>NC_000009.12:88220552-98220552 GCF_000001405.40 Homo sapiens
TTAGTAGAGACAGGGTTTCACCATGTTGGCCAGGATGGTCTCAATCTTTTGACCTTGCGATCCGCCCGCCTTGGCCTCCTAAAGTGCTGAGACTACAAGCGTGAGCCACCTTTAGGTTTAGGTTTGCCTTTTTACCAACTCTGCACTGCGGCAGAACCTCCAGTGCTCGCCAGAAGTCTATTCTCGCTTCCCCTAGCAAAAGAGGCTGCATCTCCGGGCCTGGGTCTGGCCAAGGCGGTGGTCCTCACTGCTGCCCTGTGCCCCTTCCTGGAGCTGGGGAAGGCAACTGGGAGCGTGCCGGTAACAGCAACACCTGTGCCACGCCGGGCCTCCGACTGTGGCTTTAGAGCCGAGGCCTACCCATCCTGACGCGGCACCCGGACTCTGCGTGGAGGGAAATGAACTTGATTCTAAGGGCCTGAGTTTCAGGCGCTCTGTTGCTGAAGCCCAGCTCCCGCCAAAGGGAGAGGGAGAGGCGCACTTCACCTGCCGTTTGCTTTATTCTCATATTGATTTACCTCCGTATCTCCAAATAATCTGCTCGTTTCACCCTTTCTTGATTTATAACTCTGAAATACTATTAGCTTCAGGCAACTAAATATTAGACTCAAATACACTAACCAGACTTTCAATTCCCAATTTCCTTAGCAGAGGGCCCTCTAGGTTCCCCTTTCTCCCAAAGTCCCCTTCCCCCAAAACCTCCTGGCTCCATGGGCAGGGCTGGGTGCGGGGAGCTGCGGGCGGGGGCAGATGCAGCTGCCACAGCTCCTCCCCAGATTTCACGCCTCGCTGCTTTCACCCCCACCCCCGCAGCCTGGGGGATCATCAGGCACACCAGGAAGCCCTCCCCTCCTCTGCAGGCCTTGCACATGCATTGGGAGCTGTAGCTGTCCGCCTTTTTTCCTCCAACAATGCCTATGATCTATTTTCCAGCTTCCAAAAATAAATTGAAATTTCCCCATCAACTGTTAACGTCCCTTCCCATTCTTTTCACTCTTAGGGATTTTTTTCCTACAGATTTATTTTTCCATGCATTCCCCACTGCCCTCAGCCTTTTTGGTAACTGGGTCCAGGTCAGCCAAGCAGTGTTTAGGACACTGTTTCCTAAGCATTGGCGGTGGTGACCTAGTGGCACCAAGAATTCCCTCAGAAACTTAATAATGATGCAAACCCCCAAGTGTCCTCTGTAGTGGGTCTGGCATGGGCTCTGGAAACGGAGCGTTACATCCCTCCTGGGAGACTAAAGCATGTCTCACCTTGGGAACCATGGCGTGCAGAGTCTCTGCTAGCGGACACTTGGGGGCTGAATTGTACCGCTCCCACAAATTCCTATGTTGAAGCCCTAACAGCCAGGACCTCAGAATGTGGCTGTATTCGAAGATGGGGGTCTTTAGGCCGGGTGCGGTGGCTCATGCCTGTAATCCCGGCACTTTGGGAGGCTGAGGTGGGTGGATCACGAGGTCAAGAGATCGAGACCATCCTGGCTAACATGGTGAAACCTCGTCTCTACTAAAAATAAAAAAAAAATTAGCCTGGAGTGGTGGCGGGCGCCTGTAGTCCCAGCTACTCGGGAGGCTGAGGCAGGAGGATTGCTTGAACCAGGGAGGCAGAAGGTTGCAGTGAGCTGAGATCACGCCACTGCACTCCAGCCCGGGAGACAGTGCGAGACTCCGTCAAAAAAAAAAAAAAGAGGGGGGGTCTTTAAAGATCCCATTAAATTAAAATGAGTCATGGGACAGGCGCAGTGGCTCACACCTGTAATCCTAGTATTTTGAGAAGCCGAAACAGGTAGATCATCTAAGGTTAGGAGTTCAAGACAAGCCCGGCCAACATGGCGAAACCCTGTCTCTACCAAAAAAAAAAAAAAAAAAAGTAGCTGGGTGTTGGCCAGGTGCGGTGGCTCGTGCCTGTAATACCAGCACTTTGGGAGGCCGACACAGGCGGATCATGAGGTCAGGAGATCGAGACCATCCTGGCTAACACGGTGAAACCCTATCTCTACTAAAAATACAAAAAATTAGCCGGACATAGTGGCGGTTGCCTGTAGTCCCAGCTACTTGGGAGGCTGAGGCAGGAGAATGGCGTGAACCTGGGAGGCAGAGCTTGCAGTGAGCTGAGATCATGCCACTGCACTCTAGCCTGGGTGACAGAGCGAGGCTCTGTCTCAAGAAAAAAAAAAGAAAGAAAAAGAAACCAACAACAACAACAAAAAATAATAAAATAAGTCGTATGGCTGGGGCCTAATCTAACATGACTGGTGTCCTTATAAGAGGCAATTAGGACACAGACACACACAGAGGAAAGGCCATGTGAGGACACAGGGAGAAGAAGGCTGTCTACAAGCCGAGGAGAGAGGCCTCAGGAAAAAACAACCATGTGCACACCTTGATCTCAGACCTCCAGCCTCCAAGACTTAAAAAGGTAAATGTCTGTTGTTGAAGTCCCCAGATCTGGGATATGTTGTTACAGCAGCTCTAACAAACTAATACGACACTCCAATCAAGTGTTCTTAACAGCATGCTCAGAACTGCTGGGCTGGGGCCTTGGCTCTGAGATATTTAAGCCTCAGGTGGGGAGACCAGCCTTCCAGATAAGAGTGATTTTTAAAGCTAGCAAAGCCCCAGCTATACAGTGCTTACCTTTGCTTATATCACAGTTACAGAGTTTTTGCGTCAGTAACACTTGAAAACTCCTTGAAAGCATTTGTTATTCATAGGTAAAGTAGATGGTCTACAAATGAATGTGGTTAATAATTTTAACCTTGAGATATGATCTATTCTGAATTAGAATCATATTCTGAATTAGAAGCTTTACTAGATTTCTACTTTGCAAGGGGATTTTGCTGTGGAGTGTTTTGCAGATTCCCACTCACCTTAGCAATTTAATTCCACAAATGGATGTCGAGCTCCACCAGCTTTTTAATCACCCCACTTAGTAATGAAGTGAGTTAAATGAATTTATATCATCCCAGCCACTTGACATGCAATCATCAGACAGCCCAACAGTGCCAGGGGCCTGGTGGAAGAGCAGTGAGAATTACAGGAGCTTCAATCAGAAGAAGGCTTTGTGCAAAGGCTGCACAACCAAGACAGAGACAGAGACAGGAAGGAAGGGGCAACGAGACTAGCCTCCAGCAGAGACATCAGAGACATGGGACTGCTGGATCATGTGTACAGCACGTGTCATGGATGGGACCCATGAGGCAGGACTAAGGATTGCCTAGAAGCGAGTGAGCCCAAGGACAGCAAACGATGAGGGCAGGGAGCAGAGAGGAGAGGGAGGCATGGAGAGGTCCTCACTTCTTCCTCTACCCTGTCTTGACTGCAGGTGTCTTGAGGGCAGAAGCACCCCCAATGCTTCCTTCACCTTCCTGCAGCAAAAGGCAGCATGGATTGGGTGCTGAGCACAATGTTGGGTTCCACACTGCTCAATAAAGACAAGCTCTTTATCTGATCACTAGCCTGTGTGCATGATAAACACATGCTGACTTCAAGGAAGGTCAGTAGGTTGAAAAATGCATTGATGGGATGAATATAAGTTCTGTCTCTAGTGGGAACAGCTTCGCCTTCACTGTGCTGATGGCACACTTTTGGAGAAGTGCCAGTCACATGTTCTAAACCTCTGGCCAAATAGGTATTTTGGTAAACTAGGCCAAATACCCCATGGCCCTGGCCACAGTGGCTGGTCTAAGGCAGGGCAGCAAGGAACCCAAGTCATTGGGACCTTACAATGTGGCACTGGAGAGAAAGGCCGTGGCCCCTCCTGTCTCATTCAGAAAGAGATGATGCTAGATCTGCCACAGCCACATTCCCACCACCGTCTGCAGTTAGGAAATGAAACCAAAAAGAGACCAGCGGAGAAGGGAGGGAGCATCCTGGATACCCCACACTGCTGGGTCTATCAGCCTGAACTGTGTCCACCCCACACTTACCAGCTTGTGTGAGCAAGTGAATTCCCTCTTAGGTTTAAGCTGATTTGAGGTTTCACTCACACAGGATATGAGGCCTGGGGTGGGCTGTGGCACCTGACAGACCTTACAATACAGAAGAGACTGGATCAAGACAGGAGAAGGCTGGGCTCTCCCTACGTTAACCGCCCTCACAGAGAGGAGTAAAGCTGCTGGGAAACCCTCGCCTTTCGCCAACAGGGATTGAACCACATCCCTGCTGAACTTCATCCAGAGAGCAGTGGAAAACGCCAGAATATGAGGTGGTGCATCAGCCTTCTCCCGCCTTCAACTATGAGACAAGCCTCCCTTCAAACAGGCAGAAACAGGATGGAATTCAGTTTGTTTTAAAAAACAAAACCAAAAATAAACCAGAGAGAAGAGCTTTTCTGACTGAGACCAGAGAACCAATACAGATAGGTCAGGTAATCACGCCCTTTTTCTGATTATAAAAGGCAAATTCCCTGCCGCAACCTGGAGTCAGTGTGAGCAAGTAACAAGGTATCTAGGATTGCTTAGGGGCTGCAGAGAACCTATAGGTCAGAGTGACTCAACATTGAAAAGAGTTAGGCCAATAGAGGAGCTTGCAGGAGCTCAGCAGGTGGGAGGAGAGTGACAACACAGTTTCATGTCCTGGGCCATTCTTCTGCCAAAGTGGTACTCAGCTCCCATTGGGTGGCTACCACCCACGACTACAGCTTTCTCCCAAGGACCCACCAGGGCCCAGGGAGGGACCAGCTACTCTCACTCCCCATTCCTAACGCAAGGGCTGCACCACCCCTCGATGGCTTCCCCGCCCCCATGTTCACCTCTGTGAATAATCCCTTTACAGTTTCCGTGCTGCGGTCCCTCCCACTGAGCTCCTCACTGGCACAGGGGCATGTTGGGGACCTTGGGGTCATTTTTTGCCATTTAGTGTAGTCGTGACCTAGCACTTACGTAGTGAAATACAAAGCATTGTATTACAAGTTGTTTTTATCTTCCATACTCTCTTTTTTTGTTGTTTGTTTGTTTGTCTTTGTTTTTGTTTTGAGACAGAGTCTTGCCTTGTCACCCAGGCTGGAGTGAAGTGGCATGATCTTGGCCCACTGCAACCTCCACCTCCCAGGTTCAAGCAATTCTCCTGCCTCAGCCTCCTGAGTAGCTGGGATTACAGGTGCGTGCCACCACATTGGGCTAATTTTTGTAGTTTTACAAAAATTAGTAGAGATGGGGTTTCACCATGTTGGCCAGGCTGGTCTCGAACCCCTGACTTCAAGTGATCCGCCCACCTCAGCATCCCAAAGTGCTAGGATTACAGGTGTGAGCCACTGTGCCCAGCCTCCATATTTTCAAACAGAATTATATTGATTATTTTGGACCATGAGCATACATTGGTTATAAAATCAATGAATTTCATTTTAAGATAGTGAATAGAATGTTTCTAAATATCTTTTAAGGGTGGGCTGGAAGAAGGGCTGGGTCTCAGAGTTGGAAACCACTGGTTAGGGATTTGGCGTCTTCCCTTCCCAAAGACTGCTAGACTCCATACACAATTATTCAACCCTTCCCAAATTCCAGCCTTCTGTACCCATAAATAAACAGCTTTGCCAGGCACCTAAAACAGCCAAAGTTCTTCTTTCACCTTTTTCCTGGTTTCCCACATACATAACGAAGATTTGCTCAAAGATGGCCTATACCAACAAGGGGGGAAATGTAATTTCTGGTAGGGCAAAGAAAATCATGTACTGGCTGGGTACAGTGGCTCATGCCTGTAATCCCAGCACTTTGGGAGGCCGAGGCAGGTGGATCACCTGAGGTCAGGAATTCAAGACCAGCCTGGACAACATGGTGAAAACCCCTTCTCTACTAAAAATACAAAAATTAGTCGGGTTTGGTGGCACACACCTGTAGATCCAGCTACTCAGGAGGCTGAGGCAGGAGAATCACTTGAACCCAGGAGGCAGAGTTTGCAGTGAGCTGAGATCGTGCCACTGCACTCCAGCCTGGGTGACAGAGCGACACTCCATCTAAAAACAAGCAAAGAAAAAATCATGTATTATATTTCATGATGGTTATTCTAGGGGGAAAGGAAGGAAGGTAACCTGGCTGTACACCTGAGCATGTTCAGGCCTGGGCTGTACCCTGACGTGCACCATCTCCTCTACTCCTCACAACAGCGGGCTCTGCTTTTCCCTTCCTGGCACTTATCAATATCTGGCGGTTTATATAGCAATTAAACTTCCTTCCTCACCACCTCCCAATGTGAGCTCTGTGTAGGGAGCTGTTTTGCTCACTGTTGTATCCCAAGCACCGAGGACTTCCTGGATGAGAGAGGATTTTGAAGAAATGTGTGTTAAAATAATTGTGTTATGCCAGGTGCAGTGACTCATGCCTGCAATCCCAGCACTTTGGGAGGCTCAGGCGGGTGGATCACTTGAGGTCAAGAGTTCGAGACCAGCCTGGCCAACATGGTGAAACCCCATTTCTACCGAAAATATAAAAATTAGCCTGGTGTTGTGGAACATGTCTGTAATCCCAGCACTTAGGGAGGCCGAGGTGGGTGGATCGCCTGAGCTCAGGAGTTCAAGACCAGCCTGGCCAACATGATGAAACTCTGTCTCTAGAAAAATACATAAAAAATTAGCCAGACATGGTGGCAGGCGCCTGTAAACCCAGCTACTCAGGAGGCTGAGGCAGTAGAATCGCTTGAGCCTGGGAGGCAGAGGTTGCAGTGAGCCGAGATCACATCATTGTACTCCATCCAGCCTGGGCAGCAGAGCGAGACCCTGACCCCACCCCCAACCCCTGCCAAAAAATTGTGTTATGACTTAGGTATTATCAATGCCATTCCATGCTGAGGAACCTGAGGCTTGGAGAAATTACAAGACTGTCTGTGATGGTGAATTTTGTGTGTCAACCTTGCTAGGCCATGGTGCTCAGCTGTATGGTCAAACACAGTTCAGATGTTGCGGTGACAGTATTTTAAAGATGTGACTAACGTTTATAATCGGTACTTTGAGTAAAGCAGACAACTTTCATAATGTGAATGGGCCTCAAACAATCTGTTGAAAGCCTTAAAAGCAAAGCCTACGATTTCCCAAAAAAGAAGGAATCCTGTCTCGAGACTGCAACGTAGAAACCTCACCTGAGTTTCCAGCCTGCTGGCCTGTGGAATTCTGACTCAAAACTCAAACACCAACTCCAGCCTGAATCTTCAGCCTGCCAGCCTGCCCTGTGGATTTTGGGTTTGCCAGCTGCCCCAATCATGTGAGCCAACTCCTTAAAATAAACCCAGATAGATAAGTGATAGATAGATAGATAGATACATAGGCAGATAGACAGAGAGTATACCTATATATATAGAGAGAGAATGAGGTTTCTATGTTGCAGTCTTGAGACAGAATTCCTTCTTTTTTGGGAAATCATATATATATATGATATATATACACATATATATATAATCTCCTATGTATCTATCTATCTAAATATGTATGTGTATATATGTATACATATCTAGATAGACAGATAAGAGATAGATATATATAGGAGATATCTATATCTATATCTATATCTATCTAAAGTCTCCTTTCAGTATATCCTACCACTCTGTTTCTCTGGAGGACCATGACCAACACACCATCCAAGCTCACATCTGCTCAGTGTCAAGGATGGCTAATGACTGATATTTATTATGTGATTCAGTCCTTATAAAGATCATGCATGATGTTTCACAGGTGAGGAAACTAAGGCTCAAGTGTTAAGAAACTGGCCCAAGTTGCACAGCTGGAAAGAGTCAGGCTTTGCACACAGGTGCCACCTGTGAGTCTGACTCTCCTCACTGCTGCACCACTCCCCTGAAAGGAACAGCGAGAGCCCATCTGACTCCTTCGCTGTGCCTCTCCCAATAGCATCCTCAAGAACACCTAGAACAGAAGCATCAACAGTCCCCATAACCATGACGACCACAGCCAGCCATGCAAGAGCCCAGCAGCAATGACGACCACCACTAGAGTCAGCGGTGTCAGAGCCCAACATAACCACCACTAGAGCCAGTGGTCCCCAAGGCTCTGTTTCCCTCCAGGCACCTTTCTGGCACTTTCTGTGTACAAATACCTTTCCTCCCCACAAGGGCACCATGAGGTAGGCGCTGCTTTATCAAACAAAGCAACATTGCTACACATGAGTTGCATCGCTTGCCTGGGTTAAAGTTACATACAGGGACCAAGTTTCTTGATTATCACTAAGTGCTTGCAATAGCCACAGACTTTCTCAGTGGTGAGGCATGTCACCGTCCACACAGACGCTACTAGGCAGGAACTATAGCTGCCATCAGTTGTTCAGGGTGTCCAGGCCATCCCTGAAGGGCCTCAGTGAAGCCCCTTGTGATATTAAACCCTTCCCCGCAGTTTGCCCAGGTTGCCTAGAGTGGGTGGCGATGAGGAAAGGTGCAGGGGCCTCTGTGTGGGGACATCACAGTCAGTGGCCCATGGTCTCAAAGGATGGCTGCCACCATTACCCCTCTGTTGTCGGAACTTCTGTTGGGCCAGCCTTCGGCCCAGACCTCACACTGCTGCTATACATGCGACACGAGCCCTGGCAGAGCTCGCAGGATTCTCAGCTGGGGGGCTTCAAAGACAGCCTTACAAAGGCACAAACATCACCCTTCACTCAACCAGCCTGTACCCTGTATGTAACAAGCCTGTGGCTCACAGTCTGCTTGGGAGGCCCACACTTGATATCAGAGCACTGAGGACAGAGTGTAAATCTGGGCTTGCTGAGACAGAGTGTAAATCTGGGCTTGCTGAAGATGCCATGTAGAACAAACCAAGCCCTGCACAAAAAACCCTGTGCGGGGGGAACAGGAGCAGCTCTGAGTGTGGGGTTGGGAGAAACTTTCATTTCATGCTTAAAGTAGTTCATAGTGAGTGAACATCACTTTTATAATCAGAAAAAACATGTAAGGATCTTTTTCTACTTGCCTCCCAAAAACTGAGTATTAGTTTTGTTCATCTGATAAATCCAGAGAGAGACAGAGACAAAGAGAGATTCAGACCGAGAGAGACAGACAGAGACACAGAGAATGAGACAGAAAGATATGGAGAGAGAGAGAGAATTCCTTTGGTTTTGCCTATCTGATTACTAGTGAGACTGAGAGTTTTTGCATATGGTTATTAGTTCTTTGTATTTCTTCTTTTGTGACTCAGTTATTCCTGGATTACACCGTCTTCTCCCTTGGGTTGCTTCTCTTTTGTATGATTGATGCATAAGACTTCCTTATATATTAATGTTTTTAATCCTTTGTCTATTGCATATGTTGCAAAAAATGTCTTTGTCTTTTAACTCCACTATTTTATCAGAGGGAAGATACACTTATGGGGACAGATCTAGTGATCTTTCCGTTTGTGAGTTTTGCCTTTTCTGTCGGCCTTGTTAAGTTCTTCTGCGTGCTGAAAGATTGTATAGTTGGTGACTTACATGCTATTCTCAGGTTTTTATAGTTGTATTTTTTCCATTTAAGTCTTTAAACCATTTGGGATTCATTTTGATGCAAAACATGAGAGAGCGATCTAAATTTTTTCCCCAGTAGCTGGCTAATTTTAACAACTACAGCTTGGGCAAGTCTTTTCCCACTGATGGAGAAGGCTCCTTGATTGTTTCACAAAGTCCTGTCTACTTCTGGTGAGTCTGAACTTCCTTATTTTCTTTCACTACTTGTTGGCTCAAACAGGAGAATCATTACTATTTTAATTATTGTAAATTTTACAATATCTATTTATATAAAATTGGCCAGGAAAAGTCACCCTCATTATTTTTCTTTTTCAGAATTTCCAAGCTATTTGTCTATATTTATTTTTTCTGAATGAACTTTAGAACATTTTGTTGTGTTCCCCCTAAAGAAAGCTTTGACTTCAGTTTTATTAAATTCCCAAATTTACAGAACAATAGGCTTCACATCCAAAGAGAGGCTATGGGTTTCCATTTCAGTGAAAAAAATGTGGCTGAGAACATGTACTTTTGAGTTAGATGGCCTGGGTTCAAATCCCAACTGAAAAACTTTCTAACTCTGTGACCTTGGGCAAGATAGTAAACCTCTCTGTGCCTCAAGTTCAATATATATAAAGTGTGGGTAATAAGAGTAGCCATTTCATAGGATGGTTGTACAACTTAAATGAATGTATATTTGTCAGGTGACTAGAATAATGCATGGCGCATTCTTAATAGATGCTAACTTTTCTTATTTGATACTTTCTTCTTTTACTTTCCTCAGTAACATTTTGTAGTCTGCTCCATGTTGGTTCCATATGAGAATGTTGGGAGGATAAGATGAGTCAACACGATAAGATGAGTCAACACACAGAAAATACAGAACAGCAGATGCCCCATTGTAAGCACTCAATTATATTGTCCTTTTTTTTCTTTTTTCTTTTACTTTTTTCATTCCTGAAACATTATAGAAAAGGGGAGTGGCAGCTGGAGGTGTTGTGCTGACCTTCTATATTGTCTTTTTAACATCAAATGACAGTGCCACCTCTTTCTATGCCCACCTGTCGCCTTTCAGGCTCATTCCAACTTCAGTACTGTGAAAAATGTTGAATAAAAATAAAAGAGAAAAACACTCGTTTTGGACAATGGTCCATATTTTCTGTACACTAAAAATCACCCTTATGTATCTCATGTAATTCAAGTCAGAGAACAAGTCTCTCTGAGACTGTATAGTCTTCATGGGTGAGGGAGAGAGATGGGTCCTCAGCTATTTGTTTTAAATTTCATTCCCAGGCTAAGACTGTCTTTTCTGGGTTTCAGCTGGAATAGGGTTTTCCTGTCTCGTTATAAATCTGTGAGTGTGAACGACCATAACAGAAACACTCTACGACCTTTGTGTGCAGTTGTAACTGCAGATCCTTTCGTCACAGGAAAATTACAGTAGTAACTTGAATCCCTTATGGTTCATCAAGATGAACAAATTACAGCACTTGACGAGTGAACATTTGAATTAATGCAAGATCCCACAATCAGCATCAGGGCGCACACACATACGATCCATCTGTCCACTGTAGCCACAAGGGCTTCGTGCTCCTTTGTCTCATCATCACAGTCTTTAGCAGATATTTGCTTTCTGCTCATCCTCACTCGTGGCTTGTAAGGATTTGTTGGAATATAGTTTAATGAGCAATAGCTGTCAGCTACACACTCCTGGATTGCCATGAGATTTTAAGAAAGACTTTTTCTTCTCATTCATTTCAAACAAAAACAAACAGAAATTCCCCTGCACAGAAAAGATTCCATAGGTGCTAAAACTCTGAAGCTCTAATTTCTAATGGCAGCTGTCTCTTGGACCATGGACTTAGTTAAGTCAATCTCCTTGAACCTACTTTTTACTCTGTGAAAATGGTCATAAAATAATCTCATAGTGGTGAGATTAATCTCACATTCTCATACATGCAAATAATTATGCAAACCTCTAATTTTCCGTAAGGACCATATTTGTGAAATATGACTGACATAGTTTGGATATTTGTCCCCTCGAAATCTCATGTTGGAACATAATCCCCAATGTTGGAGGTGGGTCTAGTGGGAGGTGTTTAAGTCATGACAGTGGATCCCTCATGAATGGCTTGGTGCTATCCCCATGGTAATGAGCGAGTTCTCCATCTATTAGTTCACTCAAGAATTTGTAGTTTAAAAGGGTGTGGCAAGCCTCCTCCTCTCTTGCTCTCTCTCTCACCATGTGACACACCAGCTCCGTTTGCTTTGCACCACGAGTAAAACTTCCTGAGGCTTCACCAGAAGCTGAACAGATGCCAACGCCATGCATTTTGGACAGCCTGCAGAATCGTGAGCCAAATAAATCTCTTTTCTTTATAAATTACCTCATCTCAGATATTCCTTTACAGCAGTACAAAATGAACTAATACAATGACTGCATAGCAAATTGTCCTGAGACCTATGCAGTCAGGAACCCAGTGGTGGCTGACCTGGGGCTTCTGGCTCTGGATTCTGTTGTGTGGCTGCAGTCAAGCTGTCATCAGGGCTGTGGTCTCAACTGAAGGCTTTGCTGGGGCTGGAGGATCTGCTTCTAAACTCATTCATGTGTTGTCATCAGATGTCAGCTCCTTGCTGACTGTTGGCCAGAGACTTCAGTTCCTTCCTGCATAGACCAACCCATAGGGCTACTCACAAAATAACAGTTGGCTTCCTCTAGAGCAAGTGATTTGAGAGAGAGAGAAACAGAGAGAGCCAGCCCCAAGACAGAAGTCATAGTTTCTCTTATTGCCTAATCTCATAGTGATATCTCCTCACTACATTGTATACTAATGATCACATAGACCAACCCTGGCCCCACGTTGGAGAGGACCCTACAAGGTGTAAAAACCAGGACATGGGGTCATTGGGGGCCGTCTTAGAAGTTGGCTACCAAAAGTACCATAAAAATGCTAAGCTAAATAGGGAGATGTAGAGTATGCTAGCAAGTGTTAAAGAAAAATCAGAATTCATTTTCTCCTTTTGAAAACCAGGCGTCAGTTACAGTTCACCCTGGAAACTCCTTCATCAGCAGCCCAAATTCTCAGCAGTGACCTGTTGCCTGCCCAGCCTGGAGAATTTGCCAGCTATTACCAGAACCATGCTCCCAACAGTGCAGAAATAATGGAAATACACCTGCATTCTCTCACTGCAAGAATATCTTGGGCTCCCCAGAGTCTGGCTGCTTTTAGTTTTGGTTACTCAGTGTGTGCTTGTGAGCACCTCCAGGAAAGGGGGTTCTGCCTTGCAGACAACCCCAGGCAGAGTCTGAAACCAAGGTTCTAACCACAGGAATGAACCTTCGGACTTGCCTGCTTAAGACTGCTTAGGACAAAGCCCCGTATCACACAGCCTGCAGCACATCTTCACTTCTGTCTTGCTTTGCAGGCATGCTAAGAGGGCCAGAGGGGAGTGTCTTGGGTCAAATAACACAGGAGACTTAAGAGCAATTTGATCTTACACCTCAAAAAAAGGAAATGTCCAATGGCCGCATGTGAGGGGAACCTGTACATCTTCAAATCCATTGAAAATGTGTTCAGGGGCAGGGTGCGGTGACCCATGCCTGTAATCCCAGCACTTTGGGAGGCCAAGGCGGGTGTATCACCTGAGGTCAGGAGTTCGAGACCAGCCTGGCCAACATGGTGAAACTCCGTCTGTACTAAAATACAAAAATTAGCCGGGTGTGGTGGCAGGCGCCTGTCATCCCAGCTACTTGATAGGCTGAGGCACGAGAATTGCTTGAACCCAGGAGGCAGAGGTTGCGGTGAGCCGAAATCAGGCCGTTGCACTCCAGCCTCAGCAACAGAGAGCGACTCTGTCTCAAAAAAAAAAAAAAAAAACAAGAAAAGAAAAAAGAAACAAAAAAACGAAAATGTGTTCAGGGTATGATACAACGTTCCATTCAAAGACTGTTCCCTAAGCATGTGCCGAGCAGATCTGATGCACCAGCTTGAACACTGGCGTACGAAGCTGAACCAAGCATAGACAGGCTGACCCTCAAATATCTTCCATTTACAGAGACAGGCAAGCATTGCACACAAAAAAACTATCACACAAGGCAAAATATGGTAAATACTGGTGGAGAAGTCAAAACAAAATAATCTAAGAATTCCAGAGGAAAAAAACACCTTTTTATTATTAAAATTAATAGTTCATAACTAAATCAGTTATTTATTAATTGGGAAGATGCATTTTTCCTACCCTTGTTTGTTTAGACCTGTTATGGGCCCAGCAGTGTGCTGGAACACAGGAGAAAAACCACAGCCCCCTGGGAAGGAACTAGATCTGCACGGATCAGCAGCACAACACGTGACCTTTAGGCCGGAACAGATCTAGGTGGGTTGGAATAAAGCTGTCATCGTGAGAAGACAATTCTCTGCAGGGGGTAATCAAGGATCTACCGTGGGAGTCATGCTCTGAGGGGGTGCGGACGGATGAAAAGGACACTGACAAGGGGCAGAGAGGTCGCATGGAGAGAACATTTCAGAAGGTACAGCATATGCAAGAACATAAACCCATAAAACACCCCCGCATATGGAAACAGTTGCAAGTGCTTTGGAGATGCTAGTTTTATAGAACACAAAGGCAAAAGTGAGGCAGGAAAAGGTCCGAAAGTGTGGCTGAGCTGACGAGTGCAGGAGCATGGATTCTTTTCTCTAGGCAGCAGGCCTCCTTTGAGGGCCAAGTAACAAGCCTCTTTGAGAATCTGACAAAGCTCTGGTCACAGCTGTTGCAATAGTGCACACCGATACAATTGTATCTACAATTCTGAGGGTCCATGGAGCCCAGGAGCCCCTCTGTGGACCTTCTGCGATATGAGGATAAGAGCGCTCTTACTCACCTCAGGGATCCCTGGCTGGAATTCTCACTGGAGCGAGATACTCAGACGCTCACCTCAGAGCCACCCTCCAGGCAGCAGAACGGAGGACAGGTCTACAGGAGAGAGGGCAGAGGCAGGGAGCTACTGAATGCATCTGAAAACGTGGTCAACAGCTGAGAGCTTAATGGGTGTCTACCAATATGTTTCCTCACTCTGAAATGCAGAACACGGCATCAATTTAATAACAGCTGTTTAGGAAAAAGAAGAACTCACTTTAAATAGACACTCTTTTCTATCTCACTTTTTTCATTTAGGATTTTTGGATGGGGGGAGTGGGGCAGTGGAAACCAACTCTGATTAACTTAAACATGACAAAAGTTGGGGCTTATCCTAAGAACACTGGGTATCTCATACAACCAACAGAGATGCACACACAGCCTCTGTTGGTTGGGTGGACAGGACGCAGGGCAGGAGCCTGGGCACTGCAGGCAGTGAGTCCTGCACAATGAGCGACCCTGTGGCTGATCTCAGACGAGAGCCTCTCTGTGTGTCTTCCCATGACTTTCCTTCTCCCAAGACAGTGTCTGGTTGGCTTATTGAGACCCAGCCCCCATTCCTGGGCTGGGCAGCCCCACCAAAAGCTCTGTGAAATGATACAGAACAAGGCCCCAAAGCAAGGAAGAAAGTGCCATTATCAGAAAAAAATTAAAAATTTTAAAAGTAGGGAAGGATGATGGCTAACCAAAAATAACTGATTTGCAATAGACTGATAAAAGCATATATTTCTCCAGACACATAGGTTTTCTTCTTCATTATCAGACCTTTGCTTACTTAACAAATTTTGTACTTTCTATGTGCCAGGCACTGGGAATTACAGCAGTGGAAAAATAACAGACGAAAATTCCTTCCCTCACTGGCCTCCCATTCTTGTGGAAGTTTGACTCTAAGCATTCTGCAGGTACAGACGCTAAAGGCCCTGGCTGCTGTGGCTTGGCCTGTTGCCTGGAGTTAAGTGATGCTGTTCATAACCTACTCAAGTCCTGGACCTCTTTGCCACCACTGGGACTGACAGAATAATATTTTGAAATATCATACTGAAGAATACCATGGTTTTATGCATTTTTCATTTTCAGTTGAATTCACAGTCTTATTCTTTGTCTATCTGAATTCCTATTGCTGGAAATCATCTGGAAGTTTCTGACAGAAGGAATTTCCACAGCTGAGTATGGCACCAGGGTCAAGCATAAGAACTGTACTCTTGGCTGGGCATGGTGGCTCATGCCTATAATCCCAGCACTTTGTGAGGCCGAGGCAGGCAGATCAAGAGGTCAGGAGATCGAGACCAGCCTGGCCAACATAGTGAAGCCCCATCTCTACTAAAAATACAAAAACTTAGCCGGGCGTGGTGGCGGGTTCCTGTAATCCCAGCTACTCGGGAAGCTGAGGCAGGAGAATCGCTTGAATCCAGTAGGCGGAGGTTGCAGTGAGCCGAGATTGTGCCACTGCACTCCAGCCTGGGTGACAGAGCAAGACTCCATCTCAAAAAAAAAAAAAAAACAACTGTGCTCTCTACCTTTAATTCATGACTGGGTAGTATATACCCCAGGCAATGTGGGTGCCTGAAATAACTTTTCCTTCAATGTTGCAGCACCATGTGACTTTTCAGTAAAAATTAGAGACAACTAAATTTCAGTTAAACTTCACCTATTGTGTGTCACCACCAACACAAACAACAGAACCATTGTCCTACAATGATACTACAGTTTACCTCCCAGCTGGTGGTGGTATCCGGGAGTCAGAAGTGTTAGATTGTAAAAAATGATGTGTCTTAGAATGGACAATGCAATTCAATCAGCAGATGGCCAGAAGAATGGAGCCGGAACAGGCTGACAGAAATGCTCACAGGTGGCTTCTTGGGTCGTTATGAAACAGCTCCTGGGACCTGTCTTAAATGGATGCGTCACATGGTGCTTCTCCCCATATGGCCAGAGTCAGGGCAGTTGAATTCCCAGGTTTCCAGGTTTACACCACAGCTGCAGACATCACAGAGGAGGAAAGCAAGTGGTGGTCCAGATACAAAAATACTCTCAGGCCTGCGAGCAGCCTGCAACGGCCGAAGCGCCCCGGAAAGGAGAGCTCATCACGCCTCGTGTCCTGCCAGCCCACTAGGCCCTCGGCCAGGCCTCCAGACTCGGCCAACTGTCTCCTGCCCCAGACCTCGTGCTCTCCCCAGCTCTGAGCACAGACTGAGGCAGCCTCTTGTTCTCCAGGCACAGAGATGGTGGTAGGCTGTGAACAGCCAAAGCCAGAGAAGCAGCCTGTCTAGGCTACTCCACAGGTGTAGAAATATGGAGGTCTCCCACTTCCCAGAGCCAAGGTGAATTGCAGGGTAATTTGAGGCTGACAGACCGGTATGCAGGGACGTTCCTCCATGGCCTCCCATGACAGGCTCTGCAGTGCTGGAGGACAGCCATACATATTTGTCCAGTTGCATAGTTCGGGCTTGTGAAAATCAGAACTGAGAAATAAGCTCTTTATTCTCTTTCCAAAAACAATGCTTGAACTCTGACTTCTGCCCCCCCTCCACCTCATTTCTGCTCGATTTTCAATCTGTTTTCTATTATTTTCACTTCACATCCCTGTGCAGACTTTGCTAGAAATGCAGTGAGTCCAGGTCAAAAAACAATCAGCGCATTATGCTGAACGTATCTGAATACCTCCTTGTTGCTATGAAAACCTACTCATTCTGGGGACTGATTTGAGGCCACTCCTGGCCTTGCTGAGGTGCTCCTCCTCCCAACAGAGAACAGCCTGGCCTTCAGAAGCATGTCTTGTGTCTTGGAGTCACCTGGTATATCCCTAGGCAGGGCCCCGTCCACACAGCCAGGAGTGGCTGGGTTAGTCCCCCAGTGAACCAGCAGCCACCTCCCTCCCTGGCTGTTTTTCTAGACCTGCCCTCTGCCCAGGGGCTGCATGTATATTTGCCGCTTCCCCAAAAGGGGGCATTTCCCACCGTTCTGGAATTCTTGATTATGCATGCATCTGTGCGTGTGAAGCCAACCCAGTTGCCTGGCACTTTTCATACTGTTCCAACCAGCTGTTTCCAGTCGGTCAGAGTTTCAGCTGGGTTAGCTGTTTCTTCTCTCCTGGACGTGTAGTGCAGTCTGTACTATTTAGACCCTGGTGTCTGCTTGTTTAATCAATGCTGGAGACACGTGGGAAATAGAGATGACCCTGTTCTGAACCGGTTAGGTGGTATGGGCACCAGTAGGGCCTCAGGAGGAAACTTAGCCTTTGAGGAAACCGAGGAGGGTGCACCTGTACAGGGTGGTGCTTCCAGCTAAGGAAGTGTGGGGAGATGCTGCCACGGCTGCTCCATGTCTTTCACTTGTACGCTTGCATGTGTATGACCTGGTTGCTTCTGTGTGGGCCGGAGGTTTTCATCCTGAGGTGTGTGGGCAGAATTCTGAGCCCCGAGAACTTGGATGGGGAAAAAAATTGCATCTTTATTTTCACTAACTTCTAACTACAATTTAGCACTTCCTCCCACTTCAAAAGTGGGTGACAAACCACAGTGGTATCAGCACCACCTTTGTGACCCTGTCAATAGAAGAAATCTCAGTTGTTCTCATTTCGCCTTGAATTAGTGTCCACGATCATGACTATTTCATAATTAATGGTCATCACCAGACCACTGTGAGGGCTTGTTCATGCGTTAACAAAGAAGCACCTATATTATGACATCGCAGGTGCATTTTTATACTTTAATGATGATTTTCAATAAAATGGATTTTCCTATAATTCTTTGTGTGTGTGTGTGTGTGTGTGTGTGTGTGTGTGTGTGGTTTTTTTTTTTTTTTTTGAGACGGAGTCTTGCTCTGCCGCCCAGACTGAAGTGCAGTGGCGCAATCTCGGCTCACTGCAAGCTCTGCCTCCTGGGTTCACACTATTCACGCCATTCTTCTGCCTCAGCCTCCCGAGTAGCTGGGACAACAGGCGCCCGCCACTACACCCGGTTAATTTTTTGTATTTTTAGTAGAGATGGGGTTTCACCGTGTTAGCCAGGATAGTCTCGATCTCCTGACTTCGTGATCCGCCCACCTCGGCCTCCCAGAGTGCTGGGATTACAGGCGTGAGCCACCGCACCTGGCCCTTTGTGTTTTGTTTTAAGCATCATTCTGAGAAGGGGACCTGCAGAGGCCACTACAATGCCTCCTCCGCATTCCTGGACCTCATCTTCCAGCTTAACCTTCCAAGTGGAGGAGTGTGCCCTAAGAACCATCCTCCTCTAGGAGCCCCATCCGGTGATTTGCAAGGATTGTTGTAAACTGCTTAGCTCCCTCATGTCTTGGGTGAGTTTCACACCTCTCCCAGTATCTCCCCAGGATTCAGCTCATCCTCTGCCAAGGAAGCCAGCTTCACAGCGCCCCTTGGCTACCTTAGCGCCCCCATGTTGCTTCCCTACTTGCGACGGTGCTCCCTGCACCTCCTGAATAAACTACCTGTTCTCAATCTTATGTTTTCACTTCAACTTATGCAAAATGCAGACTTGGCATATGGGTTGCAGTAGGCTGCAAAGGAGTTTACGGCCCAAAATAAGTCAAGGAACCCAGGCTAGAGGTCCCCCTTCCCTGCTAGTTTACCTTAAACTCTATTTTTCTCCAGGGGATTCCAAGGCATGAGGTCTTGAACTGGAGTGGAGAGATTCTCAAAGATTCCCAAGTTCCCAAGATTTACATTATCATGTAAGTGACAATCTTTGAGAAAAGTGTGTCATACACGTTTTGAATAAGTTACACGACTTTTTATAACTTGGAGCCATCAAGAGGCTTTAGAGTCACACTGGCGTTTGTGTCGATAATTGAGTCGCCACCACGCAATATTCCTGTAACTATCGCAAGAACAGAACAGAGACAGATATAATGTGCAAATGGTACATTCTGGCCAAGAAAAGACCAAGTAAAAATCACTATAGGATTGGTGAGGCTCCAGTAAGAAGAAAAATGAATAAACAATCGAATCATCTCAAGATCCATCATAGTTCAGGTGTGCAGGCTCAAAATAAACAGCCATAGGCTGGGCGCAGCGGCTCACACCTGTAATCCCAGCACTTGCGGAGGCCGAGGCAGGCAGATCACTTAGGTCAGGGGTTTGAGACCAGCCTGGCCAACATGGTGAAACCCTGTCTCTACTAAAAATACAAAAATTAGCTGGCATGCTGGCAGGCGCCTGTAATCCCAGCTACTCAGGAGGCTGAGGCAGGTGAATCACTTGAGCCCGGGAGGCGGAGGTTGTAGTGAGCTGAGATCGCACCATTGCACTCCAGCCTGGACAACGGAGCAAGACTCCATCTCAAACAAAGAAAAAAGAAAGAAACAAAACTAGAAGAGTAAACTGTAAATTACCAACATTAGTATTGTTTGCCAGATGATATGTTTGTTCCAACTCAAGCAAGGCTCTAGAGATAACTATGCTCTGTACAGCTGTAGCTATAGCTGCAACCTCTGCCTTCCAGGTTCAAGCAATTCTCCTGCCTCAGGCTCCCGAGTAGCTGGGACTACAGGCACCCACCACCACGCCCGGCTAATTTTTTGTATTTTTAGTAAAGACGGGGTTTCACTGTGTTAGCCAGGATGGTCTCGATCTCCTGACCTCGTGATCTGCCCACCTCGGCCTCCCAAAGTGCTGGGATTACAGGTATGAGCCACCGCACCCAGCCTAGTTTTGTTTCTATTCAGTTTATACATCTTGTAACTCTTCATAAGAACTATAAGCATAAGGTGTTCTACTAAATTGTTATATATTTCTTCCAGTTATTATAGTTTTGTAACAAATTGCCCAACACTTGGGCAATTTAAGTGTGTTAAATTTCAATTGATTATATTAAATGCATAATATATTTGGATTTATATTAAATTCACTTAGGTTGATCACCTAAGTGATCCACCCGCCTCGGCCTCCCCAAGTGCTGGGATTACAGGCGTGAGCCACTGCGCCCAGCCTATGGCTGTTTATTTTGAGCCTGCACACTTGAACTATGATGGATCTTGAGATGACTCGATTGTTTATTCATTTTTCTTCTTACTGGAGCCTCACCAATCCTATAGTGATTTTTACTTGGTCTTTTCTTGGCCAGAATGTACCATTTGCACATTATGTCTGTCTCTGTTCTGTTCTTGCGATAGTTAAAGGAATATTGCGTGGTGGCAACTCAATTATCGACACAAACGCCAGTGTGACTCTAAAGCCTCTTGATGGCTCCAAGTTATAAAAAGTTGTGTAACTTATTTAAGTTTAGAACAACCATTTTATTCTGTTCTTGATTCTGTAGGTCAGGAGTTAGGGAAGAGCTCAGTTGGGCATTTTTTACTTGGGGGCTGGAGCCATCCGAAGACCCCACAGAGTTGGACGTCCAGAGCAGTTCACTCACGGGGCTGAATGTTGGCTGGGAGCTGAGTTGAGGCTGTCAACTGGAACACCTACAGGTCACCACCCAGCATGACAGGCTCAGGATGGCCAGACATATGATAAAAATTACAAAGGGTTGATGAAAAAAATCAAAGACTTAAACACTTGGACAGACCCACCATATTCATAGATTGAAAGATCAACATAATAAAGATATTAATTATCCCTTAAATGATCCATACATTTAATGCAGTTTCTACCAAATTTCCAGAAATTTCTTTATAGACATAAAAAGGTTTAATCTAACATTGATATGGAAAGGGTGAGACCCTAGAGAAGCCAAAATAATTTTGAAAAATAAGAATAAATAAGGTGGAAAGAATCACTGTTCTCAATGTTCAGACTTATCACACAGTTGCAATAGTCACGACAGTGTGGTACTGGCAGAGGGATAGACACATAGATCAGTGAAACAGCACAGAGAACCCAGAAACAGACCCACACGAATAGGCCCAGTGAATTACTGACAAAGGAGCAAATGCAATTCAATAGAGAAAAGAGCAACATCTTTGCTGGAGCAACTCAACATCTACAGGCAAGAAGGAGATGGAGAAAGAAGTGAGAGGAGATAAGAGAAGAAAGGAGGAGGTGGAGGAGAAGGAGAAGAGGAGAAGAAAGAGGAGGAGGAGGAGGAAGAGAAAGGAGAAGAAGAAGAAAGAAGACTGAAGAAAGAAATAAACCTCAACCCAAACATCATACTTTACACAAAAAATTGACTCAAAATAGATCATGGACTTAAACATAAAAGATGTACAACTATACAGCATTGGAGAAAATCTTTGGGACCTAAAGCAAGGCAAAGCATTCTTAGAACTAACACTAAAAGCATTATCTATAAAAAGAAAATTTATATATTCAACTTTATTAAAGTTAAAATTTTTTCTCTGTGAAACAAACACCCTTTTAAAAGAATGAAAAGACAAATTACACACTGGTAGGAAATATCTGCAAATCACATATCTGACAAAGATCTTGTATCTAGACTATATAAAAACCCTCAAAACTCAACAGTAAACAACAACAACAAAGAATTCATTTAGAAGATGAGCAAAAGGCGTGTACAGACATTTCACCAAAGAGGATATACAGATGGCAAATAAACTCATGCTTCAAAGATATTCAACATCATTAGCTATTAGAGAAATCCAAATTCAAACCACAGTAAGATTTCACTACATACTTATCAGAGTGGCTAAAATGAAAAATAGTGACAATACCAAATGTTAGCAAGGATATGAAGAAACTGGATCACTCATATATTGCTACTGTTAATGAAAAATGGCACAGGCACTCTGGGAAATAGTTTGGCAGTTTCCTATAAAATTAAACATTCGTATCCCGTATGACTCAGACATCATACTCTTGAGCATTTATTCCAGAGAAATGAAGACTTATTTTCATGCAGGAACTGGTAAACAAATATTTATAGCAGTTTTACTGATAGTAACCAAGAGCTGGAAATTAGCCACATGTTCTTCGGAAACTGAATGGTTAAAGAAACTGTAGTAATCTACACCATGGAATACCAGTCAGCAATAAAAAGGAGCAAGAGATTGATACACACAAATGTAGACAGACGTGAGGAGTATTATGCTGAGTGACAAGAGCCAGTCCCTAAAGAATCCATCCTGAATGATCCCATTTATGTTAACATCATGAAATAACACAATTATCAAGGTGGAGAGCTGATCAGTTGGTTGCCAGGGGTCAGGGATCAGGTAGTGATGGGCGTGGCTATAAAATGTAAAATGTGGGAATCTTGTGGTGATGATACAGTGGAGTATCTTGATTGTGGTAGTGGTTATGCAAAGCTCCATGACAAAATTGCATAGAGCTATACAAACATAAATTGAATGTATAACTGATGAAGTCTGAATAAACTCTACAGATTGTGCCAATGTAAAAAAAAAAAAAGTACTGTGAATTTTTAAATCTGGAGGAAAGAAGAACTACATAGGTTTCCTTGTCTTTTTTCCCTTGCATTTGAGGACTGTTAGAAACAGCTGCTGGATAAAGTAAACTAGGTGCACAATTAAAGGCCCAGAGCCATACACTAAACTGGGGGATGTGAGCTAAGAAATAAACACTTGGTCTCTGCCACTGTTTTCTGACACAAAGTTCCCAATTCCCTTGGAATTTCCTGGGTGAATGGAGTGTCATTTTTTTTTTTTTTTTTTAGAGACTGGTTCTCACTCTGTCGCCCAGGCTGGAGCACAGTATCACAATCACAGCTCACTGCAGTCTTGACCTCCCAGGCTCAGGTGATCCTCCCACCTCAGCCTCCCAGGGAGCTGGGACTACAGGCCCACGCCACCACACCCAGCTAATTTTTTATATTTTTTGGTAGAGACTAGGTTTCACCATGTTGCCCAGGCTGGTCTCAAACTCCTGGGCTCAAGTGATCCTGTCTTGGCCTCCCTAAGTGTTGGGATTACAGGTGTGGGCCACCACACCTGGCCAGGAATGTCTTTTGTTCTAATGAGGCTACTCTTGGTGTGCTTCTGGTAGCTTTGGATGGAGGCTGGTCACCAGAAAGACCAAGCCATCATTAGAAGCTTGGAACTTCCAAGCTCCACCTCCCATTCTCCCTGGAGGAGAGAAATGCTGGAAATTGAGTTAATAATCAACCATGACTATGTGATGAGGCCTCCATAAAAATCCCTAAACTATGGGGTTCAAAGAGCTGCCAGGTTGGTGAGCACATTCATGTGCCAAGAGGGTGACACATCCAAATTCCATGGGGAAAGAAACTCCTGCACTCAGACCCCTTCCAACCTTTTATGTACCTTTTTTTTTTTTTTTTTTTTCCATTTTTTTTCTTTTTTATTGATCATTCTTGGGTGTTTCTCGCAGAGGGGGATTTGGCAGGGTCACAGGACAATAGTGGAGGGAAGGTCAGCAGATAAGTGAACAAAGGTCTCTGGTTTTCCTAGGCAGAGGACCCTGCAGCCTTCCGCAGTGTTTGTGTCCCTGGGTACTTGAGATTAGGGAGTGGTGATGACTCTTAACGAGCATGCTGCCTTCAAGCATCCGTTTAACAAAGCACATCTTGCACCACCCTTAATCCATTCAACCCTGAGTGGACATAGCACATGTTTCAGAGAGCACAGGGTTGGGGGTAAGGTCACAGATCAACAGGATCCCAAGGCAGAAGAATTTTTCTTAGTACAGAACAAAATGAAAAGTCTCCCATGTCTACCTCTTTCTACACAGACATGGCAACCATCCGATTTCTCAATCTTTTCCCCACCTTTCCCCCCTTTCTATTCCACAAAACCGCCATTGTCATCATGGCCCGTTCTCAATGAGCTGTTGAGTACACCTCCCAGACGGGGTGGTGGCCGGGCAGAGGGGCTCCTCACTTCCCAGTAGGGGCGGCCGGGCAGAGGCGCCCCTCACCTCCCGGACGGGGCGGCTGGCCGGGCGGGGGGCTGACCCCCCCGCCTCCCTCCCGGACGGGGCGGCTGGCCGGGCGGGGGGCTGACCTCCCCGCCTCCCTCCCGGACGGGGCGGCTGGCCGGGCAGAGGGGCTCCTCTCTTCCCAGTAGGGGCGGCCGGGCAGAGGCGCCCCTCACCTCCCGGATGGGGCGGCTGGCCGGGCCCGGGGCTGACCCCCCCCACATACTTCCCGGACGGGGCGGCTGGCCGGGCAGAGGGGCTCCTCACTTCCCAGTAGGGGCGGCCGGGCAGAGGCGCCCCTCACCTCCCGGACGGGGCGGCTGGCCGGGCGGGGGGCTGACCCCCCCACCTCCCTCCCGGACGGGCAGCTGGCCGGGCAGAGGGATGACCCCCCCACCTCCCTTCCGGATGGGGCGGCTGGCCGGGCGGGGGGCTGACCCCCACCTCCCTCCCAGACGGGGTGGCTGCCAGGCGGAGAGGCTCCTCACTTCCCAGACGGAGTGGCTGCCGGGCGGAGGGGCTCCTCACTTCTCAGAGGGTGTGGCTGCCGGGCAGAGGGGCTCCTCACTTCTCAGACGGGGCGGTTGCCAGGCAGAGGGTCTCCTCACTTCTCAGACGGGGCGGCCGGGCAGAGACGCTCCTCACATCCCAGACGGGGCGGCAGGGCAGAGGCGCTCCCCACATCTCAGACGATGGGTGGCCTGGCAGAGACGCTCCTCACTTCCTAGATGGGATGGCGGCCGGGCAGAGACGCTCCTCACTTTCCAGACTGGGCAGCCAGGCAGAGAGGCTCCTCACATCCCAGACGATGGGCGGCCAGGCAGAGACGCTCCTCACTTCCCAGACGGGGTGGCGGCCGGGCAGAGGCTGCAATCTCGGCACTTTGCGGGGCCAAGGCAGGCAGCTGGGAAGTGGAGGTTGTAGCGAGCCGAGATCACGCCACTGCACTCCAGCCTGGGCACCATTGAGCACTGAGTGAACGCGACTCCGTCTGCCATCCCGGCACCTTGGGAGGCCGAGGCTGGCGGATCACTCGCGGTTAGGAGCTGGAGACCAGCCCGGCCAACACAGCGAAACCCCGTCTCCACCAAAAAAATACGAAAACCAGTCAGGCGTGGCGGCGCGCGCCTGCAATCGCAGGCACTCGGCAGGCTGAGGCAGGAGAATCAGGCAGGGAGGTTGCAGTGAGCCGAGATGGCAGCAGTACAGTCCAGCTTTGGCTCGGCATCAGGGGGAGACCGTGGAAAGAGAGGGAGAGGGAGACCGTGGGGAGAGGGAGACCGTGGGGAGAGGGAGAGGGAGAGGGAGAGGAGGGAGAGGGAGAGGAGGGAGAGGGAGAGGAGGGAGAGGGAGAGGAGGTTATGTACCTTTTAATCTGGTTGTTCATCTGTATCCTTTGTAACATCCTTTATACTAAATCAGTAAATATAAGTAAACGTTTCTCTGACTTTTGCAAGCCATTGAAGCAAATTATCAAACCTGAGGAGAGGGTCATGGGAACCCCTGATTTACAGCCAGTTGGTCAGAAGTACCAGTGACAACCTGGGACTCGATATCTGAAGTGGGGGCTATATTTGTGTGGCTGAGTCCTTAACTTTTGGGGTCTGCACTAACTCTAGGTAGTTAGTGTGAATTGGTTGGTGTCCAGAGAGTTGGAGAATTAATTGGTATGGGAACCCGCTCCACACACACACATACACATTTGGTGTCAGAAATGTCGTGCGTATAGAAAAACAGTTTTTCCTTTTAGGTGTTTTCCTTAAGGAATCATGCAAAGACCTAAGGCAGTAGGTCTCAAGCTTTGCTGCACATTAGAATCAGCTAGAGAACTGTAAAATGTACTAGTCTGATTCCCACCTTCACACAGTCCCATTTAATTGGTTTGGGGTACAATCCAGGCATTGGCAGTTTTGAACGTTTTGCAGGTGATTCTGACTTACAGCAAAGGTTAGGAAACATTGCTCTAAGACATTCCTCCCCGATTCCCACTCAGGATTAAAGCATACACCAAACTGGGCAGAATAAACCCTTGCACTGTGCAAACTCTAGAAAGGTGGTAAGAACATGGTCTATCCTGATCTTAAGCTATAGCATAACAGGCAAAGGAGGAGAGAGATAAATCAGAATCCAGACAGCAAAGAAGGTACCCACATCGTACAAGAACAAGTAGAATTTCAAGTCAGAGCCTCTCAAACATGAATAAAATGAAATGAAACCACATGGCAACAACATAGTCATTCACAGCAATAGAGTGCAAATACACAAATAAGGAAAAGTAATTCAAAAGACACCCAGAGAACCCAAGAGAAGAAAACATAATTCAAGGACAGAAGAAAATTCCACAATTCCAACTAGTTTATCCTCTAAAATTTTTGACGAAAAACATATATAACAATCAAAACTCAAAGAGATGATGAATGATTTTAAAAACATGAAATAAACAGGGAAATTCAAACATAAGGAAACAGCTTAAGGATGAAAGCAGTGTTATTGCAGAACTAATTTAAATTATAACAGGAACAGAGTCGATATCATTGAAAATTGAATTACTGATATAGAGAAAATAATGACACTGAATGCAGATTTTTAAAAGGAATTGAAGTAATTAGAAAGAAGCTAATAATTATAGAAGAGAGACAGAGACAAACCAACAAAAGAAAAACTGTCTCTGAAGAAAAGACTCCAAAAAAATGTAACAGAAGATTAAATCAAAGTTATAGTACAAAAAGAAAAAAAAATCTTTAAACAAAGAGGGAGGCTTGCTGGGCATAGTGATTCATACCTATAATCACAACACTTTGGGAGGCTGAGGCAGGTGGATCACTTGAGCTCAGGAGTTTGAGATTAGCCTGAGCAACATGGTGAAACCCCATCTCTACCAAAAATACAAAAAAATTAGCCAGGTGTGGTGGCATGCGCCTATGTTCCCAGTTACTCAGGAGGCTGAGGTGGGAGGATTGCTTGAGTCTGGGAGGCAGCAGTTGCAGTGAGCCAAGATTGCGCCACTGCACTCCAGCCTGGGCGTCAGAGTGAGACCTTCTCTCAAAAACAAAACAAAAGAGGGAGGAAACTTCAAATCTGCAGGTCAAAAAATATTTCATGTTCCATGAAAAACAGTAATATATACATTGTGCAGCAATGAGAAATACCCTAGATATACTATTGTACTTCAAAATACAAGAAGAGAATTTTTTCAGGCACCCAGGAAAATAAACCATGTATTTTGCAAAGGGTAAAATTGGTCATGCTTTGGGCTTCTCTGAAACTACTTGCAGAGTCAACAGTCATTGGAGCAAAATCCACAGACTCTGTGAGAAAGGATGAGCAATCCATGAATATGGTATCCAGCTAAAAGGTCATTCCAGGACAAAGGCAACCATCAGATATTCCCTGGGGAACATGGCACCCATGAACCCACACATTGTTAAGCACTACTTGACAACTAACTTTGCCAATTCAGAGTTGTACTCAATGGGGAGGATGTACTAAAAAGCCTGGTGGCATATGAAAGTGTCCTAAATAGCTTTGGAAATCATGGTTCCAGAACATTCTGTGGGTGTTAGAACCCAGGACATTGAGTGAGGAGGGGGGATCTGGAGGCCCTTTGAAGGAAGTGTCTCTAAAAGGGGAGGGTCTCAACTGTCCAGTCCCCTGACAGGTCAAAGGTGAGGCTTTGGACTGGTCATTGGCTTCAGCGACATGAGAGTGACCGGTCACGGTGAAAAGGGCCAGCAGCGGAGTGAGGAGTGGGGCTCACGCCTGACTAGAAAGTCAAGAGGGGAATTATTCTGTGGCATTTTTCTGTAACAAGGAGCAAAGATATTGGGCAGCCACTGAGAGGGATTTTTTTTTGATATGGGGGAAAAGATGAGGAAGAAATAGATGATGTGGAAAAGAAAGGGGTGGATTTCAGGAGAACAATGCTGGGATGGCCTGAGGGAATGGGCTGAGGGGCTTGGACCCTCCCATGTGTAAAATTGTCCCTGGGTGGGAGCTCAGAAGTTTCCAGAAGAGTAACTTGGGGAAGGCAGGGAGGCATACACAGAGCCAGAAGGATGTCTGTGTTGAGATGGAGCACTTGCAGTTCTCTTCCCATGTTTGTTTCCTCAGTGAACTAGAAAGCAAAGTCACTGACTGGAAATGAGGAACCATAAGTAATAGGATTACAGGCAGCACTGAGGGTCCTGACTGCCACCTCAGTGAGACCAGCTATCGGAATGTGTCCTTCCCCATCCAGGGCCAGGCATGGTCAAGGTGAGAACAGGCTGGCTGGAGTGGGGTTTTGCCAGGTGAGAATGATGAATGAGACAGGGGCACCATCTTAGGGGAACGTCTGTCCTGTGCCTGTTCCACCATTGTACTTTGGACGCACATAACTTGTCTGATTTCACAGTTCACAGCTGAAGGGACGTTTACCTCAGGATGAGTGGTGCCTTGAGTCTCACCCATAGCTAATGTAGACGATATTTAGACGAGACCCAGACTTTTGATTTTAGAGTTGCTTTTGGAATCAGTTAAGACTTTGGTGGCTGTTGGGATGGAATGAATATATTTTACAGGTGAGAAGGACATGAATTTGCTGGGGCCAAGGGTGGAATGTCACGGACTGAATGTCTCTTCCCCAAATTCATATGTTGAAACCCTACTGCCTAATGTCATAGTTTCAAGAACCTTTAAGAAGTAATAGGATTAGATGAGGTCATGAGTGTGGGACCTGCAAAAATTTAGGTTAGTGCCCTTGTAAAAGGGACCCCAAGAGAGCTCCCTTGCCCCTTCCAGCAAGTGAAGAAACAGCCAGAGGCACTGACTATGAATCAGGAAGCAGGACCTCACCGGTCAGGGAATCTTTGATCTTGAACTTCCAGCCAGCACCTTGATCTTGGACTTCCAGCCTCCAGAACTGTGAGAAATAAATGTTTATTGTTTATAAGGCACCCGGTCTATGGTATTGTGATATAGCAGCCCCAGTGGGCTAAGTCAGGCATGGAGTAATTAGATCCTGACCCAAGGACACCAAGCTGGGTGAGAAGTCCTTGCTAAGGACATGAGCGTGTCTATGAGTAGCTGAGGGAAGTGAAAATGTGAAAGTTGTGGAAACGAGGGAGATATGAAAATGTGGGAGATGTCCGGTAGGACATGAGGTTGAGGGTGCTGGGCAGGACATGACATTGAGGAGTTTGTTCAGTCTCTGAGTCTAGGTGGAAGATCACTGGAGGAGAGGATGCCGGAGCTGAGGCCAGGCCATTGATGTGAACGCTAGAACCAGAGAAATCAGGACAGTAGTGGTAGTGGAGAGTATGAGCGTGTGCCACGAATGAGAGAGATTCAACCAAGGTCTGGAGACAGCTGTAGCAAGAAAAGGGCAGGTGTTGGCATTGCTGACAAGAGACTCAGCAGGTTTTAGAGAGGAAGGAGAGGGAAAGATCTGGAAGCAGCAATAAGGAGCAAAGGACACAGCTACCACATCCAGACGGGTGGCCAGCAGGGAGGACACCACCTCCAGCAGGGACGGTCCTCAGGGCAGAGGCAGCTTGCAGAGGAGCAAGAGGGAAAGGGAACCTGTGGGAAAAGAACAGAGGCAGAGATGGCTTTGCAGGGACTGTGTTCAGTGTGTTCAAATAACTAATTATGATAGTGTGAGTGTGAAGAGCATTTGCTATTCCTGTAAACCTAGAATAAATTTATATATAGGCACTGATCATGTCATTTGTTGCTATGACTAACAAGTAACATGACCCAGAAACCTCTGGCTATTTGCAATTGATCCTCCCAAAATTTAACTAGACCCTTAGTCCTCACAGCATGTTGAATTGGTGGGATTTGGCCAGATGCATGCACTCTCCTGATTGCTACCATCTGGCCAAGATTAGCTGGGCATGTTTTTGCATGCCTGTAGTCCTAGCTACTCAGGAGACTGAGGCAGGAGTATCACTTGAGCCCAAGAGTTTGAAGATGCAGTCAGCCATAATTGCACCACTGCACTGCACAGAGACCCTGTGTCTAAAATAATAATAATAATAAAATATTGATATGGTTTGGCTCCATGTCCCTACCCAAATCTCATGTTGAATTGTAATTCTCAGTGTTGGGGGAGGGACCTGGTAGGAAGTGATTGGATCATGGGTGCAGTTTTTCCCCTTGCTGTTCCATGATAGTGAGTTCTCATGAGATCTGATGGTTTAAATGTGTCTGACACGTCCCCCTTCACTCTCTCTCTCTCCTGCCGCCATGTGAAGATATTCTTACTTCCCCTTTGCCTTCCTCCATGATTGTAAGTTCCTTGAAGCCTCCCCAGGTATGACTCTGATACAGCCTCTGGAACTGTGAGACAATTAAACCTCTTTTCTTTATACATTTGCCATTCTCAGGTAGTTTTTTATAGCAGTGTGAGAATGGACTAATACAGAAAATTGGTACCAGAGAAGTGAGGCATTGCTATAAACATACCTGAAAATGTGGAAGCAACTTGGAACTGCATAATGGGCAGAGGTTGGAACAGTTTGAAGGGATCAGAAGAAGACAGGGAGATGAGAGAAAGTTTGGGACTTCCTAGAGACTTGTTGAATGGTTGTGACCAAAATGCTGATAGTGATGTGAACAGTGAAGTCCCAGGCTGAGGTGGTCTCCATTGAAGATGAGGAACTTATTGGAAACTAGAGCAAAGGTCACTCTTGCTATGCTTTAACAAAGAGACTGGCAGCATTGTGCCCCCACTCTAGGGATCTGTAGAACTTTGAACTTGAGAGAAATGATTTAGGGTATCTGGTGGAAGAAATTTCTAAGCATTCAGGAAGTAACCTGGCTCCTTATAACAGCATACACTTATATGCATGAGCAAAGAGATTATCTAAAACTGTAACTTATATTTAAAAGTGAAGCAGAGTGTAAAAGTTTGAAAATTTTGCAGCCTGACCATGTGGTTTGAAAAGAAAAACCCATTTTTTGGGGAAGAATTCAAGGTTGCAGAAATTTGCATAAGTAAAGAGAGCCGAATATTAATAGCCAAGACAATGGGGAAAATGCCTCCAGAGACCTTTCAGACATATTTCAGAGACCTTTGTGGCAGCCCTTCCCATCACAGGCCTGGAGGCTGAGGATGGAAAAATCGTTTTGTGGGCCAGGCCTAGGACCCCATTGCTCTGTGCAGCCTTAGGACATGGTGCATTGTTCTATGGAGCCACTCCAGCTCCAGCTATGGCTAAAAGGGGCCAAGGTACAGTTTGGGCCATTGCTTCAGAGGGTGAAAGCACCAACCCTTGGCAGCTTACATGTGGTGTTGGGTCTGCAGGTATGCAGAGGACAAGAGTTGAGGTTTGAGAGCCTCTGCCTAGATTTCAGAGGATGTATGGAAATGCATGGATGTCCAGGCAGAAGTCTGCTGCAGGGGTGAAGCCCTCATGAAGAACCTTGACCAGGACAATGGGGAGGGGAAATGTGGGGTCAGAGTCCCCACACAGAGTCTCCACTGGGGCACTGCCTACTGGAGCTGTAAGAAGTGGGCCACCACTATCCAGACACCAGAATGGTAGCTCCATCGACAGCTTGCACTGTGCACCTGAAAAATCCACAGGTACTAAATGCCAATCTGTGAAAGTAGCCACAGGGGCTGTACCCTGCAGAGCCATAGGGACAGAGCTGCCCAAAACCTCAGGAGTCCACCCCTTACATCAGTGTGGCCTGGATGTGAGACATGGAGTCAAAAAAAGATAATTTTGGAGCTTTAAGATTTAATGACTGCCCTGCTGGGTTTTGGGCTTACATGGGCCCCTTTGTTTGAGCCAATTTCTCCCATTTGGAAAGGGGGAATTTACCCAATGCCTGAATCCCCATTGTATCTTGGAAGTAACTAGCTTGTTTTTTTTATTCTATAGGCTCAAAAGGGAACTGAAGTGACAGAAGGAACCTGCTTTGTCTCAGATGAGACTTTGGACTTGGACTTTTGAGTTAATGCTGGAATGAGTTAAGACTTTGGGGCACTGTTGCAAAGGCTTGATTGTGTTTTGAAACGTGAAAAGGATATGTGATTATGGAAGGGTCAGGGGTGGAATGATATGGTTTGGCTCTGTGTCCCTACCCAAATCTTATGTTGAATTATAATTCCCAATGTTGGAGGAGGCACCTGGTAAGAGGTAATTGGATCGGGGGGCGAATTTCTCCCTTGCAGTTTTCATGATAGTGAGTGAGTTCTCATGAAATCTGGTTGTTTAAAAGTGTATAGCACTTCCCCGTTCTCTCTCTCTCCCTCTCTCTCTCCTGCCACCATTTGAAGATGTGCTTGCTTCCCCTTTGCCCTTCATCCACGATTGTAAGTTCCCTGAGGCCTCCCTGGCCATGCCTCCAGTACAGTCTGTGGAACTGTGAGTCAATTAAACTTATTTTCTTTATAAATTACTCAGTCTCAGGTAGTTCTTTATGGCAGTGTCAGAATGGACTAATACAAATATACATTGGATATGAAGGTGAGTCTGCTTCAAGAAAGAAAAGCATTTTATAATGAAATTATGAGACAATCTTGAAGGACATAATATTTGTTCTTAGATTTTATATTTTGAGTTCAACCAAACAAGCATTTGTTGACAAACTATTCTACACCAAGATATGAGTACAACCTACAGTAATTTATTGTCACACATAAATAAATAAGATATAGCATGGCAATTTCAACAACTGAGATAGGAATGAAGTGTTGTGGGAACTTGGCAGAAGCCAGGGAAAGGGGGAGAGCAGACAACTCTTAAATGCCTGTGGAAAGACCTAGGAAGGCCTACAAGTCAGCTCAGGCTACCATAACAAAGTACCACCCTGGGCAGCTTAAATAGAAACACACAGATGATTCCCAACTTATGATGGTTCAATTTACAATTTTTCTACTTTATGATGGTGAGAAAGCAATATGCACACCATCATTTTAAATAGGAATAATACAGGGTAGTCACAGGAGAATAGAACATTCCAGGCAGAAGTTTCACATGACTAGCAAAAAGAAACTGTTGAAATAGCTGCAGCAGCTATAGGCTGATAAGACTCTGAAAACCCAGGGTATAGACCAAGCTAGCTAAAACCTTCTGGACCCAACATGGTGCTGGATTTGACCTAGGTTTCACCTAGGACCTCATTATATGTTCATTAACATTCTAAATCATATACCCACCGGTGTTATGACGGTTCTGAGAATCCCCATATTTGGTGTACAAATGGGTGGCACCACAGTTCCAAGAAATCTCCACCTTTTTCCAGGAATCTTCATGGATATTCCACCCCTTGGTTACAGAAATTCATAAAGGCAGCAGTCCCAAACTCCCTTTTGCGTGACTCTCTTGAGTACACGTGCACTCCCTTTTCTTGAGTGTGTACTTTTCCCTTTACCATAAATCTCTACTTTCACTATTTTCTAACCCAGCCTTGAAGTCATTCTCCAAACAATGTTAAGAGCCTGGACATCAGCTGGGGTTCCTCATCTGGTCCCACCAGTGTTTGGGGACCTCCCCCAGCCCACTGGTATCAAATTCAGTAGAAATTGTACTTTGAGTACCCCTACAATCATTCTGTTTTTCACTTTCAATACAGTATTCAATAAATTACATGAGATATTCAACTATTACAAAACAAGCTTTGTGTTAGATAACTTTGCCCAATTGTAAGCTAATGGAAGTGTTCCGAGCATGTTTAAGGTAGGCTAGGCTAAGCTATGATGCTCAGTATGTTATTGTTTGAAACATATTTTTTTTTTTTTGAGATGGAGTCTCACTCTGTCACCCAGGCTGGAGTGCAGTGGCGTGATCTCAGCTCACTGCAACCTCCACCTCCCAGGTTCAAGCAATTCTCATGCCTCAGCCTCCCACATAGCTGGGATTACAGGTGCACACCACCGTGCCTGGCTAATTTCTTGCATTTTTAGTGGAGATGGGTTTCACCATGTTGGGCAGGCTGGTCTCAAACTCCTGACCTCAGGTGATCTGCCCACTTCGGCCTCCCAAAGTGCTGGGATTACAGGCGTGAGCCACCACACCCAGCCTGAAATACATTTTTAACTTATGGTCTTTTCAACTTGTAATGGGTTTTTCAGGACATAACGCATCAGAAGTTGGGGGACATCTGTATTCTTTCATAGTTCTGGAGGCTGGAAATCTGAAATCAAGGTTGTCAGGAGGATTAGTTTCTCCTGAAGCCTTGCTCCCTGGCTTGTAGACAGTTGTCTTCTCCCTGTGTCCTCACATGGTCATGCCTATGTTTCTGTGTCCTAATCTCCTCTTCTTACAAGGACACTAGTCGGATTGGATTAGGGTCCACTCATATGACCTCATTTCAACTTAATCGCCTCTTAAAAGACCCTGTCTCCAAATACAGTCATATTCTGATGTACTAGGGTTAGGGCTCCAACAGATGAATTTTGGGGAGGCACAGTTCAGTTCATAACAGAAGGGTACCTAGGGAAGATGACATTAAAACAAAGCATTGATGATGTTCACCATGTGCACATACCCAGACTGAGAGGGAACCCAAGTCCTGGCTGGGTCCTCAGCTTTGCAGAGTCAGAAATTCAATTTTGTAAATGCTCGGTCTCCCAGGAGAGTCTTGTGTGACTAAACTCACAGAGGCTGTGAGCTCACTGTACGCAGAAGCCCAGTTTGATCTTCTGTGATGAGAAATAGATTCCAAATAGGCAGAAATACTCGTGTTGGCTGGTGTGCCAATTTTCTCCCTGGAAGAAAGTGTCACGAGACACAATATTTCTCTTGGGGGAACGTCAAAAAAGAGATAATTTGAGCAGTGTTTTTCAAACTGCAGATCACAACCATTAATCGATCCAACTAAACAGAATTGATTTAGTAGGTTAACAACTACCTTTGCTAGTGGAATCTAATAGGATAGAATGAGACGTAGTGTAAAAAATATGGTCTCATCAAACATGCATCAAAGTGTTTTCAGCCAGTTACAGTGGCTCATGCCTATAATTCCAGCACTTTGAGAGGCCAAGGCAGGAGGATCACTTGAGGCCAGGAGTTTGAGATCAGCTGGGGCAACATGGTGAGACCCCATCTCTAAATTTTTAAAAATCATGAAGTGTTTTGTATGTTCCCATGTGTGTCTGTGTGTGCATGTGCATTGAAAGCAAGTCCCAATGTCAAATGTATTTCTTTCTTAGGAATGTGTTCAAAGATTAAAATTTGAGGCCATGCGTGGTGGTTCATGCCTGTAATCTCAGCACTTTGGGAGGCCAAGGCAGGCAGATCACTTGAGCCCAGGAGTTCAAGACCAGCCTGGGCAACGTGCCAAAATCCTGTCTCAAAAAAAAAGAAGAAGGAAAGAAAGATTAGCTGGGTGTGGAGTGGCACGTGCCTGTGGTCCCAGTTACTCAGGAGGCTGAGGTGGGAAGATTGCTTAAGCCTAGGAGGCAGAGGTTGCAGTGAGCCGAGATCATGCCACTGCACTCCAGCCTGGGTGGCAGCAATACCCTGTCTCAAAATAAAAGAAAATAAAAATGTGAAATGCCATACATTGGACAAACTTGAAAGCTAGATCTTTCCACCCTGATGCACTTGTCTCACTACAGGATTGGGTGTGTTCAATTGACCAGATATTTTGCCTTACTAAAATATCGCATGAGTAGAACTCTTAGTTGTAAAGGAAACACGCAAAAATAGTGTAAGGGAAAGGACCAAGTTACCATAAGTATGTGGAGGAACTAGACCAGCCACTGGGACCTGAGCAGAGAAACAGCCTCAGGCATGGTGGCGGGAGCCTGTAATCCAAGCTACTCAGGAGACTGCGGCAGGGGAATCGCTTGAATCCAAGAGGCAGAGGTTGCAGTGAGCTGAGATCGTGCCACTGCACTCCAGCCTGGATGACAGAGTGAGGCTGTAACTCAAAAAAAAAAAAAAGACGTGACTATTGAGCCTCCTAACAACCCTATAAAGGAGTTCCTATTTGGCTGGAAAGGAAAATACGGCACAAAGGAAGTAACACCTGCAGAAGGCCAAGAAGATTGTTCACATTACAGCTGACTTTCCCTTGACTCCAAGTCTGAATTCTCTCCATTGCACCCCAACGCCCTCCACTGTTAAACTAGATTCTGCCAGCTTGGCCAATCTCAAATCACCGTCACTTGAGTATGTATGATGTTTAATCTGGGAATGTTGTTGGGATTTAAAGCATTGGACAAATAGCAGGTTTATATTTGCTCAGAGCAGTGTGGGCTGCAAACCTGAGAAAACAAACACAGGAGGAAAGCCCACTGTCTGTGGGGGGCCTCTGGAGTTGACCTGGACATTCAGCTGTAACCAGAACTCTTCACTTAGCTCCTCCAACAAGGCAGAGTTCGTGGGGTGCCTATGGGTTCCCCAGAAATTGCCATGGATCTAACCTGATGGTTTCAAAACCTGTTAATGTCTTAGAACAGGTAGGTAGCTTCAGGTGCCACTTTCTCATTGTGCAGGTGTAGAAAGTGATCTCAGAAGGGCAGGGGCTTTCTCCAGATGTCCTCAGGACACTGTCCAGGAAAAAGTGCTCCACCAGGAGAGGCAGTAAGTGCTGGAGCGGGACAGGGACCCAAAGAGAGAAGTGTGGAGGGGGCAGAGGTGGTGCGCACCAGCCTGCAGTCCAGGTGTTGCCAGTGGGATGTCAGCCTGGTAAAGGAAGGAATGTGGATGGCCAAGGGCACGGCCCAACCTCCCTGAGCATCAGACAAGGCAGCTGTTTTGCAGGCCTCAATGCCCTAGAACCCCAAATGTTTCTGTGTGCTCGTGATCTCTCCTCAGTCTGTGCAGGATTACAACGCAAGGTACTGAGAAGTCAAGGTTGGATTTTGTTTGTTTGTTTGTTTTGTTTTGAGACAGAATCTTGCTCTTGTCGCCCAGGCTGGAGTGCAGTGGCGCCATCTCAGCTCACTGCAACCTCTGCCTCCCGGGTTCAGCAATTCTCCTGCCTCCCGGGTTCAGCGATTCTCCTGCCTCAGCCTCCCAAGTAACTAGGATTACAGGCGCCCACCACCACACCCAGCTAATTTTTGTATTTTTGTTAGAGACAGGGTTTCACCATGTTGGCCAGTCTGGTCTCAAACTCCTGACCTCAGGTGATCCACCTGCCTCGGCCTCCCAAAGTGCTGGGATTACAGGCGTGAGCCACTGCGCCTGGCCTACATGTTTTTTAGCCTCAAGTGTCTGGATAACACAATGAAAGCATGCTTGCCTGCTGGATTGTACAGACCAAGCCCCTCAGCATGCACAAATGGTTATCTTCAGTCACTTATACTTCCTAAGTTACCAGAATAACCTTGCACTCTCTCTCCCTTTGGCAACACAAACCTCATAGATTGGAAAATAGTCTTTTCTGCTGTCTTAATGCTTGCTTGCTTTCTATTCAAAAACTACTGCATGACTATACAGCATTTGAAACTCACTGTCTGATTGGAATTTGGGAAACATTGGCTTTCTTAATGCTGATTCTGCATTTCCTGCTGAAATTGAGCTCTCAGCTTTGAGCAGTCCCACTGAAACCAGGGGCAGCCAGCCGGATTCTCTGCAAGTCAGGAAATGAGAGCCAGACTCCCTTGCTTGTCTCTATGGACACTGGAGTCGGTTTCCCTTCCTGGGCAGATGAAAGGGTGAGGTCATTGCACATGATTGAGTGGTGGAGAAACTCAGCCTTCTAGAAACTAAGACCAAGCAATCATCTCACAAGAAAACATTTTGGAAGCTAGGTTTTCATCAACAACATTAAATAAATCACTGGTTTTTAAAGACCGGTAAACCCCAATGGCAGTCTGTCTGGATTTGTTCTAAAACTTAAAGCATGAGTTTTGCTTGTAAATGAGAGTTCCCTGAAATGCCAGCAAAAAAAAAAAAAAAAAAAAGCAAACCCAATCCTTTGGGTAATAGGAACCACAACAAGGAAAAATAGGAACCGCAACAAGGAAAAACATTTTTTTAAATAAATAAAACATTTCATGTTTATCCTCAGCAATTTCGTGTTTAAAAGAAACAAACTCTACAACTGCTCAGCATTCTTCACAAGGAAGGTGTGCCTTCAGCCTCCCGGAAAAGTCTCTCGGCTGGTATGACCTGGCCTGTTGCCGGGAAAAAGTGAGATTTGGCAGACACGGGCGTCGGGACAGCCTGCATGGTTACTGGACTGCAAGGTCTGGCCCCGTCAAAGCAGACAGCTCTATTATCCCCACAGCCTGCAGAACTGGGGTCAGGCGTGTCCTGATGCTGGATCTCTGCCCTCCTTCTCCCGGTTCTCACCCTGTAGGTGTCGGATTTGACCATTTGCACAACAACCCTCACGTTGTCATTCCCAGATCCTCATTGGTGCATTGTTCTTTTTGTTTATAGTAAACTTTATTTTTTTAGAGCAGTTTCAGGTTCACAGCAAAAAGGAGCAGAAAATACAGAGCATTCCCATATCTCCCCTGCCCTATAGACACACAGCCTCTCCCATTGTCAACATCCCCCACAGAGTGGTCCATCTGTTACCATTGATGAACCTACACTGACACATCATCACCCAAATCCGTGGTTGACACCGGGGTTCACTCTTGGCATTGTACATTCTGTGGGCTTGGACAAATGTATAATGATGTGTCCACCACTGCGGTATCCCACAGACTAGCTTCACTGTCTTAAAAATCCTCTATGCTTGACTGATTCATCTCTAATCTTTTTTTTTACTGTCTCCATAGTTTTGCCTTTTCCAGAATGTTAGAGGGTTGGAACCATATAGCCTTTCCAAATTAGCTTCTTTCACTTAGTAAATAGGTATGTTCCTTTTGGAGACCGTATCTCTGGCTCCTGGTTAAAGAGCAGGACTAGCTACATAATTCGTGACTGAGTGCAAAATGAAAATGTGGGGGCCCCTTGTTCAAAATTATTAAGAATTTCAAGATGGTGATAGCAGAGTATTAAGCCAAGCATGGGCCTTCTGAGGGCTGGGCCCTGAGAAACAGTGCAGCTGTCAGCCCATGAAGCCGACTACTAAAGAGTAAGGTTTTGTTTGTTTGTTTGTTTTGTTTTGTTTTTGAGACAGAGTCTTGCTCTGTTGCCCAGGCTGGAGTGCAGTGGTGCGATCTCGGCTCACTGCAAGCTCCGCCTCCTGGGTTCACGCCATTCTCCTGCCTCAGCCTCCCGAGTAGCTGGGACTACAGGCGCCCACCACCACGCCCGGCTAATTTTTTGTATTTTTAGTAGAGACGGGTTTTCACTGTGTTAGCCAGGATGGTCTTGATCTCCTGACCTAGTGATCCGCCTGCCTCGACCTTCCAAAGTGCTGGGATTACAGGCATGAGCCACCGCGCCCAGCCAAGAGTAAGGTTTTAAAGCAAGTGCCCAACATGTGAGTGGGTCCTTTGTCTTCTTCAGATTCCATAAAGCTAGGACATGTAAACAAAAGTGTTTATTATGTTTTTTTTATTATTTGTTTCCAAAATGCTTCCACAGTTGCCAACAACCTCAGTGCTCAAGCACTTTCTCAAACAACACAGCTCAAAAAAAAAGAGGGACAAAGTCAGGAGCTCTGCTGATTACTTTCCTAATTTTATCAAAACAAAAAAATGCAGTCTACTCAGAGGGATTGGGCTGTGAAGCACGAAGCCCCCTCAGTACCCATGAGCTGACAATGAATAACATTTATCGGTAAAAAGAAAACAGGCCCCTCTTTTGACGACATCTTGAATTGTCTTATTGATGACGAGGCAGGCTTATGTATTTCCAGGTAGCATGATACTAATGTAGAGAGCGCTGCAGCCGATTGGTTAGCCGGTTTCCTGCTCACAGAGTGAAATATGCCAGACTCCAGGAAATCAAGGCAGGCTGCAGCACGGGTGCAAGTCCCCGTGCTGAGGAGCACACGTTTGCTCTGGCTTGCACCTTATTATTGTCAACTAAATGATGGGCACCATAGCTGTCACTCCCCCTTGCTTTCTCCCAAATGCTGGTGCTTTAGAATTCATGCAACAGTGCAGAACACTGAGGGAAAATGCTCCGTCTCACATGCTGGCCAGACCCGTTAGGCAGAGAGAGTTTGGGGCGAGGGCTGCAGAGAGGACGAGGGAATGGCCCCAGGTGGCACGGTGCCTCACCAGCACACATGGATGCAAAGGGCATTGGTGTCTAGAGCAGCTGCAACGTGGGCCCACAGGCTGGGTGGCTGAAACAACAGACATTTACTTTCTCACAGTTCTGGAGGCTGCAGGTCTGAGAGCCAGGTGTCGGCAAGGATATTTTTCCTGAGACCTCTCCCCTTGGCTTGCAGGCGGTGTCTTCTCCCTGTGTCCGCACGTGGCTGTCCCTCTGTCTGTGTCCTCATCTCCTCTTCTTGTAGGACACCTGTCATGTTAGTTAGGACCCACCAGTATGATCTCACTGTAAGTTGATTACCTCTGTAAAAACCCTGTCTCCACATACATCCACTGAGGTCCTGGGGATTAGGGCCTCAACATAGGAATTTTTAGGGGCACGCAATTCAGCCATCGCACAAGGTAATTTAAATTCTCCCCAGAAAGTGAGAGTGAGTGCTGAGGGACATGCAGCAGTGTTACCAACAACATGCAGTACTTCTGCAACTGCGCTTTTTATAAAATGTATCCTTTATTTATTCTATAGTGTTAACCTTCCTCCCATTTACATTTCTAAGTGGAATTGAATTGTTTTAAATTACCCCTAGGAAATCCTTTATTTTCCATCACTTTATGGTTTTGGCTTTTTATTTATTTATTTATTTATTGGTTTTGTTTTTTGAGACTGTCTTGCTCTGTCGCTCAGGCTGGAGTGCAGTGGCACGATCTTGGCTCACTACAACCTCCGCCTCCCGGGTTCACGCCACTCTCCTTCCTCAGCCTCCCGAGTAACTGGGACTGCAGGTGTCCACCACCATGCCCAGCTAATTTTTTGTATTTCTAGTAGAGATCGGGTTTCACTGTGTTAGCCAGGATGGTCTCGATCTCCTGACCTCGTGATCTGCCCGCCTCAGCCTCCCAAAGTGCTGGGATTACAGGCGTGAGCCACCGTGCCCGGCCTCCATCACTTTATATTTTATTTCTCTCATATACCAATAACATTGTGTGGTTCTTTTACAAAGCTGAATGATCAAATTACTTGTTTGTTTGATTTGCTATTTAGTGGTTTGGAATACAGATAGATCTAAGTCAGTAAGAGTTAAAGGGTAACAGTCTCCAAATTCTTTGAGCCTTTAAATCCCAGCTGCACCTCCCTTAGCTGTGTGGCCTAGGGCTCATAACTAATGTCTCTGAGCTTAATCTGTAATACAGGACACGTAAGGGTACTCACCTCACAGCATTATTGTAAAAATTAAGTGAAATAATAAATATAAAATTGTTGATCTTAGAGTGCATTTGTGATTATTATATGCTATTGTTATACCCATATGTTGTATTACGAAGAATACATATTGTCAAATTGCTTTGCAGAGTGGTTTTGCAAAGTTGCCAACAACAACGTGTTTTTATCAAGTTTACCACATCAACACAGAGTATTATTCTTGGGCTGGGCGTGGTGGCTCATGCCTGTAATCCTGGCACTTTGGGAGGCCGAGGCAGGCAGATCACTTGAGGTAAGGAGGTCAACACAAGCCTGGCCAACATGGAGAAACCCCGTCTCTACTAAAAATACAAAAATTAGCAGGGCATGGTGGCAGGTGCCTGTAATCTCAGCTACTTGGGAGGCTGAGGCAGGAGAATCGCTTGAACCTGGTAGGTGGAGGTTGTGATGAGCCGATATCGTGCCATTGCACTCCAGCCTAGGGGACAAGAGCGAAACTCTGTCTCAAAAAGAAAAAGAATATTATTCTTTATGTTATGTCTCAAAAAGAAAAAGAATATTATTCTTTATGTTACCAAAACATCAGAGGTTCAGCCTAGGTCCTGCTGCTCTCAGCACAGAAAGCCAATGACTGAGATGATGAGTATTACCAAGAAAAAAGCTTGAACCAGGTGCTGCTGCCAAGGCAATGGGAGTTCAGTCTCAGATCCATCTCCCTGACCAACTCATATTAGGGGTTTATATAGCAGGGGAAAAGGTAACAATGTCTGAGAAAACAGGAACTTGGGAGGGGTAAGGAAATAATCATGATAAATAAGACAGTCTCATTGTCTGGATGTGGCGATCTGGTGAGTTTCAGTTCTTTGATACTTTTAGAGAGGCCTGGGGGTCTTTTCCTGAGGAAGGAACTCAGATAAAACAAAGTAAGTTTCAAGCTTTAAGACCAGGGTCGGTTTCTATGTTTATCCAAAGACTGTCTATGGGACAATTGGATTGGTTTCATTTACAAAATGAGCTAACTGAAACAGTGTGGAACAGTATTTCTCTCTCTCTCTCTCTCTCTCTCTCTCTCTTTTTTGAGACAGCATCTTATGCTATTGCCCAGGCTGGAGTGCAGTGGCTCAATCATGGGTCACCTCAGCCTCAACCTCCCAGGCTCAAGTGATCCTCCCACCTCAGCCTCCCGAGTAGCTGGGATTACAGACGTGCACCACCACACCCAGCTAAATTTTTTAAAAAATTTTGGAGAGACAGAGTCTCACTATGTTGCTCAGGCTGGTCTCAAACTCCTGGGCCCAAGTGATCCTCCCACTTTGGCCTCCCAAAGTGCTGGGATTACAGATGTGAGCCCCCTACTGGGCCCAGTATCTTTATGTACTTCTTTGCCCCCTTCTTTTTGGGGTACTTTAAATTTGTATTATTTTGTTTTCAAGGGGAGTTGCAATTTTTTCCATATTTTCTGGGAAATTTTACAAATTATGGTTCTATTTCTGTTCATTGTTTTTCCTGTTTATCCCTTCCTTCACCACAAAAGGAAAGATTTAAAAACTTTTTCTATCAAAAGCACTATTTAAATCATGTGAGAATCTCTAATTTCATCCTTCTATGAAACAGAATGAATGCTTCTGTGTTTTATCCCTCTATTACATGAGAAAGCACACGGAGAACTGGGAGCTGACAGCCCTAACTAGAGTGAAGGAGTCCTGGGAATTGCCCTTTGGAATCACAGAACATCAGAGCTAGAGGGGGGACCTAATCCACAGGAACAGTCCCACTCTTAGGGGAGATTATCAAAGTGGGGGCGCATCCCCAGGATGTATGGCCAGGTCCACGTCACAGTGCTACCTCTAAGTAAGACTTTCCCAGCCACAGTGGAACTGCATCCAGCACACACTTCACCTATGAAAATGGGACTATAAACCGGGTGCAGTGGCTCACGCCTGTAATCCCAGCCCTTTGGGAGGCCGAGGCAGGTGGATCACAAGGTCAAAGGTCAGGAGATCAAGACCATCCTGGCTAACATGGGGAAACCCCGTCTCTACTAAAAATACAAAAAATTAGCCGGGTGTGGTGGCGAGCGCCTGTAGTCCCAGTTACTCGGGAGGCTGAGGCAGGAGAATCGCTTCAACCTGGGAGGCAGAGGTTGCAGTGAGCCGAGATCGCGCCACTGCACTCCAGCCTGGGCACAGAGTGAGACGCTTGTCAAAGAGGGGAGGGGAGGGGAGCGGAGGGGAGGGGAAGGGAGTGGAGGGGAGGGGAGGGGAGGGGGACTATAATTAGCCAGGCATGGTGGCACACATGCCTATAGTCCCAGTTACTCAGGAGGCTGAAGTTGGAGTATTGCTTGAGCCCAGGGAGTCTGAGGCTGCAATGGGCTGAGGTTGCTCCACTGCACTGCAGTTTGGGTGACAGAGTGAGACCCTGTCTCAGAAAACAAAAAGAAAAAAAAAGAAAATATGACACATGAGTTGAAGATAAAATGAAAACAATGGATAGAGGAATGCCTTTCCTTATTATTCCTTACTTTTGTGCTGCAGGGAGCCTGTCTTGGTGATGGAAACCTGATACAGGGGTTTGCAGTAGTAATTTTTTCCACATATTTCCTAATTGCAAGTTCACTGTCAACACAGATCTGTAAGATGCAACTCTGCTGCATATTCACCTGTCTATTCTTCAAGATGAAATTGGAATTATTTTGTCAATTTCTTTTTAAAAAGTCTCCCAGTGACCCTCTACAGACATCATGATTGAAAACATGGCTCCATAGTGGGGTTCTGCGGCCATGGGCAGGTTTCTAAACCTCGGTTTTTCATCTACAGATTGGGAACACCAAGGGTGCCCACCTCGTGGACAATCCACCATTAAGACCTGCTACAATTACTTAGATACTAACTTCCAGTAGGGCTTCCCTGGCCCCATGGTCCCCAGGGGCTCTAAGACCCTTTGTCCCAAAGCAGCCCAATACACTTTACTTCCACCAAAACTGGACAACCAGGGGTCCAATTCCATCAGCCCCGGCATTCCTGGAAAACAACCTTACAGACCAACTCAGGCTCCTGCTGCAGCCCCATGCTCTGTGCCCTCCCTGACTCTTGGGGCAGCTGTAAAGCTGGGATCTGCAGCTGCACCCTGGCCTCTCAGGAGCCACCATGTAGCAGGGCTAACACTGCCCACAGCAGCGGCACCTCAAGATCAAGCCAAGAAATACTGTCATTTAGAAGTGCTTTTGCTTTGAGCCACTATGGTGAAGCCCACAGGTGGCTCATTTCTTTTCCCTGATGTCCAGGCCCTCAGTTGGGAGGACTTTAAAAAAACAAAAAGAGGCCGGGCACAGTGGCTCACGCCTGTAATCCCAGCACTTTGGGAGGCCGAGGCAGGTGGATCACGAGGTCAGGAGATTGAGACCATCCTGGCTAACATGGTGAAACCCCGTCTCTACTAACAATACAAAAAATTAGCCAGGTGTGGTGGCGGGTACCTGTAGTCCCAGCTATTCAGGAGGCTGAGGCAGGAGAATGGCGTGAACCCGGGAGGCGGAGCTTGCAGTGAGCCGAGATCAGGCCAGGCCACTGCACCCCAGCCTGGGCGACAGAACGAAACTCCATCTCAAAAAAAAAAAAAAAAAAAAAACAGAGGCAGGATTGAAGGCTTCTCCACTCACAGGCCTGCTGCTCAAAGGCTGGGCTCTGGTGGGACTGTCAGCTACAGCACCAACAGGTGGCTTCTCACAGTGGGCAGCTGAATCTCAAGAAAGAGTGAGTGCACTGAGAAAACCAGGAGAAAACTGCATGGGGTATTTCTGGCCTTGCCTCTGAAGTCAGTCACCATTAGTACTCCCATACTCTGTGGGTTATAAGAGTCTCAATGGCTGGTCTGACATGGTCACACACAGAAGAGTTGGGAGGAGAGACGTTGATTCTGTGAACATCTCTGGAAAATACAATCTTCCACAATCCCCATCTCGGAATAATAGTAATAATAACCTGTATATATATATTCTTTTTTTTTTTTTTGAGACAGAGTCTCGCTCTGTCGTCCAGGCTGGAATGCCCTGGTGTAATCTCGGCTCACTGCAACCTCTGCCTCCCAGGTTCAAGCAATTCTCCTGCCTCAGCTTCCCGAGTAGCTGGGACTACAGGCATGCACCACCATGCCCAGTTAATTTTTGTATTTTTAGTAGAGACAGGGTCTTACCATGTTGGCCAGGATGGTCCCGATTGCTTGACCTCGTGATCCACCCGCCTCAGCCTCCCAAAGTGTTGGGATTACAGGCATGAGCCACCACCCCTGTTTTTAAATATCATCTGCCAACAGTGGTAATTTAGTCTCTTCCTGACCAAGTTTCACATCTTCCATTTTACTTCCTGTTTAACTGCATTTGCTTCCAGGACGATATTAAATAAAGAAGTGATGTGGAGTTTACATTCTTGTTCTTGACTTTTCTTGTTTCTAGAGTCTTAGCATTAAGCAGGACACTGGTTTCTGACCAGAGATATCAGTAGTGAGAGACTGAAAATGCAAATAGACAATGGGCAGATTATGTATAAAAAAAGATCTTTCTCACAACCTGCAGCCTAGTTCAGGAGGCCAACCTGCTGTCTACAGCAACCAGCCCAGGAAGCCAGCCTGCTGTAAGTCAGACTTGAAGGAAGTCAGGCCACTATCCAACAAGCTGTCCAGGAAGCCAAACAAGAACCCCTGTAATAGCAAGCCCCAAATTGCCAGGACGTGTTTAACAGCTGACAGTGACTCAGCTATCCCACTCCTGGATATTTATCCAAAGTATTTGAAATCAGCATGTTGAAGAGTTATCTGCACTCTTGTGTTCGTTGCAGCACTATTCACAATAGTCAAGATATGGAATCAAACTAAGGGTCCATCGATGGCTGAATAGATAAGAAAAAATGCGGTATATACACAGTGGAATACTATTCACTTTTTTTTTTTTTTTGAGACGGAGTCTTGCTCTGTCGCCCAGGCTGGAGTGCAATGGCGCAGTCTCTGCTCACTGCAAGCTCCATCTCCCAGGTTCATGCCATTCTCCTGCCTCAGCCTCCCGAGTAACTGGGACTACAGGCGCCCGCCACCACACCCGGCTAATTTTTTTGTATTTTTAGTAGAGACAGGGTTTCACCATGTTAGCCAGGATGGTTTCGATCTCCTGACCTCGTGATCCGCCCGTCTCAGCCTCCCAAAGTGCTGGGATTACAGGCGTGAGCCACCGCGCCTGGCCACCATTCACCTTTAAACAAGGAAGAAATGGTTATTTGTGACAACAGCCATGAAACTGAAGAACATTTATGCTGAGTGAAATAAGCCAAACACAGAAAAACAAACACCGCATATTCTCACTTCTGTGTAGAGTCTGATACAATTGAACTCATAGAATCAGAGAGGAGAATGGTGGTTACGGGGGCAGAGGGTGGGGGAAATGGGAGATAATGATCAATGGTACAAAGTCTCAGTCAGATAGAACAAGTCTGATTTTTTTTTTGAGATCTATTGCACAACATGGTAAATAGAACTAATAATTGAGTGCTATCGAGCTAATAATTGCTAAGAGAGGAAATCTCAAATGTTCTCATCACCACAAATGTCAAATATTTGAGGTGATGAATAGATTTAATTGGCTTGATTTAATTATTTCACGTTGTATTCAAAAGTCATAACATCACTTTTTACCTATAAATGTATATAACTGTAATTTGTAAATATATAATTTAAAAATTAAAAATAAGTAAATAAAAATTTTTAAAAACCGTCACCTCTCCTAATTTTTGCCCCTGCTTTCAACTTAAGACCAACCAGAGAAAGACAAACCTTAATCAATTTCATAGGTCGCCCCCTTCTAATCGATCACCCCAGCGTCCCCAGGCTAGCAGCCTTCCTCAGGGCCCACCCAGGCCTTTCCTTTTCCCACCATGAAGCTTCCCCACTCCTCAGCCAGCCAAGGAGGCCCTGGAAACACCAGCGATGGTGCTGACTCTCCAACTGCAGCAAGCTGTAATAAACAACCTTTGCTTGTACTCATTTGGGTGATTTAATTTATTTCCACAATAAGTAAACATTTCATCATGCTAAGGAAATATCTATACGCTATTTGGATTTTGTTGATTTTAAAAATCAGGACAATATTAAAGAGGTAATGTTGAGGTTATGAATTATAACTTTTACTACATGTCTTTTTCAGCAACTGTGATGGCGACTATACACATTTTCCCTTTGCTTGCTAATATGGTGAAAGGTAAAAGAGAGACATTGTTGTTGTTGTTTTTTTTATTATTTTGAGACAGGGTCTTGATTTGTCACCCAGGCTGCAGTGCAGTGGTGCCATCTTGGCTCACTGCAACCTCCTCTTCCTGGGCTCAAGCGATTCTCCCACCTCAGCATCCTGAGTAGCTGGGAGTACAGAAATGCGCCACCACACCCTCCTAGTTTTTGTATCTTTTATAGAGATAGGATTTTTGCCATGTTGCCCAGGATGGCAACATGAGTAGTGCTCAAGCGATCCATCTGCCTCGGCCTCCCAAAGCTCTGAGATTACAGGTGTAAGTCACCACACCCAGGATGTTTATTTTAAAAGAATTTTTTTTTTTGTCTTTCAACCTAGGTATCATGTTACACATTATTTTTGTTTGTTTTATGAATTATATTCATTTTGGCTGATGTTTTCTGACAGCTTATTGAAAGTATATCAGAAAACTACTGATTTTTAAAAATATGTATGACTGATTGAACTCTCATTTTAAGTGATTTGCTATTGATTTTTGTTTCCAATTTTAGGTAGATCACCCTATGATCTTCAGATTATTATAATTTTGTTTTTACTTTCCATCTTACTTCTGTTTCAGAACATATTAAAGTGGTCATGGTTAAAGACCCTGAAACCAACCCAATAATCCCTTAGACAGTTTTTTTTTTAATAAACATAGAAATTGGCCCTCTGGTCTTTAAGCTTGAAACTTACATTTGTTTTATCTGAGTTCCTTCCTCAGGAAAGGACCCCAGGCCTCTCAAAAAATATCAAAGGACTGAAACTCACCAGATCATCTGATCCAGATAATGAGATGCCAGACCTCTCATTCATCATGATGGCTTCCTTGCCCCTCCCTAGTTCCCATTCTCCCACACATAGTTACATTTCTTCCCTGCTATATAAATTCCTAATTTTAGTTGGTCAGGGAGATGGATTTGAGACTGAGCTCCTGTCTCCTTGGCTGCAGGACCTGATTAAAGCCTTCTTCCCTGCACTACTCATGTCTCAGTGATTGGTTTTCTGTGCAGCAAGTAGCAGGACCTAGACCAAACTCTCTGGTGTTTTGGTAACAGTCCCTGTGTTGTCCCTGATTATAAGAGGCATACATTGACTGTTTCATCATTAGGAATGGTGATGGTGTGTTGCAGTGACCAGGGTTGCCTGGACAAAGAGCTGACTGGGAATGGAGGATCCTCTTCTCCTAGCTTGGCTTCCCGCGGACTGCAGACCCCTTGCCTTTTTTCCCCGGGAAGAAGGGTTACCTTCCACTTCTGGGAGCTTCCAGCAATCCTTGGTGTCCCTTAGCTTATGGCAACCTAACTTCATGCCCTGCCTTCACCTTCATGTGGCAGTCTCTGCTCTGTGTGTCTGTGTCCAAGTTTCCCTCCTATAAGGACGGCAGTCATTGGGTTAGGGACTACCCTAGTCCAAGAGGACCTCATCGTACCTTGATTACATCTGCAAAGACCCTGTTTCCAAATAAAGTCATATTCACAGGTTGAGTGGGTGTGAATTTGGGGGAAAACTTTTCAACCCAATAAATACACACATTCACCAAAAAAAAAAACAAATTTTTTTTTTTTTTTTTTTTTTTTGAGACGGAGTCTCGCTCCGTAGCCCAGGCTGGAGTGCAGTGGCGCGATCTCGGCTCACTGTAAGCTCTGCCTCCCGGGTTCACGCCATTCTCCTGCCTCAGCCTCCCCAGTAGCTGGGACTACAGGCGCCCGCCACTACACCCGGCTAATTTTTTTGTGTTTTTAGTAGAGAAGGGGTTTCACCGTGTTAGCCAGGATGGTCTGGATCTCCTGACCTCGTGATCCGCCCGCCTCGGTCTCACAAAGTGCTGGGATTACCGGCGTGAGCCACCGCGCCCCGCCTTTTTTTTTTTTTTTTTTTTTTGAGACAGGGTCTTGCTTTGTCACCCAGGCTGGAGTGCAGTGGTGAGATCATGGCTCACTGTAGCTTTGACCTCCTGGACTTAAGCAATCCTCCCATCTCAGCCCCGCCGAGTAGCCGGGACTATAGGTGCATACCACTACGCTCAGCTAATTTTTGTATTTTTTTGTAGAGACGGGTTTTCGCCATGTTGCCCAGGCTGGTCTCAAACTCCTTAGCTCAAACAATCTACCCGCCTTGTCCTCCCAAAGTGCTGGGATTATAGGTGTGAGCCACCGTGCATGGCCTAATGAAGAAATATTCAAAACCCAACACACATGTCATCTCAGCATAATTATTAATAACGCCCCTTTCACTCTCAAAAGTGTTCCAGTTTGGATGATAAATGGTGTGGCCCCTGACTGATAGAAACTCATACTGTTGGACAGTATCCAATTCTCCTCTACTTCTTCCTGTCGTTTGGAAGTTATGCATGGTCATGTGACTGGTTTTAGCCAATGGAATGTGACAAGGAGTGGCCTTTGTGATGCCACCTTTAATTGCCAGTGCTCAGCTCTTCAGTCCTCTCTATATTATCAAATCAAATCCAGCATGAACCAAAATAATGATATATCATAACCAAGTAGAGCGTATCCCAAGAATGCAAGGATATCTTAACATTAATAAATCTATTTAATGCAGGCAGGGCACAGTGGCTCATACCTGTAATCCCAGCACTTTGGAAGGCCAAGGCAGGCAAATCACTTAAGGTCAGGAGTTCGAGAGCAGCCTGACCAACATGGTGAAACCCCATCTCCACTAAAAATACAAAAATCAGCTGAGCATGGTGACGCACAGCTGTAATCCCAGTTACTCAGGAGGCCGAGGTGGAGGTTGCAGTGAGCTGAGATCGTGCCGTTGCATACTCCAGCCTAGGTGACAGAGTGAGACTCTGTCTCAAAAAAAAAAAAAAAAAAAAGCATGTATCACCACATGTACATTACACACACCCTAGGAATTCAAATATTGGCAGAGTTAGACACATAAAACAATGGAATGAAACAAAAATTCCTGGAGCAATTACATTAGAAACTTAGATCTCTATCTCACTTTGTGCAAGTGCACATTCCTCACGGAGTAAAGGCACAAACATGAAAAGTGCTTTAAAAGCATAAGAGCACGTTTTACAAAACTGGGGTACAAAAGACCTTCTTAAGCAAGATTAAGCACAGAAATGATAGAAGTATGATAATTACACAGAAATTTAAAACTTCCATACAACAAAAGATTTCAAACAAAGTATAAAAATGAGAGAATCAGGTATATGCACTGTGTCTATACAGGGTTTATATTCAGAGTCTACGTTTACTTTAACTCTGATTAATCAATCTTTTTTTTTTTTTTTTTCTTGAGACAGAGTCTCCCTCTGTCGCCCAGGCTGGAGTGCAGTGGCGCCATCTCGGCTCACTGCAAGCTCCACCTCCTGGGTTCATGCCATTCTCCTGCCTCAGCCTCCCGAGTAGCTGGAACTACAGGTGCCCGCTACCACGCCCGGCTAATTTTTTTGTATTTTTAGTAGAGACAGGGTTTCACCGTGTTAGCTAGGATGGTTTCGATCTCCTGACATCATGATCCACCAGCCTCGGCCTCCCAAAGTGCTGGGATTATAGGCGTAAGCCACTGGGCCCGGCCGAATCAATTTTTTATATTAGCCCCCCAAAAAAAAAAAGAAAACAGACAAAGGGTCTGGGCACATATGAATGGCCTACAAATGTATAAAACAATTTTCACGCCTGGTATAGTGGCTTACACCTGTAACCCCTGCACCTTGGGAGGCTGAGGGTAGGAGGATTACTTGAGGTCGGGAATTCAGGACCAGCCTGGGCAACACAGTGAGGCTCCATCTCTACAAAAAAAACTAGCTGGGCATGATGATGTGTGCCTGCAGTCCTAGCTACTTGGGAGGCTGAGGCAGGAGAATGGCCTGAGCCCAGGAGTTCAAAGCTGCAGTGAGCTGTGATGGTGCTGGTGCACTACAGCCTGGGTGACAGAGTGAGACCCTGTCTCAAAAATAAATTAATTTAAAAAATGTGTTTTCACGTTTATTAACGATCATGGGAATTGGTTAAAATACCTACGATGACATGTTATCTTTCTCAAACTGACGTTCTCTGTATGATAACGCACTGTAGAAAAGAGAATAAATTGGTACGGCCTTTTTTGAAAGGCACTTTGGCAAGCATTTCCTACTCTTTTTAAGGTGCACACTGGGAGTAGAATGCATTATTGCATGCTATATATATTTTTATATTCTATATATAATTCTCTATATAATATATATTATATACATAATTCTCTATATAATATAGAATATATTCTAAATTAGAATGCATTATTTACCCCTACTTTGCTGTAAGAGGAGTTCCCACACCAGTCCACAGTCATGAGAGTTCCAGGACCTTCCCTTAAGGCAAGAGTCCCCCCTATATTGCAAGACCTAAAATTTCAAAGTGCCGCCATGACATCTTTTAGCCTCACAGGCCCCAAAGGCTTAATTGTGAGTTCCCCTGCTCTCACCAGAAGCGCCCCCCACCCAGTGGAAAAGGCTCCCCACCCAGTGGAAAAGGCTCCCCACCCAGCTAGTTCCAGAGCAGCTGAACCCCACCTGGTCCTCAACCTAACAGATTTCACTTTACTGCCAGCTTGCAGAATTATTTTCAAAAACCCAGCACATCCTCCAGCAGGAACCAGACACCAACCCCGCCTGTCACTACAAACCTCCTCCCACAGCCCTGTTGGTTCACTGTATTCCTGAGGGCAGTCTCTGTGTGGCCTGCATGGCACAGAGTGTGGTGTCCTTGGTGTGGCTGGCACAGCATGGAGATGGTGTCTCAGTGTGGCCTGCACAGCATGGAGTGTGGTGTCTTGGTGTGGCCTGCACAGCATAGAGTATGGTGTCCTCTGCTCCCAGGCTATGAGTATTTGTGACCAAGAAGCTGCTGCAGTTCTCATGTGGCCGATGTCTGCACTGTGTGTGTCTCACCCTTTTTAGGGTGGAGGATCTCTCCTTCACCAGCAGGGTGACCAGGAGGCCGTCGGAACACTGCCAGGCCCATGGACATTAGGCTGGGCCATGCGACACCCATCACGTCCAAGCAGCAGCATTAAGGGGTAGATTCGTTCCCAGGGGAGACCCAAATGCCCTCCTTTTTCCTGGTTCACTGTAGGGAAGAGGGAGTTTTTTGTTTTTTGTTTTTTGTTTCAGAGTCTTGCTCTGACACCCAGGCTGAAGTACAGTGGTGCAATCTCAGCTCACTGCAACCTCCGCCTCCCAGGTTCAAGCAATTCTCTGCCTCAGCCTCCTGAGTAGCTGGGATTGTAGGCCCCACTAATTTTTTTTTTTTTTTTTTTTTTTGTATTTTTAGTAGAGAAGGGGTTTCACCATCTTGGCTAGGCTGGTCTTGAACTCCTGACCTCGTGATCCACCCGCCTTGGCCTCCCAAAGTGCTGGGATTACAGGCGTGAGCCACTGCGCCTGGCCAAGAGGGAGATCTTTCTGATACACCTTCACGTAGAGTATTTCTTCCTAGCAGTTACGTCTATTTAAACTCATCATTTTACAATGTATTGGCTGATCTGCGCTCCGTCCCCCACCATGACAGAGGCTCCCTTTTGCCTCGTCCTTCTTAGTCTCCTCAGCTCCTAGGACCATGCGTGGGGTGTCCCAACTCTCCAAAAATATTTTCTGAGTAAATGAAATGAAGGTTTTATGCCCTTTGGGAAAATGAAATCAAATTCTTGCTCAGAAAAAAAGGACCACTAAGGAGAAAATGTGGGCTGTTCTGAGAATTTCAATTTTATCTAAGGGTTAGTCAACAATGGGTAATGAAGCCACTCTTTGTATTAGGAGACTATAAAGTTATAATTGTTGTGGAGATGGGTGGGGATGGAGGGAGGCTGGAATCTTGTGAAGCCACATGTCGCCTGTGTTAACCAGATCTCAAGGAACAGGAGCAGATGGAATTCTATATGGGCATGATGGCATCTGCCACTTTTCCAAGAAAAGGTCAGGGCTGCATGCCCCTTCTGCCCACAGAGTATCCTCCAGCATAAGGGATATGAATCAAGAGGCCTAGAGTTCCCCCAGTATTTAAATTCCCCAAAATGGCATGCGCATTGTTCTGGGGAGTGTCTCTATAGCTTTCATCAGAATCTCAAAAGGGCCTAAGACCAAAAGAAGGCTAAGAAGCATGGGTCTAACTGCTTATTGCAGAGGTAGAATAATTCAGTAAAGGAGGCCAGCCCTCTATGTGATTGGATTTTTCTTTCTATATTTTCCCTGGAGCTAATTCATAGATGGCTCCAACTCTCATTAGGACGTTTGTCCTCTGTAGTCAAGAGGGTGGGGAATAGTACAGGGGCATACAAAATGCCAACTTCCTCCCTTGTCCTAAGAGTCCACCACCCTGCCTCACTCACAGCTAACGAACCCCCTTATACTCCAGCCAAGGAAAGCACCCCCTCTTCCTCCAACGTGACACACACATCCTGTCAAGACCCCTCCCTCCCCAGCTCTGGGTCCTCTCACTTAGAGGAAGACTTCCCACCCTCATCATTACCCCATTACCTCCCTCTCCTGGGGACCCCTGTCGCTCTTTGGCATACTAACCTATTCTAGCAACTCCCATCACTTAGAAACAACTGTCCTGACCCCACACCCACATCATTTCATGATAAAACTTATTTAGCATCTGTCTACTCTTACATCTTCACTACCCTAGAGGAGGAAAAATTCCTTTTCCTGCCACTTTCCTAGGATTTTCAGCTGGGGCCTTGCAAATTAGACTGACAAAAGACAGATCAACCAGAGAAAAACAAACAGAAGTTTATTAACTGTGCACTGTGCAGACACACCAAACTCAAAGATGAGTAACCAAAAGGGACAGTTATGTAGCTTTTTTTTTTTTGAGACGGAGTCTCATTCCTTCACCAGGCTGGAGTGCAGTGGCGCGATCTCAGCTCACTGCAACCTCCGCCTCCCAGATTCAAGCAATTCTTCTGCCTCAGCCTCCCGAGTAGCTGGGACTACAGGCACGCACCACCACACCCAGCTGATGTTTGTATTTTTAGTAGAGATGGGGTTTCACCTTGTTGGCCAGGATGGTCTCAATCTCTTGACCTCGTGATCCACCTGACTTGGCCTCTCAAAGTGCTGGGATTACAGCCCTGAGCCACTGCGCCTGGCCAGTTATGTAGCATCTTAACAAAGAACAGTACACTAGCAGAGAAGTGACAAGGCCAAGGCCAAGGACTGAGTTTTCAAGGAGTGGCAAATTGCGGAAAGGCAAATATATGGGGAGACCACTGGGACGATACGGGTGGTTAGCAAGGTTTGTTATGTGGGTTCCTCCGGTGCTGTCTCTAGGCTGCCAAGAGTCTGAAGTTGTCTCCTGTGATTAACAATGAACTTCTCTCCTTCCGGGTTGAGAAGGGAGGAGGGCACCTTTACCAATTTCTGTCCTTCTTTTAGGCAAATGGGGGAGGAAACGGAGATCTTCTGTCTGCTGTTTCTCAGCTGCCTTCGGTTCAAAATAGTCCTTACGACAAAGTGGCATATTTTAGGGTGGCGTATTCTGCCACCCCTAACTTCTCTAACAAACTCTTCAATTAGGCTTCCAGCTCAACCACTCCACTGAAACCACTCCTCTCCTCGGCCTGCCTGTGGCAAATCTAGTGAATGCCTCAGCCTCCTTATCCCACTGAACCGAGAGGACCTTCCCCATGCTTTGAAACCTTCTGGTCATAATTGACTCCTCTCTCTTCTCCCCTCCCGGCTTTCCTGCCTCCCTGGACAGCCAAATTCTCCACTCTGCTGCTAGGCATCGCTCCACCAGAGCCCTATTGGTCGGCAGGTGGAATGAGGAGCCTGTTTGATGACAGCATTTAAGCCCCCCTTCCCTCTTCCCCTCTGCCCCACATCTGGACAAGCTACTGTGGGGACCCACTAGGAACCCCAGAGTTGGAATGAAGACTATTTTATGCTGAAGACATTTGAGATTCAACAGATGCAGAAAGAAGCTGGAGCACCCCTTAACTGACTAATATTAAGCGGAAACTTTTTAAAACCAAGGCTGCCGTAAATTCCCCTTAGGGCAGTTTCTACTCACAGGAAGAAGATGGGGAGTAGCCCTATCATAAATCCCCTCTTCGGGGAAGTTTCATGGACCTGAGGTAGATGGGAAAGACCACTCACACCTGCATAAACAAACATTATTAGAAACTTTCTTTTTTCCTCTTTGTTCTCCTAAAAACCCTTTTGTCTTTCCTAAAGAAACCTACTTGCTCTTCCCAATTCCCATAGAAACCTTTCTCTCCACTCCTTTTTCCCTTCTAAGTTAGGTTTATAAGCCACTAACTTTAATTTAGCAAGCTAGCTACTTCTTTTGTTTGCTAACATATGCATACAAATAAACCTTTTTTTTCCTGTTAGTCTTTCTTTTGTCAGCTTAATTCACAGGCCTCAGGGACTGCACTTAAGAGGATAGAGGAAGTCTCCCCTCCACACACACACTGACAAGAAATTCTCAGTGTTCCCTCCTTTGGTCCCAGCAGGAGAGTCAATCACACAAGCCCTTGCCTGTGTATGGAAACCCTAACTCAATTCACCCTGACCACAGTAAAACCCCAAGCCAGGACCCTTTCCTGGCTCTCTCGAGTCATTTTGGACCTGCTTGGGAGGCCTGCCCCACTCACCCAGAGTTGGCCATCATCTGAGTAATAAGCCTTTTCTTTCATACCCTCTTCTATGTGTGGCACCACCAGCCTCAACATCAGGACTCAGCATTCACGGGGTTCCCTTCACTTTTGCAGGGGCCATAACAGCCCATTGAAATCTCCTCTAGTTGTACTCCCTCCTTTGCTAATTTCATCCAGTCCTGTGACTTTACAACTTTTCTTGCAGAAGAAAATTATTACATCTGGATTATCATAGTACATGTAGATAATCTTAAAGTACATAGATTCTTATATTTTGTGTATAGATTGTTATACTAGATTAGATCTGCTATACACTATGGACTTTATTTATTTATTATTTATTTTTTGTTTTTTTGAGAGGGAGTCTTTCTGTCACCCAGGCTGGAGTGCAGTGGTGCAACCTCAGCTCACTGAAACCTCTGCCTTCCGGGTTCAAGCAATTCTTCTGTCTCAGCCTCCCGAGTAGATGGGATTGTAAGTGTGCGCCACCACGCCTGGCTAATTTCTGTATTTTTAATAGAGATGGGTTTTCCACCATGTTAGCCAGGCTGGTCTCTAACTCCTGACCTCAAGTGATCTGCCCACCTCGGCCTCCGAAAGTGCTGGGATTACATGCCTGGCCTACACTATGGACTTTAAATAACACCTACCTGCTCCCAAATTCAAAATCAACCCAGAATCCTCCCCCAACCTCCAAACCCAAGTTTCTATTCCTTACTCACTATTTCAATACCTGAGTCATCTCAAAGTTTAAACTAAAACAATTCTTCACTTGCCCTCTGCTTCAATCCCAGTAAATGGCACATTTACCAAATTTCAAACCAAAACCCAAGAATTCATCGTTTCTTCCTTCTCTTCATGCACCACATCCAGTTCTTGAGCAAGACCTTCAAGATACCTTCATGTACCCTCTATGCCTGTCCCGTTTTCCATTCAGCAGCCACTGCGCTGGTCCAGGACAACCTCACCTCCTGCTTGACGGCCACAGAGCTTCTGCTCCACTCCTGTTCCTCTGTAGGGTGCAGCCCTGGAGGTGGAGGAAATGTAAGCAAGATATAGATTAGGTCCATAGCGTATAGCAGATCTAATCTAGTATGACAATCTATACATAACATATAAGAATCTATGTCCCATGAGAATATCTACCTGTACCGTGATGAACCAGATGTAATCCTAGATTAGCCTGCTCCCTGCACGCTGCCCCTGCCCCTGAATGGAATCCCAGGAGGCTGCTTGCCTCCTCACCTGGTCTCTGCCTGAGCTCAGCCGGCTTGTGGTCCCGCCTGTCCCCTCGGCACCTTTAGCCCATCCTACCTTGAGGCCTCAGTGCAGGAGACTTCCTCCTCCTCACAGCCTTAAAACTCAGCGTACCCTGCCTGGCCTCAAACACGCCCCCCTCACCCTCCCGTCTCAAGCCTCAAGCCCTGCGTCTGAATCACCTTGTTTCCTGAGCCCTGGTGAGCTTCGTTCTTCCCCAGGTGTCCCCTGTCGCTGGACCACTTTCCCGAGGTGCCACACAGAACCTTGCAGAGCTGCTATATACACTTGCTTGTCAGGAGAGGAAATGCTCGTGTTCCAATTCCTAGCACAGAGCTAGGAATTGGCACCAAATAATTATTTCTTGAAGTCATGGATAACTAAATGAATGAATAAATTAGTTAATCTCATATCCTAGAATGGGTTTCTGTAAGCCACCAGTTCTGGATATGTGAATTTAAAAAAGACAATAGTGGCCAGGTTCACGCCTATAATCGCAGCATTTTGGGAGGCCGAGGCGGGCGGATCACGAGGTCAGGAGATCGAGACCATCCTGGCTAACACGGTGAAACCCCGTCTCTACTAAAAATACAAAAATTAGCTGGGCGTGGTGGCGGGCACCTGTAGTCTCAGCTACTCAGGAGGCTGAGGCAGGAGAATCCCTTGAACCCGGGAGGTGAAGGTTGCAGTGAGCAGAGATCATGCCACTGCACTCCAGCCTGGGGGACAGGGCAAGTCTCCGTCTCAAATAAATAAATAAAATAATAAAAAAGAAAATATTTAAATACAAATTTACAAAGAGCAGAAGAAAATAAAGATATTCATTTTCCGGGTGGGAAAAATGTTTAAGCTTAATATAAATCGAAAAAATTACACAGTAGAAAGTTGATATTGTAGATTGCACTGAAAATTTTAAAAATGTAAAATTAAAAACAATTTTTATGTTTAAAATTAAATATGACAGAGAGGGAGTGTGTAGCAAATGTAAGAGGTTATAACCTTAATATTAATAATTTGTGCACGTTGTTTAAGGCAAACATGACCCTGAAGTTCAGTGAAGGCAGTAAACATAAGCAAACTATTTAAAAATAAAAGTAATTAAAGGGAAACTATATTCGACCATACTATAAATCAAAATGCAAGTTAAAACAATAATAATCTGCATTTTGCATGTGGAATTTGAAAAAGGTTACATATGTGAATATCCATATTCAATGGCTAGACTGCGATGTAACTGCTAAAGGGAAGATAATTTGGTATAATTTTGTGATTAAAAGAAAATGCCTTAAAATGATGTCATGATCATTAACCCACTAATCCTACTTCTCTGAATTGATCTTTAAATAATCTGAAAAGACAGAAGAGATTAATGCACAAAATTTTATCTTTATTACTAAAACAATTTAAGAATTTTCCTTAGAAACAATTTAAGATATTATTAGAATAATAGTTGAGTCAAATTAGCTCATTTATACGATAGACTGTAATATAACCATTAAAACATTTATAAAACCTGTAAAATAGCATGAGAAAAATCCTATGATATAAAGGAAAAAAGAAAAAATATGAGCTTATATACACACATACACACACACATATACGCACACGCACAGTTGCACATTAAAATTTTTTAAAAATGTGTAAACAATGAGAAAGAAACGCTGAGTGCCTTATCTAAGTATTTATAATTCCTGGTAACCTTGCAGGTTACAAATAAAGTAAATTATAATGTCATAAACACCTGTGCATTGGCCACATTCAAAAGCAATCCATTCATGGCCGTGAGCGGTGGCTCATGCCTGTAATCCCAGCACTTTGGGAGGCCGAGGCGGGCACATTGCCTGAGGTCAGTAGTCTGGGACCAGCCTGGCCAACGTGGTGAAACCCCATCTCTACTAAAAAATAATAATAATAATAATACAAAAATTAGCTAAGGATGGTGGCTGGCACCTGTAATCCCAGCTACTCAGGAGGCTGAGGCAGGAGAATCGCTTGAACCCAGGAGGTGGAAGTTGCAAGGAGCTGAGATCATGCCACTGCACTCCAGCCTGGGAGACAGGGAGATTCTGTCTCAAAAACAAACAAACAAACAAAATCAATCCATTCAAAATCCCTCATATCTGAATCCTTCTGTTTATTCCCAAGTCACCCCCACTCACTCAGCTCTAGTCTCTGCCTGATTTCGGCTGTGGGCATCCAATGACACAATGTAATTATAAAGTATGCCAATTATTAAGTTAAAATTGGAAATGAGGCTAGGCACGGTGGCATGCACCTGTCAACTCAGCTACTTGGGAGGCTGAAGCAGGAGGGCTGCTTGAGGCCAGGAGTTTGAGTCTAGCCTGAGCAACATAATGAGACTCCCATCTCTCAACAAAAATTTTAAAAACATAAACCTGGAAATCATAAACGTAATACATTGTTTCTCACATTGAAACGCTGCTCAAATTAGAGTAAAGCTATTGGGAAAGGATTGAGTCCCCTCTATCCCAAAAAGGATCATTTAACAATTAAAGAGAAGAGAACAAAGACAAATGAAAATGATGTGAGTCTCAATAGAAGAACTTTATTAAAAGCAGAACTTTGTATTCTTTTAACTAAGCCTTTGATGGCTAGGCAGTCAAATTTGAAAGTAAAGTGAAAAAATGCCCTCAGCCAAGTTTGCAGGGAATGCTTTGTGATTCTAGCAAGGTGGGTCTCTAGTGAGGCTGGACCAGAAATAATACAGTGAGAAGCAACCAAGAGCCCACTTGGGGTCAGCGATGGGTTTCCGGAATGGCATGTTGGGGAACCTGGGCTTTGTTCTCCATTCAAGGAAGTGTCAAAGGCCATTTAACCAAGAGCACAGTGCCCTCAGATCTGTGGTTTAGGAGGGAAGCCTGGGGTTGCGGGGAGCAGGGACAAGAGGAAGTGCCTGCAGGTATGAAAGCCACAGAGAGGTGTGTCTTTTAAGTTTCTTTGGTCTCCCTGACCTGAGGACCAGAGGATTCCTAAGCGACTCTCTGAATTAGATTTCTGCCAATGCCCCTGGAAAAAGCTCATTTTAGTTCATTCCGCTGAGCACTGTGCCCCCAGTGGTAACTGTGGATCATCAATGGCCACAACGACTGCCCACAGAAGCCGGGTTGCCAAGGAAACAGCCTAGTACTTGCTCCTTAATTCCTGGCTTCAGTGTAACTGTTGAGCTGACGTCATACTGAATCGTGAAGGGTAGCAATGAATGGGGTGGCCTACCTCAAACAGCAAGGCGAGTCATGGCCCAGAAACAAAGGTCAGGAGGGAGCCTGGGAGCCAGAACCCCCCGCATCCCTGCTCCGCTGCTGTGTGATTGCTGCTGCTGTTCTTCCTGGAGGATGAACTGACACATTTGGTTGGAAAAGGCTTCCAGAAGAGATCCTACCTTCCTTCGAGTGTGGCCGAGAGATCAATCAATCCCAAGAGTATCCAGTATGGATATGATTTGAAAGAAACTCACTTGTCATTTCATGTGAACACAGCAATTACGATAGTAGATGTACATGGAGACAAACACACACACAGACACACACACACACATACTCAGAGAGAGAGCCAGCAGCCCAGGCAGTATATGCCGTATACACCAAAGCATGGTCAATGATCAGTAGCTATCTATAGATTAAAGCTGATTTTACTTTCTTGCTTGTCTACTATTTCTCTACATTTTTTACATGACCGTACATCACTTTTGCAATAAGAAAAATATAAAAAGTTTATTTTCGGCTGGCACAGTGGCTCACGCCTGTAATCCCAGCACTTTGGCAGGCCAAGGTGGGCTGATCACCTGAGGTTGGGAGTTCGAGACCAGCCTGACCAACATAGAGAAACCCCATCTCTACTAAAAATACAAAATTAGCTGGGCATGGTAGCACATGCTTATAATCCCAGCTACTCAGGAGGCTGAGACAGGAGAATTGCTTGAACCCGGGAGGTGGAGGTTGTGGTCAGCCACGATTGCGCCATTGCACTCCAGCCTGGGCAACAAGAGGGAAACTCCGACTCAAAAAAAAAAAAAAAAGGGCCGGGCGCAGTGGCTCACGCCTGTAATCCCAGAACTTTAGGAGGCTGAGGTGGGAGGATCATGAGGTCAGGAGATCAAGACCATCCTGGCTAACACGGTTAAACCCCATCTCTACTAAAAATACAAAAAATTAGCCGGGTGTGGTGGCGGGCACCTGTAGTCCCAGCTGCTCGGGAGGCTGAGGCAGGAGAATGGTGTGAACCCAGGAGGTGGAGCTTGCAGTGAGCCAAGATCGCACCACTGCACTCTAGCCTGGGCGACAGAGGGAGACTCTGTCTCAAAAAAAAAAAAAAAGAAAAGTTTATTTTCATTTAACTATAAAAGGAGAGTGGTCTGGCCATGAGCTCATGTCTTTCAGGTGCCTGCTCAGAGGATGAGTCAAGAGTCAGGAATTTCAGAGGGGACCACTATCAGCAGGGGAGCCCTGTAGCTCAAATGGCCTTAGGTGTTATGTCTCCCTAAGTTTCTGCCCTCCCTCCCTAACCCACCCCTAATGTCCCCATTTTATTTTTCTTTAAATTTATTATTATAATTATTACTTTTAGAGACAGAGTCTTCCAGGTGGAATTTGCTCTTCCAGGTGGCTTTCTTCTGGAAAGCCCATAGGCTGAAATGGAAGGATTCTCAGGCTGGCCACCTGAGAGCAGCCACGCAGGGAGACTGTTCACAGCACGGAACAGAGAGCAGCCCATGGAAGGTCAGGCAGGGCTCCATCTGCAGAAGCAAGGAAGGGAAGGATGGGGAAAGGGCTGCCAGAAAGGGAAGGTAGAGAAGAGAAAAACCAAGAAGCAGAAAGGGCAACCAAGTTTATGAAGCTTTACCACAGGGCGGCCAGGTCTCAACTAGTATTAGAGTTATTTCAATATTTTAAAAAAAAAGAAAACTGAGTATACAGTGAGTTGCAGAGAAATACAGCCCCTAGCAACACACATATATAAGAGATAGCAGGCCAAAACAGGGAAAGCACAGAGTCAAGGCAGAGAGCACGCCACTCCTGGCCAAGAACAAATTCAAACCCACCCTGCTGAGAAGCTGCTGGTCAACAACTCTTCCTGACCCAGCACATTTGTAGTTCTAGCTACTATTTAATTTCATCCTCAAGAGGTTCATAGTAGTGGAAAGAGTGGAAACCAGAAAATAGAGAAATTAAAATAAAGCACCAAGCCCTGTCCTTCTTTAAAGTGGCATTGAACGCATTTAACTCTGCTTATTCCTGGAATCCAGTGATGGCCACACTACAGGGATTTAAACAAAATGGCAATAAACTATGAACCCATAAAGATGAAGAAAACAAGAGCAACAACAACAACAACAAACTTTGAAGCTAGAAAGCAATTAGATGAGTGAAACTGACTCATCAGGCTTATGAGGGCCAAATCCAAGATCAAAAGGAAAGCTGGAAATTAGGGAAATCACAAGCATCCCACTTGTGACACCCCATTTCCCAAAAGCTCCCAGATGAGGGAAGAGTGGGGAGTCACTTGAGGGGGGCTCATGTGAAAGGGGTTTAAGAAGCAGGCAGATCCTGAGATGCCCTCAGCCTTCACCTGCTGGAGCTTGCCACCTATCAGGGAGAAACTTGGATGTTCACTTGGTGGAGAGAGTTCTCAACAGAGAGCGACATCGAAGGTCTTGAGAAGTGCATCAGAACAGAAGGACTAAGTAACTGTCAGCACACAGCTTACTGAACTCAAAGATACCCAACCCACTTCAACCCCTAGGCTTTCAGATCTATTGATGTCAAACATTTAGTGTCCAGGCAGAAAACTAGAATTTTCTTTTCTTGCTTGCTTTTTTTTTTTGGGGGGGGGGGGGGACAGTGTCTTGCTCTGTCACCCAGGCTGGAGTGAAATGGTGCCATCTTGGCTCACTGCAACCTCCGCCTCCTGGGTTCAAGCAATTCTCCTGCCTCAGCCTCCCAAGTAGTTGGGATTACAGGCACCCACCACCACACCCGGCCAATTTTTATATTTTTAGTAGAGATAGGGTTTTGCCATGTTGGCCAGGCTGGTCTCAAACTCCTGGCCTCAAGTGATCTGCCCGCCTCAGCCTCCCAAAGTGCTGGGATTACAGGCATGAGCCACTGTGCCCAGCCAAAATTAGAAGAATTTCCAGTGAAGTATCTAACCTGCCTCAGGGAAAAAACCTAAAGATGCTGACCTCAGAGTTTCCCTAGCAGATAAAAGACCAACTTAGGGGCTGGGCGCGGTGGCTCACGCCTGTAATCCCAGCACTTTGGGAGGCCGAGGCGGGCGGATCACGAGGTCAGGAGATTGAGACCATCCTGGCTAACAAGGTGAAACCCCGTCTCTATTGAAAATATAAAAAATTAGCCGGGCGTGGTGGCGGGCACCTGTAATCCCAGCTACTTGGGAGGCTGAGGCAGGAGAATGGCGTGAACCCGGGAGGCGGAGCTTGCAGTGAGCAGAGATCGCGCCACTGCACTCCAGCCTCGGCGAAAGAGCGAGACTCTGTCTCAAAAAAAAAAAAAAAAAAAAAAAAAAAAAAAAAAAAGACCAACTTAGGTTATTTTACAGTGAAGCTCAAAATCATGAAGCCCATCTAAGTGCTCAGAGCTCCCAACACCTTTTTGTCCTCCTTTCTTAATCCAGGCAGCCAAAAATTACCAGACATCTGAGGAAAGCATCTAACATGGAAGAAAGGGACCAAACCAGCAAACAAACGCACAAGCATCTGAAAACAACACAGAATAAACACAGATAATGCAAGAAGATTTTAAGAAACAAAAACCAATCATTAATATCTTCAGAGAGATATGAGAAACAATAACAAGGTACTATGAAAAATAAATGTTTAGAGTGTTAGAGGGTTCTTAATTATAGTAGAAATTTTAAAACTCAGGATAAGGGTTAGATGAAAAAGTTGAGGAAATCACCCAAAAATTAAAATAAAAAGACAGATGGAAAACACGAGTGAAAAGAAAAAAAAAAAATCATAGGATGAGGCCTAGATCTGAACAGAAGTTTCTGAAAGAGCGAGAGAGAAAAAAAAAGGAAATCTACAGGGAAATAATTTGAGAAAATGTCTCTCACTAAAAGACACAAATTTCCAGATTGAAAGAGTACCTGGCACAATGGATGAAGACAGTTCCACATCCAGGCACTACAGTGTGAAATTTCATAGCCCAGGGATAAAGATTTTACAAGCTTTCAGGTAGAAAAGACAGTCACTCACACAGGATATGAATTAGAATGGTGCCACATTCAACAGCTAGAAGACAGTGTAGCCAGCTTTCAAAATGCTATGAGAATGGCATCCAGGATTTCTATATCCAGCCAAACTATCAATCAAAAAGGGTAGAATAATGACATTTTCAGACATGCAATGTGACATGCACCCTTCCTCCAGAACCTACTGAAGAATATACTCAACTTCAGTGAGAGTGTAAACCAGGAAACAAGAGATGCAGCAATGGATAGCAGAAAAGGGGATCCCTAAGATGATGGGAGGGGATGTCTCAGGGCAGGGACAGAGCCCCAACATAGAGGGAAGCCAGTCCAACCAGATTGATTGAACCAGCATGACCAAGAGAAGGAGAGGTATCATCACCAGAATCCCTGTTGCTATTTTGTTATCCTTTTAACCTGAGAATTCAATCATGTTAGCTTGCCTCAGATTCTTTTCTATATATATGTGATTTGTTTTGATCATGAGACTTCTGACAGCCCTTCCATGTCTGTCTGAGTACTTTCATTTCATCCCACAACATGATTTACTTTGATGTTTGCCTAAAAGGTAGGTATAAGCCACACTAAGCTTAGAAAAACAAAATTCAGAGCAGCCCACTTTCTCTGACCATATTCCTGCCAGATATGCAAGTCCTAGCCCTATCACAGCTGCCCCAAATGGAGTAAGTCCCCTGTTTCCCAGGGCTGTCTCACGACCTCGCCCCAAACTAGGGCCAGATTACATCCCAGAAATTCTCTACAGCTTCTTTTCCGCTGAAAATCTTTATCTAACGATGACAATATTGACCTTCTCTTAGATGGCTAGTTTTGTGCTTGCTACTCAGATTTCAAAGCTAAGCAATATATTTTTTTTCCCACTGCATAAATAAATGGTAGAATAATGTACTGGGGTTAGGACTTCAGCACGTGAATTTTGGGAGGAAGCAATTCAGCCCATAACAGTATTATTATTATCTTTTTTTTTTTTTTCTGAGACGAGGTCTCACTCTGTCGCCAGGCTGGAGTGCAGTGGCGTGATCTCGGCTCACTGCAACCTCCACCTCCTGGATTCAAGGGACTCTCCTGCCTCAGCCTCCAGAGTAGTGGGGTTTCGCCATGTTGGCCAAGGTGGGCAGATCACAAGGTCAGGAGATCGAGACCATCCTGGCCAACATGGCGAAACCCTGTCTCTACTAAAAATACAAAAATTAGCCAGGTGTGATGGCGCACATCTGTAATCCCAGCTACTCGGGATGGGTGCCCAACCCATTTTCAAATTTTTATAATAAAAGTATTAAAGAGGCCAGGTGAGGTGGCTCACGTCTGTAATCACAGCAGGAGACGGGATAAGGGTAATCACCCCAGCACCTGGACTCATTTAGATTAAATAAATTTACTGAGGCTCCAGAGGAAGGGCTTCAGGACTCAGACCTTAGTTATAGATTAAAAGAAGTTAATCACTAATGTCTTCAGATGAATTCACACTTACACATAGACATATAGCTTAGCCGGGCGTGGTGGCTCATGCCTGTAATCCCAGATTTCAGGGAGGCAGAGGTGGGAGGATAGCTTGAGCCCAGGAGTTTGAGGCTTGCCTGGGCAATATAATGATACCCTGTTCTCCACAAAAAGGAAAAAAAAAGCAGACAAAACAAACAAACAAAAAAGACATATAGCTTTGAAGGTGTATAAGCTCTGGAAAACTTTGTAATTTTGAGTTGTTCTGGCAATAGTTTCCAGGCCTTCTCCCTGTAACTGGTTGCAGAAAATAAAAACTCTCTTCCTCCCCAGTTCGTCTGCATCTCACTACTGGGCCACAAGAAATAGCAGCCTAACCCTCAGTTTGGTCAGGGGACAACTGCACTCCAGTGTGGGTGACAGAGCAAGACTCTGTCTCAAAATAAACAAAAGAAAGCAGAAGAGGACTTGGGTAAGTGTTTGAAAAACAGAGGAGGTATGTGTGCACCAGGGGGCAGGAATCTTGAAGGTCATCTCAGAATTCTACCTGCCCCAGAGATATTTAGGGTAAACAGGTGGGTAAAAATTGGAGCTCACTGGAGGATCAGGCACCAAAGAATTTGACTATAAGAAATCCTTTATCTGGCCAGGTGTGGTGGCTCATGCCTGTAATCCCAACACTTAGGGAGGGCAAGGCAAGTGGATCACTTAAGGTCAGGAGTTTGACACCAGCCTGGCCAACATGGCAAAACCCCATCTCTACTAAAAATACAAAAATTAGTCGGGCATGGTGGTGTGCACCTGTAGTCCCCGCTACTTGGGAGGCTGAGGCAGGAGAATCACCTAAACCCAGGAGGCAGAGTTGCAGTAAGCTGAGATCACGCCACTACACTCCAGCCTGGACGACAGGCTTTTTTTGAGACTCTGTCTCAAAAAAAAAAAAAAAAAAAAAAGAAAAGAAAAAAGAAATCCTTTATCTGGTACATTAATGTGCTAAGCTTGTTATTCAAGCTAGATGTTATTATGTAGGGACTTTATTTTTACGTAGCCATCATTGTATTGATCTCAAAAACTCTCTTTTGTTCAAAGCCTAAGTAACCTCAACCCCTAAAATTGGGGCGCCTCCCTGATACATGAGCTGTGGACCAGTAGTGCGGCAGAGGCAGAGCAGGCCAGCTGTTCTTGGTTTGCCCCCAGACTCGCTTTTGGCCAGGGAGGCTGCCCCTGACTCCACCGCCCCCAAGGGGCAGCATCACCTGAGCTCCCTTGCCTCTGGCTTCTAGCTGGGGTCAGCCAGCACAAGGCAACAGTAAGGAACAAGGGTGGGAGGAGAGAAAGATGACAAGGAAGTTGTTCTGCTCCTCCTCCCTTGCTGCAGCCTGGACTGGCTGTGTTCCATGTGGTCCTGTCCCTGGCTCCAAGCCCTCACCAGCTTCTGATCCCAGCAAACATTCTTCTTGCCCTTCAGGGCTGGGAGTAACCACTACCCAGTCTTTATAGTCCCTGGTGCCTCCCCATCCTTTGTTGGTTTCTTTACCCAACTCTATAAAGAATCTCTTCATTAAACTCTTTTCAGATAAATTATTAATACCTTTAGTGTGTCCTGCCAGGATTGTGACAGATACAGACAGATGACACATGAGTGATCTTCCTCTGTCTTTTGATTCCTGGATGTTATTTATATTTTGATGTATTTAGAACAAACATACATACATGTATATGTATACATAAAGAGCCTTAAACATCTAACAACTAAATGACCTGACCTATGCCAGGTGCGGTGGCTCATGCCTGTAATCCCAGCACTTTGGGAGGCCAAAGCGGGCAGATCACGAGGTCAGGAGATCGAGACCATCCTGGCTAACACGGTGAAACCCCATCTCTACTAAAGATACAAAAAATTAGCCGGGTGTGGTGGCGGGCACCTGTAGTCCCAGCTACTTGGGAGGCTGAGGCATGAGAATGGTGTGAACCTGGGAGGCGGTGTTTGCAGTGAGCCAAGATTGTGCCGCTGCACTCCAGCCTGGGCAACAGAGCGAGACTCTGTCTCAAAAAAAATAAAATAAAAATAACCTGACCCAAAGCACTGGGAATTTGCTGGGGAATCCTAGAAGGTCATAGAAATCAGACACACCGAGGCCTATGATGGTGAAGATGTGGGAATCCATCTCCTCTGTTTGTGCTCTCTGGTTCCCAGTCTCTAAGATATCCCCAAAACGAGAGTGTCTGAAAAGATAAATAGAGATGCTTCCAGCACAGTTGTTGCACAACAAACTACATCAAAACTTAGTGGCTTAAAACAACCACCACGTCTTTAGCCCACAGATCTGTGATTCGGGCAGGGCTTGGTGGGACGGCACAGCTTTGCTCCATGTGATGGAACCTTGTGGTGGCTGCACGTTGGTGCCCTAGACAGTGGCCCCAGAGTAGCCAGTCCACTTGGACAGTGGCTTAGGGCTCCTGAGAGAGAGCCAAGCAGAAGCTGGGTTGCTCTGAAGATTTGACCAACCTAGGCTCATTCCCTCCTGTTGCCCTCATTTCCTCCTGTTGCCTTGCTCTGGCTGACCCCAGCAAGGAAGCTCAGGTGATGCTGCCCATGGGGGTTGGCAGTGGGGGGAAGCCTCTCTGGCCAAAAGTGAGTCTGGGGGGAAACCAAGAAGCCACGCAGTTTCTTCCTCTGGCCGGAGTCACAAAGGCTCAACCTGGTTACAGGTGAGAGAACAGAGATGCAACGTCTTGGTCGGGGGTGACAAGGCTCAGGAGGAGCCCATGGGACCAGAAATGCAGTTGTGGCCAATCTGAACAAATAGAATCTGCCACAAAGACATTAAGGAAATCAATCCCCAAGTGTGAGAATCAACAGCGCCCACTCCATGGCGCCCTGCTACAGTCATGTTGGAGCGCCCTCCCTCCCCAGGCCTGCACGGCAGCAGCTAGAACGCGACTGCACACTCAGGCTGCTTTAGAGACCTTGTCACCTTTACACCATTGCACGAAGGCATTACTGCCTTGTTCTGCATTAAATCTCAGCTGTCACATAAATCAGTGACAACTACCAGTTAATTACTTCTGGAAGAAAGCTACACAGAGTTTCATTTTTTTTTCTTTGCTAGTGATGAATAATTTTCCTTTGAATCACACATTGGAATATGGCAGAATATGGTCCTTTCATTTTCAAAACCTTGCATCGGTGACAAAAAATAAAATAAAGGAGAGATCTTGCGTATCCATCACACTGGAAGCTGAGCACCGTATTCCATTGCATAGTTTCCAGAATTCCCACGTGTGCGTGAATGTACATGAGCATTCCCTGTCAATGTCACTTTAAGGGCAAATCTTTCTCCCCCTCCATCAGACAGTCTTCACCAAACAAGCATTTCTGGAGTAACCTACTCTTCAAGAACAACCTGGAGTGCACGCTGGGTCCTGTGGGCGCAAAGGTTACAATGATAGAGACTATTCTGGCTGTGCTGAGACCTGCAGCCCAGGCTGGATCCAGTGTCCAGCGAGCCTGAGGCCTGTCCATTCTACAAGTCCATACATTCATGATGCTCATCTCTCCCTCAAGACTTGCCAAACTCTGACCAGGCGTGGTGGCTCACACCTGTAATCCCAGCACTTTGGGAGGCTGAGGCTGGCAGATCTCCTGAGGTCAGGAGTTCAAGACCAGCCTGGCCAACATGCCTAAACCCTGTCTCTACTAAAAACACAAAAAATTCACTGGGTGTGGTGGTGCATGCCTGTAATCCCAGCTACTCAGAAGGCTAAGGCAGGAGAATAGTTTGAACCCAGGAGGGAGGTTGCAGTGGGCCGAGATGACACTATTTCACTCCAGCCTGGCTAAAAGAGTGAGACCCCATCTCAAAAAATAACAACAAAAAAGAGTTGCCAAACTCTGCTCAAGGTCTCCTCTGTGATTCCAGGTTTCTTGCCTCTCGATGGGCACACAGTGGTAACCCCTCCTTCACGCAATTCAACCCGCCTAGGTGCTCCTGCCCTTTGTCTCATCTCCCATCTCTCCTCCTAGTTCCCCTTTAATTGTCCCCCTTTGGTCTACTAATGAATCAATAACTCCATTGTCCAGATTTGGGGAAAAGCTCTTCCCAGTTCCTCCCATGACTAAAACCTGTTTTTCTCTAAGATGTCCCAAACCTTGAAGCCGTCTCTAAGAGACCTTCTCCAATCTTTTAGTCATCCTGGGGGCCAGAAAGGCCTTTTGCCCACCTGTCTTCAGCAATCCCGTCTTGGACTCTCTCTTTCTCCTCCCGAAAGCCCCGTCTCACTGCTGACACCACGTCTCCCCCATGTCCCTCTGCTGTCTCCAGGGCCTGTGCCTCCCTGAGGCTTGCCCAGCATTGATGCCTTCAGCACTCTCGAGAATCCTTTGAAGAATTTTCATTTCAAAACCCTTGGCTGCCCTCAAATGGCCTTCCAAACCTGCTGGGCAGGTGGCAGTAGCTACCCTTGACCCATGAGAAACCCCAGCTTGCAAAGGTGTCCTGACGAGCCCTCCCACCTTACAGTCCAAGTGACAGGGCACAGGCTGAACGCAGGTACCTGGTCCCATAGAGCTGTTTATGGTTGGCCCAGCCTAAGGCAACTGTGATTTAGTACAGTTTGGGAGGACACGTCTGAAGTCATCAGACACCCTTAACCCTGCTCCCAAACCACCCCCGTTTCAGTGCCTCCATCTCCCATTGATGGTGACGCTGGGATGTTGTCTACTCCTCAGCATGGCAGTGAGCGAAACTCACACAGTCCATTCATTTGTATTAGTACATATGTTGAAATGTGTTCTCACTGATCAAAAATAAATTCCAGTGCATGGTTTTCACACACAGCATAATGTTGTGTCTGTAAGATGATAACAGACAAACTCATTAGCTAAAAATGCTCTGCATAAAGTGGGGGCTGAGAAGTAGGCAAGAGAAATCAGTAGCTGAGATTCTACATAAAAAAACATCTGTTAAGACTGAGGGACCAGGCCTGGCTGCTTACAGTGGCATCTCCTGGGAACTTGTGAGAAAATGCAGAGATTCAGCTCACCCTTGAGCTGTTGAATCAAAACCTTCATTCAACAATACCCCCAGGTGATTCGTGTCCACATTAGTTTGATGAGCACAGGCTGGATGACAGAGAAGGTGGGAGGAGGGAGTGTGTGTGTAGAGCATCATTGACATATAATTCCATCTTAGAAAAAAATTCCATGTTACATTTCAAAAGGCATCTGCCAATGGAACCAGATGTTTTGCCTTGATAAATAAAGACTGCATCCAACCAGATAAGGACATAATCATACACACTCTTCCACTATCGGGCCTCACCAGAGGACTCTGTGACTATTAAAAGAGCAGGACTTCAGCAGATCAAAACAGCTGTCTTAACAGACACGGTCTTGCTGTCACTCCTGATCAGCACCCAGCATCTGCCACCGAACGTTCTGCCCACATCAGACTCTTCCTTGAAAGACTGGTGGATCTCCTGGGCCACACAAGGATATTCTTTTTGTCTACATTGCTCTCCCTGGACTGGTTCATTAGCCCGTTCCTATCCCCTTCTTCTTTTTAAAAACTTTGGGCTGGGTGCGGTAGTTCAGGTGTGTAATCCCAGCACTTTGGGAGGCAGAGGTGGGCGGATCACAAGGTTAGGAGATCGAAACCATCCTGGCTAACACGGTGAAACCCCATCTCTACTAAAAATACAAAAAATTAGCCAGGCGTGGTGGCAGGTGCCTGTAGTCCCAGCTACTCGGGGGGCTGAGGCAGGAGAATGGCTTGAATCTGGGAGGCGGAGCTTGCAGTGAGCCGAGATCGCGCCACGGCACTCCAGCCTGGGTGACAGAGCAAGACTCTGTCTCAAAAAAAAAAAAAAAAAACAAACAAACAAAAACAAAAAAAAAAAAAAAAACCAACTTTGGCGCACTGGCTCACACCTGTAATCCCAGCACTTTGGGAGGCCGAGGTGGGTGGATCACGTGAGGTCAGGAGTTCGAGACCAGCCTGGCCAACATGGCAAAACCCTGTCTCTATTTAAAATACAAAATTTAGCTGGGCGTGGTGGCGAGTGCCTGTAATCCCAGCTATTTGGGAGGCTGAGGCAGGAGAATCGCTTGAACCTGGGAGGCAGAGGTTGCAGTTAGCCGAGATCACACCACTGCACTCCAGCCTGGGCAACAGAGTGAGACTCTGTCTCAAAAAAAAAAAAATTTTTTTTAATTTGTTTGTAGAGATGGTATCTCATTATGTTTTCCTGGATGGTCTCCAACTCTTGCATTCAAGTGATCCTCCCACCTTGGCCTCCGGAAGTGCTGAGATTATATTTTTTATGAGCCATCATACCAAGTCCCATCCCCTTTCTCTTGATATTAAATGTTACTTTGTTGTGGAATGTTTACTCTGTAACATTTTTCTATGAAGTATACCATTATGTACCATTTACAACATTGACTGACTTGTGGAGTAGCTTGAACCTGTGTGTCTACAGCTCTGAATACTGAGAATTGCCTCCTTGAGAATCCCATGAAGCTCTTGGCTTTTGTGATTGAAATATCATCAGTAAAAGTCTGACATCATGGAAAAACATAAATGAGCATGGACCTGGTTATCTCTGACCTTGCACCACTTACGAGAGGGTGAGTGGGAACCCCCAGAGGAGGGGGAGGCTAGAGAGCCTGACAGGAGAATTGGCAGCCCAGAAAATCCAGAGGCTGCGCAAGTCATACTTGCACTCAGAATACTTTTAGGAGCATCCCACCTGTTCACCCCTATTCCTACAGGCTGAGGAAAGCCATAGGAAGCTGAGCGGGGGTCTCCCTTACCACACTCTGACATCAAATGTATAGTGTTTATTCCACGCCAATTCTCTAACTCTCTGACACCAGCTGGTTGGCCTACAGTTCAATTCAATTCTGACGCCATCTACCTGGAGATAGCACAGACTCCACAAGTTGAGAGCTCTGTCCCACAAGACTCCTGCCCCCCTTCAGATGCCAGTCACAAGTCCCAGACCACCTGTACCTCTGATTGACTGGCTATAAATCGGGGGTTCCTGCAACATCTCCTTCAGTTTGATAATTTGCCAGATGGACTCACAGAACCTGGAAACATTTGTTAAGTTTATTTACTGATTTGTTATAAAGGATACAACTCGGGAACAGCCAGATGGAAGAGCTGCACAGGGCAAAATATGTAGTAAGAGGGTGGAGCTTCCACGTCCTCTTTGGGTAACCCACTCCCAGCACCCATATATTCACCAGCCCAGAAGCTCTCTGAACCCTGTCATTTAGGGAGGTTTCATTAGGAGGTTTGATTATGTAGGCATAATTGATAATCATTGGCAATTGGTGATCAACTCAACCACCAGCTCCTTTCCCTCTAATCTTGCCTTGGTCTTTTGGCCACCAGCCCCCATCCTGAAGCTACTTAGGGACCCCAGGCATCAGTCATCTTGTTAGCATACAAAGACACTCCTATCCTTCAGGACACTCCAAGGGTTTTAAGAGCTGTATGCCAGGAACTGGGGACAAAGACCAAATATTTATTTTTTTATTATATCACAGGTCACTCCCTGGTCTTTGACCATGGCTACCTTATTGTGAAGGATCATAGAAGTCAACAGACACTGTCAAATTACTAGAATACCCTTCAGTCAAGAATAATTGGTCTGCCGGGCGTGGTGGCTCACGCCTGTAATCCCAGCACTTTGGGAGGCTGAGGTGGGTGGATCACGAGGTCAGCCTGGCCAAGATGGTGAAACCCCGTCTCTACTAAAAATACGAAAAAATTAGCGGGGCGCAGTGGCAGATGCCTGTAATCCCAATTACTCAGGAGGCTGAGGCAGGAGAATTGCTTGAACTTGGGGGGTGGAGGTTGCAGTGAGCCAAGATCGTGCCACTGCACTCCAGCCTGGGTGACAGAGTGAGACTTCATCTCAAAAAAAAAAAAAAAAAGGAAAAAAAATATAATTGGTCCAGTCTATCATATTATATGAAAATATCTCACAGGTTTGCAGGCTGCCATTCCACCTTGTCAGCTTCTGGAAACAGGTGTGGTCTCTGCAAATATAGCTTTGTCCTTTCAGGCCTCTGAGCTAAGAGACATTATCATCTCTTCCTCTGAGCCATTTTCAAAGTATTAATATGACATTGAGTTTCCCTTATTACATAACCCACTTATTCATTTCTTTACCTTTAGCTATTCTCCTCCTTTTCATTTATACCCAAACTTTTCCACCTTGGGAGGGACATTAGGTTTGGCCACTCTGCTAGTCCAGATTGCAGGCAGCAGTATAGTCTAGAGAGAGCCGTCGTCTCAGTCCATTCCCATTCAGAGAGGGTAAGGTTACACAGGTGCAGGATGAGTGGGCTACTTTCACCATCAGGCAAGATAGCTGCATTGACTGTTAGCCCCAATTTGTCAAATCGGGTGAAGGCACAGCCTACCCCATCAGGCCTTTTGGAATTCTGTCATAAAGTTTAAAAATATAGTTACGGCTTCTAGGCCTGGCGCGGTGGCTCACGCCTGTAATCCCAGCACTTTGGGAGGCTGAGGCAGGCGGATCATGAGGTCAGGAGATTGAGACCATCCTGGCTAACATGGTGAAACCCCATCTCTACTAAATATACAAAAAATTAGCCTGGGCGACAGAGCGAGACTCTGTCTCAAAAAAAAAAAAAGTAGTTACGGCTTCTTATTCAGGAACCATCCCTGCTATAGTCACAGCCTGATCCTCTGACCATTGCATCTGGTGGGGAAAAAAAAACTGAGGTGAGGTGGAGAAAAAAGAAAAAATTATAGTTGTTAAACCAGTGTACTCCTCTGTTGGCAAGAATTGCATAGACATATCAGCATCGTCCCCACCCCCTCTTCCCCAGATCCACAGAAAGAGAAATATCGGCTGAGCTTGGTGGCTCATGCCTGTAATCCCAACACTTTGGGAGGCTGAGGTGGGCAGATAACCTGGAGCCAGGAGTTCGAGACCAGCCTGGCCAACATGGCGATACCCCATCTCTATAAAAAATACAAAAATTACTCAGGTATGGTGGTGAGTGCCTGTAATCCCAGCTTCTTGGGGAGCTAAGGCAGGAGAATCACTTGAACCCGGGAGGTAGAGGTTGCAGTGAGCCAAGATCTCGCAGCCTGGGTGCACTGCACTTTAACCTGGGTGACAGAGCAAGACTCTATCTCAAAAAAAAAAAAAAAGAGAGAGAGAAATATCTATTGGGGTCATTCTTTTTTTTTTCTTTTCAAGACAGGGTCTTGCTGTATTGCCCAGGCTGGAGTGCAGTGGTGCAATCATGCTTTACTGCAGCCCCAGCCTCCTCAGCTCAAGTGATCCTTCCACCTCAACCTCCCAAGTAGCTGGGACTACAGACGTGCACCACCATGCCTGTCCATTTTTTAAAAAAAATTTTGTAGACATTCAGGAGCAGGTTGTTCAGTTTCCATGTAGTTGAGCGGTTTTGAGTGAGTTTCTTAATCCTGAGTTCTAGTTTGATTGCACTGTGGTCTGAGAGACAGTTTGTTATAATTTCTATTCTTTTACATTTGCTGAGGAGTGCTTTACTTCCAACTATGTGGCCAATTTTGGAATAGGTGTGGTGTGGTGCTGAAAAGAATGTATATTCTGTTGATTTGGGGTGGAGAGTTCTGTAGATGTCTATTAGGTCCACTTGGTGCAGAGCTGAGTTCAGTTCCTGGACATCCTTGTTAACTTTCTGTCCCATTGATCTGTCTAATGTTGACAGTGGGGTGTTAAAGTCTCCCATTATTATTGTGTGGGAGTCTAAGTCTCTTTGTAGGTCTCTAAGGACTTGCTTTATGAATCTGGGTGCTCCTGTATTGGGTGTATATATATTTAGGATAGTTAGCTCTTCTTGTTGAGTTGATCCCTTTACCATTATGTAATGGCCTTCTTTGTCTCTTTTGATCTTTGTTAGTTTAAAGTCTGTTTTATCAGAGACTAGGATTGCAACTCCCACCTTTTTTTGTTTTCCATTTGCTTGGTAGATCTTCCTCCATCCCTCTATTTTGAGCCTATGTGTGTCTCTGCACCTGAGATAGGTTTCCTGAATACAGCACACTGATGGGTCTTGACTCTTTATCCAATTTGCCAGTCTGTGTCTTCTAATTGGAGCATTTAGCCCATTTACATTTAAGGTTAATATTGTTATGTGTGAATTTGATCCTGTCATTATGATGTTAGCTGGTTATTTTGCTCATTAGTTGATGCAGTTTCTTCCTAGCCTCGATGGTCTTTACAATTTGGCATGTTTTTGCAGTGGCTGGTACCAGTTACCCCTTTCCATGTTTAGTGCTTCCTTCAGGAGCTCTTTTAGGGCAGGCCTAATGGTGACAAAATCTCTCAGCATTTGCTTGTCTGTAAAGTATTTTATTTCTCCTTCACTTATGAAGCTTAGTTTGACTGGATATGAAATTCTGGGTTGAAAATTCTTTTCTTTAAGAATGTTGAATATTGGCCCCCACTCTCTACTGGCTTGTAGAGTTTCTGCCAAGAGATCAGCTGTTAGTCTGATGGGCTTCCCTTTGTGGGTAACCCGACCTTTCTCTCTGGCTCCCCTTAACATTTTTCCTTCATTTCAACTTTGGTGAATCTGACAATTATGTGTCTTGGAGTTGCTCTTCCATGAAGGCAGAAATAAATATGTTCTTTGAAACCAACGAGAACAAAGACACAACATACCAGAATCTCTGGGACACATTCAAAGCAATGCGTAGAGGGAAATTTATAGCACTAAATGCCCACAAAAGAAAGCAGGAAAGATCAACATTGACACCCTAACATCACAATTAAAAGAACTAGAGAAGCAAGAGCAAACACATTCAAAAGCTAGCAGAAGGCAAGAAATAACTAAAATCAGAGCAGAGCTAAAGGAAATAGAGACACAAAAAGCCCTTCAAAAAATCAATGAATCCAGGAGCCGGTTTTTTGAAAAGATCAACAAAATTGATAGAACGCTAGCAAGACTAATAAAGAAGAAAAGAGAGAAGAATCAAATAGACGCAATAAAAAATGATAAAGGGGATATCACCACCAATCCCACAGAAATACAAACTACCATCAGAGAATACTATAAACACCTCTACGCAAATAAACTAGAAAATCTAGAAGAAATGGATAAATTCCTCGACACATACATCCTCCCAAGACTAAACCAGGAAGAAGTTGAATCTCTGAATAGACCAATAACAGGCTTTGAAATTCAGGCAATAATTAATAGCTTACCAACCAAAAAAAGTCCAGGACCAGATGGATTCACAGCCGAATTCTACCAGAGGTACAAGGAGGAGATGGTACCATTCCTTCTGAAACTATTCCAATCAATAGAAAAAGAGGGAATCCTCCCTAACTCATTTTATGAGGCCAGTATCATCCTGATACCAAAGCCTGGCAGAGACACAACGAAAAAATAGAATTTTAGACCAATATCCCTGATGAACATCGATGCAAAAATCCTCAATAAAATACTGGCAAACCAAATCCAGCAGCACATCAAAAAGCTTATCCACCATGATCAAGTGGGGTTCATCCCTGGGACTCAAGGCTGGTTCAACATATGCAAATCAATAAATGTAATCCAGCCTATAACAGAACCAAAGACAAAAACCACATGATTATCTCAATAGATGCAGAAAAGGCCTTTGACAAAATTCAACAACTCTTCATGCTAAAAACTCAATAAATTAGGTATTGATGGGACATATCTCAAAATAATAAGAGCTATCTATGACAAACCCACAGCCAATATCATACTGAATGGGCAAAAACTGGAAGCATTCCCTTTGAAAACTGGCACAAGACAGGGATGCCCTCTCTCACCACTCCAATTCAACATAGTGTTGGAATATCTGGCCAGGGCAATCAGGCAGAAGAAGGAAATAAAGGTTATTCAATTAGGAAAAGAGGAAGTCAAATTGTCCCTGTTTGCAGATGATATGATGGTATATCTAGAAAACCCCATCGTCTCAGCCCAAAATCTCCTTAAGCTGGTAGGCAACTTCAGCAAAGTCTCAGGATACAAAATCAATGTGCAAAAATCACAAGTATTCTTATACACCAATAACAGACAAACAGAGAGCCAAATCATGAGTGAACTCCCATTCACAATTGCTTCAAAGAGAATAAAATACCTAGGAATCCAACCTACAAGGGACATGAAGGACCTCTTCAAGGAGAATTACAAATCGCTGCTGAATGAAATAAAAGAGGATACAAACAAATGGAAGAACATTCCATGCTCATGGGTAGGAAGAATCAATATTGTGAAAATGGCCATACTGACCAAGGTAATTTATAGATTCACTGCCATCCCCATCAAGCTACCAATGACTTCCTTCACAGAATTGGAAAAAACTACTTTAAAGTTCATATGGAACCAAAAAAGAGCCCACATTGCCAAGTCAATCCTAAGCCAAAAGAACAAAGCCAGAGGCATCACGCTACCTGACTTCAAACTATACTACAAGGCTACAGTAACCAAAACAGGATGGTACTGGTACCAAAACAGAGATATAGAACAATGGAACAGAACAGAGCCCTCAGAAATAATGCCACATATCTACGACTGTCTGATCTCTGACAAAAACAAGAAATGGGGAAAGGATTCCTTGTTTAATGAATGGTGCTGGGAAAACTGGCTAGCCATTTGTAGAAAGCTGAAACTGGATCCCTTCCTTACACCTTATACAAAAATTAATTCAAGATGGATTAAAAACTTAAATGTTAGACCTAAAACCGTAAAAACTCTAGAAGAAAACCTAGGCAATACCATTCAAGACATAGGCATGGGCAAGGACTTCGTGTCTAAAACACCAAAAGCAATGGCAACAAAAGCCAAAATTGACAAATGGGATCTAATTAAACTAAAGAGCTTCTGCACAGCAAAAGAAACTACCATCAGAATGAACAGGCAACCTACAGAATGGGAGAAAATTTTTGCAATCTACTCATCTGACAAAGGGCTAATATCCAGAATCTACAATGAACTCAAACAAATTTAGAAGAATAAAACAAACAACCCCATCAAAAAGTGGGCGAAGGATATGAACAGACACTTCTCAAAAGAAGATATTTATGCAGCCAAAAGACACATGAAAAAATGCTCATCATCACTGGCCATCAGAGAAATGCAAATCAAAACCACAATGAGATACCATCTCACAGCAGTTAGAATGGTGATCATTAAAAAGTCAGGAAACAACAGGTGCTGGAGAGCATGTGGAGAAATAGGAACACTTTTACACTGTTGGTGGGACTGTAAACTGTTCAACCATTGTGGAAAACAGTGTGGCGATTCCTCAGGGATCTAGAACTAGAAATACCATTTGACCCAGCCATCCCATTACTGGGTATATACCCAAAGGATTATAAATCATGGTGCTATAAAGACACATGAACACGTATGTTTATTGTGGCACTATTCACAATAGCAAAGACTTGGAACCAACCCAAATGTCCAACAATGATAGACTGGATTAAGAAAATGTGGCACATATACACCATGGAATACTATGCAGCCATAAAAATGATGAGATCGTGTCCTTTGTAGGGACATGGATGAAGCTGGAAACCATCATTCTCAGCAAACTATCGCAAGGACAAAAAACCAAATACCGCATGTTCTTACTCATAGGTGGGAATTGAACAATGAGAACACATGGACACAGGAAGGGGAACATCACACACCGGGCCTGTTGTGGGGTGGGGGGAGGGGGAGGGATAGCATTAGGAGATATACCTAATGTTAAATGATGAATTAATGGGTGCAGCACACCAACATGGCACATGTATACATATGTGACAAACCTGCACGTTGTGCACATGTACCCTAGAACTTAAAGTATAATTAAAAAAAAAAAACGTTGTAGAGATAGGGGTCTCATTATATTGACCGGCTTGTCTCAAATTCCTGGGCTCAAGTGATCCCCCCTCCTCGGGCTCCCAAAGTGTTGGGATTATAGGTGTGAGCCACTGCACCCGGCGAGGGACACTCTTTTAGTATTTCTCATGTTGAGTGTGAGCACACACTCAAGAAAGTGTGTCAGCCAGCCTTTCACATTTTTATCTCCCCCTTGTATTACACAACCAACGTTTTAATTGCCGGTTCCACCTTTTTTTTTTTTTTTGAGATGGAGTGTCACTCTGTCACCCAGGCTGGAGTGAGTGTAGTGGCGCGATCTTGGCTCACTGCAGCCCCCGCCTCCCAGGTTCAAGCAATCCTGCCTCAGCCTCCCAAGTAGCTGGGACTACAGGCATATGCCGCCATGCCCGGCTAATTTTTGTGTTTTTAGTAGAGACAGAGTTTCACCATGTTGGCCAGGATGGTCTTGATCTCCTGACTTCGTGATCCGCCCACCTCAACCTCCCAAAGTGCTGGGATTACAGGCCTGAACTACCACACCTGGCCTCCTGTTCCACTTTTTTATCAAACTATTACTCCAAGGAGGATGTCTCCCTGTCCATTGCTGGACATAAGGACTGTACCGTGTCCTTGGTCTGAAGAAATTACCATCAGCTGTCCAAATCTGGGCAATGTTTCCTGTTCTGGTTTTTCTATAGCACTCTGAGCACATGCATCTTCTAGCAGGTAAGCAAAGCCCAGTCCAGAGTCAATGTCTATTCCTCTTAGGACCTATTTGTAGCCGCCCAGGGCTATCACATCAGTCTCACTTGCCAGCTGTGTCCAGGGCCTCCCCACTAGGGAATCTGCTCCGTAGCCATCCGCAGTCTCTGTCTCTTATGCTTACAGACAGAGCAGTTTGTTTGTTTGTTTGTTTGTTTTTGTTTTTCAAGACAGAGTCTTGCTCTGTCACCAGGCTGGAGTGCAGTGGCACGATCTCGGCTCACCGCAACCTCCACCTCCCAGGTTCAAGCAATTTTCTTTCCTCAGCCTCCAGAGTAGCTGGGACTACAAGTGCGCACCACCATGCCCAGCTAATTTTTTGTATTTTTAGTAGAGAAGGGATTTCACCACGTTGGCCAGGATGGTCTTGATCTCTTGACCTTGTGATCCATCCGTCTTGGCCTCCCAAAGTGCTGAGATTACAGGTGTGAACCACCGCACCTGGCAGACAGAGCAATTCTATCAGCACTATGTGCCTGAAAAAGTGCAAGAGAAACATGTCTAGATTCAGCCCATCTCTGCACTGCTGAAATCCTCCCCAAATCTAGTCATTTTATGGACCCAGACGGCCACCTCAAGTGAGTATATGGGGATACCTGCTTGTCAATTACAGTCACCTTCTGGACCTGAAAGTTCAAGGTACCCATTCTTCTGATAGCCTCTATATGTCTTACTTTAGTGCACCCCTCAAATTCCCACAGTGGCCAGGCATGGTGGCTTATGCCTATAATCCCAGCACTTAGTAAGCTAAGGCGGGTGGAGCACTTGAGATCAGGAGTTTGATACCAGCCTGACCAACATGGTGAAACTCCGTCTCTACTAAAAATACAAAAATTAGCCGGGCATGGTGGCAGGCACCTGTAGTCCCAGCTACTTGGGAGGCTGGGGCACAAGAATTGCTTGAACCCAGGAGGCGAAGGTTGAAGTGAGCTGAGATGGTGCCACTGCACTCTAGCCTGGGTGACAGAGTGAGACTCTGTCTCAAAAAAGAAAAAGAAAAAGAAAATCCCCATAGTGATTTCCATAGAACCATGCCCCATACAAGTATCTCTTAAATAGGACAAGTTTCTATAGCCTCCTGCCTGACCATACGGCCAGGCCATTGACCATCACCCATGAATTGGTAAAAACTGAAACATACAGGCTCTTACCACTCTTCAATTCTTCCGTCACTGCTAGAAACTCAGCCCACTGAGCTGATTTGTTTTTACCTTCCTCAATCAGAGGGGTATCTTTCCAAACAGGCTGTCTGTTCACCTTGGAACTGTCATCAACACACCAGCCAGTTCTTTGCTGGTCAGTCAAGAGCAGTTTATAGAGCACGGTTCATGTGATAATAGGATCTGGCAGCTCCTAATGCAATTTCTGAATCAGTCCTGGGGGAACAGAGGCTCCCTGTTTGTGAGTTTCTGCTCCTTTGTGCCCCAGGCAGCATGATCCTGTATAAGCCACTTCCATCTTATTATGAAGCTCCTGTGAGCACTGCCTTCCCCATTAGAATGGTTCTCTGACATCACTCAGGACATCATGGGTATTTTCAGTTTCAAGATTATTTTATGTCCTTTTATCATAGGATGGCTTCCATTAATGTTTGATAGTAAGCTAGTACGTGCCCCCCAGATGGAAATTCACTGGTCCAAAGCCCAGTAGATGTGGCTGGGATGCACTTACGGGCTTTCTCCACTAGCCCCACTTTATACTCCACACAGGGCTATCCCACTGAGGGTCTGTCTCTCCTAGCCTTCCACCTTCTACTCCGCACTGTGTGAGCTCAGGCAATCTTTCTGCTCCCCACACAGCATGTCCAATTAATATTGCTTGAAAAGCAAATTTAATGCCTTCTGTTTTATAGCAGCAGTTCCCCAGTCAGATACCACGTCCATCTCCGTAAGCCATTCAGGTAAAAGAGACACAGCAACTTCAAACATACCCATTTTTATTCTTACTTTCCCCTTAATCCCATCAATCCTGATATTCCTAAGTGAAGCCTCCATTAGGACTTCCCCAACAATTTTTGGTTTTACAATACTAGGTAGAGGAGGCATTCCACAGTCAAACATGATATCCACTCCCATAAAACATTCAGGAAGAGGAGACACAACCTCTTCACATAAAACCTGTTTAATACCCCAATTTTCATGCAATCTTTCATCCTAATCCCACCAATCCTTTCATTTCTATATTCTCTCAGTATAATTGCTGCTGAGTTAGGGCTTCACCAACAAGCACTGGCACCACAGTGTGTGGGGATCCCTTATCAAGGGGTCCCTGACTCTCCCCTCTGCCTTTCCTCATTCACTTATTCATTAACCCAGTATTTTTATTAGCACCTGTAAAACACATGGCAAGGAAGCTGAAACAGCAAATTTGATAAGGCTTTTGAAACTCTCCCTCAGTTTTGCAATAGTGAGGTTATATGGGGTGTCCACATCAAACACCCCCTAAACCATAGCATTTATCATGACGTGGATAACAGGCATATTCAGTGGGTGAATATCCCAGTCATAGGCCAGTCCCCCACATGGCTTGCATTTGAAGCATGTCAGCTGGGGTGCTCCACTTGGCATTTATAGGGGGAGTCGGGCAAGCCCCCTTTTCAGGATAAATAGATCTTACAGTGACTTTTTTCCAGTCCACCAGGCTGGCTCTTCCCTTGGGAATAACCTCCTGTGTGTCTGAATCATGTACAGCCATCTGTGATTGTTCTATAGTGAGCTGTGGGTCCTGTATCAACCCACGCATGCTTTTCCACTCTGCAGCTTTCAAAAACAAAGATACTGCCCCTAAATTAGTTATTCTCAGAATTCATGTTGGTAAAGTCTCCTCAGAAGCTGATGATACTGATTCACAATATGAGTCACTTCCATTCTCTGTATGTATCTCCTGATCTCAGTAGTTAACTTGGTTTTGCCCGCCACCCACATTGACTACCTTCTTGGTGACCACAGGTCTTAGAGGGACTCTATTTGTCCCCTCATATTTTTCTCTTGGGAGATGGCTCTGAAGCTAGTAGCTGAGCTCAGACCAACCCAAATCTGACCCTGGTCCAGTCTCAAGGTCCACCCGGCACTCTCATTTACTTTCATTTTAGCTAATATAGGTGGTAATAACCAAGAGATTGTATATTTTGCTCTTTTCTTATTATTTTGCTTTTTTTTTTTTTTTTTTTTTTGAGATGGAGCCTTGCTCTATTGCCCAGGCTGGAGTGCAGTGGCACGGTCTCGGCTCACTGCAACCTCCGCCTCGCGGGTTCAAGCGATTCTCCTGCCTCAGCATCCTGAGTAGCTGGAATTAAAGGTTCCTGCCACCATACCCGGCAAATTTTTTGTATTTTTAGTAGATACGGGGTTTCACCATGTTGGCCAGGCTGGTCTCGAACTCCTGACCTTGTGATCCACCCGCCTCAGCCTCCCAAAGTGCTGGGATTACAGGCGTGAGCCACCATGCCCGGCCTCCATTGGTAACTTTCACTGTTAGTAACGGATTGCAGCAGAGCTATGGCTCTGTATCATGGGTGACCACATGGCCACCCAGGAGTCAAAGGTTCCTCATCCCACACCCTTTTGCCTTTTCTCTTCCCAAACCATATGCTTCTGTGAGCCAGGGCCTTTCTAGCAAATCTCACGTTTTCGACACCAAAAGAAGCAAGGGTTTTCTCCATCATATTTCTGATGCCATATGTGTGGTGTCTTTTCCAACACTATTTCTCCAAGTCTCCTATACCAACTGGGTGTCCTGAAATTAATTTTACCCAATTCTGGGACTATCTTCCTGGAAATGGCAGAAGATCCCAAAAGTTAAGGGCTCAGTCCCACAGACTGTCCCCACTTCACACGCCAGTCACAAGTCCTGAGTCTCCTGTAGTTTTGACCAACTAACTGGCTATAAATTGAGGTTTCCCATGACCCCTCCTCAGCTTTGGTAATTTGTTATAACGACTGACAGAACTCAGGAACACACTTTACTATCACCAGCTTTGTGTAAAGGACACAGCTCAGGAACAGCCAGATGGAAGAGATGCAGACGCAAGGTATAGGGTGGCGCAGAGGCTTCACGCCCTCTCCAGCGGCCCCACCCTCCCAGCAGCTCCAGGTGTTCACCCACCAGTAAGCTCTCTGAACCCCACTGTTTAGGGGGTTTTATGGAGGCTTCCTTATGTAGGTGAGAGTGATTAAATCATTGGTGATTAGTAAGCTCAATCTCCAGCCCCTCTCCTTTTCACAGAGTCAAAGACCACATATTTTTCTAACCATAGGATTGTGAAAGGAAAATATCTTTTTTTTTTTTTCTTTTTGGAGACAGAGTTTTGCTCTGTCTCCCAGGCTGGAGTGCAGTGGTATGATCTCGGCTCACTGCAACCTCTGCCTCCTAGGTTCAAGCAATTCTCCTGCTTCAGTCTCCTGAGTAGCTGGGACTACAGGTGTGCACCACCACACTTGGCTAATTTTTGTATTTTTAGTAGAGATGGGGTTTCCACACCATATTGGCCAGGCTGGTCTCCAACTCCTGACCTCAAGTGACCCACCCACCTCGGCCTCCCAAGGTGTTGGGATTATAGGCGTGAGCCACTGCACCCAGCCAGGAAAATATCTTGGGCCCCCAAAATCACTAAGCTAAAGGGAAAATTCAAGCTTTTGTTTTTGTTTTTCGGCCTCATCTTAAATTTTTACATTACCTTAGAGAGAGGGGCATCCTTGTAATGCTGTCTTCCTCTCTCAGGACTGAACATGTCTCTTTATCTACTCAAGTTCCCTGTCTGTTCCTTTGTTCATTTGAAGCTTTTCTCTGGGTACTCCTGTACATTTCCAGGTGTGTATTCTGACATATTTCTTCTCCTTCTTGCTATGCTAAATGTGACTCTTTCTTCCATCAGTGTTTGAGGACCATTGCTTCAGGTGTGAAGCATTTTGGCAATCTATTACTAGAGAGCCCCTCTCAGTGAAGAGTCTGCCTGCTGCTCACCCCAGAATCCTGCGTGCGTGCTCAGCCTCCTGTGACCCCCTCTTCTTGCCGCCTAGTCCCCGTGTGGTGGAAGGGTGGTGATGCCCAGGACACAGGGGCTGCTCCAGGCTCATCTGGACCCAACCCCTCCAACCCCTTTCATCACCTTTCAGAATGAAAAGGCAAATCCATATTTGGGGGCTACAAAGTCTTATTTCTGAGGGGAATATCTTAAAAGCCTTTTTTTCCTGCCTTGAGGAACTTTTCCAGATATAGCCAAATATAACCAATCTCTGACAACGTTTAGATGTGATGTGTAATTAATAGGTGCCACTGAAATAAACTGCAAAACTTGGTTGTGAAATCCTTGAAACCGCCTTAATGTCTGTATTATTGTCATAAGCTATTTGACTCTAAATGTATATGTAATAAAGATTGAATCTGGGCCGGGGGTGGTGGCTCAGACCTGTAATCCCAGCACTTTGGGAGGCCAAGGCGGGCGGATCACCTGAGGTCAGGAGTTCAAGACCAGTCTGGCCAACATGATGAAACCCTGTCTCTACTAAAAATACGAAAAATTATCCAGGCATGGTGGCGGGCACCTGTAATCCCAGCTACTCAGGAGGCTGAGGCAGGAGAATCGCTTGAACCCGAGAGGCAGAGGTTGCAGTGAGCCGAGATCATGCCACTGCACTCCAGCCTGGGCAACAAGAGTGAAACTCCATCTCAAAAAAAAAAAAAAAAAAAAAAAAGATTGAATCTGTAAATGCATAGGTGCACTAACTTTACTGTGAATTGGAATGCTTTTTTACATGGCCATCTGATCTTGTTGGGGCATTCGCTTCTACTTGTATCTCTGGCAACTTTTTCTTTCTCTTTTTGTAACCAGTGCCCTTCCTGGGAACCAGGCAAGTCTCCAGGCCCTGGCTCCTGTCTGTGTTGACACTTTCCCTTCCTGATGCATTATAGCAGGCTGTGTTTTCCAAAGATAGCTACAGAAATATCTCCCATCGCGTGTGTACTCCTACAACGTGACCTGGCCGCTTCTTCCCCGAGAGGTGAGGTCTAGGTCTCCTCCCCTTGAATTGTCCCTTTTTGCCCAGGGTATTCTCAGTACTAGCAAGGAAAGTCCCCAAAACTAGCAAAGGGCTGGGCACGGTGGCTCACGCCTGTAATCCCAGCACTTTGGGAGGCCAAGGCGGGTGAATCACTTGAGGTCAGGAGTTTGAGACCAGCCTGACCAATATAGTGAAACCCTGTCTCTACTAGAAATACAAAAAATCGGCCGGGCATGGTGGCTCACGCCTGTAATCCTAGCACTTTGGGAGGCCAAGGCAGGCAGATCACGAGGTCAGGAGATCGAGACCATCCTGGCTAACATGGTGAAACCCTGTCTCTACTAAAAACACAAAAAATTAGCCAGGCGTGGTGGCGGGCACCTGTGGTCCCAGCTACTCAGGAGAATGGCACGAACCTGGGAGGCGGAGTTTGCAGTGAGTGGAGATCGTGCCATTGCACTCCAGCCTGGGCGACAGAGCGAGACTCCGTCTCAAAAAAACAAACACAAAAAAAAGCAATACAAAAAATTAGCCAGGTGTGGTAGCACATGCCTGTAATACCAGCTACTTGGGAGGCTGAGACAGGAGAATCACTTGAACCTGGGAGGCAGAGGTTGCAGTGACCTGAGATGGCACCATTGCACTCCAGCCTGGGCAACAAGAGCAAAACTCAGTCTAAACAACAACAAACAAAACAAAACAAAAAAACAGCAAAGACTCCCTGGCAAACTGGGATAGCTGGGCACCCAGCTACGGATCTGGGTGGGTTTAGGCTAGCTCCAACCAAAACAGCAGGCTGAGACAGACATTGTGAGTTCCAAAGCTGGGTCATAAAAGCCTGGATGAGGCTTCCTCCAGGTTCTCCTATGTATTAGTCACATTTTTTGTCTTCTGTATCTTATAATTATTTTTTTAGAGATGAGGTCTTGCTATGTTGTCCAGGTAGGTCTGGAACTCCTGGCCTCAAGCAATCCTTCCATCTAGGATTCAAGGCACGTGCCACCATGCCCAGGTCTTTTATAATGTTTTGACATCTTAAAAACCTGGCTGGCCAGGGAGAGACTGCCCCTCCAGGGGTTAAGCCATTCTTAGAGCTAGCCAAGGGCTTTGTGTTGAGACCCTGTCTTTCCTATGCAAACCAATCAATTCCAAGTCTATACCCCAGCCACCCCGTTTATCTTACTCTCACACACCAAGCCAATATTTTCCCCTGTCCTGAATCATCCCAGAGCTAGGTACCAGGCAACTAGAGACCACCCCTAAAGCCCAAAGCCTACTGGAATCATTTGAACTAGCCCATCCTAAACTGTTTCCCCTCCTCTGCTCTGCCATTCTCATGGAAGCCCCGGTAAAAGCTCTGGCCTCAGCTTCCCCCTCACTCCTGCTCCCGCCTCCTGACCAAAACCTGGCACTCGGTTTTGGGTGGTCTGCCATGAGCAACAGAAAGCAGAACAACATGCAGCTTGGAGGATATGGAAAAGCCAATTCTCCTTACATCATCCCAGGATTTTCAGATGGTGCTTTTTTAGGAACTAGAGGTTCTTCCAGTACTCAGGACCACACAGGATGAAAAGCTGAGGGAAAATGCCTGTCCCCACCACCTTCCAACCAGAATAGCCGTGGTTTTCATCTGTTTTGGTTACTTCTGAGAAGAAAAATTTCCCATGAAGAAAGAGGTTCTCTGGTTTCTGAGCATTCTTAGGCTTGAACAATGCTGGAACACTCCGCAATTTAAAAAAACTAGATAAGGAAACTGAGGTCCATGAGGGGAGGCCCCAGGCCTGGAGGCAAGCTCCAAATAACATAGAAGCCGTTCTGGTCCACTTGCAATTTTGATTATTTCATGCCCAGTGACCCATTTTATCCCACAAATCAAGAGAAGAAACAAGCTTTGTTCCTGCCTTCTAAATTTAGCCCGTTAGGCTGGCAACTAAACTGTGTTAGGCGGTCTCCAAGCAATACACCTGTGTTTCTCATTACGTCTTTCATTTCCATGGTTTTGATCCTTTCCCACTTTGGGAACCAATTTCCTTATCACATTTGAATAACTTCAGTGGTGAGCCAAAAAACAACCAGGATATTCACACTTAAATTCATAGCATTCAAAATCTAATGTAGTGATTCTCACTGTGTATTTTATTTTTCAAACAAGAGGGGGCCTAATTACAATAGACTCACACAGATTGCTTAATATCTAGTGCTAGGCTTTTACTGATAAGACATCACATGCAAAGCACGTTGAAATACAGCTGATGTGTCCATCAGCATGGGCGATACTCAGAAATACTCACAACTATCAAATTGCTCAGATCCCTCAAACACAGAATCTCACTCTCTTGCCCAGGCTGGTGTGCAGTGGCGCTGTCTTGGCTCACTGTAACTTCCGTCTCTTGGATTCGAGTGATTCTCCTGCCTGAGCCTCCCAAGTAGCTGGGATTACAGGCATGCACCACCGTGCCCAGCTATTTTTTTTTTTTTTTTTTGTATTTGTAGTAGAGACGGGGTTTTGAGATGGAGTCTCACTCTGTCACCCAGGCTGGAGTGCAGTGGTGTGATCTCAGCTCACTGCAACCACCACCTCCTGGGTTCAAGCGATTCTCTTGCCTTCCGAGTAGCTGGGATTACAGGCATTTGCCACCACACCTAGCTAGTTTTTGTATTTTTCGTAGAGATGGGGTTTTGCCATGTTGGCCAGGCTGGTCTCAAACCCCTGACCTCAGGTGATCTGCCTACCTCGGCCTCACAAAGTGCTAGGATTACAGGCATGAGCTACTGCGCCCGGCCACAAAGTTGATAAGTTCTAAGCAGAGACTGGAAGAGGAAGAAAACACTTAGTGCATTGTTCGGCAAAGAAATACTTTAGAGATAATGAAGTATTTATATTAAACATAATCTCCCCTTTTTCTACATCTCTGGGTCATAATGTCGAACAGCTGCTGTTTCTCTGTCACACGGTGATGACGTTTTCATAAATGGCGGAGGTTTATTTGCTACCTTCATCTCGTAGTGGGACATAGGAAGTCATGGAGGAGGGGTGTTTTGGCCAAACAGAACATGGAGCGATGATTCCTGGGCCTAAATGGAAACAGACCACGCTGGGGCGCTATTAGGAAACTTCACATGCATTGACTGGATAAGCAAGAAATAGAGAAGTGCCTCTCCTCTATCCAATATTCCAGAGCCTTAGCCATAGGTCACCATACCTCACACAGGGCCAAAGAATCTTGTAATACACTGATTAGTCAACATTTGTATGCAGACAGATCCCTGTAAAAAATATTCTCCAGAGCCCTGTACCCCCATTGTACCCCTGTTGGGTGGTCAGGCCGCCTAGAGCTGAGATCAGGCTCACTGCCTTGATGTCAGGAGGTGGAGGAGGAGCAGTCGCCCTGGAACCAGTGGGTTCTTTCCCTACCTCCCTTTCATACTTGTTCCTCACTGCCTCTAGGGCTAACAGCATGCCTAAACTCTAGCTTGCCAAGTGCCTTTGGCCATTTCCTCACTTCATCCTTATTTTAAATTTGTACAATTTCATATCTCTATAAAGCAGACATTTGAATGACAACTGGAAAGTGATTTCAGTTCAGTCTAGTCTTCTTAATGGAAATTCCTTGTGACTCTACATTTTACTTATTTGACCCCAAATCCTTTTTTTCTTTGTCTTTTCTTGTTCTTTCTTTCTTTTTCCGAGTATCTCTCAGAAGTAGCATTTCAAAGATTCAGGAGGCCGGGTGTGGTGGCTCATGCCTGTAAGCCCAGCACTTTGGGAGGCCGAGGTGGGTGGATCATGAGGTCAGGAGTTCAAGACCATCCTGGCCAACATGGTGAAACCCTGTCTCTACTAAAAATACAAAAATTAGCCAGTCATGGTGGCGAGCACCTGTAATCCCAGCTACTCAGGAGGCTGAGCAGGAGAATTGCTTGAACCTGGGAGGCAGAAGTTGCAGTGAGCCGAGATTGTGTCACTGCACTCTACCGTGGGCAACAGAGTGAGACTCCGTCTCAAAAAAAAAAAAAAAAAAAAAAAAGATTCAGGAAACCTGTGTCAGGAATCACTAACTCAGAATGCAGTCCTCAAATCCCAGCTGAGTTCCTCTACAGCCTATTAGGACTCAGTTCAGACTTGTTCTTTCAATTCCAGCCTCCCTTGACCATTGGCTTTTCTAATGCTTTGGCATATATGTAGCCTTAATTAAACACTTCCGGAGGTGTTCTCCAGCTCTCAGGGGTGCAAGACTTGTCAGCTCAGCAACATTCTTTTATGTTTTGTTTTTTTTGTTGTTGTTTTTGAGATGGAGTCTCGCTGTGTCGCCCAGGCTAGATGGAGTGCAGTGGTGTGATCTTGGCTCACTGCAACCTCTGCCTCCCGGGTTCAAGCGATTCTTCTGCCTCAGCCTCCTGAGTAGCTGGGATTACAGATGCACGACCACACCCAGCTCATTTTTGTATTTTAGTAGAGATGGGGGTTTCACCATGTTGGCCAGGCTGATCTCAATCTCCTGACCTCATGATCCACCTGCCTCAGCCTCTCATTCTTACTTCCATTAAGGCAGGGATCACTTTGTCCTGCATTCAGATTGTCAGTAAGTATCAGTTAATTGATTAATCCTATGAGGCTTCTGCACTTGAAAATTTAAAAACTTGATGAATGCATCTGTATAATCACCATTGCTTGTTGCTCCAGTTGTTTCTAAGTTTTTCACTGTGCTGAGTCCAATTTCATCATCATCCAATTGAAGCAGTGAAGTTGGCCTGTGATCCAGCTGTGGAGGCAGTTTTAATATTGCAGCCAGAGGTCCCCAAGACTTGAATCTTGGCTTTTTACAGCATCACAGTACCATATGACAATGGAAAGTGTGGTGCTGACATTTACCACTCATTTGGGGATTTCACCTTACACTGCCCTTCCTTCCTGTTATTTACCTGTTATTTATCTTTCATATGTTTTCACCCCTTCAGTCCTTTGTCTCCTTTTCTTAATTAAATGGTAGATTTCTTGAAGCAATGCTATGAATCCAGCACAAAGCCCTGCACTAAGTAAGTCTTCAGCAAAGGGTGGTGAATAGAGATGTACTTCACAGTATCCAGATTTAAAAGGCAGAGCTAAACCAAAATTTTTTTTCCCTAAAAACAGCAGGCATCCACAGTCAGTAACGTTTATTTCTGTTGAAGCCTCAGGTTTTAAAAGGCAAAACTAAACCAAATTTCCCCCTCAGCACATCAGGCGTGAGTTCCATTGAAGTTTATTTCTGTGCGCAGGGCCTCCTGCTTGTGCCCGGCACCCCACGCATCCTGAGCCACGCATGGGTTAGAGAGATGTAGGTCACCGCTCACAGCAGAAGTAGAAAAATGAGTTAGTGGGCTGGCTTAATCAAGAAATAAAACCCTTTTGAGAAGCGGAGGTGGGAGGGTCACTTGAGGCTAGGAGTTTGAAACCAGCCTGGGCAATATAGTGAGACCCTACCTCTACAAAAAATTTTTCAAATTAGTTGGGCGTGGCAGCATGTGCCTGTAGTCCCAGCTACTCGGGAAGCTGAGGCAGGAGGATCGCTTGAGATCGGCAGTTTGAGGGTTCAGTGAGCTGTGATTGTGCCATCGCACTCCAGCCTGGGCTACAGAGCAAGACACTGTCTCAAAATAATAATAATAATAAAAATAAAAATAAAAAGAAGAAATACAACCTTAAGAAGCCACTAATGAGGAGTACTCTCAGCACTATTATCTGGAAAAACAATAAATAACATTTTATGCTACTGTTGTTCAGGAAAAGGAGCCTCACCCCTATGGGAACATTGTCCTTGACTGCTGAAGGCCTCACATTCCGAGAGCTTGTCCCTGTCTGGTTGCACCTGGTAGCAACCTATCCCATTGAACCACTGTCAGACCCTCTGGAGGGTCTAATATGGGTGATCCATAACACAAGGGGGATTTACGTTTAGCCCCTCACAGAAGGTCACTTACAACTTGGCACATCTGGTGCACTGATAAAGAGGGGATTGATTTGCAAGGCAGGGGCGGCCCACGCAGGACTTCGCAGACTTTTCAGGTGACGGATCAAAGAATATGCGCCCTCCCCGCCCCCGCCCACAAATTACTCACTTCGTTGTAAGCATTACTTTGAGCTGAAGGTAACTGAAAAAAGGCAGAAACAGAAAGAGCTCTCTATCCTCCCCCTTTCTCCTAAAAGCAAAGCATACATTTGTAAAACAGTCCCCAGGCCTCTCTCCACCAGGAAGGACCAAAGGTAATTACCGGTGACAACCGGAGACAGCGCCCTCATCTACCATTAGCTTGCCCATATATTTGCATTCCTATAATTTGACACTCCCAGGAATCTGAAGACCTTTTCCTTTGTCTTGCCACTTCACTACAAATTTATTATTCTTTGTTGAGATGCTATATACACCCGAATTCTAGCCACCCTTTGAGTCACCCACCTCTGAGTGCTGCATGTAAGCAAAATGCATGCATTATATACTTCCTTGTTTTTCACTCACTAATCTGTCTTTTCTTAGTCTAATTTGACTGCACCTAAGATGGATAGAGAGAAAAACCTATTTTTCCCCTCTCCTCCACAGAGAGGTCTGACAAGAGGAGGGGAGGAGCACTGTTTCTGACTCAGACACCAGCCTGGGCGCAACCCCTTGGACTCCTCCATGTGAGTGGAGAGGAAGTGTTTCTCTAGCATTAAACCTTTGTTTAACGCAAACAGACCAGAAAATAAAATCTTACACTCAAAATCTCAGCCAAATAGTAATACTTGGAAGTTACTTTTAAAATATCTTTATCTGTATTTAAGACTTTGCTCAGACTGGGTGCAATAGCTCACACCTGTAATCCTAGCACTTTCGGAGGCCAAGGCCGTCAGATAGCTTGAGCCCAGGAGTTCGAGACCAGCCTGGGCAACATGGCAAAACCTCGTCTCTACAAAAAATACAAAAATTAACTGGGCATGATGACATGCACCTGTAGTCTAAGCTACTCCGGAGGCTGAGGCGAAAGGATCACCTGAGCCCAGAGAGGTTGAGGCTGCACTGAGCCGAGATTGTGCCATTGCACTCCAGCCTGGGCGACAGAGTGAGGCCCTGTCTCAAACCCCCCTAACCCCCAAAAAGACACAGGCTGGGCGCAGTGGCTCACACCTGTAATCCCAGCACTTTGGGAGGCCAAGGTGGGTGGATCATGAGGTCAGGAGTTCGAGACCAGCCTGGCCAATATGGTGAAACTCCATCTCTACTAAAAATACAAAAATTAGCCCAGCGTGGTGGCACGCACCTGAAGTCCCAGCTACTTGGGAGGCTGAGGCAGGAGAATCGCTTGAACCCAGGAGGGGGAGGTTGCAGTGAGCGGAGATCTTACCATTGCACTCTAGCCTGGGCAACAGAGTGATACTCTGTCTCAAAAACAAAAAACAAAAAACAAAAAAACCAAAAAAAACACTTTGCTGAATTCACACTGTATTTAATCTGACCACATTTTAGGGTACAGTATAAATTCAGTGGGCTAAATGGTGGTCTCCCAAAAGATACATCCACATCCTATCCCTAAGAGCCTGTGGATGTGACTTTATTGGGAAAAGGGTCTTTGCAGACATGATTAAGGATCTTGAGACAAGATAATCCTGGATTATCTGCATGGGTCCTAAATCCAATGAAGAATGTCTTTTTTTTTTTTTTTTTTTTTTTTTGAGACGGAGTCTCGCTCTGTCGCCCAGGTTGGAGCACAGTGGTGCAATCTCGGCTCACTGAAAGCTCAGCCTCCTGGGTTCACACCATTCTCCTGCCTCAGCCTCCCGAGTAGCTGGGACTACAAGCGCCCGCCACCACACCTGGCTAATTTTTTTTTTTTTTTTGTATTTTTAGTAGTGACGGGGGTTTCACCATGTTAGCCAGGATGGTCTCGATCTCCCGACCTCGTGATCCGCCCACCTTGGCCTCCCAAAGTGCTGGGATTATAGGCGTGAGCCATCACACCCGGCCGAAGGATGTCTTTTTAAGAGATGGAAGCAGCCAGGTGCGGTGGCTCATGCCTGTAATCCCAACATTTTGGGAGGCCAAGGCGGGTGGATCACCTGAGGTCAGGAGTACGAGACCTGCCTGGCCAACACGGTGAAACCCTGTCTTTACTAAAAATACAAAAATTAGCTGGATGTGGTGGTGGGTACCTGTAATCTCAGCTACTCGGGAGGCTGAGGCAGGAGAATCGCTTGAACCCAGGGGACAGAGTTTGCAGTGAGCCAAGATCATGCCACTGCTCTCAAGCCTGGGTGACAGAGTGAGACTCCATCTCAAAAAAATATAAATAAATAAGTTAATTAATTAATTAATTAATTAAGAGATAGAAGCAGCCAGGCATGGTGGCTCATGCCTATAATCCCAGCACTTTCGGAGGCCAAGGTGGGAGGATCACTTGAGCCCAGGAGTTTGAGACCAGCCTGGGCAACGCAGTGAGACCCCATCTCTATTCAATATAAAATTTAAAGAGAGAGAAAGAGACAAAAGAGAAGACAAAGATACAGAGGAGAAGGCCATGCAAAGATGGAGACAGAGATTGTAGTGATGATGCCACAGGGGACCTCTGGGCCACCAGAAGCTGGAAGAGAAGAGGAAGGATCTCCCCTAGAGCTTTCAGAGGAAGTGCAGCTCGCTGACACCTTGATTTCAGACTTCCAGCCTCCAGAACTGTGAGACAATATACTTCTATCTTGTTTTTTTGTGTGTGTGGTTTTGTTGTTGTTGTTGTTCAGGTTTCTTTGAGATGGAATCTTGCTCTGTCACCCCAGCTGGAATGCAGTGGAGCGATCTCGGCTCAATGCAACCTCCTCCTCCTGGGTTCAAGCGATTCTCCTGCCTCAGCCTCCTGAGTAGCTGGGATTACAGGCGCCTGCCACCACACCTGGCTAATTTTTGTATCTTTACTAGAGACAGGGCTGCTCTTGAACTCCTGACCTCAGGTGATCCACCCGCCTCGGCCTCCCAAAGTGCTAGGATTAGAGGCGTGAGCTTGCTTCTTTCTTCTCTTCTGGTGAGTATTTGCTATTGAAGACAGTTAACTTTAAGTCACCATTCTTGGTCCAGCCAGGGAAAATCAAGCCTAGGACTCCAGCGGTTTCTTTCTCTCTTTTTGGGAGGAAGGACTTCTACTCCAGTGGAACATTACCTAGTGGGATGCAGGGGTGGCAGAGGGTGTTAGCGAGAGTTTTCAGAGTTTTATCTAGGATTCTTCTTTTCCCCAAGTGCATATATAGATATACACCTTTTTTTTTTTTAAGACAGGATCTTGCTCTGTCACCCAGGCTGGAGTACAGTGGTGCAATCCCAGCTCACTGCAGCCTCCACCTCCATGGCTCAAGCAATCCTCCTACCTCAGCCTCCTGAGTAGCTGGGATTACAGGTGCATGTCACCACGCCAGGCTAAATTTTGTATTTTTTGTAGAGACGGGGTCTCACTGTGTTGCCCAGGCTTGTCTTGAACTCCTGGATTCAAGGAACCCTCCACCTCGGCCTCCCAAAGTGCTGGAATTACAAGCGTGAGCCACTGTACCAAGACCCAAGTGCTCTTAAAAGGATAAAAGCCATGTCCATCGCTCTCTGGGAGGGACTTTCTAATTCATGTTACTAACAGATGAGCAAATGATGTGCTCTAAAATGCGAAAGGTTCGAGGCTGCACCTGTAATTGCGCCACTGCACCCCAGCCTGGATGACAGTGAGACCTTGTCTCTAAAAAAAATACATTAGCCGAGCCCGGGCGCAGTGGCTCACGCCTGTAATCCCAGCACTTTGGGAGGCAGAGGTGGGTGGATCACAAGGTTAGGAGATCGAAACCATCCTGGCTAACATGGTGGAAACCCCGTCTCTACTGAAAAATACAAAAAATTAGCCAGGCGTGGTGGTGGGCGCCTGTAGTCCCAGCTAGTCGGGAGGCTGAGGCAGGAGAATGGCGTGAACCCAGGAGGCGGAGCTTGCAGTGAGCCGAGATCATGCCACTGCACTCCAGCCTGGGCGACAGAGTGAGACTCTGTCTCAAAAATAAATAAATAAATAAAAATAAAATAAATAAATAAATAAATAAATTAGCCGAGGCGGGCAGATCATGAGGTCAGGAGTTCAAGACCAGCCTGACCAAAATGGTCAAACACTATCTCTACAACAAACACAAAAATTAGCTGGGCATGGTGGTGGGCACCTGTAATCCCAGCTGTTCAGGAGGCTGAGGCAGGAGAATCACCTGAACCCGGGAAGCAGAGGTTGCAGTGAGCCAAGATCACGCCATTGCACTCTAGCCTGGGGGACAGAGTGAGACTCCGTCTCAAAAAAATAAAATAAAATAAAATAAAATAAAATAAAGGCCAGGCACAGTGGCTCATACCTGTAATTCCAGCACCTTGGGAGGCTGAGGCAGGTGGGTCACTTGGGACCAGGAGTTCAAGACCAGCCTGGGCAACAGAGTGGAACCCTGTCTCTACAATAAATAAATAAATAAATAAATAAATAAATAAATAAAATAATATGCAAAGGAAGGAATAGTTGGTGCAAGGGGAGAAGACCAGGATCCTGGATCCGACACTTACTGTGTAACCTTGAATAAGGTTAGTTAAGAATCTTGAGACTCAATTTCCTCATCTGCAGAATGGACAATAGTAACCTCATGTACTGACTTTATCTGTGTGTGTGTCTACTTCCCTGTTAACCTTGCGCCCTTGAGGGTGGGCTGTGCCTGCTTCTGCTGTCCCCCAGCCCGGCCCACAGAAGGGAGCTGACCGTGTGGCCCTGCAGGGCCGCTTTGAGGAATGACTCCTCATGCTTATGAACCCCTTGGCCTCATCACCACCTTGGTTCTCTCGAAAGACTTGTCCTAAAGGCCCTGTTTTGCCTTCTACCACTCTCTTTTACCCTCAACGTGCCTTTGTGGCCCATTTTTGCGGGATGGAGATAATAGAGAAAGGAGAAGGATGAAGAGAGGGAAAAAGGTTGAGATGATCGTGTTAACACTCCAGGTACAAATTTTTATGCAGAAGAAAGTTGTTTCTTCGTTAGAAGGTAGAACTTCTACAAATATGGAAATTCAACATAATTTTTTCGGTTCAAATTCTACTGAAAGACTTTTTACTTTTCTTTACGATGGCCGCTGCTTTAAGAGAAAGTGTCCGGACATGAATCATGCAGGGTCAAATGTGTTCCCTAATGAAGAGGCCGCTGCACAACAGAAACCCCCACCTTCAACCTCACTCACGTTGTAATGGATACCCTCTCTACTTTAGGAAAAACAAGAGTAGCAGGTATTAGCGCAGGCCGAAATAAGCTAATAGACCTTGCTTGTCATGGAGAGCACCCAACACTCTTTGAATTAGGTGGGTTTGGGTTTGTACCCAGGTCTCTGGAATGAGCTGCTTGGCTGAGCCTCAGCCTCCAACGAAGCCCATTCAGCTGTGTCCTGGCAACCTCCTGCTGTCCCAGGGCTTGCTACAGAGAATTCAATGTCTACAGCATCTCCAGTGTGTCATTATTTAAGCTTCACTTATTTGTACAGGGAGAAATATATCAGGCCGTAAGTCATCTGTAGCTGTCACATCTTTTCTGTAAGGCTAAAATGTTTCCAGATGCTGACAATTTTTAAGATGATTCCCTCAGATTGATAAAGCAAGGGGATGATCTTTCTCTGTAGAAAAACTATCTAAATCATTCACTGAAGGCTTTGCTATTTCCCACCTTTTACCTCTTTGGTAAGAAAGCTGAATTCTTTGTGCAGTGAAGGCAGTGAAGTAGGAATGTGGATGTCTTCTGTCTAGCACCCACCCGAAGGGACAGATCCTCTCCCCAGGCCTTCTCACCTAATGGATGGAGGTCTTCCCCATGCTCTGCTGGCTCACCATGCTCTTGCATTTGCCTGTCATCATTTTTCATAGAAAATAAAAGGATTGGCCAGGTAAGGTGGCTCACACCTATAATCCCAGCACTTTGGGAGGCCAAGGCGGGCGGATCACTTGAGGTCAGGAGTTCGAGACCAGCCTGGCCAACATGGCGAAACCCCATCTCTACTAAAAATACAAAAATTGGCTGGGCGTGGTGGCACATGCCTATAATCCTAGCTACTTGGGAGGCTGAGGCAGGAGAGAATCGCTTGAACCTGGGAGGCAGAGGTTGCAGTGAGCCGAGATCGCACCACTGCACTCCAGCCTGGGCGATAGAGCGAGACTCATTCTCAAAAAAAAAAAAAAAAAAGAAAAGAAAAAAAAAAGGAAAGGACTTATTTCTATACATGTCTCTGACCTTTTTTTTTTCTGGAGGGGTATGTAGTGTACATTTCTGGTTGTAATAAGCAATGTTATTTCTTATATGCCCATCTCTGTTTTAAAGTCCCCTGATACCTCCAGCTTGGGCGAATAGATACCAAATTGCATACTTTTTATTTCAAATAACATTGGCACCTGTTCCAGGTAGCATTCGCTATACTCCTACTAGGGAAAAGTAAAGAACAGTGAAACTGACAGTAACTCTTGGAGCACAATCCTACAGGAAAATGCTTACCAAAACAAAATCTTTGCAATAATCATTTTTCTTTATGGGGAAAAAAACATTAGATAAGGACAACACTGTCTAAATATTTATTTGATGATTTGAAAGGCATTTCCGTTGTTTCAGGACTTGGTGAGGCATAGCCACATTCCTTATCCTAGACAAAGCCACCTCCAAGTAACCAAGGCCAGCATCTGGACTCAGCCACTGGTCACTGAGTTCACCAGGGTAGAGGCTGTCCCCAGGGAAAGAGACCATGCTGGGGCCCAGGGTGTAGGCTATGTTTCCAGAGAAAGTTGCAGCAACATCCCCACCCCAGCTGCCCTTCTGCCGAGTGACTTGCCCCTCCTCCACCAAGAGGTGGAATGGACTTCCCTCCCTTTGCATTGGGCTGGCCCAAGACAGGCTTTGACCAAGAGCACGCAGCAGGAGTCCCTTGGTGTGGCTACCAAGACTGGGCCAGGGGCAGCCTGCAGCTCCTCATCCTCCTTCTGCCTCCTTCACCGTTGTGCACTCCTCCCTAGTACAAGCATGGCCCTAAGCACCACACAGAGACAAGGCTCCCTGAGAAAGAGACCACTTGGAATAAGAGAGACGTCTGTCCAGCCTTCAACTGCTTTAGCCATCCTGCCTGGGCCAGCCCCAGGGGTCCCCGCCCCCAGCCCATCTGCCAACTGACATCACCTGCAGCAAAACTAACCTGGCTGAGCCCTGCCCAACTCTGGACCTACAGAAGTTTGCACATATGAAATGATGGTTGTCATCTTAAACTACTAAGTCCCTGGGCCATTTGTCATTCAATGAAAGGCCCAAGTGACAGGATATAGTTAGGGGTCCCAGCAGCTTGGCAGTAAATGCTGTCAGGGAAACCAGCACAGCAGAAAATGAAGCCTGGGTGGCTGGCCACAATGCCACACCCGCATATCACAAGCTACCACAGCCCCGATTCCAGCGGGCTCCAGGGCAGTGCCATCGGCGCCAGGAGAGAGGGTGTATGGAGCATGCTTGACATAAGTGACTCCATCTTAGAAAAAGACTCCATCTTACATTTCGGAAGGCACCACACCAACAAGGACCAGAGGTTCACCTAATTAATAAAGATGGCACCCAACCAGACCAGGACATAAACAGGCACACTCTTTTACCATCAGTCCTCACCAGAGGACTCTGTGGCCATAAAACATGCAGAACGTCATGAGCTCAAAATGGCCGTCTTAACAGACACTGTCTTGCTGTCACTGGTGATCGGTGCCCAGCATCTGCCACTGAAGGCTCGGCCTGCATCAAAAACTCTTTCTTGCAAGATGTTGACAAGTGCCCGGACCAGCTGAGGACACTGTCCATATTGCTCTCCTTGGACTGGTTTGTGAAACTCTCTTCCTATCCCCTCTACTCTTTTTTTTTTTTTTCTGAAACAGAGTTTCTCTCTGTCACCCAGGCTGAAGTGCAGTGGTGAAATCTTGGCTCACTGCAACCTCTGCCTCCCAGATTCAAGTGATTCTCATGCCTCGGCCTCCCAAGTAGCTGGGACTACAGACTTGGACCGCCACATCCGGCTAATTTTTGTATTTTTAGTAGAGATAGGGTTTCACCATATTGGCCAGGCTGGTCTCAAACTCCGGGCCTCAAGTGATCTACCCACCTCAGCCTCGCATAGTGTTGGGATTACAGGCGTGAGCCATCGTGCCTGGCCTCCCCTTTACTCTTGATGTTAAATGTTGTTTTGTTTGATGTGGAATGTTTAATCTGCAATATTTATATATTGATTAAGTATACTCTAATGTATGGTTTGCAGTATTGACTGACCTGTGGAGGGGTTTCAGCCTGTGTGCCCAAGGCTCTGACTACTGAGTAAATGGGATGTACTAAGGAGAATTGCCTCTGTGGGAACTTCATGTAGTTCATGGCTTTTATAACTGAAATAGCATCAATAAAAGTCCAGCCTTGTGGAAAGACACCAACTTGCATGGATCTGGTTATGTCTGACCTTGTGCTACTCATGACAGATGTGGACAGGATCACATGCTGTAGGGCCTCAGCCACACAGGCTGGTTTCTAAAACAGGCAGCGATTTAGAACACTGAATCTCTGAGGTCGCAGATTCAAATTTTTTTTTTTTTTTTTGAGACGGATTTTCACTCTTGTTGCTCAGGCTGGAGTGCAATGGTGCAGTCTTGGCTCACCACAACCTCCGCCTCCTGGGTTCAAGCAATTCTTCTGCCTCAGCCTCCCGAGTAGCTGGTATTACAGGCATGTGCCACCACGCCCGGCTAATTTTGTTTTTTTTCATTTGTTTGTTTTTGTTTTTGTTTTTTTTTGAGACAGAGTCTCACTCTGTCACCCAGGCTGGAGTTGCAGTGGTGCGATCTCAGCTCACTGCAAGCTCTGCCTCCCGGGTTCATACCATTCTCCTGCCTCGGCCTCCTGAGTAGCTGGGACTACAGGCACCGGCCACCACACCCGGCTAATTTTTTTTTTTTTTTGTATTTTTAGTAGAGACGGGGTTTCACCGTGTTAGCCAGGATGGTCTCGATCTCCTGACCTCGTGATCCACCCGCCTTGGCCCCCGCAAAGTGCTGGGATTACAGGCGTGAGCCAATTTTTGTATTTTTAGTAGAGACGGGATTTCTCCATGTTGGTCAGGCTGGTCTCAAACTCCTGACCTCAGGTGATCGGTCTGCCTCGGCCTCCCAAAGTGCTGGGATTACAGGCGTGAGCCACTGTGCCAGGCCCACAGATTCAATTTTACAGAGTTGGAGGAAAGGCATTTACAGATTCTGCATAGGGCCAGAATGTGTCTTAGCAACTAAATCATGGATGTACGTGTTTGCAGTTGGATCAAATGCCCCAAACAATTCAATATGTTAAATGTTTACATCAGAACACTTGTATCAGAATCTTTCTGTTTCTGCACTTAGCTCTGTAGTTTCTTTGGACCTTTGTGCCTGGTTTGTCATAGGCTAGGAGCCTCCCATAGGTTCCAGCAACAGCACACAAGTGAAGGAATGGGACAGGTGTAAAAAAAACCCACAAATAGAATGAGGACAATGCTGATGATGACATCTGCAGAGGGAAGACGACAGACCATTTCCGCAACACTGAACCCAGAGTGAAGAACGTTGCTGGAGGAAATAGCAGAGGAAACCACAACTCAGAGGAAGCCACAGCTAGACAAGCAGCTACTGGTGGGATGGGATGATGGAGGGTGGAGCCATGGAAGAAACTACTGTGCTCTGTAGAGTCTGGGATGGGGCCAGGGCTCCACAGTTAGAGGCAGGAGAGTCCAGTAGGGCTGAAAATCAATCAGGATTGAAGACCTGTGTGTAGAACAGTCAACACCCCCATCCCCACCCCACCCCATGCACAGAACTGTGAGGACATCCAGCCAGGTAATGACTCCAGGCAAAGAATCATGTGCACAGTCTGGAGGGACTTGAGCAGCTGGTGTGCATGACCAGAGTAAAGGCCTCCCCACAAAGGGTGATCTAAAGGCAGCAGTCCCTGTTCATGTCCCAGAGTTTCTGTCAGCTTTTATAGTCCCTCATTCTCAAATATAAAAGCTTAACAGAGGCTCGCTGCAGAATTAGAGAAAACCTGTGGTATGAAAGAAAGCAATGAGGATTCCAAAAGAGAGAGAAAGACAAAGATAGAAGTTTAACCTCAAAGAACACAGAGAGAATTCAGAGAACATAAGAACATAAAACAGGCCTGGCACGGTGGCTCAGGCCTGTCATCCCAGTACTTTGGGAGGACGAGGCGGGCAGATCACGAGTTCAGGAGATTGAGACCAGCCTGGCCAACGTGGTGAAATCCTGTCTTTACTAAAAATACAAAAATTAGCTGGGCATGGTGGCAGACGCCTGTAATCCCAGCTACTCAGGAGGCTGAGGCAGGAGAATCGCTTGAACCCATGAGGTGGAGGTTGCACTGAGACGCCGTCTCACAAAGAAAAAAGAACATAAAACAAAGAACATGAAAGAACAGAACTTCTTTGATCAGCATCCCCAGAGAGATTTTAGAAAATATTCCATCCATAAAACAATAAAACAAGAACATGACACAGTGAAAAATAAGCCCTGTGAGAAGAACCACAGTAAAAGCCTCTGGAAATTAAAATTATGGTTCACAAAATGTAAAATAATAAATATGGGTGGACAATAATGTTTAGGAGGTCACAGAGAATAAAGAGAACAGGAAACAGAAAATAGGCCAGAAACAATAAGAGATATAGATGATTAATACAGAGGTACAACACCTACCCAGTAGGAATTCCAGAAAGAGGAAAAGAAGGAAAGAAGAGGCTGGGCGTGGTGGCTCACGCCTGTAATCCCAACACTTTGGGAGGCGGAGGACGGCAGATCACGAGGTCAGGAGTTCACAACCAGCCTGGCCAACATGGTGAAACCCCGTCTCTACTGAAAATACAAAAATTATTTCTGCGCTACCCACAGAGGGGTCCATACGGCGTTCTGGATTCCCATCGTAACTTCAAGGAAAACTTTCACAATGTGCGGAGCCCTTGATGTCCTGCAAATGAAGAAGAAGGATGTCCTTAAGTTCCTTGCAGCAGGAACCCACTTAGGTGGCACCAATCTTGACTTCCAGATGAAACAGTACATCTATAAAAGGAAAAGTTATGGCACCTACATCACAAATCTGAAGAGGACCTGGGAGAAGCTTCTGCTGGCAGCTCATGCCATTGTTGCCATTGAATACCCTGCTGATGTCAGTGTCATATTCTCCAGGAATACTGGCCAGAGGGCCGTGCTGAAGTTTGCTGCTGCCACTGGAGCCACTCCAATTGCTGGCCGCTTCACTCCTGCAACCTTCACTAACCAGATCCAGGCAACCTTCCGGGAGCCACGGCTTCTTGTGGTTACCGACCCCAGGGCTGACCACCAGCCTCTCACGGAGGCATCTTATGTTAACCTACCTACCATCGCTCTGTGTAACACAGATTCTCCTCTGCACTGTGTGGACATTGCCATCCCATGCAACAACAAGGGAGCTCCCTCAGTGGGTCAGATATGGTGGATGCCAGCTCGGGAAGTTCTGCACATGCGTGGCACCATTTCCTGTGAACACCCGTGGGAGGTCATGCCTGATCTCTACTTCTACAGAGATCCTGAAGAGATTGAAAAAGAAGAGCAGGCTGCTGCTGAAAAGGCTGTGACCAAGGAGGAATTTCAGGGTGAGTGGACTGCTCTAGCTCCTGAGTTCACTGCTACTCAGCCTGAGATTGCAGACTGGTTTGAAGGTATGCAGGTGCCCTCTGTGCCTATTCACAGTTCCCTACTAAAGACTGGAGTGCTCAGCCTGCCACGGAAGTCTAGTCTGCAGCTCCCACTGCTCAGGCCACTGAGTGGGTAGCAGCAACCACTGATTGGTCTTAAGCACTTCTTGCACAGGCCCTTAAGCAACATGGAAATAAAGTTGATGGAAAATAAACATCAGTTTCCAAAAAAAAAAAAAAAAAAGTAAAGAAGAGAGACAGAAAGAAAGAAACAGAACATAAAATGAAGGATAGAAAATTATAAAATAAATAGTCCCGGCTCAGTGGCTCAAGCCTGTAATCCCAGCACTTTGGGAGGCTGAGGCAGGCAGATCACCTGAGGTCGGGAGTTCGAGACCGGACTGGCCAACATGGTGAAACCCCCGTCTCTATTAAAAATACAAAAACTAGCCAAGCCTAGTGGTGCACACCTGTAATCCCAGCTTCTCAGGAGGCTGAGGCAGGAGAATCGCTTGAACCTGGGAGGTGGAGATTGCAGTGAACCGAATTCGTGCCACAGCACTCCAGACTGGATGATAAGAGTAAGACTCTGTCAAAAAAAAAAAAAAAAGAAAGAAAGAAAAGGAAAGAAAATTTAAAAATAAATAATTAACTTTTCTGAAGAAAGCTAATGAAGAAAGACACAATCTTCAGATTGAAAGAGGCATTGGACCAGGCATGGTGGCTCACAACTGTAATCCCAGCTACTTAAGAGACCAAGATGGGAGGATCACTTGAGGACAGGAGTTTGAGGCCAGCTTGGCCAACATAGCGAATCCCTTGTTTCAAACAAACAAACAAAAAAGAATGAAAGAGGCATTGAGAGTATGAATTACTACAACCACTTTGAAGAACATCTTGATGATAATTCATGGAGCTGACTGTCCCTAGGCTCAGTAATTTTCCTGTCAGGTTCATTCCCTGGGGGCAGAGCTTACCGACTTGGAGCTCTTCGTGTGCTGTGAGATGAATGCAGACCTGCCGGGTTTAGAGTCTCAGTCCTCAGGATGTCTGAGCAGGGCCAGGAGCAGCTGGAACAGCCAGGGATCGGCCCCTCCTGCTGGGAGCAGCTCCTCCGTCCACTGATTCCTGTGTGCCACACCATGCGGTGCCACGTCCACTGTGCACCGTCATGCGACAAGACTGGGAAGTGCTTCCCTAGAAAGACACTACACTAAGCACATAAGATGTAGGCAATTAATTGCAGCATTGTTTGTGGGAGCAAAATAAATGGGAATAGCCTAAATGTCTACCAGTGGAAAGTGGATTAAACAATAACACGCTGAGAAGCCTTCAGGTCGGTGAACACATGGATGGGTCTGCAGGGCGGTGCCCTGGAGAAAGCATGGAGCCCTCGCCCTCCCCCAGACCTGGCCCTATGTATCTCTTCATCTGACTGTTCCTGAGTTGTATCCTTTATAATAAACCCACAATCTAGTAAATAGACCATTTTCCTAAATTCTGTAAGCCATTCTAGCAAATTGTCAAGCCCAAGAAGGGGGTCTTAGGAATGCTGGATGTATAGCTTGTTTGTCAGAAATACAGGCAATACTTAGATTTGAAATTGGCAGCGGAAGCTGAGGGTGGGGCAGTCTTGTGGGACACAGCCCTTAACCTGTGGGATTTGATGCTATCTCAGATAGATGTTGTCAGAATTGAGTTAAATTGTAGGACACCCATTTGGTGTCTTCCAAGGACCTGAATTGAATTTGTTGTAGGCAAACAACTCACACATTTGGTCACAGAAGTGTTCTAAAGTTGAGAGAAAAAAGTAGGTTTTTTCCTATACATTTGATGTTAGAGAATGGATTTCTAGGGATTTGCTAGAACAGCCCTGACTCATGGAAACAAGTGGTTTGGAAAGAGAAAGGATGAAAGGATGAGAGATCAGGAACCTTTGATCCCTGGATGGCTACGTGGTCACCCAAGGTATGAAAGTGCAGCTGGGCTGCATTCAGTGACCAAAGGTAAAAGTTACCCATGGAATTTGGAGATGGTATTAGACCCAACTCTTGAGTTGGCCCTTTGGGTACATAAGGAAATGCAAAATAATCAGAAGCATGCTAAACATACAATTCCGAGGGTACTGTGAGAATGTAATAGCTAAAATGAAATTAAAAGAGAGTGCTGGCTTGGACCTTGAGGCTAGACCAAACTCAGATGTGGGTTAGTCCAAGCTTCAGCCACTAGCCTCAAAGCCACCCCCAAAAGAAAAAGTACTTCTGGCTGGGGGCGGTGGCTCACACTTGTAATCCCAGCACTTTGGGAGGCTGAGGCGGGCAGATCACAAGGTCAAGAGATTGAGACCATCATGGCCAACATGGTGAAACCCTGTCTCTACTAAAACTACAAAAATTAGCTGGGTGTGGTGGCGTGCGCCTGTAATCCCGGCTACTTGGGAAGCTGAGGCAGGAGAATCACTTGAACCTGGGAGGCGGAGGTTGCAGTGAGCCGAGATCACGCCACTGCACTCTGGCCTGGCGACAGAGAGAGACCTTGTCTCAAAAAAAAAAAAAAGAAAAAGTACTTCCAAGACCTCTGCTCACCAACAAGGTTGTCCATGTGACAGGATGGCAAAACTAAGAAAGGACTACAGCCAGGGGTACGGAGTGAAGGAGTTGTTTCATTCTGTGAATCAGTCCACCAGCTTCCTGAGGAGACTTTACTAAAGTGGATTGTGAGAGTAACTCTTTTAGGGGCAGTATTTTTGGTTTTAAATGCCACAGAGTAGAAGAGCAGTTTAGGCTGATACAGTTCACTATGAAACAATCACCAATGACTATACGTGATCCAGACACACAAAGGAAATTCCCTAGGGAACAGCCAGCCTGGTGGACTGAGTAAAGCCACTGAAAGGTCTGTTTACCACCAGACTCCACCTTGATGCTAAGTGGAGCCCTGCAGATGAAGCAGCTGAAATGCTTTGTATGCAAGCCCTGTGGGACTGGCTTTATGATGACTGGAATATTCACCCACCAAATATGCCTGTTACCCAGGTCATGGTAAATGCTGTGGTTAAGGGGGCTCCTTTTGCATGGGTGTAGCATGTGACATTACTTCTGCAGAATCAGAGGACAATCCACAAATCCTTATCAGATAATCTGTCTCAGCTTCCCTGTATAGGTCTTACTGATACCAACGACATTAAAGTGATTTAATGGCCGGGTGCGGTGGCTCACACCTGTAATCCCAGCACTTTGGGAGGCTGAGGTGGGAGTTTGAGATCAGCCTGGGCAACACAGTGAAACCCTGTCTCTACCAAAAAAAAAAATACAAAAAATTAGCTGGGTGTGGTGGCATACCCCTGTAGTTGCAACTACTTGGGGTGCTGAGGTGGGAAGATTGAAAGAAAGAAAGAGAGGGAGGGAGGGAGGGAGGGAAGGAAGGAAGGAAGGGAAGGAGGGAAGGAAAAAAAGAAAGAGAAAGAAAGAGAGAGAGAGGAAGGAAGGGGGGGAGACAGAGAAAGAAGAAAGAAAGAAAGAAAGAGAAAGAAAGGAAGAAAGAAGGAAAGAAAAGAAAATGGAGAGACAGAGGCAAGAGTCAAGAAATTTGTCCCAGCAGGTGGAAGACTTTGGATGAAAAATGGGATGAATGTGACAAACACTGACGGTGCTAAACAAAGGTGTTGATGCAGCACTATCAAAACCAATGGGACCTCCTACTCATACCCTACCTTAAATGGCCCTGTCTTCAGGGCCGGGCGTGGTGGCTCACGCCTGTAATCCCAGCACTTTGGGAGGCCAAGGTGGGTGGATCATCTGAGGTAGGGAGTTCGATACCAGCCTGACCAACAAGGAGAAACCCCGTCTCTACTAAAAATACAAAATTAGCCAGGCCTGGTGGCGCATGCTTGTAATCCCAGGTACTTGGGAGGCTGAGGCAGGAGAATCATTTGAATCTGGGAGGCGGAGTTGGCAGTGAACCAAGATGGCGCCATTGCACTCCAGCCTGGGCAGCAAGAGTGAAACATCATCTCACACACACACACAAAAGGGCCTTGTCTTTGTTTGTTCTGCTCTAAGGGTGTCTACAATGAGTCAAAAATCTGTAAAATATTTGAAGATAGTTACTCTGAGGCGAATATGAGTGACCAATGGCCCACGACACAGCCCTTAGGAGACCCTGAGAGCGTGTGCCCAAGGTGGTCAAGGCACAACCTAGTTTTACACATTTAAGGGAGACATGAGACATCAATCAAATACATGTAGGATATGCATTGGTTCAGTCTGGAAAGGCAGGACAAGTGGTTGAAAGAGTTAAGTTATTATCTAACGACCTGGAATGAATAGAAAGGAATGTTTGATAAAGGAATGATAAGGGGTTGTAGAGACCAAAGTTGTACCATGCAGATAAAGCCTCCAGGTAGCAGGCTTCAGTGAGAACAGACTGTAAAGGTTTCTTATTATACTTAAGATCTGTGTTGATCTTAAATGCTGGTCAGCTTTTCCTGAATCCCAAAAGACGGCAGGGTGAGGGTGTAATGAGGTATGTTCAACCCTCCCTTCCTGTCATGGCCTGAGACAACTTTGGAAAGTCCTTGGCTGAAAGGAAGGGTCCATTCAGATGGTTGGCGGGAGGGGTGGGGAGGCTTAGAATTTTGCTTTTGGTTTACAATAGAATACCACAGACTAGTTAATTTATAAAGAACAAAATTGGCTCACGTCTGTAATCCCAGCACTTTGGGAGGCAGAGGCAGGTGGCACCTGAGGTCAGGAGTTCGAGACCAGCCTGGCCAACGTGGTAGAACCCTATCTCTACCAAATATACAAAAAATTAGCCAGGCGTGGTGGTGGGCACCTGTAATCCCAGCTACTCGGGAGGCTGAGGCAGGAGAATTGCTTGAACCTGAGAGGTGGAAGTTGCAGTGAGCCGAGATGGCGCCATTGCACTCCAGCCTGGGCAACAAGAGCAAAATTCTGTCTAAAAAAAAACAAAAACAAAAACAAAACAGAACAAAATTGAATTTCATACAGTTCTGGAGGTTGAGAAGTCCAAGTTCAAGGGGCTGCATCTTGTGAGGGCCTCCTTGCTGCTTCATCCCATGGCAGAAGGTGGAAGAGCAAGAGAGTACCCAGGAGCAAGCAAGGGGAAGCAGGCTGGACTCATTCTTTTATCAGGAGCCCATTCCTGCAATAACAGCATTCATCCATTCATAAAGGCAGAGCCCTCATGACCTAATCACCTCTTATGGGTTCCACCTCCCAACGCTGCTGCATTGAGGATTAAGTTTCCAACACATAAATTTTGGGGAACACATTCACAACATAGCACAGTCAAATCAATAATTTTTATAAAACTCAAGACTGAAACCTATCTGATATTGTTTGGACTTGTGTCCCCGCCCGAATCTCATGCAAATTGTAATCCCCAGTGTGAGAGGAGGGGCCTGGTGAGAGGTGATTGGACTGTTGGGGCAGACATTCCCCCTTGCTATTCTGGTGATAGTGAGTTCTCACGAGATTTGGTTGTCTAAAAGTGTGTAGCACCTCCCCTGTCGTCCGTTTCCTCCTGCTCCAGCCATGTAGGTCATGCCTGCTTCCCTTTCACCTTCTGCCATGATTGTAAGTTTCCTGAGGCCTCCCCAGCCATGCTCACTATAGAGCCTGCAGAACCATGAGCCAATTCAACCTCTTTTCTTTATAAATTACCCAGTCTCAGGTAGTTCTTTATAGCAATGCAAGAATGAACTAATACACTACCCAGTCATTCGTTGCACAAATATGGATGAATATGGGTTGAAATACTTTGCTGGAGGGGGAGCATGCCCGATCCATGCGCCATGGAGCTTTGATGCAGGGCCAAGCTTGTGATAGATGGCTGGAATGTGAAGTCAAGAGAGCTCTAGGCACCCACCAGGAAGGTCTGGCCCTGCCTGGGCATCAAAAAAAGCTGCCTTGATAAAGTGGTGGTTACGCTGAGGTCTAAAGGACTAACAGGGCTAAGAAGGGGAAGAGGAGCAAAAGGCCATTCCAGGTGTCCTGAAAGCACTTGCAGCTTTTTTTTTTTTTTTTTTTTTTTTTGAGACGGAGTTTCGCTCTTTTTGCCCAGGCTGGAGTGCAATGGTGCGATCTCGGCTCACTGCAACCTCCGCCTCCCAGGTTCAAGCGATTCTCCTGCCTCAGCCTCCCAAGTAGCTGGCATTACAGGCATGCACCACCACCCAGGCTAATTTTGTATTTTTAGTAGACACGGGGTTTCTCCATGTTGGTCAGGCTGGTCTTGAACTCCTGATCTCAGGTGTTCCACCCACCTCTGCCTCCCAAAGTGCTGGGATTACAGGCGCGAGCCACCGCGCCCGGCCAGCACTTGTAGCTTAAAAAAAAAAACCATTTCTGAGAAGCTAACTCTGGGATATGAAGCCAGAAGAGAAGTTATTGAATAAAATGAGAAACTGGCCGGCAAGGTGGCTCACTCCTGTAATCCCAGTACTTTGGGAGGCCGAGGCAGGCGGATCACTTGAGGCCAGGAGTTCAAGACCAGCCTGGCCAACATAGTGAAAACCGTCTCTACTAAAAATACAAAAATTAACCAAGCACGGTGTTGGGCGCCTGTAATCCCAGCTACTCAAGAGGCTGAGGCAGGAGAATCGCTTGAACCTGGGAGGCAGAGATTGCAGTGAGCCGAGATCACGCCACTGCACTCCAACCTGGGCAACAGAGCAAGACCCTGTCTCAAGAAGAAAAAAAAAAGAAATTTTTGATTATGAATAGGCACATTGTCAGACTACTCAAGAATTAGTGATGCCATTTCCATGCCTTAGAAGAGATTTATTCACAGGATCCTGGGCACAGCATGCGGATTGGGTTTCATCCCCACAGTGAGCAATCTGGTAGATTCCACACTTCTACTATCCTGAAGGTTACGTTTTATCTAAGATTGGTACTCTTTTTGTAATTGCTAAAACACAATATTCAACTGCTTTTGAGTAGCTAGGTAGCTTCATACAAGATAAATTTCCTCTATCTCAATAAACAGACTGAATTTTATATCGTTTGGAAATGTTTTTGCCCCAAGATTCTATGGACATTTTTGTCACATGCGTCCGGGTGAAGACACCACCAAACAGGCTTTGTGTGAGTAACAAGGCTGTTTATTTCACCTGGGTGCAGACGGGCTGAGTCCGAAAGGAGAGTCAGCAAAGGGTGGTGGGATTATCATTGGTTCTTTTTCTTTTTTGGAGATGGAGTCTCGCTCTGTCACCCAGGCTGGAGTGCACTGGCGCAGTCTCAGCTCACTGCAAGCTCCGCCTCCCGGGTTCACGCCATTCTCCTGTCTCACCCTCCCGAGTAGCTGGGACTACAGGCACCCGCCACCACGCCCAGCTAAATTTTTGTATTTTTACTAGAGACGGGGTTTCACTGTGTTAGCCAGGATGGTCTCGATCTTCTGAACTCGTGATCTGGCTGCCTCGGCCTCCCAAAGTGCTGGGATTACAGGCCTGAGCCATCGTGCCCCCCTGATTATCATTAGTTCTTATAGGTTTTGGGATAGGTGGTGGGGTTAGGAGCAATGTTTTGTGGGCAGGGGGTGGATCTCACAAAGTACATTCTCAAGGGTGGGGAGAATTACAAAGAACCTTCTTAAGGGTGGGGGAGATTACAAAGTACATTGATCAGTTAGGGTGGGGCAGGAACAAATCACAGTGTAGGAATGTCATCAGTTAAGGCTATTTTCACTTCTTTTGTGGATCTTCAGTTGCTTCAGGCCATCTGGAGCATATCCTGCAGGTCACAGGGGATATGATGGCTTAGCTTGGGCTCAGAGGCCTGACAATTTTTTTCTCAGAATTTAGAATGTTAACTACAGGAGAAGTTAGAAGCTTTTTATTGCCAAAGAAATATTTTATAATATCTTTTATTTGAATGTATTATTTTATTACAGATGTGCCCATTTGATTTTTGCTGTTTACAGTGACGAGTATATCAGAGTACAAAATTATAATTTTTTTTCTTTTTTGAGACGGAGTCTTGCTCTGTCACCCAGGCTGGAGTGCAGTGGCACAATCTCAGCTCACTGCAAGCTCTGCCTCCCAGGTTCACGCCATTCTCCTGCCTCAGCCTCCCGAGTAGCTGGGGCTACAGGCACCCACCACCAGGCCCAGCTAATTTTTTTGTATTTTTACTAGAGACGGGGTTTCACTGTGTTAGCCAGGATGGTCTCGATCTTCTGACCTCGTGATCTGGCTGCTTCGGCCTCCCGAAGTGCTGGGATTACAGGCCTGAGCCACCGTGCCTGGCTGATTATCATTAGTTCTTATAGGTTTTGGGATAGGAGGTGGAGTTAGGAGCAATGTTTTGCAGGCAGGGGGCGGATCTCCTGAGGTCAGGAATTCGAGACCAGCCTGGCCAGGGTGGTCAGGAGTGGTGGCAGGCGCCTGTAGTCCCAGCTACTCGGGAGGCTGAGACAGGAGAATCGTTTGAACCTGGTAGGCGGAGGTTGCAGTGAGCCGAGATCACACCATTGTACTCCAGCATGGGCAACAGAGTGAGACTCCGTCTCAAAAAAAAAAAAAAGCCAGTGGTTATTGTTTGTTCGAACTATATCTGTCCATCTTATGGAACTTTCCTGTTAGTTCCACTAGTTTTTCCGTTATATAAAATGCATAAATAACCGTCATGCATTTTGTGTGTAAGACAGTCATCTATTTTATTATTCATACTCCCTGGTTTTTTCCCTCCTATTGCATTAAGCCAGCACTTTGGGAGACCTAGGTGGGTGGATCACCTGAGGTCAGGAGTTCAAGACCAGCCTGGCCAACATGGTGAAACCCCGTCTCTACTAAAAATACAAAAATTAGCCAGGTGTGGTGTCAGGCACTTCTAATCCCAGCTACTCAGGAGGCTGAGGCACAATAATCTCTTTAACCTGGGAAGCGCAGGTTGCAATTAGCCAATATTGTGCCCCTGCACTCCAGCCTGGGCAACAGTGCAAGACTCTGTCTCAGCAACAACAATTAGCGGGGCGTGGTAGCACATGCCTGTAATCCCAGCTACTCCGGAGGCCGAGGCAGAATTGCTTGAACCTGGGAGGCAGAGGTTGCAGTGAGCCGAGATCTCACCTCTGCTTTCCAGCCTAGGCGACAAGAGCAAAACTCTGTCTCAAAAAGAAAAGAAAAGAAAAGAAAATAGGCCTGCTGCGGTGGCTCATGTCTGTAATCCCAGCACTTTGGGAGGCCAAGGCAGGCTAATCTATTGAGTCTAGGAGTTTGAGACCCGGCTGGGCAACATAGTGAGGCCCCTACCCTTACAAACAATAAACAAAATTAGCCAGGCATAGTGGCATGCACCTCACCTGTGGTCCCAGAAACTCAGGAAGCTGAAGTGGGAGGATTGCTTGAACCTGGGAGGTCAAGGCTGCAGTCAGCCAAGATCACACCACTACACTCCAGCCTAGGCAAGACCCTGCCCTCTAGCCTGGGAAAGACCTGTCTCAAAAAAAAAAAAAAAAAAAAAAAGAAAGAAAGAAAAGAAAAGAAAAAAGAAAATGAAGGAAAGAAAATCTGCCAGGAAAATGTTGAAGGAGAGGAAGAATGAGAGCACACAATCCTATCACAAGTCAAAGTAGCCAACGGCATTGAAACGAAAATTAGTGGCTTTCGCACTGATGGAGGCAACTCAACAAATGGGAGTTTAGTACATGACAAAGGTCACAGTAATTTTTTATTTATTGTTGGTTTTAAAGCCAGGCTCTTGCTCTGTTGCCCAGGCCTTGACCTCATGTGCTCAAGCAAATCTCCCACCTCAGCCACTGAGTAGATTATAGGTGCACACCACCATGCCCAACTAATTTTGTTTATTTCTTATAGAGACAGGGTCTCACTATGTTGCCCAAGCTGGTCTCGAACTCCTGAGCTCAAGAAATCCTCCCACCTCGCTCTCCCAAAGCGTTGGGATTACAGGCATGAGCCACCACAGAATGGATTATTTTTAAAATAATAGTGTTGAAACAATGATCTCTGTGGAAAAACTGCAATATTTTCCTCAGATCACACACCCTTAAAATTTATTTTATTGATTAAGGTCCTAGATGTAAGCATATTACAAAAGCACTGAAAGAAACCAAGGGAGTATATTTCTCTTTCCTTCCTTCCTTACTTCCTTCCTTCCTTTTTTTGAGATGGAGTCTCGCTCTGTCGCCCAGGCTGGAGTGCAATGGTGCGATCTCGGCTCACTGCAACCTCAGCCTCCCAGGTTCAAGTGATTCTCCTGCCTCAGCCTCCCGAATAGCTGGGACTACAGACACACGCCACCACGCCCAGCTAATTTTTGTATTTTTAGTAAAGATGGGGTTTCACCATGTTGGCCAAGATGGTCTCGATTTCTTGACCTCGTGATCCACCTGCCTCAGCCTCCCAAAGTGCTGGGATTACAGGCATGAGCCACAGTGCCTAGCCCCAAGGGAGTATATTTCTATAAGTCTTAGATGGTAAAGTATTTACTAATTAGGACATGAAATACACAAGTTATAAAGAAAATAAACTGGCCGGGCACGGTGGCTCACACCTGTAATCCCAGCACTTTTGAGAGGCCTGAGATCAGGAGTTCGAGACCAGCCTGGCCAATATGGTGAAACCTCTTCTCTACTAAAAATACAAAAAAATAGCCAGGTGTGGTGGCAGGCACCTGTAATCCCCGCTACTCGGGAGTCTGAGGCAGGAGAATTGCTTGAACCCGGGAGGCAGAGGTTGCAGTGAGCCAAGATCGCACCATTGTACTCCAGCCTGGGCAACAGAGCAAGACAACATCTCAAAAAAAAAAACAACTGTATATATATGGATGGTCAATAAAAGATGCTTTCTCTTAATAGTTATCAGATAAATGTAAAGTAAAACAGTGAGATATCATTTAAACTATTTAGATGGGCATAAATATTAAAGATTAATAACATACAGTGCAGACCAATGCATATGTACATATATGGAAAGGGGAGGAAGACCATATCCCCATACAATTTTGGTAGAAAATTTTTATGGAATTTTTAGATGAACCCTTTGAAGCATCTATCAACATTTTACAGTATGCATGTACTTTATGACAACAATTACATTTCCAAAAAGCTATCCCATAGAAACATTCATGCATGTATACAAGTGTTTATAGAAGTATTGTTTATCACAATGGAAAAATGGAAACAACCTAAATGTTCATCAAAAGGGAAATTTAAATAAACTATAGCACCTTTTTAATACAGAAAACTAAGTAGTGGTTTTAAAAAAATAAGGAATTTCAATTCAGGATGGCAGACCAATCATACATACCTACCTCTCACCTGATGAGGCCTCATGATACAGAATTCAGAGGCACAGGAGTGAATAAATCCAAATAAAGCAAGAATGAGGTGGTGGTGCAGGAGAAAGTGGTGACCAACAGATGAGAAATTTCAGTACACTTGCGGGAAACACATACCAGTGGAGAGCACGTTCACCTAATTACGAACATTATGTAAGTGTGGTGAGCTCCAGCAAGTAGGTAGGATGGAGGACAGAAGCCAGGATTGGGGTAAATGGGGAGAACTAACTGTTTGGGTTGGGTCCCTCACTTACTCCTCACCCCCGCAATGGATAATTCAAGAGAACAAGACACATATTTGAAAGTCTCTAACATTATATATATATATATATATATAGTTTGTGTTTTGTTTTGTTTTTTTTTTGAGACAGAGTCTCGCCCTGTCGCCATGCTGGAGTGCAGTGGCACGATCTCGGCTCACTGCAATCTCCGCCTCCCAGATTCAAGCAATTCTCCTGCCTCAGCCTCCTGAGCAGCTGGGATTACAGGCATGTTCCACCACACCCAGTTAATTTTTGTAATTTTAGTAGAGACAGGGTTTCACCATGTTGGCCAGGATGGTCTCCATCTCCTGACCTTGTGATCCCCTGCCTTAGCCTCCCAAAGTGCTGAGATTACAGGCGTGAGCCACTGAGCCCGGCCAAATATATATATATTTTGTACCACAAAACAAAGCCAGGAAAAATGGGGAATTATTATTTAATGGGTACAGGGTTTCATTCGTAGGGCATCAGAATGTGCTATCCCAGGACGCTTGCAGTGGCTCATGCCTGTAATCATAGCACTTTGGGAGGTGGAGGTGGGCAGATTGCATGCCTGTAGTAACAGCTAATCTGGAGGCTCAAGTGGGAGGATCACCTAAGCCCAGGAGGTTGAGGCTGCAGTGAGGCATGATCAAGCCACTGCACTCCAGCCTGGGTAACAAAGTGAGATGTTGTCTCAAAAAAAAGTGTTATCCCGGCTGGGCGTGGTGGCTCACACCTGTAATCCCAGCACTTTGGGAGGCCCAGGTGGACAGATCACAAGGTCAGGGGTTCAAGACCAGCTTGGCCAATATGGTGAAACCCCGTCTCTACCAATAATGTAAAAATTAGCCAGGCATGGTGGTGGGCGCCTATAGTCCCACCTACTCAGGAGGCTGAGGCAGGAGAATCACTTGAACCTGGGAGGCAGAGGTTGCAGTTAGCCGAGATCGTGCCACTGCACTCCAGCCTGGGCGACAGAGCGAGACTCCGTCTCAAAAAAAAAAAGTGTTATCCCAAAACATGTCTTTTGACATAATTATTATTTTGAGCCAAAGACTCAATAATTGAGAAGCAGCAGATGCCAAAAAAGCTCTCTGTCCTCCCCCTCATTTGCCTAAAAGCAGGCTTAGAGGCTTAATCACCTGAGGCTCTTTTTGGCCCAGAGACAGCACCCAAGGGGAATCTGGGTAACAAACCTTGCCAAAACAACAATCTTCCTTCCCAAGTTTCCCTGCACATCTTCACCTTCCCACGGATTGCTGTTTAGAAAAGCCTAGACATCTTTTCCTCTGTCTCATCACTTCTCTAAGAATATATTGTTCTTTGTCAAGATGCAATACAAGCTTATGTCTAACCACCCCTTTGAGTTACTCATCCCTGAGTGCTCCCTGTGTATGCACAGTGCACATGTTAACAAACTTATGTTTGTTTTTGTCTTGTTAATCTGTCTTTTGTCAGTTTAATTTCCAGGGCCCCAGCTGGTAAACCTGGAAGGGTAGGGGAGAAGCTTTTTTCCCTCCCCTCCACAGTTTTGCAAGATGATAAAAGTTCTGTGGGCTGGGCGTGGTGGCTCATGCCTGTAATCTCAGCACTTTCGGAGGCTGAGGTGGGAGGATTGCTTGAGCTCAGGAGTTCAAGACCATCCTGGGCAACACAGCAAAACTCCGTCTCTACAAAAAATACAAAAATTAGCTGGGTGTGGTGGTGTGCGCCTGTAGTTCCAGCTACTTGGGGTACCGAGACAGGAAAATCACTTGAGCCCAGGAGGTAGAGGTTGCACTGAGCCAAGATTGCACCACTGCACTCCAGCCTGTGGAACAGAACAAAACTGTCTCAAAAAAAAAAAAAAAAAAAAAAAAAAAGTGGGGGGGACGTGGGGAGTACAAACTTGTCTGTGTCCTCTGTGCTTCCCATTTCCTCCTATCTGTGGTGGCATGGCTGCAGCTCCGGCAGCTACCTTGGGACCAGAGGGAAGGCAGGCAGGAGACACTGAGACCTCAACCACAGCATCCAGCTGGGAAACTCCAAAAACCACCAGTCCCATGCTGCTTTTTCATAAACCCTTTTAGTTTGAGTCACTATTATTATTATTATCATTACTATTTTGAGACAGAGTCTTGCTCTGTCTCCCAGGCCGGAGTGCACTGGCATGATCTCCGCTCACTGCAACCTCCGCCTCCCAGGTTCAAGCAATTCTCCTGCCTCGCCCTCCCGAGTAGCTGGGACTACAGGTGTGTGCCACCACGCCTGGCTAATTTTTTTATTTTTATTAGAGACAGGGTTTCACCATGTTAGTCAGGATGGTCTCAATCTCCTGACCTCATGATCCCCTTGCCTCGGTCTCCCAAAGTGCTGGGATTACAGGCATGAGCCACCACGCCCGGCCAAGTCACTATTATTTTGTGCTTCCTGTTATATGCAGCCAAAGGCAATCCCTAACTGATGCATTCTTGTTATATCCTATTCCTGTTTCGTTTCCTGACAGCACCTAGCAGAAACCTTTGCAGAGCAGCCTTTTTACAAAGACTTGTTGAGCAAAAGAAATTGACTCAGGATTGTTATAACTTATATCAAACTGAGAACAGCACCACAAAATGCACTGGTGCCCTGAAGACCTCATAAAGGGAAGCAGAAGCCTTCCCCAGGGAGGAACACGAAGAACTAACAACTCTGCATGCTAAGGAAACTTCCATCAGTCTTGTCTAAGGAGGAAGGTGGATAGATGACGTCCTAGCAGATGAGGTAATAAGACAGAGCCTCCACTGTGAATTTATGTGCTTCAGCCCCTTGGGAGGTAAACTGCCTGAAACCAATCAACTTGTGGGCATTAGTGGCAAGGAGCAGGTGACAAATCACCCCCTGCTCATTATAACAGAAGCCAGAATGCCTCAGCTGTCAGGGAGAGAGAGAGGTGTTAACCCCTCACGTCCTCTCCTGCAACGGGGGCACTTCATGGAGACTAGAGAATTATTTCCCTTTATTCTTGGTAGTCAATAACAATCACTTATACCACAAGAGACAAAAGAATTCTTAGCTCTCCTTATTAAAAAGACTATTAAACCGGGCCAGGCACAGTGGCTCACGCCTATAATCCCAGCACTTTGGGGGGCCAAGGCGGGCAGATCATGAGGTCAGGAGTTCGAGACCAGCTTGACCAACATGGTAAAATCCCATCTCTACTAAAAATACAAAAAGTAGCCAGGCGTGGTATCACGCACCTGTAATCCCAGTGACTCAGGAGGCTAAGGCAGGAGAATTGCTTGAACCCGGGAGGCAGAGGTTGCAGTGAGCCAAGATCGGGCCACTGCACTCCAGTCTGAGCAACAGAGCGAGACTCCATCTCAAAAAAAAAAAAAGTGGCCTGGTGTGGAGGCTCATGCTTGTAATCCCAGCACTTTGGGAGGCCAAGGTGGGTGGATCACGAGGTCACGAGTTTGAGACCAGCCTGGCCAGTATGGTGAAAGCCCGTCTCTACTAAAAATACAAATATTAGCCAGGCATAGTGGTACCTGCCTGTAATCCCAGCTACTCGGGAGGCTGAGGCAGGAGAATTCTTGAACCCGGAAGGCAGAGGTTGCAGTCAGCCAAGATAACGCCACTGCACTCCAGCCTGGGACAGAGCAAGACTCTGTCTCAAAAATAAATAAATAAATAAATAAATAAATACTATTAAACCATAAATCACACAGGTCACAGAAGCATAGAACGAATATTCAAGTTGCCTGTCCGCTTTCATTTTCGAGATCAGAAACTTGGGGCTGGAAAAGCTAAATATTTGGCAACTAATTTGGGAACTTAAATTCATGCTTGTAAAGCTCTTAATGTCTAAAAGGAAAATGGATAATATTGATATTCTCATTCACTATCATTGCACTCCCCACCACCCCCAAATGTGGATGCTTAACTGTATTTTGTTTTCTTTGTTGTGAACTGATCTGGTATTTATAGTTCTAACGGTCTCTCCCTAATGAGGGCTGTGGTTTTAAGGGCCACTCCCCTTCCCACATATACTATTACTTCCCTTCTCTTTCTCTTTTTCCTTGACAATTGTCCATTTTCTCCAGTCTCTAGGTGGAAAAGAAATCACAGTCTAGTAAGAGGATCCAGTAAGAGGATCTACTTAATGTAAAATTTTATACGTTTTATATTCTGGGTTTCATATAGAACTTTTAAAAACAATAATGAAAATTGTGTTGACTTAGATGGACACTTTAATCTTTTTCCTATAGGTTGTATTTGATGGCTGGGCACGGTGCCTCATGCCTGTAATCCCAGCATTTTGAGAGGCTGAGGCAGATGGACCACCTGAGGTCAGGAGTTCGAGACCAGCCTGGCCAACATGGTGAAACCTCGTCTCTACTAAAAATACAAAAATTAGCCAGCATAGTGGCAGGTGCCTCTAATCCCAGCTACTCGGGAGGCTGAGGCAGGAGAATCACTTGAACCCGAGAGGCAGAGTTTGCTGTGAGCTGATATCGCACCACTGCACTCCAGCTTGGGCGACAGAGCAAGACTGTCAAAAAAAAAAAAATCAGCAGTATATATCAAAAGCACTACCATTTACTATTTTATTATGTATTTTTACTTTTTCCAGACAGAGTCTCACTCTGTTGCCCAGGCTGGAGCACAGTGGCGAGATCATGGCTCACTGCAGCCTCGACCTCCAGGGCTCAATCAATCCTCACACCTCACACCTCAGCCTCCTGAGTAGCTGGGACTACAGGCATGCACCACCATGCCTGGCTAATTTTTTTTTATTTTTTATGGAGACATGTTTCCTTATGTTGCTCAGACTAGTCTCAAACTCCTGGGCTCAAGCAATTCTCCCACCTCAGCCTCCCAAGACATTGGGATTATAGGCGTGAGACACTGCATCCAGCCCTCTTTCATTTTTGAGAAGTGACTAACAAAAAATAGCTGGCTGTGGTGGCATGCACCTGTAGTCCTAGCTACTGGGAGGCTGAGGTGGGAGAATCACTTGAGCGAGGGAGAATTGCTTGAACCCGGGAGGCGGAGGTTGCAGTGAGCTGAGATCAAGCCATCACATGCCAGCCTGGGTGACAAAGTGAGACTCCATCTCAAAAAAAAAAAAGAAAAATAGGCCAAGTGCAGTGGCTCACGCCTGTAATCCCACCAATCTGGGAGTCCGAGCCAGGTAGATCACAAGGTCAAGAAATCGAGACCATCCTGGCCAACATCATGAAACCCTGTCTCTACCAAAAATACAAAAATTAGCTGGGCGGGGTGGTGCGTGCCTGTAGTCCCAGCTACTTGGGAGGCTGAGGCAGGAGAATCGCTTGAACCCAGGAGGCAGAGATTGCAGTGAGCTGAGATTGTGCCACTGCACTCCAGCCTGGCGACAGAGCAAGACTCCATCTCAAAAAAATAAAAATAAAAAAATAAAAATAAAAATTAGGTGAGATAAATGGAGTGATCTTGCAGTATCCACTAATGTGCTACTTAAATTCGGGGATGTGTTGTGCAGACGCCCCCTCTGAGACCTTCTCCCTGGTTTGGAAGTCCCCACCTCTCTTCCCTCCAACACCAGAGAGTGGTTGATAGTGCATAGCAGTTCTCCCTTAACAATGAGAATGAAGAGATAAACCCTGGATTTCATTCTCAACTTTATACTTTTCTACCAGCCCCCCAGGGAATAACCACATCTACTTGCCTCAGCGCATTCTTTCCCTGCATTGTGTACTTCTGTGGCCAGGGAGTAAGGGATGACAAGAATCTGAAAACACTGCCCACTCGTTCATTCACCAAATCAAGAAACTGACAACTCTTTCCCCAAAGTCACACTAGCCATAGTCCAGTTACTTGTAGGAACAGAACCAGAAACAGCCACCAGGCTACTTCTCTATTTCCTTCTCAACCATGTTAAAGAAAAATTATTCTGACTCTTGTTAAAACAATTGGGAAGGCTTTATCCAAGATTACTGCAACAGAGGAGAAAGATCAGGCTTGAACCCCAAAGGCAGGAGAGACAGCTGGGACTGATAGCCAAAGAGCAGGATGGGGTCAGTAGGTGGAAAATTACTAAGAGGAGGCATCAAGGATCAGGAGATTCTGGCTAACCCAGACTAATGGGACTCTTGCTAAAGGCAAGCCAGGGACTTAGACTTAGAAAGCATCACCTTATCAAAGGTGGAGGATGATCAACTTGATATCAAGGGTGACCAGATTTCAGGGAAGAGGGATTCTCACTAAACTGACTCCCAGAGGTCTCTTTTAGCAAGGCACTCATGCCAGGCGCAGTGGCTCATGCCTGTAATCCCAACACTTTGGGAGGCTAAGGCAGGTGGATCGTCTGAGGTCTGGAGTTCGAGACCGGCCTGGACAACATAGTGAAACCCAGTCTCTACTAAAAAAAAAAAAATTGGCCGTCACAATGGCTCAGGCCTATAATCCCAGCAATTTGGGAGGCCGAGGTGGGTGGATCACCTGAGGTCAGAAGTTTGAGACCAGCCTGACCAACATGGAAAAACCCTGTCTCTACTAAAAATACAAAATTAGCCAGGCATGGAGGCCCATGCCTGTAATCCCAGCTTCTTGGGGGGCTGAGGCAGGAGGATCGCTTGAACCTGGGAGGCAGAGGTTGCAGTGAGCCAAGTTCATGCCACTGCACTCCGGCCTGGGTGATAGAGCAAGACTCCATCTCACAAAAAAAAAAAAAAAAAAAATATATATATATATATATATATATATAATATACATTTATATATAAATATATATAATATATAATGTATATTATATATTATATATAATATATAATATATAATATAATACATATTATGTATTATATATTATATATAATATATGAATATATATTATGTATTATATATTTATATATAAATATATATATATATTTTATATATATATTTATATATATAAATAATATAAATATATAATTATTTATATTATATATTATATATAGTTATATTATATATAATATATATAAATATATAATATATAAAAAATATATATTTATATTATATAATTAATATATAATATATATTATATATATTTAATATATAATATATATTAAATATATTATATTTAATATAATATATATAATATTACATATTATATTAAATATAATATACATAATATATTATATTTAATATAATATATAATATATTATATATCATATTTAATATAATATATTATGTATATTATATTAAATATAATATATAATATATTATATTAAATATAATATACATAATATATCATATATTATATATATATTTTATATATATATATACACTACCTGAGACTGGGTAATTTCTAAAGAAAAGAGGTTTCATTGACTCACAGTTCCACATGGCTGGGGAGGCCTCAGGAAACTTACAATCGTGGCAGAAGGTGAAGGGGAAACAAGAACCTTCACATGGCGGCAGGAAAGAGAAGTGCAAGCAGAGGAAATACCAGATTCTTATAAAACCATCAGATCTCGTGAGCACTCACTATCACGAGAACAGCAGAAGGGAAACCGCTCCCATGATCCAATCACTTCCCTCCCTCCACACGTGGGGATTACAGGTCCCTCCCTGGACACATAAGGATGACAATTACAGACAAAATTTGGGTGGGGACACAGAACCAAACCATATTGGTATGGATCAGAACCACCCTCTTGGGGTCCGTCTCCTCACAAAGAAACTGCTGTTTCATCGTCCTCTACCCTGGTTTGAGCATCAGGATGGCATGCAGCAAGGCTTTACCATACGCCCTCCTGGGAAGACCCTGAATCCTGTCAACACCACTTTGTGTGGACAGTGACCATCTGGGCAATCCACCATAAGCATGCAAGACCTTTCTGGTTGTTGATTATTCAGATCCCAAGAGATGAGGTGATAACAAGAGCACACTGAATATCTTCCTTGAAGTCTCTCATAGGGGTCAGGACATGCTACCCCAAATTGTGGCCCCTTGACATTTGAGAAAACAGCCAAGGCAGGAAGGTCACCCTCACCCTCCCTTCACCCTTTTCCCCTGAAGCAGGTCATTAAACCCTCATTTTTGAGGTGTCCTCTCTGGACTCAGAGGAAAGGAATGTCCTTATCTCTGAAGACACAAGCACACAGAGAAGAATCTGAACAAACTTGTCTTGCAAGTCCCCGATCTATTACCATTAGGTCATGTCCCTTTGTTCAATCACATTTCTGCACGCCTGTCCACTCTTCATCAAACTTAGCATTAAAATACATAGGTTAGGCTGGGTGCGGTGGCTCACGCCTGTAATCCCAGCACTTTGGGAGGCCGAGGTGGGCAGATCACCTGAGGTCGGGAGTTCGAGACCAGCCCGACCAACATGGAGAAACCCCATCTCTACTAAAAAATACAAAATTAGTCAGGTGTGGTGGCATATGCCTGTAATCCCAGCTACTCGGGAAGCTGAGGCAGGAGAATCGCTTGAACCCGGGAGGCCGAGGTTGCAGTGAGCCGAGACCACACCATTGCACTCCAGCCTGGGCGACAAGAACGAAACTCCATCTCAAAAAAAAAAAAAAAAAGAAAAAGAAAAAAACATAGGTTAGGGCACCTGTACTCTCAGCAACTTGGGAGGCCGAGGCAGGAGAATCACTTGAACCTGAGAGGCAGAGGTTGCATTGAGCCGAGATTGGGCTGCTGCACTCCAGCCTGGGCAACAGAACGAGACTCCTTCTCAAAAAAACCACATAGGTTTCCCTGTTTCTTTGGATCTTCATTTCTGAAGGCTCTAGTGTTTCATAAAACTTACATAAGATAAATGTGTATGCTTTTCTCTTCTTAATCTGTCTTTTGTTATAGGGGCTTCAGATGTGAACCTACTGATGGGGAAGAAAAGGTGGTTGGGTTTTCTTTTTTTTGAGATAGGGTCTTGCTCTGTCCCCTAGGCTGGAATGCAATGGTGTAATCTCGGCTCACTGCAACCTCCACCTTCTGGGGTCAAGTGATCCTCTCATCTTAGCCTCCTGAGTAGCTGGGACCACAGGTGCACACTACCACAACTGGTGAATTTTAAAATTTTTCAAAGAGATGGGCCCCACTATTCTCCCAAGGCTGATCTTGAACTTGTGGGCTCAAATGATCTTCCCACCTTGGCCTCCAAAGTGCTTGGATTATGAGCATGAGCCACTGAGCCAAGCCAAAAAAGGTTATTTCTTTCCCCATACATCTCCTACCATTGGTATGTTCTTCTAAATTTCTCTGGGTCTCTGAAAACCAGGTCTGGTGCTTACCGAATGGGTAAATTTAAAGGAAAAGGGTTTATAAGGTGAAAGAAGTTGGTGCCACTTTACTTGTGTGAAGATATTTTTCTTTTCTTTTTTTTTCTTGAGATGGAGTCTCTCTCTGTTGCCGAGGCTGGAGTGCAGTCGTGCAATCTCAGCTCACTGCAACCTCTGCCTCCCAGGTTCAAGCTATTCTCCTGCCTCAGCCTCCCGAGTAGCTGGGACTACAGGCGCCTGCCACCACGCCCATCTAATTTTTTGTATTTTTAGTAGAGATGGGGTTTCACCATGTTAGCCAGGATGGTCTCGATCTCCTGACATTGTGATACGCCCGCCTCAGCCTCCCAAAGTGTTGGGATTACAGGTGTGAGCCACTGTGCCCAGCCAATATATTTTTCTTAAGGATAGGACGATGTTTCTCAGGAGCACTTGGGGGTTTTCTTCCTTGTCAACTTCTTCCATTCCAGGAGAGAAAATAATGTTTGCCCTTATCAAACGTCAAATGTGGAAACCTTAGACAGTGCCTGTCCATCGCCACTCACGACTTCCCCCCACTGGGGCAAGGGAGCTGCTCACAAGCAGCCAGGGAGATAACAACACTTGAACCCTGAAGTATAGCCATAAACCACTGAAAACAGCCTTCGTTCACAAAGCACACTGCTGGCTTCCAAAGTTCTCAGCTGGCCAAGTGCAGTGGCTCATGCCTAGAATCCCAACACTTTGGGAGTCCAAGGCAGGAGGATTGCTTGAGCCCAGGAGCTCAAGATGAGCCTGGGGCTTGAACCCATAGGGAGATGCCATCTCTTCAAAAAATAAAAAATTAGACTAGGCATGGTGGTTCACACCTGTAATCCTAGCACTTTGGGAGAGGGCAGGCGGATGACCTGAGGTCAGGAGTTCCAGACTAGCCTGGCCAGCATGGTGAAACCCCATCTCTACTCAAAATACAAAAATCAACCTGGCGTGGTGGCTCATGCCAGTAATCCCAGCTACTGGGGTGGCTGAGGCAGGATAATTGCTTCTACCCAGGAGGCGAAGGTTACAGTGAGCCAAGATTGCGGCACTGCACTCCAGCCTCTGTGACAGAGTGAGACTCCATCTCAAAAATAAAAAATAAAAATAAAAATAAATAGCCAGGTGTGGTAGCTTGTGCCTGTAGTTTTAGTTACTAGGGAGGCTGAGGTGGGAGGACCAGTTGAGCCAGGAAAGTTGAGGCTGCGGTGAGCCAGGATCTGGCCACTGTACTCCAGCTTGGGCAACAGAATGAGACCCTGTCTCAAAAAAAAAAAAAAAGTTCTCTATGCTCTTACCCAGAAGCTCCCCTTAGTCCCAGAGGTCACCAGATAGGCCACTGGTGCCTCATATATCCCAATGTTAGGCCACAGTGAGAGCTGTGTCTCCAGGGTCCTGCTATGTCAAACTCTAGGATGACAGCAGTCCTCTGATGACAGGGATGAGCCTTGCATTCCAATAACATATCAACCCAATGGTTCTGGCGGGAACATGTGGAGAATTCCACTGTGGCCCTTTGCTGGCGTCTCTAGGATGGAACCTCTTCAGGGAAGGCTGGTGAGTGAGCCTGTGTCCAACAGGACAGGAATCTGCATAGCAGGAACCCACCGAGCAACTCCAATGACAGGCACATGAGGGTCCTGGCTTCCAGTGCAAAAGCACATACAAAGGAGAAATAAGGAGGCTTAATATTCCCCGAGAAAATAAGAGACTCCTGCAGCCTTTCCCCGCCCCTCCCCTCCCCTCCCCTCCCCTCCCCTCCCCTCCCCTCCCCTCCTCTCCTCTCCTCTCCTCTTTCATCTTGCTGTGTGGCCCAGGCTGGAGTACAGTGGAGCAATCATAAGTTACTGTAACTTTGAACTCCTGGGCTAAAGCAATCCTCCCACCTTGACCTCCCAAGTAACTGGGACCACAGGCACACACCACCATGACTGGTTAATTTTTAAATCTTTTGTGGAGATGGGGGTCTTGCTAGGCTCAATGGCTCACACCTGTAATCCCAGCACTTTGGGAGGCCAAAGTGGGAGGATTACTTGAGAACAGGAGTTCAAGATCACCCAGGGTGATATAGAGAGACCTCGTCTCTACAAGAAATGCAAAAACATTAACTGGGCTTGGTGACATGCATCTGTAGTCCTAGCTACTTGGGAGGCTGAGGTGGGAGGATTGCCTGAGTCCAGGAGTTCAAGGCTGCAGTGAGCTGTAGTCATGCCTCTGCACTCCAGCCTGGGTGATATAGTAAGACCCTGTCTCAAAAAAATAAAATAAAATTACAGCTGGGATCTCACTATGTTTGCCCAGGCTGCTCTCGAACTCCCACCTTGGCCTCCCAAAGCTTTGCGATTACAGGTGTGAGCCACCCACCGTATTCAGCCACCTTTTCTTTTTTTCACCTTTTCTTTCTTTCTACCTTTTCACTGCAACCTCTGCCTCCTGGGCCCAAGCCATCCTCCCACCTCAGCCTCCTGAATAGCTGAGACTACAGGCATGCACCACCACGCCCGGCTAATTTTTTTTGTACTTTTAGTAGAGACAGGGTTTCACCATGTTGGCCAGGCTGGTCTCAATCTCCCGACCTCAAGTGATTTGCCCACCTCGGCTTCCCAAAGTGCTGGGATTACAGGCGTGAGCCACCATGCTCAGCCGAGATGGGGTTTTGCCATGTCGGCCATGGCTGGTCTGGAACTCCTGGGCTCAAAGCAATCCACCTACCTCGGCCGCCCAAAGTGTTGGGATTGGCCAGGCGTGGTAGCTCATGCCTGTTATCCTAGCTACTAGGGAGCAAGAGGATTGCCTGAACCTGGGAGGTGGAGGTCGGAGGTTGCAGTGAGCTGAGATCGCGCCATTGCATGACAGAGTGAGACTTCGTCTCAAAAAAAAAGAAAAAAGGGCTGGGTTGGGATTACAATCTCACGTTAAGCCACCACACCCCCGCTACCTTTTCCTTCTCTTTCTTTTTTTTTTTTTTTTTTTTTTGAGACAGAGTTTCGCCCTTGTTGCCCAGGCTGGAGTGCAATGGCACGATCTCAGCTCACCACAACCTCCACCTCCCAGGTTCAAGTGATTCTCCTGCCTCAGCCTCCCGAGTAGCTGGGATTACAGGCATGCGCCACCACGCCTGGCTAATTTTGTATTTTTAGTAGAGATAGGGTTTCTCCATGTTGGTCAGGCTGGTCTCAAACTCCCGACCTCAGGTGATCTGCCTCCCATTAAGTGCTGGGATGACAGGCATGAGCCACTGCCCCGAGCCTCTCTGTCCTTTTCAAATGTATGTAAATCTTCTAATGGCCAAACAAGCCTCTTGCCTGCCTCCCAATGCCAGAAATGTTTCAAGGACCCAAGAGACATCTCCTTGAGACGTAATCATCAAGGAAGAGAATGGCCCTGTCTCCCAGTTTGAAATGTAATCATCAAGGAAGAGAATGGCCCTGTCTCCCAGTTTGCAGAGAGGAGATGGGCCTCACTTGCCACCTGACTCCACACTGCAAACCTACTTACTGCAATGTGTTGCAGCCACTTGCCTGTGCAAAAGAGGGAAATTTCTTTCAGTCTTTGCAATCTTTTAGCAGATTGCCTATGATGGATATATTCTATTTCATGCTTATTTGATAATAAAATTGTTTTCTTTCTCTTCTACTTTGTGGACAGGTTTTCTAGCTTAGAAGGGATTTTGTTTTTAATTCCATTTTCAAAGCACAGGACAGGGACAGCCCCCAGTGCACTTTTCTCGGGCCCCAGGAGAGGGCTGTTTTTCCTCTTGCGTCCTGGAAGCACCCAGGAGCTCCAGAAAAGACCAAGACCGGGCAGGCGCAGTGGCTCATGCCTGTAATCCCAGCACTTTGGGAGGCCAAGGTGGGTGGATTGCCTGAGCTCAGGAGTTCAAAACCAGCCTGGGCAACACGGTGAAACCCTGTCTCTACTAAAATAAAATTAAATTTTAAAAAAATTAGCTGAGCATGGCGGCGTGCACCTGTAGTCCCAGCTACTCAGGAGGCTGAGGCAGGAGAATTTCTAGAACCCGGGAGGCAGAGGTTTCAGTGAGCCAAGATTGTGCCACTGCCCTCCAGCCTGGGTGACAGAGTGAGACTTCATCTCCATAAAAAATCCAAGACCCAGAGGAGCCCCAGGCCAATTACTCTCAGTTAGACTTTCTGGGAGTAGGGCTGGGAAATTTAAAAATGTTTAAACTCTCCAGGTGATTCCAGTGTGCAGGCATAGCTGGGGTTTGCCACTCTGGGAGGACCAAAGAAACCAACAGACAAACCCACTGCCGATGGAACTGGAGCCTTACACAGAACTATAAAGACACCAAAAAAATGGCCTCTGACTTCACCCTTAAGAGACTTCCCATCTTCCTGCTCCAGGTCCCTTGAGGCTTGCCTGCTTCCTCATCCTTTCTAAGCCTGGTTCTCTAGTCCTTTCATTTTGGGAACAACATGTGGCCATTAAATTTCCTTTTGTGGCCAGGCACAGTGGCTCACACCTTGTATTAGTTTGTTTTCACGCTGCTGATAAAGACATATCTGAGACTGGGAAGAAAAAGGGGTTTAATTGGCCTTATAGTTGCACATGCCTGGGAGGCCTCAGAATCATGGCAGAGGGTGAAAGGCCACTTCTTACATGGGGGCGGCAAGAGAAAATGAGGAAGAAGCAAAAGCGGAAACCCCTGATAAACCCATCAGATCTCGTGAGACTTATTCACTATCACGAGAATAGCATGGGAAAGACCAGCCCCCATGATTCAATTACCTCCCCCTGGGTCCCTCCCACAACACATGGGAATTCTGGGAGATACAATTCAAGTTGAGATTTCGATGGGGACACAGACAAACCATATCACACTTGTAATCCCAGCATTTTGGGAGGCCAAGGTGGGAGGATTTCTTGAGCCCAGGAGTTCAAGACCAGCCTGGGCAACATGGCGAGATGCCATCTCTACCAAAAATACAAAAATTAGCCAAGTGTGGTGGCACGTGCCTATAGTCCCAGCTACTCAGGAGGCTGAGGTGAGAGGATCACTAGAGCTCCAGAGGTGGAGGATGCAGTGAGCTAGGATGGCACTACTGCACTCCAGCCTGGGTGAAACAGCAAGACCCTGTCTCAAAAAAAAAAAAAAAAAATCCATTTGTGTAAGTTAGACTACAATTTAAAAACCCAATATATTTATCTTCAGAAAGTCATCATTAAGTTAAGTCTCATACTGAAAAATCTAATCATGGCTTAGATTTTTTTCTAAGCTCTGAAGGCACAGAAAATCCAATCCAAACTTCTTAGGACTGCAGCCTCATTAAGGGAAAAATTATTCAGACACTTGTTAAAACAGGAAGAAAGACTATTCAGGACTATTGATATTGGTGTCAAGACAGCCACAATCAGGGAGAGAGATTAAATTTAACTCTGAATACACCTGTAATTTCAGCACTATGGGAGGCTGAGGTCGGTGGATAACCTGAGGTCAGGAGTTCAAGACCAGCCTGGTCAACATGGAGAAACCCTGTCTCTAATAAAAATACAAAAATTAGTGGGGTGTGGTGGCGGATGCCTGTAATCCCAGCTACTTGGCAGGCTGATGCAGGAGAATCACTTGAACCCGGAAGGGGAGGTTGCAGTGAGTCGAGATCGTGCCACTGCACTCCAGCCTGGGCAACAAGAGTGAAACTATGTCTCAAAATAAATAAATAAAAATAACCAGCCGGGCGCAGTGGCTCACACCTGTAATCTCAGCACTTTGGGAGGCCAAGGCAGGCGGCTCACCTGAGGTCGGGAGTTCGAGATCAGCCTGACCAACATGGAGAAACCCTGTCTCTACTAAAAATACACAAAATTAGCTGGGCGTGGTGGTGCATGCCTGTAACCCCAGCTACTCAGGAGGCTGAGGCAGGAGAATCGCTTGAACCTGGGAGGTGAAGGTTGCTGTGAGCTCAGATTGAGCCACTGCACTCCAGCCTGGGCAACAAGAGCGAAACTCCGTCTCAAAAATAATAATAATAAAAATTAAACTAACTCTGGCCGGGCGTGGTGGCTGATGCCTGTAATCCCAGCACTTTGGGAGGCTGAGGCAGGTGGATCACGAGGTCAGGAGTTCGAGACCAGCCTGGCCAATATGGTGAAACCCTACCTCTAATAAAAATACAAAAATTAGCTGAGCATGGTGGCATGTGCCTGTAGTCCCAGCTACTCATACGGAGGCTGAGGCAGGAGAATTGCTTGAACCTGGGAGGTGGAGGTTGCAGTGAGCCGAGATTGTGCCACTGCACTCCAGCCTGGGCGACAGAGCAAGACTCCGTCTCAAAAAAAAGTAAAAATAAACAACAACAAAAAAACTCTCAATACAACAAAAACAAGGAAAGCTAAGGAGCAGAGTGAGGGGGGTCAGAGGATGGAAAATTACTTAAGAGGGGAACTGGAGTGGGTGTTGGGGGCAGGGATTCTTGCTAAACTGATTTAGTAAGATTTTTGCTGAAGGGAGGCCAGAGAATCAGATATCTAGGGCGGAGGGTTAATTCTCTCCAAACTGGTGTGGTAGTATCTTTGCTATGTTGAGACTCAGAAATCAATTCCCCAAAATGAAGGCCTCAGAAGCGAAAGTTTTTCTCTGACCTTTTCCTTCCCTCTTTTTCTCATTTTCCCTCTCCCCCAAGGCTAGCCATAGAAAACAATCCCTCTTCCCCAAGGGGGTCGTAGAAACCTGAACGCTGTTTCTCCAAAGCCAGTCAAAAAACCTAAAAATATTACTCTAACTCTCCCACCACCAACCCACCTTTCTGTGTAAAAACTGGTCAGAAGGAAATTATCTGGGCCTGGGGTGGTGGCTCATGCCTGTAATCCTAGCACTTTGGGAAGCTGAGGCAGGAGGACTGGTTGAGCCCAGGAGTTCCAATCAAACCTGGGCAACATAGTGAGACCCTGTCTCTTTAAAATATTTATTTTAATTAAAAAGATATTTAAAAAATAAATTATCTGACCTATCTTATTTGACTGTATGTCATAAGACCCCCATTCCAGAAAGGGTCCTGCCCCACATGCAGAAGGAAGGAAGGCTGCTCAGAGAGGGCAAGAAGAATCTAGATAGACAGGCTTGCTGGGTTTCCCCACTCAGTCTAATTGCAATAGACCATACTCCTTCTGTCCTATCATATTTCTGCATGGCTGTGCATTGTGAGGAACTTAAGCATAAAAATGGACACTTTCCCCTGTATCCTTGGGTCCTCATTCTGAAGACTCACGTCTCACATAAAGCTATGATCAAATAAATTTGTATGCCTATTCTCCTATTAATCTGCATCTTGTCAGTGATTTTCAGCAAACCTTCATGACACCGCCTTTGCAAAAATTATAACTGAGACAGTGAAGGAGATCTAACTTAGCCAACTCCATGTTTCTTTTAATCTCCAAGCTGTCCTTGTTTATCCCTGGGCATAGGCTGAACTAACTTTGGGAAGAACTTAGTTTATAGTTTATAGTTTTATTGTTTTTTTTTAATTTTTTATTTTATTTTATTTTTTTCTGTGAACATTCAACTGAGATAAGCTGCTGTGTATTTGCATTCTGGAGAGAGGTAGATTTTGTTTGTTTGTTTGTTTGTTTGTTTGTTTGTTTTTGAGACAGAGTCTCTCTCTATTGCCCAGGCTGGAGCGCAGTGCCGTAATCTCAGCTCACTGCAAGCTCCACCTCCCGGGTTCACGCCATTCTCCTGCCTCAGCCTCCCGAGTAGCTGGGACTACAGGCACCCGCCACCATGCCCGGCTAATTTTTTGTATTTTTAGTAGAGACGGGGTTTCACCGTGTTAGCCAGGATGGTCTCGATCTTCTGACCTCATGATCTGCCCGCTTCGGCCTCCCCAAGTGCTGGGATTACAGGCTTGAGCCACTGCGCCCGGCCTATAGTTTATAGTTTTAAACAAAGATGATAACAGCCCTTTCCCAAAACAAACCTCCTTCTCGACTGGGGACTAGACTGCCTTTGTGGGACTAACAAATTAGCCACAAGATTAGAAATTATGGTTTAGGAGTCATGCAGCTGGAGGCTACAAGATTCTACATGCCTTAAACTGCTCCTCAGATCAGTGATTGAGATATTTTGCAGACCCTGCACTTGATGGATCAGCTGGCACTACCCAGATTAATGAACTGGCTCATCTGATCTTGTGGCCCCCACCCAGGAACAGACTCAGCCCAAGAAGACAGCTTCGACTCCCTGTGATTTCATCCCTGACCAATCAGCACTCCTGGCTCACTGGTTTCCCCCTACCCACCAAATTGTCTTTAAAAACTCTGCTCTCCGAATGCTCAGGAAGACTTATTTGAGTAATAAAAAAACTCTGGTCTCCCACACAGCCAGCTCTGTGTGAATTAGTCTTTCTCTATTGCAATTCCCCTGTCTTGATAAATTGGCTCTGTCTAGGCAGTGGGCAAGGTGAACCCATGGGGCAGTTACATTCAGAGAGTGAAGGGGAAGTTTTCCCTTGGCCTCAACAGCTTCCACTGGAGTTGTCAGGCTAAAGACAGGACCCAGAATGAGGCCTAGACAAAAAGAGGATTCAGAGGTGCCTGACTCAGGTTCAGCCTCCAATCTCTGTTTCCACCACTTTTCACCCTTTACGCTCTTGCAACAAACAGTTTGTGTGTATACACACAACTACATGCCACATCTTTGACCATGTGGTTTTCTATGCTTAAGCTATTTTTCTGTCTTTTGGTCTACAACTCACTTTTTTTTTTTTTTTTTTTTGAGACGCAGTTTAACTCTTGTTGCCCAGGCTGGAGTGCAGTGGTGCAATCTCAGCTCACTGCAACCTCTACCTCCCAGGTTCAAGTCTCCTGAGTAGCTGGGATTACAGGCACCCACCACCATGCCCGGCTAAATTTTGTATTTTTAGTAGAGACAGGGTTTCACCATGTTGGCCAGGCTGGTCTTGAACTCCTGACCTCAGGTGATCTGCCCACCTCAGCCTCCCAAAATGCTGGGATTACAGGCATGAGCCACCATGCCTGGCCTGCAACTCACTTTCAAAACTTACTAAACTTAGACAGATTCCTTGAAACATGCAATTAGCGAAGCTGACACAATGAAATAGAATATGTAAAGAGTCCTATATCTATAAAGAAGCTTAATTCACAATAAAAAATCTTCCCCCTATAGAAAGGACTTTACTAGTGAATTATGTCAAATAATGAAGAAATAATCTTAATACTAGACAAGCTCTTTCTGAAAATACAGGAGAAGGAAATGCTTCACGGCTTTATTTAGGAGGCCTGTGTGATTCTGGAACAAAACTTGATTAAGACAAGAAAAGCTGGGTGTGGTGCTGCACTCCTGTAGTCCCATCGACTCAGGAGGCTGAGGCAGGTGGGTCACATGACAGCAGAAGTTTGAGGTTACAGTGAGTCATTATCATGCCATGCAACTATACTCCAGCTGGGTGACAAAGCAGAGAATATATATATATATATATATTTTTAAGTCCAGGAGTGGCAGCTCATGCCTGTAATCCTAGCACTTTGGGAGGCCAAGGCAGGTGGAAAACTTGAGGTCAGGAGTTCAAGACCAGCCTGGCTAACATGGCAAAACCCCATCTCCACTAAGAATTCAAAAATTAGCCAGTTGTGGTGGCATCTGTAATCCCAGCTACTCAGGAGGCTGAGGCAGGAGAACTGCTTGAACCCAGGAAGTAAAAGCTGCAGTGAGCTGAGATAGCGCCACTGCACTCCAGCTTGGGTGACAGAGCAAGACTCCATCTCAAAACAAAACTAAACAAAAACCCAACCAAACAAACAAAAAAAGGACATTACACTACAAGAAAATTAAGACCTCACAAATATAGATGCAAAACTCTGATAAAATATTAGCAGATCTACTTTGGCAATACGTTTATAGGATTGAGTTTATCATGGCCAAGTGGGCTTATCCTAGAAATAAGGTTTAGCATTCAAAAGTCAATTATTATAATTCTTTATATTGAAAAAAGAAGAAAAACGTGATCATTTCAGTTAATGTATAAAAATCTTTTTACAGAATTAAACACCCATTCAGGATAAAAATCTCAGCAAACTAGGAATAGAGGGGATCATCCTCAACTTGATAAATACCATCTGCAAAAATCCTGGAGTTAACATATCAGAAAAAGAGAAAAGCTAACTCAGACACTACCAGTTTGGGCTCAGTGCCAATACCTGGCTGCCATATCTACAGTTAACTTAGCACTTGATATGGTTTGTCTGTTTTCCCACCCAAATCTCAACCTGAATTGTATTTCTCAGAATTCCCACGTGCTGTGGGAGGAACCCAGGGGGAGGTAATTGAGTCATGGGGGCTGGTCTTTCCTATGCTATTCCCGTGATAGTGAATAAGTCTCATGAGATCTGATGGGTTTATCGGCGGTTTCCACTTTTGCTTCTTCCTCGTTTTCTCTTGCTGCCACCATGTAAGAAGTGCCTTTCACCTCCTGCCATGATTCTGAGGCCTCCCAGCCATGTGGAAATGTAAGTCTATTTAAACCTCTTGTTCTTCTCAGTCTCGGATATGTCTTTATCAGCAGCCTGAAAACGGACTAATATAGTAAATTGTTACTGGGAGTGGGGCATTGCTGAAAAGATACCCAAACATGTGGAAGCAACTTTAGAACTGGGTAACAGGCAGAGGTTGGAACAGTTTGGAGGGCTCAGAAGCAGACAAGAAAATGTGGGAAAGTTTGGAACCTCCTAGAGACTTGTTGAATGGCTTTGACAAAAATGCTGATAGTGATATGAACAATAAGGTCCAGGCTGAGGTGGTCTCAGATGGAGTTGAGAAACTTGTTGGGAACTGGAACAAAGGTGACTCTTGTTATGTTTTAGAACAGAGACTGGTGGGATTTTGCCCTGCACTAGAGATCTGCGGAAGTTTGAACTTGTGAGAGATGACTTCGGGTATCTGATGGAAGAAATTTCTAAGCAACAAAACATTCAAAGGGTGACTTGAGTGCTGTTAAAAACATTCTTTTTTTTTTTTTTTTTTTTGAGATGGAATCTCACTCTGTTGCCAGGCTGGAAAGCAGTGGCGTAATCCCAGCTCACTGCAACCTCTGCCTCCCGGGTTCAAGCGATTCTCCTGCCTCAGCCTCCTGAGTAGCTGAGATTACAGGCACGCACCACCACGCCTGGCTAATTTTTGTATTTTTAGTAAGACGGGGTTTCACCATGTTGGCCAGGATGGTCTTGATCCCTTGACCTTGTGATCCCCCACCTTGGCCTCCCAAAGTGCTGGGATTACAGGTGTGAGCCACCACGGCCAGCAAAAGCATTCTGTTTTAAAAGGAAAACAGAGCATAAAAGTTCAGAAAATGTGCAGCCTGATGATGCAGTAGAAAAGAAAAACCCATTTTTTGAGGAGAAATTCAAGCCAGCTGCAGAAATTTGCATAAGTAGCAAGGATCCTAATGTTAATCCCTAAGACTACTGAGAAAATGTCTCCAGGCCATGTCAGACACATTCATGGAAGTCCCTCCCATCACAGACCCAGAGGCCCAGAAGGAAAAAGTGGTTTCATGAGCCAGGCCCAGGGTACCCATGCTGTGTGCTGCCTATGGACTTGGTGTCCTGGGTCCCAGCTGCTCCAAACATGGCAGAAAAGAGGCCAACATAGAGCTCAGGCTGTGGCTTCTCAGGGTGGAAGCCCCAAACCTGGGCAGCTTCCACATGGTTTTGAGCCTGTGGGTGCACAGAAGTCAAGAATTGAGGTTTGGTAACCTCTGCCTAGATTTCAGAAGATGTATGGAAATGTCTGGATGCCCAGGCAAAAGTTTGCTATGGGGGTGGGGCCCTCATGGAGAACCTCTGCTAGGGCAGTGCAGAAGGGAAATGTGGAGTCGGAGCCCCAGCACAGAGTCCCTAGTGGGGCACTGCCTAGTGGAGTTGTCAGAAGAGGGCCATCATCCTCCAGACCCCACAGTGGTAGATTCACTGACAGCTTGCACCATGTGCCTGGAAAAGCCACAGACACTCAATGTCAGCCTGTGAAAGCAGCCAGGAAGGAGGCTATACCCTGCAAAGCCACAGCGGCAGAGCTGCCCAAAACCATGGGAAACCAGCTTTTTTTGGTTTTGTTTTTTGTTTTTTTGAGACGGAGTCTTGCTCTGTCGCCCAGGCTGGAGTGCAGTGGCGCGATCTTGGCTCACTGCAAGCTCTGCCTTCTGGGTTCACGTCATTCTCCTGCCTCAGCCTCCTGAGTAGCTGGGTCTACATGCGCCCGCCACCGCACTCAGCTAATATTTTTTGTATTTTTTTTTTAGTAGAGATGGGGTTTCACCGTGTTAGCCAGGATGGTCTTGATCTCCTGACCTTGTGATCCGCCTGCCTCGGCCTCCCAAAGTGCTGGGATTACAGGCGTGAGCCACCGTGCCTGGCCTTGGGAACCCACCTTTTGCATCAGTGTGACCTGGATGTGAGACCTGTTATTAAAGGAGATCATTTTGGAGCTTTAAAATATGACTGCCCTGCTGGATTTTTGGACTTGCGTGGCCCTATAACCCCTTTGTTTTGGCCAACTTCTCCCATTTGGAATGGCTGTATTTACCCAATACCTGTACCCCCATTGTATGTAGAAAGTAACTAGCTTGCTTTTGATTTTACACCTCATAGGTGGAAGGGACTTGCCTTGTCTCAGATGAGATTTTGGACTGTGGACTTTTGGGTTAATGCTGAAATGAGTTAAGACTTTGGGGAACTGTTGGAAAGGCATGCTTGGTTTTGAAAAGTGAGGACATGAGATTTGGAGGGGCCAAGGGTGGAATGATATGGTGTGTCTGTGTCCCCACCCAAATCTCAACTTGGATTGTATCTCTCAGAATTCTCACGTGTTGTGGGAGGGACCTGGGAGAGGTAATTGAATCATGGGGTCTGGTCTTTCCTGTGTTAGTCTCATGATAGTGAATAAATCTCACAAGATCTGATGGGTTTATCAGGGGTTTCCGCTTTTGCTTCTTCCTCATTTTCTCTTGCCGCCACTGTGTAAGAAGTACCTTTTGTCTTCCACTATGATTCTGAGGCCTCGCAGCCACATGGAACTATAAGTCCAATTAAATCTCTTTTTCTTCTCAGTATCAGGTATGTTTTTATCAGCAGAATGAAAACAGACTAATACAGCACTTATCATTTGTAGTGATAATATATGTTTACATGTATCACCCATTTTCTAGTGTCTGTAAACCTGTGTTTAACATCTGCATATGTCAGACATGCATTGTTCTAGACAACCAGATATTATGTTTGAGTCACCTCGCCTTGGCCTCCTACCTCTCTCGTTGTCCCCAAGCCCCTTACAGGAGTAGTCTACCTCCTATCCTCCTGTGACCACACTTTTTTTTTTTTTCTTTTTTTGAGACAGAGTTTCGCTCTTGTTGCCCAGGCTGGAGTGCAATGGCGCAATCTCAGCTCACCGCAACCTCCCCGTCCTGGGTTCAAGCAATTCTCCTGCCTCAGCCTCCTGAGTAGCTGGGATTACAGGCATGTGTCACCACGCCTGGCTAATTTTTGTATTTTTAGTAGAGACGGGGTTTCTCCATGTTGGTCAGGCTGGTCTCGAACTCCCGACCTCAGGTGATCCGCCCACCTCGGCCTCCCAAAGTGCTGGGTTTACAGGCATGAGCCACTGCACCAGGCCTCTTTTTTTTTTTTTTTTTTTTGAGACGAAGTCTCACTCTGTTGCCCAGGCCAAGCTGGAGTGCAATGGCATGATCTCAGCTCACTGCAACCTCTGCCTCCCAGGTTCAAGCGATTCTCCTGCATCAGCCTCCTGAGTAGCTGGGATTACAGGCATGCACCACCATGTCTGGCTAATTTTTTGTATTTTTAGTAGAGACTGGGTTTCACCATGTTGGCTAGGCTGGTCTCAAACTCCTGACCTCAAGTGATCCATCTACCTTGGCCTCCCAAAGTATTGGGATTACAGGTATGAGCCACCCCGCACCAGGCCGATCACACTTTTCAAATAAAAACTGATAACCTTCTGGTCACATTTGACAGTTTACCTTAGAAGTAAGCAGGCTTACAAATTAATCACTCTTGGGAAGATCTTGTGACTTGATGGTGACATTCTGTCTCTGAGTAAAGAATCTTATTGAAAGTACTGCAAATTATTGATGTACTGATGAATGCATAGCCTGCTGACACTGAATAGGACGCGCTGATTTATTTTAAGATTAGCTGAAGCATGAAGTTCTACTGATTGTCTTGCATGTAGGCATTTTTTTTAGCCCACATGATGTAATCTGTAGCTAATGATCACGACTTCTGTATTGTACCCACCTATGAAAAGAGAACAACTCCAGTATGAGAAGTCCTCCTCCCCTCTTTTAAACTTTCCTATAAAAAACTTTTCAGGAGTTTGAGACCAGCCTGGCCAACCTGGTGAAACCCCGTCTCTACTAAAAATACAAAAATTAGCTGGGCGTGGTGGTGGGCACCTGTAATCCCAGCTACTCCGGAGGCTGAGGCAGGAGAATCACTTGAACCCGGGAGGCAGAGGTTGCAGTGAGCCAAGATCGTGCCATTGCACTCTAGCCTGGGCGACAGAGCAAGCCTCTGTCTCAGGAAAAAAAAAACAAAACACTTTTCACCATGGTGGGGTGTGGCAGCTCTACCTGTTAATCCCGGCACTTTGAGAGGCTGAGGCAGGAGGATCACTTGAGGCCAGGAGTTTGAGACCTGCCTGGGCAACAAAGTGAGACTCCGTCTCTATTAAAAAAAATTAAAAAGGCAAAACAAAAACAAACAAAACCTTTCACCTAGTGACAGACTCCAGAACAACTGCAAGTTTGTTGGTGGGTCTTCCTGGGCCAATCCTCATGTTCAGCTTTCAATAATCTCTTGTAAAATTATTTCTGTCTCAACAGCCTCAATTTTAGTAGACAAAACCAGCTGATTCAGAGCCCCAATCACCTCCTCTATGGGGATTCCACACTCTGGGCTACCATACACCTGCCCTAACCACCCCAGAGACAGGTATCAGACAACTAAGAGACAGCCCCTAAGCCCCAGGGGCCACTGACATTATGCAATCTAGCTAATCTTAAACCTGCTTTTGCTGTCTCTCCCATTCCTTACTATGCAAACTTCGATAAATAAACTTACCCACAGTTTTACTCTCCTCTTTCTTCCTCCTGACTGAACCTGATGCTTCCCCATCCATAATCTTCCCACCTACCCACCCCATCCCCATGGCATGATGTCTCCTCTTGGAAACTATAATTATGTTTTTTTTCTTTTTTCTTTTTTTTTTGAGATGGAGTCTCGCTCTGTCGCTCAGGCTGGAGTGCAGTGGCGCGATGTCGGCTCACTGCAAGCTCCGCCTCCCGGGTTCACGCCATTCTCCTGCCTCAGCCTACCCAGCAGCTGGGACTACAGGCGCACGCCACCATGCCCGGCTAATTTTTGTATTTTTAGTAGAGACGGGGTTTCACCGTGTTAGCCAGGATGGTCTCAATCTCCTGACCTTGTGATCCACCCGCCTCAGCCTCCCAAAGTGCTGGGATTACAGGCGTGAGCCACCGCGCCCGGCCTTATAATTATGTTATAAATGAACTATACCTGGTCTTTGTCCCTGGTTCCTAACACAGAGCACCTAAACGCCTTAGAATTTCTTAGGAGACACTTTTATCTTTTGCTGTTCATAATAAGCCTTTGTTCACACCGGAATTTATGCTAATGAGGTGACTCACAGTGGGGCTGCTATGCTAGCCTCAGGATGGGATTGGTCACCAGAAAGACCAAAAATGTGATTAGAGGGTGGGAACTATCGGCCCCACCTTCCCACCTGTAGGAAGAGGATGAGCTGAAGATTAAGTGCTATAAAAACTCTTCAACAGGGCCGGGCACGGTGGCTCACACCTGTAATCCCAGCACTTTGGGAGTCCAAGGCGGGTGGATCACCTGAAGTCAGGAGTTCGAGACCAGCCTGGCCAACATGGTAAAACCCTGTCTCTACTAAAAACCCAAAAATTAGCTGGGTGTGGTGGCAGGCGCCTGTAATCCCAGTTACTCGGGGGGCTGAGGCAGGAGAACTGCTTGAACCCAGGAGGCGGAGGTGGCAGTGAGCCGAGATCATGCCATTGCACTCCAGCCTGGGGGACAAGAGTGAGACTTTGTCCCAAAATCTTGGACCGGCCGGGCGCGGTGGCTCACGCCTGTAATCCCAGCACTTTGGGAGGCTGAGGCGGGTGGATCACCTGAGTTAAGGAGTTAAATACCAGCCTGGCCAACATGGTGAAACCCTGTCTCTACAAAAATACAAAAATTAGTCGGGCATGATGGCAGGTGCCTGTAGTTCCAGCTGCTTGGAAGGCTGAGGGCAGGAACATCGCTGGAACCCAGGAGGCAGAGGTTGCAGTGAACCCAGACTGCACCATTGCATTCCAGCCTGGGCGACAGAGGGAGACTCCAGCCCACCCCACCCCCCCGCAAAAAAAAGGCTGGGCGCAGTGGCTTATGGCTCACACCTGTAATCCCAGCACTTCGGGAGGCTGAGGTGGGCGGATTACCTGAGGTCAGGAGTTGAGACCAGCCTGGCCAACATGGTGAAACCCTGTCTCTACTAAAAATGCAAAAATTAGCTGGGTGTGGTGGCACACGCCTGTAATCCCAGCTACTCAGGAGGCTGAGGCAAGAGAATCGCTTGAACCTGGGAGGAGGAGGTTGCAGTAAGCCAAGACATGCCACTGCATTCCAGCCTGGGTGACAAGAGTGAAACTTTGTCTCAAAAAAAAAACAAAAAAAAAGGGAGAGAGGGAGACTGGAACTGCTCAGTGGGGTTCACCTTGCCTGCTGCCTAGACAAAGCCAATATATCAAGACAGGGGAATTGCAAAACAGAGTAATTCACGCAGAGCTGGCTGTGAGGGAGACCAGAGCTGTATTATTACTCAATTCAGTCTTCCAGAGTATTTAGGGATCAGAGTTTTTAAGGACAACTTGGTGGGTGGGGGAAAGCCAGTGAGCCGGGAGTGCTGATTGGTCAGGGGTGAAATCTTAGGGAATCTGAGATGTCTTCTTGGATTGAGTCTGTTCCTGGTTGGGGGCCACAAGATCAGATGAGCCAGTTTATTGATCTGGGTGGTGCCAGCTGATCCATCAAGTACAGGGCCTGCAAAATATCTCAAGCACTGATATTAGGAGCAGTTTAGGGAGGGTCAGAATCTTGTAGCCTCCAGCTACCTGACTCCTAAATGGTAATTTCCAATCTTGTGGCTAATGTTAGTCCTAAAAGGCAATCTAGTCTCCAGGCAAGAAGGAGGTTTGTTTTGGGAAAGGGTTGTTTTCGTCTTTGTTTTAAACTATAAACTGAATTTCTCCCAAAGTTAGCTCAGCCTACACTCAGGAATGAACAAGGACAGCTTACAGGTTAGAAGCAAGATGGAGTCAGTTAAGTTAGATCTTTTTCACTGTCTCAGTGATAATTTTGCAAACGTAGTTTCAAGACCTTTGTGTAGTGTGGATACCTGGCATGGTACATGAGCCCAGAAGAGTTATTTAAATGTGGTTAAACTAAAGACAAATACATACATTTCTTGGATATAACATTGTATCAAAAAAAAATTAAGAAAGTTTGAATAAATTTAAATATTAAATAATAGTTTGTTGACTATGAGGCAAAAAGAAAATCCAGGGAACTCACCACGCAGTCATCCCTGTGGTCCTGAGGTTCCTGGTCAGTCTGCTGTTCTCTGTCCTTCAAGTCTTGATGTTTGTTTCATATATAGTACCCAGGACTGTCAGTTGTACTTAGTATGAGGAATAAGGAAACTACCACAACCCACACATATGAAATAGATAATTTGAATAGCTGCATAACTATTAAAGAAATTGAATTCATAATTTTAAAACTCCAAAAAGGAAAAATTCAGGGCCAGATGGTTTCATTGGAGACTCCTGCCAAATGCTTAAAAAGTTAACACCAGTTGTACACAATCTCTTTTAGAAAATAGAGGAGAAGGGAATATTTCCCAATGCATTTTATGAAGTTAATATCTGCCTAATGCCAAAATCAAAGAAAATATTTAAAAATAGGGCAGGCATAGTGGCTCACATCTGTAATCCCAGCACTTCGGGAGGCTGAGGTGGAAGGGTTGCTTGAGCCCAGGAGTTCCAGAGACTAACGTGTGTAACCTGGTGAGATCCCATCTCTATTTAGAAATTAATGAATTAATTAAAACAAAAAACTACAAACCTATATCCCTCATGAGTAGAGATGCAAAACTCCTTAATAAAATATTAGTAAATAGAATTCAACAATATATTTTTAGAAACTATACAACATATCTGAGTAGAGTTGATTCCAAGGATGCAAGCATGGTTTAATATTTGAAAATCAGTGTAATCTATCATATTAGCAGGTTAAAGAGAGGCAAATCACATGATCATGTCAATAGATGCAGAAAAAGCTTTTGACAAAATTCAACACTCATTAATGATAAAAACTTTCAGAAAAAAAGGAATAGAAAAAAACACTTCTTCCATCTACAAAAAACCTACAGCTGCCAGGCACGATGGCTCATTTGCAAAGCTGAGGCAAGAGGATCTCTTGAGCCCAGGGGCTCAAGACCAGCCTGGGAAACATAGAGAGTCCCTGTTTCTACAAAAAAACAAAATACAAAAATTAGCTGGGCATGGTGGCTCTTGCAAGGCATAAGGATCACTTGAGCCTGGGAGGCAAGGCTGTGGTGAGCTGTGATCATACCACTGCACTCCAGCCTGGGTGATAGAGTGAGTGAGACCCTGCCTCCAAAACAAACAAACAACCAAACAAACCAACCAACCTACAGCTAACATACTTGATAGTGGAAGATGTCATGTTTTCCCTTTAAGACCAGGGACAAGGAAAAAAAATAAGATCAGGAACAAGGAAAGGATATCAGCTCTTATCAGTCTTATTCAACATAATGCTGAAAGTTCTATGCAGCGTATAAAGCAATAAAAGGAAATGAAAGGCATACAAACCATATGGATCTGAAAGGAAGAAATAAACTTGTCCATGGCTGGGCGCAGTGGCTCACCCCTATAATCCCAGCACTTTGGGAAGCCAAGGTGGGAGGATCACTTGAGTTCAGGAGTTTGAGTCCAGCCTGGCCAACATGGTAAAACCCATCTCTACTAAAAATACAAAAACTTAGCTGGGCGTGGTGGCGCACACCTGTAGTCCCAGATATTCGGGAGGCTGGGGCATGAAAATCACGTGAACCTGGAGGCAGAGGTGACAGTAAACCCAGATGGTGCCACTGCACCCCAGCCTGGGCAACAGAGCCAGACTCCATCTGAACAACAACAAAAATTGCCGGGTATGGTGGCTCACCCCTGTAATCCCTGCACTTTGGGAGGCTCAGGCGGGTGGATCACCTGAGGTCAGGAATTCAAGACCAGACTGAGGAACATAGGGAAACCCCGTCTCTACTAAAAATACAAAAATTAGCTGGAAGTGGTGGCATGTGCCTGTAATCCAGCAATTCGGGAGGCTGAGGCACAAGAATCACTTGAACCCAGGAGGCAGAGGTTGCAGTGAGCCAAGATCGCACCATTGCACTCCAGCCTGGGCAACGGAGCAGGACTCCATTTCAAAACAACAACAGCAATAACAAAATTGCAGATAGCATATACATATATATTTTGGTTTTTTTTCTTTTCTTTTCTTTTCTTTTGAGATGGAGTTTCGGCTCACTGAAGCTCCGTCTCCCGGGTTCACGCCATTCTCCTGCCTCAGCCTCCGACTAGCTGGGACTACAGGTGCCCGTCACCACACCTGGATAATTTTTTTGTATTTTTAGTAGATACGGGGTTTCACTGTGTTAGCCAGGATGGTCTCGATCTCCTGACCTCGTGATCCGCCTGCCCCAGCCTCAAGTGCTGGGATTACAGGCGTGAGCCACCACGCCTGGCCTAACATTTATATTTTTAACATTTTATTGGAGATGGAGTTTTATGGTGCTGCCCAGGCTGGTCTCGAACTCCTGAGCTCAGTCGATCCACCCACCTCACACTTCCACAGTGTCATGACAGGGGTGAGCCACTGTGCCTGGCCAGATAGCATAATTTTCTATGTAGAAAATCTCAAGGTAATTAAAAAAAAAAACTTCCTAGAATTAATGTAGAAGTCAATTGTATTTCTACATACAAGCATGAACATGAAGGCATCAAAATTAACAATGGAATACTTCCATTTAAAATCACTCAAAAAGTACTCAGGTATAAATATAGCAAAATAAGTACATGACTTACGTGCTAAAAACTACACAAATTTCAGGAAAGACATCAAAGAAGCTCTAAAGAAATGAGGAGACATACTATCCTGATGGATTAAAAGACTGAACATAGTAAAAATGGCAATTCTTTCCAAGTTGATATACAGGTATAATGAAATTCCTATCAAAATCGCAGCAAGATTACCTGTAGATATAGGCAAGATTATTCTAAAATGTGTGTGGAAAGACAAAGGAACTAGAATAGCTAAAGCAATTTTGAAAAAGAATAAAATAGGAGCAATTAGTTTACTTGATTTCAAGACTCATAATATAGCTACAGCAATCAAGTTGTTTGGTATTGGTAGAGGGATAGAGACATAGATTAAAGTAACATAACATAACATAACATAACATAACATAACATAACATAACATAACATAACATAACATAGACCTAGGAATAGACCCACATAAATATGCCCAACCGACTGGGCAAAAGCAATTCAACAGAGGAAAGATAACCTCTTCAAAAGATGGTACTGGAGCAATTGGACATTAAAAAGCAAAAAAATAAATCTCGGCCAAGTTTCATACCTTATAGAAAAACTCAAGGGCCTGGAGTGGTGGTTCACGCCTGTAATCCCAACACTTTGGAAGGCCGAGGTGGGTGGATCATGAGGTCAGGATCAAGACCAGCCTGGACAAGATGGTGAAACCCCGTCTCTACTAAAAATACAAAAAATTAGCCTGGTGTGGTTGTGGGCGCCTATAATCTCAGCTACTTGGGAGGCTGAGGCAGAGACTTGCTTGATCCCAGGAGGCAGAAGTTGCAGTGAGCTGAGATTGCGCCATTGCACTCTAGTCTGGGTGACAAAGCGAGACTGTCTCAAAAAATGAAAGAAAGAAAAAGAAAAAAAAAAGGAAAGAAAGAAAGAAAACGAAGGAGGGAAGGAAAGAAAGAGAAAGAAAGAAAAGAAAAGAAAAGAAGAGAAAGGTCCTCCCAATGTTCAGGGAGGAATACATATTGGTAAAACCCTGTCTCTACTAAAAATACAAAAATTAGTCTGGCATGGTGGCAGCTGCCTGTAATCCCAGCTACTCGGGTGGCTGAGGCATGAGAATCACTTGAACTGGGGAGGTGAAGCTTGCGGTGAGCTGAGATCACACCACTTCACTCCAGCCTGGGCAACAGAGCAAGACTCTGTCTCAAAAAAAAAAAAAAAGATAAAAAAAAATAAATGAACAATACAATGTCTGAGATTAAAAAAAAAGAAAAAAGAAAAACACTGGACATGATTAACAGCATCTTAGACAAGGCAGAAGAAAAGATGAGTGAATTGGAAGATGTAGCAACAGAATCCAGGCAAAATGAAACAGACCATAACATAGAGACCCAGAAATAGTCTTTGAGGGAAAGACTCAAAAGAAAAATAAACTGAAAAATGAATCGGTGAGCTGTGGGATAAATCAAATGGCCTAATATATTTGTAATTTGAGGTCCAGATGTATGGACATGGGGTGGAAGGAGGGACGGCCAAAAATATTTGAAGAAATAATGGCCTGGCCAAAAATATTTGAAGAAATAATGGCCTGTGTTTTCAAATTTGATGAAACTATAAACCCACAGTTCCAACCAACAAGAAAACCCAACAACCACAAGCAGAAGGAAAATGAAGAAAATTACACCAAAGCACAATATAATAAAATTGCAGTCCAGATGTGGTGGCTCACACCTATAATCCCAGCACTTTGGGAAGCCAAGGTGGATGAATCGCTTGAGTCCATGAGTTCGAGACCAGCTTGGGCAACATGGCAAAACCCTGTCTCTACAAAAAAAAAAAAAAAAAAAATTAGCCAGGCATGGTGGCACACACCTGTAGTCCCAGCTACTCAGGGGGAGGCTGAGGTGGAAGGACGGCTTGAGTCTCAGAGGCAGAGGTTGCAGTGAGCTGAGATCTTGCCACTGCACTCCAGCCTGGGTGACAGAGTGAGACCTCATCTCCAAAACAAACAAACAAACAAATACAATTGTTTAAAGTGAGATATAAGGCTGGGCATGGTGGCTTACACTTGTAAACTCAGTGAGACAGGAGAAAGGTAGAAATCAGTGAGGCAGGCAGTTAGGGTGGGTCCTTGGTTGAATTCTTTCATACAAAAGAATAGCCTGAAAAATCAAGCTTCAGGCACAGATAAGGGAACTTGCATAAAGGGTTTGCCTAAGACATGCCCTTGGCTGCACAGATAAGAAAGGATAGGCCGGACGGACGCAGTGGTTCACGCCTGTAATCCCAGCACTTTGGGAGGCCAAGACGGATGGATCACCTGAGGTCAGGAGATAAGACCATTCTGGTTAACACAGTGAAACCCCGTCTCTACTGAAAATACAAAAAATTAGCCGGGCGTGGTGGCGGGTGCCCGTAGTCCCAGCTACTTGGGAGGCTGAGGCAGGAGAATGGCGTGAACCCGGGAGGTGGAGCTTGCAGTGAGCCCAGATTGTGCCACTGCACTCCAGCCTGGGCGACAGAGCAAGACTCCATCTCAAAAAAAAAAAAAAAAAAAAAAAAGAAAGGATATATAGGTGACATGCCCGCAATGGAAAATTCTGTACCCTGACACATAGGCAGTAAGGGGAACAGAGCAATATGGAGTAACTCAAGCTAAGGAAGGGCCCGTGTGCACATTAGGAAGATGGGGTGGAGCTACCAGAAATTTGCACCTTATGCAAATGAGATGCCCAGGCCTCATAGGTTTCTCATAAAAGCCTTTGCATTTAACTGTAAAAACAGCAAGGCTGGGCACAGTGGCTCACGCCTGTATTCCCAGCACTTTGGGAGGCTGAGGCGGGCGATCACCTGAGGTCAGGAGTTTGAGACCAGCCAGGCAAACATGGTGAAACCCGGTCTCTACTAAAAATACAAAAATTAGCTGGGTGTGGTGGCAGGCACCTGTAATCCCAGCTATTTGGGAGGCTGAGGCAGGAGATCGCACCATTGCACTCCAGCCTGGGCGACAGAGCAAAACTGTCTCAAAAAAAAAACAAAAAAAAAAAACAGCAGCCTGGGCGGTGGCTCATGCCTGTAATCCCAGAACTTTGGGAGGCCTCTAAGTCTTCAACTCCTATTAACACGACATCATCATTAGCACAACATCACCCCAAGTCCTCTGGCCAGGCATGGTTCCTTTTGTGCAGATGATCTGGGAAGTACCCACTGATGTATTCCCACCACGAACACCCAGATTTCCTTGTTCTGCAGTGGTTCACTCTCAACCCAGGAATCTGAAGCAATAATTTCTAAATCATGTAGTTTGAGGGGGAGAGGTGATGACAATGTTGACATATTTAATTGATAACTAAGGCATAGAAAAATCAGCTAAACTTGGGCCATTTTTTCATATGTAGGTAACAGCTACACACACACGCGTGCGCACATGGTACATTCACATATGGGCATGCTCAACAGGTTTTTAACTGCCCAAACACACTTGGAATTCATCTGTGTAGAACATTCCAACACTCCTGCCTCAAAGGATGATCAGAAGACTGAAGATAATGAACACAGTTCTTGGCCTTTGGTTTGCAAAATAGGCTTCTGAGATCTCAAGGCAGAGATTTTAGTTTGAGACAACAAAGTTTTGAAGTCTGCAAGGTCTGTTTGAGACTCAAATGCCAAATTTCTTTTTTCTTTTCTTTTTTTTTCTCTTAAATGTCAAATCTCTAAAGATATATCTACTTTAGGAATATGGAAAGATTGGATGAGATCAGCGCTCTCCTGTCCCGTGATAAAGATCCCTTCCTCTGCCTGGGCAGGAGAAAGTTGGTGATGCCATGAAAGGTGGAGGGCTTTGGATCAGGGCATGAGAGTGTTTGTTCTCTAGGAGTTAGTGTGTTGGCTGAGTCTTGGGGTGTCCCTTCTGTCCTGGCCTGGCTACACCTTAACTCATTTATGCTGGAGGTTGCAATTTTTTGTGTGAAAAGTCAGATCTTGGCAATGATCTTGAGCAGTAGGATATAAATAACTCCCACAAGCTTAGAGTTCCAATAATGGAACACTAGTTAAGTATTATCTGGGATGTGTATTATCTGCTGGAATGCCAAGGCTCCCCTGTCTGTGCCCCAGCCTTTGTGCAGCCCTCAGACTCATCGTGACACCGAGAGAGGTTGTGGGCAGGCCTAGCATCCCCACTGAAGCTGGGCACTTATCATGTACACTCTGACTATAGTCAGTAGATGACCTAGTCTTGGAGGAAAACTGTGAAAGTAACCACCCCTCAAGGTCACTGTTTGAAAGCACTGTGGTTTCTTAGATTTAATCTATTCTATTACATGCTGGTGATTTATGGTTTTCACATCAAAGAAGTGAGCACTTACACTTTATACCCTCAGGGCAAATCTGGCCAGGGGAGGAGGGGATTGGTTGGTCTCTCACACACAGGAACAGACAGTCTCAAACACAGATGCACATGGAGAACTAGTAATCCTTTGGAAAGCTTGTCTTTTGTTTTAAGGAAATTATCTGTGGGCTAGCTATATAAACTAACATTTACACTTGATAGAGAATGAAAGTGGAATATTTTGATTATTTGACATTGTGAGCCATATGAAAAACATGTTTAAAGACAAAATAGGCGGGCTGGGTGCGGTGGCTCACGCCTGTAATCCCAGCACTTTGGGAGGCCGAGGAGGGTGGATCACCTCAGGTCAGGAGTTCGAGACTAGCCTGGCCAACATGGTGAAACCCCGTCTCTACTAAAAAATACAAAAGTTAGCTGGGCGTGGTGGCTCATGCCTGTAATCCCAGCTACTCGGGAGGCTGAGGCAGGAGAATGGCTTGAACCCAGTAGGCGGAGGTTGCAGTGAGCCAAGATTGTGCCATTACACTCCAGCCTGGGTGACAAGAGCAAAACTCCGTCTCAAAAAAAAAAAAAAAAAAAAAGACAAAATAGGCTGGGCTTGGTGGCTTGCCCCTGTAATCCCAGTACTTTGGGAGGCTAGGGTAGGCAGATCACCTGAGGTTAGGAGTTGGAGACTAGCCTGGCCAACATGGCAAAACTCCGTATCTACTAAAAATACAAAAATTAGCCAGGCATCATGGCGTGCGCCTGTATTCCCAGCTGTTTGGGAGGCTGAGGCATGAGAACCACTTTTACCAGGGAGGCAGAGGTTGCAGTGAGCTGAGATCGTGTGCCACTGCACTCCAGCCTGGGCGACAGAGACTCTGTCTCAGAAATAAATAAATAAAGACAAAATCAAAATTAATCCTCTCCAGTGCTTAAGGTTTTATTCTATAATTTGAAGTTTTTAAACATAAAAGTGTTTAAACTTTTATGTTTCAAAGTGTTCAAGTGTTTCTGAACATGAGAGTAGAAAAATGCATTATCTTAGTATGGGAAAGATGTTTCTAAACATTGTAAAAACTAAAGAAGCAGTGTAAGAAAATAGTGCCAAATTTGATTATACACAAATTTTAGGCCAGGTATGGTGGCTCATGCCTGTAATCCCAGCACTTCAGGAGGCTAAGGCACGAGGATAACTTGAGCCCAGGAGTTTGAGACTGCAAGACCTCCTCTCTACAAAAAATAGCAAATTGGCTAGGGCATGATGTTATGTGCCTGGGACCTCATTTACTTGGAACGCTGAGGTGGGTGGATTGCTTGAGCCCTAGAGGTTGAGGACACAGTGAGCTGATGATTGCACCACTGCAGGAAAATAAATACCATAAACAAAATAAAAACCGAAATAAAAAATTGGTTAAAAATTTTGCTACATATGTGACAACAGACTAATATTCTTCAACATGTAAGGAGTTCCTGTAAATCAAGGAAAAAAGACAAAATCCAAATAGATTAGACCACAACATGGACAATTTACAAGAAATAAATTTCCAATTTTTTTTGTTTTATTCTCTTAACAGCTTTTTTGAGATACATTTCATGTACTATATACTTTACTCATTTAAATCATACAATTCAGCTTTTATATATTCATACTTATGCATCTATTATCATAATCAATTTTGGAATATTTTTATTACTCCAGAAAGAAATGTAAGCACTTGACAAGTTCTTCCTGCCCATTGTGTAACTGCCCAGCGGGTTCACCTTGCCCTCTGCCTAGACAGAGCTGATTTATTAAGACAGGGGAATGGCAATACAGAAAGAGTAATTCACTCAGAGCCAGCTGTCCAGGAGACTAGAGTGTTATTATTACTCAAATCAGTCTCCCTGAGCATTCAGGGAGCAGAGTTTTTAAGGACAATTTTGTGGGTTGGGAAAAGCCGGTGAGCTGGGAGTGCTGATTGGTAGGGGATGAAATCACTGGGAGTGAGAGCTGTCTTCTTGGACTGAGTCAGTTCCTGGTTGGGGAAAATAAGATCAGATGAGCCAGTTTATTGATCTGGGTGGAGCCAGCTGACACATCAAGTGCAGGGTCTGCAAAATATCTCAAGCTCTGATCTTAGGAGCAACTTAGAGAGGGTCAGAATCTTGTAGCCTCCAGCTGCATGACTCCTAAACCATAATTTCTAATCTTATGGCTAACGTTAGTCCTACAAAGGCAGTCTAGTCCCCAGGCAAGAAGGAGGTCTGCTTTGGGAAAAGGACTATTAGGGTCTTTGTTTTAAACTATAAACTTTAAACTATAAACTATAAATTAAGTTTTTCCCAAAGTTAGTTCAGCCTACCCCCAGGAATGAACAAGGACAGCTTGGAGATTAGAAGCAAGATGGAGTTGGTTAGGTTAGATCTCTTTCACTGTCTCAGTCATAATTTTACAAAGATGGTTTCAATTGCAAAGACAAAATTATAATAATTCACTGAGACCACGAAATTGCAGTAAAGGAAGACTTCAATTGATGTGAGGCTGGTCACATCACATGAGAGACGGAGTTACTACTCAAATCAATATTACCAAAGGCTTAAAGGTTAGGGTGTTTTAAAGATAGTTCGGTGGGCAGGGAGTGAGGTTATAGGTGCTGATGATTGGTTGAGGATTCAATCATAGGGGTATGGAAAATGATCCTTATGTCTGAGTCGGCTTCTTGGTGGGTGCCCCAGGACTGGCTGAGTCATGGGCCTGGGTGGGGCTATCTAGTAGTAAAAAATGCAAAGTCTGGAAAGACATTTCAAAACGCCAATCTTAGGGTCTACGTAGTGATGTTATTTACAGGAATAATTGGGGAAGTTGCTAATCTTGTGACCTCTGGAATAATGTCTGGTAGCCATTTAAGTAATTTTGCAAAGGCAGTTTCAGAAACCATGTACTCCTTAGCCATTACCCCTCAATTCCCCATTCCCCCCAGTCCTAGGCATCAATATAATTTGTCTCTATGAATTTGTCTTTCAATTCATGAATATAGGATGCTTTTAAACTTATTTTGGACTTTAATTACCTTCAACATTATTTTATTCTTTTGGAATCTGTTATAAGTAGAATTGTTTTCTTAACTTCATTTTCAGTTTGTTCATTGCTACTGTATAGAAATACAACTGATTTTTATATATTGATCATACATCCTAAAACCTTGCTGAACTCATTTATTAGTTCTAAGAGTTTTTTTTTTTTTTTTTTTTTGAGACAGAGTTTCGCTCTTGTTGCCCAGGCTGGAGTGCAATGGCACTATCTCCTGAGTAGCTGTGATTACAGGCATGTGCCACCACACACGGCTAATTTTGTATTTTTAGTAGAGATGGGGTTTCTCCGTGTTGGTCAGGCTGGTCTCGAACTCCTGACCTCAGGTGATCCGCCTGCCTCAGCCTCCCAAAGTGCTGGGATTACAGGCATGAGCCACCGCATCTGGCCTGTTAGTTCTAAGAGTTTTTTAGAGGATTCCTTAGGAACAAATTACTTTTAAATATATGAAAAGAGATCAACTTCTCCTATACTAATAAGATAAATGCAAATCCAGATTACCACAGGATATGATAAATTCACCTACTAAATTGGCAGATCTAAAATTTTGATATCATTGTGTAGATGATATCATTGTGTAGGTGTTGTATCTATTAAGACAAATACTCATACTTTGTCTTCAGAATTCTGAAACCGCCATTGCAAAAGTATAACCGAGACAGTAGAAGAGATCTAACCTAAGACTATACTTTCAGGGATCATTTCTATAGTTCGTTACTAAAGAAGTTTCTCTGAACGTGTAGAGCACCGGTACAAACAAATGGAAGAACATTCCATGCTCATGGATAGGAAGAATCAATATCGTGAAAATGGCCATACTGCCCAAGGTAATTTATAGATTCAATGCCATCCCCATCAAGCTACCAATGACTTTCTTCACAGAATTGGAAAAAACTACTTTAAAGTTCATATGGAACCAAAAAAGACCCCGCATTGCCAAGTCAATCCTAAGCCAAAAGAACAAAGCCGGAGGCATCACACTACCTGACTTCAAACTATACTACAAGGCCACAGTAATCAAAACAGAATGGTACTGGTACCAAAACAGAGATATAGACCAATGGAACAGAACAGAGCCCTCAGAAGTAATACCACACATCTACAACTATCTGATCTTTGATAAACCTGACAAAAACAAGCAATGGGGAAAGGATTCCCTATTTAATAAATGGTGCTGGGAAAACTGGCTAGCCATATGTAGAAAGCTGAAACTGGATCCCTTCCTTACACCTTATACAAAAATTAATTCTAGATGGATGGATTAAAGACTTAAATGTTAGACCTAAAACCATAAAAACCCTAGAAGAAAACCTAGGCAATACCATTCAGGACATAGGCATGTGCAAGGACTTCATGTCTAAAACACCAAAAGCAATGGCAACAAAAGCCAAAATTGACAAATGGGATCTAATTAAACTAAAGAGCTTCTGCACAGCAAAAGAAACTACCATCAGAGTGAACAGGCAACCTACAGAATGGGAGAAAATTTTTGCAATCTACTCATCTGACAAAGGGCTAACATACAGAATCTACAAAGAACTCAAACAAACTTACAAGGAAAAAACCACCCCATCAAAAAGTGGGCGAAGAATATGACAGACACTTCTCAAAAGAAGATATTTATGCAGCCAAAAGACACATGAAAAAATGCTCATCATCACTGGCCATCAGAGAAATGCAAATCAAAACCACAATGAGATACCATCTCACACCAGTTAGAATGGCGATCATTAAAAAGTCAGGAAACAACAGGTGCTGGAGAGGATGTGGAGAAATAGGAACACTTTTACACTGTTGGTGGGACTGTAAACTAGTTCAACCATTGTGGAAGTCAGTGTGGCAATTCCTCAGGGATCTAGAACTAGAAATACCATTTGACCCAGCCATCCCATTACTGGGTATATACCCAAAGGATTATAAATCATGCTGCTATAAAGACACATGAACACGTATGTTTATTGCAGCACTATTCACAGTAGCAAAGACTTGGAACCAACCCAAATTTCCAACGATAGATTAAATTAAGAAAATGTGGCACATATACACCATGGAATACTATGCAGCCATAAAAAATGACGAGTTCATGTCCTTGTAGGGACATGGATGAAGCTGGAAACCATCATTCTCAGCAAACTATTGCAAGGACAAAAAACCAAACACTGCATGTTCTCACTCATAGGTGGGAACTGAACAATGAGAACACTTGGACACAGGAAGGGGAACATCACACACCAGGGCCTGTCGTGGGGTGGGGGGAGGGGGGAGGGATAGCATTAGGAGATACACTTAATGTAAATGACGAGTTAATGGGTGCAGCACAGCAACATGGCACATGTATCCATATGTAACAAACCTGCACGTTGTGCACATGTACCCTAGAACTTAAAGTATAATAAAAAACAAAAACAAACAAACAAACAAAAAAAAAAAATATATATATATATATATATATATATATATAGAGAGAGAGAGAGAGAGAGAGAGAGAGAGAGAGAGAGAGATCTAACCTAACTAGCTCCATCTTGCTTCTAACCTCCAAGCTGTCCTTGTTCATTCCTGGGGGTAGGCTGAACTAACTTTGGGAATAACTTAGTTTATAGTTTGAAGCAAAGATGTTAACAGCCCTTTCCCAAAACAAACTCCCTTCTTGCCTGGGAACTAGACTGTCTTTGTAGGACTAACGAATTAGTCAAAAGATTAGAAATTATGGTTTAGGAGTCATGCAGCTGGAGTCTACAAGATTCTGACCCTCCCCAGATTGTTCCTGGGGATAACAACACTATTGTAAAACCTAAGATCACTGCTTGAGATATTTTGCATATCCTGCACTTGATGGACCAGCCAGCACCACCCAGATTGATCAACTGGCTCATCTGATTTTGTGGCCTCCATTCAGGAACTGACTCAGCACAAGACTACAGCTTCAACTCCCTATGATTTCATCTCTGACCCAATCGGCACTCCCGAATCACTGGTGCCACCCCTCACTCATCAAATTATTCTTAAAAACTCTGATCCCCGGCTGGGTGCGGTGGCTCACACCTGTAATCCCAGCACTTTGGGAGGCCGAGGCGGGTGGATCACGAGGTCAGGAGTTCGAGATCAGCCTGGCCAAGATGGTGAAACCCGGTCTCTACTAAAAATACAAAAATTAGCTGGGCATGGTGGCACATGCCTGTATTCCCAGCAACTTGGGAGGCTAAGGCAGGAGAATCGCTTGAATCCAGGAGGCGGAGGTTGCGGTGAGCCGAGATCATGCCATTGCATTCCAGCCTGGGCGACAAGAGCGAAACTATGTCTTAAAAAGAAAAAAAAAAAAAGGCCGGGTGTGGTGGCTCATGCCTGTATTCCCAGCACTTTGACAGGCTGAGGCTGGCGGATCACGAGGTCGGGAGATCGAGACCATCCTGGCTAACACGGTGAAACCCCGTCTCTACTAAAAAAATACAAAAAAATTAGCCGGGTGCAGTGGCGGGCGCCTGTAGTCCCAGCTACTCAGGAGGCTGAGGCAGGAGAATGGCGGGAATCCAGAAGGCGGAGCTTGCAGTGAGCTGAGATCGCGCCACTGCACTCCAGCCTGGGAGACAGGCGAGACTCTATACCAAAAAAAAAAAAAAAAATTCTGATCCCCGAATGCCTGGGGAGACTGATTTGAGTAATAATAAAATTCCCATCTCCGTACGGCTCTGTGTGAAATACTCTTTCTCTATTGCAATTCCCCTGTCTTGATAAATTGGCTCTGTCTAGTCAGCAGTCAAGGTAAACATTTTAGGTGGTTATACATTTATAAACATACACATTTTATAAACATTTATAAAATATCCTCCTTCTCAACATAACCATCATCCCACTCCCCAATAAAATAATTATCTGTGATCGTGAAGTACCCAGTTTACTTGCTGTTTGACAATTATTTTTGAGACGGAGTTTCACTGTTGTCACCCAGGTGGCGTGCAGTGGATGCTATCTCAGCTTACTGCAACCTCCACCTCCTGGGTTCAAGGGATTCTCCTGCCTCAGCCTCCTGAGTAGCTGGAATTGCAGGCGCCTGCCACCACGCCCAGCTAATTTTTGTATTTGTAGTAGAGGCGGGGTTTCACCATGTTAGCCAGGTTGATCTCGAACTCCTGACCTCAGTGTGATCCACCCACCTAGGCTTCCGAAAGTGCTGGGATTACAGGTGTGAGCCACTGCACCCAGCCTGACAATTATTATTATGCTATCTTTTTCATGAGCACTCCATCAGGTCAAATCCTGTCTCCAAAAGTTTATTACAAGAGTCTTCTACATGGTCTCCTATATCTCAAAATTCCTCCTCTACATTTTCCTCTAGACAGCACCAGATTGACTCAGCAAAGTTTACCCCACAAACCTGACCGAACAACTTAAATGGTTTCCAACTGTATGGTGAAACTCCTTTATAAAAGTGTAGTTCTGTATAGAACTTATTTTGATCCTTGACATAACTCTGTAAGAATGGGCAAGGAGAGTTTAAATTCCCCCAATATCCTGGCGCTTCATAACCCCAGTGTCCTAATAAATCCACATGACCCAGTATTCCCTGACCATGTCATGCGTTTATTCATAATAAACAGTTGTTGAACCCTTACCGTGCTCTAGGAGTATACTGATAATGAAAACAAGAGTTTGTTGTGCCCTCTGGACTTGATAATGGGGTATGAGAACAGAGGATACACAAGTAAACAAACTGATACCTATGCAGTTACAAAAAGGATCTATGCTACAAGTAGAAACAATAAGGGTGTAAGTAAAAGGAAATAATAGTGGGCAATCTACTTGTGCGGGTGGTCAGGGGAGGCTTCTCTGAGGAGGTGACATTTAAAAGCATTTATTTGCCTGCTGTGCAGAAAATGACCTGTAGGGAGGTGGGGAGTCAGCCAAGGGAAATGGAAAGAAGCCTGGTAAGTTGACCAGATGGCTGAACTCTGCTCCTGCTGTTTCTCTCTTCAAGTTCTTCATTCAGTAAACATTTCCTGAGCACCATGTGATGTCTCCCCGCTCCCCAACCCTGTGATGTGTAAATGTTCTTGTGGATATACACTTTGTGCCCCCTCCAGAGGCTAATGAATAATGATAACTGCTGAACCAGGGAATGGAAGGGCTGTTCTGGTTTTCTTTTCTTTCTGTCTTTTTTTTTTTTGAACGGAGTTTCGCTCTTGTCACCCAGGCTGGAGTGCAATGGCGTGATCTTGGCTCACCGCAACCTCCGCCTCCCAGGTTCAAGCGATTCTTCTGCCTCAGCCTCCCGAGTAGCTGGGATTACAGGCATGCGCCACCACACCCAGCGAATTTTGTATTTTTAGTAGAGATGGGGTTTTTCCATGTTGGTCAGGCTGGTCTCGAACTCCCGACCTCAGGTGATCCGCCCGCCTCAGCCTCCCAAAGTGCTGGAATTACAGGTGTGAGCCACCGTGCCTGGCCTCTGTTTATTTTTATACAGACATGGACAGTTGTTTGAGAGAAGCCTGGAAGGGCATGGCACTACAATTTGTGATTTTGCTGAGGCTCCAGGAGCATGGCATTAAGCCACAGTATAAATGAGTATGGAGAGGGGGTGCCTTCCGAGAGACACAGTTCCTGGGTTCTGTTTGCCCCTTGTAGTCCCACAGCTGCCTGGCTTCCAGCGGACAGTGGCAGGCTAGTTCGGGGAGGAAAAAAATATTTTCCCTCAACCCTCTCTGAGTTCTTCACTGAGATGGACTGCTAGAACAAAATACAGATTAACAAGAGAAAAGCAAACAAGTTTATTAACATGACTATCTGATAAATACAAGGGAGATAACTCAGAGAAATGAGACAATCTCAAGAGTAGATCTCAAAGAGGTAGCTTCAGACTTATGTACCATCATTCCCTGATACAAATAATGAAAGGTGTGGGCCAGATCACCCTCATCCTCTGCTAGGACTACCTGGCCAAGAGGTGCAGGGTAAACAAAAGCCAGGTTTGTGATGCAGATTGAGCTTGTGCTTTTTGCATTAGTAAGAGTTTCCAAGGCCGAGAATGGTGGCTCATGCCTGTAATCTCAGTACATTGGGAGGCCAAGGCAGGCGGATCACCTGAGGTCCGGAGTTTGAGATCAGCCTGACCAACATGAAGAAACCCTGTCTCTACTTAAAAAAAAAAACAACACAAAATTAACCGGGCATGGTGGTGCATGCCTGTAATCCCAGCTACTCGGGAGGCTGAGGCAGGAGAATTGCTTGAACCCAGGAGGCGGAGGTTGCAGTGAGCCGAGATCGTGCCATTACACTCCAGCCTGGGCAAAAAGAGCGAAACTCTGTCTAAATAAAATAAAATAAAATAAAATAAAATAAAATAAAATAAAATAAAATAAAATAAGAATTTGCAGTGATTTAGTCATCCTTTTCTTCCTGGCATAGAGAGGAAAACACCATTACAAATGCAGATTTTCTTTATAGAATAAGTTTCTCTTGCAAAAGGATAACTGTTGACTGTTTTCAGAGCTTCTCCTGTGTCTGCTGTTTCCCAAAATCACCAGTTGAAAGTAATCCTTTGTCAAAGAGGCTTATTTGGAATGGCAATATACTGGTCTCCTACAGACATGTTTTGGGGTGGTGTGTGCTGAACTCCACCATTGGCTCCCTCTCCCTTTAATAGAAATGTAAATAACATTTATAGGAGGCCATTGATTTCCACTGAGCTCCTGCACCAGCTCCAACAGACCAAAGCAAGATGGAGTCCCTCCTGCTAAAGTTTGATGCCACCAAACTAAGTTAACTGACCTGAGAAATCAGGAGAGAGAGAGATAAAAGTCACTCCCAAACAGGCCAGTTTTAGCTGGCTTGATAAGGGAGTCTCCTCTGCTTCAACCCTTACAAGGAAAGCAACTTTGAACGTACCAATTTGCTTTTGGTTCTTTGTTTCTGCTTTCTTCATCCTTTTACCTAAGGATTAAGCTCTGATTTTTTTTATCTTGCCCCAATTCCTATCTAAGGGGTCTGCAGAATCGTGCCCTACAAATCATATCAGATGGGTTTTATTTAACCCTGTATATCGTGACTTACTTTCCAATCTGACTCTGGCATAACAAGGAAGAAAATCAAAATATTTTACCCCAAATCATGTTTCTCTGCCATATCTTGAAATGGCCCTGCCAAGCCATGTCTTATGGGAAACATCCACATTCTACAGAGAATCCCCTTTCCCCCTTTTCTTTATTCATTTATTTATTTTTTACCTTCCTTCCTTTCCAGATCCAGGAGATAATCAACTAAGAGCCAGGCACCCTTTTAGGTCCAGTAAGAAACATTTTACAACCTGCCCTCTCTGAATTCTACTATCTGAGAGCTTCTTCTGCACGATAAAACTTGGTCTCCACAATCCTTTATCTTAACCTGAACATTTCCTTTCTACTGATCCCAGGTCTTCAGATAAACTCAACCAATTGTCAACCAGAAAATGTTTAAATTTACCTATAGCCTGGAAGCCCCCTCTTTGAGTTGTCCCGTCTTTCAGAACCAAACCAATGTATTTCTTAAATGTATTTGATTGATGTCTCGTGCCTCCCTAAAATATATAAAATCAAGCTGTGCCCCGACCACCTTGGGCACATGTTCTCAGTGTTATAAAGTTTCAGTGCCACAAAAGAAATAGCACTCGAATATTAAATTTTCTTTTAATTATCAGCAAGGCAAGGTACTTCTATAGAAGGGTGTGCCCTCACAGATGGAGCAATGGTGAGCACACACTTGGACAAGGGAGGGGAAGGGGTTCTTATTCCTGACACCTGCTGCTGTGTCATTCCCCTATTGGCTAGGGTTAGACCGCATAGGCTAAACTAATTCCGACTGGCTAATTTAAAGAGAGTGACAGGGTGAGTGGTTTGGCGGGAAAAATGTTATCACAGAGCAGGTAATCGGAATGAGTCAGGGTGGAGCAGGTAATTGGAATGAGTCAGAGTGGAGTAGATAATCAGAATGAGTCAGGGTGGAGTAGGTAATCGAAAAAGGTTGATTTATGAGGAAGTTTAATTTTGTAAAAATACACAATTCGCCGGGTGTGGTGGTGCACGCCTGTAATCCCAGCCACTCGGGAGGCTGAGGCAGAAGAATCGCTTGAATCAAAAGGTTGATTTATGAGGAAGTTAATTTTAAAAGTAGAAGGCAAAGAATTGAACATACTGACATATTGACAGTTTGAAAAGAAATTTAGAACTCATATCTAACATCAAGACCACCTGAGGGCTGTGTCACTCACTGGCCATGGTCACTCATATGTGGCTCAGAATAAATCTGTTAAAGGTTTATTCTCAACATATCCATCCAAAATACTCATTGCCCACATTGCGGAGATGAGCTCTTGAAACCCCTTCTTGTTCTGAGGGTTGCATGATTGGTGAATTGTTCTTTGGTCAAATAAACTCTGTTAAACTTATCTTGTCTGATATTCTTCTTTATCAGGAAGAAGCTTTGGTGTCGAGTCCAGTAGTCGGAGGCTTCCTGAGAAGTAAACTAAACAGGCCCCCACCATTCAAGACTCACACTCTAGCAAGGTGATGGGATAGTGGGAGAAAGGGTCAGAGGATGGGGGCTGGGCCTAAGACTGGGTGTGGCTCCTCCACAGACCACCTGGGTTTGTTTTTTTTAAACCAATTACTTCCCATGGAAGAATAACTTCTGTATTGAAGTTGTAGCGTGAACATGGGGAAGCCATCCACAGAGACTCTAAACCATCAATAAGCCCTGAGCCGGTATGGAACTTGCCCAAGCTGGTATGGAACTCCTGGGTTCAAACAATACTCCTGCCCAGGCCTCCCAAAGTGCTGGGATTACAGGCGTGAGAGCCACAGTGCCCACCCTTATAGTGTCTTTATTGACCCCCTACTCTCACCAGACTTTTGTCTAGGCAGTGGAGATACGGCAAAGGATAGAGCAAAGGATGTATGCTGGGAGCTTATAAGACTATGATAATGTGACAGAGGGCTAGAGGAGGGATGGAGCATGCTCCCACCCTTGCCAGCCTCCTGGAACCCAGGTGAGCAGACAACACCCAGAGAGGCTCCCAGCAGGGCTGTGTGTGCTCAGTTTGTTTCTGACCCTGTCTCTGTTTGTGCTTTCCTTATTTGTTCCCCTCCTCTGGTCCTAATGCTGACCATCCAGGCAGGTGCTGGTGACTTCGGTTCTGACCGACAGCCTGGATGGACACCACACTTCCTCACGTGGAGCCTGTATCAGTTGTGGCTCTCAGTCAGAGATCTGGCCCCAGTGCCTCATCACATCCAACACAGAAGAGCTGCCTCTGTCTCAGTGAGGCCACCATCTTATCAGGATTCACATGTTAGGTGTCTTAGTCTATTTTCTGTTGCTTGAAACTGGGTAATTTATAAAGAAAGGAAGTTTCCTTTTTTCTTTTTTTTTGAGATGGAGTTTCACTTTGTTGCCTAGGCTGGAGTGCAGTGGCATGATCTCGACTCACTGCAACCTCCATCTCCCGGGTTCAAGCGATTCTTGTGCCTCACACTCCCAAATAGCTGGGACTACAAGCATGTGCCACCATGCCCAGATAATTTTTGTATTTTTAGTAGAGACGGGGTTTCACCATGTTGGCCAGGCTAGTCTCCAACTCCTGACCTCAGGTGATCCGCCCTCCTTCGCCTCCCAAAGTGCTGGGATTATAGGCATGAGCCAGCATGCCCGGCCACAAGGGAAATTTATTTCTTACAGTTATGGAGGCTGGGAAGTCCAAGCTCAAGAGGGCCTTCTTGCTAGTGGGGACTCTCTGCAGAGTCCTGAGACTGTGCAGGGCATCACATGGAGAGGGGGCTGAGTGAGCTCACTTGCTAGCTCAGGTCTCTCTTCCTCTTATAAAACCATCAGTTCCACTTTCATAACAACCCATTAATCCACTAATCCATGTATGGACTATACCTCTTAAAAGCCCCACCTCTCAATATTGCCACACTGGGGGCTATATTTCAACATGAGTTTGGAGGAGATAAACACTCAAACCATAGCATTTAGAGCTGCCTAATCAGCACATCCATAAATCTATAGCCATGAGTGTGAGTGGGAGAACCAGCATGAACCTCAATCATATTAAGGGCCAACATGTTAATATTCACTCAACGGGAGAACCTGAGCAGTCCTAGCTGGATGACCGCTGCCTGACCCATCTGTGTATGACACAGGCAACCACTGGGGAGACAGCATCCTTTCCTAAAGGTGGATCTTCAAGCTCACCCACCTAGAGGTTAAGCCAATCAAATAATTATCCATGTACTTGGGGTATATATTGGATACTGAATACTTTTCGCTGTGTTGAATAATTCTATAATAAATATACTAATTTGAAAAGGATCCCTAGGGTCAGTTTCCAATTATTACATCAATGCCAGTGGGGTGAACATATCAAGGTTCACCGTAGATATAACCACCCCTCATGCCTTTGGTATCTCTTCCTTCTTCCACTCCAAATCACAAGCATATTCATCCTTGGGGCAGAAATCCTCCCAAGTAGGAGCCCAGGAACCCAGAGTTAAAAGACATATACATCTAGTATAGGCCAAGGCTTTTATTTATTTATTTATTTTTGAGACGGAGTTTCGCTCTTATTGCCCAGGCTGGAGTGCAACGGCGCGATCTCGGCTCACTGCAACCTCTGCCTCCCAGGTTCAAGCGATTCTTCTGTCTCAGCCTCCCGAGTAGCTGGGATTACAGGCGCCTGCCACCAAGCCCGGCTAATTTTTTTGTATTTTTAGTAGAGAAGGGGTTTCACCGTGTTGGTCAGGCTGGTCTCGAACTCCTGACCTCAGGTGATCTGCCCACCTCTGCCTCTCAAAGTGTTGGGATTATAGGCATGAGCCACCGCGCCCAGCCGGCCAAGGTTTTTAACATGCCAATTTGTATTTAATAAGCTTGCTATAGGAGGAAAAATATATGTAGAACCTTTGATCCAATCTCTAGAAGTTGAGTATGGTTGAGAAACTGCAAAGAAATTAACTATATGCCAGGGTTGGTGGTGCATGCTTGTAGCCCCAGCTATTCAGGAAGCCAAGGTGAAGGATGGACAGTTCAAGCCAGGCCTGGGCGAAATAGCAAGACTCCTTCTCCAAAATATAACAAAAGCAAAATAAAAGAAATTTGCTATATAGGTAAGTTTCTCAAAACATTTCATTAGCAAGTTGGAGGACAGCAGGAGCTGCCTGGCAAGTTGAATCAATGGTCTTAGTATCCTAGAAATTCATAAATTAACTTGAATTCTATTTTTCCAATTTTTTATTTTGAAAAGTTCGTTTTCCAGAAAAGTTGAAAAAACTGCACAATAACACACCTAGACTCATCACTTAGATCCACCAACTATTAACAGTTTGTTACATTTGCTTTACCTCCATATAAAATACATCAGTCTCTGAGGCATTTATATGTCAGTTGTAGCCATCAGGTCTCTTGTCTAATGATTCAGCACTAACATCCTAAGAACTAGGGCATTCTTGTAAATAGCCACTGTCACACTGAAAAATCTAATGATGATACAATAATACTGTCTAATATATAGTCCATATATAACTACAAAGTTCCCCAGTTGTCCCTCAAATCTCTCTCACAGCTTTTTTGCCTTCAATGCAGTGCTGCATCAGGGGTCACTTAATGGACCAACCCAGTTGTGTTATCTGTCTGGACCAATTCCCTAGCTTGACTTTTTTTAGAGTGTAGTGCAGGGAAATTGTTTTGCTGAATGTCTTCCAACCTGGATTTTTCTTATTTTTTTTTCCAACTTTGATTAGATTCACTTAAACATTTTTGGCAGCTATACATGGGTAATATAAAAACCCATTTGTGACATTCTAATGAGCTAATTAGCAAGGCCTTAGATGCAGCTGAGATATGTACCACTCTAGAGTGTGACCTTTACTGATATAGGGCTGGGTGACATTACTGGACTGTGCATTCTTTTATTTTTAATTTTTTTTTTTTGAGATGGAGTCTCACTCTTGTTGTCCAGGCTGGAGTGCAGTGGTGCAATCTCGGCTCACTGTAACCCCTGCCTCCTGGGTTCAAGCGATTCTCCTGCCTCAGCCTCCTAAATAGCTCGGATTACTGGTGCCTGCCACCACGGCTGGCTAATTTTTATATTTTTAGTAGAAATGGGGTTTCACCACGTTGGCCAGGCTGGTCTAGAACTCCTGACCTCAAGTGATCTGCCTGCCTCGGCCTCCCAAAGTGCTGGGATTACAGGCGTGAGCCATTGCAGCTGGCCGGCCTTTGTTTCATTTTAAAAAATTTTATTTATTTATTGTACAGTTGGGGTCTTGCTATGTTGCCCAGGCTGGTCCTGAACTCCTGGGCTCAAGCCATCCTACCACCTTGGCCTCCCAAAGTGCCGGTATTACAGGCATGAGCCACAATCCTGTGTATTTTTTTTTGAGATGGAGTTTGACTCCGTCACCCAGGCTGGAGTGCAGTGGCACAGTCTCGACTCACTGCAAACCCTGCCTCCTGGGTTCAAGCGATTCTCCTGCCTCAGTCTCTGGAGCAGCTGGGATTACAGGCGTGCACCACCACGCCTCGCTAATTTTTGTATTTTTAGCAGAGATGGGGTTTCACTGTGTTGGCCAGGCTGGTCTCAAACTCCTGACCTCAAGTGATCCACTTGCCTCGGCCTCCCAAAGTGCTGGGATTACAGGTGAGAGCCACTGTTCTTGGCCTTTTTAAAATTTTTTAAAATTTTATTTATTTTAGAGTTGGGGTCTTGCTATGTTGCCCAGGCTGGTCTCAAACTCCTGGGCTCAAGCCATCCTCCAGCCTCAGCCTCCCAAAGTGTTGGGATTACAGGTGTAAACCACAGTCCTGTGTATTCTCAATAGCTCCCAATGAGATCATCACCAGTGGCAAATTTTAAATCAGGGGTTGGGGATGGAGATGAAGGTGGGGCCACATATTTGACTTTGAAGACGTTTTCCGTGAATTTTGGAGGAGTGTGTGTGCTACTGGCATCTAGTGGGTGGAGGCCAGGGATGCTGTCAAACATCCTACAAAGCATGGAACAGACCCCACATGAAAGGATTATCCCATCCCAAAAGCCAACACTGCTGAGGTGGAGAAACCCAGGGATCTCGCCAATGAGATGAAATCTTCCAACCAGCAGACTTCTTGGCACCTACCTTCTTCCCATCCCTCTTTGTTTCGGAGATGACCCCACTGCAAGACATTAAACAGGCCAGGCGCGGTGGCTCACGCCTGTAATCCTAGCACTTCAGGAGGCCGAGGCCAGCGGATTGCTGGAGGCCAGGAGTTTGAGACCGGCCTGGCCAACATGGCGAAACCCCGTCTCTACTAAAAATATTTTTAAAAATTAGCTGGACATGGTGGTGCGCGCCTGTAATCCCAGCTACTCGGGAGGCTGAAATGTGAGGATTGCTTGAACCCAGGAAGCGGAGGTTGCAGTGGGCCGAGATCATGCCACTGCACTGCAGCCTGGGGAACAGAGTGAGACTCCGTCTAAAAAAACAAAAAAGACATTAAACACACAAATGAAAGTGAGTAATTTCTCAACACTTGGTAACTTGTAAGTACAGCGATACACTTTTATATCTCAGTTTTGAAATTAGCTCTCTAGTTGGCCTGTGAACGTCCCATGCCTGCCAAGTGTGTCATCTGAGACAAGCACTTCAATTTGTTTGAGCAGGCATCTATCAATCTTATTTGTTAGAAAAGGTGCCAGTGAAACCCCAAAGAGTATTGCTAACTAATAACTGTGCTGCAGTTTAGAGTGTTCAAGGTGCTTTCCAGTAACATGTTCTGGAATTTGATCTGACAACGCTTTGGGAGGCGGTTTATTACGATGAGGCTGCGCTGTCGCACTCGAGGAACCAGGTCAGTGACCTGCTCCAGGACACGGGACTGGCGGGGAGGGGAGAGCGCCTGGACTCAGCCTCCAAGTCTCGCACTCGACTCTGCAGGAGTAAAAACTATTCTTGATCCTACCTCTCTCCCTTCTGCAAACAAGCAACAAAATGCTGAAAAGGCATCTTAACTGAAACGGAAGTCAAATGAATTCGCGTGCGATCATGGGAATTTTTGGCTCCTAACCTTGCGAGTAGAGCTGGGTGAGTTCCATTTGTGGTGGGGGAGTGGAAACAGGTTTCTGGGCTTGCAGAAGCCACATCCCGTCCCCACACAACCTAGGACAGGCCAGGTACTTGTAGGTGAGGCTCCGGGGCTCCAGCTAACCTGAGCTACCTGGGCTGGGCTTTGTGCGGGGAGGCAGCAAGCGGGGTGAGCCGGCGACGACGCCGGCCTCTACGCAGTGCGGTGGTGAAGACGTCTCTTCCAGGGAGTCACAGGAAGCAAATCCATCCTTTTAAAGGGCTCGCGTCCCGCGGCCCTGAACCGGCGCGCTGGAGCAGTAATGCGACGTTCTCCGAGGTTCAAGGCTCACGGCCCAGCCCTGTGATCCAGTTTCCTCAGTCTTCGCGGTGTGCACCACTCAGGACGACTTGCGGCTTACGTCCAGGACAAAGGGGGCTTGTCCTTTCTTCAACGTCCTACTGCGCAAAAACGAAGCCCTTCTCAGGCTGCCTGCCTTCCAGGAAAAGCTGCGCCCCCTCAGGAACCTGTGCCCCGCGCGCCTGCCGCCGCCCATTCCCGGCGCGCACCTGGCAGTCCCGGGCTCGAGCCCCGCCCTGCCGCCAGCCAGGTGAGAGGGGCCAGGCCCCGCCCTCGCCGGCCCCGCCCCGCCCCACTGCGCCTGCGCAGTCGGCCGTCGGCGCCAGGCGCCGGGGCGGCGCGGCCGTCGCAGTTCGGCGGGCGCAGTGCGCGTGCGCCCTGACTGTTGGGGGGCGGGCGGCGTCCGCGGCGAGGGAGCGGGGGCGGGGAGGCGCCGTCTGGCTCAGGCTGGGGCCGGCGGGAGCGCGAACGAGCGACGGCGGAACCCGTGGGCCTGTGGACTGCAGCCTCGGCGGTCAGCAGGTGAGGCCCGCGCAGGGCGGGCGTGGGTCGTGAGGGAGTGCGGGCTGCGGGCGGGCCAGCGGTGCGGCGGTCTGCCCGGGGGCGCAGGTGAGCGCGGCCCGCGCGGGGCCCGGCGGAGCATTGTCCAGCGGGCGGCGCCCGCATAGCGCCCCCTGCCGGCTGGGCCGCGGCGGGGACCCGGGCTGGGCGGGCCTGGGCCTCGGGGCGGGCGCGCGCTCCTTTGTTCGCCGGCCCCTACTCCTCCGTGCCCCCATCCCCGCCGCCCCCCGCCAACATGGCCGCCACCCTCTCGTCCCCAGTTCCCCGGCCGCCGCCGGCCCCTTAGCGCGCGCTTTGTTTGGAGCCGGGCGGGGAGGCCGGCGGGCAGGGGGCGGCGGCGCTGCGCAGTCGGGCGCGGGGAGGGGGCGCTGCGCCAGAATGCAGGCGGGGAGGGGGAACGTTGCATAATCCCGGGCCGGCGACGGGGGCGGGGCGGGGGGAGGGGCGGGACCCCGGCGCGACGGGTCGGGTCACCCCGGGGACGCGGGCCTGCCCTGGGGCCACCCCTCCCAGGCCCGGGGGATGGCCGCGGACCTTGTAAGTTGCAGGCTCCGCGGTTCGCGGCGCCGGAACGCCCACCGGCCAGTCCTCGCGCCCGCGCAGCCCCTTTCCTGATGCGCCGTCTCTTCGCCGCCCTCCGTGGGGGCGCGGCGAACGGGTTGCGTGCTCTGGAGAGAGACAGGCACTTTTCCTCTCCATCGTGAGTGACCTTGGGTGTATTCGTCAAGGAATGTGTTGAAACGAATTGTGCGATGCGGGAACTGCGCAGCGCCTCGGGTTTGGCTTTCTCGAGCATTTTATTGCATTGATTGTGCGTTCTCGATTTTACAGAGGTTCGTTTTGAGTAATGGCTTCAGTAATGTCATCGTATACGCATTTCAAAGTTTGTTTATGGAATTGTTTTTACATTTATTCTCTTTTTACTTATAATTTTTGAATCAGATTTTGTGTTTTGGAGAGATTTTCCGTACGTGGTGGAAGTGTTTTCACTCATGGTAAATATGGATTGTTTGGCAATTTTATCACGTTAATCACAAAACAATACCAGGAACATTTAAATGTCTTAAAGGATTTCACTCTACATGACTTGTGCCAGAGACGACACACGTACCAAAACGCGATTACCTGTCTTAACTTTTTTTCTATTGGAATTTTCTGGAAGGAATTCCATGCAATCCGAAAGGATTAATGGAGGGTACAGTAATTGCTTTCTACATCGCTTTTGTTAAGCAGTGAAAATTAAACTTGGAGATTTATACCTGGATATACTGAGTTTTTTTTAACACTCTTTTGAAGTGAAATTTTGGAAAGGGCAGGTGAAATGAGGCTTCTTCCAACCTCCCCACTCTCCCCCCTCAGCTTTAGTTAAAAGGCAAACACCAAAATATTGTAGTACCTGGTAATTTACAGAACGTTCGTTATCAGATTTGATAATTATATATTAAGGTTGTAAAGAATGTGTATGCCAGAATTATAGGTAGTAGATCCTAGATTCTTAGGAAAAATAGTTTCTTTATAATCTTTTGAGTAGTGAAATGGTTACTTTTACAATGGTTATGAACTGGGTCAAGGCAAAAGGGCCACTATATGTCTTCAGTCATCTTTCTATGCCTGAAATCCAGGAAACAGTGAAAATGGATGTTCCCTGGAACAGCCATTGCGATGCCATATGTTGGTCATTGGTGTCCTTAAAGTGTATCTCAGATAATTGTGTGTCTCCCTTACTTGTGAACTGAGGGGTCACAATATTGATGTGCCTGATGTGTGCCCCTCTGCATTTCGTGGGTAGTGTCTCAAATTTGGCTATCATATTGATGAGAGTTACTAATTTGGTTTTAGCTGCCAGAGGTTTAGGTGGTTTTCACTTCCAGTGACTTACCTGATTGCACATAGTTACAACGTTACTGGTTGCACTCCTTCATTGCTAGCATCTTTTTTCTAGTATATTCGATATACATTCTTTTGGTTTATCCTTTAAAATATTTGCTGAGATAGCATTTAAATGTTAATGCTGTATTTATATTTGTTGGATGCTTAATTCAATGTGTCTTCTTTCCCTTTCCATGAATGAAAAGAAATTGGAAGAAGAGAATCAACTATTTCGTGCAAGTATTTTGTTCAGTTTAGAAGATGTTATGGTATTGTGAAAACAATATTCTGGAGTTAGACATGGAATCACAATGGCCTTCCAAGTCAGAACAGTCTGGGTTGAAATTGACTCCTTACTGGTCCAAAGCCACATAACTGATTCATCATGCAGCCTTTTTTTAAAAAAAGTTTTTTTTTAAAGCTACTCAAATATGTCAGTTTTATTTTCTCTGTACACACATTTGTTACTGAAAATTGCAAAAACAGCACATTGAAGGTCCTCTTATTGGAGTTCACATTTTTGAAAACCAGAAAATTTAATAATTATGCTCTTGCCAAACTACCCACTGTTTTCTTTATATTCTTGCCCCACAAGTTGCTTTACTTGAACTCTTGGGTTGGGCTTCATCTCACTGACTTCAGGCTTCTAACACACATAGGACACTTAGGACCTACTGGCTCTTTGGGTCACATCAGGGAGGAGAGCTGAAGTATGTTGAAGTTACTCAAATACATTCAAGCTACATAGATCTCTGATAAATTATTGGTGGTATGGTAGAAATGAAAATATACCCAAAAAAATCACAGAACTGTTTATTAAAATTATTGGTATACAGGCTCTTCTAACATAGATTAGCTTTCTCAACCTAATACATAAAATTACCAGCAAGAAAAAAAAAGTACAAGAATGACAGTTTATGGTTGAATTGGCTTGGTGTCATGATTCCCTGTTGTAGCATTCTCAGGCTATCTATGATAACAGAAACTGCAGCCACATTTGAATGGTTCCCTTCTTGATTCATTCTGAACTCTCCCTTTGGCCCAGTGTCTACTAGTTTTTCAAGCCAAGAACATCTGTTGAGTAACAGGTATCTCAATTTTGCCATACTTCCTTTCTGCATAGGTAGCAGCGTTCTTACTTCTACTCCTGAGGCAAGCCATCTCTGATGTCCTGGAAGGTCGTTTCTCTTCTATCCAGTTGTTGGGATGAATCTTCTGGTAGAAGGGAAGGGAATTTGGTACTAGGGTTGAAAGTCACGCTACTGAAGTTCTTTATTGACATCTCTGAGCAGAAGAGAGGCCCGAGTCGTCCTGGGGATTTTCTTCACTGAGCATTTGTGAAGATTCTGGGGTCAAGGTTGGGTTAAACTTTTGTGGTGGGTCCATCCGCGGTCTAGTCAACAGTACTAAGCTCTTCCTGCATCTTTGGGACCCAGCGGGAAGTGATGCCAGCTCTCAAATTGCTACAAGGTATCCTGGAAAGAAATCTATGACCCAGAAAGAGCCTGAAAACCCAAACTCCAGCAAATATTGGTGAAAGAGCCAACCCGCAAAGCCTTTTAAAACCTTGAATTCCTTACCTATAAACTGGGATAAAACCTATGGTGTAAGTCTGTTCTGAGAATTACATGAAATGGATTTATAGAGTTCTCAGTACAGTTCCTGAAATACAGCAGCTGACGCCAGTAGATGTTGATTTCCTTCTCCTTTCTACTTTTGAACTTAGCTGTAGTTATTAGCATTTTTTTAATGTTGAGGTAAACAGTTTCCTTAGTTGTGCATCAGTATTCAGTCCAATTTAATGTTAAATTATGTTTTTACTGGGAGCCTGTTCATGACCTTAAAATTGCCGTAAACCCTTTATAGAACAAGTCGTGTTTGGCTAAATATATAAACACAGATGTATCCTTACAGACTTTATAGTCTGATAGAGGAGATACACATGCATATAATGAGGGAATTCTGTGCTGAAGGTATCTGGGAAGAGAAGGTGATTCCATAGATTATCAGAATGGGAGAAGAAAGACATCTGGATGGAGGGGAAAGCAGGAACAGAGGCATGAGAGGAGTTAAAGAGGCCATCGGGGATTTCAATCCCAGCCAAAAGTTAGCCCCTTGTTACCTGTCTCCTCTCCTCTCCTCTCTTCTCCTTCCTTCCCTCCTTCCTTCCTTCTTTCCTTCCTTCCTTCCTTCCTCCCTCTTTTTCTACCTATCTACCTAGCTACTATTTTCTATCTATCCTCCTTTGTGAGTGTGTTTATGTATAGCAGGGGACGAGAACACCTACCTCATCAGGGGTGAGCTTAAATGAAGTAAAATGTTTCATAGGCTCCTGGTGTACAGTAAATGCCCAGTTGATATTGATGATGATGTCACCACTGCCTACACCACCTGTAGTTTCTTTCCTATGGCTGATCTGTCTAGGGATGAATTTGGGGGCCACCTTTTAAATTCTGCATGTAACATTAAGGTGGTTGGTGTTGAATTTGTAGGCAGAGGGAAACCATTGAAAGCAGGGGCAGGATTGGACCTGTGTTTTAGAACAGTATGAAAGGTGAGTTGGAGGAACCTGCCCATGTAGGATCTTTAATCTCCAGAGTCTAGCCTGTTAGAGAAGCTGGTGAAGTCATTTAAGGCATGGGGTATTGGTCTGAACTCAGAATATTTAATGTTATGTTAAATGTGCTTTTTTTTTTTTTTTTCCTGAAGGGAGGGGAGGAGGAAGAATTTACTCAATGTAAATATTATTTTATCCAAATGGTGAGAGAATACATGAAAAGACTAGTAAGGCATCTTTTTACCATTTGAGATGTTATAGTAGCGTGTTAACAAAATAGGCAATTTTTTTTTTAAAACTAGGTTATATTTCTTTGTAGTTGTTTATGCTTGGGCCTGTCTGCAAATGATTTAACAAATCATATCATATATTTGAATTACTGTTGCTTAACCTGACACAGGCAATAAGGAGAGAAAAGAATGTCCTTTTTCTTGCTTTTGGGTTTTTTTTTTTTTTTTTTTTTTTTTTTTGAGACGGAGTCTCCCTCTGTCACCAGGCTGGAGTGCAGTGGCGCAGTCTCAGCTGACTGCACCCTCCACCTCCCGGGAGTCAAGCGATTCTCCTGCCTCAGCCTCCCGAATAGCTGGGTCTACAGGCATGTGCCACCACACCTAGCTAATTTTTGTATTTTTAGTAGAGACGGGGGTTTCATCATGTTGGCCAGGATGGTCTCGATCTCTTGACATTGTGATCTGCCCGCCTCGGCCTCCCAGAGTGTTGGGATTACAGGCGTCAGCCATCTCTCCAGAGCTGATTTTTTTTGGAGGGAGGGGTTTGAATTACTTTTTTCTTTCTCTCTTTAGCATCATTGTAGACCCATGGATTTTTATGTATCCAATGTGTGTTTTTGGTTTTTTAAATTTTGAGACAGTCTTGCTCTGTCACCCAGGCTGGAGTGCAGTGGTGTGACCTTGGCTTACTACAACCTCCGCCTCCCGGGTTCAAGCTATTCTCCTGGCTCAGCCTCCCAAGCAGCTGGGATTACAGGCGTGCACCACCATGCCTGGCAAATTTTTTGTATTTTTAGTAGAGATGGGGTTTTACCTTGTTGGTCCAGCTGGTCTCAAACTCCCAAGCTCAAGTGATCCTCTCACCTCAGCCTCCCAAAGTGCTGGGATTACAGGTGTGAGCCACCATGTGTGGCTTTATCCAGTGTTTTAATCAAATACTCACTGTTTTTCCTTAGCTTTTCACAACTTGGACATGTTGAGGTCCTTTCAACCTGGTTCTCTTTCCTTTGACATGACACGTAATCTCTGAAGCTTTTCTTGCTTTCTGACACAAGATGTCTAAGGTTCACTTTGTGCTTTTCCTGCCAAATACCTATCAACCGAGTCTTTCAGCTTGCTTTATTGAGGATTAGAATTTAGATACAGAAATCTGGGTGTTATATGTTCTTACTGTTAGAATGCCCATGCTTTTATTGGACAGCCATGGGAAGCATACAGATTTTGATTTTTATATTGGTATTTCCAGTTCGAATTTAACATCACAGAGTTTTTACTATGAGCTTATCCTTTTTTCTCTAACGTTGAAAATTTACATTCTTAGCAACATTAATATAATTGCATTATCTTACAGTATAAATGTAGTTTGAAAATAACACTAATAAGCAACTGTAGCTTTATGTTTGGTTATGGTTTTTTCCTTAAAATATATCCACATAAGCATGTACAGTTGACATTCTAATTTGGAAGGCCATTTGAAAAGATTTTCTCTGATTATGTTATATGTTTGATAATTAATTTGGGTTGTTTGCCTGAAATTCTTCCTTTAAGAATTGCTTTAGTTTTTTATTTAATGTATTTTTTTTTTTTTTTTTTTGAGACAGAGTCTCGCTCTGTCGCCCAGGCTGGAGTCCAGTGGTGCGATCTCGGCTCACTGCAAGCTCCGCCTCCCGGGTTCACGCCATTCTCCTGCCTCAGCCTCCTGAGTAGCTGGGACTACAGGTGCCCGCCACCACGCCCGGCTAATTTTTGTATTTTTAGTAGAGACGGGGTTTCACTATGTTAGCCAAGATGGTCTCGATCTCCTGACCTCGTGATCTGTCCGCCTCGGCCTGCCAAAGTGCTGGGATTACAGGCGTGAGCCACCGCGCCTGGCCTATTTAATGTATTTTTTAACATGTAGAACATTTATGTGAACATTTATGTAGTTAAAAAATCTGATCTGTGTTAAAAAGTTATGTTCACAGCTTCACTTTAATTCTGTTCCTCCACGAATTTCTCTCTTGCCCCAGTTGTTTTTGCTTTGTTTTTCTGATATTTCATTTTTGCAAATGTAAGCATATGTGTATATTTTTGTTTCCCTTTCCTACACAATAGGCAGCGTTCTATGCACACTGCTCTGCCGTTCTATGCACACTGCTCCCTTTTACTTAATTTATTCTGGAGAGCGCTTCATTGAAGTGCGTGCTTGCAACTCATCTCCTAATGATGAACATTTGGGTTGTTTATATTCTCTTGGCTGTTATAAATATTGCGGCAATGAATAACCTTGTGGGTATATTGTTTTTTATTTGTGCAGATACAGCTTTAAGATAGATGTGGGGTGAAAGGTAAACACATTTGTAGTTTTGTTAGTGTCAAAATGTTACATTTTCTTTTTAAAACTTTTTAATTTTTTGTAGAGATGAGGTCTCACAGTGTTGCCCAGGATGATCTTGAACTCCTGACCCCAAGCAGTTCTTTTACCTGGGCTTCCCAAAAAACTTGGGATTACAGGCGTCAGGCATCAATACAGCCTAAAAAAATTACATTTTCAGGCTCAGTGTGATGGCTCACACCTGTAATCCCAGCACTTTGGGAGGCTGAGGTGGGCCGATCATGAGGTCAGGAGTTCAAGAACAGCCTGACCAACGTGGTGAAACCCCATCTCTGCTAAAAATACAAAAATTAGCCTGGCGTGGTGGCGCGTGCCTGTAATCCCAGCTACTCGGGAGGCTGAGGCAAGAGAATCACTTGAACCTGGGAGGCAGAGACTGCAGTGAGCTGAGATTGCGCCACTGCACTCCAGCCTGGGTGACAGAGGGAGACTCCGTCTCAAAAACAACAGCAACAACAACAAAAAAACCCGTCTCTACTAAGAATACAAAAATTGGCCAGGCATGGTGGCCTGCGCCTGTAATCCCAGCTACTCCTCATGAGAGTCACTTGAACTTGGGAGGTGGAGGTTGCAGTGAGCTGAGATCGCGCCATTGCACTTCAGCCTGGGTGACAGAGTGAGACTCCATCTCAAAAAAAAAAAAATTACATTTTTAAAAGGCAGATCTGACCATGTCAGCTTTTTACTTAAAACTCTAAATGGTGGCCAGGTGGGTGCGGTGGCTCACACCTGTACTGTACTCCCAGCACTTTGGGAGGCTGAGGTGGGCGGATTACCTGAAGCTGGGAGTTTGAGGCCAGCCTGGCCAACATGGTGAAACCCCGTCTCTACTAAAAATACAAAAATTAGCCAGGTGTGGTGGCGCATGCCTGTAATCCCAGCTACTCAGGAGGCTGAGGCAGGAGAATTGCTTGAACCTGGGAGGCGGAGGCTGCAGTGAGCTGAGATCACACCCCTGCACTCCAGACTGGGCAACAGAGTGAGACTCCGTCTCAGAAAACAAAACAGAAAAACTCTAAATGGCTTTCCAGTGCCTTAAGGACAAAAGTTTATAATGTAGCCTCAAGGGTACACATATAGTTGGTGTACATATAGCTTTACATCCCTTAACAATGGGATACATTCAGAGAACCTCGTTGTGTACCTCATAGAGTATACTTACACAAACCTATATGGGACAACCTACTAGGCACCTAGGCTATGTAATATGGCTTAATGCTCCTAGGCTACAAACCTGTACAGCATATGACTGAACTGAATACTGTAGACTATTGGAACACAGTGCTGTGTAGGTATTTATTTATCTAAACATATCTAAGGACAGAGAAAGTACAGTAGAAATGTGGTATAAAAGAGAAATGGCATGCCTGTGTAGGGCACTGAACCATGAATGGAGCTGTCAGGACTGGAAGTTGCTCTGGGTTGAGTCTGTGAGTGAGTGGTGAGTGAATGTGAAGGCCTAGAACATTACTGTACACTACCGTAGACTGTATGTAAACACTACAGTTAGGCTACACTAAATTTATAAAAAGTTTCTTCAGTAATTTACCTTAGCTTACTGTAATTTTTTTAACTTAATAAGCTTTTTAACTTTTTTTTAAACTTTCTGTCTTTTTAAATAACACGTAGCTTAAAACAGCCTCATAATATGGATCCACTGTAGTATATGTGGTCTGTTGTGTTGACAGAAATGTCATTAGGTGGTGCATGACTAATTACTTTTGGGCCTCAGCCTCATCTTGTACTGTTTTTCCCCTTGCTTTCCTTTGCTCCAGTTGTGTGGGGCCTCCTTCATTCTCCTGTGCTCACCATATTCTCCACCAGGAATCTTGGCACTTGTTCTTTTCCTCTGCCTGGAATGCCTTTCTTTGTTAACAGTTATTCCTGGTCTTTAGAGTTTGGCTCAAGCATCACTTTTAATGAAATTTTCTGTGTGCGTGCTTGCACATTTTCATAAGATAAAGAGATTGGACTGTACTGATATTCATCACCGACTCCAACAAGCATCAGTTGTCTGAAGTGTTTTTTTTTTTTTCCCCAGTCTTGCTCTGTCTCCCAGGCTGGAGTGCAGTGGTGCGGTCTCAGCTCACTGCAGTCTCCACTTCCCAGGTTCTAGCAATTCTCACTCCTCAGTCTCCCAAGTAGCTGGGAGTACAGGTGCGTGCCACCATGCCTGGCTAATTTTTTTGTATTTTTAGTAGAGACAGGGTTTCACCTTGTTGGCCAGACTGGTCGCCATCTCCTGACCTCAAGTGATCTGCCCTCCTCTGCCTCCCAAAGTGCTGAGATTACAGGTGTGAGCCACCGTGCCCAGCCTGAAGTTGTTTTTTTGAGACGAGGTCTCACTCCAGTTGCCTAGGCTGTAGTGCAGTGGCACAGTTTTGGCTCATTGCAGCCTCGACCTTCCCGGACTCAGGTGATCTTCCCATCTCAGCCTCCCGCGTAGCTGAGACTACAGGCATGTGCCACCATGCCTGGCTAGTTTATTTTTGTATTTTTAGTAGAGACGGGATTTTGCCTTGTTGCCCAGGCTGGTCTCGAGCTCCTGAACTCAAGCAGTGTACCTGCCTCAGCCTCCCAAAGTGCTGCCTCAGCCTCCCACCTGTGCCACTGCACTACAGGCATGAGTCACCGTGCCTGGCTGTCTGAAGTTCTTGAATTTTTTTGACTTTTCTGCAGTCAAGTCCTCTTGGTGCTTATCAGAATTACAATGTTATATTAGTTTATGTGATTTAATTAATTTTAGTTTTCCCACAAAGGCTGAGTTTCATGAAAGCAGAACCATTCCTGTTTTTGCCTGTAATTACTTTTCTGGTATCTAGCTCAGTGTCTGAATTGTGAGGGCTCAAGCTACCCTGTGCAGTAGCGAGAATTAAATAATAAGAAAATTGAGGGTGTCTGGTTGGTTAAATGTCTTGTCTGCACAGGTGTTTGTCATACAGTGATTATTAAGTAACAATTTGTTGACTTTTATTTATTTATTTTGAGACAGAGTTTCGCTCTTGTTGCCCAGGCTGGAGTGCAATGGCGCGATGTTGGCTCATCGCAACCTCCGCCTCGTGGGATCAAGCAATTCTCCTGCCTCAGCCTCCTGAGTAGCTGGGATTACAGGCATGCACCACCACACCCAGCTAATTTTGTATTTTCAGTAGAAACGGGTTTCTCCATGTTGGTCAGGCTGGTCTTGAACTCCCCACCTCAGGTCATCCGCCTGCCTTGGCCTCCCTGGGATTACAGGCGTGAGCCACCGTGCCCGGCCTTGTTGACTTTTAATTGTAATATTTTTTTCAGGATCACATAAGGTTTAGAAAAATGAAACCCCTAGGATGGATAAAGGAAAACGTATATGGGATATGTGTGTGTATGTATTAAGGCATTTGTTACAGTGATTTGAGTTCACACAGTGTAGGAGGAGCTGGCTTAAGCAGTTTTTTTTTTTTTTGAGATGGAGTCTTGCTCTATTGCCCAGGCTGGAGTGCAGTGGCACAATCTTGGCTCACTGCAACCTCCGCCTCCTGGGTTCAAGCGATTCTCCTGCCTCAGCCTCCCGAGTAGCTGGGACTACAGGCGTGCGCCACCATGCCTGGCTAGTTTTTTTGTATTTTTAGTGGAGACGGGGTTTCACCATGTTGGCCAGGCTGGTCTTGAACTCCTGACCTCGTGATCCACCCGCCTCGGCCTCCCAAAGTGCTGGGATTACAGGCGTGAGCCACCGTGCCCAGCCGTTAAGCGGTTTCTGTCAGGCTGTTGTCTTTGTGATTGATGCTGGAGTTTGAAGTCCACAGGGCAGTCATTTGAGAAAGGAAGATGGATGTAAAGTGGGGAAGAAGAGGACACAGGAAGCCACAGGCAAGGTACATGGAAACCATGCTAGTTCTAGTTGCCTTTGTTCCTGCTTGTGTGGGTGGCCTGTAAGAGTTGGATCCTTGGCAAATGTAGCCCAGGAGGCAGAGAAGCTTAAGGAGAGCCCAGAGGAAGGTGGAGTGGATGCAGCTGCAATTCTAGGCCAACCACTGCCTCACACGAATGGGGTGAGTCAGAAGATGAGCAGCAACAGTGTGTGCAAGCTGCAGGGTGGTTGCTTTATCTTCTGCACCCTTCAGTTGCTGCACAAAAATCTCTTGTGAGCCATGCAAGTTGGAAACATAAAGGAAAGGAAATTCTGGGGAATGTAGTTCAGCTCAGCCAAGTTCAAACCATACAAAGCAGAATGATCAGCTCAGGCTTTTAAATTTTTAGCTCAGGCTACACGTAAGGGACCCGAAGGTTTCTGTGACTGCTCTAAAAATGCAAATGTAATTCCTAATTTGTGGGTGAGATCATTGATTGGTAGGAATGGAATCCTGAAAATTGGATTGGAGGCATATGGTCAGATTCTGTTTAAGCTGGAGTCCTTAAATCCTTAAATGCTGCTCTGCTGCCTTTCCCGGAGAAGCAGCCTTTCCAACCCTTCCCAGAGGAACTTAATCTCCGTTTGCCTGAAAAACCTGTAATTGGCCTCCCTTTGGGTAGTTGCCCAGCACGGTACTGTCTTCCTCAGAATCTGCCCTGTAATCCTTCTTTCTTGTAGATCTGTGGCTGGACTGTAGTTGCAGCAGGCCCCAGAGAGTGAGGTGACCCATGAGAAAGGTATGCTGCACTCTAAAAGATTGTATAGTTTTGCCACTGTATAGTCAGGAGCCTGGAGGAGTATTTGATTTGTGGCAATGGATCTTAGGGGTATAGTATAACAGTGGAAGGAACATAAAGTTGAATCAGGCAGAATTTATTGATGTGGGCTCACTAAGCAGAGATTCTGGGTTCAGTGTTATAGTTCAAGGAGATAGAAAGGACTCTTAACAGTTGGGTTAATTGACTGAGGCCCATCCACAAGGCCTGATGCCTCGGTTAGATTTTTTCTGGCCTAACAAGGAACTCCACTGACCATTCACTCACCTTCTATGAGAGTCTATATTTGGCCTGGCGTGATGGCTAATACCTGTAATCCCAGCACTTTGGGAGGCCAAGGCAGGAGGATCACCTGAGGTAAGGAGTTTGAGACCAGCCTGGCCAACATGGCGATACCTCATCTCTACTAAAAATACAAAAATTAAGCGGATATCATGGCCCATGCCTTAATCCCAGCTACTCGGCAGGCTGAGGCAGGAGAATCGCTTGAGCCCAGGAGGCAGAGGTTGCAGTGAGCCAAGATCATGCCACTGCACTCTAGCTGGGGTGACAGAGCGAGACTCCGCCTCAAAAAAAAAAAAAAAAAAATTAGCCGGGTGTGGTGGCTTGTGCCTGTAGTTTTAGTTACTCGGGAGGCTGAGGTGGGAGGATCAGTTGAGCTGGGGAAGTCGAGGCTGCGGTGAGCCATGATCGTGCAACTGCGCTCCAGCCTGGGCAACAGAGTGAGATTCTAATAAAATATTAGTTCATAAGGAAAGGTTCACCTAAATGCATAGCCCTTAAATAACTTGCATTGTTGGTGGAACTGTACTTTGCTAGGACCTTTTTGGAGGATGGCTGCACTAAAACAGAATTTAAAATGCATGTGCTCTGTTGATCCAGCAGTTTCACTGCTAGGATTTTATTGTATAGATGAATTTGGACAGTATACAAATACGTTATGTTTAAGGTTTTTCATTATATCAGTGTTTGTGATCGAGAAAAATTAGAAACAACTGTCCAATAATGGAGTTAAGGTAGAGTAAATGACCATTATACCCATACACTGGAATATTGTGCCACTGTTAATAATAAGAGGTTGATAGGAAAAAAAATTCATACAGCCATCCCTCCATATCAGGGAATTGGTTCCAGGACCCACACTCCGCCTGCCTCCCCGCCTGCACCCCACCCCATGGATACCAAAATCCATGGATGCTCAAGTTTCTTATATAAAATGGTGTAGTATTTGCATATAATCTATGCATATCTTTCTGTATACTTTAATCTCTAAATTACTCCTAGTATGTAATACAGTGTAAATGCTATACAAATAGTTATACTGTATTGTTGAGGGAATAACTACAAGGAAAAAACTTTATGTGTTTGGTACAGATGAAACCATCATTTCCCAAATGTTGAAAATCTGAGGTTAGTTGAATCCACAGATGTGGAGCTGAAGGGATAAGAGGCCAAGGGCCAACTATATTACACAAAAAATGTAACATTTAATAAGAGAAGCAAGTTGTGGAACTGTATGTTCTTGCTTATGTTGAGATGTTATGTGTCTGTTTTAAGCCTTTGCCTAAAAATACTTTGCTAAATTCCTAACAATCTTTTCCTTTTATTAATACATAATATTTTACATCTTTATGGGATGCATATGAATACTTGTTGCATGCATAGAATGTATAATGATCAAGTCAGGGTACCTGGAGCATCCATCACCTTGAGTATTTTATCTTTTTGTTTTTGAGATGGAGTCTCGCTCTGTTGCTCAGGCTGGAGTGCGGCGGTGCGATCTTGGCTTGCTGGAACCTCTTGCCTCCTGGGTTCAAGCAATTCTCCCGCCTCAGCCTCCTGAGTAAGCTGGGATTACAGGTGTGTGCCACCATGCTGGGCTAATTTTTGTAATTTTAGTAGAGACAGGGTTTCACCATGTTGGCCATTCTGGTCTGGGTCCCCTGACCTCAGGTGATCCGCCTGCCTCAGCCTCCCAAAGTGCTGGGATTGCAGGTGTGAACTACTGCGCCTCGTTGAGTATTTGTCATTGCTGTGTGCTGGTAACATTTCAAGCCTTCTCTTTTAGCTACTTTGAGATATACAGTATATATTTGCTAACTATGGTGACCCTACTCTGCTAGAGAACATTAGAACTTTCTAACTGTATGTTTGTACCCATTAACCAACCTCTCTTCCTCACCCTTCCCAGCCTCTGATACCTGTTATTGTATTTTCTATTTCCATGAGGTCAACTTTTTTTTTTTTTTTTTATAGCTCCCATGTATTTGTTAGAACATGTGTTATTTGTCCTTCTATGCCTGGCATGGCTTATTTCACTTAACATAATGACCTCCAGCTTCACCCATGTTGCTGCAAACATTTTATTCTTCTTTCTGGCTGAATAGCATTCCATTGTGTATACATGCCACGTTTTCTTTATCTCTCTGCTCATTGATGGATACTTAGGTTGATTCTATATCTTTGCTTTTGTAAATAGTGCTGTGGTAAACAGGTGAGTGTATGTATCCCTTTGATAATACTGAATTCTTTTCCTTTGGATAAATAGCCAGTAGTGGGATTGCTGAAGTATGTAGTAGTTCTATTTTTAGTGTTTTGAGAAATCTCCGTACTGTTTTTCATAATGGCTTTACTAATTTCCATCCCAGTGTATAAGAGTTCCCTTTTCTCCGCATCCTTGCCATCTTCTGTTGTTTGTGTTTTTAATAATAGTTATCCTAACTGTGGTAAGGTGCTATCTCATTGTAGTTTTGATTTGTATTTACCTGATGATTACTGATGTGAGCATTTTTTCATATATCATTTGGCCATTTGTATGTTTTTTGATGTCCTTTGCCCACTTTTTAGTGGGATTATTATTATTATTTTTTAATTGTTGGTTATTTGAGCTTGTTGCATATTCTGGATTTTAGTCCTTTGTCATGAATGGTTTGCACATATCATTTCCCATTCAACAGGTTGTCTCTTCACTCTGTCATTTGTTTCCTTTGCTGTGCAGAAACTTTTCAGCTTGTTCTGTTGGTTATTGAAAGAGATGTATTAATACTTTGATTTTGCATTTGTCAGTTTTTCCTTAGTTCCGATACCTTTTGCTTTATACATTATCTTATGAGGGTGTGTTCTTAGATGCATTGGTATTTAGAGCTATGTATCAACCAGGTCTTTTAAAATCACTGTAATCCCAGCAGTTTGGGAGGCTTGAGGTGGGAGGATCACTTGAGTCTAGAGTTTGAGACCAGCCTGGGCAACATAGCAAGACCCCATCTCTACAGAAAATTTAAAAAAATTAGCTGTGTGTGGTGGCACACACCTGTAGTCCCAGCTACTCGGGAGGGTAATGTGGGTGGATCACCTGAGCCTGAGAGGTGAAGGCTGCACTCAGGAACCCTGATCATACCGCTGCACTTAGCCTGGGTGACAGAGTAAGATCCTGTCTTCAAAGCGGGGGAAAAAAAAGAAAACCACTATTAAGTGTTCTTTTTAAGGGGCCAGTATTATTAGAGGTAAAGTTTATTTAGCTTGATATTAATGTTGCTGCAGTGTTTTCCTTTGGTTAGTATGTGTAGGGTATATCCTTTTTTACCCTTTAATTTCAGTCTTACTTATTTTTCCAGCATGTGTTGCTTAATGATGAGAATATGTTCTGAGAACTGCGTTGTTAGGTGAGCATTATAGAGCATACTTGCACAAAACTTAGATGGTGTAGCCTTTGACACACTTAGGCTAAATGGTAAGCCTATTTGCTCCTAGGCTGCAAACCTGTATAGTATGTGACTGAACTGAATACTGTAGACAGTTGGAACACAATGGTAAGTAATTATGTATGTAAACACAGAGAAAGTACAGTGAAAACCTGGTATAAAAGATACAGAAATGGTCCACCTGTATTAGGGCACTTACCATGAATGGAGCTTGCAGGATTGGAAGTTGCTCTGGGTGAGTGAGTGGTGAGTGAATGTGAAGGCCTAGGACATTATTGTGCACTATTGTAGACTGTGTATAAACACTGTACAGTTAGGCTACACTAAATTTATAGAAAAATTTTTCTTCAATAATAACTTAACCTTAGCTTACTCTCCCCTAACCCCCAATTCTTCAATCCAGTCTTGGCTGCTACAGTCAGACAGCGAAGACACTTTTTTCTTGCATCTGTATTAGAAACCGTGTAGCTTTTTTACTTTATGAAGTTCATAATTTTTAAATTTCTTGACTCTTATAGTACTTAGCTTAAAACACAAACACATTGTACAGATGTATAGAAATACTTTCTTCCTGTTATTTTGTAAGCCTTTTCTATTTTAAAAATTTATTACTTTTGTTTTTACTTTTTAAACTTTTTGTTAAAAACTAAGATACTTGGCCAGGCGCAGTGGTTCATGCCTGTAATCCCAGCATTTTGAGAGGCCGAGGCAGGCAGATCACCTGAGGTCAGGAGTTCAAGACCATCCTGGCCAACATGGTGAAACCCTGTCTCTACTAAAAATACAAAAAGTAGCCGGGCGTAGTGGCAGGCGCCTGTAATCCCAGCTACTCGGGAGGCTGAGGCAGGAGAATCGCTTGAACCCAGGAGGCAGAGGTTGCAGTGAGCCGAGATCGTGCCATTGCACTCCAGCCTGGGGGCAAGAGTGAGATTTCGTCTCAAAAAAAAAAAAAACAAAAAAAAAAAAACTAAGATACTCAGGATCATCTGTATCACTGTCTTCCACCTCGGCATCTTGTCCAGGTGAAAGGTCTTCAGGTGCAATAACACATATGGAGTTGTCATCTATGATAACAGTACTTTCTTCTGGAGTACCTCCTGAAGGACCTGCCTGAGGCTGTTTTACAGTTAACTTTTTTTATAAATAAGTATGAGTACAGACTAAAATAATGATTAAACATAGTTAATACATAAACCAGTAACATAGTTGTTTATTATCAAGTACAATGTACTGTACGTAATTGTACTATACTTTTTTTTGTTTGTTTTTTGAGACAGGGTCTCGCTCTGTCTCCCAGGCTGGAGTGCAGTGGCAGGATCTCGGCTCACTGCAACCTCCACCTCCCGGGTTCAAGCGATTCTCCTGCCTCAGCCTCCCGAGTAGCTGGGATTACTGGCATGCGCCACCATGCCCGGCTAATTCTTGTATTTTTAGTAGAGACGGGGTTTCACCATGTTGGTCAGGCTGGTCCAGTACTCCTGACCTCGTGATCCGCCCACCTCGCCCTCCCAAAGTGCTGGGATTACAGTCGTGAGCCACAGTGCCTGGCCTGTACTATCCTTTTTTTTTTTTTTTTTTTTCCCTGAGACAGAGTTTCGCTCTCGTTACCCAGGCTGGAGTGCAGTGGCGCGACCTCATCTCACTGCAGCCTCCGCCTCCCGGGTTCAAGTGATTCTTCTGCCTCAGCCTCCTGAGTAGCTGGGATTACAAGTGTGAGCCACTGCCCAGCCTGTACTATACTTTTGTATGACTTTGAACACAGTAGTTTTGTTTGCAGTGCAGTGGGTTTGTTTACACCAGCATCACCACAAAGACGGCTATGAAATCACTAGACAATAGGAATTTTTTAGCTCCATTATAATTTTTTTTGTTTGTTTTTGAGACAGGGTCTCGCTCTGGCCAAGGCTGGAGTGCAGTGGTGCCATCTTGGCTCACTGCAACCTCTGCCTCCTGGGTTCAAGTGATCCTCACACAATCTCCCTAGTAATTGTGACTACAGGCGCATGCCACCGTGCCTGGCTTGTGTGTCTGTGTGTGTGTGTGTGTGTGTGTGTGTGTGTGTGTGTACGTGTACGTGTAGAGATAGGGTTTTGCCGCTTGCCTAGTCTGGTCTCCAACCCTTGGACTCAAGTAATCTGCCCACCTTGGCCTCCCAGAGTGCTGGGGTTACAGATGTGAGCCACTGTGCCTGGCTCTATTATAATATTATGGGACTACCATTGTATATGTGATCCATTATTGACTGAAATGTCTCTGTGTGGGGCATGACTGTACTTAAGTTTTGAAAGATTTTCTTGCCAACAGTATATACTAGAATTTTTTTTTTTTTTTTGAGTTGGAGTCTCGCTCTGTCACCCAGGCTGAGTTGCCGTGGCGCAGACTCGGTTCACTGCAAGCTCCGCCTCCCAGGTTCACACCATTCTCCTGCCTCAGCCTCCCCAGTAGCTGGGACTACAGGCGCCTGCCAACCACCCTCAGCTAATTTTTTTGTATTTTTAGTAGAGACAGGGTTTCACCGTGTTAGCCAGCATGGTCTCCATCTTCTGACCTTGTAATCCATCCACCTCGGCTTCCCAAAGTGCTGGGATTACAGGCTTGAGCCACTGTGCCCAGCCAGTATATACTAGAATTTTAAAAAATCTTGTGTGTTTCTTATGATTAGAGCATCTGTCTATTGGCATTTGACAAAGTAACTGACGTTTAGTTTCAATCTGTTAATAAGTACTTTCTGCCTATCAAACCTGTTTTTTACCTTTTCCTGTCCTTTCTTGCCTTCTTTTAGATGCTTATTTTTTATGTTTGTTCTGCTGTTCTAACTTGGAAGTTACTTAAACATGAATCTTTTACTATCAAAATCTAATATTATTTGATACTTTCCTCCTCTCCTGGATACTCTGTTGAGCTCATTTTTATTCACATTGTCATTATTGCATTGTTTTAATTCTGTCTGTATTTTATCTTGACAGGTTTAATTTGTATTTTCAATAGCCATTTAGATTTACCCACAAAATTTATCCTTTTCATTTCCTAACTAGATCCTCCATCTTGTAACATTTTCTTCTGCCCGAAGAACACCCTTTATGCTTCCCACCTTTTGTGTAACTTCTAGTAGTGAATTTCCTATGTTAGTCTAGACATGCCTCAAATTGATCTTCCTTTAAAAAAAAAAAAAAAAAAAAAAGATGGAGTCTCACTCTGTTGCCCAGGCTTGAGTGCAGTGGCGTGATCTTGGCTCACTGCAACCCCTGCCTCCCAGTTCAAGCCATTCTCCTGCCTCAGCCTCCCGAATAGCTGGGACTACATACAGGTGTGCGCCACCATGCTTGGCTAATTTTTTTTGTTATTTTCAGTAGAGACAGGGTTTTGCCATATTGCCCAGGCTGGTCTTGAACTGCTGATCCCTAGTGATCCATCTGCTTGGCCTCCCAAAGTCCTGGGATTACAGGTGTGAGCCACCGGCCTCATCTTCCTTTTTGAAGGATACTTCTGATGTGTACAGAATTCTAAGTTGTCAGTTTTCTTCTAAGGTGTTAAAATAAGCTATTGAATTGTGGTCAGGAGCAGTGGCTCACATCTGTAATCCCAGCACTTTGGGAGGCCAAGGCAAGAGGATTACTTGAGCTCAAGAGTTCGAGACCAGCCTGGGCAACATAGTGAGACCTCATCTCTAATTTTTTTTTAAATTAAAAAAAAGCTATTGAATTGTATCTTCAGTTTTCATTTTTTTTTTTTGTAAGAAGTAAACTGTCAAGTTTTAAAAATCACTCCTATGACTGGAATCTCTCTCTCTTTTTTTTTTTTTGAGACAGAGTCTTGCTCTGTCACCCAGGCTGGAGTGCAGTTGTATGATCTCGACTCACTGCACCCTCCACCTCCCAGGCTCAAATGATCCTCCTACCTCAGCCTCTTGAGCAGTTGAGACCACAGGCCTGAGCCACCCCATGCTTGGCTATTTTTTGTGGTTTTTGTACAGACAGATAGGGTTTCGCCATGTTGTCCAGGCTGGTCTTGAACTCCTGGGCTCAAGGGATCTGCCTGCCTCAGTCTCTCAAAGTGCTGGGATTACAGGTGCAAGCCACTGTGCCCAGCCTGGAATCTCTTGGTACTGCAGGCTTTATGTTTTTTTTTTCTGCCTTTAGTTTTCAACAGTTTTACTGTGATGTGTTTGGTTATATATTTCTTTATTCATCCTGCTTGGAATTCTTAGGTTTTATTGAACCCATGGTGGGATGTCTTTCATTAGTTTCGAAAAGTTGACAGGCAATTTCTGCTATCCCCCCTTTACCCCCTCCCCCCACCTTCTGAGAGCCCATTTAAGCACTTCAGATCTTCTCAGTCCCTTACCCTTGTCATGCTTCATCCTGGATATTTTTGTTTTGGTTTTTCTTTTCCTTTTTTTCTTTTTTTTTTTTTTTTTTTGAGACGGAGTGTTGCTCTGTCACCCAGGCTGCAGTGCAGTGGTGCTATCTTGGCTAACTGCAACCTCCGCCTCCTGGGTTTAAGCAGTTCTCTGCCACAACCTGCCAAGTAGCTGGGACTACAGGTGCCCGCCACCAGGCCTCATTCATTTTTGTATTTTTAGGAGAGACAGGGTTTCACCATGTTGGGCAGGCTGGTCTTGAACTCCTGACCTTATGATCCACCCGCTTTGGCCTCCCAAAGGGCTGGGATTACAGGTGTGAGCCACCATGCCTGGCCCTTTTTTTTTTTTTTTTTGAGACAGTTTCACTCTTTTTGCTCAGGCTGGAGTGCAATGGCGCGATCTCGGCTCACTGCAACCTCTGCCTCCCGGGTTCAAGCGATTCTCCTGCCTCAGCCTCCCAAGTAGCTGGGATTACAGGCACCTGCCACCATGCCTGGCTAATTTTTAGTAGAGACGGGGTTTCACCATGTTGGCCAGGGTGGTCTCGATCTCGACCTCGTGATCCGCCCGCCTGGGCCTCCCAAAGTGTTGGGATTACAGGCGTGAGCCACAGCGCCCGGCCCTTTTGTGTTTGTGTGTGTTTGTGTGTGTGTGTGTGTGTGTGTGTGTGTTTGAGATGAATTTTTGCTCTTGTTGCCCAGGCTGGAGTGCAATGGCGTGATCTCGGCTCATCGCAACCTCCACCTCCTGGGTTCAAGAGATTCTCTTGACTTAGCCTCGGGAGTAGCTGGGATTACAGGCATGCGCCACCATGCCCGGCTAATTTTGTATTTTTAGTAGAGATGGGGTTTTTTCATGTTGATCAGGCTGGTCTCGAACTCCTGACCTCAGGTGATCTGCCCGCCTCGGCCTCCCAAAGTGCTGGGATTACAGGCGTGAGCCACTGTGCCCGGCCTGCTTTTCTTTTTTCTTGTTTTTTTTTCTGCTGGTTTTTATTCATTTTGTCTCCTTGTTGGCTCTGTGTGTGTGTATACACACGTGCACATCTAGTAGATCACATTATAAATATCGTTTGAATAATTTCGGGTCTAGGATGATATATCCAGAGAGGATTTATGCTTATTTCTATCTCAGGCATCTTAGGGAATAGGCAGTCTGGGAACACCGTGGTTCAGTTTTAGGGATAAAGATGAGTTGAAATTGAGCTACACGACGGCCAGGTGCGGTGGCTCATTCCTGTAATCCCAGCACTTTGGGAGGCCGAGGCGGGCGGATCACGAGGTCAGGAGATGAAGACTGTCCTGGCTAACATGGTGAAACCCTGTCTCTACTAAAATACAAAAAAAAAATTAGCTGGGCATGGTGGCGGGCACCTGTAGTCCCAGCTACTCAGGAGGCTGAGGCAGGAGAATGGTGTGAACCCAGGAGGCGGAGCTTGCAGTGAGCTGAGATCGCGCCACTGCACTCCAGCCTGGGCAACAGATCGAGACTCCGTCTCAAAAAAAAAAAAAAAGAAATTGAGCTACATGTCTTAGAGCCTGGCAGCTTCCCTTTTCCCTCCTTCTTAAGTTCAGCAATTCAGGATTCCAACTCGAAGGGAGGTGAGTTTACCAGTCCCCCTGTAACCCCCTTTGGTATTTTCCGAATTTTAGTTCTTTTCTCCTAATCTTACCAAGCTGTCAAGTTCTCAGCTGGTCCTTAACACTTGGCAATTGCTCTCAGGGACCAAAGTGGTTATAAATGTAGGGTGTCCCTCTTTAGATCCTGTCTCTCTGATACCTTACTATCTTTCAAGTTATTTGATGCTTTCATGCATATATTTAGTGTGTGTGTGTGTGTGTGTGTGTGTGCAACTTTTTTTTTTTTTAAAGACATTTATTCAGCATCATGATCAGACTATTACATTTAGCAATCAACAGCATGGGTGCAAAAAAAATCTACATTAAAACCTTTTGTTGGAATGCTTTAAACAAAAGAACAGAAACTAAAATAACCTGTTATACAATTAGTCACAAATACAGTCCTCGAGTTTTTTGCCCATATACATGAGTATTTGTCTAAAACATGTCTTCTTTGTAGCATCTAGGCCCTGCCACCACTGTGCTTGGCTGAATTCACAAATCTGTTTTAACCTGTAGCTTCTCTGTCACTTCTCTGGTTCTCCTCTCCTGCTAAGCTTTGTTACCTAATTAAAATCTTCTGCTACTGCCATAGCTACTGCTGCTACTGGAACCACCATAGTAGCCACCGTGGTTTCATGGTTTGGCATAGTATTGGCCTCCACCACCATAGGGGCCAGAGCTTCTGCCTCCAAAGTTTCCTTCCTTCGTGGGTCCAAAATTTGAAGACTGATTGTTGTAATTGCCAAAATCATTGTAGCTTCCACCACCTCCAAAATTGCTTCCACCATTACCAAATCCATTATAGCCATCCCCACTGCCACCAAAGCCACCATGACCACTGAAGTTTCCTCCACTACCAGAGTTGTCATTCCCACTGAAACCACCTCCACGACCACCACGTTTCCAGAATCACTTAGCTTCTTTGGCTGGATGAAGCACTAGCCATCTCTTGCTTTGACAGGGCTTTCCTAACTTCACAATTGTTGCCATTCACAGTATGATATTTCTGAATGACAGTCTTATCCACGGAGTTGTGGTCGTCAAAGGTTACAAAGGCAAAGCCCCTTTTCTTGCCACTGCCTCGGTCAGTCATGATTTCAATCACTTCAGTTTTTCAGAACTGTTTAAAATAATCTCTTAGGTGATGTTCTTTAGTGTCTTCTTTAATGCCACCAACAAATATCTTTTTCACAGTTAAGTGGGCACCTGGTCTTTAAGAATCTTCTGTTGAGACAGCTCTCTTTGGTTCCACAAGTCTTCTGTTCACCTTGTGTGGCCTTGCATTCATGGCTGCATCCTCCACCTCCACAGTGGCATATGTGACAAACTCAAAGCCCCTGGAGCACTTGGTGTTTGGATCTCTCATTACCACACAGTCCGTGAGTGTCCCCCATTGCTCAAAATGGCTCCTCAGGCTCTCATCGGTTGTTTCAAAGCTCAACCCTCCAATGAAGAGCTTCCTCAGCTGTTCGGGCTCTTTAGGAGACTTGTGACTTAGACATGATGGCATGGAGAAGAGAGACTTTAATGATGCTTCAGCGTCATCCATGGGCAGAAAGCTTTTTTTTTGGAGACAGAATCTCACTTTGTCACCCAGGCTAGAGTGCAGTGGCATGATCTTGGCTTACTATAGCCTTGGCCTCCTGGGCTCAAGCTGTCCTTCTGTGTCAGCCTCCCTAGTAGCCGGGACTACAGGTATGCATCGGCATGCCTGACTAATTTTTTAAATTTTTAGTAGAGATGAGATCACCCTGTGTTGCTCAGGCTGGTCTTGAACGCCTGGGCTCAAGCAATCCTCCCTCCCTTGCCTTCCAAAGTGCTGGGATTACAGGTGTGAACCACTGTGCCTGGCCTATTTTCAACTTTTTCTTATGGTAGTTTTCAGTTATATACAGAAGTCAAGAAAATAGTTCAGAACAACCCCGTTTGAGGCCGGGTGCGGTGGCTCATGCCTGTAATCAGCACTATGGGAGGCCGAGACGGGCAGATCACGAGGTCAGGAGATCGAGACCATCCTGGCTAGTGCGGTGAAACCCCGTCTCTACTAAAAATACAAAAAAAAAAAAAAATAGCTGGGCCTTGTGGTGGGCGCCTGTAGTCCCAGCTACTCGGGAGGCTGAGGCAGGAGAATGGCGTGAACCCAGGAGGCGGAGCTTGCAGTGAGCCGAGATCATGCCACTGCACTCCAGCCTGGGTGACTGAGCGAGACTGCATCTCAAAAAAAAACAAAAACCTTTTGTTTCCTTAACACAATTCCAGTAGTCGTTGATAGAGCTTCCTTGCTTCTGATATGACAAGATATTCCAAGCTCCTCTAATATCCTTCTCCTTATCTGGAGTTGGTTATTTCTCTAAGCAACTCTGGTTTCTGATAGTTTTTACTAGGGATATCCTTGTAAATTTTACTTTAATTTTGTAGCTGTTGGGAGGATTGTTTAAATTACCAGTCCATTGTTCCCAAGAGTTGGCCATTTATATTGATCCTTGCGGGTGGCCTTCAGAAACCCATCAAAGACCCAGAGAGACTGCTTGTTGTCCATAGGTTTGGGCAGAGGGGGTTGTGCCATGGACCGTTTGCCAGTTTTATGAAACCTATGGATGCCTTTTCAGAATCTTCTGAACACAGTGAATGAAATACATAGGATCACAACAGAAACCAATTATATTTAAGTTATACAAATATTACTACCCTGTTAAACAGAAGACCATGGTGTCTTTCTTTGTCAGTAATTTTTTTTTTTTTAGACAGTCTCACTCAGTCACCCAGGCTAGAGTGCAGATGGCGCGGTCTCAGCTCACTGCAACTTCCACCTCCCGGGTTCAAGTGATTCTCCCACTTCAGCCTCCCTAGTAGCTGGGACTACAGGCGCATGCCACCACACCCGGGTAATTTTTGTATTTTTAGTAGAGACAGGGTTTCACTATGTTGGCCAGGCTGGTCTCGAACTCCTAACCTCGTGATCCGCCCACCTTGGCCTCCCAAAGTGCTGGGATTACAGGCGTGAGCCACCGCGCCTGGCCTCTTTGTCAGTAATTTAAGTGACAAGACAATATTGTTGGTATATAGATAATTCAGATTTTGTTTTTTAAGATATTAAAATTAAGTTTTTTTTTTTTTTTTTTTGAGATGGAGTTTTGCTCTGTTGCTCAGGCTAGAGTGCAGTAGTGCGATCTTGGCTCACTGCAGCCTCTGCCTCCCAGGTTCGAGTGATTCTCCTGCCTCAGCCTCCTGAGTAGCTCGCACTACAGGTGCGTGCCACCACATCTGGCTAATTTTTGTAGAGATGGGATTTCACCATGTTGGCCAGGCTGGTCTCAAACTCCTGACATCAGGTGATCTGCCTGCCTTGGCCTCCTAAAGTGTTGGCCTCCTAAAGTGTTGGGATTACAGGTGTGAGCCACTTCCCTGGCCAAGGTGTTTTTGTTCTGTTTTTTTTATTTTTAAGGCAGTCTCCCTGTATCGCCCAGGCTGGAGTGCAGTGGTGCGATTTTGGCTTACTGCAACCTCAGCCTCCCAGGTTCAAGTGATTCTTCTACCTCAGCCTCCTGAGTAGCTGGGACTACAGGTGCGCACCACCACACCTGGCTAATTTTTTTTAGTAGAGACAGGGTTTCACCATTTTGGCCAGGCTGGTCTCAGACTCCTGACCTCAAGCAATCAGCCTGCCTTGGCCTCCTAACATGTTGGCCTCCCAAGGTCTCACACTCTACAGGTGTGAGCCACTGTGCCGGGCCAAAATTAAGGTTTTGATGTTTAATAAAAATCAATTGTGGGGTGGTCTTTGGCTTACCTCCTTTTATATATTCATCAACAAATAATTGTTGATGGGGAACTTTAGTGAGCATTGTGGATGTATGATTTCGATACAGTTCGACTTAGATCAAAGTTAATAGGTTTTCACAAGACTGCCCTCACTTTGGATACCAGCTGCAAACTTCGGGGGCTCCCATGTTACTTTTATTTCTGACCAAGTACAAATGTGGAGGTTTCCATCACACTCAAGTTTGATAATTCAGTTAGGATGACTCACAAAACTCAAGAAAGTCCAGTACTTATAGTTTATTATAGCAAAAAAAAAAAAATACAAATTAGGACCAACCATAAGAAGTGACATATAGGGCAGTGTCTGGGAAGGTCTCAGATATGAAGTGTTCATGCCCTCCTGTGGAGACAGGGTATTAACCGGGAAAGCTCATGTGAGCCTCTGTGTCCAGAGTTTTTATTGGTGCTTAACTACATCAGCATGATCCATTGAATCATTGGCCTTGAGCTTGAACTCAATTTCTTGCTCCCCTCTCTGAACTTTGGGCTGTTATCCTGGGGCTCAGAGCCCCAACCTTCTAATGCCATGGTTGGTCTTTCTGGTTTGGCCAGCCCCCCACCTCCACATCCTGAGATCTTGTTAACATAAACTAGGTGCTCACCATGAATCACAGAGATGCCCTGTCCCTCTCAGGACATTTCAGGGATTTAAAGGGCACCAACTGGAGCTGGGACAAAGGCCATCCAGTCTCTCTGTTATACCACAGTCAGCAATTCTGTTTTCAGTTTGATGCCTAAGGACCAGGCCTAGTGATATCACGTGGCTGACCTGAGCTGTGCCTGAGCGCCTGCATGAGAAGACTATGTGCTCTATCCTGGTGGCAAATCTAGTCAAGTGTCAGCTGATGAGTTTAAGTGGTATTTTGAGCTACAACAAATGCAATGGGATGGAAATATATGTGATTTCTATTGTTGAGAAGTTGGAAGTACTACTACTAATACTGTGGTTTGTTGCACGCATTCATGATAGAAGGAAGTGCTGTACTTCAGGTAGAGGTTAGGAAAGATGAAGATAAAATTTTTTCTCCTGTCCAAATCCATGGTCCTTATAAATTTTGACCACGTATTACACTTGTATTAAAACTTGGTGTTTTGATATTTAGTGGTTTAGGGTGTTTAATAATTTTTTTTGTTTTTTGAGATGGAGTCTCGCTGTGTCACCCATGGTGGAGTGCAGTGGCATGATCTCGGCTCACTGCAACCTCCACCTCCTGGGTTCAAGCAGTTTTCCTGCCTTAGCCTCCCGAGTAGCTGAGACTAAAGGTGCATGCCACCACGCCTGGCTAATTTTTTTGTATTTTTAGTAGAGATGGGGTTTCACCGTGTTAGCCAGGATGGTCTCAATCTCCTGACCTTGTGATCCGCCCGCCTCAGCCTCCCAAAGTGCTGGGATTACAGGTGTGAACCACTGCGCCTGGCCTAATAATTTTTATATTGATAGAGAATTTGGGCTCTGAAGGCCTTCAGATATCTACTTGGTATATATGATAGCTGCTTTGCCAGGATCCTTAAGTAGCTGAACATTGTGTAATTAGCAATGCTTTATAAGGATTGAGCCCTTTATTTTAATCTTTGAAGTTTTAGCTAAAGGCAGAACCTACACCAGAGGCCCCTAGAACATTGTCCTTAAGTTCCATTCATTGTAACATTTATTTTTTGAGAAAGGTCTTGCTCTGTCACCCAGTGCAGTGATGCCATCCTGGCTCACTGCAACCTCTGTTTCCCAGGCTTAAGTGATCCTCCCACCCCAGCCTCCCAGTTAGCTGGGACTACAGGCATGCACCACCACACTTGGCTAATTTTTATTTTTTATTTTTTTATAGCAATGAGGTCTTACTGTGTAGCCCAGGCTGCTCTGGAACTCCTGGACTCAAGTGATCTTCCTACCTTGGTCTTCCAAAGTGTTGGGATTACAGGTTTGAGCCCCACCCTGCCCATTGTAACATTTTAAATAAGAATATGTAATAATTTTTTTTTTGAGATGGAGTCTAGCTCTGTCGCTCAGGCTGGAGTGCAGTGGTGCAACCTTGGCTCACTGAAAGCTCTGCCTCCCGGGTTCATGCCAGTCTCCTGCCTCAGCCTCCTGAGTACCTGGGACTACAGGCGCCAGCCACCATGCTCGGCTAATTTTTTTTTTTTTTTTTTTGTATTTTTAGTAGAGATGGGGTTTCACTGTGTTAGCCAGGATGGTCTCGATCTCCTGACCTCGTGATCTGCCCGCCTTGGCCTTCCAAAGTGCTGCCATTACAGGCATGAGCCACCACGCCTAGCCCAAGAACGTCTTAATAAATTCTTGTAGTTACCTAGGAAGGTTTTGAGTTGTACTCTGAGTATTTTTTCTTTCCAGAACTATAAAACCTAAAACCATTGACCCTAAATTTTTGTTGTGAAACATTTCTAACATAGAAAAGTTGAAACAGGCAGTTAATATCTGTCCTCAACATCTACATTCAGGAATTGCAGATATTTTGCTGTCTTTTCCTCTTTTTTGTTTTTAAATTTCTTTTCTGCTAAACCATCCTTTCTTACCCTATTTTTGTTTTATTTGTTTATTTTTAGAGATGGGGTCTCATTCTGTCACCTAGGCTGGAGTGCAGTGTGACTTGATCATAGCTCTCTGCAGCATCAAATTCTTGGGCTCATGGGATCCTCCCACCTCAGCCTCCTGAACTGGAACTACAGATGTATACCACCACATCTGGCATTTCTCTACTTTTAATAATAATGTCTTAGTTACAAACTTAACTGGTAAACCCTTGTGATGCTGCTGCTAGTTCTAAACTTAGTTACTCCTTTCCCCTGCTGTTTTTTCCCTAAACTTTTTAAATGAAATTTTCTTTTTCTTTCTTTATTTTTTAAGATGGAGTTTCGCTCTTGTTGCCCAGGCTGGAGTGTAGTAGCATGATCTCGGCTCACTGCAACCTCCGCCTCCTGAGTTCAAGTGATTCTCCTGCCTCAGCCTCCCGAGTATCTGGGATTACAGGCATGTGCCACCACGCCTAGCTAATTTTGTATTTTTAATAGAGATGGGGTTTTTCCATGTTGGTCAGGCTAGTCTCGAACTCCCAACTTCAGGTGATCTGCCCACCTCAGCCTCCCAAAGTGCTGGGATTACAGGCGTGAGCCATCGCGCCCAGCCTTGAATGAAATTTTCTACACATAGAAGAGTTGAAACTATAGCAGAATGACCTAACCTGTCTACCTGATATCAAGATTTTAATTTGCTTACATTTTGCTCTACTGTTTTTTATTATTGAACCATTTGAAAGTTGCATTAAATTGCAGACATCATGACACTTGTTAAAGTAAGGTTGTTATTCTTTGTAACTACATGCCATATTTAAGAAAGCTAATTAGCCCTTCATATCTAATATCTATGCTCTGTATTTAGATTTTAGCTATATGTTTTTTTCGTATAAATGTCTGTGATAATTTATGTAATCCCCACTAAGTTAGAAAGGAGAAACAAATTCTTATTCTCTATGCTCATACTCAGCACAACACTTCTGTGATCAAATGTGTGTGGGTTTTCCCTACATTATCTGTGTCTCATTTTCTCTGATGACTCCAGTTGGTTGTCCTACAGTTTAACTTCTCAGAGTATCCACCTGGAAATAGCATCACATCCCACAAGACTGCCCCCATTTCTCATGCCAGTTGCAAGTCCAGGTTATTTATTTTATTTATTTACTTATTTATTTTTTGTGAGATGGAGTTCTCACTCTGCCACCCAGGCTGGAATGCAGTGGTGTGATCTCGGCCCACTGCAACCTCTGCCTCTCGGGTTCAAGCAATTTTCCTTTCTCAGCCTCCCCTGTAGCTGGGACTACAGGCACGTGCCACCATGCCCAGCTAATTTTTGTATTTTTAGTAGAGATGAGGTTTCACCATGTTGGCCAGGCTAGGCTTGAACTCCTGACCTCAAGTGATCCGCTGGCTTTGGCCTGCAAAGTGCTGGGATTACAGGCATGAGCCACCACACCCCAGCCAAGTCCAGGTTATGTTATGTGCTTCTGACACACTAGCTATAAATTGGAGACTCCTGTGATTCCTCTTTCAAAGAGGTTTTGTAATTTGCTAGAATCACTCACAGAACTCAGGGAAATAGTGTATTTGCTAGATTACCATTTTATAGTAAAGAATACAACTCAGGAACAGCCAGATGGAAGAGAGATGCATAAGGCAAAGAAGGAGTGTGGAACTCCCCTGCCTACTCTGGGCTCATCACCCTCACAGTACTTCCATGTGTTCACGAACCTTAAGTTTCTCTGCAGCTGTCCTTTTGGGTTTTTCTGTGATCTTCAGTAAGCTGGCATGATTGATTATGTCGTTGCCCACTGGTGATCAGCTTAGCTTTTAGCCCTCTCCTCTACCCGCCTCCCTTCCCAGGGTAGGGCTGAAAGTTCCAACCCTCTAACCACTGGTGGGGTTCCCCTGGAAATCAAACCACTTCCTGAGGCTATCCAGAAGCCATCAGACATCATTCATCTCATTAGCATAAAAAAGACACTGGTATTCCTAGAGTTTTAGGAATTTGGGTACCAGGAAATGGAAGAACAAAGTATATATTTCTTCACGTTTAACCTTGTGTGACAACAATTTTTTTTCTTTTTTGTTTAGGTCTTGTTGCATACCAAGGTAACAGTTTTAAGACAACTTGTTGACAGCCCAAGCTTCAGTTTACACTTGACATGTTTCACTATTAGTACTCCTGTATACTTTTTCATTAGTGGTCCTGGTGTTAAGATATGGGAACTTAGTATTTTTGCTTAAACAGTTTTAGGAGTCAATTTTCTTTTTATAAATAGCACTGTTCAGTGGTAGCAGCAGGCAACAAATACTTTGATATGACTCTGTTTCCTGAGAATTACTGCTTTTATATCTGAAATGTTGAAATATTCATGTTTTAGCCTTTTTGGAGACAATACATTGTCATTGATTTCTTGATACCCTATTCCTTTATTGAAGCAATCTATGTGTTTATTTTTAAATAGGAAGTTTATCTCGACAATGCTAGTTGCAGTCTGTGTGACCCTGACCAAGTTATTTTAATGTCTGTGCTGCAGTTTTTCAGTTTCCAAGATGGAATAGTTATAGTGCATATCTTCCTCATGGTTGTGAGGAGTGCATGACACATAGCGAGTGCTCAGTGAACAGTCATTTTTCTGGTAAGTAGTTGGAGAATTTTTTGATCTCCTTTGAGATTGCAATAGAATGAGAATTTTGAGTTTCAGAATTTAAGTTCATGACACATTTTTAAGATTAGTAAAATTGCAAGCCTGGATACTGTTAGATAAGAGTTCTAAATTTCTCTTCAAAGAATCAATATGTCAGTATGTTCAATTCTTTGCCTTCTACTTTTAAAATTAACTTCCTCTTAAAGCAGCCTTTCCTACCCTCATTCCTATTACGTGCTCCACCCTGGCTCATTCTGATTACCTGCTCCACCCTGACTCATTCTCCACCCTGACTCATTCTGATTTCCTGTTCTGTCATAACCATTTTTCCTGACAAACCACTCACCCCGTCACTCTCTTTAAATTAGCCAATTGGAAATAGTTTAGCCTGTGCGGTCTAACCCTAGCCAGTAGGGGAATGACACAGCAGCAGGGGACCCATGCGTCAGGAATAAGAACCCCTTGCTCTCCCTTGTGCAGGTAGTGTGCTCACCACTGCTCCATCTGTGAGGGCGCACCCTTCTATAGAAGTAAATTGCCTTGCTGAGAAGAAAAAAAAGAAAATTTTGTATTTGAGTGCTATTTATTTTGTGGCACTGAAACTTTATAACAATACTTAACTATATTTAATAAAGATGGACTTAGCAAAGGAAAATCCAGCATCTTTTTTTCTCTTAATTTCTTATGAAAAATTTGAACTGAAATAAAAGTTCAAAGAATAACATTAGTGAACACTAATATTCTCTTCACCTACGTTAAAAAATACTTTGCCATGTTCATGTTGAATGGAAATTGTAGGTGGTGCCATTGTTTTGAGCTAATCTTCTGCACTGGGCCATGATAGACCAGACTAAAATCTAAATGGAGCCACTCATGCTGAGGTTCCAGACTACCAAACTGAGGTGTTATCGGACCTTTCCAGAAATCAGGAGAGAGGAATAGCCTTAATTTCTCAAACCAGGCAGTTCCAGTTGGCATGATAATGCAGTTCCCAATCAGTGATTTCTCTATTGTCCTGTTTTTTCATTCCTTCCTTACAAGGAAAGTAACTTTGAAATGACCAATCCGCTTTTTGTTCTGCCATCCTGAAATAATCAAAAGGATCACAGTCAAGTTTAAAAGAGTTTTATTCAGGCCAGGCGCGGTGGCTCATGCCTGTAATCCCAGCACTTTGGGAGGCCGAGGCGGGTGGATCACCTGAGGTTGGGAGTTCGAGACCAGCCTGACCAACATGGAGAAACCTCGTCTCTACTAAAATTACAAAATTATCTGGATGTGGTGGCGCATGCCTGTAATCCCAGCTCCTCGGAAGGCTTAGGCAGGAGAATAACTTGAACCTGGGAGGCGGAGGTTGCAGTGAGCCGAGATTGCGCCATTGCACTTCCAGCCTGAGCAACAGGGTGAGACTCCGTCTCAACAAAACGAAACAGAAACAAAACAAAAGAGTTTTACTCAAGTGCAAAACTGAGAGTAGCCAACTGGGTAGCACAGAATCCAGAGGAATGGAGCCAGCCAGTCCTCTGAAGCTGAAAAGTTTAAGGTCTTGCTTATGTAGGCAGAAAACAAATTTAACAGGATTGCCACATTTTCCATACAAGGTTGGTTTATGAGTTATAGCAATTTGATTAGTTACAGTTCTTTTCCTTTTCCAATTTAAAAGAGTTTATTTAACATTCCATCTTAGTGTGGTAGTCTTGAGGTCTTTGTGTAAAAGAAGGAAGTTAATCTACAATGAAGATTAAGTTTAGAGGGATGGGGGTCTTCTCTGGAGCCCTTTAGTCTTTTCCAACATTTTACAAAACAGTGTAGGTAAAGAGGCTAATTCATTATCAGAGGACTAAAGCTGCCTGTCATGTGACTCAGATCCCATTATCACATTTCTTTAAGGCTGAAAATAATTTAAAAACTTCCAGCAGATTTGATTTTGAATTATTTTCACAGTTCTTTGTTTCTGCTTTCTTCAGGCCTGTTCTGTCTGTACACGTAGCCTCTGCTCTGCTCATTGGATGCTCATTCTATTTTATGGAACAAAGTGTTGCTGGATTCTAGAATCGTAAATAAAGCTGTTTAAGATCCTTAAACCACATTATTGTAATTTTGTCTTTTGATATTTATGTTAACCCTCATGTATGTATTGTTTTCTTTCCCTGAATTATTTGAAGTTAACTTACAGAAATTGTGAGTCTACCTCTTTAAGCATTTCAACATGTTTCCAAAGAATATATTCTCAGGCATAACCACAATGTCTTTGTTGTGCTTTTAAAATTTAATGATAATCTTACAATATCTAATGTTTAGTCTGCATTTAAATTTTCCCAGTTGTCTTAAATGTGTGTGTGTGTGTGTCTGTGTGTTTTTTCTTTTGATACAGGGTCTCAGTTGCCCAAGCCGAAGTGCAGTGGCTCGATCATGGCTCACTGCAGCCTTAACCTCCTGGTCTCATGTGATCCTCCTACCTCAGCCTCCTGAGTAGCTGGTAGCTGGTACTACAGATGTGCACCACCACCCACAGCTATCCTTACTGTGTTGATTGATCACTTGAACTCCTGGGCTCAAGTGATCTACTCCTCAGCCTTCCAAAGGATTAGGATTACAGGCATGAGCCATTGTGCCTGGCCTTAAGTGTCTTTTGTAGCTTTCGCCAGCCCCCTCCCCCCGCCCCAACAAACCGTGTGTTTAGGGTTTATTCATTGTGTCTTATTGTTGAGTCTTTAGTCTCTTTTAGTCTAGAGCAGTATGTCTACCATTTTTCTTTTTTGACACTGACTTTTTGAAGAGTATGGCCCACTTTTCATGTACAAAGTCCACCTTTCTAATTTGTCTGTTTCCTCATGGTGTTGTCTAAGTTGCTTCTGCATCACCTGTATTTCTGTAAACTAGAAATTCGATCTAAAAGCTTGACTAGATTTTTTTTTTAATATATTTTATATTGCCACATTTCACCTGGAGGTAAAACATTTTTGACGAGTATTTTATAAGTGATATAGTCTGCTTTGCGTCATATCACATTAAGAAGTGAATAAAGCAAGGTTGATTCCCTTTTAATGATGCCAAATTGTTTTATCTTTCAATTCCGTTGTAGTGAAGGGTCAAGATTGCTCCATTGTAAAGCAGTAACATTTTCCCCTTTATAATTAACGAGTAACCTGTGGAGTTACTTGTTTTGATACCGTACAATTATTGTTCTCCAGCAACCTTTCTCTTGATAGTTTTAGCAACTATTGATGGGTCTCTCTGAATGCAGGACCTTCTTCTTAATGACCTTATAATAAAGCTCCATTTGACAATATTTTCCGTAACACTTGAAGGTTCTGCTAACCTAGAAATAATGCTAACTCTGAATCTAAAATTTTTTTGTTTCCTTCAGTTTTTTCCTTCAGTTTTCATTTACAAAGTTAATCACTTAGTAGAATAACTTAAGGTGAAGATGGTATATCTTTAAAAAAACCTGAGCAAATTAAATTTAGCCTTTTCCAGTCAAAGAAGAGTGGGATTTGTTTTAGAAAAGCTCTAGTTCATCTGAATTTTGAAAGCCTTACATGGCAGCTGTTAAAACCAGGGTTTTCATTAGTTAGCACTCATTAGTGTTTTCCTTTTGATCTGTCTCTGCATTTCTTTCTGGTCTTAACAGGAGTTAGGATAAGATCAGGTGGTTGAACTATTTATTACTTGCAACTCAAAAAAGAGAAAGGACTCTAAAATTTTATTTTATTTTTTAGATTACATCTCAACATGAGGGAAGGACTCTTTTTTCTTTTTTTTTTTTGAAATGAAGTCTTGCTCTTGTCGCCCAGGCTGGAGTGCAGTGGCACTATCTCAGCTTACTGCAACCTCTGCCTCCCGGGTTCAGGCGATTCTCCTGCCTCAGCCTCTGGAGTAGCTGGGATTACAGCTGCCCACCACCATGCCTGGCTAATTTTTGTATTTTTAGAGGAGACCGAGTTTCACTATGTTGGCCAGGCTGGTCTTGAACTCCTGACCTCAGGTGATCGTCCACCTCGGCCTCCCAAAATGCTGGGATTACAGGCGTGAGCCACCACACCCAGCTGAGGGAAGGACTCTTATCTGGAGTTTTGCGTTCTAATATTATTCAAATAGCCACCATGTATCCTTCCCCCACTGCGACTCTTCCTTCTACTCCTGTCTTAAATTTTTAGTTTATTAACAAGTTCAACTTGAAATTTTAATGAAGTGGAAAACAGCAGAAAATACTGCTAAGATAAGCTTAAATCTGATAGGAGGGTACATACTTCAGAATATCAGTAAGTTAAAATTTTCATTTCATTGAATGAATTTGTTAGGATAAATTGATTTTATGTAGTTTTAAAATTTCTTTAATCTGGCTGGGTGCAGTGGCTCAGGCAGAATTTTTTTTCTTGATCTTTGAAGTCATTCTGTAAATAGCACAGAAAGGGAGTGGAGTCATGGGATGTTTTTTAAAATTGGGAAATACTACATTATGGTTTGTGGGTTTTTTGTTTGTTTGTTTGTTTGTTTTGTGACAGTCTTGCTCTGTCACCCAGGCTGTAGTGCAGTGGTGCGATCTCGGCTCACTCTAACCTCTGCCTCCCGAGTTCAAGCAGTTCTCCTGCCTCAGCCTCCTAAGTAGCTGGGATTACAGGTATGCACCACCACACCTGGCTAATTTTTGTATTTTTAGTAGAGACCGGGTCTCGAACTCCTGGCCTCAGGTGATCTGCCCACCTCGGTCCCCCAAAGTGCTGGGATTACAGGTGTGAACCACTGTGCCCAGCCTACATCATGTATTTTTTTTTTTTTTTTAATAAAAAGCTCTTGATCTTCTTTATTTATTGTACTTTTTTGAGATGGGGTCTCACTCTGTCATCCAGGCTGGAGTGCAGTGGTGTGATCTTGGCTCACTACAACCTCTGCCTCCTGGGTTCAAGTGATTCTCCTGCCTCAGCATCTCGAGTAGCTGGGACCAAGGGCATACGCCACCATGTTCGGCTAATTTTTTGTTGTGTTTTTTGTAGAGATGGTTTTGCCATGTTGGCCAGGCTGGTCTCGAACTTTTGAGCTCAAGTGATCTGCCTACTTTGGCCTCCCAAGGTGTTGGGTTTACAGGTGTGAACCACTGCGCCTGGCCTTTACATCGTGTGTTGTATGTTGATGGGACTATGCTAGTGGTAAATGTATACAGAGAAAAAGTATGGGATTGATTAGGCAAGTGACAGGGTTGAATGTGGCTCAGAGATATTGCATCTTTTATTATGGAGACAAAGGGTACTGATCAGTTAGTCAATTTGGTGGTAAAGTGATGAGTAGTTGAGTAGTTCTCTTTGCTTCTGTTTTCCTAGCCAATAGCAAGCCTGTCTGCTGAGGCTGTGGGTAGTATTGTTGAATGCACACTTGAGATACGAGATTACAAATTTGAAGTGAAATTTTTGTATGTTTTTCATCCATGTTTAACCACTTTATGTTGTAAGCACTCTAGGAAGGGATTTGGGTTAGGGTTTTGCCATACAACAGTGACAAGAAGAGAAGGGAAGAAAATTGAGAAAAGCAATGGAATAATAATCATCGTGATGTGATTGACCATCCATGAAAATCTAAGCAGAATAATAAGGGAAGTTAGTCCCTGAGGGAGATAATGCGATATTGGAAAAACAATAAAGCTGTACATTGATACTGGTTGCATCAAATAATTGTTGGAATGGGAGTGTCAGTGTAAGAAAACTAGAATGATCAGAGATGGTTTTGAGTATGAGATACTTGAAATAAAGGTTTTGGGATTATTGCAGTTATTGTTGATAAAAAGGTCTGTGTTGAGACTGTGAGAATAGATGAAGTGTAGGGTAAGTGGTTTGAAGGTAGGGTGTGTAAGAGCCAGGCGGGAGGTTGAATGGATCATATGTGTGGATGTTGAGGATGTCAAGAATGTTGATGGGATCATGGAGGAAAAGAAGTAAAGCCAATACCATAATCTTCAACAAATGAGTGCTGATGACGGAAGATTCACAGGTAGAAAAGTAACAAAAAGGGATAGCTGTTATGACTAGTGTTATGGCATGTGCTTCTAGGGTGAGGATTGGGGTAGGAGAGATTGTGTCAGGGTGTGTGGTGACAAATGCAAACCATCTTTTTGGGGGAGCTATTGGTGGTAGGGTCATGTGGTCAAAGTAGACTGCACTTTGCTGAAGAACGACTTTACCTTCTGGAGAGGTTTGGGCAGGCTGGGGGAAGAGAGTAATAGGGGCCCATTAGATAGGTCTGAGTGGGAAGAGAGTTTAATGAGGGAAAAGAGGGATATGAGATTTGATGTGGCAGCTGGATAGGCTCTCAGGGAAAGGTGAGTAAGCAACCAGTTGTCCTGATAGCCTTCATCTTAGGCCTAGTCTCTCTACATCATTGAGTGGTGAAACAGACCTGCTGTATCTCTAGGAACTAAATTTGGTTTAAAAGATGACACTGCTTCTGGCAGGGTGCAGTGGCTCACGTCTGTAATCCCAGCACTTTGGGAGGCCGAGGCAGGTGGATCACAAGGTCAGGAGATTGAGACCATCCTGACCAACATGGTGAAACCCCATCTTTACTAAAAATACAAAAATTAGCTGGGCATGGTGGCGCACACCTGTAGTTCCAGCTACTCCGGAGGCTGAGGCAGAATTGCTTGAACCCGGGAGGCAGAGGTTACAGTGAGCCAAGGTTGCGCCACTGCATTCCAGTCTGGCGACACAGCGAGACTCTGTCTCAAAAAAAAAAAAAAAAGATACACTACTTCCATAAAATGACTTTGGCATTTGCATGGGTGAGGAACTGTCTTTGAGGCTCCGCTGAAATTTCTCGACCTTTTTCTTTAGTTTCTGGAAGCTTGTGAGCAGAAAGGGAAACTCAGAGACGTGTTTGGCTATAATTCTTTCTCTTGCCCAAGACCCTGGCCTGCTGATCTTCAGCCTTGCTGTTACTCTGTCTTGAACATGATTTCCTGTGCTGCCCCCGTGCTGTCCTTCCACTCTGCCTCCCCAGTAACCTCACACCCCTGTCTCCCACCCCCATACTCTGTTTCTTTGTGTCCCATTAGACAGATGGGCCATGCTGTCTAAATCTTCTGTGAAATCCCAGCATCCACCCTTTTCTGATTTCTAGCAGCAGGATGCTTTAGGATAATAATGGGGATGTCAGACAGCAGCTGTATTGTGTTCCAGTTGATCTTGGAAGAGCTTCACTTTTGGGTCTTGCACATGTCCCAGGCTTCTTTTTTTAAAGAGTCTATCACCTCTTTTTCTCCTTTCTACTTTGTCATGTCCTAAGAACCCAGGTCTTAGGAAATAAAGTTAATTGCTTTGGGACAAAATGCACTTTAGCTAATACTTTTGCTTAAAATTTTATGTTTAATGGCTCACTAGGCATAATTTTGCTCTCTTGATGCTCTAGTAATGAACTGTTTCACTATTTTACAGAGTGCTTGTGATTTCACGTATTTTTGCTGAACTCGTAAAAGAGACACTTGGATGGTGGATTAACCAGAACACTAACATTCTGTGAAAAGTTTCAAATTGGAGAATATTGAATTTTCACCCTAGTCCAGCAGCTCCGCTGCTCACTTAAATACAGATGAATGAAGACCCCATTCGGAAAGACACCTGGCCAGCGGTCCAGAGCTGATGCAGGTAGGCATTGCGGTTCTACACATATTTAAATATATACTTTAATATAATTCATTTCAAACAAGTGTAAAATTGGGTACTTTCACATAATAGCTAGTGAAAAACTTTGTCATTTCTAGTATGTTATACACATATGCATATATTAAGAAGCAGATTTAAGTTTCTTGAAAGGGAAGTAGTCACATGAAATTTCTGTATAATCCTTTAGCAGGTTATAAATGTCTAGTAAATTTAGCAAGTGAATTGTAAATATCTGTTAATAGGATTATAGTAAAAGGAGTTTTTTCCGGAAGAGTTAAAGTGAGGTGACATGAGTTGGATTTAGTGAGATTTAGTGTACTGAGAGCAACTTTTAGGAAGAAAGATAAACTTGGAATTTCTTGTGTTTACTTGAAAGAAGTTTACTGGTGTGGAAATTTTAATAAAAATTACATTCATTCTTATTTTTGTGGCACATAGCTAGTATAACTTGAATAGAAGTTAGTCTTTGCCTGATTTTTAGCGTGCCTGCCCCAATAAAGATAAACAAAATCTTATAGAATACCCTATAAAATAGGTAAGTCATACTTTCTTTGGGACTTGAAAAGCATTCTTCTCCATTTCAGACATATATCTGAATGTTGAAAAAGAACATTTTAGGGTTCTTTGACAAATGAATCAGAATTATTCTATAAAAATTATTAATAGTACAAACTTAAGTGATTTAGAACAATTTCTTCTATTTATTTACTGTAGTATTTGGAGTTCTGTTGTAGAAAAACCACAAGAATTAAGATTTCTAAGTACCCTTTATCTTTATTTTAGCTTCTCTTTTATAAAGATAATACTCATTTAAATATTTAATATTTGTCAGTCAGATTAATTTGGGTTGGTGATGACTGAAGTTTAAGGTATATGAGAGCTTACTCAGAATCCTAGCCGTTATTAGCTGTATAAAGATGGGCACATTTCTTAGTCCTCTTGAGCCTTAGTTTTTCTCATCTAAAAAAACGGGACTTTTTTTTTCTTTTTCTCTCTTTTTTTTCTTTTTTTTTTGAGACGGAGTCTCGCTCTGTCACCCAGGCGATCTTGGCTCCAGGTGATCTGCAGCCTCTGCCTCCTGGGTTCAAGCGGTTCTCCTGCCTTGGTCTCCCCAGTAGCTGGGATTACAGGCATGAGCCACCCTGCCCGGCCAGTTTTTTTGTATTTTTAGTAGAGATGGGGTTTTGCCATGTTGGCCAGGCCGGTCTTGAACTCCTGACCTCAAGTGATCCTCCCGCGTCAGCCTCCCAAAGTGCTGGGATTACAGGTGTGAGCCACTGCGCCTGGCCAAAAAATGGGACTATTAATGTACCTATTGGGGTTAAGGACTAAATGAGATGTGAGTCAAATGTTTAGGTAGTTGCCTGGCACTTTTAATAGTGTTATTATTGATCATAATGTTTAGAATAAGATATTTTTATTTCTTCTCATTAATTGAAAAAATTGCTGCCAGGTGTTTATTGACTGGTGAAACCTCCCAGGTCTCTGTCATTTGAAATAGTAATTCCTTTTCTAAAGTTCATATATGTACAGCATACAGCATTCCAAATTCAACATGCATTCTTCTTTTAAATTTCTATTTTTATTTTAGATTCAGAGGTACGTGTTCAGGTTTGTTACAAGGGTATATTGTATGGTGCTGAGGTTTGGGTTTCTATTGATGCTGTCACCCAGATAGTGAACATACTAGTTCCAGCAGGAAGTTTTTCAGCCCTTGCTGCGTCCCTCCTTCCCTTTAGAGTCCCCGGTGTTGATAGTTTCCATATTTATGTCCACATGAACCCAAGATTTAGCTCCAACTTATGAGTGAGAATATGCAATATTTGGTTTTCTCTTTCTGCATTAGTTCACTTAGGATAATGGCCTCTAGCTGCATCCTTGTTGCTGCAAAGGACTTGATTTCATTCTTTTTCATGGCTGTGAACATTGCTATTTTCTTTATCGATTTTGAAATCATCTTGTGAGGAACCTAGCAGGCTGAGTAAAGTGATGTGTAATATGGTATAAGTAACTGAAGGAACTAAACCAAAAGATTTTATTTTTTTTAAAGGGTGAGATTGTTAATCCTAACAAGTACTTTGATCTTACATTTTCTTATTCTTTGATTTTTTTATGGCATATGGCATAGGCTTAAAGACAAAATAGGTTCTATGTAAATCCTAGTTGGCGTGTGAGATATTTTAGCATAAGAGTCCGTGAGGTTATTTTTTAATGTTGTGTAAGAAGATACAAGAAAAACAAACCAAAGTGTTTTTTCTTGCCTATTCTCTCTTTCTTTTTTAAAGAGACAGAGTTCCTCTCTCTCACATAGGCTGGAGTGTGGTAGTATGATTATAGTTCACTGCAGCCTTGAACTCCTGAGCTTAGGTGGTTTCTGCATCAGCCTCCCGACTAGCTGGGACCACAGGTGTGTGCCATCAAGCCTGGCTAATTTTTTTGTAGAGACAGGGTTTCGCAGTGTTGCCCAGGCTGGTCTTCAACTCCTGAGCTGAAGCGGTCCTCCTGCCTCAGCCTCCCATAGTGTTGGGATTACACTTAATGAGCCAGTGTGCCTGGCCTCCACCTATTCTCTTATGTAATTCAATACAACACAGCACCTCTGGTCACCCAAATGTGGGAAGGGGAGGAGTTGCTTCCCACCAGCAATCAAGCAGTTCTGCAGCAGACATCATTTCACTTCAGTCCAATTCTGATACTGTCCACCTAGAGACAGCATCAAATCTCATAGGTTGAGGGCTCAGTCCCATAAGACCGCTGCTTGCTTCTGATGCCAGTTCAGATGCATATCTGGGCCTCTGGAACTTCTGGTCTGAACAGCCATAAATTGGAGTTTCCACAGCCCTGTCCCTGGGCTCAATTAGTTTGCTAGAGCAACTCACAAAACTCAGTGAAACACTTAACTTTTACCAGTTTATTATAAAGGGTATTACAAAGGATACAGATGAACAGCCAGATGGAAGAAGGAGAGATGCATAGGGCAAGGCATGCAGGAAGGGGCATTGGTGCATCTACCCCCCTCCAGGAACCTTCAGATAGTGTTGCGCTATCTGGAAGCTCTTCTAAACTCTGTCTTTTGTGGTTTTTATGGAAGCTTCATTGTGTAGGCATGATTGATTACATCAGTGGCCATTGATGATCAGCTCAACCTTCAGCCCCTGTCCCGTAACAGTGGGTGGTTGAAAGTCCTGATCCTTTAGTCATGCCTTGGTCCTACTAGAGACCAGTCCCCATCCTGAAGCTGTCTCTGGTTATCCCATTAGCATACAGAAGACACTTACCACTCCAGAGTTTCCAAGGGTATTGGAAGCTGTAAGTCAAGAGGAGGAGGAAGGCCAAATATATATATTTCACAGTATTACAGAAGTATAGCCTATTTTGGAAAGATTGCTGACCCCAGGATCAGTATTGTTTATAAAATAGAGTCTTAATCATTCTTCCTGTTAGCATAGACAAATGCTCTGCTGCTTCTAAGTCCCTGTATCAGTAACCAATGTGTCTATTTGCAAATGAAAGAAAAATCACCAAAAAAGGGTTTTGTCTCAGGCAGCAAGAAGCCCAGGTAGGCATTTCAGAGTTGGTTAGGTAGTTCAGCTATGCCCTCAGGCAGGTGTCATCTCAAAGGCTTCTTCACTCACATGGGCTGATAGGACTTAAATAGCCTGGAGCTTTAGCCACCCGGCCTCCTGGGCATCTCTTTTCTTATGGGGACCTTTACATGGAGGCTTCCAGATAGTATCCCTAAGAGAAACTGTCACAGCTGTGTGGCCTTTATCTAGCCTTGGAACTTATACAGGTTCACTTCTACTGCATTCTATTCATTGAGGCAGTCACAGAGGCTCACCAAGTTTCCAGGGAGGGAGCATAGACACTATACTTGATGGGAGAAGTAGCAAAGAATTTGTGGCTATGTTTTAAAACTGCTACAGTGGTAAATAGATTGGGTAGGCAACTTCCAACATCTGCCATGACCCCCAGTACCTGTCTTTAACATAGAGGGTGAATGATTGAGGAAATATTTGAAAGTAATAATTTTATATTTTCTTTATCTCATTCACATATCAGGAATTTCTGTTTTGAAAATAACTTACGTTTATCTGTGATTATGTTGAAATTTAACTGGTTGCTAAGTAGCAGTTTATGCCTAATGACATTGGGTAACAAGTACTATTAGGGTATATGGTAAAATTTTTTTTCACGTTTTCCCCTGGTGTTAGCCTCCATTTTTAGTATTTTAGCAAAGGTTGCAGTATTTTCCTTTTATGATATATTTTTTCTTTTTTTTTTTTTTTTGAGATGGAGTTTTGCTCTTGTTGCCCAGGCTGGAGTGCAATGGCACGATCTTGGCTTACTGCAACCTCTGCCTCCCAGGTTCAAGTGATTCTGCTGCCTCAGCCTCCCAAGTGGCTGGGATTACAGGCATGCACCACCACACTCGGCTAACTTTTTTGCATTTTTAGTAGAGACGGGGTTTTTCCATGTTGGTCAGGCTGATCTTGAACTCCTGACCTCAGGTGATCTGCCCGCCTCGGCCTCCCAGAGTGCTGGGATTATAGGCGTGAGCCACCATGCCCGGCCCTTTTTATGATATATTTTAATCATATTGATGGTACAAGGAATGTTAGTCATAGATGCTCATGTACCTACTACTCAAATTTAACAAATATTTCTCTCTCTCTCTCTCTTTTTTTTTTTTTGAGATGGAGTCTCAAGAGCTCTGTCGGCCTGGGCTGGAATGCAGTGGCATGATCTCGGCTCATTGCAACCTCCGCCTCCTGGGTTCAAGTGATTCTCCTGCCTTAGTCTCCCTAGTAGCTGGGATTACAGGCATCCGCCACCACGCCCGGCCAATTTTGTATTTTTAGTAGAGACGGGGTTTCTCCATGTTGGTCAGGCTGGTCTTGAACTCCCGACCTCAGGTGATCCACCCGCCTCGGCCTCCCAGAGTGCTGGGATTACAGAAGTAGGCCACTGTGCCCAGCTTTGAATGGCATTTTTATTTCTCATTCTTTGTGTGTGTCCAGTGGGTTTTATTCCCCATTCTTTGGAAACTTTTAGAATTGGCTTTTTATGTCTTCTGAAACTTTTATGATAATGCCTGTTAGTGTATATCTTTTTCATTTATTGTTCTAGGCTTTCAATCTTCAGATTAATCCTTTAGGTCAGGTACAGTGGCTCATAAACTATAATCCCAGCGCTTTGGGAAGCTGAGGTAGGAGGATCATTTGAGGCCAGGAGTGTGAGACTGCCTGGGCAACATGGTGAGACCCCTTCTCTACAAAAAATTAGCTGGGTGTGATGGTGTGTACCTGTAGTTTTAGCTACTCAGGAACCTGAGGTGGGAGGATCACTTTGAGCTCAGGTGTTGCTGCTGTGAGCTGTGATTGTGTCACTGCATTCCTGCCTGGGTGACAGACTGTCCAGAAAAAAAAATAGATTTATTCTGTAACAGTGTGGAATATTATGTTTCTTCTTTAACTGTCTCCTGTTTTTCTTCTTCTCTCTGAAATGCATGCTACTTGGATGTTTGGCCTCTTAGATTGATCTCCATCACCCTCCCCTGTGCCCGTCCCGCCCCCCCCACCCCCAGTTTTTTTTTTTTGAGACAGAGTCTTGCTCTGTTGCCCAGGCTAAGTGCAATGGCATGATCTCAGCTCACTGCAACCTCCACCTCCCGGGCTCAAGCAATTGTCCTGTCTCAGCCTCCCAAGTAGTGGAATTACAGGCATGCGCTACTGCCCTGGCTAATTTTTGTATTTTTAGTAGAGACAGGGTTTCACCATGTTGCCCAGGCTGGTCTCGAACTCCTGACCTCAGGTGATCCATCCACTTCTGCCTCCCAAAGTGCTGGGATTACAGGTGTGAGCCACCCTGGCTCCTTTTTTTTTTTTTCTTTGAGACAGAGTCTTGCTCTGTCACCCAGGCTGGAGTGCAGTGGCGCGATCTCGGCTCACTGTAACCTCTGCTTCCCCTGTTAAGCTGTTCTCCTGCCTCAGCCTCTGGAGTAACTGGGATTACAGGCGCATGCCACCATGCCCAGCTAATTTTTTCTTTTTTCTTTCAGTAGAGATGGGGTTTCACCATGTTGGCCAGGCTGGTCTCGAACTCCTGATCTTGTGATCTGCCTGCCTTGACCTTCCAAAGTGTTGGGATTGCAGGCATGAGCCACTGCGCCTGGCCCATTTTCCCATTCTCTGGGGGAGCTTATTTACTTTATATTTTCCCACGTTTTCTGTTTTGTTTTTTGTTTTTTTTAATTTCAGTCAGCAACTTAATTTCTAAGTGCCTTCCCTCTTCCTCCCCCATTTTCTTTTACACAGGCTGGTTTCAAACTATTGGGCTCAAGAGATCCTCCCACCTCAGCCTTTCAGGTAGCTGGGAATACAGGCACATGTACCACTGCATCCAGCTTTTTTATTCTCATACTTGTTTATTTCATAGATACAAGTAGCTTATGTTTCTGGGGATATAAATTACTTTTTGTTTGTTTTGAGATAGGGTCTCGCCGTGTCACCCAGTCTGGAGCACAGTAGCATGATCTTGGCTCACTGCAGCCTCAAACTCCCAGGCTCAAGAGATCCTCCCACCTCAGCCTCCTGAGTAGCTGGGACTACAGGCGTGAGTGCCACCACGCCCTGCTAATTTTTGTATTTTTTTGTAGAGATGGGGTTTCGCCATGTTGCCCAGGCTGGTCTTGAACTCATGAGCTCAAGTGATCCACTGGCCTTGGTCTCCCTAAGTGCTGGGACTACAGTCATGCACCAGTGTACCTGCTTATAAATTGCTTTTTAAATAGCCTTTCTAGTGTTAGCCTTGTTGCTGACGAGTTTCTTTGTGTCTCTGCTATTAGTCTCTGTTTCATTTGGAGGCTTTCCTTGAGTCTCTTGATCCTAGCATGATCCTCTAGGAAGACATCAAGATGATGGCAAGCTGTCTGTGAGGAAATGGCTCTTGTTGCCTGGACTTCTCCTGCCTTATTGGGGAGTCTGTGAAATGTTTTCTTTGGAGATGGATTGTCAGGTGTCCTCCATAGATGATGATCACTCATCTCTCATATTTTCTTATTTCTCTTTTAAGTTTACATAGTCATATTTCCTTACCTGCTGCATCCCCAGACAAGACTGTCTGTCATACCAAGCTGAGCTTATAAAATCTGCAGAGCAACAAGGAGAGTATCACCTTGGTGGACTCTCAGTGAAATTTTCAAAGAAAGAAAGATACGGTAAGTCCTCACTTAATGTCATCCATAAGTTCTTGGAAACTGTGACTTCAAGGAAAACAAAACCAGTTTTTTGTTTTTTTTTTTCTCATCAACGTTATAAGGAAACAACTTTGAACATTGAACTGACAGCGTTTGAGGACCTCCTTTACGCTGTGTAAAGTCTCAGTTTCCAAGAACCTATCGATAGTTAAGTGAGAACTCAAGGGGAGGAGTGAGTCATAGGGTTGGAAGTCAGGAAGTATGATGTAGATGAGGATTGGTTTAGAATTTCTAATCCAAATGAGCTGCTGGATCAGACATTGGTCTTTATCATTGGAGCATCTGAGTCTACACAAAGTTCACTTAAAATAGTTGGTCTTACTTTGGAACATGTGCCTGAGTAAGCCTCTGTGAGACAGTTTTGGTTGTATTTTGTTTCTCTTGCATATTATGGTTTAGTATAGTTTAACTGTTTTAGAGTCAAATAGAATAGTTTATTTTATAATTTATAAAATTATTTTACAAATTATAAAATAGTTTATTTTATAAATTATAAAATAGTTTATTTTATAAATTATAAAATAGTTTATTTTATAAATTCATTTTATAAATTAGTTTATTTTATAAATTACGGTTTTCTTCAACAAATAGATATAATAAAGCTATATATTAAAGAAACTTCTGTTTTCCACTGGAAAGTCAGTGATGGGTGATATAACTCCCCATTTGGTGACAAACTGATAACAGTATCCAGTTAATGTGTACCCATTAACTTTTCTTTTTCTGCTTAACAATGTGGGTTAAGCAGTATGTAGAGCTCTAGCAGTATGTAGAGCTCTTCCTCATTGTTTTTTTACAGATGAATAGTACTCCATTGTGTGGCTGTACCATATTCATTTGGTATCCATTATTACTGGACGTGTGAGTTGTTTCTACTCTTCTGCTCTTACAGATAATAGCTACAATGAGCTGCGCGCGGTTGCTCATGCCTGTAATCCCAACACTCTGGGAGGCCGAAGCGGGTGGGTCACTTGAGGAGTTTGAGACCAGCCTGGCCAACATAGCGAAACCTCACATCTACTGAAAATGCAAAAATTAGCTGGGCATGGTGGTGGGTGCCTGTAATCCCCACTACTTGGGAGGCTGAGGCGGGAGAATTATCTGAACCCGGGAGGCGGAGGTTGCAGTGAGCCAAGATCGCACCACTGCACCCCAGCCTGGCTGAAAGTGTGAGACTCCAGCTCAAAAAAAAAAAAAAAGCTTATCTTTGTCAGTATGTCTTGCTGTTGTGTCATTGGATAAATTTCTGGAAATAGAATTGAGTCAGATCTTCAATTCATGTATGATTTTGTGAGATCTCACCAGATTGCCCTCCATCGACTCTGTATTATTTTGCATTCTTTTTTTTTTTCTTTTTTCTTTTTTGGAGATGGGATCTCACTCCGTCACCCAGGCTGGAGAGCAGTGGCACGATCATGGTTCACTGCAGCCTCGACCTCCTGGACTCAAGCGAATCTCCTACCTCAGCCTCTAAGTCGCTGGGACTACAGGCATGCACCACCACACCCGGCTAATTTTTGAATTTTTTAGGGTTTTACCATGTTGACCAGGCTGTTCTTGAACTCCTGAGCCTTGTGGGCCATGGTGCCAGCCCCATTTTGCATTCTTACCAGCAATAAAATATGTAAAGAGTTTCTCTCTTCTCACAGTCTTGCCAGTGACATATGTTGTCAAATATGTGGTTTTGTCTGTCTTGTGGGTGAGAAATGGTGTTTCTGTGCAGTTTTATTTGTGATCTTGGCTTGTAAGGGCCTACTTGGCCTTCCTTTTTCTGATATTACATCTATTTTTCTTTATTACTTGCATAAGGTTTTTTTACATCAGAGTTATTAACCTTTAATCTGTGATAGGGGTCATTTACCTTCTTACACTTCTGTTGTGTGGAGTCAGTTTCTTGGAAACAGCCTTTCTTGAGTCCCTGGTCTCTCACTCCCACCTGTATGGGTCTGTCAGCCTATATCACATAAGTCTTGCTTTGGAACCTTCTGCTCTTCTAGGTTATATCTATGGTTTCTCAGATCCTATGTGTTTATGTTGCTTTTCTTATTTCCTGAAGGGTATCCTTCAGTAACTTCCAAAGAAGATGTGTATGAAATATAAATTTTAGCCCATATATGTGTGGAAATGTATATACTGTCAGTTAATAATTTACCCAGGTACGAAGTTCAGAGTTCAAAATCATTTTGCTTCAATATTGACAATATTACTCTCTTGTCTTACTGTTTTCTAGCCCAGTTTTGTTTGTTTTAAAGAGGTGGGGTCTAACTGTGTTGCCCAGGCTGGACTTCAGTTCCTTGGTTCAAGTGATCCTCCTGCCTCAGCCACCCGAGTAGCTGGGACTACAGGTGTGCTCCACAGCGCCTGACTTTCTAGCTCAGTGTTGATGACAGAAGAATAATTTTAGACTAACAGTTTTTAAACTTTACAATCTTTCTACAGTTTTAGAGTTGCAAAGAGATAACGGGCTCTATTTTTTTAGAGCAGTTTTAGGTACTCAGGAAAATGGAGTGGAAAATAACAGAGTTCCCATATATTCCTTTCCCTCACAAATGTGCAGCACACCCTGCCCCATTCCTGTCCCAGCATCTCACAGTGTGGTACATTTGCTGGAAGTTGATGAACCTTCTTTGACATGTCATTATCACCCAAAGTCCATAGTTTACATTAAGGTTCATTCTTGATGTTTCACTACCCTGAAAATCCCTTGTTTTCCCATTGTTCTTCTCTCTCTCACCCTTAACCCCTGGCAAGTGCTGATTTTTTATTGTCTCCCTAGTTTTGTCTTTTCCAGAATAACGTCATAAAGTCGGAATCATACAGCGTGGAGTCTTTTCAGATTGGATTCGTTCACTTAGTAATTAATATGCACATAAATTTCCTCTGTGTCTTTTTTTTTTTTTTTTTTTTTTTTTTTTGAGACGGAGTCTCGCTCTGTCGCCCAGGCTGGAGTGCAGTGGCGGGATCTCGGCTCACTGCAAGCTCCGCCTCCCGGGTTCACGCCATTCTCCTGCCTCAGCCTCCCAAGTAGCTGGGACTACAGGCGCCCGCCACTACGCCCGGCTATTTTTTTTGTATTTTTAGTAGAGACGGGGTTTCACCGTTTTAGCCGGGATGGTCTCGATCTCCTGACCTCGTGATCCGCCCGCCTCGGCCTCCCAAAGTGCTGGGATTACAGGCGTGAGCCACCGCGCCCGGCCTCCTCTGTGTCTTTTTATGGCTTGATAGTTCATTTCTTTTTATCACCAAATAATCTACTGTTTGGATGCACAAGTTTATTTATCCATTCACCTATTGAAGAAACATCTTGGTTGCTTCCAAATTTTGGCAGTTTTGAATAAAGCTGCTATAGGCCGGGGGTGGTGGCTCACACCTGTAATCCCAGTATTTTGGGAGGTCAAGGTAGGCCGATCTCTTGAGCCTGAGAATTCTAGATCAGCCTGGGCAACATGGCAAAACCCTATCTCTACAAAAAATACAAAAAGTAGTGGAGCGTGGTGGCTCACACCTGTGGTCCTAGCCACTCGGGAGGTTGAGGCGGGAGGATGGCTTGAGCCAAGGAGGGAGAAGCTTCAGTGAGCACTGACCATGCTACCACACTCCAGCCTGGGCAACAGAGTAAGACCCTGTCTCAAGAAAAAAAAAAAAGAAGGAAAGAAACAACAAAATGAATGAAGCTGCTATATATATCTGTGTGCAGATTTTTGTGCAGGGATATTTTCAACTCTTGGATAAATATTGAGCACAACTCCTGGTTTATGGTTAAACGTATGTTTACTTTGCAAGAAATTGCCAAACTGTCTTCCAAAGCGGCTCTACCGTTTTGCATTTCCACAAGCAACTAGCTTTTGGTTTCATTGATTTTTCTCTATTGATTTTGATTTTCAATTGTAGTGATTTCTGCTCTAATTTTTAAAAGTTTATTTTCCTCTCCTCATCTTGGATTTAATATTCTCTTCTTTTTCTAGTTTCCTAAGACAGAAGCTTAGATTATTGACTTTAGATCTTTCTTTATCTGGGCGTGGTGGCTCAAGCCTGCAATCCCAGCACTTTGGGAGGCTGAGGGGGGCAGAGGCCAGGAGTTCAAGACCAGCCTGGCCAACATGGTGAAACTTTGTCTCTACTAAAAATAGAAAGATTAGCTGGCGTGGTGATGCGCGCCTGTAATCCCAGCTACTTGGGAGGCTGAGGAAGGAGAATCACTTGAATCTGGGAGGCAGAATTTGCAGTGCATCGAGATCATGCTGCTGCACTCCAGCCTGGGCCACAGAGCAAGACCCTGTCTCAAAAAAAAAAAAAAGATTTTTAATTGCTATAAATTAATTCATTAATTGCTGTAAATTTCTCTGTAAGCACTGCTTTTGCTCAGTGTTGGTAAGTTATGTTTTCATTTTCACTTAGTTCAAAATATATTTAAATTTCTCTTGCAGTTTCTTCTTTGACCCATGTGCTTAGAAGTATGTTGTTCAATCTCCATGTATTTTGAGATTTTTCAGCCATCTCTCTGTTACTGATTTCTAGTTTAATTACGTTGTTGTATGACAGCATACACTGTATGATTTGTATTCTTTTAAATTTGTGAAACTGTTTTACAGTTCATAATGTCGTCTGTTTTGGTGTATTTTCCGTGTGAACTTGAGAAAAGTTTGTATTCTGCTCCTGTTGGGCAAAGTAGTCTTTAGATTTGACTATAGATCAAATATATAGATTAGATTTGATCTATAGTCAACTAGATTTGATGGTGCTTGTTGAGTTCATCTATATCCTTACTGATTTTATGCCTTCTGGATCTGTCCATTATTGATAGAAGGATGTTGAAATCCATAACCATAATATAGGTTGAGCATCCCTAATCCAAAAACCTAATATCCAAAATACTTCAACATCTGAAACTTTTTGAGTAACTCACGTGATTCCACAATTGGGTGATGAAGATGACATTAATACTAAAGAAAAAGTGCCTGTTGATGACATGGGGAAAATGTGTGATGGGCTTATTGGAGGACTAGAGCAGGGTGCATTTGTAACACAACAAGAAACCATGTCAATTTATATGATCGAAGAGAGACTTTTAAGACAAAAACTTGTTCATGAGGCGGTTGACTAGAGGAAACACTTTAAAAAACCATCCAGTAGAATGCTTGCTCATTCCTAAGGACCCACTTCCTGGCCCCTCAACTGCTTCTGATATTTTTTTCTCACCTAAAAAAATAAAACACACAAAACACAGAATTGTAGGTGGAGAGTAAAGGCAAGCTGTTGTTTGTTGTTGCTGTTAATAGCTGATATAGATATTCTGGCGCTGCTACTGTGCTGCTTAGATATCCTGAACACATTATTTTTTCAGTGTATTAATGGTATGCTATATTTTTTACTGTTAAGAACTTATGTGTGAATTCGTGTAAGAGAATGGTTGCTGTTGGTAGCATATAAATTCAGTGTCAGGAATGATGATGATAACAAACACAGATTGTCCACATGGGTTGAGCTAGTGACACCTTTGCTTTCTGATACTTCAATGAGTATAAACTTTGTTTCATGCACAAAATTATTTAAAATATTACATAAAATTACTTTCAGGGGGTATATAGAAGGTTTATATGAAACATAAATAAATTTTGTGTTTAAACTTGGGTCCCATTCCCAAGATACCTCATTTTATACGCAGATATTCTGAAATGTGAAAGACTTCTGGTCCCAAGCATTTTGAATAACAGATACTCGACCTTCAGTGGAGTTAATCTGTCTCTTCCTATAGTTCCATCAGCTTTTTTTCCTCACATATTTTGATGCTCCATTTTTAGGCACATACACATTAAGGATTGTTTTGTTTTCTTGGAGAGTTGACACCTTTATTTTATGTAATGCCCCCCTTTATCTTTGATAACTTTTCTTCCTCCAAACTCTGCTTTTTCTAAAATTCATATAGCTTCCCACTTTCTTTTGATTATTGGTAGCAAGCTGTATCTTTTCTTCATCCATTTACTTTAAATCTGTGTATCTTTATAGTTAAAGTGGATTTCTTGTATCTAGCATGAAGTTGCATGTTGTTTTTGATCCACTCTGAGTCTGTCTTAATTGGTATATTTAGATCAGTGACACAGAAAATGATTATGTAGGTGGAGTAATACCGTGTCATATTTATGTTACTATTATCTGTTCTTTGCCCTTGTTCTTTTTTCCAGTTTTTGCTTTCCACTCTTTTCTGCCTTCTCTGGTTTTAATTGAGCATTTTATATGATTCCACCTTTTTCCCTTCCTTAGCATATCAAGGATATTTTTTGTTTTTAATTTTTTTTTTAATTTTTAAAAATAGAGACAGAGTTTCACCATGTTACAAAGGCTGGTCTCGGGCTTTCCACTCTTTTCTGCCTTCTCTGGTTTTAATTGAGCATTTTATATGATTCCACCTTTTTCCCTTCCTTAGCATATCAAGGATATTTTTTGTTTTTAATTTTTTTTTTAATTTTTAAAAATAGAGACAGAGTTTCACCATGTTACAAAGGCTGGTCTCGGACTCCTGAGCTCAAGCGATCCGTCCACCTTAGTCTCCCAAAGTGCTGGGATTACGGGCGTGAGCCCCGTGCCCAGCCAGTTAAGTTTTTAAACTTTTTTAGTGATTGCCCTGTAGTTTGCGATATATATTTACAAGTAATCCAAGTCTACTTTCTTTCTTTTCTTTCTCTGTCTCTGTCTCTCTCTCGCTTCCTTTCTACCCTTTTTTTTTTCTCTGAGATGGAGTCTCGCTCTGTTGCCCAGGCTGGAGTGCAGTGGTGTGGTCTCAGCGTACTGCAACCTCCGCCACCCGTGTTCAAGCAGTTCTCCCACCTCAGCCTCCCCAGTAGCTGGGACTACACGATGCACGCCACCACGCCAAGCTATTTCTTGTATTTTTGTAGAGATGGGGTTTCACCATGTTGGCCAGGCTGGTCTTGAACTCTCAACCTCAGGTGATCCACCTGCCTTGGCCTCCCAAAGTGCTGGGATTACAGGCATGACACCGCGCCTGGCCTCTTTCTTTCTTCCCTTTTCCCTCCCTTCCCCTCCCCTTTGTGTTTTCTTACAAAAAACAAAAAACGCCCCCTCCCCAAGCCTACTTCGAAATAATAATATATTGCTTTAGGGGTAGTGCCACGTACTTTATGACAATAAAATTTAGTTGGCCCTCTGTATCCGTGGGTTTTACATCTGTGGATTCATCCAAACACAGATTGAAAATATCCAGAAAAACATCATTGTGCCTATACTATAAACATGTACATTATTGTCATTTTTTTCTAAATGATGCATTATAACAATGATTTACATAACTTTTGTATTTGGCATTATTAGTAATCTGGAGATGATTTAAAGTATATGGGACGGGATGTGCCTAGGTTAGATGCAAATACTACACCATTTTATATAAGGGACTTGGGCATCCATGGAGTTTGGTGTTGAAGGGGGTCCTGGAACCAGTCCCCCGTAGATATGGAGGGACGGCTGTATTCCTGATTCTCTCTCCAGTCTGGTTGTATCATCATTGCTGCCATTCGTGTGTGTGTGTGTGTGCGCGCGCGCGCGCCCATGTGTGTGTACATACATTGTTGCTCAATTAAGAAAAAAGGCCAGGCCAGTATGCTGTGGCTCATGCCTATCATCCCAGCATTTTGGTAGGCCTAAGTGGGAGGATCACTTGAGCCCAGGAGTTCGAGACCAGTCTGGGCAATGTAGTGAGACCCCATCTCTATGAAAAATAAAAATGGCTAGGCATGATGGTGCATTCCTGTAGTCCCAGCTACTTCAGAGGTTGAGGCGGGAGGACCGCTTGAGTCTTGGGACGTTGAGGTTGCAGTGAGCCATAATCGCACCACCGCAGTCCAGCCTGGGCCACAGAGTGAGACCCTGTCTAAAAAATAAATAAATAAATAAAAGTTTTTATATTATATTTTTATTATATTTTTGTATTATAAAATATAAAATAATATAAAATAAAAATATGTTACATATTTATTATAATTGTATATTATATGTTGTTATATTATTTTCACTTATTTCTTCTTTAATGTTTTTCCTTTATATAGATCTCAGCTTCTGACCTATATTTTCCTTTTTTTTTTTTTTTTGAGATGGAGTTTTGCTCTGTCACCCAGCCTGGAGTGCAGTGATGTGATGTCGGCTCACTGCAACCTGTGCCTCCTGGGTTCAAGCAGTTCTCCTGCCTCAGCCTCCCAAGTAGCTAGGATTACAGGCGCTTGCCACCGCACCCAGCTGAATTTTCCTTCTTTCTAAAGATTTTCTTTTTAACATTTCTTACAAGGCAGGTCTGTTGGTGACAAATTTCATCACTTTTTGTTTGTGTGAGAAAGGCTTTTATTTCTCCTTCCCTTTGAAGTAATTCTGCAGGATATAAAACTGTAAGTTAGTAGTTTTTTTTCCTCTCAACACTTTAAATAGTTCCCTCTACTATCTTCCTTTTTTGCATGGTTTCTGAGGAGAAAGCTCATGTAATTCTTTATTCCTCTGTGGTAAGGTGGTTTCTTTCAAGATGTTTTTCTTTTTCTTTCCTTTTTTTTTTTTGAAGACAGTCTTGCTCTGTCACCTGGCTGGAATGCAGTGGCCTGATTTCAGCTCACTGCAACCTCTGCCTCCCTGGTTCAAGCATTTCTCCTGCCTCAGCCTCCCGAGTAGCTGGGATTACTGGTTAATTTTTGTATTTTTAGTAGAGATGGGGTTTCACCTTGTTGGCCAGGTTGGTCTCAAACTCCTGACCTCAAGTGATCCACCCACCTCGGCCTCCCAAAGTGCTGGGATTACAGGTGTGAGCCACCATGCCTGGTGAAGATTTTTTTTTTCTTTACCTTTGATTTTCTACAGTTTGAATATGATACTCTTTGGTGTAGTTTTTTTCTGGCATTTATTTGGCTTGGCATTCTCTGAGCTTCCTGGATTTGTGGTTTGGTGTCTGGCATTAATTTCTGGGAAATCTCAGTCTTAGCTGGGTATGGTGGCGCACGCCTGTAATCCCAGCACTTTGGGAGGCTGAGGCGGGCAAATCACGAGGTCAGGAGTTCAAGACCAGCCTGACCAACATGGTGAAACCCTGTCTCTACTAAAAATACAAGAATTAGCTGGGCGTGGTGGCACACGCCTGTAGTCCCAGCTACTTGGGAGGCTGAGGCAGGCGAATCGCTTGAACCTGGGAGGCAGAGGTTGCAGTGAGCCAAGATGGCACCACTGCCCTCCAGCCTGGGTGACAGAACGAGACTCCATCTCAAAAAAAAAAAAAAACAAAAAAAAACTCAGTCTTTGCTTTACATTGATTCTATTCCTTTCTTCCTTTACCTACTTGCATTTCCATAATGTGTAAGTTATGCCTTTTGTACTTGTCCCATAGTTCTTGGGTATTCCGGGGTTTTTCTCTCTGCTTTTCAGTTTTGGAAGTTTTATTAACATGCCATTAAACTCAGAGGTTCTTTGGTTAGTCCTGTCCAGTCTACTAATAAGCCTGTCTCTGAAAGGCACTCTTTGCTTCTGTTAAAGTGTTTATCTGTAGCTTTTTTTGATTGTTAGAAGTTCCATCTCTGTATATATTGTCCATCTATTCTTTCATGTTGTCTGTATTACTCTTTAGAGATTTAGCATATTAATCATAGTTCATTTAAATTCCTGGTCTGGGTGAAATTAACAGATGTAGTTGGTAATTCCCTGCCTAGTTGAGTCTGGTTCTGATGCTTGTTTTCTCTGTTAATACTGCTTTTTGCATTTCAAAGCCTGTGATTTCTTGTTGAAAGGCGCAGATGATGTCTGGGTAACAGGAGCTGTGGTAATAGGTCTTTAGCAAGGTAGTGGTAACGTATGCCGGGGAGGAGAAGCAGTCTGTAGTCCTATGATTGCCCGTCAATCTTTTCATGAGGCTTGTACCCCTGGGTTGTGACCTTTGCTTGTACTTCTCAGTTTCCCCACCCCTACCCCTTGTGGGACAGGATGGCTTGATCAACTTCCCCGGCTTGTAGAGGAAAAATTCAGGAAATTGTAGGGGTCCTCTTAAGAGAGCCCCCAACCCCTGGAGTTTTTGTCAGACCTGCCCATGCTGACTAGCAATGTCGGTTGCAGTTTAGGTTTTCTTACCATGGCCCTGGTTCCTGTGTAGAGGTTTCTGATCTAGTAAGTTGTGATTCTTTATCTCCGCCTGCCTCTCCAGTTTTGGGGACAGTTGTTTGTCTTGTGACCTCAATTCTCTGACTAGTCTAAGAAGTTGTTGATTTTTTAAGTTTGTTTAGCTTTTTATGGACAAATTAGTTAACTTGGAAGCTTTTTAAGTGCCAGATTCTCTTCATTTATTTTTTAATTTTCAGGAGCTGCTTTCCCTTTTCATAGCCTCTTGTTCCCATTTTTTTTTTTTTTTTTTTTTTGAGACAGAGTCTCGCTCTGTCGCTTAGGCTGGAGTGCAGTGGCGGGATCGCGGCTCACTGCAAGCTCCGCCTCCCGGGTTCCTGCCATTCTCCTGCCTCAGCCTCCCAAGTAGCTGGGACTACAGGCACCTGCCACTATGCCCGGCTAATTTTTTTTGTATTTTCTAGTAGAGACGAGGTTTTACCTTGTTAGCCAGGACAGTCTCGATCTCCTGACCCCGTGATCCACCCGCCTCAGCCTCCCAAAGTGCTGGGATCACAGGCGTGAGCCACCGCGCCCGGCCCCCATTCTGTTTTTATAATATCTTCAGTTTCCTTGGAGATGCCAATTCTTTATAATCATTTTAGATCTCAGATCATTTCAGGGATAGTGATGGTGGTCACTTTCATTTTTCTCAATTCTTTGATGATGAATGGTTTACCTTTTCTTTTCTTTTTTTTTTTTTTTTTGAGATGGAGTCTTGCTCTGTCGCCCAGGCTGGAGTGCAGTGGCATGATCTTGGCTCACTGCAAGCTCCACCTCCCGGGTTCACACCATTCTCCTGCCTCAGCCTCCCGAGTAGCTGGGACTACAGGTGACCACCAGCACGCCCGGCTAATTTTTTTGTATTTTTAGTAGAGACGGGGTTTCACTGTGTTATTAGCCAGGATGGTCTCGATCTCCTGACCTCGTGATCCGCCCGCCTCGGCCTCCCAAAGTGCTGGGATTACAGGCGTGAGCCACGCGCCCAGCCCCTTTTCTTGAGTGATAAATAGCAAGATTCTGTTTCTTCTAAATGGGAATGTTGACTCTGGGGACATAGGGGGATGTTTGGCATTTGAGGCACCCTTTCCTGGAACTCAGCACTGAGTACATCCAGTGTGGGGTTGTGTGTAAGTTGGGGATTGAAAAGGGTTCTTGACAAGGGTGCAATTCCAGTAGATCTTGAAAGACTTTTTACTTTTCTTTCTTTTTTTTCTTTTCTGACCTCCTTCCATCCTTGTCTACTCTAAGCCCAGACATGCTCCAGGAATGCTTCAGGTAGACTTGCTCCTGCTTCCTGTCTGTGTCTTGTCTTCACTATTTGAGGCCATCACATACTTAATTCTTCACCCATTAGCCATTATCAAGCCTCTGTCCACGTCTCAGTGCGTATGAACATGCTGGGTGAAGTGGGTAGAGTGGTTCTTGGCAGTCAGGCCTATCTCCCAGTTTTAGTCTCCAAGGTAGTACAGTAAGCTTTTGTTTGATTTCAGATTTTCTTAAATGTATTGAGACTTTTATTATTATTATTATTATTATTATTATTATTATTATTATTATTATATTGAGATGGAGTCTTGCTCTGGGCTGGAGTGCAGTGGCGTGATCTTGGCTCACTGCAACCTCTGCCTCTTGGGTTCAAGCGATTCTCTTGCCTTAGCCAGAATTACAGACGCCCACCACTATGCCCAGCTTTTTTTTTTCCCCCCGTATTTTTGGCAGAGACAATGTTTCACCATGTTGGCCAGGCTGGTCTTAAAATCCTGACCTCAAATCATCCACCAGCCTTGGCCTCTCCCAAAGTGCTGGGATTACAGGTGTGAGCCACCATGCTCCGCCTGAGACCTGTATGATTCAGAAATATGTATCTGAGTGAATATTTCCATGTGAACTTGGAAAACTATTTTGGCATTCTTTTAGTATTCTTTAAATGTCAACTAAGTAAGGTTGGTTGTTCGGGTCTTCTGTATTCCTTTTGATTTTCTTTTTTTAATTTTTCTATTATTTTGATTGGCATATTCATGATGTATCTTTCTGATTTTCCTGTCTGCTTGTTATATCAACTGCTGAGAAAAGAGAGTTGTATAATTAAGTATAATTATGGATGTGTCTTTGTCTTTAATTCTGTCAGTTTTGCTTCATGTGTTTCATTACTCTGTAATTGGGTTCATATGCATTTAAGATTATTATAGCTTTTTAATTAATTCACTCTTTTAGAATTTGGAATTGTCCTTTGATTTGTGGTAATATTGTTTGTCTTGAAGCTAGTTTGTTTGGCTTTTCCCTTTACAGTCTTAATTGGTACAATTAGACTGTTTCTATTTAGTTTAATTATCAATGTGTTGCAAGTGGAAGGTATTTTTTGCTGGATATAGTATTTTAAGTCCATAGGTTAGTTGGTTTGCTGTTTTTTTTTTTTTTTTTGACGGAGGTTTGCTCTTGTTGCCCAAGCTGGAGTGCAGTAACACAATCTCGGCTTACTGCAACCTCCGCCTCCTGGGTTCAAGCGATTCTCCTGCCTCAGCCTCCCGAGTAGCTGGGATTACAGGTGTGCGCCACCACACCTGGCTAATTTTTTGTATTTTTAGTAGAAACAGGGTTTCACCATGTTAGCCAGGCTGGTCTTGAACTCCTGACCTCATGTGATCCACCCTCCTCTGTCTCCCAAAGTGCTGGGATTACAGGCGTGAGCCACTGCGCCAGCCCGGCTTGCTTATTTTTTAGCACCTTAAAGATTTATTCCACTGTCTTCAGGCTTACGTTGTTTCTGACATCAATTTTGGAGCCAGTTTTATTTTTGTTTTCCTATATTTAATGTATCCTCTGTTCTTTAGCCATTTAAAAAAACTTATTTGTATCAATGGTTTTTAGAAATTTGATGAAGAAGTGCCTTGGTGTGGTTTCCTTTGTTTTTGATCTTACTTTGGCTTTGTTGAGCTTGTTAGCTCTGTGGTTATATGCTTTTTATCACATCTGGACAACTTTGTATCATTATATTTTCCCTCATTCCTCTCTCTGCTCTTTGTCTTTGATTCCGCTTTCCTATGTGTTAGGCCAGTTGATATTGTCCTAAAGGTCACTGAGGTTGTGCTCATTGTTTTCTTCCAGGTTTTTCTTTGTGTGCTATTTTGAGTAGTTTGTATTGCTGTGTGTCAAGGTCACTGCTCTTTGTATCTCACATTCAGTGAATTTTTAATTTCAGATTATGTATTTTTCACTAATTTCATTTTTCTTTATATTTTCCATTTTGTATTTTAAGTGTTTTTATTTTCCTTTAAATATTTTAACATATTTATTAATGTTGTCAATGTCCTTACCTGCTAAGTACTTTATTTCATTCATAGTCTACTTGCTTATGGAGTTACAATCTGCTACTTTTTTTTGTGTCTAATAATTTTTGTTGGTGTTGAACATTTGAAACCTTGTGTTGTTGAGTGTTGGGACTTTGTTGATGCCCTTTCGAGACTGTTGGAGTCTATTTTGGCAAGCACGTGCTGAGCTTTTGTTCCAGGCTTCCTCACATTTCCTAGTTAGGGCCATCTTTTGCCATTTTTATTGATTGCTCCAAGTGTTAAGAGGTGGCGATGGAATCTGAACAGCTGTCCCTTTGTGACTTCTCAGAATTATGTGCAGATTTGTGTTAGCCAAAGACTTAAGACATCCTCCCCCAAATGCAGACTTTTTGAGCTTCCCTTCTGAGTAGATCCCTTCTTGCCCACATGTACATGTAGTCCACAAATTCCAGCCAGCCCACCCTTCCCAACGCTACACTGAGTCACAACATGGTAAAAGGGTGGTGTTCTTGGTTCCCCCTTCATACACCATTGCCCAAAAATTGCTTCCAGGAATGAGGTCAGGGCCTATGCAGGGTTCTCGTGTGTGTTTTCTGCTCCCAGGTCCCACACACCTGTGCTGCCTATCAGCCAGCATCTGAAACCAGGTGTTTCATATATTTCATCCTGTTTTTCAGTTGTTTATGACAGTAAGACAGTTCTGTACCATTTAGGATTTTATGGCTAGGATTGTCACTTAGTCTTGTTTTGGTCTTTTTTTTTTTTTTGAGACAGTGTCTCACTCTGTTGCCCAGGCTGGAGTGCAGTAGTGCAGTCTTGGCTCACTGCAACCTCCACCTCCTGGGTTTAAGCGATCTTCCCACCTCAGCCTCCCAAGTAGTTGGGATTACAGGCATACGCCACCACGCCTGGCTAATTTTTGTATTTTTAGGAGAGACAGGGTTTCACCATCTTGGCCGGGCTGGTCTCGAACTCCTGACTTCAAGGAATCCACCCGACTTGGCCTCCCAAAGTATCGGGATTACAGGCGTGAGCCACTGTACCCAGTTAAGTTTTTTTGTTTTTTTTGTTTTTTGAGACAAGGTCTTGCTCTGTCACCCAGACTGGACTGCAGTGGCACAAACACAGCTCACTGCAACCTCGACTTCCTGGGCTCAAGCACTCCCCCCACCTCAGCCTCCTGAGTGGCTGAGACCACAGGTGCATACCACTACACTTGGCTTGTTGTTTTTTTTGTAGAGACAAGGTCTTGCTATGTTACCCAGGCTGGTCTCGAACTCCTGGCCTCAGCCACCCTCCTGCCTTAGCCTCCCAGAGTGCTGGGATTACAGGGATGAGCCTCCACACCAGGCTGACACATAGTTTTTCTTGTAGTTCTTGTCCATGCAATTCTGGTTTTGTGCTTTTACGGCTGATTTGAGGGGATAGAGAACTGTTGCCTCTGCTGCTTTGTCTTTCAAGAATCTCTTGTGTGTATCTCTTTTTTAAAAGTTCAGTAAACAAATGGCTTTCTTAACATGTTTGCTGGTAGTGGTGTATTTTCTTTTCATATTCTGTATAGCAGTTTTTCAGAAGTTAAGATTTCCTGCATTCTGAGGTATTCTTTTATCTGGTTTTCATTGACTATATACTCATCTCTCTTACAGGCCATGCTGGAGTATCTGCCAACATGATGAAGAAGAGGACATCCCACAAGTAAGCAGTTCTGAAACTGGTTCTAGATAGTGTTTTGTGACCTTTTGTTACGCAGCATACAAGATCACCTAGGTAAGGCCTCCTCCCCTGTGATCGAGGGCTTCCTAGCTCATAGGAGATGTAGTGTGCGATGAGGAATAGTATGTAGTCATCTTCTCTGTCTCTTCCCTTCCCCTTGGCCTGGCTGCAGTGTGCCAGGTCTACCCTTCAGCCTTTAAAAGCCTTTGGGAACTGGGCCAATGGAAGGAAAACTGTTATGGTAAGTGTGGCAGGTGCATGGTGAACCTCTCCCTCTTCTCTCCTTGGAATGCCTGTGTGAGCCTTGCGTGCAGGCTTCCTCTCCTGGTCTTGGTCCACTGTTTGACAAGGAGCTCCTTTTGGGCAGAGACCGTGTCTTAAGCTGGGAGGGCCTGCCTAGCATGGTGTCACATGCTCACTGTTTTATAGCATTTTTAAATGAAGGAAAAGCTTATGAATTTAGGGAAAGCATATCCATGTTAAAAGATAATGCAATAGCCATCTACGTAAACTGACAGTGTGTTCTCAATCCTAAATTCTGTAGATACCAGCTTACAGAAGCCACTTTTTTCCCTAATTTTTTTTTGTGTGTGACATAGTTACATCCAAAAAAGAAATTAAGATTCTATTGTTTTCAATTATAATATTCACTTTTACTTTATTATATCTAATAGATTTCACAACTATCTATCCTATACTGATAACTATGCCACTTCAAACTGGAAATGTCACTTGAACAATCTGTTCTGATTGTGAGACTCTTCTTAGTCATAGATTATTAAATATGGAGAAGACACTCCTTGACCATCGTGAGGCACTCTTAAGAAACATTTTCCCCCAAAATATTTATATTGAAAGTGTATGCCCCTTAGCCACCACACTGTAATAGCTGAAGAGGATGTGAGGCCTCTTGGCTCTCAGGGAAGGGCTGGATGAATGCCCTTCAGTAATTGTTAGTGATTGGGCGAAACAAAAGTCTCCAAAATGTGTACGTGATACATAATACAAATATTTGTAATATTTAGCTTAAGAAACTACCTGGAAAGTAAAAATGTGAAGGTAAGCTACATAAGTTCTTGTTTCTCTGAGGTTTAATAGTTTCTCAAATTTTATCCATGTGCTCATCATCTTCATGGTTTTGCCATACCCAGTGATATGTTTCTGCTCATTATCATGTCATTACTGTAAATGGTAAGCTGTGTCTTGCCACAAATAAAACATAACAATAAAAACAAATGTAAGCCATAAATATTAGGTAATGATGAAAAACTTAAATACAGTGGGGACAAAGGCAAGTTAAACCTTAACTTTGCAGGACCAGAACAGTTCATTCAAAATAGATTTTGCAAGTTAAGTTAAAGGCTTATAGAATATTAATGTGCGTTCTAATCATTTTTCCGTATTTTCTAATCATCTATGATTAAAAGTTCATTTACTTAGGATTTCAGATATTAATAGGTTTGAGCTCTTGGGCATGTTATTATAATGCGTTTTGTGCAATAAGATTCCATCTGCCTCATCCTAATAAGCCATACTGTTCATTAATTCATAGGTTTGATTCCCTAAAGCATAAGAAACGAAACACCTAAAGTTCGTATACATAGTAACTGAAAAAATCTCTCATCCTATATGTTCCACATTTGGGGACCTTAATTTAGTGCTTTCACAAGCATACATAGTTGTCTTGAAGACTGGAAGCCTTGAGCATATTACTATCTAGCAAAAGGGAGAAATGGAAAGGAAAAGTTGTGAGTCCCATTTTCCTATTCTCAATGTGAATCTGAAGATGGGTAGAAGGAAAGGCTGAAACAGAAGTTTCCACATTCACGAATGATGATTATTAATATTTTTCACATGGAGTGAGCAGGGATGGCTGCATGGAGCTTTGAAGAGGCTGCCTGGTGGGGACGCAGGCTCTCCCAGGTGCTGGTTTTGAAGTTAGGAAGCCTGATGGAGCTTGGCTGTTAGGCCTGTGGAAGTTCCTTAATGTATCTAAGGTTGGCTTAATCCTGTCTAAAATCAAGGTATTGGACTAGAACAATGAGGTTTGCAGCTTTTTAGCATAGATTCCTTTCTAAAATGCAATTTTTATGGAAACCAAATATAAAAAAAAAACAGAACTATAGCATCCCTCTCCCCTTCACTTTTTCCACTTCTGACTCAACGGGAGTTGCAAGGAATAAGGGCCACCTGGCTTGACACTGGGGCTCAATGACGGTGGCCCTCCTTCTGTCTCTTCCCAAGTCAGTATGGGGTGCCCGAGAAAGAACCTCTGGTTGCTTGAGGGAAAAGTCACAGAACTGCACTGAGTGAGCAATAGCACCTGTCCCCGAAGGTGTTAGGAAGGTTCAAGGAGTCTGGTGTGAAGTACTGAGACCACACAGGAAACATTATATAGCTGGGTTTGTGTTTTTTAAGAAAATAGAAGCAAGCTTTTTTTTCCTATAGGCTGAGCACCTTGTGGTGTTTTGGGTGAAACTGGTGGATACACCTTTCTGGGCTGTCCATGATTTGGGACAAACATTTGCATTAAAAGTACGTCTGTTTTTTTGTTTGTTTGTTTGTTTTTGAAATATGGAGTCTTGCTCTGTTGCTCAGGTTGGAGTGCAGTGGTGCAATCTTGGTTCACTGCAACCTCCACCTCCTGGGTTCAACTGGTTCTCCTGCCTCAGCTTCCTAAGTAGCTGAGACCACAGGCGTGCCGCAGCACGCCCAGCTAATTTTTGTATTTTTAGTATAGACAGGGTTTCACTGTGTTGGCCAGGCTGGTCTCGAACTCCTGACTTCAAGTGATCCACCTACCTCAGCCTCCCAAAGTGCTGGGATTATAGGCGTGAGCCACCGTGCCCAGCCTAAAAGTACATCTTGGAGGGAAAATATAGTTGGGGGAGTGTCTAAGACAAATTTATTTCTAGTGGTTCTTCGTTTCAGTTTTCAAATGTAAATTCCCTCCCCCCTCCTGCAATTTGAACAGGGAATAGATTTCCATTCCATGCTACTGTTGAAAGGGGTGATTGGGTTTTGGTATATTTTTCACTAACTTAGAAAGTGGACTAGAATCTACTAAACACTAAATAGAGGTATTTCCAGGGATTTCTTTCCTCCCATTTTATAAGACACAAATATTAGTCACTGACAAAAGTGTCGTTGTACTCCTCCTTGTCCCTAGTGTGTTCTCATGTAGTTTTCATGATAGCCCTGTCAAGTAGGAACTGTGACCCCTTACTGCAGATGAGGAAACTGATGCATGGAGGGATTAAGTAACTTGTCCAAGGTCATCCAGCTAGTAGGTGATTGAGCTAGGACTCAAATAGGACAGTCTGATTCCAGAGCCCATGTTATTAAGTACCACCCCATATTTACTGAACTGCAGGTTTTGTTTTCTCTTCTCAGAAATTGGTTATTTCAGTCGTGGACATGAAGACTGGGTAACTCTTGGTGCGGGCATCTATGTGCACCATGGTGTATACAGTCTTAAGTTGGTCAGAACATTGAATGCTTTTTAATCATCTTGCAGTAAGTCATTCATGCCAGCAATGAGAATAGCACTTGGAGGCCCTAAAGCTGTTTGAATGTTTGCCGTGGACATCTCTGGTATTCCCAAAGTGCGCAGTGTGTAGACAAAGTAGTGAAAGGAAACATGCTAATGTGGATGGAGAACTGACTTTTTTAGGGTCTATCTTGTTTTATTGTTGACATTTTAATCTGGGAAGTGACAGTACTTGGCATGGAACTTTTATTGAATAACAGTTACCTGCAAAGCAGGTTTTTTTCTCTCTTTCTGGTTTGCATCTTGCAAAAAGACAGTTATTTTGATTTAACCAGTCTTTTCTTCTAAAATCTACTGTAGCCCAGAGTAGGAGAATTGCTTTATTACAATACCAAATAGACCAAGAGTATCAGTAATTAATCCTTACAACCTAGTATACAGTGTATGACAGGCATTTACTGGTATGTGGTAGAATTGTGATTGTTGAAAATTTAACATGTATGATGTCTGTAAATGTTGGCTACCAAGATTAGATATTTAAATACTGGTTAGGAATAGGAGTTAATTCAAGCCATTAAGGAAGTCTAGGTAAAAAGATGAAAGGTCGTTTTCCTTTCCTTTCCCTTTCCCTTTGCTTTCCTTTTTTTTTAAATTTTTTATTTTCCCAATAAGCCTTTTGCACTCCTAAAAAGGTTTTTCAACACATGACTTCAGCACAAAGTGATGGTACTTTCAGAACTTCTTTGAAGTATTGAGAAGAGTACATAATGTTTCCTACAATCTCAGTTTACTTTTTTGGGAACAGGAACACATAGTGTTTGTTCTATATCAGTGCCACCCAAGGTATGGTTCATGGATTGGCTGCAGCATCAATTTGGCACTTGGGAGCTTATAGGAATTCTTTTGTTCCTCTTCATGCCGCTGAATCCAAGAGGATTTGGGGGCTGGTCTGGGGAATCTCATTAGAGGATCTTCAGAGGATTCACATGCATGCTGAAGTTTGAGAAGCACTGGCCTTAAATCATTGTTGGAATGGTATCTTTTTTTTTTTTTACCGAGATGGAGTTTTGCTCTTGTTGCCCAGACTGGAGTGCAGTCGGCTCACCACAACCTCCACCTCCTGGGTTCAAGCGATTCTTCCGCCTCAGCCTTCCGAGTAGCTGGGATTACAGGCATGCGCCACCACGCCCGACTGATTTTGTATTTTTGGTAGAGACGGGGTTTCTCCATGTTGGTCAGGCAGGTCTCAAACTCCCGACCTCAGGTGATCCATCCGCCTTGGCCTCTCAAAGTGCTGGGATTACAGGCGGGAGCCACCGCGCCCGCGGTATCTTAAGCACATCGGAGAACTAAGTTAAATTGGGGTTGGAAATCAGTACACTAAATTATGGCAATGAAAGGTCATTGCAGTGCTGTGTAATTGTTCACCATATACTCAAATTCAAACTACAAGAAAAGTTTTTTTTAGCCATTACACAGATACCGGTTTATCCCTAATGATGCTAAATACCTTTCGATTATTTTATTTTTTTTCTGGAATTGTTTCAAGAAATAGCTTCTGGAGTTACGAAACAAGAAAAGAGGTTATAGATGTTTAATTCTGGCTGCATTTCAAGATGTCCTAGGTTGAATGAAGTATCTTGGTATTTGTTTTACAGTATTGCTCTGTGAGGGGATGTTACTAACTGGTAAATGAGAGTAAGAATATTTTAGACTCTTTCCCAAGAAAATATAAGAGATTGAAGGGCTTTTAACAATACATATATCAAGATAGTATTTAAATAAAAATCACTATATTCAAAGAACCTTCATTTTAAATCACATTTAAGTTGCTAATCACTTTTCTCTATTTGGGATATTCTTAGACTGAATGATCCAGATATGACCAAAGGGTGTTTGATCATTTTATTCCCTTTCTAGTAATTCCTAATAGTTTGCTTTTATATACACTATTTCCACTTATGTAAGTAAGCTTTAACTTTTGTTATTAATAGTGTTTTTTTAATTTTATTTTTTAGAACTCCAAATAGGTGATTAGAAATTAAAATTTCTTTTAGGAACTTGTTCAATATATAAATAACTTTTTACTGTGGGAAATTTTAAATATACATAAAAATATAGAGTAGTGTATCATAAATCTTGGCATTCTTCACCTAGCTTCAATAATCTACATCAAACATCAGATATTCTTAGTGTATCTAAACCTGTCTTAAGTAGGTACTAGTTGGAAGAACTGAAATTTATTAACAGCTTCCATATTTCAGTGCTCTTAGTAGTGAGCACAGTCTAGGTTTGTTTAAATACTCTTCCTTGTGAACTTTGGCTGCTGAGCAGCTTGTGCATTCAAGCCCCACAACTGGAAAGCTGGACTCATGATTTTAACAATTAGTATATTATTCTAATTACTCGTTTTTTGCCTTCAGCCTTGAGGGGAAAATTACCGTTGTTTCCTTTGCCTTTAAAGAAATTGGACAGAAATAGTATCTATAACAGATATTCTTTAATCCTTCTTTTGGAAACAATAAAATTACATTCTGAAAGAATTGCTCTTGAATCACAAAAAGGCAGTAGAAATAAATGTAGGAATTGCCATCCTTAAAATATGCAAATCTATTTTTATATATAATTTCTTGCCGAATTAGTATACGCATTGCATTAATGTAGCAGTAATTAAAAATTGTGTTCTGCCGGGCGCGGTGGCTCACACCTGTAATCCCAACACTTCAGGAGGCCAAGGCTGGCAGATGACCTGAGGTCGGGAGTTTGAGACCAGCCTGATCAACATGATATCTCCACTAAAAATACAAAACTAGCCAGGCGTGGTGGCACATGCCTGTAATCCCAGCTACTCGGGAGGCTGAGGCAGGAGAATCGCTTGAACCGGGGAGACAGAGGTTGCGGTGAGCTGAGATCACGCCATTGCACTTCAGCCTGTGCAGCAAGAGTGAAACTCCGTGTCAGAAAAAACAGTTGTGTTTTATGTGGCTGCAAAAGTGAAATACTTAAGTTGTAGAAAATTTTGAAAACATAGGTAAACAGAGAAAGAAAACTTATTTATAATGCCATCACCCAGAGATTGTTAATAATTTAATGTATATTTTAAAAAACTTTTTCCTACGTACCTGTAAGGATTGTGTATAAAAATTTTTCATGTCATATTTTTTACACTTGTGGGTTTTTAAAATAAAAAGTTTTTAAGACTGGGTACAGTGGTTCATACTTCTAATCCCAGCACTTTGGGAGGCCAAGGTGGGAGGATTGCTTGAGCCCAGGAGTTTGAGACCAGGCTGGGCAACATAGTGAGACCCTGTCTGTACAAAAAATTAAACATTAGCTAGGCATGGTGGCAGGCACCCTTACGTAGTTCCAGCTACTTGGGAGGCTATAAAGCAAGAGGATTGCTTGAGCCCAGGAGTTTGAGGACAATTTGGGCAACAAAGCAAGACCCCAGTTCTTTAAATTCTTTTTCATGATTTTTAATACGTATATAGTTCATCATAGAGATAACGCTCTGAGCTTTTAAATTAATGGGGCCTATTGTTAAACATTTTCTTTAGTTTCCCGTGTTAGCAATATCTTTGTGCACATCCATTATTATTTTCTTTTGATAAATTTGTAGATGTGGACTCACGGAACAATGGAAACTCCACATGGTAAGGCTTTGGACAGATATTGCCAAACTAATCACTAGAAAGGTTTTATTCATTTTATACACAGATAGAAAATAATACTTCATCATAATTTGTACTAAAATTATGATGAAATTATCAAAATTCTAAGTTTTTGTTACTGTTAATATAAAAAGGTCATCCTGCTGGCAGACCAGAACACTAAGAAATTTCTAGATCTCAAGCAGATAGGAACAAGTTTATATCAAGACTCCACTGAGGAACTCTGGTGCCAACAAGTAAATAAACTAGATTTAGAATACTGCCAGGATCAGAGATAGTAAGGGCTGGACAATAGAATGGCTTGAGTACAGTTACCAAATATTAAAAGGGTAAGAAAATTGATTGTACAGAATTGGCATTGGAACAGAAGATGCTCAACTTACCTCCTCTTGATTTAAAGATACCTGTCACTTCTTAGCCTCTGTGCAGCTACCAGGGTTGTGGCTTCTGTCATCAGAACCTGCACTTACTGCTCAGAGGCCAGAGAGTCTGACTTGAGCTGAAGACATACATTGTATCTACAAATGCCACTTCATCTTGACTTGCATCTACAAATACGAACACCAAGAATCATGAGGCATCTTAGAGCACTAAACGCATAAAAGACAGTCACTAGTCAAAACAGAAGAACAAGCCAGGAATCACCATGTATGTGTAGAAAACAGAGGAGACTTGATCCTAAAGAGTTCCTAGAAGAATCAGGAAAAAATGAAACTTATCTTCAGATATCAGAAAGCATGTTCATTAAAAAGAAAAACCATTCGAGATAAGACAAAGACATTAAAAATATTATGCAAGATATTCAATAGGCTGAAAGTAGAGTTTACTTAATTCACTAACAATTGAGCTAAAAATTTCTTCAAGATGAAAAGTATGACAGGGCAGTTGAATCATGGAGAATTGATCTAGAAGTGCTAGCATTTGTCTGATGACATTTCAAAAGCGGGTGGAGGAGGAGAATAATCCAGACTACAAATGGGTGATAATTTTGCTTTGCTCTCTCTAGGTTGACCAGCTTCTTATGAGGGATAATTAAAAACACATGTCACAAGTCTTTGTGACATTTTAGAGTCTAGGAACAAAGAAAATTCTAAAACACCTTGAAGACCCAGCACTTTGGGAGACTGAGGTGGGGCGGATCACTTGAGGCCAGGAGTTTGAGCCAGCCTGACCAACATGGCGAAACCCTGTCTCTACTAAAAATGGAAAAATTAGCCGGGTGTGGTGGTGCACACCTGTAATCCCAGCTACTTAGGGAGGCTGAGGCACGAGAATCACGTGAACCTGGGAGGTGGAGGTTGCAGTGAGCTGAGATTGCACCACTATACTCCAGCCTGGGTGACTGAGTGAGACTCTCTCAAAAAATAATAATAAATAAAATAAAACACCTTGAAGAGAAAATTGCCCCTCAGAGGAACAAGGATCAGATTGGCTTCTATTGTCTGTAATTTTAGATGGTAAAATGAAAGTTTTTTTTTTCTCTCAAAGTACTGAGGGGAAAAAGACTTTGAACCTGATTTGTATACACAGGCAATTCAGGGATAAGGGCAAAATAATAATTTGAGGCTTGCAAAAATCTAGCGTTTGTATTCCTGAACTTTACCTGAAAGAATTACCAGAGGATGTATCTAGAAAGACAGAATATACATGAGAAAAAAATGTGAAAATACTACGCAAAAAGCAACCAAAAAACCTTTCTTGTTTCTAAATTAAAAAGTTACTAAGATAGTAGCAAAATGAAAATACCAATTTGTAACAAAAGTCTACATTTCAGCAATGCAGTAGAATTAGCCAGGTAAGGTTTTAAGTTTTTCTTTTACTAAGGATTTTTTCTTGTTTGGTTTTAGTGTTGCTTTGGCTGGGGGATGAAAAGTATAGGTTTTGATTAATCACAGATTTTAATAGAAAAATGAAAGTTTAGGTATAATATATGCAAAGTTAAAGATAATTGTTGGAAGACTAGAAGCAAGTTACATCATTTGCGTTAGAAGCTTTATTTAGTGAAAAGAAACTTCAATCATTCTAGTGGCACAGATGAAGGAAGAGAGGAAAGTGAGGAAATGAAAACAGAAGACAGGTAGACAACACAGAACAAAATGTTAAGTATGAGACTCATAGTATCATTTACCACAGCAAAGGCTAACTCTTAATAAGAAGATGAGGAAATAAAATCAGTTCAAAAGGGAGGAATATGCATTCCCAGAATTAAAGGACCCCGGGTCCAGTTTGAGGAGGACTCTTGGCCAGATACAAGCCCCTTGTATAATGCTCAAGAGGGAGGAGACCTTATTTGCTCCTTGGAGGTGTCTAGTATGAAAACTGCTTATTTTGAAATGTGATTCTAGCCATTATCAGGAGCAACTGCAGATAATTCCCATTTACAGAGGAATGCTGCTAACAGGTGTGGGAGGGAGCAGCGACAACGAAAAATTCTGCTGTCATAGGTCACGTTTATGTTGGTTTTCTTGAAAATCAAGGGTAGAAAATTTCATGCCTCTAGAGAGAGAGAGAAAAACACATGAGGAGGGAAGCGGGGAAGATTTATATTAAGGAATTGGCTAATGCAGTTGGGACTGAACAAGTTCAAAATCTATAGGGTAGGCCAGCCATCTAGAGAGCCAGGGAAGAGTTGAAGCTGCAGCACAAACAGCCAGTCTGGAGGCAGAATTCCTTCCTCCTCCGAGGAGGCCAGTTTTTTTCTTGGATGAGGTCCACCAACATTATGAGGGCAGTCTGCTGTGCTCATAGTCTGCGATCCAAATGTTCATTCCAGCTAAAAAATGCTTTCACAGAGACATCTAGAGTGGTGTTTGACCACATATCTGACTACTGTGGTGTAACCAAATTGACACACAAAGTTAACCACCATATGGGTGAAGATGCTGTATTTGCTTATAATTTTGTTAGTAATCATGGAATGTCTGTGTAAATTACAAAATGGGACACATGACTGAATTCTATCCTTAGTGAGGTTTGGGAACTAACCTTAGCCTTTGCACTAAATATGAAGAAAGCCTGATCCTGTACGGGGAGTAACTCATTGGATCTTTGGCTTAGAAATCAAAAGAAGATACGTAACTGGTTGTCAGTTTAAGAAAAAAAGTATTGCTACAAAGGATTCTTGTATTCTAAAGTGGAAATGTAATCTCCTTCACCAGCTGTTTTCCCGTAGAGGCCAATTGGATGTTACTGTATATTACTAGAGATTATGCAGATGTCTAGAAGTCAACTTTCTTCTACCTCTGAGTAGTAAAGTTACAGACTTTTTGTTTATTTTTATGTTATATATATATATTGGTTCCTTACTGTGAACAATACTGAATTTAGCTCTTTGTCATCTCCTTTCTCTCTACAATCCTAATTTTAATTCTTTTTTGATCTAAGTTTATAAGACACTCACTATACTTACTCTGCTTTGCATATTCTTTTCTCCTGTTTTTGAGAGTTGTGTTAAATTTGAAATATCAGAACAGATAACGGTTACACACTATTGTCTCTCCTTGCCGCCATTTGTTCTACAGTTAAATGTATTCATTGCTTTCTCTCAGTGCTGTACTGAACCTTCTCTGTGAGTTCCTTGATTATCTGAAGCTCATTGTCATATAACTTTATAAGAACAGTATCCCCTGCCTTCTGACATGTTCGTTACAGTTTTGTTTGCGGCCTTTATACTTGAAGGTCAGTGTACCTTCTTGGCTGATGAACAAATCCTTGGCTCACATTTTCTTTTCCTTGAGAACCTTAAGTTTATTACTCTGTTGCCTTCTGGCATAGAGTGTTGCTGTCAAATTCTGAGTCTATCCCTTACACATGATTTGGTCCTTTTGTGTAAATGCCCAAAGGGTGTTATTTTCTTTAAAATTCGTTTATTTGACTTGGATATGCCTTAGCGCCAGTCATTCTGGGTTTTCCTGTGGGGTGCATTAGTACATTCAAGTGTTTTGTTTCAGGAACGTTTTCTTCAATTACGATTTTTAGTACTCTCTTCTGTGAACTTTGATTTTAGTTTTTAGGTTCTTCTGTTACACAGAAGTTGGAATATTTGTTACCATCTCTTAATTCTTTTTACTTTTGTCCCCGTCTGTCCCCTTTTCATCATCCACTTTCCTCACATGCTCCCGTGGTGTCTGTTTCTTCTCATGTTCTTCTAGTCTTAATTTCTGAAAAAAAATTTCAAATTATTGATTCTTTACTTTGTTTGGTAGTTCTCACATCTTCTCTTGTCTAGCGATCTCATTTCTCATCTTTTCTGTTCCTGATACATGTTCTTACGTTAGGGTTCTCCAGGGAAATAGAATCGTTGGGAAATAGATAAAATATGAAGGAGATTTATTATGAGGAAATTGGTTTATGCTATTTTGAAGACTGAGAAGTCCCGTGGAGTGCTGTCTGTAAGCCAAGCCTCGGGAAAGCTGGAAGTGGAATTCATTCTGCAGGTCTAGAACCAGGGGACCCAGTGGTGTCAGTTCCAGTCCAAGGGCAGGAGAAGACTGATGTTCCAGCTCAGGCAGGCCAGCAGGAAGAAAAAGGGGTAAATTCCTCCCTCCTCTACCTTTTGTTCTATTCAAGCCCTTGACAGAATGGATTATGGCCACCCACATTGGTGATGGCATCTTCTTTGTTCAGTCTGCTGATTCAGATGCACAGACACACCCACGAACAGTGTTTAATCTAGGCACTCTGTGGCACAGTTAAGTTGACACACAAAATTAATCATCACAGTTTCTATTTCATGGCTTCTGTCATTTGCTCAGTGTTAGATAGTAGTTTTCATCTACTTAATGAGCCTGTTTTTGAGGCCTGCTCCTGCCTGTCAGAACATCTGTCACATTGTTAGTCTTTTTCCTCCTCAAGATACTTTCGTATGTTGTCCAACCATGATGCTTCCAGACCCATGTAAATGAGAGGATTCCAAGAATGCTTTCCTAGCTTAAGACCTCTCTGGGTAGCCACCTCTGTCATACTTTCTGAGACCTGCCGCCCTCATTTCTGCCTGAATCCTGCTTTCCTCACCCTGTGGTCCTGTCCTGGTCAGTAAGGATTGTGTACTCAGAAGGGCTTTGTCTTTCTGGAAGGAAGGTTTGCTGGGTTTTTGCACAGTCCCAAGGGGCTTAGGCAGACCTGGGTTTTCTGGCCTTACAGTCTTGCACTTAACCCTGTGAATCTCCTCCCAGTCTCCTTGGTTAGGTTCAGACCCCCTTGCTTAGTTTTTCACCCCCAGGAGAGAAGCTTCCCTTCTGCGGCGAGTACTCCTTATTGTCTCTTATGGCCTGTTCCCGTCTGACTTAGCTAAATATATGTTACCAGTCTAGAGTAAATTATTTCTATTTAGAAAATATATAATTTTAGTTTTAGCTGTTACAACCTACAATAAATTGTTTCTTTAAAACTTATTTGTGTTATATGTCAGATATTAATCACTTTTATTCATGGTGTACGAAATGAGAGCTTTATACCCATAAAACTGTGGGAAGGGAATTCCTTTCAGGTCTTTTTGTTCTTGGCGTATATCAGCATCTGTTATCTTGGTTTTGACCTTCAGCTTGCATCCAAGAAGCCAGGGTTTTAAGGTGAAATGAAGATTTTTTCCTGATATCAAGAGCCAGGTGTATTATTTATAAACATTCTGTGTGGATTTTTCAATTGCTAATAATAAGCCAGAAAAAAAGTAGTTTGATGTTTCAATAATTTTTAATATTACATTGTTATAAACTTCAGTTTTAAGATTATATGTTTTCTAGACAAGTAATGTTTCTATAGTGCATTGATATAAGCTAGTCTGGACTTCAGTTTAAGAGAAAATTGTCTAGTTTATTTTTATTAGTTAAGCTTGTACAGGCAGAATTATTTGGGCACGGGAATGGGTGAAATTGAATAGTTACACATTTCTTTTTAACTTGAAGTAGATATTATATAAAACTATATACCTGTGTGATTATTGATAACATGTATTTCACGGATCAGTCCTTCTTTAATTAACTTGGAAAATTTTGAGTTGATTGAATTAAAATAAACTCAGAAAGCTGATAACCTGATGCTTAATAGTAGGGCTTAAGTTGCTATTGACTAGTAGTTTTTTCTGCCTATACACAGTTGAGGTGCACAACAAGCTCCTATTACTAACATACCATGTTACACACTCACCACCACTGGTACAGGGGTAGAGGACAACCACTTTGAGTCACCTGAAGCAGGAATGTGGCAAACATGAGTTTGTACATATTTTGGGACCATCTGTAATGAGATCATGCTAGCCAGCGGTTATGTTAGATCTAGGCATGCATACTTTTGAGATAATACCTTATGTGTGTATATGTGTGAATACAGAAAACATCGGAGCAGTGTGGGTCCGAGCAAACCTGTTTCCCAGCCCCGGCGGAACATCGTAGGCTGCAGGATTCAGCATGGGTGGAAAGAGGGGAATGGCCCTGTTACCCAGTGGAAAGGAACCGTTCTGGACCAGGTGCCTGTAAATCCTTCTTTGTATCTTATAAAATACGATGGATTTGACTGTGTTTATGGACTAGAACTTAATAAAGATGAAAGAGTTTCTGCGCTTGAAGTCCTCCCTGATAGAGTTGGTAAGTTCTTTTTATAATTTGTGCATTATATACTTTAAAAATGATATTGAACTGGATGCTTTTTTTATTTTACATTATTAATACTTCACTTTTATTGGAACACAAGCACCCTTCTTGATAAACATTATATTAAATCACCGAAAACCACAAAAATGGATCCTAAGCAGTTCAAGGAACTGTGTGAGGGATATAGAGATGTGTATTTTCCCCCCAAGAAGTTTGCCACGTAATAATTTATAATACGGTTATTTCTAACATTTTTGCTCACTGTTCTCTGGACTCTGATGGGTAAGGTTATCAGTAGCTGAAATATCCTATATGTTAATCTCATCTCATCAGATACAAAAGATAAGAGAATGCTGTGCCTTTAGAATCTTTCTGTGAAAGTGTATCTTTGTGTACAACGTAAATGATAATTGTACTTTGAGCCAAAATTTAAACAACCAAAACGTGGTCTTTATTATACACAGAGCTTGATTGAACAATGTTTGTGGAAATGAATGGCTCTTTTTAAATGTCATACAGTGCCAGTTTTGCCCTGCAAGTGTTCCTTAAGGCATAAGGTCTAAGGTAAATAATAATTACTGATTTTATTAGTAGGGTGGGATACACCCAAACTAATATTACTTTTTTTTGAAGTATTTATTTTGAAATATTTTCTTATTACAGTGATGCTGCTCTTGTTTAAAATATTGGTTTATACTTTTAGAATTGTCTTTATAAGTCTATACCATTAAATAATAAAGTTTCAGCAGATCTAGACTTGGGAGGTAGGAATTTTGGGATCAAATTGTCACAGGAAGAAATTAGTTCAGTCTCCTCGCTTTGTTTTTCTTCAGACTGTGCCATTGTGTCCCTGGGATATAACGAGTTTCCTTAGGAAGTTAATTCTGCCTTAGTAGCAAGTTATTTTGTTTTACTCTTCTCTTTAGATATCAAATGCTAAATCCTTGCTCATCTGTATAAATATGGTTCAGTTTTCAAAGAAATCTTTCTTTAAATTTAAATCTTTATTATTACTCCTAAAAGTAATATTAAGTCTTTGTTATTTTCAACATTCTCATCTATTCTTAAGTGTGACTGATCACCTGCTCTTCCTCTTGATGCACATCCTACATTTCTTCTTGATCATGGCATTAATCCATTTCCCATATAAGAAACTTTAACATATTAAAAATCTTAACAGCAGAATTTTAGTCTCTGCCCCTTCTGAGACGACAGCTAGCTCACTTGAAGGTTCCTGCATATTGCTGCATGACCTGTGGTTGTTGGTCCTTTTGTCATCGAAGGATAGAAACTGTACAAGTATCTCTGGTGATGGGACTAAGGGTTCCATGTTGTTTGTAGTTTGGTATTATCTCTGTTTCCAACAATAGTAATTTTGTAAACATTCAAGCAATATAAAAAGAAACCCAAGAGCTTTTCTGTAAATCAGCAATATATATGCCTAATTCAGCTAATAGTTGTTATTAATTTTAGTATTCGTGGTATTAGGTTGGTGCAAAAGTAATTGCGGTTTTTGACATTGAAATTGAAAGTAATGGCCAAAACAGCAGTTACTTTGGCATCAACCTACTTTAGTCTAAAAAATTACTTGCTCTTCACTTACGTTTTACGTCGGAAGCAATTGCTTCAGGCAGTACATTAGAGTATAATTAAAATTATGTTTTTCTTAAGCTAAAGTTAGAGAAAAAAGTCAGTCAGCCAGAATGCATGTGATGTCACAGAGCAGTGGTTCCCAAAGCAAGGCCTGGGGACCCTTGGGTTCTCTGAAGCCCATTCAGGAGATTTGCAAGGTCAGAAATATTTTCATTTTGTTAAGCTGTAATTCGCGCTTTTCACTCTCTCTTTTTCTCAATTACACAGTGGAGTTTCCCACTATCTATTTGGAAGATTTGCATAACTTAGTGAACACAATATTTTCTTTATGAGCAGTGCATGGTACCACATCATGCATTGGTGAAAGAGCTATTCAAAGTGCAAGACTAACTACTTTTTTTTTAATTGTAAAAAAACATAGCATAAAATTTACTGTCCTAACCATTTTTAAGTGTACAGTTCAGTAGTGTGTTAAGTACATTCGCATTGTTGAAACAGATCTCCAGAACTACTTCATCTTACAAATCTGAAACTCTCTACCTATTAAACAAAACAACCTACCTTTCCTCCCATTCCCAGCCCCTGGCAACCACCATTCTACACTCTGTCTCTATGAATTTGACTATTCTAGATATCTCATAGAAGTGGAATCACACAGTATTTGTTTTGTGAGTAACTTATTTCACTTAGCATAATGTCCTCAAAGTTGGTTCATGTTGTAACGTGTGACAGGATTTCCTTTAAGGCTGAAAAGAACATTCCATTGTATCTATATACCACAGTTTGTTTATCTGTTCACCCATTAATGGACATTTGGATTGCTTCTACCTCTTGGTAGAATGTAAAATTGTACCATGTAAAATTGTGAATAGTGCTCCTGTAAACATGGATATGCAGATATTTCTTTGAGATCCTGCTTTCAGTTGTTTTGGATATAGGCACAGGAGTGGGATTGCTGGATCATATGGTAATTATAATTTTAATTTTAGTATCGTAATTCTAATTTCTTAGGTAGAACTACCATACTGTTTTCCACAGCAGTTGTACCATTTTCCAGTCCTACCTACAGTATACAAGGGTTCCAGTTCTCCATCCCTTAGTCAGCAGTTGCTATTTACTGTTTTTGTCATAGTGGTCATCCTGATGGGTGTGATACGATACCTCATTTTGTTTTGATTTGCATTTCTCTGATGATTAGTGATATTGAGCATCTTTTTATGTGCTTGTTGGCCACTTGTAAATCATCTTTGGGGAAATATCTACTCACATCCTTTGACCATTTTTTAATTAGGTTATTTTGATTTTTGTTGAGTTGTGAGAGTTCTTTATATGTTCTGGAGACATGAGTTTTAATGTAACAGTATGACAGATTTATTAATGGTTTCAGATTCTGCATTGTAACTAACCTTTAAGGAGCTAACTGTTGAATTCTGTGGTTTCATATAAGTATATCTAGAATTATCTGAAAGACGATTAGAATATTCTTTTCAGTATCATATCTTTGAGAGGCTGGATTTTATACCTGAACTGAAAGAGCAGATCATAACAGATTGAGTGCTAAAGCAGATATGAGAATCTACTTGTTCTTTTTAAAACCTAGACATTAGGAGATTTGCAAAAATGTAAAATTAAGCCACTCTTAATGTATTTTGATAGGAAATAGTTATTTTTAATTTAAAATGCATTGATATATAGGTATTTTTAAATAAATGTTTCTAGATTTGTTTTTCATTTTCTGAAGTAGTAAATATTGGTAGGCATTATCTATGTAAACAGATGCTTTTTTAGGTCTGTAGTAATTTCCATTTATGTTTTAATTTTTTTTTTAGAGACAGGATCTCGCTTTGTCACCCAGGCTGGAGTATAGTGGTGTGATCAGGGCTCACTGCTGTCTCAACACGTTGAGCTCAAACAGTCCTCCTGCCTCAGTCTCCTGAGTTGCTGGGACTACAGGCACTCACCACAGTACCCTGCTAATTTTTAACTTTTTGTAGAGATGAGATCTCATTATGTTGCCCAGGCTGGTCTCAAACTCCTGGCCTCAAGCAATCCTCCTGCCTGGGGCTCAAAGTGCTAGGATTATAGATGTGAGTCGCTGTGCCCAGCCAGTAATTTTTAAGAATGCACATGGAGTTCTGAGATCTAAGTCTGAGATCTACTGGCTTTAAGAAACTAGTGGGGTTTTTTTACTGTCATACACGGGGGGAATTCTGTGTAATTTTTTATTATTACTGCGTACTTAAAACCAGCCATACATGTTTAGGGTTTGCTGATAAAATTAAATAGCAATACATGTATCAAGAAAATCTCACTTTTTTGTTTCTTTTGATGTAACAGAAATAGAAGTTTGTTGAATGAGGAAAATAGGAGAGCTAATTGTTTGTTGTTGTTGTTTTTGTTGTTGTTAAGACAGGGCCTCACTCCCGTAGCCCAGGCTGGAGTGCAGTGGCGCCATCTTGTCTCACTGCAGCCTCGACCTCTGGGTTTAGGTGATTCACCACCTGAGCCTTCTCAGTAGCTGGGACTACAGGCCTGCACTGCCACACCTGGCTAATTTTTTGTATTTTTAGTAGAGACGGGGTTTTGTCATGTTGCCCAGGCTGGCCTCAAACTTCTGGGCTCAAGTGATTCGCCCGCCTTGGACTCCCAAAGTGCTAGGATTACAGGCGTGAGCCACCGTGCTTGTCTCTAATTGTTTGTTTGTTTGTTTGTTTGTTTTTTAAAGATAATTGTTTAAATTTGGTATAAAGACAGTTATCTAAAATTGTGGACTGGAGAAGTCTTAAAACCAATGGGATCCTTCATAGTTTTTCCAGTATTAAAAAGATGAAGGTGATAATTTTCACCACTTTTGAAAAATATTAAGGGCTAGGACCGTTAATCTATCATTTCAGAGACCTGAGCTCCCAACCACATGGGGTATCTGATTAAATCATACAAATACTGACCTGCTATGATCTAGGTATAAAACAAGAAAGGGAAGGTCTCTGCTTTCATGGGGATGTACAAGCAACTAACAAGTACACAAATAACATAAAGTGGGATAACTTTAGATCATGGTGAATGTTATTAAGAGGTAAAATTGGGTAATGTGACTGGGATTTGTGGGGCTACCTTGTTGGTCAGGAGAACTCCAAAAGGAACCGGCCTTCTGAAGGTATGGGGAAGAGCTTATCAGGCAGAGGAGAGTGTGTCCTAATGGGAGAGGAAGAAGAGCAGAGTAGAGAACGCATGAACAACAAGGAGGAAGATGGGAAACCTGAGGGCAGAGGCGTGAAGGCTTTTAGGGCTTGGGGGCTATGGTGAGCAGTTTGGTTGTTTTTCAAATTATAAAGGGAAGGCATGGGAACATTTTAGATCACACAATGTGGTATCAGTGACACAACGATTACTTTGGTTGCAGTGAAGAATAAGATTGTAGGAGCAAGAGAGTAAAAACCTATGCCTTAATAAAAAAATGGAAATAAGACTGAAGGAAAACAAACACCAATTTCTTTAAAAAAAAAAAACAAAAAAAAAACCCTCTGTGCCTTGAATAGCTTTTCTAAGTTTTAAATAAACGTTCTGTGGTTATGTAAGATGCTAATACAGGAGAAGCAAAGTGAACCGTATACAGGAACTCTACTATTTTTCCAGTTCTTCTGTAAGTCTGAAATTATCTCAAAATTTAACTGTTAAGTAAACAATAACAAACAGTATTTTATACCTTGAATGAACAATTAAAACTTTTGATTTGGGTACAGAACCAAGAGCAGATGAGTCCAGAAAAATAAAAAATCATATTTTTTTCAATTAACTGACTTGGGACAAAATACTTCTATTCTGTTGAATCCATCTCTGAGCTGGGGCCCAGTAGTTTGTCTTTGGTTTTTGTACTTTTTAAAGCTTTCCCAGATTCTGATGCTTGCTAATACGTTGCATGGACAAAATTTCAGGTGTAGCCTTCTTTAGTAAATTCAGTCTTCATAGTCGGTAATCAGCGAAACACTTTGTCAACTTTTTTTTTTTTTTTTTAATCCCCAGCGACATCTCGAATCAGCGATGCACACTTGGCAGACACAATGATTGGCAAAGCAGTGGAACATATGTTTGAGACAGAGGATGGTTCTAAAGATGAGTGGAGGGGAATGGTCTTAGCACGTGCACCTGTCATGAACACATGGTTTTACATTACCTATGAGAAAGACCCTGTCTTGTACATGTACCAACTCTTAGATGATTACAAAGAAGGCGACCTTCGCATTATGCCTGATTCCAGTAAGTATATATTGGCAACTTTTATATGTGATAATTAGAAGGGATTTGGACTTCAGTACAAGATATTTGATTGGCTCTTTTGCAGATACATTTTTATTTTTGGATATATGATTCTTTTAGTCATGCACAAACACAGCCTTTGAAATTTTTCATCCAGTTGTTATAAATGTTAGATAAGAAAATATTTGATAGTCAGTTCTGCTTGGCTTCTGTAATAAGATACAAGTTGTTTTATAATTATTAACACTACTACATATTACTTCTTGCTTTTATTTAAAAACATGATGGAATAGGGATCAGTAAAATACGTCCCCGTGTACCCTGCTCAGCTTTAACAGTTATCTCATCGCCTGTCTAGTTTTATCTGTTAGTCCCCCCAGTGCAATTATTTTGAATCTAATCCCAAGACATTGATTATTTCATCTGTAAATACTTGAACTTCAGAGCAGCGATCTTCAGCCTTTTTGTCACCGGGGACCAGTTTCATGGAAGACAGTTTTCTGTGGATTGGGGGTTGGGTGTGGATATGGTGGTTTTGGAGGCATTAGATTCCCATAAGGAACACACAACTTAGATTCTTCACATGCGTAGTTCACAATAAGGTTTGTGCTCCTGTGAGAATCTGATGCCTCTGCTGATCTGACAGGAGGCAGAGCTCAGACGGCAGTGCTCTCTTTGCCGCTGCTCACCTCCTGCTGTGCGGCGTGGCCCCAGGTGTCTGGGACTCCTGATTTAGAGAACATCAATTTCAGAAAACGATTGACTGCTAACTTTTCAGTAGCAAGTGGAGTACAGAGTCAGTGTTTAGACAGGTGATTTAGCTATTTCCACAACTAGTCTGTTCACACAGGTAAGGTAGAAGAGGATGTGACCTGGGCTAATTTCATTAGGCCTAGAAAACCTTTATTGTGGTTTTTGTTTTTGGACAGAGTCTTGCTCTGTTGCTCAGGCTGGGCTGGAGTGTAATGGTGTGGTCTTGGCTCACTGCAACCTCCGCCTCCCACGCTCAAGCGAGTCTTCTGCCCCAGCCTCCCAAGTGGCTGGGACTGCAGGCACCCACCGCCACACCTGGTTAATTTTTGTTTGTTTGTTTGTTTTGTTTTATATTTTAGAGATGGGGTTTCACCATGTTGGCCAAGGTGGTCTCAAACACTTGAGCTCAGGTAGTCCACCAGCCTTGGCCTCCCACAAGTGTTAGGATTACAGGTGTGAGCCATTACGACCATGTTAGTCCATATAGTTAGTCCATTTAAAATGTGCATTTCTGTACTTTTTAATATACGCACAGATATGTACAGTCCTCACCACAGTCGATTTTAGAACATTGTCATCACCTCAAAAGAAAACTTTGTATCTGTTAGCTGTCAGTCCTTTATTCTTCGAACCCCCTGGCCTTAAGCAACCAGTAATACTTGCTGTGTAAATTTCCCTGTTGTGGACATTCATATGAATGGACTATATGGTGTGAGGTCCTTTGTGCTAGCTTCTTTCCCTTAGCATATTTTGAGATTTCATTCACGCTGTAGCATATATCAGTACTTCATTCCTTTTAATGGCCAAATACGATTCCATTGTATGGATATACTACATTTTGATTAGCCATTCATCCAGTAAAGCACATCTGAGTTGTTTCCCCACCTCTTGGTTATTATGAATAATGCTGCTGTAAACATTTTTGTACAAGTTTCTGTGTGGACATGTTTTATTTCCTTTGGGTATATACCTAGGAGTGGAGTTGCTGGGTCATAATGGTAACTCTATGTTTAATCGTTTGGGGGAACTGCCAGGCTAATTTTAAAAACGGAAATACCACTTTACATTTCCAACAGCAGTGTATGAGACTTCTGATTTCTCCACATTCTCACCAACTGTTACTGTTACTTTGATTCTGGCCATCCTAGTGGATGTGAAGTGGTATCTCATTGTGGCTTTGATTTGCATTTCCCTGATGAGTAATGATGTTAAGCATCTTTCATATGCTTATTGGCCCCCCCCCTTTTTTTTTTTGAGACAGAGTCTTGCTCTGTCGCCCAGGCTGGAGTGCATTGGCGTGATCTCAGCTTACTGCAGCCTCCGCCTACTGGGTTCAAGCCATTCTCCTGCCTCAGCCTCCCCAGTAGCTGGGACTATAGGCGCGTGCCACCATGTCTTCTAATTTTTGTATTTTTAGTGGAGATGGGGTTTCACCATATTGGCCGGGCTCCTCTTGAACTCCTGACCTCAAAGGATCCACCTGCCTTGGCCTCCCAAAGGGCCGGGATTACAGACATGAGCCACCATGCCCGGCCTATTGGCCCTTTTAATATCATCTGTGGTGAAATGTCTATTCATATCCCCTGCCTATTTTTAAATTGAATTATCTGTCTTTCATTATTGCATTGTGACAATTTTTTAAATACAAGACCTTTATCAGATATATGTTGCAAATGTTTTCTCCTATTCCATGGGCTGTTTTTACTTTCTTGATGATGATCTTTGCACAAAAGTTTTAAACTCTGAAGTCCGAGTTATGTTTTCTCTTGCTGAGTATGCTTTTTGTGTCCTAAGAATCTTTTGCCAAATCTGAGGTCATAAAGATTTACCCTCGTTTTCTTATAAGAGTTTTATAATTATAGCTCTTACTTAGAGATCTTTGATGCATTTTCAAGTTAATTTTTGTTTGTGGTTCAAGTTAAGGGTCCAACTTCATTTTTTTTTGCTTGTGACTGCCTATCTAGTTGTCCAAGCACCATATTTTGAAAAGACTATTCTTTCCCCCATTGAATGGTTTTGGCATCCTTGTTGCGCGGTGGCTCACACCTGTAATCCCAGTACTTTGGGAGGCCAAGGCGGGTGGATCACGAGGTCAGGAGTTCGAGACCAGCCTGGGCAGCACGGGGAAACCCTGTCTCTACTAAAAATTAGCCAGGTGTGGTGGCAGGCACCTGTAATCCCAGCTACTCGGGAGGCTGAGGCAGGAGAATCGCTTGAACCTGGGAAGTGGATGTTGCAGTGAGCCAAGACCGCACCATTGCACTCCAGCCTGGGCAACAGAGCGAGACTCTGTCTCAAAAAAAAAAAAAAAAAAAAAAAAAGAAAATCAGTTGACCACAGATACGTGGGTGTGTTTCTGGACTCTCAATTCTGTTGCATTAGTTTGTATGTCTGTTGCTGTGCCAGTGCTGCATTGTCTTGATTACATTGCTTTGTGGTAAATTTTGAGATCAAGAAGTTTGAGTCCTGCTTTTTTTTTTCCTCCTTTTTTTGAGACAGTCGCACTCTGTTGCTCAGGCTGGAGTATAGTGGCACGATCTCGGCTCATTGCAACCTCCGCCTCCCAAGGAACTGGGATTACAGGCATACGCCACCACATTGGGCTAACTTTCGTATTTTTAGTAGAGATGGGGTTTTGCCATATTGGCCAGGCTGGTCTCAAACTCCTGGGGTGAAGTGATCTGCCCACCTCAGTCTTCCAAAGTGCTGGGATTACAGGTGTAAGCCACTGCACCCCGGCCCCTCCTTTCTTTTTCAGGAGTGTTTTGACTATTCTGGGTCCCTTGCAATTTCATATAAATTTTAGAATCAACTTGTCAGAACAAAGAAGTCACCTGGGATTCTGACAGGGACTATGTTGAATTTGTAGATCAGTTTTGAAGAGTATTGCCCTCTTAACAATGTTAACAAGACTTTATAAGTCTTCTAATCCATGGCTTGATCTCAGCTCACTGCAGCCTCTGCCTCTCAGGTTCCAGCGATTCTCCTGCCTCAGCCTCCCGGGTAGCTGGGGTTACAGGCACATGCCACCTCGCCTAGCTCATTTTTGTATTTTAGTAGAGATGGCGTTTCACCATGTTGACCAGGCTGGTCTCGATCTCCTGACCTCAGGTGAGCCGCCGCGCCTGGCCACTTTTTATTTATTTATTTTTTGAGATGGAGTCTTGCTCTGTTGCCAGGCTGGTGAGCAGTGGCACGATCTTGGCTCACTACAACCTCCAACTCCCAGGTTCAGGCAATTCGTCTACCTCAGCCTCCCGAGTAGCTGGGATTACAGGCACACGCCACCACGCCCATCTAATTTTTGTATTTTTAGTAGAGACAGAGTTTCACTGTGTTGGCCAGGATGGTCTCGATCTCCTGACCTTGTGTCTCTCACCTTGGCCTCGCAAAGTGCTGGGATTAAAGGCGTGAGCCACTGCGTCCGGCTCCACATTTCTTTTATTAAATTTACTTCTAAGGATTTTATTCTTTTTGATGCCATTGTGCATATGAATTGAATTGTTTTCTTAATTTCACTTTTGGATAAGCTTGTTCCTTTAAAAACTACTCAGTGGCCTTTCTTCAAACACATGAATCTCTGGCCTTGGACAGATGTAACTGGTAGGCCCTCTCCATACATTAGCCATGCGTCAGTCATCTTTATTTCTTTTTTTAAAAAAATTCTTCCTATGAATAAGTTAGTTAACATACTAATTTCCTCATCTGGCCTTGAATTTCTACTTCTTCAATACATATTTTTAAAATTTTTGGGCTGGGCATGGTGGCTCACGCCTGTAATCCCAGCACTTTGGGAGGCCGAGGCGGGCGGATCACCTGAGGTCAGGAGTTCGAGGTCAGCCTGGTCAATATGGTGAAACCCCGTCTCTACTAAAAATAAAAAAATTAGCCAAGTGTGGTGGAGGGCGCCTGTAGTCCCAGCTACTCGGGAGGCTGAAGCAGAAGAATCACTTGAACCCGGGAGGCAGAAGTTGCAGCGAGTCGAGATTGCACCACTGCACTCCAGCCTGGGCGAGAAGAGCAAGACTCCGTCTCAAAAAGAAAAAAAAAATTGTGTACATTTGTTATAAAGGGGTAATGCAACTTACATACTCAGGAATTTGTCATGAGAACATTTCTTTAAAAAGCATTTCTCCAACCTGTATGAGGTGACTTGAACATTTTTTTATAGATAAATAGAGCAAGTCCTGTTAACCTAATCATAGGAAATGCAAGGGCGTCTGCAATTCTGCATCGCTTTTCCTAGCCATTTTTTGATCTTCCCTCTCCTTTAATTCTCCAAACTTGTGTGTGTGTGTGTGTGCACGCGCTATGGAAGCTTATTACCTTTAGAAACAGTGGTGATGCTCTGATCTAATGATTTCTGAAAGGGTCCTGGTCGCGTACCCGCTCTGATGGTAAAACAGGCCTCTACATGACTCCCTTGGTTAGCTGAGTTACTATAAAATTCACGTGCGATTGTGTATTTGTAATTCTTTTGTAAACGTGCCACAAAAATATGGCAGTATGATGATACTGCTTAAGGGAAGAGAATTTTTAAAGAAAAGAGTTCAGCTTATATTTCTTTATTTCTTTTAAAAGAATTGATTATGCTCAGATGTTTTATTTTTATTTCTTGTGACTCTTAGTACCAGAGATCACAGTAGCAGTTTTTGGATTGTCATTCAGTGAGAGAATTTATTGTAACCGAAGAGGCAGACTACTATTAATACATGTACATTATATGGTCTACACCAGGATACCTGTGAGAGTAAAATGACATTACTACCAATTGTGCCAGGATAACATGGACTGTCTTATGTAGCTGGATCCTCTGGTTGCCCTACCTGAAGGCCACCTGCTACTACGAGGAAAAGAGCTTCGAGTTTTTCAGAACCCATGCAGAGTTTCTTAAAATAGAATTATAATTGCCTAGCAAACCCCCTCTCTTTTTTTTCTTTTACTTTGTTTTTTTGTTGTTGGTGGTGATGGTTTGCTGTTTCTGTGTGTTTTCTTAGAGGCTAGAGGCAGTACATTAATCTTGGGGACCTTTTAAACAGTACAGATGCCTGTGCCATCCTCAGAGATTCCCTTGTAGTTGTCCTGGGCTGAAGTTCATTCAGCACCAATTTTTAAAGCATGGAAAGCTTAAATTTTGGAACTGAGTTAGGAAGATGATGTGAAATGCAGTGAAGTTGAGGGGGAAGAAGCTTTAAGGATTCACAGAGTAAAACCAATGGTACTTAGGCATTTTAAATGTGTGCCATATTCTCAGTAATCCCTGTAGGAATTGTCTGCTTTCAAATTATATTTCAAAGCCACTCAAACTTATTTTCATTTAAGTGCAGCTACAGATTAAACATGGGCCAAAGAAATTTTTGGTTATGATTTTCAAAATTGTTCATATATCTAGATGGAGGTCGGCAAACTATGAAAAAAAGTTTTATTATTGGAACACAGCCACATCTGTTTATATACATATCATCAGTGGCTGCTTTTGTGCTACAGTGGCAGAGTTCAGCAGTTGGGACAGAGACCATATGACCCTAAGCCTGAAATATTTACTGTCTTGTCTTTTACGAAAACGTTTGCTGACTCCTGGTCTAGATAATCATGAATTCAGGCTATTAAAATTTTTTTTAAGTTATGAAAATAAATATGTGAGTTGATTTATATCTAAAAATTGACTTAGAAATTTTCTCTCTCTCTCTTTTTTTTTTTTTTTTTTTTTTTAATATAGATGATTCACCTCCAGCAGAAAGGGAACCAGGAGAAGTTGTGGACAGCCTGGTAGGCAAACAAGTGGAATATGCCAAAGAAGATGGCTCGAAAAGGACTGGCATGGTCATTCATCAAGTAGAAGCCAAGCCCTCCGTCTATTTCATCAAGTTTGATGATGATTTCCATATTTATGTCTACGATTTGGTGAAAACATCCTAGATGTCATCACAAACTCTGCCAAATTTGTGGAACTATGAAATGTATTATTTGTAGACATAAAGACTTGATTGCTTTCCAGTTTAATGAAAGCTTAAATGTCCCTGCGAACCCACAATCTCTGCCAGCAGAACTGGTTTTGTTCTGAATAGTACAGATTGATGTGAACACAAAGCATTTTGTGTAAGGAGAACCCCTTTCTTTTAAAAGAAGTCTGTCTATTTCGAGGGGAGTTACAGGCAAGTTTGGTAAAAGTTAAGCTAGTATCATAGTCATTTAAAATTGTAATAGATCTTAACCATTTTCCCCCTCACCCTAACTCTCTTATTCTGCCGCCACAATGCAAGCATAGTTTGATGTTTTCGTTATTGCCTTTTTTGAGATGTATGTATCTGTATCTACCTATATCTATATGTGTGTATACATATATAATATATACACACAGATACAAGTGTACACACACACACCACACACCACACACACCCCACTGGCAGTCTTTGTGGATTAGGATGGGGGTGACATAATTTTCTTGAGTTTAACAGGAGTGCTTTACCCAAGTCAGTCATGGATATGATATCACTGCTCTTTATTTAAAAGTAAACTTTGGGCACAGGAACCATATGGGAACATTCAGCTTGTTTAAAAAAAAAAAATCAGAAGTTCAGAGCACCTTTTCAATCTGGAGCCCTTAAACCATAAGTCCAAATATGAATTATTTGTGAACAGTTAATGACCCATATTAGAATTTTACAATCTGGTGAACAATCTGGGTAAAAGGCTACCTTTAATTCTAAGCTTCATTTTTTTTTGGGGGGGGGTTACATTTTAATCATAAATTCTTTTTTGCAAAGCCCAGGTTCTTGTTCCACACAGTGTAATGTAGGTGTATTTTGGACAGCACATATGGTCCATTGTGTACAAGTCAGTAATCTGGATTTCAGTACATGGATTTAAAAGGCAACAATCCATCACTGGTTTGTGTGTTTTTGGTTAAGTTTCTGGAAGAATACAATGCTTTTATATTGGAAGTATAAGTTTTGAGTGGCATTGTTGCCTTCTAACAAGCTCTCTGGGACTTTTAAAGTTTTATTACTATTATTGCTAATGTATGATTATGGTCAGAGACTTTCAACCCACCCCTTCCTGCCTACCCCTGGCTTTTCCTCACAAAGAATGTCTAGACAAACAGCAGCTTAGTCTCCTGACACCTCTTGTGGGGTGCATGTTCCTGCTCCAGGTATGCTGTTCATGTGGATTCATTCCATTCAGTGGCCCCTTGGGGTTTGCATGCCAGTGAAGCGTTACCATAGAAGAGCCAGCCGTTTGTGTTCGCTTGGTAGGTGTAAGTAATAGCAGCCCTTAGCCACGGAGTCTTTATGTGGTTTATTCCTGCAAGGTTGTTTTAAACTGAAATAGAACTGCTAGTGTGATTGGTTGATCAGCAAAACAGCTGCTCTCATTTTGTTTTGGAGGAACCCTGGTGGTTTGACAGCCAGGAGAAAGGCCATATGTGAAACCAGTCTCTTGTGGAGATTGGAAATCCTCCCTGATATTTGGGCAGAGCCTAAACGTGCATGCTTGTCACTCAAACACCAGAAGTTTGAATCAGAGGTCTGAGTGACCTCTTTTGTGGCTGTTCTTGATGGTTTCCAGGCCTCGTTATGCATGGTTTGCTTGATGCCCATTTTTTGTGCCTTGTGCTGTTGGATGGTAACGACCACTCACCATGTAAACACAGTACCTCAGTTTTCTGTCCACAGCTGCAGTCGCTCTGTCCCTCGTGCTTCACTGTGGGCAGCCAGGGACAAGCTTCTGAAAGCAGTGTGATACCCAAGTCATAGGTGCTTCTCGTATGTGAACAGGTGTCATTCTACAGATCTGTTATGTGTTTTCCTGTTGACTCTTAAGAGTCCCTGCATGTAAATCTCAAAGCTGAGCCTGGCTCCCAGAGTCCAGACTGACATTACAGCGCAAGAGTTTGCAAGTGTGTCCAGCATGCACCAACTGTGCAGAACTTGGCTCGGTAACTTTGCGTGGAAAAATAAAGTACATTTTGAAGTATCTTGAGGGTTGGGTCAATTGAGACATTTCTAGCATTACTTAATGACTTGCATTGTGGTTTTTCTGCAAGCAACTTTAATGACTTTTTTTATACCACATGGTCTCCCAGTTTCTAGATGAATGCAACATGATGATGGTGATGATGACGATGAGTTTAATCATTGTTCATTTATTGCCTTTAGGGCTGAGGGAAAGGGAAGGTTTGTTTTTTTTTCTCCCCATTTTCCCCCATTCTGTCTTTCTTTTGGTGACTTACACCACATGTAATGACGCTATGACTAATTCTGCTCCCAAGCCCTTGTATCTTGGGCTTCATTTTAGGCTCATGTGTCAGATCTGCATGCATTGCTTGCATTTTTCTGGTATCTGAATGTTGGTTCCTTGTTCCAGGAATTCAACATTAATTTCCAAAAGTATCATGGGACTTGTGACAATACAAGACATGAATCTATGTATAAAATTTATCGGCCTTTCTCATTTACCTGCTCTAGTATTATTGTATTGTGTGTGCGTGCGTGTGTGATGTCAGGCTGCCACGTAAAACTTCAGAGAAAAATCTTAAAAGCAGACCATCCTTTTTTGCATGCTCTATTCTAAGTAGAATGTTCAATGTAACTGACTAAAATTGCATGTTAAAGATATTTAGGTTTTTTTGTTTTCTTTATTTTTATTTGTTTTCAGTTTCCTGTATATTTGCTTACTGTGCCGTTTTAGTGGTTTTAGGATAAAAATGCACTGGTGAAGCAAATGTAGTGCCAACAGAAGGTGATTTTCCAGTTGTAAATGTCATGCAGCATTTGAAGGGACTGTGTTTTCTTAAAAAAAAATCACAGTTACTTCTAAACCAGATTTCATTTCTTTTATTGTTTTATGTGCCAAACCACGAAGTGCATTGGGCTTCAATCTCTGAACACTGTAGACCCATTAGAAGACTGTTCCGATTGTTACAAATTGTAGTGCCTGAAAACACTCTTAAGCTGATTGTCTTAACAAAATGAAAGTTCTCCAAAGACAAAACAGAACAATTATTATAACAAAATAATTATGGTTGAAATGTCTGTGGTTCCTTGGAAATGCTGCGCTCTTTGTGTTTTTCCATCATTAGTGCAGTTGGAATGAATGTGTATAGGTCAGAGGTCTTCGTGTTCACATTTTAAAATTAGGTAAATGACCTCATCTTTCAAGCTTGAATTCATTTTTAATTTTAATTTTATTTTATACAATGTGTAGACAGTTCCCTGTTCTCTGCATTTAGAAGTATACACAATATAAATCTGTTAATTCTGTAAGTAATTTTTATAATTATGATGTAACTCTATCTTATCCTTAAAACATTTAAAATAAACCCTTTATGTGCAACTCCTGACTGTAAAGTTTGTGCTGATGAGCAACATGTGATGTGTTAAACTTGATTCTGAAAAGTTTTTTGGGCCAAGTAACCTTTTCACCACATGTAAATGTCAGATATGCATAGAAAGAAATAGAATTTTTATTTGATAACATTCAATAATACCTGAAAGAAGAGGAGGCAGTCATCAATATCACACATATATTAAATATTGAAGTTTGCAATTTGACATTGAGAAAGTTTAACTTACAAGATCTTAAACTTAAAAAAATTCTTTTAAATATAATTAAATAATGGGTATTTTATACTTTTCACAAGTATTCTTGCTTTGAATATTTCTTATAATGCTTTTACTCATAAATAATAAACAATGGGATTCTATAGTGAAAAATCACTATTTCTCAATGCTAGGATACAAAAAAATGAAAGTAATATAGGCTGGTGCAAAGTAATAGCAGTTTTGCCACTGCTTTTATGGCAAAAAATGCAATTACTTTTTCACCAACCTAATATTAACACCTATGTATGTTTTATCTTTCTTGATTATTTTAATCAGTGAGGTAAAAAGTGGAATTTATGGCATGCTTTAATAAGATTTTTTTTTTTAATGTTTCCCAGTTCATTTTGGCCTAAGGATCTCATGCTTAAGTCTGGGATATTTACCTGCCTTTGGGAGAATGGTTGATACTTGGTGAGGGATGAATGCAAACTTGGGCTTTGGGACGCTGGGCTTCTAGGTTTGTGTCAGTGCAGTGCCTGTGCTCCAAGTCCATGGAGGTTACTGAGGTGGACTGAAGGCAGGGTCTACTCCGGCTTAGGTGGAAGAAGGCTGCAGTTCAAGGAGGAAATGAGCCATTGGGAAGCACAGGTGCCTCTCTTGAGTCTGGGTTTTCTGACCTTCCTTGCTGAAGGTAGATTATTCGTTGTCTGTGTTATCTGTCATGGGTACAGCTCTGTAAATATTGCCCCAAAAGTATAACAATGCAAGTTTAGTCTGAAGTTTGAAACTTGATAACTAGTATTTGTAAACTAATGAATCAACTCTCCTATTTAAAGCAGTCATCACTCTGTTGGAGAATTTTTGTTTTTTCTCTTGGTACAATTAAACTCTGTGATGACAAAAGCATTTGGTACTAATAAAGCATTCATAAATGCTTAATAAGTACCTTGCCAAGCACTTTCCACACTATTTTGTTTAGTTCTTAATGGTCTTTTGAGGAAGAGGCAGAGATTGAGTATCTCACGCAGGATTATAGGGGAATGAAGACTCGGATCTCTATTTTGTGCCCAGACTCTGAGCTGCTTTATGAACACCTCAATTAAATTACTTCATTGGAGTGATTTGAGTAATCTATCTATAGTGTAATATTTTCTATGAATAATTTTCTGTAACCTTATTTCATAAGTTAATATCTAAAAAGTGTTTATTTCCAAATTGCCAAATAAAAGGTTTTATATTAGTCATTAGAATGTAGGCATCTGTGTCTCTGTATGCTAAGAATTATAACCCAAAATTATTTTTGTGCTTAAAAAATAAATGATGTCTCCACGATGGCACGCATATACTTATGTAACAAACCTGCACATTCTGCACATGTATCCCGGAACTTAAAAAAATTTTTTTTCCATAACTAAAAAAATAAAAATAATGATGTCTTTTTTGGAGAGAAAGTATGCTGAAGAAATTTTAATAACTTTTCATCACAAGAATATAGATACTTTATTTTAACTTTTAAATCTATTCATTTGCTTATTTATTTTGAGACTGGGTTATGAGACTGGCTAATTTTTGTATTTTTGGTAGAGACAGGGTTTCAACCATGTTGCCAAGGCTGGTCTCGAACTCCTGGGCTCAAGCCATCCACCCTTCTCAGCCTCCCAAAGTGCTGAGATTATAGGCGTGAGTCACGGCACCCAGCCAGATAACTATATTTTAAAGACACTTTGAATATATCATGAAAGTAATATCTTCATAAACCTAATTTTTTTAACCATACAGGAGACTTAAAAAGCCTAGATTTCTTTTGCTCATAACCTACAATCTTATGTTTAATTTTTATAGTAATGAGTTTGTTCTGTGTCATATACTGGTAAGTTTTAGGCAGCATGTGGAGTTGAGAGAATTCATTGAGTCTTTAAGTTACTTCTCCAGCCATTCCTAGAGTCTTCGTCTGCCCTTATGATTAGTTTTGGTAAACCAAGTAGCAGACGGTTTTTTAATAATGTCATGGCACATAAGTTTGCCTAAACATGACATTGGCATTCTTTCTGCTTAATTTTCAAGTGAGGGCCCTGGACCAAGTGGTGCGTCGGCCCCTGTCAGCTCTGAGGTGACACACAAGTGCGGGGCCTTGCTGTGCATTTGTTTTTTTACGTTGACTGTTCAGTGAGAGAGGAGGCTTACTCCTGGCTCTGCTTTTACCATCCTCTTTCTCATTATTTTCAGTGTATGCTTTCTGGAGGGAAAGTTAAGAGCTTTATATACCACACAAACTACCTAAAATCCTTAATAGGGTAAGCAGATTATACATAACTTTAAAATTGTCTGTTTCTATGTTGGAATTACTGAAGCAGATTATAATGTGAAAGGACAGAAAGCCTTTTAAAAACCTTTATGTTGGGCTGGGCGCGGTGGCTCATGCCTATTGTAATCTCAGGACTTTGGGAGGCCAAGGTGGATGGATCACAAGGTCAGGAGTTCGAGACCAGCCTGGCCAAAATTGTGAAACCCCATCTCTACTAAAAATACAAAAAAATTAGCCGGGTATGGTGGCGCACGCCTGTGATCCCAGCTACTCAGGAGGCTGAGGCAGAAGAATAGCTTGAACCCCGGAGGCAGAGGTTGCAATGAGTTGACATCGTGCCACTGCACTCCAGCCTGGACGACAGAGTCTGTACAAGACTCTGTCTCAAAAAAAAAAAAAAAAAAAAAAAAAAAACCTTGATGTTAACATAAGTAACAGTTGTTAACAACCCAGGGTTGAGTGGCAGCATTGTGAATTGTCTTCAGATACAGATCGTGAAAATAACTCTAAAGCTTTTTCCTCGAACTTGTCTTTCTGTGGCTTTGTAAAAAATTGGATAGCTGCTTTCCTTGGTCTTCCCTGCACCTGCACACCGTGTATACAAGTGTGAGCCTCTGGTCTTCTCATAGAAAAGTCTGATGACTGTTAGAGAAATGACATCAGCAGTAGGTCTTTTTCCTAAAGTCAGTCTTTATCCTGTAGTGTGTTTACTCTTTGTTTTATTTATTGGGGACCTGGTTTTAACAAAATGTTACTTCCAGTTTTTCTGTAATAACTATGGTAAAGTAGCTTTAACCACTAGATTAAAGTAGCCACTAGATTCTTAATTTAATCTAAATCTGATGGATGCTACTAAGGACAAAACTGGTCATTTTCAGAGCAGTCCTGTAGGGGAGAGCAGTGTGTCAAAGACAAGTAAGCACAGTGCAGGCCTATGCCTGGCACAGGGCTTGCCGCTGTTCTGCCGGCCTGTCATCATTGGGTGTCACTTAAGGCCTTACAATGTTTTGCTTTGTTTTTTTCTTTCTTTCTTTCTTTCTTTTTTTTTCCATAGAAGGCGTCTCACTGTGTTTCTCAGACTCATCCTAAACTTCTGGACTCAAGTGTTCCTCCCGCCTCAGCCTCCCAAAGTGCTGGGATTACAGGTGTGAGTAACCATGCCCGGCTGGCTTTATTTTTGATGTTTGAGATTACGCTTTCAGTTCCACACAGTCGATTTTGCTTGTTATATAATGTTCGTTTTTAGGAAGATTTTAGTTGTTACATTTTTTTAACAACACTAGCATCTTCCAGCGTATATAAAAATTGTAATAAGCAGTGTTAAGTTTCACATTTTCTACTTTATTGTGATTGAGAAGACTATACATCTAACTTTTATGAATAAAGTGACACATCTGTGTGTGTTTGTTTTTTCTTGAGATGGAGTCTCGCTCTGTCACCCATGCTGGAGTGCAGTGGTGTGATCTCGGCTCACTGCAGTCTCCACCTCCTCGGTTCAAGCTATTTTCCTGCTTCAGCCTCTCGAGTAGCTGGGATTACAAGTGCTTGCCATCACACCCGGCTAATTTTTGTATTTTTAATAGAAACAGGGTTTCACCATGTTGGCCAGGCTGGTCTCAAATTCCTGACCTCAGGTGATCCACCTGCCTTGGCCTCCCAAAGTGCAGTGGGCATGAGCCACTGCGCCCAGTTCGAAGGGAGAAATCTGTGTTTTAAGTTTGCTTTTGCATTGTCTTAGTGTTCATGAACACTAAATTGTCTTCTTAGTTCATTTGTGAAACATGGTGCTGGAGTTTGCAGTCTAAGCTCATGGCTAGATGAGTAGTGACTTAAACAGCAGGTCTGCTTTCAGAATGTATTCCTGCAGAGAGTTAAGCTGCATTCTTTTAAAACGGACAGTTGTGCCCAGTAAAGTTTATCTGTTGAATACTACAGAAAAGTAACCATCATTGTATTTGTTTCTACCTTTAGGCCTTAGATACGTGATGTATTTAATCAGTCTTTTTCTTTCAAATATAACCTGAAATAGTTGGTCTTTGGAAAAGTTTAAAAAGTTGATTGTGTTTCTAAAGGGAGAAATTTCCAGATGTTAAAATTCACCTTGAATTTTTGGACATTCCGGCCTGGTGCGGTGGCTCACACCTGTAATCCCAGCACTTTGGGAGTCCCAGGCGGGCGGATTACTGAGGTCAGGAGTTTGAGACCAGCCTGGCCAACATGGTGAAACCCCGTCTCTACTAAATATACAAAAAAAATAGCCAGATGTGGTGGCACACACCTGTAATCCCAGCTACTCGGGAGGCTGAGGCAGGAGAATTGCTTGAGCCCGGGAGATGGAGGTTGCAGTGAGCTGAGATCACACCACTGCACTCCAGCCTGGCCAACAGAGCAAGGCTCTGTCTCAAAAAAAAAAAAAAAAAGATTTTTTTGACATTGCATCACTAATTCAGTTTCTGGTATGGATTTATAACATTGGTCCTCACAATCTAAGTAAAGCTAGCTGCTTTATCAATTCCAACAGAATCTCATTCTCTTAATGTGTGCTCAAAAGAAATAACTATCAAGATTGCGGGAGTGATTTCTAAAGGCAAGTGGGTCATTTTATGTTCTTCCATGTGGAGCTTTGTGACGTAGCAGAGAGTGTGAGTGGTGTCAATAGTATGGCAAGAAAACTTGCATATTTTGGTCCTGAGAAAGTGAAGGTAGTAGGCTGCCTTCCTAAAGGATTAGCAATTTAAGGGACGTTCTAGACCTCTAGTCTAGAAAATGTAACTGTTGGCTGGGCGCCATGGCTGACACCTGTAATCCCACACTTTGGGAGGCCGAGGTGGGCAGATCACCTGAGGTCAAGAGTTCGAAACCAGCCTAGCCAACATGGTGAAACCCCGTCTCTACTAAAAATACAAAAATTATCTCGGTGTGGTGGCACGTACCTTTAATCCCAGCTACTCAGGAGGCGGAGGCACAAGAATTGCTTGAACCCGGGGAGGCAGAGGTTGCAGTGAGCCGAGATCACGCCACTGCACTCCAGCCTGAGCAACAGAGGGAGACCCTGTCTCAAAAATAAAACAAAAAAAGAAAATGTAACTGCAGGTGAAGGTTTAATTAAACTTCTTTAGACTGGAATTTCACATGTTTTATCTATCAACTTTTGTTAAGAGGTAGGATCTCTTTTTGTCCCAGGCTGGAGTGCAGTGGTACAGTTACAGCTTACTGTAACCTTGAACTCCTGGGCTCAAGTGATCCTCCCAAGTAGCTAGACTACAGACAGGTGCCGCCACAGCCAGCTGATTTTTCAGAGACAGGATCTCTCTATGTTGCCCATGCTGGTCTTGAACTCCTGGCCTCGAGCCATCCTCCCACCTCGGCCTCCCAAAGTGCTGGGATTTGAGGCATGAGACACCCACACTCGGTCTTCAAGTTTTTATTGTAACTTATAAGCAAGTCAGTTCCAACTTAAATTGGTTTCAATGCTATTTAGATAGTAGCTAAAGTATGTATTTTCTTCTAGTATATTTTTAAAATGTGGGTATATATAAATAACTTCATAACCCACCTAAAATATTTTATGGGATAAAGTGGATATAAATAATTTTGTCCTTAGAAAGTTCTTTGCCATCTAATTATCATTTTTTAACATCTATTATTCCATAAATTCATAGGGACTAGGTTCCAGCAGCCCAGGCTCCTTTCCATTGGTTCTCACAAAGTGCGCTTCTCTGGGTAGAGCAGGCTGGCGTTTAGTGGAACCCAGACACCTTTCTCTGGCTTCCTCCTTTTTTCCAATCATTTTCCTTCACGAATTTCAGGAAGCTGTCCTGGCTCTTAAGAGTGCTCAGTATACTCTATACATAACACACATTAATTGTCTTAAGAATCTTGCCCTTACCTTGTTTACAACAATACCAACAGCATGTGGGTAACATTATAGACTGCTCCAGTTTTGCCATGGTAACATCTGTGGGCATTCCTTCTTGAACAGTACCCATTCCCTTAATGTCTACAATATCACCTTTCTTTACAGATACACATATATATGGGCAAAGGGACAACTCCAGGTTTTCTAAAAGGTTTAGAGGAAATATATCAGGTGCCTCTCTTCTTTCCTTTTGTTCATAATTTTGGCAAATTACTGGAAGATGGTGGTTCGGGCCAAAAGGAATAATTACAAATTTTTAAACTGTCATGTTGAAGAATTCTTTCTTCCTAGATAAATGTAAATTGACATGGTGTTCCACCACCTATCCTCAGAGATGCAGTTAGCAGAAATGGCTCCTAAAATTAGTGGTCACTGTTACATTATAAAAATTTGTCAGGCCAGGCACGGCGGCTCACGCCTGTAATCCCAGCACTTTGGGAGTCCAAGGCGGGTGGATCACTTGAAGTCAGGACTTGGAGACCAACCTGGGCAACATGGTGAAACCCTGTGTCTACTATAAGTACAAAAAAAATTAGCCAGGCATGGTGGCAGGTGCCTGTAATCCCAGCTACTTAGGAGGCTGAGGCAGGAGAATCGCCTGAACCTGGGAGGTGGAAGTTGCAGTGAGCCGAGGTGGCACCATTGCAACGGAGTGAGAAGCTGTCTCAAAAAAAAAAAAAAAAAAAAGCCTGTAAATGAACTTATATGGTGGTTATGATTTGGGGGATTTAGGGAGTACTGTGCCAGGTGGCAGTTGGACTTAGATTCTGGTAAGAATCAGCCTTAGGCAGAGATTTTGTAGTCTGTTCTGTTCTCTATTTTAAAATGTCTCTGTGCCTTAGTTTCTTTTCTTGCATGATTTTCTTAACATGTTTGAACTTCTGATTTATCTAGAATAACAGTATGGTTTCCTATTTTTTTAAAACACTCTGGAAAGATTAATTTGGTTTTGCGAAGTGTCACATTCAGTGACAGTACATTGCCTATAAAACTAGCAACATAATTTGAATCACTAACATGTTTTTTTCTTTTTTTTGAGACAGAGTTTCGCTCTTGTTGCCCAGGCTGGAGTGCAATAGCACGATCCTGGCTCACTGCAACCTCTGCGTCCTGGGTTCAAGTGATTCTCCTGCCTCAGCCTCCCGAGTAGCTGGGATTACAGGCATGCACCACCACGCCCGGCTAATTTTGTATTTTTATTAGAGACGGGGTTTCTCCATGTTGGTCAGGCTGGTCTCGAACTCCCAACCTCAAGTGATCCGCCCGCCTTGGCCTCCCAAAGTGCTGGGATTACAAGTGTGAGCCACTGCGCCCAGCCACTAACATGTTGTTGTCTATAAATCATTTGTGTCTATTGTAAGTGTGACTAGTCATAAGCTTTCCATTGCTCAGTTTTTTTGGGGGTTTGTTTTTTTTTGAGACGGAGTTTCACTCTTGTTGCCCAGGCTGGAGTGCAGTGGCGCAATCTCAGCTCACTGCAGTCTCCGCCTCCCTTTAAGCGATTCTCCTGACTCTCAGCCTCCTGAGTAGCTGGGATTACAGGCATGCACCCCCATGCCCGGCTAATTTTGTATTTTTAGTAGAGACGGGGTTTCACCATGTTGGTCAAGCTGGTCTCGAACTACTGACCTCAAGTGATACACCTGTCTCAGCCCCCAAAGTGCTGGGATTACAGGCGTGAGCCATCGCACGCGGCTGCTCACTTAGTTTAGGTACTTTCCACTGTTTATGTCTTAAAACTAACGATGACATCTGGACTTTGGACTAGAAACGTCAAGCTGATGAAGTCGTTTGTTCTTGTGTGCTTCTGTGATGATCCATGGAGGAGCTTAAGTCTAAAGATTGCCATTTTGCTATAGCTTTCAGGAAGAGAAAATAAAAAGTAAAATACAAATTGAAGCATGTTCTCAGTTTACAGTCATAATTCTAGCTGAGCATTAGCGGACAGAATGTTAATACTTTGGAATCCACCAAGGCCATTTCTGCATCTGCCCCAGAACAACACAAATGCACAGGACTTTTGTTCCAGCGTGATTCATTTAGCTACAGTCAAGACCTTTGGCTGGTCAGGCATTGTATCTGTTACTTCTTATGTTTTATGTGCACAGTGTTCTATAGTTTTATCATGAATTGAAAGGTTAAGTTTCAAGTTCCTTCCCATTCCACAGAAAAATATCCAGAAACTTTCCTAGTTCCTATGTCTTTATACTATAAAATTTCCTAAGATCATTTTTATGTTTTTTTTTTTCTACTCTTTAAAAATAGCTGTAGTTACAGTGTCAAATTAGAACGGGGAACAAGGTGCTGATGTGATTCTGGTTGGACACTGTCTTGAAGGATCTGGGTGAATCACCAACTTAAAATCTCATGTTCTGAGCTCTACTTCCATGGAAAAAATACCAGCTTTATCTTTCCGATGGGCATATTGTGGGATTTAATGGATTTCAAAAATGTTCATAAAATTTTGGGAAAGAAACTATTAAAATGGGACTTTAAAGTTCCTTTTATAACTAACCATAATATCAACTGCCTTTGCACTTTGTAAAAACCGGAATGTCTTAAAGTAAAATTGTTGTAGTTTTATTGAGGATTCTTGTGATAGTATAATTTTGTGCTTTTTTTTTTTTTTTTTAAAGGAACAATTTTAAGAATCTCATGTCATGAAGAATTTTTTTCAGATTAAGTTCTAGTTCAGTGTTTGGGAAGTACTATCTAGTGAAAACATTCTGGGTTTGAATGAGTTTGAGAAGAAAATTCCCGAAAAAGAAACGTATGACAGTACCTAATTGAAAAAATGAGGAAGTTAATTCATATAGTGCCTATAAGGTACCTTTAAGCATTAGAAGAAATGCTCTGAGCAAGTTCCTCTCAAGTTCAGCAGAGTCAATCTTTAGGTCGGTCTCCATGTCAGGCTTTCACATGCTGAGACCCAGGTTGTGGTTAAGGGGCACCTCCAGCTGTGCTGATCAAGGCACCCCAGGACCCCTCTCCATCGTGGTTCTCTGGCCGACTGCTGAGTTGGTTAAGCACAGCATTTCCTATGATGTGATGATTGGTGTTACAGGTCGCATGAGTGGTGCTGGTGTCACTTACAGAAGCCTCTGCAAGATCCAAGAAGTAGTCTAGGCCCGGTGCCCAATGAGAATTATAGTCCCTGGTGAAGAAATGCAGCTCTCAACTGATAATTTCCTGTCAGCTGGATGCAGGGATGACTCTTACACCTCAGAAAGTCAAGATATCTGCTTGTCGTGGAGCCTGTGCTGCCTGGCTGCCCCTCAGGCTACTTTCTAGTGGGAGAAATGGTGCCCATTGAGTCATAAACGGAAGGCTGGACCTTTCCATGGTTATGCTCCTGTTGTGGATGGTCAGGACTGTAGAAAAGGGCCTCACAGTACAGAAAGAAGAGCCAAATCTGAATCCTAATGGACCAGGCTGGATTTATAGCCTCAGAGGTTGCCCTGGTTTAATGTTGTAGCAGAATGAGTGGTAGCAGGGAAGGCCAGTCAGGGTCTAATTGGCTGCTTCTACTTTAACCACTTCTTGGAGACAGGATTGCAGGGCAAAGAGCTGTTGGCCAGCCTCAGGTTGCTTGTTGGGAGTCAGCAACTAGCTAGGTATCATGTAACTTAATTAGCTGATGGCTGGCATGACCATTTTCTCTCATACAAGTTATTCCCCAGTCTTTTTTTTTTTTTTTTTTTTTTTTTTGAGACAGTCTTGCTCTGTTGCCCAGGCTGGAGTACAGTGGCACGATCTCGGCTCACTGCAACCTCTGCCTCCCGGGTTCAAGCAATTCTGCCTCAGCCTCCCGAGTAGCTGAGATTACAGGCACATGCCACCACGCCCGGCTAATTTTTGTATTTTCAGTAGAGACGGGGTTTTACCATATTGGCCAGCCTGGTCTTGAACTCCTGACCTTGTCATCTGCCCGCCTCGGCCTCCCAAAGTGCTGGGATTGCAGTTGTGAGCCACTGCGCCTGGCCTCCCAGTCTTCGTACCTTTATTTCCCTTGCCTTATCAACAGTTAACACTTTTTAAAAGGTCATGAGCCCAACCCCTTCCAGAAAATTCAGTTGCTACCTTAGATCCTTAAAAAGTGGTGTTTTGTTTGCTTTTTGTTCATCAGTATCTGCCATTGTGCTTCTAACTCACCATTAAGTTACTCCTCTGGGGCAGAAAGAAATTAGAGATCCAAGAGACAGGAATTTATTGCACATTAAGTTTGTTACTCATCAGAGATGGATGGTCTTTAAGAGTGATCAGTAAGAATGTGAGATTGTTATTGCCATTAAAGACAAAATTACCAACTTAGCTTAGATCTTAACAGGCATTTATTCATGATTTTAGAATCGGATAGCCCTCCAAACCAGGGTAGGTTCAAAGAACTCCCATCTGTCACGTGGCCAGACGGCATTTATGAACAGAAAACAGAAATGAGGTAGAGAAAAACGACTGATACACAGAGACAGCTTGATTGATAACCACTCGATGTGTACCTTTTTATATAATTTAAACAGTGCCTGTGTTGACTGGCTGCTATGATTGTCTGAGACTGTTACAAAAGTATGAAAACATCTACTGTTATGCACTGTAATGTCACTCATCGCTTTTGATGGGAACACTTTTTGCAAAATTTTATATTTCGTTGTAGGAACATCTTAGAGTATACTTATACAATCCTAGAAGGTATAGCCTACTACACACCCAGGCTGCCTGGGATAGCCTGCTGCTCCTAGGCTACCAACCTGTCCAGCGTGTCACTGTACTGAATACTGTAGGCAGTTGGAACACAATGGTATTTGCATGTAAACACACCAAACAGAAAAGGTGCAGTAAAAATACAGTATTATAATTCTTTTTTTTTTTTTTTTTTTTTTTTGAGATGGAGTCTTGCTCTGTTGCCCAGGCTGGAGTGCAGTGGCGCAATCTCAGCTCACTGCAACCTCCACCTCCCAGGTTCAAGCAATTCTCCTGCCTCAGCCTCCTGAGTAGCTGAGATTACAGGCATGCACCACCATGCCCAGCTAATTTTTGTATTTTTAGTAGAGACAGGGTTTCACCATGTTGGTCAGGCTGGTCTTGAACTCCGGACCTTGTGATTCGCCCGCCTTGGCCTCCGAAAGTGCTGGGATTACAGGCGTGAGCCACTGTGCCTGGCCTAGTATTAGAATCTTATGGGACCACTGTCTATGTGCTGTCTGCTATTGACTAAAATGTCATTATGCCATGCATGACTGTATGCCTAAATTGGGCATTCAGTTAGTTCCATACTAAGTTAGGTTGCAGTTCATTACCCTAAGGACTTATGTACTGAGGTGTCCTCAGGCCAGATACTTTTAACCCACCTCAGGCGAGTGCTGAATGCAGTGCGAGTGCCAGCTACGGCAACTGTGTGAGGGGTGTTGAAAGTACAGATTCTTGAGCTTCACCCAGACTGAAATTAGGGCCCAGGAAACTGCAGTTTAAGAAGCACGTTCCCCCCACCCTTAAGTAACGTTAGAGGCACGGACCTACCATCACTCAGGTTAAAGAACTACCATTTTAGATTTTGGAGGTAGTTAAAAGTCATGGAGTTTTTTTTATTTTCTAATATTTGCAAGGCTGTATCTCAGGGATGAGGAGAAAATGATTTTATGCTCCTAATGACCTGAATCTTCCTGTTTCAAACCTGCGATTAAGTTTTATATCAATATATGAATCTTAAAAGAGTTTGGAACTGTGGGATTGATTAAAGTTGTTGAGTTTGGAGTTCTGTGAATGTGCCTTCCAGATTGCTGAGATTATCAGCACATAGTGTTACAGTCGTCCCTCAGTTTCCAGGACCCCTACAGATGCCAAAAACCATGTAGACTTAAGTTCCTTATATAACATGGTGTAGTATTTGCATATAACCTGCACACGTCTTCCCATATACTTTAAATCATCTCTAGATTACTTATAATGCCTAATACAATGTAAATGCTATATAAATAGCTGTTCTACTGTACTTGTTAATGAATATTATTTTTGTTGTTTTTTTCCCAAATATTTCTGATCCATGATTGGTTGAATCCACAGATGCGGAAGACCAGCTGTACTTGTGACTTGCCCATTCATGAGCCAGGCTTAGTTTTACCTATAGCCCCAGCCAGGTGACCCTTATCTGCCTTTGGCTATTAAGAAGGGACTGTTCTTGATGGGGAAAAACCTTCAGGCATCAGTACAAATGATGTTGGTAGTTTAATCAGCAATGAAGCTCAGTCACTTTTAGATGACCTCTGGTTTATTCCTGAAAGCATACAAAACAAGAAGAGTGCTGCCAAACATTTAAAGAAGAAAACATACCATTTTTCACAGACTCAGGAAGAAGAAGAGTAAGGAATACTTACCAACTCATTCTGTGAAACCAGTATTACCCTGATAGAAAATCCCTCATGAAAATATTGATAGTTACAAAAAACCATGAACAAGTCAAATAACATATAGAAAGATTTAGCTACATGGCCAGGTGAGACATGTTTAATACCAGAAAAACAATGTATTTTACCTATTAATAGATGACAGAAGGCAGGAGTCATCTCAAATGATGGGGAAAGAGCATTTGACAAAATCTAACACATATTCATGATAAAAATGGAAAAAAACTGGAATAGAAGATAATTTTTTCAGTCTGATAAAAGGCATCCATAGGCCAAGTGCGATGGCTCATGCCTGTAATCCCAGCACTTTGTGAGGCCGAGGCGGGCGGATCCCTTGAGGTCAGGAGTTTGAGACCAGCCTGGCCAATATGGTGAAACCCCGTCTCTACTAAAAATACAAAAATTAGCCAGGCGTGGTGGCAGTTGCCTGTAGTCCCAGCTACTTGGGAGGCTGAGGCAGGAGAATCGCTTAAACCCAGGAGGCGGAGGTTGCGGCAAGCCAAGATCGCGCCACTGCACTCCAGCCTGGGCGACAGAACAAGACTCCATCTCAAAAAAAAAAAAAAAAAAAGACATCCATAAAAAGAAGTTACCGATAACATTATACTTACGACGAGAGAATATACCCCTAAGATCAGTAGTAAGTCAAGGGTGTCTATACACACCCCTCATTATTGACATTGTACTGCAGTTTCTAACCAGTGCAATAAAGCAAGGAAAAGCATCCAGATTGGCAAGGAAGAAATAAAGTTGTCTTGCTTTGCAGATGACATAATTCTGTATGTAGAAAATCCTAAAGGGTACATATAACCACACTCGTGTGCACACAACGGAGCTGATGAGTTCAGCAAGGTTGTAAGATACAAGATGTATATACGAAAATTAGTTGTATATGTCTATATTGCAATATAGCAATAAATTGTGAAAACAAAACTAAACAATACTGTCCACAGTAGCATCAAAAAGGTCAAAATAGAGCCGGGTGCGTTGGCTCTAGCCTGTAATCCCAGCACTTTGGGAGGCCGAGGTGGGAGGATCACGAGGTCAGGAGTTCGAGACCAGCCTGGCCAACAGGGTGAAACCCTGTCTCTACTAAAACTACAAAAATGAGCTGGGTCTGGTGGTGTATGCCTGTAGTCCCAGCTACTTGGGGAGCTGAGGCAGGAGAATCTCTTGAACCTGGGAGGTAGAGGTTGCAGTGAGCAGAGATCACGCCACTGCACTCTAGCCTGGGCAACAGAGCAAGACTCCATTTCAAAAAAAAAATCAAAATACTTCAGAATAAATTTGACAAAAGTGCAAGATTTGTACACTGAAAACTGCAAAATATGGCTGAGAGGAATTAGTGACTACATAAATGGAGAGACATTCCATGTTCATAGGTTAGAAGACTCAAGATGGCAGTCCCTATCAAAATCCCAGCAGGCTTTTTTTCAGTAATTAACAAGCTGATCCTAAAATTTTTATGGGAATGCAAAGGACTCAGAATAGTCAAAAAAAAAATCTTGAAAAATAACAAATTTGGAGCATTTCCAAATGATAAAATTTACTATAAAGGTGTAGTAATCAAGACAATGTGGTATAAGGATAGACATATATATGTATATATCAATTGAAGATTTGAGGGTCCTGAAATTAGCCCTTAGATTCATTCTTAATCAGTTTTGCTCACAGGTGCCAAGGCATTTCAATGTGGAGAAGATTTGCCCTTTCGACAAATGAGGCTTGAAGCATTGGATATTCACATGCAAAATGATGGATTTAGATCCTTATATTTTCCACAAAAATTAACTCAAAATGGACCATACACCCAAATGTAAGAGTTAAAACTCTAAAACTTAGAAGAAAACATGGGCAAGAATTTTCATGACTCTGGGTTGGGCAAAAATTTCTCGTGTGACACCAAAAGCACAATCTTTCAAAGGTAAAATTGATGAATTGGTACGGTGCGGTGGCTCACACCCGTAATCCCAGCACTTTGGGAGGCCCAGGCAGGTGGATCACGAGGTCAGGAGTTGGAGACCAGACTGGCGAACATGGAAAAAGCCCATCTCTACTCTAAAAATACAAAAAAATTAGCTGGGCATGGTGGGCACCCGTAATCCGAGCTACTCAGGAGGCTGAGGCAGGAGAATCACCTGAAACCACGAGGCAGAGGTTGGAGTGAGCCAACATTGTGCCACTGCACTCCAGCCTGGGCGACAGAGCGAGACTCTGTCTCAAAAAAAAAAACAAAAAAAAAAAAACTAATGAATTGGACTTCATCTAAGTTAAAAACTTGTGTCTCATAAGCCACCATTAAAGAAATGAAAAAAATTACAGATGGGAAAAAGTATTTGCAAATCATATTGATAAAAGATTTATATCTAGAATGTATGAAGAAATCTTCAGGAAGTAATTCATGTAAAAGACAAAGGATTTGAATAGATATTTCTCTAAAAGAAGATATAAAATGGCCAATAAACATTGAAAAGATGCTCAACATCTTTGGCCATTAGAGAAATACTAATTAAAAGTATGAGATACCACTTCTCTCACACTAGGGTGACTATAATAAAAGATAGTAAGAAGTGTTGGTCAGGGTGTTGAGAAACTAGTTGCAGCCCCTTTGGATAGCAGTTTGGTAATTTCCTATGGTAAATACAAATTTACCATATTCGTAGGAATAGACCCATGTGAATTTTAAAATATATGTCTATAGGAAACTTGTAAACTAATACTTGTAGCTGCATCATGTAGTTCATATAGATCTTTGTATCTCTATTCTTGGTGCCAAACTGGAAATAACCCAAATTTCCATAAGCTGGTGAATTGATAAACACAGTAGGTTATATACGCACAAAGGAATCTTGCTCAGATATGAAAAGTGACGAAGTACATGCTACAACATGGATGAACCTCAAAAACTGATAAAATGAAAGAAGCCAAGGGGAAAATACCATGTATTGTATGGTTCCATTTATATGAAATGTCCTGAAGAGGGAAAACTGTAGGGACAGGAAGTGGATTAGCAGGGGGCTGGGATTTGGGCTGCCTGTGGACAGTAGCTGCGAATGGGCACAAGGAGCCCTTTTGGGATGAGGGGAATGTTTAAGATTGGTTAAAATTACTAAAATAAGTAGAATAGGTGATTTTATGACCTGTATGTAAATTCCACCTCAATAAAGCTGTTCAAGGCTCCTGAGATGAGACATGAATTCTAAAAGGAAAGTGTGGGAAGAAGTTTATGATTGTGGTTGTGGGCTGGTGCCTTAGAATTTGTTTTTTGCTTTTGTTTGAGACAGGGTCTTGCTCTGTCGCCCAGGCTAGAGTGCAGTGGGTCAGTCTCAGCTCCCTGCAGCCTCTGCCTCCCGGGTTAAAGTGATTCTCCCACCTCAGCCTCCCAAGTAGCTGGGATTACAGGCACACGCCACCATGCCTGGCTACGTTTTGTATTTTTAGTAGAGATGGCATTTCACCATGTTGGCCAGGCTGGTCTCAAACTTCCAACCTCAGGTGATCCTCCCATCTCAGTCTCCCAAAGTGCTGGGGTTACAGGTATGAGCCACCGGGCCGGGCCTTAGCACTTGTATTGCTAACAAGCTCCCAGGTGGCGTGTTGCTTCCATTCAAAGCCCTGGGACTAGACCCAGTGCCCTGTGTGATAGGATATCCACTTGTGTCTGAATGAGGTGAATGCCTGAGGGGGGCCCTGATCGCCATGGTGCTCCGGGTAAAATCTGGTGACCAGTGACAGGGCTGAAGTCCTGAAAAGCTAAAGGTTTCCCCTTTAGGAAAGAAAATGGTGAAAACCAAAAGATCCTGAGGAGGAGGCTGTCATGAGTTGCAAAGCTCTTGTTGAAAAGCGCGGGAGGAGTGGCTGAGATCAAGAACAGGAACACAAGAAGCTACAAGTGCTGGCTGAGCTGGGCATCCAGGCACAGCCACGGAGATGCGCTCCCGGAAGCAGCTTGTCACTCGGCCTGTGGACACTGCAGGGGACAGGGCTGAGTGAGCGAGACCGTGCTGCAAGGCCCACAAGTGACCAAGCGCTCAACGAAGTACCTTGGCCCTGGGCAGGCCCTCCTGATGCTGGAAATCCGGTCCTGCCTGGAGACTCAAGGAAGGTTAGCCAGTGAGAAAGGCAGATCCCAAAGACATGGCCCACAGACCAGAGTGCAAAAGGCCGAAACCAAACCCCAAGAATACAAGCAAAACAGTTAAGCTGAGTATAGACCCTCATGCAGTTTATTTTCACTCCTTGTAGTTCTTTATCTGAAATCTGCTTTAGGTGAGTTTAGCTGGGAATTAAGTTGGTTGTGCTAGGGAGGGCACTGCCCTCAGGGTGGGAACTGTGAGGAGGTGGACTTGGGTCATCGGGCTGTGGCCAAGAGCCCCCTTTTTGTTACTATTGAGCGGTCTCACCAGGATTTCCCTCCATCAAAATTCGGGCCGGACGTGATGGCTCACGCCTGTAATCCCAACTTTGTAATGGGGAGGCTGAGGCAGGAGGATCATTTGAGGTCAGGAGTTCGAGACCAGACTGACCAACATGGTGAAACCTCATCTCTACTAAAAAATACAAAATTAGCCCGGCATGGTTGTGCATGCCTGTAATCCCAGCTACTTGGGAAGCTGAGGCAGGAGAATTGCTTGAACCTGGGAGGCGGAGGTTGCAGTGAGCTGAGATCATGCCATTGCACTCCAGCCTGGGCAACAAGAGTGAAACACTCTCTCAAAAAAAAAAGAAAAAGAAGTTCAAGACTAGCCTGGGCGACATGGTGAAAATACAAAAATTAGCTAGGTGTGGTGGTGGGTACCTGTAATCCCAGCTACTTGGGAGGCTGAGGCAGGAGAATCACTTGAACTTGGGAGGTGGAGGTTGCAGTGAACTGAGATCACGCCACTGCACTCCAGCCTGGGCAACAAGCAAGACTCCGTCTAAAAAAAAAAAGAATTCAGGCTACTGCTGTGAGAAACCGGCTCTGCCAAAGAACCTTCCAGAGCCCACTTTGGAGATGGGAGGAAACTCGTTTGTGCATGCTCCATGCATATATGCCCTGCACCATGTTTGTGTGGATTTGAAATGTGCTGGCTGGAGCAAATGTGAGAGCACACAGATGACAGTGTGGAGGGCCAGAAGCAGTGGTGGTCATCTGACATCTGTGGTTCTGTGGGGTGTTTTGAAAGTTTTTTTGAGAAAAATTAGCTATGGAGGCGATCTTACAAGTCAGCCCAGCACCAGGGTCAATTTATATGGGAAAATATCCCATCAAGGTCCTGCACAGGGCCGGGTGCACTCCGTAGCGCGTCCACTGACACCAGACCATGCATGGGGCTCGCCCGAGAGTCAGGCCTGGCTCTTCACGTTCCCTTGTGCTGCCTCCTTCCCGTGTCCAAAATGGACATGGATGAGAGAAGGAAGCAAAAGGTATGTTTAATCCTTTGCTGCCAAAGTCCCTGGACTTTGAGGGAGAAACAGATCAAACATGTCAGAGGCCTTTGGGGTGGGGAAAGGGAAAGTCATTTGCGAAACAGAATGCCATCCAGGAGCAGATGCTAGCAGGGACAGTCTGGAGGCGAGATGTTACGGAGGCTGTTTGGGATAACAATTCATATGGATTTCAAGAGTCTCTTCTACTGGAATCCCTTGCTGGAGGGAGCACCTTATTTTTGCTGTTCTAATGCCTTCTGTGTGTGTTTTTGGTCACAAGGTTTCTCCATGTCAGGTTCCACTGCTGTCATTCAAGGGATATTCTCGCTTTACTGGTGTGACTGGGGATCCCCTCTATATTTCCCTTTTGGTGTCCTTTGCAAGCCACCCTAGGCCCTCCCACTGTTTCCATGGACTGCATCATCTTTGTGTGAGCTAGCGGTCAGTCCAGTGCCAGCTCCAGCCTTGTCCCCACAGGCAGTGACTGCCAGGGCCCTGTCTCCTCTCAGGCTTGGGACATGCATCTTTCTCCAAGATCCACCCAAGAATGATAGCAGGGGTCCAGATCTAAAGGGAAGATGTGCCTTTGGGGCTCCAATGGGCCTCACTCTCCATTCTTATGTGTCCATGTTTGCCCTGTCTCAGTTTTTGAGGAGAGCAACTCAAGGTCATGCCAACCACACTCATTCTGTTGTGAGAGCTGTGCTTTCACCTGAATGCTCTGTATATATTTGAAAATCTGTAGTGTCACGTGCAAATTCAAGTTTTAAGAATGCCTGTACTACAGTGAAGGTGGAGTGGCTGCGCTTGGGAACTGGTTACTTTCTTTGTACAGCAGAAGAACTGTGAGATGGGCTTGAGGCCAAGGGAAAAGGGAATTAGAATGATGCCACTGTCTGCCTCTGACAGGGAAAACCTTAACCTGGACGTTATACCCCGTGTCACAGAAGACTCAGGCAGCAGCCATTCCAGACCTGCTTTGGTTGATTTTATGTCTGTCTGTGTGTGTGTGCTAGCCCCACTGAGTATCAGTGATATTCTTATCTAAATTACATGCCAAAGAATAAAGCCAAGTGTCTGGCCTAGGCAGGGTGTTTTCCTCTCTATTTTGGAGAAATTGTGGTTATAGCAGTAATGAATAACAGTTAATGGATACACAGCAGCCATGCTGGATTGGGAGGCTGCCTCCGAAAGTGCACCCCCGCCCCCAGAGACTTTGTTATAAGTTTGAGATTGCCTTTTTAAATCTCCATTTGATAACTGATCCAAAGAAGTTCTTAGAATTGCTAGGCATGGTGGCTCACGCCTGTAATCCCAGCACTTTGGGAAGCCAAGGCAGGCGGATCACCTGAAGTCAGGAGTTCAAGACCAGCCTGACCAACATGGAGAAACCCCTTCTCTACCAAAAATACAAAATTAGCTGGGCATGGTGGCGTGTGCTTGTAATCCCAGCTACTTGGGAGGCTGAGGCAGGAGAATCGCTTGAACCTGGGGGACACAGGTGGCGGTGAGCTGAGATCGCACCACTGCACTCTAGCCTGGGCAACAAGAGTGAAACTCCGTCTAAAAAAAAAAAAAAAAAGAAATTCTTAGAATTATGATTACTTGATAGTTGCTGTTAAGAAGTAGAATCTAATCTACCAGGGTATCTTTGAATGAAAGTCTCTTAAGAATAAAGCATTGTTTGGATTTGTGGGTGTGAGGACCTAGAGAGACGCTTGGAAACTCTCACTTAGGGGAGACGGGCACAGAAATGTCTTGACATGGAGCATACATATGGGGATAGGACCTTATGCTCGGTTATAATTTCCTTCCTCGTGTTGTCTGCGGATAGCTACTATCAAGACAGTGCCGCTTATAAACACTCTCCAAGTGAGTACCAAGCTGGCTGGACCTCCCCAGGATCAAGCTGCCTCAGCTTGGAATTTTAGAAGCACCTCTTGGAAGAAGCCAAGATGGAGAGAAATTTTGTGTAGGCCAGGAACGTTCCAAACACCTGGAAGCCAAAGTAAGCTTAGCTGTAAAAGTAACGTTCCAAACACCCGGGAGCCAAAGTAAGATTAGTAAGATTAGCTGAGCACATCTTACTAACACCCAACAAAATAAGGACTCAAGGAGAACTGTGCCTGCCCAAGGGCACTGGGCAGGAGCCCAAGTCATGCCCTTCTCATTGTAGTAAGAGCTCAAATTTAATGAACCACAGAACACAGGCACACACAGGGACTTCGATCCATGTGTATGTTTTCTATATAGAGCATAAAATTCTTCACAGTCACCTTACCCTGACAGGCATTGTTACCACGCCCGTGTTACAGAAGGGGCAGGCTGAGTGTGTTGGGGGGGAACTTAGCCTGTGGTCTGAGGATCTAAGGAAGCTCCATAGAGCTCCCTGTGATGGAGAAAATGTTCTGTCTGTGCTGCCCAGGATGGTAGCCATGAGCCACACATGGCTTCAGAGGGCTGGAAATGGGGCTTATGAGACGGCAGAACTGAATTTTTAGATTTATTTCACTTTGGACCGGGCGCGGTGGCTCACGCCTGTAATCCCAGCACTTTGGGAGGCTGAGACGGGCAGATCACGAGCTCAGGAGATTGAGACCATCCTGGCTAACACGGTGAAACCTCGTCTCTACTAAAAATACAAAAAATTAGCCGGGCATGGTGGCAGGCGCCTGTAGTCCCAGCTATTGAGGAGGCTGAGGCAGGAGAATCACTTGAACCAGAGAGGCAGAGGTTGTAGTGAGCTGAGATCGCGCCACTGCACTCCAGGCCGGGCGAAAGAGCGAGCTTTTGTCTCAAAAAAAAAAAAAGATTTATTTCACTTAATTTAAATAGCCATGTGTGGCCAGTAGCTCTTGTGTCAGTGCAGGCAAGGTGCCACTCTGCGTCTTAACTTGGGGGTAGTCTGTTTATTGCTGTTCTTTAAACTGTGCAGCTAAGTGTTAATACTCATTAGTATGCATGGTAAACCCCACACTTTGAAAGGTTGTGGTCCGCCTCCTCCAGTCTCTCCCATTAGTGTCTGAGTATGACTTTTCCAGTGGCTTCTGTTCAGATCAGTCCAGGCCATCTTGCTTCTCTTGCTCAGCAATGCCACGAAGTCAGTCACATATATAAGAGGGTCTCTGACTGGGGCCTTGTACCCCAGCCAGCTGTCTTTAAGATTGTCACTGTTTTATTTATCCCTTGATTAGATCACATGATAGCCAGTGGATCACTGTTTCTAATTTGCTGCAACAAATGAAGTTGCTCTGCCGGGTACAGTGGCTCATGCCCATAATCCCAGCTACTCGGGAGGTTGAGGCAGGGGGATCACTTGAGGCCAGGAGTTCAAGACCAGCCTGGACAACATAGCAAGACTCTGTCACTACAAAAAACAAAACAGAACAAAATTAGCCAGGCATGATGCTGCATGTCTGTCATCCCAGCTACTTGGGAGGCTGAAGTGGGAGAATCACTTGAGCCTAGGAGGTCGAGGCTGCAGTGAGCTATGACTGCACCACTGAATGCAGTGTGGGTGATAGAGTGCGACTCTTTCTCAAAAAAAGAAGTATCTCTATTGCTAATAGGAGCTTATTTTAAAGTAATAGTAAGAAGAAACAACAGTTTACTGTTTGCAGGCACTTTTCAGGATGGTTTACATATGTCATCTCATTAATTCCTCATTTAACAGATATTACTGTCACCTTTTTATAGATGTGGAAATTGAGGCAGAGGGATGGTAAATAAGTAGCACAGTCCTGTTAGTAGGAATTGGTCTGCCTCACCTGTATGTCCACACCTCTTGAGCCACAGCACTTGTGGGGCATTAGAATCTGTTTATTTTATTTATTTATTTATTTGGAGACGGAGTTTCACTCTTGTCACCCAGGCTGGAGTGCAATGGCATGATCTCGGCTCACTGCAACCTCTGCCTCCCAGGTTCAAGGGATTCTCTTGCCTCAGCCTCCCAAGTAGCTGGAATTACAGGCATGCGCCACCACATCCAGCTAATTTTGCATTTTTGGTAGAGATGGGGTTTCTCCATGTTGGTCAGTCTGGTCTCGAACTCCCGACCTTAGGTGATCTGCCCGCCTCGGCCTCCCAAAGTGCTGGGATTACAGATGTGAACCACTGCACCTGGCTGGAATCTGTTTTTTATTATGTGTACTGAAAGGGTTTTTAAAATTTTGGGATGATAGAGAGGAGAGATATATTTGCTCTCAAAAGATATGTATTCATACTCGCTTCATACCCTCTAGAATGACTCTAGTAAAAAAGACAATAACAGGTGCTGGTGAGGAGGTAGAGAAATTGACACCCTTCTACCCTGCTGGTGGGAAGCAATGCAAAAGGGCGCAGCTGTGCCGGGTGCAGTGGCTCACGCCTGTAATCTCAACAATTTGGGAGGCCAAGGTGGGTGGATGGCTTGAGCCCAGGGATTGGAAACCAGCCTAGGCCACATGGCAAAACCTCATCTCTACAAAAAAATACAAAAATTAGCTGGGTGTGGTGGCGCATGCCTGTAGTCCCAGGGAGGCTGAGCAGGGAGAATCATTTGAGCCTTGGAGGTCAGGGCTGCCAGAGAGCCATGATTGTGCCACTGCACTCCAGCCTGGGTGACAGAGCGAGACTCCGTCTCAAAAAATAAAAAAAAGATTCAAAAAATAAAAATAAAGTGGTGCAGCTGCTGTGGAAAACAGGAGGTTCCTCAAAAAGTTAAGCACAGGATTACCATGTGACCCAGCAATTCTTTTCCTCAGTGGAAATGAAAAGACATATCCACACAAATGTTCACAGCAGCATTATCCACAATAGCCAAAAAGCAGAAACAAGCTAAATGTCCGTTGGCTGACGAATGGATATGTGGTTTATCTCTAGCATGGAGAATTATTTGGGCCATAAAAAGGAATGACATTCTGATACATCCTATAAGATAAATGCATTTTAAAAATGTACTAAGTGTAGCCAGGCATTGTGGCTCACGCCTATAATCCTAGCACTTTGGGAGGCTGAGGCGGGTGGATTACCTGAGGTCAGGAGTTCGAGACCAGCCTGGCCAACATGGCGAAACCCTGTCTCTACTAAAACTACAAAAATTAGCCAGGCGTGGTGGTGTGCGCCTGTAATCCCAGCTACTCAGGAGGCTGAGGTGGGAGAATCTCTTGAACCTGGGAGGCAGAGGTTGCAGTGAACCGAGATAATGCCACTGTACATACTACAGCCTGGGCAACAGAGCAAGACTTTGTCTCAAAAAAAAAAGAAAGTACTAAGTGAAAGAAGTCACAAAAGGCCACATTTCATGATTCCACTGATATTAAATGTCCAGAACTGGCAAATCTGAAGAGGCAGAAAGTAGATTGGTGGTTTCCGGGGCCTGGGAGGGGCAGGTGGGAAGGGAGTGTAACTGTTTATGGGTCTGGGGTTTTTCTTGGGGACTATGAAAATGTTCTGGAGATCATTGGTGGTGATGGGAGTCTGACTTTGTGAATCTACTAAAACCCATTGAATAATGCTCTCAGTGGGTGAATTTTACAGTGTGTCAATTATCTCTCAGTTTTTAAGATCTCCATGATCTAGCCTGGAGGACAAAGGCTGCAGGCCCTTTGTCATGCCAGCATCCTGACCTGGTGCTGCCTGTGTCCAGGGGACCTGAATAGATTCACACTGTGGCCTGGATAGCCGTGCCAGCACACAGGAGGCTGCCATCCTCCTTGTGTCCCCCAGGCCACACCTCCTCCCCTTGTTCCTCACTCTACTGCTCCATTTACACTCATATGTGCCCACCCACAGTTCCGGGTTTACCGGCGCCTTCCTGTGTGCTGGGCTCTGCTCTAGTCCTGCGTACACGGTGAGTGGGATGAGGGCTGGCCCTTGAGGCTCATGGTCTGGCGAGGAGACAGTAAGTCAGCAAGTCACAAGCAAGATGGACAGGAGGGCAGCGGGCCCGGGGTGGGGACGGTACTTTGGAATGTGCGTTCTCAAACATCCTGGGGAGGTGATATCTGAGCCGAGACTCTTACTGGGAGCCCCAGAGGCTTGCTCTGGGACAAGGCTGTCCTCTGATTTATTGCCCCATTACAGTGAGACTGAAGGAGACTGCTCACTAAGAGAACTTCTGGCATCTTTAGGAAACAGGAAGAGACAACCCTTCTAGGACTGGGGAGAAGGATGGAGCTGGGGTAAAGTTAAGTGCAGCAATGTATTGATAGGCCTGAAGCAAAGCAGGCCTATGTGGATGGGGCCACAGCAGGACTGGACTGCAGAGTGGCTGAGGCCGGTTTCTCCGGAAACAGCAGAGTTGAGAGTGACACGAATGTCCAAGCCACTGTCTGAGGCTCTCGCCTCTGACGGTGTCTGCATCTTCCTGACTCAGGCCCTGGGCGACCATGGGCTGCTTCATCCTCACTGCTGTCATTTCAAATGTTTGAGCTCTGTAGCTGGTCTTACCTGGATGTCCTCAGGCAGAGGAAGGAGAGGGGGGCCCGTCCACTTTCACCGCAGGCTCTACAGCAGGCCACCCAGCCAGCACTTAGCAACAGCCACCAGCCCCTTCATGATGCTCAGAGCCATGGGGGGATGAATGTCACACTCCTCATTATGCTGCACACGTGGGAACCCTTAGACAAATACATGTAACATAGAGATTTGGCTGCTTCGCTCCACGTGCAAAACATGCTGAGTGCCAGTAGTACAGGGCACCATTTGAACTAAACCGGCCTGACAGAGGCCGGGAAGAAAGATCCACCTGTGGAGAGGACACTGCAGTGAGGCCCAGGGAGCAGGAAGAGTGGGTTAGGGAAGGGGCAGAGGCCCTGGGCCAGGCAGCCGCAGCTGCTTCCGTTAGAGGGACAGAGTGCCAGGAGAAGGGTAGGGCCAGCCCGGTGAGCCTGGCCTCACTCAGCGCTGGAGGCAAGAGTCATGCGTGGTGTGTGTGTGTCATGTATATGTACTCAAGTCCTTGTATCCTCTCCTCCTTGTCAAACACAGGCGCATGCACACAGCATGCATGCACACACACTGGTGTTTGTCTTCATTCTGTCACCAACAGACTTCCCTGTGAGGTCTTCTCATGCAGGTGTCCCCGCTATGTCACACCGTGCAGTTGTGTCCACCAGAGAGGACCCTTTATGCGCTCTGCCACCTCATTCAAGGGCCTCACAGGGATGTGAACTTGCCATCACAAATGTGGGGGACTGGGCCACCCATTCTCTTGTTCGGAAAGTCACCACCCCAGCTGACAAAGTCATTGCAGTGGGAGACTCGAAAGCTGGACCCTGTGAGCAACAGGGCAGCTGAAGAACCCACACTCTGTGCAAGCAAAGCACTAGCGAGATAGCGCAGCCACGGGGATGCCAGGACAGGCCCTGGGCCCTGCTCCTGGTGTGTGGTGTGTGTGTGTTTGGGTGGTGTGTGGTGTGTGCTGTGTGTTTACGCTATGTATAGTATATGTGGTGTGAGTCCAGTGTGTGCAGTGTGCGAGGGGTGTGTGTGTGTGGTGTGTCTGGTGTGCGTGTGGTGTGTACGTGGTATGTGTATATGTGGCATGGTGCATGTGGTGTTTGTGGTATGTATATGCAGTGTGTGGTATATGTGGTGTATGGTGTATGTGGTGTGTGGTATACGTGGTGTGTATGTGGTGTGTTGTATATGTGGTGTGTGTGTGGTATGTGTATGTGGTGCATGTGGTGTGATATGTGTATATGTGGTGTGTGTGGTAGGTGTGTTGTGTATATTGTGGTGTATGTGTGGTATGTATATGGTATGAGTGTGTTGTGTATGGTGTGTGACACGTGTGTTGTGTGTGGTGCGTGTGTGTTTATTGTGTGTGGTGTCCTCTGTTCCCGCCTGTCCTGTGTCATCCTGGGATCGGGGAGCCTCTCCCTCAGGGAAGGAGCTCACACCACAAACCCAAGCATGACCCGGGCTTTCACAGTGAGGCTGGGGCCACTGCTGGGTCCTGTGTGGGTTCAGTAGACCTCAAGCCACATTGAGAAAACACCCCAGAGCCTCACAGACAGCACCTGACTGAGAGCTCAGAAGGGCAGAGAGTCCCCACCAAAGTTTATTACCTACTTATATGTTTGGGATTGACATAAAATAAATTCTCATTGGGGTCATGTTCCAAAAACCTTTGAAAAGTTCTACTTTAGTTGAATCATTGTGCATGGATTGAACGTGGTTGGGTCTACCACAGAGACTCTCACCCACAGATCATTAAATAAGTATGTTTGGTCTTGGCTATTTCAGAGAATTATGTAACAATGTATGTGGACGGTGCATGTGTGGACGCCGTTGATGAGCAGTTGATCTAGTTGGTCTAGTGGCCGTATCCCATAAAGAGAAGTAATTTTGTTGGGTATGATAATCAGTTCATGCTGCCTCTAGACCCGCCTCATCCGTCATGGTAGCCACAGCCACGTGTGGCAGTGAGCACTGGAAATGTGGCTGATCTCAATGCAGATGTGCTACCAGTGTGAGAACTGGAAGACTCGGCACACAAAATATCTCAGTAATTATGTACTGCTGGTTAGACGTTTAAATGCTAGTATTTTTGGCACATTAGTCTCACTGTGCTATATTTTAAAAATCAGTGTTACCTGTGTATACTTTCTGTGTTTAATGTGGCTACGGGAAAATTTAAATTTCCATTTGTGGCTTGGATTCTCTTTCTGGGGGCTGTGCTGGTGTCCATATAACTGGGTGCTGTTTGTCCGCTAACAGATAGGCCCACAGGCACACTACTGTCCTGGTTTGCAGCCCAGTGCCAGCCCCTTTGTGGCTTTCTCATTCATCTGGTACACAAACCCTTCCCAAACTACTCCTTGTCCAGCCCACGCTTCTTTAGGAGGAGCTAACCAGAGCCCCAGTTCCTTCACTTCATTTGCTTCGGTTGCATGTGGCTTTATTCAGCTGGAGACCATGATCCTGAAGAGGGTCTCTGCCGGGGCTGCGGAGAGGGGCCTGCGTGGGGCTGTGCAGCTATGTCTTCCGTTCCCTCTGGCCTCGCACCACCTGCAATCTTGCCTTTCCTGCCCCTTGCTGTTGCAAGAATGCAAACGTATACTCCCTCCCTCCTCCTCTTGCTGACCTAGTCTAGGATGTCTAGGTGACCTGGGCATAACCTCTTGAATTCTGACTGTTCACCTTCCATTTTTACCAACTCAGGCATTTTTCTGCCGAAATACAATAGATTTCTCTTCTCTTTTGATCAAAACTCTGTGATAGGCCAGGGGTGGTGGCTCACGCCTGTAATTTCAGCCCTTTGGGAGGCCAAGGCAGGCAGATCACCTGAGGTCAAGAGTTCGACACCAGCCTAGCCAACATGGTGAAAACCTGTTTCTACTAAAAATACAAAATTAGCCGGGCATGGTGGCACGTGTCTGTAATCCCAGCTACTCAGGACTCTGAGGCAGGAGAATCGCTTGAACCCGGGAGGTGGAGGTTGCAGTGAGCCGAGATCATGCCATTATACTGCAGCCTGGGCGACAAGAGCGAAACTCCATCTCAAAAAAACAAAACAAAACAAAACAAAACAACTCTGTGATAGTGTGAATGGATGCTCCTCCCCAAATCTTTAAGCAGTTTCCCACTAATAGACATTTAATTTTGTTTGTTATTATAAAAATGCTTCAATGAATGTCCTTAGGCACAATTTGGGGCATTCGTGAGTAGATCTGCAGAATAAAATTAGAGATGAAGGATTGCTAGATCAATATGTGTGTGTATATATATTTTGAGACAGAGTCTCACTCTGTTGCCCAGGCTGGAGTGCAGTGTCAGGATCTTGGCTCACTGCAACCTTCGTCTCCCAGGCGCAAAACATTCTCCTGCCTCAGCCTCCCAGGTAGCTAGGATTACAGGCATGTGCCACCACTCCCGGCTAATTTTTCTATTTTCAGTAGAGATGGGGTTTCACCATGTTGTCCAGTCTGGTCTCGAATTCCTGACTTAAGGTAATCCGCCCACCTCGGCCTCCCAAAGTGCTGGGATTACGGGCGTGAGCCACCGCGTCTGGCCATGTGTGTATAAAAAGTTGTTAGATATAAGCTACTCACTGTGACTTCTAAACGACCTTTGGAAAATATTCATAATTTTAAGAAATCTGGTCATTTTCTCAGTAACTTCAAATAGTTTTCTGGAGAATGAGGATCATAAGAACAAATACTTCCTTTTAAAAATCCACTTCATATTTTTATGATAAGGACAAAATTGTCAACTCTTGTTTAATTTTACCACACATGGACAAAAATGGCAATTTTGCAAGGAAATCCTAAAATAACCTGACCCTAAAACACTTTTTCTCATCTGAATATTTAAGTGTACTTTGATTTTATAAAGTGCCCTATTTGTCTTTTCACTTTGTTAGTTAAACGTTATAACATCTGCACCCTTACGAACTGGTCTTAACAACTGTTATTTCAATTTAGGTTTTCCTGTGCGCTTAAGAAGACCCGTAGAGGAGAATTACCTCTGTGTTAAAAAACCAAAACAAAACAAAACAAAAAACCTGTGTCATCTGGCCAGGCGCAGTGGCTCACGCCTGTAATCCTGGCACTTTGGGAGGCTGAGGTGGATGGATCATTTGAGGTCAGGAGTTTGAGACCAGCCCGACCAACATGGTGAAACCTCGTCTCTACTAAAAATACAAAAAAATTAGCCAGGTGTGGTGGCGCATGCCTGTAGTCTCAGCTACTTGGGAGGCTGAGGCAGGAGAATCTCTTGAACGCGGGAGTTGGAGGTTGCAGTGAGCCAAGATTGCACCACTGCACTCCAGCTTGGGCAACAGAGAGAGACTATGTCTCAAAACAAACAAACAAAAAAACTGTGTCATTCAATGCACTTCTTTTCCATCTAGAAGCCCCTTCAAATGTGCAGAAGCCCCTGGGTGCATCCTGAGGCACTGGGATTGTGCAGTGGGCTCCCCCACAGTGGACACAGTTTAGGGAGTTGGTTAGCCTTGCGCTCTGTTTTTGGAGCTTTGCAAATTGAAAGAAACCCTGTTTATTTTCCTGACTTGCTTAAGAATAAAGACACTCAGGTCATTTTTGTTAACTTTACATCTAGCATCCAGAGAAATGTGTCACTGTTTTTAATCTCATTGTGCTGTTAATCATGGTCTTATACAAAAAGGATTGGGAAGGTTGGGTGCAGTGGCTCATGCCTATAATCCCAGCACTTTGGTAGGCCAAGGCAGGCGGATCACTTGAGGTCAGGAGTTCAAGACCAGCCTGGCCAACTTGGAAAAACCCCATCTCTGCTAAAAATAACAAAAATTAGCCAGACGTGGTGGCATGTGCCTGTAACCCTAGCTACTCAGGAGGCTGAGACAGGAGAATCACTTGAACCCGGGAGGTGGAGGTTGCAGTGAGCCAAGATCACACCACTGCACTCCAGCCTGGGCAACAGAGCGAGATTCCATCTCAAAAAAAAAAAAAAAAAAAGTAAAAGGAGTGGGGAAAATCAAAATCCCCAAAGTATGTTAATACCACAAAATAGTAGTGATTTTAAACATACAGAAGGGAAATTTTTATAGCAACTGTCACTGAGTCATTTTACAAACAGAAGAATATGAAATTACCCTAATGCACATGCATAGTAATCCAGTGTTTTAAGAAGAAACCACCATTTTAAAGTCCTAATGCTATGTATGGTATTTTCAACAGGAATGAAAATGGAACGAAGCCAATAAGAGTTAAATTGATGGCCAGAATGAGTGTCCTGGTTATTTTTATTAATAAAAATCCCCATTTGTGACAAAACAATTGAAATTCAGTTTAACCTCCAGCATGAAAACACTGCTGGCCTCTCCCACTGGGCTGCCAGCTGTCTGGCCTATGTCCTGGTCATCAAAGCCAGCAAAGTGTGGCTTCTCTTTCTTAGGGCCAGGTGGTTTGTGAGTTAGTGAAAAACTAAGGATGGGGATAGAGGAACAGGTTAAAGTCCACCTAGAGGAAGTAACTGGCCAGATTCCTAGTGTGAACAAGGCTTTTGGGCAACCACCAAGGAAGTGTCCACAAGTCTGTGGCATAAATAACTGGGGGCAGGAATGGGGGCAGTGGAGACTCTTATAGATTACAGACCTAAAAAAAAGAGGCTTTGGAGGTATACTAACCAAACACAAAGGGTGGACCTTGTTTGAATCCTAATTTGAACAAATCAATTGTAAAAACATATTTCACAGACAGTTGGGGCAATAATATAATATTGCGCTCTGTTTTTGGAGCTTTGCAAATTGGCTATTTTTGTTATGTGTGAAAAGTTAATTTTATAAGAAGTATCAATGGGTGGAATGACACCATGTCTGGGATTTGCTTTAGAATGTTCCAGCAAAATGTTGGCATGTGCCTGTAATCCTAGCTACTCGAGAATCCAAGGCAGAGGGGCCTGGCCTCAATTCTGCTTGAGCTCAGAAGTTCAAGACCAGCCTGGGCAACACAGTGAGACCCTGTCTCAAAAAAAAAAAAAAAAAAAAAAGAAAAGAAAAGAAAAGAAAAAGAATGTTCCAGCAAAATGCATCAATAAGCAGATACATAAATGGTGCAGGAGTACTCGAGGAATCCAGGATGGGCGGGGGTAGAGCAGATGAAGCCATATAGCAAGGTACAGTTGGTGGTTGAAGCTACGGAAGGGATAACTGGGATCCCTGCCCTCTGCTTTTGTGCATTTTTGGAAAATTTGTAAATAGCCTTAACAACCCCCATTTATTAAATGCCTGCCAGGTACAGAGCACAATGCCACCTCCCGGGATACCTCCCACCCAGTTCCTCAATCCCCAGCCATGTTCCCAAGCCAGATGACCCTGGAGGGCTCTGCTGGCTGGGACTGGGGTGAAGAGGATCGAGGGATAGCAGGGTGACCCAAAATTAGCATCAGGAAAAGTGTATTCCTTAAAGTAAAAAGCATCAATAAGCATAAAAGAATGAAGAAAGTAATGACTTCATTAGTTGATGATAAAAAGGAGCACCTTGTAAAGAATATATAATAATCCTATCTGTAGATACAAAATATACCTTCAAAATATATAAAACAGGTCAGGCGCGGTGGCTCACGCCTGTAATCCCAGCACTTTGGGAGGCCAAGGTGGGCAGATCACGAGGTCAGGAGTTTGAGACCAGCCTGGCCAATATGGTGAAACCCCGTCTCTACTAAAACTACAAAAATTAACCAGGCGTGATGGTGGGTGCCTGCAGTTCCAGCTACTTGGGAGGCTGAGGCAGGAGAATTGCTCGAACCTGAGAGGCGGAGGTTGCAGTGAGCCGAGATCTCAGCACTGCACTTTAGCCTGGGAGATGGAGCGAGACGCCATCTCAAAAAAAAAAAAAAAAAAAAAAAAAAAAAAAAAAAAAAAAATTCTGATAAAATATATAAAACAAAAAAGGACAGAATACAAAGAAATTGCCAAGTCCACTATCACAATGGGAAAATGGAACATAAGTCTTTGAGAAATTGAGAGATCAGCAGAGAGAAATCAAAAAGGGCACAGAAGATTTGAACAATATAATTAATGAGCTTAATATAAGGACAGGCATAGATCCCTGCACCAAAAGGGATCTATGCCTGTCCTTATATCAAGCTCATTCATTATATGTAGCTCATATATTAATTATGTGTAGGTAACATACACAATTGTCCCTGTTGTTAGATATGAGTTCTAAATTTCTTTTCAAATAATTAATATGTCAGTACGTTCAATTCTTTGCCTTCTACTTTTAAACTTAACTTCCTCATAAAGCAACCTTTTTCGATTACCTACTCCACCCTGACTCATTCCAATCACCTGCTCCACCCTAACTCATTCCAATCACCTGCTCCACCCTAGCTCATTACGATTACCTGCTACCTGCTCTGCCCTGACTCCCACCAAAGCACTCACCTTGTCATTCTCTTTAAATTAGCCAATCGGAATTAGTTTAGCCGGTGCGGTCTAACCCTAGCCAATAGGGGAAGGACACAGCAGCAGGGGCCACGTGCCTCTGGGATAAGAACCCCTTCCCCTCCCTTGTCCAAGTGTGCGCTCACCATTTCTCCATCTGTAAGGGCGCACCCTTCTATAGAAGTACCTTGCCTTGCTGAGAATTAAAAAGAAAATCTTATATTCGAGTGCTATTTATTTTGTGGCACCAAAACTTTATATATAATAACACTCAGTATCCACAGGGTACCAAAGTCAGGCAAGCTGATAGAAGAAACAAACAATTTAAAGCAGAGTATCCAATTATGGATAAAGTAAATATTTTAATAGTTATGAGAGAATACTATGAATATTTTATACCTTTGAATTAAAGCCTTAGACAAAATGGACAGCTTTCTAGAAAAATCAGTGACCAAAACTCATTGAATAAAACAGAAAACCTGAATAGACCTTTAACTGTTAAATGAACGGAATCACCAAAAATGTATCCACAGAAACAAAACAAAAGGCAAGCCAAGATGATTTTGCAGATGTGACCTACCAAACCCTTCAAGGAACAGATCATCTCTACTTTATACAGTTGCACCTGAGAAGAATAAAAGAGAGAAAGCCCTTCAATTTGTAACCGCCCAAGGGGTTCTCCTTGCCCGCTGCCTAGACAGGGGGATTGTAATAGAGAAAGACGTTTTTTGTTGTTGTTGTTGTTGTTTTGGGACGGAGTCTTGCTCTGTTGCCCAGGCTGTAGTGCAGTGGCGTGATCTCGGCTCACTGCAAGCTCTGCCTCCCGGGTTCACGCCATTCTCCTGCCTCAGCCTCCTGAGTAGTTGGGACTACAGGCGCCCGCCACCACAACCAGCTAATTTTTTTTTTTTGTATTTTTTAGTAGAGACGGGGTTTCACCGTGTTAGCCAGGATGGTCTCGACCTCCTGAGCTCATGATCCGCCTGCCTTGGCCTTCCAAAATGCTGGGATTACAGGTGTGAGCCACTGTGCCCAGCCCTGAGAAGAGTTTAATTCACGCAGAGCTGGCTCTACAGGAGACTGGAGTTTTATTTTTATTCAAATCAGTCTCCTGATTTGAATCGGAGTTTTTAAGGATAGTTTGGTGGATCGGAGTTTTTAAGGATAGTTTGGTGGATAGGGGGTGGGAAAGTGGGGAATGCTGATTGGTTAGGTTGGAGATGAAATCATAGGGGATTGAAGTGAGTTTTTCTTGCTGTCTTCTATTCCTGGGTGGGATTGCAGAACAAGTTGAGCCAGATTACCAGTCTGGGTGGCCTCAGCTTGTGCATCGGAATGCAGGGTTTGCAAAATATCTCAAGCACTGATCTTAGGTTTTACAACAGTGATTAACATCCCAAGAGCAATTTGTGGAGGGTCCGACATTGCAGCTGGAGGCTGCCTGGCTTCTAAACTGCAATTTCTAATTTTGTAGCTTAATTTGTTAGTCCTACAAAGGCAGACTGGTACCCAGGCAAGAAGGGGGTTTATTTGGGGAAAGTACTATTATCTTCTTTGTTTCAAAGTTGAACTATAAACTAAATTCCTCCCAAAGTTAGTTCAGCCTTCTCCCAGGATTGAACAAGGACAACTTAGAGGTTAGAAGCAAGATAGATTAGATTAGGTCAGATCTTTTTCACTGTCATAACTTTCTCAGTTATAATTTCTGCAAAGGCAGTTTCCAATTCATTCCATGAGGCTAAGATTTTCTTGATGCCAAGTGAATAGTGACAGTCTAGGGGTACCTCTTATGTTCCTGTTACTTATAAACAGAGGTGCTAATAGCCTTTGAACATCTTTGTTTATAGAGAATGAAGGATTTGAACCTAAGGGTTGAGGAGAAGGTGTAGGGGAAGAATAAATGAGTAAAAGCATTTTAAAGTTTTTAATTCAGTTGGGTTAGATTTTTTTTTAAGTAAAAGATTTCTAAAGTCTTATCTCTTGAAAACAATATTTTGATCTGCAGTAGGATAGATCCTAAGGACTAAAGAACCACAAAGAAATTTTAAGTTTTATTCCAATGACTTAATTTTAGTAGTAAGATTGCTATTGTTATTTGGAAACTATTACATTTATACTGTAGAATAAAATAAATCAGTAATTTTTGATCATTTAGAACAAAACTTTACAGTGTAAAAGAAGACAGATACAGGTATAAAATTTTAAGTTTAGAGCCAGGCGTGGTGGCTCATGCCTGTAATCCCAGCACTTTGGGAAGCTGAGGCAGGTGGATCACCTGAGGTCAGGAGTTTGAGACCAGGCTGGCCAACATGGTGATGTAGCAGGACAAGCCACAGACGAAACCCCTCAGACACTGAGTTAAAGAAGGAAGGGCTTTATTCGGCTGGGAGCTTTGGCAAGACTCATGTCTCCAACAACCAAGCTCCCCGAGAGAGCAATTCCTGCCCCTTTTAAGGGCTCACAACTCTAAGGGGGTCCGCGTGAGAGGGTCGTGATCCATTGAGCAAGCAGGGGGTACGTGACTGGGGGCTGCAGGCACTGGTAATTAGAACAGAAGAGAACAGGACAGGGATTTTCACAGTGCTTTTCCATACAATATCTGGAATCTATAGATAACATAACTGGTTAGGTCAGGGGTCGATCTTTAACTACCAGGCCCAGGGTGTGGCACCAGGCTGTCTGCTTGTGGATTTCATTTCTGCCTTTTAGTTTTTACTTCTTCTTTCTTTGGAGGCAGAAATTGGGCATAAGACAATATGAGGGGTGGTCTCCTCCCTTAGTGAAATCCCGTCTCTACTAAAAATACAAAAATTAGCCGGGCATGGTGGCATGTGCCTGTAGTCCCAGCTACTCAGTAGGCTGAGGCAGGAGAATCACTTGAACCCGGGAGGTGGGGGTTGCAGTGAGCCAAGATTGCGCCACTGCACTCCAGCCTGGGCAACAGAGTAAGACCCTGTCTCAAAAAAAAAAAAAAAAAAAAAAAGAAAGAAATTAAGTTTAATAAAACCTCTATAATTTTAGATCTGAGTTAGAAATATCAGAATGAACTCAGGATTTATTTTTCTCTTTTTACAACATAAATGTTTCCTAGTTCTGGCCATGAAAACACTTAGAAGCCATGATAACCCAGTAGCAATGAGCACTTCTGTCAGAGGTGCGTGAACCAGAGCAACTCCATCTTAAACAGGAGCTGGGTGAGATAAGACTGAAACCTACTGGGCTGCATTCCCAGATGGTTAAGGCATTCTGAGTCACAGGATAAGATAGGAGGTCAGCACAAAATACAGGTCACAAAGGCCTTGCTGATAAAACAGCTTGCAGTAAAGGAGCCGGCCGAAACCCACTGTCAACGTGCATCCGTGTGAAGAGACCACCAAACAGGCTTTCTGTGAGCAATAAAGCTTTTTAATCACCTGGGTGCAGGTGGGCTGAGTCCGAAAAGAGAGTCAGCAAAGGGAGCTAGGGGTGGGTCAGTTTTATAGGATTTGAGTAGGTAGTGGAAAATTACAGTCAAAGGGGGTTGTTCCCTGGCGGGCAGGGGCAGGGGTCACAAGGTACTCAGTGGGGGAGCTTCTGAGCCAGGAGAAGAAATTTCACAAGGTAATGTCATCAGTTAAGGCAGGAACTGGCCATTTTAACTTCTTTTGTGATTCTTCAGTTGCTTCAGGCTATCTGGTTGTATACGTGCAGGCTTGGGCTCAGAGGCCTGACACCCACTAAAACCAAAATGGCTACGAGAGTGACTTCTGGTCATCCTCACTGCTACGCTCCCACCAGCGCCGTGGCATTTACAAATGCCATGGAACATCAGGAAGTTGCCCTATATGGCCTAAAAAGGGGAGGCATGAATAATCCACTCCTTGTTTAGCATATCATCAAAAAATAACTATAAAAATGGGCAACCAGCAGCCCTCGGGGCTGCGCTGTCTATGGAGCAGCAATTCTTTTTTTTTTTTTTTTTTTTTTGAGACAGATTTTGCTTTTGTTGCCCAGGCTGGAGTGCAGTGGCATGATCTTGGCTCACTGCAACCTCCGCTTCCCAGGTTCAAGACATTCTCCTGCTTCAGTCTCCCAAGTAGCTGGGATTACAGGCGTGCCACCACACCCAGCTAATTTTTGTATCTTTAGTAGAGATGGGGTTTCATCATGTTGGTCAGGCTGGTCTCGATCTCCTAACCTTGCGATCCGCTCACTTCAGCCTTCCAAAATGCTGGGATTACAGGCATGAGCCACTGCGCCCAGCCATTGGAGTAGCCGTTCTTTTATTCCTCTACTTTCTTAACAAACTTGCTTTCACTTTGCACTGTGGACTCGCCCTGAATTCTTTCTTACATGAGACCCAGGAACCCTCTCTTGGGGTCTGGATGGGGACCTCTGTCATGTAACACTTCTAATTCTCTAATGATTTGGTTGCTAAATACCGTATTCCTCTAAAAAAAGAGTAGGGCTCTTTGGAGCAATGGCTGATTCCAGTCTGGGGCAGGAAATGCACAAGACAAACCTGGGGCACATTTTGTGCCAAACAACAAAAACTACGAGGGTCATTTTATTTATTTATTATTATTTATTTATTTATTTTTTTGAGATGGAGTCTCGCCCTGTCACTGAGGCTGGAGTGCACTGGCATGATCTTGGCTCACTGCAACCTCCACCTCCCGGGTTCAAGCAATTCTCCTGCCTCAGCCTCCCGAGTAGCTGGGATTACAGGTGCGTCCCACCATGCCCGGCTAATTTTTTGTATCTTTAGTAGAGAAGGGGTTTCACCATGTTGGCCACGCTGGTCTCAAACTCCTAACCTTGTGATCTGTCTGCCTTGGCCTCCCAAAGTGCTGGGATTGCAGGCATGAACAACTGCGCCCGGCTCTGGGTCATTTTAGAAGGACACAGCTAATTTGAAAGGAGTCCTACTGGCCAAAGAAATGATTTGAACATTAGAAAGAAAAACTGCTACAATGGATCAAAGCACATCAAATTTATAAAATGCCATATGTATTAATAAAAATATTTAATAAAATGCATTAGCTCCCTTTCAAGGTTGGTGGGTGTCACTCATTTTGAAAATCCATAAAGAGTCAAACATGTATCCAGCTTTTTCTGCATGAACGGCACCTCAGGGAAACCATACCAGAGGAGGGAAAGGTCTTCTTTATGGAAAAATGTCAGTGCAGAAAGCTAAAGGGAGGATTGGATTAGGAAGTCACCATGTTAAACAGGCTGAAGTAACAGATTGAGACAAAAATAATCAGTGGATGCTAAAGCCGTAGGTGAAATTTTGAGGAAAACTTTTAAAGGACAGAGCAGGTTGACAACACCTGAAACCACTGATCAGTTTTGATGGAAGCGATGCTGTGGGAAGCACTCAGCATCACCTAAGAGGTAGCTCACCAATAAAAGAAAAAAAAAATCAACCCTCTAGTTTATTTTTTTAATTTAAATTTTAATTTTTTTTGAGATGGAGTTTCGCTCTTGTTGCCCAGAGCTGGAGTGCAATGGCGCAATCTCTACTCACAGCAACCTCCACCCACTGGGTTCAAGCAATTCTCCTGCCTTAGCCTCCCGAGTAGCTGGGACTACAGGCATGCACCACCATGCCCGGCTCATTTTTTATTTTTAGTAGAGACGGGGTTTCTCCATGTTGGCCAGGCTGGTCTCAAACTCCCAACCTCAGGTGATCCACCTGCCTCAGCCTCCCAAAGTGCTGGGATTACAGGCGTGAGCCACCATGCCGGCCGACCCTCTAGTTTAAACCAATGTCTTACAGGAAACCAGGCATGGAGGGATAAATTAATGACACCACAAGTAAACCATCTGCCAAATCCAGACTGGAAACTTCTCTAAGCTAAACAACTCGGCTTCTTCAGTGAGTAAACAGTATGGGGAAAAGTAGCGGGGGAGGCTTTAATACATTGAAAGAGGCCTGGAGACTGATCAACCACATTTTGTTCCTTCCTTCCTTCCTTCCTTCCTTCCTTCCTTCCTTCCTTCCCTCCCTCCCTCCTTCCTTCCTTTCTTTCTTTTTGAGACAGGGTCTCAGTCAGTCACCCAGGCTGGAGTGCATTGGTGCAGTCTCACTGCAACCTCTGCTTCCCAAGTTCAAGCCATTCTCCCGCCTCAGCCTCCTGAGTAGCTGGGACTACAGGCATGCGCCACCACACCAGGCTGGTCTTGAACTCCTGACCTCAAATGATCCGCCCACCTTGGCCTCTCAAGGTGTTGGGTTTACAGGTGTGAACCCAACCTAGCCAACCACTTTTTTTTTTTATACTCTAAGTTCTGGGGTACATGTGCAGAATGTGCAGGTTTGTCACATAAGTATACACATGCCATGGTAGTTTGTGGCACCCATCAACCCGTCATATACATTAGGTATTCCTCCTAATGCTATCCCTCCCCTAGTCCCCCACCCCCCGACAAGCCCCAGTGTGTGATGTTCCCCTCCCTGTGTCCATGTGTTCTCATTGTTCAGTTCCCACTTTTGAGTGAGAACATGCGGTGTTTGGTTTTTTGTTCTTGTGTTAGTTTGCTGAGAATGATGGTTTCCAGCTTCATCCATGTCCCTGCAAAGGACATGAACTCATCCTTTTTCATGGCTGCACAGTATTCCATGGTATATATGTGCCACCTTTTCTTTATCCAGTCTATCATTGATGGGCATTTGGGTTGGTTCCAAGTCTTTGCTATTGTGAACAGTACCACAATAAACATACGTGTGCGTGTGTCTTTATAGTAGAATTATTTATAATCCTTTGGGTATATATCCAGTAATGGGATTGCTGGGTCAAATGGTAATTCTAGTTCTAGATCCTTGAGGAATCGCCACACTGTCTTCCACCATGGCTGAACTAATTTACACTCCCTCCAACAGTGTAAAAGCATTCCTATTTCTCCACATCTTCTCCAGCATCTGTTGTTTCCTGCCTTTTTAATGATCGCCATTCAAATTGGCGTGAGATGGTATCTCATTGTGGTTTTGATTTGCATTTCTCTAATGATCAGTGATGATGACTTTTTTCATATGTTTGTTCAACCAACCACATTTAATGAGTGGTTTTCTTTGGGTCCTCACTTGAGCAAACCAAGTGTAAAAAAAAAAGACTTTTTAACCTTTTAACCTTTGAAACTTGGGAGAATTTGAACATGAGGAATTGCCATTGAGTAAACTGCAACCTACTTTGCCACTGGATGTTATTAAAGAATTATTTTACTTTTTAGTAGGTGTGGTAATGGCACTGTAGTTAAATTTTTTAAAAGAGTCTTATATGTTTAGAGATAACATACTGGAGCAGTCATGTGTCAGTTAATGACAGGAATATGTGCTTTTTTTGGTGGTTTTTTTTTTTTTTTTTTTGAGGCAGTCTTGCTCCGTCGCCCAGGCTGGAGTGCAATGGCGCAATCTCCCCTCACTGCAACCTCTGCCTCCTGGGTGCAAGTGATTCTCCTGCCTCAGTCTCTTAAGTAGTTGGAACTGCAGGCGTTGCACCACCATGCCCAGCTAATTTATTTATTTATTTATTTTGTGATGGAGTTTCGCTCTTGTTGCCCAGGCTGCAGGAGTGCAATGGTGCCGTCTTGGCTCACCGCAACCTCCGCCTCCTGGGTTCAAGCGATTCTCCTGCCTCAGCCTCCCAAGTAGCTGGGATTACAGGCATGTGCCACCATGTCTGGCTAATTTTGTATTTTTAGTAGAGATGGGGCTTCTACATGTTGGTCAGGCTGGTCTCAAACTCCCAACCTCAGGTGATCCGCCCACCTCGGCCTCCCAAAATGCTGGGATTACAGGCGTGAGCCACCACACCTGGCCATGCTAATTTATTTATTTATTTTTTAATGTTTTATTTTGTAAGCAGAGATGAGGTTTCACCATGTTGGCCAGGCTGGTCTTGAACTCCTGACCTCAGATGATCCACTCACCACAGCCTCACAAAGTGCTGGGATTACAGGCATGAGCCACCATGCCCGGCAGACAGGAATATGTTCAGAGAAATGTGGTGCTAGGCGATTTTGTCATCCTGTGAATATCATGGAGTGTACTCACACAAACCTAGATGGTATGGCTTCCTACTCACCTAGGAGGCCATATGATAAAGCCTATTGCTCCTAGGCTACAAAACTGTACAGTGTGTGACGTACTCAATACTGTAGGCAGTTGGAGCACAGTGGTAAGTGTGTATCTATCATATCTAAACATAGAAAGGCACAGTAAAAATACGGTATCATAATCTTAGGGGACCACCGTTGTCTATGTCGTCTGTAGTTGGCGGAAACATATGGTGCATGAATGTGTTTATGGATGGTTAAAAAAGGGCTCATCTCAATTGAGAAGACGTGTCAGGTGAATAAAATATCTTGTGGGGGGCAGGTAGCCAATCCCTTGCTTGGATCTAAGAGTAGAGAAAACGTGGGTTAGACACAGCCATCAGGAAAGGGATCATGGAATATTCAGGAACATCCCTGCTTTCTGGTGACAGGATGTCCCTACTAGTGGATCCCAATTCTGGCCTGATCACTGGCATCCAGGGGCCGTCTCAGCAGAAGCACAGAATAGGGGCTGGTTACCCACTATGGGGCCTCTTTCCCCTTCAGAAAAGTCTTCAGTTCCATAAGAACTAAAGTCAGCCACAGATGTTTAGACACCCATGTGCAGGATTTCTGAGCCTGAATTCTCCAGTGACCCTGGCCGTGGATGCTGACTCCCGACCTGAATTCCTTTGGGGGCTCAGATGTGGGGCGGAGCTGGTTTCTGCCCCTTGCTATGATCTTGAAACTGCTTTTGCAAAAATTGTATCAGTGAGAAAAGTATGACAGTGAAAGAGATCTGAGCTAACCCACCCTGCGTCTTGCCTTCCCCTTAATTATTCCTGGGTTATTGGGCTGAGCTAACTTTGAGAGACTTTTAGGATATAGTGTTAATAGGTCTCCCCCCAAATTCAACCGCTTTTGTAAAGCTAATGGGAGGCCATCAGGCTGGGAGGTGGAGAGGAGCCTGCGTCCTGCTAAGGCGCAGACATAAACGATTGTCAGCCATTATTCTTGAGGTTTTAAGATATGCAACTTCCCCAATTACTCCTGCAAATAATATCACTGTTGTAGAACCTAAGATATCTTTTCAGTTTTATCTTCATGTCTGACATCTATGGTTCCACCTGGACCTACCAACCCCACTCCTGTGGCCCACCAGAAGCTATTGAGCTCGCAGGAGGGCAGCTTCCACCTGCTATGATTTCATCTCCACCTCAGCCAATCAGCAGCCACCCACAGCCCTTCCCCCAAACTGCCTTTGAAAAACTCCTGGCCGGGCATGTTGGCTCATGCCTGTAATCACAGCACTTTGGGAGGCCGAAGTGGGTGGATCACCTGAGGTCAGGAGTTTCAGACCAGCCTGGCCAACATGATGAAGCCCCATCTCTACTAAAAATACAAAAAATTAGCTGGGTGTGGTGGCGGGCACCTGTAATCCCAGCTATGCGGGAGGCTGAGGCAGGAGAATCACTTGGACCCGGGAAGCAGAGGTTGCAGTGAGCCGAGACAGCGCCATTGCACTCCAGCCTGGGAAACAAGAGCAAAAAACTCCCTCTCAAAAAAAAAAAAAAAAAAAAAAACAAAAAAGGAAAGAAAAACCCCTAACCCTTGGTTGGGGATGGTGGCTCACGCCTGTAATCCTTCCTAGCACTTTGGGAGATCTAGGCGGGTGATCAGCCTGGCCAACATAGCGAAACCCTGTCTCTACTAAAAATACAAAAAAATTAGCCAGGTGTGGTGGGGGGCGCATATAATCCCAGCTGCTCAGGAGGCTGAGGCAGGAGAATTGCTTGAACCTGAGGCGCGGAGGTTGCAGTGAGCCGAGATTGCACCACTGCACTTCAGCCTGGGCGAAAGAGCGAGACTGTCTCAAACAAACAAACAAAAACAAAAAAACAAAAAAACCCTAACCCACGAGCTTTGGACAAGATGATTTGAGTATAAATTCCATCTCCCATGGTCATGAACGGCCTTGTCTCTATTAAACTCTTTCTTTACTGCAATGCTATGGTCTTTCTTTATACAATGGGCAGGAAGAAACACCTTGGTGCTTACAACCTGGTTGCGGGATCCCCAGGCCCTAGTGCCCATGGGGTCCTGGTCTCCACTCCTCCCCATACCCCCAACAGTGGGCCATGCTGATGGTTATGCTATACGCTTTAGGACCTCACTGCACCCGGGGTCAGGACTTAAACATCAGCTGTTTGTCTGGTGGAATGAACAAAACTTTTCCATTTCAGGTGGTAGCACATAGACAGAAATTCTTGTGATTTAATGTTTTTCATCCTGCCAGGGAAAACCATTTTCCCTTTAGAGACGCTTGTCCTGACAACCTATTTGTTTTCTCAAAGCAGTGATATTTCCAGAATTTGTAAGTGCCTGTGTTGGGGGAGGAGGGCTGATTGGAAAGGAGAATGGGGACGCGCAGAAAGAGGAATGAGCTTCCCACAATGATTTCTGATATGAAGAGAAGGTAAAAAGGTAATACAGTTTAGAGTTTTCTCTTTTACCTTCAAAAAGAGCATTACATTATCTTGGGTCTTTTATGTAATCCTCTCTCAGGTTGCTAATTAGGGGGTGATTTCATCGCTGAGCTGCTCTCCAGAAGCCCTGTTGCTTGGGCTTGGAGACTGCTTTGAAAGCTGAAGTTTGTAAATGTGGCTTAGCTGGAGAAGTGCCCCCACAGAGGCCGTGGCTCTGAGCTGAGCTCAGCGCTTCACAGAGAGGAAGTAGCTTTCCGATTCCACCCACTGAGCCAGTGCACTTGCAGCAACTGCAGGGCTTAGAGCATCCTTCAAACCCAAACCCAAAGGCATATGAATGTGGGTTTCTCTCTTTAAAAAATGGGACTATTTTACAACAGCTATAATTTGGGGATGAAAGTGTCAAATAGCCAGGTGCGGTGGCTCACACCTGTAATCCCAGCACTTTGGGAGGCCAAAGCAGGTGAATCACGAGGTCAGGAGATGGAGACCATCCTGGCCAACGTCGTGAAAGCCCGTCTCTACTAAGAATACAAAAAATTTAGCCGAGCGTGGTGGCACGTGCCTGTAATTCTAGCTACTCGGGAGGCTGAGGCAGGAGAATCGCTTGAACCAGGGAGTCAGAGGTTGCAGTGAGCTGAAATTGCGCCACTGCACTCCAGTCTTGTGACAGAGACTCTATCTCAAAAAAAAAAAAATCAGTGTCAAATAGTTTACTGGCACGGACAACATACAGGAAGCCTCATATCAGTTAAGGAAGGCCAGTTGAGTGTCTTCCAGAAAGTCACCCCCAAAGGAAGAAGGAGAGAAGGAGCCTCTCCTAACCTGAGTGCCGGGAAGGAGCAGGGCAGATTCAGGGGAGCCCAGACCAGGTCATACATTGGAGAGATGACCCGAGGGGCCTCTCATTTTCTTCTTTTTCTCAGACAACTGGTCACTCCCCAGGGTTTGACTCTTTCATCCTCAAAGCAAGTTAAAATAAAGGCAGAGCCAGATGACGACCCATCTTATTTATTTATTTAACTTTCACTGCTTTACAAATGTCCATTTTTGTGAGGAGGTTCTGGGACCATCCCACTCTCTCCAAGAGCCTCTAACTCCCCTTTATCCTGGCCAGCCCATGAGATCCTCCCTCTGGAAAGGGACAGGGTCACGCAGCTGTGTGGCTCTGCGGAACCCCAAATCCTGTCTGCTCCACAGTTGACTGCACCCTCCCTTCTGTGTGGCCAGTGGGGAGGAAGACAGAGGACATTGGTCCTGTCCTTGAGGGCCCAATCTAGACGCTGGCCTAGGCCACATTGGGTGGGTGGCACCTAACCTGGGGCTGTGGTTGGAGAGGCTCTCTTGGATTGGGCTGGTTAGAAGCGACACCTGCCCTGTCACACAGTACCTGAGATGAGCATTTGAGTATGAACTATTATTATTATTATTATTATTGTTATTATTAAGATAGAGTTTTGCTCTTGTTGCCCAGGCTGTAGTGCAGTGGCGCGATCTCGGCTCACTGCAACCTCCGCCTCCTGGGTTCAAGCGATTCTCCTGCCTCAGCCTCCTGAGTGGGGCTGGGACTATAGGCGCCTGCCACCACGCCTGGCTAATTTTTGTATTTTTAGTAGAGACGGAGTTTCACCATGTTGACCAGGCTAGTCTCGAACTGCTGACCTCAGGTGATCCACCCGCCTCAGCCTCCCAAAGTGCTGGGATTACAGGTGTGAGCCACCGCACCTGGCCGAGTATAAATTATTAATATTTGGAGCGATCTCAGGTAACACAACCAGAGAGTGGGGCAGTAGGGCCAGCGACAGGGGAACCTTCAACAGGTAAACTGTAAGGCAAAGAAAGAGATGGACTTGGACAAATGGATAGAAACAGTGTCTAGGGATGCGGCCAGGGTGACACACCAGGAAGAAATGTGAGGGGGCGATTTCCAGGGACATCAGGATGTGGCCACCTTCCTGGGGAGGGAGGGAGCTTGGGAAAGCCTCTGGATGGGGGAAAAGCTTCTTTATGACCTGGGTGAGGAGTGCAGGGATATTCCTCTTAAGGTAACTCATTCAGCTGTATGTTTGTTTTATGTGGTTTTCTGAATCTCATTTTTATTTTACAATCAAAGCTGGAAGAAACACATGGATGAGATCAGGAAAAAATGGGGAGGCCTGAGAAAATGTCTATGCGTAGGCTGCTGGAATGTGTCCTTTCTAGGGAGGTCTAGCAGACTTTCTATGCTACAGAGATTTTACACAAAAAAGCTCTTGCCTTTTGTCTTTGACTTGGGTACCGAAGAGTTGAAATGATTTCCTATAACTATGAATTATGCCCTGCTTCCTGGTTTAATTGCTTTTTGCTGAAGTTGATACAAAGATGAATGAGTCTGATAACGTGGTGGTTTCTCATCATCCAAATGCAGGTGGCTTGAGGCCTCCAGGTTTGGTCTAAGGTGAAGTCACGTGTTCTCAGGTGAGCCTCTAAGACCCTGGGCATTTGCACATGATAAAAATGGCCCAGGAAGGAGCCCAGGGAGTCCTGTATCCCTAATGACCTTTCGTGTGGCATGGAGGCATCTTAGCCATGGTACCCTCCACCCCAGGGGCTGGCCTTTAAGAATTCATCAAACCTCTCTCTCTTTCTCTTTTTTTTCTTATTTTTTTTTGAGAAGGAGTCTTGCTCTGTCGCCCAGGCTGGAGTGCAATGGCACGATCTCGGCTCACTGCAACCTCCGCCTCTCGGGTTCCAGTGATTCTCCTGCCTCAGCCTCCTGAGTAGCTGAGATTACAGGTGCCTGCCACCATGCCCAGCTAATTTTTGTATTTTTACTAGAGATGGGTTTTCACCATGTTGGCCAGGCTAGTCTCGATCTCCTGACCTCAGGTGATCCGCCCGCCTCAGCGTCCCAAAGTGCTGGGATTATAGGCATGAGCCACCACGCCCTGCCCAAATCTCTTAAAAGCAAGTAACTGGCCAGGAGTGGGGGAGGGAGGGGACATGGACAAACATTCTGATAAAATGATAAAACAATGACAGGTCTCAAAAGTTGAATACTATTGGGTTATACTCAGGGGATACAAATTCAAAGGAAAAAGTTCCAAGTCAAAAGCTGTGTGGGTCAATGGAGTCCCCCACCTCACCCTGACATGAACAGCTATTTCCTGTTGACACAATTTTTGTACAGCTCCTTCTTTCTTCAAATTTCCCCTCGGCCGGGCACAGTGGCTCACGCCTGTAATCCCAGCACTTTAGGAGGCTGAGGCAGGTGGATCACGAGGTCAGGAGATTGAGACCCCGGTGAAACCCCGTCTCTACTAAAAAAAATACAAAAAATTAGCCGGGCGCGGTGGTGGGCGCCTGTAGTCCCAGATACTCGGAAGGGTGAGGGAGGAGAATGGCGTGAACCCAGGAGGCGGAGCTTGCGGTGAGCCAAGATCGCGCCACTGCACTCCAGCCTGGGCGACAGAGCGAGAGTCCGTCTCAAAAAAAAAAAATTTCCCCTCACATGAAATGAGGTCTTTGGAGATGACTTAAATTGGAGAAATAATACATTTTATGAGGATGTGATAGGACTTGGGGCATGAACATCCCCTCTGGGTCAGCAGTCAGGTGTTTCGGCTCCAAGCAACAGAAAGTCTTTCTCAGAGGGGACAGGGGATGGCGGGGGGTCGGGGGGCGGTGTATATAGGTTCTTTTAAAAAGGTCCAAGAGCAGGTTTGGCTCTAGAAACGAAATAGGCATAACCCAAGGGTGGGGCCCTGCCCTGCACTCTGCAAGCCACCACCCTGGCCATTCCCACTGAGTGACCTCTTCCCTGTTACAGGGGGAGAGAAGCCTCTCATGGACTGAGCCCATGACTGTGCCAGGCTGCGACTGCAGAGTGAGGGAGGAGCAAAGGAGGCTTCCACGAGCGGGCAAGACCTAGCCCCGAGTCCTAGAGGGGCCATTCATGGGGTTTGGAAGCTGGGACACACATGCATATATATACACTCATATAACCCTTATGCACATGTACATACACACACAACACTCATATACACACCACCACACACACACTTACGTACAGATGCATGCTACGTTAAAGACTGAATTTTCTTCTTTTTTGTTTTTGTAGAGATGGGGCGGTCTTGCTATGTTGCCCAGGCTGGTCTCGAACTCCTGGGCTTAAGTGATCCTCCTGCCTTGATCTAACAAATTGCTGAGATTTGGGCATGAGCCGCTGCACCTGGACTGAATTTTCAACCGTGGGTTAGGACTATAGGGTTTTTGTGATTTTCTGACTTGGCGATGGTAGTTCTCTGGTCAGGCTTAACAGATAACTGAATGGTGTCTATATCAAGGGTTTTGTTCTGAAATGAAAAGGCCTTCGGGCTAGGGGGCTTGCTGCTGTCATCATTAGGAGTAGCTGGCGTGGTTAGTTTTGGGGAGTGTGATGAAGTGACGGTGACTGTTGGAAATATCTGTAGGATGCTGCTGGAAAAATGCTGGAAAAGCAGAACAAAACAGAACACCAAAAACAAAAGCCCTGGGCATCTGGTAAACATGTTTTCAAAAATACAAGCTATAGAAATGTGTTCTATGTCATAGCGAAGCATCTTTCAGGTGCCTCTTTTTTTTTTTTTTTGCGATGGAGTCTTGCTCTGTCACCAGGCTAGAATGCAGTAGTGCAATCTTGGCTCACTGCAACCTCTGCCTCCCGGGTTCAAGCGATTCTTCTGCCTCAGCCTCCCAAGTAGCTGGGATTGCAGGTGCACACCACCATGCCCAGCTAATTTTTGTATTTTTAGTAGAGACGAGGTTTCACCATGTTGGCCAGGATGGTCTCAATCTCCTGACCTTGTGATCCACCTGCCTTGGCCTCCCAAAGTGCTGGGATTATAGGCATGAGCCACCGCGCCCAGGCAGAGAGTGGGTGATTTTAATGTGACAAGTTATGTTTGCAGAGCAGACAGTCATGGCTTGTTCCCTCTGCATTTCCACCCTTCCTTGTGTTACCAAGAGTCCTGCCAATTGAACCTCTTGTCCCCATACAGTCTGTTCTGTCGTGCCCTACCTGGGCCGTGGGGTTTATCTCCTAGGAAACCCCCATAGGGGTTTGACCAGCTCCTGCTTCCTGGGCAACAGTGTGCCCAGCCCTAGAACTTGACAGTGGGGTCGGCTGTCTGCACCCAGTGACAGCCACCCTCATGGTGGCCCAACTGAGAAGCTCACTCTTCCCTCTCCCAACCTGCTGTGGCCCCGCTCCTGCCACCTCTTTCAAGGACCAGCCTCCTTACAAAGTCTTTCCCAGTCCTGCCCCTTGAAGAAACTCTCCTTCCTCCACACCTCTATTATGGGTTGTGCATCCCCCACAAAGATGAGCCATTCTGAAGTCCTAACTCTCAGGACCTCAAAATGTGACCTTATTTGGAAACAGGATCCTTGCAGATGTAATAGTTAAAGTTAGGTCACATTGGAGCAGGGTGGGCCGCTGACCCAATGTGACTGTGTTCTTATAAAAAGGAGACCGGTGAAGACCTAGGATTGGAGTGACACAGCCACAAGCCAAGGAACTCCAAAGATTGCTGCAGCCACCAGAAGCCAGGAAGAGGCAAGCAAGGACTTCCTAAGGTTTCAGAGGGAGCACGGCCCTGCACCACGCTGATGTCAGACTTCTGGCCTCTGGAACTATGAGATAGCCCATTTCTGTTGTTTGGAGCCACCCAGGTTGTCTTTGTTACAGCAGCCCTGAGGAACTAACCCAACCTCCATCCAGGAATGGATTGTATTTCCTGCTGCCAATGCTGGAGCAGGGTGGCTTCGTGGCCATGCAGCCCCTCAGAGGCACAGGGCCCTGCACTTGGGGTTTAGTGCTCTGTGATTGCTGTCTTGACATTCTTAATTATTTTATCAGGCTGGGCACGGTGGCTCATGCCTCTAATCCCAGCACTTTAGGAGGCCGAGGGGGGCGGATCACTTGAGGTCAGGAGTTTGAGACCAGCCTGGCCAGCATGGAGAAACCCCATCTCTACTAAAAATACAAAAAATTAGCCAGGTGTGGTGGTGGACACCTGTAGCCCCAGCTGTTTGGGAGGCTGAGGCAGGAGAATCACTTGAACCTGGAAGGTGGAAGTTGCAGTGAGCCAAGATTGCGCCACTGCACTCTAGCCTGGGTGACAGAGTGAGACTCTTGTCTCCAAAACAAAACAAAACAAAACAAAACAAAAAAAACTTTATTTTATCTTTGAATTTGTGTGGTGTAAGTGAGGCCTCATTGGACAGTGGAGCATACGTGAGCACTTGGAGCCTGCCTCATGTGTGCTCCCATCTGCTGCTGGTCCGCCACCTCTCCCAGGCACATTATTGACTGCTCGTCTCCCTCCCTTTGGTGTCCTGGGCCCCACATGGCCTCCCCATCCCCACCCTCACCCAGCAACCGCTGGTGCCCTCCATGGTCTGCGGGAACCTGAGTGTGTATGTGTGGAGGGGTGTGGGGTTGACATCAGATGCTTTTACTACACTACCCGTGGCATCTCAGGGTGGGCGTGGCCATGCAAGCAGCTGGTGGACTGTGTACCCACCAAGTCACTCGGCAGGGCCCCTGGGCAAGTGTGACAGTTGACACTCACCCTGTCCCAAGAAAGCATGATATTCAGTAGCAAATAAAAACACCATGATAGGTCAAAAGAGAGACCATGGAAGAAAGGGAAAAGCTTTCGTTTATTTTAGTTCCTTTGCTGGCCCATTCTTTTCCTGCTTTTTGAACAAGGGGCTCTGCATTTTTATTTTGCACTGGGCCTTTCAAATTTTGTGGCTGGCCCTGGTTGGGAGCTGCAAAGTGATGCTCCAACTTAGAAACGAGACACGGGATCCATCAGCTATGATACAAGATGAATTCCTGGTGGATTGGAACTCGGGCAAGCAGCCTCATGAAGAAACAAGGTATGCATGATGCTATTAGCAGGCAAGGGCCCTGGTCAGCTGAGACGGTCCTGCTTCCTCTGGATAGGGTATCCTGGCCACTGGAATATTTAAAACTAGGAAATTCAGAAAGTTATATTTGCACACTGGGATGTCTAATTTGTTTGTTATGCTGATCAGTGCAAAAAATCTTTTCCATAATTGTATTTGAATATTCATAAGTGTTGCTAGAAGAAAAAGTCAATTTCATGTCAAACCACCAAGGATCACATTTTCTTCACATGCTGCTCTTTTGCCAGGGAGAAGTGATTCAATGTATGTTGACAAAAAGCAGGACTGAGAAGAGCAGAACTGGTCCAAGAACTTATGAAATACCCACATTCAGGGAGACTTTCTCTAAGGAGAAACATCCCTCTTCAGAAGTCTGGGGAGCTTGCATACTGAGTAGAAAGGCAGAGCCGTACCTCCCTGGAGAGTCTCTGAAGACCTCATCTGCCCAGCCATCCAGCGTGAGCTCTGGAAACCTTCTGCCTTTTAGTCTATGTCAAGACTAGAAGCCAAGCAAGGTGTCACAGCCCTTCATAACTGTTAATGAGAAATAGAACTGAACACTATCCAAGGCAAAAAGACAGACTCTGTTGAGCACTACTGCAAAAGGAAAGCGCCGAGCACAATTCCCAACACAAGGACAAGTGGGGATTTACAGCCCAGGAACAGGGTGGAGGTGGGGGGTTGGCAGATGGAAAACAGAGGGGACCTTGACGGTAGGGGGGTATCTTGCTAAACTAACTTAACAGGACACCTGCTGCAGGCAGGCCAGGATGATTGGATACTAAAGGCAGAAGAGGACTTAACAGGATTCTTTGCTAAGACTGGCTCAGGCAGGCTGAGCACGGGGTCCAAGGATGAGGCCTAGCTGAAAAAAGTGCCGGAGGAGTCTGTCTGAAGTTGGTCAAGCAGTGAGTTATTATCGTGCTCTCGGGAGGAAATGCAGAAAGGACTACCCTTAAATCAGGGGCAGCGGGGAGGGGAGAGGGGCTCAGGGAGGGAGGGCAGGCCTGAGGGTGCCTTCACTGGGGTCTCTCCGGCCAGCATCTGGAGTGGGACTCACTGCCCAGTTTCCCTGTGGTTGTCCAAGGCAAGTAAAGCTGCTTACAGATGCCCACACTCATGTCACCTTTAGATGCCCTGGAAGGAAGTTTGGTATGAAAGTGGCTTTGCATATCCCAGCTAGGAAAGTAGGGGCCACCTAATCCTGTTTCCAGGACTGCATTTGTGAGTGTTCCTGTGTGTGTTGTGCAGAGAGAAACATGAAGGAGAACTTGGCTCCAGCAGCGGTGGGAGAATGCAGGGCTTCATGCTGCATCCTGTGGCACCTGCAGCCCACTCCCTCCCCAGGGAGAGGTCAGGGGGACAGCATTTGGAGGCAAATGACACAAGCTTTCTGCAATAGGAAGGGGTTTGGGAAAGTCCATTTGAAGACTGGCTGCCCCGGAAGAGTCAGCAATGACCCTTGAGAATGCCCTTTACTGAGTGAGCCAGGCTGAGCTGTTCTGGAGTCTCTGGTGCACGCATCTGACGAAGACCCCTCTTCCTTGCTGTCTACACACAGCCGCTCAGAGCAGGCAGTCCAAGGAGAATCTGGGATGGGGGTGGCTGACTCTGTTCCCCCATGATCACACCTCCCTGGAGGGCTTACTCGCTTCACCCAGGTCCCTGATGTAAACTAAATATAAAATCCTAACCCTCTACTCATTGAACAGACCCCCTGTTGGCCAAGAGGATCCCAGAAAAAAGTTAAAAACGAAATTCCTGGCCACAATGGGAAGGGAGGTTGGACTCATGCCTTGTTACATGCCCTCCCTTTTGGAGTTTAGGCAGAACTGACCAGCATAAATGTTAAAATACAGATCATAAGACTAACAAAACAGACTCTTTGTGACAATAAGGTAGCAAATGATAAATAGGACCTAAGTCCATGTCAGGCAAGGATTAAGTCACACACCCCATGGGTCACTCTGACCCAGTGGTTTGGTTAACAGACTTCCTTAACTGAAAACATTCCTTTCTGCTGATTCAAAATTTTTAGACAAAGTTTTACTCTTTTAACCAATTGCAAATTGAAGACTCTGGAGTGACCTATGACCAGGAAGCCCCCACTTTAACATATTCTGCCTTTCTGGGCCAAATCAATGTCTAATCTTCATGTATTGATTTATGACTTTTTCATAACTTCTGCTTCCCTGAAATGTGTAAAACAGAGTTGCGATCTAACTGCCCTGAGACCACTGACTCAAGGCTTTTTCAGTTTATGTCTTTCCCTGGGCTGTTGTCACTCATACTAGCTCAGAATAAACCTCTTTCAAATAGTTTACAGAGTTTGGTTTTTCCATTAACACTGAGTGGGCTGCTCTCCCCAGCAATGGAAATGCAGTGCCCCTTGTTCAACAAGCAGGAAAGGAAAGTGCCAGCAAAGGCACTAATATGCAAAAGCTTTTCTCTTTCTAGCATGGTCTTTTATTTGCCATTGAATGTCATACTTTCTTGGGCACAGGGTGAATGTCAACTTTCACCCTTGTCTGGGGGCCCTGCAGGCCACCAGCTATTCCTATGCCGTACCTACCCTGAGACCTTGTGGGGCAAAGGCATCGGACGTCAGTCTTCCCCCCACCACCTGGGCCCCCAGTGACCACAGAGGACACTAGCGGTTCCTGGGTGGAGGTGGAGATGGGGAGTCCAGGTGTGGCCCAGGACACCAAAAGGAGGAGAGGATTGAGCAGTCAAGAACCTATCTTGGGCTGGGCACAGTGGCTCACTCTTGTAATCCCAGCACTTTGAGAGGCCAAGGCAGGCGGATTACCTGAGGTCAGGAGTTCAAGTCCAGCCTGGCCAACATGGTGAAACCGTGTCTACTAAAAATACAAAAATTAGTTGGGCGTGGTGGCAGGTGTCTGTAATCCCACCTACTCGGGACGCTGAGGCAGGGAGAATTGCTTGAAGCCAGGAAGCGGAGGTTGCAGTGAGCTGAGATCACAGCACTGCACTCTAGCCTGGGTGACAGAGTGGGACTCAGTCTCAAAATAATAATAATAAGAAGAAGAACCTGTCTTGGGGAGGTAGGGAGGCAGTGGCAGGTGGGAGCACACATGAGCTAGGGTCCAAACACTCACATATGTGCCACTGTCCAAGACCTCTCATATACCACACAAATTCAAAGATAAATTAAGAATTTTGGCTGGGTGCGGTGGCTCACGCCTGTAATCCCAGCACTTTGGGAGGCTGAGGCGGGCGGATCACGAGGTCAGGAGTTAGGGACCAGCTTGGTCAATATGGTGAAACCCCGTCTCTACTAAAAATAAAAAAATTAGCCAGGCGTGGTGGCGTGCACCTGTAGTCCCAGCTACACGGGAGGCTGAGGCAGAAGAATCACTTGAACCTGGGAGGTGGAGGTTGCAGTGAGCTGAGATCACGCCATTGCACTCCAGCCTGGGCCACAGAGCGAGACTCCATCCAAAAAAAAAAAAAAAATCACCAGGCTGGGCAACAGAGGGAGACCCCATCTCTAAAAAATAATAATAATAATAATAAAAACAATTAGCCTTGCATAGTGGCATGTGGCTATAGTCCTAGCTACTCAGGAGGCTGAGGCGGGAGGATCCCTGGAGCCCAGGAGTTGGAAGCTGCAGTGAGCTATGATCCCACTACTGCACTCCAGCCTGGGTAAGAGAGTGAGATTCAGTTTCTAAACAAAAAACAAAACAACAAAGACTGCAACCGCAGAACACTGAGCCCCAAGTGAGTGCAGGGCCCTGTGCCTCTGAGGGTCTGCATGCCTAGGAAGCCGCCCTGCCCCCGACATCGGCAGCAGGAAGTGCGATCCATTCCTGGATGGAGGTTGGGTGAGTTCCCCAGGGCAGGCAGTATTAATGCGAATGACCGTTAATTTTCTCGGGAGGGTGGCACCGTCAACTAATTAGGAATGCTGTCTACTTTGGCTCATTGTGTGTTCAAGGATAAGATGACAAAACAAAATAGTCTGGATGATTTTGAGAGCTTAGCTGCATTTCATTCCTCTTACCTCTGAGTTTTAACGTAAGTCAGGGGCCTCCTCATGCAAGATTTATACTGCTCACAGTTCCTCTCAATTTTTTCCTCCGATTTGTCTATCCATTTTCCCCAGAGGACAGTGAATCGGGGCTCTTGACAGCCTGCTTCACCTAAGAGCGCCAATCAATCCTCCCGCAGGGTTTCCACTGAGCTTTGGCTGCTAAGTACATTTACGCAACCGAGCCGACGGGCTGTGCCTGCAGGCAACGGCGTCCGCCAATTTCCGTTCATTTAACGGCGAGACTGGGGGAGCCCGGGCCGGCAGGCGGGTCCTCAGGAAGCGCAAATTTCACCTTCCCTGACTCCTCTCACCGCTAGATTAAAACTGCGCCCCTCGGTGGCTCAAGCCTGTAATTCCAGCACTTTGGGAGGCAGAGGTGGGTAGATCACCTGAAGTCAGGAGTTTGAGACCAGCCTGGCTAACATGATGAAACCCCGTCTCTACTAAAAATACAAAAATTAGCTGGGCGTGGTGGCACGCGCCAGTAATCCCAGCTACTCAGGAGGCTGAGGCGGGAGAATTGCTTGAACCCGGGAGGCGGAGGTTGCAGTGAGCCGAGATCACGCCATTGCACTCCAGCCTGGGCAACAAGAGCGAGACTCCATCTCAACCAACCAACCAAACCAAACCAAAATAAAACAAAACAAAAACCTGCGCCCCTCCTCATGGCTCTTCTTTTGGCATAGCACCTGCAAAATATCTTCCTTATTTATTGTTTGTGCCCGTTAGAACATAAGCTCCAGGCAGGCACAGGAGCAGGACTCAGGGGTCGGTGAACGTGACGGGAGTCCAAAGTCAGTGGGGGATCCATCTTGTCTTAGGAGAGCAAAGACCTTCTCTCTGTCCTCCCCAGTTCCATAGCTGGCTCTATGAAATTAACTGCCAACGGGCAGATGAACGGGGGGAACGGGAATACACATTTATTAATCTTTAATATCACCTGCATGGGGGCATTGCAGGAAACTAGGTGAAAACCCCCCAAACCAGTGAGCTTTGAGAGCTTCTAAAATTGGGGAACTGGAAGCTGGTGTAGGCCACTTAGGGGAGAGTAACTGATTTTTAGGAAAGATGCATAAGTCTTTATGAGTTTGTGACAAAGTTTGTCTAGGTGTGGTGTGGACTTCTGCTGTGATAAGAGTCCATCCTCCCGGGAGGGAATTTACGACAATCAGTTTCTTTTGGAGGTTCCGTCTTTAGACAGGTAAGGGGAGAACGTCTCTCTGCATTTGCTATTTTTCAAGTGCCTCTCGCTCAAAATAATCAATATACCAAAGCGGCATATTTTAGGATGGCATATTTTGGTTTCATTCACTGTCTTTAAGTTTTTGATATTTTGTTCATTATAAACTTTTTTTGCATTCATTTTGACTTTTTAAGATATTGTATTAAAACATTATTTACCTTGACTACTGAGTTTTTTTGTCGCGCCCTTAAATTTTGCCCCTATGCGAGTGCCTCGCTCGCTTGCCTCCTTCTAGCCCGGGTCTGGCAGGGAGTTGAAATTATTTTTCTCACTGCTGAATTCCCAGGGCCTACAACAGTGCTCGCCAAAAAATTAATACTCTTGGTTCTTCAAATAAAACATTCTGTAAGGACTGCTCCCAATTTCTTCCTGAACTTCACGAACCCTCCCAGCCAGGCCACAGGATGTCAGGGGCAAACACCCTGAACCAACGGAGCTCAGGTTCCCTACCACCCCGCCCAAGCCCGCTCCAAGCCCAATTACCCTTCCCCTTCCTCGTCGTCCCATCCTCCCTGATGCCTCTTCCAGGGTGCTGGGCCGCGCGGCAAGAGCTCCAAGGCAAGATTCAAATGCCCTGGGGAGACGGCTGCGGGACACCTGCGGCGGGGCCCGGCAGGGAGCGCGAGACTGGAAGAGAGGCCAGGAGGGAAGGAGAGCGACGCGGGGTTTTGGGGGAGGGGCTGCGTGGGGCGCTGAAGGGGAGCGCGAGGAGTGGGAGGAAGTGAAGGAGGAGGAAGAGCACGGTGTGGGGGAAGCGCAGGAGGCAATAGGTGGGGCGGGACGGAGGGCAGGGCGCTGCGTCGGGAGAAAGTGTAGAAGCGCTGGGGAGAGTGCCCACGACGGGAGAGCCCAGGGGCGCGAGGGCGCGGGAGTGTGGGCGGGGCGCAGTGGGGATGGGGGCGGGGGCGCGGGATGTGGTAGGGGGCGTAGTGGGGAGAGAGTGCAGGAGTGTGGGCAGGGCGCAGTGTGGGGAGGGTGCGGGAGTGTGAGCGGGGCGCAGTGGAGGGAGTGCAGGATGTGGGCTGGACAACCAGTGGGAGAGGGCGCGGGAGGTGGGCGGGGCGCAGTCGGGATGGGGGCGGGGGCGCGGGATGTCGGCGGGCCGCAGTGAGGGGGAGGGCGCGGGAGTGTGGGCGGGGCGCAGTGGGGGAGGGAGCGGGAGTGTGCGCGGGGCGCAGTGAGGGGAAACTGTGGAATGTGGGCGAGGCGCAGTTGGAGAAGAGTGCGGGGATGTGGGCGGGGCGCAGTGAGGGGAAACTGTGGAATGTGGGCGAGGCGCAGTTGGAGGAGAGTGCGGGGATGTGGGCGGGGTGCGGTGGGGGAGGGTGCGGAGATGTGGGCGGGGCGCAGTGGGTGGAGAGTGTAGGGATGTGGGCCCAGCGCAGTGGGGGACAGTGTGGGGATGCGGGCGAGGCGCAGTGGGGGCGGGGGCGGGGATGTGGGCGGGGCGCAGTGGGTGGAGAGTGCGGGATGTGGGCGGGGCGCAGTGGGTGGAGAGTGCGGAATGTGGGCGGGGCGCAGTTGGGGAGCTTGCGGGGAATGTGGGCGGGGCGCAGTGGTGGGAGGGCGCAGGAGTGTGGGCGGGGCGCAGTTGGGGGAGGGTGCAGAGACCTGAGGGCTTGAGGTTGCCTGGCTGGCCCCGCTCCCAGAGGCGGGTGCCGCGCTGTCGCCCAGGTATCTGGGGTCTCTGGTGTCTGAGTGTCTCATTGTCGGCGCGAACACAATTGCTCCAGCCACAGGCGAGGCCTGGCCAAGGTGTGGGCGCATCTGGGGCAGGTCTTGAGAGGTCCAGCGCCCGGTGGTGCGGACAGAGGCGGGGCACCGCGGCGCTCGCCGCCGCCTCCCCGCAGGTGATCATCCTCCTGCAGGTGTCCTCGGGTCTCAGGTGGCTGCGTGTCTGCGCCATGGTTGACATTCTGGGCGAGCGGCACCTGGTGACCTGTAAGGGCGCGACGGTGGAGGCCGAGGCGGCGCTGCAGAACAAGGTGGTGGCACTGTACTTCGCGGCGGCCCGGTGCGCGCCGAGCCGCGACTTCACGCCGCTGCTCTGCGACTTCTATACGGCGCTGGTGGCCGAGGCGCGGCGGCCCGCGCCCTTCGAAGTGGTCTTCGTGTCAGCCGACGGCAGCTCCCAGGAGATGCTGGACTTCATGCGCGAGCTGCATGGCGCCTGGCTGGCGCTGCCCTTCCACGACCCCTACCGGCAGTGAGTGGGGGTCCTGGGGGGGCGGGGGCCGCCCGGCACGTCTCCCCCATGTTCCCCCAGGCCTCCCCCTCTGCACTGGGGAGCTCTTTATGACGCCCCCCCCCAACACCTCCCCGTCTCTCGGTTCACGTCCGGACTCCGGTAAATCACACTCAGTCTCAGTTTCAACCTCTCTTGGAGACCAGGGAGGGTGCAGACCAGATTCGAAAACCCAGGGCATCGGCACCCCAAGGGGGCTCGTGGAGCATGGACGCGGGCGCGTTTCTGCCTGGGGTCTGGAGCTCCGGGAATCTGCATTGCGAAGGAGCTCCCAGTGGTGGTGATGCTGTGAGTTCGCGGGCTCGGCTCCGGGAACCGCCGGCCCAATCAGCCCTGGACTCCCGGCGCCGCTGCGTCATCCTCCCAGTTAGTGGGCAGGAAGCACAGGGACATGACCCGGTGTCTGGATGCGGGGATGAGGGATGACCCGCGAGGACATCAGCTCTGTGACAGGCACCCACAGTGCAGGCCGTGGTTGGTTTGCTGGGAGGGAGGGACGGGGGCTTCAAGGCTGGCAGGAACCCAGGTGCTGGCCACCTTTGCGGTTTCATTTTTACCGACACTGATGGAATTTCATCACTAGAGAAGCATAAAACTCATTACTATAAACTTTATTACTCTAACTGTTGCAAAGGAGGGGGTAGGGATTGGCAGAGAGGGGATTACAGGGATTGATTGTTCTGCTTTTGGGGTGGGTCTCCTGTGGTCTCCTATGGTGTAAGAGTCCAGACTTAGGTTTAAAGCAGGCCTCGTCAAGTATGTTGTCCTGGCCACCCCCTTCTAGGTACCAATGTGAATTTCTGGGTTTTGCTTTACAGCCTCACATTTCTGGAGATTATCATTAAGTTGTGGCATTACCCCCTAAACTGATTATCATGAGATGACATTCCTTCTGGAAAATGAAAACTGGAAGCTAACTTTGGAAAGTTTTGTAGATGAGTAATTAATGGGAAGAAATCTAATTATTCCCCCAAACATGATTTTTGGTGATTCCCAGTGAAAGAGGAGGCCCAGGCAGGGCACCGCCCAGCCTTCCAGGGGGGTAACCTGCTTCTGGGAGCCTCACTCACACCGGGACTCTGAAAGTTCTATTGATAATGAATCTCCAAGATGGGTGGTTCACTTTGCAAAAGGATTTCTTACAGAATCAGTTCAAGTGGTGCTTTTAAAAACAGGATTGGACTTGTTTAGTACTCAAGTTATTTGTAAGCTTTTGAAAGAACGCAGGTTTGAAAGCGAGAGACGATGGCAGTATCATTATAGTAATTAGGCACAAAGCTCTGGCCCAGCTCTGGGATTTACTTGCCAGGTGATGGCAGGCAAGGTATTTTATTGCTGAGCATATGATACATCACGTGGTTGTTGTCAGGGTTGAGCTGATCACATATGAGCTCATGTGTCCGCTGGTTATGTCCCAGCTCTCTAGTCTATTGCCCCATTTTACAGATGTGCCATTGAGGCATAGAGTTCAGTTCTCCTGGCTCTGAGGACCCTCTTTCTGCCGTGCCCTACTTCCTCACTGAGGGGGTGGTGAGTCTTGGTCCCCAGCGGCACACAGATTGGACTGGGGAGGTCATCGCTTGGGGCCATGGAGACTGCTCGTCTGTTTCTGATGCTCTGGTCAAGCCTGTGAGCTCCAGCTGGAGGCAGTGAGCTGCGTGACGTGGGTCAGCTGTGTGCTCCTATCTTCTCAGCCTGGCTGGCCTGGGAGGGATTTTTCTTTTTGTAAACTTAGCTGTTTGTCCCTACCCCTTTCCACACTGAACTTCCTTAACTCTGTTGTTGTCATGTGTAAGCTAGGTAGTGGGATATTCTGTGGGAATTGTTGGAGCTACGCCCTAAATTCTGCTTATCCTACGTCTACAGGACCTTGGTGTTCCCATCTGATTGGCTCTTGGTTCAAAGACCAATCCGGTTTAGCCATGCCTTGCTCCAACTCTCCGGGGGTTTCCTGAGTTTCCATTGCCCACAGGACAGAGCCAGACATGGTTCAGTGCCTGGCATCCCCAGGGAGTGTGTTTGGTGAGTAGTTGAAGCAAGTGAGCAAAAGACAGTTCTGCAGAGAGATTTGCTTGGCCACAGCCTGCTCCTGGCTGAGATGACAGACTAGAGTCAGGAGTTGCCATGGCAACCCAGAAGTGTGGTTTATGCCAGCAACAAGGATGTGGCTGTGTTAGTTGAAGGCAGGGACCAACGCTGGTTGCAACAGTGCTGAGGACAAGGAGGAACTGGGCTCTTGGATTTTCCCCAAATGCTTAAAGTCCTAAGTTATTACCATGACAACATTCTCTCCTCCAAAAGCAAGTTCTTTTCTCTGTGGACACAGCTCAGGGCCCAGAGGGGATTGAGATGACATTAGGGAAAAAGTGAGGTTCTTTGCCTCTCATGTGCAGCTCCAAGGTTACATTTGTCCCCAGGCAGAGGCTGCCAGCATGGGGATTTGAGGGCTGGTACTGAGTGTCTCTTGGAATATCAGTGAAATGACCACCTCCACCCTCCTGATTCCTCAAAGCCCAGCCTGCTCTGCATCCCCCTGACTGTGTTAGAGCTTGATTTAATGTTGCAAGTGATTAAAACAGCAGCAATGAGAACAACTCAAAGAGCTTGAACAGTAAAGGTTATGGGCTGGCTTTAATGAGACACCCATCAGCCAGAAGATGGTGTCAAGGGCAAGCTGGAGGCCACGGAGGATGCAGCTTTGTGGCTCGCCTTCTGCCACGTCTGCCCCTTGCTCAGGCTGCAGGCAGTTGCTGCCTGGCAAATCCTGTGTCTCCTCACGGTGGCAGAATGGCTGCTGTGTCTCAGACTGCGCATTCCTGTACTTTCCTCTTTCCCAGCACACAGCCAGGTGCTGCACCACGCCTCATTGATTCTGATTTGGCTAGTTCCCCATTTCTGTACTATTAAGTGTAGCCAGGGGCCACCAGATAGATATGCTGACTGAGCAGTTGGCCCAGGTGGAATTGGAGGTGGGTCTTTCCCACACAGTAAGAACAGCTAGCATTTATCAAGTACTTATTATGTGCCAAGCCTCATTCTTCATTAAGCTGTTTATTTAATCCTCACAACAACTCCAGGAGGTGGATTCTGTTATTCCCGTGGTGTAGATGAGGAATCCGAGGTGCAGGAGGTTAACTAGCCTGCCCATGACACACAGCTAGTTCATGCCAGAAAATGAAGGAGACATGGTTTCCCAAGGAGGGTCACAGATGCTGAGCAGCAAACCACAGGCCTGTACTCCCCGTGCTGTCAGGGGCACCATGCCCAGCCTCCTCTCCGCTTGCTGTCTCCTACCTCCTCCCAGTTGGTGCAGGGGATGCAGAAAGCCCTGGAAGACTGCTGTGGGATTGGCCAACTTGAGCAAGCATAAACCACCAGATCTTGGGCACTGCCCCAGCGTCAGAGGTGGGGAGATTGCATTTCTGATGAGTTTCCAGGTGATGTTGGTGTTGCTGCTCCTGGGACCCCATATTGTTCCTGACAGTGCTGGTCAAAGGCTGGTGCATGGACCCATGTCAGTTGGGAATCTGTCAGGAGTGCAGATGCTGTCGGACCTGGGGGTGCTCAGGAATCTGTAGGTGAGATACTGCTGCTGCTGCTGCTGGCATCCCAACCCCTTCACGACCCACCAGCAGCCCTCCAAGGAGTCCTCATGGCCTTGGGGAAGAGGTTCCAGGTTCCTGAGATAACAGAGTCCCACCTGGTCTGGCCCCAGCCGGACCGTCTACTTTCCTTTCTGGAAGTGACGTGTGCGAGCCCTGCCCTGTCCCACTGCCCAAAGTACAGATGCTAAAATAACCCATTTGCCAAAACTGCTGGATAAAGAGCTTAAATCAGGCTGCTGGCCATTTTGCTGCAGTCTTTATGCAAAGAGTTACTTGGTTGTTTCTCGTTTCTTCACCTTTTTCTTTCTTTCTTTTTTATTTTCTGAGATGGAGTTTCGCTCTTGTTGCCCAGGCTAGAGTGCAATGGCGCAGGCTCAGCTCACTGCAACCTCTGCCTCCTGGGTTCAAGTGATTCTCCTGCCTCAGCCTCCCAAGTAGCTGGGATTACAGACACCCACCACCACACCCGGCTAATTTTCGTATTTTTAGTAGACACAGGGTTTCGCCATGTGAACAGGTCTCGAACTCCTGACCTCAGGTGATGCACCCATCTTGGCCTCCCAAATTGCTAGGATTACAGGCGTGAGCCACCGCACCTGGCCACACATTTTTGTTTTATGCCTTTGGGGAAAGCTAATTGCTTAGGCATTTTAAATTTTAGGTGTTGTGCGGCCGGGCGTGGTGGCTCACGCCTGTAATCCCAGCACTTTGGGAGGCCGAGGCGGGTGGATCACAAAGTCAGGAGATCGAAACCATCCTGGCTAACACGGTGAAACCCTGTCTCTACTAAAAATACAAAAAATTAGCCAGGCATGGTGGCGGGCGCCTGTGGTCCCCGCTACTCTGGAGGCTGAGGCAGGAGAATGGCGTGAACCTGGGAGGCGGAGGTTGCAGTGAGCCGAGATTGTACCACTGCACTCCAGTCTGGGCGAAAGAGCGAGACTCCATCTTAAAAAAAAAAAAAAAATAGGTGTTGTGCAGGATTCTTAAGATGCTAGAGAGGGACATCTCTGCCACATCTTTCATGCTGACTGCTGTGGTTCATTGACCTGTCCAGGCTCCATCTGGCCGAGTTCCACACGCGCCTCCCCTGTTGTGAGCACTCATGGCTGTTCGTGAAGGAGTTGGTGTCCCCTAAACCTGCAGTTTGACATGAATTCACATCTGCTCTGTGTTTGAGACATGACTTTCTCAGTTCTGCAAATACAGTTTTGGCTGAGTGGTCTCTGCTGTGTCTTTTTTTCACTGTGCATGATAGGTTTTAGAGAATAGTTTACATTTTTATTTTTTCCCACTTTTCCTTTCCCTCCCCAGGTGAGTCATTGGACACCACAGGGAGCAGGTCCGGACTGCCGGGGTGGGGGCTGTGTCCATTGGTTCTTTGGGGAATAGGCCTGTCCTGGCAGGGGTCATGCAGCCCCAGAAAGGCCACAGCCCTCCCAACAGTGTCCCCTCAAGGAGGTTCAGTCCACACTGGGCCTGTGTAATGACCAGGTTGGCCTCATTTTTGATATTCTTGTGCCTTCTCTCTTTTTCCTTGCTCAATCTCAGTAGATTTTTTTTTTTTTTTTTTTTTTTTTTTGGAGCTAGGGTCTTGCACCATCATCCAGGCTGGAGTGCAGTGGTGTGGTCACAGCTCCCTGCAACCTTGAACTCCTGGGTTCAAGCGATCCTCATGCCTCAGCCTCCCAAGTAGCTGAGCCTACAGGTGTGCACAGCCACACCTGGTTATTTTTTTTTATTTTGTGGAGATAGGGTCTTGTCATGTCACCCACCAGTGTCCCCTCAAGGAGGTTCAGTCCACACTGGGCCTGTGTAATGACCAGGCTGGCCTGATTTTTGATATTCTTCTGCATTCTCTCTTTTTCCTTGCTCAATCTCAGTAGACATTTTTTTTAGAGCTAGGGTCTTGCACCGTCATCCAGGCTGGAGTGCAGTGGTGTGATCACAGCTCCCTGCAACCTCAAACTCCTGGGTTCAAGCAATCCTCCTGCCTCAGCCTCCCAAGTAGCTGGGACTACAGGTGCGTGCAACCACACCTGGTTAATTTTTTTTTATTTTGTGGAGACAGGGTCTTGTCATGTCACCCAGGGATGTCTTGAACTCTTGGGCTCAAGTGATCCTCTCACCTTGACCTCCCAAAGTGCTGGGATTACAGGCGTGAGCCACTGTGCCCAGGCTCGGTAGAGATTTGTTTCACATTTTAGTGTTTCCTGAGAACCAGGTTGGGTTTTATTGGTCACCCCATGTTGGTTTTTGTTGGTTCATTTCCTATGTCAGTAATTTTTGTTCTCAATCTTATTCTGCCTTCTTTCTACTTTCTTTGTGTTTGTGCCATCCTTATTTTTCTAGCTTCTTGAATTAGATCCATAAGTCATCTATATACTAAAGTTTTGGATAAGCGTTTTTAAGGCTACAGCTTCCTAAGTGTGTTTAATTGTGTTTACAGCTTGGGATTTGTAGTATATTCCATATTGTTTTGTTTTAAATACTTTGTCATCTGCGTTACTATTTCCCATATAACATACAGTTAGTTTTAAAACTCATTCTTAAAAATGATTTCTTTTTGGCTGAGCACAGTGGCTCATGCCTGTAATCCCAGCACTTTGGGAGGCCGAGGTAGGCGGATCACGAGGTCAGGAGATCGAGACCATCCTGGCTAACATGGTGAAACCCCGTCTCTACTAAAAAAATACAAAAAAATTAGCCAGGCATGGTGGTGGGCGCCTGTAGTCCCAGCTACTCGGGAGGCTGAGGCAGGAGAATGGCATGAACCCAGGAGGCGGAGCTTGCAGTAAGCCGAGATTGCGTCACTGCACTCCAGCCTGGGCGACAGAGCAAGACTCCATCTCAAAAAACAAAAAAACAAAAAACAAAAAACAAACGAACGAACAAAAAAATATATATTTTTTTATTTTTATTTTTTGAGACAGAGTCTCACTCTGTCACCCAGGCTGGAGTGCAGTGGCGCGATCTCGGCTCACTGCAACTTCCGCCTGCTGGATTCAAGCAATTCTCTGGCCTCAGCCTCCCAAGTAGCTGGGACCACAAATGCGTGCCACCATGCCCGGCTAATTTTTTGTATTTTTAGCAGAGACAGGGTTTCACCGTGCTGGCCAGGCTGGTCTCAAACTCCTGACTTCATGATCTGCCCACCTCAGCCTCCCAAAGTGCTGGGATTACAGGCATGTGCCACCCGCACCCGGCCCCAAAAATGGTTTCTTATTGGTTTCCAATTCCATTACCATTGGTCTGATTAAGTGATCTATATGTTATTGACCACTTGAAATTCATTAATACTTCCTTTGTGACTTGAGAACATGATTGATTTTGTCACTGCTTCATAGATGTTTGGAAATAAACCATATTCTCTCTCTGTTGAGCGTAGGGGACCCTGTATTTTTTCCTGCTTGAGTGATGGTGTGTCTTTGACCTGGATGCCAGAAAGTGGCAGGAAGAACTTGAGGGACGTGTCAAAGGGGAGATTTGCTAATAGGAGGGTCTCAAATGGGTTTTTCCTTCCACTCGGGTTCACAATCCTGAGGGTGACAGATCAAGGAAATCCGATTACTGTCACTGTGAGGCCCTGGTGACCTGGCCATGGTAAACAGGAAAGGGATTTCACCCGGCTGCCCTGTCTTGAGGGAGTAATCCCAGTGAAGATTACGAGAACTGCAAAACCAAGAAGGCAGATGCTCGTTTCCCTAAATGAATACAAATAATTTTGTAAAAAGACCACTCATCAGGTTATAGATACTGTAAATGTAAATGATGTAAAATGAGGCTAAGAAACCTCTCATCATGATAATGGCAATTGGTGCATCACTGAATTTGTAGGGTGGAAAGTCAAGTGAAGCTCTAGATGTATTTAGAACTCATGGAATTTTAACTTTTTTTTTTTTTTTCCTTAGAAATGGGGTCTGCCGCCCAGGCTGGAATGTAGAGGCACTAACACGGCTCACTGCAGCCTCGACCTCCTGGGCTCAAGCGATCCTCCCACCTCAGCCTGTCGAGTAGCTGGGACTATAGGTGCATGCTACCACGCCTAGCTAATTTTTTAACTTTTGTAGAGACAAGGTCTCACTATGTTGCCCAGGCTGGTCTTGAACTCTTGGACTTAAGCCATCTTCCCACCTCAGTCTCCTGAAGTGCTGGGATTACAGGTGTCAGCAACCACACCTGGCTGGAATTTTAACTTTTACCATTATATGTACCTGATATTTTTCAACCCCTTGAGATGTAGAGGACATAAAAAATTACTGGGTTTATTTGTGGGTTTAGACCTGCACTATCCAATCTGGTAGCCACTAGCCACTTGTGACAACTTAAATTTAAATTAAAAGTTAATTAAAATGAAAACTTCAGTTCCTTAGGCACACTAGCCACATTCTGAGCTCTCCCAGCCATACGTGGCTGGTGGCTACTGGATTGGGTAGCACAGATACGGAGAGTTCACTGCTGCAGGCAGCTCTCTGGTGTGGAATTGGGTTAGAAATGGTAGCACCAAGGCTGGGCGTGGTGGCTAACGCCTGTAATCCCAGCATTTTGGGAGGCCAAGGCGGGCAGATCACTTGAGGCCCGGAGGTCGAGGCCAGTCTGGCCAACATGGTGAAACCCCATCTCTACTAAAAATACAAAAAATTAGCTGGATGTGGTGGCACATACCTGTAATCCCAGCTACTTGGGAGGCTGAGGCAGGAGAATCGCTTGAACGTGGGAGGTGGAGGTTGCAGTGAGCCGAGATCGCGCCATTGCACTCTAGCCTGGGCGACAAGAACAAAACTCCATCTCAAAAAAGAAAAAGAAAAAGAAAAAGAAATAGTAGCACCAAGAAGAAAGGAGCCCCCACCCCAGCAGGAGGGAGAGCAGGAGCAGGCTGGGTGGGGCACCTGGTGGCTTCCTCCAAGTTGGCTGTACCTCAGGCTGGAGGGAGGGGGCGTGTCCCTTCAGATGTGCATGTGGGAGTGCTAACTTCGGTACCACTCTTCTGTCCTGCAGTGAGCTGAGGAAGAGGTACAACGTCACAGCCATCCCCAAGCTTGTGATTGTGAAACAAAATGGGGAGGTCATCACCAACAAAGGGCGGAAGCAGATCCGGGAACGGGGGTTGGCCTGCTTCCAGGACTGGGTGGAGGCGGCCGATATCTTCCAGAATTTCTCCGTTTGAAGTGGGAGGGACCTCAGAGGGCCAGGACAGGTGCTGCTTCTCCAGCACCGACGCTGGGGCAAAGAGGAGCATGTTGGGTTCCTTCCTCTGTTGGTGTGATTTCATTGTATTTCAGAGCAGAAGCACTAAGCTGTGGTCAAAAAGCAACTATTGCTCAGGAAATAATACACTCCATATTTTGATCATGCAGGCTGTTTGTATTATAGTTATTTTTGTTATTCTTTGCATACCTTTATCCACCTGTGCTTAAGGAAGGATCCTCATATGTTCATACTGAGCTGTTGGAAATCTATGCAAGACATTTATTTGTACAAGTCTCTTCAGGTAAAATAATATATTTATTGATAACATTTTCTGGCGATCTGTTTATTTTAATGGTATGCTTTCACAACTATCTTAATAAAGTTTGCAAGCTGTGTACTTTAATAAACAAGTCTATTGCCTTCTTTCTCATTCCATTCCAGGTGCCAGTAGGAAGAAAAGGAGTCTCTTGACAAATACCATGCTTAAATATGTCTTATTTGTCACAGGTGCTAGTTTTTAATTATATGTCATCTTGGAATTTTCTTCTTCTCTTTGTTTTCTTTACACTTATTTGTAACAGTATTACAATATCCTAGAAAGCAATGAAATTTTCAAGGGTGTGTTTTCACATCTTCAAGATCAAACCTCAGTGTTACCTAAAAGTTAATAATCCATCGAAGTAAACAATCTTTATTAATGGTGGTGAAAGCCGTCAGTGGTTCAGATTACTGTCCCAGCTTCCCCTGTGGCCTCTTGCTGGCGGTCTTTCCTGTTTCTTTCCAGCCTCATTCTTATCCAATCAGCTGGGATTGTGAAAATACCGATACCCATCTCTAGCCAAGTCCTCACCTGCAGATCTGGTCAGCTTGCTGGGTTCCTCAGCTGAGAATTTGGAGCAAAGCTGACACCAGTAGGACCAGCAATAGTAGAGTAAGGAAGCCCAGTGGGTGATACTCAGTGAACCTGTGCCACTGAGACATAAGCTGTTAATTAATTAGTCCCTTCAATCTCCCTCACCCTCTGCGCTGTCAGTTAACTTCCCTGACCACTGAGACCCAGCCTCCTGGGGGCCCTGTGGGTTGACTAAGGATGCATTTACACTAACCTCATTGTTATTCGTGCCCCAAATAAGTCATGTAGAAATGCAGTTTTCTTCCAAAACTCAGAGATGAAATATTTATTTAATTATGGCTTTTTCTTTTCTTTTTTTTTGAGATGGAGTTTCACTCTTGTTGCCCAGCCTGGAGTGCAATGGCGCGGTCTCAGCTCACTGCAACCTCCGCCTCCTGGGTTCAAGTGATTCTCTTGTCTCAGCCTCCCGAGTAGCTGGGATTACAGGCGCCCGCCACCACGCCCAGCGAATTTTTGTATTTTTAGTAGAGACAGGGTTTCATCATATTGGTCAGGCTGGTCTCGAACTCCTTACCTCAGGTGATCCACCCGCCTCGGCCTCCCAAAGTGCTGGGATTACAGGCATGAGCCACCGTGCCCGGCCTAATTATGATATTTTTAATCACACATTCTTGGGAACTGGGTGGACATCTCTTGCATGTAGAGTATCCATAAACTGAGTGTTCGTGTGTGTGTGTGTGTGTGTGTGTGTGTGAGAACCACAACCACACACTTTTAAAAGGTAGAGAAACGGCCCTCCTGGTAAACGTGCTTGTAACTGCCAAGAACTGTGTTGGTGTTTGTGGGCTGGAAGATTTTGCTTTGGGGTGACTAGAGGGAGAGGCAGGGTCCACCTCGGCTGGGCTGGCCCTGTAGGACATGGGCCTTCGTCACCTAGGGCTGGGAGAGTGATGTGTCCTTTGAACCATTATTACTCCCTGAAGACACATTCTTTTTTTTTTTTTTTTTTTTTCTGAGACAGAGTCTCTGTCTCCCATGCTGGAGTGCAGCGGCACCATCTTGGCTCACTGCAATCTCTGCCTCCTGGGTTCAAGCGATTCTGTTGCCTCAGCCTCCCGAGTAGCTGGGATTAGAGGCGCCTGCCACCAAGCCCGGCTAATTTTGTATTTTTAGTTGAAATGGGGTTTCTTCATGTTGGCCAGGCTGGTCTCGAACTCCTGACCTCAAGTGATCCACCCGCTTCGGCCTCCCAGAGTGCTGTGATTACAGTCATGAGCCACCACGCTTGGCCGACACATACTTTAATATTATAACATCCCAAACAATTTTTCTTGACGTAAGGCAAAGTATTCCAGCCTTCTTTCCGAGAACTGTGTAATTTGTGACTATTTCTACAAGTGCCTTGTGCCCCTTGTGTTCCAGAAGCAATACGTGCTCACTGTGGACGAACATCAGGAAAAAGATTCCATCATCCTGAGGGAAAGCCATGATGGATGTTTTAGTCCATCTATATGTCCCCTAAAGTCACCACCTTTTTATTTTTTCCGTGTGTACACATTGCTTTTCATCTTTATACACTTGCCACCCTGCGTGTGGACATAGACAAGCAGTGGCAGTGTGATGTGGGCACCATGGGGCAGGGGTTGAAAGACATGCAGCATCGTGACCCAGCCCAGGCCCACGTCTCATCCAGACTCCCTGGTGAGCCCCGTGGGCGCTAACATCTGAGAAGCATGGCTCTGCAAAGGTGTCTTGTCCACTGAATTTGTTGAAGTCATTTCACTGATTTCAGCCCACAACTGGGGCATCTTTATCAAAGCCCAGGGTGCTCCACAAGCCATCAGGCCTGGGGCAGGTGGGGGCCCTCCCCTCTCCCAGGAGAGGCCTAGCCACTGGCATTCCTGCAGGAGCGCGTGCAGACCTCAGGGAGACTCATGAAATGCTGGTCACTGTGCACTGGAGAGGGGCAGTCACTGAGAGAACACACGTATACACCACACATATAACCTACACACACCACAAACACACACACAGACACAGACATTCCTAGAGAAAGGAAGAAGAGGGGTGACACAGAGCTCACCAGTCAGGAGAATTATGCTCTATTGGGCTGGACTGACTTAGGCCGAATTTACAAACACCATGGAGGTACCTTAAAACCCCATCCTTTCAGTAGGGTGTCCTATGCTAATTTTGATTGAAAAGAGCCTCTGTTTTAGTCATCTCCACTTTGCCAGCTATCTAGAATCTTTGAGCCATTTGGTAAACTGAATTACCCTTCTCTCCTGCATTTTTGTTTAAGAATTATCTGGGCTGGGCATGGTGGCTCATGCCTATAATCCCAGCACTTCCGGAGGCCGAGGTGGGTGGATTACCTAAGGTCAGAAGTTCAAGACCAGCCTGGCCAATGTGGTGAAACCCTGTCTCTACTAAAAATACAGAAATTAGCCAGGCATGGTGGCGGGCACCTGTAATTCCAGCTACCCGGGAGGCTGAGGCAGCAGAATCGCTGAACCCAGGAGGCAGAGGTTGCAGTGAGCCGAGATCATACCACTGCACTCCAGCCTGGGCAACAAAGAGCGAAACTCCATCTTAAAAAAAAAATAAAGAAAAAAGAATGATCTTATCTGATGAGTCAGGTGTGGTGGCTCACGCCTGTAATCCCAGCACTTTGGGAGGCCGAGGTGGGTGGATTGCCTGAGGTCAGGAGTTCAAGACCAGCCTGGACAACATGGTGAAACCCCGTCTCTACTAAAAATACAAAAATTAGCTGGGCGTGGTGGCAGGTGCCTGTAATCCCAGCTACTCAGGAGGCTGAGGCAGGAGAATTGCTTGAACCCAGGAGGTGGAGGTTGCAGTGTGCCAAGATCACACTATTGCACTCCAGCCTGGGCAACAAGAGGAAGACTTTTTCTCAAAAAAAAAAAAAAAAAAAAAAAAAAAAAAAAAAAAAAAAAAAGCTGGGTGCTGTAGCTCATGCCTGTAATCCTAGCACTTTTGGAGGCCAAGGTGTGTGGATCACGAGGTCAGGAGATGGAGACCATCCTGGCTAATATGGTGAAACCCTGTCTCTAAAATGGTGAAACCCTGTCTCTACTAAAAATACAAAAAAAAAATAGCCAGGCATGGTGGCATGCATCTGTAGTCCCAGCTACTCAGGAGGCTGAGGTGGGAGGCTGAGCCTGGGAGGCGGAGCTTGCAGTGAGCCGAGATGGCACCACTGCACTCCAGCCTGGGTAACAGAGCAAGACTCTGTCTCAAAAAAAAAAAAAAAAAAAGGAATTATCTTATCTGGCTGTTTGCTTTGTGTGTGTATTTTATTCTATGTACTTGCCATGACCTGAATGTTTCTGTCCGGTATAATCCATGTGTTGAAGTCCTAACCCCTAGGTGATGGTGGTGTTAGGAGGTGGGGCCTTTGGGAGGTGATTAGGTCAGGAGGGTGGGGTGGAGCCCTCATAAATGGGAGTAGTGTCCTCCTAGGAGAGACCCTTACCCCTTCTAATATATGAGGACACAGTGAGCAGATGCCATCTGTGAACAAGAAGTGGGCCCTTAGGAAACACAGAAGCTACTGCCATTTTGACCTTGGACTTACAGCCTCCAAAACTGTGAGCAATGCATTTCTATTATGATACACAGCCTCGTCTGTGGTATTTTGTGATAGCAGCCTGAACAGACAAAGACAGCGCCTATAAGTAGTCTAACCTGAACCCTCCACTGGCTATCCAGGTTTCCTCTCGAGATATGCAGACACATCCATTGGTCTGTCCCTTCTATCGTCTTGAAGAAACCTGTGCTGAAGCCTCCCAACATCTCCATAGGTTCTGGTGAGCTATGTTCCTGGTACATCTGTCAACCCGATGTCACCCTTTGGAATGATCCCCGGGCTGCTCCACGGCTCTCTCCTGCATTGAGTTTCTCTTTCTTGTCATTCTGTTTCTTGGTTTCCACCCTTGTTTTGTTGGAATACATCCTCTAATAGTTTCCTAAGAACAGGTGAAAGGGGGCAAACTCTTTGAAGCCTCCTGAGTCTGAAAAGCCTCCATTCTATATGTACTCACTGGATGAGTGGCAGGTGCAGAATTTAGGTTGGAAGTACTTTCCTTCAGTGATTTGAAGGCACCACCTCATAGCTTTTTTTTGTTTCTTTGTTATTGTTGAGAGATCCAACTACACTGTGACTCCTGGCCCTGTGAGTGGTTACTGTATTAGGCCATTCTTGCATTGCTATAGATACCTGAGACTGGCTCATGGTTCTGCAGGCTTTACAGGAAGCATGATGCTGGCATTTGCTTAGCTTCTTGGGAGGCCTCAGGAAGCTTACAACCATGGCAGAAGGTGAAAGGCGAGCAGGCATGTTACATGCCCAGAGCAGGAGCAAGAAAGGGAGGGGGAAGGTGCCACACACTTTTTTTGTTTTTTTAGATGGAGTTTTGCACTCGTTGCCCAGGCTGGAGTATAGTGGTGCTATCACTGCAACCTCCGCCTCCCAGGTTTAAGTGATCCTCCTGCCTCAGCCTCCTGAGTAGCTGCGATTACAGGCATGGGCCACCACGCCTGGCCAATTTTTTTGTATTTTTAGTAGAGATGGGATTTCTCCATTTTGGTCTCAAACTCCTGACCTCAGGTAATCTGCCCACCTCGGCCTCCCAAAGGTCTGGGATTACAGGCGTGAGCCACAGTGCCCGGCCTGCCACACACTTTTAAACTACCAGATCTTGCAAGAGCTCAGTCACTATTGCAAGGACAATACCAAGAGAATGGCACTAAACCATTCATGAGAAATCCACCCCCATGATCCAATCACCACCCACCAAGCCCCACCTCCAACAATGGGAGTTACAATTCAACATGATATTTGGGAAGGGACACACATCCAAACTACATCAGTGACCAAGCTGGACCTGGGTCTGCCCACCCAGCACAGCAAAGCTAAACACTAACATGGTGATGGCAGTGAGAGAAAGTGAGGCATTTATTGTGAGGTGCCAACAAGAATCAGGCAGCTCAGGCTTAAGACACAAATTTAATGGCTTACATGTAAGGGTTTTTAAAGGCGGGAGGCAGAGGTTACATGCAAAGTAATAAATGAATACATGGAAGCTACACATTGGTTTGGCCTAAAAAGGTGGGACATCTTGAAGCAGGGAAGCTCATAGGTCATAGGTAGATTCAAAGATTTTCTGACTTGTTATTGGTTAAGCTTTGTCTAAAAACTTGGGGTCAGCAGAAAGGAATCTTGAGCTCTGGCCTGTGGGTGTGACTTCCTCCAGGACCCTTAGTAGGAAGAAATTTGGAATAGAGAACAGTGGTCACAGTTCAGTCCTCAATTCTCTCTTCTCTGAGGTCTATGTGCCAGTAGATGACATTTTCCATTTGGTATGGTCCAGGTTTCTGAAAAGCAACTCAAGAATATTGTTAAGGTGTAATCTTTAGTTTCTGTAGGGAACCGAACATTCTGTGGCTCAGACTTCCTTGGCTATTGTGTGAGGCTCTCGTCACCTTCTTGTTTTCTAGGTTGCTTATTTACTTCTCAAGGCTGGGTAGGTGCCTGGAATTTCCCTTAAAGAAACTCAAGATGTTCCTTTATTTCCATGCTTGTCGGGGGTGGCAGGCCTCCAAGAGGGGTCCCTGCTGCATCTCAAGCGTGGTCTATTCTCTCTCAGAACTTGTCAGATATTCTCCTTGCCTGTTGTTCTATACTTTCATGATGCCTTAGCAAGCCTCTGTTTTCACCGTAGGGCCTGTTGGCTCTTGGGAGCTGTTCAGTCTGGAAACACACTCGTTTTCTTCTGGGAAATGTCTCAGAGTTATTTTTCTTAATTTTCTGTCTTCTGTTTGGTTGGCTTTGTCTTTCGGCATTTCCTAGTTTTTGAATGTTGGACTTTCTAGATTGGACCTCTAACATCCTTATATTTTTCTCTTCTATCTGCCATCTCTTTTTATTTTTGTTCTACTTTTTGAGAGATTTCCTCAAATTTATCTTCTAGCCCTTTATCTGCTATCATGATTTTAATACATATAAAGAGTTCTTTGTTGTCTGAGTCAGTTTCTCTCTGTCTCTCTTCTCTCCCTCCTTTCCCTTCCTATCTCTCTTTCATGGCATTCTGTTCTAGTTCCATGAAAGCAGTATCTCCTCATACCTCTCTAAGGATATTAACCATATTTTTAAAATGTCTTCTTTCTGCACAGTTTCTGTTCACCCCAAGTGGCTTCCCCTTCCCCTTCCCCTGTTGCTTCTCTCTCCTGTTTATTTTGGGAGGGACTTAGCAGAACATCAGTGGGGCTTGTTAACGCTGAGCTCCCCTATAGAGTGATCCTGCTGGGGCCATTCTGTTAGCAAGATTGCTCTTTCTGGCTTGTCACATTTACCAGAAAGCATCCTCTTATCTCCTATCAGGAGGAGGGATGAAAGGCTCAGTGTTCTGGGAGCTGGGTAGGATCATACCTTTTCATGAAATTACCCTGATTTCATTTTGGCACTCTTACTTTCAGCCACGTATTTCTCAACCAAGAGAGCCCATTTGTCACCTCAGGGGTGGTAAGTTCAATCACTCAGCATGTGGAGGTGGGAGGGAGCCTGGAGATCAAACCACTTTGTAAACACATCACACTCTTCCTTATAGGTGCCTGTATTACTACTTCAAGGGGGCTTCTGGAGCCACTGGCTCCCAGTCATTTGAGGATTACTTGGGATAAACCAGTTGGTTCTCACATTTTCCAGCTCTGGCCCAGATCACGCTTGTGTGTCTGTGGAGTCAGCCTCCACTCCCCTTCCGCTTTTACAGCTTCCAAACATGTTTTTGTTTTGTTTACTCTTTTGTTTTCCCCATCATTAAAAAAACAAATCCCTTTGCTGTCATTTCAATGGCTCTATTAGGGAGTGAAATTGCATGCATGTGTTTAAACTGCCTATTTGCCTGATTGTTGAGAAAAGTTAATTTTATGTTTGTAATTTTACAAGGAAGACTCCTTTTAAAATTTTACTTAATTTAGTGAACTGACAAAATGCCATGTGAATCTAGTTTTCTGCTTTAAACATGCATGTTTTTTTTTTTTTTTTTGAGATGGAGTCTCGCTCTGTCACCCAGGCTGGAGTGCAATGGCGATCTCCACTCACTGCAAACTCTGCCTCCTGAGTTCACGCCATTCTCCTGCCTCAGCCTCCCGAGTAGCTGGGACTACAGGTGCCCACCACCACGCCCAGCTAATTTTTGTATTTTTAGTAGAGACGGGATTTCACCGTGTTAGCCAGGATGGTCTCAATCTCCTGACCTCGTGATCCGCCCACCTCAGCCTCCCAAAGTGCTGGGATTACAGGCATGAGCCACCGCGCCCGGTGAAACATGCATTCTTAACCTTTATAATACCTCTACAGTTGTAATGACAAGTTCAAAGTTATTTCCACAATATCTGTCTGACTTTGCCATTGGAGTATGAGAATGAGAACAATTGTGCCCAGTTGAATCTGACCACTTTACACCAGAGGTAGGAAGTGGTGGAAAAATTGCCCACGACTAAGACCTAAAAGGATGATTTTAAACTAGGGGCAGCTAGCTAGGAATCTTAGATCTGAAATCCTGGATGATATCCTTCCACTCCACATGAAAAACCCATCTATAATCTAATGTCCCATGGGACCCAGTCTTGCCTTCAGTGAATGCCGTAATAATTGCAAAAAGCAAACTCCAATTGTTACTTGCATCATTTGAAAAATAATTGAGGAGATCCACTTCACAACCCAAGGCTACTCATCTAAAACCTCCTTTGCTAGCCCGGCTTGGTGATGTGCGCCTGTAATCCCAGCTACTCAGGAGGCTGAGGCAGGAGAATTGATTGAACCCGGGAAGCGGAGGTTGCAGTGAGCTGAGATTGTGCCATTGCACTCCAGCCTGGGTGACAAGAGTGAAATTCTGTCTCAAAAAAGCCCAAACAACAACAACAACAACAACAAAAAACCCATGCTTCTCCTCCCCAAATAGCCCTCCAGAGTCTTCCATCACTCCTTTTGAGGCCCAGCCCATGTGGCTCTGCTCCCCACCCTCCTTCTCCTTGTCTCTGAACTCCTTGCTACATAGCGTGTTGCAGCATGTCTGGTTGAATCTGCATCGCTTTATTTTTTTCTCCTGGTGCTACATCAGCAGCTGGGTCTAACCCAGAGGCTCTTTCTAGCGGGTCAGGGAGGTGGAGAGTCCAACAGGGTAAGAAGAACATTTTTCTTATCTAGCTGTGGAGTGACAGAGAGAGGGCTGGCTAGGGACATAAGAAATCATATCTCCTTTATACTTCATGTAAAAGATCTGATATTATTCCAGATATATTTACCTGGAATAAATCCTCAAGATTAAAGCCTTATGGTTTTTTTGGGTAAACATTTGCAGTGATAAGGCATAAGAGACATCACTTTTCATTCCTATGTTCTTTTTGCTTTTCTATTTTCACTTTCTGAAACAGAAAAGTAATGATCTTTATTCCTCTTTCCTTATGTATGTGTTGTCATGATTTTGTTACAAATAATCATCTTCAGGTAAATGTATTGTATTAGTACAAGGTTTTAGATATCAATTAATTAATTCATCCATTCATTCATTCAACAGGCGTTTGGTTCTTCTCTCTCCAGGCCTGGGCTGACATGAAACTCATCGTTATAATGGTATATGATGAGGTGGTGGAGTCAGGGCCTCAGGCAGGGATAAAGCTCAGAGGGAGAAGATAGAGTGGGGCTGGAGGAACCTGTAAGGACCACTGCCCCATTCTGACACCATGGCCCTTTATTTATTTTTATTATTATGTTTTTGAGATGGAGTCTCCCTTTGTCACCCAGGCGGGAGTGAAGTGGTGAGATCTTGGCTCACTGCAACCTCCACCTCCCACGTTCAAGTGATTCTCCTACCTCAGCCTCCTGAGTAGCTGGGATTATAGGCGTGCACCACCACAGCAGCTAATTTTTGTCTTTTTAGTAGAGATGGGGTTTCACCATGTTGGCCAGGCTGGTCTCAAACTCCTGACCTCAAGTGATCTGCCCACCTTGGCCTCCCAAAGTGCTGGGATTACAGACATGAGCCACCGCACCCAGACAGGCCCTTTAAAGAAGACCTCAATGACCACTTCCTGGAGAGGAAATCTGGTGCCTTTGGCAGGGAATGATTTATTTCTTTATGTTGATAATAACCATCTGCTGGAGTTGAACCAAGAATTATATGTCTGCACTGAAGGAAATCATTTAGGAATATTTCTCTATATTGCAGAGCCCTGGATATAACAACATTGCAGCAACAAATATTAATTGCAACAAGTGTTTTTGGCAGGTTACCGTCTCGTTTACATATCTCACCTGAATGAGGCTCCTCTTTTTCCGACCTCTCTCTGGACATTGTAAAAGAAAATAAAATTTCAGGGCCCTATAAATTTTTATACCATGGGGGAACTTAAGCCTGGAGACTGAGTCACGTAGCATGTTGTTTGCAATTCTGCTTCTTATTATAGCTTAACTCTCTTACTCACTGTTCTTGTCCTAGAATTGACTAGGAGAGACCAGATACCAGATCTACCCACCTTCCAATCACTGATCTTGGTTATAGATTGACTGCCTCATTTATTGTCCTGTACCTAACTCAGACCAGATGGTACACAAGACTTGATGATGTTGCAGGGTAAACCCTGAAACGGGGGCTTAGCCCAGGAGGCCACATGGGTTTTTTGGCTTTGCACAGGAAAGAATTCAAGAGTGAGCTGACAGAGAGAGTGAGAGCAAGTTTATTAAGAAAGTAAATGAATAAAAGGGCGATTACTTCATAGGCAACCCTCAGGGCTGCTGGTTGGCTATTTTTATGGTTGTTGCTTGATCATATGCTAAACAAAGTGTGGATTATTGATGAGTTTTCTGGAAACTGGTGGTGAATCCTCAAAACCCGGGGTTCCTCCTCTTTTTGGACCATATAGGGTAACTTCTGGAAGTTACCATGGCATCTGTTAACTGTCATGGCGCCAGTGGGAGTGTCTTTTAGCATGCTGATGCACTATATAATTAGCATATAATAAGCCATGAGGACAACCAGAGGTTGCCTTTGTAGCTGTCTGTGTTCTAGCTGGTTTGGACTGGCTTCTCTGCCACATCAGCAGGGTCTTTGTGACCTGTGTCTTGTGAAACAAGTCCTTGCAAACTCCTATCTCAATGACAGTTATATCTTCAGTGTGGAATGTAAATATACTTTTCCTGAAAGGAAAAAAGCCCTGGCGATTCTTTCGGTGCCGCTTTGCCAGCTGGAAACCTCTGTCCGGTGGTGCCTTTGCTCGGGCTTTGCTTGGTTCTGGGCTTGGCACTGGGCTCACTCCTCCCACTTAGCCTGGCGGGCTGCGCTCAGTTCTTGCTACTGTCCCAGATCCTTCACCTTCTGTGGGCAAGCCAGGTGCAGAGCGGCAAAAGGTGTGTGAGCCAGTGAGCAGAGGGTCCGGCCACAGTGCACAGCCAGTCATGCCGGCTGTTGTGGTTGGGTGGGCAGCTCTAGGTGCCAGCACAGGCATGGGCTCCATGAAAGGCTGCAGCTGGACCAGGTGTGCCTTGAATGGCTTCCACCTTGGGTGCTGGCATCTGGATGAGGGCAACACAGTGGCTCCCAGAAACTCGGAGACACAGCAACCCTGGAGCCCCAAGCGGGTGTTACAGTGGGTCACAACTCTGGCTCAGGGAGTCCCGAGGTCTCGGCCCCCAGAGGGTCACAGCTCTTCTCTCATAGTCTGGTGAATGGGAGTGCATCACCGCCTGCAACTTGGTGGGCCAGCCAGGAATATGTTTCAGCTCGTTTGCCCACTGCTGCTTCCTGTCACATGGGGAGGCCACCTGGCAATGGCAGAGGGCAGGAGGGCTACAGTGTTACAGCTCCTTTCTCACCCACTGTTTGGTGGGTCTTGGGTTCTTGTCCAAGAAGAATGAGGTTACATGGACAAGCGGAGAGTCAGCAAGGCAGAGAAGAGTTTTATTGAGTGACAGAACAGTTTTTGACATGAGAGGGGACCCGAAGTGGGTAACCCATATCTGAAGGTGGGTAGTCCCAACATGTAGCTGAGTCCAGGGGTTTCATGGGCTCAGAATGGGGGAGTGTGTGCTGATTGGTCCATAAGCAGTCCTGGAAAAAGCACCATTTGACTGGCTATAAAAGCATCAAGGAAGTTCTCACTCAGGTCATGGACTCTACCTGGAGCTGGCTGCCTGGTTTTCAGGCTTCAGGCTGTCTATGGCTTGAAGATCAGGTTTCATTGGGGACCTGCCCCTGTCTGCCTAGGAATTTGTCTGCCTTCTACTGCTATCAACACTTTGGCTCATCAGATTGTTGTAATTATGCATTCAGCCTTCCATAGAAAGATGTTAGGCCAGGTGCAAGCGGCTCACACCTGTAATCCCAGCACTTTGGAAGGCCAAGGCAGGCGGATCATGAGCTCAGGAGGTCGAGACCATCCTGGCTAACACGGTGAAACCCCGTCTCTACTAAAAAATGCAAAAAAAAATTAGCTGGTTGTGGTTGCAGACCCCTGTAGTCCCAGCTACTCAGGAGGCTGAGACAGGAGAATCGCTTGAACCCGGGAGGCGGAGGTTGCAGTGAGCCAAGATCATGCCACTGCATTCCATCCTAGGTGACAGAGTGAGACTCCATCTCAAAAAAAAAAAAAAAAAAAAAAAAGAAAGATGTTGAAATTCTGTTAAGCTTCCCTAAGCTTTGTTCATACAAGCAATCCCAAACTTCTACTACACTTTGAAGCACAGATTTCCATTCTTTGGAATACATTCTTCCCAAGTGGGCTGTCCTCAACTTTGTACTGTTGGGATAAATTCTCTTTGAACTAGATTCTGAACCTTTTGATTATTTTAGGTTGACAATACTGTTGGGACATTGGCTTTAAAAGAGACCTGAGAAATCACAGGCTTGGGTGGCTTTCCTTTCATGCTGGGCATCAAATTTTCCAAATTTTCCTAGTGGAGGCTCCTGCACCAGAGTCAGGATTTCTGCAGAGATCACAGGGTGAGCACGTTCTTAAGGTAAACGTGAATTAAGCAAATGCACAAACATATGCACAAACAACTTTTGCTGTCAGAGTCATTCCAATTTGCAGAATCACTGGGCTTGAAATGACTTCCCTATACCCTGTGTTCAGGTGGAGTGGAGCCACCAACAGCTAAGACAGGAGGCAGGAATAGTCTAATTTCTGAACAACTGACCTTTGTCCAAAAATGAGCGCTGACTGGCAACCTTGGTTTACAATTGTGCTTTCCACCTCACACTACCCAGAGGAGGAGAATGGCAAAGCCCAGAAAACCAGCCAACCAGCAGCCACTCATCAGAATCCCTGCAGTCACTCAAGAATCTGCAGGTTAGATAGAGCATAATTTCCAGGAGGGATTATTTCACTCTCCTGTTTGAGCATACAGTTGGAATGAGGGGCCTTTGCTCTCTCTTTCCAGGAAATTTCCCCTGCAACAATTTTTCTGCCCTTGCTTCATTCAGCAGACATCACTGAGAACGTGTTCAGTGGGAATAGGATTGTGCCTCTGTGATACTGTGAAATATATATTTGGGCTTCATCTGTTTCCTGGCACATGGCTCATAAAACACTTGGAATCTCCAGAGTGATGAGTCTTTTGTATGTCAATGAAATGACTGCTGGTTGGGGGCCCCTGAATAGCCTCAGGATGGGGCTGGTTCCCAGGGGAACCAACCATGTGGTCAGAGGGTTGGAACTTTCAGCTCCGATGGGACCTCCTGGGAGGGAAGAGGGGCTGAAGATTGAGTTGACCACCAATGGCCAATGATGTCATCAGTCATGCCTACATAATAAAGCTTCCATGAAACCCCAAAAGAGCAGAGTTTGGGGAGTTTCTGGCTAGCTGAACACGTAGAGATTCCTGGAGGGTGGTGTTCCCGGAGAGGGCATGGAAGCTCCATACCCCTTCTCTCATATGCATCTCCCTAAGCATCTCTTCATCCTCAGACATCCTTACATAATCTGTATCCTTTTTCATATATTTTATAATAAATGGATAGATGTAAGTGAAGTGTTTCCTTGATTTCTGTGAGCTCCTGTAGCAAATTAAACAAACTTAAGGAGAGGGTCATGGGAACCCCTATGTATAGCCACTGGGTCAAAAGCACAGGTTAAACAACCTGGGGCTTGGTTGGTGTCTGAAGTAGAAGAGGCCGTCTTGTGGGACTGATCCCTTAACCTGTGGGATATGACCCTACATATCCCAACCTGCCTGCTAACTATAGGCAGGTTGTGTCAAAATGGAATCGAATTATAAGACTCCCAGCTGGTGTCCACTGGAGAACTGGTTGATGTGTAGGGAAAACCCCCACACATCTAATGTCAGAAGTGAGTGGTGAGTGGTAGTGAGAATAGGAGAAATACCTTGGTTTTTCCTGTCTCTTAGCCTCCTTCTACCTGTAGGGGCTTAGGTCTCAAGGGGAGAGATGGCAGGTGGAGATAGTCCCCTCTGATCCCAGGTGGCAGGTCCATCAGCACTGATGTGGTCCCTGTCCCCATCTTTCCCCTTATGGCACCCAGCACTCAACCTCCCTTAAGCTCTCCATGCTGAGCAAATAGATGTCTCTGCATGCAACTGATACCCTCTGTGTTTCCCAAGAGACACAGACAACAAAGAAGAGCCAGAGGGTCCAGGTAGCCCTCAGACCACCTCTTTCCCATAGGGACGACTGCCTGCTCTCTTGTTTGCTTCCACTTCCAGGTGGCCTCTGGAGGGATGGGGACAAGGAGCTTGGTGCCTTTTCTCTGTTGGGATGGCATGTGCTCAGGCCCGGGAGGAGGCCTGCTCATGGCCCGTGGACTACAGGTTACATGGCAAGTATGATCAATGCCACCAGGAATAGCAGCAGCTCTCTGGAGGCTGAAAGCTATTATAGGCACCCATGATGCTGGGCTCTAATGACAGCCCAGAGAGGAGGCTGCAACACGAGCTTGTCCCCTGAGACTCAGAGCTTTGCCCCCTACAAGAATCTGTCCTTCATGACCAGCCAGCATCTGGTACTTGCCCCTCCAACAGCAACAACAGCAAATCGAATTGCAAAGGGCTTCCTCGCTACCAAGCACGTTCACTTGCTCGACCTCATCCCTGCCATCCGTAGGCCTGTCCCTTGAATGGGGATTCAAGGGCCTAGGTGGCCAGCTACTGCAGCAGGTCCCTGAGCTAGACTCTGAGCACAGAATCCCCACTCCATGCACTGCCTGTGGTCAGAGCTTCATTCTACTCGCCCAGTTTGTTTAAATCCCACACTTCAGAACAATCACGACCAGTAAGTCCCTCTACCCTGAAATTGCAAAACAAATGGCCTCAGTGGAAAGAGTGTGTGTGTCCATCTTTCAGGACCGGCCGGTGCCCTTTCTGGCCATTTCCACTTCTCATACAGAGCAAAGCCACCAAGTGGCAGGTTTTATGAAGTCAGCCTGTCCTGAGAACGTAAAAGGTTTGGCTGAAGTGGGACATATGTAAACACAGGATGTGAGTGTCTGGAGGGTTTCTAAAACCTTTTCGGGTTAACCTTCATGGCCTGCCCTGTCCTGGCCCTGCTGCGTGGCCTCAGGATCTAGTGGGGCTCATGGAAGGAGGTCTGTAGTTTTCCCTGGGAATAATTGCAGAGTATTCCTGTCTTTTATCATCAGGAACCTAATACACATCCTTAGGCAGCAGTTCAAACAATTCCCAGTAAATTCTGGCCTCAGTGAAGATGATGAAAAAAGGCCTGGTCACTTTTGCAAGAAAGCCCTTCCTGGACCTCTGGATGTGGATGCATCTTTCTGCCAGCGGGAGGTTCTCCCCTGAGATCCTGTCATTGCCCACTCAGCCCTTCTGCTTGTTGGAACTCCTACCCAGTACTAGACAAAAACACAAACTGGCAAGCCACAGAAAAGAGACGGAAAGGCTGACACCCCCACAAGGAGATGCTAAACCTCACTTGTCATCGGAAAAATGGATTGCCGGGGCATCTCTGGAATTGGAGGGGCCTGGGTGTCCACCAAAGCAAAGATCCACATGGTGGATGCAGCATCTAGAGTGCAGGGGACTAGATGTTTATGAAGCGTAACAGAATCAGTTAGAAAAGGGAAACTGCACTACCTGCGACAAACAGAGAGAAGAGCATGCAGAAGTATCTTGGCTATGCCAGGTTCAAGAGCAAAGAAGACACAGGCCAGGTGCAGTGCTGTGCATTGTAAATCCCTGCTATTGTGGATGCTGAGGTTGGAGATCGCTTGAGCTCAGGAGTTTGAGTCCAAGTCTAGCCTGGGCAACATAGTAAGACCCAGTCTCTAAAAAAAAGAAAGACAATTTAGGAAGCTGCAGACAACAAGCCTGGGAATGTTGAACGTCACTATAGGTTCTCATTTCCAGCATCACAGTGTAGAGAGGAGTGGCCTTGGGCTGAGACCCAGAATCTGACCCCACAGCAGCAGAGATGGATATTGAGAGCACTGCGCTGGGGGAGGAAAGAAAAACACAAGATGATTCATGAGATAGGTGTGCAACATTATCTTTATGCAATTAAAAATATATGTACACACACAAGAAGACCCCACACATGGGGTGTGATGGTTAATACTGAGTGTCGACTTGATTGGATTGAAGGATGCAATATTGATCCTGGGTGTGTCTGTGAGGGTGTTGCCAAAGGAGATTAACATTTGAGTCAGTGGGCTAGGGAAGGCAGTCACCTTAGTCAGGTGGACACCATCTAATCAGCTGCCAGTGAATATAAAGCAGGCAGAAAAACGTGAAGAGATGGAACGGGCCTAGCCTCCCAGCCTACATCTTTCTCCCATGCTGGATTCTTCCTGCCCTCAAACATCAGACTCCAAGTTCTTCAGTTTAGGGACCCGGACTGGCTCTCCTTGCTTCTCAGCTTGCAGACAGCCTATTGTGGAATCTTGTGATTGTGTAATCTTGTGATTGTGTAAATTAATACTTAATAAACTCCTCTTTATCTATCATCTATCTATCAATCTATCGATCAATCTATCTACCATCTACTATCTATCTATCTATCTATCTTTCTATCTACCTATCATCTATCTGTCTAATTAGTTCTGTCCCTCTAGGAGAACCCTGACTAATACATGGGACAATGACACACACAAACCAGTCTACACAATAAAAGCCTTAGAGTGAATTCCTAATGCTGGAGGAGGGGGAAAGGTAGGGGTGTGGGGATACAAAGGGGCATAAATAAGCAAGCACCAATAACAAGAGGGGAGCCTTGTGTGGACAGTAATCCCAATGTGCCGAGAACCTCTGCCCAGAGGATTAGAAACCAACCACACCAGCCATGACATGACACTGGTGCACACCCACCAGAAGGACTCTGATCCTAAAGGTGGGAAAGCCAAGCTCAGGAGAAGAGGTGGAATAACTGGAAGTCTCTGTGCTGCTGGTGGGGATGCAGACTCATACAGCCATTTGAGAAATTGAATTTGGCTGATTGTCCTAAAGCCGAAAAATTGCACATCTAGGAATTCCAAGGTGTATCCCAACGGATCCTATGTTACCCAAAGACACGACCAGGAATGTGCATAGCAGCACTAGTTGTAACAGGTGCTGACTGGGAATAGCTCCATCACCCCTCAGAAGTAGAATGCGTAAATCATTTGTAGTATATTTACACAACATGATACTACACAGGGACAACCTACAACTACATACAATAGAGATGAATCTCAACAATTAATGTGGAGGAAAAGGAGCCAGGCACACAGAGTACATACTGTATGTTTCCATTGATAGAAAATACAAAAGCAGAGAAAATTGATCTGTGTTTGTTAAAAGTCAGATAGTGCTCACTCTTGGTGGAGGGGTGGTTAGAAATGCAAAGGGCACCCAAGGGTGCGGCTGGGGGCGGCTGGGAGTGCTGGAGGTGCTCTGCATCTCCATCTAGGTGCTGGTTACATGGGTGTGTTCACTTCGTGAAAATCCATCAGGCCCTTCATTTCTGTTAACTTTCAAATAAAAAATGAAAAAAGAAAGAAAGAAAAGCAATTTAAATTGTAGTAAGGAGACTGGGAGCGGTGGCTCATCCCAGCACTTTGGGAGGCCGAGGTGGGTGGATCACTTGAGGTCAGGAGTTCAGGACCAGCCTGGCCAACATGGTGAAACCCCATTTCTACTAAAAATACAAAAATTAGCCAGGCATGGTGGCGTGGCCCGTAATACCAGCTACTTAGGAGGCTGAGGTAGGAGAATCACTTGAACCCGGGGGGTGGAGGTTGCAGTGAGCTGAGATTATGCCACTGCACTCCAGCCTGGGTGACAGGGCAAGACTCTGTCTCAAAAAAAAAAAAATTGTAGTGAGGCATTAAGAGACATACAAATAGTAGGACAGAAGGCAGAGGAAATTTTGCTTATTGACAAAATCCCAACACTTCGGGAGGCCAAGGCAGGTGGATCACAAGGTCAAGAGATCGAGACCATCCTGGCCAACATGGTGAAACCCTGTTTCTACTAAAAATACAAAAATTAGCTGGGCGTGGTGGCACACACCTGTAGTCCCAGCTACTCGGGAGGCTGAGGCAGGAGAATCGCTTGAACCCAGGAGGTGGAGGTTGCAGTGAGCCGAGATCATGCCACTGCAATCCAGCCTGGTGACAGAACGAGACTCCATCTCAAAAATAAAAATAAAAATAAAATAAACAGACTGAGGGCTTACCACATATGGGGTCTGGGGTCAGAAGACAGAGATAGACCGACTTGATTCCTGTTTGTGGTAATGGACACAATGAACAGAAATACACATGTATGCTCGTGCACATGCATGCTCACACATATGTGTGTACACACACACGTGTGTGCACTTGGCGACTTTCTATTCTAACTTTTCTGCACCCTGAATTTCTCATGTCGCAGCATCTGTTGCTGATTACTTTATATTCATACATTAGTTCTTCTCCTGACTTCCCATAGCTCAGGTCAAAAGCTGTGGAGTCATCTCCAGTGCCTGCTGTTCTTCACGTCCCACACCCGGTGCTTTAGGAGGCATCTATCTCGAACCGCCCACTCCCACCCTCCTTGCGCCCCTCAGCCTCTCACTTGCGTGGTCACAGTGGGCTCTCCGCTGGATTCCCAGTACTCACTCCAGACTCCCTATATTGCTTTGCCCATACAGCCACTCAAATGAGCCTTCTGAGGTTTAAATTGGATCATGTGGTGTTGCTGCTTCTCAGTGCCTTTAGACTAAAGTCCAGTCCTCTCCCAACCACCCTGCTGCTCCCCTATTTCTCTGCACCTCCCTTTCTCCCCTCCAGACACACCACCCTCTCCTCTCAAGAGCTTGTGGCTGGCTAGGCGTTCTCTCGGGAGCATCCTTCCCCACCTCTTTGCAGTCATCACTCTTTCCAATTGTTCACACCTCTGCCTAAATATCTCCTCAGAGGACCCTTCCCTGACCCTCCCATTCAAAAATGGCACCTGACTTCTAGCGTGCTTGAGTTTCATCAAAGCCCTTCTCTGGGCCGGGCGCGGTGGTTCACACCTGTAATCCTAGCACTTTGGGAGGCCAAAGTGGGTGGATCACTTAAGGTCAGGAGTTTGAGACCAGCCTGGCCAACATGGTGAAACCCTGTCTCTACTAAAAATAAAAAAATTAGCTGGGCGTGGTGGCATGTGTCTGTAATCCCAGCTACTCAGGAGGCTGAGGCAGGAGAATCGCTTGAACCTGGGAGGCAGAGGTTGCAGTGAGCTGAGATTGCACCATTGCACTCCAGCCTGGGGGACAAGAGCGAAACTCCATTTGAAAAAAAAAAAAGCCCTTCTCTGATGTTGTCTATCTATCTATCTATCTATCTATCTGTCTATCTATCTATCTATTATCTATCTATCTATCTATCTATCTATCTATCTATCTATCGTCTATTTATAGCTATCATCTATTTATCTGTCATCTATTATCTATCATGTATATATGTACAATGTATGTACATATCTATCTATTTATATATTTATTTATTTATTTTTTGAGATGGAGTTTCACTCTTGTCGCCCAGGCTGGAGTGCAGTGGCACCATCTCAGCTCACTGCAACCTCCGCCTCCAGGGTTCAAGTGATTCTCCTACCTCAGCCTCTGATGTAGCTGGGATTACAGGCATGTGCCACCATGCCCAGCTTATTTTTTATTTTTAGTAGAGACGGGGTTTCTCCATGTTGGTCAGGCTGGTCTTGAACTCCCGACCTCAGGTGATCCACTCGCCTCGGCCTCCCAAAGTGCTGGGATTACAGGCGTGAGCCACTGTGCCCAGCTGTATCTATTAATCTGTCTAATCTATTATCTGTCTTTTATTTACCTTTCTCTTTCTCATCTATCTTTATCTCTGTCAACCATCTGTCTATTATACATTTACTAATATTTCTTTTTCTTTAGATCTCTTGATTCTTATTTTGATTTTATTTTTGTAAGAAGACTTCACATAAGATCTCTCTTAACAGATTTCTAGTTGACAATACAGTATTGCCAACTACAGGCACAATGTCTTGGAGCAGATCTCTAGAACTTATTCATGTGGCACAGATGAAACTTCATATCCATTGAGTAGCAACCTCCCATTTTCTCCTCCCCCAGCCTCTGGCAACCACCATTCTACTCTATTCCTGTGAGTTTGACTACTTTAGACACCTCCTGTAAGTGGAATCATGCAGTATTTGTCCTCCTGCACCTGGTTTATTCCACTGAGCATGATATCCTCAAGGTTCATTTGTGTTGTCACAAATGGCAAGATTTCCCTCTTTTGTAAGGCTGGATAACATTCCATTGTATGTGTGTACCACATGTTTTATCCATTCATCTGTCGATGGACATGATGGTTATGTTTCCATCTTGGCTATTGTGAATAATGCTGCAGGGGACATGGGACTGCAGATATCTTTCTGAGATCCTGATCTCAATTCTTTTGGATAAATACCAAGAAGTAGGATTGCTGGATCATATGAGAGTTCTATTTTTAATTTTTTGAGGAATTGTTCCATATTGTTTTCCATAGCAGCTGCATCATTTTGCATTGCCACCAACTGGGTACAAGGGTTCCAATTATTCCACATCCTCTCTAACACTTGTATTTTAATTTTAATTTTTTTAAATTTTTGAGACAGAGTCCTTCTCTGTCTTGCCCAGGCTGGAGTGCAGTGGCATGATCTTGGCTCACTGCAGCCTCTGCCTCCCAGATTCAAGTGATTCTCCTGTCTCAGCCTCCTGAGCAGCTGGGATTACAGGTGCGGGACACCACACCTGGCTAATTTTGTATTTTTAGTAGAGAGAGGGTTTCACCACATTGGCCAGGCTGTTCTTGAGCTTCTGAACTCATGTGATCCACCCACCTTGGTCTCCCAAAGTGCTGAGATTACAGGCATGAGCCACCGTGCCCAGCCAACACTTGTATTTTTGTTGTTGTTAATAATAGCCATTCTAACAAGTGTGAGGTGATATCTCATTGTGGTTTTGATTTGCATTTCCCTGATAATTAGTGATGTTGAAAATCTTTTCATATACCTGTTTGCCATTTGTATGTTTTTGGAGAAGTGCCTATTCAAGTCCTAATCCCATTTTTAATTGAGTTATTAATTTTTTGTTTTGCTTTTTCTATTGAGTTTTATGAATTCCTATATGCTTTGGAAATCAGCCTCTTATCAGATATACAGTTTACAGATATTTTCTCCCATTGCATAGGTTGCCTTTTCACTCTGTTGATTGTTTTCTTTGCTGTGTTGAAGCTTTTTAGTTTGATGTAATCCCACTTGTCTATTTTTGCCTTAGTTATCTGTGCTTTTAGTGCCAGATCCATTAAATCATTGCCAAGGCCAATGTCATGAAGATTTCCCTTATGTTTTCTTTTCTTTTTTTTTTTGAGATGGAGTCTTGGTCTGTTACTCAGGCTGGAGTGCAGTGGCATGAACTCAGCTCATGACAACATGACAACCTCTGCCTTCCGCGTTCAAGCAATTCTCCTGCCTCAGCCTCCTGAGTAGCTGGGACTGCAGGCACGCACCACCACACCTGGCTAATTTTTATATTTTTAGTAGAGACAGGGTTTCACCATGTTGACCAGGCTGGTCTCAAACTCCTGACCTCAGGTGATCCACCCAGCTCGGCCTCCGAAAGTTCTGGGATTACAGGCATGAGCCACTGCGCCTGGCCGATCCCTTATGTTTTCTTTTAGGAGTTTTACAGTTTCAGGTCTTATATTTAAATCTTTAATCCATTTTGAGTTGATTTTTGTGTATGGTGTAGACAAAGGACACATTTCATTCTTTTGCATGTTTCATTCTTTTCTGGTTTTCCCAACACCACTTACTGAACTTCTTTCATCAAAGTTTTGTAGTTTTCAGTGTTCAAGTCTTTCATCTTTTTAGTTACGTTTATTCCTAAGTATTTTATTTCTTTTGATGCTATTGAAAATGGTATATTATCTATCTTTCTATCTAGCCTATTATCTATCTATCATCTATCTATCTATCTATCTAATCTAGCTCTATCATTTCTAATCTATCATCTTTCTATTATCTATCATCTATCTATCTATCTATCTATCTATCTATCTATCTATCTATCTATCATCTAATATGTTTTCTTTCTCCACAGACAGACTGTGACTTCTTTGAGAGCAGAAATTCCATCTGCCTGGTTGATAGAACTGGTACATAGTAGATTCTCTATAACTATTTCCTGACTTATTGAATTCTTTTTTTTCTCTGGGGGAGTCTTGCTCTGTTGCCCAGGCTGGAGTGCAATGACGTAACCTAGGTTCACTGCAACCTCTGCCTCCCAGGTTCAATCCATTCTCCGGCCTCAACCTCCTGAGTAGCTGGGATTACAGGTGCCTGCCACCATCCCCAGCTAATTTTTGTATTTTTAGTACAGACAGGGTTTCACCATGTTGGCCAGCCTTGTCTCCAACTCTTGACTTCGTGATTTGCCCGCCTCAGCCTCCCAAAGTGCTGGGATTACAGGCGTGAGCCACCGCGCCTGGGCTTGAATTCTTTTTAATGTCTATGCAGCATGTTAAAGTGGGTATACTATAATTTATTCTCTACAGTCCTTGGTTGATAGAATTGATGCCAGTCTTTAACTTTTACTTCAATAAATATCCTTGTATATATGCCAACCAGGACTTTTGTTGGACTACAATTAACTTCAAGATGAATTGGTGAAAGAGTAAAAAAATGATTCATCTCTGTTTTTCTAAACAGTGTGCCAGTTGTCCCATTCTGACTTAGGGAATAATCTGTCTTTCTCCCGCTAATAAAATAAGACACTAATATGTAAGGCACTAATCTCTCACTTATACCACAAGGGCCTGGAGCTGTGACTTAAGTACTTGGGCCTTTCTTCTCTGTGTGGGGAGCAGCCCAGACTCCAGGCCAACCCCTAGGCTCTCTGCATCGGGTTGCTCTCCACTCCCTACAGCAGGACCAAGACCAGCCTGAGTTGAAGGAGGTACTGATGCTCAGAATTCAGGGGGGCCCTCACTTGGGTGATGCTGGGTGCCAGTCCCTCCTTAAATTTTGCAACCTAGGTACGTGACTTGCCTCACCCAGTCCCAACCCTACCCCTAAGGTTGTGTTCTTACTGTGTGACCACAGATGGTTACTACCGTGGGTGGAGCCACGCTGGGCTAGGGGATACCCAGGGGAAGTTACTTGCTTTTAAGTTAGAGATGATCAAGTACACAGAATTCCCTATAGCCCAGCACTGCAGCCACAGGCACATGCAACTATCTGAGCACAAGAAATATGGCTAGTGCAACTAACTGCATCTTTAACAATGTCTTATTTTAATTAATTTAAATTTAAATTTAAATGCCCACATGTGGCTAGTGGCTACTGAATGGGATGGCACAGGGGGATCCACACTGAGAACTTCAGCTTTCCTCTCTCTGGCCAAGACTTGGTCACATGGCTGTACTTGAGTAGAGAGAGCCCGGGGGTGTCGTCCCTGGCCAGACAGCCATGGACCCAGCTCCGCACTGGGGAGGGTGAGAGGCAGGCTTGGTGCCACTGAAAAGACTGAGGGGACACTGGGCCCCCCAGGGGATCAGCACTGAGGGCCACAACCTCAAACTCTAAGAGTCACCTGCATCTGGCATTATCTTTCCATATTTATGTTTATACTTGGGCCTCTTTCTGGTCTTTCCAAGTAGTCCGTCAATCTGTTTGTCCTATCAAGCTATTTGATTTTCTGTATCATTATAATGTTTTATCATCTGGTAGAGCAAATCTTCCCTGTTTTCTCTTCTTTTGCAGAACTTCCTTGGGTATTCTCACATGTTTAGTTTTTCTGCAATAAGCTAAATGTCAGTATGTAGTTCAGAAGAGAATCCTGTTGTTTTTACATGAATCCACATTTATTTCACGTTCATTTATAATATGGTTTGATGAGAACCCACTTGGTTACATTATGGAGGCTTTGATCCAGCAAGAAGATCTGAGATATCTTTTATTCAAATTTTGTTTTACATCTCTTGATGAATTTTTTTTTTTCTTGGACAACGCCTCACTCTCACCCAGGCTGGAGTACAGTGGCACAATCATGGCTCACTGCAGCCTCAACCTCTCAGGCTCAAGCGATATTTCCACTTCAGCCTCCTGAGTAGCTGGGAATACAGGCATGCACCGCCACACCAGGATAATTTTTTTGTATTTTTTTTGTAGAGACTGGGTTTCGCCATGTTGCCCAGGCTGGTCTCGTACTCCTGGTCTCAAATGGTCCTCCTGCCTTGGCCTCCCAAAATATTGGGATTACAGGCGTAAGCCACCATGCCTGGCCCACTTGCTGGAGTTTTAATGTTTTTTCCATACAAGTCTGCATGGCTTGTAACTTTTCACATATGTTGTTGCTGTTGCCATTGTAAAGATAATCCTTTCTTCCTTTTTTTTCTTCCTTCAAACTTTATATATAGAAAAGAAGTTCTGTGCAGTATGTAGTTTCTTGCCAGCAACCTTATTGTTTTTAAGGCATTTCAGTTGTATCTGGATTTCCCAAGCACATGGAGGTGCCATCTTTCAATTTTGCCTTCCTTAGTATAATTTTTCATCTCTTCGGGTTTTCTCTTGCCTTAAATTGACATTTAATAATGGCAGAGACATAATGAAAATATGTCTGATGTTTTGATATCAAGTTTAATACTTATTTTTGGTTTAAGATATGCTTTGTATCATAATATGCACTTATTGTTATTAAGTGTTTTAAAATTTTAATCAGGAATTCTGAATTTTTAAAGTGCCATTTTAGCTGTATGCAGACAATTATGTGGTTTTTTCTTCTTTGACTTATTAATATAGTGAATTGTGTTAATAGATTCTTAATTTGAATTTTCCTTGCATTCCTGTGGGATAAATTCTATTTGGCCATGATTTATTATTATTTTAATATGTTTTAGAATTAGATTTGCTAATATTTTATTTCGGTTATTTGCAGAGATTGTTTTTTGTATGCTATTTCTTCTGCACTTTTTGCCCCCAGATCTTGCCATTCCCAGCAATGTGCTGTCTTTTCTGCAGACCTCTGCAGGGCGCCTCATGTCTGCAAACCTCCATGCCCATTCAGGGCTTTGTCCACCCACCTGCGTAGTTTGCAGTGTACTCGGTGGTTTTTCATAGGGTGTCACTCTTGGTTTTGCTTGTTTTTATTTTTTTTTAATTAATTAATTTTTTTATTTTTATTTTTATTTTTGAGACAGAGTCTGGCTCTGTTGTCCAGGCTGGAGTGCAGGGGTGTGATCTCAGCCCACTGCAATATCTGCCTCCCAGGTTCAAGTGATTCTCTTGCCTCAGCCTCCCAAAAAGCTGGGATTACAGGCACGTGCCACCATGTCCGGCTAATTTTGGCATTTTCGTAGAGATGAGGTTTCACCATGTTGGCCAGGCTGATCTCAAATTCCAGACCTCAAGCGATCCCCATGCCTTGGCCTCCCAAAGTGCTGGGATTACAGGCGTGAGCCACCATGCCTGGCAGGTTTTACTTGTTTTTAATTTTCAAAGATGTACTTTCCTTTTTGGTGAATAGAATATGGAGATGTACTAGGTTTGAATCCTTTATTTAAATGCAAACTCCTGGGCAAGTTTGTTTACCTCATCATGCCTCAGTTTCCTCATTTGTAAAATGGAGATAATGATCACACCTATCTCATAAGGCTGTTGGGGGAATAGATGGATTGTGAATATATGCAGACTTCTTAAAAGGGCATCCAGCACGCAGCAAACATTATGTAAATGCTTGGTTCATTTGGTTAGCTTCAGAGAATCTCAGATTTAACAGGAAGAGCCCAATACTGGTTTTTGTTTTGTTTTGTTTTTTGAGATGGAGTCTCATTCTGTCGCCCAGGCCAGAGTGCAGTGGCGGGATCTTGGCTCACTGAAACTTCCGCCTCCTGGGTTCAAACGATTCTTCTCTGTCAGCCTCCTGAGTAGCTGGGATTACAGGAGTGCACCACCATGCCTGGCTAATTTTTGTATTTTCAGTAGAGACAGGGTTTCACCATGTTGGCCAGGCTGGTCTCAAACTCCTGACCTCAGGTGATCCACCCGAGTTGGCCTCCCAAAGTGCTGGGATTACAGGTGTGAGCCACCGGTGCCAGGTCCCCAATACTGTTTTGATGCTTTCTTTTCTTTTTTTTTTTTCAGACGGAGTCTCGCTCTGTTGCCCAGGCTGGAGTGCAGTGGCGTGATCTTAGCTCACTGCAACCTTTGCCTCCTGGGTTCAAGTGATTCTCTAGCCTTAGCCTCCTGAGCATCTGGGACTACAGGTGCGTGCCACCATGCCAGGCTAATTTTTTTTGTATTTTTAGTAGAGACAGGGTTTCACCATGTTGTCCAGGCTGATCTCGAACTCCTGACCTTCAGGTGATCCACTTGCCTCGACCTTCCAAGGTGCTGGGATTACATGTGTGAGCCACAGCTCCTGGCCCTGTTTTGATGCTTTCAAATGATCAGAGCTTGGAGCTATAGGTGCTTTGGAAGATGCCTCCACTGTGCAGGAAGAATGTTGAGGCCTGTACATGGGAAAATCTTAAATACCTTATTAATCTTAAAGCTAGCTGGCAGAATCAGAACTGATGTTTTATTTTCCTGTTGAAATTCTCTTTCTCTCCTACCACAATTTGGCTCTGGTAACTGTGCTGCGCGTGTGGAGTGGGCAGGGAATCTTGTGATTCCACCGTTGCTATGGCAAGAGCTCCTGTTTCCAAGCAAGGGTTGAATTAAACTAAATGGCAAGTTCCTGTGTCAGTAGGTTTAGTCCAGTCCTGTGTAATTCACCAAGAGCTTTGCTCCGTCAGGAGGAGGGGCCCAGTCCCACCATGAATCCTTGAACACCTGGGGGCATCTCACTGGGCAAGACGGGGGTTCAGGCCAGTCCTCCTCAGAATTGTGCCTTGCCCATTTAACGTCTCCACCGGAGACCTTCAGCCAGGAGAGCCAGGACCACATCTATTCAGAGAAACATTTTCACCATCAGAGGGCACGCAGGGAGGGGGTGGCCACACAGGGCCCATGTTTATCTCTTCCTTGAAGACTTGAGTGGCTTCTGGTCCCCAAACAAATGGAGAAGGTGAATAGGTGTCCCAAGGCTGAGGAGCACGTGCCCAGAGAAGGCGGTTTCTCCCTCCCTCAGTCCCCCATAGCCCACCTCCAGACAGAATGCATCTGATTCCTGTTGGCGTGTCCCTAAATAGCTGACCCCAAGTTCCGTTATAATAGCACTAGAACCTTTAACACTTTTGTTAGTGTTGTTTCTGGGGCGTGCACTCATTCATTCACTCGATTGTATTACTGGGGGCTTTCTCTATGCCAGCCCTTGTGCCTGCCCTTGGGACAAACATGTTCTGACTCTGTGGATGGGTGGAGTAGATCCTAGGTGGGGACAGCTCCTAGGGCTCTCCTGTGAACCTTTCTTCGGCCTCCCACCTATAGTAGGAAACGGGCCTGAAATGGGCCATGGGGGAGTATTCACAGAGCAGAAATCAGACAACACTTCTAAGTAGCGGCTCCTCCTGCAGCTGGGTGTTAAACATGCACAGTACACCCTGCAGGTAGTCACACATGTGACGAATGACGGGCCTTTGGAGACGCCCTCAGACTGGGTGAGCCGTGCCCCTACCAGGCGACATGCTCAGCAGCAGAAGCTCCTGCCGACCCCGGCAAAACACAGGGCGATCGGCCTGTGCTGCGACCCAGGTGTTGGGAGGTGAAGGGGGATCATGAGTATCCCTCTGAGGTGAGGCTGAGCCTCGCTTTAATGACGGACACCTTAGCTCTCCATCCCCCATGTCACCCTAAGAGTATCTGAGTTAGGAGAAGGAGGTCCGGCACTTTGACAGCACCCTGGATATTGTTCTTTAATCCTCCTGGTGAAGAGGCGCCCAAGACAGAGATGGATCTAACTCACGTGTGGCCGGGATGTGCTCACAGGCTGGTGCCATAAGCCTCAGTCTGTGTCCCACAAGAGGCCATTGTGCAGAGACTTTGCTGCCAGCACTGCAGCCTCTGTTCTGTACTGTTGAAATTAGCACCCTGTGTGGGCCTGGGTAATCTTGCTCAATCCCATTAATGTGTCCAATTAATATTGCCTGAAGGGCCGATTTACCTGTGGGCTAGGGAGTTCCCACCTGAGGGGCAATTACTAGCTTGCTATTGAACATTTATTGAAATTGTTCCTATGATTGATTGAAGGACATAAAATAGTCAATTTTTTTTTTTTTGAGACAAGGTCTTGCTCTGTCACCAAGGCTGGAGTGCAGTGGTAAGATCTCAGCTCATTGCAGCCTCTACCTCCTGGGTTCAGGCAGTCCTCCTACCTCAGCCTCCCGGAGAGCTGGGACTACAGGTATGCACCACCATGCTCAGCTAATTTTTGTATTTTTTGTAGAGAAGGCGTTTTGCCATGTTGTCCAGGTTGGTTTCGAACTCCTGGGCTCAAGTGATCCCCCTGCCTCAGCCTTCCAAAGTGCTGCGATTACACGCATGAGCCACTGTGCCTGGCCATACAGTAGTCTTGAAACCTGAAATACTCATACTATCTTGGGTGATATTGGAGAAATGCTCTAACAGAGATTGGTGCCCCAAAGAATTCCATAATAAAATGGACATGTTTTATATAGGATCATCACACTAGGGGATTGAAGAGAGTTACTCATTGCACTCACGAGCAAGTGGTTGAATGCATGGAAATGGTAGACTGGTGGTTGCCAAGAGCAGGAGGAGGGGAAATGGGGCACGGTTTTTAGTGGGTATGAAAATGTTCTGGAGATGGGTTGCCCAACAGTGCAGATATACTTACCACTGCTGAACTGTACACTAAAATGGTTAGGATGGTGTTATGTTATGAGCATTTTGCCACAATTTTAAAAAAGATCTGTATAGACAGTTCTCCAAAGAAAATACACAAGTGGTCAAAAAGTATGTGAAGAAGTGCTAAACGTTAGTAGTTATCAAATGAATGCAAATCAAAGGCACCGTGAGATACCACCTCCCTGCCACTAGCATGGATAGAATGAGAAAGACTGTTAATAACAAGTATTGGTGAGGATGTGGAGCCTCTGGAACATCTGTATTCCTGCTGGGATTGTAACATGGTGCAGCCTCTTTGTAAAACAGTTTAGTGGTTTCTTTAAAAAGTTAAATGTTTTCATATGGTCTAGCAATTCCACTCATATATATATACACCCAAGAGAACTGAAAACATATGCCCCAGAAAGGCATATACACAAATGTTCATAGCAGTATTATTCACCATTGTCAAACACTGGAAGCAACCCATATGTCTGTCAATTGATGAATGGATACACAAATGTGGTACCATACTGTAAACCAAAGAGTATCCGATACAAGTCTTGATCAATTTAGGAAGTTTATTTTGCCAAGGTTAAGGACATGCCTGTGACACAGCCTCAGGAGGTCCCGATGACATATGCCCAAGGTGGTCAGGGCACAGCTTAGTTTTATACATTTTAGGGAGACATGAGACATCAATCAATATATGTAAGATGTACATTGGTTTGGTCCAGAAAGGAGGGACAACTCGAAGCAAGGAGGGGGCTTCCAAGTCATAGGTAGATAAGAGACAAATGATTGCATTCTTTTGAGTTTCTGATTAGTTGTTCCAAAGGAAGCAATTAGATATGCATTTATGTCAGTGTGCAGAGAGATGATGTTGAGCTCTGTCTGTCCTTTGTCCACAGGAATTTCAGTAAGAAATAGGGCAGTGGAGATTTTGAGGTGGGGACTTCCTTATACAGCATATTTGGGGCTGGATCCTTAGGAAGAGGATTTTTAGCTGATCTGAATAGAGGGAAGGAGCCAGCTTGTTGGGGAGAGGAATGTTTTCCAGACTCGAATGGATTTTTGCGAAGACTGGAAACTTGCAGACGGCCAGGGGCGGGGGATCCTGGCAGGGGCCAGGTGGTCTGAGCACATGTGTTTGCAGATGTAGGGCCTGTCCCCACCATCCTGGGGGCATAACTCTAAGGACATTGCTGTTTTTCCAAAGGGCACACGTTGCATAACTTACTTTAAATAATTTCTTTTTGTAGGACTCTTTGATTTTGCAACTGCATTTTTAAGCTTAAGAGGAGGTCATTAAAAGATCTGGCACTAAGCTCACCCTCCCCTTCTTATTCCTTTGAAGCCATTGCTGTGAATTACGTGAGGGAAAGATATTGAAGAGGAGTTGGACACTCCGAGAGTGCAGCTGTTCTCCCCCCGCACCATCCGTGTCCTGCATTCTGCGAGTCTGTGCTCATTAACAATGTGCTGTGACCATGTGACTCAGCAATCCTGCTGCTGGGTATATACCCGAAAGAAAGGAAAAGGAAGCCAGTATATTGAAGAGGTATCTGCACCCCCATGTTTATTGCAGCACTGTTCACAACAGCCAAGATTTGGAAGCAACCTAAGTGTCCATCAACAGATGAATGGATAAAGAAAACGTGGTACATATACACAATGGAGTACTCTTCAGCCATTAAAAAAATGAGATTCTGTCATTTGCAATAATATAGATGGAAAAGGAGGCCCTTATGTGAAGTGAAATAAGCCAGGCACAGAAAGACAAACATCACATGTTCTCACTTATTTGTGGGATCTAATGATCAAAACAATTGAACTCTTGGACATAGAGAGTAGAAGGTTGGTTACCAGAAGCTGGAAAGGAAAGTGGGGTTGGGAGGAAGGTGGGAATGGTTAATAGGTACAAAAAAATACAAAGAATAAATAAGACCTAATATTTGATAGCACAACAGTGTGACTACTGTCAATAATCATTTAATTGTACATTTAAAAATAACTATAATTGCATTGTTTGTAACACAAAAGATAAATGCTTGAGGGGATGAATACTCCGATTCTTCATTATGTGATTATTATGCATTGCATGCCTGTATCAAAACATCTCATGTACCCCATAAATATACACACCTACTATGTACCCACAAAAATTAAAAATAAAAAAATTAGGCCAGGCACGGTGGCTCATACCTGTAATCCCAGCACTTTGGGAGACTGAGGCAGGTGAATCACGAGGTCAGGAGTTCGAGATCAGCCTGGCCAACATGGTGAAATCCCGTCTCTACTAAAAAATACAAAAGATTAGTTGGGTGTGGTGGTGGGCACCTGTAATCCCAGCTACTTGGGAGGCTGAAGCAGGAGAATTGCTTGAGCCCAGGAGACAGAGGTTACAGTGAGCCGAGATTGTGCCACTGCACTCCAGCCTGGGCGATGGAGCGAGACTCCGTCTCAAAAAGAAAACAAAACAAACAAACAAACAAACAAAATATTGAAAACCACAAACAAAAACCCAATGCGCCTGACTCTCCCGACATGTGAACCCACAGCGATGGACCTAGACTTCTCAAGGTTTCTCGACTCCTTTTATACCTGGTTCAACAGGTGGCTGCTTCTTTCTCACGTTGGGGACTCACACTTATGTGGTGGCCCTAGACCCCCAGCTCCCACGTGGGCCAGGTTTCCTCGTGATGTCCAAGGCCTCTTGAATTCTCCCCGTGCAGGGTGAGCAAAGACCTTGTCTGCTGAAGATAAAGTCTCCCAGGGGTGCTTGCTGAAGGAGGGAGAGAGACTTCCAGTTTGCTAGCAGGTGACAAGGGAGACATGTCTGCTCTCCTGAGGGGAGAAGGGGAAGAGGGAGAATGGCCAATGGAGGTGCGGGAGGGGCAGCTATTCCTCGGGGCCCACAAGCCTAGAAGGACAACTTGTGTCTTCTTGGCTGGGACTGCTCCCTTCTCCACCAGCCCCTCAAAGGGAAAGGGCAGAGCTTGTTTTCCTGGGACTATGGAGTAGACTACAGGCAGCCCGTAGCAGGGAGGTCGGCCCTGCTTTCCTCTGGGTTCTCTGGGACGTAAGAGCCTGAGCACCAGACACAGCCCCTGCCATGTTGCTGCCTGAGTGTCTCCATGAAGTGCTTCTTCTCGGCCATGCTTAAGGGGCTCCAACACTGTGTTCCCTGCAGCCTTATCCCCAACTGGGGTGAGCCACCACCCATAGAGTGGTAGGTAGGGGGGGTCCCAGCTCCCAACTCCCAAGCCCCAGGCTACTGCTTATGGCTGCCCTCAAGGTAGAGGGTGAGGGAGGGTCCTTGCGAGGTGTCCTGGCCATGAGGAGCAGAGAGGAAGCAGGGGAGTGGGGTGACCGTGCTGAAACAGGTTGAAGCACACACAGCTGCCGTCCAGAGAGGGAGGTCTGTCAGAGCCCCAGACAAGTGAGGGTTAAAAGTGCATGTATTTCTGAGCAATTCTTAGCATTAGGAAGAGGAATTAGCTCCCTGATTCCTTTCCTGGATGCTTATTTCTACTGCTCATGGATGGGGTGTGTGTGTTTGTGACTGGGCGGGGGGGGCGGCATGAGACCATCAGGTGTTTGTGATGCACCCCCGGGCAGGGGTGAGAACAGCCCTGCACAGACAATGGACACGGTGGCCTCTGTTCCAGGTGAGCATGTCTACGGTCCTAAGAGAACTGCAGGTGCCAGCTCAGGCTGCCTCACATGATACCACAGGCTGGGGGCTCAAATGGCAGACATTCATTCTCTCACTGTTCTGAAGGCTGAAGATCTAGGTGCTGTCAAATCTGGTTTCTGATGAAGGCCTGCTTCCTGGCTTGTGGACACTGTGTCCTCACATGGCCTTTCCTCTGTGCTTATGTGGAGAGAGAAAGAGAGAGAGAGAGAGAGAGAGAAGAGAGCGAGCGAGCGCAGCACCGTGCATCTGTTCCTCTTCTTCTAAGGATGCATCGTCATATTGAATCAGGGACTTACTTATGACCTCATTTCAAAAGTGTGAGTCTCTAATCCAATATGTCCTTCCAAGTGCCATTTATAAGCCATATCGGGATTTAGGGCATCAACATATGAACTACGGGCACATGATCCTGTCCATAACAAGAATCCTGGGTGGTTGGGAGTCATCAGTGCCTAGAAACCCTGGGTCCAGCGGTGGGTCTGGCAGCAAGAGCAGTGTCCTGCTGTGGGACCCGCCCCTAGGCGCAGGCCCCTGCCGTTATATTCAGTCCTCATGGCACTCTGTGTCCAGTGTCTTCACGGTTGAAGTGGATCCATGGAGAAATTGGGAAGACTTCACGTGAAATGACTGAGAATTTGGGAAATGTCGCTATGAAAACAAGTTAAGAGTGGGGTGGTAGAGGGCACCCCTGGCAATGTCCTCAAGTATACAAAGTGCAGGCGCTGTTAATCTCCAAGAGAAAATGGAGTTCCATCACAACCAAAATAACTGGACGCAGGATAAGAGACACCTGTCCTCAAGGCGAGGGTTCCCGGACCCCAGGTGGGCTGCGCTGGACCCCAGGTGGAGACGGGCACAGCGGCTCCCAGGGGTACAAATCTTCCTTGCCTGAAGCAGTCCCTGCCGGTCCTGGAGTGGTCCGTGACACCTGGTCAGGATCTTTGCAGTTGGACAAATGTGTGAATTTGGATACAAGCAATGCAGAAAAACAGGTATCTACTGATCTGGCTTCTTTCTTTCATTTTAGTAATAAAATTTATTTGGTAATCAGTTACTTATCAATTACAGGACATTTGGGAAATAAACATAATCTGCCACCCCGCCACTCAGGGTTGGCTGTTGCCGCTGGCTGTGTATTTTCTTTTCCCTCCGGTTGGATTTCAGGTTGGGAAGTCCGGTCCGGCTGGTCAGCCAGGAGCCGCCGGCCCGGCCTACCAACTGCTCCACACTGCCCCCTCGTGGTCATCTGCTAGGCAGCAGGCTCCGACCTCCGGAAGGCTGGGCGCTCAGCCCCATCTCCTGACTTCCTTAGGGCACAGGAACTGGTGGAGCTCAGCCTCGACTGGGGCTCAGACATTGTCCACAGGCCTTTCTGAGCAACCTGGACTCCATACAGGGAACTGATTCACGGGGAAAGGGCTGGCCACGTTCAAGGATGCCCAGGCCATCTGGGGAGCAGTGGATGGAGCAGGGGACCTTGAAGTTGGAGAAGTAGGCGCTGGTGGGCGGCCTACATCTTTGTCTATGTGACAGCCACTCTGCTCCCCGCCCAGGAACTTGCAAAGGATGAACTGGACATGGGGATCACAGGAAAGTCTCGATTTCTTGCTGATTAAGTGGGTGGGTTGTCAGAACACCAAAATATGGGGGCACGCTGGCCAATGTAAAACGTTTGTCCTCCCAGAGGCACACTGGTGGCCTCTCTGCCCTTTCCTCCTGTCTTCACTACCCCACTGATGCCGCCTTTCATAACCCGAGACTCTGACACTGCAGCATGTGGTTTGGCTGATCTTGACTTTCTCAGCAGGAGATGGAACTCAGCTAAACATGGCTCTCTTGGTTGCGGGAGGCCCCTGCAATCCGGAATGCCTGAAGGACGGGGGGCTTCCTGACCTCTTCTAGTTACAGGACCCACGGGGTGGAGTCAGGTGTGGCCTGACTAGGGATTGGGTGCTGTGGCAGGACTCATTTCTGCAGCTTCAGGGCTGGCTTCTTGCTGGGACAGACTCCCTCCTGGCAGCAGCTGGTCACAGAGGTAGCTTTGGTCCCCATTGAGCTTATTCAAGTCCAGTGGAGGTGGGGCTGGTTGTGACAGCCTCCTGATGCTTAAGCCAAACGCTCAGAATTAAGTCTACTTCCTGCTGTCACATGCCCTCTGTGGAGTGTCACCAGGGCCAAGGAGACTGAATATGCTGCTGGGTAGGCTTGGGCCACACACCTCTTTTCTAGGGCTGGAGTTAGCAGCTCCTTCCCCAGAGTCTTATGACTGCGAGTCAAGGGAAAAATAAACTCCGCAATGAAAACCCGGGGTGAGAGAAGGGGGTGAGTGGGTTATGCAGGGTGGCCCCAAACAAATGTCCACCATATGGCTATCTCTTAACCTTCTGAGGGCTGGTAGCCAAATGAATTAAAAAATGATGGGAGGGCGCGGTGGCTCACGCCTGTAATCCCAGCAATTTTGGAGGCTGAGGAGGGTGGATCACGAGGTCAGGAGATCGAGACCCTCCTGACTAACACGGTGAAATCCTATCTCTACTAAAAAAAATAATAATGCAAAAAAATTAGCCGGGTGTGGTGGCACACGCCTGTAGTCCTAGCTACTCAGGAGGCTGAGGCAGGAGAATCGCTTGAACTGGGAGGCAGAGGTTGCAGTGAGCCAAGATCGCGCCATTGCACGCTAGCCTGGGTGACAGAGCAAGACTCCATCTCAAAAAAAAAAAATTCTTTTTTTTTTTTTTTTTGAGATGGAGTTTCACTCTTGTTGCCCAGGCTGGAGTACAGTGGTGAAATCTCAGCTCACTACAACTTCTACTTCCTGGGTTCAAGTGATTCTTCTGCCTCAGCCTCCCAAGTAGCTGGGATTACAGGCACCAGCCACCAGGCCTGGCTAATTTTTTGTATTTTTAGTAGAGATGGGATTTCACCATGTTGGCCAGGCTGGTGTCGAACTCCTGACCTCAGGTGATCCACCTGCCTCGGTCTTCCAAAGTGCTAGGATTACCTTGCCTGGCCAAAATTGATCATTTCTTTCCCACTAAATTTAAAGAACATAGATGTCAGCCAACAGTGGTGGGAGCTTCTCTCTTTTTTTTTCTCTTCTTGTTAAATTTTAAAGAGATTTTATTCTTTACTTTTTAAACTTGATTTTGAAATAAGTTGGAACTTAAAGTTGCAAAAACAGTACAAAAATTTTCTGTATGCCTTACCCCAGTTTCCCCAGTGTTTACACCTCACATAATTATGTTAAGATAGTCAATCCCAGGGACTTAGCATTGATGCAGTACTGTTAACGAATCCACCCATGCTCTTCAGATTTCATCCATGGCCCCACTGATGTCTTTCTCTGATCCAGGACCCAGTCCAATATCTCATGCTGTATTTAAGTCATCAAATGTCCTTGGTCTCTTTTAGTCTGGAATGGTTCCACAACTTTTCTTTGTCTCTAATGACCTTCAGACTTTTTTTAAAGAGTACTGGCCATGATTTTGTGGCACGTTCCTCCTGATTAAATGTAGCTTATGCATTATTTTTTGCAAGAATATCATAAGAGTGACGTGGTATCCTCCTCAGTGTGTGGTATCAGAGGGCACATAAGGCCAGTATGTGGCATGACTGATGATGCTAACCCGGCTCACCTGGTGAAGGTGCTGTGTGCAGCTTTCTCCTCGGGGCAGTTGCTATTTTTCCCTATGTAATTAATCTGTATCTCCATACCGGCCTTTTCATGCACTGACTCACAGTGTCTGCCAAGTTAAGTCTTTTAGCTGCTGTCCCAGCCACTGCCTTGGAAGGAGCTTCTGTCTGCAGCTACCCACTGCAAGAAATGGGCGAAGCCTATTTGGAGCTTCACTGAAACCAAGAGGACAAAGCTGGCTGGGGGTCCACAAGGAGTTCCTCATCAATGACCTCCAACACCCAGTGTGTCCAAAGACAAAGGCAATGCTACCACTTTTGGGGGGAGTTTGGCAATAGTGAGCATGAGTAATTTTAAATGAAGCAACCACTTTTTCTTTTTTTTTTTTGAGATGGAGTTTCGCTCTTGTTGCCCAGGCTGCAGGAGTGCAATGGCGTGATCTCAGCTCACCACAACCTCTGCCTCGTAGGTTCAAGCGATTCTCCCGCCTCAGCCGCCTCAGCCTCCCGAGTAGCTGCAATTACAGGCATGCGCCTGCATGTGCCACCATGCCTGGCTAATTTTGTATTTTTAGTGGAGACGGGGTTTCTCCATGTTCGTCAGGCTGGTCTCAAACACCCGACCTCAGGTGATCCGCCCACCTCGGCCTCCCAAAGTGTTGGGATTACAGGCGTGAGCCACTGCACCCGGCTGCAACCACTTTCTTAACCCATTTATTTGTGACTGTGTTGTTTCCAGATCAGTAAGAACATATTGTGGAATGGACTTTGCTGCACATAAGTACTTGCTGATGTCTATGCTTTTCTCTACAGTTGAGAAGGTTCTGTTTTTCAAGGTGAGCCTAACCATGGGCAAGATGACCACATTTGTGGCCGGTTCTGGTGGCTGCAGCCCATGGAGAGGAGTGGTTTTGGCACATCTCCTTATGGACTTCGGCTTCCTCTCCTGTCACCACTCCCCACCCCAGAGCTCATTCGGGGTTCTCATTCACTACTTCTGTCATTCCTCACCTGGCTTCTGGAAGAATATTTGAGTTGCAGGAGGTTTTGCTACTCTCTAGTCCTATATTTGTACAAAGAAATGGAATTTTGTTTGGGAAGGGGAGGATGTTCTTCATTAGAAAAGCAGTCTAGACCTGGGTGCAGTGGCTCACGCCTGTAATCCCAGCACTTTGTGAGGCCGAGGTGGGCGGATCACGAGGTCAGACCATCCTGGCTAACACGGTGAAACCCTGTCTCTGCTAAAAATACAAAAAATTAGCTGGGCATGGTGGCGGGCGCCTGTAGTCCCAGCTACTCGGGAGGCTGAGGCAGGAGAATGGTGTGAACCCGGGAGGCGGAGCTTGCAGTGAGCCGAGATCGCACCACTGCACTCCAGCCTGGGCGACAGAGAGAGACTTCATCTCAAAAAAATAAAAAAATGAAAAAAAAGAAAAGCAGTCTAAGTTGGGAGATTGCACCATTAGCAAGTATTAAGCACTATTTGCTGCATAGCAAAATATCTCAAAACTTAGAGGCTTAAAACAATCCTTCCTTCCTTCCTTCCTTTCTTCCTTCCTTCCTTCCTCCCTCCTCCCCTCCCTCCCTCCCTCTCTCTCTTTCTTTCTTTCTTCTTTCTTTCTTCTTTTGACAGTCTTGCTCTGTCACCCAGGGTGGAGCACAGTGGCACGATCTTGGCTCACTGCAACCTCCACCTCCTGGGTTCAAGCAATTCTTGTGCCTTAGCCTCCTGAGTAGCTGGGATTACAGATATGTGCCCCACACCCAGCTAATTTTTGTATTTTTAGTAGAGATGGGGCTTTGCCATGTTGGCCAGGCTGGTCTCGAACTCCTGACCTCAAGGGATCCTCCCGCCTTGGCCTCCCAAAGTGCTGGGATTACAGGTATGAGCCACTGAGCCTGGCCCAACGATACCCCTTTTCTTTGGTTTACTAGTCTAGGAGTTGGTTGGGCATTTCTTCTAGTTTGGGCCAGCTTGATGGTCTCTACTGGACAATTCCATGTGTCTGTGGCCAGTGGGCAGCCAGGCAGCTAGGACACCTTGATGCTGCTCTCTGTGGCCTCTTATCCCCTGGCAGGCCCGACTGGGCTCATTCCCATGGTGGTTTTGGGATTCTAAGCCTGTGCAGCACTGTTCAAGTCTCTGCTTCTGCGGCATTTGTTACCGCTGCACTGCAAACGTGGATGAAAGCCCTAATGCGTGGCATGCTCGTGGAGACCCACTCAGTGTTATCTTCTTAGTTCCTTTGGAATATCAGGGTTCACTCTTTCAGCAGGGCACAACTTCCAAGAGTGAGAGGGAATGTTCTCTGAATTCCTCCAATCCATAGCTCACTCTTCTTAGGTCGAGCAGGAATAATGGTATTTGACGCTGCATGGTAATCTGGCCCTAAAGTGGATTTCCATCACCCCGCTGGTCTCTGGTCAGCATCTGAGGGGTCTGACTGTTCACGGGTGACTCCACCCTACACAGACACCCCCGCTTTGGGGGCATGAAATCTTAGGATGGTGCTGAGATTGTGCTGCTCTGATGCTTTGGGATGAAAGCTAGACTTTGGTCGTGGTGGTGGTGGTTTATCATTGCTGTGGATTGAATTGTGTCCTGCATTTACCAAATTCATATGTTGAAGCCCTCACGCCCAATGTGATTGTGTCTGGAGACAAGGTCTGTAGAATGCAATTAGGGTTAAATGTGTCACAGGGTAGCCCTAATCTGATATGACTGTGGTCTTATAAGGAGAGGAAGAGAAAGAGCTTCTTTTCTCTCCACCATGTGAGAACACACTGAGAAGGCACTTGTCTGCAAGCCAGGAAGAGAACCCTTGCCAGGAACCAAATCAGCTGACACCTTGATGTGGACTTCCCTACCTCTAGAACTATGAGAAAGTAATTTTCTTTTATCTGTAAGCCACTCAGTCAATGGTATTTTGTTTCAGCAGCCGGAGCCAACTAATACATGCGGCCACCTTCTCTCCATGCCTGCACTTTCTGTTCCAAGCCATCTGGTGGAAGCAATCCAATTGCCTGCAGAATCATCCGAAAGCATCACTGGGAAGAAGCTGGTGGAACTAAGAAGCAATTCTTTAGCCTGACAGCCAGTCTGTTTTTAGTATTTCTAAACATGAAATCATCTCAGAAGAAGCCAAGGGCTGTCGAGGTGATTTGCCTGAGGTCCTACAACTCATCACTGACTGTGTTTGGAGGAAGGAAGTAATTAACTATAAATGTGATTATAAGGGTGGGGCCTTAATCTGATAGGACCAGTGTCCTTATAAGAACAGGAAGTGTGTGCGTTCACTGAGGAAAAGCCATGCAAGAACACAAAGAGAAGGCGGCTGTCTGCAAGCCTGGAGGAGAGCTCTGCCTAGAAACTAATCCTGCCGGGCATCTTAATCTTGGAATTCCAGCCTCCAGAACAGTGAGAAATAAATGTCTGTTGTTTAAACTACTCAGCCTGTGGTATTTTGTTATGACAGCCTGAACGAAAAAATACAGTCACTTAATGTCCAGAGAGAAAAAACATGTTTGAAGCTAAGAAACCATCCACTCAGGGAGGATCAGTCATCAATCCTCCTGAGTCTGAGCCATCTGAGCTATCAGCCCAAGTTCCTAGAGGCTCTAAGGACAGGGGAGTTCACCTGTGGCTAGTCTCCTGAGCTACAATGAGGTATGGGGTGTGGGTGTGTATTTTCTCCTGTTGCATTTCCGTTTTTTTTTTTTTTTACATGAAGTTTCACTGTGATGCCCAGGCTGGAGTGCAGTGGCACAATCTGGGCTCACTGCAATATCCACTTTCCGAGTTCAAGCAATTCTCCTGCCTCAGCCTCCCGAGTAGCTGGGATTACAGGCACACGCCACCATGCCCAGCTAATTTTTGTCTTTTTGGTAGAGATGGGGTTTTACCATGTTGGCCAGGCTGGCCTCAAACTCCTGACCTCAAGTGATCTGCCTGACTTGGCCTCCCAAAGTGTTGGGATTACAGGCGTGAGCCACCATGCCTTGCCTCTCCTGTTGTATTTCTAAGTCAGTTCAGAAATGGGTCCTGAAGAAGAGGGTGAAGGGTTAGAGGCAACAGCTTCAGCTCTATTTGAAATCTTAATTCATGACATCTCGTTTCTGAATGGTGAGACATAAAGATCACCACTTACATGTCATTAAGCACAGAACCCTTGATAAATTAATGAGAAAACACATTCTCACTTCATTTTATGAAGTCTAGGTTATATGGCTATGTCCCTCCTCACATGTATGTACATTAGCAGTAAAGACACACCTCAGCAGGTCAACTCAGTTTTCCATGGATAAATTATTTTCTTAAGTTTCTTTTTGAGCCACACACACCAATAATACCAGACAGAGCTGAAATTCTGCCATCATTGTTTTGGAAAATGGTCAATTCTGTGCACTTATCCTAGATGAGTTCTTTTCCCTGAGAAGTGATTTTAACATTCTCTTGAATCCAGACAAACATGTGATGATTATATGTAGCATTTTCTCCAGAAACCATGTTTATTTTCACCACTGGGAATTACTTTTCTTGGGCTTTTGTGGTACAATTTCCCTGAATGTGTTCCAACCATGTGCATAAACACAGCAGCAGTGTGTTACAAACAAATTCTACTCCTTGCCAAGTGTCCAGGAATATCAAAAGCAAATATTTCCTAGTATTGCTTAGGAGAGTAAAAAAGGAGTGATGAAAGTGAAGACATTTCAATTTGAATTGATACCACATTTGACAATAAATTTCTCCAGGCAGTGACGACTGGATAGGACTTGAATGGAAGGCCCTCTCACCTTTCCCCTTCCACCTGAATTTTGCACCTGTCTCCAAGGGTTTGCCTGCACCTTGCCTCCGGAGGTCCTGTCCTCCAGCTTCGGTTATTTACTGCATCACATTCACCACCAATTGCTGCCCTTCTTCTTTCTGCCCTTTCACAGGCCAGACGTTGGTTTGTTCATCCATTGGGAATATTTATTTATTAAAATCAATAAATACATATTTATCAGTGTAAAACATACTTATTATTCAAAGAATCAAACAGAACCGAAAATCTCACAATGAAAAGAATAAGTCCCCTTGCCCCTCCCCAAGGTCCCCCAGCCCAGCTTCTCAGAGTCACTCACTTTTAAACTTCTTAGCAGTTTCTTCTGCTAGTCACCTCCATAGCTTTTAGTCAGTATGCTCATATAATTACTTCTTGATTTGATCAATTTTATTAAGTAATTGTGAAATGATTTTCTGTAATGACAGATTTTCTTGCCTCATGTTTTTGTCTTCTCTCACATCTTATCATACAGTTGAATCAATAATCAATATTTTTATTACTAGGATAGCTATTTACATATTGTTCACTGAGGCCCCAAGAGGTGAATATACAATGTGTCCATTTCCTGTTTTGTGGAGCTTTTTGTTTCTGCTGGAGTTTTTAATTGCCTCATTTTTCACTTGTATATTTTCTAGCCACATATTTTTGTTATTGTCCCCAAATGTTCAATTTTTATAATTTGTTCTACTAGATTTCTCCCTTTCCCCAAGAGTCTTCCCTTCTGCATACTTCTATAAACCCGTCACATCTGGGCTGCTTGCCCTCTAGGCCTGTGGCGCATTTCTCACCCTAGAGCTGCTTCTTACTCTCCTGGGTGGGGCCTACTGTTTCTTTGCTTCCTTGTTTTCCTAATGTTACTGGACATTATTTTCAGTAGCTATTTAAGGAAGGGCCAAGAAAGGTCAATTTTATGAATCTTTATATGTACGAAAATTTCTTTAGTCTGTCTTTACATGTGATGAATACTTTGCTGAATGTATAATTTCAGGCTGAAAATAATTTTCCCTTGGAGTTTTTTAGGTATTAGTGTCTTCAGGAAGATAGCAGGCAACATAACATCTTCACTGATAATGAGGTGGTAAGTGAAGGCCTTAACTTTAAAGTTAAAGATTTAAAGATGCCCCTAGTTCCACCTCCTTTATACAACTCATTCACCTGTTTGCTTAACACTGAGCCAGTGCTCGGTGCTTCACAGTGGTCATTCTTTACAGGCTGAAGGGTCTTTGCCTAGGTGGTTTGTGTCTATCAGTACATCCAAATATCTTTCCCTTTATAAAAAATAGTGTTTGTCATTTTCTCAGCAGGGTTTTTTTTTGTTAATTTTTTTGTTACGAGATAGTACCCCCCACACCCCCCAACTTGTGGTTGTCTTTCCTTTCAAATTGGAATGACTCGTCTATTTCTCAATAGATCTGAAGGACTGCTGCAGGTCGTGTTTTCTTCTTCAGTTTTGCTGGCAGCAAGCCAGGGTTGGGTGCCAACAGCACAGGGTGACACTGAGGCCAGGGCTGCAGGGTGTGTTTGGGTGAGGCCTACATGTTTCCTCTATAGAGCTGCAGTGGAGACAAGAGCCAAGACAAGGAAATTAAGGAGCAGCAGAGGAAGGGTGGGCATGAGGATGTGCTCCTGGTTGCATTCTAACTCTCTCAAACACCCTCTTGGGTCCTTTCTGCCCAGTGATGGAGCCCAGGCACCAGGCTGGCATCAGGTCTCAGCCCACTGCTGAAGGGAGGGAGGGAAGGAGAATAAAACTTGGCCTGTGTGATAGCATGAAAATCAATTATAATTTTGAATTTGGAAAACAAAGCTCTGACCCTTGAAAGACAGACCACCTTCAGAAAGATGCTTCGCAAACAAATTTAAGATCCAGGCAGGGAACAGCATTTCCTGTCACCAAAAAACCCCTGCAAGTTCATTTCCCTCCAAAACACGATTTCTGCAATCTTCTGCTTTTCCAGGCACATAAGCCACTGCCTTAAGCTCCTGAGGTACATGGTAGAAGAGGACAAGGACAGTTGGCTCTGGTTCCTATGTCCCTGAGTGTGTGGGTGGGCCTCTGGTCCCCATATCCCCGTGCGTGGGTCAGGACCTGGTCTGGAGCGTCCCTGGGTGTGCAGGGAGGGCTGGTCTCAGGGTTCCCCAGGTGTAGGTGGTGGGATCTGTTCCTTTTTTGTGGTCATCCAGCAGGGTGTGCATGAGGTCAGGGTGGCACACAAGGTCCTCTCAGAACCTCTTCTTCATGCTCATCGTGCCTGTGGAATGTCCCAGGCCAAACACAGCCTTGAGGGACTCTGAAGGGTCCTCCATGGCTGCAGCCCTTGCTCTTGCTAGATGTGTTGTGTCTGTGAAGATGTTTCCATATAGATTCCAGGCTGCTGAGCAGGTCTCTCCTATGCAGGCAGGAAATGGGGTTGCGGGGAGGGGCAAGAGAAGATAGAGACAGTTGGAGGTAGGGTACATATGGAGATGATTAGTTTGGTGATCTTCAGTGGTCAATGCACTAAAGATCATGGGAAAGGAACTGTTATGGCCTGAATGTTTGTGTCCCTTGAGATTCCTGTGCTGAAACTGACTCTCCAGTGTGATGTCAGTAAGAGGTGGGGCCTGTGGGAGGGGATGAGGTCATGAGGGTGGAGCTCTCGTGAATGGGACTAGTGCCTTCCTGAAAGAGACCCCAGAGAGCTGCCTCACCTCTTCTACCACATAGCGAGAAGGCGCTGTCTCTGAGGAAGGAGCCTTCACCTGGCCAGACAACACGTCTTCTGGTGCCTTGATCTTGGACTTCCCAGCCTGTAGAACTGTGAGAAATAATTTTTTGTTGTTTATAAGCCACCTAGTTTATGGTATTCCATTATAGCCACCCAAATGGATGAAGACAGGAACTAATACCACTCATGGGCTGAGCTTCCCCAAAGGCAAGGCCCTGCCAGGGAGGTTGGTTGGTGGAACGGCAGGAGTGGTGTCAGTCCTGCCTGTTCTCTCCCAACAGCTACGCAGACACACAGAAACTTGTGGATTTCGTGCAGAGGGGCCATGCTCTGTTTTTAAAAATTCTACTATTGATATACTTCAACAGGGTCCAGGTTGTCTCATTACCTCGTCTTTAAAGTCTTCAATAATGAATAAAGTGAATAGGAGCTGGCAGAACAATCCTTACCTCTCTCCTGACTGTGGAGGTCTTGTGGGTGGGAGATGACACATTTCTATACCATCCCTTTTCTGCCCACAGAAAATAGTGGGAAAAGATACCCAAGAACATCACACAAAGGAAAGAGAGATTTGATCTGCCTCTGTCTGCCCTGCTGGGCTGTGGGGCAGGGTGCCCTGGGCCTCAGTGTCTGCTCTATGCATGAGCAGAGAAGGCAACCAGCTGTGGGCAAGGGGAAAATGGACCCTAATTCTGGATTTAGCCACAATAGCTTGTGCTGCCCAGAATTCTCCTTTGCTCATGGCAGATTGTGGTGTGTGTGTCCACGCTGGAACAGTGTGAGCGGAGGGGTGGGGGGTATCATTTTCACTTGGTTCCATGGAGAAACCTCAAGGGAAACTGAACTTGGGCTCCAAATCTTAGTTTGTTCTACCACTCCGTAGCCTTTTCTGTTGACCCCATGTCCTGCTAGGATACTTTTGTGTCCCAGGATTTGCTCTGGTGTGACAAGAGGGCCAGAGTTAAACAGAGGAGCAGAGAAGCTTAAAAACTGGAACGTTCCCAGGGATGGTGCCAAGGTTGGTAAGCAAGGTTGAAAATGGGGCTGTGCACACACAGGGTACAGGGGAGAGGCTCCAGTTTCCTCTTCTCTGCAGGAACTAGAAACCAGCTTTAAATGTGCCCCTTGCCACATGCACACCTGTGATGCCTCCAGAAGTCCCCACTGGCCTGGCCTTGTGTAGGGGTGTGTAGACACGCCTCTCACATACCCTGTCCCCCTGGGGTGAGCCTGGCTGAGGGCAGGGCTGAGCGTGGTGTGGGGCAACCCCAGCATCACCCCTGTTCTAGATGCTTTCAGGGAGGGTGGCCCTGCAGGGATCAGAGGGCTGGCACACACAGGCTCCAGAATCAATGCAAGGCAGTGGGGAAGACCTCTCAAATTTCTTGCGAGCCACCCACTGTGCCCATCTGAGGACAAGGCCCAGCAGGGAGCCACTGGCCCCACTGCCTTGCCTGTGCCCCACTGTACATTGACACTTGGAATAGGGCATGGCTGTCACCTCACTTATTTTTACTATTTCCTCTTGATAGAGGCAGGAGGCAGAGAAACTCTAGACAGACAGGAGTTGGTCCCTGGTGAAGCCCCACTTTCAAGCCAAAAAGCCTGACACCCACGGCTTAAAGTGAGAACTTCCGTCCCTCTTTGCCTACTCTCTCCCTATTAGTTTTTTCTGAGTAATGTGTTTTTTCCATTTGAATGTTGCCTTTTCCAAAACTACTTATGGCCTGCCCCACCCCCCATCCTGTGCTTATAAGGACCCCAGATTTAGCTGGTAGAGAGAAGCAGCTGTACTTCAGAGAGAGGCAACTTGATTTCAGAGGAGGGAGGCAGAGAGGCTGCTTGACTTCAGGGGAGAGTGACCTGTCCTTTCCATCCCCTTTCCAGTTCCACTCTCTGCTGAGAGCCACTCTCATCACTCAATAAAATTTCCACATTCATCATCCTTCAATTTGTTCATGTGACCGCATTCTTCTTGGAACTGGACAAGAATTCAAGACCTACCAAATGTGGGTACCAAAAAGGCTGTCACACTGGCCCTTTGCCCTCACTGGTGGAGGGCAGCTGCCCCACGCAGCGAGACAAAAGGCCCACTGAGCTGATAACACACTGCTGTCTGTGGACAGTAGAACTAAGTATTGCAACATGCCCTCTGGGGCCTTGGGATCGCAGGCGCCCCCACCTGGATGCTGACGCAGGGCCTGCACTGAGTTTTCTCTGCTGGCGCCAAAATGGCCAGCTGGTTCCTGCATTGGCTTGCCTACTCGCTCCCTCTGGCAAGAAATGGAGTGTGGTGGGCTGGAGTAAACCGAGTTTGCTCTTGTCTGCACAGAAGCCAGAATTGGCGGGCTGGTTCCTGCACTGGTTCGCTCATGTGCTCCCTCCTGCGAGGGGTTGAGCATGGTCAGCTGAGTAAAAGGGGCACCCTTCTCGTGAGTCCTGCAAAAGGGTCAAGAAAATATCCTGCCTCACTCTCATCCATGTCCCCTGGAGAGCATGCACCTCCAATGCCGATGCTCTCTTGGGAGCAGGAAGAGGGAAAGTGAATCAGGAATATTGGGTGATTTTAGCCTTTGGTCAGACATACTTTATGGCAAATTTCCACCAAAGAGGCAATTTCAACAAATACAATATTCTGTGGCAGACACTGCTTCTTTCTCTAATTCGCATAACACTAAGAAAACATTTCCCTCTATTAATGGAGATAGGAAAGAGACAGATAATGGATCCACTGGCAAGGCGTGGCTGCCCTCCACACTATTGATTTTTCTAGCCATGAAGTTGTCTCAGGCCAAATGCAGTCAGCTGAGAGGCAGTAATGGAGGGGGAAAGGGTCTATCGTGTGTATATGTAATGCATGCTGCTAAGTTGATGAATCTTTTGGAAGGACTCTGTTTGCTGTGGAAAATAGGCCAGGGTATGCAGGCCATCAACTGCGTGGAAGATTTCATTAGAAACAGAAATTCTCCACTCAATGTGGGCATCGTTTTCTGCCTGCCGACTCTGTGGCTTCCTGGCAAGGCCAGTGAATGAGGACCCTGCAGCAGCTGCGCACATTTCGACAACAGTATTTTGTTGAGTCTCAACACAGAATTCTTTCATTCTTTAACACAAATTCTGAAATTGAGATGGGCCTTACTATTAGCAGCAAAATAGACTTGCTTGGTTCCAGGCAGAGGATGGAGCTCAGAAGCTGTGTCGTTGCTGTGAGGACACGAACGTGCCATACATATGACTGTGGACCAGCTCCCTTCGTGTGGGCAGCGTTGCAACTGGCGGCATTGTAGTTCAACTTTGTGCTCTTTACTTTGACCTAATGTGTCATCACAAAACCCCACTATAAAATTATGTAGCTATACTTTGTTGTAAGTTAAAAATTATATGTTGTACATACAATTTATCTGTTTTTATATAAAATAAAAGTTAAGCTTCACGGAGGAAATTGCCTGCTGTGTTCCAGCCAGGAGAGCTCAAGAACCTCCCTGCGCTTTGCAATGAGTGAGGGGCACCTTATGGTCCACTGAAAAGCAGAGTTTCCAAGTCAGGAACAACTCTCTGTTAAGAAGAGGGCTCACGTTTGAAGGAAACTCATCTAACAGTCACATAGGATAACTGTGACTTAACCAAGTGGCAAATGAGCATGAGGTCCTGGCATTTTTGAGGTATGTTTTGAAATAATTTCTATCCATGTAGGACAGGGTTCTTTTATTTTTTTATTTTATTTTATGTTTTTAGGTTCAGGGAGCATGTATGTGGGTTTGTTACATGGATAAATTGCATGTTGCTGAGGTTTGGGGGTGAGTACTACCATGATATCATCACCCAGGCAGTGAGCATAGTACCTGATAGGTAGTTTTTTGTGTTTTTTTTTTCAACTTTTATTTTAGGTTTAGGGCTGGATTACAAAAAAATCACTGGTGGGTTCTATGCTTAGTACCTGGGTGACAAAATAACCTGTATACCAAACCCCTGTGCACGAGTTTACCTGTATAATGAACCTGCAGCAATGGGCACACAGAGGGGAACAACATGTAGGACAGAGTTCAAACCTTAAGGGATCAGGAGCAGGAGCAAGAGTTGGTAAAAATAAAAATAAAAGTCTACCATCTGCGGCTGGGTGAAAGGTCAGTGGGCCGGGGCATTCCCAAACTATTCAAACTCATTCTCAGGACTCGGCTGCCAGCAGAGGAAGGATATTATTGTCAGTTGTGTGCGTGTTTCAGTGTTGTGTTTTCCCTCTCAACCCCCGAAAAGCTGATCTCAGGAGGAGCTGGGGAGCTCTGGGCTCTCCTAGACCAGTCTGAGGATGCCACATAATACAGAGTTTTGGGCTTTTGGAAAGACACCGAGATGCGCTCTGCGAAGCCTTCTCAGCCCTGATCAGTGGCACATGGAGGACGCTGACCCAGGCAGCACAAGCCTGCCGGCAGCCTCTTTCCATGCAGCGCTGTAATTTCTAAAGAAGGGAATCCGCACGGTGAGACTTGGGTGTATAAGGCATTCTGGGGTTGAAAAATCGAAAATCATGATTAAAAATGACCTATCGGCATCTGTGCAGAGCCTGTAGACTGGCACTGGGGGCTATGTGTCACCTCGGCCCATTGGATCTTATTGATTTGTCTGGTCATTCAGCCTCTGGTCGTTCAAGCCCAGGGCAGGCAGCTCAGCAGGAGCAACAATGGTGAGTGTGGGGTGCACACCTCTGCAGGTCAGGCTTCTAGGGCAAAAGGGAATTCCAAAAGCCTTTGCCTAAGACACTCTCAGAGTAACTGATTCACAGACAAAGATGAGATTGCTAACATTTTTATTCTTGTGATTTCGTGAAGCAGGAACAAGTGCAGGTAATTCTGCAGGCTCAGGACTCTGAACGAATCTCCACTGGGGATACAGGTACACATTCCATCTGCATCTTTCAGGCAGACAAGGGGAATGAGCAAGGAAATTCTCTGCCTTTGAAAAAAAATGCACCTACAAAAAGGTGCAAAAGCTAACAAAGAAACAAAAAAACAAGCAAAAAACAAAGACAAACCTGGTTCTGTGTCAAGGCTTTGCAAATGCCAAATGGAAAGTTGGTTTTTCTTTGCAGCTCCCTGCAGCCTCCTCCACCTGCCCAGAAGCTCTAGAGACACTGCCTGGGACAGATTCTTGGCAGGTGGGATTTGTGGGGCACCGTGGTTCTCTTTTGCCCCTGGAAATGGTAGGCTGTGCTGGGGAAGAGAACGTGTAGGTCCTCAGGGTCTTTGCTTTCTTGAGGAAAAAAATGACTCAGCTTTCTTGGTGGTTAGAGCCCACATAATTTCATTTCAAGGGCTTGTTTTATATGTGGGAAAATTGCACATACACCCAATATACGATTGTTGAGGGTTTTTATAGATCCCCTTCACCACCAGGGGGCCCATAACTCCAGGTTAAGAATACCCCGAGAGAAAATTTTGCAGAGTGCAGGAAATGAAACCAAACCATATTTCCACAGACACCACAGTTAATATTTTGCTTTTCTTTTCAGTCTTTCTCAAAAGTTTATGCTTTCAAAAAGCCCTTTTCCATAAAAATTATTCACAAACTCTTTTTTGATGGCTACATAATACTCCGTCTCCAAATCATAGTTTACTGTTGGATTTTTAGGCTGTTCCCATTTTTTGACCATTAGAAACAGCACTCTTGTCATCACTGTGTGGATATAATTTTGTCTCTTTTTCATTTAATTTCCCTTGCATATACTTTTAGAAGTGGAACGACTAGGTCAGAGATTTAAATAATTTTTAATTTCTTGATACACATTGTTAAATTCTCATTTTCAGATATGTTGTCCCAATTCTCAATTTCAACAATAGTAGAGTGAGTGGAGTGGGCTTCCTATGCCATCCTTGCTGTCATAGACTGCTAGCATTTTCAATGTTTACAATTTCTTGGGTAAAACATGCCATTCCAGTGTGGCTCAAATCTGAACTTCTTTAATGACTGTGAGCGCAAACATTCATACAGGCACTTGTTTGCATATTTGTTTCTTCTTTTTTGAAGGTTCTGTCTCTTGTTTATTTTTTTCTTTTCTTTTCTTTTTCTTTGAGACAGGGTCTTGCTCTGTTGACCAGGCTGGAGTGCAGTGGCACCATCTCGGCTTACTGCAACCTCTGCTTTCCTGAGCTAAAGTGATTCTCCCATTTCAGCCTCCTGAGTAGCTGGGACTACAGGTGTGCACCACCATGCCTAGCTAATTTTTGTATTTTTAGTAGAGACAGGGTTTTGCCATGTTGACCAGGCAGGTCTTGAACTTCTGGGCTCAAGCAATCCTCCTGTCTCAGCCTCCCAAAGTCTTGGGATTACAAGCATGAGCCACCACACCTGGCCTATTTTACAATTAGGGTTTTCTCACCAAATTTGTGAGTTCTTGAAATATTATAAATAAACTTTCTCCTATTTGATGTCAACATTTCCCCTTTTGCTTACTGCATTATTTAATTTTGTTTATAGTAATTTCAGTTCTATTAGTTTTTTTGCTATTTTTTATGCAAAATCTCCTACCCCTATGCAAAAGAAAGGTAACTATTCACCTACAGTTTTTCTAATACTTCTATGATTTCAGATTTATATTTCACCTTTTAATCCATTCAACATTTATCTTGATATGTAACATGAAGTTAGACTAGAAAGCTGATTTATTTTCCCTCAATAAGATCAATAATTTTCCTAGCAGCAAGTATTGACTAATCCATTACAGTTTGGTTTGTGATTTGTAAAATATGTTAAGTTCTTATCAATAGAAATATGTGGTAGGCAGAATCATAAGACATCCCTGAAGATCATGCACATCCTGGGACTATGAATTTTCACTTAATGTCTTTTGTGACAAATTTTACTCTTGTGATTAGGTTAGGTTACGCAGTATGTTTGACCTCAGATAGGGAGACTCTCCTGTCGGCTAACCTAGTCACATAAACCCTTCTCTGGCTCTGCTGGCCTAGAAGACAGCAGAGTGCCTGTAGTCAGTCAGTGAGGAGACATGTACCCTAGGCCCATGGCTACAAGGAACTGGATTCTGACACAAGAATAATGAGCTGGGAAGCAAATATTTACCTAGAGCCTTCAGAGGAAGACTCAGCCTGTCAACATCTTGATTTTATGTTTGTGTGACTCTGAGTAGAGAACCCAGCCATGCCATTGCAAAATTCTGAGCCACAGACCTGTGAGCTGGTGAAGTGTTGTTTTAAATCATAAGTGTGTGATAATTTGTTACACAGCGTTGAGAACTATTACACCTACATATCCTGGTATATATACACCTGGTATAATGTGTTCAAATTAAATTTGAAGAATACAAAGTCATTGCCAGTGGAAAAACTGGGTGAAAGAGGTGGTTCCTTCCATGAGACGGAGCAGTGTGTCATGCGGCACAAAGGACACTAACAAAACAGCATTTTTTCCAGAATTACAAAAAGCATAGAAAGAGCTCCTGACACCCTTCAGCCAGATTCTCCAATTTTTCACATTTTACCATATTTGCCTCATCATTCCTTCTCTCTGTAGATAGAGATGCAATTGTAAACACACACACACACACACACACACACAGGTCTTTTTTAATTCACAACACTTCTGACTCACACCAGTGTGTTGGTTTTTTCCACACCAACGACCAAGGGTTCTGCAACTCTCCAAACACAAACTGGGTGTCCAGTAACTCAGTCCTATTTTTGTTGTGGGTGAGCAGTGACTGCCTGGGCCGGTGGTGCAGGGGTAAAATAATTTATCAAGACAGTGGTAGGCAAAGAAAGGCAGATTTATTAGAGGAAGTAGGAAAATACGTTGTAAGAAAGCAACAGACAGAATCAGCAAGAGAGGAGCTGACTGCAAGGAGACAAAGGCTTGGTGGGGATTTTATAGAATAGTGTTTATGCTATAAGCTGAAGAAGGGTTTGTGCAGTGCTGAAAATGATGAGGTTCCAGTGAACTCGCTTGCAGGTATCCGGTGACAGTTGGGCACAGGAAGATCGTGAGTTATTTGCACAGGAGGGCCATGTGTCCTGGACCATGAAGAAAGGCAGACTTAGAGCTTATCTGTTTCCTCTTTTTGTTTTCCCTTGGTCCCACTAGCCCTTTCCCTAATGAAGACTCCATAATTCTGACATGAACTACCTGGAGTTAGCTGACCCCACAGGTTTAAGGGCTCAGTCCCACGAGATAGCCCCCAGTTCAGACTCCAGTTGCAAGAACCAGGTCCTCAGTTTGCCTACACTTCTGTCTACTTTAGCTACAAAATTGGGGTTCCCACACCCCCATTCAGGTTTAATAACTTGGTAGAATGACTTGCAGAACTTAGAAAAGTGCTTCACTTACTGTTACCAGTTAATTATAAAGGTTACAACTCAGGAGCAGCCTGAAGGAAGAGAGACATAGGGCAAGGTATGCGGGAAGGGCAGGGAACTTCCATGCCCTGTTTGGGCATCTCATCCTCTCACCATCTCCATGTATCCACCAGCCCTGAAGCTTTCTGAACCCCATAATTTGTTTTTATGGAGGCTCCATTACATAGGCACAACTGATTAAATCATTGGCTATTAGTTATTAACTCACCCTCCAGCCTTTCCTTCCTCCCTAAAGGTCAGGGGTGGGGACAAAGTTCCAAGTTTCTAATGAAGGCTTGGTCTTTTTGGCCACTAGCTCCAATCCTCAAGATATCTAGGAAGCCACCAAGAGTTGCCTCATTAGAATAAAAGATGCTTCACCCTCCATTCCAAGATGGCCGAGTAGGAACAACTCCGGTCTGCAGCTCCCAGCATGATTGACACAGAAGACAGGTGATTTCTGCATTTCCAACTGAGGTACTGGTTCATCTCATTGGGACTGGTTGGAAAGTGGGTGCAGCCCACAGAAGGCCAGCTGAAGCAGGTGGGGGCATTGCCTTACCCGGGAAGTGCAAGGGGCTGGGGGATTTCCCTTTCCTAGCCAAGGGAAGCTGTGACAGACTGTACCTGGAAAAACGGGACATTTCCGCCCAAATACTGTGCTTTTCCCATGATCTTAGCAACTGGCAGACCAGCAGATTCTCTCCCGTGCCTGGCTGGGTGGGTCCCATGCCCAGGGAGCCTTGCTTACTGCTAGTGCAACAGTCTGAGGTCAACCTGTGAGGCTGCAGCCTGGCAGGGGGAGGGGCATCCACCATTGCTGAGGCTTGAGTAGGTAAGCAAAGCGGCCAGGAAGCTCTAACTAGGTGGAGCCCACTGCAGCTCAGCAAGGCCTACTGCCTCTATAGACTCCACCTCTGGGGGTAGGTCATAGCTGAACAAAATGGAGCAGAAACTTCTGCAGACTTAAACGTTCCTGTCTGACAGCTCTGAAAAGAGCAGTGGTTCTTCCAGCATGGCGTTTGAGCACTGACAACAAACAGACTGCCTCCTCAAGTGGGTCCCTGATGCCTGTGTAGCCTAACTGGGAGACACTGCCCAGTAGGGGCCAACAGACACCTCATACAGGCGGGTGCCCCTCTGGGACAAAGCTTCCAGAGGAAGGATCAGGCAGCAATATTTGCTGTTCTGCAATATTTGCTGTTCTGCAGCCTCTGCTGGTGATACCCAAGCAAACAGGGTCTGGAGTGGACCTCCAGCAAACTCCAACAGACCTGCAGCTGAGGGACTTGACTGTTTGAAGGAAAACTAACATACAAAGGAATAGCATCAACATCAACAAAAAATACATCCACACCAAAACCTCATCTGTAGGTCACCAACATCAAAGACCAAAGGTAGATAAAACCACAAAGATGGGGAGAAACCAGAGCAGAAAAGCTGAAAATTCTGAAAACCAGAGGACCTCTTCTCCTCCAAAGGACTGCAGCTCCTCACCAGCAACGGAACAAAGTGGGATGGAGAATGACTTTGATGAGTTGACAGAAGTAGGCTTCAGAAGGTCGGTAATAACAAACTTCTTTGAGCTAAAGGAGCATGTTCTAAACCATTGCAAGGAAGCTACAAACCTTAAAAAAGGTTAGAAGAATGTCTAACTAGAATAAACTATGTAGAGAAGACCTTAAATGACCTGATGGAGCTGAAAACCATGGCATGAGAACTACGTGACGCATGCACAAGCTTCAATAGCTGATTCGATCAAGTGGAAGAAAGGATATCAGTGATTGAAGATCAAATTAATGAAATAAAGCAAGAAAACAAGTTTAGAGAAAAAAGAGTAAAAAGAAATGAACAAAGCCTCCAAGAAATATGGGACTATGTGAAAAGACCAAATCTATGTTTAATTGGTGTACCTGAAAGTGACGGGGAGAATGAAACTAAGTTGGAAAACACTCTTCAGGATATTATCCAGGAGAACTTCCCCAACCTAGCAAAGCAGGCCAACATTCAAATTCAGAAATACAGAGGACACGACAAAGATACTCCTCGAGAAGAGTAACCCCAAGACACATAATTGTCAGATTCAGCAAAGTTGAAATGAAGGAAAAAATGTTAAAGGCAGCCAGAGAGAAAGGTCGGGTTACCCACAAAGGGAAGCCCATCAGGCTAACAGTGGATCTCTTGGCAGAAACTCCACAAGACAGAAGAGAGTGGGGGCCAATATTCAACATTCTTAAAGAAAAGAATTTTCAACCCAGAATTTCATATCCAGCCAAACTAAGCTTCATAAGTGAAGGAGAAATAAAATCCTTTACAGACAAGAAAATGCTGAGAGATTTTGTCACCACCAGGTCTGCCATACAAGAGCTCCTGAAGGAAGCACTAAACATGGAAAGGAACAACCAGTACCAGCCACTGCAAAAACATGCCAAATTGTAAAGACCATCGATGCTATAAAGAAACTGCATCAACTGATGGGCAAAATAACCAGCTGACATCATAATGACAGGATCAAATTCACACATAACAATATTAACCTTAAATGTAAATGGGCTAAATACCCCAATTAAAAGACACAAACTGGCAAATTGGATACTCAAGACCCATCAGTGTGCTGTATTCAGGAGACCTATCTCATGTGCAAAGACACACATAGGCTCCAAATAAAGGAATGGAGGAAGATCTACCAAGCAAATGGAAAGCAAAAAAAAAGCAGGGGTTGCAATCCTAGTCTCTGATAAAACGGACTTTAAACCAACAAAAATCAAAAGAGACAAAGAAGACCATTACATAATGGTAAAGGGATCAATTCAACAAAAGAGCTAACTATCCTAAATATATATGCACCCAATACAGGAGCACCCAGATTCATAAAGCAAGTCCTTCCAGACCTACAAAGAGACTTGGACTCCCACACAATAATAATGGGAGACGCTAACACCCCACTGTCAATATTAGACAGATCAACCAGACAGAAGGTTAATAAGGATATCCAGGACTTGAACTCAGCTCTGCACCAAGCAGACCTAATTGACATCTACAGAACTCTCCACCCCAAATCAACAGAATATACCTTCTTCTCAGGACCACATCGCACTTATTCCAAAATTGACCACAGAGTTGGAAGTAAAGCACTCCTCAGCAAATGTAAAAGAACAGAAATCACAACAAACTGTCTCTCAGACCACAGTGCAATCAAATTAGAACTCAGGATTAAGAAACTCATTCAAAACTGCACAACTACATGCAAACTTAACAACCTGCTCCTGAACGACTACTGGGTAAATAACAAAATGAAGGCAGAAATAAAGAGTTCTTTGAAACCAATGAGAAAAAAGACACAACGTACCAGAATCTCTGGGACACATTTAAAGCAGTGTGTAGAGGGAAATTTATAGCACTAAATGTCCACAAGAGAAAGCAGGAAAGATCTAAAATCGACACCCTAACATCACAATTAAAAGAACTAGAGAAGCAACAGCAAACACATTCAAAAGCTAGCAGAAATAACTAAGATCAGAGCAGAACTGAAGGAGACAGAGACACAAAAAGCCCTTCAAAAAATAATGAATCCAAGAGCTGGTTTTTTGAAAAGATCAACAATATTGATAGACTGCTAGCAAGACTAATAAAGAAGAAAAGAGAGAAGAATCAAATAGACGCAATAAAAAATGATAAAGGGGATATCACCACCGATCCCACAGAAATACAAACTACCATCAGAGAACACTATAAACACCTCTATGCAAATAAACTAGAAAATCTGGAAAAAATGGATGAATTCCTGGACACATACACCCTCCCAAGACTAAACCACGAAGAAGCAGAATCTCTGAATAGACCAATAACAGGATCTGAAATTGAGGTAATAAGTAATAACCTTCCAACCAAAAAAAGTCCAGAACCAGACAGATTCACAGCCAAATTCTACCAGGGGTACAAAGAGGAGCTGGTACCATTCCTTCTGAAACTATTCCAATCAATAGAAAAAGAGGGAATCCTCCCTAACTCATTTTATGAGGCCAGCATCATCCTGATACCAAAGCCTGGCAGAGACACAACAAAAAAAGAGAATTTTAGACCAATATCCCTGATGAACATCGATGCAAAAATCCTCAATAAAATACTGGCAAACTGAATCCAGCAGCACATCGAAAGGCTTATCCACCATGATCAAGTCAGCTTCATCCCTGGGATGCAACGCTGGTTCAACATACGCAAATCAATAAACGTAATCCATCACATAAACAGCACCAATGACAAAAACCACATAATTATCTCAATAGCTGCAGAAAAGGCCTTTGACAAAATTCAACAGCCCTTCATGCTAAAAACTCTCAATAAACTAGGTATTGATGGAACGTATCTCAAAATAATAAGACAAACCCACAGCCAATATTTATGACAAACCCACAGCCAATATCATACTGAATGGGAAAAAACTGGAAGCATTCCCTCTGAAAACCAGCACAAGACAAGGATGCCCTCTCTCACCACTTCTATTCAACATAGTGTTAGAAGTTTTGGTCAAGGCAATCAGGCAAGAGAAAGAAATAAAGGGTATTCAATTAGGAAAAGACGAAGTCAAATTGTCCCTGTTTGCAGATGACATGATTGTATATTTAGAAAACCCCATCATCTCAGCCCAAAATCTCCTTAAGCTGATAAGCAACTTCAGCAAAGTCTCAGGGCACAAAATCGATGTGCTAAAATCACAAGCATTACTATACATCAATAACAGACAAACAAAGAGCCAAATCATGAGTGAACTCTCATTCACAATTGCTACAAAGAGAATAAAATACCTAGGAATCCAACTTATAAGGGATGTGAAGGACTTCTTCAAGGAGAACTACAAACCACTGCTCAACGAAATAAAAGAGGACACAAACAAATGGAAGAACATTCCATGCTAATGGATAGGAAGAATCAATATCGTAAAAATGGCCATACTGCCCAAGGTAATTTATAGATTCAATACCATCCCCATCAAGCTACCAATGACTTTCTTCACAGGATTGGAAAAAACTGCTTTAAAGTTCATATGGAACCAAAAAAAAGCCCACATTGCCAAGACATTCCTAAGCAAAAAGAACAAAGCTGGAGGCATCAAACTATACTACTGACTTCAAACTATACTACGAGGCTACAGTAACAAAAACAACATGGTACTGGTACCAAAACAGATATATAGACAAATGGAACAGAACAGAGGCCTCAGAAATAACACCACACATCTACAATCATCTGATCTTTGACAAACCTGACAAAAACAAGAAATTGGGAACAGATTCCCTATTGATTAAATGGTGCTGGGAAAACTGGCTAGCCATATGTAGAAAGCTGAAACTGGATCCCTTCCTTACACCTTATACAAAAATTAATTCAAGGTGGATTAAAGACTTAAATGTTAGACCTGAAACCATAAAAACTCTAGAAGAAAACCTAGGCAATACCATTCAGGACATACACATGGGCAAGGACTTCATGACTAAAACACCAAAAGCAATGGCAACAAAAGCCAAAATAGATGAATGGGATCTAATTAAAGAGCTTTTGCACAGCAAAAGAAACTACCATCAGAGTGAACAGGTAACCTACAGAATGGGAGAATATTTTTGCAATCTACCCATCTGACAAAGGGCTAATATCTAGAATCTACAAAGAACTTAAACAAATTTTCAAGAAAAAAACAAACAAACCCATCAAAAAGTGGGCAAAGGATGTGAACAGACACTTCTCAAAAGAAGACATTTATGCAGCCAGCAGACACATGAAAAAATGCTCATCATCACTAGTCATCAGAGAAATGCAAATCAAAACCACAATGAGATACCATCTCACACCAGTTAGAATGGCAATCATTAAAAAGTCATGAAACAACAGATGCTGGAGAGGATGTGGAGAAATAGGAACACTTTTACACTGTTGGTGGGAGTGTAAATTAGTTCAACCATTGTGGAAGACAGTGTGACGATTCCTCAAGAATCTAGAACTAGAAATACCATTTGACCCAGTGATCCCATTACTGGGTATATACCCAAAGTATTATAAATCATGCTACTATAGAGACACATGCACAAGTATGTTTGTTGCGGCACTATTCACAATAACAAAGACTTGGAACCAACCCAAATGTCCATCAATGATAGACTGGATTAAGAAAATGTGGCACATATACACCATGGAACACTATGCAGCCATAAAAAATGATGAGTTCATGTCCTTTGTAGGGACATGGATGAAGCTGGAAACCATCATTCTCAGCAAACTATCACAAGGACATAAAAGCAAACACCGCATGTTCTCACTCATAGGTGGGAATTGAACAATGAGAACACTTGGACACAGGGAGGGGAACATCACACACCAGGGCCTGTCGTGGGGTGGGGGGCTGGGGGAGGGATAGCATTAGGAGAAATACCCAATGTAAATGATGAGTTAATGGGTGCAGCAAACCAACATGGCACATGTATAACTACGTAACAACCCTGCACATTATGCACATGTATCCTAGAACTTAAAGTATAATAATAAAAAAAGAATATATTATATACTTGTAAATTGCCAAGAGAGTAGATTTTAAGGAGTTTAAGTGTTCTCATCACAAATTATGTTTGAGGTAATGGAAATGTTAAATAGCTTGATTTATCCATTGCACCAACACTATATTGTACAATGTAAGTATATATAATTTTGACTTACCTAATAAATAATTTTTTGAAAAGAATAAGATACATCTATATGCGCTGACATAAAAGAATAGACATGATATATTGTTGAGTGAAAATAAGTGGCATATAAATTTTTGTCTGATATAAATTTTTAAAATCATGCAGTTTAATTTATTCCTTCCATAGACAAGTGAATAACATGGAAAAAGGTTGAGAAACATTGCATGGAGTATTTATTTTTGGTTCCCAATAATTTCCTTGCTACTCCAAATAAAGAACTGTTTTTTTCAGAATCACCTCAACTATGTTCAACTTCTATCTTGTTAGATGGGGGAGAGCAGCCACCCTCACTCTTGGGTGAGGGAGGCTCACTCAGGGATCACTGTCCTTCGCTGCCTTGTGTTCAGTCTAGAGAGTCTAAGTAATGTTTCTGAGGACACATAGCTTATAAGACACAAAGCGATACTAGACTCAGGTCTGTCTGTTTCAAGGACCCACAATTGTAATCTTCACACCATAAAGCCAATGAGAGTGTATTTCAACAAAAAAAGAAATCATATAATCAAGTCTCTATAAATGCCCTTAACTAAGATTTTCAGCCCACTGTGTCACCATGGAACTCACTCTTAATTCTTGGATACAGGACAAAAACCAAGGTGAATCACTGACTTACTTGCTTCCTCCGTATGAACAGCTATTGTAGGCAGCAGGAGTAATATGGTGATAGGCCTGCATTGCAATAGCAAGGTCAGCAGTTGCTATTAAATCTTGACAGACCCCACTGTGGGACAAAAAGCATGCTTGCCACGCCAAGACTAGATAAGATCCAGAAAAACCCCAGTGTCCACCTATGTTCTAGACTGAAGTCCACAGATCTGGTCCACAAGTCTCAGAAGGCTTCATCTTATCCCTGAAGCTTTCTAATTATAGTCTTTTCCAATCAGGGTCCCAAAAGAGAATTAGCCTACAGACAAGTGATTTCGTTGACTAATTCTCCATTTCCCAAGAATGCAACATAGCTAGTACCATTGTAGATGGAGAGGAGATAAGCTAATTTGTTACATGTTTGGTTGCCTTAATGGACTGGAGCTTTATTCTATCAGTAATCCTTACTGAGAAAGGTCAATTGAAGTTTCCAATCTAACTTGGTTTATGGTGGGAGTACACAAGGTAGATGTGGAGTCTTCTGCTTTATCTGGGAAGAAATATCTGGCTGTATTTGAATGGGCACTGAACCTGAGCCCCATGAGCCCAGTAAAAGAGTGTGGCCTCATCTGGGCTGGGCTAGACATGCCCCTTTCCCAACCAGCCCTTCCTGAATCATTGGGTGAGGATGCTTATCCAGGCCAGCAGAAGACTCAGGGTTATTTTGGGAAGGACAGACACACATCCTTGTCCTGAGATAGGGCAGGCTATGATCACCGGAATGCAAACGTTAAACTTGTCACTTCCAAGATGTGCTCAACTCTCCTCCTCCCGCTGAAATTCAGTTCCCATAAATGGACAGAGAGCTAATTTCCCTTGGCTTCATCTCAAGACCAGGTCACTATGTTCCCAAAGTCTAGCTTAGCTCAAATGTCTTTACCTACTAAGGTTATTTTTCTGCTGCTGTGGTGGAATTGCTATTTTCAGTAGCTGAGAAAAATTCAATATTTATTTTTCTTGGTGGGAAATCCACAGTGAAGTAGGTGGTTCCTGGAAGCTGTTTATTCCCCCTATTGCATTGTCTTGAGCAAATGACCATGATTAATAATATTTAAAGGGATTAATCTCATTCTGCAGGAGGCAAGCAGTAGAGCAGATAGATATAAATAGAAATATTGAAACAGATATAAATATAGATATCTCTTGCCCATTTTAATTCTACATATTTACAGCTTCAGGGCATAATACAAATGGACAAAGAACCTAGCCAGCAGAAACCGAATAAAATTCCAACAGGGAGATTTATTACTGCCTCTGGAAGTAAATCATAGTTGATATTCTGGACTGAGTTTACTCTGAGCATGTGATCTTACTCAATCAGATCATGCTAAATATAGACTTGGAGAGGACTCATGGCAGAACGTTGACTGAGGCCATAAGCTGCCATCTGGATTTTTTGTATCTTTTTTCAGAAAACAGTGAATTCACCCCGGCATTCAGCTTCCGTAAGATCAAGCACAGAGGTCATCTGCTGCGGATTTGTAGAGGAAAGTTCACACTGCTGTGAAAATATATTCCCAGTTATATTTGAATTTCTAGTTTTAGGACAAAATTCTGCTATCTTTTTACAAAAAGCCCCCCCTCCCCTTACACCCCATAACACGCCACTCTTTATAGGATTGTCACTCATGATTATGATGACAGGAAGCATTGATGATGACTCATTGATTTTTTTCTATATGCCCCGAGAAGTTGGTGTGATCTTTCTGGAAAAGAAGACCTTCTTTGACACATAATGTTTATGAAAATATCAGAGGTTCAGGTTGGGTAATCTGTCTCAAACTCTCCCTCAAGCCCCTCTACTCCCTCTAGGAAGAACACAACACGAATCCTGCAGGATGACTGAAAACTCCTCTGTTGATCAGGGCATTCAGCAAGCAAGTCTGCACAGCCCTGCTCACAGTCACTCCACTCTGAAACCAGTTCTGCTTTGGGAAAATATTTCCTGGGTTTAACAAAGTCCCTTATGCTGACACCTGTGTATTTTTCTTTATTCTGCTTTAATGTGATGTATAACTTTAGAATCATAGAGCACTAGTGCTTTAACGGAGTTTAGAGCCTAGCCTTAGAATTTAACAGGAACAAAAGCTTGGGCCCAGAAAGCGTGGGTTCCCATAGCTAGTTAGTAGAATAGAGGCTTGGTCTCCTCAGCCTGCAGGGATTTCTTTTCTACCATTAATGGCTGTATTTGAAGATGTATTTAAATCCCTCCTCAGCCTCCATTTTTCAAGTTGAGATGTTCTTTAGTCTCCCAATAAGTATAATTTTCCGAACGTTAGATTCTTTTCTCATATTTTCTCCTTTCTCCATGTGCACATTAAATTATGGTGCCCTGTGCTGGTCTCAGAATAAGTAGCAGACTTTAACTAGTACTGTCTGGGATAGTATTATAATTCATAATAATCCATTGACTATGTAGAAATAGTTCTTAAGTTCTTAATTCATAACATGTCAGACAGTGATATATACCCTGAGGATATAGAAATGAATAACAATAAGGTTCATTCTTCAAGGACCTTGAAGTCATGCAGGGGAGATGTGTATTGAGTGGTTGACCATAGCTAGGTAGGAGGTAGGAGGTAGGAGGTGTTCATGTGTGTTTGGGAGAAGTGTTGGGGCACAAAAGAGGGTGTCCTTATATGTATAGGATTTTAAGAGAAATTTTAAGTCATTTTTTAGCCAAAAGTGGGGTGTTTTAGCTGGATCTGAAAGAATCCAGCAATGTTTAAGAATTGAAATAATGCTGTTACTATTATTTGTGTATATGTTCGTGTATCTTGGGTATTATTCGGAGTCATGGGATCACATCAGTTACGGAAAGATCACTTTGGTTGCAATGTGGATAACGGATTGAAGGGGAAAAAAAGAAGAAAATTCACTTAGGAGCCTAAAGTAACATTCCAGGAAACAGATGGTACAGATTTCGGCAGAGCTGTGACAGAAGACTAATCCTCAGGATTTAGTGACCTCTTGAATGCTGATTGTTGAGGAAGAGGTCAGCAGTGATTTCCAAGGTTGTGCTTTGGACAACTGGGTTGGACTATTTAATAATAATAGGCTTGTGGTTATTCTTTTAAATTATCAAATAATCATGGAATAGTAGAAGGTTTTGGGTGGAAGATAAGGAGTCCAATTCTAGCCACGTGGAACTTGAACAACTTGGAATTATCCAGTTTGCATTATCCAGTGGGCAAAAGGATACATGGGTCTGGAGGGCAGGGGAGGATCCTGGGATATGATATAAGGTGGCAGTTAAACCAAAATGTGGATTACTGTATTCAGGCAGATGTTAGAGTATGAACAGAAGAAGGTCACTTGTCAAAGAGTAGGCAGGAAGCCTCATGAAGGAGACTGGAAAGAAATGTTTGGAAGGCATGAGGAGAACCAGAAGCATGTGGCCAACAGGCCTCATGTCCTTGAGGGATCAAGTGACAGAAAGATTAAAATCTATTAAATTCTGCAGTGAACTTATAATTGGTGATCTTAGGGCAATTTATTGGGGTGTGGAAAGCTCTGAATCCAGAATGCAACACACCGAGGAATCAGTTTCTTCCTTTATTTAATTAATTAATTTATTTTTTTGAGACGGAGTTTCGCTCTTGTTGCCCAGGCTGGAGTGCAGCAGCGCGATCTTGGCTCACCGCAACCTCCACCTCCCAGGTTCAAGCGATTCTCCTGCCTCAGCCTCCCGAGTAGCTGGGATTATAGGCATGTGCCACCACACCTGGATATTCTTCCTTTATTCTATTGATATGCTGTGTTACTTTGACTGATTTTTATATGTTGGAACCACTTTCACATTCCTGGGATTACTCTCACTTGGACATAATGTATAATATCTTTAATATACTCCTGGATTCAGTTTGCTAGTATTTTTTTTTTTTTGGCGGGGTAGAATGCAGTCTCACTCTGTCACCCAGGCTAGAGTGCAATGGTGCCGTCTTGGCTCATTGCAACCTCTGCCTCCCAGGTTCAAGAGATTCTCATGTCTCAGCCTCCCGAGTAGCTGGGATTACAGGCATGTGCCACCACACCAGGCTAATTTTTGTATTTTTAGTAGTGATGATGTTTCACCATGTTGGTCAGGCTGGTCTCGACCTCCTGGCTTCAAGTGATATGCCTGCATTGGCCTCCCAAAGTGCTGGGATTACAGGTGTGAGCCACTGTGCCCAGTCTTCAGTTTGCTAGTATTTTGTTGAGTGTTTTGGCATCTACATTCATAAGAGACTTTGGTTTATAGTTTTCTTGTGATGTCTTTATCTGGTTTTGGTATCATGGTAATGCCGACCTCATGGAGTGAGTTAGGAAGTTTTCTCAATTCTATTTTTTTGGAAGAGTCTAAGAAGCATTTCTACTAATTCTTAAAAATTTGGTAGAATTCACCATCTGGTCCTGGGGTTTTCTTTATTGGAAGCTTTTGGAGGGTTGACTCAATCTCTTTATTTGTTATAGGTCTATTCAGATTGTCTGTTTCTTCCTGAGTCAATTTTGGTAGCTTGTGTGTCTCCAGAAATTGTCCATTTCATCTAAATTGTCTAATTTGTTGGCATACAATTGTTCACGGTATTGTTTTACAATGCTTTTAATTTCTCTATATCGTTAGCAACATCTCCTTTGTTCCTGATTTTAATAGTTTAAGTCTACTCTTTTTCTTTTTTCTTGGTTAGTCTAGCCAAAGTTTTCTCAACATTGTTGATCTTTTCAAATAACTATGTTATGTTTTATTAATTTTTTCCATTGTCATTCTATTCTCTACTTCATTTATCTCTCCTCTAATGTTTATTTTTTTCCTTCTTCTTGCTTAGGTTTAGTTTGCTCTTCTTTTTCTATAGTTTTTTAAAAAAACTTTTATTTTAGGTTTAGGGGTATATGTGCAGGATTGTTATATAGGTAAACTGTGTGTCATGGGGGTTTGGTGTACAGATTATTTAGTCACTCAGGTAATAAGTATAATACTCAATAGGCATTTTTTCTTGATCCTCTTCCTCCTTCCACCCTCCACCCTCAAGTAAGCCCTGGTGTCCAGTTGTTCTCTTCTTTGTATCCTTGTGTTCTCATTGGTTAGCTCCCACTTATAAATGAGAATATACACTATTTGGTTTTCTGTTTCTGCATTAGTTTGCTTATGATGATGATCTCCAGCTCAATTTATGTTGTTGCAAAGGGCATAATCTCATTCTTTTTTATGGCTGTGTAGGATCCCATGGTATATATGTACCACTTTTCTTTATTCAGTCTACTGTTGATGGGCATTTAGGTTGATTCCATGTCTTCGTTGTGAACAGTGCTGCGGTAAACATATGTGTGCCTGTGTCACTATGGCAGAACAAATTGTATTCCTTTCGATATATATCCAACAATACGATTGCTGGGTTGAATGGTAATTCTGTTTTCAGTTCTTTGAGAAATTGCCACACTGCTTTCCACAATGACTGAACTAGTTTACACTTCCACCAGCAGTGTTTAAGTGTTCCCTTTACTCTGCAACTTCACCAACGTCTGTTATTTTTTGGCTTTTTAATAATGGCTATTCTGTCTGGTGTGAGATGATATCTCGCTGTGGTTTTGATTTGCATTTCTCTAATGATTAGTGATGTTGAGCATTTTTTCATATGCATGCTGGCTGCATACATGTCTTTTTGTGAAAAGAGTCTGTTCATCTTCTTTGCCCACTTTTTAATGGTATTGTTTGTTTTTTGCTTGTAAATTTGTTTAAGTTCCTTATGGATTCTGGATATGAAACCTTTTTTAGATGCATAGTTTGCAGATATTTTCTCTCATTCTGTAGGTTGTCTATTTACTCGGTTGATAGTTTCTTTTGCTGTGCAGAAGCTCTTTAGTTTGATTAGGTCCCATTTGTCAGTTTTTGGTTTCTTTGTAATTGCTTTTGATGTCTTTGTCATGAAATCTTTGCCAGGTCCTGTGTCCAGAATGGCATTGCCTAGATTTTCTTCCAGGGTTTTTATAGTTTCGGGTTTTACATTAAGTCTTTAATCAATCTTAAGTTAATTTTTGTATATGGTTTAAGGAAGGGGTCCAGTTTCAATTTTCTGCATATGGCTAGCTAGTTATCCCAGCACCATTTATTGAATAGAAAATCCTTTCCCCATTGCTCATTTTTGTTGGCCTTGTTGAAGATCACATGGTTGTAGGCAACCAGCATTATTTCTGGGCTCTCTATTCTGTTCCATTGGTCCATATATCTATTTTTGTACCAGTACCATGTTGTTTTGGTCACTGTAGCCTTTGAAGTCAGGTAACGTAGCCGGGCGCGGTGGCTCACGCCTGTAATTGAACACTTTGGGAAGCTGAGGCCGGCAGATCACCTGTGGTCAGGAGTTCCAGAACAGCCTGGCCAACATGGTGAAACTCTGTCTCCAGTAAAAATACAAAAATTAACTCGGCGTGGTGATGCATGCCTGTAACCCCAGCTACTCCAGAGGTTGAGGCAGGAGAATCGCTTGAACCCTGGAGGCGGAGGCTGCAGTGAAACGAGATCACTCCACTGTACTCCAGCCTGGGTGACAGAGTAAGATTCTGTCCCCACCCCCCAAACCCCCCATCCCAAAAAATAGGAAAAGGAAAAATGAAGTCAGGTAACGTGATGCCTCCTGCTTTGGTCTTTTTTTTTTTTTTTTTTTTTAAGGATTGACTTAAAGAGCTATTCAGGCTCTTTTTTGGTTCTATATGAATTTTAAAATAGTTTTTTCTACTTCTGTGAAGAATATCATGGTAGTTTGATAGGAATGGTATTGAATCTGTAAATTACTTTGGACAGTACGGCCATTTTAATGATATTGATTCTTCCTATTGATGAGCACAGCATGTTTTTCCATTTGCTTGTGTCACCTCTGATTTCTTTGAGCAGTGTTTTGGTATGCTGTGTTTTTGTTTTAATTCACCTGAAAATATGTTTTAGTTTCCCCTGTGATGTCCTCTTTGACTCATCAGTTATTTAGGAGTGTTTAATTTCCACTCTTTGTGAATTTTCTTCTATTAATGCTTTCTAATTTCATTCCATTGTTGGAGAATATACTTGGCATAATTTTTATATTTTTATATTTGTTGAGATTTGTTTTTCTGGACTAATGTATGGTCCATTCTGGAAAATAGTTCACTTGAGAAGAATGTGTATTCACCTGTTGTTGGGTGGAGTGTTCTACAGATGTCTGCTGGATTTCATTGGCTTATAGTGTTGCTCAAGTTTTCTATTTTCTTTTTGATTTTCTATCTAGTTTTTCTAGACATCATTGAAAATTGGTATTAAAGTCTTCAACTATTATTGTTAAACTCTATTATTTGGCCTTCAATTGTGTCAATTTTTTCTTTGTGTATTGTGGAGCTCTGCATTTAGGTGAATATATGTTTATAAGTGTTATACTTTATTAATGAATTGACCCTTTTATATTAATAATTATATAATGCCCTTTTTGTCTCTTTAACAATTTTTATATTGAAGTCTATTTTGTTTGATATGAGTATAGCCATTCCAGCTCTCCTTTGATAACTACTTGCATAGAATGTTTTTTCAACATTTTCCTTTCAACCTACTTATGTCTTTAAATCTAAAGTGAATTCTTGTAGACAGAATATAATTGAACCACGTTTTAAAAATAATCCATTCTGGCTGGGTGCTGTGGCTCACACCTGTAATCCCAGCACTTTGGGAGGCCGAGGCAGATGGATCACGAGGTCAGGAGTTCGAGACCAGCCTGACCAAAATGGTGAAACCCTGTCTCTACTAAAAATACAAAAATTTGCCAGGTCCGGTGGTGTGCACCTGTAATCCCAGACACCCAGCAGGCTGAGGCAGGAGAAAGACTTGAACCCAGGAGGCAGAAGTTGCAGTGAGCCAAGTCTGCACCACTGCACTCCAGCCTGGGCAACAGAGCGAGACTCCATCTCAAAAAAAAAAAAAAATCATTCTGCCAGCCTATGCCATTTAATTGGATAGTTTAATCCATTTGTACTTAATATAATTACTGATAAGGGAAGACTTCTGCCATTTTGCTATTGGTTTTCTATATCTTACATCTTTTTTTCTTCCTCATTTCCTTCATTATTTCTTTTTTTTGTTAAATAGGTATTTTCTTGTGTACCATTTTATTCCCTTGTCACTTCTTTTACAATGTTTTAAAATTTATTTTGTTAGTGGTTACCTTGGAAATTACAATTAACATTTTAATTTATAATAATTTATTCAGATTAATAACAACTTAATTTTCAATAGTATACCAAAACTTAGCTCTTATACGGCTCCATTTCCTCTCCTTTTATAATATTCTCACAAATTATGCCTTTATACATTGCATGCTCAACAACATATATTTATAATTACTGCTTTATGCAATTGTCTTTTAAATTATATAGGAGAAACAGGGGTTACAAACAAGAACTACATTAACACTGTCTCTCATATTATCTATGTAGTTACTTTTACTGGTGTTCTTTATTTCTTCATAATATTTAACTTACTGTTTAGTGTCATTTTATTTCAGCCTTAGGACTCTTTCAGAATTTCTTGTAGGACAGGTCTGCTAGTGACAAACTCAGTTTTTGTATATTAGAATGTTTTAATTTCTCTTTTATTAAAAAATAGAATTTACTTTTTAAGAAGTTTTAGGTTTACAGGCAAATTGAGTGGAAAATACAGAGATTTTTCTATTTACCCCCTCACTCCTTCACCCTTAGAATCCCCTATTATTAACATTTTGGATTACTGTGGTACATTTGTCACAATTGATGAGTAATATTGATACACATTATTATTAACTAAAGTCAGTAGTTCAGTTTACATTAGGGCTCATTCTTTGTGTTGCATATTCTATGGATTTTGACAAATATACAATACTTTATATTCACCATTACAGTATCATATATGATACTGTAATGGTGAATATAAAGATTCACCATTGTAATGGTGAATATAAAGATTCACATCCAGAATAGGTTTCACTGCCTTAAAATACCCTGCACTCTATTTATCCCTGTCTTTCTCCCCAAAGCCCTTACCACCACAGATTTTTTTACAGTTTATGCAGTTTTGCTGAATGTCATATAGTTGAAATCATACAGTCTGTAGCTGTTTCAGATTGATTTTTTTCACTTAATAATTGGTGCATTGCTTTTCTGAGACTATATTTCTATCTCCTGATTAAAGAACAGAGCTGGCTATATAATTTGTATTTAAGATTCCTCCATCTCTTTTCATGGCTCGACAGCTTATTCCATTTTATTGTTAAATAACATTCCACTGTATGGATATGCTGCAGTTTATTCACCTATTGAAGGACATCTTTGTTGCTTCCAACTTTTGGCAATTACAAATAAAGCTGCTATACATGTTTGTGAAGCACTTTCTGTGTAGACATTTTTCAATTCATTTGGGTAAATACCAAAAAATGTGACTACTGAATCATATGGTAAGAGTATGTTTAGTTTTGTATAAAACTGCCAATCTGTCTTTCAAAGTAACTGTACCATTTTGCATTCTCATGAGCAATAAATGAGACTTTCTGTTGTTCATTGCAACACATCCTTTCCAGCGTTTGTTTTTTTCACCAGTTTCACTGAGGTATAATTGACAAGTAAAATTGTATAAATTTAAGGAGTACAACATTGTGATTTGATATACATATATTATGAAATGTTTATCATAATTAAGTTAATCTTTTACCTCACCTAGTTATCTTTTTTCCAGAGGTTGTAGAACATTTCTGTGTAGTAGGACATTTAAGATCTATTCTCTTAGCAAATTTTTATTATAGGAAAAAATATTGTTAACTATAATCACTATGCTATTTTAAACTGATAACAACTTAACTGTGATTGCATACAAAAATTTATACTTTTACTTCTCCCCCTCACATTTTAGCTTACTGATGTTACAATTTATATCTTTTTACATTGTGTATCCAATAACAAATTATTGTAGTTACAGTTATTTTTAATATGTTTGTTTTTTAACTTTTATACCAGAAGTAAAAGTGATTTATGCATCATTATTACAATACTAGGGAATTCTGACATTGATTATATATTTACTTTTATAGTGAGTTTTATACATTCATATGTTTTTATGTTGTTAATTACTGTTCTTTTATTTCAGCTTGAAAAATTTTCTTTAGTGTTTCTTATACGGCAGTTCTGGTGGTGATAAACTCTTTCAGTTTTTATTTGTTTGGGAAATTCTTTATATCTTTTATTTCTGAAGAATAGCTTTTCCAGGTATAGTATTCTTGGTTCACAGTATTTTTTCTTTCACTATTTTGAATATATCATCCAACTTCCTCCTGGCCTAGAAGGTTTCTGTTAAGAAAATCTACTGGTAGTCTTAAGGGGTCTCACATGTATGTAATGAGTTGCTTCTCTCTTGCTGCTTTTAAGTTTCTCTTTGTCTTTGACTTTTGACAACTTAATTATAATGTGTCTTGGCGTACGCTTTTTGAGCTCAACCTATTTGGAGACTTTTGGGCCTCATGAGTGTGGATGTTCATTTTTCTTCTCAAATTTTAGAAGTTTTCAGCCATTTTTTTGGTCCAATTAACACTTTGTAAATTTTTTATTTTTTTAATTAAGTTCTGGGGTACTTGTGTAGGATATAGAAGTTTGTTACATAGATAAACATGTGCCATGGTGGTTTGCTGCACCTTTCAACCCATCACCTAGGTATTAAGCCCAGCATGCATCAGCTCTTTTCCCTAATGCTCTCCCACCCCTGCCCTCCCCCAACGGGCCCCAGTAAATGTTCTTCCCCTCCCTGTGTCCATGTATTCTCATTGTTCAGCTCCCACTTATAAGTGAGAACATGCAGTGTTTGGTTTTGTGTTCCTGCATTAGTTTGCTGAGGATAATGGCTTCCAACTTCATCGATGTCCCTGCAAAGGACATGATCTCATTCTTTTTTATGGCTGGATAGTATTCCATGGTGTATATGTACCACATTTTCTTTATCCAGCTATCACTGATGGGCATGTGGGTTGATTCCATGTCTTAGCTATTATGAATAGTGCTGCAATGAACATACATGTGCATGTATCTTTATAATAGAATTATTTATATTCCTTTTGGTATATACCCAGTAATGGGGTTGCTGGGTCAAATGGTATTTCTGGTTCCAAATCTTTGAGGAATCATCACACTGTCTTTCACAATGGTTGAACTAATTTGCAGTCCCACCAACAGTGTAAAAGTGCTCCTATTTCTCCACAACCTCACAGCATCTGTTGTTTCCTGACTTTTTAATAATCATCATTCTGACTGGTGTGAGATGGTATCTCACTGTGGTTTTGATTTGCATTTCTCTAATGATCAGTGATGTTGAGTTATTTTTCTTTCTTTTCTTAAACAGTTTAATTTCTGGGATACATGTGCAGAATGTGTAGGTTTGTTACATAGGTTTTCATGTGCCATGGTGGTTTGCTGCACCTTTCAACCTGTCATCTAGGTTTTAAGCCCCACATGCATTAGGTATTTGTCCCAATGCTCTCCCTCCCCTTGTCCCCCAGCCCCTGATAGGCCCCAGTGTGTGTCGTTCCTCTCCCTGTGTCCAAGTGTTCTCATTGTTCAACTCCCACTTATAAGAACATGTGGTGTTCGGTTTTCTGTTCCTGTGTTAGTTTGCTGAGGATGAGGGCTTCCAGCTTCATCCATGTCCCTGCAAAGGACATGATCTCATTCCTTTTTATGGCTGCATAGTATTCCATGGTGTATATGCACCACATTTTCTTTATTCAGTCTATCACTGGTGGACATTTGGGTTGGCTCCATGTCTTTGCTATTAACTAGTGCTGCAGTAAGCACACGTGTGCATGTGTATTTATAGTAGAATGATTTATATCACTTTGGGTATGTATCCAGTGATGAGACAGCTGGGTCAAATGGTATTTCTGGTTCTAGATTCTTTTTTTTTTTTTTGAGACGGAGTCTCACTCTGTTGCCCAGGCTAGAGTGCAGTGGCGCGATCTCGGCTCACTGCAAGCTCTGCCTCCTGGGTTCATGCCATTCTCCTGCCTCAGCCTCCCAAGTAGCTGGGACCACAGGCGCCCAACACCACGCCTGGCTAATTTTTTTTGTATTTTTAGTAGGGATGGGGTTTCACTGTGTTAGTCAGGATGGTCTCAATCTCCTGAACTTGTGATCCACCTGCATTGGCCTCCCAAAGTGCTGGGATTACAGGCATGAGCCACCGTGTCTGGCCTGTAGATTCTTGAGGAATCACCACACTGTCTTCCACAATGGTTGAACTAATTTACATTCCCACCAACAGCATAAAAGTGTTCCTATTTCTCCACAGCCTTGCCAGCATCTATTGTTTCTTGACTTTTTAATAATTACCATTCTGACTGACATGAGATGGTATCTCACTGTGCTTTTCATTTGCATTTCTCTGATGATCAGTGATGTTGAGCTGTTTTCATATGTTTGTTGACTGCATAAATGTCTTCTTTTGAGAAGTATCTGTTCATATTCTTTGCCCACTTTTTAATTGGGTTGTTTGTTTTTTTCTTGTAAATTTGATTAAGCTCCTCATAGATTCTGGATAGTAAACCTTTTTCAGATGGATAGATTGCACACATTTTTTTCCCACTCCGTAGGTTGTCTGTTCACTGTGATGATAGTTTCACTTGCTATGCAGAAGCTCTTTAGTTTAATTAGATCCCATTTGTCAATTTTTGCTTTTGTTGCAATTGCTTTTGGTGATTTCATCATAAAATCTTTGCCCATGCCTATGTCCTGAATAGTATTGCTCAAATTTTCTTCTAGGATTTTTATAGTTTTGGGTTTTAAATTTAAGTCTTTAATCCATCTTGAGTTAATTTTTGTATAATGTGTAAGGAAGGGATCCAGTTTCAATTTTCTGGATATGGTTTTGGCCTTATTTATTTATTTATTTATTTATTTTTGAGACAGAGTCTCACTCTGTCACCCAGGCTGGAGTGCAATTGCATAATCTCGGCTCACTGCAACCTCTGCCTTTCAGATTCAAGCGGTTCTCCTGCCTCAGCCTCCCAAGTAGCTGGGACTACAGGTGAGCACCACCATGCCTGGCTAATTTTTGTATTTTTAGTAGAAATGGGGTTTCACCAGGCTGGTCTTGAACACCTGACCTCAAGTGATCCTCCTGCCTTGGCCTCCCAAAGTGCTGGGATTACAGGTGTGAGCCACTGCAACTGGCCAGTCATTATTTTTAAAAACACATTCTGTCCTTTTCTCTCTCCATCTTCTCCTGGAATTTCTATAATGCAAATTTGTTTCTCTTGGTTGTGTCCCATAAATCTTGTAGGCTTTCTTCACTGCTTTTTGTTTTTTTTCCTTTTGCCCTCTGATCAGATCATTTCAAATGACCTATCTTCTTGTCTTCTGATTCTTTATTGTGCTTGATTGAGTCTGCTGTTGAAGTTCTCTATTGACCTTTTCAGTTCAGTCATTGCATTCCTAATCTGCGGGATTTCTATTTGGGATTTAAAAAAATTTATGTTGTCTTTTGTTTCTTTGTTGAACTACTCATTTTGTTCATGTGTTGTTTTTCTGAATATTGTTTAGCTATCTATTTATGTTTTCCTGTAGTTCATCAAACTTTCCTAAGAGGATTATTCTGAATTATTTGTTAGACTGTCTATAGATCTCCATCCCTTTCAGGTATTGGAGCTTTATTAGTTTCCTTTGATGGTGTCATATTCCCTGACTCTTTCCAATTTTCATATTCTTGTGTTTGTTTCTGTGCATTTGTGGAAGTGCTTGCCTTGTCTGGCCTTTACAAATTCACTTTGGTAGGGATATACCTTAACCATTTGGTCCAACCTGGGGTCTGGACAGACCAGTTGGTAGTGTCACTGGGCAGGTGGGGCTTGCTGTTAATTCTCTAGCTGGGCAGGACCACTGTCTGTACTCTGAGCTTGGGTGGCTGCTGGATGGACTCTGAAGTCAGGTGGGTCTGCTAGCAGGGCTTGTAGTCAGGCAAGGCTGCTGGCTGGGCTCTGAGTTCAGGCAGGTTGCTGGCTGGGCTTCTTGGTTGTGTGGTGCCACTAACTGGGCTTCACAATTGCCGCTGGTTGTGGGGTTGCAGGCTGTGGTCCCTGGCAAGGTGATGCCAATGGTTGGACCCCACAATTAGGTGGAGTGTCTCAGCCTCACCCCTAGGCTCCGGGATTGTCACAAAGGTGTTCCTGTCTGTGAGTAGTTGCTAGTTGGACTTCGTGTGATGGGAAATAAAGCTGAAAACTTCCTATTCTGACATCTTACTGATGTCACTAACACCTTCAGTGTTTTTACTTTTAGCCATTCTAATAGATATGCAGTAGTATAGTATCTCATTGTTTTAATTGCTTTTTTTTTTTTTTTTTTTTGAGACAGAGTCTCACTCTGTCGCCCAGGCTGGAGTGCAATGGGGTGATCTCGGCTCACTGCAACCTCCGCCTCCTGGGTTCAAGAGATTCCCCTGCCACAGCCTCCTGAGTAGCTGGGATTACAGGTGCATGCCACCATGCCCGGCTAATTTTTGTATTTTTAGTAGAGACGGGGTTTCACCATGTTGGTCAGGCAGGTCTCAAACTCCTGACTTTGTGATCCGCCCGCCTCAGGCTCCCAAAGTGCTGGGATTACAGGCGTGAGCCACTGCGACTGGCCTTAATTGCTTTTTAAAAACTTCCTTAATGACATATAATGTTGGACATATTTTCATATGCTTATTTGCTATCTGTGTATCTTCTTCAGTGAAGTGTCTGTTCAGATCTGTGGCCTAATTTTCAGTTGGGTTGTTTATTGTCTCATTATTGAGTTTAAGAGGCCTTTGTATACTTTGGATACCAGTCCTTTAACAGATATATGTTTTGCAAATGTTTTTTCTAGTCTGTGATTTTTTTTATTGTCATGATCTTTTGCAAAGCTTATATTTTTGATTTTACTGAAGTCCAACTTATCAATGTTCTCTTTCATGGATTGTGTCTTTGGTGTGGCATCTAAACACTAAATCCAAGGACACTTAGGTTTTCTTCTATATTACCTTCTAGGAATTTTATAATTTAGCATTTTACAATTAGGCCTATGATCCATTTTGAGTTAATTTTTGTAAAAAGTGTAAGGCCTATGTCTGGATCCTTATTTTTCCTGTGAATGTCCTATTGTTTCAACCTAATTTGTTGAAAACACTATCCTTTCTTCACTGAAATGTTTTTGCTCCTTTGTTAAAGATCAGATGACTGTATTTACGTGGGTCTGTTTCTGGGATCTGGATTCTGTTCCACTGATCTATTTATTTCTTCTTCTGCCAATACCATATTGTTTTTATTACTTTAGCTTTATAGTAAGTCTTGAAATTAGTTTGTGTCCTTCAGCTTTGCTGTTTTATAATATTGTCTTGGCTATTCTGGGTCTCTTGCCCCTCCATATAAACTTTAGAGTCTTATTGTTATTATCCACACAATAGCTTGCTGAGATTGTAATTGGGATTATGTTGAATCTATAGATCAGTTGGGAAGAACTGACATTTTGACAATATTAAATCTTTCTATTTATGTACATGAAATATCTCTCCATTTATTTAGGTATTCTTTGACTTTCATCATAGTTTTGTAGTTTTTGTGCAATTCATATAGGTCTTGTACATATTTTGTTAGGTTTTGTTTTGAAAGCCCCTAGCTAAATTGGTGTTCCAGTACCACAGTGGCTAGTAACTCTACCCTAACAAGAAATGAAGGGTAGTAGATGGGGGTGTTTATAGTGTGCCTTTCATGCGATACTTATTTTACCTGGTAGACAGCCTAATGCCTCATTTTCTGACCTATGAACAGTGTCCCTCACACAGGAAACTTGTTTACCTTAGCAGATGACCTTGTGGTTCTTGTTTGACCTTGTCCAATTTATGCCTACCTGACTATTGCTTTGGTGCTGCGAGCCCAACCTTGTGTTCTCCTCAGTTTCCCATGGAAAACCCAGCCTGGGGTAGCCCTTGGTTCTTCAGATGGAAGGCACAAATTCAGATTGAAGGCTCATCTGCTTAAAGGAAGCAGCAGAAAAAACAGAGAGCCCAGGCTGCTAGGCAGGAGAGATACCTATAAGTTTTTATCTCTGGCCACTGGCTTGAGCAATTTGAGTGTGGTGTTCTATTTCTAATGCCTAAACATGGCAACCTTTGCTGTGCCATTTCCATTACAGATTTATACCCAAGGACTTCACTTTTTGATGATAATAAAAACAATATTGTGTTTTTAATATTCAATTTCAGTGTTCATTGTTGCTATGTAAGAAAGCAATTAACTTTTAAAAAAAATTATTACCTTGCATTCTGCAACTTGCCTGTAGGTTAATTCTCCTGTGGATCCTTGGCTGAGGAAAGCTGTGATGAGAAAGCCCTGGGAACTGAATTAGGTCTTCTGAGACTTCTGAGCCAGTCATTCATTCAACAGAAAATTATTTACCACTTCTCTATGACAAGGTACTGTGGGAGGCTATGGATGAAGGATTCCTACCCTGGAGAGGTGAATAGCACCATAGGCATTGCTAACGTCAAGTTTGCGCACGCTATCAGAGGGGAAGAGAAAGAATTTCCAGGTATGAGGGAAGACTCTTCTTCCTCTTAGATGTCTCACTAAGAGGAGAGCATAGTGGCCCCAGAAAATTAAGCTGACTGGGTGCCACTAGGAAGATATTTTCCTAGTCTGTATTTTCCAGGGCAGAACATTAAAAATTGTTTTCCTCCAATATATATTTTTATGGAAGACAAAGATCAGAATTATAATGACCAGAAGAGATGGTGAATTAGAATGAATCTCATCTTCAGTGCTATTGATTTTGTTCAGGAAGCTAACCTCCAGATAAGGGTCACAGTATGCCTTGGTAAGACATTGGAAATATCAATTCATTTAATGAGACACACAAGTTAGGAATAATTATGAAAATATATTTGCATAATGTGAAATAATCTTAAGTGCATGTGAAAATACATTCAAAATGCCACAAAGTATTAACTGAACATATTGTCTGTGTAGGTTTTTTTCTACTAGTCATTTGTTCTTTATTCATTTTGTTTTCTACCAGTTCTCAGTGGATAATTGGTACCAAGCTTCTAAATTTAAGAAAAATTTAGGAGAGAAAAACTTAAAATAAAGAAAATTTTATCCATATTGTATATGTATGAGTACTTGGTAAGAAATTGGCATAATTTAATTTTAGCAGCAGGACACCTTGTTCAGGATAGAGAGAAAGGGCTTTATTTGAAAACTACTAATCTGAAAATCATGGAGGAGGATCATGTAGGAAATTCTCCTGAAATGGCAGAAACCCTCTCTTTATCTCTTGCCTGCAAGTCATTCTTTATTCCATCCTATGGGGAACTTCATTCTGAACCCTCATTGCCTCACTCTGTAATGGAAAAGCAGAGGGGGAAAACCCAGTCAACTAAACGTTCAAGATCTGGTCTCAGCTGCATCATTACCTGGTTACTCTGGGCAAGTAAAAGATTGTTTTTGCTTCATTTTTCTCATCCACATAAAAGAAATAATACCTCCTTGCTGACATCACATTAATTTTTTCCATGAAAATAAAATGAACCAATGAATAAAGATGAATTAATTTGGCTGCTTGAGGATTACGTGTTCATTGTTCTATCTTTTCCTGGGTCATAAGATGATGAGTTCCTGATGGTAGACAGCCTCCATGGTGGTTCCCAACCTCCCAAGATTCCCACCTCCAAAGATTCATGCCCCTGTGGGTTACTTTCTGGATTGTTCTGTGTGACCAATAGAATATGGCAGGAGTGATGACATATCACTTTTTATTCTAGGCTATAAAAGACTCTGCTGCTTCTGTCTTGTTTTTTTTTTTCTCTCTCTCTTTCTGATCACTTGCTCTGGGAGAAGCCAGCTGCCATTTCATTAAAAGTCTATCATGTTAGTCTACTTGCATTGCTATAAAGAAAACCAGAGGCTGGGTAATTTATAAAGAAAAGATGTTTATGTAGCTCATGGTTCTGCAGGCTGTACAGGAAGCATGGTGCCAGCATCTACTTTTGGTGAGGGCCTCAGGGAGCTTCTGATTATAGCAGAAAGTGAAGGCGGGGGGCAACGTGTCACATGATGAGAGATGGAGCAAGAGACAAAAAGGGTGCCACACTCTTTTAAACAACCAGATCTTGTGTGAAATCAGAGTGAGAACTCACTCATTACTGTGAGGAGGACACTAAGCCATTCATGAGGGATCCAACCCCAAGATTCAAACCCTCCCACTAGGCCCACCTTCAACACTGGGGATCACATTTCAACATGGGAGGATTTGGAGGGGACAAACCATATCATTCTGCCCCCAGCCCTCCAAATCTCATGTTCTCTCACATGGCAGAAAACAATAATCCCTTCTCAATAGTCCCCCAAAGTCTTAACTTATTCCAGCATTAACTCAACAGTCTCAAGTTCAAAGTCCTAAGTCTCATCAGGGACTCAAGGCAAGTTTTTTTCTACCTATGAGCCTGTAAAATTATAAAAACAAGTTATTTACTTACAAGATACAATGATGGAACAGGTATTGGGTGAAGATTTCCATTCCAAAAGGAAAAAAATTGGCCAAAAGAAAGGGGCAACATGACCCACACAAGTCTGAAACCCAGCAGGAGAGACATTAAACCTTAAAGCTCCAACATAATCTTCCTTGACACCACGTCCAACATGCTGGGCACAGTGGTGCAAGGTGTGGGTTCCCAAGGCCCTAGTAGTTCTGCCACTGTGATTTTGCAGGGTGCAACCCCTCTGGCTGCTCTCATGGGTTGGAGTTGAATGCCTGGAGCTTTTCTAGGCTCTGGGTGTAAGCTGCTGATGGCTGTACCATTTTCCGGTCTGGAGGGCAGTGGCTGCTTTCTCACAGCTCCACTAACCAGTGTCCTGGTGGTGGAGACTCTGTGTGGGGGCTCCAACCCCATATTTCCCTTCAGCACTTCTTCAGTAGAGTCTCTCTGTGGGGTATCCACCCCTGTTGCAGGCATCTGCCTGGGCACTCAGGCTTTCCAATACATCCTCTGAAATCTAGGAGGAAGCTTCCAAGCCTCCTTCACTTCTGCATTCTGCACATCTGCAGGCTTAACACCATGTGGAAGCCACCAAGGTTTATGGCTTGTGCCATTTGGAGTTGTGGCCTGAACTGTATCTGTGGTCCTTTTCACTGAGGCTGTTGATGGAACTACCAGGATTCTGGGAGCAGGGCAACGGAGCCCTGGGCCTGGCCCCGGAAACTATTCTTTCCTCCTGGGCCTCTAGGTCTGTGATGGGAGGGTCTGCCTCAGAGATTCTGAAATGCCTTCAAGCACTTTTTTCTGTTGTCTTGACTATTAGCACTTGGTTCTCTTGCAGCTACGTTAGTCTCTCTAAAAAGTGGTTGTTCCTTAGCCTGCTTGGATTCTTCCCCTGAAAATGCTCTTTTCTTCTCTACCACATAGCCAGGCTGCAGATTTTCCAAATTTTTACACTATGCTTCCCTTATAATGACAAGTTCCAACTTCAGTTTTTCCTCTGCTTCCATATCTTATCTTAGATTGTTAGAAGAAGCTAGGGCAAATCTTGAATGCTTTGCTGCTTAGAAATTTCTTCTGCCAGATATGCTAAGTCATCACTCTTAAGTTCAACCTTTCATAAAACTGTAGGACATGGACACAATGAAGCAAAGCTCTTTGCTAGGGTACAATAAGGGTGACCTTTGCTCTAGCTCCCAGTAACTTCTTCATTTTTGTCTGGGACCTTATCAGCTTGGCCTTCACTATCTATATTTCTTTTTTTTTTTTAATTTTGTTTGTTCTTATAGTTTCTTGTTGGAAAAACACTGTCTATATTTCTATCAGTACCTTGATCACAACCAGTTAACCAGTCTCTAAGAAGTTCCAAACTTTCTCTTGTCTTCCTGTCTTCTTCTGAGCCCTCCAAACTCTTCTAGTGTCTGTCTGTTACCCAGCTTCAAAGCTGCTTCCACATCTTCAAGTATCTTTATAGCAACATCCCACTCCTCGGTAACAATTTTCTGTGTTAGTCCACTTGTGTTGCTATAAAGAAATACCAGAAGCTGGGTAATTTATAAAGAAAAGAGGTTTATTTTGGCTCATGATTCTGCAGGATGTACAGGAAACATGGTGTTGGCATCTGCTTCTGGTGAGGGCCTCAGCAAGCTTCTAATGATGGTGGAATGTGAAGAGGGAGCAGCGTGTCACATGTTGAGAGAGGGAGCAAGAGAAAGGGAGGAGAGAGCTGCCTGGCTCTTTGAAGTGACCACATCTTATGTGAAATTGAGTGAGAACTTACTCATTACTGCAAGGAGGGCACTAAGCCATTCATGAGGGATCCACCTCCATGACCCAAACACCTTTCACCAGGTCCACCTCCAACATCGGGGATCACATTTCAACATGAGATTTGGAGGGCATGCACACGCCAACCATATTACCTATGGGGGAGTCAACATAATGAGAAACTGAGGCCTCTTACCAATGGCATGTGAATGACTTGAAGTGGCTGTTTCTTGGAAGCAGATCTTCCAGCCCTAGTCAAGCCTTCAGATAACTGCAGTCCTGGCCAACAACTTGACTGAAACCTCATAAGACAGCCTGAGTCAGAAAGACCCAAATAAACCACTCCAAGATTTTTGACTGTCAGGAACTTTGTGAGTTAATAGATAATTGTTTCTTTTAGTTGCTAAGTTTTGGAGGTAATTTGTTATGCAGCAATAGGTAACTAACGAATACCCCAAGTACAAAAATATATGTATTTGCCCATGGAATCCAACCCAGTGCTGGTCACATGGAGGGCATGGAATTCAACAAATACTTGAAAAACAAACTGAAATTAAAGGGAAGAATGACAGGGAAGCGGAATGTATGCAGGCACACTTGCCATTTATCCCCAGCTAGGAGGCTGGCTGTTTGTCTTACACAGATGGCCAGAATGATGCCATGAAGGTCTTTTCTCCAACTTCCTTGGCCTGATAACAAATGTGCTTCCAGGTGTGACAGCCTGAGCCATTGTTTCAAATGAGCCCAGCCTTCTTCCCCTCTCTTTTGAAAAAAGCTCTCACTTTATTGAGGTATAATTGTAGCACAAAAACTGTATTTAATTAATGTATACAATCTGATGAATTTGGAGATAAATATATGCCCATGAAACCATCCCACAATCGGATCCGGTCTCTCCCTCTCCCTCTCCCTCTCCCTCTCCCTCTGTCTCCCTCTCCCCACGGTCTCCCTCTCATGCGGAGCCGAAGCTGGACTGTACTGCTGCCATTTCGGCTCACTGCAACCTCCCTGCCTGATTCTCCTGCCTCAGCCTGCCGAGTGCCTGCCATTGCAGGCACGCGCCGCCACGCCTGACTGGTTTTGGTGGAGACGGGGTTTCGCTGTGTTGGCCGGGCCGGTCTCCAGCCCCTAACCGTGAGTGATCCCGCCAACCTCAGCCTCCCGAGGTGCCGGGATTGCAGACGGAGTCTCGTTCACTCAGTGCTCAATGGTGCCCAGGCTGGAGTGCAGTGGCGTGATCTCGGCTCACTACAACCTACACCTCCCAGCCGCCTGCCTTGGCCTCCCAAAGTGCCGAGATTGCAGCCTCTGCCCGGCCGCCACCCCGTCTGGGAAGTGAGGAGTGTCTCTGCCTGGCCGCCCATCGTCTGGGATGTGAGGAGCCCCTCTGCCTGGCTGCCCAGTCTGGAAAGTGAGGAGCGTCTCCGCCCGGCCGCCATCCCATCTAGGAAGTGAGGAGCGCCTCTTCCCAGCCGCCATCACATCTAGGAAGTGAGGAGCGTCTCTGCCTGGCCGCCCATCGTCTGAGATGTGGGGAGCGCCTCTGCCCCGCCGCCCCATCTGGGATGTGAGGAGCGCCTCTGCCTGGCCGAGACCCCGTCTGGGAGGTGAGGAGCGTCTCTGCCTGGCCGCCCCGTCTGAGAAGTGAGGAGACCCTCTGCCTGGCAACCACCCCGTCTGAGAAGTGAGGAGCCTCTCCGCCCGGCAGCCACCCCATCTGGGAAGTGAGGAGCATCTCCGCCCGGCAGCCACCCCGTCCGGGAGGGAGGTGGGGGGGGGGTCAACCCCCCGCCCGGCCAGCCGCCCCATCTGGGAGGGAGGTGGGGGGTCAGCCCCCCCGCCCGGCCAGCCGCCCCGTCCGGGAGGTGAGGGGCGCCTCTGCCCGGCCGCCCCTACTGGGAAGTGAGGAGCCCCTCTGCCCGGCCACCACCCCGTCTGGGAGGTGTGCCCAACAGCTCATTGAGAACGGGCCAGGATGACAATGGCGGCTTTGTGGAATAGAAAGGCAGGAAAGGTGGGGAAAAGATTGAGAAATCGGATGGTTGCCGTGTCTGTGTAGAAAGAAGTAGACATGGGAGACTTTTCATTTTGTTCTGCACTAAGAAAAATTCCTCTGCCTTGGGATCCTGTTGATCTGTGACCTTACCCCCAACCCTGTGCTCTCTGAAACATGTGCTGTGTCCACTCAGGGTTAAATGGATTAAGGGCGGTGCAAGATGTGCTTTGTTAAACAGATGCTTGAAGGCAGCATGCTCGTTAAGAGTCATCACCAATCCCTAATCTCAAGTAATCAGGGACACAAACACTGCGGAAGGCCGCAGGGTCCTCTGCCTAGGAAAACCAGAGACCTTTGTTCACTTGTTTATCTGCTGACCTTCCCTCCACTATTGTCCCATGACCCTGCCAAATCCCCCTCTGTGAGAAACACCCAAGAATTATCAATAAAAAAATAAATTAAAAAAAAAAAAAAAAGAAACCATCCCACAATCAATCTGCCTCTTTGTGGACGCAGTTCTACATGTGACCCTGTAGTTAGGGCAGACTTCCAGTGTAACAATCTCAGAAGCCCAAGTGTGGAAAGGCGTGATAATATCACAATGAGGAGGAGGAGGAGGTCATTGTATCTTTCAATATAACTGTGTCCATGACTTCCTGTCTCTGTACACACATTTTTCCTTCCCCACCTTTAGTTAGATCCTCTTAATTGCTCTAGTGTGTTATATGCCATCCAGGGATTTGACCTCATGTAGGGGTGGGAGCTGGTGATGGCAGTCGCCTTCATATTTGGTGCTGGAACTTGAAGGTATCCACAGAAAGGGTACCTGGAAAATAAGATGAATATGAAATGGGGAGAGCAAGAAGGAGCTGAAATGCATCAGCTGGAGCCCGGGAGAACAGATAGAAACTCAGACTCTTTCTTGTGTTCTCTCTGCCCTTGATGGTCTGCATGTCCTGGAGAAGCCAGGTCTTTCATCACACACAGCTGGCCCAGCAGTCAGAGAAGCTGAAGGAGGATTGGGGGGAAGGTGGAGCAGCAGGAGGCCTGGCTGTTCCTCACACCAAGGAGGTGCATCCGCAGATGAGGAGTGAATGCCAAGGGCATGTGAATGCCTTGAAGTGGCTATTTCTTGGAAGCAGATATTATAAGGTGAGTTACAAGATGGTGGCTGCTTCATGTCTCTGCTTCAAATACTGCACTAGAGCCTTTCTTTGGCTCCCTCTGGCCAGAAACACACGAGAAAGGCAACAGTGGGAATGTGGTTCAGCCTGGCCAACTGGACACCTTACAAAGCTGCCACATCTAGCCCCAAAGAGATTCTATCAGACAAGGCCAAAATAAAATAAGCCCATTTAATGAAATTGTTTGTTTTAAATTGTACTAGAAAAGCAGTAATCAATTTTTCTGGTGTCATGCCTCTTTGACATTCTTAAAAATAATTGAGGATCCCAAATGGCTTTTGTTTATGTGGATCATAGCTATTGATATATATCCTTTTAGAAATTAAAACAAATAAATCTAAAAATTAACATTAATTTATTTAAAAATAATAACAAACCATTACATGTTAATATAAATAAAATATTTTCATAAAAATAACTACATTTTCCAAAATAAAGGCTATTTAGGGAGAAGAATGGCATTGTTTTACATTTTTAAAATATTTTTAATGCCTACCTTAATAGAAGGCAGCTGGATTCTCATAGTTGGCTCTGTACTCAATCTGTCGTGACGTCACTCATCATGTAGCCTCTGGAAAATTCCACTCTAGACTCATAAGAGGATGAGACAAATAATGTCTTAGTGTTATCATGAAAATAGTTTTGACTTCATGAATCTCTTGAAAGGATCTTGGAGACCCCCAGAGTCCCTGGACCATACTTTGAGAACCACTTTACTGGAGAAAAATGCATTGTTCTCTAATTTTGGTGAAGCACTGGGGAAAAAACTACAACTTGGAAGTTGTGGCTCTAAACCTCTGAGCTGTAAAGCCTATGGCTGTCTGCAAGTGAATTCCCGAGGCAATGATCTGGATAATATAAGTCCAAGCAATATGCTAATGGCTCCATTATTTGACTAGTGCAGGTATTTGTCCCTATCATTGCAAGAATATCATGGCAATATTTTGTCTCTGAAGATACTAATAGTAAGAGACAAAAGAATTGGAAAGAGAGAGGGCTAGAGAAAGAACAGGGACAGGAAGAAAGAAGAAACAGAATGTCACTGGTGCAAGCATCTGTCTGCAGACCCCAGAGCCCATTTGCTGCTAAGGAAGATGCTCTGGAGTTATGTGTATGGACTCTGAAGAGGTTGACCTTAGAAGCAGTTTTGCCAGCCTCAGGAATCAGTTTCCATGCATTTCCTGAAGTTGTAGACAGTGGTCCAAGAATTCTTGGTGGGAGGAATGAGCTCATTGTGAATATTTACACATTTTCAGTGCCCTTGGCCCATCCCTAGCATGTTTACCAGGAGAATGTAAACCACATTATTGTACCATTTGCCTGTTTATTATTGAGGTTTTCATGTGACTCAAAATATTTTTGCAGGTTTCTTTCAAGAAGTATTTGTTTTAAAGTTGATTATAAGGCAAAACTCTTTTCTCCTAGAAAATATGAACATATTCATTGAGAAGCTAACTGCTGTTCAAGATAATATAAATTTTTGCAATATCCTTATTATAAATCAAAGCCCTTATTTGGAATTAAAGTCCCTAAAAGATCAACATTTTTTTGTTTTCATCAAGCCGTGGGCCTTAGCCCAGTTTTCAGAAATATTTTGGAAAAGTACCAGCTCGTGATACCAATCATCCAGATATTGTTTGGACATAGCCACTATTTTTATAATCATTACCCTCTCATTGAACCTTCATGGAATGAAGATAAAGTCATGGTCAATGTTTTCCTGAAAATAAACTTTAAAAATGCAACATGATTTTCTTTTAAATTAAATTAAAATGATGAGCCATTAAAAACAATTTTATTTCAATAGTTTTTGGGGTACAGGTGGTTCTTGGTTACAAGGATATGTTATTTGGTGGTGATTTCTGAGATTTTAGGGCACCTGTCACCTGAGCAGTGTACACTGTACCCAGTATATAGTCTTTTACCCCTTACCCCCTTCCAGCCTTCCCCGCTGAGTCCTCAAAGTCCATTATATCATTCTTGTGTCTTTGGGTCCTCATAGCTTAGCTCCCACTTATAAGCAGGAAATTTGATGTTTGGTTTTCCATTCTTGAGTTACTTCACTTAGAATAATGGCCTCCAGCTCCATCTAAGTTGCTGCAAAAGACATTATTTCATTCCTTTGTATGGCTGAGAAGTATTCCTTGCTATGTATATACCACATTTTCTTCATCTACTTGTTTGTCGATGGGCACTTAGGTTGGTTCCATATCTTTGCAATTGCAAATTTTGTTGCTATAACCATGCGTGTGCAAGTGTCTTTTTCATATAATGACTTCTTTTCCTCTGGGTAGATACCCAGTAGTGGGATTTCTGGATGGAATGGTAGCTCTACTTTTATTTCTTTAAGTAATCTCCATACTGTTTTCCAGAGTGGTTGTATTAACTTACATCTCCAGCAGTAGTGTAAAAGTGTTCCCTTTTCACCACATTTTTGACTTTTTACTTATGGCAATTATTGCAGGAGTAAGGTGGTTTAAATAATCATTTCCCAGATGATTAGTGGTGTCAAGCACTTTTTCTTTTTTATTTATTGTCGAGTATTTTTACTTAATATGTTCACGACATTCATTCAAGCTGTTGCAAATAGCAGTAGTTATGCTCTTCTTTCGGTTTTTTATTTTATGACTATTTTACAATTTATTATTATTTTTTAAACTTTTATTTTAGGTTTGGGGGTACATGTGAAGGTTTGCTACATAGGTAAACATGTGTCACCGGGGTTTTTGTACATATTATTTCCTCATCCAGGTATTAAGCCAAGCACCCAATGTTATATTTCTGCTCCTCTCCCTCCTCTCATGCTCCCTCTTCAAGTATAACCCAGTGTCTGTTATTTCCTTCTTTGTGTACATAAGTTCTTATCATTTAGCTCCCACTTGTAAGTGAGAATATACAGTATTTAGTTTTCTGTTTCTGCATTAGTTTGCTAAGGATAATAGCCTCCAGCTCCATCCACGTTCCCACAAAAGACATAGTCTCATTCTTTTTTATGGCTGCGTAGTATTCCATGTTGTATATGTACCACATTTTCTGTAACCAATCTGTCATTGATGGACATTTAGGTTGATTCCATGTCTTTGCTATTGTGAATAGTGCTGCAATGAACATTTGTGTACATGTGTCTTTATGGTAGAAGGATTTATATTCCTCTGGGTATATACTCAGTAATGGGATTGCCAGGTCGAATTGTAGTTCTGCTTTTAGCTCTTTGAGGAATTGCCATAATGCCTTCCGCAATGGTTGAACTAATTTACACTTTCACTGACAGTGTGTAAGTGTTCCTTTCTCTGCAACCTCACCAGCCTGTGTTATTTTTTGACTTTTTAATCGTAGCCATTCAGACTGGTGTGAGATGGTATATCGTTGTGGTTTTGATTTGCATTTCTCTAATGATCAGTTATGCTGAGCTTTTTAAATATGCTTGTTGGCTGCATGTATGTCTTCTTTTGAGAAGCATCTGTTCATGTCCTTTGCCCACTTTTTAATGGGGTTGTTTTTCTCTCATAAATTTGTTTAAGTTCCTTATAGATGCTGGATATTAGACTTTGTCAGATGCTTAGTTTGCAAATATTTTCTCCCATTCTGTAAGTTGTCTGTTTACTCTGTTGATAATTTTTTTTGCTGTTCAGGAGCGCTTAAGTTTAATTAGATACCATTTGTCAATTTTCCTGTGTCCAGGATGGTATTGCCTAGGTTGTCTTCCAGGGTTTTTATGGTTTTGGGTTTTACATTTAAGTCTTTAATCCATGTTGAGTTAATTTTTGTATATGATGTCAGGGTCCAGTATCAATCTTCTGCATATGGCTAGCCAGTTATCCCAGCACCATTTATTGAATGGGGAGTCTTTTCCCCATTGCTTGCTTTTGTCATTTTTGTCAAAGATCAGATGGTCGTACATATGCGACCTTATTTTTGAGCTCTCTATTCTGTTCCTTTGGTTTATGTGCCTGCATTTTCACCAGTACTATGCTATTCTGGTTACTGTAGCCTTGTAATATAGTTTGAAGTCAGGTGATGTGATGCCTCTAGCTTTGTTCCTCTTGCTTAGGATTGCATTGACTATTTGGGCTCTTTTTTGGTTTCATGTGAATTTAAAAATAGTTTTTTTCCTGTTCTGTGAAGAATGTAATTGGTAGTTTTATAGGAATAGCATTGAATCTATAATTTGCTTTGGACAGTATAGCCATTTTAATGATACTGATTCTTCCTATCCATGAGCACGGAATTTTTTTCCATTTGTTTGTATCTTCTCTGATTTCTTTGAGTAATGTTTTGTAATTCTCTTTGCAGAGGATCTTTCACCTCCCTGGTTAGCTGTATTCCTAAGTATTTTATTCTTTTTGTGGCAGTTGTGAATGGGATGGCTTTTCTGATTTGGCTGTTGTTGGTGTATAGGAATGCTGGTGATTTTTATATTGATTATGTATCCTGCAACTTTGCTGAGGTTGTTTATCAGCTGGAGGTACTTTTGGAGCTGAAACTATGGGGTTTTCTAGGTATAAAATCATGTCGTTTGCAAACAGAGGTAGTTTGACTTCCTCTCTTCCTATTTTATGCCCTTGATTTCTTTCCCTTGCCTGATTGCTCTGGCTAGGACTTCCAATACTATTTTGAATAGAAGTGGTGAGAGAGGGCAAGGAAATCCTTGTCTTGTGCCACTTTTCAAGGGGAATTCTTCCAGCTTTTGCCCATTCAATATAATGTTGGCTGTGGGTTTGTAATAGATGGCTCTTACCATTTTGGGGTATCTTCCTTCAATACTTAGTTTATCGAGTGTTTTTAACAGGAAGGGGTGTTGAATTTTGTCAAAAGCCTTTTCTTCTGCATCTATTGAGATAATCATGTGGTTTTTGTCTTTAGTTCTGTTTATGTGATTAATCACATTCATTGATTTGAGTATGTTGAACCAACTTCTCATCCTGGGGATGGAGCCTACTTGATCATGGTGGATTACCTTTTTTTTTTTTTTTTTTTTTGAGATAGAGTCTCGCTCTGTCACCCAGGCTGGAGTGCAGTGGCATGATCTCGGCTCACTGCAACCTCCACCTCCTGGGTTCAAGCAATTCTCCTGCCTCAGCCTCCTGAGTAGCTGGGATTAGAGGTACCCCTGACCACGTCCAGCTAATTTCTTTTTTTTTTTTGAGATGGAGTCTCGCTTTGTTGCTCAGGCTGGAGTGCAGTGGCGTGATCTCTGCTCACTGAGAGCTCTGCCTCCCGGGTTCATGCCATTCTCCTGCCTCAGCCTCCCGAGTAACTGGGACTACAGGTGCCCGCCACCATGCCTGGCTAATTTTGTTTTTGTGTTTTTAGTAGAGACTGAGCTACTGCGCTTAGCCTGGATTAACTTTTTGATATGCTACTGGATTCAGTTTGCAAGCATTTTGTTGAGACCTTTTGCATCAATGTTCATCAAGGATATTGGCCCGAAGTTTTCCTTTTTGTGTGTGTCTCTGCCAGGTTTTGGTATCAAGATGATCCTGGCCTCATAGAATGAGTTGGGGAGAAGTTTCTCCTCCTCAATTTTTTGGAATAGTTTCCGTAGGAATGGTACCAGCTCTTCTTTGTACATCTGGTAGAGTTTGGCTATGAATTCATTAGGTCCTGGTGTTTTTTTTTGTTGTTGTTGGTAGGCTATTTATTGCTGATTTAATTTCAGAGCTCATTATTGGTCTCTTCTGGCTATCAATTTCTTCCTGGTTGAGCACTTTTTCATATGTTTGTTGGCGGTTTGTATATCTTCTTTTGAGAATCGTCTATTCATGTCCTTTGCCCATTTTTTAATGGGTTTGCTTTTTCCTTACTGGTTTGAGTTCCTTGTAGATTCTGGATATTAATCCTTTGTTGGATGCATAGTTAGTGAATATTTTATCCCACCCTGTGGGTTGTCTGTTTACTCTGTTGATTATTTCCTTTGCTGTGCTAAAGCTTTTAAGTCTAATTAGGTTCCAACTATTTATTTTTGATTTTGTTGTATTTGCTTTTGGGGTCTTAGTCATGAATTATTTGCCTAAGCCAATGTCTAAAAGAATTTTTCCAATGTTATCTTCTAGAATTTTTATAATTTCAGGTTTAGATTTAAGTTTTTGATCCATCTTGAGTTGATTTTTGTGTAAGGTGAGAGATGGGATTCAGTTTCATTCTTCTACATGTGGCTTGCCAGTTTTCCCAGCACCGTTTGTTGAATAGGGTATGTTTTCCCCAATTTATGTTTTTATATGCTTGTTGAAGATCAGCTAGCTCTAAGTATTTGGCTTTATTTATAGGTTCTCTATTTTGTTCCATTGGCTGACATGCCTATTTTTATACCAGTACCATGCTGTTTAGGTAACTATAGCTTTGTAGTATAATTTGACATTGGGTAATGTGATGCCTCCAGATTTTTTCCTTTTGCTTAGTATTGCTTTGGTTATGCAGGTTCTTTTCTTGTTCATGTATGAATTTTAGTATTGTTTTCTAGTTCTATGAAGAATGACAATGGCATTTTATGGGAATTGCATTGAATGTGTAGATTGCTTTTGGCAGTATGGTCATTTTCACAATATTGATTCTTCCCATCCATGAGCATGGGATGTGTTTCCATTTGGGTCCTCTATGATTTATTTCATCAATGTTTTGTAGTTTTCCTTGTAGAGATCTTTCACCTTCTTGGTTAAGTATATTTCTACATATTTTACTCTTTTTTTTTTGGCAGCTGTTGTAAAAGGGATTGAGTTCTTGATTTGACTCTCAGCATGGTCATTGTTGGTGTATAGCAGTGCTACTGATTTGTGTACATTGATTTTGTATCTTGAGACTTTATTGAATTCATTTATCAAATCTAAAGAACTTTCAGGGTGAGTCTTTAGGGTTTTCTAGGTATACAATCATATAATCAACAAGCAGCAATAGTTTCTCTTGTCTGATTTTCTTGTTTGATTGTCTTGTCTTTCTCTTGTCTAATTGCTCTGGCTAGGACTTCCAGTATTATGTTGAATATAAGTGGTGAAAGTGGGCATTCTTGTCTTGCTCTTGTTCTCAGGGGGAATGCTTTCAACTTTTCCCTATTCAGTATAATGTTGGCTGTGGGTTTGTCTTGTATGGCTTTTATTACTTTGAGGTAAGTCCCTTCTATGTCTATTTTGTTAAGATTTTTTTTTTAATCATAAAGAGTTACTGGATTTCATCAAATGCTTTCTCTGCATATTGAGATGATCATATGGTTTTTTAAAAAAATTTCTGTTTATGTGATGTATCACATTTATTGACTTGTGTATGTTAAACCATCCCTGCATCTCTGGTATGAAACCCACTTGATCATGATGTATTATCTGTTTGATATGGTGTTGGATTCAGTTAGCTAGTATTTTGTTGATGATTTTTACATCTATATTCATTGGGGATATTGGTCTGTAGTTTTCTTTTTTTGTTATTTTTTTCCTGGTTTTGGTATTGGAGTGATACTGGCTTCATAAAATGATTTAGGGAAGATTCTCTTTATCTTTTGGAATAGTTTCAGTAGAATTTGTACCAATTATTCTTTGAATGTCTGACAGAATTCAGCTGTGAATCCATCTGGTCCTGAACTTTTTTGTTGGCATTTAAAAAATTACTGATTCAATATTGCTGCTGGTTATTGGTCTGTTCAGCATTTATATGTATTCCTGACTTAATCTAGGAGGTTTGCATATTTCCAGGAATTTATCCATTTTCTCTAGATTTTGTAGTGTGTGTGCATAAAGCTGTTCATAGTACCTTTGAATCATCTTTTGTATTTCTGTGGTATTGGTTGTAATATCTCCAGTTTCTTTCTAATTGAGCTTATTTGACTCTTTTCTCTTCTTTTCTTGGTTAATCCTGCTAAAGGTCTATCAATTTTGTTTATCTTTATAAAGAAACAGCTTTTCGTTTCATTTCTCTTTTGTATTTTTTTCTTTTTGTGAGACAGAGTCTCCATCTGTCACACAGGCTGGAGTGCAGTGGCATGACCTCGACTCACTGCAACCTCTGCCTCCCTGGTTCAAGTGATTCTCCTGTCAGCCTCCCAAGTAGCTGAGATGACAGGTGTGCACCACCATGCCTGGATAATTTTTGTATTTTTACAAAAAAATACAATATTATTTTATATTCTTTTGGAGATGAGTTTCACCATGCTGGCCAAGCTCTTCTCAAACTCCTGACCTCAAGTGATCTGACTGCTTTGGCTTCCCAAAGTGCTGAGATTACAGGCGTGAACTACTGCACCCAGCCATTGTGTTGTTTTTGTTTTTGTTGTTGTTGTTTTCTTTCAATTTCATTTAGTTCTGCTCTTATCTTTGTTATTTCTTTTTTTCTCCTGGGTTTGGGTTTAGTTTGTTCTTGTTTCTGTAGTTCCTTATTGTATAACCTTAGATTGTCTATTTGTGCTCTTTCAGATGTTTTGATGTCGGCATTGAAAGCTATAAACTTTTTTCTTAGCACCACTTTTGCTGTATCCCATAGGTTTTGGTAAGTTGTGTCACTATTATCATTTATTTCAAATAATTTTTACATTTCCATCTTGATTTCATTGTTAGCTGAAAAATTACTCAAGAGCAGATTATTTAATTTCCATGTATTTGCATAGTTTTGAGGGTTCCCTTTGGAGTTGATTTCCAGTTTTATTCTACTGTGGTCTGAGAAGATACTTTATATGATTTCTACTTTCTTAAATTTATTGAGACTTGTTTTGTGGTCTATCATATGGTCTATCTTGGAGAATGTTTCATGTGCTGATTAGAAGAATGTATATTCTGCAGTTGTTTGGTAGAATGTTCTGTAAATATCTGTTAAGTCCATTTGTTCTAGGGTATAGTTTAAGTCCATTGTTTCTTTATTGGCCCTCTGTCTTGATGATCTGTCTAGTGCTATCAGTGGAGTATCGAGGTCCCCCACTATTATTGTGTTGCTGTCTATCTTACTTCTTAGGTCTAGTAGTAATTGCCTTGTAAATCTGGGAGCACCTGTGTTGAATGCATACAAATTTAGGATTGTAATATCTTCCTGTTGGACTAATCCTTTTATCATTATATAATGCCCTTCTTTGTCTTTCTTTTCTTTTTTTATTGTTGTTGCTTTAAAGTCTACTTAGTCTGATATGAGAATAGCTACTCTTGCTTGCTTTTAGTTTACATTTGCATGAAATATCTTTTTCCACCCTTTTATCTTAAGTTTATAGGAATGCTTGTGTGTTAGGTGAGTCTCTTGAAGTCAGCAGATATTTGGTTGGTGATTTTTTTTTGTCCATTGTGCCATTCTGTATCTTTTAAGCGGGACATTTAGGCCACTTACATTCAACTTTAATACTGAGATATAAGGTACTGTTCTATTTATCTTGTTAGTTGTTGCCTAAATACTTTGTTTGTTCATTGTGTTTTTGTCTTATAGGCCCTTTGAAATTTATGCTTTAAGGAGGTTCTATCTTAGTTCACATTGAGCTTTGTTTCAAGGTTTAGAACTCCTTTCAGCATTTCTTGTAGTATTGGTTTGTTAGTGGCGAATTCCCCCAGCATTTGTTTGTCTGAAAAAGAATTCATCTCTCCCTCATTTATGAAGCTTAGTTTTGTTGAATACACAATTCTTGGCTGACAATCATTTTGTTTAAGAAGGCTAAAGATATGTCCTGGGTCTCTTCTGGCTTGTAAGGCTTCTGCTGAGAAATCTGCCATTAGACTGATAGGTTTTCCCTTATAGGTTACCTGATGCTTTTGTCTCACAGCTTTTAAAATTATTTCCTTCATGTTGACTTTAGATAACCTGATGACTATGTGCCTTGGTGATGATCTTTTTGCAATGCATTTCCCAGGAGTTCTTTAAGCTTCGTGTATTTGGATATCTAGATCTCTAAGACCAAGGAAGTATCTAAGACCAGGGAAGTTTTCCTCAATTATTCCCTCAAACAAGTTCTCCAAACTTTTAGACTTCTTTTCTCCCTCAGGAACACCAATTATTCTTAGAGTTGGCTGTTTTACAAAATTCCATATTTCCTGATGACTTTATTTATTTTGATTCTTTTTTTCTTTGTCTTTTCTGGTTGGGTTAATCCTAAAGCCTTGTTTTCAAGCCCTAAAATTCTTTCTTCTACTTGTTCTAGTCTGATGGGCAATTTTTATTTCATGTCTTTTCTGATTCTAAAACTGTTGCATATTTATTGTACCAAAATTGAATAAAACAGGGCATTAAAAAATCACTTGTATACCTACTACTGTTCAAACATGTTTTAGTCTATGTTCTTCCAATAACTTTTCCAAACCCTATCTATGTATACAGTATATACATGCATGCATATCTGTACGTATGACTTTTAAACAAAATTGAGTATGCATCAAAGTTTTGATAAGCCCAGGGTATCCATTTTGAGTGTCTCAATGAGTTGAAATTTCCCTTGTGTGAGAGAAGGAGCTGGCTTGCATCTCTGTGTGGTGATTTGGGCTGGGAGTGACTCCAGTATTGCTCCACGGTCATCAGCTTATGAAAATCTCCCTGCAGGTAGGAGTAAGGTGCCCAGAGACAAAGTGGCTTTGAGTCCCTATGTGTTGGTAAAGGGCACAGGGTGAGGGCAGGTTTGGGATGTTGGGCATATTCATTCTCAGCCAGGAGAAGGCGAGACCCTTGCCCACCCCAGCTCTTGGCTGGCAGCATGGCAGCACTGGGCACTCAGCCTCAAAATGGTGCTGGGCTCAGAGAGCAGGAGTTGGTCAGGAAAGAGGGGCCAGACAGGGGAGCAGAAGCAACCTCAGTCTACCCCTCTGTAAGCACCCCCCTTTAGCAATGAAGACGAAGTTCTCAGGAAACTAGTAGGGAGAGGGGAAGAGGCATAGTAAGAAAGAGGAAGACAAAGAGCAAGTATGTGACTGAGAACATATGTGTGTTTGTCTGTGTGTGTGTGTGTGATGTATGTGTGGTGTGTGTATAGTGTGCCTAGTGTGTATGGTATGTAAAGGAAAATAAAAAAATACCAGGACTCCCAAACTTGAGCCGGGAGGCTGAGCCATGCAACACCAGCTTCCAAATGAATAGCTGTAGCATTGTGCACCAGCCAGGTCCCCATGGACAGGTAGGAGGCCTCAGGGATCTACCATGGGCTGCCCCACAGATCATTCAGGAGTAAATTTTTTGCTGGCCTCCCATAAACAAGGACATGCCAATTGTAATTTTAGGTGTACAATCTAAGTCTGGCTCCTAAAACTAAAGTCTGTTCATTCCATACTGATAGTGTCAATTACAAGCTTATCTTCCCAGGTGTAGAATAAAGACTCCTCCCTCCTACCCAGAGATGGCTGCATAATTAACTTGTCCTTTACACCCTTTTTTTCCTTTAAACATTCAGCTTCTCTTATGTGAAATGTAGATTAACTGGGCACTAACTAAAGTGTAACAGGAATGTAACCATTTGCTTTACTATCTACCTGCCCCTCTTTCTGTCTGCCATCCCTCAATTTAAGGAAATGTATAAATACTAAGTCTCCTGAAAACCTCTTTGGAAAAACATCCAGGGATGTGTCTGTGGCTAATTTTTTTTTCCAGATGCACCCTAAAGCTGGCTTAATAAACCTTGGTGATTGAGACCTTTGCCTTAGTCACTCATCTTGGTTATCAGGTGTGTGTATGTGTGCACTGTATGGAGGGTGTGTGTGATGTATGTGATAAATAACCAGCATTTGGAAGCTGACACCACAGGAGTGGCCACTCAAGGCCCAGCCATTGGAAGGGCACACCAGACGGGGACAGAAGACTCCAGGAGTGAGAGAGACTGACCAGTTCAGGGTTCAGAGCTCATCCCAGTCTCTCTTCTGCAGACCTCCCTCTTGGTCTAGAGCTCTTATCAAGAACTCTAAGCCCCAGGTAGAGGGACGGAGAAGCAACAATGCCATACCCTGCCTGGATCGCAGACCAGAATGTGAGAATGAAAGTTCTGGCTTGAACTCCTCTAAGGCTCCCCATGCCCTCTGGATCGAACCCCAACTCCTTCCTGGGCCGTGGACTCTGTGGCTCCTTGCAAGTTCATCTGCCCACAGGCCACATGCAGGGGGCTGCTGCTTGTGTCCCACACCCTGCCTTGCTCTCCCAGCTCTGGGCTGTGAATCCGTCTCCTTGGAAAATGTGTCTGCTGCCTCTGTTGAATTCCTTAGGATTCTGCCTCACTGTTTTCTTTCTCCAGAGGCTTTTCTCTAATGGTCCCCAATCTGGGTCAGGTGTCCTCTGTGTGCCCTATGGCCCCGATACGATCTCTTGTCTTGGCCTGTCCTGACCAGCATAACTTTGAACAAACTGTTTTGCTTAAATGGGCTTCTGGCTTCTTCATCTAGCAAATCAGAGTTGGACCATGCGATGTGAAGTCCTCTTGTGAGAGAACCTGTGTGATTCTCCAAATTTTTTTTTATATTAGTTATTTAACCAGCTTTTAACTTCTACTCCTCTAAGCAGCTGGAGGAGAGAGGAGGAGGAAGGTGACCTGGCAATTCACCTTTAGAAACTCTTTTCAGCTCTTTGCCCAAAAAAGTGAACTTGGTTTCTGGGCTATCCTGGCCATGTTCACAGGGCTGGAAACTACTTGGATTGATCGAATGGGACCAAGGATATGAGGAGATGGGAAACTGTGTTATGGTTCCTAGTTGGCCAGTTGCTCCCCTCTCTTCATGCCTAGAGGGGCATGTGGTCATTAGCCAGCTGCTTTGAAAGGAAAGGAAATCACCTCTCTAGAAGTAGAACCCTCCCACATCCAGGCTCGGGAGGCTTTGGCAATTGACTCACTTTTCAGACCAGTGAGGAATGGTTTGGGCTTTTGAATCACAATCCAAGAAGAAGGTCCACCAGATGCCTGCCTTTAATGACAAGAAGAATTTTGTTTGAATTAATTGTTTCATTACAGCTGCCTGCACATGATAAGCTGTTTCAGGTTGAGAACCAGAGCAACACAGGAGCTCACTGGGTACTTCTACACATCCCACTCCGTTTTGTTATTGCTATTGTTGTTTCTTTCCTTTTAACAATTTCTCTTTTTGAAATAATTTTGGACTTACAAGAAATTGCAAAAAATAGTACAATGTTACTGAGTATGTGATTCTCACCCCTAGCACTGTGTATGCATGTGTGTGTGTGCACACTTGTGTATGTGTATAGTTTATAGTTTTTTTTTAAGTATTTAAGAATAAATTGCAGACATTTGGTTCTCTTATTGGAGCACTTCACTGTGCATTTACAAAATCCAAGGGTATTCTCTTTTATAACTATAGTGCAACTATCAAAGCAGGAAATTAACATCGATACAGTTCTATTATCTAATCTACAGACCTTATTCCAATTTTTCTGGGTGTCCCACTAATGTTATTTTTCTGATCCAGCATCCCACATTGCTTTTTGTTGTCCTGTCTCCTTGGTATCCTCTAATCTGGAATAGTCCCTTAGTCTTTTTTTAATCTTCCATGGCCTTGACGTTTGTGAAGAGTGGTGTTCATTATTTAGTTGAATATCCCTCTAAATGGGTTTGCCTGATGTTTCTGCAGAACGTGTGTGTGTGTGTGTGTGCGCACGTGTGCGATGTGTGTTTGTGATGTGTGTGTGGGCATACAGTTCATGCATTTTTGGCAGAGATACAACAGAAGTGGTGTTGTGTCAGATCAGGAGGAACGTGGTAGCAATTTGTCCCATTGCTGGTGATGGTAGTGACAGTTACTTGGTGAACACAGTGTCACAGGTTTCTTCACTGCCAGGTTCCTATTTTCCCCTTTGTCATTAATGAGAATCTTGGGAGGTGATACTTTGAGACTATGCAAATATCCTGCTCCCTATCACACTTTTGCCAATTGATTTTAGCATCTTTTGATGATTTTTGCCTAAAACAGTCATTACAGTTGTGGGTGCCAAGTGGTTTTCTAATTCTGTCACTCCTTTTGCATATATGAGTCGGCATTCCACTGCGAGGAAGAGCTGGCCCTTCTCCCATATTTATTTGCTCATATCTGTGTGGGTGCATGGATTCCTTGTCTATGATATAGGTTACAATCCCTCATTATCACTATTTAGTTCAAATTATTCCAAATTTGACCAGTGGATGCCTTTTTCAGCTGGCTCCTGGGTCCTCTTGCTGTGTCTCCATCCTCTTCTAACATTTCCTTAATTTCTGGGGTGGTGTGACCTCCAGGCTCATCTTCTGTGTTCCCTGCTCCAGACCTGGGACCAGGCATTTCTCTGAGGAGCCTTCCTTCCTGTTGCTGGAGAATGGCATTGAGCAGGCGTCATGATCTGGGTGTTCTGACTCACCACCCCCAACCCAGCTTGTCCTTGGTTGGGGTTTCCTACAGCCACCTGCACCTCTCAATCAGTTTCCCTCTCAGGCTCTCTGTCCACTCCCAACACAGTACTCTCTTCTGTGCCCTAGGCTTCACGGTACAATGGCCTGATAAACATTTCCACTTGGATCTTAAAGGAAGCATGTCTTTGTGGTGGCTGAATTGCATCCCCCCAACCAAAAAAATTCATATTTTGAAGTCCTAACACTCAGTAATTCAGAATGTGATGTATTTGGAGACAGGGTCTTTAAAGAAGTGATTAAGGTAAAATGAGATCCTTCCAGTGGACTCTAATCCAACCTGACTGATGTGTTATAGGCAGAGGAGATGAGGTCACAGACACACACAGAGGGATGACCATGTGAGCATACAGGGAGAAGACAGCAATCTGCAAGCCAAGGAGAGAGGCCTTAGAGAAACCAACCCTGCCAACACCTTGATCTTGGACATCCAGCCTTCAAGACTGTGAGACAGTAGATTTCTGCTGTGTCAGCAACTCCACCCACAGCCCATCTGTGGTCCTTTGTTATGACAACTGGAGCAGATGAATGTAATCCTTAACAGAACTCATGCCTTCCCTCTGCCTTGCTTCTTGCCTTAGTGTGCCCCCCCTCAGGAAATGGTGCCACCATTCAGCCATTTGTTTGTGTCTGTCCTATCAATACTTCTTCTTCATCTTCTTCTTCCTCTTCCTCCTTCTCCTCTCCTTGTCCTCCTCCTCTTCTTATTCTTCTTCGTCCTCTTCTTCTTCTTCCTCTTCCTCTTCCCCTTCCTCTTCCCCTTCTCCTTCTCCCCCTCCCTCTCCTCCTTCTTCTCCTTCTCCTCCTCCAAGTTCTCCTTCTCCTCTTCTTTATTTTCATTTTCATTTTTAAAGCTGGAATAATTCTATAAAGAGAAAGTTTCCTCACAGACATTTTGTTATTTTGACATCTCATTTGTATAGGAAAAGCAGGATTAAAATGTTTGATTCTTTTTTATTTTCTAGTTTTCAGAATAATGAGTTGGCTTCTTAGCATCCTTTAAGTGTGGCAAAGAAATTTTTTTTAAAGTATTATTATGGACTCATGGGAATAAACATATTTTATGTACTTCAAATTGTTGCAGTTATTTTTACTGATGTTCAAATGGTACCATCCTTGGTAAATGGGAGATTAACAAGGTGCCTCCTGAACTCATTTCGCATGGTTCCAGTGGACCTCATAAGAGGCTTTTCTCTTTCTATAACAAGATATTCCAGGATTGTCCTATATATTTCCTGCTCAGATCTTGAAATGCACCTCTCTTTAAGGGTTCTTAGTTTTTTTTTCCTGAGGAAATGGTAGTTAGAGACAACTTAGGTACTAGGCTAGGATGCTTATTGCTGTTGTGTTGATTTTTGTCATTTGGCCTTTTCAGTAGACAGAGCAAGGAAATAGAAAAATAAAATATAAAGATTAAATACATCATGAATCCAAACTGCTACTTCAAATTTAAATTTAAGTGATAGACTTTCCCCCCATTTTTTAGAACAGTAATCTCTCTCTCTCTTTCTCTCTCTATATGTAATATTGTATACAATTTACCATTTAAGCCATTTTAAGTATACAATTAGTGTCATTAATTACTTTCATAATCTTGTGCACCATCACCACTATTTATTTATGGTTGTTTCATCATCCCAAACAGAAACTCTACTCATTAAGTAATAATTTTCTATTTCTCCTCCCCCAGCCCCTAGCAACCTTTAACTTAACTTTTTGTTTTCAGGAATTGTCCTTTTCTGGACATTTCATATAAGTGGAATCTACAGTATTTGTTCTTTTGTGTCTGGCTGATTTCACTTAGCATAATGTTTTCAAGCCTCATCCATGTTGTTGCATGTGTCAGAGCTTCATTCCTTTTTATGGCTGAGTAATAAATATCCCACTGTAGGCATAAACAACACTTCATTTATCCACTCATCTGTTGACGGGCACTTGGGTTGTTTGCCCCTTTCGGCTGTCGTGAATAGTGCTGCAATGAACACTGGCGTAGAAGTATCTCTTTGAGTCCTTGTTTTCAGATTTTTTGGATGTATACCTAGGTGTAGAATTGCTGAGTCATATGGTAATTCCATTTAGCTTTTTGAAGAACCACCAAACTGTTTTCCATAGTGCTGCACCATCTTACATTCCCACCCACAATATCCTAGCATTCTGATTTCTTCACATTCTTGACAACATTTGTGATTTTTTTCCCTTAGTCATCCTAACCTGTATGAATTGATATCTCATTGTGGTTTTGATTTTCATTTTCCTAATAATTAGTGATGTTGAGCATCTCTTCAGGTGCTTACTGGCCATTTATATATCTTCTTTGGAGTGTTGACTATTCAAGTCCTTTGACAATTCTTTGATTGGGTTGTTTGTCTTTTTGTTGTTGAGTTGAAGGACCTCTTTCTATATTCCCAAGTCCCAGCTGGTCCTCAAAGGTCCAATTTCTTCAATCAGTAAATAGCGAGAAAAAACAAAACGAATGTAAATGAAATCTAGATATTAAAATCTTATTATCTGATTTGAACATATTTTCTCCTGGTCTGTAGGTTGTCTTTTCACTTTCCTGATAATAAGCACTGATGCACAAAAGTTTTTAATTTTGATGAAGTCTAATTTATCTATTTTTTGCTGTTGCTTTTTGGTGTCATATCTAGGAATCAAGTGCCAAATCCAAGATTATGAAGATTTATTTCTTTGTTTTATTCTAAGACTTTTATTAGCTTTAGTAGATGCTTAAATTATAATTTTCCATTGTATGAGTCAGGATAAGTTATACTGTTTTGCAAACAACAAACCCTGAAATCTCAGGATATTAACACAATTAAAAATTATATATTGTTTGGCACACAATGCACTATGGATTGGGCAATCCTCCTCCATCTTGTAGCATGGAGTAAAAAAAGCCTTTGAGAGATGTTTTAAAGACCACCCTTGGGCTGGGCATAGTGGCTCATGCCCATAATCCCAGCACTTTAGGAAGCTGAGGCAGGCAGATCACCTGAGGTCAGGAGTTCGAGAGCAGCTGGCCAACATGGTGAAACCCCGCCTCTACTAAAAATACAAAAATTAGCCAGGCATGGTGGTGTGTGCCTGCAGTCTAAGCTACTTGGGATGTTGAGGCAGGAGAATTGCTTGAACCCGGGAGGTGGAGGTTATAGTGAGCCGAGATCATGCCACTACACTCCAGCCTCCAGCCTGGGCAACAGAGCAAGGCTCTGTCAAAAACAAACAAACAAAACCCAAAAAACCCCCAAAAATCAAACAAACAAACAAAAAAACCCACACCTGGAAGTATGTAATTTTCACCTATTTCCCATCAACCGGAACTCAGTCACATGGTCTCAACCTAACTGCAAAGGAGGCTGGGAAACGTAGTCTTTCTGCCTGCCTACGTGACTTTTAAATTAATAAATTATTGGAAAACATCATTTAATCAGGCATGTTATTTTTGCTTTTTGTGTCCTTGAAAATTATGAGATGATAGCCCAATTCATTCATGTTGCAAATACAAGACAGTTTATTGGTATTAATTTTAATATTTTATAATTTATGTTAGTTGCTATTTTCTAGCAGGGAAACCAGCACGCATTAGAGCTAATGACATTCTGTAACTGAGAATCAGGCAGTCCCCTTATTGAGGGAAAGTCTGGGAAGTGTTTACAATGCCCTTTAGACAGCAGCCTGCTACCAGATAAAGAATGTGAAACAGTTTTGTTACTTTTGGCTCAGAGGAAGCTCTCTTTATAAATGTGTTTTGAAAGCTGGAAACAGAACAAAAGCAAAGAAGAAAACAGTGACAGGAACGAAAGGAAGAAAAGAATGGAGATGAGGGGAAAGAAAAGAGAAGGGGATGGGACAGACAGAGAAGAAGAAAAGGGGGAAGGCTACAGGACTGCAAGAGGTTTGCTCGCTTGCTGCTGTGTCTGTCTCAACACAGCACCCAAGCCAGGACAGAAGAAGGCAGAGCTGAGCACCGCTACATCCTGGTGCGTTGTTGAGAGAAAGCTGTGATCAGATCTTGAGAACCTCATCACAGCATGCTTGTCATTTTCAAAAAAGAGACATGTGGCCGGGCGTGGTGGCTCACGCCTGTAATCCCAGCACTTCGGGAGGCCGAGGTGGGCGGATCACGAGGTCGGGAGATCGAAACCATCCTGGCTAACACGGTGAAACCCCGTCTCCACTAAAAATACAAAAAATTAGCCGGGCATGGTGGCGGGCGCCTGTAGTCCTAGCTATTTGGGAGGCTGGGGCAGGAGAATGGGGTGAACCCAGGAGGCGGAGCTTGCCCTGAGCCGCGATTGTGCCACTGCACTCAGCCTGGGCGACAGAGCGAGACTCCGTCTCAAAAAAAAAAAAAAAAAAAAAAAGAGAGAGAGAGAGAGACATGTTAGGAGGTCTTGATTAATACAAAGTTATCTCAGAACAGAGTATGAATCCAATGGCCGCCAGAGGAAAGACAGGGCTATGTGCCCTTGGTCACCAGGGCAAACAGTGCCTCCATGCCAGGCGAAAAGCAAATCATGTGGGACCTCTTGCTTCAGTCACGCGGAGGATTCTCCCTGTCCAGAATGTGAGCCTGCAGTAGATGTGGACCATAGGGAATGAGCATCTACTGAAGGTCAAGCAAATTTATACAACTGGAGCATTTTATTGGGAAATCACTGGGGCTCTTCGATCTGCATCATGGTTAAATTAGTACAAAATGTGGTGAAAAGCTGTGCCCCAAGGGCAAGAGAACACAACCCTTATGTTCCCTTATGCTTTTGCAAGCTTAGATTCCTGGTGTCTCTAGTCTGTGGGTATTAATGAGGTCAGAATTCTCATGACAGTTATTTTCTTTGGTTCTTGCACATACCTGCATAATACAGAAGGTCTCTCCTTTGCTAATGCCTGCCCACCGCAGAGACTGTCCACCCTGTGCTCATAGGTCATCCTCATACTTTTCCCTTCTATATTCATTGAGCTCTGTCATTTGAGAAGCCTTTAGAGGGTGCAGCTGTCACCTGGGAGAAAGTTGATGTCAGACGTGACATCTCCCAGGGTTTCCACATCACAATCCACCCAGCACGAGCACTGCTCAATGTTCCTGGACAAGAAGGTATCATCTCACAAAATTATTCATGCAAATAGAATCACTTGACTATCCCACCTGCTCACCCGATTTTCCTTTATAGTTTGAATCCTGGCTGAGTCCCAAGAAGGACCCTGTTATACAACTAGCACATTCTTAGTTTTGAGCACTCTGTGTTCTGTAACTTCTTGCATTATAAACCAAACTAACATGATTTTCTGCCTCCCCTGATTTCACTGGTGCCGTCATCATTCATCGAGAGGTTGATTTGCAAAGCTTTTCTCTGGACACATGGAGAAGATGACACGCTGGCCAGCCACAGGGAAGCATGTCCCGTGTCTGCCACTCATATAAGCTCTTCAATATATTGTCTCTGTTTATCATCACATATACATAATGAGTTATCATCTCTCCTGTTTTGTAGCTGATGAACACATTTCCAGGTCTCAGCAGTGAGTAAGGGGTTGGATTAAGCACCATGCTTTTCACTGCTATTCCTTGCTGTCTTCCTGCTCTGAGTTTATCTGAAACACAAAGGAGAGAGAATAAGTGTCTACACTGTGGTTTTCCAAACTGACCTCCTTCAATGTACCTAAGAAAGAAGAAAGAGTAATCATCTTATTATCAGAAAATGATTCTAACTATTGAGCTGCTGATATGTATTATGAACACAAATCTCAGCCCCCAAACTCAGATGTGTAGGTTTTTAAAAAATCACCTGTAATTCAACTTAGTATCTACTTCAGGCCTCATTCCCCTGAGCTGGTGGAGCAGGGTAGTTCCATCTCTTTTGGGGTCCCCTCACTGTGGAGGTGGGTGAAATTTGTGGGGCTTGTGTAGTGACCCACTCTCAAGGTGGTGGTTGGTGCCCAGTTGATCTTTGTCATCTCTATACACAGGTAATAACTTGGTCTTGGTCTTAGTCATTGTCCTGGGATGGGGTGTAAAAACATGTGTTGTTTTATGCCCCGCATTCAGGCACACCAGTCTTTCCAAGGATGGCAAGACAGGCAGGCTTCCATGCGGCCAGGGCTTTGCTATTTCTCTGTAGGTTGCTGGAAGGCCTGCACAGCCATGGCTCCTTCACCAGAGCAGCTCCCCTGCATCCACCCAAACCACTCTCCACAAAAGCCAGAAAGCCTGGAAGCAATGAGACCAAAATGGTCCCTCTGCTCGAGTAGGAGGAAAAAAGCAAAGTGAAAACCTACCCAGCCACATAAATTAAAATTTTTCCAATTATTATAAAATGCTTTTCTTCCTCCCTCTTTCTCTTTATCTGTGCATACTCTTGGGGTTTAGCTCTCTTCTAGAAACTTTCCCTAATTGCTATGGTGCCAGAAATATTCTTTTCTCTGAACTTCCATTTTTCAATTAACATCTGACACATCTTTTATTAGCTTAAAAAAAAGTTAGTGTCTTGTCTCCCTAACAGATTGTGCTCCCCTAGGTCTGGGGCTGTGTCCAACTTCTTTATCCGCCCCCCCCTTTTTTTTCAATACCTAAACAGTGCTAGGTATAGGGAGTAGCCTAAAGAAAAGTGTGTTGAATGTTTAAATTACTAAATAGGTACATGTTCAAATGCACAAATAGGCTACACGTTGTATTATTTGATTTTTTTCAAATAATACAAGAGTGTATAAAGTCATTTCCAATTCCTTCTTTATCACTGGAAATATTCTTTAATCTGAAATCAACTTTGTCTGATATTAATATAGCCACTTCAGTCTTTTTTTTTTTTTGAGACAGAGTCTCCCTCTGTCACCCAGGCTGGGGTGCAGTGGCGTCATCTTGGCTCACTGCAGCCTCTGCCTCCCAGGTTCAAGTGATTCTCCTGCCTCAGCCTCCTGAGTAGCTGGGATTACAGGCACTCATCACCATGCCTGGCTAATTTTTGTATTTTTAGTAGAGATGGGGTTTCACCACATTGGCCAGTCTGGTCTTGAACACCTGACCTCAAGTCGTCCGCCTGCCTTGGCTTCCCAAATTGCTGGGTTTACAGGTGTGAGCACTGCCCCCGGCCATCCAGTCTTTTTTTGAGAAGGGTTAGCACAGTGTATCGTTGTTGAACATTTTAATTTTAATCAGTTTGTCTATTTATATTTAAAGAGAATTTCTTGTGTTTATTAGGTCTTGTTTTTTTGATTCAATATGACAATCTCTGACTTTTTATTGTGGTGTTTAAACCGTTTATACTTAATATGATTATTGCTGTGGTTAGGTCTAAGTATCTCCTCCTGCTATTTGCTTTCTATTTGTAACGTTTATTCTGTGTTACCCTTTTCCTCTATTTTTGCCTTTTTAAAAGTTAATTGAAAATTTTTATGATTCCATTTTATCTTCTTTGTTGGATTTTAGCTGTAACTCCTTGTTTTGTTCTTTTACTAGTTGTTATAGGGTTTAAAATATTTAACTTAATATAGTCTACCTTCAAGTCATATTATACAGGTTCACTGACAGTATAAGAAGCTTAAATAATATACTTCTATTTGCCCTTTTCCACCTATATAGTCTTTATGGTTTTGTTGTCATACATTCACTTTTATGTATGTTACGAACTCCATAGTACATTGGTATTACTCTTGATTAAACAATTATATTTTCAAAAGATTTAAATTCTAAAGTATATATATTTACCAATGTATTTAATAGTTATCATTTCTGGTACAGTTCATTCATATTCATCTGGTTTTCATTTCATTTTCCTTCTGCCTAGAAGACTTCTTTCAATATTTCTTATAATATGTGTGTAACTAGAGTCTGTAAAGGAGAGAGGTTGCGGGAAGGGCAGAAAAAATATTTGAAGAAATCATGACTGAAAAATCTCCAAATTTGATAAAATTATAAAGCCATAGATCAAATATGCTTAAGGAGCCCTTTGCACACGAGATATGAATGTCACATAAAACTGTCCTGCCACTCAGTGTTGCTATTTTGTGTTTTTCTTTTAAATTCTTTTTGTCTTTTTCATTTTGAATAGTTTCTATTGTTATGTCTTCCAGTTCACTTAAAGTTCAGTTTGGATCTTTTTTTAAAATCTTTTTTAAGAGACAGGGTCTCACTGTGTCCCTCAGGCTGGAGTACAGTGGAGCTATCATAGCTCATTGCAGCCTCAAACTCCTGGGCTAAAGCGATCCTCTTGTCTTGGCCTCCCAAAGTTCTGGGATTGCAAGTGTGAGCCACCACATCCCATCAATTTGGGTGTTTTTTAAAAAATATCTTTCATGTGTCTAGTTAAGTTTTTGAACTTCTGGAATACAGTTATAACAATGTTTTAATGTCCTTGTGTGCTAATTCTGACATCTGTGCCCATTCTGGGACTGTTTCAATTTGTTGATTTTTCTCTTCATTGCGGGGCTTTTTTTTTTTTTTCTTTTTTTTTTTTTCTTTTTTTTTTTTTGAGACAGAGTCTCTCTCTGTCGCCCAGGCTGGAGTGCGGCAGCATCATCTCGGCTCACTGCAAGCTCTGCCTCCCAGGTTCACGCCATTCTCCTGCCTCAGCCTCCCGAGTAGCTGCGACTACAGGTGCCCGCCACCACTCCCGGCCAATTTTTTGTATTTTTAGTTGAGATGGGGTTTCACCATGTTAGCCAGGATGGTGTTGATCTCCTGACCTCGTGATCCACCCGCCTTGGCCTCCCAAAGTGCTGGGATTACAGGCGTGAGACACTGCACCCGGCCCATTACGGGGCTTTTTTTCCTTCCTTTCATGCCTGATAATATTTGATGGGATGCCAAACACTGTAAGCTCTCTGGTGAAAACATAAAGGTTTTCTTGAAGTGAGGTTTGAACTGAATTTTGAAGGGTATATATGGCTTAAACAGTGAAATGAGGGGAAAAACATTTAAAGAAGAGGGACAAACGTGAAAGTAGCTGAGGCATAAAAGGCTATGTGTTTTTAAGAAAATAAAAGATTGCTGGGGTGACTAGGAGCAAGCAGTGAAATGGAGAATTGCATTCTATGTCTCTTGGGGTAAAGGGATGGGCAGACCATGTCCCACTGACTCAGGGGCTTTGTTAGGCATTTTGTTCTGTATCCTGTGAACAATAGTAATTCTTTAAGGGCTTTACTTAAGCTCAGATTTGCAGAAAAATCACTCTGGCTTCAATGTGAAGAACAGCTTGAATGAGCTTCAGAATAGAAGGGGTGTCGAGTTAGGAAGCCACTGTAGATTTCTGAGTGAGAGATGAGCATAGTTGGGGCCAGGATGGGAGCAGAGATGGAAAGAAGTGGGCTGACCTGAGATACAAGATGTGGGGTGACTCTTGACCCCTCCCGACTGCACCCTATGAGATCAATCACCAAGTTCATGTGAACGCTTTTCTAAGGGGAATATTATTTTCACAGAGTGAATACATTTTTTATTGATATGTTCATAAATATACTTTCTTACAGTTCTGACTATTGCATGTAGTACCTCAGAAAGGAAACCTATTTATTAACTTGTACCCAGAAATGACTCCTAGTGAATCTCTTCTGATATTTGCCCAAGAATTCCCCTAAAACACTCAGTAATGAAAAACCTCATTCCAAAGGCCTAGTTCAATATTCCTCAAACTGTAGTGTGCATGAGAATCACCTGACAAGCTTGTTCAAACAAATATTTCTGGGCCACATTCCCCAGAGTTTCTGATTCAGTAAGTCTTATTCAGTGACTTTTCACCTCTATCAAGTTCCTGGGTGATTTTGATGCTGCTGGCCCAGGGACCACTGTATGGGAATCACTGGTTAATCAGAAGCACTATAGCCAAGAGTGCTTCTCTTGGAGAAGGAAACACAGAAACTCTGTTCCTTTCCAGTGCTGTGACTTGGTCAAGTGACTCACCCCTCTGTGCCTTTGTTTCCTCATCTGGGTCTTGGTGAGGCTTAGAGTGAGGACTGTTGGAAAGCATTAGGACAGATGTATAAGGAGCATATACACGCTTTTATACGTAAGAAAATAAGTTCCATGTGCCTTGCATATTCTACAGTTCTCAGTGTATGGTGAGACAGATCCTGCTTTCAGTTCATCCTTGGTGAATGCTAGTCAAAATTCTATGTGATGTCACAACAGAAATCTTCAGTTAACAGTCGTGGAAAGGACTCAAGCTCTACTCCATCTCCACCTCCTTGGGTTTGGGTAAATTCTCAGCAGGATTGTGCATTAGGTGAGTGTCTGCTTCTCCCCTGGGTCCCCATAACTTTGCTTGCTCCTAAACAGGGAGTCACATCTGGGAAGAGACAGTAGATAATGGAGCCAGAGAGCTGACTCACCACGTGGGATGGCTGTGGGCAAGTTTCCCAGGTTGCACAAGCCACCGGGTTTTCTGAAACAGATGGAAAGACCGCCTCTGCAGGCCGCTGGCTGACTTCAAGATAGTCGTGCTGTATCAAGTGGTGTGAGAAGGAAAGACCCATAAGAGACTTTGTCATCCAAGTTTCAGATTCCCCTGGATTCCTTAGCGATAAGACATGCATGGCTCATTACATATTCTATTTATGAAATTTCTACGGGCAAAGACTCGAATGCCCTTTAACTGGGTGCGCACATGGGCATCGCATAGTTTTCCAGAGTAACCCAAGATACTGGGGTGGAGAGAAAAATGGAACCAGAAGACAAGCCAGCTTCTACCAAAGCCACCCAGCAGTCAGCCAGCCCAGACTCTCAAATCTGGACCTGGGGGTCAGCCCTAGGTAGACAGGCAAGCCATCTTTCAAAGGCTCCCATGTCCTCTTAATAAAGTGAGAGCCAGACATTAGCAATCATTCTCACAATTTTTAAAAACCATATTATCAGCTGTTATTTTAAATATCCCTAACCTAGTATAGTTAATAACAGAAACAGAAAACATTTAAGATTTTTAAGATATAAGAATTGAAGATCTTGAGTCAAGCTTTAAAATGAAAGTAACTTTGAAATGAGGTCAAAGTTAGAACATTCAGCAAGGAATCTTAATTAGAAAAGTATGACTGGGCAATACTAGAACAATTCTGAGCAAATGATTTTGCCACCAGGAATGGTAAATTCAAAGAAGGCAAATTAGCAGTAAGTTGCAGAGATGGCCACTTGAATGAAACACAAACAGGGTTAATTTTTTTCACTCGGTCAATTGCATTTCTCATACAAAGCTGAAAAATGCTCTCTTGTAATTCTCATTTTATAATAGCAATTCTTTTGTTTTGCATTGCCTGGCCATTGCAATCTGGACAAAGCAACTTTTCCATCCTATTTTAGTTCTCAAAGTATATTGATTTTTAATTTCCTGGAGCCAGTTTTCTACACAACAATATTTTATTCACTATGAGAAGTAGTGCCAGTTTTAAACATTTATAGACTTGTTTCTCCAGGGAAAAACATAAGCTAGAAAGAAAAACTAAAATTTCATTTGATGAGATTCAAATGGCAATTGGGGGTTTGAATGTAGAAGTGTTGTTTTCTTATCCAGAACAGTCACTGGAACTGCATTAAGGGAATGCTATCTGGTCAATTTTTGTTTACTTTCTGGAGATACGATATTTTCTGAGGATTCAAAACAAGTGGGAAATTGCCAAAGTCTTGCAAGCCTGATTTAAGAGACAGAAAAGAAGAGACAACATATAAAGTTTTCTCTTCGTGCATATGAACACACATATATCTTTAAGTTAATACATTAATGGATCATATTATAACATTTCTTTTCAAAAATTTTCTTTTTGTTCTTTGCTCTTCTTCTTCTCTTTCCTTTCCCAAACTTTCTCTCTGCCTTCTGCACAGGTAACTCATGATAACAGTATGTGGCCTATAATTTTCAGCTCACTCGCGCTTACCTGCATGTATGTGCACAGATGTTAGAGAGTGCTTTTCTTCATTTTTGTTAGAAATGGGATAATAAAACAGACTTTTTTTTTCTGCATTTGGTTTCATTTACTCTGTAATTGCTCATGGAAATCTCCCAGAGTCATCAATGTGGCTCTAATTCATTCTTTTCAGTGGCTGTGTAATAGGTTGTGGTGTGTATGAGCCAGAATTTCTTTCATCATTCCTCTGTCATTAGGCGTTTATTTGAGTTCCAGCTTTTTGCCACTGGGAACAATACTGCAGTAAATGCTTATGTCCTTGTGTTTTCATTGCAGTGGGGTAGATGGAGGTGGCTCTAGACATTTTAGTTCTGAGTTTAACCTCTTTTTGCTCATCTTTACTTGCTGTAGGGGCTGCAAAGATAAATAAAACTTAATCTTTATCAAGCCCTCATAGCTGAGAATGGCCATGGAGCTCAGTTTAAGGCAGGGAAGTGGCTTTGGCTGAGCCTCTTCTGATACAGGCTGAGCATGCCTAGTGAGAAAATCCGAAATCCAAAATGCTCCAAAATTCAAAACGCTTTGAGTGCTGATGTGATGCTCAAAGAGATGCTCATTGGAGCATTTCAGATTTTTGTGTTAGGGATGCTGAACCAGTAAGTGTAATACATATATTTCAAAACTTGAAAACAATCAAAATTCAGAGCACTTCTGGTCCCAAACATTTTGGGCGAGGGATACACACTCAACCTGTACCTCCGTCTTCCTGCTTGGAATGCAGCTGTTGCTAAAAGTGGCAGAGGTGAGAGAGAGAGAGAGAGAGAGAGAGAAATAAAGAAGGAGCCTGGTATGTATGATTTAGCCATGTTTCAACAAGTATTTCTGAGCATCTAATCACAAAGATATGGAATCATTCTAAGTGTCCATCAATGGATGATTGGATAAAAAAAATGTGTATATATATATGTAGGAATACTACTTAGCTATAAGAAAGAAGAAAATCATGTTTTGCAGCAACAAGGATGGAACTGGAGGCTGTTATGTTAAGTGAAACAGATCAGAAACAGAAAGTCAAATACCACATATTCTCACATAAGTGGGAGCTAAATAAAGTGTACACGTGGACACAGAGTGTGGAATAATAGGCATTGGAACTGGGAAGGGTGGGAGGGTGAGGAGAGTGAGGAATAAGAAATTACTCAATGGGCATGATCTACACTATTCAGGGGATGGTTTCACTAAAAGCCTGGATTTTATCACTATGCAATATAGCCACATAACAAAGCTTCACTTGTACCCCTTAAATTTATAAAAATAAGAAAGTGAAGGATAGAGATACCAAAGAAAGAGACATGGTCCCTGGCTTCATGAAATGTGTAAGTGCTTTGCAGGTGCAAGACGAGGTGGCATGAAGCCATGATGCACAGGGAACTAGAGCGATCTGGGGCAGGTGGCAATCACAGAAGCCCTAAAGGAGGGTAGTGTTGGTTAGGAATGGGAGGGAAGGAGCCTTCCAGAGAGAAGGAGTGCTATAGTGCTAGGACCTTGGCTTGTTTCTTGGAACAGAGGAAAGGTCAGCATGGCCAAAGCCCAGCACTGGAGGGGGCAGTCTCACTCTGTTGCCCAGGTTGGAGTGCAGATCTCAGCTTACCAAACAAGGGTTTGGCCTTGTTGGTCTTTCAAGGAACTTGAACTTTCCCGTTAGTGAGGAAGACAGGTAGCGGTTTCTGGAGGCAAGCGTGAGAGAGCCCTTGTGAACATATTGGGTGAGGGATGACACTGGGTTAGATCAACAAGGTGGAACTGAATTTCGAAAAAAGTTGATAGTTTTGAGATGTAGCTTTCCTTAATTTTAAAGATTATTATAAAACAATGGCTGCAATGAAAACTACTTTTTTTTTTTTCTGACTTGCCTGATCATCTTTTTAGAATAAACTAGAAGTGGCCCTCTGGATCAGAATTGATGCCTATTGAATGGAAAACCAAACATTGCATTTTCTCACCTATACATGGGAGCTAAGATATGAGGATGCAAAGACATCAGAATAATATAATGGACTTTGGGGATTTGGAGAGAAAGGTGGGAGAGGGGGCGAGGGATAAAAGACAACATATATGGTGCAGTGTATGCTACTTGGGTGATGTGTGCACCAAGATCTCACAAATCACCACTAAAGAACTTATTCACGTAACCAAATACCACCTGTGCCTCAATAACTTTTGGAAAAATAAAATAAAATAATAATAATTTAAAAAAAGAAAACAAAGAATGCCCATTAAGATGCTGCCACCCATGATCAGACTGCCGTCCTCAACTGCTATGTGGTGAGCACTCCCACAGAGCAGCAAGGATGGAGTCTCCAAGACCTTTGTCAGCACTGAGGGACTGTGGTCAGACTCGGACATCCCCAATCCAATGGTGGAAAAGAGAGTTTTGGTGGTATTTGGATTTCTTTTATTGGTACTATGGTTGAATTTCTCAGTAATATTACAACATCACAAAACACTCATTTGCCTTTAGGAGTTTATAATTTCTTAAAATGAAATGCATAATGGAATAAAATCGAAGAAGAATGAATTTAGGACTTTTCATCTTTTAAAACCACACCTCCCACTAGTCACCTTAGGATTTGCTCTTCTCTAGAGATGTAGTGTGCACTCGGAATAGGTTTAAGTTCACTTTCCATAGTGAAAAAGTGATGCCATCACATAAGGCTGATGGGGAAAATGCCTTCACACTTTTTTTTTTTTGAGACAGGGTCTCACTCTGTTGCCCAGGTTGGAGTGCAGATCTCAGCTTACCACAGTCTTGGCCTGCTGGGCTCAAGGGATCCTCCCACCTCAGCCTCCTGAGTAGCTGGGATTACAGGCGTCTGCCACCATGCTTAGCTAATTTTTGTATTTTTTGGTAGAGACAGGGTTTCACCATATTGCCTAGGCTGGTCTCAAACTCTTGGGTTCAAGCAATCCATCCATCTTGGCCTCCTGAAGTGCTGGGATTATGGGCATGAGCCACCATGTCTGGCCCATAGTCTTACTATTATGGCTACTAATTTCCTCACAGAGTTATAGTGGGGATTAAACAAGAGGCTATAGAGAGAGACCCTAGTACAACACTCACCCTTTAAAAAAATTTCCACCAAGTGCTACTTGCTTTTTCCTGTTATTTGTTTTCCAAATATACTCATAACAATATCTACAAACCAATGAACAAGTAGCTTCAATAAACCAAAGGAAAAAATTATGGCACTAGGTTTTTAAAAACATGCATGTCATCAGTAAAAGCAAGGTGAAATAACAGACATGTTAAATAATTTTTATATGAATAATTCAGTATGAACCAGGCATGGTAGCACATGCCTATAATCTCAGCTACTCAGGAGGCTGAGGTGGGAGGGTTGTTTGAACCCAGGAGTTTGAGACCTGCCTGGCCAATATAACGAGATCCCGTTTCAAAACAACAATAAAATGATTCAGTATGAATTCGGCTTATCTTCTTGTTGGGCTACAGAAATGAGCAAAAGAGACAATTAGCTTAGAAAATACTGAATGTATGGACCATCTCATCCATCATCCAGTAGGCACTGACCAGGTTCTGGGCACTGTGTGATGCATGAACACATTTCTAGTTCTGAGGTAGGCCTGTTAGCTAACAATGCAAAAATGAACATAAACCCAAAAATACCAATACAAACGCCCAGATTACACCAAAGCTCTGACACCTTGCCTAGTCCCATGTCTGTCCGCAGACAATTATCACTGGTGGTGACCTGAAGCATGGAGTTGTTAATATAAATCCAAAGTTTGTAAATTATTTACACATATGTATGTGTGTGTTTATATGTATGTATATGTGCCTGTGTATATATGTATATACATGTTATTGGTTGGGTGTAGATGTGTGTATACACACACACAACCAATAGCACCTAGTAGAAATGAGGAAAGTTTTTGAGAAAAGAATGTCAATTCCTTTCTCTCAAGACAAGTATTTTTATTCCTTTGCAGTTTTTAGAAAATTCATTGCTTCTCAAACACCATTCTTCAAGTATTTAAGTTAATACCAATCAGATTGAAAGGGATTCCAATGTAGAAAAGTAAACAGGAACATGGGACCCACAAGGAGTGTTTGTGCACAGTGAACGTAAAGGCTTGGGGTCAAAAGTTTCAGGAAATGCTTCAGCCTCCAAGCTCCTGGCCACCCAAGAGGCACAGCCTGGGAGAATCATGTCAGCATCATTATCCTGAAGCCACTGGCCTCGTTAACATTATTAGGGCCTGCTGGCATCTGAACCCAGGGAACTGATTCAGTTATAGATGAACTAGTCTGAAAACATCCTCAATGAAGCATCTGTCCCTTTTGGTTTTTTTTCTTTAGGTGCCTTTAAAATTAGTGAGAAAATAGTCAGGCTGCTGTGTTAACCTCACACGTCAGGAGCATAGTTACATTTCCACATACTTATTGTTTTTCCAGAAGTTCAGAGAAAGGCACATGTTCATTAGTGATCTTGGAATCACTTCTCAGGCCTGGAGATAATAAACGATTCTGTCATACGCTCTAGGGACTTAGTTATTGCTCAAAACCTGGGTTTTCAATGGCAAAAAACATGACACACAAATTAAAGAATCATTTCTGGCCAGCTCCCAATGTCATGCCATCCAAAAGGAGATTTGCTTGTCAAGAGTTTATGTTCTCTCGGTTCCATTTGGTGGATATGGCAGGAGGCCAACCGTGCAAGTCAGTTCAAAGCAGTAAGGGAGGAGCTTCACTGTGTTCAGTCAAGACAAACGGGAGGTTGGCCTTTTGACCTGGGCGGCCAACCTCAGTGTGTGAGCAGGGAAAATGGGATGAGTGTGGAGTAGCCCTGATGTCCTTTTTACATAAAACCCTCTTGCTGACAGTAACCCACACATGAGGGAGGCTAAGCAGTTAGGGAAAGTTCAGTTGGGGCGCTGAAAGATAGCTTCCAGGTGGGTTATACAACACAGAAGGTTGAGTTTTTTGTAGGTAACTTTAATAATTCAACTTTTTTTGAGAACATGTTATTACAACATGTTTTTAAATTGGTACTTTTGAAAGGTTTACATATATAGGTTTAAAAGGTAAATGTAAGCATACTTCTTTAAAGATGCAATTTGTGGTGTTTTCTCCAGGGAATAGAAGTGTTCAACAAAGAAAGAACGTTGGGATCAAGAGAATAATTCAACTTTTTATTCTAGATTATCAGTTTGATTTGGCTTACCAATTATGGAAATAAATTCTAAATAATTTTGCACTGATGTGCTTTTTCCATTATTGTGTTAGTATAGGAGGGGGATATTTGGGATAATATTCTTCATGGCTGTTCCCGTACAGAAATGAGTGATTGCTAATAAGCATCCTCAAGCCTGCACATGCCCATGAATGCCCATCCTTCAGATGGCTCTCTAGGAGGCTGAGCTCACCTGTCAAAGTTGCTAGCATGGCTCACAGCACTGCTGGAATCCTTTCTGGGAATTCCCTTCAGAATACGCATGACAGGCCTGTAATCCCAGCACTTTGGGAGGCTAAGGCAGGTGGATCACTTGAAGTCAGGAGTTGAAGACCAGCCTGGCCAACATAGTGAAACTCTGTCTGTACTAAAAATACAAAAATTAGCTGGGTATGGTGGCATGGGCCTGTAATCCCAGCTACTAGGGAGGCTGAGGGAGGAGAATCGCTTGAACCCGGGAGGTGGAGGTTGCAGTGAGCTGAGATCGTGCCATTGCACTCCAGCCTGGGTGACAGAGTTAGACTCTGTCTTAAAAAAAAAAGTGATTCTAAAATTTATTTGGAGAAATAGAGATTCTCCATTTTGAGCAAAGAGCCAAGGGGGTGGGTTAAGAAACACCTTACGCAATGTTTAGACATATCACAAAGACATAGTAATAAAACAAACCCCCAAACAACAGTGTGGTACAAAGAAAGGATCATGCAAAGAGACCAGTGAAACTGAATGGAGGGCCCAATAATAGTTCCAAGGGTTCATGTATATCTTTTACATATGAGGTGACATCACAGCTTTACAAGAAAAGGTAGATTATCCAGCAAATGTTGATGGAAAAATTGGCTTTCTAAACTGAGTAAAATAAAGCTGCATCCTGATATTGTGCCATATTTGAGCAATATGGGTATAGACCTAAATGCAAAAGGTAAGACTGTAAAGTAAATGAAAGAAAAAATAAAATATTTCAGCAATCTTGGATTGTGAGATGGTGTTTTAAACAAGGCCCTGAAAGCATGAAGAGTAAGGCCAAAATTTAATAAATTTTACTGTATCAAAATTAGAAAATTTTTCTTCCACGAAGAACATGAAATCTGTTCCATGACGTTAACAGAAAGAACACTGGTAGGTGTTTGTAGTGTCTAAATCAGTAAGATGATTAACATTTAGAATACATGAAGTATTCATACATCAACAAGGATAAAAGACAAGAAACAGAGAAATCAGCAAAGGATATCATTAGGTTAATTTACAGAAGGAGCACTCTAATAAGACAAGATGTCATTCTCACTAACTGTGAGAAAAATCCAATTAATTCAATTCGGATTAATCTATTATAATCAAAGTAGTAAAAATGTAATAGTTGACTAATAAAAAGATCTCTATTTGCAATGCATTTAACCATCTCTCCTTTTCGAAAACCTACTAAGATCACATAAATGTATAGTTTTACGTTTAAATCTTTACTAAAATGAACAAATAAATGAATGAGTAAATAAGTAAACAAGATCTACCTACAAGAACAAAGAGAACAAAAGAAAAGAAAATGCAGATAAAAGACACCAACATTTTGGAAGATGTAAATTGGGTGGAGGATGTAGCTGACCTAACAGAGAAGATGAAATGAGCATCCAGTGCCTGCAGGGGGTGATATTGATGAAGAGTGAGCACATTTGCCTTGAAGAATCGCTGAAAGCTCCAAATGGAAGACAGCAGGTACTCTGGCAGGTGGGGTTGAGTGTGAGCCTGAACACAGCATGAAACCTGGGAAGTCTCTGTGAAGCAGCTGTGTTCCCTGGGTCCCTTTCTCCACCACCCCCTGCAGCAGGTGTCTGTATGTCTCCTGCCCTCTAGGATCCCAGAGATTTATTCTTGAGATGTTGAAATACAGAGGCTTTGCACATGAGGGCACTTAGACAAAGGAGCTACAGATATTGGTTGGGAGACCTCAAAGAAAATGCTGCCTTGTTTTGTTACAGTGAGGTGCACATACAGCACTTCTCATAAATCTTTTAGTGACTCCCTCAAACATAAATGACAGCAATAAAAACATCAAACATTTGAGGAAAACCTCCAATGTGAACAAGAAAGATCCACCTCCCCCATCCTTCTACCAAAAAAAAAAAAAAAAAAAAAGAAAAGAAAAGAAAAAAGAAAGGGGAATGGGTAAATCTATAGAGAAAGAAAAATTAGTAGTTGCCTAGGGCTGAGGGGATAGGTGTTGGGGGACAATGACAGGTATGTGCTTTCTTTTTGGGATGCTGAAATTTTTCAGAAATTGATTGTGATGATGGTTGTCTAACTGAACATACTAAAACCCATTGAATTGTACACCTTAAATGGGTGATTTGCATGTATGTGACTTATATCTCAACAAGAGTGTTATACAAGAACAATAAAAGACAATTAAGGGAAATACAATGAAAATACTTAAGAGTATAAGAAAAATTGGATTATATACAATTAAGAATGTCTTTTATGTCTTTTAATCAAAAGATGATTTGTGGAAAGACAAGTCAGAGCGCAGGAGAGGTGTTTGCTCTGTGATGTGTGATGTGTGTGTGTGTGTGTGTGTATAAATACACACGTATATGACAAGCGACTCTATCCAGAATATGTAAAGAACTCAGTAGGAAAAAGGCAATGAGATAGAAAGATGGTCAAAACAGTTGAACAGGAAGTTCGATAAGTAAAGCGTTCAAATCAATAATAAAAATATGAAAATTTCTCAACTTTGTTAGCCGGGGAAACTGAAAATCAAGATCTCAGTGTAATACTACTACACACCTACCACATGGGCTCCAATGAAAGTGATAAACAGTACCACATGGTGGGGACATGGAGCTGGCACAAGTTTAAGTTGGTTTATCCACTCTGGAAAGCCTTCAGCAGAATCTCCTAAGGCTGAAATATACATATCTTCTGACCATGCTATTTCACTCCCAGGTGTATTAGTGTGTAAATATGTTTACTAAGAGGCATATACCTGTTTCATGGCAGCACTATTCATAATAGCCCAAATTGGAAACAACTCCAAAGTCCATCAACAATAGAAATTTCCATTTCATACAAAAGAATATTTAACCCTGAGAAGAAAAATATAGATCTATCTCTCAAATTATTTTGAGGGAAAGAAATGCAAAAGTGTATGAACTGCATGATCCCATTGATATGAAATTTTTAAAAGTCAAAGCTTACCGATAGGTTTAGGAGGCAGGGTATTAGCTCCCCTTGGAGGGCACTGATGGGGACTGGGAGAGGTATGGGGCTGCTCTGGGGTGATGGTCTTGTCTCGTGATTAGGGTGCTGGTTCCATTGTGCATTTCATTTGAAAATTCACTGAGCTGTACACTCAGGATTTGTGTACTTTTTGTGTGTATATTATACCTTGACAAAATATGCATTTACAAAACTGTACTTAGAAAGATAATAGAAAATACTTTGTTCATTCAGAAAAACAGGGTGCTATAAAGCAATAATAAGAAAAACTTATTGGAAACAGAAAGTGAAATAAACATTAAAGATATAAATTATTAACAAATTGATCAATTCCTATCAAAGCCCCAGCAAGATTATTTTTGATAGACATAAAAAAGTTTATTCTAAAATTTATATGGAAAGGCACAGACCTTAGAATGGCTAAAACACCCTTCAAAAAAGGTAAAATGAGAGGAATCACTGTAGCCAATATTAAGTCTTCCTCTATAGCCACAGCGATGAAGACAGTGTAGAACTGACAGATGAGTAGAAACATTGCTCAATGGGACAGAACAGAGAACCCAGAAATAGGCCCATGCACACATGGCAAACTTATTTTTGATCAATGTACAAAAGCAATTCAATGAAGGAAGGGTAAACTTTCAAAAAAGATGCTGGAACTCCAGCCTGGGCAACACAGTAAAACCCTGTCTCTACAAAAAACACAAAAATTAGCTGGGTGTGGTGGTGTGTATCTGTAGTCCCAGCTACTTGGGAGGCTGAGGCGGGAGGATTAAGTGAGCCTGGGGAAGTTTAGGCTGCCATGAGCCATGCTCCACTGCACTCCAGCCTGGGTGACAGGGCAAGACTTTGTCTCAAAAAAAGAAAAAAAAAAAGATACTAGAACAATTACTTAGCTATTGGCCAGAAAAGAGAGAACCTTGACTTAAACTTTACATCTTATATAAAAATTAACTTAAAATGGATCTTGGATGCAAATGCAAACTATTAAAAAAACTTTTAGGAAAAAGCATAAAAAACCTTTGGGATCTAGGTCTTGGCAAAAAGTTCTTAGACTTGACACTGAAAGCATAATTCATATTAGGAAAAATTGCCAAATTGAACCTTACCAAAATAAAAAAAAACTTGCTTCGTGTAATATCTTGTTAGGAGGATGTACAGATCATCTACAGACTAGTAGAAAATATTTGCCAACTATATAGTGTCTGGATCATTCTACTATCTATAATATAATATAATATATAAAGAACTCTCAAAAGTCAACAGTAAAAAAACATTCAAATTACAAAATGGGTAACAGACACTTAATAATAAACACTTTATTGAAGAGAATATATGGATGGCAAATAAGCACAAGAAAATGTTAAACATCACTAGTCACTAGGGGAATATAAATACAAATTAATAGCACAGTGAGATATCACTAGACACTTATCAGAATGGCTAAGATAAATAATAATGACAAGAAAGATCAACTGCTAGCGGAGAAATTGCATCATTTGTACATTACTGCGAGAACATGAAATGATACAGTGACTTTGGCAACCAGCTTGGCAGCTTCTTATAAAATGATACATAAAATTACCACATGACCCAGCACTTTTGGGGATTTATCTCAGAGAAATGATAACATGGTGTTGCGGGTTGCCAGTCAGTAGTTATAAAAGGGCAAAATGAGAGATTCTTGTGGTTATGGAAAAGTTCAGTATCTCAACTGTGATGGTGGATACAGGAATGTATGCATGTGATAAAATTGCACAGAAATAAACATATGTGCATGCACACAAATGAGTACTAGTAACTGGGGTGATCTGAATATGATCATGGAGTGTATCTGTGTTAATCCCATAGTTACGATATTGTACTATAGTTATGCAAGATGTTGCCACTGGGGGAAGCTGGGCAAAGAGCACACAAGACCTCTCTGTATCATTTCTCACCACAGCTCCTACATCTAAAATAATCTGAAAAAAAATTTAGTTGAAGAAACTTATGTCTTCTTGACAGAAGATTGGCCAGGGTGGAAAGGAGACTGAGTAAATGGTAAGATAGGCCAGAAACAATGATCTAGAGTGCAGTGTGGAAGAGAAAGGAGAAGTGAAGGAAATAATAGATTCATCTTACTGGCCAGTTAGGGTCCCAGTGGAGAGGAGTGGGAAATTGGGGCAGAAGAAATATTTGAAGAGCTGATGCCTGAGAATATTCCCAAACTGATGAAACACACCAGTCTTTCCCAACAAATCCCAGGTGATAGTTATACAAAAAGACGTCCACACCCAGGCACAATATAACAGAACTGAAGTCTCCTAAAAGTGCTCAGGGCCAAGGCAGAACACTTGCAGAGGAGCAGTGCTTCTACCAACAGCTAACTTCTCTGTGTCAACCACTAAAGCTCAGAGACAATGTGAGGACATGACATGAAAATAACACTATGCATCTTTGTTAAGAAACTGCATCCATCCAAAAAGCATGATGATGAACTGTGAGAACATCTTAAAATACAATAGCAAAAGTGTGTATTAGACTATGGGTCCTCAGCCCTCATGCCACGGAATGCTAACGGTCTGTGTCCTGTTAGGGACTGGGCCGCACAGCAGGAGGTGAGCGGCTGGCAGGCGAGTGAAGCTTCTTCTGTATTTATAGCTACTTCCATGGCTTGCATTACTGCCTGAGCTCCGCCTCCTGTTAGATCAGTGGTGGCATTAAATTCTCACAGGAGCGTGAACCCTACTGTGAACTGTGCATGTGAGGGATCTAGGTTGCATGCTCCTTATGGGAATCTAACGCCTGATAATCTTTCACTGGCTCCCATAACCCCCAGATGGGACCATTTAGATGCAGGAAAACAAGCTCAGGGCTCCCACTGATTCTACATTATGGTGAGTTGTAAAATTATTTAATTATATATTACAATGTAATAATAATAGAAATAAAGTCTACAATAAATGTAATGCACTTGAATCATCCTAAAACCATTACCCCCACCCATCCCATTTGTGGGAAAATGGTCTTCCACAAAACCGGTCCCTGGTGCCAGAAAGGTTGGAGACTGCTGTATTAGAGAACAGAAATGGACCTGGTTGTGAGAGATGAAGGGGAAAAGTAATGAGGTCAAGTAAACCAAAGAGGAGTCTTGCAGGAGCCATCAGCAAGCATGTGCCATGAACGAGGGGACATGGTTTAGGCAGCTCTATGTATCTTAGCAAAGAAGAGAAAACAAAATAAAAGCAGTGAAGATTATTATAACAATTGAGACAATGAAAAGTCGTCTTAGTTTAGGTTCCCCTAGGAGGAGACTTGAGGCAAGCAGTTTGCTTAGAATGTGTATAAGTCCATTCTCACATTGCTATAAAGAAACACTCGAGACTGGGTAATTTTTAAAGAAAAAAGGTTTAATTGGTTCATGGTTTCACAGGCTGTGTAGGAAGCATGATGGCATCTGCTTCTGAGGGAGTTTACAATCATGGCAGAAGGCAAAGGGGCAGCCAGCACCTCACATGGCTGAAGCAGGAGGGAGAGAGAGAGGGGGGAGGTACCACACACTTTTAAATAGCCAGATCTCATGATAACTCACTCACCACACAGTACCAAGGGAGACTGATGCTCAACCAGTCATGAGAACTCTGCCCTTCTGATCCAATCAGTTCCTATGAGGCCCCACCTCCAATCCTGGGGATTACAATTCAACATGAGATTTGGATGGGGACACACGTTCAAACCATACCAGACGGTGATCCCAAGAGATGTTGGTGGTGCAGTAGGGAAGTGAGACAGGGAAGTGAGGAAGCCCATATAGGTGAGTTACCAAGCAAAACACCAAGGAGGGCAACTAGAGCTTAGCTTAGTTCGCAAGGGAGCTCCAGGAGCTGGTATAAATACCCCTGAGTTGTGTGCCCCAAGGAGCTGGGGAGTTGAGGTATTTACATACCACCCTCCATCTGTCTGGTTGGCAGTCGCTTCTAGATGTGCATTCCCCAGCACTCCTGGTCTATGGCACGCTTGGGCTGGGTGCACTCCACAAAGCCATTTAGTACATGGACTATACCAGTATGCACAGATGACTGGCCCCAGGAGCTGTTGGGGGCATGAGGGTACCTGCCACAGAGTGCCCACATTTGGAGAAAAACTCTTCCTGCATTTCCCTTCTCTGATTTCCACATCTCTAGAGTAACCATTATGAGCAGTTGTGTTTCCTCCCAGAATTGCTCCTGGCATATGCAAATTATAGGTACATGTACACATATGCAAACGCCTTCTCATGTGTACACAAGCATGTGTTTTGCTTATATTTTACAAAACGGAAACTCTGTATATTATTTTTCAACTCATTTAAAAAAATACCTCAACTATATATGGTCATTCTTCCACGTGTATTTCTGTCATTCTTTAGATTTGCAGACATTGCACAGAATGACTCAATAATTATTTATTAAATAGAGTCTTTAGGGATGGAATTGAAGTTGTCTCCATATTTTGCCTTTATAAACAATTAATGGCTTCCTGTCTATAGCCTGGAGGACGTGTGCATATGTTTCTGAACTATAAATTCCCGGAGTTAAATCACTGCTAATTACTCTCTAAAAGGTTGTTTCAATTTATGCTCCAATCCTTTCCCTCACTCTTTTCGTTCAATTTTTATTTTAAGTTCAGGGGTACAAGTGCAGGAAGTGCAGGATGTGTAGGTTTGTTACATAGGTAAGTGTGTGCCGTGGTGGTTTGCTGCACAGATCATCTCATCACCTAGCTATTAAGCCCAGCATCCCTTAGCTATTCTTCCTGATGCTCTCCTTACCCCACGCCCCCTCTGACAGGCTCCAGTGTGTTTTGTTCCTCCTATATGTCCCTGTGTTCTCATCATTCAGCTCCCACTTATAAGTGAGAACATGCAGTGTTTGGTTTTCTGTTCCTGCATTAGTTTGCTAAGGATAACGGCTTCCAACTCCATCCATGTCCCTACAAAGGACATGATCTCACTCCTTTTTGTGGCTGCATAGCATTCCATGGTGTATATATACTACATTTTCTTTATTCAGTCTATCATTTACAGGCATTTAGGTTGATTCCATGTCTTTGCTATTATGAATAGTGCTACAATGAATATATGTGTGCATGTATATTTATAACAGAATAATTTATATTCCTTTGGGTATATACCCAGTAATGGGATTGTTGGATCAAATGGTATTTCTGCTCCTAGGTCTTTGAGAAATCGCCACACTGTCTTTCACAATGGTTGAACTTATTTACAATCCCACCAGCAGTGTAAAAGGATTCTTTTTTCTCTACAACCTCTCTAGCATCTGCTGTTTCTTGACTTTTTTTTTTATTACACTTTAAGTTTTAGGGTACATGTGCACAACATGCAGGTTTGTTACATATGTATACATGTGCCATGTTGGTGTGCTGCACCCATTAACTCGTCATTTACATTAGGTATATCTCCTAATGCTATCCCTCCACCCTCCCACCACCCCACAACAGGCCCGGTGTGTGATGTTCCCCTTCCTGTGTCCATGTGTTCTCATTGTTCAATTCCACCTATGAGTGAGAACATGCGGTGTTTGGTTTTTTGTCCTTGCAATAGTTTGCTGAGAATGATGGTTTCCAGCTTCATCTATGTCCCTACAAAGGACATGAACTCATCATTTTTTATGGCGGCATAGTATTCCATGGTGTATATGTGCCAATTTTCTTAATCCACTCTGTCATTGTTGGGCATTTGGGTTGGTTCCAAGTCTTTGCTATTGTGAATAGTGCTGCAATAAACATATGTGTGCACATGTCTTTATAGCAGCATGATTTATAATCCTTTGGGTATATACCCAGTAATGGGATTGCTGGGTCAAATGGTATTTCTAGTTCTAGATCCCTGAGGAATTGCCACACTGACTTCCACAATGGTTGAACTAGTTTACAGTCCCACCAACAGTGTAAAAGTGTTCCTATTTCTCCACATCCTCTCCAGCACCTGTTGTTTCCTGACTTTTTAATGATCGCCATTCTAACTGGTGTGAGATGGGGTATCTCATTGTGGTTTTGATTTGCATTTCTCTGATGACCAGTGATGATGAGCATTTTTTCATGTCTTTTGGCTGCATAAATGTCTCCTTTTGAGAAGTGTCTGTTCATATCCTTCGCCCACTTGTTGATGGGGTTGTTTTTTTCTTGTAAATTTGTTTGAGTTCATTGCAGATTCTGGATATTAGCCTTTTGCCAGATGAGTAGATTGCAAAAATTTTCTCCCATTCTCTAGGTTGCCTGTTCACTCTGATGGTAGTTTCTTCTGCTGTGTAGAAGCTCTTTAGTTTAATTAGATCCCGTTTGTCAATTTTGGCTTTTGTTGCCATTGCTTTTGGTGTTTTAGACATGAAGTCCTTGCCCATGCCTATGTCCTGAATGGTATTGCCTAGGTTTTCTTCTAGGGTTTTTATGGTTTTAGGTCTAACATTTAAGTCTTTAATCCATGTTGAATTAATTTTTGTATAAGGTGTAAGGAAGGGATCCAGTTTCAGCTTTCTAGATATGGCTAGCTAGTTTTCCCAGCACCATTTATTAAATAGGGAATCCTTTCCCCATTTCTTGTTTTTGTCAGGTTTGTCAAAGATCAGATAGTTGTAGATATGTGGCATTATTTCTGAGGGCTCTGTTTTGTTCCATTGGTCTATATCTCTGTTTTGGTAGCAGTACCATGCTGTTTTGGTTACTGTAGCCTTGTAGCGTACTTTGAAGTCAGGTAGTGTGATGCCTCCAGCTTTGTTCTTTTGGCTTAGTATTGACTTGGCAATGTGGGCTCTTTTTTGGTTCCATATGAACTTTAAAGTAGTTTTTTCCAATTCTGTGAAGAAAGTCATTGATAGCTTGATGGGGATGGCATTGAATCTATAAATTACCTTGGTCAGTATGGCCATTTTCACAATATTGATTCTTCCTACCCATAAGCATGGAATGTTCTTCCATTTCTTTGTATACTCTTTTATTTCATTGAGCAGTGGTTTGTAGTTCTCCTTGAAGAGGTCCTTCACATCCCTTGTAAGTTGGATTCCTAGGTATTTTATTCTCTTTGAAGCAATTGTGAATGGGAGTTCACTCATGATTTGACTCTCTGTCTGTTATTGGTGTATAAGAATGCTTGTGATTTTTGTATATTGATTTTGTATCCTGAGACTTTGCTTTTAATAATAGCCATTCGGACAGGTGTGAGACAGTATCTCATTGTGGTTTTGATTTGCATTTCTCTAATGATCAGTGATGTTGAGCTTTTTTGCATATGTTTGTTGCCTGCATGTATGTCTTCTTTTGAGAAGTATCTGTTCATGCCCTTTGCCCACTTTTTAAATGGGATTGTTTGTTTTTGCTTGTAAATTTTTTTAAGTTCCTTGTAGATTCTGGATATTAGACAATTGTCAGCTGGATAGATTGCAAAATTTTTCTCCCATTCTGTAGGTTGTCTGTTCACTCTGATGATAGTTTCTTTTGCTGTGCACAAGCTTTTTAGTTTAATTAGATCCCATTTGTCAATTTTTGCTTTTGTTGCAATTGCTTTTGGCATTTTAGTTATGAAATCTTTGCCCATGCCTGTGTTCTGAATGGTATTGCCTAGATTTTCTTCTAGGGTTTTTATAGTTTTGGGTTTTACATTTAGGTCTTTAATCCATCTTGAGTTAATTTTTGTATGTGGTGTAAGGAAGGGGTCCAGCTTCAGTTTTCTGCATATGGCTAGCCAGTTCTCTCAGCACTGTTTATTAAATAGGGAATGCTTTCCCCATTGCTTGTTTTTGTCAGGTTTGTTGAAGAGCAGATGTTTGCAGGTGTGTAGTCTTAATTCTGAGTTCTCAATTCTGTTCCATTGGTCTATGTGTCTGTTCTTGTATCAGTACCATGCTGTTTTGATTACGGTAGCCTTGTAGTATAGTTTGAAGTTGGGTAGTATGATGCCTCTAGCTTTGTTCCTTTTGCTTAGGATTGTCTTGGCTACGCAGGCTCTTTTTTGGTTCCATATGCATTTAAAAATAGTTTTTCTAATTCTGTGAAGAATGTCAATGGTAGTTTAATAGGAATCACATTGAATCTATAAATTACTTTGGGCAGTGTGGCCATTTTCACAATACTGATTCTTCCTATTCGTGAGCATGGAATGTTTTTCCATTTGTTTGTGTCTTCTCTGATTTCTTTAAACAGTGGCTTGTAGTTCTCCTTGAAGAGGTCCCTCACTTCCCTTGTTAGCTGTATTCCAGTGCATTTTATTCTTTTTGTGGCAATTTGTGAATGGGAGTGCATTCATGATTTGGATCTCTGCTTTCATGTTGTTGGTGTATAGGAATGCTAGCAACTTTTGCATATTAATTTTGTATGCTGAGACTGCTGAAGTTGCATATCATCTTAAGAAGCTTTTGGGCTGAGACAACGGAGTTTTCTAGACATAGGATCATGTCTTCTGCAAGCAAAGATAAATTGACTTCCTCTCTTCCTATTTGAATATCATTTATTTCTTTCTCTTGCCTGATTGCCCTAGCCAGAACTTCCAATATTGTATTGAATAGAAGTGGTGACAGAGGGCATCCTTGTCTTGTGCCAGTTTTCAAGGCCTTCCCCTCACTCTTATCAACACCAGATACTTCTACTCTTCTACATCCTTGTCAGTCTAGTCAAAGAAAAATGATCTTATTGCTTTAATTTATGTTATTTGATCACTACCATATCTTTGCATTTCTTCTACGAATTGTCTGTTAGCTCTTTGAATGATTTTGGTCAAAAAATATCGACTTTCTCAGCATGTCCTTTCCTAGTTTAAGATTGTTCATGGGCATGCAGTGGGACTTACTGTTTAGTGCTGAGTTGTGTGGCTGTTTTCTGAGGTTAACATTTATTGAGCACATACTATGGGCCAGGCACTAGACAGCACCATCCCTGCCTTGTCTCATTTAACTCTCATCATAATTCTTGGGAGGTGAACTACGGTGAGACACTGAGACTTAGAGAGAGCGCCTCACTCTTCAACAGCTAATCACCAGCAGGATTACCTACGTGCTTTATTAGTGTTAACTAAAGGTGACTACATTGCATATGGAGCAAGTTGGCAGTGAGAAAAAATGACTCTTGAGCATGGTGGGATAGTGGATTAACAAATGGTGTTTGCTTTGGGCTCACAGTTATGCTATTCCATCCTCAAGGCCTTGCTGCAGGGCCCTTATCAAGACTTAAGTGAGTTGCAAATCTGCTCTGTCTTTATGGTGTATGTGGTGTGTGTGTGTACAGTGTGTGTAGTGTGTGTGGGTGTATGGTGTATGTGTGTATGAATGTGTGTGTTGTGTGTGTGTATGGTGCGTGTGTGGTGTGTGTAGTGTGTGTGATATTTGTGTGAGATCATGTGTTGGGTGTGTGTTGTGGATTGTGTGTTTATGTTGTGGACATGTTTGTATTGTGTGTGGTGTTAGGATGTATGGAATGTATGTATGGTGTATGTGGTGTGGTGTGTCTATAGTTTGTGTGCATGGTGTGTGTATGTGTGTAGTGTGTGCATTGTATGTGTTGTGGATATGTGCTGTGTTTATTGTGTGTGGTGTATAGGGTGTGTAGGCTATATCTATGGTGTGTATGTGTGGTGTGTATTAGTGTGTGGTCCCTGTATTGTGTGTGGTGTATGGAGTGTGTAGGGGGTGTGTTTCGTGTGTGTAGTGTGTTTGTGTTGTGGATATGTGTTGTGTTTATTGTGTGTGCTGTATGGGATGCGTGGGGGTATGCATGTTGTGTCTGTGGTGTGGTGTGTGTGTAGTGTGTGGTCTGTATGTGATGTGTGGGGTGTGTGGTGGGTATGTATGGTGTGTATGTGTGTGAGTGGTGTAGTGTGTGTAGTGTGTGGTCTGTATGTGGTGTGTGGGGTGTGTTTAGTGTGTTTGTGTTGTGGATATGGGTTGTGTGTATTGTGAATGGGGTGTGTGGGGATATGTATGGTGTGTGTGGTGTGGTGTGTGTAGTGTATTATCTGTGTGTATTGTGTGGTGTGTGGGGGTATGTATGGTGTGTATGTGTGCAGTGTGTGTAGTGTGTGGTCTGTCTGTGGTGTGTGGGGTGTGTTTAGTGTGTTTGTGTTGTGGATATGGGTTGTGTGTATTGTGAATGGGGTGTGTGGGGATATGTATCGTGTGTGTGGTGTGGTGTGTGTAGTGTATTATCTGTGTGTATTGTTTGGTGTGTGTGGGGTATGTATGGTGTGTATTTGTGCGGTGTGTGTACTGTGTGGTCTGTATGTGGTGTGTGGGGTGTGTGGGGGTATGTATGGTGTTTATGTGTGTGGTGTATGTAGTGTGTAGTCTGTGCTTATCGTGTGTGGTGTATGAGGTGTGTGGGGGTTATGTATAGTGTATGTGTGTGTCGTCTGGTGTGTGTGGTGTGTGGGGTACATATGGTGTGTATGTGTGTGGTGTATGCAGTGTGTGGTCTGTGTATATTGTGTGTGGTGTATGGGGTGTGTGGGGTATTTATATTGTATGTGTGTGGTGTGGTGTGTGTATTGTGTGTGGGATGTGTATGATGTGTGTGTGGTGTGGTGTGTGCAGCGTTTGGTTTGTGTATTGTGTGTGGTGTATGGGTGTGTGTGGGATATGTATAGTGTATGTGTGTGGTGTGGTGAGTGTAGTGTGTGTGGTGTGTGGGATGTGTGGCGGGTATGTATGGTGTGTAGTGTGTGGTGCGTGTAGTGTGTGATCTGTGTGTATTGTGTGTGGTGTATGGGGGGTGTGGGGGGTATGTATAGTGTATGTGTGTGGTGTGGTGTATTGTGTGTACTGTGTGTGGTGTGTGGTGTGTGCGTGGGTGTGTATGGCATGTGTGTGTGGTGTGAAGTGTCCAGTGTTTGGTCTGTGTTTATTGTGTGTGGGGTGTGGGGTGTGTATGGTGTGTGCGTGTGGTGCAGTGTGTGTAGTGTGTGGTCTGTGTGTGGTGTATGGGGTGTGTGTGGGGGTATATATGGTGTGTGTGTGGTATGGTATATATGTGTATATGTGGTGCGTAGTATGCGTGTATGTTCCACACCAGACTTGAGGAGATTGTTTACCAGGCTCTCCCTGGCAAACACCCCAGGAGGCTGCAGGCGGAGGGATGGGTTTCCAGGGACAGAAGCGGCAGCTCTCACTGCAGGAGGCGCCATTTCCTGAGACCAGAGAAGCCAGGTTGTGTGGGAGAAGCCATCTTGGGGAAGGCCCAGCTCCTCACCAACTTGGGAGGATGTCGCTTCACCCCATGGCCTATCCTGGCTGGGAAGGAGAGCATCCCAGCAGTCAGGAGTGTGGACAGAAAAATGAAAAAGCTTTCAGAATATTCTACTCGGCATTAGGGCCCCAGGACCGTGTAGAGCTGGGAGGAGGTTCCTATAATGCTGGAGGTTGAATTTTCATCAACTGAGTGGGATGCAGATTCTGACTCAGATTTCATTTGCTTTTTGGGAAAATAATAGACACTTCTTGTATTCCCACGTTAATGTTTGCAAGTTCATTTTCACTACATGGAAAGAACATATCGTAGGCATATCTTACTAATGTATCCAAGGCATTAACACACAAAAAGATGCAGATGAATAAAATGATTTTAGCTCAGCAAGCAAATGGGTAAATGGGTACCAGAACACTAAACAACGAAGTTTGGGTGAAGCTTTGCATCTGGTTCCTATTAACCAAATTTGAGACAAAATATGCATTCCAAGTTTCCTGCCACTTAATTTAAAAAGCAATTTGGATTCAGGGGTCTCAGCTGAAGCTTGGTTTCAGCAATCCCATAGGCATTGAAACCACAAGCAGCCATAATGAGCCAGGCAGGCTCATAATTTCTTTCCCATATTGTAAAAGCAGTAACAACCACCTCTCAGAATATTTGGAAAATAGACAGTCGTCTCTCAAATCTCCTTCCAAATATAACTTTTAGCACTTTATGGGACATTCTTTCAGTATTGTTCTTGTGAAAATGGAAAGGATGTTATGTATATATTTGTGTGTGTGTATATATGACACATACACACATATATACACACATTTGTATTTATATTAGTATGAAAACACTCATACAATAGAAAATGGGGTGTACCATCTTTTAAGTTTTTTTTTTTTTATGTTGTAACATGGACATCATGACCCTTGTTTTTCTTCTTGCTTATAGATGTATAAGATGCTTCAGATGTATATCCTAGTTCCTAAACTATCTTCTGTGGCAGGTCATCAGGATGCCACTGATTTTTTGCTACTGGAAATAATGGTGTAGTCAAAACCTTTGTGCAGAAAGCTGTCAGTCAGAGGCAGGAACTTCTGAGGCTCAATGTTTTCCTTATGTCACCAAATCGCTTTCTAAAGGGCTGTGCCATTGTGCATCCAGCAGAGCCTATTTCACATACCTGTATCAGCTCTGTCCACCTTACTCTGAGGGTGCCTGGAAGATTCCGCTGCCTCTCCTCTTGCAGGACTACTGAGGGAGACTCGGGGCACCAACCCAGGCCATGGTTTTCCTCTGATGTTCAGTGTGCTGTCACCTTTGATAGTCTTAATTGGAAATAGAGACAAAAGCCCTTGGACCACAGCTTCCCCTTAACCTCCCATGATGGTCAGATTTCTGTGTCATCTTAACTGGCCACAGCCCCCAATTACCTAATCGAACACTGGCCTAGGTGTTGCTGTGAAAGTATTATGCAGATATGATTAAAGTTCATCATCGGCTAATTTAAGTAAGGGAGATTATCGTAGATGATCTGGGTGGGCCTGGTTCAATCAGTCAGAAGGCCTCAAGGGCAGAGTGAAGGCTTCCCTGAGGAGGAAGAAATTCTGCCCGTGGACAGCAGCCTCCACCCATGCCCATTCCAGCTTGGCCTTCCACAATGCTTCCAGATGGATTTGAAACTTGCCTAGCCAGCCCCATAATCATGTAAGTCAGTTCCTTGTGATAATTCTCTTAGTATGTGCCTCCGACTGGTTCTGCTTTTCTGGTTGGACCCTGACTGATACCCTCCCCAGGACCATTGCCATCTGCCTCCTGTCTTTTTGTCTGTCTCCCTACTTTTCCTGTCCAACCTCTCTCCCCATTCCTCTGTGAAAGGACTTTCCTTATACCTTCCCAGAGCCATCTGAGCAGACAAAGCATAAAGAGAGAAATCAATAACTAATCAGGAGCCATAAATCAGGAGGCATTTTCAACTTTCTACCTGTTTTCTTCACCATCAAACATTTCATTATAAAAAGTTTCAAACTATAAAAACTTTGGAGGCTGGGAGTGGTGGCTCACGCCTGTAATCCCAGCACTTTGGGAGGCCGGGGCGAGTGGATCACGAGGTCAGGAGATCGAGACCATCCTGGTTAACATGGTGAAACCCCCTCTCTACTAAAAATACAAAAAATTAGCCAGGCGTGGTGGCAGACGCCTGTAGTCCCAGCTACGCGGGAGGCTGAGGCAGGAGAATGGCGTGAATCTGGGAGGCGGAGCTTGCAGTGAGCCAAGATCATGCCACTGCACTCCAGCCTGGGCAACAGTGCAAGACTCCATCTCAAAAAAAAAAAAAAAAGAACTTTGGAAATTATATAGTAAATGTCCACACAACCCAGATTCTATTAACATTTATTACACTCACTTCTGTTATCTATCCATTCATGGATCCCCCTACTCATCCATTAATCCATTTTCTTCTTTGCTGCATTTCAGAGCAGAAATAGTAATTTCTTAGAAATTAATTAATTTCTGCAGATATTAATACCCTTCTCACTAAGTACTTCAGCATATACCTCATTAATCAGAATTTAATATTTATTTATAGCTCTTTTTTGGAGGAAAATTTCTTTCAACAAAATGCTCCAATCTAAAGTATACCATCCAATGAGTTTTGACAAATGCATCTACCCGTGTAACCCGAACTTCATCAATAGGGCATTTACATCGCCCAAAAGTCTCCCATGTTCATTTCCAACCTGTGTTTCATTCCAACACAACCAACTGCTAATCTGATTTATTTTCCTCCACAGATTATTTTTGTTTGTTCCGGAAATGCATAAATATGGAATGATAAAGAATGCACTCTTTTGAGTCTGGCTTCTTTCCTTCAGCACAATCGTCTTTAGATTCATGCATGTTACTGCGTGTATCCCTTGTTTGTTCCATTTTGCAGCTGACAAACATTTCCTTGTATGAATATACCATAGTTTGCTTTTTTTTTTTCCTATTGATGAATATCTGGGTTGTTTTGTCTATTATAAATACAGCTGCTATAAATGTTCTTGTGTAAATATTTTGGTGGATATATGTTTTTCATATATGTTGGGTTTATATCTAGAATTGAAATTGCTGTGTCATAGGGTGGAATTATGTTTGATTTTATATAAAGCCGCCAGAACTTTTCTCAAAGTTATTGAGCTATTTTACACTTCCACTAGTGATGTTTGAGGATTCTGAGAGCTCTACATCCTTACCAACACTTGGTACAGTCTATCTTTTATTTTTAGACATTCTGGTGGTGTGTAGTGATACTTCATGTTGGTTTTAGTTGCATTTTCCTGATGACTAATCACGTTGCGCTCTTTTTCAAGGTAACACTCTTTGAACATATGTTGTATACCCTGAATCATCATCTACCCCATCTTCATGGGGAATCATGGAGACCTAGTCAAGAATTGCATCCTGAGATTTTATCATGAGTAGAGTCTGCATGAAGCCAAGGTGGAATTCTCCACTCCAGTGGTGAATGTGGAGCCAGAGAGGCCTCCTACACATGCCAGGTTCCCAGAAGTGGTGGCGTCCAAAAAAAGGCAGTGGAACCTAGGTTTGAAGCTGTGTGTGAAGCAAAAGAGCAAGGGGGCCAGTGAGGGCCGTAGGCATGGTAAGGGCCAAGGGGACTGTGAAGACCATGGGGACAGTGAGGATCATGGGGCCAGTGAGGATCATGGGGACAGTGAGGACCATAGGGACAGTGAGGACCATGTGGACTGTGAGGACCATGGGAACAGTGAGGAACATGGGGACAGTGAGGAACATGGGGATTGTGAGGACCATGGTGACAGGACCATGGGGACAGTGAGGATCATGGGGACTGTGAGGAACATGGGGATTGTGAGGACCATGGGGACAGTGAGGATCATTGGGACATTGGGGACCATGGGGACAGTGAGGATCATTGGGACATTGGGGACCATGGGGACAGTGAAGATCATGGGGACATTGAGGACCATGGGGACAGTGAGGATCATTGGGACATTGGGGACCATGGGGACAGTGAGGATCATGGGGACATTGGGGACCATGGGGACAGTGAGGATCATGGGGACATTGAGGACCATGGGGACAGTGAGGATCATGGGGACAGTGAGGACCATGGGGATTGTGAGGAACTTGGGGATTGTGAGGAACATGGGGGCAGTGAGGACAATAGGGATGGTCATGATCATGGGGACTGTGAGGACCATGGAGATTGTGAGGACCATGGGGACAGTGAGAATCATGGGGTCAATGAGGACCATGGGACTAATGACACCCTTTGTTCTGGGATTTTTGAGTGTCTGGTTTTTTTTTTCACACATCAGCAATGGGTTATGTAGGGATATCTTGAGGTGAACTAATGATTGGGAACAATTTTACAATTAGGGGAATAGATTTTTCTGAATTAGTATGTAATCTTTACATAAAAAACACTGAACATGTTTCTCTTGCCCTTATTGTAAGCATTTCCCTCCATCTGTATTTTAAGGTTCCATCTTGGTAAGTAGCAACCCCATTTAAAGTGTGGGGTGCAGGGGAGTGGGATTGTGTGGTGGCTATCAGATGTTTATGAGTAATTTAATGTCTAACCTTTAATGCCTCTGCCATTCTGCCATCACTGACAACTATGATTAAGTAAGGATTTTAACTTAGATAAATGTGACAGGCATTCAGGAAAGACAAAGAGGTTTGCTGGTGAGCATTACTCAAAGCAAGACTTCAGTCAGAATCTATGCAAGTCAAGCTCTTGGAGTAAAAATGATTTGCTTCTCTAAGGACTCGAAATAATTCACCTACAGAGGAAAATGGATGGGAGCTGTTGGGTGGTGCGCCCTGCTCTAAGCAAAGCATATTTCGCAAAGTTGGACTTTTACAAAGGATACGAAAATGAAGGGTGCTTTTATATTTTAAACAGTTTTTGGTAGATAACAGCTCCCTAGAGAATTCATTCAAATTCCAAGTCTTTCTCCAGTCAGAACATAATTTGATTGTTAAAAATGTATCTCAGGCAACTGATTCCACCGGGCAGGCACAGTCTCAGTGCAAGAACGGGGCCTCCCTGGTTGCTGTGGAGCCGTCTTCTTCCCAGGAAACCTGGCAGCAGGGGCTAGCAAGCATGCCAGGCAGCCCTGGTTTGTGTGGGGCCTTGGTCTTTGGTGGCTGGGCAGAGCAAGGCAGGACTCACTGGGGTCCTTCTGACTCAGTCTTGGCTACACTGCAGTGACTGGGGGAAGTGAGGGAGTAAGTGATTGATTGATTGAGTGAATGAATGAATGAATGAGTGAATGACCCTGAGGAGCTCACGAGGCGGGGGAAATTGTAAGAACAGGATCGTATGCTTCCCAGGGAGTCCCTCATGAATACTTTGGACCCTTTAAGTCAGCTAGGGTGTTTACTACCGGCACCCCAAAAGGACCCATGGCAGGGCAGCTGTGCTGTAAGATCAGGGAAGAGGAGGTGGAATAGGGGTTGATGTGGGGTGGGGAGGTCAGTGGGGCCCTGCCCTTGGCCTGGAATTGTCACCCCACCTGGTTTGGTCTTCTCACCATGGCTTATAGGTCACCCCATGCCCTCCATTCCAGAATTCTGCTATACCAAGACAAAAGAAAACATTCAAGAGTGGCCTAAAGCACCTGGTTTATTCTCACCTGTAGCTAACTTGCATCTTTCCCTGTATCACTACTCATGCCTGCACCCAGGCTTGGAGAAAGCCTATGGAATGCAGGCCCTAGAGCAGGCCCTACCACAACCCAGCTTCACTCTTGGCAAATAATTGGGTCTGTGTTGTCAAAGAAAAAAAATTATTCACTTACTTGCTAAAGCACAGATAGGCTTTAACCAGCACAATAGTGTAAGGTCCACTGCAATGGGGTCTTGCAGTGGGAAGAGAGATTGGGCCCAACTCCAAATACAAGGGAAAGTGGGAGTCTACAGCCAAGGGGCGAGGTGGGGAGGGGAGTAATCAGTGGATGGAAAATTACTAAGAGGAAATCTCAGGTGTGGGGGATTCTGGCTAACAGGCCTTTTGCTGAATGCAGGCCAGGGTGACCAGACACCACCGGGGGAGTAGCGGGGGATGGGGAACCCAGATACTGAGAGTGATCAGATATCAAGGGTGGGGTTTCTGACAATACCAATTTAGCAAGATTCTTGCTAAAATCAGACAATGCAGAGAAAAGCATGAGAGTCCAAAAGTCAGGCCTAGTTGGAAAAGAGTTCAGCAGAGCCTGGGTAGAGTTTGGTCCAGGAGAGAATCTTTGCTGTGTTTTCTCACAAATAAAATGAGTTGAAGTAAATGATCTCTAACAATTCTATGATCATTTTGTTGTCCCTTTAAGGCTTCCTTGGAGCATTTCTTGTTTTCTCAACTAGAATATTGCTGTCTCAGGGCAACACCGTGAAACCCACATCATTCCACAGCCACCAACAGAGGCACTTAGTGGACGCTCGCCACGTGTGTCTTTACTGGATTGGGAGGTGGCATGGGTTCCGATCAATCCAGCTGCTGGGATGATGGGGAAGCTTCTGAAACATTTGTTTCTGTTTAAAAGAGAATATATGATAAGCGAGAAAACCTCAGCTGATGTGGGAAGGGCAGCAACAATCTGAAAAAAGCAGCTTGGGACTTGACTCAGCGCAGCAAGCTGGTTTGAATTCAACCCCTGCCTCCTACCATTGCTAATTCATTCCCTGGGGGAAATGTGTGTTGTTCCTGTAGCTCCTGCTTCAGTTCCCCATCCGTGTGGAGAAGTTTCAGTTATATACAGAAGTAGAAAGGATGACACAATGAATGCAGGTATTCCTGCTGTAGCAGAGGCCACTGTGCCCAGCCCACGCCCTTGGTCTTGGCAGGTCCCAGCACAGTTCCCTTGGGTGCTGATGGTCCTGCCCTGCTGTGAAACAGCCTGAGCGCAAGGCTGGCCAGACACCCCAGGGGCTGCCATCAGCTGGCCAGAGGGGCAGAATTGGCTAACAAAGACCCCTGCCTCTTTGCCCTCGAGGAATGGCTCTTGGAGGTCCTGCAGTCTCTTAGAGTGTTCAGATGTCCATTCCTTAAACCCCTACATTTTGCTTTCTTTCCTCCCCTGACTCACTTCCTGTCTCCCTCATGTGTTTCTGGGTCACCTCCCAATTCCTGTGTCAGAGCTGGCTTCGGGGAACCCAAACCGACACACTCCCACTCAGGACTCAGAAGTTATCACGATTTTGCCACACTTGCTTTATGCCTTCCCTTTCTTCTGAAATATTTTAAAACAAATTCTAGACATCATGAAATGATCTGGATCTACTCCAGGGGGGTAAAAAACAGAGCCACCTCCTGGATATGGCTCCCACACACAGGATTGCAGGTTCATTCACCTTTCCCACCCCTTCCCTCATCCGGCAAGTGGGCCCAGACTCTGTATGTGCCATCTGGAGACAAGTTGGGAACATGCCAATCCGTGTAGTGCTATTTTTCTTTTAACACATAAACCTAGAATCTTAAGTTGTGGGCGGGTGTGATAAAGTATGGGAAGATTCACTTTAAAAAAGGTCATCTTTCATTAGACAAAAGATATGGAGTTGGGAAGAGGATCGGTCCTTAGTGAGCCAAGTCCAAACTGCAGCCTAAGTGGGAGAGGTTGGCTTGCTATAAAAGACCAGCAGAAAGACATCACTTGGCACCAATGTTGCTTCACAGGGCATTGTTTCATGAGGGCCAGTTCCCCTCAGTTACCTGCATTAATGCAGTGATGTGGTCTTGACACGTGGCCTTTCCCTAAAGCAGGCCTTTTCTCTTTCTCTCAGCCTCCAAAGAGGCTTGGTGAGGGTGAAACACCATGGCTTTCTCTCTTTCAGCAGAATCGAGAGGCCAGTTTGCAAAGAGAGGTAGGTTCTTTCCATGTTGTCTTGAGAGTTTCCTTTGCCGTTGGCGTTGGTAGTGAGAGACATAAGGGCGTCAGGACATTTCGACAGATGGCAGGGACAAGCCTCCTGTCAGCCCTGTCCTCTGAGTGGTGGAGTTGAACACAGCTCTCCTGCTCTTCACGATTGCATATGGCGTGTAATCTTTGGACTTTGAGCAGAAACCCTGTCTTGGTGTGTCTGTGACAGGTGAGCAAGCGGCTTTGCTCTGAGGATTTCATAATGCACATTCCCTTGTAGAGACAGGTCTTGTCTTCCTGTTAAACAAAATGCTGCTTACCTCCTGGGTCCAACCAGAAACGATGTGTTGCTGATCACTGCCCAACTTGGAGACAAGTTCTCCCTGGGGTGGGGGTGAGAGAAGGTGGTCAGTGTGGCGAGTAAACAAATGGGGATGCCCAGTGCCTGCTGGCTGTGGTGTCTGCCTGCGTGAGTGCATGACAAATAATTTTTCATCTCTCAGAGAGCCACTGAAGGTATCAGTAATAAAATAAGATGTATATTTTTATTTTACTTTCACCATAAATCAAGGAGAAAGAGAGGGAAGGTAGACGTGCTTAGAATCTCCATTTTACAGTTGGGGAAACTGAGGCCAGGGCTGGGGTGCCTTGTTGATGGGGACGGACTTGGTTACAGTGCTGGGAGGCTGGGCATGGTATCTTTTTTTTTTTTTTTTTTGAGACACATTCTCGCACTGTAGCCCAGGCTGGAGTGCAGTGGCGCGATCTCGGCTCACTGCAACCTTCGCCACCTGGGTTCAAGCGATTCTCCTGCCTCAGCCTCCCACGTAGCTGGAATTACAGGTGCCCACCACCATGCCCAGCTAATTTTTTTTATTTTTAGTAGAGACGGGGTTTCACTATGTTGGCCAGGCTGGTTTCAAACTCCTGACCTCGTGATCAGCCCCCCTCCGCCTCCCAAAGTGCTGGGATTACAGGCATGAGCCACCGCGCCTGGCTGGGCATGGTATCTTTGAATCAATTTTGAAATGCAAGCGCTTGGAAGCTAGGATAGTCATCCTGCCTCTTACTCACCTCTGTCCAGGCTTGGTGGCCCTTCTGAGGAGGTCACTGTGTGGCGGCCGGGAATGCCCCGCTCCTGCCCCCTCAGTGGACATCGGGGGATTCTCACGGCTGTGGGTGCCGTGCATCGGAGCTTTCCCAGTAGAGGCCTCTTCACAGCAATGCCCCTGGAGGTGAAGACGAAGCCAGGGCACTGTTGTGTGTTTGTGCTCCCGGCTGATTTATGAGCCTGGGTTGGGAACATTTCACATGATCCACAGTACAGCGTGGGAAGGGAATCACAGTACGGTTTCCTGACACAGAACAGCATTACTGACAAAGGCAAGCCAGGGTGTCCACAGGCTGGCTGAGAATCTGGGAAGCCACTCCAGCACCAAATGAGGTGGGGGTCAGTGATGTCTGGGGCCCTAGTGGATGAGGGTGCTGGCTTCGGGGAGTGGGAAACTGTCGTGAAGAGGCACAACCCTAAATGTACAGCACCTCCCCTCCTGCTGCCTGCTCCTGCCCCTTCCAGTTCCCCCAGAAGGTGCTGTCCTGCAAGAGCAACCGATCCAGGCCAAACGCTTATTTGGAACAAGGTTTGAAAACAACGTAACAATACAAACCCACAAGACTGGAGAGAACCACAGGGCAAATTTAAATTTAAAAAACTTCTGTTACATCAGTTTTCATTCAAAACCTTTTGGTAGGAGGTTAGTTCTTTGAAAATAATAATAAAAAAGTAAATAAGGAAACAAGTTAAAGGTGGACTCATGGAAGAGGAAGAGAAACACTTTTATCTCCTCTCTGCATCTACAAAAAGGTGCTGCCTCCCTCAATCTATAGTCTATAGGCTGAGACTGAGGCCGAGGGGCCACACACACGGCTTGAGGCCATGCGGCCCCAGCCTTGCTCTCTGAGAGTCGCTGGCTCTCTGCACTGTCTCTGGAGCCATCAGAGAAGCTGCAGATGGGAAAGGCCGCAGAGCCTCTCCTCCCGCGGCGCCGGGGCCCCAGGAGTCAGTGGTGCTCTGTTCTTTGAGGCTCAAATATATTACTCTGTAAACTGCCACTCTTTGACATCTTTTAGCGCCAGCTTCTCCAGATTGACAGATGCCATCTACTATAGGATGAACTGTATCTCCCCAAAATAAATTGAAGCCCTAGGCACCAGTGCCTCAGAATGGAGATGGGGTCTTTATGGAGGTGATTAAGTTAAAATGAGGTTATGAGGTTGTGGCTGGGTGCAGTGGCTCATGCCTATAATCCCAGTAGTTTGGGAGGCCGAGGCGGGCGGATCACCTAAGGTCAGGAATACGAGACCAGCCTGGCCAACATGGCGAAATCCTGTCTCTACTAAAAATACAAAAAATTAGCCAGGTGTGGTGACACACACCTGTAATCCCAGCTACTTGGGAGGCTGAGGCAGGAGAATTGTTTGAACCTGGGAGGTGGAGGTTGCGGTGAGCAGACATTGTGCCACTGCACTCCAGCCTAGGCAACAGAGTGAGACTCTGTCTCAAAAAAAAAAAAAAAAAAAAAGAGACAGGTTTTATGGGTGACCCTAATCCAGCAGGACTAGCGTCCTATAAGGAGAGGAGATAAGGTCACAGACACACACAGAGGGATGACCATGTGGGGACGCAGGGAGAAGCTGCCTGCAAGCCAAGGAGAGAGGCCTCAGAGGAGCCAACCCTGCTGCCACCCTGTCTCAGACTTCCAGCCTCCAGCGCTGTGAGATAACGCGTTTCTGTTGTCTAAGGCACCCTGTGGTGCTTTGCTTTGGCCGCCTGAGCTGACTGAGACATCAACCACGGTTGTGCAAATGTGTTTTCTTGAGCCAGTTCTGCCTTCTCCACAAAGCAGAGAACTGGATTTCAGGACACCCACAGATCACTGAGCTGGCTGCGGGGTATTCACTCAGCCTGTCACTGATGAGTCCTTTCTATCAGTCTCACTATTATTATGCTGTGAAAGATGTATTAGTTAATAGTTTTCCATTTTTATAACCCATAAACAGTGCCTGTGAGTAGCACAGCAAGATTAGTTTTATATGCAATATTGATGGAATTTCAAAATGAAAACCAAATAGTTTGGTCAGCAACCTTGGTGGTAAATGTGTAAGTTCTACCAGGCTGCTTGAAAATAGCCTGTAGATGGGCGTGGTTGGCTTTTTGTCCCCTAGACCAGACATTTGGCAAATTTATGCCAGGAAAAGGAAAACCAGAGAAAAATCCAGGGCAGACAGGCACACCTAGCTCTTGCTGAACCACGTAAAGTCACTGCTGAAAATGCTAACACTAAAGGAAAGTTGTTCAATGAAAAATATTTCCATGAATGTTAATGGGGAGACTTTTGAAGCGTTCCATCCCACCCAAGTGATCGAACAATTTTCAGATAGAAAAATAGGTCAATTGAACAATGAAAACAAGTTTATAAAAGCAATAGGCAATCCTTTGAAAGCAAATAATAGAGTCTGTACAAAATATACAGCTTAATGAAGCTTCATGGTTCTGGATGAAGGAGAAAGCTAAGACCCGCAGGGGTGGGGGTGGAGCTGGATGATGTGGGAGGATCTCCTGGTATGTTTGTCCTTCTGTGTCCGGAATTGGTGAATTCTTCGTCTCACTGACTTCAAGAATGAAGCTGCGGACCCTCGCGCTGAGTGTTACAGTTCTTAAAGATGGTGTGTCTGGAGTTTGTTCCTTCTGATGTTCGGACATGTTCGGAGTTTCTTCCTTCTGGTGGGTTTGTGGTCTCGCTGGCTTCAGCAGTGAAGCTGCAGACCTTCGCAGTGAGTGTTACAGCTCTTAAGGTGGTGGGTCTGGAGTTGTTCATTCGTCCCGGTGGGTTCGTGGTCTCGCTGGCCTCAGGAGTGAAGCTGCAGACCTTTGCAGTGAATGTTACAGCTCATAAAGGCAGTGCGGACCCAAAAAGTGAGCAGCAGCAATATGTATTGCAAACAGCAAAAAAACAACACTTCCACAGTCTGGAAAGGAGCCAAGTGCGTTGCCACTGCCGGCTTAGGGCAGCGTGCTTTTATTCCCTTATATGGCCCCACCCACATCCTGCTGATTGGTCCATTTTATAGAGAGATGATTGGTCTGTTTTACAGAGAGCTGATTGGTCCGTTTTGACAGGTTGCTGATTAGTGCGTTTACAATCCCTGAGCTAGACCCAAAAGTTCTCCAAGTCCCCACTAGATAAGCTAGACACAGAGCACTGATTGGTGCATTTACAAACCTTGAGCTAGATACAGGGTGCTGATTGATGTGTTTACAAACCTTGAGGTAGACACAGAGTGCCAATTGGTGTATTTACAATTCCTTAGCTAGACGTAAAGGTTCTCCAAGTCCCCACCAGACTCAGGAGCCCAGCTGGTTTCACCTAGTGGATCCCTCACCAGGCCGCAGGTGGAGCTGCCTGCCAGTCCTGTGCAGTGTGCCTGCACTCCTCAGCCCTTGGGCAGTCGATGGGACATGACACCACGGAACAGGGGGTAGCACTTGTCGGGGAGGCTCTGGTGAGCCCACAGCAGCGGGGAGGCTCGGGCATGGCAGGCTGCAGGTCCGGAGCCCTGCCCCGCGGGGAGGCAGCTGCGGCCCAGTGAGAATTTGAGCGCAGCGCTGGCAGGCCAGCACTGCTAGGGCACCCAGTGCACCCTCTGCAGCTGCTGGCTCGGGTGCTAAGCCCTTCACTGCCCGGGGCTAGTGGCGCCGGCGGGCTGCTCTGAGTGCAGGGTGACCCAGCCCACGCCTACCTGGAACTCGCGCTGGCCCGTGAGGGCCGCACTTCGCAGCCCAGGTTCCCACCCACCCCTCTCCCTCCACACCTACCCGCAAGCAGAGGGAGCCAGCACCAGCCCCAGCCAGCCCGGAGAAGGGCTCCTACAGTGCAGCCGTGGGCTGAAGGGCTCCTCAAGCGCACCTAGAGCACTGAGGCCGAGGAGGCACCAAGAGCCAGCGAGGGCTGCCAGCATGCTGTCACCTCTCACTTCCTTATCCATTCTTTCATTCTTTTATTCCTTTACTTTCTTAATAAACTTGCTTTCACTTTGCTGTATGGACTTGCCCTGAATTCTGTCTTGCAAGAGATCCAAGAATCCTCTCTTGGGGTTTGGATTGAGATCCCTTTCCAGTAACATCTTCCTGGTGACCATGGAAGGGACAATACTGGGGAACACCCCTGTCCCCCATCACCCAAAGGCTAACTTTGGGTAAGTGGTGGGGTCTGGTAACATCTTCTTGGCACACCACCAAAGGGACAATACTGAAGAGGTCCCTTACCCAAAGGAAAATCATCTGCATCTTTAGCTTGTTTCTTTTTTTTTGGTTTTGTTTTGTTTTTTTTTTTTTTTGGAGATGGAGTGTCACTCTGTCACCCAGGCTGGAGTGCAGTGGCGCGATCTCAGCTCACTGCAACCTCTACCTCCTGGGTTCAAGTGATTCTCCTGCTTCAGCCTCCTGAGTAGCTGGGATTACAGGTGCGTGCCACCACCCCAGGCTAATTTTTGTATTTTTAGTACGGACGGGGTTTCACCATGTTGGTCAGGCTGGTCTCAAACTCCTGATCTCGTGATCTGCCTGCCTCGGCCTCCCAAGGTGCTGGGGTTACAGGCGTGAGCCACCTCACCCAGCCAGTTTGTTTCTTTATTGACTAAGTTTTTTAATTTTTATTTTCAAAGAGCTAACTTCCTTCTAAAAGGTTTTGAATGTAAACGGATGTAACAGAAGATTTTTAAAATTTTAATTTGCCCTGCGGTTCTCTCCAGTCTTGTGGGTTTGTGTGGGCTTGTGGGTTCAATTGGCCAACTTCGGGTAAGTGGGGTGCACTTATCCTGGTAAAGGATGAGATTGGGTTAGAGGCCCAACTTAGGGTAGTTACAGCCTCTCCTAAGACAGAGTGGGTGAAAGGCCCCTCTTAATAAAAGGCAAGGATGCTTGACTGAATTTGGGTTTGAGGCCCACCTTAGGAAGGTTAGAATGATTCCTAAGATTTAGGGGGTTAGAGGTCCCTCTCAGTAAAGTCCCTCTCAGCTAAGAATGAGTTTGGCCCTATGGGATGTTAACACATATTCTCTTTGGAATAATCTACCTTAGACTCTTTGCTGATGGCTGTAGGTGATGGGACTAGGCATTTACAGGATCATGGGACATGGGGAGCTTTTTTCTCCCCAAAAGGGGAAACTTGAGAGCTGATGGAACTACTAGAAAAGATCCCCTCAAGGCTGACAAATGGCCACCTGAACTTTCGATTCTGTGTTGCTGCAATGGATGGGTTTTTCCCTGGCCTCCCTGAACGCTTTGCCTTCCCACTCTGCCACAGGCAATGCTTTTCTCTCTCTCCATTCCCTTTCTTATCTTTTCTATTACTCAGGGGGACCATCTTGCCCAGAGACCACATGTTGAAATTTCTGGTCGGAGTTTGGATTAACGACGACGGGGCCCAGTGGAGTACAAGTTTGAGCAGTAGCAGTTTGATATTGGGTGCTAAGCAGGGCAGCTAGTGTCTGTTTTGTTGCATGTATTTTGTTCTCACCAGAATGGAAAACGATCATTTTTCTTTGTGTTGTGGCTTGGCCCCCAGGGCTGTGGTGCAGCTAGCTGGGTCACCAGGGCTGCTCAGGGAAAGGGATCCCAGAAGCCTGGCACGGTGGCCAAAGGGTAAGAATTTCTTACCAGCCAGACTTCTGGCCTCTCCCTCTCTCTTTCTGTGCAAACTGGTTGAATTAATGATAAAAATTACTGTTTATCCCCTCTGTAAGTTTTGATTAATGAAAAAAAAAAGGATTTGTGAGGCTAGTCTTAACATATAGTGAATCTGATGTGCTCTGTGTGTCTTTCTGTATTGTTGTGTCATAAAGAGGATAGAACATGGGCCTAGGAACCTATAAGCCCAGTGTTAAAGGTGGTCTAGTAAACTGGTCAGTTATAAACTTTGCTGCAGGTTCCTGAAAACAAACTGGATGAGCTTCTCCTGCTGTCTTGTTCTATGTCCTTGGGAGCTTGACCTTGTAACCATGTGGCAGTATTTTCTATTGGTCTCCACCATAACAATGGCAGTCTAGGTTCAGGATTCCATTCCTGGCTTAGGGAATGAGTCCCTCATTTTCTGTCTGTCTGTGTATTTACATGTGTTGTGTGTGTGAAATGAAAGAGCTTTGATTAATTGGTTTAAAAACAATAAGAGCTAAAATCAAATATTTTTGTGAGAAAAGTAAAAAGTGTAATGCCTTTCAGTTCATGAGACTTTAGTAATCTTGAGGAAATAGAGGCAGTTTTAAAGATTATCGGTTAAATAAAGCTATCTTAAAAAATATAAACATTTGGTTGAAATGAGACAGATCAGATATTAAGTTTACTAAACACTTTAAGGTCACAAACTGCTTCTTTGACTTTTGAAAATTATTCAATTGGCTGACTTTGGAGCATTAGATTCTAGATAAGGCCTAGGGACATGTGGAGAGCCTTGCCCCTTAGCTATGCTGGAAAGAGTCAGCCCTTATCTGTACTTCTGTCTGATGTCCTAGGCTTCACACCTGGGACATAATTACCATCACTTACTAACCAAATTTTCACCAAAAGTAAAAGTTGCTAAGAGTTAACATTGTAACATGTAGTTGAGACTACTGAAGAAACAGTTTTACATGTAAGACATGTAAGGAAAGTAGAATATATTTTGGCCTAGAGTAAAAGGTTAAAGGATTGTTTTAAGTCAAATAGGGTAAAGCTGAAAGTTTGAGCAAGTTATGAAACATTCGTAGGAAAGTTAGGAAAAATTAAACTTGTGAAAAGAAATTCTATGTGTGAATGTGTTGGCTAAAGTTAAAGGGGTATTCAGTTTTTCCATAAATTGAATATTGGAATGAAAGTACAACAGGTTTTTCTTAAAGAACTGATCTTCTCTTTAATGAAGAAATTTTCAAGGGTTATAGAAGGTTTATGAGCAGGCATTAATGTTGGATAGTTCCATTATGACTGCCCTAAAACATTTTGTCATTCACAGGCATTTGTTGTCTGTTTTGGTCCTCTTCAAAAGGTGGTTTTATAATCAACTCTAAAACTCTAACAGGTGTTCTTAAATGCAGGTTTCTGATAACTTTGGAGATTGTGACATTGGAATAGAGGAAAAACACTTTCCGAACTTTCATGGAGTGCTGCAATGTTCACGAATGTCAAGTAGAACAGGAGTTAACTGCATGGACTAAACTAATAAAAGCCTGACGTAATCTTTGTTAACCTTTTGCCTAAAACATTTCTGATCCTATTTTGTTTTTCAGAGATAAGGAAGGAAACTTTTCTTTCAAGCTATTTGTAGCTGAACAATTGAGTAAAGTGTACTTCTGTGAACAAAATCTGGACAATATTTGTTTTTCTCTACTTGATTTCTCTGGAATTTGGAAACTGTGAATATTCTTAACTTATGGCGATATAGTTATTTGCATAAGTGCAGTAAGAATCTGCTTTCTTTTCTAACAGGACACAATTGAAGAAACTCGTTATTTTACCAAGGCTTTTACTGGAATGGTATACTTTCCTTTAAGGAATCAGACTTAACTTGTAAAGCCAATAAAAGTCCCTTGGGAAAACTGGCCTCATATTTTGTCTACAACAGTCCCTATACAGGGTTTCTGACTTGTAGTAAGTAAAGAATGCCATTTTTTTGACAGGTCCAAGAGCTCCACGTTATCTTGGGACCTCAAGAGGAGAGGAATTTACCCAACTTATAGGTATTTGAGGGTATAAACAGGGCTGGGCTCAGCTTAAAAAAAAGTTTTATCTAAGATTCCTTCTATGGAACAGAGTTCCATCAAAGCCAATTTAGAAAGAGCTTATGTGAAAAATTATTCTTGCTGTATTTTATGCAAATAATCAGGCCAAGTATAATAAAGCAAATCGGTCATATCATAATTTGTCTTTAGTAAAAATGAGAAAATGGAGAGAGAAATATTGTGTTTCAAAAACTGTGTACACCTCTTATTAGATTCTAGTCTCATCAGATTTTATTTTTGTTTTTGTTTTTCTGTTTTTGTTTTTTCGAGACAGAGTCTCCCTCTGTCTCCCAGGCTGGAGTGCAGTGGCACAATCTCAGCTCATTGCGAGCTCCACCTCCCAGGTTCAAGCAATTCTCCTACCTCAGCAACTCCTGAGTAGCTGAGACTACAGGTGTGTGCCACTATGCATGGCTAACTTTTTTTGTATTTTTAGTAGAGACAGGGTTTCACCATGTTGGCCAGGCTAGTCTCGAACACCTGACCTCAGATGATCCACCTGCCTCGGCCTCCCAAACTGCTGGGATTATAGGCATGAGCAACTGTGCCTGGCCCTCATCAGTTATTTTTAAGTTTTTTTTTCCCTGCAATTTAGACTAACCCTGTTTGTTCTTGTGAACCAACCAGTGATCTATAACTCCAGCTCAGAAGAAACAAGAGGATTGGGTAATGTAAAAATCTGGATCAATATTCTAATTCTGGGCACATCGTAATCAGCTAGCAACCCTGTATCTGCTTTGTTCCAACAATTGTTCAGTTCATGGAAAGCCTTCTAATTTAGTTTACTTGGAATAATTTTACTTTATTTTTCTTTGTTGTGGAATATATTGCTGTTATACTCTTTGTGTAGGAATGCAGAATAAGCTTACTCAACATTTTCTTAAATTGAACACTTATTAATCTTCCATTGAACCAGAGCAATTCCATCTTGAATAGGGGCTGGGTAAAATAAGGCTAAGGCCTACTGGGCTACATTCCCAGATGGTTAGGCATTCCATCACAGGATGAGCTAGGTCAGCACAAGATAAAAGATATAAAGACCTTGCTGATATAACAGATTGCAGTCAAGAAGCTGGCTAAAGTCCACTAAAATCAAAATGGTGACGAGAGTGACCTCTGGTTGTCCTCACTGCTACGCTCCCAACAACACCACGACAGTTTACAAATGCCATGGCCACATCAGGAAGTTACCCTATGTGGTCTAAAAAGGGGAGACATGAATAATCCACCCCCCACCTATTTTTTAGCATATAATCAAGAAATAACCATGAAAATGAGCAACCTCAGGGCTTCTCCGTCTATGGAGTGAGTAGCCACTGTTTTATTCCTTTACTTTCTTAATAAACTTGCTTTTACTTAAAAAAAAAATAGCAAGATGGTAGCACAGAAAAACAAGGCAAAATAAAGCGTGCACCCAGAGTGCTTAAAAACAGGTGGAGATAGCATGGAGCACCCAACAAATGAAGGGGTCATGGGAACTCCGCCCCTTGGCCCTGGCCCCTGGTGCTCACATGCAAAGCAAAATGTTTGGGTTCAACCATCAAGGCCCCACCACCCAAACTGGTTTCACGTGATATTTTCTGATTGGACACTAATGTCAGCAAAAATTGGTGCATGTGTTGTGTCTTTGCTGGAAACTGTGAAGTCAAAACCTTTCATGTATTAATTTAATATGTTTTAAGGTGAAAAAAGTCATTATAGCAAAAAATAAGTCATCATCCATAAAGCAGTCTTACGTTCTGAGTCATAGCTGAGCAGCTGTGTTGTGTTGGGAAGCACCACTGGGGTGGCAGATAGGAGAGTAAGTGTGCACAGGCTGAACAGATGTGAGTGTCCATCACAGGTAATGTTGGGGTGGCAGCCCCTGAACTTGGGGTTCTGACTTCAACTGGGGGTAATTGATTCTCATCTTTGGCAAAGTTGCTCTTCTTTTAAAGATCAGGTTGGTTTGCCTTGTGGACTCTATAATGCTTGTAATTAGTTGGTTTTCCTTGGCCAGTAGTCAGTTCAGAATCCATGTGTGTCTACTTGGTGACCAAAGGCAGGCCACCCAGGTCACCCACCCACCAGGCCACTCAGAACTTCACCTTCCCTGCTGCCTCCTTGCCTTGGACTTTCATTTTCCTGTCTTCCTGATTTCTCTATCTTTGGGTCTCTCCCATTATGATGAATATATTTCCTCAAGCCTCTTCACTTATTTTTAGAGTAAGGAAGAATACAAGTGATAGAAACATTTTGTTGCTGCTTTGCATGAGGAAAAAAACAGCAAAAGAAGACAATGTTTTATTTCTTTTTTGAGAGGCCTTCATTTTTTATTAGGTTTATAGATCAGCCTTCCTTTCAAATAATCACTTCATATGTTTTTGTTGTTGTTGTTTTTCACTAACATTTGGCCAACTCGTCAGTTATGATGTATCTAAAGATTGGAAGCAAGATTTCCTAAAGTTCAGAAGTGAAACTACATGAACAAACATGGAGGGCTCTGAGTATATTGACCAGAGAGGAGGGGAAAATGCTGCCCTCTCCATCGAAGCCCCATTTCTTCTGCTCACATACCCAGGAAGGGTGGCAGGTGCAGTGAGGTTAGCAGTACCCCTGAGGAAAAGGAGAAATTCTAGACTGCTTTATATCAGAGCCGGGGATTGCCTGCCAGAAATAACTGAGACTGTCACCCTGATTTGGCCTCTGAAAGCATGTTCATTCAAGCAAAGGTGGTGAAACTATGCAGCCAGAAAGCACTTGCCTGGGGCTGTGGTTCTCAAACCTGAGACAGGAGAACCCCCCTGCTTGGCTACAGCCAGGGGCTCTGCCACAGCAGGTGTAGGCTGGGCTGGATCATCTGCATGTGTAACAAGTTCCTGGATGATGCCGTGTTGCTGGTCTGGTGTGTGGCTGTGCAGGGCATGGTGACTCTGCTGGACAGAACATACATCCTTTCCCTGTGTGAGTGTCCAAACTCCTGACATCAGCTGGTGGGTGGCTCAGGGGAAACAGTTCTCCCTGCTGCCTCCCAGCAGAGCCCCTCCATACCCAACTCAAGCCAACCAGAAATATAGTTTTTTAAAAAAACTTAAAGGTTTGCAAAGAGGAGAATTCAGCTGTGAAGACTAGTAAAACAGACCAAAAGCTAGTTAAGAAGTCTGCTTCTAGAGAGAAAACTTGTCGTCAATTAACAAAAGCTATTTTTGCTTATATTGCTGATGCTTTTGTTGTATGTCCAAAAAATCATTACCAAGACCAATCTAAAGGAGCTTTTTCCCTGTTTTCTTCTAGGAGTTTTACAGTTTCAGGTTTTACATTTAAATACTCAATCCATTTTGAGTTAATTTTTGTATATGATGTAAGGTAAAGGTACAATTTTATTCTTTTTTTATGTGAATAAACAGTTTTCCCAGCACTATTTATTGAAGAGACTATCTTTTCTCGATTGTATTCCTGGCATCTTTGTCCAAGAGTAGTTGACCTTATATGGGTGGGTTTGTTTCTGGGCATTCAGTTTGGTTCCATTGGTCTATATGTCTGTTTTTATTGTTCCATTGGTCTATGTGTCTGTTTTAACAGTACCTTGCTGATTTGATTACTATAGCTTTGTAATATAGTTTGAAATCAGATAGGTGATGACTTTAGTTTTGTTCTTTTTTCTTAAGATTGCTTTGGCTATTTGGGGTCTTTTGTGCTTCCATTTGAATGTTAGGATTGTTTTTCTTTTATTGCAGAATTATTCACAATAGCCAAGATATGGAACCAACCTAAGTATCTGTCAACAGATGAATGGATAAAGAAAATGTGTCATATATGTACAATGAAATATTTTTAAGCCATAAAAATAGAAGGAGATCCTGAAATTTGTAACAACACAGATGAACATGGAGGACATTATGCTAAGTAAAATAAGCCAGACACAGAAAGACAAATACCATATGATCTCACTTACAAGGAAAATCTTAAAAAGTTAAATTTATAGAAGCAGAGAGAAGAATGGTGGTTGCTAGAGGCTGGGGGCTGGGGGAAATGGGGCGATGTTGGTCAAATTGTACAAACTTGTAGTTGTAAGATGAATAAGTTCTGAGGATCTAATGTACAGCATGGTAATATAGTTAGCAATACTATATTGTATATTTGAAATTTGCTAAGAGATTAGATCTTAAGTATCCTCACTGCCCCCTGTGCGCACACACCATGATAATTGTGTGAGGTGATAGATGTGTTCATTAATTGTATTATGATCATTTCACAATGTATGTGTATATCAAATCATCACATTGTATGCCTTAAATATATACAATTTTTATCTGGCAATTATACCTCAATAAGGCTGGGAAACAAAACCAAAAACAAACACCCCCCCACCAAAAAAAAAAAAACAAGTGAAATCAAGAGAAGTTCGCACTGTCCATGGCAAGCAGTGGTAACAGGAAGATTCAGCCTATTCCCTGGGGATGAGTAATAACCATGGGATGAGAAGTGACCAGAAATAGCAAAGCACAGCCGCTTCTCCCAGCTGGTTTCAGGAAGCAGCAGACTCTGCGGTAGGGGCTTTAGAGCGCAGACCACGTCCCGCACGGAGCAGGGGAAATTGTCATTATTCAGGAGTGAAGGCTTCTCTGTACCATCTGTCTGTCCTTGACAGAGTATTCTAAATATTCCCCTTGATTTGAATATCTGCAGCATCCATTTCCCAGCCAACGAAGACAGTGTAGTGAGGAAGCAGACGTGTCGCAGGCTTCCTGGAACTTGCCCAGAACCTGGGAACCTGTACGGGTTCGTCCAGGCAGCATCTCTGCTTGCCTTTCCCTCCACTTGATTTTTACCAACATCAGCCTTTTCTGTCCCCAGTAGAATGTGCAACATCCCCCTGAACTCTGCCCTGCTCCATCTTCCTTGGAGGATCGTGGTTGCTCTGGGCACCATAGAGCCCCATGGATCCAGAATACTGAATGAGAAGAGGGAAGGGCTTGGGAAGTCATGAGGATCTAATGGAGGAGCTGGGGATGTGTCCTGTAGAGAGGAGAGCTCTCATTTCAGGCCTGTCCTTCCTTTTGCTCTTAAGGGCTCACTCACCCACGCCGTGCAGACTTTCAAGGGCCTCTGCAGAGTGAGAGATGTCATAGGCACAGGTTGCTCTTGTCCTGCATCATGGCAGGTGGGGAGGCTCCTGTCTGGGAGGCAGGCATCGTCCAGTCCAGGTGAGAAAAGCTCTCTCGAGGGACAGCCCCATGACAACGTGGGGCCGGTCAGGACCCCCTTGCATGCCTTTCTGAGAACACGTCCAGGTGGAGGCTGGTCACTGTCCGCCAGGGTCTTTGCTAAGGGACTTCCTTCCAATGGTAGAAGATAAAACTAAATTACCTTAACATTTCTTCTAACCTGGATTTAAAAACTTGATTTTGTGCAAATACCTACACTTACAAAAAATAAACCATTGAAATAATTATTTTAATAGAAAAAGAGAGACCACTGGCATGACAAAACTTTGAGGATAGCAAACAAAAGCCATAAAATATTTTTGTGAAGCAATGAAAAGATTCATACTTAAAAGATGAACTCTTTCCAAAGAAATAGCTAGACGTTTAGGGTATTGAAATGGAGAATATCTACCCTCCTACAAGTTTTACCCAAGGGGATGTAACTTCTGACAGGGTTCCTAAACTTTTAATGCAGAGTGTGCGCTTTGTGATTTAGTTTTGGTTAGTTTCTTGGGAAAATTATCATTTTTCTTCTAAAATAGCAACACTTGAAGTCTAATTTTTAATTATAACTTGTAGCTAAAGCTGTTTTCCATGGGAAAAAAATGTCTGATTTTATCATAGAAATCAATGCAGAAATAGGGTTTAGTTTCCTGGAGCTTACTTTGCAGGCTATGGAGCAGAACTATTCTTAAAGCCAATTGGAGAACCCTGGACTGATGGCCTCAGTCCCTGGGCGTCATCTTCCAGACTGAGCATGTCTCACTTTGGCATGGCCTTCTCTGTAGCTGGGCTGGTGGTCCAGTCATGGACCCCTGTGTGTGTGGGCCTTGAAGCCCACACAGCTTCCTCCAGATGCAAACGCATTACCACCCTTACAAAGCAGCAAGAACAAACCTGGGGTTTCTTTCGGATAGTTTTGAGGGTCTTCATGGGGAAAAAAATAGGAGGAGAACAAGTAGGCTTCTAAGAGACTCTAAAACATATTGAATTAGTGCTTCCCTCGGACACACTTGTCAACCAAGATATGCAGGTACTTCTGGAAGGCGAATCCCATCAAACCTCCTTCCAAATTTAAGAATGGAGCTGGGTAGAGCTATGTGGGTGTGCAGTGCTTCCCACCAACCAAACCACTCAGGACGCTGCTTCCCCAGTGATCAGCACCAGAGTTTACCTGGCACTTTCCACCTGGCCATGTCTGCAACTCAGAGCAGAGGCTAAGGGAGTCCGCCTGCACAGGACATTCAGAAACACGGGAGGGTTTCAAGGTTCACGCCTCTTTGGCATTTCCCAGGCTCCCCTCACGGTGTCGGCAGTGCCCACATCGCAAACTTCAGGAGATGGGAGCGAGAGGGGCCTGTTGGGTGACCAAGCTGTCATGGCTGCTGGGTTCCCTCTTTGCTGCCTGTCAGCCTCACCCCTGGGCATCCCCCACCTGCTGGTCACAGACTCCGCCTGCCTTAACTCTGGCTCTGAGGGGCAATAAATGAGCAGGATGGGTCCTTGGCCCGCAGGGAAGAGGGGGCAACCCTAGGGCTGTGATGTTATTTTATAACATTTATTTTTTTCTCGTTACAGAATGAATATGTGTTCATGGTGGAAAAATTGTAAGAATAGAACCAGGAAAAAAAATGGGCTATACCTATTCTGGCCCACTTAGGTCACCATCGTCTCCTTGCTTCTACTTCAAAGCCCCGTGGCTGCCTCCCACCCAGTGGCGGGGCATCATTTAAAAGGGACCATTTTTCTACTGAAGCCCCTCCATGCACTTAGTATGAAATCCAAATCCTCTGGCCTGGTGGACGTGCCCTCCTTCTTTTGAATGTTGTTCTCACTGTCCTTTACCTCTGTGCCCCTCATTGTCTGTGCCGTCCCCATGTGGGAGACATCCCGTCCCCTCAATCGTTAGAGCTGTGGAGAGCTGGCCCCGTACCCTCCACCCCTTTCTCTACGTTACACCTGCTTTACTCTCAGAACAGTCTTACCACCATCTGCAGTTATCGTTTTTAGTTACTTGTTCACTGCCCTTTCCCACTGAGAGGGTCAGCGTCATGAGATCAGAACTTGTCAAGTCGGTGCTTCGTCGGCGAGGTGAGGAGTGAGCTCCTCGAGGTCACCTGCGGGTTGGGGATGTGACAGTTTCTGAGCGGCAGTGTTAAGTTGTCCTCCAAAGAGTCTGCACCAATTTCCACGTCCACCAGCATGCTCGGGAGCGTGTCCATTTTCTCCACCCCTTGCGAGGCCTGTGGGGATCTTGGACCTGGTTCCCGTGAGCAGCCTCTTGCGACAGCCATAGGTTGATGTTCACTGTCTGTGTGGGTTCTTGGTTACCCCTGCATCAAACATCAACTCTGTGATGAATCCACTTATTCCCAACCACTGCTTTTCAAAGTCACCCCGTCTTCCTTCCCCTTTCCTCTGAGTTTCCCTGAAAGAGATGAAATTTCTCAGAAGGATTCGGTTGCCTTTAAGGTGCCATGACGTGCCCGGTGGCCCTGAATTAAACACCACACCACATGGTTACACCCAGGCTGACTGGCTGCCCATGCACTTCTCACGAACGGCACGTGCTCCATACTTGTGTGTGTTTTCTGCTTCCATCATCACTGCAACCCAGAGACAGAGTTTCTATATTTCCTGTTTTGCAGATGGAAACTGATTTTTAAGCTGCACAGCTACTAAATGCGTGAACCAGGATTTGAGTCTAATGTCTCCCTTGCATTTATGACTTCATTCATTCTGTGTCTATACCATGTGCAGCCCTGCTATGTGGGAGTGTGAGATGCACTGTGCCAAGTGCTGAGAATGCAATTCTGAACAAGACATACTTCCTGTCCTTGCAGAGTTTACACTTCAGTAGGGAGGACTGCTGTTAGACAAATAACTCTAAGCTTTAAATCACAACTGTAATGAGTACAACAAAGAAGAAATACAGAGAGCCATTAAAACATAAAACAGGGCTTGGGAACCATTCTAGGGATTCAAGGAAGGTTTGGAGAGAGAGTCCTGTAAAGGGGAGCTGAGGTGCCCCAGCCACCCCAGTCCCCAGCCCCCAGCCCCAAGACCTTTCAGCCCAGCCCATCCTCAGCTCAATTTAGCCACATGAGTGACCCTGAGCAAAACCAACAGAGGTCAAACCACTATAAGAAACACACACGATTGTTTTTAAGCCACTAAGTTTTGGGGTGGTTTTATACACAGTGATAGAAAACCAAAATAGAATTCAATGGCTAAACAGAAAATTACATCTTACATTTTTGCTTGTGGTCACTTGGACTGAAGTGCTCAGTAAAGTCAATGTTTTTGCAGCTCATTTGCTGCCATTATAAGACAGAATATAGCATATTAGCCATTGAAGCCTTCTAGGTCTTTAAGGGTAGAATGATTACTTTTACAGGCACTTGGATAAATGGAAGAAAAAGAAGTTCAAATCCCAACATATGTCCCCAAACCAAGGTCTTCCGAAGGTGTGTGTTAATAGAATCTCTTCTTCTTCCCACAGGGTGATAGTGGCCAAGAATCAGAAGTAGAGTTGGATCCAGTGGCTTGCCGAGCTGGGGGATAGAGGCATTGAATGCTGGAGTAGGGAGATATGGGGGGGATGGGAAGCCTCAGAGCACCTGAACCCAGCCACTTGCACGCATACACTCCCTATGTTTCTTTTTGAAGATGCTGTCATGTCCTGGCCGGAGAGAATTACCCTGAAAGAGGACAGATCTACAATTATGCTCAATCCTTGGGTGGGTGCATTTCAGAGTCAAATCACACGGGAGAAAGCGTTCTGTGGTAGTTTTAACACGACTGCATTTCCATGTGGTCTCGCCTTGAACCTGGGTGGGCCTTCGTGATGCTCTGTGACTTCTGAGGCTTGGTGAGCTGAGCCCACACAGCTGTGCCTGTTTCTCTTGGGACATTTGCTCTAGGGACCTCCAGCTGTCCTGTAAGAAGTCCAGCTATGCTGGGGCTGCTGGGTGACAGGAATACATAGATGAATGGGTGAGAGGCCTCACCAGTGGCAGCTTCCAGAAGTTTGAGTCTTTCAAGCCCAGGAGCCAGACATATGAATGAGGAAACCTCAAAGGCTTCTTGAAGATGTCTCTCCGTTGCTACCGTCTGACTGTAACCACATGAGAGACCTTGGTGAGAACTGTCCGGCTAAGCTCAGTCAAGCCACAGAATGAGGAGAGGTAATAATAGTGTGTGATTGTATTGTTCTGAGCCACTCTTTGGGGCTCAGAAAGCTGGAACACTCATTTACCAAATATACTGTGTGACAATGCTGGTTTACACAGGGGATATCTTGGTAATAGGTGTATAAACCTGTGCTAAGGGTTCAGAAATCAGCAAGTGTCTTAAGGAGGAGGGAGGAGAAATATCACAAGACAGTGAGATGGCTGATTTTATGTGTCGACCTGGCTAGGCTATGGTACCCAGTTGTTTGGTCAAACACCAGTCTAGATGTTGTTGTGAGGGTACTTTGTGGATGGCATTAACGTTTACAATCAGTTGATGTTAATTAAAATAGGGTACCCTCCCCATAGTGTGGGTGGGCCTCATCCAATCAGTGGGAAGCTGACTGCAACACAGAAATCTTGCCTGACTTTCCAGCCTTGATCAAACTCAGGACTGCAACATCAACTCTTAGCTGAGTGTCCAGCTCTGTCTTAGAGTTGCCAGGCTTGCCAGCCTCCACAATCATGCGAGCCATTTCCTTAAAACCTCTCTAGATACAGATAGAGATATAGAAATAAATTAGATATCAGATGTAGATATAGATACAGACATAGATATAGAAATAGATTAGATATACAGATGTAGATACAGATACAGACACAGATATAGAAATAGATATACAGATGTAGATACAGATACAGACAAAGATATAGAAATAGATTAGAAATACAGATGTAGATACAGATACAGACATAGATGTAGAAATAGATTAGATATAGGTTAGACACAGATACAGATACAAATGCAGATGTAGATCTAGATACCCTACTGGTTCTGTATCTCTGGAGAACCTTGACTGATAAAACAGTAAAAAGCTTGGCACATGTGTGAACTTGGCTGAGGGTAATGGCAGCACATCCTCTCCAAAGGGAAGGACATTTTACTTGTCCTCGCACCCCCATTGCTAAGAAGGAAATATGATTCTGGTTTGGCTTCTTTAAAATGCAGTGGCAGGCCAAGTGTGATGGCTCACACCTGAAATCCCAGTGCTTGGGGTGGCTGAGGCAGGAGGATGGCTTGAGGTCAGGAGGAGTTCAAGATCAGCCTGGGCACATAGTGAGATCTTGTCTCTACAAAAAAATGTTTAAAAATGCAGCGGCAACAGGCACAAAGTTTGGGTATGTCTGTGGGTTCACCAGGAGGCTGGCAGCTGTGGGTGAAGCTCAGAGACACAGCAGGCTCTCCAGCTGGACAGGGAAGCATAGCCATGGCTCTGCCATGGGCCTTGGAGACATTGCATGTCCACGTGGCTTAGGGTCCTGTGTGGAGTCTCTGGCCATCCCATAGGGAATCACAGGGCAGCCCCATGGCATTTGAAGCACACCAGAACCATCGCAGCTTCAAGGTGTTTCTATTGCTTCAAGGAACTTAATTCTGCCAACAACCACGAGAGCTTGGAGGAGGACCCCAAGCCTTGTGTGGGACCCAGCCCTGGCTAGTCCTTTGACTGCAATCTTGTGAGTCCCTATGCAGAGATTCCAGCCAAGCTTTACCCAGACCCCTGACCAACAGAAACTGTGACATAGTAAATGAGTGTTTTCTTTTTATTTATTTATTTATTTATTTTTTGAGACAGGGTCTCACTCTATCGCTCAGGTTGGAGTGCAGTGGCATGATCTCTGCTTGCTGCAACCTCCACCTCCTGGGTTCAAGTGATTTTCCCATCTCAGCCATCTGAGTAGCTGGGACTATAGGCATGTGCCACCATGCCCGGCTAATTTTTGTATTTTTAATAGAAATGGGGTTTCACCATGTTAACCAGACTGATCTTGAACTCCTGAGCTCAAGTTATCTTCCAGCCTCAGCCTCCCAAAATGCTGGGATTACAGATGTGAGCCACTGTGCCTTGCCATAAGTGAGTGTGTTAAACCACCAACTTTGTAGAAGTATGTTATGCAGTAATATAAAAATAATACAAATCCTAATTAACCATACAGCCTTGGCTGCTGATTGAGATTCCAGCATCCTCTAATTCATTTTTTGTTAAAGTTGGGAGTATGCACAAGCACTTGTCACCTGGTGGCATTGGTAAATACTGGATGGAGCTTGGCCATTTCCTGAAGGCATCAATTCTCACTCACTCTCTCTGTCTCTGCAAGCTAAAGGGGAGCCAGATTCTCTCTCACCTGCCTCCTGAAAGCTGGCGTGGGGTTAAAAATCTAGGCCAGGGCAGCTGGAAGCCCCCACCAGGGGTTCTTTATTAATGATGCAAAGATGCTGGGTAACTTAGAGACCGTTCCTGGGGGAGGTGGCTGAGGCAGGAGGGTGGCCTGGGGGTGGGGGGAGACTGTGGTGGTGGCAGTGATTCCTCCTGGAGACAGGAGACTCCTCTCACTGCTTGTGCCCTCAGCTACCCACCCCTTTCTGCTCCTGTTCTGCTTCTGAGCCTGGCTCTCCTGATCTCCCCTCAATTCCATGAGTTGCCTACTAGTCTTCCAGTACATTGCTGAAGTTAGCATCTGTCTGCCTCTAAGAACCCTTCCCAATTCAGCTGAGAAGTGCTGGCTCCTCTGCCCTCCTTACTTTTTCTCATGTCTCCTTACTTGGATAAGTATTGGGTTTCTCAGATTTGATCAATGACATCTCCATAAAGCTATCCAGTTGTTGTGTCTAAAATGAAGGCCAACTCAAAGCAGAAACTGTGTGATTTAGTGCTGCTGGGATAGGCGGTTCTCTTATCTAGGTCCCTGTGTGGCCTGGTACAGCTTGCCCAGACAGCCTGCTCTGATCATGCAGTGAGGAAAAGAAAAAGTCTTTTTTCTGCTTGAGAGAAGCTTCTTCCTTCTTTCTGCTTGAACTGTCATTGCTTCTTCTCCCTCTGTGGGGCTATATCTGAAGAATAGGTGATATTTTATATACAGAACAGCATGAGATTTCTCCAGAAGCAGAAGAATAGCAATGTCCTTAGTGTGGAGTGAACTAGCACCTGAGTGATATTCATTACAGAAATGCGTTTCCAGAAGGGACCAGAAATGTCCCCTTAATGGAAAGAAATTGCTGCTACGTTAGGATCAAAGATGAAAGGGGAAGGTAATGCGTGCTTAGAAGGAGAGCTTTCCATCTCACACACTGTTCGTGTTGGCTGCAGAACTGGAGGGTGTCACAGGCGTCTAATGGATATATGCTCCCTGGGCACCACACACTGGGCCCTTGACCACTGCTAGAGCATGGAGGAAGGGGTTTGGGGGGCATGATGAAGAAAACCTGACTTGTTGTATTCATTAGTGCTTCCATAAGTCAACTTTCGGTAAAAGGCTGCATAATAAATATGTTAAATGGACAAAAGATTTTTATGGGAGTATTTTATCACTGACATTATTTAGGTCTGTTGGCTCAGGATGTTAATAAAAAGAAGACCCATATGAAGTCACAATTCTGGTGAGTGGAATGAGCAGCCCAGGGGAGCAGAACCCACAGAAAATGTTCATTTTGACTGCGAAGTAGGTAATAGAGTTTATTTACCTCTAGGCTGGAAGCCAGAATGTAGACAAAAGGCATAACCCAGAAATGGACTTCGGAGTGGGTCATTAAGCCACAAATACAGCCCAGCCACTGAGTGAGGAAGAGCAAGGGCTGAAGCCTTGATGGCTGAAATAGAAAAGCCAGAGCTGGCAGAATTTAGCATCACCTGAAGTCCACTAGACCACTGGGAGGTGAGGCCCCCAGGCCCAGGTCAGCTGCCCAGGACATCAGCACTTTGTTTGAAGCTGAAATTTTCTCTTAACTGGAGCTTCGATTTTTGAATTGAAAAACTCAAGCCAAAAAAGAAATTTACTTTTTCAGATACAAGAAAAAAGAATGGTTCAGAACTAGGTGTACACACTGTAATTCATTAATAGATATTATAATAAAGCAGGAAGGTGAGTTTGACACAGTCATTTTCCCATTTAATTATTATTAAACACTGAATTCACATGAGAAAATTAATTCTGCAGAAAATTTTATTTGGTTAAGTGAATACCGATGATAGAAAGAGTGATCAGCAGGCCAGGCATGGTGGTTCACACCTGTAATCCCAGCACTTTAGGAGGCTGAGGCAAGAGGATCACTTGAGGCCAGGAGTCTGAGACCACCCTGGCCAACATAGCAAGACCTGACCTCTACTGAAAATACAAAAAATTAGCTGGATGTGGTGGTGCATGCCTGTAATCCAGCCACTTGGGAGGCTGAGGCACAAGAATCGCTTGAATCTGGAAGGTGGAAGTTGAAGTGAGCTGAGATTGCTCTGCTGCACTCCAGCCTGAGTGACAGAGAAGGATTCTGTCTCAAAAACAAAAAACAAACAAACAAAAAAACAGTGATTAGCACTGCAAGTGGCATTGTAAGGTAAGGAAGAATAAGAAATGGTTTGCACCTGGCTGGGGACCAGGCAGGGCCAGTGGCAGCACCTCAGTGTGTTCCTGTGCCCATCACAGAGCCTGGATGTGCTGCAAGTGAGCAAACATCCAGGATAGGATGTGAAAAATGCCAGAATGAGTGACTGGGATGCTAAGTGTAGTATTAGTTTAGAGAGGTGGGGAATAGGTTGGTGTTTTAAAAAATATTGTATTCAAAGAATAGGTGGGAATTAAATCAGAACCTCAGAATATCTGGGAAGGAGCCCTGAAATGTTATTTGTTCTGGGCCTTGTCTGGTGACTATTCAGTCTACTTTTTAAATAGTCCTTAATTTAAAATACAATCTTTTCTTTTGTAGCTGTCACCCTTGGGTGACAAGAGGCTCTGCCGCTTGGAAATCTATAAACAGAATGATGGTTCTGCATGGCAGCCATTTAAATAGTTGAACCCAGCAACTGTATCTCCCTTTCCCTCCCTGGAGGCCAACATCTCCGGTTTCTACAAATGTGTCCATGTGGCATGGTGCTCAAGACCTCCTTGTCCCTCTCTGGGTTCCTAGAACTGAACAGGTACTACAAGAGGTGTGAACTTCATCAAGCGCAGAGGGACATTCACCTCTTGTGGCCAGATCAGTGGATTGCAATATGGCGGCCATCAGAATCAGCCCTGGGGGCCAACCTGGGGCTTCTGGGGTAACCGGTCTTGGGAGCAGGCACCTCCCATGATCCCAACGTGCAGCTTTATCAGCCCAGCTCGTGGATGGCTCCTCTGAGTTTACTGTTGATGAAATCGCCCTGGCCAGTACTTGAAGTGTAAGCTGCAGTTGTTGTGTCTTTATTTTGTAATTTTGCAATTGATTGATTGGACTATAGGAGGTTTTTTTGGGGTGTCTTCTCAGAACAACTGTCCCTCCTCACTGCCTGATATGGTAGTGGATTTGACCACGCTGGGGGCCCATGGGTGAGCTGGTCAGAGGCCCAAGATGCATGTGGCAGTGCTGAGAAGGACAAGTGAAGTCACTCCAACCCCTTCTCTTAGGATTTGTAACAGGGTGTCTGGTGGTGGGTCTTGGAGCTGGGAGTTCACATAGATGCTGGTAGCCATTTGAGGCCTTGTGCAAAATGGATAAACAGAAAAATCCACAGGGTTGGCCATTTTAGTGGTCAGTATGGTGGCAAAAGTAATATGCATGTGTAATATTGTGTGACATAATGAAAAATCATTGTTTCAAATGTATTCGCTGACATTTGTCATTAATAGCTGCACTTGGAAATTTTTTCATGTCCTTTACAGTGGTTTCAAAAAAGTTCTTTTTAAACTGGTATCTATGGCCTTGGGATTTATGTATCCACTCTTATTAATCTGTGCATCACATAAGTGCAATGATATGACAGCTTACTGAATTAGGGATCTCAAAATGTTGACCTCAAAGACAGGCGCTGTTAAATCAAAGATCAGAGCTTCCAGTGAAGTTGGCCCCAGATGGTCTCTCTTTTTTTTTTTTTTTTGAGACGGAGTTTCACTCTTGTTGCCCAGGCTGGAGTGCAATGGCATGATCTTGGCTCACCGCAACCTCCGCCTCCCGGGTTCAAGCTATGCTCCTACCTCAGCCTCCCAAGTAGCTGAGATTACAGGCATGCACCACCACACCTGGCTAGTTTTTTGTATTTTTGGTAAAGACGGGGTTTCTCCATGTTGGTCAGGCTGGTCTCGAACTCCCAACCTCAGGTGATCTGCCTGCCTTGGCCTCCCAAAGTGCTGGGATTACTGGCGTGAGCCAACGCGTCCGGCCCCCAAATGGCCTCTTGAGGACCTTTGAGACTTGCTCCTGACTAAGGGGGAGTTTTTCCTGGAAATTGTAATCTCTGATCATTGAAACTACAAGTTATCAAGCATCTTGCTCCACCAACCCTTCTGCCAGGCCCTTCACATATATTAATCAATCTGGTGAGTTTTTAGCACAAATAATCACTATACTAAAAAAAATACGCATAGGAGGGATATACACTGAAAAAATGATTTGTTGTTTAAATTTGAACTTAACAATTTAACTGGGTGTGGTGTCTACTTATTTGTTAAGTCTGGCAGCCTTACGGGATGCAGGACAGAGTGCTAGCCTCACTGGGTTTTGTTAAGTTCTTCCTAGCAGAAAAAGACTAGCCCTTTGCTGCGATGATGCCTCCCCGTTGGGGTGCGGCTGGTCCGTTTGCGAGGGAGGTGGGAACATTTGACTCCCGGCTCATCTCATGCCTGGCACCAGGCAGGTCGCGCCAGCGCTCTGGGGCCCTTCACCTCCCCAAGTGCGTCTGACTCGCTTGGCCTCTCAGGGGATGAGAGAGGCTTTGTCAGAGCCGTGCCTCATTTGCCACTTCAGAGCTTCATGTCTGTTGACATTGCAAAATAGCAGAAGAATTCGACAACAGGCCTTTTCAGAATGTGCACCACGACTGGACAAAGGGCAGTCCTAAGTGGGTCAGTGGCTGCCCTGGAGAGTTTTCCGGGTGAGGAATCACATCTGTTTACTCAGCCTTCACATGACCTCCATTCTGCCCACCTCCGCTGCCCACTCGGCCGACTCAAAGGGACAAAGGCGCCGGGTGTGTCCCTCCCTCACTGCGTTGGCGTGCAGCTCCAGTCCCTGCACTGAGGGGCGCTGTGTGGGAGGCTCCCTGCATGGCCTCTGACACTTTCCAGTTCAGTGGCATTTAGTACCAAGTTAACGCATCAGTTGTCGGGGAGGTCCGGAGAGCCTCCGCCTTGTGTGTGGTGGACGCTCACCTGAGGCTGGAACGCAAAGGGAGTAGAGCCTTCAAAAGGCTTCTCAAGGCCCTCCTGCCACTGTCTGCGGGGAGTGGCCACATTCCGCGCTAAGCAGGCCTCTGCGTTAACACTGTCAGCTTGCGAGGGCCTAGCAGGGGACAGGACATCTGCAGAGGGTGTGCGGTGCCGGCATGGCACCTCGCTGCGCTGTGGAGGCAGGATGGGCTGGCCACTGCAGGGTTGGTGTGGGGCCGGGGACAGTTCACAACCAACAATCAAAGGTCCCTGTTGGGGGAAGCTCCTGAAGGTTGGCACTGCGCCAGCCCAATGTTTTGTGTAGCAGAATCTTCCCCTAATTAATTTATCTAAAAGAGAGTGGCCCAGGAGGTTGAGATACTCCAAAAATTTTCATATTAGTGACATGGGCAGCCTTCCATTATAGGACCATAGGACAAAGCTGTTGCTCTTGGATGATGAGTCACAAAAGCCACAATTTTTTTTTACATCAAATTATTTATAATTAATGATCGTTTGCAATAAAGACATAAATAAGCAATTTATGCCAGAAAGAAAAACATCCAGTAACATAAAGCTAACCTTACTTGAAATCAAATAAATTCATATTAAAATAAAATATTTCGCTTATTAAATATTACTTAAAGATCATAATACTCGGAACTGAGAACCACGTGGAGAAAAGAGCCATATCCTATATTGCTGGTGGTAAAATGTTTGGTATAATCATTTTAAAGCACAACTTGGTAGCCCATACCCAAAACCTTAAATATGTTTATATTCTTTGACCCAGCAGTTCCACTTCCAGAAATTACTCCGGGGAAATAAATATGGATATGAACAAAGTTTTAGATACAAAGAAGTTCATAGCAATAAAAAGGTTGTAAATTCTAGTGGTCAATAAATTATTGTATATCCATACAATGGAATATTTAAATAACAATGCAGATGTAGAAAAGCAACTGTATATGAATAGCCAAGAAAATTCTGAGAAAGATAAAGGAACGGAGTTTGTTATATGAGCACATACTACAAAGCCAGACATTAAAACAGCGTGGTATTGATTCAGCAAGGATAGATAGATAAATGAAATAGAGAAGAGTTCATAAACAGAACCATTTATATATGTGTGTATGCAATTTTGTTTGATCACGAGGTGTATCAAAATAGTAAGAAGAGGTTTTGGAATAAATAATTATCCATTGAGACTCTTACTATAGTCTCAAAAATAAATTCCAGGTGGATTTAGAGAACATCAACTGTAAACAGCAGAGAGGAATACAGAAGAGAGAAACATTTTCACCCTTTGCAGCTGGGGAAGGATTTCTGAAGCAAGACACAAAGCCAGAAGCTGTGGCAGAGACTGCTACATCTTCATCAAATGATGCCCCATTTCTACAGGCACACAGGAAGACGGCATCTCCTACCCTTCCCTGTGTCTGGGTGAGAATATGTGAGTGAGTTCTGCCTGGTGGAAAGTAGGGGAAAGGGATATGTACCCTGCCTGGCACAGCTCTCACTGACTTCTAAGTAGTGTTGCCTGCTCTGTCTGTCTCCCATGGCCAGGGGGAACACCTCTGGGATGGCAGAGAAAGAGCTCAGATCCCCGAGTCACTGCCTAGAGGAGAGCAGCCAAGAATGGCTGCTGGAACAGAAACATCTGCATTAGAGATAAAAATAATGTGTGCATCTACTTACAATAGCAAAGACTTGGAACCAACCCAAATGCCCATCAATGATAGACTGGATAAAGAAAATGTGGCACATATACACCATGGAATACTATGCAGCCATAAAAAAGAATGAGTTCATGCCCTTTGCAGGGACATGGATGAAGCTGGAAGCCATCATCCTCAGCAAACTAACCCAGGAAGAGAAAACCAAACACCACATGTTCTAATTCATAAGTGTGAGTTGAACAATGAGAACACCTGGACACAGGGAGGGGAACATCATACATTAGGGCTTATTAGGAGGTGGGGGGCAAGGGGAGGGAGAGCACTGGGACAAATACCTAATGCATGCAGGGCTTAAAACCTGGATGACAGGTTGATAGGTGCAGCAAACCACCATGGCACATGTATTCCTATGTAACAAACCTGCACGTTCTGCACATGTATCCCAGAACTTAAAATGAAAAAAAAAGTGTGTGTGTGTGTGTATGTGTGTATTCATCTGGGTTCTCCAGAGAAATAGAACCAATAGGAGATACAAGGGGAAATTTATTATTCGGGGTATTGGCTCAGAGGATCACAGAGGTGGAGAGGTCCCACAATAGGCCATCTGCAATCTGCAGAACTGGAGCAGCAAAAACAGTAGCATGGCTCAGCTTGGAAGTCTCCGAACCAGGGAAGCAGGTGCTGTAGCCATCAGTTAGAGGCCGAAAGCCAGAAAGCCCCCAAGGGTGAGAGAGGGAGAGACAGAGAGAGAGAGAGAGAGACAGACAGACAGACAGAGACAAACAGACAGCAAAGCAAGCTGAATACCCACTTCTCCCAGCTGCCATGTCCTGGATGGTGCTCGCCCACATTGTGTGGGTTTTCCTCTCCAAGTCCACTGACTGACATGTCAATCTCTCCAGGAAACACCCTCGAACAATGCTTCACCAGACGTCCAAGCCCTCCTCAATCCAGCCAAACTGACACCCAAAATTAGCCATCATTGTGTGTGTGCATGTGTGAAGTCACTGACAATGGAGTTTACAAATAAATCCACAGCTAGAACTAAGAAATAATAAAAAGAAAGATTGTTGGATTTGGTCGCATGAAAATTTAGATGGCCAGGCATGGTGGCTCACACCTGCAATCCCAGCACTTTGGGAGGCCAAAGCAGGCAGATCTTTTGAGGTCAGGAGTTTGAGACCAGCCTGGGCAACATGGTGAAACCCCATCTCTAAAAAAAAAAAAAAACAAAAACCAAAAAACAAAAAACCAAAAATACAGAAATTAGCCAGGCGTGGTGGCACACACCTGTGGTCCCAGCTACTTGGGAGGCTGAGGCAAGAGAATCACTTGAGCCAGGGAGGCAGAGGTTGCAGTGAGCGGAGATTACACCACTGCACTCTAGCCTGGGCCACAGAGAGAGCCCATGTCTGAAAAAAAAAAGAAAAAAAAAAAGGAAAAAAAGTTAGAACTTACATATAGCAAAATAGGAGATAAGCGAAGTTAAAAGACAAGTAATAGATTGGTAGAAAATATCTGCAACATATTTAAAAGATAAAATATTGGTAAAAGAAAAGTGCTCCTATAAACCAATAATAAAAGGTAAAACAATTAAATAAAAAATAGGTGAAGAATAAAACAAAGATATTCACAAAAATAATATAAAGGACAAATATGAAAATATGATCTACTTTATTTCTAATTATAAAATGCAAATTAAAGCCACACTATACTCAGTAATTTGCTCATGCGATTGGGAAATTTTAAAACATTTCATTATATTCAAACATTTGCAAATTATGTGGGGAAAGAGGCATCTATATGCTGCTTAGCTTTTTTTCTGAATTGTTTTGGCGGTATGTTGCAAATAAAAAATGTTTTGACCTTGAACACATCAATTCCACTTTTCAGAGTCTCCAGTAAAGGAGAAGCTTAAATAGATTTGGACACCTTCCTATATGGCATATAATACAGTGGTATTAAAAAAAACTCAACTACAAGGAAAAAGCAGAGGTTTTTTTTTTTCCCACATTGTTACGCAAAATGCCTTGCAATATTCTTTGTATTTCTTCTATTTATGTAAATTTTCCCCAAAATGTCTTTGGTGAAATATATAGGTATGTCAGCATGTGTGTAAGGGAGTACAGGGTGTGGAGGGAAGGGCCACCACCAGGGTGGAGACAGCTAGGGGTGGTGTAGGCAGTGGAGGACAGAGTAGCTGTGAGTCTGTAGGCTTCTGGATTGTTTGAGTCATGTTACAAGAATCTGCTAATGTATCATTTGTAAAATTTAAAAAGAAGAAGATCAGCTGAGGTCAGGAGTTTGAGACCAGCCTGACCAAAATGGTGAAATCCCATCTCTACTAAAAATTCAAAAAATTAGCTGGGCGTGGTGGTGGGCACCTTTAATCCCAGCTACTCTGGAGGCTGAGGCAGGAAAATCCCTTGAACCAGGGAGGCGGACGTTGCAGTGAGCTGAGGTTGCACCACTGCACTCCAGCCTGGGCAACAAGAACGAAAATCTGTCTCAAAAAAAAAAAATGCTGTAAGTTCTAAAAAGTTCATGGGAACGAAAATGTACAAGTAGAGGAACTGGCATTAGAATGATAGTAACAAAAGCTGTATAACAACAGGAAAAATGTCTATAACATGATATGAAAAAATTAAAATTATGGATATGCTATGATGGTTAAATAGAGAACATATTTGCCTGGGAACAAAAAACTGAGAGGAAATATTGCAGGACCCTGGCTGATTTTTAAAATCAGTTTTCTAAGCTTTTATTTAAGTATTAAAATGCAGTTCCTCTCTCCCTACACCTTATTTCTTGGAGGAAGACAAAGGTTTTTCTGGTCAATGTTTAACAACCCTGGGAGGGCAGGTGGAGGAGCCCTGATTTGCAGTACCTGCCAATTTCTGTGGTGTAACTATTCTCACAATAGCTGATTTCAAGCTAGCAACTCAATGTCAACCAGCTTCTAAAATTCCTGGCAAATTAAAAATTGGCTCTCACCAACTCATATGAGCTGGCTCCAGTACATCATTGAAGATGGGATGGGGGTGCATAAAGCATGTCTTCTCTTGAATTTCTTGTTTAAGAAGATGTTTCAGGATGACTTGGGATGTTTCAGGATGTTTTTGGATGACTTACAGTAGTTAATTGAGTGTGTGTGTGGTTTGGGATGTCAACTGTTGTGGGGGCTGGAGTACTTGGGCATGTAACAGAGATAATATTTAAGAGAAGATTTTTGGACTTATCTTGTGTAAGTTTTTGCTCTGAAATTTCCCACCCTTCAGAACAATGGGATTCAGTGTGCTGGAGACAGGCAGTGATGAGCTAGACTAAGACATGGCTCAGTTGAGACTGTAGGTGATGATAGTGATGGTGATGGTGATGATGGTGGTGATGATGGTGATGATGATGGTGGTGGTGGTGGTGGTGGCAATGATGGTGATGATGGTGGTGATCATGGTGATAATAGTTATGATGATAGGTGATGATGGTGGTGATGATGATGGTGGCAATAATGGCAAGGATGATGGTGGTGATGATGATGGTGGCAATAATGGCAAGGATGATGGTGGTGATGATGATGATGGGAATGATGGTTGTGATTATCATAGTAATGGTGGTGAAGATGATTTTGACTTCACATCCAGATAATGGGTCCAGAGCTAACTATTTTTGAGAAAAAAAGGATTTTGAAAATTTACTGACTATATCAAGAGATAAATTTGGTGGAGTAGATCACAAAGATCCATGTATGAGAGGTTCCAACTAGGAAGAAGAAGAGGGCAAGGCCCTCCTTCTGGCACGTTGTGGGAAGAAGAAAAGAGACAGAGGCAAATGGATGAGTTTGAGCACAAATGGAACATCAACTGTGAAAGATACGTAGCAAGTATGACAAAATTTATGAAGTTTGGGTTGTGAGTGTATGGATGTCCATTATAGTTCAGTGTGTTTTAAATATTTTCTCATTTACAAGTAGATCACATAAAAGCAAGTCCTGTCTGCAAAATCACTATATTTATTCAATATATTCAAGAAGGCCATATCTCATATTCATAATTTTGAAGATCTCATTATCACTGTACTTGCAGCTCAATTCTGTTGCAGTAAAATGAGGACAAGTGGGTGAGCAGCTAGGAGAAATGAAGGCAGGCCTAATTGATAGTTCAGTATCTGTTTGCCAAAGAATTTTGAACCTGAACTTTGTAACTCCCAACGTTGTTCAAGCATAGTTTGCATGGGCTGGAAGTGACAAGGAGTTGAATATAGAGCTTTGACCACAACTGCTGAGGCTGGATGCTCAGTTTTGGCCATGTCCACAGAAAAGGGGAGCCATGTGATGTGCTTTGATGGGGTCCAGGTACCCAACTTTTGAGGTAAAATCTCTACGAGATGAAAGCTGATCAGTATTCATAGCAAACAACTGGAGTCTACAGAACATGGTTGGGGGCAAAGGCAATTTGGAAATCTCTATATGGCTAATGGGGGTCTGCTCAAGCACTCTTTTGGTAATTTGTGTGTAGCTAAAAAAAAATCCATATTGATTATTTAGTTGCCAAAACCTCAACACACAGAATTGGCACAGATGAAGAGGGAAAGGTACATGCATTTGTGTGGGTATATGGGTGTGTGTGCATGCATGCATATGCATATATATGTGTGTATATTGGTATGTGGGTATGGTATGTGGTATGTGCCTGTGTGTTTGGGGTGTGTGTGATGCATATGGTATGTGCATGTGTGTGAGCACACCCACAGGCAACTGTGCAGATTGAGAAGTCATTTCCCTTCTTGTACCCTGCCCAGTGGTTTGGACATAAACCCCAGTCTCCCTACTGTTTACACCTCACCTTTCCAGTTAGGAAAATTCCAATGTGAGTGGCAATCAGAGAGTTAGGAAACATGAAGCTGAGTTTTCTGTCATGGATTTGGCTATAGTTAAAAATGATCACAAGGTGATTGGAGATTTTTTTTTTCTTGGTAGTTTCCATTTGAGGTTAAGTAAATACAGGTATTTGGATTGGACTGGATTTTGTTTTAGGCTCAGCAATTTAGGTGAGATAAGAATCAGGGGTTACTTCTGTAATGAGGAGAAAAGAAAAGACACCAATTTGTAGGGGTCTGTGGCCCCTGTTATCACCATCCCCACTACAAGGGTGGGTGCAAGGCAGGTGGTGGGATAGGGAGAGTGAGAAAAGAAAGATTTCTGGGTCAGATGGCTGGCCTTACTGTTTAATTTTTTTCCGATAGAATCCAGGGAATGTTGGAACAGAACAATGGGGAAAAATCCCCAAATAACACAAAACAAAACAAAACAAAACAAAACAAAACAACCAAAACGCCAACCTCAAACAAAAACAGAAAAGTTAAAAAACCAAGGAGGGAGGAGGGAGAAACAGGGGCCTGTGTAAGCTGGATTTGTATGTGTTTGGGGAGCTTGGAAGAGAAAGGACGAAATGTCTGGGGAAATCCGGGTGTGAGAGAGACATTTCAAATGAGAGAGATGTGGAATTTTAAAGAGGTGTTTTTTTGTGTACTATGACAACACTTTCTTTTTGGAAATCTTAATAGGTTGTAGTAAAATGTTGAACCTTTAAAAATTTTTGATGGGACTGAATTGATGTTTAAAATGCTACCTTCTGCTGAGACGGGGCCACAGGATGGCTGGAATGCATTTAAGTTTACTTTGAATCGTCAGCATTTACTGAGCACTCTCTACAGACAGGAGAAGGAACTAGGTGTTGAAAAGATTTACAAACTCCTTTTAAAAATGTCACCATTGGCTGTTGTAGACAATCCCTAAGTCCTGCCTTGCCCTCAACCCTCATGTCCAGGTATCCAGACTTGCCTCCAAGCCCCCCAGGTCTCTTTTGGCCTGGCCTACATTTCTGGGTCCTCCCTGTGTCCTCACTGTGACTCTGCAAGGGCTGGTCCCATCAACCCTTGCCTGGACCAGTGCCTCTACCCTCTCCCTGTGCTGGTCACCATGGACACAGACTCAGGACATAATTGCCCTAAATGGTCACTCCATGCCTTTTATCCCCGCTCCTTGTGTTCTCCTGTAGTGTCTGATTATCTGCAGAATAAGAACAAGTAGCAATGATATTAATCATCATAGTAGGAAAGATAACTGATGTCCAGAGTCCCTAGTACGTGTGTGCTCCTACCCCAAGACAGGTACTGGCTGGGCACAGTGGCTCATGCCTGTAATCCCAGCACTATGGGAGGCTGAAGTGGGTGGATCACTTGAGGTCAGGAGTTTGAGACCTGCCTGGCCAACATGTTGAAACCCCATCTCTACTAAAAATACAAAAGTTAGCTGGGCCTGGTGGTGAATACCTATAATCCCAGCTACTCAGAAGGCTGAGGCATGGGAATCACCTGAACCCAGGAGGCAGGAGTTGCAGTGAGCTGAAACCACATCACTGCACTCCATCCTGGACAATAGAGTGAGACTCTATCTCAAAAAAAAAAAAAAAAGACAGGTACTATTGTCATTCCACTTACAGCAGGACGATAAGGCACAGTATGGTGAAATAACTTGCCTGGTATCAAGGAGGAAGAGCTAGACTTTGAAACTGGGTACTGTGGCCCCCAGAGTCCTCTATCTTAACCACTTTCGTTGCTAGATTCTTTTATTTTATCTCATGTGTCCCCCACAGAAGCCCTTTGATTTTCTTATTAGTCCCCAAACATGTTAAACACTTTGTGTGTGTGTGTGTGTGTGTGATCACTTGTTCACACTCTTTGTACATTCCTTTCTTTCTATTTATCTGAGGCTGGCCTTCAAGCTTTGTTCAATACTTTCAGTTGCCTCTGGTTGGTTATTTAATAATATCCCCTCTTCAAGACAATCTGCCTTGAGCATACATTTTCTTATATGTATTTCTCTTCCAGGTCTACATGTTTTCCCACCTAGCAGAGTGTGAGATCTTTGAGACCCAAACCCATAGTCTTATATCCTGTTTTATCTCCAGCATCTAATGCAGAATCTCTCATAGAGCTATGGTTGCACAAAGCACTGGTTTCACAGGGAGTTGTTCTTTAGTTCTATAATGCCCATTATCTCTCTGCCAATCTTTGAAATTGAATACTTTTCTCAAGCTTATTGACAAGTGACTGGAATTCTCTCTCTGGCTTTTTTGCATATTTACCCTGATGAAGAGGCCCTGTCAAGGAACTGTGGGTATCCTCTGGTCGGCAGCCAGAGAGAAACAGAGGACCTTGGAATAACAGCCTTCAAGAAGCATTATTTTGCCAACAGCCATGTGAGTTATCTTGGATGCAGATCATTTCCCAGTTGAGCCTTCTGATGAGACTGCAGACCCAGTTTCCACTTGATTGCAGCCTTACAAGAGACTGAAGCTGAGGACCTAAATAAGTCATACCCAGATTTCTCCTCCAAAGAAACTGTGAGATAATATGTGTGCATATTTTAAACTGACAAACTTCAGGGTACTGTGATTCATAGCAACAGATCAGCAAAGCACACACTAAGTGTCTCAAATGTTCATGATATAATAGCATAAAAGTAATAAAACAAGTGGACAAACAAATCTATGATCAATGAATGTCATGAAATGTCTCAGAGACAACTGGGTAACCACATGAAGAAGTTGTCCCATGTACATGTGAGGGCCAATGAGTTAAAGGAGCCCTAGTTAGCTAGTTTGATTTCATGGGGGTTACTCTTGGTTGCATAAATTTAATTATTTATTTATTTATTTTTTTGAGATGGAGTCTTACTTTGTCACCCAGGCTGGAGTGCAGTGGCACAATCTTGGCTCACTGCAACCTCTGCCTCCCGGGTTCAAGCAATTCTCCTGCCTCAGCCATAAGAGTAGCTGGGACTACAGGCACATGCCACCATGCCTGCCTAACTTTTGTATTTTTAGTAGAGACAGGGTTTCACCATGCTGGCCAGGCTGGTCTCGAACTCCTGACCTCATGATCTGCCTGCCTCAGCCTCCAAAAGTGCTGTGATTAGAGGCATGAGTCACCATACCTGGCTGGTTGCATAAATTTATACAGTATATTTTACTTCTTTGTCTGACTTCCTGCTATTTCCCTCCCTACTGATCGTTTTGTGGGCTGATTTTTTTTTGTAATTTTAATTGAATCATGTTATGCTGTATATGAAGTGAAACCTTTAATGGGATAAATCAAACTAAATAAAATGTTTACTTATAAGGAACTCATTTTTGAGGACTCATTTGGACCCAATTCTCTTCCTGGATCTGGTAGCAAATTGAAAAATGTGCCATCTTGGTCCAGTTCCCAGTTGTTACAGTCTTTTTGATATGATTTAAATGCCAGTGTAGAGTTCTGAAAAGAACTTGGTCTCCTCTTTGCCTGCAGTTTATCATTCTGTCTCCTTTTGGATGAATTGTGTGTCATTCCTATAAAAATACCACAGTTGAAAACAAGCATTTCCCAGCCATGAGCAGTATGCTTCCTGAAAGCATATTCCCTGGAAGGGAATGACATTGCCTATTTTTTCTATTGATCTGAGACATAGTGGGTAGGACAGAGAGCAATTAAAGAATTGGCATAATATAGGGTTTCTCTGTCTCAGCACTTGTGGCGTTTTGGACCAAATAGTCATTTATTGTGAAGGGCTGTCCTGTGCACTGTAGGATACTTACCAGCATCCCTGACCTTTACCCACTCATTGCTAGTAGCACTCTCAGGTCATGACAACCAAAAATGTCCCCTGGGGGTTGAGAACCATTCACATTATTCCACCACATGAATAGTCTGCCTCTACTCTGATTTATTCGACAATCAATAATAGCAATGGCTATAATCTAATAATACATCTATAAATTCATCTACAAATACAGCTACAAATTATTTACTATATGTCTTATTTATAGATATTTGAGAATTCATATTTCCACTTTAGAGGGCAAGGGTAGTATGTTTCTCTGGCATATTAAGTTGATGTTCACATTTCAAACAAAATTATAATGAACAAATATTCCAAATACTGCTTTAAAAGAGAAGATACATATGTCTTTATTAAGTGATATTTTAGACCCTTTTTCAGTGTTTTAAGAATCCTGTACTCTCTTATCTACTGAGGAGGCAAACAGTGTGTGTGTGACTTTGTCATTTTTGGTTGTATTCAATAAAAATATTCTGGGAGCCTCCATTCAGTAAATGAGCTCCATTTGCTTGAAATCATTATTTGGCAAGAAAACAGTTTTCACTTTACAGCTTTAAAAGCTCATAGTTTTATTTTTAAAAGTTAGTCATTTCCATTAGCAGGCAAGTAGCAAGTAAATAAATACAAGAAAACAAAAATAAATGTTTAGTATATTTTCCCCCTAGTTTTTGATTATTGATTTGGTTCATTTTTGGTTTGTGGAAGCAAAAGAGCACATTAGAAATTTTATCCTTTCTGATTTGCCTCGTGAAAAAATTTTAAGATGCATTATATGGATTTAGTATCGTACAGAAGAGACATGGAGGGGGTGGTCATGGAAAATCACACTCTTCCATGTCACATGGACCTGAAATTCAGTCTTCAACTCCCTTAGCTGTAAAATGGGACAGTATCATCCTCCTCATGATGTTCCTGGGAACATTCAGTGATGGACCCAACCTTTGTGAAGTTATTTCTGATCTTGTCCTGCTTTGTTTTTTTGTGGCAAAAAACACATTACCTAAATTTAACCTCATAATCATTTTAAAGTGTATAATACAGTGTTGCTAACTACAGCACATCATTGTACAATAGATCACTAGAACTTTTTCATCTTGCAAAAATGAAACTCTATATTCATTAAACAACTCTTCATTTTCCCTTAACCCCTGGCAACCATCATTCTACTTTCTATCTCCATGAGTTTGACTATTTTAGATCCCTAGCATAAGTGGGGTAATACAGTATTTGTCTTTTTGTAACCACTTATTTCACTTAGCATAACGTCCTCAAGGTTCATAATTTACTTCCTATACCACATTTTCTTCATCCATTCATTTGACAATGGACATTTAGGTTGCCTCCATACCTTGGCTATCGTGAATAATACTGCGACGAAAATAAATGTGCAGATACCTCTTTGTGAGTCTCTTCAATTCTTCTAATATAAACCCCGCTTGTTCTACTTTTTAACTTCCTAGTCTTGTGAACATAATTTTATGATTAGAATAATAGAATCTTCTGTAGTATTTTTGGGCCCTTTTTTGGTATCTCTCTTTTAAAAACATGCCTATCTTCTCCTACTGGTCAGAGTCATCTGATGTCAGGGACTATGTCTTATTCATCTTTGTGTCCCCAGCACTTAACTAGTCCTCAGTAAAGAATGTTGCTTGTCTGACTAATTGGATCCACACATTATTTAATTGATGAGTGTCAATGGAGATTGTGGCATAGAGAAGCCTCTTGATAAATGTAATGTTTTCTCCTTCTACAAGTTAGAGTCATGAAGATGGGATTGTAACAAATGCAGTGCAAAAACATCATTCAATAACATATTCTCCATTGCATGTAAGTGACAGAGAACCTTCTGTCCAAATACGGGATTTTGAAACATAGCAATACATATTCTGGTAAAAATCAACACTGTAGTTTGAAGGATACATGATTAGTGCCTTTTTTCAATGCATTGAATAGCACAGCAAACGAAGTAGAACCAGTTAAACACCAATATTTAGTTAAAGGAAGACAGGCCACACACTAAACTGAGATATTCTTATTAAAGTAAGGAGAAATTCCTGTTATCACCTTCTTGGTTGAGTTTCCACATGCAGACCTCCCTGCGGTTAAGTCAGAGAAGGTCTGCATCTATTTACTTGTTCATTCATTCACCCCTGTGTTAGATAAATTTTTATCCTGCGCTTCCAACATTTTCCCCCAGTCTCTGTGTCTTTGTGGGATTTAAATATCAATGGATATGAACAATGTCCAAATGATTTCCAGAAGTTTTAATGACATTGATTGATAATGTATATGGAATTCCCATCATATGGAATTGACTTTTTCTTTGAATGGAATCAGAACAGTCATGTCAGAATCCAGTATTTGAGAAAAGGGGGACATTAAACATCTTGCTTTGTTTTCTATTTTGTCTTTATTTGGTTGTTTTATGTAACGTGGCGCTGGTTGGTATACCATCTAGTGCTCTGCCAATCTGGTATTTATTTCAAATGTTTTAGCTTGTCCTGAATTAGCTGTGGTTTCTAACATATGTAATTAAAGGACATCAGTACTGGTCTCTACCTGACCAGAGGCATGCCACAGACAGATGATTCTTTGCAAATTACAACCTTGAAACCAAGGAACTCTGTTGGGCTCCCTTGCTGGTGGTGTAGAAGCAGTGTGGAAGTCTACCATGGGTGTATAATGAGAAACTGATGCTGATAAATTTTATAACAAAAATAATACGATTATAATAAACATACTTTACAAGTGGACACGGACTTACACTTTACAAAATGATTTCCCAGTCTTACCTGACACTCATGACCTCCTTAGGAAGCAGGTTTAGACTTCAGAGGAGGTAAGTGACCAAACCCACGCTCCTTCCATGCTTGTTAAAGTAGAGCTGTTGGAAATGTTTGGGTAATTGCCCAGCATCACCTGCTAATATGAGGGCTGCCTGGTTTGTGAGGAGAACAAGGAAGGCTTTGGATTCAAATATACCCAAGTCCAAATCCTTGTTTAGGTGCTTATTAGCTTTGTAACTTTGGCAACTTCTTAGTCTCTTTGCTTCAATTTCTTCATCTACAAATTTGTAATATAATAGTTAACCTGAAGGGTTGATTTAAGTTTGAAATTTTCATGTTTTTTCCCTGACCTCAAGTAGTTGTATCTTTTTCAATATTACTCCCCCAACTCTATGGACACCAACTGGGTGTCCTACAATTTATCTCATCCTGTCACTAACTCCTAGAGTTATTGCAGACCCAAAGGTAAAGGGCTCAGACCCACAAGACTGCCCCTACTTTGGATGCCAGCCACAGTGGAGTGCTCAGATTATCCACACTTCTGCTTAGCTGGCTACAGATTCAGGGGTTCCCTTGATATCCTCCCTCCCCCCACCACCTGGTTTGAGAATTTGCAGAATAACTCACAGAACTCAGGAAAACAGTTTACTTATGTTTACCAGCTTATTATAAAGGATACAACTTAAGAATGGCCAGATGGGGCCTCGGGCAGTGGCTCATGCCTGAAATCCCAGCACTTTGGGAGGCTGAGGTGGGCAGATCACCTGAGGTCAGGAGTTCGAGACCAGCCTGGCCAACATGATGAAACCCCATTTCTACTAAAAATACAGAAAAAGTAGCCGGTCATGGTGGTGTGTGCCTGTAATTTCAGCTACTCAGGAGGCTGAGACAGGAGAATCGCTTGAACCTGTGAGGCGGAGGTTGCGAGAGCCGAGATCACACCGCTGCAGTCCAGCCTGGGCAACAGAGTGGGACTCCCTCAAAAAAAAAAAAAAAAGAAAAAGGAAAAGAAAAAAAAAGAATGGCCAGATGAAAGAGATGCATAGGGCAAGGTATGGGGAGTAAGGAACATGGTACTTTCGTGCCCTCTCCAAGGCACCTCATCTCCCAGCACATTGAGCATTTACCAACCCATAATTTCTCTGAGCCCCATCATTAAGGGGTTTTGTAGAGGTTTTGTTACATAGGCATGGTTGATTAAGTCGTTGGCCATTGGTGGCTGAACTCAATTTCCAGCCCCACTCTCCTCCCCCAGAGTGGGTGGGACTGAAAGTTCTAACCCTCTAATTCCAGGGTTGTTTTTTCTGGCAACCGGACCCCTATCCTGAAGCTATCCGGGGCCACACCCACCAGTCATCTTACATCAGCATATAAAAGACACTCATCACTCAGGAGACTCTGTGGGTTTTAGGAGCTATGTGCCAGGAGCCAGGAACAAAGGCCAATGCATATATTTTATTATGCTTGCAGAAATGGAATAACATCCCAAAATCCTGCCTCCAATGGGGACTTAACAGCACTGTTCCTTTTTTGTAGTACAAGGTTGTTACCAAAAAGGGGCCCCTATCCAGACCCCAAGAGAGGGTTCTTGAATCTCATGCAAGAAAGAATTCAGGGTGAGTCCATAGAGTAAAGTGAAATCAAGTTTATTAAGAAAGTAAAGAAATAAAGAATGATTACCCCATAGGCAGAGCAGTGGCATGAGCTACTCAAGCTGCTTAACTTACCATTACTTCTTGATTATATGCTAAACAAGGGGTGGACTATTCATGAGTTTTCTGATTAAGGAGTGGAAAATTCCCAGTACTGAGGGTTCCTCCCCCTTTTAGACCATATAGGGTAACTTCCTCCCTTTTTCATGGTATTTGTAAACTGCCATGGCACTGGTGGGAGTGTTTCTTAACATGCTAATGCATTATAATTAGTGTATAATGAGCAGTGAGGATGACCGGAGGTCACTCTGGCCACCATCTTGGTTTTGGTGGGTTTTGTCTGACTTCTTTACTGCAAGCTGTTTTATCAGCAAGGTCTTTGTGACCTGTATCTTGTGCTGACCTCCTATCTCATCCTATGACTAAGAATGCCTTAACCTCCTGGAAATGCAGCCCAGTAGGTCTCAGCCTTATTGTACCCAGCCTGTATTCAAGATGGAGTTGCTCTGGTTTAAATGCCTCTGACAGGATAGAGCCAGGACTGGGCCCCAGGCCATCTAGCTGACTTCATATTTCCACCTACAACAAAGTCCTACATCACAGGATTGACAAGGTACAATAAAGGAGTCCTACATTCCCACTCTGTGGAGCTCTGGCTCTAACACCATTTCTAACACATGCTAAACAGAGTAATGGAATCTTCATTGACAAATATTGAGGGCACAGCATTAAGAGGGATTTTCCTGTTATGACTCCTTATTTCCACAAGATGTGGAAGGTTGTGCAAAACAAAGCCAATACACACACACGCTTAGGTCCTTCCTGAGAGCCTAGATTAATTTTATTGCAAACAGAAAGTAGGGAGATATGAAGGTCCATGGCAAGTAGGATAGTACAACACAACACAGTACAATATGACATAATCACAGAACATTTTTCATTAATGGATAAAGAAAATATAGTATCATATACACAATGGAATACTATTCAGCCTAAGAAAATGAAATATTATCATTTGGGACAATATAGATGAACCTGGAGGACATTACGCAAAATGAAATAAGCCAGGCATAGAAAGATACATGCCACATGATCTTACTCATCTGTGGAATCTAAGAAAGTCCAACTCAGAGGAGTGTAAGGGAGTACCCCCATTTTTTTAAGAGGTGGTTTATTTTTTTTTCCCTCTATCACTTTTTTTCTCACTTCCCTGGCTCCCTATTTCCTACCTAGCCCTTCAGAAATGCAAATGTAACCTTTCACCTCCCCCCTCACCAGACATTCCTTACAGGGCAAGTTCATCTAACTATGCACTCCAAGATGGATCTCTCCTGGAGAGTTGACAGTTGATTTGCAGACCAAAGCATACCCCATGGAACTTTCACTTGTAGGGGGTTGCCTCAGAACTTTGATCCACTAGAGGGCATATGGAAAGCATGCCTGCTTGGCCACTTTTACAACTTACATCTGCCCAGGAAGGTGCCAACTCAACTGTAGATAGACAAGGCACCAACCTAACAGGGGGAACCCTGCCCTTGCTCATTCCCCACCCCGCCACCTTATAAAAGTGCCCGCTTTCTGCTCCAAAGGTGAAGCAGTACAGTAGGACATCTGTGCCTCTTCCCCAAGCTAGCTTCGGAAGAAATTCACTTTTTTAGGTATCAGATCTTACTTTTTTTAACTGGACTCTAAATGCAGCAAGCAACTAAGCTGCATTTCAGTTACAGAAGCAGAGTTGAATGGTAGTTACCAGAGGCTGGGTGTTTTGTGAGGGATGGGGAGATCTTGGTCAAAGGGTACAACTTTCAGTTATGGAGGATAAATAAGTTCTGGAGATTTACTGTACAGTTTGGTGACAATGGTTAATAATGCTTCATTGTATATTTGAAATTGACTAAGACAGTAGGTCTTCAATGTTTTCACCACCCCCAAAAAAAAGTATATAAAGTGATGTATATGTTAATTTTCTTGATTTGATAATTTCATTATATATACATATATTAAAAACATCGTGTAAATATATGTAATTTCTAATATTAATTTTTAAAATTTTATTTTTAATTGACATAATAGTTCTATATATTTATGGGGCACAAAGTGATATTTTGATATATGTTTACAATGTGGAATGATTAATTCAGGCTCATTAACAAATTCATCACATGCTTTTCATTTTTGTGGTGAAAATATTTTAAATCTACTCTCTTGGCAATTTTAAAATATATAATGCATTGTAAATATAGTCACCATTCTGTGCAATAGGTCACTAACACTTATTCCTCCTTATTTAACTGAAACTTTGTACCTTTTGATCAACATCTCTCATTTCTTCATACACTCCTCTCCCCCAGCTTTTGGTAACCACATTCTATTTCCACTTCTATGAGTTCAACTTTTTTAGATTCCACATATAAGTGATATCATGCAATACTTGCCTTTCTGTGCCTGGCTTATTTCATGCTGCATAATGTACTCCAGGTTTATCATGTTGTCTCAAATAACAAGATTTCCATCTTTTTAAAGGCTAAACAGTACTCCCTTGAGTATATAGATCACACATTCCTTATCCATCCATCTGATGGTGGACACCTGGGCTGCTTCCATATCTTATCGATTGTGAATAATGCCGCAATGAACATTGGAGTGCCCACATCTCTTCAACATGCTGATTTCAATATATTTCTATTTGTTAATTATACCTCAATAAAGCCGGGGTGAGGAAAAATATATCAGCCACTTGGCAAATTAAAAAAAGAATATTTCCCATGTTCTTTGTCCTAAAGCAAGAATAAATGTAATCAGTTATTTCTGGGAGTCCACACGAACTGTCTGGGATGTGAGAACAGTCCTCAGTCACATATCAGCACTTATTTTCCTCATCAGCTCAGGGCTCACTAGCTTTGACAGGCACAAGCACGTTCCTGCCAAGTCCTTCATCAGAAAATGTTTTCCTAACTCAGGCAGATGGAGATTATCATCAACTTCAAGACCGCCCAAAAGAAGATCCGAGTGCTTCAGTCACTGGGACTGCAGGGAGAAGTGTTCAGACAGAGGGAACCTTGAGCAACTGGATGCTGTGTGAGCCAGCAGAGACGGCCAGGGGAGGGTCCCATGGAATCAAGCCAGAAATGCTCTGTCCAGACCCTTCTTGCCCTGGGCTTAAAGGACAGAGCTTCCTTATTGGGCAACTCCCTTCATCTTAACTCCTTCTATGTATTAATACATGTTGAAAGAAAATTTATTTCCCTGGCTGTTTTTTTTTTTTTTTTTTTTTTTGAGACGGAGTCTTGCTCTGTCGCCCAGGCTGGAGTGCAGTGGCTGATCTCGGCTCACTGCAAGCTCCGCCTCCCGGGTTCACGCCATTCTCCTGCCTCAGCCTCCCGAGTAGCTGGGACCACAGCCACACATCCACCACCACGCCTGGCTAATTTTTTGTATTTTTAGTAGAGACGGGGTTTCACCGTGTTAGCCAGGATGGTCTCGATCTCCTGACCTCGTGATCCGCCTGCCTCGGCCTCCCAAAGAGCTGGGATTACAGGCGTGAGCCACCGCGCCTGGCCTTCCCTGGCTGTTTTGAAATATAGCGCAGTGGGAGAAAATTTGAGGCATAGTAACGCCAACAGGTAAGAATACGACTGCCATTGAAAAGATAGTTTCTCACAGTTCCCAAGAAGAGAGCCCACACCATGCCACGAGGTATATATGGAAATACCAAGATAGGCCATAGGCAGAGGAATCGAGGGTACTGTGGGCAAGAGCCTTTATTTTGTTTTGTTTTGTTTTTGTGGGAAGGGACTGGTGAGGCAGGGTAAGCAGGCTTGGGATTGGCTAGTATGAATCATTTCAGTGGGCTCTGGGGTGGAGGGACTCTCCCTGGTTGTCTGGTACCTGCCCTGGGGTGATTGGGGTAAGGGGATAGTGGCCCAGAGTATGAGAGCCCCATAGAGGGGGCAGTGGGGTGTGGGCTCTGGGTTGGTTGTTTTACATATGAAAGGTGTACTCACAGGGGTCCTTTACTCCCTCTAGGAATTAGCTGGTTCTTGGGGCTGGGGTGGGGAGAACAGTTCCTCCAGGGCCAGCAGCTCCCAAGATGTCAAAGCATCAGAATACAAAAAATAAAATACTTGGTAATACACTGGCCAAATTTTTATATTATTATTGCAAGACCATCCCAGATTCACACTGGACAGAAACGAGTCGCCTTGTCAATGTCTAGATGGGGCTTTGTAAGAAGCCCGGTCATCAAAGGCTCAGCCCAGGCATGGCTTTCTAGGGAACATGCAGTTGGGCTCAGTAGTTATGTGTGGGGCTGATCAAGGAGCCCAAATCTTAGGGGTCCCTTTGGTGAGGGAGGCTCAGCTGAGCAGCACAGAGAGGGCTTGGTGGCAGTTCTGACCTTTTAGATTTAATTGAGTCTTGGATCAGTAAACTTTATGAAATATGTCACATACAACCCAATTTCAGAGGCATTTCTATGTCCATTTTATGAAGATATTAAATCACTTTTTGAAACTGAGATTTTTATCTGGAAGCCTTTTCATGACTTTGTTAATCCAGAGCTGCCTTTTGATTTCTTCTTTTCTTCCTTTTCTTTTTTGAGTAGAAGAGTGATAACAGGACCTGAATAGTAAACACTGTTTTGTTTTTTAACTTGAGAAACACAAGCCCAAATAATAATTTAAAATCTTCAAGAAAAATAGAGATTTTTTTTCTCCCTCATCTAAAATTCACATGGCTGGAGCTGTACCTTTAAGTATTCAGGCTTGATTCTTTCTAAATTGGCAGGGAATTGACCTGCAGTTTTAAAAAGAAGCCTGTTTTTTCCTTATATGCACGTAGAATGTTCATCTACATGTTTAAGGCAACTGCAAATGGTCTCCAGGTGATATAAAATAAAGGGTGTCTGAAATCTAAAGTAATTATAGGGATATAGTATGAAGAAAGGGTCATATGTAAAAATCAGGATTATACTCTTGTGCTTATCAAAATTCTCCAGATAATAATGTTTAAAGATAATTCAAAAACATCTACTAGGCAATTTTATAACTTAAAAAACTCTTAAAATAAATGGTTTTAACCAGATCAATATAAATTTCTGAATCAAATTTAACTTTTAAATTGTGCCTCCTGTAAAACCTTCCAGGTAAGATATAAAGTATTTCAATATTCAGTAATAATCACGGCAACGCTACCTGAAAAGTCAGAGCAGGGCCTCAATCTCCTCTCTAAGATTAGAAAAATGCCCCTTTGTTTTCTCTCCAGATATTCTTCTGATTTCTGCTAGGACCCAATTTTGTCTCGCTTTCCCTCATCTACTTTTCTTTAACCAATAAACATTTATTATGTACCTACCTATTGTTGACAAAAAGAGTCAAACTGTAAAATATTTGAAGACATTTATTCTGAGCCAAATATAAGTGACTAATGGCCTGTCACACAGACCTCAAGAGATCCTGAGAGCATGTGCCCAAGGTGGTTGGGACACAGCCTAGTATTATACATTTTAGGGAGACATGAGACAGCAATCAAATACATGTGAGATATACATTGGTTCGGTCCAAAAAGGTGGGACAACTTTAAGAGGGAGAGGGCTTCCAGGTTTTGGGTAGATGATATAAAGAATTTCTGATTGGCAATTGGTTGAAAGAATTATTATCAATAGAGAGGAGTGTCTGGGTTACAGTAAGGGATTGTGGAGACCAAAGTTTTATCATGCACATGAAACCTCCAGGTAGCAGCTATCAGAGAGAACAGATTCTAAATGTTTCTTAACAGTCTTAAGGTCTGTGTTGATGTGAATGCTGGTTGGCTTTTCCTGAATTCCAAGAGGAAGGAGGGCATAATGAGGCATGTTTGACCCTGCCTTCCCGTCATGGCCTAAACCAGTTTTCAGGTTAACTTTGGAATACCCTGGCTGAGAGGAGGGCTTGATTCCGATGGTTAGGGGGGCCTTAGAATTTTATTTTTGGTTTAGTCTATGCAAAGCCTTCATTACACTAGGTATTGGACATATAGCATTAAACAGGGCAGACACAGTTCCCAACCTCATATCCTTAGCATCAAATGAAAGAAAGATAATTACAGGAGCAATTTCAGGTTATTCATATGATAAGTGTTATGATAGGGAAGTACAGTGGATGATAGACCAAAATGTTTGAAAACATTTTGAGAGATGATTTAATAAAATTTAATGTAATTTAATTTTTATGTTTTAAATAAAATTTAATTTAATAAAAAGAGAGTCATCTATTGTGGACTTTTGAGGATCAAAGCTATTGATCATCAGTGGTAGGTGGTCTACCGATGTACTCCTTTCTGAGGGAAACCCTGGTCTTTTGTGCAATATATGAGAAGAAAGACTGAACCATCTGGCATGAGAAGGAAGTGATACCCTGGTTTGCTGACACGCATCCCACCATCATTAAGGGAGCTGGCCTTATGATAGATCCTATTCTGCAGAAAACAGAAGGGATGGTAGAATGAAAAGAACATTCTAGAGGTAGTGAACATATGTGCAAAGGCCCATGGCTGGGGATTGAGAAGGAAGAGAGGGAAGTTTGCAGGGTTGTAGAGGACCCTGCCTGTTGTCTATCCTCAGGGCAGTGGGAACCCTCTCAAGGGTTTTATTAGCGGTTGTTGTTTAATGACATTGCCCTGCAGGAGAGTCACTTTGGCTGCAGGGTGGGCTCAACAGGGGTGAAGGAGACTGGTCACAAGGCTGTTCTGGTAAATCAAAGAAAGTTTCTCAAACATTTTGGTCTTAGGGCTCCTTTACACACACAAAGTATTGAGGATACTAAAGAGTTTTTGTTTTGTGGTTGTACCTACCAATATTTGCCAAATTAGAAATTGAAACAGAAAATTTAAAAAGTATTTAACTCATTAAAAATAACATTAATTAAACCATTACATGTTAACTTGACATTTTTTTATAAAACAGAACTCTATTTCAAAAACCAAAAATCTAGGATAATAGGATACCATTGCTTTACATTTTTGCAAATCTCTTTAAAGTATAGTCTAATGGAAGCCTGATAGAGTCTCATTTGCTTTCACTGTCAGTCTGCTGTGAGTGCTTTTTAGTTTAAGTACGCAAAGAAAATCCAGACTTATGCAGATGTATACTTGGAAAATGGAGAAATATTTTAATGGTCTTTTCAGATAATTGTGCATATTATTCTTTGATACCACACCAATATTCAACAGATGGTAGTTTCTTAAATGTTAGTTGCAAAGGGGAATCTGAAACGATATCAGTACACTTAAATTCTGTACATTGAAAACCATTAATCTCTCTTGAACTTTGAATGGGTTTTATTCATGCATGATATGATGTTGTAGATGCCTGCAAGGACCTTGGAGATAGATCCCTAGGGGTCCCTGAATCACCTCTTGAGAACAGCTTCAGAAAATCAAAGAAGCTATGATAGGAACCTGAATGAGGGAGGTAAAAGGAACAGTAGAGATGTAATGAGAGATGGATAAACACAGCATTGCTGGAGAATTGAGGATGGATCTCATTTAGGGAAAGAGGAAGAGATGCCTCCCAGGTTCTGGCCTGGGTGAATGATGGTGCATTCATTGATAAGAGAGCACAGGTTGAGAATCAGGTTTGGGCAAAATGAGGTGAATTCTTTTGGGCATGTTAGAATTAGGGTGCTTTCAGACATTCTAGAAGTGATGCACACTTGAGCCTGAAGCTCATGAGAGTCCTCGCTCAAGGACAGATTTGGGTTGAAAATCTTAAGTGTATGCAACAATAAATAAAGCCAGAGAGCAGGCAAGGTAACCAGCAGAGAGTTCTCCACAAGCTCAAAGAGAGGTGACTGAGGGAGGAAATCTATAAAGTACTGACATTTATGGGACAAGAAGGAGGAAGAGGAAATCTAAGAGAAGACTGAGATGAAGAAGAAAAACCAAAAAGATGTCATGCTGTGGAAAGCAAGGAAGGAATGGGAGTGCTTCCAGAAGAAGGAAGTGGCCCATGGGGGTACGTGCTGCAGTGGTTCAGGAATATAAAAACTGATGTGCTGCTGAGCTCAGAGCATAGGCCTGCAGTAGCAGCGCACTGGGGAGGGAAGTGCAGGGGTCAGGATACTTCATCCCTCACTCCACGCTTCATACCACTTGCCTTCGTTGAACACCTGCTCAGGTGTAGGCATAGAATTTTTCTAACACATCCCTCACTTTTATGATGGTTATAGTTAATACTGTGGGGAAAGTAGAGAATAAACAAGTCAACCAATATATGCTTATAATCTTACGGGAATCCCCAAACAAGCTCTAAAATGTAGAGAAGACAAATTCACATTTCCTTACATTCAATGCTAAGATCCAAAATGCTCTGGAAACTAAAAAGTTGGTCATATCTCATTTGGTGGCAAAACCAAACTGAGAAGACTTTAGGATGGTTACAGTCTCTTTTTAGCCCATTAAGTTACTATTTACACTACTCAATAAAAATAGTCAGTATTCTTGTTTTGTGGTGCTGCCTCAGACCCAGCTGGAGGTATATATAAATTACATCACCCCTTTGAAATCTGACAATGTCTGAATCCCTAACAAATCCACAAGGATTGCATATAAGAGATCATGGACCTGTTCTGTCTCTGTTTCACAAATGAGTTAAAAAAGAAACAAAGGTTAAATAACTTCTTCATATTTACACAGCCACACTAGGCTACTGCACCAAGCTGTCTCTTAAGTAGGATATCCAACATCAAGTAAAGTAGCTCATATATCCATCCACCTGTCCATATGTCCATCCATCCACCCACCAACTCACCAACCCATCCATCCATCCATCCACCCATGCATCTACCCATCCATGCATCCATCCATCCATCCATCCATCCACCCACCTGTCCATTCATCCATCTACTCATCCATCCACCCATCCTTCCACCTATCCATGCATCCATCCATCCATCCATCCATCCATCCATCTATCCATCCATCCACCTGTTCATTCATCCATCCACTCATCCACCCACCCATCCTTCCACCTATCCATGCATCTATTCATCCATCCATCCATCCATCCACGCATCCATCTACATCTACCCATTCATCCATCCACTCATTCAGCCACCCATCCATCCACCCATCCTTCCACCCATCCATGCATCAATTCATCCATCCATCCATCTACCCATCCACCTGTCCATTCATCCATCCACCCATCCATTTACTCATCCTTCCACCCATTCATGCATCCATTCATGCATCCATCCACCAATCCATCCACCCATTCATCAATCCACTCATCCATCAACCTATCCATCCACCCATCCATCTATCCATCAACCTGTCCATTCAGCCATCCACCCATCCTTCCACCCATCCATGCATCCATTCATCCATCCATCTGTCCACCCATCCATCCACCCATTCATCCATCCACTCATCCATCCAACCACCCATCCACCCATCCATCTACCCATCCACCTGTCCATTCATCCATCCACCCATCATCCACCCATCCTTCCACCCATCCATTCATCCATCCATCCATCCATCCATCCATCCATCCATCCATCCACCTACCCATCCACCCGTCCATCCATCCATTCATCCATCCACCCATTCATCCATCCACTCATCCATCCACCTATCAATCCACCCATCCATGCATCCATCCGTCTACCTATCCATGTATTTATGGATGAGTATCCATTCATCCATCTATCTATCCACCCACCCATTTGTTTGTCCAAAACATTTACTTGAGACTCTGTTATGGTTCAGACTGTTGAGGTAATGGTTCAAAGTTACTGGAAAAGTGGTGAAAACTCCTTTTTTAAAAAGTAGGAGCTGCAGAAAGCATTCTTCCATAGATGCTACTCAAGGGCTCTGGGAACTGAAGGAATGATTGTTTGTTTGTTTGTTTATTTACTTCAAGACAGTCTCGCTCTGTCGCCCAGGCTGGAGTGCAGTGGTGTGATCTCAGTTCACTGTAACCTCCGCCTCCTGGGTTCAAGCAATTCTCGTGCCTCAGTCTCCCGTGTAGCTGGGATTACAGGCACTCGCCATTATGCCTGGCTAATTTTTTTGTATTTTTAGTAGAGATGGGGTTTCACCATGTTGGCCAGGCTGGTCTCAAACTCTTGGCCTCAGGTGATCCACCCACCTTGGCCTCCCAAAGTGCTGGGATTACAGACATGAGCCACTGAGCCCAGCCTGAAGGAATGATTTAATACTGAGCTGCATCCTGGCTGTATCCGGTATTGATCAACAGAGTTCTTCCAGCTCTCTTACCATTTACTCAAGGGCAAGGACCACATCTCATCTCCTGTGTCCTTTATATTATCCTTACGGGGCCTATTTTAGTGTTTGGAGACTGTGGTCTCTCAAAAAACAACTGGGAGGAATCGAATGATTAATTTTCTATGTGCTGTAGGAGGCAGAAGGATAAAAACAGGGCAGTACAAATGCATTTCAGACGGCAGCCTCCAAAGGAATTGCAGAATTATTTTCTGAAAAACAGAATAAAGAAAGCATGCCTTCAAATGTCATTAGAGAAAACTACTCTCCAAGGGAGAGGAAAGGCTATGGGAAAGCAAAATAGAAAAGCAGTACAACTAAGTGCATATTCTTGCAATTGTGGGGAGGCCTGTGGGGGAAGGTATATGTAAGAGTCACAGAGGAAACAACACACTCAAGAGGTTATAACATCACAACAGAAGTGCTTCACAGGCTCAGAGCCAAGAAACACATCCCTAAGTTCATGGAGGGAACAGTAGATGAGGACATTCAGTGTGGAGAAATTGAGGGCAAGGGTAAAGTTGCATTCCACGACAGAGAACAGAATGACATCTACTCTGGAGAGCTGGGCACAGGATCCAGTTGCCTGGGAAGTACCCGCACCATTTCTGGGAATTTGGCTGAATCAGATGCGGAGACCTGGAGCTGAAACTTCCCACAGCTGTTGCCTGGAATGGAGTGGCGAGCTTTGGATTTGAATAACTCCATGGATTTAACCTGCAGGTTCTGGAGAAGACCAGGACATTTTGCAAAAGCATAACGCAAACCACTCTTGAAGGAAATGACTCAGACAAATGAAGTCTTTGCTCCAATGCTGGTATCTTGTCCATTTTTGACTCTTGACCAGGGGCTCACCCATAGATCTGGTGCTGGGACATGCCCTGCTTCCACATTGAGGTCTCTTGCCCATGTTGGACCCTATGTTCACCCTGGAGCCCCACCTGCCACCTGGTCTTGGCTTAGCATCTTTGTCTTGGGACAGCACGTCCCACGTCCTGAGCTATGAACAGGAAGGAACCCTGAATCTCAGGATGAGATTGTTAACTTTAAAACTATTTTTTTTTACATGAGAACCTCTCCTTTTCCCACAAGAAAATCTAGTGCCCAACCCCAATCCTTAAAACAGATAAAAGTAGAGGCTTTTGGGTGGAGGCTAAGCAGTGGTGAGATGGAAGGGGGTTAGCAGAATGAAACCCATGCCCCTCAGCTTTCCAGGCCCTGGGACCTGAAGATACAGTAATGTGGTAGGTTACTATTTTAATGAATTACATGGAATTTTCATTGAGAAAATCATCAAGGGTATACTTGTATACACATACACAGTTTTGATATGTATATTTTCTGTATTCTGCATTATGCTTCCATAAAAGATGGAAATACTTCACCAATGAAAAGATAATAAGGAAAGAGCCAGATCCTAAGTATGCATTATCTAGTTGAATAAAATTAGAACTTAGATTTTCCATATCACATTTCAGATGACATGCTGTTTAGAGAAATTAGAATCACAAAGTTGAATCTAATCCTTGTATGTGTTGCCTATCAGTTTCTGAAAAAGATTATTTTAAAAATCATATAATGTTTCTCTGGATTCTGTAGTGATTCCAAGGAAATTAAAATGAACTTTAGAGAACCCTTTAACCCCCTCTCCCCAAGAATAGTTCTTGAAAGGATTGCTTAAGAATTCACCACCACTGCTCCCCACTCTCATCTTTAATTCATTTTTCGTGATTGTGGGGGAAGAAATGGAGCTTTAGGGATGGGGCAAGGGATGAAAGAACCAGAAACCCAAAGCCAGAACTAGGCTTTACTTTCATGTGACTGCACCAGATTACTCAGGAAGAGGGGGAAGCTCAGTTTTCAAACAGACATGCTCACTCTGCAGAGGTTGAAGTGGGGAGGTGTTAGAGATCCCAGGAAGCAGGGGGTGCCCGGGATTACTCAGTGTTCCCTGAGGGTGAAGACATTTCACAAAGTGGGGTTGCTTTAACAACCTTTCTTCCCTTCCTTTCCCAATTTTACAAACCATCTGTTGCTGTCTGGGACACATCGACCCTGTTCAAAGCGCGGCTGTCCCAGGGGAGCAGGCCTTGTAACAGTGGGCATGCCTTGTCATGGGTGTCGTCAGCTCGTTACTGATGGTGTATGTTTGCCAAAAGAACTTGCTTTTTCTGCTAGTATTGCCAAGTTTTATTGGAAACATGTGGGTCCTATGTCTTTTGGAGAAAACAGAATCTCCACTGTGCCAAGAATTTTACATGCATAATCTCATATATGTCTCACAAATTCCTAGGAATGGCTATGATTGTCCTCTGTGAAAGGACAAGGTTTGGAGACATGAAGTTGCCTGAGATCACACAGTGAGTAGGCGGTGGAGGCAGGATTCCTACTCAGACAGCCTTAATTAAAATTCTGGGACTCTTAATGATTTCACTAGCCATGCAAATGAAATACTTTAGTGTGGCAGGAGGAAAGAAACTATATACCACTCTAATTAGTCACTGGAATGTGTAGTTAATGTAGGCAATGACCTCATTCATTTGTAAGCGTTTGATGGGAGGAAAGTTCCACTAATAAAATATAGTTTTAAAAAATGAGATTGAAGACTTCATTAGGAAAACATATTAACTTATTTCCTTGGAATTAGAATACATGTAATGCTTTATCTCAGTTACGTAAGCAGAACAAAAAATTAATAGGCAGTAAAGATCCAAAAAGGTGAAAACAGAAAAATAAAAACTCCCATTAAAGCAGTATAAGTAATTGATAGACAACCAGGGGTTTATTTTTCTTTTGTAGAAGTAAACAGCCTCAGATCTCTCTTCTCCTGCTTGCTTATTCTGTACAGACATTTCCTTTCAGGACTGTGAAGATGTCATGCCATTATCTTCTGTTTTTACTGTTTCTGCTGGGAAATCAGCTGTGTATATGTCTTACTGTTGCCCCTTTGAAGTTAATATGCCCTTTAAATTTTTTCTGGATGCTCTAAAGGTTTTTATCACTGTTGTTGATTTCCAGCATTTTACCATGATGTTCTCTAGGTATGGTTTTCTTTGTATTTACCCTGCTTGTGGTTCACTGAACCTCTTGCTTCTATGGGTTTCATGATATTTGAGAAATCTTCAAATATTGTTTCCACCATAATCTCTTTCTCCTTCCCTTGTAGCACTTCAATTGTATATATATTAAACTACTTCATCATGTCACATTTGTTTCTTATATACTTTTTTGGTATTTTATACCCTTTTAAATTCTCTATTCTTTATTCTGGATTTTTCTATTGGCCAATCTTTCAGTTTCCTAATCTTTTATTTGACTGTGACTAATCTGCTGTTAAATCTATCTATTCAGCTCTTAATTTCAGTTATCGCATTTTTCAGTTCTAGAATTTTCATTTGGTTTATTGATTTGAGTTTTCTGCTGAATTCACATTTGTCTTCTAATTTCTTGAATATATGAATCTTAGTTATTTAAAAATCTATTTTTGATCATTCTCATATCGGGATCTGTTTCTATTACCTATTTTTTTTTTCTTTTGGTCCTACTTTCTTGTATGCCTGGAAAGTTTTCATTGCATAGTAGATATTGTATATAGGAAACTGTAGAAGCTCTATCTCTGCTGTCTAGTAGAGTAGCTGTAGGTGGCGATTGAACACTTGCAATGTGGGTTGCTTTTGTGTCAGGTACCCACTGGTTCATATCAATGTGCTCCTCTTTCCTTGAGACATTGGCCAAGTTCTAGCTACCAGGTGTCTTCAGACAGATCCTTTGGCATTTTGTCCAACTTTCCAATCGGGCATCAGCAGGATCAGGCTGCTACAAACCAGACCCTTGGAGCCAGAAGTGGGCTTCCATGGCCATCTCCTGCACTACTTCCTCCCTCATAAATACTAATCTACTTGCTTTTCCTCTTCTCTGTTTATCACTTGGATTCAAAAAAATCTACTAGAATATGTCCTCCATGGAGAAGTTTTCCAAAGTGAGACTGGACTGCCCTGTATTCCTCTGAAGGTGAAGCTGCTTAAACAGAACCTGACCAGTCAGGTCCCCAAAGAGGATCAGGCTTGGACTCTGCTGGGAAAAAATATAGGAATTCCGACATCAGCAGCTGCACTCTTGACTTTTGTTACACTTGCTTTAAAAACTTAGAAGCGATAATAGTAGCTGGGTGGTGCATACTTGTAATCCTATCTACTCAAGAGGCTGAGGCAGGAGGATTGTTTGAGCCCAGGAGTTTGAGACCCAACTGGGCAACATAGCAAGATCTCGTTTCTATTTAAAAGATTAATTTTTAAAAAGTAAAGAAAAAGATATTTTGAGGCTAACCTCCAGATCACCTCTTATGTTATAGAACTTTGGGAGCTGGAGTGAGTCCAGAATTACTTGTTTGCTGTCTCTAGAATGTTCTTTCCACTCCAACATCCCTTCTAATGTGACAGTGGTGAACAGTCTGTCTGCCCAGGTTGACACTTAGATGTTCACAGACAAGCAGTGCCCTCCAGCTCCAGCCAAGGGGTATGGCCTTGAACTTAGTGCTGCTCAACACGGGAAAAGCTAAGTGAAGGATGGGCATGTAGCCCAACTTTCCTCTTACATACCCAACATCTGTGCTTGGATTAAATCAACCACATACTACCCTGAGTGTACCATAGTGCAACCAACCAAAGAATCTTTATTGAATTTCACTTTGGATGAATGCCATTGGCAATGATGGAAGATGGCAAAAGAAAGCTTATTTTGCTTGTGGGAATTTTTTGTTTTGTTTTGTTTTTTAACTGAGACAAGGTCTTGCTCTGTCACTCAGGCTGGAGTGCAGTGGCACGATCTCAGCTCACTGCAACCTTGACTTTCTGGACTCAAGTGATCCTTCCACCTCAGTCTCCCAAGCAGCTGGGAGTACAGGTGTTAACCACCATGTCTGGCTAGTTTCTGTAGTTTTTGTAGAGATGGTGTTTCAGCCTGCTGCCCAGGCTGGTCTTGAACTCCTAGGCTCAAGCAATGTACCTGCCTCAGCCTCCCGAAATGCTGGGATTTTAGACATGAGCCACTACACCCAGTCCACACTCTTACTGTTATGGCTACTAATTTTCTCATAGAGTTATAGCTACTGCAGCTCTTTCCAGTCTTACCTCCTCTCTCCAATGTAGTATCTACACTAGCCAGAGTAATTGTATTAGTTTTCTAGTGCTGCATAACAAACTAGCTCCAAACTTAGTGGCTTAAAACAACAAACGTTCATTTTACCATGTCTGTGGATCAGGAATCTGAGCAAGGCTTCACTGGTGCCTGACTCAGGATCTCTCACAAGGATGCAGCAAAGGGGTTGGCTGGGGCTGAGTGATCTGCGGGCTCAACTCGGATAGGATGCACTTCCAAGCTCACTGACGTGGCTGTTGGCAGCCCTGAGGTCTTGGCTGGCTGTTGGCTGGAAACATCAATTTCTTGACCCATGGATCTCTACACAGGGCAGCTCACCACATGGCAGCTCCCTTCCTTTGGAGTGAGCAAGGGGTAGAGTGAGAGAGAGAAGCCAAGACAGAAGCCACAGGCCTTTTGTAACCTAATCTCAGAAGGGCCATCCCATTCTTTTGCTTGTATTGTATTCATCAGAAGCAAGTCACTAAGTCTAGTCTGCACTAAAGGGAGAGGATCACACAAAGGCATGAATTCCAGGATCTGCAGATCACCAGGGGCCATCCTGGAGGCTTTCTGCCACATCCCCTGACTACACAAAGCCAGCACGCCTCTGCTGGAAATCCTCCAGGGGGTCCACCGTGCTCTTCAGATGGAGTGCAGACCCTGTTGCATGGCTGGCAGGGCCATCCAACCACGCCACTCACCACTCTGGGCTTATTTTGAGAGGCTTCATTCCTGGCCCATTTGTTTTTTCTACAAAGAAGAAAAATGGATTCCATTAAGTTTCATTTTTTTCTCTGTCCCAGATGATATTTTCAAAAAGTAGCAAACTTACCTAAAAAGCCCAAAACAGGATGCTGAAAATGTCGCCAGACTAATGTACAATCCAAGAATGGGTCCCTGAATAATTTACAGTTCCCTGTAACTGAACAGAAACGGGTAAAAGCAGTCAGCGGCTAGCACTTGCTACTGTGTCAGGTACTGCCCAGACAACTTTCCATGGATTGACCCATTTACCCTCCGAAAGCCCTAAGCAGTGTCCTCATTTCACAGATGATGTGCAGGCAGGTCAGAGGCGGGGGGCTGGCTTGGAGCCTGCCCCTATGCCACGTATGCTGCCCTGGCCCATGGATGCTCCCAGACCAGGCAGGCGACCGCGTGGAGTCTACAGCTGCTTCCTGTGCATTTCACAACGCCCAGTACAGCACTCAGGATGGGATTTGATTCCTGAAAATAGCCTTTGTTAACTACTTCAGCCTATACACAATATTTTAAGTGAAGGGGTGGAAACAAGTTTTTGAAATATTTTTAATGTGTATTAGGATTTCATAAATTTGATAACAGAAAAAGCCTTTTTGTAGTTGTTTTTTGTTTTACCTTTTTTCCTAAGTAATCCTTTGAAATGTGGGCATTTAAAGAAGAAATTAAAGTTTCTCTGGACACAAGATTCTGCTTTAGAAGAATTTCTCCAGAGAGTTCTCAAATCGATTCTTTTCTTTCCTAGAAAAATGTAAACAACCACAATTGTTGGGAACCATCCTGTGTTGGAAGGTTTTGCCATTGATGGTCTGTCCAGGTGATTTTAACTTTCTCTTATATGTTTCTTCATTCATCTTTTAGCACCTGTGATGATATTTTTGGGATTAAGCAGCAGATAATTTTTCAATCGAAGGAGTGAGTGACATGAAGACGACGCTGGTTTGGGCTCAACTTCAAGAACTCTCCTGTAGCAGGGCATGGCTTATTTACAATGGAAGGAGCCTGACTGCTGGACGGCACCAGCAGAGAGAGGTTGCCCCCTCTGATGTAAAAGCTGGAACTCCTTTCCCGCCCTAATTCTAAACCACTTACTTTAAAATGACTTCCATGTGGTATGGACAGAAATGCAAATGGAGCAATCACATTTCCTTTGCAAGTATTAGGCTGCACATTTTTTTTTTAACAGAAAGAATGTCAATAAAAGATCTAGGTCTCTGATAACAACACATGGGCCCAATTATTTCAGAAACCAGTTTTATCCTACATGATCCAGAGCACTGGGGACTTTCCAGCATTTTCCATTGTGCAGTCTCTCAAAGTTCAGACTTAGGATTCTTACGTAAAGCATCACTTTTTCACTTAACCCATCCTATTCCCCTGCCCCCAAATTCCAAATGTCTGTTTTTATTTCACATTTTTAAGCTTACTTAATTGACAAATAATAATTGTATATATTTGGGTACAGTGTAATGTTTTGATATATTTTTACATTATGGAATGTTTTAATGTATGCTTCATTAACGGTGAAATGATTTCTGCTAACTATCCCTCATTTTGCAATCCTGAGCAGTTAATGGGAGAAAACAAAAACAACAATTTATGCATCTCTAAGTAGCATGAGTTCAAACGGGCCTTGTCGGAATCTAAGTGAGCCATCTGCCAGTTAAAAGTCGGACTTTCTGTCTTTTTTAACCATGGAAGAGAGTTTATTTTCCAGCTGAACACATTTTTAAAAGGGCTTTTAAGAAGCTAATCATATTAGGGGTCGTCCAGATATCATTGCCTGGGGCACAGGGGGCCACCCAGCCTCCTGTCTAGATAGAGATAGCTTCTCTCTGGAATCTCTTTGTCTTACCCCTTTCTGATGGCCACACCCCAGGGTGCTCTAGGACCAAGATCTCTGAAGCACTGGCCCTCCCTCCTGGCTATCTTGACATTTCTCTCCTCTCTCTTCCCCAATTTCTCACTGTTGCTCTACCCAGAAACAAATTTGCTAATAATCATTTTAAAAATGCACATTTTTGCACACCTCCCCACAGTTGGAAAAACAACCCTTTATGTCAAATGCACATGTGAGCTTCCAAAGCACAGTCATATTTTGTTCTCACTTAATCTTCACCCAAACCCAATGAAGCTACTTACAGTCACTGCCTGCTTTCCAGAAATAAAGAAACGAGGCTCCCAGGACAATGAGATCAGCCCAGGGATGTGCCCTTTGTATGTGGTAGAGCCATCTGTGGACACAAGGTGCAAATGGTATTCAGGATGCATAAGTCACTCGGTTCAGGGGCCTTGCCACATCTAGCTGAGTCTTCCTTGTGCTGTGGTCTCTTGCCCCCAGTCCGTCTCAGCTCCTGCCACTCCCTGGACCCCAGTCACATGGTTGATCCCCAAATGTAGGGAGGACATTACATCCTTGAAATACATGGTTACTAAGGATGTGGAATTGTAATGTGCCAGGTGGGGGCAGATCCAGGACATAACATTATAAAGGCAAACTCACCTGAGAAAGGTTACTTAGAATGAGAAAAGAAATCACAGTAAATTATGTATTTTTGAACAAATACCATGGATTTCACAGTATCATAAAAATAACATTTTTATAAGTTGACACACCTCTGAAATACTTGCTTCTTGAGGAATTGTACTGCATTGGTGGTGATTTGCGTGTTTCATCAGGAACTGTCTACTTCTTGAGGACAAGATTCATTAGAATTCCTAATTTGCCAATTGCTACTCTGTGGTGGGTAAGATGTGCCTTTTAAAAGTAATGCTATGGTGCTTTGCCTGACAAAAGAGGAGTTCTGATAAGTTTTATTGCACGTGACTTTCATCAAAATGGAGAAAAATATGTTGTGTTTATAATTAAATTTACTGCACTTTAAGCATTTTCCTGACCAGAAAACTTAGCTTTTGCCTAGACATCAGTGAGAACTGCTTACTCCTTATAAATGTAAAGACTGAGATAATTTTCTATAGACTAGCTCCTGGCCCTTTGAAGCATGTTTCTCTTCCACCACCCACATGTATGGAGCTGTAGGAAATAAGAGTACCTTCACACTGAGACACGAGAGGACTGGCACAGTCTGCAGGGTACCATTCCACGAAGTCGTTCCTCTGGATTGGCTAGCAGTAAGTTACTTATACATGGAAGTGACTAAGCTGTGAAAATATCCCCAACAGTCCAATTAAGCATGTCCCTTGAACCTTCCCATTAGCTGGATCTCGAAATGCCTGCGGCCACTCTGATGTCCCCCAACATGAGGGACAGTGTGAGTGAAGGGCAGTGGGAATGAGCATTGGAAACCAGTTGCCATGACAACACTGCTCTTTTCAAATCTCACAGAAGCAAGAACACGCAAACACGTTGTTGGGGGTCCCACCTATGGCCTTAGAAGCGTCCTGTGCAAGTGATGGGTTGGGAGTGAACACCTCATCAGCTTCAGAGTTGGAGGGGGATGCTCTACGCAGGGGCCGGGGGTTATGGGTGAATTGTGACTTCCCCACAAATTCATTTGTTGGACACCTAACCCCAGTACCTCAGAATATGACTGGAGTTGGAGATAGGATAAAGAGGTGATTAAAATGAGACTGTCAGGGTGGACCCTAACGCAATATGACTGGTGTCCTTGTCAAGAAGAGGGGATGAGGACACATGCATGGAAGGATGACCATGTGAGGGCACAGGGAGAAGACTGCCACCTGCAAGGCAAGGAGTGAGGCCTGAGCCCATTTTTCCTCACAGTCCTTAGCAGAACCAACCCTGCTGACACCTTGCTCATGGGGTTCCAGCCTCCAGAACTGTGGGATAAGAGATTTCTGTTGTTTTAGCGCCCCCTTGTGTGGTTCTTTGTTGTGGCAGCCCCAGGAAGCAAATAAGTGGGACACCTGGGATGCTGTATTGGATATTTGCGGTTGAGTTGTAGGCGAGTGTTTAGTTTTTCAAAAGTATTTTGTGTGTCTATCTATATACTCTTTTACATACCAGCAATTAGAGTTTGCACAAGATATAAAAGAAATCTCTGCCTCTTGTACTGACAGTCTAGTGGAAGACATAGACACACATAAATTTGTTATCATAATTATAAATAAAATATGTGTACAACAACAAAAATACATTAGTGCAGTGTGGATGCATCATAATTTTTATGTCAATCTTATTCACGATTCAGGCCAAGTGGTATGCCAAGATCACATCCTTTTCTCTGTGGGAGTCTGTGTGCCGCTAGAAGACAAACCTTCCTTTTCAGAAACAAATGCATTGCTTTTGTTATCCTCCCAGAAGGTGAACTCTGGATTGTGACTATCTGCAGATCTTTTGCTCTCGTTCCTGAAATTTCTGTTGTCTTTGTCCTTTTCTAAGAGAATAATGCGTTTCATTCATTTATTTGTTTATTCCTCATTTATTGGACACCTATTTTTCCAGGTGGTATTCTAGATTCTGAGAATAAAGACATAAATAAAACAGGCCCACGCCCCTGCCTCTCTGGGTACATCCGTTCATTCCGGTGGAGGTCAAGGTAGCCAGAACCTCATGAGGAGGTAGAGGCGTGTGGGCAAGGAGGCGATTGTAGTGGGGAAGCTGGAGCTGGGAAGCACCTGCCGGGCGGGAGTCTGCAGTTTTGAATATGGTGATCACTGAAGGTCTTTCAGGGATGAGGTGCTGTCCATTCTTATTGCAGTTAGGGGTTTTGTGCTTCTCCTGATTTCTGAGGGGTCAGGAGCAGAGATGAGCCACTGTTACCTTGAGCCCACTGCCTGACCCTGGAAGCCTTGCTCAGGCTGATTATGGGTCAGTGTCCGGTCTCAAACTGTCTGGCCCTCTGGGTCACTCTGCTTGCAGAACTGAATGTCTCACACCGGCCTCCCTGCCCACATCTGAAGGGTGGGAGTGCCAAGCAGCTCTTCATGCCTGGTGCTGGGATTAAGTGAAACTTTTGCTAACGATTCAGCTGAGACCAAGCTGGCAGTTTTCCGGAGACACAGAGGGTGAGTGTAGCAATTTGGGCATGGAATCAAATTCATATAAAATGCTGTTCAGCTCTCCTCTTTCATGACCAGAAACACAGTTTCAATGCCAAAAAACACTTAAAGCCCCACCCTCTGGATGCTGCAGATGACTCGGACTGGGCGTTTCACAGAGATTCTGAGTTTTCTTTCAAGCAGTCAAGATTTCTTTTAGAAAAAAATAGATACGATGGGGTTATCACAAGTGATTTCTATTCTTGTATTTGATACCTTTCATATTCTCCAGGTTTTATTTTATAACCTGGTTAACTTTTATAATAAGAGAAAAATTAAGCTCAAACAAACAAAAAACCACACTGGATTTGGATAAACTTGAGACTCCCGTAAGTCATCCTTGGTTGATTCCAAAGCCCATCTGATGGAGTTGGAATTTTATGTTTAATTCCGTCAAGCAGCACACTTCTGCTTCTGCACATTTTCCCCAGGAAGTCACGAGAGGAAAGTAACAAAATTAAAGACAAATAGACTTCTTTAACTGCTAGGAAACATTTTATAAAATCCTATCTGGGCAAACTGGCCTCTTATTTTTTATTTTTATTTTTATTTTTTTGAGACGGAGTCTCGCTCTGTTGCCCAGGCTGGAGTGCAGTGGCGTGATCTTGGCTCACTGCAAGCTCCGCCTCCCGGGTTCACACCATTCTCCTGCCTCAGCCTCCCAAATAGCTGGGACTACGGGCACCCGCCACCACAACTGGCTAATTTTTTATATTTTTAGTAGAGACAGGGTTTCACCATGTTAGCCAGGATAGTCTCGATCTCCTGACCTTGTGATCTGCCCTCCTCGGCCTCCCAGAGTGCTGGGATTATAAGCATGAGCCACTGCACCTGGCCCTGGACTCTAATTTGTTTGAGTTCAGACAATTAAGAAATAATAGTATTGTTTTTGTTTTTAAAGAAAGGATAAGAAGAAACGTGGGCCTCTAAAGATCATCATGGCAAAAGGTAGCCCTGCTTGCCTTCCAGTCAAAGCCTTCCCGGCTGGTTTGTGCAAAGCTCCAGAGCCGCCTGCTGCTCCTCCCCTGAAATGCTTTGCTTGTTTTCAGAAGTGCTGCATGGAGGCAAGAGGCTCTCTTCTTGGTTTTCTAAATTCACATCTATCTTAGGAAGGGGGTGGAACTGCACACCCTGGGCTTCGCTGTTAGTGGGAGATGACGCGGCCATCCCTCATCCCTCGGGATTGTGGACAGGGTGCTGGCCTGCAGAAAAGGACATACTGGGGCTTTATTGCTTCTGGGCTGGGAAGCGTTTCAGGGCTCCGAAGCCCACACCCATCTGAGGAAGCGCTGCTGCACTGGCCTGGGCCTTGGGCAGGTGGCATCAAATCCGATGCTGGGCTCTCACACGCTCTGCTGGGGCATTATGGACCATCTTTGCAGTTTGGCATGTTCCAAATTAACAAGGGCTCTGCTCTGTGGCCTCTTCCTAGCTGTTGATTCTGAGTGAGTGATCATTTTAGTAGAATTTAGATGTTCCAGCCTGGCATTCTGAGGGCAGCTGTCCTTAAGTAGAGCAGAGACAGAGATGAAGCTACAGCTGCAGTCTGTGATCAGAGCCAAAGCACGTGGACCTCCTGCAGCCCCTAACCCTTCTGCGTCACGAGCACCCTAAATTGCAGAAGGAAGCTGAAGGGGCAGAGGGGATATGGTGATTTTAAACTGTAAGGAACTTCAGGGCAAGTTTTGCACTGATTGGGTCTTTGCAATGTAATTTTTCTTAAAAAGCTTGTTGTAAAAGCATAATTAGAATGTTTTGCACATTTCTTTCTATTCAATGGAGAAATTGCACTGGGTAGATGTCACTCAGAATCCAGTTCTGGCCCTTTCAGGGAGTGAGACTTTAAAACAAGTACACAAGGTCCCACTACTCTTGGTGAAACTAAATGGGGCTGCTCAACTCCATTCCCAATCCCCATGGAAAGTGTGTGGTGAGCTTTCTCAAGTAGCAGCAGCCGACAGTATTAACAGCATCTCTACATTGTAAATACATCCATGGAGGGAGAAGGGAGGAGCTCTGTATAAACAGGAAAGTATAGAAGGGGCAATCAGGGCTGAGCTGCACCTGGGTCAGTAAGGTGGCTGCTCCCTGAGTGCAGAGACACAGCCTGTCCTGCCAGGAGCATGAAACCTATTCAATCAACATTTTTGTATGAATGTGCATCAGTGATCCTCAAGATATTAATAGGAGTTTCAGGGGACAAAGGCATTCTAGCGGCCCAATGAGGAAACCCCACAGTAAACAGGCTTAAATTCTTGTAGCATCTGTAATGTTCTGTGGGCATCCAAAATCCCAAATGTGTGTTCAGGGACACTTCCTCAGTGTCCCTAAACACACATTCTTTGGAGAGGGGTCAAAAGACTTATTAGTCGCTCCCAACAGAAGTGTCCAAGGAACACAAATTCAGAAAATAGCAATTCAGCTGCACTTCCTTATTTGCAGGTGAAAGCCGCCATTTGGTTTAATGGGAAGAGGTGGTTTTGGAGTCAGAAGACTGAGACTGGGATCTGCCTCCTAAGGATGATGGGTATTGGAAACTCACGCCTATGTATCCATTTGTACATTTGAATAGGGGTGTAGTTGTGGCAATGATCTGTAGCTTTTACTGAGCACAAGGTAGGGTGCCTAGAACTCAGGAAGTGTTTAATAAATGATAGCTCTTGAAATTACCAATGGAAAACTGAGTCCTGGTGAGAACCAACTGGCCCAAGGCCAGCCAGTAAGGGAGGTACAGGGCGGAGCTGGGTCTGGGTTTCTTGCCTCCCCATCAACATTCTTTTTACTGTACTACACTAACTGAGAATAGAAGTTGTACATAGTTGTATTTCTCTTATAAGGATAACAAATCAAATAGATGTTGCCAGATGTTTCTGTTTCACAGAAGAATGAAGTTAATGGTTGTATATCAGGGCTCAAACCTAAGATTTAAAGAGAGATTGCTGAGCAAGAGCAGCCATAAAAGATGTCTATGTTGGTATTTCAGCATTCCTGGGCCGCATAAAGCACCATTTGGTCACATCTGGTCTCCATCAGGCCTGAAGTGTTACATAAATACATGCATGGTTTATAGGGTAAGGAGGCCCTGTTGAGACTGGCCAGATGTGATCTGTTTAGGCTCTGCAGACAGGGCCCAGGAAACTGCCTGATAGCCCTGCACAATGCCCTCCCAAGGGACAGAGCTCTCTGCTGCCATCAGTGCATCTAGGGCAGAGATACCATGCTAGCTGCTGTCACTCATGTCCAACATGCTTGGGTGTTCAACCTCCCTCTGTAAAAGCTCTTATTATAGACAACCAGTGGAGTTCAGTTCAGAAGTTAGAGAACAAAATGCTTTAATGACCTTGTGGGCTCCATCCATCCATCCATCCACCCATCCACCCATCCACTCATCCATTCATCTACCCATCCACTTCACCCACCCATTCATCTATCTACTCATTCATTTATGCATTTCTGCAATCATTTACCCACATGCCCATTCATCCATCTACCCATCTATCTCCATCTATATTCATCCATCTTTCTATCCATCTATCCATCCACCTGCCTGTCTGTTCAATCTGTCCATCCACCTATCCAACCATTCATTCTTATCCATGCACCCACCCATCCACCCTCCCATCCAGTTATTCAATGAATATGAGCTCCTTGCATGTGCAAAGCACTAGTCTAGGCGCAGGGAATCCCGCAACAAACAAGTCAGGCATGGAGCTGACATTTGTATCATGTTCCAGAGGGGGAGACAACATTGAGTAATTCCACAATTATTCATTGGCTAGGGTAATAAACTCTCAGAAGAATTACAAAATGCTCCAAGAGTGTGTAATAGGAGATGCCTCCTAACTAGGAGGCCAGAAAAGGCTTCCCTGACGCAGTGGGAGTGCCGTGGGGCAGCCCGGAGCTCTGGCTACAGCCCTGCACCCACCCTGGCTACTGCTTGGTTGGTTTTGTTTTCCCCAGGCCTGCCGATTTTACAGTTAACTCTTTCCTCCATATCATAAGCTTCCAAAACAAGGTTATCCCTTGTTTAGGTAAAACCATTAAAATTTTCCTAGTATCAAGTCCCCCAAGCAATCTAACTAAAAGATTGAATCACAAAATAGAAAAGTCCCTTCTACCACAGCTAATGCTGGAGGAGAATTCCAGGGATCCCTGCACAGCAGTCTCAGGGCAGCATGCCTTCCTCCCCAGGCCACCCGGGGCTCTGAGGAAGGCTGTCAGACTTCGGCCCCTTCCTGTATACTGAGCTCCTGACCACAGTCTTGTGCCGGTTTTGCTTTTTTAAAAGGGACAAGCAAACAGGAATCTTCCCCATGCCTACCCTCACTCGTGCACACAAAGTGGGCCTGGCTGTCATTTCCTCCTGGGGTCTGATCTCTGTTTTATGCTCCTGCTTGTTGATTCTGACCCAGGTAAGCCACACAGGGAAAAGCCATCTCCCTGCTCCTTGCTTCGGGGCAGCAGAGCCATTTCACACACACAAACACCCTGCACCCCAGCTGCCTGGTTTCAGTGGCTGCTTGCTTATGGCCAGACAGCCGAAGGCCAGGCAGGGCCCGGCCTCTGTTCTCAGGTCTCAGCAGTGATTATGCATGCGAGGTAATTACACTGGTCTTGTTTCCGTGCTCTAGGCCTAAGCCTGGATATTCAAGGAAGGGAGCCTCTGGTTTTTTGCTACGTTATAATTTCTTTGTAGGGACAGGGCTCTAGGCGACTCCCAAATGGGCTACCTGTGCCGTGGCCACTCATTTCCTATTGTGCAGAGTAGCAATTACACAGCCAGAGGCTGGCCATGGGTGGGTTTGTTCTTCTCTGTGACATGTATTTTGTGAAACAGAAGAGAGGTCCTCTGTTTCTGAAAGCAACTCTTAAAATAAATACACCAGGCTCCTCCAAGGAATATCTGCATGAGAAGAAGTAAGCTACTATGTCTAGTGGCTCTCAAAGTGTTTTGGCGGGTTGGTCAGTCGGTCCACACAGGGAGAGAGGGGCAGGACAAAGGCCTCACCTCCCACTCAACACTTAATCCTGGTCTTGGGAAAGTTAGCGTTTGCCCACAGGTGACATGTTCTCAGGGCCTGACTACCTGCGGGTGGACACCAAGGATAAGCTGTGTCTTGAATTTTTTTAAAGCTTAAAAAGAAATTACTTCCAGCTGTGCATCATGAGAAGACACTGGTTGGTGTGTGTGAACCGATTTGCAGCACAAAGGGCCCCAGAGTACTTGGCTGGGCCAGATAGTGATGATGACTCATGCTGTCTTTACAAGATACTGCATAAACCTAGAGCAAGACAGAAGTTCCTCCCTCCCGACTCCACCCCCTGGCTTTATTGAGATGTAATTGACAAATAAAGCTTGTATACAGTTAATTGTACAATGTGATGATTTGATGCATGTGCATATCATGAAGTGACGGCCAAGATGAAGCTAATCAGCACTTCCACTGCCTCACATGGTTACCATTATTTTTGTGTGTGTGAGGACACTTCAGTTCTACTCTCTTAGCACATTTTCAACATACAGTACAGTATTATTAACTATAGTTACCATGCAGTTCATGGATCCTCAGAACTTAAGTATCTTATCACTGGAAATTTGTACCCTTTGACCAAAATCCACACAGTTTTTTCCTACTCCCCAGCCCCTGGTAACTGCCCTTCTACTTTCTGCTTCTAAGAGGTCAACTTCATTAGAGTCTGGTGCATATGTCTGTACTATGGAGTAGTATTCAGCCTTAAAAAAGAAGGACATCCTGCCGTTTGTGACAACAGGGGTGAATTCAGAGGACAGTGTGCTAAGTGAAAGACGCCAGACAAGAAGGACAAATACCAGATGGCTGTTCCTGAGAATCGAAGCAGGAAGAAGTTGCCCTTGACACTGAGCCCTTCCTGTGGCCAGAGGAAGCTGAAGGCAAAGAGGGAGGCTGGACCGTCCAGGTGAGAGGCACCTGACTGACCAGTGTCCAGCATGCTTGGCCTGGGGCAGCAGGGCTGATTGTGCAACCCAGCCTTTGGCTTCTCAGAGGCCCTGGAACAGCACACATTCCCTGGTGGTTTGAAATCTGAGAGCCGGAAAGAGCTTTCTGCCTTTCCTTTTGTGTCAGCTCACTTACTTGAAGAAAGCCCATCATCACAATGTTTTCTTTGGGTCCTGCTTACAGGATCTGGGCTTGTTTTGTTTTTCTTCTTGTTGTGTAGGGAGGGACCAGGATGGGAAAGCAATGTCCCTTGTAATTGTTGGGGTTTGTGCTTCTCTTGTAAAGCCTTGGGCTCAAGACCAGTGATCTGCAGTATAATGAGACTCGGCCAGGCCCTGCTCCCTGGAGGAGACAGAGGGACCATGCTGGTAACTTCCTTAACATCATTCAAAGGAAAGCCCAGTTTTTGTTTTCTCCTAAAGTGAAACTGCAGCCCTAGGTAAAAGGTACCTTGTAACCCCACGGATGTCTGTCTTCTACCTTCTCATTTCCCTTCTTCCTCTTCCTTTCTTTTGCCTTTTTCCCTTTTCCTATTTCTATGTTCCATAATCTGGAAGACCCATATATTTTCCAACTTTACTAATGTTTCCAAGAATTTGCATTAAAAGTAGCTGCTACAGTTCCTCATTAACTTGGACCCCATCTCTGGGAGTAAAGTGGGCAATTATTTCTCTGATTAACAAGGGAGGAGACAATGGGCACAGGGGCTCCTTCAAACCCAGACAGTGTTGTTTGTATCTAGATACTGCTAGACCACTTATGTCATTTTGGTTTGGTTCCCACATTTAATATCTTCCCCAAGTCATGTTGACCAACTCTGACTCAAAGGCCAGGATTCTTGGTTGTCCCGAGGCCCTGTTTCCCCACTGTTGAGTTGACAAGCCCATGGGAATTTCCCAGGGGTATGTGTAGCTCTGAGTTCTGGATAGTGTTTGCCACAGGACTGGGCTTCTGATGACACCAGGAGCACACACACATTGCTTAGCAAGAGTGTGCAGCTTACAGAATGGCCAGGCAGAAAGTAGAAAAGAGAGAGAGAAAAAAAGCAAAACTCGAGCTCAATCCAGAGACTCAAGCAGGGAAAAGATGCAGTGATTCTAGAGTGGCATGTGGGCCTTCAGAGGTGAACTCATGGAGGAGATGTGCAAAGTTTTGTGTCTGCACCATGTGGCACTCCACTGCTTATGACAGTGAAGTTTCAACCACCAACAAATGGCCCAGGGCAGGGGATTGTGACTTTTGGATTGCATGGATCACCAATATTTTAAAAGGAGATTCAAACAACACAACTGCTCCTTATCATCTCCTCAATTCATAAGAGAAACGGCAGCTGAACACTCCAAAAGTGTAAGAAGTACATAATCTCAGAACAATGGACAATCTTTAAATAGGATAAAGTTGTCTTTATGAAAAATTTATTACACTGTTTATATTTATCTGGTTTTATTATGGACTTGTAGGAACTTGGTTTCTGAGAGCACTGGTCCTGTGCTGTCTTGGGCCATTAGCCTAGAACAAGGGTGTTAGATGGGCGTTAACTTCAGGGCCAGCTCCAGCAATGGCCAGTGGATGACTGGGAACACTGTTGGGAAGGATTCTGAAGTGGAGTCCAGGCTCAATCATTAATTAGCAATATCTGACATGGGCATCATGGTCATTTTGAAGCACGTTCACAAATCCTTTTGCACTACTTTCATTGAAAGGGGGAAATCTAACTTTTAGATATGGTTTGGCTTGCTTCTGACAGACAGAATGTGACTTTTGAGCACTCACACTTGGAACCCAGCCACCACTGTGTGAAGAAGCGCACAGCATACGAGGTAGTCGGCAACACATGGGTGCCCAGAACAAGAGCCCAGCTGAGGTCCCAGCAGACAGTCAGCGTCCCCCACCAGGCACCTGAGCTAGCCTACTGGTGATCCCATCAGCAGTCATCAAGCTTCCCCAGACAGAAGTGTGTGAAGCAGTGGGAAATTGCTCCTGCCAAGTCCCGGTCAATGTTACAAATTTGTGGTGAAAAAAATATTGCCATTATCATAAACTATGAGTTTTTGGGGTGGCTTGTTATGCAGCAGAAGATAACCAGAGCAATCCCAGGATGGAAATGTGGCAGCAAACATTCACTATCCCTATCCAGAGCATTCTCAGCTATTATTCTTCCACCAAGGTACCCCTGATTTTATTTGAAAATTTAAAAACGAAATGTGTCTTGCCTAAGTTGATGAAAAAGGCCAAGGTCACATTGATTTCAGTAGGTTGCACTCAAATGGACCAATCCTCCATGTTGAACTCAACTTCTGCTCACTCCTCTGAAAGATACTGCAGGGTTACCATGACAACCTGAACATATGCTGGGTGAGAAACACGAAGAACAGAGAACAGGGGAGCACAGGGCCATTTTTTGCTGGGAGAATGTTTTCTAAAAAATATATTTTTTTCCAGGCCAAATTATTTGCAGCTGGTCTTCTCTTGGCAAGAACACTTCATCTGGCAGTGTATTTTCTGTCCTATAGAAGTGAAACATTCCCTGTAAATAGCAGGGAAATTAAAAATATTCTCTTTGTATCACTTTTAAAAACCTCCCACAACTGCTATGGGCAGAACAGATGTCTCCAGGGACCTTGAGGTGCCCTCGCTGCCCCTGAAGGCTCGGGCCCACCTGTCCACTCAGGATGGGTCTCTCCAGAGTGCTTGCCCACTCACCAAAGCCCTCTGTGTAAAAGGTTGTTGGTGCCAACTGTATTCTGCTTTCTAAAGTGGTTGCACCAGAAGAATTCAGTCTGAGGTTAAATTAGGGCATAAGAATTTCAGAATTCAGAAGAGAGAAGTCCTGCACCCCAACACTCAGAAACATGCTCCCAGGCTGAACTTTCAGACAGCTGAAGGACACATTCCCATGCTTGGGTCATTCATTAGAAACTCCCTTTCTCCAGTAACTCCAGTGAGCAAATGTGAAATGTTTTGTGCTGCAGGTGATGCAGCATCTGTATTAGGTGCTGCCTGTGTGATGATGATGAAGGCCTTTGAAGGCTCAAACAGCATAGACACATGGTGAGTCATAAAACTGCCTAATTTTAGTGCAATTAGGGGGAACAAAGGAGCAGCGAGGTCAGCTTTCTGGAACATGCATCCTCTGTGCTCCTTCCTGGGGATGGGTTGGGTGAGCCAGGTAGAAGGCCGGGAGGCCCAGGTCTGGCTGGGCCCAGGGTGGGCACGGGCACAGGGCTGGAGACAGTACGCTGCTCCCTAGGTGGTGGGTCACTTGACATAGCCAGGGCATCTGCATGGCAGGAGCATCCCCATGACCACCACACTGGGAGGGAGGGCCCAGAGGCTCCTGCGGGGAGCCCAAAACGGCTCACCAGCAGGGAAGAAGGGCTCGCTGAGGCTGGGGGCGTGTCCCCACCTCCTCCTGCTGGAACTCCCACTCCTGTCCCAGAACCTTCTCAAGAGAAGAGAGGTTGAAAGACAGCAAAAAGAAGGCCCCAACTCTGCAGTGTTTATTTATTTACAGACACTTAGACTCCTTAGTGGAACTCTCAAAGGCTTCTGGACCTGAGCCTGGAATCCCCACCTCACAGGCCGAGGACTGGCCCCTCGAGCCTCCACTTCCACCTGCACAGCCACAGCCTCCACTCTGTGCTGCAACCCCTGAGACCAGTGGGTGAGGAGGCTGGGATGAGGTGGGGTGAGGACTTATTAGTGCAGGCCTTGGCCCCAAGAGGGCCCACTACCATGGGGGTGGGTAGACCCCTCAAGTCCCCAAGTGCATTCCTTCATCCCTTCCTGAAAGTTTTGGGGTCTGGACTGCACCATCCCTGACCTCTTCCTTCCACTTGACACCCATTTGCAGCTCCTGCTCAGGCATGACATCAAAGATCACTGCTTGAGGGGGCTCTCCTGGACCCCCAGGGATACGCATGCATAGCACCTTGTAACTCATACACATCTCAATTTAAAATGAATGTTTATTTGTTCACATTGAAGTTGCAGCTCTAGAATGCCTGCCTAACACATGGAAGGAGCCTGGCCCAGGGGACAAGAGGGGCAGGAACCATTCATAGAGGAGCCATCCCTTTAGAGCTGGAGTGGGGAGAGGGAGAGAGAAACAGAGGCAGAGAGAAAGGGAGAGACAGAGAAAGAGAGAGAGAGAGATGGAGAGAAAAGGAGAGAGAAGGAGAGAAGGAGAGAGAGAGAGACAGAGAGAAAGGGAGGGACAAAGTAGGAGAGAGAGGAGAGAAAGAGAGAGAGAGAGAGAGGACCAGGTGGACTTGAGTTTTGCCCATTGTGACCTCTCTTTGGAGGCCACACAGCATCACTTCCACTGCATTACACCCCTACCCCACCCCAGGCAGTCACCAACATCCAAGAAAAGGAAAATAAACTCTCCCTACTCCTTTAAAAAAATTGTGTCACAGTTCACATAACAACATTGACCATCTTAACCATTTAAAAATGTACACTTCAGTGGTACTAAGCACATTCACCTTCAATAAAACTGAAAAGAGGTACAGTTTTATTTAAAATAATAGCCTACAGACTATACTATCACTTAAAATATGGTCATTTGTGTGAAATTTATAAGGTTAATAATAAATAATAATATAATATTATGTATTATATAATATATATTATAATAAATAACATTATAATAAATGATACCCATGGGGGAAAAAAGTACATTCACACTGTTGCATAACCATCACCACCATCCATCTCCAGAACCATCCTTTGAATTAACCATATTTAGAGGACCTAGATCTGCCACTTTCTGCAGAAGAAAAATTTGCTGCAAGAAAACTGGATCCAGCCCTCAGGAAGGCAGCCCCCTGGTCAGCACACCTAACCCTGGATTAAGCTGGCTCTGTGTGGCGCCTATTCTTTTTGGGGTCCAGGTAGAAAGATGGGGGCTCACAGCAAGTTCCCAGCCACCACTCCTCTGGGCTCGGACAGCTCGAGAAAGGTCAACGTTCGAAAGTCCCTCAGATCCTGAAACATAAACACTGCATAATAAGAACGTTTGGAAAAAAAAGATGGTTTCCATCATTTCCCAGCTGTCTGGGTTAATGGGCCGCTTCTCTGAGAACTAGAGAGATTAGCCATAATAAGAGACACAGATGGCCATGTGTGAACCCCGGGGAACACAGCCCTGGCCCTTCGCACAGCTGTTTCCTGATTCACTTTTCTTCTTCAGTAAACACTTTCCTGCACTCTGTTTGGAAGCAGAGCCAGACCATCTGAGGCCCTTTGATGTTGAGGAAGAATGAAGCTGGATGTAAATTTCAATGGATGCAGGAATGAGGCCAAGAGACTTAAAGGAACTTCTCCAGCCCTCTGGAGCTGGAGCCCTCCGGAGCTGGAGCCCTCTGGAGCTGGAGCCCTCCGAAAGCAGGAATTCCGCCATGCAGAGAAGCTTGGGGTGTTGTGTGGGAAGGCTGCAGATGCTGCATCCAGCCCACCTCCTCCCTTGCCAAATAATGTTGACCTAAAAGAGTAGGTGGTTTATCTGGGGCCAATATTAATAGAAACATGTCCATTCTTGGTTTCCATAATTACAGGTCAGGGTTTCCCAGCAAGCTCTGTTGAAATATTCCCATGCTGGGATTGGGATAGAAACATGAAAAAGGCATCCCAGAGGTGCCTGGGAACCAGGACTCGTGACAAAAGTGAAGTGGATGTGTCTGTCTAGGCCCTTCCCATTGGAAGCACGTGTTGGAAAATGGCAAGCAGTCACTGCTGAAACAGCAACAGGCTTCAGGTGAGCACCGCACGTCAGAACCTGGCACTATGATCCAGACTGCAAAAGGGTGCCTCGCTCTGCAAGTCTGACCCATGGTGCTGTCACGTTGCATGTTGTGGAAAAGTGCACATAGGTAGAGGCAGAGCAGGCCTGCACCTTGCCAGGAAACAGCCTAGTGTGTTGTCCGTGTGCCTGAGCGCCAGGTCCGCGTGTGCAAACTGGCAGGGATGGCTCTACCTAGTGGGGTTGCTGAAGGATTGCGCACATGTACGGTAAGCCGTCCCCCGGGCATCCAATCAATTCCTGTTCCCTTCCAGCTTTTTTATCTCCTCTAACTCTGGGGTGTCAGATATAACCTAGCATAAACATGCAAAAAACAGAACACGGGTTCCTGCTATTTTGTGTTCTTGCTATATCATGTTCTCAGAAGCCTCTTCTCATTCCTGAGCCTGCTATACAAGATCAAGGAGCCCATCCTCACATTACTCCTGCTTTCCAAGAGCTAAGAGCTCAAGGACTCTTTTAGCAAGCTTGGCCCTGGCGTGTAGCTAGAGACCACCCTCCCAGACACCGACTCCAGCAGGCTGTAAATTGCAGCACTCAGGAGCTGTAGGACTTTGCTGGTGGGAAGAGGACCTAACCGCTCTAATTCCAACACAACTTATAAAACACGAACAGAAGCCTAGTCCAATCATTTGTAATCATTTTTAGGACAGATAACATTCCATTTCAGTGAAGTACATGGAATATGACTTTTCTTTTACACTTCTTATTTTAGAAAATTATAATGCGAAGTTTCAAAAGCATTATAAAGATGTCTGTTTGCAGCCAGGCATGGTGGCTCAAGCCTGTAATCCCAGCACTTTGGGAGGCCGAGGAGGGCAGATCATGAGGTCAGGAGTTGGAGACCAGCCTGACCAACGTGGTGAAACACGGTCTCTACTAAAAATACGAAAATTAGCTGGGCTTGGTGGCACACGCCTGTAGTCCCAGCTACCCTGGAGGCTGAGGCAGGAGAATCGCTGGAACCTGGGAAGCAGAGGTTGCAGTGAGCCGAGGTGGCACCATTGGACTCCAGCCTGGGCGACAGAGAGACTCTGTCTCAAAAAAAAAAAAAAAAAAAAAAAAAAAGATGTCTGTTCGCTCTCTACCCAGTCTCGCTCAAAGCTTACATCCTGTAAAACTACAGTCTGATACCGAAACTGGGGTGCTGATGTTGGTGCAGCGTGTGTGCATAGCTCTGTGCCATTTGGTCACCTGTGGGAATTTCTGCAGTGACTGCCACAATTTAAGTAGCAGAGATGTTCCTCTACCACAAACACCCCCTCCTGCAGTCCCTTTGTTGTCTGCCCACCCCTCCCTAGCCCTCCCCTCCTAACACTGGACACCACTAATCTGTTCTTTATCTCTATAACTTAGTCATTTTGAGAATGTCTTACAGATGGAATGTTTTGAGACTGGCATTTTTTCACTCAGCATAATGCCCAGCCGACTCATCAAAGCTGCGCATAGGTAGTTCATTTCTCTTCCCTGCTGAGGAATATTCTATGGTACAATGTAGCACGGTGGCACAGTTGTTTCCATTTACCCCTTGAGGTTGCTTCCAGTTTTTAGCTATTACAAATAAAGCTGCTATGAACATTCATCTACAGGTTTTTGTGTGATTAATTTTTATTTCCCTGAGATCAGTGCCCAGGAACGTAATTGTTGGTTTCACGGCAAGCAGGGTAAGGGTATGCATGGTAAGTGTATGTATTATTATTATTTTTTCTCTTTTTTGAGACAGGGTCTTGGTTCTGTCACCCAGGCTGGAATGCAGTAGCATGATCATAGTTCACAGCTGCCTTGACCTCCATGGCTCACTCAATCCTCCTGCCTCAGCCTCCCAAGTAGCTGGGACTACAGGTGTGTGCCACCACGCCCAGCTATTTTTTTTTTTAATTATTTGTAGAGATGGGGTCTTGCTCTGTTGACCAGGCTGGTCTTGAACTCCTGGCTTCAAACTGCTAGGACTATAGGCATGAGCTACCGTGACTGGCCTGTTGCGGTTTTTAAGAAGCTGCCACACTGTTTTTGGGGGTGGCTATACCATTATATGAGCATCCCAGCAACGGATGAGAAATTCAATTTCTTTGCATCATCACCAGTATTAGGTCCATCACTATTTTCTTGTAGTTGTTCTAATAAGTATGCAATGATATTTCATCATGGCCTTAATCTGCATTTCCCAGATGGTTAACGAATGATGTTTAACATCTTTTCAGGGGCTTATTTGCCATCTGCATTCTCCTCTCTTAAATATCTGTTCATGTCTCTTGTCCACGTTCTAACTGGATTGCTGTTTTTGTTTTAACTGCTGAGCTTTGAGAGCTCTTATAGTCTATATTCAAGCCTTTGTCAGATTTGTGGTTTGGAATTAGGTATCCCAGTCTGTCATCGCGTCTTCCATCCTTTCACCTGGGCTTTCTCAAACCGAACATCTTTAATGTTGTTGTTGAAATCCAACTTCTTGATTCTTTTCTTGGATGGACTATGTTTTTGGTGTCATGTCTATTCACCACCCTTGGGCCTCCGAGATTTTCTCCTACATATTCTTCTAAAAGCATTATAGCTTTATATTTTACATTTAAATCTATAACTTATTATGAATTAATTTTGTCAAAAATGTGAGGTATATGTCGTTTCATTTTTTTTTTTTTTTGCCTGTGGACATCCAATTGCTCCAGTACTGTTTGTTAAAACTGAAATGTAAGATTTGAAAAGAGTTTTTAAAATGCCGTTTTGTTTGTGAATATATATGTGACATTACATTTCTTTGAGGGAGAGACTGATCGGGAGAATTCTCTTCAAGAAGGCTTTCAGACTCCAAAATGGAGACACAAAAGGCTTGTGTTTGTGCCTCCTGGGCCAACCCTCCTTAAGGGTAGGGCCTGGTTTGGTGGGTGGGTGGGTTACCTGTTGTGAGTAATGTACAGCTGGATGGCTATCGGCTGTGGGTACCACCTCAGCGGGGTGCTGTCTGTTGGTGATGTCACAATGAAATCTGTCCCTGTGCTTGATGTTACCAGCTCTCCACCTGCTTCTTCAATTAGCACAGGGCCTGCAGCCTGCCTAAGTGGGTGGGGTCGGCGTGCATAGGGCACATGTCAGGCATGGGACTGTGTGACTGCTGCTTGTAGCACTGGCCTTGTGCCAAGGTAGGAAAAAAAGTTTTTTTTTTTTCAGAGATGAAATGTCACTCTGACACCTAGGCTGGAGCGTAGGGGTACAATCATGGCTCACTGCGCCTTGAACTGTTAGGCTCAAGAGATCCTCTCATCTCGACGTCATAAGTAGCTAAGGCCACAGGCATGAGCCAAATGTCTGGCAGATTTTTTTTTTTTTAAATAAACACATTAAATGAATGAATAGTTAAATGGTAGTTGAATCTATAAAACATTGTCAACATGGCCTTTTTTCTGGCGGATGACTTAATTTGATAAAGCAGCACATTTTACTGCATACTTAATACAGAGATTTAATTAAATTCAGTGTTCCTCTCTCCCCATCCAAACAAGACTGATTTTGTATTTGTGTCTAGAAGCACTCACACCTGGGTGCTCATTTCACACATGGGGCTGGTCTAGGTGGAAGCAGTGGGGCAGAGGCTTTCCTTTTCCTGTCCTAGCAGGCTCTCTGGGGGTCTCACTTGTGAAGGTGGGGGCTCTGTTTACTTGTTACTTGGGGGACATCTTGATGTGATCATTCCATTCAGTTGTTATTGGATTTTTGGTTTGTTTGTTTATTTTTGCGTTTCTGCCCTTTGGGGGTGGATCCTCTGGGGGCTGAGTGGATGAGCTCCAAGGCAGACAACCAGTGACAAAAAGAAAATGAACCCTGTGGCGGTGGCTCTTGCCTGTAATCCCAGCACTTTGGGAGGCCGAGGTGAGCGATCACCTGAGGTCGGGAGTTCAAGACCAGCCTGACCAGCATGGTGAAACCCCATCTCTATTAAAAATACAAAAATTAGCCAGACGTGGTGGCGCACCCCTGTAGTCCCAGCTACTCAGGAGGCTGAGGCTGGAGAATCGCTTGAACCCGGGAAGCAGAGGTTGCGGTGAGCTGAGATCAAGCCACTGCTCTCCAGCCTGAGCGACAGAGTGAAACTGTGTCTCAAAAGAAAAAAAAAAGAAAAAAAGAAAAAAAAAAGAAAAAAAGAAAAAAAAAAAGGAAACAGTCTCTGTGGCTGCTTTGTTGACGCTGGTGTCTGCCCTCTGGACTTCCCTCTGGTCTCCACTTTAGGCCCCACATGCAGGCTGGGAGGACTTGAAGCACTGCCCCTGCCCTGGAAGGTGGGCTGGGGTAAAAGACACCTGGATAGAATCCTCCAAAGGACACTGATGCTGGCTGCTTTTCAGCACATCACTTGGTATGATTCTGTTATGAGAGCAGTGGCGATAGTGAAAGAAGAGTGTGAAATCTTCCTGTTCTACCTACCTCCGCATGGCTCGTTGTTGCTGTTGAATAATCTGAGTGCCGTTAGGTGTCTGAAACTGCAAGAAATTCAAGGATACTGCCAATGGGCTCTTTCCTTCTTGTAATCCGTCCACAATCAGAACTTCTAACAGAGTACCAATAACCCAGAGGGCTTTTAATGAATCATTCTTAATTTTTAAAAATACTCAAGCAAGTCGTGGAAATGAATATTGCCAGACTTGAGAGAAGGGAGAGATGGTCCCAGAGTGGTGTGAGCAGGGAAGCCATTATGGATCAGGGGCATTTAAAAGGGGTCATAAAGGGAATGTGTAAATTAAACAACGAGTCCCCCTTTTCCTTAGTGCCCTTGTAAGTCTCCAGAGGCCTCTTCATAGTACTGGCTCTGCATCAGTATCTTGTGTGAGCCAGCACTCAAGGATTCAACAGCAGGCAGCCTGGTTGTATAAACTGAGTTTCAGGAAGAAACTGAGTTGATACATCCCAGGTTCTATTCCTTGGGAAAATAAAGAGAAAAAAGTAAATCCCAGATGGTGGTGCTAGAGAAAATCCCAAGCGAGGCCAATATACAGGGATTGGAGAGGGGGCTGGGCAAAGAGGTGGATACCGTGACATTTCAAACTTGCAGTTCCAAATCCAGAGCAGATGGGGAGTGTTGAGTTGCATTTCTGAGCTGGGTTATAAATGGCACTAATCAGCACAAGGTAGACTTGGCATTTCCTGAAAGCTCCACAGCGGCCTTTTTTGGGGGTTGGGGGACATTCAACATTCTACTGCGGAGAGCTGCAGCAGACCATGCCGTCTGGAATAATTACAATGAAAAGACACAGATTGGCAGAATGGATAAAAAACCATGGCCCTACTGTGTGCTCTTTATGAGACACTTACTTCACATTCAATTACACAGATAGGGTGAAAGTAAAAAGAGGGAAAAAGGTATACTATGAGAACATTAATTTTAAAAAAGACAGAAATGGCTACATTAGTATCCAATAATATAGATTTCAGAAGAAAGAAAATACCTAAAGACACAGAGGGATATTACATAAAGATGAAAGGGTCAATCTACCAGAAAGACATAACAATTCTTAATGTGTATACAAACAACAACAGAGACTAAAGTACATGAAGCAAAAAACTGACAGAGCTGAAACGAGAAATAGACAAACTCACAATTATGGTTGGGGACTTCAATGCAACCTTCTGATCAACTAACAGAAGTACTAGAAGAAGATCAGCAAAGATACAGAAGATTTGAAAAGCATAATCAACCAATAAGATCTAATTGGCACATAGATTATACTTCACCCAACAGTAGCTGAATACACATTTTTAAGTGCTCATGACCATTCACAGACCGTATCCTGACCAAAAACAAGTATCAAAAAAAATTTTTATTTTTTTTATTTTAAATTTTACTTTAAGTTCTAGGATACATGTGCAGAATGTGCAGGTTTGTTACATAGGTATACATGTGTCATAGTGGTTTGCTGCACCTATCCACCCGTCATCTCGGTTTTAAGCCCCGTGTGCATTAGGTATTTGTCCTAATGCTCTCCCTCCTCTTGCCTCCCACCCCCTGACAACCCCTGGTGTGTGACATTCCCTCCCTGTGTCCATGTGTTCTCATTGCTCAACTCCCACTTATGAGTGAGAACATGCAGTGTTTGGTTTTCTGTTCCTGTGTTAGCTTGCTGAGAATCATGGTTTCCAGCTTCATCCATGTCCCTGCAAAGGACATGAACTCACTCTTTTTTTATGGGTGCATAGTATTCCATGATGTGTATGTGCCACATTTTCTTTATCCAGTCTATCATTGATGGGGATTTGAGTTGGTTCCAAGTCTTTGCTATTGTAAATAGTGCTGCAATAAACATATGTGTGCACGTGTCTTTTTAGTAGAATGATTTATAATCCTTTGGGTATACACCCAGTAATGGGATTGCTGGGTCAAATGGTGTTTCTGATTCTAGATCCTTGAGGAATTGCCACACTGTCTTCCACAATGGTTGAACTAATTTACACTCCCATCACCAGTGTAAAAGCATTGCTATTTTTCCACAGTCTTGCCGGCATCTGTTATTTTCTGACTTTTTAATGAGCATCAAAATTTTTTAAAGAATTAAAGAGTATGATTATCTGAGCATAGTGGAATCAAGCTAGAAATTAATGACAATAAATGAAGGAAAATCTGTAAACATGTGGAAATTAAACAATATGCTTCTAAATAACCCATAAATTAAAGAGAAAGTCTCAAAGAAAATTAAAAAAATGGTAGAATGGAATGACATATTCATGTGAAAATACAGCAAATAAAAATATGTGAGATGTAGCTAAAACAGTGTGGGAGGAAAATTTATATCACTAAATGCTTACGTTAGAAAAAAGTAAGTCTCATGTTATAAATCTAAGTTCCTACCTCAAGAAACTGAAAAGAAGAGCAAAATAAACTAAAAGCAAACAGAGGAAGGAAACAATAAAGATCAAAGCAGAAATGAATGAAATTGAAAATAGGAAAACAATAGAAAAAGCTAATAAGACCACAAGCTATTTTAAAACAAATAATAAAATTGATAAATCTCCAGCAAGAGGTTTCACTAATATCAGGAATGAAATGGAGGAATAACCCTGAAGATCCTACAACCATGAAAAGGATTATAAAGATAATAAGACAATACTATGAACAACTTGATGTTCATATAAATATGAATATTTAGGAGAAATGGACCAATTCCTTGAAAATCTAAACTCAGCTAACATGAAACAGATAATCTGAGGAGTCCTATAATGATTACATGAATTCTTAATTGAAAACCTCCTGAAAAAGGCTGGTCCAGGTGCTTTCATGGGATACTTCTCCTAAATATTTTAAGGTGAATTAACAACATTTTAATACAATTTCTTCCAGAAGACAGAAGAGTAGGGAACACTTATTTTATTAGGTCAATATTACTCTATTACCAAAACCAGAGAAAGACATTTCTAAAATAGAAAACTACAAAACAATATCTCTTGTGAATTTACCTCAACAAAACATTAGCAAATAAAATCCAACAATATATAAAAGAAATTATATACTGTGACCAAATGGGATTTAATCCAGGTACAAAAGGCTGGTTCAATGTTCTAAAGTAAATATAATCTACCATATCAACAAGGCAAAAAAGAAAAATCATATGATCATATCAGTTGATACAGAAAAGGTATTTGACAAAATTCAGCATCTATTTTTTGATAAAACTCTCTCTCAGCAAGATTAGGATGGAGTGGAACTACCTGAACTGGATAAAGACTATTAACAAAGAACCTATAGGGAACATCATACTTTGTAGTGAAAGACTAACTTCTTTTTCCCTAAGACTGGGAGCAAGGCAAGACTGTCGATTCTCACTACTTTTATTCAGTATAGTACTGGAAATTTTAGATGGTGAAAGAAGGCAATAAATAGATAAATAAACAAACAAACAAACAAATAAATAAATAAATAAATGGCATACCAATTCTAAAGGAAGAAATGAAATCATCCCTACTTGTGAGTGACATGATTATCTATGTAGACAACATAAAGGAATCTACAAAATAAATAAATAAAAAGACAACGTCCTGGAATTATTGTGAGTTCAGTAACTTTGTGTGTTACAGGATCAACATGCAAAAATCAATTTCATTTTTATATAATAGCAATGAAAATACAGAACCTATAATTTAAAAATAGGGCACCATTTAAAATAGGAGAGATAAAAATGGGGCTGTCACTAGGACCCTACAGAAATTAAAAGGAATATAAGAGAATATTATGAACAGCTTTATGCCAGTAAATTCAATAATTTAGATGAAATGAACAAATTCCTTAAAACATACAAACTAATAAAGCTTATTCAAGAAGTAATAGATGGTTTGAATGACCCTATGACTGTAAAAGGAATGAAATTTGTAGTTAAAAAGCTTTCTCACAAATAAAACTTTAAGCCAAGATGGCTTTGCTCATAAATTTTACTAAATATTTAAGGAAGATATAATGTCAGTTTCACATAAACTCTTCCTGAAAACTAAAGAGGTGGGGATTCTTCCTGACTCATTCTATGAGGAGAGCATAGAGCATTACCTTGATACCAAAACTGGATAAAGATACTACAAGATAACTACAGACCAATGTTCCTTATGAACATAGAGGTAAAAATTCTCAACAAGAATTTAGCAAATTGAATCTTACCAAAGAGAAAGGATAACACCTTATGGAATGCAAGATTGGTTACCATTAGAAAATAATCAGTATAATTAAGTAAATCAACAGACTAAAGAAGAAAAACCATATAATCATCTCTATAAATGCACAAAAGGCATTTGACAGAACCTCAAATCCATTCTTAATTTTTGCAATGGGGAAACTTCATTAACTGCATAAAGAGAGTTTAAAAAAAGATATGCAGCTTACATTATGTTTAGTGTAAAAACAAGATCCTTTCTTCCTAAGATCAGTATCAAAGCAAGGATGTGTTCTCTCAGCATTTTAATTCACCATTGTACTGGGAGATGCTATCCAGTACCCTAAGGTGAATGGAAGAGAAGGAAGGAAGGAAGGAAGGAAGGCAGGCAAAGAGAGAGAGAGAGAGAGACAGAGAAAGACTAAAATTAGACAGATTGAAAAAGTAGAAATAGAACTATCTCTATTAGCAGCTGACATGCTTGTCTATACAGGAAATTCCAAAGAACCATTAAAAAAAATTACCAACTCTAGTGAGTTTAGGACATTTGCAGTAATAAAAAATGAATCGTATTTCTATATAGTAACAGAGTAAAATTAAAGTTAAAAAGTAAAATATCATGTAATGTTGTATGAAAAATCATAAAATACTTAGGTAAAAATCTAACAAAATATGTTCCATATCTGTATGCTGAAACTACAAGTCACTGATGAAAGAAATCTTAAAAAGCCTTAAATAAACAGAGAAATATACCATGCTTATTGACTGGATTGTTAAGCTGTCAGTTCCCCACAATCTAATTTATAAATTCCTTGCTATTCCATTCAAATCTCATCAGAAACTTTTTTTGTAGAAATTGACTAGCTAATTCTAAAATTTATAAGTAAAACTAAAAAATTTTTGAAAAAGAATGAGAACTCAGACTACTTGATTTCAAGATTTCATTAGCAGCTATAGTAATCAAGGCAGAGAGGTATTGGCAAAAAGTCAAGAGTGAGTCTAAAAATAGACCCACATGTATATGATCACTTGATTTTTTAAATAAAGGCACAAATGCAATTTAATGGAGAAAGTACAGTGTTTTCAACACATGGTGCTGAAAGGATTAGATCTTCACATGCAATAAAAAAATATAGATTCATACTTTTCACCATATACAAAAATTAACTCCATGTTAGCCATAGACTGTAGACCTAAATATAAAATTAAAACTATAAAATTTTAGAAGAAAACATAGAAGAAAAATTTTGTTACCTCAAATGAGGAAAGATTTCTTAGATAAAATAGCAAAAGCATGATTCATAGAAGAAAAAAATTGATCAATTAGATATCATCAAACCTAAAAACTTCTCTTTAAAAATCACTGTTAAGAAAATGAAAAGACAAGAATGGCAGAAAAGATTACCCAAATGGCAAAAACACATAAAATGATGGACAATATTAGTCATTAGTGAAACCACAAGTGAGATAACAATACACACCTATTCGACTAGCTCAAATTAAAAGAAAGAAAGAAACTGACAATCTTAAATACTGGTAAGAATGTGGAGCCACTAGAACTCTTATGTTTTGTTTGTGGAAATGCAAAGTGGTATGGCTTCCTTGAGAAACAGTTCTGCAGTTTCTCTTAAACTTAAACATAAAATTACCATAAACCTCTCAATGTCACTACTAGATTTTTACCCATTTGGAATGGTAACTTACATTAACATAAAAACCTGTAGGCAAATGTTTAAGTTTATAATGGCTTTATTTATAATCTTTCAAATCTGGAAAAATCCAAATGACCATATCCTTCAACTGGCAAGCGGGTAAAAAAACCATGGTATGATAATACCCTACTAAGCAATTAAAGGGAATAACTGCTGGTATGTGCAACAGTGTGGATAAATCTCAGATAGATTATGTTAAGTATAAGAAGCCAGAATCAAAGTCTACACACTATGTGGTTCCATTTATATCACAATCCAGAAAAGGCAAACCCAGAGAGACAGAAAACAAAGCAGTGGTTAACAGCAGCTGAGGATGGGGAAGGGGGTGGTCACTACAAAGGACCACAGAGAATTTTTTGGCTGATGACACTTCTTGAATTTAGTGACTTTATATTTGTCCAAATTTACAGAAGTGTGTAATTATATGGGTTAATTATAGTGCATGTAAATTATACCTTAATAGAAAATAGAAAAAAGTCAAAGATAACATTAAAAATAGTATCAAGTAAGACTAAATCTCAGACAATTATGCCAGCTTTCTAGAAAAATAACTACAAAATGTTTTTGAGAGAAATTAATGATGAAACTAAATAAATGCAGAAATATACCATATTCATGGATTAGAAAACCAACATTATAAAGATTTAAGTCTCCCCAAATTGAATTATAGGTTAAATACAATAACAACCAAAATTCCAGCATGAAAATTTGTAAAAATTGACAATCTTATTTGGCATCTATATAAAAATGCCAAAATAAAACAAGGCAAAACAGGCAATACCCTCTCAAAAATAATATATCAAGATGGAAGAACTTACACTATAATAAAACAAGGCTTTTAATAAATTTACTACAATTAAGACAGAATTCCAATGACTGAAGAATAGACAATTGTACCAAGTGATCAAAATGTGGGGTCCAGAAACAGAAATTTGTATGCATACTTGATTTATGGCAAGGTGGCACTGCAGAATAGTGAGAAGAGGAGGGTCATTTTAAGAAATGTTGCTGGGCCAGTGGGATATCCATACAGAAAAAACTAATCAGGTCTACTAGACACTGTTCACCAAAGCTCAATTCCAGGTGCACACTCCATGAATGTGAATGTGAAAGTATGAACAAGAAAACTTCTAGAAGACAAAGTAGAAGAATATCTTTATGATATTGTGCTAGGCAGAGAATGCTTAAATTGATCAAATAAAGCTCAACCATAAAATAAAAATAATGCTGAGTTGTACTACATTAAATCAAAAAGTGTCTGTTAATTAAAAACACCACTAGGAACATTCAAAAGGTCAACCACAAATTTAGAGAAAATACTTGAAAACCTGCAACTGATAAAGCCTCATATCCAGAAAATATGGATTTTTTCCAAATCAAGAAAATGACACGTAAGCCTATTTTAAAAATGAATATAAGACTTGAACAGACACCCCACAAAATATACTATCTAATAACATATAAATGTATTTAAAAATGGTGAACCACGTTGGACATAGGGAAATAAAAACTTAAAATTGTAAGGAGATACCACTACAAATTATAAATTAGACAATGGCAAGTGATGAAAAGGTATGGAACAATACAACCTCTTACATAATACTGGATAGGAGTGTAAAATGAGTACAATCAATTTATAAGACTGTTGACAGTATCACTATAGCTGAAACTAAAGTTAGCTGTGACCCAGAAATTTACCTAGATATAAATTCAATAGAACTATATGTACCAAAAGGCATGTATAAAAATCTTCATGGCAGTAATTTTTCGTAATAGCCTCAAATTAGAAACACGCTCAACACACCAACAATATTAGTATCTGTCAACACTAACATTGGTAAATAAATTGTGGTACATTCACACAATGAAAATGAATGTTCTGTAGCCATATGTAACAATTTGGATGCATCTCATAAACATAATTCCGAATGAAATAAACCAGACAAAAGGAATATATATTATAGGGTTCCATTTATATAAAGCTGTTCAGTAGGCCAAGTTAATCTATAGGTTTTAGAAGTCAGGGTAATGTTTAATTTTGGGGTGAAGCGGGGTAGTAATCAGCGTGGGCATGAAGGAATGTTCCTGGAGGCTAGTTAAGTTTCCGTTTCTTTACGTGGGTGGTGATTACAAGGATGTGATCATTTGTAGATGATTCACTGAGAATTTCTTGCTCTCAACAGATACTATAAAGAGGGCAAAAAGCCACAAGCAAGAAATATGTGCTGTATCTATAACCAACAAAGGGTTAGAATCCCAAGATGATAAAGAACTAAAAATGAATAACAAGGAGAAAAATGGCAAAATACATGAATAGGCACTTTCCAAGAAAAAGATGACTGATCCAAAACTGTATGAAAAGATTTTACATTTTGTTGTCATCAGTGAGACACAAATATTTAAAACTATAATGCAATGCCTTATTATATAAGGACTAGATTGAGAAACATTTGAAAATCAGAAAACTCCATGCTTAGGGTAGGCTGTTGAACACTGGGAACTCTCAGACACAGCTAAAGGTGTAAAGAATTGGTGCAACTATTTGGAAAACATTTGGTATTACCTAGTAAAGTTGAACACATACTCAGTACATAGCACAGCAATTTCACCCCAAAGAACATACCCTAGAAAAAACTCTTACATAGGCAGGAGACATGTTCCTAGTAGCATAGTAATGTCAAAAACCTGATAAAACCTAAATGCCCACCAGTGTTAGAAGGTATGAATAAGTTGTGGTTTATTCCACTTCCTTGAGGATGGAGTAACTACATAAATTATTTGGAAATCTACATGAGAGATTTGTTCATTCTTCCCCCACTTATTTATTTATTCATTCATTTATATCTGCATGAGCTCATGGATATTTATTTAATACTTTCAGTTATAATGGACCATTTAATTTATTTTGTTGCTCAAATCTTTCCAGTTTTGGCCATTGGGAGCTCTTTCAGTTTGCTGTTTTTGACATAACCTGTTCATTGTGGAGTTTTTGTTGTTGTTGTTATTCATTTGTTTTGAGTACTTTTTCTTTTTTTTCTGACTGTAAGACACTCCATGTTCATCTTGTATATTTCCTGCTGCAGTCCAGGAGTCATTCATTTTTGGAAGGAGTCCTGGCACCTTTTGTTGGAGAATCTTATTAGAGATTAGGATCTGGGCACTGGTGTGCTCATTGTTACTGGGGTATCATTGCTTCTGGGCTCATTCAGCTGGCAGGAAAAAGAAACGTTTGAGTGTATACTAACCTGTGTATATATGCATCTATATATATTTCCATATATAACATTGTATTTACAATAAGCTAAACATGAATTCGTGTTGAGGTCTCCAACTCTAAGGCCTTACTACACAGACCATTTCAGCCTCCTCCCTTTGCTTATCTGGAACTTCTTCCTCCAATAGTGAGAAATCTGGCTTCCACCATCCACCATCCATTTACTTGAATTCCAGTACACATGTGTAGCAGAATCGGAATTGCCAATCCATGTTCCCAAGGAAAACAACTTTATCAACTGGAGTATAGGGCTTATGAACACTTTCTTTTGTCTTACAAGCACCACTAATTTCCAAAGTTACTTAACTCAGCACATTTCTCCTTCACCCCTTCAATGAGATTGTTACATATATTTGTAATACAGTTAGATTGTTGTTGTCATGTTTGACATTCCACCTGGAATTCTCCCAGCTTTGTAAGTGATTTTGTAGAAATTTGCAGACATTAAGGTTTGCACACAGAACTTTGTGTTATAAAGTCCTACAGGTTTTGTTGAATGTGTAATGTCATGTATCCACCATTATAGAACCATGCAGAATGATTTTACCACTCCAAAATATCCTGTGCTCATATATTCAACCCTTTCTTCTCCCTTGAACCGTTGTCAGTGACTGATCTTTGCATCATCTTTTTAGTTTTTATTTTTCCAGAATGTCATATAATTAGAATCATATGGCATGTAGCTTTTTCAGATTGGCTCCTTTCACTTAGCAATAAACATTTAAGATACATGTATATCTTTTTGTGACTTAATAGTTCATTTATTTTTATTACTGAATATTTCATTTTATGGATGTGCCACAGTTTATCAACTTACTTATTAATGGATATCTTGGTTGTAGATAGTTTCTGGTGATTATGAATAAACATTCACATGACTTTTTTAATTGGTTGGATAAATACCTAGGAGTACGATTGCTGGATTTTATTGTAAAGCTATGTTTAGTTTAATAAAAAAACTGACAAATTATCTTCCAAAGAGGCTGTGCTATTTTGCATTTTCTGTAGCAAAGAATGACAGTTCTTGTTGCTCTGCATCTTCAACAGTATTTGGTATTGTCAGATTTTAAGTTTTAGTCATTCAAATAAGTGCTTAGTTTTGTTTCAGGGTGCAATTGCCTAACAACAAATGACACTGAGCATCTTTTAAAATGCTTATTTCCCATATGTATATTTTCTTTGGTGAGTTGTCTGTTCAGATCTTTTGCCCATTTTAAATTGGGTTGTTTGTTTACTGGTTGAGTATTAAGAATTCTCTGTGTATTTTGATACAAGGCCTCTATTAGATATGTGTTTTTCACACAAGGCCTCTGTAGATATGTGTTTTGCACCTATCTCCCAATCTGTGACTTGTATTTTTAGTCTCTTAGCAGTGTCTTTCAGATAGAGGAAGATTCTAATTTTAATAAATGTCACATTAATTTTTTCTCTTATGAATTGTGATTTTGCTGTTGTATCTAAAATCTCATCACCAAACTCAAGTTGACTTAGATTTTTCTCTTATATTTTCTTTTAAAAATTTTAAAGCTTTCCATTTCGGTCTATGGTCTACTTTGAGTTAATTTTTGTGAAAGGCATAACGTCTGGGTGCAGGTTCTTTTCCTTCTTTTGGAAGGGGGAGAAGGAGTCTTGCTCTGTCACCAGGCTGGAGTGCAGTGGCGTGATCTTGGCTCACTGCAACCTCTGCCTCCAACACGATTCCCCTGCCTCAGCCTCCCAAGTAGCTGGGACTACAGGCCCGTGCCACCATGCCCGGCTAATTTTTTTGTATTTTAGTAGAGACAGGGTTTACCATGTTGGCCAGGATGGTCTCGATCTCCTGACCTCGTGATCCACCCGCCTCGGCCTCCCAAAGTGTTGGGATTACAGGCATGAGCCATCGTGCCTGGCCCAGGTTCATTTTTTAACATATGGATGTTCCAGCACCATTTTTAGAAAATACTATTCTTTCTCCATTCAATTGCTTTTGCTTTTTTGTCTAAAACCAGTTACATTTATGTGGGCCTATTTTTGGACTTTCTGTTCTGTTCTATTGATCTGTGTGTTTGTTCTTTCACCAATACCACACCGTCTTGATTATTAGAGCTTTATAGGAAGTTGTGGAATTGAGTAGTGTGAGCCCTCCAATTTTGTTATTCTTCTGTATTGTGTTTGACTTTCTAGGTCTTTTGCCTTCTCTGTAGACTGTGCAATTACTTTGTGGATATCCAAAAAATAGTTTTCTGGGATTTTGACTCCGTTGTATTGAATTTAGGAAGAATTGACATCTTAAAAAAATTGAGTCCTCCATTCCTTGAACATGGACTATCTCCCTATTTATATAGATCTGTTGTTTATATCTTTCATCAGGAGAGTATTGTATTTTACACATATAGATCCTATATATATTTTGTTATATTTATACTTAATGATTTCACTTTTTGGTACTATTGTGTGTTTTTTAAAATTTCAATTTCCAATTATTTATTGCTGGTGTATAGGAAAGAAATTGACTTTCGTATATTAGTCTGATATCCCACAATTTGTTATACTTGCTTATTAGTTTCAGAAGTATTTTTGTCAATTCTTTGGAATTATCTACATAGACAAACATGACATCTGCAACAAAAAATAGTTTTATATTTTTCTTTCCAATATGTATGTCTTTTATTCCCCTTTTTGATATTTTGTTGAATAAGAGTGTTGAGAGAAGACATTCTTACCTTGTTTCCAATCTTAGTGGGGAAAGAATCTAGTTTCTCACCATTAAGTATGATGTTAGCTTTAGGTGTTTTGTTGATCTTTGTTATCAAGTTAAGGAATTTTCCTTTTATTCCTTGTTTGCTGAGTCTTTTTAATCATAAACAGGTGATGGATTCTACTAAATGTTTTTGGATCTTTTGATATTGTCATATGATTTTTATATTCCAGTCTTTTGATGTGGTGATTAATTTATTCCCAATGTTAAACCAGAGTTATAAATCCTGCTTAGTGATGGTATAAAATTCGTTCTATGCATTGTTAAATTTAGTTTGCCAATATTTTGTTGATTTTTATATCTATTTTAATAAAACATATTTCCCTTTAGTTTTTCTTTATTGTAACATCTTTATCTGATGTTGGTGTTAGAGTAATGCTTGCCAAATAGAATGAGTGAGGAAGTATTCTGCTTATTTTTTCTGGAAGAGATTATAGGAAATTGGCATCACTTTCCTTAAATCTTTGATAATATTCACCAGCAAGCCCATTTGGACTTGGTGTTCCCTTTAAAAAAAGTTATTGATTATTAATGCATTTTCTTTACTAGATAGGGGCCTATTTAGGTTGTCAATTTCTCCTTGTGTGAATTTTTGGCCATTTTTTTTTCTTTTAAAAAATTGGTCCACTTTATCAAAATTATCAAATTTATGGGCACAGAGTTGTTCATAATGTTCCTTTATTATCTTTATTATCTTTTTAATGTACATGGTAGTAGTGATGGTCTTTCCTTCATTTCTGATATCGGTCACTTGTGTCTTCTCTCTTTTTCTTTTGGTTAACCTGAATAAAGGTTTATAAGTTTTATTGTTCTTTTTAAACAACCAGCTTTTGATTTCAATGATTTTTCTTAATTTCTTCCTAAGTTTAATTTTCTTGATTTCTGCCCTAATTTTTATTTTATCCTTTTCTGCTTGCTTTAGATTTTAATTGTTCTTTTTTCTTTAGTTTCCTAAGATGAAAGCTTAGCTTATTGATTTTAGATCCCCCCTTTTTAAATATATGTATTTAGTGGTGCAAAATCCTTCCAAGCACTGCTTTCACTGTATATCATAAATTTTGATATATTCTGCTTTCACTTTCTTTTACTTCAGAATATTTTAAATTTCTCTTAGTTGATTTCTTATCTGACTCATGTGTTATTTAGAAGTGTGTTGCTTAGCTTCCAAATAATAAGAATTTTCCAGCTATCTTTCTACTATCAATTTCTAGTTTAATTACATTGTGGCCTGAGCACATACTTTGTATAAATTCTGTTCTTTTAAGTTAATAAAGTGTGTCTTATGGCACAAAATATTGTTTATCATGATGAATGTTCTATGTTTCAGAAAGCAAATAATAAAATGGCAGATGTAACTCCTAATATATCGATGATTACTTTAAATATAAATGTTCTCAATACACCAGTTAAAAAGTAGAGATTGACCAAGTAGCTAAATGCACACATACACACACACACACACACCAATTATATCCTGTTTATGAGAAACTCACTTCAAATTCAATAACATAAGTGGTTGAAAGTAAAAGGATTGCAAAAGATATTCAATGCAAACAGTAATTTAAAAAAGCAGGAGTTGCTATATTAATATCTAATAATGTAGACTTCAGAGCAAAGAGCAAGACTAAAGGCAAAGGGGACATTACATAGAGATGGAAAGATCGATCCACCAGAAAGACATAACAAACCTAAACCTGTATACAAATAATAAAAGGGCCTAAGATACACGAAAGGAAAGTGATAAAGCTGAAAGCAGAAATAGGCAAATCCACAGTTATGGCTGGAGACTTCAATTTTTTCCTCTCAGCAACTGATAGAACAATAAACTGAAAATCAGTGTGGGTACAGAAGATCTGATTAACACAATCAACCAACAGGATCTAATTGGCATTTACACAACATTCCACACACAACTGCATAATATGCATTTTGTTGACGCACCCATGGAACATTCACCAAGACTGACTGTATTCTTGGTATATAGTCATTCTTGGTTGGCAAGTAACAACAACTTTTTAAAAACTGAAATAATACAGTGTGTTCTCTGACCACAATAGAATCAAACTAGAGATCCATGACAGACGGGTAACATGAAATTTCTAAATACTTGCAAATAAAATAACACACTTCTAAATAATTCATGGGTCAAAGAATAAGTCTTGAAGGAAAAATGTTAAAAATAGAACTGAATGATAAATGAAAATGAAAATGCAGCATAGGAAGCTATATAGAATACAGCTGAAAGAGTATTGAGAAGAAAATTTTTAGCAATTAATGATTACATTAGAAATAAGAAAATCTCTAAAATCAGTCATCTTTCTACCTCAAAAAGCTAAAAAAAAGGAAAAGTAAAATAAACCCAAAGGAAGCAGAAGAAAACAAGAAAGTCATTTCGAAATCGAAAATAGGAAAACAAAAAGAAAACTAATAAAACAAAGCTGGCTGCTTGAAAAATCAATAAAATCGATGTGTCTAGCAAGAATAACAAAAATAAGAAGAGAGAAGACGCAAATCATCAATGTCAGGAGTGAAATGTGATATGTCACCACAGATCCCACAGCCATTAAAAAGATAATAAAAGAATACTGTGAACAACTTTGTGCTCATAAATTTGATAACTTAAAGGAAAGAAATTTCTTTACCCGAAATGACATAGATAATCTAAATAGTTCTACAATCATTAAAATAATTGACATTGTTATTTAAAATCTCCTAAAAGTAGAATTACCCATTTTTTTAAAATATAGATATATTTGATTACCTATTTAATTGTGGTTTTTCAGGGGCAAGAGATCTCAGATGTTGACTGTAATTTTTTTCCCATAAGTTAAGGAAATCGGGCTTTCAGTTTACTAAATTTTTGAGTGAATTTCATTGGTAAACATAGTGATGGCTGTTTAAAGAGAGCCATGACTCACTTCACCAGTTACAGTAACATAATTTCCCTTTCTGCACTTAGTTTTTTACATTATGTAAAAGTCAAACATGCTATTTTTAATTTCACTTTTTTTCACAATGATACTTTCGCAGATTTTCTCATCACCCGCTGCCTCAATTCTTCACATGACCCTTCTATGTCACTCTCTTTAACCTCCTCTTTAATTCTCCTCAGGCAGAATTAATTACTCCCTTATCTAGGTCCCCCGAGGACTGAATGCACAGTGTGAGAATTACTTGTCTTCAGGACACCCTTCCCTTTACATGCCTTTGCAGCCTGCCTCCTTGCTGGAGATCTGGTACATGGCAGGCATGCAATGATTTTTGCTGACTTGAAATCTAAATACAGAAGATTGTTTAGGAGTAAGCCAACAACAAAACAGAAAGTGACATCCTCCCCTGATTTTCACCAAGTTGGCTTTTGATTACCAATAGAGAACAAATGAACATCATTCTCTTCAAAAGCAGTTTGTAGGGGAAGGTTATCAATCTTCATAACAATAAAAGCATTTGTTTTGTGAGATTGATGAAAGATTTTGTAAGCAGTTTTGTCACCATGGGGTAAAAATGATCGGTTTCATGGGAATTATATCTGTTGAGCTTATAAAATCTTACTCATTTTTGCACAGGAAGTCCCACTTATATGTTGCTAAAATAATAAAGTTTGTAGATAGGAAATTGAGTAAATTGTGAGTTTGGCCATGGCTGAAATGGAATTAGGGTATTAAATCGTGTGGTTTCAATCCTACCATATTTATTCATTTCCAAACAGTTTGGGGGATTATTTGTTGACAGTCACATAATTAATTATTGGCTGTTATAGTGGCATGCGTTTCCTTGACAAACAAGAGTTTAGTTTAATTCAGAGAGTTAAATCTGCTTTAATATCCAGACACTTGTGGCTGTAGGGTCTCTTTTGGAGACTGAATTACTTAATAATTGGCTCTTGACTTTTTGCAACTGTAATGTCCTCGAAGTATATAATAGCTCCAAACAGTAAGCTTGGGTCCCCAGTACTTGATTTTTAACTGGGTCTACGAGGCAGTCAAGAAGGAGGTGCTGAGGAGAGCCACATCACACACTCAAGGAACCGTTGTGATTCTCCCATCTTGCCCACCCCATGGAAAGAAGGGTCCTCCCTTTTTCGTCTCACTGCTTGAGGTAATGACACCAATTCTATAGTCTAGGATAGACAAAGACTCCCAGAGAAAACAGAAAGAAATAAATGAAACACTTTCTGAAATTTTTCCTCCTGAAATAATATTTTGTTTGTACTTAAAAAAAAGAGAGATGATAACTTATTGCTAAACCTTTAGTGTGTCTACATGGGAGAAGTGACTCAGCAGGTCTTGGGCCAAACTGCGTATTTGTTTAACTTCAATCTCAGGAGAGCCAAGGAGTAAAACCATGGCACTATCTTTGTTGCAACAAAGACTTCTTGCTTGATGAGCATTCTTGGCAAGGGAGCCTTCATATTTTAAAAGGCTGTAACTGTTTATGGCTATCAGCTTATCACTCTAAAACCAAAGGAGGCCTGAGGACAAAGAGTGAGCCAGAGGGGATGTTAAGGGAGGGAGGGTTCTCCAGGAAGCAGAGTCCTAGGCAGTCTGCAGTCTGGACCCATCACACTGCAGAACTGGGCAGGGTGACCAGGCATCTGCAGCTTTCTTGTCTCTGAGCAAGTGAGAGTGCTGGTCCTTGTACACCAGCATCAGAAATGAGAGCAGACAATGGAGGAGGGTGAATGCAAGGGGTGCTCAGGAAGAAGCACAAGCAACACCCTACAGGGGTTGAAGGGAGACCATTTTCTGGGTGGGAATAAGTAGAGATTTATGAAAGAGCCGATATTCACACGTGGCCACAGGATTTTGACAGAGTGGTGGCAGGACCTCCAGGTGGAAGGAACCAGTGAGCCAAGGTGTTGAGTCCTTAGGCAGAGATGATGTCACCCAATATGTATTTTGTAGCAAAATACATATTTGTCCTTTTTGCTTAATGTATGCTGAGTCATTTAACCCTCACAGCGACTCTTACCCCCGCTTCCTTTATTCTCACTCTTCTCCTCTTTTCCCTCTCAAGATCATCTCCTCTCTTCTTCCCTTCCTGTTGGGAAGTCAAGTGGACGGGGTGGATGGGGAGGAAGGAACTGAACAACTCTACGTGGAATGTTCGGGGAAGGACTCTCTGAGGTGGAAATGTTTAAACTCAAACCTGAAGGGTGAGAAAGAACAAGCCAAGCGTGTGGATTGGGAGACAGAGCATATTGCACTTGGGGAGCAGAGAGCCACTGGGGGAGTGAGTGCACGTGGTGAGGTCAGAGAGGGCCAGGGCATCTTGTAGGCCATATGAGGATTCTCCCAAACTGTCTGGGGGTCCCTGGCTTCATGCTGAAAGGGAAGACAAAACCCAGGCAAGTCCCAGGCTGAGAAGGGCAGAGTCAGAAGACAGAGGGCGAAGCTGCCCCTCAGGGGCTGGATGGGGGCTGATGGGTGCCCTTGGAGCTGCCCCTTTCAGGGGTCAGAACTTCCACAGAAGAATTTGGGGGTGGGATACAACTCAGCCCACAGCCATGTCAAATTGATTGGCATTGGTCATCTGCCTTCTTCAGTTGCTTTTATTTTTCTCTTCTGGAGAGCCAAGAGCCTGAAAGGTAGAATTGAGAGCCTAGAGAATCGAGCCCACGACACAGTGAGGATAATTCCTTAAACTTAATTGCATCTCCCAGATGGATTGAAACTGCCTGAACTGGTGCCCCCCATTTTCCCCTTTTGGAACCAGAATGTCTATAATGGCTCTCCTACACTTATACCATCATTGAATTTGGTGGTCAGATTACTTGTTTTCTAGTTTTACAGGGCCACAGATAGACAGGGTCTGTGGCTCAGGGTGTATCATAGCAGAGCCTCACCTGACTGCTCAAGGCGACTGAAATGATGAGATTTTGGACTTGAAGTGGGTGTTCTAATGGAGTGAGATCTTTGTTGTCATGAGACAGGATAGATGCATTTTGCAGATGAGAGAGAGGAATGTGGTCAGAGGGTAAACTATAGCAGACAAAATTTTTGCCTCCCCCATTTTAGACCTGCCTTTTAATGGACTTGCTTAGTCATTGGGGTTAACTATGAGCAAACACAGTCCCCAGTACAGCAGAACAGAGAAACAACAATGTACCAGGTTAGATCAGAGCAAAGGAATGTTTGAAAACTGGAAACATCTCATATTTAGAAAACAAGAAGTGGGCAAGAAACCAGAGTGTCTGGGGAGCCTATAAGTGCATATGAAAAAGTATGGGCCCACGTTGGGCATGGTGGCGCATGCCTATAATCCCAGGAGGCTGAGGTGGGAGATCGGGTGAATCCAGGATTTCAAGGCTTAAGTGAGCTCTGATTGTGCCACTGCACTCCAGCCTGGATGACAGAGTGAGACCCTGCCTCAAAAAAAAAAAAAAATAAAGGCACAAATGGAAGGTGTTTGTATCAACAGGGCCAGGGCCATGGGCTCTTGGAGTGCCAAGTGTCTCAGACGCAGCATCAATCGTCAGCAGTAGTTGTGGTTCCTCCTTCTGCGTGGTCACCTGTGGAGGGCCTGCAGTGAGTGTGCATGTGTGTGTGTGCATGTGTACGGGGCATAACACTGGTGGCAAAACATCAGGGAAAATCTGGGGCTTCTGTGTTCAAGAAATTAGTTTTATTGTAATTGTACAGAGATAAAATCCCTACTTTCACAGAGTATTCTTACGCACTACTTTCTTTTCTTGGAAATTTTGGGGGGAAAGACTAACAATACATGTTTCTTAGCCGTGGCCTTTCCTAATTTCCAAGAGCTGAATCTCATCCTGCTAAGGTCTCCCTGAAACCAGACTGCTCTGCACCCTCCTCCGCACTCCTCCCCACGGCATGACAGTTACTGCCCATCTTCTGAGATAACTTCAAGGCAACTATGGCAGCTTGTTTTATTTTCTCTTCCTGCAACTCTCTCTGATTCTCTCTTTCAGCATTTAAGGATTGTCTTACTCTAATCAGCAACTCCACCAGGAACCTTTTGTGTTTTTTCGCTCTGTTTCTCCCCCACTATTTGGGGCCAGAGCCCTCTGAGCCTCACATAATGAAATTCAGGTCGCTGTGCAGAAAATATTGAGCACAGAGAAACAAACCCCAGGAGGCAAACTCTGAGGCCGGAAGGTAGAATTAGGAGCAGCCAAAAAGGACAGCAGGCGAGTTCAACCGGATGCATGATCATTTCCTGTTCTTAAAATTCCCTTTAATATCCCCAGCCCAGCCCGCTGAGTCGGTGAGAAGCTGGGGAGGAAGAGCCCTGGCTGGGGTCAGGGGCCCAGGCTGCAGGCCCAGCTGGTGGCTCGCTAGTGAGGCCCTGGGGAGACCTCTCAGGCCTGTCTTCAAGTCAGTAAGGAGGGGCCAGTCCTGCAGCTCTACCCTCAGAGCATGGGTGGTGGTGGTGGGGTGTGTGTGTGTGTGTAAGGCAGGTCTGGCTCCAAGCATCAGGAAGTGAGAACTGGGGAGAGATGTCTTTTGTGGGGTTCACACCCTCCCCAGCCGGGTTCTCCCACTCTCCTGGAAGGAACGGGCAGCTAACACCTCAGAGCTCCTGGAACAGGCAGGGGATGCCCACCTCCTTATCTCAGGGAGTAACCTGTGCACAGTCCTGGGAACAGGCACGGTCATCTTAGTGATAGTGACAGTGTGGCCTGGCCTGCAGCAGTGAGTTCTGCACACTTCATTGCGGGGAAGCTGGATGGTAGAAAGTGGAGACATTCAACCAAGATGACGCAGTTGTTTGCAGCCACATGTAGAATTGACGCCTGTCTGAAAACCTCCCCACCATTTGGCCACGATCAGTGCTGACCCTCACTCTGTCCCTGGGCTGTGGCTGACACACACAGGGTCACTGCCAATTGCTCAGGGCTCCTGTCTCTCAATACATGTATTTTCACAAAAAGGACACTCACTAAAGTGATGTCGAGAGCCATCTTGAAGAGGAAGAATAAAAGACAAATAGGCTGGGCGTGGTGGCTCACGCCTGTAATCCCAGCACTTTGGGAGGTTGAGGCGGGCAGATCACGAGGTCAGGAGATTGAGACCATCCTGGCCAACATGGTGAAATGCTGTCTCTACTAAAAATACAAAAAATTAGCTGGGTGTGGTGGCAGGCACCTGTAGTCCCAGCTACTTGGGAGGCTGAGGCAGGAGAATTGCTTGAACCTGGGAAGCAGAGCTTGCAGTGAGCAGAGATTGCAGCACTGCACTCCAGCCTGGGCGACAGAGTGAGACTCTGTCTCAAAAAAAAAAAAAAAAAGACCAATAGTGGAACAGTGGAGTAGAACATGGGTAAAGGGAAGTCCTAACCTGTGCCTCTTAATATCTGGTGTCACTGAGAATATTCATCCTCAGGCTTCTTTTGAACCTATCTCCTTGGCCACATGGAATAGATAAATGAGAGATCAGAGGCTTCTGCTGGACTATGAGTCCACCCCTCTCCCAGGCTTGCTCCCTCCAGCCCTGGGCCTGGATGCCAAGTTCCCTGGGGACATGGATGCCACCCACCAGGATGGGACCATTGGGAGTTTCCTCCAAGAGGGTGGAATATGACCATTGTTCCTGACATTGCTCACTTTAATTAGTCCACTAGATGCTCCAATCCTTGAAGGAAACCATGTTTCATCTCCAGTTTACACACAAGGAACCTGAGGCTTAGAGAGCTCTGACTTTAGGAAGTTACAGGTAAACTTTAGAGCCCACGTTCCCTAACTTTGAGCCCATGGACTCCTCATTTGGAGTTCTCAGGCATAGGGTGGAGAGAGGTGTAGACAAAACCCCAGGGTCATGCTTGATCTGCTGTGCAACATGTTCAGCTGCTCCTGGATAAGTGCAAGGTGTTTATTTATTTATTTATTTTTGAGATGGAGTCTCTCCCTGTCGCCCAGGCTGGAGTGCAGTGGCGTGATCTCGGCTCACTGCAAGCTCCGCCTCCCAGGTTCAAGCAATTCTCCTGCCTCAGCCTCCGTATGAGTAGCTGGGACTACAGGCGCCCACCACCACGCCCGGCTAATTTTTTGCATTTTTAGTAGAGACAGGGTTTCACCGTGTTAGCCAGGATGGTCTCGATCTCCTGACCTCGTGATCCACCCGCCTCGGCCTCCCAAAGTGCTGGGATTACAGGCGTGAGCCACCGCGCCCGGCTGCAAGGTGTTTATTAAAAGGATTCCTGCCTATTAACGAAGACTTATTTTTCACACTTTTATTTCAAAACTTGTTTTTGTCCTTTTTATGTTTCCTAATTGTTAAGAAGTGGCTTTATTTCTCAATTTGAGACATCTTTCTCAACCACAGTGTTTCTTTTTGATATTGATAATTAACTTTTTTTGGCCTGTATTTAATGTTGGAAGGCAAATACTATGTCCCAAACTACACTTTAGAAAATGACGATGGTAAACTTCATCTTTTCACATTTATTGATTACCCAATTATCACTTGGATGCTGCTTTACAGCTCAGATCTTATAATTTCACTTACTCCTCATAAGGACCTCATCAGTGGCTATTATTATTATTATTATTTCCATGAGGGCTCAAGAGCTGATAAGTAATTTGTCCCAAAACCATAGAGCTGGCCCCTAAGCCCAGAATTACAGGCCTGTGTCCATCTCATTCAGCCAGTGTCCCCAAGAACAACCTGCATCTGTCTGCATCAGAACCACCAGAGGTGCTGACTAAAGAATGACGCATATTTACCACTCTACCTGCCTCAGCTACAAAGGACCACCACTCCTATAACTTCAGATCTCCAGGGAGGGGGTTGGAGGAGGCTTTTTAAAAACCTTCACCTCATTTATTTACTTGAAGTACACAAAACAGTAGAGAGAACAATACAATCAAGTGCGTTTTACCTAGCAAACTGCCAGCTTTACCAAATAGAAATGCAGGACATTCAGTTAAGTTTGAATTTCAGGTAAAAAATGGATGACTTTTTAATAAAAATATAACGTCACGTGGGACAATACTTATACCGAAACATCACTGTTTTCCTGGCCATCCAATTTTCACCCTCACTCTGCTCTCTCCCCAGTCCTGGCTTATTTTGAAGCCAATCTCAAAATTCCTAGCATTTCATCTTAAACATGTCAGAATACCACCCTAAAATGTAAGACAATTTTTTTTTAAGAAACACAAACACAGTACCATTATTGCACCTGAAAAACACAACAATAATTCCTTAATACCTAGTCAATGTCTAGTTATCTGGATAAAATAAAATGGTATTTTATAGGTTGTTTGTTGAATCAAAATCCAAATAAGGCTCTTTCATTGTTAATCTATAGTTCTTCTCTCTGCCTGTCTCTGCATACACTTGTTGAGACAACAGGTCATTTATCCTCTCAGGATAGAGTAGCTCTCAGGGTGAATCATGCTTTCTTTTATCAGTTTTGCATCCAGGTGTTGTCATTATCATGTTCCTCTGTCCCACATATTTCCTGTTAGTTCGTAGTTAGATCCAATTAGATAGATCTAGTTAGATCTAGAGGCTTCATCTCCTTCAGGTTTCAATTTTTATTAAGAATATAACCTGGGGGGTGTGTCCATTTAGCAAGAGATACAGAATGGTTGTCTCTTTTTTAGAGATATTAGCAACTGTTGATAATCAATATCTACAGTCATAGTTCTTTAGGTGATCCTGATACATAGTGAGAATAAAAACCATTGCACTTTTCCACATTGCTCAGAGCAGGGCGGCTATGCCTATTGCTTTTTTTTTTTTTTTTTAATTTACTTTTTTAAATGAGCAGTTTCTGTGCTAAGAGGAACTATCTCTGGTCCACAGCCTCACAGGGTTCCCAGAATGAAGTATCCACCCTCCATCGTTCCTGAGCCTGGCCTTCCTCCTGGAGTACTGGCAATAACAGACTCCCTTACTCCTTGCAGCACTGTCCAGATGGTTGATAGCCAGATGTTGAGTGGATTTCTTTTTGAATGGATTTCTCTTTGAATGGATTTCTCTTCAAATGACAGGGGAGTCCTGCTAGTTCAGCATTCTGTTGTATTCAGATGCTCAGTTGACACCTCCCGTCATAGTGTGTGGTAAACTCTTATGAGCCCTCCCTAGCTGTTGAGTGATAACTATATAACCTATGGCCTGAAGTTGGGTTGGCCCAAGGACAAAACTGCTGGATGAGTCACAGTGAGGCCTTATCTTAAATGTGTCCCAAAAAAGAGAAGAAATGAGGACAGGCGGAAACTGTGTGAGTGGGAGGGAGACAGGGCACAGCTGAGGGGCAAAGGCGGCAGGCAGTAATAAGCAACAGAAGAGGGATGAAAGAAGACAGTTATCCAGAAGACTTTTTGGCCTATTTTCTTATGTGTGGGTAAAACACAGCAAGTGGGGCTTGCAAAACAATATTGCCACTGAAAACAGGACGCTGTCTCCATGTGTATGCACAAGGAACCAGATTGCATGTTCTATCTGCCAGCAGGAGGCCCCCTCCACAGGCTCCTGCTGTCTCTGCATTGTTCGGTGAGTCCTTGGAGTAAGCTGCCTGGGAAACAGGAGGCTTCGGCAGACCAGAGCTGGATGGCTGCTGATCAAAGAGGACTTGTGAAGCTACATCTTGTGTGTTATCCTCACTGTGAAGGTCATAGCAGGCTGCACCCAGCATTAGACTGCCCAGGACAATAGAGGAGACTTTATAAAACGTGTGGGTGGGCCAGGTGTGGTGGCTCACGCCTGTAATCCCAGCACTTTGGGAGGCTGAGGTGGGTGGATCACGAGTTCAGGAGTTCAAAACCAGCCTGGCCAAGATGATGAAACCTGGTCTCTACTAAAAATACAGAAAATTAGCCAGGCGTGGTGGCAGGGACCTGTAATCCCAGCTACTCAGGAGGGTGAGGCAGAGAATTGCTTGAACCCAGGAGGCGGAGGTTGCAGTGGGCCAAGTTTGCTCCATTGCACTCCAGCCTGGGCAACAAGAGTGAAACTCCTTCTCAAAACAAAAAAACAAAAAACAAAAAAGTGTGTGGGTGAAGGAGCAGTGCGGCAAGGGGCAGCTGCTGGAAATGAAGAATGGGGAAGGGAAGAGTGGAGGGGAAGACCCCAACCACTGGCTGAGCAAGTCCAGCTTCCTTCTGCTGTGTGGTCTGCAAGATGCACTCTCCTTTTTAAATCCCAACAAAACGCCCATCCCTTTCTAGCATGGTCCGACTGGCTCATTCTTGTTTGGAGGATGAGACCCAGGCTGCGACTGGATTTACAGTGGGCCTGGGGGCAGGAAGAGGCTAGCCCTGTTTTCACAAATGGACAAGAGCGTAAAGAGGCATGAATGGCCACCAACAGTGAACAATGTTTCTGTGCGGATGGTTTCCATCAAAAGGTAGCTTCATTGGGGAATGCCTGCACAGAGGTACCTAATTAGGGATTCCGAGTACTTTTGTGTTTTCATGTCTTTCAAATTAGACTCAGAGAACAAACCGATGACTCTGAACACAATTGACTGCTTTGCTGACACAACAAATAATGGCTTGAATAGTGAAAATTCCAAACCAGGTCTGTGGCCAACCTTTTTGTAACAAAAAGATGACTCAAGTTTGGAAATAGTCACAGCGTCAGTTGTCTGATTGATGGCTGAAGAATGGGAGACAGCAAGGGGTGCTTCACATGCTATTTTCCTCTTTACTTTTCCCTAATTCTTTTATTTTTCTCTCCCAAATAGGAGATTTGCTGGGCTTGATATTTTTACAAAAGAAGAAAATGGAGGAGGAGGGAGAGGTTTAAAGGGGCCACTGTCATTTCACACCCCCATCCTGACCTGCAGCCCTATTTGTCTCCTCTAAGCCTCTTTTCTCACGTCAGTAGGAGGCTGTTTCTCTTCTCTATAAGGGGCTTTTCCTGTTATAACTAAAAGCGAAGGTCCCACGTTCACCACATTCTCCAGTGAGCTGCCAGTGACCAGGGTCTACTGTGCGGCTCCTGGAGGAGGCAGGACTGGCCTGTTGTCATAGACCCCGACTGCTCCCCAGGAAAAAGAGGTAGTGTGGGAGGGGAGTCACTGGTGTGTGTAGTTAGCAGTGGTGGGGAGAGACTTCCTCCCATGGGGGAGTAAAGGGGGATTCGGTTTTAATCTCCTCTTCCTCAATCAGTTGGTGAGAGAGGGATTCCCTCCACTTGGTTAGGCAGATGGACGAATACAGCACACCCAGTGCTGGGCTGGTCAGATGAACAGCATGTAGAATCAAGCCCAGGGGAGGAGGATACCACAGGCCATGTGGGGCCACATGGGGGCTGCACTTGGGAACAGCATGAATAGCCAGGGGCTGTGGAAGGCAAGCTCTGTAGTAACAAGAGAGGGAGCTGCCTCTTGGTTCCAGGGTGAAGTTGTGATTGGTTTTTGTAATAATTCTTCAGGCTGGCAGAGAACCAAAACCTGCTATTCAGGGATAGGCAGGTCACCTGCCATTTGATGAGAAGGTTGTTTGCCAGGAGGTAAGCTGGACACCTCACTGCTGACTTGGAGACTTGTGGTGGTGAGTCCTCAGGCCCTGCCAGAGCTACCATCCTGGGAGGATGCAGACAGGGATCCTTGGGGAGCCTGAGTGCTGTCTCTGCACAGCTCTGCGCTGCTCTCAGAAAGTGCAGAAGAGACCTCAGTGGTTCCTGTCACCTTACATGAAGGGACACAGAAGTCAGCAGAGCACTGTAGGCCAAGGGACTGCCCAGTGGCCAGAGCAAGTCACAGCCCAACCAACGTGGAATAGGACTGAAGAGAGATGTGAGTGTCCCCGAAGGGGCCCGGTCCTCAGTGACTGCGGGTCAGGATGGCATGGATGGTTTGTATTATGCAAGGGCTCCATGCATATCCTAGATCCTAGTAACAGACGCAAATGTACCAGCTTGAGTCATAGATCTTCTTTTTCTTTTGCATGTCATGAAGTCCAGGGGTAGGTTGCTCAGGGTAAGAGTGTGGCTCCAGGATGTTGGCAGAGAGCCACAAGATGGCTGAACCTTCTCCACAGCCCATGCCCCCTCAAAGAAGGAGGAAACGGCAAAGTGCAAAGGCCAGTGCCAGCAGAAGACTCCTTTGTAGTAACAAGAGGGAAAATAGTCATGGAGTCACCATACGTATTATTGGTCACATATAGTCACATGGCTGCTCTTATCTGCAAAGAAGGCTATAAAATATTGTTTCAAGTTCATACACTGCCAACTCCTACAGGACTAAGGTTCTGTAATTAAGGAAGAAGGAGAACAAGACATACGCAGAACTGCAACTGGGCCTTTGCCAGTGGGGAGAAATGCTGCTGGGTGGTGCTCAGAGAAACAGGATGCTGATGGCAAGGAGAACATCCCTCCCCATCCACCAGCCCTGCAGGTATCCTGAGGTTGCAGGACCAAGGACAGAGGGATCCACAGTGGAACCTAGGTATGGTAATTGACCTCTATTTCAGATGGAATAAGAGAGGAAATGGTGGCCATCTTGGAACGTGGGATGACATCCCCTCCTCTGCTATGGTGTTGGGAATGACTTGTGGGGTGCAGCCGCCAACTGAATAGTGAACAGGGAGCTTCTACCAATGGCTAACCCCGTCAATTTCCAGAGCACCAGGGAGCAAATGGCCTCACAAAGCCCCTGGAAACTCGTGCCTGGAAATACAGAAAGTGGTAGTTTTTATGCCAACATCAAATCAAGCAAATTGAGAGTTATGATTAGATAAGAGAAATGGTGGGGTCTAATTCACACACTATCACATGCTGCCACATCTTGCATGTGGATACAGCAAATGGGTTTTGCAGACTGATCCTGGCTGGTGGTAGCACCCAATGTTTATGCTCTGAGTACTGCATATAATGTTGTGTAATCATTTCTGCTAACGTTCCGAACAAAACTTTGTAATAAGACGGCTTCTGCGTATGTTATACACTACAGAAATGCTGGAAAGGTGGAGGTGAGGAGATATGAGGAACTTGGACATATTTCATTTAAATAATTACCTGGGAGAAATAAAAATCTGTAAAAATTGTGATGTTGTATGATTAATCAGTCAACTCCCCACCCCCCACATCTGAGTGGTTTTGCCTCTGGGATTCTGTTAGCACCAGGAGGTCCAAGGCGTCCTCTCCATCTAAAGTGAGCTAAAAACCTAGTAGAGATGTGCTGCCCACTAGAAAAAGACTATGAAACAAACATCCTAGAGGCTCAAACAAGTAAATACTACTAAAAGTACAACTCGTGGTATGTTTTTTCTATTCATCCCCAGATCTTTCTTAAGAAACGAAAGAAAAAAAACACACCGACAATTGAGATCAAGTACAACCCTACGGTTTGGAAGTAACACAAAGGGGTCATTGCTGAACAGCTCTGAATGCTCTGAACAGGCACCCAGACTGGGTGAGCACAGTGTGAAACAGCCCATCAGGCTCAACCTGCCCCAAAGGGTGGGGTTCCAAGGGCCCCGTGGCTATGTTGCTCAGGGACTGACCACTGTCCCTGATGCTGGTGAGTCTCAGGAGGTGAGGACAGACACTGAAGGTGGGAGTGGGCAGAGGGGAAACGGGTGGTCCTAGGAAAGCAAGCTGTGTGATCGCCCTGGATGTTTCTGAATCCTGGTTTTCAGTTCCATCTCAGTAACAGCACGTCCACGTGACATCCACAGAACCTTCTGTTTTGTCAGAGGGCTGCCTGTCTCTGATCTTGTGTCTTCACTGACATGGCAAAGCTGCCTTCCAGGCCCAAATGAGCAGGTTCTTAGGGGGTCTCCCATCTTACCATGGGTGATGCTTCCTTCCATTTAAATTAATTTGCATATCTGAACTACATTTAAAATCCTCTGGACCTAAACCCACTTGTGCATGTGGGCATGTGTGTTTTCTCTCCCCCTCTCTTTTTACCCCTTGGTCTGACCTCCCTCTTGTGGGGTCAAACATGTCTTTGGAAAGTCCAGTGAAGCCCTGCCCTGACTTGCTCCCTTTCATATCCGAGTGACATCAGCTAATGACATTTCAGATAAATGGATGGCTTCTCAGCAGAAGGGCGACATTCTGTGTGAGCTCGAGCTGAAGTGTGAGGGTGAAATACTTTGTGAAGGACGGCATACTTGGCTAGTTTCTAGTTTTCTCCTCCAAACTGACAGGCTTGGCTAAGCTCCTGTGAGAGCCTGTCTTAAAGGCAAAGGAAAAAAGTGGTGTACGGAAAGCGTGGCTGCAGAGTGGTCCCCTCACACGTGACAGGTCAGCAATGGACATGGGGAAACGTGCCTACACTTAATAGCAACTTGTTTTCAAAATCAAAAATGAGTTGATATGTAATTGGTCAATATGGAAACTTCAGGACTTGCTGCAGTCTTCCTAACCACCATTTAAAATTCTGTATTTTTAACTCAGGCTGATAGTAATCAAGCATCTCTCTCTGTGTGCCGTTTGCATACACACCCCAGCCCTGTGCTACAGCAGCAGCAGTCAGCCCCCTCTTCCAGGCTTTTTCTTTCTTTTATCTAAAGAGAAAGCTGTGGCTGTCAGTGAATGGGAAGGTGGCTCCCTACTCTGAGAGCCAGGTAGGAAGTGGAGCTCACCTTCCTGATAGCACGCTGGGGAAGGGCTAGGAAACATTTCCTACATTTTGTTGAATATTGTTTATATTTGTTGCCCCCATTTTTTTCTCTACTCCTTTTTTTTCTCTATCTGTTACACCAACTCCATCTTGGCTTTGTCTCCACCTCGTCACCAGACTCTTCTTGTCAAGGTTATCCGAGATCTCCACTTTGCTCAATCCAGTGTCCAAGTCCTGGCTGCTATGGGCTCGACCTGTCACATGTATGATGGAGCTGACTGCTCTGTGCTTGAGGCACCCCTCCCTTTTTCCTGTGCACAGCTCTCCTCTCTCAGGGGCCACTCTCGAATGGTCCAGAGCTTGCCCTCAGAGGGTTATTTTTCTCTTCTATTCACCCTCACTCCCTAGGTCCTCGCTTCTGGTCTCACAGCTTTTCACACCAACTGTATGCTGATGATGTCCAAATCTTTATTTACAGCCCAACCTCTCTCCTAAACTTCCTCCTTGATGGCTCCGCCAGGAAGTCTGCCAGGGGCCTCAAGCTTAGTCCATCCAGACTGATCCCATTTATTCATCTGATTATCCTGCAGTGCCATCATCTTAGGAAATTGCTACTCCCTCCTTCCAGTAACCAAGGCAAATACACAAGGCTTGTCTTTCTCTCATATCCCACTGCCAAAGCTTTAGCAAAGTCTTTGAGTCTACCTTGAAAATATACACAGAATCTGACCACTTGTCACCACCTGCACGTCAATAGCCATGTCCAAGGTGCTACCACCTCTTGCTGGGATTATTTCTACAGCTCCTAATTGGCATCCCAATTCCTGCCACGGCCCTTCCATAGAACATTCTCAATACAGCCTCCAAAGACAATCTTTTAAAGCCTAAGTCAGACCACATAACCTCCTCCCCGAGGCTTTCCCATGATGCTCCATTTCACTCTGAGTAAAAGCCAAAACCTACAAAGTGGCCTCCAGGACAACCTGTGCTTATCCCTGTTACTGCTTCCAACTCATGTCCAGCTACTTGCACCCTCACCCAATTCTCCCTGCCTATTGGCCCCTCTCTGTTCCTTGGGCACATGAGATCCAAGCTTACTTCTAGAACTTCACCCTTGCTGACCCCTCTCCCTGGAAGATTCTTCCACCAGTTGATCTCAAGTCCTCCAGTCTCTCCTTAAATAGCACTGCTTCAGCAGAACCTTCCCTGGTGCTAACGGAAAGCACCCCACCACCTCCCATAAACACACACACTCAGCAGTATTGTCCCCTTCATCCCATTTAGTTTTTCCATCTGCATATCACCACTTGTCATCTGCATGTGAACTTGCTCAGTTTTTTTAAATGGTCATTTTATCTCCTGATTTCCACAAAGACAAGGACTTTGATTTGTTCACTCATCTGTCTCTAGTACCCAGAACAATGCTTTACAAAGATCAGACTCAGAAATATTTTTTGAATGAATTAGCTAATTCGAACCTTGATTAATATTCTTTTGGGGCCAGGCATGGTGGCTCACGAGTATAATCCCAGCACTTTGGGAGGCCGAGGTGGGTGGATCACTTGAGGTCAGGAGTTCAAGACCAGCCTGGCCAATATGGCAAAACCCCATTTCTACTAAAAATATAAAAATTAGCTGGGCAAGGTGGCACACGTCTGTGACCCCAGATACTTGGGAGGCTGAGGCAGGAGAATGGCTAGAACCCAGGAGGCAGAGGTTGCAGTGAGCTGAGATTGCATGCTACTGCACTCCAGCCTGGGCAACAGAGTGAGACTCTGTCTTCAAAAAAAAAATTCTTTTGGTAGCATGCATATTTTTATGTGACCAATTTTGTTACCACAAAGTTTAAAAAGAGCTAGAGAACAGCCTTCAAGAGGAGACTGCTGTCCATATACTGCCAGGTCCTATGCTTGGCATGGACACTGTGGGTGGGAAAGAGGTAGATCTTCCGAGTGTCTCCCGACAATGATACCCTGTACATCACCCACATCAGGGCTGGTCCTTTGCTCTATTTGGGCCTGAAATGACCTGGAGGCCACACTGGGCAGGCTACTTATGGGTGGACAGCTGGTCTACCAGAGGAATCTGGTAGCCTCCTTAATGCTCAGGTTTAGATCTCCAATCTCCCAAATCCTACATTAATGAGAAGTAACTTTTGGCAATTCAGATCCTGAAAGTGTAAGTTAGAAAAACCAATAGTTTATTGGCCCCAATTCCCACTTCAACCTTTCCTGTTTACAAAAAGAAGGCTAGAGAATTGATCATTCATGATGTGAGTACTTTTCACTTTTTAGAGAACAAGAACAAAATTGCTGAGGGGGTTTTCAGAGCTTTTTAATGATGGAGTTGTGTTTAAAAGATACAGGATTAAAATTGTGGAGGTCTCTACTGGTCTTATCTTGGGCATTTTGGGCATCAAGATAAATTATCATAGTAGTAGACTATAGCCCATTGAAGGAAATAGGCCCCCATGAGTCCACCCTGATATAAATGAATGAGTAAATGGAAAAAAGAGAAGCCTCTCCCTTAAGTAGAATGCTGACTAATGCATGCAAAAGGAATGATGGAATTACAAAATTATCACTTGGAAATCACCAAAAGGGTGGTGATTCAGGGAGAAGTCATTACTAGGTGTTGTGGCTAGTAAGTGGGAGTTGACGAGAAAAGGGTAGAGTTGTAGTCTCAGTACATCATCCACAACATAATCATCAATTGCAAAGGAGAAATGCTGACTTTGCTGAGGAGAGGACTGGCAGGCTCTGAGGTGATGAAGGCGACCCTCTGCAGGAGTGGGAAGTGCCCGCATCATGTGCACTGAGCACTGCATGGTTTCCATCATGGAGACCTGGCCTGAGTCTGTTGTGAGGACATACCATGCCTCAGTTTCTCTAAAACTACCAAGGACATGAGAGACAGAGAAGGGGCAAGGAACTGCTCCAGACTGAAGGAGACTGAAAAGACAGGACAACTGCATATGGCGTGCAAACCTGGATTGAATTATATGCCAGAAAGGAAGTAGAGATGGTGCTGGGAAAGCTGGCACAATGGGGATGGTGTCTGTGGGTTGGATGCAAACGTATTGGTGTGGGTTTCTCAATTAGAGGAGTTGTGCAGTGTTTATGTAGGAGAGTGTCTTTGGGGAAAACACACTGCAGTATCTAGGGGTATCTGCAGCATGCTCACAAATGGTTCCAAAACAGATGAGTGATTTATGATTATAGATGGATAGAAGAAAGTGTGATGGTGAAAATGATGGTAAAATTTAAGCCATCATAGGAGAAATGGGATTTTTAAAAAATATTATTCTGTTAACTTTTTTGTAAGTTTGATCTATTCCAAAATATGTCATTAAAAGTACAGAAATGCTGGGATAAATAGTATCCTGATAGAATGAGATAATGAGCTTTCTATCATTATTAGGCAAAAATTTAATTAGCCACTAGCAGAATCTACTCTCTCAGGTTAATTATAGTGGAAGTATCCCAAAAATGGAAACGAGAGTTACTCAGTTTTCAATCAGGGTGACAGAGTCACAAAACTCTATGACCCACAGCAAAGCAGTGTTCATTCACCAGGAATTTCCCAGGGAGACCTGAACATCTCTTTATTTCATTTTAAATTTTAAAATAAACATCTTTTCACCTTGAAAGTCCTTAAAGAAAACTTAAAATATACTGAAAAGTAGGGAAAAAGCACAGAGAAAACCTAAATACAGCTCTTGTTAATATTTTGGTCCATTTTCTTCCAATTTTTTTGAAGCAGAATTTTGCTTTTTTCTCTTTAAGGACAAGTCTAATTGTATTTATGTACCTTTTTATCCTCTGTGTCTTTCTCTTAGCATCTCAAGCATTTTCCCATGTTGTTATGTAGTCTTTCTCAACAACTTTATTGGCCAATAATACTCCATCAGGTACAGGTGCCTGCTGGGAGTCTCTTAGCCCTGCCCTGTGGATGGCAGAGGAGGAAGTGGTCAGGCCTTTGTCAAGCTTTTGAGTCAGCCCACCTGGGCCTTCTGGGTCCAAGACAATCCCTTTTGCAACTAAGTCAACTTTTCTAGAATCTCCCTGTTACTTACAATCCAAAGCATTCTATCTGCTTCAGTGGGCTCCTGAATTTTTGAATTTTGTCTGGAGTGATAAAAGAGCTCACAGTTCAGAAGTTGTAAGTAATTTGTCAGTGACAGAAGAACTCATGGCTTGGAGAAGACAGGAAAGCATTACCCTGCCAGGAAATGTTCTTATTCATACCACAGTGTGAGGCAATGGAAGCAAACATTCTCATTTGACTTGGGAAAGCTTTCAACTTTCATCCACCCACACCCAGGACCTTTCACTTATGAATAACAAGTGCCTTTGGGGTTGGTTTGGGTGTGTGGATTTTGAGGATGCTCTGTGCTCCTTTAGGCAGCAGGGAGTTTTTCCAGATGAGGAAGCCTGCAGCCTTTCCCTCCTGAATGTTCTCCCTTCAAGAAGCAGACAACTAATGACGCCTTCCTCACGCCTGTTGCTTATATGGCTTCCACAGTGCCTTGACTTATCTTATCTCATGGGGTTTGGGCAACCACTCTTGGAAGTAGATAACTCTCATTATTAACTTCACTTTGCAGATTTCGAAATTAGGGCCTAAAAAGGTTAAATGACCTGCCTGATGTTACACATGCAGAAAGTGTGGGGTTATTTGTACATCTGATTTTCTAAGAATGATAACATTCATGTTTGATGATCAGTAGTGGTTAAGAATACAACACTGGGCTTTGTTGTCAATAGACAACAGAGTCAAGTAAGATAAAAAAACAAAGTAAGCTAAAGTATTGTCAGTAATTTACTTTAAAAATTCTTAAGTTTTTAGAATGGTGTGTGTGTGTGTGTGTGATATGTGTGTGTATGTGATGTGTGTGTGATGTGTGTGTGTGGTGTGTGTGTGTGTGTGTGTTTATGTCAACATTGATCTAAACTCCCAGGGCTTTTATTTACCATGTGGAGGACACTAATGAGGAATCCTAACTACCTTAATTTAGACCTTAATTTGGAATCAGTTTTCCAGAAACAACTAAGGCAAGCCTTTAAATATTACCATCAGAATCAGCAGTAACAGGTCCATTGATCAGTGTAAGGACTGTTGGATAATTTATTTTGATGAAATAAGTGGCATAATTATATGTGATTGGTTGCAAGACTGGCAAAGTTGCCTCCACCCGTGTATGAATGGAGTAAAAGCATCCAGCAAACCCAGTAGTCTCCCCACTTTGGAGTGGTGCTCAGGATGTGGAAATCTGTTTCATCCTTCACTTGATCGGACTGACAGACCAGATGTTCCCACCTTCCCATAATGGTTGCAATTGCCAGGGGTGAATTCTTCTATACTTAATGTGCTTCCCAGGGAGCCTAAAAGGATGCAGCAGCATAGAAGCTTAAGAGATCACGTTTTATGAAGGATTCTGCATCAGCTGGTTCATACATAGAGCTAATAAATGTCTGTATGAGTTCAGTCTGAGACTTGCTTTCCACACAACACCTGGTAAGGAGGATTGGGAGAAGAGACATGGTTTCTGACCACCTCTAATGTTCAGAGGCTGTCAGTATGTCAGTATTTCCCCCAAATTATTTGGTATTTGGGAACAACCAAAGGGTCTTAGGTTGGAACACAACAATCAGGGTTCTCAGATTTCACTTGGATTTTTGTAGTTAAGGCCCTAATATCAGCCCTAAACCCTGTCTTCTCATATTTAAACTACAAGCGCATCTCTGTCACACAGTCTCTGGCTCCAGCATGGCCTCAGGCAGGGAATGGTCCAATCATGCCCAGTATGTCTGGGTCTCTGTAACCAGGAATCATTGTGGGATTCCAAGGAGCTCCCCATGTGTTGAGGAATAGAGAAGAGATTGGGATCTAAAGACATTGAATTCTGTAGGGGCATTCCAATATATAGATCCAAATCACAGGCCCACAGGGAGCATGCAAAGTGTTCATGCTGGATGGAGGATGAATGATTTAATCAGTGCAATCAGCCCACAGCAATTCCTCCAAACTCAATAGGAGGTCCATTACGGTTTACTTTTTAATGGAGCTAGACTTCCTTTAGCGTGGGACATGGCCCTAAAAAATAAAAAGAAAATTAATCAGACTTCTGGGTTCAGCTTTGACATGTGAAGAGATCAGAAGTCATCAATAAGAAAAAGCTTCCCAACACTTTGGGAGGCCGAGACAGGCAGATCATCTGAGGTCAAGAGTTTGAGACCAGCCTGGCCAACATGGTGAAACCTCGTCTCTATTAAAAATACAAAAGAATTAGCTGGGTGTGGTGGTGCACGCCTGTAATTCCAGCTACTTGGGGGACTGAGGCAGGAGAATCACTTGAACCTGGTAGACGGAGGTTGCAGTGAGCTGAGATTGTGCCATTGCATGCCAGCCTGGGCGACAAGAGCGAAACTCCATCTCAAAAAAAAAAAAAAGGAAAAAGAAAAAGCTGAAAAAAACCTGAAAATCAATGACTTTTTCTAGACCCAGCAGAGAACTGAGATTACAAACCACACCCTGAAGTCTGTCGAGACAGGTGAATCCAGAGACACAGCCAAGATCTACTGGCCTGGGGAAGAAGCTGCTGGAGCAGTAACTGGCAGGAAGTCTTAAACATGAATTTTGATGACTTGCTGGAGGCTGAGTATGGACTAGTGTGAAAGTGGGTATCTCCTATGGGCTGCAGTCCTAGAGGGACCCACTGTTACGGTTTTTACCTTCAGAAATCCCAACAGCTTCTCACAATGAAGAGAAAAGCAAGATCTCCTCCTGTTTCTGGTGAGGGGTGGGGAAGAATAATTCTCATGAAGCTCCCCTGGAGCCTTCTCCGTAACAGAGACCTGCTCGTCAGGGAAAAACACTTTATTACAATCTTCCCCCAGCTGGAGAAAAGGCATTGCTCCCACTCCAGCCCACTCTAGACTTCCTGTCTCACCAAACAGGAAGGAAGCAATACGACTAGAGAAACACTTGTGAGGGTCACAGCCTTGAGACAGAGGCCCATGAAAAAAACTACAATTTAATCATAAGATTATAGAATAATGCCCCCTCCGCAACCCCAAGCACACTCCTCTTAGCACGACACCAACAGAGCTGTGGTAGAATAAGAGTGAATTACAGCTGGAAGAGCTGCAAGTCACAGACTCTCTCCGAGGAAGAGCACTTAGGGAAGCCCAAAGTTAAAAATAGAGCAAAAGCCAGGAGAAATTTGGGGCCTGTGGCATATACGGCTACAGCAAATACTAATCAAAGTTCAACTCCTAGCCAAATTCACGTAAAATTTCAAACTAAAGACTAATTTGCCTTAGACCCCATTATTCAATAAAACATGTCCACCTTTCTTTTTTTTTTTTTCTGAGATAGGGTCTTGCTATGTTGCTGAGGCTGGTCTCAAACACCTGGTCTCAAGCGATCCTCCTGCCTCGGCCTCCCAAAGTTCTGAGATTACAGTCATGAGCCACTATATCCAGACAACGTATTAACCTTTCAACAAGGCAATGCTAAAAGGCAAGCAAACCAACCAACCCCCCAAAAAAACCCCACCAAACTTGAAACCCAAAGTCTGAAAAGACAGAGCAAGCATTAGAAGCAGACTCTCCCATGATACACATGTTGGAATTATCACACAGGGAATTTAAAATAGCTATTATTAATATGTTGAGAGCTCTAATGCAAAAAGTAGATAACCTGCAAGAAGACATGGATAATGAAAGCAGAGTGATGGAAACTCTAAAAAAGAATCAACAGAAAAAGCTAGAAAGTCAAAAGCACTGTGACAGAAATAAAGAATGCTTTTTATGGGCTCATGAGTAGACTGAATATGGTCATGGCCAAGAAAAGTATCAGTGAGCTCTTTTTATTTTTTATTTTTTATTTTTGGAAACAAAGGTTGCAGTGCAGTGCTATGATCATGGCTCATTGCAGCCTTGACCTCCTAGGCTCCAGTGATCCTCCCATCTCAGCCTTCCAAGTAGCTGGTACTACAGGTGTGCACTAGCATGCCTAGCTAAATTTCTTTACTCTTTGTAGAGATGAGGTCTCACTATGTGGCCCAGGCTGTCAGTGAGCTTTAAGGTAGGTCAATAGACACTTGCAATACACACACACACACACACACATGCACACACACACAATTCAAGAAAGTACTGTGGGGCAATTACAAGAGATATAACTAAGTGCAGTTGCAATAACAGGAGAAGAGAGAATGAAGCAAAATAAATATTTGAAGTAATAATGACCAAAAACTTTCCCAAATTAATGATAGAGTACAAATCACAGATCCATGAAATTGAAAGAACATAAAAAATCTAGGCTTGTAGGGAAAACATTTATACCATATCATGTTCAAACTGCAGAAAACTAAAGACAAAGATCAAATTTTGAAAGTAGCCAGAGAGGAAGAAAAAACTTTACTTATTAAAAAAATAAGGATAAGGACTACAGCAGAGTTCTCATAAGAAACCATGTCAGCAAGAAAAGAATGGAGTGATATATTTAAAGTGTGAAAGAAAAAATCCCCACCAAACTAGAATTCTATATTTAGCCAAATTTGTTGTTCAAAAGGGAGGAGAAACAAAGATTTTTAACAAAAACTGCACATCATCCTCAGCACATCTTCCCTGTAAGAAAAGTTAAAGAAGCTTTTCAGGGGGAAGAAATGTTACATAGGTCAAAAACCCAGATCCATGTAAAGAAAGGAAGAGCACCAGAGAAGAAAGAAGTGAAAGTAAAATAAAATATTATATTTTCCTTAATCATATTTGTATTCATCTGTTCTCACACTGCTAATAAAGACAAACCTAAGACTGGGTAATTTATAAAGAGAAGAGGTTTAATGGACTCACAGTTCCACATGGCTGGGGAGGCCTCACAATCATGGCAGAAGGCAAATGAGGAGTAAAGTCACATCTTACATGGTGGCAGGCAAGAGCGTGTGTGTAGGGGAACTCCCCTTTATAAAACCATCAGATCTTGTGAGACTTATTCACTATCAGGAGAACAGCACAAGAAAAACCCACCCCCATGATTCAGTTACCTCCAACCGGTTTCTCCCACAACACGTGGGAATTATGGGAGCTATAATTCAAGATGAGATTTAGGTGGAGACACTGCCAAACCATATCAGTATTAATGTAAAGTGTAACAATTTTCTGTTCATTTCTTGTTTCTAGTTCATTTTTTTGCTTCTGTGGCAAAAAAGAAACACTTGAATTTTTTTTAGGTTTTCATTCTGTGTTTTTGAGAATATCTCGTGTTTTTCGAGTATATCATGTTGTGTCACTGTCTTGGTGGCTGGTCTAAATATTAAAATATACATGTGACAACATAGTCTACTGGTGTCAGCATTTCATCACTTTCAGCAAAATGTGGAAGCCTTAATTTTATTTAGGTCCTTTTAGCTCCTTATTTTTAAATATTGTCGTGTGTCAGATGGTGTGATGATATTTTTCAGCCATCATATATGATTTAGAGAGTTCATGACAAGAAGGATAACCTATTGCATTTACTCACCTTATTCCCTTTACACTGGTCTTTCTTCCTTCTTGATAGTCCAAGATTCCTTCCTTTACTTTGTCTTTCTGTTTAAAGTGTTACTTTTAACGACGCTTTAAGGGTAGACCTGCTAACAACACAATATTTTGGTTTTCCTTCTTCTGGGAGTGTCTTTATTTCTCTCATCATTTCTGGGGAATATTTTCATACAGAATTCATTATTGACAGTTCTTTTTCTTTTCAGTGCTTGAAAAATGCAGTGCCATTTCCTTCTGGCCTCCATGGTTTCAGATGAAAAATCCTCTGTCCTTTGAATTGGTGTTTGTTCCTTTATATATAATGTGCCATTTCTCTCTGGCTGTTTTCTATTATTATCTATTTCTAATTGGTAAAAACTAATTGTGTGTTTTTGTGAGGTACAATGTGATGTTTTAATTCATGTATACATTATAGAAAGATTAAATCAAGCTAATTAACATCCATCTCCTCACCAACTTATTATTTTTTGTGGTGAGAATGTTAAAAATGTATTATTTTAAAAATTTTGAAATAGTGATTTTTTTCTTTGTCTTCTGTTTTCAGAAGTTTAATGAATGATATATTTTGGTATGAGTTTCTTTGGGTTTTTGCTATCTGTGGGTTGCCCGGCTTCTTAAGCCTGTATTTCACCAAGTCTGGATATTTACAGCCACTATTGCTTCAGCTACTCTTTTATGTCTGTTCTCTTTTTCATCTCCTTCTGGGATTCCAATGATACAAATGTTGTCTCATTTGTTACAGTCACACAGGTTGTGAAGTCTCTGTTCATTTTTTAGGTCCATATTCTCTCTGTTAAGATTGGGTAAATTCTGTCGATCTGTCATCAAGTTCACCAATTCTGTCCTCTGTCATCTCCACTCTACTGTTGAGCCTACTCAGAGTGTTTAATTTCTGCTATTGTATTTTTCAGTTTTACAGTTCCCATTTGTTTTTTTTTGATTCAATTTTTTATGAGATTTTCTATCTTTTAAGTTTTCCAGAGAATTTGTAATTGCTTGTTAAGTCACTATTAAGATCATTGCTTTAAACTTTTTGTCTGATAATTCTAACTCCTGATTTGTCTCAGTGCTGGCATCAGTGGATTATCTTTTCTCATTAAAGTTTGTTATATTCTTGGTTCTTGGTAGGATGGATGATTTTTTGATTGTAAGCTGGACATTTTGCCTATTATTTAGGAAACTATGGGTTCTGTTAAATTATTTTATTTTATTTATCACTAAAGTATATATATATATTTGAGACAGAGTTTCACTCTTATTGCCCAGGCTGGAGTGCAATGGCACAATCTCGGCTTATTACAACCTCCACCTCCCAGGTTTAAGCGATTCTCATGCCTCAGCTTCCCAAGTAGCTGGGACTACAGGTATGTGCCACCACATCTGACTAATTTTTGTATTTTTAGTAGAGATGAGGTTTCATCATGTTGGCCAGGCTGGTCTCAAACTCCTGACCTCAGGTGATCCACCCGCCTTGGCCTCCCAAAGTGCTGGGATTACAGGTGTGAGCCACCGTGCCCAGTCACTAAAGTCAATATTTTAAGTATTTTATTTATTTTCACTTTTAACTTGTTAAGGTGTAGGACTTGTTAAGGTCCTGGCCTACTTTTGTGGCACTCTAATTTGCAGAGCCCTAGTGGTGCTAATGTGAACTGGGGGGTATATCTCATGCTGCTGGGCTCCCGTCAGGCACCTCAGGTGTTGTCTGAGAAGGCAGATGAAGCTTCCCCTGGCTGGGTCTCTATGGAAGAGGGACATCGGCAGACGGTGGGGACAATGAGGCCTCCCAGTCAAGGCCCTTGCTGTGGCAGGATGGCTCCTGCTTGTGGGGGCCAGGCACATGTAGGGGCAGGATCCCCATTAGTGGTGCCCCAAGGTGGGTGGTGAGGGGGGTTCTCTGCCCCTGTGTTAAAGGAAAAGAGCACCTCCCCTGGTGGCCTGTTGTCAGCAGGGCTCCAGCTATGCTTAGATGGTTGCTTGGCCCGCCTGGTGTTGCTGCAGGACTCTGTTTGATTAGAGGGACAAATGAGCCTACCTGGGTTACCTTCCATAGCTAGGTTGGGTATTGGAAACACTGGGTCTGGTGGCCTGCTTCCGTCGAGTGAGGGCTGTAAAACACTCTGCCACTGCGTTGTCCAGTCCCAGGCTCACAAACCAGTTCACATTTCTCTTTTCATCTTTCATTGTTTCTTATGTTATTTACAGGGTTTTTGGTTGTGCTTTCCAGTGGGGAGGTGAGACAAGTCCAGAGTAGATATTTGCTGGCTTTATTTTAAATAGCAAATTCTATAATCTTTTCTTTTCTTTTTTTGGAGACAGTCTCGCTCTGTTGCCCAGGCTGGAGTGCAGTGACACAATCAGCTCACTGCAGCCTCCGCCTCCCGGGTTCAAGCTATTCCTCTGCCTCTGGGATTACAGGTGTATGCCACCATGCCCCGCTAATTTTTTGTATTTTTAGTAGAGACAGGGTTTCACCATGTCAAGAACCAGGTTGTTCTTGAACTCCTGAGCTCAGGCAATCTACCCGCCTCAGCCTCTCAATGTAATAATTCTTTTCATCGTAAAATTATTCAAATAAATGTCCTTTTAGCACTTTGTGCTGTGAATAAACAGCTTCATTTGCCAACTTTGTAAAGTTTCTTCTCAAACATTTAACAGTCCCAGAAATTTAAGAGAATTCCACCAGCCACGGTTTAAATTTGTGACCTTCAAAGTAACAAAAAAGTAAACTAAGATCTGTTTGCCATCTGTGGTTTGTTTCCATCTGATGAAGTAAAATTAGGTGAGAAGACATTCTCTTCCAAAATAGATAACATTCAGCAATGCTGGAATCCTTTAATGAATATTTCTGAAGTTTCCAAGGAAAAAATCATTGGCAGCCTCAAAAGGCTTAGTTTGAGACTAAAAAGAGGGGCGCTGTTCTTGAATTTCCAAAAGGTCCACAACTACCCTGGCATTCCAACACCTCCTTACTTGCATTCCATTCTTCCCTTGATTCCTTCTAGAATCACGTGGCTCTGGGCGATGAGAGGACCTGGCTTCTTCTCCCTTCCATGTAGCTCTGCATCCAGGGTGACTTGAGCATCCCCAGCTTCCAGACAGGAGCTCCCCCAGCCTCAGAAACAGTGCATTAATTCAAAGTGCTAACAGCACCAGTTTCTTAGCCCTTTTTTTACTGGTTTGTGGGAACATAATGCTGCAAGTGACAGGGCAAAAGAGAATCCAAATCAGGTCCCGTGCCTGTCAGGAGTGCTCTTCAATGTGCATGGCACCTCCTACCTCTCACACCCATCCTAGCTCCCAACATCCTTGCAACTGGCTACTTCAACAGGATCAGGGGCCAGCCCAGGGATTCGTCTGTCAGAGGATCACAGAACATACCATTGTCTCATAAAGACTGCTTTTAGTAAACAAGTGAAAATGAACTTACATAGACAAATAGGCATAAATATAGACTCCTCGTAAAGTTGAAATTCTATAAATCAAGGAGTGGGCAAGGGATAAGTGTGCATGGGTCAGAGGAAAAGACAGAGAAATGAGTGGCGGGAGACTTAAGGAAGGCAAATGAATGAGTCAGGGGCTCTGAGGGGCAGGGGAGCACTCCATACACTAACTGCTTTCTGAGCGGAAAGATAAGAGCAGCAGGAATTTTGTCACCTGATAAAGCTCTTGAATCCTTGAGATGGGGGAGGCCAGAGGAAATTAGGCCAAGATTAAATAGTAACATAAAAAAGGGCAAGATAAACTCCCACCAAGGCTAGTGTTTAAACAAATTATGTTGCTTCCCTGAGTTATATGCAGTTATTAAAAGTCATTTTTGAAGAATATTTAATGATAAGAGGAAATAGCATATATCAATAATAATTACAATCTTCTTTCAAAAAATTATATGAACTTCAGTTTGGACAATAAGGTAAACTAAATAACTTAAAAACTATTACCTAGAAATATAAAATAACAAATATTGTTTTCAATGCATAAGTGAGCAGAAAAAAATGGCACAAAGTGAGAGTTCAGAAAGAGGGCTAGAACATTTGGAAATATGTGACCCACGTGGGGTTCTCGTGCTGGGAAATACAGATTATTAATTAAATGGACTGGTCCCTTTGCTATTCATGGGCTGAAAATATAAAACTCAATCCCAGATCTCCACATAGAGAAATTTGATGATGTAAAGACCTACAAGAAAACAAGGAAGATCTTATGCCCTCAGGGTGGAAAGGCATTTCTAAGACAAGTGTCAAAAGCATAAACCAAGAAAGGAAAAAAAAAACACAAAAACCATACCTTCTTTTAAGTGAAAGCTTCTGAATGACAAAGCATACTTTAAGAGTTCCAAGAGATAGCCCTTAGTTTAGGAAGAATATTGGCAATGCTATAACTGAAGTTGGATTAGTGAAAAAATATGAATGTTTCCTACATATCAGTGAGAAGGAGATAAAGAAACCATATTGGAACAAAGAGCACCTGTGCATATCCAACTCTTCCTCTATTCACAGCCTCCCTTCCTAGACTGGCCATGTGCCAAAATTTGGCCAATGACATTTGAACAAAGAGCTGTCCTTCATTTATAGGTCTGGTCTCTAAGATGTCCCTCCCATGTAATCTTCCACGGGCTCTGTCTTCCCCATCTTCATGGCTGGAAGTGAAGGCTTCAGAGAGTCCCCCAGTGGAATATTCCTGGGTCCCTGGGTCCCCTTGGAGAGGAGCCATGGTCTGGGCTAGATCCACATCAGGCTAGCATGTGAAGAGGAGATAAATATTTACTGTGTTACATCACCAAGATGAGTTGTTTGTTGGAGCAGCCAGTCTTAATTACCTTTATCTATTCAAAAACTAGTGCCAGGGGTGGAGTGCTTACACATAAAAAACCTGAGCTATATGGTATTTTCTTAGTTTTGGTGGTAGGCGTCAAAGAAACAAAAACCTAAGCCTGGAAACACGGAAATCTATGTTATGAACTGGTACATATTTGGTAAAACATGTTAGGAGGCATGTCATATGCCTAATTAAGCTGGCAGCTTGAGGAGAAGTGAATCAGAAAGATTCAAGGTGTATCTGGGCTCCTTTTGGAAAGGTGTTCCAACAATGAGGTGAGCCCAAGAAAAAACCGGGCTGTTTATAGGGAGAAATATAATGGGACTGGGAAAGTCCAAACATTCTAGTCACTGCAGGGTTGGAAGAGCCAACTGCTTTCAGATCACAAACAATAAGACGAGACTTGAAAATAATTTGTTCAACAACAGCTATAAATCTTTCTCAGTGATTAAAGAGAAAGATCATAGTGAGGGTATGCCATTCCCACACAAGCCTGAGAGCCTCCAGAAAGTTGAGAAGAAGAGGAATAAGGGTGAGTAAACATTATAATACAGAAAGGTTTGAGTCTATATTCAGGAAAAAACACACACACACACACACACACACACACACACATGTTATGGGCATAGTGACTGAGGTTTGAACCTGAATGGAAGCTAATGGACCAGAAATCAATTAGGTTTTTGGGGAAATCATGTTCCAAAGACACCATTAACAGGAGGAACAGCAACAAAAATGTTGACTATTTGAGGTCCAAAGACTTCTGTGGGAGATTACATTTTCCAAAATGATCACACTACTACCTCTCACGCCATCTGCTCTTTTGAGAAGTGACCAATACACCTCTCACTGAGGCATAAGGTGGAGGTTGTCTACGTTCTCTCCCCTTAACTATGGGTATGCTTGTGACTGTGGCGGAACTGGCACTATGCAATTTCCATGGTAACTCATGAAGGATGATGAATCGTCTATCTGGTTCTCATGGGACGTTTGCTCTTAGGACCCAGTCACCATGCTGTGGGGAAGCCCAACAGCCCTGGGGGGAGCCCCACATGGAAAGAACCAAGTCTTCTGGTCCTTAGCTCCAAATGAACTCCCAGCCATGGCCAGCACCAACTTGTCTGCCTTGTGAGTGAGCTGTTTTGGAAGCGGATTCTCCAGCTCCCATTGACACCACTGAGCCCTGCCCTATTGCAGATTTGTGAACTAAATAATTTTTGCTTTTTAAGCCACTAACTTTTGGAAGTGTTTAGTCCACAAAAATAGATGACCAGAACAGCCTCAAGAGCAAGACTCAGGCTTCAAAGCCTGTACATTCTCAAGGAGGAATGTACATGTTCCTGCCCTACCCATGTTTCCCATATGACCAATAAAATATACAAGGAAAGGCACCTAGATATTGAATCCATGGGTCCTGAAAACCAGTGGAGCCCACTGTATGCAGTGGAAACCCATTAAAACTTTGAACTCATCATTGCAATGTGTCTTCTGTTCTTCCCTTTCTTGAACAAGGGTTTTACCGCAGGCATATAGCCCTGCTCTGCTGTTGTCTGTAGGATCTATGGGAAGGAGAGGTGGATGGCTTACTTTTTAGCCCACAGAGAGATTTTTCATCTGGTCCTGGTGGAAAGAAACATGCATCACCTGGACCTTCCAGACTTTGAGCTGAGCTGAGTGCAGACACTCAAGGGCATTTTGTAAGGTTTCCTTGGGAGGACATGAGTATGCTGTATGGATGGGCAGAGGGGAGTAACCTGATATTTCTTGAGCAGCAGGGCAGAATTCACAGAGGTCATTAGTGCTCACCTGGATCCATATGCACCTTTACCTTCCCAGACTCCTGCAGTTAGGGTGATCAAGCGACTGACTTCTGGCCAATGAAATGTAGGCAGCCCTTTCCCCATCCAGGCTTGGCTCCTAAAATGTCCCACATCATCTTCCGTGTTTTTTCTCACTCCTCTATCTTCATGACTAAAGGCAAAACTCTAAGATGATTGAGTCACTTGATCCCAGTCTAATCCCAGATTAGAGAGAGAGAGTTCCAAAAAGAACTGGTTCATATCACACATGTGTTGAGCAAAATTAACCTTTTTTGATGTTAAGCCGCTAGGATTTGTGGTTATGCATTACACTATGTAGGATTAATTAGCCTGTTGATTATAACAAGCAAAGAATATGAATAGATATATAAAAGAGGAAATGAAAAGGCTCTCAGCATGATGCAAATCAAAACAGCATTTAAATACCATTTCCTCACCATCAGATTGGCAAAAACCAGTCTGCTAATACCAAGGAAAATATAAAGTCTTCAATACTGCTGGTGGGAGTGTGTGGAGGTTGGAGTTCAGGGTTGGAAACAGAAATCAATCTAGTTTAAGCAGGAAGAGATTTCCTGCAGATAGTGGTGTGCTGGCTGGATCAGGGGAGGGGTGTGTTTCCAGGAATGTCCCAAGAATATGCATAACTCCACTTGGGCAGCTGCCAACCCTGCCATATGTGAGCGGTGGGAAGTTGGGAGGCTCTGTTAAAATCATTAGGTTTGAGAGCAAACTCGTTTACCTGTGTGTCAGAGATAAGTGAGCTGGAATGGAGTGGCCATGGCTGCCACATGGTGGGGTAGGCAGCTGAAGGCAGCAAGTGATGTCTTCCTCTGGTTCTACAATCACTTATATGAGCACTCTGCCAGTATGATCATAGGTGAAATGACACATAGCCTATGACTAGAAATCCTACTTCCTGGTGAGCACAGAACGATGTGGGTAAGAGGATTTCTCAGTAATGTTTGTAACAGTGAAAATGTTGGAAACAACAAACTATCTCTCAGCATAGGAATGGATAAATGAATCGTTTCTTGACTGGATGGAATATTACAGAGCAGTTAAAATAAATGAACTATATCTACATACATCAACAAAGGTCAATAGCAAAAACATGATAATTCAAGGAAAAGACATGACAAAAAGATGCATGAATATGTCAATGAGTCATATTCTAAAAAGCATCAAAGCAACTGCCTATCTTATTTTTAAGTACACACGTTGTAGTGATTGCTCATGACATATATAAACCTAATTTAACTGAGGGGTCACCTCTACAGAAAGAGGGATCGCTGGCAGATGATGAAGGGATTTTAACTCAAATATTTTATCTTAAATAGTTGTTTATTTTATTTATAAGAATTTATTAAATTCTTACTTGTTTATCTCAAATATTTTATTTATTTATTTATTTTTGGGGGGGCCTGGAGCAATGATGACACAACACGCACAGGTATCAATTCTTGGTGGTAGATGCGCAAGTGGCCAGTATATAATTCCATGGATTGGTTGGCTTTGAACTATTTCTTAATTAAAAAGAAAATTAGAAAGTGTATTCAGTAGAATTATATAAATATAAAGAAAACTGAAAGTAACAGATTGCTCATACCTGGGAAAACGATAAACTAGAATTATAATCGTAGTTTCATGCAATTTTGTATTTTTCATATATGCATATATAACATTTATAACCCATGTTGGTATCTGTCAGCTAAGGACCAGTAGGGACACATCTGTGGCTGACAAAGTTAGATTTCTTAATTGCTATAACAAGAGGGCTCACACACCATGGGGAACCACGTGTGACCTGGGGTGAAGAGTGGACCTTATTAGCGGTTTAGTGAGTATGAGGGCTGGAGTCAGCTGCAGGATGGTCTTGCAGGCATTGGTCAGACTCTGTAAATGAGGAGATGCTGGAAGAGTCAGTGGCCTTATTTTTAGAGTACTTGTTTCCAAATAAAGTTTTATCTTGGAACGCAGTCAGAGAACATTTAAGAGAAGGGCCACTGGTTACCAATCAGTTGATGACAATGAATTCAGCTCCAGTTTCTCGAGGAAGACCTTTGAGAACATGAACACCTTAAATTTCTCTGGCTTTCCCAATGTAAAATATGGAGTCATACTGGAAGTTCTTTACAAAATAGAACCATATTTAACATTTCTCCTTATACCTTGATGACTGTACTTCTTTACAACTTGCCTACTTGGGTATTTTTAAAACAGTGATTAGATGTACTAGCCTTTGCTTCGAGTTCTATTTCTGGTTTTTCTTTTTAAAGAAAAGAATAGTAGAGTGAGAAAGGATGACTGCTTTCGTCTCACTTAATTTTGCTTTGGAAAGACATGGCTGACCGTGTGGTGGTCACTTGTCTTCATGATAAAGAATGTATTCAGGACAAAATAAATAGCTTTGACATATCTGGTCTGAAAAACTTATAAAGTGATAGCAATGGACACAAGCAAAGGTCTCATGTAGTACAGGAGCCAGATAATTTCTAGAGCCAACCAGCAGCCCCCAAAAATGTGTAATTATGGCCACAAACTTATGGCCCTTTCTCCTTTCAGCTTTTGGCTTTGTCACTCTGAAAAATTATCCACTGGGAATACCAAGCTCTGAATTTGTTTTTTAAAAACATTATTTATTATTTTATTTTTTTACTTTTTGATTTTTTGTAGAGATGGGGGTCTCACAATGCTGCCCAGGCTGATCTGGAACTCCTGGCCTCAAGTGGTCCTCCTGCCTCAGCCTCCCAAAGTGTTGGGATTACCCATGGGAGCTGCCATGCCTGGCCTTATTTCCTTATTTTATGCTGAGAATATAGCCTTGAAAAGCTTGCCTCTCATCAGATCTTTGGAGAGATCTTTTCCAGCAAGTTCACCTTTTCCTCTTGTCGTCTGTCTTACAGAATAATCATCCCAGCAGACTGCAAGGATTTTTATGCCCGGAGAAGCACTGTCTTCAACAAGGGACATGGAAAAATTTCAGTTTATGTTTGAAGAGAACATGGATTCATTTGAAGAGGGATGTTGGAGGAGGAGGAGGCTGATGCGGGGAAACACCGCCTCTGTGGTCCGCGTTTGAGAGGTTACAGGGCCATCTGCTCAGCCTCCACCCAGTGCCACTGGGTTCTCCTGGATGGGGGCCTTCAGTGTCACAGATCTTTGGGGATTACCTCCTGACTCAGTAAAGAGTAAGGCAAGATTAGAGTATCCCAAGTTTGAGAGTAAGAAGCACTACCGTGGTGGGTTCCTGCTTTCTCCCTGTCAGTGCCTCCTCTTTCCTGGACGTGCAGTTTGGGAGCAGTTGGCCCCACCTCCCAAACCAATTTCTAAGAGCCCGTTGGGATTGCCTTAAACCAATCAAGACATGAACTCCACCATGATTGGTTCAGGGATAATCATATGACTCAAATCAGTCCAATCAGGTTCAGTAGCACTCAAGTGCAAGACATTTGGGTCCCAGAGAAGCAAAACACTTTCCTCCTGATTGGAAGCTGGCAGCGAGAGAGGAAGCTGCTGAGCACCATTTTGAGATGGTGGAGGGAAAGCCAGTGCTGAAGAGACACTTTTGAGAAACTGAGGGAAGAAATCAGTGCACAACATTTGAACACCTGGGTCACCTGTTGCCTGAAGCCAGCCTTGCCTTTAGACCTTTGCGCCCAATAAGCCAACACATGTCCTTTCTTTTTTTCAATGCCACTTTAAGTTATGTTCTCCATTACAACCAAAGCTCTAGGATAGGAGTGTGGCTATCCTGGGGTCTGCTCTTTGGACAGAGTCCTTATGGCCGTGACAGAATCACCGTGAAAGGAGCTCTTGACTTGGTGTTGGGGCATCCAAGCTCTGATCTCATTTAGACTGAACTGGTTGGCTTTCTCTGAGACTCCAGTCCTCATGTGTGATAGAGATGATCCTTCCTGGCCTGTTTAACACAGAACTGATGTGAAGTCACCTGAGACAGAGAAGAGGAGAGCACACCGAAGAGTCTGAAGCTAGTGAGGCCGCTGTGCTCCTGGGAGCAGGCCGGACACTCCCTGGGGAGGCACGGTTGGGGCCAGCCTTCTGGAACCAGGCAGGCATGAGGCCAGGAGGCACTGTGCCCATGAAGGGAGAGACATGCTGGAAGGAGGGGATGAACAAGGGAATGTCCAGCCTGTGCCAACACCTGTGGGCAGGTGAAGGTCCTGTCCTCATTACACGTCCACCTTCAGTGTCTATATTTCTGCTTACCATGACACAGGAGAATGACAGAGTTTGGGGCAGAAAGTCCTTTGACCTTGATGCTGTGAGTCCATGCAGAAGGTAGCCACCTGGCAGGTCATTAAAAAAGATTCAAGGATGTGATTCTATAGAACAGCTATGCATGCCCAGGAGATTCCTTTCTCCCCACTTTTGAGAAATTCTTTGAGAGCAAAATTAATTCATGTAGTATCTGTAGGAAGCAAATTATTTTCTTTACTTGGAAAGAATTCAAAAGACATGAGAGGGCAAGCAGTTGGTGGCAAGCACATGGCCAGTGAGAGACACAGGTGCTCCTCCTGCTGTAGACCAGCGTGGTGTTGCCTCGTGCTGAGCTAGCTGCCTTGCTAGAGGCCCAGGTTGCCTCTGGACTGCTCATGGGCAAACCATCCTTGCCAAACTCCCTGAGGTCAGCTCCTCCCAGCCTTGGGGGTCTGTACTGTGGCAGAAGCCCCTTGTGGTTCATCCCTCAGCCATGCTTGTGGCACCACAGCCACCCTCTATAGCTGCTCCAATGAACACAGCTCCACAAGGCAGCTTTTCTCACCTCTCCAGCCCAGGGTGGGTTGTGTTAACCATGTCTTCTATTTTCTATATTTCCTAATGCTTTTGTAACCATGAGACCAGCTTAAACCCACTAACAATTGCCTAAGCTGTTATACATGGCACAGAGCCAAAATTGCAAGACATGTATCCTGGGCAAGACATGTATCCTTCAGCCTCCTAATTGGTAACAGGACCAGCATGGCAGTCTGGCTGCACTGGCATCATCTGGGACTAGTTAGAAATGCCATAAAAGCTTGACCCACTCCCAGATAGGCCTAGATGGCTTGAGGTAGAGAATGCTACAATTTTAAAACATCATTTTGCGTCAGAGCACGGGAAACAGATTGGAGAATTGCCACCTATCTCCTTGCCAGTAGACTCACAATGGCATTGTCTTTTGCCTTTCTCAAAAGCCGGTGCCATAATATTGGCTCCTGTGTTCACTGGATTACGAGACCATTGCTCAGTGACACTTTGACAACTAGGGCCTTGCTGGCCCTGTATGGACTGCCCCTCCCAGGGTTCATCAATTTGTAAAAGTAGTAAACAACTCATACAAGAGATGCTTCTCAAATACAAACCAACCAATCCAGCGCCCACACCCCATCACCTTCCTTACTGGATTCTCACACTCTGGGCCACTGTGCCCCAGGGGCACCCCTTATGCCCCAGAGCCTGTTGAAGTTAGGATTGTTGCATTCCAATCCTAAGCTTGCTTACCCTACATCACTTATTCCTTCCCCTACATCACTTATTCCTTCCCACAGAAACCGCAATAAAGGCTCTTGGCCATGTTTTCCTCCAGTTCCCTCTGCTCCCTGACCAGCCCTAGTGCTTCCCCACACACCCCGGCATGAGGCAGGGTGTCCCCTCCTCTTGGAGTCTGAGTGACTGAATTATCTTTTCAATGGCACCCCTCTCCCTCCCCGCTCTCCTGCTCTGTTGGCCTTACTATACCTCCAGTTTTCTATCAACCCACTATATTTTGAAATCTGGGCCCAGTGACAACGGTCCTCACTCAGAAGGTTCCAGTCATACTTTCTAGGAGAAGCTCAAAGTTACACACCTTGCATTTCACAAGTGCCAGTTCATTGTTTTAAGCCTCAAATTTCTCAACAGAGCAGGAAACCATTGTTGTTGTTGTTCTTTCTGTGCCTCCACAACCCGAGATAAACATCAGCCTAGAGTTTGGACAGGGAGTTGTTTATTATTCTTGGAAAAATAAGGAGAGAGGAGGCAAGTCTTGCATCAGTGTGCTCGCCCCTAGAGAGCTGTTATCATGACACAAACCCCAGGAGGAGGCCATCTTGTGAACAGTGATAGCTTCTAGCTCCTTCCACTGTGCACCGGATGGGTCTCTTCAGACATGGAAGTGAGACAGGCAGCTGTGCCCAGACTGTGGGGCTCATCAGCTTGGAAACTTCTGCCCTTAGGAACATAAACCTCCGGCCCTAAGTGGTTCAGAACTTACTGCCACTCAATCCCCCTGGCATGGGGCTTTTAATTTATTTGCAACAGTTTGGAAAAACATGATTTAAATGGATAAAGTTCAAATATGAGCCAGCCAGTCTTGTCATCTTCATCACTGTACATTATTTACGTCAACAACAATCGTGAACTTGTATGAACTGTCAGGAACAGAACCCAAATGAAGTTTCCCCTCATCTATCATGTTTATTTTTCTTTGTTAGTACAGCCAGCACGTTTTGCATTTTTATTATCCAGTCTGCAACAACGCCAACATTCAGCATGGCAGACTTCCACAATACGTTAGGGGAGCTGATGACTTAGGAACAACATCAAAAGGCAATGAAGCAAATGAAGATGAATTGGTGCTCATTTGCTTGCTTGCTGCTGTGCTATGAAGTAGGAGAGGAAGGGCAGGTTTTATGTATGTTGAAAAATAATTTTGTGTCATTTCAATTAACTAGAGCATGCTGCTGGAATAATAAGCTTGAAATGGGAATTTTTCCACTCCTGGCTTCTGCAAGGACAGACATGGGCCAGTTCTGTGGGGATGGTAAGCCCCTACAACCCCTCTACTCAACCCCTCGGTAAAAATTCAGAGTGCTAATGATGATGTCCTACAAAACTACAAATGAAAACCATATGACATCCCATGGTCCACCGTTTTTATGATCTATGAAAGGGAATCTCATTGCAAGAGGCATCTGAGGGCCACTTTCCGTGTTTGTGGGTAATGTGTCCACGTGGAGACAGGCTGTGGATACCTCCCCAGTGTGGGTCTCCCAACAAAGCAAGGGGAAGACAGTTTGCTCTTAAACATCTCCCCACACTCCTTTTATGGATTCACTCCCCTTAGCCTCTCCCATATGCTTCTGGACTGCCTCATGTCAAGAAACGGCTGGTTGTCTACCCAGCTCCCATTATGCCTTTATTCTTTAAGAGGAGTCTGATTTTATTCTTGGAGTTAGCGTTCCCAGGTATGAAATGAAACTTTCCATCCTCCATTACAGCCAGGGGTGGGCAGCAGACCCAGTTCTAGCCCATAAACCCAGTCAGAAGAGCTTCCAGCAGATGTCTCTGTTTCACCCCTTCCCCTTCCTCCTTGTTTTTTTCTTTCTTAACCTGACCTCCACTATCCTTAGACATGGCCTCCACCCTCAGGCTTTCTCTCCTTAGACATGGCCTCTGACCTCAGGCTCCCTTCCTCCTTAGAAGTTCCTTCTACCCTCAGGCTCCCTCCTCCTTATACGTGGCCTTTGCCCTCAGGCTTTCTCTCCTTAGATGTTGCCTCTGCCCTCAAGCTCCTTCCTCCTTAAATGTGGCTTCTGCCCTCGGGCTCCCTCCTCCTTAGATGTGGCCTCTACTTGGAAAGTTTAGGGACTGTGTTCATCCTTCCAGCCCCTGCCCAGTTCCTGGGTCTCTAACATGCTTGTTAAATGAAAAAATCAGTGGTTGTGGAATGCCCTTCAAATTTAGCTGGATGGATCTGTTGCAATGTTGTGTGGTATTTGCTTAGATACCCTAAAAATGCCTGAATCTTGCTCTGGCCCAGTGACTCCTTGTTTCTCTGAGGAGACGGTAGAACATGGAATCAACATTTCCAGCTGAATGGTGAGGTGAGCTGAAAAACTGCCCCGTCAACCCATAGAACCAGGAGAAACAACAGCATTGCTGTATACGGCCACTAAATTTTGGACAAGTTTGTTATGCAGACACAGACAACTGATACATGATCCTTTCTCCTTAATTCCTTATTCCCCCACTAATGAGGCAACTTGAGCATGTTTCTTACACCCTAATAGAGTGGATAAGAGATCAAAGACTTGAACAAGATCTATGCATTGCCTTGAAACAATACCTGCAGCAATGATTTCAGAGCAAAGATGCAGCCTTTGTGCCCCCCTGCAATGGATACAGTGACAGCGGCCTCAGGCCAAGCGCGAAGACGCTGGTGCTGCTTCCAGCCTGGCTCCCCTGGGCCAGTCTGCTTTGCCACACAAGCAGACTAAGTTGGCACGGTGTTTTCTTTTTCTTTATTTTATTTATTTATTTATTTATTTTGAGATGGAGTTTCACTCTTATTGCCCAGGCTGGAGTACAATGGCTCTATCTCAGATCACCACAACCTCCGCCCCCGCCTGCCCCCACCCCACGTTCAAGCGATTCTTCTGCCTCAGTCTCCCAAGTAGCTGGGATTACAGGCATGCGCCACCACGCCCGGCTAATTTTGTAGTTTTAGTAGAGATGGGGTTTCTCCGTGTAGGTCAGGTGGGTCTTGAACTCCCGACCTCATGTGATCCACCTGCCTTGGCCTCCCAAAGTGCTGGGATTACAGGCATGAGCCACCGCACCCGGCGGCAGCACAGTGTTTTCAAAATATGCTCTGAGAAACAGTAGGGTTTCCACTAAGGTGCCATGGGGCAAGGCCAAGGGCATCCCCAGAACCTGGACTGTGGGACCTTCCCCTTTTGAGGGACAGGGATTTCTGGCTCTTGCCTGGGTTTTATATGTTGGGCTTCTATATACAATTTTATTTAAAGAAGGTATTTTGGTGTTTTTAACATGTGAACATCACTGAAAAAGATTATTTCTAGGGGCCTTTGGGGATCTAACACTGAGTAAGCCTGAAAAGTCTGTGGATCTGTGATTGGCACTCACAGCATCTGAAGAGCCACAGGGACTTGCAATGCCAGCATCATAAACCATGATCCTGGGGATTCAATACGGAAAACACACCCTTTTTCATAGAAAATTACTCCAAGACAATTGCCCATCCAAATGAAGCAGAGGGTGTTCTGAATGGAGGAATGAAGACAGATAGTGAAAAACAGGTAAGGACAGTCCACCCTGAATCCTGTCCAGTGCGGGGCCCCAACCAGGTGCTGGCCTGTTCCCTCTCTGTTTCCTATTTTGAGTGTTTTTTTTTTCTCTTTCTGTTTCTGGTTTCCATTGTTGGGTTTTCTAAATTTGCATTGCTCATGGAAGTATCTCCAACTCCTCCTCTTTGTCTTTGGCGTATCATCAAACTGTTTGTTGCTAATAAGAAATAAAATCCGCATACCTGCACTTTAGCTGGTTTAGACTTGCGTGGCACAATCAGAAAATACTCTCTTTGTCTCTCTAAGAAAGTCTTCAGTGGAGGGAATATTTCTCTTCCCCGGGGACGGCAATGCAGCAGGCCTTATACTTCTCTTACTATTTTTAAAAAAAACTCTTGATGGAAGTATTCTGTCTACTCAAGCCATCAAAACACAGTCTTAGAATATAGTCTCAATTTGGTCATTTGTGTTGAATCCTGTGTTGACCTGAATTGAGCGTCCCCTGCAGGCACATGTGGGCGGGCAGGCCAGTTCAGGGCCAGTCAGTCTGTCTGAGCCTGGTCTCTCCTGTTGTCCAGGGCCTCTCCACTTATGGCTGAGAGCTCACTGCTCCACATGAAGGTTTGGAGGAGGGACCACAGGAGGAGGAGAGCCCTGAGGACCTGCCTTCTGGGCCCAGGAAGGGCCTCCTGCTGACCCTCTCATAGTGCATTCTGGCTTGCCAAGCTCCCCTCTCACTGGGTGGGCGGGGAGGGTCTGTGACCGCAGCCCCTTCACCTGCAGTCGGGTTCACTTCTGCGGGTCGCTTACTCAGGGAGCCAGAGGTGGAGGGAGCTGAGCTGGCCTTTGATGCTGCTACCTCCCACACCAGGCCCACATCCCATCAGGCCTCCTGCACCCTGAGCTGCAGCCGGCTCTGACAGGGCATCACTCCCAGCACAGTGGGTCTCCCATTCCCCATGATCTTAACAGCCACAGGAAGCAGTTCCTCACACGGAAGCGGGCAGGATGAGCTCTTGACTTGAGCTAAAAGGGAAAACACCTTCCACACCTACAGGGGGCTTCGATACACCCTCCAAATAATCCTTTTCACAGAGTCTCCCAGCCTCCCCCACATGAGGCCTAGATGCTCCAACAGGTCCTCAGAGAGCAAAACCAATTTTTAATGAATTCCGTTGTAAATGTTGCATAAGCTCCGGCACCTCGTTTGAAATGCAGCCAGTCCTGTGCCCTGTTTTCCAAGCAGCGCCTTCATGTTAACATCTTTTCATCTCTGGGAAGAAAATTGCTTTCCATCAAAAGATTTAGAAAGCATGGGATTTATAATTCTCTTTAATAAGCAAAACATGCGTGCAGAAACGCTAAGAAATGAGCGTGTGGGGTTTCCCCACTCAGACCCAGGTCAAGGTCAGAGCCTCCAGGGTCCCTATGTGCCTTAGTCATTTATGTAAACAGTCCTTTACTTTAGGGCACTTTCTGTTGATCTATTGGCCATATACTTTTTTTTTTTTTTTTTTTTGAGCTGGAGTTTCACTCTTGTTGCCCAGGATGGAGTGCAATGGCATGATCTTGGCTCAGTGCAACCTCCAACTCCTGGGTTCAAGCAATTCTCTTGCCTCAGCTTCCCGAGTAGCTGGGATTACAGGTGCCCGCCACAACACCTGGCTAATTTTTGTATTTTTAGTAGAGACAGGGTTTCACCACATTGGTCAGGCTGGTCTCCAATTCCTGACTTCAGGTGATCCACCCATCTTGGCCTTTCAAAGTGCTGGGATTACAGGCATGAGCCAGCGCGGCTGGCCATACACTTTTAAAGGAGGGGTCTGCTTTAAGATTTGGATGAAAAATAAATAAAATTAACTGCATGAAAAAGCAATTTGCAAATGGGTGGTCCAAGCCCCTCTTAAAGTTTGATACATCTTTCAAGCTGAGAGGAAGTCTACGTACCTCCACCATCTCCAGAGTTTGTTCCCTGCAAAAGTGATTTTAATCTAGAGCAATGAATTCTGCAAACTCACATCTCAGGCATGTTCCTAATAATAGACTGCCTCCCTGCCCCCACACTGGCAGCCGAATGTTGCCAGTCCCAAGGAATGCTCCATCATGATGCCATTTGCCTGTCAGGACTCTATCCCAGCAGCAGCTGCAGCTGATTATGGCTCGGCTGTGGGCTGTGTTTTTTTATGATCCACCTCCTCCCTTTCAAAATCAATCAGGGCACACTCATGGAAGTAAAATTAGAGGCCCTGGCCAGGGCTTCAGCTTGAGAAATGCACTTTCCCCTCCTTTTCAGGGCAGTGGTGTCCAAGGAGGCCAACAGAGGGGTGGACACCCCGCAAGAAGCCCTGTGACAGCCTCCACCCAGCGTGTCTCCATCTATAGGCAGTTGCTAAGAGACTTAAAATGCTTTTATTCCTGAAGTTTCTTCTTCTTTCCCCTCCTAACCACCCTGGTGTGGCCCTCAGCTCTCAGTAGATATTTCATGTTCTGCACTCCCCTTCCAACCATGTTTATTTCTGCTTTGGGATGCTTGTTGGAAATAGCATGCCATTCAAAGTCACAGACTGTCACCTTGTCCTTAGCTGCTGCCTTCATTTCAGTCCTTTTTTCTACCTATCGAGACTCATTGGCAACCACCATGTGGTCCCTCCCCAGTTATCCCACTGCTCTCTGGGGGCATCATCTGAGCTCGGTTGTCCCTCAGCAGCCTGGGCCAGAGCTGTCCTCTTTGGTTGATTCTTGAACAATCCATCACCTTCACATCCCAACGTGACATTTCCATAAGATCAAACTGCATTCTTTATCCATCCCTGAAGATACATATTCATTTTCAAAAGCTTTGGCTCTCAATTAAAACAGAGAGAGTCATTTGGTCGAGGGCTCTGTGGAAAAGACATTATTAGCTGGAGTATTCTTCTCTTCCCTGTGGTGAATGAGAGAGCATTTTCCAATTAAGGCACTCATTCACTTTCAAGAGGCATGTGCAGGGTGCTCAGATGCGGTATAAAGGAGAGCCAGGCAGATCAGTAGCAAACGAGAGGAAAAACTGGTGGAAAATTAAGAAGAAATGAGAGTATTCAGATGCCAGAAGAGAAAATGAAAGACTGATACAGTGACGTACTCCTGCCCCAGAAGCGGAGTGTCTGCTCAAAAGCGTGAATTTGTGCAAAAGGTTGTGCACCAAAGCAGAAGGGATTCTGTTTGCACAAATGCATGTTTCTATGGATGTGCACGAGATCTGTTGTTCTAACAAGAATTGCTGAGCATTTCCAGCAGGTCACTTAGGGGAGAAAGGACTCTGCAGCCTTCCTGGCCCATCTTCTTCCTAGGTATCCCGGGGGAAGGGCATTTCTGATCTGCCTGCTCCAAAGCTGGGACTAGTACTGGGCCATCTGCTATCGCCTCCCAGGTGATGTGCCATAAAGTCAGAACTCATGAAACATCTCCTGGGCAGCCTCCTTCACTTTCCACACCTGTAACGAGTGGAGAAATTTAGGCCTGGGTCTCTCTTTCTCTCACTCTCTCTGCCCCATCTTCGTCATACCAGATATTCCGAGCATGCTGGTCCCAAAATACAAGTAGTGTAGGGGAGGCCTGGAGAGAGTGAGGCAGGAGCTCAAGTTGTCCCAGAGCCTTGCGTGGGAGCTGGTTGTTGCTTTCCTGGCCACTGACAAAGCGCTTCACCGACCTCCAGTCTATTCTCATTTCCTGCCTTTGACTCCTCGGTAGAGCGCCGTGCATCATGACTGATGACTGACTCTCTTGCCGGCTCCCTGTGGTCAGTCCCTGGGTTGGGTTGAGGCAGACACTCCATCTTCATGGAGTGTGGTCTACTGTGGAATTTCCTGCTGTGTTGGTCTCTGCATCGGTCACTGTGATGGTCCCTGCTCTGGAACAGTGTAGACAACAACTGAGTCTGAAAGGAGAAGGATGGACAGGATCCAGATCCAGGGCTTTTCAAGTTGGGATTCCCCTGGGGCCAGGTAATCTATGTGCTCCAACAGCTCACTTTTTGAGTGGGCAATGTCACAGGCCAACTCCTTTGCTTCAGGTATATCAGGTGTACTAGGGTGTGCCAGAGTACCAGGTGTGCCGGAGGGATCAGACGTGCCAAGGGTGCCAGTTGTGCCAGGAGACCAGGTGTGCCAGGAACAAGGTGTGCCAGGGACCAGGTATGCCAGAGAACCAAGTGTGCCATGCGTACCAGGTGCATCCAGGGACCAGGTGTGCCACAGGACCAAGTGTGCTATGGGTACCAGGTGTGCCCAGGGACTATTCACATCAGGGGTACCAGATGTACAAGGCACCAGGTGTGCCAGGGGACCAGGTGTAGCAGGGATACCAGGTGTACCAGAAGTACCAAAGGTAGCTCAGCTCTTCTCCAGCTGATGATGCAGTGTTGACTCTATTTTTCTTTGAAATAAGAATTTTGTTCTCTCCTTCTCACACACGAAAATTATAAGGAAATTTATTTATATTTATTTATTTATTATAATGAAATTTAAGGAAAAATTGTATTTATAGTAAATACAAATAGATAAAAAGTTAAAACTATCTAAACTACCCCATTCAGGAATAACCACTTTAAATGCTTTAATGTCAGTCATTCCAATAATTTTTTGATTTTACATGTAATGTTTTCAATACACTCTACTTAAAAACAGAATCGTGATTTCAAAGCCTGTTAGTTCAAGAAACCTGACATTTTCAACATCTTTCTGTATCATTAACACACTCCTACAACATCATTGTTAATGGCCTTCTGGGATTCCATTACTTTGAATGTAACAAAACTTTTTCAACCAATCTCTTCATTTTGGACTTTCAAATTATTCCTCCCTTATTTATCTAACCTACTACTGATAGATGTTTGCTTGGGTAGTACCAACATAAAATAGCCTTGCCAGGTGCCAAGTGTGGTGGCTCAAGCCTGTAATCCCAGCACTTCGGGAGGCCTAGGTGGGCAAATCATTTGAGGTCAGGGGTTCGAGACCAGCCTGGCCAACATGGTGAAACCCAGTCTCTACTAAACATTCAAGAAAATTAGCCAGGCCTGGTGGTGGGTGCGTGTAATCCCAGCTACTGGGAGGCTGAGGCAGGAGAATCACTTGAACCTGGGAGGCAGAGGTCACACTGAGCCGAGATGGCGCCGCTGCACTCTAGCCTGGGCGACTGAGTGAGACTCAAAAAAAAAAAAAAAGCCTTTCAGGTTGCACGGTGGAAGATATCAGCTCCTCGGTTTTAATTTGCATTTTTGCATGTGAATCATCCTTTGGTATTCTTTGCCCAATTCCTTTAGTGTCTCAGTATTAGGCTTTAAGATTTAAGGTATAAAATCTTCATCATACAGAGTGAAAAATATGGTTCTTTTTTGTCATCCATCTCTCTAGTTTGTTAGGGGTGTTTAATCTAACACTGTATTTTCTTATTTGTTATGTTTTGGGTGGAAGGAGAGAGGTCAGATCCCTTATTTTTTATCCTTGTGGTCTCTGCCTTGAGGCCCTATGTAGAGGGCCCTTTTCACATCGAGATGTATCTACAGGCTCACCTATATTTTCTTTCATTACTTTTATGTTTTTTAAAAATAATTGTCTTACATCCATTTATTTGTATGGCATAAGGTCTTTAATATTTTTCTCAAATGATTAGCGCAGTTACCATTTTTTATAAAAACAAAAGTTTACATGCTCCCTTTCTCCTACATTAAATTTTTATATATGCTTAGATCTGTTCCTGAAATGTATGATCTGTCTTACTCATCTGTCTATCCATTTCTGAGCCATGGTCACAGTTTTAAATTATTGTAGTTTTCAAATATAATTTTATTTCTATTTTTCAAATATAATTTTCTTTCTTGTATACTAGATGGCCCCGTCTTTAATTACTTAAATAAAATTTATTATCTCCTCTGAAACATTTTTTTCTCCCAGGTAAAATTTAAAGTGGAAAAAAAGCATTGCGGTTGCTGTTTTCCAGCAAACTCCTGCTGTGTTCTTGCCGCACACCCCCGCTAGCCCTGGGAGAGCCATAGGGAATGTCTCACATGTGCTGTAATCCTGCAACACTGTCACTGTGCCAATCTTGAGTGCAAATGACAGGTCCTGCCTTCTCTTTTGAGTGTGTGCTTTCCCCCATCTACCTACAGAACTGCAGCAACACAAAGAATGGAAGGGCAGAAGTTGCCTAACGTTGCCTAGTGCAAGCCTGGCCTGCGAGTCTGCTCAGAGCACAATTGCAGTTTGTAGAAGGCAGCCCCAGGGGACTCCTGGGCAGAGAGAGCTAATACCAGCTAGGTGATCACAACTCCCCAGGAATGCTGACCACGGAGGGAGGCTGTCCAAGGGTCTACGAGATGGCATCCCTCTGTAGACGGCCTCCCTCTGTGGATGGCATTCTATGGGTGAATTGATACAATTCATTCGTCTTATTCAGATTTCCCTATTATCACATTACGAGTCCTCCATGGGGACTCATCAGGATTCCTTTGTGGTCTGAAATGCAGGAAATTGAGCTCTTTGGGTCAGAAGCCAAGTTAAACAAGACAGACTCCAGATGCTCTGCAAGATGGATGCAGATGCCAGCGGCACCAAGGTTAAGGTGGGAGGCATCCACTCCACTTCCTCCCATGGGAGTCTGGTCCTTCCAGGGCCGGTGGGCACCGTTCTTCCCCATGCTGCAATGGTGTTGAACAATTCCTGGGGTAAAATAAAGTTAGTAAAGACAACAACTTTCTTATGTGATAAAAATTAGCACCAAGAACAGAGAACAAATAAGAGCAGCTTCATGGGCAAGCAACCCAGGCAGGTACACAGGTCTCCACTGTCAGAAGGGCCCTGTGCTTGGCTTAATGCTCTCCTGTCACCATCTTCAAATTCTAAATAATTGTGAACGAAGGCTCTTTCCTTTTGCATCATGAAGCGGGTCCTAATTAGCAGTATAGGAGAAAGTAGAATCTTTAATTGCAGTCAACTGGCTTGGAGTCTTCTCAAACTCAGCCTCCACTTGTGCATTATGCAGCAGTGAGGGCTGGGTCTGCATTTTGGCACCTAAAATGTGTACATTTCCATTCAGTGAATGAGTCTCCCATTCCTAACATGGATGAGGTTCCAAGATTCCTGAGGAGTTGACCTATTCCACTGTGCAATTTATCAAGCCTGAAACAAGGAACATCTGATTTGGGATTTAACAATATTGTTTTGTTTTAATTCAACAAAACAGGTTGTAGGAGGACAACATGCAAGATTCTTGTGGAAGTCTAGTCCTTCCAGGGCAGAAAGGTAGCCACTTCTACCTTTCTCCCTATGCCCATCCCTAACTCCAGCAATCACTAATTAGTACCCCCATCTTATAGTTCTGTTATTTCAAAAATGTCATACAAGAGAAACCATAAAGTATGTAGCCTTTTACAATTGACTTTCAATCAGTATAATTCCCATGAGATTCATCAGAGTTGTGGTGTGTTTCAATGCTTAATTTCTTTTTTACTGCTGAGGAATGTTTCATGGTAAAGGTATGCCAAGGTATGCAGGCCACCTGGGGGCTTTCGTTTCCATGTGGAGGAGTCAGTGGATAGGTTATGACCAGGCCACAGCTGCCAGGTGACAAGGGCATTGTGTTCTGTGGCTTGTGGCTTGGGGCAGCCTCTATCAGATGTCCCCACACAGCTAATCCTACCCACAGCCAAGATTAGAAATGTCAAAACCCTTATCCTTCTGCAAAGTCCCTCCAGCACTCTGTACTAAGAAAGCATAGCATGGGACATAGGAGAAAAGCTTAATGGAACTCTGGGATTTATCATACAGCACATACGGAAGTGTTCTTTGGAGCTGAGAGGCAATAAATTGATAACTGACATGATATACACAAACAAGCTTATTTCTAACTCTGTCTTCTGCTCAGTTTATCTGTGTATCTATCTCTTCATTGATATGACACTGTCTTCATTACTTTAGCTTAATAGAGAAAGTCTTGATATTGGGTAGAGTGATGGCTTATACTTCGTTCTTCTTCAAATTGTTTTAGGTATTCTAGCACATGTATTTTTCCATATAATTTATTTTTTATTTTTTTATTACTATACTTTAAGTTCTAGGATACATGTACAGAACGTGCAGGTTTGTTACATAGATATACACATGCCGTGGTGGTTTGCTGCACGCATCAACCCGTCATCTACATTAGGTATTTCTCCTCATGCTATCCCTCCCCTATCCCCCCAACCCCCGACAGGCCCCGGTGTGTGATGGTCCCCTCCCTGTGGCCATGTGTTCTCACTGTTCAACTCCCACTTATGAGTGAGAACATGCAGTGTTTGGTTTTCTGTTCTTGTGTTAGTTTGCTGAGAATGATGGTTTCCAGCTTTATCCATGTCCTGCAAAGGACATGAACTCATCCTTCTTTATGGCTGCATAGTATTCCATGGTGTATATGTGTCACATTTTCTTTATCCATTCTATCCATCTAATTTTATAATAAGCTTGCCAATGGCTACAAAAAAAAAAAAAACCTTGCTGGGACACTTAGAGAAATTGTATTAAACCTATATAGGAAAAAATTATCTTTATTATGTTTAATCTCCCAATTCATGAACATAGTATGTCTTTTCATTTATATAGTACTTTTTTGATTTGTTTAATCAGCATTTTGTAATTTTTTAGTATACAGATTCTATATATGTTTTGGTAAGTTTATATTGAAATGTGTCTATTTTTCTTGTTTTTCAGATTTGATAAATTCTATTGATCTGTCTTCATATTTATTCATTCTATATTTCTCATATCCACTCTACTATAGGCCCATTTAGCAAGTTTTAAAAAAAATTACTGTTATTGCGGTTATCAGTTCTATAATTTCCATTTCATTCTTTTTAAAATTTCTGTTTCTTTCTGAGATTGTCTATTTTTAAATTTTATCAAGGGAATTTGTAGTTGCTTGTTGAATCATTTTTATGGCAGCTGCTTTTAAATTCTTGTCAGACAGTTCCAACATCTGCTTCATCTTAGTGCTGGCATCAGTTGATTATCTCTCATTCAAGTTGTGATTTTCTTGGTTCTTGGTATAATGGGTGACTTCTTATTGTATTAGGTTGGTGCAAAAGTAATTGCGGTTTTTGCCATTACTTTTAACAGCAAAAATAATATTGAGAACATTTTGCCTATTGCATTTTTAGACTCTGGGTCCTATGAGACTCTTCATTTTAGGAGGCTGTTGCCAGGCTTAGGGTTAGCAGGTGGCCTGGCCTGCTTTTGTATGCTGTGGTTTCAATCCCATGCTGGTGCTCATGGTTGTGGGGTCATCCCTATGGAACTGTGTGGCCTCTCTGTGACTCTGGTTGGGAGAAGACCTCGTTGGACTTCAGGAACAAAATGTGCTGCTTGGATGGGGCTACTGTTGTTGCAGACAGCCCCTGTGAGTTCTCTCAGCTGCCCAGTGTCTCTAAGGGCCAAAGAGCATTATCCAGCCCATGCTTCCTGCTGGGCAAAGATTGCCCTGTCCATGCCACCCAATGTCCCAGTGTCTCTTGGTGGAGGAAGGGATTCTCCAGCACTAAGGGGTTAGAGTACCTCTCTAGCTGAGGCATGAGCTGGGAGGGACCTCCTAGTGCTGCCCAGCTGCCAAAGCCTCTAGCTGGGAGAGGTGAGCTCAGGGCCAGTGGTGAAGGAGCATGTTCCTTCAGAGAGAGCCAGACCCCCACGCCTGCTGCCAGGCTCTCTGGTGTTGTCAGCAGGACTCTTCTTTGATCTGGGGCAGGGAGGAGCCTGCCCAGGTTGGCCTTCATTGCTAGGCTGGGGGCTCAAGGAATGCAGGGTCTGGGTCACCTTCTGTTGTTGGGGTCAGGGGTGTAGGACTCTCTGGCGCTATTTTGTTCCTCTAGTCCTGGGGTTGCTGATCAGTTTGCCCTCCTCTTTCTCCCTTTCAGAGTCCTGTGGTGGCTTCTTCTGCCATTTCAAGGGCTTAGAGTTGTTCTTAGGGGGAGAAACAAGGAGAGAAACTGGCTGAGGGAGCGGAGAAGAAAATTTCACACAGGGAGTGACAGGAACCATGTGTGTTGGGCATGTGGTGTGTGAGTGTCTGTGTGTGTATGCAGTGTGTGCATAAGTGTGCATAAGTGGGTTTGAAATATACGAGTTTAGCCTGCCATATATTACACAATGAGTCAAGTGTCAATTATCAGTCTCTCTGGCTTTCCTCTATTACCATAGATCAACAAAATTGAATTTTGATAGTCTTCCAAGGAACTGAGATTGCCACTTAGCTCTCCTTATATTAATCATAGCATAAAGCGAGCTACAAATATTTTGGAATTAAATGGCTGTGCTGCGAACTGATATTCATTCATTTCTTTGACATATGACCATGGTAGTAATAGCAGATGTGGCAATGGCTTCAACTGAGCCCCTGGTGTGAGCCCCTTCTCCTCTAAGTCCCCTTTCCTGTGTGAGAAGACTCTGTTTCAGAGCAGTGGCCACCCCGTGTCCCTCCTTAAGCCCAGGTGACTGTGGACAGAGACCCCTGTGTTCCAGGAGCCAATAGTCTAGAGAATATGAATCATGTAGGGTTTTTGATATGCATTTTTCATTCTCACTCCTGAGTTCATGAACTTCCCCTGGTCATACTAGGCACCTACTTGCTTGGGATTGTGTGTATGGGTGTGCAGATTATAGCTTCCCATAGGAATTGACACCAAGTCTACTGACGCCAATTCTTAGGTTTATCAAAAGAAATAATGTTTTCTAAATTCCTTTACTGTATCAAGGACAAAGCCTATTGAAACCAGATCATTGAGTTACTTTTAAGAGTTTGAGAAGTTGCCCTCACCCTTTGGCAGCCTGGCCTTTGTGTCTGCTGGGAGAAGTGAGAGGAGGTAGAAGGGATAGGTGGGCAGAGGGAAGAGAGAAGGAGAGACAGGGGGAGGAGGAGATGCTCACGTAGAGCTCACTCTGGTTCAGATGAGCTTGAGTAAGGACAATGCTGGGGTCAGAGGGCTTTGGGGATGCCTATCACTGCTGGTCAGCTGCCCACATGCCAGCTGGGTTCAGCCACATCACAGCCCCCATAGTGCTTCAGCTTGGACCAAGAACCAAGGGACTCTGAAGCCATGCTGTGTCCCCTTGACATAGTGGGACCAAAGTGGGCCAAGGGTCCCTCTGGAGGGGCCACTGTGGGGTGGTAGTAGAGTGGCCCTGAGAGTGGGAGTGGCAAGGTGGTCCCCTGAACTGATGCCATCACAAGGGTGGTCTCCAGGGGCAGCAAAGGTTGCCTGAAGCTGGATCCCCAGATCTGGGCAGGGAAAGAGGGAGGAACAAAGACTCCAGTCTTTGTGGGCTGCCTGGATCCTATAGACACCAGGCGGGGAGATCAGAACCGCACAGGCTGGTGAGGGGCCATTTGAAAAATGAGGCTAGGGAGGGGTAGAATCTGAGATTCAAGGCCCGTGACCCCTAGGTGCTGTGAGACTGGCTCTAGAGCCTTTTTCTTGTTATACTGTGAGTGGATATTCTCAAGGAAGGTTGCTGTGGACTGAAGGTTTGTGTCCCCCCAAATTCACCCAAATTCATCTGTTGAAATCCTAAACCCAAGGTGACAGTATAAGGAGGTGGGGCCTTTGGGAGGTGATTAGGTCATGAAGGTGGCACCCTCATGAATGAGATTAATGGCTCTATAAAAGAGACCCCAGAGAGACCCTGCACCTCTTCCATCATTTGAGGCCACGGTAAGAAGGTGCCATCTATGAGGAAGGGATCCTCACCAGACATGGACTCTATCAGCCCCTTGATCTTGGACTTTCCTGCCTCCAGAACTGTGAGAAATACATTTCTGTTGTTCATAAACAAGCCAGCCTATGGCATTTTGTTATAGCAGCTTGGATGAACTAAGACAGAAAATTAGTACCAAGGAGTGGGGACTCCTGTACCAAATACCTGCAAGTGTGGAAGTGGCCCTGTAACTCAGTAATGCATAGAGACTGGAAGAATTTTAAAGTTCTAGCTAAGAAAAGCCAATGGATGGAGCAGTAAGGGTGATTCTTGTGAGGGATCAGAGGGAGAAGAGAAGAGCTGTGGGGAATCTTCTGTCTTCCAGGAAAACACTTAAGTGTTTGATAACAGAATGCTGGTAGAAATATGAACAGTAAAGGCCATTCTGATGAGGTCAGATGGAAATGAGAGACACATGATTGGACCGTGGAGGAAAGGCCATCCTTGTTATAAAGTGGCGAAGAACTTTGCTGAATTGTGTTGTTGTTCTAGGTTTTTGTAAAAGGTAGAACTTGTGAGTGATGAAATTGGATATTTGGTTTCAAAATTTGAATATTACGAAATTTCTACAGAAGATGTTGAAGGCATGGCTTGGCTTCTCTTGAGTACTTATAGTAAAGTGTGAGAAGAGAGAAATGGCTTAAAGACAATGTTGATCAAAAAGGAAACAGAACTAAAAATTGCGGAAAATTCTCAGCCTATCCATATTGTAGAGAATGAAAAAGCATGTTCAGGAGAGAACAGTAAAGGTGTGGCCAAGCTACTGTTTGATAAAGAGATTTGTATGAGTTGGCATCTCAAGGGAAGCCAGGTACTATTTATCCAGACAATGGAAGATGACCTAAAGGTGGAGATCATTGGGGCTGCCCTTCCCATCACAGTCTTAGAGTGCAAAGGCCTGGGTGGAGAAAGAAGGCCACTGTTGCCCAGTGCTACCTCATATTGCGGGCTCTTCTTACTTCATTTCATTTCAGCGCAGCTGTTGAGCCTCAAAATAGTGTGCCTGGTGCCTGGCAAAGCTGAGGGAACATCACTGTTTCCACTTAGATTTTAAAGGATGCCCCCAAAAGCCACAGGGCCAAGGCAGAGACCTGCTGCAGAGGTCAGGCCACCCCAGAGACCCCAGCAGAGCCATGGAGGTGGGCTGTTCCTGAGACCCTGTACTAGAAGAGCCACAGAAGCATGATTCCAGGCGAGGAGAGCTGGGGGCGTTACCCAGGCACAGAGCTACTATAGAGGTGGGGCCATGGCAGAGAATAGACTCAGGGGCAAGCCCACTGCCCTAGTGGGCTTACATGGCAGAACTTCCAGCCAAAGATGATTCTGAGGCGTTACGGTTTTAGATTTACTTGGGACCAGTTATCCCTTTCTTCTTTCCTAGTTCTCCCTTTTGGAATGAGAATGTCCGTCCTATGCCTGTTTCACCGTTGTAATTTGGAAGCACATAACATGTTTGATTTCAGAGGCTCACAGTTAGAGGGGAAATTACCTCAGGATGCATTGTACCTGGAGTCTCACCCATACCTGTTTTAGATGAGACGCTGGGCTTTATTTTGTTTTTGTTTTTTTGAGACAGGATTTTGCTCTGTTTCCCAGGCTGGAGTGCAGTGGTGCAATCACAGCTCACTGCTGCCTTCACCTCCCGGGCTCAAGGAAACCTCCCAGCCCAGCCTACTGAGTAGCTGGAACTACAGGTGTATGCCACCGTGCCTGACTAATTTTCATATTTTTTTGTAGTGATGCGGTCTTGCTATGTTGCCCAGGCTGGGATCAAACTCTTGGGCTCAAGTAATCCACCTCCCAAAGTGCTGGAAGTACAGGTGTGAACAACTGTGCCTGGCCTAAGACTCTGGACTTTATACTTTTGAGCTGATGCTAGAAAGAGTGAAGACTTTAGGGGCTATTTGGATGGAATGAATATATTTTGCATGTGAGAAGGGCATAATTTGAGAGGCCGGGAACAGAATGCTGTAGACCAAATGTTTGTGTTCCCACCAAATTTGTATGTTGAAATCCTAACCTCCAAGGGGATGGTATTAGGAAGTGGGATCTTTGGGAGGTGATTAGGCAATAAGGGTGGATCCCTCATGAATGGGATTAGTGCCTTTGTAAAGGAAACCTCAGACAGCTAGCTGGTACCTTCCACCATGTGAGGAGACACCAAGGTGCCATCTATGAACCAGAAACTGAGCCCTTACCAGTCACATAATCTGCTGGTGCCTTGATCATGGACTTCCGGCCTCTAGCTATGAGAAATGAATTGCTGTTTATAAGCCACCCACCCAAGCCACCATGCTCTTTGGAAATAAAGAGTGTAGGATGAAAAACCATGAGACATGTATGTAATTAAGAGCCTACAAGTACCAAAAACCAACAAAACAAAACAAACCAGTCCTTTTCAGGAATAAAGATGATCAGCTGGGCAGGAAACTGCGAGCTCTGGTCTCAGGCTCCTCATGCTCATCCCAGCCCCTGAGAATCAGATGCAGTCTAATTCCCAGCAGAGAAGCAGATCAGGGCTTGGACACACCTCTTATTCTCTTTCTACATTTCCTACTAGTCAAACAATAAGAGCAAAGAACTGTGAAATATTGGTTAGGTTATATGCTGTGGTTACTTTGGTTTTCAGAAAAATATTTGTGGACAAAATAAGGATTTGGGAACTGCAATCTAAGAGGGAAATAACTCTTTCCCCCACTGTCAAAGATAAAAACCACACATATTGCATGAGTATGCTTATGAAAACATACTCCCTCCTTCATTCACTCAGCAAATGTGTCCTGCACCCAGCCCTCCTGTGGTCCAGGCTCCTGTGTGCTGGAGCACAGGGAAGTACTGCTTGAGGCTGTGGTTTGAGCTCCCAGTCAGGGGAAGATGGACAGGTGAATTTAGGGGATTCCAGAACAGCTCTTGCTGTGACAGTGATGGCCAGGGAGCTAACAAAGGGGACCCGAAGGTCCTTAGAACAAGGGAGAGGGCCAGGAGGCCTGGGTTCTTTTCCAGAGTCAGAGAGACCATCTCAGTGGGCAGATAGAGGGGCTTGGGGCCGCACACACATGGGCAGCACAGATTTCAGGCAGGTGACAGAGACAGCATTTGTGCAAAGCATGTACGTAGGGACAGAGGCCCAGAGGTGAGGGGACAGCGGCAGCGTACATGGACGGAGGCTCCTCAGAACTGTATCTCCTCTTTTCAGCAAGTGGGTGCATGAAGGTCCCCGTAAAGGAATGGTACCCAGGCCAGGAGACTGTCTAGAGGCCATACTGAGGCCCGAGTCCAAAGCCATGAGACTGTTGGTTTGGAAGAGAAGCGAGGAGGCTCAGTGCACTGATTCCAACCCCGCAGGCAGTAGGCAAGGGTGCCTGAAGGGAGGGACCCTGGTGGGGCACTGAGAGGGCGCTGCCCTCACTTGCCCTGGGTGCATCTCTGCGTGCTCCTGAATAGCTGTGGCCCCCTCCTTGAGCACCTGGAAGAGCACCCAGTCTCTCATCCTGCAGAAGAGGTGGCGTGGAAGAGCAGGGCCAGAATATCCATGAGGACAGTGGTGAGCAGTGCAGGCTTCCAAGGGCAACAGTAGAGACAGGATCATTGTCACAAATGGAGTTGAGATATGCATGCGGATGCATGTGCTGAGGATGGGGGCTGGGGGGCCCTGGAGGTGGATGTGGATGGGTTTACAGAAACAGGAGGAAAGAGGTAGGAAAGGGCAGGATTCAAAATCCTACAGGAGGATAGACCTAGTTCAGGAGCGAGGGACTGACCTCCCAGGAGGGAAGGTGGTGAAGGAGCATCACTCTCAAATTCCTGATGCCGTGGGAGGCCTGCCAGTGGCCGGCACAGTCTGAGGTTGCCAGGCGCACAGGGATGCCTCGTCATGAAAGGCACCATTCTTGCTGCAGGCGACGTGGGTTTACATCATTTCAGGACATAGTGGAACTGCATCCTGATCTGCCCTTGGGCACCTTATGGAGCCTGAAATCCAGGGCATCTGCTGAGTGGGAAGGGGACTGAGAGGGGGGATCTTCAGGGGCTCTGTACAACTTGGAACTAAAGCAAAAAAAGACGGAGAAAGGAAAAGGCTGCCACAAGCAGTAAACGTCTCCTCTTTCTGTTTTTCCCAAGCGATTTCAGAAACTGCTTGTGACTGTTATCATTCTGGAATATTATCCAAGAGACCATTGTTCCCCAGGGAAAGAAAGTAACAGACAAGAAACTTTGGATCTGGACCTATGCCGTCACAAATGTGCTGTTTTTATAAAACCTGACAGTCCGGGACAGCCTAATTAAAAAAAAAATAAAAATAAGGGATTTAATTCCCTTGGTATTGCAAAATACTCAGCAAAATAATCTCTTTCTGTACCCCATGTCAGATTTTTTTTAAAGTGCTGATGAAATGCAGACCTTGGCAATTTTTGTTTAATCCAAACCCAGAAGGACTGGCTATCAGCTCATGGCCATCAGTTAATGCAGGGCTTGTAAGGCCATTTATCAATCGAGTTCATGAGCTTGAATCTGTGCCAGCCATTTTCTCTCATAAAATGATATAGCCCAGCCCTTGTTCTTGCTGAAACTGGGGGTGACAGCGTCTGTTTGTGCACATTCTGGGCTGATGCAGGCCATGGAAACAGCTGGTGCAGGTGTTGCTGGCTTTGACTGAAATCCACGGCCCACCACGGCATCGTAGATGCATGTGCATTAGTTTGAGCCTAGACTCCTTAGGAGTTGTGTGGCATTCAGTAACTGACTTAACTTCCCTGTTTCTCACAAATTAATGAGAGGTCTTAATACATTTCTCATGGAGCTAATGCCTATTGAAAGAAAATAAAGCTTTTTCACCTGTAGCACAGCCAGGCACACAAGCTATAAGTATGAGTGATCATTATTACTTATTCTTCATTAGCATTTCCCAATGTGTTATATAATTGTTATTCAAAGGAAAAATATCTTACAAAACTCCAGTTACTGCTGGGGCATGACAGCCCTAGCCATAGTTCCAGGCACCCTGAGATCCATGTACCTGTGATGAGGTTTAGTGGCATCGGCTCTATATTTCTCATGAAGCTGTAGGACAATGAACTGAGACAGTAAATAAGAAAGCACCTTATGCATCATCAAACCACACACAGGCACGGGGTGAGGTATGCACTCCATGGCAACAGCAACCGGGGTTAATAGATTACATTCACCCAGCTCCAGTGAATGTGTCAGGGGATGAGATGCCCCCAGCAGTTACTACGAGAGCTGTGAGAACAGAAGAAGTCAGCACTGCAGCCTAGAGCCCTCAAGGGGCACTTGGAAGGTCGTCCAAGCCGAATTCCCTCCCCTCAAGGCTGGGGCAGAGACTCTCTATCTTCTATGTCTAATGACTAACCACAGTGGGTGTTCAAAATCAACTCCAGACATGGCTCCTCCCTACCGTCAGAGTGGAGATGACCCAGGAGGAAGGCTCATGGGCTCTGGGCCATCTCTATGCCAAGGTCTGTTTCCTTGGGGCAGCACAGGGCACATCAAGGATTTATTCTCCCTGTGGAAAAGAAAGGTGTCAAAGTGGGAATGCTTATGTTGAAATATGTGCTGGGCACTTCCTGTGTCTGCACTGACCACTTCTAGAGGGCATCTGGGGAGCTTGGACCTGTCTGGCCAGGGCTGGCAGGCATTGTTTCCCTAGGTTCTTTCTCATCCTCAAGCCCTGACCAAGCCTCAGCCCTGACTTCTGTTCCCTCCAGCCAGTCCTCCTCCTGGCCCAGGCTCTTTGTCATACAAATGCCTCTGGGCTCTTTCTTCACTTTGCTGTTCCACATGGCACACATCTCCTGTCTCTCCACCTAGGAGGCCCCTAAGTCTCTGTGGCCTGCGTCTTTCCCTAAAATCTCTCTGTGAAGCCACTGACATTGTCACTGTGCTCACACAGTGTTTGTGCAGCCAGGTGGGGCTGGAGAAAGGACTCTGAACTTGGGGGGTGGGTTTTGTATTCCACCCCCATCACTTGGCAGTTCTGTGACCTTGATCATGGTCTTTGGAACACTTGGGTTTTTTTTTTTTTTTTTTTTTTGAGACAGGGTCTCTCTCTGTCACCCAGGCTGGAGTACAGTGACACAATCATGGCTCACTGCAGCCTTGACCTCCAGGGCTCAAGCGATCCTCCCACCTCAGCTTCCCAAGTAGATGAGTAGCTGGGACTACAGGTATGTGCCACTACACCTGGATAATTTTTGTATTTTTTTGTAGAGACAGGGTCTCACTATGTTCCCCAGGCTGCTCTTGAAATCCTGGGCTCAAGCGATCCTCTAGCCTTGGCCTCCCAAAGTGCTGGGATTACAGGCATGAGCCACCACACTTAGCCTGAAACTCTTGTTTATTGATATTTTCCCATGCTGGTCTCCTTATAATTCTGACTCAGTGTTCTTATCTCTATTTCACAGATGAGAAAACCTTGTCTCAGAAAGTGGGTTTTCAGGCTTACAGACCCTGTGAGCACCATGGGTAGAGTGCCACATCCGACATCTAGGCACCCAAGCCAGCACTTCGGGATGTGCCGATGATGCTTCTCATCTTGGCTCTTCCAGTATGGAATGGGGTGATGACCCCTGCTTCTCAGAGTTGTTACGAGGATCAAATGAATCTCCAGTCTTACTGGACTGTGGGGTTCACAGGAGATGCATGCTTTATCCACAGCAGTTGTCCTAGCATCCAGAACTGGGCCTGGTGCATAGAATAAGTGCAAAATAAGTATTTATTTAAGTGGACCACATAAGCAAGCCCTCTGCTCAGCACCTGGCAAAAGGCAGGCATTCCATAAACTATAGTTGTAGGAGGAGGATTTTTACATATATACTCAGCCAAGTTACTCATCATCTATTTTCATCTACCTTTTGTGGTCAAGCGCCCTTAGTGCCCAGTATGGAGCCTGGCACACACTGGCCACTTAACAACCATGTGTTTGTGCTGCTGAGGAGGGTGGTGGCCACATGCAATATAGAAGGGGCATGCCCGCCCTTCAAATATAGCAGTCCTGAACAAGTGGATCCACATAGAGAAAATGAACACATTTATTTATGCTCGCTCTTGTTAGGCAATGTAAACGTATTTTGCTGTGATTCATTTAATTCCCTCACACACACAAAAACAAAGGGCTCTGCTCTTTTTACAGATGAGGAGACTGAAGCCTCAAGGAGTTGAGTTGTTCACAGGGCATGAAAATTAAGTGAATTATAGAAAAAATAAGTTTACAATGCCTAACATACAGTAAGCACTAAATAAGTGTTTTGATTTTCTTTATTTGGAAAGGGTTGTTTGCTCTAATCCACTGCTCCATGTAGCCACTGGGACATCTCCACTGATTGTGGGTAGAGGGGAAGGCCACGTCCTGAGAAGACCTTCTCCAGGGGAAGAAATGCCCTGAAAACCACCCAAAGGAGCTGCTCTTGATGCGTTGAAACAGAAAAAGAGAACAAAGAACATCTGGGGGTTCTTCCTCCTTTTCCAAGCACAATGCAGGCTGCCATTTTCCATTTAAAAGCTTAAAAAAAATTGTAGTTAATAAGAGAAAAAAAATCCCTCACAATTCTTAGGGGAAATCCAAAGACAGTTATTCTCATCATATTTTGAGGAAGTCTTGAATCCTTCACTGGCTGATATCAGATTCTCAGAAAGCAACTGACCTGCAAAAGCCATTAAACAGCCTCATCTGGATGGGGGTTTTGAGAATGAAATACGGCAGAAAAATAAACCCAGACAATGGAGCCTTCGAAGGGGGCCTCCAAGAGCACACACAGACAGGCAGGCACACATGTTGAGGAAGGTCTGCAGCTTCCCTGATCTCCCCTCCAGGCTCCCAGGTTCTGGAATGTTGTGCATTTCCACTCCAGCAGGACAAGGTGAATCTCAGAGGAATGTTACATTTCCCCGACGGGCCACTTCCTTTCTAGCAGGAGAGGAGCCCACGCTGGAATGTGTTCCCAGGGCTGCTTTTAGGGCTTTTCACTAAAGTAAGACTCTTTCCATAATAATGAAAAGAATATGAACTCACATTTGCAGATTATCCTGGATGATTTACTTTGTTCAATGGCCTCAGCTCTATAGTTGTGGGAAATGAGAACTAGAGAGAGAAGTAACTTGCCAAGTTTGCCTAACTGATAGATGGAGCCAGAACCAGAACCCCCCTCACAGACCACACCCTCCATCACTGTCAACGTTGTACTGCCTCCAGTCACCTATCTACAAAACATTACCTGGGTAGTTTGAAAATTCACAGAAGATCTTGTCTCTTCCTTGCTTAGACCCTTCTGCATTAGCCTGTTCTCGCATTGCTATAAAGAAATACCTGAGACTGGGAAATTTATAAATAAAAGAGGTTTAATTGGCTCACGGTTCTGAGGCTGTACAGGAACCATGATGCTGGCATCTGCCCAGCTTCTGGGGAGGCCTCAGGAAGCTTACAGTTATGGAGGAAGGCAAAGTGGGAGCAGGCACTTCGCATGGCTGGAACAGGAGCAAAAGGAGTAGTGGGGGAGGTGCTGCCGATGTTTAAATAAGAACTCGTGAGAACTCACTCATTATCAAAAGAACAGAACCAAGGCGATGGTCCTAATCCATTCATGAGAAACTGCCCCCATGATCCAGTCGCCTCCCACTGGGTCCCACCTCCAACACTGGGGATCAAAATTGAACATAAGTTTTGGGTGGGGACACAGATTAAAACCATATCACCTTCCATTCCCACTAGCTTGGATGAAGCTCAAGCATTCTTTTGTGGCTCATGGCTTCCTGGGCCAGGTCCACACAAACCATTCAGGGCAAGTGATAATGGATAGTCCATATATCATATCTCTGCATATTTTAAAGCTCTGGTCTCAGCCCAGCCCCCAGCCCAAAGGAGAACCCTTTGTGCTCAGGTACTCAAGTTTTCATGTCCTTGCAAGTGAATATTCTGGCCTGAACATCCAACCTCTGAGCACACGTGTGTGGACACCTGCCTGGATTCCCACTTGCTTTGTTCACCCACTGAACTCCCAACTTCCAAAATCTGCGTATGGCTCTTACCACACTTACCACACTGTTGTCCACATGTCTGTGCTCAGCTACCCCTTGAGCCCAGGGTACATACTGGACAGTTGGTCAGTCCTCAGGAAGAGACCTACAGGAAGTGGGTTTGGGATGTTTGGGCAGTGAATTCTGGGTTTTGGGGTGTCACAAGCATGATCTAGAAGGAGGGGTACAGGCCCAAGGTGGGCACACCCCCTCTGCAGAAACGGACTCAGCAGAGCAGGACCAGTGTGGACTCTCTAAAGGCCAGCCCATCCTCCTCCTTTCAGGCTGAGGGCCTCCCTGGCCAGGCCCAGACCCAATGTCTGGCCTCATTTCCTGCTGTATGATGCCAGCCTTTGTAAGTCACTTGCAGTCCCCAAGAGCAACCTCTGTCTCATATCCCCATGGACCCATTTTTTATTATATGCCTGCCTGGGATCCCCCACTTGCTTTGTTCATCCACTGAACCCCCAACCAACACCAAAACTCCAGTCTGGCTCTTACTCTGTTGCACAATGATGATTTTATAGTCTGCCTTCCAGACCAGATGGATGTTCTCAGTCCAAGCACAATGCCCAACATAGGGTTGATATTTAATCAACGTATTGCCTGAATGAATGATTTTACTTGCCCTGCATTCTAGAAAAAATGAGAGACTAGCTTTTGTTCAGAGAGTCACAGAAAAAAAAATAAGGAAGGCTGGAATAATATGTGCTTATGTCATCTCCCTCCAGGCAGGTCTTGGCTGAAGGGCAGCAACTGTGGTCTGATCACCTCTTAAAGATCTTACCACTTAATATTGTTGTGTTGGGGATTAAGTTTCCAATGCATACCTTTTGAGGGATACATTCAAGCCATAACAGGCTTCAACATATTTCAGAATTTGAGGACAGGCACAAATATTCAGTTTATAGCTACAGGTGAAGGAATTCTCCTAGAAGAGAGAAAAAAGACAGCAAATAAAGAAGACAAAAGACCTAGAAGATAAATCTGGTGGTCAAACCATTAAAAAACAGAAATTCTAGATGAAGTGAAAAGGAAAAGATTAAGGGGAAGAAATTACCAAAAAAATTTCTCTAAATGGAAGTACATGCATCTCAAGATTGAACATATCCTTGAAAAGTCTACCACAATTAAATTTAAAAAAACAAAAACAGTCCAAGGTACATAATTATGGAATTTCAGGACACAACTGCAAAATAAAAACTAAGGCCAGGTGCGGTGGCTCACGCCTGTAATCCCAGCACTTGGAGAGGCCGAGGCGGGCGGATCATGAGGAGATCCAGACCATCCTGGCTAACACGGTGAAACCCCATCTCTACTAAAAATACAAAAAAATTAGCCAGGCGTGGTGGCGGGCACCTGTAGTCCCAGCTACTTGGGAGGCTGAGGCAGGAGAATGGCATGAACCTGGGAAGCGGAGATTGCAGTGAGCCGAGATCGTGCCACTGCACTCCAGCCTGGGCCACACAGCAAGACTCCGTCTCAAAAAAAAAAAAAAATTTGAAAACTCCAAGAGAAAAACAGATCACCTTTAACAGAACATAACTAAGAATGTCATTAGCCTGCATGAGGAAGGCAATAAAGCAATGCCTTCAAAATTCTGTGGAAGAATAATTTGGAGTGTAGAATTCTAATATCCACAGCAGATATTAAATAAGTATGATTACAGAGTGAAGACATTTCAGGCATGCAAGAACTCAAAATGTTTACTTCTTATTCAGTCTTTCCTCAGAAGTTACTTAAGGTTGCACTTATCTAAAATGAAATACTAGATCAAATCCACCAAATAGAGCAATGTGTGAGCTTTTAGAAGCTGTTGAGCAGTCCTGGAGAACAGCCAGCCAAGACCAGGAAGGATTCCAGGAAGGACCTGAAACAATGAAGTTTGGAGGTAAAATAAAGACTATTAAAGAGGAAGACATTGCTTGATAAGAAGTCAAATTAACAAAAAAAAAACCTCTAGAAAACCAGACTCAAAAGAAGAGGAAATTGTGGTAAACCACAGTCGCATAAGAGCAGGGTAATGTAAGTGCCCTCTGTCTAACTTAAAGTAGTGTTATGACTATACTTCAAGATAGATAAAGGGAGATGAAATGTAGTTTGAGAGAGCTAGCTTCTCAATTATCAGAAGTTAAATAATATCTAAATATTGAATGAACCAAAAATGTAAGCATACTACTTAGAGTTGTAAATGTAACTACCCTAAGAAATAGCTAAAAATGTTGAAGTGTGGTTATTACTGGGAAACATGATATATTTGTTTAAGCAGGATTTTTATATGACAATATTTTTTATTTATATAATGATACTTTAACCATATATCACTCTGATAAAAATGTCTTAAAAGTTTATTTTAATATACTTGTAGTTTGGCTTCAATTTTTATTTTATATTTCATTTCAGAAACTAATGTGACACCCATGTCAACCATTCTTGAGCTGCATTAACGTACAAAGAGACTTGAGCAATTTGCCTACTTTTCATCGAGCAAAATTTTGTTTCCCAAATCCAATTATTCAATCTCTAAATTGCTTGCTTCCCACTTCCTTTTCGTCATAGTCTCTTTATATTAATACCAAACTTGGCTTTTTTTCCTTCCTTTTATGGCCTCTCAGCCCAAACCACCAGTCCCTAGATAACTAATTATCTGTGTCCTCTGGCCTCATCCCAACTTTTTAGGGCAGTGAGCTAACACTTCTTTTTGTATGTTAGGAGTTCTCAACTTTTTTGAAGAAACATGGTGCTTTCTAAAATAAATGGGAGAACATAAGACAAAGCAAAGCCAGAAGAAATTAATTTTCTTTGGAAAATCCCAAAAGTCAGGAAAGTTTTCTGAAGACTGAATATTCTTCACCACTCATTTTCACTTTTATTCATTCAACATTGTTTGAACCTTCACCCTGTAATGGGCTCTTTAGTGGCATCATGGCTACTAATGTGAGGAAGGTATGGAGAGCCACCTAACAGGGCTCTGCTCTTCTCTCCGCTGCATGTTCCACAGGCGCTCATGGCAAAACTCACCCAAATCTCTTCATGGTGACCACTTGTTCAGCCTTATATCTTCCCTCACAAGCATAGCCCTTTTCTGAGACTTGCATTTGCTTTAAAATTTTGAATTTCCAAATTCCCAATATGGTTTACTTCATAATTGAGACATAAAGTTCACTGCAGAAGAGAAGATACCCCCACAAGTCAGAAAATGCTCTTTAATTGTTTATTAAAAATGAAAGAGTGGAAATTATTGTGCAAATCCAAATAGAACAAATCTAAAAAATCCATACCAAGACACATTGTAGTCAAATTTCTGGAACCTAAACAAAGAAAAATTCTTGAAAGCAGTGTGAGAGAATGACACCTTAACCTATAGAGGAAAAGTCACTTAAATGAAAGATAATATCTCATCAGAAACCATGGAGACCAGAAGTAAGTGGCTTAAATTTTCTTTAAAGTACTGGGAAAAGAAACCCTACCAATAAGCATTCAGTATCCAATGAAAATATTTTATGGGGATGAAAGGAAAATCAATCATTCTCAGATGAATTTCAGAAATCATCATTCTCAGATGAAGTAAAAACTAAGCAAAATTTTTACCAATACTCCTACCCTAAAAGTATGGGTAACGGACATTCTTTCAATATAAAGGATATGATAAAAATAAGAAATCTTGAAACATTAAAAAAAAGGTGAATGGGGAGAGTAAAAATATGGTGAATACAATAGAATTTCCTCCTCCTCTTGAGTTTTCCAAATTATGTGTGATATTGGAGCAAAAATTCTGACACTCTGATATTGTTCTCAATGTATGTTGAGAAAATAATTGATATAATCATAAACTGGAAAGGATAAAAAATATGCTAAATAAAGGAAAGTTTCTATACCTAATTTGAACTGAAAAAATGTTGAAGCCTTTAGACTATAGAATTATATATATAACAAATATATAATAAACATATTTTATATATAAAAAATATATTTCTATACATAATGCAATTCTATATATAATATAATCATATATATATATATATATATATGATTCCATTATTGATTTCTGCATTGCAGAAATTTGATCCTCCTTCTCTGAGAGGGAGCCGGTTTTCATTTCCTTTAGTCTAAAGGCTTCAACATTTTATCAGTACAAATTAGGTGTAGAAATCTTCCCTTCTTCATCATGGCACCCAGGAAGAGAATTCTAACTCAGAATATCTTGGCTAAAACCACAACATTGAGCATGGAATTCATTCCTGTGCAGTTTCTCCATGCTAGTCTGTGTCACTAATGATGGTATCTAAGAAGCTATGGAAGAAGGACGAAAGTCCTATTTTTTCTTTTGTATTAGAGATGATTAAGATGTCATGTCTTTCCCACCAGCTTTTCCCTTTCTCTTGATATGAAGAGTGTTGAGATTTTGAAAAGCAAGGAAATAGAGAATAGAAATCTCAGATTCTTTTCCTCTTATTTATTCATTGCATAAAATAGTTACTGAACACATCACAGGTGCCCGGATGAACGTTCAAAGCTGGGAATACTATGGTGAGCAATGCACAGTCTTGGTCTCATGTTGCTTCCTGTCTAGGATGCTTCCCAGTCACTTACTTATGCTTCTTGATCTGACAAAAAAAAATGTAAGTACAAGAGTGAGTAAATGGCAACTACCCCAGAAATGTAAGCACTGGTCCCTGTGAATTATGTGAAAGAAAGGAGATAGTGAAAGCTCAAGTGTTATGAGCATGCAACCTTCAACCTGTTGTTTGCCTAAGGCCTTAAAATCCTTTTTATAAGCCAACTCTTTACTAGCAGGTTAGAAGATAAATTTATGTTTCTTCTTTTGTTGGAAAGTCATAGTAAAGTAAATTCTAGCTTCTTCTTGGGAGAAGTCCTTTTGTTTCAGTGGACTTAGAAGTAACTTACAATCTAAACTCCTGAGAAAGCACACTGTAGGACTGCACAAAAAGCTCAAGGTAGTAGGAATACATGGATTTTTGTCTTAAGGTTAGAGCAAAGTTTTCAAAAAGGAATTCTGAAGTTACAATTAAAATTATCTACTTGGAGGGAGCCTCTTGGTGGAAATTCATGAGAGATGAAGCAGCATCTTCAAACAGAATCATCTTCCTAAAGACGGTGTGCACTTTCACAACCACGAAAACTAGGGGTCTACCGAGTGGGATAGAAACCAACTTCATTTAGACTAACAATTCGTTTTCTCTCTCCTTCCTTTCTCCCTCCCTCCTTCCCTCCCTCCCTCCCTGCCTGCCTGCCTGCCTGCCTGCCTGCCTGCCTTCCTGCCTTCCTTCCTTCCTTCCTTCCTTCCTTCCTTCCTTCCTTCTTTCCTTCCTTCCTTCCATCATCCGAGTTGTCAGAACCAGAAACCATGATCTCCCAAGGGCAGCAAGTATGGTTTAGTTGACCTTGCTCTTTCAATACTTGCCACGTAGCAAGTGTTTTAAAAATTAAAGGATGCAAGAAATTCTTTAATCTTTGAAGGGAAAAAATTAAAATGATTGCATATATAACTTTCTCCCTTCCCTACCATCTATAGGGTAATATTTGTTTTCTCCCCACTTTACAGGTCTCTGTTTCACAAAGAAATGAAATAAATGGATACCCTCAATTGAAGATGGGAAAAACATATTCTAAATGAAAAATTGCATGGAGGTCTTTGGGGAGAATAACAGATGCTGTGGATTAAAACAGGGAGTCACACAGCTGGTGGGCTGCGGGAGAAGACTCTGGGCCATTTGGGTGAGGGAAAGGGTAAAGAAATGGGCTTTAGGACAGAAGTCTAAAGAGAGAATTTCTGGGTGCTTTGCTCTGTTCTGTGCATCTGCTGCCCTCTCAGGAAAAGCCCATCTTAGAGGGCCCTGGATTGGGTGCTTGGGTGCTCAGTGGGACTGTCCTGAAAACAGGAGCAGGACAGCACAGGTCTATGTGGGTTACAGATCTTTGCATCTTGCAATGCTTCCCATCTGCCACCGCAGATACATGGCCCTGTCAAAGCCAAAGCTCACATAGACACTGTCAGCAAACAATTCAGTGTTCATGAAAAAATCTAGAACTTAGTAATAGTACATATATTTGTTTCTGTGAGTCCAGAGAGTGATCATGTAAGTGTGTGAGGATGTAATCCCTCACATGTGGAATAAAAGGGTCATGTTTCATTCAGCATTGAATCACCCTTAACAAATAATCGACGAGGAAGCCCGCTGTTGCCTGCCTCAGTGGACGGGGCTACCAGGAAGCATACAAAGGCTCATCACAGCAGAAATTCATTCTGTGGAAAATGTGATCAAGATCCATTTCAAATGCCAGAGCCCTGCTTTATTTGACAAATTCAACAATCCTGAGATGATTGGTCATGGATTCAAGGCCTAAGCAAAACTGGCTTCCAGCAAATTCCATAGGCCCTTGTTTTGACCTCTTCTGAAAATGGTAGGTATCACATTTCACCAATCATTTTTCTTTACAGTAATAACCAAAATGAAAGCTTATTTTAATTTCTCTAAATAGTCAAAGGTTTCTCTTGTTTTCCTACATATTTCGGGTGTCTGGGGCTCTCTACCTGACTCAGATCTCTTAGATTATCTTAGTAATCAACTCAGCCTTGAGGAGTTCTCTTCCCAGAAAAAGCTAAGGCTTTGCTGCTGAAAGCCAGCATGTTACTGGAGTACAAATTTGATTCTCCTTCTCTGAGAGGGTGCTGGTTTTCATTTCCAAGCACTGGGACCACACAGCTGCTGCTGGATACCCACAAGTGTTTCACAAAAGCAGTCCTGTGTCTGGGGTACCCTCAGCAAGCACTTATAAAATGCTGCATCTTTCTTTTCCCAGGAAAAAAAGATAGTGTTCTGTGCCTGACTAGGAAGTTCTGGTGGTTTTCTTAGTTAGCACATGAGAGGTTGACAGTTGCCAGTCTCCAGTGAAGCTGTCAACAGGTTATACGCAAATAAGAAATTACTTTAACACATACAAAACTTTTCTTTAGAAGAATGCAGACAACTTATATTCAATTTCATTTCAAAATGCTACCGATTTTCATATTTAGAGAAAATAAGTACGTAATACCTCCTGAAATTAACATATGTTCCACAATTGTGTGTGTGTGTGTTTGCACAATCATGCCAATAGTGTATCTCTGTAAGATATACATTTTTTTCTTTTTTGAGACAGAGTCTCACTCTGTCACCCAGGCTGGAGTGCAGTGGCGCGATCTCAGCTCACTGCAACCTCTGCCTCCTGGGTTCAAGCAATTGTTCTGCCACAGCCTCCTGAGTAGCTGGGATTACAAGTGCCTGCCACCACACCCGGCTAATTTTTGTATTTTTAGTAGAGACGGCATTTCACCATGTTGGCCAGGCTGGTCTCGAATTCCTGACCTCGTGATCCATCTGCCTGGGCCTCCCAAAGTGCTGGTATTACAGGCATGAGCCACCATGCCCGGCCACCAATTTATATTCATTGAAAATGTTACCCGCATTCTCGCCAACACTGGGCAATATTAAACTTTTAATCTGATAGGCGAGAAATAGAATCTCATCATTGTTTACATTTGCAGTAACATTAGTGATGAAGTTGAGCCTCTGTTCATGTGTATACCATCATTGATATTTCTTTTTCTATGAACTACTTGTTCAAGTCCTTTGTAGTTTATGTTCAATAGAATTGTTTATCTTTTTCTTATTGATTTGTATGAGCATTTTATATATTAAGAAATTCTGTCTTTGTTGTATGAAATACAACTAATTTCTACTTCCTAATAAATAGTATGGCATTTGTCTACTTCCTTTGTTACTTTGTGCAATTATTATTATTATTATTATTTTGAGATGGAGTCTTGCTCTGTCACCCAGGCTGAAGTGTAGTGGCATGATCTCAGCTCACTGCAACCTCCGCCTCCCGGGTTCAGATGATTCTCATGTCTCAGCCTCCCGTGTAGCTGGGATTACAGTTGCGCACCACTGCGTCTGGCTAATTTTTGTATTTTTAGTAGAGACGGGGTTTCACCATGTTGGCCAGGCTGGTCTCGAACTCCTGACCTCAAGTGATCCACCCACCTCGGCCTCCCAACGTGCTGGAATTACAGGCATGAGCCACCGTGCCTGGCTGGAAAATTTTTATAAAGTCAAATTTATTAATCAATTTTTTCCTTTGTGATGTCTGGAATTTATAGCATATTTAGAAAGAATTTCCATAATTTGGAAAAATCTATACAAATCTACCTGTTTGGTTTATAGTGCACTTGTGGCTTTTTTTTTTGTAGTTAATATTTTTATTTATCTGAAATGTCTTTTGAAATAAGGTAGGAATAAGCATTTTTGTGATTTTTCAAATGACAAGCTATCTTTTTCTACACAGGTATACTTTCATTTGAAACACCAATTTTTGATCTATGGAGTTTTCACATGCATTTGGCATGCAGACTGTGCTTGCAGACTGTGGTGGGCTTGCAGACTGTGGTGCTGGGCAAAAACAGAACTAGTTCCACTTTCTATCAGTCTATTCCTGTACAACACTATATTGTCCTATGTTATTAGCATCATAATATATTGTATTTAACAGATATAACTAGACTCACATCATTTTTTTCTTTAAAAATTTTCAGGCTAATCCTATACTGGTTAATTTTAGAATAATTTTGCCAGGGGAATTTTAGAATTGCATTCATTACTAATTTCAGAATTATTGTTTTAAGCCTTCTTTTCCAAGCATAATGAACTCATGTTTTCCATTTATTCAAGTTTTCTATCATACCCCTATTGCCATCATCCTCATTATTATTTTTGCCCAACCACTTTGGACTGCCTAGCTGCCATCATAATTTTCTAGGCGCAGAGTCACATCAGCCAGTTATACTCATTACCTTTTTTCTTCCACTTTAGTCTTATCTCTTCTTCCACTTCATTGCTTTGACTAAGTATTTATGACAATACAAGGGGCATAAGTAAGTGTCTCCATCTTTCATCTGACTTTACAGGAAATACTTTTAGTTTTTATTACTGAGTAGTAGTTGAGAAACAGGGTTTGGAAATTACCTTACTTGGATTCAAATACCAACTCTATTCCAAATGGATATGTGACTTGGAAAAAGTTCTCAACATCTGTTAAATGGGGATATTAATACTACCAATCTCTGTTTTATTTTTTCCATTTTGTTTGTCAAGTATTGTAATCACTGTTATGTTCATTCATAGTAGAAATTTGGATGCTTCCCATCTTCCTTATAAGTTCCAAACCGTATAAATATCATCAGAATCATGTTTTCTTTGAAAGTGGGAAAAAATATGGGCTTGGCAATTTGGGCAATATCACTTTAGGAATCTTCACAATTTATTTTGCTTTTATTGGTCTCTTTAGGTTTTTTAAAAAAATCTCTTATAAAATCAAATTTTGTGATTTATATTTTCCTAGAAAATCACCTATTTAATCAAGTTTTCAAATTTATTAGCACAAATCAATAACTGTTTAAATCAATAACTGTGTCCTGTCATACTTCTTCTTTCTTTGTACCTGTGGCTATGTCCCGGCACACAGTGCTAAGTTTGTGTGCTTATACCTTCCCTTACCTTGTTTATTAATGAGCCTGGGCAGTTGGTGCAACTCTATCCTGGGATCTATAATGAACAAGCACTGAGATTTGTCAGTTCTATTATTAATTGTTTCCTGGTTCTTAAAATCTTGCTTCTTCTGTATTGACTTTTTCCTTTTTTTCATTTTTTGTTATTTCTTATTTTTCTTATTTCTGAAGATTTTTTATTAGTTTATTATTTCTCACTTAGCAATGTAAAGATTTAAGTCTATGAACTTAACTTTGGGAATAACTATTCATATCTCATAGACTTTAAAAAACAGCTTTATCTAAGTATAATAAAGCATTGGCATACAATAAATAAATAAATTGTGTATATTTAAAGTGTTCAGTTTAAGTTTTTGACATATACACTTTTAACATATACACCCATGAAACCATCACCATAGTTAAGATAATGAAGATATTCATTACCCCAAAGGGTTCCCTGTACCCTTTTTAATTCCTCGTATTTGGCCCCTCTTTGACTTACCTCAATATCCCAAGGGAATCACTAATTTTTTTTCCCTCTCACTATAAATTAGTTTGCAAATTCTAGAATATTATATATATTAAGTTATATACTATGTATTTTTTTAATCTGGCTTTTTTTCTCTCATCATAATTATTTTGAAATGCATCAATGTCATATAGTGTATCAATAGTTAAGTTTTTTTATAGTTGAGTAATTTTCCATTGTATGGAAATGCCAACTTTGCTGAAGTATTCATCTGTTCATAGACATTTGGGTTATTTCCAGTTTGGGGCTATTACAAATAAAGTTGCTGTGAACATAGTGAATACATCTTTGTATGGATATATGCTTTCATTTATTTTGGGTAAGAACCTAGAAGTGAAATGTTTGGATCAGAAGTGTATGACTAACTTTTTTTATTTTATTTTATTTTATTATTATTACACTTTTGAAGAAGTTGCCAAACCTGTTTCCAGAGTGGTCTTGCCATTTTACATTCCCACCAGCAGTGTATGAGAGTTACAGTTGCTTCAGGTTCTGGCCAATACTTGACAAAATAAATCTGTCTAATTCAATCATTCTAATAGATGTGTGATGATACCTCATTGCAGTTTTAATTTGCATTTTCCTAATAACAACTTTTCATGTGCTTATTGATTATATATATATATATATATATAATATTCTTTGGTGAAACATCTTAATCTTCTGTCAATTTTTTTATGGTTTGTTTTCTTATTGTTGAGTTTTAAGAGTTTCTAAATATATTCTGGATAAGATTTTTCATCAGATATATGCTTTATGAATATTTTTTCCAGTTTGGGGTTTGATTTTTTTAATTCTCTTAACAATATATTTCAGAAAACAAAAGATTCTTTGATGAAGCTACATTTATAGTTTTTTTAAGGGTTGTGCTTTTTGTACAATATCTAAGAAATCTTTGCCTAACACAAGGTCACCAAAAAACCTCCTGTTTTCTTGTAGGAGTTTGTAGTTGTAGCTCTTACATTTATATTTGTAATCTATTTATAATTGATTATTTTATATGGTGCAAAGTATAGACTGAAATTATTTTTATTTTTGTATATAGATATCCAATTTGTTGAAAAGACAATCTTTTCTTTACTAAATTGTCTTTCACCTTTGTTGAAAATCAGTTGTTAATATGTGTGTGTGAGGATCTGTTTCTTGGTCTCTTTTTCTGGCTCATTGATCTATTTGTTTATGTTGATTTTTGTAGTGCTATAATCCTTAAAGTCAAGTAGCATAAGTCTTCAACTTTGTTCTTTTTTTACTTTAAATGCTGTTTGACTATTCTAAGTTCTTTATATTTTTATGTGAATTTTAAATCACCTTGTCATTATTTACAAAATCTTTCTGGGATTTTGATTGGGATTGCATTGAACCTAGATAAATTTGAGTAGTTATGCTTTATAAACTTGCCACAAACATTGAATTAGTGAACACTGAACCATTGCTCTTAGGGGAAAGACAAGGCTAGTTTCCTGAGAACATCTGGTTCCACAGAGGTGACCACAATAACCAAAATATTTTTATTAACATATCAACATAAAACCTCGTCTTATGTATGTTTCTGTTTAAAGATATCTTGTTTAATATATGTTTGTGTATATATATCTATTACCAATACATTAACATTGAACAGCCAACAGCACTATAGCTCAGCTTGAAGAAATCCTATCACACATATATTTTTTGTAAAGCACATCATGGCCTTCCTGAACTTAAGAACACTAGACAGCCCTTCAGCATGAAAGCTTGGGGCCATTTTAAATAGTGAATTGCCCCCAGAAGAGCTCAAAAATGTTTAAAACATGGCATGAAATACTGCAAAAAGGACATTTGTTTACAGTGTGAGAGCTGGAGCAAGAAAGCAGAGTGTAGGCTTGTTAAACTCAAGCTGCGAATGTGCACCACAGGAGACCCATCCCTCTCATCTCTCTGTGCCCATCTGCGTGTGACCATGAGAATGCTGCAGCTATTGATCTGAGTGTTACAAATACATTTTAGCAAGCAGGCAAATTGGAAAATATGGAATCTCTGAATTATGAATATCAATTGTATTTCTGCATTGATTTTCTAAAAATTTTGTTTTACATTTTTGTGTCTATAATCACAGGGGATATTGTTCTATAATGTTCTTATAATATCTTTGTTAGAGTTTAGTATTGAGAATTGGCCTTATAGAATGATTTAAGAAGTATATCTTCTTCAATATTCTTGAAGAACTTGTATACAATTCCCATTATTCTTTTCTTAAATATTTGGTAAGGCTGGGTGCTGTGGCTCATGCTTGTAATCCCAGAACTTTGGGAGGCTGAGGCAGGCAGATCACCTGAGGTCAGGAGTCTGAGACTAACCTGGCCAACATGGTGAAACCCCATCCCTACTAAAAATGCAAAAATTAGCCAGGTGTGGTGGTGGCTGGCACCTGTAATCCCAGCTACTCAGGAGGCTGAGGCAGGAAAATCGCTTGAACCAGGGAGGCAGAGGTTAAAGTGAGCTAAGGTAATGCCATTGCACTCCAGCCTGGGTGACAGAGTGAAACTCTGTCTAAAAAAAAAAAAAAAAAGAATATGACATGGCTGCTTCTAACAGCTTAAACTCAGATATGGGAGTAAAGGAATGATTTAAAGTTGAAACATATTTAAAAGGGAAGCAAAGCATAAAAGTTTGGAAAATTCACAGCCTAGCCCTGTGGTAGACAAAGAATCCAAGCAGGCTGCAGAGCAACCACTTACTAGAGAGATTAGCATGACTAAAAGGGAGCCAAGTGTTAATACCCAAGGCAATGGGAAAAAGGCCTCGAAGGCATTTCAGTTATCTTCAAGGCAGCTCCTCCTATCACAGGCCCAGAGGCCTAGGAGTAAAGAATGGATTCAGGGGCCAGGCCCAGGGCCCTGCTGCCCTGTGCAGTCTCAGGACACTGCTTCTCACATCCTGGCTGTCCCAGCTTCAGCCTTAGTTCAAAGGGCTCCAGATAGTACTCAAGCTGCTGCTTTGGAGACTGCAAGCTGCCATAAGCCTTAGTGGCTCCCACATGGTGTTAAGTCTATGGTAGCATGGAAAGCAAGAGTGAAGGGGGCCTGGCAGCTTCCCCTTAGATTTCAGAGGATGTATGAGAAAACCTGGGTGACCAGGCAGAAGCCTGCCACAGGGGTGGAGCCCTCACAAAAAACCTCTACTAGGGCAGCACAGAGGGAAAATGCAGGGTGAGAGCCCCCACAGAGACTCTACCAGAGTACTGCTTAGTGGAGCTTGGGGAAAGGGACTGCCACCCTCCAAACCCAAGAATGGTAGATCTAACAGAAGCTTGCATCCTGAGCCTCGAAAAGCTACATGTACTCAACTCCAACCCATGACAGCAGCCATGGTCATGTACACTGCAAAGTCACAAGGGGCAGAGCTGCCCAAGGCCTTGAAGGCCCACCTCATGTGCCAGAGTGCCCTGGATGTGGGAAATGGAGTCAAAGGAGATTATTTTGGGGCTTTAAGTAAAGAAAAGGAATCACTTTCTTTTTTCATCCATGCAAAAGAAAGTGATAGAGTGATCCATCCATCACTTTTTTTTTTTTTGACTGTCCTTTGAAGATTTGAAGCCAGGCATTGACTTTTCTCTAGCTATGAAAGTCCCAGATGGCATGTTCTTCCAATTTAAGGTAGTTTCATCTACACTGGAAATCTGTGGCCACCTTTATCAATAATCTTAGCTAGATTTTCTGGATAACTTGCTGCAGCTTCTACATCAGTACTTGCTGCTTCACCTTACATTTGTATCTTACAAAGACAGCTTTTTTCCCCCCCTAAATACCGTGAACCAGTATCTGCCAGCTTCAAATTTTCCTGCAGCTTTCTTGCCTCTCTCAGCCTTCACAGAATTGAAGAGAGTGAGGGTCTTTCTCTGGATTAAATTTTAGCTTAAGGGAATGTTGTGGTCATTTTGATCTTTTTTCCAGATCATTACAACTTTCATCAGCAATAAGGCTATTTTACTTTCTTATCATTCATGTGTTCACTGGAGTAGCACTTTTAATTTCTTCCAAGAACTTTTCCTTTGCATTCACAACTTGACTAGTGATTTGGTTCAATAAGCTTACCTTTCTGCCTATCTTGGCTTTTGACATACCTTCCTCATTCAGCTTAATCATTTCCAGCTTTTGATTTAAAGTGAGAGACCTGTGACCCTTTTTTTTTAACTTGAACACTTAGAAGCCATTAGGGTTATTAATCGGCCTAATTTCAATATTGTCATGTCTCAGGGAATAAAGAGACCCAAGGAGAGGGAAAGAGAGGGGAAAATGTTCAATGGAGGGAGCACTCAGAACACACACATTTACCAGTTAAGTTCACTGTCTTGTATGTGTATGGTTTGTGATGCCCAACAAAAATTACAGTAGTTCCATCAAAGATCACCGATCATAGATCACTATCACAGATATAGTAATAATAAGAAAGTTTGAAATGTTGCGAGAATTACCAAAATGTGACACAGAGACACAAATTGAGCAGTATATGCTTTGGGAAATATGGCGTCAATAGGCTGTTCAGAGTAGAGTTACCACAAACCTTGTAAAAAGAAGTTTGTAAAAAAAATAACGTAATATCTGAGAGGTGCAATAAAGGAAAGCACCATCAAATGAACTCTGACTGCATTTCATTGATTTTTAATATGTAGGTTTTTTGTTATTATTGTTTTCTTGATAATCTGATTTTTTAAAATTATACCATTCTTTTTTAGCCAAGAAAGTTATCTTTAAATATTTGGCTTATTAGGTTTTCCTGAAATGTTTGGCATTATTGGTTTTTATATTTATGTATTTATTGAGACAGAATCTACTTCTGTGGCCCAGGCTGGAGTGCAGTGGCACAATCTCGGTTTACTGCAGCCTCTGCCTCCCAGGTTCCTCCTGCCTCAGCTTCCCAAGTAGCTGGGACTACAGGCATGCACTACCATGCCCTGCTAATTTTTGTATTTTTAGTACAGACAGGGTTTCACCATGTTGACCAGGCTGCTCTCAAACTCCTGACCTCAAGTGATCCACCTGCCTCAGCCTCCCAAAGTGCTGGAATTACAGGCATGAGCCACTGTGCCCAGCATTTTTTATTTATTTTTTTATTGAGGTAAAATTTACAGACAAAATTAAGCATTTTAAGGTAGACAATTTTGTGGCATTTAGTACATTCACAATGTTTTGCAAACACTAACTCTATCTAGTTCCAAAATATTTTCATTACGCCAAATAAAATCCTATATCCATGAGGCACCTACTCCCCATTACTCACTCTCTCCAGCCCTTGACAATCACCATTCTGCTTTCTGTACCTCTGAATTTACCTATTCTGAACATTTCATGTAATTGAGTCATATGACCAACGTGTGAACTTTTGTGTCTGGCTTCTTTCACCTGGCATAATCTTGTATAATATCTGGGCAATGAAATAATCTGTACAACAAAACTTCATGGCACAAGTCTATGTAACAAACCTGCATTTGTACCCCTGAACTTAAAATATAAGTTAAAACAAAGAAAAAAAAGAGACTTACAGAAAGAAGAAGAAAAAAGACTGAATTATGGATGGGTGGATGGATGGATGGATGGATGGATAGGTCAATGAAAAGATGGAAGGCTCATTAAAATTCTGTTTATCACTAAACATACCTGTTCAGAAAAAGTGTAGCGATGTTTACATTATGTGATATGCCACAAGATGAATTCTGTTCATATCCATTATTAATCCATTCATCCACTGATGGATGTTTGGGTTGTTTCTATCTTTTGACTATTGTGAATAGTGCTGCTCTGAATGTTCATATAGAGAGTAATCTGCATACCTGTTTTCAATTCTCTTAGGTATGTCCCTAAGTGGAATTCCTGGGTCATCTGGTAAGCCTATGTTTGACTTACCATGAAATATTTATTCACAGTGACTGAATCATTTTACATTTCCCCCAGTAATACTTGAGAGTTCCAACTTGTAGATATCCTTGCCAACACTTATTTTTCATTTTATTGATTGTAGACATCCTAGTGGGTTTGAAGTGGTATTTAATTTTGGTTTTGATTTGGATTTTCCTAATGACAAATGTTGTTGGTCACCTTTTCATGTGCTTAATGTCCATTTTTAGATATTCTTTGGAGAAATACTAAGTCCTTTGCCCATTTTAAAATGGTCTTTTCAGTTGAATTTCAATTCTTTATATACTCTAGATATTAATCCCTTATCAGAGATGTGATTTGAAAATATTTCTCCTATTCTGTAGATTGTCTTTTCATTTTCTTGATAATATTCTTGGATGTTAAAAATTTTTGTCTTTATATGTCCAGTTTGTCTACTTTTTCTTTTGTTCCATGTGCTTTCAGTATCATATCTAAGAACCCACTGTCAAATCCAAAGTCATGAAGGTTTGTCCCTATATTTTCTTCTGAGAGTTTTGTAGATTTAGCTCTTACCTTTAGATTGATGGTTCATTCTGAGTTCAGTTTTGTTTAGTGATTCAACTTCATTCTTTTGCATGTGAATATCTGGTTGTTCCAGCACCATTTGTTGAAGGGATGATTCTTTCCCTAAATGAATTATCTTGGTACCCTCTTTTAAAAATTATTAATTTCTTGTTTATTTTATTTTATTTTATTTTATTTTATTTTATTTTATTTTATTTTATTTTATTTTATTTTATTTTTGATGAAGGCTCGCTCTGTCGCCCAGGCTGGAGTGCAGTGACCCAATCTCGGCTCACTGCTGGGACTACAGATGCCTGCCACCACACCAGGCTTATTTTTTGTACGTTTTTAGTAGAGACGGGGTTTCACTGTGTTAGCCAGGATGGTCTCGATCTCCTGACCTTGTGATCTGCCCGCCTCGGCCTCCCAAAGTGCTAGGATTACAGGCATGAGCCACCGTGCCCGGCCAATTTCTTGTTTATTTTCATGTTAGATATTGAATATGGTCTGCACAAGTTTCTTTTCTGTGATTAAAAAATTTTTGTTGTCTCTTTGTGGTCAATTTTTATAAATGTTGAAGATGCTTAAAAGTAGGTGTGTATGTCTGTTTGTAAGATACAGAAATTTGAGTACATATAGTACACAACCTTATATCACATATAATAAAAATATTAGTAGTACTGCTTAAATTCTCTATATTTCTTATTTTGCTAAGTAGTCTTAATTAGTGATGGATTGAAAAAGATGAGTTAATATTTACTATTATACTTTTTGGTGTGTATTTATTTTTGTATTTTCAGTAGCTTTTTCTGTGTATTTTTGTTGATATATTATCTGAGCATAAAGGTTCCTGACATTTTTACATTTATTGTGAAATACTTTCTGCATCATTAAACAATGAGTTCATTTAGGATTTTTCATGTCTTTTGCCTAAAATTAAAATTTGCCTGCTTATTAATACAACAATCCCCACTTAAGTTTGTTGGCATTTGTTTGCTTTATCTTTGTCTAACCTTTAATTTATAACTTTGTAATTTTTTAACATATCTTTTACTTTTGGCATGTAATTAGCTTTTGGATCAAACAAAGAAATTATTTTTTAACAGATTTTATATTTCTATTTATATTTGTATTTCTAACAGATATGCTTGATACATGTGCTTCCTTTTCTCTCTCTCTGTGTGTGTGTATATGTGTATGTGTGTGTGTTTAGTGAAGTGGTGTGTATGTGTATGTGTGTGGTTTAGTGAAGTGGTATGTATAGAAAGTGGTGCACTTACTTTTCTCCTGGTAATTTGAAAGTATTATTGTCTGTTTGTTACAGACTGAATGTTTGTGCCCCTCTAAAATTCATATGCTGTAGCCCTAACACCCAAGATGATGATATTTGGGAGGCGAGCCTTCGTGTGGTAATTATTTTTAGATGAGTTCATGAAAGTGGGACCCTCACGATGGAATTAGCATCCTTATAAAAAGAGGAAAAGAGACCAGAGATCTCTCTCCACACCACCACCATAAGAGAACACAGCAAGAAGGTGGCTGTCTGCAAGCCAGGAAGAGAGCCCTCACCAGGGAACCAAATCAGTAGCACCTTAATCTTGGACTTCCAGCCTCCAGAGCTGTCAGAAATAAATTGCTTTTGTTTAAGCTATCCAATGCTTGACATTTTTTTTATGGCAACCAAATTTACTAAGACACTCTTCTAGTGTTATCTTTGTAAATTTGGAGATATATGTCATCTTTATTAATTCATAACTTTTAGTATCAACTATTCTTACATCATGAAAGATTAGATATTTAGTCTTGATAGATCAAATATTCAACAATATGAATTCTAGTTTTGGAATTCTCCATTAAAGGTGCAATTGATTGGATTTGTCATCATGTTTTTTTAAGGATGAATAGGTACTATATGCACTAAGAATACATACTTTAAGAATAGCTTTCTTTCGTCTTTTATGTGAAGAATAAATTGACTACATGCATAAGTTTGGAGTCTGACTTTTCCTTCTCAGAATTATCTATATATTTCTTCACTGTGTTCTTCCATTGAAAATAACTATTTGGGGAAATCTGAGGTCAGTCTATTTTTCTTCTTCTAAGTAACTTGGCTTTTTTCTCACATTTTAATCTTTAACGTTTTGAACACCATCAGGACTTCAAATATTTTTTTCTTCCATGCTGAATTTTCTTAACTTGCTTTTCTATATATTTTATTCTCTCCAAAACTTTTTTTTTACTTCTTCATTTTGCTTATGTGATCTTTTTAAAGCTGTTCTTCTTACATTGAATCTATTTCCAGCAATCTCTATTTTTATTCCTGCTGCTTCTATTGTGGTTTTCATTTCTGTAACAGTTCTATTGTTATCTTGAATTTTCTTAATCTTCCAACTCACTTTTAACCTTTTTAACTTGTCTTAAAAAAATTTTTTTTGGCTGCATGTGTGGTGGCTTATGCCTATAATTCCAGTGCTTTGAGAGGCTGAGGTGGGAGGATCACTTGAATCCAGGAGTTTGAGATCAGCCTGGGCAACATAGTGAGACCCCACAGTGAGACAAACATTTTTTAAAAATAGCCAAGTGTAGTGGTGCGTGCCTGTAGTTCCAGCTACTTCCAAGGCTGAGATGGCTTAAGTCTGGGAGATTGAGGCTGCAGTGAGCCATGATTATCACCATACTCCAGCTGGGGTGGCAGAGTGAGACCGTGTTTCAAAAACAAACAAACAAAAAACAAAATAAGTAATCTCCTCTGTGATTTTTTCCCCAGTGTCCATGTTTTTCTTTAATTTCTTTAACACTGTAGATTACAATAATTTGAAATTTTTTTTGATGCTTGGAACAATTTTTATCTTGAAATGTATTTTAGTATTATGATATTTATTTACTTTCTCCCATTTTTTTCTCTCTCTCCCTCTCTGAGTAGCAGTGACAGAGGTGAGGGTAGTATTTATGTGCAGCACTGAACATTTTGGGCTTATAAGTCATCTTTGAAAGAGGGAAATTCCATTCAGGTCTATAATGATTTTCATGAACAGAGTGTCCAGATGCTAGAGAGCACAGAGGGTTAGATGGAAACTTCAGCGCAAGTCTGTTTCCTTAGAACAGTTTGTCAGCACATTGCTGAGTCATCTGCCCTTGGGGGCATTCCTTAATATCCTCCAGTCTTTACTCAGCCACATCCCTGGGTGGGAGCCTTTATGTCCCACAGGCCCCTTGTTTGGTGATGTGTATTTGCCTGTGTTTTTTCAGATGACTGTGTTCCACAGCTGCATAACTGTGTACCACTTGTCCCAGGATGTGTGTTCCCCATTTCTCAGGGTAAGTCAACATGATTATATATATCCAGACTCTTCCAATTTCTCTCTTGTCTAATTTTGTTTTTATTCCCTTTTTTCTGTACATCATTTCCATCCATCATTTTTCCTTCTTTGCCTGTTCATTTGAGTGCATAATGTAGAGATAATCATTCCTGTGACATATGGGCTCAAATGCCAAAATTTAATCACCTGTACTCCTAACTTTCCCATCCACTTTTTTTTATAGACCATGTGTTTTCTATTTTATGCAGTTTGCCTGGATTTTACACCATCTCCCAAATTCCCAGATGGATCTTAATATTTGCCTTAAAATATACAAGCGTTTTTGTGTCTCATCTTCATTTTCACATCATGCCTAAGACATGAAATTTTATTTGCTCTGCTTAAGTTTATAGTTTCGAAGAATCCTAAGATTATTAGTTTATAGGAACTATAAGCTTATAGTTCGTAAGAGCCCTAAGAATCCCCAAGTTGTCAAAAATTGAGTATAATACAATTGTTTCCACAGAATCAGTGGTAGAGAAAGGGAGTTAAGAGATGTACTATTTGATACTTGATGTTTATAGACATTTTCTCATAAAGAATTTGTATTAATATTTTAAATGAATGTATTTTATGTTTTTCTAGGTAAAAGTCTTATCAAATAATAATTTGTAAAATGATAAAAACATAATTCTCCTTCAAGTATATAAAGTGTAGAGTCAGTGCATACCTAACATTAAAAATTATTTTTATTTTTATTATTATTATTATTCTTGATGGACAAATCATACCTAACATTAATGAGGGAATCGGCAAGATGACAAATGTGATTCAAAGGAGAATGTAAGGGTCTTATGTAGATATGGTCAGTGAAAGAAAGGCTGCTGGAATATGATGTCTAAGTTAGATGAAAAGAAGAGGTTAATACTTTACCTGACAATACAGCCCTAACCTCTGGAGTTTTTAATTTTTTAATTTTTTAAAATAAAAAACAGCTTTAAAGAGGTATAATTGATATAAAATAAGTGTGCATATTTAAAATTTACATTTAATACTCTACTGACATTTGTATGCACTTATGGAACCATCATCATAACCAAGATAATGATCATACACATCATCCCCAAAAGTTTTCTCATTTCCCTTTGGAATCACTCCCTCTCACCATGTCCCATGCACCCACATCCATAGACAGCCACTGGTCTGTTTTCTGCCACTATAAGTTAAATAGCATTTTGTAGAAATTTATAAAAATAAAAGATGAGTATACACATTGGTTTTGATCTGAATTCTTTCTATCAGCAAAATTATTTTGAAATGTATCCACATTGTAGCCCCTATCAATAGTTTACACCTTTTTTTTTACTGCTGAGTTGTATTTCATTTCATGCATGTAACACAATTTGCTTAATGTATTTACCTTTTGATGATATCCATTCAGCTGAGTATTAATTAATCAATCCATTCAGCTGAGGAAATTACCCAAGACCAGTGAGTGAACTATCTAGAAATGTAAAGGTACCAGTGTTTGGTGTTCACAAAGGGCTGGGGATGGTGCCTTTCCTAATCATCCAGACTGAAAATACACATTCAAAAAATGTTAGGCACGTTACACAGAACTGTCTTGCTTCAATGGTAGGGAATAATTATCCCTCAACTAAATATTATATTATTCAAATAGAAAGGCAATATATTATGACCAAGTGGGATGTATTTTAGGAATGCAAGGTTGGCTTAACATTCAGAAACCTGTAAAATACTCCCACTTCCATTTCCATGAAGGTAAAGTGGATGTGCTTTTTCTTGTCTATCAACTTATACACACGCCAATGCTCATTTCAAGAAATAAAAAGACTCTCAAGGGAGGAGTAAAAAAAAAGACCAGCTATTAATAGGTACCTCAGTCTAAGTAGCAATATGGTGGTGAACTCCTGAGTTTACTTTTACCTCATATATCAGAATGGATGTTGGCAAAGTTGGCAGTACAATGATGCCAACAAGTTCAGACAAAAATAGTCCAAACAAAAACCTACTCTTGCTAGCCAAAACACCAGAAAAGGAGCAGCCTCACAAGATATTAAACTTTTAGACTGTAATTGCTCAATTCCAATCAAAAAACACAGAAAACACTTGATCCCATCCCCACCTACACCAGCAAAGGCCAAGGACCCCAAACTCCTAACCTCATGAAGTAACAAGGTGTTCCAAACACCCCTATCCCCAATTTCTTCATCCTGGTTGGTATCAGAGCAGCTGGAGTTAAGAGTCAAGACTTTCATCCCCGCCCAACAGTAAGACACCTCCTGCTTCCATGCTGTCAGTGGCCACCATGCCAGGAAATTGAATTTCTATCCTCATAGTCTGTAATAAGAGTGTAAGAATAGAAATGCTGCAGGAACAAATATGTATTCAAATAAGTAATGGCTGAAAATATACCAAATTTGGCAAAAGACTTAAACTACAGATTCAAGAAGTGAAATAAACTCCAAACGAGATCAACACCAGGACACATCATACTAAAGCTTCTGAAAACTAGAAACAAAGAAACAAAGAAAAAATATTGAAAGCAGCAAAAGAGAAAGGATGTCTTACCTACAGAGGAAAGACAGTCTAAATGACAATGAGTTTTCCATTAGAAACCAAGGAGGCAAGAAGGAAGGGTCACAACATTTTGTAAGCGCAGAAAGAACAGAATTGTTAGTACAGAATATTATATCTTTTAAGGATGAAGGGGAAATCAGGACACTCTCAAATGAAGAAAACCTAAGGGAATCTGCTGCCAACAGACCAACCCCAAAAGAATAACTAAAGGAAGTTATTTAACCCATTTCCTCTTTGCCCTGAGAATACTCTTCTCTCTAATCCTAACGTGACATCATAGACATTTCTGTTACATTAGTATTAGAGACAAGTTCTGTTTAGAAGTAACTGCAAAAACAGTTTTTATATTTCATTTTCACATTGAAAATCAGTCAGATTTGACTCAGCCTCAAAGAGCATGTAAAATTAAATGAGTGCTGGCAGTGAGCTGCATTTTTTTTTCTAAAGGGAAATGGGTTAAACATAAAGGAAATTATAAAATAAGAAATCTTGGGAGCTTGGAAGCAGAGACTGGGCTATTATCAGACTCTAAACCAGCTGGCACCTTGATCTTGGACATCTAGTCTCCAGAACTGTCTGGGAGAGAAAATGGCAGAGAGGAGGCAAGACTAACTTTCAACTCCCACTCAGATGGACAGAGCAGTGTGTGGAGACACACATTGTGAAATTTTGCTCCAAGACCTGCCACAGGAACATACCAGGAATGCTGAGAGAATCCAAAGACCCTTTGAAGGAGGTGGGTTGCTGCTGCAGGCTCCATGGGACAGCTGTGGAATTCTGATGTGCTCTTGAAAGTGCCACGCCCTGGCTGGAGGCCAACGAACACAAAACCAGTGCACTAAACAAAAATACAACCACATACCCTCACAGAGTCCACTTCACTCCCCAGCTACCTCCACCAGGTGCTGGTATCCATAGCTGAGAGAGCTAAAGATGGATCACATCACAGGACTCTTTGCAGACACTCCCTCCTCAGTACCAATCCAGAGCCTGGTAGTTCTATTGGGTGGCTAGATCCAGTGGAGAAATAACAATGGCTGCAGTTAGGCTGTCAGGAAACCCCATTCCTAGAAGAAGGGGAAGAGCACCATATCAAGGGAGCACCCTGTGGGACAAAAGAATCTGAACAGCAACACTTGAGTCACAGATCTTCCCTCTGACATAGTCTGCCAAAATGAGAAAGAGCTGGAAAAACAATTCTGGTAATATGACAAAACAAGGTTTTAACACCCCCAAAACATCAAGACAAAAATCTCAGAATTGCCAGAAAAAGAATTAGAAGGTTGACTATTAAGCCAATTAAGGAGGCACCAGAGAAAGGTGAAGTCCAACTGAAAGAAATCAAAAAGAAAATACAGGATATAAATGGGAAAATCTTTAGTGAAATAGATAGCATAAATTAAAAAAAATCACAACTTTTGGAAATGAAGAACACACTTGGAGAATTGCAAAATGCACTGGAAACTCTCAGCAATAGAATCAAAAAGTAGAAGAAAGAACTTCAGAGCTCAAAGGCAAGGCTTTTGAATTAATCCAATCCAACAAAGACAAGGAAAAAAAAAACAACAATAAAAAATGAACAAAGCCTCCAAGAAGATTGGGACTATGTTAAATGGCCGAACCTAAGAATAATTGTTTTCCCGAGGAAGAAGAGAAATCTAAAATTTTGGAAAACATATTTGAGGGAATAATAGATGAAAACTTCCCCAGCATTGCTAGAGATTTAGACATCCAAATACAGGAAGCTCAAAGAACACCTGGGAAACTCACTGCAAAAAGATGATCGCCTAGGCACACAGTCATCAGGTTATCTAAAATAAAGATGAAGGAAAGAATCTTAAGAGCTGTGAGGCAAAAACATCAGGTAACTTATAAAGGAAGCTCTATCAGACTAACAGCAGATTTCTCAGCAGAAACTCTACAAGCTAGAAGAGATTGGGATCCTGCCTTTAGCCTCCTTAAACAGAACAATTATCAGCCAGGAATTTTGTATTCAGTGAAACTAAGCTTCATAATGAAGGAAAAATACAGTCATTTTCAAGCAAACAAATGTGAAGATAATTCACCACTACCAAGCCAGCACTACAAGAACTGCTAAAAGGACCTCTAAATCTTGAAACAAATCCTAAAATACACCAAAATAGAACATCTTTACAGCATAAATCTCACAGGACTTATAAAAGAAAAACACAATGAAAAACCCAAGGTATTCAGGCAACAAATAGCACAATTAATAGCATAGTACCTCACATCTCAATACTAATGTTAAATGTAAATGGCCTAAATACTCCACTTAAAAGATACAGAATGGCAGAATGGATAAGAATTCAACAACCAATTATCTGCTATTTTCAAGAGACTCACCTAACACATAAGGACTCACATAAACTTAAGGTAAAGGGTTGGAAAAAGCTATTCCATGCAAATGGACACCAAAAGCAAGCAGAAGTAACTATTCTTATATCAAACAAAACAGACTTTAAAGCAACAGCAGTTAAAAAAGACAAAGAGGGATCTTGTGTAATGATAAAAGGACTAGTCCAGCAGGAAAATATCACAATCCTAAATATATGTGCACCTGACACTGGAGCTCCCAGATTTACAAAACAATTACTACTAGACCCAAGAAATGAGATAGACCGCAACACAATAATAGTGGGGGACTTCAATACTCCACTGACAACACTAGACAGGTATCAAGATAGAAAGTCAACAAAGAAATGATGAACTTAAACTATATCCTGGAACAAATGAACTTAACAGATATTTATAGAACATTCTATCAAATAGCTGCAGAATATACCTTCTATTTATGAAATATTCTCCAAGGTAGATAATATGATAGGCCACAAAACAAGTCTCAATAAATTTGAGAAAATTGAAATTATACCAAGTACTTTCTCAGACTACAGTGGAATAAAATTAGAAATCAACTCCAAAAGAAACTCTCAAAACCATGCAACTACACAGAAACCAATAACCTGCTCCTGAATGATCACTGAGTTAACAATAAAATCAAGATGGAAGTTAAAAAATTCTTTGAACTGAGCAATAATAGTGACACAACTATCAAAACCTCTGGGATACAGCAAAGGCAGTGCTAAGAGGTAAGTTTGTAGCATTAAATGCCTACATCAAAAAGTCTGAAAGAATACAGACAATCTAAGGTCACACATCAAGGAACTAGAAAAACAAGAACAAACCAACCTCAAACCCAGCAGAAGAAAAGAAATAACCAAGATCAGAGCAGAACTATATGAAATGAAATTGAAACAAAAAAATACAAAGATTAATGAAACAAAAAACTGGCTCTTTTAAAAGATAAATAAAATTGATAGACTGTTAATGAGATTGACCAAGAAAAGAAAAGAGATGATCCTAATAAGCTCAATTAGAAAAGGAACAGGAGGTATTACAGCCAATACTACAGAGATACAAAAGATCAATCAAGGGTACTATGAACACCTTTATGTGTGTAAACCAGAAAGCCTAGAGGAGACTAATAAATTCCTGGAAATATACAACCCTCCTAGATTAAACCAGGAATAGAAACTCTGAACAAACCAGTAACAAGCAGCAAGATTGAAATGGTAATTTAAAAAATTACCAACAAAAAAAGTCCAGGGCTAGAGGAATTCACAGTTGAATTCTATCAAAAATTCAAAGGAGAATTGGTACCAGTCCTATTGAGACTATTCCAAAAGATAGAGAAAGAGGAAATCCTCCCTAAGTCATTCTATGAAGCCAGTATCACCCAAATACCAAAACTAGGAAAGGACATAACCAAAAAGAAAGCTACAGACCAATATCCCTGATGAACATAGATGCAAAAATTCTTAAGAAAATACTAGCTAACATCATCCAACAACATATAAAAAAGATAATCCACCATGATCAAGTGGGTTTTAAACCAGGGATGCAGGAATGGTTTAACATATGCAAGTCAATAAATGTGGTACACCATATAAACAGAACTTAAAACAAAAATCACATGATCATCTCAATAGATGCAGAAAAAGCATTTGACAAAATCCAGCATCTCCTCATCATTAAAACCCTCAGCAAAATAGAAGGAGATAATAAAAGCCATTTATGACAAACCCGCAACCAACATTATACTGAATGGGGAAAAGTTGAAAGTTGAAAGTTTTTCCTCTGAGAACTGGAACAAGACAAGGTTGACCACTTTCACTACTTCTATTCAACATAGCACTGGAAGTCCTAGACAGAGCAATCAAACGAGAGAAAGAAATAAAGAACATCGAAATCGGTAAAGAGGAAGTCAAACTGTCGCTATTTGCTGATGACATACTCGTATACATAGAAAACCCTATAGACTCATCCAAAAAGCTCCTAGAACTGGCAAATGAATTCAGTAAAGCTTCAGGATACAAAATTAATGTACACTAATAAGTAGCTCTGCTATACACCAACAGCAACCAAGCTCAGAATCAAATCAAGAACTCAACCCCTTTTGCAATAGCTTCAATAAAAAAATATTCTTAGAAATATACTTAACAAAGGAGGTGAAAGACCTCTACAAGGAAAACTATGAAGCACTGATGAAAGAAATCATAAACAACACAAACAAATGGAAACACATTCTATGCTCTTGGATGGGTAGAATCAGTATTGTGAAAATGACCGTACTGCCAAAAGCAATCTACAAATTCAATGCAATTCCCATCAAAATACCACCATCATTCTTCACAGAACTAGAAAAAAAAACCTCTAAAATTCATATGGAACAAAAAGAGGCCCACATAGCCAAAGCAGGACTAAGCAAAAGGAAAAAATCTGGAGGCATTACATTACCTAACTGACTTCAAACTATTCTATAAGGCCATAGTCATCAAAACAGCATGGTACTGGTATAAAAATAGGCACATAGACCAATGGAACAGAATAGAGAACGCAGAAATAAACCCAAATACTTACAGCCAACTGATCTTTGACAAAGCAAACAAAAACATAAAGTGTGGAAAGGACACCCTATTCAACAAATGGTGCTGGGATAACTGGCAAGCCAAGTGTAGAAGAATGAAACTGGATCCTCATCTCTCATCTTATACAAAACTCAACTCAAAATGGATCAAAGACAAATCTAAGACCTGAAATCATAAAAATTTTAAAAAATTATATTGGAAAAATCCTTCTAGACATTGGCTTATGCAAAAACTTCATGACCAAGAACCCGAAAGCAAATGCAACAAAAACAAAGATAAATAGATGGGACTTAATAAAACTGAAAAGCTTCTGCACAGCAAAAGAAACAGTGGAGTAAACAGATAACCCACAGAGTGGGAGAAATCTTTGCAATCTATACATCTGACAAAGGACTAATATCCAGAATTTACAAGGAATTCAAACAAATCAGCAAGGAATAAACAAAGAATCCCATCAAAAAGTGGGCTAAGGACATGAATTATCAAATGAATTCTCAAATGAAGATATACAAATGGCCAATAAACATATTAAAAAATGCTCAATATTACTAATTATCAGGAAAATGTAAATCAAAACCACAATGTGATATCACTTTACTCCTGCAAGAATGGCCATAAAAAAAAAAGATGTTGGCATGGATGTGGTGAAAAGGGAACACTTTTACACTGCTGGTGGGAATGCAAATTAGTACAATCACTATGGAAAAGAGTGTGGAGATTCCTCAAAGAACTAAAAGTAGATCTACTATTTGATCCAGCAATCCCACTCCTGGGTATCTACCCAGAGGAAAAGAAGTCATTTACAAAAAAGAGACTTGTACATGTACGTTTGTAGCAGCACAATTGGCAATTGCAAAAATATGGAACCAGCCCAAATGCCCATCAATCAATGAGTGGATAAAGAAAATGTGATTTTATATATATATACACACACACACACACACACACACGATATATATATATATATACACACACCATGGAATACTAATCAACCATAAAAAGGAATAAAATAATTGGAAATAATGGCATTTGCAGCTACCTGGATGGAATTGGAGACCATTATTCTAAGTGAAGAAATGGAAAAACAAACATCATATGTTCTCATTCATAAGTGGGAGCTAAGGTATGAGGACACAAAGTTATAAGAATGATACAATTGACTTTGGGGACTCGGGAAAGGGTGGGAGGAAAATAAGGAATAAAAGACTACACATTGGGTACAGTGTTCACTGCTCGGGTGGGTGCACCAAAATCTTAGAATTCACCACTAAAGAACTTATTCGTGTAACCAAACACCACCTGTTCCCTCAAAACCAATTGAAATAAAACAAAGAAGAAGAAAAAAAAGAAATCTTGAGCTGTCAGGATGGAAAAAAGAACAAAGTGAAATTACAAGTAAATACAATAGACTTTCCTTCTCCTTCAATTCTCTAAATTAAGTTTGATGGCTGAAAGAAAATTCTAATGCTATCTGATGTGGTTCTAAATGTTTCTGGAAAAAATTTAAAACAATTGTATTATAAGTGGGAGAGGGTAAAGGACATAAAGGTAGATATACTTTCTATATTTTGTCTACTTACCAGTAGACTGATAAGTTTTCTGTATATATTGTAATATGTAAAGCAACCACTAAAAAAGCTATACAAAGAAATACACTCTAAAACACTGTAGATAAATAAAAATAAAATTATAAAAACATTCAAATAACCCACAATGATATATAAAAAAGAAAACAGTTAAAGGGAAAGCAGAATAAGCAGAAAATGATAAAGTAGAATGGCTGAGTTAAGCCCTAACATATCAGCAGATTACATTAAATGTCAATTGTTTATATATGTCAATTAAAAAATAAAAGTTGGCAAAGTAGATTAAAAACATGACACATTATCTACAAGAAACTCACTACAAATAGAATGATACAGGCAGGTTGAAAGTAAAAGGGTGAAGATATATATATCATATAAACATTAATTGAAACACAACAGGAGTAGCAAACATTAATTAAAAAACCCCAGTAGTGGCTATATTAATATCATATAAAGTAGGCTTCAGAGTACATAAATATGCCAGAGACAGAGAAGGATATTATGTAATGACAAAATAGTCAATCACCAAGCAGTCATAGCAACCCTAAATGTTTATGCAGTAAATATGACAGCAACAAAATATGCCGAGAAAAAAAAACTAATTTAAAGTATAAGAAAACTAAAAAAGAACTGAAAAGAGAAACACATAAGTCCATAAGTATAATTGGAGACTTTACCACCACTCTCCTAACAACTAATCCAATTAGACAAAAATCAGCAAAGACAGAAAACTCAAAAGTGCCATGAACAAATATCTAATTGGCATTATTAAATACTCCATCCAACAACACAGTTCTATTCAAGCACCCATGAAACATACTTAGATCATATAAAACAAACCTTGATAAATTTAAAGTTATTGAAATCACACCAAGTGTTTTTTGTCCACAGTGGAATCAAACTACAACTCCACAACAGAAAGATAACAAGAAAATCTTCAAACGTGGAATTTAACAGTATACTTTTTTTTTTTCTTCAGAGACAGCGTCTTGCTCAGTCACCCAGGCTGGAGTGCAGTGGCATGGTTATGGCTCACTGCAACCTCAAACTCCTGGGCTCAAGCAATCCTCCTACCTCAGCCTCCTGTGTAGCTAGGACTACAAGTGCATGCCACAAGGCCTGGCTTTTTTTTTTTTTTTTTTTACTTTTTGTAGAGATGGAGTCTCGCTGTACTGCTCAGATTGGTTTTGAACTCCTGGCCTCAAGCGATCCTCCCAACTCAGCTTCCCAAAGCACTAGGATTACAGGCATGAGCCATTGTGCCCAACCCCTAACAGCATACTTTAATTCATGGTCAAAGAGGAAGTATCTGAAGGGAAATTTTGAGAAACACACTGAATTGAATGAAAACGAAAATGCAACATATCAAAAAATTGGTGTAACACAGCTAAAGTATGGTTTAGTGAAAGGAAAATTTATAGCACTTAATGTACACATTAGAGAAGTATAAAGTCTTCTGCCTCAAGAACACAGAAAATAAAGAGCCAAAAAACTCAAAGCATGCCAATGGAAGGAAATAATAAGGATAAAAGCAGAAATGAAAACAGTAAGACAATGAATCCTACCAATGAAACTAAGAGCTGATTCTTTGAAAATATCAATACATTTGACAAATTTCTAATAAGGCCAACAGAAAAAAGAGAAACAAAAGAAACAAGTGACCAATATCGGCAATGAACAACAAATATCACTACAGATATCAAAAGGATAAGGGAGGACTATGAGTAAATCTACACATACAAATTTGACAAACATTTATGAAATGGGCCAAATCCTAATAAAGTAAAATCCATCACAACTCACACAACATAGAAAATGACTATTTGAATAGCATTATAACTATTAAATAGATTCTATAATGTAATAATTCCAAAAATGAAATTTACAGTTCCAGATGGTTTCAGTGGAGAATTCTGCCACATGTTTAAAGATGTAATACCAATTCTACACAAACTCCTCCAGAAAATAGAAAAGGAGGGGACACTTTCCAATTAATTTTATGAAGCTACTCTTACCCTGATCCTAAAACTAGTAAAGGCAATACAAAAAATAAAACTACACAATATCCGTTATGAGTATAGATACAATATCAAGAAAATTCTATTTGCTGGCAAATAGAATCCAGCAAATATAAAAGGAGTGTATATTATCAACAAGTAGGGTTTATGCCAGGGATGCAATGCTAACTCGATATTCAAAATTAATCAGTGTAAACCACAATAATAACAGACTAAAGAATAAAAATCACAGATGATATCAATCAAGACAGAAAAAGCATTTCACCAAATTCAATACCTATGCATGACAAATACTGTCAGAAAAATGGGAATAAAGGACACCTTTCTAAACTTGGTAAAGAACATCTATAAAAAATACAGCTAACAGTACACTTAATGGTATACTGTTATACCAAAGACTGAATGCTTCCCCCTAAGATTGGCAACAAGGCAAAGATGATCACTCTCACCATCACTATACAACATAGTCATGGAATTTCTAGCCAGTGCAATGAGGAAAGGAAGGAAATAAAAGGCATATGATCAGAAAGGAAGACAGAAAACTGTATTTCTTTTTAAATAACATGGTTGTCTCTGTGGAAAATCTCAAAAAATCTAAAACAACAACAAAAAACTCCAAAAACTACAACTAAGTGTATTTAATAATGTCTTATAATACAAATTTAGCACTCAAAATTTAGCTGTATTTCTATGTACTAGTGATGAACATATAGACACCCAAATTAAAAATACAATACGATTTCCAATTGCTCAAAAAGAAAATGAAGTACCTAGATATAAATATAACTAACATGTACAGGACTCATATGCTGGAAGCTGCAGAATGTTGATGAAGGAAATCAAAGAAGGTCTAAATGAATGGAGAGGCATACCATGTTCATGGATTGGAAGACTCAATATAATGAGGATGTCAGTTGTCCACAAATTGATATTCCAATTTAATGAAATTCCTTTCAAAATCCTAGCCAGGTTTTTAAATAAATATAGACAAGATAATCTAAAATTTATACAGAAAGGCAATATAACTAAAATAGCTAAAATACTTTTGAGAAAAATGGAAAGAATCAGTCTACTCAATTCTGAGACTTATTACATAGCTACAATAACCAAAAGTGCATGCTATCAGCAGAGGAATGTACACATAGATCAATGAAACAGTAGAAAACTTAAAAATAGATGGGAGGGAAATGTGAGTGGCTAATAAAAGGCAGCAGGAGGGATCCTTATTTGATGGAAATGTTTTGTATCTTCATTCTATCAATGTCAATGTCCTGATTTAATATTATACTATAAATTTGCAAGATGTTACCATTGGGGGAAACCAGGTTAAGGGTACACCGAATCTCTCTATATTGTTTTTTACATCTTCACGTGAATCTACAAGTATCTCAAAAGACAAGTATCTCAGAGTCTAATTAAATATAATTACCTCAATAGACACAGAAAATGCATTTGACAAAATACAACATCCATTAAGGATAGAATCTCTCAACAAGCTAAAAGAGAAGAGAATTTCCTTAACTTCATAAAGGACATCTATGAAAAACACAGTTTACATACATAATGATGAAAAACTGAATGCTTCTCACCTAAGATCGATATGTCCTTTCCTTAGGACCCCTTACTGCAGGACTTCTGACACACCCTGTCATAATTTTTGCCCATTTTTCTAGCAGAGCACAAAGCCAATCAAATAAGGGAGTTCTATTCAGATCTTCTTTTCCTTCCATATTCAGATAATAGTTCCTGACAATAATCTATTATTACCATCTGCTAAATGCAAATTATTTCCTTAATTAATTGTTCATATTTTGAAAACAGGTATAGTGGGAGACTTGTATGAAAAATATGTTTTTATTAAAAAAATTTCTTAGATCCAAAGGAATACTAATTTTTTATGCATAGTAAGTCAAAAGGTTTGTGAAAGATTAAGTATGAGAATCATTTTATTTATGGTTAATTCTAAATCAAAAGGGTAATGGGCTATTTTATTTTGTTCTAAGATTAACCTTCTTCAGTACTTTAAGAATTGGATATATTCTGTATGCTGTGATTATTAAGGAAATTCATAAAAAAAAGGGAGAATGGAAAAATATTGATAGTCATAATTAGACTTTATCAATACAACCTAATAATTATTTGATGTTCTAGTGAACAGTAGCTCGTAGGCTTATTGTTTCCTATTATTTACTGCCAGAGTTGGTAAGGTTAGATGTTAACTTAATACAAAATTCACAAGTTACCAATAATTTTTGCCACTGAGTATGAAAATGACTTCTATGTGGTGGAAATGATTACCCCAAAGTTGCATTTTTTCCCATTGAATGTGTGCATGTGCATTTGTATGCATCCTCATATCCTCCTTTGAAAGAGCTTTGCCATGCTTCGTGTATTAGTTTTCTCCTTAATGAGTTAAATAAATGTGATCTTTTGACACATTCTTAATATATGAGGGTCAGGTGTTCAGAGGTTTGAAAACTAAGCTTTGATATAAAGGAAAAAAGAGGATTTAGCACATGTGGGGCTGTGAGCCTTCACATAGAGCTAGCATGGAGAGGATTGGCCTCAGGCCAGCCTGTGGCCATTCTGCTCTAAGGGGCAACATTAGCCCATATGCTTGCTAATGCTTTTATTTATATTTATTGTGTATCCGTTATATATACAGAATGTGCTAGGAGTTGCAACTGTAATTTTGGTTACTTTAATAAGAATATCTTCTGTTAAAATTTTTCTCTCTCTCTTTTTTTTTTGCTTCTCCTGGACAACTCTGATTCATGGGCTTAAATTATCTTAGTATGCTAATTATACTGGAGGACTGGGAGCATATACTAGACTGTGACATCCTGAAAATTCGTGAGTGTCCCTGTTGAGTGAAAATGGTACATTGACTGTGTTGTGTGCAGAAGAAATATTGAGGCTGGCAGAGTGTTTATTTCTCTACTTGATTGAAAGTAGATTTCTGTAACGGAGCTATTTGCTCAAGAGTTTGAACCTCTAAACCCAATTCTAGAAACTTAGGGATTTTTTTAAAAAGGAACACAGATTGGGGGACAGAGCAAGAGGTGGAAAAGAAATCTCCACTGATCATCACCCCCAGCAAGAACATCAATTTAACAACTATCCACACACAATAAAACCACTTTCATAAGAACCAAAAATCAGGTAAGCACTCACATTACCTGGTTTTAACCACATATTGCTGAAAAAGGCACTGAAGAGGTAGGAAAAACAGTCTTGAATCACTAATGCCACTACTCCCTCATCCCTTTAGTTGTGGTGGCGTGGTGTAGAGAGCAGCTTTGTGCTCTGGGGAGAGGGAGAGCATAGCAATTATGAGACATTGAACTCAGTGTTGCCCTGTTATATGAAAAAAACAAAACTAGACCAAACTCAGCTGACACCTGCCCACCAAAGAGCATTTAAACCAGCCATAGCCATTAGGGAATCACTGATCTCAGCCGTCTGAACTTGAATTCCCACAAGCCTCATCACTATGGGCTAAAGTGTTCTAGGGCTGTAAATAAATGTGAAAGGCAGTCTAGGCCACAAGGTCTGCAACTCCTAGGTGTGCTGAACTGGACCCAGAGCCAGCAGACTAAGTGGGGGGGCATAAAAAATATGATTATTTCAACAGATGCTGAAAAAGCGTCTGATAAAATTCAACATCCCTTCATGATAAACACCCTCAAAAAACTGGGTATAAAATGAACATACCTCAACATAATAAAAACCATTTATGACAGACTTACAGGTAGTATCATACTGAATGAGAAAAAAACTGAAAACCCTTTCTCTAAGGTCAAGAACACTACAAGGATGCCCACTTTCACCACTGTTATTTACGTAGTACTAGAAGCCCTAGCTAGAGCAATCAGACAAGAGAAATTAATAAAGGGCATCCAAACTTGAAAGGAAAAAGTCAAATTATTTTTGTTTGCAGATGATACAATCTTATATTTGGAAAATTCTTGTTTGCAGATGATACAATGTTACATTTGGAAAACCACAAAACACTGTTAGAACCAATAAACAAATTCAGTAAAGTTGCAGGATACAAAACCAACATATAAAAATCAGTAGCATTTCTATATGCCAACAGTGAACAATCAGAAAAAGAAATTTAAAATGTAATCCCATTTACAATAGCCACAAATAAAACTAAATACCTAGGAACTAACTTAATCAAAGAGGTAAAAGATATTTATAATGAAAACTATAAAACACTGATGAAAGAAATTGAAGAGGACACACACACACACACACACACACACACACAGAGGAAAGACATTCCATGTTCATGGATTGGAAAAATCAATATTGTTAAAATGTCCATACTACCCAAAGCAATCTACAAATTCAATGCAATCCCTATCAAAATACCAATGACATTTTTCAAAGAAATAGAAAAAACGATTTTAAAATTTATATGGAATGACGAAAGACCCAGAATAGTCAGAGCTATCTTAAACAAAAAACAAAACAAAACAAAACTGGAGGAATCACATTACCTGAAATCAAATTATACTACAGAGTTATAGTAACCAAAACAGCATGATACTAGCATGAGAACAGACATATAGACCAATGGAAGAGAATAGAGAACCCAGAAACAAATTCATACACCTATAGTGAACTCATTGTCAACAAAGATGCCAAGAACATACATTGGGAAAAAGATAGTCTCTTTGATAAATAGTGCTGGGAAAACTGAATATCCATATGTAGAAGAATGAAACTAGACCCCATCTCTCATAATAAAAAAAATCAAAATGGATTAAAGACTTAAATCTAAGACCTCAAATTATAAAACTACTGCAAGAAAACATTGGGGAAACTCTCCAGGACATTGGTCTGGGCAAAAGTATCTTGAGTAATACCCTACAGACACAGGCAACCAAAACAAAAATGGACAAATGGGATCACATCAAGTAAAAAAGTTTCTGCACAGCAAAGGGAACAATCAACAAAGTAAAGAGACAATCCACAGAGTGGGAGAAAATATTTGAAAATTACTCAGGATATATACACAAAACAAAGGAAATCATTTATTAAAGAGATATCTGCACTCGCATGTTTGTTGCAGCACTGTTCACAACGCCAAAATTTGAAAACCTAGCTGAGTGTCCATCAACAGATGAATGGATAAAGAGAATGTGGTACATATATACAATGGAGTACTATTTAGCCATAAAAAATGAGATCCTGTCATTTGCAACAAAGTGGACTGAACCAGAGGTCATTATGTTAAGTGAAATAAGCCAGGCAAAGAAAGACAGACATCACATGTTCTCGTTTATTTATGGGGTCTAAAAATCAAAACAATTGAACTCACAGAGATAGAGAGTAGGATGGTTACCAGAGGCTGGGAAGGGTAGTGAGGGGAACAAGGTAGGTGGGGCTGGTTAATATGTACAAAAAAATAGTTTAAAAGAATGAATAAGATCTAGAATTTGCTAGCACAACAGGGTGACTATAGTCAATACTAATTTAATTATACATTTTTAAATAACTAAAAGTATAATTGGATTGTAACAAAGAATAGACACTTGAGGGGATGGACACCCCATTTTCCATGATGTGATTATTATGCATTGCAAGCTTGTATCAAAACATTTCATGTACTTGATAAATATATATACCTACTGTGTACCCACTAAAATAAAATTAAAACAAAAAAACACAATATATAAGCTTAAACATTTTTAAAATTGGTCTCAGTAACATATATTAAGCTGAAGTGGGGAATAGTCTCTGAACATTAGAAACATTAGAAAGTTATGGCTTGTTTCTAATATGCAAGTTAGACAGAAAATACAAGCTCCATAATCTTATATTGCGGAAGCAACATTTGTTTTAAGTCCTGGAATCCACGGCCTCCATTTCCTCATCTTGTGTTAATGGAATTGTATCTGCAGCCAGAGAAAGAGGTTTCTAGTTAGTGAATATTGGCAAAGATTCTAGGAAAGTTTGAGTTTTACTGATGAAAGAGTGGAATGTAGACAAGATTCCAACTGGAGTAGCCCAGGAAAAGAGCTTGTCAGATAAAGCTGAAAGGTAAATTCCTTATCTGCTTGTCTAATGGGACTAGGTATGATATTTATGCCCTTAATACCTTATAACCATCAGTTCAGTACCAGAAATGCATGAAACTCTGTTTTTTAGTTTTTTTAAGTTTGTATTAACAAATAGAGACATTAAAAGACACACATCATCTCTTGAGGCTTGACTAGCCATTCATCTCCACTGCCATGAGAAATCACCTGCCACCTGCACCTGCACCTCCTTCTGTGCAAAAGCACCTTTGTTTGGCAGAAGACCCTCAAGAATCCAGGAAAAAGTCTTCTTCCTCTAAACCCAGTTGAATTCCTAAATCAATACAATGCAAAATCCATTGGTTAAAAAGAACATGAATGAGATAATTTTTTCCTACTCATGGGTCGCACCCCGAGGGACTTGCTCTGGCTTCCAACCCTCGTGGGGAGGCAGCAGCCCTGGTTAGTGGGTGGGCTCCGTGGCTCCTCTTGTGCTGTTGGGTCAGCACAGCAGCTGGAAGCCAGAGGGTCACCTGTCCTTTTGTACCAGCGAAGGTTCATTTTCCTCAGTGTTTCCCCAAGGGCAGGAACATATTTTTACTGATGACCAATTCAGTTTTTCCAGAGGTCCATGTGTTTCTGAATTCAGAATTTTAGAATCCAGTAAAGTTCATATTGTCAAATAACTTATTTAAAGAGTTAGGGAAAGACTTGGGGAAAGACTTTCCAATCTCTCACTTCACTTCCAGTGTGAGATGTTATTTATATATGCAAAACTGGGAGGTATATATGTATATACACATCTAATAAGAATAACTTGAGTTGAGCAACCCTAAGATGCTACCATTTGTTTCATCCTTTTTAAATGTGCGTAGCCCCTCTCCAAACACACATAAGCAGTTTGAGGCAGGGACCATATTTTGTACTTTTTGCCTTCAAAGAGCATGATCCATAGCAGGAGCTACTAATGAGTGTTCGATCATCATAATGATGAATTAAATATAGATATTTTGTCATTCGTATTTTATTCATTTATTTTTGGAGATGGAATCTTGCTCTGCTGCCCAGGCTAGAGTGCAGTGGTGTGATCTTGGCTCACTGCAACCTCCGCCTCCCAGGTTCAAGCGATTCTCCTGTTCAGCCGCCCGAGTAGCTGGGGTTACAGGTGCCCACCACTATGCCTGGATAATTTTTGTATTTTTGGTAGAGACAGTGTTTCGCCATGTTGGCCAGGGTGGTCTCAAACTCCTGACCTCAGGTGATCCACCCAAGTTGGCTTCCGAAAGTGCTGGCATTACAGGTGTAAGCCACCTTGCCTGGCCTATTTTGTCATTTTAAAAATGTATTTCTCTACCTTCAGGTGGAGTCACAGATCTCAGTGGTCACCCCCAAGTGGAGAAGCTGTGCGATGCTGATGGCCTCTAGGGGGTGAGGCCACTGGGAACCAAGCCCTCCCCTGCAGCCCAGCGCTGTGTCCGCTGCAGCATGGGATCCTCGGGGCACTGGCTGGGGACATCTGAAGAGGTTATTGCTTCGCTGGCATGGACGGCAAGGGTCACACTGCCCAGCTGTGAGTTGCCCCTCAAGCAGCACCCTGTCGCCATTCCAGAGGAATGTTCCAGAGGAAACAAGGAACTGAGCTTAGCTCATCTCTGGTCTCTCCTCCCAGGAAGGACTTTTGTGAGGCCTGTTTTGTCCCCCACTGCCCGGCCATAGCCAAGTCCCTAAATGGACCTTCTTTGAAGGAAGAACCCAGCTACTCAACGCCCACCCTGTTCCCAGCCCCTGGTTTTGATGAAAATGCAGTCGTGCCCATGAAACTAGGAATCTGTGGGGTTTTTTAAAACTGCAGTGAGAGACAAAGAGCTGCTTCTCTTTGTCAACCAGGCTTCCCCCCTCCAGACATTTGCTTCTGCTTAGAGATATTATGAGCCGGAAAATTCACAAGGCCAAATCAGAGACAGGGGAAATTCCTCTGAGGGTTGGTGAATGGAATATAAATCCTGCTCTGATGTGGAAAACTAAGTTGCTGCTCAGTCATTATTCCTGTCAGCATTCCAGGGCCAGTCCTTGTCATTAAAGCTGCACTTTCATCCTGTCCACACACTCAAGGCCACACAAAAATAAGGGACTGCCCAACACTAAACTTCTTTTATTTTTTGAGGGAAGGGGGCACTCCTCTTTAGGGAAACAATATGTTTAAGTCAAGCAAAGAAGTTAAAAGTATGAAAACCATCTATGTGCATTTTCCTTTTCTCCATCTCCCCCCATCCACTCTTTCAACCTTCAGCGCTAATTTCTTGTTACCAACCTTGCACTAATACAATGCGACATTCTCAGGCCTGGAATTTGGTCTTTCAAAGCTGGTTCTGCTCCAAGTCCTCTGTGACCTTTCATTACTTTCTTCCACACCCCCTTATCTGAGCTGTCCATGTCTAAATGGAACCTACAGTTCCCAGAGAGAAGACAGAGAGAAAGAGAGACAGAAATAAAGAAGAGAGGGAGAAATAAAGGGAGGGAGGGAGTGACATAGAAGAGTCAAGGAGAAAGAGAGAGGGAGAGAGAGAAAAAGAAAGAGACAGAGAGGGAAGGAGAGAGAGAAAGAGTCAAAGAGAGAGGCAGAGAGAAGAAAGAAGGGAAGAAGAGAGGAAGAGAGAGAGGCAGATGGAGAGAGAGGGAGAGGAAGACACTGAGAAAGAGTCAAAAGCAGATAGCGGTGTGGGGAGAGAGAGAGAGAGAGAGAGAGAGAGAGAGAGAGAGAGAGAGAGAGAGAACCGAGAGGACCAGGCTGACTTGAGTGTCTCCTGCTGTGATCCAGCTCTGGAGGCCACACAGCATCGCTTCTACTGCATTCCACCCCACCCCATCTAAGGCAGTCACCAAGATTCAAGAGACAGAGAGTGGGAGAGTGAAACAAAGAGAGAGAGAGGGGGAGAGAGATAGAGAGAGAGAGAGAGAGAGAAAGAGGAAGAAGAAAGAAGAAGAAGAGGAAGAAGAAGAAGGAAGAAGAAGGAAGAAAGAAGAAAGAAGAAGAAAGGGAGGGAGAGAGGCAGAAAGAGACAGAGACAGAGCAGCGAGGCAGAATGAGAGACAGAGAGAGAGACACAGAGAGACAAAGTGAGAGAGTGAGAGAAAGACAGAGACAGAGAGAAAGAGACAGAAAGCAGAAAAGCAAAGGAGAGAAAGAGTGACAGAGAGAGAGAGTGAGAGAGAGAAAGAGAGAGAGGACATACACTGGCAAATCCCAGTTTCCTGTGGGAGAGGGGAAAGCAGAGCCGGTGTGTCTGGAATTACTCTTCTTCCCCAATCTATAATCCTTTTTCATGTTTTGATTAGAAACACTGTTGAGATGGAGCACCTATGAGAGGTCGTTCTCCTGGCATGGTCACAGCCTCATCTGGGCAGCTCTTGGCTCTTGGGCTCCTGCCCCGGGGCGGATCTTCATGAAGCACTCACGCTGTTGCCAGGAGGGGTCTGTCCAGCTGCATCATGCACCTGAGGACCCTTGTGCTTGCGGGGTGTGCATTCTCACTGCTAGTCCCGAGGGAGCAGAGAGCCCCACCGGCCCTGCTTCATTCTCCTTGTCCTGGCCATGCAAATGCGCTTCTCAGGAGGACCAGGAGCTGCCGAGGAAGGGGAGTCTGATCGGTGCAGTGATCAGGGACTCCAGGCTCACACAGTTTTCCCTGGAGAGCCCGAGAGGCAGGGAGTCTCTTACATTCCAGAAGAGAAAGAGGGACCATTCAGGATGGCAGGTTCAAGGATGAAGAGTTTTCTGTTTCTCAAAGCTTTTGGGGGATGACAGTTATGATTTTCATTCTTTAACATACGTTCAAACGTGGGCAACATGGATAAATATGCATTGCCACTATCACTTCATGAGTGACTTGAGAACTTTGGAATTAGGCAGAAGTTATGGCCCCCAAAACTGCTATTTTCTTTCTAATTAGACAATACAAGTACTTGAGGAATTAATTTGCTGTTTGCTTTCAGCGCTGACACATGAACAGTGAAAGGGGTCAAATTGTGCTGCGGCCATCTCCCCATCTCCTCCCCTCGCCTGACCTTGACCCGCCTGTGACCTTGGCTCTGTTGGCACCGTGCTAAGCCAATTACACTCACTCGGTGGCTCAGCCACATACCACAGTATCAGGCAGTCACAGCAAAGGAGTGGCTTTAGAATATGTGAAGGATCACCCCTGTAAATATGATTATCTTTCCTGGGCAGGAGAAACTGGAAGTTCATGTGTTACTGATGGCCACCTGGCGTCTCTGCACATAAGTGCAGGGCCATTATTGAGGATGGGAGAAGTTGTCACTATGACTAAGAGACTGTGGCTCTCCAAAGAGTGTCTGCCGAAAGGACCAGTCTCCTTGGAGAGTGTAATGTGTCATGGCACTATTCACTTTTGGGGGAAAAGAGCTTTACTTTTTAGAGTAAACTTGTGTTGAAAAGAACCAAAGCAAACACTGAAACCTATTCACAGACTGAAATCTTGTTTGCCTCAGGGAAATACTGTGCAAAATATTCTACAATCTTGAAAGTGCCCTGAAAATGAGTACTCCCTGTTTCAAGTCCTCAAATACCAATGACTCCAGAGAAGGCTGTGTTCTCCAATTTCACCTAAAAAGTAACAGATCTCCTAATGTTTTAAAGTTTGTGGGTTAAGCAGGAGCCTGAAACATTTTTTAAAAATCAACTTTATTGGCTGGGCGCGGTGGCTCATGCCTGTAATCCCAGCACTTTGGGAGGCTGAGGTGGGCTGATCATGAGGTCAGGAGTTCGAGACCAGCCTGGCCAACATAGTGAAACCCCATCTCTACTAAAAATACAAAAATTAGTCGGGTGTGGTGGTGCACGCCTGTAGTCCCAGCTACTCGGGAGGCTGAGGCAGGAGAATCATTTGAACCTGGGAGGCAGAGGTTGCAGTGAGCTGAGATTGTGCCACTGCACCCCAGCCTGGGCGACAGAGCAAGACTCAGTCTCCTAAAAACAAAAAAAAAAAAAAAAAAAAGAAAATCAGCTTTATTGAGGGATGTAGAATTCACATATGACACCCTGCCCTTTTTTTTTCTTTGTACCTCTTTGTAGTCCCTCCCTCCCTCTGCTTCTGGGCCCAAGCAACCCCTGATTTGCTTTTGGTCACTAAAAATCTCTTTCCTAGAGTTTTATATAAATGAAAGCATGTAATATGTGACCTTTTGTGCCTGACTACTTTCACTCAGCATAGTGATTTTGAGATTCATCTGTATTTTTGCATATCAGTAATCATTCCCTTTTATGTTGAGTATTACTCATCATATGGAAGTTCCACTTTCATTTTGTTTATTCGTTTATCTGCTGGTGGACATTTGACTGGTCCCCAGTTTTAGGATATTATGAATAATGCCACCATGAACATTCATGTATACCTCTCAGTGTGGACATTTTTCATGGATAAATACTTAATAACATAACATCTGGGTTATATATTTGTTTATATTTAACTATATGTTTAAACAAACTGCCAGTTTCCAAAGTGGTTGCACCATTCCATTTGACTCACATCTCTGCCAATACTTGGTATGAGCAATCTTTCTCCTTTCTTCATCCCGGTGGGCATGGAATGGTGTCTCATTGTGATTTTGATTTGCATTTCTCTGGTGACTGACAATCTCAAGCATCTTTTCGTGAGCTTATTGGCCATCACATGTCTGCTTTTAAGGATCTGTTCAAATCTATTGCCTATTTTTTTTTAAAAAATAGGTTATTTGTCTTCTTATTTCCCCAGAGATTTCAGGCAGTTGCTTCTTGTATCTTGTACAAAGACTATAAACACTATTTTTAAGAGTTTCCATTTCCAAAATATTGGAATCAGAATTCCTGATTAATTTAGTAAACAGAACCCTCACTGCAGAATCACGTGCAGAGTGCAGAGTGATTTAACGAATTGGTACACTCAGGAGTTACATCCTTTCATTATAGAAAAACAAATAAAATAATTTAATTTTCTAAGAAGAAAAGCTTAAAACAAAGCATTTTTTTCCCTTCTGGTGCTGTGTCAGCCAAAACAAGGCTCGTTTTTCCTTTTGGGCTTCCTGCCTGGCCCCTGATGCTGAAACCCAAGGTCTCTGACATTTCATTCTCCACTGACATTCATTGCACCATCAAGATAATATTTTTTTTCTGGTAAAATTTGGAACACAACTTTCTTCACGTCCTTTTATTATATTTTGAATTTTACTTGTTAATTGGTTAACGACTAGTAATTTTCAAAACAACCTGTTGCTTGAATTCAATTATTAACATGAAAAAAATATGGGTCTTTAGAGATATCTGACCTGATTAAAACAGACTTCTCTCCATGGGATCTGCTTTAATATATACATTAGCGTTACTTTTATTGGGCACATGATTTCATTTCTTTACATATTATTTTAAATGCTTAAGCACTTTGATTCACAAAGGCTAAATATTATTTACACAGCGCTGGATTTGGCATTAATTTGTATGATAAACCCTTTGTATAGTGTACCAACTCAAACTCTGTAACAAGTGGAACCTAGATTATTTCCAAGTTCTGAATTAAGAAATCCAAATTCAGGAGTTTTGCAGACTTGAGCAGCTGTCTTCACCACCTGTGATTCAGATTTGGACAGTGTTGTACCAGGTGTCAGCATCGATGGTGCCCATATTTATATTCAATGTTGAATGTTCCTCTTTCTGTACCCTACTTTAAAACAAAAGCCCCTAACACATTGAAGAAATCAAAGTTTGTCTACTTGCCCTTTCCAAAGACATGGCTCTGCTCACTCAATATCAACTTTGATTTCGAAGCCAATCCAGATATTAAATAGAAGGAATGTTTGGACATATCTTCTTCATTTGGAATTTCAAATTGATATGCTTTTTGACATGTCAAGTCCTGACACAGACAAATCAACTAGAAAGAGCAGGAGATTCTACATTTAGAGGCTTCTGATCTAGTCTGTGGAAGAAATTAAGGATTCTTTATATATTTCCACTCAAAATAGTTCTTTCTGTCTTCCCAATGAAAATATTTTCTATTATTAAATGATTGTAATAGATTAACAATAGTGTAGGGTTGACATCTTTATAATAATGAACCATGATTCCATCCTCTGATTATTCATTATATTAATGGGAACCATAATTTTATATTTCCTGATATATTTTCTTTGCCAGGCAATCAGTATTTACCTAACCCTGCATCCCATCTGTCATTATGATCAAGAGAATCATGTTTATTACCCAGAAGAGAAGGGACAGCAGACAGAGATATGCTTAGGGGTAAGGAAGTAAGAAATATGATATAGGAAAGGTTGCCATCAGACCAGAATGGGATGTCCCCTTAACGCATGGAAGGAAGAGAGAGAAAATTGGAGACTTCCCTGAATCTTTAATAAGTGACCTAGCACCCTATCCTTCTACATCTGGGCAAAAATGGGTTATAAGGAAAACTCTTTCTAGAAGCCCAGGTGGGCTGAGGGATAGCTTGCCTGCCCCTCCCACCATGCCCCGGCTGGCTGATCAGCAGGAGCAAAGGAGGTGTCTAGAAAGATGGACCTGAGGTAGCCAACTGGTCACTTGAAGGCACACCTGTTGAGTACAGGTGACCCAGGGGTCCCAAATGCCCTGGACAGGAGGCGTGAGCTAATGAAGAAACCACTGGATGGTCAGAGGCTTGAGGTTGGGATGTGGAGGCCATAGAGTGTGAGGAGGTCAGTGAGTGGAGAAAGAAATGTCAGACCTTGGGCTTCAGCATCAGGGGCTGGCAGGAAGTCCAAAAGGAAAAATGAGCCTTGTTTTGGCTGACACAGCACCAGGAGCTTGAGGAAAAGACCAAACACCACTCAATGGAACCTGTTCTGCCCCAGAGCCCAGACACAGAGCAATCTCCCTGAGGGTGTGCAGACTCCCACTCCACCTGGGCAGGCAGGAGGGAGGTGAGGAATGACGCTGAGCAATTCAACTTTGCACTTGTCTTACCCAAAGGGCTATTTAGCTGAAAAAGTGATTCGAATCAAACGGATAAGCTCCGCTTTAATCAATAACAGTGCTGATACTTACTGAGTGTGTGCTGTGTGACAGTCCCTGTTCAGAGTCCTCATGACAACCCCATTTATGGTAGGTGTTACTGTTTACCTCCATTTTCCAGACAAGGCAACTGAGGCTCTGAGAGAACCATGGAGTGATAAGCAGAGAAGCTGGATGTGCTCGCCATTCCCTGGGCTCTTCTGGGGACACTTGCTTCTATCTCTCTATCACGAGGGTAGAGGAGACACCAAACAAGGTGAGCTTGATTGGGCACACCCATGCGAGGAAACACGCTTCTCACACATCTGAGTCATGTGAGTCAATCCTCTACATGGCTTTCCAAGCATAGCCATTTCTTCCCCAACACAGGAACCAGGAGGGATGCCTTGTAGAAACAGAGCTCCACAGATGCATCACTCTTTTATTTTAGCTAATAATAGAGAACACTTGTACCGTCAAGGTATTGATTGTAGCTTCTAAAAAGCACATAGAACAACAGGTGCAGGTTAAAATCCCTGCCTACTTTCCTGGTATGTGTGTAAAGGATCCCCTCAATGTCCAAGCTATGGCCTTCCTCACCCAGCCCTCACCAAGTGGAGTGGCTATGGCCTTCTATGCAGGTCATGTGAAAAAAGGTTGACCCCATTCCCCCACCATGGCTCTTGGTCAAGAAACAAACAAGCCCTCTGTGAAACAATGTACTCTGGAAGCTGGTGAATGGTAGCATATTCCATCAGGCTGGGCATGAGCAATTACTGGGAAGCCCAGCTGCAGAGCTGAACTTAGGGCTCCTGCCACGGGTGTGAGCCCTTAGCTGCAGGATCATGAGCCAAGTCTGTCTCCCAAGCATGGGCTGCAGCCCCTGAGCCTTGCCTGAAGCTCTGTGCCAGCATCTCCCCATCCAGGAGCTGCTCCACTGCCAGGTCAGCCCTTGAGGCCTGTATCCAGCACCAAGAAGGCCCCTCCCATGGCCCCATCCTTCCCTTTCCTCCAGAGGCCACCTGGACTCATCTCTCTTCTCTGCTGTCTCATCAACTATGAGTAAATAATGATCCCCCAATCATATCTGATACTTAGTAAGTGTTGCTGTCTTTGAAGTTGTCAACCTTGAGTTCAGACTCTTATTTTAAGAATGCAGTGACTTGCCCAAGTTTCTTTTGGAATTCCATAACAGAACCTGAGTCTTCTTCCTTTGGGTCATGCAGTCGTGGTTCACTCATCTATGACTTTCAAGGAGACTCTAATTTTTAGAAATGGGACTCACCACTTCGTGGAGGCAGGAATTGTGGCAAGAGGAGCCACTGGGACCAGGAGAGATGCCTTGGGAAACAGCGTTCTTATCTCCTGTCTATATTCTGTGGACCTCCCAATGTGAAACTCTTTGTTTTCTGCATTCTGACTCTATGTGCTGTAATTCAGAACCATCTTCATGTTGTTATGATACTGCATTGACTACGTGAATGGAGACAAAAAATGTCTACAGAGCTATCAACAAAGACACATCACTGGTAAGACTGCCAGCCTTACGAGGGCTGACCCAGACCTGCACACATTGGGCCTTGCATATTGTCAGAGGCAGCGCTGAACCTTGTCTTCCCACAAGGAGCTGGGAAGCTTCCCACAAGGTGTGGTAGACCAGCTGGGGAGGGTGTGAATGTCTCTTCCAGAGACTCACAAAGGCAAGCTCAAGATCTGAGGTGAGGAGGATGAGGAGGCGTGGTACAGTGCCTCCCACAGGCTTGGACTCAGCCATTTTAATGGCGTCCTCAAGTGTAATGTGCGATGCTGCAGTGATGCACGGGCTTGCCAGGGAGCAGTATGTCCCCACGTGAGTCAGTTTTTTGGGAGGAATGTCTGTGTCATCCATCATTGAAAAAGCCTCCTTCAATGAGTGCCCTAGGGGTCAAGTGCAAGAGCTTTTTAAGGATTCTTGTCAAGCTGGTCTAGCTGCTCTGAAACATCTTCGGATGCCCAGGCAGCTGGAGGTGTCACACCAGGCTCACCATTTGCAAGACGCCTCAGGATTTTGCTCAGACACCCTCAGGAGACACTCCAGGAGGAAGTCTGCCAGCTGCCATGTTGTTGGCACAATGTGCATTGGGGCATGAAGCTGAGAAGCCGAGGGTCACGCGGGCATTCCTTTGGTGCCGAAGCATGCCCTGCAGCCTCTTCATCCAGGTGTGGCACTCAGCTGGCCACACAGACGGGGCTGAGCCTGCTTACATAACTGCCCAGGAGCACTCGCAGGTCCTACAGGAACTTGGACTCCAGACTCCGTAATTCTGGCTCACTCATGCAATGTATTGAAGCCTTTAGTTTTCTCATCTATAAACTGAAAACAGGAAAACCCATAAGGCATGTGCTGTTATGAGATTGAATGAGATAGTATATGCAAGGTCCTCCTGCATCAGAAGCACTTACCATATGGACGGGTTTGAAGGCCATGGAAAAGTGTGTGGTGTGGGCAGATCCAGAAGCACCTGTGCATCGGCAGGACGTGAATGATGTGTTCAGGTTTCTCACACCCACATTGCCTTAGTGATGACTGAAAAGAAGAATGGGTACCCATTGTCATCAAGGACAGCTTTGAGGCCTAAGCAAAGACAAGCAGCCTTCAGTCCCCTTTTGTGCATGACAGCTTGCATTGCCCAAACAACGAGTGATTTTTTTTAATTTGACATTTATTTTCATACTACATTCAGGGAGGAACAGTTAGAAAGTGATAGAATTTTTCTTGAAGTTTATTTTATTTTATCTATTTTTTATTTTTATTTTAAAAATATTTTTATTATTTTATTTTATGTTTCCATAAGTTATTGGAGTACAGGTGGTATTTGGTTACATGAGTAAGTTCTTTAGTGGTGATTTGTGAGATTTTGGTGTGCCCATCACCTGAGCAGTATACACTGCACCCTATTTGTAGTCTTTTATCCCTCACCCCTCTCCCACTCTTCCCCACAAGGCCCCAAAGTCCATGGTATCATTCTTATGCCTTTGCATCCTTACAGCTTAGCTCCCACTATCAGTGAGAACATATGATGTTTGGTTTTCCATTCCTGAGCTACTTCACTTAAAATAATAGTTTCCAATCTCATCTAGGTCACTGCAAATGCTGTTAGTTCCTGTTTTATGGCTGTGTAGCAGTCCATCGTATATATATATATACGTATATGTGTATATATGTATATGTGTGTGTGTGTATATATATATGTATGTATATATACCACAGTTTCTTTATCCACTCGTTGATTGATGGGCATTTGGGTTGGTTCCATGATTTTGCAATTGTGAATTGTGATGCTATAAACATGCATGTGCAAGTATCTTTTTCAAATAATGACTTCTTTTCCTCTGGGTAGATATCCAATAGTGGGATTGCTGGATCAAATGGTAGTTCCACTTTTAATTCTTTAAGGAATCTCCACACTGTTTTCCATAGTGCCTGTACTAGTTTGCATTCCCACCAGCAGTGTAGAAGTGTCCCCTGTTCACTGCATCCATTCCAACATTTACTATTTTTTGATTTTTTGATTATGGCCATTCTTGCAGGAGTGAGGTGGTATTGCATTTGTGGTTTTGATCTGCATTTCCCTGATAATTAGTGATGTTGAGCATTTTTTCATATGTTTGTTGACCATTTGTATATCTTCTTTTGAGAATTGTATATTCATGTCCTTAGCCCGCTTTTTGTTGGTATTGTTTGTTTTTTTTCTTACTCATTTGTTCGAGTTCATTGTAGATTCTGAATATTAGTCCTTGGTCCGATGTATAGATTGTGAAGATTTTCTCCCACTCTGTGGGTTGTCTGTTTATGCCGCTGACTGTTCCTTTTGCTGTGCAAAGGCTCTTTAGTTTAATTAGGTCCCAGCTATTGATCTTTGTTTTTATTGCATTTGCTTTTGGGTTCTTGGTCATGAAATCTTTGCCTAAGCCAATGTCTAGATGGGTTTTTCCAATGTTAACTTCTAGAATTTTTATAATTTCAGGTCTTAGTTTTAAGTCCTTAATCCATATTGAGCTGATTTTTGTATAAGTTGAGAGATGAGGATCCAGTTTTATTTTCCTACATGTGGCTAGCCAATTATCCCAGCACCATTTGTTGAAAAGGGTGTCCTTTCCCCACCTTATGTTTTTGTTTGCTTCGTCAAAAATCAGTTGGCTATAAGTATTTCAGTTTATTTCTGGGTTATCTATTCTGTTCCATTGGTCTATGTGCCTATTTTTATACAAGTACTATGCTGTTTTGGTGACTATGGCCTTATGGTATAGTTTGAAATCAGGTAGTGTGATGCCTCCATGTTTGTTCTTTTTGCTTAGTCTTGCTATGGCTGTGTGGACTCTTTTTTGTTCCATAGGAATTTTAGAGTTGTTTTTTTCTAGTTCTGTGAAGAATGATGGTGGTATTTCAACGAGGATTGCATTGAATTTGTAGATTGCTTTTGGCAGTATGGTCATTTTCACAATATTGATTCTACCCATCTATGAGCATGGGATGTGTTTTCATTTGTTTGTGTCATCTATGATTTCTTTCAGCATTGTTTGTAGTTTTCTTTGTAGAAAGTCTTTTGACTCCTTTGTTAGGTATACTTCTAAGTATTTTATTTTATTTTATTTTATTGCAGCTATTGTAAAAGGGGTTGAGTTCTTGATTTGATTCTCTGCTTGGTTGCTGTTAGTGTATAGATTTGTGTATATTCATCTTGTATCTGGAAACTGTGCTGAATTCTTTTATCAGTTATAGGAGCTTTCTGGAGGAGTCCTTAGGGTTTTGAAGTTAAATGATCATATTGTCAGCAAACAGTGAAAATTTGACTTCTTCTTTACCGATTTGGATGCCCTTTATTTCTTTCTCTTGTCTGATTGCTCTGGCTAGTACTTCCAGTACTATCTTGAAGAGGAGTGGTGAGAGTGGGCATACTTGTCTTGTTCCTGTTCTCAGAGGGAATGCTTTCAACTTTTCCCCATTCACTATTATGTTGGCTGTGGGTTTGTCATAGATGGCTTTTATTACATTAAAGTATGACCCTTGTATGCTTATTTTGCTGAGGGTTTTAATCATAAAGCGATACTGGATTTTGTTGAATACTTTTTCTGCATCTATTGAGATGATCATGTGATTTTTGTTTTTAATTCTGTTTATGTGGTATATCATATTTATTGACTTGCATTTGTTAAACCATCCCTCATCTGTGGTATGAAGCCCACTGATCATGGTGGATTATCTTTTTGATATGTTGTTGGAGTCTGTTAGTTAGTATTTTGTTAAGGATTTTAGCATTTATGTTCATCAAGGGTATCAGTCTGTAGTTTTCTTTTTTGGTTGTGTCCTTTTCTGGTTTTGGTTTTCTGGTTTTGGCTTCATATAATGAATTAGGGAGGGTTCCTTCTTTGTCTATTATGTGGAATAGTGTTAAAAGGATTGGGACCAATTCTTCTTTGAATGTCTGGTAGAATTCTACTGTGAATCTGGTCCTGGACTTTTTTTGTTAGTGTTATTATTATTATTATTTGAGAAAGAGTCTCACTCTGTTGCCCAGGCTGAAGTGCAGTGGCACGATGTCAGCTCACTGCAATCTCTGACTTCTGGGTTCAAGCAATTCTCCTGCCTCAGCCTCCCGAGTAGCTGGGATTACAAGCATGAGCCACTGTGCCCGGCTGGGAATTTTTAAATTACCATTTCAATCTCACTGCTTGTTATTGGTCTGTTCAGGGTATCTACTTCTTCCTGATTCAAGCTAGGAGGATTGTATTTCTTCAGGAATTTATCCATCTCTTCTAGGTTTTCTAGTTTATGTGCATAAAGGTGTTCATAGTAGCCTTGAGTGTTCTTTTGTATTTCAGTGGTGTCAGTTGTAATATCTCTCGTTTCATTTCTTAGTGAGGTTATTTGGATTTTCTCTCTTCTCTTCTTGGTTAATCTTGCTAATGGTCTATCAGTTTTATTTATCTTTTCAAAGAACCAGTTTTTTGTTTCATTTATCTTTTGTATTTTTTTTTGTTTCAACTTCATTTAGTTCTGCTTTGATCTTGGTTATTTCCTTTCTTCTGCTGGGTTTGGTTTGGTTTCTTCTTGTTTCTCTAGTTCTTTGAGGCGTGACCTTAGATTGTCTGTTTGTGCTGTTTCAGACTTTTTGATGTAGGCATTTAGGGAAATGAACTTTCCTCTTAGCACCACCTTAGCTGTATCCCATAGGTTTTGATAGGTTGTGCCATTACTGTCATTCAGTTTGAAGAAGTTTTTAATTTCCATCTTGATTTCATTTTTGACCCAGTTCTCATTCAGGAGCAGGTTATTTAGTTTTCATATATATGTGTGGTTTTGAAGGCTCCTTTTGGTGTTGATTTCCAGTTTTATTACACTGTGGTCTGAGAAAATGCTTGATATGATTTCAATTTTCTTAAATTTATTGAGGCTCGTATTATGGCCTATCACATGGTCTATCTTGGAGAAAGTTCCACATGCTGTTGAATAGAATGTGTATTCTGCAGTTGTTGGATGAAATGTTCTGTATATATCTGTCCATTTGTTCCAAGGTGTAGTTTAAATCCATTGTTTCTTTGTTGACTTTCTGTCTTGATGACCTGTCCAGTGCTGTCAGTAGAGTATTGAAATTCCCCGCTATTATTGTGTTGCTGTCTATCTCATTTCCTAGGTCTATTAGTAATTGTTTTATAAATTTGGGGGCTCCAGTGTTAGGTGCATATATGTTTAGGATTGTGATATTTTCCTGTTGAACGAGTCCTTTTACCATTATATAATATCCCTCTTTGTCTCTTTTAACTGCTGTCACTTTAAAGTTTGTTTTGTCTGACATAAGAATAGCTACCTCTGCTTGCTTTTGGTGTCCATTTGCATGAAATGCCTTTTTCCACCCCTTTACTTTAAGTTTATGTGAGTCCTTATATGTTAGGTGAGTCTCCTGAAGGCAGCAGATAGTTGGTTGGTGAGTTCTTATCCATTCTGCAGTTCTGTATCTTTTAAATGGAGCATTTAGACCATTTACATTCAATGTTAGTGTTGAAATGTGAGGTACCATTGCATTCATCATGCTCTTTGTTGCCTGTGTATTTTTGTTTGTTTGTTTTTGCTTTTAACTTGTATTATTGTTTTATAGGTCCTGTGTGATTTATACTTTAAAAAGGTTCTGTTTTGTTGTGTTTTCAGGATTTATTTCAAGATTTAGAGCTCCTTTTAGAACAGTCCTTGTAGTGGTGGCTTGGTAATGGCAAATTCTCTCAGCATTTGTTTGTCTGAAAACAACTGTTTCATTCCTTCATGTGTGATTCTTAATTTTGCTAGATACAAAATTCTTGGCTGATAATTGTTTTGTTTGAGGAAGCTAAAGATAGGGCCCCAATCCCTTCTAGCTTGTAGGGTTTCTGCTGAGAAATCTGCTGTTAATCTGATAGATTTTCCTTTATAGGTTACCTGGTGCTTCTGTCTCACAGCTCTTAAGATTCTTTCCTTCATCTTAACTTTGGATAACCTGATGACAATGTGCCTAGGTGAAGATCTTTTCACGATGAATTTCCCGCGTGTTCTTTGTGCTTCTTGTATTTGCATGTCTAGGTCTCTAGCAAGGCCTGGGAAGTTTTCCTCAATTATTCCCCTGAATATCTCTTCCAGGCTTTTAGAATTCTCTTCTTCCTCAGGAACACTAACTATTCTTAGATTTGGTCATTTAACATAATCCTAGACTCCTTGGAGGCTTTGTTCTTATTTTCTTATTCTTTTTTTGTTGTTGTTGTCTTTGTTGGATTGGGTTAATTTGAAGACTTTGTCTTTGAGCTCTGAATTTCTTTCTTCTACTTGTTCAATTCTATTGCTGAGAGTTTCCAGAGCATTTTGCATTTCTAAAAGTGTGTCCAAAGTTTCCTGAATTTTTTCTGGTGTTTTCTTTAAGCTATCTATTTCCTTGAATATTTCTCCCTTCACTTCTTGTATCATTTTTTGGATTTCCTTGCATTCGGCTTTGCCTTTCTCTGGTCCCTCCTTGGTTAGCTTAGTAACTAAACTCCTGAATTATTTTACAGGTAAATCAGGGATTTCTTCTGGATTTGGATTCATTGCTGGCAAATTAGTGTGATTTTGGGGGGGTGTTGAAGAGCCTTGTTTTGTCATATTACCATGATTGGTTTTCTGGTTCCTTCTCATTCCCTTTGTCAGAGGGAAGGTCTAGGGCTGAAGGCTATTGTTTAGATTGTTTGGTCCCATGGGGTGTTCCCTAGATGTAGTACTCTCCCTCTTTTCCTATGGATGTGGCTTCTTGTAAGCCAAACTGAGGTGATTGCTGTCTCTCTTTTGGGTCTAGCCACCCAGCAAGTCTACCCAGCTCTGGTCTGGTACTGGGGGTTGTCTGCACAGAGTCCTGTGATGTGATCCTCTCAGCCATGGATACCAGTTCCTATTCCAGTGGAGGTGGCGGAGGGTGCAATGGACTCCATGAGGGTCCTGACCTATGGTGGTTTCATGCTCTATTTTTGTGCTGGTTTTTCTCCTGCCAGGAGGTGGCACTTTCCAGAAAGCATCAGCTGTAGTAGTATGGAGAGGGACTGGCAGTGGGTGGAGCCCTAGAACTCCCAAGATTATATGCCCTTTGTCTTCTGCTACCAAGGTGGATAGAGAAGGCCCATCAGGCGGGGCTAGATGTGTCTGAGCTCAGACTCTCCTTGGGCAGGTCTTGCTGTGGCTGCTGTGGGGGGTGGGGGTGAGATTCCCAGGTCACTGCAGTTGTGTACCTAGGAGGATTATGGCTGCCTCTGCTGAGTCATACAGGTTGTCAGGGAAGTGGGGGAAAGGCAGCAGTCACAGGTCTCACCCACCTCCCAGCAAACCAAAGAGCCATTCTCACTCCCACTGTGTCACCTGCAACAGCCCTGAGTCTGTTTCCAGGCCAAGGGTGAGATGGGCTTGAAAACTTGCCCAAGGCTGTCTGCCTCTTAGAGTATTTGGGGTGTCTCCTGGGTCCGGCAGAAGCAGTCTTCTTCCTTCAGAGGGTCTGTGGGTCCTCTCAGGATTGCTGGTTTTTTCTTGCTGTTGATCTGAAGCTAAAATTCACAGTGGAAGCCTCCCCATGCTGCTCTGTCTGGAGCTGCAATCTAGTCCTGCCTCCCATCTGCCATGATCCCAAAATCCTGATGGTTGGTTTCATGTGCCAACTTGACTGGGCCATGTAGTACCCAGATATTTGGTCAAACCTTATTCTGGGTGTCTCAGTGAGGGTGCTTTTGGATGGGATTAATGTTTACATTGGTAGGCTGAATAAAGCAAAGCACATGGCACTCCCCCATGTGGGTGGGCTCATTTAAGTCTTTGAAGGCCTAAATAAAACAAAATGTCTGGCCTCCCAGAGGCTTCTCTAAAAACTCTTCAGATGACTGCTTTTGGAAACTTTCTTGCCTGACCACCTTCAAAGTGGGACATTGGTTTTATTTCCTTCTTTGGACTTGAATTGAAACATTGGTTCTTCCTAGATCTTGGGCCTGCTCGCCTTCAGACTGGAACCACACCACCAGCTCTCCTGGGTCTCTAGCCTGCTGACTCACCCTGCAGCTCATGGGACTTGTCAGTCTCCATAATCGGGTGAGCCAATTCCTTATAATAAATTTCTTTCTGTAAAGCTATATGCACCCTGCTGGTTCAATTTCACTGGAGACCCCTAATATACAATCTATTTTTGGTTCATTTTGGGTCATTTCAGCTGTGAAGGAATGTAGAGATGGAGGAGAGAGTCCCACTGTGTGGTGCCCTGGGCTTTCTGCCAGACAACAAACAGGGCCCAGTACCAAAGCAAACCAAAGACATGTGGACCTCAGACTGCATCTGAGTGTCCTTGCCAGAGTATACAAGCTTCTGGGTGGCTACCTCCTAAATTTTCAATATTGCCCAAGTTCACCAAGTACTTGTATGAACTTCATGTCCTGACTCCTTGGTGAGGTGTTGTTTTTCCTTTTTTTTTTTTTTTCGTTTTTGTTTTTTGAGATGGAGTCTGTCTCTGTTGCCCAGGATGGAGTGCAGTGGCACGATAGCTCACTGCAACCTCTGCCTCCTGGATTAAAGCAATTATCCTGCCTCAGCCTCCTGAGTAGCCAGGACCACAGGTGTGTGCCACCACACCTGACTAATTTTTTATATTTTTGGTAGAGATGGGGTTTCATCACATTGGCCAGGCTGGTCTTGAACTCCTGACCTCCTGATCCATCCACCTCGGTCTCCCAAAGTTCTGGGCTTACTTTAACAGAGTTACATAATGATTGGAAATCTGTGAAATGCAAAACTTTTACCAACTATTTCACTAAATAAATGCAGCATGCTAAGATGTTTTTGTTCTTGATTTCTTTTTTATTGTGATTTTAATTTTTTTTTTGTGGAGAGTTTAGAAAATGCACAGGGATATAGAAAAGGAAGTCTGTAAATAGCTGCCATCTCAGTGCCCACAGGTGTAGGATGAGTGTGTGATACTTAGGGACCCAGTGCTTTCCCTCTGCATGGTGGACAGTGGCCCCTTGGGGCATCTATTTGCAGGATCCATGTGCAGGAAGGTTTGGATTTGGCTGAGAGAGGAGTTCAGGCTGGGCCCTGTTGGGGATGGGAAAGGATGGTGGGATGGGCCTCCCTCTACCCTGCCCCACAAGGACCAGAGAGACTAGCAGCCCTCTTTTTGGACACTCTCAAGGGTGGCATTGGGGCAGCAGTGCAGGGCCTGGGACCTGTGGGTTCCAGTTCCAGGGGACATCTGAGCACTTCCTGGCCACACACAAAAACAACGGGGGAAGTGAGACAGTGGGGATCCAGATGGCTCCTCAGGAGGTAGCGGCCCAGAGCTGCCATAACAGAGGTGCAAAGAGAGCCCCTGCAAGCTCACTTCTGCTCCCAGGCTGGTGAGACTGAAAACATTGAGGGAGGATGACATTCAGGCCTTCGTTCCTTTCATAGATGCAAAATTGTTACTGTTCTCTTACAAAATTGGGACACTTCATATGCAGTTTTGTATCCTTTCTCTTTTTGGGGGGGGTTCATAGTTTCATTTTTATACTTTTTCTTATGTTATAAAGTTTCTATAATAAGCATGCATTGCTTTTAAAATCAGAAAAAGTCATGTGATTAATTAAAACAGGATGTAGATCAGTCACTGAGCAATTCTGTCTGCCTAGCAACCTCAGCTGGCAGCCTGTGGGCGGTGGTGTAGGGGGCAGCAAGAGACAAGTGGGCGGGCGGCCGGGGAGTGGACAGCACAGGGATGCAGGACAGCAATGTCTCATAGCTTCAGAATCCCTGCAGCAGATACCTTTCATGTGGTTTTATTGTCTTTAAGTAGAACTGTAGGTTTTATCTTATTTTTTCTCCAAATTCATGCAAGGCTATGAACTGAGAAAGCTGGTATGGAAGGTTGCAAGTTGCTGTTAGTGTCATGGAGGTAAAATCTTCATCAGCCCAGCTGAGCATGTCCTGAAAAAAAAACCAGCAAACAACCAGGCCTGGTTTCTACAGTCTGCAAACTACTATTGTTGAGAGCTTACCACTCCACATATTTTTTCCCAGCTTTATTGAGGTATAGTTAGCATACACAATAGTATAAATTTAAGGCATACAATGCGATGATTTCATATATGTATATATCGTGGAATGACGACCACAATCAAGTTAGTTAAGACCTTCATCGCTTTACATAGTTACCCTTTGTGTGTGTGTTTTGTATGTGTGTGCACATCTGTGGTGAGAACATTTAACATAAGTTTGACAGAGAAAGACAAGTACTGCATGATCTCATTTTTATGTGGCGTGTAAAAAAGCCCAACTCTTGCAAGCAGAATGGTGGTTGACCCGGGGCTGGGGTGGGGGAAATGGGGACATGTTGGTCAAAGGGTGCAAACTCTCAGCATGAGATGAGTAAGTTCTGGGTTACTAATGTACAGCATGGTGACTGCAGTTAACAATACTGTATTGTATACTTGAAATTCCCTTATATTCGTTTGAAAGGTCTGTTCTTACGCAGAGGCCAGCTGAAGTCAGTAAATTCCATTCAGCAATATAGGTAGCAGCTGCCCCCTGAAGACGTCACCGGCCGAGTTCATCAGCACCATGGGGAGTGCCCTGTGGATTTCCAGAGCCCAGCCTCCCTCCGTGTCTCTGGTCTTGCCATCCTGCCGCCTCTGCAGGCTCCAGCTCTCTGGGCTGGGGTTGGATAGGCACAGAGACTCTAGGCCACACTAAGAGCTGTGTGCCCCTCCTATGTCCATGTGCAGTTTTTATTGTCTTCATCGAGTTATTCCTCACACAAATCCTTTACAGCAGTGATTCTTAGATTGGTTTAATTTTTTAGATCACTCATCTCTTTGAAAATCTGATGAGTCATGAATGCTTTTTTCAAGGAAAGAGAATGTATGTGAGCCGTGCACACGTAGAATCTGACATACCATTTTGGGAGGGCTCATGCACCCTTAGAAGCCCATCTGTAAACTGTATGTCAAGAATCCATGGTCCCAGATGAAATACTGTGCAGTAGAGTCACCATGGCTCCCAGGGGCGACAGGGCCTGAGTAGACCTGATGTGACCCACTCATCTCCCTACTTGTTCATGGAAGACTCAGCCTCTAGGTTCAAAGAATCTCTTTCCTTTACTTCCACTGTCTTCCTGTGAGCACCACTCACACGGCTGACCCTTCTTGTCCCCCAGTTCCTGATGTCCACTCCTCCATGACCCTTCACCTTTTGCTCCCTCCACACCCTCCCATGGCTCACAGGCTCACCCCTCCAGCATGCAGGGGGACACCTACATGAAAAAGGAAACACCTCACTTCAAAAGAAACCCATGAGCAGTTCCTCCCCACTTCCCACTTCCTCCTAGCCCTTGGCAACCACTGGTTCTGTCTCTATGTATTTGCCTATTCCAAATACTTCACATAAAATTTTGCATGTTTTATACAATTTATGGCCTTTTGTGTCTGGCTTATTTAGCATAATGTTTTTAAGGCTCATCTACGTCATGGCATGTGTCAAAAAATTCCTTTTTATGGCAGAATAAGATTACATTTTCTTTGCCTATTCATTCATTGAAGGACATCTGAATTGTTTTCAGTTTTGGGGCTATGATGAATAATGCTGCTATAAGCATGTATATGCAAGTTTTCATGTGGACATAGATCTTCCATTCCCTTGGTATATACCTAGGATGAATTTTCATCCTTTCTTGCATTGAAGTATTTTGCCATATTTATGTAATCATTCTTCTACTATACTTAACCATTCTTTCATTATTGGACATTTATTGGACATTCTCTCATTATTGGTCATAATTTTCTTATCAGAAATGAGGGAGCTGGACCAGTTCAACTCTAAGTTCTCTCCCAGTTTTAAAGCCTGGACTCAGGGAGCCTCCCAAGCTCCACTGTTTAGCCCGTGGCCCCCAGCTCATCTCGGCATGTGTATCTCCTGCTGTACCGAACGGCCCATGAGGGGAAAGCAGGTGCTTATTTCACAGAAAGGCCACCCTGGTTACCAGCTACCATGTTTCATGCTCAGTGCTTTTCACAAGTTAAAATGGTCTGGAGATAGGAATTCCTTCTGACAGCTCTAGGATCTGCCATCAAAAAAGCCTTGCCAGCCTGAGTGATGTCCCCACCTTGGTTGGGAGGGGTGGTGACAGCCACTGGGAGCCAATCTTTGTGATGAGTTCATTTGTGCCCAATGAATGAAAATCAAGATGCCATGCAGAGCCCAGTCCGAAGCCTTGGTTGCACTGTTGATTACCTCGGTACCAGCCGCTGCCAGGAATCTAGTGCTGGGGACGGGGGAACAAATGAATCACCAATGAGTGCTGTAACTCTTGTAAAGCAAACCTACAAACACATAGGCACAAAGAAGAGCTGCACTATTATGGGATGAATTGTGCCACCCCAAACTCCTATGTTGGAGTCCTGACCCCCATTCCCTCAGAATGTGGCCATGTTTGGAAATAGGCTCTTTTAAAAGATAATTAAATTAAACCACGGCCATAGTATGGGTCCTAATGTAATATAACGTGTTTTTACAAGAAGGAAATGTTTACACAAAAACACACACCAAGAGAAGACAATGTGGGGATGCCAGGAGAAGCTGCCAGCTACAAGCCCAGGGGAGCGGCCTGGAGCAGCGTCCCCCTCACAGCCTCAGAAGGAACCGACCCTGCCCACTGATACCTTTATCTCGGACTTCCGGCTTCCAGGACTGGAAGAAATGAATTTCCGTTGTTCAAGCCACTGAGTCCGAGGTACTTCATTCCAGCAGCTCCAGCAAGCAACTATAGGTACAAAAACCATTCTGAGCTTAAAAGACAACCGAAAAAAATAAGTAGCCTTGTGTGTATTTCTAAAACTTAACTTAGAAAATGAGATAATAGCACGAGATTCTCTACCATTCTTAGGAGCCCTTTTTATTTTTAAAACCCATTCTGGTAAGATGTTAACATAAATCCTGTCCAAGAAATGCGAGCCCTGCTGCAGCCTCAAGGAATAATTCAAATCCCAAAGAGCCTTGATGTCTGACAGCTGTGGCTTGTTCTCCACCTCAGCCTTTCACCAGCCTCCCCCAGGAAGGTCACTCCGAGTCCCTGTGGATCCATTGCACACTGTTCCCTATCGAAGGTCTTCCAAACTATTACATCTCCATTAGGAAAACTGAAAAATACATGTTAAAGAAAAGATGAAAATCTCCAATAATCCTAACCTCTTAAGAAAAGTATTGTATCTATCACTTATATGTTATAGATATATATGACTTATTCTAAAAATGATTTGTGATTTCAAAAGTAACGCATTTTTATTGGAGATGATTCTCTTTTTCTCAACTTTTATTTTAGATTTAGAGAGTACTTGTTCAGGGTTGTTACCTGAGTACATTGTGTGATGCTGGAGTACAAATGAACTCATCACCCGGATACTGAGCATAGTACCCAATAATTTTTCAAACTTTGCTTCCCCTCCCTCTCCCTCTAGTGTCTATTGTTCTCATCTTATTTTGTTGTTGTTGTTGTTTTGGTTTTGCTTTTTTGAGACACAGGGTCTCACTCTGCCACCCAGGCTGGAGTGCAGTGGTGCAATCTGGGCTCACTGCAACCTCTGCCTCCTGAGTTCAAGCAATTCTCCCTGCCTCAGCCTCCCAAGTAGCTGGGATTACAGGTGCGCACCACAACGCCCAGCTAATTTTTGTATTTTTATTAGAGACGTGGTTGGCCAGGCTGGTCTCGAACTCCTGACCTCAGATGACCTGCCCGCCTCGGCTTCCCAAAGTGCTGGGATTACAGTTGTGAGCTACCATGCCCAGCCGATTGTTCTCATCTTTACGTCTGTGAGTACCCATTGTTTAGCTCCTGTTTATAAGTGAGAAGATGTGGTATTTGGTTTTCTGTTCCTGTGTCAATTCACTTAAGATAATGGCCTCCAGCTGCATCTGTGTTGCTGCAAAGGACATGATTTCGTTCTTACTTATGGCCTCATAGGATTCCACGGTGTATATGTACTACATCTTCTTTATTCAATCCACCACTGATGGGCACCTAGGCTTACTCTATGTCTTTGTTATTGTGAATAGTACTGCGATGAACATGTGAGTGCATGGGTCTTTTTGGTAGAATGACGTTTTCCTTACAAATGCTGTTTTTAAGATTTTGAGAAATCTCCAAACTTCTTTCCACAGCAGCTGAACTAATTTACATTTCTACTATCAGCGTATAATCATTCTCTTTTCTCTGCAGCTTCACCAGCATCTGTTGCATTTTGACTTTTTAATAGTAGCCATTCTGATTGGTGTGAGACGGTATCTCAGTGGAGTTTTTATTTTCATATCTCTGATGATTAGTGATGTTGAACACTTTTTCATACGTTTGTTGGTTGCTTGTGTGTCTTCTTTTGAGAGGTATCTGCTTGTGTCTTTTTTCCATTTTTAAATGGAGTTATTTGTTTTTTGCTTGTCCAATTGTTAAGTTCCTTATAGAGTCTAGATATTAAACCGTTGTCACATGTGTAGTTTGAGAATATTTTCTTTTATTCTGTAGATTTTCTGTTTATTCTGTTGATCATTTCTTTTGCTGTCCAGAAACTCTTTAGTTTAATTAGATTCCACTTACCAATTTTTGGTTTTGTTGCAGTTGCTTTTGATGACTTAGTTATACATCCTTTCCCAAGGCCAATGTCTAGAATGATGTTTCCTAGGTTTTCTTCTAGAATTCCTAGAGTTTGGGGTCCTACATTTAATTATTAAATGAGTCTTGAGCTAATTTTTGTATGTGGTGAAAGGTAGGTGTCTGGTTTTGTTCTTCTGCATATGGCTAGCCAATTATCCCAGCATCATTTATTGACTAGGGAGTCCTTTCCCCATTGCTTATTTTTGTTGACTTTGTCAAATATTGGATGGCTGTAGGTGTCCGGCTTTATTTCTGTGTTCTCTGTTCTGTTCCACTGGTCTGTGTGTCTGTTTTTGTACCAGTACCATGCTGTTTTTGGTTACTATAGCCTTATATTAATATTAGCCACAAATAATTGAAGGATAAAACTTTAATAATAATACTATTTATAAAAGTGTCAGAAAACAATCAAATATCTAGAAATAAATTTACCAAACTATGCACAGGACCATTACACAACTATAGAATATGATCAAGAGCAATTAAAGAAGATCAAAATAAATGCAAGTTAAGATCATGTTTGGGGATGGAAGTCAGAAAATGGCTAAGACTTGATTGAGATTCAGTCTAATCAGAATAAAAATTATAGTAGGTGTTTTGGGGGAATTTGACAAGTTGATTCTAAAATTAATATAAAATGCAGAGTCAATGATAGCAAAGGCGATCCTACTGCTGTATACACATGGATAAATCCCACAAGTATGATGCCAAGGGAAAGAAGCCAGCTACAAGAATCCACCCTGTATCATCTCATTTCATAAACACTGAAAAACAAGTGAGACCAATTTATTTTAATGAAAATCAAAACAGTGGTTATCTTTATGGTTGTAATATTTGAGGGGGTGCTAGGGAGTTTTCTGTGGTGTTAGAAATGGCTACATCTTGATCTGAGGGTGTTCATTTTATACAGACTCAATTTGGCTGAATACTCATGATTTGTGTATGTGGGTATGCATGTTGTACTATGATAAAATCTGTGTAGAGTTAAGACTTTGGTCTCTCTTAATCCAACAATACCTTGGCTTAAATTTGTTGAGTATATTTGATATCTAACGATTTTGACAAAGCTGTATGGGAAATGTACAACAGGAAATTTTGTCTTACAAGTCATAAATAAATATAGTTTAAGCCTCTGATTTATTAGGTAGGCAAATTAAAACAAATATCATCACAAGGATTACAACAGCCAAACGGAAGGCTAGATCAAAGTGGAAAAGCAAAGTAGTTGCACAATATTTTCACCCCTTTTGGCCAATTTGCTGGCATTTGCTCTGCCTAACAGGGTAAAACTCATTCTCTCCCATTATTTATTTGTTTTAAGACTAGAGGGAAAAAACATCAAGAAATAATTTTACTTCCAGTTTCTCAGAAGCAAGGGTATGTGACTTTAACTGAAATTGTAACTTTTTAACTAAGAAGCTACAGGTATGAGTGACCAACAAACACATGAAATTTCTTACAACCAGCACAATGCTTCAAATACACTAGAATGGCTAAAATTAAAGACTGACAATATCAAGTGTTGATAAGGATGTGAAGCACTGCAATTCTCATATTTTGCTAGAAGGAGTGTGAAATGGTACAACCATGGTAGAAGAATGTTTTGCAATATCTTATAAAATTAAACATAAATGCTTCTTTTAACCTGAGAATTCCCATTCATGGATATGTGATTCCGTCTACCAAGAAAAAAAATGGAAATATATATTCAAACAAACAACTCATACTTTGTCTTACAAGTCATAAATAAATATAGTTTAAATCTCTGATTTATTAGATAGGCAAATTAAAATAAATGTCATCACAAGGATTACAACAGCCAAGTGGAAGGCTAGATCAAAATGGAAAAGCAAAGTAACTGCATAGTATTTTCACCCCTTTCGGCCAATTTGTTGGCATTTGCTCTGCCTAACAAGGTAAAACTCAACTTCAGTATTAAGAATATTAATTGTAGCATTGTCCACAATAGCCAAAATTGGAAACAACCAAAGTCCCCACACTGTAGGATGGATAAACATATTGTTTTATATCCATACAATGGAGTGCTCCTAAATAATGAAAAGGGACAAATTACTGATCCACACAATATAGAAGAATCTCAAAAACATTATGCTAAGAGAAGCCAGACGAAAAAGTGTTCCTACTGTATTTAAAATCCACCTTTATGAAATTAGTAGCTGACTAAACTAATTGTTAGAAATTGCAATCAGAATAGTCCCTGGAAAAGAATATGAAAGAGCTTTGGAGAGTGTAATGTCTATGCCCCATGTCCTGGCTGGGGTATTGGGTATTGGTTGTAGAGGTGTATGTATGTTTGGCATATCATTGAACTGCTCATTTAAGACCTGTGCCTTTCGCTGTTTGTAATTAATACCTCAAGTAACACACACACACACACACACACACACACACACACACACACACACACACACACACACATTGGGGGAGGAATCCCATTCATAAGACAAGGGAAGAAGACCAAACTCAAATGAAAGAAGACCAAACTCAGATGAAAGAAGACCATCCCTCAAAAGCCCACTCTGGGGGTAACATCAGATTCATTAGGAGAGAGTTTTCTTTCTCACTGGAACAATATATCTGCCTTAAAACCTGGCATCTTGTTATTTTATTTTGTTCCTTGAGTTCTTCCCTAGTAGCAAATCCTATTGTTTCTGAAAAGTTTGGGGAGCACTGGTTGCCATGGATGAATAAGCTTACTCTGGAAATTCCCCAACCAATTCTCTATTTCAATGGGTCTGTAAAGAGTAGAAAATGTGTCCCAGTGTATTCTAGTTATGGATTTACTAAAGGTAACTTCAGGGCATCTTTAGCATTCTCAGAGTAATGATACTGGGTTAATGCTAAAAACTGATGTAAATCAGATTTTAATTTTCACTGCATGAACATTTCACAGGCTATTGGGTAAGATCTCTATTAAGAAATTAATGCAGCTTTATTACTCTCCTCCTGGGCAATTCCTTTACCTTCAGGCAACAAGAGACGCACCTGAGAAACATAAATGCTCACTTCCTGCAAGCATTGGACAGGTATGAGCTAAGAAATGGTGACCTTGATAGGGAATAAAATGAGTAGGTCCTCTTTGAAGAAATGCTGCATACTGAACCCAGAGTCCAAAAAAAGATGTTTCATAAAACAAATTAAGGGAACACAGCATCATGCCAATCATTAAAAAGACAAAGGCATTTTCCCATAGAAACTAGGAGTAAGAAATATTCTAGCAAATTCAGAAATTTAAAAGAGCATCCATCCCTGAACATGATTTCTGATTCACTGATAGTTGCCCATAAATATTATTTTATTTTCCTTTGCAAATTATCTTAAACATTGATATCTTTTTTTGATATCTTGATAGCTCTTGTTTGAGAAAACATATGAACTGTAATTGCATTAAGCCATAAATAGTGACAGACATTACAAAATAATTGTTTTAACCAAGAAGTGATGATGTTAGGTATTGGCTAAAAGGCGGGGGGTTCAGAAAATAACTTTCAAAACAGTTCAATTTTTTAAAAATACACATATATGGTCGTGTGAAAGAGAAAAAATATCAGTGGCTCCAGTCAGGGTGTTAATGAGAAGCTAGGTCCAACATAATTCAAAACAATGATCAGCCAAGCAAATTAAAGACTGCCTGACTCATCCTTCACAAGCAGATATCAATCACTGGGTGAGATCTCTGCTCCACGTGGGTGAGATCTCTGCTCCACGTGGCTGAAAAACATGGGTCAAAAAGAGTCATGTGCTGGTTAATCTGACATAGGGGACCACCCACAAATACTTTACATTTTGCTCTGGTATGTATAATGTAATTTTATGCAGCTTAATTTCTATTTTGTAATGAATAATATATTCTCATGGTTCAAAGCTTAAAAATAAAAAACAGTGAATGGAGAAGAATCTCCTGCTCCATCTGTGCTCAGCTGCAGTGCTTTTTCTCCCCAGAGGCAGGCTGTGTTATGTATTATGCATCTACCCAGCACTAGTGTGTGCACATCTGTGTGCACATATACATTTATATGTGGATATGCAAATATATACAAATGCTCCTTGACTTACAATGGAGTTATGTCCCAATAAACCCATCATAAGTTGAAAATCTCCTACGTCAAAAATGCACTTAATACACCTAACCTAATGATAATCATAGCTTGGACTAGCCTACCTTAAACATGCTCAGAACACTTCCCTTAGCCTGCAGTTGGGCCAAGTTGTCTAACACAAAGCCTATTTCACAATACAGTGTTGACTGTCTCTTGCAATTGATTGAATATTGTATGGAAAGCGAAAAGCAGAATGATTGTATGGATACTCCAAGTACAATTTCTACTGAACGCATATATTGTTTTCACACCACCCAAAAGTCAAAACTAAGTTGAACCATTGTAAATTGGGGACTGTCTGTACATGCTCTTCCACCTCTCACTTTTTCACACAAGCAGTAGCCTACTTTACCAACTATTCCGGACTTTGCTTTTTTCACTTAATATACCCCCTAGATTGTTTCTAATCACAAGTGAAGCAGTTCCTCATTATTTTTAAAAGTCAAATAGAATTCCATTAATAGTATATGCCATATCCATTAATTAATGTTTCAACAGATCCTTTGCTATTAAACACTACAATGCAGTGTGTAATCTTGACTTAACTCACTTCATAGTTGTAATTTTTTATTTGCATATAGTCAGTGTTATTGTTTTGCATTTTACATTTAGGTCTGTGATACATCTGAGGGTTTCTTTTTCTGTAAAAGTATACGATCTATGTCTAGAATCCTCTTATTTTTTGCATGTGGATGTCTAATTATTCTATGACCATTTGTTGAAAACCATATCCTTTTCCCATTGAATTATCTTGTTCTTTTGTCAAATATCAGTTGTCTATATTTGTGTGGGTCCATTTCTGAACTTTCTATTCTGTTCCACTGATCTTTCACCAATGCCACACTGTCTTGACTGTTATAGTTTTATGTGAAGATGGATAGTATTAGTCCTCTATTTTTTTTTCTTTAATATTGTGTTTGCTATTCTAGGTATATTGTCTCTCCAGTAAAACTTGGCAATAAGTTTGTTGATATTCACAAAGTAAATGCTGAGATTTTGATTGGGATTGCATTGAATCTATAGATAAAATTGATAAGAAGGGACATCTTGACAGTATTGAGCTTCCCTATCTATGAACATGGAGTACCTCTCCATTTGTTTAGTTTTTTGATTCCTTTCACCACAGTTTTGTAGTTTCTCTTATAAAGATCAGTGCACATTTTGTTAGATTTATACCTGAATATTTCATATTTTGAGCTAATGTAAATGGTATTAAAGTTTTTATTTCATATTCCAATTGTAATTGCTCATGTATGGGAAAACAATTGGCTTTGTATATAAATCTTGTATCCTGAAAGCTAGCTACAATCACATGTTAGTTTCAGGAGATTTTTGTCAGTTGTATAGGATTTTATACATAGACAATCATGTCATCTACAAACAAAAATCGTTTTATTTCTTGCTTCTTCCAATCTGTGTACCTTTTATTTACCAAATATCCTTTTTTTTTGTCTTAGTGCATTAGCTAAGACTTCCAGTATTATGCTGCATAGGAGTGATGAGAGGGGACATCATTGTCATTCCTGATTTTAGCAGGAAAGCTTCTAGTTTGTCAAGAATAATGCTAGCTGTGGGTTCTATTTTATTTTGCTAATATTCTTTATTAAGTTTAAGAAGTTCCTCACTATCCCTAATTTGCTGAGAATTTTTATCATAAATGGGTGTCAGATTTTGTCAAATACTTTCTCTACATCTATTGATATGATCATGTGATTTCTCTTCTTTAGCTGGTGGATGTAATGGATTGCACTAATTGATTTTTAAATATTGATCCAGACTTATATACCTGGAATAAATCCAACTTGATTATGTTATACGATTCTTTTTATACATTGTTGGGTTCGATTTTCTAACATTTTATTGAGAATTTTTGCATCTATTTCATGAGAGATATTGGTCTGTAGTTTATTTTTTCTTGTAATGTCATTATCTGGTTTTGATATTTGGATAATGCTAGTCTCATAGAATGAATTAGAAACTATTCTCTCTATTTCTATCTTCTGGGAAAGATTGTAGAGAATCAGTATTATTTTTTACCTAACTATTTTACAAAATTCACCAGTAAACTCATCCAAGTCTGGTACTTTATGTCTTGAAAATTATTAATTATTGATTTAATTTCTTGAATTGATATAGATCTACTTAGATAACATATTTCTTTTTTTGTGGGTTTTGGAAGTGTCTTAGTGGCACTTAGGTGCCAGCAGGTTTGGTGTCTGGGGGGGGCTGTTCTCTACTTCCAAGATGATGCCTTGCACACCATATATTCCAGACTGAAGGAACACTGTGTTCTTACATGACAGAAGGCAGAAGAGCAAAAAGAGACAAACTTCCTCCTCCAAGCCCTTCTATGAGGGCACCTAATCCCATCCACAAGAGGTGACCTCTCATGGCCTAATCATTTCTTAAGGGCCCACCTCCTAATACTATCACATTGACAGCACCTGAATTTTGGAGGAGACATATTAGAACAATAGCAGGAAGATTATCCCTTTCAAGGAATTGGCCAAATAGGATGGAATTGGTCCATCAACTAGGTCATCAAATTTGTGAGTATAGTTTATAATATTCTTTTAATATCCTTTAACATCCATGGGATCAGTAGTGATAACCCCTCTTTCATTTGTGGTATGAGTTGCTTGTATCTGCTCTCTTTTTTAATTGGTTAGCCTGGCTCGAGCTTTATCAATTTTATTGATCTTTTCAAAGAATGAGTTTATGGTTTCATTAATTTTTCACTTGACTTCCTGTTTTGAATTTTTTTAATTTCATCGATTTCTGCTTTTATTTTCTACTTTTCTTCAGCTTTCTTTGGAGTTAACCTGCTCTGCTTTTTCTAATTTTCTAAGGCAAAAGCACTGATTATTTTTAAAAATTTTTCTCCCTTTCCATTATATGGATTAAATGCCATGAATTTCCTTCGAAACATTGCTTTTGCTGCTTCCCACAAGTTTTTGTTTGTTTGTGTTTGTTTGTTTGTTTGTTTTTATTTTTTTTTTGATGAAGTCTCGCTCTTTCGCCCTAGCTGGAGTGCAGTGGCTGGATCTTGGTTCACTATAATCTCCGCCTCCCAGGTTCAAGAGATTCTCCTGCCTCAGCCTTCCAAGTAACTGGGATTGCAGGTACGCCCCACCATGCCTGGCTAATTTTTGTATTTTTAGTAGAGAGGGGGTTTCGCTATGTTCGCCATGTTGGTCTCGAACTCCTGGCCTCAGGTGATCTGCCCAACTCGGCCTCCCAAAGTGCTGGGATTACAGGTGTGAGCCACTGCACCTGGCACACAAGTTTTAATTAAGTTGTATTTTCATTTTCATTTAATTAAAAACATTAAAATTTCTCTTCAGATTTTTTTTCTTGGACCCACATGTTATTTAAAACTGTGTTGTTTAATTTCTAAGTATTTTAGGATTTTCCATCTATTTTCTGTTATTAAATTCTACTTTTATTTCATTGTAGTGTGAGAGCAATACATTTTATGATTTTTATTCTTTATATTTGTTATGATGTATTAATATTTTATAGCCCATAATCTGGTTTATCTTGGTGAATGTTCTATGTGAGCTTGAGAAGAATTATATTCTGCTGTTGTTAGATAAGATATTCTATAAAAGTGTATTGAGCTGGGTGCAGTGGTTCATACCTATAATCCCAGCACTTTGGGAGGCCGAAGCAGGCACACCGCTTGAGGACAGGAGTTCGAGACCAGCCCGGCCAACATGGCGAAACCCCGTCTCTACTAAAAATACAAAAATTAGCCAGGCATGGTGGCACACACCTGCAATCCCAGCTACTCAGGAGGCTGAGGCACGAGAATCACTTGAACCTGGGAGGCGGAGGTTGTAGTGAGCCAAGACTGCACCACTGCACTCAGCCTGGGTGACAAAGAGTGAGACTCTGTCTCAAAAAAAAAAAAAAAAGAGTTTATTGTATCCTGCTGACTAATGGTGCTGTTCACTATATCCTTACTGATTTTCTGCTTGCTGGATCTGGTAGTTACTGATAGGGGGATGTTGAATTCTTCACCTTTAATAGTTGATTTGTCTACTTCTCCTTGCAACTTTATCATTTTTTTGTTCATATATTTTGACACTCTGTTGTTAGAGGTGTACTCTTTAAGAATTATTATGTCTTCTTAGAAAAGTGATCCCTTTATTATTATTTAAAACCTTTTTATCCTTAGTAACTTTCCTTGTTCTGAAACCTACTTTGTCTGAAATTAATGTATCTACTCTAGCTTTCTTTTGATTACTATTAGTGTTGTGTATCTTTCTCCATCTCATTACTCTTCTTCTATATGTGTCTTTATTTTTAAAGTGGATGTCTTGTAGATCAGTGGTCCTTAACCTTTTTGGCACCAGGGACCAGTTTTGTGGAACACAATTTTTCCATGGACTTGGGGTGGGGGATAGTTTTGGGCTGAAATTGTTCCACCTCAGATAATCAGGCATTAGAATCTCATAAGGAGCATGCAATCTAGATCACCTGCATGTGCAGTTCACAATAGGGTTCTCACTCCTATGAGAATCTGATGCCTCCATTGATATGACAGGAGGTGGAGCTCAGGTAGTAATGCTCATTTGCCCGCCGCTCACCTCCTGCTGTGTAGCCGTTTCTGACAGGCCATAGCCAGGGGGTTGGGGATGATATGGTTCAGTCCTGTTTTTTATCCACTCAGTCTCTGTTTTTTAATTGGTGTATTTAGATCAGTGACATTTAACTATTGATATAGTTGGATTTATATCTACCGTATTTGTTATTGTTTTCTATTTGTTGCCTTTGTTCTTTGTTTCTATTTTCACCTTCCACTGTTTTTCTGCCTTCTGTAGTTTTATTTTATATGATTCCATTTTCTCTCCTTTCTTTGCATATAAATTACACTTTTTACCTATTTTAGCCGTTGCTGTAGAGCTTACAATATACATTTACAACTACTCTATGTCCATTTTTAGATAACGCTATACTGCTTCACGGGTAACGCGAGTACCTTTTAAGAGCATATTCCCAACCCTTCCCTCTTATCTCTTATATCATTGCTGTTATTCATTTTACTTATCTACAAGCTAAAATCAGCAAACACATTGTTGCTCTTATTTTGAACAAACTGTTATCTGTTAGATCCATTAAGAATAAGAAAAATGCACTTTGGGAGGCCTAGGCGGGGGGATCATGAGGTCAGGAGATCGAGACCATCCTGGCTAACATGGTGAAATGCCATCTCTACTAGAAATACAAAAAAATTAGCCAGGTGTGGTGGCAGGTGCCTGTAGTCCCAGCTACTTGGGAGGCTGAGGCAGGAGAATGGCGTGAACCCGGCAGGTGGAGCTTTCAGTGAGCCGAGATCACGCCACTGCACTCCAGCCTGGGTGACAGAGCAAGACTCCGCTCAAAAAAAAAAAAAAAAAAGAAAATAATAAGAAAAACAAAAGATCTTAGTTTTACCTTTATTTATGCATTCTCTAACATGCTTCCTGTTACATAGATCTAAGTTCCTGACCTATATCACTTTCCTTCTCCCTGAATAACTTCTTTAACATTTCTTGCAAGGTAGGTCTACTGCTGACAAATTCCCTTGATTCTTTATTGTCTGAGAAAGTCTATTTCTCCTTCACTTTTGGAGGATAATTTCACAGAATTCTGGGTTGATAAGTTTTATTCTTCCAACACTTTAAATATTTCACTCCACTTTCTTCTTGCTTGCCTGGTGTCTCAGGAGAAGTTGGACTTAATTCTTATCATTACTCCTCTATAGATGAGATGGTTTGCTCTGCCCCTGGCTCCTTTCAAGACTTTCTTTGTACTTATTTTCTGCAGTTTGGATATAATATGCCTAGGAGTAGATATTTTGGCATTTTTCATTCTTGATATTCTCCAAGCTTCTGGAATCCGTAGTTTCATGTCTGTCTTAATTTTGGGAAATTCTTATTCTTTATTGCTTCAATAATTCTTCTGTTCCTTTCTCTCTTCTTCTGGTGTTCCCATTATTCATATGTTACATCTTTTGTAACTGTCCCACAGTTTCTGGATATTCTGCTCCATTTTCTGAGTCTCTTCTCTTTGCTTTTCAGTTTGTGAAGTTTCTATTGACATATCCTGAAGCTCAGAGATTCTTTCTTCAGCCATGTCTAGACTACTAATGAGACCATCAAAAGCAGTCTTCATTTCTTTATAGTGTTTTTGATCTCTAGTATTTCTTTTTAATTCTTTCTTAGAATTTTCATCTCTCTGTTTACATTACCCATCTATTCTTGCATTTTGCTTACTTTTTCCATTAAAGCTATCATAATATATATCATAGTTCTTTTAACCCTTTTTCCATTTGCCCCAAGAATACTTGCTGGTGGCGCTTGCGACTGCAATGTTTACCCTGAGATGACTTTGCCATGAAATATTATTATTTTCACATTGCTCTAGTATGTCAACTTTGGAAATAAAAGACATCATTCCATTTATAGCATTGTTTTTAGTAGTGGCATTTCCATTTACAAAATATAGTAATTCTCAATCGCTGAAAATGTCAAATCCTAGAAAGCAGCAATCCTACTTGTGATGTTAACATCATTCTCAAGTAGTTGTTGCCTGAAGATTCATTTGATGAATCTGATTTTTCTGAAATAGATGATTCTGATGATTCAGATGATTCTGATGTTAATTCTGTTTAGAAATAATTCCATGAAAAGTTTTTATATTTTATTTTCACAGTGAAAATCAGTCAGATTTGCTTCAGCTTCAAAGAGTGTGTTTATGTAAAAATTAAGTGAGTGCTGGTAGCGAGCTGCCCTTTTTTTTTTTTTCTAAATGGGAAAAGGGTTAAATTCTGGGTCTGATATTTAACCTCTCTACTACATCTGAGTCTGGTTCTGATGCTTGCCTTGTCTCTTCATACTCTATGTGTGGGCATGTATGTGATTTGGGAGTTTGTTTATTTATTTTTGACTTTTAGTATGACTTGTACTATTCCACTGAAAGCCAGACATAATGTACTGGGTGAAAACAATTGTGGTAAATAGGCTTTTCGTGATGTAGCACTAAAGTATGTGGAGTAATGGGAAGCGTTCTGTAATCCCATGATAGTCTCAGTCTTTTAGAGAGCCTGTGCCCTGGATGGTGACTTTCACAAGTGCTGCTGAGCACCTCCTCTCCCCTTTCCCTTTTCCTCTAGTCAGAAAAGCTGGAAGAGGCTTGGTTAGGTATTTCTCTTTTTCACATGGAGTTTAGAACAGGCTGGAATTGACCATTACCTTTCCCCAGGGATGCTTAGCTTCTGGTAAAATACAAGTCAGTTAGGTTCTGGTGAACCAGTCTTCTTGGAGGGTAGACTTTTTGAAAGGAGAGAAGAATGCCCTGGGAGTATTTCAAAACAGTTACTTTTCCACATTTCTCTGCTGGAGATATGGGGAGATTTTTCCTATGATCTTCACCCTGAGTACCTCCTGGGGTTTTGGGAGACAAAACTTAGGAAAATGTGCCTCCCGCACACAATGCTCACCAGCCTTTAGGGTTTTTGTTTTTGTTTTTATTTTTCCTTTCAAGTTAGTTCACACCCAGTCTCCAGCAATTAGTCAATAAGTACTTTTACCTGATGCTGGTTTCACTGCAGGTTTCAATTTCCCACTCCAGGTAAACGGATTCTCTGTGTATGTCTGTGTCTCCAGTTTTAGAGTGGTGGTTTATCCTATGATCTAAATTCTCTGGTGGATCTAAAAAGAGTTGTTAATTTTCAGTTTTTCAACTTTTCTTAAATTGTGAGAATGAATGGAAGTTGTGACTTGAAAGCTCCTTACACTTTGGACTGACTCTTCTAGTATTTTTAACACTTCTTTAAAAATTGATATCTTTTATCCATCTGGAATTTCAGTATAAACTGTGATGTATAAATATAGATTTATTTTTTTCCAACTGGCCTCCTATTTGTCCTAAAGCATTTATTGAATGATCCACTTTTGCACTTACGAAATGCCAGTTCTGTGATCTAGCAAATTTTCACAAGTCCACAAAGCTATATCTAGACATTCTATTCTATGGCATACATCTATTTATTCATGCACGAATACTATGTCATTTTAATTACTGTAGCTTCATAATATGTTTAAACATCTAGCAGGGTTAGTCTTCGTCATCATTTTTATTCTTTACATATTTTCTGCCTATTCTGTCTCATTTATTTTTTCCATAAGAACTTTGCCTAGTTAGAAAAAGTTTTCAGTGATATTTTTATTGGATTCCAAATAATGTTAGAGTTTAACTTACTGAGGGAATTAATATCTTTGTAATATTGAGTTTTCTGGTTGAGTATACAGGCAGTCTTTCCAGTTGTTCAGGTCTTTAAAAAATTATCTTCAGAAGAATTTTACAGTTGTACAGTTTTTCTCATAGATTTTCCACACTTTTTGTGCAATTATTGATTTTCTTTATATTTTAATGGACTTTTTTCTTTAATTTAGCTCCTCCAAATAACTGTTGCTTTTTATAAATAAAGGTTGTAGGATTCTGTATATTGATTGTGTACCAAGTCACATTATTGAATTAACTTATTGTTTGTAATATTTTTTCAGAAGATACCTTCATTTTAAGGTATATAATGAATTAATAAGTAAAATATTATTTGTTTATTGTGTATAACTCATTATAATATTTTTACTTTTCCAATTTTTATACTTTGAATTTCTTACTAGTACTTCTCATTGTATTAGCTGGCACTTCCAAAACAAATCTAAATAACGATGATGAAAGTGGACATCATGGCCTTATGATTTAATTTGCTATAAGTACTTTTAAATAAGAAAGAAGTGCTTCCAGTTCCAAGATGGCTGAATAGGAACAGCTCCAGTCTACAGCTCCCAGCATGAGTGATGCAGAAGACGGGTGACTTCTGCATTTCCAACTGAGCTTTGAAGAGAGCAATGGTTCTTCTAGTATGGAGTTTGAGATCTGAGAACAGACAGACTGCCTCCTCAAGTGGGTCCCTGACCCCCGAGTAGACTAACTGGGAGACACCTCCCAGTAGGGGCCTACTGACATCTCATACAGCTGGGTTCCCCTCTGAGACGAAGCTTCTGGAGGAAGGATCAGGCAGCAACATTTGCTGTTCTGCAATATTTGCTGTTCTGCAGCCTCCGCTGTTGATAGCCAGGCAAACAGGGTCTGGGGTGGACCACCAGCAAATTCCAACAGACCTGCAGCTGAGGGTCCTGACTGTTAGAAGGAAAACTAACAAACAGAAAAGAATAGCATCAACATCAACAAAAAAGCACATCCATACCAAAACCCCCATCTGTAGGTCACCATCATCAAAGACCAAAGGTAGATAAAACCACAAAAATGGGGAGAAACCAGAACAGAAAAGCTAAAAATTCTAAAAACCAGAGTGCCTCTGCTCCTCCAAAGGATCGCAGCTCCTTGCCAGCAAAGGAACAAAGTTGGATGGAGAATGACTTTGACGAGTTGACAGAAGTAGGTTTCAGAAGATTGGTAATAACTAACTTCTCGGAACTAAAGGAGGATGTTCGAACCCATCGCAAGGAAGCTAAAAACCTTGAAAAAAGATTAGAAGAATGGCTAACTAGAATAAACAGCATAGACAAGACCTTAAATGACCTGATGGAGCTGAAAACCATGGCACGAGAACTGCGTGACATATGCACAAGCTTCAGTAGCTGATTCGATCAAGTGGAAGAAAGGGTACCAGTGATTGAAGATCAAATGAATGAAATGAAGTGAGAAAAGAACTTTAGAGAAAAAAGAGTAAAAAGAAACAAACAAAGCCTCCAAGAAATATGGGACTATGTGAAAAGACCAAATCTACACTTGATTGGTGGACCTGAAAGTGACGGGGAGAATGGAACCAAGCTGGAAAACACTCTTCAGGATATTATCCAGGAGAACTTCCCCAACCTAGCAAGGCAGGCCAACATTCAAATTCAGGAAATACAGAGAACAACACAAAGATACTCCTTGAGAAGAGAAACCCCAAGACACATAAATATCAGATTCATCAAGGTTGAAATGAAGGAAAAAATGTTAAGGACAGCCAGAGAGAAAGGTCAGGTTACTCACAAAGGGAAGCCCATCAGACTAACAGTGGATCTCTCAGCAGAAACTCTACAAGCCAGAAGAGTAGGGGCCAATATTCAACATTCTTAAAGAAAAGAATTTTCAACCCAGAATTTCATATCCAGCCAAACTAAGCTTCATAAGTGAAGGAGAAATAAAAACCTTTACAGACAAACAAATGCTGAGAGACTTTGTCACCACCAGGCCTGTCTTACAAGAGCTCCTGAAGGAAGCACTAAATATGGAAAGGAACAACTGATACCAGCCACAGGAAAAACATGCCAAATTGTAAAGACCATCGATGCTAGGAAGAAACTGCATCAACTAATGAGCAAAATAACCAGCTAACCTCATAATGGCAGGATCAAATTCACACATAACAATATTAACCTTAAAAGTAAGTGGGTTAAATGCCCCAATTAAAAGACACAGACTGGCAAATTGGATAAAGAGTCAAGAACCATCAGTGTGCTGTATTCAGGAGACCCATCTCACGTGCAGAGACACACATAGACTCAAAATAAAGGGATGGAGGAAGATCTACCAAGCAAATGGAAAACAAAACAAGCAGAGGTTGCAACCCTAGTCTCTGATAAAACAGACTTTAAACCAACAAATATCAAAAGAGACAAAGAAGGCCATTACATAATGGTAAAGGGATCAATTCAACAAGAAGAGCTAACTATCCTAAATATATATGCACCCAATACAGGAGCACCCAGATTCATAAAGCAAGTACTTAGAGACCTATAAAGAGACTTAGACTCCCACACAATAATAATGGGAGACTTTAACACCCCACTGTCAACATTAGACAGATCAACGAGACAGAAAATTAACAAGGATATCCAGGACTTGAACTCAGCTCTGCACCATGTGGACCTAATAGACATCTACAGAACTCTCCACCCCAAATCAACAGAATATATGTTTTTCTCAGCAGCACATTGCACTTATTCCAAAATTGACCACATAGTTGGAAGTACAGCACTTCTCAGCAAATGTAAAAGAATAGAAATCATAACAAACTGTTTCTCAGACCACAGTACAATCAAACGAGAACTCAGGATTAAGAAACTCACTCACTCAAAACTGCTCAACTACATGGAAACTGAACAACCTGCTCCTGAATGACTACTGGGTACATAACGAAATGAAGGCAGAAATAAAGATGTTCTTTGAAACCAATGAGAACAAAGACACAACATACCAGAATCTCTGGGACACATTTAAAGCAGTGTGTAGAGGGAAACTTATAGCACTAAATACCCACAAGAGAAAGCAGGAAAGATGTAAAATTGAAACCCTAACATCACAATTAAAAGAACTAGAGAAGCAAGAGCAAACACATTCTAAAGCTAGCAGAAGGCAAGAAATAGCTAAGATCAGAGCAGAACTGAAGGAGATAGAGACACAAAAAACCCTTCAAAAAATCAATGAATCCAGGAGCTGGTTTTTTGAAAGGATCAACAAAATAGATAGACTGCTAGCACGACTAATAAAGAAGAAAAGAGAGAAGAATCAAATAGACACAATAAAAAATGATAAAGGGGATATCACCATTGATCCCACAGAAATACAAACTACCATCAGAGACTACTATAAACACCTCTATGCAAATAAACTAGAAAATCTAGAAGAAATGGATAAATTCCCGGACACATACGCACTCCCAAGACTAAACCAGAAAGAAGTTGAATCCCTGAATAGACTAGTAACAGGCTCTGAAATTGAGGCAATAATTAATAGCCTACCAACCAAAAGAAGTCCAGGACCAGAAGGATTCACAGCCGAATTCTACCAGAGGTACAAAGAGGAGCTGGTACCATTCCTTCTGAAACTATTCCAATCAATAGAAAAAGAGGGAATGCTCCCTAACTCATTTTATGAGGCCTGCATCATCCTGATACCAAAGCCTGGCAGAGACACAACAAAAAAAGAGAATTTTAGACCAATATCCCTGATGAACATCGATGCAAAAATCCTCAGTAAAATACTGGCAAACCGAATCCAGCAGCACACCAAAAAGCTTATCCACCACGATCAAGTTGGCTTCATCCCTGGGATGCAAGGCCGGTTCAACATACCCAAATCAATAAACGTATTCCATCATATAAACAGAACAAAGGACAAAAAACCACATGATTATCTCAATAGATGCAGAAAAGTCCTTCAACAAAATTCAACAGCCCTTCATGCTAAAAACTCTCAATAAACTAGATATTGATGGGATGTATCTTAAAATAATAAGAGTTATTTATGACAAACCCTCAGCTGATATACTGAATGGGCAAAAACTGGAAGCATTCCCTTTGAAAACTGGCACAAGACAGGGATGCCCTCTCTCACCACTCCTATTCAACATAGTGTTGGAAATTCTGGCCAGGGCTATCAGGCAGGAGAAAGAAATAAAGGGTATTCAATTAGGAAAAGAGGAAGTCAAATTGTCCCTGTTTGCAGATGACATGATTGTATATTTAGAAAACCCCATCGTCTCAGGTTTTGTTCTTATTATTTAAATATATTTAAAAGATAATTAACTGTTTAAACAGAAATAATAACAATGTTCTGTGGTGTCTTCAGTGTATGTAAAAGTAAAATATATGACAATAATAGAACAAAGTTGGGGAGAAGAAAAATATAAATATACTATTTTTAGGTTCTCATATGATATGGAAGTGGTATAATAGCACCTAAAAGATGTATATAAAAATTATAGCAACCACTAGAATAACAAAACAAAACAAAAGCCAACAAGGGACATAAAATGAACATTTAGCAAATAATTACGGTTAAAGAATTATAATAGTCAAAATTAATATATTAATCCAAAAGATGGTTTAAAAAATAAGAGAAAAGGGAAAAAAGAACAAAGGGGCAAACAGAAAATAAATACCAAGATGATCATATTCATATCAACAACCATATTAATAATCACATGAAAGTAAATAGTCTAAATACTTCAAATAAAAAGGCAGAGATTGTCTAATTGGTTGCAAAAGCAAGACCCAACTATATGCTGGCCATAGAAAATACATAATTAGGAAATACATGTTAACATTAATCAAATAAAGCTGGAGCTACTACATTAATATCAGACAAATTAGACTTTAAACAAAGGAAATAAGCAGAAATAGATAAAGAGATTTCATGACAAAAAGATTAATTTATCAAGAGGAAATAACAATCCTAAATATCAACAAAAACAAAACAATTGAAGCAAAAACTGATATAACTGCAAGGAAAAATATATAATTGTATAGTTATAGACAGAGAATTTAGTAACCCTCTCTCAATAATTGATAAAACAGGTGAACAAAAACTCAGTAAGGAATAGAGTATTTAAACACCATTAACTAATTTGACTTAGTTGATATTTATAGAACACTCCACCCAATAATAACATAGTGTACATTATTTTCAACTGTACACATAATATTTACCAAGATAACTCAAATTTGGTGCCATTAAACCAGCCTCAAAAAGTATACAATATTCCAAGTCATACAAAGTTTGTGCTCTACTCACAATGAAATTACATTAAAAATTAGTAACAGAAAAATCTCTAGAAAATCCCTCAAACATGGAAACTAAACAACACATTTCTAAATAAGCCATTAGTCAAAGAAGAAATTAGAAGGGAAATTAGGCACTGTTTTAAAGTGAACGAAAATTAAAACATAACAAATAAAAATTTATTAGATTATCACTAAAGCATTTGGGGGAAATTTGGAGCACAAAACATTGATATTAGAAAATGAAGTTCTCAAATGTTAAGACCTCAGCTTCCACCTTAACAGTACAAAAAAAAAAAAAAAAAAAGATCAACTTAAACACAAGGTAAGTATAAGAAAGGAAGTAAAAATGGTCAGAATGGAGGTTAATAAAATAGAAAGCAGAAAGACAATAGAAAAAATCAATAAAGCCAAAAGCTGTTTCTTTAAGATCAATAAAATTGATAGACATTTAGCAAGATTGATCAGAAAATAAATCATAAATCACCAAAATCAGAAAAGCAAAGTGGCATCAGAATCAAAAGATAATGGTAGGAAAATAAGATAATATTATGAACAGTTCTATGTGAATTAATTTGTCAACATCAATGAAATGTACAAAGCCTTTGAAAAACCACAAACTACAAATGCTTACTGAAGAAGAAATTGATGATCTGAATAACTCTAAATTAAATAAATTGAATTTGTAATTAAAAATCTTCTCACACACACAACCTCCATTCCCAGGTAGCTTCACTAGTATGTTCTACGAAACATTAAAGAGAGAATGAGTTCTGAGTCTACAAAAATTCTTCCAGAAAATTAAAAAGGAGGATATCCTTTCCAACACTTTCTGAGGCCAGCATTACTCAGACCCCGGATCCTGACAAATTTATTAGACAAAAAAAGTGGAGACTAATATCTCTCATGAACATAAATGCAAAAAAATCTAAACAAAATTTTTGTATTCTAGCTGACAGTATATCAAAAGCAGTAGATATTGTGACCAAGTGGGGTTTACCACAAGTGTGTAAGGTTGGCTTAACTTTAAGATCTTAATCACTATAATTCATCCTATTAAGAAACTAAAAAAGAAAAACTTGTATCATCTCCTTAATAGACACAAACATGTATTTGATAATATTCAACATATACTTGACATAAAAGCTCTCATCAAACAAGGACCAGAAGGGCATCTACCAAAAACCCACAGATGACATCATACTCAGTGGTAAATGACAAAATGCTTTCCTCCTGAAGATTAGAAAAAACACATTTCTATTCAACCTGGAGGAGGTTCTCACAAGTACAATCAGGCAAAAGAAGGAAATTAAAGGCATTTATATTGGAAAGGAAAAAGTAGAACCTTTTATTTGCATATGACATGATCATCTTTGTAGAAATGAAATGGAATCTACAAAGAAAGCTAATACAACTAACAGGTGAGGTTAGCAAGTTTCCAGTATAGAAGATTAATATACAGAAATCAATAGTATGTCTATGTACTCACAACAAACTATTAGAAATTGAAAATTAAATAACATTTACTTTAGCATAAAAATAAGATACCTAGGAATTAGTCTGCTTCAAAGGAGTAAAACATCTGTGTACTGAAAACCGTAAAATGGTGTTGATAACAAGTAAAGATCTAAATGGAGGAAAAAATATACTATGTTCATAAGTTGGAAGACTCAATATTGTTAAGATGTCAGTTCTCCACAAATTGATCTATAGGATCAGTGCAATCCAAATAGAAATTCCAGTAGGCTTTTAAAAAAATTTGATAACTAAATCTAGAATTTACAAAATTCATACAGAAATTCAAAGTGCCTACAATAGTCAAAACAACTTAAAAAAATAAAAACAAATTTGGAGAATGAATATTATCTTATTACTAGATCTATGAAAAGCCTACAGTAATCAAGATAGTGTTGTTTTGGTGAAAATACAGGCAAAACAATTAATGGAGTGTAGTAGAAAGTCCACAAATAAAGCCACACTATATGAACATCTAATTTTTGACCAAGTTTCAAAGGCAACTTGATGGAGAAATAATAGCCTTTTCATTAAATGATACTGCAACAATTGTGCATCCATAGGTAAAATGATGACTCCATGCTGTGTGATTCAAACTATAGGACATTCTGGAAAATGTGAAACTAGGGAGACAGTAAAAAGGCAGTGGTTGCTAAGGAATGGGGGAAGGGAGAGAGGGATAAGTAGATGGAGCACTGAGGATTTTAAGGGCAGTGAAACTACTCTGTATGATACTGTAATGGTAGATTCACGTCATTGTACATTTGTCCAAACCCATGGACTATACAGCGCCAAGAGTGAACCCTAATGTCATCTATGGCCTTGGGTTAATAGTGATGTTTGCATGTTCATCACCTGTAACAAAAGGGCCACTCTGGAGTGGGATGTTGATAGTGGGGGAGGCTGTGCATATGGTTGAGGGGGTGGGGAGTATATGAGAACTCTTTGTGCCTTCCTCTCAATTTTGCTGTGAACCTAAAACTGCTCTAAAAAATAAAGCCTATTAATAAAAAGAAATAAAAAAAGATGTTTAGAAATAAAAAGTACCCCTATACCTGTTACCCCTGCTCTCTGGCTTCCTCTGATGGAAACAGAAAGCGGCTTGGTCTGGTGAGGGGTTTGAGCCTCTGTAGAAACTAGGAGCTGCAGCTGAGATATTTGCCTCCTCAACTTCTGCCCTCTGCGCACTGTGGAGTGAGTGAGGAGAGGGTGCTCCTTTTCCTGTGGGCATGCAGCTCTGTGAGGGTTCTCCGGCCTTTTTGTCTTTTTCTTCAGCAGGATTTCCACATCTGATGTTTATTTTACAACCGTGTCTTGTTTTTCAGGTTGCCATGAACAGAAGCAAAATAGTAGGTATAAAAAATGTCTTTAGATCTGCAGAAGAAAGCCACCCTATAAACCCAAGGCATTATTACCAGCAATAAAATGATTCAGGACATTCATCTCCTATTTGTCCACTTTCCAAAAAGAACCTTTTCTTTCTTTTGCTGACTTCTCTACATCTATTTCCTCCCACCTGCTCTAGAAAAGTAAATATCTGGTTTCAATTATTTATGGGACGTAGAGTTATTTTTGTTCCAATGGGGTCTCAGAGATTTCTCACATTTTAAACAATTTTGTAGCTTCCCAGGTAGAAATAAAGGAGGCCTGGGACCTATTGCCTCACTTTCTCATTTTCTCAAGATTCAAGGCACCACGTGGTACTCTGACTTCTGTAATTACTCTATTGGGCTCTCCATCCGATTGGAATGTTTTCCAAGGAAAGAGAACTAGATTTTTCTAATCTGATTTTAGCTATTTTAAAACAACTTTTAACCAGTCTGGCTATGGACTAATTCCTAGTATTTCAGGTTTATTATGGGAGATAAATCACTGTAGCCTTGGAAACTGGTCATGGAGTTGGGGGTCCGGGACTGACACTGTTTTTGGCTGCTACATGTGTGGGAGCTTAGAGATTCCACCTGGCAACCTGCCCAGGGGACGCATTCTGGGCTCACCCTGGTGTGGGCTCTGAATTCCACAGAGCTCAGGTCTCAGGCAAATGCCCCTGGACTCAGCACCCTTGGGCCCTGGCAAAGAACCTGGGCTCTTTTCACTGCAGAAGAGCAGCTGAACTAGCTTTTATCAGAGGAGGATATTTTTGATAGTGTTAAACAGTTTGCTATAGTATTTACTTCCAAGCTGAGACACCGACAGAGCTGGGAGGCATGAGATGTGTTTTCTGGGCAGACCGGTTTCCTCATTAAATTGGGGATAATCATACTTTCTTTTTGAACTTCACTGGTGAACCTGGCAAATGTTAGAGGTGGGTGGACTCTGAGGCCATCTGTGCAATATGATTTCTCTGCAAGGAGTAGGTCAGCTGGCAGATAATAAGGTAGCTTCTGTCACTCCAGATTGTTTTTTTCAGGTTAGGCTGTGTAAACAAATGTGAACCTGAGGAGTCCTTTGTGGTGGATCTGGAGTGGCTAATAGGCCTAGATTTAAAATAGTAGCCATTTCCTGATTAGAGGTACTCTGAATTTCCCCAAAACCCACACTGCAGTTCCCCTTTGGGACTTTCAGGACTCATCTGAACCAACCGATCAGAACTTACCTGCAATTCACCAATCAAACTCAGCTGCAATCCACCAATCAGAACTAAGCAAGTTTCAATCCTTCACTTGCATAAACAGATCCGACTGGGAACCTGGGTGGAACCCTTTTTTGCTATGAAACCCAAACCCTTCCCTTGTTCTCTGGAAGGCAGTTTTGCTTTACTCTGAAGGCCTGCATCTCCCCATTTTGCAGGGGATAATCTACTTCTTGCTCTTTTGCTTACCCAAGATAGCTTATACTTTGGTATATAAGATCTCTTCTGAGACACACAACAATCATTTAGGATTGATAATGTAGATATTGTAATTTCCAGAGTAGACGGGTGGGGAGGTGTCACCTTGCAGGTGGTAAAGTTCCTCCCAGGTGCACAGGCTGGTGGATAATGGAAGGAGGGAGGAGCTCTCCCTTTTCCTAAAGCTGTTTGGAAGAGGTTCTCCGCATTCTTCTGCAAGTAAAATTTAGTCTCAAGGCTATAGTGATCTCCATTTATCTAAAATAAAATGACATAATAGATTAATACATATTCCTTATAGAAAAGTAACAAAATGTAGATACAAAAACACATCATATCTCCACATAAGCTCTGCTGTGGGAGTGTGTATAATAGTGTACATGTTATTGCTTTTTTGCATATGTATAAGTGATTTTAATATAAAAAGCTGTAGCTTACCTTAGTGTTCAATAATTTCCACTCCCTGCCAGGGTGTCCAAGGGAGAGAACACAGTCATGGGTTCTTAGTTTCTGTTTCTGATTGGGCTGGTAAAGCCCCTTCCTCGTCCCTCTTTTCCACTTATCACTAGAGACAGAAACTAAAAACCATGGCTTCATACTGCTAAAAGCCTAAAACAAAACAGAACAGAACAACAACAAAATAAAGCAAGTTGGACAAGGTTGCCTTAAAGAAAGCCCTAAAATCATTGAGCATCTGGAGAAAAAGCCTTGGACATTCAAACTGACTCCACTGGTCAATTAAAGTTCAAAGTAATGCCAAATTTTAAACTCAATCTCGAGGTATTTCAACAAACAGAAACTTGGCACAGTGGAGACCCCAAGGGCACCCAAGTCTTTGCCCCAGGAGCCTAGAGCCTGATGTGGTGAGAAGGAGGCTGAGGGTGGAAGCATACAGGAGCTGGCACTTACTGTGTGTTTTCTTGTTCTTTCCCCTCTGTGTAGACACAGAACGCAGGGATCAAAGGTTGCCCAGGGAATGAGTGGCAGAGGCACACTTCCAGCCCAAGCCTGCTGCCACCAGGCCCATGACACAGCAAGGAACAGGGCTGTGGAGGCAGGGGAGGCCACAGAGCTTGGGGCCCACCACTCCAGAAGGTGAGCCGCAGGTGCTCCTACACAGACAAACCCAGAACCATCTTCCCATACGATCAATGCTGAAAAGAGGCAGTCAGCTTCCAGACCCACCCACAAACTTTTTTTCCCACCTCACATCAGATGTGGGAATGGTAGTACAGTTCTCCCAGTAACCATCTGTGTGGCCAGCCTAGGAAAGCAACCACAGGGACAATTATGTCTTCAATGAGATGGGACCCAAGCTCCAAACAACAAACTTGGAAACAAGCCTTTGAAACCCAGTACATTGGGAGGCAGAGGCTGGGACTGACACACACACAATACTAGATTGGTTATGGGTCACTCACCCCTCCCTCCTTCATGAACAACGCTCACCCTGCTCTGTGTTGACTCCAATGGGGTACAAAGATGGAAGTGAAGATATGAGTAGGAGTAGCCTCATGTCCCCAATGGCCACCCCTCTCAGGATCCGAGCCTTTGGGTGATCCCCTCTCTTTGAATCTGGGCTGGGCTTGGGACCTGTTTTCAATGGAAGGTGGCAGAAATAATGTAGTGCTACTTCCAGAATAAACCCTAGGAAGACCTGGCAGCCCAAGCCATGTGCTTTTGGGGGTCCCTGAACCATGCTGTATAAAGCACAGCTCCCTGGTGGAGACACCCTGCAGAGAGACAATGAAGAGAAGATTCATCTAGAGGAAGAAGCCAGGACTGCACAGAGAGAGGGAGACACCCACCCAAAAATCCAGTGGTGCAGTCAAATCTTAGAGCTCCAAAATAATTTCCTTTGACTCCATGTCTCACATCCAGGTCATGTTGATGCAAGAGGTGTGTTCCCATGGTCTTAGGAAGCTCTGCCCTGTGGCTTTGCAGGGTATATATCTCCCTCCTGGCTGCTTTCATGGGATGGTGTTGAGTGTTTGCAGCTTTTCCAGGTGCATGGTGCAAGCTGTTGGTGGAGCTACCATTCTGGGGACTGAAGGATAGTGGCCCTCGTCTCAAAGCTCCACTAGGCAGTGCCCCAGTAGGGACTCTGTGTGGGAGCTGTGACCCCACATTTCCTTTCTGTACTGCCCTAGCAGAGGTTCTCCATGAGGGCCCCACCCCTGCAGCAAACTTCTGCCAGGGCATCCAGGTGTTTCCATTCATCATCTGAAATCTGGGTGGAGGTTCCCAAACCTCAATTCTTGACTTCCATGCACTCACAGGCTCAATGCCATGTGGAAGCTGCCAAGGCTTGGGGCTTGCACCCTCTGAAGCAATGGCCTGAGTTATACCTTGGGCCCTTCTAGCCATGGCTGGAGTGAGTGAGATGCAGGGCACCTAGTCCCTAGGCTGCACAGAGCAAGGGCACCCTGGTCCCAGCCCATTAAACCACTTTTTCCTCCTAGTCCTCTAGGCCTGTGATAGGAGGGGCTGCTGTGAAGCCCTCTGACATGCCCTGGAAACATTTTCCCCATTGTCTTGGGGATTAATATTCAGCCTCTCATTATTTACCCAAATTTCTGCAGCCAGCTTAAATTTGTCCTCAGAAAATGGGATTTCCTTTTCTACACATTGTCAGGCTGCAATTTTTCCAAACTTTTATGCTCTGCTTCCCTTATAAAACTGAGTGCCTTTAACAGCACTCAAGTCACCTCTTGAGTGCTTTGTTGCTTAGAAATTTCTTCTGCCAGATTCCCTAAATCATCTTTCTCAAGTTCAAAGTTCCACAAATCTCTAGGGCAGGGGCAAAATACCTCCAGTCACTTTGCTAAAACATAACAAGAGTCATCTTTACTCCAGTTCCCAACAAGTTCCTTATCTCCATCTAAGACCACCTCAGCCTGGATTTCATTGTCCACATCATTATCAGCATTTTTGTCAAAACCATTCAACAAGTGTCTAGGAAGTTCCAAACTTTCCCACATTTTCCTGTCTTCTTCTGAGCCCTCCAAACTGTTCCAATCTCTGCCTGTTACCCAGTTACAAAGTTGCTTCCACATTTTTGGGTATCTTTTTAGCAGCACCCTGGTCTACTGGTACCAATTTACTGTATTAGTCCGTTTTCATGCTGCTGATAAAGACATACCTGAGACTGGGCAATTTACAAAAGAAAGAGGTTTAATGGACCCACAGTTCCTTGTGGCTGGGGAGGACTCACAATCATGGTGGATGGCAAGGAGGAGCAAGTCATGTCTTTCATGGATGGCAGCAAGCAAAGAGAGAGAGCTTGTGCAGAGATATCTCCCCTTATAAAACCATCAAATCTTGTGAAACTTATTCACTATCACAAGAACAACACAGGAAAAACTTACCCCCATGATTCAGTTACCTCTTACTGGGTCCCTCCCACAACATGTGGGAATTGTGGAAGCTAAAATTCTAGATGAGATTTGGGTGGGGACACAGCAAATCATATCAGTGTTGGTGGTGGCACCAAATCATTAAATCCAAGTGATGTTAATATCCCCATTATATAGAGGAAAAGACTGACACTCAGGAGCTTCATAGATGGCACCCACTGCCAAGTTCTGCAATACTTTATGAATGTGTTTGTACAGAGCAGGCCATCTCCAGAGTACATCTAGTCTTTCAGAAATGGTTGCTTGCATTATTTTTATTTCTAAGCCTTATTTCTTGCATTTTTTTCACCTCATGAACCATGCTCTCCTTGTTCTCATGCTACTAAGAAACCTGTGCAGTCCTGGGCATCCAAAGCTTAACAGATTTCCAGGATTCTGTTTGGATCTCTGGGAAATTCTGGGGCCATCCTGGAATAAAGCTGGTGTGTTTTGAAAAGTCCAGACATTTTCATCAGAGTTGTTCTACCAGTTATAAACCCCATGGCAGGTGTGATCATGTGTACCATTGATCAAGAAACCTGGGCTGGGAAGGGATAAGGGTCTGCCAAAGTCCTATGTGGAGGATGAAGGGCCAGCAAGTGACCTGACCTCACTTAAGGCTGTGACTCATGAATAGACCACCCTGACAGGAAGGCATTGCTGAGAAGAGGGCCACTCCTCTCCTAACTGACAAAGAGAAATCCCATGTTAGAACAGTCCAAAATGCTCCAGTACAGTTAAGAAATTGGTGAGGCTGAACTTGACACCCTTAGCTTCACCTCCTCATGCATTGCTGGAGGCCCCATATCCTGGTATTCCTGTTTCCAAAGACCCAGCCCTGCTTTCCAGCATCTCATTACCTCCACCTGGTGGGGCCTGTCAGTGTACCACAGGTCTACCTTGATTTCAAGTCCATCTCCTAATAATGAAGTAAAATGTTTTTCCCTGCATTGAAGAAATTTCCAGTGTCTTGGATGGGGGAGCTTAAGGAGCAGATGCTCATTCTTGGGGTATGGAGGTGATAACTTGTAGGCAGACTGTTCCTAGGAACACACGTAAGCTTGGCCCTTTCAGCCACTGGAAGGTAAGTCCAAAGATTCAAGAGGGAAAGGTGGCTGGTTGTGTCTGGCAGAAGGAGGGACACAGTGGAATAATTCTGCAAGTGTCACAGGGAGCCAGTCTCTGAGATGGCAGAGATAGGTTGGCCATCACTTTAGTGGGAAAAGGAGCATGTCTTTTCAAAGCTTCAAATGGGCCACATTTTTAAAAAGCATCAATTAACCTTCTACACACACACACACACACACACACACACACACACACATCTGAAAGGTGTAGAACTTTCATCAGCAGCAAAAGAGGAATGTTATTGGGAAGGTATACATTCCCAGCAAATTCTTAGCAGATGTGCTGGAGCCAACTTCCCAACTGTAGGGTCTACTCCACTGCAAAGTTTATTTGTATGAATCAGAAAATGATGATGCAGAGGAGGGTGATAATGTAAGGATCAAAATTTGATAATAGTTTTTAATAGGAAGAAAATAGCCTCAAGACTCTAGAGATTCTGTGGAATTCAGTTGCTTTATTAGAGCAAAGAGTTCTCCTTTGGGTGGCATAATAGGAGACTGGCTGCTTAGGAACTTAGTCCCTCACATGGTCTAAGGACAGTGCATGTGAAATACTCCAGCATCTTGTTAAAATGCAGAGTCTTATTCAGTGGGTCTGGGGTGGGACCTAAGATTCTGCATATCTAAAAGGCTCCCGGGCGATCCCTGTGCTGAAGGTCTGCAAACTGTGTTTTCAGCACCAAAGTTAACATTGAACCCCCAAAGTGACCACGGACTGATGGCCTCAGATCATCCAGGCCCACCGATGTACTAAGCACAATGGGCATTGTAACAGCATCTGCCACCTGTTTGAGGGGCCAGCTAGGGATTAGTGGGCATGGGGAGGGCCTAGGAGCCTAAACATTTACAAATATCCAGAAAATGATACACACACAAGTGAAAGGAAGAAGGGTGTGGATACAGGTTAGGACTTCAGCCTATGAATTCTGAAAGGACACAATTCAACCCATCAAACCCGAAAGATGGGGCTTGGGGACAGCCTGGAGCTATTGAATGATGCAAGCTATAAAAAATTCTAGAAAGGATCTGCCCTGTGTGTGCCTGGAGGCTCTGCGGGCACCATTTGCACAGTCAAACTCCTTCCCTCTCCGCTGCTGCAGCAAAACTAATGAACCACAAGAGCTGACTGGGTGGAAGCAGTAAACGACCTCCAGGCAAACACAGTGCCTGAGCCTTGATCTTTGAGGTTTAGCTGCAATGTTATAGGCCAGAAAGTTCACAAGCGAGAGCCCTGAAGATGCACAGCACGTGAGACCGCAATAACCACGGCCTTGTTTCCATCTGCAGAGACGTGAGGGTTCGTTGGCCCCACCCGCTTTGATGTTCTTTTCTTCTGTCTCACACCTGTTTGACCATCTCTTAAATAGGAACATTTTAAAACCAAATTAAAAATTCCATTTTCTGATACATTGTCTCATTTGAATCCAATTTACTAAACATATAATATGCTTTTTCCAATCTTATACTAAAATAATAAAGTGGGGCTCTATGAGAATGCATATCTTTCGTCAACTCAAAGGAAGAACTGAAAACTAACATTTTATTTCAAGGAAACATGCTTAAATGGCTCATTTGATTACTTTTATGTACACATGATACCTCAAAGTCAGATGCCTCAAATCTCAGTGTTCAGATAATCTCCTAAATGAAGATGTATAAAAAGAGCTACTTTTTCTATTTTTAGCTGTGCCTAAAGGATTTTCTTGTCTCTCAGATATTCTCATTTGCTTTGGTTATTCCCCTTTTCTTCTTCTTTCTCCTGTGTGGTTTTGCTTTATGTTTTTAACTTTCTCTGATTTTCAGATTTTTTTTTATTTTCTAGGTTTCTTACCTTTGCCTTTTCTGTCTATTCTTATTTTCACTTTCTTCCAACAAAACACCCACTAAAATTCAGAGCAGGATGGGTCTTTTCTCTTTCTCTCTCTCTCTCTTTTTTTTCAGTCTTTTAGTGTGCTCTCCCTCGTTGGATTATAAATGCTTATATACCTGTCTACATGTGGTCCATGCAGTGACAGAATTTTAGGAAATTAGGAAGTGTGGGATCTCTGGTCTGAAGGTGGTTTTAAGACATAGTCGTACACATGGCATCACCCACTGCTGACCACAGTTGCTAATCTTGGGGACCACAGCAGCCTGAGTTCTGAACCCTTGCCTTTTCTGCACTGTAGCTTTCAGGCTCATTGGTGCCACCCCAGCTTCATAGCACACAGGATGAGAGAGAACACTTCACCTGCAAGACTCTGGTTGATGAAGCCATTTTTCCTCCAGGTGTTCCCAGGCATGTGTTTAAGTGTGTTCCTCATCTGCTCACACAGAGCTCGAAGCAGGCATGCTCCTCTCCTCTTCTCCTTCAGATACTTCACCACTTTCTGCTTTTCTCTCCTCAGCTGTCTGCAGAGAACAGACTTCTTCACCCTCAGGAACCTCACTGCAGCCCTACATCTCTGCGGCTGGACGTCCCCATTGATCACAGACCAAGGCCAGGATGTGCTCCATATGTCTTTCCCTTTCTGCTGTTTTCTAGGCCCGAGGAGTTGACCGTGTGAGTCCTGGCTTGTCAATGGTGCAGCGGGGGCTGCAGCGACTCTGGCTCTGTGGCTTCACTGTGCCTGTGGGTGGCCGACGAAGCCATCATCTTGAGTGCATGGTGCCACCAATGCGTGTGGCAATCAGACAGGAAATGACATGGCTATATTGAAGGCCAGCCTCCGGCACTGTGGCTTCACTGTGCCTGCGGGTGGCCGATGAGGCCATCGTCTGAGTGCACAGTGTCACCAGTGGATGTGGCAATCAGACAGGAAATGACATGGCTATACCAAGGGCCAGCCGTGTCTATGCTGCCTTCAGACAGTTGGGTCAACCCTTGCCAGGGTCCAGACTCAGTCTCTGAAAAGGTCCCCCTTCCTCAATGCTCCTAAGACTGAAGCACCTACCTGGAGCTCACTGGGCCACTCACATGGGTTTCCGTGGCTATGCTACACGGGAAGCCAAGTCATAGTCAGAAGCCACTTGACTGATTGTGAAAAAAATGGCTTTCAACAAGACCAGGAATAAGCACAGCACATGTTCTCTGTTTAGACAGCCAAGAGTGGTTAATCTACTTGCCCAGGACGGGCCAGCTGGAGCTGCAGAGGAATGAACCCAGAGCCTGTGCTCCAGGCAGGCACACACACGGCCTCTGGGGTGGGGGTCGGGGGGACTTGGGGCTGGGAGCCACACACGCAACCTCTGGGGGGTCACACACATGACCTCCGAGGAGCTTCCCATGCTAGTCTTGCACAAATCCCTAAGAGTTATTTCCAGGGTATCATATGCTGATACCCTGGAAACACATGTTAAAAGCTGATGATGGTTACTTAGCGGGGTGTCTGGGCCTTTTTTGGTCAGAAACAAGAACTAGAAAGGATGAATCTGAAATTCAGAGAAAGTACTGTAGGACAGTGGTCCCCAACTTTTTTGGCAGCAGGGACCGGTTTCATGGAAGACAATTTTTCCACAGCCGGTGGGAGTAGTGGGGATGATTTTAGGATGGAACTGTTCCACCTTGGATCATCAGGCAATAGTTAGATTCTCATAAGGAGCACACAACCTAGATCCCTCGCATGCACAGTTCACAATAGGGTTCATGCTCCTATGAAAATCTTTTGCTGCTGCTGATCTGACAGGAGGCAAAGCTCAGGTGGTAATGCTTGCTTGCCCAATGCTCACCTCTTGCTGTGTGACCTGCTTCCTAACAGGCCCCAGACAATCCTGGTCTGTAGCTGGGGGTTGGGGACTCCTGCTGTAGAAGAATGAGCAGTTGCAACCAGCTCCACAGCTGAGTAGCTGCCATCACCAGCCTGGAGGGTCAGGCTGCCTCACAGGCCCTTCACTCCATTATTGGGCAAATGGAAAGGACTCATTCGGGCTGTCTCCTGGGGGAAAGGTCATAACGTGTGGCGCAGGAGCTTGTGTCTCTGATAGGCTGCACACTCCTTCCATGACTGATGGTCAGCGTGGGGAATGCTCCACAGGTTTTTTGAGTATGAGAGCCCACAAGTATTTTAGTTTATGAAGAATGTTCATACATGTCATTTCATTCATGGGTGAACTCAAACTCGAAGGACACAGAGGCAGTAAACGCCAGGTGGACTCCACATCAGGGGCCGACCAGGGTCCCAAGCCCAGTGATCTCATAAACCCCCAAAAGCGGGCCTCCGCCCCTGGGCTCTGGTAGATGGCACTGGTAGCATACTCTCCACCCCTTCCTGGCCAGTGGCACCCACTGCCTGCCTTCATGCAGGAGAGAGAGCCTCATTCAGGTCTTCAACAAGCCAGCTTTTATTTTTATTTCAGATTTAAGCCAATTCTTGTCAAGATCAATAGCATCTTGGTCAATAGAATTATTTGAAACCCTTAAGATACATAACTTTAAGTAGCCTTTGGAATAATGCACTTTAGAAATATTTTCAAAGGCATTTGACTGGAACAGCAAGGGGGTTACTCTCACTGGAGAATCCTTTCAGGGAGATGATTCGGCAGTTCAGAGTCATTTGGGCAAGCGATTCATTCTCAGCAGACCACAAATATCCCCCAGCCCTTCCTCCATCTGTGTCCCAAAACTAACAAGCCTGTTCTTCTCTTGGGAAACATTAATCTGACTAATGGCCTCAATCCCCATCTCATACCCTTCCTGGGAAGACTGGATCATCATTAACAAACCCCAAATCTTCCAGAACCTCCCTATGACTGACCAACACTCATGTCCCGACGTATGGACTACTTCCTCACGTGCCCCCCAACTCTGTTTCTCTTGCTCCCAATAGATCAGCTCTCCCCTTGGCTGGAGGCAAGTGGACTGTGCAGGGGACACTCCCTGGCAGCACCAACCCGCCTGCTGCCCAGATGCCCCTCACACCCTGCAGGGCCACGCTGCCAAAGGCCATGGCTTCCTGGTGACAGCAGTACTCCTGGAAACATTGTAAATCAACCCCACAGCCTTTCCCAGCATCTTTCCTGGGCAGAGGAGGAAAGAGCCCTGCTGTGAACAGTGTGGTCATGGGCCAGGTGTCCAGGAACAAGAGAAGTCACCCGCATGCTTGCATTCCACAGAGGGCAGTTTCACTGGCCCTGGGTCTGCTATCTGTCACACAGGTGGCACTGGATTTCAGAGTTTCTGAGGGGCGTTTTCTTTTGTTCTTACCCCTACCAAACACTATCTATGCAGGTCAAATCCATAGCATCTGTGGGCCCCTCATTTGAGGACTGCCTAAGCTCATTCTCAAAAAAAAAAATAAATAAATAAAATGAAAACCATCAAGCAGGCAGAGACGATGAAAACCATTGCTTCAGAGTGTGTCTGCCTCAGTCCTGTCTCCTGGGGGACAGGGGTGTGTAGAGAGTATGGCCACTGAGCCTGGACAGGAGCTGTGGGGTGGGTCTGCAAGCTGCGTGTCAGCAGTTGAGGTGAGGAATGGTACAGAATGAAGACTGTCTGTGAGTCCCCTGAAACTCACACCATCATTTCAGGTCTTCATACACACGAAATAATCCATGAGATAACTTTTCCAAATTAACTGCAAGAAGTCTTTAAGAGGTTGTGGGGGAACTTTTTACAGGAGCATACGATGGGAAATGTTTTGAGGGAGTCTTATTTCCCCCAAGACTATTAGAATTTTAAACACACAGGTCTCTCAGCAGGCTACCTCTGCTCTAAAATGCTGAAAATTCTATAAATTCTCAATGAGCTGTTATAAAGAGATTGTGCCATACCTGTTTAAAACTAGTGTACCTTATTCTGAAGGGCTTAAAATGTTGAGAGGGAGAGCTTAATGAGGAAAGAGAGAGGAACAAGAGAGAAAAAGAGAAATTGGCTCCTTTAAGAAGTTTCTGGCAGAAAATCAGCTTTAAAAATAAGTTGCTCAACTCAAGAAAAAAAATTCTCTGCAGAATGAACAACTGTAAGGGGAGAGAGAGAGATGGGGGCTAGGCAGAATTCCGGATGGCTCCTGGGGTCTCCCACTGGTGTGTTCCCCCATGTGATTGCCTCCCCTTGAGTGTGGGAAGGACCTGTGACCCTCCCAATGGGATCTGGCAAGGTGATGGGCTGTCCCTTGCGAGATGAAGTTGCTGTATGTGTATATACCGTACAAGGTTTTGTCTTGCTGCGTACACAGGGAGACACTGTCGTGGCCCTTGAGGAAGCAAATGCCATCTTGTAACCAAGGACAGGGCCATGTGGGGTGGCTGGGAAATGCAGAAGGCCTTGGGCTTCAATCCTGCTATCACAAAGAGCCACATTCTGCCAGCAGCCAGAGAGCTTGGAAGGGAACCCCAAGTTTCAGATAAGGACATGGCCTGATTGGACCCCAACCTTGCAAGTTCCTTGGCAGAGGACTCAGGTGAGCCATGCCCAGACTTCTGACTCCTGGATACCATGAGATAATAGATGGGTAGTTGTGTGAGTGGGTGTGTTTAAAAAATAGCTGTATTTTACACACATACGATTCACCCATTAAAAGTATACAATCCAACATACTATAGTGTAATATATTCACAGAGTTATGAAATCGTCAACACTATCTAATTTTAGAACACTTTCACTTCTCTTAAAAGAACCCCAGTCCTCATTAGCTGACTCCATATTTCGCTTTCTTTCCTGCCCAGCCCTAAGTAACCACAAACCTAGTTTCTGTCACCATAGACTTGTCTATTTTGGACATTTTATATTAATGGAATCATATAATATGAGGTCTTTAGTGACTACATACTTTCACTTACCATATTGTTTTCAAGGTTCATCCATGTTGTAGCATGTATTATGGCTTCATTCCTTTTTTATGGATGAATAATATTACATACATAAAATGTGTATAGTATAATACATTTTATTTATTAATGTATAAGTTGGTGAACATTTGTCTATCTCCTTTGGAGAAATATTTGTTCAAATCATTTGCTCATTTTTAAATTGGGTCATTTATCTTTTTAATATTGAGTTGTAAGAACTCTTTATATATTCTAAAAACAAGTTCCTTGTTAGATACATGATTTGCAAATGCTTTCACCCATTCTTTTCACTTTCTTGATGCATCTTTGGCAGCACAAAGTTTTTAGTTTTGATAAAGTCTTATTTATCTGTTTTTTTTTCTTTTGTAACCTATGTTTTTGGTGTCATTGTTAACTATTATTAACAGTTAACTATTGTTAATAGTTGAGAAACTATTGCCTCACCCAACGTCATGAAGATTTACTGCTATACTTTCTTGTAATAGTTTTATAGACTTAGCACTTACATTTAGATAGATGATCCATTTTCAGTTTGCTTTTGTGTATTGTGTGAGGTAGGAGACCAACTTCATTTTTTTTTGCAGTTGATATTCATTTTTCCTAGTACCATTTTCTGAAAAGACAGTGTTTTCTCCCATTGAATTGTCTTTGTACCCTTGTAAAAATAAGTTGACTGTAAATGTAAAGATTTATTTTTAACTCTCAATTCTATTCCATTGATACATATGTTTATCCTTACACCTGTGCCACACAGTCTTGATTACTACAGCTTTGTAGTAAGTTTTGAAATTAGAGTGTAAGTTCTTCAACTTAGTTTTTTACTATCAAGATTGTTTAGGCTATTCTGAGTTCCTTGCATTTCTGCACAAATTATAAGATCAGCTTGTCAATTTCTGCCAAAAAAGCCAACTGAGATTTTGATATAGATTGCATTGAATTTGTAGATGATTTGGGGGAGCATGACAATCTTGCCAATATTAACTCTCATAAACCATGAACATGGAGTAGCTTCCTATATATTTAGATCTACTGTAATTACTTTCAACAATATTTTATAGTTTCAGTATAAAAGTTTTGCACTTTTTTATTGAATTTATTCCTATGTCTCTTATTCTTTTGATGCTATTGAAAATTGTTTCCTTTAATTTCTTTTTCAAAATATTCATTGCTAATGTATAGAGACATGATGGACTTTGTACATTGATCTTGTGTTCTGAGACCTTGCTGAACTTATTAGTTCTCATGATGGATTTTTATAGTGGATTCCTTAGGACATTTTTGTATGCAATGTCATGCCATCCGCGAATTGTAGTTTTGCCCCTTCTCCAAACTGGCTGCTTTTCTTTCTATTTTCTTCATAATTGCCTTAGCTAGAACTTCCAGTACAAGGTTGAATAAAAGTGATAATAGCATTTTTGTCTTGTTCCTGATGTTAGGGGAGAATCATTCAGTGTTCACTATTAAGTATAATGTTAGCTGTGGCTTTTTCATTGATGGCCTTTATCAGGTTGGGGAAGTTCCCTTCTTTTTCTTGTTTGTTGAGTGGTTTTATTATGAAAAGGTTTTGGATTTTGTCCAGTGATTTTTTCTTGCATCTATTGATGTGGTCACTTTTTTTTATTCCATTAATATATTGCATTACACAAATTGCTTTTGAATGGTTAAACTAACTTTGGATTCTTGGAATAAATCCCACGTGGTCATGGAATAATACCATTTATATGTTGCCCAATTAAGTTTGCTTGTGTTTTGTTAAGAAGTTCTACATCTGTGTTCATAACGGATACTGCTCGGCAGAATTTTTTCTTTGTGTGTCTTTTTATGGTTTTAGTATTTGGATAATGCTGGCCTTTAATTGGCTGTTTAATATGTCTGTCATTTTACTTTTGTTTTCTGGTGTCCTGCTTTTTTTTTCTTTGCTTTCTTTGCATATAGTGAACATTTCGTAGTGTAACGTTTTAATTTCTTTGATTATTTTTAACTGTTTTTAAAAGTTATTTTATTAGTTGTTGTTCTAGAGCTTACAATATACATACCAATGTATTATAATTATTTCAGATTAATTCTAAAGTATTGCTAAACATAATTAAAGTGGGATTTGTATATTGCCTCTTCCCTTTTCTGTACAATTATTGTTATACATATCATGTCTATAGATGTTACAAACCCAGTAATATATTGCTATAATTTTTACTTTATATAATTTTGTATCTTTTAAAGAAGTTTGGAGAAAAAAGATTAGTAAGTATAGTATTTTTTAGAGTTTATTCAACCACCTCATTTTTGTTGTCATTGTCAAATATATTTTATTTCATGTGTTATAGGCCCCAAAATACAGATAGATAGATGAATAATTTTATATAATTGTTTCTCAAATCAGTCAGGAGAAAGAAGGAGAAGAAATATCACATTTTACTATCTTTTAAATTACTCGTATAGTTACTTCTACTGGCACACTGTTTTTTCATGTGGATTTAAATTACTGTGTGGTGCCTTTCAGCCTGAAGAACTTCCTTTAGTATTTCTTATGAGGTTGGTCTTCAACCAATACATTTTCTCAGTTGTGTTTTTTTTTTTTTTAAATCTGGGAATCTCCTTCTCTCTTAATGGATAGTTTTTGCTGGATATGAGATTCTGGTTTGGTAGTTGTTTATCTTTTCTTTCAGCATTTTGAGTACGTTATCCCACAACATTTGGGCCACCATTATTTCTGCTGAGAAGTCAGCTATTAATTTTGTACATCATGACTCATTTTTCTTTTGCTGCTTGGAAGATTTTCTCTTTCCCGTTTGTCTTTCAATATATTTACTATGATATGTGTGTCTCAGTGTAGATAACTTTGTGTTTATCATACTTGGAGTTTGTTGAGCTTTCTGTATATATGAGAAAATGTTTTTCTTCAAATTTGGCAAGTTTTCCGTCATATTTTTCTTTCAAATAGTTTTTTCTGCTCCTTTCTCACTCTCCTCTCCTTCCGGTACTCCCATTATTTGTGCATTGGTATGTTTAGTGGTGCCCTACCTTTTATATGTTTCTGTTCATTTTACTGTGTCTTAGAGCTACCTGCCTCTTATTAATTGCTCTCTACCCACAAACATGTAAACTGTTTTCCCCAACACCCTCAGGCACGGATTCCCTACTTTCTGTTCCAAATAAAGCCAGTCCTCCCCAGCAAGACTGCAGAGCTACCTTGTGGCCTACCTATACCTCTGGACAAAACCCCAGCATCTCTGCATCACAGCAAAAAGGCTGGGTCCTGCTTCTACAAGAGTGAGCTTCCCACTTTATAAGTGGGCCCTGGTGGGGCTAGGGGTACCTCCTGGTCGTCACAGTCTGACCCTCCCAGCATGACACTTCTATCCTTCAAGTGATCTGGGACAGGGAGTGATTGGGACCCCTGCACACTTGACCTGTCACATCTGGAGCAGAGTTTCTATTGTATGAGTGGGGGTTGGGTAGAGTAAGCAAGACATAGCCCCTTCAGCTGTGCTGGTCTGAAATAGAGCTTCCGTAACATAGGGCTGGGGGGATAAGAAATGCTACTGCCTGCCCATCCAAGGATGGAACTGTAACCCCAGACTAAGATCTAGGGGACAGGATACCCCTGACTTCTTGGCTGCATACACCCTGGGTAGAGGTTAACACAGAAGGCCATAGCTCAAATGCAACAGACTCTCACTGTTCTCACCAGGAATTGGTAGATTTTCTCTACCAATGGAGAAATAAATGTTTCTCCATTTGCTGTATGGCCTTAGAACAATTTCCAGAAACTTTAAATGATCTTTTAAAATAATATCACCCAGTAAATTGTTTTGTTGGACAGAGGGTTCATTGAGCTCCTTACTCCATCATTCCAGAAGTCTCACTGTCTGTATTTCTTCACAAATTTCTTTGATGTGTGGTAATTTGTTACATAGTAATAGGAAACTAGACAAGTGTAATTTGTGTTCTGGTTGCTATACTATTGATGTATTTATTGAGAAGCAATCAGCCTCCGCGGAGATGTGCCGTAGGAGCAACACCTCTCCAGAAGAGTCTCCCATGTGTGCCCAGAAGCAGGTGGCTGAGGGTGTGCCTCTCTGGAGACCCCCAACTTTTCTGAGGGAGCACACGGGGACCTGCTTAAAGCACAGGAGCAGCGTGAACCCAGAGTGCTGTAAGGGCCTTCACCGCTCCTGCCTGGCACCCAGGAGGGTTGAGGAACAGCAAGTCCCAATTCCTATAGCCTTAAAGCACTCCTGATCAAAGCAGCTTATCCTCAACTTCTATCAAGAAATAAATTCAGGGACAAGTGACATTTTAGACAAAGGTAATTTGAGACATTAAATGCAGTAGGAATGGTGGTCGTCCAGCTGAGGGGGATCCTTTAAAACTTATTCTGGAGACGGGGTGAGAATTAAAACCTTCAGGTGAAGCAAATGTCACAAATGGTGAAGACAAGCAGAATAAGAGGCACAGGCAAGGAACGGAAGCACATGACATGCTGCTGCCTTTCTGGGGATGGCCAGGGCACAAATGTGTCTCCCATGTGTCTGCATGGGGCTTAGCATTGATGGGTTCATTGCAGAAGCAGTGATACCTAGAAAGGGCCTGAACACATCAGCTGTCAGACAGCAGGGGAAGCGTTAGGTAAATGACTGCATTCATATAGTGGAAAACGATAGACGTCAAAACTCAGGTGTTTGATATTTTATGTTACGTTTTAATAGCATAAGGAAAAATAGAGCAGTTATTCTAACAAGCAGGGCAGAGGCTTCATGAAGCACAGCTCTAATTAGTACTATACAGTGTATACATACATATGTATCATATTTTCCAGTTCACACTGTTGTAGAAAAAAAAAAAACGGGTTCTTGTCACATGACAGGAAAAGTTAGGCATGCAGACACTTTGAAAGGTGAGGGGAACGGAATTCACTTGGCGAAAAGGAAAAGGGAAAAATAACTCTCAGCAAAGCAAGAGAGAGTCCTGCTAGCAGGTTTTCCATCTCACAAATTGAATTCCAGGTCACCACACAAGAACAGGAGAAGCCAGGCTCCTCCCCGCTGCAAACCGCGTGAATTCCCCGTGGCTCCACCTACTTCCCCCAGTGCGCATGTTGGGCACCGGTCTGCTGTGAGCATGCTCAGACAAGCCCTGGGCAGGTTCCCTCATCTGCACAAAAGCATCCATGCAAACACTCGCGGGGCTGGTCGGAGATTCGCAGCGGACCCCTTTTTATCTTCCTGGGCATTTTGCTGTCTCAACACCACACCACACCTCTGGCATGTTTTATGGAAATATAGCTATAGAGATGGTTATATATAGATAGATATTTTTAACTGGAATGCTAAAAAAAACTGTCATTTATTTATTTTTTAAATATTGAGCTCTATTCAGTGGATATAGAGCTGTTTACATTTTTTTCTTCCTTTCTTTCCTTCCTCCTTTCTTCCTTCCTTTCCACTTTTCTTTTTTTCTTTTCTTTTCTTTTTAGAGACAGGGTCTTGCTATGTTGCTCAGGCTACCTCAAACTCCTAGGCTCAAGTGATCCTCCCACCTCAGCCTCCCAACTATAGGTGTGAACTACCACAGCTGGCTAAAGCTGTCTTTTACTGAGTGGCTATTTTATGTCCTGTCATGCACAGTGCTAGGTGCTTTGGAACAAGCATTTCATTTATTTCTTGAAACAACCCTATGAGGAAGGTATATACTGGGTTGAATTAGTGTCCCCAAAATTCATGTCTGTGCAGACCTGTGACTATGATCTTACTTGGAAATGAGGTCTTTGCAGAAGCAATCAAGTTAAGTTCATGCTGGATTAGGGAATAGGTCGTAACGTGATAACTGGTGTGCTTATAAGAAGAGGGAAATTTGGACACAGGCACATAGGGGACAGGGTTGTGTGAAGATGGAGGCAGAGATTGGGGTGATGATTCACCTTGAAAACAAGGCACACCAAGGCTTGCTAACAGACACCAGAAGCTAGCAAAAAGGCAAGACAGGATTCTCCCCTAGAGCTGTAGCAGGACGAGCCGCAGACAAACCCCTCAGACACTGAGTTAAAGAAGGAAGGTACTTTATTCAGGCAGGAGCTTTGGCAAGACTCACATCTCAAAAACCGAGCTCCCTGAGTGAGCAATTCCTGTCCCTTTTAAGGGCTTACAACTCTAAGGGGGTCCGTGTGAGAGGATCTTGATCAATTGAGCAAGCAGGTGGTAAGTGACTGGGGGCTGCATGCACCGGTAATCAGAACGGAACAGAACAGGAAAGGGATTTTCACAGTGCTTCTCCAAACAATGTCTGGAATCTATAGATAACATAACCGGTTAGGTCAGGGGTCGATCTTTAACTACCAGGGCCAGGGTGCAGCGCTGGGCTGTCTGCCTGTGGATTTCATTTTTGCCTTTTAGTTTTTACTTCTTCCTTCTTTGGAGGCAGAAATTGGGCATAAGACAATATGAGGGGTGGCCTCCTCCCTTAGAGCCTTCAAACTTGTGGACTCTAGAACTGTAAAAGAATAAACTTCTGTTCTTTTAAGCCACTTAGTTTGTGGTGGTTTCTTGCAGCAGCTCTAGAAAACTAATACGTGGTATATTTATCCCCATTTGATACATCAAGACAATTAGGATCAGTAGAATTAAGAAAACTACCAAAGGCCACACAGTTCCTCACTGAAGAAACAGAAATCAAACACAGCAAGGTGGTTCCCAGGGACACCTGGAACCACAGGCCATACTACCTCCCAGTTTTTGGAAAATTCCACAGGAAAATTTTTTAAAAAATATTTCAGCATTTATTTTGAGTAGTTGAACAATAGATTACTTTTATCTTCTTCATCATAATTTTTGTTATTCTTTGTTTTATACTGAACACAAAATCTTAGGGTTATAAGGTTTATAACCCAAAGAAAATAGCTGTTATTAAAGAACTATGGCTCCAACAAAGGTGGGACCATGGTCCCAGGTACGGGCAGCCACTACACCTGTCCCTTCCATCACCTCCCTCAGGACAGTTGTGTTGAGTCTAAATCCAAAAAACAGTAGTGGCTTTCCCTCCTATGAAAGAGCCTCACAGTGCAGCAGAGTCCGGTAACCAAATCACTAGTTGTTCAATCACCCAAGACAGTTTGGAATGAGCCTGGGTGGAATTTCCAAGAGAGTGGAGACCATCCTTCAAGACCCAGATTCTCGAGGAGCATTCTTTTATCAGTGATTTTCCTGCTTCATCGCACACCATCCTGTGACCCAACACCACTGATGTTGTCTGATTCAAAAAGACAGGGTGCACAAGTACAATTATTTCCGCCAAAATTGATAAACATTTCTGTTTACCAGACGAGGGCTTTGGAAATGCCACCCAGATGAGAACTTGGACACAGGTGTGTTGGCCTCCTTCCTCCTAATTCCACTGGAGTAACCACTGGAGGCAATAGCAGGCCTAGGCTCTTCTTTTCTGGCCTTTGCTTTCCTAAAATCTGACTGTATTAAAGAGGTTATCCTAAGAGCCTTTGTTGGCAACAAGAGGAAAGAGAGAGATTTCTCAGAGGCTAAGCAAGTATGTGGAGACAGGGAGAGGAGTGGTTGGGAGTAGAAACAAAGAACCCAGAGGAGGAGTGAGACCAGACAAGGAATAGAGGGTGAACCCAAGCACTGGGGCTCTCAGCCTTGGCTAAAATTCCTGTATCCCTCTCGGGTCATGGGAATAGAGAGCTTCCAGGTCCACTGGGCCACTGCCAGCTAAGACAGTGAGGAAGCCTGCAGCCTCTATGATGAATCTCAGTCTAGCAGCCCTTCCTATCACTTGGATGACCCTCGGGGTGTAATCTAGGAGAGCAAGAGATTACAAGACTGCCTGAGATCCAGTTCTACACCATCCTGAAAGCATAAAGATTTAGTCATATTTCAAGAAAAATAAAGGAATAGATATGTCTTGCTTAATGGAGGTTGGGGTCTGAAGCTTGTATCTACTACTTATCAACACACATATGAGTTTTTCTTGTGGTTTAGGCTTTTCTTGACTTTAGGAAACCAAGTCTGAAACAAAAAAATTTGTGAGAAAAATCATTTGTATGAATATATATATATATATATATATATATATATATATATATATATATACTGAAATATATTTGAAAATATATACTGAAAGTATATATTTCAGATACTGAAATAAATGTCAGTGTGTGGACATTCAAGGGTGACTGCGCACACACATGAATATATTCACTGGCTCTGTCTGCCAAGAGGGTCTGGAAGCATAACATCCCAGGGCAACAAGTTCATCCAGCACCCAAATCTTGTTATCTAAAAACCATTTTCCAATAAATGGAAACACGATTCCCCAGAGAATTGGCTGATTCTAGGACAGGGGCAGAGAAACTACAAAATGAGCCTGGAAAATCTTGCAGTGCCGGCAATTAAGAAAGTTCTCACAAAAAAAAGGAACAAAAAATAACAAGTCAGAGGCATTTTGAAAGAGCATAAGGGCCAACCTGAAAAAAAAAATCCCAATGGCCAAAATCAGAACAAATTGAGCAATACAATAAATAAGGAGAGTGTTTGCTTGTGACCCAGAGAGTAAAATAAATATCTGTGAGTACTTACTGATATAAATAAATGATTGAAAAATAAATAAATGAGGAAATAGACAAATCTTCCTTAATAATTTCTAAATAATGTAGAAAGAATGAGTGAATAGAAAAATCACCATTAGAACAACACAGTGGTAATTGCTGAGGGCAAAATCCACTGATGGATGCTAAAATTAGTGAGTAAAACTTGAAAAAGAAGCAGGTTATTGGCATGGCCTCAAAGTGTCTATGCCAAAATAATTCTTAATTATCATGGTGGTTTTAATATGGATCCACAAATGCTTTGATCCACTTCCAGAAGTGGATCTTACTTCCCCTCCCCTGAGTATGAGCTGGACTTGGTGACTCTCATCTCATCAATTGTGTAACGAAAGAGAAAAATAGCAGCTTCATGGAGGAGGAATCTGGCAGGCACTTCCTCAACCACGTGGTCCAGGTTTCCATCAACAAGGACGTCATCTGGCATCATGCACCCACTGATGGAAGGTGATGAGGACGCTTGCCTCTGTCTCATTCTCCCGCAAATCTATAATCCTAGTGTAACTAGGAGAAAACATAAGACAGACTCAAATGAAGGGACACTCTTCCAAATACCTGACCAGCTCTCTTCAAAACCATCAAAGTCATGACAACAAGAAAAGGTTGAAAATTGCCACAGATTGGAGGGGACTAAGAAGTCATGAAGACTAAATGCAGTGTGGAAGCCTGGATTGGATTATTGGGCAGAAGGAGGACATTCATAGAAAAAACAGGTCATAGCTAGACCTGCTAATAGTGTAGTGTAGTTAATAGTGTAGTGCAAATGCCATTTTCTTTTGTTTTGTTTTGCTTTGTTTTGTTTTGAGACGGGCTATCTCTCTGTTGCCCAGGCTGGAGTGCAGAGGCACAATCTCGGGTCACTGTAGCCTCTGTCTCCCAGGCTCAGGTAATCCTCCTTCCTCAGGCCCCTGAGTAGCTGGGACTACAGGAGCCCACCACCACACCTGACTAGTTTTTTATGTTTTGGTGGAGACAGGGTTTTGCCACGTTGCCCAGGCTGGACTCAAACTCCTGGGCTCAAGTGATCCACCTGCCTCAGCCTCTGAAGGTGCTGAGATTATAAGAGTGAGCCACCACTCCAAGCCACTACTGCTATTTTCTTTTCTTTTCTTTATTTTATTTTATTTATTATTTTTCTTTTGAGACAGAGTCTCACTCTGTTGCCCAGGCTGGAGTGCAGTGGCGTAATCCTGTCTTACTGCAACCTCCGCCTCCTAAGTTCAAGCAATTCTCTTACCTCAGCCTCCAGAGTAGCTGGGATTACAGGTGCATGCCACCATGCCCAACTCATTTTTTTATTTTTAGGAGAGGTGGGGTTTCACCATGTTGTCCAGGCTGGTCTTGAACTCCTGACCTCAAGTGATCCTTCTGCCTCGGCCTCCCAAAGTATTGGGATTACAGGCGTGAGCCACTGCACCTGTCCACTAATGCTATTTTCTTAGTTTTGACAAATATACTGTGGTTATGCAAGATTTTAACATTAGTGAACATGAGAAATCGCTGTACTATCTTTACAACTCATCCATAAATCTAAAATTATCTCAAAATTTTGAAAAATGAATTAGAATAAGGTGGACCTTCAAATGTTGGAGAATGAGAGGCTATGGAGGAACAGCCATGAAAAGGCCTGGTAATATATGAAATACTGAAAAAATGTGGGTTCCTCTCTTCACATCCTAAGGCCTTTCCTTTGCTGAGGAAACAGGATGAGCACCCAATTCAATCCAACGTGGTAGCCACTTGGATGCATTTTTTTCCCCTAAGAAGGGTTGTGACTGTAATTGGAGAGCCATTTTAAGTACGATAAAGAGAGGTGAAGTTTCAAGTGTCAGAGACCAACTAGAGCAGAGGCCACCTCGCCAAAGTGAAAGGCTCATGCCCTGTGTGGTGACTAAGGGTGTGGCTCCACCATTGGATTTAGCAATTCCGCCTCCAGGTAGGAGTGTATTCCATGGGGAAAAAAGAATCATGTATATGTGCAAATATTTAGATAGGCAGACATTCACTACTGTGTTGTTTATAATACTCAAAAATGGAAATCAAGTGATCACCTAAGAAAAAAGAGTTAAGTAAATCATAGCCTGTCTGCAAAAGAAATACTATGCAGTCATTTCAGAAAGATGTTGAAGTATGATGGATATTATTCAGCCTTAAAAAGACAGGAAATTCTGACATATGCTACAGCATGGGTGAAACCTGAGGACATTATGCTAAGTGAAGTAAGCCAGTCACAAAAAGGCAAATATTGGGTGAGTCCACTCATATGAGATACCTAGACCAGTCCAATCCATAGAGATAAAAAGTAGAATGGTGGTTGCCAGGGGCAGAGCAAGGGGGAAATGGGGAGTTGCTTAATGGGTGTAGTTTCAGATTTGAAAGATAAAAAGAGTTCTGGAGATGGATGGTGGTGATAGCTGTATAATATTAATGTATAATATTTAAAGTAACTGAACAGTACACTTAAAAATGATTGACGATAAATTTTATGTGTGTTTCACCACAATAAAAAAAAAAGATGTTCAAGAACACAATATCACATGGAAACATGTAATAATATATTGTTAAATGGAAAAAGCAAGTTGCAAAAATAACTTAAAATGTGCGATTTTGTAAACACACACACACACACTCCACAGAGAAAAATGTTGGAAAAGGGAAGATGCTAACAAATTCACAAATCTGGGTAGTGGAAACAAAGTGATTGCTATTGCCTTCTTTTTGTTTATCCATATTTTCAGATCTTCCAGGAACTTCCCATTCTTGAAAATTACAGCAAATGTTGTGTTTGTAAGAGTGATATGGGAGGCTCCCTAAGCTATTCTGAGCCTCAGGTTTGAGGGTTCCTGGGAATGGAGAATTGAGATGGTGTATGTACAGGGATGCACGGAGGCAGTCCACCCTCCCTAGAAGCAGCTTTAGTGAGACTGTGGCAATGGCTGCAGGGATCCCAATCTACACTTAAACATTAGTCCAAGGGGCCCTTGCCTTGGGCTTGGATGGAGGAGGCCACCAAGCCCAGGGCCTCCAGGAGTTCTCTTCTTCCTCCCTGACTTCACCTCCTACAGATATTTCTGGAGTTTTCCCTCCCACTTCCTTAACTTTTTAAAAAATTTTAATTTAATTTTTTTTCATTTTTTTCCATAGGTTATTAGGGTACAGGTGGTATTTGGTTACATGAGTAAGTTATTTAGTGGTTATTTGTGAGATTTTGGTGTGCCCATCATACGAGCAGTATACACTGCACCCTATTTGTTGCCTTTTATCCCTCACCCCTCTCCCACCTTCCCTCCAGGTCTTCAAAGTCCATTGTATCATTCTCATGCCTCTGCCTCCTCATAGCTTAGCTCCTACATACCAGAGAGAACATACGATCTTTGGTTTTTCATTCCTGAATACCTCACTTAGAATAGTAGTCTCCAATCTCATCCAGGTCACTGCAAATGCTGTTAATTCATTCCTTTTTATGGCTGAGAGTATTCCATTGAATATATATATACCACAGTTTCTTTTCTTTTCTTTTTTTTTTTGCAGTGGCAAGATTTAATAGAGTGAAAACAGACTCCCATAAAATGGGAGGGGACCCAAAGGGGGTTGCCATTGCAAGCTCAAATGCCTGGGTTTATATCCAGATCATTGTCCCTCCTCCTGTTCTTTCAGGCGATAGATCATTGGCTATTTCTTAACCTCCTGTTTTTGCCTAATTAGCATTTTAGTGAGCTCTCTTTACTACCTGATTGGTCAGGTGTGAGCTAAGTTGCAAGCCCCGTGTTTAAAGGTGGATGCAGTCATCTTCCCAGCTAGGCTTAGGGATTCTTAGTTAGCCTAGGAAATCCAGCTAGTCCTGTCTCTCAGTACCCCCTCTCAACAGTTAAACTCAAGTGCTGTTGGGGAGGTTGGCCGATGACCACTCTAACTGCTTCCTGCTGAATTGGGGTGTAGTAGGGGTCATGCAGTTGAAATTTCCTTGGGACGGGTGACTTCGATGTCACCAACATCAAAGCATGAGCTAGCAGGCTGGTCCAGGGGTCCACGGTAGATCTTAGTCATGGACTGCATCTGGAGCTCCATTTGAAGAACAATTTGTAGTTTTACAGCTTCGATTCTGGAAGAGACAAACTTAACAAGGAGGTTAAAGATACAGGAATTGGAATGTATGGTCTGTAATGTAGGGGATTATTTCTTTGGCACACTTTACAGGCCCTGACTATATGCTTGATGGGTTTGAAAAGGCCTGGTCCACTAAATAATAATTTGGCCATCTGATGGATGCTATCAATGCCTAAGTGAAAGGTTTGGTGAAGGGTTTTAAGTAATTTCCATTGGTTAGCTGCAGGCAAAAGTATTTTTCCTTCTTCAGTGGCTAGCCATCCTGAGGGGAGGAACCTATGTCCTTGTGAGGTTCCCCATTCTATTTCTCCTGCTGAGTACTGGGGCTTGGTTTCCCTGAGGGGATTACCCCATACTAGGGGTTATTCTATAAGCATTTCTAATGAAGGGTCCTGCCTTGCAGATCTTTTGGCTTCAATATCTGCTTGGCAGTTCCCTTCTATTTCTTCTTTCCTTTCCTTTCTGATGACCCTGGCAGTGTGAGACTGCCACCTGTTAGGTTTCTGTACAGCCAATAATAATCTCCTAATGGCTTTCTGGTGTTTGATAGGTGTTCCCTCTGAACTTAGGAATTCCCTTTCTCTCCATATTGCTGTGTGGGCATGGAGGACTGGGTAAGCATATTTAGAGTCTGTATAAATATTTACCCTTTTTCCTTCTCCTAATTCTAGTGTATAATGGCCCCTGCTTTTGCTAGAATGTCTCTCCCTAACAAGGGAGTGGGGCTTTCAGGCATAATTAGAAAAGCATGTGTAAAGAGTCAAGTTCCCCAGTCACAACTTAGTGGCTTGGAGAAGTATCTAGTGACTGGCTGTCCTAGGACCCCTCAGATAGTGACAGTTCTGGAGGACCGTTGTCCAGGACAGCAGAGTAAGACTGAGAAGGCCATGCCAGTGTCCAGGAGACAGTTAACCTCCTGGCCCTCAATGGTCAAGCATACCTGGGGCTCTGTGAGGGTGACGGCATGGGCTGACACTTGCCCCGGGCACCCTCAGTCCTGCTGCTGGATCATCTGGTTAGTGGCTTCTGACTCAGAAGACCTTCATTCCCTGGGGCAGTAGGCCTTCCAGTGATTCTCTTGACATAAGGGGCATGGATGAGGAGGCAGCTTATTTCTATTCGGACAATCTTTTTTAAAGTGTCCTTGTAGACCACACTGGAAGCAAGCCCTATTAGGCATTCGATTTGCCCTGCATTTCCATGTTCCAGAGCCTCCAAAGTCTGCTTGCCTGAGGGCCATGACTAAAGCGGTGGCCTTTTTCTTATCTAGTTTGTCCCGTTCTGCCTGTTCCTCCTGATCTCTATTATAAAACACCGAGGTTGCCAAGTTCAATAGGGTTTCTAACTTTTGCTCCAGGCCTAAGGTGGACTTTTGAAGTTTTTATTAAATATCTGCAGCTGACTGAGTGATAAACTTATCCTTTAAGATTAGCTGGCCTTCAATAGAATCACGTGACAGAGAGGTATGCTTCCTCAATGCCTCCCTTAGTCTCTTCCAGAAAGGCAGTAGGATTTTCTTCCTTTCCCTGTGTTATAGTGGACATCACTGAATAATTTATAGGCTTTTTCCTAGTTTTCCTTACTCCTTCTAGCATGCAAGTTAGTAAATGTCTGTGGCACCAATCTCCGTGTTCTGATTCTGTGTCCCAGTGAGGGTGTACACTGGGAACTGCCTGCTGGCCTGTGAGGAATTGTTCTCTTTCCTCTGTTGTCAATCTATCATTGACCTGACTGAGAGACCAGAGATAGCCAAACTCTCGGGCTGCAGTTATGGCAGCACTTCTCTCATTTGGGGTTAGTGTCTGATCTAGCAGTAACATTATATCTCTCCATGTCAGATCAAAGGACTGTCTTAACCCTTGTAAAACATCAATATAGCCATTGGGGTTATCTGAGAATTTACCTAGGTCTATTTTAATTTGTTTAGTGCAAACAGCTTGCACGTTTGAGCAGACCAACTATTAAGCAATTCTCCTAACTTTGCTTCCACAAGGTCTCCCTATCAATTACTGAATACCCATTGTGGTTTTTTCTCAATCACCTGGGAGGAGCCATCTATAGTCCTGTCCTGAAGGGATTTCCTCCTAGGTCTGGTCAGACCTTTGTATGGTAATTAAGATTTAAATCCCCTATTAGGAAATCTGCTGGGTTAAAGGAGTTTTCAGTGGTTAATGTTAAATCAACTTTTTCTAACAGAATAGCCCCATACTTTAAGATTTGAGTTAGTAAGCTACCTTTTTGCTTTTTAAACTTAGGATAGTTCTGAACTGGTGAGGTGTGCTCACAATGAGGTTTCCTGTAAAGGTTATTTTTCTACTTTTAGCAAAGTGGTTGCCACTACTGATTGAATGCATTTGGGCCATCCGCGGGTTGCTGGGTTAAGGATTTTTGCTAGGAAGGTTACAGGTTGTCAGTGGTCTCAGTGCTTTCAGGCTACGCCCTTGTTTACACCGACAACAAGTTGGTATTGGAGTGTTATAGGGTCACAGAGAAGACCTTCAATTATCAATTATAGATTTTAATTTACCCTGGCTTTTAAAGGAATAGGGCACACTGTTTTGTCTTTACTACTTCTATCTTTTTCTTTCTCTCTCCTCTCCATCTCTCTCTCTCCTCCATGTGTCTCTCTCTTTCCTGTTTCTCTCCTTTCTCTCTCTGCCTCTTCCTTTTCTCTCTTTCTTTTTCTGCTTTACAAATCTGGGGCCCTGGCAAGGGTGGTGGGGAATGGGTCGCACATAACTGTCCATGTCAAGAGCTGTATGCCTAAATTGGGAGGGACACCAGGGACAAGACTCCCTGGGTCCATAGCCTAGGTGCCTAAGGACACAGCGTAGAGCTTCCTTAGATCCCTTTGGAGATACAGCCTTCTCTAATACTTGGCAGAGGGAGCGAAATTCTGAAACACTAGTATCTAGGAGGCAGGGATCAGAGGAAGTAGATTCAGAGGTAAGGAGAATTTTGGGGCTACACTTTTAAGAAAGTCATGGTTGGGGCCCAGGAGGTATGGGTCAGAAGGAGAGGTAGGGGCACACACATGGGCAACTGTTGAGTAGACTTCTGGCTGCGCCATGATCTCAACTGGCCAATGCCAGGAGTTCAGGATGACAGCTTTCTGCCTCTAGTCAGCCCTCGGCTTCCCCAGGAAAATTGAAAGTGGAAGCTGGTTCCAGGCAGACCAACACTCCCAACAGTTGTTAGAAAGCCCTTCCCCAGACAGCCTCACACCTGAGTCTTAAGTCTGGCGGCCACGCTAATCGTTTTTAACTGGCGACAGGTGCCCAGTATTTTCCTCCAATTCTAAGGGGATAGGACAGAATAGCAAATGAAAGTGGTCCAATATTACTCACCACTTTGGAGGTCCCTTCATGGTCGCCAAAATGTTACCAGGGGGTCCTTGTTCTTAGAGCTCCCAAGTGGTGGCAGGCCGCTTCCAAGATGGAGGCAAGCCTTTTGTTCTCTGACCTGGGGTTCTTGGCCTCACAGATTCCAAGGAATGGAATCTTGGGCCATGCGGTGAGTGATATAGCTCTATTCAGCTCAATTAGGACAAACCCGGGCACTTAGCCATGCAGGAATAATGGCAAGCCTTTTGCCCGATCAGGAGTGGCAATGGGTGCCTCACTGGATCAGGAGTACAGCAGACACCCTGCCAGATCCAGAGGGATGGAAGTCAGCGGTGGGTCTGTGACTGCAGCAAACAGCAGTGGTGGTTGGTGAGCAAAAGCTCAGCTCAAGCCATAACAAACACGGACCAGAGGAGTGTGCAGTTGCAAGATTTAACAGAGTGAAAACAGAGCTCCTATAAAATGGGAGGGGACCCAAAGGGGGTTGCCCTATATATACCACAGTTTCTTTATCCACTTGTTGATTGATGGGCATTTGGGTTGGTTCCACAATTTTGTTATTGCGAATTGTGCTGTTATAAACATGCATGTGCAAGTACTTTTTTTTTTTTTTTTTGTATAATGACTTCTTTTCCTCTGGGTAGATACCCAGTGGTGGGATTGCTGGATCAAATGGTAGTTGTGCTTTTAGTTCTTTAAGGAATCTCCACACTATTTTCTATAGTGGCTGTACTAGTTTCCATTCCAATCAGCAGTGTAGAAGTGTTCCCTGATCACTACATCCATGCCAACATCTACTGTTTTTTGATTTTTTGACTATGGCCATTCTTGCAGGAATAAGGTGGTGTTGCATTGTGGTTTTGATTTGCATTTCCCTGATCATTAGTGATGAGCATTTTTTCATGTATTTCATTTTACGTATGTTATATTGTTCATATATCTTCTTTTGAGAATTGTCTATTCATGTCCTTAGCCCTCTTTTTGATGGAATTGTTTGTTTTTTCTTACCAATTTGTTTGAGTTCATTGTAGATTCTGGATATTAGTGCTTTGTCAGATGTATAGATTGTGAAGATTTTCTCTCATTCTGTGGGTTGTCTGTTTACTCTGCTAACTGTTCCTTTTGCCATGCAAAAGCTCTTTAGTTTAATTAGGTCCCAGCTATTGATCTTTGCTTTTATTGCATTAGCTTTATTGGGTTCTTAGTCATGAAATCCTTGCCTAAGCCAATGTCTAGAAGGGTTTCTCCATGTTATATTCCAGAATTTGTATAGTTTCAGGTCTCCACTTCCTTCACTTTTTAACTGACCTTATGAGAATTAATCAGTGTACCTCACTGAGCTTCCTTGGCCTCAGGACTTTCGTTCAGAGACGGGTCATAGTGTGAGATTTAATCCTCAGTTGTCCCCACTGCCTAAAACTGTGTCCCCAGAAGAAAGAGCACTCAGTATGCAAACAAGATCTTCAAACTTCTGCTTACATTATTTTCCATCTCATTTTTTTATTCCTGTTTTTTGTAATGATTTGATCATACACATAATATATGTCAGTCATGTAGTCTAGACATTATAAAATGATGAATAAATGGTATATAGTGAGAAGGTGTACTCAAAATATTGTTCTGATGGGATGCTGGATCAAAATCCACTGGAGACCACTGGCCAACTGGAAGCTGCCCCTACCACACAAATAAATACTGGAGCCCTCTCCAGTTTGGCATGCACTGCATACTCATCCTTTATTCTCTAATCAACTATAATTATTGATCTATCTGTAGGTTTCCATTTTTCCCATCTAAGGACCTTTGCTCATGGTGTTTCTTCTTACTAGAACTTCTTTTCCCACATTTCTTCCCTTCTTAGATTGCAGGTTTCTGGAGAGTGATGTCAGCACCTGCTCCATCATGACTGTCTTCAAAGTTTTGCACAGAGTAAACGGGAAGTGGTTTATAAGATGAGTGATTGAATTATTGAACAAATTAGATGTTAGTTATTCCCATAAGCAATTAAACCCACCTGATAAGTATTGCAGTCAAGGCAGGAAAGTTAAGCATGAAAATCACAAACATATAGCAAAACAGGAAATATTGGGATGATGGTGAAATTCTCATAGTGTTTTGTTCGAGTCACTGAGAGAAATAAACCAACATATCCTTTGGCTACTGTGTGTATGTTGTGTCGATCAGTCAAAATCAGCTTTCACTATGAACTGCTCTGAGGCTGACATGGCTGAGAGCCCCTGCCCTGCCAATACTTGGTCCAGGGGTGGAAGGGGGCTGCTGTGCCTGAGCATGGAGGAGGCTGGCATCTGCTCCCCGCAGTGTGGGATCATGATGGATCCATCAGAGAGTTTACTGGGGACAAAAAGGCACTGAGCATTGGGACAAAAATCTGTCATTAGATTGATCCTTTATTCTGATATAGTAATCTTTATTTTCTGCCAAAACATACTAAACTAAAACAAAATCATGTTTGATGACAGATTGTAGACACAAATAGAAGCCCACCAGATCAAACAAAAACAGTTGACAAACAGTAAAATATTCCCCCAAAAGAACTCTTTGTCTAAACTTTTGATTGTTTGGAGGAGAATAAAACAGGTCAGGGGTCAGGCAAAGTTTTACCCATCATAGTCTTCAGGGATGTTGTGCTTTTTAAAGAAAATGGTAGTGGGGGGTGGACTTAGAGGAAACTTGAAATTGTATAAAACCCTTATTCAAATAAGGATTGATTGTTCCTTGAAAGTCCAACATAGGTTTCCTTAGAAAATGCTGGATAAACCACATTGATCTCAGCAAACATTTCCTGTTCCTTTCCTTGTGAGAGCCTCCTGGGCAGCTGCCTGCAGTATTCCTTGATGTACAGGCCCACCACATGCCCAGGGGCTCCTTGATCCACACTGGAAAACAGGGAAGCCTGCAGCACCAGGCACTCCCAACACATGCAGGGTACAGGGGCATGCGGAGCACTTTCCAGGTTAACTTGGGCCCACTTCATGGTCCAGCTTATTTCTACATTGCCTAGGAATCCTGACTTCGCAGGGGTGATGTAAAGAATGAAAACCAACCAACTGAAAGGCAAATTCTCTGGGATTCATTGCCTGGACAGGAAGAGCATAGGTGAGGCAAACACCACCCTAATGCCAGCAATCACTTTCCACTCCAGCAGGATGGCTAGTAAGTCTTTTTTTTCAGAATATAACATTGCATTCATTTAACACTCATGACTTGTGTAGAAAAATTAATACTTGTAGCACACTTTGCCTCTTTTGATTTTTAATTATGTTTTATTTATTCTATTTAGTATTTATGGTCATATAACAATATAATTATACATATTTATCATTATTAAATATTGCAGGTATATGAAAATGAATAACATATAATAAAATGAGCATCCTACCTGCCTGGAACACCACCTCCCCAGCAGAATCTCTCTCTGTGCTCCACAGAGGTCACTTGCGTCCCCATTGTCAGGTCCCTCATTCCCAACCATTTTTCATGCTGCATTTCCCATGAAATTTGCTAGAAGGTTCTGCGTGTTTGCTTTGTATGTCTTTAATGCTTTATAAATTGTGTCATAACACATGCATTCTTCAGCAACTTGCTTTTATCCTTGAGCATTTTGTTTGAGAGACTTATCTACATTATTAGAAGTAATCTAAGACCTTGTGTTTTTACTACTTTGGAACTATACTACCATTTATTTATCCAATCTCCTGTTGATGGACATTTGGCTTGTTTCTAGCTTTCTGCATTTAAAAATTGCTGCTACAAATCTCTTTGTGTGTGTCTCTTGCTTAGTCATAGACTTTCTCTAGGAAACAAACCTGAAAGGAGAATTGCTGAGACAAAGGGCTTACATGTTAGGAAAGTTTTTTCAAGTTTGTTTATAGTAAAAATTCCCTGGGTGTATCACAGATGAGAAGGCAAAGATGCATTCACAGCTCCCAAACTCACTGCTCCTGCAGGAGTTTTTGCACATGTTCTCAGGAGGGGCTTTGAAAACACATCATATAAAGATTCAATGACGGTTGGGCTCAGAGATTTGGGGATTTTCAACAAATCATAAAAGTCTTACTTGGTTTCAAACAAAATGAGCACCTAATTTAGGCATGAGTCAGCAGAATTAAGTGAAGGAGGTAGGAGACAGTGGGGATGGTGGGGGAATAGTTTCTCCTGGTCCCGAAATCATTATAAGTAGACAGTCACTAACCCTGTCCCATGGGGCAGGAATCCAAACAGGGCAAGATGAGCAAAGAGGGCTGTGGGGCTATTGCCATAAGATGTGTGCTCATGTGTGCCCATGTGTGTGCCTGGATGTGTGTGTGTGCATGCATGTGCATGTATGTATGTGTCTCTGTGTGTATGAGTATGTGTGCATGTGTGCAGACATGTGCATGTGTGTGCACATGTATGTGCATGGGTATGTGTGCAGGCATGTGTGTATGTGTGCACGCATGTGCATGGGTATGTGTGCATGTGTGTGCCTGGGTATGTGTGCAGGTGTGCAGACATGTGCATGTATGTGTGTCTCTGTGTGCATGAGTATGTGTGCATGTGTGAAGACCTGTACCTGTGGGTATGTGTGTGTTTGTGCATGTGTTTGCGTGTGTGTGTCCATGTGCATGCACGTGTGTGCATGCATATCCATATGTGTCCCTGTGTGCATGTGTCTGTGTCTGTGCGCACAGTGTGGGGGAGGGGCAGGGTGTCACTTGCTGCATCTCTTCCTATCAAAACTCACCTTCCATTTGGCTAATAGATTCTTCTATCTACTTTTTCAGCATTAAATTTTTAAAAAACTTTTGTTATATTTTGGGGTGGAGGGGACAGGATCTCACTCTGTCACCCAAATGCAGTGGCACAATAATGGCCCACTGCATCATCAAACTCCTATGCTCAAGCAATTCTGGCCCCTCAGCCTCCCAAGTAGCTGGGACGACAGGCGCGTGCCACCATGCCCTGCTATTTTTTTAAATTTTTGGTAGAGATGGGTTCTCACTATGTTGCCTACGCCTTACCTTGCCTCAAGTGATCCTCCCGCCTCAGCCCCCCAAAGTGCTGGGATTACATACGTGAGCCACCACACATGACATCTTTCAACATTTTTAAGTTACTTTTTAAGTTACTTCTTAAGTTACTTCTTAAGTTACTTCTCCTTTGTAATGGGAGAGAGGTGTTAGTTGATTTCCTCTGACTTTGGCTAATGCCTGCCAGTCTCGATTCATCAGAAATAATGATGAGAAGATTCGAATGCTCTCAAAGCCATTCCTACAGAGCCAGCCTCCTCTCTCAGGCTGTGATATTGTCTCTTATGGGTGAAGGTTTGGGTGCGGGAAAATTGAATTAGATGAAGAATATTAGCATCTCCATAAAATGAAATTTGCCAGAGAAGAATTCTTGAGTTTATGGAAAGGAAAACAGGGGAAGTTATAATGGGGTGCTGACACAATGTTGGTGCTGTTCTGAGTGTGTGTGTTCTGCAGTGGAGCCACATGCAGAACGCTGAAAGTCCCGATGGCCTGACAGCCGGGAGACATCCCTTCTGGAAACGTGCCAACTCCTCAACCAAGATGGAGCATCACTTCCTGAGAGGCTTTTGTTTCAGTCTCCCCCATGCTGGCAGGTTATTGTTCAGCATCTGGAATCTGACCCTGGAGACAGAGGCGCCGTTTATTTTCAGACTCAGCTAATCACCAAGGCCCACACCCGCCTGATGGGGAAAGTGCAAAGGTGGGAGAGACTGTTCCCAGAATAGAAGCGTTTGCTGCTAGTCCTTCCAGAAACGTTGCCAAGTACAGAGCTGAATGCAGACTGGATTTCTTCAACAGCTTCACCTACACTCCACAAATCTCTTGTCACTTCTTTCCCCAGTGCTCATATAAATACACCATGTATTTTATAATGTGTATATGAATTCCCCAAGAGAAATCTAGTTCAAACTTTCATATTGCAAACATGCCTGGCCAACACTTTGGCACTCTGTGCACCCGAGTGTGTCCATGTTAAAATGCCTACTATTAAGGGATTACTTTGCCCCCTTTCAATTTTATAGATATGCAAACTTGAGTGTGAAGTGGCATGTCCAAATTAGTGCCAGCTCATTAGGCCAATAAAAGCTGGGAATCAATCTCATTACTGTTTTTGCCCAGTTCTGAAGAAGCTTCCAGCCACCAACCTGGTGACTCAACTAGCAACTGAGAATCTTCATGCATCATCCACACCCAGTGGGGCTGTTTACACACTCCTGCCTCCACCACAAGGCCCTGCAGTCACACCTTCATCACACTCCAGCCAAACACCCAAACGAAGAGGGTCACAGATCTCTTTGAAACTTTGATGAAAGCAACCAAAAGCAAAGGCATTTGCTCACAGAAGCATTTGGCATACTTGCCCTAGAATGGCCAGTGGCATCTTCTCAGCCAAGCTTAGCAGCTGGAGCTGCCCCTTCCTCCCCAACCAGAGCCGCTCCATGACCTGACTCTGCTCAAGAGATGTGCCCTGTTCCCAGAGAGGCTCAGGCTTTCCAGCAAAGTCCGCAGGGCTGCCTGCAGCCCCTGCTTAGGGTTGGGCTGGCCCCCTCCTCCACTCACTACTTCATGCACAGCTATAATCCCCTGGGCCATGAGAGCTTGTTCACACATCTTCATTGTTCATGTCTTTCACAATAGCATAGTTGTGAAACAGTCCTGTATAAACACATCACAGACAAAGGCAAACAAGACAAAAACAGTTTCAAAAACTTTCACTTAAATGTGCTCACTGTCATAAGTTTAAAATTATTGAAAACATCATGAATTTAAAAGCCCAGGAAAACGAAGACTCGTCTATTATTTTGCCTGCAAGAAGCACACACCAGTGAGATCGTCCAGTGTGAGTCAGAGTATTTAAGGAGTAGCTCTTCAAACACTTCGATTTTTATCCCCATTGTTTTTAAGAATGGAGAGAAATGGATTGCGGTAAAAAGACGTCACTGTCCACTAAAAGTCAAAATACTGCATTTAAACTCTTCACGGCAGGCACGGATTACTTAGAATACTTTTTGTGAGGTAAACACCATGGCAGAAAATTAATGAGTCATACTAGCTAGGGATAACAAACATGGCTTGATTAGCTGCAGATAGTGAGAATTTCATTCCTCATGCATTAAGGGCTAGTTTCCTAGAGAGGAGGATCAAACAGAAACCAGTAAAAGTCCTTGGGTTGTGAGTTACAGACCTGGCCTCTGGGAGATGGGCTCTGGGCAGATGCAGAATGGCTTTTGACCTGCTTTGTGTTACATAGAAAAATGTGTGTTTGGAGGATGGTCAAATCAAGACCTCAGTTTAATGATTTCACCTCATGGGCACTGTTGTGTGGTCATTGCCTCATGCTGTGATCCATGCATTGTGTGTGTGTGCATGTGTGTGTATCTGTGCATGTGCACATGTGATTGTGAATGCATGTGCAGACATGTGTGTACATGTGCATGTCCTTGAGCAGATACATGCATCCAACGCAGTTTAACAATGTCTCCCACCTAACACTTCTCCAGATAGCTGCACAGTTGTGTTGCTCCCATGGTGTCACTGATGTGATGGTTAACTTTATGTGGTGGCTTGGCTAGACTATGGTGCCCACATGTTTGGTCAAACACCTGCTGTATTTTTAAGAGTTGATTAACATTTCAACCAGTAGATTTTGAGTGAAGCAGGTTCCTTTCTGTAATGTGGGTGGATCTCATGCAGTCAGTTGAAGGCCTTAGGGGAAAACCGACCTCTCCCTAGGAGGAGGGAATTCTGCCCCCAGACTGCCTTTGCCTTTGGACTCCAGCTGAAGCATCAAGTCTTCCACTCTTCCCTGGTCTCCAACCTGCTGGCCTGCCCTGCAGATTTTGTACTTGTCAGCCTTCACTATCACATGAGCCAGTTCCTTAAAATAAATCAGTATCTCTGTCTACACACACACACACACACACACACACACACACACACACACGCATCCTATTGGTTCTGCTCCTCTAGAGGACCCTGACTAATACCCAGCACCTTTCTATGGGTAGAAGTCAAGCAATGTTGCCAGCAGTGATATTTGGCCAACTTCATGGTCATCATGAAGACCATCATGGGAGGGTCATCACCTTGTTCCTGGCCTGTGCTATGATGCATGGGGCTTGCTTTCTGGGGTCTGCTAGTGAGAGAAGGAGCCCTGGGAGCTGAGACGAGGCCTTCATCACCCAGCCTTGGAGAAGGAGGTCAGAGAAAGTTTCTGGCAGGAGACAAGCCAGCTTGGAAAGAGACAGAGAGATGGGATGCCTTCTGGTTTCCCTGGAAAATGGGCATCAAAATGGTGGTGGAACAAGGCCACCAATTCTGGTGTTGGCAAACATGAGCTGAATTTCCCCATGGCAAACATGAGCTGAATACAGCTGGTCTGTATTGGTGCAAAACGTATTATTCTTTATTGCAGTGGTTCTCATACAGCTGAATCCCCTGGGGGACTTTTAAAAATGCCCTACCCCAGAGACTCTGACTCAGCAGATCTAGGGTGGGATCCAAGAATTTGCAATTCTTAGCTGATGCTGGCCCTGCTGATCCTGGGGCCACACTTTGAGAGCCATTGTCCTATCAGGATAAATTTTTAAGCACCCATGGTCCTCATAGATTGGGGATTGGGTGAACCATCACAGGCCATTGCATTGCTTGATGGTACTCAGAACCCAAAAGAGGGGCACCCAAGAAAAGATCGGGTTGTTAGTGCCAGCCTTTCATAGAAAAGAGCAGGAAGGCACAAGCAAGCTCCTTCTCATTTCCCGCTGTCTTCACCACCACACCAGGATGGAGTGGGCATGGAGTACAAAGGAATCCCTCAGCTCTCCCACCAGGGTGAGGTTGCACAATAAAGTATCCATTCCTTTGTCCCCCCAAAAAACATAAGAAGCTCTTGCTTCTCAGGGCATTGTGCATACACCACCTGGGAATATTAATTTAAAACACAAATAAAAAGCTACTCCTAAGACCACCAAATTCAAAGTTTGGGAGCCAGAGCCTGAGAACCTGCATTTAACAGCGCCCCATTCACATCAAGCAGACTGAAGTTGTGACCCAGCCCTATTCAGCCTCCTCCTGGTGGGTCTGGTGCCCACAGTTCCCCTCCACTCTGCACCAGGCTGCTGCACACATCCCTTCAATGCACCAGCCACTCTGCTCAGGGCAGCTCTCACCTCACCTGGCCCCTCTAAGGGATGCCCTGTAAGCCCACAGTGCTGAGTCAGTGGGATCAGTGGGCATCGGGAGATAGGGACCTGCCTGCAGAGGACAGAGGTGCCCTGGACAGTGTGGTGGGGGCCACACAAGAGCAGCCCTTGAGGGTAGATACACCACCCAGTTCCACACTCATAACTAACCACTTTCATCTGGTGAGTCGGGAACAGTGGGAGCAAATTGTGTCGCTCAGTGTTCAGCTTCACCCACAGATTAACCACAACATTAGGGACCCACAGTCCGTCATCTGCTACACATCAGAGGGAATGAGGGATGTGAGTCCTGCCCAGCGATGTCTCATTCTGACTTCGTGGGATTTCTGGCCTCTGTCAGAACAGGAAACAGGCTTGTGTTGCATTAAGGATGCTGCCCTTGCTGCGTGGACTCTTTAGGAAGGAATGAGAGCAATTTCCCCAGAGTGGGGCAGTTCCAGGTCTGGCCCTCCTTTCTCCCAGGGGCAGGAATCGGCCTTTGTGCTTAGGGAAAATGGACACTGGGCCTTGTGCTTGGAGCTTCTACTAAACTCATCTGAGAACTAAACTCTGCCCAGAAAGTTGAACAATGGACCTTCTGTGTTAGAGAGTTTGAAAGTGAAAGTGGTCATAGAGTTGAATTTTTGGAGACAACATTCTGGCTCCCTGGGAGACAGGGATTAAAGCCTGGGTAGTGTACCACCCTCAGGGGCCTTGCCAGGGCAGCTGGGTCCCAGGGCTGACATCTGAGGAGCTGCGCTCTGAGTGGGAAGGGAGAGTTCCCCTGGTCCATCTCCACCAGGGCAGAGAGCTGACTGCATGGGAGACTCCAGCTCCTGCAGGTGCCAGCCATGGATAGCCACATCCTGTGGCCCCTAGGAAGCAGCCACAACAGCTGCAACCTGGCTGAGCTGGGAGGGCTCTTCCCAATGGAGAACAAAAGCCTGGTAGACACATCTTCAGGACTACAGAAGAGATGCTCTTGAGGTAAAAGCATCCTCCATAGGAAGGGACCACAGCCCCTCAAAGTTAGTGATGATGGCTTCCTGCCAAATTTGGCTAGTAGTGCCTCAAGCCAACTCTAATTAAATGCAAGCAAAGAAAGAATGTGGTATTACTCTCAGGCTGTCGGGTAGCACACCACATATTCTGGTGATTCAGCTTCCTCAACCACATGCAGGAAGACAAGGCTCTGAGAAGCTGACAGGAGTCCAGAGGTGAGGACGCTGGAAGGCAGGTGGGCTCATGATCTGGAGCTGCTGTAACTAATGACCAGGGGCCTAAAACAACAGGACTCTATTCTCATTGCTCAGGAAGCCAGAAGTCCAAAATCAAGGAGTCAGCAATGTTGGTTCCTCCTGGAGGCTCACAGTGGAATTTATTCCATGCCTCTCTCCTCCACCCCTGGTGCTGCCAGCAACCCTTGGCTTGGAGGCACCTCACTCCCATCGCTCCCTGCATTGTCACATGCCTTCTTTCTCTGTGTCTCTCCTCTTCTCATAAGGACACTGGTCATATTGGATCAGGGCTCACCCTACTCAACTCCAATTAAGCCCAAGAAAAGAAGGAAATATGCCATTACCGCACACAAGTACCCCACACTTCAGGGATGTTTGGGAAGGATGATGTACCTTGGAACTCCTCCAGAAGCTCTATATCAGTGCAACTGGAGGTGACTTTTGCCCTCTGGGGGCACATGGCAACCTCTGGAGATGTTTTTGTTTGTCACAACTGGGAGGAGATGCCTCTACTGGCAACTAAAGGGTCCAGGCCAGGGATGCTGCTCAACCTCCTGCTGCACCCAGGACAGCCCCACAGGAGAGAATTCTCCAGCCCAAAATGTCAATAGTGCCAAGGATAGAAAACTCCACTCTAGATGATTTTTTAAAACTGGGTGTTTTCTTAATTCAATTAAAAAGATTTCCCAAACATGCCACCCTTCCCCCTGTCTCCACATTTATGGAAGCTCTAGCCCACCACAAGCGACACTTCCCTGCTCTAGGCGCTGAAGTCTTGTGTCTTAGTTTGGGTTTTTCCGAAAGCAGACACTAAGAAAAGTTTTGTTGCAGTGGTTTATTTGGAAGATGATTCTAGGAAGCACTTCCAGGGGAGAGAGGAAGTGAACCAGGGAAGGGAGGAGAACCAAGGAAGGGTGTGTTGATGAGGTGCTGTGGACATGTGGGGCTCAGGACTCAGTCCTGCTGAGGACCCCGGTAGGTCATCTTCAGTACTAGCCTCTCAAGGAGCAGGGGAGATGGTTTCACTGTCAGTGTCTCTTTGATAAAAGCTGATCCTGGGCATTGACTCCCCAGCCCTTCTGGGGCCCAGAGATGCCCTGAGGTTAGAGGCTGGGCCCGTTCAGGGGCTGTTTGAGGGAGGCCACTGGAGAGGCCAAGGGGGTAAAGGCCAGGAGTGGTCGACAGCCCCCACAGCTGACCTACCCAAGCAATGTGAGCTGGAATCCCCCTGAGCAAACCTCTACGCCACAGCATCACATCACACTGCAATGATCACTGTTCTCTCTAAACTCCTTAAAAGCAGTGTTCTTGTCATTAAGCTTCGTGTTCCCAGACCCTGACACCTGCTAAGCTTCAAAAAATACCTATAACGGAGAAACATATCAGTTACTCAGTTTTCACTGCCCCTTGTGGTTTGCCAACATAATGAGAAATATACCCATACAAGAGCCAATTAGCCAGTGCACTCAAAAATAGTATTTGCAAATGCCCTCTGTGCTCAGCATTGATCCAGACGGACAGGAAGACAAAAAAGAAAAGAGCTTGATCTCCACCCAAGAGCCTGGGTTTATTGACTGCAAAGACTCAACCCCACATCTGCCAGCCTGAGAAAGCAGCCAGCCCTGGCTAGAGCAGCGAGTGTTCTCTAGCTCAGTGGTCCCCAGCTTTTTTGGCACCAAGGACCAGTTTTGTGGAAGACAATTTTTCCACGGAGGGTGCGTGGGGTGGGGGGATTTGGTTTCTGGATGAAACTGTTCCCCCTCAGATCATCAGGCATTACATTCTCAGAGGATGCTCACAGCCTAGATCTGTCACATGTGCAGTTCATAATAGGGTTCATGCTCCTGTGAGAATCTAATGCTGCTGCTGAGGTGAAGCTCAGGTGGTAATGCTCCCTCACCCACTGCTCACCTCCTGCTGTACGACCCAGTTCCTAACAGGCCATGGACCAGTACCAGTTTGTGGCCCAGGGGTTGGGGAACCTTGCTCTAGCTGAACTCTGCTGCTCTTTGCACAGAAGTCACTAGCAGGAAATCAAAATCATAGGGATTCCAAAGATCCTGAGCCATCATCCCTTCTACCTCTGTCTTCCCCCTCAGCTGTAACATTTTATTGTGTTTTCAAACATATAGAAAAGCCAAAATAATTCTACAGTGAGCACCAACAGACCCAACCCCCAGATCCTACCATCCAGATTTTACCCTGGTCACCTTCCCCCAGGTGTCTCTGCACATGCACCTGCCATCCACCCAACTATTCCTCCCTCTGTCTTAAGGTTCAACCACAGATGTCAAAGGCAGTGAAAGCAGGCAAGGAGATTTGAAAAAAACTGACCTTTTTTGAGAAAACTTCCCTGCAGGTCACATGGTGTGGATGTATAAGTTATAAATTTCTTAAAACGTTTTCCAGAGCCAACCACAGCCAAGCCATTCTCGTGTCCACCCTCAAAGCCCTTGAGGGTTTGTCCTACCAGTGAGAACATTATAGGCAGCATGGTTCTAGCAGAACCTTGTTTCCTGACTTTCAGGCTTGTAGAGGTTGGTGGGAAAATGAGGTGCCTTCCTGCTGTGGACTCCTGGCAAAGCCTGCTGTCCCACGCATCAAGAGACAGTGCCCACAAAAGCTGCACTGAAAACTCACCAGTGTGGACTTTAGCTTCTGAGAATTTACTTGCTTGCTATTTTGGAAGTTCAACTTTTCATTTCTATAGGTATTATTAAACATGTATCACTATTTTGAACACTAAGATGAATAAGGCTGTATAAAAATCATGTTCATTTTTGAGCATTTCTTTACTTAGTTTGTGAATATTTAACAATTGTTTAGCTAATCAAAGGTGTGAGAGTGAAATGCCTGAAATGCAATAAAAGAAAGATTAAAAAGGAAGGAAATATTGGAGGACAAATACACAAGACCAACATGACATTTTCACATGACAAAATTAGATCAATAAATAAATAAAAATGAAAAGAAAACCATTTAAAACCAGAAGAACGTAGGTCAAAAGCAAAACAAAACAAAACAAAAATATAAATCAGCAACAAACTATCAGTCATGCTAAAGAGCAGAACAAAGGAAATGTATATTAAACTATCAGCGCTGCAAACATAGGAAGGTACCAGGAGAAGATTAAAGACATTGTATTATTCATCCTTGCAGTCAGCTAGGTGAGACTCCCTCTTCCAGTTTAACAAACAGTAATTCCTGTTTGTTTCCATTGTGATAACACAAAACAAAGACCTGGGAGGGCTTATTGTGAGCATTGTCGCCAGGGAAAGGTGAGAATCCAAAATCACAGCCCCAAACCTCTTGCCTTTTGCACCATCCATGAGTCATCATGACTGTCTGACACTGTGAGCCCCACAGGGTGGCCCACCCACTGCTGGTGTCTGCGGGGAGTCCTGTCCATAGCTGCTCCTCTGATGTGCCACCTGGCACATGATCAGAACAAACTTGTCTCCTGAGAGACCAGTCTATTACAATGCTCAAGAAATACACATTAGGCCAGGTGTGGTGGGTCACGACTGTAATCCCAGCACTTGGGAGGCCACGGCAGGCAGATTACCTGAGGTCAGGAGTTTGAGACCAGCCTGGCCAACATGATGAAACCCCATCTCTACTAAAAATACAAAAATTAGCCGGGTGTGGTGGCGGCACCTGTAATCCCAGCTACTTGGGAGGCTGAGGCACAAAATCACTTGAACCCAGGAGGTGGAGGTTGGAGTGAGCTGAGATCGTGCCACTGCACTCCAGCCTGGGCAATAGAGCAAGACTCTGTCTAAACAGACAAACAAACAAAAAAAGAAATACACATTAGTCAGTGTTTTCAGGTAAGTCCAAGCCAGCAAGTTTATCTTCCACTCCTGAAAACAGTGAAGAGATATTCACTAGGGTCAAAACTCCATCTCACACCCCTGGCCGCCTTGGGAAGAGCCCTGCTTCCCCTCACTCTTCCAGGTCTGGGGTTGCTGTCAAGTGCTGTAATCACTTCTGCAGAATCCGACAGTCTTGAAGGTAACTGGAATGCAAGCTGCTAAAGAGTTAATTTTCAGGCTTTCATGAAGTTTATCCCTAAAACAAAGATTTTCTAATTTCACCAGTTTTACTAACTTGTGCTAATTTACACAATTTACTATGATTATAGTCATTTCCTGGAACTTTCTATGCAAGCCTATATAACCAGTTAAATAGGACGGCAGCTCCTCTTCCTTCCTAAAGAGTATTATGTAAGACTATTGATCACAGCAAGTGGATCGCTTAACATGAATGATTAAATAACTTAGGGATGACACTGAAGTTGACTTTTTTTTTTTTTTTTGGCCTGAAAAATTTTTTTTTTTTTTATTGTTCATTCTTGGGTGTTTCTCGCAGAGGGGGATTTGGCAGGGTCATAGGACAATAGTGGAGGGAAGGTCAGCAGATAAACAAGTGAACAAAGGTCTCTGGTTTTCCTAGGCAGAGGACCCTGCAGCCTTCCGCAGTGTTTGTGTCCCTGGGTACTTGAGATTAGGGAGTGGTGATGACTCTTAACGAGCATGCTGCCTTCAAGCATCTGTTTAACAAAGCACATCTTGCACCGCCCTTAATCCATTTAACCCTGAGTGGACACAGCACATGTTTCAGAGAGCACGGGGTTGGGGGTAAGGTCACAGATCAACAGGATAAGAATTTTTCTTAGTACAGAGCAAAATGAAAAGTCTCCCATGTCTACCTCTCTCTACACAGACACGGCAACCATCCGATTTCTCAATCTTTTCCCCACCTTTCCCCCCTTTCTACTCCACAAAACCGCCATTGTCATCATGGCCCGTTCTCAATGAGCTGCTGGGTACACCTCCCAGGCGGGGTGGTGGCCGGGCAGACGGGCTCCTCACTTCCCAGTAGGGGCGGCTGGGCAGAGGCGCCCCTCACCTCCCGGGTGGGGCGGCTGGCCGGGCGGGGGGCTGACCCCCCCACCTCCCTCCCGGACGGGGCGGCTGGCCGGGCGGGGGGCTGACCCCCCCCCACCTCCCTCCCGGACTGGGCGGCTGGCCGGGTGGGGGGCTGACCCCCCCACCTCCTTCCCGGACGAGGCGGCTGGCTGGGCAGAGGGGCTCCTCACTTCCCAGTAGGGGCGGCCGAGCAGAGGCGCCCCTCACCTCCCGGACGGGTCGGCTAGCCGGGCGGGGGGCTGACCCCCCGGAGCTCCTCTGCCTGGCTGCCCAGTCTGAAGTTGACTTTTTAAATGACTGGGAAGGCAAGTGAGACAGAGTTACCGAAAAAAAAGATGGGAGTCTCAAACTATGTGTTTCTCTCTTGAGAAATGAAGGAGGCCTAACTCCAAATCAATTCTAAGGTATTTTCATTTCTCTTCTTATTCAAAAATCCCCAAAAGGTGGACATTTCACTACATCACTCTCTTGTTGAACAAATAACTCAGATACCTCTGGAATGCAGGTGAGGCTGAATCAGGGAGAGGCCTTGGCCAGGAGCAGCTGGATGGCAGACAGCAGCCACTCAACTCTCCTTCCCCACGTGGAGGGACACATGGGGGTCAGCTGTGGCTTGGGATGAGCCCTAGGTAGGGTCTGACAGCCAGGGGGCTGCTCCTGTGAAACGGGCCATGGCAGGCACTAGGAACATCCTGAGGGTTCCCTAAACAGAATACTTCTCAACGTAAATCCCTCCAATGGCATCCTGCCACATGCAGGATAAAAAGCTACACTCCTTACTGGGCTAACAATGACAAAATAATGGCTCCTCAAAGATGTCCACATCCTAAGCCCCAGAAGCCATGAAGATGTTATCTTACATAGCAAAGGTTGCAGATGGAATTAAGGTCACTCATCAGCTAACTGAAAAAGGACGATCATCCCGGATTATCCATGTGGGCCCTGGGTCCTTACAGAGTCATTGAAGGGGAAGGGGGAACAAGGGTGATGGCAGCCTGAGAAAGGCTTAGGCTGACATGGATATCACTGGTTTTGAGCTGGAGGATGGAGGAAGGGGCCATAAGCTGCAGAATGCAGGAGTCCTCCAGAAACTGGGGAAGGCAAGGAAACAAACACTGCCCTAGAGCCTCCAGAAAGGAACCAGCCCTGCAGACACCTTGGTCTTAATCCAGTGAGACCTGTGTCAGACGTTTGATCTACAGAACTGTAAGGTAATACGTTTATATTGTTTTATTCACTAAGTTTGTGGTCATTTGTTACAGCAGCCCTAGGAAGCCAATATAAAGCATGTAGGATTTGATCCTGACCTTGGCTTGAGCCCTTCTCACCCTGGCTTCACATGCTCTGGGCAGACTGATTTTCTCACTCTTCCCCAATATACCAGGCTGGTTGCTACCTCAGGACCTTTGCACTAGCTGTTCTTTCTGCCTGCACAATTTGGTCATCCCTCATCTTTGCATGGCTCAACCTCCTAGCCAATCCATCAATCACAGGTGAGCACATCCTCACACATGTCTTCCTTGATCTCCCAGCTAAGGTGCCACACAGTCACTGTCCTCATGCCATGATGATCTGTTCCTCACAGCATCCACGAGCTGGCAGGGGAAGTAGAATGGATGCAGCACCGGCTCAAGGCTCAGTGCCTCTCAGGTGCTTTCATCAGCCTCCCTCACCTGGATGTACTCTTGTTAATTCCATCTTTTATTCGGTTGCTATTTTGTCTGTTCCTCCCTGATAGTCTGTAAACAACCTCACCAGCCTCATGTAGGGACCAGTGGAATGGTTTAGATGAAATGAATTTTACTTTCCATACTTTACATAACCATTAATAAATGGTTATGGAATAAATGGATCTTCCTGCTGTAATCAAGTGAAAAGGCAGAATATACTGAGGGTGACTTCTAGCTCTACAGGTGCATGATTCCATGTCGTGAGCAGTAATATACTTTAATCTCCCTTTGCTTGTGAAAAAATATCTACCTCGCTTGGGAATCAATGGCTTAAAATAATGTCTCTGCTGAGGCAGGGTGTTGTCCTGCAGGAGTGAGGCAAGGTGTGGAAGAGGAAGGTGGGGAGGTGAGGACTGCTGGTCTCAGAGCTCCAGTTCTGACTCGATATGACTTGGGAAAATGCACCTGCGCAGGCACACCTATCCCACATGTCACACAGACATGTGCATGCACAGATATAAACACTGTCACTCCTGGTTACTTTTATTTCTATCTGCCATCCTTGTGGCCATAGTCACTATTTTCCTCTTTGTACTTTTCCTTTTTACTCTGGTGGTTTGAAACTCAAACCTAAGCCTAGTTTCATCGGCTCCCTAACACCTGAGCCTGGTAAAGACAGGAGCCCCTCAGCTCCCAGCTACATTGTAACATTCCACATATTCAGCATGGCTGCAAAAAGGGGCTGAGATAGAACCTCCAGGACAATGTCCAGGACAATGGATCCCTGGAGGTCCCTGGTGGTCCCCACAGACCTCACTTTCCCAGAAGCAGAAGAGGGGCAGTTAAAATCTCAAGAGTATAGTTTTAGAAACACAATTGTTTTACCTCCCAGCGATGGTTGATCTTGTAACAACCATATTTGAGACTGCTGCCTTGTAATTAATGCTATAAAATTCATTTAACAATATTAATTCTTCCAATTCATTAAGACAGATATCTTCCCATTTATGTGTGTCTTCTTCAATTTCCTTTGTCAATGTTTTATAGTTTTTAGTTATAGATCTTTCACCTCCTTGGTTAAATTCATTCCAAGGTATTTTTTGTTGCTATTGTAAATGGGATTGTTTTCTTGATTTCTTTTTTGAATAATTTGTTGTTAGCATATAAGAAATGCTACTGATTTTTGTAGGCTGATTTTTTTATCCTGCAACTTATTAATTCTCAGCTTTTAGGTGGCATCCTTATGGTTTTCTATATGTAAGATCATGTCATCTGCAAACAAAGACAATTTTACTTCTCTATATTTCTAGTTTGGATGCCTTTCTCCTTGCCTAATTGCTCTGGCTAGGACTTCCAGTACTATATTGAATAGAAGTGGTAAGAATGAGCATTCTTGTCTTGTTCCTGGTCTTACAAGAGATTCAATGCAATCCCTATCAAAATTCCAAGAACATTTTTTCACAGAAATAAAAAAAAATCCTAAAACCTATATGGAACTATAAAACACTTCAAATAGCCAAAGCAATCTTGAGCAAAAAGAATGAAGCTGTAGGCATCACACTACCTGGTTTTAAAACACACTGCAAAGCTGTTGAAGGAGTAAAGAATATGCCACCCCAAAATATGTTGCTCTGGTCTGTTGACCATGTAGAATCAAAGGCACTTTTTAACACAGCAGGTACAAGAAGATCATTCTGACCTTCATTCTGTTTCTGAAAAGCAAGAGATAGAATTTCTGTAGAAAAATGTCCTTCCTATACCACAAGGAAAGTAAAATTCTTCTTATGTAGGACAGGAAGTTGAAGCTGAGGAATTCTGTACAAACAAATCTTGTTAAACTAACCCTTATCTTCCTACTTCTAGGACTTTCTCTACCCAATTGACTCAGTTTACCACACCTTTGTCTAATTCGGTATATACGTGTTTGACTCTAACTGCTCCTTTCAGTCTTCATTTCCTTGTGAAGTTTCCTCATATACTTGTATGCTTTTCTCCTGTTAAATCCGTCTTGTGTCAATGTAATTCTTAGACCTAGCCAAAAATAAAATCCTAAATGGGAAAAGGTAAAGTTTTGTCTCCCCTACACTCTCATAATCAAAGCAGCTTGGTACCGACCTAAAGACAGACACACAGACCAATGAAACAGAATAGAGAGCCCAGAAATAAACCCACACATTGATAGTCGATTGTATTCAACAAAGGTGCCAAGAACACACAATGGGAAGGAATAGTGTCTCCTATAAATGGTGTTGGGACAACTGGATATTCACATGCAGAGAGATGAAATTGAACCCTTATCTCACAACATGTGCAAAATAAACTGAAAATGGACTAAAGACTGATATGGTTTGGCTCTGTTTTTCCGCACCTAAATCTCATCTCAAATTGTAATCCTCATGTGTTGAGAGAGAGACTCTGCGGGAGGTGATTGGATCATGGGGGCCGTTTCCCCCATGCTGTTCTCATGATAGTGAGGAAGTTCTTACAAGAGCTGATGGTTTTAAAGTGTGCCTCTTCCTCGCTCTCTCTCTCTCCTGTCATCGTGTGAGACGTGCCTTGCTTCCCCTTTGCCTTTTGCCATGATTGTAAGTTTCCTGAGGCCTCCTCAGCCACATGGAACTGTGAGTCAATTAAACCTCTTTTCTTCATAAATTACTCAATCTCTGGTAGTATCTTTATAGCAGTGTGAGAACAGATTAATACAGAGATTTAAACACAAGACCTGAAACCATAAAACTACTAGAAGAAAACATAGGGGGAAAGCTTCTTTACATCGGGGAGGCAAAGAGTTTTAGGATATGACTCCAAAAGCACAAAGAGGTTGTCAAGCAGACAAGATAGATACCTCACACCAATTAGATGGCTACGATCAAGCAGACAAGATCAAGATAACAGGTGTTCCTTGGGATGTGGAGAATAGGGAGCCCTTGAATACTCTCTATGGAAATGTAAATTAGTGCAAACACTATGGAAAATAGTCTGGAAGTTCCTCAAAAAATTAAAGCTAGAACTGCCATATGATCCAGCAATTCCAATTCTGAGTGCATATTCAAAGGACATGAAATCAGCACCTCGAAGACCTATCTGTTCTTCCATCTTCATTGCAGCTTCATTCACAACAGCCAAGATAAGGAATCAACCTAAGTGTCCACTACTGGATGAATGGATAAAGAAATGTGGCACCTACATAAGAGGAAATACTATTTTGCCTTAAAAAAGAAAAACATCTTGTCATTTTTTACATGAATGAACCTGGAGGACATTATGTTAAGTAAAATAAGTCAGGCACAGAAAGACAAATACTGCATGATCTCACTGATGTATGGAATCTAAAAAAGTTAAACTCATAGAAGTAGAGAGTAGAGTGGAGGTACTAGGGTCTGGGGAGTGAGGAAAATGGGGAGATATTGGTCAAAGGGTACAAAGTTTTAGTTAGGCAGGAAGAATACATTGTGAAAATTTATCACACAGCATGGTGGCTATAGTTCATATTAATGTAGTGTATACTTGAAAATTGCTAAGACAATATTCTCACCACAAAAATGTGATAAGTAGATGAGGTGATGGATATAGTCATTAGCTTGATTTGATGATTTCACAATGTATAAATATACCAAAATACCATGTTGTACACCATAAATATATACAATTTTTACTTGCCTGTTATTTCTTAATAAAGCTGGGGGCAAAATACATTTTGAAGTTACCATCAATCCTGGATGTTAGAGCTTCTCTGCTGGGCTCAGTCACGCCTGACTGGTGAATACTGTCCCCTTCAGCCCCAGAGAAGGGGAGGCCTGAGTTGAGGCCCGGCTTCAACTCAGGCAAGTGAGAGGTCCAGCTTCCCCACCAGACTCTCCAAAGCATTTGGCACTGATGTCTTCTTTTGGTGGGGGACAGAGTTTTTGCTCTGTTGCCCAGGCTGGAGTGCAGTGGCGCAATCTCAGCTCAATGCAACCTCCACCTCCTGGGTTCAAGTGATTCTCCCACCTCAGACTCCTGAGTAGCTGGGATTACAGGTGCCCACCACCATGCCTGGCTAATTTTTGTATTTTTAGTAGAGACGAGGTTTCACCATGTTGGCCAGGCTGGTCTTGAACTCTTGACCTCAGGCGATCCACCTGCCTCAGCCTCCCAAAGTGCTAGGATTACAAGTGTGAACCACCACACCCGGCCAGCACTGATGTCTTTAGTCAAAAGCAGAATCAACCTAAAATTAAAACAAAAACCAAAAAAAGCCCAAGAAAAGAAGCCCAGGGCCCTGTAGTAGCAATGAGAAACGTTCTACAAAATCAAGTTGGATAATAAATATGAGTTTCTGGAATACAGGGGGAACTTGGAGAGGACCTTCATAAATAATGAGTGATATACTGTGCCCCTGGCAGAGATCTTTCAGCTGGCAAGATCGAGTTAGACCAAAACTCGTTCCCCTTCAGCAGTGGGAGGCAGGAAACAGAAAGTCTCAGGACATCTTGTGAGGGGACCCTCCCACGGATTAAATGTAATGAAGTAAACATACAAAGTCACCCTGTACTACCTGCAATGAGCCTCCCATTTCGGCACGGCTGACTCCATGTCACTCTCGGGTAATACACACAAATCCTGCAAGTGACTTGTGCCATCACTCTCTCCTGTCTGAATTCTGTCAGGTGTGCCGCCTGCGAGGGCAGACTTTCAGGCCTTCCCTGGCATCCTGTCCCAGCTTTCAGCTTAGAGCGCTGGCAGGAGCAGGTTGCCCTGTGCCACGCAGCTTCTGTGTCCTTAGAGGACCTATATTGCTAATCACTGTGAAGTGTTGAGTGACTTTAGGAAGGCTTCTTTTCTTTTGTATTCCCCTCCCCACTCCCCTTCCCTTTATTTTCTTTCTTTTTCTTTTCTTCTTCTTCTTCTTTTTTTTTTTTGATGGAGTCTTACTCTGTTGCCCAGGCTGGAGGTCTGGAGTGCAGTGGTGTGATCTCGACTCACTACAACCTCTGCCTCCTGGGTTCAAGCGATTCTCCTGCCTCAGCCTCCTGAGTAGCTGGGACTACAGGCACGCACCACCAGGCCTGGCTAATTTTTGTACCTTTTTTTTTTTTTTTTACTAGAGACTGGGTTTCACCATGTTGGCCAGGCTGGTCTCAAACTCCTGACCTCAGGTGATCCACCCACCTCGGCCTCCCAAAGCGCTGGGATTATAGGCGTGAGCCACTGCGCCCAGCCTGTTTTCTCTTTCTCTCTTTCCTTTCTTTCTTTTCTGTCTTTTCTCTTTCTTTCCTTCTGCTTTAAGATAAGGTCTCACTATATTGCTCAGGCTGGTCTTGAATTCCTGAGATTAAGGGACCCTCCTGCCTCAGCTTCCCAAGTAGGTGGGATTACAGGCACATATCACCACACCCAGCCAGGCAGGTTTCTTAATTGTTCAGTATTTTTACCTTGAGGAACACTCTTCACAGTCTACCTTCTGCAAAAGGCTTTAGGAGAGAATGCTACTCAGAAATCCTTCCAGTGCAGAACACATCTCAGAGAGAGCATGCACTAAATAAAGTGAGGAGAGAGAACCCCATAAACAAATTCACAGATTAACCTGAATGTCAACTTTTCGTTTAACCCTATGCCAAAGCCAAACATTGCTGCTTCAAGAGTCATCATTGAAAAGTGTCCAAAATGGGGCCCATCCTGGTTTCGTGATGGAATTAATTCCCATGCTGTTTGCTTCTCCTGATTGCATTGTCCTCATCTATAATTTCAAAGTACCTTCAAATTTAATTTTTTTTTTAAAGGGACGTGTATTCGTAGTGTCAGAGGACAGTCCGAGCATTCCTTTGTTATAATTTGTAACGTTAATATGGCATTGTACCAGCCAGCTGGGTAGACAGAGACCTGTCCTCTCTGTGGGCCCCAGCTCTGGGTCCTGGGGCAGGACACTGGCCTTGCCCATTGCCCCACGCTTTCATGTCTGGCCATCTTTCCAGAGAGGAAACCCCTCCTGGAAGTATGATCAACTGGCCTTGTCACTATAGCTGGCCACATCCCGCCCTGATCAAGGCCATTCTAGGAAGCCTTTGACCTCAGTTCCTGATATCCCATCCAGTGTGGGAGGTGGACTGCCTTCCCTCTGCCCCAACGTGGGTTTTGTTTGGGGCCAGGATTCTACCTGCACCTTCCTGGGAGCCACCTACAGTGCTGTTATCAGCTCTCACACAGCCAGGCTACCCTGTGGCAGATTCCCCACCTCTCGGCTGGCCAAAATGCTTCACCGTCACCTTGGATCTCATGGTTCATGGTTATGTCCTTCCTGTAACTCACCTCAGAGTTTATGTTTCACCCTGATTAGGACAGCTGAGTCCGGGTGCATCACATTCCTGCCAATGCATGTGGTTCCTCTAGGGCCAGCCCCTGCTCTGGGCACTTGGCCCCAAATCCTGCAGCAAGCTTACCTCTGCCCACACCATCATCCTCCGCTACTGCTGCACCCCACGGCGTGGTCTGGCCATGTTTGCTCTTTGTTCTTCCTGGGTCACATGCCCTCAAGGCTGCTCAGAGTCCTGCACTAGGGGGCTTCCTCCGGGGCTTCTGGCCACCAGCTGTCATTTCCAGCCATCCCCAGGATCCTGCTCAGTGAAATCTTCTTTAGATGTTTGTGTTAAAGATGTAGCTGTGAACCCAAATTGTCAGGTTGGGCCAGGTGGCTCATGCCTGTAATCCCAGCACTTTGGGAGGCCAAGACAGGCAGATCACCTGAGGTCAGGAGTTTGAGACCAGCCTGTGCAACATGGTGAAACCCTGACTCTACTAAAAATACAAAAATTAGCCAGGCACGGTGGCAGTTTCCTGTAGTCCCAGCTACTAGGGAGGCTGAGGGAAAAGAATCACTTGAACCCGGGAGGCGGAGGTTGCAGTGAACAGAGATCCAGCCACTTCACTCCAGCCTGGGTGACAGAGTGAGACCCTGTCTCAAAAAACGAACAAACAAACAAACAAAAAGCAAATTGTCCTCTGCAGTCACAGGAGCACCGAGGGGCCCTTGTTGCCACGACTTTCAGGTAAGAAGCAGAACCCCAGGATGCAGTGGGCTGTTGTGTGGTCTCCCTGATGTCCTGGAATGTCCCGGCCAATTTGACGGTTTTTCTCTCCAGTGCACCCTCCCTGACCAGCCAGCTCTTCCCTCCCCAGCGCTTGCCCTGCACTGACTCTGAAAGCTTGTTGTTCCATTTACTGTTTACACTCACTTTATTTCATAGAGTAAAAGGTGCTTCTCAAACATAAGTTTATGTTGTTCGCCTTCAGCTCCCCCTGTATTCTCTCACCATGTCTTCAGCATGGAGAAGCAGGAACCTAAACATGGGAAGTGTTTTGACTTTCAAAAAAGCCCATAGTGAAGGCTCTGTTTATTTGCTTTGAAAATGATAATCATCAGTCCACACGCCTGCAAAGAATCATGGGCAGGAAAAAAAATAATTATAAATACAGCTGGATTTTAATAAAATAAGCAAAACAATTCCCACAATCTTTACTCAGTAAGCAGAATTTTTAGGACTGAAATAGACAGATGTATGTACCTATGTATGAAGCTTATATGCCTAAGTAAATTGATATATATGTCGGTTTGAGAGGACTATGTTGAATTTACAAGTATGCACTCATGCATACCTGTGTCATACGCGTGTGTTGAATGCATGTATATATGCTGTTGTCTATTCAGTTAGGGATGTCCATTGGACATGTAGAGTCTGGAGTTCAGGGAGGGTTGAGGCGGGGGGTCTCTAGGTAGCATTTGGCAGGACATAGGTGAGATTTAAAGCCCAGGGATGAAAGTGGAGGACAGAAAGGTGGAGACTGAGCCCCGGGGGCTGCAGGGGTGGAGTAGCCAGATGAGGGAGGGATCCAGCCAAGGAGTCTGGAAGGAGCTGCAGTAAGGTAGGGAAGGTGAGGGAGGGCCACTCCATCCATGAAGAGTATTTCCAGAAGCTGGATGCAGCCACCCATGTTAAACCCTCTGACAGGTCAGACAGTCTGGTAGGACGGTGGGAACCAAAGCCTGACCCCAGCGGATCCCAGGGAGAATGGAGGAGAAGCAGCAGGGGTTTCGGCAGCATCTACTCTCCACAGACAGACAGAGGGCCATCCCCCACATGCTGAGCACTACCAAGATCCAGCCAGGAGAAAGGGAGCTGGTGACCATGCATCAGAGCAGGGGACATACAGCAGCCAGGCCACTGACCAAGAGTGACGGATGGCTCAGGAGCCCACGGTGAGTCTGGCCAGGGAAGTTTTGGGAGTCTCTCCACTTCAGCAGGGAGGAAGGCACCGTCTGGGACACAGCCAGTGGTTGGTGGACAAGATGTGGGAGCCTGTAACTGGTCCCTTTTGTTATATTCTACTTTCCCAGTGAAAAATGAGCCAGGTTCTCAGCTGCAAGTGATGAGAAGGGCGAGGGCATAGGGCATTCGAGTACGAAGGAGAGGTGAAGTGATTGTGTCTGCGCGGGTTGAATGAAGGGATCAGGGAAAGTTGTCACCTCTCAGGGCTATGCTGACTTGGGAGTGTAACATGAGACTAGTTAGCAAGAATTCTAGAGTTTCCTCCACCTGCACTGGGCTGCTTGGAGGCAGGAATGAAGTAAGCACAGAGTTTGATTAAACCAAGTTCAAATATCTGCCAAGGACCCCACAGGTGACAGGAGAAGGGAGGGTGTAAGTTGTAGCAGGGACAGGCAACAGGGATTTATGATAATGCACGATGGACTCTTACCTGGGGGGATGGCAGGTGAGGATGTGCAGGGAGGTCGATGGCAGCACGTGGGTGGCAGGAATGTATTGAAAGATGACACTGTCCTGGCCTGCACCCAGAGGTGCTGGCTAATGGGTGTGGAGTGGCCCGAGCGTGGTATATGCAGGAGGGTTTCAAGATGCAGCTCTGTTGAGAGTTGCAGAGGCCACACAGGAGAGTGAGGGCAGGGTGGAAGTTTCTGGATCCACAGGGTCCAGAGATGAAGGTCAGGCAAAGACCATGATTAGCAACTATGTAGGTAGATGGAGATGCAGGCTCAGGTGAGCTAAAGCTGGTGGGTGAGCCTAGAGCAGACGCTCAGCCCTGCTTGCCTGGGGAAAAGTTAACAGGTGTCCCTGCAATTCACCCTCCCCCACACCCCCAGGCACACTGGTTCCACTGATCTGGGCTGTGCCCTGGACCTAGGAGTGTGAATAGCTCCCCAGATGTTTCTGCGCACAGGCTGAGAACAGCTCCAGCTCAGAGCTTGTTCTACCTCAGTGTTCCCAGGAAACTCCTGTGGGGTCTCCTTAAAATGCAGATTCTGGTGCAGGAGTCCAGGTGGGCGGTGCCAGGGACTCTGCCTTTCTTAGGAGCTCCCAGGTGCTGTCTGCTGTGGGTACTTTGAGGAGCAAGGCCTTAGAGAGAGTGTTCTTTTTTTTTTAATTTCAAGCTCTCATTTATTAGTGTACCTCTCAATCTTTAAAAAAAAAATGGAAACGAAAAAAATAAAGCTGCTCCCAAAATGTCTTATACCATTCTTTTTGTTGTTGTTTGTTTGTTTGTTTTGAGACAGAGTCTCGCTGTGTCGCCCAGGCTGGAATGCAATGGTGCGATCTCAGCTCTCTGCAACCTCTGCCTCCCAGGTTCAAGTAAATCTCCTGTCTCAGCCTCCCTAGTAGCTGGGATTACAGGCACCTGCCACCATGCCCAGCTAATTTTTGTATTTTTTTTGTAGAGACAGTTCACCATGTTGGCCAGGCTGGTCTCGAACTCCTGGCCTCAAGCGATTTGCCCACCTCGGCCTCCCACAGTGCTGGGATTACAGGTGTGAGCCACCACGCCCGGCCTTATACCATTCTTTAAAAAAGGAAACTGTTTCTTTTAACTTTACACCCACCCCCATCCCAATTTCAAAACACATCATTTAATTGTCTTGTTCACGGACATTTCCAAGATGAAATTTTATATTTTGCTCCCATAACTTCTGGTTATCAGAAAACCCAAACTCCTTTATTGAAGGAGTTTGGTCCGGCTGGTGTTGGTGGGGATCTTCCAGAATTCTTTATCCTCAGCTTGGCTTCTGGAGGCATTTCCTCCGCTTCACTCCCTGACCCGAGTGTGATGGCCATGGCTGATGTCTTCTTCATCATCTGACTACCTATGGCGAATCCAATGTGGAGATCTTTGTAGACTCCGTTGGGAGGTCTGCAGCTCCTTCAGCTGACCCTTCTCAGTGCTGCGACTGAAACTTTCCCCTCCATTACTAGAAGAAACGGTCTTCGTTTTCACAGGTTTTTCTGCTTCCTCTTCAGGTCCTCTGGCTGCTCCAGCTCGCTGTGACTTTTCAGGCTTCTCCGCTCTCGCCCTCCCCTCCGCCATTTTCCCCACTGTGGCCGCCCCTTCTGTGTTCTTGACAAAGCATGTTTCTGCCTGACTGCCCATGCCAGTCCACACAAAAAGACCTCCAAGTACGCTTGCCATTGATGGACAATATACATGTTTATAGAAAGCAAGCAAAGAAGCTACGGTTTCTAAAACATTCCGCAAGAGTGAGCGCATTGTTGTCCACCCACCACAGTCTGCCTCCGTCCCTGGCGCAGAGCTCCAGGGGCCCAGAGGGTGGCGTTTCTAGCAGCCTCAGCGGTCAGCCCAGGCCAGGCCTCCCCAGGCCTCTGCCTTCCTTCCCTATGGAAGCTGCGGAGGAAGCACCTCCTCACTGTGGGCACGCTGGAACCCCAGGGAGAGGCTGCCTGGTCACACCAGAGTGAAGTAACTGACCAAACTCAGCAGGGAAGGGCAACAGGAAGCCCAGAACCAACCTGTGCCTGCCATTCCCGACTCCCCGCGGCCCTCACACAGCTTCTCCGCCTCTGAGCCCTTGAGGTCAGCTTCTGGGGCATTAGTTTGCTTTGGGTGAAGCTGTGGTGGGGACCAGGCTTCTGTGTGGAGGGTGCTAAGGGCCAGAGGTAGCAGCAACAGCTTTTCCCCAGAGTGTCTCTCTGGATGTCGCTGGTGGTTTCAGGGCTGCTTGATTCCTGGCTAGGTAGTGTCCAGGCTGGGTCTCTGTTCCAGAACTTGTGGAAGCCAACTAATATAATTTACTAAGACCCATCCAGTTTTTTTCTTTTTTTAAAGTGGATTTTGTTGTCTGCAACCAAGAACTCTGACCAATGTTTCATCCTTCAGGTTCTGAGACATCACTACACTGGGGAGATACCAGCACACACCTCAGTGCCAGGGCCCAACGGCATGAAGCATTTGCACCCAGCATTGCACACGCAGCATTTACAGCCTGCATCATACATGTAGCATTCACACTCTGCATTATACATGCATCGCCTACACCCAGGATATGATACACCCTGCAGCATACGTGTTTCACTTACATCCTGTATCACACATGCAGCATATATACTCTGCATCATACATGTATCATTTTCACGCTGCACTGCACATGCAGCATTTGCACACTTTATTGTACATGTTAATTATAGGCTGTCTGCCTCCCACATGTTTTTGACAGCAGAGCCTGCTCTTTTCACGGCTATACACCCCCTAGAGCCCAGGCTTATCCCTGCCACATGTTTGATGCTTAGTGGGGCCACCTGCCTTTTCCGCCAGCCAAGCATCCTTTCTTTACTTTTCCCTTGCCCTATGTGGAGCCCAATCGGTTTGGTTTGACTGGGGTGTAACTAAAAATATCCTATTAACTGCACTGTCATACAGGTTCCCAGGCCCACCCATAGCCTCAGACCCCAAGTCTGTGTTAGGTCTAAGGATCTAGCTCTGTAACTTGGACAGTCTAGACACAGGTGATCCCAGGACCACACTAGGAACTAGGCAGATGCTGGTCTTCAACCTCGATCACAAACCTAATTATCTGGGGTTCAAAACCACAAAGCCTGAAATTCGTGTTCAGTTGGGCTGGAGTGTGGTGAAAGTGCTGCTTTAAGTTCCTCTGAATTTAAATGTGCAGCCACGCTTGTGAACCACTGTGCAGCTTCCAGAGGTCTCACTGCTCCCCGCAGCCCCTCCTCAGCCCCCTGCCGGTGGGGGGAGTCTCCAAGACCAGCAGTCAGCCTCCAGCCTCTTTTCTCAGCCTCCTCAGACACCTATTAGGTCCTGTTTGGCCTTTTCTTAGGCCATGGGCGCTTGGAAAATGAGGACGCTGCAACAGCATCAATGCAGGGACACTGATCCAATATATGCAGAAGTGGGGGTGATTGGGACTTATCCAACAAGTTCCCTGTGCCTGTCTAGGAACCTTAACCACCAGCTTTAAAGAAAATGTCCGCTTGGGATCCTCCCGCCTGCTTCTGCTAGGTGCCACTGCTCAGGTTGAGCAAAGTCTTATCGAGCCACCTCAGGAAGCTAAGGTCCCCAGCTTCCCTGATTCCACAGGGTCTGACGCTCCAGCCTCATCATTGAAGCCTTGCTTGTCTAATGCCCCCAGGCCAGGACACCCACCAGCTGTGAAGCCTGCAAAAAGGCCGGGATACCTCCAGGAGCCAGGCGGGGATCCTCAGCATCTCTCCCTTCCCACTGCCGGCCCCTGCAATGCAGACACACACTCACACTTTCACGTGCCATACACACAGTCACACACACCACACGAACACATGCAGACTACACAACACACACTCACATACACCACACACAAACACATGCACACAACACACAAACTACACGATGTACACCACACCCCCCACACACAGACTACACAACACACAACAAAGACATACACTACACACAAACACATGCACACAACACACACACACAAACTACGCAATGCGCACCACACCCCCCCACACACAGACTACACAACACAGAACCCACATTCACATATACCACACACAAACACAGGCACACACCACACAACACACACTATACTAACTACACAATGCACACCACACACACAAACACACAGACTACACAGCACGCACACAACAAACACATGCAGACTACACAACACACACAAAACACACATCACACATATGCAGACTACACAACACACAACGCATACATGCACCACACATAAACACATGCACACACCACACCCCACAACCACCCAACAACCTACACAACACACACACACCACACAAACTACACAACGCACACACACTACACACAAACAGATGACACAACACATGCCACACACAAATACATGCAGGCTACACAACACCCACACACATACATACACCACATGCAAACACATCCACACAACACACCATACACAACAAACCAACACATGCAGATTACACAACACACACACCATACAAACACATGCAGACTACACAAAACACACACCTCACACCACACATACACAGACTACACAACACACAACCCACTCACATATGCCACACACAAACGCATGCACACACCACACCTCACAACCACCCAACAACCTACACAACACCACACACACACCACACAAACTGCACAATGCACACCACACACAAACACACACACACACCACACAAGCACACACTACACAACAAAAACCACACACCACACACAACATAGAAACACACACACTACACTACACACAACACACATACTACACAACACATACTTATATTCATACATGCACCACACGCACAGGCACACACATTACACACCACACACACATACCACACACACACTACGCACTACACAAAACATACATTTTACACACATTCTACACACATTCTTACATTCCCACACAATCACACATGCACAAACATGCACGTGTAAATACAGAGACAGACACACACGTGTATGCACTCTCTCACACACACACACACACAGATGGCAATGCTCAGAGAGCTGGAACACTCCAGGCTAGCTCCATTTCCCAGCGCCCCTGAGCTGGGGGCTGGGGTCTGTGCCACACATGTGCATGCATGTGCGCGCGCGTGTGTGTGTGTGTGTGTGTGTGTCCTGCAAGCTGGAGGGCAAGCCCCTCCTCTGTCAGGAGGCCTTTGCCCCACCCTGCATGCTTCCAGTCTTGCTGCCCCTCCATGAGAGCAGCTGTCATACTTGTCACCACTTCTATCTTCTGTTCTTCCCTCTCTCCTAGATTATAGGCTTTTTGAGGACAGATATTTAGTCCCATTCATCACTGTGCTCCCAGTGCCAGTTCTGGGCCTGGCATGGCAACATTAGTTAATGGATTAGATAAAGAAATCAATGAATGATAGTTGGGAGGGACAGAGAGAGGGAGGGAGAGCAGAAAGTACTTAGTTGTCCAAACCATATGTTCTAGTTTCTTTTTAAAGGGCCCTGGAATTTACTCTCTATGTGACAGAGTGCATGGCAGAAAGAACACTGATAAATGTAGCAAGTTTATGTTGAAAATTTCATTAAAAGTGACAAGAATATAAATATATGTTGCTTGAATAATGAGTGGATCTTATCTTCCACTTTGTGGATGCTCACAGCATGGCTATTGTCCTGCAAATTTAGGAGAGCATAATATAATACCAGCAGCAGTATTTAAAAATTCTAGGTTAACACAGAAAACACCTTGCTTTCTTGACATCTGAATCAAATAAGATTGATAGTGAGAGAAAAATAAGACTGTTTTCATCTTAAATTCTCTTCCAACATAGTAGAAAATGAATTGAAAATACCAGTAACTGCCGGGCACAGTGGCTCATGCCTGTAATCCTAGTGCTTTTGGAGGCTGAGGCAGGCGAGTGGATCACCTGAGGTCAGGAGTTCAAGACCAGCCTGACCAACATGGGGAAACCCTGTCTTTACTAAAAATACAAAAATTAGTTGGGTGTGGTGGTGGGCACCTGTAATCCCAGCTACTCGGGAGGCTAAGGCAGGAGAATCACCTGAACCCGGGAGGTAGAGGTTGCAGTGAGCCGAGATCGTGCCACTGCACTCCAGCCTGAGCAACAGAGTGAGACTCTGTCTCAAAAAAAGAAAGAAAGAAAGTGCTAGTAACCAAAGCGGTAATTGGCATAAAACATTCCAAATATATTGTCAGATCCCCAAGGCATCAGAAGCAACTGATCAGCAAGGAGCCCGAGGGAGGTAAACCGGGCAACCACTTCAAATCAGCCTGTCCTGCCTACAGAAAACTGCCTTGTAAGGTTCTGAGATCCCTGCTGTACACACAGATACACACACACACACACAGTTTCTTTCTCCACCCTTTTCTCAGGGTCCTCTTGAGCTTCAGGACCACAGAGTTGCTGAGCCTACACTTCTACTGTCTCCAGCTTTTGGAATCTAGCCAAAGTGGCTGTCTATTCTCCCAGGGCCCTGGTCCCTCCTGCCCGCTTGTATTAAGCAACCAACTGTCGAACATTTTAATTTGGTGAATAAAAATCTCTTGACCCTGGAAGACTGTAAGTGAGATGAAACCTTGTTCTTTCTCTGCATTGTGGCTCTGCTGGGCACATCTGGCCACCTCTACAGCTCCAGCCCCGACCAGGAGGGTCATCAAGCTGATACCCCCAGGTAAGCAGGCAGGTCTGGATGCAGGACTCCCCAGGAGAACTTCCAGGGCTCCTGAGTGCCAGGTCCTGGCATGGGGTGGTTGTGGCATGCCAGGGTGAGACTGAAAATAGTCTACACATCCTGAATGTTAATGTGCATTTTAATTATGTGAATTTTAAAAATAAAAAGATCAGTTTATGTGAGTAATTTGAAAAAAGATAAATCCTCCCCTCCTCAAGAAAGGTCAGGAACTTCCATCATGTCAAAGCAGGCGGAAGTGAGTAAAAACTATGTTTCTACCGCGTGGGAAGACAGAAACAACCCTCTGCATCATGCCTTGAAACTGGCTTGAGTGAAGGAAAAATCTCACAAATGTGTTGCTCAAGTGTAACAGAGATCCAAGCCTTCTGGAGAGTGGGGAGCAAGGTCTGAAGGCAGATGCAGAATCCAATTTGGGATGAAGGAAGGGGAATTAGGGGAGATTTACCTCTTCAATGGCCAGGAGGTAATATGGAGCAAATCAGACATATCACGGAAGGCTTCCTGCAGGAAGGACCACTTGTCTGGAACATGTGTGGGATTTAATGTGGTAAGCAAGGAGGCAAACGCTTAAGGAGGGGGGACAGCAAAAGCCCTGTGGCAGGAGGCAGCATGACAAGAATGAGCTTTCTGAAGGTGGGGAGGAGACAGCCGAGAGAGTATGGGTGTGACAAGGCAGAGGTGGCTGGAGCCAGGATACACAGGGCACTTAGGCCGTGCAAGAGTGTGGACTTCACCCCAGGAGCTGAGGAGCTATAGAGGGGCATTTTGAGAAGACTCCTTTGGCTACAGTGCGAGGCATGATTGGGAAGAGTGAAGTTGTGAACGATGCATGACTATTATGGAAATTAAAGAGAAAATTAGAAATGAGAAGGCCCCAGGTGCAACCCTGAGTAAAACCAGAGGCATCTGCAAAGTAGAGCAAAGGAGTAGCAGACAGGAGAATCAACAGATGATCTAGGGAAAAACAACTGCCCCAAAGCAGGATCCGTACTGGCAGAGCTGGCTGGGTGGTCACGATGGAGGAGAAGGGCAGTGGTGTAGGCACCGAGGACCTGGGCAGCGTTAGCAGGAGGTGCTCTGCTTGCAGTAATGGATTCAAGCTAAATGGGAGAGAGCTGAGGAGAAAGAGAGGAAATAGTACTTTTCTAGGAAGATGAGGAAAGATGGTAGCTGTGGGCAGGAGGAGGATGAAGTTGTCTAAGGAAATGTTGTGCTGTTGTTATTATTGTTTAAAACGAGATGATTTCCCTGTGCTTAAAACCCAATGCGTTTTCCACCTGAATATATTGCATTCACCACACTTACCTTCTCACACTCCTGAAACTCCACTCTAGCGGCAATAAATTTACCAGATTTGAAGGCCAAAGGGATGAAGAAAGCTGGGCCAGCGACATTAGGGAGAAAGACAGCAAGCGTTTGGGAGAGAAGTGGATGGAGGGGTGGAAACTGGCTTAGCAAAGTGGAAGAGGCTGCAACTCGGACTTGCCGAGGAGGGTGCTGACAGTGAGCTTGCTAGATTTTCCTCCAGAACCAAGAAAGGGAACAACATGGGCCCTGGGTATAAGAAACCTGACTCAGGAGCACAGGAAAGCAAATCCCTGGGTGCCTGAGCTGGAATCTCAGGATGAAGCTACGCAGAAGGCTCATTAATGATCATCTCCCCGTCTCCTCCTCCTCCTCCTTTTACTGCCACTGGGAAGCCTGAAGGGTTCACACCAGGAGAATTCTCTCCCATCAGCTTCCTGTCAAGCCCATTCCCATTTGGTCTACAATGCTGATGTTTGCAAACCACATCAAATACGGCTGTCTCCTGGGAACCGGTAAATATTGTGGTTGGTTGGGATGGAAGTGCTGGGATGAGAGGAGGCTTGTTGGAAGAGGGTGTCGAGGGACAAAAAGAGGAAAGAAGCCTGTGTATTTTTGGTAGGGAAAGGACAGATGAAGAAAGGCTGTTTCCCAGGAGAATGTGTTACATTGAGCCATGTGAAATGACCACCTGCACCGCCATTTTTAATGATTAAAATGGAATTTTATACAGTCGCCTAATAAGAATTGTACTTAAGAAACATTGAAGCTCTTCTTTATAAATGCCCTCAGTCTTTCATAAACCCAGCACACAAGCCCATCAACACCATCCCCGCCTCCCTTCCCCACGACTTTCTTGTCTCTTGCTGTCCCAAACAAAAAGGGAAGAAACAAAATGACCAGAGTCCTTCAACTCCAGAAGTCTAAGACAGCTTCTGATCTTTGCTTTAGGACTGAAATCTCTAATTAGGAAAGCCCCCAGATGCAAGATCCTAGTTGTGGCTTTAGGATTTTGCAAAACCAGATAAAAAGCAGAGGTAAATGATAAACCCAGAAAAACGCCTACCTGCAGGGCCTAACCTGTTGTCTGAAGCCCCAAAGGTAATTCAGAATCGTCTATAATCACCTGAAAATAGATGCCACCGTGCTAGAAAAAATCATCTGTAATTCATAAGGAATACAGTTAATTCCATTCAATAAAAGTTGTGGGGACTGCGGGATGTACCAGGGCTTCAATGACTATAATGGGCACATAGGCATTTAAGGATAAATAAAAGGGAAAAAAGGAAGAAAAAGTTTTGTAGCATTATGATTTTAAGTTTAGATGCTCAGGCTAACCAAGAGGAGATAAGTGGATAAATTCAGGAAAAATAAAGTCTACAGCTGGGAGCCATGTGGTCATCTAAAAGTCAGAGTTAAGGGCAATGAGCCACTTGAGAAATGGCAAGAAGTGCTGGTGCCAAGCTCAGTTCCATGAAGCAGGAAATGGCCAAGCCGGCCACCAGCCCTGAGCATGTCTCTCTGGATACAGAGAGCCTGCAGCCCCTAGCCTTCCTCCAGCTTACCCAAGGGATCCTGGGATTTGTGGCTCAAGGTTTTGGAGTTCTATGTGCTGTATTTGCATTGTCTGGAAAGAGAATAGTTTAGAAAAAAGCCATTCCTCATTGAGACCGCAGGCTCCAGGAACAGCAACATGATTCCAAACCAAGTCCATGGTATTTCTATGTGCAGTTTCCTGCCACCCCACTTGCCTAATGAGAAGATAACCCAGTTCCTTCTCATGGAGGGGTCTACTCTTCAATACTTGGGTATGGTCTTTAGAACACATTTACCCTTTAAGTTGCCTAGTAGAACAGAGGGACATCTCTTGTTAAATTTTTCACACCCACAGACACAAAAGTGGGTTTTCTGATTTTTAATTATTTAAATGTTTAATTTTTTATTTAGAAAGAATTGTAGAATCACAGGAATTTGCAAGTATAAGTAAAGATAGTACAGAGAGTTCCATGTACCCTTCACCCAGTTCCTCCAATGGTTACACCTTACATAATTGTAATATCAATACCAGGAAATTGACATTGCACAGCATGTTGTGTGTATGTGTGTGATGTGTGTAGTTCTGTGCCATTTATCACATGTATAGATTCATGTCACCATTACTGCAATCAAGTTACAGAACGAGTTCATTGCCCAAAGATCTCCCTAGTCTCCTTTATGTTTACACCCATTTCTCTCTCGCCACCAGCCCCTCAGTCCTGGCCCCTGGCAACCACTAATCTGTTTCCCATCTCCATGTATATTATGTAAGTGAAATTTTTCCTGGACCAAACTGAGCAGGGTGGGGGGTGGGGGTGGGGGTGGGCTGCTATTTCTTGTGGCCCAATAACTAGATGCAGATGAACTGGGGAGGAAGAGAGTTTTTATTTCTATAACCAGTTACAGGGAGAAGGCCTGTAAATTATCACCAGACCAAGTCAAAATTACAAAGTTTTTCAGAGCTTATATTACCTTCTAAGCTATATATCTATGTGTAAGTGTGCATTCATCTAAAGGCTAAGTGATTAACTTATTTTAATCTGTAACTAAGGTCTGAGTCCTGAAGACCTTCCTCTGGAGCCTCAGTAAATTTACTTAATCTAAATGGGTCCAGGTGCTGAGGTGATTACCCTTATTTTGTCTCCTGCTAAATCACGGAGGTTTGAGGAGTTCCTTCAGATCCCCAGTAAACTTGTTTATGGAGGCCTGGGGAGTTTCTTCAGACCCACAATAAAACTTGTTTAATCCTAAATGGGCCCTGCTAAGAATTCCTTCATTATTTTGTCATGCTTTAAGGCCCAGGAAAAGCCTAGGCCAAACTCCTAATGGGCTTTTGTTACATCCCAGCCTTTGTATAAGGGCATTGGTTTCTAATATTTAACTTAACCATTCAATCAGTACTGAAACAGTTGTCAGTGAGACCTGGCCTGCCACAAAAATCACACAGATTTTGGGTTTTTTCACTCAGCATAATAGTCTTGAGATTCAATCAAGTTGTTGTATGTATCAACAGTGGATTCTTTTTATTGCTGAGTAAAACTCCTTGGTAGATGGCCACCATCCATTTAGTGAATCACCTAATGAGCATATTTTGGCTGTTTCCAGGTTTTGACTATTACAAGTAAAGCTGCTATGGTCAATCATGTGCAGGTTTTCTGTCGACATTCCATAGAATTCCACAGGGATGAATTTATTTTTAATTCCACTGGGATGCATGCCCAGGAGAGCAGTTGCTGGGTTGTTTGGTATTGTATGTTTAATTTTTTAATAAACTGCCCAATTCTTTTCCAAAGTGGCTGTACCATGTTACATTCCTGCTAGAGTGATCCAGTTTCTCCACATCATTACAAACATTTGGCATTGGCAGTATCTTTTGTTCTAGCTGTTCTCATAGATCTGTAGTGAAATTTCATCATGACCTTATTTGCATTTCCCTAATGGCTGGTCATGTGCCTTTATCCATGTGTCTTCTTTATATCTTTAGCCCATATTCTATTTGAATTGTTTGATTTTCTTACTGTCAAGTTTTTAATATATTCTTTACAAATTCTAGTTACGAGCCCTTTTGTCAGATCTGCAGTTTTCAAATGTTTTCTTCCAGTCTATAGCTTGTCTTTCCACCCTCTTCATGGTGTCTTTTGCAGGGCTAGGTTTCATTTTAATGAGGTCCTCTTTGTTGATGTTTTTCTTTTATAGATCACACCTTGCTATCATTTTAAATTACTTTTCACCAAGCCGTAGGTCCCGAAGATATTCTCTTATGTTATCTTGTAAAAGTTTTATTTAAATGTAAAGGGGTATTTCATTTAAATATAAAAGCTTCATTTAAATGTAAAGGGGGTATAAACCCTTTACATTTTAATCTGTGATCCACTTTGAGTTAGCTTTTGTATTAAGCGTAAGGTTTAGGTCAAGGTACATTTTTTTGCTTTTGGATATCCAACTGACCCAGCACTATTTGTTGACAAGACTATCATTCTTTCATTGGACTGCTTTGCACCTCTGTCAAAAATCTGTTGACCACACCTGTGTGGGGCTATTTCTGGGCTCTCTATTCTGTTCTATTGATAAATGTGTCTCTCCCTCTACCAGTAGCACAGAGTCTTGAGTAATGTACCTACGTATTAAGTATCGGAGTCTGATAAACTGATAGGTCTGATTATATTTTTTATCTTCAGAATTGTTTTAGCCATTCTAGTTCCTTTGCTTTCCTATATAGATTTTAGAATAATCTTATTTATGTTCACAAAAAATCTTACTGAAATTGTGATAGTAATCGTGATAAGCCTGTTTACCAATTTGGAAGAATTGACACCTTTATTATGTTGAGTATTCCAATCCATGAACATGGTATGTCTGTCTTTATTTTTATTTTTGATTTTTCTTTTCAGCTTTGTCTTTTTCAGCATACAAATCCTGTAAGTGTTTTGTTGGATTTACACCTGATAATTTTATTTTGTGTTACTGATTGTATGAGATATTGTATTTTTAATTTCAGTTTCCATATGTTCATTGTGAGTATATAAAAATACCATTGGGTTGGTCTTATATCTTGCAACTTTGCTTATTAGTTCTAGGAGGTTTTTATTCATGTGCTTGTTTGTTTTGCCTTGTGTTATTTTGTTTTGTTTTTGTAGATGCCTTGAGATTTTTCATGCAGATTATCATGTCATCTGCAATAGGGACACTTTGTATCTTTCTTTTAGATCTACATGCCTTCATTTTCTTTTATTTTCTTATTGTGCTGGCTAGAACTTCCAGTGCTATGTTGAATAGAAGTAGAGAGAGGGGACATCTTGTTTTTTTCCCAGATCTCAAAGGAATGCATTCAGTCTTTCACCATTAACTATGATGATAGCTGTTGCTTTTTGCAGATGCTGTTTATCACATTGAGGAAGGTCCTTTCTATTTCTAATTTCCTGAGAGTTTTATCATAAATGGGCCTTGAATTTTGTCAAATTTTTTTGTATAAATTGATATAATCACATAATTTTTCTCATTAAGCCTATTAGTATTGTAGACTATAGGGCTTGATTTTTAAAATTTTAACCCAGCCTTTTATCTTTGGAATAAACCCAACTTGATCATAGTACATAATTATTTTTGTATATTGTAGAATTATATTTGCTGTATTTTCTTAAGAATGTTTGTGTCTATATTTTTGAGGAATACTGGTCTGTATCATGTTTTGGTACTGTCTTTGGTTTTGGAGTAAGTATCCTACTTACCTCATAAAATGAGTTAGGAAGCATCTCTACTTATTCTGTTTTCTGGATGAGATTGTGTAGAATGGTTATGAAATTTTTTATATGTTTGGTAGCCTTTTTTAGTGACACAATTTGGGCCTTGAGTTTCTTTTATGAGAGTTTATAAATTCTATTTTCTTAATAGTTAATAGGGCTATTCAAATTGCTTATTTCATATTGCGAGAACTGTGGTAGCTGTGCTTTTCAATGAATTGGTTCATTTCATCTACGTCATAAAATGTATGTGTGTTGAATTGTTTACTGTATTCCTTTAGTATCCTTCTGATGTCTGTGGGGTGTGTAGCGATAGCCTCTGTTCACTCCTTATATTGGTAATCTCTGCCTTCTCTCTCTCTCTTTTTTTGTCAGTCTTGCTAGAATGTGCCAATTTATTGATCTTTTCAAAGATGTACCTTTTGTTTCGTTGATTTTTTTCTGTTTTAATTTAATTTCTGCTTTTATCTTTCTTGTGTCCTTCCCTGCTTGCTTGACATCCATTTTGCTAGCTTTTTCTAGTTTCTTGAGGTGAGAGCTTAGATTATGGAGACATGTTCTCTCTTAAACCTCAGATTTAGTTTTTTTTTTTAATTAAGAGGTAAGGTTTTGCATGGTTTCAATTCAACTAATATGGAAAAAAAACTTTTCACTCATGTGTATATTGTGTAAAGTTGTAGAATCCTACTATTCTTTTAAATGCCCCAATATTTAACATTGTACTGATCGCTAGAGTGTACCATTTTCAGATAAGGACAAACCCAAAGGTTAAATAGTTTCTTTATTAACCAAGAGTTATGGTGAAAGCAAGACAAGAAGCAAGCCCTCTCCCCTCTCCCCACCCCCACACTGCTCTTCCCACGGCAGCATCCAGCCTGTAATGGCTGTCCTCAAGGTCTGCAGCTGGGGCTGTCCAAAAGGAATCTGGGTGGGCTCCATCCAGTCTCACCCAAACCAGCCCATGGTACTCCAGATTTGAGAGTAGATGTGGGGAGTGGCAAGACTGAGGGTCTGTGATGGCATCTGTCCTCCCCACTCTGTCCTTGGGCTCCAGCCAGACCCCCTGGCTCTCTGCAGGCACCCTGGGTGGTGGTCATCCACAAAAAAAGTCAGCCCAGTGTCTTTCAGGAGTTGCAACCTCCAAAGGGTTAAAATGCATCAACAAACTTCACCTGGACAAGGCACCCCAGCCATCTTTACAGTATCCAGGGTCAATTCAGAGCTCTGCCACCTACCAGCCATGTGACTCTGAGCAAATGTACAAAGTTTCTCTGTACCTTGGTTTTCTCATCGAACAATGGGATGATATTGGTATTGGTCTCACAGGGTTGCTATGAGGAGTAAGTTTGTCTCTGTGTATAGAGCTCTCTGAACAGTGCCCAGCATGGCATAAGCACTAGATCAGCAGTACTGGCTGGCATTTGCCCTTATTGCCCCATCAAAACTCCTTCAGTCCTCTCTGCTTAAAATCCACTGGCTTTGATGTCAGAAGAATAAGGAAATTGGCAATTACCCTTTATATTCATTTCCACCCTCTCTCTCCATTCCTACCATAAAGTAAACCTTTTGGTAGCCAAGAAGAAGAAAAGTTATTCCACAACATTGTCGACACTTGTTCAAAGAGCCAGGGGCAGGGGAGGAATACGCCGAACCAGTCTATGCAGAATGCAAACAGGTTTGTGCATAACCACCCCATCCACTGCATGCCATTGAATGAACGATTCAAACACAACTGGGCACTTTTGTTGACTTACAGTTTACAGTGTGTATAAACAGTTTGTAAGTGAAGAGCACTCCTCCAGCAAGCCAGCCCCCACCACACCCCCTAGGTGTGGTATCCACAAAGACAAGAAAGTTTTTTGGACTAATTTGACTCAGAGCATCAAGACTGCTAAAGATGGCACTGCCCGTTTGTGGAATTCAGATGCAGGCTTCACTATGAGTCTCCAGTAAGCCTCAGTCAAAACAGTAGAGAGGGAATCAAGAGTGCCTCCCCCAGCAGTGTGTCTTCTAACCTTTCTCCTGGCTCTCAGAATGTACAGGCTCTTAACAAAAACACATGTGCAAGAACATATTAGACCCTCATCACCTCTGCCAGCTGAGTTCTTATTTCCCTGTCTGCTCCCACTGCATCTGAAAACCCTACATCCTGCCCAGTGTAAGTCCGATTCCTCATGCCAGAATAATTTGTTAATTTTTTTCCAGATCCTAAAGTGATGCTTCAGGTAGCAAACTCTGAGTTTGATGTATGTTCTCCGAGAATGCACTGTAGATAACAATGCTCAATTCATAGTGATAGGGCATCTCTGAGCAAATGTCTCCCGCCAGCTGTTTGCTGCAATAATTTGGATATTTGCTCCTGTGCCTTTCACGTTGTGGTTAAACAGCATGTTTACCATCAATATCACTGGCAAGAGGTTGGGAACAGAATGGAGAGAGGAGACAGGGTGTGGTTCTATAAGAATCAATGGCTCTCCTCCTTATGGGTTGTGTAGACTTGAATGAGGTCCCCTCTCCAAGCCTTTATTTACTCATTGCTGCAATGACAGCAACCTCTCTGCTTCATAAAAGGGTATATGAAGCAACCCTAGCATGGTCTCCAATAAGCTCAGTGGGCATTCCTTCTCTGTCCCCACCATATCCATATGGCCTTTCTACAACTATTTCTATGTTTAAAAGAGCTAAACCTGCCTGTTATCCCATTTATTATAATTCTTTCATTTCGTATGTCTAACTGCACTTGAGTCCTCACAATTCAGATGGATAGAGTGAAGGCTTTTCAGACCCTCAACTGATTAGGTGAGGCCCACCCACACTCAATGGGGCCACCTGCTTTCATCACATGGATATGCTGAAGACAGATTGTTGAAATATTCTTTGTTTTTAATTTAAACTTGTTTCATCATACTGGTTCTTTTGAGGTGATTTTCATCTCACTTTCAGGTCGTTTGAGAGTTTCATCTTACTATATAATGGTTGAAAAAGGAAAGGAAGTCATCACTTGCCCAAGGTGGTGGTGAATTCCCATTCTGTTACCAGCCAAGGGAAGGGATTAGGGGAAAATATTTCACCCAGAAAAGTGCTGTGTTGTTTGAGTTCGCCTTTTGGTTATTAAGGGTACTAATATATTTTTCATCAACAATGACTTAAGGCCCCTAGAAGTTCATGAACCTGGTGTGGGTGTGTGTTTCCCACTCAGATGTGCTGTGTAACTTGCACCTGAGGGTAACACGAACTCTCCCTGGGCAAGATGTAACCAGGGAAAGAAAGGAGAAGGCAGAGCTCAGAGCAAGCAGAAAGCCAAGCAGGAGACCAAAAGAGGCCTCAGAGGCCATGTTTGCATCTTCCACAGAGGGACAGACACATTCTCTGCCTCTCCAGTAAACACAAACATGCAAACATGCACACACAGAGACATGCACACACACGGACCATACACACCACACCACACACACACACACACAACTACTTATGTTTCTGAATATTACAAACATCATTACAAAATATGAAATGTACAAAGAACAATTCCCGGTGGCTCATGCTTGTAATCCCAGAACTTTGGGAAGCCGAGGCAGGTAGATCACCCGAGGTCAGGAGTTCAAGACTAGCCTGATCAACATGGTGAAACCCCGTCTCTATTAAAAAATACAAAAATTAGCCAGGCACAGTGGTGGGCGCCTGTAATCCCAGCTACTCAGGAGGCTGAGGCAGGAGAATTGCTTGAACCCAGGAGGCGGAGGTTGCAGTGAGCTGAGATTACACCATTGCACTCCAGCCTGGGCAACAGAGCAAGCCTCCGTCTTAAAAAAAAAAAAAAGGAACAATTCCTGAAGCTTCTGATGATTTCTGGCTGACCATGAGGTTGGAAGTGGGAACACATTAAGGGCTTAATGATGGGACACAGTGATGTAACCACTGTGGAGCCACAATTGAAGTGCTGAGATTCAGCATTGGAAGACATCTCTGTCACCAAATGAACACGCCTCCCTAAAGAGCTCTGGCAGTGAGTCAAAGGCTTCATTTGGGTCAAGACAGAGTTATTATACAAAAAGCCAAGTTTCATTCTACAAATCCACATCGGGGTCAATATTTTAAAGTGATTTCCCCCAAGTTCTGTGTAGAGCAAGCTGACAGAGAAGAAATGGCTCTGAGATATCTGGCAAGGTGCAGATGGACTGACCACAAGCCGCTTATCCCCACTGTAGCTCCGGGCTCCCTTCTGCCACAGTGGCCATATCTGTGAGGTTCTGCCCTTTCCCTGGGGCCACTGCATCAGTCAGGGCTCTCCAGAGAAACGGAATCCACAGGAGGTATACCTATAGCATACACAAAGGCTTTATTATAAGGAATTGGCCCATGCAATTATGGAAGCTGACACATCCAATGTCTATAGGTCCAAGGTCCCAGTTCCAGTCCTAAGAGGATTCTCCTAGTTAGAGACTTCTCTCTAACTAGGGAGAGTGTTGGCTTTTTGTCTTCAATAACAGTCTACTCAGGCCCTCAACTAATTGGGTGAGGCTCACCCACACTAGGAAGGGCCATCTGCTCTCCTCAGTCTACTGACTCACTTGTCAATCTCATCCAGAAACCCCCTCACAGACACATTCAGAATAATGTTTGACCACATATCTGGGCACCCCATGCCCCAGTCAAGTTCACACATACAATTAACCATCATAACTATCTGTTAGACCCCACCTTGCAGGGGGCAGTCCTCCTCTGGAAACCTTCAGGACTTGAAGTGTCAAGCTCATGTGTGCAAACTGTGACCAACACACATTTTCCTGAGAAGAGGCCTCAGACAAACAAAAAAATATCATGCATGCACATTTACTCAGATAATGACTGTCTGTTGCAGCCTTTACGCTAAACAGAGCTAAGAGTAGAGATAGTGCAGATTAACTCAGACCCAGAAACTTGGGGAGGCACCCTGGGATCCTGGAAGCAGATGCTGGGAGGGCAGAGGGGACCGAGAAAGGAGGTGCATTTACTCAGCTCTTCTGAGACAATTCTGCTCTCCTGCGGTGCACTCGTTCTGCTGGAGAAAGGGCTCACTTTGAGTTTGAATCTTAAAACTGCATGTCCTTTAACCACACTGTACCTGCTCACCAGGCTGTGGACACTAAATTGTTGGGAAAGTGAATATATTTCATTTTTTTAATTAAAAAAGCATGTAAGGTTATATTACATAATTGTGATATATAATACATTTATTCAAATCATATTTAAGTTTGGGGCCACATGATTTTCAAAAGTATACAGATATAACTCATAGTATCTTTCAATTTTATTCCCATAAGCCTAGATTTGATTTAAAGTCTAAGCGCAAAGGTAGAGAAATTTTTTAGTTGTTTAGTACCTGCCATTTTATTTTTCTCCAACTTTTTATTATGGAAAAAGTTCAAAGATACAAAGAAGGAGAACAGATTGTACAACCCCTTCCCTAAATCCACCACGTAGAACCAATAATCACCAACCTTTTGTCATATCAGCTTATGTGCACGTACTGTGCTGAACAATTTAAAATAAGTTTTAGACATGAAGACATTTTACCCTTTAATACTTCAGCAGCACCTCCTAAAATTAAAGCCATTCTCCTAAACAAACATTATGCCATTATCACACCTAAAAACATTAACAATAATTCTATACTATCAGTCAATATCCCCTCCAATTTGTAATTTCCTCCAAAATGTTTTTGTGTGCGTGTGTGTGTGCTGATTTGTCCAGCTGGGAGTCAATCCGGATTTGTACTTATTGTTATACTTCTTCTTTTCAGCTGTTCTTATACCAGAAGAATCCTTCACCCCTTTTTCTTGACATTGATTTTTTTTGGAAGAGCTCAGGACTGCAGAATGCCCACACTCTGGTAGTCCAGTTTTTCCCATGGTGTCATTTAACTCATGGCTCAAACTCTTCCATTTCCTGTAAACTTGCAGTAAAGTCTAGAGGCTTTGCAATTGATTCAATTGAAGCATCTTTGGCAAGCACACAGCAACAATGATGTTGTGTGTTTCTTTTGCATCACATAATGCCAGGTTGAGCCAGTATTAGTGACACTGAGTTTGATCTTCCTGTAAGGTACAGCCAGATGTCTCCATAAAAAAATGGAAAATGGAAAACCTTTTTCTTTTTTTTTTCCAATTAGCACCCGTTCGCCTGCACACTTTCACCTAAGGGTTTGACACCCACTAGTGCACACTGCCTGATTTAATTATTTCATTAAGGGTTACAGAATGGGGATTTCCTCATTCTCGCATTTCTACGTTTATGAGCTGGCATTCTTCTGTTAAACTGCTTTCACTTGTGAAACAGGATGCAGAGGAGGAGACTTATTCAACAGAATTGTAGGGAGGGCTGTTTCTCTCAAAAGGAGTGGTGAGAGAAGATGGTCTCTACCGGGGCATGGAGGGCTCCTTGTCAGAGTCTAGTGTCTGAGCTTTAAGGCCCAGGAAGAGGGCAGCAGATGGGGGTGGGGCAGTGGGTGAGTGAGAGGCCCGTGTGTGGGGAGACCCACTGAGGACAGGGATCTTTAGGCAAACGGAGCCTCACTGAAAGAGGAATTTCAGTGATGCCATGGGTCAGATCCTGGGTCTCTCTTAGGGAAACCTGCCATAAAGCATGAGAGCCACATTACTCCTCAGGGCTTCTGGGCTCCGATTCCGCAGACTAGTTTTGGAGGCATCACCACGCCTCAAGGTTGCTCTGTTATATCAGGGTAACTGACTTTCTCTAGGAACGGAGACTTGGGTGCCCCTTAAAACAACCCTCAGCCAGTATCCTAGCAGTAAATTTTTCATCACGGGAAGCAACTAATTGAACAGAGGTGTGATGAACCTACTGACCACTTTGGTAATATAGACACAGTGGCCACAGTATGCTGTATTGTTATCCTGGTTGTGACCAATGCCAAAGGAGCATGTTTCCTTCTTTTCTTGACTTGATGCTGTAGGAGTCCAACAAAGGGAAGCACATTCAGGCCCACATGAAACTTGGGACAGAAGTGGCTTCTCAGAGCCGTGCACCAGGCACTTTGAACAAGTTGGAAGGCTACAGTGCCGGAAGACTCCACAGTAGCACAGGCGAAGTGGCTTAGGCGAAAACGCTGGGAAGTACCCCAGCTCCCGGGGGCCAGAGCCTCTAGGGCTGGCAGCCTCAGCAGGCAGAGTCACTTGCCTCCTTCAGCTCAATTGCTGAGGGCTTGCGTTTCTCTGCAGGGAACAGGAGTGCCGCCGACTTCCACTCTTGGTGCCCTTCACCGCTCAAACTGCACCCCAAATAAGCGTATGCACCCTGCTCCAAGAGAAGGATGCGCTGGGCTGATCCTCTGGAGGCAAGAGGGCAAAAGACAGAAAGTAACGAGCGGCCTTTGCACAAACTCAACTCTCTGCAGCGGCCCCTGCGGCCCAATCCTGCCGGCCCAGGAATGCACGGTCGGATAACAGGCCTCTCCTTGCTTTTTCGTCTTCTTCCTCCCGCTTCTCTCCTCTCTCCTTTTCCTCCTCCTCCTTTTTCTTTAATTTTCTCCTTTCTCCCCAAGCTTCTACAGTTGTTTCTGTGTTCGCTCAATCATGGCCTTTGGCATTGATTGAAAATTTGGCAGTTCCTTCTCTCGGAATTCTGTTTGAAGCCTTCATATGGATTTATTATTATTATTATTATTTTTGCCACACAAAAGGGGCAAATCCGCGTGAGGAAGGGGGTCGCATGGGGGTCGGCTGAGATCTGCTGGCTGCCGGTCTAGGAGGGGCGCTGCTCTGTGCCGGAGTGGGCTCTGGTGCACCAGCAGAGGCTGGGGGAGAGTGCTGCCCCCGCCTGGAGCCCAAGTCTCTGCGTGCCTGGGGGTAGAGCGCGGAGAGGGACCAGGCAGGCGCCGGAGGGGACCCGCGCGGAAAAGGAAGAAGCCCAAACAAAAACGCTGTCCGGCGCCAGGCGCCCACCTGCAAGCCCAAGCCGGTGCTCGGCCAGTTACAAAAGAAATGGTCAGGATCTGGACAACGATAATGATAGTATTAATCCTCCTATTAAGAATCGGCCCAAACAAACCCTCGCTGTCAGGGCGACAGGCGCCCGCCCAAGCCCAGACCTCGGACCTGGTTCCAAGCCTGTTCCCGCTGGGTCTCTGGGCGCCCGGTTTCTGCACCTGGAGCTCGCCCGATGAGGACAAGGTCTGGAGGCCGGCCTGGGAACAGGGGCCGAAGGGCGAGCCGGACCCTAGGGGATTGGTAGGGTCGGGGAGAAGGGGTCCAGGCTAGGGGCGGGCGGGGCGCACGGAGACCAGGCGGCTTGAGCGGGAGGTGGGGAGCTGGAGGAGTGCCGGGTTCGCGGGCGGGGGACGGGGAGAGGGGGGCGGGGAGAGGGGCGGGAGTCGGGGGCGGCGAGGGGAGGGGCGGAGCGCGGGTCCCGCCCCGGCGGGCCGCTGGAAAAGTTTAGTCTCTGACTCGCTCGGGCAGAGGCCGAGGAAGCCGGTTCCGGGGACGGGCAACAGGGACTCAGGGACCAGAAGGCGGCTGCAGGACGCGACCGAGCAGGACCCCAGGCCCGGGAACGACGTCGCGAGCGCTGAGACTGCCGGGCCTCCCAGCCCATCTGGCATTCGAGCGCAGGACCGGGCGCCCCGGCACCGCCGCGCGCCACCCGCTAGGATGCCGGTGGCCCCAGCGCCCTCAGCCGACGGAGGTGAGAGGCGGGCCCGGGCGGGGCGCGGAACCAGGGTGGGGGGCTGGGGGCCGAAGGACCCACCTTTCCAACAAAATCCCCACCGATCCCGGGCGCGACGGGGACTTGGGCGCGCCACGGCGGCCGGAGCGCTCCACATCAGCACCCCTCCCCCAGAGCCGCTGCAGGAACAGGGAGGAGGCCTTTTCCACCGCACCCGGAGCGTTTACAACGGGCTGGAGCTGAATACCTGGATGAAAGTGGAGAGGCTGTTCGTGGAGAAGTTCCATCAGTCGTTTTCCTTGGACAATTAACAAGTTAGGCTTCCACAGTGCCAGGGCCTGGGGATGCTGGACGTGGGAGAGGGTTGTGGTCGTTAGCCTGGGAAAATCATTCTTTTAAACAATATTCGCCGGAAAATTAGTTTTTTCCTAACATTTCTCAAACAAGGCAATTAGGGCCGTCAGAATCGGTGCTGGAAGACGAAGTCCCCACAGTGCAATAATGAGGTTCCCACGGAAAATCAGTACGTTGTGTTCGTAACTGAGATAACAGCTAGAGAAGGGGCTTTGGGCTTTTTGAGTCTCCCAATAGTCAGTCTCTCTCTCTCTCTCTCTCTCTCTCTTCCTCTGACTTTCTGGCTTTGGACACTCCCAATGGTATATTTCTTTGTGGTGTTTTTATATTTGGATATAAGAGAGGAACTTCTTGTTGGATTTTTAAGGGAACACACTTCGTTTTGACCCTTCCAATAAGGAAAGGGGAGCTACAGGAACAGAGAGCTCTTTAGAAGGTTACTTTTAAATGGAGGCCCCCCCATTCATGGTACCCACTCCCACTTGGACCTCTGAGACCTCCAGAATTAGGCATCATTCTAAAATCTGGACATTAGAAGTCACAGACTTTGTATATAACCACATATTCATAATTTATCTTTTCAATGTTTTTTATTCATAGATGAAAATCTTGCAGGCATAGTTAAGAAAAATATAATTCCTAGAAAGTACAAGGGAAGGATTATGCTCTGCAGATACATGACTAACAAGGATAGCTGGCCATGCCCAGGGCTGGTGTTGGTTGAGGAGGTGGTGATGGTGCGGGGCATGTGTGTGTGTGTGTGTGTGTGCGCTTGAGGAGTTGTGGAAGTGTTCATATCTGTAAAGTATTATTTCATGGATGCAGACCTTAATGCTAGGTTGAATAACTTTGTTGCCATAGAAGAAGAACCGCACGTCAGGCTTTTTTCATTAGCAAACCAGTAAGCACTCACTTTGGGCCTCTGAAATCACTTCCATCACCTAACACCAGAGATACAAACTGAAGCTAGCCCTTAAGAGCCTCCCCCTAAGATTTAGAGAGAATGATTTCTCAACCAGTTTTCATCTTTGAAAGTGCCATTTCTCCCTTTATCATTGTGATTTTTATTCAAATGCATGAGTCTCTGATTTTCTACCATATACAAAGGGTAGAGACTACAGTTTCCTATAGAAGAAACTTCACATAGTGGCCGAAGGATCTTATTTCTCAAAATTCAGGAACTGGTTTCCTCTTTCTGGAAATTATGACATTAACTTGATTTCATGGTATCTCTTTCATCTTCCTCAATGCCTGTGCTGTATGTATATTTTTATTATATACTGTAGGTATATTTTTATTACCAAAAAAAGGAGAATTTGAGCATGCCACAATCTTGAAAAATCTGAGGTTGCCCTGCTGTAGAACCCTTTAACTGCCAGGACTTTGTACTGTTTCCCAAGTGTTACCAGAGCCAGGCCGCCAGCCTTATGCAGTCTGTTTACCTTAGCTGGAACCAGGGTGCTGTGCTGTGGGTTCTATGAAACTTTCTGTTTCTTCATATTTGGCTTTGTAATTCCTTTCTTATCAGTTTTGGAGGCATTTCCTATTATTCCTCTGCCATATGTTTTCTGCCAAATTAATTGCCTTAAGATTTTCCTTAAGCTTTTGGAAATGTATAATGTTTGAGAAAAAAGAAAAAGAATAGACTGAGTGGAATCGTATCTAGTTTCAGTTAATAACATGTTTCAGTTGATGTTACTGTTATAGCTACTGGGCATAAAGTCTCCTTCCCTTTTTTGAATCCTATTTTTGAGGCATTGAAGCTGTGTCTGTAAGAGACAATAGGCCAGTTGGGTTAAATCAGTGACGAGATTGTCCAGTGCAGATTGGTGCCCAGTGAGTGGATCTTCACTGCTCACAGGCCGGACTGGGGTCAGCTCACACAGCGAGGTGACGGTCCGCTCCTCAAGCAGTGGATGGTGCTCTTCGGCCTTGCAGATGCCGCTCCATTTTCCTGGCTTCAAAATTTTCCAGATATTTCAGTGCCCCCAGAATGACATGCTAACATTCTGCTGGCATGGGAGCATGAGGCAGTTTGTCTCTAAAACATGCCAGAGAATCTCTTGTCACTACCTAGGCAAAGAACCAGTGGCAAGGTGGCAGCCTCCCAAAGAGCTCATCCCTAATGTGACATCCTGGAATCAGATGGCACGGACACCGGCCCAGCCCCTTCCCAGCTCTGTGACTAAGGACAAGTGACACCCCCCCTCCCCCAGCCTCGGTCTCCTCCTGTGTACATTCAGAAGGCAGATGCTGCCATGAGGCCATGTGTGCTATGTCCATGGTGCAAGGTGGCACGCATGCCGAGTCACCAGGTGAGACTGCCGCTTTGGGAAGGGATAGGAAGGATCTCCGGTAGCCTTCGTGGGCAGGATGCCTCTTATTTGAATGTGCCTTTAGCCACCTCACAGAGCCTATTTCCACATCCCTGTGGATTCATCCCTGTGGAAATCTTGAGAATCATTTATCCTATGCTGTCATGAAGCAGCAGCAGAATGGAGAAGGTTTAAAAAGACTCATGGACAGGCAAAGCGGTCAAACACCTCCTGGCTCAGACGCACTTGCCTTCCCACACACAAGTCTGGAAGCTCAGGATGGTGTTCACGGAGGCAGATGCTCGGGGCCGGGGCCTGAGTTTCCTGGGGCACAGCCTCCATATCTGGGGTTCCCTGGACTATGCCCAGATAGCTCATAATGTCCCAGCCTTATTTGTGATGGAGAAGGACTTGGGGAAAAGCCACCGGGAAGCAGTAAGTCTAACCAGGGAAGTGCACTGACTTGCATGCTTTGAAGAAGAGAAGGGAGAAAAGATACAAAACCCTCACCTGGTTTGTCTGTAACAGTTGTTATTTCTCAGGGGAGCTGCATTAATGGGCCAAGCCTGTGCAGCTGGGTGTGTGAAGCATGCATTTTGCAATGGACTGTCTCCAAAAGCAGAGCGAGGTCACCCAAGAAATCTAGAGCAAGGGAAAATACTCATTAGCAAAGGAATTTTGCTGGAGCCTTGTAACGGCCGACTCATTATTTCCTTTCCAAGTTATTTTAAATGAAATTTTAAAAAACATCTTGCTTTCCAAGAAATTTTGCTTGTTGGCATATGTTTGGTGTTTTGATTCAGTTTGGAGGATGAACTAGTTAATTTCCCTGGGAGTACATGCCTATTAAAAATATAGCATCCTGCATCTGACCAAGATGCTATCTTACTATCTTATTGTGCCTATCTTTTATGCGGAGAGAGAAAGGGGGGTGTTGGGAAGGAGACCAGACTGTGGAAACATTTTCTTTATTTTTTCTCTTTTTCTTCCTTTTATAGTTTGTTTATTTTTCAACTTGACATGGGTAGAGAAAGCGAATCGCTAGTATAGAAAGCACATCTGGAATCCATCCGGCCTCCTCTCTCTGGCTCACCCTCCTCCCAGCAATGTTTCTCCTTGGAAGTTGGGGGAAGGTAGGCACCTCTGACCTTGGCAGGGTCTAACTTGGGGTCATCCACTGCATACTCATCTTCCAGAAGGCGTCTTATTCCTCCTCGACAAAAAAAAAATGTGTTGGTATTAAAATGCTTTGAGGTAGGCTGGATGAACCCAGCTTAGTGAGGATGACATGAAAACCCTTAGCTAATGGGGTCTTTATTGAGTAGAACTCAGGTAAGTTCAGATGTAAGCAGTGTCTCTCAGTAAACATGAAAAGACTGAAGATGCAGACAATCAAATACTTAAGTCTCTTGAAGAGCTGGGTGGTGGGCGGGGGTCTTCCCAGGTGGTCAGGGAGATGTGTTAGTGTAGCACTTGGAAGAGAGTGGAACGACCAGGCAAGGATGTGCCGTGGAGGTGGGCAGTGGGAGCAGCCCAGTGTCAGCATCTGTATTGGTTAGAAGACCACCGCTAATGAGGAGGAGCGTCTCTACCCTGCAGCTGTCTGTACTCCTGTGTCTTCCGTAATGTGCCAAGCTCTCTGAATATATGCAAAACTAGTCTGCAAAAAGCCATATGTCTCAGCATCTGGCTTTATTTCTAAGTGTTCAGGTGGAATTTAAGCCGCGATCAAATTTACAATGTCACTGCCAGCTCTGGACACTTACTTTTGGAATAAAGCAAAGAGTGAACACTAATACTGCATCAGTCTTGCCCTCTGTTAGGGGCCGCCCCTTCTCCCCACACCAGTTTTGCAAGATGGGCTGGCTGGGGTCTGAGAAACCCAGTGCCTCCGAGTCATGGTTAAAGCCCATCTCAGACACCAACACACCGCTCACAAATCAACATCGACCTGCGAAAACATGGACATGTGTTCGCCAAGAGAACATCCTCAATCAATCCCAGCAGTGCTACTTGATGATAATCAACACATGGGCCATGGAAGAAATTACCCCATGTCCATAAACAAGAATGAATAGAGGGTAGTGTATCTACCCACACCATGAGAGCAAGAATATTCAGCATGCAGGTGCATCTATGTGCATGACTCGTACAAGCATCATGGGGAGAGGAAAGCAATGGACACAATTGTATCCTGTAGGGTTTCATTCACGTGAAGGTCAGAAGCAGGCTAAACTCACCTAGGGGAGAGTCCTATCCCAGGTAGTGGTCATGCTTGGGGACAGGTGGTGACTAGGAGGGGCACAAGGAAGGCTGCAGGGTCCGGCCCATCTTGTTGCTGGCCTGGGTGCTGGTCTCACTGATCTCTGTGTGGTGGGGCAGGTCAGCCTCCCAGGCCTGCTGGTGCCTGCAGTGCCCAGCACTCCTGCCGTGCCTGGCAGTGTTAGTACCAATCCGCCAGAGTGACTGACTCCCCTCTTGCCCTGAGTAGGGCTTGCTGACTCCAGGAGCCTCAGGGCGGGGTGGGCTTTGAGCTTTCTTCTAGCAAACTTGAGGTCTGTGGCTGGTACCCCTCAGGAGCGGAGGGGAACTCTTGTCCATGAGATGCTTTTAACCGTGCGCAATAATGTGTAGACGCATCCAAAATCAATCTGGCCTTTAGCCCAGCACTTAACTCTTGGGATGAGGCCTGCTTTGTAAATGTTGATAATCCAGAGAAAATGAGCTTTTAGATTCCAAAGACAGCCAGATATCTTCCACTTATGCAAAATGCAGAGAATCATATTTAACAAAAGATGTTCTGGACAAATATGCTTCTTGAGGGATGAATATTTAATTATAAGGGAAATGATAAATCAAACATTAATGGGAAAATATGTTTGCCCTCAAGATTCATGATTTTGATGGGTCTCTGGCAAATCTTATACTATGTTTATTGGGGTTATTTTATTGCTGGTTATTAGTTTTTAATTGTTTGCTTGTTTTCTGCTCTGATCAATTTTTGTATAAGCCGTGGGTCTATTCACCCTCTTCTCTCCATTCCCGGGAGCAAGTCCACATCTGGCTGTTGGATGCATGGCAAAAGCAAAGGTGTGGAGAAGGTTCAGAGGAGACAGGACATGTATAAAATGGTAGGGTCAGGTTGTCATGGGGGAAACTGAGGCACAGGAGGCAAGCTGAGTTAGTACAAGAACAGTCTGAATCATAACGACATGCCAGTATTACCTAAAAGGATGAGGAACATGGAGCTGTACTTGAATCCCTACGTGAGCTGGGGAAAAGGGGCCTCAGGAATCACTGACATTGGAACCAAGGTTTGTCTGCAGCTTGTCGGTTTCTGGGACAGAAACCCAACATACTGGAGTGGGTATCCCAGCAATCTGTAGGATAAACCAGGACACTGTGGTGTCATGGATAGCTGGCTGTCTGCCAGGTGATGGCCCCTCTGGTTGCAATGTGAGCCGGGCAGGTCATCCATTTGGCAGCATGGTGAGGGCTCTGGCCCCAGTTGCTATGGGAGGGAGGATGCTGGCACAGGGCACTGTTCACAGACTGCCTTTGCTCCATGCCTTTTCCATGAGCATGAGTGGCTGTTCGTGTGGGAAACGGCAGAGCCCTCGCGGTCCCCATCAGCACTGTGCAGTGGTACCGGAGGTGGCAGGAGACAGCCTGATGGCCCAGGTTGTCTTCATACCCGGCTTCATGCCAGGGTGCATGCCGGGCATAGCACATGTGTCCCTGAGAGGCCCCTGATCAGGGGTGGAAACCCAGCAAAGTGAAAATCAGAAATAGTGATTCTCCAGTTCCTGTTCACAGATAAAGAAAGAAAGAAATAATAAGCAATACTAGGCCTGGTGTGGTAGTTCACACCTGTAATCCCAGCACTTTGGGAGGCCAAGGCAGGCAATCACTTGAGGTCAGGAGTTCAAGACCAGCCTGGCCAACATGGTGAAACCCCGTCTCTACTAAAAATACAAATATTAGCCGGGCATGGTGGCGGGCGCCTGTAGTCCCAGCTACTCAGGAGGCTGAGGCAGAAGAATCGCTTGAACCGGGGAGGCGGAGGGTGTGGTGAGCCGGGATCGCACCGCTGCACTCCAGCCTGGGTGACAGAATGAGACTCCATCCCAAAAACAAAACAAAACAAAACAAAAAACAAACAAAAACAACTAAAAGGACAGTATCTTTTTAGCACCCATCAGTGTACAGGATGCTGGGGAGGGTACTGTGAACTTACCCATGGTGAAAGTCCCTGTGTTAATGGATAAGCTCAATGCTCAGAAAATGCTGCTGACTGTGGTATTGCCCCATTTAAAGAGACAGTTTGCAGTACGTTTTCAGAAGTGGCATGCAGCCTCAGAGAAAAGTCACCAGGGGCTGGCATGATTCCAGAAAATGTTACAGAGCAAGTGGAATTTGACTTGAGGCTTGAAGGATGGGCAAGATTTAAATAAAATTCAGAAACGGTAGAGAGGGAGGGGCTGGGGGGAAGGCTGCCCACTGGACTGTCCTGTTTGCCTCCAGGAGAACCTACAGGCAAGACATGGTCTCTTCTCAGGTGAATGGGAAGCCAAGTAGGGCTGGCATGGGTGAGCCACAGCTCGAGGAGGCAGGCCCCGGGCCCTGCGCTGCCTGTCATGGCTCATGAGTGATGGGAGAGATCTGGGCAGGCAACCTCCTCTCATCCTGCATCATCAGCCTGGACTTGGAACTTGGCTGCTTTTTCTTTCTGCAGTTAGCAGAGGGCCTTGGCCAACACATAAGCCTTTCTGCCAGCACTTGGCATTCCAGCTGACCTCGACCCAAGGCCTCTGTGACTTCAGGAGGCGGCAGCTGGGAAGGGTCAGGGCAGTTCCAGGCAGAGCACAGACGTCAGCTCAGACATCCTACCCCCCGCCAACCCCCCGCCCCCGGGGTTTCCAGAGCAACCAACACCACCAAGCTCCAGGACACTGGAAAAAAAATCTTTGCAAAGAAGCAAGGGGCCATCTCAGAAAATCCAGGTCCCCCAAATTGATGTAGGGAGAGGAGGGCTTTGACAGCATTCAGCACTCCAGAGGGTCACGAGGATACAGAAACCATTTGGAGCCACCTCTGCTTCTCAGCCCCACCCAGGCAAGCCCTGGATCTTCAAGGGACTGATTTGTACCTGGGAATAAACTCATGCATGGATGAGATTCAGAGTCAATCACACCCTAAAATGCAGAGCCCATAGTATTGGTGAGTTGTTCATGTGTCTCTGAAGCAAATTTAGGGCTGTGGTTCAAACATCGTAAAAGTTAAAAAAAATTCACTGGATACACACAGTAGGCTCTTTTAAATTAGCCTCATTTGAACTTAATTACATATTTAAATACTCAAATAATAAATGATGGCTGGGTGCGGTGTCTCATGCCTGTAATCCCAGCACTTTGGGAGGCTGAGGCAGGCTGATCACTTGAGGTCAGGAGTTCGAGCCCAGCCTGGCCAACATGGTGAAACCCCGTCTCTACTAAAAATACAAAAATTAGCCATGCATGGTGGCGGGTGCCTGTAATCCCAGCTACTTGGGAGGCTGAGGCAGCAGAAGCACTTGAACCCAGGAGGCAGTGGTTGCAATGAGCCGAGATCGCACCACTGCATTCCAGCCTGGGTGACAGAGCAACACTGTGTCTCAAAAGAAAATTTTTTTTAATAAAAATAAAAAATAAAATAAAATAAGTGAGTCCACTGAAAGCGGTTTCTACCTTGATAGTTGGGTGTGTGGCGTCATCAACATCACAGAAGGCTGATCGATATTACCAGGTGTGGTTGAGTGCAAGTGTTTGAGGTCTCGTGGGGGAAGAGTTTGGAATTCAGAATCCATTGAGGCCTTCACTCACCACTTTCCCTCTCTCGCTGTGTTCCCAAATGTGCCACTTTTCTGTTGGCTCACATGCACCCATGCTCTATTTGATATTCAGGGCTCTGAATTTCAAGCCAGACTCAGTCAGTGTGATTGTCACTGCTTTCCTGTCCTTCCTTTATCATCTGTAGACTTGGGTCCCGTTTTTGCAGGTTGATGTTCTGTCTTCGCTGGGCTCTGGACTCACTGCTCACGAGTGCGGTGTCTGCATGGGCACTGCCCAGACATGCACTGTTGGTCCCTCGATGGCTGCATGGTCAGGCCTCAGGGCTCTCTGCCAGGCCGACCTACAGCCCATACAGACCTGATTTCTGGGCCTGGATCCAGGGGATGCCATCTGGGAAGTGCGGGATCTTCCCACGATGTCACTGTAAAACTCACCAGGGAGGTTTTAGAAATTGAACCGGCATCATTCAGATTCCATCCTGCTTTTTGGTCCTGAGAAAATCCTGCTTTTCCCTGAGTAACTGGGATAATGGGTCACCAGCTCCCATGCCCTAGATGAGGACTAGTTAGCATTTTCTAGTGCCTGGAGATTTCCAGATGGAAGCTGTACTTGGGTCTGTGTATCTTTGTTACAGGATTCAATAATTCATGCACTGAATTTCCCTTCCCGGCAACTCCAGACACCAAATCGCTTCCCATGGTGTCCCCCAATCACTTAGGAATTTAGCCTGTGTCTAAAGACCCTCTCTGCAGCCTGACGTGGCTAGCCATCCCAGTACTTCCACGTTTTTCATGCCTTTCTCCAACAGCGTTGCCGTGGCCCCTTAGGCGGCGATCGTTTTATCAATGGTCGCTCCCTCTTTTTATCTGTTGGCAGGAGCCCTTTTTCAACGCCCTCGCTGGAGTCTGGCCTGCACGCCTTGCTGAATGAAGCCGGAACCTCAGCCCCGCTTCCCTTTGAAATGAATGTTCCTGGGGCGCCCTCTCGTGGATTTTGGAGCTAATCGTCTGTGAATGCCAAGTGATGGCAACTGCCCTCCCGCCGCGTCTCCAGCCGGTGCGGGGGAACGAGACCCTGCGGGAGCATTACCAGTACGTGGGGAAGTTGGCGGGCAGGCTGAAGGAGGCCTCCGAGGGCAGCACGCTCACCACCGTGCTCTTCTTGGTCATCTGCAGCTTCATCGTCTTGGAGAACCTGATGGTTTTGATTGCCATCTGGAAAAACAATAAATTTCACAACCGCATGTACTTTTTCATTGGCAACCTGGCTCTCTGCGACCTGCTGGCCGGCATCGCTTACAAGGTCAACATTCTGATGTCTGGCAAGAAGACGTTCAGCCTGTCTCCCACGGTCTGGTTCCTCAGGGAGGGCAGTATGTTCGTGGCCCTTGGGGCGTCCACCTGCAGCTTACTGGCCATCGCCATCGAGCGGCACTTGACAATGATCAAAATGAGGCCTTACGACGCCAACAAGAGGCACCGCGTCTTCCTCCTGATCGGGATGTGCTGGCTCATTGCCTTCACGCTGGGCGCCCTGCCCATTCTGGGCTGGAACTGCCTGCACAATCTCCCTGACTGCTCTACCATCCTGCCCCTCTACTCCAAGAAGTACATTGCCTTCTGCATCAGCATCTTCACGGCCATCCTGGTGACCATCGTGATCCTCTACGCACGCATCTACTTCCTGGTGAAGTCCAGCAGCCGTAAGGTGGCCAACCACAACAACTCGGAGCGGTCCATGGCACTGCTGCGGACCGTGGTGATTGTGGTGAGCGTGTTCATCGCCTGCTGGTCCCCACTCTTCATCCTCTTCCTCATTGATGTGGCCTGCAGGGTGCAGGCGTGCCCCATCCTCTTCAAGGCTCAGTGGTTCATCGTGTTGGCTGTGCTCAACTCCGCCATGAACCCGGTCATCTACACGCTGGCCAGCAAGGAGATGCGGCGGGCCTTCTTCCGTCTGGTCTGCAACTGCCTGGTCAGGGGACGGGGGGCCCGCGCCTCACCCATCCAGCCTGCGCTCGACCCAAGCAGAAGTAAATCAAGCAGCAGCAACAATAGCAGCCACTCTCCGAAGGTCAAGGAAGACCTGCCCCACACAGCCCCCTCATCCTGCATCATGGACAAGAACGCAGCACTTCAGAATGGGATCTTCTGCAACTGATCGTCTCCATGCGCCCTGCTCTGCGGCTGTGTTCTTATTTATTGCATGCGTCGCTTCCACAGGGGCCCCTCAAGAGCTGTGACTCGGGAGAGCTACCTTACTTTGACCAACAGCCTGCCCAGTGTGGATGTCTCTTACAGAGGGGGCCCAAGGAATCACCACCCCGCTTCAGTGTAAACAACGTGCCTTGTCCACTTTGGGCTCCAGAGTCTTTCAGATGTACTAAGCTGCTGACATCATCCACTGCCTTCTGCTGCATCCTAGACACCCTCCCTGTTGTTCACAGAGAGGGAAGGTCGTGGGCCACACAATGCTGTGTGACCCTCTCCGTGTGCCTCTGAATGGTGTTTTGATGATTTTACACTACATTTCCTGTGCGTAGAATGGATGCTTGTATATTCGTACATCTCTATGTTACACAGAATTTGTGTTGCAGGTGTTTGCCATGTGGTACCTACATAGAATCTCCATACAACACACAGGTAACAGGTTATACAAGTGGATTCAGACTGAACCCCCAGTACAAGGACATTGTTTTGAACTAGGTGGACATGCCATCCCTGGTCTCCTTAGACTGACATGATTCTCATGTTAACCAAGTTTTAAAAGTTCAAATTCCCCAAAAAGGCTTGTCCAAGGCTGGCCCCAGATGTGTGGGTCTGACCCACACCAGCCCTGTGTCCTGTCCTTTCAGTCATTTGTCCCTGCGTAATTTTAATCGTATTCCAAAGCCCAATTATGTGATGGTTTTCAGGTTTCTGCAAATTACAGAAGAGCCAGCCAAGATCACCCAGGAGCTTGTGCCCCCAGATGGGCCAAAGAAAGAGCCTATGAAGGAGAAGCAGAAGCAGACGGCTGGCCTGGCTCACCTTCCCACGCCAGTGGGGCAGGGGTCTGCTTCAGGAAATGGAAGCTGTCCAGGAAATGAGCAGAGATTCACAAGACAGCACTTTGATTCTATGTTGAGTTTGTTTCTATATTAGAAAAGCAGCAAGTCAGTAATCCCCCGTGGCATCACAGCTAAGTAGCTGTGGCCACCGGCAGTTTCACAGCATCCTGAAAGCTGGCACTGATCGTGACTATCAGTGAAAGAAGTTTAATTTTCAGGTTAGAAAATGTGATCTGGCAGTTTATGCATTCTTCAGAGTAATGTAATAATACCTATGTGATGCTGTAATTTTACTTTTCAACATAAGTTGAACCCGTAGCAGTCTGTTTACCTTGTAAAGGGATTACTTAGAAGACATTTTTGTACATGCTCTTCCCCAAGGATTGTACGTATTATACAAATAGATGGAAAGAAAAGTGAACACGTTTGTAGAACTTTCATAAGCACACAGTTGCTGTGTTGAGTTCTCTTTAAAAACAAGGACAAAACCAACCAGCGTTCAAAGGAACCTCCCATCAGAGTCCCCTAAAGTATTTTAGGTTCAGTGAGCATTTGCCTGAATAAAACCTAAAAGAGTAGTCTTAACACATTACTAACTTTTTCTAAGAGAAATTGATTCCTGTTTTGTCATCTGATGCAATTTGCTCTTATAAAGAGACATTTTCATAGGTTCAGAGTAACTCACCTCCATGGGCTGACCAAAGGCTTTTCTAATTTTTGTTACTGATGAGATGAAACCTATTTGTAAGGAGATCTTCCCCAGGAGCATTTCTGTTGCCTTCTTGACATCAATGAAAAGTAGCATATTCTCTTATGAAATAGCATGAGAAAACACAGGGCATTTCTAGGACAGTAAAACGTTAAAGTACTGGATTAAGAAAACAACAACAGGCTGGGCGCAGTGGCTCACACCTGTAATCCCAGCACTTTGGGAGGCTGAGGCGGGTGGATCACCTGAGGTCAGGAGTTTGTGACCAGCCTGGCCAACATAGTGAAATCCTGTTTCTACTAAAAATACAAAAATTAGCTGGATGCGATAGCACGTGCCTGTAGTCCCAGCTACTCGGGAGGCTGAGGCTGGAGAGTTGCTCAAACCCGGGAGGCGGAGATTGCAGTGAGCCAAGATCGCACCGCTGCACTCCAGCCTGGGTGACAGAGCGACCCTCTGTCTCAAAAAATAATAATAATAATAAATAAAACAACAACAAAATGCATCAGAGAGCCAAAACATTCAGTATTGCATTTTCACATAGGTGATGAAATGACTTTGGAACTTTATCTGTGTTATAGTTATGAGTTGCTTTGGGAGACTTGGAGCTCTCTGTAGCTATTGTTCATAACACTTTGCTCCATAACCCTGATGTCCGCAGTATCTAAGTATCTCAGCCTTCATCCATTAACTCTACTAGGGAGCCCACAGCCACCATTTCCACTAGGAGGTATCAATATTTGTGGTATGACATAAGGCTCCCTTGAAATAACAAGACTTTTGAGCAATCTGAATTAAAAATACATCAAAAAAGTAATAGCGCTCATTTGCTAAATGCAAAAAATAATCACCTTTGATACCAATGTGCACCAATATGCCTAACTAGCTAGCCAGCTGGAGATAATTTACCAGGGAATGTTTCAAAGCCCTAACCTTGAAGTTTGGAAACAGGTGGTCTTCTATGCTGCAGAGAAACTATGCATTAGGTCTCTTTTCAATTAGAAACCTTTACTATTTCCAATGTATGTTTGTTAAAAATAATAATAATAAAACCAAAAGCCTTTGTGGAAACCCACTCTTCGTAGTCCATGTGATGGGATTGTTTTATCGTTTTCACCGGGTGCCCTCCCCACTGCAGGGGTGCGCACTGTTGTTGCAGGCTTGCTACCCACCTGTGTTTCTTAGCATTTCAGGAATTAAACCACATTCAGAACCCCAAATAACCTTTCCCCTTTCTTCTTACCCACTATCATAGGTGGTATTTTAATGAAGCGTCTGTGCCTTGGGTGCTATTTACACCAATTTTGGTAGGTCATACTATTTTGAGAATGGTCTTTTGATAGGGAGAAATTTCTAAGACCCATGGTAATAAAAGTGCAGCTCAAAGACATGGGACCTCTTGTCCTGCCCCATTTGCTGTTGTTTATGCAGCAGGAGAGAATAGGTCAGAACCAACCTTTGCACACTAGCTTTCTCCCACACAAACGGTCCATTTTAGCCTCTCTGTCCCACTTGCTATGTAAAGAGGAGGCCAGTGCTCGGCATAACTGTTCTGGTAGCGATGCTTGTTACAACTCATGATGAAATGTCCCAACGCAAGTGAGGACGCAGCTGCCCGCCCCAGAGCTAGAAGGTAAGGTGAGTTCTCTAGGAGTACATCTGCCCGGATGCATTTTCATTCCGCAGCCTTGATGAATGGGACGAGGCTTTGTTGTGACTGTTTTTTAAGCAGTCCCCCAGGGAATCACTGAAAATACCTACTTCTTAGAGAAAAGTTTCAAGCTCCCCTCCTCTCTTTTGTGAGGCAATACAAAATCCATCATCCAAATGAAAGATACTTTTCACAACAGCCTTTATTGCCTGCAGACTTACATGTATAGTCCTTTAAACAATTAACTGTTTAGAAAATGGTTGTTTCTCTCAACCCTTGAGCCAGTTATTCCACGCTGGTAAGACCCTTTCACAGAAATGTAACAAGGTGCATTTTATAGAAAACATCTAATTAAATCACCAGTTTCATGCTTTTAAGTTGTATCTACAAGTGCAAAACTGCAACACCCAAATGTTTTTAGTATCTAAGTCAGATATCCAAAAGTTAGCTCCATAATCAGAAATGCGCACACCACTGTTCTGATAATAAAGGCACATTTTCCAATAACCAATTATAACAAGAAGTGCAGCATTACCTAAATTGGGTGTGTCATCTTCCCCTCCTGGGTCACAGGATGACACCTGGGGATGCGATGCCGTGCCTGCACTTGGCGATCCCAGGAGCACAGAAATGCACCAGACAGATCATGAAGGGCTAATGCTTGGAAACCACACCATTTCCTGACAGAGTGAAGGAATCCCTGTGGATTTATCAAAAGGGAGGAGGGAATTTAAGCTAATTCTCTTCACCTGCTGTATTCTCAAATCTCCAAAACACCAGATAACTTAGGTTTTTTCATTTGTCATAGAACAAAGATTAGAGAACTTGAAATTCGTTTTGCATTTCCACTCCTCAGGGATGTCAAAAAAGCCAGTTCTGTTCCAGCACAAAGTAGAAAGTGGTGAATTGGCAATACGCCAAGACATAGACTGTTACAGTAATTCTTTTTGTTTCACAAAAGTTAATGGAAACAAAACAACTTTCAGATAATATTCATTTGTCAGTATGTATAATTTGCCATCCAAATGCTTTTTAAAAAGTTATTATCTTATTATTACACATTAAATTTACATGGAGTTGTCTCCTAATCCTGGGATTTTAACACCAAATGTTTAATTCTGAATACAAAGAAACATTCACATACTTAATTTTACAATATTCTGGAACAAGTTATATTCAAAAGTCAAATGAACAGAGAACATTCCACTTGCAACCAACACATAGCTGTTAACAAAATTAACCCCATTAATATTTAAAGACGGATTTATCCATTAATGCCTGTTTTAATTGTCACTTGATTTTGATGGTTAGAAACTTTGGTTATGGTAAAAATGATCACATGAGTGGGAATTCATTACCTCAAAGCTCAGGACCACAGCTCCCCATGTGCATGTTTTTCTGTCTGCAGTATTTCAAGGTGAGACAACAAAATAGACACCTAAAATTGTATGAGATTTTATTCCTGGTGCTTTTTCAGCGAGAACCATTTTTCCAGACCTAGGGAAGGAGCCTGTGTGTTTTTGGCCTGAAGGATTCATCAATTCAGAGCATCTGTGACAGCCAGGAGGAGGAAAGAAGGGAGGCTGGGATCACCTCCCGCCCCTTCTAGCATCTCTACTGAGAGTGACAACTCCAGGCTGTCCACCCCCATCCTGAGCCTTCCACACTCTTCTCCGTGCCACTAACACTCAGTATCTGACGCCTGCAGTGCGAAGCCTCCAGAGTCCCCAGACTGACCTGGGCACTCCACCCTTGCTGGTTCTACTTTACTTGGACACACGGGTACCTTAAGGCTTGTCACACTCCAACACCTTTGTGTGTGTGTGTCTTTATTTCTTTCTAGGTTATAAACTCAGGCAGAGGCCTCATACATTCACTTCTCTATCCCACCATCCCAGTACAGGGCCAGCCACATATTAACTAATGCACAAATGAGGCCAAGAAACTGGCTAGAAATCCCAAGAAACTGTGCCAAGTATATGCAGCTGCACCTGGGAATACACGAAAGCATGACATCACGAGCACAGCCTCCTCCACCACACCTTCCCTTTCTCCTCCTTCCCTGCTGGCCTCAGACAGCTATGCATGGCTGCATGAAGGAAGATCTAAATCTGGACTTGTTTTATCCTCCCCTTCCCTTCTTCTCACCTTTATTCTGCCTCCACCTTCTTCTTTCTTTGTCTTCCCCCACTGGCTTCTCTGTCATTTCCCACAGTGGGTTCCCCCAATCCCTGTGGTCCTCATGTCCTGTTCTTGTTCTCTTTGTGCTGGATCTCACATCCTACAGCATCCAGGACCATCCTCCATGGCTGATGCCACAGCCTGCCAATTCCCAAATTCTTCACGTTTGTTTGACTTCCTACTTAGCTGTAAAACCAAAGCCCAGGGAGGAGTCCCAAGGTGCACAACACAGAGCCAATCTGCGTGTGTACAGAGATGCAGATCCGTTTTTAATCAATGTAAGTATATGCGTATATGTATATACATATGCAATTCACATTCACAAGTCCTGGTATAAAGTTGCAATTTTTCTGGCTGCTATAAAATGTGCCAGTTTTAAAACTGTGCATTTGTTGCTTGCAAACTTATAAATATGTATAAACCCCATTATAAATAAATTATGGCTGGCAGATGGCATTTAAGCTGCCAGCAATGGTTGCATGGAGTTATAAATGCTTATTAATTCTCCACTTTTAAATTCACAGCACGGACCCTGGGATCTGTGACATGAAGTGGTGTGAAAGCATAATTATAAATTAGAGGGGGGAAAGCCATCAATAAGAGACAGGTAAGGGCTGGAAACTCTCACTAGTGAGTGGTTCTCAAAGTCAAGACTTCAGAGCAGCTGCACCAGCATCACCTCGAGATTTTTTGAAATGCAAATTCCCGGGCCCCACTCCAGACCTAGGGAGTCAGGAACTTGGCGGGGCCAGGGGGGTGGAAGGGCCTGCAATCTTTGTCTGAACCAGCTCACAGGGTGGTTCTGATGCCTGCCTTCCACTCGAAGTCTGCTTGTCACGAACGCCTGTCTCAGCTCAGGGACATCCCCGGCTTAGGAAGTATGCTCAGGTGTGTGCAGGGCCAGTCAGAAATTGTTTCCAGAAACAGCCTTTCATAAGTGATAGACTTGGTGAATAAATACCCCAGCTGTCTCCCCGCCTTGCTGGGTGAACTCTGGGGTGTCAGCTCTGTCTCTCGGGGTTCCCCGGTGGGATTCAGCTCCAGTTGTGCACATGACGGTAACTTACTTGATAATGCACGCCTTCCCCGTCAGCTTCCTTCTCTCCCTACTTCCGGGATCTTCACTCAAATAAACTACATAACCTCAAGTCCTCTCTCAGGGTCTCCTTCTGGAGGAACCCCAACTAAGAGGAAGTAGAAACACTGTCTCTCCCATCTGAATGACTCAGGCTTTTATGCATTTTGAGATGGAGCACAGATGTAGAACCCCTGGAGGGAAGCACTGCTTGCCATTTCCGTGGGGCAGGGGGCTAGCTTTACGTGCAGGCCCAGGACTGTGAGTCCTGTGCTCTTTTCTAAGTTGATCCCCAGGCCCTTGCATGGCTCCAGTTTCCTCTTCTGAAAAGCAGGGCCCCCTACTGGGCTGTCTTACCAAGCTCCCTTCCCTGTGATCCTGTGTGGAGCTGACAGTTCTAGGTTGGCACTATGTCCAGGAGTGGGTTTGTCCTCTTCATCTTTCTTAGAGCCAGCTTTGAAAGTTCCATGGGAGAACCTGAGTATTACTCTGAAACCCACTGCAAGGTCTGTCTGAGTCCTGCAATGACCTCTTTGCAATCTTTCCACAATCTTCCCACTCACTCCCAATCCTACTGTCACCGTCCACAGAAAGGGATTTATGGACAGCACACAAAGTTGGGCCAGCGAGAGAGAACCAATGGGCACGCTGGGAATGCACAATTTTAGAAAATCATTGCGCTTATATGTTTCATATATTTGTCAATCCCCAGCACGCCCTCAAGCTGGGAACATGTATAGCCCTGCAGTGTAGAGCACGCCAAGGCTCAGAGAAATCCAGCAACCCGCCTGAGTCCACGCCGTTCTGGGTGTGCCAGGGTGGAGGCTGGATGGAGGTATCTACTCGTGGCCCGCATTGCCTCTGCCCTGGAAAGGCCTATAGTCCGAGGCTTCTGCCCAGCTCAGCCCAACAGAAAAGAAATGTGTGACTGCCTTCAGGTAGCAGCCAGTTTGGAGGAAATGAGGACCCAGACGTCCATCTTCAAGCATTGCTTATAGAAAGAAGCTACCCAAGTGTCGGACGCTACTGAAAAGGAAAGCTTTATTTTGGGAGCTGGGGGCCACCTTCAGAATCCCAGCACCAGACATGGAGGTTGGGCTGGACACACATGTCCACTGTTCCCCTGGCACATGGGCCCTTTAGGGTCCACCCTTCCCTAGGCCTGTCCTTCCTTTTAAGTTAGGACTTTACCTACACACACGGCTTGTCATTTCCCGTCTTTATTAGAAATTACCCACAACTTCCTCCACCTCCAGGAGGCCCTAAAGAAGGCCATATATGGCCCAATCAGGCCTTTGTCCATTATCCCAACATCATAGATGGCCTGACAAAATAGCTGCTCGCTCATCAAGGCTGAGCGGACGCCCAGTCTTTGGGTGCTTCAAATATAAAAAACAGCAACAGTGGTGTCTTAAGCACAGGATTAAAGATTGAGTCATTTGACTGCGGTGTTTTTCACCTCCCCACCCGATTCTCCGGTTAGCTACTCAGAGGCAGCCTTGGAGGTCAAGAATCAAAGCTGACTTAAACCACAATGAGCACCCCCATGAGAGGCCCAGCCGGCCTCCGTGGGACAGAGATGTCATTTGAAGCACAGCTGATTCATTCGTGGGGTTAGGGGAGGTGGGTGGGGGTCTCTAGGGCCACTCGGTAAGGGCAGAGGGGCCGTTTTAGGACTGCTGGCCCCCACCTTGTACTCCCAGAAGACATAGAGTTTGGGGTTAAGTGTTGGGGGTGCCCATTGGAGGGACAGCAGGGCCCAGGTGCACTCTGCAGGACCAGGGTGGCCCAGCACAGCAGCAGCGACTGTGCCCTGGAAGCCTGAGGCCCTGGAACGCAAGGCCTAATGCCATTCCCGCTGCGTTCATTGTTCAGCTTCCCTGCCCTGCCCAGGCAGAGATGTGGCCTGAGAAAGTGTGGGGAAGAGGGGCCCAGGCTAGACAGGGAGGAGCCTCCATTGCTTTTGCCTTGGAATCCTGAGCTCAAAGCACAGGCTGGCACACAGCAGGGCTCACGAAATGCTGAGTGAGCAGAAGAGCTCTGCAGCCAGATGACAACATGGCCTCCAGGAAGGTGTGGCACCAGCCCCAGCCTCACTTTCCCCATGTGTCTGTGAGGCTCACAGGAATGGCCCACCACACAGTGCTGGAGGGAAGAGTTGGGATAACTAATGTGTGCTCTAACCCACTTTACAAATGGGAGGGAACAAAGATTAGAAAATCGCTGCCATCTGCTATGTCTGAAGCCTGCTCACTTCACTGGCACTATTCTAGTGTAACCAATATATAATCTGAGCTTAAAAATGTATATTTTGAATTAATATTAAAAAGAAAAAATTCGACTCCAATACTTTAAATTTTCTAAATTGATTCTCATGCAAAAAATATATATATTTTCTATCACCATCGAACTAGACACTGACTTCACAGCAAGAGCTACTAAAGCTGCAGGTTACCATTCAAGTCCCCCCAAGAGAAAAATAAAGTAAATCAAATGTTACAGCATTCACAGCTCCTAACTTGCATTTCCTACTTTGCTATTGTCCCTGAATGTTATAATAGCATTTTGACCTTTCACAAGTGGGGAATGCATGAATGTAGAAAGAAGGTCATTTCGCACATTTTTCTATGTGGTGCACATTCATGCACAGGTGGGTCAGAGCTGTGTGTGTCTCTCCAGGGCTCCCAGCCTCCCAGAGGACAGATGTGCAGGGCAGCTCTCAGAGCACCCAAGTCTATGCTGTCTTGGGGCAGGAGCCTGATGCAGCTGCTGCCAGCAACCCCGTGGAGCCGTCTGCTTCTGGATCACTAAGCAGAGTATCCACATGATGCCTGAAGCCAAAACCATTTCAGAAAACAGCAGTGCAGTCTACAGTAGTGTCAGACTCTCCAGAGTTTCAATCCACTGCAGAACATTCTAGAACACTGACTTCACTGTCATCTCAAATTCACTGGACCCTCAAAGGCAAAGACTCCCTAGAAGGCCATGTATGAAGGCTGGGGCCTGCCCTGACTCATCCTCACTGGTTAGCTCTAACCTGTCCTTCCATCTGGCCACACGCACACCCCAAGGCAGAAATGGGGCTCATACCATTGGCATTAGAACTTAGCAGTATTATTATCTGCCAGATTTTTCAGTCTCCTCATAACTCTCCTTACAGGATCAGATTTATCACTATCCAACTCTAAGCGTGTTTAGTGTGTCTTTCTGTTCTGCTGACCCATACCCTACAGGGTGCTGTACCCTGTGGGGTCTCACCAGAACAAGAGCCACGCTGCCAGCAAGCAAATGGATCCATCTATTCTTTAAAGGGCATCTGTGAAAATCACAGGGCAATCTCAGCCCAGATAGTATTTGAAAGGTATAAACATTGCCAGCTTTCTAACACCAAATGACTCCTCAGGAAATGACAGTATTTTACCTGGAAGAAAGGGAGTCAAGACAAAGAGTGGGGGCAGGCACATGCTCTTCCCTGCAGCAACGGAGAAACCTTGTTGTTGGGACAGCAGGCCTTTCCCCCATCCCTCATGCCAGAGGCAGTACCTCAAATGGATTCCAGTGACTCCTGGGTTTCTGGCACATGCAGCCCCAGAAGCCTCAATACCTGAGTCTTCGGGACTGAGCTCTGGGATGGGTGCCTGCTCTTGCTGTCACACAGGCTTCTCCCCTATTGTATAAGGCGGGCGGGGGACTTTACTAGCAATTACCATAAGCAGCCTGTAGTCAACCGCTGACTAGAGGGAGACACAAACCAGGAATTTGCCCCGACCACCCTTCTACAAATACCCATTTTAGCATTAGATACATGAGAACAGGGAAGCACTTGTCAATCAAAATCTTGGTTGGTGAAGCTTATTTTGTGCCATTTTGGCATGAAATGAATTCCCAAGTACTCCTCGCACAACTGGGGTCAAGGGTGGCGGGGCCCTGTGCTCAGCAGGACCCGGAGAAGCTGGAGTGCCACCTGTTCTTTAGTGAAGCTGCAGCGAGTTGTGTAGACACCCCAGGCACGTGGAGTGCAGTGCAGGGAGCACAGGAGGTGTCCCAGGGAGGCCAAGGGAGGATGCCCGCTCCCACCAGCAAGCACAGCCATGCCTCAGAACCAGTATCTCATAGCTTTCAGTGCAGGGCTAGGCATGCTCTGAGCAGCATGCCTTGCGATTCCCTCACAATTCTGTGTTTCTATTCCCCTCCAGTTGTGCTTATTAGGTAAAACTGCAGGCTACACCTTCCTAGTGGCATTTCCCGGTGGGATGGGTCAGTTGAATTAAATTTTTGCCTGGACAACTACAGTTAAACTTATTTTTTTTTTTCATTAAAAACATACAGCACAGAACATTAGTCTTACATCTTTCTTAGTCTTAAAAAATATAAATATAGAGGGATAATTTGTACAGGATGTATAGGTATGTACACCTTTAATATGCATATGAGAAATTCAGAACCAAGTTTATGAAACTTGACCTTAAAGGAAGCCTTCCTTTTGAAGCTTTTGAAGAAGGCTCTGAGCCACAGGCAGCTGTCCCAGTTCCAGCAGCCCCGATTCTAGTCCACTCCAGGTCCTCCTGACCTGGTGCGCAGTGCTGGGAGCAGTGCTGGCCAGGTCACTGCTTCCTCTCCACTGGCTGCTGGAGACACAGCTCACTCCCTGCAGAGACAATGGGCAGGCTGCTTTCTAGGTGGTGGTTGATGAGGTGGCTGATACTGTCAAAGACTCTGTCCTTTGTCCGGATCTATGAATGAAGCAAAGGAAAGGTTAAGCACATCTCACAGGCAGCAAAAAGAGAAAATGGTTTGCTCAGAATCAGCCAGACCATCTGAACTGGCCCAGAAGGAAAGGAGGGGGGGACAAGGGGCTTCCACCACTTTAGAGATGCTGTCTGCAAAGAGCAATGGCCAATCCATTTCATTGGTTGGGCTCACCTCCAAACTACCTGAAGACCTTTCAGTAACCATAAGCCCAGGCCCCTAGGACTCAGTTCTGGAATGTCCCAGCCCACTGTCCTATAGGCATGGCCTCCTCCACCTTCACCAACCAAGGTCACCTCACCTGTCTCTCCTGCTCCCTCCCTGGCCCTCTCAGGATAGCCCTGAACTGGGCTCTGCAGGCTCCCATGACCCTCCCACCTCTAGGCCTTTGCATGGACATCTCCCGGCCCAGAATTAGTGTCTTCCACCTGAGCCTGGCCCTACCTCAATGCCAGCACCTCCAGGCAGCCTTCCTTCCTCTCCAGACATCCTGGGCACCCACCAGGGGCAAGCCTCACAGTTCCCCAGAGGAGCTCCTGTTGCCCCTGCAGTCCCCCACTGGAGAGTGAGCCAGGCTGGGTCAGAGGTACAGGCTCCGTGTTCCTGGGCTTTCAATTCTACAGCCTGCCCATAAACTTTTAATGCCATGTCAGGGGAGAGGAGGTTGAACACTCTGCCCTGCTTGCTGGCCTGCACTGTGGTCCCTGGGGTCCATCAGCCGCCTCCACTCTGAGCCGGCACATTCACAGATATCACTCACACTTGAAAAAGGTGGAGTGGGGCCTGTCAGGAGCAATTTTTCGAGGAGGTCTGGACACAATCTCCTGGGAGTTGCATGTTTGATAAGTGGGAGATGGGGGCAGAAAGCAGCCACCTGGCTAGGTCCATTCACCCTCACAGGCCACCCTCGCGGCTATGCTCGAGGGTCAGCTGAATTCCCTGGCTTTGCTCTCCAGCCTTAGCAGTGGTCTCCTCTCCATCAGTGTGTGCAGATGAGTTTCCAGGAGCCCATCCTTTCATGGGACACCCAGCTCTCCTCGCCCTCCTGCAGGGACTCCTGAGGCAATGTTCATTCTCCTGTTTTCCCCAATATTCTCTTTTCCCCAAATTCTCATTGTGACTCCTGCTTCCACTAATGTGGCCACTCTTGCCCCTCCCTCTCCATCAACCTACCAAAGAAACATCAGCCTCTGGACTTTCAACCCCCATCCTGCTCCCATCCCAAATCTATACTTCAGGTGTGCATATTGGAAATCCCCACCCAAGGTGCTCTGAGAAGTTCATACCATCTGCTCATGGCTCTACCAATTAGCACCTGAAGGAACAGAAAAACTTTGAAATTAGAATGTTTTCCCCCTGCAGGAACCCTCTCCCCCCATCTCTGTAAGCACCAGAGGGAGAAGAGCTCTCAGGACCAGAGGGTCTCCTGATTGTTGGGCACTAAGCCTCACTAAGGATGTAACCTGTTGGGCAAGTTCAAAAGGAAGCTTTTTGCAAGACTTCCCAGCATCTTTCTACTGAGGTTGTTTAATTCTCTTGGGGCTCCTCAGCATTCCTGCCCCAGAAAGACCCCCTGAGTAACTCAAGAAGCATACTTATTTGGAAGCCAGGGGCACCCAGGAACTCAACTTGAGACCAGTATTGGGGTGTTGCCTTAACATTGACTCCTTATTCTCATTCCTTAACGACTGACACTCACGTAAGTTCTGGGTGAACTGGAATGGGTGAAGAGTGATTTAGGGCAGGGAAGTGTCTGAGACAATAGTCTCAATGTGGTCTCACCTCCAATACTCCTGAGGACCTTTTAGTAGCCACAGCCCAGGCCCCAGGCCAATTCCATAAGGAGCTCAGGGTGGGGCCTGGACACCAAGTGTCTTAGGCTCCTCCAGTGATTCCAACATGCTGCCAAAGCTGAGAACCACCAGTTAGCATATTTCAGTATACAGGCTGGCCAACATAAACACACATATATGTATTTACTGACTAAGGAAATAGAGAGGCTAGTTCACTTCATTACCGTAAATACTCAAGTCTGGCTTCTGCCCAGAGAACTTATAGCCAGCAGAACTCTCTGTGTGGACCCACCCGTTATGCACTAGAAATTCTGATGGCTGATTAAAACCACTGGGCAGCCAGGACAAACTTAGACTCCAGACACACCTGCAAGGATTCTGCCACAGTGAAGACACATGGAATGTTAACCCCAGACAACTGGTTGAGGCTGTGCATCGTAAAGAGGAAATAAAAATCAAGATGAAAGCCTTCATTCTAGTCAGGCTACAGAAGAGACTAAAATGTGCATATACTAGAAATTAAGAAAAGTCTAAAATTAATCATCTAAGCTTCCACCTTAGGAAACTAGAAAAAGAAGAACAAATTAATCTAAAGTAAGCAGGAGGAAAGAAATAATAGATAAAAATTAGGGCAGAAATCAATAAATTGAAAACAGCAAATCAGTAGAAAAAATAAATGAAACCAAAAGCTTGTTCTTTGAAAATATCAATAAAATTGATAAACCTCTAGCCAGGCTAAGAAAAAAAGATGATAAGGCCCAAAAAACCTCTAGCCAGGCTAAGAAAAAAAGATTATAAGACCCAAATTATCAATATAAGAAAGAAAAGAGGGGACCCCACAACAGATCCCAAGAACATTAAGAAGACAATAAAGAAATACAGGAATAACGGAATTCAACTTTGTGACCAGTTTATCAGGATCTTATTTGCATTTGGTTTACAATATTCCCAACATATGATAGGTTTATTGGGATGTAAGCTCATCCTAGGTTGAGGAACATCTGTATTATGGATGGCTCTATGCTCATAAATTTGATAATCTAAATTAAAAAATTCCTTGAAAGACACAACTTGCCAAAACTCACACAAGAAGAAATAAACAATCAGAATAGGCATATATGTATTAAAGAAATTGAACCAATAATTAATAACCTTCTGAAACAGAAAACACAAGGCCTAGATGGGTTCACTAGTGAATTCCATCAAGCATTTAAGGAATAATTTATTTCAATTCCCTACAATCTTTCTCAGAAGATAGAATCAGAGAACATAATTCCTCATTCTATGAAGCCAGCATTACCTGAATACCAAATCCAAACAAAGACATTAAAAGAAAACTATAGTGCAATATCTCTTATGAACATAGATGCAAAAATGCTCAACAAATATTGGCAAATTGAACCCAACAATGTATAAAAAGAATTATACACCACAACCAAGTGGAATTTATTTCAGGTATGCGAAGTTGGTCCAATATTCAGAAATCAATTGCTTTTATCCATCATGTTAAAGAAGAAAAATCACATGATCATATCAATGGATGCAGACAAAGCATTTGACAAAATCCAACAAATCTTACCAAGAGATTTTTTCTTTTAAAAAAAGGTCTTTTTTTCCCACAAACAATGGAAACACATTCCATGCTCATGGATAGGAAGAATCGATATCGTGAAAATGGCCATCCTGTCCAAAGTAATTTATAGATTCAATGCTATCCCCATCAAGCTACCATTGACTTTCTTCATAGAATTAGAAAAAACTACTTTAAATTTCATATGGAACCAAAAAAGAGCCCACATAGCCAAGACAATTGTAAGCAGAAAGAACAAAGCTGGAGGCATCATACTACCTGACTTCAAATTATACTACAAGGCTACAGTAACCAAAACAGCACGGTACTAGTACTGAAACAGATATATAAACCAATGGAACAGAACAGAGGCCTCAGAAATAACACCACACATCTACAACCATCTGATCTTTGACAAACCTGACAGAAACATGCAATGGGGAAAGGATTCACTATTTAATAAATGGTGTTGGGAAAACTGGTTAGCCCTATGCAGAAAACAGAAACTGGACCCCTTTCTTACATCTTATATAAAAATTAACTCAAGATGAATTAAAGACTTAAATGTAAGACCTAAAACCATAAAAACCCTAGAAGAAAACCTAGGCAATACATTCAGGACAAAGGCATGGGCAAAGACTTCATGACTAAAATACAAAAAGCAATGGCAACAAAAGCCAAAATTGACAAATGGGATCTAATTAAACAAAAGAGCTTCTGCACAGCAAAAGAAACTATCATCAGAGTGAACAGGCAACCTACAGAATGGGAGAAAATTTTTGCAATCTACCCATCTGACAAAGGGCTAATATCCAGAATCTACAAAGAACTTAAACAAAGTTACATGAAAAAAACAACCCCATCAAAAAGTGGCCAAAGGATATGAACAGACACTTTTCAAAAGAAGACATTTATTTAGCCAACAAACGTATGAAAAGAAGCTCATCATCAGTGGTGATTACAGAAATGCAAATCAAAACCACGAGATACTATCTCACGCCAGTTAGAGTGGTGATCATTAAAAAGTCAGGAAACAACAGATGCTGGAGAGGATGTGGAAAAATAGGAACACTTTTACACTGTTGGTGGGAGTGTAAATTAGTTCAAACATTGTGGAAGACAGTGTGGTGATTCCTCAAAGATCTAGAACCAGAAATACCATTTGACCCAGCAATTCCATTACTGGGTATATACCCAAAGGATTTTAAATCATTCTACTAAAAAGACCCATGCACACGTGCGTTTATTGCAGCACTGTTCACATTAGCAAAGACTTGGAACCAACCCAAATGCTCATCAATGATAGACTGGGTAAAGAAAATGTGGCATATACACCATGGAATACTATGCAGCCATAAAAAAAAGGATGAGTTCATGTCCTTTGCAGGGACATGGATGAAGCTGGAAACCATCATTCTCAGCAAACTAACACAGGAACAGAAAACCAAACACCACATGCCCTCACTCATAAGTGGGAATTGAACAATGAGAACACATGGACACAGGGAGGGGAACATCACACACCAGGGCCTGTCAGGGGGTGGGGGGCTAGGGATAGCATTAGGAGAAATACCTAATGTAGATGATGGGTTGATGAGCACAGCAAACCACCATGGCACGTGTATGCCTATGCAACAAACCTGCATGTTCTGCACAGATATCCCAGAACTTAAACTGTAATTTAAAAATGTTATTTAAAAAAAACTCTTGATAAAGTAGTTTTTTTTTCTTTCTTTCTTTCTTTCTTTTTTTTTTTTAAAGAAAACCCTCTTGATAAAGTAGGAGAGGAAATTCCTCAACTTGATAAAGAATATCTATGGGCTGGGCATGGTGGCTCATACCTGTAATCCCAGCACTTTGGGAGGCCAAGGCAGGCGGATCATTTGAGGTCAGGAGTTTAAGATCAGCCTGGCCAACACAGTGTAACCCCATCTCTACCAACAAAAATTCAAAAATTAGCCGGACGTCATGGTGGGTACCTGTAATCCCAGCTACTCGGAAGGCTGAGGCAGGAAAGTCGCTTGAACCTGGGAGATGGAGGCTGCGGTGAACTGAGATCATGCCACTGCACTCCAGCCTGAGCGACAGAGCAAGACTCTGTCTCAGAGAAAAAAAAAAAAAAAGAATATCTACAAAAAAACCCTACAGCTAACATTATATCTGATACTGAGGAACTCAAAGATCAAGAACAAGACAAGGATATTCCCTCTCACCACTCCATTTCAATATCGTACTGGAAGTCCTAATATTCCAAAGAAAACCTATAGAATTTCTTTTTTGATTTCATTTTTGTAAACCATTATTGCTAAAAATGTGTTGCCATTTTTAGGTAGAAGTCTCTAAGGTTTCACAGCAGCTTAATTAATATATGCCTCTTCTCTAAGCTGGGGAAGAAGTGCACACTTGACTCTGTGTGGCCTGTGGTCAGAAGGCCTCACCTACAGTGTCCAAAAGTAAGACAGTAAGATAGAAAAGAAAAAAAAGGCATACTGATTGGGAAGTAAAAAATGAAACTGCCTTTGTTCACAGATGGCATGATTGTCTAGAAGAAAACCTGAAAGAATAAAAAAAATCTCCTTGAACTAATTGTGATTATAGTAAGGTTGCAGGACATAAGGTAAATATACAAAAGTTAATCACTTTCCTATATATCAGGAATGAACACGTGGAATTTAAAATTTAAAATGCCATACCATTTACATTGGCACCCCTGAAAATGAAATAGGTATAAATCTAACAAAATACCTATGAGATCTACATGAGGAAAACTACAAAAGTCCAATAAAAGAAATCAAAGAAGAACTAAATAAATGAAGAGATATTTCATATTTATGGATAGGAATACTCAATATTGTCAAGGTGTCAGTTCTTTGCAATATTTATTAAATAATATCAAATACAGTCTATTTAAAAACAAAAATAATAAATGAATATTCAGCTTGAGAGCACTGGGTGGGACTCGGTTTTCAGGGAGAGAAGCTGGAGGAAGTGAGGTTTTACAAAGAAACGAAAGCAACATCTACTCCTAAAACAAGGGCACTTTGGAGCCTCTGGAATGGTTCATAGTAAGGAATTACTTCTTTGATTTGATTTTTGTAGACCTTTACTGTTAAAAATGTGTATTGTTTTTAGGTAGAGATCCCCAAGGTTTCACAGCAGCTTAATTAAAATATGCTTCTTCCCTAGGCTAGGGCAGAAATGCACACTCAGCTCTGTGTGGCCTGTGGTCAGCAGGCATCACCCCCAGTGCCCAAAAGTAAGGAGAGTGGGGGTCAGGTTAAGGGGTGAAAGAGGGAGAGGTGACAGGGGGTTGGAAGGTGGAAGATAGGAAGGGTGGGGGTGAGAGGTGAAGGTGGAGGGTGAGAGGCAGCAGGGCAGGGAGGTGGGGTGCCAGTTGTGGGGCAGGCTCCTTTGTGCCACATTGTGGGTGTGGGGGCCTCTGTGGTCTGTGGACAACAGCAGGTCTGACTTGTCATATTCATCCTTCCCTCTGGGCCTCCTTCAGGTCCCCAGGTGGTTGGTGGGAAGGTGAGGGCTCCTCCTCTGGCTGTGACGTACGTCCATGTCAAAGCAGGACAAAACAGGGACAGTTTCTGGTGCCAGGATCTAGGGGGACACTAAACTATCACCAGCAACAGAATGAGACAGATAAATCATCCTTACCGAAGCTCTTGCAGGGGCTGGCACAAAACCGCCCTCATGTGCAGTAGGAGATGCAGGCCCAGGAGGAGAGCAAAATGGGCAGGCCAACCTCAGTATGTGGGTGTTGTGAGTGGAATGTACAGGCATAGGGGAGGGGACACAGGTGAGTCCCCCTCACCAACTCTCCATGTCTCCTCCATCAGCAGTGACTAAGCTGGGCACAAATGTCTGTTTGCAGGGTTGTGTGTCTGGGTGGAGCTCTGCCACTGGGTGCGGTACCTTGGTGATCCTCCAAAGTGCCCAGTGGTGGAAGGATGCAGGGGAGAGCCTCCTGCCCTATGGTGGCACACATGGGCCTCATGAGGACACTCAGGGCTTGGGGAGGTGCCCAGGGGAGCTGTAGGGATCTGCTGAGCTGCAGCCCCAGTTTGACCTCACAGGGACATTTCGCACTGAGCTTCAGCGCCCACACAGGAGATGCCCGCCAGTTGCACCAGCCTTCTGGAACACTAATATTCTAGCAGAATCAGGTTTGAAACTTTTGTTCCAACTGTATGGAAAGTACACTCGTGTTAGTATTGACTATCATCACTGCCAATTCTACCTTAAAAATGATTTTTCAGGAGCTCTGCAGCTGGATAGAGGGGTAGTCTCCTTCTGCCTCAGGGAAAAGCCCAGGCTACCTTGGGAACTGTGCCATCTCCATGAAACCTCCAGGACAGCATTTGATGAGTCACTGCTCCAGAAACCACAAAGAAGTCTTCACTCAGCTGCCAGAGTAGGGAGGCCAACACCACCGCACTCAATGTCCCCACAGCCATGACCTCAGTGACCAAAGACAGCACCAGATCGGCTCACAGAGTGGAAGGCCTAGGCCCAGGTCACCTCTGGGAAAGCACAGCTGACCCACAAAACTAACCTGAAACCTGTGTAAAAACCCACAAACCAGAAGCAAAGCAGAGAGAGAGAAGGAAGTACCGCAGGAAAGTGAGCAGTGGCTCTCCCTGAACCCTGCCTGGATGCCAGGGCTCACCTGCCTTGGGCCATCCCAGGTGAGGCTCCTCTGTCCTGCACCAGGTGGAAACTGAGGGTTTCCAGCACCCCTCGGGGCCAGTAGAACACAGTGCTAGGAATCGGAACCTTGAGAGATGGAGGGCTACTTCCGCATTGCCTGTTGTTGCCCTCTAAGACGTTTCTTTTTTAGCCATGGAAAAACTCTGTCACACACAGCCCTACCTGGATACCCAGGATATATGACTTGGGAATAAAATGGGAGGAGGTCGGCCCTGGAGCATTCTCAGGACTCTGCCTGCCCCTGGGGGCTTCCAGAGCAAGACTACGGGGTGGTCTTTCCCACTCAGAACTTGTAAGTCACACGACTTGCCCGAGCCAGAGGTGACTGAATGGGCTGCGTAATTTCCATATTTCCTTTGTAGCGAACAAAGGCACAATGTCAATGAGAGAAGTCAGCTGGTCCTCCAGCAAACAGAACTGAGGCCTCAGTTCATTTTGCTGAGCAGGGAACTCCGCCCCACCCCACATCCCAACAGGGCTGGACCATGATCTTAGCCAAGACCCAGGGCAGGAACCTGAAGAGCCTCGGGCACTATTTAAACACTTTGGCGGTCCTGTCGGGGCTCCAGGAGCCTAGAAGGAGATTCAAGGACACTTCAGTGCAGGAAGGGAGGGTTGGGGGAGGGGGGAAATTCCTACAGTGGGGAAAGCTCAGACCTCCCACTTCCTTCTTCAAAGCCTGCTCCACCAGTCTGGCCACCGTCACCTGTGGCTTTGCGGCGGGATAGGTAGTCAAGGAAGTTTTTGGGACGTGGCAACCGTGGGACGTACAGTCAACACAATAAGCCTCAGCATTCACACTGTAGTCCAGCTAATTCAAGCACAGCTATCTTCAGTAAGGAATTTCCCCCTCTAGAGAGCATGCGCACTTTAATTTTAGTTGTCCTCAGAATGACCCTTTGCTCATCATAATAGCAAAAAAACACAACCCTGGGTGGAGATTTAAGATGCTAATGAGATGTGACTTATGAACAAGCATGTACAGCTACTGCGCATGTGCACCCAGAGGACCATCCGAACATGCTTATAGCAACACCTCCTTATGAAAAATCATGAAAGCCTCCCATAAAGGGAGTCTCCCCTAGTGCCCGTCTTTAAAATAAGTGCCTAGTGCACTTATTTTAAGTGCATCTTATTTATTTATGGATTTGTCTCATCCTTACCCCGAAGCCTGCCCTGAATTCTCTTACGGTGTACTGTCTATTCTGCACCTAACTTTCAAAATATTCTTTCTCCTTTGTAATAAATTGCACTATTTTGCACCTCCCTTGCTGTGTTGTCTTTTGCTCAAATTCTTCTAAATCAAGAAGACAAGAACTGAGGTCTCACAACAACCATAAACAGCTTGGAAGGTTTTTCCAGGCATGTGATGGGTTTGAGTGAGTCAGCCACCCCTGGCCTTGCCTTCTTTGGAAGGGAGGGCAGGCGCAGGCTTCCTCTATGAGAAGCGAACACTCAGGGAGAGAGGTCAGCCTGGGGCCTCAGGCCCACCCTGATCTTAGCATGAGAGCTGATTGCCCTTCAGGAGTCAGCAGCCCAGAATAAACTCTGAGGCCAGCTTGATAAGCCTTATCAACAAGGTCTCTTTGAGTTGCTTACAATATTTTTAATCATCTGAGAAAGTCTCAGAGTAGAAGAAAATCAGATCCCACAGATCAAAGCTGCCAGCAGCTCAGTGGGAAGGAATCAAGCTCCATGCATTCAGAAAGGCTGGGTTTATTTAGGCCCAAGGATGCTTGGGAGCCTGAGAAGCAACTCAGAAGTGTGGGAAATTAAAATCGTTAAGAAATATGCAGCATATTCTGATTTCCCAAATCTGCCATTGAGGCCATAACCAATCTTACTGTTTCTCTTCTCTGCCACAACCTCCAGAAAACTGCTTGGCTTGGGGGAGGTGGAACTTCTTCCTGGCTACTTCTTTTACCATCTATTCTTACATACTTTCCAGAAATTCAGTAGAAATTAATTTTTCAAATTTTATTCATCCAAGCATCTAGATGATCCACTTCTGTGTTTAACTGGCCATAGACAGCAGAACAGAATCAGAAGGTATGACCACATAGAGAAAAACCACTGGTCAAGATATCACAAGTCATCAGTTCAAATCCTGTTTCTACTGCTAATGTGCTCTGTTTGCCTGACAAGTTACCTAACATATCCTTCCTCATTTTTAAAAGGGTCTGTTGCCTAGACCTGTGGTTCCCAACTCTAGCCCCTGAAGGGCTTGTGAAAGTTCAGACTACTGCCTCATCTCCATCCCACACATCCAGGCCCCATTCCGAGTTCCTGACTCAGCAGATCTGGGGTGGGAGCTGAGGATCTCGTTTCTAAGCAAGCTCTCTGATGCTGAAGCTGCTAGATTAATGGCTGGCCTAGAACAGCAGCTCCAGCTGTGGGTGTGATTCGTAAGTTACCTGTAATGCAACAATGCCTTCCCAGTTCACTCAGCCCCCTCTCATGGTCCAATCAGAAACAAACAGCCCCTCTCAGGATGCTCCCCTGATGTGTAAAGGGCATGGTCATCCCAAGCCATTACCCTTGAAGCCCTTTCTCTCCTGGGTGCACAAGCAGCATCCTGTGCATCTTATTTATTTATGGATTTGTTTATTTTTATTTATTTATTTAGAAACAGGGTTTCATTCTGTCACCCAGGCTGGAGTGCAATGGTACGATCATAGTTCACTACAGCCTCAAACCCCTGGGCTCAAGCCATCCTCCTGCCTCAGCCTCCTGAGTAGCTGGGACTACAGGTGCACTCCACCACTCCCTGTGTGCGTTATTAAATACTGCCTGTCCTGCTCAGTCCAGTGCAGTGACAAGTGAGGAGAAGACAGTTTTGAGCACCTGCCACAACTTGGCCTGCCACCTGCTAATGACACTCCTTATAGGAAGTTACTGACCTCTCTGTAAGATGGCTATCGCGAGTCCTGCTTCACAGGACCGTTTTCAGAATGAAAGGATTAATACAAGTGAAGTAGTTAGTACAGTGCGTGGCATCAAGGACATGCTGGGGAACATTTGCTATTCCTATTTTCTTACCCACACTGCACAGTTTAACCTTACACTGGAGGTGATGGCATCCCAGAAGGATTCTGAGCAGGGAATGGACATCAGCAGAGCCTCCTGCAGGGTGGGCTGGGGCTGTCACTGGGAGTCCAGGTGGGTCAGGAGGAAGAGGCAGCTTACAGGGATATTTAGGGGAGTTTGTTCAGCATCTGAATGCAGAGTATGAGAAGAGAGGTGTGGTGTGGCGGGGAACCCAGGAGGGGCAGCTGGGGCTGAGGAGGTGGGGACAACACCTTCCACTGCAGACGCCATGGGCTTCAATTGCCTGGGAAACGTGTAAGTGGAGTTGCCCTGTGGGCAGTTAGAAATACTGGTTAAAATTTTTCCATTAATGACGACACTCCATCAATGACAAAATGATTACATCTGCCCCTTATAAAGGGTCACATTCCTAGAAGAGGCAAAGCCGTCAGATGGGGACATCTTGTGATTAAAACATGAGTTATCCTGGAACAGGTCACACACACACACACACACGTACGCACACACACATACACACACACACAGGGGCTGACCTTTGCCCACTTTCTCACTTCTGCTGGATCCACTGAGAGACCCCACCCCACCTCCAGGCTTGTAGGCTCATGCCTGGATCCAGCCTAACCCAGGTGTGATGTAGACCTGTCCCAGACACAGACATGCTGCCCAAGCCTCTCCTACATTTGAAATTAAGACGTGATCCAGGTCCATCCCAAACCTGAAGGCTGAGCCACAGAGCTGGGCCCACATCAGCCCCCAGGCCTGCAATGTGTAAACTAAAAATAAAATTTGAAGCCTCCCAACCATCAGAATGAACACATCCTCTCAGCCAAGGCCATTCCAAAGTTAACCTGAAAAACTAGGTCAGGCCATGATGGGAAGTGGGGGTCAGACATGCCTCATTATATCTTCCTCCCTTTGGAATTCAGGCACAACTGACCAGCAGTAACATTTAAACAGAGACCTTAAGACTTCTGTAGCAATAAGACACCCAATTCCAGCCTGACTCTAGCATAGCATCACATGACAGATAGCAGGCCCTGAAAGAGATTAAAGTATTTTACCCTAAAATATGTGTCCTTGGCAATATGTCTTTGGCATATTTTGAAATGGCCCTGCAAAGCTGTCTCTTGTGGGGAAAATCTGTATTCTGTAGAGAATCCCTTTCCCTTTCCAGGTCTTTTCCTTTATCCAGGAGAGAATTAAGTAAGAGTCTGGTACCTTTTTAAGTCTGATGAGAAACATTGGCTGGGCACAGTGGCTCACGCCTGTAATCCCAGCACTTTGGGAGGCCAAGGCAGGCGGACCACCTGAGGTCAGGAGTTCGAGACCAGCCTGGCCAACATGGTGAAACCTCATCTCTACTAAAAATACACACACACACCCCAAATTAGCTGGGCGTGGTGGTGCATGCCTGTAATCCAGCTGCTCAGGAGGCTGAGGCAGAAGAATGGCTTGAACCCAGGAGGTGGAGGTTGCAGTGAGCTGAGATTGCGCCACTGTACTCTAGCCTGGGTGACAAGAGTGAAACTACATCTCAAAAAAAAAAAAAAAAAAAACAAGAAAAGAAAAAGAAACATCTACAGTCTTTTCTCTCTGAAGCCTGCTACCTGGAGGTTTCATCTGCATGGTAAAACCTTGGTCTCCACAACCCCTTATCTTAACCCAGACATTCCCTTCTAATGATTCCAGGTCTTTAGATAAACTCTTTCAACCAATTGCCAATCAGAAAATCTTTGAATCCACCTACAACCTAGAAGCCCCCTACTTCACATTGTCCCGCCTTTCTAGACCAAACCAATGTACATCTTACATGTACGGATTAATATCTTATGTATAAAATCAAGCTGTAGCTTGACCACCCTGGGCACATGTTCTCAGGATCTCCTGGGGCTGTGTCACTGGCATGTCCTTAACTTTGGCTAAATAAACCTCTGAAATGATTGAGATTTGCCTCAGATATTTTTTGGTTTACAAATGCCAAGAGCCCAGCTTGGAACCCTGTCCGCCCAGGGCTTACATGCCCACAAGCAACCCCTTTGCCTGGGCGAGCACTCACTTTCCACCTGAGGAGTGAGCCTGACCTTGAATCCCTGCACACCTGGGCCCTTGGACAAGTCCTCTCTTTCATGCTCCTGTGGTTTTCTGGACTAGCCTTGTCCAGGGAAAGGAGGAGACTCCTGGTCTTCCCTGGCCCTATTGCTTCTGGATCTCACTTCCTTTTCTAGTTCCGAGCTACTGAGAAGCCCCTTGTCATCTCCAAGGTTGCCCAAGAGTCAGCAAAGTCTGTTCTTGACAATAGAAATGAAAAAATGGTAGAGAACTGACCGTGGTGACCAAACAGGAAATGTGTAGGAAATTGTTCCCAGTCAGGATTTCTTCAGAGCCTGGTCAGAGAAGAGCAGAGAAGCTGTGGACACAGCTCTGAGTTCCCCTGGGGCTAGACGCATTGTCCTGGTCATTTGTGTATTTACACAGAAAAGAGAGGAAACTTCCTTACCAGTTATTAAGTGAGCATGATGCTAAAATTTACCTGTGTGTTTTCATTTCTTTAATTTTGCTTGATTTTGAAGTTTTTGACAGTAGACAACTAGTGATGGGTGAAATTCTGATTTTTTTTTTTTGAGACTGAGTCTCGCTGTCGCCCAGGCTGGAGTGCAGTGGCACGATCTCGGCTCACTGCAGGCTGTGCCCCCCGGGTTCACGCCATTCTGCCTCAGCCTCCCGAGTAGCTGGGACTACAGGCACCTGCCACCTCACCCGGCTAATTTTTTGTATTTTTAGTAGAAACGGGGTTTCACCATGTTAGCCAGGATGGTCACAATCCCCTGACCTCGTGATCCGCCCGCCTAGGCCTCCCAAAGTGCTGGGATTACAGGCATAAGCCATAAGCCACTGTGCCCGGCCAAAATGCTGATTTTTCATAGCAGTTAGGATGAGTACAGGAATTGCCCTATCCCACCTTCTCCGAACCCAGAAAAAGGACAGTGCAGGAATTAACAACTTCTAAAAACAAAAGGGAAGGAGGCAGTGATCTCAACACATTACAGACTAACAGAAAAGATGGAAGTATATTGAAGGATAAAAGAGAGTGAGGAGGAGGGCAGCCTAGAATGCATGGCAGGGGAGTCTTGCAGTGGAGGAGAGGGACCCTTGCAACAGTGGGAAGGAGGGCAGCCAGGCTGCAGAAAGACCACTCCTCAGTAACTGAGCCTGCAGCTCCCGCTGCTCCCAACTCCTTACAGACAAACTAGCATTTTGCCTTTGGGGAAGAAGTCTAGGGAACATTAATCCAAAGAAATTAAACATGCTGCCTGGGGAGAATTAAGGCAGTAGGAGGAGGATGGTGACCCTAAGTGAAGAACTCTTGGGAGGCACCCAGGCTAAAAGTCCAAGCCCCCTCCCCTTCTCAACCTAAAGTCTAAACTTCAGATGACAAAACCACGCCCACACATGTCATTCCCTCTATCCTCTGCCCACATCACCTCCACACACACAATTCACACATAATCTCAGTCAGTCTTCTGATACTGGGGACAGACTAGAGGGAAAGAGAGCTATATGTATCACAGCAGAAGAGAACAACCCCAGGAAAATCCATCCAGCCTCTTGTTCTGAAATCTCATGGTGTAAGAATGCCAGACATCTTAAAAACACCAGTACCATGAAGAGAAAGATCATGATGAGCAAACCAACACCTGCCTCAGAAGATAATTTGGAAAACAGAAAAAAAAGTTAAACAATTTATATTAATAGATATAGATTATATCTATATAGATATAGATTAATATAGATTATATCTATATAGATATAGATTAATATAGATTATATCTAGATATATATCTAATCTAGATATAGATATATATTACACACATGTTTATGTGTATATATATGCTATAGATATAGATTATCTCTCTATATAGATATCTATATAGAATATATATAGATATAGCTATCTATATAAAGAGATAATCTATATCTATATATTCTATATATATCTATATAGAGAATATATATTCTCTATATAGATATATATTCTCTCTATATATATATTCTCTATATAGATATAGAGAGATATAGAGAGATCATCTATATCTATATATAGCATATATATACACACAAACATGTGTGTAAATATATCTATATATAGATTAGATATATATCTAGATATAATCTATATCTATTAATCTATATCTATTAATATAAGTTTTTTAACTTTTTTTTCTGTTTTCCAAATTATCTTCTGAGGCAGAATATATATATAGATATAGATATCTATATAGATATCTATAGAGAGAGATAATCTATATATAGATCTAGATTATATCTATATTATACACACATAAGTTTGTATGATAGTCAAGAAAAGCTCCCAGAACATAGAACATAATTTCAAAGAACTGGAAACTTTTTGGAAAGACAAGAGACAAGGTCAATCCAGAAGGTCTACTCCCTCAACCAGGAGTTCTGAGATGAAAAAATATAGAAGGCAGGAAATTATCAAAAATATTATATAAGAAAATTGTTCTGATTTAAAGGAAAACACAAGTCTTCAGAATGAAAGTGTTCATCAAGTTCCTAGAACAATGAATAGAAAAAGACACACATGTAGATTCATGCCTATGTCATTACAGAACACAAAGACAAAAGAAAAAAATTAAAAATTTATAGAAAAAAATAACCATAAGGGATGAAGAATCACACCAGTCATACTACAACTAACCATACTTTTAATCAAAAGTGACTGAAAAACATATTTTCAGACACGCAAGGATGAGAAAATTTATGCTCATGCACCTCTTCCGAGAAAGGCACTTAAGGAAGCAGTCTGGTAAAAAGTGAGTGAAAGCCAAGAAAGAGGAAGATATAGGATACAAGTCCAAGAGTCCAATGAAAATATGTCCCTGGGATGATGAGTTTGCCCTGGAAATTTATTAGTTCACCTTAGAAGAGGAAGTCCATCTGTCTGTGTGTCCTAAGAAATAGATGGAATGAGCAAGGCACTGGTTAAGGGTAAAGACATTGTGAGGAAAACATAGCTGTCTTCTCTCAAGAATAGGGCAATTAGAAACTTCAAGATTAACTGATTTTAAAAGCATCTGTAAAAAAAGTACATATGTAATGCAATGTTATGCCTAATATATAGAACTATAATATACATATTACATTAAAAAACAAAAAGTCAAATGGCAGCTATAAATCATATATCATAAATAACATTAAATATGAATGGATTAAAAATGCTATCAAAAGGCAGAGATTTTCAGAGTGGCCAAAATAAAACAAACAGATTGAAAATAAAGGAGAGAAAAGAATGTGTCTCATATATAGCAACCATGAGAAAGCTGGAGTACATATACTAATACCAGATAAAATAGATTTTAAAACAAAAGAAGCAAAAAATGTTACTAGAGATAAAGGGGGACATTTCACATTAATAAAAGGTATATCCATCAGGGAGATACAAAAGTTATACACACATATGCGCTTAATAACAGAACACCAAAATACATAAAGCAAAATTAATAGGAATAAAAGGAGAATAGACAATTCAACAATAATAGACATTTCAATACCTGACTTTTAATAATGAATAGAACAACTAGTCAAAAGACCAACAAGGAAACAGAAGACTTGAGTACCACCAGAAACCAACTAGACCTAATAGATATCTATAAAGAACTCCATGCAACGACATTCTTTATACATGCTAACCTATTTGATACTTAGGTAAAATGGACAAATTCCTAGAAAGACACAAAATATCAACACTGACTCAAGAAGAAATAGATAATCTGAATAGACCTATAACAAGTGAAGATAATTCATAATCTAAAAAACTTACTAGAGATAAAGAGGGACATTTCATACTAATAAAGGGTCACTCCATAAGGAAGATACAACAGTTAAAAACACATATACACCTAATAACAGAACATCAAATTTTTCTAATTGTCTCAAGGATGTTCTTTTTATTACCTGTTTGTTGGAATCAGAACCCAAATAGATGTAGTCTGCATTTGCATTTCATTATTTCTCTTAACACTCTTCTATTCTATTTATATTTTCCTTCCGTTTTTCCTCCATACCAGTGATTTGTTTGAAAAACAAGATATTTGTCTGTGGAATACCCCACCTTATGATTTGGCTTTTGCTTCCTTCTGGCATTGTATAACTTGTTCCTCTGTCCCCTGTAATTTTTTTTCTTTTTTTCTTGAGACAGAGTCACCTGTCACCCAGCCTGGAGAGCAGTTGTATGATCATAGCTCACTACAGCCTTGAACTCTGCCTCAGCCTCTCAAGTAGCTGGGATTACAGGTGCATACCACCATGCCCAGCTAATTTTTTATTTTAGAGATGGGGTCTCACTATATTGCCCAGTCTGGTCTTGAACTCCCAGCCTCAAGTGATCACCCCACCTCAGCCTCCCAAAATGTTAGGATTTCAGATGTGAGCCACCACACCTGACCTGTATTTTTCTATAAACTGGCAGATACAGAGATTCTTTTTACACAGCTTCATTGAGATATAATCTAGACACCACATTCATTTAAGGTGTACAATTCAATGGGTTTCAGTATATTCGCAGATACATTCATTATCATCACTGTCAATCTTAGAACATTTTCATCACCATAAAAAGAAATGCCATACCTTTCAGCTATCACCTCCCTGTCCTCCCATCCCTTTCTCTCACCCAGCCCTTAGGAATCACTCATCTATTTTCGGTCTCTGTAGATTTTTTCATCCTGAACTTTACTATGAATAGAATAATATGTGGTCTTTTGTCACTAGCTTCTTTCACTTAGCATAATGTTTTCAAGGTTCATCCAAGTTGTGGCATGTGTCAATACTTCATTCTTTTTATAGCTGAATTATGCTCTATTGTATGGATATACGACATTTTACTTTCTTATTTATCTGTTGATGACACTTGAATTGTTTCTACCTTTTGGCTATTATGAATAATGCTACTATAACTATGTGTGCACAAGTTTTTGCGTGGGAATGGGGTGAGGGTGGAAATGGTTTGGGGGAGATCAGTGTTTTTCTTTAAAAGCCTTCTATCTCCTTTGTTTATGTTTTTCAGTCTTACATTGATAAAAATGTAAAAGGTATGTTGCTGAGACAGGCTCTTGGATCAAATGCTCCATGTTTCTCAGCATTTCTCAGCTTCCTTGGAGTGAGGCTGGGACTCATGGACTAGAGGGAGCTGATGTGAGTCCCCTCCACAGCACAGCCATTGAGAGCCCACGAGTTTCCTCCAGCCTCTCTTCTCCTTTGAGCTCCCGTGTTGAGAAGATGAGCCCAGGAGATGGACAACAGTTCATCTGGATCCTGAGTCACCCAAGGACCTGCGGGAACTGGAGAGCCACACAACACACACGTGACTTGGCATGCGGGGGACTGAGCTCTGCTGGGTTAAACCACTGAGAATCCAGATTTTATTTGTTATTGCAGAACAGCCTAGACTGGCTGGTACAAAGGGAATTTAAAAATAACAACAGGGCATTATAAAGTGAGGATTAGGGAACATTTAAAAACTACTCTTAAAAACTAGTGAATGTGGGGGCGTTGGATTGTCATCAATGTTTTGTGATTTTATGAACAAAATTTCCAGCATGTGCTCTTAAATGTGCAATGACCAGACACCATGTGAATCACGCCCACAGGAAACCCACCCACCAGCGGTAGCAACACATTCAAATGCAAGCACAGTGCCCACCTCGCTTAGCTGGTCCTTCAAGACCAAAGAGATGAATCAATGATAAATGACTCAGGGAATAATTTTAGACATAAGAGCGTTGACTAAACAATTCTGAAGATGTTGAAAAGTAAAGTGTTCCAGACTCCATCTCTGAGGCTTCTCTTAGAGACCCAGCTACTGGCACTTTCCAGATACTATTTTAGAGTCAATATTCTTGACACCTTACGAACAGGGCTCAGAAGATGCCCCACGCAGCTTCTCACCACGTTTCCAGTGATCTCAGTGGACGGTGGGAAGGCACAAAGGTTAGTATACTCTGGAGTAAATTTAGACGCAGAACTGTTTTCATCCTTATTTCTCTGAGTAATCTGTTCTCTGCCAAGTTTCCCCCTTTATAGTCAGGGACCAACCAATTACCATGAAAATCAGATGAATAAATATTGAAGAGAATGTGTTCATTGCCTATTTTGGTGTCCCCACAGCAAGAATGTGATGTTACATTTTTAATTAAGTCTTTCATTTCCATTTTCTTTTTCAGCTAAAGCTGTCCTCCATAGGATCAATTTAACTAAAAAATTAGATCCAACAAAAAAGCCCCCCCACCGAAGAACAGTCATTAGTAGGTATGACTTGACAAATTTTCTCAACAGTACTACAAGTTCCTCCTCCAAAATTAAAATTGTATGGTAAACACAGCTTTGGGCATTGGCTCGCTTGGATACCTGGTTTAATCGTATTTCCACAAATTCATACCCTCTTTATCTGCTACATTATGATACTGATTTTTAATGTATAATAAATATGTTATTAGGAGTACACAGCTCTTTTTTAAGTCATTCTTTGATCTATACAGACTAAGTGAACAAATTCAATAATCTTTGTTCTATAAGATGACATATTTAACTAGATTTTAGCTTTTTGTTTTTTTAAATATCTAAAATTTTGAACTGAAATATTTATATTCTCATAGAATTGCTTGGGTATCTTCTCCCCTATTTTCTTTTAGATAACCACAACTGTTAGTCTATGCAAACAGGAAGAAGTATGAGCTGATTCTAAAAATTTCGTTTCTGATTCTACATCTGCTAGTAGCATGCAACCCTCAGCACCCCATCACCTCCACAGGCTCTCAACTCTTAACCTGTAAAAGCCCAGGCCAATCTTTGTGTTTGTTCATCAAATGCTTGTTGAATACTGCTATGTGCCAGGCACTACTCTACATATTGGGCACTATGGCACTAAACAAGTTTGCTACCCTCATGGGGAATACAGTCTAGTAGAAGAAACTAGCCACATAATGAAGAAATTAACAAAGAAATGAATGTTTGTTTGTGGTAAGTGCTTTAAGGTAAAAACAAAGAAGAATGCAGAAACAGGGGGTATAGAGGGGATCCTATTTGGGATAAAAAGATTAGGGAAGGCTTCTCTGAAAAGACTTCTTTGATGTGTAGGAAGCCTAGCTCATCTTAAGAGGTGAGCAAAATGGCAAAATCTTGATACCAAAACCATATGAGCATATACAAGCAAAGGCAGCAAAGACAAGACAGGTTTTACTTACAAACAGAGATTCAACAAAATCCTAAATAAAACATTCGGTGACCAAATCCAATAATGCATTTCACAAGAACTATGTCAAGGTGAAGTAGAGTTTATGACAGGATTACAACATCAGAAAAATCTAGCTGTGTAATTCTCCATATTAACAATTTAAAAAACAATTATTATCTCAAAAGGTGCTGAAGTAGTTGATAAAGTTCAACACCTATATATAATCAAAGTAATTAAATAATATGTGTAAGTTCCATGAGAGCAGAGATTTTCTTTTTAAACAGATTCCTAGACATATCCCAGCTGCCAAAACACAATGTCTGGACATAGTAGGCATTCAGTATGTATTTGTTGAATGAATGAATAAATGGATGAATGAAATTTTTTAGGACAATCATCTAAAAGATAATCTCCCCAAAGCCTACTGCAACCAGTGCAATCATTCCTTTTCAGGTTTGGAGTGGACAAGGACACTCTCCCCTGGTCAGCCTCTGTAGGCGCCCCTAGTCAGAGCAATGGGGTGAAATACCACGTAAGGGTGAGCCCTGGAAGGCAGGAGGTGAAACTGTCCAGGTCTGCAATGGCAGGACCAATGTTCCTGTAAAACTACTGGAAGAAGCAAAGTGTCCAGGCACAAGATCACACCACATTCTTCTCTCTCCAGCAAAAATCGTCAAGAAAAAGAAACTCAAAATAACATGCCACTTACAACAGGAGCTAAATCTAGACACTGTAGGAAATAATCTAATAAAGGAGACAGAAGAATTTGTGGGAAAAATTTTAAAACTCTATCAAAAGACACCTTAAAAACTAAGTTACTGGAGACTTATGCCATGTTCATGGTTGTGCTGATCTAATACAGAAAAATTGTTGGGAAAAAGCTGAATGTTGGGAGGGAAACTGAGGCAGGGCTTGCATAATGTCCTTGGGAATGTGTCTAGACTTGCTGGCTCCTTGCTTCTAGCCCTCCTAGGCTCCTAGATCGATTGTATTCCCATTATCTCAAGTAGCAGAACATGTTCCATATAAATGTTAAACCATCACAGCTGTAAATCATGTGCTTAATGCAACGTGTCATTTTGACCTCCACATTCTCACCACCTGTTCCTCTGTTGGATTACCAATAAATAGTGCGGGTTCCCAGAGCTCAGGGCCTTTGCAACCTCCACGATTGCGATGGCCCTCTGGTGTCCCACCTTCCTCTCTCAAACTGTCTTTTTCTCAATCCTTTGACTCTGCCGGACTTTGTCAGCCCCACGACCTGGCGTTGGGTCTGATCTCCCCAACAAAAATGTCTGTTCTTCTTCAAATTAATCTACATACATTCATTGCAAGCCCTATTGAAATCCCAGCATGTATTGTTGGTGACTTGAAAAACTGATTCTAAAATCAGTATAAAGAAGAATATATATATGAAGCTCAGTAAAACGGTTTAGAAAAAGGAGAATCAAGAGGAAGGACTCACACCACCAGATGTTAGGAGAGTTCCAAAGCCATAAGGATGTAATAGCATGGTACTTATACAAGGACTAAACAGTCAGATCAGTAGAATAGAATCCAGCACCCAGAAACAGACCATGATGCAAGGAACTTAGTATGTTTCAGAAGGAACATCAGGACAGCAGAGAAGAGATGAATGATTTAGTAAATGGTGACAGAAAAACTGGCTTACTATCTGGAGATTTAAAAACGTGTTGAGCCTCGGCCAGGTGTGGTGGCTCACACCTGTAATCCCAGCTCTTTGAGAGGTTAAGGCAGGTGGATCACCTGAGGTCAGGAGTTCAAGACCAGACTGGCCAATATGGAGAAAACCTGTCTCTACTAAAAATACAAAAACAAGCAAAAAACAAACAAACAAAATATATATATATATATATAGATGTGTGTGTGTGTGTGTGTGTGTGTGTGTGTGTGTGTGTATTGGGTCTCTATCTCATTTCATATTCAAAAGTACCTTCAGTTGGAATTAAAGTCTACATGTGAAAGATAAAACTATAAAGCTAACAAAAGAAAATATATATTCAAATCCAGTATATTTGTGATTTGTGGGGGAGAAAAACTTTAAAAGTCAAAACCATCAAGCACAAAGGGGGAAACCTGATGGATTCGGATGCATCCCATGAAAGACTTCTATTTGATGAAGAGTATCACAGACAAAATTATCAGATAGATGAAAAAAGCAAGAGAATACATGTGAAAATTCTGTTGCTGAAAACCTCAACAAGAAAGCCCAATCTGAAAGTCAAAAGAAAAACATGGAGAAAAGATAAGAACATAAAATTTACAGGAAGAATCTGCTAATTTACTAATGAAGTGCAACCAAAGAATTACAAATCAAACAATGAGGTATTCCCTTTCTCCCTACTCCCACAAACTAGCAAACCTAGAGACTCTCTCAAGGAAGAGCAAGGATGTTGCTGGTGTGCGCCTTAGTAGCTCAGCCATTCTGAAAGCAAATGCAAGCCCTAGGGAAATTCAATGTACGTGTACCCTGTGACCAAAACGCCACTCTTGGCTCCTGTCCCAGAGATACCGTCCCCGGGTACAGAGAAAAACATGCGTGAGAGTTTGTAGCAGCTTAGTCATCCTTCTCAAGAGAGCTCAGTAAGTGACATGTGGACTGCATACGTGACGGGCCCCAGGCAGCCCACCACAGTAATGATCTGATAAACAGAAACCACCATGGACAGATCTCAACAACATATACAGTGGTGGAAAAGGAAGAAACAAAATGGGATTTGTGGAACAATAACATGTTTGCAAACTTCTTTTTTCTTTTTTTGAAACAGAGTCTTTCTCCATCACCCAGGCTGGAGTGGAGTAGTTGCGATCACAGTTCAGGGCAGCCTTGACCTACGGGGCTCAAGCAATCCTCCCACCTCTGCCTCCTGAGTAGCTGGGACTACAGGCAGTCGCCACCATGCCTGGCTAATTTGCAAATTTCTAAAAGGCACAAACACAAAATATGTTTTCTCAGAAGTACATATATGTTAAAAAAAAAAAAAAAGAAGGTGGATTGGAAGGAGATAGGTTACATTCATGAGGAAGTGGCTGTCTCCGCGGAAGGGAAAGAGGAACTAGCTACTGGCTGGAAGTGGGAAGTGGCTGCTTCTGCAGAGACAGAAAGGGGAATTGTTCAGAGTGCCAGGAGCTGGGGTATTCAGGCAACTGAGTCTTGGCACCTGAGGTAATAAACTGTCTTGGGTAACACCCCCACCCCCGACACATGCAGTTTAATTGTGTTCCAGTCCAACTGAGACAAAGGCTTCATCCCTCCCTGTCAATCAGAAAATGCAATGTTCTTAACTCCTATTAAATAACTCTACCCTGCTTTGTTGTTTTCACTGGATAAAAGGTTTTAAACAATCCTGGAATTTCACTCAATGGTTAGGTTGATTTAACTGCATTTATTAAACTTAGCAATTCTTGGACTATGCCCCAGGTAAAGATGAATGTCTTTCTTGACGGGAAGATGAAAAATTCAGCCAAACCTACGGGATTATTCAGATACAGCTGTAGTGCCAGGGATGGCCAACATCAGTAGGAGTTACTTCTCTAAACGGGAAAACAAGAGACTTAGCAATGGGGGTTTCATTTACTGATCATCACATTTTACAGCCTTAGAACAAAATCCTCAGTGATTCAACTTTTCGAGATAAGCATTCAAGATAAATATTAAAAGCCTAGGAGCCTGTACTTCCTTGTCTACTAGAAATGTGTTTGTAAGGAAAATGCTCTCAGTTTCTGTATTTATTTACTTTAAAGGACATAAAAGTCAAGGCTTTCAGCCTAGGCCATAATTCTAAAAGTTTTAAAACTTGTGTGGGGCCCTGACCACTGGCTCCTGGCTCCTGGCTCTGGCCTGATGACAGGAGTTGTCTGTCCCTGCGTTCCCCTGGAGGACTCAGTAGGCACTTGTGGATAGAGGTGGGAATGTGGAGGGCATTTGACAAAGTGGAGACTGTTTAAGGCAGGTCTGCACCCACTGGCAGGTCCGGCCCCACCCCCACTGGGTGCTCACCGTGCCTTCTGGGTCCACGAGCAGCAGGTGCTTGGCCTGGCCATTGTGCATGCCCGTGAGGACAAAGGAGCCCGGGTTGGTGGTGCTCTTCCTGACCAGGAAGTCTCCGTCTTTCTCCAGCAGCCCCTCTGCCTCCTTCCTGCTCATCTCTCCTTGGTACCAAGTCTCGGCTTGCAGTTCCTCCAGCATCTTGGCATCTGGGGCTCTAGGTGACACAGGGCTGATGCACTCCACGGAGGCTGCCTTGCTTAACACGGGCCCCAAGGGCTGGTTCTTGAGAGCATCTTCAAAAGGTTCTGTCATCAACAATATTGACCAGCAACAAGTCAATCCCAAGAAGAGCAAATGATAAAAAAAAAAAAAAAAAAATACAGTGAGAGAGATGGAAATGCAAAGGCAACTCCTCCAGAAGGGGAAAACAAAAACCAATGGAGACAACTAACTGGCTGGTAATATAACAAGAGCCATCATAACAAGCATTGAAAAGCACAGCCCAAATTTTGGCATGACTTTCTGATGAGTCTGCTTTCCCAAGACAGCTGGGAGTTGTGCTATGTGCCAAGGAGTCAAGCACACCCTTTGTCTAGCTAGCTGGAATGACTTCATTTTTGCATGCTGCAAGAGGCCATGAATATCACATGCCACGTACTTTCTCTGGAACTTCAGCCAGCCTCTTTAACAAATTCTGAACAAAAATCTGCCAATACCAAAGGGAAAGACAAGCTACAAAGCTTTGATTTTATGCAAAACCTGAGCCCAATCCACCAAAGGTTTATTTCAAAATCTTTGCATCAGGCAAATTTTTAAAAGAGAAAGCTGACGGGTGTTGGGTTCCTCTTGTGTGACTTGCCCCAGGCTAGGAGCTCCACCTTCCCTTAACCTTCACTTGTTTCCCTGTGGAACGAGGCTCTCACATGAGTGCCTGAGACCATACTTGGTTTCATCCCCTTCAGAGCACACTTCTCAGTGCAAGGCATGTGTGAATGGTGAGACTGCTGCTCTAACAAGAAATACCAGCAGCAAAAGAAGTAGCCAGGCATGTCTAACTAAATCCCGATGTTCGATTTTCACATAAGGTAGTGTGTATGAAAGGACTCTGAAAAATGCACAGTGCTATGCAAGTGGAAGGTAGTGCGATGGTTATTTCAGACTACGCTGTCTACCCATAAGCATACACATACATACAACATAAGCAGCACAAGAACAGGAGTGGTTCTTTCCTGAGCATAACTACACCCTCAGAGCCCAGCATTGCTCCTAGCACACAGTTCATTCAGTATAGTCAACAGATGCTGTAAAATAAGCCAAACTTGTTCGATGTTAGTACAGCGTGGGCAGAAGTGAGGTGAGTAAATGAAACTAAAATTAGCTCTTTTTGATGCTTATTAATCTTTGACAGATTTGGAGATAAAAATAAGTTAGAACCATTGGCAAAAATTATGTCTGTGGAAGTTCTTTTTCATCTGACTTTTTTCCTGATTACCTGGAATTGTCATTTGTTTTATACTGTTTCTACATCATTACCACCTTTGCTATCATCTACATCATCAACATCGTCAGCATCATCCCCAACATCGCCACCATCCCCACATTCACTTTTATTGGCACCACCACCACCATCAGCATCACCGCCATCGTCGCCATCGTCATCACCATTATCACCATCATCCCCATTGTTACCATCATAACCATCATCATCACCATCATTGTCACCACCATCACTGTCACTACCAGCAACAGCAGCAGCAGCAATAGCATCACCACCATCAACACTATCATCACTATCCCCTCACCATTATCACCACCACCATTACCATCAGCATCATCAGGATCATCACCATTATCACCATCATCCCCATTGTCATCATCATCATCATCACCATCATTGTCACCAGCATAACCATCATCATCACCATCACTGTCACCAGCAGCAACAGGAGCGGCAGCAGTAACAGCAGCAGCAGTAGCATCACCACCATCAGCACCATCAGCACTATCACCATCACCATTGCCACCACCACCACCACCACCATCGGCATCACCACCATCTCACCACCATTATCACCATCACCACCACCACCTTTGCCACCAGCACCATCATCAGCATCATCACCACCATCATCACCACCACCAGCACCATCAGCAGCAGCATCACCACCATCATCATCACCATCATCATCACTATCAACACCACCACCATCAGCAGCATCATCACCATCATCATCATCACCACCACCATCACCACCACCACCACCATCAAAATTACCATCAGCAGCAGCACCATCATCACCACCATCATCACATCAGCACCGCTATATTTAGATCTACTGGTTCAAAATAAAGAACACAGAGTGCTGGCTTTATTTAGTTCCATACTTTTCAATAGGCACCAGCCTTTCTAAGGCTCTTTTCACATCCTGTTTCCCCTCCTTAGGTTTTGAAAGCAGGAGGAGAAATTAACTGGTGGGAAAAGGGTAGCTCTGGTTCTCATTTTTTCATCCCAAACACCAGCCAATCTAACTTTCCTTAGGGTCCGTGTCCAGGAGTCATTGGTAAATTGACTATATTAAACAGTAAAAATGGTCTAACCAGACATGGAACTATTAAACTGCAGTTTGGAGGTACTATAACAACTCCAGCAAAAGCTTGGAGAGCCACCACTGTGCTTTGCATCTTGAAAAAGTGGCTTCACATTTCTCAAGCTGTTTTCACATTTTTAAAAATAAAGGCACTGGCGGGACTGAATTAGGTGATCTAGCATTGAAGGTGGCTTCAAGCATTAAGATTCTACAGTTCTTGCTTAGATTATTTTTGTTAAGTCAAAATGGGGGTCCAGTGTGTCTGGGAAGTCAAATTTGCTGGAGAGAAACAGTGTTGTTTTCATGAGGCTGCCTAATTATAAAGGCACTTAACACTGTCCTCACTCATACAAAATACCACAAATCACAGATATTGGACCAGCAAGGCTGCCTTTCACAAATGATAAAGTTAGTTAACTTCTAGGATTCTTCGTTTCCTTCTCTGTAAAATAAAGATAACAGTAGTTATCGTAATACCTACCTGTAAAAATTTAAAAATAAGTGTTTAGCACATGGTAGAAAATCATTCAGAACTAGTCTCCATTCCCTCCCTCTTCAGCCTATAAAATTCTCGAGGAATATGAAAAGCAAATTTAGCTCTTGTGAGCTTGTGATGCTCTTTCAAAATTTTTTAACAAAAATTTTCACTTTCATTAATCAGTTCATGAACGATTTAATTTCCTCAGTCTATATGACAAACAGAAAGTCTGTGGTACACATCCCACTATAATGCTATCTGCAATAGATTCCTATTACTCTCCTTATCCTGTTTAGTTTTCATAACTGAGGAGCATGTACCACTACCTGGTAATAGATACCTCCACGAGGTAGAGACTTTGCTGGTTTTGTTTTCCTGTATATCTCCATCAAGTAGAATAGTATTTGACAAATGGTAAGTGTTCAGTAAATATTTGGAGTGAGGTAAAAGGTGAGCAAGAGAGAAAAAAGGAGAGAAAAAAATGAGAGCACAAGTGGGAGGAGAGGAGAAAGAGAGAGAAAACCCTCATAAGAGAGAGGTGTGTTGCAATTTCTTGCCTATATGTTAAATGTTGGTCTGCTTCATAGACCTAGAGATCCGTGGAAACACGGGCCATGCCATTTCATCTTTGCATCCTTAGCAACTAATACAGTAGCTGGCACATAATAGCCAATTACTATTTAAATGAATAAATAAACATTTGTGTATGTATATTGTCTCAATACATTTGCAGATCTTCAAGAGGAACGTCAATTCCAAAAAGAGGGGGAAATTGCTCTGTCTCTTGACTACAGAGAGGGCTATAATCCTAAAGCCTTAAACAAACCCAATCATCACCCAGAAAAGTACAGCTAATCATCACCATTAACCAAAACCCTACTATCAGAAAATTCAGTAATTACACAGATTTCAAATAAAAGGCAGGATAAAAAGCAACCTCAAAAGAAAAGAAAACCAGAGACAAACAGAAACCCACTCATGTCAAAGAGGTCTTTCCTTGGGCTGCTCTCAGCACTGCTGACCGCAGCCGGCCAGGCCTGTGGTGGGATCTGCTGAGTGTTGACGTAGGTGGGTGCTTCTCCCGTGGGGGCCACGTGCAGTTTCCCTTCTGGCGTGCTGTAGATGTCCGAGGACCCTGCAACAAGAAAGTGAGCCCCTTTTCTTTTACGATGGTGACACTATTCAAGCCACCCAGCCTTTCACAAAGAAGCTCTTCTGCCTGCAAATGGGAAACCTCCTCCTTCGGATTCCTATGGGTGATATTCTCCTCTTCTGAGCTTGTCACCACACACTGCTGTGACCCAGCTAGGATGTTTTCCAGTCCTTCATATCAGCATGGGGTCTGCCAGCCAATGTCAGGGTGGACACCTTGATGGCTCCACTGTGATGGCCTTAGCAAAAATTTTGGCCCTTGCTGCCCCAAGACCGCAGGAGCCTGGCAGGCAGAACATGCCTGACCTCCTCTCCTTGACAAATGCTCCAAGATCAAATAACTGAGCAGAAGGACCACAAGCCTTATATTAATTGCTCTTGTTTTCTTTTTAAATATAAGCAAATGCTTTATAAATTAACTTCATTCAAGCAATACAATAGAAGCTCTGTACCTCCTAAGGAACTGAGAGAGACTCCTTCCTTATAAAATAGGGCTGCAGTTACTGCCCCTGGGTCTGTGAAGGAAGCCCAGGGTGGGTGTGCAAGTGAAGAGCCCCCTCTGCTGAGGCAGTGATGCTGCCTCGATGTGACTTCACAGCTAGCCAATGGGTGTGCTGAGGCTAGGCCAAGGCTGTTCTGTCACCGAGACCTAGTGTGAAAGACCTAGTGCCTTGACAGGACTTCACAGCTAGCCAGTGGGTGTGCTGAGGCTGGGCCCGGGCTGTTCTGTCACCCAGACCCTGGGTGAAAGTGACACCCAGACCTAGTTGCCGGAGAACGCCTGTTCAGATCCTTCTCGGAGTCTTTTTGTGTGTGCGCCCTGTCTCCAATCTTCTTACGTAAACATGTTCGCAAGAACACCCTGTGGTATTCACATTTCTGGAAAGAGGGTGTCTTTCATACCCTATGGGCGGTGGTGTGTTGAAGCCAGCTCAATCCAGCTGGCAGGAGTTGGTTCAGGGCTTTTTAAAAAGCGTTCCCAAGAGCCTGTGGCTGGACATTTGCCAGCACACCACTGTCTCCCAGGCTGTAGGTGTGAGAATGAAGTGTCGTGCTAACATTCCCTCGCTGGGGAGCACCACCTGCAACATCATGGACTGTGTTTCTACTCTCCTATTTCTCAACATGCTTTCTACATTGAAGAGTCTAGTCAGATTACGCATCCTTGCTTAGTGACAGCTATTTGCAGTTTACACCTTTGTGTACATTGCAAACGAATCAGCCTTTAGAAAAGAATTTCATTAAAAAATTTTAAAAGGAGAAGATCAAGAGCCCAAATGCATAATCTTCCTGACTGCCCTTTCCCACCATAGATGACAACAGGTGCTGAGCCGGGGCAGGAGGACACGTGCCATCGTGATACCTGGAGTTCACTTCCATTAGGGACAGTATCTGCCAGCAAATTAATAAGTGACATTCTAATTTGTTATGTGAGAAAAGATATTTATTTATTTTTTTTTTTTTTTTTGAGGCAGGGTCTCATTCTGTCACCCAGGCTGGAATGCAAGTGGCATGATCTCGGCTCACTGCAACCTCCACCTCCCAGGTTCAAGCAATTCTCCTGCCTCAGCCTCCCGAGTAGCTAGGATTACAGGTGCCCACCACCATGCACAGCTAATTTTTTGTATTTTTAGTAGAGACGAGGTTTCACCATGTTGGCCAGGCTGGCATCGAACTCCTGACCTCAGATGATCCACCCGCCTCGGCTTCCCAAAGTGCTGGAATTACAGGCGTGAGCCACCATGCCCTGCCTATTTATTGTTTTCAAAGAAGAGCTGGAAATTTATTGAGAGCTCTGAGTCTCAAGTTCCAGGCCAGGAGTTCATTCTGCGACATCATCTGTTCTCGATCTGGCTGGAATAACTTGAATATATCAAAAACAAGGCCTATTTTAAAATAAACCTGATATATTTTACAATAAAGTAAATATCTAAGGGAAATAATGTGTCTCCTTTATTCTTTAGCAGTTATTATATGTCTATGCACACACATGTTATGGAAATGCATTTTAAATGTGTGTAGAACAAGGATAAATAGCCCATAATGAAAATGTCCCTCTGGCAAAGTTATGACTCTGATTTGCTATTTCCAGCCTATTCTGAGGCAGAACATGTGGTGGCTTCTGCCAGGCCTTATGTTTTATTGACTGGGCCAGCACTGTGGGTCTTCCTGCATCTGGGGCAGGCGAGACGAAATTCTCTTACACAGAGGACATTTTAAAAATGTATTGTCATTTGCTTCCTGGCATAAATAGCTATAATGAAGGAATAAGCCTCAACATTAAACCAATAATGTTTAAATTTAGATACATAGAAGCATCAGTTGCATCCATCCCCTTCAGATCTTATAGACTTAGTAGCCAGGATCCCAGAGCTAGTGAAAGAGTTATAAATGTTTTTGAGAAGGGAAAAAGGTTAAAATTAAAAGACATTCTTAAAGGATTAGATTGAGATATGAATACATTCATACATATTTGTATGTGTATATATAACTGTCTAGAGAATAAAGACTTATGTGAGCAATTAGCAGTTACTTCTTAGATAGTTGTATCTAAATTATGATGGCTGTATCTAAATATATTTGAATTATTTGCAGATATCTGACTTATAGACAGTTATATCGACATTAGTTTTAATGTGTGATGTAGGTGCATATTATGATTGTAAGATGCAGAAGTGTTCTCTGAGAGTATCCAGGGCCTGTGAGAGACGTATATCCCTGGTGCCACCTCTGCCTCAATCCCCAGCTTAGAGTAGGGGGCTTCACATCCCCCCTGAAGCTGACCCTGAGTAAAGGGAAGGAGAACGAGACAAGGAAGGAAAGGCAACAATTTGTTGTAGGAGTCACGGGGGCTCAACCTCCACCTTAGAGTTGCCTCACCAGTTCCCATAGGAAACTGGGGTGAAGTATGCCTGAGATGTCAACTTCTCAGCACCCCTGGGCATGGAAGCTCTCCCAGCATGGAGGTGTACAGTCTCAAGGGCATGAGGCAGTGACTGCAGACGGGGTGTGAATGGTCCTGGAGCTGCAGGGAGGCACTATCTGATTGGTGCCAGGAGATGTCTGCAACACTGTTGCTTTTTTTTTTTTTTTTTTGAGATGGGGTTTTGCTGTTGTTGCCCAGGCTGGAGCGCAATGGCATCATCTTGGCTCACTGCAACCTCCACCTCCTGGGATCAAGTGATTCTCCTGCCTCAGCCTCCTGAGTAGCTGGGATTACAGGCACCCGCCACCACACCCGGCAAATTTTTTTATTTAGTAGAGTTGGGGTTTCACCATGTTAGGCTGGTCTCGAACTTCTGACCTCAGGTGATTGTCCCGCCTCAGCTTCCCAAAGTGCTGGGATTACAGGCGTGTGCCACCGCGCCTGACCACACCGTTGCTTCTATTTCTATAGTCTAGTCAGGATTCTATAGCAACACACACAGCACATATATCCAGGGGTCACTCTGTCAGTCCACAGAAAATAGGCGACCCAGTGGTGAGCATGTTACTTTTGAAAAGTGTCTTTTGTGTTTCTCACCCATCTCACCTTGCCTCTCACCTTGCCTTAAAGGTGTTTGCTGCCAGTCTTCGCCAAAAGTGTCTCCTAAGTGTCTTCCCTGGTAATAAGTCTGCTCTTTTCCTGCAAACTATAGACACATGTAAATACACAGAATGAAAAAATTATTTTCTTCTCATTTCACCACTTTTGAAAGCCACAAGACAGTCGGCGAGTTGATCCTTAAGGTGGTTCGCATCCTCTGTTACACCCAATTTTCCCTTCATGCCTCATGGTTGGCATTAAGATTTGGGAAATAAGTTTGTGTGGGTGTGAGGAAAAGGCTGCATCTCCATCAAAACTACACATGCCCCCCCGCTTGTTTTCATTACCCCCCCCACCCCTCCCGAAGTGTGACTGTAAATCAAGCTCTTCCATATGTATGTCCTAAAATAAATTTCAATTACAGAGTATCTATGTGTCAGAACACACTTCCCACATAACACATACGCCCATGATCGTTCACACTTGGTCAAGTCCACTCTGTAAACCAGGAAATTTCCTTCAAAAAATCAGGAAATTCCCTCTCAGTGTCAGATCCCTGAGCTCAACGTTATTTTGCCATTTTTAGTGGTGTCATTATCATTCACATAAGGTAGTAACGTTAAAAAATTTCCTATAACAAAACAGAAATATCATAACTCTAGAAAGCAATTGCCTTACTAGAATTTTGAGTTGGACATAAAACAAGGGAATGAATAAAATAGAAAACTCATAAAATTCTCATCATTTTAAGCGTCTATATTCACTCCTTTTCAGAGAACCCAATGCCTCCCAAGCCTTTTTAAAATCTTAAATTCTCTCTTTCCCTCACTGAGATCACAGTATGATGGAATATGTCTGAGGGTACAGAGGACACCCCCAGACTCATATCCCAGGAATCACCACACAGTTCCAAAGCATTTGGCCAATGCTTTATGATGTTAACCCAAAGCCTCTCTTCATCTGCATGCCTCATGAAATCCAGTGAGAGAAAGCTCATGATTTACTGTGTCAAAAATGAAACAGAACATCAGCCTGAAATAAAACCAAAGAAAACAAAAGGAAATAAAGTAGAGTTAGCCTCCATTCCTTATATAAGAAAAAAACTATAAGACTTACCTGGGCTGTGTCAGGAGCATGGGGTCTGGGTTTCAGTCTAGTATCAAGAAAGCCCCCTGGAGGAGGCATCTTGCTTGGGATGCTGTTGTAGTATGGGTGGTCTGAGCCATCTCCCTCCTCTTCCGTCCATGGCTCATCCAGACTCTGCATTCTGTTAAAGGAAGATTTCCAAGGGCTTTAGCCAAAAGTTGAACTTGCAGCCAAAATCAACAAATCTAATGTTAGCGCCTGTTATTAAGAAAAGAGAGTTTAGTCAGTGCCTCCTCAGCCATCCAGGTCTCATGCATAGATGAAAAGCAGATGAGTGGTTTAGCAAAATATCTCTGCCATATTCAGAGTTTCACTCATTGGAACATTTCAATCATGTTTGAAGGATGTCCTTTTGTAAAAGTACATTTTAATTAAAAAAGAAATTATGCCTAAGGATAGCCAGCTCCTCAAGGGACAGCACACATTTTTGTAAGCCATGAAATTGATCCCAAACAAAACCAACTACAAAATGGAAATTTAGTGATATGAGGGAAAATGGTAGAATATGAACCTCTCAAAATTCTCCCTTCTGCTATTTGAAAAAACTGTTGTGCTTCAAAGGACATTATCAAGAAAGTAAAAATACAAACTACAAAATGGGAGAAAATATTTGCTAACATGTATCTTAAATGAGACATGTATCTAGAATATATAAAGTACTCGTACGACTCAACAATGAAAAGACAACCCGATCTTAAAAATGAGCTGAGGATTTGAGCAGACTTTTCTCCAGAGATACACAAAAAGCCAATACATGCATGAAAAGTTCCTCAACATCGTTAGTCATCAGGAAAATGCATATCAAAACCACAACCAGAGACCACTTCATGCCCACTAGGGTAGCTATAATCAAAGAGATGGACAAGAAAAAGTGTTGATAAGAACGTGGGGATATTAGAACCCTCACACATTGCTCATGGGACTGTAAAATGGTGCAGCCACTTTAGAAAATAGCTTTGCAGTTTCAGCATAACCATATGACCACAGAATTTCACTCCCAGGTATATACATAAGAATATTGAAACATATGTCCATAAGGAAACTTGTATACATCTTTACAGTAGCATTGTTCATAAGAGCTAAAAGGTAGGGCCGGGCGCAGTGGCTGATGCCTGTAATCCCAGCATTTTGGGAGGCCAAGGCGGGCAGATCATGAGGTCAGGAGTTCAAGACCAGCCTGAGCAATATGGTGAAACCCTGTCTCTACTAAAAATACAAAAATTAGCCAGGCGTGGTGGCACACACCTGTAGTTCCAGCTACTCGGGAGGCTGAGACGAGAGAATTGCTTGAACCCGGGAGGTGGATGTTGCAGTGAGCTGAGATCGTGCCACTGCATTCCAGCCTGGGCAATGGAGTAAGACTCCATTAAAAAAAAAAAAAAAAGGTAGAAGTACCCAACTGTCCATAAACTAATGACTGGATGAACAAAAGGTCATATACCTATACACTCAAATATTATTAAGAACTCTAAAATGAAAGAAATACTGACAGATCCTACAACATGAGTGAATCTTGAAAACATTCTTCTAAGTGAAAGAAGCCAGATACATACAGTATGATTCCATTTATATGAAATGTCCAGAATGGGCAAATCCATAGAGACAGAAAGTAGATTAGTGGTTGGTGGAAGAGTGGGGAGTGGAGAATGGGGAGTAATTGCTGATGAGTATAGAGTTTCTTTGGGGGGTAATGAAAACGTTCTGGAATTAATGGTGATAATTGTACTTTTGAATATAACAAATCAACTGAACTGTAAACTTTAAAAGAGCAATTTGATTATATATGAATTATCAATTTTAAAAATAATAATAAATGGAGTCTTAGTGGCATCTGATTTGTTTTTCAGTGTCCCCAGAGAATGGGGCTGGAACAGCTGGATGCAGTGTGGGTTCTCTCATGTTCCCAGGCTGCACCCTGCTGGAGGAGCGGAGCTGAAACGGAAGGCAGGGCAAGCTCAGGAGATCCCCGTCACCCCGCTCTCGGATAGTACCCTGCGGGACACCAGGAGCCTCTGCAGGATAAGGTGAGGGGGGTGTCAGGTCACCGACAGTATGAAGCTACAGGCAGGGCCCCTTGTCACTGCTCTGCTTTAGAAATGATATGCCGGCCGGGCACGGTGATTTACGCCTGTAATCCCAGCACTTTGGGAGGCCGAGAGGGGCGGATCACGAGGTCAGGAGATCGATACCATCCTGGCTAACACGGTGAAATCCCATCTCTACTAAAAATACAAAAAATTAGCCGGGCGTGGTGGCAGGCGCCTGTAGTCCCAGCTACTCAGGAGGCTGAGGCAGGAGAATGGCGCGAACCCGGTAGGTGGAGCTTGCAGTGAGCCAAGATCGCGCCACTGCACTCCAGCCTGAGTGACAGAGCCAGACTCCCTCTTAAAAACAAAACAAAACAAAACAAAACAAAACAAAACCAGAAATGATATGCCAATACTTGCATTTGGAGGCGACATTTTTCTCAGTGGATAAGATCCTGTCTACTACATTTTCTTTCCCCAAAAGTCCTTCAAACTTCACTACATACAAACACATACAGAACTTCATACATTATGTACACTGCCAGAGAAGTATGGTAGTTAAACTAACTCCCTCCATTCATTTTTGTGTGTATTATCTTAATAGCATTTATTTGGCTTTTATTCAACATTTCAGAAACAAAGGCTAGCATAATAATTAATATGAAATATACTTATGCATCCCCCATGGAGATTAAATAAGTGTTAACCTTTTGATCTATTATGTTAAATCAAGTTTAGCCTAAAGCTACCTCCTTACGTATTTAAATTTGGCCTAAAGGTTTCTCTGTAAATCCTGAACTATACAAGTGGAGGTGTAAACAGACTGTAGCCTACTCTTGTGCCAATCACCGAGTTTTGGCCAATCAAATGCGGCCAACTGTTCCAACTGTGTTCAAATAAGGCAAACGCCGAGCTGTAACCAATCCAGCTATTTCTGAACCTCACTTCCATTTTCTGTAAGTCATTTTCCTTTTTCTCTCCATAAATCTTCTTCCACTACGTGGCTGCCCTGGAGTCACCGAGTCTACTCTGGCTGGGAGGCTGCTCTGTTTGGGAATTGTTTATTGCTCAATTAAACTCCTTTAAATTTAATTCGGCTGAAATTTTTCTTTTATCAATTACATGCTTCCCTTTTTAATAAAATTTGTCAAACTTACGTTGGATGGATACATAGATATGTGATATTATAAGTAAAATGTTAATGGTAGAAGCTAGATGTTGTCTATACAGTTCTTTGTGTATATTGGAACATTTTTATTATAAAATGGTGTAGGGGGTATATGCTTGACAAATACAGTCAAATGCAACCCATTTACCCACACCTCTGTCCTGTCTTCAGATATCCTGGAGTTGTGTATAGCATTTTTGCATTTTTTTGTTGTTGTTTGTGTGTTTGATTTTCTGAGATGGAGTCTTGCTTTGTCACCCAGGCTGGAGTGCAGCAGCACAATCTCAGCTTACTGCAACCGCCACCTCCCGAGTTCAAGTGATTCTCCTGCCTCAGCTTCCCAAGTATGTGGGACTACAGACATGCATCACCATGCCCAACTAATTTTTGTATTTTTAGTAGAGACGGGATTTCACTCTGTTGGCCAGGCTGGTCTTGAACTCCTGACCTCAGGTGATCCACCCGCCTTGGCCTCCCAAAGTACTGAGATTACAGGTGTGAGCCACTGTGCCCGGCCTTGTGTATGTTTTTATAGTCTTTCCATACATTTATTTATCCATATACTATATATGCAATCATTTATGTTTTCAAAATTTTCATAAATGGTTCATATCCTTTTGTAACTTGCTCTTTTTTATTTCATTATAAATTTTGAGATTTATGCTGGTAGTACATGTATATTGGTGAATTCTTATTAACTACTATGTCCCATTATACACAAAATAAAAAATTTGTTTCCTCAGTCTCCTACCTACATTTGGGTTGCTGTCACTGTCTGCCTCTAACTCTTCTATACACATCCTCCTGTCCCAGCTTGCTGAAGTTTCTTTCGTTCTTTTTTTTTTTTTAATATGATGGCCATAAGGGAGAATTGAATTCTAGCATTTTCAGCCTCTGGAGTGAAGTTTCTAGCAATGTGGAAATGGTGGGTCCTGCAGAGGCACCTCCAAAATGAATGTCTTAAACGGAATTTTCCAGGGAAAGAGGAAAAGAAATGAAAAGTCTCTTTGAAGAACGGCAAAGACTGAGAAGGGAGATGAAAGAAGTCTTCATAATCATAAGAACAAAGGTAGAGTCTGACTCTAGAACTAAGGCATAGAAGAATGTGGCTTTAGAAGTTTGAAAAAAGTATAGAGTAAATTTAGGAACAGTAAAGTTTTGTTTCTAGCGATCACAACATTAGAATAGATTTTCATTATGCAAGTTCAATCAAGGACAGAATACTGAATGACCAATATGCCCCATATTACTTTTCTTTTAATGCTTGATGCTGTATGGAATATTCTTACATCCTAAGGAAACTCAGTGATAGAACCTGAACATTTTTTATAATAAACTAAACATCTCCCAATTCCTCTTCACACTCACTATTTTGTTAAACACTGAAAAAAAAACCTAAGGTGCCATTCTTATTCCTACTTCACAGATAAAGCTGCTGAGACTCAAGGAGTTTACAGAACTTGCTCAGGGCCACCTGGAAGGTAAACAAACTACCAAGCTGTTAAGCTGCAAAGGCCAGCGAAGCCGAAACTATGCCGGTAGCCAGCACAGTGCCTCACGGAGGGGACCTCTTGTAGCACGACTTTGGCTAATCGTAACGACAAGGACAATGGGACACACAGAACCGGTGGTAACATAGACCCAAAGAGGTGACATATGGAACCATCACATGGCTGCAGAGGAAACAGAACAAAAAAATTTATAATGAAGTCGCTTTTCTGTAACCTTGGCGACCGTCACTATAGTTTCAAGAAAATGTTTTTCTACACATTCAAAGCATCATCCATATGTTGGCTTCCATCTGTTGGCTTTCTGTGCCATATCCCAGCACCGACCAGGTGTCTCTGAGCCCAGGAAGCCCTGTGATTAATTGTGCCTGTCCAGAACACAGCTCAGGGATGTGGTTTTAAGAGGAAAGGTCATAAAACCCACATAGGCTATTGCAAATGGTGTCACAGCACTACTCACCGATCATGGAGAGCGGGAATCTTGGTAGGACACTGTAAATATTGCTTAAACCGGAGCTCAAAGGCTTGTCCGATGGAGCCGATGACATCCTGGGCCAGCCCATCACAGCATTCCAAAATGTGACAAGCTGGGAAAGCAAGTGACATGGGCCTATTAGAGACAGACACTGGTGCTACCTGGGCTCCTCTACAAAGAGCCCTTGCTGAGGACACAGGGACAGAGAGGTGCATGCTTCTTCCATAATATGTCCTAGCAGATCCAACCACAGCTTTATCTCCAGGTAGGGAATCCTACAGCTATAACATCTCACAATAGGCATGCATTTCTTAATAGCCTATTGTCTACAAAATTATAGGTTTCATTTTTAAATAAATTAAAGATTTTTCAAGTTCAATTTGATGTTCTTCAATTTCTTTAGTCTATAAAGCATCAATTCTGACATCAATAGGGAAAAATTGTTTAGAAGGAGACTTCAGCACGACAAAGAGCCTGATCTCGACATGAACTAGGTCCCTTCAAACCCATGAGGCCTTAAAAAATGGACTGAAACCAGCATCTGTTGAGTGAATCTTGATTTATTCAGTGGACTTAGAGCAAGTAGTTCACTTGCTTCTTAGTGGGGGTAAAGTGTTGATCACCATATGTGGCCACTCAAAACAATAAGGAAACCTTTGAAGATGAATATAAAGAGATATTAATTATCAGTGTGACCATGCCAATAACATGACACATGCATCTACGTAAATTTGAGACTGGTTATTCATGCAGATTCTCAGAAAAGCAGCTTGTGTAAAGAGTAGATAAAAGTTAGGGGTGGCGGTAGGCCAAAATGAGGCCTGGTGGTAAGGCCTGGAGCAGTCCTTATGCTTGAAGCAGGCACCAGCTGTTACACAAGGACATGATGTCCTAGTGGCAAGGCTGCAGGATTATCTATGTGAAACCTTCAGAGAAAAGAGGGCCAGCCTCTGCCTCATAAGGAAGTAGTACTTTTTCTCCAGGGTACTGGAAAATACCTCTACTCTCCAGACCCACTTCCACCGTGCCCTACCATAAGCGTCCACATGTCCCTCCTGAAGGAGCCACAGGGCTGTCGCCATGAGGAGCCTAGCATGATCTTTTTACCAATGGGATAAAGGAATTCTCAGGAATTCCTGGGAAGGATGACAGCTGCCTTCATCACACCCCACCATTCTCCTGCCGACAATCGTATGCCAAGGAGGGTTCCTCCAAAAGCCGCGTTGGTCCCTGCAGTGAGGAGGATGCATTTCTTCATGAGTTGTTGTTCCCCAGCCCTGGCAGTGATTAGGGAGACACTGAACTGTGCCCTCCCTATAGGAGAAGCCAGTACATACTGGAAAGATGAAAGCTGTCAGGGAGGGGACAGAGAGACAGACACGGATGCCTCTGCACAGTGTGGAGCCTCTCAGCATAATACGGCACTGGGACTTTACCCCGGAGGCAGCCAGCTAGGCCCTGGGGCCTCAGCTCCTTCTCTCCCAGACTCCAGGGCAGGGAGACTTCTGTGGACACAGGAAATGTATTTCCTCGGAAGAGCAAGTACAAATGTATTTCTGCTTTGGGGGGCAATGCAACCCCTTGGATACGGCAGTGTTATTTTAGATATTGCCAAGAGATGTGTCTACAAAGGTTCAGACATCCTGGTTGTCTTCTGATGATCAATTATTGATATTATTTTAGTATTGACATTATTATTTACTAAGCATTGCCCCCAGGTAGTCACAAAGCAATGCCAAGCAGCTGTTACAGTTGTGCAGGTCACTGACTGATACAAATGCAACCATCTTTCCAGCTAAGAAGGAAGTAGGAGTCCAGGCCTGAGCAAGGGAAAGCCAGTGAGACACCTCGTTCCCCTGACCTGTCCTGTGCCACGCCCCTCCCGGCCCTGCTGTCCAGCATCAGCACCAGCCAACAGGACTGGTTGGTCGGTGTTTTGGAGAATGAGAAAAAAGACTGGAAAAGGGTCAGAAAGGGTAGCCTGTTTTTTTTAAGGAGAAAATAGGTATCCTAGCCTTTAAGATGAAGAACGAAGAATACGATTTACTGAGAGTGGGCTGTACAATCTCATCCACATGCTACTAACCTTCTACACACCTGAGAGCATGAAGCCTGGGAAGGGGCCTCTGTGGGAAAGGTCCAGGACATGTGGAGCAGGTCAGGGCTTGAGGTAAAAGCACTCTAGCATGCTGAGAAATGGGCATGTTACTCCAAGTGACTAACTCGGGGGCAGGCCCTGCAGATTGTGAGTAGACCCATGGACTCTCGGGAATTAACTCATGCCTGCAGCTCCTGGCACCTGGCAGAGTCCTCAATGAATGGAGAAAACAAGTCACCTGTTGCTTTGGTCTGAGGATTCCTTCTATAAAATGGCCTCTACATGTTCCAGAAACTCACTCCAAAACCAGTTAAACCTGGACTTTGTCTCTCTGGGCCTGGTATTTCTTCTGAGAGTATTGACACTTAGCCAAAAGCCACAATCTTCTAGCCTGCCCTGTGTGATTTGATGTGTGCACTAAATAATGAGGCCTTCCCCAAAGGCAGTCATCCAGCCTGCTGGGCTTCACCTCTCCCTGAGGAAACAACAAAACCAAAGATGTCATTCACAAACAATGGAGAAGAAACCAAGAGAGGTATGCAGCCCATTCGTGCACAGAATCGAGATTCCAAATGACGCAAAATCTAAAACATAGCTCAATGTAAACAAGGTCAGCAAGACAGGGAATTCCACAGTCCTCATTTGAGGAAACTGCCCACTGGGGAAACTCGTACCAACAGCCTGCAATAGTTCATTTACTTAAAAGCAGGGATCCTTTGCTGACACTGGTTTCTCTCTTATTTTGCCCCGCCAATAAAAAAAGCTGAAGCCACTCTCTAAGAGCACTAGCCCAAGCTGCCCCGGAGCAGCCACCTGAGCCATGACATCAGCAAAGGGACTTTCAAGAGCTCACATCACAAGGACTACTCCATAACTGAGATGGGCAACTTGAAAGCAAACCACTCCCTTAGGAATGTATTGTGGCTCTGTAGTCACACTGTAGTAGCTGGGGATGTGGTGGCTTTCAGCCATATGGTAGCTCCTGGCATGTCCACTCACATCTCCCGCTCCCTGAAGAATGGTTAACAGTGGTGAATGAGAAGGCAGTACCTAGATGCATCCCAATCCACCAGACTTCCAGTTCTCAGCTTCCTCCTCTCCCCAAATAAGCCCAGAGGCTAGTAGCTGCTCCCGGCTTGGCGCTCAGGACTGGCCCCCGGCCATCTGCCTGCTGCAACAGGGCATCCAGTAAACTGGTGTGAGGCTTGTTCATCTAAGCACGCTCTCAACACCCTACCTGTGACACCTATTCTGTGAGTCAGGGTGGGCAAGTTATGCCACAGTAAGAAACAATCCCAACGTCTCTGGCTGAAATCAACCATTTCATTCTTGCTTACTCATTTCTGGGCACCTCTCTAAGGCAGCCATCCTCTTGTGGTGCCTCAGTGGCCCAGGCTGGTTTGATCTTTTGATCTTGCAACTCAACGCAAGGCCTTTCCCACAATCTGCAGAAGAAACAGACAGCAGGGCCTTGCACCAGAACCAAATGCACCTTCTGTTCTGCTCTTAGCCCGTCACACAGAACTGTCATGGGCTTCTCCCAAGCAGGAGGGGGCTGGCAGATGCCATCTTTTGCAAGTTTGGAAGGATAGGAGAGCAGGATATTAGGAATGCCCATCACACCCACTGAATCCCTTCTCTAAGTCACAGTTATCCATGCTGCTTCTCACTCATGCCTACCACAAAGAACTTTCCAACCATGCATCCCCAATAAGTGTCTATTTGTAAATTATTAACGTGCATTCCTGTATTAATATTATGTGTATCATAAAAACATCTTTTAAAAGATATCTTTTGTCTTCAAAAAGGATGCAATAAAGAGAAAAATAAAAATTTAAGCTGTCTTGTTAGCCGTGAAAGCATTACTCTGTCAGTCAGTATCTCAAGACACAACCACATTAGGTGTGATCTATTGTTATTATGATGGATAAAAATTCATCTTTCCATCCTGGAGGTACATTTCTTAATCATCTTGAATGTGGAAGGGCTGATTTCTTATCTTATATGAATAGATGATCAGTGTTTTTACTGTGAAATGCAGCCTGTGAAGTTTTCAAAATGGAAGTAAATGTTATCAGCTCTTCCATTTCTTTTCTTTTTCTTTTTCTTTTTTTGAGATGGAGTTTCACTCTTGTCGCCCAGGCTGGAGTGCAATGGCGCGATCTTGGCTCACTGCAACCTCAGCCTCCTGGGTTCAAGCCATTCTCCTGCCTCAGCCTCCCGAGTAGGTGGGATTACGGGCACCCACCACCACACACAGCTAATTTTTAGTAGAGATAGGGTTTCACCATGTTGACCAAGCTGGTCTCGAACTCCTGGCCTCAAGTGATAAAGTGCTGGGATTACAGACATGAGCCACCATACCCACCCACCTCTTCCATTTCTTTCTTATTTGTTTGAGCTGCCATGATGGGTGTAATCCCTAATGTACAGTTTCTCTCCAAGAGGTTTAGTTCAGTTAAAACTAGTTCACACAGCTGAGAACCCACTTTGCTTCGCCGCTCACCCCACATCCCAGCACATGGGCTGGCAGCAGAGAGCCCTGCCTGCTGTGCAGCCATCCTGCCCTTCCTCTGCTATTACGGGCTAAGATCGTCCTGTTTCCAGATTAGAACTGTGAGCCAATGCTCCAGCCTTCATGTCCCACACAGTGGGCTGTTTGCACACTTCTGGCATAGGCCATTGCCTCGGCAAGCTTTGTGTGAACAGCGAGACCCTGCCCAAGCCAAGGCAAAAAACTTATCGGGATCCATGCCCCACTTTCAGGAAGCCACACCCCAGCCTCACACTTCATGGGTCCCAGGTGCTGTCCATCAGCCTCTCCAGGGTGGCTTGGCTCCCACAGTCCATCTGGGGTTCTCCAGTGGCTGCTGATCCAGACACCAGTAGCCTCTGATCCAGCCACATTCCAGAGCAGCTGGCCAGGGCATGGGGAACCTTGGAGATATTCGAAGTCATTACTCAAATGAGGAAATGTCCTGCTCAACAAGGACGGCTGTCTTTTCATCTTAGTGAGCTGATAACCCACACACCTTAAAAGGAATATCAAAAACGAATGAATTCTACCAGAGAGACGAGGGCTCCTCAATCTCTGACTGGTCAGACAACCTTAGTTTGTTTATTCAATGTAGCCATGCACTCTGAATTGATCCAGTTTTCCTTTTTCTTTTTTTTTTTTTTTTTTTTAATCAGAGAAGAGTAAGAAATCCAACATTCAGCCACCCTGCTATGATGAGTTTCTCAGTACATGTCCTAGCCCCAGATAGGGCAAATTAAAGTAATAAGGGTATAGCATTTTGCACCCATCAGATTTGTGGGAATTTAAAAGTCTAAAAATGCCAATTGTTGAATAAAAGGAGACTTCATATACTACCCTTGGAATTATAAAGTAAAATGACCATTTCAGAAAAGTTGAGGATGTCCAAAACAGTGATTTGGCCTCCAGGTACATAGCCTAGGGAAATTCCTGGACGAGAGCACAAAAAAAAACATATACAAAATATTTACTGAAGACTTTATTTAGCAGACATTTTTTGAGCATCTACTGTGCACAAGGCCCTGCCCTAGGATCTAGGGAGAGTTTCAGTGGACACTGAAAATAAATAAATAAAAATATACCTCTGTAGTGGATTGAAGGGTGCCCTCCTCCCCGCAAAAGTCATGCCCCCTGACCATCTGGAACCTGTGGAAAAGAGTTTTTACAGGTGTGGTTAAGTTAAGGATCTCGAGATGAGATTATCCTGGATTAGGGAGGGCTCTAAATCCAAGGACAAGTGTCCTTATAATAGATGAGAAGAGGGGCCCAAACATATAGGAAGGGGAGGCAGAGAGAGGACTGATGCTGCCACAAGCCAAAGAATGGCTGGGCCACAAGAAGCTGGAAGGAGTCTCCCCTAGAGCATGGCTCTGCTGTTGCCTGACTTCAGACTCCTGGCTTCCAGAATGGTGAAAGAATCAATTTCTGTTGTTTCAGGCCACCTAGTTTGTGACATTTTATTATAACAGCCCTAGGAAATGAACACAGCAAGGAAGACAATGTAAAACAAAGAAGATGGAGGATGGTGGTGGAGGACATGGTGGAGGATGGTGGTAGAGGATAGTGGCATAGGACGTGGTGGAAGATGGTGGTGGAGGACGGTGGTGGAGGATGCAGTGGAGGATGGTGGTGGAGGACATGGTGGAGGACGGTGGTAGAGGATGGTGGCGTAGGACGTGGTGGAGGATGGTGGCATAGGATGTGGTGGAGGACAGTGGTGGAGGATGTGGTATAGGATGTGGTGGAGGATGGTGGTGGAGGATGATGGTGGAGGATGGTGGTGGAGGATGATGATGGAGGACAGTGGTGGAGGATGTAGTGGAGGATGCGGTGGAGGACAATGATGGAGGATTTACATGGTGGAGGTGTACATGGTGGAGGATGCTGGTGGAGGATGTGGTGGAGGATGGTGGTGTTAGGACGTGGTGGAGGACGTGGTGGAGGACATGGTGGAGGACAGTAGCAGAAGATGTGGTGGAGGATGGTGGTGTAGGATGTGATGGAGGGCGGTGGTGGAGGACGTGGAGGAGGACAGTGGTGTAGGACATGGTGAAGGGCGGTGGTGGAGGATGGTGGTGGAGGATGTGATATAGGATGTGGTGGAGGATGGTGGTGGAGGACATTGTAGAAGACATGGTGGAGGACAGTGGTGGAGGATGGTGGTGTTAGGACGTGGTGGAGGACGTGGTGGAAGACATGGTGGAGGACAGTAGTGAAGGACGTGGTGGAGGATGGTGGTGTTAGGACGTGGTAGAGGACGTGGTGGAAGACATGGTGGAGGACAGTAGTGAAGGACATGGTGGAGGACGGTGGTGTAGGACATGATGGAGGGCGGTGGTGGAGAACGTGGTGGAGGATGTGGTGGAGGGCGGTGGTGGAGGACGTGGTAAAGGACGTGATGGAGGATGGTGGTGGAGGATGGTGGTGGAGGATGTGGTGGAGGACGGTGGTGGAGGATGTGGTGGAGGATGGTGGTGGAGGACCGTGGTGTAGGACATGGTGGAGGACAGTGGTGGAGGACGGTGGTGGAGGATGGTGGTGGAGGATGTGATATAGGATGTGGTGGAGGATGGTGGTGGAGGACATTGTAGAAGATGTGGTGGAGGACATGGTGGAGGACGGTGGTGGAGGACGTTGTGGAGGATGGTGGTGGAGGACGGTGGTGGAGGATGTAGTGGAGGATGCGGTGGAGGACGTAGTGGAGGATGCAGTAGAGGATGATGGTGGAGGATTTAGTGGTGGACATGGTGGAGGACAGTGGTGTTAGGACGTGGGGGAGGACATGGTGGGGGGCGGTAGCAGAGGATGATAGTGTTAGGACGTGGTGGAGGATGTGGTGGAGGACAGTGGTGTAGGATGTGGTGGAGGGTGGTGGTGGAGGACGTGGTGGAGGATGTGGTGGAGGACATGGTGTAGGACGTGGTGCAGGGCGGTGGTGGAGGACGTGGTGGAGGACGTGATGGAGGATGGTGGTGGAGGACGTGGTGGAGGATGGTGGTGGAGGATGGTGGTGGAGGACATGGTGGAGGATGGTGGTGCAGGACGGTGGTGGAGGACGTGGTGGAGGATGGTGGTGGAGGATGGTGGTGGAGGATGGTGGTGGAGGACGTTGTGGAGGATGGTGGTGTAGGACAGTGGTGGAGGATGTCATATAGGATGTGGTGGAGGATGGTGGTGGAGGATGGTGGTGGAGGACGTTGCAGAGGATGGTGGTGTAGGACAGTGGTGGAGGATGTCATATAGGATGTGGTGGAGGACATAGTGAAGGACGCAGTGGAGGACGATGGTGGAGGATTTAGTGGTGGACATGGTGGAGGATGGTGGTGGAGGATGTGGTGGAAGATGGTGGTGTTAGGACGTGGTGGAGGACATGGTAGATGACAGTAGCAGAGGATGATGGTGTTAGGAGGTGGTGGAGGATGTGGTGGAGGACAATGGTGTAGGACGTGGTGGAGGGCGGTGGTGGAGGGCGGTGGTGGAGGATGTGGTGGAGGACATGGTGTAGGACGTGGTGGAGGGTGGTGGTGGAGGATGTGGTGGAGGACGGTGATGGAGGACAAGGTAGAGGATGTGGTGGAGGACATGGTGGAGGACAGTGGCAGAGGACAGTGGTGTAGTACGTGGTAGAGGACGTGGTGTAGGACAGTCGTGGAGGACATGGTAGAGGACGTGGTGGAGGATGGTGGTGGAAGATATGCTGGAAGATGCTTGGTGTAGGATGGTACACAGGATGATCAGGGGAGGTGGCCCTAGAGGCGGCACTGGAGAAGATACCTGAAGCGAGTCAGGGAGAGAAGTCCAGGAAGGCCGGTGGTAGAAGGCAGGCACAGGGCCCAGGAGGCAAGAGCTTGCTTGGCACGGTCAGGGTCAAGGAAGACCCAGAAGCCAGTGTAGCTGGAGTGGCAGGGAGAGGGGATCATAGGAAGTGAGACGGGATGGAGTGGGAGTGAGCTCACAGAAGGTCCTGTGGGTGTTGGGGGAATGGGACATTTTATTTGGAGTGAGCAGAGAAGGAACAAGATTGCATCATTTTAAAAGGATCCTTCTGTCTGCCATGTGGACAAAAAACTTTAGAGTGGAAGAGCGGGCACAGAGTGACTGATGATTAATTATGGAGCCTGTCAGGGGGCAGCAGGGCAGTGGCAAGAACTGGTAAGATGGAAGGCTTTGCCGGCAGGTGCAGGTGAAGGAAAGAAGGCAGAGAACTGGGGAAGTCGGGAAGGGGTTGCGGTTGATAGAAACCAGCAGGTGCTCTTCAGGAGGAAAGTGCTGGACCTATCTGTGTCTGCCTATGTTTGAGAGGCCTGTGAGACTCCCAAGTGGAGACACAGAGCTGGCTTTCAGGCAGAGGCCAGGGCTGGAAAAATATGTTCAGCATTCTCAGCCCAGGCATGGTACGTAAAGCACAGAGCCTGGCTTTGTTTGTAAAAACACTGCTCATAATAGCCAAATGTGGGAAACATCCAACCATCAGAAAATTCACCTCCTGCCACAGTGTCATTCGATGGCATATTTAACCACCTGGTTAAAAAAAATAAGCCATTGCTTTCACCCATTATACACTTGAGGCTTTGCTGCCAAGGGAAAGAAAAGTTAGAAGCAGTGCTGTGTTACTTCCACCAATGAGTTCAAAATATTTAAGGCCTCTTTTAGAAAGTCACCTCTTGGGGCCTACAGCAGTCCAGGGCCAAAGGAAACAGAAACTCCTTTTGTTGAAACCACCATATTCGAGAAGCCCAGAAGAGGCAAGCTTGGCTGTGTGAAGCATTGTCTTCCCCATGTGGGCTTCCCACTCAAGCCCACTCACTCCTAAGACCTCCTGTTCTCCAGAAAATCTTGGGAAAAGAGCAGCAAGATGTCTTAGGAGCCGCTGTTCAGGCTGGATATGTAGGCTTCTCTCCCATTGGGTCAGCAGCACCTAAGCATAGTCATCACGGTTTATCCGAAGTTTGTGCCTTCCACAGTTTCAGTTACCCATGGTCAACCTCAGTCCAAAAACAATAAATGGAAAATTTCTGAAATTTACAGTTCATAAGTTTTAAATTGCACGCCATTCTGAGTGAGTAGTGTGATGGAATCTCATGCCATCCTGTCCAGTCCTTCTCAGGACGTGAATCCTCGCTCTGTCCCAAGTATTCGCACTGCATATGCTACATGCCTGGCACTCACTTAGTAGCTGACTCAGTTATCAGATCAAAAAAACATAGTATGTGTAGGATTTGGTGCTATTTGTGGTTCCAGGCATCCACTGGGGGACTTGGATGGAATATACCCCCACAGATAAGGGGGAACTACTATATAGGAAACAACTTTCCATGTCTTGGTTCAGGGAGTACCAGAGGGCGCCTGATCAGGGATACTATTACAATTATAAAGTATACGAATTACATGCCTTCTGTAGGCAGTCGTATGCCTAATTTGAGCATCATTTGGTAGCTACTTTTGTGACCTAAACAGTCCATTTGGAACTGTCTAATATATACATAAGGTTGCAGGGCATGGGAGTCACCCGGTAGTAATGAAAGTTCCAATGTAAAAAGAAAATGATATGTTAGAATTTAGCAAAGCCTGACTTGTTGGGAATTGCATCCCTACAGGTGCCAGTAGTCATCACCTAGGCCTCCTATGGTCCTGACTTTTAGCTATAATTTATCAACCTTGTGAGACATGGCTCATTTTCCACCCTTATCTCTTTGAGATGGTGGTGGTGGTGGTTACCATCCAACTTAATGACTTGGGTCAGGAACCTTTTGTCCTTTCACTGGATTAACTATAGAAGCCATGGATTCTTGATACCAGAGAGACAAATATAGATTCTCATTAGAATTATTCTAGATTAACCACAAACACATATAAGAATATAGAAGCAAGAATCAGCACGGAAAAAGACAAACAGTAACAGCATCGAGGGACTTGAACCCGTAACTGTAAAATTTTACAGAAGACTTTCTGGGATGCATTCTGTCCCTGATGGTCTTTAGGGGCTGTGCCTGCAGCCACAACACTACAAGGTCTGCTCATACACAGAGGGCTAGAAGCCCCAGTGTGGGGACTTTTAAGAGCCCAAATAAGAACATTCACACCCAGAATTTCTTGCTACTCTGCCCAGTGGTAGAGGCCAATCTTCCTAAATTAACCCCTGTACATGGCATAGGGGAGGAAGAAAGAAAACAGAGCAGTTGGGAGAAAGCCCTGCCACTGGCTCCTTCATGGAGGAAGTCATCCTGGTAAGGACACTGATGAGATGGAGCAGAACATGCTCATAGCTGGGCTGCTGGAGGGATGCAGTTAGATCCACCCTCCCTGCCCACACTGTCATCCGGTAGGCTGGGCCTCCTCACACATGGTGAAAGCAGGGTTGAGGGGTAAAGATGGCTGCAAATTCCTTGACATTCTTTCCTTGAAGGGTACATGTGGCTTCCTTCCCCCTTGAGTCTGAGCTGGCTGTGACAGCTTTTTTTTTGAGACGGAGTCTCGCTCTGTCGCCAGGCTGGAGTGCAGTGGTGCGATCTCGGCTCACTGCAACCTCTGTGTCCCAGGTTCAAGCGATTCTTCTGCCTCAGCCTCCCAAGTAGCTAGGACTATAGGTGTGCACCACCACGCCCAGCTAATTTTTGTATTTTTAGTAGAGATGGGGTTTCACCATGTCGGCCAGGCTGGTTTCGGTCTTCTGACCTCATGATCTGCCCGCCTCGGCCTCCCAAAGTGTTGGGATTACAGGCGTGAGCCACCACACCTGGCTGACAGCTGTGACTAGTAAATCTATGGCAGAAGTGAAGCTTAGCCCGGCCTTTCAGAGCACTGGACACATCTACTCTGGGTCTCATGGAACCTAGAGCTGCCATACAGAAAGCCCTACTTCCCAGAGGGATGAAGGGGCCACTTGGAGAGTCTCTGAGACTCCATGGAGAGGGCTGAGCCTCTAGTCATCCTTGCCAAGGTCCCAGGTGTGGAAGCAAAGCCAATTTGGACCTCCTAGACCAGCCCAGACTCTCTAGCTAAAGACCACTCGATGACCCCTGTCGATGCCACTTGGGCAGATGAACTGACCAGCTGACACTTGCTTGAATTCCTGACCCACATTCTATTATAATAAAATGGTTGTTGTTAAGCCACTAAGCTTGAAGTAGTTTGTTACAGGCAATAGATAGGTGGGAACACAGAGTGAGTATCTCCCACTAACTGTCTCAAACAAAGGGCCTGTCTTAATCAGCTGGGACTGCTGTAACAACACCACAGGCTGGGTGACTTCAACAACAGACATTTGTTTCTCACAGTTCTGGAGGCTGGAAGGTGCCAGCAGACTTGATGTCTACTGAGGGCCCTCTTCCTGGTTTGCAGACGGCGCTTTCTTGCTGTGTCCTCACATGGGTGGAAGAGGGTGAGGGAGCTCTCTGAGGTCTCTTTGACAAGAGCACCAAACCCATTCACAAGGCTTCCCCCTCATGACCTAATGACCTCCCAAAGACATCACCTTCAATTGGGGCCTTTAATTAATGCAATACCATCATATTGGGGGTTTCTATTTTAACATATAAATTTGGGGGTGACGTGAATATTCAGTCCATAAGAGGGCCCCTGTGTTGGTGGTGCCCTCAAGCACCAAAAATGGTGGAGATCTTTTTCTGCATCACAGGTCTGGCATTTGTCTTCACAGTATCACCACATGCAAACCTGAGAGAGCCTGGTGAGGCAGCCACGGGACATGTGGAATCGATCCTGATTCCCATGTCGCTGGACAGGAACTGTATTGTGGGCAGAAAGTACTCTTGGTTTGCCCCTGAGAAATGAAGTCAATGACTCGGGGCTAAACTCCTTCAGGATCTGGACCTAAGCCTTATTTCCTAGCTTTGGCGGTACCTTGGAATCATCTGAAGAGCTTTTAGAAAATTGTATTGTCTGGGCCCCACTCTCTGAGGCCTGAGCATTGAGGTTTTTTTAAGCTCCCCAGGCAGTGGCGTGGGGGATGATTCTCCATAAGGCCGCATCATGGATCAGTTCATCTCTTCCGTATGGGCTATCTTAAAAATATATCCAAGGTATAGCATTGGAGGGTAAGGTAGCAAAACAGAATATTAGGATCTCATTTGTATGAAAATGTTAAAAAGAGAGGGTATGTATACGGATAAGCATTATGCAAAGCAAACTAGAAAATCTTAGTTGGTACCTGGGGTAGGGGGGTAGTGAAAGGGAGTGCTGTTTTGTGCCGTTATTAATTCCATTTGTTATTTCATCAATGAGTTTTAAATTGCAGCTGTGGTGTGGTGCATCAATAGCTGCCTGGAACTCCAGGGTAGTGCACCTTGGTCAGTCCCAGCCACCCCAGGTATGCTACCATCCAATGGGCTTTGGTTTTATAAATGACTCCCCCCATCCAGCCTGTTCCTGAAGACTTAGAAGCTGAAAGGGATATAATCAGACAGCGCCTGAGCTCAGACACTAACCTCTAGGGCTGGCAGGGCAGAGTGAAGTAGCTAGGGGTGGCTTAGTGGGCACTGGGCACACACCAGGAGCTGAAGCTGGGCAGGAGGACAGGCAGCAGGTGGTCTTCCAGGAGTAACCGAGGCCACTGTCAGAATATGGGCAGGGGCTGTTTGTGTGTAAATCAATTGTACCAAACCAGCTATCTGGATACAAGCGTGTGTTTGGTGGTCAGAGAGGTCCGGTACCTCCTAACTCAGCCAAGCGATCTACAACCCTTGCAAACCTCATTCATCCTTAGTAATACAAGATGGCACTACTCATTTGTTGGGAGGGGGCTGAGATAACGAGGACCAGCTTGTATAGAATGTGAAGCCTGGCTGTACACAAACAAGAGATTAAAGGGGTCAAGCACCGCTTACCTCTGCGATTAACAGGGTCCTTAGCCACATATGCAACATAGTCAGTTGTGTCCTGTTAAAGAAAAAAGAGATGTCTATGTCACTAATCACAAGTGAGAGACCACACAGTCAGGGACACAGGGCACAAACCAGTGAGCTTAGAAGGACTCAACCACCAAACAGCTAAAGAATCAAATGCTGCCTAAGAAACAGCCCCCAGAAGATTCAAGCTATATAATGTGGGTAGCAACCACCCAGAGGTCTCACATTGCAGACTTTGACTCAGCAGGTCAGGGGTAGGGTCTGAGGTCCTGTACTTCTAACCAGCTCCCATGTATACTGAGGCTGCAGTGTCTCAGTATCCCACCGGAACTGGTTAGAAGTCCACTTACACTTTGAGCAGCAAGGAGAAAAGGCATGTTGGATCGCCTGAGAAGCTTTAAACACACTGATACCTGCGTCCCAACATGCAGATAATCCCATTTAATTGGTTTGGATGTGAGGCCTGTGCATTCGTTTTTAGATGCTCCCTAGATGACTGTAACGTGAACCACATGTTAAGAACCACTGCTCTCAGCTTTGTCTACACCAGTGGTTCTCCAATTTGAGCTGGTATCAGAATCCCCTGCAGGGCTTGTTAAAATAGAACGCTAAGCCATACCCCCGAGTTTCTAATTTGGTAGTAGTTCTGGGGTAAGGGCTCAAAATTTGCATTTCTGTCAAGTTTCTAGCTGCTGCTGCTCTGGGGGCCACACTTTGAGAACCACTAGGCTAGAAGAAAACCAGAGTGGATGTTCAAAGGCTGACTGCAAATGCTGCCTTCCTGGTGGATGAGATATAATGGTTATTTTCTTCTTGGACATAAATAATGATCTTAATACTTTAATATGTTTTAAAAATATGAGCTCTATTGAGAAGTCTCATCCTTCCATATGAAATGTGAGTTTCTTTGCCTGCCTTCTCATATAATCAGTGCATAGGGAAAATGATGACCTCAAAAGTAGACCACGGCAACCATATGCATTTTAATTCATAAACAAATAAGCAGAGAAACCAATAATTATCTTAACTCCTGAAAGCAGAAAAGACTCCTCTGCAAAGTTGGTATTTTCGGCATTCAAGACTCTGTGGGGCAACTGATAAAAGTCTACCTCATTTTGGCAGACATTTCCCATATGTCATTGCTTTGAAGGGCTTCCAGGTTATTGATACGCTCCCGATGTTGCCAGCACCTAAAAGGCTCTGTCGTGACTTGCTCCACTGTTTTCTCTATGGGCAAAGGAGACATCCCCTTCTCTCTCAACAGTGCCCTACAAAAGCTCTCCAAGGAGAGAGAGATGAGGGAGAGAATGAGTATGGGGTGGCCATGTCACTGTTGTGGGACATCTGCTGTAGGTTCAGGTGGGTGGTGCTGGGCACTTTTCCACACCCCATCCCGCTGGATCTTACACAGCCCAACAAGACCACACCAGTGTAGCATTCTTCCAGCAGCTCTTGAGACAATGGTGCTGCTTCCCCGGTCATTCTGCAGGGCGTGGCTCAGCTAAGCTGTTTTCTTTTCTGCTCAGGACACTGTTCCCTGGTGTATTCACAGGCTGACTAGGGAAAGGAAATGAAAGATCGTCCACCTGGTCAAACTGGCTTCTGGTCATTTCCATCAAGGAGGATCCAGTCAGAATCTGAAGTTATTGGCAAAAACAAGGATAACAGCTTGTAATCATAGGCACTTCCTGAACTCACAAGACGTGAATGTCAGAAGGATCCTTAGAGAGCATCTAAGATAGCACTAGATTTCAAGCTGAAATTCATAGAACCCTAGGGTTGGACAGGTGTCTTCTCCAGTGTTTGAGGTGGCACCAGCATTTTAAAAAATTTTTATTTTCATTTCCATGATTATCTTAAAATTAATATAAGAGTAACTGGGATCATTTAGGTGACCACTGTGTTATCAAGTTCTGCACACAATTTCAATGCCAGGATTTGCAGCTGGATTTCCAACATTATGATTGCTAGGTTTTCAAAGAATTAGAAAGAAAAGGACACAGGGTAGATTTCTCTGCCCACATAAAGCAAATTGACATTATACTTGTACATGATGTACAACTGAAGTTTCTGCTTGAATAGAAGAAATTAGTGGAAGAATTGAGTCATCCAGGTGCCCATGGTAATGAAGAGACATTGAACTTAAAAAATTCTGCCCCATGGTGGCCAGGCCAGCATCACATTCAGATGGAGATTTAGTTTCAGCGAACTTTGTCCATCATAGCAAAGTAATATTACATTGAATGTCATTGGCCTTACAATGTTTACTTGTATTTAACTTTCAAATTTAAGTAGGGGGAGAGTTAAATAAAAAGTATAAATAAAAGAAGTTTATTTTTAATTTGTTTTTGCACATATTCAGGTAACAAAATTAGAGTCAGCATTAGTAATGAATACAAGGAATATATTTTTTTACGTTCTTACTCTGGCTCAAAGTTGGGAAAGGAGGGAGAATAGAGAGACATAATATGTCCCTGTCTCTCAGATGGTCAATGGCCAAGCTTTTCTGATGCCAATATTGATCCTTTTCTGGCAGAGCAGGCAAATATATTACCATTCAAAACAATATTCTTGTCATCAGGAAGCACTAAGTTCCAAAGACAGAGCTGAGAAGTGCTGTTCTGCATCTATTCTATACCTGTTCCCACTCCCCAAGACCCCCTGTGCCTGGCCATTGTTCTGGCATTTTTGTGGTGGTCTTTTAACACTGCTAATTACAGTAGATTATAATCACAGCATGCCGTTTTTAGAGAGGAATTAATAAAGTTTTCTAGTCTATCTTGTTTGCTATTTCAAAATACCATTTTCCTACTGGGTAAACTGAGGCACTAAGCAATAAGTGACATGTACACTTAGCAGGAGAACAAGGACTAGAATATAGAATTGTCAGCTTTATTAAAAATGTCTACCAATTATAATGTGCTAAATTCATGGTTACAAATCAATTTGGAATGTAATCTCATGCACAATATAAAATGCATTTGGATTGGTTAAAATGGAAAGTAACTAGGCTTCCTGTCCTGTGTTATGACATTTTATAAACCAGAAAAAAGAAATCACAGAAAATATAAAAGGTTGTGGATTACTTTAAGGATTACTAAATGTTTCCAATTTTTTTTAAAAAAAAATAAGATGTGATGAGGAAATCTGAAAAAAAAAATGTATAGTCCTATGTGCATCCTGAAAATAAAATAGTTTTGACACAAACCAATGTAATTGGCTCCCAACAATCTAGATATGTGTGTCTTCACTCATAATGTCAACATTAAGACAGGTTTAAGAAGAGCTCTTGAAGGAAGCTGTTAATGCAAATATACAAGACATCTGCCTTTTATATGTCAAACTGGGTTATCCTCCAAATTTAAGAAACTATGGTTCCAAACATCACAAGGGGCAAGCAATTAGACAACCACTGCAAATTAGGTAGCAAATAGGTGGACATACACATATAGACAGCATCTGAAGAAATGCACCTTGGGCCAGGTGCAGTGGCTCATGCCTGTAATCCCAGCACTTTGGGAGGCCGAGGTGGGTGGACCACTTAAGCCCAGAGTTTGAGACCAGCCTGGGCAATATGGTGAAACCCTGTCTCTACTAAAAATACAAAAAGTTAGCCAGGCATGGTGGTGTGTGCCTGTAGTCCCAGCTACCCATGAGGCTGAGGTGAGAGGATCACTTAAACCTGGGAGGTCAAGGCTGCAGTGAGCTGTGATGGCGCCACTGCATTCCAGCCTGGGTGACAGAATGAGACCCTGTTGGATGAGTTCAACTGGGGAAGACTTCCACTTTCTGAATATGCATCTCAATAAGGACTTTCATCTTACAATAAAGTGTAAGAAATTATAAGGATTAGAAAGAAAGGAAAGGCATAGCAAGGGAAGGGAAGAAAAAAAAGAAGAGAAAGCCATTGTGGTTGACTTTTGACAAGAAGATCGAAAGTATGAAAACAAGGCCCAAGCCACTTGACCCTATGGAATGGCAGATCTCAGGGCTAAACAGTGCTCTGACCATCCTTTGACAATTAAGCAGAGATATAAGGGCAAAGAACCATCTGCTGGGTGGGCAAATACCTTCCCCTGCAGAGTGCCCTTGGCTCAAGGGTCTGAGATGGGGTCACTGAGAAGCAGCAGGGCCCAAGCCTCTCCACGGCAGCTCGTGCTGGCCCAGGCAGGAGTGATGCCCAGAATGGCCATGATGCCTGCCTCTGGCAGCTGCCACAGCAGGGCAGGGAGAAGTACCACTTCCCTGTTGCTGAGATTCGTGGCCCAATTGTACTGTCCTTTGGAAATGTCAAGGCTCTGGAGTCTACCTTTGACATTGCTCCTTCAATTTGGCTTCCAATGTGCCAACAGCAATTTTCTAATCCAGTTTCCAAGGTAGAAGGGGTATGGGAAGAAAAGGTAGAAAAGTCACAGGGAAAAGTTCCTACTTGTGCTAGTAAAACACAGGGTCCTCAACCTTGAAATGAAGAGATCTTGGACCAGTAAACCTTTATGTAACATCTGAAGATTGCCTACTCATAATTTGGCTAAAGAATGCAAAATAGCAATAATAACAAAAACACCACCTCTAGGACATTATTTTATATTAAAAGGCTATTGAACACAAAAAAGTATAAAAGATGGCTTCTTAGGATATAAGATCATTTTTCAATTGAATAAATTTAGCTCCAGGAAAAACTCAATCTATTATCCTAATTTTAAAACTTTTCTCCAAACTGGTGGAAACTTTACCCAGACGCATAAAAATTAAGATGAGAACTTTCCGGAGGGTGAGCCTTCTTCCCTCTCCCTTCTGGAAAGGGCTGACTTGGCTTTCTTCCCTTTGCCCTCTGTGCCTCACTCCTTTGTGACCAATTTCCTGCCTGGTTTCTTTGCAGGCCCAGGCTGTCCACAGTGAGCAGCCAATTTGTGTGTGGATTCCGCCCTGTCCCGGGAGCGGGAGGTGGTTTTCTGAGTTCAACTTCGTGACAGTACAGTTTAGATGACATGGCCACTCTGAAGCTGGATGCTGACATCCTATTGTAGCATTCCCGCCCAAATGTGGGAAGCAAATTCCCTTGTTATTCCACCTTCTTCATTAAAGATGTGAAGCAAAAATAGAACATTCTCATTCTGTTCTCGAGTCTTCTTCTTACTCTCTCTCTCTCTCTGCAACTCCCTCCTTGTTGGCAAAGCAAACTATTAAAGGCTGCAGTATTACACTGGGAGAGAAAAATGCTGATTTTAAATGCTTATGAATAAAGCAGACTAAGAAAATTCACATTCTTCAGGCAGACTTAAAATATTAATATGGAGGTCCAATAAAAAAACAAAAAGTAGGGCAAGAGCCGAGTGACAGCGTGAGAAGCCTGTGGCAACTCTGGGGCCAGGGGGACTATTTCATCACCTGGTAAGAACGCCAGTGCCTCCAGGATTTTTGACAGCTTTTGGCTAATGAAATGAAAACTAATGGTGGGGTCCTTGTCACAGCTTACCCCTAAAAATAAAACGATGGCCAAGAAGATCTTCTATGGAAATCAGGAGGGGGAAATTAGTTGCCATCACAATTAACCTTTTTTACAGTGTCTTGCAAGGCATATTATTGAAGCAGGGGTCCCTTCTCAGAAATTCCCAACAAGAGCAAGAGACCAACCCCAAGGGTACTTACCGGGTCTCCCCCAGAGGCGAAGGAGATGGACCGCATGTGGTGATTCGCTATGATCTGCCAGGCCCAAAACAAGAAACGAGATGTGCTGTTATCGCCCTTTCCACATTTTGGAAAAGCAACTGTTTGTTGGCAGGCATTACAAATTGACATGTTTTCCTGAAAATTGGTATCTATATAAAAATAATGATTATAAAAGTAATAGCAATAGATCACCTTTCAAAATCTGATGGCTGCTGTCCAGCTGCTTTGCCAGAATAGTGTCCGTGAAGCCTCGCTGCAGCCTGTGATGTGGGAACTATCGTCATCCCACTTTACAGGTGAGGAGCCAGAACCCAGAGGGGTCAAGTGGCTTGCTCAAATTAAGACAGCTGGTGATTAGCAGAGCTGCGATCTAACACGGGGGCGTATAGAGCACCCTTAACATAAGTGACTCCATCTTAGAAAAAGACTCCATCTTACATTTCAAGAAGCAACATGCCAACAGGTACCAGATGTTTGCCTAATTAATGAAGATGGCACCCAACAAGATAAGGACATAAAAAGGCAGACTCTTTTACTATCAGTCCTCACCAGAGGACTCTGGTCATAAAAAGGAGGACTTCACCAGCTTGAAACAGCCTTCTTAACAGACACCGTCTTGCTGTCACTGGTGATAAGCAGCCAGCATCTGCCAACGAAGGCTCTGCCCACATCAAAGACTCTTCCTTGCAAGACATTGTTGTGCATCTGGATCAAGCCAGGACACTCTCTTTGTCCACATCACTTGCCCCAGACTGGTTTATTAATCCCTACTCCTATCTCTTTTTCTCTTGATGCTAAATGTTACTTGGTTTGATGTGGAATGTTTAATCTGTAACATTTATATACTGATTAAGTATACTCTTATGTATGGTTTGCAATATTGACTGACCTGTGGAGTGGCTTCAGTCTGTGTGCCCACAGCTCTGATACAGAGTGAACTCCATGTAGCTCATGGTTTTCATTATTAAAATAGCCTCAATAAAAGTCTGACCTTGTGGAAAGACACAAATGTGCATGGACCTGGTTATGTCTGACCTTGAGCTGCTTATGACAGGGAGGCCCACCCCGAGGCCAGGGTCTTAACAACCATGCCTCTTCCAGAAGGAATCTGTCTCACCCACACACCAAAACATCTCAACTTATAGATTATGTTTCCAAAAACACACTGAGGTCTCTGACACAGAACTCACAGCTAGAATGGGGGGAAATGTGGCCCATCTTCCATTTTATCCCATTAGAAAGCCAGCATCCAAGATTCCAACTCGGCGCCATCTAAAGCACTCTTGTAATTTATCAATGTAAAATCCAGAGCAGACAATCCATGTTAATTTTGAAATGGGAAATTTCCATTAGCTTTATAAACTGCAGCGTACAGTGGAATTTAGTAGACACTGAGTAAATTAGAAGCTGCCCTAAATTTAAAAAGCTACATAAGTCTTCCATGCTAATTTTATCTTTTTAAAGACAATGTAATGACATTGAAGTAAATTTCCGGGGGTGAGAACAGAGCTCATCTCTAACCCAACATAACCAGGTTTAGTTCTGCAGAGTCCCCTTGGGCCCTTGTCCTCGGGCAGGCAGTCAGGATTTATATAGCTATAATCATACATCCCAGGGATTTGTCCAAACATGCTCCTGTAAAACTTGAAATAAAATATAATTGAATTATAATAGAAAATAAGATAGTTTTAAATGCCTACTTTGGTTATTGGCACTTACAACACCTCAGGATCTAGAAACCCCTGAGTACATAAGTGAATAGAGAATGAGGCTGGCTACAGAGGCTGCACCCAAGCCCCAGCTGAGTTAAACTAAAAACAGTGGTCTTTGCAGCTCTCTGGAATCTTCCCTCTGGCGCAAAGGTAGAGGGCTCCTAAGAGAATAATGAGGAAATAGCAACCACCAGGAAATGATAAACTATGGCTCTCAAAGTTTTACATTTTTGCTTATTTAATTTTTGCTTATAAGGCAGGTCTAAAACTGGAGTTTGGAAATTAAATTGGAAGCTGTGATTTGGAAAAAAAATGAAAGTCATATTTGGTTGACGTGATGCGTGAGCCTTATTGTGTGATTGTATGTTATCTCTTTGGGTAAGACAGAAATTGAAAACCAGGGTAAGAAAATTAGAGCTAATTGACCTAAATCACGTGTTTTGCCCTGAGGGTGTTGCATCTCATTTCCACTAGGAACTCTGTAGAGGGGAGCGGCTGTTGTCTTGCTGCTGTCTCACTGGATGGAGAAGGGAGTGTCTAGCCAGGCTGTTCTCAATTTGCTACAGTTGGGCCCAAAAGTCAGCTGGAAGGGAGAGTCAGAACCCTGTGTGCTTGCCCCCCACCCAACCTTCACACACTCATCAACCAAACTACCAGTCCCCTGGGTGTCCAGAACCTGCCACTTTGCCCCATCCGCCCAAACCAAGGGCAGGAAAACATGAACTGGACACCTGCTTCGGCTGCCATGTTCCAGGACAGAGAGGGCCAGCCCAGTCTCATCCCACTGCTCTTAGTTTGTTTTCTATTTTACTGAGGTGGGAGGGGAGTTCAGGGAGAAGATCCCACAGATTTAAGAAGTCTGAGGACCAAATAAAAGGTCCAGGAGACATAGAAAAGGAACAGCTCCGGGCATGAAGGAGAGTGCAGAGGTGAGCCCAGCCAACAAGCCTTCATGAACAGCGCAGTCTTGGACCATGCCAGAGAAAGGCTGAGCCTGGTGAATATTCAGAATCCACAACCTCCAGAGCTAGTGAACTAGTCCCTTAGACAAGTTAAGATAAAAAGACAAGAAATTATCTATCAGTCCTGTGAGGACAAAAGGAGGCAGTGAGAAGTGGTATCTAGTTATGTTAACACAAAGCCTGGGTTTTGCTTCCCATTTCTGTGCTAGATCCAGGATTTATTTCAACATCTTGGGTGGCAGGTGGAGGAATAAATGAAGCTGGAGATGCTGCTCACTAACCTGGGGAATATGGAAGTCAATCAACAGAAGTATGTATAGTAACATAAAGGTCACTGCGGGCATCCCTGGTGACAATGTCGGAATCAGGTAGAGTATTATATAGAGAGGTCCCATCCGAGCTCCAGCTCCGATAGCCAGCCCCAGAAGCTGAGCCGGGGCACAGCAAGGGAGGAGAGTCCACACTCCACACCCCCCTGGATACTGCTCAAGCATTTCACCTCCTGCGCCTCATTTGACCTTCAGAAGTGCCTTGTTGGTAGCTAAAATAGCTACTCAAACACCTATTTTTCCAGCTAAAGAAATTAATGATGACTAGATCAGAGAAATCTAAAAGATAGACATTGTGCAGGAACGCAACCATCCTCAATAAAATTAGCCTTAATTAACACTGTGGCTGTGGTGTCTCAGTCAGCTCCAAATTCATTCCACATTGGCTATTCCATAGACAACACCACTTCTTATTACCCCTACAACACTATGTACTACAAGATGCTCCAAAACAATGAGCCACTAAAGCAAAAAAAAAAAAAAAAAAAAAAAAATCACCAATTAGACCATGACATGCCGTCCACTTCAAAGGTAATAAAATAAAATATGGCCTGTAAAACCAATTAAATATGGTGTAAAAGAAAAAAATAAGGGCAAGGACATTAAGAAGAGACTTTGCACACACATCATTTTTTTTTTTTTACATTGCAAGTAAACCAATGATTTTGTGCATTATACTCCAAAGAAATAAAAAGCAGAATTAAAGAGAGCCAATTTCATTTATCATTCTCTTGGTGATCCTTCAAAGTGGCCAAAGTTCATACTCTAGTAAAAATTTGACACAAAATATGCTATGTGAGCTCAGTAAAGCTGCAAGGAAGAAGCCTGCGAAACACTCATCACCTGGGGCTGTGGGCAGGGACAGGGGATCTGAGCACCCATGTACCTGTTTGGAGTCCGGAGTTCGCAGGTTCAGACTGGCCGTGGAGATGGTCAGAGAGATGCTCATTCCCGCAAACTGGAGGTTGCTCTTTCCCAAGATGCTGGACAGCATTTTGCTTGGAGGCTGTGAAATTAAAGAGCATTATTTTAGCTGTTTCATTTCCATCTCAAAGGGTGGGGATGTGGATGCCTGCCATACCCCTAAACTCTCACTAACTGTTCCTCCCTCCTTAGGCATAAGAAGACAAAATGTGAAATGAATAAGCTGGGAGTAGGGGGATCCGAAGCTAATAAGCAAATTTTAGAATATGCAACATGCAAATTATAAACCATATAATATGCAAATGCTGAGGTGAAAACTCTTGCAGGCAGGCAGAGGCATCAGTCTTCCAGGCCTTTTCTCTGGCCCTGTTGGGAAGTGTCTCATGGAGAAGTCCTCATATGTAAACCTGGGGAAAGCCCATCACATTTTGTACGCTCAGCAACCTGGTATCATCACACCTACTTCAGAGGAAGAGTCAAACTAACTTAGAGGAAGACTAAAGCAGGCCAGCTCTAGGGGATTACAAGAATCCCAGAGAGATGCAAGGATGTTCGCGGCCGAAGGGAATGGACCACAAATTTTTTGGAGCAAACACTCTCCCTGGTCAAGGTTCTCATGGACTGTCCTCTTAAAAACCCATGGGCCTAGAGCCAGCATAAGGATAGATAGACATGGCCTGGCTGTAACTGGTATACAGTTCCCATTACCCTGTCAGAAATGTCCTTACAGGGGACTGACAGCTGTGTTTTGGGGCCAGGGACCTTCTTCCTAGGTACCTGGGTGGGCAATGCCCTTTGGTACCAACCCATCCCTTCTTTTTGGATTAGAACACTCTCTCTTTTGATATGCTAATTAGTTCCTAACCAGGTGCACACCCTTTTTAATCCCCTGAAGGAGATATTTAAAAACAGAGATGCTGAGGCCCCACCCATGAGATTCTGGGTGGAGCCAAGAAACGGGCATCGTTTCCACCAAGAGAACCATGAGGATGCCCCAGGATGAGCTGGGACCTGGAAGATGAGATTCCCCTTCTTCGTTCTCAGTTGCCGTCCTAGTTCCTATAGTGGAGACTCTGGAGCCTTACTTGGTTCCCCATGGACTGGCCAGAACATGGGCTGGCACATCTGAGTCTTCATTCAGAGTTCTCTTCCGAAACCCAGCTGCCCTGTGGGTGCGTGAAAGTCCCCAAGCTCTGAAGACAGAAACAAGCTTGAGCCTGGGATCAGCAGAGCCACACATGCAGCTGCCCAGATGATCTGGAATCAGGAATGTGCAACCTCAGGGCAGATTCAGAGGTTCTTTGAAGGACGCTTTCTCCACAATTCAGGTTAGGCATAGAAAAGCCTTGATTGTGGATTTAGCTGGGTATTCACTAGACAACTTAACTGAAGAGGTTTTCATGGTTTCTCCTAATCCAGGCTTTTTTTTTTTCCTTCTGACTCAAATATCTTCAGGATGAAAAGTCCTAGTGCAGTGTTTGAACATGCAGCCTGTGGAGCCCAGCCCTCTGAGCTTGCTCTCAGACAACATCTACCTGCATTGTGGCCTTTCCCCTCCGTTCACAGTTGTCATCATCTGTAATACGGGGATATCCAGTGGTATTCTAGTGCTGGCTTGGCCCAGCTGATGGGAGCCAATTATTAAATTTTTCAGAATTTTATAATCTGACTATTAATCACAGCTGTTATTAAAAATGAATGTATGTAAACTTACAATTAAATAAATTACCTTTAAAAAAACAGACAATAGGGCCGGGCATGGTGGCTCACACCTGTAATCCCAACACTTTGGGAAGCCAAGGCGGGTGGATCACGAGGTCAAGAGGTCGAGACCATCCTGGCCAATACAGTGAAACCCCATCTCTACTAAAAATACAAAAATTAGCTGGGCATGGTGGCGCACACCTGTAATCCCAGCTACTCGGGAGGCTGAGCCAGGAGAATCGCTTGAACCCAGGAGGCGGAGATTTCAGTCAGCCAAGATCACGCCACTGCACTCCAGCCCGGGGGATAGAGCGAGACTCTGTCTCAAAAAAACAAAAAAAAAAACAAAAAAAAACAGACAATAAATGCTCAACATGCATCACTTCCTAATTCTTTTGCTGCATTAACTACTAACTGTTTTTCAAGTTATTTATGCCCACAGTACCTGTATGGCAGAAACATTATACAACCATGAGCTACTACATATCTCTTCCCGACTCTGTTTTCACGGGATATAATTTTGAGAAATTGAAATCGGCCACAGCAGAGGTATTGACATCACACAAATCAGAAAATGCTACAAACTTTCTTTTTCATTCCCCTGCCCAACCTGGAGAGCTGGTTGTTAAACATTTACCAGCACACCACTGGGGATATCTAACTCAGTTGTTGTAGTTAAGTAAATTGATGTATTGAAAGTGCTTAAAGGAAAGCCTGACCCTGTTTTAAGTGTCTGTTGTTATCATTATCTTCAGAGTTTAAGCCACAGTGAATGAGTAACCAGGGTGTCTACTTCTGAGACAGGGACAGCTAACTGTCCTCAACCACGTGAGAGAGAAAGCAATCTAAGCCCTTTCTGCTTTTAGAAGTAGCAAGCGCCGGGCCACAGAAAGAGGACAATGAATAATTCTGTGTGACTGAAGATACCGAGTGGCAAAAAAGAGGAAGTAGAGGAGACACAGTTAGACACAGAGCATTGAGGACAGTACCTTTCTCTTCTTGAAGGCTCCCTTCGCACCAGGCACAGCTTCACAGACGCGGCTGATGGCTTCCCTTAGGACAGGAAGAAAAAGCAATTTTATTACGTGTCAGTCGGGATTATGGAACCCAGAGATGCTACACTTGCACATCCAAAGAAAATAACTGCCTGTTTATTTCAGTATAGAAAACAGAGCTGCCAATTTGGGAGTCATCCGATTCTTCTTCTAAAACACAAAACTAAACAAAACGCAAACAGGTCATCGTAAAACCTCTCCTGGCAATATTCTAGTTCTCTTTGTTGTGGTGGCTGGATACTAACAATGTCATCTGTGTCAATGCTACACTTTTTTTTTTTTTTACATTTTGCTAAGATTCTATTTTTGTAAGTCAGCACCCTAAAATATTCTCTTCCCGACACTGTGATGCTATCTATCTCCATGGCTTTGGTCAGGACATCAGGCCCAAACCTAATCAACCACCTTGATTGATTGAGATCCTTCTTAAGTGAGTTAGAATGTAATTAAAAGAAACATGGTCATCCCGAGTTTTATTCCCAGTTTCTGCGGTTAGTGAATCTTACAAAATCAAGAGGGGTTGGAAGGAGAAGAGGAACTGCAGGGTGTATAAAGAACCCGGCAGTGAGGTGATGTGCAGGGCAGTTCCATGGAACCGCACTGGTGAGGCTGCTGGGACGTGCAGGCATGGGTCCCGGTGGAGGAGGCAGAGTGTCCTGGTGCTGAGTGGCCGGGGGCAAGAGTCCAACACGTGGTTCTGCATGGGGCAGGAGGACCCCAGAGGGTGAGGAAGCAAGACAGGATGGTCACAGCTGAGGGCTAGGGTGGCAGGAAGGGAATGCTGGAGAGGAAACACAGCTCAACCTCATGATCCAGCCTAAGTGAGAAATGCCTGGGAGGTGGGCAAAGGTGGTTCCAAGTCAGGGGTCCAGAAAGGAGCTGGTGACCCTTCCCACTCACACATGGAGGAGAAAATACTACTGCATAGAAAAAAATCAACAGGGACTTGGAGACACGGTGAACAAGAGAAGATAATAGGTCCTCAGAAACATTCTATAAACTTTCCGAGCTCAATACTTCTTCAGATTAATTTCTACCATGTGGACGAAAAATAATCACCATAACAACACAGTGCTTTGAAGAGAAATATGTCCATATCAGTTACGCAACAGACTATCAGGACAAGCTTCCCATTTGCCACTCAATTTATTGTAGAGAGCAGGGAAGGAAACATTTTCCTAAAAGCTCAGATGCCAGGAAAACCGTAGGCAATGAATCATCATGACATGGAAAAAGTGAAGCAAGAAACAAATGTTTTTGATGTTTATGCTTACTCTTATTCATTTTATAATAATATTCTAACTGTGTTTCTATCAAAGTGACCAATCACGTATCATCTAAAGTACTTTCTAAAAGCTAACTTCTTATTAAAGAAGGTCAAATTGTCTCTTTACAGAACTATATAAACCCATTATCTATATTTTATGTTTAATTTTTAGAAAACCAGTACAGTGAATCGCTGCATTGTATTTCTTATATTAAGTGACATACTTAGTTGAGCAAGGCAGCTAAACCTCTGATGGTTCCAGCAGGGTAGAAAGATATTACATGCTGAAGTGTCTCCCTTTAATCACTCCATAAATATTCCTGATAAGCACCGTATTTATTTTACCATCCACCAACATGGAGTCTAAAAGAAAAAAATCAGACTCCAAGGACAGTTATCCAAAAAGACACATAGTATCAAATGTCTCATCTAGTCAGGCCCTGGAGCTTGCAACAGGACCCAGCTGCTTCTGTGCTACTTTTGGGGAAGGGAGGTAGAAACTATGCATCACCAGTTAGAAGGAATTACAAAGCTCTGAAAACTGTTAACATTTCTTTCCAATACCTTTTCACACAGAACAGAATGCACAGGTCTCAGGGCACATTCGCAGATAGAAGAAGTTCCAAAAATTTCTCAGAGCTCATATACTCAGGGAAAATCCTAAGGATCCCACTTGTGAGTCTTTAGAATCCCCAAAGGAGTTTTCAAATGAAACTGCTTTTTAGAAAAATGTTCTCTTTTCATCACTGGCATAAATTCCTTCCTAATGCTCATACGATAACACGTGTGTGTGAATTCTCATTTCAACCACGCTGATGGCATCTATTTCTGTTTGAAATAGAAATGCAGCATAACTATTAATAACTGCAATATTTAGATGCCTGGAATGAGTTACTTTAACTCCAAAATCTAATTTTAAATGTAACTATTCTCAATTCCCCTTCTTGCTGTTTAAGTGTAGTACGTTTTGGTAAGCAGTACTGTTTCCATTTGTTCGTTTAGCAATCATTATTTAGCTTTATGTAGTTCCACTTAATCCCCATTTGAGTCTCAGGTACCAATTTTGCCCTGTTTTTAATCATAGGGATTGCTTCTTAACATTCTGTTCAGTATGACCCTGTTTCTGTGAGCCAAATCAAGACCTCAGAACTCGGCTAATTTGAAAATGGGACATTTGGCAACCTCTGTGGTCATCTGAAAGTCTCGGAAGCCAGCCCAACCGCCAGATGTGAACCCTCATTGTCCTCATGATTTCACCATCTTCCCTTCAGAACTGGACTCTTTGAAATCATGTAGTAGCATCTTTCTCCCTCCTCATCCATCTCACTACAGCCCATCCCAAGGCCCCACAAGGAATGGTCTATGTGACTGGCATGGGTCAATGCACATCAGTAGAGAAAGAGATACCCAAGAAGCAGCATTTGAGTGAGTGGGCAGCTATGCAGGAAAAAATTATGTTGGGCTCCTATCTCTTGCCTTATATGCAAATAAATTACAGATGGGTCACAAATTGAAATCATTTGTAATGAAACGATGAAAGTAGTAAAAGAAAACTAGGAAGAATATATATATATATATATATATATGTATGTATACTTTTTTTTTTTTTTTTGAGACTTAGTCTTGCTCTTTCACCCAGGCTGGACTGCAGTGGTGCTATCTCAGCTCACTGCAAGCTCCGCCTCCCGGGTTCACGCCATTCTTCTGCCTCAGCCTCCCAAGTAGCTGGGACTGCAGGCGCCGGCCACCACGCCCAGCTAATTTTTTGTATTTTTAGTAGACATGGGGTTTCACCGTATTAGCCAGGATGGTCTTGATCTCCTGATCTTATGATCCGCCCTCCTCGGCCTCCCAAAGTGCTGGGATTACAAGCATGAGCCACCACGCCTGGCCGGGAAGAATATTTTAAAATTATCTTTTAGTGGAAGGATGTTACAAAATCCAGAAGCCATAAAAGAAAAATATTGACACACTCAATAGCATAAAAAATTTATGGACAAGAAAATATGTAACATTTCACAGTCAACAAAGTAATTGTCTTAATAAAAGTCAGCAAGGAAACTATCAAAAGCCCAATAGAGGGCGGAGCAAAGGATATGGATAAAGAGTTCTCAGGAAAGGCAATACACATGGCTCCAAAAAACACAAACACATACTCAACTTTAATGGTAACCAGAATGCAGATTAAAGCCTATACTGAAATTCTATTTTCATAGCCAAATATTGAAGCTTTACAGTCCTTTGCAGGGAAGAAGGCACCCTACTCAGTGCTCCATAATACCCTCCCACCCCCACACCCTGAGTGAGTTTCTTGCCTCTTCTGAGAACCCTGAGACTCTAAAGTTCCAGCCTCTGAACCTCCCCCTGCTTATCCCCTCTTCTGGCCACTGTGTGACCAGAACCCTGAGTGAATGTGTGCTGGTACAATAAGAATATCCCACCCCCCTAGTCCTTTCTAATTCAATGCATTCAGTTGGCCCTGCTCCTCCCTGGGCTGGATGGAGCCATGAATCTAATCCACTCACCTCCACACAAGAAAAAGTCTTCCATCACTTAACGTGTAACCCTATTTATCTATTTTTAGTAATAAACATGTCCAGGCCCAGCAGAACAGTAAAAACCCTGACCTTCATTTAAACCTCCTCTCCTCCCTCCCTAAGGCCTGCCTAGGGAACCTCCAGGTGGCCACGGAAGAAAGTGCCTCCTAACCTTTCAGCTGCAGCTCCTGACCCCTTGGTGAGGTAGGGATGACTGCAGGGGGTGGATACAGAGAGGTCAGGGGTGGAGAGGTGACACTGACAGCCCCAGTGCTGAGCCCTTTGGCCAGGCTGGTAGTACCTTGCAGGGAAACAGGCGACCCCCTTGGTGCTCCTGGATGTCCTCCCACCCCCATGCCCTGTGTAAGTTACTTGTCTCCTCTGAGATTCTTGAGACTAAATCTCCAGCCTCTAAGCCATGGCGAGCACCTCCCCTCCAGGGCTCCACCCAACCCCTCTCCTCTCAGGGACACTTTCCTTTTTTATTTGAAGACTCCTCCCCAGGAGCAAGGAGGTACCCATGGGTGCAATGGACAGTGTCTGTTCTTCACCCCACACACCCGCTCCCTCCCAGCATCCACACCAGAGGGAAGCTCCAGCTTCTTGCTGGTGACATGGCTCCTGTCATCAGCAGAAAGCTGACTGGGCCACATAGGTACCCCTCCCTGGAACCAGCACCTCTGCCAGGCTATAGCAGGAGGGCAGTTGCTCCTCAAACACAGCCACTCCTGCTGCATGCTTCCCTGTGTGAGTTGGACATCGGTCCATGGGGCCACCTAGGCCCTGGTGACATGTGTCAAAGTCTTGGTCATCTCCTAAGCCCCTCACTGACTCTGAAGCTAGAGGGAACCATCGCCCCTCCTCCATGGGAGGACTCACAGGCCACTAAGGACTTGCTCTTATTCTCTTTATAACTTTAGGGTGAGGGTTGGGCAAAGTGCAGCAAAATAGATTCTCACCCCTCTTCCCAAGCCCTTTGTAGGAGGGCCAGCCCTCCCTTGAACTGTTGGAGTCCTCCTATGCCCCACGGACCCCAGGCAAACTTTACCAGAGTCCCATTTTAACCTGCGGTTGCCTCCCGCCCTCCTGTCTGAAGGGACCTCATAGTCTCTGGACTCTGAATGCTTCAGCAGCAGGCGGCTCACCCACCTTCCCCACTGGCCCGCTCATCTCCGAGTACCAGAATTTTATAGATAGATACCACACCCAATTGTTAGCTCCGCTTCAGTGTCTTAAAATCATCACAAACTTGAAGTTTTCAAACACAGCCTTAATTTTTCCCACCAATAATATTTCTCTCCAGCCTTCCCAGGACAGAAAACAGCACCGTGGTCCACCCAGCAGCTCTCACCCCACACAAGGTAGCAGTCCTGGGTCTCTCCCTTACCAGCCACACACCAAACCCATCACCACCCTGCCTCCATGGGGAAGGTGAGCCAGGCTGCACTCCCCAGAAGCCTTCAGAGTAGTGGAGGAGACAGGATAACACAGTCACACGTGTACTATGAAGGACTGGAGTGTGCAATTCTACCTTTCAGAGGAGCAAGAGGTCAGTTACCTGGTCAGCAAAGAAGCCTCAATGCCAAAGAAGCAGGTGCTGAAAGAGGCAGTGGAGGAAGATCCTATAAAAATACAAACTGGAGCCCAGACCAGGAAGGAGCACAGCAGGACAGTGGACGTGCAGGAGCGCCAGCTGGCTGGGGCCAGGTGTACAGAATCCCGGGATAAGGCAGAACCATGGAGGTTTCTGATTCAGGTCTTAGAGGCATTTCAGGATATGCCAAGGAGCAGGAAGCAACCAACGCCTTTTTACTAGACCCTGATATGATAGAAATAGTGTCAGTGTGTAGACAGGCAGAAAGGGCTGAGAAGCTGCAGGCAGGGAGATGAGCTGGGAAGTTACTGATGTTGTGACGGCCAGACTTGGATGGTGAGAGTGAAAACGAAAAGAAGACCATTTGGAGAAGAAGCCCACAGACCTGCTTCATTATGGAGACTGTTGCTGAGGGCAGCCCCACAGATGACTCACTCTTTCATCTTGGGGACGGCCTCTCTCTTTTTCTCATGGGTCATTTTCTCCATCCCGAAGCTGTTGACTCCAGGTGGGCCATGTCTGAGAGCTGGATTTGCAGTAGGGACAGAGCTGGGAGGCTGCCAGCTAGGCCGAGGGCACGTAGGAGCCCAGGCACCAGGAGTGAGAGTTCAAGGGCAGAGGGACACAGAACCAATGGCTTCTTCCCAGTTTCATCCACAGCCAAGCAGATTAGTTTCCCAGCTCCAGCACACTAAGCATCCAGCCATAACCAAACCATTCGGAGAAACTGAGAGTCAGAAATCATAGGCATCAAAAATACCATAAACCTGATTTTTTAAAAAGTCATTTGACCAAGATGTGTTGAAATCACTTTAATCTTGTATGTTGCAGACATAACAAAAGAGCCATGGATTTCAGAATCTGCACACCCCTGGAGAAATTGACTTCCCTTACACCTTAGCAGTTCACCTGTGCCATTATAATCCCAGCATTCTCCTGAGACCTCATTCTGTGCTTCAGCCTTTGGTTTACTCCAGAAAGGTGTTTAAATATACACACAGGGGTAAATAAATACTGGTTGGTAATTATTAAACAGATGTCAAAAAAAGTATCCTATATATTCACATAAAAGCCCAAATAATGAAACTAGAAAAGAGGTTCCTAAACCATGCTGAAAGAGATCTCAGAAAGTGAAAGATAAGCTCTTGGGATTACTAAGAATGTATTGACCAAAAAAGTAAAGCCCAACAGAGACAAAATTGAGGCTAATTTTCCTTTCATGGTTTAAGTAACTAATTAATAAAGTTCACTTGAGGTCACAGGTCATGTCACAGGCATCTTCACTGGACAGATCAGAGACTTGCTTTATTCTTATAAACACTTTCATTGAATTATTTTTTCTCCTTTAGAATTCTAACAGTTGGGTTAGAATAAGCCTTCTGCTCTCAAATTGACTGCTTCCTGATGCCGATATGCCAATCAAGGGGAGAAATCCACACTCCTCAGTTTTCCCACAATTTCGTAAATGAGCCAAGTTCTCAGGCAATGAGGAAGAAGCCTCCAATCTGTGCTGCACCCTGAGGGAGATGGTGCCATGTCTCTCAGATGAGCCATCAAGAAGCTGGACCACCAAGGCGCTGGACCCATGAGGGGCTGGACTGGGTTGGATGGGGCTGCCCAATACAGTGTGGAATCTAGAGACCCACGGAACCCTGCACACACCTGTCTTCACTGCCAGTTTTTAGGAATTACTTATCTTTTGGGAAAGATGCATTTTGTGAGATCAAATACCACAGGCTTTAAAGATCTCAGTTCCACTGATTCCTTAGTCGTAAAGCATGAATACAGGTGAAGTGAGCAAACTTGGCCCCAAAGCTTCTGCCCTTTGGAAACACACACACAAAAGAAAAGGGGACCACTGTGGTGCCTGACACCAGGCTGGGACTTGTTCTAAGTGCTCTGAAGGCATTATGTGTGCATCCCATGAAGCTCAGGGCAAGTCTCCATCACAGCGTCTCCCTTTTGCACCAGTCTTGACTGAACCACGTAAACCTGGGCTGAATCCCTGGTCTCTTCCCTCAGCCTTCTGTTCACTTTTCCTTGTAAAATGGCAGCTAAATCATTTCAGGTGCCTTCCTCAGCCAAGGCAGTCAGACGGCTCTAAGATGAAGAGGCCAGTCTGTCTCCCGTGCTCTCGCAGTTCCCCATGCCAGATCCCTGAGGCAGTGAAGAAATGTGCCAATAAGAGCTTCCCAATAAAGTCTTTTTCCGTAGGATTCTGCAGGTAGATAGACACAGGTCTCAGAGGCCACTAAAAATAGGCTGAGACAATAGAATTCCGAATGTAGCCCTGATGGGCAGTCCTGAGCCACACAGACATTTTCTCCATAATTGTTCCACTCCGGGACCTAATGGTTTCCATCCAGTTTCTGTTTAATTCAGCTTCATACAAGGCTTTCCTGGGGCACAAACCTGCAGAAGGTAACACTGAACCCACCTCCCAAAGACACACATTGGCTCTCCAAAATAAGGACACAGGGCTCATCAACCCTCAAGGCATTAGAGTTCTAGAAATGCTTTCCAAACGCCTCCTCATCAACCTGGCAAGGAGTGCCCAGTGAGCAGCCACACGAGTTCCTTCCTCAATAAAATCCTCAGGATCCCACATTTCCAGATTTACAGTACAGTGGCTTCCACCCAGGCCACCAGCCATGGATCTGTATGAGTGATTAACAACCAAACGTGCAGTGGGGGCTTTCTGTGAGGGTTAAATGACACATCTATGAATCTATACAACTTAGCATTAATAGAGCCTGGCATGGGGCACATGCAAGTTAACCATTAATGTTACCATCATCAATATCTCCATGGAAGAAACAAAACTGTTTTCCTCTGCTGTCACACCACCGCTTGAACAAGCCATCAATTCTGCAGCAGATGCCAGCTGGGTGTCCTCCAATTCAGATCCCCAGGCTGAGGGCTCAGTGTCCCCAAGACTGTGCCCCACTTCCGATGCCAATCTCAGTCCCACAGGGGTAAAATAAAGTCCCAGTTTATTTTACCTCTCCTTCTGACTAACTGGCTACAAATCAGGGTTCCCACCACCCCCAGCTTGGGTTCAATTAATTTGCGAGAACGGCTCACAGAACTCAGGGAAACACATTTACTGGTTTATTCTAAAGGATATTGCAAAGGATGCAGATGAAGTAATGCATAGGATGAAGTATGGGGGAAGGAGCGTGGAACTTCCATGCCCTCCCAGGATGTGACGCCCTAGAGAGGACCCTCTGCATGTTTAGCTGTCTAGCAGCTCACTGAACCCAGTCTTGCTGGGTTTTTATAGAGGCTTTGATCATATAGGCAAGATTCATTAAATCATTAACCATTGGTGATCACTTAATCTTCAGCCCTTCTCCCCTCTCCAGAGATTAGGGACGGGGCTGGAAGTCCCAACCTCTAACCCTGCTTTGATTTTTCCTGTGACAAGCCCCCAGCCACCAGTCACCTCATTAGCATACAAAAGACACATTACTTTGAAGATTCCAAGGATTTTAGAATCTTTTAGTTGTATGCCAGCAAACAGGACAAAGACCAAATGCATATTTCACAGTACACAGTATCCATATCAAAGCTGCTTGTGCATGTTATCTTTCAGTCGTTGGGGGCACATGCACTGATCCTAAGATATATCTTATATGCAAATAAATATATACACATATATACAATAAATATATACACATACATACGTGGCCCATGGGGTGATTGCACGTCCTCCTCACTACCGTGGGTTCCACCATGCATGCGCACACCCATCCGCCCACATGACACATATATGTGCATCAAGGGACTCCAGATGTCCTTGGCTATGAGGCACAAACCCTCAGGAAGTCCACAGGAGAACTGGAATTAAAGCTAATTTTCCTATTTTCCAATCAAGGAAACTGATGGCAACAAAGTCAAACACATAATAGTAAACATCGTCAATCAGAAAATACCAGAAGTTCTTTCATCCAAGTAGCCTAACTTATGTTTCCCTGATCCCTAGGGTGAAGATCACCTTGCCATAGCATAATTTCTCCAACACTGGCCCCTACATTAGGAGAAACTAATGTGGAAATACTCTGTGAGACTAACCACAGCAAATCAGAACGAATCAGAACTTTCCCCTCCCCTCACCAAGCAGTGCTTAGAGGAAAACAGAAGTGTGATGGCCTCCCCCTGCTCTTGGGGTGCCTGCAGGGGGACGAGGTCCACCACAGAGCCCAGGCAATCAGTGTGGGAGGGAGAGCCAGGGGATCCCACATGCCTGCTTCTTGTGGTGGTCCACTTTGCTCATTCAAAAATTTCCTCCCTTGTTGACATTTTGTTTTAGGCATTTATAAGGCAATGACAGATTACTATTATTATATACTAATTCTAGATGATATAAACCAAAAATAAAATTCTAAGCCCACCAACCAACTGAACTGACCTCTCCTCTTAGCCAAGAGGATTCCAAAGTAAACGTGAAAAACTAGTTCAGGTCCTGATGGGAAGAGGGGGTCAGACATGCTTCATTATACACTCCTCCCTTAGAATTCAGGCAAGGCAGACCAGCATTAAGATGAGAACAGAGACCTTAAGATTGATAGATCAGACTCTTTGTAGCAATAAGATACCAACATGACAGATAGTAGGCCCTGAAGGAAATGAAAGTATTTTACCTCAAATTACATTTCTAGGACATATTTTGAAATGGCCCTGCAAAGCTGTCTCTTGTGGGGAAAATCTACACTCTGTAGAAAATCCCCTTCTCTTTCCAGGTCTTTTCCTGACCCAGGAGAGATTTAATTATGATTCTGGCACCTTTTAGGGTTGGTTAAGAGACCTTTACTATCCATTTTCTCTGAAGCCTGCTACCTGGAAGCTTCATCTACATACTAAGAACCTTGGTTTCCACAACCCCTTATCTTAACCCCGACACTCCTTTCATTTGATTCCAGGTCTTTAGATAATAACTCTTTCAACCAATTGCCAATCAGGAAAATCTTTCAAGCCACCTATGGTCTAGAAGCTTCAAGTTGTCCTGCCTTTCTGGACTGAACCAATGTACACCTTACTTGTATTGATTGATGTTTGCCTGTAACTTCTATTCCCCTAAAATGTATAAAATCAAGCTAAAACCCAATGACCTTGAACACATATTCTCAGGACCTCTTGAAACTGTGTCTCCAGCCTTGGTCACTCATATTTGGCTCAGGAAAAAAACCTCTTCAAATGTTTTACAGAGTTTGACTGTTTTTGTCAAAAAGATGAAAAACACAGAATACAAGAAATCAACATAAAGCCTTTAGAAATAAAAACTCCATGGACATAATGGGTCTGTTGTTTTTAAAAACATCTTTAATATCAGGGAAAGAGGTACAATGCAATCAGTAGAAAGGTCACCAGAAAAGAGGAAGGAGGAACAACGAGCTGTGGGGAAATGCTGATGGGACAACCAGAGGGAGAGGGGCCTGCACGGAGAGCAGGCAGAGGAGGGTACAGGGGAGAGGTATACGGTCATTACCACGACAAAGGGATGGAAACAGAGAGCACAGAATTTCCAGCAGGCAGGATGCATCCACAGCACCCAGGGGAGAACCCAGCAGAGGCCGTGAGAAAAGCCTGGGCACCGCGGAAGCAGCAGGAACCATTCTGGGTGAGACCACACCTGCAAGGCAAGAGAGAAGATGCTGGTTTATTCTTCACAAACTGTGAACGGTGTTCCTCATCTGCAAAGCTTCCTGCTGGAGGGGCACTTCCTGCAAGTATTTATTTAGACGGTGCTATCGACTCGGTGGCACTGTTCTGTGGCAGAATCTGCCTTCGAGAGGTATTTCCCCTTTCTGATCACCGCACAGAGCCTGTCCATTCCAGGGCAGTTCTACTGGATGATGCACCAGAAGCTGGCTGTCCCATCTTAGTCCTTATCTCTGACCTCTTTCTATCAATATTTGTGTATTTCTATGTGCATGTGAAAAGAAGCCCCACTGATAGAATTGGAGGAAGAGAGAAAGAAAGAGGAAACCTTAGAAAGGACCTGAGTGAGACAGAATAAAATTTCTAGGAAGTATATCTTGGAGGTGCCATGTGCAACGCTGATCTTGGAGTTAGGTGCCATGTGCAACGCTGATCTTGGAGCCTGGGGGGTGGAGCAGGAGGGAACTGGGACCTGGGGCAGAGTGTCCAGCTTTTTGAGAACCAGCTCCAGACCTTAAAGCTCACACACCACCAGAAGCCAGCACTGCCCTTAGGCAAGGGGGCAGCTGCTGGGTTTTATGCCCCCCGACACACTGAACCACCATACCTAAGACAAAGGAGTGATCCTTCCCATTTGGGAAAAGTAAACCAAAATTAAAGGAAATAAACTCAGAGGAGGGTCTTAACTCTTCCCAGAATCACACAATATTGGTGGAGTCAAAATCTGAATTGAGCTCTTCCAGGCTTCAGAGCCACTTTTTCCCAGGTCCCAAGTCTTCTTGGGGGCATGAGGATGGGGAGGGGTCAGAGCCCACAGGAGCCCCTGACTGCTTTGACTTCAGCAGTCCACACAGCGACCCAGGAGGTCACACCACAGCCAGCACCTTCTTGGAGTGAGGAGTAGGAAGCCCCCAAGGGCCACGGCTCAGGCAAGGCAGAGTGCGTCACCCAGAGGCCTGCCGGGCAGGGCCGCCAGCTCTAGAGGAAAAACACTAAACTAAACTTACCTGCCCTGCCTTTAAAAACCACCCATGCACATCCTCAGGCCCACGAGCAAACACACGGAGCCCTGAGCGCCAGCATGGATAAATCACGGTCAGCGAGGCCCTGCAGACAGCATCTCATTTGATTTCTATGACAGTAGGAGATGTGGATGTTGCCCTTACTCCAAGGTGGAGATAAAATATATCTCCACCCACATATTATATATAAAATTTTATCTCCACCCATTTCTCTCTCCTCCAGAGGCAAAGAGAGTCCAGGACATTGGCCAAGACCACAAAGCTCTTGAACTGGGCTCTCTGTGACATGAGAACATGAGACTAGATGCATGCAGTGGAGAGAAGTGACAAAGATTATCCAGCCAAAGATCATGCCACCTGATGTGCCAACGGCTTTGGAGAAAGGCAAGACCATGGCCTCCCAGTGTAAGGTTATGGTTGGGAAGTAATTCTGCACCTGAATGCAAGCTGACTGCCACCCCACTAGTTTTGGCCGGCTGCTCTGTTAAGTAGAATGCTGAGGTCAGTGTGATCAATAACTGCCACTTTGCTGTCACTCCAGGGGATTGGTGGGTATGGGAGGCTTCCCCCAGGAGGTGAGGCTGCACAGGGCCTTGGAGGCTGAGGAGGTTTGAGAGAGGAGAGTGTGAGCTGAGCACACAGAAATGATGAAGAGAGAGGTCAGTTGAGCCCATGCGGATTGGGGGTGCACCAGGGTGCAGCCACAGAGAAAGGGGAGTGAGTGGCCTGCAGAAGGACCCACAACAGGGAACCCAAGAAAACAGGCAAGAAATCAACATGGGTGGTATCATGAATGCCAGGTGAGAGGACTTTCCTAAAGATTTAAGTAGTGAAAACTACAAGGAAATGAATATCAGGGTTTGCTGATGCAGAGCGAAATGAGGAAGAATCTTTTCCCTCTAATAGAAATGGAAATGACGGGGTGGGGTGGGGATCCCCCAGGCACATCTAGGACAAAACTGTGCAAGACATGGCATAACAAGTCAGATATAGCCTGCGTGAAGAAAAGCATAGCATGGTATTGGGGGACATAAAGCAAGATCTGAACACATGAAAACTCATGCTATGTTCCCAGAGATAAGGATGAAACATTATTATGAAGTAAATTCTCCCTAAATTAATTTATCAATTTAATTGAATTATAATTGTCATCCTAATTGATATCTTTTTGCACTGAACAATATGTTAGAGTGCATAAGAAATTTCAAAAATTGTGAAGAAAAATTTTAAAACAACAAGGAAGAATAGCAAGGAGAAATATGTTCTGCCAGATGAAAAACATGACTATAACACAACCAAAATCAGAACCAGAAGTTAATGGCACACAAACAAATGCATCAGCAGAAAACAAATGTTACCAGTGGACTGAAATTAGGTGTTCAGAAACAGAGTGTGTGGTAATTTAACATACAGTCCAATGGCATTTCAACACAGTGGGGAGATTTGGGCCTAACTGGCTATCTTATTACAGGTAAACTAAAAATCCATACATACAAAGTAAAATAAATGAAAATATTAGAAGATTAGTTTGATCTACAGTGAAGGAGATTGTCAAGACAGGAAAACTACAAGCCATAAAGGAATGGCTGATGGATGCACTCTAATAAAACATTTTTTAATATAAAATTTACCATTTTAACCATTTTTAAGTGTGCAGTTCAGTGGCATTAAGTACATTCACATTGTTGTGCAACCATTACCATTATCTGTTTCTAGAACTTTTTCATCTTCCCCAACTGAACTCTGTACCCATTAAATAATAATTCCACATAACTCCCCACTGCCTCATCTGGCCAGCCCCTGGAGACCTCTATTCTACTTTCTATCTTCATGAATTCAGCTACTGTCTAATAAACATTTTTTAAATGATATGGCAAGATATTACCAGCACATACAAAATATGCAAAAACTCCCACAAATTGATAAGAAAGTAAAGAGACTCCAATAAAAAAAATGGGTAAGTGAAGTGAACAGGTAATTCATAAGAAAGAAAATGAAACCAGACAGCACATGGATGTGAAAAAGTGTTCACATTTCTGTATGCAAAAACACTCAAAGGAAAACAATAGCAACTATTGTTTTGATGATAAAACTGGTTGATAGCAATATTAGCACTCAGTGCTGCATAGTTGTGAAGAAAGGGCCACTTTCCTAAATTGCATGTGATATGTGAATTTCAGGAGTCATCTGCAGCGGCCCACCTGTTGGAGTGTGGTTCAGCACAGAAGGGTGTAGGGACATTGAGGGTCCTCACAGCATTGTTTTGCCTAGCAAAAGAAAGCAAAACCAGGAATTGTTGACTATATTATCATACAGCCATATGATTTGCAACTATAAAAAATCAGGTTTGGCCTGGCGCAGCGGCTCACGCCTGTAATCCCAGCACTTTGGGAGGCCGAGGCAGGCAGATCATGAGGTCAGGAGATAAAGACCATCCTGGCTAACACGGTGAAACCCCATCTCTATTAAAAATACAAACAAATAGCCAGGCGTGGTGGCGGGCACCTGTAGTCCCAGCTACTCGGGAGGCTGAGGCAGGAGAATGGTGTGAACCCCAGAAGCAGAGCTTGCAGTGAGCCAAATTGCACCACTGCACTCCAGCCTGGGCAACAGGGCAAGACTCTGTCTCAAAAAAAAAAAAAAAAAAAAAAAATCAGGTTTTAGGCCCCAATCTACTGATCCATTCAAGGAAAAAGTAGATTGTGGAATGATGAAGATGGTATGATTCCCATTTCTAACACAAAAGAAGGAAGGTGTGTGTGTGTGTGTGTGTGTATGTGTGTGTGTGTGTATACCAAAAAATCTGGAAAGCTATTAACACTGGTCATCTTTATCTTTTCTTTCTATACCTTTATCTTGTTTGACTCATTATGAAAAGCATCTATTGTTTTAATTTAAAAAAATAAATCAGTTCATGTTGTTGCATGCATTGGTAGTTCATTGTAGTTCATTCCTTTTTATTGCTGGGTAGTATTTGTATCATGCACATATCAAAATGTGTTTATCTGTTCACTAGTTGATGGATAATTGGGCTGTAGTTTGAGTCCATTACAAAGAATGCTTCTATGAACATGGACATACTGTGGACATACATTTTTATTGCTGAATAGCATGGTAGATTTATCTTTAACCTTATAATAAACAGTCCACCTGTTTTCATAAGCACCTGTACAATTTCACATTCCTACCAGCAATAACACACAACACAGGTAGCCCTCAAAACCTTAAGCTAAGTGAAAGAAGCTAGACACATAAAATCTTGTACAGAATAATTCCATTTGTACAGAATTGCATAGAATGGTTCCATTTACAGGAAATTCTAGAAAAGGCAGAATAATAGTGCCAGAAAGGTCCTCAGGGAGATTTGGAAAAGGCTGCTGACTGAAAAAGGGCACAAGAGATTTTTGGGAGTGGTAGAAATGTTCTTGACTGCATGGATGAAGCAATCAAGAATCAAGAATTTGGTTACTGTCTAATAAACATCTTTAAAATGATAAGGCAAGATATTTCCAGCACATACAAAATATGCAAAAAGCTCCCACAAATTGATAAGAAAGTAGAGTCTCCAAAAAAAAAAAAAGGGTAAGTGATGTGAACAGATAATTCATAACAAAGGAAATTAAACCAGCCAGCACATAGATGTGAAAAAGTGTTCACATTTCTGGTACACAAAAGCACTCAAAGGAAAGGACAGGGGCTTGGGGGAGGGGTGTGTTACTGATGGGGTGGGGAACAGGGGCTTTCTTTGGTCTGGAATATTCTGATCTGGGTGACTATTACTTGGTGAATGCATACATAAAACTCCAATGAACAACACACTTAAGATTTGTGCACTGGTCGGGCGCGGTGGCTCATGCCTGTAATCTCAGCACTTTGGGAGGCCAAGGTGGGTGGATCACCTGAGGTCAGGAGTTTGAGACCAGCCTGGCCAATATGGTGAAACCCCATCTCTACTAAAAGTACAAAAATTAGCTGGGTGTGGTGGCAGGCACCTGTAATCCCAGCTACTCAGGAGGCTGAAGCAGGATAATTGCTTGAACCTGGGAAGCAGAGGTTGCAGTGAGCCGAGATTGCACCATTGCACTCCAGCCTAGGGTACAGAGTAAGACTCTGTCTCAAAAAAAAAAAAAAAAAGAAAAGAAAAGATTTGTGCACTCTATGAGACCTCAACAAATTCATATTTAAATCCCAAAATGAAAACAAAAACACGAGGCAGCAGGCTTGGGATGTAATTTGCTGTGTCACTAGGAGCCATTGTAGCTTTTGAAGCTAGGGAAAAATATGTTGAAAGTGATTTCAGAACAGGAATTGGCCATTTTTTCAGGAAGCCCTGGTCAGGGAAGAAGAGTTGCCCACGTTCTCAGGGGATGAATGTGAGCATCAGCCACTGGGTGAAGTGACAAGGCCTGGGAAGGCCTAAGGCTGGGTGGAAGGAAGGCAGGGGCCCAAGAAACATTTCAAAGAAGAGCACGCACAATTTGAAGATGATGACTCAATGACATGCAAAAGGTAGGAAGATTGTAGAAGTAATAACAGCCACAATTGACATTTATAGAGTGTTTACTAAGTGTCTGGCCCTTTTCTACAACTTTGCACATATTAATCTTTTAATATTGTAGGGATCATTATGATTTCCTTTTCATTAGTGGAACCTGAGACCAGAGAGGGTAAGTAGCCTGCTTGAGGTCACACAGTAGGGAGGTGGGGGTGAGACTGTTTGCAACAGAAGCCCTGCATACTGGAAGGAAGATGGTGAGGTCAGTTTGGGACGCCTGGCATTACAGTCACGAGCAAACACCCACCACTCAAGAGGAGAGCCAATGTCAACTTGCATGCCCAGGGACTTTGGGATGTAAAGCAAAACATGATTCAAGTGCAAAAGATCATTCCTGATAAAGCCATGATGCGATACCACCTCACGCCCATCAGAATGGTCACTAACAACAACAACAAAAAAAACCAACCAAACAAACAAACAAAAAACAGGAAACAACAAGTGTTGGCAAGAATGTGGAGAAATAGGAACTTGTTGGAGTATACAATTGTGCAGCCACTGTGGAAAACGGCATGGCGGTTCCTCAAAACATTAAACATATAATCGCCATATGATCCAGCAACCCCACTTCTGAGTACATACCCAAAATAAGTGATAGCAGGGACTCAAACACATACATGTACACCATGTTCATGGAAGCATTATTCACACTGGTTAAAAGGTAGAAACAACCCAAATATCCTTAACTGATGAATGGACAAACAAAATGTGGTCCATGCAGACAATGGAATATTAAAGGAAGGAAATTCTGACACGTGCTACAAGATGGATAAACCTTGAGGATATTATGCGAACAGAAATAAGTCAGTCACAAAAGGACAAATACTGTATGACTCCACTCAGATGAGGATGCTAGAGCAGTCAAATTCATAGAGACAGAACGCAGAGTGGGAGTTGCTGGATCGGGACGGGGAGGGGGAAGTGGGGAGTTGTTGTCTAATGGGGACAGAGTTTCAGTTTTGCAAAATGAAAAGTTCTGGAGATGGAGGGTGGTGATGGTTGCACAACAATGTGAATGTTCCTAATGCCACTGTGAAAAATGGTTTCAATGGTAAACTTTATGTGGTATATATTTTACCACAACTTAAAAATAAGTAGCAACTAAGTAAAAGCCAAAAAAAAACCATTATTCCCGGGAAAGCCACACACTGAGAGCTATGGGCACAGTCACAGGGCTCAGTTGCAGCCTGACACCCCCACCTCCAGGGCAGGGACAGACAAACTGACTTTCATATTGATTTTCCTCTCTTTCTTCATTCTGAGCAAAATTAGTACCTCCAGTATTCCAAATTCATCATCATTTTGCGGTGCATTTTCATGCCTGTAATGATAGAATTCCTGCCTGAGGCTATAAATAATTGAGCTAAGACACTTCCAAACCTGGATGATAACATGTTCCTCGTGGGACACCCGAGGCAGCATCCCTTAGCACTCCCTGTCCTCCGCAGCTATTAAAAGGCTCTGTGGGCGTCTGGCCACATGTCAGAAAGTGCTGCCTCAGATGTAAACAAACCACAGCTAAAAAATAATAAATAACACATAGAGAGCTATGCACATAGATTTCCAAGGAGCCAGTTCTCTTCAACTACCCGCACAAACGTTGAATACGCATGAGAGAGGCTTGTTCAGATAAAAACAAGAATTTAACCAAACATGTTAAAATTTTGCCTTCTACTAAGTAGGCATGAGATGATTGGAGATTCCTAGAAAGCCAGGAAATCCTTACTTGCTTTGGTCCCTGGGGTTCCAGGAGCCCAGAGACATGAGGCAGGCTCCATCCAATGCGCCACCAAGGGAGATCTGTGCTTTGACTCAGCTCCCACTAAACGTACAAGAGTTTACAAGCTAATTTCCATGAACACTAAGCAAATGGATTGGAGGGGTAGACAGTGATAATATTCATATATGCATACAACATACAATTAAATTAATGTATTGACATGATTGCTTAATATTACTCATAAGAGGAAAATGAAGGGCACGAGATTTTTGTATAAAGTGTGACTGCAAATATGTGCAAAATAAACTGAAAACCCCAAGCCCTCTTTTTGTACATTTCTTTGTTTTCTAAAATTTCTCTAGTGCATATGTATATATTACTTTTATAATGCAATATAATTTATTTCTAAAGAATGTAGGTTAGCGTAGCGCAGCTGTTTTAACCCCCAGCGGACATTTGGCAAAGTCTGAAGGTTGTTACAATGTTAGGGGGAGACGTGCTACTGGCATCTAGAGAGTGAAGGTCAGAGAGGCTGCTCATCATCCTAAAATGCACAGGACAGCTGGTCCCAAAGGTCGACCATGCCAAGATGGGGAAGTTAAGATTGCTTTGTTTAAACAGAAGAGAGCAAGACAGAATGGGCAGAACCTCATAAAAGTACCAGAGAGAATGTGTGATGGGAGGTAGGGACTCAATCCACGCAGGTGTTCAACTGCTTGGACCAGCCAGGGTCCACCAGAGAGGGCGCTGCAGACACCAGGTCAGGAGAGGATCTCAGCAGCGAGGAGGCCACCAGCCAGCCCTGGACACCAGTGGGCAGCGCCCAGAAGGTGCTCGCTCTCATGAAAAAAAAAAAAAAAAAAAAAAAAAAAACAAGGCCACAAGCCATCTCCTCAGAGGAGGCGGGATCAGATCCAACATCCAACAAAGTACATCTCTCTTAGCAGATATTTTAGGTATTAAAGTGCATTTAACTAAATTATAGGAAATTACACATTGGCCAATTTAATTTAATTTTCAGTGCTCAAAGGCTTTACTTCAAAAGGAACTATAAGTTCCTAATCTTTATATAACAAGTCTTCATTTCTCAAGGTTATAAGCAGTAAAATGAAAACATGAAGAGAAAGGACTTTATACAAAAGCACTGTGCCAAACAAAAGAAGCTGTGTTTTCTAAAATAAGTGACTTCCATCCTACTAAGCAGATGCAGATGTACTAATCTTCATTTTTAAAAGGCCCTGGGGGCAGAAAGGAAGGAGGAATTATCGAATATAACTTCTTCGCATGGAGTTTGTCTCAGGAGTCACATCTTCTGAGCTGGTGCTCTTAGCAGCTTGCTTCATTTTTAGTCATTCCCCTGGATTCCTGAAAATTTAAGATTTCAACAAATAATGATTGAGCACCTACTATGTGCTGGGCCAGGAGCTCCCACAGGCCTTTTCTGAGGGCTGCCTGTCACCTCTGTGGGCCACCAGAGGATGCCTCCCAGTAGGGTTCGTCAAGGAATCTCAAACCCAAGTTTGCAAAGTAATGGGGTTCAATCTCCATCGCTTTTAGACACTTTAGACTTTGTGCTTTTTCAATAATAAATAAAAAATATTAACAGCATTTAATGATGAGAAAATGCTTATGATTGATTCTAAAGGAAGAAAGATGAATCTGACATTTTCTATACAGTTGGAACACTATTATATCAAAGATGCACATAAAAATAAACCATCTTAATTAAATCATCAAAGTTGGCATCATCAATATTGGGCCACAGTGACATCATGTACCTCCATGATAATGCACTGGGAAGGACACAACAATTTCTATTGTCTCCTGCCAGGAATGCATAACCTGACACTAATCATGAGACAGCAATAGGCAAATTAAAATTGAGGGAAATTCTATAAAGTAACTAGCATGCACTCTCAAAAAATGTCAATGTCAAGAAAGACAAAGAAAGGCTAAAGAACTATTCCAGATTCAAGGAAATGAAAGAGATGTGACAACAAAATGCAATGTGTGATTCTAAACAATCCTGGAATGAGGGGAAAAAAAACCATCAATGAAGGACATTACGGGACAATTGATGAAATTTGGATTTAGACTATTAAATTAGGTAATTGTGTTCTGTCAGTGTCAAAATTCCTGACTTGATCATTGTGCTGTGAGTATGTAGGAAAATAACATTGTCCTCAGGAAATGTGCACTTAACTAGTTAGTGTTGAAGAGGTATGATGTTTCCAACTTATTCTCAAATAGTTCAGAAAAAAATTTAGGCTGGGCACATGGCTCACGCCTGTAATCCCAGCACTTTGGGAAGCCAAGGTGGGCAGATCAGTTGAGATCAGGAGATCGAGACCATCCTGGCTAACACGGTGAAACCCGGTCTCTACTAAAAATACAAAAAAATTAGCCGGGCATGGTAGCAGGCGCCTGTAGTCCCAGCTACTTGGGAGGCTGAGGCAGGAGAACAGCGTGAACCTGGGAGGCGGAGCTTGCAATGAGCTGAGATTGCGCCACTGCACTCCAGCGTGGGTGAGAATGAGACCCCATCTCAAAAAAAAAAAAAATTAACCAGGCATGGTGGTGGACACCTGTAATCTCAGCTACTCGGGAGGCTGAGGCAGAAGAATTGCTTAAACCTGGGAGGTGGAGGTTGCAGTGAGCCGACATTGTGCCACTGCACTCTAGCTTGGGCAACAAAGCAAGGCTCTGTCTCAAAATAAATAAATAAATTAATTAATTAATTAAAAAAGAAATATGCAGGATTCCTTTGTCATATTCTTATATCTTTTTAATTAGTTTAAAATCATATAGAAAGTTTGAAAATGCACAGAAACAATGAAGAAATTACAAGCTATATTCAATAGAATTGAAGTAGCAAGTGATTGTAAAATAGATTATATTTTATGTTTCACAAGTAAAGAAAAAATATAGCCAATAAGATGATGACACAACATTTTCCTATCACTTAGGCTTTTTCTTTACACTTTTAGAGAACTCTTTTAGACTTGCTAATGCATCAATTTTTATTCTATATCACTCTTTTGTACATATAAAAACAAACAGGTAAGTGAAATAAGTTAAAGTTATCCTCCAACTTCTTCACATGCCAATTTCAACACTTCTGAACCCTTTGATTCAGAATTGTTCACGTTTGTGCTTTTCTATGGAATATCATCCTCTGAGCCATCAAGAATGTAGGTGATACAGCAGCTTTTCAAAAGAATATTCCATGATTATTTCCAGTATTTTCTTCCAAGCCACTGAACCCTATCCTGCAAGCTTTAATGCTTGACCTTTCCAGAAGGGATTGGGGAAAGGACTTTGGCCAACAGTGAGGACTGTCATTCCCTGAAATGCTGGTGTACTGATCATTGACCTAATTCTGCCGACACAAACAGCTTCAAGTGTGCCCATGCCGAGGACTGACAGCAACCACACAACTGCCATGGGCCTGACAGAAGCAACTGTGAAGACACCGTGAATATAAAATGCATCCAGATTTCAGAGATATTAACATGTGAAAAGGGTGCATCTTGGAATTAAAATGTGATATTTAAAAATCTTAACAGCGTTGAGTTTGTGGATGGGAGATCATTCCAATTTTGTATCAATAAGCACATATTAATTTGTTGGTGTTTTTGTAATCAGAAAAAATGAATACATTTTGATTCACAAGACATAGTTATTTTCTCTGAATTTCATGCCTGATTTTTATCTGTGCATTTCCTATGTTTCCCATCGCACAAACTTATCCATCTATTAGTTCAGGTCTAAGGAGCTTCTCTGCTGTAGAATTCATTAATTGACCCAATAAACGTTAATTAAAAGCTCATGAGACATAAGGAAAAGCCAAACTCAGATGGTACCATCAAGGGTCTTAAAGTCCAGTCAGAAAGAGAAGGTAACACTTAGAACTGATCCAAGATGCATATTTTTTTTCATATTTTAACATTTCTGAAATCGCTGTGGGCCAGGCAGCAGTCATGAGGTAGTTACCACTTCCTGCACATATGCATCAAAGCTTGCAGAACGGGTATCATTAGTTTGAAAGAGAATTCCAAAAAGTTGAGAACTTTTTTAAGAGTCAAGTTTATTGAGGTATAATAAACCTTTTTTAGATGTTCAGTTATGAGGGTTTTTGTTGTTGTTGTTAATTTTTTGCAAAGATAGGGGTCTCACTATGTTGCGCAGGTTGGTCTCAAACTCCCGGCCTCAAGTGATCCTGCCTCAGCCTCCCAAAGTGCTGGGAGCTACCATGCCCATCCTTAGTTCTATGAATTTTGAAAAACCCATATAGTCACGTAACTATCATCAAATCAAGAGATAGAATAGTTCTTTTATCCCCAAAAGGTTTCTCCATGCCCCTTTTGTAATCAATATCACTTTTCCCCACCTCCAGATCCTAGCGACCTGTGATCTAATTTCTTTCTCTATAGTTTTACCTTTTCTAGAATGTCACATAAAGGGAATCACATAGTATGAAGCTTTTTGTATCTGGCTTCTTTTACTTGGCATAGTGTTTTTGAGATCCATCCACATTGTTGTACATATTACCTGTTTTTATTGCTTAGAATTATTTCATTTAAGTCTGTTCTTATGCTGATTCTACACTGTGAATTCTCTTTGAACTGATTTTCAAAATTCTTTTGTTGGTTATTCTAGATTTAAGATTCAGCTTGTCAATTTCTACAAAAAGCCTACTGGTACTTTTACTGGAATTGTGTTAAATCTATAAATCAATTTGGAAAGGTTTTGACATTTTAACAATACTGAGTCTTTAGTCTATGAACACGGTATATCTGTCCATTTATTTAGCTCTTTAATTTTTCTCATCAATGTTCAATAGTTCTTAGCATATAAATCTTACACATATTTTGTTAAATGTAACACTAAAATATTTTATGTTTTTATGCTATTGTAAATGGTTAGTTTTTAATTTTATTTTCCAATTGACCTTTGTTAGTACATAGAAATGCAATTGATATTTGTATTTTGACATTGTATCCTACAACCTTGCTAAACTCACTTATTCTAATAGCTTTCATGTAGATTTGTCAGGATTTTCTATGTAGATGTCCATGTTATATGAAAAAAAAGATACTTTTACTTCTTGTCTAATTTGAATGGCTTTTATTTTTTTCTTGCCTTATTGCATTGACTTGCCTTGTTCTTGATCTTAAAAGTATTCGGTTTTTACCATTAACTATGATATTGACTGTACATTTTTAGTGGATGCCCTGTTATCAGATTGAGGAACTTTCCTTCTATTCCTAGTGTGTTGACAGTTTTTATAATGAATGTATGTTGAATTTTGTCAAAGGCTTTTCTGTATCTGTTGAGATTTTCATATATATATATATATTTTTTTTAATTTGCCAATATGGGGAATTACACTGATTTTTTTTAATGTTGACTCAACCTTACAATCCTTGGAAAACCCCTACAGGGTATAATGCATTATTTTCTTTTTGACATATCGCTTGATCCAATTTGTTTATATGTTGTTAGGGTTTGTGTCTAGGTTCATAAATTTTCTTTTCTTGTAATGCCTTTGTCTGGTTTGGGTATCAGGATAATACTGCCTCTAAAATAAACTGGAAAGTGTTCCCTCCTATATTCTGGAAAAGATTGTGGAGAATTGATGTTATTTTTTCCTTAAATGTTTGGTAGCATTCACTAGTGGTCCTGACCCTGGAGTTTTCTCTCTAAAAATATTTTTACAATCATTTAATTTATTTAATAGATACAGGCCTATTCAGATTATCTCTTTTTTTCTTTAGCAAACATTAGTAGTTGTATCTTTCAAAGAATTTGTTCATTTCATCTAAGTTGTTAAATTCATTAGCATCAAGTTTAACCTAATGCCCCTTATTATTCTCTCAGTGTCTACAGCATCTAAAAGGATGATGGCCTCTCCTTTGTTCCTGATATTGGTCATTTGAACTTCTCTCTCTCTTTTTGATCCCTCTAACTAGCAGTTTATCATGGCATTGATCTTTTTAAAAACCACCTTTGGTTTTCAATATTTCCTCTATCTTTTTTCAGATTCCAAATTTATTCATTTCCAATGCTCTTCAAATGACTTAATGGACAATAAAACTTATGAAAAAAACAGATGGTAATGACTCTGGATCAAGGAATGAGTCTGTATATTCAGACTCTGAATTTGAAGAAAATTTTAGGAATACCTTTTTTATATTGCTTGTATTTTCCTTTTAAGAGATATGCAAGTGTTATAATGATATGTCTGTGTCTGTAATAACCCAAAATAGCGTTTTCAATATATATGAACTGATTCTAAGTGATATGAAAGCATTGTGTCATATTTTAATTGGCAGGTTTTTTTTGTAGTTGTAAAATAATGAAGTGTTTAACAGCAGATGATACAGTATGTCCCCACTTAATGTCATGTATAGGTTCTTGGAAACTTTGGCTTTAAGCTAAACAATGTACAGCAAAGTCATTTCATTATACCATTGGTGAGAAAAAAACATTGGTTTTGTTATATGCCATTTCACTTAAAGTTGCAGTTTCCAAAAACCCATTGATGATGTTAAGTGAGGACTTACTGTCTTTAGAAGTAGATGAAAAATGGTCTGTGTCTTTAAAAGTTCAATATGATGTGCAATGAAATCAAAGTCTCCAGATGAATACGAACATAGTGGCCTTGTAGCTCAGGACAAAAGTAAATCCAACTGTGGCTCAATATTTAGCCTGGAGGGTGATGGTGGGGCATGGACTGTGGACCAGGAGAATGGACAGCAGGAATTCAGTGTGGAGGATATGCTGAATGGAAGTTGGGAGGAATGTTTGGAAAGGTGTGCTGCAGCCAGGCAAGCGGAACTTAACGATGAATGCTAAGAAAGTTTTCATTTGTTCAGCAAAGAATGGATAAGCAACGATGTTTAATAGGGAGTCATATGTTTGAGGCACGTTAACCTATTCACAAGAACAAAGGAAACTGAAGGAGAGAGAGAGACGGGAAAAAGAGAAATGACAAGGGAGCTTCTGAGGGAGAATCAACAGGTATTCGTAATTGAACAGGGAGAAAGATGAGATGAAACCAACTCCAAGCTTTTGAGTTTGGGAGACCACGTGGATTGCAGTTACAAGAAGAATTCAGAGATGGGAGCCGAGCCTGACCCCAGTAATGGAGGGGAGAATGGGTGAAGTTATGAGAAGTAATGTTGCAGAGCCAGGACTCAGGACTCAGCAGCTGCTTGGCTACCTCCAAAAAGACATGTCCAGGAGGCTAGGCTACTATAGCCCAGGCCTGGACCTTAAGAGAAAATCCGGATGTGGAGATAGAGATTTGTGACTTATATACCTGGAAGTGTTGTTTGAAGCAATGAGATTATCAATACGGAGAGCATAAAATAAAAATGAGAATATCAGTATTTGTCAACATGTTTGAGCTCTTGCATTTCCTAGGCAGCATGTTAAATGCTTTTCAGATATTAGCTCAATTAATTCTCAGCCCTATGATGGAGATGCCATTGTGAATCCCATTTTAAACATGGGGGAACTGAGAAACAGAGGACTTAAGTCATGTGCACAAGGTCACATTGCTGGAAAACTGTGGATCCTAGACAAAAACCCAGATAGTCAGACTCTAAACCTACTACCAGAGGCTGCCTCTGTCAGGAGCAAAGGGATCCCTATGGAATGATATGTTTGGGTGATAAGTGAACTCAGAGGAAAAGACAGAAAAGGAGCAATCAGAGAGGTACATTTTGACACAAATGTGCTTCTGGCATGAGGATTATAAAAATGCACCATGCCAGATGGTTCTCAAGGAGAGTAGGGGAATGAACACCACGGATTCATTTTATGGATTCTATTTAAACCATTCTCAGTCACCAAGTCATCTATGTTCTCCATTTTTAAAATTTCTGGATGAGTGGGATCAATTGAAAAAAAAAATAAACAGACTCGTTTTCAAAGCTGTGGTTTCATAGATGGTAGCTGCAAATGGTTCCAAAGTTAAAAATAGAACTCTTAAATACTGGTTCTCAAACTGGGGTACCTGGATGGGCAGCATGAGCAACCCCTGAAAACTTTTTGGAAGTTCACATTCTCACACCCCACCTCTGACTTACTGAATCACAAAACTCTGTGGGGTCGGCTCAGCAATCTGTGTTGTAACTAACTCTGCAGGTGATTTTGATGTATGTATGCTCCAGTCCAAGAACCACTATTCTAAAAAATGAAATGATTTAAGTATGTGTAGCAAATCTTTGAGGGCCTTGTGCCAAGTCAGAGTGCCCACAGAATACAGACCAGCTCTGTGGCCCCTCTGCAACCAACCTGATGGATTCTTAAAGGAATTTGTGCTGCAGCGGAGCCCACATTAGGTGAGAAGTGCTTTCCCACTGCTGTGATGACAGAGATCTTCTGTACTTTGCTGTCACCACCTTGAGCTAGGTAGCAGGACCACCTTGGGGGTCGCCCATTTCATCCCCACACCAAGCCCATCCTTCCTCAGTTTATCTATCCTCTCACCCTCCAATCCAACCTTTCCCCACCCCATCCCACCCTTCATTTGCTATTTGAGGTAGTGAGGGCCTTATGTTTTCTATAAATTATTCATATTCAATTTTTAAAGAAGATTTCTATGTTGTTACATATCCTTTTACTATTTGGGGAAATTCAACTAAGAGTTTCTGAAGCACAGAAAGGAGGGACGTCGCCATGCCCGGGATGAGCACAGTCAGGTGAATGCAGGCAGTGCAGTCTTCACAGAGGCAATGCTGCCCCTACAGCTGACCCTTCTTACATGCACTTGCCCACTGCATCCCAGCCGACTGCAAGTGCCTCTCACAGACTCTAACCTTACACTCATTTTCTTTGTACCCTGCTCAAGACCATCACACCACAGTGGTCAGCAAATCCATCTTGATGGTCTTGTAATGATGCCCCTCTGTACTTGTGGGGTTTGCCAGTCCTCCTGCCTTTCTGAAGGATGTGAGCCCCCTTACTCAAGCAGCAGTATAACTGCTACTCCTGACTGTAGTCTCTGGGTTCAGACTGTTCTAGCTCAAATCTTGACTTTGCCCTTTCCTAGCTATCTGGTCTCAGACAATTTGCATAAACTTTCGGATCCTGTATCCTCATCCCCAAAATACACACAATCTGCCTCCCAAGGTTACTGAGAAAAGACCACACACACCCTCATCGCTATCTGAAATTACCGTGCTGAACTATATAAAATTGCTGATACTGGATCATTTCATCTATAAAAATGGCATGTTCATATGGTTCACCTTGATATCCTACTTATGTATATGTTTGTGTATTTCCCTCTCCCCATAACAGAAGGTAAGCACTTACTTAGTGTTTTATCTTCAATATCTAAACAGTGACTAGACATGGTATGTGTTTGATAAATATTTGTTGAATGTATGAATGACACCTTAGTGCAGTGTCTGGAGCAGGGTAAGTATTCTATCCTAGTGTCATCCTCATCATCATCATTAGAATTAGTAAAGCAGAAACACAGAATGAAATACTAGACAATATCAGCTCAAGTGAAAATTAATGCCACATCACCACATATTTTCAATAACTTCAGTTTGTTGCATCAAACCAATCTTTCCCTTCAGTTAGAAAAAACACCCTGGAATGAATTGGTAGATATTAATAATAACAATACCAATCAGCAACTGATATTATTATACACAGAATTTTATCAGGAGTGAGTAGCAAAAGGATATTCATGGTAATAACCCCATGCAGATTTATTGAACATCCACTATGTGCCAGGTGCAGCCACAGCACTTTCAGGTCTCATTTCTATGTCTCTCAACAAGCCTCGAAGCAGGGGTGTCATGCATGTTCTCTGGATGAGGACCCCAGCCCTAGAGAGGTCAATCTCATTGGTGGAATGAGTGTCTCTGCTGAGTATTAGTGTGGGCTGGTACCCAGGAACCCTTTCCTCATCCCCTAAGAGTAGGAAGCTCACCCTACATCAACAGGCTCTGCTCCAAGGGGTCAGGAGTTTGCTGTCCAAAGACTGGACCAGGCAGCTGTTCAGAGGTGCCTCAACCAAAAAATCTAATTTAGAGAGTCAGACATGGGAGCCAAGTGCTCTGACACTGTGTGGCTCCAGCCAGCGCTGTCGCCTGGCAGGCCCTGACACTCTGAGCCACATGGACAGTCCCGTAAATGCTGCCATGCTCCTGGGAGTGCCTGCATCTAGTCTCCGCCCCTTCAGTGGTGGCTTCTCCAGCTTTCTCAGCCCACACAGGGCAGCCTGGAGGAGCAGGGGACTGTCCTTCAGTAGTGAGGGGAGGCAGTCGGTGAGCAGACATCCTAGCTTCCCCAGTTCCTACGCACTTCCCCAAAGGGCCCAGCGCCCACAGCGGGACCCTGCTCCAGATGGTCCTGGGGGTGGTTCTCCCTTCCTACTGGCTGTGCCCACCCCTGCCACTGCTCCCTAGGTATCCTCCCAAATAGCCTCCTGGCACCAAGTCTCAGGGGCTGCTGGGGGAATGCAACTGAAGATACCTTCGGTCTAACCAAGAAAACGGCTTGTGGGTCCCTTCCCTTCACCACAGCTGGATCAGACATTTCCACAGTGATGTCTGTTTAACCTCACAAATGAAAAATAAACCTACTAGATGCATTATGGTTGAGGGACTGAACACGAAAATAGAGCAGAATGAGGCCTGGAGGAAGCAGAGCCCCAATCCCTGTTTCAGGGCTCTGCTGGTGTTCTAACGGCAGGAAGGCTCCAGCCTAATGGGTTCAGACTGTCTCCATGGTCCTTCGCTGAGCCTCACTCAGGTCCCTACTCTTTGGCAAGCATTAGAACTGCTGCACAGAGTTGGACCAGCTAAGGGACTGTCAGGAGTGACCACTTACATTCCAGTCACCCTGATGGGCTGGCTGGAGAACTCGGCCCAAGTCGTACACCTGCCATATTGTTGAGGAAGAAATTCACTCTGGCTTAAGTGCTCCCTCCCTCCTCTGGGAAGTCTCCCAGGCCGCAAGGACCCTCTTCCATGTTTCTGGGGTAGTATCCCATGACTGCAGTAAGTATGTGGCCCCTTGCCCTGTGACTCTGGGCTCCTTTCCTGGGTTGTGGTCCCTGAGGACTCATAATCCCTGCACCCCTATGTCTAATGCATTTTTGCACACAAATGCCCATGAAGCCAACACGAGGGTACAGTATTATTCTAGCTGGTGTTAAAATCAGAGTAATAGTGCAGAAGTGAAGTGGAGGCATCCAGCCTACTTTATTCCAAAGGCGGGATGCACATGCACACAGGCAAGCTGGTGTTTTCAAAAAGGACTCTAAACCAGGACAGCATCAACCCCTTCCTGCCAGGCCTCACCCCTCTGCAGGTGCAGGCTGAGAGAGGCTTGGCCATGAAACATGTTTAGAATAAGCACATTTAGTAAGAGCCTGTAAGGCTAAAATCCAAAAGCTAGCCATTCTGCACCACCCAAATGCACAGGGATCAGGGTTGGGGGTGGGGTGGGGTGGTAGGTAATTCACATGACTGCTCTCTGTTCTAATTCCGAAATTCAACCAGCCTCAGAGAATCTACAAAAATAGATTCACTCTTTTCCCTTTCCCTGGCATGTTTAATTTAAATCAACATTAAAGGTATTTATTTTGCAGTGAAAAAGGAATTCTGAAATATCATAATCAAGTACATGTACCACATAAACATTTCAGTCAATGATGAGCCAACTACATCAAGGTGGTCCCATGAGTATAATAGTGTATTTTCACTCTACCTTTTCTATGCTCGCATATGACAGATACACAAATACTTACCATTGTGTTCCAATTGCCTACAGAATTTGGTACGTCACACATGCAGTGCAGGTTTGTAGCCTAGGAGCAATAGGCTATGCTATATAGCCTAGGTGTGCAGTAGGTGAGAGCATCTAGCCTAAGTGCACTCTACGATGTTCACACAATGACAAAATTGTCTAATGACGCATCTCTCAGAACTATCCCTGGCCAGACACGGTGGCTCATGCCTGTAATCCCAGCACTTTGGGAGGCTGAGGTGAATGGATCACTTGAGCCCAGGAGTTAGAGAGCAGCCTGGTCAACATGGCAAAACCCCACCTCTACCAAAAAAAAAAAAATACAAAAATTAGCTGGACATGGTGGCATGCACCTGTGGTCCCAGCTACTCAGGAGGCTGAGGTGGGAGGATCACTTGAGCCTGGGAGGCAGAGGTTGCAGTGAACCAAGATTGCACCATTGCATTCCAGGCTAGACGACAGGAGTGAAACACTGTCTCAAAAAAAATGCATATACATACACACACACACACACACACATACACACATACACACCTATCCCTGATGCATGACTGAAGTCTAATTTAAGATTAATTGAAATCTAATTTACGGATAAGATTTCTTATCAGATCTAAGGAAGCCCATGAATAAAAGTCTACATTGATTTCTTTACCCTGCACCAGTTGTAAAAACATCTTAGCATGGTTTATACAATGGATTTCCAAATATGAGACTCTTCAGAGTTACATCCCAGTGTTTGCAAAAATGAGAAAGTCGCCCTAACACTAACAGAATGCCCTTCATTAGCATAGAACAGCTGCAGCCAATTCATGTCCACTTAGTAGAGTTCGTGCTAACCACTCTCAAAGAAGAAATTATTACCAAAAAATCTGAACAAAAAATATTCAGATCCCACTGCCCTGCATCTGGGAATACACATCATTTAACTGGGCAGTTGTAATAGAACCTTCAAAGCATTCCTCGACTTCTGACATTCTCTGAGGTTCCAAGGAGGCCTGACCTTACCTGCCCTTCTTCCTCAATGTCCATCTTCCACTCCACACAGCTTCTCTCAGCCTGGGCCAGGTCCTGGGGATAGGAAATCCTCTACAAACAACATAAATATCTTGTTAGTAAATGCAGCCTGTCTTAATACTGCACAATATGCATTGTTTCCATCCCCAAATGAACTTGTGATTAAAGGTCCATGCAACCCAGAAATGTCTGAAGAGAGAGGTAGAGGGGTCGCAGAGGATGCATGGGTGAAGGGGGTCCCTCCTCCGGTCATGGTGCCCAGCATGCAGTCTGGTTGGCCCCTCCCTTTCAGGAAGTCCAGCGAGGGTGCACACCCAGGCTCATGCACACAGAATACATACATAGAGTTGGGACGGAATGTACATGGATAAGGGTGCTCAGAGACATGATGGAGTGAAAGGATTGTGTGGTGAAAGTTTTTACCTTGGACTTTTGTTTTCTGAGAGCATTTATAGAATGTTGGAAGCCAGAAGTGACCTGAGAGCTGAGTTTTGCCAAGCCTTCCAAGTGAACTCTTAGAAGAGAAGAGAGGGTGGACGCAGTTGCGAAGCTGTGCTGAGATCTTGTCTGGCCTGCTCTCCTTCAAGGTGAAGATGAAACCCACTGTGCCAAGGGTTGGTGAGGAGACCACCCCCATGCACTCCAGGTTGTGATTCTCACCAACATCTTCAGGCATCTCCAGGCTCCTGCTCCCTTCTTCATCTCACCAGGGCTTGTTTGCTCTTTTGTTCAGACTCAAAGCCATGCTGAATGCTTAACACTCATACCAAGATCACATGATTACTCAGCTAACTTCTAAGCAAAGTCTCTCCCATGAAACATCCAACAGAAAAGTATGCAATTTCATAGCATTCAGTCCACTCATGCACTGACAGCTGACCTGCATGTTCCTTCATTTATACCTATGCCTCATTGTTTTATTAAGGTAAGCAAGCAACACTCTGAACTGCAATATACACATACACTGACATGAGTGATAAATTTCTCCTCAGAACCCAGCCAATACACTGAAAAAGAACAAAAAGGAAACACCTTTCCAAAAGAAAGATGTTTTCCTTTCACAAGTTTGATTTGGCTTTCAAACTAAGAAGATTTTATACATATTCCTGGGGAGTTTTCAAATCACCTCAATTCTGAAGTGGAGTCCTCACATTTGTGTATACAAAGTGAAATGCTGGGAGTGAAGCCCAGCCGTAGGGGCAAAATTTTAAATTAAACAGATAATTAGGGATTAATTATCTGCTTATAAAAATATTTTTTAATAAAAGGTGTGACTGGAGTGCCTTTGGAAACCAGTTTTCCTGGTGCCTGTATAATATAACTTAATTAGGACATTAGATTTCCCTATAAACTTCCAAGAATTTCTTTAGTATATAAAGTAAACCATGGCAGTGGAGTTTAATCACAGGTATGTTGAACACTTAGTTACCATGGAGACCTTAAAAGCTCCACAGTGTGCTACATCTGCAAGACATTGCTGTGTATTCTTCAACTGGATGCAAAGTGCTTCATTCTGAAGTTGATTTGTCAAATTGTTTCCTTTGAGTGACCTCCAGCTATTAGCTAAAGTAAGAAACATGTCACCTACTGAAAATGATGCAAGAGACAGAAAGCATCATGGAGACGAGCAAATTTAGCTTTCAAGAGGTCTAATAAAACCCAAGGCAATTCTGGCACAATTAGAATTCAACACCAAATTTCTTAAGTACAAGAATAATGCTCCACTTGTCCCATTATGCTGCTTCACCTTCCCAAAAATCTAAATGGAATGGGATTGAAGAAAGACATCAAAACCTCCAAACCCATCAGTGTCTGTTCCAACTGCTTTCTTCTACAATGTTATTATTACTTCTGTCCATTTGGGTTCTACCACAGAGAGTCCCAGGAGTTGTATCCTCATCAAAGAGCAAACTGTAATTATTCACTTGTTCCCCCACCCCACCACTACCCCAAGGAGCAGGACTTGTTCTGTGCCCCTCAAATGCCCCTCAATCATTTATGTATACACCTTTCTCCAACACTGAGAGGCCTAGCAAAGCCGGAGAGTCACGTTGTCCAGTGTGTTGTGTGTGCACAATCAGCAGTAGATGCTTAATAATTACATCAGGAGAACTAAAATGGCATGAAATCACCTCAGAAATCCTAGCATCTAGAAAGGAAACCCAGTAGGAATGGTTGACAGTTCTCTCCCAATTGACTGTCATTCCTTTAAAAACTATCACCACACAGGAGAACATGACCAATTTCACACAGTTCCCATATTCCTCCAGTCACTGGCACAGTGTTCTGCCCACCGTGATGCCACTGGCATACCTTTTCATGGGTAAGGTGAATAAATGACTGACTAAGAAACACTCAAGCTTTTCTTTTAACCACAGTGCTGTCTATTCAAAACATCATTCCATTGTCTTTGAAATGTTCATGAACCATTTTCTACAAATATGTGGAGGTGGATTCCTTCCTTCAGGTAGATTACTGATGTTGGTACATTCACAACTTACATGTCTCAAGGCACTTAGGAAAGAGAAAAAAAAAAAACAAAACATTAACTCTTTGACCATGAATTTCTTCAGTGAGGAGGAAGAGGTATTATTATGGTACCTATAACAGAATTGAGGTGTGTATGTTTCTTAGCAGCTAATGACTAAACCAGTTGCTTTCTAAAGCTCAATCTTTAGACTTGGTTTGCTAATCCAAACATATACAATAGAATGATTTGAATCAAGTAAATATGAGGCATTTTTCTGAGGTGACTATTTAAATTAAGCTACTGCATAAGTACCAAATGAACCTAAGCTCCTTGACCACAGAAATGTAGCAGTTTCACAGACTCTGTCCTAGCTTTCCAATTCTCCTCTTCAAGCTGGCTTGAAACTGGCATTTTTCTAAAGGTGTAAGCTCTACTGGGAGCTATATTAGAGTATAAGATTTTATTTTTAAAAAACCAGTGCTTAAATACTGCCCCTGAAGAAGTTTTGATTCTACTTGGTGGTGGAGAATATACAAAACCTGTTCAAAGTCACAGACACCTTAAAGAATTGGTCTGCTTGCTGAATGACCTACTCCCATGGCTGTTTCTGCTTCCAATTCTATGCATCTTACTCTCTGTGTATACTGTTGGAAAGTCTCTCTTGACATCTTGATTTTCTTTTTTAAAAAGAACATGGTTCAGTACATTTTAAAATACCAATCTTGTGTTAGAGTTTCACACATTAAAGAAACAAACATAAATACTCAGCTGCTCCATATGTCTGCAGCTAAATTATAAAAAGAGCGTGCAAGGGCAGAGTGTCCTTCAAGGTACTTTGGTTGAGAGATATACATCACAAACATGGACTAACAAGCACATGTCTTGAGATGAGGACAGTACTGACTCACTGTCACCAGCCACTAACCCTCCAAGGGCCGGTCTTTTCTTCTAAAAATGTGTCAGCTGTTAATCTCTGAGATCCTTCCTTCAGAAGTAAAATCACAGGAGTCCATTTTCAAGAGGGCTTACCTGGTAATTTGTGTTCTTGTACTGAAGTCAAGAGACCTCATTGAGCGCAGAACTTCAATGCACCCCAAGTACTGCAAGGGGAAAAAATGTAAATCGTGAGCCCTGAGATTTGAGATAAAGAGACAACTCCTAACTATACAAGGGCATTTTTGGGAGCCATACACATTTCTTAAATCACATTTTAACTTTAAATTCTAGGGTGAGGCTTTGTTTTGTTTCTATAAAAGCAATAACTCACAGCCACAAGAAAATATCATGAGTGGTTAGATTGGCACTACACTGGATTTTTCTAAAACCTGTTAGTATTTTCATCTTATTTGGATGTACACTTTTTAAAGTTTTTATGGAAGTATAACTTATATACTGTGAAATCCAGGGATCTTAAATGTTTAATTCAATGATTGTTTAAACATATATTTGCCATGAAACCACCACCCAGACCTCAACATTGCATTTCTAGTCTTTTACGAGGCTTCTACAGGTTTACAATTTTTAGAGAAAGAATGAAAACATGATATGACCAACATTTTCATCAACATTAAATGTCATTATCTGATAAATATATTTTGGGTTCTATGAACTATAGATTACCCTCAAAGGTGATTTACTTTGGTTTACCAGATCTTCTGCATGATCATAAATTTTTAGAAGCTCAGATTTATACATCTAAATGCATAGCTAAATTTTGATCAGTTTCACACATGAAAATGTATATGTGTAAGTATATGGACATAGCTAAAGTTATGGATAAAGAGCTAGATCCAATAGTTATGTTCCAAAGCCTTTGGGGAGTTTGAAGATACAGATGTTTTAGATAAATGCCTTAGATTTAGCAGAAGGAGATCTCATGGTATGGTACAGAAAAAACTGCATTTGGTGAACCGAGATCATGCCACTGCACTACAGCCTGGGCGACAGAGCGAGACTCCATCTCAAAAAAGAAAAAAAGAAAAAACTGCATTTGAATTATTTAGAAAATGTGAATTGGAGGCTGGCTTTGTCATATCTTCTTATAACTTTAAATTTATCTGAGCCTGTCTATACACCCATAAATGTGATTATTACTCCCACCATTGCACCACCACCAATATCACTATTGTCACTAAGATATGTGAAGACCACAACAAACTTTGCAGACTCGGGGGATTACCATACCTAACACCATTAGAGTTATATGACTACCACAAAAACATCATCATGGAATTACTTGAATACCTCAACCACTGTGGCAGCATTAAGAGAATACCACTACCAAGGCAGATATTTGAATAGCACCACTACCATCACAGTTATGTGAATTCCATGACCAATGTCAGAGAAATATGAATTAGGCTACCATCAACATTGCAGAGTTATGTGATTACAACAACCAACATCACAGGTTCATGTGAATAATAGGACCAATGTCACAGAGTTATGTGAATACCACCAGCATCAAAGCCACAGAATTATCCAAACACCAAAGCCACCATTGCAGAGTTACGTGAAAACCACCACCTATGTCACAAAGTTATATGAATACTACAACTGACAACAGAGTTATGTGAATACCATGAACATCAATGTCATAGAATTGTGGGAATACGGGAATACCACCACCACCATGCTGTTCCAGAATTATGAGAATTATGAAGATACCACAAAAAAACCAACGTGGCAGAGTTACACGAACACTACCACTATCATTGTGGAATTACGTAAATATCATGCCAATGCCATAGAGTTATTTGAAAACTATGAACAATTCAGAGTTATGTTAACACTACCACCATTATTACAGAGTTTTGAAAATACCTGTCCCCCCATGGACGTATACAGTTAGCCCTACATGTGTGCAGGTCCCACATTCACAGATTCAACAAACTGTGGATTGAAAATAGAAAAAAAAACAATAAAAGTAGTGCAAATAAACAATATAGTAACAACTATTTACATAGCATTTATATTATATTAGGTATCGTAAATAATCTAGAGAGGATTCAAAGTATAAAGGAGGCTGTGCACAGGCTACATGTAAATACTATACCATATTATATAAGAGATCTGAGCATCTATGGATTTTGGTATCCTAGAGGGTCCTGAAACCACTCTGTGGATGCTAGGTGATGAGTATATTTATATAAATAACATGACTAGAGTCACAGAATTATGCAAATACTCCATCCATTATTACAGAGTTAAGTGAAAACTATGACCAATGTTGCAGAGTTATATAAATACCCCCACCATTGTTGCAGAGTTATGATTTGCAACCTCATCCACAATTACATGTTTATAAGACTACCACCAGCAGCAACACTGCAGTTATGTGAATATAATCCCCACCAGTATCATAAAGTTAGGTGAATACCACTACCACTGATGTCGCAGCGTGATATGAATGCCACGTTCAACATGACAGAGCTATGTAAATAGGCAACCAATGACACAGTTATGGGAATACCAACAACACTACTGTCACAGGGTTATGTGACTCGCACAACCAAGTCACAGGGTTATTTGAATACCATGACCACCATCACAGTTATATGAATATCATGACCACCAGAGTAGAGTACCACCTGCATCAACTTCACAGCATATACGAATAACATGACTGACATCTCAAAGTTAGATGAGTACTGTCTTCTCTGTCATTGCAGAGTCATGTCAATGCCACCACTGATAACCTCACAGATTTATTGGAATGACACAGCCAACTTTGCAGAGTTATCTGTTTACAACCATGACCAATATCACAGAATATTGTGAATACCACCATAACCAACACCACAGAGCTACATGAATACCACCAACAACAATGATGCAAAATTATGTGAATTCCATAATCAGCAAGGGAGTTATGGGAACACCACATTCACTGTCAGAGATATTATAAATACCACAACCGCCAATGCTGCAAAATTGTGTGACTATCATGGCAAATGTCATGGGTTCATGTGAATACCACTGCCACCAATAGAGAATTATGTAAATACCATCATCAGCAATGTCACAGTGCCATGTGCATACCACCAGCAGCACCAATGCATAATTATGTTAACACCATGATGAATCTCAGTTCTGTGAATACCACAGCAATCATCTTAGAGTTGAATGCACATCATGATGAACTGCACAGTGCATGTCAACCCTACTACCACCAGCATTGCAGAGTCATGCAAATACCAGGACCACTTTCAAAAGATTGTGTGAACACCATGAGTAATGTCATTGAGTTATATGACCACCAGCAACAACACTGCAGTGTCACATGAACAGCAATGACAATGTCACAGATTTACCTGAATACAACCACCACTCTTGCACTTAGAGTAACACAACCACAACCATTATCACAGAACTATGTGAATACAATGATCAATATCACAGTTATGTGAATAGCACCACAAACATTGCAGAAATATGTAAATACCACCACCACCAATGTCACAGTGTTAGGCAAGTACCATAATTAATGTCATAATTATGTGACTATCAGCAGCAGAACCATAGCACAGTTATGTGTGTACCACCATCGATGTTGCAAAATTACGTGATACTGTGATGAAGGTTGCAGTATGGGACTATTATGACAAATTTCACAGTTATGTGAACCCCACCATCAACTCCAATATTGCAGTCATGTAAATACCACAACCATGAGTGGAGAATTACATAAACATCACCAACAACGTCACCATGTTATGAGACTAACAGTACCACGGTGTTGCACAATTATGTCAACACCACAACAAACGTTGCAGAGTTATGTGAACACCATGACAAACTTTGCAGTCTGTGACCACCATCATGGTGTTATGTGAATACAACCAACATCACAGAGTGATGTGGATACACCACCACCACTATCACAGAGTTACGTGAATACAACCACCACCACCACCACAGAGTTTATGGATACTGTGGCTAATGCCACAGAGTTGTGTGGATACCACAACCAAAGCTGCAGAAATATGTGAATACCACCAACACCAACACCCCAACACCAAAAGATGTGAAAACCACAACTGGCATCACAGTTATGTGAACACCATAAACAATGATGCAAAATTGTCAATTCCAACACTCAGAGTTATATGAATACTATGACCTCCCATGTCACAGCTATGTGAATACCGTGAACAGTATCACTGAGTTATGTAAATATCGCCATCAACATCACAGAATTATGTGAATACCTCCATCAATGTCACAAGGTGAAATATGAATACCATGAACAACATGGCAGAATTATGTGGATACCATGACAATACTGCAGTTATGTAAGTACCACCGACACCATAACAGAGTGCTGTTTATACCACATCCACCAGCACAGAATCAAGGAAATGCCACCATCACCACTATCACATGAATAACAATTAACATTGCAGAGTTATGTAAATATGACCATAATCAGCATCACAGATTTTCGGGATGATGCCCTGCTCCTCTGTCATAGGGTTATGTTAAGATCACAACCGAGTTTGCAGATTTATGTAAATATCACAATGTACATTGAAGAGTGATGTGGTTACCACCCACTAACATATAGTCACAGAATTATGTAAATACCACCACTTCTTTTACAGAGTTATGTGTAGCCTGGGCCTAATTTCTTGTAGTTATATTACCAGCAACACCACCTTTGCAGTGAATGTGAATACCAGCACCAACGTCGCAGACCTGAATTGCCCTCTCAAAGATGTGCAGCAATTTGTCCTCTCATCACCCGGCATAAGCAAGCATAGTGGTCTCTGTCCTTCCCAGTACTGCAGTGTCAATTTTTTGAATCTTTGCCAAGGATGAGCAAAAGTAACTCATTTTGTTTTAGTTTGCATTTCCCTCAAATCTAATAAGGTGATTTTTCTCACATGCTTATTGGCCATTTGCATTTCTTTTTCTGTTATTTGATTGTTCATATCTTTCTGCCCAGTTTTCAATTCAGTTATTTATCTTTTTCTTTTAGATTAATTGATATTAACTTCTTATTCAATCATCTTTCTTTTGGTGGCATCTACATTTTATCTGACAAAAATTATTGCTTTCAGTTGTTAGAGGTATTTTGGGAAAAAAGAAAATTATGACTGTAGTAATTACAATAATCATATATGTTGGTCATTTTCTAGATGGCTTCTGAGAGTCTTGTTTTCCTTAAGAAGGTCTTCCTAACCTTAAGTTCTTACTAATATTCTCCTTTTATTTTAATAATATTTATTATTTATGCATTCATTTATTTGTTTTATTTAATGTTTTTCATTTAGCTTTTCAATTCATTCGGAATGCATTTGTCTACATAGGATATGGGAAGAGTTATGATATTTAGCTGCCAGATGGACTGTCACTCATGTTCATACCATTTATTTAATAAGTCATCCATTTATTCCTGAACTGAGGTGCCAACTTGACAGTATATTAAATACCTATTTCTGTGTGGACTTTTACCTGAATTCTGTTCTCTTCATTTGTCAACTGCTGTCTCTTGTATGTATTTTTTTTCTGAAGAGATTTAAAATCATTTTGTGAAGTTTCCTTACCCCTCAAAAATGATTTAGATTCTGATTGAAATTTCATATTACAGTCTATACTTTTCTTCTACATTGTATTCCAAGGCACTTTTTTTTTAAAGTGTTGGTCACCACAGGGAGTGAGAGTTTAATTTTTTCCATTCCGTCTCTACCTATTTTTTTTTTTTTTTTGCTAACAGAGACAAAATCTATTGACTTAGGGTAAAAAGAGAAAACTCAAGCAGTGGGCTCCAGAGATACACAAAACTGGATTATGAAAGCTAAACAATGGAGCCCAGAAAATCTCCTAGTGCCAAAAAGACTGAAACACAAATGGAAATGTAAAGTGTTAGAGTTTAGATGCATCTGCCTCATAGGAATTCCAGAAAAAGAAAATTTTAAAAAGAAGAAAAGAAATATTCAAATATCAGCAAAACAAAATGTTTAGTGTTAGAGACAGGGTTGGTCACATTTTCATGGCTCCCAGGAGAAATGCAAAGAAACATGCACTCATGGACCACAGTTGCCTAATTTCAGACACACAGATCAAGAGAGAAACATTCTAAAAGTTTTCCAGGAGTAGGAAAAAAAAAAAAGACAGGTTACTTAAAAAGGAAGGAGGTGTGGAATGTTAATGTTCTCTTTCAGCACCAAATACATGAGGACAAATAACATCATCAAAAGTCTGAAGAATAGAAATATTGAGCCAAGAATCTTATATGCACCCAAACTAGCATCCCAGTAGGAGGGCAAAGCGAGGACTCAGAAATTTAACCACCCACAGACACTCTGAAGGAATTATTCCAGAAAAACAATGAATACAAAGAAGAGGAGGATGTGGGCTGCAAGAAACAATGACGATAAAAGAATCAGTAAAAGTTGCAGATACACCTTATGCCTTAATAATTATTGATGCGTAACTTTAAATATGTATTTTTTACAATGATCAGAAACTAGTATCTCAGGAGATCTAAACATGGAAGGTAAGGGAACGATGGCCAGGAGAGGTGGGAGAAGAAAAGGTATAGCATGCCAAGCGCTGTTCAGTTTTGTGGAGGTAGGTCCGGAACTGAGTAGTTCTAGGTAACAGTAAAAAATTATGTTTATATATGTGTGTAAAAAATTATATATCACTGTAAAAATAAGAATAGAATAAGAGACCTTCAAACTACTATAGAACAAAAGAAAGAAACAAAAATAGCCCAGCCAATAAAAAGAAGGGATACAAGTAGAATATGCACAGATGAAAGGCAAAGATAAAGTATAAACATCAGTAATAGTTCCCAATACCTCTAATTACAATAACCATAAATGCATCAAACCTGCCAATTAAAAGTCAAAGCCCTTCACAGGTTAAAAATATGTATGGGTTAAACAAAGTGATGAAAAGAAGACAAAGGAAATACTAGATATATAAAACATATTCTATATCAGACAAATGCTAGCAAAAGAAAACAGGGGTTTAATATGGGGAAATATCTTGTTTACAATAGCAAGAACGAAAAAACATAAAATGAATTTAATGAGAAATGTACAAAATCAAATAGAAGAAAACTTTAATGAAAGGTGAGTGAATAAAAGAAAACCTGCTTATGTGGAAAGACATGTCATGCTTTCTGGATTGGAAGATTCAATAGAAAACATGCCAATTCTTCCCCAAATTAATCTACAATTTGACTGTGATGACAATTAAGTTCCAACAGCACTTTTCCCCCAGAACATGGGAAATTAATTCTAAAGTATATGTAATAAAAGATGATCCTTAAGAACACAAAGAAATTTCTGAAGAAGATAAAAAGGAACTGGTGAAAATAATGTGGGAACAGGCGAGTCATACAAGGAATTAGAAGACAGTCCAGGAGAAAGAGCACACATGTCCATGGGAACCATTGAAGAAAGGATGAGCCATAAGGTGATGCTGTGATTAGCTAGTACATTAAGAAGAGAATCCATGGAGCAATGCAGCCTAGCCCAGCGCCATTGTGCAAGGTTGTGTAAGGCGTGTGTTACTGTGGTGTAGAATGGGATATTCCCCCCAGCATGTCCAGCGTACCCCATACACAAATATAAACGCTAAAATGGTTAAAGAGCCAAACCTAAGAAACAAGATATAAAAGCATTATAAGAATCTAGAGAATAATATTTTTATAACAAGACCTAAAACTCAAAGGCCATAAGTGAACTCATGAAAATCAATAGTTTTTGTAAAACAAAACAAATGACATAGGTAGCATGAAAAGGCAAGTGAAAGACTGAGAAAAATGTAATAAATTAAACAAAACCTTTAATATCCAGGGTACTCAAAGAGTTTCTGTGAGTCATTAAGTCAGCCCATCAACTCCATAGAAAAAAATAGGCAAAGGGTACAAAAAGGAAATTCACAGAAGAAAGGCAATTGGCCAATATACATCTGTAAAGACTAGTAATCTGAGAAATTAAAATTAACACTGAAAAAGATACAATTTTTCACCCAGCAGAATGGTCAAATTTGGTGAGAACACAGGAAAATGTGCCTTCTCACATATTCTTCGAGCAAATGTACTTTGATGAAGCCTTCTTGGAAAACTATATGGAAGTATCTATGGATATACAAGATGCACTTGCCCTTTGACCCACTAACTTTATTTGTAGAACTCTATTCATGTGTAAGTGCATAAAACCATAAAGATATTTGTTACTTTCTTTCCCATATAGAGTTTAGAGTCTGGGCCATAATTCCGAGAGATAAAATCTGGAATGCCATAACCCCAAATGTTGAAATCCCAGAAAGATCAAACTCCCAAAGATACAATTCCGGAAAAAATTAATTATTTAAAATAAAATAAACATAAAATTTATTTAAAACTAAAAATTATTTAAAATAAAAATTAAAAATTATTTAAAAGAAATTTATTTACATTTTAAAAGAGGATTTATTTGAGAAACATATAAAAACCACTGAACACTTCACAGGCCACTTTACACAATAAAGTAGGCAATAATAACATACGTATTTTTGCAAGCATAAACACTTAGGCATGCTAAACAACAGTTACCTGGGCATAAGTTATGGGCCTACAAATCATATTCATACTCTTAAAGCTTATATGACTGCTGTCATATGAACTATTGTGATGGACAACCTAAGTCTTTTAATGAGATCAATCAAAAACTGTGATGTGTCATTACCACATATGCACTCACCCAAAGAACTGAGATCAAGAAATTCTTTCACCAATGCAAATGTACAAAAAGGAGGAAGTTTCTATTTTTTTTTTTTTCTTGAGATGGAGTTTCGCTCTTGTTGCCCAGGCTGGAGTGCAATGGCACGATCTCAGCTCACCGCAACCTCTGCCTCCCGGGTTCAAGCGATTCTCCTGCCTCAGGCTCCCGAGTAGGTGGGATTACAGGTATGCACCACCACGCTCGGCTAATTTTGTATTTTTAGTAGAGATGGGGTTTCTCCATGTTGGTCAGGCTGGTCTTAAACTCCCGACCTCAGGAGATCTGCCCACCTTGGCCTCCCAAAGTGCTGGGATTACAAGTGTGAGCCACTGTGCTGGCTGGAAGTTTCAATGTTTTTAAGTACACACACAATGCTTACACACAGTCAATGTTGTGATACTGCACTAGTGTAGAGTCAAATTTGCATGAAAATGCATAAAAAGAATTAGAACTCTCTAAAAGTCTTTATACAATTTATACTTCCAGTATTGGAAATGATGCAAAGATGAAATGCATAGTATGGTGAATTATAAACAAATAATGCTAACAATTTAAAGTAATGGGGGAAAAGGTTTTAAGGACTTTATAAACCTAAAAAGAAAATTCGACATGAAGAAGTGTATTATGAGGATAAATTACAGCAATTGCACAGAGGTAGTCCATAAGAGCTGGCCAACTTTCACTATCAGTAACTATATTTGGAAGCCTTGCATCATGAGAAACTACTGCTTTTTTCTTTTAGGTCATGGCTCTCCTTGGAGAATAAATTCACATTCATTTTCTCCATGGTGATGCTCTTGAAATTCTTCCACAATTCTATATACCCCAACACAAGCATTCCCTATTAAATTTTTTCATCTTCTGAGCCATGCTTCTATGTTGTTTTGGACACCTGGGAATCCATTTCACATGCACTCATACACAGACCATTATTGGTGAAAATAATACCAGTGACAGAACAGCAATACCATTGCATAAATGTCCTCTTATCCTATCATGCACATAATTATTTCTGAAGCAGTCAGTAACTTTGCTACCCTCTTCAGGCAAATGAAGCTTTAATTCACTAAAAGCTCCTGGAATGTCACTAGCTGGCAGGAATGCCAATGCAGAGAAATGATGCATTTTTAAAATTGTCGTCATTGCCATATCATGTGGCCAATCCACTCATCTAAATTGTCTACCAAATGCATTGGGCTGAATGGAAAAAAACAACCTTTGTTGGTAATACCTTGAAATTCACTTTTAGAAGGCTTGACAACACCTATTTCCAAATCTACCATATGGCTTAGGGATTCAATTAAATGTTGGGGATTTTAGACCAAATGCAGCCATTTTTAAAATGATGCAAACTTAGATTCTCCAAAAGACACCAGCACTCCCTCCACATTCTATTAGTTAAAGCAAGTCACGGAGTCAGCCAGATTCATGGGAAAGGGCCACCTAAGGGTATGAACCTGAGAAGACTTGGCTCACTGAGTCAACCTTTGGAGACAAGTGAGCAGAGAGGAGACTTGGATGGAGCAGGTGCTGCTAGGGTGGGGAGTCAGGTGGGGGAGTAGGAATTGTGGGAAGGAGGTCTTTTACCTCTAAATACTTCTGTTACCAAGGGATGGGCTTGCTTCCCGATCAGCATAGAAACCAATACTATGGCGCCAGCTTTTGTGAAAAGAAAGGCTTTATGGCAAGTCAACTGGCAAGGAGGCAGGAGGCAAGGCTCAAATCTGACTCCGCATATTGGGAGTGGGTCATGCTTTTATGGGATTGCTAACTAGTCCCAGGTGATGCCAATGCAGCCAATCTGCCAGGTGGGTGGTGTTACGAATTAGGAGTTTGAAGCTTTTCCCTATTGCACATGCATGGGCTATATGATGCAATTTTTGCTCTCCACCATTGCTAACAACTTAAGCAATGGTTAATCAGCTTCAGCTGGTCCTGTGGTTATACTTCTGTTTTGTTTAAACATGTTGTAAAAAGAATGTGTTTACTAATTACTTGCACAACTTCAAATAATAAAAAAACTAAAAATATTTTCCACCAAAAAAGACCATGCTTAATAAAATTGGACCTCCATGGTGTGATCAGAATTGCTCACAGAGCAATCAACAGATGTCTGGTGACTCCAATTAGAAACTATCTGGAACCTCCCTCCTCAATGATCCTCTTGAGGGTCATCTCATTCTGATGAGAGATGGAAGAGGGAAGGGGAGGCAGTGAGACCAGCCAGCCCTCTTCCTCCAATAAGTCTCAGGTGGGCTTGTCCATGTTCATCATTGAAATCCATCCTCCTGGCTTCAGGAATTGGTCAGGGGTGGGTGTGTGATCCCAGCCAAGCCAGTGTGTCAAGATCTGGGGGTGTCACTAGAACTGCGGGGAGTACCGGCTGCTTTTTGTTTTTGACAAAGTCAAATCCAGCTTCAGAGAGCTATACATCATTCCGTCCTCCTGTTTCTCAGCCACCAAACTTTCCTGGCCAGAGGAATTTATAAGAATTCATGGATAATTAACCCTGGTGATTTCTACCTTCAGTGTCTATTAGAGCCATCTTCTGAGGTCCATTTGGAATTATGATGTGCCCAGGCCTGTTGTTTCCAAGAAGGGCCCATAAATGGGAATGTCATCCATGCTAGACCTGATGGAAAATCTATTATAATATGAACATTTTATTGTTAGTATGCTGACTAATTTGCCTTTTAGGCATCTGGTACTGGGCAAAAAGGGTCTCTTAAATGACTTTAAAATATTTAAGCAATCATTCAATTGTAGCTAATAATAGAAGTGTTTGCTTCCTAATTACATATAAAAACTCCTGCATTGCCAGCAAACATATGAAAAAAAAAAAGCTCATCATCACTGGTCATCAGGGAAATGCAAATCAAAACCACAATGAGATACCATCTCATGCCAGTTAGAATGGCTTTCATTAAAAAGTCTGGAAACAACAGATGCTGGCAAGGATGTGGAGAAATAGGAACACTTTCACACTGTTGGTAGGAGTGTAAATTAGTTCAGCCATTGTGGAAGAGTGTGGCGATTCCTCAAGGATCTAGAACCAGAAATACCATTTGACCCAGCAATCCCATTACTGAGTATATATGCAAAGAATTATAAATCATTCTACTATAAAGACACATGCACAAGTATGTTTACTGCAGCACTATTTACAATAGCAAAGACTTGGAACCAACCCAAATGCCCATCAATGATACACTGGATAAAGAAAAGTGGCACATATACAACATGGAATACTATGCAGCCATAAAAAAGAATGAGTTTATGTCCTTTGCATGGACATGGATGAAGCTGGAAACCATCATCCTCAGCAAACTAACACAGGAACAGAAAACCAAACACTGCACGTTCTCACTCATAAGTGGGAGTTGAACAACAAGAACACATGAACACAGGGAGGGGAACATCACACACCGGGGCCTGTCAGGGGGTGAGGGGAAGGGGAAGGAGAGCGTTAGGACAAATACCTAATGCACACGGGGCTTAAAACTTAGATGACAGGTAGATAGGTGCAGCAAATTACCATGGCACATGTCTACCTATGTGACAAAACCTGCACATTCAGCACATGTATCCCAGAACTTAAAGTAAAATAAAAAAAAAAATAAGAAATCTGAAAAAAGGAAAAAAATATCTCCCTCATCACTCAATTAATAAATGTGTATCTGCACCTGTTAGGATGTTCTGGTAGGGAGTAACTAAATCTTGCATTGCATTCAAAGACCTTAGAATTTACTAGTCATGCCCGAGAAAGTCATCATGTGGGGCAGCAAAAGAAATACACAGAAGCCAGAATTAGAGATAAACTTCTGGGATTCAAGGAAGGGTACCATGGAACAACTTACATGGGAGCTGTGGGTCTGCAGCAGTGGGTCTCCAAGTGCTCAGGCCAGCAGCATCAACATCAACCAGGAGCTTGTTAAGAACACAAACCCCAAACCTCCCACGAGCTTCCCAGGAAATTCTGATGTCCAGTCAAGTGTGAGATCTGCCTGTACGAGACATCTAAATTTCCGAGTTTGCTTTGTCTTATCAGTGTTGTGTTCAGGACAGATAAGTTCAAATCTTGGTTCTTTAATTGTTTAATGTTAGTTTTTTTTTTTCAATTAAGTCTCCTTGAGCCTCATTTTTCTTAAATGAGAACAGTGATGGTGGTGTCTACTTCCTGGATTTATTTTAAGTCTAAGTATCTCACACAGCTCCTGGCACACCATATTGTCAGAGGCGTTTGAACCAGAGCAACTCCATCTTGAATAGGAGCTGGGTAAAATGAGGCTGAGACCTAAAGGGCTGCGTTCCCAGAAGGTTAAGGCTTTCTTAGTCACAGGATGAGATAGGAAGTCAGCATAAGATACAAGTCATAAAGATCTTGCTGATAAAACAGGTTGCAGTAAAGAAGACCCACCAAAACCAAGATGGTGATGAGAGTGACCTCTGGTTGTCCTCACTGCTACATTCCCACCAGCGCCATGACAGTTTACAAATGCCAGGCAACGTCACGAGCTTACTTTATATTGTCTTAAAAGGGAAGGAACCCTCAGTTCCAGGAATTGCCCACCGCCTTCCCAGAAAACTCATGAATTATCTACCCATTGTTCAGCAAATAATCAAAAAATAACCATAAAAATGGGCAACCAGTAGCTCTTGGGGCTGCTCCGCCTATATAATAGCCATTCTTTTATTCCTTTACTTTCTTAATAAACTTGCTTTCATTTTACTCTATGGATTTGCTTCATATTATTTCTTGTGCGAGATCCAAGAACCCTCTCTTGGGATCTGGATCAGGACCACGTTCAGGCAACATCTTTCCTGCGAACCATGGAAGAGACTATACTAAAGAGACCCCTAACCCAAAGGAAAATCATCTGCACACAACACCAGTTGGCTGACTATGGGTAAGCAGAGTGCCCATACTTGGGTAAAGGATGAGATAGGGTTAGAGACCCAACTTAGAGGAGCTAGAGACTCTCCTAAAACAAAGTGGGTTAAAGGCCCCACTTAATAAAAGGCAAGGATGAGTGACTGAACTTGGGTTCAAGGCCCAACTTAGGAAGGTTAGAGTTCTTCCTAACATTTAGTGGGTTAGAGGCCCCATTCGGTAGAGTCTCTCTCTGCTAAGAATGGGTTTGGTACCATGGGATATTAACTGCTATTCTCTTTTAATTAATCTGCCTTGCACTCTTTGCTGATGGCTTAGGTGATGGGATTAAGCATGTTCAAGATCATGGGACATGGGGAACTTTATTCTCCCCAAAAGGGGAAACTTGAGAGCTGATGGAACTGCTGGAAAAGATCTCTTCGCTATGGACAAGTTGCCTCCTGAACTCTTGATTCAGCATTTCTGAGATGGGTGGGTCTTTCTCTGGTCTCCCTGGGGTCCTCACTTTCCCCACCCTTGATGCAGGGAATATTTTTCTCCCTTCCCTTTTTTTCTTTCTGTGCAAACCAGCTGAATGAATGATAAAAATCACCGTTTATCTCTTCTGTAAAGTTTTGATTCATTGGAAAAAGGATTTGCAAGGCTAGTGTTAAGCTGTCATGAATCTGTTATAGTTTGTGCTATGAAAGAGGGGTACCTTAGTATAGACATGGGCTTAGGACCCCATAAGCCTGCTGTTCAAGATGACCCAACAAACTGGTCAGTTATGTCCTTGGGAGCTTGACCTTGTAACCATGTGGTGGTACTTTCTCTTAGTCTCTGCCATCCAGGGAACAGGAATTTTGGAATTCACATCACAGTTAGCCCTAAAAATTGTCTTAAGCAGTTAAAAGCCTTTGCAAGCTCAAAATTCACCACTTTAGACTCCTGGGAAAAGCAATGGAGACTGCCCAGTACTGTAGCTCAGTAGCTAAAGGTTTTCTTTTCAAAGTGGTGGCCTGGGTTCAGGGTTCAATTCCTGGCTTAAGAAATGAGTCCTTTCTGGTTTGATATCTGTGTGACCTTTGTCATTTTTTAAATTCTCTTCCCCTCCATGATGAACAACTTCTGGCTTCCCTTATTGAATTTTTCCTTTCTCTAAGCACCTGGGAGGTTACCTTTGGTACAGTTCAAAAGCCAGAAATATTGGCAGTTTGGCATGGCTAAAGTCTGGTAATAAGAGATTTAAAAGAATTTTTTTAAAACAGTGCTATGGTTAAAAGTCAGCTTAATTTAAAGTGGATATTCAAGCTCTAACAGCCTGGGGCTCCTTGAGAAAAACAGGAGATGCCCCACAGAACCTGTTTTGGAAAAAACCTCTGTTTTCCTCATGAAACCCCAGGAATTAAAAGTGGATAGATCCTGCTTAAAATCTGAGGATCTGTTCTGTTTTGCATTGTGTTATCTGACGTTTTTGACTTTGGAGGGTGTCAGAAATTACTTTCCATTATGAAAGGGCTTTGGTGTATAATAATTAGGTAGGAAGTATACTTTGAGGGATAGCTAATGGCAGTTATGGGGGGATACTTGCCTCTTCGCATGTTTGTATTAGAGAAGTATGCTCTTGGTCACCTAGAAGGTATGGCAATGTCCCCACTCCACCCCCCCCCACCACTGAGAAATAAAACTCCCAAAGGAGATGGGCTGATTCCCTCTTTTTGGGGGTATAGGATCCAGTATAAAAATGGGACCCTTAATTTTTGAGATCTGTTTTACCTTCCAGCTGTGCCTGCTTATTAGGCTGTAGAAACTGCATGCTTTCCTACCCCTGTTCCTCTGAGGGCTCCACCCTGAAACAAGTAATCCAGTTAAGAAACTGGCAAATGAAAAATACAACCACTGGATCTTCTTCTGTCTGCCAGTGTATTTATGTGTTGTGTGCGTGATGTCTACATATGAAAGGGCTTTGATTAATTGGTTTAAAAATAATAAGAGTTTAAATAAAATATTTTATCAGAAAAAGAAAAAATATAATGCCTTTTGGTTCATGTGACTTTAGTAAGCTTTGAGAAATAAAGTCAGTTTTAAAGATTATTAGTAAAATTAAATTGTCTTCAAAATTTAGACATTTGGTCTAAATTACACAAGTCAGATATTAGGTTTGCTAAATGGTTTTAAAGTCACAAACTGCTACTTTGACTTTTAAAAATTGTTCAGAACAAAAGGCAGCAGAAACTTCTGCAGACCTAAACGTCCCTGTCTGACAGCTTTGAAGACAGTAGTGGTTCTCCCAGCACGGAGTTTGAGATCTGAGAATGGACAGACTACCTCCTCAAGTGGGTCCCTGATCCCTGAGCAGCCTAACTGGGAGACATCTCCTAGTAGGGGCCGACTGACACCTCATACAGCTCGGTGCCCCTCTGAGATGAAGTTTCCAGAGGAAGGATCAGGCAGCAACATTTGCTGTTCTGCAATATTTGCTGTTCTTCAGCCTCCGCTGGTGATATTCAGGCAGACAGGTTCTGGAGTGGACCTCCAGCAAACTCCAACAGACCTACAGCTGAGGGTCTTGACTGTTAGAAGGAAAACTAACAAACAGAAAAGACATCCACACGAAAACCCCATCTGTACGTCACCATCATCAAAGGCCAAAGGTAGATAAAACTACAAAGATTGGGAGAAACCAGAGCAGAAAAGCTGAAAATTCTAAAAATCAGATCACCTCTTCTACTCCAAAGGAACGCAGCTCCTCACCAGCAACAGAACAAAGCTGGACGGAGAATGACTTAGACAAGTTGAGAAAAGAAGGCTTCAGACGATCAGTAACAACAAACTTCTCTGAGCTAAAGGAGGATGTTCGAACCCATCATAAAGAAGCTAAAAACCTTGAAAAAAGATTGGATGAATGGCTAACTAGAATAAACAGTGTAGAGAAGACCTTAAATGACCTGATGGAGCTAAAAACCATGGCACGAGAACTACGTGACACATGCACAAGCTTCAGTAACTGATTTGATTAAGTGGAAGAAAGGGTATCAGTGATTGAAGATCAAATTAATGAAATGAAGTGAGAAGAGAAGTTTAGAGAAAAAAGAGTAAAAAGAAATGAACAAAGCCTCCAAGAAATATGGGACTATGTGAAAAGACCAAATCTACCTCTGATTGGTGTACCTGAAAGTGACACGGAGAAGGGAACCAAGTTGGAAAACACTCTGCAGGATATTATCCAGGAAAACTTCCCCAACCTAGCAAGGTAGGCCAACATTCAAATTCAGGAAATACAGAGAATGACACAAAGATACTCCTCGAGAAGAGCAACTCCAAGACACATAATTGTTAGATTCACCAAAGTTGAAATGAAGGAAAATATGTTAAGGGCAGCCAGAGAGAAAGGTCGGGTTACCCACAAAGGGAAGCCCATCAGACTAACAGCAGATCTCTCGGCAGAAACTCTACAAGCCAGAAGAGAGTGGGGGCCAATATTCAACATTCTTAAAGAAAAGGATTTTCAACCCCGAATTTCATATCCAGCCAAACTAAGCTTCATAAGTGAAGGAGAAATAAAACCCTTTACAGAAAAACAAATGCTGAGAGACTTTGTCACCACCAGGCCTGCCTTACAAGAGCTCCTGAAGGAAGCACTAAACATTGAAAGGAACAACCAGTACCAGCCACAGCAAAAACATGCCAAATTGTAAAGACCATCAATGATAGGAAGAAACTGCATCAACTAACGAGAAAAATAACCAGCTAACATCGTAGTGACAGGATCAAATTCACACATAACAATATTAACCTTAAATGTAAATGGGCTACATGCTCCAATTAAAAGACACAGACTGGCAAATTGGATAAACAGTCAAGACCCATCAGTGTGCTGTATTCAGGAGACCCATCTCTCTTGCAGAGACACACACACACTCAAAATAAAGGGATGGAGGAAGATCTACCAAGCAAATGGAAAACAAACAAACAAAAAAAAGCAGGGCTTGCAATCCTAGTCCCTGATAAAACAGGCTTCAAACCAACAAAGATCAAAAGAGACAAAGAAGGCCATTACATAATGGTAAAGGGATCAATTCAACAAGAAGAGCTAACTATCCTAAATATACATGCACCCAATACAGGAGCACCTAGATTTATAAAGCAAGTCCTTAGAGACCTACAAAGAGACTAGACTCCCACACAATAATAATGGGAGACTTTAACACCCCACTGTTAACCTTAGACAGATCAACGAGACAGAAAGTTAACAAGGATATCCAGGAATTGAACTCAGCTCTGCACCAAGTGGATGTAATAGACATCTACAGGACTCTCCACCCCAAATCAACAGAATATACATTCTTCTCAGCACCACATTGCACTTATTCCAAAATTGACCACATAGTTGGAATTAAAGCACTCCTCGGCAAATGTAAAAGAACAGAAATTATAACAAACTGTCTCTCAGACCACAGTGCAATCAAACTACAACTCAGGATTAAGAAACTCACTCAAAACTGCTCAACTACATGGAAACTGAGCAACCTGCTCCTGAATGACTACTGGGTACATAATGAAATGAAGGCAGAAATAAAGATGCTCTTTGAAGCCAACGAGAACAAAGACGCAACATACCAGAATCTCATTTAAAGCAGTGTGTAGAGGGAAATTTATAGCACTAAATGCCCACAAGAGAAAGCAGGAAAGATCTAAAATTGACACCCTAACATCACAATTAAAAGAACTAGAGAAGCAAGAGCAAACACATTCAAAAGCTAGCAGAAGGCAAGAAATAACTAAGATCAGAGCAGAACTGAAGGAGATAGAGACATAAAAAACCCTTCAAAAAATCAATGAATCCAGGAGCTGGTTTTTTGAAAAGATCAACAAAATTGATAGACCACTAGCAAGACTAATAAAGAAGAAAAGAGAGAACAATCAAATAGACGAAATAAAAAATGATAAAGGGGATATCACCACCTATCCCACAGAAATACAAACTACCATCAGAGAATACTATAAACACCTCTACTCAAATAAACTAAAAAATCTAGGAGAAATTGACAAATTCCTGGACACATACACCCTCCCAAGACTAAACAAGGAAGAAGTTGAATCCCTGAATAGACCAATAACAGGCTCTGAAATTGAGGCAATTATTAATAGCCTACCAACCAAAAAAAGTCCAAGACCAGATGGATTCACAGCCAAATTCTACCAGAGGTACAAAGAAGAGCTGTTACCATTCCTTCTGAAACTATTCCAATCAATAGAAAAAGAGAGAATCCTCCCTAACTCATTTTATGAGGCCAGCATCATCCTGATACCAAAGCCTGGCAGAGACACAACAAAGAAAGAGAATTTTAGACCAATATCCCTGATGCACATCGATGCAAAAATCCTCAATAAAATACTGGCAAACTGAATCCAGCAGCACATCAAAAAGCTTATCCAACATGATCAAGTTGGCTTCATCCCCAGGACGCAAGGCTGGTACAACATACGCAAATCAATAAATGTAATCCATCATATAAACAGAACCATAGACAAAAACCACATGATTATCTCAATAGATGCAGAAAAGGCTTTCAACAAAATTCAACAGCGCTTCATGCCAAAAACTCTCAATAAACTAGGTATTGATGGGACATACCTCAAAATAATAAGAGCTATTTATGACAAGCCCACAGCCAATATCATACTGAATAGGCAAAAACTGGAAGCATTCCCTTTGAAAACTGGCACAAGACAGGGATGCCCTCTCTCACCACTCCTATTCAACATAGTGTTGGAAGTTCTGGCCAGGGCAATCAGGCAAGAGAAAGAAATAAAGGGTATTCAAATAGGAAAAGAGGAAGTCAAATTGTCCCCGTTTGCAGATGACGTGATTGTATATTTAGAAAACCCCATCGTCTCAGCCCAAAATCTCCTTAAGCTGATAAGCAACTTCAGCAAAGTCTCAGGATACAAAATCAATGTGCAAAAATCACAAGCATTCCTCTACACCATTAACAGACAAACAGAGAGCCAAATCATGAGTGAACTCCCATTCACAATTGCTTCAAAGAGAATAAAATACCTAGGAATCCAACTTACAAGGTATGTGAAGGACCTCTTCAAGGAGAACTACAAACCACTGCTCATCGAAATAAAAGAGGACACAAACAAATGGAAGAACATTCCATGCTCATGGATAGGGAGAATCAATATTGTGAAAATGGCCATACTGCCCAAGGTAATTTATAGATTCAATGCCATCCCCATCAAGCTATCGACGACTTTCTTCACAGAATTGGAAAAAACTACTTTAAAGTTCATATGGAACCAAAAAAGAGCCTGCATTGCCAAGACAATCCTAAGCCAAAAGAACAAAGCTGGAGGCATCATACTACCTGACTTCAAGCTATACTACAAGGCTACAGTAACCAAAACAGCATGGTACTGGTATCAAAACAGAGATATAGACCAATGGAACAGAACAGAGCTCTCAGAAATAATACCACACATCTACAACCATCTGATCTTTGACAAACCTGACAAAAACAAGAAATGGGGAAAGGATTCCCTATTTAATAAATGGTGCTGGGAAAACTGGCTAGCCACATGTAGAAAGCTGAAACTGGATCCTTCCTTACACCTTATACAAAAATTAATTCAAGATGGATTAAATACTTAAATGTTAGACCTAAAACCATAAAAACCCTAGAAGAAAACCTAAGCAATACCATTCAGGACATAGGCATGGGCAAGGACTTCATGTCTAAAACACCAAAAGCAATGGCAACAAAAGCCAAAATAGACAAATGGGATCTAATTAAACTAAAGAGCTTTTGCACAGCAAAAGAAACTACCATCAGAGTGAACAGGCAACCTACAGACTGGGAGAAAATTTTTACAATCTACCCATCTGACAAAGGGCTAATATCCAGAATCTACAAAGAACTTAGACAAATTTACAAGAAAAAAATCAAACAACCCCATCAAAAAGTGGGCAAAGGACATGAACAGACACTTCTCAGAAGAAGACATTTATGCAGTCAACAGACACATGAAAAAATGCTCATCATCACTGGCCATCAGAGAAATGCAAATCAAAACCGCAATGAGATAACATCTCACACCAGTTAGAATGGCGATCATTAAAAAGTCAGGAAACAACAGGTGCTAGAGAGGATGTGGAGAAACAGGAACACTTTTACAGTGTTGGTGGGACTTTAAACTAGTTCAACCATTGTGGAAGACACTGTGGCGATTCCTCAAGGATCTAGAACTAGAAATACCATTTGACCCAGTGATTCCATTACTAGGTATATACCCAAAGGATTATAAATCATGCTGCTATAAAGACATATGCACACGTATGTTCACTGTGGCACTATTCACAATAGCAAAGACTTGGAACCAAACCAAATGTCCACCAAGGATAGACTGGATTAAGAAAAGGTGGCACATATACATCATGGAATACTATGCAGCCATAAAAAAGGATGAGTTCATGTCCTTTGTAGGGACATGGATGAAGCTGGAAACCATCATTCTGAGCAAACTATCGCAAGGACAGAAAACCAAATACTGCATGTTCTCACTCATAGGTGGAAATTGAACAATGAGAACACTTGGACACAGGGTAGGGAACATCACACACTGGGGCCTGTCATGGGGTGGGGGGAGCTGGGAGGGACAGCATTAGGAGATAAACCTAATGTAAATGATGAGTTAATGGGTGCAGCACACCAACATGGCACATGTATACATATGTAACAAACCTGCATGTTATGCACATGTACCCTAGAACTTAAAGTATAATAAAAAAATTGTTCAGAATATCTACTTTGAAGCATTAGATTCTAGATGAGGCCTGGGGACATGTGAAGTGCCATGCCCCTTAGCCATGCTGGAAAGAGTCAGCTCTTACAGCACTTCTGTCTGGTGTCCTAGGCTCCACACCTGGCACATAATTATAATCACTTATGAACCAGGTTTTTCACCAAAAGTAAAAGTTGCTAAAAGTTAACAGTGCAATATGTGTTTGAGACTACTAAAGAAACAGTTCTACAATATGCAAGGAGTGTAAGGAAAGTAGAATATACTTTTGGTAAAAGATTATAAGAAGGCCTGGGAATGTGGATTTCTTGCCTGTGTTTAAAGGGTAAAAGGATTCTTTTAAAGTGAGATAGAAAAATATTAAAGGTTTGAACAAGTTGTGGAAAGTTTATTAAAAAATTAATTGTTAAAAAGATTCTTTGTGTGAACATATTATCTAGAGTTAAAGGGGGTATTATTCAGTTTTTCTGAATAATAGTTGAACACTAAAATAAAAGCACAACAGGATTTTCTCAGAGCACTGATCTGCTCTTTACTGAAAATTGTTAAGGGATTATAAAGGGTTTATAAGAATCTTGCCTTACAGTTGAACTGATTAAGATTGAATAGATTTGTCTAATAATTATAGTTGTTATGTTAAATTATTGTGTGCCATAGATGTAACCAAAATTTCCTTGTCAATTGTGACTTTAATAGTGGCTGTCCTAAGACTCTTTGCCATCCACAGACAATTGTTTTCTTGTTTTGATCCTCTTCAAAAGGTGGTTTATAATCAGCTATAGAATTTGACAGGTACTAACGAATGCAGGTTTCTGATAACTTTGGAGATTGTAACATTAGAATAGAGGAAAAATCTTTAAGGGCTCTCATGGAGAGCTGAAATGTTTATTAATATCAAGCAGAACAGAAATTAACTGCATGGGCTGAACTAATAGAAGACTGAAGTAATCTTTCTGACTTTTGCTTAAAATGTAGCTGATCTTTTGTTTTGTTTTCCAGAGTTAAGGAAACTTTTCTTTTGAGGTATTTACAGCCTTTAGCAATTGAGTAAAGTATACTCCTGTAAACAAAATTCAGAGCATATTTGTTTCTCTTTATGTGATTTCTCCAGAATTTAGAAATTATTTTTGAGTAATCTTAATTTATGGCAATATAAATATTTGCATAAGTACAACAATCATGTTTTCTTTTGTAACAGGAAACAATTAGAGAAACTGGTTATTTTACCAAGGCTTTGACTCAAACGGTGTGCTTTCCTCTACGAAATCAAACTTGACTTGTAGAGCCAACAAAAGCCCCTTGGGAAAACTGGCCTCATACCTTTTCTACAGCAGTCCCTGTGCAGGGTTCCTGACCTGTGGTAAGTAAAGAATGTCACTTTCTGACAGGCTGAGAAGCCCCAAGTTTTCTTCAGACCTCAAAAGAAGAAGCATTTATTTAACTCAGGTATTTGAGGGTACAAACCCATGGCTGGGTTTGGCTTTAAAAAAAAGTCTTATCTAAGATTCCTTTTATAGAAAAGGAATTCCATCAAAGCCAATTTAAAAAGCATATTTAAAAAAAATTATTTTTGATGCACCTTATACAAATAATCTGGTCAAGTATAAGACTAAGGCTTATTTTTGCAAACAAATCAGTCTGTTATGATTTGTCTTGAGTAAAAGTGGGATAATAGAGAGAGAGAAAAAATTATGTTTCAAGTACTATGGTACACCTGTTATAAAATTCTGGTTTCATCAGTTGTTTTTGAGGGTTTTTTTTCTGCGATTTAGACTGACTCTGTTTATTCCTGTGAATCAATCAGTGATCTCTGGCTGCAGCTCAGAAGAATTGAGATGGATGAGTAATGTAGAAACAATCTGGATCAATATTCTAATTCTCAGCATATACTGGAATCAGCTAGCAACCCCATATCAGCTTGGTTTCAACAATTTTCCAGTTCATAGAAAGCCTTCTTATTTAGTTTACTTGGCATAATTTTGCTTATTTTGCTTTACTGTTGTGGAATATATTGCTGTCGTACTCCTTGTGTAGGAATGCAGGATAAGCTTACGCAATATTCTCTTAAATTGAACACTTATTAATCTTCCAGATATCACATTTTGTCAGAGCTCAAGAGTCATGAATGACCCTCACCAAACTGATGCTTTCTGACTGAGCTCCTCTCTACCCTGAGGAGCCCCAGTAGTTAGGCAGGAATATCATTACCCCTATTCAGCCTGAAGAAATTACAAAAGATGGATCTTTGTCCCTCTTCAACCCTTAGGATTAAGGGTTCTCTTAGAAAAAGGAGAGGAGAAACATGTCAGAGGCATTTGAACCAGATCAACTTCATCTTGAATAGGGGCTGGAAAAAATGAGGCTGAGACCTACTGGGCTGTATTCCCAGGAAGTTAAGGCATTCTAAGTCACAGGGTATGATAGGAGGTCAGCACAAAATACAGGTCATAAAGACCTTGCTGATAAAACAGCTTATAGCAGAGAAGCTGGCTAAAACCCACCAAAACAGAGATGGCGATGAGAGTGACTTCTGATCCTCCTCACTGCTACATTCCCACCAGCACCATGACAGTTTACAAATGCCAGGAAATGTCAGGAAGTTACCCTATATAAAAAGGGAAGGAATGCTCAGTTCCTGGAATTGTCCACCCCTTTCCCAGAAAGCTCATGAATAATCTATGCCTTGTTTAGCATATTATCAATAAATAACCATAGAAATGGGCAACCAGCAGCCGTTGGCGCTGCTCTGCCTACGGAGTAGCCATTCTTTTATTCTTTCACTTTCTTAATAAACTTACTTTCATTTTACTCTATGGATTTGCCTCGAATTCTTTCTTGTGCGAGATCCAAGAATACTCTCTTGGGGTCTGGATTGGGACCACTTTCAGGTAACAATATGGCTGGAGTGTATTAGACCATTCTGCACTGCTATAAAGAACTACCTGAGGCTGGGTGATTTATGAAGAAAGAAGGTTTAATTGACTCACAGTTTCACGGGTTGTACAGGAAGCATAGTTGGGGAGGCCTCAGGAAACTTATAATCATGGTAGAAGGGTACAGGGGAAGCAGGCACATCTTACATGCTTGGAGCAGGATGGAGAGAGAGTGAAGGGGGAGGTGGATATACCTTTAAACAACCAGATCTTGTGAGAACATACTCACTATCATGAGAACAGCAAAGGGAAAATCCACCTCCAGGATCCAATCACCTTGCACCCGGTCCCTCCCCCAAAATCGGGATTACAATTCAACATGAAATTTAGTGGGGGGACACAAAGCTAAACCATGTCATGGAGATACCATTGTTTTTCCACTTTAGTCCAGATTCTCAGGAGCATCTTTATACACATGGCTAAGGGCTCAGCAACAGTTCACACTTAGCTAAAAATGGCTTAAGTTTCAGTGTGTTTTATTTCTCAAACTCAAGATTACTTTGAGGATCTCAACACATTATGGTTTTTGGCACCTCCAGTTAACTGCAATAAGCCTTAGATACACAACTTCCAATTAGGACATCCAAAAAATCCCAAATCTTAAGAAATTGATGGTACAATTGTGGCAGACAGACTTTGTGAAAACTCAAGTTCATGATAAAAAAATTCCAATCAAGTTTCTGAAACTTTTTTATTGGGAAACAGGAATATTAGCAAACTGCACTATTATTAAAAATAATAACTCAAGGGCACAGAATAAAATTAGCTTTCTGAATGAGAAATATTAAAAGCAAAAACGTCTAGGGGTGGAGACAGAGTTCCTGTAACAGAAATGAGAATGTCAGTGATAGAATAAACTGAGCTAGCTTGCTAAAGAATTCAAAGAAATAATGAGAGTGTGTAGGCAAGAAATCAGAGTCATCAGAAGAGCTGCAACTTACAAAGACCCCAAAAGCAAACTCAATTCATCAGGAGCAAGAGGAAAATAAATGAAACACGTTGCTCCTTCAATCCATAAGAAAAGAACGATAACAGCCCATAGTACAAAGACAAAGCCATTATTTTGTAACAGAGTCTTCACAAAGACTTTCCTCTGCAACTATGAGTCTGTGCAGGCTGCAAACGCACTGAAAGGGCAGGAAGCCAAACCAGAGTTGGGAAAGATTAGTCATAGATGTCACCCTTTGTAGACTCTGATGCTTCTCGCCTTGCCCTGGGAAGCCGTGAGCTGCCAGCTACAGAGACTTGGGGGACAAAGAACATGCATCTGAGGGCAAGGGTGACAGCAGATCTGTCCTACTGGTGGAGAGAGCTCCCAATCCAGACCCTAAGAGAGGGTTCTTGAATCTGCACAAGAAAGAATTTGAGGCAAGTCCATAGAACTACGTGAAAGCAAATTTATTAAGAAAGTAAAGGAATAAGAGAATGGCTACTCCATAGGCAGACCAGGCCCAAGGGCTGCTGGTTGCCCATTTTTATAGCTATTTCTCAATTATATGCTAAATAAGGGGTGGTTTATTCATGCCTCCCCTTTTAAGACCATATAGGGTAACTTCCTGACATTGCCATGGCATTCGTGAACTGTCATGGAGCTGGTGGGAGTGTAATAGTGAGGACAACCAGAGGTCACTCTCATTGCCATCTTGGTTTTGGTGGGATTTAACCAGCTTCTTGACTGCAATCTGTTTTATCAGCAAGGTCTTTATGACCTGTGTCTTGTGCCAAACTCCTGTCTCATCCTGTGACTTAGAATGCCTAACCGTCTGGGAATCCAGCCTAGCAGGTTTCAGCCTCATTTTATCCAGCCCCTATTCAAGATGGAGTTGCTCTGGTTCAAATGTCTCTGACATTTCCCCTCTCCCTTTTCTAAGAGAACCCTTAATCCTAAGGGTTGCGGAGGGATAAAGATCCATCTTCTGTAACTTCTTCAGGATGATTAGAGGTGATGATATTCCTGCCTATTAGGGTCTCTTATATTAGGCATAGAAAGGAGCTCTGTCAGGAGGCATCAGTATAGTAAGGGTGATTCATGACTCTTGAGTTCTGAGAAAAGGTGGTATCTGGAAGATTAATAAGTATTCAATTTAAGAAAACATTGAGTAAGCTTATCCTGCATTCCTACACGAAGAGTACAACAGTAATACATTCCACAGCAGTAAAGCAAAATAAGTACAATTATTTCAAGTAAACTAAACTAGAAGTCTTTCCATGAATTGGGAAACTGTTGGAACCAGGCTGATATGGGATTGTTAGCTGATTCTAATGCACCCAGAATTAGAATATTGATTTTATCCAGATGTTTTTTACATTACCCATCCCTCTTATTTCTTCTGAGCAGCAGTCAGAGATTGCTGGTTGGTTCACAGGAATGAGCCAGATCAGCCTAAGTTGAAGAAAAAACTCAAAAACAACCAATGAGACTAGAATCTAATAACAAGTGTACCATAGTTCTTGAAACATAATCTTTCTCTATCCAGTTTACCATTGTTACTAAGGACAAATCATGGTAAGACTGTTTTGCTTTATTACACTTGGCCTGATTATTTGTATAAAGTGCAGTAAGAATAATTATTTTTCACATAAGCTGTTTTTAAATTGGCTTTTGTGAAACTCTGTTCCATAGAAGGAATCTCAGATAAGACTTTTATAAAGCTGAGCCCTGCCATAGGTTTGTACCCTCAAATACCTATGAGTTGTGTCAATTCCTTTCCTTTTGAAATCCCAAGATAACTTGGGGCTCCTGGGCCTAAGATAAGTGCCATTCTTTACTTATCACACAGGTCAGGAATTCTGTACAGAGACTGCTGTAGACTAGGCATGAGGCCAGTTTCTTCAAGGGGCTTTTATTAGCTTTACAAATCAAGTTTGATTCCTTAAAGGAAAGAACACCATTACAGTCAAAGCGTTGGTAAAATTACCAGTTTCTCCAATTCTGTCCTATTGCAAAAGGGCTGATAAAGGCTGACTCTTGAGCCTAGCTAGGGAGCATGGCTCTCCATATGTCCCTAGGCCTTATTTAGAATCTAATGCTCTAAAGTAGGTAAATTGAACAATTTTCAAAACTTAAAGAAACAGTTTATTACCTTAAAGCATTTAGCAAGCCTAATATCTGACCTGAGTAATTTAGACCAAATGTTTAAATTTTGAAGACATTTTAATTTTACCAATAATTTTTAAAACTGTCATTTCTTGAAGAGTACTAAAGTCACATGAACTAAAAGCCATTAGACTTTTTACTTTTCTGACAAAATGCTTGATTTAAGCAGTCATTGTTTTTAAACCAATGAAAGCTTCTTTTTTATATCACAAACACACAACACACATAAATACATGACAGAAGAAGACCCAGTAGTTGTAAGATTTTTCATTTACCAGTTTCTTAATTGGATTACTGGCTTCAGGGTGGAGCCCAGAGCCAGGAAAGCATGCATTTTCTAGGGCTAATAAGCAGGGACAGCTGGAAGGCAAACAGATTCCCCCCCCCAGATTAAGGGTCCTGCTTTTATACCAGATCTTGGATCCCAAAAAGAAGGAATCAGCCCCTCCCCATGGAAGTCTTATCTCTCAGTGGCGGTGGTGGTGGGTGGGGGGGCGCATCTCCATACTTCCTAGGTGGCCAAGAGCATGTGTTTCTTATCCAAGCATGCACAGCTGAGTATTTCCCAATAACTGCCATTAGCCATCTCCAAAAGTATATTTCCTACCTAGTTATTACACACCAAATTCTCTCATAATGCAAAACAATTTCTGATACCTGCAAAAGTCAAAAACATCAGATACGGCAATGCAAAACAGAACAAAGCCTTAGATTTTGAGAGGAAACTAACTGCTTTTAATTCCTGGGGTTTCATGAGGAAAAAAAAGAGAATTTTCCCAAAACAGGGTCCGTGGCACTTCCTCTGTTTTTCTCCAGGAGTTCTAGGCTGTTAGTAATTATCTCAGGTTCTCTTATGTCGGCATTAACAGTGGCAAAAAGACAAAATGAAGAAAAACAGTTCAGTCGACTGAGGAGAAAAACTTTTTTCAGAAAGAACAAGATTCAAGAAGGGGAAAAAGATAAAGCCCTTTTAAATATATATAGTTTAGATATCCATATTTTAAATTAATTAAGCTGATTTTTAACCATAGCGCTCTTTTAAAAAGTCATGGTAAATTTCTTATTACCAGACTTTAGCCAGGCCAAACAGCCAATATTTCTGGCTCAGTGAAAGGAAAATACAGGACAGTTTTTGGAGGAGAAGAGAATAACAAATGGTAATGGTCATGCAGATATCAAACAAGAAAGAACTCATTCCCTAAGCAGGGAATTGACCCTGAAGTTGGGATGCCATTGTAATGGCAGAGACCAAGAGAAAGTACTGCCACGTATTTACAAGGTCAAGCTCCCAAGGACATAACTGACCAGTTTGCTGGGCTGTCTTGAACAGCGAGCTTGTGGAGTCCCAGGGCTGTGTTCTATCCTACGGTACCCTTCTTTATGACAGAACAATACAGAAAGACACACAAATCATGCCAGATTCACCACAGCTTAAGAGTAGCCTCACAAATCTTTTTTCCATTAATCAAAACTTTATGAAGGAGATAAACAGTGATTTTTACCATTCATTCAACTGGTTTGCACAGAGAGAGAGGCCAGAAGTCTGACTGGTAAGAAATTTTTACCCTTTTGCCAGCATGCCAGGCTTCTGGGTTCCCTTTCCCTAGTGAACAGCCCTAGTGACCTGTGGGCTGCACCACAGCCCTGGGGGCCAAGCCACATTATAAAGGAAAATTGTCTTTTTCTGTTCTGGCCGGAGAAAAATACATGTGACAAAGCAGACACTAGCTGCCCTGCTTAGCACCCAATGTCAAACTACTATGGCTCAAACTTGCTCCTGATTGGGCCCTGTCATCATTAATCCAACCTCTGACCAGCAGTTTCAACTTGCGGTCACAGGGCAAGATGATCACCCTGAATAATAAAAAATATAGGAAAGGAAAAAGAGAGAGAGAAATGCGTTGTCTGCAGCAGGGTGGGGGAGGCGAAGAGGTCAGGGAGGCCAGAGAAAGACCCATCTATTGCAGCAACACTGAAAAGTTCAGGTGGCCATTTGTCGGTCATAGGAGGGATCTTTTCCAGCAGTTCCATCAGCTCTCATGTTTCCCCTTTAGGGAGAAAAAAGCTCCCCATGTCCCTTCATCCTGTACATGCCTAATTCTGTCGCCCACAGCCATCAGCAAAGAATGTAAGGCAGATTAATTAAAAAAGAATAGGAATTAACATCCCATGGTGCCAAATCCATTCTTAGCCCAGAAGGACTTTACTAAATGGCTCCTCCAACCCCCTAAATCTTAGGAATGACTCTAACCTTCTTAAGTTGGGCCTTGAACCCAAGTTCAGTCGAGTTTCCTTGCCTTTTATTAAGAGGGGCCTTTAAGGCTGGGTGCGATGGCTTGCACTTGTAATAACAGCACTTTGGGAGGCCAAGGCAGGTGGATCACTTGAGGTCCAGGAGTTCAAAACCAGCCTGGCCAACATGGTGAAACCCCATCTCTATTAAAGATACAAAAATTAGCCAGGTGTGGTGGTGGGTGCCTGTAATCCCACAAGGCAGGTGGATCACTTGAGGTCCAGAAGTTCAAAACCAGCCTGGCCAACATGGTGAAATCCCATCTCTATTAAAAATACACAAATTAGCCAGGTGTGGTGGTGGGTGCCTGTAATCCCAGCTACTCAGGGCTGAGGCAGGAGAATCACTTGAACCCAGGAGGAGGAGGTTGCAGTGAGATCGCACGACTGCACTCCAGCCTGGGCGACAGAGTGAGACTCTGTCAAAAAAAAAAAAAAAAAAGGCGGGGGGTGTCTTTTACCCACTCTGTCTTAGGAGAGATTCTAACTCCCCTAAGTTGGCCTCTAACCCAATCCCATCCTTTACTCACATATATGCACACCACTTGCCCAAAGTCAGCCAATTGGTGTGTGTACAGATAATTTTCCTTCGGGTCGAGGGTCTCCTCAGTATCATACCTTTGGAGTTCACCAGAAAGATGTTACCGGACCCCACCACTTACCCCAAATTAGCCTTTGGGTTGGGGGCTTCCTCAGTATTGTCCCTTCCATGGTCACCAGAAAGATGTTACCAGAAATGGGTCCTGATCCAGACTCAAGAGAGGGATATTGGATCTCGGATCTCGCACAAGAAAGAATTTGAGGTGAGTCCATAGGCAAAAGTGAAAGCAAGTTTGTTAAGAAAGTAAAGTAATAAGAGAATGGCTACTCCGTAGACAGAGCAGCCCCAAAGGGTGCTGGTTGCCCATTTTTATGGTTATTTCTTGATGATATGCTAAACAAGGGGTGGATTATTAATGCCTCCCCTGTTTAGACCACATAAGGTAACTCCCTGATGTTGCCATGGCATTTGTAAACTGTCATGGCACTGGTGGGAGTGTAGCAGTGAGGACGACCAGCGGTCACTCTCATTGCCATCTTGGTTTTGGTGGGAATTAGCCACCTTCTTGACTGCAACCTGTTTTATCAGCAAAGTCTTTATGACCTTTATCTCGTGCCGACCTCCTATCTCATCCTGTGACTTAGAATGCCTAACCATCTGGGAATCCAGCCCAGCAGGTTTCAGCCTCATTTTATCCAGCCCATATTCAAGATGGAGTTGCTCTGGTTCAAATGCCTCTGACACTTCCACCCAGGAGTTTCAGAAGGTGAAGGGAGTTGGGAAACGCATCATTGTAGGCAGAATTGCAGAAGCTTCCACAGAATCTGAAAAGTTAGAGACAGAGGGATGGGGGTCCAAGTATAACAGAAATTTTTTTTGTGTTCCTGAGTCACAGGAGAACTGGTTGGTCAGAGATGGCTTTTAGGGCTGAATGAATGCTGCCGCTCTGAAATTGATCTTGCTATTGCCTGTTGCTTGGAACCTCCAGGGACCCAAGGGGCAGACTGGCCTTTTTCGGGGTTAGTGTGTCAGTGTGCTTTGTAAACTGTAAGGTCATACTCAAAACATATATCCCTCATTTTCAGGCGAGAGGGAAGTACCACTAAACCTTTAAGCCACTGATATATGTCTGGACTCCATCAAAGTGTCCTGCACCCTTCTTGGGGGCCTTAGGGTGGTGGTGTGGTTTGTCTCTTGAGCCCTAGTGTTCACTCTTCAATATCAGGGCCTGATTCTGAGTTTTCACAAGGATCTATCCATAAAAGGTCTTATTTAAAGAAAGAGAAAGTATAGCTTGAAGTTCCATGAACCTGAGAAATGGTAGGGTAAGTCATAATAAAATATGTGTGCATACGCACAGAAAAGTCTATAAGGACAGACACCAGGCTAGGAACTGCACTGACCATCAGAAGGATTCATGCCTGGTGTGGGGAAGAGTGACTTTTGATTTTTTACTCTATGTATGTCTTACAGTGTTAAATTTTTCCAACAGGAATGTATTCATGTGTTACTTATGCAATTAGAAAGAACAAGTAAAAGAAACTGATGCCTAACAGGATGGCTCTCAAACTGGAGTATGCACTGGCACCCCAGGACGGCTTGTTAAACGCAAGCTGCTAGGCCCCACCCCAGAATTTCTAACTCAGTAGCTCTGGGTGGAGCCTAATGCTAATGATCTGGTCAGAGACCACATAGTGTCTTAGAAAGGTGGAATTCTGAGCTTCAGGTTTCACTGGAGGAGCCAGGATTTGAGCCCAGACTACATCACATTAGACCTAACTCTTGACCTCAACCATTTGCTGACCAGGGCTACTTCTGTGTGATGGAATTAAGGGGAATTTGGTTTTTGATCATTTTCTTAAAATATATTTTTAATGTATTTATTGGATTTTTAAATATAACATCAACTCATCCTGAAAGTCCTACAAGTATGCTTTCTGTAGTTTTTCAAAGTTGTTAAGTATTTATTGCTTTGGTACTTTTTGTTAATTATGTCATGAGCCTTTTTTTTTTGGTCTCAATGCAGTGTATCCCCAAGATGACAACTCTGGTGTGAATCTGAACAGGACGCCAGGATGTGGGGATGCCCTCTCACTCCACACCATACAGGGCTGGCGAGGATATATCCTTTCTTTAACAAACGGCAGCATCCTAAAATACAAATAGGTTTCACCAACCCAAGGAAATCAAGAAGGAAATACATGTATATCATGATGGAGAGAATTTTTTTTTCCCATTTAAAAATCGACTGAAGGTTCCGGATGATGTTGGCAGTCTGCATGCACACAGCAGCCTCTCCCTCCACCCACATCCCCAGGAGTACAGAAGAGTTGTAAAGAATAAGCAAATCCCTAAAACAGAAGAAGTGGCATGTTGGTGGACCAACTATATTAAGGCATCCCTGAAAAAGGGAAAGCCAATCAGGATAGGACTGAATAGGAAATTCACAAACACCATGCATACATCAGAGGACTGACGCATTAGCACAGAGAGCACTAAGAGACCGAAAGTAAAAGTTGCCAAGAGAATGCCTTGTATAGATGGACTTCATTCTGCTTCCTGAACCAATTATTTCCAAGGGGAAAATGATTACAATGATTCGCTTAAAGTAATCAAGACCACCCCTAGAGACAGTGCACAACTCCAAAAACATACTACTGCTACACAATGGGAAATGGACCTTGAGGAATCAACCACAGTGAACACTAAACAGCACAAATGGACAAAACGATAAGATGAGTAAAAGAAAATGTAAGAGATATGAAGATAGATTCGGCTGTTCCGGTGTCCATCAAATACAAAGTACAGAAGTAAGAATACACAGGAGGAGTAATAGGACAAACTTTCCCAGAACTGAAGACCCAAGTCCTCATTTGAAAAGTTGCACTAAATGCCTAACAAGATTTTTTTTAAATAAATGAAAATAATCTTCCATTCTTGGTGCAATGTTAGAACAACACTGATAAAGAGAACATTCTAAAGTCCTCGGGAATAGGGGATTAGTATTAGATAAAGTAAGAAAGAACGAGACAACAATGTGAATGTACTTAATGCCACTGAACTTACATTTAATATGGTTAAACTGTTAAGTTTTATATGTATACTTTACCACAGTTTTAAAATATATATTACTTTTTTTAAAAAGAATGAGCACATGGACAACAAACTTCTCATCAGCAACTTTAAACATGAAACACAATAAAGCAACATCCTCAAAATTCTGAGGGAAAATGAATTTTGAACTTGGACTTCAGCATGCAGCTACAATATACTGCAAGGATGAGGGGAAAGTAGTGAACATTTTCAGATTCAAAAAGGTGACCTTGGGAGGCTGAGGCGAGCGGATCACAAGTTCAGGAGTTCAAGACCAGCCTGGTCAACATGGTGAAACCCCCGTTTCTACTAAAAATACAAAAATTAGCTGGGGGTCGTGGTGGGTGCCTGTAGTCTCAGCTACTTGGTGGGCTGAGGCAGGAGACTCTCTGGAACCTGGGAGGCGGAGGTTGCAGTAAGCTGAGATCGCGCCACTGCACTCCAGCCTGGGTGACGGAGCGAGACTTTGTCTCCAAAAACAAAACAAAACAAAACAAAAAAAAACCTGACCACCCAGAAACACTCCCTGAAAGAATTAACTGAGGCTGTACTCAAGCAAGAATTAACATAAATCCAAGAAAAAGAAATGGAAAGCAAGAAGCAATGTTGAATAATCAATGAAATTAATTAGGTCTAAATAAGTGCTGTGGTTGTGTTTTAATATAGGAATAGACTGGAAGTAAAATCCCATGTTAACCTAGAAGGTGGGGTGAACATGGGAGAGGGAGAATGGCAATGAGGGGAAGGGAAAGGAGGCAGAGGCCCTCATCTCCTTTGGGCTGGAGTCCTGCCTACCTTCAGATGTCAGAACTAGTGCCAGAAAAATACTAGTTTAAACGTGTGCATTAAAACTTAAGGTCATTTGTAGTGGCAAAAATACACATGAATGGTAAAGTGAAATATACACTATCAAGTGTGGTTGAGGATGTGGAGTAATAGGAACTCTCATTCACTGCTAGCACGGGTATAAATTTGGGTAAACACTTTGGAAACCATTTTCCGAATGTTTGGCATTTTCTTCCAAAGCTGAACATGTGCATGTCCTATGACCCAGCAGCTCCACTCCAAGAGAAATTAACCCGTATGTCCACCAAAACAAATGTATAAAAATATTCATAGCAGCATTATTCATAATAGCCTCAAACTGGAAAAGAAGCAAATATCCATCAACAGCGTAATGAATGAACAAATTGTGATATGTTCATGAAATATAATATCGCATAGAAATGAGAATAGAAGAGCCTCAACTGCATGCAACAGCCTTTCTGTAACTGGCAAAATAAAAAAAAAATTAAAAAAAAAAAGCCCTTCAACCCTCACCATTCATTCAGTAAATGTTGACCAAGCCTCACTCTGTGCCACACTCATCTTGGTGCTGGGTAGGGCACCAGTGAACAAAATTAGTGAGGTTCTACATTCACTGATAATTCACTTTGCTCAGGAAAGTAGGTAATAAACATGAATAAATAACCAGCCTGGCTTCACCCACCTTCTGCCCTTCTTGTGCCAACTCCCCACCCATCCTCCTGCCAAACTGAATTTTCAGCAACATTGTGCCCCTTCCATTTCTGCATATGCGATTCCTCCTTCCTGGAATCCCTTTTTTCCTTCCCTCCCTCCCTCTCCGCTTCCCCTTCTCCACTTCTCAGATCTCTTCAATCCTTAATGATCTGTATCAAATATCATGTGGCCAAGAAAGCCCTCCTCACTCCTCGAGTAAAAACCTTTCTGATCTTGAAATAGAACGCTCTGTGTCCTGTTAACATTGACTTCTTTGCCAGTTTGCACGATGCCTTTTTCCCCTTTTATTACACCAAAAAGGTAGGCACCGAGAATATAAGGAAATCATGCTGCTGAAACTCAAAACAAAGGAAATCTAAAGCTTTAAGGCTCTCTGGTGTTGACATTCCCTTCCTCCCTGATGATAGCCTGACACCCCAGCTCACCTCCGAAATGTTGAGTCGGTGTCAGCCTTGCCCCATCACCCAGACACCCAGCACAGGCTCCAGAACCCAGGTGTATATTTTGTCACTCACATGGGCAGGCTGTGCCTTCGCTCCTCTGCCTATGACTAAGGCCTCACATGTAATGGGTACAAAATAAATGTTGTTGAATGTATTCACTAAGGGCTAATGAAGTTAAAGACGCTCTTGATAAACCCCTAGTGAGTAGGACTGGAAAGCTGATAGTACTTCATTTGATAATGCAGGAATCTCATGAATCATAATTTCTTCATTAACTTTTTATTTCACTTATTAGCACCAATTTGTATTGGTTTGCAATTTGTAATGAACTTGAACATTGTCTGATTGCGTTTCTGTGAAATCAGTCTGGAATTTCGATATTTCGCGATTAAATAGGCCTTCCCCTCAGCTATATGAATTCAGGTGGATGTTTGAGAACTTGGACATTGTAGTTCAAGAACAATGAGGGTTAAAAAAATGGAATCTGATCTTAGCAAAGAAAGAAAGGAGTAAAAAGTGCATTCTATTTATAACCTCCTGTGACTCTGTAATTATTTCAAAAGACATTGTTGAAAAAACTGCACAGATTTTGGGGGAGAAAAGAAGACTATATAGCACCATTGCTATAAATTTCAACTTTTTCTCTCAGTTTACCTGGGTACCCATTGTTTCCTGTCTAGAGCAATACGCTGAAAAGGATACAGGTAACTTTCAACTGGGGCTCAGATGTATTTCCTAATAGATCAATAAGTTGACATTTTCCAAACTGAATCACAGGTTATATAAGATGAATGGATATTCTATAAGTTAATGACCTAATCTCTAAGTGTAAATATTACCTGGTAGTACACTTTTAAGCTGAATTTACCACAATTACACCATTCAACATTGATTAACTGTTTCTATGTGCCAAGCACTCACATAGAAGAAGAAAAAGTCACTGACTCCAAATTTCACTCTATCTTTTGTTCTTTAAAAAGCCTGAGACTACAGATTTATGAAAGGCATACGTCACTTTCCCTGGGCTGGCATATGACAAAGCCCTATAAAACTTGCATGTATTTCTGCGTTCTGCTTTTTAGTAAGAAAAGAATAGAAGTTGGAGTCATACAGCCCTCAGTTAAAGGCCCACTTCATGGAATGTTATGTGTGAACATTCAGCAAATTACTTGAGCTTGTGGAGTCTCTGTTTACTCGCCTGAAGAATGGAATATGGTGAGAATTACATGAGAGGGCATGGATTTTGGACAAGTGGCATCGCTGTGTGCATAATCAAAGCAAGTTAGACATGCTGCATTCTAAACAATGACTAGTCTCCACCGCACACTGGTGTGGTAAGGATTTTCAATTCGCTTTTCCTAAAATTTGCACCAATTTACACATCCACTCATAGTGCACTAGGGCTCCTTCTCCTCCCTCTGCCAGCTCTGCAGGATGTGACTACAAGGTGGCTTCTTTTCATTTTGTTACTTCTCTGAATATTATAATTTTTACAATGAACTTCATTGTAAAATAAAGCATTATAAAATGCTTCAGAAATTACATTTTATTTAAATTTTAATGTCCCATCCTTTTCACTTAATCTAGGGAAATAATCAAAAATGCATGAAGAAGAGGCATGATCAATCTCTCTGCACCCCTCTTCCTAAGACCTTTTCACACTAGGATCCTGTCGTCTAAAGTCTTTTTTCCTCCCCTCTTCATCTGGATAACTGCTACCTACCTTTAGATCCTAGAACTCTAATGAAGTCAAATTCCCACATACCTCTGGTTCATTTTATTTAATATAGCTGTACTTTTTACAAGTATTTTATATTGAGGTATAATTCACATGCCATAAATATTCACCTTTTAAGAGTGTACAATTCAGTGATTTTGAGTATACAGTAGATCCCCCTTATTTGTAGTTTCACTTTCTGTGGTTTCAGTTCCCCACAATCAACTGGGGTCCAAAAATATTAATGGAAAATTACAGAAATAAACAATTAATAAGTCTTCCGTTGCACACTCTTCTGATCAGCATGATGAAGCCCCAGTTGCTCCACCCGCAGTGTGAATCATCCCTTTGCCCAGCATCTCCAGGCTGCCTATACTACCCATCCCTTAGTCACTTAGTAACAATCCCAGTTATCAGGCTGACTGTCATGGTACTGCAGTGCTGGTGTTCAAGGAACCCTTATTTTACTGAATAATGGCCCTAAAGTGCAAGAGTAGTGATGCTGACTTGTCATCATAATTGTTCTGATGTATTATTAGTTATTGTCGTTAATCCCTTACTGTGAATAATTTATAAATTAAACTTTATCAAAGGTATGTATGTATAGGAAAAATCATAGCACGTATGGGGTTCAGTATTATCCATGATCACAGATACCCACTGGGGGTCTTGGAACATTGCCACCAGGGATAAGAGGAGATTATTGTATTCACAATGCTGTACAACCATCACCATTTAATTCTATAGTCTTTTTTCATAATCCCAAAAAAAAACCCATACCCCTTAACAACCACTCCCCATCCTCTCCCACACTCAGTCCCTGGTAATCACTAATCTACTTTCTGTCTCTATAGGTTTGCCAAATCTGTACAGTCCATGTAAATGGAATAGTACAATATGTGCCGTTTTGTGTCTGGCTCCTTTGCTTAGCATAATGTTTTCAAGATTCACCATGTTGTAGCATGGTCAGTACTTCACTCCTTTTTATGGCTGAATACTATTCCGTTGTATGTATATACCACCTTCTGTTCATCTATTCAGCAATTGATGGGCATTTGGGTTGTTTCTATTTGGGGGCTATTGTAAATAAAGCTGCTATGAACATTTGTGTACAAGTTTTTGTGTAAATATACATTGTCAGTTCTCTTGGGTATATACCTGTGAGTGGAATTGCTGGGTCTTATGGTAATTCTGTATTTAACTTGAGGAGCTGCCAAAATGTTTTCCAAAGCAGCTGTACTATATTATGTTCCCACCAGCTGTGTATTTTAAGCTGGGTTTTGATTTCTCAATTCCACCAATAATTGTTATTGTCCATTTTTTTAATTATAGCTTTTTTTGTTATACCCTAAAGGGTATAAAGTGGCATTTCATTATGGTTTTGATTCACATTTCCCTAATGAGTAAAGATGTTGAGCATCTTTTCATGTGATTATTGGCCATCTGCATGTCTTTTTTTTTTTTTCTTTTTTGATACATGGTCTTATTCTGTTTCCCAGGCTGGAGTGCAGTGCTGTGGTCACTGCTCACTGCAGCCTCAACCTCTTGGGACCAAGTAATCCTCCCACCTCAGCCTCCTGAGTATCTGGGACTACAGGCATGTGACACGGTGCCTGGCTATTTTTTAAAATGTTTTGTAGACATGAGGTCTCACTATGTTGCCCAGGCTGGTGTATGTCTTTTCTGAAGAAATGTCTATTCAAATCCTCATAAGGTCTGAATGTTAGTGTCCCCCCAAAATTCATACATTGAGACCTGCTGCTGAATGTGATAATATAAAGAGGTTGGGCCTTTTGGTAACTGATAAAGTCATGAGGGCTCTGTCCTCATTAATGGGATTAGTGGCCTCATAAAAGAGGTTGAAGGGAGCACTTGTCCCTTCTGCCATGTGTGAATGACATGAGAAGGAGCCATTCATGAAGCAGAAAGCCCTCATTAGACATTGAATTTGCTGGTGTTTTGATCTTGGACTTCAGGCCTCTGTTGTTTGTAAATTACCCAGTTTAAGGTATTTTTGTTATAGCAGCAGGAACAGACTAAGACAAATTTGGGGCTGTTTTTAAATTCTGTTATTTTTCTTTTTATTGTTGAGTTGTAAGTATTCTTTACATATTCCAGGATAGAATATTATGCAGCTATTAAAAATTATGTCTGCCAATAATATTTAACAATTTGGGGAATCATTGAGCCTGATCTCACATTTGCATAAATAAAAATAAGGGCTAAAATAATTCATGGACATTTTAAGACATCATCATGGAGGATTATGATTATAGGTGATTTTAATTTTCTTCTTTATGTTTTTCTTTATGTCCTTCTTTTTCTGCAATTAGCATGTATTGCCCTAATAAAAGAAAGCTAAATATTATTAACTAAAAGTATTCAGATTCAGTACTAAAAGTATTCAGATTCAGTAAGGTTGTGCCCAGACTTCTGGATTTGCAATAATGTTTGATGATTCTCTTTCTAGGATTATATTGTTAGCGGAGCCAGCCCCTAGTGATTTGAGTAGCTTCAGATTATGTCAGGGGAAGTGGCCATATGTTACATATTGCTCTCTGGAAAATTAGAGTTAAAGATATGGGATGTAAACTAACACTGCAATCAAGCTCCTAAGTCTTAACTCTGACTTAGTGAATTGTCACTTGTTAAAAACGGGAGAATCCACAGTCCTGTGAATTGGGCATCTCTTTAAGCCGAATCCTATGGGTTGTTCTTCCTCTCCCAGTGGTGGCCAGTTGGCCTGGGCATAGATCAATTACCATGCACTGTAAAAAATAGAGGTCAAATGAAATCAATTTACAGGACCATTTGAAATTCAAGCAAAATTCTGCTCCAGAATATTTACGTTTTCAAAATCCTTCAGAATTGCTCAAGTTAGTTGTGGCTTGGCAGTCTTAGTGGGTCCACCATAGACATCCTCAATATCTATGTCCAACTGTCTTAGCAAGTCCACCACACATGTTCTAGATGCCTGTGTGCAATCGCACCTTCTCACAATTCTTTAAAGTCAACCACTGCCCACTCTCCAGCTTATATAACATGGCACATCCGTCTGATATTGGCATTGGAATAATGTGAAGTTCCAAAATGACTTGATTCAGTAATGTTAAAATTAAGATGATTTATTACAAGCATTTATATGTATTTGAGCAAAGGGAAACTCTACTTTTCATAAATTAATTTGTCTAATGTACTTTATACAGGATTCTGCACCATCAAAGTTATATATTTATGAACTCTCTTCTAAATAATACCTTGAATTGATTTAAAAGATACAATCCATACTTAGAAAAAATGGGCTATACTTAATAGTGCTAATTTGACCAAATATTATTAGTATTGTTTAATTTAAAAGATAATTGCCGTAAACTAATCAATGGTGACAGAAGTCAGAAGAGTGGATACCCCTGGGAGGTATCAAATACAAAAGAACTCAGGGGGTGGGACTGGAAATTTGCTTTAGATCTTAGTCTGTTGATGTTTGCACTGGTGTGATGTGTGTATAAATATGTGCTCGTTGAGCTGATTATTTAAGGTTTTGTGGTTTACTATGTATGTTGTGCTCAGTAAAAAAGAATTAAAAAATCATTTATTTTAAGGGGTCCTTGAAATTATTTTCTTTCTAACACTCACCTTTTCCTAGTAAATAATGTATGTTCATTGCAGAAAATTTTGGAAAATACAAACAAGCATCAAAAAGTTAAAATCATTCATAGGCAATCCCCCCAGAATAACTTGGTATTATGAGAATGTTGTCTGATGCCCTACTTATAAGGCAGCGGCCGCTGGGAGCTTTTTATGAACATCGCCTACTTCAGCACTAACACCACAAACATCACCTACCCCAACATCCATGCTGCTCTCACTCACAGCGTTTCATCCACGCTGCTCTCACTCAGAGCATTTCAAAACTCCTCCCTGGTTATCACTTTGTCCTTTGCCTTTTGTGATTGGCTCATGCTGTTACTGCTGTGGCCCCAAAAGTGATTTCCCAAAGCTGTAAAGCTGAGAACCCTCATTTGGGCCAGGGAGGCCCCTCAGTCACTCCAGCTTTCACCCCAGCAAGTCTCAACCTCCTGTCCACCTCAAGGGTGGCAAGAACGGTGCCACGACATCACCTTCAGCAGAACAAATTTCACTTGAGCTAAAAGGCTGAGCTGACACACGGCTGGAGTCACTATCATGTGATATCACAGTACTCTCTCTTGAATAAAGGAAATATGACTAAAGGCGAGGTTGGCCCTGACTCATGGGGCTTTGGAGAAGTGAGCTCTGGGTTTAACAGTAGGACTGGGGATGGCTCAGACTGCGGACCTTCAGTGAGCCTCTGCCACCTGCCAGGCACTCCGCAGAGCCTTTCACAGACATTCCCTTCGTTCCTCCTGACGACCTTATAAACAGAGTGCTGCCGTTACACCCATTTTACAGATAAAGAACTTGAGGTGCAGGTGCACCTCCATATGACAGGCATCATCCAAGAGAAGTGGAGGGCTTAAACAAGCTAGTCCAACCCTTGGCCATGGGCTATATGTGGCCCAGGATGGCTTGGAATAGTGGTTACCCCTGGGAGGTTACTAACTGGTTGGAAGCCGTTCTGTTTCTTAAAACATTATGAGATTTTTTTGTGTGTGATTTTTCTTTTTTTTTTTAGCTCATCAGCTATCATTAGTGTTAATGTATTTTATGTGTGGTCCAAGACAATTTTTCTTCTTCCAATGTGGCCCAGGGAAGCCAAAACACTGGACACCCCGATTTAGAGTTAAGTAAAGTTGTCCATGTGTCCACAGAGTCCCAGTACCCGCTGTTAAGGGTGAAGCCAACTCTGAGCCGGAATGCATGTCAGTGCAGCCCAGCACACAGGCCCTGTGAGGAGGGGATGCCCCACGGTGTTTTGGGCATGGAAAGAGGGTTGGGTGTGAAAAGTGGTGCCCACCCACTTTCAGTTTTCCAACCTCCTTTTCCAGGCTTTTCTCAGTTTCCATACATTACATCAGGCAAGAAATTAGCTATTCCCCTAATCATGTATCTGTTTCCTCAGCTACTAAGACAACTCTCATTTAAATCTCTCCTCTCACAGAGAAAATTATATTAATATAAATGCCATATAGGTGTTCATCAAAAGACCTAGAACGCCTTTGTAAATGTGAGCTGGTGGCGTGTGTCATCAATCTTACGTACGACAAGGAAGCTGAGTCAGAGAGAGGAAGTATGACTGGGGTTTGGTTAAAAGTAAACCACTGTGCTTGATTTCATCTGAAAATCACAGCAATGCAATAGACCACATCTGCTATCCAAAGTCAAAGGAAAAGAGCAAAGGAATGTTCCAAAAATACATATTGGTATTATGGCTAAAGCCACGTTCTAGCTAGTGGGTGAGGCAGATAAAACTAAGCAGCCATCTTCATTCCAGTGTACTTCCACTTCTATTCTCATTTTCACTCTGCCACTAAGCTGGCTGCTCAGTCTTAGAAAATTCGTTATCTACCCTTGAGCATTGCTTTTCTTCACGACACCCCACAAAAAAGACTGCTGGTCAGGATGACCCTGTGTGGCCTGCTGACCCCCTCTCTGTGCAGCTGAAGCCGGTGCCACCAGCCAGGTTCTCAGTGCTGTTTCTGGTTCGACGGAGCCAGCCTTCTCTCAGCCTTGGGCCCCAGACTCAATACAAGCCTCCATTTCACTGGACTGGACCATTTCTGAATGCTTGGCTTGCATTCTACCCGATGCCACACGCCCTTAATTCCCGGAGCCGGCTTCTCTCTCCTTGCTCTTACGGAACAACCACTCAGCCATCTCCAGTCTGGTGTGAATGACCAAGAAGAAGTTCAGTTGTCTCTGAAGCCTGGGCAAGAATGATGGTCTTGGGGGTCTCAGCTCCCTAGTCCATTGCTTCTCCATCCTTACAGGATGTGCGAGTGTCACCCAGACCTCACAGGACTGCTTCCAGCTCCATTCCATATGGAATGTCAGTAAGGTCCTGCTACCACCAGCCAATATGCTAGACTTGTTCTGGAGTGCCACTGAGCCCAAAAAGCCACCCTAAGTAGCCCATTGGAGAAGAAATACCAGCTGCCGACTCTGGCCTCAGCTCAGCCCCTGAACATGGAGTTGGCAAATCGTCATCTACCTGTTTCTCCACCTGGTCACATTCACAAGGACTTTCCTTGCCTTGGGTTTTTCCCTCCTAAATCCCTGATTGTCAACCCAGCTCTGGTTAACTGACTTGGCACCTGAGGGTTCATCTGTTAAAACTGTCTCTAACACAAGAAATTCATGCCACCCCATCTACCTCTTTGCAGAAGAAAATTGTCCCTATTAAGCTTTTAAATTCCATCTTTTATCATCAATGGGACTGATTCTTACTGTCAACCAGGGTATTTTTGTGGTTTCTTCCAGCCTAAAACCCATGAATCTATACCCATAGCAAAAATATTTATGTTTCTGAGGCCTCCTGGCATTTGTGCCCTTATAGAGTGCCCTCCCCCATTGAATGGGGCTGACCCATGTGACCAATAAAATACTGTGAAGGTGACAGTGTGTGCTTCCCAAGGCTAGGTCATAAAATCTATTACTGCCTTGATTGCTGCATACTCTGGGGGAAGCCATCCACAATGTCATATGGACACTCAAGAATCCCTATGGGAAAAATATGGAGCGGGCCATGTGGAAAGGAACTGAGCCCTCCTGCATATAGCCAGATACCACCTGCCAGTCATAGGAGTTCACCATCCTGAAGTGGACCCTCCAGCCCCAGTCAAACCTTCGGACGATTACAGTCCCAGTTGACATCTAATAACTTCAGGGAAGACCCTGAACTGAAACTGAACTGAAACATCATAGATATGATTAAGTTAAGGATCCTTAAAACAGAGCAGGAACCCCTCTTAGGAGCCTGTGGGCCCCCAAAGACATAATTTTTTTAATCTTCGGTGCATTCAAAAAACTTCCAGTCACTTAACTAGTCCTAAAAAAGTAAATAAAAACTTAATAAACCACAACAACAAAAAAAAACTTAATAGCCAAACAAACTAAAGTCACAAGATGTTTGGTTCCCTGTAAAAACCAAAGACAACATCTTAAAATATGTCCCTGAGTTGTTTTCCAGAAACCTAGACCCCACCAAATGGAGCCACTGGCACACAGATCTCAGGTAAGGAGAGGCTGAGGACTCAACTCTGATTGCTATTCTTTGTTCTAAATTTCTTCCTGAGGGGCCTGGAGAAGGTCATGCCTATGAACCAGAGCTCACCTTCTTTTCTGCCGATCACACATTCTTAGACAAAGCTTTGACTCCTTAATCAATCACAAATCAGAAAATCCTGGAATCCACCTATGACCTGTGGGCCTCTGCTTGGAGATGTCCTGTCTTTTTAAGTCAAACCAATGTATAGCCTCCCTGTGTTGATTTATGACCTTGCCTATAACTTATGCCTCCCTGCCTCCATAAACCCTTACGTTTAAGCCATCTGGGAGGTCGGGTGTCAAGCGTAAGCAACCCAATTCTCCTTACTTGGCACCCTACAAGTAAGGGTTACACTTAAATACCCTCCCGCTAACACCCTCCTTTCTCCCACTACAAACCTCAATAAATATTTGGCCCTACTGCACTGGGTGAGTGGACCCCAGTTCAGTTCAGTAACATCCTGAGATAGAAAGATCATTCTGGATTATCGGGTGGCCCATACATATAACCACAGGGTCGTTATAAGAGATAAGCAAAGGAAAATCTGACCACAGGTGAGAAAAAGACAAAGTGATAATGGAAGCAGAGATTAATGTGGCCACAGGCCAAAGCGTTCTCACAGCTAGAAGCCTTAGAAGCTTCCAGAGACAAGATGCAGACTCTCCCCGGAAGCCTCCAGAACAAATGAGCCCTGCAGATACCCTGACTGTGGTCCTGTAAGTCTCAGGGCAGACTTCCGACCTCCAGAATTGTAAGATAAATTTCTGTTGTTTTAAGTCACTAAATTTGTGGTCATTTGTTAGATTGGCAACAAGAAACTAATATATTGCCAAAATGTTTTTTTAATTTTTGTCAATCTTCCTAAGTTTAACAATTTTTTTTTTATTCAGGATCTCTCTCTGTTGCCCAGGATAGAGTGCAGTGGTGCAATCATAGCTCACTGCAACCCCCAACTCCCAAGTTCAAGTGCTCCTCCTGCCTCAGCCTCCTGAGTACCTGGGACTACAGGCATCCTGCCACCACGCCAGGCTAATTTAAAAAAAATTTTTTTTGCAGAAATAGGATCTGGCTATGTTGCCCAGGCTGGCTTCAAACTCTGAGCCTCAAGTGACCCTCCCACCTTCGCCTACCAAAGTGCATAGGATATGTATAGGTGTGAGCCACCATGCCCAGGCTGGTGTATCAATTTTATCAATTTTTTTCAAAAAATCTGATTGTGCGTTCATTGATTTTTTCAATTGATTTCCTATATTTAATTTTATTGATTTCTGCTTTTATCTTTGTTATTGCCTTCCTTCTGCTTGCTTTAACCCTTTTTTTTAGTTTCTTGAGGTAGACAGCTGGATTACTGATTGAAGAACTTTTCTGTTTTCTAAGGTAAGCATTTGGTGCTATAAATTTTCCTCTTTGCACTGTTGCTATGTCCCATATATTTTGACATGTTGTGGCTTCATTTTCATTCAATTCTATGTATTTTTTGTATTTCCTTTGAAGCTTCTCCTTTGTCTCATTAAGTATTTGCAGCCATGTTGTTTAATTTCAAAGTTTGGAGATTTTCTTATTGTTTTTCTATTATCAATTATTAATTTAGTTCCATTTTAAATTGAATTTCATTGTGATCAGAGACCATGCTCTGTATGACTTTAATTCTTTTAAATTTGGTTAGATTTGTTTTATGACCTAAAACATGGTATATCTTGGTGAATGTTTCATGAACACTTGAAAAGAATGTTTACTCTGCTGTGATTTTGTGGAAGGCTCTATGTATGTCCGTTAGATCCTGTTGGTTGATTATTTTGTTCAGCTTTTGTCCATCCTTGCGATTTTCTGTCTAGTAGTTCCATCAATGGCTAGTGGTATCAATTACTAGATTATTCTGTCTAGCGGGCTGTTGAAGTCTCCAACTATAATTGTGGATATATACATGCTTTCTTGTGATTGCTTCTGTTACAAGGATGGGTTCATACACATGCTTTGTTTCACCACGCTGTTTTCACTCAACAATTCCTTGTAAAAATCTTTTCAAATCAACTGTAATAGGACTCTAGTTCACTTTTAGAAATGGCTACATAGTACTATTCCATAGTGTAAATGTACCAGAATTTACCCTACCACTCTGTAGTGTGACATTTGCTTTGTTGGGTGGGCAAAATAATCCTCAGTGAAAATTCCACCGGCTTTCTCAATTACAAGCCTGAATTTTGATGACAGAGGCTGATAGTTGGAAACTCATAGTAGTCAAGTGGACCATAGCATATAGTAGGGGGTAGAAGTGTGCAGGGTAGACATGAGTCTGTATTAGGCCTTTTGAGAAAAGAATGTGTGACTTTGAAAACCATCAATAATTCTGCTTGTAGGTCATAATAAGCCATAAAGAAAGCTCTACCATCTTTTCTTTAAAAAAGAGTAGTGATATCTTAGACAAAGATTAAATTATCTCTTAGTCATGTAGGCACATGAACTAAAGACCAAATTATTCTTAGGATAGGACAAAACTCTACAGATAGAATATAGGCCAAATGTGGCCAACACAGTAACTCAACCTCATTCCTTACTATGAGCAGGGTGTCTTAAATTTAATTTACAAACCAGAATGTAAACAATAAGAGAATCTAGATACAGTGGGATCACAACTGTTGAGGAAGTGAGAAATGTTTGGCTTGGAGAAGAGAAGGCTAAGGAAAAACACCTCTTTAGCTACTTCAAGGACTGTCATCTGGTAAGGAAGGAGCTCCGTTCTGCCGGGCTTGAGAGGGCAAATGTCACCCAGATGAAGGGAGGTTGTATTAGTCAGCGTTCTCTAGAGGGACAGAACTAATGGAATAGATACATATATATAAAGGGGAGTTTATAAAGTATTAACTCGCACGATCACAAGGTCCCACAATAGGCTGCCTGCAAGCTGAGGAGCAAGGAGAGCCAGTCCAAGTCCCAAAACTGAAGAACTTGGAGTCGGATATTCGTGGGCAGGAAGCATCCAGCACAGGAGAAAGATGTAGGCTTGGAGGCCAAGCCAGTCTAGCCTTTTCAAGTTTTTCTGCCTGCTTTATATTCTAGCCATGCTGGCAGCTGATTAGATGGTGCCCACCCAGATTAAGGTCTGCCTTTCCCAGCCCACTGACTCAAATGTTCATCTCCTTGGGCAACATCCTCACAGACACACCCAGGATCAATACTTTGCATCCTTCAATCCAATTAAGTTAACACTCAGTATTAACCGTCACAGAGGTCATGGAGTGCAAGGCTCAATGGCCAGCAACACACTGGTCACTTCATCTAATAGGGAAATCCCGGCCATGGGAGGACTTCGCACAGACCCTGCTTCCCAAGGATTTTAACCCTGATTGAGTGCATTCCAACTCTAAGGGGCTACAGCCCATGTTACAGACAAATGACAGCTGATATGTAGTGTCAGGTGTCCCTGACTACAGCCATCCTTCAGTGGCACATCTTCCCCATCCCCTTGGCAAACACTGTGCACCCTCCCACCTCCAAAGAGCTTCTCACTCTGATTCTCCTGCTGTGAACACCCTCCACTCCTCCACCTACCCAGATCTGGATAGTCCTTCCAGACCCAGAATAAATCCCACCTCCTTGGCGAGGCATTTTCTGATAACCCCAGCCCACCACTGATCTCTTACCACATAATTAACACCTTTTTAGAACATAGATTTTTTTTCCCCGTTCAACTGAATTAAAAGTTCCTTTTAGGCAATCACCCTGCGCCTCTTTAACAACCTGCAATACCTTCCACAGAACAAGACGTGTAATTGAGCTTTCAAAAAATACTTGTTGATCCATTCATTTCCCCCTTTCTTTTTCATAAATCCATGTAATTTTAATTAGAGGTGGGGGCAAGTGAAAGTGTTAAGGAGTTTATTTAGCTTTCTGTTTGGAAATGTGCTGGTAAAATTTGGCTATACAATATTTTATCTTAATAATGATCTCTCATGGCTGTCATTAAAGTTGAGTCTCTTACGGAAACCTTTCTGTAATTAGCTGTCAAGAGAAAGGACAGGAGAACACAGAATTCAAGGGCCTGCTAATAATGCTTTCCAACTACCAAACAGCCTTTAAAGATTTTGGGTGGGCTGTGGCATACATAGTTCATGGAAGGAACAATTACCAAGGAATTTACTAATAGAACAGAGTTCAAAATAAGCCTCCATGGAATTATGTTCTTAATCCCCAGCAGTATACAAATAGGCTCCAGGTCACCTTCTGGACCAGTTGCTGTTGATCAGGCACATCCCCCAGTGCCCTGCAGCTGCTCCCATTCCTCTGTCGTCTGTCGCATATGAAGTATTTAACACGGGCTCCTGCTCTAGGGAAGCTTTGGGAGAGGCTGGCTGATAGAGTTTGGATCTGGTCCCCACCCAAATCTCATGTTGAAATATAATCCCCATGTTGGAGGTGGGGCCTCGTAGGACCCCATACGATCATGGCAGCAGGTTTCTCATGAATGGTTTAGCACCACCCCCTTCATGCATCCCCACTGTGCTGTTCTGGCGATAGCAAGTGAATTCTCGTGAGATCTGGTCATTTAAAAGTGTAGGCGCCCTCCTTCTCTCTCTCTTGCTCCCGCTTCTGCCATGTGCCTACTCCCCACGTCACCTTCTGCTGTGAAGTCTCCCCAGAAGCTTAGCAGATCTCAACATCATGCTTTCTGTACAGCCTGCAGAGCCAGTTAAACCTCTTTTGTTTATAAATTACCCAGTCTTGAGTATTTCTTCACAGCAATGCGAGAATGGGCTAATACATCGGCTGAACACCCGTCCCACAATCCATGGCCTTACATCATGTCCTTGTCAGCTCAGGCTGCCATAACAAATATACCACAGACTAATAATAAGAGCTATCTATGACAAACCCACAGCCAATATCATACTGAATGGGCAAAAACTGGAAGCATTCCCTTTGAAAACTGGCACAAGACAGGGATGCCCTCTCTCACCACTCCTATTCAACATAGTGTTGGAAGTTCAGGCCAGGGCAATTAGGCAGGAGAAGGAAATAAAGGGTATTCAATTAGGAAAAGAGGAAGTCAAATTGTCCCTGTTTGCAGACGACATGATTGTATATCTAGAAAACCCCATTGTCTCAGCCCAAAATCTCCTTAAGCTGATAAGCAACTTCAGCAAAGTCTCAGGATACAAAATCAATGTACAAAAATCACAAGCATTCTTATACACCAACAACAGACAAACAGAGAGCCAAATCATGAGTGAACTCCCATTCACAATTGCTTCAAAGAGAATAAAATACCTAGGAATCCAACTTACAAGGTATGTGAAGGACCTCTTCAAGGAGAACTACAAACCACTGCTCAAGGAAATAAAAGAGGATACAAACAAATGGAAGAACATTCCATGCTCATAGGTAGGAAGAATCAATATCGTGAAAATGGCCATACTGCCCAAGGTAATTTACAGATTCAATGCCATCCCCATCAAGCTACCAATGACTTTCTTCACAGAATTGGAAAAAACTACTTTAAAGTTCATATGGAACCAAAAAAGAGCCCGCATCGCCAAGTCAATCCTCAGCCAAAAGAACAAAGCTGGAGGCATCACACTACCTGACTTCAAACTATACTACAAGGCTACAGTAACCAAAACAGCATGGTACTGGTGACAAAACAGAGATATAGATCAATGGAACAGAACAGAGCCCTCAGAAATAATGCCGCATATCTACAACTATCTGATCTTTGACAAACCTGAGAAAAACAAGCAATGGGGAAAGGATTCCCTATTTAACAAATGATGCTGGGAAAACTGGCTAGCCATATGTAGAAAGCTGAAACTGGATCCCTTCCTTACGCCTTATACAAAAATCAATTCAAGATGGATTAAAGACTTAAACGTTAGACCTAAAACCATAAAAACCCTAGAAGAAAACCTAGGCATTACCATTCAGGACATAGGCATGGTCAAGGACTTCATGTCTAAAACACCAAAAGCAATGGCAACAGAAGACAAAATTGACAAATGGGATCTAATTAAACTAAAGAGCTTCTGCACAGCAAAAGAAACTACCATCAGAGTGAACAGGCAACCTACAAAATGGGAGAAAATTTTCGCAAGCTACTCATCTGACAAAGGGCTAATATCCAGAATCTACAATGAACTCAAACAAATTTACAAGAAAAAAACAAACAACCCCATCAAAAAGTGGGCGAAGGACATGAACAGACACTTCTCAAAAGAAGACATTTATGCAGCCAAAAAACACATGAAAAAATGCTCATCATCACTGGCCATCAGAGAAATGCAAATCAAAACCACAATGAGATACCATCTCACACCAGTTAGAATGGCAATCATTAAAAAGTCAGGAAACAACAGGTGCTGGAGAGGATGTGGAGAAATAGGAACACTTTTACACTGTTGGTGGGACTGTAAACTAGTTCAACCATTGTGGAAGTCAGTGTGGAGATTCCTCAGGGATCTAGAACTGGAAATACCATTTGACCCAGCCATCCCATTACTGGGTATATACCCAAAGAACTATAAATCATGCTGCTATAAAGACACATGCACATGTATGTTTATTGCGGCATTGTTCACAATAGCAAAGACTTGGAACCAACCCAAATGTCCAACAATGATAGACTGGATTAACAAAATGTGGCACATATACACCATGGAATACTATGAAGCCATAAAAAATGATGAGTTCATGTCCTTTGTAGGGACATGGATGAAATTGGAAATCATCATTCTCAGTAAACTATCGCAAGAACAAAAAACCAAACACCGCATATTCTCACTCATAGGTGGGAATTGAACAATGAGATCACATGGACACAGGAAGGGGAATATTACACTCTGGGGACTGTTGTGGGGTGGGGGGAGGGGGGAGGGATAGCATCGGGAGATATACCTAATGCTAGATGACGAGTTAGTGGGTGCAGCGCACCAGCATGGCACATGTATACATATGTAACTAACCTGCACAATGTGCACATGTACCCTAAAACTTAAAGTATAATTAAAAAAAGAAAAGAAAAAAAATATACCACAGACTGGGTGGCTTAAACTACACACATTTATTTTTCATTCTGGAATCTGGACATCCTAGATCAAAGTATTGTCAGATTCAGTGTCTGGTGAGGGCTCGCTCACTGGTTGCAGAAGACTGTCTTCTTGCTGCATTCTTACATGGTAGAAAGAGGTCAAGCAAGCTCTCTGGGACCTCTTTTATAAGGGCACTAATCCCATTCATGAGAGCTCCACCCCTATGACCTAATCACCTCCCAAAGGCCTCACCTCCTAACACCATCGAATTAGGGTTTAGGATTTCAACAGATTAATTCTGGGAGGACACAGACACTCAGTCCATAACATATCACATATCAAAATTCATGGTCTGATGCCACACACATGTAAGCCCACCTAGATTATGGTTTCCCTGAGAGTGGGACCATTCATCCAATTCATCTTGGATTCTCAGGGGCTCCGGCATTGGGCATCTGATAGAGTCTCACTTCATATGGATTGACTTGAAGGCTACAGAGCTCTGGAGACCCTGAGCAGAGGGCACCAGCTGTCTGAAAGGGAGAGGCAGGACAGAACTGTTTGCTTATGTGAGCTGAGTCTTGAAGGACAAAGAGCATTATTTTAGGCCAAGATGAGAAGGAGAGAAGGGGCCCAGAGGGGAAGAGTTTGAGCTAAGCCCAAAAGTGCAACTGGTTTGGGAGAAAACAAGTTTCTCCATATGGTTGGAGTATCGGGGGGTAGGGGCACAGGAGATGAGGCTCCAGAAGTAAGATGAAGCCAAACTGAAAGTTTTTACACTCATAATAAGGAATTTGGATTGAATTCTGTAAGCAAGGCAAGCAAGCAGCAGAGAGCTTTTAATTAGGCAGATGAGATGACAGACATGTATTTTAGAAAGATAAATAATTCACCACATTTACAGAAAAAGGTGAAAAATGCATATTTATCTTACTAGATGCTGAAAAAAACCTGATATAATTCAGCAACCATTTCAGATTTCTAAAAAGCTAGGATCATAGGAAAATTTTCTTAACTTGTAAAAATGTATATAATAGTAAATGTTGTTGATATTTGAATACAGAAGAGCTCACTTTGTAGCCAGGAGCAACAAAGTAGCCTTCACCAATAGAATTGATAACTGCACTCAAAACCCCAGCCAAGGCAATAAGAGAAGGAAAGGAATAAACTTAGTATACACACAGTGAAAAATATCTCTCCAAGTGGAAAGATGAATATAGAAGAATATTCACTATTTTATAATTTGCGAGAAATTAGAAACTGTCTACCTGTCTAACAATAGGGAACTGTTGGAATAAATTTTAGTTCACCCATAATTTGATTGCCAAGTGAATGCCAAAAAAAGAGACAGAATTATAGGTACTAATATTGAAAGATCTCCAAAGCATATAAAGTTAGAAAAGCAAGTCACAGATCAATATATGTAGAATGTTTTGTGTTGTGTAAAAGAAAAGAAGAAAAGATGAAAGAAAGAAAAGAAAAAGACGTGTTTGTGTGTGTGTGTGTGTGTGTGTGTTTTCACACACCCTGGAAATATAAGTAGCAGATCATTTTTGGGGATTATCTCTGAGAAGAATAAAATTAGTAAGTGTCAGGAAGAGAACTGAGAGGAAACTTTCACTTTTCACCCCAAACATTTGTGTATTGTTTGAAACATTTCAGAGAGGCTGTATCATTTTTTTCTCTAATTTAATAAGAAAAGTATTTCCCAAAGCAATTTTCTGGCAAGATCAGTAGTTTATTGCAATCATCAAGGCAAAAAAAAAAAAAAAAATGGTGAGGGCATGAATCAGAATAAAAGGAAGGGAAAAGAAGAAAAACTTGAAACCCTTTAGAGGTGGAAATGAGAGGTTGGTGACAACAGATGTAAGAGGCTTAGAAAAAGGAAGTGTTCAGTGATGACTTGGGGGGTCTCAGATTTGGGGAGAGGATGAACAGTGCAGTGACACATGAACAAGAAACAGATGCCAGAGGGAAAAATTGTGAATTTATTTTGAGACATGCTACACTTAAAAGGCCTCCGAAATGGTAGATGGGCAGGTTGCACCACCAGTTAGCGACACAGACCTGGGTAGATGTTTCAGTAGCCTTGAGCCCATGACGCTTGTCTCAGCTTCCAACATCACTCCTAATTGTCTTCTAATTGCCTCTACTTTCATTCTTACTTTTCCGATGGTTTCTCCACACAGAAGGTAGAATAATCTTTTGGAAAATTGCCAGTGGCTTCCCACCATACTTGCCAAAGTCCAGTGAGCTGTAGGTCTGACCTCACACCCCGTCTGGTTCCACACACTCCAGCCACGCAGGCGCACTCTGCTTCTGTCGCCTCCTGGAGATGGGCCCACACACTCATGCACTGACACCTACACACACATGTCCCATCCACATGCCAGATAATCCCACCCATTATTTGGGCTCCATTTCAGTATCATCTGGGAGAAGCCATCCTTGATTTCCATGTCACCACAACTAGTGCAGCCCCTGGTATTTTCTCTCCTCCGTCTCCCCAACTGGCACTGAAGGAGCAGGAAGCAAAAAATCCACCACTCTATCCCCAATCCTAGCACAGGCCTAGCACAGAATAGGGGTTCAATAGATACCCGTTGAATAAAACAATTGATTTAAAAATTGATGAAGGAATACACTAGTGAATGGGTGGATGGGGATGGCAAGACTGGAAAAAATCCAGAAACAAAAATGGGAAGACAAGAGGACTGCACAAGAACCAAAGGAGAAAACGCTTCAAGGCCGAGACTGGGAGTCCTCCAGGGAGAGGCTGTGAGCCAACAGCATCAGGGTCTGCGGGGAGGGAGGTCAGGCGGCAAAAGAATCGAAAAGGGGTTTAGATTTCATACGAGGGGGCACCAATGAACCTTTTCCAGATCACTATCCACAGACTGGGAGAAGCCGATCACTGCATGTTGATGTGAATAAGAAGAGAGGAAGTGAAGTGGGAAGGAAAGGATGCGCAAGGGAAGAGAGAGGGCTTCAAGTGGAGGCAGGATGCAGGAAAGGCTGATTTAGCGGGGAACAGACCTCAGGAGTGTGTCTCTCTCCCTGTATATGTAATTATAAGACAGGCGAAGGTAATAAGTACTAAAAACGCAGCACCTTCTAATGACTGTATTACACTTTGCTGTTGTCTGCACCTTGAGGTTGAATCCACTGTACTGTGTGGTGTAGACTCTACCAGCTGAGCTACTGCACTCCTCTTCCCGTCTCCCAGTGGCAGCAGGGCAGTGGCTCTTCACAGCACGAAAGCTGGCAAAACTTCAAATCATGACTTTTTTGTCCTGAGAGCCAGATGTTAACCATTGGCCAGCACACCCCTGCCCTGGGGGTCCAGCAGGAGGGAGGGAGGGAGGGCAATGAGGGTGACAGGGGTTGTGGTCAACACCCGGACATCAGAATTCTCCCCTCTGGCTGTTATTTGTGAGTCTTATTTTCTCCTCTCACCTGAGTTAATAAGCCATTCTGCAAATGAGGTTCTCATCTATTACAGGAGTTGCTACTTCCAGTGAAAAAAGTCACAGCTCAGTTCTCTAGATAGTGCAGCCATCACCTTCTTACAAATAACAATCCTTTAAAAAGCAGTTTCTCTATCCCAGAGACCAGAGGAGACCCTGGAGAACTCAGCCCAAGGAAGGGGAGAGGCGGGCTGACCAAGCAAGGGGTACCATGATCCCATCAGTCATATGGATGTGGAAAGTCAGAGGATGAAAGGAGGCTTCTCAGCATGTGGGAAGCAGGAGGGAATCAGGGGCACCTGCCAGGTCCCAGGCCCTCCCAGCTCACCCACCTGACCGTGACCTTCTGTTCTCAGCCCAACTTCCCAAAAGAGGCATCACCCTGCCTAGTTCCATTTTCTGAGAGTACTTACTTGCTATTTGTTCTTTAATTTGGTCAAACCCAAATAGAAACATGCACGAGTATACTTTTTAGAACTTCCATGACAGCAAATCTTAAATTGAGAAAATCACATCTATAAATTATTATTATGCTATTATTGTTTGCAAATTAGGGGGAAAAACCCCATGGCTTTTCCATTTTACTGGTGAAACACCTTGATACAGAAGCGTGTTTCCCCTCCTGGGTGCCTCTGCCTCTGGCTGTGACTCAAAAGCATCAATGTAAGGTGGCTACATGCCCTGCTGCTGGGCTTGCCCCCACCTCGAGGGACCATATCAGGTGTGATTCCAGGGGCAGGCGGCCACCCGGGCCCCCACACCCTGAGCCAGCTTGCGAACCACAGCCATGGGCCCTTGCCACTTAGCCCCATAAAGACCTACCTACAGCTCTCCCTGTGGGCAGAGTCACAGTTTATCCATCTTGTAGCTCAGACCCCTACTCTAGCATCCATCTATAGTAAACCCTAAACAAACATTTGAGGAATTTGAAAATGTTTCTCTATTTGGGTCGGGCACGGTGGCTCACGCCTGTAATCCCAGCACTTTGGGAGGCTGAGGCAGGTGGATCACCTGAGGTCGGGAGTTCGAGACCAGCCAGACCAACATGGAGAAACCCCTTCTCTACCAAAAATACAAAATTAGCTGAGCGTGGTGATGCATGCCGGTAATCCCAGCTACTCAGGAGGCTGAGGCAGGAGAATTGCTTGAACCGGGAGGCAGAGGTTGCTGTGAGCCGAGATTGCACCATTGTACTCCAGCCTGGGCAACAAGAGCAAAACTCTGTCTCAAAAAAAAAAAGTTTCTCTATTTGATGCCCACAGGAATAATAATAACATCTGAGACTCTTTCAGGCAAGTTTATTTGATCATTCCTTATCCCATATTTCCATATTGTTAAGAAATAGAAATCCCTACAAGTGGTTCAGGTCAGCTAGTGGCCACTCTAGAAAATACTTCTAGAGTTTATGTATATTTTGGGGGTGAACTGTATATGTCCACTTGACTGAGCCATGAGATGCCCAGATATTTGGTTAAACATTATTCTGGTGTGTCTGTGAGAGTTTTTTCCTTTTTGATAAAATTAACATTTGAATCAGTAATAAACTGAATAAACAGATGGCCTTCCCCAATTTGTGTGGCCCTTGTCCAATCAGTTGAGGGCCTGAATAAAACAAAAAGCCTGACCCCTCCCCTGGATAGGAGAGAATTCCTCTTGTTGGGCTGTCTTCAAGCTGGGACACTATTTTTTCCCACCTTCAGATCAGACTGAAACATTGGCTTTTCCTGGGTCTCAAGCAGGACAGCATCAGAACTGGAACTGACACCATAAGCTTTCCTGGGTCTGGCCCACCCTGCAGATCTTGGGACTTGCCTGCCTCCAAAATTATGCAAGCCAATTCCTTATAATAAATCTCTTTTTTAATAAGCAACTCTTGGTTCTGTTTCTCTGAAGAACCCTGACTAATACTATTAAAAACAACTTGGGAGAACACCCATTTCCAGAAGGCTCCTCTGATGCTGGAAGAGGCCCTGCCGGACACTGAGCAGAGGAGGTTGAGAGGTGTGACTCCCACCTCCCCACCTGAGGACTAGGAGGCCTGCCCCTCCTCACAGCTCTCAGTGCTTCTCAGGGACCACAGAGTCAAATCCAGGACGTCTGAGCACATAACGGGACCCTGAACCACTTGGCCATATTTGGTATCACTGTTAAGCCCAAGGCTGCAACTTATTAGTCAAGAACATGGTGTGCTCTCCAAGCACTGAGGCGGAGGCACCACCCAGACCTGCACAATTCTAGAGCTCCACTAACACATTTGTAAGTTCATTCCTGAAGGACAGTCACCACGTGCCAACTTGAGGCCCTCATTCCCACTGCGTGAGGAGGGCCTTCATGTCTAGAAGGAATTTGGACATCCAGGCCACTGCTTGACCCACACCAGGGCAAAGGCAGGCCCACACAAGTCCACAGAAGAGCAACAGGCAAAACCCGAAAGTCTGGAAACCACTCCTAAATAGTGCAAGGCGGGGGTGGGGTGCAGATGGCACTGAGCTGATGGCTGTTGAAGTTGGGTGGCGGGCCATTTGTCCCTGGGGCCTCATTTTACCATTCTCTCTATTTTGTTGTGTTTATATGTTTCCTATGATGATGTATGTTTTAAAATCCTCATAATAAATGTTTAAATTTCATAAAAGGGTGGTTTACAAGGCATGTTACAAGGTTGGCAGGTGACCTTGCAAGACAGGCAGGGCTGCAAGCGGAGGAGGTGGAGATCAGTGTGAGGCGGGTTAGGCTCCCTCACCCCTCCTGCCAGGTCAGGGATGGGCAGGACAAATGGGCTCAAGGCTCTCTTTCTCCTGCTGCCAGTTTTTAGGGGCCTTTCCTGCTGAGTGGGTTGTGGAGGCCTTTTCCTTGGGAAGATCCGAGGCGTCCAAACCAAGACTCAAGAGGGAGAGGCAGCAAGGAGGGATGCGCTAAATCCTGGGTGGTGAGGGGCTCCTGTTTGGGATTCGACATGGTACAGCACAGGGGCACATCCAGGAACTAAACAATGTGCCTGGCATGGGCCAACCTGTATTTTTGCCAGCCTGAAGCATAGCTCATGCAGTCAAAATCAGCAGGGAGGGCCCACCATGGCCAGAAGAGACACCTGCACTACTCACTTTAATCCTAGAAAGATGCATATGTCGGCCTGGCACAGTGGCTCATGCCTGTAATCCCAACACTTTGGGAGGCTGAGGCAGACAGATCACTTGAGGCCAGGAGTTCAGGACCAGTCTGGGCAGCATAGGGAAGCCCCATCTCTACAAAAAGTAAAACAATTAGCCAAGCATGGTGGTGTGTGCCTGTGTCCCAGCTATTCGGGAGGCTGAGGAGGGAGGATCGCTTGAGCCTGGGAGGTCAAGGCTACAGTGAGCCATGATCAGGCCACTGGATTCCAGTCTGGGCGACAGAGCAAGACTCCATCTCAGAAATAAACAAGTGCATATGCTAGGGAATAATGGAATACAGTTGGCCCTCCAAATTCATGACAATATTTTTTTAAATACATGATAAAAATAAGAATACAAAAATTAAAAATAACACAAATCGAACAATGCAGTATAACAAATATTTGTGTAGCATTTACATTATAATAGATATTCGTAATCTAGAGATATTACATTTATAGTATACGGTGTATGGAAGATGTGCATAAGTTATTTGCAAATACTGCACCAGTTTATATCAGGGACTTGAACATGCTCGAATTTTGGTATCCATGGGGTTCCTGGAACCAATCCCCCTCAGATCTCAAGGGATGATTGTACACAAACCCCTCATAATTCACTTACATTTTGTCCATCTTCCGGAGGGACAATAAGTCATTGTGAAGGGCTGTGTCTTCCAGGCAAAGAACACTCAAAACAACTAGGTTTTCATCATTTTATCTTAAGAAATAAAAGCCATCTGTGACTCCTGCTTTGGTAAACTGTAAGAGGCCCAGAGTATACAGTACCTCTGCTAAATACCACCTTAGGGGTAAATTCCTTGTCAACAGAGCTAGAACCATATTTTGATTTTTTTTTTTTGAAAAAAACAGAAAGTTTCTATTTGGGCAGGTGGCAGTGGAAATTTTTAATGTTTGCAAAGCAAAAAGCACTATTGTCAGTAGATTGCCAAACAATTATATTTAATGGAATTTGATAAAATGAAGTTTGTCAGAATGACCTCAGAGTAGAGAGCACTTCTGATGTGAGGCTGGGTGAAGGCCAAGTTCCAGAGTTTGAAGGGTTCATACGAGTTTAAATTCTTGAAATTTGGAATGGACTGTTTGCTTCTTTTTCTGCCTATTCAATAGACGAAAGTGAGCAAAGCCTCTTTTGAGGGGTTCTCCACTTCGGGGAAACCATGCATTTCAGATGATATCCAAGGATGGCTTCAAGTCTGAAGTAAGCAGCATTATAACAATGAGCTCTTTGAACATTTTTCTTCTTGGTTTTGAGGAGCTTCAGATATCCAGACAGCTGCTGAGGCATCAGGCACCTGGAAGCTCCAATGGACAGGGTAAGGCACCTGCTCAAGCTGTCTCCTCGATTTCCCTTTTCTGCAGCTTCTTCCAGCATCTAGGCTTCACTGCAGATCCTCACAGGCACCTGGGCTCATGGCTAGAAACCCAAATCTTCACTAGATGGCAGTGGTATCTGCCAGACCAGCTGAGGTGCAGAGCAAGGCATGTCTGAGCCCAGAATCCATAGATCATAGAATCCATGGATCTAACTAAACTGCTGCCACCTGCCTCAAAAAGAAACCCGCCAGAGGTGCCATCCAGAGCTGAGAAGATGCTCGCCAGCCAAGAAGAGCAGTGCCTCTTCCAGTCATGTCAGGTGGTACAGGAGGGCTGAGGTATATCCGGCACCTTCTCACCAACTCTCCTCACAAAGACAAAGAAGATCAGCATGGCCTGTAACCATGGAAACATGGCCTTTGGCCCCTGGTATCTCACTGGGGTTCAAATGGTCCAAATAGGGATGCCTAATCCCTCTGACCCCAGTGTAACTGGTGCCACTCTGCTTATTTATAACCGTGACTGCTCTGCAACTCTGACGTGGCCACTCAGGGAAAATTCACCAATTCTAGCACTGGGAGACATGGATTAATTACTCCCAGTGGACCCTCAGTGGATCCTTGTCACACTGTTGTTGTTTTGGTTGGGAGGGGAGAGGCAAAATCACAGTGGGGTCAAAATGTTTTGTTTTGTTTTTTAACTCAACAGAAAATGAGTAATTATGAACTTGTAAGACCAAAACCAACTTGTAAGGCATATTGTGCAGCTGCACATCCCCACACCCCATCACACACACACAGACACAGACACACACACACACGAAGACACAGACACACACAGACACACACACACAGACACACACACACACAGACACACACACACACGATGGTCAACATCCACCCACTCAGTAGGCTGTTCCTATGCTCACTGCCTCCCACCTTAAAGATATTATTTTTCCACCACATACTATAGAACTCTTATGATAAATTGCAAAATTGTTTTCTTGTCCTTTACCCAGGAAACACACATAACTGGTCATTTCTTTCCATTGCATCTGAAACCATTTTATTTATGAATTAAATAATTCACTAACTCTACTGCCCTTGGGTATTTTCATTGAACATGCTGGCTCTTCCTTGTTGCTTTCCTCTGAGCCCCACCATGGACTTGGATCCTTGTACTGCAGGGTCTGGCCCTGGCCCCAGTGATCCAGCAGGTGTCCATCAGGTGAGCACACTCCTGATACTGCAGTGTGCTTCCCTGGGCCCGTCTCTTCCAATTACATTAGATGCTGGTGCAAAAAACAATACAGATGCCACCATTTCTGCCTCGGCCAGGCCTCCAACCCATAGAGACCAACCCCAGCACAACCCTGCCTTCAACTTGCTGCAGCCAGGGACAGCCAGGTCCAGAGAGGTGAGCTGACTGCTCTAGCCCCACACTAAGCTGGCGGTGGAGCTGCAGCCCAGGTGTCCTGCCTTTCACCAGTCCAGGACCTTCACCAGGCCAGGTGTCTGCTCTAATGTCCCCTACCCTAAGCCAGGCACTGCAGGCCAGCAGCACCGGCACATCCTGCAGGGCCAGCCTGTTGGCTGGAAAGCCAGTCTTGCAAGTGGGTTCACGTGTTTGCTGCCCAGGCTTTCTGTTCCCAGGACTCTGCTTTAATGATAGTAATCATATATTCCTCAAAACTATGACATATACTCAAAGGTAAGACACCGTGCGGAGGCAGAGAAGCAGCCATCTGTTCTTTATAGGATGGAAGTTTTGTCGTAGCTTATCTTTTTCTTAAACATGAATATAAAAGAAATGACTGAGATAATTGGGTATTTCTAGAAATATGACATTTCCTATTTTCTAACAAGAAAGAAAACAGCCCCCATCCAAAGTCATCACAAGTCATCTACCTGTGGGCTGTGGGGTGTGTGTGTTGTGTGTGTGCAGTGTCTGTATGGTTGTGTGTGGGTGCATGGTGTGTATGTGCATATGTGTGTGTATATGTGAGGTGTGTGTGTGGTTTGTGTATATGTGTGTGGTGTGTGTGTGCCTTTAACACATCTATGTTTGTGTCACATAAAAAGAGACAACTCACTATCCAGATCAAATTAATAACTTTATATATTAATGTCAAAAGAAATTCTTAAACTATTTTTCAAACCATTTAGATATTTACGTGTAAGCCATCCATATCATAAGATTTCGAAAGAATTTTGAGAAAAAAATCAACTTTTTAAAGTTCAACTCCACATCAAAATCAATTTTTCAGTCTAGAGGTAAAATAAAATTCTACAATATTATAGTAGAATTGATATAGTTATTTTAATATAGTTAAAATAACTTTTGTATGATCTTTGCTCACAGTTACCAAAAGAATACAGCTCTGAGAAAATGAAAATTTAAGATATTTTTATACACTTTGTCAAGTGAAAAAAATTAAGAATAAATTTTTGAGTAAATGTAATTTACGAAGACCACCTATAAAAGGCAGTAGAGCATTTACAAATAAAGCAAATGATTTATACCACCCCAAATATCATTAGATGCACAAATGGGAGTAATAAAATAATTTTTAAAGAGTCCTTGTAAAAACAGAGCTTTGTTCCAAAAGGGAAGCATATCAGGAAGGGTCCAGTGTATCAGGAAATAATGCAGTACTTTTCTGATCGTTAAATCTCCTATAAATAGCTCGCCATTTTCACTGTCAGTAAATATACAACACTCCACAAGCTGAAACCTATGTAACTTCGCTGGAGCCTTCACAGGTGTTTATGAATGGCGTAATCTGCTGGCTCACTGAATGCTGACGCTGTTGGAATAGCTCTGAGCAGTGGGCACCTAAAACCATTGCTTTTACATTGGGCCTCCTGATTCTTGCCCTTGGCACTTGGGTCATTTCTAAATATGGTCACTTCTTATCCTTTTGAAGTCTGTGCTGTGATGTGCTCTAAGAAGGAGCCCGTCTTTTGGGGACCACGCTGGGGCCAAAGGCAAACCCGGTGCAGCCCACACAGCATTGCTTCCTGCTCCAGCCTCGCCCCTCCAGCAGGCAGTTTCAGAGCTGAATGTCAAGGCTGTGCTTGTCTTCAGATGGCCCACTGGCTCTTTAAAAACTGAACCCCTGCCTCCTGTCCCCTGCACTGTTCATATTCCTTCCTACAGTTTCCCCACCGTGGATCTGAGGACAGAGAAGGTGGAGGACCAGGATATTGCCTTTTGAACCTGCTAAAGACCAGCAGCCTCCTTGAGTGATTGGGGTCCTACCCAGGCTTGACTTTAGGATAAGATAATTTAAAGGTGGGCAGCACCGTAATCAATACTCATTGGTATTTCTTTTAGGTCCAAATATCAAATACTTTTAAAATGGAAATTTAATGAAAATAGTCATTGTTCTTTGCTGTTGGATTTTTCTTTTCTATCAAGAGCATAGTTCCTTGTTCTTTCTTTTACGTCACCAAAAGAAAAAAGGAAATGTCAAGATACTTAGGGGAGTAAAAAGGTGCTGCCAATGAGGCCCAGCTGAAAAGAATATAAACCTCTAGGCAGAGTAAGCTGCAGCCTTTCTGTGTGCATAGCCCCATTCTGTTATTTAGCAGCAAACTCAATGATGGACCAATTAGACATGCTTTGAGCTTTGAATTCTACTGTTGCTCAGGAACTTCTTCCATGTTTAAATTTTAAGTCCTTCATTAATTCACATTCTAAGCTGTTGCTCAAATAGTTTAATGTTTCCTAGATGATCAAAATTCACCAGACTTCTGTATTTTACAGTCCCTGTTCTCAGATTAAGTTGAAATATTTTTGAATTATAATTCATATGTGCAATATCCTAATATCACCTGTAAGTAGGTATTTCTTTGAGGGGGAAAATCTATAATACAGTATATAAATTTTCCAGGAAACTAGAAAACATTTGGGGGCTTTATTTTTAATTTAGAAAAAAATTATATCAAAGAGAATAATGCATCCTTTCCCAAACCCTAAACCTTTATATTTTACTATTGGTATCTAGTCATATGATAAAGATGGCCCATTTCTATCTACCAGAAATCTTTTAAAGTAAGGATACCGGTAGAACTATTCAAAAATTCTAAATAACGCCAAATTAAGATTGTTTTCAGTTTAACAATTTTTCAATAAAATAAGTTCGAGGTTTTAAACTCAACATGGGCAATGCGGGAATTTGCACATGTGCGCCAACAGAGGGCCATGTGATAATTTGAATCAAACATGCACACACACTTTAGCATCTGGTTTTCTTTCTGCGTGATTTCAAACTTCTCCAGGACAGCAGAGGACAATGCCTGCGTTTATGTTCACATCACAGCACCATTCATGGCTGCTAATGAACAAGGAACCAAAACATGGATGGTACAGAGCCCTAATTAGTCATGCCATGCACCCCTCAACCCATCACTGCAACCCCTTAAATTTGAGGCAACACAAAGTAACCCCAAGACACAGACAAGCTCTGTGCAGATCCAGCCCTTTGACTATGAATACTACTGCTGATGCTGCCAGTAAGTCACAAACCTTACAGCAACAGATTGTCGACGCAGAGCCGTCTTATTTTCGTACATTCATCATTATTTTGCCACATTTGACCTTTCAAACTTGATGCTGGCCTTCCTTCTTTAAAAAGCAAAAGCAAAGTTCTAAGCAAAGTGATTAAAACAAAAATTTAAAGCCATAAGTTTGAGAATTCTCCCTCAATTTGAAAACTACTCTGTTTAATATGACAGGTAGAAAAAGCTTTGCCAAGGTCTATTTGTCTATTTGAAATGTAGGCTTTTTAAAACAGCAATTATGCTAACACCCCAGAAGTAAACACAACCTCAAAGCTGTCAGGGATTTTTGGTTTGGTTTGTTTTTTTCTTTTTGTTTTGGCCCCTGGTTATATAATTTAAATAAGCAAAACAAGAAGAATATTCAGTACCTCTTAAAATAAACTCAACCAAATATGCATATATTATGCTCATCTATACCCCTTTGGTAAAATATAATAATCCATAGTTTGAAGGTTAAATTAAAAAGCAGACTGAAAAGGTGAAGAAGCCCTCTTTTAACAACAATGGCCACATTCATCTGTAAGTACTTTTTATATAGTTAAAGGCAATCCACAAAGTTAAGTATTTCTGTTAATATTTTGGTTCCGAAATTACCAGACACTGCATTTTACCTGAGGATGTGTTCTATTTAATTTTTACACTGGAATCTGCAGCCAATATTTACGGAACAGACATCCTGGGGGTTTCTCAGTGTTATTGAGGACACGGTGGGGATAGAGTTTGTGTCTCATTTCTTTCTCAATACAAAGCCATGCCTTGGAGTGGCAGGATTGAAATACTGCAACTTCCATCCTTAACCCCTGTCTGCTCGGCTGTGGAGGCTGTTAAAGCTCTGAGCTGCCCAACCGGCAGAAGGAAATAACCGCGTGGCAGATTACTTGAACTGTGCTGAGCATTTTTCCTTAAATATCATAACATGCTTGCATAAGGGTGGAATTTTATTGACTACATCGTGATTTTATCATCTTTGTGTTGGAGGAAAAAACTCCTTTCCAGCCTGTGGCTCCAAGCGCAGCGCCCTAGTTCCCTTTTAGCACATTTAAATGGAAGACTACAGTCACCAGAAAAATAGTCCCAGAATTCTCATTCCGCTGCTGTAAACCAGAACCTTTCCTTAGGGAATGAAAGACAAACCCCAAGAAAACCTGGACTGGGTGAGAAAGTAAAGCCCGTCGAAGAGAAAGCAGCACAGCATTTGGCCTGCTCTGCAAGGAGCTGGGAATTCTTGCTGCGGGGGGCAACAAGATACCCACCCTCCCGCCGGGGAAGACACAGCAGGAGTAGGGCCGCCACTCCGTGCATCTCTCCTCCCGGGGGCTGCCCAGCTCTCCCCAGCGCGTTTCCTAGATACTAGGCAGGCCGGACCCCCGCTGCCCAGGGTTGGGCGCCCATGACACTGGTCAGACATCTGGTAAGCCAGGTGGCAAAGGCGTGCCAAAAAAGTGGAGCCTAGGGAAAACCGGGACGGAGCGGGCCACCCGAGTGGTAAACCTTTTCCCAATGGATGCGGGAAAAGCGCATTTGTAGTTCCCTCCTCACCGCTGTCAAGCGAGCTGATTGCTAAGGAGTGCGCATTTGCTTGCCTCTAACGTGACAGTCGCGGGAGCGCCCCGCACCCCGGGCTTCAGGGAATGAAGGAGTCTGCCCCGAACTGGCCCCAGAACCCCCAGCCCCCAGGGCGGCCCGCGCCCGCACCCACCTTGACCACGTAGGTGACTCCGGGCCCCAGCACCTGGTCGCTGGCGTGCGGCGCCCCCCGAGGGGGCCTGGGCAGCGGCTCGTCGCCGGGCCGGCCCTTCCTGGCGGCGCTCATGGCCGGGGCGCGGGGCGCCGAGGGCGCACTGCCGTCCGGGGCGGCCAGGCTGGGCGCGCTGCAGCTGCCCGAGAGCCGCGCGCCCGCCCGCTCCCGGGCGGCCGACGACAGGCCGCGGAGGCCCGAGCTGGAGAGTTTCAGGTGGGACACCTTGTGGAGCAGGTGGCCCAGGCTGCCGGGCCCATCGTCGGGCGCCTTGCGCAGCGCCTCGCCGGACACCAAGTAGGGAGCCGCCGCCGGGGTCGCGCGCGCCGCCGAAACCTTGCCTCCGCCGCCGCTCACCGACAGGCTGTGGAGAAGGTCATCGACCGATGTCACCGAGTCATTCCTGAAGCGGTTATACTTGGTGCGTGGAAGCATGCCCCTCCGTGGGCTCGCTGCATCCGCCCGGGCGCTGCTGGTGCCGGCCCCGGCGCGGGCTGCCGCGCATAGCAGGCGAGCCACTGTCCCCGGAGCGGGACGGAGAGTGGGGGCCCCGGGACAGCCTTCTGGAGAACGAGAGCAGAGCAAGAGGATGGTGCCCTCCCACCGTTAAAAGCCAGCACAGCGGCGGCCGCGCAGCCCCGGCCCGGGAGACCGCTGCTTGGGGTTGCACGTTTGCTTTGCAAAAGTCATAGTTGCCTCTGATGGAGCGCCCAGCTGCTTGGGGCTGCTCACAGCAAAAGCATGACTCACTCTGAGAGGAGACCCTTCTCAACAAAGGCTCGGTGAGCACTGCAAATCACTTCCTGTAGCAGAAGAAAAAAAAGGAAAAAAAGAAGAAAAAAACGACATCCACCCGCTGACAGCACACTATAGCCAATCAATTCTCAAATTTCCTTTTTCTACCTTCCCAGATATTTCCTTCCAACCTTTGATTTTTCACCTTCCCATCCCCCGCAATCTGCATTTGTGCCAAAGGTAAATCCAATCCAGTTCCTTCAAATCGTCAAATGAACTTTCTGAAACCCATTATTCTGTTAGGTTTTGCTCGTCCCTGCTCAGCCCATCTGTGTGAGCCTGTAAAAGTGTCTAACAGCGATGCGTTAAAATGTGACGAAGGCTTTTTAAGAATCAGATCTTCAGCGAATCCTGATGAATCTTGACTTGGAAGGCAGCAGGAATTTTTAAATAGAAAAAAACAAAAAGGATATTCACCCCCAGGTGACTGTAAAATACCAATTTCCTGGGTTTTGCTTTTTCTTTTCAAATTAACAGAGCAGCGATGACAAGTGTCTTTGTGGCAATGCAGTTCCTCAAAAAAAAAAAAAAAAAAAAATCTGCATATGAACTTCTGCACAGTGCCAATCAAGGGGTCTTCCCTGCTCATTTACAGCAGTCTTTCTCAGCCAGGGTTAAGTTGAATATCCACTTCCAAAAAAGAAGAGTGCTTCTTTCACGAGTGGCAACAGGCTCCAGAAATCCATTCCAAAAAAGGGGCTGCATTTGAAGCTTTAATCCTACTGAATGTGTTTAAGCTCTGGAAAAACGCCTAAGAAATGCTACAAATACATTTCAATGTTCCTTCAGTTGCTGCTTGCAACCCTGCAGTCAGGAAGGAAAAAATGCAGCTGTTCTTATTGCACATCAAATCCACAAGGAGGAAAATATGCCTTCTTTTCAGGAGTCAGGCTCGGGCTTGCAAGTAAAATGCACAGGCCTTCTTCCTCTCAGTTAGGAGAGCAAGGCTTTCGCTGTCCCCAGAGGTCTGCCCGAGACTGAAGCCCTCTGACTCTTGACCTCAGTGGGCTCTGCCAGGCTTCCTCATGCATTAGGATCACCTGCTCCACAGTGAAACACTCACTATCAAAGTTTTCCCGCAACTTCTGAGCAAGCGAATAAATTCAGCTCTAGCACACTCTCAGGTCACCCTGAGTCCTCTCACTCCCATGACCGAACATGTGGGGCACGTGAGGTCCTGAGTCTTGAACCCTGCTCTATGGAGCAGAGTTTAATGAGCGCCACTCATGGCGGGCGAGCGGGTGAGGCCAACCCCTAGGACGCAAGAGCGCAGAGGAGCCGCGGCGTCCCCGGTACAGGAAACGCGTCCCCACGGCTCGCCTCCTGTGCCGCAGCCCTAGCAGAACAGCTACACGGCACTCATTTGTTCCCTTTCCCTAGCTTGCATAGCAACAGCAATTGCACACCCCATAGATGATTTTGATGGTTATCAGAGTCCTCCCCAGATCTGTAGCGAAACAGCCCTATCATTCCCAAAGCGAGATCTTCATTAGATGCAGACAAAAACCGCAAAATGTGAATGAAATGCTGTTTGTGTGAATGAAAAGGCTAGCGAGCGAGCCAGCGTTTCTGTGAATGAAGCAGGGCCTTGCAGCCGGTGCCAGGCAATCCCCTGGGCTCCAGCGGCCTCAGCCAATGAGCGGCCGCCCCGATGACTCATTCAACAAAGGCTTGCTCAATAGTGGAAGATTCCATTTCAATCAAAGGCGGGATCTTTTATCCAACGGCAGTGTGGGAAAAAAAAAAAGAAAAAGAAAAAAAAACACCCAGCCGGATTACAAAGATACCGGGAGGAAGAGGCCAGCTGCTATGGAGAGGAAAAGCTAGTTTTACAAGGGAATTCAAGATCCCTTGGTCAGGTCTAAGTGTGAAGAGGGTCTCTCTTGGAGGTGAGCTGTGCCCCTAAACTTTCATTCAGCCGTTCATTTACATCAAGGAGCAACCATGAATGTGCCAGTCGTTCAGCTTTTATTATGAATGTACATTGAATGCACGTTCAAAACCTAGGTTCCTAGCCCTTGATTCTTTTTTTGTAAAAGGCATGTAGGACACCTGTACACGTTCTGAGGCTCCAGGGAGGAAAAAAAATCCAAAGCTATGTACTTAACGTTTAGCCAACAGGAGACTTTTATTTCTTTTATTATGAGGCCAGTGGAGGGAAATTGGTCATTTTAAAATATAAATAGCAACATAAATTTACTATATATGAAAAGATATATAATCAAAGACAGAAATTAATATTCCAAGAACACAGTAGTACGGTAAAACCTCACTTACCTGGAAAATAGTATCAACATTTTGGAACGTAGCAGAAAGATGGAAAAAGAAAAACCCGAAGGCCTCTCAGCATCAAAAGGAGGCTGTGCAGCCCACACAGAAGCTCACACACCCTACTCATGAGAAAACCCTTTGCCCTTTCTGGGGAGCTGTTCATGTTTATTTTAGACCCTGTACCAGAAAGCCCACATATCTTCTTGATCAACATAGAGACAGATGAGAGAGGAGACCACTGGGACAGAAAATGCTAAATGTAAATGAAATTTTCTGTTGCTGGCTTGCTTGATAGCCATGGAAGGAAGCAGGAAAAAAAAACTCCATTTTAAAGTCAGCCTTGAGATTCACCAAAGCCAGGCAGTCTGGGGCAATTTACAATGAGAGCCTTTCCAGTATGTTGTGGTTTTTCTTTTTTAAATCAATGCTTAAACACGTATTTGCTTTCTATGGCTGCCGTAACAAATGACCACAAAATCAATGGCTTAGAATAACACAATTTATTATCTTCCAGTTTGTAGGTAAGAAGTCCAAATGGGTCATGCTGGGATCCAGCATGGGTGTGGGCCGAGCTGGTTCCTCTGGAGGCTCTGAGGGAGAATCCACAAATTTCTGAGAAGGTGCCATGAGCTGGGCCCTGGGGAAAGTGGTTTTGCCTTCTGGAAGGCAGAAGATCTGAAATTAATGTTATAACCTAGTTAAGACTATGTGAATTTTGTAATATGTGTGAGATACAAAAACTTGACCAAAGGAGTGAGCTTGTCCTGAGGATGCGGAGGTGACCCCTGACCCCAGTGGAGGCATCCTCCAGGTGACTTCACAGGAGGAAACTGTGTGGGCAAGGGCTCCAGGCCTGAGCAGTCCAGAGTCTCCCAGAATCCCTGGTAGGTTGGTTGGGTTGGTGAGGAGGTCAGGAGGCTGGGCACTCATAAAGGCTTAGAGGGGTGATGAGGTTTGGATGTGTGTCCCCTCCAAATCTCATGTTGAAATGTGACCCTCAGTGTTGGAGGTGGGGCCTGGTGGGAGGTGACTGAATCATGGGGGTGGATCCCTCATGAATAGCTTAGCACCATTCCCTTGGTGATAAGTGAGTTCTTGCTCTGAGCTTACATGAGATTTGCTTGGATAAAAGAATATGGCGGCCTGGTGTGGTGGCTCATGCCTGTAATCCCAGCACTTTGGGAGGCCGAGGTGATGGATCACCTGAGGTCGGGAGTTCGAGACCAGCCTGGCCAACAGGTGAAACCCCATCTCTACTAAAAATACCAAAACTAGCCGGGCATGGTGGCAGGCCCCTGTAATCACAGCTACTCGGGGGGCTGAGGCAGGAGAATCGCTTGAACCCGGGACGAGGAGTTTGCAGTGAGCCGAGATCGCACCATCGCATTCCAGACTGGGCGAAAAGAGCAAGACTTTGTCTCAAAAACAATAAAAATAAAATAAAATAAAATAAAATAAAATAAAATAAAATAAAATAAAATAAAATAAAATAAAATAAAATAAATGTGGCGCCTCCCCTCTCACTCTCTTTATTGCTTCTGCTCATGCCATGTGACACTCCTGCTCCGCCTTCACCTCCTGCCACAATTAAGGCCCTCACCAGAAGCCAAGCAGATGCCAACACCATACTTCCTGTACAGTCTGCAGAACCATGAGCCAATTAAACCTCTTTTCTTTATAAATTACCCTCTGGCATTCCTTCTTAGCAATGCAAGAACAAATGGACACAAGGGGCTTGAGAGAGGGTCACATAGTCAGGTTTGCCTTTTATGGAGACCACTTTGATAGTGACTTGGGGTGGCTCTGGGAAGTTGAGAGGAGGTAGGAGACAACAGGACAAGTTAAAAAGAACAAGGGCTTGAATGAAAGCAAGAGCAGTGGAGCTGGAAAGAGAGGGATGGATTCAAGATAGCTGGGAAGGTAAAGGATCTGTCTCTGTGATGAGGAAGTGTAAGAGAGAGCGAGGCTGGGTAGGCTGTCTGCAGCTAGAAGCTAAGACAGAGTTTGGAATGCAAGATGCTTATTAGAGATCAAGCTCCACAGAAAGCAGGGGAGGCTGCAGGAGGGAGCAGAGGCAGAAGTGGGCTGTGACCCAGGCCCCACACACCTCGTCCTTCCAAGAGTTCTGGAGAAAGAGTGCCATCCACAGAGAGTATCCCCTGGCCTGCAGGGCTCCTCATTCACTCTCACGCACTCCCTCACTCTCTCCCACATTCACCTCTTTAGTGTGGGCTGCCCAGGGAGGAACAGCCTCCAGCAGGTGGCACCCCACAGCTGAGCACCCCCAGAAAAAGTTGATGTGAAGGCTGTGTGCCCATGGCACCCTGCAGCCCAGCCTCTCCCAAAGAAAGGAATGCCAAGCAAAGCCCACGTTTCTAACTTGGACCATTGGGTTGAGCTGAATGTTAGCCATGAGGATGAGGAGCATCCCCATGACAGGCAGGTCATGGGGAAAGGCAAGGGCTGGGCTTGAATGTGTGTGAGGGGTGGGGATCTTCCATGTAGAGATGGCCAGAGCCGAAGAGCAGTCAGGGCTGGAAGTGGAAACTTGCAAATGCCAGACTTCCCAGATGGGAGCTAAGAAAAAAAAACGGTCATAATTTGGAGAATAAATATGGAAACCTGGTTTGATGAATGTCATGGAGGAGAGTTTCAAGAGAAAAACCAGTGATAGTTAACAAATGTAATGATGACAGTCATAACCACCTTGACTGAGTGTCCCTAGGCACCAATGCATGCCTGCTATAGAGAGATATAGATAGATGGTTTACAGCCTGTTTTGAATGAAAAGAAACCAAGAATCAGAGGAGTTACAAAATGTGCCAGAGCCACACTGGGTGAGTGATATGGTTTGGATTTGTGTCCCTGCCCAAATCTCAGGTTGAATTGTAATCCCCAGTGTTGGAGGTGGGGCCTAATGGGAGGTGACTGGATCATGGGGGCAGTTTCTAATGGTTTAGCTGTCCCCCAGTGCTGTCTCATAATAGGATTCTCACAAGATTTGCTTGTTTAAAAGTATGCAGCACCTCCCCCTTTGCTCTCTCTTCATCCTGCCCCTACCATGTAGATGTGCCTGCTTCCCCTTCACCTTCCGCCATAATTGTAAGTTTTCTGAGGCCTCGCCAGCCATGCTTCCCATACAGCCTGCAGAACTGTCAGCCAATTAAACCTTTTTTCTTTATAAATTACCCAGTTTCAGGCATTTCTTTATGGCAGTGTGAGAATGGACTAATACAGTGAGGAACTGACAGAATAGTCTTACTCCAAAGCCACGTTCATGACCCAGCATCACCCCTATTCAGACAGCTTGTGTAAGGTACCTGCTGAGACCCATCCTTGGCAGGTGGTGATCAGCCATCACCCGACATCTTAACAATGGGGATGGAGAGGCTTCTGCTTAGGTAGCAGGATGGTGCCAGCTGAATGAGACCAGAAATGAATGAAAAGATCATACTTTCCAAAAGATGGAATGAAATGAAAGGTGGGACATAGGGTAGTAGCCAGCAGTAGAGCAGAAGAGTACAAAGCAGGGGATGGAAGAGTTAGGAGTGTGTTTAGGGGCAGGGAGCAGAGCAGAGTGGGAGAAATCAATGCAGGAAGGAGACAGGTCAAGAGCCTGGGTAGCTCTTGCCCTGTGGGGATGGTGGGATATCTCATCCTCTGGTGGGAAGGAGGACTTGATGAGCAGACCATTCAGGGTCCAAAGTAGGAAACAGGAGTCCCTCCCCTCTGAAGTGGTTCAAAGGCAGAGACTTTAATATAACAGACATAAAGATGAGGTTAACATAGCCCCAAAGGATGGTGATATGCCAGGGATATATCATCTCTGAGTCACAAGACTCAGAGGCCATCTCCAGCTCCAGGACCAAAGCAACAGAAAGGGAATTGAGTCACTGGAGCCAGGAGAATCCCAGCTGGAACTTTGGAGTGGAGGTTGTCAGAGGCAGCTGAAGTTTCAGAGGGCAAAAGTTACTGACAGAGAGGAGGCCAGAGAGGGGAAATACCCAGACTGTCTCTTTCCCTACTCTTATCTCCTGTTGGTGCCTCCCATTGGCCACATCCATGGGAAGCCAGAGGTCCAGGGAGCTTGGTGATGGGACCATGGGGAGAGGCAGCCCCCAGGCACAGAGCAGACTGGAAGGCTGAGGGGAAGTGCATGCTGAGTGTGTCTGCACGTCAATTTGTCTGTGGCGATGGTAGGAAGCTCAAAGCTTTTATGTCTGATTTGGACGTTACACCTGACTTTCACCATGAATAAAAGGCAGGGATGTACTTAAAAAGTGAGATGATTTCATTTCTGTAAGGCATTTGAGTTGCAGTTGAAGGTACAGAATGGCCACTGAGGGGGGCGAAAGGTGCTGCCAATGTGTCAGGATAAGCAAGGGATTGCTGCATGGCACCATGAACCAGTCATAGAGAGCCCAGATATGGGCATCCATCTGCCTGTTTATGAAATGGAAGACAGTGAATCATTAGCTACAGGGTCCATTCTAGGATGAAGGCACGGGAGGGAGGGCCTGGAGGACACAGCCAGCAGGAGTCAGGAATGGATGTGGGGTAGAGAAGGATAGGATGGCCACTGAAGGAGGATCAAACGCAGGCACAGTGCTCTCAAGGCCCTGGGAAGATTGCAACCTGGGGCCTTGGGGTGCACATCATGGAGAGGTGCATGGGAGCAGGTCCCTAATGGTGCCTCTTGAGGTGTAGGTGGGGAGAAGGATCAGCCTCACCACAGTGTTGGGGGGTGGGGAGTTCCAGTTTTGTTGAAGCCAGAGTTTGGAGTCATCCTGGGAGGAGGCTGAAACAGAAGAGAGCTTCTCCAGGACAATGTGGGAAGGGTGAGATGGCTGGGCACTCAGGGAAGAGCAAATGAGGGCACAAGTTGTTTAGAAGACAGAAGAGCCACACCTCATATTGACAGTAGAGGGAGGGGTACCCAGGCAGAGGGGCAGACGTACTCTTTGCAGGGACCCTCAGGGGACCACATGCCCATTCCCTGTTGTGGGAATGGAGAGCAGGACTGGATGTAGGAATACCTGTGGTTAAGAATAATCTGGAACAGGGCTCCCAACAGTGGAACCCAATGCTTCAGCACCAAGGAGAGTTCCTCACAACTGGAGGCCGGGGCCAGGCTCCCTGTCCTCAGAGAAGGGCCTTGAGCCTCAGCCAGCTCCAAGGATGGGTCAGAGCGCTGGCTCACCAGCCCTCATCGCCCTCCATATTCTGTATTTCTAAGGTTCCAATGACGTAAGTTTCAAATTATCATCCCTCCCTCCAAGCAGCTTCAACTCCCCACACACATGTGGGAGTTGGGGTGGGAGCCACAGTTCCTCAAAGGCTACTGCTCACTGGGCCTGGCACCATGCTGAGTGCTTCCTGTGGGTCCATTATTCCTCATGACCCTACGATGACAGTCCTATTATCACCCCATTTTACAGATAAGAACAATGAGGCCAGGAGAGACCAGGTGACTTTCTAGCAGGCAACAGAGCAGTGAGTCACACCAAAGCCAGCCTGACCCAGTGCTCCCACAAAAATAACACACAAAGAGGGTCCTCATTCCAGCTCTGCCACTGCTCAGTTCCCACCCTTATGAAGGGAGAAAAAAAACACAGCCTACCACTGCCTTACACTGTTGCCATGGTTATCAGACGGCAGAACACAAGAGCCATGTGGGCTCAGCATGAGGTATTTTTATTATTATTGGGGAAAGATCGACATGTCACTGCCTACTTTTTTACTGTAAAGTAATAATTTATAATTGTATACATGTACAGGCCACAAAGAGATGTTATGATTTATGAAAACAATGTAGAATATTTCAATCAAGCTAGACAACATATCCACTACCTCAAATATTTAACATTTAAGTCACTGCCTACTTCATATATAGAAAAGGGATGAAATAAATCTTGGGAAACGTCCATCCCCAGGCCCATGCTGGCCTAGTTAGGGGAGATATGAGAGGAGAGGAAGAAAACAGAAACATTGTAAAGCAGACAATGCTAGGAAATCAATTCTTGTTTCAGAAGGGAGAATCCCAAGGGACAATTCATCAGAAAAAGAAGAGGGAATTACAAGAATTTGCACTATACGGTATAGCTAGGAGGCCACCGTGTGCTCAAAAATAGTTGCTGGATTGAAATATGTAAGAACCTTATGTCATTTGTAAAACAATAAATTACAGCTTTTCCTGAAGAAGAATTGCTTCATTTAGAAAAATTTAAACGAGACTCTGTATTCCTTTCAGTTCCTTGACTATATGCGTATCTAGTTTTATGTAGAAACAATTTACTGTTTCCTCATTTTCCCTCTAAAAGACCTACTTTTAGAGACGTTTTGTTGTATAATATAATCTCCACAAATACGTTTCACAGCTGAATAATAGTCCATGGTGTCAAGACATGATCATTCCCTTAGGCCCTCTGCTATCACTGGACACTTGGTTGTTTCTAACTTATCAGTACTGCAAATGTTGACATAAAAGAGAGCCTTTGCGCATGCAGCTTTTATTATATCCACTGAATTATTTCTGAACCTAATTCACAAGGAAATGAACATTTCTACAACTCTCGATTGATGTTGCTAAATGTTTTGTCAGTTTTCACCACTGGCAGTAATCACTAGGAGCATATGAATTTTCCTGCAAACTCAGCAGCTTTGGTTTTTGCTATCTTTGCTATCTTCATAGTTGGAAATGGTGTTTCATTGAGTAGTTGTAATATGGTTATTCAAGAATTTGTGGCTTCTGATTGGTGGAAGGAATGTCAACCTTCTCACTATATTCTGACTGGTTGGCTCCAAATAAAAAGTGTAGAGATTTACCAGACCTCAGTGGTAGGCAGTCTGCCTGTGCACTTGAACCTTGCTTAACTTTACCTACACCTTCCATCAACAAATGGCCCTGCAGTTTGAGGCTTCAGTGAGCTATGATTGCCCCACTGCAGCCTAGCTTGGGTGACAGAGTGACAGCCTGCCTCTAAATTTATGTATATATTTATATAATATTATATATGTGAATAAATATATTAATTTATAATTATATAAACATATATTAATTTATAATTATATAATACGTATTTTAAATTATTTTAAATACAAAAAAATTTTTAGTGGCCTGCTCTAAACTTGAGTCTCAGTTCTGGAGACACAGTAATGTTTAAGCTACTTTTAATTAGATCATTTCTGTTGGACTCTGTGTGAGCTTTCCCTACAGTTGTCAAATGTTTACCATTTTTATCTTTCTTGATAAATATTTTTGCACATATAATTATGTATAATATAGTTACATTATGTGATACAATTTATATATATCATATAACATGCTACGCATTAGGATATATACATAATTATATATACTTACACATAACCTATACTGGTATAATATTTATGTAAATTAATTATATGTATTATTTTACTTTCATGTGGTTAATTTATGTGCATAATTATATATTCATATCCATAGAAAGCCTACATTGGTACAATATTTACATATGTTCTATTTGTCTTTCATATAAGAATCAGTAACAGTGAAACAGGGGCGTCAGTCTGTAGATAGCAGACACTCCAGAAAGGCCTTCCCTACCTGAAGAACTTAGAGAGGCGGAGACCACCAAGACTTTGTGTTTCCCACTACAAGCCACGAGCAGCCATTCCATGTTCTGTGGTTCTCAAACCTAAGCAAGCTTCCAAATGCTCCAGCAAGCTCTTTACCCACAGACCGCTGGTCCCACCCCAGGGTTCCTGACTCAGTAGGTGTGGGTGGCTCCCAGGTGATGGCAGTGATACTCAGTTGATTCCCACCTAAACAAGGCCTTCTGACTGCTCAGCCACTGTGCAATTCTGTAATTCCAAACTGAAAATAAAATTTCTGGACACATTCCAAGCATAGGATAGAATAGACTGAACATATCTGCCTGCCCAGAATCTGGGGAACAGCAAGATGGTCAGCCTTGAGAGGGCTAGCAAGACAAAATCCTAGCAGAGCTGCTGACACAGCAGCTTCGTGGAGCTCAGGAGAACCCCGTGACGCAAAGTCCCTCTGCAACAGAGTTCCCAGCCCTGGCCACATCCTAATTTAAAAAGCCAAGAATTTAAACCAAGAACCCCTCAAAATAATAGGAATAGCCAAAAAATATGTGCCAGGCACTCTTCTAAGTACTTTAAATGTGTTTTCACGCTAATGATGTAGGTACTGTCATTATCCCTGTTTCACAGATAAGAAAACTGAGGCATGGGGCAGCTAAGTAACCTGCCAAGGTCACAGCCAGTTAAGGCTATAGCCAGGACTCAGCTCCAGCCACTCTGACTCCAGGCTCAGCTGTGAATGACTGACCTCTGCAGCTTTAGGAGTGAGTAACACCGGGTACTTGGGAAGTAAGTGCAAAAGCAGGGCAGGTGCTAAAATGAGGAGGCTTGGATGGAAGCCTGTTTAAAAAGCAGTTTGATCTCCCCAGTCCCCTTCCCACTCTACACATCCAGGCCATAGGTGACCACCAGTATGATTTCTTTTATTTCTATGAAATGTTTAGACAAGGCAAATCTATTGAGACAGAAAGCAGATCAGTACATACCAGAGGCTTGGTCCAGGGCAGGATCAGAAACTGATGACAAAGGGTAAAGGACACATTTTAGAACTGGATTGTGGTGGTGGTTTTATAATCCTGTAAGTTTACTAAGATATTGAATTGTACATTTGAAATGAGAGAATTTTATAGCATGTAACTCATGCCTGAAAAAAACCTGTTTTAAGAAAAGGTGTGTGGAAATACATTTATAAAAAACAGAAACTAAGATATTACTTTATATAAAACCATTTCCATTGTGATTCTCCCAGTGATATTATGGGCTAGGCCTTATAATCATTTGTTTCTCATACAAGATGTTACATCAAGTCAGCTGCCCTGCACCTTGCTAGCAGCGTAGCTGTTGGGGTGGAGTGGCGTGAGATAGGGAGAAAGAGATCTGACAAAATAAAGGATCTGCAACTTTAGCAAAAGAGAGATAATTATTAAGTTGTTGAAATTAAGTGCCCTATACTTTGAGGTTTCTCTGAAGGAACTGTACCCATGACATTAAATTTTGCAGTAGAAGTTATTCCCTTAGGGTACTTCTCAACATTAAAGGTTAGTCAGTGGTGGTGTGACTGACTCCCATCTGGAGAGAGTCTTGGAGTGTGCAAATGTGGAATGATAGTCACAAAAATATAACATTGAGAGAATAATTCGCACAAAAACTAATGAAAATTGGTGCCTAATATTAATCCATGACCTACCCTAAAAAGTCATTTGTTTAAAAACTTGAACAATTTTTGTGTGACCTTCTTGCAGGTTTTGCTGATTGTGTTTGGTTTTCCTGGCAGCTTTTATCAAACCAGAAAAGTATAATATCTTTAAAGAGTTAGGATGGATTTAAAAGGAGATGACTGCATTTAGCATCACCTGAAATCTCCCTTTCAAAGACAGAGAATAGCAGAGAACTGATTGATAATAACCTGTAATGCTACATATGAATAATATAATAAAACATGAGTGATAGATAATGATCTGTAATACCACAGTAATCTGTAATGCTATACGTGAATAATATATGAGTGATATATAATCTGTAATACATATGTGAACATTTTCATACCCTGAGCCTGCAGGCTACTGTCTGATAATATTTAGTTGTGATTATAGGTTAGCATTGCCTTGTATTTCCCTCCCTGCATTAGACACTGGCTCTAGGGCTGTGTTCCAGGAGGAGACAGCCTTTCAAATCCAAATGTTCCAAATGGGGGTTTAGAACAACCGTTACTTAATACTACCTAGTATCCACGCCACCTGTAATGACTATGTTAATTGATAGGAGAATAAAGCTATAGGTCAACATGTGATTGGCTTGGTATTTTCAGGATAGACTAGGTTATACTATGGCAACAAAAGACTTCAACATCTCCATGGCTCATTTACTCCTCTCTCCACACATCCATCCCTGGTCAGATGGGGCTCTGTCCCCTGTTGTCTACTCTCTGGAATGAAGCAGACAAAGTAAACTCTATCTGGACTTTGTGCACACAACTGTATGCAAAAGAAAGAGTGCTGGCAATGCTCATGCAGCCCTTCAAGTTTCCACCAGGAAGCAACATAAATCACAGTTGCTTACATTTCACTGGCCAGAGCAAGTCATATGGCCATGCCTGAGTACAGCAGGGTGGAGCTACACAATCCTTCCAGGGAGGGAGAGCAATGATTGGTGAATGGCAATGCAGTGTTCCACAGCCACTCATGTCTACTGGCTAGGCTGCCCTAAGCATCTCTGTATCTTCATCATCTCAGCTCTGCCTGGAACACATTACAAGCTCATTCACATCTCAGGAAAGACCACCCCAATGTATGGTAATGAATGAAGAACAATAAATCCTAAAGCCACATAGTCCAGAGCTTGACTAAAGAAAGGCCCAGAGCCTTTACTATGAAGGAATGCCACCTACCATGCTCAAGAGCAACGGGGCCTGCCCACATGGCCCCATGACCAAGTGAGAAGATAAATGTAGAACAGGTAATCATGAAATTACGTGTTATAAAACGAGAAGAACAGGGCTTCTGGGATCATTTAAATAGACACCTAAAATACAGGCACACATAAAGAAGAAAATTAAACCATGGCTAACATTGTCTGCTCTTTTATTCTCTGAGTATATTTTTCCACATGAATAAAATCATGTGGCTTCATTTCCCATTTTTTTCATTTAGTGATATGGTGAGTATTTGACCTTACCAAAGGACATTCTTCTAAGAAAGCTACCTTCTTAACCTGGGGTCCATGGAATGTCAGTGGGAGGAAAATGAGTCATTAAGTGTAATTTAGCATTTCAATAACATATAGATGCAGGCAATAGCCACAGTAGTTGGTTATCACAGTACAGTTGCTACATATCTTTTAAAATATCATTTATGTTTCTTACTCCCCCAAAATTATAGTAGTAATAATTACCACCACTATATCTGGATATTTTATGAATTAATAAAGAAGCATCTATATTAGTATATGACATGTTTTTTAATATTGATAATTACATTTCATACACAGTCAGCCCTCCATGTCTGCAAGTTCTATATCCTCAGAGTCAACCAATCACAAATCAAAAATACACTATTTGAGGGATGCAGAACTGATAGATATGGAAGGCCAACTCTTCATATCCACAGGTTTAGCAAGACAGATTGTGGGACTTGAGCATCTGTGGATTTTGGTATCCATGAGGTTGTGAGGGGAGGTGTCTTGGAACCAAGCACCCATGTATACTGAGGGACAACTTAATTGGTTGCCTTTGAAATTCTATAAATTTTATTTTAAGACAGTATTCTGTCTAAAACTATGCTGCATAATGGAGACTTTAGGTCTAAGGATGCACATAGGTTGAAAGTGAAATGCTGGAAAAAGATATTTTATCCAGATAGTAACCAAAAGAAAGAAGGTGTGGCTATACTAACATCAGAAAAATATAGACTTTAAGTCAAAAGCCTGTTACTAGAGACAAAAGGGAACATTATATAATGATAAAAGGGTCAATTCATCAAAAAGATATAATAATTATGAACATACATGCACCAAACATCAAAACTCCTAAATAAATGAAGCAAACATTGACAGAATTGAAGGGAGAAATAGCTCTAAAATAATAGTAGGAGATTTCAATGCTCCACTATCAATAATGAATAAAACCAGACAGAAGATCAATAAAGAATGAGAGTAATTGAACAATGCTATAGACTAAATCAACTAACACACAAACAGAGAACACTCCATTTAACAAAAGGATAATACACATTTTTCTCAAGTACACATGGAACATTCTCCAGGACAGATAATACGTAAGACCACAAAACAAGTCTTAATGAATTTTAAAACACTGAAATCATACAAAGTATTTTTTCTAATTGTAACGAAATTTAACTAGAAATCAATACCAGATGAAAAACTGAAAAATCCACAAATATGAAGAAATCAAACAATACACTCTTAAATAACCAATAGGTCAAAGAAGAAACTATAAGGAAAATAAGAAAATATCTTGAGCCAAATGAAAATGAAAACACAGCATACTAAAGTTTATGGGGTCTAGCAAAAATAGTACTAAGAGGAAAATGTAAACCTGTAAATGATTACATTTGAAAAAAAGAAAAGTAATCAGGCAAGAGAAAAAAATAAAAGGCATCCAAATTGGAAAGAAATAAGTTAAATTGTTCATTTGCAGACAACATGATCCTGCATGTAGAAAACCCTAAAGACTCCACTAAAACGCAGTTTTGAATTATTAAAGAAATTCAGCAAAATTGTGGGATACAAAATTAACATACAAAAATCAGTAGTATTTCTGTACACTAATAGCAAACTATATGAAAAAGAAATTGAGAAAACAATCCCATTGACAAGAGCTACAAATAAAATATTTAGAAACAAATTTAACCGAGGAGGTAGAAGATCTTCATATTGAAACAAAACACTAATGAAAGAAATTGAAGAAGACACAAATAAATGGAAAGATATTCCATATCATAGGCTGGAAGAATTCATATTGTTAAAATGCCCACACTTCCCAAAGTGATCCACAGATTGCATATAATCTCTATAAAAATACCAATTACAGTCTTCACAGAAATACAAAAAACAGTTCTCAAATTATTGTGAAAACACAAAATACCTCAAATAAAGCGATATTGAGCAAAAATAACACAGCTGGAGACATCATATTACCTGACTTCAAAATATATGACAAAACTACAGTAACCAAAACAGCATGATACTGGTATAAAAATATACACATAAATCAATGGAACAGAATGGAGAATACAGAAATAAATTCATATATTTGTAGCCAACTGATTTTCCACAAAAGCATCAGAACACATAATGAAGGAAGAACAATCCTTTCAGTAAGTGGTACAGGGAAAACTGGACATCCACATGCAGAAGAATAAAGGTATACCTCTATCTCTCCCCATATACAAAAATCAACTAAACATGAATTAAAGACTTAAATGTTAGACCTGAAACACTAAAAGTACTAGAAGAAAACATAGGGAAAATGTTTATTAAGATAAGATTAGTCTGGGCAAGAGTTTTTTCAATAACTTGAAAAGCACAAGCAATAAAAGCAAAAAATAGACAAATTAGATTATATGTAACTAAAAATATTCTGCACAGCTAAGGAAACAATCCATGGAATAAAAAGACAATCTATAAAATGGGAGAAAATATTTACAAACTATGCATCTGACATGTGGTTAATATCCAGAACATATAAGGAACTTGAACAACTCAATAGCAAGAAAAAAAAAATCCAATTTAAAAATTGGTAAAAGATCTTTCTTACTCTGTTTGTGTTACTATAAAGGAATACCTGAGTCTGGGTAATTTATAAAGAAAAGAGATTTATTTGGCTCACAGTTCTGTAGACCAAGAAGCGTGGCTACAACATCTGTTTCTGATGAGGGCCTCAAGCTGCTTCAACTTAAGGCCAAAGGCAAAGAGGAGCTAGCATATGCAGAGATCACATGGCAAGAGAAAAAGTAAAAGAGAGAGAAAGGAGGTGCTAAGCTCTTTTTAACAACCAGCAATCATGGGAACTAATAGATCAAGAACTCACTGATTACCTCAAGGATGACACCAAGCCATTCATGAGCCATTCAACACCTTTCATTAGGCCCTACCTCTAATATTGAGGATCAAATTGCTTTCTTTAATTTTATTTTTTTATATTTTGTAGAGAGAGTCTTTCTATGTTTCCCAGGCTGTTCCTGAACACCTACCTCTTGCTTTGGCCTCCCACAGTGCTGGGATTAGAGGTGTGAGCCATCATACCTGGCCAAAGATCAAATTTCAACATGAGGTTTCGGGCGGGGGGGCAAACATCCCAAGTATAGCAAAACCTAAGTAGACATTTTTTTCAAAAGAAGATATACAAATAACCAACAGATATATGAAAAAATGCTCAACACCATGAATCATCAGAGAAATGCAAATGAATATTACAATGAGATATCGCCTCACTCCAATTAGAATGGCAATTATCAAAAAGACAAAAAATAACAAATGCTGGCATGGATATGAAGAAGGAAAATTCTTATATACTGTTAGTGGAAATGTAAATTAGTACAGCCATTATGGAAAACAGTAGGGACGCTCCTCAAAAAATTAAAAATAGAACTGTGTGTGAGTCAGCAATCCAACTACTGAGTATATGTCCAAAGTAAATGAAATCAGTATGTCAAAGAGATATCTGCACTGCTATGTTTACTGTAGCATTATTCACAATAACCGAGATATGGAATCAGTCTGAGTTCATCAACAAATGAATGGATAAATAAAATTTGGTACATATGCACAATGGAATACTACTCATCCACAAAAAAAAGTAAAATCCTGTCATTTGTAGCAATGTGGATGAACCTGGAAGACGTCATATTAAGTTTAATAAACAAGGTCAGAGAGATAAATAGCACATGATCTCACTCATATGTGGAGTCTAAAGAAGTTGATCTCATAGAAGTAGGGAGTGGAATGGTGGTTATCAGAAGCTGGGAAGGGGAGAGGGAGATAAGATGAGACTGGCCAGCGGGTACTATCTTTTGGTTTGATAGGAGGAAAACGTTCTGGTGTTTTATTGCACAGTAGGGTGACTACAGTTAACAATATTGCATTGTATATTTCAAAATAGCTATAAGAAGGGATTTTGAATGTTCTCACCTCAAAGAAATAATAAATGTATAAGGTGATAGATATGCTACATACTCAGATTTGATTTTTACACAATGTATATATGTATCAAAACATCACGCTGTACCTCATAAATATGTACAACTGTTATGTGTCAATTAAAAAGAAAATTTTAAAAGTTATCGCTGTTTCTTTAAAAATCAAAAAAATTACAAATCAACAATCTACCTTAAGGAACTAGAAAAAGAAAAATAACTAAGCCCAAGTCTAACACAAGAAAGAAAACAAAAAAGATTAGAGCAGAGATTAAACAAAATAGAGACTGGAAAAACCACAGAGAAAAATCAGCAAAATCAAGAGTTCGTTCTTCAAAAAAATCAACAAAACAAACGTTTAGCTACACTGAGATTTAAAAAGAGAGAAGACTAAAATAACTAAAATCAGAAATAAAAGAGATTACAATCAATTTTACAGACACTAAAAGGATTATACATAATTGTTATACAATTATAGATCAACAAATTAGAAAGCCTAGATGAAATTGATAAATTCCTAGACACACACTATCTACTTATACTGAATCATAAAGAAATAGACAACCTGAACAAACTTATAACTAGTTATCAGATTGAATCAATACTCAAAAGCATCCCAGTGAAGAAAAGCCCAGGGCAAAATGGGTTTACCAAGAATACTACCACACATCTAAAACAGAATTAACACCAGTTCTCCTAAAACTCTTTCAAAAATTAGAAGAGGAAGAATACTTCCAAACTCTTCTATAAGGCAGCATTGCTCTGTGTGTTAGTCTGTTCTTACATTGCTATGAAGAAATACCTGAAACTGGGTAATTTACAAAGAAAAGAGGCTCATGGTTCTGCAGGCCATACAGGAAGCATGAGGCAGGCATCTGCTCAGAGAAGCCTCAGAAAACTTGCAATTTTGGCAGAAGGTGAAGGGGAAGCAGGCACATCTTACATGGCTAGAGCAGGAGGAAGAGAGAGTGGAGAAGGTGCGACACACTTTTAAAAAACCAGATCTCATGATAACTCACTTTCACCACAACACCACCAAGGCAGATGGTATTAAACCATGAGAAACTGACCCCATGATCCAATCACCTCCCACCAGGCCCCACTTCCAACACTGGGGATTACTGTTCAACATGAGATTTGGGTGGGGACACAGATCCAAACCATATCATCCTGATACCAAAGCCAAAGACACTAATCAGAAAAAGACAGTACAGATAAATATATCTGAGAAATATTGATGAAAAAAATCCTTAACAAAATATTAGCACAGAGAAATCGACAGCACATTAAAGGATTATACACCATGACTAAGTGAAATTTATTCCTAGAATGCAAGAATGGTTCAACATAGGAAAAGCAATCAATATAATATACACATAAACAAAATGAAAGGAAAAAAACCCAACATGGTCATCTGATTTGATGCATAGAAAGCATTCAAAAAATTTTAACACCTTTTTATGACAAAAAAACACTCAACAAACTAGAAGTAGAATAAAACAATCTCAACATAATAAATTCCATATACGAGGAGCCCACGCCTAGCATTATATTCAATGATAAAAGACTAAGAGCTTAGCAAGGACGCCAGCTTTCACCACTTCTACTCAATATAGTACTAGAAGTTCTAGCCAGAGAAATTAGTCAAGGAAAAGAAATAAAAGGCATAAACATAGGAAAGGAAGTAGTACAATTATCCCTGTTTGCAGATGATGTGATCTTATATGTAGAAAATCTTAAGGATTATACACACACACACACACACACACACACACACGCACACGTTAGAACTAATAATCAAATTCAGAAACGTTGCAGGATACAAAGTTAACATCCAAAAGTCAGTGGTGTTTCTGTACACTAAAAATGAACAATCCAAAAAGGAAATTAAGAAAACAATTTCATTTATAATAGTATCAAAAATAATAAAATACTTACGAGTAAACTTAACCAAGGAAGTGATAGAATTGAACACTAAAAACTACAAGGTGTTACTAAAATAAAGAGGACACAAATAAATGAAAATACATCTATGTTCATGGATTGGAAGGCTTAATATTGTTAAAATGTCAATATGCCCAAAGTAATCTACATATTTAATGCAATCTCATCAAACTCTCAATGGTGCTTTTGTTTTGTTTTGCAGAAATAGAAAAGTCCATCCTAAAACTCATACAGAATATTAAGAGATCTGATAGCCAAAGTATTCTTGAAAAAGAACATTATATTTAAAAAGATACCTGTACTCATATGTTTGTTGCAGCACAATTCACAATTGCAAAGATATGGAATGAACCTAAGTGCCCATCAACAGATGAATGGATAAAGAAAATGTGAGAGAGATATATATATATAAAATATACACATATGCATATGTGTATATACATGCATATATATATGTATATGTATGTATACCATGAAATACTACCTAGCCATTAAAAAAGAATGAAATAATGTCTTTGCAGCAACTTCAATGAAACTGGAGGTCATTATCCTAACTGAGGTAACTCAGGAATGGAAAACCAAATACCTCATGTTGTCACTTATGAGTGGCAGCTAAGCCATGGGTACCCAAAGGCATGCAGAGTGGTATAACAGACATTAGAAACTCAGAATGGGGGAGGGAGAGAGGTTGGAAAGGGATACAAAATCACCTGTTGGGTACAGTGCACACTATTTGGGTGATGGATACACTAAAAGCCCAGACTTCACCACTGTGCAATTTAACTATGTGACTGAAAACCACTTGTACCCCTAAAGCTATTGAAATAAAAAAAATTTTTAATTTAAAAAAAAGAGATATCACACTTTCTTATTTCAAAAATATTACAAAGCTACAGTAATCAAAACAGTGTGGTACTGGCATAAAGACAGACATATAGACCAATGAAACAGAATAGAGAGCTCAAAAATATACTCTTGCATATATGGTCAAATGATTTCTGACAATGGTGCCAAGACCATTCATTGATGAAAGGACAGTCATTTCAACAAATGATGCTGGGAAAACAGGATATTCACATGCAAAAGAATAAAGTTGGACCCTTACTTTACACCATATACAAAAATTAACCCAAAATCGGTCAAAGACCTAAATATAAGACCTCAAACTATTAAACTTTTAGAAAAAAAAAAACAGGGGAAAAACTTCAGGACGTTGGATTTGGCAATGATTTCCTGGATATGACACCAAAAGTACAGTCAATGAAAGAAAAAATAGATAAATAGGGCTGCATCTAAGTTAGAAACTTATGTGCATCAAAGAATGCAATCAATGTAGTAAAAGGGCAACCCATGGAATGGGAGAAAATACTTGCAAATGATACACCTGATAAGGGATTAATATCTAGATTATTTTTCTAAAAAATACTATGGCTCAAGAACAACAAAGAAAATAAGCAATCTGATTTAAAAATGGTGAAAGGAGCTACCTGACTTCAAACTATACTACAAGGCTACAGTAACCAAAACAGCATGGTACTGGTACCAAAACAGAGATATAGATCAATGGAACAGAATGAAGCCCTCAGAAATAATGTCACATATCTACAACTATCTGATCTTTGACAAACCTGACAAAAACAAGAAATGAGGAAAGGATTCCCTATTTGATAAATGGTGCTGGGAAAACTGGCTAGCCATATGTAGAAAGCCAAAACTGGATCCCTTCCTTACACCTTATACAAAAATTAATTCAAGATGGATTAAAGACTTCAATGTTAGACCTAAAACCATAAAAATCCTAGAAGAAAACCTAGGCATTACCGTTCAGGACATAGGCATGGGCAAGGACTTCATGTCTAAAACACCAAAAACAATGGCAACAAAAGTCAAAATTGACAAATGGGATCTAATTAAACTAAAGAGCTTCTGCACAGCAAAAGAAACTACCATCAGAGTGAATGGGCAACCTACAGAATGGGAGAAAAATTTTGCAATCTACTCATCTGACAAAGGGCTAATATCCAGAATCTACAATGAACTCAAACAAATTTACAAGAAAAAAACAAACAACCCCATCAAAAAGTGGGCAAAGGATATGAACAGACACTTCTCAAAAGAAGACATTTATGCAGCCAAAAGACACATGAAAAAATGCTCATCATCACTGGCCATCAGAGAAATGCAAATTAAAACCACAATGAGATACCATCTCACACCAGTTAGAATGGCGATCATTAAAAAGTCAGGAAACAACAGGTGCTGGAGAGGATGTGGAGAAATAGGAACACTTTTAAACTGTTGGTGGGACTGTAAACTAGTTCAACCATTATGGAAGTCAGTGTGGCGATTCCTCAGGGATCTAGAACTAGAAGTACCATTTGACCCAGCCATCCCATTACTGGGTATATACCCAAAGGATTATAAAACATGCTGCTATAAAGACACATACACATGTATGTTTATTGCGGCACTATTCACAATAGCTAAGACTTGGAACCAACCCAAATGTCCAACAATGATAGACTGGATTAAGAAAATGTGGCACATATACACCATGGAATACTATGCAGCCATGAAAAATGATGAGTTCATGTCCTTTGTAGGGACATGGATGAAGCTGGAAACTTCTGAGCAAACTATCATTCTGAGCAAACTATCGCAAGGACAAAAAAACAAACACCGCATGTTCCACATGTTCTCACTCATAGGTGGGAATTGAACAATGAGAACACATGGACACAGGAAGGTGAACATCACACACTAGGGCCTGTTGTGGGGTGGGGGGAGGGGGGAGGGATAGCATTAGGAGATATACCTAATGTTAAATGAAGAGTTAATGGGTGCAGCACACCAACATGGCACACGTATGCATATGTAACAAACCTGCACGTTGTGCACATGTACCCTAAAACTTAAAGTATAATAAAATAAAATAAAATAAAAATAATGGTGAAAGGAATTTTAAAGACATTTTTCCAAAGATATACAAATGTCCAATAACTACATGAAAAGATGCTGAACATCACTAATCATTAGGGAAATACAAATCAAAACCACAATGAAATACCACCTCACACTCATTAGGATAGCTACTATTAAAAAAAACAACTCAGAAAATAAGTGTTGGCAAGGATATAGAGAAATTGGAATCTTTGTTGTTGGGAATTTAAAATGACACAGCCACCATGAAAAACATGGCAGTTCCTCCAAAAATTAAACATAGAATCACCATATGATCTAAGGATTCCACTAGTTGGTATTATACCCAAACAAATTGAAAGCAGGGACTTGAAAAGATATTTGTAAACCCGTGTTCATAGCGGCATTATTCACAGTCGCCCAAAGTTGAAGTAACCCAAGTGTCCTTCAAGTAACACAGTTGCTCCAAGTGGAAGTAACCCAAGTGTTACTGTGTTGTTTCCTGTAGGAGGAGGATGTGCTGGCCTGGGGAACTCTGCACTGGTAGAACCCTGAACTGCATGTTGTAGTTCCCAGTAAATTACCTAGTCAGGATTCTGACCTACAGGTGTCTTCCCTTCAGTCCTCATTGGGCACTACACTACGTATGGGGAACCGCACAGCCTGCCTTCACACAGGGAGGCTGGGTACACATGGGCAGACTGATAAGGCATGGTGAGTGCACTGCAGATAGTGGGCATCTGCATCAGAGCTTCATAGAGCACAGGGAATGGAGGAGGGGACACAACTGTGCTGGTTGGGGCAAGGTCAGACCCAGAAGAGGCCTCAAGGTGATGTGACAAGAAGGTCACCAGACTGGAGGCTAACCAAGCCTGTAAGCCAGATGTTGAGTCCGAGTCACAGGGATGTCTGCCTGCTGGAGGAGAGTCAGGGAGAAGGCTAGAGAGCCCCTCAGGCAGAACTAAGGATCTGCACTAACTCTTTGGTTTAGGGGGAACCTCTGGAAGTATGATAAACCATCAGGTCACAGGACTGGGTTTACAGCATTGGAAAGTAGGATGGAGAATAGACTGGACAGGTGAGACTGGAAGCAGAATGACCCCCTCGGAAATGTCTGCCCCCTGCCATCTCCCATGATGAGAGATGGTGATTGGATGGACAGAAGAACTTGGGTGTCATTACCACATGAAACGCCTGGTCTGCAGACCAAAGGCCAGACACCTTGTCATGATACATTCTCCAAGTCAGAGCTTCCTGGGCATCCCCCCTCATCAGAGGCTTCAGTCTCCCTGCAGCTTTCTCCATCCACCCTCTCCAACCCCAAGTTTCCATTGTGAAAATTTTTAAACCTAGAGAAGGGTTGGAAGAGTAGATCAAAGAGGAATGTGTCCTTCACATGATTCACAATTGTTTGCCTTCTGCAATATTCGCTTGCTGTCTTCCTATTTGAGCACATTTTTAACCCTTTGAAAGCACACTGCAAACATCATGGCACTTCACCCCCAACTCTCTCCATGTGCATTTCCCAATAACAAGGGTGCCATGTCATCCCTAGAGCATCTCATCATGTTCGTTTGACCCAGTATTGGTTAAGTTTAAGTTTTTGGTGAAAGATATGCCCACCAGATTTCTCCACCAGAACATCCTTCATTTTTAAGAAATCATAGTTGTAACATGAGATTCTTTTTGAAAAGCATTTTTAGTGCTGATTTCATACATTAAATTTGCCTAAAGAGGACTAGGCTACAGCATTATCTCATCCTGATATTTGGCTTGCTTAAAGGAGGGAAAAGCACCAAGTTGTACATTTTATACACTGTGACACAAAAGATTTTGTTTAAAACTTTATTCCTATACAAAGCTTCCTAGTGCTTCCATCACGTGCCCTGCAGTATGCTAATCAATGACAATGGTAATGAAAGCAGGCACTTCTCTGATACGGTCTGGCTGTGTTCCCACTCAAATCTCATCTTGAATTCCCACGTGTTGTGAGAGGGACTCAGTGGGAGGTAATTGAATCATGGGGGCAGGTTTTCCTGTGCTGTTCTTGTAATGAGTAAGTCTCACGAGATCTGATGGTGGTTTTGAAAAGGGGAGTTTCCCTACACAAGCTCTCTTCTCTTGTCTGCCACCATGTGAGATGTGCCTTTCACCTTCTACCATGATTGTGAGGCCTCTCCAGCCATTTGGAAATGTAAGTGCATTAAACCTCTCTCTTGTAAATTGCCCAGTCTTGGGTATGTCTTTATCAGCAGCATGAGAACTAATACACTTCCTTTCAATCTAAGCAGGAACTCCATGTATACAGCCAGCTTGGCACAATGTAATAAATGGTAAGAATTAAGAGATGATGAGCACAAATAGAGTAATTATGCTGCCTAAGAGATAGGGGTTGGCAGGCCGGTTTGGGGCTTCTTAGAATTTGGGGGCCTGGGGGAGCAGAAGAGAAGGTGTCTTAGTCCAGCTGCCATAGCAAAATACCATAAAAACTGGGTGGTTTATAAACAACAGAAATTTATTTCCCCCAATTCTGGAGGCTGAAAGTCCAAGATCCAAGGCACTGGCAGATTCGGTGATGGGGGAGGGCTATCTTCCTGGTTCATAGGTGGCGCCTTCTCACTGTGTCTTCACATGGAGGAAGGGGTGAGGGAGCTCAATGGGACCTCTATAATAAGGGGACTAAGCCCATTCCTGAGGGCTTCAGTTAATTGCTTTCACAGTACTTCTTGTGACTTTCTCTCATTCTATTTTCTTTTTTTTATTTATTTAATTTTATTTTATTCTTATTATACTTTAAGTTTTAGGGTACATGTGCACAATGTGCAGGTTAGTTACATATTCTTATTCGTATACGGCCACCATCAGAATTGCCCTGCATCTTCCAGTTGTGGGGAGGAGAGAGGCCATCTCATTGATGCTTGAGGCTAGTGCAGAACAAGGATGTTGGCAGAGTGAGAAAAGACAATAGAGTCAGCCAGCAAAGTGTAACCCAAGTCCATCATTTCTGTATTGTATATTGTATTACTTTTATAATTTAAAAAGACAAAAAAATTCCAAATGGAATGGGGTTACCAGGGGCAAGTGGGCAGGGCAGGGGAGACATCAAAGGGTACAAAGTTGCAGTTATGTAGGATAAACAGTCTAGAGACCTAAAGAACAGCATGGTGACTATAGTTAATAATAATGTACCATGCATTTGAAATTTGCTAAGAGAGGTAGTAAGTGTTGTAACCACACACAAAAACAAAGGTAACTATGTGAGGTGCTGGATATGTTAATTAGCTTGACTATAGTAATTGTTTTACATTGTTTAGGTATATCAAGCCATTACATAGGACACCTTAGATATACACAATTTTTATTTTAAAAATAAATATATAAGAGAAGAAAAATTTAACAATTCCCTTAAAAAAAAGTGAATCTATTTAGGGTTAAAATACTAACTTAATCAGAGTTGAAGACTTTCATTCAGTCTCTCCACCCAATTCTGATGCCTCATTCCCACACTAAAATGGAAAAATGAAAAAAGTTCTGAGGATTTTTTAAAGTCCTGAATAAGATCCAAAAACACCAATGATGAGCATGAAAGTGGCATGCGTATTCTTTACCTGTGTAGAACAGTACTATTTTGCACACTCTTACAGAGCTTGTTCAGCAAATGGAGTTATTATCAATCATCAATTAAAAACAGAGAGGGAAACGTGAATCGCAACTTGGGATCTAAAGGAATCACCTGGGTTTGTGGTTCAAGTCCAGTCCAGGCTGGGGAGAGGAGAGTGAGAGTCCACTCTCCAAGGTCTGTCATGTTCTAACGGACAGTCACACTTCATTAGGGGCAATTATCCTCATCCCCCACCAAAATTTGCCATGGTGATCCCAATGTAAGCAAACAGAAAAGGTGCCTTTGAACTAATTGAGAAAATTATTTTCAGGTGTGCCTGGAAAGGTGTTTCGGAAAGAAGTTAACATTTGACTTGGTAGACTGAGTGAAGGAGATCTACCCGTACCAGCCTGGGCACCCTCGAATCACTTGAGGGCCTGAATAGAAGAAAAAGGTGGAGGAAGAGTGAATTCTCTGTCTCTCCTGGAGCAGCTGGGACATTCGTCTTCTCCTGCCCTCAAACTTTGGAGCTCCACACCACCATGAGCCTCAGACTCAGACTGAAATTATACCATGGGCCTTCCTGGGCCTTCAGCTTACTGGTGGCATGTCATGGGACTTCTCAGCCTTCGTAATCATGAGCCAGTTCCTGTAATAAATCCCCTCACATATTGCAGGGCCTCTCAGTTTTCCCCTACTTCCTCTCCTTGTGTTGACTAAGAAATACAGGCCTGACCACTCTGTGACCCAGCTGGCTGCATGTTTTCTCTTGCAGGCTCGAACTCATGCGGACACTTTGAATGTTCCCAGGCACTGATAAAGTTGTTAAGGTTGTGCCCAAAACATGAAAAGATCAAACATGTTGCTAAACATGTAAAAACGAACCCTCTACCCTGAGTCAGAGTCGCTTATGGGAACTCCCTTGCCACTGTTTTTGGGGTGCCTCCACCAGGAGTTCAGCCAGACAGAACATGCACACACACACACACACACACACACACACACACACACACACACACATATCCTATTGGTTCTGTGTCTCCAAAAAACCCTAACTAATATAGCTACCATGTTTCCACAACACTCTAACTCTGGGGTGAGTCTATTTTACCAGAAAGCCCGAAAAAACTATTTTTCCAACAGAATTGCATGCTGATGAGTAGCCTATAGTCAGGAAGCCAAAATCTGCATCCAGGTTAACTGCAAATATCAATGTTAGTAATTAACTACCTCTATCTTCTTCCTTAAAGGGCACAGGTGGGATTGAGATGACTTTAAAATTACAAATTATGTTTCTAACGGTCAAAGCCCTGAGAAGATGGCACACTGATTTTCCCACAGCGAGGATGGGAGATTTCCCTGGTACAGCATCTGGTGTAGCCTCATCTCGTTCATGCAGCAGGGTCACCACTATCACAGTGGTGGGCCACTTGCCACTTGCGCTGGCAATACCTCCTGCTGCATTATCAGGTAGCAGAGACCCTGAATTTGCAGGATGTGCAGCCATCCCCAGCCATGACACTCTGTGGAATAACTCCCACTGGGTCCCTCCCTGAAAGGCTGTCTCCTTAGCAACACGCTCTCATGCCTTCTATAAACCCAAACACAATGGACAGCAGCTCAACACACATAGAAAATCTGCCACAGGAGCCTCACAAGAGGTCCAGCCACTCCCCTCCCACCTGTGAAGGCTGTGGGGGTCTTGCAGAAATGTGAGAAATATAGTTGGGCTGATAAAAACCAAGGCCTGCCACAAAACCAGTAGATACAGCGACTGTGTTATCATCACGCTAAAGGGAGGAACAACACAACTCATGTAAATGAACTGATGCTCAGCCTTAGAATGCAAGTAGAAAGAATTCCACATCCAAAGGCTCAGGAAAGATGTTATAGCCTGATGGGTTCTTCTTGCCCACCACCCTTAAAAACCAATGCAGTGAGAACAGCAGGTGTTGCAGGACAGAAAGAGTTTAATAATTGCAGGGCCAGCCAGGCAAGGAGGACTGGAGATAATTCTCAAATCCACCTCTGCAAGAATTCAGAGGCTAGGGATTTTCAAGGATAGTTTGGCAGGCTGCGGGCGGGGGAATGGGGAGTGCTGATTGGTTGGGTTGGGGATTAAATCACAGGGGGTTCAAGCTGTCATCTTATGTTGAGTCAGTTCCTGGGTGGGGGTCACAGGACTAGTTGGGTCAGTTCCTGGGTAAGGATTACCTGTTCAGGTGGCCCCAGCTGGCCCATCAAAATGCAAGGTCTGAAAAGTACCTCAAACGCCAGTCTTAAGTTTCACCATAATGATGTTATCTATAGGAGCAATTGGGGAGGTTACAAATCTTGTGACCTCTAGCTACATGACTCCTGAACCATAATTCTAACCTTGTGGCTAATGTATTAGTTTTACAAAGGCTGTTTCAGTCCCTGAGCATGGAGGGGGTTAGTTTTGGGAAAGGACTGTTATCATCTTTGTTTTAATGTTAAACTATAAACTAAATTCTTCCTACAGTTAGCTTGGCCTACACCCAGGAATGAGCAAAGACAGTTAGCTTGTGAGGTTAGAAGCAAGATGGAGTCAGCTATGTCAGGTTTCTCTTATTGTCATAATTTTTGCAAAGGTGGTCTCAAATACTGGTTCATGCAATACCATATGTCATGCAAAATTTCTTATCAATTTTAAGCCCTTCCTCATTCTTTCCTCTGAATGCAAATTATTACTCTTAACTTTCCCCTGGCAGTGAGGTGTCACCGGAAGCTTTTGGGACAAAGACAGACATGCACGAACTCAAGTTCTTTGCCAACCAGTGGCATGAGGTAGCCAGCCTGTATCATCTCATTAGAGCCAATTGTTAAATTTTTACTGACTGCGTGAGCTTCACGTTGAATCATCAGTGGTTTGAAATTGGCCACAGTAGGGCATTTATACCACAGATATCAGCAAATACTACTGATCATGGTTGGTTGGTTTGCTTTCCAGTAAAGTGGTTATTAAGCATTTACCAGCACCCACTGGCCATCTGCCACTGCTCAGGTGGGCTTGTGCCAGTTTTATCACCTTTCTAAACTTTTTCTCTATTTACACAATGAGAATCACAATTCCATTCCATACAGCCATTTTTTTTTTCTAAATGAGGACAGTGAGTATGACAGTGCTTTGTAAATTACAAAGCAATTGACAACAACTGCATTTTTAATCCTCATACCCTTATCTATACAATATATGAGAATCTTCCTGCTTTCCTTTGCCTCCAGGAAACCAAGAGGTTCATATTGACCTTTCTTTTTTTCTCTTTTTTAATGTTTATACCCCTAGTTTTAAATTTAAATGGAGGATTGCAAAGTTTTTTCTCTTTTTTCAAGAAGAATGCCAGAGTTAGGGACAGTGATATTTTCAAAGTGCAGGAAAGGCTGAAGCACTCCTTCCATTTGTTGGGTTCTTGGCAAATGTGAACTGAGTGCCTGCTAGGAATCACCATGAGCTATTTGGAAGGTGCCTGGCATCCAGGTGGCAAAGGCCAGAGCAGTGCAGGCAAGCCTGGGTCCACCCTGTGAAGTAGAATCCACTGTCATCTCCTCCACATGGTCACCCCATGCCCTGCTCTGGAATGGGCTTATCTCCACTATTCACAGGTCCAAATTCACTCATATCAGATGACTTCCACCAAAGGGGGTGATCCCTCAAAAATGCTAAACTCTTGTTCTCTTTTCTGAAACAAGGACTACCATTTCACTTTCAAAAACAGATGTGCTCTCTACCTAGAGAATGTGTTGAGCAGATGACCCCATCCATGGCAATCTTTGTGAACGTTGGCAGCTGCTCCCTCATATCTTCTCTCCTCTGTCACACAGTGTTGCTGTGCAAATCCCCACAGCCTCCAACCCTTGTGACAGAGGTTTCCACAGAAGCACTTTTATCTCTTGGTCTTCACTGCTTCAACAGTTCCCTGAATTTCTCCTGAACACTGGGCTGAAATGGTCAGTACTGATGAAGACTTTGAGCTACAGAAGGCTCTCCTCAGTCACCTGTCTCCCAGTCTTGCTGAGTACTAGGGAGGACCACATGATATGGTTTGGGTTTGTGTCCCCACCCAAATCTCATATCGAATTGTAATCCCCAGGTATCGAGGGAAGGAATTGGTGGAAGGTGATGGGATTATAGGGCTGGTTTCCCCCATGCTATTCTCACGATAGTGAGTGAGTTCTCACGAGATCTGATAGTTTCATAAGGGACTCTCTCCCCTTCACTTCCTTCACACACTATCTCACCTGCTGCCATGTAAGATGTGCCTGCTTCCCCTTCAGCCATGATTGTAAGTTTCCTGAGGCCTCCCAAGCCATGCAGAACTGTGAGCCAATCAAACTTCTTTTCTTTAGAAATTACCCAGTCTTGGGCGATTCTTTATGGCAGTGTGAGAACGGACTAATACACCACATTACTGTGACTCTCACCTGGCAGGTTTTGCACCTTTTCCTAGTTCAAAATCTTTTCTACACTCAAGCAGATGATGCATCCGCAATGTTTCCCAACTTCTTGAAAATGTAGTTTAGCAAAAGCAAGAATGAATGGGTCCAATCAACAATAGCTTCTGTTTGAGGCAAGCATAGTCCATAGCTGTTTGCTCTATTCAAGAAGCTTGATTCCTCTCAACTATGCAAGTATGTATTATTAAATGTCAGATTGTCTCAGTCCATTCAGACTGCTATACCAAAATACCACAGACTGGGGGGCTTATACACAACAGACATTTCTTTCTCACAGTTCTGAAGGCTGGAAGTCCAACATCAAGGTTCTCAGAGATTCCATGACTGGTGAGGGCTCTCTTCTTTGTTCACAGATGGTGCCTCCTCACTGTGTCCTCACATGGTTGAAGGAAAGCACTCTGGTTTCTTTAGCCTATGAGGGTCCTCATCCCCTCATGAAGCTCTGCCCCCATTGAGAGGCGACAGCGTGCTGGCAGCCCTTGCAGCCCTCACTCGCTCTGGGCACCTCCTCGGCCTTGGTGCCCACTCTGGCCACGCTTGAGGAGCCCTTCAGCCCACCGCTGCACTGTGGGAGCCCCTTTCTGGGCTGGCCAAGGCCAGAGCCGGCTCCCTCAGCTTGAGGGGAGGTGTGGAGGGAGAGGCGCAGGCGGGAACCGGGGCTGCGTGCACACTTGCGGGCCAGCGCGAGTTCTGGGCGGGCGTGGGCCCGGCGGGCCCCGCACTTGGAGCGGCCAGCTGGCCCGCAAGCCCCAGGCAATGAGGGGCTTAACACCTGGGCCAGCAGCTGCTGTGCTTGATTTCTCACCAGGCCTTAGCTGCCTCCCCGCAGGGCAGGGCTTGGGACCTGCAGCCAACCATGCCTGAGCCTCCCCCCCACCCCCGCCCCATGTGGGCTGCTGTGCAGCCGGAGCCTCCCCGACGACCCTGCTCCACAGTGCCCAGTCCCATCCACCACCCAATGGCTGAGGAGTGCCGGCGAACAGCGCGGGACTGGCAGGCAGCTCCACCTGCAGCACTGGTGTGGGATCCACTGGGTGAAGCCAGGTGGGCTCCTGAGTCTCCTGGGGGCTTGGAGAACCTTTATGTCTAGCTAAGGGATTGCAAATACACCAATCGGCACTCTGTATCTAGCTCAAGGTTTGTAAACACACCAATCAGCACCCTGTGTCTAGCTCAGGGTTTGTGAATGCACCAATGGACACTCTGCATCTAGCTACTCTGGTGGGGACTTGGCGAACCTTTATGTCTAGCTAAGGGATTGTAAATACACCAATCAGCACTCTGTATCTAGCTCAAGGTTTGTAAACACACCAATCAGCACCCTGTGTCCAGCACAGGGTTTGTGAATGCACCAATCGACACTCTGTATCTAGCTATTCTGGTGGAGAGGCGGAGAACTTTTGTGTCTAGCTCAGGGATTGTAAATGCACCAATCAGCACCCTGTCAAAACAGACCAGTCAGCTCTCTGTAAAACAGACCAATCAGCTCTCTGTAAAATGGACCAATCAGCAGGATGTGGGTGGGGCCAGATAAGGAAATAAAAGCAGGCTGCCGGAGCCAGCAGTGGCAACCCGCTGGGGTCCCCTTCAACGCTGTGGAAGCTGTGGTCTTTACCTCTTTGCAATAAATCTTGCTGATGCTCACTCTTTGGGTTCACACTGCCTTTATGAGCTGTAACACTCACCATGAAGGTCTGCAGCTTCACTCCTGAAGTCAGTGAGACCACGAACCCACCAGGAGGAACGAACAACTCCAGACGTGCTGCCTTAAGAGATGTAACGCTCACCGCGAAGGTCTGTAGCTTCACTCCTGAGCCAGCAAGACCACAACCCACCAGAAGGAAGAAACTCCGAACACATCCGAACATCAGAAAGAACAAACTCCGGACACGCCACCTTTAAGAACTGTAACACTCACTGCAAGGGTCTGCGGCTTCTTTCTTGAAGTCAGTGAGACCAAGAACCCACCAATTCCGGACACATCATGATGTGATCACCTCCCAAGTGCCCTACCTCCTAACACCATCACATTGTGATTAGAATTTCAACAGATGAATTTAGGAGGACACAAACATTCAGTCCATAGCACAGAAGCTGAGGTAAGAATTTACAAAGACGATCTCTTTTAAGCCTGACAGCAGACCTGTAGGAATTGTTATTCCATTTTACAGATGAGAAAATAGACTCAGAAGAGGTTAAAACCATAGCTAAGGCCACACAGCTGTAAGTGGTGGCCAGATTCCAACCCATGTATGTTCAACTGCAGACCCAGTGCTTTTAACCTCCAACCCATCCTGTCTCATTAACAACCCCAAAGTAAGGTAGAACTTCCCAGCTAGTTCCTATTCTAAAATCATGTTATGATCAAGAAAATTTTCTATAAAAGTTGTATTGTCAATTTAAACATACAATAGAAATTCATTTAAATAAACTACAGCATACTCATTTGCAATAATATGCAATCTTTAAAAATTATAAATTATTTTAACGTATCTGGTTAAATGAAAAAGCACATCAGAAAACAGCAAGTACTCAGTTGGGCACGGTGGCTCATGCCTGTAATCCCAGCACTTTGGGAGGCCGAGGCAGGCAGATCATGAGGTCAGGAGATGGAGACCATCCTGGCTAACACGGTGAAACCCAACCTCTACTAAAAACATGAAAATTAGCCGGGCATGGTGGTGGGCACCTGTAGTCCCAGCTGCTCAGGAGGCTGAGGCAGGAGAATGGCGTGAACCCGGGAGGCAGAGCTTGCAGTGAGTCAAGATCACACCACTGCACTCCAGCCTGGGTGACAGAGCGAGAGTCTGTCTCAGAAAGAAAAAAAAAGAAAGAAAAAAAAGGAAACATCAAGTACTCTGATCTCAAATATTTAAAGTGATATATACATAGACGTGTACATGTAATGTATATTATAGTTGTATGCATTTTATACAAAATGTTAATATATTTTTGCTACATGGAAAATAATCTTGTTACAAAACGTTATGAACTATGCTCCTTATATGAAATGTATGTGTTGAGAGAGACAGTCCCGTATGCATCTCTCATGCTTCTACACATCTTACCAGGTATGACAAGAATGGGAGGCCCCAAGCCGAGCATGGTGGCTCACGCCTGTAATTCCAGCACTTTGGGAGGCCGAGGCAGATGGATCACCTGAGGTCAGGAGTTTGAGACCAGCCTGGTCAACATGGTGAAACCCCATCTCTACTAAAAATACAAAAATTAGCTGGGTGTGGTGGCGGGTGCCTGTAATCTCAGCTGCTTGGGAGGCTGAGGCCGAAGAATCACTTGAACCTGGGAGGCAGAGGATGCAGTGAGCCAAGATTGCACCACTGCACTCCAGCCTGGGCAAAAGAGCAAGACTCCATTTCAAAAAAAAAAAAAAGAGGCCCTAAATACTCTTTGCCAAGGCCACTTCTCAAGGTTGTGTTTGCAGCAAGCTGCACTGAAGGATGAGATCATGTTTCCCTCTGGAATAAGGAGCAGGTTTGCTTACTGCTTGCTATAAAAGCAACAGATTCCTCCAAGCTTGCATTCTTCTTCTGTGTGCAACTCACTGCCTGTGCAAGTGCTGTGTGGGTTCACTGTGTCAGCCTCATGGGACTTGGGAGCAAGAGGAACTGACACAAACATGCTGATGGTCCGGCTGCTTGCTGTGCTGTGAGTAATAATGTTGTCTGTGACCTAGAAGTCTTGTAGCAACTGTCAGAATCCACAAAAGACTAACAGGGATAAAATCAAATGCCAGACCCAACTATCTCTTTATGTAATGTTTGTATACATATGCATAGATCCAAATATGTATATGTATTGTACGTTAGTATATGTATACAAACATAGTTACCTCTGATGATGGTGTCACAAGTAATCATTTCTTTTTCTTATGCTCACATTCCACATTTCTATAACTGATACGTATTATCTGCAATCAGAAACAAAGCAATAAAAACACTTTTAAAACTATGTGTATGGCCAGGCACAGTGGCTCACGCCTATAATCCCAGCGCTTTGGGAGGCCGAGGTGGGTGGATCACGAGGTCAGGAGTTCAAGACCAGCCTGGCCAAGATGGTGAAACCCCATCTCTACTAAAAATACAAAAATTAGCTGGGTATGGTGGCAGGCACCTGTAATCCCAGCTACTTGGGAGGCTGAGGCAAAGAATTGCTTGAACCAGGAGGCGGAGGTTGCAGTGATCCAAGATCGCGCCATTGCACTCCAGCCTGGCAACAGAGCAAGACTCAGTCTCAAAACAAAACAAAATTAAAAAAACCATGTGTACAATGATTTCAGGTAAATAAAATTCATTAAAGGCATTCTACCATTTTTACATTTACTCCTCACTCTCCATTTAATTGGCATGTCTCTGGTGACTGAGACATTGTAGTAACTAAGGTGACATTGGTCTATCTCATGAAATTCCCTAGAATCTCATAGAATTTACATTCAAATAAGGAGACATTTAGGAAAATAAGGGATGAACAGGCAAGTTTGGAAGAGAGTATTTGCAAACGACATATCCAGCAAAGGACTAGTAGCTCGAGTATAGAAAGATCTCACAAAACTCAACAGGAAAAACCCAATAATCCAATTAGAACATGGACCAAAGACATAAGCAGACATTCCACTAAGGAGACACATAGATAGCAAATGAGCACATAGAAAATATTCAGCATTATTAGCCATTAGAAAATGCAAATTAAAACCACAATGAGAAATTAGATCACTCAGACATTGCTGGTGAGAATGTAAAATGTACAGCCACTCCAGAAAACAGCTTGGCAGTTTCCTAAAATACAAAATATGTAACTACCACATGACCCAGAAATTGCATTCCTGGGCATTTATCCCAGAGAAATGAAAACTTATGTGCACACAAAACCTGTGGACCAATGTTTATAACAGCTTTATTTGTAATAGCCAAAAATTGGAAACAACCCAGGTGTCCTTCAACAGGTGAATGGTTAAACAAATTTGGTGTGTCCATATTATGGAATACGACTGAACAATAAAAATAACAAACTGTTGATATACGCAACAACCTGGATGGAATCTCTGGATAATTATACTATGTGAAAAAGCCAATCTCGGAATATTATATACTGTATGTTTTCATTACGTAACACTCTCGAAATGACAAAATCATAGAAATAGCAGATTAGTGCTTGCCCCAGGGTTAAAGAGAGGACAACAGTGGAAGGAAGTAGGCGTGGCTATAAAAAGGCAACATGTCCTGGCTAACACAGGTGAAACCCCATCTCTACTAAAAATATAAAAAATTAGCCGGGTGTGGTGGCGGGTGCCTGTAGTCCCAGCTACTGGGGAGGCTGAGGCAGGAGAATGGCAGGAACCTGGGAGGCAGAGCTTACAGTGAGCCGAGATCGTGCCACTGTGCCCCACCTGGGCGACACAGCTAGACTCCATCTCAAAAAAAAAAAAAGGCAACATGAGAGATCATGTTGTGGTGATGGAAATGTTCTGTATCAATATCAGCACTCTAGCTGTGATACCCTGTTACAGTTTTGTAGGATGTGGCCATTGAAGAAATTGGGTAAAGGGTACATGGAATCTCTCAGTATTATTTCTTACAATTGTATGCAAATCCACAATTATCATGTACTTTTAATTATCAAAATTAAAAGTACAATCAAACATTTGAAAATTTAAATGCAGACAAAAATACAAAGTAATTCCCCCAAAAAATGCAAGATAGAATATATTTAGCATGCAACATTTAGATTAATAGAATGGAGGAAGTAAAAATTTTTTACATCAGCATGTAATTCCACCATTGTGGTAGGAATGCTGAGGAACAATATGAGAGTGAGGAGTGGTTTTGGAGAATAGCAAGTGAGGCTCCAGGCTCGGGTTTTACCAGGCGAGCCTGGGGGCCTTTCCAATGACTTGCCTTTCTAACTGCCACTGAGCCCCTCAGGTTGGGGGAAAGGCGTCCCCAGCAACTGCTGGAGGCAGGGGAGATGGGCGCTCCGCTGGATCTGGTGGGGAATGAGTGTGCAGGTGACCAGGAGGCAAGGAGGCCAGGGACTAGATCAAGCGAGACTTCCCAGGCAGGGGCACTGGGAGTGGAGACAATGGAAGAGTATGAAGCCCAGCACTGCCATGTTGTCATTTGCATTCCAGAGGGTCCCTCTGAGTGCTGGGTCAAGACTGGATTGAGGCGTGGAGGGGCAGCCAGGTGATAGGGAGGGAGGGCTGGATTCAGTGGTGAGGATGGAGAAAGGGACAGGTTCAGAGTGTGAGTGGGCAGATGTTCTGTGTACCAAGAGGAAGGACGTAGAAGAAGAGCCCAGTAAGGAGAGAAGATCAACAGTAGGGCTTGAGCTTCCCTGAGAGTGGAAGACAGGGACGCAGAAGATAGGCCAGGCCGCAGTTGTCCAAACAAGACAGTGTTTAAAGAAATGCTGAGCACCATTTCAGAGTTCTGTAACAAAAAGGAAGGGGGGGCCCGATCCCTGAACCTGCGGCATTCCACCTGGTGAAGCAGGAAGATGAGCCGACACGCTTAGCCCTAGTAAAATTTGTGAAGCCTCTGTTTCTTCCAGCCTTTTAAAAGGGTACAAGGCAAAATTTCTGCTGACACCATGAAAGCACTTCCAACAAGGGCTTTTTCCTCTCAGTCTAGACCAGCATTAACCCCACAAGGTCCTGCATAAACAGCAGCCGTTCCCCACAAGTGATTGCGATTTCTGAAACAAAACAGGGTTTTACAACCCAGGAGGTCCTGGAGGAAATGAAGCGGGATTGTAACACATTCCTCCTAGGAATTTTCAGGACAATTCCCCTTGGGTGGCATCTGAACTCAACAAATAGCTTCATGAAAACACTCCAGAGGGGTCCTTTCCTTTAGATGTTTACCATATTAGAAATCAAATGTTGACCCTCAACTGACCAAGGGCCTGGGAAAAGACTTCAAGGAGTTGAGTCAGCACTGAGCTTAGTTTGCTAAGTCTTGTGTCTCTTTCTTCGAGGGTAGTGTGGACAGATGGCAGCAGTGGTGAATAGTAGGGGCTGTGGCCATTCAAATCTCCATCCACATCCACAGCAGAGGGGCACCCCACTTGAGTTTGCTTTTCAGTTTCTTTTCTCAAAAGTTACACTTTTCTATACAAACACTTTCTTTTTATTCACAGTATAGACTAAATTAACCCAGACATAAAACTATGATTTCCTACCGTGATCTTCCCTGGCTCAAAAAGATAAGTGAAAACATGAAGGGGAGGCTCTCCATGAGAAGGGGAGCCAGGCTATCCCCATGGCCGTGGCAGGGGTTGGAGGATAGACAGTGTCCTTCGTCTGTTCCAGAATGAGGGAGAGCTGGTCCTGTGGGCAAAGCCACATTGGCCATTGGGTCTCTGCCCCAACTCCTACCACCTTCTCCTAAAAATATTTCCTCCTCCACTTCATACCCATTAGGATGGCTACTATCAAAAAGGTAGGGGGAAAATTGGACCTTCATGCACTTCTGGTGGAAATGTAAAATCATGCAGCTGCTGTGGTAAACATTGTGGTGGTACCTCAAAATGTTAAACAGAGTTACCACAGCACCCAGCAATTCCACTCCTGGGTATCTACCCAAAAGAATTAACAGCAGGGTTTCAAAGAAATATTTGTAGAAACGTGTTTATAGCAGCACTGTTTTTCACAATAGATACAGTGTGGAAGCAACCTAAATGTCCATTAACGAATGCAGAAACAAAATGTGGACATACATGTGACGGAAAATTATTCAGCCTTGAAAAGGAAGGAAGTTCTGACCCACACTACAACATGGATGAAACTTGAGAACATTATACTGAGTGAAATAAGCCAGACACAGGACAAATCCTGTGTGATTCCACTTATACGAGGTACCAAGAGTAGTCAAATTCACAGAGACAGAAAGTAGAATGGTGGCTGGGAGGGGAGTTAGTGTTTAATGGGAATGGAGATTCCATTTGGGATGATGAAAAAGTTCCAGAAATGGATAGTGATGATGGGTACACAACACTGTAAATGTACTTAATGCCACTAATTGTACAGTTAAAAACAACTAAAATGCCAAATGTTGTGCATATTTTATCACAACACAAAAACAGTTTTTAAAAATCCTCCCTTATCCTGTTGCTGGTAAATATGAAAAAAGAATAAAGTATCTCAAGCACTTTCTTTGCAGTACATAGTGATGGTCAAGGGACTCTCTAAGATGTCCACAGTCACACAATCAGCTTCCAAAGTCTCTTTGCAGAAAAAGGAACCCAGCCATTGGTTAACTAGATTTAGTTAGAATTGTACCGTTACTTGATTTTCAAGCCTTGACTCCAGCTGGTCTTTGGTTTCTAGTCCAAGGTATGATACTCTGATGGCAGAGCCCACAGAAACTCCAGGGGCAAGTGGACACAGCACCTCTCAGCTAAAATGCTGCTGTGGTTAACACAGTGAACTAAAACCACCACACCCAGGATCCCTAAATGGTAGAGGATTTAGACTCAATTGTATATTCTCATAGCAACCGTAAAATTTCTTAAAAGATCAGACATTTTGAAGGTCAACTCTAGTTCCAGCACTGACATGATCCGCCTATGCTGGGATAAATGGAATCAACCACAAAAAGTGATCATTCATTATAAATAGTATTTAAGCAAAAGTACAAATGGTACATAGTGGCTCAATGAACACAAAATCCAGTTAGCTCTTTGACAAACCTGTTATAAAAATGGCACCTGCCGGGTGTGGTGGCTCACGCCTGTAATCCCAGAACTTTGGGAGGCCGAGGCGGGCAGATCACATGAGGTCAGGAGTTCAAGACCAGCCTGGCCAATGTGGCGAAACCCCTTCTCTACTAAAAATACAAAAATTAGCCAGGCATGGTGGTGCATGCCTGTAATCCCAGCTACTCGGGAGGTTGAGGAAGGAGAATCACTTGAACCCGGGAGGCAGGGGTTGCAGTGAGCCAAGATCTCACTATTGCGCTCGAGCCTGGGCAACAGGGCAAGACTCAGTCTCAAACAAACAAAAACAAAAAACAAAGCAAACAAACGGCACCATACACCTCCTTCCTGTTGTGCACAAACACAGCCAGCCCCTTCCATGGGATTTTCATATCTAGGTAAACATTTAAAACACATATGTCTCTCCATATTCTAGAAAAAATAATTGCCCTCCAATTGTTTCTCAATCATGCTTTTCAAAAAATACATTATGATTTAGATTTAAAATAGTAAGCATTTGAGCAAAATTCTTTGGATGCAAGAATGTCACAAGCAGGCTTTGAAAACAATTTTTTTAAGAAAACATGCCGCATTCATTTCTTAAACACGCTGAGAACTACTGTAATTATTTCAATGAGAAATTCCTGCGAACTCCTCCTGTCTCCTTATGTCTGCTTCCTCTCAGCGAGTCACAATGTGTTTCCATGGCAACTCTGTTGCTAAGGGGGGACCCCGTAAGTACATCAGCGTGTTATCTGCAGCATTGAGATGGTGTTAGCCCAAGAGGCCAGGTTGGCTGGAACATTTAGATTTAATTTAGTGCCATTTTCTTTCATCTACTCACAATGCATTCACCAGAAACTGTTAGAGATTGTCCCTGTGAGAAGGAGAACTATGGCCACTTCCTAGGTTATCCTCTGGGCTTTCATGCTGTTTCAATTACATCGACCTTCCTTTTAGAACCTGTTCACCATCATCCTGTGACTTAGCGACGCTAGAATCATAAGAAAAAACAATAATAGCAATTACAAACACTACTAAAATGCCACGAGACTGCTTTTGTTGAATGTTTATAAATGGCAAGTATAAACCAAACATAAGTTGTCAGAAATAAATAGCATTTGAATCATTAATCTGAAAGATATTAAACAGTAAATGTTTAGAAAGCCCCAAATGAAGCAAATCAAAATATTTTTGGAGTCTCCCTTTCAATGTCTCTGAAATCGTATTCTGGCAAACAGATTGTGTAACATTTCATCAGAAATCCTGATTGGAATCCAGAATCTTCCACCCAGTCAACTTTCATGGACTGTGTTATTTGTTAGGGACAAGTTTTATTATTGTAAGGGATAATTCCTTAAAGTGGCTCATTTCCTGATTGCATTTTCTTTAGCTCCTGACTCTGTATAATGAAAGAGGACCTTCCTGTTGATACTATGGTGGTTGTCTTTGATCAGAAAACCCCTGAAAACCTTATGCGGGACTCATCCAGTGCAAACTGGGAAAATGTACTGCATCAGGAGACAGGCATTCCTAGCTACCTTGGGCACCCACTGCCTTGGAAGAGCCATGCTGATACCAACTCTCCAACCCTCCAGCTACATGCGTGGTGACAAAAGGGAAGTACCAGCCAGATGCAATTCTCAATGCCTCAGCCAATCCCCACCAGGGGGTCTGTTCTGGGGCCACCTGGTGAAATCGAGAAGCCAGGATGCTGAAGCGCCAGGAGAGGCAGCCACAAGTGGCCAGGGCAAGCCTAGCCACCCAGGAACTCTCAGGCGGGTGTAAGCGTGGAGTTTCATCCAGCCCAGAATGAATGCCCGCTCCTGGGGGGTTTGTTCTGCCCCACCTCCTTCCCTGCTGCCTTGGACCTATTCCTGCACTCTCAACACTCACCCGGACCAGGGGAAGGTGTGGAGAAGAGAGCTAGTGGTCAGGGCATTTGCCTCAGGATGACCAGCCATCACAGTGCACCTGAAATTCCCCATTCCAAAGAACCCTATGTCCCCTGAAGCTCTTCTGGTTTCCATGCTGATGAATGAATATGCACCTTGTAGAGTTGACAGTTTTATCATCAGTCCCAACCTTCCTTCTTGGCTAAGTCCAGGCTATTCCTGTGCAGTCGGCCTTCAGTTTCACTCAGAAACTGTATCTCAACATTCAGATTCGATATACAAATATCTGCAAAATGAAAAATGAATGTGGAAAAAAGTGAAAATGAATTGCCCAAGTGTTTCCCTTTTAATTAACTGGCCCTTTCTGCATTTGCAAAAGAAAAAGTTTCAGTTCATGACTGTGGGAAAGCTGTCACACTGACAAGCCCCTGCGAGGCCTAAGTTGGGTGAACACCTGGCCCTGGCCCTGCGTGCCTGGTCAGGTCAGCTTCTGAAAACCTGGAGGAAGCCCTGTGCTTGGCCCCAGGAGCTGCTGTGTGTGACCTTGGTGAGGACGGTTAAAAAGCAACCAATGAACTTTCCCTGCAGAAAAAGCAGAGCAATGAAAAGCCAGAGGGACCGAGCTTCACAGAAACAGGTTTGAAGCTGGCCTGTCTTGATGGGGAATGAGGGCTGGTGATGGGGGAGTGTGCATGGGTCTTAGGACCTGCCCCTCCATGGCCCTCCCTGTTTCTACAACCCCAAGGCTGGAAAACAAAAACTCAAATCAGCAGCCACTTGCCAAGCACTGACCACGTGGCAGGTGGGCTGTCAAGCCCTTCACAGGCCTGCTCCACAGCATTCTCACAAACCCAAAGGCAGTCATCACCCCATCTGGTGGCTTATGGAGAGGCCAAGGAAACTTCCTGATGAGGGATAGGTGAGGGGACGCCAAGAAGTGAACTTGCTGGCTCTGACGCACTGAGTCAGCGGCTCTGGGAGACACCCCACCCCAGGCGACCACCTTCCTTATAACTCCACTCCAAAACAGGAAGATTGGCTCTTGAGGGCTGACTCATCCTGAAGAGGCAAAATGCTACAGGACCCCATCTCTACCGCAATGCACATCACACAACCCAAGGTGAGAATCTCATCCACTCTTATCCAACTTCTCCATGTTCAGTCAGTGCACCCTTCCTTCCCTAAATAGAGATGGCCCAGGACGATGTCCGCCTCCTTTGTCCAGGGATGATGTCTTCAGGCCATGTGCATGACTCCATGTCATACAGACACACAAATAGGGACTCTACACACATACAGACTCTACACACCACACTCACACCCTACATACCACAGACACACACCACACACTACACACACACCATGCAGCACACACCTGCACAAAACATGCAAACATACACACACCCCACCCCACACCAGCATCAACCCCATTATCTCAGAATGTGGCTGTATTTGGAGTCAGAGCCTTTAAAGAGGTGATTCAGGTAAAATGAGGCCATTAAGATGGGTGCTGATCCAGTATGACCCATGTCCTCATAAGAAGAGGAGATGAGGACACAGACACCCACAGAGGGGCAACCATGTAAGGACACAAGAGAAGATGCCATCTACAAGCCAAGGAGCGAGACCATCCCTGCTGACACCTTGATCTGGGACTTCCAGCCCACAAAATAAATGTCTGTGGTGCTTTGTCATGGCAGCCCCAGCAAAGGAATACAAGGATCATCTGGATGCCTTACTCAATCATTTGCAGAGCCATGCAGTAAAAGTATAAAACTTTTTACAATTCTTTCTCACGAAAAACTTTCTTAAATGTGTTTCAAACTCCCTTGCCTTAATAAATAAAAATTACAAAGTGTGATTAAGTATTATTGTGATGAATGATTTCCTCCAGCTATGGTCATAATTAATCCTTCTGATGTGTGTAGTAGATGATATGGGAAATTATTGTAAATATGAATGCCATCCAAGATACAATCTTGAGTTTCCCTTGTCTTTAAGCTCCACACATTAGCTTTATTTTGGTGTTATTCCCCCTTTTATCCTAAAATTAAGGTGAAGAATTGCCATTGTAATACTTGCTTCCAGTGTAAGATCACTGCCCTTTCAGGAGGGTTAAGTTGTAACTTGCAGAACAGAAAGGTCCTCCTGTAGGTGCTGTCTTTCCCACACACTGGAGTACCATATCACAGCCAGTTGCATCAGCTTCAGAAACACAGTTCACCTGTCCCTGTCAGGCCATTGCATTCCCAGACATTATCATCTCCCTGAGGACAGAAGGGACCACTGCAGATTTTAATCGCCACACTCTTTTTTTTCCCCCAGGGAAAACATTATCCGTTATGGTTTCTCTAGGCTACTGAAGACTCTGAAAGCCATAGAGCATCATTTTAGGTTCTTTACATTGATGTTAGATACTAGAGAGCAGCTGACTTCAGGAGAACAGACAATAGCAGCAGCCGGCAGGCAACTAGAGCCCAGTCAGGCTCTAAGGAAGACTTCCATATTGTCTTGTGTTCATCAAAAATATTATTGAGGAATGTATTTGGAGCTGTAAGAGAAAACCTAGCAAAACCAAGGTTTAAACTAATTAGGAGTTATTTTTTCTTTATACAAAAAGCCATCAGGAGCCACGCAGTCCTAGCATTATATCAGTAGGTCAAGGAGCAGAAGAGTATGTATTATCGTGGTCTTTTTCTCAAGTCAAGGGTGAAAGATGGCTCTGCCGTTCCAGCCATCACTTCCACATTCCACTCAGAAAGGAGAAGGAAGCAACAAGGAAGAAAGGCTAGCCAAATTTTCCCAGAAACCTACAGCAGGTTTATGTCTCAAGGGCCAACACTGTGCCATGGAGCCACCTCCGGCACAAGGGAGTCTGCAAAATTCAGCACACTGGCTGCACAATGCTGCCTCAGATGGTGAGTGCTCATGAGGAAGAAGATGAGGAAATAGATGGTAAATAGATCATTGACCCAATCACCCAATTGGTAGACTTACAAAAATCTTTTTAAGTCATATATGCTTATAAAGTAAAAACATAGACTTCATAAGCTATCTCAGTCTCATTACTTTATAGTCAGGTGTTAATTATAAACATTTTGCACATGGAGTATTTCAGTAAAACTCACTGGAATTTTGAGGGAAAGATGGCAGATTAAACACATGCCTTTAATTCCATCCCCTCCCAAGACTATGCTAAAGCAATAATAAATAGATTTTTTTAAGGCACAAATCTACAAGATAAAAGAGAATGGGAGAGAGACAACAGCAACAGAACTGGGGGCATTGGCAAGCATCTGGTTTTGCAGGCCCAGGAGAGCTGGATTCTAAGCTGGCTGTGCAGAGATGAGCAGCAGCCTGAGTTTCACTATAGAGCACCTAACAGGCTCAGAAACTGGAGGCCCCAGAGACCTCTGCAAGTGAGGTAACAGGTAGCCTGAAGAGGAAGATGGCTTGGCAGGACAGGACCCACTAGATCCCAGCTGTCCTCCTCTCCAAACCAACGCAAGACTGAAGGGTAGTTCTCTGGAGGCTTCTGGGCTGGCATGTGCCAGGTATGGTTGAGGGTGGGGGGAGTCTTAGGGAAAATGGGGGTATAAGGAATGCTTGAGTCCTAACTGTGGGGAACTTGCCAGCTTTCTTCTTCCACTTTGCTCCCAGAAACTGGCAGCCAGGCTGGGATCCTCTGACAGAAAACTAACCTTGTGTGCACTCTGTCCCAAGAGGGGCCCAAGAGGAACCCAAGAGGAAATCAAAGGGTGCTGACCTTGGGGAGTCCCCTGTGAAGGCCCCCTAAATCCCCATGTGGCAGAATATGCAAGTGACATGCCCAGAACAAGCCCCAAAGCTCCCAACCACCTCTGCAATGCCTTTACCCCAAAGTGAGCAGCAGCCACGTGCATCTGGGGCAAGTCTCTTCCTAAAGAAAGATCAGGAGACTAACAGGAAGAAGCAACTTGGAGGAAATGACCAAAACTAAGAGAAGAAAGTCTCAAAAGTGTCATGAATTTGGTCATGACACAATGGTTCCCACCTTTTTAAATGGTGAAGAAAAATGTCAAAAGAATACTATTTAATGACACATGAAAATTATATGAAAATCAAACTAATGAATAAAGGCAGCTGGGCACAGAGCCTCACCCATGTGTTCACATTCTGTCTGCATACTGTCCACACCGCAACAGCAGCGCTGAGTGGTTATGACAGGACTGCATGGCCTGCCAAGACTGAAATATTACCATCTGCCTTTTTATTTAAAAAAAAAAAAAAAAAAAAGGTTGTTGGTCTCTTCTGTAGCCCAAGCAAACAGGGTAGACAGTGATTCTATATCTCTGGTGGAGGGACGTCCCCATGGAAAACATGAGAGATCCCTGAGTCAGCCCTGAACATGGATTGTTCCCAGTGCACTTCACAGCCCAAATGCACACTGTGGACACAGGAAGTTTGGGTGAGCTCCTCCAGCGTAGGAAGGCAGAGGTTCTCATCTCTGGGGACCTATGGGCCTCATCATTTGATAGAAGTCACAGGCTGTTCTCCACTAGTTCAGTTCTTTCCCTCCCTCCCTCCCTCCACAGTGTTCCGAGTGCCTTTTGATGGTGCTGGCTCCTGCTTCCTCCTCTCTCTGTCTTCAGGAAGAAAAACACAAGGAAGACAGGGGAAGGGAATGGTCAGTAGATGAAGCTTAACAAGAAATGGCTCACACCACTGCACTAAAGTCATATTCCATCTGAAGGAAGCCTGCCCTCTGAGGTGTGGGGCTACACTTCCCAAGGAAAGGATTTAGCACATCAAGAGTTGAAGAGGCCAGTTCCAACTCCTGGGACTTCTCTAAGTCCCTTGTCTTAGTCTTCTCAGGCTACTATGACAAAACACCATAGACTGTGGGGCATGAACAACAGACATTTATTTCTCACCATTCTGGAGGCTGGAAGTCCAAGACTGGGGTGCCAGCATAGTCAGGTTCTGGTGAAGGCTCTCTTCCTGGCTTACAGACAGCCACCTTCTTGATGTAGGGAAGGGAAAGAGAGCTGAGAAAGCTCTTTTGTCTCTTCTTATAAGGACACTCATCCCATCATGGAAGTTCTACCCTTAGACTTCATCTAAATCTAGTTACCTCCTAAAGGCCCCACCTCCAAATACCATCACATTGGAGGCGAGGGCATCAATATTTGAATTGTGGGGGATACAATTCAGTGCACTGCACCTCACTATTTAGGTTTAAGGCAGTGGCCCTCTTGCTGCTAGCTGGTGATCAGAGCCATCTTGACTCTAGTTAGCCAACTGAGAAGCTATTAAGAGTATTATGAGGCCTTCGTGAAAGGTTCGTGTGTTTAATCTAACAGTGGAATCCATTTAGGGGCAACCCAGCTGAGAATTCCAGACCACTCTGGCACAACAGTTATATTTTACACTAGCAGTATTCATTGGGACTCATTCATTTATAAGTAACAGACACCCAATTCAAATAAGCTTTTTTAAAAAGGGAAATGTGTTGGCTTGTGTGGCTGGGAAATCCAAAGCGGGTGTATCTAGCATCAGACACGGCAGGATCCAGGTGTTCAAGTGATATCAGCACTCCTCTTTCTCTCTTCTCTGTCTCTCCCTCCCTGCTGGCCTTCCTTGGCCTCATTCTCAAGTAGGTACTCTCTCTCCAGGTGGAAGCAAGATGCTCCTTTGGCTCCTGATGCATGGGATTCCTTTCGTCATCACCATCCAGAGAGAGTGAGGGATTTTCTGAGCTAAACTCCCAGGAAAAATGGTTTGTCTGGTATGAGTGACAGGCCAGAACTTGAGCCCATCACTGTGCCCGAAGGACACACATCTGCTTGTCCAGGGCTGGACCAGTGCCACATAAACCACATGGCTTGAGCAGGACTATTCCAGAATGCCAAAGAGAGACTCTCCCCACCCTTCAAAAAACCACGTGACTCTGGGCCATTTTGCTCTTCTGGCCCTCTCCACAACAGCCTCCTTGGTGAGTAGAGTCCAAATTCTCACACTGACTGGACATATGACATTTTTGACGGGTTCTGAGGACCTTACTGCTATGATTTCATCATTGATTTGCCACATTTTCCCAGAAGAAATGGACACATTTTATTTATTTACCCCCAAAGGCCACACAATGGGAGAAAAGGTATCAGGCATGAATACTGGGTTCTACTTTTGTATTTATCTTTGAGGGTGTGAATCTCTCTCAAATATGTTAAAGAGTCAACCATCTTCTGTAACAGTATCCAGGGCACTTTCCATGTTCTCTGACATCACAGTACTTTATAATTTATACACAGACATTGTTTTGCAGTGATGTTTCTAACCTCCCCTTGGAAGAATTCCTCCTGGACGCCTGCCTCCTGCAGCCCTGGCCTCCTCCCTTGCTTTTAATCCATGCTATCTGAGACATCCCTCAACTGCCCAGGCTGGACTTCTCTGCAGCAGGAAAGAAAAAGGTCGGAATGAAGGATTCAGGGCCACCCCTACCGAGTGGAATGCAAAAGCGCTTGGTAATTAGGCTATGATTTTTCTCTTTCTCTGTTTCTCCTCCTGGGTCACCATTTTCCAGAGGAAGGCAGCCCCACAGATTCCAGAAGATGCCCTGTCCCGCTGCTGCCTGCTGGCTGGGCAGCCACGTGCAGGCGTCCTGCCTTGGCTGATCCTTCTTTAGCAAATGAGAATGGCAGTCCCTGCCTTGCAGGGTGGCTTTCAGTTCCCAGCCCTGCTAAGCCAGGCAAAGTGGCTTCACAAATTCCCAGTCTGTGTGTACATCCATGCACCCAAGCCGAAGGAGCTGCAGCAGCCATGCAGGGCCCAGTGGGCCCCCAGCCTCCCTGTCCCCTGTCTCCCCAAGTCCTCCTTCATGGGCGCCTTTCTGAAATGCTGTTTCCCAGGGCCTTCTCTGAGGAGTCAGCTGATCCAGGCATGCTCTTCTATCACTGTGTAGCTTTATCTGCCTGTAGCCTTTCAGAGCCTAATAGACTGCCAGAAGGGAGGGGCCTGTTGCCCAGGAAACCTAGCAAGCATTTGCTCCATCCAGCCCTAGACTCACTCTCACCACCCCTGTAGTCAGAAAAATGTGACCCTTTTTCCTCCCACCGGGCATCTCCTGCTGCTTCCCTCTGCTCCTCTCTAAAACCTGCCAACCGACCAGCCTTTTTCTAAGTCTGCTGGTGACCCTTTCTTGTTAGCTTAGGAGCTCTCTTTCCCTCCATCCATGCAGTGAACCTCCTTCTGATTTATACTGACTGGTTTAAACTGGCCCAGAACTTCTTACAGGGGGCAAGTTCAATTAGTTTTGTTCCCCGCCTTTCTAACTAATGAAAGTTACTGAAATTTGACCTCTCAGTATGTAGGCTGTTGTCATAAAAATCAAAAACTGCTAATAATAGAGGAAAAAGTTCAAAAATAAAATACCTACAAGTGAGGAATATGTGTGTATGCACCACTGCCTCTTTTTCTTGAAAGGAGAAAAAGCCTTTCTACTGCTTTTCATCGAGTGTTGGGAAACAGTGGAGCACCAGAACCAGGCCATGCCTCCCACCCAGAGGAATTTCCTGGTGACTCTGGGCATCCCACCTACCTGGACCTCTGGCCTACCTTGAGCCTAGAAGTAAGCTCTGGAAACCTTTCAGAGAAATCTACTATTTTGCAATGATCTTTTTGCTTGGAAAAAACCCTCAGTTCAATTGGACACATATTATCAAAATTAATAATCTAGGTTTTAAAAATGTCAGTTGCAGACTTCTGGCTCCAGAAGAAGATCTCGTAGACTCAGTTGTCCCTGTTCCTCCCCTGTAAATACAATTAAAAACCCTGGAAATAACTTAGCAGATAATGACAAAGGGAATTTGAAAGCAGGAATAAAGAAAGCAACTGACTATGGACTTCAGGACTTGAGGAATGACAATGTGGTGAGTTCCCTGGGTTTTCTTTTTAACTCTCATATATCTCAGAATAGGCCTTGAAAAAATCTGCAACCTGGAAGCAACAGGTATAGGCAAAAAGAAAAACACAGAAAAGGAAATAAAACAACCACAAAATAAAACCAACAATAAAGATAGCCACCTCCCAACCCCCCACCAAAGGACAAGGGAAAGAAGATCCCAAGAGACCTAGTAGGGACCTCCAACAGGGACCTGATGGCCTTGGCTGGCTGATCCTGTACCCAGTGGCAGCTTCAGAGCCCCAGCAGGCAACCCAAACACAATTCCACAACCAGAGCACAGGCAGTTGGAACAGTCCACCTGCAGGGCCTGCAACAGTGGAGACCAGCATCTCTTGACCCTCCAGCCAGGGAAGAAAACCCAAGCCCAGCAGAGCCTGCTCCTTACCCTACAAAGTGGCCTCAAAAGTGGCCAGCAACACCAGGCAGCCCGTGGAAGAGCCTTCTTTTCCTGCAGGTGACAACAGCAGGATCATGTAGGAGCTCTGGCAGCACCAAAAGATGAAGCAGATCAGAATAACATTGTAAAAGCTCTGAAAAAACACCTGCCACCCATAGCCCATGAAAGTAGACTAGAACCTACACACTAAACTTAAATATGACATTTAAAAAGTATACGGTATATTAAAAACTTAAACAGGATAACTACCTGCCAAAATAGAGGGCTTAAATAGTATCAACAGTCTCCTAACAGATGAAATACTACCTATTCAGTACAATGCACACTCTTCAGGTGATGGGAATATTAAAGCCCAGATGCAATATATCCATGTAACACAACTGCACTTACACCCCTAAATCTATAAAAATAATAAATACAGATCCCCCTAACATAATAAATCCTATGCCCCAATACAATTGAAAAGTATTCATCCTACCAAGAATTGGGAATAACAATTACAAATTATCTCAAAGCAAGTGTTAAAAAATAGAAAATCTCAGCAAAGAATTAGAAGTTATAAAAAGAATCAAATGAAAATTATACAACTAAACAATGTAGTAATTGAAATTTTTAAATAACACACTGATTGACTCAGTAGTAGAGTGGAGATGACAGGACACAATCAATGAACGTAAGGACCCATCAATAGAATTTGCTTAGCCAGGACCACAGATATAAAATATACTTAAAAAATAACAATAAACAGAGTCTTGGAGATCTGTGACGCAGTAACAACAACAACAAAAATCTAATCTTCATATTATTGGAGTTCCAGAAGGAGAGGAAAAAGAGTGTAAAGCTCAAAAAGTATTCAGATAAATAATACGTGACAACTTCCTAAGTTTGGCAGAAGCCATATACCTATGAAGTTGAGCAAAATCCAAATTTGATAAACTCAAAGAAATCCACACCAAAACACATTATAATTAAACTTCCGATGAATAAAGACAAAAAAAACTTCAAAAATAGCAGACAGAAATGACATATTACCTATAGAAAGACACCAGTTCAAATGCCAGTAGATTCCTCATAGTACACCGTGGAGGCCAGAGGAAGTAAACATTTTTCAAGTTTTGAAAGAAAAGAATTATTAATTGTGAATTCAATATCTGGTAAAGACTATCCTTTGGGAAGGAAGGGAAAATAAAGACATTCTCAGGTGAAAGAAAACTAAGATAATTTGTTGTTAGAGGACTTACCCTTTAAAAATAGGTAAGAAAGCTCTCCAAACAAAAGAAAATGGCAACAGAAGTGGGCGGGCCCTTAGAAATGAAAAAAAGAGCAACAGAATGGCTTAAATTAGAGGTAAATATGATAGCCTATCCTTACATCATGAGTTTCCATAACTATGTTTTGTGATTGAAGCAAAACTTATAACACATCTGATGCAGTGCTCAATGTATGTTGAGGAAATATTTAAGACAATTATGCTTAGAAATTGCAGAGAATAAAGGGATCTCAACGGAATTAGTTTTTCTTGACTTCAGTTGAATTAGTAAAATGTCAGTAATGGTAGGCTGTAATAAGTTACATATGTATATTGTGATACCTACCTCAATCACCAAGTAAACTGTACTAAGCAATATACTAAAACACTCTAGTTTAAATAAATAAATATGAAACTAAAAGTTCAAGTAATCCACAGAAAGGAGAAAAAGAAAGAGAGAAAGAAACAGAGGAATGAGAACCAGAAAGAATAAACAGAAAGCAAATAATAAAATAGTACACTTGGGACTATCAGTAATAAGTTCAAACATAAATTATCTAAATTCACCAGTGAAAACACAGAGGTGGGCTGGGCGCAATGGCTCATGCCTGTAATGCCAGCACTTTGGGAGACCAAGGAGGGCAGATTAGCTGAGGTCAGGAGTTTGAGACCAGCCTGACCAACATGGTGAAACCCTGTCTCTACTAAAAATACAAAATTAGCCAGGTGCGGTGTCTCATGCCTATAATCCCAGCTACTTGGGAGGCTGAGGCAGGAGACTCACTTGAACCTGGGAGGCGGAGGTTGCAGTGAGCCAAGATTGTGCCATCGCACTCCAGCCTGGATGACAACAGCGAAACTCCATCTCAAAACAAACAAAAACAACAAAAAAAGAAAATACAGAGATGAGCAGAGTGGATTAAAAAACACTATAACTATATGCTATCTACAAGAAACTCACTTCAAATAAATAATGTAGGCTAGAAAAAAATATATCCTGCAAACATTGAAAATAAGAATGGCTATATCAATATCAGATAAAGTAGGCTTCAAAGCAAGGAAACTTACTGTGGATCAAGAGGAACCTTGCATGATAATAAAATGATCCATCCAGCAAAAAACATAGCGGTCCTAAATGTGTGGGTCAAATCCATGGGTCAAAGGGGGAAGCCTCAAAGGAAATGTTAAAACACAAAATCAAATGAGAAAGAAAATACAACCTACCAAGATTTGTGGGATGCAAATAAACATAGTGTCAAAAGTTAAATGTATACTACTAAATAGTTTTATTAGAAAATAAGAAAGGTCTCAAATCAGATATCTATGTTCCTACCTCAGGAACTAGAAAAAGAAGAGGAAAACGAATTCAAGGAAGGCAGAAGGGAGAAAATAATAAAGTGAAGAGAAAAAAATCAATGAAATTAAAAACAGGAAAACAATAGAGGAAATCAACAAAACAAGTAGCTGGTTCTTTGAAAACAATCAATCAAATTGATACACCTCTAGCAAATGACAAAGATAAAAAAGAGAAGATATAAATCACCAACATGAGAAATGAAATGGAGGATATCACAACAGATCTTATAGCCATTAAAATAAAAATAAGAGAATATTACTATGAACAACTTTACATTCATATAGCCAACAATTTAGAAGAAATGTACCAATTCCTCAAAAACCACAAAAAACCTAAAACCCAGCCAAATTGATATACATTACCTAAGTAGTCCTATAGCCACTAGAAATTGAATTTGTAATTTAAGAGCTCCCACAGAAGAAATCTCAAAGTCAGATGTTTTTACTGGAGTAATTTACCAACATGTAAAGAATTAATGCCAATTCTACACACTCTCTTCCAGAAAATAGAAGAGGAAGGTATAGTTCTCAACTCATTTTATGAGGCCAGTATTAACCATTAGGGTAATACTGGGTTTTAGCTAAACCCAGACAAAAACAGCATAGAAAAAGAAAACTAAGACCAGTATCTCTCATGCATCTCCTTAATATTTCATGAATTGAAATCCCTTGTTTGGAATCCAACCCAAATTGGATCCAACAATGTATTAAAAGGCTGGTTTAATATCGGTGAAATCTACCAATGAAAACCAATGTAATCTACCATATTAACAGGCTACAAATCATTGATATGATTATGTCAATGAATGCAATTAAAATATTTGAGAAACTCCAACATTCATTCATAATTAAAATTTCTCAGTTTGTCAGAAATAAAATATAAATAAAATAAAACTTTCTCAACCTCATAAAGAGCACCAATAAAAGACATCTACAACTAATATCACACTTAACAGTGAAAGACTGAGGTCAGTAATAAGACAAGGATATTTACTCTCACCACTCTTATTCAACAGAGCATTGGAAGTTCTAGGCATTGCAATAAGGCAAGAAAAAGAAATAAAAGGCACTCAGATGGAAAAGGAAAAAAAATGGTTCCTACTTTCAAATGACATAATTGTCTACCTAGAAAATCCCAAGGAATTTGCAAAAACCTTCTTAAACTAATAAATCCTTAAGATCACAGGATATAAGATCTATGTATAACACACAAAAGTCACTTGCATTTCTATCATAGATTTATGATAAAAAATTTTTTTAAATCCTGATGAAAGAAATAAAAGAAGATCTAAGTATTTGGAGCTGGGCACAGTGGCTCATGCTTGTAATCCCAGCACTTTGGGAGGGCAAGGTGGGTGGATCACCTCAGGTCAGGAGTTTGAGACCAGCCTGACCAACAAGGTGAAACTCCGTCTCTACTAAAAATACAAAATTCACCGAGCATGGTGGTGCATGCCTGTAATACCAGCTACTGGGGAGGGTGAGGCAGGAGACTCACTTGAACCTAGGAGGTGGAGGTTGCAGTGATCCAAGATTGTGCCATTGCACTCCAGCCTGGGCAACAAGAGCAAAACTCCATCTCAAAAAAATATATACATATATATTTGGAGAGACATAGTGTTGTTCATAAATCAGCAGACTTATCATAGAAAATATGTCAATTCTTCCTAAATTGATCTATAGACTTAACACAATTCTTATCAGAAAAGGTATATATATATAATATCTTATTCTAAAATTTCTATGGCAAGGGAAAGATGCTAGAATTGCAGAAACAATTCTGAAAAAAAATAATAGGGAGCAAGAATCACTCTTCCTGATGTTCAGGATTATATCTACAAGGCAGTGTGGTACTAGTAGAGAGATAGGCACATAGATTAATGAAATAGAATAGAGAATTCCAAACTAGGTCTGTACAAAGAAACCAAAGCAATTCAATGGTGGAGGGACAGTCTTTGTGACAAATTGTACTGGAGTAATTGAACTTCCAAGGAGTTGGGGGAGGAATACAGATAAAACTCATACCTTATTTTTAAAAATTAACTCATATTGGATCATTAACTTAAAGTGTAAAATTATAAAACTTCTAGAAAAAAAAGAGGAGAAAATCTGTGACTAGAACTAGGCAAAGAGTACTTAGATTTGACCTGAAAAGCACAATGCATGGATGAAAAAATTGATTTAAAAAAAATTGAACCTTTCAAAATGAAAAATGTTTCTCTGCAAAAGGCTCTGTTAAGATGAAAAGACAAGTTACAATAGGGGAAATATTTGCAAGTGTCATATCTGACAGAGGATTCATCTCAAGAATATATAAAGGACTCTCAAAACTTGACATTAAAAACTGTGAACAATCAGAACATGGACAAAAGATATAAAGACACATGTTGCTGGAAAGAATATACAAGTGACAAGCACATGGAAAGATGTTCAACTTCATTAGTTATTAGGAAAATGTAACTAAAACCATAAAGTACTATCACTACATTCCTATTATAATAGCTAAAATAAAATATAGTGATAATAACAAATGCTCATGAAGATGCTGAGACACTGGATCATTCATATGTTGCTGGTGGGAATACAACATGGTACAACCATTCTGGAAAGTAGTCTGGCCTTTCCTTTCAAAACTAAAAATGGACTTACCATGTAACCCTGCAGTTGCACTCTTACGCATTTACCCCAGAGGAAAGAAAACTTATTTCCATGCAGAAACTTGTACACAAATGTTCACAGCAGCAGCTTCATTTGCAATAACCAAAAAGGGGGAACTACCGAAGTGTCTTTCAGTGTGTGGTACTGTGATACATCCATGCTGAGTAGTAACTCAGTAATCAAAAGGAATGAGCTACTGAGTCAAGCAGCACCTTGGATGAGCCTCAGGTAATTATGCCCATGTAGTCCTCACAACAATCCTGTGGGACAGTTACTTTTGTTTTCTGCATTTTAGTGTGAGGCAATTAAGGCTTAGGAAGGCTACGTAATCTACCAGGGTCACCTGCTAGTTAAACAGGATTCACTCTGAAACCTGAGTCTGATGCCCCGTGGCCCTTTTGCCCTACGAGACTCAGACTTTATGTCCTTCTTTTCTGCTCTTGCACACAGGCTGGCTTCTCTATCTCCTGCCCACTCCACTCTGAAAAGTTATTCATCCTTCAATTCTCACCTCAAATATCTCTGCTGTGTTTGCTTTCCCAGGTCTAAATAGCTAATTTTGAGAGAGTTTTAGACTTTGGCATTAAATTTTTAAAAATTAAAATGTTTTTCATAATATACTTAAATACATTAAAAATATTTTTATCCACACTTTAGAAAATGATCTGTTATCATATTTGAACATTTTTTTCAATGTGAAAAAATTTTAAATCCTCTCATGTTGTGAGTGGGCAAAATAAAAAGTCATAAAAAGAGGAAAGAATAAAAATTTCCATTCAATAGGAATTGATCTTAAACATAGATGGAGGGATCAGACAAGGGAAGTCATGTGATTTCATATAGTCTACTTAAAAAGGTTAAATTTTATGTAAACTATACTTATTTTTATTTAACCATCTTTCATTCCTTCTATTAAACTATACTTATTTTAATATATCACTTGTTTTTTCTTAATGAACAAACTAACCTCAGGATTAAAATGAAAATGTCTTTTGAAATTACAAATAATTCAAAAAGCTATTTGCGACACTATATGTGAACACTGTGACATTACACATATATTTTAAAATACATTTACAAAATATGTCTGTTTTTAAATGATTGTTGAATATGGTTTCACTAACCTCATTTTTAAAAAAGAAACTTGAGAATGCAAAATAGTTAAATTACTTGCAGGAAATTTGAACTGTTTAGTCCTGCATATAGCAGCAATATACTTTATGTATAAACGTACTTTGGTTATAGTGTACTAATTATATTTTGGTAGAAGGCAACAATAAAAAAGGAAGCCAATTTCTAAGTCTGTGCTGCCTTTTCTAGTGGTTGCTAATACACACCACCCATGGCAGCCAATTAAGGACATTTTTCCCTGGGAAGATCTGACTGCTTCCCCCCCCACCGCCCATTGCTGTACCATTATCTCCTGAAATGCCACTGCTCATGTCAACGCGCAAAGCAGGCTATGAATTGTTTCTGCATTATCGTTTCTAAGTTCTTATTAGTAAGAGGATTTTAATCCATTTTAATTTCACCGAGAAGCTCGTCCGATTCATAAGCGATTCCTATTCGGCCCTGGGTCTTTGTCATTTTAATGGCGAACGTGTGCCACTTAGACCCTCACCCTGCACTCCAGGAGCGGTTTGACTTGGGTGGTTATGGAAACGGAGCCCGATCTGCATAGGGTTAATCTGCCGAGTAGTGACTACTTCTGTCAAATTCTCCCCAAGGGTAAACCCTGCGGGCTGAGGAGGCAGCGGCGGAGGCTGGGCGCACGTGGGTGCTGCAGTAGCCGGCGGACGCCCAGGGCGCACGGGGGCGCACCGAGAGACCTCACCGAACCCAAAGAGCGTGCGGTTCGTCTCGCCCAAAACCACAGCGCTGGCTACAGAAACCCCTGAAATCGGAAATACTCTAACCAAAGGTACTGAGAGCGAATCTCATCTTTCCCATCGGGGAAAGTAGATGTTATTGACACAACATAGAACTGTGACACAGCGAGATCTGTCCTGTCATCTCGTTACCGCGTCTCCCAAGAGAGAAAGATCATCTAGCAAGGACCATTCGGCAATAAAGAGCTCAAGCAAGGGCTTCCCAAGGCATGAATCCAAATCGGCCTTTTCTTTTTTTAAAGATGAAAAGGGAAGAAGAGAGGCGGTGCTGGGGAGGGAACTGAAGTTGTCAGTGGGCTTCCATTGTTCAGTGTTTCTCCTGGGAAAAAATGACTCCATATTCCACGCTGCTTCTACTTCATGCCCCTTTTTAACAGCTCTGATATAGTTGGTTCGTTTATTCAAATGTTGTGTTACAGGGACTGCAAATATAAAATAAAATTCCTGCAAATTACAATACAGTCATGCACTGAAAAGAACATCTTGGTTAATAATGGACTGCAAATATGACCATGGCCCCATAAGGTTATAATACCACATTTTTACTGTACCTTTTCTGTGTTTAGATACCCAAGTACTTAGCATTGTGTTCCAATTGCCTACAGTGTTCAGTACAGTCACATGCTGCACAGGTTTGTAGCCCAGGAACAAACCGTATATCCTAGGTGTGTAGTAGGCTAGACCATCTAGGTTTGTGTAAACACACTCTATGATGCTCCCACAACAAAATCCCCTAATGAGGCATTTCTGAGATGGTATAGCACCTAGATAACAACATCCCACCCCTCACCTGTTAAAGCAGAATTTTCAGTGGAGAGTGACTATGAAGGAAGGAGGCTGCCACCAGGTGAAGTGTGGGAGAATCGATCTCATGTCTTTATCATCGTACTTGACATCCTCCCTCTGGATTTCCCACAAGGCAAGAGAATGAAAATGCAAACTCCTCCATCAGACTTTTTCTTCCACAGAAACATGAGTTTTGCATGCATATTTATCAGCAATGTTATTTGAAACATTCCAATGTTGTCATAGGAATCTCTGGTACCATAAACTCTATTAATTTTAAACACCTGAAAACTTAATATATAAACATTCAACACTGGACGAAATAGCAACACAGCACAAAATTAAGTGGATGGACGCTGAGAAAAAAAAGCATTTTTCCCGTTGAGGTTCCCAAAATTCCAAAGGTAGGAAGTGGTTGCCAGAGCGAGGAGGATGGGATCGACACCACTAACATTTTTTCCCCTTCTGGATTTTTCCTTGATTTCTGGTCCCCACCATTGTTTGTCTCTGCCTTTTTCACCTTAATTCTCTCAAGACAGTATTTGGCTTTTTCAAAAGGAATGGTCTTAGGAAACATCAGGTGAGTCTGTGCAATGCGGTATGAAAGCTTAGCTTCGGGGGCACTGACTTGCTCCACTTACCAGCTCTGGATCCCATTCCTTGCTCTGGGTGTTTGGAACTGCCCACCCTCACCTAGACTAACCACCCCATGGCTAAGCTTTGCCACCTTGGACCCAGGTTTTCCCCTGAGTGCAGCGCGTGGGGTCCAGACCCTCGGGGAAGACACCATTTTCCCAGGAGCCTATCTGGATGGCTCATTCTGCCTGCCTTCCCTCCCACTTCCTCCAAAGACTCCTGCAATCAGTGCTTGTTCCCTCCCTGAGGACAACCTCTCCAGGCTCCCTTTAGTGACCCACTTATATCCCAACTCTCCATCTCCCTACCTCAGTATAATGAGAAAAAGCAACCAGCATTGCCTCCTATAGGTGTGCAATATCATATGAAAATAAAGACGCCCTGCATATAAATAGCAATAATAGAGAAATGCCAGAGGAAAAATTATTTTCAACCAGTTGCTGACTGCTGTGCATTACTTAGCCAGCCCTAAATAGACAGTAAATGCTTTTCAATATTTCTTTGCATGTTGGATATTACAGACCCTTTAAAAAGGCATATGTTGTGCATGTTTATAAAACACACCCAACAAGCTCAACTGGTACAATGTAACAAAAACACAACTTTGTTTTTGCTTTCCCATTATCTCTTTAAAAATTTACTCAGCAGAGGATGTTCATCAACATTGCCTCTGCCTGGGCAGGCCCCCAAACCTGCAGACCACTTCCAAGTTAAAAAAAAAAAAAAATCTTACAGTCATTTTAAGTGACCAGCGCAGTCTCATTTAGGTAGCCCTGTTTTCTCTCCCTGAGCAGAGCTGCAGAAGGAACCTGCTGTCATGCTTCCTCCTTCTTGCTTGTCACTGTCGCCCCCACTGGCTGGCTAGTCTTTCTGACTTACCTGGGCTCAGCCAGAGAAAGGTGATGGGGCAAGAGTCTTTACCTGACAGAAACTATTGCAAAACGACTAAGTCCTTTCTGGGACTGGCTGCCATCAAATGCCAACTCCTCCTCTGAGAAGCACTGTAAGGAACTGAATGTCTGTATCTCCACCAAATTCCTATGTTGAAGCCCTACCCCACAATGTGATGGTATTAGAGGGGGGAGTCTTTGAGAGGTATTTAGGACTAGATGAGCTCATAAGGGTGGAGCCCTCACGAATAGGATAAGTACCCTTACAGGAGTCATGAGACAGCTTGCCTCTCCTCTCTGCACTCTGCCACGTGAGGACACAAGAAGGTGGCAGTCTGCAACCCAGAAGACAGCCCTCCCCATAACCCAAAAATGCTGGCACCCGATTGAGGAATTCCAGTCTGCAGAAATATGAGAAATAAATTTCTATTGTTTAAGCCACCCAGTCTATGGCAGTTTGTTATAGCAGCCCGACCTAAAACAAGCCCTTTCGAAGCAGTTAGGTGGTGGCCCTGCGAGATCCCTCCTACTGCAACTCCCTGAATGTGGGCAACACATCCTGTCTCCCAGACTGCTCTTGCTGTGTCTCTGGATTTTGGTGGTCCCCTCACAGACTCACCAGGGGAAGGCCCATTGTCCTCCCAGTGGTCAGGCGCTCCAGGTTCCTGCACTCTTGCCAATTGTAGAGTAGTCTCTTGCACCCTCTAGCCTGACAAGCTGTTCTGGTTATTATTGCTGCATCAAAAAATACCCCAAAACTTAGTGGTATAAAAAGATAATCATGTTATTTTGATAATGATTTTGCAGGTAAGAAACAAACATCTCAATAAAAAATGAACAAAATATTAGAATACATTTCACCCAAAGAAAATATAAAAATGGCAAATGAGCACATAAGAAGTTCAACAATATTAATCACTAGGGAAATGCAAATTGAAACTACAATGAGATACCACTACATACCTATTAGAATATCTACAATTTAAAAAGAAAACCATACCAATTGATGATGAGGATGCAGAGAAACTGGAGTTCTCATACACTGCTAGTGGGGATGTAAAATGGTACAACCACTTAAAAAAAAGCAGTGAGGCATTTTATTTAAAATTTAAACACACATATACCATATGACCCAGCAATTTTACTCCTATTTATACAAGAGAAATGAAGGATATTTACACAAGAGAAATATACTCAGACTTCTACATGAATGTTCATAGCAGTTTTATTTGTAATACCCAAAAACTGGAACTAACCCAACAGATGAATTGATAAATCATGGCATAGCCATGTAATACTGCTCAACAATGAAAAGGCATGAAATATTAATACACATAACAATATCAATAAATCTCAAAGTAATCAGGTGAAGTGAAAGACGCTGACAAAAAGGGAGTTTCCTTTACATAAAACTCTAGAAAATGCAAACTCATAAGCAGTGACAGAAAACAGATGAGTGGCTGCCTAGGGATGGGGGAGGTGGGGAACAGCAGGAGTGAGACTATGAAGGGAGAATGATGGATGTGTTAATTATATTAATCATCGTAGTGGTTTCACAGGCATATTCGTATGTCAAAATTAATCACATTCTACACTTTAGACATGTGCAATTTATTGTATGTCAGTTATGCTTTTTATATCTTTTTAAGAAAAAATATTATATACCAATCCCATGGTTTAGGGAACCAGAGTTCATTTTGCATTCTCCAGAACTATTATAAAATAGAGATTATATGTTCCTTGATGTTGACAAAGCACATTAATAAATTATCTGACCCTGGGAAAAAGGTGAAGGGTGAAAGTTATGGATAGACCTTTCACTACAAACTCAATTTCTTAACCAATTACAGGACCATTAAAGTTTTTTCTTTCTTCTTGTGTCAGCTTTGGTTATTTGATCATTGCCAGTTTCATCTAAGTTTTTAAACTCATTGATACAAACCTAATCCTTATATTCTCTTACTCTTTTTTGTCTGTATTATATTAATAATTATGCCCCATTCTCTTTACTAACATTGTTTAAAAGCTTTCTGTTTTTTGTATCCTGATTTGGTTAGCGAAGTATTTTTCTTTATTATTACTTTTGTTCAAAAATAACAATTTTGTTGATCATCTCTATTTTTTAAATTAGTGTCCAATTTCCTTAATTTACATTTTCACATTTATTACTTCTTTATTTCTACTATTTTGGGTCTACCGTATTCTCTTTGTCTACCTTCTTGAGTTGAATGGCTGATTCATTAATATCTAATTTTTCTAATTCCAGAGTTTGGGTTCCAGAATCAGATGAGTAGGGATTCCAGCTCTGTACTTACTAGCTGAGTAATCCTGGGTTAATTATTCAACTTATCTCTGCCTCAGTTTCCTCATTACATTCTGATTTAGCATGAGTTGGTCATGTAAAGAACCTAGAATGTTGCCTCACACATGGTAAGTAGTCAACAAATATTAGCAATTATTTGTTTGGCACAAGATTCTAAGAATACGATTTAGTTGCAGCTTTTAATTTTGCCCTTCAAATATTTTATATCTTTACTAAATATTTGTCTGATTAATCTGAAAGAGATGTTAAAATCTGCCACTGTCTTTGTATATTTGGGCTTTATAGACCCTGAAGATGAGTTATTAAGTCACATAATTTCAAGATTGGTGTGTCGTCCTGGTAAATTATTCTTTCATCATCAAGTAATGACAGAGTCTACTTTATCCAAATTTTGTATTTCTCTACCATTTTTCTTTTGGTTACTATCAGAAAAAGTTGTATACCACATCCCTGGCAACATATCTTGCTTATTATATTTTAGGTGTCTCTCTCATAAACCATAGAACATAAATGTTTCTTATTTCAAATGAAATTTCTTTTATTGGATGTGTTTAATCCATTTTCATTCCTTGTGATTACAGACATATTTGGTTGGTTATTTAATCTGATTTAGTTTTCTGTTTACTTTCAATTAAATTGGTAATCCTTTCTTCCTATTCTTTTTCTTCTGTATTTGTTTGGAAGTTATATTCTGCTTTTGCTAAGACAGAAAGAAAAGAGACACAGAGATGTTTACAAGTAAGTAACACATCATGAGGAATCGAAGATTCAATCATGGAAAGTATGCCCCACTTACCAGCCTGTCTCCCAAATGGCACCAACTGTCACCAGTTCCCCGAGGTTCCTTCCAGGGATAGAAATTTTAATTCTTCTTCATCTTAATTTTCAAATCTACTATTTCAGTTTCCCCCTCTGTTGTATTCCTCTTTCCCCCTATTCCTGTTATCCTTCCACCAACCTTAACAGGAAGAAACAACCAGAGAGAGACTAGAAGTAGAGAAAATAATTCGGAAAAATTGAGGGAGAAAAAAAAAGTCACCAGAGAAACTGAAAACTCAAAAATAAATTTTAAGAGGGCAAAAACTAGCTACAGATCAGGAGAAAATATTTGCAAACCATGTATTTAACCAAAGACTAGTATCCTGAATAAACAAAGAACTTGCAAAACTTGACAATTAAGAAAAGTCAATTAGAAAATGGGTAAAAGATGTAAACAGACATTTCGCTGAAGAGGACATACAGATGGCAAATAAACACATGAAAATAAGTCTAATGCCATTAGTCATTAGGGAAATGCAAATTTAAATCATAATGGGATATCACTACATATACATCTATCAGAATAATAATTAGTGACAACACCAAATGCTGGGGATGATACAGAGAAACTGAGTCACTCCTACATTGCTGGGAATATGGAATGGTACAGCCACCCTGAAAACAGTTTGGCAGTTTCTTATATAACCAAACCTGAAAAATACCATATGATCCACAATTTGTATCCTTGGGCATTTATCCCAGAGAAACAAAAACTTATATTCACACAACACCTACACACGAATATTTATAGCAGCCTTATTAGTAATAGCTGAAATCTGGAAACAGCCCAAGTGTCCTTCAATGAGTGAATAAACTGCAGTATGTGTGGTATAGTGCAAAATACTACTCAGTATTTTTTTAAATGAATGATTGATACAAGCAACAACTTGGATGACTCTCCAGAGATTATGCTAAATTAAAAAGCCAATCCCAAAAGATTACCTACTGTATGATTCCATTTAATAACATTCCCCAACTGACAAAATTATAGAAGTGGAAACCAGATTAGTCGTTGCCAGGCACTATGGAAGGTGGAGGGAGGCAGTGAGAGGTGAGCATGACAGGAGAACACAGGGATGCTCGTAGGGATGGACTATTCCATATCTCGACTGTGGTGGTGGATACACAGACCTACATATATGATAAAATTGCATAAAACCTTCAGAGGTATTTAAACCAGAGCAACTCCATCTTGAATAGGAACTGGACAAAATGAGGATGAGACCTACTGAGCTGCATTCCCAGGAGGTTAAGGTGTTCTTAGTCGCAAGGTGAGATAGGAGGTCAGCACAAGATAAGGTCATAAAAACCTTGCTGATAAAACAGGTTGCAGTCAAGAAGCCGGCTAAAACCCACCAAAGGCAAGATGGCAATGACAGTGACCTCTGGTCATCCTCATTGCTACACTCCCATCCGTGCCAGGACAGTTTACAAATGCCATGGCAACATCAGAAAGTTACCCTCCATGGTCTAAAAAGGGCAGGCATGAAAAATCCACCCCTTATTTAGCATATAATCAAGATAATACCATAAAAATGTGCAACCAGCAGCCCACGGGGCTGCTCTGCCTATGGAGTAGCCATTCTTTTATTCCCTTACTTTTTTAATAAACTTGCTTTCACTTTATGGACTTGCCCTGAATTCTTGCAAAATTCAAGAACCCTCTTTTGGGGTCTGGATCAGGACCTCTTTCTGGTAACAGAACTACACACAGGCACACATACACAAACAAGTACATGTAAAATAAAACAGAAAAAAAAACTGAATAAGAGGAGTGGATTGTATCAATGCCAACATTTTCCTTCATTATTGCTTTTGTTAAAAAAAAAACCTTAATTTTGTTGATCTTCTCTATTTTTTTTATTAGTTTCCCTAGCTGTGATATTGTACTATAGTTTTGTCAAGATGTTACCACTGGGAAAAACTGGGTAAACAATACAGAGGATCTCTCTATCTCTATTATTTCTTACAACTGCATGTTGTTGACAAAAGAGCCAAAGTCTGTAAAATACTTAAAGGGATTTATCAGAGACTTTATGAATGATCATGGTCTGGGGTACAGTCTCAAGAGGTCCTGAGAAAGTGCACCAGAGATGGTGAGGTATAGCTTGAGTTTGTTGTTGTTGTTGTTTTTGTTTTTTGAGATGGAGTTTTGCTCGTCACCCAGGCTGGGGTGCAATGGTGTGATCTCGGCTCACTGCAACCTCTGCCTCCCGGGTTCAGGCAATTCTCCTGCCTCAGCCTCCTGAGTAGCTGAGATTACAGGCACGCACCACCATGCCTGGCTAATTTTATATTTTTAGTAGAGACGAGTGTCGCCATGTTGGCCAGGCTGGTCTCGAACTCCTGATTGATCCACCCGCCTCGGCCTATATATTTCAGAGACAAGGGTCCAGGTCATAGGTGGATTCAAAGATTTTCTGATTGGCAAATGGTTGAAAAGTTAAACTTTGCCGAAAGAGGTAAAGTCAGCATAAAGAAACACTTGAAGTTAAGACGAGGGGCATTGTGGGAGCTGAGATGTACATGAAGCTGTCATGTAGATGAAGCCTCTTAAGTGGCAAGCTTCAGAGAGAGTACATGGTAAATGTTTCCTTTCAGACCTGAAAAGGTATCAGATTCTTCATTAAATCTCTCCTAGATCTAGGAAATACTAGAAAGGAAAGGAAATTCTCTACAGAGGCAAATTTCCCCACAACACACGGCTTTGCTGGACCATTTCAAAATATGTCAAAGAAATATATTTTGGGGTGAAATACTTTAATTTCCTTTAGGGCCTGTTATCTGTATGTGAGGCTATACCAGAGTCAGGTTGGAATTTGGTACCTTATTGCCAAAGAGTCTGTTTTGTCAGTCTTATGGTCTCTATTTTAATATTAATGCTGGTCAACTGTGCCTAGGCTTCAAAAGTGAGGGGGTATAATGAGGGTGTCTAATCTCTCCCTTCCCATTATGGCCTGAAATTTAGTTTTTCAGGTTTCCCTTGGCCCAGAAAGTGTCTATTTGGTTGGTTGAGGAGCTTAGGATTTTATTTTTGTTTACAATGTGAATCTGTTAGCACTAGGGAACATACCCAAGTCACACAGCACCAAAGTATGTTAGCAGCAGCACGTATGGGTCTGCAGCAACCTCAATTCTTGCCTCCTTAGAAGAAAGAATTTGGCGAAGGTGCACAAGGCAGAGTGAGAGACTGGGGCAAGTTTTAGAGCAGGAGTAAATGTTTATTTAAAAGTTTTGGAGCAGGAACGAAAGTAAAGCACACTCGGAAGAGGGCCAAGAGGCAACTTGAGAGATTCAAGGGTATGGTTTGACCTTTGATTTGGGTCTTAGATGTTGGCATGCTTCCAGGGTTGCATTACCTCTCCCCTAATTCTTCCCTTGGGGTGGGCTGTCCACATGTGCAGTGACCTGCCAGCACGTGGAAGGGGCTGCATGTGCAGTGTGTTTGCTGAAGTTGTACACATACTCACTTGAAGCGTTTTCCCCTTATCAGTCGAGTGTTCCTTGGGGAAGGTCATATACCAATTAAACTCTGCCATTTTGCCTCTTATTGTACATGCTTGAGCCCACTCACTCAACTCCTGAGATCTTATCAGGAAGCTGCTGATCACCAGCTTTAGGTGTTTTTCTGTTTCCTAGGAGACTGCCTTTCCCTGGCACCGGCTGTGACCAATTAGAGCAATTATTATTTTAGAGAGACAATTTACAACCACCTGACCATCACCTGATGGTCACCTGACATTCCTGGGTGATGGGGCCCTCTCCTGCCCTGCTCGTGTCTGACTACCCACTGTAACAAATCTGTAATGATCTCAAAATTTAAAAGTTTAATAATAATACACCCATGTTCATAGCAGCATTGTTCACAATAGCCAAAATGTGGAAGTCACCCTCCTCCATTGACAGGTGAATGGATAAACAAAATGTGTTACATCAATTCCATGAAATATTATTCAACCTTTCGAAGGAAGGAAATTCTGTCACATGCTACAACAGGGGTGAACCTTGACAACATTATACTAAGTGAAATAAGTCAATCACAAAAAACCAAAAACTGTGTGATTTCACTCATATGAAATGTATCTAGGGTAGTCACATTCATAGAGATGGAAAGTAGAATGGTGATTGCCAGAGGCTGCAGGAGGAGGAATGGGGATGTGCTGTTTAATGGGAACAGAGTTTTGGCTTTGCAAGATGAAAAGAGTTCTGGGGATGGATGGTGGTGTTAGCTGCACAACAATATGAATGTCCTTAATGCCACTGAATTATACACTTAAAAATTGTTAAGATGCTAAATTTTATGTTGTGTGCGTTTTACCACAATTTAAAATTTTTTTAACTTTAATAATTTTTTAAAACTAGCTTAAGCAAAGAAAAACTGGAAGTGATTCATTGGCTTAGAGGCATGAGTCTGGGTTCAGGTGTGGCTGGCCCTGGGGATTCAAATGATGTCACCGAGACCTGTCCTCTCCAATTTTTGGGGCTGCTCTCCTCTCTGTCACGTTCACCTCAGGCCAGCTCTCTCCACTTGAGGGCAAAGATTGCCAGGGGCAACTCCAGGCTCATATTGTTTACCATATACAACATCCAAGGAGAAGAGCAAAATCCTCCCCCCGCCAATAACCACACCAATCCCTGAAAAGAGCTGGGCAGGGCCAACTGAGGCCACGGGTCATCCTTGGCATGGGGAAGGTGGGAAAGTGTGATTTACCACCCTAACCTGTATTACCTGGAATGCCTTGGGAATCTATTTCAGGAAGGGAAGTCCACAGGCAGACGTCCACCACAATGAGGTTGCAAAATCTGTAACATCAAAACTATATTTTGACCTGATGGCACCACAGTGACAAGTGATTTTTCACAGAATAAGTAAATCCTGAACTACCTAGACATAAAAATAGGTGAAATCACACACACTCATAGAAATAATTCTCTAGTGATAACTAAATCACTAGAATTATATAGTATTAAAATTTTATGTTGTAAAGAAAATGAGAACTTATAATCAATGGAGATAAAGAAAATAGCTTAGAGTTAGGGACAAAAGTGTTCCGTGCTTCAATAGCATGTATTTTGGCTGTATTTGGCAGGAAGTTTCATCTCTAATGAGAGTCTCCCCTCCACTTGCTGTAGAAGGTTTCCTTGAAACAGCCTGCAGTGATCGCTGGCTAGAGGACACTGGGGATGCACAATGTGACACCATTTCTAACCTATTTCCAAGTGTAACTTAAGGTACTTATTTTTCCAAAGAAAACTTCCTTTGACCAGGACTTGTGCTAAGCAGGCATTTGCAGGACATGTACTGAATGCAGAAATTAAAGGATGAGAGGAGGCCGGGCACGGTGGCTCATGCCTGTAATCCCAGCACTTTGGGAGGCCGAGGAGGGTGGATCTCAAGGTCAAGAGATCAAGACCATCCTGGCCAACATGGTGAAACCCTATCTCTACTAAAAATACAAAAATTAGCTGGGCGTGGTGGCGTGCACCTGTAGTCCCAGCTACTGGGGAGACTGAAGCAGGAGAATCACTTGAAACTGGCAGGCAAAGGTTTCAGTGAGCCGAGATCACACCACTGCACTCCAGCCTGGTGACAGAGTGAGACTCTGTCTCAAAAAAAAAAAAAGATGAGAGGAGCAGAGGAGCAGGGCTGTGGCCTGGGCTTACTCTGAGCAGCTGGCCATGGCTCCTGCTGTAGACAGGCTCCCCCAGCAGCCTTCCCACACCTGTGTCATGCCTTCCCTGTACAGAGCGTGGAACGCTCATAAGAAGGCAAATGAGGCTGGCATGTCCAGGAAGCTACGACTGGGAGTGAGTTCAGGGTCTGCTCCCTGTGACTGTGGCCTCAAGGGCAGGGCCCGTGATGCTGCTGGGTGATTTCTCTGGCTGCACTGTTCCTGGTTGTTCCTGGTTGTAGCAGCAAGTCATGGTCCACTGTGCCTCCCAGGAACTCTGCCTACTGCCTAATACTCTGGATTTATACAGTTAGAGAAAATTTATTTGCAAAAGCCATCAGTCAAGTCACCTGAGGGTCAGGATTCATGGCTTGGTTGATTCCAAAGGCAGCAATCCAACTGACTCTCCCCACTGTGTGTACCAAGCTCTGTGTGCTGACCAGAATCACCCCTCAATCCCCTGGAGGCCCCTCAGTCCTCATTCACTTTGTCCCTCCAGGTGTGGGCCATGACTGGTGTTCTTACAGGACATGAGCATCAATCAACTCAATACCCAGCCCTAATCATGCCTTTTGCTAAAAAGCCTTATCCTACCACCAAGCCAACATTGTCGCTTCTAGCCACAGTCTCCCCTGACACTCCACACACATATCTCTTTGTGCCCATCACACTGGTCTGTGATAGTCTGCTCCCTGGTTGCATGGACTTGCACAAAGGTCAGGATCATTCCCATCACGTTGTCAACAAATGCTTCTTAATGGACTTGAATTCATTTATTATATTAGCATTCTCCAGAGAAACAGATCCAATAGGGTGTGCGTGTGTGTGTGTGTGTGTGTGTGTAGCAAAAGAGAGAGAGGGGGGGAAGATTTATTTTATAGAATTGGCTCTCACAATTGTGAACCTATAACGTGAGGTCCAAAATCTGCATGATGGGCCAGAAGGCTGGAGACCTAGGGAAGCGTTGTGCTGCCGCTTAAGTAGCAAGCCAGTCTGGAGGCAGAATTCCTCCTTCTCAGGGGCGGTTGGTGTTGTTCTCTTAAGTCCTTCAACTGATTCGGTGAGGACTGCCCACATTATGGAGAGCCACATGCTTTACACAAAGCCTGCTGATTTAAATGTTAATCTAGCTAAAAAAAAAAAAAATACCTTCACAGTGACTTCTAGACTTGTGTTTGACCACCTATCTGGGTACCATAGCCTAGTCAAAGTGACACCTAAAATTACCCACATCCATTTTATACCATCTAGATGTTCAATAAGTGATAAAGGAAGGGAGGGGAGAGGGAAGAATGGAAAAAAATTAGCTGGTTCTAAAAATGCTTTGGTAAATCACAAAAATTATTAAAATAAAAATGTAGTTTCCCTAATGCCTACTTTTGTCACAGCCCAACAGGTTCTTGTTGCCTGATTCCCTGAAATAAACAAACAATAACAACAACAAAACCACAGTTTTGTTGAGAACAGTAGGTGTTACAACAAAGAAAGAATTTAATAATGGCAGGGCCAGCTAAGCGAGGAGAACAGGGAGAAATTTCTCAAACTCGTCTCCTTGAGGATTCAGAGGCTGGGGTTTCTTAAGGGTACTTTGGTGAGCAGGAGCCTGGGGCACTGGAACAATGGATTGGCTGCGGATGAAATCACAGGAGCCTCTAAAGCTGTCTTCCTGCAGCTGAGTCATCCAGGGGAAAGGGAGGTTCTCAAGACCAGGTGGTGTCTCTTGGTTTACTAAGATGCTAAATCTGAAAAAATGTCCCAAAGACCAGTTCTTTAGTTTTCACTATAATTATGTTATCTATAGGAGTAATTGAGGAAGTTATGAATCTTGCAACCCCCAGTTACATGACTCCAGGGCAGTCAGCAACTTACAGGAAAACATGCTCAGCAATGGCAGGTCATTGTTCAATGCTGCCTATTCTTTAGCAAAGTTCAGGCCCTATCATAATTCTAACCTCCTCTTATGAATGGCTTCAGCCTCCTGACAAGGAGGCAGGTCAGTTTCCCTTGCCTCTAAGTTGAACTATAAACTACATTCCTCTTATGGTTATCTTGGCCTCTGTGCTAAAATATGCAAAAAAAATAGTTTAGCCTGTGAGGTTGGAAGAAAGACGGAGTCAGTCATGTTAGATTTCTCTCATTATAATTCTGCAAAGGCAGTTTCACTTTAAAAGTCAATATCATTGGCTATAAAAGTTCTGATGCAGTCACTAAAAATAGATCTCATTAAGTTGTAAACATAATTCATGTAAAGCAGGACTAGAAAATTAAACACACACAATGGCACATGAAAGGACATCAGATAAAGTCCAAATTCCCCAGAAGGCATTCAGAGCCCCCCACTTATTAGGTCCCCTCTCCACTCTCTTAAGAGGCAAGACAAAGAATGTCTAAAGAGGAAGCTGGGAAAAACATTGATCCACCCTGAACAAACTTGCTTTTATTTTCCTCATATTTCATCCAGTCAGTAAACTTCCTAAGCAATTAAAACAAATGTACCAAATTGTAAAAAATTAAACACTAAAATTATCTCCATTGACCCACAGTCTTACTGTTCTCCCCACTTAAAGGAACAGATAATACTGTCACTGAAACACCACGTGGGTAGGCACAATAGCTCACACATGTAATCCCAGAACTTTGGGAGGCCAAGGCAGGTGGATCACCTGAGGTCAGGAGTTCGAGACCAGCCTGACCAACATGGTGAAACTCCGTCTCTAGTAAATATAAAAAATTAGCCGGGCATGGTGGTGCATGCCTGTAATCCCAGCTACTTGGGAGGCTGAGGCAGGAGAACTGCTTGAACCTGGGAGGTGGAGGTTGCAGTGAGCCAAGATTGTGCCACTGCACACCAGCCTGGCGGAGCAAGACTCCATAAAAAAAAAAAAAAAAGCCCACAAAATAAGTATTGCTCTATCAGAAGGAAGCAATTTCCAAAGTCTTAAAACTCAATTTGAAGGTTTTAACATCAGAGACTTCCACTTCCATTATTTCATCCTGTTTGGGCTCACTGCTAATCTTTAGTAACACACACATATTCATAAACCTATGTAATTTACCAAGCTATGTTACCACAGAGTAGCTGAAGAAACAATTTCATAATGTAAGCACAGGCTTACATTAAAAACAAGACTTAAAAATAAGAAAGGGCTCACCACATCCCAGCCAGCAAGTGAACTGGAACAAGTGTGGGCACGGCCAGTGGCCTTGCAGAGGTGCTGAGAGCTGCTTCAGGGCAGCTTTGCTCCCCTGTCCCCAGAGGCTAGACATGCCCAGATTCATGAGAAGGTATCCAGGTGCAGGATCCATCTAAACATGTAGCAAGGGGTAAAGAAAAATGTGATTCATGACACTCGTTAAAGCATGGGAAAGCAGACTTTATTCAGAGGGAACGATCATGGCAAGTATACGGACCACCACAGTGGGGTTTTGCAATTGGAGAGAGAAATTGGGCTCCAAATTATAACTCCAAATACAATAAAGAAAAATGGGAGTTTATAGCCAAGGAGCAGGATGGGGTCCAGTGGATGGAAAATGACTAAGAGGGAACATCAGGGGTGATGGGGGAATCTGGCTAAAGTGACCTAAAAGGGTTCTTGCAGAAGACAGGCTGGTGTGACCACACATGACCTGAGGGCTGGTGGAGGATGAAGAACCCAGTTGGATATGGAGAATCATCAGGTATTGAGGGAGAGGGGTTCTGGCTAAACCCACTTGACAGGATTATTGCTAGCACTGAGTGCAGCAAAGAAGAACAGGAGTCTAAACGTTGAGAACTAGCTGGGAAGAGGGCTCAGAGGAGAGGAGCCTGACTAGCATTTGGTCAAGGAGAGTCTTTGTCACCAGGTGAAATAGTCCAGGAAAAGGACATTTCCTTTACCCAGTTTTAATGTCCTGACTTTCCTGGTGCTAAGTAGATGAGACACTTCACTGGCCTCCCTCCTGCAGAACTGGCCTGGCTTCTCCTGGGCTGCCTGGGAGAGTCAGAAACAATCAGGAGCTTGCTCTCTGCTGGTCCACTGGACCTGCAGGGAAGCAGCCTGCCTACATATCTTTGCCCTCCAACAGGGGCCCTAACCCCCAGTGCAATTTCAAATTGTGGCCCATTTTGTAAATCAATGTCTCCTCCTGGGTTCACGTCTTAACTCTTCCAATCCAGAGGCTTCACGCCTCCGAGGGAGGACTAGCTTCGCTCTCAAAGTTACCTGCACCCTGGTGTATCCCTCCCAAAATTTCCATGCATTTCACGATGTCTGTATTCTAACACACCCCACACACTCTCAGGATGTAGTCTAAAATACATCAAATCACTTCCTTGTGATGCAGCAACAAAAACATCAAAAAACATCTAGTTCTGACAGATTTCATTAGGAAAAAAATCTTGCTTTAATTTTCACTTCCTGCAACCAGTTACCTCTCTCTTAAATGTTGCTTTAAATTTTCTTCATTTGGAACCTACTTTACAGCATTGACGCCATTGAATTACATTCCTTATTCTTCTCTTAGATGAGACCTATTCTAAATTTTCTTCCTGTTTTCAGAATAAGACAGGTGTCTGCAAAACAATACAGTATGTTCCTAAAGAAAAGTCTGAATCCCACAGTGCATTTCATCAGCAGATATCTTTTTTCCCAGAATAGAAAATGTCTCAGGCAAGGGGAAGTGTTTCGACTTAAATCCCTTTATGAAATACCCTGAAATCCCCGGGGGGGGAGGGGGTGGGGGACAGCAGGTGGGGCAGCCAGGGGGACGTGACTTTCTGTCTGTGTAGGTAGAAGCCCTCTACAGCCCAGGCCAAGTTCAGGCACCAGCCTGGGAGCAGCTCTCCCAGTCAGGCCCTTGCCTCTGAGTAGATGCCCTCATCTCTATCATCTATCAAACCTATCTATCTATTATCTATATCTATCTCTATCAATCATCTCTTTCTATCATCTATCCATCTTCTATCTTCTTTCTATCTTCTGTCTATATCTATCATTCTATCTATCTATCTATCTATCTATCTATCTATCTATCTATCTATCTATCATCATCTTCAAAACAGATCCCAAAGCAATAGTCTAGCAGAACTAAAGAGAAGATTCCTCAGACTTCCTCTTCAACTGCATTCTTTTCCTGGTTCCACCTCCCTTTCAGGCCACCACCCCTCTTCATATCACTTCTTCATTTTATACTATATAGCAAGTGTCCTTGTAAGCATGGTCTCTGTGTTCTCTCTGCCCACCCTCCCATGGCCCCAGTGCAGTCTTCCACAGCTGCCCTTATCTACGTCACCAAGGAATGCACACTTCTCCCAATCCAGGGATCCAGTCCCCTTCCCTGTCTAACCCAGCACCATCTGGCAGAGCTGGGTATGCTCTCCTCCCCATTTTCCTCCTTGCTTTGGGTGACTCCTTCTCCTCTCCCCAAACCCCAGATATTGGATTACCCCCCAAAATCAGGATTTGGAGTTTGTTTTCTTATCTATCTATCTATCTATCTATCTATCTATCTATCTATCTATCTATCATCTATCCATAGCTTGCCACACTAGATAAATGGCCATATCCTCATCAGCTAGAGAGCACTGGAGAGAAGCAATCAGGCAGGAGGGTCACACACGTGATTCAGGATGCCTGAAGCCTGGCAGCAGCATTACACCAAACCAAAGGTCTGCTGAGTAACAGAATAAGGTGGTGTCAACAGACTCCATCAAATGCAGGAGATCCCTTTTACAAATGGATCTATATGATGCAGATTCATCTTGTTCACCAACCCTGACCCCAAACATAACTGCCTGAAATATGAGCTAGTTTCTACTTACACAAGTCTTTGACTGATGTCCATAGTCACATGCCCACCTATTCCTAGTGGGTACCAGGAAACAGTGGGTGAACAGAGCATGTGCTAACCAGGTATCTGAGTTTCCCTATAAACCATGATATTCAATGTCTTCCATGAGAACTTGTCAAGTACACCAGCTTCTCTTTTAAAGTCTCAAACCTATTGAATTCATGGAAGAATTTGCAACACTTAGAATTAGGTTCTTCTGCAAGTGACAAGTAAATTCGAGATAGTTTCTACTTCTTGTAGGTGGAAGTTAATTTCTCTCACACATAAATCAAGCCTAGAGGTTTTAGCAGCACCACATGCTGGAAAGCAAGAGGAAGCAATGAATGAAGAAGACAGCAAAGGGTGAAGGTTGCTGGATCTTAAGGACTGCTCCAAGAAGTTGAAATATTCTGAAGCCCTTTGTGATGTGAGTCACACAAACATGTGTAGCTGCAAGGGAAGCTGGGAAATGCAGTCTTTGTTCTAAACAGCCATGTGCTCATCTAATATTATATTACCCTGGGAGAACAAATTGTTAGTAATAACAAACCACTGACTTTAAGTTTCACCTTGTAATTTTCCAATGTTTAACATACTCTACAAAGATAGCATAATTTAAATTCTGGTGATGATTTAGAACATCTCTGTTGATTCATTTCAACATTTCAACATGTTTCAATAGTCTTTGATCATCCACAATGAATTCTAAATAAGTTCCTGTATTTCATCTACCTCTATCCAACATTCTCCAAGTTTAAAAATATTATAGACTAAAATAAAGCACATTGTAAACTAAACTCTGGTACTGAATTTACTAATTTTTGTGAGATATATATCAATTAAGAATGTTTAACACAATAGTTGATACACCACCATACTGTTGGCAATAATTCATTATCATTCTAAATGGTAGGGCTTTGAAATGTGTTTATTTTTGCCTTAATTCTGCTCCAAATTTCTACCCCAATAAGACTTTCCTCTCAGTAGCTCCATCTGCTAATTGAAATTTTGTTTTAAGAAACCATGGTAACACATGTTTTGCCATAACACAGAGTGGAGGAATTAATTCCACGTTCTTTGGCCAAAGCCAAGCCTTCTGCAAAACACAAAGGCAATAAAAATATCAGAAGCAGTATTTCTTAAGAAAACCAAACACGGATTTTTGTAATTGATGAACTGCCCCCAAACAGTGGCTAGCATACCTTTATAAAACGCATGCTTTGAGCCTCCAGTAGAGCGAGTTGAGTCAATTGCACTCCTCAGTCTGTGGAATGTAATTAGCATCCGTGTGTGCAAGGAGTGTCTCCAGTTTCATGTCGCTGCCCCCTTCAGACCTCTCCATCCCTCTCCTACTCCCTTTTCCACCCGGCACCTTCCAAGTTGCTGTGTCTTAGGCTTAGATGTGCTTGCCCCGTTGTAGTGTGGGGTGTGTGTGTGTGTGTGTCTGGTGTGTGTGAGAATGTGTGTGTTTATGTCGGTTGTGTGGTCTATGTGAGTGTGAGTGCATGGTGTCTGTGAGGGGTGTGTGCAGTGTGGGGCGTGTTTGTGTGTGTGATATGTGTGTACAGTATGTATGTATGTGGTGTGTGTAAATGTGTGAATGTATGTGGCATATGTGAGTGATGTGTGTGGTGCAGGGTGTGTTTATGAGTGTGTGGTGTGTTTATGTGGTGTGTGTATGGTATGTGTGAGTGTGTGGTGTATGTGGTGTGTATGAGATGTGTGAGTGTGTGTTTATATGATGTGTGTGTTTATATGATGTGTGATGTGGTATGAGTGTGTGTGGTGTGTGGAATGTGTAAGTAAAGTGTGTGTGAGTGTGTGTTGTTTACGTGGTGTGTGTGATTGTGAGTGTGTGATATGTGTATTGTGCATTAGTGTGTATGTGTGTTTATGCGGTGTGTGGTATGAGTGTATGTGGTGTGTGTGTAGTGTGTGCTGTGTGTTTATGTGGTGTGTGGTGTGTGTGGTGTTCCTGGTGTGTGTAGTGTGCGTGAGTGTGGTATGTGTTTATGTGGTGTGTGTGGTGTGTAGCATGTGTGAGTGTGGTGTGTGTGGCATGTGTGCTTTGTGCTTATATGCTGTGTGTGAGTGTAAGTGTAAGGTATGTGTGGCATGTGTGTGTGGTATATGTATGAGGTGTGTGTGGTGTACGTGATGTATGTGGTGAGTGTGGCATGTGTGGTGTGTGGTGTGTTTATGTGGTGTATGTGAGTGTGAGTGTGTGCTATGTGTTGTGTGTGTGATATGTGTGGTACGTGTAATGCATATGATGTGTGTACTGTGTGTTTATGTGGTGTGTGTCAGTGTATGATATACATGGCGTGTTCGAGTGTGGTGTGTGTGTGCTGTTTGTGATGTATGTGGTGAGTGTGGTGTGTGTGCTGTGTGTGATGTATGTGGTGAGTGTAGCGTGTGTGAGTGTGTGGTGTGTGTGGTGTGTGTGATGTGTGTATGTGGTGAGTGTGGCATGTGTGAGTGTGTGGTGTGTGTGCTGTGTGTGATGTGTGTATGTGACGAGTATGGCATGTATGAGTGTGGTGTGTGTGGTGTGTGTGGTGTATGTGGTGAGTGTGACGTGTGTGTGGTGTGAGTGTGTGCTGTGTGTGGTGTATGTGGTGAGTGTGGCGTGAGTGTGCGTGGTGTATGTGATGAGTGTGGTGTGTGTGGTGTGTGCTGTGTGATGTATGTGGTGAGTGTGGTGTGTGAGTGTGTGCTGTGTGCTGTGTGTATGTGGTCAGTGTGTGGTGTTGAGTGTGGCATGAGTGTGTGGCATGAGTGTGGCGTGTGAGTGTGTGGTGTGAGTGTGGCGTGTGTGTGTGGTGTGAGTGTGGAGTGTGTGTGGTGTGAGTGTGGCATGTGTGGGGGGTGTGTGGTGTGAGTGTGGCGTGTGTGAGTGTGTGGTATGAGTGTGGCGTGAGTGTGTGGTGTGAGTGTGGCGTGTGTGAGTGTGTGGTGTGAGTGCACGAAAGTGGTTCTGGACTTTCTTCCCTGGCTGCACTATGTTTTTAGTGCCCTCATGTATTTCAAAACATGCCGCCACCTATTTTAATTTTCCATCCTCCCCAAGATCATCACGCTGGCTGCCAACTCCCAGCCACAGCTCAGCGCCCCAAGCGGTGCTGCACCTGTCCCTCTCAGCCTGCTTGCAGATTCCTCTGGGACACGCAGCCCACAGTGTGCCTCAGAGATAAAGCTGACCACACTCTTCACTTCAGTCCCTCGTTCGGGTCAGCGTCCTAGCAGAAAGTGGAAAAGGCCTCCTCCACTAGGGTAAGTGGAGGAGAGTTTAATAAGGAGATCATGCAAAAAAATACCACCTGGAAACCACAAGGGCTGGTGCAAAACCCTGGGGCTGGACACACCCTGGGCCCTACAGTGAGAGGGGAGGGTCCTGCAGAGAAGCCACCCTGGCAGGAGCAGTGGCCACCAACAGAGAGTCCCTGCCTGCCTAAGGCAGCTTGACCCTTCACCTGCCTCCCACCTCCAATTCCCCCAGGTGAGCCCACCACAGGGCAGCCACAGCGACAGAGAGGGACCATGCGGGCAAAGCCAGCTGCATTCCAAGTTGTAGTAAGTTTTGTCATTATGAACTCCATTCACCAAAAATCGCGGTGCACACACAGTCAAGTGGGCTCCTGGGAGGCCACCACCACTGAAAACAAACAAAAGTTGTGGGTTCTGGGCCGGGCGCGGTGGCTCACGCCTGTAATCCCAGCACTTTGGGAGGCCGAGGCGGGCGGATCACGAGGTCAGGAGATCGAGACCATCCTGGCTAACACGGTGAAACCCCGTCTCTACTAAAAATACAAAAACTTAGCCGGGCGAGGTGGCGGGCGCCTGTAGTCCCAGCTACTCGGGAGGCTGAGGCAGGAGAATGGCGTGAACCCCAGGGGGCGGAGCCTGCAGTGAGCCGAGATTGCGCCACTGCACTCCAGCCTGGGCGACAGCGAGACTCCGTCTCAAAAAAAAAAAAAAAAAAAAAAAAAAGTTGTGGGTTCTGGAGTTGGTAGAAGCCTTCCCTGTCAATCGATTCTGAAAAGCATCTGTGAGCAATGTGAAATGTTGTTGTCGTTCTGTGTATAATGGAGTAACTACCACAACTTTGTGTCTACGGTTTTGAGGATTGTGTGTGTGTGTGTGTGTGTGTGTGTTCAGTTTTTTGTTTTGTTTTGTTTTTGAGATGAAGTCTCTCTCTGTCACCCCAGCTGGAGTGCAGTGGCTCAATCTCGGCTCCCTGCAACATCTGCCTCCCAGGTTCAAGCAATTCTCCTGCCTCAGCCTCCCGAGTAGCTGGGACCACAGGCGCATGCCACTACTCCTGGCTAATTTTTGTATTTTTAGTACAGACAGGGTTTCACTGTGTTGATCAGGCTGGTCTCGAACTCCTGACCTCGTGATTTGCCCGCCTCTGCCTCCCAAAGTGCTGGGATTACAGGCGTGAGCCACTGCGCGCGTCCCAGTTTTTAAAAATAATAATGCTCAGGACTCACTCCAACTAATTAGATCAGAATCTCTGTGGCTGAGACCTGATATTGCCGTAGTGTGAGCATGTGCGTGTGCATATGTGTATATGAGTGTGCATGTGTGAGCATATGGGTGAGTGATTGGGTGCGTGTACACACGTGTGAGTGAGTATGCATGTGCACATGCATATGTGTGTACATGTGTATGTGTGTATGGAGGTGTATGTGCATATGTGTGTGTCTACAAGTGTGTCTGTGTGCATGTGTGTTCCTTTTTAAATCTTAAAGGAAAACATAAGTAATTTCTAGACCTAGTCAGTGGCACCAAATTGCCATAACAGGCCATCTGGAGAAGAATGGGGGAAGGAGGAAGGGAGACCACGGCAGCCATGCACCAGGTGTTGAACACCTCTTTTCTGTTCCATCCTCATCTTGTACTGACCAACACAGACAAAGAGCAGCTGGCTCCACAGAGAAGAGGCAACCGCCTGGCCACGTGGCCCATGCATGGCCGAAATTTTGCTGGCAAGTGCCTCCACCATCAAAGATATCGCTACCCCCTGTGGAGGAGCCTCTGGGAGGCACCCAGGAGGGCGTGAAGACATTTTTCAATTACCATTCAACAAGGTGTCCAATTAAGAACATGGCACAGCTCCAAGCCTCCACGTGGCTTCTGCCTCCAGAAACAATGCCACCTGCAGAGGTAACAGGCTGGCTCTAAAAACTGAAATCCGTTACTTTAACATAGTTTTAATGAGTTTTCTAAAGTAACATTATTCTTCATCTTTTTTAACTTACTGCATTTGAAAAGTGAAATCAAATTGTTTTTAAAACAAATATTCTTTTGTAAATCCTAAATCAGGATTCTTGTCTACAAATTAAGCTAGTCCAAGTTCACTCTAATAACTTGGGTTTGCCTGGTGTTTGCAGTTTTCAGAGCTCCCCCACGTGTTAATCCTACAGGTACCAGAAGCCTTCACTGAGTGTATTGGCTGACCCATGCCGGCCAGATACGTTCTAAGACTTAGTCCTTTTAATTCTCCCAGCCATGCGGAGCCCTTTTAACTCTCCCACCCATGCTTAACTGTACTATCCTCTTACAATTAAGTAAAGGTAACGAGTGAATTTAGTGTCTTGGACTGAGTTTCTTCCTTGTACCAGGCTGGACTGGATTCCAGAACATCCAGGGATTCTGAGTGCTTCCCCTACACCTCTCCCACCCATTTACTCTCCATAGTCAGCTGAATAACAGCCCCCTAAAGATAAGCTGTCCGGCCGGGCGCGGTGGCTCACGCCTGTAATCCCAGCACTTTGGGAGGTGGAGGCGGGCAGATCACGAGGTCAGGAGATTGAGACCATCCTGGCTAACACGGTGAAACCCCGTCTCTACTAAAAACAAAAAATTAGCCGGTCGTGGTGGCGGGCGCCTGTAGTCCCAGCTACTCCAGAGGCTGAGGCAGGAGAATCGCGTGAACCGAGGAGGCGGAGCTTGCAGTGAGCTGAGACCGCGCAACTGCACTCCAGCCTGGGTGACAAAGCATGACTCCGTCTCAAAAAAAAAAAAAAAAAAAAAAGGTAAGCTGTCCACACCTAATCCCCAGAAGCTGTAAATATGTTACCTTACATAGCAAATGTGATGAAGGGTGCAGATTTTGAGACACGGAGGGTTTCCTGGACTATCCAGGTGAGTTTAATCTAGCCTCATGAGTCCTAACAGAAGAGAAGGTTTCTGGCTGAGAGAGGAATTTGAGGATGGAAGAAGGAGCAGGGGATGTGAGATAAAGAATCTGCTGTTGCTGGCTTTGAGGATGGAGGAAGGGGCCATAAACCAAGGAATGCAGGTGGCCCTAGAAGCTGGAAAAGTCAAGCAATGAAGACACAAAAATCAAATCAAGAAAACCATTCCATTTACAATAACATCAAAAGAATAAAATACTTAAGAATGCATTTAACCAAAGAAGTGCAAGACTTATACACTGAAAGCTACAAAGCACCGTGGACAAAAATTAAAGACCTAAATGTAGGAAGACACCCTGTGTTCATGGATTGAAATACTTAATATTGTGAAGATGGCAAAACTTACCAAATAGGTCTTCAGATTCAACATAATCCCTAGTTAAATTCCAACTGCAAAAAAAGAGTTTATTGCAGAAGTTGATAAGCTGATTCTAAAATTCATATGGAAATGCAAAGGACTCAGAATGCCAAAACAATCTTGAAAAAGAAGAACAAGTTGGAGGACTCACTTCTGATTTCAAAACTTACCACAAAGTTACAGTAATTAAGGCTGTGTGATAATAGAATAAGAATAGAATAAGATAATAAGACATGGATCAATGAAATAATGAAATAGTATTGAGAATCCAGAAACAAACTCGATTTGTTTTGGGCAACTGATTTTCACCCAGGGGTACCAAGACAATTCAATGGCAGAAAGAGCAGTCTTCTCAAAAAATGATGCTGAGACAACTGCATATCCACATGTAAAAGAATGAAGTTAGACTCCTCATACCATATACAAAAAATTAACTCAAAATGAAGTAAAGAGCTGAAGGCAGGACCTAAGACTATAAAACTTGAGGAAGAAAAAACAGGCATAATTCTTTGTGACATTTGATTGGGTAACAATAGTGTCTTAGATATGATCTCCAAAGTACGAGGAACCAAAGGGGGGAAAAAAAGACAAACTGGCTGTCAACAAAATTAAAAATGTTTGTGCTTCAAAGAACACTATCAAGAAAGTAAAAAAAACTCATAGAATGGAAGAAAATATTTCCAAATCATATAGCCAGTAAAGGTCTAGGATCCAGAATATATAAAGAAGTCTTAGCCAGGTGCAGTGGTTCACACCTGTAATCCCAGTGCTTTGTGAGGCCAAGATGCGAGGAGTGCTTGCAGCCAGGAGTTTGAGACCAGCCTGGGTAACATAGTGAGACTTTGTCTCTAACAAAATTATTATTTATTTATTTATTTATTTATTTATTTATTTTTATCTTTATTTTTATTTTGAGACGGAGTCTTGCTCTGTCACCCAGGCTGGAGTGAGTGGCTTGACCACAGCTCACTGCTGCCTCAACCTCCCAGGCTTAACTGATCCTCCCACCTCGGCCTTCTGAATAGCTGTGACTACAGGTGCACACCATCATGCCTGGCTATTTTTTTTTACTTTTTGTAGAGACGGAGACTCACTACATTGCCAGGGCTGGTCTCAAACTCCTGGGCTCATGTGATTCTCCCACCTTGACCTCCCAAAGTGCTGAGATTATAGGTTTGAGCCACCACACCCAGCCAAAATATAATTTTAAAAAATTAGCTGGTGGCACGCACCTGTAGACCCAGCTATTTGGGAGGCTGAGACGGGAGGATCACTTGAGCCCAGCAGCTCAAGGCTGTAGTCAGCTATGATCCCGCCACTCTGCTCCAGCCTGGGTGACAGAGACCTTGTCTCAAAAAAAAAAAAAGACAAATAATTTGATGGGAAAGGGATTAGAATAGACATTTCTCCAAAGAAGATGTAATAATTAGTAAAATGCAAATCAAAACAAAAATGAGATCCTATTTCATACCCACTAGGATAGCTATAACCAAAAAGTCAAATAATAAGAAGTGGTGACCAAGATATGGAGGAGCTGGAATCATCATGTATTGCTGGTAAGAATGTAAAATGGTGTTGCTCCTTTGGGAAACTGTGTGAAAATTCCTCAAAACTTAAACATGGAGTCACCATATGACCCAGGAGTTCCACTCCTTGTTATATATCCAAAAAAAATGGAAACATAGGTTCATCGCAGAAACTTATCCACAGTGTTTGCAATAGAATCATTTATAATCACCAAAAAGGAGAATCAAACCAAATCTATTCATCAATTGATGAATAGATAAAATACAGTATATCCCCACAATGGAATAGTGTTCAGCCATAAAAAGAAAAGTACTGATGGATGAAATTTGAAAACATTATGCTAAGTGAAACAAGTCAGATAAAAAAGATCCTCACATATTTTATATTATTACATTTGTGTGAAATGTCCAGAATAGGCAAATCCTTAGAGACAGAAAGTTGATTAGTCTCAAAATAAATACATAAATAAAGCTGTTACTTTTCAGTAAGTAGTTTTGGTGCAGTGTCAGTATAAATTGAAAATACACAGTTTATAAAATTGTAGGCTTGATACAATCTCATTTTGATTTAAAGTGTTTGTGTGTGTGTGTGTATGTGTGGTGTGTGTATTTGTGGTGTGGTGTGTATGTGTGGAGTGTGCATGTATATGTGTAGTGTGTGGTGTGTTGTGTATGTGGTGTGGGGGGTATGTGGTGTGTGCATGCAGTGTGTGTGTGGTGTGATGCATGCTGTTGTGTGTGGTGTGTGTATGTGGTGTGTGTGTGCTGTGTGTGTTGTGTTGCGTGTGTGCTGCATGATATGTGTGTGGTGTGTGTGTATGGTGTGTGGTGCACGTGTGCTGGGTATGTGCTCTGTGGTGTGTGTGTGGCATGTGTGGTGTGTGTGTGTGTGTGTCTTGTGGTGTGTGTGTATGTGCTGCATTGTATGTGTATGGTGTTTGTGTAGTGTGTGGTATGTGTATGCAGTGTGTGTGCAGATGGAGGATATGAAGGTATAAAGCAACATTTAAATACAGGTATTATTTATTTTATATTTTTGCTTACCTTTATTTTCTGTGTCATATCATGAGATGTATTAAAAATTATTTTAAGGTTTTAAAATAAGGATGTAACTGACCCTGAGGACCATCCCTGTCTTCATTTCTCTTGATCTTACAAACCATTTCCTCCCTCAGCCCTTCCATCAAGGTCATCAGACTGAAAGACTTAAAACTTCCTACGCGCTCAGAATCTCTCTTACAATCTGTACTAACACATTTTCTGTCCCGGATAATCTAAAGGAAGAACCAACCATGCACTCCTATCCTAGTAAGCAACATGGAGAATCATGAGGCCTGGCCCTCCAGGGGTCCTGGCTATGCAAGAAAAAACCTAGTTCCTCATCAGCCACTATCCAGGGGCTCAGCCCCACGTCCTGCTTTTCAGGAGCCCAGCCTCAGAGCCGTCATGGCCTCATCCACTCCTGGATCTTCAGCATCTACCTTGGCTGGAAGCCTACATGATCATCAGACCCAAAGCCACACCCCACCTGCTCTGCTAGGGTGGCGCTTCTGCATCCCTTCTCTTAGCCCTGACCAAACCTTTCCAACTGCACCACCTTTGTCCCAACCCAGCAGCTTGATGTTGAGTATTGAAGAGTCTAACCCTCAGCATTAAGCTGAGCACTAAGACCCAGCAGGCTGTGCTTGGGTCTTCCAAGTGCCAGAAGGAAAGAGCAAGGAGGAGGAAACTGACACGCACTGACCTGTCACTATGTTCCTTGCATAAATTATCTTACTTTTTCTTCACAATTGCACAGCAAATATGTTATTGGTGTCATCTCCATTTTAAAATAAGGAAACTGAGATTCAGAGAGGGTAAATGGCTTGTCCAACACATTGATGAGTAAACCCCAGAACTGGGATTCCAAACCCTTACTTCTTCTGCTACTGTTACCTATAAGTGCCCCACTGTTTTTTGTTGTTGTTATGAAGTCCTATACCTATACAAGAGATGCAAGATTGAAGCAGAGATCTAGCAGAAACTCTGCCAGCTGGAAGGAAGAGCACATTGAATCAGTTCCATGGGTGAATCATGAGTGAGGGAATCAAATACCTGATGTGTGAGGGCTGACACTGGGGACAATGCAAAGATAAATAGCAAGAATTGGGTTGAGGGAATCAGGAAAGATATCGACCAGAGCAGAAAGCTAAGAACATGATAATGCCAGTTTAGGCCTCAGAAGGGGGATGTATGTGTTTCTGAAAGCCAAAAAAATGACTAGGAGCTCAAACAATTGTATTGATTGTGTGCTGAGGATTAGATGACAACAGAGAAAGGATGACCTAGAATGAGAGGAATCAGAGAGAAAAAGGCAAACTTCCCTTTGCTTGGGCCACTTGCTCTTAGAAGCCAGCCATCATGACATAAAGAAGCCCTAGCAGGACCGTGGAGGCCCACATGGAGAGGAACCAAAGCCCCAGACAAGCTACCAGCCAACACCCAGCACCACAGAGCCCTCCAAATGCATGCATGCCAGTCATTCCTCCCAGGTGACATTGCATGAAATAGAGATGGCAAAGCTCTGCCCAATTCTATATTTTGGAGCAAAATAAATGGCATTGTTAAAGGAAGAAAACACCTCCCTGGAAATTTAAGAGACTGATTCTAACATTCATTTCACAGATGAGAAAACTAAGACTCCAAAAAATTAAATACCTTTCCTAATGTTATATACAGTGGTGGAAGCAAATTTCCACACAGGTCTTAATGTGAAACTCATCATTTCAGCCCTCATGCTGGATCTATTTTACTACACCATCTAAGATGTTACCATTCCTGCAAAATACCTCATGCTCATGAGAGCACCACCACTTCTGCAAAAAAAGCAGAGCTCTCTGGGATTACCTACTAAGCTATCCTGAAGCTCCTTCAAGGACATCTCAGAAGAATGTGTGCACACTACACACAAGCACCCCAAACACGACCTGTTTTCAAGTCTCCAGACCTCTTTCTGCTCAAGTATTCTCAGGCAGGCATGCACTCCTACTCTTTCCTGCCCTCTGCAGCCCCACTACTCATGCAAAGACGACTGAAACGCATTCAGCTTCATGACTTAAGTCGAGCTAAAATTAATTTTTCTCAAAGTTAACTGTTTTGTAATAACCAATTATTTTGCCTTACCTTTCTTAAAATTTCTTTTATCCTGCCTTATAAAAGTTGTTCTTCTCATTTGGAAATGGTGTTTATGTAACTTATAATTAAAAATAATCTGGATTAATTTATTTGTCAAATAAATGCTCTTTTTAAAAGAAATTCACAAGCCAGACACAGTGTGGTGCACGCCTGTAGTCCCAGTGACTTGGGAGGCTGAAGTGGGAGGATCAATTGAATCTAAGAATATGAGGCCAGCCTGGAAAACATAAGGAGATCCCCATCTCTATTTTTAAAAACAAAAAAAAAGAAATTCAAAATGATAATATGACAGTTTCTTGGCATATATAGAAGTGGCATATTTTATTAAACAATATACTATTAGTTTTATTATTTATATATTCATATTTATTATTAATATTTGCTATATTAGTCATTTACTTATTGTAGTGGACATCTCTTGGATTGCCTTTCCAACCCTCTTTCTGAAGCTACCCTTTCTTCTTCTTCTTCTGTATTCCCATAACTATTAGAATGAAAGCTCCCTGGGGACAAGGACATTGCTTTGTTTACTGCTGTATCTCTATACTTAAAACACTGCAAGGTACCTGGAAGTGCTTCATAATTATTTACTGAATCAATGATTTTAGCAAGAAGTCTTCCGCAGTCAAGTGGCCTCAACCCTCTGGATACTAAGTCAATAAGTGATGTATTAGGAAAGCAACATTTGGAACTGGAATAAGAAAGAATGGTAGTCTCTATCCAACAGACTAAATGGATAATATATACCTTTAGGAGCTCTCTTGTATATCATGTGAACCCGAGATTCAGAGGAAGCTTATCTTCATGAAAGGCAAGAATTACAGGAAAAGAATAGTCTTTTCAACAAATGGGGTTGGAAATACTGGATATCCACATGCAAAAGAATGAAGTTGGACCTTTCCCCTACCTTCTACTCACTCAAAATCTATTGGAAACCTACATGTAAGAGTTAAAACTAAGAAACTCTTAGAAGAAGACATGGGGGGAAGCTTTATGACATTGGATTTGGAAATGCTTTCTTGGATAGGACACCATAAGCACAGACAACAAAAGAAAAAAATGGAACTTCATAAAAATTAAAAACTTGTATGCATCAAAGGACACGATCAACAGAGTGAAAAGCCAACTACGACATGCAGAATGGGAAAAAGTATTCGAAAATCATATATCTGGTAATGGGTTAATATCCAGACTACATAAAGAACTCCTACAACTCAACAACAACAACAAAAAGAACAAACAACACAATTAAACCATGGGCAAAGCAGGAGTTTGAGACTAGCCTGGGCAACATAGGGAAACACTGTCTCTATAAAAAATAAAAAATTAGCCTGGCTTGTGATGCACACTTGTGGTCCCAGCTATTTGGGAGGCCAAGAGGGAGGATTACTTGAGCTTGGGAGGTCGAGGCTGCAGTGAGCCGTGATCGCCCCACTGCACTCTAGCTGGGCAACAGACTGAGACCCTGTCTCTAAAAAACAAAAAATTAAACTAAACCAATAAAATAGGGAAATTATGACACACACTACCACATCAATGAATCTTGAAGACATTATGCCAAGTGAAATGAGCCAGCAAAAAATGACAAACGATTCCACATATATGAGACACCTGGGGTGGTCAAATTCATACTGACAGAAAGTAAAATGGTGGTCACCATGAGCTGGGGGAAGGGAGGAATGAGGAGCTGTTGTTTAATGGATAAAGAGACTTAGTTTTGGAAGATGACAAAGTACTGGAGGTGGACAGTGACGACAGTTGCAGGACAAGGTGAATGCACCTAATGCCACTAAACTGTACACTGACAATGGTTAAAATGGTAAATTTCATGCTATGTAAATTGAAAAAAAAATCACAGGAAACAACTAAGAGAAGACAAAGTTCTGAAGCATTCAAGTCCTTAGTTCCAGCTGCATCCTTGTCCCAGGTTCCACAAAGCACTCGTTTCTCTAGTTGGTTTCTGTTGCTTGCAACCAAAGTACTTCAGAGATCCCCAATGAGATCAGGACTTGAAAAATGTAGTTCTATCTCACCTTTGAAATGAGATGATTATTGATGAAATATAAATAAATATATAGACAGGAAAAAAGGATTATAATTCTTGTAAATTCGTCTCTGGGTTAGTTACCATGGTCTACCCCACTGCATATATAATAGTCCCTTTGTGCAAGTGAGTTGGTTGAATTCAGGGTGTGAAATAAGAGATTACAAAGTCCCCAAATTAACCTAGGATAGAAAAAAATGCTTGCCCTAGAAACTAGCTACCATAATTTTGTAGCAACTGAGAGATTGAGCCAGGAAAACATATTAGCACATCTGCAAGTTTGCACTACCTGAACCCTTCTCAGTAACCATGGTAACTACCAATATGTGGGTAAAAGTGAAACAAAGGCATTAACTTTTAATGCCTGTATAGCTAGTTTAATCAGTGTTTGCCTGAACACTAGACATTTTTACCAAAAAGAAAAAGTAAAGACTAAACAATAGAATTTTAACAAGGACATTATGAATTGCAACAAAAATCAGAACCTGTGAATAATTAAAACTAAAATGTTTCAACCTTGAAACTAACCAATAATAGGGACTCTGAAGTTTACAGAAACAAACGATTTTTTAAGAAGGACATATATAGAACATTAATGAGGATGAGTACACTATAAATGAAAACAAAACTGGAAGTTACGCATTAAATTAAAGCCATGTTTCAACCTTGAGATGGTTTAAATCTAACTAATACTGTGGACTCTTAATAAAAAAAAAAAGAGAGAGATTTTATAAAAATAATCTCACTGCCCAATGCCCTCTACCTCAAAAAACAGTTGCTTCAAAATGCAACAGAATGTTCTAAGGTACTGGTAACATTTTAGCTCCTAAACTGAGTGTTAGGAGCGTAAGTGTTGACCTTATTCTCCTTTTGATTTTACATGTACGTTAAATACCATCTTTTGCATCTAAAATTTATTTCATAATAAAAAATTTATAAGACAGAATAGATAGAAGACGCTCCCTTTCAAAACATAAGGCCTAGGCCTTAGGCCAAAATAGAGTAGGGCAGAATAAAAGTTGCAGCTCATAGGAAAAGAAATTCCAGGAGACTGATTCTTAGAGTCACCAGGAGGGCTTGTTAAAGACACATGCTGCCAGGTCCCACCCCAGAGTTTCTGATCAGCAGATCTGGGTGGTCCTGAGAATCTGCATGCCTAACAATTTCCCAGGTGATGCTGCTGCTCTGGGGACCACACCTCCCACCTTGGAAATCTGTGCCCTGGATCATTCCGTGTTAAACCCACTCCACCATCTTCATTTGTTCTAGCCTTCTATTTTACTGGGTCAAACTAATTAGATGCCACAATGGACTGACTTTTACTATCAAAGACTATTTTTTTCCAGCTTTACTGAGGTACAATTGATTAAAAGTGTATATATTTCAGGTGTACAGTGTCATGCTTTTTGTTCGCTCATTTTGAGACACCGTTGCCCAGGCTAGAGTTCAGTGGTGCAATTACAGCTCACTGCAGCCTGGACCTCCCTAGCTCAAGCGACCCTCTAGCCTCAGCTCCCCAAATAGTTGTGACTACAGGTGCGCACCACCATGTCTGGCTAATTTTTTTATTTTTTGTAGAGACAGGGTTTTGCCATGTTGCCCAGGCTGGTCTCAAACTCCTGAGCTCAAGTGATCCGCCTGCCTCAGCCTCCCAAAATGCTGGGATTGCAGGCGTGAACCACGGTGCCCAGCTACAGTGTCCTGTTTTGATGTATGAATACCTTGTGAAGTGATTACCACAATCAAGCTAATTAACACATCCATCACCTCACAGGTTACCATTGTTTGAATGTGGTGAGAACACCTAAGATCTACTTTTTAAAAAAATTATTATTATTGTGCTTAATAGTTTTGGGAGTAGAGGTGGTTTTTGGTTACATGAATGAGTTCTTTAGTGGCGAATTCTGAGATTTCAGTGTGCCCATCACCAAGCAGGGTACACTGTACCCAATATGTAGCCTTTTTTCCCTCCCCACCCTCCCAAACTCCCTCCCCCATGTCCCCGAAGTCCATTATATCACTCTGTATGTCTTTGCATCCTCATAGCTTAGCTCCCACTTATAAGTGAGAACATCTGGTATTTGGTTTTCCATTCCTGAGTTACTTCCCATAGAATAATGGCCTCTAGCTTCATCCAAGTCACTGCAAAAGACACAATTTCATTCCTTTTTATGTCTGAGTCATATTATATGATGTATATATACCACATTTTCTTTATCCACTGGTTGGTTGATGGGCCCTAAGGTTGGTTCCATATCTTTGCAAATGCAAATTGTGCTGCTATAACCATGCATGTGCATGTCTCTTTTTCATGTAATGACTTCTTTTCCTTTGGGTAGATACCCAGCAATGAGACTGCTGGATCGAATGGTAGATCTAGTTTCAGTTCTTTAAGGAAGCTCCATACTGTTTTCCATAGTGGTTGTACTAATCTACATTACCACCAGCAGTGTAAGTGTTCCCTTTTCACCACATCCATGCCAACGTTTTTTTTTTTTTCACTTTAATTATGGTTTTGTGGGGGGTGGGGGGGGTTGGTTGTAGGTTTTTGTTGTTGTTGTTGTTTTGTTTTGTTTTGTTTTTGACAGTCTCGCTCTGTTACCCAGGCTGCAGTACAGTGGTGCGATCTCAGCTCACTGCAGCTTCCACCTGGGTTCAGGCAATTCTCTTGCCTCAGCTTCCCAAGTGACTCGGATTACAGCAGTGTGCCACCACGCCCAGCTAATTTTTGTATTTTTAGTAGAGACAGAGTTTTGCCATGTTGGCTAGGCTGGTCTGGAACTCCTGACCTCAAGTGATCCACCAGCCTTGGCTTCCCAAAGTGCTAGGATTACAGACATGAGCCACCACGCCCAGCCTGACTTTAATTATGGCATTCTCACAGGAGTAAGGTGGTATCTCACTGAGGTTTTAATATGTATTTCCCTGATGATTAGTGATGTTGAGCACCTTTTCATATGTTTGTTGGTTGTATGTATAGTAAGATCTGCTTTCTAAGCAAATTTCAAATACACAATAGAGTATTATTAACTATAGTCACAATGCTGTACATTAGATTTCTAGGGCTTATTCATCCTACATAACCAAACTTTGTATCTTTTTACCAGTATCTCCCCATGCCCACCTCCAGCTTCTGGCAACCATCATTCTACTCTCTGCTTTTGTGAATTCAGCTTTTTAGAATTCCACATGTAACAGATCATGTAGTCTTTGTCCTTCTGTGCCTGGCTTATTCCACTTAGCATCTTGTCCTCCAGGTTCATCTATGTTGTCACAAATGGTAAGATTTCCTTCTTTTTTTAAGGCTGAATTTACAATAGAATATTGTACAATAGAATACTATTGTACAATAGAATACTGCTGCAATGAACATACATAGGACAGATATCTCAGATATCACTTTGAGATACTGATCTCATTTCCTTTGACTATATACCCAGAAGTGGTAATGCTGGGTCATATGGTAGTTCCATTTTTAATTATTTGAGGAACTGCCATACTGTTTTCCATAATGGCTGTACTAATCTACATTCCCACCAATAGTGTACAAGGGTTTCCTTTTCTCTATATCCCCACCGACACTGGGTATCTTTTGTCTTTTTGATCATAACCATTTGACAAGTGTGAGACAACATCTCTGTGGTTTTGCTTTGCATTTCTTTGGTGATTGGTGATGTTGAGCACCTTTGCAAATACCTGTTGGCCATTTGTATGTCTTCTTTGGAAAAATGTCTATTCTGGTCCTTTGCCATTTTTAAATTTATTATTTTAAGGATAAGGTCTCAGTCTGTTGCCCAGGCTGGAGCGCAGTGGTGCACTCATAGCTCATTGCAGTTACAAACTCTTGAGCTCAAGCAATTCTCCTACCTTAGCCTGCAAAGTAACTAGGACTATCGGCACACACCACCACACCTGGTTATTTATTTATTTTTTTTTTGTAGAGACGAGGTCTCATCATGTTGTCCAGGCTGGTCTTGAACTCCTGGCCTCAAGCAATTCTCCTGCCTCAGCATCCAAAAGCCCTGGGATTATACGTGTGAGTCACCCTACCCACCCTATTTTGTTTTTTTTGCTATTGAATTGTTTGAATTCCTTATATATTTGGATACTACCCCTTATGAGATGTATGGTTTGCAAATATTTTCTCCCACTCCATAGGTGGTCTCTTCATTCTGTTGATTTTTTTTGTTTGTTTGTATGTTTGTTTGTTTTGCTGTGCAGAACCACTTAATGCAGCAATTCCTCTTGTCTATCATTCTATCTTTGCTTTTGTTGCCTATGTTTTTGGGGTCCTATCCCAGACCAATGTCAAGCTTTTCCCTAAGTTTCCTTTTAGTACTTTTACATTATTAGGTTTTACATTTAAGTCTTTAATCGCATCTTGAGTTGATTTTTTTATATGACGTAGATAAGGGTCCAGTTACATTCTTCTGCTCGTGGATATCTACTTTTCCCAACACCATTTATTGAAGAGACTACTTTTTTCCCATTGCATGAGCTTAGCATTCTTATTGAAAATCAGTTGATCATAAATGTGTAGATTTATTTTGTGGCTCTCTATTTTGTTCCACTGGTCTATATTCTATTTTTACTCTAGCATCATACTGTTTTGATTACTGTAGATTTATAATATATTTTGAAATAAGGAAATGTGATGTCCCCAGCTTTGTTCTTTTTGTTCAAGATTGCTATGGCTATTCAAGGTCTTTTGTGGTTTCATATGAATTTTAGAATTGTTTTTTCTTTTTCTGTGAAAATTGCTATTAAAATATTGATGGCGATTACATTGAATCTGTATATCACTTTGGATATATACATTTTAACTATATTAATTCTTCCAATCCATGAACACAGAATATTTTTCCTTTTATTTGTGTCTTTTTCAGTTTCTTTTATTAAAGCTTTATGGTTTTCAGAGTACAGATCTTCAATCTCTTTGGTTAGATTTATTCCTAAGTATATTATTCTTTCTGAAGCTCTGGTAAATGGAATTGTTTTTAAACTTCTTGTTTGGATAGTTCATTGTTACTGTATAAAAAGCAACTGATTTTTTATATGTTGATTTTGTATCCTGCAACTTTACTAAATTTATTCTTCAGTCCTAACGGTTTTTGGTGGCGTCTTTAAGATTTTCTATATATAAGGTGATGTCATCTGCAAACAGAAAATATTTTACTTTATTCTGATTTTGATGTCTTTTTTTTTTTTTTTTTTTTTTTTTGCCTAATTGCTCTGGCTAGGACTTCTAGTGCTATGTTGGATAAAAGTGGTGGAAAGTGGGCATCCTTATCTTGTTTCTGATCTTAGAGAAATAGCTGTTTTCAGTCTTTCACAATTGAATATGATGTTAGCCTACAGCTTGTCATATGAGGTCCTTATTTTGTTGAAGTACATTATTCTGTTCCTACTTTGTATCACAAAAATGTTGAATTTTGTCAAATGTACTTTCTACATCTATTGAGTTGATCATATAATTTTTATCCTTCATTTTGTTAATGTGGTATACCATATTTCTTGATTTGAGTATGTTGAACCATGATTGCATGCAGAGATAAATTTCACTTGATCACAGTATATGATCCTTTTAATGTACTCTTGAATTCAGTTTTCTAGTACTTTATTGTGGATTTTTCCATCTATGTTCATCAGGGATGTTGGCCTGTAATTTTCTTTTCTTGTAGTGCTCTTGTCTGGCTTTGGTAACCAGGATAATGCTGGCTTCATAAAAGGGGTTTGGAATGTTTCCTCCTCTTCAATTTTTTTGTAAGTTTGAGGAGGATTGGCATTAATTATTTAAATGTTTGGTATAATTCACCAGTGAAGCCATATATTCTTGGGCTGTTCTTTGTGGAGAGTTTTTTCACTAATTCAATCTCCATACTCATTTTTGGCCTGTTCAGATTTTCTGTTTTTTCACGGCTCTTGGTAGGTTGTAGGTTCCCAGGAATTTATCCACATCATCCAGACTATTCAAATTGTTGGCATATAATTGTTCATAGTAGTCTCTTATGATCTTTTATACTTCTGTGGCATTGGTTATAATGTCTCCTCTTTCATTTATAAATTTATTTACATGTGTCTGCTTTTTTTCTTGGATAGTCTAGCTACAGGTTTGTCCATTTTATTTACCTTTTCAAAAATTCAACTCAGTTTTGATTTTGTATTGTCTTTCTAGCTTTTATTTTTCTTATTTGTACACTAATCTTTATTATTTCCTTCCTCTGCTAACTTAAGGCTTAATTTATTCATATTTTTCTAGTTCCTTGAGGTGCAAAGTTAGATTGTTTATTTGAGATTTTCTTTTTTCTTAATGTAGACATTTGTCATTATTAACTTCTCTCTTAAAACTGCTTTTGGTGCATCTCATAAGTTTTGGTATATTGTGGCACTATTTTCATTTGTCTCAAGAGATTTTTTATTTGCCTTTTGATTTCCATTTTGATCTATTGGTTGTGCGGGAGTGTGTTGTTTAATTTCTTCATATTTGTGAATTTTCTGATTTTCTTTCTGTTATTTATTTCTAGTTTCATACCAGTGTGATTGAAAAAGATATACTTGATAAGATTTCAATGTTCTTAAATCTGTTAACAAAAAGAATCTGTTGTTTTGTGGCCCAACATATTATCTATCTTAGAGAATGATCTGTGTGCACTTGAGAAGAATGTATATTTTGCTGCTGTTGGATGGAATATTTTGTATGTATCTGTTAGGCCCATTTGGTCTACAGTGTTACTCAAGATTCAAGTCCACCGTTTCTTTATTGATTTATTTTTCTTTCCTTCCTTCCTTCTTTCTTCTTCTTTTTTTTTTTTTTTTTGATGGAGTTTCACTCTGTCACCCAGGCTGGAGTGCAGTGGCACAATATCGGCTCACTGCAACCTCCACCCATCCTGGGTAAAGCAATTCTCCTGCCTCAGCCTCCCGAGTAGCTGGTATTAGAGGCACCCACCACCACATCTGGCTAATTTTTGTATTTTTAGTAGAGACAGGGTTTCATCATGTTGGCCAGGCTGGTCTCAAACTCCTGTCTTCAGGTGCCTCAGCCTCCCAAAGTGCTGGGATTACAGGTGTGAGCCACCACGCCTGGCTTTTTTTTTTTTTTTTTTTTAATACAGAGTCTCACTCTCTTGCCCAGACTGGAGTGCTATGGTACAATCTCAGCTCACTGCAACTTCTGCCTCCTGGGTTCAAGTGATTCTTGTACCTCAGCCTCCTGAGTAGCTGGATTACAGGCATGCATCACCATGCCCAGCTAATTTTTTTTGTATTTTTAGTAGAGATGGGGCTTTGCTATGTTGGCCAGGTTGGTTTCGAATTCCTGGCCTCAAGTCATCTGCCCACCTCAGCCTCCCAAAGTGCTGGGATTGCAGGCATGAGCCACTGTGCCTGGCCTGGTTTTCTTTTTGGATGATCTATCCATTGTTGAAAGGGAGAAAATAAAGTCCCCTAATATGACCATATTGCTGTATATTTCTTCCTTCAGTTCTGTTAATATTTGCTTTATATATTTAGGTACTCTGATGTTGGTTGCATATATATTTACAATTGTTATACCTTCTGATGAATTGATCCCTTTATCATTGTATAATGACATTTTTTTGTGTCTTGCAGTAGTTTTTGACTTAAAGTTTTCTGCTATAACTATAGCCACCCCTGCTCTCTTTTGGTTGCTATTTGCATGAAATATCTTTTTCCATCCTTTCAGTTTGAGCTAATGTGTGTCCTTAAAGCCAGAGTGAGTTCCTTGGAGGCAGCATATAGCTGAATCTTGTTTTTATATCCACTCAATCACTCTATTTCAAGCACTCTATTTTTTTCATTACAAACTTTAATTCATTTACATTTAAAGTAAGTATTGATAGATAAGGACTTAATACACCATTTTGTTAACTATTTTGTGTTTGTTTTGCGGTATCTTTGTTCCTTCCTTTCTTGATGTCTCTTCTGTGATTTCATAATTTTTTTGTTGTGGTATGCTGTAATTCCTTCCTTTTTATCTTTTGTGTATCTACCAGAGATTTTTTCTATGTGGTTACCATGAGGCTTACATAAAACATCTTATAGTTATAAGCTGATAACAATTTAACTGCAATACAAAAAAAAATCTATATTTTACTTCCTTTCATCCTCACATTTTATGTTATTGACATCCCAATTTATACCTCTTCATATTGCATATCTATAATGTTATTGTAGCTTAATTTTTTTTACTACTTTTGTCTTTTAACTTTTATGCTATAGTCAAAAGTGATTTATGAACCACCATTATAGTATTAAAGTATTCTGAATTTGACTATATACTTACCTTTACCAGTGATTTTTATACTTTCATATGTTTTCATGTTACTAATTAGCATCCTTTCATTTCAACTTAAAAATTTTCCTTTAGTATTTCCTGTAAGGAAGATATAATGGTGATGAATTCCCACAACTTTTGTTTAGGAAAGTCTTTATCTCTCCTTCATTTATGAAAGACAACTTTCCTAGACATAATATTCGTAGTTGGCAGTTTTTTCTTTCAACACTTTGAATATACCATCCCATTCTTTCCTGGCCTGCAAAATTTTTGCTCAGAAGTCTGGTAATAGGCTCAAGAAGTTTCCCTTGTATGTGATGAGTCACTTTTCTCCTGCTGTTTTCAAAATTCTCTCTTTGTCTTTATCTTTTGATAATTGGATTATAATGTGACTCAGTATAATCTTCTTTGGGTTGATCTTATTTGAAGAGCTTTTAGCTTCATGAATCTGGATGTCCATTTCCCTCCCAAAATTTGGGAAGTTTTCAGCCATTATTTTTTTAAATACATTTTATTCTCCTTTCTCTTTCTCTTTTACTTGTGAGAATCCCATAATGTATATATTAATTCACTTGATGGTGTCCAGTAAATTCTGTAGGCTTTCTTCACTATTTTTTTTCTTTTTTCTTCTCTGACTAATTTCAAATAGCCTGTCTTCAAGTTCGCAGATTCTTTCTTCTGTTTGATCGAGTCTACTGTTGAAGCTCTCTATTGCATTCTTCATTTCATTCATTGCATTATTTAGCTCCAAATTTTCTGTTTGGTTATTTTTAAAGATTTATGTCTCTTTGTTGAACTTCTAGGCTGAGTATGGTGGCTCAGGCATGTAATTCCAGCACTTTTGGAGGCCAAGGCAAGCAGATTGCTTGAGCCAGGAGTTTGAGACCAGCCTGGGCAACATGGCGAAACCCCATCCCTACAAAAAACACAAAAATTAGCCAGACATGGTGGTGCATACATGTTGTCTCCGCTACTAGGGAGGCTGACGTGGGAGGATCACTTGAGCTTAGGATGTTGAGGCTGCAGTGAGCCATGATTGTGCCACTCACTCCAGCCTAGGCAACAGAGGAAGACCCTATCTCAAAAAAAAAGAACTTTCAGCTTTGTTAATGTATTGTTTTCTTCGTTTTGTAGTGTTCTCTATTTGTGTTCTCTTGTAGCCTGCTGAGCTTTTAAAAAACAATTACTTGAAATTTTGTCAGGCAATTTGTAGATCTCTATTTCTTTGGGAATGGTTACTGGAAAAGTATTGTGTTTCTTTTTTAGTGTTGTGTTTCCTTAACTTTTTGTGTTTCTTGAAGTCTTGTATTGTTACATTCATATTTGAAGAGGCAGGCATTTCCCCCAGTTTCCACTGAATGGCTTTGGGAAAGAAAAATCTTCACCAGTCAGCCCAGCTAGGGATTCAGGGAGTCTCTCAGACCTTTTCCATGGATCTGCCAACTCCAGTCCTCTTGCTTTCTCTTGGCGAAGGGAGGATAAGGGGAGTGTTAGGACTGTGTGTCTTCTCTCAATCTCACAAAGCCAGGCCATGTGCTGAGGGCTGTCTGTTTATTTTCCCAAGTACAGTGGTTTATTAGTCTGTTCTCATACTGCTATGAAGAAATCCCCAAGATTGAGTAATTTATAAATGAAAGAGGTTTAATTGACTCACAGTTCTGCATTGCTGGGGAGGCCTCAGGAAACCCACAACCATGGCAGAAGACACCTCTTAACAAGGCAGCGGGAGAGAGAATGAGTAACAGCAGGGGAAATGCCAGTCGCTTATAAAACCATCGCATCTCTTGGGCCTTACTCACTGTCATGAGAACAGCGTGGGGAAACTGCCCCCATGATCCAATTGCCTCTACCTAGTCCCTCCCATGACAAGTGGGGATATGGGAACTACAAATAAAGATGAGATTTGGGTGGGGACACAGCCAAACCATATCATTCTGCCCCTGACCCCTCCCAAATCTCATATCCTCACATTTCAAGACACAATCATGCCCTTCCAACTGTCCCCCAAAGTCTTAACTCATTCCAGTATTAACCAAAAAGTCCAAGTCCAAAGTCTCAACTGAGATGAAACAAGTCCCTTCTGCCTATGAGCCTGTAAAGTCAAAAGCAAGTTAGTTACTTCCTAGATACAATGCGGTACAGGCATTGGGTAAATACATTTATTCCAAATGAGAGAAATTGGCCAAAACGAAGGGGCTAAAGGCCCCATGCAAGTCCAAAATCCAATAGGGCAGTCATTAAATCTTTAAGTTACAAAATGATCACCTTTGACTCACATCCAGGTCATACTGAGGCAAGAGGTGAGCTCCCATGGCTTTGGGAAGCTCCACCCTTGTGGCTTTGCAGAGTACAGCCCCACCTCCTGGCTGCTTTCACAGGCTGGTGTTGAGTGCCTGCAGCTTTTCCAGGTACATGGTGCAAGCTGTCAGTGGATCTACCATTCTGGGGTCTGGAGGATGGTGGCCCTCTTCTCACAGCTCCACTAGGCAGTGGGGACTCTGTGTGGGGCTCCAACCCCCACATTTCCCTTCTGCACTACCCTAGCAGAAGTTCTCCATGAGGGTTCCACCCCTACAGCACACTTCTGCTTGGACATCCAGGCATTTCCATATATCCTCTGAAATCTAGGTGGAGGTACCCAAACCTCAATTCTTGACTTCTGTGCACCCACAGGCTCAACACCAAGCGGAAGCTGCCAAGGCTTGGTGCTTGCACCCTCTGAAGCAATGGCTCAAGCTGTACCTTGGCCTCTTTTAGCCATGGCTGGAGCTGAAGCAGCTGGGATGCAGAGCACCATGTCCTGAGGCTGCACAGAGCAGTGTGTACCTGGGCCTGGCCCAGGAAAGCATTTTTCCCTCCTACGCCTCAGAGCCTGTGATGGGAGGGGCTGCCATGAAGGTCTCAGACATGCCCTGGAGACATTTTCCCCATTGTCTTGGTGATTAACATTTGACTTGTTACTTATGCAAATTTCTGCAGCTGGCTTGAATTTCTCCCCAGAAAATGGGTTTTTCTTTCCTATCACATTGTCAGGCTACAAACTTTCCAAACTTTTATGCTCTGCTTCCTCTTGAATGCTTTGCTGCTTAGCAATTTCTTCTGCCAGATACCTTAAATCATCTCTCTCAAGTTCAAATTTCCACAGATCTCCAGGGCAAGGGAAAAACGCTGCCACTTTCTTTGCTAAAGCATAGCAAGAATCTCCCTTGCTCCAGTTCTGAAGAGGTTCTTCATCTCCATCTGAGACCACTTCACCTGAACTTCATTGTCCATATCACTACCAGCATTTTGGTCAAAACCATTCGACAAGTCTTTAGAAAGTTCTACACTTTCCCACATCTTCCTGTCTTCTTCTGAGTCCTCCAAACTGTTCCACTCTCTGCCTGTTACCCAGTTCCAAAGTTGCTTCCACGTTTTCGGGTATCTTTATAGCAGCAACCCACCCTTGGTACCAATTTACTGTATTAATCTGTTCTCACACTGCTATGAAGAAATACTTACCTGAGACTGGGTAATTTATAAAGGAAAGAGGTTTGATTGACTTACAGTTCTGCATTGCTGGGGAGGCCTTAGGAAACCCACAATCATGATGAAGGCACCTCTTCACAGGGTAGCAGGAGAGGAATGAGTGCCAGCAGGGGAAATGCCAGACACTTATAAAAACATCAGAGCTCATGAGACTCACTATCACAAGAAAAGCATGGCGGAAACTGCCTCCATGATCCAATTACCTCCACCTGGTCCCTCCCAAGATACATGGTGATATGGGAACTAACTTGAAGATGAGATTTCAGTGGGGAAACAGTCAAACCACATCAAGTGGCCTGTGGTGTTCAAGGTTAAGTGCCTTCTCCTAATTCTGCAGAGTTGAGCTGGCTATCTACAGGTGTTCTTGCATGATCTGAAGAGACTTGTACACTGGCTGTAGGAGTGCATGGGGAGCACTGGCTATGGAAGTTGTGCGGAGTTCTGGGGGCACATGTGAGCTAGTTGGGGGGATAGTCCACATTCTGTAAGGTTTGTGTGTGAGCCTCTTGATGAAATTCGCAAGGTGGTTGGTAGAAACTGTGGCCCTTTGCTAAGTCCCATGTTCCAGTTGCTATGAGCTTCCACCACTTTTCCCTGTTCCTAGCTACTCAAAGACTATTTAGCTGTACCAATCCCTTCAGTGTTTAGGGTGGAGTGAAAAGAAAGTGCACCTCCCACATGGCTGGGGAAGCCAGGTACTAGTACACTACACTTTCACTTTCATCTTTCCCTGCAGGAGAAATCACAGGCTAAGAGGGCCTCTCTTGTCACTGGGCTGTGCCTTTGGGGGAAGGTTGATGCAAGTAAAGTGAAACTGTTTTTCTTACCCATTTTTCTATTGCTAGTCTCAGATTTTTTGCTCCTATGGGGTGCTGGAGCCTTTTTGCTGGACTTCCAGGCTTCCAGAAAGGTATTGTTGGCAATGGGCAGTTGCCAAAATTGGTGTGTCTGTGGAAGGCTAAGGACTCAAAACTCCTATTCTCACTGATGTCACTTCTCAGTAAGTTGGTTTGTGAGTAATAAAATTAATATCTTCTTTTTATTTTTGCCCCAATATTTGTTTCTTAATTTTTAATTTTAATTTTAATTTTTCTTTTAAGTTTCACATATACCCGGTTTACAGGGTCAAATCATTAGAAAATCAAATAATTAGTAGATTTTCCTTCTTATCCAGCATACTGAAGACTTCATATTTATACCAAAAAACAAATTTTTTAATATACCAAAATAAACAGACATTCCATTCTCTGAAGTCCTTGTGTGGATTCAACTGCTTACTAAGCAACTAACATAAAATATGAAATAAGTCTAATCATAACAAGTTAAAACAATGTTCTACCTTTAGAAATTTATTTAGAAATTTATATTAAGTACACATGATTCAAAGATTTTAGTAGTATTAATACTTATTCCTAGAAAGGATATATAATATTCTTCTGAGTATCTTTAAAACTGGATTAAAGGAAGGTGTCTTCTTATTTTTCTATTTTTCCTGCTTCCTGTTAGCTATTTTTAAAAATATTTTATTTGTTAGTTTGAAAGTTACTAATGAGACAAGCCAACACTCAGGATAATGCTTTTCTAGTTATCTGTTCCTTCTCATGACTGTTCCCTGAGAAAATCCAATTATCTTCTTCTATCACCACCATTTCACTCCCCACACCCTACAACCAGTGGCATGATGGAGTTGGCCCAGGAAGACCTGTTTTCCCCCATGGTTAAATTATTATAAATCCTGTGAGCCTGTTACTAAACAGTTGGTAGCTTGAAATCTGACACTGGAAGAGTATTTACACCAAGGAAATTGGCCAATTCTACTAGGGCTTCCTCCACTCCTCCCAGAGCCCATTGTTAAATATTCACTTAGAACACCACTGCAGGCCGGGCGTGGTGGCTCAGCCTGTAATTCCAGCACTCTGGGAGGCCAAGGTGGGTGGACTGCTTGAATCCTGGGCAACATCATGAAACCCTGTCTCTACAAAAAAAAAAAAAAGAAAGAAAGAAAAAAATAGCCAGCAGTAGTGGCTGTGGTTCTAGCTACTCGGGAGGCTAAGGTGGGAGGATCGCTTGAGCCCGGGAGGCGGAGGTTGCAGTGAGCCCAGATTGCACCACTGCACTCCAGTGTGGGTGACAGTGAGATCCCATCTCAAAATAAAGTAAAATAAAATAAAATAAGAACACCACTGCCTACAAATGCTCAGCCAAAAAGCAAAGTCCATCTTGAGCTACTGTTTATAAACAATAGGAGTAGCAAGCCCTCTCGTGGCTATTATCAGAATTGCAGAGGATAAGGAGATAAGGTAAAAAGATCAAGATTTCATCCCAAATATGTTTTATATAAGGCTTTAGAATGATAGTGTTGATTGTTGTAGTTTAATATCTCCTGCCTCTGTGCAAACTTTTCTCAAACTACCCAAAAAACACCACTTAGGTTTCCCTTTCTCATGAGTTGTAAATATCTCCTTAGTAAGAGTAGGCTTTTCTTTGTGTCCCTATAGCAAAGACTGTATTATTCACTTTTAAGGACATGCATTTTCTGTGGGTTACTGTGGGCATGTCACAGGAAAGGTTGTGTGTTTTGAAACTGTCTGTGTATCTTAGCCATACAATTAAGCCATATGAGGAATGCAAACCAGTCACCACTGCATATTAAAACACAAACCACATCAGATTACCCTCCTGCTTAGCAGGCCTCAATGGTTTCCTGTTGTATCTAAAATAAAATCCAGATACTTCACCAAACCCCATGGATCCTCGGTGGCCTAGCTCCTGCCGTGTCTCCTGCTCTGCTTTTCCTTACTGTCCCCTTCCCGTTATACAAATGTTAGGGCAAAGGCCACTCCTCAGTGGGGCCTTTTCTGGACACCTGCTCTGAACCAATGCCCACCCACCCACCCATCTGTTAATTGGTCACATCATCAGGCTTGGTTTTCTTCCCACCACTTATCTCCACCCAAAATCATCCTATTTGCTTACGTGTTGAATCTGACCCACCCAGTGGAAGGGAAGCTGGAAGCTCAGTGTGGACAAGCCCTGGTCTGTCTTACACACAGTGTTTTCCCCATAACAGGCTCCTGGTGTGAGTCACGGGGAAAGCTACAGATGCCCACAGGCAAAAGAATTGGGAGCCCTACACCCATCTACCCTCCAACCCCAGCTCTTATTTGAGTGTAGAGTGAAAAACTGGCTCATTTTGCCCGGGACTGTCACTGTTTTACCATTAAAAGCCACCATCCTAGGAAATCCTTTACCCTCAGACAAATCTAGAATGGCTGGTCACCTTATATGTTATCTAGAATTGCTTTCTGGGATGATTTTGAAAAATAAATGACTTTTTTAAAATATAAAAGCTTCCTCTGAATAACAAAATTTAATTTGCAGATTATCCTTTAGCATTCTATAAAAAATATTATTTATTTTAGCAGAGTTGACTTTTCTTGGCATATACATTTGTATTTGTCTTAGCACTTAAAATATATATGAAGCATATTGTAAAAAAAAAGAAAAAGGATCATATTGTATTCACAGGTAATGCTTTTAATTTTAAATGTCATTGAAGAAATAATCTGGTACAAACATGGCACACATGACTCATTGCTGGTAGGGTTAGAGACTTCCCACTTGAAGTCACTTTGATTCCTAAAATAAGTTTATTGATGTGTTTCTTTTACATTACATCTTCCTGATTTTAAAAAAATGTGTTATGTTTTCTTTTCTTTTTCTTATTTTTTTATTTTAAGACAGAGTCTCACTCTGTTGCTCAGGCTGGAGTGCAGTGGCATGATCATAGCTCACTGCAGCCTCAACCTCCTGAGCTCAAGTGATTGTCCCGCCTCAGCCTCCCAAGTTGCTGAGACTACAGGTGCATGCTACCATGCCTGGCTAATTTTTTTTTTAATTAGAGACAAGATTTCACCATGTTGCTCAGGCTGGTTTTGACCTTCTGAGTTCAAACTATCCTCTCACCTCAACCTCCTGAAGTGCTGGGATTATAGTCATGAGCCACGGCGCCCCAGACCTTATTTTCAAAAGATATATTTTTCTTCATTTCTCCTTGAACTTGGAGGGAACACTGCCTCAAAAGAAGTACATTAACAACATTGGCTAAACCTTCTAAGTCGTCTAAATTAGGAAAGGATCGGTTGGCCTTCAGGTTACATTTATTAGAATGACTCACTGAAGGGAACAAATATTTCAAAAGATAAAATGTAATTTTCAATTTAGTGAATTAAAATGCAACCACGTGTAATCTGAACTCACCCACATGATCAGTGTACAGAAGAGCTTTTGATCTGTATCATGTTGTTGAAAATTCATTAGAGGCCACGCAAGCATTTCTACTTGTTGGTTGTATCATCCTGTTGGCAGGAAGACAGCTAGCACTGAGGCCAAGGGCTGTGGAGGACAACAAGTAGTGACCAGGAATGCATATCATCCTATCTGCTGTTTCCAGTCCTCATTCTCACTTTTGTCAGGATTTCCATCTGTCCTCAGAAATCAGGAAGAACCAGCATCAGGGCAAAGAGTTCAGGGGCAGTATGCAAAGCTTTACTAGTTGACATGGACATTAATGTTGGAGAGGGAACCTGTGGATCTCCTCATTTCCCTTCTCGATCGCTGTTGACTATATTCCAAGGCTAACAAAAGGTTTGCAAGACAAAATCTTGAGGACAAACCTTAAGTCTGTTAAAGTCACAGTCATGACATTTCTCAAAGTGTGATCCAGTGAACATCCACAACCCGAAATCACATGGGGTGCTTATTAAGAATGCGGGTTTTCAGGTTCTGTTAAATCAGAATCCCTCGGGGGCGGTCCCCAGGAACCTGCATTTGTAACAAATCCTTTGGGTGGTTCTGGCACATACTAGGGTTGAGGCTTCATGATCGTTTGCTATGGTGTGAATGTGTCCGCCAAAATTCAGGAGTTGGAAAATTAATCCCAGTGCAGCAGTGTTGACGGGTGAAGCCTAAATGGGAGGTGCTTAGGTCATGAGGGCTCTGCCCTCATGAACAGATTAATGTGGTTCTAAAAAGGACTTGCAGAAGTGCGTTCTCTCTATTCTGCTCTTCTGCAATGTGAGGAGAGTTTTTGCCCTTTTGCCCTTCTATCTTCTGCCACGTGAGAACGCAGCAAGGCTCTCATCAGATGCTGGTGCCTTGATCTTGGATGCCCCAGCCTCCAGAACTGCAATAAATTTCTGTTCTTTATAGATTTCCCAGTGTCAGGTATTTTGTTATAGCAGTATGAAACAGGTCAAGACTTTCTCAATCTTTACAGCATAACTGATCAGGCGCAGTGGCTCACGCCTGTAATCCCAGTGAGAGGTGACAGTGTGCTGGCAGTCCTCACAGCCCTCTCTCGCTCTGGGCGCCTCTTCTGCCTGGGCTCCCACTTTGGCGGCACTTGAGGAGCACTTCAGCCCACTGCTGCACTGTGGGAGTCCCTTTCTGGGCTGGCCAAGGCCGGAGCCCGCTCCCTCAGCTTGCAGGGAGGTGTGGAGGGAGAGGCGCGGGTGGGAACTGGGGCTGCGCGCCACAGGCCAGCTGGAGTTCCGGGTGGGCGTGGTCTTGGCGGGCCCTGCACTCGCAGCTGCCGGCCGCCCCTGCCGGCCCTGGGCAATGAGGGGCTTAGCACCCGGGCCAGCGGCTGCGGAGGGTGTACTGCGTCCCCAGCAGTGCCAGCCCACCGGCGCTGCGCTCGATTTCTCACCGGGCCTTAGCTGCCTTCCCGCGGGGCAGGGCTCCGGACCTGCAGCCCGCCATGCCTGAGCCTCCCACCCCCTCCATGGGCTCCTGTGGGGCCCGAGTCTCCCCGATAAGTGCCGCCCCCTGCTCCACGGCACCCAGTCCCATCGACCACCCAAGGGCTGAGGAGAGCGGGCGCAGGGCGCAGGACTGGCAGGCAGCTTCACCTGCAGCCCCAGTGCGCGATCCAGTGGGTGAAGCCAGCTGGGTTGAGTCTGGTGGGGACGTGGCGAACCTTTTGTCTAGCTCAGGGATTGTAAATACACCAATCGGCACTCTGTACCTAGCTCAAGGTTTGTAAACACACCAATCAGCACCCTGTGTCTAGCTCAGGGTTTGTGAACGCACCAATCGACACTCTGTATCTAGCTACTCTGGTGGGGCCTTGGAGACCCTTTGTGTCCACACTCTATATCTAGCTAATCCGGTGGGGAGGTGGAGAACCTTTGTGTCTAGCTCAGGGATTGTAAACGCACCAATCAGTGCCCTGTCAAAACAGACCACTGGGCTCTACCAATCAGCAGGATGTGGGTGGGGCCAGATAAGAGAATAAAAGCAGGCTGCGGGAGCCAGCAGTAGCAAACCACTTGGGTCCCCTTCCACACTGTGGAAGCTTTGTTCTTTCGCTCTTTGCAATAAATCTTGCTACTGCTCACTCTTTGGGTCCACACTGCTTTTATGAGCTGTAACACTCACCGCCAAGGTCTGCAGCTTCACTCCTGAAGCCAGCGAGACCACGAGCCCACCGGGAGGAACGAACAACTCCAGACGTGCCGCCTTAAGAGCTGTTAACACTCACCTGGAAGGTCTGCAGCTTCACTCCTGAGCCAGCGAGACCACGAACCCACCAGAAGGAACAAACTCCGAACACATCCGAACATCAGAAGGAACAAACTCCAGACGTGCCACCTTAAGAGCTGTAACACTCACCACGAGGGTCCACAGCTTCATTCTTGAAGTCAGTGAGACCAAGAACCCACCAATTCCGGACACACCAGCAGTTTGGGAGGCCAAGGCAGGTGGACCACTTGACATCAGGAGTTTGAGACCAGCCTGGCCAATATAGCAAAACCCTGTCTCTACTAAAAGTACAAAAATTAGCTGGGTGTTGTGGCAGGCACCTGTAATCTCAGCTACTTGGGAAGCTGAGGCGGGAGAATCACTTGAACCCAGGAGGCAGAGGTTGCAGTGAGCTGAGATTGCGCTGCTGCACTCCAGCCTGGACAAAGAGTGAGACTCCATCACATACATACACACACACACACACACACACACACACACACACACACACAGGGCGTAACTAACTCTCAGACTCCCTCTCCCCAGCTAAAGACATCTAGGCAAATTTTCATCCTGGTAGCACCCATGGGGAACTCCCTTCTCAACCTCCTTTTCCATGGAAAAATATCCATGAGCCCTGAGGATTTGAAATTCAGTTCATACAAAAGCGCCTTCCTCACCTCATCTCGTGGGAAAAAAAACCTGTCTCCCGAGTAAACATTTCATATAAAATAGTACTCAAGTCACTCCTCTCCAAAAACTTCACCTGGCCTCTTGCTTTCACATGGACATTAAGAGGCTAGGCCTCAAGTCTGCCTTTTCCTTGAGCCTGCTTTTCTCTGACGCAGAAGGGGCCACTTGGCAGGTCTGGCAATCCCACGTTCCGAGACTGGAGCTCTACAAGCGGGACTTGGAGCTGCCTGTGGCTCTGTTATTCCTTACTCCTTGGTGATACTCTTCACTTTGGTAATATTTTAGTAGGTATTGTTAGAAAGTAAACCTTCATTGAATTCTCAGAAAGAGTAAACCACTAAAGCATAATGAAGTAAACTGACAGTAACTAATTTATTATGTGTAACTACAGCACAGAATAATGCTACATAAGTTGGAATATAACAGTGGAGTTTAAAATGGATTTGGATTAAAAAGCACTAAGGACAAATAAAATTTAAAAGAGCAAATAAATTTACATATTTGAAATACGTAATTTAAGTATTGTTTTTATAAATAGTTTCTACTTTATCATTTCACTGGTTGCCAGAATCATGTTTTAGACCAGCTAATTTTCAAATATCTCTGAAGACTACAGCTGGGACCTGAAAAGCATGAACAAGTTTAAGTGGAAAACAGCCAACATTTCCTGGAATAGAAGAGATGACCCTAGGCTGAAATCGAAGGCTTCCCACCTGTGTCCACGACACTCAGAAAAGTGATTTCCCATTGCCACTACCTGGGAAAAGGGCATTGCCTTCAAGAGCCACTCCAAGGAGGTTGCCAGTTCTAGAGAAGCTTGAGATACAAGTTCTAGCAATACTCTGCTCTGCTGGAAAATTCTAGTGTTGCAAATCTCAACAAATCAGCATGCTGGCAGAAATTTAGAGTAAAAGGTATCTGGATAGTGAGAATAAATAACATAAAATTATTTTACTATAATCCTCATAAGAGTCCCTCAAAACCATCCTCAGAGCACACTCACTCTTCTCACTTGGTTTTCTGTGGCTATTTAAGATCCCAAGTAGCACCAGAAGGAAAAGTGTAGGTGGGGACAGAGATATCCACTTAAGTAATAGACAAATGAATTTGCCAAAGATCAGACAAAGAAAAATCGTATCCATTAATACAATTAGGAGCTATTCAGTACCTTCTACAAGCCAAGCATTGTGCAGGCCCTGGAGAGACAAAAAGGAACAGGACCTGATCTTGCCCTCAGGATATACACAACCTTATATGTTAAGACTAACATATAAATGATTAACTTCAATACAACAGAAAAAAGTATCAATTATGGTTATTTGGTGCAGGTATTAACCTTGGCCTAACTGGAGCACAAAAGAAACTCACTGGAGCAGTAGTAAGTAACTCATGAAATTGTTGGTCAATCTGAACAATCAAGCCAAGGGGAGAGAGCCACAGAAACCCAAAATTCTCAGGAACGAGAATTCTTATACTGTCACCTAAGGTTGCTGTGATTCTATCTGCCTTCCATCTCTGGGTGTCTCTACTCAAGATTCACTTTCCTGCAAAAAAAACCAAACAGCTGTTCTTATTCTAATTTGCATTATCACCTCCTGTGGTCCAGGAACAAAGACCCCTGGACTGGCAGCCCGAGAATCTCACAGGGTGAAGACTGAAGTTGGGAAAACCCTTGCCTTGCCAAAACACATCTAGAACCTTCTTTCCATACAAATATTCCCAAGAGGTTTCTAACCAAACATGGTTGTGCATTGCTTGTGAGCCTTCAGATTGAGCACCCCCCTGCTCCCCAGTGGAGCACAACCCAACACAACATCTCACAAGTGCATCCTGAGGTGAGATGTGATGCCAAGTTGGGGGCTACAGATTGAATTATCTTGTTGGCAAACTGGGGACTCGGTGATGGCCAGGTGTGATTTATAAATAAATGTCCATGTTTTTGAGTCCAAGAAAGCAGAAGAATCTTCTTATAATTTGGTCATTGCAATGGTTTGAATGTGTTCCCTGCAAGCCTATGTGTTGGAAACTTACTGCCATTGTAATAGTATTAAAAGGTGGCCCTTTTCTTGTTGTTGTTTTGTTTTTTGTTTTTTTTTTGAGACGGAGTCTCGCTCTGTCGCCCAGGCTGGAGTGCAGTGGCGCAATCTCGGCTCACTGCAAGCTCCGCCTCCCAGGTTTACGCCATTCTCCTGCCTCAGCCTCCCAGGTAGCTGGGACTACACGTGCCTGCCACCACGCCTGGCTTTTTTTTTTTTTTTTTTGCTATTTTTAGCAGAGACGGGGTTTCACTGTGTTAGCCAGGATGGTCTCAATCTCCTGACCTCGTGATCTGCCCACCTTGGCCTCCCAAATTGCTGGGATTACAGGCGTGAGCCACCTCGCCCAGCCAAGAGGTAGCCCCTTTATGTGGTGATTGGGCCAAGAGGACTCTGCCCTTGTGAATGAGTTAATACCATTATTGTGGGAGTGGGTTCATTATACAAAGGCCAGTTTGGTCCCCACCCCCAACAATTCTTTGGCCATGTGAAGAAAACTGTTCCTCCCTCTGTAGGATGCAGTGTTCAAGGTGCCATCTTGTAAGCGGAGACCAGGCCCCCATCAGACAGCCTCCAAAACTGTGAGAAATAAATGTCTATTCTTTATGGATTACCCCGTCTCGGGTATTGTATTCCAGCAGCACAAATGGACTAAACAGTCATCCAGTTTACCTGGAATATTTCTGTGATATACACAAACCTATTTGATTTTTGTACTCTATTCCTGGCACAGGGCTCCTAAAACCCTGGGAATTTCCTGAGTGAGGGGAGTTTCTGCTTTTACTCATAACATGCCATCTTCCACCATATCTAGTACTACACCTGAGTTTATGTTACTGCAGTGACTTAGGGTGGTTCTAACTAGCCTCTGGTCACTAGAAAGACTAAAGAGGGTGGGAACTCTTAGCCTCACCCACTGGCCTCCCACGGATGGAAGGGGCCTGGAAATGGGTTATAAAGCCTCCTGAATGGTATGCAATGAGTTTCGGGGTCAGTGAACACACGGAGGTGCCGCGAGGGTGGTATGCCTAGAGAGGGCCTGGAAGTTCTGTGCCACCAACTACTCGACATACCCTGCTCTATGCATTGCTTTCATTTGTCTGTCTCTGAGTTGTAGCCTTTATAATAAACTGGGAAATGTTAAGTAAAATGTCTACCTGAGTTTTGTGAGCAGTTTTAGCAAATTACCAAAACTGAGAAAAGAGTCATGGGAATCCCTAAATCTGCAGTCAGCTAGGCAGAAGTGTGGATGGTCTGAGCACCCCATTGTAGCTGGCAACTGAAGTGGGTGGGGGGGCAATCTTGTGAGACTGAATCCTTTACCTGTGGGGCCTGCTGATAGCTGCAGGAATTAGTGACAGAATATAACTGAATTGTTGAACATCGAGTTGGTGTCAGAGAATTGGAGAATTGGTGTTGGAAAATACATCAATATTTTGGTGTCGGGGCAAAAAAATAGCAACCTTACAATCTTCTACAGTAAGGGACTTCTGGTTAGCATTCAAGTTGGGCATAAATATTCTTGGGGTCTGGGCATATTCCAAATGATTTAGTCACATATCTCTGCCCCAGGTCTTCTTGACACAAACTTTGGTTCAATTTTGGCCCAATTACCAAGTTTGGCCTAATTTTGATCCTTCCAATTACCTGATCATTGACAGGACCAGGATAAAGATCTAAAACCAATAGTTTTCCCCTTGCCTTCTACCTTTTCCCCCTTTTCTTTCTATTTTGCTATTTACCTTCTCTATCCCATGACTAGACGAGCCAATAATAAAACGTGATTGTAGACCGAGCGCGGTGGCTCATGCCTGTAATCCTAGCACTTTGGGAGGCTGAGGCAGGCGGATCACGAGGCCAGGTGTTCGAGACCAGCCTGGCCAACATAGTGAAACCCTGTGTCTACTAAAAATACAAAAAATTAGCTGGGCGTGGTGGCAGGTGCCTGTAATCCCAGTTACTCGGGAGGCTGAGGCAGGAGAATTGATTGAACCTGGGAGGTGGAGGTTGCAGTGAGCTGAGATCCCACCATTGCACTCCAGCCCAGGCAACAGTGCGAGACTCCATCTCAAAAAAAAAAAAAAAAAAAAAGCAATTGTAATCTGAGTGATTCTTCACTAGGTATTTGATATCAAAATGGAATCGTGCCGGGCGCAGTGGCTCACGCCTATAATCCCAGCACTTTGGAAGGCCAAGGAGGGCAGCATCACCTGAGGTTGGGAGTTCAACATCAGCCTTACCAACATGGAAAAATCCCATCTCTACTAAAAATACAAAATTAGCTGGGCGTGGTGGCACATACCTGTAATCCCAGCTAGTCGGGAGGCTGAGGCAGGAGAATTGCTTGAACCTGAGAGGCAGAGGTTGCGGTGAGCCGAGATTGCACCATTGCACTCCAGCCTGGGCAAGAAGAGTGAAACTCCATCTCAAAAACTAAACAAAACAAAACAGAACAAAAGAACAGAACGGTAATCAGCATTTATCGTATGCCTGTTGTGTACTGTACTCTGTGAAGCGCTTGATACTCATCACTTCACTTAATTGCTACAACAACTCTGTAAAGTAAAGACAATTATCCCACATGACGACGCTGAAGGTCCGTAAACTTCCAGAATATGTCAAGGGCCACCAAGCCAGTAAGTGCTCATAAGTCAGCACTTGGGTCCAGATCTGTGGACTTCAAAACCCATGCTCTTAACTCTGCCACAGCTGTCCTTGATTGATGAATGGGATTGCTTTCTGGAAGTTCATTTCTAAATTGTTAGTTTGGAACTCAAACTGAATTTTTCCCAGGTATTTTGTTATGAATCAGTTTTTCTACAACTCAGTAAATAGGGACCCTACTATTAGGATGAAAATAATTTCTCAAAGATGCCTATAAATGCATGCCCACATCCCTACAATAGATCCAACTTGAAAAACACAGACTTAAAGTCTTAGTCTATAAAAATGTCTCATAAGTGCAAATATCACCTATTAAGACTAAGAGGCTAGCCAGGCATCATGGCTCACGCCTATAATCCCAGGATTTTGGGAGGCCAAGGCCCTTTTGTTTTGGTAGGGTAGATCACTTTTGTTTGGGTAGATCACTTGAGATCAGGAGTTCGAGACCAGCCTGGCCAACATGGTGAAAACCCGTTTCTACCAAAAATACAAAAAAATTAGTTGGGCATGGTGGCATGCACCTGTAATCCCAGCTATTCAGGAGGCTGAGGCATGAGAATCACTTGAGCCCAGGAGGTGGAGGCTGCAGTGAGCCGAGATCCTGCCATTGCACTCCAGCCTGGGTGACAGAGCGAGACTCTGTCTCAAAAAAAAAATAAATAAATAAAATAAGACTAAGAGACTTTAGGGTTTATAACAGACAAATCTATGTGTATATATGTATATATTATTTTTTCTTTCTTATTTCTATGTATATATTTTGGATTATCATCAACATGAGCATGCAACACTGAAAGAATGCTTTGAGAGCTCTCAAATTCTCAAGAACACATTCATGGACTCTGGGTGTCCAGGGATCCCAGTCTGAGAAACACTGCTAGACATGAGTCTTAATTTGCTAGGATTATCAGTTAGCATTACTCTCAGCTTCAAATAACAGACACAGAATTACAGAGGCTTGGCCAAATGTGTTGAGTTTCCTCATGTGACAGAACACCCAGAAGTGGTCAGCCAAGACCGATGCATCAGCTCCAGCATGCTGTCAAGGCTGCTGTGTTTGACATGCAACTCTCAGAATTGCAAAATTGTTGTTCCACATCTAAACACTGCATCATGATCCAGGCAGAAAAACAGGCAAAGAAAGGCAAAAATGTCTATGCTCAAAAGACTTTTTCATTCTATTCCAGAAGGAAATTCCTCCTATGGAACATCTCATCAGGCCTCTCTTATCCCTCACTGACCAGAGCTCAGACACAAGTCTGTTTTTAACTGCAAGAGAGGCTGGGGAGTTGAGTGGTTTCATTTCCAGCCTCCAAAGTAGATGAAAGCAAGGAAAACAGCAGCCTCACCCAGAGAACCCAGTGAGCCCAGGGGTTCTTGTCCACTTCTATGCCATGCATTCCTCCGGCAGTCTGTTGAAGCCTACGAACCCCTTCTCAGACCAGTATTTTAAATATGTAAAATAAAATGCATATTCAAAACAAAACCAATTGTATGAAAATGCACTTGTATGGCAGCTTGGGCTGCCATAACAAAATACTTTAGACTGGGTGGCTTAAACAACAGAAATTTATTTTCTCATGCTGCTGGAAGCTGGGAATCTAAGATCAAGGTGCTGACAGAGTTAGTTCCTGGTGAGGCCTCTGGCTTGCAGAAGGCCACCTTCATGCTGTGTGTTCACATGGCCTTTCTTTAGTGCTTCTAGTGCAGAGAAGGAAAAGGGGTGGGAAATGAGGAGATCCTTTTCTTAGAAAACCACTAATCCTATTGGATTAAGGTCTCTTATGACCTCATTTAACCTTAATTACCTTTAAAAGCCCTATCTCCAAACACAGTCACATTGGGGTTTAGAACACCAACATATGGATTTGGGAGGATATGATTCAGTCTATGGCAAAAATTATCAAAATATTTAAAAACCAAGGCTGGACACAGTGGCTCACGCCGGTAATCCTAGCACTTTGGGAGGCTGAGGTGGGTGGATTGCCTGAGCTCAGGAGTTCGAGACCAGCCTGGGCAACATGGCAAAACCCCATCTCTACTAAAAATACAAAAAAATTAGCTAGGCGTGGTGGTGTGCACCTGTAATCCCAGCTACTTGGGAGGATGAAGCAGGAAAATCGCTTGAACCCAGGAGGCAGAGGTTGCAGTGAGCCAAGATTGCACCACTGCTCTCCAGCCTGGGTGACAAATGAGACTCCATCTCAAAAGAAAAGAAAAAAAGATTTTTTAAACCATATGTGTGACATAGTATTATATATTCTTCTTGAACAGATTAAATAAGAAGAGCTATCAAAAAGTCTAGTAACTACTATAATTCTGAAGTAGTGAGGAGTGAGAATTATATCACAGGATTTTTGCAAAAGCTGTAATAATATAACTAATACTACTGCATTTTGTTCCCAACATTCACAATTGAAGAAAATGCTAAACTTCAGTTACAGGAAATGTTTTTCCATCCAAAGTTATGGATTCCTTGGATTCTATCCATGAACTCCTTAAGGGATCCTTGGATCACAGGTTAAGGACCCTTGATTTTAGTCCACAAGAATAATGAATTAGAAAACAGTACTCTCTAAGTTCTGCGGAGACAAGGCTATTGAATAAAGAGAAAGTGAAGACAGTTAAAGGCAATTTTTTTCTTAAACGAAGTTTGTTTTCAGCACTGTCCTTCTTCATTTTCTCAGCTGTCCAAAAGTTTAATACTTCTTCTGGGCATAACTTAGGGACCTCTTCCTGCCCACATCCTACTCTGCCTGTCCATTGCCTCCAAGTGTCCCACCATCAAAAATTACCACCTCCTCATTTCCACCGGCAAATCAGAACCTCTTCCCACAGGGCAATATATTTCAGCTGTGGACTATTAGGAAAATAATCTAATTAAATGAAGTCATCCCAAGGGGTCAGCTCCTCAACCTAGAATGTTTGCATTCATCTAAAACTTCACTTTGTCACCCAAATAAATCTGCGATTATTAGGACTTTAAATGAAATGTTTCCCTTTTGAAGTTGGTTGCGTGAGGTTCCATCACATGCTGTCAGCACCTCTGCATACAGCCCAGCAAGCTGTGTGCTGCCTACACTATCCACAGAGACTATAATTTGAATGCTGTCCCAGGTGCTATGTCACACACCAGAGTCAAAGAGGTGTACTGCACATTCTTGTGGAGATTTTCAAACTTGAGAAGTGTGTACTTTTAAATGAATATAAATCTCTCAGATCCCCAGGGTTAACTTCACATTTTTATGCTGGATATTTTTATTATGTTACTTACATACAGAAATAGAATTAATCAGGCATATGTCCCTTAATTAAAAACAATAAAAATTTAATTCAAAACAAACTAAACAAATTAAGTTGAATTACATAGGATGGATGATGTTTTACTGAAATCAATCATGACTGCATGAATATGATAAAGACCCTTAAAGAGAGAGGCTCATTTTGAGGTCAAGATCACTTAAAAACCATGGGCGCTTTGATATATTAAATCCTTTACTACTTGATTCTAACAATTCAAAGCCTTCATATGGTGTATTAGTTTAACCTTTGGTTTTCATTTGACCTTTTTTGTTTTGTTTTGTTTCTGTTTTTTGAGGCAGGGTCTTACTCTGTTGCCCAGGCTAGGGGGCAGTGGCATGATCTCGGCTCACTGCAGCCCCGACTTCCCGGGTTCAAGTGATCCTCCCACCTCAGCCTCCTGAGTAGCTGGGACTGTAGGCATGAGCCACCCCACTGGCTAATTTTTTTGTATTTTTAGTAGAGACAGGGTTTCACCATGTTGCTCAAGCTAGTCTCAGACTCCTGGGCTTGAGCCATCCGCCCACCTCAGCCTCTCACAGTACTGGGATTACAGGTTTGAGCCACCACACCAGGCTTATTTGACATGTTAAGTGTGACTCGTTCATTTCTTTGGCCCACAGCTAAAGGAGTACTAATGGGAACCAAAAAAAAAAAAAATCCTTGTCTCTACAATTAAGATGTCATACAGATGATGCAGAATTAATTTGTTAATGGGCCTTATCACAACTGTAAATACATAATGTTATTTTTCATATATTTTCTATGTGAAAAAAATTCTGTTTGCTTTTATTTATGTAAATGGTATTAAATTATAAATTTCAATCTATTTTTCACTTTTTTGCTTAAGACTTTCTAGGTCAAATCATTTTGCTATATAGAGAGACACATAATGATAGGGTTACATAGCTATAGATACATAAACCTTACAAATTTATGTGAATTACTTTCTGGAATATGGAACCACAAGTGGTGTTGCTATGTACTAGGGAATATGCATACTTAATTTCACTAAGCATAGCCAGATTGCTTCCAGAAAGCATGTATCAGCTTGTCCTCTGACATGACGGTTCCTGTACCCTGCTGTTCTCACCAACACTTGATAATATCTGACTTTCTAATTTTTGCCACTCTGATAGATGTAAAGAAGTTCATAGTTGTCTTAATTTGTCTTTCTCTGATTACAAATGAGTTTTTTTTTTTTTTTGATGGAGTCTCACTCTGTTGCCCAGGCTGGAGTGCAGTGGCATGGTCTTGGCTCACTGCAACTTCCACCTCCCCTGTTCAAGTGATTCTCCTGCCTCAGCCTCCAGAGTAGCTGGGATTACAGGCACATGCCACCATGTCTGGCTAATTTTTGCACTTTTAGTAGAGATGGGGTTTCACCATGTTGGCCAGGCTGGTCTCAAACTCCTGACCTCAGGTGATCCACCCACCTCGGCCTCCCAAAGTACTGGAATTACAAGTGTGAGCCACCGTGCCTGCCCATAAATGACTTTTATATACTGCTAGCCTTTCAGATGTTTCCCTTCTATGAATTGCCTATTAAAGTTTTTGCCAAAATGCTGTTGGATTAGCTTTTGCCAAAATTCTGCTGTATTTCTATTTTTTCTCATTTGTAAAAGTTCTTGGTCAAATTTTGATATTAATTCTGTATTGACTTGAGTTCCTTGTAAATATCTTTTATCAGGCACCTGACCTCAGGTGTCCCTATTAAACCAAAATGCTTACTTTTCTTGTAGTCAAATTTGATCAATTTTTTTGCCAAATGGTTACTGACATTCTGCCTTTTGTGACCCAAAGGTCACAAAGATATTCTCCAACACTTTCATCTATTAGCCCTATAATTTTGTTCACATTTTCTACATGCCTCAATTGTCTCAATTATATACTTTCTCCACTGGTATTTGGGACCATTCTTATCAAATATCCACTTCCCATATACACATGCATCTATTTCTACATTTCTTATTCTGTTGCATTGTTTTATATGTTTTTCCTAGATTTCAGAATCATTTCAAAATTGATTTAGCTATTTGTGGATTTGTGATTTAGCATTTTTTATTCCTCTATATAAATTTTAGAATATGTTTTTCAATGTTCTCAAACAACTCTCTGGAATTTTCATTGGGATTGCAATGAATTTGTAAATGTAGGGAGTACTGACATCTTAAAATATTACACTGGCAGTACCATAAATGAGTTATATTCCTACATTTATATAGAGCCTCTTTTGTTGTCTTCATAAAGATCTCGTGCATTCATTGCTAGGTTAAGTCTTAGATACTTTACACCAGTGATTGCAATTTTTTTCACATCATGGTATACAAAGAAAATGATCATATTTGTATGTGGTAACAATGGGCATCTTTGTAATATTTCCAGTCTTAAAGGGGATGTGCCTAAAGTTTCTCCATTAATGTTTGCTGTAGGGTTTTTTATGCAACTTCTATCAAATAAGAACATTTCCCTCTATTCTGATAATTTTTGTTATAATCAGGGTTCAGCTTCATCAGTTGCTTTTTCTGCATATATTAACATTATATTTCTTTTTTCTTCTATTAATGTGTGAATTACATTGATAGTTTGGCTCACTGCCATAAATTCATGCCATTGAGTTTTTGAGAAAAGCCCTACTTAATGATGATGCCATTTTTAATAAAATGTTGGGTTTAGTTAGTGAAATTCACATATGTGTTTTAAAATCATAATGACTCTGCTTTTCTTGTTCTATTTCCTCTCTCTGATTCTGGAGTAAAGGTTATGCTAGCCTCATTTTGTGAGTTGGACTTTTCCCCCTCTTCTTCTAGTATGTAGACCAGCTTGCTTAAAGATCTATCTTACCTAGGTTTTCAAATTAGTATATAGTTCATGTATTTCCTTCATGGTCTATTTTAATGCCCCTCCAATGCTTCAGAGGTTGGAAAACTCAAAGCACTTCATGGATTTCATGGTAACTGTGATTTTGGATGTAATTACATATTCCTCAATCAGATATACTTCTATGAGACTTGAATTACGAACAAAGGTAAAAGGGGAATGTATCAGTTGTCTATTGTGCATAATAAACTGTCCCCCAAAATTAGCGACTTAAAACAATGATTTATTCTTCCTCAGGATTCCAAGGGGTGTTTGGGCAGTTCCTATCCTCATTTTTTTTGGTCTCTTTAGGTGCTGAATTTAGTGCTATAGGTGATAGAGCAGGAGCACCGTCATCTGGGACAAACACCGCCACTTTAAGTTCCAGCTCCCTTTCTAGCCTCACGCATTTCAAGGAAATCACTTCTCTTCTAACTAAAGCAGACAGAAAGAGCAGACAGTAAAACACAGATAAGACAGCTCGGGCACAGAGGGAGGTGAGGGGAAAGTCTCTTGGGTAACTGCCAAACTTCACCATCATACAATGGGGACCAGTAAAACAATGGGCCTTAATAAGCAAGCACATTCCTTTCCCTTCAGGGGCACTAAGATAGAAAAGCTAAAAGCAGACTCGGGGGATATGCCTGCAGCTGCAGAAAGATGTAAGGGAACAGACACACAGCTCTCCCTCCCAGATAAGCACAACAAAGAGACACAGAAGCAGTCGAACCCTCTGATAAACTCTCCTACCCTGAATTCTTAAAAACTCTTAGTCTGTAAGAGAGTGCGGCTTCTGGCCGGGCGTGGTGGCTCACGCCTGTAATCCCAGCACTTTGGGAGGCCGAGGCTGGCGGATCACGAGGTCAGGAGATCGAGACCATCCTGGCTAACATGGTGAAACCCCGTCTCTACTAAAAATATAAAAAATTAGCCAGGCGTGGTGGTGGGCACCTGTAGTCCCAGCTACTCAGGAGGCTGAGGCAGGAGAATGGCGTGAACCCCGGGAGGCGGAGCTTGCAGTGAGCCGAGATCGCGCCACTGCACTCCAGCCTGGGCGACAGAGCGAGACTCCGTCTCAAAAAAAAAAAAAAAAAAAAGAGAGAGTGCGGCTTCTGACCTAACTTGGTCAGAAGTCTCTCCCAGGTTTGAAATAAACCTGTTGACTGTCAAGCCACCCTTCGTGTTTCTCTCCCCTTTCTTTAATTCTTACATTTGGTGCTGAAACCAAGGGCAGGTGTTGGGGGCAGAGGCTCTCTTGCAACCCAGGAAGCAGTGAGCAATGGCAGCTCATCCTGAGTTAACTCCTGGATCCTGAGGGTATCTGGCCACCTGCCCCTGTCTTTTCTCTCACTTCACTTTTCAAGCGATTTGTGTGAGGACTACTAACCTGAAGGGGACTGCTAGGCTAAGGCCAGGGCTCTCAAAACCCTTAGGTCTCAGAATCCACCTCCAACCACCGGCAACGGGTATTCACTCCCTAACCCTTGCTCCCCTCTTCCTCTCTCTCTCTCTTTCTCTCTCTCTCTCTTCCTCACATGGCTCCAGTCTGGGAGGCCCTTTGCCAATTCCAACTGGAATATCCAATATCGGACACGAACTCAGCCAGCTGGTAAGATCTGCCTTCTCCTGGCTTCCTCCTGGTACCAGAGAAAGTCCGGCCTGCCATCCAGGTCCTTGGAGGACCAATGGGACTAAGCTAGAGAAAATCTTGGGGATGCCCAGTTCCTTCTCAGCTTAACTGGCCTCTTTCAGAAAGAGGGTTCTGGGTCTCTGTCTTTTGTCTGGGGACACCTAGAAAAAAGACCACCCTTGGCTTCCTTTTACCAGTCCGTATGGGTGCCAAACAATCCCACATTCCTACATCCTCCCCACTGAACTGTCATCTTCGCAACCTCTCCAGACTTGGCTTACGTGGAAACCTAAAGCCAAAGTGTTTAATTTTCTGCTGCAACATGGCTTGGCCCCAACACAGACTAGATAATAACAGCCGATGGCCCAAATACGGCACCTTTAACTTTCAAATTATCAGGGACCTTAACAACTTTATCACCAGAAACGGCAAATGGCAAGAGGTTCTCCATATTCAGGCTTTCTTCTACTTTAAACCCCACCCCTCCTGGGACTCCCTTGGAAAACAGAAAAGGCTCCACAAATCCCATTTTGGGAAAAATCTCTGTTGTCCTTATGGAGCCACTGGAATTAAAGGTGAATAAGTACCTCTCAAAATCTGTCTTTGTCTTCCAGCTATGCTTGTTTATTAGGCCCTGAAAATTGTTTTCCTAGCCCTGTTCTTAAAGAGCCTCATCCGGAGGCCAATAATCCCATTAGGAAATTAGCAAATGTAAATCTTATAACTACTGGATCTTCTGCTGGTTGTCTGTGTGGCTATATATGTGTTTATGTGTGCAATGTCTATTAAAAAGAGCTCTAATTAATTAACTGGCCCAAGAAAAATAAGCACTTAAATCAAATATTTTTAAGGAAAATGTTAAGCAAAGTAATACTGTGTATATTGCCATTTTACTTTATTCTTCTATTGAAGCAAAATTGTGGGGTTTTATTATGTGTGTGTGCTTTTGCTAGATGTCCCAGTTAGCTGTGCTTAGATATACCAGTACTATTTATGGTTTAAGTTTTAATTCTTAGGTATGTTCTTCAGCTCTAACATTGTTTTCCAAAGACACACTAAACTGTATTGCAGTTCAAAAATTAATTACTTAAGGGATCAATCTGGGCATTGTTCTTGGCCTTAAATTTAATAGCAAACACAGGACATGTATATTATCACTATATTAATATTTATTTATGTGTTTATTTATTTAGAGACGGAGTCTCGCTCTGTCGCCAGGCTGGAGTGCAGTGGCACAATCTCGGCTCACTGCAACCTCTGCCTCCCAGGTTCAAGCAATTCTCCTGCTTCAGCCTCCCAGGTAGCTGAGACTACAGGCATGCGCCACCACACCCAGCTAATTTTTGTATTTTTAATAGAGACGGGGTTTCACCATGCTGGCCAGGATGGTCTCGATTTCTTGACCTCATGATCCGCCCACCTCGGCCTCCCAAAGTGCTGGGCTTACAGGCGTGAGCCATCACGCCTGGCCACTATATTAATTTTTAAAAGTTTTTCTTTGACATTTAAAATCATGACAACAGATATTCACATTTAATGTTTATGGAAATGTAATGTCTTTATTGATAATTTTATTATAAAATTTCATAAATCGTGTTTTTCAAAATAAGTTTATATCAAATCCAGCTTCCCAGAAACACTAATAGTTCAGCATGTCAATGTACTAACTAAATCATTCACTTGTACCCATGGGGAAGATTTTAGTGTTATTGCCCTCCACAGTGAAAAAAAAAAAAAAAAGAAAAAAGAAAATCTTTCATTTTTAAAATTAGATTAGGAAATGTTACATAACTTGGCACTTTAGTAGTGCATATACTAGCATTAGTTTATAGACTGCTTTTGCCACTGGGGAGTTCAAGTTGAAATGTCCCTCCGTCATGTAGCTCTGGAATACACCTTCCATTCATAATTTCTGCTCAGATAATTGAATAGTTTACCATCTAGGTTATTTTCATTTATACGGTAAAACAAAGCAAACTACTCCCGTTTAATTTTTTTATACTTAGAATATTGCACATTTTCTATATATGAGTCATTCGGATTAGTATCTATGTAGGTTCAGTCAGATCCAACCATGGATTCGAGTTATTATACTATATAACCCTATAAAATACATAGAAGTATTATTACTTTGCCTTTAAAACAAAACCCAAGAGTCTGTTTCGATTTATGAATTCAGCATTTAAGCAAAGAGATTTTAGTTCCCAAAGTCGGGGGAAAAAATGACAAAACAATGAGGGAAGAAGGAACCAGGCCTTAGTGCCACACATTTTTCTCTTTGGGTTGTAAGGTAGAGCCTCCTTCTTTACAGAATGCTTTATTATATTTTTTTAGACCTGATTTTCTGTGTCAAAGCATAATTCTCATGCTGAAGCTCTAGCCTAAAAAAGCAAAAGAAAGTCTTCATTGTACAAAACATATTCATCACTTTAACAAGATCATAAGGGAACAAAAGTTAGGATTTAAACTGAGCGATAATACTGTTTGAATGAGCATGTCCCTAAGATAAACCAGAACTGGCAGTTAATTTAGACATCTAGAAAATCTCATTTCCTACCAGTAAAAATATTTTGAGTGTCTAGTGCTCCTTAAGAAAATCTGGTGGCCAGGTGCGGTGACTCATGCCTATAATCCCAGCACTTTGGGAGGCAGAGGCGGGCGGATCACGGGTCAGGAGTCAGAGACCAGCCTGGCCAACCTGGTGAAACCCTGCCTCTACTAAAGATACAAAAAATTAGCCGGGTGTAGTGGCGGGCTCCTGTAATCCTGGCTACTTGGGAGGCTGAGGCAGCAGAATCGCTTGAACTCAGAAGGCGGAGGTTTCAGTGAGCTGCGATTGTGCCACTGCACTCCAGCCTGGGCGACAGGGCAAGACTCCGTCTCAAAAAAAAGAAAAGAAAAAAAAGAAAATATGGCATACTGAATAAATAATGTTCATGTGGGAGCCAGGAGCTGGGTAAGCCTTGCCTTTCAACTACTCTGTGACTACAAAAATAGTCAGCACTTTTGGAACTAATAAGACTTCACTTGTCAGTGTCATAAAGAGTACTGCCCAATGGCCGGGCGCAGTGGCTCACGCCTGTAATCCCAGCCTTTTGGGAGGCCGAGGCGAGTGGATCACGAGGTCAGGAGTTCAAGAGCGGCCTGGCCAAGATGGTGAAACCCCCGTCTCTACTAAAAATACAAAAATTAGCCAGGCATGGTGGTGGGCGCCTGTAATCCCAGCTACTCAGGAGGCTGAGGCAGGGAATTGCTTGAACCCAGGAGGTGGAGGTTGCAGTGAGCCAAGATCGCTCACTGCACTCCAGCCTGGGCGATAGAGCAGGACTCCGTCTCAAAAAAAAAGTATTGCCCAGCTGAACTTTGCTCCCACCAGTTCAGTAGTTACTTATTTCTACCTAAGCACTCCCCTTCCGATTTTACCCACGTATTTAGGATTGAAAAAAAAATGCATTATATTTGAGAGCTACTTCCCCCAAATTACAAAATGAGTCAGTGTTTTTAGTTTCAAGTGATTGACAAAAAAATGAAAATAAAAAAAAAACAGGTTTTACATTAAAGTTAAAAATTGCTAAAAGTTACCATTATAACATGTAATTGGCCGGGCGCGGTGGCTCACGCCTGTAATCCCAGCACTTTGGGAGGCCGAGACGGGCAGATCATGAGGTCAGGAGATTGAGACCATCCTGGCTAACAGGGTGAAACCCGGTCTCTACTAAAAATACAAAAAAATTAGCCAGGCGTGGTGGCGGGCACCTGTAGTCCCAGCTACTTGGGAGGCTGAGACAGGAGAATGGAGTAAATCTGGGAGGCGGAGCTTGCAGTGAGCCCAGATCATGCCACTGCACTCCAGCCTGGGCGACAGAGCAAGACTCCATCTCAAATAAAAAACAACAACAACAACAACAACAACAAAAAATGTAATTAAAACTGCTGAACAGGGATTTGCGTGCAAGGTGTATAAAAACAGTAAAAAGTATTTTTAGTTAAAAATTATAAGAAGGCATAAAAATGTACATTTTGCTTATGAATAAAAAGTCATAAAATTAAATAAAGTGAAAGGTTTAATTTTAAAAACATTGTAAAAATTAATCCTGCAAAGAAAACTCTGTGTGTAAACATATTAACTAAACTCAAAAGACAGGTATTATATGGTTTTTTTTCTGTAAATTGAACACTAAAATAAAGGCACCACAAGATTTTCTTAAAATGCTAATCTACTATTTAGCAAAACTTGTCAAGGGTTATAACGGGTATGTAAAAATCTCACTTCATAATCAAATTGGTTAAAATTAAATAAAATTATCTATAAGGTTTCATTACAATTAGGGTTAACATTAATAGCAAACTAATGCAAGGGTAAAATTTAACTTTCTCTTTTAAACAGAAATTTCATATAATACAAAAGGCTAAAAAATGGGTTTTGCTTTTCCAGATTGTTAACTCATCATTTTGGCAAAACAAAACAAAACAAAACAAACAAACAAACAAAAAACAACTTATGGTAATCTAAAATTCTATTTCATAATATCAAGGGTTTTAAATTTTAAACATATTTAACAGCCTTCCCAAAATCAAACTTTAGTCTCAAGGTTGTCTTTCCCAACCCCTAGCTTTTGGGTGCTGCGCAGGACCCCTGAACCATCTGAAAAAGAGGTAAACAGGATTATTTGGCAACATGAGATTGCCAAAATAATGTCTAATAGGTTATATTTTAGGGAATAATATTAACATAAGTTACAAAACTGTATGGGGTGTCTAAGGTTCTCCTGTCCAAATATGTACTATTAATCACAATTAAAATTGTTATGTTGGGTTACTGTAAACCACAAAAATTACCAAATTTTGTTGTCAATTGCATTTCTAACTGTATCCAAACTGAACATCTTGTTATTTATAGATAATTGTTATTTTGTTTTAATTCTCTTCAAAACATGGTTTATATTCAAGCTGTGGAACTTTAACAAGTGCTCTCAAATGCAGGTTATTCACAACAGCAACAACAGCAAAATGTAAAGGACTCATGAAAAGCAAAAATGTTTATAAATATCAAGCAAAACAAAGGTTAATAAAGTGGACTAAACTAATAGAAAACAAAAACAAATTTTTTATCTTTTGCTTTGAACACTGCTAATCTTTATCTTATTTTTCACAGTCAAAGAAAACTTGTCTTAAGCTACCTACAGCCTTTAACAACTAAGTATACTCCTGTAAATAGAATTTAAAGTGTGTTTGTTTCTCTCTGCCTAGTTCCTCTAGAATTTGAAAACTAGTCATACGTATTCTTAAATTATAACAACATAGTTGTTTGCATCAGCGCATTTTCTTTTGTAACAGAACACAATTGGAAAACCTGGTTATTTTACCAAGGCTTTGACTGGAATGGTGCACTTTCCTTAAAGGAATCAAACTTGACTTATGAAGCCAAGAAAGCCCTTGGAAACTGGCCTCATATTTTGTGTACACAGTCCCTGTACAGGGTTTCTGATCTGTGGTAAGTAAAGAATGTCACTTTCTGACAGGCCAGGAACGCCAAGTTATCTTAAAACCTCAAGAGGAGAGGAATTAAATGCCAACTCATAGGCATTTAATGGTACAAATCCATGACTGGGCTTGGCTTTAACAAGTCTTATCTCAAATTTCTTTTACAAAACAAAGTTCCAATGGCAATCATTAAAACGTCAGGAAACAACAGGTGCTGGAGAGGATATGGAGAAATAGGAACACTTTTACACTGTTGATGGAACTGTAAACTAGTTCAACCATTGTGGAAGTCAGTGTGGCGATTCCTCAGGGATCTAGAACTAGAAATACCATTTGACCCAGCCATCCCATTACTGGGTATATACCCAAAGGACTATAAATCATGCTGCTATAAAGACACATGCACATGTATGTTTATTGGGGCACTATTCACAATAGCAAAGACTTGGAACCAACCCAAATGTCCAACAATGATAGACTGGATTAAGAAAATGTGGCACATATACACCATGGAATACTATGCAGCCATAAAAAATGATGAGTTCATGTCCTTTGTAGGGACATGGATGAAATTGGAAATCATCATTCTCAGTAAACTATCACAAGAACAAAAAACCAAACACTGCATATTCTCACTCATAGGTGGGAACTGAACAATGAGAACACATGGACACAGGAAGGGGAACATCACACTCTGGGGACTGTTGTGGGGTTGGGGGACGGGGGAGGGATAGCTTTAGGAGATATACCTAATGCTAAATGACGAGTTAATGGGTGCAGCACACCAGCATGGCACATGTATACATATGTAACTAACCTGCACATTGTGCACATGTACCCTAAAACATAAAGTATAATAATAATAAAAAAAAACAAAAAAAAACAAAGTTCCATCGAAGCCGATTTAAAAGGCCTATGTAGCAATTAATTATTCTTGATGCACTATATACAAATAATAAAGCCAAGTATAATAAAGCAAACCAGTCCTACCACGATTTGTCTTTTAATAAAAATGGGAAACTGAAGAGTGAAAATTATGTTTAGAAAACTATAGCACACTTGTTCTTAAATTCTAGTCTTGCCTAATGTTTTTCAATTTTTATTATTCTCCACAGTTTAAATTATATCCATTATAGAAATCAACTCTTGGATACATCGCACTTAAGTCAAAGCCTAAAGAGCTGAGAAAGCAACCTCTAACAGCCCAGAAAAACATCCTATCAACGTAAAAAAAATGAAATCTTAAGCCGAAAATCATAAAAGATAAGTAACTAAGTGAAAACTACTCATCTTAGTCGGTCTCATCCTTACCTCACCAAATACTTCTTGTCGTTTCTACCTCTCCTTTTAAGCCAAATATTAAAATCTTTTTTAATGGAAATTATACTACTATGCCACCCTTGCGGGAATTGCTTTACTCACTCTACTATTTGCAGTAGGACTATATACTGTAGCACCCTCAGGGTGGAATATCCGACAAAGAATCTCAATTACTGTAGCATTTTGCTTAATTATTATCCTCATAGCAGGAATAACAGTTATTAGTGAAAAATAACGCATGGGTCTTTCCAAACATGCACCTCTGCCTGTCATTAGGAAAGAAATGTTGCTTCTGTCTCAACTAATTGGGCCTAATAAAAAACTCTGCTGAAAAGCCTAGGACTAATGTTTTTACCCTGCCTAATTAACCTTTTTCAAAATATTTTAACCGACAGAATCATGGCCATTTCACAGACAACTACCCAAAAACATCTACAGACCGTGTTGCTCCTGCAGTCAATCCAAGACCAAAAAGCTCTCTGCCCACACCATCAGCAGGAAGTGGCCAGAAAGAACACATCACCCCTTGTCCTTTTATAACTATAGGGTCTGGAATGATAGAGCAGGAGCACTGCCATCAGGGACAAACACTGCCACTTTAAGTTCCAGCTCCCTTTCTAGCCTCATTCATTTCAAGAAAATCACTTCTAACTACAAGCAGCCAGAAAGAGCAGGCAGTAAAACACAGATAAGACAGCTCAGGCACAGAAGGAGGTTGGGGGAAAGTCTCTTGGGTAACTGCCAAACTTCACCCTCATACGATGGGCACCAGTAAAACAGTGGGCCTTAATAAGCACATTCCTTTCCCTTCAGGTGCACTAAGATAGGGAAGCTAAAAGTAGACAGTGGGGGGATACACCTGCAGCTGCAGAAAGATGTATGGGAACAGAAATACAACTCTCCCTCCCAGATAAGCACAACAAAGAGACACAGAAGCAGTCCAAGCCTCTGATAAATTCTCCCACCCTGAATCCTTACAAACTGTTAGTCTGTAAGAGGGTGCGGCTTCTGACCTAACTTGTTCATAAGTCTCTCCCAGGTTTGAAATAAACTTGTTGACTGTCAAGCCACCCTTTGTGTTTCTCTCCTCTTTCTCTAATTCTTACAGTAGGCACATGTTTAGCGGCTGGTGCTATTGATGGCCTAGCAACTTAGTTCTATGTGTCTTGCTGATGATTACATTCACAGGCAGCCTTTCAAGACAGGGAACGTAGAAACTGACACGTCTTTTAAAGACTAACCTCAGAAGTGGTGTAACATCACTTCAGCCACATTCCACTGGCCAAAGCAAGTCATAAAACCAGACCAAGGGTGAAGAAATACACTTCGCTTATCTATGGAAAGAGTAGTCAAGTTGCTTTGCAAACGAGCATGCATACTAGGATAGGAAGTATTTGTGGCAATAATTTCAGTTGTACCCCAAGGAGGCATGCAGTACTTGAAGCATCTAATTTTGCTACTGCAGATGGTAACAGAAACAAAGTGACTGTAGCCAATAGTTCTGGTAATGGACTCCTAATCTCTTTCAACTTCCTAAATTTATCAGCAGCTGCAAAGGTAAGTGCCTTAGCATGCACTAACTTCCCTCTTAGCCTCTCTCTACTAGCCACGTTAGTTTCTGAACTGGTAACGATAAACATTATTTGCATCTATGCTTTTTTAGACAACAGTAAAACTTTGCTTTCTTCTTATATATTTTGCATTGTTGTAGTGAATTTATTTTTATTCTTTTATCCAATACATTCTAAACAGTAACCCATTTTCTTCTTGGATCCAGTAAGGCTTTTGAGGTTGCCATTGTCAATCTATTCTTGCTGCTTTGTAGGTGATCTGCGATTTCTCCGTGGAAGCTTTTAAAATTTTCCTTTCTCTTTGATCTTCCTAAATTGCACTATAATCTTTCTGTGGTTATATATTTTTTATCTCTACTGTTCAGCACTCTATAAGCACTTTCAATCTAAAGTATTTTATCTTTCTTTAAAACTAGGGAATTCACGGCCATTATTTGTACAAGTATTTCCTCCCTTCTGTTTATTTTTTCTCTCCCTTTGGGACTCTTCTTTAATGACAGTTGTCACCTCTACTTCTAGCCTCCATGTCTTTATACTTCATATTTACCATCTCTTTATTCCTTCCTAATGCTTTCTGGGGCTGGTATTCAACATAATCTTCTAGTTCAATAATTAGCTCTTCATTTGTATCCACTGTGCATTCAGTTTACTTACTAAATTTTTTATTTCAGCTATTTAGTTTTCAATAATATTTCCATGTGACTTTTCCTTAAGACTGAAGTTACTAAGATCTTTTCAGCTCTTTTATATTTACAACTTATATTCATAGTTGTAAAAAAGTTTGGAATTAACTATAAAACTGAAAGGCTTTAAAGCATTTGATGAAATACAGTGTCTATTTTTGATCAAAATTCAGCAAGCTAGGAATAAAAGAATTTTTAAAATGAGAAAGGGCATCTACAATTACAAAGCTGCAGCGAACATCACACTGTGATATTGTTTCTATTCTATTAGTCACATGTAGTTTATAGGTACAGAGGTCAGACGTCCAAAATAGGTCTGACTAGGCTAAAATTATGTCAGCAGGACTGAGTTCACTCTGGAGACTCTAGGGAAGAAATCTGTTTCTTTTTCCCAGCTTCAAAAAGCCACCTGCAGCACTTGCCTCGTGGTCACATTACTCTGACTTCTGTTTTTATCCCAGCTCCTTTACAGACCCTCCTGTCTCCCTCCTCTAAGGCCCCCTGTGATAACATTTGACCACTCTGATAATCCAAGATAATCTCCCTATCTTAAAATCCTTAATTTAATCACATTTGTAAAGTCTCTTTTGCTGTGTAAGGTAACATTCACAGATACCAAAGATTAGGATATGAGCATTGCTGTGGTTTGAATGTGTCCCCCAAATTTCACGTGTTGGAAACTTAATCCCCAAATTTATATGTTTATGGTATTTGGAGGTGGGGCCTTTGGGAGGTAATTAAGATTAAAGTCATCAGGGTGGGGCTCCCATGACGGGACTGTGGCTTTATAAGAAGAGGAAGAGACACCTGAGCCGGCTGGCCCTTGCCCTCCCTCCATGGGATGCCCTCCACCATGTTATGATGCAGTAGAAGGCCTTCACCAGATGTTGCCCCTCTACCTTTGACTTCCCAGCCTCCAAAATGGTAAGAAATAAATTTCTTTTCTTTATAAATTACCCAGGCTGTGGTAGTCCTTTATACCAACATAAAATTGACTAAGACAGACATCTTTGGGGGCCATTTTTCTACCACATTCATCCTCCTACATTCACTTCCCACAACTTTCCTTTCCATGACTTTTACAATCTAAGCCAAACCTATTCAGCATTTTCTGTGTGTACCACACTTCCTCACACCTTTACAACTACCAATCCTTCCTTTGGAAAGGTGCTTGGCCCTCCTGGCTTTCTACCTGTGGAACTCTAAGAGACAGAACAGAATAGTGGGTAAGAGGCCTAACTCTGGAGTCAGACAGTTTGGGCTCAAATATGAGTCTGCCACTTACTAGGAATTTTTGGTAAATGGTTTTGTTTTGTTTTAACCTAGATCTAAATGCCAGATTGTAACAAATACAAGAAATAGAAAAACCAGGGAAACTGCACCACAAGGAAACAATTACACAGATCCAGAATGTGTAACGTTCCACAGGCAAAAATGACCTGGTTTGATGAACAGATGTTAAAAAAGGTGGCAGGGGTGTGTGTGGGGAGGGTGTCTATGTAGGTAGAGGTTGGGGGGTTGTTTAAAGAAGACTAAAAGAGACAATAACAAAATGTGGTCGGGTGCGGGGGCTCACGCCTGTAATCCCAGCACTTCGGGAGGCTGAGGCAGCCGGATCATCTGAGGCCGTGAGTTCAAGACCAGCCTGACCAATATGGAGAAACCCCATCTCTACTAAAAATACAAAATTAGCTGGGCATGGTGGAGGGCACCTGTAATCCCAGCTACTTGGGAAGCTAAGGCAGGAGAATTGCTTGAACACAGGAGGCAGAGGCTGCAGTGGGCAGATATCGCGCCATTGCACTCCAGCCTGGGCAACAAGAGTGAAACTCCATCTCAAAAAAAAAAAAAAAAAGAGAGACAATAACAAAATGCAAGATGTAGGCCCAAGTTTGAAAGCAGGGTTAAACAAACTATAAAAAGCTTTGGTGAGGCAGTCAGGGAAATGTGAGTCTAAAACAGCTATCAAAGAGTATTAAGGACGTCTAAGCGTAAGTATGATGTGGTTATGCATTTTTTAAAAAATTTTCCTGAGATGCACACCATAAACACAGAGATACACTGAAAAGTTTTATTTAGGAGTGAACTGACATATCTGAGATCTCTTCAGTAATATTCTAGAAAAAAAAAGTTAGAGAGGAACAGATGAAACATGATTGGCAAACGGTAATTGCTGAAGCTAAATGACTGGAACAAGTTGAGTATCCCTTACCCAAAACACTTGGGACCAGAAGTGTTTCAGGGTTTTTTGGAATCTGGAATATGGGCATTTTGTTAACCAGTTCAGTATCTCTAATAGGAAAATCTGAAATCTGAAGTGCTCCAATGAGCATATCCTTTGAGCTCATGTCAGTGTTGTTCAACGTTTTGGACTTTTGGAGCATTTCAGATTTTCAGATTAAAGATGCACAACCTGTACATGGGAGTTGATTCTATTATTCCATGTGTTTGAACTTTTCACAGTGCAGATGGTCCTTGACTTACAATGGTTCAACTTAAAATTTTTTTGACTAGTCAGGATGTAATCCCATTGTAAATTAAGGAGCATCTATACATTTATTTAAAAATATATCTCCCAGGAAGTTTTTTTCCCCCAGGTTCTGCCAGAAAGTAATTTCCTTGTCCATTTTCCTTAACAGTTTATTCACATTTTTGCCATCATAGTAATTATACCTAATTATTTACTCTTATTATACTGTGCCTAAAATTTACTTCTTATTGTGTGCTTATGTGCAAGGAACTCTGCTATGTGCTAGGCACTCCGTGGTGAACAAGACAGACATGGCCTCTACACTAGCTTCACAGAGTTGTTTTTTTTTTTTTTGAGACGGAGTCTCGCTCTGTCGCCCAGGCTGGAGTGCAGTGGCACAGTCTTGGCTCACTAACAGAGAGTATTTTATAGCGCAGATAGGGAGACAACCACCACCTAAGCAAACATGCAATTGCGACAGTGGGAGGGAAGCCCACTGGAGTCGGTGGCAAGGGCATAATGGGGAAATTGAAGAACTTTCTGTAGAGAAGTTGATTAAGGAAGGCCTTTCAGAAGATGAAATGCTTAATCTGAGACCTGAAGGATTCTATCATGTATGAACGAATGTTTGTGTCTGCTCCCAGCCACCAAATCATGCGTGGAAATTCCAGGCCGGGTGTTGTGGCTCATACCTGTAATTCTGTTACAGGAAAGGGGTCCAGTCCAGATCCCAAGGGAGAATTCTTGGATCTCGTGCAAGAAAGAATTCAGGGTGAGTCCACTGTGCAAAATGAAAGTAAGTTTATTAAGAAAGTAAAGGAATAAAAGGATGGCTACTCCATAGACAGAACAGCCGAGGGCTGCTGGTTGCCCATTTTTATAGTTATTTTTTGCTTATATGCTAAACGAGGGGTGTATTATTCATGCCTCCCCTTTTTAGACCATGTAGGGTAACTTCCTGATGTTGCCATGGCATTTCTAAACTGTCATGGCACTGGTGGGAGTGTAACAGTGAGGACCAAAGTCACTCTCTTCGCCATTTTGGTTTTGGTGGGTTTTGGCTGGCTCCTTTGCTGCAACCTGTTTCATCAACAAGGTCTTTATGACCTGTATTTTGTGCTGACCTCCCATTTCATCCTGTGACTTAGAATGCCTTAACTGTCTGGGAATGCAGCCCAGTAGGTTTTAGGCTCATCTTACCCAGCTCCTGTTTAAGATGAAGGTGCTCTGGTTCACTTGCCTCTGACGATCCCAGCACTTTGCGAGGCCAAGGCGGGCAGTTCACTTGAGGTCAGGAGTTCGAGACCAGCCTGGCCAAAATGATGAAAACCCGTTTCTACTAAAAATACAAAAACTAGCTGGGCCTGTAATCCCAGCTGCTCTGGAGGCTGAGGCAGAATGGCTTGAACCTGGGAGGGGGAGGTCGCAGTGAGCCAAGATCACACCACTGCACTCCAGCCTGAGCAGCAGAGTGAGACTGTCTCCAAAAAAAAAAAAGGGCGGGGGGTGGAATTCCAAACACCCTCTTCCCCCAAGAAGTGATTGTATTAGGAAGTTAGGAGGTGGGGCCTTCGGGAGGTAATCAAGATTAGATGGTCATGAGGGTGGGGCCCTCACCCATGGAGATTATAAATGTCCTTAGCCGGCCTGTCTCACTTGTTCAGAAACCGGAAAAGTCCGTGGTCTGCAGTGTGGAAAAGGGCACCCGGACCTCTTACTTCCAGCCTCTAGTCTGGAAACTTTGTCTAAGGTACCCCATCTACATTACTTAGTCACAGCCACCCTGAACCCACTAGCCTGTACTGCGCTGGAGCATTTCGCATAAAATGAAATTAACATAAAAATGACACGTGCTCGTTGTGGAAAAAATACCAAAAAGATCACTTTTAATTCTGTCATCTAAAAATAACCACCAGTTACATTTATAAATTTCTTCCAGTAACTTTTTTATATGAACATGTTTTTAAACTTGGGTCAATATTAAAAGACCAGAAGTTGTTAAACATCATTTTAAATCCCCTTATCCAGGAATTAGCATTGTTATTCTTGGCCGCAGCAGAATATTATTTTATTCCCTCAAGCTTTCCATGGCTTGGGTCTGCCCTGGTTTTGAACATTAGGTTAGGCTACAGAAAGCATTCTGGGTCTCTGGCCCATTTGTTTCTTTCTTTGTGGAGACGGGGTCTGGCTCTGTTGCTCAGGCCTGTCTGGAACTCCTGGGCTCAAGCGACACTCCACCTCGGCCTCCCGAGTGGCTGGGACCACTGGCGCCCGCCGCCACCGCGCCGGCTCCGGGCCTCTCTCTACGCGTGGCTCCGCAGGCTCCATTCTCCACACAGTCGTCTAGGGGGGCGCCAGGAGCCCCGCGACGGGCCAGGCCGGAAGCTCAGCAAGTGCACCAGGCGGCGAAACGGCCGGCTGCGCAGGGCAGCCCCGGACACAGCCACGCCGCGGCCGCCCGGCGCTCCCCCGACCCAGCCGACCACGAAGCCGCCCTCCCCCTCACACCGCAGAACCTTTCTGCCTTTTACTACTTTTCAAAGTGGACCTAGGCTCCTGGCTCGAGCCTGAGGGGATACAAGGGATCACGAGGAGCGCCATCACCGTGCAAGGTCGACAGCTTCCGCTCAAAGCCCTGTGGCCCACGCTTCCGGCCTCGACCGACTACGTCATCACCAAACCCCGTGATACCTCACTCCACCTTCAGGTCCTCCGTCCCAACGGTTCCGTGTCCTGGAACTTTCCACGTTCCTGCGCACGCGCTCTGCGGCCCTTAACGTCCCGACTTCGCCCTCCTCTGGCCACGCCCCTGCCCGTTAAGGGCCCTGCCACCCCCGTGACGTACCTATCTTCCCTCGGGCAACCTCGCAACAGATCTCTGATTGGCTGACCCAGGAAGCGGACTTTGCGAGGCGGCGGCGACGATAGGCTGGCAGCCGGCCGACTTCCGCAGAAGGTGATTGGTCGGCGCTGCTGTCCAATCGGCGGCGGGCTGTCGGATTCAAATCCGGATCGTTGGGACTGCGGTCGTTAGTCTCCGGCGAGTTGTTGCCTGGGCTGGACGTGGTTTTGTCTGCTGCGCCCGCTCTTCGCGCTCTCGTTTCATTTTCTGCAGCGCGCCAGCAGGATGGCCCACAAGCAGATCTACTACTCGGACAAGTACTTCGACGAACACTACGAGTACCGGTGGGCGCCTTTCTTAGACCCCGAGCCGGCTCCCTCAGCCGGGGCCCCCGCGGGCGGGGCGACCCAGGCATAGTAGGGTCGGGGGTGGGGGCCGGGGCCTGGGGGGCGGAGCCCGGGGCCGGAGGGCGAGGGCCGGGGTTTGGGGTCGCGGCCACCTGGCGCCCCGCGCAGTCGGACATGGTTGGGTGCCTGGCCGCGCCGGGCCGGTTGGGCCTTTGTTCGGTGTGCGCGGAGGGTGAGGGAAGAGTGCCCACCGGGCCGCATTTAGTACCTGGGTAGGAACCGGCGCAACTTGGGGGTCATGGGGTCCTCGGCGACGCGGAGTGACCATCCCGTCACTTTTTTCTCGGCCGTGGCCGAAGTAATTAGGCCGTTCAGTAGCTGGTCTCAGTTCCAGTTCTTTGAACCAGTCCAGGAAAACCCACCTGGTGCCGTCCTTTTTCCTTTAGCAACCGTGACACACTTTCCCTGTCGCTGACGGGGTGATGCAGCTTTTACTAGTTTGTGGTTTAGAATGGTCAAATGGTCATTTTCATCTGTTAACACAGAGGAACACTTTTCTTTTTCTTGTTTTTGAAGTGAGTGGTATAAGAATAAGCTTTGGAGGCGACCCCCCGAAAAATGAGCTTGATGGGGATTCGAAAATGTTTACTGGGTATGGTGATTTGGGCCATTATAGGTTAGCCGCAGTCATACAATTGAGGGTATTATTAAAGGAGTTTCATTTTAAGGCCGATTAAGAACTTGAGTGGACTTTGGGCATCATTTTCTGCTAGTATACACTGGCCAAATTTTGGGCTTTGAGAAACTTTTGCGTTTGAGTCCTGAAGCACCGTACTAGAACATGGTGGCTGTAATCGATCAGTAAAATTAGACAAATTTTAAATGTCCCTGTCCCCTTCCCCCCAATTAAAGTAGATTGGGGGAAAGCGAGTAGGGACATTTAAAATTTGTTGTCCTTACTGTATGCGGGACACTTCATTTAGGGCGTGGCTTCAGAAAACAGTCAACCCCTTTTTCTTAACTAGGTAGCGACTAGAACGCTGCGTTCTGGGATACTACCAAGATTTAGGGGAGATAAAGCCCATGCCATCGTTGGCCAAATTGTGACCTTGTTTTCTGTCTGCTGCCTTTGTAGGTTAGATTTCTCCGAATGCTATTTAAGGAAGAAAGAACAAAACAGTGGGTGGTTTCTCTTTTTCTCCCCCTCCCTAGTAGCATGGAAGTCTGTTTTCACATGAGGACTACTGAATATTTCTATGGGTAGTAGTAATTGCACCCTTTTGTATTCCTAGCTAGAAAAATAGCATGTTTTTCTGGCTGTAGGTAAATTTCAAGTAGATTGTGTTAACCTTATAGTAATAATAAACTATACTCGTGTAATATGCTGGCAGTGTTCAATTATGCGATGTTAATCAAGAGCCCTATTGAGGATATCCAATAATGAACACAATGTAAACCGTAATAATCTTACTAAAACCTAGAAAATTATTCTGAAACACATCTGGTGCCAAGTGTTTAGGATAAGGATTTAAGGGTCGGTACAAGTTTCTTTTAGGGTATAATATTGAAAATAAATGAAGCTATTTCTCAGACTTCTTTCTGATGGCAGTAGGTCGATTTTTTAGTTTTAATATACTCAAATGATTTGTGTGTGGTAATGTATAGAAGAAAGTTTACATATCTGAAGTGATGTATTTTAATCCAATAAAAATTAGAGCTGGTATTAATTGGCCAAGCCAGTAACCTTTATGAAACAGGATAGTAATTTCCACACATAATTTTAAAGGGGAAACTAGTAATAATATAGCACTAAGGCATGAGTCTAGGGTGGTTTGTATTAATATGTAATGGTGCAGCATGCAATGTAAATTTCAAAGGCTAGTATTTATTTTTCCCAGTGTGCAGTTATCTCTATCTTTCTTTGATTTTTCTTAATTACAAACTTAATTTCCTAGTCCTTTTACGTGAGGGTCTTAATGTTTCTAAGGGCATAACAGTGGGTGCCCCCACCCCCACATCATGGAAGTCTGTTTTCACAAGAGAAAAACTGTTAATTTTTCTGGGCAGCCTTACAAATTAGTAATACTTGCACTATTTTGCATTTCAACTGAAATAAACGTTAGATTTTGGAAATAATTTTCCTTACATGTAGTTAGTTTGAAATCTCTGTGTGGCAAAATACAGGTAGAATCCTCATATGGGGTTGATGCTACTTAAACATTTTTCCTTTATAAAGAAACCCTGATGGAGGAGAGCCTGTTTCCGTGTTTATGGAGAAGGGTGGTAACTTCTATCTAAATAACTTGTTGGTAGATTTATGTACTCTGTAAGTTTGATAGAAAAGGTACAAAAGCACTACATTTCTCTTTGAGAATAATCAACAAGATAGAACGTAGAAATAAGATAACAGATTATTTGAAGTTAGATGTTAAAGCAGCATTTCAAGAATGTGGGTGATAACTGGTAAGAATTACAAAGAATCACTATATAGTTCACTGGAATTGATGAAAACTCTACAAATTATGGTAGTAAGCTATGACTTGGTGGCCTTAAGGCAATCTAACAACACAGTAGAATTTTTCTGAGGCTCACTTTGCCCTGCAAATAAATTGGTACTTAACCACAGACTAAAATTTAAGTTGATGACAGCTGGGTGCTTATAGCGGGTTAGGGATTCAGTTTACTGTGTCTCAGAAAGTGACCAGATTGCACCTCATTCATCCCCAGCCAGCTGACTCACAGACAGATATCTTATACTGGTTAAAAATTTGGGTTGGTGGTTATGGATGGTTCAGTATAAAACTGTTGCTACTACTGCAGGTGGTAAACATGGAGCTGAGAATTGTGACTTTCATAAAGTCCTTTTTATGGTAATTGAGTAAAAATTCTTACTCAATTTGGGGAAAGAGATTTGTTAGGCAAATCTTTGATAGAATGCTTTGGGATACTGTTAATGATACAGATTTGTTTTTGAGAATCTCGTAAGGCTACAATTATACATATTGATGGTTTAACTTTGAAGGTTATTCCATGCTTGCCTAAGAAACTGAACAATGTAAGTTTTGGATATAGGTCAGTAAATTAACTGGAAAACGGTGAGGTTGCACACAATGTGTATGTACAGTTAGTGGTTTTCTGTTTTTAATTTTGAACAAAGTACTTGAAGTATAAAGCAACTTCTGGAGCATACAAGGACTAGTAGCTACTACAAAGCTAGTGTTGAGTAAGAGGAAACCCAAATTAACTGTAACTTAGATTTTTTCGTTACATAAAAGTCTAATAATCTGGGGCAGGGATAACAGCTTTACAGTCAAGGACTAGGCTGGGTCCTTACCTCTTGTTGCTTTACCGTTCTCAATTTACAGTTGCTTCTATGGTCCTAGATTCCTGCTCTGGCTCCCTGATCATATTAATGTGCATTCAACAAGAAGGAGAAAAAGAGTTCAGCATGTTCTTTCCCTTTGAGAACACTTTTCATAATAAGTTACACATTTTCTTATATCTTGTTGGCTTATGATTTGGAGGCTGGTAACCATATGTTCAACTTATATTTTGGGGTTCTCTTCCTGAAGAAGATTAAGGCAACTGGTAAGCATTCTGTGATAAGAGAAAAAGATTAATCCTATGGAAAATGCTTTCTGCTTTTGGATTGTGCACTCTTAGCTCCCTAATTTGAACATAGGCCATCATATCAGAATTAAAGGTAGTAGATTGCAGTTCTCAATATTAAAGCAACAGAGTTCCTTAAGGTACATGTATAAAGCGACAGTTGTAGAAAAGGCACTGGACTAACACTTGGCTGTATCTTGTAACAGGCATGTTATGTTACCCAGAGAACTTTCCAAACAAGTACCTAAAACTCATCTGATGTCTGAAGAGGAGTGGAGGAGACTTGGTGTCCAACAGAGTCTAGGCTGGGTTCATTACATGATTCATGAGCCAGGTAAGCTATGCTATGTTATAGTAAAGCAGTAATTGTTGAAATATTGGTGGTTATGGTTGTCAAAATTTTAAAAATATCATTGACATCAAATGATATCTGAAAGTAACTGTTCTGATAAGTTTTTTTTTTTAATGACTAATTTCTTGACTCTGGAGAGAGTTCCAATTTTATGGTAAATAAAATACCACAGCAGTGAAAGTAACACATTATTCTACTTGGAAAATAATGTAAGAAGTAAAAAAAAAAAAAAAAAAATGTATTTTAAAATCTGTATCATTGTTAACAGTATCCCAAAGCATTTTATCATAAGTATATCCTAAGACAAGTGTTCTTATCTATGTGTGGAAATTGATTTAATTTAAAGTGATTCTTCAGCCCTCTGAAAGGATATATACCACATGAAGTTTAAATGAGGTAATAGCATATGAACTCAACTGTGCTTATGGGTACCTTATGCTATTATGTGGTATTAACCAAAAGTTTTTCAGGTGTTAAATAGTAAACTCTACTAAAACTTTGTGGGTTTTCTAGACTAAAACAGTGTGGGTTAAATTTTATATTTGGATTATCAGTAAATCTAACAGCATTTATAATGCTTTGAACAAAATTTGAAGACATACTATAGAAGCTGAAGTAGGTGGAATTAAAACTATCTTCTACTCTGCTGTTAAAGAAAAGCATTGCATCGAAAACTCTAAAAGGACTCATCACTTTCTTGGGATTGAGATACGTAATCCTATTAGAATTCAGTCCAGATAATACAAAAGCAACTGAAGAACTTAAGTGTAGATTTCTGTGCCCCACCTATTGAAACAGAATCTATGGGGATGAGCATTAGTATGAGATCCTGTAGGTGATTTGAAGGAGGTGTTTTTCCCTATAAAGAGGTAATCTTTTTACTTTTAATCTATTTACTGTAGACAGTAACTGTGAAAAAAAAATCATTTTGGATACCTCAAACCAATTAATAGTGGACTTAGTTTATTTTATTCTGGCTTAGTTGAGAATACTTTTGAATTTCTGTTGAGTATATGAAAATCATATTAAAATGATTCAAAACATTTTCTTTCCACAGAACCACATATTCTTCTCTTTAGACGACCTCTTCCAAAAGATCAACAAAAATGAAGTTTATCTGGGGATCGTCAAATCTTTTTCAAATTTAATGTATATGTGTATATAAGGTAGTATTCAGTGAATACTTGAGAAATGTACAAATCTTTCATCCATACCTGTGCATGAGCTGTATTCTTCACAGCAACAGAGCTCAGTTAAATGCAACTGCAAGTAGGTTACTGTAAGATGTTTAAGATAAAAGTTCTTCCAGTCAGTTTTTCTCTTAAGTGCCTGTTTGAGTTTACTGAAACAGTTTACTTTTGTTCAATAAAGTTTGTATGTTGCATTTATCACTGTTTCAAGTTTTTGAGGTATATTTTCTTAATTTGTGACTATTGAAATTTGTGACTATTGAAATTGATTTCAGTGTTATAGTTTTAGCTCTGAGGAAGTTAACTTACCTTAAAGATGATGTTAAATGAGTTTAAAATAGTGCGGTATGATCTGGATACCATTTAATTCACTTAATGAAGAAATTAATTACCAGGGATATGTTTAAACTAAAGCCAAAGTAGATTTTACCTCTTGAATTCCTGGAGAATTGTCTAGAACAGGAAAGCCCAAATTAATACTATCTGGGCTACTTCACTGGCCACTGGTGGTCTTGGGAGAAACCTCTTTTTTATCCTCTTCTACATTTCCAAAGTAGGGATAATGTTTCCTATAAAGTATCACCACATTTTTAAAAGTTCAAAAACACTGTAAAACACCTTTGCCTTTTTAGCTGCTAGGAAAGTGTTTTGGAGTTATTCTAATTAATTGCTATGCTATAGAAACATCTTAAATGAGCAGCCAGCATACATCAGGTCCATTGGTTAAGAAAGGGTGTCTTTACACATGAGGGCAATAAATTTTGAAGGTTGTGATTAGCAGCATCCTAAAATCTACTGCCACTACCATAGGTTGTGTCCAGGGTAACCAACAGAAACATGACAAAATCAAGTAAACTTCATTACACTTCCGGGTAGACCCAATAGTGCTGAAAGGAAGGCGACAGCTACCCCTAAACTTCCAGCATAAATTCCTGCCAGACCAGACCCTAAGGATCACTTCTGCTAGAGGCTGTGTAGTGAACTGAGACCCACCAGGACAGAAATCTGAAAAAACTGGAGCTGCACCTGCCTTACTTGCTTGAAATACTTCGTATTCAATGGTAGAGTTAACGTCTGTGCAAGGGACAGAGGAAACCTACAATTTGCCTCAACCTAATCCCCATTCCTCAAATAGCCTGTTTTGCTGACATTTTCTGTTCCTTAAATCCACTTGCACTTTCCTCCAAGCCTTTGAGTGAGAGGAAAGTTCCTCCTCCATCTATTGAAATCCACTCTGCATTCTTCCCTGTACTTTTGGTCAACCTCCTATCCCTGCCGCACTTTATACATTTCTCTCAATATTTAACGAATTTGCTCTGTGTAGAACTTTTTTTTTCTCGTGAAAATTATACTATTCCATCTCTTGACCATATCTTAGCACTTTTTTTAATTTTTGAAAGAAACCGAGCGATTTTTAAATTATTTTCTGTGGCTACTTCCAAACTTAAGGTTTCTGGAAATTTAGGATACCATCAAGAGTCTTGTAGGCTTTCCAGGTTTGTAGGACCTACAGGGTATGCAATTCCTGTAAGTCACCAATCTTGGGGAAATTTTAGGGAAATGCAGTGGCGGGGGTGAGAGTAATCTCGGCCTCCTCAGTTTCCTTATTAGTAAATCTTTCTCTTCAGGTGACTGCTCAAAGGTCACCTCAGCGAGAGGCCTTTCCAGACTACCCCATCCCGTCCTAACGCTAGACTCGTGAGGCCCAGGGGAGAAAAGTAAATCACGGCCTAACTCTTGTTTATAGTCGCTACTGCCTTGGTGGAGACTATCTCCGATATCCCAGCACTAAAAGGCAGATCCAAGACTCCCGCAAGCTACGGTGGGTCCCCAGCCCAGAGGACTCCTGGGGGTCCCCATTTTCCGCAAGCGCCCCACTGCCTCCACGTGCTGCCCGCGCAGGTCCAGTGCCGCCGCCGCGTACTTCCGGCCGGAAGAAAGGGCGGGCTCTGTCGCTTTGCTGTGACGCACTTCCTGGCGTCGCCTGCGGGGGCGGAAACGCTTTGTCTGTCCGGCAAGCCGACGGCCCGCTGCTGGCCTCCGTGACGCGGCCTCCTCCGCGCCTCGCGGCATGGCGTCGGAGGGGCCGCGGGAGCCCGAAAGCGAGGTAAGGGCCGACGGGGGCTCTCTCGGCAGCCTCAGTCCGTCCGCCTGCCTCGCACTGGGGGCTCGGCCGGGCGGTGACGGGGCTGGTCCAGCGGGCGTGGGTCGGATGCTGGTGACGGCACGGGAGCGCCCTACCGGGTGGCCGCGATCTTCGCGCCCCGCCTCGGGTCCGCCTTGGGGTGGCGGTCAGCGGCTACAGACCCCGCCCACAGTTAGCGCCGCGTCTGTGGTGCGATGTCACCCAGCGCAGTGACTGCGGCCCAGCCCGGCGCTCCCCGCAGTCGGGGCGGGGGGACTCTGGCGAGCTTCCCGCGCTCTTGGGAACGGATAGATTGTTTTAAAGGATCCTGCGTTTTTCTGAACGTCATTCTCCGCTCTACGTACTCAGCATTACCACTAGATGGAGCCCTGGCGATCGCTTGCATCATTTTTAGACCCATAAAATTCTCGGTGAAAGTAAATCTCTTACTACGTCACTAAAAACTAAAGAAAGAAATCTTAGTGAATTGAAATTTCAAAGGCTCGTGGTGATAATATTTTCTAGCAAAGCAAGGTTTGGTATTTCAATAAAGCAAGACTTAGTGGTTCATGAGTAAAATGCATATGCTTTTGTGCAACTTTTTCAAGAAAATGTAATGGAAATAAACGTCTGCAGTGTGTTTTGGGTGCTGTAGTTAAACAGTCCACGTGTATTTGACTGCAGTAGTTGTACTGTGTGCAGTTCTATTATTTCTAAGTGAATCTGTGGTAAAAACACCCTTATTCCAAGATCTAAACTATATAATCTGTGTTGTTTTATTTCCACTTGAATTCGTTGTCATTTTTCACTTTTAATGTTTGAACTACTGCCTTTTCTACAAAAAAAAAAGCATTGGGGAGAAATCGTTAGCAAGCAGGTTCTTGTCTTTACGAGGCAGAAGTTTTTAAACAACATCGGGAACATTTCTGGGGCTATTAGGAACACCTCTTGGGTCTTTTTGTTTGTTTATATTTGCTTGATCTCTGAATGTTTGTGGCCAAAACCTCATATTTTTCCTCAGGGCATCAAGTTATCAGCAGATGTCAAACCATTTGTCCCCAGATTTGCCGGGCTCAATGTGGCATGGTTAGAGTCCTCAGAAGCATGTGTCTTCCCCAGCTCTGCAGCCACATACTATCCGTTTGTTCAGGAACCACCAGTGACAGAGTATGTATCTTTCTAAAAGTCTTACCTAGGGGCTTACATTTTGGATTTAATGGTGATTAGACTTTCAAATACTCAGCAGTTACTGCACTAAAGTTCTGCAGATGATGAGAGAATGCTCTTCAACCAAGAAGAGTCTGAGCCAGTAGCACAACTTAACTGTATCCTGTGCCAAAAACAGAAGCTTTAACTCCCCTTTTTTTTCTTCATACTCATTGTTATTTTCGGCAAAGAAATAGTAGAGACTGCATTGCATTTGTTAATAAGAAATGCAGTTTCAGGCCAGGCGCTGTGGCTCACGCCTGTAATCCCAGCACTTTGGGAGGCCGAGGTGGGTGGATCACCTGAGGTCAGGAGTTCAAGACCAGTGTGACCAACATGGTGAAACTCCGTCTCCACAAAAATACAAAAATTAATCAGGTATGGTGGCGGACACCTGTAATCCCAGGTATTCGGGAGACTGGGGCAGCAGAATCCTTTGAACCTGGGAGGCAGAGGTTGCAGTGGGCCAAGATAGCACCACTACACTCAAGCCTGGCTGACAGAGTGAGACTCTGTCTCAAAAAAAAAAAAAAAAAAAAAAAAATCCCGTTTCAAGGTTCATTTGTTCATATGGTTTAAAAATATATCATATATCTAATGGGAGATGAAATGTGGAGGGAAGGGCAAAGAAAGGACCAAATAAACGTACTCCTCCTTTTTAAGGTTAACATTTTAAAATCTTGTTGAGCGAAGGGGAGGGGACTAGCAACCATAGCTGCCTCTGTGTGGATAATTTTTTGGAAATTGTTGACTTTTGCTTTCCACCTTTTTACTTTATATCTGTTAATATGGAGATGAATTTTACACATTTCAGGCTTAAGTTCTTCTAAATTTGAGTTGAAAGAAGGCTTACATTTTTCCTTACATTTTCTTTTTCCTTCTCAGGATTCATTCTCTAGGTTTACAAAATGGCTTCCTCTTGCAGCTGAATTTAGACAAAAAAAGTATTAATCTTTCACATAATTGTGTAGATTTATTTGTAGATCTGTTTTTAAGATTTGCATCAGGTGTAGTTCTAATCTAAGAATCCTAATGCTTTTTTCTTCTTTGATATGATTCTAACTTGTTTCCTTTTATTTGTGCCTGCATGATGTAATTGAAAATAGTTTGTACTGTATATAAATTCTAGAATTATATTTGCAAGAATGAGAATTGTAATGAATAAGAAAATGATTGAGTTGTCTTTTGTGTTTAGGAAATACTGAAAGTTGTATTTTTTTGACGAAAGTTGAAACACTACCTTTATATGCTGGAATTTGGTCTTTGGTAGGAATACCCTATTTTTCCACTGTATTTCATCCACTGTAAAGGGGAGTTTGGCATGGGTCTCACTTGAGTTGTTCCCTACCTTGAGTGTCTCACATAACAAAATACAAAAATATATCTCAGTGACAAGAGCTCAAAGCCATCTGCTAGGTGGTATTTAGTTACTCAAAATAGTGGTGGAAAACATTCACATGGCTAAAGGAACATTTTGGCAGTAACATGAGTGGAGACTAATCAGAGACTCAAGAATGGGCAGTGCTGAATTTAAAAATTAGTTTTCTTGGCCGGGTGTGGTGGCTCATGCCTGTAATCCCAGCACTTTGGGAGGCCAAGGCGGGTGGATCACGAGGTCAGGAGTTCAAGACGAGCCTGACCAACATGGTGAAACCCCATCTCTACTACAGAAATACAAAAATTAGCCGGGTGTGGTGGCAGGTGCCTGTAATCCCAGTTACTCGGGAGGCTGAGGTAGAGAATTGCTTGAACCCAGGAGATGGAGGTTGCAGTGAGCCAAGACTGCGCCACTGCACTTCAGCCTGGGCAACAGAACAAGACTCTCTCTCAAAAAAAAAAAAATAGTTTTCTTAACTCTTCTTTTTTAGCTTTGGTTTATGACCAAGGAAAAGTATTCACGCCTGGCAAGAAAACAAGGATAAGGAAGGCATTAAGTTGAAGAGGAAGAGTTAGAAAGGAAAAGATCCTTTAAAGTGGGGATGAAATAATGAGACTTCACATGGTTGAGAATTGATTATCTGAGCAGTTCTAATATAGATTAAAAATTGCATTGCCATAGTCAGATTACATGTAAATGGAGATCTCTTGCTGCTGTGACAAAAGGAATAGAAGTTTCTGAAACAACTATTTCCTCCTTCTTACTTGTTCAACTACATAGCATCCTAAGTCAACTTTGTATGTCCCCTTCCCTCATCTTTCCTTAAAGAAGGTATAGTAACCTTTTACAGAATTTGTCCTCCTCCAGTACCTTTCACAGTGCACTCAAAGATGCTCATTTATTCATTTGGAATTAATTATTGAAAGTCTTCCATAGTTTTGAAGTGATGGAGATGAAAATGAACATACCAGACTCTTCCATATTTATGTTATAGGACAAGACAAAGAAATTAGAAGTAGTCTGATAGATAACATTTGCCATGTTTGGAAAATACTGATTATTTACTGATGTAATGAACAAATTTGCCTATGCAAACAAAATAAGTTTCTTCCAAGTAATGTCCATTGTCATGTTACATCCTTTGTGAAAAATCCTGTGCAACCTGTGTATGAGGATGTGTGCCTTTTGTTTGGGTATTATTGTATACTTCCACTTCTTTCATAGTTACTACAATCCATGAGGTGGCAGGCAGATGTAATGTTATTTTGCACATGGGAAACTGAAGCTAGGAATGTTTGTTCATGCTAATTCAAATAGGTAGCACCAGAACCAGAATTAACGTGCTATTCTTCAAAATTGCTGCTGCTATTGACAAGAGGTAGTTGAGCATTTTCACCATCTGCCAATATACTGTGAAAATTTTAGTACCAATTGATGCTTTTGAGTTAAAGCAGATCAGCTATGAGAAGAACTAGTGGTATACAACATTGTACAGCTGAGCACGTGGCTCGGTGGGTGGAGGAGAAACTGCATCCCCTTTGGGTCGTTGCCTGACTGAAGGGACCATGTGCATGATATGTTTGGGAGATAGTAGAGGAATAAAGTGATAATTTTGGGGGGAAGCTGTCAGTAGATTGGAAGCCTGCATAGTACAGCTGAAAAGTTTTAGGTTTGCTGGGTAGGCAATAGGGAACTTTTGGTAGTGTCTTAAATGGGGTCATTGTAATCACTCCTAAATTTTGGAAAGATTTTTAAAGAAGAGGGTCTTGAAGGCTTTGACCAGGTTCTAGGCACTGGAAATAGTAAAGAAACTACATGAGAGAACTGTTGAAATAAAAAAGAGCCCCATGATTGTCCGTACAGGTTTTGGTGGGAAAGATGTTACAAAAATATTCGGTTGAATACATGGAAATAATTGTAGGATCATACATGAGAACAGAAGTTGTAAATGGGGCTGTTTTGGGGAATGGATGTTAAATTTGGGATTTATACGTGCTGAATTGGGAAAAAGTGAAATAGTAAGTGGAAATGACCTGAAAGTTGGAGATGGAGGCCTGGACTAGGGAAGGTGCTGGATTGTTTATATTTATGTCAAGTCCTAAGCAGAAAGATAAGAGGTTCTGACCCAGAATGTGTCAGATGGGTGAGATAAGGAGGGTGTAGAGGAGACTGCACTAGGGAAAGAGACAGAGATAGAGCCTTGGAGGGCAGGTGAGAGCCAGGCGAGCAAAGTCCAGGCCAGGGAGCTTTTCAAGTCATGTGATGGTCAAGCCAGACCCAACGGGTGCCTGGAGGGAGAGGCAAGAAGGAGGTCCTGGGAGACCTGGAAGCCGTTGGTGGGAAAGGGGCAAAGGGAAGTGGAGCCAGGAGACCAGCAGGTATTGCACAATTACTCAGACAGTTTGATTTTAGTATGGATGGGGTAGCTTAGGACAGTGAATGAGAAACAGGTGTGTTACTGTGGGTTTAGGGTCATCTGGGCCACTCCTGGCATCTGGAATTTCCCAGACATGCCATTTGAAGCCACGCCAGATGCTGTGAGTTACTGCTTTGATGTTTTGTATTTTGTGTTGTTTTCTGCATGTAATTGTGTTTGCACTGGATGGAAATGGAAAATACCAACTTTCCAGAGGAGGAAGGACCAGTGAGGGGACAGAAACCCAAATGACTTACCCAGAATAGAAAACTGGATTGTGATTGAGCTAGGACCCCAACCAAGGTCTCCTGACTCCTGGATGAAAATTTCCTGGATGACAGCAGCCGTCAAAACCAATGGAACCTGTCCCTGCTTTCCTTTTTAGCTACATTTCATTTGTCTGTTCATTTATCTATTTATTGGACTTGGGACAGTCTTTTTCACATTTTTTTTTCTGTCAACTCATCTTTTATGAAGAACAGATTATCCACCTTCAGTGACACTTGCCCCCCACTAGCTTTTCTCAACTACAAACAAAATACAGCACAGAATTCACAGGAACATGTAGGCAGTGGGATGAAGCTTTGAGCCTCTTTTCTACAAAGAGCTAGTCCTCAGTGCTGTATGTTTGGAGCAGTGCTAGGCCAGTTGTTTTGTTGGACAGACAAAGGTCAGTAAAAAGGGGTTTATTTGATTTTTAATTAGGAATATTTCATGTTAAAGTTACTTACCTGTAAGTAAAAGATCTTAGAAAATCTAAGTTAACATATCATGAAATAGTAAACAGTGAGATGAGAGAATATATGATTAAGTACTGGATAGAAGTGAAAGCAGTAAACGTTATTATATTATAGGTAGAGCCTGTAGTCTCCCTTTCTTATTCAGTGTAGTCTGTTACTTGCAGCGCATTAGAAATATGATTTCTAGTAAGCGGTGCTTATGCTCATATCTCCTGACAGCGTAGCAGTTTGAAGGTCTTAAAGGGTGTGTCATGACTAGGTTTGGATTTTTTGCCTTTCAGTGTACTAGTACATTTTGGAATAGCTCCGGAAATTAACAGAAACATTTGCTGGAAGGAGGAGGTTACTATTTGTATTTTAAATCAGTTGCTTAGCATTTTGTCATTGTATCAGCTTTCATGGGAAAAAGGTTGAAACCTGTAGCCTTGTATCAAATTGGCTAAAAAAGAAAAATTAGTGTTAAATTATATTTTGGTTTAGTCTAGCAGCTTGGGATAAATTGAGGCAATAGCAACCTTCAAAGCTGGTGTCCATCTGTTAGTAAAGTGTGTAGTTAACATCCACGGTGCCGTGCGGTGTCTGCTTTGCGCTCTGACCCTGTTAGTCAGCAAAGCGCAGGATGTCATGGTGGGCTTGGAGCAGGGAAGGGCTGGAGAAAACCATTTGCAGGAGCCTTGGTGGAGGCATTGCAGGCTGTTGGGTCTCCCCGCAGCAGAGAGAATGGTCTTTAGGGGCATTTTGGCCAGGGTTGCTGGGAGAGGCTTTCCCAAATACTTGGTAGCAATTGGGTGAAAAGCTGCTGGAGCATCTTCTGGCTCTGTTGATGTTTCTTACGGACTTCCAGCTCATTAGTGAAAAAATAGAGTCAACATCTTTCTTTGCAGGGTGAGAAAGAAACACCCAGAGATTTTATTTGGCTTTTAATTAGGGATTATTCCAGTGCTAGAGTGAATGGTCTCAGAAATATTAAATGTTCAGTTTGAATTAGTTTATTACAGAAAAGCTTCTTGGTTTGCAGTATGAAATCTGCAACTAAAGTTTACACTTTTTACTTAGGCAGAAAATATATACTGAAGACATGGCCTTTGGAGCTTCAACTTTTCCACCTCAGTATTTATCTTCTGAGATAACTCTTCATCCATATGCCTATTCTCCTTATACCCTTGACTCCACACAGAATGTTTACTCAGTGCCTGGCTCCCAGTATCTTTATAACCAACCCAGTTGTTACCGAGGTTTTCAAACAGTGAAGCATCGAAATGAGAACACATGCCCTCTCCCACAAGAAATGAAAGCTCTGTTTAAGGTGAGTAGTGATGTTGTTTTGTTGTGTCCTTTAGTTGGTTGCTTTAATGTTTAAAATGTAAAGAAATGGTAAATTTGTACATCATATTTAAGTATCATGTATTTTTTTGTATTTAACCTTTTAAAAAATGATTGAATTGTGAATACTTAATATTTTGCTGCTTTAAACCTTTTTTATAGTGGTGGTTTTATTTCATGTTGCTTTTTAATCTTTCCTGCAGAAGAAAACCTATGATGAGAAAAAAACGTATGATCAGCAAAAGTTTGACAGTGAAAGGGCTGATGGAACTATATCATCTGAGATAAAATCAGCTAGAGGTTCACATCATTTGTCCATTTACGCTGAGAATAGTTTGAAATCAGGTAAAAATAACCAACAATGTAGTATAATGCGAGCCTACTCCTTGTGCCCCAGAAACATTCCTGCTATGTATACAGCTGTTTCTATGGGCTTGTTCATTGTGACTACTCCAAGAAATGAGACCTGGGTCTGACACAGCTTAGGGCGTCAGACTTCCTGAGCAATTCTAGAGGTATTTCTTCCCAGGGATGGGATTATTATTTGGTACCTGTTGCATTGTGGGATCTTAAGTGCCTATAATTTGTATTATTTGGTATATACATTTTTCTCTTTTCATTGACTTCACTCATAAACCATCTGGTACAAGGGACGTTTATTAACTGTAGTAACTGTGGTCTTATAATTAAATGAGTGGCTTCATGTAGCTGCAGCCTACCTTATCCATTGCATTTCAGGAGAAAGATGGGGAAGAGGTTATGCGTTTTATGCTACCTGCTTCCCTCTAGTTTATTCCAGCAAACTGAAAGATGGAAAGTTTACTAGCACAGAAAATTCATTAGAGTCCCTTTAAATTTGCAATACAATAAAATGTCTAAAAAGAATAATTAAAATGCCCAGCTGCACAATCAGGTTAAGGTAACTATTTCATCAGCCTTAGAATTATAGTCATGCCTCACTTACTGATGGGGACACATTCTGAGAAATGTGCCCTTAGGTGATTTCGTCATTGTGGGAACATTTAGAGTGTACTTACACAGACCTAGATGGTATAGCCAACCACCTAGCTAGGCTATATGATATAGCCTGTTGTTCCTAGGTTATAAACCTTTAGACCATATTATTGTACTGAATATTGTAGGCAGTTGTAACATAGTGGTAAGTATTTGTGTATCAAAATATAGAAAAGGTACAGCGGTGGCTCACGCCTGTAATCCCAGCACTTTGGGAGTCCGAGACGGGCGGATCACGAGGTCAGGAGATCAAGATCATCCTGGCTAACACGGTGAAACCCCGTCTCAACTGAAAATACAAAATATTAGCCTGGCGTGGTGGCGGGCACCTGTAGTTCCAGCTACTCGGGAGGCTGAGGCAGGAGAATGGCATGAACCCGGGAGGCGGAGCTTGCAGTGAGCCGAGATCAAGCGTCCCTGCACTCCAGCCTGGGAGACAGAGCGAGACTCCGTCTCCAAAAAAAAAAAAAAGATATAAAATGTTTTACCCGTATAGGGCACTTACCATGAATGGAGCTGGCAGAACTGGAAGTTGCTCTGGGTGATTCGATGACTGAGTGGTGGGTGAATGTGAAGGCCTAGGGTGTTACTGTACACTGTTGGAGACGTTCTAAACATTGTACACTTAGGCTACATGAAATTTATAAAAGTATTTTTTTCAATAATTAACCTTAGCTTACTGTAACTTTTTTACTTTATACATTTTTAATTTTTCTAACTTTCTGACTCTTGTAATAACACTTACCTTTTGTAATAAAACACAAACATGCAGAAAAACCAAAAATACTTGGCTTGGACAAAAATATTTTCTTTCTTTACATCCTTACTCTATAAGCTTTTTTCTATTAATTTTTTTTTAACTTTCTACACTTTTTAATTAAAAACGAAGACACAACCACACACATTAGCCTAGGCCTGTACAGGGTCAGAATCATCTGTATCACTGTCTTCCACCTCCACATATTGTCCCACTGGAAGGTCTTCAGGGACAGTAACATGCGTGGAGCTGTCATCTCCTGTGATAACAATGCCTTATTCTGGAATCCCTCCTGAGGGACCTGCCTGAAGCTGCTTTATACTTAAGTTTTTCTTTTGTCGTTTTGTGTTTTTTTTTTTTTTTTGAGACAGAGTCTCACTGTGTTACACAGGCTGGAGTGCAGTGGCACTATTTTGGCTCACTGCAACCTCTGCCTCCCAAGTTCAAGCAATTCTTGTGCCTCAGCCTCCCAAGTAGCTAGGGGGCATGCGCCCCCACACCCAGCTAATTTTTGTATTTTCAATAGAGTTGGGGTTTTACCATGTTGGCCAGGCTGGTCTGGAACTCGTGGCTGCATCTGCCTGCCTCAGCCTCCCGAAGTGCTGGGATTAAGGCGTGAGCCACCTTGCCCTGGCCAAATTTTTCTTTTGTAAGTAGTGGGAGTATATACTCCAAAGATAAAAAGTATAATACATAAACAAGTGACATAGTTGTTTATTGTCATTACCGAGTATTATGTACAGTACATCATCGCATGTACTATACTTTTATATGCCTGTTAGCTCAGTAGGTTTGTTTACACTGGCATCACCACAAACGTGAGTAATCGCACCATGACATTACCAGTAGACAATAGGAATTTTTCAGCTTCATTACAATCTTATGGGGCTGTTGTATACGTAATCCATTGCTGATCAGACCATCATATGTGGCGCGTGACTATACATACTCCTAAATGTACAGTGCATTTTGGTTTTTCTGCATGATGGTCCAACCAGAGTGATTGATACTTATGGTCATTTAAACTTTATACTTTTACAAAGGAAGGTGAACAACACCGGTAAGAGTTACGGTGTTTTGACAACAACCTGTTGCATCAATAGCAATAGTCTTTGTACTCTGCAATTTTTGCTTGCATACTGGTCATCAAACAGTAACTAAATTTTTACTCTTACTTTTAATTTTGTAATTACAGATGGTTACCATAAGCGAACAGACAGGAAATCCAGAATCATTGCAAAAAATGTATCTACCTCCAAACCTGAGTTTGAATTTACCACACTGGACTTTCCTGAACTGCAAGGTGCAGAGAACAATATGTCAGAGATACAGAAGCAACCCAAGTGGGGACCTGTCCACTCTGTCTCTACCGACATTTCTCTTCTAAGAGAAGTAGTAAAACCAGCTGCAGTGTTATCAAAGGTGAGGTGAGGGTTTCTCTCTTTTTCTTTTTCCTTTGTACACTTTAAATTGTCTCATTTCAAACATTACACATTAAATCTTGCTGTGGGCTTTGATGTCCATGGAGCTGGGGAGGATGTATTGGGGGAAGCCTTTCATTGTGCACTTATATGACCTTCTTTGTTTGAACAGTTTATAATGAGGCTGTAACATCTAGTGCAGCTATTGTTTTATTTGTGCGTTTTGTTTTGTTTTGTTTTGTTTTTGAAACGGAGTCTCGCTCTGTCACCAGGCTGCAGTGCAGTGGCACGATCTCAGCTCACTGCAACCTCCGCCTCCCGGGTTCAAGCAATTCTCCTGCCTCAGCCTCTCGAGTAGCTGGGACTACGGGCGCACACTGCCACGCTGGCTAATTTTTTTTTTGTATTTTAGTAGAGACGGGATTTCACCATGTTGCCCAGGCTGGTCTTGAATTCCTGAGCTAAGGCAATCCGCCTGCCTGGGCCTCCCAAAGTGCTAGGATTACAGGCGTGAGCCACCCACGCCACTGTGCCCGGCTGTAGCTATTGTTTTAAAAGAATCACCTAGTATACCTTTTTTTTTGTGGGGAGGGAGTCTCACTGTGTTGCCCAGGCTGAAGTGCAGTGGCACGATCTTGGCTTCTTGGCTCACTACAATCCCCGCCTTCCGGGTTCAAGCAGTTCTCCTGCCTCAGCCTCCGGAGTAGCTGGGACTACAGGTACATGCCACCATATCTGGCTAATTTTTTTGTATTTTTAGTAGAGATGGGGTTTCACCATATTGGTCTGGCTGGTCTCCAACTCCTGACTTCAGGTGATCCACCTGCCTTGGCCTCCCAAAGTGCTGGGATTACAGGCTTGAGCCACCGTGCCCAATCTAGTATACTCCTTTTTATATGGTAGCTGAAAGGTATTGTGGTGCCTCAGAAGGAAAAGGTTGTAACAGAGTCAAGCCGCTTTGACAGCCCATTTTCAACACGCTACTTCTAACATGCTGATAGCACTTTTTCCAATATAGAAAAAAAAGACTTTTATAAAAATTGAAATACATTAAGTCCTCACATAATGTTGTCAATAGGTTCTTGGAAACTGCAACTTTAAATGAAAGGCTGTATAGTAGGTCCTCCAGTAACATTTTCTTCACCATCATTTCATTATGATGTTGATGAAAAAAGGAATTGGTTTTGTTTTATGTTGTTTTGTTTAAAGTCACAGTTTCCAAGAACCTGTCCATGGTACTGAGGACTTAACTGTAGTAATATTTAAAACTGCATAGTGTAACTTTTGAATTTTCCAGGCTTTTATTACATCTTTGTCTTGTTAATGATGCAGCAAATTCAGGAAAACTTATTACAGCAGGTTAATTCACTTTGTTCAACATTTGATCTCAGAGTTTTAGTCCACCAAGTTGAGGCATTTCTCTCAAATGGATTGATTTGAGACTTCCAGGAAGAAATAGTGTCTGGTTAGTAGTTCCTAAAATGGCTTCTGATGAATTTCCGCTGAAGGAGCAGTGGAGTACATGCCAGTACGAAGGCAAGTAGAAAGAAGAAAGATAAAGAAAACAGGCCTCACCCATTCGCTTTACCTCTTGAATTTAGAAAGGATTTGTTTCCTGCCCTTGGACTTCTGTTAGGTGCCTGGACACTAAGGCCTGAAGGCTCAGTGACAGTTGCTGGTAATGTGCAGAAGATAGGCCATTGTGTAGCAGTTTGCATGCAGGACCCTCATACAGTTGTACCCTCACACTGTTGTAGCATGGTGCTTTCCTGTCAAAGAGCTGGGAGAAGTCAGGCCAACTGATGGCTATCTAAAAATCATAGTTCCATCTGGCCTGCTCCAGGGGCTCCAGGCTGGGTTTGTGCGGTGGCTGAATAGCCACGGCGCTGCCGGTCTTCATCACGTACCGCTCTCATGAGTGCCCTGCAGAAGTAGTCCAGGATGCTGTGTAAGCCTCAGGGTCAGCTCGTGGAGTGAGCAGGAGTGTGACTGGGGCTTTATATCAAGGTCACTTGTTACATGTGACTGTTAATGTGTTTGAACATATGAAGTAAGATAGAAGATATACATACTGATTGCTCTATTAAGAGAGTCACATACACTCTTGAATTATGTGTGGGCTTTTTAAAAAGTTATTTTCCTTCTAAAAGAAACTTTTTCCTGATGATATTAGTAATGTCTGAAAATGACAAAAAATATATATATTTGTCTGAAATTGTACAACCAAAAGAAAAGCATGCTTAACACATAATCTTTTAAAAATAGTCTATTGTGGGAATTTCCTTCACCTTGAGATTATAAATACGTACAGTCTTACGTTTGAATTGTTTAAAACTTTGTTCGTATTTTTTCCATGTCATTAAGTATTTTTTGAAAGCAACTTGCATTGGATCTCTCATACTGATAGGTATAATTTATTTAACCATTCTTGAACAGGTAAGCTATTTCTAATTTTTTATTGGCCTTGGTGAGCATAAAAGTTATGTTTACTAAAAGAACAGGCTGTGTTTTAATATTATTTTTTATTCCTGGACTCATGTTATGAATTGACAAATGGATAAATTTGTGAAGCATATGAATTTTAAAAATTATTTTAAATCCATTATCTACTTAATGGATTCAACTTTGAATCTTTTAATTTACTTTTACCTCTGGTGTTAGTCACTTGGAGGAGCCTTTTAATATACTCGACCCCCCCATACACATAGCGTCATTATATGTCTTATGTTTAATATGTGAGACAGCCTTCTGTCTTCATAACACAGGGCATACATTGCAGGCTTACATTTGTTGTCTTTGTAGACATTTTGATGGACTGTTGAACTTTGGTGTGTGCCTAGTGAATGATGGCTTTTGCATTTACATGGGATCATTGCAGCTTTAAGAATTGTGTGGTGCATCTGTGCCAACTTGTAAAGCTTGTCAGTAGTATGTTAAAGTTTTTTTAAAAGTTGCCACAATACTATGTGTGGTGTGATTCCATTATGGGAATCCGTATAAAAATATGATACACAAATGTTTATATCATAGGCAAAGAAGTAGAAGGATACTAATGAAGCTATAGATGTGGGTGGTGTTTTCCTCTAGGGAGTGAGATTTGGTTGAAGGAAGTAATTTAACTTTTCACTTTATGTACTTATATATTTGGAAATTTTAATTAGCATATATTTTGCAGATTTTAAGAATGGCAAGGGAAGCTATATTTTAAAATTAAATGATTACTTTGAAATGGAAAGTAACTGCTTAGGCTTTTTTAAAAAAATAGATTTTATGTTCGAGAGCAGTTTTAGGTTCACAGCAAAGTTGAGAGGAAAGTACAGATTTCCCATATGCCCCTTGCCTGCACACACACACACACACACAGCCTCCTTCATTATCAACATCTTGTGCTAGAGTAATGCATTTGTTACAATTGATGACCTGCATTGACATGTCATCATCACCCAAAGCGCATCGTTTGCATTAGGGTTCACTGTTGGTGTTGTGTCTTCTAAGAGTTTGGGGAAATGCATAATGATGTGTGTCTACCATAGTAGTATGGTACAGAGTGGTTTCACTGCCCTAAAAATCTTCTGTGCTTCACCTGTTTATCCCTTCCTCCCCTCAGCCCCTGCTAACTACTATCTTTTTATTGTCTCCACAGTTTTGTCTTTTCTAGAATGTCATATAGTTGGAATCATATAGTATGTAGCCCACATCTTGGCTGCTTCCAAGTTGTGGCAGTTATGAGTAAAGCTGCTATAAACATCCATGTGCAGGTTTTTGTGTGGACATAAGTTTTCACCTCCTTTGGATAATTACCAAGGAGTGCAGTGGCTAAATCATATGGTAAGAGTATGGTTAGTTTTGTAAGGAATTGCTAAACTATTAAATATCTCCCAAAGTGGCTGTAACGTTTTTCATTCTTACCAGCAATGGATAAGGATTTCTGTTGTCAAAGTGTTCTGGATTTTGATATGTAGTGTTATCTCCTTGTTTTAATTTGCATTTCTCTGATGACATCTAATGTGTTTGCTTTTTAGGGTGAAATAGTGGTGAAAAATAACCCAAATGAATCTGTAACTGCTAATGCCGCTACCAATTCTCCTTCATGTACAAGAGGTAAAAGTGGCTGCAAAAATGTTAATTTTTAAAATGTCATAGATTTTTTAAGTTCATTTTTAACTCCAGTGCAGTTGAAATGATTTTTGTTGTAAAGACTTAAGACAGCTAATGAATTGTGGGTAACCTAACATCAGTGTTAGTTTAGAAAGTTAAGTAGATGAGATCCCACATCCACACACAAAGAGTATAAAATAAGAGACAAGAATTCTAAATGAAGTACACATCCAATTCAGTGAGAAATTTTATGAACTCAGCAGTAACTACTTCCTTTAGTATTGCCTATTCTCAAAAGTTTTTGAGACCTTTAAAGATTGAGAACCCCAAAGAGCTCTTGTTTATTTGGGTGATACCTGTCAACATTTGCCCTATTCAAAGTTCAAACAAATTTGCTTAAAAATAACAATAAATTAAGCGTATTGCATTTTAAGATAGCATATTTTTAGGAAAACCGTTTTTCAAAATTAAAAAGCTGTAGTGCAGAGAGCAGCCTTGCTTTCCACTTGTGCAGCTCTGCCATCTGGCTCTGTAGATCTGCCATGGCATTCACCTGCCTCACGGTCCTGCCTCATACAGCATTTGGAAGACTCCCAGGTGTTCTCGTGAGAGAGGGAGAGTAGGGAAGGCAACTGATGTGTTTGTACTCCAGAACGGTTTTAACTCCATAGACACCTGCAAGGGTCATGGGAGCCTCCTGCCACACTGTAAGGACTGCTCATCTGTCCTGTCCTGGCCAAGAAGTAATATTTTCAGAGAGAGTTCCATGTACCCTGCTTTGATATTTTTACAGTAGCTTGTCCTAACAGAGACATTTTTACAAAATGATTCCAAATTTATTCATAGGGTGTTTTCTTTTGTGTTCTCATGTTCGATATGTATGTGGTTGAGTAATGGTCTGTACTTCACAGGCTGCTCTGAGGATGTGTAGTTCTCTAGTGAGGGGAACAGTCTGTTTTACCCTTGGGGGTAGCCACAGGCTGCTGACAGGTGTTCACCTGCCTGTGTCCTGATAGATGTCTTTGTTTTGTCTGTATATAGAGTTTCATGGGCACCTAAAGGAGTAGTGTTGCTGTACTTATGCCTCTGTTCTAAAAGAAATAAATTACCAGTTATTGTGATAGCTGAAGTCTAGTGATCTTTGACTTCTGATGTTAAAGGTACACTTCAAGGTTAGTAGGGCCAAAATTTGATCTTTAGTTCGTTAATTCTGTGTGCTTGCCACGTGGACATTTATTGTGGATTGTTGTTTTTTAACTAAAACTACTGTTTGTCTACCCACCTCCAACCCCCAGGTTAAAAAACCAGTTTCCAGGAAAATTAACCTTACAAGTTAAAAGGGAAAAAAATGCAGCATGCATGCCCCAAGAAGAAAAACAAGTTTAGTGACTACTATAGTTTCCAAGAGGATGTTTTAAATGATAGCCTACATTTAATGATGCTCTGAGCAGTTACCTCATGTAATGCATGTTTGAGTAACTAAGGAATTTCTATTTTACTGTTGAGATTGTTCAACAATTTTGGTTATCTTTGAGCAGAGTTATCTTGGACACCAATGGGTTATGTTGTTCGACAGACATTATCTACAGAACTGTCAGCAGCCCCTAAAAATGTTACTTCTATGATAAACTTAAAGACCATTGCTTCATCAGCAGATCCTAAAAATGTTAGTATACCATCTTCTGAAGCTTTATCTTCGGATCCTTCCTACAACAAAGAAAAACACATTATTCATCCTACCCAAAAGGTACGTGTCACTAGAGACAGAAAGTAGGATGGTGGTTGCCAGGGGCTCAGTAGAGTGGGGAATGAGAAGTTATTTATTAATGGGTAGAGAGTTTCAGTTTTGCTAGGGGAAATGAGTTTCTGAAGATGGATGGTGATGATGGTTGCACAACAGTGAGTGTACTTAATGCCACTGAAATATTCATTTAAAAATAGTTAAGACGGGCCGGGTGCGGTGGCTTACGCCTGTAATCCCAGCACTTTGGGAGGCCAAGGCGGGCAGATCACGAGGTCAGGAGATGGAGACCATCCTGGCTAACACAGTGAAACCCCATCTCTACTAAGAAATACAAACAAATTACCTGGGCATGGTGGCGGGTGCCTGTAGTCCCAGCTACTCGGGAGGCTGAGACAGGAGAATGGCATGAACCCGGGAGGCGGAGCTTGTAGTGAGCCAAGATCGCACCAGTGCACTCCAGCCTGGGCAACACAGTGAGACGTCGTCTGAAAAAAAAAAAAAAGTTAAGATGGTATGTTTTATGTTATATATATGGTACTATCATAAAAAAAGATTAGGGAAAAAGAGATGTGCATCACGTTTTGATTACGTTGATTTTCTGTGCCACTGAATAGTCTTTGTTTTTTAGATGGGGTCTCACTGTTGCCCAGCCTGGAGTGCAGTGGCATGATCTTGGCTCACTGCAAGCTCCGCCTCTCAGGCTCAAGCAATTCTCCTGCCTCTGCCTCCCGAATAGCTGGGATTACAGGTGCCTGCCACCATGCCTGGCTAATTTTTGTATTTTTAGTAGAGATGGGGCTTCACCATATTGGCTAGGCTAATCTCACTCCTGACCTCAGGTGACCCATCCACCTCGGCCTCCCAAAGTGCTGGGATTACTGGCGTGAGCCACCGTGCCTGGCCAGGATAGTCTTTTTTTAATCCCTCCAAATCCTAACTGTAATTGGGTTTCATTCTATACTGTAGTCACTAGTCTGAGTTTATTGTACTTACACTTTGAATAAAAAATAGGTTTTGAGTCATGAAATACAAGTGATAGCTTTCCTTTATGAGTGAGAATGTACATTTTAGACATATCGACTTAAAATATCTGTGAGCCATTTTGAATTCTTTAAAGAAGAAACGTTGGCATAAGTTTATGCTCTGGTGTATAAAGTTTCTGCTTGTTTTTCCCCCAGTCTTTGTTGAATTTAAATGGCTTTTACCAGTACAAGAGTACTAGTAGCAAAATAATTGAATTCTACATTTTGTGATCATGTGGTACGTGTCACTAATTTTTGGTTAATGGAATTTATTTACTTGTTATAAGATAGCATTCAGAATAGATTTTTTTCCCTTAAGTAATTTTAAGTGCTTTTTTTTTTTTTTTTTTTTTTTTTTTCACTGCAGCTTTGATCTCCCTGGCTCAAGCAATCCTTCCACCTCAGCCTTTCTAGCAACTGGGACTACAGGCATGCACCACCACATCCAACTAGTATTTGTATTTTTTATAGAGACAGGGTTTTGCCGTGTTTCCCAGGCTGGTCTTGAACTCCTGGGCTCAAGCAGTCCTCCTGCCTCAGCCTCCCAAAGTGCTGAGATTACAGGCGTGAGCCACCACACCCAACTTTTAAGTTACATTTTTATTGATTCCTAGAACTGTTTCTTCAAGAGCCTTTTTTTTTTATTGGTCTAAATATGGTTGTTGATTTTCATTGTATACGGATATATTATGTTAGCTTGAAATGTGGCCTTGTTTAGCGTAATGGTTTCCTGTCTTTTTGAGTATGAGGATACTTTTTGATTTCCAAAAATGTAATTAGCCCATTCCACATAAATGGTAGCTATGTATTTATAGTGGTGACAATTACTGTGAAGGTAGACGTGTGCTTGTTCCTCATTGCTCTGTGCATGTATTTGAGAGAGAGCAGTATGTGTAAGGGAGAGACCCTTCCTTTTGTGCACACACTGAACTTGACTCTCGGTGAAGCCTCCTGCCTGTCTCTGGGGCTCCTCTGGGTGGCCAGGCGCAGGCTGGACAACAGCCCACTGTCTAATTCTTTTTTTTTTTTTTTTTTTTTTTGAGATGGAGTCTTGCTCTGTCGCCCAGGTTGGAGTGCAATGGCGTGATCTCGGCTCACTGCAACCTCCGCCTCCTGGGTTCAAGCAATTCTCCTGCCTTAGTCTCCCAAGTAGCTGGGATTACAGGTGCCCGCCACCATGCCTGGCTAATTTTTGTATTGTTTTAGTAGAGACGGGGTTTCACCATGTTGGTCAGGGTGGTCTCGAACTCCTGACCTCAGGTGATCCATCTGCCTCGGCCTCCCCAAATGCTGGGATTACAGGCCTATGCCGCTGCACCTGGCCCCCCACTGTCTAATTCTTTGTTGCAGCTGCCAAGTCACTCTCAGAGCCGGTTTTCCTAATATGCAGTTAGCATTCTAAGAGTTAACAGATTTTGTTTTATTTTCCCAAGATCTTTTTTAAAAATTTTCTTAATTATAGGTCTAAGAAAAGCTTATTTTAGAAAAATTCTAAAAGATGAGAAGAAAATCAGCATCTCCTGTTATCTTCTAACCCAAATAGCTTTGCATTTTACATAGCTGGAGTGATAGTGATCAGAATGGTTTTTTTAGAAACTTTCTGTATTGTGAAATTTTATTACAGAAATGATAAGTGTAACACTTCAGTGATCTACTTATGGAAAAGGTCATCTCTCCCATACTTTTGATGCCTACCTTCAGAGAAACCTTCATTAGCAATCTGGCATATGTCCTGCCTCAGACTCATGAAAATATGAACAAAGAGAGAGGGGTTTCTCTGTTTTTTTGTTTTGTTTTGTTTTTTGTTTTCTTAAAATGCGATCATTTTATACACATTACCCTTCAACCTGTCTTTTTCACTTAGAAAAACATCATGGACAGCTCCTGTGGGTCAGTAGATAAGCATATTCTTTTTAATAGCTGCTGAGACTTTTACTTCTGAAGTGTAAATTCGCACTGGGTATAAAGCAGGGCCTAAAACAAAAAGTTCCCTGCCCTTTTAGAGCCTCCCCATTCTGATGGAGGGAGGCCGACAACACGCAGACAGATGTAGGACATGTCAGAGAGTGATCAGTGCTCTGAAGAGAAAACCATGGGCAGTCCAAGGGTAGAAAGCAACGGGTAGATGGAGATGAGGAGCAGCCCCAGCTTAGCCAAATTCTAGTGAAGGGGCTTCAGTGCAAAGGCCCTGTGGCCAAAGCACATCTGACCTGGATGAGGAGAGGCCCAGGGGGTTAGGGGCCTGTAGGAATGATGAGGTCACATTTAGCAGTCCTGGGATGGTCCCAGGTGTTTGTCTGAAGGTTCCAGGGGTGATTCTGCTCTGCAGACAGGTGTGATGTGCAGATGAGGAACGACTGGGTCGTGCTGATGGAAATGGCCTGCCTGGAATTATATGGAGAGGTTAGGCTGGGATCAGGAAGGTCACGAACACCATGATCTCCTCAAGCTGAAAACTAGGTTCTGTCCAAATCCACCAGTTTTCAAAAGGAATTGGGCATTACAACTATTTGAACAAACTTTTTTTTCCTTCAGAACTATTCTAGTGAATGCTGGCTTTTTAAAAAACAGGGGATGAGGAACCTAATTCTGAATAAAATTGTCATGTGATTATAGGACTTGATATCTTAATTTTGTTGATACATAGTATTAAACATTCTATTGACCGCCCTAAAAACAGGATTTTTTGCTTTGATTTTCTGTTCTAGTCTAAAGCATCACAAGGTAGTGACCTTGAACAAAATGAAGCCTCAAGAAAGAATAAGAAAAAGAAAGAAAAATCTACATCAAAATATGAAGTCCTGACAGTTCAAGAGCCTCCAAGGATTGAAGTACATTTATATTTTTTATTCACATGGTGTGATATAATAAGTGGGTCTTTCTTAAAAGAAACTTGGGTTCATATTGGTTTCCTAAGTGAAAATCTCCAGGGCTTTTTAATGATCATTTTTGTAGTGCTAAAGAAAACAGTAGCCACTCTTCTCACCTCTTCATTTTGGCTTCCCAGTTGTCTCAGAGCAGCCACTCAGTGAACATCCAAATGAATGAATGGTCTGGAGACAAAACTACTTGTATCAGAGTTGAATAGTTTGTGTGCCATATTACTAATATTTCCCCTCAGTTATCTTCTTTACCTGTTTTTTTTTTTTTTCTTGCTTTAGGATGCTGGCTTTTGCAGGGCCTCCTTTTCTATCCAGAAGTCTTATTATAAAGTGCTTCATTATAGAGAGAAATGTAGAATAGTATAGAACCATTGAGGGCCCAAGTCAGGAAGATTTCAGGAATTTCCAAAAGCATGCTTTAATTGTTCCATGATACTCCAAGTATGTCATGTACTCTAAGGAGCCAGCCTGGGTTCTAACTTAATTTCTCGTGTGCCTGGTTGTTTTCTTTACATTGCTGTACCAGAGCAAGTGGCCTGGCTGCTTGTGCAGGCCGAAGGCTCTCTCAGAGGTGCTGCCCAGGTGCCCAGCTTAGGGTCAAGCCCAGGCATTCCCACAGACTTGGGGTGGGGGTTCCCAAGGCTCTTAGAACATCATTTGAGAATAGCTGGGTTACATGTTTGAAAACCTACCGTGGCAGAGCATTATGGTTTAGACAAGTGAATAATTTATATTTCTGCCCCATGTTTCCCATCTTTTTCCAAGGAACCTAAAATATTGACAAAATGACATAGGCATTTTTAAGTGATTAAAAAATGGTTTTTTAGCAGGCCTGTTGCCTTTGGCTCCATTTATTAGCCTGGGTTCACCAGAGATAACATGTAAATCTACTGAATCTGGATGGTTTCTCTAATGAAAAACATAATCCTTTGAAGAACAGGTACTTGAATACTCTCATGCCAAGGTGGTCCAAGGTCAGTTCTTTAGATCCCTCGGTGTACCAAGATTGTTGGTGACACTCTTTTTTTTGGGTACAGGGGTATTAGAACTGTGGCCTTTAAATTTGCTCTAAGTTAAATAAAGCAGAAGCTCTTATGTGAGAGTTTCGCGGCTTTTTTTTTTAAATCACTTTTAAGGGACCTTACTGAAGAATGAAAATATAAGCAAGGAAAAGGTTGCACTTGGCATGTTTGCATTAACAAAAGAGCTAAAGGGGTGTGTGGTTTACTTAGGATGCCGAGGAATTTCCCAACCTGGCAGTTGCATCTGAAAGAAGAGACAGAATAGAGACACCGAAATTTCAATCTAAGCAGCAGCCACAGGTAATTTTTAGATTGAAACCACAAATTGCTTTAGGCTTAACTCTTCTGGCTCAACTAAATGCTTGAGAAAAACTGCTTTCCAGACATTTCTGTATGGTGACAGGTGGTTTTGTTTTGATTCATTCCTTCATGAGAGAACTGCACCCAGCATGTTGAAACAGAATTGCTCTTAAATAATAAGATTTTATTATTTGATAATAAGACTTATTTTATAAGATTATTATTTTATAATAAGATTTGGTAACTGCAGTTGCTAAGTTGGAAAGGAGGGGGATCATACTGCCTTATGAAACTTTAAGGGGAAAAAGTTGACTCAGTTTATTTGGGAAACGGAAGAATTTTTTTGCAAGTCAGTAATGTCTGACAGAAGAAAAATAAGAGAGGCACCACAGTTTTACTCTGTGAAGTCAAAATAGAAGCTAAAGTGGAGGTGATTCCCCTTCTCTACTCCACCACCTACCCCGTAGATTCAGGAGGGAGCTTGTGAGTCATAATTTAGATGGGGAACTTGTGTACTTGTAGACATTTATTTGCTAGGATATTCATTGTCGTTTTGCCTTTTAAAGGGGGCTGTTGTTTTCGCATTCATGAAAAATAAAATTCTAAACCTTTGTGTGAGTTAACTTTCAATTCAATGTTATAATTTACTCATCTTCCTTCCATGTAGCAGGCCTCCTTGCCTGTCCTTTGTTGCACTTGGTACTTTCCCCTGATGGGAGCCCTCAGCCAGTAGGGTTTTTGGTGTCCTCTAAGAGAACACTTGGCAGGAGAATGGAGCGGAGGCACTAAAGCAAATGGGACACCATGCCTCAGGACATACCACTGGGCTTCCTTGTACAACTTTTTATATAGTCTCAAAACCCAAATCACAACAATTTCAAAAATAACACTTGTTTTGAGCATATCAGACTTTGAGCCTGCATTTAATATTATTTGCTGAGTATGATTTGGGCTTATGTAGACTTTTGGTTGTATCACTATAATTTCATGGCATTTGTTGGTTTACGGAGGCATTTGGAGAGAGAATGGGCTAATGAGGCGATAGTACTAACCAAGTAGCCTCACACACAGACTTTGTAGCCAAAGACTTTATACAAGTGCTAGTGTCTTGCCTGTAGATGTGTATTGTTGACTACTCACAATGGAGATATAGACAAAAGTGTAGGTGATTTAATATAAACCCAATGTTCTGAAAGAAGGAAGACATAAACAACCATGGTAATACTGGCAGATAATGTGGGATTGATTTTTTTTCCTTTCATTACTTGAATTTTTAAAAATTCTTTTTTATAGTCTCAATCTTTTTCATTTTATCTTTACATCAGTTTTTTGTAAAAAGAAAAGCACAGTTTGTATAGTTTTATAAGTAAACTTACGAATTTTGAACTTTCAGGATAATTTTAAAAATAATGTAAAGAAGAGCCAGCTTCCAGTGCAGTTGGACTTGGGGGGCATGCTGACAGCCCTGGAGAAGAAGCAGCACTCTCAGCATGCAAAGCAGTCCTCCAAACCAGTGGTAGTCTCAGGTAAGAGAGTCTTTCCATCTCAGGCAAGTGATTGGAAGTCTTTTTCAGCTAGATTATTATGTTACCATTTTCTCTTGTTATCAAAAGTTATTTATAGATAAAACAGTGTGATGCTAGAATAAGCATAGATAAGGACCTGTGGAATAGAATTAAGAGTCCAGAAATAAATTCATGGATCTGTGACCAATTGATTTTTCATAAGTATGCAAAGTCCATGAATAGAACAAAGAACAGTCTCTTTAAAATGGTATTAGAACATCTAGATTTCCACATGCTAAAGAATAGTCATACCTCCTACCTCACACCATAGATCCAAATGAACTCAAAATGAATCAATGAGCTAAATATAAGAGCTAAAACTATAAAACTCTTAAAAGAAAACGGGTAAATCTTCATGATCTTTTATTAGACATTGGATTTTCAGATATGGCACCAAAAAGATGGGCAACAAAAGAACAATAAACTTTGGACTTCATTAAAATTAAAAATTTTTGCATACCGAAGGACATTATCAAGAAAGCGGAAAGACATCTTACAGAATGGGAGAAAATATTTGCAAATCATGTATCTGATAGGGGATTAATATTCAAATATTTAGGAACTCCAGCTGAATAGCAAACAATCCAATTTAAAAATGGGCAAAGGACTGGAAAAGACATTTCTCCAGAAGTACACAAGTGGTCAATAAGTGCGTGAAAAGATACTCAATATCATTAGTCATCAGGGAAATAAATATTAATCAAAAGTACAGTGAAATACTATTTCCCACCTAGTGGGATGATTATAATCCAAAAACAGAAAATAACAGGTGTCAGTGAAGATGTGGAAAAATTGGAACCCCGTACGCTGCCGGTGGGAATGTAAAATGGTGCAGCCATTGTGGAAGACAACCTGGTGGCTACTTAACAATGCTCAATGCAGTTACTACATGACTCAGCGATTTCACTCCTCAGCATTTACCCAAAAGAAGACAGACTTAGACACTTTTACACTGGGGTTTGTTATGGCATTATTCACAATAACCAAACGGTAGAAACAGCGCAAATGTTCATTACCACATAATGGTGTAAACAAATGTGGTATACCTACACAATGTAATATGCAACCTTAAAAAAGGAATGAATTCTTATACATGATACAACATGAAAGAAACCTGAAAACATTATACCATATAAAATTAGCTAGACACAGAAACACAACTACTGTGTGATTCCACCTAAAAGAAATATCTGGAATAGGCAAATTCATAAAAGCATAGATTAGAGGATACCTGGGGCTGAGGGGAAAAGGAATAGTGAGTTATTATTAATGGGGACAGAGTATTCATTGGAGCATTAAAAAGTCTTGAAAATGGATAGTAGTGATGGTTACACAACATTGTGAATATAATTTATGCAGCTGAATTGTGCACTTAAAAACAGTTAAAATGGTACATTTTATGTCATATTACCACAATTAAAACATTTTTAAGTTATTAAAATAGGATGATTTTTAAAAATTGATCTTATTAAAAGATGAGCTTTCCACTTGATATGATGACATTGTGTAGCTGAAAATCTCCTTATCTGTAGAAGTGTCCTGAGTTTCTGAAGATCTTTACTGTCTGGGTGAGGAAGCTGCATTCCATGGAAATGGTTTACTGCCTGTGCATGGGGCACCACTGGGAACAGTGTTGAGTAGTGCTGATGTGGCTGCCTCTTTCCTCTGACACATCTTCTCTTAAGAGCCAAGACAGTTAAAACGCACAATATGTCATAAAAAGCAACATGAAAATTTTCCACCATAGGCTTTTAGATATGTTTCTTCCTTTTGAAGTAGTTTATTATTTCAAAAAACTCTACTTTTTTTTTAAATCTGTGGATCTTCTTTTTTTTAAACTTTTATTTTAGATTCAGGGGTACACATGCAGGTTTGTTATATAGGTAAACTTGTGTCATGGGGGTTTGTTGTACAGATTATTTTGTCACGCAGGTACTAAGCCTGGTAACCAATAGTTATTTTTTCTGATATTCTCCTTCCTCCCACCCTCAAGTAGGCCCCAGTGTCTGTTGTTCCCTCCATGTGTCCATGTGTTCTCATCATTTAGCTCCCAATTATAAGTGAGAACATGTGGTATTTGGTTTTCTGTTCCTGCGTTAGTTTGCTAAGGATGGCCTCCAACTCCATCCACGTTCCTACAAAGGACGTGGTCTCATTCTCTTTTATGACTGCATAGTATTCCATGGTGTATATGTACCACATTTTCTTTATCCAGTGTACTGTTGCTGGGCATTTAGGTTGATTTCATGTCTCTGCTATTGTGAATAGTACTGCGGTGAACATTCACATGCATGTGTCTTTATAGTAGAATGATTTATATTCCTTTGGGTATATACCCAGTAATGGGATTGCTGGGTCAAATGGTATTTCTGTTTTTAGGTCTGCTGAATCACCACACTGCTTTCCACAGCGGTTGAACTAATTTACACTCCCAGCAACAGTGTATAAGCGATTCTTTTTCTCCGCAACCTCGCCAGCTTCGTTGTAGCCATTCTGACTGATGTGAGATGGTATCTCATTGTGGTTTTGATTTGCATTTCTCTAATGATTAAGTGATGTTGAGGTTTTTCTCGTATGCTTGTTGGCCACGTGTATGTCTCTTGAAAAGTGTCTGTTCATGTCCTTTGCCCACTTTTTAATGGGGTTTTTTTTCTTGCAAATTTGTTTAAGATCCTTGTAGATGTTGGCTATTAGACCTTTGTCCGATGGATAGATTGCAGAAATTTCTCCCATTCTGTAGGCTGTCTGTTCACTCTGATGATGGTTTGTTTTGCAATGCAGAAGCTCTTTAGTTTAATTAGATCCCATTTGTCAATTTTTGCTTTTGTTGCAGCTTTTGATGTCTTTGTCATGAAATCTTTGTCAGTTCCTGTGTCCAAAATGGTATTGCCTGGGTTGTCTTTCAGTGTTTTTATAGTTCTGGGTTTTACGTTTAAGTCTTTAATCCATCTTGAGTTGATTTTTGTATGTGGTGTAAGGAAGGGGTCCAGTTTCAATTTTCTGCATATGGCTAGCCAGTTATCCCAGCACCATTTATTGAATAGGGAGTCCTTTCCCCATTGCTTGTGTTTGTCAACTTCGTCATTTGTTCCTCGCTTCCTCCTTTACTGCCTTTGGTGTTAAATGTTTTTAGAGTACACTTTTGATTTCTTTGTTGTTTTTTTTAACTTTAGTTTGAAAAACTACCTTCTTAGCAGTTGCTGTAGGGATTACAATATACATGTTAGTTTATATATTGAAGAAACTTTACTCCAGTAGGTCTCCATTTTCTTCCTCCCCCTTTATGCTATTGTCATATGGTACATCTAAATAGATTATAAACCAAACACTGCAGTGTTGGAACTGCTACTTTATACAGCCATATCTTTTAAAGAAGAGAAGGAACAAGGAAAAAATATGTATTTACCAGTTTCATATTTATGATTTTAGGTGTTCTTTATTCCTCTGGATTCAGTTGCCATCTTGTATCACTTCTGGTAGTATTTCTTCTGGAGGACTTCCTTTGGTATTAGTGACACAAGCAATACTAGCAACAAATTCTCATGGTCTTTGTCTGGAATGTCTTTATTTTGCATTCACTTTTTGGAGGTTAGTTTTGCTGAATGTAAAATTCTTGTTGACCGCCCCATAGCTCATCCCTATAGCGAGTCTTCCCCTGGACTCTGTGTAAGTCCCCACTGGCCTGGCCCTGTCTGTTGCTTGACTGTTCAAAACGGCAGCCTCAGACTGGCCATGCTGCCATGCCTTCCCCATTTGCTGAAATCACTACTTTAAATGACCACGCTTTGAATGACCACGCTTTGAATTCAGCAAGCCCCTTATGGCAGTGACAGGGAAGCTGCTGGTTTTCATAGCCTTGGCACCTGTTGAATGAGCCAAAGCAGAGCGGGGAGAGACTCTGGGAAAAGCCTCAGACAGGAGTGTCCACACCTATACTGTTCCCACCTGAAGGCTACTCATCTTAAGGAGTAAGCACTCTTCGGTTTGTTGGAACCCTTTGGTCACTTTCCAGAGGGCTGATATGACTGTGTTTGGCAGTTCTGTTGAACTTCGTGGTTGTTTTTGTGGGAGGGAATGGTTGATCTTCCTCTGTTGTAGGAAGGACCCTCCTCAGGCCCGGTGTCAGTGCTTTGTGAAGAGTTGCCTGGCAGTGGGGTGCAGGAGGTGTAGAGCTAGAGGGCTTGTGGCAGGTTTTGCAGGAGCCCAGGTGAGATGCTGAACTTGGTGGTGTCATTGGGGACCGGGTGAGTGAGCACCTATGAGCCATACAGGGTTTTCCACGAAGAGCTGAGAAAAACAATTGAGCCAGTCACATAGTCACATGTATGTTTCAAACCCCATGTGGAAACAAGGCTCCAAAGATGGAAGCAGCTGTGCTCACTAAGGCCAGAGCAGCCTGGGAGGCAGGTACAGTTGTCTTGGTTGACCTGTGCAGGTTACGTTCTGCGTTGAAGCAGTGAATCAGACAGTCAGACAGGCGAGATTTAGTGGGACTGCCTGATTGACAAAGCACCAATTATTTTAAAAACATGTTCCAAAATTAAAGGAGGGCAGGTAAAATACATTTGGAGAAATATTGATGATTGTTGAAGCTGGACGATGGACACAGGGGGTTTGTTTACCATTCTTTTTTCTTTGGCGTATGTTTGGAAATTTTCCAGATCAAAAAGTGAGGATAAAACTATATGAGAATTAACTGATTACTTGAAATAACTATTGAGATGGGAAATAGAACAGAAAAGGAGAATAAAATTGAAATGTTCAGTAGTAATCACAATAATTTACTGACTATGTAGAGGAATTACCAACTGCCCATGATGGGATTTTGGAAAACACGTCTGGAAAACTCAAGAGAATTAACTAGAAATATTACTAGAATCTTATAGTGGCCTTATAAGGTAGCTAGATACAAGATACACATGCGGAAACCAATAGGGCCAGCTTCCACAAAGGCAGTGTCAACTGGAAACGGTGGTGGAGAGGGACGTGTTCACAGTAGCAGCAGTGAGTGCAGACCACCTAGAACTGTCCTGAGTCAGAAAATGAGATCCATGCTGTATTAGACTGTACTGAGAAACATGGGAGATCTGATTACATGGATAGGAAGGTAGGTGTTCCTAAATTACTTGATACTTTTTGGGAATCTCATCCAAAAGATACTAAGTTTCATTTGGAATTACTGCCAATGAAAAGAATGTGTAAGAGATTGTTCTCAAAGATGAGAAGGGTTGTGGGGACAAGCTGGGGGTGACTTGGCAAACTCCTTCAGATACCCTGAGGCAGCCCCTGGGCGAGCTGCGATCCAAGAGCTGGGTGGGGCATCTGGGAGGTGACCGTGAGGGCTTTGTCCCACTGCGTTTCAGTTGGAGCAGTGCCAGTCCTTTCCAAAGAATGTGCATCAGGGGAGAGAGGCCGCCGCATGAGTCAAATGAAGACCCCGCACAATCCCTTGGACTCCAGCGCCCCACTGATGAAGAAAGGGAAGCAGAGGGAGATCCCCAAGGCCAAGAAGCCAACCTCACTGAAGAAGGTATGTGGGGTGTTTCAGCCGAAGTGAGGCACTAGAAAACTTAGTCTCACATTTCCATAGTTATTCTCCCAGCTCTTAGATTTTTAGATTTTACGACTTGTATTACTTGAATATGTTGTAGTAAAACGTGTTAATGATACTCCAACAAATGATCCCTCACCCTCCCAGTGTGACACGTCAGGGACATGTGATGTGGGGAATGCTTTAGCTACCTGAGAGGAAAGGAACATGTTTTATTTTTTCAACTTTGCAATGGATGGACAGAAAACCAGAAATGGGAGGAGTTGCATTTTTCTTCTTCTTATGATCCCCCTTCATCCTACCCTAGCTGATATTTCTGATGTTGAGAGTCAGTGAATAATGCACACTTCTTGCACACCTTCCAGAAGGACAGTCACAGGCTCCTCCGGTGAATTCTTTTTTTTTTTTTTTTTTTTTTTTGAGACGGAGTTTTGCTCTTGTCGCCCAGGCTGGAGTGCAATAGAGCGATCTCGGCTCACTGCAACCTCAACCTCCACCTCCCGGGTTCAAGCAATTCTCCTGCCTCAGCCTCCCGAGTAGCTGGGATTACAGGCGTGTGCCATCATGCCCAGCTAATTTTTGTATTTTTAGTAGAGACGAGGTCTCATCACCATGTTGGCCAGGCTAGTCTCAAACTCCTGACCTCAGGTGATGCACCTCCCAAAGTGCTGGGATTGCAGGCATGAGCCATCACGCCCAGCCTCCCTCCGGTGAATTCTTACAGCAGCCTGTGGTGTAGGTGCTCAGGCAAGTGCTGAGCTGCAGAATTGTCTTTAGAGCTCAGGGCTCTCCCCTGTGGCTGCTCTGCATACCTTGGGAGGAACGTGCCCCTCCAAAACCAGCGGGGAGGGTTGGGTGAGCTCCCTGGAGTCTGGGGAGCACTTGGCTGCTCTCAGGGCACTAAGAGGCACATTGCCAAAAAGTTGAACTTGGGCAGTTTAATTTGCAGAAGAGCTTATCTTTTAAGTACAAGTATTTAGGCATTTTAATTGTTTATTTAATTTTTAAGATTATTTTGAAAGAACGGCAAGAGAGAAAGCAGCGTCTCCAAGAAAATGCTGTGAGTCCAGCTTTTACCAGTGATGACACACAAGATGGAGAGAGTGGTGGTGATGACCAGTTTCCCGAGCAGGCAGAGCTGTCAGGTACCAACTTCTCTTTGTGCCTTAAGAATAATTTAAACGAGAGCAACTATGAAAAGGATGAGCTATGCTGAGCAAACTCTCCAGGACTTGGCTGACTCCTCTTCCTTTTGTGGTGAAAGTGGGTCAGCATTGAGCTCCCAGCTTTACAGGGAAGGGAGGTCCCCACAGATGGGGGGAGTGTTTCTAGTCCCTCTGGTTCTGGGGTCTGTGAGGGACAGAGGTGAGGATCCTCCCTTCCCACCAGGTTTGATCTGTGTGATGCTGGATGGTCCTCTAACTTGAAGTGGTCATGAGAATTAACACCGCTAGCTGCACAGCTGCTTACCAGCAAGTATTGGAGACGTGGGGGCGTGAACACAATTGTGTGTTTTTAAGGAAACTTCATATTCAGTTATACATTCAGAAAAGTGCACAAATATCAGTGTACAGCTTGAAGACTTTTCACAGTGACCGCCGCATTCAGATCAAGAAGCAAAACACAGCCCAGCAATTGCTTGTGCCCTCTTGTCAGAGGCCTCCCCCAGGAGACCCTGCCCCATGGCAACCCCACCAGGGGCTGTGGCTGTGGCTCTAGTGCAACTGTGTGTTACGTGCTGCTCTCTTTGTCCCCTTTCCTTCAGCCTTGCTGGCAACATGGAGATGCCGTTTATTTTCATTACTGTGTAAAATTCGGTTGGACGAATGTACAGGGTTGCGGATGGGCATTCAGGCATTTTCCAGTTTGGGTAATTAGAAACAGGGTTGCTGCGGACAGTGTTGTATGTGTCTTAAAGGACACAAGCACTCGTTCCTGTGGGGCATTACCTGGGAGCAGAATTGCTTTAGTAGCTCCTGCCCAATGGGTTTCTGACTGTTCTACCAGTTACAGCCCCAGGGAGGCTGAGAGTTGCAGGTGCTCCCCATCTCTACCAGCCCACGGGGCACTATGTTTTTCAACCTTGCCATTCTTGTGGGTGTGGTATATGTTTTTTCATTCCTTCATTTGGTGATCTGTTACTGCAATTGCATTTTGATAGTCGGTAGAAGTAACTAGTTGGGGACAGTAAGCTATCACTGCATCAGATCTGGTGTGTTTAAACTAAACACACCTCTTGAGTTTCTCATAGTTTAGATGTTGGAGTTCAGCTCTTTCTAAAGGATTATTTCAAAAAGAAATGGTCTCAAGCATTTGAGAAAAAACTTAGAACTAAAATCCTGTTTTTTAAAGCTCCCTGATAAGAGATTCTTCAAAATCAAAAAATAAATTTGGCCACTGAACTGCACACTTAAAAGTGGTTAAAATGGTAATATTGATGTATATTTTACCATAATAAAAATGAATGTATAAGTAAATTGAGGGGAGGCACACCTCCAGGCATGACTGCCTCCACCAGCTTTTCTGTTTTCCCCAGGCATCCTCGTCTGTTTTTTCTGCCTTCTGTAAACCTCTCTGCATGTTGTCTGTGAATGTGGTGGTTGTGTGCAGGGGTCTGGTTGCATCGGTGAGACTGCATTGGGCCAGCCCCTCAGTGTGTGCACTGGGCCTCACAGATATCTGATGATGCCTTTTTCCTCCATGAAGGGCCAGAGGGGATGGACGAACTGATCTCCACTCCTTCGGTTGAGGACAAGTCTGAAGAGCCACCAGGCACAGAGCTCCAGAGGGACACAGAGGCCTCCCACCTTGCTCCCAATCACACCACCTTCCCTAAGATCCACAGCCGCAGATTCAGGGAGTGAGTGAGCCCCTGCCTGCCAGGGACTAGGGGAAGATGGAAGTGCTTCGGTTCAGTATGGCATTGATATCTCCCATAAATCCTTGTTGCTGGGCCACACTGTGCTTTAAAAACCTCATGGTTGAAAGAAGCTGGGTACCTGGTTACACGCATTCAGGGAGAGCCTAATCGTTGTGTCTGATTCTGCTTCTACTGAGGTTCTTGTATTAATGATGGAAGAGGGGCCCTCAGTCCAGGTTTGCAGTCGGGAGTGGATAGTGAAGTGACCGTGCATCATCTTTGGGCCCCTTTTCATGGTTTAATCTCTGTGTAATGTCTTAGGCAGCAGGATTCCTTTAACCTTGTGTGCTCACTCTGCCTTCTCCCCTGCCCACTTTTCTTCCAGGATAGTCTCCCGGTATTTGTCTTTATGACAGGGAGATGCACGGGGTAGTGGCTGAGATGGGGACCTGTGGCAAACTATGGTTGGGCAGGGCCCAGAGAAATTTGTCCCTTGTAGTTGGGAATGGGGGAAGATGCCCCAGTATTTACCTTTCATAAAATTAAATCATCAGGAATTCCACAGTTCTGGTTAGTAGTACTTGTTGAAACGTGACTTTTTGTCTGATGCAGTCTACGTCTCTTCTCCCTGGGGTGGGATGGGAGCAGTGCTGCAGTGTCACAGCCAGTGGCACAATTCCTGATGTCTGATGTTTCTTTCAGTTACTGCAGCCAGATGCTTAGTAAAGAAGTGGATGCTTGTGTTACCGACCTACTCAAAGAACTGGTCCGTTTCCAAGACCGTATGTACCAGAAAGATCCAGTCAAGGCCAAGACTAAACGTCGACTTGTGTTGGGGTTGAGGGAGGTTCTCAAACACCTGAAGCTCAAAAAACTGAAATGTGTCATTATTTCTCCCAACTGTGAGAAGATACAGTCAAAAGGTAAAGGCACAGTGTGGTCCTGTGATATGTGGGCCCCTGCATGAGTGCCTAGTGTGCCCTCGTGTTTGCCACACACCTCAGCGGCCCATGCCACAGGTCTTGACAACTCGTTTTCTTTGTGGTTTTTGTTTTTATTGAGTAACTGTTTCCCAACTGCATTGACCATTACCAAGTGCCTTACCCTCTGTAGGGCAGGTGGGTCCTGTGATCCTGCACGCTGGGAGGCCAGCCAGCCCACACAGGCCTCTGGCATCAGGGAAAGACCTGCCTCTGTTGTGCAGGCCACTGCCCTGGGGCTGGGATTGTCACTGGTCACTTGCACCACAGAGATGCTGTGCCTGGCAGCCAGGCAGTACCTACCTAGGGCTTTCATCTACTTGACATTTTGTTGTTCAGTCTGTGGTTGACTCATCTGTTTGCTTGTTACAGATGTGGCTTTGTCTAAATACTTTGCCATTTTACTTAAACTGGAATGTGTGTTTTTGTTTTGTTGGATGTGATATGCTGGGTCAGGTAACAGTGAACCCTCACCTGTGACATCTCATGTTTACCCTGTGCTTGTGCTGTCTTGGCTCCTGGAGGACTTGCCTGTGTTGTGTCCTCGAATTGAGCAATAGGAGAACTGATAAGAGCAGAGTGGCATTGCTCATGGACACCTGTCCTTCATCTCCATCTAGGCTAGGGAACACTCACAAGCCCCTCCCTGGCCTCATTCCTTTCTCCTGCAGTGTCAAATTCAGCTTTACGGAGTCCCACTTTGAGATAATGCATCCACATCCTGGGGCTGAACCCTCAAAGATGATGTTTCCCAGTTACCATTTCATATCTAAAGCCTGGAAGTTTTGTGACATGTCCGAGGCCCCCAGCCAGCAGCTCGTCCCTGTCCTAACTTGGTACGGGTCCAGCATCACCGCTGACCAGAATATGACAGAAGGGATCTCAGTGACCCACTCATCTGATTGTGTGCCCAGAGGCCTTTCCAGGTCATTGGAGAGGACAGGCCACATGCTTCCCTGGCTGTTTTTGTCAGTGTTGTACATGTCCACAGCTAAAGGGTCAAGTAGTCCTATAGGGTTTGTTAAGGGAGGGGCAGGCTTGGGCTCCCTTCCTTTCCTAGCAACTCCACCTGTCAGCTGTTAGCCACACTGTGGGATATTTCCTCCATATCTCCATGTAAGAGGCTTGTGAGCAACTGCTTCACATGTTTTCAGTTTTAAGTATTTGTCATCTTCCCAATAGAGCAAAAGGGCTTTGCTGTTACTTCCCCTAATGTATAGTTTGGGTTATTGTTCTTGTTTTGTGGTGGTTGCTTAATTGTCTATATACTTAGCATTAATGAAACCTCATGCCCTCAGCCAGCTGCCTCAGTCTCCTCTAAGACGGTTACACCAGGCATTCTGCAGTTTCATCTGCTGAAGAAACCTTCATTCCCAGCTCACTGCACCTCATGCATTTGCCACCCAGGGATACCCTTGGCTCCCACCCTGCTCTCAATAAGGTGTTGTTTATGGACTTCTTCTTGGGCTGCACTCTTGTTTTGTTGGAGTGCATCCTCCAGTGGTTTAGGAGAAAAGGATTCATGGGAGGCATATTTTGAAGGTCTTGCTTGAAATCCAGAGACTCTGATTCTTGATCCTTTGTGATCATTTTGCACCTCGTGCTCTCTGGGGGTTCACTGGAAGTGCCTTGATCCTGGGGTTACAGGATGTGGGACAGTTTGCATCCAGTGTCTTTGGCTCTGGGACACGATGAATTTTTGCTTTGAATCCTCTTCTCCAGTCCCTGCCAGCTCTTGGAAGTATGTCAGGGTCGGGCCTCCTGGACTGGTGTCCTCACATTATTTGTTTCCTGCTTCTTTTTATCTCTTTCTTTTGGTTTCATTTTCTGTTAGAATTTCTCAACCATATCTTGTAAAATTTCTGTATAATTTTTTACTTCTGATATTATTTTTATTTTTTGGGAGCTGTTTTTGTCCTCTGAAGATTCCTTTTTTTTTTTTAATCACGTTGCTGCTGCCTCATGGTTGCCTCTTGGAGAATTTTAATGATGCCTAGTTCCTCTCCCTGCAGTGCCTCTGTTTCCTCCAGGTAGTTTGCTCTGTTTGTTTTGGCCTCTCATGGTGGAGGTTTTCCACAGATGTCCTCTGTGTCCTAGTTGTCTGCGCCTACTTAAGAGCCACTAAGTAGCCGACTGGAAATCCGGGTGTGTGGCTGCTGTTCAAGGCTGTGAGCAGCGTTGAGGGTGGTGATTCTCAAAACTGTAGCCAGCATCAGAATCACCCAGAGGGCTGGGGAAAACACAGATTCCAGAGTTTCTGCTTCAAGTAGGTCCAGTGGGCCCAAGAATTTGTACTTCCAGCAAGTTCCCAGGTGCTGTTGCTGCTTCTCCAAGGAGTGCACTGAGAACTTCTGCTGTAGGATGATGTGGTTGGGCTGCTTCCATGTTGGAAGTGCCCCTGGGTGTCTCTGTCTCCCCTAGGGCTGGTCACATCCCCAAGGAAGACTTCTCACTGCCTGCCTGGAGGGACAGGCGAACTTCACCCTGTGAGCTCATCCTCTCACCACCATTAGATGTGTGGTGCGTCATGTCCTGCAAACCTGTGCTGTGCCTCACCAGAGGGCTGCAGCTGAGGGGCTGGACACCGAGTTGCCTCTTTGCCCAGTGTTCAACCAGCCCTCTTCACCTGTGCCTCACCCTGTGCTGCCTATTCCCGACCTTTGGGGGATTCTGGGGTCCAGGGCTGGCTGTTCTAGGCTTTTCTCACTGTTGGCTTAGGTTGGCTAGCTCAGTTGTCCATTTGCATGTCAGCTTCTGAAACTTTTTGCTGTTGTCTCTCACATTCTTCCGTGGATTTGTGTCTTTAAAAAACAAAAAGGTGGAAATGTATGCCCTTAGCCTGCAGTCACCCCACTTTCTTGGAAGACATCATTCTCCTTCTCTGCCTCTGCCAGAGCATGGGGCTAGGTTTTTACTTGATCAGCATCATAAGGATTTGTTGTATACTTAAAATGCATTTGTGTAATCATTGGTTCCGACACGTTTTTGCTTTGAGGCATAAGGGACTTGATTGTATATTTTATAAATATTTGCCAGATAAGATAGCCAATGGCTTGCAGTCATCTTAAAGATAAAAATTGATGTTATAGCCTTGAATTAAGTTGAAGTACTGTATTTGCTCTGAGTGGCATTTAACCTAATAATTCTGAACTTAAACTTTGAAATGGAAATAATCTGAGCCTAGCATCTTGCTTGTTTGACATAAGCTTTCTTGTGGAACTTCAGTAGTTGGCCCTTGCCACACGTGCTTTCATCTCACTAATAACGGGTTGGAGGTTGTTTGAGCAAAACAGTCTGGATTTTGCTGCTTGTATTGGGTGTTCCCAAGGCCACCACCAGGCTCAGTGATGTGCCAGGAGGACTCACATGACTCAGCTTAGAGTGGTACTTTCAGCTGTGACTTACTACAGTGAAAAGGCACAAAGCAAAATTAGCAAAGCGAAGAGGCACATGGGGTTAAATGTGGGGGAAACCAGGCTCCAGCTTCCAAAAGTCACTTTTAGTGACATCACATAGGAGACTCTTAATATCCCAGAGACAAGTTAAGAGCCCGTGGGAAGTGTTGTCTACCAGGGGTGCTCATTAGAGACTCAGCGCCTAGGGTTCTGTTGGGGGCCGGTCACGCAGGCATCCTCTGCCTAGCACACACAAAGTTCCAGACTCCAGAAGGAAAGCAGGTGTTCAGCAGAAACCACAGTGTTTGCACACCATAGAGGCACAGTGAGTTACTCTTACCAGTTAAGGTGGTGGGAACCCTCCCAAAATCCAAGTTCACAGACCCCAACCAAGGGCCAACCTGACAGGCAGCCTCGAGAGGACAGCAGCCAAGCCTGCTCTGTTAGGTTGTTTCTGCACAGTGCTCAAATAACATTTCAGATTCACTCCCGGGAGCTGGGGTGGACACCAGGCAGAGACCCTCCAGTGAGAGAGATGCATCTGATGTTACGGGGGACTTCATATGTCTCCCCTGACAAACTGAATATAGATTTCACTGTAAGTATACCTCAGGAATACGGAACACTCCACCCCACCTCTGCCCTATCTCCCCTTTTCCCAGCCCATCTGGAACTGGTCTTTTTCTTCAAAGTTTCTATCCCAGGAGGCTGCCTCCTCATCACTTTGCAAATGCTTTGGGTAGATCAGGGGCAGGGTGTGGGCAGAATAAGGGCTGTGGGTTTAGAAATTAATCTCCTATCCAACTAGATGCAGAATGAGTTCCCAGTTTCCACAGTATGGTAGGACGTGCATTGGAGAAGTTCTTCTCTTGAAATGAGAGGATCGATATGTAAGTAGATTCCAGGTGATACTATGCTAATTGTAAACAGTTGTTGTTTTTTACAGTTGCTCCGTAAAGACTGGGTGAGTATCCTGTAGGCCAGATGCCTGGCCTACAATGCTGTGTGCCTTGGTAACTCGAAAGCATATGCTGTGCCTTCCTCCAGAGACCACTGTGTTCCCTCCCAGGGTGGTGTGAGCATCCTCTCCAGGAGTTTTTATTAGCAGTTTTCTTATGAGGGAGGGTCAGCATCAGGAGCTTGGCATTTTCTGTGAATTGTTCATATTTGTTGCCCATTTGCTTTTGGGATGTTGACCTCTTTTAGATTGATTTGTACCTTTTTTATAAGTTAGCCCTTTGGGTAAGAGTTCCAAGTATTTCTTCTGGTTTGTCAGTTTCTCCACCAAAAAAAAAAATTGGCCATGCAGAGACTTTAGGTGTTTTATATATTGGTATTTCATTTTTTAGTTGCATCTAGGTATTGTGTTATTTCTCAGCCTTCCCACTCCAGCGTTTAAAAGGTTTGCTTTTAAAATTCTGTATATCTCCTGGTTCCTTCATTTGTATATGTTTAGGTAGGATTTATTGTGGTCTAAGATGGACAGGATGGGCCCACCCAGTCCTCTAGGATCTTCTCCCTAACTAAACCAAAATGCTGTTCCTCACATGCTGTTTCCATCAAACTCCGGTTTTTTCTGGCGTCCATCCTGTTAATCTGCATCACCTTGTTTACACTATGGTATCTTTATAGTAAACTTTAATACCTGACCATGTTAGCCTGACATCTTTTTATATTTTTTCCATATTTTTTATTTCTTAGTGAAATCCCGTCTGTAGTAACTTACAGTATTTTAAAGCAGGCGTCCCCAACCCCTGGGCTGCAGACCAGTATTATCTGGGGCCTGTTAGGAACTGGGTGGCACAGCAGGAGGTGAGCATTACTGCCTGAGCTCTGCCTTCTGTCAGAACAGCAGCAGCGTTGGATTCGCATAGGAGCACAAACTCTGTTGTAAACTGCGCTTGTGAGGGATCTAGGTTGCCTGCTCCTTATGAGAATCTAACTAATGCCTGATGATCTGAGGTGGAACAGTTTCATCCCAAAACCATCTTCCCCTGTCCGTGGAAAAATTGTCTTCCACGAAACCAGTCCCTGGTGCCAAAAAGATTGGGGACCGCTGTTTTAAAGTGTTAGATTAATGTGGAGTTGACATTTCATCATTTTGGATCATTCTATGCAGGAGCATAGGTGCCTTTTCATTTGTTCAGATTTTCTGTTGCGGGGATGGTTTAAAAGACAGGGTCTCACTCTGTTGCCCAGGCTGGAGTGCAGTGGCATGATCATGGCTCATTGCAGCCTTGAACTCCTGGGCTCAAGTTACTGAGCTTGCCTCCGCTTCCTGAGTAGATTGACTACAGGCACATACCACCACACTGGGCAAATTTTTTTTCTTCTTTTTTTTTTTTGTAGAGACGGGATCTTACTATGTTGCGTAGGCTGGTATTGCGTTCTTTAACAGCATGCTGAAGTTGCCTGTAAATCTTTTCATGTTTCTTGAAAAATTCATTCCTACCAACTATAGTCTTGTGCTGCTGTTGTAAATGGAGTCATCTCTTTGATATATGCCAACTGGCTGCTGTGTGCTTGTGCCACACCCCCTCATGTATTTCTCATGCTGTTAGGAGTACTTCTCAGGTGCTGTTGGGTTTTCCAGGTGCATCACCTGCACATGGTACTCATTTCACCTCCATCCTCTCTCTGGTGCACCAGCCTTGGCTGGTCCCTGGCCCAGAAGCAGGGTCAGGGAGTAGAGGGTGGTGAGCCCTCGGGAGCCAGACCTGTGCCTCGACCAGGGGTACAATGTGGGATAAGAAACTTAACCTTTCTGTGCCTCTGGTTGTGCATCTGTCAGTGAGGACACAGCATCTGTCTGCCTTTTGGGATTTGGGGGAGGACACAGGAGCTAATAGGTGGTAAGTTTCAGTAATACTAATAGTTAACTTTTCCTGTTAAGACAATACCAGCTGTGTGTTTTCTTTCCATTTTTCCCCATATTTTTGGAGAGTTGATTCTGCAACTTGCTTTCTCCTTGTATTTTCAGGGGCGTCTGCCTTGGATATAAAATCATAGATGGGTGTGTTGCTAAGAAAAAGCTCTTTGCAACCAGTATTAACACCACACTCCATGTGACATGTCTTCCTGTCATTTTTCATTGTCCTTTGACCAGGTGGGCTGGATGACACTTTGCACACAATTATTGATTATGCCTGTGAGCAGAACATTCCCTTTGTGTTTGCTCTCAACCGCAAAGCTCTGGGGCGCAGTTTGAATAAGGCAGTTCCTGTCAGTGTGGTGGGGATCTTCAGCTATGATGGGGCCCAGGTGAGTGCACAGGGCACAGGCCTCTTCAGTCACTGCCCGTGGGAGGAAGTGGGGGCAGGTGGTCAGTGTGGGCTCACCCACAGAGCAGCCCCAGAACCTCCAGTAGGCTGTCATTGAGGAGGAGCCACCACTTAGGCAGAACCTTCTTATAAAAAAGTAGCCTTTGTCTCCTTGACATCATGGGTTGTCTGGTTCTGAACTGAGCTCTGTTCTGGGCTTGCTGCTGACATAGTGGCACCTCAGGCAGGCCCAAGAAGTCGGCCTAGCCCACTCTTTCCTCTGGGGCAGCATCCCTGGTACCCACCCATAAGCATGAGGTCCACATTACCCCATGTCACCCCTGCTTCTCTGTGGAGGTGGCCATTGCTGAGTTTGAGGGACCCGTGTCCTCTGTAGCTGGGATGTTACCTGTGTGCTCTCACTTGTGCCCAAGGATCAGTTCCACAAGATGGTTGAGCTGACAGTGGCGGCCCGACAGGCGTACAAGACCATGCTGGAGAATGTGCAGCAGGAGCTGGTGGGAGAGCCCAGGCCTCAGGCACCTCCCAGCCTACCCACACAGGGCCCCAGCTGCCCTGCAGAAGATGGCCCCCCAGCCCTGAAAGAAAAAGAAGAGCCACACTACAGTGAGTGCTTAAGGGAGAGTTGTGTCAGGTCGAGTGTCCTCTTATTTACTGACTTTAATTAGGAGTCCCTAGGTGAGCAGCTTGACAATGCTGCAAGACCAGCTGAGTAGCAGGGCCTGGTAAGTCCAGCCCATTGCCTAAGAGGTATTATCAGACTTTTGAAGTGGGAAGGGCTTGTCAGTGACTGTCTCAGACTTCAAGTCAGATGTCTTTTGACAATGGGTGGCCTTAAGGATAGCTGTACCCAAGACAGGCTTGGAAGGCCAAGTAAAGGTTCAGTCCTCTCCTAGCCTACCTACACAAGGCCCCAGCTGCCCTATAGAAGATGGCCCCCCAGCTTCTCCTCAATAAGGGGCAGCCCGGCCCAGCAGGCTGAGAACAGTGAGTGAATGTCTGCCAGGGCACCTCTGAGCACCGTGAGCTGCTGGGCAGTGGCCACAGGCTCCCTCTCTCATGCTGCTGGTTTTCTTACAGGAGTTTTCCTACTTGTTGATGCCTATTCCTCACTCGTGCTGTTTTCTCATTTTAGTTGAAATCTGGAAAAAACATCTGGAAGCATACAGTGGATGTACCCTGGAGCTAGAAGAATCCTTGGAGGCTTCAACCTCTCAAATGATGAATTTGAATTTATGAGAGTTCTTGCCTGTGTGTCTGTATTTTGGGTAAGGAGGGGAGGTCTGAAAAAGACTTTGGGGCTTTTTCTTCTGTTTTTCATGACAATGTAATTTGTGTAACTGTTGAATCTGGAAATTGATCAGCATTAAAGGGCACATGAAGCAGTGTCTGCAGGCGTTCAGTGCTGCGGAGCCTGTTAAAGGTCACTCAGATGTGCAGGTGTTAATCTTCTCTAAAAGCCTGGTGATACAGCTCTGGCTTTCTGAGCACACTACGGATCTGGAAAATACTGGAAAATGTGATACTTAGAATACTTTGGCTGCTAAGGAAACTTCCTCTCCATTGCAGAATAGCTGAGCCAAGTGAGTGAGTTTGCAGAAAGCAGGTGGTGAGCTCCTGCCTGCTGGAGGTTGCCATGGAGGGCCATTCCTGCCCGGCAACAGCACCGTCCTGCAGGGAGCCACTTGGCAGAAGGGTGCAGGGCTGCTGGTGTCAGAGCAAGAGGGCTACAGGGAAAGGGCCCTTTCTCAGGGGATGTAGCTTTTTTAAAAGATTTGGGAACACTTGGAGGATTTGCTAAAATGAGCCTCAGAAGGAAAATTGGTTTTCTAACCTGTGACTTTTTGAAATGAATTATTCCTTTCAGTCTTTATTTTTCAAAGAAACAATGTGTATTGAAGTACCTAGATTTGTTTGATAATCAACAAATCTTTCCTTTTTCAATGAACATATTCTGAATGTGGTTTCTGTCTTAGACCAGGAGGACAGAGTTTGCTTTCATATTTTCCCTGTAAGTAAGAGGGCTTATTTATTTTAAATAAAGAGTAATTATTAAATTTTGTTTCAGACTCTGGTGATTTTAGGCTTCTCAGTGGTCTCTGTCTTACTTGATGATTCCTATGTCTTAATTTACCTCCTTTGGACAGTCTGGGCCCTGAAATAAAAGGGGGCCGCGTAGTGGGGGTTCTGCTATCCCCAGCACTCCTAGGTCTGGAAGTAGTGATTGTCAAAGCCTCCAGCACTGCACAGACCTGCCGGAGCCAGATCCTGGCTCAATCCCAACCTGCACTTGCGTTTTCACCACAGCCAATGGCAGGAAAGAATTTTCACTGCTTTTTGTATTGTTTTGGCTTTGAAAGTGCTCTTAATTGAATTCAGTCTTGGCAATATTGTACCTCTTGAGAAGCGGCCTGTGATGAGCACATAAAATTGGAATAGTGAGTCAGAAATGACATGCTATGAGCAGGGCTGGAAATGTGACCAGAGGTTGGTGTATGAAGGCACCGTCTGCCCTGTCATCTGTGGAGCTCACAGTGACCAGTGTGAGCCTTGCTGTTCTTTACACGTTCTGAGCTGTTTAGACATGGGAAGTAGATGTGGTCAGCCAGGCCATCAGTAGTCCCAAGCAGCAAGTCATCTCCACCCATTTATCTTTCAGGGCAGTCAGCGGGGCCAGCAGGAAAGGAGAGGTCTTTCCTGCTTCCTCCTCCCCTCATCAGTAAGTAAATAGCAAGTTGTGGTAAGTTTGAAAATAGGAGATTATTTGAGAATGAAAGTTCCAAAATTAATTTGTGGGCAAAAAGACAAAATAGCCTATCAGCTGCACTCAGCAGCTAGAATTTTAAAATTTGATAAATCAAAAAATTAAAGATCTCCACTAGAGATGAATTCCTCTGCTCAAAGCCCCTTTTTAGAGCTCTCTAGTTCTGTGATATTTGTTTTGCTAATCCTAAGATAAAAGCAGCTTAAACAGAGTAGGTAGGCTTTTCAACATGTCATGCAGCTGCTGAGAGCTTTCCTTTTCCTGGGATTTAACCAAACTCTCATCACATGGTTGCCTGGTGATGCTATCATTTTCTTGGCAGTGAAGGACTCCAGCTGAGGCCACTGCTGCAGGTGACTTCAGCTCCCTCAACGTGCAGATGGTGCCGCATGAAGCACACAGCTCTGGGCCAGGGGCGCCAAGTACAGTCATTTAACTGAACAATGTACAACTCTATTTTTATTTTTTCCAGCAGAGCAAAGAAAGACTCAGAAATTCATCCTCATAACTCCATTTCCCAGTAGAACACTCCACATTACGAAAACTTCAAGTATGTAATTATTTTGTTAAGTGTGAAAGTGCTTGAAATCCAGACTTCAGGAGAAGAGACAGAAAACAGCACCAAGAATATAAGCCTAAAGCCCATAGCATTTCACTCATCAGTTTGTAGTGGTTGAAGCCACACCCAAAGCAAGAACCACAGTGAGCTGATGGATATTTTACAGGAAAACTTCAGGTTATGAGTATGTGATGGTTCCGTGAGCAAGACTGGCATCCTTGGCTGGATGGGCAAGCACACACCTCACAGGCAGCTGGGCCTCTCGACTTGGGGTGCGGAGGGGGAACGTGTGGAGACAACCAGGGTGTCTCCAGCATCTTCAGGACACCTGTTGTGATGGATCCTGAAGGAATTAGCAGGCGATGTATGCTGATCCCACACAAAGGCTGGTAGAGAATTTGTCCAGCTCCAGAAAGAGGGGATGCAAAACAGGTCATTGTCACACTGCTGGGAAGACACTCAGTATTTGCTAGGATCACCAGAGGGGTGCGGCTTGACTTTTAACAGAGGCTTTGGTTTTATGATAGACATGAAAACTGTCATTCAACAGACAAGAAGAGACGTGTGTGTAAGATTAAAGGCTGAGTAGCTTTAGGACAAGTTCACACACACAGTGACACAGTCTTCAGAGATACAGCTTTAATAATTAGAGACTTGAAAGCAGGTAGAACAAAACACTCATGAGACTCATTCCATCGTCAAGAAATTTAATATGGCACCAGGAGATTTGCATAATTGACCTATTTGGCTTTCTGCATCAAGTTTGGTGTCCTGTTGCAGAAGCTGAGCATTGACGGGACAGAGGCATAAACTGCAGCGCTTGATAAAATAGAGCCCAGTATTCTGAGGTTAGTGAAGAAAACACAAAGACTTGACAGATGCACTCCCAGATCGCATCTCACAGTCATTCAAGGTTTAGGGCAAGGCATTTCCATGTGGAGTCTCACCTTTTCTTGTCCCAGTCATGCATCTTGGAGTTCCTTGGCTAAGTCTGCAGGGAGGAGAAGCAGCAGGCTTGATTTGCATCAATAAAAGCAGCGATCTGTGCTGGCCATGCTAACCCTGTTGGCTATTAGGGGGTGGGGGCACTCTGTCAAGGGGAGTCACTGGGACGGTGTAGGATCAGCCTTCAGAGCCTGCTGCCTGACCGTAGAGGAGGAACCTGCACACACCCTGCTGTTTTAGTTCACGAGCAGCTATCAAAGCCTGTTAGCCATCCTGGTTACCTGCTTGTGCCAGACAGAACTTACTGTCCCAGGTAAGCACCTAATTTTTTAAGTCTTAGTTCCTGTCACAGGCCCACTTGGGTTCCAGGCTTCTCCACTGTCCCGCCTCTGCCCATCAGGTGGTGGCCCAATGGCTGTGTTCAGAGCAGGCTTGGGCAAGACAGTTCACAGTTGTGGGGGACCAGGCCTTCTCCGGGGGTGGCTGTGGTCAGTGGCAGCAGGGTCTTGTTGGGGTTGAGGTCGGTGTCAGGGACTCCTTCCTGGTGGCTACAGGGTGTCCTTGCTACAGCTTTCCTGAAAGAACAATGTGGTCTTTGAATCCTTGGTGGAACGGATGGGCCTTTCCTGCTCTGCAGCCCAGTCTGTCTCATAGCCCATCCCAGGCAGAGCACTCAAGGCCTCAGCCCCCTGTTGTGGTTCCCCTCCTTGGAGTCTAAAGATCCAAATGCCAGGAGTGGTTCTCCCATATGTGACAGGAAGGCAGAGCAGCAGCGCATTCACTCCACTCCCAGATTGTGCTGAGAGGCAGGAGGGCTGGAGAGAGGGAGCCTGTGTGTGCTGAAGTACAGAGGATCAGCTGTAAATGCCCAGCCTTTGGTGGCAACAGTTCGGGGGTGTACTGCTGGCAGCCACGTAACCCACACACTTTAATGCACTCATTTGAGTGCTGCAGACCCCACCGCAGGTGGTAGCACACAGTGATGAATCCCTGCCTTTGCCTTCTGTATCGGCTATTTAGGAGCCGGGGCTGGACAACTTTGTCTCCGTGGGGAGACAGGGAGCCTCTAGGGAGCCTCTGCCCCACTGCCTGCAGCTTCCATGCTGTAGCCCAGTTCCTGCCAGGGCTTAGCTCAGGAAGCCACTCCCCCTGACCCCTCCAACAGGTGCCTCAGGTGAGGCATCCAGCCAGGAGCTACCTGGAGGGTTCCCCATCTGTCCAGGTTTCCTGCCCTCCTCAAAGGAGTGGCTGGCTGAGTGCTCTGTACAGAGAATGGGGTGGTCGTGGGGGCCCATCTAACTAGACAGCCCCACCTGTGAGTCCCTCCCAGTCTCGCCTCCCTTCAGTCTCTTTTAAGGGCTGGGGCCAGATGCCCCTTGATCTCCTGCAGTCTCAGCAACAAGACGTGGGATTTCCCCCCCCAGTGTTGCAGATTTCATAAAGGAAACTGCTCCGGGGCTAAGAGGGAACAAGTGGGGTCCATGCTGAATGGGGCCCTTGAAAGATCCACTGGATGTGGCAGGTGCCCTGCCCCTGGCTCCAGCCCTCCTTTCTTTGCCCGGCTGCGGCCACTTACCCACGCCTTCCTCCAGCTCTGCATCATCCGGTCGTGCTCCCCAGCCACAGCCCTCCAGGCAGAGAGCTCTCTGGTCCACCTCTCCTGGTGGGTCACTTCTGGAAAACAAGCAGGGTCCCCAGGTCAAAGCTCTGTGGGCCTTTATGGCACCCTTGATGCCCACTGGCCACCTTTCTCAATGGAAAGCCAATAAAACCCAAACCCAGAATGCCACCGTGCAAGCATGCTTTCCAGCTGTTTTTTTCACTGCCATTGTAAATAGTGAAAAATTACCTCATAAAAGGGTAACAGTGGGCATGGGAATCACTTACCAGGTCTCATCACAGCAACCTGCACCTTCGAAGTCTTGTTCCCTGCTGAGGAGAGGACAGAGCAGCGATACTCAGCGCTTTCCCTGATGGCGTCCTGCAGCCAGCTGAGTGCATGGGCCCTGCCATCGGGCAGTGCATGGGTCTGCACAGGGACACAGGTCTCCAGAGCTCGCCCATTCTTCTCCCAGACAAAGCGAATGTCTGCAGGACCTGGGGACACAGACCGTTTCCACCTCTGAGTCCACATTTAGGACCCAAAGAAGCTGCCCCATGAGGGTGCAGGGGGGTTACCTCTGCTGTCCCAGTTGGACCTGAAGTGACTTGGGACAACTTCCAATTCAGTCCCTGGGACTGCCCTGGAGGTGGCTTCCCCATGGCCAGCGGGAGCCTTGGCCTTGGCCCGTCCTGTGGACTTCCTGCTCTTTGACCTTAATTGCCATTTTTCAAAGCACACCTGTGTGGCCTGTGTCCCCTAGGACCCCCTTTCTTGCAGCGCTGTGCTGGTTTCTTACAGAATGGTTCTGGGCCTTGGAACAGCATCCCACCCCACCATGGCCCTGCTGCCACACACATGTCCTGTGACCACATGGACAGAGACATCCCAAGGCTCTGCCATCACCAGGGCCACAGCATGGAGAGGCCCAGAGCTCGGCCAGCTGTGTGCAGAGGGGGCTGGGCCAGAGTGGGGACCATGAGGGCCTGTCTCTCCAATTGAGACACTGGGGTGGGCTTGGAGGGGAGTAGATGCCACAGGCTGGAGAGCTCAGACCCTGGCAGGGGCCAGGCCCTGCAGAATTACACTAGGACTGCCGAGTGCAGCACATCCAGGATGGGCTTCCAGCCTTGAGCATGGACTCTGGGCCCGACATTGGCCACTTCTGCCGCAAACCTCTGTTGTTTTTCTCTGGGCTTTTGATCTTAATTACTTATTGAAGAAAGTAGAGAGGCCAGTTACTTCACACACACTCAGACCATCTGTTGCAACCTGCCAGGGTGGAGCCTGGCTGGCCTCAGCTTGTCTGATGGAGAGATCAGGAGGGTGGGCGAGGCAGAGACGTTCCCCTGTGGCCCAGGCTGCCTCGCCTGGGGAGGCCAGCCTCATCCCAGGGCAAGAAGTCTGCGCGGCCAACCCTGAGGGCTACTCCTAGACACTATTTGTTCCAGGTGGCTGGGGTGGGGCTGTGAAAACCAGAATGTTGGGGGTTTTGGGCGGGGGGGAGGGGCACAAGTAAGTTCTGGTCAGCAGGTCACCTCCCGGCCTTCCTTGCTCGTGAAGTCTGTTGGCCCTCCAGGGGCTGCTGGCCATGTTGGGACAGGCTCAACTCCCTGTTCTTACTGAAGGAAAAACAAGCACATCCATTTTGATCTGCTTCGCACACTGGCTTCCACTCAAATGCAGAAAGGGCTGAGGGGGGCCACAGTCCCACTAAGCTCCAGCCCCAGAGCGTACAGACCCTGGAGTTGAGCTGGGAGGGCCAGGCCAGGCCCTGGAGGGCAGGTGAGGGGGTGCAGGTGCTCCTTCTGTCTCTGAAGCTCCTGCTTGTGGTGGGGCTGGGGAGGCCGGCCAGCCTACTCTGCTGCTTCTGTCTCCCTCAGGCACAGCCTGCATCAGGCCAGGCACCCCAGCAGCGTGGACTGGGGTGACACCCACCTGCTGCCTAGCGACCCGGCTCCCTGACCAGCACCTGCCCTTCCTCGAGGCCCACCAAGGCCCCCAAATGGGCCATGGGCCACCTAGACCAGTGCCGGCCATGGCCTCTGCTTGACCATGACACCTCGTAAGAATTGGTCTTTAGAAGTTAGATTTGCCCTAGATGTCCATCAACCTCACAATGACAAAATGAAGTGTGGCTTCATGGAGAATGCTTAGTAGTGAAAAGGAAGGAGTTCAGAACACTGAGCAGGTAAAACAAATTCCAGAGCCAAAAGAGTCCAAAGTACCTGCACACACAAAAACTGGCCTTGTTCTCAGGTGTAGGGGCAGAGGTGCATCCAGTTACAGGTATTAAATGGTGTGGGTGGACCCACGCTCCCCTCCCTGGGCAGGACAGTAGTGGCCAGAGAGCTTTCCATTTCTGTGGCACATGCTGGACTTTTGAAAAGAAGAGATCGCCAGTTTAATGAAGCTGACTTTAGTAATGCATTTTCCCTGCTTTACTGACTGTGGCATCTGCTCATCTTTGTCCGGTCTCTTGGTCAACAATTCCCCACTGTCCAGGATCACCAGAGAATGCTCCTCCCAAGGACTTGACCAAGCTCAGACCCTTTAGCTGGGCAGTCCTAGGAATGAGTCCCGAGGCAAGGATGGGCCCAGTGAAGCCCTGTTTCTATCAGTGAGGAGTTGGGAAATGTCCAAGAAGGGGGCCACAAGTCACTCATTCGAAGTGCCATCGAAGAATATTCAGCAACACAGAAAAATAAGTGAAACAATATCTAGGAATGTGTGCATATATGTACACACCCATGTATACATGTGTGAACGTAGATAGTCATGGCCCAAAAATGGCTGGGATGCTGGTGGTAACTACCTCTGGATGGTTAAATTTGGGATTGTTTAAATTTTTTCTTTATACTTCCCTGGAGTTTCCAAACTTATAACAAACAAGCATTGCTTTTATAATAATAATTTTTTATAAAAGTGTTACTTTGAAGGAAACATTCTGTAAACTCAAGGAAATTCAGAAGGTGCTCCAAAACTGTTTTGCCTGGCGGCCCATCTGGCCCTGGCCTGGTGGACAAGCCCTTGTGAACAGGTTTGGTTTTTGTGCAGAATTTAAAAAAAAACAAAACTTAACACTCTATAATTTGTTTTTTCCCACTCAAAATGTTTTGGACTCTGGCCACAGATAATTCCATGTATCTATCTACAAATATAAGTACATATTACATAGATGTACAAACATATGTCTCTATGTACATCTAGGTGCCCATCAACTGGGGAATAGATATTCCCTTTCCCAGCTGATGGGCATCCAGGTAAAATCTCATTTTAAGAAACAGATTTTTTTGAGCTGTTATGATCAAGTAACACTTTTCTTTGAACAGACAGTGAAGTGAGTTCTATAAAAGCCCGGTCTCCTCCCTCATGTGACCTGCACCAAGAACCACCCAGGGGACTGGAGTCACTGAGTCACAGGAGCCTCTGGAAGGTTCTCATGACCAAGCCCTTGAGACTAAGAATCTGGGTGGCCTAAGCTGGATTGGATTAATCACCCAACGCCCCATCATGGGACCACTGACTGCAAAACCCTCAAAGCTCTACACTCTTGGGGTGTGAGCAGAAACAGACACGTGCTTACCACTGCTAACAGGCATCAGTAAATACTATTTAAATACATGCTTGATCATCATAAGACATTAAAGATGTTAAAGAAGTACTTACGTTCCATGTATTCGTTTTTAAACTATCCATCTCTTTCTGAATGCATGAGAGAGAGGGAAAGTGAGAGTTACCATCAGTGTGCAGGGCCACCCCATCAGCACCGCACCCTCAGCGGGACAGGGCAGCAGGTGCAAACCCACGTATGTCCCACGGAGGACTGCTGGGGAGCTCCTGGAATCCTAGGCCCCCAGTGGGGAGCTGTCTTCCATCTCCCAGCAGGGCCTCCTGAAAACACCACTGTTTTCTTGCTTGGGCCAGTGCTCCAAGCTCCCTAACCATCCAACCCTGTTACCTCAAGAGAGCGGCCAGGCTGGGGTGCTACTCCCAGATCACCCCCTTGGCCTCTGTGGGGTGGGGACAAGAGGCTGGTCTGATGCTGTGGGGCTCAGCAGCCACCAACCTGGATGTGCCTTGGCTCTTCCCAGTGGCGAGCCAGGTGACACTGGTCGCGCCCTCAAAGAAGGGAAGTTGTTGTGGCTTACAAGGATCTAGGGTAGAGGTCCTGAGGACAGATATTTCCCCCTGGCCCTTCCTGTCACTGCAACTAGCTTAAGTTGAAGGCAAATTAACTGCTGTGGCAGATGCCGTAGGTAATGATCTTTCTCCTACAGCTAGGACTGTCGTGAGAAGACTGATCACCTTGGTATAAGCAAGGGCCAGGTTTATTCACCAGGGCTGGGTTTATTACATCAACTCAGGAGTCTGGGGAGGCTGTTGGCAGCCTGGGCTCCAGCACTCAGCCTGTCACTGGGGCACCTCCCACCTGCTCACTCCCACCCCAAGCCTCTAACGGAGCCAGCTGGTGCCAGGACCACCATGGCTTCAGAGCTTCGTGGATGTGATTACAAAATATGGAGCTGATTCTACTCTGCGACAAACCAGGTGCCCTCTGGGCAGTGGCCTCGCCCTGAGGAAGGCCTGGAGGGGTGGTGAGACATCCACCCAGTGACTGAGTTGCTCGGGCCCATCCTGGAAAGTGCCCCCACTGCCATCTCCTGCAGCACTCCTCTGTGTCCTCCCGGCATCCCCATGCATGTGGCCCACTCTGACCTCAGGGCTGGCTGCCTCGGGGCCAGCCCATCTCCCAAACTCACATCCAGGTGGCCTTCCTGCAACTAATGGGGCAGCGGGCACATCCCCAGAGGGGCCATTCTCTGCACACAGTGCTGGCCGCTGGCCATCATGTCTTCCATGATGGGACTCCTGGCTTGTCCCTGCCTGTACCCGCTGCCCGGGCCTCACCCGGACACCTGCTCCCAGCCTCTTTTCCCGAGGATCCCACTGCTTCCCTGGCCCATCTCTGTGCTCTCTCCTTGGGGCACGGTCTTTTCTAATCCTGGCCATGGCCCCTCCTCCCTCCCAGACTCTGGGGACCCTTCTGGGGACAAGGACAGTGCAGCTGGGGGTATGCCCTGAGGCCTTGTTGGTCATCCTTTCTGTCCTCTGTTGAAGTCACAGAGTAGCCAGGGGCCCCAAGAGGAGGGAGGAGAGAGTGAGACCCCTGCCACATAGGTAGCAATTCTGACAGCTCCCTTCTCTGAGTCCTCATCTCCCTGACAGTCACCAGGCCGACGCAGCCTAACGTTTCACTCTGGTATGCTCTAGACCACTCAGGGCACTGGACCAGCCCCAGCGCTTCTGGAATGCACCTGTTCATGCCTGCCACTTACTGGCCAAGCCGCCTTATCAATGTGGGCAGGAATCCTGAACCTCTTCTCTGCAAAGGGACCTGAGAAAGTACCACTGAGGCATCTGTAGGCATCGCCTGGCTCCATGGGGGGCCTGTGGGAAGGCACCACTGAGGCACCGAGGGCATTTCCAGACCCCAGGTAACCAGACAGCTGTGTTGTAAAGGCACGTGGAATTATCCCAGATAACAGAAGAGACATGGATAGTTTCTGGTGAAGCTGCCTCATCTAACATGCGAAGGACCTCAGAGCACAGGGAGTTGATAGCACCACCTTGTCCTGTCCAGCAAGGGTGGCCCAACACACAAGGTCAACTAATTCCCACGACGGCCGTGGCCTTTCAAGAGTCTGAAACAAAGGGAAATGTCACAGAGCAGCTGGAACACACACATGCGTGCCAACAGGCCACTGTGGCTGCTAGGAACGGGGGCCCTCTCCAGAGCCCTGGGCCCCTCAAAGAGGACCAAGGGCGCCTTCTGCTGCTGCCCTCTGATCCCAGTGGTTCCAAGGGCTCTGATTTCTAACACTGTAGTTAAAACATAAAAGGCCATCCCAAATCCAAATATCTAAATGCTGCCTAAAGTATGGGGGAACCATTATTAGCTTTGAAAATGACACGGGTCTAAACTTGACATGGAAGATAGTCCTGGCAGAGGTGAAGGCAGGGCCCTGACAGGGTAAAGACTGCACTTTGGTTAAAAAATTATATCGATCTGTTTCTGTGTGTGCACACTAATGTACAAGTGCATGATTTGTATCTGCATGTAGACACAACCCATCGCCATTCATCGCTATTGATCCTTACGTTTGTATGCCAGATGCGCTATGTGCTGGCACACGGGTGGTGGGGTTATTTTTTCACCCATCTGTATTCTGAGTGATCCATGAGGAACTTGGGTTCATCAGTTCAGACGAGCAGAGCTCGGCTGCATGCTAACTTTACTTCACCAGCTCCAGACGGCTTTCCTCCCCTTGTCAATACACATGCTGCTCCACTTGCCACGGGGCTGCATCCCAATAAACCCACTGTGAGTTGAAACGATCCTAAGTCAACAATGTGTGTGTGTGTGTGTATGGTTGTGTATGTGTGGATGTGATTGGTGTGGTGTGGGTAGCGTGCATGTGTCTATGTGGTGTGTATGTGCTTTGGTGTGTGCAGTATGTGTGGTGGTGTGTGTGTAACAGTGGTATGATTGGTGTGTGTGTGATGTGTGTTGTATGCTGTGCTGTGTGTGGTGCATGTGTGAGTGGTTGTGTTTGGTATGGTGTGTATGGGGGTGGTTTTAGGTGTGTGTACAGTGTGTGTGTGTGGTGTGTGTTGGTATGTGTGCACATGTGCAGTGAGTATGCATGGTCTGTGTGTATGGTGTTTGATGTGTGTGTGGTGTGTGTGATTTGGTGTATGTGATGTTTTGTGCTGTGCATTTATTGTGTGCATGCACATGGTGTGTGTGTTGTGTGGTGGACATGATTGTGTTTGTGATGTGTGTGCGTGTTATGTCGTGTGTGTGTGTTGTGGTACATGTGTCGTGTGGTGTATATTGTGGTGTATCTGTACGTATGTGGTGTATCTGATATATGCGTGGCGTGTGGTGTGTGTGGTGTGTTTGTGGTGTGTGGCTGGTGTGTGGTGTGTGGTATGTAGGTGTGTGTCTGGTTTGTGTGTGTGGTGTGTATGAAGGAGGTATGGTGTGTGTGTGATGCTGGCATGTGGTGTGTGTGGCATGTGGTGTGAGGGGGTGTGGTGCTGGTGTGTGGTATGTCTGCTGTGTGGTCTGTGTAGTGTGTGTGGTATGTGTGTCTGGGATGTGTGTGGGGGGGTACAGTGCATGGCATGTGTGCGGTATACGTCATGCTCATGTGTGGTGTGTGTGTCTGGTGTGTGGTATGTGGCTAGCATAGTCTATGTAGTTTGTGGGGTGTGGTGTGTGTGTGGGGTGTGGTTGTGAGGGGTGTGATGTGTGTGTGGGGTGGGGTGTATGTGTGGGGTGTGGCATGTGTGTGGGTGTGGTGTGTGTCTGGGGTGCGGTGTGTCGGGCGTGTGTGTGTGGGATGTGGCGTGTGGGGTGTGTGTCTGGGATGTGTGGCATGTGACTGGGATGGTGTGTGTTGGGGGGGTGTTGTGTGTCTGGGGTATGGTGTGTATCTGGGGTAGGGTGTGTATCTGGGGTGAGCTGTGTCAGGGGTATGTCGGGGTGTGGGGTGTGTGGTATCTGGGGTGGGGTGTGGTGTGTGTCAGGGGTATGTGTATGTCTGGGGTGTGGGGTGTGTGTTATGTCTGGGGTGTATAAGGTGTGTGTGGGGGGGTGTGGTGTGTATGTCTGGGGTGTGGGGTGTGTGTTATGTCTGGGGTGTATAAGGTGTGTGTGGGGGGGGTGTGGTGTGTATCTGGGGTGTGGTGTGTGGGGTGTGGTGTGTGTCTGGGGTAGGGTGCGTATGTGGGGTGGGCTGTGGCATGTGTGTGGGGTGTGGTGTGTGACGGTGTGTGTGTCTGGGGTGTGGTGTGTGTGGGGTTGGTGTGTGTCTGGAGTGTGGTGTGTGTTGGGGTGTGTGTGTCTGGGGTGTGGCATGTGTGTCTGGGGTGTGGTGTGTGTCTGGGGTGTGGTGTGTGTCTGGGGTGTGTGTGTGGGGTGTGGTGTGTGTCTGGGGTGTGTGTGTGGGGTGTGATGTGTGTGGGATGTGTCTGGGGTGTAGTGTGTGTGTGTCTGGGGTGTGGTGTGTGTGTGGGGGTGTGTTTGGGGTGTGGTGTGTGGGGGGGGGTGTGTGTCTGGGGTGTGGTGTGTGTCTGGGGTGTGGTGTGTGTCGGGTGTGTGTGTGGGGTGTGATGTGTGTGGGATGTGTCTGGGGTGTGGTGTGTGTCTGGGGTGTGTGTGTGGGGTGTGATGTGTGTGGGATGTGTCTGGGGTGTGGTGTGTGTCTGGGGTGTGGTGTGTGTCGGGTGTGGTGTGTGTGTGGGGGGTGTGGTGTGTGTCGGGGTGTGTTTGGGGTGTGTGTGTGGGGGGTGTGTGTGTCTGGGGTGTGGTGTGTGTTGGGGGTGTGGTGTCTGAGGTGTGTGTGGGGGGGTGTGATGTGTGTGGTGTCTGGGGTGTGGTATGTGTGTGGTGTGTGGGGTGTGGTGTGTGTGGGGTGTGGTGTGTGTGGGGTGTGGTGTGTGTGGGGTGTGGTGTGTGTCTGGGGTGTGGTGTGTGTCTGGGGTGTGGTGTGTGTCTGGGGTGTGGTGTGTGTTGGGGTGTGTGTGTCGGGTGTGGTGTGTTGGGGGCGTGGTGTGTGTCGGGTGTGTGTGTGGGGGGTGTGATGGGTGTGGTGTGTGGGGTGTGTGTGTTGGGGGGCGTGGTGTGTGTCGGGTGTGTGTGTGGGGGGTGTGATGGGTGTGGTGTGTGTGGGGGGTGTGGTGTGTGTCTGGGGGGTGTGGTGTGTGTCTGGGGTGTGGTGTGTCTGGGCTGTGGTGGGTGTGTGGGGTGTGGTGTGTGTCGGGGGTGTGTATGGGGTGTGGTGTGGGTCGGGGGTGTGGTGTCTGAGGTGTGTGTGGGGGGGTGTGGTGTGGTGTGTGTCTGGGATGTGGTGTCTGGGGTGTGGTGTGTCGGGGGTGTGTGTGTGTCTGGGGTGTGGTGTGTGTGTCCCTGCCCGTCCTTCACGGCTGGTACCAGGGTGACTGACTATAGTAAATGTGCATTGCTAGCCGCATGACAAAGCTTAGACAGCAGTCCATCCCAGGGCCAACGCGGTGCAGGATGGCTGTGCAACAGCTCTGAACACTCTCAAGGCCGCTGTCCCTCCTGTGCGGCCACAGTGCACACTGAGGCAGTCGGCCACTCCCAGCTGCTCCAGGCCCTGCCGATGCACTCAGTCCCCCAGGACTCAGGATCATAGGGCTAGCGGCTCCCAGGGCACGGGCCCCAAGGCAGTGCAGTCCTGACCTGCCCACCCCTCTTGTCACTGAGCCCAGGGTACCATGCTTGGGGTGACACCATGTGCTGTCTCACCTGGGCACTGCAAAGGCATAGTTCCCACTATGACACCCCTAGGGTGTCCCAGGGCCTTCTCAGGACCGTCCCATCCTGCCCCAGGGACAAGGCTGGCCTGTGCCAGGGCCATCAGTGGATCTTTCCGTATCATCTTCCACTGATAATTCCACTTCCTAGAGGCGAGAACTGTGGTGGAGAAGGGATGAAATGTGTCTAGGTGGAGAGTGGCACTGGTGGCCAATCTCCCACCCCAGCTCCTGACACAGGCCCACAGGTGTGGCCCTGTCCCTCCCTTGGATGGGCACTGAGGCCCCTGGGTGCAGGACAAGGGTGGGCCTCCACCCCACCACCAGGCCTCAAGCTCTCGCATCCCCAGGACACAGGCCTCTCCGCCCTACTCCGCCCACGTGGCCACATCACCTCCACCGCACCCCACGTTGGGCCCTTGTGCCCTGGCAGCCTCTGCACACACCACAGGCTATGTTTTCCCCTGTGCAGACCCACCCCGATCCCCTTTCAGGAAGCGCTTTGGCCTCAGAGGGCCCTCACCTCTCCTGGATGGCCAAGTCCCTGGGGCCACTTTCTGAGCACTGGCCAAGTGTTGGGGCAGGTGGGGACATCTCCTGGGTGACACATGGGCCTCCACCAGCTCTGGGGCAGACCCAGTCCCCAAGTGCAACCCTGACCAGCTGACCTTCCATCAGTCAGCCCTCTCTGGGGGGTGAGACGCTCCCCAAGACACAGGGTCACCCAGCAGAGCTACAGGCACCAGGACGCAGCATGGGGAACTGAAGATGCCACGAATGTCCTCTTAAGTTTCATATTCTAAAGACACTTTGCTAGCCCTTTAATCAGACAGCCCCCAAACCACTGTGACAGCTACCACGAAAACAGCCATTATAGCAAAGAAAAACCCAGCCAAGTTCCAAAGCAGCCCTGCCCTGGGTGGCTGGGGGAGGACACAGGCAGAAGCGGTAGGCCTGTGCCTTGAGTGCACTGTATTGCAATCTCCAGGCTCTGGGCCTCACCTGGAATGGCTCATTCCTGGCCCACAAGGCAGAAAATGGCACTCACTCTCCTCAGGAAAGTCTCTGGGACTTGCAAGTCACACTGTGGCCTCTGTCGCAGGAAGCATCTACAGACCCCAACAGAACCCTGGAGCCTACTCGGGAAATTCACAGCCACAGCCCCTCTGAGTTCACGGCATGCCCATGATGCCCTGGCCTCGGCCCACCCTTGAAAAGGCTGAAGCCACTCTCTCCTAAGCTGGTGCTCCCTGGGGAGGTCTCACAGCCTTCGCAGGCTGTGGCCTCAGTGGAACAAGTGAACGAGAATGTCCCAGATGGGGCCAAATGCCTCTGGAGAGAAAGTAAAGACCACGTGAAAAGGGGGTGGCGGAGGGCTGGGGGCCTCAGTTCTCAATCTGTTCAGTCCATCCTGAGCACTGGCAAAGGACTGCCCTCCTCCCTCAGCTCCCCTACCCTCTACACACTACTCCTGGCCACACTGCTGCAAGCCCACAGCTACATTCCCCATATCCATCTGTGACCGCCAGCTTTCTGTTAGGTCTGGCCATGGGAGTCATTGACAGGAGACAGGAAGTTGGAAGGAAGAAACATTTTTGTGGCTTCAAGTAGGACCTCCAGCAGTGAAGGCAGTGTGGCGGGCAGGGAGAGGCTGCAGATCACACGGCCACAGCCTCGGTGGCACAGCAAGTGAGACTGAGTGTTTGACACTTCACTCTTCCTGCCCATGGCTGATAATGGAAACCTCACCTTCCCACTGTTCCCAGCCCTTCTATCACCTTTGTAACCAATTCCCTGTGTTAAATGCCCTGTGGTTGAAATATCTGGGGTGGTTTCTGTTGCTGTAACAGTGATGTCCCTTCTCCCTGGGCACCCATCTTTCATTCCCTGCTGACCCCAGGGGCTTGTGTGTATGCCTGCCTAGCTACAGGGGGTACACCTGGAGCCTCACATTTAAAAATGTAACAGCAGCCGGGCATGGTGGCTCATGCCTGTAATCCCAGCACTTTGGGAGGCCAAGGCAGGTGGATCCCCTGAGGTCAGTAGTTTGAGACCAGCCTGGCCAAGATGGCGAAACCCTGTCTCTACTAAAAATACAAAAATTAGCTGGGCATGGTGAGGTGTGCCTGTAATCCCAGCTACTAGGGGGGCTGATGCAGGAGGATCGCTTGATCCTGGGAGGCGAAGCTTGCAGTGAGCCAAGATCGTGCCACTGCACTCCAGCCTGGGCAACAGAGCAAGACTCTGCCTCAAAAATAAATAAATAAATAACCAACCAACATTGCCTGACCATACAGCCTGCCTGCATCTGCCCGCAAAGGAGCCCTGGGTCCACGGCCAGTTCATAGAGACCCGCCCGCTTCCCAGCCTCCCCACCGAGGAGGAGCTTCCTGAGTCTGCCTGAAGGACCCCAGTGCTGCGACAGGACACAGTCTCCATGGAGACATGAAGTCCTCTGGGATGCCTGCACCAAGGCAAACTAGCTGGCCGAGGAGCACCATTCAGCTGTGAGAGCGGCCACAGGGGGCTCAGCACAGCCTTGGTCCGTAGCACCCAGTGGAGGGCAGGAACCACACAAGCCAGCCTAGCAAAGCTCCGTCTCCACAGTGCTCCATGCTCACCGGCAGCTTCTCCTGTCCAGTGCTGGCTGCCAAGGGACATTCTGGCCTCAGCAGACATGGGCCACCTGGGGCTCTCAGAGCTTGTTTAACAGGAGAGGGCAGCACCTTAAAACTCTCAGGAGCTACTGACAGTGTGTTTAACATGTTTAAAAAGAGAGCAATTGGGTTTGCTTTTCCTCTTCATTAACTTCATCCCTCCCCCGGGGCAGGCTCTAACAGGCCACTTCCTTTCTTTCTGTATCTACTGATCAGTCAGATGACAACACAGGGGCCACCAGGGCTACCACGCACTGCCTGAAGCACAGGATACATCTTTGAAGTGTGGTTCTGGACATCTACTATCTTTCAAGAGCAGATATCCCATCCGAGTATTTTCCAATCCAGGGCAAATGCCTCCAGGTCCCAGAGGAGTACACTAGACTCTCAATCTTTTCTGTTTTTATAATGATGATGATTTTTGAGACAGGGTCTTGTTCTGTGATCTAGGCTGGAGTGCAGTGGCACCATCATACCTTACTGTAACCTCAAACTCCTGGGCTCAAACAATCCTCAAGGCACGTGCCACCAAGCCTGGTTAGTTTTTTTCACATTTTTGGGTAGAGATCAGGTCTCGCTATGTTGCTCAAGCTGCTGTGAAACTCCTGGCTTCAAGCAATCCTCCTGCCTTGGCCTCCCAAAGCAGGGGGATTATGCCCGCCAATCTTTTCCGCTTTTAAATACCACGAAGCAAGTCATTAAAACAACTCCCATTCTGGAAGCTCTTAATTTTTTAAAATTTCCAAATACCACGTATATCAACCTCCAAATTGTTAGCAGAAATAGAAGCACTCTGGCTCTGGAGGCTGAGGCAGGAGGATGGCTTAAGCCCAGGAGGCAGGGGCTGCAGTGAGCTATGATTGTGTCACTGCACTCCAGCCTTGGTGACAGAGGGAGACCCTGTCTCTTGAAATTTTTTTTTTTTTTAAGGGAGAAGCAATCCTATATACCACAGGTTGGGAAACTGGGGCCTTTGGGGCAAATCTGGCCCACCGTGCATTTTTATAAATAAAGTTTTACTGGCACACAGCCCTGACCACTCGTTGTGTATTGACTATGGCTGGTTTTACAATACAACAGCAGAGCTTAGTGGCTGTGACACAGCCTGCAGCCCACAAGGCCTAAATATCTAGCCCTTTACAGAAAACACTGGTTGACCCCTGTACACTAGAAGTGGCTTCACACTGTCTACAGTTTCCCTCGGGATGGACCCACAATGAAAGCGTGAAACGGCTCAACCCGAGGGACGCAGCCAGGACAGATAAGGAAGGTAAAGGAACATGTGGAGGGATGTGGAGGATGCCCCCGCCCGCCCCCCACCTGTGGGAGGAGACAGATGGACAGGGCACAGGGGACAGAGAGGGCCCAACTCACCTGTGGCCTGGCAGAAGAGGTAGAAGTTCCCCAGGGCGTGCACGTGCTGTGCCTGGTCACTCAGGAAGGGCGGCAGCAAGGAGACCCTCGAGCTGCTGTCGGGCCCCGCACCCGAGGCTGGCCAGGGGGTCCAGGGAGAGGAAAGCCTCCTGTCCCCCACATGGCCCAGACAGGACAGGGAAGAGGAGCCAGGAGGAGGGAGGGGCTTAGGAGACGAGGCTGTGAGACAGAGAGGACAGAAAAGAGAGGGCACTGAGGAAGAAGTCGCCAGGAGCACGTCACAGGCCAGAGAGGGCAAAACACAGCAGGAAACGGACAGAAAAGAGCGAGCCCAGCTGTCCCGCCTGGGCCATGCAGGGGCGGGAGGCTGCACAGCCTCCGCTAAGGAATGTCTTCCCCAAATCAAGGATAGAAGCTTCTCATTTATTTGGGTACTTTCCAAATGTATACAATTCAAAGTAGAAAAATAAAAACAAGGTAAATCTTATAAAACACAAATGTTTACACCAAAATGGTCAAATCCTATCATGCTGGAAGATAAGACTGTCCACACACGCGCACAAACATCCAGAGTTTATTGCTCTTCACCATGGAAAAAAAGTCTCTTCCCGATGGGTATTTACAAAGCGGGGAGATGGAGTGTGAAATTAACCAGTGTTGAAATCGTACCACCCATTCACATCTTCAGGACAGTGGCAGGAACAGCGCCGTATGCTTGAGGGTGCTGTGGTCACAGCTCGCGGCCCCGGCCACCGAGGCCCAGTTCCCTTCCAGTAGTGGGCAGCTCAGTGAGGCTGGATAGAAAGTCTGGGCAGGCAGTGGGTAAGCAATTGAAGCAAGAAGAGAAAGGAGATGTTCAGAGAACCAAAGGCGCCCTTGTGAAGGTTCCATCTGTCTCACAGGAGGTTCTGACCGACAGCTGTGGGCTCCAGATTGTACCGCACTCCCATCTCAGCTCTGGGCCAGCCTGGCTCCACTCAGCTCATCCAGGCTACCTTCCCTTGCTCAAAACCCACCTCGTGGATGTGGGAAGGTCCTCTTCTTCGAGAGAGTAAAAGTTAAAAAAAAAGAAAAGTAAAACGAAGTACAGAAAGAAAATCTCTCCAAAAACAATGCTTCCCTCAAGGAATAAAGTTAAAAAAAAAAAAAGAAAAAGAAAAAAGGTGAGTGGGCTCCGGGGAGTGTTTATGTCTACATTTCTAAAAGCAGAAAGAATGCATTTAGCAAAAGGAAGTTTATCCCTGAGAATCTTAAGCAACGTAAGCCGTATTTTATGCCAAATATATAACAAAATCTGGAAGATATACATCTTCTTCTAAATATTAACACAACTGCTTCTGTAACTAAAAAAAAATGACCCATGACATAAACACAATCAAAGCAAAATCCTAAAAAAATAATTAAGTGGAAGAAAAGGTTCGTGCCAATCTGGACAACAGGCGATAAGTTACCAATCTGATAAACTAAAATGTCATTTCCAATCTGGAATTAAATAATCTTTTAGTGGCTGCTACGGGGAGGGGAAGCTGAAGGGATGCTCTTCTCAGCCAACAGAGGTCCAGCCACCTTTCCCCCACTACAGAAAGGGCTCAGGAACTCCGTGCCGCCCGTGGGCCTTCTTCAAGTACTCCGACTGACTTCGGAACACAAGACTGGGATGCAATGCTTGTCATTTTTCCAAAAGGACAAAGAGAAACCAAGTCACAGGCTCAACCCAAGAGAAAATAGACAAGAGGACTGAGGTTGTCTGCACGATGCGGGCTAACCTACGCAGCACTGCACGAGACTCGGATACTGAACAGGAGAAACACAAAACTCTCCACGCCTGGACACGTCGCAGCCGAGGCACCAGCGGGGATGCACAGCCGGCCTCAGTCTCCATCTGCGTCTGAGTCAGCGAACTTCAGCTCACACTTGACGTCAAAGGGCTTGTCCCTGGCAGAAAGGTCGTCGATCCTCTGTGAGTCCTCCCTATCCGTGGGGACTTTGCTGGTGATGGTGTCTTGCTCGGTCTCATAGCCGGTGTCCAGGGCTGGCTTGGGGTGCTCCCCATTCTGCTGGGAGAAGCTCCCTGGCTCTACTAACGTCTCCTTCAGGCTCTGCTCACGGTCACAGAAATCTGACTTGGGCTTCTTCTTCCCAATTAGTAGGGCCGAGCGGAATTTCAAGCACTGTCTGGGCAGGTATCCCTTATAGCAGTTGTAGAAAAAGAGGCAGAGGAAGAGAACAAAGAAGAAGAGGAAGAGGGACATGAGGAGGCGGTTGTCGCTGGACTTAAGATACATGGTTTTCTCCGAGTGGAGCTGGGGGACCGTGTTGATGACGATCTTTGGTTCGCAGGATGTGCCGGTGGGCGCAGGCTTGGGAGGAAGGGTGATGGCCCCGGAGGAGGTGGCCTGCACGGCTGGGGTTGGGGGAGAAGACCCTTGGGTGGATGCCACCAACACTTTGGTGGCAATCCTACTACCTTCTGTCTGAACAACTGACAAGGTGGGGGCCACTACGGGCTTTGGAACCACCTTCACTTCCAGGACGTGCTTGGCGACCACTTGGAAGACCGTTTTGTTCTTAACCCTCTCCTCTGACAGGCACTGGTACACCCCACTGTCTCCTTCTGACAAGTTGAAGATGAGCAAGTTTTTTCTGCCCATAAGACCGTACTTGGGGCTCTCGGCCTTCAACACGCCATTCTGGAACTTCCAAAAGACCCGGGCCAGGTTGGATTTTTGGGAGCATTTCAGTTCCGCTGTGCCACCGTGCTTGAAAAAATGCTGCCGGTAACTTCCTTTACTTTTATCTGGAACATCAAAATAAACGTGCACAGCGTCAACAATCCCCATTTGCTATTTAACAACTTCTTTAAAATACCCACAAGATGACGCAAGAGTTTCACCCACTGTAGCAACATGGAATCTTCCAGAACAACTAAGGAGATAAAGACATGCGTGACCAAAAAGCAAAGATGAGCCCTGGATGACAGCCCATGGGGACAAAGAAATTGGAGGCAGCTCTGAGCAGCAGAAATCCCATTTCTCACCCGTGTCCCAGAAGAAAACGCGTCAGGCTGGGGAAGCTGAGCAGAGGCCAGTTCTGTGCCTAGTGTCAGCTCTTTGAATCAGACACGAGACGCTTCTGCTAATGGCTGCAAGGAAGACTGGCCTTTCAGTGCATCTCAGCACTCTCCTCCTGCCTAAACTTTTCTTTTTTTTCTTTTTTTTGAAACAGGGTCTGGCTCTGTTGCCCAGGCTGGAGTGCAGTGGTGCAATCACAGCTCACTGCAGCTTCAACCCCCCCAGCTCAAGGGATCTTCCCACCTCAGTCTCCAGAGTAGCTGGGACTACAGGTGACCACCTCCAGGCCTGGCTAATTTTTGTATTTTTTGTAGAGACAGGGTCTCACCACGTTGCCCAGGGTAGTCTCGAACTCCTGAGCTCAAGTGATCCTCTTGCCTCAGACTCCCAAAATGCTGGGATTACAGGCATGAGCCACTGTGCCCGGCCAGCTTTTGTTTTCTTTTTAGAGTCTGGGTCTCACTTTGTCACCCCAGGCTGGAGTGCAGTGGCATGATAAGCTCACTGAGCCTTGAACCCCTGGGCACAAGCAATCCTCCTGCCTCAGCCTCCCTAGTAGCTGGGACTACAGGCGTGTACCACCATGCCCAGCTGCCTAAACCTTTCTTAGTCTGATGACAGCTGTCTTGTCAGGGTCAGGAAGACACAGAACTGAGGGTCAAGTCTGCCTTTAGCACCCTGGAAGGTGGCTGCTGGGGAAGGGGCATCTGGCCTGATGCCACCCCTCCCTCTGGGTGTGGTGCTATTTCAGACATCCACAGGCGGGTGAATCCCAGGTGGGAGCCCCAGGGGAAACACCACCCCAGCCCTTACACTGCCTGAGGATTAATCACTCATGGGCTCCTTTCTCCCCATTTATAACAGGCTTAGGTTTTGCTTAATGAGCCCCAAGCTAAGCAGAAAGAAAACAGGATGGTTTTGGAAGGAGACTGCTTCCCAGTAAGCAGATACACTCTAAGTGGCTTCAAGTACTCTTTCGGCAAGAAAAAAAGACAGAGAAGACCACGAGTCTGCTACAGAACACTTGACCTCTGTTCCGAGTGGAGAAAGAAAAACAAAACACACACAAATGCCACAGAACTGAAGCACCGTGAAATGGCTACAAGACCTCGCCACTCCCAAAGGAAATGGGACGTCGAGGAGTCACTCACCCGGGCACACAGAAGCATCGCCGCTCATCTCCTGAATCAAACCCCTGCAAAACAACCGGCACGTGTTATTCACCCACACACATGGGGGACATCCCCAGGCAGCGCATCCCGCCCCATACCTGCTGGGGCTCTCGGTCTGGTGCAGAGCCACGCAGGTCGCTGTGGGCGGGCTCCAGGCGCAGTAGGGGTCCCGCGCCAGCACACAGTCCTCGCAGGTGCCGTGCTTCCCACAGAAGGCCAGCGGGGCCTGGACCACGCCCGAGTTAGAGCCAGCATAGACAAACCTGTTGCCCTGCGTGTATGAGACAGAGAAGAACTAGCATCAGGCAAGCAGGCATCCAGGAGCATGGCCTCTGCTTCTGCACCAGTGTGTGGGAAGCAGCCAGAGTGTACCTTCAGGGGACATTGCAGTAAGGAGGAGAGGTACTCAGAACCAGAGGCAAACAAGGCAGGTCTGTGACCTTCCTGCAGAATCCACGTGCTATGTCAGGGCTCACTGGGCCTTAGGTCCAAATCCCTCTCTCCCCTGTCTGGGCACCCACAGGTGCCTGCCCTCCAGCAAAGCGCTTCTCTGCACGTGTTTCTCTTAGCCAGTGGGGAGGCTGTTCAGTCCCCACCTCCAGATCTCCTCCCTGCAGCAGAGGATGCATGAGCCTGGCACTCCCGGTCATCTTCCCGGCCTCACTATAGGTGAGAAGGGGCTGCAGCCAGAGGCTGAAGCACACCACCTCGAAGCCCAACCTCGTCCCCCGAGCCAGAATGTGAGCACCTGTGGGCGGGGAGCCTCTCGTGAGGGTCTGGATCCAGCAGAGGCCTAACATAACAGGGATGCCAAACGGACGACATGCAAAGGATGAGGAGATCGTGATACAAAACATAAAAAAGGAACAATGCCTTTTGCTTTTCACTTATCTATATGTAAAAGGGAAGAGCTCACAGACGGGAAGTCAACCTCCGAGCTCCAGAGCAGCCACACCCACAGCAGAGGGCAGGTGAGACTCTCCCACCTTCTGGGACACTTGGTTCCCAGTGACACCAGCTTCAGGTCCATCCCATCAGCCCACCTGGCACCAGCAGTGCCCAGCACACAGGCATCCAGGGCTGCTGACTGCTTTTGAACGGAACTCAGCTGGAAGGAGGGTGCCCCACATGCAGTGCACCCACCTGAAGCTCGGGGGCGTGCAACAGACCTGGAGGTGGCCCGTGGAGCGCGCTCTCTAGCCTCTGCCCAGGGCATCTGCCTCAACAGCCTGGGGACACCTTTTGGTTAACAATACAAGATTCCCAAATTTACACATGACTTAGTGGTTTACAGTCAGATGAAACACGACCTTCATCCTCAGAGGATACGCTCGGAGTCAACTTCAGAGTGTGGTTGGAAGATCACAGGCCCTGATGCCAATACAGGAAGCCCCAGGCCACACATCCAGCTGTGCGGACACAGACCCACGAGAGAAAGGGAAAGCCCCCAAGGATGGAAACTGTGATAATACACAGCAGAGGGAACCTGGCCCGCCGCTGGCCTCACAGCAGCAGCAGCAGCAGAGACCTGGGCAGATGAGGCCATGTGTGAGCCACGTTTGTGGGAAGGATTGAGGATGACATCCCAGATCACAGTTCGGGCATCGCGCGGCTTGTGGAGGTGGCGGAAACATTCTCTGGCAGCAAAGCCAAGCTGGGTAACTTCCAAGGGACAGCTGGTCCTGTTGGGTCCCGCGGGGGGCACCTGCGAGGTGGCGTGAACACCATGCAGTGCAGAGCAGGGTGCCCTGGGTGGCCAAGTGGGGCCCGCCTGACTCCTCACCCCAAAGAGAGGCTTGAGGGTAGCTGTGGAGGGTGGGGTGGGCTCTGGGGGGCAAGGCCTGTCCCAAGGGGATCCAGACCACCTCCTGCACCCTGCGGGAGACTCAGCCCCAGCTTCCGCTTCTCCCGGATGGGGCTGGGCTGCAGCCCAAATGAAACTAAGCTGTAAAAACTAAACGACGCCACACAGAGACCAAGGGATGACTGTGGAAGGGAAGAGGGGACAGGGAAGGAGGAACTGGTCGTCAGGACAGCCAGCTGTAACTGCTGCAGGCAGGACCCACTGGTCGATGTGGATGTCAGTGGGTGGGAGAACAGGGCATTTCTGTAGCCTCCAAGTCTGTCCCTGCAAATAAGCATGAATGACTGTGGGGGTTTCCCACATGACTCCCCTGGGAGGTGGGGCTCACTCTCCCCCACCCCCAGTGTGGACTACATGCCCCGACACACTCGACATGGAAAAAGACGGTGGTGACTTGGACAGAATGACCAAGGTCATCACGCTGGTGCGAGTCATACAGATGCCCCATCCCCAGAAAGCGCCCTCTTTGGTGCTCCCCCTAAAACCACGACCCCAAGATAATCACAAGAATACACCAGACACACCACAAAACACCAGACTACTCCTCTCCAGGAGTGCTGAGGTCAGGGAGGCAGGAACAGAGCAGAAGCCGAGGAGATGCAGTGTCCAGTGCAACCTGAGGTGCTGAGCCAGGAATGTGGTGGGCGGGAGGTAGGAGGGTCCAGGGTCTGGGGTTCAGGTAACGCACTGCACCATGACAGCACCTTGGCTCAGATAAATGCACACTGGCTATGTGAGACATCGGACATGTGGAGCTAGGTGGGGGCGCTCAAGATCCTTCTGTGCAATCATCAAAACTCTTCTGTAAATTTAAAATTATTTCAAGACAAAATTTTTAAAGGCAAAGAAAAAAAGCCTGACCAGGCACCTGGCAGCATGAGTGAGGCCCGCTGAGAGCAAGCCTGTCCTGTGCACTCCTGCCCCTCGACGCCCCCTGTCTCCGCCTTCCCTGGGCCTGAGGATTGTCCCCTTGCAGGCAGCTCTCATGCTCCCATCTCTGTCTCTGCTGCTGTGTGTGCGCGTCAGACCCCGAGGGCAGGTTGGAGTGACGGTGGACGTGATCAGAGGCAACTGAGCTGTCTAAGTGCCTTCCTTGCCCTCTGCCACGCTAGCTGTAGCTCAGCATCCCAAGGAGTCCTGGTGAAAATACAGACACAGCCTACTCGGTGGGCTCAGAGAGGGCCGAGCAAACCGCATCTGCTGTGTGCGCCCAAGGAATGGAAAGCAAGGACTTGAGGTATCTGCACACCCACGTTCACAGCAGCACTGTTCACAGAAGCCAGAAGGTGGGAGCAACCGTGTCCATCAAGGGATGAACGCACACACAAAATGCGGGACTCACAAAATGCGGTATTCACATACGACAGAGGAGTATGTAGCCTTGGAAAACCCTGACCCCTGCTACAGCAGGGAGGAACCTTGAGGACTTTATGTTAAGTGAAATAAGCCAGTTACAAATGGATAAATACTGTGTGATTCCACTCATATGAGGTACCCAGACAGAAACAGAAAGCAGAATGGCGGCTGCCCAGGGCTGGAGGAGGGGAAAATGAAGAGTTTGTATTTCACAGGTAAAAAGCTTCTGTTTGGGAAGATGAAAAGCACCCTGCAGACAGACAGTGGTAATGGCTGCAAAACAACGTGAATGTTCTTAATGCCACTGACGTGCACAATGAAAAATGGTTAAGACGGCAAATTTCATCTGATGTGTATTTACCAAAATAAAAAGCAAAACCCCATGCTTGTCATCAGGGGAGAGGAGGTGAGGGTGGAGGCACAGCGCACCTCCCCAGCTGTAGGACAGGGGGAGGGCGTGGTACTGGCCGTTTCTCCATTTGCTGATCACCGTGAGAGAGCCTGATGGGGTCAGGCGGCACAGTCTTTTTACCACTGAACAGCCACTTCCTGCTGCCATGGCCATGGAGCTGGGCCTTCCACCCCCACCTGGAGCCTACTGAGGCCCAAGGAGAAGGCACAGGACCCCACGGCAGGCAGGATGTATTTCCGCTTGTCCAGGCAACTAAGCCACGTCCCCACGAATGGAGGCTCCTACAGAGACAGGCGGGTCGGGTGGTCCAGTAGGACCAGCAAGCGCTTCCCCAAACCCACTGGCTCCTCCTCCTGGGCGCGAGGCTCCCTGTGTGGCCAGCTGCCCTGGTGTGGCCATGTGACCGAGTTCTGGGAGATGGCGGGTGGGCACTGACCCGTAACCCCCTCTGTGCGGCCCTCCTCTTCCTACCCCCTTCTGCCTTTGAGGATCAGTGCCCATGTGCCCTGGAAGCCTCCACCAGCCTGGGTCCCTAAGTGACCCTTGGAACAGAGTGTCATTCTCACGAATGTCCACACCAGGGGCCCAATCTTCATTCTAATGAGAAGTCCACATTTTAGAGATGTTGTAGGTGCCTGCCCAGTCTGGCTGAGGCCACTGAACAGCACGATGGCCCCAGAAGAGCTTCTGGGTCCCCTTCTTTCAACAACGAGGCTGGGGTGAGGCCCCACAGTGGCTAAAGCGTCGACCCTTCAAATCTCCAGGGCTCCCTTTGTGTCCTGGAGACCGAGAGGCTGGTGAACAGATGCCAGTACCCAGTGGCTTATAACTTGCTCAGGCTATTTCATTCTCTTTTCCTTTCAGATCTGAGGGAGAACTCTCCATTAGCAGAGGGGAGGTGACCACGTAAAAGGACCCAGGCTCCCAAGCTTTGTGGATACAGGGGAGGGAAGAGGACAGAAGACCTGGAGGGGTGTTTGCAAATACGCACCTGCCAAGGGTAGGTATCTTACCCGGCCAGACAGGGGCCCTCTTCCTCTGCCTGTTGCTCCCAGCTGAGGGAGGAGAGGACTGACTGGGCCTGGATCCCACAAGGTGGTTGGAGGTCCCGTTAGGAGCCAGGGCCAGGGAGGCAGCCCCCTAAAGGCCAGCGTGGATGCCCGCCCACCCACCCCTGCCAAGGGCTGCTTGGGAGTATTGCAGGCCAGACCAGAGTCTCAGCCACAGGTGGAGACAGCTTTACAGATGAGACGAACCACTTCTCTTGTGGATTTTCCACGGTGACGAGTCAGCTGTATCACTATCATATCCCACAGATGCAGTCTGCACACCCCCCAAGCTCAGGGCATAAAAAGGTGTCTTCATGGAGCAGTGCCCACCTCTCCACAGCCTGTAAAGCTGCACCAACAACTCAATGACATTCCAGCAACTTCGAAGAGAAAGTCCCGTCTCCCCAGGTCTGCCTTCCTGCCTTCCCCAATTCAGATCCCACAGCTCACGGAATGGCTCTGTGTCAAACTCTGAAGGTTGGCTCACCCAGGGCAGACAGACAGAGGGGCCTGCCCAGGAGCCCGACTCCAGCTTGCCAACTCTCCTGTCACCTAGAATCAAAGCCACCGAGCGGAGAAGCCCCCGGTCCAGCTGCCTGCGTCACTTTACCTTCTTTGAAGACAGCAGCAGGGTCTGGACTGGCTCAAAGTCCTGGAAGAGCTGGGTCTCCTCGATGATGTGAACAGCGTGCTCGAGGCTGATGGCTTTGTGCAGAGCTCCCCGGTCTGCAGGGCCAAAGCTACAGGTCAGTGACACTAACCCAGACACAGAAACCAAGGACAGTGACCACAGCGGCAAACTTCACACTCTTCACTCTCAAGTCATTCCCTCCACAGATACTTAGAAAACAATGATGATTTCGCATTAGAAACAAAAAAAGGAAAAGGCTTTGGCAAAACAGACAACTGGAAACCCAAGTGTTATGGGTTATTCCAGTTTTTTTCCAAGGAAAATAAACTGTTCCATGGTTGACCCCAAGAATCCTCACCAACAGTCGACATTACACTTGAGGCTAAGTGCCACATGAGGGGGCTCCCATGCTCCACCAGCCCTCGGGGTGTCACTGGTAAGTGCCCTAGGCAGGCGGTGAGGACAGGGGGCATGTGAGGTTGGCTGGGAGGCTCCAAGGGCAGGCCACAATGCGCTGCCAGCCACCGTGGCTCCTGGCCCCTGTCCCTGTTCCAGAAGTGCTTATTTCAGAGTCCACATGCCAGGGCACATCTAAAACCTGGCTCCTCGGCCAGGAAGCAGGGACGTGGTCCTCTGCCAGCAGTCAGGAAACGCCAGGCTGACGCCTCCTCCCAGGTGGCTCACACCTGCCCCCTGCGTGGGCACTGCCCCAACTCCTCGGCGGCCAGTACTCCTCTGCCCCAGCCCAGCCCAGCCACAGGCCAGGACTTGCATTTTTATTTTTAACAAGTACCTCCAGTAGCCTGGTGGTCCCAGATCTGAAAGCCACCTGGTGTGGTGACTTCTCAGAAATCTTCTTACGCTCCCACAAACCTCCCAGGTCACCTCGAGGGAGGCAATGGAACTACTCACGAAAGAATAATTGGATTTCCCAGTTTTCCTACCAGAGGACACAGATGTGCTGTCACTGTCAAGCCTGCCAAGCCCTCGGAACCCACCTGTGCTGACAAACATGACATCATAGACAGTCCCATCCAGGGCCTGGGTCCGGTCCACCACGATCTGGGTGTAGTTCACATCTTTCTTGATTAACCTGGGCCTGTTGTCTATTGGGGTTACCGAGTCATCCATCAAAGGGTGGTCTTTAACGAACTGCAGCGTCTTGTCTGGCAAATTCAAGGAGCTGGTGTAGTTGGCGGCCCGTGCCTCGCTGTCGATGCACTGCAGGGAGAAAATCCCCGCTGTTAACGTGCTCGTGTCCCACCACGCAACGGGTGCTTCCACACAAGCAGCCAACGCAGGGGGGGCTGCAAAACCTGGAAACCACACAATGCATGCCTTGAAATGAGGGTAGCAGTGAATAACTTTACTATGAGGAAAGGTGGCCTCTCCCCAGCCAGCAGAGGACACAGTTATAAAACACATCTGCAAGACAGAATTGCATTCACGATACATACTCAGGGAAGGAATTTTTATCTATTTGTAAGTGAAAAACACTTATTGAGCTTTTGAAATTAAAAAACAGAACACTGATTTGCAGCTTTCTCATGAAAAGAATGCTAAACATGGCTAAAACCAGGACAATTTAAAATAGCATAAGAGCCTGAGGGATTCTTTTTTCCTGTTCTAGCTCCCTGATGTGTGTAAACCAAAATCTGTGACCATGAGTGAACACATTTTACGAAGCTATGCATAGAAGGAGCCATGATGGTGTCAGGGACAGCTGCCCTTGGGAGGGAGCTGGTGCTGCAGTGAACTCTGAGGGCCAGGACACCCCATGTAGGTCACAGCCCCACAGAGGGCTGTGCACATGCCTGTCACACCCATTTCCCCATGTGAGGGAAGGAATCGGCCTGGAAATTCCCAATTTCTACATAAAGTTCACTATATTTAGGAGGAAAAAATGTGACTCCTGTTGACTAGTGGACAGTGCAGAGGCCTTTGCCAAGGAATCATGTGTTTCTCTGTAAGAAACTGAAAATGAAACAGACCTAATTGTTATGCAATGTTAATTGTGCAAAACAGCTGCCCCAGCCTTCTTGTTTGTGCAATAGTGTAGCAATGGCTGTTACGTAACATGCAAAAGGGAAGAAGGATGAGCTGTGCTCATCGGCCGTCCCTGTCCCAATGCAGAGAGCCTTGGCGTGGCCAGGTACCCAGCCCATGAGCAGGCCCCAGTGCCTGTACTGGATTCCATGCCCTGGGCCTTGAAGGGAAAGCACGGCCCGCCCCCAGTGCCCCAGCTCACCGCTCCAGGCCGCGGCTTGGGTACCGGGCCATTATAGCGCACCCACTTGGTGTGGGACTGCTCCACTGTGGTGCTCTGCATGTACTTCCCGTGGGAGAAGACCTCCTCGGCTGTGGACAGGTTGTAGGCGCACACTGCCGACAGCCCCACGTTGTTCCTGGGGAGGGGAAAGAGGTGACGGGACCACCTGGCGGCATCAAGGGAGCAAGGAGGGGGACTCCACCCAGGGCACTTACAGCTGTGGGGTGAAGAGTGCATAGAACACAGGCACCTTCAGGCCCGGGGACCTGAGCACGAAGACATCCCGCAGCACATTGAAGACCAAGCCGCTGTCTGGCCGGGAGCAGATGAGTCGGGCTTTCAGGAAGGAGGTCCATTTCTTCTGCAAGGTCCTCAGGCCGCCCTGGTCCCCCTAAAACCCCAACAAGAAGACGTGGTGGGCCGAGAGTGGATCCCCTGTGAGCAAGCACTAAGGTCAGAGGTGCACCCCTCCATGGCCCAGCACAGCGCGGCTGTGCCTGACTGAAACAAAGCTCGGGCAACAGGAGACAGATGCCGCAATTATGTGAGTGGCCCGCAGCACCACGTCCAGGTTCCAGCTTGGATCCCAGAACGCTCCTGGGTTAACACACAAAACAAAACGGACAAAAGCCCTCTCACTGAAAGCTCATTTGATCGTCCATGCCTGCCTGTGCCCAGCATTCAGTCCTGCAACCGCAGAGGTGCTGCCGTGCTCACACACTTCCAACTGCCAAGGCCCCTGGCATTGTGTGACTTTCCTGACATAGGGCCCATCAATGAACATGCTCTGGGTGGGGCAAGTGGCGGCAGCCTCCTTCCAGGGGACAGCCACCGGCCCTGCAGCCTGTCTTGGGCAAATGTGTGAACCTTCCTCCCTTTAAAGGAATAGATCCTTCACTTCCTTTCTACCCAAAGTATCTGCTAAAGTGCTTTGAACCTAAGTTCTTTATAAACGCTTTTCAGGGATCCGATGACCAAGACACAATTATAAACTACACATGACTGTGTGTGGTCTGGAGAGAAATACTGAAACCACAAAACCTGAGTGCAGAAGAATATGAAATAGAAGCAGCCTTACTTATTTTGGACACAGGGAAAATGTTCCCCCTTCATCTCTGCTGTGTGATTACAGGAGCCCAAATTCTCTTTTTGATAAAAGGACTTCATTTTCCTCCTTGATGTTTTAGCAAAGAATAATTTCTAGCACATTTTTCGTCAGGGGTCTCATGTGGCTTTCAGGTCACGGGCAGCAGGTGAAGGGTTCATGTGTGCCTGCGTGGTAGGCAGGAGCTGTGGGGCCTAAGCTCAAACCACCCTAGTCCAGGAGTTCAAACAAGTATGGGGAAAAAAAAGGGATCAGAGGGGATGACAGCAGTGTGCCTAAGACTTGTAGAAACTTGTCGGGGGTGGAGGTGGCTGCTCTGTGCATCGCTGAATCTGCTCACTGATCCTGCTGCAAACCCTCAGTGCTGGGTAATAAGTCAAGGTCAAGGCAAGTCTGATCCTTGGCTTCCCGATGGCAGGGGAGGGCTCGAGTCCCCTGGCCAGTGCTGCTCTGACAGCATTCTGAGCACTGTGCACGCCTGCCAGGAGCTCTGGCCCTGCAGCACCCTCCCCATCTCAAGGGGCACTGGCTTGCCCCCAACACTGATACTGTTGATAGGATGGTTTCCTGGTCTGCAAGACAGGAGCATGGCAGCCACGGCTGCGGGGCTGCGGGGCAGCTGGAGGATCTGGTCAGTGAGCCCTGGCTACGGAAGGCCTGGGCAGGGAGCAAAGCACCAGGTGGATACTCAGGTGTGCACATCACCCAACCTTCTTCCTTATGCAAGGGGCTGTTAAGGGAACGGTGTCAAAGGCACCCACTTTTGTGCGCCATAGGCATGAAAGGAACCCTGCTTCTCTGATGTCCTGATGGTCATGACTACATGAGAAAGGGCCACGCAAGAACTATCTACCAATTTCCATGAGAGACGAATGGCTACCTGCTCCGAGATGAGCTCCTGGCCAGGGACATGGCGGCTGTGTTTCATGTGGTTTCCCCCAGCTCCCCTGAGGCCTGACAATCCACCTCCTGGAAACTGCCACTGAGCAACCTTGAGATTTCCTGTAATCAAGCCCATAGGCCATTCTCTTGTGCTGAGCACTGTGCCTACAGTGTGTCATTTTAAAGGCACCCTCCCCTTTTAATGTACTTAAAGATTTGTGTTTTGACAAACTTCTGTATTGGTTCTCTCTTCTTAATCTTAAGCTGTCGGTTAATGTTTCACTCTTAGGTAGATTAAGAGCCAAATGGTGAAATTCCAACAGACTCTGGTGAATACATTCCACAAAGCCTTGCTTTTTATAAGCTAGAGGTTTGAAGAGGGTGCATTAAAAGAAAGAACCTCCTGAGAAGAGGAGGCTAATGGGTCACACATGGGGGCCAGCACTCCCTCAGTCCCCACAACCCCCAGAAATAAGATCCATTGAGAGCTGCATCTGAGGCCCAAGGGAATAAAGTGCTAGGGAAAGTGACATTTGAGACGAAGGTCAGGAGCCACCCATCATCCAGGCACACTATTGCCATGGCAGGGGCCAAGCGAAGCCAGAGTGCCTGGCACTCACCTTGCACACTCTTGCTATCCGTGGGATCAGCACCCTGAACACAAACTCATACTCCACAGACACCTCCGTGAAGAAGAAGTAGACCCTGTCATCCTCGCCGTCGGGGCTGTCTGGGCTTTTTCGGATCACGTCAGCAAACACGAAACTAGGCTCTGCAGAGAGAGGACAGTGATTATCCCAGAACACAGAGCTGGGGGACTGCCTGCACCCATGAGGTCACGAGGCCGGCCAACACTACCTTGGGGGCCTGAGGGCTTCCCTGCAAGGATGTCTGGAGTGTGCACATGCCACAATCCAAACAGAAACTCCAGGATCTGAGGATGATGACAGCCCTGAGCCCAGATGGTGCCCTACCCCCACCTCCTCGGCCTCAGAGAGGTGCCCCCGACAGTGGTTCTGCAGTGCATCCCACCCAGGTTCACCCCAAGAACTGAGGCTGGGCCTCCTGACTGGAAGGCAGGGAGCCAGATGGTACCAGCATCAGAGACCTACGTAAGGCATGCATTTGCTGGTTTAAACAACACATGCTTCACATAAACAAACTCTAACCACCAGATCCTGCCCCACCCTGAGGAATGGCCGACTGTCCCTGAATCTGGGGTCTTGGGATCTGCCCTAAGGTCAAGAGGTTCAAAACCCAAGGCTCTACTGGCTGGCACCCACAAGAAAAGCCCCCATGAACAGCCACCAGCTTCTTCCTGCACATTGAAGACGGACATCGGACATGTGCTGCTGGCAGCAACAAGGCACCCAGAGCCCATCTGACCGGGCACTAGAGGCTGGGCCCGGAGGCAGGTCCCACACCAGTGTTGGTGCCACACTTTAATATCATTCTGGAAATTATACCATGTCCCCATCTGATTAGTCTTAGTTTACCATCTACTATCAGATTCTCAATTTTATGAGAGTCTCCCAAATCCATTTTTGGGGGGTTAGTGGGGAGCTGTCTTAAAACAGTACTCTGTTACCAGTGAAAACACCCAACAAGGTGCCCTGGGACTCTGGCCATTGCTGGACAGTTTGGGAAGTATCCCCCACAAACAGGGGCTAACACAAGCTCGGGGGCCCCCAGGGCTCAGAGACAGAAAAGGAGAGATCAACAGGTGTGCACTCATGAGGAGACACGCACCTCCCACTAAGGTGCACTGCTCTTCCTTACCGTTCAGCCAAGGGATTGCATATTCTGTCCTCAGAGGACTGTGGGAAGAATTTCGGGAGATGATGGGTTCACTTCCCAAAAAATTATACGACGTCCCCGAATAAAGTTCTCCATCTGCAGGGGCCCAGAAGAAAAGAGGAAAAGGGAACCAACCTCTCAGGCTATGGCACCAACACTGGGACAAACATTCAACACGGTGTTTTCCTTTATAACCCAATTAAGTCCCTGCCTGGGGAAAGGGAAAGACAGTCTCCTCAACTTTTGGGGTGTCCTGTGTCTTCTAGTTCTTTCTTTTTCGAGATGAGGTTTTTTTGTTTTGTTTTGAGACAGAGTCTCACTCTGTCACCCAGGCTGGAGTGCAGTGGTGCGATCTTGGCTCACTGCCACCTCCACCTCCCAGTTCAAGCAATTCTCCTGCCTCAACCTCCCAAGCAGCTTGGACTACAGGTGCGCGCCACCATGTCTGGCTAATTTTTACATTTTTTGGTAGAGATGGGGTTTAACCCTGTTGACCAGCTGGTCTTGAACTCCTGACCTCAAGTGATCGAGGCATGAGCCACTGAGCCTGGCTTGAGATGAGTTCTTGCTGTTTCCCAGGCTGGTCTCAAACTCCTGTCCTCCCGCCTGAGCCTCCCGAGTAGCTAGGACCACAGGTGTGCTCTCACTTTGATGGGGATAATTTCATGCTCCATGTTCAGCTGCATTTTAAGAGTCATGGGGCAATAAGTAAACATGAGCAAGGAATTCCCACATCCAGGAAAATGCTGGCAGATGCAACAGTGGGTACACACCAGGCTATGACCACTTGCTCAGAGGTGAGAGACCACTGCAGACAGCATGTGGCTCAGTCAAAACCTTACTCTCAAACAGGAGCATCTGCTCAGCACGCGGGGATTATCCAAATGACATGAGCCAGCAATGGATACAAAGTGACGTTTACCATGGCGGCTATTATCCTTGCAAACAATGAATTCAAAAGTTAAAGGGTCTATGCAGTCACATGTGCCTTTTGTAAGGATAGCTCCTATTTAAACAAAGCCAAGGAAGACAGCACTTCAGAGAAGATCCAAATATCCTGTTTGGTAATTAACATGCCACTGTAATCTTCACGGTGAAGGAACTGGAGGGGCAGGACTCACCAACCATGACGGATGTGTAGCTGTGTGCTGGGTCAAAGGGACATCTTCCTTTGCCATCTTCATTTTTCCCCAGAAACTTAAAGGATGTTAAGTTCTACAATTGAATAAAAAGAGAGCACATCATCAGATGGCTGAATTTCTATAGTAACAATGTGTCTCTGTACCACTTCATTTTACAAATTTGCTCTTCTCGGAAGACCAACAGGGCCGAGCAGATAGGTGTGGAGCTACAGGAGTCCCGCCCACTAGGGCCAGGGCTTGTGTTGCTCAGCTCAGGTCTAGACATCAGCACCTTGGTGCCCTTGCTCCGTTGCCCTGGCCAAGCTTCTCAAGATCTCAGACCCTCAATTTACTCATCTGCAAAATGGAAATGGCAACGCTGATGGCTCTAGGGCTGGAAAGCCACCAGGATAAACCCAACACAGGACGTGCTCAGTATGTAATCGGAAGCCCATGAGCAGAATTTTAACATCAATAAAGACGGCATTCTAAGCAGCTAGGTGACCCAATAAATAGGAAGCAGAAAAACATAAACAGGCAGAATCTCTACGTCGCTCCACCCACCAAAACACACTCCAGATGGATCAACCATCTGAATACTAAAAACAGAACCGCACTGTACTAAAACAGAGCAGGGGCTGGCGTTTCCATCTGGGGGTCCTCTCTTTACCTGGCCAGAGTGCCCACAGCCACATGAGGAAAACAATGCACAGATCCAACCACAGAGAGAACTGGAAAGTTCCACATGGGGAAATAATACGGCAAGGTTAAATATGTGACAAACTGGGGGAAATGCCTACAGAATGGCAGATGAGGTGTCTCCATCCCTGAACATGTGAGAAGTGTGGACAAACGAGTGAGAAAGGGCATCCAGGAGAAAAACAGGCAAAATCCAGCAAGTGACAGAAGAAACCCATCTGGACAGCACAGACGAGAGAGGGGCTGAGCCTGCCGGGAACCAGAGAGCACACAGAACACGCGTGGGGATGCCACTTTGCAGCCAACAGCCTGGGCATGCTGAAGACAGGCAGGGCCCACGGCGGGGCAAGGGCACCCAGCACCTCTGCTGCAGGAGGCTGGCTGGAAACACGCTCTCGGAAGCAGAGCAGGAAGGCTCAGACCACGTGGAAGGCCGCAGCTGACACCCTTGAAAGGCCAGTTAAAGCAGCACACAGCTCTTCACCTGTTAGGTTAGGGAATGTGAACCCCACTGGATGTGACCATTTAGCATACCTTGAAAGGAGGTTTCGGGGCTGTTGGGGAAATCTGAACGGGGACTGGAGACTGGATGATGCTGGGGAATGATTGAACGTTTTCTTAGATATAATGATAAAACTGAAGTTACATAGGAAAATGTTACTATTCTTAGGAGATGCCTGTGAAGGCATTTGGGAGTCACGGGTCATAGTTCAGCAAGCACACATATGTACACAGACACACATGTGGACACATAGACATGCACAGGCACACAGACACGTGCACACACACACTCCCAATTGTGCAATCTAGGTTGCCAGGATATACAAGTGATACATCTTTTCTGCAGCTGTGAAAACTTTTATTAAAAATATTAGGAAAAATTGACGGGGCGTGGTGGCTCATGCCTGTAATACCAGCACTTTGGGAGGCCAAGGCGGGTGGATCACCTCAGGTCAGGAGTTCAAGACCAGCCTGACCAACATGGAGAAACCCCATCTCTACTAAAAATACAAAATTAGCCAGACGTGGTGGCACATGCCTGTAATCCAGCTACTCGGGAGGCTGAGGCAGGAGAATCGCTTGAACCCAGGAGATGGAGGTTGCAGTGAGCCGAGATCGCATCACTGTACTCCAGCCTGGGCAACAAGAGTGAAACTCCGTCTCAAAAAAAAAAAAAAATTAGGAAAAATTATAGGTCTAAATTTAAACCAAATACAGTATCCTCTAACCTCAACAGCTAACCTATCTACAGAATGTAAGTTTAAATGACAGAACTTTAAGCTTCTGATTGAGTTTAGCCAGAAAAATCCTTTGTTGTGCAAAATGTTTCTGGTCCAACCGTACTTTCTGCACAAAAGTAAATACAAACGACTGTCTTTGAGGACTGAGGGTCTTACTATCCCCAAAGCACCCCCACCCCCTATCAGGTTTCGTTGCCAGCATCTGTGGTACAGGCAGCTGGGTAGACCCCTACTATGAATCTCACCCCAGACGTCTGTGTGCAAATACCAGGCTTCCTCATCAAGTCTCTAATGAGGCCATACGTTGTCTTGTCATTTATCTCTGACTCAAGATTGGAAAATATTTTAATTCCAATTAATTTAGGGTTCTAGCAAATGATGCTTTTCACTGTGGCATATTTTACATTTATCAGGACTCATTAAAATCCAGGGATACACAGTAGAAAATGTGCTTCATTTTCCATGTTCACATGGACTTATTTAAAATGCTACTTCTCCCTCTCTGATGATCATCACATTGCTCATCAGATTATCTGGATAGAAAGGACCGTCACACAGGGGGAGGTGCCGGATACCAGGCTGGGCAGTCAAGGATGTGAGCCGGTGAGGGACAGAGGCCGGACTTGCTTCTCAAGGTGCTCAGCACACTTGACCTGCTGCCCCTGAGTGGGTGGACCCAGGAGTGGTTCAGTGAGCAAGCTGCACACCACAGCCGACCAGAAGGGTGGGTCCCACAGCCAGAGCACAGATGCACCAACCAAGAACACACAAGCCAGGAGCAAGTCCTGACTTTTCCACCTGACCCAGATGCCCAGAGCTGCCAGGCTGTCTGTCCTTTCCAGCACGTCCCCTCACCCCATAGCATGTTCAGGCTACCTGTCCTTCCCAGCACATCCCCAATGCCATGTTCAGGCTGTCTGTACTTTCCAGCACGCCCCTCCATGGCATGCTCTGCACTAGCACCAAGGGCTCCCAGCACCTTGAGCTGCACCCCAGGCCTCACCCTTGGCCATGGACACCGAAACTTAGAGGAGCCAAGTGGGCTGTGTGCCCCTGACAGCAGCTGTGCAAGACTTTCAGAGGGGCCACAAGCTGCCCCCGTTTTCTGCAGCTGGCTCTGAGAAAATCCTATTTTTTTTTAGGGTGGAGACAGCTTTACGTCTGCTTTGAGCCCCCTTCTACTTTAACTGCTGACCAGGCTGGCGTGAGCACAGGGAGGTGCCCATCAGCCTTACCAGGTGGTCACAGGCCGGCTGGAATGCGTTGGTCCCACACACGTAAAGGGAAGTGGCGCTGAGTGGCTGCAGCACCCGGATGTAGTTGAGGCACTCTGTCTGCAGGGAAGAGAAATGCACCATTAGCAACCGTCCAGCCCAGATGCCCTCCACTATTCAAACTGCTCACGCCGTTCATCTCAGGGGCACAGACCCACATTCACCAACACCAGCTCACAGGTGGCCCCAGGCCAACGAGGCATGTGTGCATTCTCAGCCTTGTCTTGTCATCTAGACCCTCTGCAACTCCTCTTCACACACTGGCCTGTTCTCGTACAGTGGAAGGTTCACTGAGACCCCAACCCCACCCCTAGGCAAACCTAAAGCTGAAACTGGCCTGAGTAATTGTGTCTCTGCAGTGTCCACATGCTGTTCAGGTGCCAAACAGGATTTTGTTTCAGTCCCTAATTGATACTCAGCAAAGATGTGGTGACTGAAAAAAAACTCAATGAATGCTTACCTCAAATCTTACTGGGACACCCACTGTTGAAAGCAATATATTTTACTCTTGCTAAGTACGTGGACCACTTGTTCTGTTGCCAGGCCTGGAGAAGTGTCCACCCTACAGAATTTCCTCTCTGTTTCTGGAGACCCCACCCTGCCTCCAACTTGCACAGAACTAGGAACAGCGACACTAGGTCTACCCAACCCAGGGTCCCAGTCCAGCCCCCATGGGAGTGGCTGCACTAGGAGAGCCTGGAGCCCGGCTTGGCATCAGAAAGGCCCAAGCAGGAAAACAAAGATACCATTTCAGAACCCACTATTTTAGGCTAAAAGTACTTGCGTTACATGTGCTATAGTCTGAAATTATCCCAGATTAGGAGAGTTCTCTTTTTTAGACTGGTTGGAAGTAATTCACTATTCACCCCAACCCACCTGCACACCCCCGGAAACCGGAGCTACACTGCACCGCCTGCTTTTCCTCTCATTTCCTAATCTAACTTTGGATTTAGAGACAAAGACTTCAGTGCAAGTGTTTAGCATTTTGCTAAGAAAGTTTAGCATAGACTTCTTTGGGTTTTCTTTCTTCTTTTGCCTTTAACTCAGCTTGTCTTGACCACCATTGAGGAAGAATGCCCAGTGCCAGGTAGGGACATGATGGCTCAGAGGGTGATGAGGGTAACCTAGAGCTGCAGACGGGAATGAGTATTCGGCCCAGGGCTCCCTGAATGAGTACCACACTGAGGGGCCTGAGGGACCAAAGGGACGGACGTGTGCCAAGAATCCAAAAGTCCCAGTGATAGAGAAAGGAGCCAGAGAAAGTCTAGGCAGACAGGGGCAGGTCCCTGGCAAAACCCCACATGTGAGCCAAAAAGCCTAAAACCCGCAGCCCAGAGTGAGAACTTCTATCCCTGTTTGCCCGCCGTCTCCCGATTGGTTCTTTCTGAACATCTTTTTACAATCAGATGTTGCCTTTTCCGAAACTACCCACAGCCCACCCTGCCCTCATCCTGTGCCTATAAGAGCCCAGACTCAGTTGATAGAGAAGAGAAGGTGCTGGACTAGAGAGAGGTGACTTGACTTCAGAGGGATGGCTGGATTTTGGAGAAATGGCTTAACTTTGGAGAAGAGCCGGCCAGAGCTGGCCAGACTTCAGGGAAGATTATTTGCTCGTCCTGTTCCCTCTCAAGCTCCCATCTCCGCTGAGAGCCACTTCCAACACTAAACAAAATTCTCTGACTCCACCATCCTTTAAGTGTCCATGCAACCTCATTCTTCTTGGATGCCGGACAAGAGCTCAGGACCCTGAGTGTGTGTACCCAAAAAAGGCTGTCATACTGGCCCTTTGCCCTCACTGGCAGAGGACAGCTGTCCCACACAATGAGAAAAGGGGCCCACTGAGCTTATAACACACCACTGTCCATGGAGAACAGAGATAAGAGAGCACTGTAACGCACCCTCTGGGGCTGCGGGGGTCACAGGCACCCCAACCTGGGTGCCACCCTCAGGGCTCACACAAAGCCTGCTCCTGCTGGCACCCAAAACAGCTGGCCAGATCCCACACTTGCTCACTCATGTGCTCCCTCCTGCAAGAGGTTGAGCACAGCAGGCCGAATAAATGGGGCATCTCTGTCGCAAGTCCAACGAAGGGGTTGAGAAAAACTGCATGACTAGCAACTCCTCCAAGCCTAAGGCCTCTGGGTGCAAGGAGGCAGAACAAACCCTGAATTTCTGCACTATTCACCAGTGGGCTTCACTATTCACCAGTGTTCTGTAGTCAAAGTTTCAGGCCATCTGAATACATTCAATTCATATAAACTTTAAAAAAGTATTTCTCAAAGGCCAAATATGTTTGGCACCTGCTTTGAGAAACCCAATCCTGATACTCAGGAATAGAGGGATGAGCTCCAAGACGCATCACAACAAAACCAAGCCCAGCAGAATGAACAGAGCCTGGAGAAAAGGCTGGCCTGCACTGCAGGCATGCTGGCATTCAGTAGATTAAAACAACCAAGAAATACTTGAATGGGATTCTTTGTAGCTTGCAAAAGAAATTTACCTGTTTTGATTTCCCCTTTTCTGCACATTTTGCTTTTTTGTCTTCTGAGACCTTCCAATACACCTGTTGGGATAGAGTCCATATCAGTGCATATTCTTTTAAAGAGATACTAGTATAAAAATGCACAATTTTAAAAGCACATGATAGAGTTTAGAGCCTAGAGGTTTCTCCTGAGATGATCAATTCTCAGACTGCAAGGGAGGTTCAGAGAGCAGGGGAGCAGCCTGGGGCCTTCATGAACATCCTCACTGTGATCCTTATCCTGAAACCAGTGGAGTCTGGAAGACCAGCTCCAAAAGTTCCATCACTCACCATAAAACAGCAGCAAAAATCAAACTCGTGAAAGTGGAGAAAATTAAATTATTTTTCAAAAACCTAAACCATAAGTATTTTCAAACATCAAAGTGGGCTTTTTTCCATCCATTCAAAGTGACTCTACAGGCCGGGCGCAGTGGCTCACACCTGTGATCCCAGCACTTTGGGAGGCTGAGGCAGGCGGATCACCTGAGGTCAGGAGTTCCAGACCAGCCTGGCCAACATGGTGAAACTCCATCTTTACTAAAAATACAAAAATTATCTGGGAGTGGTGGCGGGCGCCTGTAATCCCAGCTACTCGAGAGGCTGAGGCAGGAGAATCTCTTGAACCCGGGAGGCGAAGGTTGCAGTAAGCCGAGATCGCACCACTGCACTCCAGCCTCGTGTGCCTGGGCAACAGAGTAAGACTCCGTCTCAAAAAAAAAAAAAAAAAAAAAAAAAAGTGACTCTACAGTCCAGTTTAAAAAAAAAAGCCACAATATTCACTGTATCAGTAGAAAGGGAGATTTACGATTCCTTAAACTTGCATGTTGGCAGCAGGAGGAAGTGATGAACTAACACCACCAGCTCAGCTCAGGCACCATCTTAGTAAGATCCATGTTCCTACCACCTCTTCTTTCAAACCAGGGACAATTCGTGATCAGAAACTTCCAGGGGGTGGGGGCCTTAGCCCCTTGCCCTCCAAAGCCCCCACAGAATAGAAAGCAACATAAGACAAAAGGGAAGGTTTCTATATCTATCTCTGCCTCACCTTCCCCAAAATGCCCCCTCTCTCTGTGATGTTCCATAACTGATGCAAAAGAAACCAGTAACAATGTATTTTTCTCCACCAAAAGGCTTGTAGCAGGTGTCAGGACTCAGAGGTTAGGAAGCACACAGGGCTTCTAGGAGGGAGAGTATGAGGAGAGGAACCCCACTTTAGGTTTCTAACTAACTCTGTGAGTTCCTGAACAGCACCCAGGCTGCAGACACAGTACTAAGGGAGTGTCATTTCATAGAAATGGAAGTCCTGATAGGGGCACACAAAAGCGGAACAGAGTCTCATTTAAAATAGCCACTTCCTTCAGCATTTAAAGTACAGATGATTTCGTCAACTCGCATGAAATGCATAAGGACAAGGGAACGTACACTTCAACAGACTCTTGATCACGTTTGCAGGGATTTTCACTGATGCTTGGCGGGGGTCTCTTTATTTTTTTCTTTTAAGTATAAGAGGTCCCCAAGCCTCTCCCCAACCCCGAGGGACCACCATGGTGTCATTAACAGAGCAATGTCTGGCTCTCACTGAACACCTGTGGGGCCAGCACAAACACACTGTCCACAATTCCCCCAAGACCGAGTGTGAGCCTGTGTGGTCAGGAAGGCGCTCAGAGGAAGAGAATTTAACAGACACGCGAAGAGTAAGAGCTGAGTGAGGTGAGACCACCACATCTTTCTGCTCAGAGTGCCTCACAGTGCTGAATACTTTGTTTTTGTTTTTTTGAGACAGGGTCTCGCTCTGTTGCCCAGGCTGGACTGCAGTGGCATGATCTCAGCTCACTGCAGCCTCGACCTCCTGGGCTCAAGTGATCCTCCCACTTCAGACTTCCAAGCACCTCAGACTCCCAAGACCTGAGCCACCACACCTGGCTATTTTTTGCAGTTTTTGTAGAGAAAGGGTTTCGCCATGTTGCCCAGGCTGGTCTCAAACTCTTGAGCTCAAGTAATCCGCCTACCTCGACCTCCCACAGTGTTAGGATAACATGCGTGAGCCACAGCACCCAGCCAAATACTTGTTTTCAGAGCATAATGCTCAGAGCTCATTTATGTGTCAAACAGAAATTGAGAAATAAGCTAGACCCTGGAGATGAAAACAAAAAGAGATCTGGGCAGAAAATGTCCAGCGTGAACCTGGAACAGATTCCAGAGAGCAAGAAAACTAACCCCACACCGCGAGGTCTCAGGAGCCAACCCAAACAGGCTGCTGTTGACCATGGATGCGACGATTTGAGCATGAGGTAGGTGTTTCACTGTGATGGGTCAAAGAAGAGCAAATATCTTTAAATCTATGACTTCATTGTGACACTAAAAATCAATCAAAAAACTCACTCTTGCCCTTCAGAGGGGAAACTGACTCATTAACTCATTATTCTGAAAACTGGTAAATAAAGGCAAAGATTCCAAGCATCGATTCTGCATTTCCCAAAGGAAATGGGACCTCTACGGACCAAAATAGCTGGTGATGGGCACTTCCCCTTTTATACGATTTCCAGCTAACAAGTAGAGAAGGAGAGGTAGAATCAGAACATTGCGTTTTGCAATCTTTGATGAGAAGAGCATCTAGACTTCGCTGGTCAAAGGCCACCGAGACTGAGGAGGAGGAACACCTGCCTCCATGGAGAAGCCCGCCTCACAGCCCTGAGAGGGATGAGCCTGGATCTGACACCCAGCTGGGGATGTGAAGACAGAGGTGCATGCTAAAGACACCATGAGTGGGGCTGGGTGTGGTGGCACATACTTACAGTCCCAGCTACTCAGGAGGCTGAGGCAAGAGGATCACTTGAGCCCAGGAGTTTGAGGCTGCAGTGAGCTACAATCAAATTTTAAATTCGGTTTGATTTTTTAAAATGTTTAAAGACACCGAGGAATCAGGAGCAATGTGAAGAGTGGGACATGGGATGGGCTGTGCAGAGTAGCTTTCTCAGGAAGGAAACCGAGGCTGGCTCCTAGAAGCGGAGACTGAATGGACAGGGTGACCAGCTGCAATGGATTGGGACAGCGTGGTTGCAACCTGATTCAAACTAAACGTTTGAACCAACTAAACAAGCATCATCCACAAGAGTCGGTGAAATATGAACACTGGCTGAATGTATGATGATATAAATTTTGGAGAAGCTATTTTTGATTATTTGCACGACAAGGGGCCCTTTCCAGTAAGAGATACCCAGATGAAGAATGTGGTGTCGGGATCTGCCTCAATGCCCCAGGAGGTGGAGGGTACTGTAGGCAAGACTGAACACCCGGCCTTGCATAAGCTGCAGTGGGCACAGGGCTCATGGCATAGCTGTCTCTGCTCATAGGTATGTTTGAGATTTTTTCATAATAAAAAGTTCAAAAAAAAAAAAAGCAAAGAGGGTGGTCCCCGGGTGAACTGCTGGTGGACACCCAAAGATGGGGCTGCATGGTCACAGCTACAGAATGGAGGCTCCAGGTAAGTCAGCCCCCAGCCCCACAGTGGGGCCAGGAGAGGCTGCCCACTCAAGCTGGGCTATGTGGACATGCAGGGGAGCCCAGGACGTACCTCATGCTGCTTCTCGGAGATGTTGAGTGCGTTCACAGCGAAGACCGCCTCCCGGGCACCTATGTACAAGGTGTCCTTGTCCTCGCTCAGCAGCAAGGCTGAGTAGTTGTAGATGTCTGGCTCATGAAACTGCACCAGGTGCACCTCTGTGGGATGCAAGGGCAGGGTCAGAGTGGGAGGAAGAAAAGAGCGATGGAAGCATTTTTAAACCTGAGCACATCCTAGGTCCCTGTCTCAGTGACAATGAGCACGTCTGGGTGCAGTCATGTCTCGAGGGCCATGTGTTGCTGCAACAGGCACTGCTACAGTGGAGGTGGCCTCAGTCAACGCCAGACCCACAGTGTAGCCATCAGGTGTGCTCATGGGAACCACTCACAGCCCTAGAGCTCAAGCCCGGAGCCAGTGTGCTCACTTTGAAGCTGTGAGTCGGACATCCCTTCCTGCTCCCTCAGATCCCAGAATCCCAAACCCTGCTCTGCCAGATGCTTCCTGTGATGGCTCCCACCCTCTGCCCACCCAACTCTGGTCTACATGCCTTGTCATCCACAGATTAGGTGTACAGGAATACAATGACTTAGGATTTTCTTATTCAGGAAAAGAATGTTTTACTTCAAAATCTTCACAAAATTTCTTTTGGAGAATATATCCATCAACGAATGCAATTCTCAGTGATCACCACCACAAACTTATAGACAGAGAAACAAGTGACGTCTCTTTGCTTATTAGGTTACTGTATCAATAGCTACTTAGGAAAATGAAGATTTGAGCAATAGCTGCTTAAGAATAATATAAATGTATCAGCATTATTTTTTTTAGGACCTGTTTCTTCAACTGTCCTGACAACAATTTGAGCATTTTGACCTTGGCTTTTTACATATTACCAAGAGTCTGCTTTATTTAAGAGTCAGGTGGGCCAGGTGTGGTGGCGGGCGCCTGTAACCCCAGCACTTTGGGAGGCCAAGGTGGGACGACTGCTTGTGTCCAGGAGATTGAGGCTGCAGTAAGCTATGATTGTCCCACTGCACTCTAGCCTGGGCAACAGAGCCAGACCCTGACTTCGAGAAAAAACAAAGAGAGTCAGGTGTTCATACTTTCTGTTCTAATTTTCCCATGTGGAAGAGAGATGCACACAGGCAGCAGGTCCTCTCTCTCAGCACAACAATGGCCTATATTGCTGACAGCTCTCAGCCACCTGCAAGCAACACCTTGCTCAGGACCCAGGGTGTAAGCTCTCAATCCACTGAGTCAGAAACCCGGGTCCCCAGACACATCCTCCAAGAGAAGAAATAACTAAAAAAAAACTAAACAGCAGGAAAGGAAAGTAGCTGGCATGAGGCTCAGCTGCACGTAGGACGAGCATTCTTATGATGCCTCACTGTTCTTCTCAGGCGCCTGGAGCAGACGCTCAGTGGGGCGGGTGCTTTGGCAGCACGCCGCGAACATTACTAGGTACGAGGGAGGGAAGCTTCCTGTCAGGGGTCCCCAGATTCAGAAACCAAATCAGGAGGTCTGCACGAGCCTTGCTGAGTATCTACAGTTGTCACAGCCTCTCCCTTAGATCAGCTGAGTAGGCCTGTCTGCTCAGACAAAAGTTCTCAGAGCAGAGAATCCAACAGATCACATGCCAGCATCCTCAGCCACCTGCCTGAGCATCCCAGGAAGTGGAGTTCCTGTCCCGTCCCCAGCCACCCGCCTCAGCATCCCAGGAAGTGGAGTCCCCATCCCGTCCCCAGCCACCCGCCTCAGCATCCCAGGAAGTGGAGTCCCCATCCCGACCTCAGCCACTCACCTCAGCATCCCAGGAAGTGGGGTCCCCATCCCGTCCCCAGCCACCCACCGCAGCATCCCAGGAAGTGGGGTCCCTGTCCCATTCTCAGCCACCCACCTCAGCATCCCAGGAAGTGGGGTCCCTGTCCCGTTCTCAGCCACTCACCTCAGCATCCCAGGAAGTGGGGTCCCCATCCCATCCTCAGCCACCCGCCTCAGCATCCCAGGAAGTGGAGTCCCCATCCCATCCCCAGTCACCCGCCTCAGCATCCCAGGAATTGGGGTCCCCATCCCATCGCCAGCCACCCACCTCAGCATCCCAGGAAGTGGGGTCCCCGTCCCGTCCTCAGCCACTCACCTCAGCATCCCAGGAAGTGGGGTCCCCATCCCATCCTCAGCCACCCGCCTCAGCATCCCAGGAAGTGGAGTCCCCATCCTGTCCCCAGCCACCCGCCTCAGCATTCCAGGAAGTGGGGTCCCCATCCCATCCCCAGCCACCCGCCTCAGCATCCCAGGAAGTGGGGTCCCCATCCCGTCCTCAGCCACTCACCTCAGCATCTCAGGAAGTGGAGTCCCTGTCCCGTTCCCAGCCACCCGCCTCAGCATTCCAGGAAGTGGGGTCCCTGTCCCGTCCCCAGCCACCCACCTCAGCATCCCAGGCAGTGAGGTCCCCATCCCAGGCCATCAGCACCCCTGCAGGTTTCGTCACTCACCTCTGTGCTCCCAGGTGATCCGGGGTATGGGTGCAAATGCCATCGCTGTCCCAAACATCACTGCAAGGGCCATGAGCAGCCCCCTAATGGGGGTGCACATCCTCATCAGGTAGAGGCGACCCCAGGGGCTTCAGCAGCAAAGGCTCACGGCAGCAGGTGGCCGGGCAGGTGTGCTATTGCAGATGCGGCTCAGCGCCCCAGGACCAGGGCCAGCAGCACAGCCTGGAGCTCGTGAACAGCGCGGTCCCTGAGAATCCACATTTCCCAGTTCTCCAGGTGAGGAGGGGTCGCTCTCACCACCGCAATGTCAAAGCCCACTTGATACTTCTTCAGGGCCTCAGAAGAAATGCTGGAAGGACATGAGAAAGAAAAGGCAGGACCCATGGTGAGTGATGACCTGCTTCTCACTGCTCTGTAGCCCCTCTGCTTGCCCTGGATCCTCACCCGGGTCCATCTGCTGAGGAATACGGAAGGCAGCGGGGGACAAAGAGAGTCTTAGAAGTGGACAGCCCAACGGACACAGGAAAGCGAAGCCAGGGTCTTCAGGAGTCAGTGCTTCCCGCTCCTCCAGCTACCAGCCCAGAACACAGGACAGACACATGGAGAGGACCTGGTGTGGGGCACCCGGCAGACACACATGGCCGGCTGGCTGCCCAGCTTCCTTCCTGTGTGGCTGCTGTGTCCAGCTGGTAATGAGATGAAAATGAAGGAAGAGAACTCGGGTTTCAGTTTCCCTTAGAGACTCTGCCTTTGTAACGCTCAGCGAGGAAACGGCCAGAAAAACCAGAGGCTGCAGAGAGAGCTAAGATGTACATGTGAGTGCACACACATGCACACACACAACATATGCGCACACATATGTACACACACACATGCACGGATGTACACCTGTAGAAACACACGCACGTGAGGCCTCACCACGCAGGAGTGTCTGACCTCCTGCCCCAAATGGGACCCTGCTAGCTCTTCCAGTCTCACTTAAAGAAGTCTGTGCACCATAGAAATGGTGGTAACTCACTCTGATTTGCCCAGTAAGAAACAGCCCTTAGTAAAAGAACAGGCTTAATGCTGCTTAGTGAAATTGTGGGGCTGGTGGTGGGAGAGGCATGCACAGGCCTCCTGGCCCCATCTCTCATGTCCCCAACATTCTCTGATGACTGCATGGCTACTGTCCTGGTGTACCTTTGCTGGGCCCCACAGCGTAACCCGCCACAGGACTGGCCCAAGGGCGTCTAGCACCTTGATCTGGGGCCAGCTGCACCCCTGGGTTCACTCTATGAGAATGTCCTGAGCTGGGCACCCAGTGATTGGGCACTTTCACATTACACTTCTGTAAACAGTTCACTCAAAACAGCAACCTGGGATCCCTGAGTCCCTTGCTCCCCCTTCTATCCAGGAGTCCTGTGAGGGTCATGGAACAACCACACCCCTGAGCTCCAGACTCTAGAACCCCACTCCTCCCTACCACCTCCACATGCCGCCTTCCACACCCAGCCAGACACAGCCGAAACAGAACCTCACTCTGCTTCCAGCCAATTCCTACAGTCCATGTCCCCACCTAAAAAAAAGCACCAGCAGTCAGGGGCCGACCCCATCTACCTCTAACCCCACCCCCACCCCCAATCCATAGATGGTGCTGCTGCTCAGCCTCAAACACATCTGGGGCTTGTCTCCTCCTGTCCATCTCCACCACCATCACTCATCTGAGCAATGCTCACCTCTCATCCTGGCCTCTTGCTTCCATGGTAGAGATCACTGGCTTCCTGCCCCAGCATCCATGTTCCTGCACCCTCGCTAACAAAATTCCGAGGTTACTTGGGTTGGCAGTGTGCCCAGCTCACTATATCTCCCAGCTTCTCTGGTGAGAGTTCTGGCCAAAAAAACTGTATGTGGAATTTATTAGATGGCAATTCCAGGAAAGCTCTTTAAAGGAGGCTGATTCAGCTAGCAATTCCCTCAGTCCTTCTCTTCCTGCTGCTGCCTGGAACTAGAATGTGATGGCTGGAGCTCTGGCAGCCATGCTGTCAACATGAAGATAAAAGTCTCATTCTAAGAATGGCCAAGTGAAACCCACAAGAGCCTATGAGACCCTAGGCTATGAGTCTATGCAGACTTGCTAATAAAATTATTAAAATCTTTAAATTACTTGCTTGCAGATTTTTGTTACCAACAAATACCATTCCAAACTGACACAACCTCCCTCCAGTCCACTGCCACAAAGTAGCAGTGGCCAAAGTCATGCTCTTATCATAAATCCAGATCATATCCTTTCCCCATGTGAAATGTTTCAACACCTTCTCATCACTCAGAATAAGGCCCACATTTTCATCATGGCCAGCAAGGCCATGGACAACCCTACTCTACCTCCATCCAACTGCTCCTCATCCACACTCCCTCCACTGCACTGTCCTGGCTACACCTGAACACACAGGGCTCGGCCCCTCTGCATGGCTGTGTAACGGCTGTCTCTCCTGCCTGTCAACACCACTTAGAACATTTCCAGATGTGTCTGTTCTGAAGTTGCCGGTCTAAATCCCACTGCACAGTCTCATTCATCTGAGAGGCTTTTCCTCTGTATAACTGATTGGTAATTAGGAGTGGCTCCCAAAAGCTGCTCCACTTTGAGCTCCCAAACCAGTAATGGTTTCTACATAGGCTCCCAATGAAGAAGACTCAATAAATTATAGGTTCAGATCTTCTGAATTCCAGGCACATTTGCAGCTCCTTGCCATAATGGTGTCACTTTTTGTTTGCAAAACAGAAGTTGACCTACTTGGCCTACAAAGTTGTGAGAATTATCTGCTAAATCATATTACTATATAACTAATCAATTAGCATCTGATAATAATAATGTTTATTGCTCTGACAAATACGAATGGAGCTCCTGCTAAGCCTGGAACAAACAAGTCCTGGCCCCACAGAACCCACGCCCTGGAGTGGGGCTGCGTGGAAGCAACCAGCCCAGGGCCTGGCACCCACAAACATCCCATGCCCCTCCAGGGTCCTGCTGCCCTTGCTCTTCTCAGTCCTCATTGCATGCAATGACAGACATAAGAAAGGATGGTAACAGTGGTGACAAGCTATCCACAGTCCCTCAAGAGAAAAGCTCCCATTAAAAACCAGCTACCCCTCCTTTTGGAGCAATGATCCCCTGGCATTTTAAGGATGCGTCCTTTCTCCCGTTCCATGTGACAAACATCATACAGCCAGTGAGAGCCAGAAGTGACAACGTGGCCAGGCTGCCCCATCCCTTAAAGCAGAAGAGGACTGCACACTCGCATTGTGAGAGACTTCACACTGGCTCCCGCGCCACTAGAGGAGGAGGAGGAGGCAGGCCTGCGGCAGGCAGGGCCTTGGAAAGGGTTCTTGTCATGCATGCAGCAAGGACACCAGTGGCCTGGTCCATGTGCTGCAGTCCCAGCCCAGTGAAACCCAATGAACTGACATTGGCTCCTCCAAGCCACACCCAGACCCAGGTCCCAGCCAGTGCCAAGCTGTGCACAGCAAGGATAAAGCAGAAACAACCTCTCTCGTGGCATGTCCCCCAGCTGGGCAAAGGTCCATACACACAAAAGAAACAGCAATGAGCTGCCATGGGATGGGAGAAGGCGCTCTGAAGACGGATGCGGAGCCTGCAGAGGTAAGGCGTGCCAACCACACAGGAAGCCAGCCGTGGAGACAGCCCAGGGGCAGGCGAGTGGGTATACAAACCGCTACATCCAGACAGGGGAACGTTACTCAGCATTAAAAATAAATAAGCCATTAGGCCATGAAAAGACACAGAGGAACTTTAAAAGCTTATCATTAAAGAGAAAGAAGCCAATCTGTAGAAGTACATACTGCATGATCCCAACTATAGGACATTCTGGGAAAGGCAAAACCATGAAGACAGTAAAAAGATCAGTGGTTCCCAGGGGCTGGGGAGAGAGAGGGTTTTTAGGGCAGGGAAACTAGGCTGGCAGGGATACTACCACGGTGGACACATGTCAGTATGCATTTGTCCGAGCCTACAGAATGTACAACACCAACTGGCAATCCTAATGTCCAGATACAGATGTCGGGTGATAAGGTACCTATGTGGGTTCACCGACTGTAGCAAAGGCACCACTCTGTGGGGGGATTCTGAAAATGAGGGGGCTGTGCATGTGTGGGGAAGGAGCATATGGGAAATCTCTGTACCACCTTCTCAATTTTTCTATGAACCTAAAGTTGATCTAAAAAATAAAGTCTATTAAAATCAGTAACAACAAGGAACAGGCCTAGGAGTTCCTTGCCAGTCACAAAAGCAGCCTCTGTGAGGGTTCATGGCCTGGACACATTAAGGAAGTAAGTGCCCACACCGGAGGGCTAGGAGCAGAGACGCAAGACCCACAAGGCCCAGTTCATTTCGGGTCAAATACCAAAGATGCTGGATCACTGTTGGAGAGATATGGTTTACATGGGATCTAATTCCTATCTAGATCCCCCAACTGCAATCAGTCCTCTGCGTATCCCAATAAGCATGCTGGGGTCAGGCCAGGCTAAGAGTCCAGAGCCAGGAGATGGGAGAACACAGAGATTTATTTCAACTCTCTCTGGAAACCCAATGAAATGACTCTAAAAGGATATGAACTTTAAGGATAAAAATGGAGGAGGGAGGTGACTTTGGAATCTATTAATAGGTGAGCAGTAACCAACGGTGTGCTGGCAAGCTGTAACAACTGGCTCTCCACGGGGTGGGCAGTGGGGGTGGGCGGTGGGGTAAGGTGGGGGGTGCCCAGCTTGCAGCACACGCTGATTTCTGTGGTGTAAATGCTGCTTTCGAGCTCCCAGAATGATGCCGCTGAACTGGGGAGAGGTGCACAGCAGCACCCAGCACATGGCACTGCCATCTCAGATACAAGAGGCGAGTAACTGCAACCACACAGATAACAGTAGAATGCACACGATACTAGAAAGGAATGAGTTCTGAGTATTTTACCTTTTTAAATATAATTTGTTTCATTTTAAGTCCACATATTTAATTTTTAACAGTGGCTGTGTTTACCACCAACCCTGTCACACACCACCAGAGCTGACTGATTTGAATTTCAGACCAGAGTTGAGCCAGGGCCTGGAAGAAGTCACAAAGAAACACAACCTGGAAAATGGAAGCAAGCTTAAAAGTAAAATGTGGTGAAAGAAATGAAAGGCTGGAAAGTAAACTAAAGAGGTTTCCTAGAAGTTACACACGTAGCAGAGATGAAAAAAAGGGGAACAGACAACTGGACGATCCATTCAGGAGTCCCACATGAACTGGCAGGAGCTCCGGGAAAAAAAATGAGGAATTATTAAAGCAGTAATAAAAAGAAAATAACTAGAACAGAAGGACCTGAGCTTTCGGAATAACAGCGCCCAGGAGCACAGTGAATGAAAGGAACCCGCCCACACCAGACACATCATCCTGAAAGGAGGGTTACATGAGGCTTCCAGAAAGAAACAGGCCACAAAGAAATTACCTCTGAGTGCCCCACTGGAGGCAGCAAAGCAACGCCTTTGAATCCCAGGGAAGATGACTTCATACCTAGAATTCCCCATCTAGTCAAATTATCAATCAGTATGAGTGCAGTACAGAACACTGCTTCAAACCTACAAGTTCTCAAATGTTTTACCTCCCTCAGCTTCTTTCTCAGAAAGCTACTGCAGGATTTGCTCCACCAAAACAAGGGAGCTGCTTCCCAGGTCTTCTTTCTTAGGAAGCGAGTGGAGGAGAGGCAGAGAGAGCGGGGAGCTGGGGAGCAGGCAGAGGCTCCAATGGGGCGGGGCAGGAGAAGGCACAGTGGATTACTGATTGCATCTGTGGCTTTGTTCTCAGAAATGCATTTTAAGGCTCTGGCAAAGAGTCTGAAGATGAATTAGAACAGATACACAGATTAGAAAATGAAGTTATTAACCCCAGGGAAGCAAGAGTGACCCATGAATGGAAATGTAACCAGAGTGTACTTATCACTGCCCAGTTGCATAGCCCCCATTACAAAAATTACAACTAACTCCACTGGAGGTCTGGGGGAAGAAAGAGAGGGAAAGGGAGGGGACAAGAGTCAGAGAACACAATCCTGTCTTCCATCATAACACAACATCTAAGATGGGAAAGTCAGGAAATGTAGGCATATCTAATTTGAAGGAAAATACCAAAATAGTGAAAATAGTTGAAACTCAGTGTCTCAGGGCAGCAGGGAAGGGACAAAGGGACAAGACAAGCAAGTGCTGCTTCCTCTCTCAAGTTAAAGAAGAACTACTTCACTTTAAAATTACCTGCATTAATTACTCTCATAAAATGAATTAACCTTAAAAAGACATCCATGTTCTGGTTCCTCACAGCCTGGGGAAAGCAGCCCAGTGGATCCAGAAGCAGAAGACATGACCCCCTGAAGGGAGGCTCCCAAGGACGGGAAGAGTGAGCTGACTCTGTGCAGAGCCTGGGTCCCTAGGGCAGCCAGATCTGGGGGCTCAAACACGCTGTAAAAATAGGATTGTTCACCGCAAAGCCGAAGTGCTGGGCAGTGGCACAGGATTTAATGCAGAATGCCAGCACCTAATGTGGCCAGCCTCTTCCACTCCACTCCTGCCCCCTCCCTCCGATGCACCCCACCCGTCTCAGGCTGCCTTGCAGCCTTGGCACTTGCTGCTCCCTCTTCCAGACTGTTCTACCCCCAGGAGCTGCTGGTGGCTGGCTCCATCCCACAGTCACCCTTTGCCTCCCCTGACCCCCACACTCCATCCCCCTCTGTGGTATTGTTTTCATAGCACTTGGCCTAAGGACCTAAAAACGCCTCCCTGACTTAGTTGAGGTAGAACAGGAGAAACACAAACATCCCAGTGAGAAGACTAGGGCCAGACCCGGAGAGGACAAAGGTAAGGAGCCAAGAGTAGAAAGTTCCACAAAACAAAATCGCCAGTGAAGAGAGATTGAAAACAAATCTTGTAATAGTATCCACGACCAAACCCAGGGATGGCAAAGCCATCCCCAAACGAATGTGGCTGAGAGAAGGTATTTCCAGGAGTGTCAGCAGGTGCCCAGGTGGAAGCCAGCAGGTTCTCCTGTGTGGCTTTAAATGGTTACGAAGGACTGTCAGGACTGGTGCTGTTTATGCGGTTACTCAAACTGGTTATGTTGAAAAGAAACCTTTTTCTTAATTGCTTTTACCTTGGACCAATCCAGACACTGCCATGTAGAGCTCAGCAGGGCACGGGCACCCCCACCTGGCTTCCAGGCCCTGCCCTGAGAACAATGATTGACCACCAGGCTTCCTGGCACGGATTTATATCCAGGTCTGCAGTGTATTGATCTCATCAGCAGACACCAGATTCTCGATGGCATAAATCAGGCCCTGCTGCTCTTCTCAAATGGCCTTTAAAACAGTCCACATGAGTAGCCAAAGGTCAGGACAGACCCCATGCCACATACTGCTCCTCCCAGGGAGGGGGAGGGGGCTGCACATTTTCTTTGTGACACTGGAGGGTTTTTTTTTCCTTTTTCAACAAGAATGCATTGTTTCATATAATTTTAAAGTTGCTTTAAGCAAAGCACACACCACAACTCACACAGATCTGCCGGCCCTGCGAGTTCTTTCAGAACAGTGGCTCCATAATCATTGATGGGTGTTACATTAAGGACCTCACTCTAAATAGTTAAATTAAAACAAAAGGAGAAAAAGGCCATTTTGCTGGCTTTCTTCGCCATTTCTGAGAAGCAAAGGTATCCCGCTGGGAGCTGAGCTGTATGCATGTGCATTTTGCCCTGACAGTGTGAAATTGCTGCCCTTTGCATTCAGAAAGAATGACTTGACACAGGAGCCCATTAGAAAGACAGGGTTGTGAAATGTCACTCTCATTACTTACACGTAATTGGGGCTGTTCATGAGGGTGCACGAGCCCACTTTAAATGTCAGCAGAATGGAACTCCAAGGGGGCTCTGAGCCCCACACTCTTTTGCCTGTCAGTACTTGTCAGAAGGCAGCTCTCCCACCCCCAGGGGTCTTCAAATCAAGGCAGGAGATCACAGCAGAGAAAATGGGAGTACCCAGCAACCACTGTGCATACATGTCTGCGTGTATGTATATATATATGTGGACACATGTACATCTGTGTGTATGCATCTGTGTATGTGCACGCATGTGCATCTGTATTTCTGTATGTGTGCACATGAACCCGCATAGATATGTGCACCTATCCATGTTTGTACATTTGTACACATCTGTACAGGTGTGTTGTGTACATGTGTATGTCTGCATGTCTGCACATGCATGTGTATGTCTGTGTGCATACATATGTACACCTGTGTGAGTGCATGTGCATCTGCTTGGATCTCTGCATGTGTATACATATGTGTATGCATGGGCATCTGTGTATGTGTGTGTATAATGTATGTGTGCACCTGTGCATGTCTGCCTGTGTACATATATCCATACATATGTATCTGTGTATGCATATACATGTATGTGTGCACAGCTATATGTGCACATACGTGCATGCATCTGTGTGCGCATCTGTGTATGTGTACGCAGACATGTATGTGCGCATCTGTGTGTGCATGTGTGTATATGTGCATCTGTGCATGTGTCACTCTGTTGCAGAACATACATTCTGATCTAGTGTTGCATCTTAGATGTGAATAGTGACTGCTGGCAAGTGTCCTGTAAGGCAGGAACCATGAACCAAAATGCCATCTGGGGACTGTCCAGTCACCCGTGTCTCGGCTCCTTCCTGGGATCAGCTGTCTGGCAGCTAGGGTAGATTACAGAGGGGACACCAGTCACTACCACATGGAAGGTGTCAGTGCTTCTGCCAGCAACAGGATGCAACACTGGCATTAAAATGCCCTGGCTGGCATCCCAGGGAAACTGAAAGGGGATCTCTGGTGACAGCTGTGGACTGGCCAATCTAACATAGGCAGTCATTACCTGGACCCCTGACCTCACTGCATGCAAACTACTGCCTGGGGGAGCGTGTTCTGGCTTATTTCTTATCTCAGGGGTTTGCCCAGATGGGGCAGGTAAAGCTTAGAGTCTCTCCAGGCCCTACAACCAGGACAGTGGAGGACACGCACTCACCACATCTTCCCTCCCAGCTGGAAGCAGGCAGCCAGGTGCTGGGAAACAGAAGACACCACAGCCCTCACCAACCATGCCCTGCCAGTACCTGGCCACCTAGTATCCCCACCCTGGGATGTCCTCTGCCCCCAGAAACCCCTCTCCCACCTCCAGTTAGGATGCTGATGTCACTGCCTTGCAAACTGAGGATAAAATGGCCTTATCCCATCAGGAATCAGGAATGGGTTTCAGGAGCTGTCTAGGTCACAAGCATAATAAACAGTTTATTGTTCCAACTTCAGTTTTCCTAGAATTAAAATGGATCCCTGGAGACCAACACTCCAGCTCTGCAGGGACATGCCTAGCCCTGGACCTGTGTTGGGCCGGACTCACCCAGCAGGGCAGCTGCCAGGACCAGTCTACTTCACCCTCAAGCCACATCCCTGCAGGGGCAAGCGAGCCACAGCCAGGATATCTCAGACATGCTCTAACCCTCACCCACTTCCCAAACCCCTGGGTGCAGCATGTACAGAATGGGAAACCCAGGGAGAGAGACAGAGGGCGGTGGGAGTGAAGAACACAGGCATCCATCTATCAGCAATGTCGGCAGGACAAGCGCTATGAGGATGCACGCAGAGTGGCGGCACGAACAGGGCCCTTCAGAGGAAGGGTGGGGACCCCTCTAAGCAGCAGCCAGCATGGTAGAGATGCAGACTGTCATGCCATTTGTGTGACATCACTCTACTCTTCAGACTTGGATACAGACAATACTGTCTTTTCTGGAGGGTGTGTGGTGTGTGCATGCATCCTTGGGCCCAAGCAGGTTAGTGCTAGCAAAAATAATCATCTTCCACTGGCCTAATGTTGACCTGCTGCCATCTCTAAGGGGGCCAACGGTCTCCCTACTGGACACTGGCTCCCAGGCACAGTGTGGGGTTGTTCTGGGAAGTGGCTGGCCAGCCCCTCAGGGAGGACTGTGTTAACCCTGCGGCCCTAAAGGGATGCCTGGTGTCATGTCTTTCAAAGGTGATACTATGGTCTGAATGTCTGGATTACCCCCAAATTCAGATGTTGAAATCCTAACCACCAATGTGATGGTTTCTGGAGAGGGAGCCTTTGGGAGGTGACTGGGTCAGGAGGGCAGAGTCTTCATGGAAGTAGTGCCCCTATAAAAGGAGTCCCAGAGAGCTCCCTCACCCCTCAACCATGTGAGAAGACGCTGTCTATGAACCAGGAGGAGGGCCTTCACCAGACACCAAATCTGCCAGCGCCTTGATCTTCGACTTCCCAGCCTCCGGAATGGATAAATAAATGTCTGTTTTTATGTCACCCAGTCTATGACATTTTGTTTGAGCAGCCTGAGCTGACTGAGACAGTGGCAATTCAGGGGCTGCTGGCACCCAGCAGAGCTCAGCACCGGACAGAACCCAGCCAGCAGAGATGCTTCCAGAATGCCAAAGGTCGGTCACCATTTACACTGGTAGCGCCTTTGATATGACACTAAAACTGGTGCTTCGGTCCCCCAGAGCTTGGCTTGCAGGGAGGGCAAAATTACATAAAAGACATTATATAGAAAAGTTTTGCTTTAAGTGGACTTTATTTGTATTCTTAATTTTCCACCTCTTATAAAACTGTCCTACCTTCAAAAATAATTCCAAGGGTGCTTAACTCCACAAACCAAATGTAAATTAAAATAAAATACCCATTATTGTCCACAAAGCAAGCTGAAATTTAAAAGTCTGCTGCTAGTTAGTGCTGGGAAGGTGTGGGGTAAAGGACTTCTGGGTACAATTCTGAACTATCCAGATGTCTGCACACTCTGATCCCCTGGCAACTCTTGGGCAGCAAACTATGTGTGCACAGCTACAGGCGTGCAAAGCGACACGTGGGAAGACCACCCTGCCATGACGTGACAGTAAAATGTGCAACCAAAGGGGATGCTCCTCAATGAGGGGCTGGTTAACAGTCAGGCAAGGAAGACAACACCATTACAAAGACTAAAGCTGGTCTACACGAACTGCCTGTGAGCCCATCACACCGAAGACATGTGTAGAGCAACAACACGCGAGGCGCGACCCACCTGTGTCAACAGAGGATGCGTCAGTCTACACACAACACATACACACACAGCCACGGACACACAGGGACATGCACAAACACCAGGCACAGACTCACAAGAACATACACTCCTACACACAGGGACACACAGATACCAGACACAAATGCACACACATGAACGTGGACAGACAGCCAACTGTTAACAGTGGTCGCTTATAAGGAGGAGGAGGAGGAGAACAACCAGGAACTCAAGTTTTCTTTGTTTTTTAAAAAATGAATCATACTTTTATATTGCTTCTGTAAAAAAATTTAATTCATGAAGAGATTATGTTTCACCCATGCTACACCCAAGTCAGTAGACCAAAAATTGAAACCCACCACATTAGTGTATGGAGCTGTGCATAATGCGATTTTTCACATGCTAATCCATTTCTTGGTTTAGGTGACTATTTCTTGCCATACCTTTGACCTTTTTTTTATTTACATAAAAAAATGAGAAGTGGCTTCCTTTCCCCATATATACTTCGTGCTTTTTGTGACAGCAAAGTAAAAAATAACAGAAGGAGCCAGTCCTCCTGGGCTCTCACAATGGAATTCTCTTACTGCTTAATACAGCACAGAATGGATAAAATTGTCCCTGCTTTCAATTACCTTATAACTAAAGATTCCAAAATATTTTTTATGAAGAGACTGACAAAAAACAAAACTCAAAGACAAATGACTTAAGGGAGGAAAAAGAAACCAGCAAAAAATACTTGTAAGACAAGTGCCAATTCCTAATAAATAAAGTGATTTAACAAATGTAAGAAAACAGAGCTCCCACCCCAATGGACCAGATAATATATCTAGCCAATAAGCACAGAAAGTGCTGTCTCCCTGGCAGTGATGCTGTGCTAATTAAAGCCGCCCTATCTAATTGGCAAGATGTGCTCTCATCACGGTCCCATGCATAGGAACCATGAAGGTCTAAGCTGGCAGCAGGACTCTTTAAAAGCCAGCAGAATAAAAAACCTTGTGGGGGCTCATTCATGATACTTGAGTAATATGAAAATGATGAAGGAAAGATGGGGTTTGACTTTTGTTTTCACAAATTAAGCTGGTTATTTCCTTCTCCTCTGAAACTGAAAATGCATGGCTTGGAACGGACCAAAATTAAGATTAAACACAAAATGGCCCAAATCTGAGGAGGGTGACCTGGAGAGCCCTCTTATTACACCACACCTTACCAGCCACCTTCCTGCACCCTCCAAAAGAAGAGAGTAAGCTTTCTGGTGCAGGCACCAGGGGCCATCAGCCGCGGAGCTGCCACAATCCCAAGACCCAGTGGGAGGAGAGGCCGAGAGAGCAGGGAAGAATAGGGGGAGCTGGGACAAGCAGTGGCAGAGCAAGAACAGAGACAGACAATCACTGTGGGTGCCCAGCACCCACCTCCCCATGCCGGGCCCAAGGGATGGCAGCCAAGTCTGAAGCTTTGCCCCACAGGATATCAGGGACCAAGGGACCAAGCAACCAACCACCTGCCAGATCCAACTGAGGCCTCTACACATTATCAACTCTGCTCAACTGAAATTACAGATCATGAATAAAGTGGTTTTACCTGTATCTTATGCCTCTTGAAACTTTCCAGTCATTTCTAGAAAGACGTCTTCAGAAATCTTTGCTGTGAAAATAATGGGAAACAAGGCTATTTAAGCCCTTAAACTGTGCATCCACTTAAACTCAGCAACACTCCTAGAAAGGCACTGAAAACAAATTATTGTGAGTTTAAACCTTCTAGACTTCCTTAGACGCAGGATCAGCTTGGCTTGCATGTGCTGGGGAAGACAGCACTGGGGCAGACAGGAGGGAGGAGCTGTGCAACCACCCACCCACGAACAGAGGGGAAGGGCAGCCCAGCCCGTTACCTGGTGCTAGAGATGAGCCCCAGGACCCGACCAGGTGTACTTTCTTGCACAATAAGCCATTCCAGTTAGCAGAGTCTGTGAACCAAAAAAGTACTATCTAATTGTCTATTAGCTCCAGATATGTATCCTTTAAAATTCATCTTCATGAGGCAAAGAAGGAAAAAGCAGAAACACATATGGCATAATTACAAGCACTAAAGAGCTGTTCATCTTCCTTTATTTTTGGATGGCTGGTTTTCAGCCAAACAGAACGGTGTCCACCGTGGTGTGGCAAGGTTCCATAGCATGGCTGTCACTCCTTTGCAGTGTGGGAGATCAGTCTCAAGACAGGGATCGTGGGGTGCAGTAGCAGCACCAACAATTAGATCAAGAGAATCAGAATCGCAAAACCAGAGCCACGTGCAGGACTGCAGACGCTCAGGAGCCGACGCTGATCCCTCCATGATTCTATTAACACAGGAGCCACGTAATTGTTAAACCTTGGAATCAGACTCCAGCATATTCTGTGGTGAGGAGGGTTTCTTTTTTGTTTGCCTTTTGCTTTCAGAGCTTATATGATCACGGCTCTTTTTTTGAAGCCAGCTGGGAAGGAGGCGGCTCTCCCTCCTCTACAGGAGCCCCCGTCCCTCCCACCCAGGCCCCTCACTGGACGGCTCCCTCCTCTACAGACGCCCTGTACACCCCTCCCCAGGAAGCAGAACCTTAGACACGGCCATCCAGGCACACAACATCCGGTCCCCCCACCCCTCGGGGCCGACACATCCTCTGAACCCTGAGCAGGCACCTGAGGTTAGCAAATGAACCGCGAGGGCAGTGATCAGAAACGATCACGATTCATCAGGCCCCACCGTAGTGGAGCTTCCAGAGACTGATACTGGGGTCTTCCCTCCAGCAGTGGATGGCTCTTACGGCCAATTTTATAAGCAAAAGTAGGTTCACATGAGCAGCTATGAGAATCCTGGAAAAGGCCACATCCACCCAGGACCTGACACCGACATTTCCTGTTGAAACTCCTGGGGCAGGGCTGAGCATTTGGGCACAACTGCTGGACAAGCAAAGAGGGAAAGTCCACGCTACTGTGGGCACCTGCAAAGTGCCACATCACTTGTTTCCACGAGGCCTTCCTGTCACACGGGAGGGAGAGGGGACAGTGGCCGCCCAGAGACTGTGCCAAAAAACAGTTGAAGGCAACAAAGGCAGAGATTCATACATAAATAAGAGGCTTAGGTAAATAATGTGAATATCACGGATTTTAAAACTAAAAAACTGGCCAGGCACTGTGGCTCACGCCTGTAATCCCAACACTTTAGGAGGCCGAGGCGGGTGGATCACTTGAGGTCAGGAGTTCAAGACCAGCTTGACCAACAAGGCAAAACCCCGTCTCTATCAAAAAAAAATACAAAAATTAGCTGGGTGTGGTGGTGCGCACCTGTCATCCCAGCTACTTGGGAGGCTGAGGCAGGAGAATCGCTTGAACTCAGGAGGTGGAGGTTGGAGTGAGCCAAGATCGCGCCATTGCACTCTGACCTGGGTGACAGAAAAAGACTCCGTCTCAAAAAAAACAAAAAAACACCTGAAAAACTTCTATTTTTTAGAAATGAAATAAGCCTTTGTCACTTTAATAAAGACCCAGAACTGCTCATCCTGTGGTTTAAGACACGTATCATATTCACGGTAATTTTGTGGCATCCAACAACAAATGTCAGCAGGTCTGGGTTCTCATCTCAATTGCCTCCAACAACTCCACCTGAACACCAGCATCCTTGTGTCCTGCCTCCCAGCTGGGGGTTCATATCTAGCCTCCAAAAACAGCTGCCAGCCCCAAGGTTCCTGAGTGGGAACACACTTCCTTTCTTAGTGAATTGCCCAGGCCCCAACCCCGCGTTGCCTTCACCCTACACATACACGGTTTGTTTCTTCTTTCTCAGCGTGCAACCCCACAGTTATGAGTTACCTGGCTTAAAAATGCAAACCCACACTTCTCATGTAATTACTCATCATGCTGTTTTAACTCATATCTCCCAACTCCTGACAGCACAGGTAAAAAGAATCCAATGGCCTGTTCATCAAAAAGCAATGAAATTAATTAGGAGAGAGAAGCATTTCCCTCTCATGGCCTTCACATCCTCTCCTGGTGCACCCCCTCTAGTGCAGGAGAGTGTGGGGCTCCAACGCCCAGGCCTTGCGAACAGGTATTTAGTGGTCGCTGATGGCAGAAGGACAGAGCCACTGGCAGCGCCTTCATCTGGCCTCCATCCTGCAGACATGACCTCGCCTTCTGGGCGTACTCCCTAAGCAGGGACCTGGTGTTCTTCAGCACACAGAGAAGACAAGTGGGATGAAGCAAGAGCAAGGGGCTCTGCAATCAGAGGAACCTGGGTTCCAGTCCTGGCTTCTCCAAGTTGTGTGTTCCTGAGGGAAGTTACTGAGCCTCTCTGGGCCTCTGTTTCCTTATCCAAAAAGTGGGCATACTAATACTGCCTGTCTCATTTGGTTATGAGGATCCATGACTAATCAGTTAATGCTTCCTAGTGCTTTCCTAGGTGCCCGATGCTGTTTAAGCACTGGGAGGCATTAACTATCATTCTTACCACTTGTGAAATGAAGCCAGTTATATCTGCCTAGCTAAGAAGACTCAGAGAGATATAACAAGCAGGGTGCAGCTATTAGCACATCTAACAACCCCTACTGCCAGGGACTGTGGGCTCCACCAGCCTCCTCCTGCACACACGGGGGATCGGGGCTTCCCCAGGTCCACATAGACTCCTGGAAGCAGGGCTTAGGAACACTGTGACAGGCAGCACTGCTGTGGCTGTGGACGGGGAGAGGGCCGTGAGCCCCTTCTGCTCAATCTCCTCATCCTGGCCCAGAAGCAGGTAAGGAAGTTCCGGAGGCAGAGAGCAATGGGGGACCTTCTGCTGAAATTGGCACTGCAGCACACACCTCGATGGGGTAGGCATGCATATTACAACACAATACCATTACACTCTGCTGAGCAGGGCACCCATGAGAAAGGCTGGCTACAAAGTACACAGACAGGGCCCGGAGGACATGTTTCCGCACCCTGCTGGGCAACACCTGCCAAGAAGCTACATCCAGAATCTCTGATCCAACAGTCCTCTACCAAGAATTCAGTATGGATATACCCCATGTGTGCAATATGACTGGAACGAGGCTATTCAATAGGTAAACTCCAAAGACACCCAGAAGTCCACCAGTGTGTGTGCGTCTATGTGCATGGGTACACACAGATACAGCATAGAACGTTTTCTATACAAATTATTGCACATTCCAGAGGATGGAATACTATGCAACTGTTAAAAAGAATAAAGCTGCAATTGTATGAAAGGGCGCTGTTCAGTAAAAAGTAAGGTTCCCAAAAATGTGAGTAGTATGTTTCCGTCTGTGCAGGCACATGGTGTGTGACCGTGTGTGTGCGTGTGTGTGTGTGTGTGGGTGTGCACACAGGCTCATCAGAAGGATGATTCAAGAGATCACAATTTAATCAAGAACCTGCTGGCAGCAATGCCTATAGAGAGAATTTGATCTGCAAAAGGAGTGTGCTTCATTTTTCATGATTTTGATTCTTTAGAACTATTCGAATTCCTTCCTTAATCATGTGGTTTTCTAACTAAAATATTTTAAATCTGATATCAAAAGTAAAATACAGTAATTGTAGAAAATTTGAAAAATTCAAGAAAGGCAAGAGAACACATTGCTGACGATCTCTAAAAAGGTTACACAGGTTATAACGCTGGTTAAAGTAAGATCCCAGCTCGGGTGTCTCCTGTACTAACTTTACTAAGAGGAAGATTTCATCAAAATGGAAATTTTTAAGAACAGCAGACAGACATGACATACAGTTCTGGTCTTTCTGGCATTTTGGTGAATTCCTCATTCTAAGAAACTCTGACTCATTCACTCAACAGTCACTACTGGAGGGTGTGGGGTGAAGGTGAGAGTCAGATATAGACTGTAGACCCCCAGCCCCTGCTTTCTGGCTTGGGGAGGGCAGGCCACAGCAACCGCACAGGACGGTTGGGGGGCCCTGCTGGCTCTGTAACATGGGAAGTGGGACAGGCAGGCTGGGAGCCATGCAAGAGGAGACCTGAAGTCCAAGAGAGAGGCTGGAGCCTACAGGCTGGTAGAGGAAGAGGGCCCGCGTGGGTCACGTCCAGGTCCTGTGTGTCCCTGCCCCGAGCACCATGCGTGCGCATCCCCGTGCCGTTTATTACGTGGTGCCCTCAGCAGCCTGTCACGGCTGTGCAATATTCCATAATTAAATATCATAATGTGGGACATTCCGATCCTTTCCAACTCTCCACTTACAATTCATTTTTCTTTAACCACCAGCAGTACCCGGCCAAGAATCTTTTCTGTCTGGAATGTTCACAGTGATGTTACAGAGGTCTAGGCACCACACAGAGGGCACTGGGAGATGGGCACGGGGGAGATTCCATGGTTCCATCATGTCTGTCTGCTGTTCTTGAAAATCTCCATTTTGATGAAATCTCTTAATAAAGTTAGTACAGAAGACACAAGTGCTGGGATCTTTAGTAGTCGTTACAACCTGTATAACCATTTTAGAGACTGTCAGCAATGTGTCAGCAATGTGTTCTTCTCTTGCCTTTCTTAAACAGAGGCTCAGGGCTTCTACTGATCAGGCTGACAGGTTTGCTTCCTTTAACTGGGAAATAATCACACATAACTTCCATGATTTATTTTCATTTGACTCTCTTCTAAAACTTTCAGTTAGTTGAGCTGAAGTCATTTTTGCAAAGTAATACTATATTTGCTATAAAATACAAGTCACCTAGCTCAAACTTTTTTTTTTTTTTTTTAAATTGAGATGGAGTTTCACTCTTGTTGCCCAGGCTGGAGTGCAATGGCGTGATCTCGGCTCACTGCAATCTCCACCTTCCGGGTTCAAGTGATTCTCCTGCCTCAGCCTCCCAAGTAGTTGGGATTACAGGCATGTGCCACCATGCCTGGCTAATTTTGTATTTTTCGTACACACAGGGTTTCTCCATGTTGGTCAGGCTGGTCTCAAACTCCCAACCTCGGTGATCCGTCCACCTCGGCCTCTCAAAGTGCTGGGATTATAGGCATGAGCCACTGTGTCCGGCCAGCTCAAACATTTTTTATGCTTCTTTCAAGTCTATTAGAAACCTTAATTGCTTCTTAGTTTCTCCCCCAACTATGGAGGAAGCATATTGTGATAGCTGCAGTGCCGGCTGTGAGGCCAGCTTGCCTGGTTCAGATTCCCATGCTGCCACATCCCAGCTGTGTGACCCAGAACAGGCCTCTGCCCCTTCCTATCCCTCAGATACTTCCTTAGCACCTCCCCTCCCTCTGCTACTCCCTCAGTACTTCACCTCCCCCGGCTATTACCTCAGCACCTCCCCTCCCTCAGCTACTCCCTCAGTGCCTCCCCTCCCTCCACTAATCCCTCAGCACCTCCCCTCCCTCAGCTACTCCCTCAGCACCTCCACTCCCTCAGCACCTCCCCTCCCTCAGCTATTCCCTCAGCACCTCCTCTCCCTCCACTACTCCCTCAGTACCTCCCTTCCCTCAGCTACTCCCTCAGCACCTCCACTCCCTCAGCACCTCCACCCCCTCAGCTACTTCCTCAGCACCTCCCCTCCCTCCCTACTCCCTCAGTACCTCTCCTCCCTCAGCTACTCCCTCAGCACCTCCCCTTTCTCAGCTACTCCCTCAGTACTTCACCTTCCCCAGCTACTCCCTCAGCAACTCCCCTCCCTCCACTACTCCCTCAGCACCTCCTCCTCCCCACAGCTACTTCCCTGGGAGAGGGTAAGACACAGCCCTACCACCAGAGATGAGACTGCACAAATGAGGACTGTAAGGCATGGACGTTAAACACAATGTTACAAACAACCAACAAAATGGCACTATCCCCACAATGGCGGCCCACACCAAGGTGCGGAAAGGTCCAATCAGAATCCCACAGAAACGAGCAGTGCAGGGGCAAATAGGTTTTCCTAGATCAACGTCAATCTCCATTAAACCATGATGGTTTACTCTGTGATTTATTCCTAAATTGAAGTTTCTTTCTAAAGCCCACGACCACAACATTAGCTTTTACTACTTACCTCAGCTCAATGAGTCTGAAATGATTTAAATCCAAGATGCTTCCGTCCCGACTCCAAATTCCTTCGAGCTCTTTTTTTTCAGAACCTTGCACCCTTAATTCCTGAGTGTCTCCTTTCTCTGACCAGGACCCTTCTCGAACCCTACTAATTGCCTTCCTCACTGTGTCCTGCCTGGCTTTGGTCTCCTGGGCACCCTCTTCCTGCCCTCCCCCACCTCTGCCCAATGTCCCCCACTTCCCTCACACCCACGGTTCATACCACCATCCCTCCTGTGAGGCCTCCACCTGGCTCCCGCTACCTGTAAGGGAATGACACCACATTCTAAGAGCTCCACCTTCTTACGGCCCCTGTGCCCCCGGCCTTCAGTCCCCCTACACACAGAGGGGACTTACAAGGCATGCTTATTTCTTACAAGGCAGCTCGCATCACACTATTCTCTTGCTCCAAAGCCTCCTGTTTCTCTCCAGGGCTTGCAGAGGCAGGTCTCAGCCCCCAATCTAGTGTCCCCAAAGGAAGCCCTACAACTTGCTAGGTGTGCATTTTCCCCTCTTTCTGTGGAACACCAAGAATACACCACCTATCTAGACCCAGCCCCCCAGATATTCTGATTTAGCAGCTCCCTAGTGAGGCCAGGGTCTGTCTGGTTTTAGAGCAGCCCATGTAACTGGCAGCCAGGACCGAGAACTGGCCTGCATCCACCAGATTTCCTGCCTTGCCCAGTGTTACCCAGGCCTTGCCACCTCCCCTAGGTATGTCCTGAGTCCATCCTTGACACCCACCCACTGAAATCCTGGCTGTCCACTGTGGCTCAGCTCGAAGGCCAGGGCAACCTCAGACCTGCCCTCTGGGAACAGATGCCTCCCCTCAGCTGGTCTTCATTCACGGGGTCTCCTGGGGGAAAATGTAAGCAGGAAGAATAACTAACACCCGCCATAAGGCAAGGGTGAGGAAGTGACTGTTCTACTGGGTTCTGCGAGGGTCAGGCTGTGAGTCACCTGGAAGCAGCACGTGGCCCTGACATCTGGGAAGGGGCTGCTCACACCTCCCATGTTCATAGCTCCCTGGCAGGCTCCTCACTAACCCTCGTATCTGACATCTGACTGAATCCCAGTGTTCAAGAGGCCTGGGCAAGGACAGCCTACAAGCCCGCTGCTTTGACATCAGGGGCAGGAGTCCTGAAAGCCTGACCCTGTGGCCCCACTGGCTGTACATCCACCCCCTCCCCCAGTGTGCCCCACTGGAGACAGGTTTTACAGCACTGCTGGGAAGAGGAAAAACAGGCTCAGAAAAATGCAACAACCGTCTAGAGCCACTGGGAGAGGTGAGATGCCCTCCCGGGTCCTGCAGTGACCCCAGGACCATGACTGGCACAGTGCTCTCCAGCTGTGCTGAGGCTCCACCTGCCCTGAGCCAACAGCTTCCTCCTCCAGGGACACCAGGGCAGAGACAGGCCCTTCAGAAACAATGGCTCCTTCTCTTTGCCAACTGCCAGCAGTGAAGGCATCACAGAATCTGCCAGAACCATCCAGAACCCTGAACTGGTTCAGGACTACAGGCAGCCTGGGGAGATGCCCTGCACTCAGAGGCATCCCTAGTCCCCACCAAGTGTCCGCAGGGGGAGCGCATGCAGTTTCTCCAGGGGACTGGACCTCCTCCAGGCCGGGATCCTCCTCCCCTGCTGCCCTCAGACTCAGCCCAGCTGCAAAGGCGCCAGAGGCCTGCTCGTTCTGCCACGGTGCAGGCACGGCATGAGGGGATAGGCCCAGGAGCCTCAGGACAGGCCCCAGTCCAAGTGGGAATTTCTTTTTTAAGTCTCAAAACCACAAAATGCCACTTTCCTTGCTTTCATCTTTAGTGATTCTTTAAATATATACACTACAATTACAAAGTTAGACCACCATGACCACAGCTCGTAACCAGAATAGAGTCAACAGGGAACCTAGTCAACAGGAGGCTCTCCCTCACTATCCGGGCCTCCTCCCCAGGACATGGCTTTTGCCAGCCTTAGCAACAGCGTGGCAAACCCACCAGAGAACCACAAGCTCCAGCCAGAGCTCTGCGAAGGCCCCAGCTTTGCCTCACTCCAGGCGGGAAACAAAAGGATGTTCGCCATTTCATCATCTGGGGCTGTCAGTTCCCGTCTCAGTACTGACCTTAAATGCTGTCTTACCGTCGTGCGCAGACACCAGGTGCACGCAGCCTCGACCTGATCTACCAGCCCCCAAAGCCCCTCAGAGGCCACAAGAACCTCCCTCAACCTCAGTATCAGAGGAAGCAACTTCAACTAAGCTCATAATTATTTTAAGACTCTCCTACATCTTAACCATATTCAAACCAAACCAACTCACTTCCCATCAACAGTAGACCAAGTGGTCACTGTGGGCAGGTGACAAGCATCACAGAAGTGCTAAAAATAGACAATGTGACAACCACAACACCCGGCTACGATGGTAAGGAGCAAACACTGCAGGCCACACCTGTGCCCTAGGTCTGTCCCCAGCGAGTTCCCCCTTTGCCACTAAGACAATTACTGCCCATATGGATGGCCAGAATTTCAATCAATTTCTATTTCCAAATCACCAAATGACCCTCTAGCTGAATGTCACAAGCCCAGTATTGGGTCAGAGGTAGATACACTCTACTCTAATGAATTATAGTCAATCCCCACGTTCAACTCACTAAATCCATCCTCCCTTGCAGTGCAAGGGAAATGATATTTCTTCTCCTCTCTTCCAGATGCTTCCAGCCCAAGTAAGGCAGTCCCTCAATTCCCTTCCTGGGGAGTCAGAAGAGGGGGGCAGCCTAAAATGATACAGTCAGTCACTCAGGTCCATCCAACCCCAAATAGCCGTAGATGCCAGAAGAGGGTCAAGTGCATATGGACTAAGGAGGCGGTGTGACCCTGGTGAGATGCCTGTATCAGAAAACCACAGCCCCTGCCTCCCTGAGACAGCCGGGGCCTGGGGAGTAACCCCTGCCGTCCTCTCAGTGTGAAAGGAGCCCAGGTAGGAATTCCCCACTGAAGGAGTCAAGCAAACCCCCAATATTTCAGGATTCACTCTGCAGCACCCAAATGGGAACAGATCTCACTCACGTTTCCCTGCACTGCTAAAAGGAACCTGGTCCTATTAACCTGGAACCCCCTCTCCACCCCCCGGTCAGCAGCACCTGCAAGTGGCATTTAGTGGGGCTGACTTCAAAGTGCCCAAGCCTACGGGGCTACGGCCCTGCAAAGTCCCATCCCGGTGTCTGTCCTTCCAGCAAGCAGCCAGCTCTACAGCATGTGGGGGTTCTCATTTTCCGAGCAGTGTGTCACCTTCCAGATGATTCAGAATGTGTGCGACGTGGCGGGTCACACGTGGGGAGGAGCTGGTGAGTCACTGTCACTCATTGCCCCCCACACAGTCACCTTCCAGGTCTGAGAGCTCCAGGAGGGGGGCTACCTGGCCATTGTTCTGTCTCTCGTAGGGCCCAGGAAGGAGGTGTGTTTCCCCTAGGGATGCACTCACCACTAGGGTGACCACCTGTGGAGGGCCCGCCTGGCCCTGAGGGGTGGACTCTGCCCTGTAGGCGTGGGTGGCTTAGGGCTGACCTGAGACGCTGGCTCCAACACCCAGGCCCTTCTCACCTGCGTGTGTCACTGAGGGCCTGCTGCTGTCCGTCTGACCACCGCTGACCTGTCATGGAGGGATACGGCCCCCACACTGAACAATTCCCTGGGCAGGCTCTTCCCAACCATCTCAGTGGTCACAAGTTGAGGACCACCACTGGCCACCAGCTCCAGGCGGCCCCCGCCATGGCCCATGCAGCTTCCTTCTGGGCCTCACATTCGATGCTGCCCAGCACTGCCCAAACACAGTCCCTGGCCCTGCAGGGGAACCTGAACTGGAAGGACGAGGGCAAGACCCATATGACCTGCCAAGAGCCCAGTGCCATGCCCCAGCCACCAGAGAGGGTGCCAGGCGGCAGCAGAGGGGAGGCACACATCCTCCATTGCAGCCAGCGTGGATCTCAGGGCTACAAATAGCCAGTCACAGGAACTCAGAACCACGAGGAACCGGCCCCTTCATCACAGGCAGGAGGAGAATGAGGCACAGGCATGGAGCCTGCTCAAGGTCACGGAGCCTGCTCAAGGTCATGCAGCGCAGGCCAGCTCCCAGCCACTCTGCACACGGCCTGGCCCACTGTCTCCAAGACTGCTTTCTCCTGCACCAGGGCAATGGCCCCCGGCCCCACCTACAGGACCATGGTGCACACGGCCAACCCACCTCCAGGGGCAGGGTGACAGACATCCCCCAGAAGAGCAAAAAACCAGATCCCAGTATGGGCTGGCCATAGGGAAATACGCAAGAAAGCAGCCACTAGGTCCCCATCTCCACCTTGTCAGCAGCCAGCGCAAAGCTTCTCTAGGGCTCTGCCCCCTGGGTCCCTCAGGGCCCCTGGACCCTGCCAACCACACCACTGCAGGCTCCGCATGACTGCTCCAGAGGTCCAGAAGACAGACAGGATGGACCTAGGTCCCTGTGGGGGGGGTCTCCCCTTCCACGCTCACTCCTGGCCTTGGGTCACAGGCCCACTAAGCGGTTCGTCCAAGAGTGCGAAGAGTCAAGCACAGCCCCCAGCTCCTTCCCCAAATGCAGGTTACCCACGGGGCAGCCTGGGCATGGGCACTGGACAGAAGTGGCATGTAGCCTGGCTCTCCTAACCTCCCTGCCCAGTCAGCCCTCCCAGACCCACCACCAGGAGTTGTACCAGGCCGGCGGCCACCTCGGCTGACTCTGGATGCCAAGAAGCCTCTAATCCTAGCTTCACCCAAAGCAGACGACATCTAGGAGAGCATCGACATCCCCATCAGGGTGAGCGCCTTCTTGGGGCCAGGAGAGGGGGCTGTGAAGACAGTAATTCAGGTCACCCAGCAACACTGTCACCATCCCTCTTTTGCAGCTAAGAAAGCAAGGCTTGGAAACTTCCGGAAGTCATATCAGTGTTGGGGGGTAGGGGGCAGTGTCTGACACTACAGGCATGGAAAGCAAAGTTCCCCGCCCTGCATCAGAGACAAACTCAGGTGGGCCAAAGCAAGTTCCTGAGCACACCTGGGCTGAGCTGTGCTCATTCAAATCGGTTTCTTAACAGAATCTCAAGTTCATCTCAAGCTTGGAGCCTGGTGAGCACTTCATGAAGAGCAGGTTCCTGGGTCCCAGCCGGGTGACAGTGGCCGAGGGACGTACCCGACCTCCAGAAGCCCGGGAAGCATGCTGTTCCAGAGAAGTGCACGCTGCTAACAGCCCATTCCAGAGCGCATGGTGCAATAATTTTTTGCTAGCTTTAAAAAGCAGCACAAGAAAGAAATTACGCGGTTTGCAAACTGAAGTCTACATGGTGGATGGAGTGGCCAGTTACGTGCTCAGAAGAATGCAGCTGTGGGTTTCTGTTTGGGGTCAAGCTTTGCCAAATAGTAGCACTCTGAAAATGCACATAACAAGAAAACCTCATTAAAAACTCTGTAACCCTAAAACCTGTATCAAAGCCTCCAAAGCTGCTGCTTAACCCTGACGGGCAGCTCTGTGGGTGGGAGCGGTCACAAGCCTGGCTGAGGAGGACGGGCCTCAGGCTGGGATGGCAAGTCATGCCCAAAGCATCTGCAAATGACAGAAAGTTCTGGAAATATTTCACACAGGGAAGGGAATTACTGGACGGTCAGAACATACACCACAAAATTTCAGAACTAGGAGGAAGTTTTCAGCAATACTCTCCCACTTGGGGCCAGAAACTCCAAGCATCTGTCCCTGCTCCCCAGCAGCCAAAGAGCAAACCCTCCAGACAGCTCCCCAACCACATACACACTGTGTCAAGGGGCCTGGACCCCACTTACTGGGTGAGTTAGATGCCCTCCAAGCTTCAGAGGGAGACAACTGACTGTGACTGCCTCTCTAGGGGTGGCTATTGTCCAGACGCAAAACCCACCCAGGGCAGGAGCCTGCAGAGGGGCAGCAGCCAGGCTCGGAGGACAAACAGCCAACATCTTCCCAGGCAGGGAAGAGGACCAGCCACAGTTACTGGGGAGGGGGAAACTGGCCTCTGATGTCTACAGAGTCTAACAGGTGTATTTCCAAGGCCTCAGCAACCCCGCAAGCTCAGAGAGATGCCCTGCCCAGGGATGTTTATCTCCATGGTGCCTTATCAGTAAAAATCTGTCATCCAAATATGCACCATCAGATGGGCCGAGCGTGGTGGCCCAAGCCTGTAATCCCAGCACTTTGGGAGGCCAAGGCGGGCAGATCACCTGAGGTCAGGAGTTCAAGATCAGGATGGCCTACATGGCAAAACCCCATCTCTACTAAAAATACAAAAATTAGCTGGGTGTGGTGGCTCGCGCCTGTAATCCCAGCTACTCAAGAGGCTGAGGCAGGAGAATCGCTTGAACCCGGGAGGCGGAGGCTGCAGTGAGCCAAGATCATGCCACTGCATTCCAGCCTGGGCGACAGAGCGAGACTCCATCTTGAGGGAAAAATACCAAAAAACAAATAGGCACCCATCAGAAACAGGTTAAATTAACAATAATATTATAGCATGCTATGCCGGCAGTACAATCCACACAAGTCGATGTTTATTGACAAATACAGATAAACATTCTATTAAATGCAAAGAGGAGAAGATAAAACAGCACTTAAGTGCAAGCTTACTCATGTAAAAAACCCAGTCATAAAAGGTCACACCCAGGGAATGGCCTGACTGGCACGTTCCAAGCTCACTCCCAGGCTGACTCCTAACCCTGGCGGCTCCTGCTCCTGCTCCTGCGGGTGAGCCACCCGGGGCACACCCAGGGCTGGCTAGAACACCACCTGCAAATGCAGGTAGAGCAACCTCCAGGAGGAGGGACACCAAAATGCCAGAACTAATTCTGGGAGGTGGAATTTTAGGGGCACTTTCAATGTCTTCTTTGAATTTTCCTGTATCTTCCAAATTTTTTTACTGGAGGCATTTTTCAGTATTGTTCTCCCAAACAAGAGCAGTTTCCCTAGATTCTCTTTTGTTTTTTGGAGACAGGGTCTCACCCTGTCACTAAGGCTGCAATGCAACGGTGCAATCATAGCTCACTGCAGCCTTGAGCTCCTGGGCTCAAGTGATCCTCCCACCTCAGCCTCCTGAGTAGCTAGGACTACAGGCGTGAGCCATCATGCTCAGCTATCTTTTTATTTTTTTGTAGAGATGGGGTCTTGCTATGTTGCCCAGGCTGGCTTTGAATTCCTAGGCTCAAGTGATCCTCCCACCTTGGCCTCCCAAAGCCCTGTGATTACAGGTGTGAGCCACTGTACCCAGCAAGATTCTCTCTTTTGATGGTTTCACCTCAGCAAAAAAGAAGGTGGCCCTAAAGCCCCCAGAGCACATTCCCGCCTCCTCAAGGACACGTTCCCAGCCCCTCCCTTGGCCAGACTGGGATCCATACAGTCAAGGCCCCAATACGAGCTCTGGTTCATCTATGCTATCCTCATCTCTCTGTGTCCATACCTCAGTGTACCTTCCCTTCTGTGCTGCTCTGCCATGACAAGCCCTGACCAGTCCATCTGTTCCCCCAGGAGAGGCATATTTACATGGCACAGGAGCCTGGTGGCCCAGCTGCACCCTCTGGGCCCACCCTTACCAGCTATGCAGCCCTGGAATGGCCACTCAACCCTCTGCCCCTTGGCTTCCATCCATAAGACAGAGTTGGCCACAAAAGGTACTTGGATTATTTATAACACTGCTTGGCACAATAAATGTTAACCACTAATATAAGTAGTATTATATAAGTGTACTACCACAGAATGGATTGGGTCATTTTTACTAGATAGTGGAACTGTAACCCTGACTAAGCCTGGAGATCTGGGGACAGGACCCTGGGGAGTTGGGAGCTGAGATCTGAAAATTCAGGATGATCAGGGCGGCCACAGTAAGGTCCTAAAACTGCCTGAGGCTAGTGTGAGGGGCGCCCTCCAGCACTCTGTCGTAAGGGCAGCAATAAAACCACTGGCTGCATGGCTCTTCCTCCTCTGAGTGCCCTGTCTCTATCTCTGGTCACCAGTGCAGTGGGGCACACCCCGTGGGGATTTGCAGGCCCTCAATGATAAAAACAGATTTGGTGCTGCAGGCAAATGATACTTAATACCCATATGAAAATGAGGTTAAAAAGCAAAAACAACCTCCCAACCGCCTCACACCAATCAGGGTGGCCACTACCAAAAAAAAAGCAAAAAACAAACAAACAAAAATGGAATACAAGTGTTGGTGAGGATGTGGAGAAGCTGGAACTCTTGCACTTTGCTGTGGGAATGCAATACAGTGTAGCCACTGTGGGAATCATGACGGTCCCTTAAAACTTTAGAATAACCATGTGTTCCTGAGATTCCACTCTGGGTATGTACACAAAGAAGTCTCAAAGAGACGTGTACACTCATATTCACGACAGCACTATTCACAAGGGCCAGAAATCTCTTCTGCAGCCAGTCATGTCCTCAAAGTGACCCCACCTTTATAAGGACAACCTGAAGGGGACCTCTGTTACCATAGTGAGAACACAAGAGCGTCTTCGGGTGTGCACAATGGTTGGGAACGTGGCAGAACTGGCTCTAGGACTTGCCAAGTGCTGCTGGTGCATCCTGGGCACAGGGCAAAAGCCAGCTCTTCACAGGGACTTCTCACCTCACTGTCTATAGCAGGCTGGAGCACGGATGTATGCATGCCCCTGCTATAGAGGCATGGATGTAGCAGTGACCCCCTGAGGCTGCCACGAGTCCCCCATGAGTGCAACTGCAGAGACAGCAGCCGGCAGCAGACGGACTGAGGGTGGGGCCACCAGGGGACTTGCTCACTTCCAGGGGGGCCAGGCGGTCGGTGGGCCACTGCAGCATGGTCAGCACTGACGGAGTCCTTGATAGTGGGGAGGGGTCTCCAATCGGCAGGGAGGGCTCTCCAATCAGCAGAGAGGGGCTCCCATGACCTCTGTCCAACCAGCAGCCACTGCAGACTGTAAAGACAGCTGGTGCCACATGCTACGGCCTTCTGAGCCCACGGTATGTGTCCTAGAGAGGGACTGTGCACAGGCACAGTAGGTCAGATGCATCCAACTCTTGGCATTTCGCTTAACCCCCTCTGGGAGGGACCTCCCACCCCTGCATGTAGCCGAGCATGGGCTTCTGATAGAAGCAATCAGGTTCTGCCCAAGTACAGGGTGGATACCACCCAGGGCAGAAGTCCAGAGGGTCACAGGGTCCGGGGGCAACAGGGAGACACAAAGCCCTCTGCTGTCCCATTACACACAAGAGCATGGCCCTAGGTGCAGATTGTCCCGGGGCTCAGACAGTATCTCTCAAAGCCTCTGGATGCTGGTACCAGCATACCCCAGTAGCTCCGCACTAAGTGTGGGTCACACTGGGCAGCTCCAGCCAGAGCGCCACCACTCCCCTCTGGACTGGGTGACATGGATGCTATGATGAGCTGCAGAAGCCCCCATGCAGACGTGGGCAGGAATCTGTGCATGACTCACACATAGCACTTGGCATGCACGGACTGCCCCGCTCTGGGGAGAGATGCTGTGACACATGGAGCACACCAGGAATGCCAAGTGACGTGGACCACGCATACCACATTGTCTCCAGCTGTTCATGTTTTAAGACCAGCCAGACCTCAGCCCCGGAGCAGCAGTAATGTGCGACAAGGTCTACCCAGTCACCCGCTGCCAGCCAGGTGAGGCCCATCCACCTGTCTCCACGATGCATGCTGCCCCCATCCAGCACGCGTGTAGGTAGAGGAGGGAGGGGTCTCGGTCTAGGAGCCAGCCAGGACCCTAGAAACCTCTAGAAGGGAAGACAGAACAATGGCGTTGGGCGCCTTCTCAATCTCCACTGAGACCTTTGTCAAAACGGTATGCAGGCCCTCAAATCTATTGCTTCTTTGGGTTTTCACTTTCTTTCATGAAGCTTCATGTATGTAAAAATGTTAGTCTGTCTTTTCTCCTGTTACTGTCTTTCGTCAGTTTAATTCGCAGGCCCTAGAAACAGCATCTAAGAGAGTAGAGTGAAAGTTTTTCTTCCCTCCACCACCAGCGTAGCACCTTCTCTCCTCTCTGCCCTCCTGCCTCTCTCATAAGAAAACTCTGTGATTACATTTAGGGATCACCCTGGAAAATCCAGGAGAATTTTCCTATCTCAAGGTTCTTAAGTGAATCCTATCTGCAAAATCTCTTTACCATGTAAGGAAACATTCACAGGTTCCAGGGATGAGGGATGCCCCAAGGTACTAGGGCATCATTCATCCTCCTGCAGACCCCTGGCATGTGCAGCCATGGACCTTTGAGTGAAGTCTCCAGGGCCCTGTCAGGGAATGTAGAGGGGAGGCAGGGCAGCTGGGCCAGGCCCTGTCTAAAGGGGCCACTGCACCTCCCAGCCTTCTACAACATGGCCTAGTGTGGGCAATAGTTCTTGATTTTTTTCTCCTGAAAGAAAAAAACCTGAATTTTTAGGTGAAGCCTTTGAATGCTGCAACATAATTAATCCATATATTTTTAATACTGGGAAGTCCCAACCAAACACATCTGAGGGCTGAGTTGCTGGTCTAAGAGCTCAGAGTCTACCTGGGCATGGGGGAAGGGGCCGGCCAAGGCGGGGAGTGCACGGGGGCTGCACATCCCCCAGGGCATGTGGAGGACAGAAATCCCCACTAAGAGAGTCATGATAAAGGCAGTCATAAGGTAATATTAATTTTAAGAATGCTGGTTGAGTAAACATGCAAATGATCATTAACAGGACCTGGAAAATAACCAGAAAACCAGTACATTCCATGGGAATCTTGACTTGATGAGCCATTCAGATGCAAATTTTACCCCAATTCTGGAAGGATTACAAGCATCCCCATTCACAGCCCCCATTCCTATGTAAATTCTAGTCCGAGGACTGGCCCTCCAGTTCCCAGCCTTCTGGCTGCTTTGCCCTGTTTCTTTCCTTTAGGCTCCTAAGCAAGAGCTGTGGAGTTTCTGGTTTGTTTCTGGCCCCTCCTCCTTTCCCCAACTCACAGAGATGGCAGACTCCCAGGGCTCTCTGACTTTCACACACCTGGACCATACTAGACACAGTGCCGGGCATGTACTTTGATTTACAGAACCCAGGGACAAACAAGGCCACCCAGGTCTCTGTGTCAGCAAAGATCCTGAACATCAGCCACACCCACGGCTTTATGCAGAGCAAGTCCTACAGGCTCCACCTACGCCCCACCCGGCCCCGACCAGCCTGCTGCCTGCTCCTGGACAACCTGGTCTGGGTGCACCCCTCCCAGGGCCACGCCCACAGGTTGCATGTCCGGCCTTTCCTTACAAAGGCTGTGCAAAACAGAGAAACTTCGAGATAAATGAAACTTAAATAAAGGAAGGGCATGAACACTGCCCAGTGTCCATATCTGCTGTGCCGCATCCCAATGCATGCTGAATTGGCTGCCCAGTAAGAGAAAGCAGGGATAGCCTAGGCCAAGGAAGCGCCCCCGCTGCCCCCCACCCCCAAATCACAGCCTCAGCCTTGGCTGCTCTCTGGCCAGCTACAGAATGACGGACATCTCAGACAACATCCTGCACTTCTGTTGTCTTCAAAGCACAGAAGTGCAAAGCTCTGGAGTGAAGCCTGTAAGGTCCACTCAAGTGTGTTTTTCCTCTGGTTGTCCAGAAGGGCAGCTGGTCATTTGGTCCCCTCACATTAGAAGGAAGCCCACTTACTCAGCTCATTCTCACTCAACCCCAGTGAGGGGTGAGAAATGGGAACACAAGACCATTTACCAAATGACAAAGAAAACCCAAGCCCCTGACCCTGCCCAGCTGGCCTCACCTTTCCAGGGGCCATGCTCCTGACCCCACGCTGGTCAGCGTGTCCTCAGCCACCAGGGAGGATGGATACTCAGGACACCATCTGGCCCCGCCGCCCCATCCTCACGCAGGGCCTCTGCTCGCCTGGGACGTCTGTCCTGACTGCAGGGGTTTCAAGGGCTCTGTTATTAGTTGGGGCTCAGGCCAGGACTGCTCCAGCCACAACAAGGCACCCTTCAGCGCAGGGACAAGGTCCCGTGGTGAGCCTTCTCCGCAGGCTGTGGAACAACCCTGTCCCATTCTCTTCCTTTTAAACAGCGGGGCTGTTCAGCGATGTGGGCCTGATTGTTTTCCTGTGTGGGCTAATTCAGGGGCTCGTGGGGCAGGGCCCAGTCCCAAGGCTGAGGAAGGAGGAGAAAGGCTGCCTTAGAGGAGGGTGTGGGGGGTTGCGGCCCAGCACCCAAGCCATGCACACCATTGTCCACCCATGGAGCAGCAGGTCGCCTGGCGAGGGCAAGCTCCTGGGTGCCTGAGGACCCTGCAGGCCTGGCCACTACTTCAGTCATCTGGGGGCTCCATGGCAGGATGGGTGAGCTGCCTAAGGCCACGGGACAATGGGGCTAGAGGTGAAGTCCCGAGGAAGCAGATGTAGCCCTGGGCAAGTCACTCTGGCCCTCTGAGCTCTCATGTCCAGCCTTGGACTCAGGAATCACGAAGACAGCTCAGTCAAGAGGTAGCAATGAGGGCAAACTTGGGAGGTGAGCATGCACAGAGCTGCTGGACAGTGCTGCAGCGAGATGGCCTGCTCCCAGCTGGGCAGACGACCCTAAAACAGGAAGCACGTGGCCTCTTTTGTTAGGGGCTGCAGGGCCCTGGCTGCTCTGCGGGCCAGCATGCCCACCCCCATGAGTGGCCTGATCCTAGTGGGCATTGCACAGTGCAATGAAGTGTGGCTCGTGCAGCTCTGGCAGTTTTTATTTTTCTGCAGGCCAGGTTTTCCTCCCACAGCGGCAGGCACCTGCCCTCAGCCTGTAAGGAAGCGCGATGCAGTGAGTATTGCCCAATCTTGGTCGCCCACACTTGGTCTTGAATAAGCAAACAACCACAGGACAAGCAGCAGGGCAGGTGTGAAGCTCGCCCTGAGTCTCTGACACTGCAGGTGTGGCCTCCAGATCCCAGCCTCTGCACCCACCCCCACCCAGCACCAACCCTAGCAGGCGGCAGCGACAGGCACTCCCACTGCTGCGGTGCGCCCTGAGAGGGGAGGGCACAGGCCTGGCGCATGACTGGGCTCAGTGACACGGGCACCTGCCCATGTGTGCCAGCGGCAAGGGGCACAGGTTCCCGGTGCTGCCTCTGGTCAAGGGGTCCCAGGGAGGGAGGTCTGGCTGATGTGTCCAGGTGCTAAAGGAAGGTAGCAACGTGACTTGAGCAGGCACAGGTGACAGCCACACAAATGAGGTCTCTGAGCCTCGGAGATGAACAAGACAGGGACACTGTATAAAAGATGTGGTGCTCTGCCCTGGTCCGCAGCTCGGGACATAGCCAGGACAGGGACATGCTTGAACCCAGATACCAAGTCTAAAATTCCTTAAATTGAGCAACTCAGTCCCAAGGATGAGCCATCCAACCTGCTAACATGCACAGTGCCATCTGGCACCAGGCTCTGCGCCCTTCTCGCTGGAAGATTTCTAATAACCTACAGGGGTAGGGATAGAAGGGCAGGGCCATCTCAGCAAGATGCAGAGAGGAACCAGAGGACACTTTACCCAGTAGGGCACCCAGATGCTGTGGAGGGAGCAGCCTCCCTGGGGGCTGAGTGTGGAAGAGGGAAGAGGGAAGCAACAAAGGTGCACTGTAGAGAATACTCAAGCCAAGCGCCCTGCTTCTCTCCTGGGAGCCTTTTGTGGCCATGAAGGCAAGTTTTAAGTTTGGAGATGAGAAACTGGAGACCCAGGAAGGGTGAAGAGTGAAGGGCTGGGGGCCTCAGCTGGTGCTGGACTTGTGCTCATGTGGATGCCACACTCAGGCTGGCCTGGAGAGAGCTTTCAGGGTGGAGCACCTCCCATGGCAGCTCGTGATGGCTGCATCACAGAATGCAACAAGAAGGTGAGCAGGACGACATTCACCGCGGGAGCCTGGTGACTGCAACTCCTGCTCACGACAGAGCTGGGGTCATGCAATTAGATAAAATATTAATCCAGTACATCACGGGCTGAAAGCTATGCCAGTCAAACCCACATTATGAAGCACTTTATTCTGTCGTTCCTGAGACAAACAACATTTCTAGTGTTAGGGATATTTGAGGCAAAAAATCGAAGTATTCTTTATGTTCTTTGACTAGAATCAAATACAATGTATGTTTTTTCTTTTCTTTTTTTTTTAAGACGGAGTCTCGCTCTGTCGCCCAGGCTGGAATGCAGTGGCGCAATCTCGGCTCACTGCAAGCTCTGCCTCCCAGGTTCACGCCATTCTCCTGCCTCAGTCTCCTGAGTAGCTGGGACTACAGGCGCATACCATCACGCCCGGCTAATTTTTTGTATTTTTAGTAGAGACGGGGTTTCACCGTGTTAGCCAGGATGGTCTCAGTCTCCTGACCTCGTGATCCACCCGCCTCGGCCTCCCAAAGTGCTGGTATTATAGGTGTGAGCCACCGCACCGGGCCTTTTTTTTTTTTTTTTTTTTTTTTTTTTTTTTTTTAACATGGAGTCTCGCTCTATCGCCCAGGCTGGAATGCAATGGCTTGATCTCCGCTCACTGCAACCTCTGCCTCCCGGATTCCAGCGATCCTCCTGCCTCCGCCTCCTGAGTAGCTGGGATTACAGGCACCCACCACTACGCCCGGCTAATTTTTGTATTTTTATTAGAGACATGTTTCCACCATGTTGGCCAGGCTGGTCTCAAACTCCTAACCTCATGATCCGCCCACCTTGGCTTCCCAAAGTGCTGGGATTACAGGCATGAGCCACCGTACCCGGCACAATGTATGTATTTTAAGAACTTCTATAAACTCTACAGTATGTTTCACAATTTTCAGACATGTTTATAGATTCAGAATATATGAGTTACCTGGCTTAACGAATAGGGTTTCTTAGAATCCTCTAAGATCTAGTGGCTGAGTGGAGACCACTCTGGCCTGTAAACTGTCCAGGAAAGTAATGAGCCCTGAAGGTAATTGTCTTAAAGCAATGGTAATATTAAGAGAAACACTCAAACTGGAAAGAAGCATTTCTTCTATGATTAAAGATTTCACAAAAAATTAAGGTTTTTAATTATGCAAAGAAGCTAATGGTTTCAAACACCTGCATTCACCACCCACACGAACAATGTGGTGCAGCATTTATTCCATTTCCATCTAAAAGGTGTCAGCTCAGCCGGCGGCTGACTGGTCTAAAGATCATCGCAGCTGGCCGGACCCCAGAGTGCACTGACAGGTCAATCTGATTTACAAAAAAAGCAAGAGTAAGTGTCTATTTTTAAAAGCCTATTTACAGGTTATTTTCTCTTTACAAAAAAAGTCAGTGATGCCCCCACTTCACGAATTTTAGCTGAATGGAAACCGGCCGACCCACGATCAAGCTCACCGCATCTTAGTGTCAATTTAAGCATTCACTTACTTTAGCCCACAAACATGCCATATAGTCATTCTACATTGGCACACTGCCCCTCAATCACCCTCACCACAGCCCAAAAGTGGACACACGTGCTGGGTCAGGAGCCGTGTCCAGGACACATGGAGACCTGCCTGCTCTTAGTCCCACCAAGGGCAGTCCACAGAGAATGGAGCCACGATAAGAGGCCTGGTGTCCTCCCTGTGAGCCTGACCCTCACCCTGGGAGCCACGCAGGCTGTGGCATCTCCATCCACACCCACCCGGGACGAGCCCTGGAGTGGTGCTGGCTCCTCTGCCCCACAGACCCAGTTGAGGCTCCCTCCCCGCCCCTGCCAGGAAGCAGTGACCACAACGCCTTCCCTCCCATTCCTCTCCAGCCCCTGTGCCTTCTCCCACCCACGCTTTCACCCACCCCCATGGTATAGCTACATGAGTATCTCGAAACTCCAAATCTGGTCTTGACATGCCTCTGCCAAAAAGCCTTCAACAGCTCTTTGCTGCCTTTTGCTTAAAATCCCAACCCTTTACCCTCACAATGCTGTCTGATCCACCTCCCACCCGCACCCATCACCCTGGCCCCTGAGCCCTACCCTCCGCTTGCCCTCCACACTCAGCCCCCAAGGAGGCTGCACCCTCCACAGCAGCAGGGCCCTTCTGGGTAAAGCGTCCCCTGGTCTCCTGGAAAAAAAGGAGGCTGCTTCCTCCTCTGAGCTCCCCGGCACCTCGTGCAAGACTTATTCATGTTCCTCTGCAAACATTTCCTAACTACTTGCTACGTGCCACATGCCGTGCTAAGTGCCAGCAGAGCAAAGTGGGGCTGACTCCACCCTACGGAACCCTTCCAGTGGGCAAGACATCAATGTCCCACAGCATGTGCTTGCGTGTGTGTGATGACACACTGTGACAAGTCCTGAGTAGGAACACACAGGGTGCCAAGAGAACTACAGGAGACAAGCTGGCCTGGTGAGGAGGCTAAGTTGGACCTGAAGGGTGAGGTGTCAGAAATGCACAAGTACACTTTAACTGGACTACTGCAGCAAATTTCCACCCAAGAGGGCAAAACAGCATGCAACTTGACTGATCAGAGCTCCTGAAAGTTGTTTGACCTGCTCACCCAGGGAGTCCTTCTAAGAACAACAAGCCACTCTCCTGGGCAAGCTGCTCCCTCAGCAAACCACCATCAGGCTGGCTTCACGCCCTCTGCTGCGTCCACTGATCTTAAAGTCTTATTACACATTGTAAACATGTCCCAGTCCAAATCAGACCAGCCACCCACATTGAAAGATCTGCCTTAAACCAAACTCCCAGACCTTACGAATACCAACCCTTGGCCTCCGCTTCCACACACGCGCAGGACTCGGCCGGGCGGCACTGTTCCTCCCAGCAGCGGGCAATTTCCACAGCTTCGCGTGGTGGACGGGCCATCAGGGAGGACTCTTCAGGAATTTGGCACCAACAACATTAGCTTTCCAGGCAGACAGAACAGCAGGCAAGACAGAGCCCAATGTGTCTGGGATCAGAAGGAAAGGGGATGTGGCCGAGGTGATGATGGCAGAGGCAACCCTGAGCTCTGGCTGGAGATGTCGGTACCGGCCAGGCCCCCATTCCCACATCATGGGCCACCCCCACATCACTGTGTCAGGATCAGAATGCCCCAGACCATGGGAAGGAAGTGAGGGCAGCCTGGAAGCAGCAGGCAGGGAGGGGACCAATTCCCCACCACCCCATGGCTCCTCCTCAGGGCTCCTGGGACCTGCCTGGAGGCTGTGGCTGCTTTGTCCCTGGGTGTCCTCAGTACCCTCTTTGTCATTTCAGCCCCAATACCTGTCTAACCACTCTGCGTCCAGCTTTCCTGCCTGGGCCCTAACCCCCCTCCCACACTCCCATCCCAGCCCACACTGTTAAACTTCAGCTTCTGATCTAAGTGAAAGGGAAGTCCAGCAACTCCAGGCCCCACCGTGTGGACAGAGGGCTAGAGGCTGGCAAGAGGGGCTCATGGCCACGCCCATGTTTGACAGTCCCTCACCAGGCACCCATCCCCATGGCTGTGTTTACACATTTCTCTTCCCCATTGGACTGTAAGGCTCTGTTATTTAACGTGCCTGAAATCTTGCACAGTTCATGGATGTGTAGACCAGCAATGGCCAGGCTGGTGAGTTCAGCATGTTCCTGATCACCCCTCCCCATCATCAGCACCCAGTGAGCTGGGGCTGTTTCCTTCCCTTTTCCCCTGGCCCAGGACACATCTTCAGGCCAGAGACATGGTTTGCTGCGCCGTACGGCCCAGGTCAAGGTCACTGGCCAAAGCACTGGGAGGGGCTCAGTGGGTCGGCTCTGGGCACCACGGCTGCCACGAGGGTGGTAGGGGCTGCTGGAGCCCCCCACTCCAGCCCCACTGGCCCGCCTGTCAGAAGAGGAGGGAGCTACCTGCTCTTTCCAAGCTTGCCAGGCTCCAAGAGTCCTCTGTTAAACATGGCAGCTTTGCAGGAAGAATACGGACCTCATTAGTTAAAATGCAGTGGAATAGAAAAAATTGTAAGAAAACCATGCAGCAGCAGCAACATGTCAAAAGAGTGAGATGGTCAGCAGCAAGGAGGGGAGGAGGGGTGGGCGCCATCTGAAACCATGCATAAAAATAAACCATCTGCCTGGCCGGGGTCCTCTTCCTCTACTTGCTAGAAACACAGAGTTCAAGGTAAAAATGGAAAAGACAATGAGTTTCACTTCCACAGGCCCCAACAGCTAGCAAAGAATCAGACCCACTCACCCTGAGCTGTCAGGATACATGCAAGGGGAGGGGAGGGTTCCTGGGGTTCATAACTGCATCCGTCCCAGAGAGGGATCAGCACCAGACAGTGTCTGGCATGGCTGCAGCCCTCCCCATCCTTCTCACCATTTCCCAGCGAGGAAACACCAGACCCGGGCAGATGTGAGTCAATGCTGGGGACCCTGGTTCACGCATGTGCCGGTGTCGTCTGCAAACCTGGGCCCCGGGCCTGGGCTGGGACAAGCCTGTCATCACACAGCCTGTGAGACTTTTAAGGGCCTTCACTGGGGCTAGAGCAACCTCGGATGCCCACCAGGACCGTGCTCAGCAGCAGGAGGGCCCCCTGCACCCCTACAGCATGCCTGCACAGCCTCTGCCTGACCTGGGACTGAAGCCTCCCAGGAGGAAGGCGGCTCTTCTCCCCAGGAGGTGACTCACAGTCCAGAGCCCAGCCCCATCAGGTCCCCTAGGGACTTCTCCACAGCTTCAAGAGTGAGACTTCCCTGTCAGTGGCGGGATTATGACCACCCACACTACCCCCCTGGACAGAGGCCGGGTCGCGAGGTGCTCTGGAGAAGAACGGATGCCAGTGCTCAACTGGACACACACTCCAGCCACAAGCCATATGTGGGCTGAACAAGGAGCTTAAACAGGGCCACCAGGATGCCCATGGGCCCAGTCTCCAGCCACCTTCCCACGGGGCCTGGCTGCCCTGTCCACCTTCTCACTGACCTCGAAGCGGGTGTACCACGGTCCTGTTGTCCCTGCAGAGTGGAGCCTTCAGCTGTCTGACAGAAAATGAGCCCTCCCAGTAAAGCACAGCGTGGACTCCACCCGCCCATAATAGCCACCCGGGAAGCAGGTCCGGCCAGCAGCAGCCGCCAGAGGAGGATCTGCCTGGGGTAGGCGGGTGGCGGACGGCCCTGGCCCTGCAGCGCTCAGCTGCACCCCACCCCATGCCTGCCTCCGAGCTGGTGGCCAGGACCTGGCTGCCTCCTGTCCTGGCTGTGAGTCCTGTATGGGCTGGCACCTGAAACTCTCTACCCTCCCTCCACAGCATGGGTGGGGCTGGGGTCACCAGTGGGTAACTGCAGGCCCTGACCTCCTGGGCTCCCTGCATAGGTGTGGCCTGCCCTGCTAAAGCAGTGCCACAGAAGATGGGGCACAGAGAGCATTTGGAGACTGCGAGGTGCCAGCTGCCAGAGGTGCCTGGGCATGGGCATCCTCAGGGGCCCAGAGTCAGGCAGCCCTGGGCCAGGCACAGGCACCTAAGCTGCAGTGACACGGTCACCCCACTGCATGCCCATGCATCCTCCCACCACGGGCAGAGTCAGGGCACTCATGCCCAAAGGAAATCCAAGCAGTGGGTGGGTCCCTGACACGAAGGGTTCTCTTTTCACTGCTCCCCCCATAATAAACCTGCTTTACATTTATTGTCCTAGACACCTTGCCTTTTAGAAATTATACCTACCTACCATAGACATAATTCTGCGTCCACCTGGTGGTCTCTGTTTTCCTGCTTCACCTTGGCCTCCCTCCCCACCTCCATGGCCTCCTCCCTGGCTGCCCCTCTAGCACAGCTACAGTGTACCCACCCTTATCATGCTCTGCCCAGGAGTCATAAGGAGAAACACAGGCAAACACATACAGGCATACACAGGAGCACTCCTGCCATCACGGCTCACAAAGCACGTCATCACACACACAGCACATGAGGGGACTCCTCCCAGCTATCAGCACTTGCTCTGCAGCCGCTACTGACGGGATGTGGGCACGTGAAGAGACAAGCAGGCCAGCGAGTGGGATGGAGGATCCCCAGACGGAACCCAGTTTACATGAGACCCTAACAGACCACAGAGCTGTCATTCAATTCATTGGTCAAAGGACGGATTATTGACTAATTAGTGCTGGCACACTGGAAGGAAACAAAATTGCCCTCCCCCACCCCAAGCATATTATTTCATGTTAAAAGCATTCTAGACACGTTCAAGAGTTTAATTCAAACACACAAAACAAGAAAACTCCTGCCAGAAAATCCTCAGACAACCCATGTAATCTTCTTAACAAACGCTGGTACCCACGAGCCCTAAGAGAAAAGAGACATATTCGACCATAAAATGAGTTAATCTGGACAGCAAATGATACATTAATAAAAGAAACTGGCAAAGAAAAGAATTAGGAATAAACGTTTTCCAAGCAGAAGAAAGAAGATCAATATCTATAACAAATCCAGAGCTCCTACAGATTGGCAAAAGAGGGCTGAACATCCCGACAGAACAGGGTCACAACACACAACAGGCGATTCACAGAAGATCCAAACGGCCACAGAATATCCAACAAGGATGCGACACTCACCAGGATCTGGGGTGACACCATCAAGGCCACAAAGCTGTCACTCTGCCCTTGAAGACTGACAAGTCAGTTTATAGTGTTTCATGCCACCGCCGAAAGAAGGTGCTGGAACAGGGAGCTCCCTGTGCTCACAGGGAAAGGATGAACTGTTGGATCTTTTCAGAAACGGATCCTGCAAGATCTATTACAAGGAAGAGACACACGCTCTTTGGACCGTGAGTGCTGCTCCCTGAAACCCATGCACTGAATGACAGCTCCAGAGCATGGCCAGGGTATTCACGGAAGCACTGTTTACACTGCCTGTATGGTTTTCAGGCAGCAGCTCTCACCAGTGACCACAAACTGGGTGGCTTACAACAACAGAAGTGTATTCCCTCACAGTTCTGCAGGACAGAATTCTGAGATCAGTTTCACTGACCAAAATCAGGGTGTCAGCAGGACCATGCTCGCTCTGGAGGCCCCAGGGGAGACTCCCTTCCTGGCCTCTTCCAGTTTCTGGTGGCAGCAGCGTTCCTTGCTTTGTGGTTCTTTGGTTAGTCAGGGTTCTCCAGAGAAGCAGAACCAATAGGATGTGCACAGGGAGAGAGAGAGATTTATTATGTGCTCGGCTCACGTGATTATGGATCTGTCATCCACAAGCTGGAGACCCTGTGAAGCTTCCATTCACAGGCAGTCAGACAGCCGAAGTCCCCTCTGACTTGGGAAGCCGGGTCTTTTTGTTCTATTAAGGCCTTCGACAGATTGGGTGAGGCCAACTCACTCTGGGGAGGGCCACCTCCTACCCCACCTTCTACTTTGCACGCCATACCCAGGCCTCAGGCGGGTTCCCTACCCATGCTCCCAGCCTCTGCGTCCACCTCAGAGGTCTCTGCAGGCTCAGCTGGAGGTGCCATGCAGGACAAGCACTGCACCCCCAGCAGGAGATGAGACGAGACCCTCATGTCCCGGACCCCCTCCCTTCCAGGCCCTGCCATGTGTTCTATCCCTGCAGGTCTGTCCATCCTGCTTCCCAGGCAACAGCTTTCCTTAGTCTACCGATTCTCATGTCAACCTCACCCAGGAACACCCACACAGACACCCAGAATAGCACCTGACCACTTATCTGGGCACCCGAGGCCCAGCCCAATTGGCAGATAAAATCCACCCCACACCCACCACTACTCTAGCCTCTGTGCCCTCTGTGCCCGATCTCCCTCTGCTGCCTCTGAGAAGAACACTTGTGAGTGCATTTGGGGCCCACCAGATAGTCCAGAATCATCTCCCCACCTCAAGATCCTCAACTTAGTCCCAGCTGCAGACTCTAACTCTATATAAAGTCACCCTCTCAGGCTCCAAGGGTTAGAACCTGGTATTTTCGGGGGCCATCATTTGGCCTACCACAAGGGGCAAAACCAAAGAACAAAAAAAACCCTGAGACTGACTGAGTGGCTCTGAACAGGGCCTGCTCCAAGGCCATGACCCCACCCAGCCCAACATGGGCTAAAGAAAACAAGAAACACCATCCCGTCTCCATGATAAGCACCACGGGGCCTCTCTCGGGCCACCAAGGAGGGCAGAGAGGGGAGGCTGCCTCCCAGGACTTCTCCAGGGCTCCGAGGCTCCCTGCACAAAGGATCAGCCGCTTCCCACTTCCCCTCAGCAGGGGTGTGGGCCATCCTGGACCCTGGTGGCCACACCTTCTAAAACAAGGCAGCAGCAGGAGGAGACTGAGGCATGAAAGGGGGGTTATGTGCCAGGCACACTGGCGGGGGAGGACAGTGACTCCCCTCAGGACGTGCCTTCCACTCCCCACACCACGCTGCACCCAGGCCTCAGGCGGGCTCCCTGCCCACACTGTGTCCAGCTCGGAGGACTCGAAGTCTCAGCTGGGCGTGCCCCTGTGGGATAGGTGCTGCCCCCAAAGACTGCAGGAGATAAGAGGAGACCCTCAATTCTCCAGATGCCTTCCCTTCCAAATCCTGCCATGTGTCCTATCCTTGTGGATCTGTCCATCTCATCTCCCAGGCCCAGACCATCTCTCCCACCGCAGCCCAGCAGCCAGTCCGAACCCCGACCCTCCCTCGCCCGCTGCCTATCGGTCCTTCCAATCTCGATGGAGGCACCCAAAAGTTTGTCTCTCCTTGTGACCCTTGCAGGCCAGCATGGAACAGGAGCAGGTTCAGACATGTCTCTACCTGACAGCAAAGGAGCAAGGGCATTCTGAGGGGGCCTGCCCTGGGAGACCTCCATATCCCCGGCTCCAGTCAGGACTAACCCTTGGGCTAGTCCTCAGATGTTTCCTCAACTCCAGGCTTAGGTACCCCACAGCCTCCTCCCCACTAATAAGCACCTCAAGCTTCCTGTGTCCCCAAACCACGCTCCTCACCTCCCCAAAGCTGAGATGCCTCCGAGACAGCCCAGGTGGAAGCCCACTTGGAGCCTAAGTCTTTCCAATGGCTCAGGCCAAAATCCAGGGTGTTCTGTGCTCCCCGACCCCCACCATGACCCACCCCAGATCCAAGCTGGCAGCAAGTCCTCTGGGTCCACCTTCAAATAAGCGCTGAAGGGAGCCACTCCTCATCGACATTGCTGCACCGTGCCCACACCAGCACCGCTCTCCCAGACCACCTCACAGCCTAACCGGGTGCCCGACACCCCCACAATGGCCCATTTTCCCCAGAAGCCAGGGGTCTTCCCCAACCCCTCAAACTCCCCCACCCACCACCTCCTCTCCTACCCCTACCCTTCCTGACTCTGCCTCAGCCCACTGCCCCCCACCACCACTTCAGTGCTCCCTGGACACCCAAGACTTGCTCCTATCTGTCTCAGGGCCTTTGCTCCTTTGTTCCCCATGCATACGGTGCTCCTCCCCAGGCACAGGCATGGCGCCAGCCTTGGCTCCATCAATCAGCCCAGCTCCCCTTGTAGAACCCGTCTCATCTCCTTCTCTGCTTTATGTATTTATTTATTTGTATTTTATTTTTATGTATTTATTTGCATAGGGTCTTGCTCTGTCACCCACGCTGGGGTACAAGCTCACTGCAGCCTTGAATACCTGGCCTTAAGTCACACTCCCACCTCAGCCTCCTGAGCAGCTGGGACTACAGGTGCATTTCACCATGCCTGGCTGATTTTCTATATTTTTATAGAGATGAGGGTCTCACTATGTTGCCCAGGCTGGTCTCAAACTCCTGGCCTCAAGTGATCCTCCCATCTCGGCCTATCAAAGTGCTGGGATTTACAAGAGTAAGCCATTGCCCCTGGCATCTTTTTCCGCTTTATTTCTCCCCCTTGTAACTCCAGTCATACCTGACCTATTGATCTCCTTTGGGGTCTGTCTACCCCAACAGTAAATACTATTTCCTCTGCTGATGCCCCACTGCCCAGGCATAAGGGACCCAGGGCAGGAGCTCAGTGAACTGTGCATGACAGGCCATGGAGGACCCACCCTCCCCTGGGCGATGTGGGATAGAGACAGGGAGGCAAGGTATGCCTACCCAGACCAGCCGGGCTGCCCCAGCACCAGGAACAGGCTGCCGTGGGGGCCACAGCCCGCCTACACTCTGAGGAACAGCGATCCACACAACGGCAGCAGAGAAGGCGTAAAACCACGAGGCCTCTGCACATAGATGAGAATGTGTCAGACGCACCCAGAAAGCTATTCAATGAAAGGGCTTGTTTCACGGGCTTCACTGGCGGGCATGACAGCATTGCCCACATGTTCACTCTCTGCAAAGAAAAATGGGCCATTTTGAGGGATATAAATAGCCCGGCCAGATGTGGAAGTGCCTGAGGGGCTTTTCCCAGGACTCCAGCGTGTGTCCTGCAGCTGCATAGATAGCAGCCCCTCAGTGGGACCCCAGGGGTGGCCAAAGCAAGTGAAGGTCAGGGCCTGAAAGGGTTACGTGGGGACCCTCCTCCCACGGGAAGGCAGGATGGGGCTCATCACAAACCATCACTGACCTGCAGGCTGAGCACGCCCATTGATGCATTCAGGGTACAGCTGGGACATGGAAAATCAGTGGCAAATACACTGTGTAAGTCTTACCCACAGAAAACAAGGGAGACACAAGCCCGGATAGCACGGGGCCTTTTGGGGAGGGGTATGCTCACTGAAAGCACAGGCCCGGGAGCCCGGCAGATGTACAATCTCAGTGGTGAAACCTGGCTATTTGCTAAGGCCCAGCAGGCTATTTTGTAATTGTCTGCAAAAATGCAAAATAATAGCACTTAAAGCTGGCTAAAAACACTCTCAAAGCCTGATACGGTTGTTACAAGTCACTAGCTCCCAACTACAGAGGCGGGGCCTGAGCAGGAGAGGAAGTCAAATCCAAGGGCACCAAAGAGCAGTTTAGATCCTACACCTACCAGGCGAGCCACAGGTATAATTTCAGATGCTCTTAGAAGTCACGCTAAAAGACTAAGTTCGCGGCTTTCGCTGGCCCTCTCCTCGAGGATCGAGGGAGCTCTGACCACAGCCTGTGGCTGGGAAGGGAGGCAGAGGGGCGGCTCAGGGGAAACGAGGCTGCAGTGGTGGTGGCAGGAAGATGTCAGGCAAAGACGAGCAGCAGGAGCAAACTATCGCCGAGGACCTGGTCGTGACCAACTATAAGATGGGGGGGTGACATTGCCAATGGGGTACTTCGGTCCTTGGTGGACGCATCTAGCTCAGGTGTGTCAGTACTGAGCCTGTGTGAGAAAGGTGATGCCGTGATTATGCAAGAAACAGGGAAAATCTTCAAGAAAGAAAAAGAGATGAAGAAACGTATTGCTTTTCCCACCAGCATTTTGGTAAATAACTGTGTATGTCACTTCTCCCCTTTGAAGAGAGACCAGGATTATATTCTCAAGGAAGGTGACTTGGTAAAAATTGACCTTGGGGTCCATGTGAATGGCTTCATCACTAATGTAGCTCGTACTTTTCTGACTGATGTAGCTCAGGGGACCCAAGTAACAGGGAGGAAAGCAGATGTTATTAAGGCAGCTCACCGTTGTGCTGAAGCTGCCCCATGCCTGGTCACACCTGGAAATCAGAACACACAAGTGACAGAAGCCTGGAACAAAGTTGCCCACTTATTTAACTGCATGCCAATAGAAGGTATGCTGTCACACCAGCTGAAGCAGCATGTCATCGATGGAGAAAAAACCATTACCCAGATTCCCACAGACAAGCAGAAGAAGGACCATGAAAAAGCTGAATTTGAGGTACATGAAGTATATGCTGTGGATGTTCTCATCAGCTCAGGAAAGGGCAAGACCAAGGATGCAGGAGAGAGAACCACTATGTACAAATGAGACCCCTCCAAACAGTATGGACTGAAAATGAAAACTTGACATGCCTTCTTCAGTGACATGAAAAGGCGTTTTGATGCCATGCCATTTACTTCAAGAGCATGTGAAGATGAGAAGAAGGCTTGGATGGGTGTGGTGGAGTGCGCCAAACATGAAATGCTGCAACCATTTAATGTTCTCTATGAGAAGGAGGGTGAATTTGTTGCCCAGTTTAAATTTACAGTTCTGCTCCTGCCCAATGGCCCCATGCAGATAACCAGTGGTCCCTTCCAGCCTGACCTCTATAAGTCTGAGATGAAGGTCCAGGATGCAGAGCTAAAGACCCTCCTCCAGAGTTCTGCAAGTCGAAAAACCCAGGAAAAAAAAAAAAAAAAAAAAAAAAAAAGGCCTCCAAGACTGCAGAGAATGCCACCAGTGGGGAAACATTAGAAGAAAATGAAGCTGGGGACCAAGGTGGGTCCCATCTCCCCAGCTTGCTGCTCCTGCCTCATCCCCTTCCCACCACACCCTAGACTCTGTGAAGTGCAGTTCTTCTCCACCTAGGACTGCCAGCAGAGTGGGGGTGTCCCTGCCGCCACCCCAGTTTTGCAACCCACTCCCTTCCAACAACAACCAGCTCCATCTGACTCTGGTCTTGGGAGGCGAGGCTTCCCAACCACAGAAGACTTTAATTGAACAAAAGAAATTAAATAATAAAATCAGGAGTCAAAATTCATTGTCTTCAAGCCCCTCTTCCTAGCCTTTTCTTCTACTCTCTGCTTGGTCAAGGTTTGTAACCCTACGATAGAACAGGGCTAAATTAGCCACCACCACTGAAAACTCAGCCGAATTTTTTTATACCATTCTGATGTTAGCATTTTTCCATCTATTTGGGGGCTTTTTCTTCTTTTTCCATTCTCCCCAAGTATTTTATCTGGCTTCAAAATTAGGAGGATTATTTTTCAGATAGTTTTTATTCGGTGTGGCCGACTCCTCATCTGATTCAGGCTGTCAGTCAGGCCCCTCCCATTTTAGGAGCTGGAGCCTTCACTTATGAAGCAATTCCCATCTATGAAATGGATCCTCATTTGTCAATCTTTTTTCTTCCATTTTCACAAAGCTATAAAGAAATAATCCATCTCAACCTTACCCTTTTCTCTGGAGTCAATGGGGTCTTCCCTCACTCCATCTTACACAAACCTGAGCTGGAAGCTCAACTGGATTTGTTCCCTGTTTGAAATATTGTGATCTCCCTCCCTTGAAAGAAAAACGAAGAACCAGAGGAGTAGACTGACTGAAGATAAAACTCCTGGCTTTCTGAAGCTATGGATTTGGATTGGATTGCTGGGACTTTGTAGAGAAAGGTGACAAATTTCAGTACCTCCGGCATGCTGTCCCAGGAAACTAGGGCTCCCACTAACTTATGAGGTTTTTAAACACATTGAAAATGAAATGACATTAAAATAAATTTGGATTTGCTCATTTAAAAAAAAAAGACTAAGTTTGCTTTAGTAATATATTTTATCTAACCCAATACACATCCAAAATACAATCCTTCTGCATGTCATGCACGCAGGTCATGAACAAGGTAGTGCATCTTGCCTTCTGTGGGCAAACTCTTTGTAACTGCTCAAGGCATCTCGGCTCTGATCAGCACACTTCTGGTGCTCTGTATCAGGTGTGGTGTCCAGCTAGGATACTAAGCAGGGATCCTATGAGGCATAAGGAGGCAGTACCACCGACACAGCCACTGATAGGAGGAGGTGCTATGGATCTGAGTGTGTTGAGGGTGTGGAAGCTTCTGGTTACTATAAATGAACCCTTGGCCACCGGCCCCTCCTGTGTGCCAGAGGCAGCTGGATGGTGCTAGTACCCTCTATGTCCTGTCTTGGTTTTTTTTGTTTTTTTTTTTTTTGAGATGGAGTCTCGCTCTGTCACCCAGGCTGGAGTGCAGTGGCGCAATCTCGGCTCACTGCAAGCTCTGCCTCCCAGGTTCACGCCATTCTCCTGCCTCAGCCTCCCAAGCAGCTGGGACTATAGGCGCCCACCACAATGCCCGGCTAATTTTTTGTATTTTTAGTAGAGACGAGGTTTCACCGTGTTAGCCAGGATGGTCTCAATCTCCTGACCTCGTGATCCGCCAGCCCCGGCCTCCCAAAGTGCTGGGATTACAGGTGTGAGCCACCGCACCCAGCCTTTTCACTCTGTCGCCTAGGCTGGAGTGCAATGGTGCGATCTCAGCTCACTGCAACCTCCGCCTCCTGGCTTCAAGCGATTCTCCTATCTCAGCCTCCAGAGTGGCTGGGATTACAGGCATGAGCCACCACGCCCGGCTAATTTTTGTATTTTGAGTAGAGATGGGGGTTTCACCAATTTGGCCACATTGGTCTTGAACTCCCCACCTCAGATGATCTACCCACCTCGGCCTCCCAAAGTGCTGGGATTATATGCGTGAGCCACCACGCCAGGTGTCCCGTCCTGTTAAAGCAGCTTTGGGATGCACGGCTTGACCATGCTTCCTCTGAAGTGACCTGCTGCACTGTCTCTAGACTGCATGGCTTATCTCCAAAGCCAGGCTTCAGAGAGGAAAGCTCACATTGTTCATCATTAGTCAGAGTAATGCACAGGACCCTGAGTGCCCATCAGGGATGGGATCTTGGGTGTTTTCCAGGTAACAGCCTCACAGGGCTGCAGCAGAGGACCTGGGACACCCTCCTGGGCCTCCTGAAACATGCAGAAGTAATTACCTCCCCTTTCAGTGTCATTTAATTAAATCTACAGTCTTCCTGCTCTCAACTCTGTGAGACGTGGAACTGTATCTGCTAAAAATAAAGCCCAGCTCCTATGAACAGGGCTCCATCCCAGTGCAGGTGAAGCAGCCCTGCCTCCAAGCAGTGGGGCACACTCAGACCCTAGGGAGGCTGGGCAGCACCCACACAGTGCACTTTATAAAGACTACAGGGTTGTTGTAAATTAAGAAGGAAGAGCTTAAATGCAGGCGGTATCAAAACAACCACCAAACTCAAAGGAATTCACTTTCTGCACTCAACTCCCCATAAGCACATGCAAGTGTAAGAGTTTGGGTCTAAGAAATCACACGCAAGACACAGCATTGTATCCTGTGGCTCTCTGGCTCCCCCAGACAGATGTCCAAGCCAACCTGTGCTCCTTTCTCTGAGGACGCAGAGCCCTTTGCTGCCTGTCTTATCCTATGCTTCTAGGGGAAGCTGCTGGAAGGCGATGGCCCCCAGGCCGTGTTTCCAGCCACGTCCAACAGGCCTGCAGTAGAGACCCCAGTACCCCAGACCAATCTAAGCCAGGCCTCCCAGAACCATCTGGTCGCGGCCCTCGCTGGGTGGACACACAGCCCTGACGGTCAGGTTCCTGTGGTGGCCGTGCTGTCTCCAGGACTCAGCATCACAGGGCCTGGCCCACAGTGGCACCGGGAACCACAATGCCTGCTTTGTCCCCACACAAAGGCTGGCAAAGCACCTTATATGGGCCACTTCACGCTGGGAAAAGTCCCTTAAAAGTTATTTTTGCTTCTACTTCAACCCAAGTTGTAGAATATATGTCTTTTTTTTTTTTTTTTTTGAGATGGAGTCTTGCTCTGTCGCCCAGGCTGGAGTGCAGTGGCGCGATCTTGGCTCACTGCAAGCTCAGCCTCCCGGGTTCACGCCATTCTCCTGCCTCAGCCTCCTGAGTAGCTGGGACTACAGGCGCCCGCCACCACGCCTGGCTAATTTTTTGTATTTTTAGTAGAGACAGGGTTTCACCACGTTAGCCAGGATGGTCTCGATAGAATATATGACTTAATCTTCAGTATGTCCTTTGCAAATGGTCTTGTGTATGCAGACTATCTATGATGTGAAAGCTGCATCCAGGAAGATCCCAGCCTGGGCAAGACCAGGAGGGCCAAGGCACCCCTGAGGCAGTAGGAGTCACAACCCGGCTTTCTAAAGGGGATGCAAGGACTTACATATCCTGCCTCTTACAGCTAAAGTCACATCTTGAAACGCCTTCTAACACAGACACACCTGCATCAACCTTTAATCCATGTCTCCAGGAGTGGCCACAGAAGGTGGTGTGGACGTGGCTGAGGCTCCCCTAGCTTGGTGTGGCTGACATGGTCAGCCCCCCCCAGATTTTCACTCCCTCCTCTATTTCCACACCAGATCTAGCAGGAGTGGACCTTGGGGGCCTTGGACAGGTGGGCCCTCCACCAAATCAAACAGAGCAGCTTCTTCTGATGACCTCTTCTCTTCTGGTTCCATCCAAGCACGTAAACAAGCCGGAAACGAGAGACCTGCATAGGTGGCTGCTGGCCGAAGACGGTCCCTCCTGGGGCTACCGAGGGCACTTCCCACACCCAGTGAGAGTGTCAAACCGCAGTGGGTGTCCCACGGTGACGGCAGGGTGTGAGGGCAGCATTCTGCACAGGGTGAGTCCCCCAGAGCCTACAATCCTGCACAGCACAAGGACATGTCCCATGCCAGCCCAGGCCACCCTCGGGGTGGCGAAGAGACACAGCCATGCCACAGCACTCCCAGCCCCCAGCTGACCCAGTGGGGCCCTGGCACAGGACTCTGCCCAGGCGTGTGCCTAGCACGGGTGAGGAAGCCCCGCCCCTCGAGGAAGCTGCCCCGGGTGGCTCTGCCTCTTCACATTTACAGAGAAGGAAACTGAACCCATGAAGTGACGGGCCAGCCCATGGCCCAGCAGCCCTGCAGGGCAGGCAGCCCGATCCCAACAGTTGGGAGGGGGTGGGGACAGGGCCAGAGAAAACGGGTAGCCTGGGTCATAGCCTACAACAATATCACTTCATCACGCTGTGCCTCCATGGCCTCATCCATGACAGGGAGGGCCCAGTGCCCTTTGGGGCTGCCATGACATGCGGACTCGCACCCACATGCTGTCTGTGACAGGGCCCGTGTGGCCTGATGCTCTGAAATTTCAGACAACAAGCAGCCCCTTCGTCCACTCTGCACACTTGAAAGGCAGGGGTGGGAGCAAAGGTGTGGCAGCCCAGGGGGCTGTCCCCGGTCCACCTCACCCCAGCCCAAGCCACTGCCTTTGCCAGACCTCCCTGAACACGGGGCATGGGGGGTGTGAGTTAGTGGACAGAAGAGAAGCAACTGCCCACCAGATCCCGAAGACCCCTAGGGTCGGGTGAAAGACCACCTTCAACAACCCAATATGAACTCCTAGGCGCACCAGTCCTCAGGGGACAGTCCAGGCAGGGGCACCTCCTCAACTGGGGCCCTTCCCTTCCTGCCGGGGAAGCTGGTGCTGAGGCTGGGTACTGGGCTCACCACCAAACAAGCCACACTCAGCATTGCCTCGCTCATTGCCTCCCCTGCCCCACCCACTCTGACTTCCTCTATATCCACATCCCCTAAACCGACCCTTACCACTCCAGGCAGAACCACCTGAGCTTTCAGAGACAGGCCTTCCTCCCTCACTTTCCAGACACCTGCCTGGCAGGTCACACAGTGAATGGGCATCGCTGCTGACTGAGGAATGGAACACCGGGACAAGACCTTCTGAAAAGCCAGTTCCAAAAGGAACCATGGCTCTCAGGCAGACGCCGAGACGCCGACACTTACCAAACCATCAGTGTCGTCAAACATTTCAGCACATGGTTTCTTTCCACTATCTGGTGTTAGCAGAGTCTGAAACAGAGTTAGAAAAGGGCACATTTTAGCAGGATAAACTACCAGATTCCCTTACAATATACATACACACAATTCCATACCCCAACCCTGTGCGAAAAATGTCCCCCAGGGACTGCAAGAGCATCGTCCTAGAGAACTGTCAGTTACAGGATACAGCTTACCTGGCCACGTGAGACCAGAGGAGGCATCACAGCTAACAGACAAGGATTATCAAGAACTGGGAGGGAGGCATCATCTGCACCTTCCTTCACCCTACCCATCTCTCTCCTCCCCTCTGCTCCTGGCCAGGCACCAACTTAGCAGAGAGCCTCTCCTTGGCTCAGCACACAATCACTAGGCGTGAGCTCTAGTGCAGGAGGCAGCCAGGGTGGGCCAAGGCCTAACCCAGAAACCCTGTGACCCACAATGAAGGTGTAGTCAAGAAGGACACTGTAGTACAAAGCTCCAAAACAGTCCCTAATTTAAAATCACATATGAAGACAATGTCAGTGCTAGCATTCAATATTCCAACACTTTTTAAGTTTTAAAATTAATTACATACTCAAAAACCAAAATCAGGAGAAGAAGGGGAGGAGAAGGAGGGCAAGGAAGAGAGAGAGAAGAAAAGAAGAATCCAAACAGGAACCAGAATTTGGGAGAGTTTTTCTTTTTGAGACAGTCTGTCTCCAGGCTGGAGCGCAGCGGCACGATCTCAGCTCACTGTAACCTCCACCTCCCAGGTTCAAGCAATTCTGCTGCCGCTGCCTCAGCCTCCTGAGTAGCTGAGCTTAAAGGCACATGCCACCACACCCGGCTGATTTTTGTATCTTTTTTAGTAGAGACGGGGTTTCACCATGTTAACCAGGCTGGTCTTGAACTCCTGACCTAAAGTGATCTGCCCGCCTTGGCCCTAAGTGCTGGGATTACAGGCATGAGCCACCGCGTCCAGCTGGGAGGGATTTTTTTAAATAATGTCAGAAGTAGCGGAAGGCTTACTAATGCCCCTGCATTAAGGAGAAACATGAATCAACACTCTGAGAAAATGCAAAGGGCTCCTTCCTTCCTCACTGGCCTCCTGGAGCAGGGAGTGAGCATCGCAAAGTCCCCTCCCACAAGGCACAGAGCCGCAAATGGCAACTGAAGGGAAAAGCTGTTCGATGTCATTAACGATGAAAGAAACAAACTGAAGCAGGATGGTCGCTTTCATCTTTCTGATGAGCAGTAACCTACAAAGCTGAGCAACCAGAGCCTGTGATGGGGTGGAGCAACCAGAGCCTGTGATGGGGTGGGGAAACCAGCGCCTGACAGGTGGGGAGCAGACCCAGTGCACCTGACTGTGACGCTCGGGATGCTGCTGAATCACATTCCAATTGGACACAAAGCTACACCATGAGGGTGCTTCCTGCATCGTAGCAAAGCCATGGAAACCTTCCAAGTCCATCAGTGGCTGACCAGAATCAAATAAATGGTCTATCCAAACACTGAAGTGTATGCACCCATCACAAAGAACAAGGAGGTCAGCTGGGCACAGTGGTTCACGCCTGTAATCCCAGCACTTTGGGAGGCCGACATGGGAGGATCGCTTGGGCCCAGAAGTTCAAGACCAGCCTGGACAACACAGTGAGACCCCATCTCTACAAAACAAAGTTAGCCAGGCATGGTGACACATGCCTGTAGTCCCGGCTACTCGAGAAGCTGAGGTGGGAGGATTGCTTGAGCCCAGGTTGTCAAGCAGTGAGCTATGACTGTGCCACTGCACTCCAGCCTGTGCATCAGAGTGAGGCCCTGTCTCAAAAAAGCAAATAAACAAAAAACAGGCCAGGCACGGTGGCTCATGCCTGTAATCCCAGCCCTTTGGGAGGCCGAAGGTGGGTGGATCACTAGTTAGGAGATCGAGACCATCCTAGCTAACACGGTGAAACCCCATCTCTACTAAAAATACAAAAAATTAGCCAGGCATGGTGGTACACGCCTGTAGTCCCAGCTACTTGGGAGGCTGAGACAGGAGAATCACTAGAACCCAGGAGCCGGAGGTTGCAGTGAGCCAAGATCGTGCCACTGCACTCCAGCCTGGTCGATAGAGCGAGACTGGGTCTCAAACAAACAAACAACAAACAACAAAAAACAAACCCTGAGGAGGTGACCTTGTGTGGAAAGGGAACTGCCCAAGACAGAATAAAAAGGCAGGCTGTGGAGGGGAGCCAGGGCAAGCCCACCACTCCACGGTGGCCTTACGTATGCATGTGAGTGGCTGCGCAGGAAACACAGGCTTTTGGGAGGACAGTCCAGAGAGTAGTAACAGGTTTTTCGTGCTGTGGAGTGGCCTGGGGATCCGAAGGCAACTTGGTCCCTGCATTTCTGAGCTTCCGTATTAGGGCTGTTTTTACCCTGCACACTGCAACCGATACATACCACAGTTGCCCACATAGCACCGCCCCTTTTCTTTAGTGGAAACTACAAATTCCACATGGTGCATACATCCTACGGAAGGCCAACCCATGGCTGGTCACACAGTTCCCTTCCTGGGCCCACCTAAAAGACTGCCTGCCACACACATGCCACACACATGCCACAAACATGCATCACATGCATGCATACATGCACACACCCATCCAAGCAGACACACACCCACCCACACTTACATGCACACACGTATACACCTATGCACACAGGTACACCACACCCACATACCCATGTAAGCACACATGTATATTCACATACAAAATCACACACAAACCTACAGAGACACACATACATACACATGCACATATATACATCCAAACACGCACATCCATACACACTCATGCACACACACACATATACATATATGCACATACAAACATGCATGCCATATTCACATACACACTTATACACCTAAACACACACTCATACACACACGGATACATATGCCCACATGGATACACATACACACAAACACATGCACAAACATATGTACCTATACGCACACTCATATACAGATATACTGCACACACCCACATGTACTCATATACACATCTACCTACACACATGTGCCTACACACATATGCATACTCATACACACACTGTGCATGGTCCTTATCCTCTCCCCAAGGGAGCTGCAGCCCAGCATTCCCACCCACTCACACGCTGGGGAAAGAATCACCTCCTTCCTCCTCAGCAGCTCAGAGGCAGGTTCTGAGCCATCGCAGCCTCCTAGAGACCCCATGTGCCTGTGGTCAGTGGTTCTCATACTGCGGCCTGCAGCAGAACCCCTGGCAAGGATCTGAATGCCAGATCTCTGGGCCCCAGTTGGAGCCCCAGTCCGGTAGTGCTCTGGGGGGGTCCAAGAACATGCATTTCTAATGGGCCCTCAGGTGATGTTGCTGTAGTTCCAGTGAACAGCCTCTAGTCCCTGGGGCAGCTTAAGGGAGTCAGGGTTTGGATGTGGCTCATTCATTCCGTCAGTGAATGCTTTTTGCTTCTTTTGTGTGCCAAGCTGCATCAAAAGTCCCTGGCTCTCCTGAGGACGCAAAGAAACAACTGGAGAAAGTCATTTCAGGGAGTGAGATACTGATAAGGCAAGAGCATGTCAATGTGAGAAACAGCCTACAAGGGTGTTGGGGGGGAGTCTTATTAACATTCCTGAGGGTCTTATCCTCCTGGAGAGATGAGAATCCCCCTGCAGACCCAGAGCCTCTTCCCTGCAGCTGTCCCTGCTCAGCCCTGGGTCCCAAAGGGGGCTGACCCTCATCCTCCCTGCAAGCCTTGGGGGCTGCCCCTGTGTGTGGCAGGCACCTTCCTTCCTGTCTCCACCTGGCTCAAATGCCACCTACCTAGAAGCAGGGACCAAGGTCCTCAGCTGGTCAGAAAGGCCCACACGCCACAAGACCCAGGCTAAGATTTGAGGGCCCATGTGGCTAACACGAGGGAGCCCAGGCCAGCATTCAGTTACTAAATAACACACCCTATTCTGTGTAAAACTCTGGGTGACAACTGCAACAATGTCAAGTGCTCCTAGAAAACAGCAGGAGGTAAGAAATCCCCTGCCCTCTGCGTTCCAGAAACAACTGCTACAAAAAAAGCCCCTTCCCCACAGGACTGAGCTAAGGCTCACGATGCCCCCACCCACCCAGGATAAGGCCAGACACAGAAACCCACCAACGCCTGCTCTGTGCCTCTTGATGGCCAGTGGCACGATGCATCCCCCGCCTGCTCCCGATCACTCACAACAAAATGCTCATAACCAAACCTTGCTTCGCTTCTGTCCTTCTCCAGGCCCCTTGGGTCCCACAGAGCCAGTGCAGCCCCTCCTGAGAAACAGCTGGCCTTGGGTAAGGCATCCTTTGACCCTGCCACCTTCATCCCATATCCCACCTCTGGTTCTTCGAAGCCTCATCTACACCACCCTACAAAGAAAAGCCCTTTGGCCTAACCTTTCAGACACATGTGATCTCATGGTCAGCATGTGGCCAGGCCCTGGCCCCTACTGTGACAGTCCATTCCTTCCTTTGCATACTCCTAAGAAAGCCTCTTCTTACTAAGTCTGGATTTGTTTTATATTTGACAACTGCTTACTGATTACAAACAACTTGAAACTCCAAAATGTGTCACACACTCATGCAATGGATGCACAGGTGAGAGCTTTGATTTCTGCCTCCTGGAAGACCGGTACTCACATGTTTAACCGAGGTTCCACCGGTTCAGACCCACTGCTCATGAGACGGCTCAAGAATATGTCAGAGATACCCCAGCCTCACATGCACAGCTGGTCCTGGAGGCCGCAGAGCAAGGAAAAAGGGGAGAAGCAACACTGAAGGTGAACCACACCCCTCACAGACACGGGCATCCTACAGGCCCAGGAGAACCCATGCCCTCCAGCGTGGAACTCAGCACACTGGGCATTTTGTGTAAGCTGCCCTCCTCCTGCAGACAGGCAGGGCTTAGCAGGGCCAGCTGAAAATGACACCTAGCCTCATATGTGGCCACCACATATGCCGAAGGGGAGGACGGAGAAGGCGACCTGCTGTTCCCCACACCCCGCAGCAGAGAGAAAGGGCTCCCAGGGCAGACAACCCTATCACCTAATCCTACAGTCATGCTCGGGGGCTCTGCTGGGCCCCTCAGCACACTCATGAAGCCCCAAGGTCTCTTTTCTAAGATCACTGCAAACTGCAACTGAACACACGAAAGAAAATGTGCATCTCACTGGAGGTCAGAAAAATGCAGATTAAAGCAAGATGCCACTCTCCCCCTACAAAATGACCAGAAAAAATAATTACAAGGCTTAAGGTGGTGTGGAAGTGTGAGCCCCTCCCTGCTGTCAATGACTTTTCTAGCAAGCAGCATGCCAGGGATATCAGGAACCTTACAAGGGTACCTCTTAGCTATCAGCAACGAGCAGAAATTGGGACCGGTAATCCCAACAAAACGTTTCACCCCATATACTCTTGACTGTGAAACTGAAAAGCGCCCCCACAGAGAGAAGCACGTCAATAGATAAAGCAGCACTCGGGCTCCAAATTGTATGTTTGCGTCTTTCACATGGATGGCTATGAGCAAATGGCTGCAGTTCTGAGTCCTGACAACTGAGGAGGCAACGGTGACTCACTGCCCTCCCAGGACAAGTGTGGGCACCACAGGAAGGCTGCCAGAATAAACCTCCAAACATTTTTCTCCTATACTAGGAGAGTAGCATATGAACAGAAATCATGGTGTCCTGGACATCATAAACCCCCAGAGTCCTGGGAAGCCTGAATCCTAGGGCCAATGTGTATTTCTTTTTTCTCTTTTTTTTTTTTTTTTTTTGGAGACAGAGTCTCGCTCTCCCTCCCAGGCTGGAGTGCAGTGGTGCGATCTCGGCTCACTGGAACCTCCACCTCCCGGGTTCAAGTGATTCTCCTGCCTCAGCCTCCTGAGTAGCTGGGATTACAGGCGTGCGCCACTACGCCCGGCTAATTTTTGTATTTTTAGTAGAGACAGGGTTTCACCATGTTGGTCAGGCTGGTCTCGAACTCCTGACCTCATGATCTGCCCACCTCGGCCTCCCAAAGTGCTGGGATTACAGGCATGAGACACTGTGCCTGGCCTGATGTATATTTCTTGAACAACAAATGGGTAATTTTAAGGCTAGGATGAGTTTTACCAACCTGCTTTTCCTAGTGATGCATTAAACGTGGTTTGGGTTAAGAAGGGAAATTCTCAGGCTTTGCTGAATCCCTAACTGAAGCACGTGAAGCTAAAATCACTCCCTCTCTGCCCAGGGTGGTCTGCACACCCAGAAAGAAATGCCAGAAATCGCTTGGTGTGAGTGCACTGCAAATTCTTGAAACTTGATTTCTCACAGGTATAGATCATCTGGCTAACTCAGTCCAGAATTTAAATACGGTGCTATTATAATTCACAGTAACTAAGATTATTATCTGTACATTAACGTATGGCACAAAAGCCCATAAGGCTAGCTTCTACAGAGAAGCAGGCTCCAAGGGAAGTGGCCACCAATGCTCTTCCTTTATAACAACATTGATGTGAGCAACGGCAGGCAACCGGCTGATAAAATGTGGAAATGTTTTTCCCTGTGGCATACCCACTTAAGGAGAGCTGTGTTTTCTGTACAAAATAGGTGGGGTTGTTTTTGGCAAAATGATGGAATGTTTTCAATTTGAAGGAGTAAAAATTCCCCAATACCAGTCTACGGCAAACAACTCAAAACAACAACAAGCCAACAACACCTCCTATTTAAAGCTGTCCCAGCCAGATGCAGGGGCTCGTGCCTGTAATCCCAGTACTTTAGGAGGCCAAGGCGGAAGGATCACTTGAAGCCAGGAGTTCAAGACCAGCCAAGGCAACAAAGTGAGAGCCTGTCTCTACAAATAAAAAACAATTAGCTGGGTGTGGTGACATGCACCTGTAGTCCCAGCTACTTGGGAGGGTGAGGCAGGAGGATCACATGAGCCTGGGAGTTTGAGGCTGCAGAGAGCTGTGATCATGTCACTGCACTCCAGCTGGGAAAAAGAGCAAGACTGTGCTGGAAAGAAAGGAGGGGGGAGCGAGCGAGGGGAGGGGAGCGAGGGAGAAAGAGAGGCATGTAAGAGAACACAGAAAAGGGAAACAGAACAAAAGGGTCTGTACTCTGAACACTAGAATGTTCCTTTCTACTCCTTAAGCCAAACCTAGAAGGCTTCTGGCACTCTCTTCTCTGCATCCCAGTACCCACTTCCAGGTTTCCAATGTGTTGAGTTCAGACTGGGGAATACCAGATGGGGAAAAATGGTAGACTCATGCCCAGTTGAGGAATACTTGCAATTCTAATCTTCCTCTCCAAACCACCTGCTACTATATTCTTTTCAGAATCTTTGAATAGCTGCTCCCTGCATTTGCAGTGGGAAAGCCACAGTGGAACATGGTTAACCCAGCTTATTAACCAAGCCCATTCATTTCTGAGCTAAAAATCTACCTGAGGCTCACACCAGCCATCTTTTGCATGATCCATCTGGTCCTCTTCGTAGACAGGGGTCCATTCCCAGGTGCTAAATCTGTTCAGCAGGGCTACTTGGGGGCTTTTCATGATCAAGTCCCAGACTTGCTCTTTCTCATCCAGGTCATGACCAGCCCTTTTTCGCTGCTGCTTTTTCATTTTCGCAGCAGAGGTGGGGAGGTACAAAACTAATTAGCGTCAACCAGTCTCCAAAGTGTATTCACAACACAAGGTCTCTATGTTGTGTTTAAAGAACCAAATGGTGGGCCGGGCATGGTGGCTCACGCCTGTAATCCCAGCACTTTGGGAGGCTGAGGCGGGCATATCACGAGGTCAGGAGTTCAAGATCAGCCTGGCCAACATGGTGAAACCCCATCTCTACTAAAAATATAAAAATTAGCAGGGTGTGGCGGCGGGCACCTGTAATCCCAGCTACTTGGGAGGCTGAGGCAGGAGGCTTGCTTGAACCCAGGAGGTGGAGGTTGCGGTGAGCCGAGATTGCACCACTGCACTCCAGCCTGGGTGACAGAGCAAGACTCCGTCTCAGACAAAAAAAAAAAAAGAACCAAATCGTGCCAACTAGAGCCAAAGGCTTAACTTCAACCCTTGCAGTCATGGGGGCACTTTCTCCACTTTCCACCTTAGACACGTGCTTTTGGGGTTCTATGTGCTTTTCTTAAATTTCAGAATCAGAACACCAGTCAAAAATGGAGAGTGTGACTCACCTTCCCCCACCCCCAAGAAAACTGCCACAAAACCGCACTGTGAGCCTGTTTCTTCCTCTCTTCTCTCAGATGCACTACGCTCTCAGGGACCAAGGACACTTTGTTCTAATCATGTTGAAGATGTAAAACAAAAATACTTAATTGTAAATTGAATTATTTCACCAAGATGCTACCTGTGAGAAAAAAGGAATGGCTGGAAATCCTGCCTTCCGACCTGGGTTTCGGATGATTATAAACAGCTGGGGTGGGGCTGAGGACCTCAGGGGCAAGGCAGCCACAGTTGGGGGTGGGGGGCAACACATTACAAGTCCAGCAGCAGGGCGCAGCCAGGCTGCCTCTGGCCACCTCCCCAATGCCCAGGATCTGGACAGGAAAAGACAGGAGTTCATCAATAAGGAGAGACCCCTCAGATGTGGGGTGCAACACCCCAGCTAGGAAGGGCAGCAACAGGTCCTCTCCCTGCAAGATCATGGGAACAAAGAAGAGGACAGGGACACTGAGGACAGGGTTCAAAACCCACTGGTCTCCCCAGAGTGAAGCACCCCCAGGGGAAACTGACAGCAACTCAGGCAGTCACAGAGGTCAACCATCAGAGAGGTGAGTGCTAGACAAAAACCACATCCTCATTCTTTGGGTCCATTAGGAAATGGGCAGGGTTGCAGGGGTCCCCCGCCTCCTGGAGAGGGCTGGATAAGCCTGAGTTACCACGGGGTGTGGGGGGAGGGTGCGGAGAGCACCCCCAGGGCGAGGGTCCTGCTCTCTGCTCAGCCCACAGTGACATCTCTAATGCAAGCATATGCTGGCTCTAAATTATATTAGCTTGCTTGCTTTATTTGGATGCATCTCTGTTTTTGACACCATGTCCTCTCTATAGCTATAAACATCTCGCATGCTTTACAAAGCACTGAGCACACAATAATTAACCAATACTCACTGACCAACCTGTCAGGGGCAAAGAGGACCAGCCCAGGAAGGGGGCACATTTCCACATATCACCCAAGAGCCTCTCACGCTGGCTCAGACCCACAGACAAGACTGGGAAGATCCGCCCACAGAATGTTCCTCCTTGCCCTCCATGACCAGATTCTCACTTTAAAAAGAGCCCTTAGTCCGGTGCATCCCGCGGAGAACAGACAAGAGGGGCCTAAGTCCCCAGGAAACCAGCACCATCCATCCGGTGAGATTGCTGGCCACTCAGCCCAGGGGTGATGGCTGCTAACGGGTCACTTAAAAAAAATGACCATGCATTAAAAACATTATTAAATCATCACTCACAAGAGAACCAAGGAGGTGTCACAATCCCTTCAGAGGGGAAGTCAAAGAATCACAAAAAGACATGGAGTTGGCTGGGGGAATGGGGATGGATTGGGCCATGATGGATTGATAATTAGGGGGCTTCCTTTTGGGGTGCTGGAAATGTCTTGGAGCTAGAGGTTGCACAACATTGCAAATGTACTAACTGCCATGGAACTATTCACTTTAATATGATTAACTTTATGTTATGTGAATTTCACCTCAAGAAAAAAATAATACAGAGTAAAAGAATATTGACATGAATTTCCAACGGACACAATACCAGCCTTTTCCATGGGGAGTCAATTGTCTCTCCAGGAGGCTGAACCCATTTGCACGTCTAGGGACAAGGATTATTTGCATTGCCTTCGGATATCTATGACTTACAGAGCTGTACAAAGACAGGTGAGCCCTGGGTGGCCCCAGTGCTCCATTCAAAGGCTGCCTATGCCCAAGTCCAAGGTGGAATGAGGAGAAGATGGAGTCCACAGGTTTAGGAGGAAACCAGCTTTAGCCGATGGGAAGGTGATGCTGCAGAATAAGGTGTGTCTAGAGATGGTGTCAGGAGTGACTCCTGCATTTCTTGGAGGCAGGGGGGAAGGTGGGCTCACTGGAGCACTGGGGCTTGAGGAGATGGTCCACCATGTGACACAGTGAGAAGCCGAGGTGTCCAAGGCACCATGAAGGGGCAGGACCACACAGGGTGCACGCCAGGCAGTTTGCAGCCCTGGCCTGGCTAGGGGCTTCCGTAGCACAGTGCCGCAGCTCCTGGGGCACACACCAAGGGATCAGGCACACGAAATGCTCAATGACACACACAAACATAATTTCCCCTGACTTGTACAAAAAATAGGGTGATCACTCCGCTCTGAGTTCCCACGTAGTGATGCAGACTCATTTTCAGAAACGCCTTTTCTTTCTGCCAATCTGGAATTCTTTCTGGGCTCCTCGAACACCTCTAAGAATCCACAACCTTAGACAGAGGGCTGCCTGGGGCCTTTCCCTTCCGGCTTTCCCCAGGCATCCACACCTACAACACCTGGGACACGCTAACACTCACAGGCCAGGTGAACACATGCTTGACTGCTCTCCATATGTACCGAGGGCTGCCCATGACCTCTGTGAGTGACCTTTCTGTCTAGACCATACGCAGTGCATCATCGAGGGAGCACACAGCCCCCGTGTGCACAAGGTCATGCTCCAGAAGCATCACTCACCTGCATGTGCACACTCTCAAGGCACAGCCAACTCCACTTTTCCACTGCAATTAGTACACAGTAATTATTACCCAAACCCAGCACATGGAAACATGGTCTGCAGCCTACATGGACTGTGTTTCCAGTGAGTTGTCCTTGTGTGCAGCAGGGAGGCGGCTACCAGGTCACAAGCATTCACCTCGGAGTGCACATGACGATGACCAATACGAGCCTGATGTCATTATCGGAGCCTCCTTCAAGGATGCTGCTCCCTCCCCACAGTGGTCTTGTTACTCTATAACTAGAAGTTTCTGAGCCACCAGCTCCAGAATGCAAGGCCCAAAAAGGGCCCTGTTACTCTTTTACAAGCAACCAGAGCAGAAACGAAAATGTCACCAACCTCCCAGAAAGAAACTGAATTATTCATCTGCAGCATTCACAGCCCCATGTGTGAAGTTAACGGGGGTTGTCCCCCTTGTTGTTCAGGCTGAAAAGTTTCCATGACTAGATGTGGGCACTCCTGTCCCAGCTCGTGTATCATGCCTGCCTCCTTCCTGGTGGCCACACAAGGACATGGGTACACGGCCCTTGCACTTGTATGAGCACGTGCCCACCCTTTCTCCTCACGTCCTCACATCCCCAGCTTCCCGGCTCCTTACACCGTAGAACCTGGATGACCTTGTGAAAACACACACATCTGATGCTCCCTCCGAGGTCCCTATACCACAGCATCCTTTGAGTTCACAGCCATCCGGTTCCTACAATTCAGCCCCAAAGGAGACTAGGGCCATCAGTTACATAAGGACATACATGGTGGAGGAGTTGATTTCATTCTCCTCCTTTGAGTTACCTGAACTTCTTACAGGAAATGTGTTATTTGTTTAATCCGGGGGAGTGGGGGAGGGGGAACCACACCTGGGAGCGCATGATTTTTTTTTTTTTTTTTTGAGACAGAATCTCACTCTGTTGCCCAGGCTGGAGTGCAGTGGTACAATCTCAGCTTACTGCAACCTCTGCCTCTCAGGTTCAAGAGATTCTCCTGCCTCAGCCTCCCAAGTAGCTGGGATTGTAGGTGCGCACCATCACGCCCAGCTAATTTTTGTATTTTTAGTAGAGACAGGATTTCACCACGTTGGTCAGGCTGGTCTTGAACTTCTGACCTTGTGATCCACCTGCCTCAGCCTCCCAAAGTGCTGGGATTACAGACGTGAGCCACTGCACCCAGCCTCATGATTCTTATAAATTGCTGCAAGGATATGCCCACAGCAGAAGCAGGGAGAGCTGGCAGTGGCATGTCCCACAGCCTCAGGCTTGGAGAGCAGCCCTCCCAGCCCCAAGGGCTCTCCCAGGGCTGGAGGTGCTTAGCCAGCTGTTTATGCATACGTTACACAACCCTGCAGCAGAAAGAGAGTCAGCCTGTCCAAAGAGAATCATTTGCGAGAAGACACCGAAAGACTAGGGTAGTCGTGGTGTTAGGCCTGCTCATCCAAACGACTTTGATCACTGAGAAAACTCAGCGCCATAGGATGGCTCCAGGGATTGCACAGAACCCCACTCCACTCCACCTGCAACAGGTATTTCCAAACCCTCCACATTTGCAGAAATCTATTTTCTTTTTATTGCTCATAAATCACTCTATTTTAAACCCCAGCATGACACAGATTTTTTAATTAAGTGAAGCAAAACTAATCTCACTTGAAGAATCACTACAAAACTGTGACCTTTTCCCTCACATAGGAAGATGCTACAATATCAGGGTCAGGAACCAAATTCCCCAAAGTCCATCAATGAAAAAATGTCTACTTTATGACCTAAGATGAAAGCTGACAACAGAGCGTTCAGAAGGACACACCGTCAACTGTCTTCAGTCCCTGACTCACCAAATAAAAAGTGACGGCAAAGCAATCTCTGCTTAAACATCACTCTAAAAACATACCACTCCTTTTGGCCTTATTTTTCTTGGGTTTTTCAAACAGGCTAATTTGTGGCCTTTATTGGAAATAAACAAAACATAAATAAATCAGTACCTATCAACACGCCACTCAGAATAATCACCTCAAACACCCTGGAAAAGTGGTGAAAATCTCATCCCCCCTCTAAGTGGTGGCTGCGGGTTTCTTCTCACTCTGGTATAAGGCTGCCCAGATTCTCCCGGTGTGTAATGCTTGTGTAATGCTCGGGGGCAGCAATCTGAAACTTCTAGAGACACTGAAGTCCTGCAGGTCACTGGGGTAGCTCCTATTAACTTACCACTCAGGCACCAAAGGCTACCCCAGGGCTTAAAAGCCTTAATGTCCCTCCTAAGGCACCTCATTTGCTGCTCCCCAAGGGGTACCATGTAATCCAAGGGAATCCAGCCCCATAAGAATCTGGTAATACCTAGGACTACAGACTACAGTCCTGATTAGACTGGTTCCACACAGAGGCTGCATTTAAAACACTAGCCCTGAGGTCCTCATATGTTAATACATTCCCAATTCCCAATATCAGGAAAGAAGGAAATGTTATCACTACAGACCCCATAGACATTAAAAAGGAACATGGCAAACAACTCCGTGCACAAAGAGTCAACAACTTAGAGGAAATGATCAAATTTCTCAATAACAACCAACCACCAAAATTCACACAAGATGAAATAGATACCTGAGCAATACTATAAACAGGAAAGAAATAGAATATGTAGTTAAATACCTTCTGAAAAAGACATCTGAAAAGGCTCAGAGATAGGTTCCTTACATGTTTGGTAGAATTTTCCAGTAAAACTAACAATTACATACACTCTCTTCCAGAAAATAGAGGAGGAAAAAACATTTCCCAACTTAAATGAGGCTAGCACTACCCTGATAGCAAATCCAGAAAAAGACATTACAAGAAGACTATAGGACAATACCCCTCATGAACACAGATGCAAAAATCCTCAACCAAATATTAGCAAACTGAATCCAGTAATATGTAAAAATAATGCACCACAGCCCAAGGGAGTTGATTCCAAAACACAAGATTGACTCAGTGTTCAAAAATCAATAAATGCAAGCCACCTACTCACAGAAGAAAAAGCACACAGGCATATCAATTTATACAGAAAATGCATTTAAAAAATTCAACATCCATTCATGATAAAAGCTTTCAGCAAACTAAACCTAGAAGGGAACTCTCTCAGCCTGACAAAGGGCATCTATGGAAAACTCACAGCTAACATCATATTTCATGGTGGCAGACAGATGCTTTCACCGAAAGTCGGAAGCAAGGCAAGGATGTGCTCTCACTACTTCTCAACATTGCACCAGAAGTCTTGGCTAAAGAAACAGGGCAAGAAAAAGAAAGGAAAGGCACACAAACTGAAAAGAATGAAATAAAATGGACTATTCACAGACAGCATGACTGCCTATGTAGAAAATTCCAAGGATTTCTTTTTGTACAAAAAAGCTCTTAGAATAAGTGAGGTTAAGCAAAGTCAAGAGGGTCCAAGATCAACAACATAAAAGTGGTCATATTTCTATGGATTCTATCAACATTTGGGAAATTGATAAAGTGAACTGCATCAAAATTAAAATGTTTGGCTCTGTGAAAGATGCTGTTAAAAGAATTAAAAGGCAAGCTAAAGATTGAGAGAAAATATTTGCAAATCACATATCTGACAAAGAACTTGTATTTAGAATATATAAAGAAGTCTCAAAACTCAATATCAAGAAAATAAACAACTCAATTAAAATATGAGCAAGACTTCAACAGATACTTCACCAAAGAGGATACACAGATGGCAAATTAGCACATGAAAAGATGTTTTACATCATTAGCCACTAGGAAATGCAATTAAAACCACAATGAGCACATTATATATACATTAGAATGGCTTAAGAAAAAACTTAACAATACCAGGTGCTGGTAAGGGTACACAGTGATGTGGCTGGTGAGACTGTAATATGGTACCGCCACACTAGAAAAGACTTGGGCAGTTTCTTATAAGAATAAACACACACGGACCATATGACCCAGCAATCCCACTTCTGGACATTTATCAAAAGGAAATGAAACCGCATGTTCATAGAAAAGCTCATACACAAATGTTTACAGCAGTTCTGTTCAAACACACAATGGACTTACCGAGGGACAAAAAAAAAACCAAACTATTGATACCTGCAACAGCTGGAATGAGCCTCAACGGCACAGTGGTGAGTGAAAGAAGTCAATCTCAAAAGGCTATGTACTGCGTGGTTCCATTATATGACATTCTTGAAAAGGTAAACTATAGGAACAAAGAGTAGCTCAGCAGTTATAAGTGATTGGGAGGGAGCTGAATATAAAGGGATGGTATGGGAAGTTTTCTTGGAGGATAGAATTTCTCTGTATTCTAACTGTGGTCGTGGTTACACCATCTGCACATGTCTTAAAACTCACAGAAATGCACACTGAGATAATCATTCTTACTGTGTATTAATTTTAAAAGTAAAGGAAAAGGAAAAACAAAATAAAATGACTGCACCAATTTGATTGAAATGTCTTTTAAAATACCTTTATTTTTAGCCAGACACAAAAGGAGAAACACTGCGTGATTCCACTTATAGGAGGTCCCTAGAGTAGTCAGTCACAGCGACAGAAAGGGGAATCAGGGCTGGGGAGTTATTTAATGGGTACAGAGTTTCCATTTGGGATGATGAAAAACCTCAGGAGATGGAGGGTGGTGATGGCTGCCCAACAATATGGATGTACTTAATGCCACTAAACTATACCCTTAAACATGGTTAAAATGATCAATTTTATGTTTATTTTACCACAATTGTAAAAACTCATGTTCTTCCACAAGAATAGATTTAGAAAATTGTATTTGTATAAAAATAAAACAATAAAAGAAGTTCAAAAAGCAAAAAGCTAAAGTCTCTCCCCACCACACTCTCCAGATAACATCACTGTCAACAGCTTGCTGTGCTTCATGTCAGATGTTCACAATCTTTATCATACACACTGGCTCAGGTGCATGCCGGCTCAGATGCATGCCAGCTCAGGTGCACGCCAGCTCAGGTGCATACAGGCTGAGGTGCATGCCAGCTCAGGTGCACACCAACTCAGATGCATATAGGCTGAGGTGCATGCCAGATAGGGTGCACGCTGGCTCAGGTGCATACAGGCTGAGGTGCATGCCAGCTCAGGTGCATGCCAACTCAGGTGCATATAGGTTGAGGTGCAAGCCAGACAGGGTGCACACTGGCTCAGGTGCATACAGGCTGAGGTGCATGCCAGCTCAGGTGCATGCCAACTCAGGTGCATATAGGTTGAGGTGCAAGCCAGACAGGGTGCACACTGGCTCAGGTGCATACAGGCTGAGGTGCATGCCAGCTCAGGTGCACACCAACTCAGGTGCATATAGGCTGAGGTGCACGCCAGCTAGGGTGCATGCTGACTCAGATGCATACAGGCTGAGGTGCATGCCAGCTCGGGTGCATGCCCGCTTAGGTGCACACAGGAATAGGGGCTTCTAATTCTGTGATTAAATGTGAAACAGAGGTCCTGGGTCAATTTGCACAATCCTTCTGACTTTAAAAGAGTCATGCTCTTTGCTTCCCACAAGAGGCAACTGAAAAGTAAGTAAAACACATCCCAAGGGTGAAGTCACTGGTGGAGGGTAAAGAACACAAGATGGCAGCCACCAAGGGCTGGGGAGTAAAAGTCCTTCGCAATTTCTGACTGTCGTAAGAACTCGATGAAGGCCAGAAAGGAGGAGGAGATGGCAAAGTTAGCTGGGATTGAGAAGATGATGGAGACAAGACACTTACAAGATGGACAGGAATGATCACTGGGCATCCAAGAACAATTTATGAAAGCCAAATATACAGCCTTAAAATAGAATGTGGACCTAAACACTGAGAAGCACCCCCCTTTTGTAAGATTTGTGACAAAAATTAATTTGAGTGGAGTTAACAGTCCTAACGACATGGTGGACCCAAGAGCCAAATCACCGCTAGCAAAACGGCAGAATTCATATAGCATTCAAAGATGTCCTGCAAGAGCTTTGGGCCTAATGATGTCGGTGCTTAATGATGTCTATGGAATATATGAAACTTCCTCAGCTGCGCGAAGGCCAATGTTACAAGTTAATCAAAAGGAAAAACCCCAGGCCCTTCCCCTTTTCCCCCATTCAACTTAAGTAGTCTTCATTTCCCACAGTAGTAAATTTTCTAGATACATCTTGTAGACCTCAAAGTACTGGAGAGGGCCAGGCATGGTGGCTCACATCTGTAATCCCAGCATTTTGGGAGGCTGAGGTGAGAGGAGTGCTTGAGCCCAGGGGTTTGAGACCAGCCTGGGCAACATAGTGAGACCCCATCTCTATAAAAAATGTAAAAAAATTAGCCAGGCATGGTGGCACACGCCTGTGGTCCCAGCTACTCAGGAGGCTGAGGTGGGAGGATCACTTGAGCCCAGGAGGTTGAAGTTGCAGTAAGCCAACACTGCACTCCCGCCTAGGCAACAGAGCAAGACCCTGTCTCAACAAATAAAGTATTGGAAAGGAAGCGCTCATTCAACTTATCTTAAGATACTGTAAGATATCTGCCACTTTTCCTAAGATATTGTAAATGATACTACATTTTGAAATATGTAAGTTGTGCTATAACAACAACAACAACAAAACATCCTAGGCCTGAGCAAGCAGTGCTCCATTCGGAGCTGACCCAAACCTTAAAAAGGAGCAAAGGCTGGGCACAGGGTCTGACGCCTGTAATCCCAGCACTTTAGGAGGCCGAGGCAGGACGACTCCTTGAGTCTCAGAGTTTGAGACCATCCTAGGCAACACAGCAAGACCTCATCTAGAGGTCTAGATGAGGTTTTAGTAGACTAAAAATTTAAAAACTAGCCAGGCATGGTGGTGCACACCTGTGGTCCCAGCTACTCAGGAGGCTGACATGGGAGGACTGAAGTTCAAGGTTGCAGGGAATCAGCCTGGGTGACAGAATGAGACCCTGTCTCAAAAACAACGGCCGGGCATGGTGCCTCATGCCTGTAATCCCAGTACTTTGGGAGGCCGAGGCAGGTGGATCACCTGAGGTCAGGAGTTCGAAACCAGCCTGCCCAACATGGTGAAACCGTCTCTACTAAAAATACAAAAATTAGCCGGGCATGGTGGCACATGACTGTAATCCCAGCTACTTGGGAGGCTGAGGCAGGAGAATCGCTTGAACCTTGGAAGCAGAGGTTGCAGTGAGCTGAGACTGCACCACTGCACTCCAGCCTGGGCAATGCACTCCATCTCAAAAAACAAAACAAAACAAAACAAACAAAAAAACAAAAAGAAGAAAGAAGTGAAGGCAGACAGTCAGAGGGCTACAGAGACTCCAGGCTGGTCAATCAGTGACAGAAATTTGAGTTCCCTTTCTCAGGTCCTCCCCAGGCATCCCCCAGAGAAGTAGGACAGAGAGAAGACGGGTACCATGCCCACAGCAGCACTCTGGGTCCCCCAAGGGCTGCCTTCACGGTCCCCATCCCAGCCCAAAGGAGTTCCAGCCACTCTGCTGATGCATGGCACCAAGTTCTGGGCTCAAGTCCTCCCACCTCCCCCTTTGGTTGCCAAGAAACCTCCCTCCAAAGATGTCCAAATTCAAACTGCTGCTTCTAGACACCTGGCACCAATAAACCCCGAAGATAAACACAGCCTGACTCATTTACCCAGCCCTGTGCATCGCAAGCATTTTAGCCATAATTAACCTTCGCTTAAACCCTGTGTTTGTGCTTGAGTTTAGCAATCACCAGCATTCGAATCCAAATAAGAACATCACAAAGATTACAGTGGACAAATAAAATATAAACAGATCCAAATGCCTCCATGTTCTTAATTACTAGCTATGTTCCTTTGTATACACAGATGAAAGCAGCAACTAAATAGCCTGCGTAAACTGCGTTTACATGAGTTTTTCTCTGTATGACCAGAAGCACTAAAACTCACCTGCAGAACTCCACTGAGCTTCAGAACCCGTGGGTGATTTTTGTTTTTTCAGTGTGTACACTTCATTATCGTTTTCAAGCCCACCCTGGAAGAGGACAAGGGCTAAAACATGAAATATTAAGCCACTCTCCCCCAAGCTACAGACACATGTAGCTTGACAGACACATGTCAGCTTCTGCCTGACAGACATATGTCCCTCAAAGAAGAGAAAAAAGCCAGACGGATTCTTCCCACACCACCACGTTCCTCCTGGCCAAGCCTTTCCGTAGAGAAAGGCCAAGCTGGGTTCAAGACCGGAGACTCTGCTCTCAGGTCTGTGACTGTCAGCCCCTGCAATAGGGGTCCCTGCTGCAGAGGCCCCTGGTGTCCCACCCTGAAAAGTCCCAGAAAGCACTTCTGAGAGCAGCAGCTCTGGCTTTAGAACCTGAGGAGGGTGCCTGGGGCTACAGGGAGGGTTTCACAGCTGCCCTGCTGGCACCATGTGGTCACCAGACCCCTCTTTCTCCCCAGCTCCGGGCCCACCCCGGAGGAGGCTCTCCTGGGGAAAAGGGTCGAGGTGCAGGATGAGAAAGAACCTGCAGAACCTGCAGCTGGAGGACAGACCAGCCACAACCTGGAGGCCATCCTGGGCTGCCAGGAATGACCAGGCTTTGTGAGAACCAGTGTCACAGAGGCTGGGCAGGAAGCCCCAAGGGCCTGAAAGCAGGTGGGACTGAGACCCATGTCCCCACCCACCTGGGAGCCAGAAGGGGCCTGCTGGGCCCCCAGATCCTGAGCCTCAGCCAGTGAGAAGCAGGGAAGGGGACACATGCTGACCACCAGTCCCAGGAACAAACACCCACTCCTGCCAGCCCAACCACACCAGGACTGGTCCATGGGTCACAGCCTTGGCATGGGCTCAGCTCCCCACTCCCACCACACGGCCAGTGACCTGAGTCCCTCCTACCTCTGTGACCAGCTCCACTCTCTCACTTGTTCACCCATCAATCATTCATTCACTCCAACACTGCACCTGATGGAAAAGAAAGAGAAGAGCCACCTTTACCAGTCCTGGAGCTGGCACCCCTCTGCATTCCCCTACTGATCCATCAGGCAGCTCCCATCCAGTCCAGACCAAGCCTGCCGTGGACCACCAGGCTGTGTTTCTCCCGCCTCGCTGTGACTGTTTACGGTAGAATTCACAGGATGGCACACAGGTCTGATAAGAGCACGCCAGGCACACGGGAGGCCAATGTCAGCAGGCTCACAGAGAGCGGGAAACAATGATATGACCATGGCTTGCACAAATATTTTTTTTCCCAGAAAAAGAAAATATCATGGAGGCAGAGCTCCCAGGCTTTCTGCTAATAAATGCCTCTAGCATGTCCAAGCCATGTCACATTTTGAAGGAAAATGAAGCAGTTTTTGGAAGGAGGACAACAGGAATGGTCCCCAGAGGCACCTAAGGTATTACTGATGCTTAAATATGGGGCCAGTGGTGACCGGAATGAAGCAACCTTCCTAAGAAGCAGAAGGTCGGCTGAGGTGTGAGCGCAGCTTGCACAAGGCCCCGGACCTCGCTCCTGGTGCCATTAGAATGTAAGAAGTGCCAACCTTCGGCCACCTCATGCTGGCCCGATGATCTCTGGGCAAGAATAACAAGCCCTGCCTGCTCTGGGGCAGGCTTCTGGGAGCAGGGCAACACCTTCATACAATACACCTTGAGCAAGCTCACACACCTTACCTAGGGCCCACACTGGTTTATAAAACATAGCATGCCACGGGGCCCGTGCACTGGGGAGCACTGACCAGTGTGATGGCTGATGTCACATGTCAACTTGGCTGTGCCACAGTACCCAGATATCTGGCCAATCATTATTCTTGATACTTCTGTGGAGGTATTACTTTTTTAATGAGATCAACATTTAAAGCAGAGGCTTTGAGTAAAGCAAATGGCCCTCTGTAATGAGGGTGGTCCTCATCCAATCAGCTGAAGGCATGAATAGCACAGGCTGACCTCCCCCAAGGAGAAGAGCAGAAAGTTCTGCCTCCAGACAGCCTTCCATTGAGCTGCAATTCTTCTCTGGGTCTCCAGCCTGCTGTATATTTTAGACTCGTGGCATCTCCACAATCAGGTGAGCCAATTCCTTGTAATGTCTACACACGCATACACATGCACACACCCATTAGTTTCACTTCTGTGGGGGACCCTGACCGACACAATCAATCAGGGACATGGCAAAGGTATCACGCCAGGCTCCAGAGATGCCTCCAATCCCCACTTCGGAGCAGAACCTGACTGCGGAAGGAAGCCCCCATGACCACATGGCACCAACAAAAAGTCATGCCTGTGAAGGATCTAGGCACATACACAATATTTGGCTGGGATACTGGGCTGACCTGTCCAGGGATAGGAGAGCCGACATATCTGACCCCAGAGAAACACACCACATCACTGTACTACCATGTCAAATTCTCCCCAGGCCATTTCACTTTAGACAAGCTGGAGGCATGGAGGAGAGTGGGGCGAGTTTTATCTTTTGGCTAAAAATACAACTAAGACTTCCGTAAAATAAGTTCAGTAAGCCTCCTAATGAGAAGAGACTCCTAAATCCAAGAAACTCTCCCAGAATGCAGACTTCCAGCATGCTGTGCACTGCTATTCTGGAACCTATGAGCACACATGTGCAGGCAGGCACTCACACACACATGCATATATGCACAAGGTACATGCACGTACACACACACACACACAAATGCTCACACACATTCACATACACACATGCATGCACCCCCCCACACACACACAAACACACACGGCCTACTAAAACACTGCCAATTTCATTTTCTGGGCTCCACCATTCACAGGGGCCATCACATGTCCTGCTAATCAATGCCTTGACAAGAGTAATGTACACCAAGGAAAACAGTCAAGGGTGTGGCAGACTGGAGAGACCTCCACTGAAGGCCCCAGGGACACACAGCACACACAAGGGCACACATGGCTTCGTAGCACACTGCAGAACATACACATCTATGACACAGTGGTGAGCAAATAAAGCAAGGTGCATACCTCTGCGTGGCATGACCGCGACTTTGGGGAAACACCCCCTCTATGGATGTGTGTGTACTTATGCATGCACGCATGTGTGTGCATCTGAAAATCGCAGAGAAAAAAATTCAGAAAGGCAGGTTGTTTATGGCATTTACCCAGCACAATGAAAGCGTTCACTCTTTGCTTTCTGTCTTCATTTTCTGAGCAATAAAAATGCCATTAAAATAATGGAAAAGTTAGTCAGCACATCTTACTTCCTGTTCACACTAAATATCCAACAAGTATTCTTGTAGAAACACTCCTTAAAAGCAAAGGCCCCACCAACAGAGAGAAAAACTCGCATAAAAAAGATAGAAGGCACCTTTCCTGTTTCCCCTCTGAGTCAACATGAAGTTATTTTACGAAGCAGAGAGTTTCCACTGTACTCTTATTTCTACAGCTTCCCACAAAGGCAAAAAGCAGCTGTGGTTTCCATTTTCCTGCTGATAAAGCCCTGCTGAAATATATCCTGGAGAAGGTGAAAGCCTGCCAGCCCTGTCTCCGCCCACCAGGGCCACCAGCTCAGCCCGCGCAGTATTTCAATTGCCTTCTTGTGTGCTGTAACAGGTTGAAGAGATGCAATCTTGTTTGCAAAAAGGGTCTTTCTAGATGTAAGAATCTCAGGATGAGATCTCCCTGGGTTATCTGAGTGGGCCCTAAATCCAGGGACAAGTGCCCTTATAGATACACTCAGAGGGAAAGACAGACGCAGACGCCATGTGATGTTGGAGCAGAGACTGGAGCAATGTGTCACAAGCCAAGGGACACTGGGGCCACACAAGAGGGAAGAAGCAGGACGGAGGCCCCCCTAGAGCCTCAGGGGAGTGTGGCCCTGCTGACACCTTGATTTTTACTTCTGACCTCCAGAACTGGGAGAATAAGTTTCTGTTGTTGGAAACCACCCAGTGTGTGGTACTTTTTATGGCAGCTACCAGACATTCATCCCTATGTCCCCTGTGCGCCTATGAAAAGGGATTGTTTCCTTCATGGTTCATTTACAGAGAAAGCAAGAAAGCCCCCAATACACAGACTATGAAAATGTGCGGAATGAGATGAAATGAATCATCCTCACTGCACCCTTGTTAGGGGTCTGCCTCTTGTTCACACTCCACTCTCCCACCCAAAACCTGAGTCCTATGGCCCCCTCATCCTCCACCCCACCCCACCCCACCCCAAGGCCCTTCCTTCCCCCTCCTTGGGCAGCCACCGCTTTTGTTCCTGTCACTGCTGCTGTGTTGCATGTTACCCTGAACTCAGCAGCCTGCAACATGTTACTACACTCCCAATTCTGTGGGTGAGGAGCCTCAGCGGGCCCCAGCTTCAGTCAGCTCATCTCTGCTCCAATGTCCAAGGACACCAAAGCTGACACACCTAATTACCAAGGGCTACAGCTACAGTCCTTGGAAGGCCTGTCCCCTCACTTATCAGGGCCCTGAGTGGAGGGGACTGAATACCAGGGCTGCCCACTGGAGCTCCCATGGCTGCCTGTGGAGCTTGGGTTTCCTCACAGCATGGCTGCCAAAGGGCCAACTCCTTCCTTGGCATCACAGGGCTCCCAGAGCCAGCATCCTGGTGAACAATGGGGAAGCCACATTGGGGGTCACTCAGCCTCACACCCACCACATTCCACCAATCAAGGCAGTCAGGAAGTAACCCAGATCCACAGCAAGGGGACAGACACCCTGCATCTCAGTGGCAGCAATGGCGAGATTGGCCACCATGTTTTAAAAACTACAGCTTTTCGCCCAGCTCAGCCACCAGCTGTTTCCGATTTGCTCTGAGTTCTAACTCAGTGTTTGTTACTTCAACACCTCAGCCCCGTCCTCGTTGGGCAGCCTCACCCTCAAGATCCCCTCAAAGCCCCTGTATCCCCTATTGTGTCCGGAATTGGTGGGTTCTTGGTCTCACTGACTTCAAGAATGAAGCCGTGGACCCTCGCGGTGAGTGTTACAGCTCTTACGGTGGCGCGTCTGGAGTCTGTCCCTTCTGATGTTCAGATGTGTTCAGAGTTTCTTCCTTCTGGTGGGTTCGTGGTCTCGCTGGCTCGGGAGTGAAGCTGCAGACCTTCACGGTGAGTGTTACAGCTCTTAAGGCAGCGCGTCTGGAGTTGTTCGTTCCTCCCGGTGGGCTCGTGGTCTCGCTGGGCTCAGGAGTGAAGCTGCAGATCTTCGCGGTGAGTGTTACAGCTCATAAAAGCAGCGTGGACCCAAAGAGCTAGCAGTAGCAAGAGCGAAAGAACAAAGCTTCCACAGTGTGGAAGGGGACCCGAGCGGGTTGCCAATGCTGGCTCGGGCAGCCTGCTTTTATTCTCTTATCTGGCCCCACCCACATCCTGCTGATTGGTAGAGCCGAGTGGCCTGTTTTGTCAGGGCGCTGATTGGTGCGTTTACAATCCCTGAGCTAGATAGAAAGGTTCTCCACGTCCCCATCAGATTAGTTAGATACAGAGTTTCCACACACAGGTTCTCCAAGGCCCCACCAGAGCAGCTAGATACAGAGTGTCGATTGGTGCACTCACAAACCTTGAGCTAAACACAGGGTGCTGATTGGTGTATTTACAATCCCTGAGCTAGATATAAAGGTTCTCCACGTCCTCACCAGAGCAGCTAGATACAGAGTGTCGATTGGTGCACTCACAAACCTTGAGCTAAACACAGGGTGCTGATTGGTGTATTTACAATCCCTGAGCTAGATATAAAGACTCTCCACGTCCCCACCAGACTCAGGAGCCCAGCTGGTTTCACCTAGTGGATCCCGCACCGGGGCTGCAGGTGGAGCTGCCTGCCAGTCCTGTGCCGTGCGCTCGCATTCCTCAGCCCTTGGGTGGTCGATGGGACTGGGCGCCGTGGAGCAGGGGGTGGCTCTCGTCGGGGAGGCTCGGGCCGCACAGGAGCCCATGGAGTGGGTGGGAGGCTCAGGCATGGCGGGCTGCAGGTCCCGAGCCCTGCCCCGTGGGAAGGCAGTCAAGGCCCGGTGAGAAATCGAGCACAGCGCCGGTGGGCCAGCACTGCTGGGGGACTCAGTACACCCTCCGCAGCCACTGGCCCGGGTGCTAAGTCCCCCATTGCCCGGGGCCAGAAGGGCTGGCTGGCTGCTCCGAGTGCGGGGCCCACCAAGCCCACGCCCACCCGGAACTCCAGCTGGCCCGCAAGTGCCGCACACAGCCCCTGTTCCCGCTCCTGCCTCTCCCTCCACACCTCCCTACAAACTGGGGGAGTGGGCTCCGGCCTTGGCCAGCCCAGAAAGGGGCTCCCACAGTGCAGTGGGGGACTGAAGTGCTCCTCAAATGCCGCCAAAGTGGGAGCCCAGGCAGGGGAGGTGCCGAGAGCAAGCGAGGGCTCTGAGGACTGCTAGCACGCTGTCACCTCTCACTATCAGTACATACACACATCCTTCTCCCGCTAAAAGTAACACGTCTTGTCCATTCTCCTCCAACCCCCAACCTCTCACTGCCATCCCAGAACCTGGGACACACTAGGCAGGCACTGCATGCTCTCCGAGGGGTAGATGGCAGCAGATTGAGTGGACCCTGTGCAGCCAGAGACAGAAACTGTGAAGCTGAAAAACACCATGTTAGGAATGACAGGGACGTGCCCACCTGGCCTTGGTGAGCAGGTGGCGGTGGGGTGGGATGCACAGAGGGGACAGCTGGAGAGACCCCCGAGGGTCCAGCGAGGGAGGCGGGGCCCATCAGCAAGCAACAGGAGCTGGTTCAGGGGCCCCTTCTCAGAGGAGAGGGTTCACAGCAGGACTGGAAACAGGGTGCCACGTGGGAGGTCTGAGACAAAATTAAACCACAGGTGCCACCACGGAGACAAGACCTGCCCCAGGAAGTGGAGCCATAAGAACTGGAGGGCCCTTGGTGTCCTGAAAGGACAATAAAAGGCTAAAACACAGCCTGTGTGCAAGGATGTTCAAAATATCATTCCTAACAGCCTCAAACTGGAAGCCGAGAGGGCAGCAGACACCCGTGGCGGATATAAATGTGCCTAAATTGTGGCAGACACACACACCGGAATACGTGGTGGCAAGGCAAGAGAAGAAGACCCTGGGTGAGCTCAAGCCAAATGTCACAGACGGATGCTGAGTGACACGCACGAGGATGTGCTGCAGAACCCAAGGCACACAGACTCAAGCCAGCCAAGATTAACCTGCGCTGTGATCAGCTGGGGAGTGGTGAGCAGGGGGCCCCAGGGCCCTGTGCTCTGCTCCTCTTCCCAGGCATCGCAGGGCTGGCTCCATTTGTGAAGATTCAAGGGCCGCACACTGAGGCTAGGTGTGCTTCACAGTAAATTCTGCAAATATCTCACTGCAGAAGGAAGGAGGAGATGGAAAGATGAAAACAGCAAACCTGGTGAGAGGGTTTCGCTGCTGCTGCTTCCTGTCGATGACCTTCCCTTGACTCCAAGAGGGGAAAGGAGGCAGGGAGAGGGGTCACCGCCCAGACGGGTGAGGGGATCCACTGCAAAGTAGTGGGCCATGGAGCCGACCCAGCTGCTCTAAGAAGAAGGCAGCAAAGCCAGTTGAGGACCAACCAGCTCACAGCGGTCAGAGCACTTGCAATGTCCACCATCCACTGGCTGGCTGTATCCTACTGCCCTCCTGGGACACGTCCACAGAGAATGTGCACCAGCAAGGCCACCAAGCAGGCCACACCTGGATCACTCTGACGACCACGAGGCCAGAGTCTCAGACCATGGAATCTGCTCTTCATGTCAGCTCTGATCAGACAGGCACTTGGAAGAGTCACAACGCAAAGAACAGCACGGGCCACACTCGTTACGGTTTACACAGGCATCAGCAACAGCTCTGATCCTCAGGGAAGCCTCCCAGCCATTCTCAGCCCCAGCAGCAGAAGGCCCCGCAAAGCTCAGGATAACTGCACTGTAGCAAATGTCTCCTGTGCAGCAGGAGGCACACTCTGCCTCCTCCAGCAGCAAGGAGAGGGCCCCCAGCCCAGCAGTTTGGGGAGGGTGACACCAGCAGGAACGGACTCCCGGCCTGACACAATTCATGAATAAGGCTGTGCTTGGCAAAGTGTTTTTCCGTCTGTAGCAACTACAATGTAAGTGCTTGAAAAGGCTTCAGAGTAGTCCTGACACAAAATGTCTCAGTGGAAGTCTCCAGATGACACCATCACTTATTTAGAGAATGCCACTGTGGCCTGAGCATGGTCTCCTCGCTGAGAAAAGAGAAAGGGGAGAGAGCATGTCTGCATTCTCAGGGCTCCTTCATTTCCACCGCGAGACATCTGTGCTAAGCCATCTATCCCTTCTGCAGCCCTAAATGTGCTAATTATTAAATGACACTCTCTTCCAGTTGAAATAAAACCTGTGCCCACTGGCTGGAGTCACAGAGCGGTTACTTGTAAATAAATGGAGTCTGTATCTCCCCGAAGGCTTGATTCCAGGTCCTGCAGCGACTGGTGTCTATTTTAAAAATCGCCTTCTCACCACCTCTCTGGTTTCGCCAAGCTGGCAAAAACCAAGCCCTGCTCCAACCGTGCTCTTGTGGAAGGAACTGGAACATGAGGATGGCAGATCCCTGCACAGAGAGACCTCAGCCCCACAGAACATCCAGGACGCAGCCGCTGCTTACAGGCAAGACCAAGGGAGCCAGGCGGCTTCCCAGGATTCCACATTTGAAACCCAAGCCACTGCCCTCAGCATTCAAAGACAAGCTAGATATCCAATTCCACCTGCTCAAGAGCTCTGCTTTGACCCAGTTTTCCTGCCCTGTTGTTCTCAGGCTTGCGGTCCAACACCAGCCCCTGGGGTAGGCACTGTGCTGAAGGCTCTAAGGCATGTCCAGCCCCAGAAATGTGGGGATTAGCCTCACTGAGAGGAAAATCAAGCGGTAGAGGAGTACATGGTCAAAGTCAGCCAACGTGAGAAATAAGATAATAATACATAGTGTACACACATTGACGTCACGCTAAAATTTTTACATTTCCATGCAGTTACACATAGGGCCAGATGTCACATGGGGGTCAGTAGTTCTCAATCTGGGGGTTGCAAACACAGTTTTTCAACAAATATAATCAAATAAAAATATCAGGGGGTGTCACAGATAGTTAAGGGCGGCTGTTATGAGCAAAACTTACTGGCATGTGTGCATCTGTGTGCTGTGTGTGTGTGCGTGTGCTGCCTCACAATATAAAATGCATGTGGGTCACTGTCAGCGTCTGAAGCCAGCCAGGCATGAGACACCCACACAGCCAGGCTGCCTGATGGTCAAGAAGCTTTTGTATTGTAATAAAAAATGTTTTAGCAATATGGTCCATGCACTGAAACCTTCCTGAGGCTTGGTTTCAAACATAACACTGAATTCCACATGCATCTCAGTTCAAACGTGGGCAAGAAGGGATATTACAGGAGTCATCTCATTTAATAATCCTACAGTCCCCCAACAACCACTGAGGGACAACCCCACTAAGGAAGAGGGCGGGCCCCACTGAGGCTGCGCACAAGCTGGCAGGCACAGAAGGGCTTCCGGGCTCCCCCAGGAACTGGAGCCTTAAAGAGGACGCCGCGGCCACCCCGCCCTGCAGGCCCACCTGCAGCTGGGCTGCATCTGGGAGAGGCAAGCGAGGGGCCGGCCAGCTTCACTGCCTGCATGCCCTTTAGGAGCAGAACAAGCTGCAAAACACCCACCTGCTCTGGGAACAAGGCACGCATGACCAGTCTAGGAAAAGTGTGCAAAGCTCTCAAGACTCCGATGCATACGGGGTATGTGTGTGCTGTGTGTGCTGCGGCACGTGCAGCATATGACTGTGTGGTGTTATGTGTGGGGTTTGATGTGTGGTGTGTGTGGTGTGTATGTGTACAGTGTGTGTTGTGTGTGTTTTGTGTGTGTGTGTGGCATGGTATGTGTATGTACCACGTGGTGGGTTTGTGTAGTGTGTGTGGTGTGTATGGACTGGGTGTGTGGGGTGGGGAGGTACGTGTATGGTGTGTGTATACATGGTGGGGTATGTGTGTAGTATGGGGTGTTCCGTGGTGTGATGTGCGGTGTATGTATGCAGTATATATGTAGTGTGTGTGTGGTGTGGTGTGTGTATGTAGTGTGGTGGCTGTGTGTGTGGTATGTGATGTGGTGTATGGATGTGTTGTGTGTTATGTGTGTGTGGTGTGGCAGGTATGTGTGAAGTGTGTGGTATGGGGAATGTGTGGTGTGGTGTGTGGATGTATTGTGTGGTGGGTGTGTGGTGTGTGGATGTATTGTGTGGTGTGTGTGTAATGTGTGTATACTGGGTGTTTGTGGTGTGGGGGGTATGTGTGTAGTGTGTGGTATGGGGTGTGTGGTGTGATGTGTATGTGTGTGTTGTTTGGTGTGTGTGTACTGGGTGGGTGGTGGAGGCATATGTGTGTAGTATGTTGTGTGTGTGTGTGTGTGTGTGTTCCAGAGCTACATTTTTCAACCTTTTCCTTTGTATTTCTCCTTTGTGATTTCCATAACAAGTATTGTTGCAGAAAATCAGAGAAATGTAGACAAGCACCAAGGAGAAAACAGAAGGCACGTCATCAACTAAACATCTGACTCGCATTTTGGACATGGTCTAGTGCTTTCTAGGCAATTGTAAGTCCTTGCCATGCATGTTGGTTCACAAACTGTTCTTAACACATGATGTATTATGCTGACTTCTCATCTCATTAGGCATATTTTACACTAGATTTTCAAAGAGTGACCAATGTTACTATGGCACATCCTGCCTAACTATTTCACTGTCAGTAGCTGCCCAGGTTATATCTGGATTTTCTATTTATAAACACTGAGAAACACCCTTTTCAATAAATGCTTCTTAACATTCATGATTCTTTAAATAAATGTCTAGCTCATTCAGACTCCAATGGCCAAAGGGTACATGTGCCTTAAAATCTTTAAAACATTAACCGGGCTGGGCACGGTGGCTCACACCTGTAATCCTAGCACTTTGGGAGGCCAAGACGGGAGGATCACCTGAGGTCGGGAGTTCAAGACCAGCCTGACCAACATGGAGAAACCCCATCTCTACTAAAAATACAAAATTAGCCGGGCATGGTGGCGCATGCCTGTAATCCCAGCTACTTGGGAGGCTGAGGCAGGAGAATCACTTGAACTTGGGAGGCAGAGGTTGCAGTGAGCCAAGATTGCACCATTGCACTCCAGCCTGGGCAACAAGAGCAAAACTCCATCTCAAAAAAAAAAAAAAAAAAAAAAAAAAGAAAAAAAAAAAACCACTAACCAACTGCCACCTCCTAGTGCATGCATTAGATGCTGGACCTCAGTATAGAGCATCGAATCACAACTCCTGGCTTCACCACTTCTTGGCTGAGCGGCTTCAAGAATAACATTCTTATTCTCTCTGTTCTCACCTGTAAACAAGAGGGGAGAACTGACCCAGTCTTACAGGACTGTGGTCAGAACTCCATGAGACGGATAGAGTTTGGCATATCATTTATAACAAGGTCACCATGAACGTCATCTAGCATTCTTGTCCCATAACTTCTTTCCCTTGTTTCCAATCTGTCTTTCCAATTCATCACTCTGAAATGCCAGAGTTACTCCTGAGACATCGATCTGATTGCTTTATTTACTGCTCAAATACCTGCATAATTATGCTGAGTGAAAGAAGCCAGACTCAAAGGCTACAATCTGTATAATTCCTTCTATATGAAATTCTGGAAAAGCCTAGAGGGATGGAAAACAGGTCAGTGGTTGCTAGGTCTGGGGAAAGGAAACTGACTACAAAGGGGCACAAGACGGAATTTTTGGAGTTATGAAAATTTTCCATACCTTGATTTGGTGTGGAAATGATTTGGTATGGTTATATTTACCAAAACCACATGCATTAACCAAAACTCACAGAATGGTACATTTAACAGGAAAGATTTCACTGTATATAAAATTATAGCTCAATAAATCACACAAATAACCAGAACTGACTCAAACAGAAACAGAAAATCTTCATAGTCCTATGTTAAGGAATTGAATTCATAATTAAAAGCCTCTCCATAAAGAAAACCCCAGACAGGCTGGGCACAGTGGCTCACACCTGTAAGCTCAGCACTTCAGAAGGCCAAAGCGGGAAGATGGCTTGAGGTTAGGAATTCAAGGCCAGCCTGGGAATCATAGTGAAACTCTGTCTCTGCTAAAATTCAAAAAAATTAGCCAGGCATAGTGGTGTATGCTTGTAGTCCCAGCTACTCTGGAGGCTGAGGCAGGAAGATCACTTGAGCCCAGGAAGTCAAGGCTGCAGTGAGCTATGATTGAGCTATGATTGTACCACTGCACTCCAGCCTGGACAACACAGTGAGACCTTGTCTCCAAAAAGGGAAAGGAAGGGAAGGGGAGGGGAGGGCAAGAGAAGCCCAATCCTACAAAGACTATTCAAAAATAGTAAGAGGAACCACTTCTCAAATCATTGTGTGGGGCAAACTTTACTTTGATACCAATATAAAATACAGTACCAGAAAAGAAAACAATATCCCTCATGACATAGCCACAAATATCCTTAATAAAATTGCAGCAAATCAAATCCAGCAATATATAAATATATATATATAATATATAAAACAAATATATAAAAAAGATACATAATTACCAAGTGGGATTTGTGCCAGAAATGCAAGAATGATTTAACATTCAAAAGTTAACCAGTGTAATTCACCATATTTACAAACAAAAAATGAAAAACCCTATGATCATCTCAACAGATACAGAAAAAGTATATGAGGAAATTCAACACCTACTCATGATAAAAGCTCTCAACAAATTAAAAAACTTCCACCGCCTTGTAAAAGGCACTTCATATCTTTACCTAACATCATACTTAACAACAACAACAACAAAACTTGAAATTCTTCCTTCCTGATATTGGGAACAGGCAAGAATGTCCACTTTTATCACTTCTATTAATCATTGTACTGAAAGTCCTAGAAGTGAAAGAAAAGAAGAAAAAGGAGTAAAAGGCATTCTAACTGGAAAGAAACTGGTCTTTATTCATAATCATCAGAATTATCTATATGAAAGATCTTGAGGGACTACAAAAAAAGCTACTTAAATAGCGACTTAGCAAGGTTCACAGGATAAACAAAAAATAGAAAAAATCAATTGTATTTCTATATATCGCAATTAACAACTGGAAAATAAAATTTTTAAAATCCATGTATAATAATATGAAATACTTATGAGTAAATCTGATAAAACATGTGCAAGACCTGTACACTCAAAACTACAAAACACTGCTGAAAGAAATAAAGGAAGATGAAAATAGAGGGAGATTCCATGCTCATTGGTCAAGAGACCAAATATTGTTACAATGTTTTTTCCCAAATTGATCTAAGGAGTTAATACAATTCTGGCCAAAATCCAAGCAGGCTTGCTGTAGAAACTGACAAACTGATCTTAAGTATATAAGAAAATGCAAAGGATCTAGAACCGACACTACAATTTTGAAAATGAAGCAAAATTGTCATGCTACCTGACTTCAGGAGTTACTACAGAGACAGTGTGATACTGGGACCTATGAGGAATAAGCCATAATGGAACAGAACAGAATCCAGAAACAAAGGCACACAGATATGGTCAATTACTTTACAAACATGGTATCAACATAATTCACTGGAGAAAGAAGAGGCTTGCTGTTGTTGTTTACTTTAAAACAAATGGTGTGAGAACAATCGGAAGTCTACATGTAAAACAATGAACCTCAATCCTTAGCTCTTTCCATTAAAAATTAACTCGAAATGGATCACAGATCTTTTTTTTTTTTTTTTTTTTTTTTTTTTGAGAACAGAGTCTCACTCTGTCACACAGGCTGGAGTGGCTGGAGTGCAATGGTGCGATCTCAGCTCATTGCAACCTCCGCCTCCCAGGTTCAAGTGATTCTCCTGCCTCAGGCTCCCAAGAAGCTGGGATTACATACGTGCACCATCACATCCGGCTAATTTTTGTACTTTTAGTAGAGACAGGGTTTCACCATATTGGCCAGGCTGGTCTCAAACTCCTGACCTCAGGTGTTCCACTCACCTCAGCCTCCCGAACTGTTGGGATTACAGGCGTGAGCCACCACGCCCAACCAAAATGGATCTCAGATCTAAACATAAAAGCTAAAATTACCACATTTTCAGAAGAAAACACAGATAATCTTTATCACTATGGATTAGACAAAGATTTCTTAAATAGGGTACAAAAAGCACAAACCATTAAAACAACTTAAAACCAAAAAGTCTGCCCATTGAAAGATATAACGGATAAAAAGGCAAGCCATAGACTGAGAGAAAATATTTGCAATACAAGTATCTGACAAAAGGTTTGAGTCAAGAATATGTAAAGAACACCTACAACTCACATATAAGAAGACAACCCAATTAAAAAGTGATCAAAAGATCTGAACAGACACTTCACAAAAGAATATACACAAATAGCTAATAAGCACATGAAAAGACGCTCAACTAAAACTGCACAGATACAGCACTACCACATTTCCACTAGAATAGCTAAAATTAATAAGACTGACAACAGCAAGTGTTGGCACAGACGTAAACCAACTGCAACTCTCATGCGTTAGCAGTGGGAACGTAAAATGATACAACTGCTTTGCAAAGCAGTTTGCCAGATTTTTAATCAAGTTAAACATCTACTTACCATGAAACCCTGTAATTCCACTTGTAGGTAGTTACGCAGGAGAAATAAAAACATATGTCCACGCTAAGATTTGCCCACGAATGCTCACAGCATGTCTTATATCATCTTTTATTGTGGTAAAATACTCGTAAGATAAAATTTACCATTTTAAAGCGTATAATCCAGTGGCATTTAGTACATTCGCAATGTTATGTAACCATCACCCCTATCTAGTTCCAGGACCTCAAAAGGAACCCCAATGCATATTAAGTGTTCACTTCCCATTCCCCCACCTCCCCAGCTCCTGGCAACCACTAACGTGTTTTCTGTCTGGAAAGATCTGCCCATTCTGAACATTTCATATCAATGAAATAATACAATATGCAGCTATTAATCTGTGCCTGGCTACCTTCACTTAGAATAATGTTTTTGAGGTGAATTCACATTGTAGCATGTATCAGCGCTTCACTCCTTTTTATGGCTGAATCATAGGCCATGTATGAATATACCACATTTAGCTTACCCATTCATCCACTGCTGGACATCTGGGTTTCCGTCCTTTGGCTACTGGAATAGTGCCACTGTGAACAGCCGTGTATAAGTTTTTGTGTGAGTCCCTGCTTTCAATTCTTTTAGGTATATACGTAGGAGTGGGAGTGCTAGGTCATATGGTAATTCTGTATTTAACTTTTTGAGGAATCTCCAAACTTTTTTCCAAAACAGCTACACCATTTTACATTTCTATCCGGAGTGTATGAGGGTTCTAATTTCTCCATAACCTCACCTACGCTTGTTATTTCCCTCCACCCTCCTTTTTTTTTTTTTAATTAAAGCTAGTAGGGTGCGAGATGGTATCTCACTGTGGCTTTGATTCACATTTCCCTAACAACTAATGATGTTAAGCACCTTCTCGCATGTTTATTGGCCGTTTGTAAATCACCTTTATTGACACATTTACCCATGTTTTAACTGGCAGTTTTTGTGGTTGAGTTGTAGCTCCCAGCACTTTGATTCACAATAAACCCAGAAGAGGAAACAATTCAAACTTCCACCAACTATTCAGCAATAAAAAGACATCAAGTGCCGGTATGCACAGCAACATGTAAGAATCTAAAAAACATTATGCAGAGTGAAAGGAGCTAGACAAAAGAGTATGCAGATGGTCCCCCATTTACAATGGTTTCATTTATGATTTTTTGGCTTTACAATGGTGTGAAAGCCATTCGAATCCAGTAGAAACGGTACTGCGAGTATCCACACAACCATTCTGCTTTTCACTGTCAGTGTGGCATTCAATAAATTATATTCAACACTTTATTATAAAAAAGGCTTTGTGTTAGATGACTCTGCCCAACGGTAGGCTAATATAAGTGTTCTGTGCACGCTGAAGGTGGGCTAGCCTAAGGTATGCTTTTGGGCGGGTCAGGTGTATCAAACACATTTTTGACTTAGGATATCTTCAACTTAATGATGGGTTTATGATTAGGATGTAATCCCATCACAGGTCTAGGAGCAACTGTCAAATATATGCTCCCACTTTGAAAGTATTGAAGAAATAAATCCAATCTATAATAATCTAATCTATGCAGATCAGTAATTGCTGGGAAGAGGGGGTTGAGTGAAAAGGGGCAACAGGGAAATTTAGGGGGATTCTCAGGGCCATATGGTCTCTGTGGCAACTGCTCACCTCTGCTGCAATAGCATAAAAGCAGCCACAGATGATTCGAAATAAATTGGCCCAGCACACTTGACCTGCAGGCCCAAGCTTACCAAATCCTGGTCTATATCCTGATTATGGTGTCAGTCACATGGCTATCTACATGTGTCAAAACTCAGTTAGCTGTGTTTGAAGTGAATACATTTTGTCATAATTCATGTCAATAAAACTGAGTAGGACAGCATTGCCTCTAGTGGGACTCCACGTGGAAAGCACCCCAAGTCTAAGGTGCATCCAACCTGGGGACCGCTACTTTCTCCCCATGGGCCTGTCCCACCCACTCCCAAGTGTGGGCCTGTCTTAGGGCAGCAGTTCAAAAGCCTCTGGGGAGCCTGTTAAAACAGATGGCTGAGTCTGGGCACCGTGGCTCACACCTGTAATCCCAGCACTTTGGGAGGCCGAGGAGGGTGGATCACCTGAGCTCAGGAGATCGAGACCATCCTGGCCAACATGGTGAAACGCTGTCTCTACTAAAATACAAAAAATTAGCCGGGCATGGTGGCGTGTGCCTGTAGTCCCAGCTACTCAGGAGGCTGACGCAGGTGAATGGCTTGAACCCACGAGGCAGAGGTTGCAGTGAGCTGAGATCACACCACTGCATGCCAGCCTGGCGACAGAGCAAGACTCTGTCTCAAAAACAACAACAACAACAACAACAACAACAAACAGATGGCTGGTCCCACCCCACAGTTCCAGATGCCAGGGAGACTCTGCATTTCCCAGGGGTGCAATGCCGCTGGTGCGGGGACCACTCTCAGAGAAGCACACTCCCATTCCTCCAGCGTTCAGTCCATGTGGAACTGAGAGTCAGTGTTGCAGGCAAAATGCAGGCCATCCCTGCCCGGCCTGGAGACAATGCCAGCACTCACTAAGGTGATGAGGAAAATGCTCACAGTCCACCAGCGATGGGACAGCCCCATGCATCTGTGGGCCCCGGGGCCAAGAGGAGGCACAGCACACACCGAGAGTCAACAGCAGCTCATGGGGATCCTTCACCAAAGGGGCGGCCCCAGCCAGTCTCTGTCCCTCCCACCCACCTCACGGCTTCCTCCCACTCTGCTCCATCCTTCTCTTCAGGATGCAACCCTTCCAAGCGGGCCTCCCTCAGCCCTATCTGCCCATGACCCCCCTCCACTTCCCCACTGCCCTTCACGGCAGCAAAATTCTTGAAAAAGCAATAGGGTCCTGCTGTCCCAAATTCCCCTCCTTCCTTCTCTCAAGAAACTCACCCCATACTTCAGCCCACCATCCCAGACCACATGGATAAACCCCAGGTTGTCTTCGGTTCTCACCTTCGTGACCTCCGCTGTCACCCTCCCTCTCATGCAAGCTGCATGTGGCCTCCAGGATGCCCTCAGAACCCTCTGGTTATCCCCTACCTCGCTGGCCGCACCTTCTTGGTTTCTTGTTCCAGGCTCAGTCCTCGGACCTCTTCTCTTTTCCATCTACCTCAACTCCCTAGTGGTCTCATCCAAACTCCCTTTCAAAATGTCATCTCTATAGCTACAATATATTGCCAAGATTAGGGTCCCAGCTCAGAGCACTCCCCCAAACTCCAGATCCCTTCCTCCAACTTCCTCCTCCCCACCTCCACTGGGACACTTCAGTAGGACTCTCACCTGTACTATCTTGAGAGCCACACCATCCCTCTGAATCCTCACAACTCCTCCCCTGAAGACCTCAGTCTCAGAGTGATGGCAACTCTACCCTTCCAACACCCGATCCAAGACTCTTGGGTCATCCTGGACCCCTTGCTTGCTGCAACAGCCCTCATGGGATCCATCACAGTCCTGTTGGCTCCGTCTTCGCAGAACACCTGCAATCAGCCTGCCTCCCACCCGAGGAGACTGCCCGAGCTCCTGCAAGGCCCGCCCCGCACCGCCCTCCTACCATTGCTCATGTGTGCCTAAGTGTCCCCTCACCACTCCTCACCTCCCCTACATCTAGGGCTCAGCAAGGCACAGGGGCCACCTGATTTTAAATCACAACCACCCTCTCAACAAACCACTGGCCCCTTAAGCGGCTGGACCTAGAACTATCTATCTCCCCTCTCATTAGCCTCCCATCTCCCTCCACTTGACCATATTCCCCGGCACCCCAGCCATGACTGACATTCAATACGTGTTTTCTGGGGAAGCAGTGAAACTTCATCAAGTGGACAAGTGCAAGAGTTGGGAGGGCCCTGAAAGGTAAGCAGTTCCTTCAGGTCAGGAACCTAAGACAAAGGAGCATCACCCACCAGGGACCAAACGTGCCAGCACTGTGACCTGCCCAGATGGCTCAGCTCCTTGTGGGCCCTCAGAAGGAGGGGGCTATACAGGATAAGTGTGATCCAGATGGGGGAAAAGAATGTGCATCCACCCACTGGGTGGTTCTGTGCAGGCGCAAAGGCAGGCGGCTCCTGGCAGCACAACAATGAACATGTGCCAAGACCCTCAGCCCTCAAAGATGGCCCAGGGCTCAGAGCCCCGCCACAGCCCTGCTGCAGCACTGGGCTGTGCCCTCACAGCACATGGGACACACCGGTCAGGAACAACAACAAACAAAAGCTCCTAAACTCACAGTGAGAACCAAGTGGGTCAATTGCAGGCCTAACGGGAAACTTTCTGTCCTTCCAAACAAAGTCAAAACACACACACAAATCAGAAGGCCTAACAAACACCCACATTCTACATCAAGGCAAATTACGTTCTGGCTGCTCAAGCAACTCTAATTTCTTGCAACAGATCAGGAAAATACAAAAACTGTTACAATTCTAAGCAATTTCTACTTTTTACTTTGTAGACTTCTATGCAGCACGCATCACTTATGTTTTTGCTATAGCTTTAGGTTACTTAACATATCCTTTACTAAATGGAAGAAGAAAACAAAGACACCACAGGAAATGCTGGAACAAGCCCCAGGTCCAGGTCAGCCAACCAGCAATGGGGACCCCTCTGGCGCAGGCTCCAGACCAGACTTGGCCTTTGTTTCTGTACTGAGTGTAAGGATAACCCTTCTGTGGCTGGATTGTACTATTATTTAATTGTCAGGGTCTTTGTCTTGTCTCCCCTAATGCTGATAGTAGCATATTGATTTCTATCCTTCATAGCCCACAAAGCACATATTCAGAGGATCAATAACTATTGATTCATTGATTGCCTCATGGAAGCCAATTCATCTGTTATTAAGACGTGTAGAAACATGAACTTCCACAAATCAAATTCTATTTAAAACGCCAGAGGAAAGTATATGACCTAATGAAGACCACTTTTTGAAAATTCATTTTGATATTCCAAAAATAATTCCTTGTAACAGAAACAAACCATACATAAGTACAAAAAGAAGACAAAGTATAGGTTCCCTCTTCCTCTTCCCTCTCCTCCCCCAACACACACTCACTCACATTCACACACGCCCCACCCTTTGCTAACTGTGGAGTGCTGCTTTCACTCAGGGCTGAGTCCCTAGAGCCTGGGGCAGCGCCTGGCACCAGGTCCACATAGGCGGCTCCATAATGATCTGCTGAATACCAGGTGTGTGTCCTTCCAGATGGGCTTCCGTGCTGAGCGCCTGCACTTGTGCATGGAGAGGGCACATTCTCTATAGTCTACACTAAGGAGTGACATTTCTACTTAATAGATTGGCATATCTTTTAAAGTAAACCTTTGAATGATGCCATCATGAAGTAAAGAATCCAATGGCATGTTTTACAGGGAGGAATTGGAGATCTCCGATTATTATTAACTTTTCATGATGGAGAATTTTCAAAGTGCATGCAAGTAGGCAGAACAGAACAAAGAACCCAGGTACTCTCATCCAGACCCCAAACTGTCCACTCAGACCATCTCGCCCCTTCTCATCCCCTCTGCTTCCCCACCCCACACTAATCTGAGGCAGATCCCAAACATCATTTCATCTACCAACACTCAGTATCTATTGCTAAAGGGTGAAAGTTATTCTAACATAACCACGATGCTGTGATTAAGGAATTCCTTAAAATCATCATTCACTCCACAAATGTCCATGAGACACATCAATAGCCTAGTTTTCAAAGGAGTGATGCTTGGATCAAATGCTGATCCAAGTGACAGCCTGGATCAGGCTTTGATCGAAGCCAGAAATCTTGGGGTGCCACTTAGATGTGATCCAGGGCAGGGATGCAGTCATTGCTTTCATGGGCAGCATCTGAAACTTCTGGACCAAATAACAGGACCCTGCCTGCCCCCCACTGAGGTTTGCACAGGTGCTGTGGGAAGGCGGCTGCTGATGCCCCAGGGGAAGCAGCAAGGCAGTAGAAAGCTGGGGCCCCTGCTGTGACACCCCCAGCTAAAGGCAAATTCGCTCAGGGAGGGTCACAGAAGCTGAAAAGTGACCCACAAGCAGCAAAGCAATTTGCTTATCCCAAGGATCGCCTTAACTAGTGCACCTAAAACACCACCCAGCTTCCAGGGAAGGCCCTGGCACACCCTCTCCACCTGACTGAATCAGCAGCTATCTCCTCCAGCAGCCCTGGACCCTGGACGGCAATGGTGATGGGGATGGGGATGCAATGGGCAGGGCTGAGGAACTGCACCTGCCAAGCCCAGGGCGGACCCTGGCCCAGGGAAGAGAGGACCCACCCCAGCTGCCTCTGCCACCTCCCTTCTCACCTTCTAGTCTTCTTCCTGGAATTGTCCAAGTTCAAAGAAGAAATAACTGCCCTGGTTGGGAACAGCAGGCAGCAGCCTTTCTCTCAGCAACTAGGCTCGACAATCAGCCGACGGCACGTTTATTTCTATATTTTCACGTGGCAAGTTTCATCCCCATGGGTCCTAGCTCCAACCCTGGAGCTCTGGCTCCAGGGGTCAGGAGGAGAATCTGCAACCACCCTCCTGGACCCGCCCATCCCTCCCTCCCCAACAGAAATGGAACCAAGAGAGGCAGAAGCCTGAACAGCCTCAATGCAGAAGCACAGAAGATAGAGAAAACCATTGATCTTTGCAATGCATTATTGATTTTGCTGTTGTGCTGTCAGCAGCGGACGTTCCCTCCCTCCTCAGTCAAAGCTGGCCATTAGCGTGCACTCCCAAGCTTTGGCCTAGACACACCCGCTTGGTGTGGGGAAAGCGGCTCTAGGTAACATCTGCCTCCAGCGGTCCACATGGAGAGGACTGTCCACAAGTGGATGATGTCACCAAGGACATCTCCCTGGCCCCAGACCCACTGGATATCAAATGCAACATGGTCGCTGGTCTTGCACTCTAAACCTCAGCCCAGGACCCCAGGCACTCAGGGGGGTCTGTGCAAGGCTGCATTTTCAACAGACTCTGGGTGTGCTTCTCAGGAGGTGGGCCCCCTCCCATGGAGTCCCTCCCTTGTGCTGTGCTGCAAGACCTTGGGCTGGCATGGCAGCTGGGGCTCTGCATCCCCACGGTGGCCTTTTGCCTGTCTGCACTCTGAAATACAGCCACTGAGTTCCACCGTCTACCAACTCCTAAGCGGCCCACCCTCCTGGGACCCCAGGGCTGCTCCTGGCACCAGTGATGTGTTTCTATTTCTTTGTTTGACTCGCTGAGTGTACCACGTACACTCTTCTCAGTCTGAAGGTCTGGCCTTATGGGAGGGCAGTCTTTGCTCACAGAAACAGGCCAGTGCATCCCTCATCTTCCCACCCCAGCCTCCCTGGTGGGTATGCTGAGCCCGCCTGCTTTCTTCTTCTGGCTGACGACTACCAAGACATGATATACGCAGACACCAACTGTCAAAATGACAATCAGGGCATTATCATCTCTACCAGAATCCTGCCCCTGCACTGGCCAGAGCTGCCTGTTTCTGGGACACAGTAAACATTCCCAAATAACCTCGCCTGGGCAGCCAGCAGGCAGGCCCCAGGCCTAGGACACATATGAGGTGACAGGCCACTGGTGTCACGTCACCCCCAGGAAAGGAAACTTCCGTTCCGTGGCGCCTGGTGGATTTGAAAAGACTCAGAACAGCAGGGTGAGATGCTTGGCCCCAGGCCCCACGTCCAGCTTGGCCTTCGGGGGCCTGGCCACCCACGAGCCTGGGATGTGCTCAACACAGAGTGAGGTTTTCAAAACAAAAGCAAAGCAACTTCATGTGGAAAACCTTCCGGAAAGCAGGACCCAGCCCTCGACACCAGGCCTCATTTGACGCAAACTGCCCACTTACAGACTCCCATTCACCCACTCTCCCACCTACCCCCCAAAATACTAAGCCAGAAAATAGAGGACAACCACGAGTTCAACTCTCCTTTACACGTTTTTACTGGCATAACCCCAGTAGAGCCAGCCCCTTGCAGCTCACTAGGCGGCTGCAACAGGTGCAGCCCAAGCTAAGGCTTGTGGTTCTCCTGGGCTGTTCTAGAATAATGCAACCAAAACCCGAAAGGAAACCGAGGCCTGCAGCACTCACTGCCAAGGCGGCGACCTGACCACTGCGGCCCAACCTGCCCCACCTGTCTGAGTGCGCGGCGCCGGGTCCAGTGCACAGGGTCCGCGGCCTCCGCGACCAAAATAGAAGCCCGCGGGGGCCCGGCCAGAGCCCGGCTGGCCGGAGTGGGGCCTGACCTGGCGGGGCCGGACTGGGCGGGCCGGGGCGCGACGGGGCCTGGCCGAGCGCACCGCCCCCTCCCTGGCCCGGGTATGCAGCGCGCCCCCGCTCCCCCGCGCCCAGAGGAGCCACCTGCGCGCAGGGACTGGGGAGGCAACCGGGAAGGGGAGAAGGCCGGGGAGGGATAGCAGAGAGGTCCAGGGGGTCGGAGGGGTCCGGGTAGGTGTCTCTGGGAGGCGTCCCAGGAGGGGCCCCGGGGGGATCCAGGAAGGAGTCCAGGGGTCCGGGGATCCCAGAAGGAGGCTCCTGCAGGGGTTCGGGGAGGGCCCCGAGGGTCCGGTGAGGAGCCTAGGGGTGTGGAGTGGGGGCTCCGCGGAGGGTCCAGGCCGCCCCCAGCGCACCTGCCCGGCCCCGCGCGCCCTCCCTCCCGCGCCAGCCCGGCCGCTTACCTGCAGCGCGCGTCCTGCCCGCGGCGGCTCCCGGCCGGGCGAGTTCGGGCGCCAGGAATGGCGGCGGCGGCGGCGGCGGCAGCGGCGGGAGGCGGCCGGGCCGGGGAGGGGGTGGCGGGGAGGCCCGGCGGCGGCAGCGGCGGCTGGGATGCTGCGGCGCGCGAGAGCGCTGAGGCCGGCGCGGGGACGGAGTGCGCGGGGCGGGCGCGCAGGCCCCTCCTCCGCTCCCCCTCCCTTCCCGCCTCCTCCCCTTTCCCTTCCCCTTCCTCTCCCCCTTCTTCTCTTCCCTCCTATGGCCCCGCCCCTTTCTTCCTCCTTCCTCCTCCCTCCTCCTCGCCCCTGCTCACCTCCCTCCTTTCCCTCCCCCAACCTTTCTTTTCCTCCCTTCTCTTTTTCCTCCTCTTTCTTCACCTTCGCAACACTCTTCCACCTCTCTCCCCTTCTCCCCACTTTTGCTCCCCACTCCTTCCTCCTCACCTCCCATCTCTCTTGCCTCCCCGCCAGGCCCAGAGGGTTGTCCCTCAGCCCTGGGTTGGTCTCTGCTGAGTCAAGCACCCGTTCCCAGGACCAAGAGGTGCCCTGTCACCCTCTTCCTCACCAGCTCTCAATAGACAAGCTTGCCCCTTCTGGGGTCCTGGATGAACCCCACCCTTTCCAGGCCTCCCCCAAATCCCCCAGTTTTTTTTCACCCCCAGACCCTGGGCCAGCTCTTCTGAGAACCTGACCTGCAGTGTGCGTGAGGCACGTGGCACCCAGAACACTTGGCTGCTGACTTTGGGCAAGAATATTTCACACCAGGCTGCTCCCATTCCCCAGGGGAGGGGCTGGCACCACCTGGAGTCTTGGTTTCCCTGAACCCCCGTGCTAGCCTTTTGCCAAACGTTCATCATTTTCCACTCTGTATGGCAAATGGTCCTCCTGTGAGGCTGCTGGTGAGACTTGTTTGTGACTAGCCCATGGGTTTGGGGATCTGGGGGCCCTCAGAGATGGTGCTGCTCCATCCAGACCTCTTCCCTCTGCCCCCAGGAGAGGTGACAGGGCTCGCACAGTGACTGGCCAGGCTGGGAGGCCTATTGAGGAACACAGTCCTGAGAAGGGGACACAGTTTCTTACGGAACCAGCTAAGATTTCCCCTAAATGTGAGGAGTTGGGGAGCCCCTCTCCAGGCCAGGTGATACCTCCCTGGACTACAGACTGCTGTTGAGGGGCAGGGGCCCTGAGGCTGTTTTCCTGCTGAGCACTGGCTCTGAGAGCCAGAGTTTACAAATGAAGCCAGTCCCAGGCCCAACAGTCACAGAGTTAAAGGCCCAACAGTCTCAGAGTTCCGTTCTAGGGCCTCCTGTGGTTTCTGTGGTTCAGTGCCGGAGCTCTGAGAATAGGGCTTCGGCCCAGCAAAGGCTAAGATGGCAAAGCTGGTGTCAAGCAGGGTGGGGTGGAGCACGCACCCCCTCCTCCCTCTACGGCATGGCAGCCACCACCCTCTTGCTGAAGAATCCAGACCTGGAATCTGATAGACTCCCTTGACTCACAGCTCTGCAGTTTCCAAATAACCTCAGGCCTCAGCAAACCTCTGTACCCTGCAACATGAGGACAGTGTGGTCGTCCTGGAGGGTTTGGGGAGCACGGAGAGAGAATGGCAGGTAAAGCCCACTGCACCGTGTGCTCGGGTTCAGTGCTGGTGACTATTACAGGAAAAACTAGAGAAGTCTTTTCCAAGCTCTTTTCCAATTGTAGGGGTCCATGAATCCATGTTCCACATCCCATTTGGATTGAAACATAATGGGAACGGATTAGGACAGAACTGGTTTAACAGCATTCTATACCCAAGGAGGGATGCACGCTTAGGATCTACACATGCAAGCATTGCACTGATTGGGGTGGGGTGGGGGGACTCTCTTTTATTCCTCACTAGTCAGACACATCTAGAATACCATGCCCTTGCTTGGTGTCTAAGGCAGCCAGCAGTATCCCGTGGGAGGGGAGTTGACCCACCGGGAGTCTTCAGCCTAGAAAATCAATGTGTGGAGCACAAGACAGAAGAACCCCAATATGTGCAAAACTGTCCCGGGAAGAAGGATTACTCTGTGGTGTTATGAAGGGCAGAATGAGGACAGATGGGTGGAAATTAGATGAGAAAGTGGATTCCTGCCTATCGTGGGCGCTTTCTGACAGACCTCACTGTGGAAGAGCCGGCTGCCCCTACAGGAGCGTGCCCTTCACAGCCAGCGTCTAGACAGGCCTGGGGCCACCTTGGGAACACACTGCAGGGAGGGGACCAGCAGCAGAGGGGTATGCTTCTCAACAACTGCTGAATTCTCTCCTGGCTTTTAGACCCACATGCTCAGAATCTAATAGAGGGCAGCCCAGGGCAAAGAAGAGACTTTGCATGGCTGTCCTGGGGCCCACACTTCTGGCATCATGACCTTCCAGAATACTGTCCTCTCTAGCCTGTTTCCTAATGCATACAGAAGAACATGAGAGAATTCAGTAAAAACTCCAAAAAGCTTTCCGCAATGCCCAGGCTGCGAACACAAGGGCTTCTTTGCACCGTGCTTATATAAAATTGCCCCCAAACATGTTTATTGCATTCATGAAGGAGACAGGACTCTTAGTTGTAAGTGATAGAACTTCAGCCCATACTATTGGCTCACTTGCATCCAAAGATGCCCCAAGTACCATTAGAACCGGGACTTGGATGCCATTATTAGGTCTTCCTCTTCCCTCCTCTCTGACCTTCTTCCCTGTTCCCTTCTCTCAGCATGATTGCCTATGTCTCCCAAAGTGACCAAGCTTGCCTTTTTATTCTTGTTTCACACTCTGTCGTGGGACATTTCAAACATAGATATAAAAGTAGCAGGCTGGGTGCAGTGGCTCACGCCTGTAATCCCAACACTTTGGGAGGCTGAGGCAGGCGGATCACCTGAGGTCAGGAGTTCGAGACCAGCCTTGCCAACATGGTGAAACCCCGTCTCTACTAAAAATACAAAAATTAGGTGGGCATGGTGGCACAAACCTGTAATCCCAGCTACTCAGGAGGCTGAGGCAGGAGAATCACTTGAACCCGGGAGGCGGAGGTTGCAGTGAGCCAAGATCATATACCACTGCACTCCAGCTTGGGCGACAGAGCAAAACTCAGTCTCAAAAAATAAAAATAAAAGTAGCTAAATGAACTCCAATCTTGCCTTACCTCTCACCCCCTTACTTTCCCCTCCAATATTAAGTTCAAGCATATCAAAGATCATATTAACCAATCTATTTCCTAGTTTCCCCAGAAATGCCAAGTGTTTGGATACTGAGACCATGCTTTGCAAAGTTTCTCTGCATTTCCCAGCCAGAATGTTGACACCATCTATATGCATATGAGCATAGTAACTGGATTGATAATAGTTAAGTCCCATATGAGAAAAAAACTCAAGTATGGCAGCACAAATAATACTCAGCTTCCAACACGGCCCAGGTGGATATGAGGAGAGAGGATCCTCTGCTTCCACTTTGCAGTGCAGGAGGGAACAGGCACGTAGTGGGCTGGGAGCCGTTTCCAGATCGCCCAGTGTGGAGCCTTACGCAGTGGAGGAGGTGTCTTCAGAAAGAGTCGGCCTGCCGCCTCTCACCTGTAGTGGCATGCAGAGTGTCCAGGCTAAGCTTAGAGAGAGAGTCAGCACAGCAAGTGGAGAAACGGGGTCCTCTGAGGGACTGTGGGAAGGTTGGCTCTGGGACCTGCCAGCAGCTTCTAGAAAAGTCCGGGGAGATGTCCTTTGAATGTGACCACACTCTGCAGAGACGTGGGTGAGCCACACCTCCACTGTTACCATGCAGTGGCTGCCAAGACCATGCTGTGACTCCTACTCCTAGCTCTGTTCCTCCCCGCACCCCAGAAAAGGCTGGTAAGAGTGTGGCCTTCCTGGCCAGCCTCTCCAAAATAGAGAGTCCACACCGGTCTCTGTCAGGCACCCTGATTGTTAGAACATGTCAATGAAGGAAGCCGAAAGGGATTTTGAAGGCTCTGAGATCCCCAGGCACCTCTAGCACCCTCATATGTCCTTACTGCCACTGAGACCCCCACAGGACCCACAGAGCTCTTTTTGTTAAAGCCACACTTGGAAACGTGGGGTCACACCAGCAGAAGCATAGAAATGAAGGCCGTGCTGAGATGTTATCATTGCTCTGTGCTCCTGCACAGCGTTCAACTGTCAAACCACTAAGTGCTAGATAAATCTGGTGAAGGGGTGTAATCCATTTTTGGTGCACACACTCATGGCAGCACTTCCCACATCACTGAACATGCAGAATGGTTTACCAAGCCATCCTTCGTCATACTGGGGAGTGTACAGGATGCTGATGTGGCCCCATCTGACCATTGATCTAATCAGTGCTGGTGTCTGCTGGATTAGACTTGCCCCAGCAAGTGAACTTGCCCCAGCAATGCCTTTCTGACCTTTAAGGTGACTGCTGTCACCAACTGCCAGACCATGGACCTCTTCGCATCCCTGGCTGGCTGGCAGACACCCACTTATGTGTCAAGGCTCTGCCCTGGCATCATTTCCTCCAACACAAACCCATGCACCCTGGGCAGAGCTAATATCCCCCACCCTGCTCCTCAGCTCGAATGTCACCTTACACGTCACTTCCTTGGTGCCTGCACCAGCTTCCATTATAATTGTTTGTTGATAGTTTTCTTTCTTCTCTGGTCTACATTTTGAACTTCACAGAGTGGTGAGGTCTACAGAACTCTTTTCAGAGTAATGTGTTTAAATGCATAAAGTCAAATACAGGATTCAAAAGGAAATGAATTATACTGAAATCCAGCTACCAAAATACTTTAAAATGTGATCTACTTGCTTCTTTTTTAATAATATGCTCTGGCGGCAGATCTGATAGCTGTAGTTTCCAAGTCATGATAAGTCAGCCGATATTTTAAAGTCTGTAACGAGCATGATGTGATGTGAGAATCGCTGTGATTTCTGCTGAGAAGTCCTTACATACTGCTGATGTGGCTGTGTTTGTTGCCTGCATGTACACCCGAAGGAAATGCTTCCTTTCAGTTAGAGGTTAGTGGGGAAAAAAATGTAATTCTTTTCTTATCATCCTTCCATCTGGATGGACCCTTCAAAGTTGATCAGACTAAGAATTACTATTTTAAAGGAAAGGGACCTTGTATCTCCAGCATCTTGCATAGTGCTTTATAAAGTTGCCATCAAACATGTTTATAGCATTAATGAAGGAGACAGGACTCTTGGTGGTAAATGACAGAAATTCAGCTCATACTATTGGCTCACTTGCGTCTAAAGGTGCTCCAGGTACAGTTAGATCCAGGGACTTGGATGCCATTATTAAATATCCCTCTTCTCTCGGCTCTCTGACTCTTTCCCTCTTTCTCTCTGATTGGCCCTAGCTCTGTTTGGGTGTTGGTTTTATCCTCTCCTGTCACAAGGCTCCTGGCCACCAAACTCTAAAATGATGACAAAGACTCTTTCTCTTTATATTGCAAATCTCATGGAAGAACTTTGATTGGCTCTGTTGGCTCTCATGCCAATCCCATTTACCCAAAATTCCAGAGAAGGATGAGAAACCACAACCGGTCAGACCTGGGCCACATGCATATGCTTGCAGCAGGTACAGTTCACAATCTCACAGAACTGCAGGGCTGTGGGAGAGCAGTTCCCTAATGCACAGATGAGTGCTAAGCAAATAGAAACAACATGTGCCCAGGTGTGTTCAAGTCAGAGGGCAAATGAGCAATCACAGAGTGTTTATTTGGATGCACGATTCCCTGCTATGATAAAAATCCAGTGGTTTGACTGAGACAGAAGTTTATTCATTTCTTATATAACATTATCAGAGGTAGACATGTGGACCAGGACTGGTGGGGAGCTTTGCTGTCTCCCATTTGGATGTTACCGTCCATCTAGCTGGAAAGAGGAAGAGTATGATCAATAGATTTCATAGGCCAGGACGAGTGTGATCAATAGATTTCAGTGCAATACCAGGAAGTAGCACACATCACTTCTGTCACATACCATTGACCAGAACTTAGTCCTGGGCCCACATGTAGCTGCAAGGGGGAGTTGGAAATGTAGCTGCTAGTTGAGTGACTATGTAACCAGCTAAAAGTCTGTAATTAATATATTAAGGAAAGGAAAAACAGATATTCATGGACAACTAGGTGAGTGCCATGCTCACTGTAGTGTCATTAGTGCTACTATACATTTAAGTGGAAAATTGCTCACCTACTAGAATGTCTAAAATTGAAAATAGCAAGTGTTGGCAAGGATGTGGAGCAGCTAGAATTCTCATACATCTTCGCTGGGAGTGTAAAATAGTATGGCCACTTTGGAACATACAGAGCAATACTACTGAAGCTAAATACTCAAATGCTCTATAACCCAGCAATTCCTCTTCTGGATAGAATGCACAAAAATAAGTGCATATGTTTACCAAAACACATATATAAGAATGCTCATGATAACTTCATTTGTTGTGACTCCAAACTAGAAACAACCCGAGTGTCTATCAGTAGTAGAAAGACAAATAACTGGTGGTAAAGTCACCCTATGGAATACTACAAAGTAATGAAAAAGGGAAAGAACTCCACGTAGCAAAAAGGTGAGTCTCTTAGACATAATTCTGAAAGAAGTCAGACATACACAAAAGAGCCGCTACCGTATAATTCTGTCCATAAGAAGTTCTACAACAGCAAACATAACAAAGGGATCAATGTCAGAATAGCAGTTACTCTTAGGTAGGTTCTGAATTAGAGAAGGCACAGTGGGAGGCTGAAAGTGTTGAGTATCTGGACCTGGGTGGTGGTTACCTGAGTGTATACATATGTCAAAATTCACTGGCCGGGCGCGGTGGCTCACGCCTGTAATCCCAGCACTTTGGGAGGCCGAGGCGGGCGGATCACGAGGTCAGGAGATCGAGACCATCCTGGCTAAAACGGTGAAACCCCGTCTCTACTAAAAATACAAAAAATTAGCCGGGCGTAGTGGCGGGCGCCTGTAGTCCCAGCTACTTGGGAGGCTGAGGCAGGAGAATGGCGTGAACCTGGGAGGCGGAGCTTGCAGTGAGCCGAGATCCCGCCACTGCACTCTAGCCTGGGCGACAGAGCGAGACTCCGTCTCAAAAAAAAAAAAAAAAAAAAAAAAAAAATTCACTGAGCTCTGCACTTTAATGTTTAGAATTTATCCTCAATAGAAAATTTTAAAATGCAAAGAAGTAAAGAGAAGTGTCTGTAACTAAAAATGATGGTGTGTTCAACTTTCAGTAGGGCCCCTGCTCTGGCTTGGGAGAGCCATCCCCCACCCTGCTCTCTACACTGAATATCAAACATAGCAAAAGTCCTGGTGGAGCATTCCTGAGGGGCAGATGCTGCCTGCAGGCTGAGTTCTGTCCTTGACAACACCAGAGCTTGAGTTTCTCATAGAAATATGCAGGACAGGCCATGCTGTCCTCATGTTATGGAGGAGGAAACAGGGCAGGTCAGTGAAGTTTATTCTTCACTGGATGTGCTCTTTCTGGGCACAATTTTGACCTCGTGTTTGGACTTTCTAATAGAGTCTCTACACACATTTTAATGTGTGTTACAACTTCCAACAGGCAGTAAGAGGCCACCACCAGTGCTGTGCGCAGACCAGGCAGTGATGCTGAGCAGGTGCAGGAGTAGCCCCTGCCCAGGGAAGTGCAGGCCAGCCCCTCAAAAGGGAAAGGGCACCTCACGCCTGCCTCCCACCCAGTTATTTGTTGCTAGGAAAGGTGCCGTGAACCTGAGCATGGGAGAACTCAATTGTTCTGATTCCCTTTTGATTATTCGGGAATTTGGAGAGTACAAAGGATTGGATTTTTCAAAGAGAAACATTGAGAGCCTTATTGCTATTCTTATGACCCCATGGTTTTCTCCTTTCTCTGTCTATGACTGTCAGGTGGCTGACAGCCATCTCCTCATGGCACTGAGTTTTGCCTACTCTCTGTTCCACGAGTCTCTGCATCTGCCTTCTCCTTTACTCGGGACCCTTCATCACATTGGATTGGAGGCACTGACCAGACACAGACTGTTCTCATGCTGTGTATTTCCCTGGCACAGAGGAGGAAATTGTAGGCTTTGAATGAAGGCACCGCCTGCCCGCAAACAACAATAGCCCCACCTGGTTAGCATTCAGTTTGGAAAAGCCATTGTATGGAGTAGCCAAATGGAAAGATTCTGCTCTAAGTACTCTGGACTTGCCAGCAGAAATTAAAAGTATGTTCAAATCAGGCCATTGTCCAAGCATAATCAGACGCCCAGACCTGCTGCTTTCCTGACCACGCCTCCAGAGCCAGACAGCCCTCTTCAAGGCCAGCATTTCATGCCTGCCTGGGAAGCACTCGACTGTTACTTTATTCAACAGAACCAGAATCATTTGGGAAGAGAGTATGCGAAGATTGAGCTGTAACCAGAATAAAGGTAGAATTTCCTGTGATTGAGGCAAAATACAAGAGTAAAAATAAGATATTGGAAAAATATTAGATATCAGTGAAAACCTTAGTTTCAACAGAAAATTGATAAGTGTAGACATTTATCAATTTATGTTGCATATCAAAAGTAGCCACATAAAACAGAAGTAAACAAAAGAAAAGATGACAACTCTTCTTCCTCCCCCACTTCTGGGACAATCAGTCCTAGTGTTGGATATGCTTTATTCCAGGCCTTGTGCCCCTCAAATACATAAATATGTATGTACTCTCTTAAAAGGCCTGGTAGCAATCACTCAGTCTCTCTCTCTTTCTATCTCTGTTATTTATTTTAAAAGTGTGCAAGATTTAAATTTCGTTTTGCAATCTCAGGAACATCCTTCAGTATACATCCATACAGCTCTACTTCATTCATTTAAAGATAATTTAAAACTAGCATCAACGTAACAAATGCACAAAGTAAAGACAAACCCAACAGTCCATAAGTATATTAAACATTTATTTCCCACCCTATCTCCTATCCTAATCTCAAGAGAAAGCATTTTTTGATTCTGGTAATTACCTCTGTAACTCTAAAATAAGGTACTCTGTTTCCTGGTTTATCAGCATTAGATAGTAGCTAACAACTTCTTGGGATGAGAGATGAAGATTTGGCATCCACTTGGCCCCACATCTCCTGGTCCCTTTGTGAACCCAAAATATCTGAGACAGGTCTCAGTCAATTTAGAAAGTTTATTTTGCCAGGCGGGGTATAGTGGATCACGCCTGTAGTCCCAGCACTTTGGGAGGCCAGGATCACCTGAGGTCAGCAGTTTGAGACCAGCCTGGCCAACATGGTAAAACCCTGTCTCTAATAAAACTACAAAAATTATCTGGGCATGGTGGCGTGTGCCTGTAGTCCCAGCTACTCGGGAGGCTGAGGCAGGAGAATCGCTTGAACCCGGGAGGCAGAGGTTGCAGTGAGCCGAGATGGTGCCACTGCACTCTAGCCTAGTGACAGAGTGAGACTCTATCTCAAACAAAAAAAAAAGGAAGTTTATTTTGCCAAGGTTAAGGACATGCCCATGTGACACAGCCTTAGGAGGTCATGACAACAGGTGGTTAAGCTACAGCTTGCTTTTATACATTTTAGGAAGACATAATATGTCAATCAATACATATAAGCTGTACATTGGTTCCATCTGGAAGGGCGGGGCAACTTGAAGTGGGAGTGGGGGCTTCCAGGTCATGGGTAGATTTAAACATATTCCGATTGGCAATTGGATGACAAAGTTATTATCAGTAGAACGGACTGTGTGGGTTAAGGGGTTGTAGAGACCAGGGTTCTTATTATGCAGATGGAGCCTCCAGGTAGCAGGCTTCAGAAAAAATAGATAGTGAATGTTTCTTAACAGACTTACGGTCTGTGTTGATGTTGATGCTGGAGGGGTATAATGAGGCATGTCCAACCCCCGTTTCCTGTCCCAGCCTGAACCAGTCTTTCGGGTTAGATTTTAGAGTGCCCTGGCAGAGGAGGAAGTTCATTCAGGTGGTTGCAGGGGGAGGGGTCCTTCAAACTTTATTTTTGGTTTACACCTTCTAAATTATTGAAAATACTAATATAGTCATCCCTTGCTATACATGGGGGATTGGTTTCTGGACTCCTGGGTATGCCAAAATCCACGCATACTCAAGTCTGGAAGTCGACCCACAGAACCCACATGTAGGAAAAGTCCACCCCGTCTACATTAAGGTTTTGCATTCAGTGAATACTGTATTTTCCATCTGTGTTTGGTTGAAAAAATTCTGTGTATAGATGGGCCCATGCAGTTCAAACTCTTGTTGTTCAAGGGTCAATTGTAGTATTACTAGGTTTCCTATTTGTCTCCTATATATCATCAAACACTAAGCTTGACGGTTTATTTTTCCCACTTACTGTAGGCAATTTTAGGCAGCTTCATTTGACTCCCTGCTGTATTAGTGATCTCCAGAGAACAGAATCAATAGGTGATACGTCTCTATATCAATCTACCTACCTACCTTCCTATAGAGAGATTTATTATAAGGGATTGGCTTCAGTAATTATGGAGGCAGAGAAGTCCCACAGCCTGCTTTCTGCAAGCTGGAGACCCAGAAAAGCAAGTGGTGTAATGCATTCGAGTCTGAATGCTTGAGAACCAGGGGACACAATGGGGTAAGTCCCAGTCCAAGGGTAAGACAAAGCCAATGCCCCAACACAAGTAGGCAGGCAGGAAGGGGGCACATCCTCCCTTCTTCCTCGGTTTGGTCTATTCAGGCCCTTGATGGGTTTGAGGAAGCCCAGGCACACTGGGGAGGGGAACTGCATTACTGAGTCCACCAATTCATGATGCCAATCTCCTCCAGAAGCACCCTCACAGACACACCTGAGAGAATGTTCAACCTGGGCACCCCAAGGCCCAGTCAAGTGGACACATGGAGTTACCCTCACACCCCCTAAGTGAGAGGAGAAACCCATCCTTGTGCATCCTGTCCTTCCTGCTGCTAGTCCACCTCCCTTTTTCCTTCATCCCCCTGTCATGGCATTCTTTTTTTACACTTTGAATTTTCTATATTGTCCTCTATATAGGTTGATTTTAAATACAGAACAACCCCAAAGAATATTTACATGTCTATAATTTCACGACTAACATTCCCTGCAGAATGAAAGATGTGACTGAACCAGGTCCTAGGGAAGGACGTGGCATTCTGAGTCACCGACTCAGTGCCCTTTAAGGAGAACGCTCCCTGTGCCAAGGATAAGCAAACTCTGCTCTTATCTTTTATCAGTTCCCCAAAATCATGCCACCGCTTAATTTGCTTTGTCATTGGGCTACAGCTTTGCTATTTTCATGTTTGTTTTTCTGAGACTTCTGATGCATTTTCCTTAGCACACACCTCCATTATAACACTGAGGTTTTCTGTCCTGTTAGTTGGATGCCGTTCATGGCTTGGAACCCCATTTCTTCTTAAAGTTGTGCTTCTCAGTGCTGACTGCCTTCCTGCTCCATTCAGACACGGAGGCAGGACCCTGAGGCCTGTTATCCTCCTGTCCATGTCCCAACTTCCTCTTCTGCTTAGATGCCCCATTCTCTAGATCTATATCTTGCCCTTACTAGTTGACACCATCATTTTGATGGAGCACATCCCTCATTGGCCCCCAACAAGGTGCATGGTCCAAGTAGGACTCCAGGTTGGTTGTGTGCAAGGCATGGCTTCCCTGTCTGACAGTGTTACTGTTGAGAGGCTCATGACCATTCTGATTCTCAGAGCTTGGCTAGTGACCTGTTTTTCTCTCTGGAACTTTTGGAACCTTTTCTTCGTCTCTGGTGTTCTAAACTTTTGTGATATACCTTGATGTGGGTGTTTTTTCTTTTTCTTTCTTTTTTTTTTTTTGAGATGGAGTCTCGCTCTGTTACCCAGACTGGAGTGCAGTGGCGTGATCTCAGCTCACTGCAAGCTCCGCCTCCTGGGTTCACGCCATTCTCCCGCCTCAGCCTCCTGAGTAGTTGGGACTACAGGCGCCCGCCACCACTCCCAGCTAATTTATTTTTTCATCATTGTTTCCTTTCTCTAAGAAAACTTCATGGACTACTTTAATAATTTTCTTTTCTCTGATTTTTTTTTCTTTCTGTAGCTCCTGACATTCAGATGTTGGTCTTCGTGAACTGATGCTTTAATTTCCTTAACTTTTTTCTTAGCCGCTATCCATCTTTTGTTTTGTTTTAGGCAGGGTCCCACTCTGTTGCCCAGGCTGGAGTGTAGTGGTGCAATCACGGCTCACAGCACCCTCGAACTCTCAGGCTCAAGCAATCCTCCCGCCTCAACCTCCCAAGTAGCTGGGACTACAGACATGCGTCACCTTGCCCGGCTAGTTTTTAAATTTTTGTAGAGATGGGGTCTTGCTATGTTGCCCAGGCTGGTATCGAACTCCTGGATTCAATCCATCCTCTTGTCTTAGCTTCCCAAAGTGTTGGGATTACAGGCATGAGCCACAGCACCTGGCCATTTTGGTGTTTTTCTTCTACTTTTAGAATCCCATCACTTTCTCTTCTAATTCTATTACCGTTCTTAATTCTGCAATCTAAATTTTAATTTCCAAGAGCTCTTTTTTATTTTAAAAAGGTTACTTTTTGGTAGTATGTTGTTTTTATTTAATGGAAACAATATTATCTGTTTTCACTGACGATCTTAATTTTAATTTGGGGGGGAATTTTGAATTCTCTTCCATTTCCTCTGCTTCCTTTGAGTTCCTTCTCCTGGGTGGGTCAATGTGTTCATTTCTGTCTTCTGGTGGTGAGGCTTCCCCCATGGTGATCCTGGCTACACACTCAAAAGCAAGTAGGAGCTGCTGATTACTGATCGCTCATTGAGAACTTCACTGCAGAGTGTTTGGGCAGGGACCAGATACTTCTTTGGCACCTGACTTTCTATATCAATAAATCTTTTCTCCTTGGCTGTACATTTCCCTGGGAAAGAATCCTCCATTCTCCTGTCTGGAGAGGGGTGAGAGACGGGTGGGGATCTGCCTGGCTGCCGTGTTCTCAGGCTGAGATGGGCACGGGGCTGGAGGGTTTCCTTGTCTACCGTGATACATTTTCACTGCCAGGCCTCTGCCCTCCCCTGTCCCTGGCATCTCTGAAGACAGAAAGTAACAGCTTGTACCTGGCTGCACACAATAGGAAATGGACGAGGAAGTCTCTTTGATGCTTAGCTTTTCACCCAGTTTTCTCACTTTTGGTCTCCACCTCATCTCCACCTTCAGAGACCTCCAATTTCGAGGCTTCTCTGAGTCCTGCACAAGACTATCTGGATTCTCGGCCCTTGCCCTCCAGGCACTTAGCTCTCTCTGGTCTGCTAAGTCAGAACCACATATCCATCTGCTTTTTAACTTCCAAAATTGTGTTGACATCTTTCAACTACTGTCATCTCTTCTCCCATTCTCCAGAGTGCTCATTCCCCTCCACAAACATTTTACTAGGGAAATTTCCAAACAGAAATGGTGCAACAATTGGTTGGTGAATGCCTGGATACCCACCACTAATTCCCCAATTAGCAGGTGGCTACACTTGCTTTATCCCACATCTGTGCACCTGGTGATCTATGCACCCAGCTATTAATCCATCTCATTTTAAAAAATACAGTCCGACTGCAGACATCAGACATCAGGACACTTCTCCTTTAAGACTTAATACTTTAAATGGCATTGGTTCTCTTTATGGTTTCAACTCTTTCCCTGATGTCTGAGGAAACTAGTTGGAATTACGTGAATTGCTCTTCTGTTCCTGCAGTTATCAAGAGTTTCTTCCTGGTCGGATATTCTGCCTCTTTGGCAAGTTCCTCTCTCTCCTTATGAGTTTTCCCAAGTGTCCAGTAATTCTTGGTTATCTGTTGATGTTTAAAAATAAAGACCTGGGTTGGCTGATTTGGGTGGCTGGGTTGGCCTATGCTATGGTCTGAAAATATCCCCCCAAATTCATATGTTGAAACTTTACTGCCAATGTTGTGGTATTAAGAAGTGGATCCTTTGAGAGGTGATGAAGTTGTGAAGGCTGAGCCCGCTTGGATGGGACCAGGGCCCTTCTAAAAGGGCTTGAGGGAGTGGGTTCGCCCTCTTCCATCTCTCTGCCATGTGAGGACAAGCGTTCCTCCCTTTTGCCTTTGTGAGGATGCAGCAATGAGGTGCCCTCTAGAAAGCAGAGAACAACCTTCACAGATGCCCAGCCTGCCAGCACCTTGATCTGGGACTTCCCAGCCTCCAGAACTTTGAGAAATAAATTTCTATTCTTTATACATTCCCCAGTCTCCTGTGTTTATTTTGGTGTCAGGAATGGTCCAAGACAGCCTCCCTCAGCCTTTGGGCTTGTAGGTCTGCTCGCCATAGGAAACGGCTCCTGGACCTAGGTGTATGCGGGAGTGTGGTGCAGGTTGAAGGCTGCGGGTTGGGTGAAGGTATGGAGGTGAGGGGGAGATGGCTGTTGGGCTGGGCACCAGCAAACTGTGGAATGGAGCAATTTGGTGGACTGCTATGGAGTCACCTTAGTGAAGCTTCCCCACATTGTTCAGAGTTAGCGTGGACCATGCTATTTGTAAGGCAGAAGGGAAGCACAGAAATGTTTCTTTTATGCTTGGAAGGCGGGGCCAGGTCCACTAGATGCTACTGCAGCTCACATGTCTTGGCTGGTCTGCTGGTGCACAGGCTGGGGTGGGCAGTGGCTGGGCCTGTGGCTGCTCCAGAAATAGCCAGATCCCTCCACCCCAAGCTTCTCCTTCCCCTGGGCCGGGTGCATAATTCATTCTGAGATAAGGGTGTCCCCTTCTCCCGCAGGACACATGGATCATCATCGAGGTTGGCGGCTCAGAGCTAAGGAGCACACGCTGCAAACCAGCCCACCTTGGGGATGTGACTTGTCCTCACCCTCTTTATACCCATGTCCCCTTCCTGACGCTGCCCCAGGCTTCTGAGACAGTAGCCTTCCACAGGCTTGGAACTGCGGTAGGCATCACACCTTGTGGTTCTGCATCCCTGATGGAGCTCACGCTAGCCCCCACACGCCCACTAGAGCAACTGGACCACTTAGGAAGTTTAAAAGTTTTTAAAATAGGGGTTCTTGTATTTATGTTCATGGTTTCTGTGTATTCTTCTTTAGACATAATATAGATGGCATCCTTGTGTTTATAATTAAATTCAATATACCTAATACTGTTTAATGACTGGAAGCTTTTGCCTGCCAGGTGAAAATGGAGATCTATTTGTTTACTTATAATAGTTATCACCCTCCATCATACTTTAAAAATAGGAGTCTTGGGCTCCAAGCTCATATAAATCAAGAGACTCCTGTACCTGGAGACATTCTCCCTCTGTGCCTTTGGGTGCATCTCAGCTCCTTCCTCCTCCCAGCTTGGCTCCGTCCAGGCTCAGTCCAGATCCTGGAGCCACGGGCACTGAAACAAGGTCTTCTTAAAAGTCTGGAAGAGTTTAGGAGGCTTCAAACATCCATTCATTTACAGGTTACCAGGACAATCATCTCACTGCAGACACCTAATGATGTCTAAAGACACAGTGTTCCGACTAAGTGCTTACTGTGGGCCCTACACTGGGTTCAACACCGTGTTTCAATATTGAAACTTTTTCATGGTGTGTTGAAAAGAACTGAAAATGAATACAGCAAACACCCGTCTGAAGGACAGAGATGACCAGTGCCGAGCAGCCTCCTGCAGCCCCCGCCAGCTCAGCCTCCACTCGCCCTGACAGGCTACCGCACAGAGGTGAGTGTTTCTTAGACTCTTGTGTTGCTGTCATCATTGTAATCACACATGTATGCACCTTGGGGCATTTCCCTATCTCGTTTTACAGACTTTATGAACATGGTTAATATGCCTAGCTCAAGGATTTCTTGGGAGCCCGAGGGTTACAAATTAGCACACAATCTCCTAGAAAGACAGCACAGCCTTGGAAATAGGTGTTTTCTCTATTTCAGAATTCATTTTCCACACTCTCTTATAGGAGTTTCTTTTTTCTTCCCATTCTGTGTTTAAGCCTCTTCTGACCTATAGTAAATCTCACTGTTTTGACATTGTCTTCTCTGACTGTGTATGGCTTCTTCTAATTATTGCTCATCAAATCTATTTCTTAGCATTATGTCAAAATCAGATGGTTATTTTTTCCATCTGTTGCCACAATCTGTTCAAACCATCACACTAGGTGAACCTGCAGGAAATCGTATCAGCCAAAAGAGAGACGAATGTGCTTCAGCCAGACTTAATATGGACAGGGTTTTGGTGTGGAATACGATATTTGAAATCTTCTTATATAATGTCAAGTTCAGAAAAATGGCTATTTTCTCTGGTGCCAGCAGTGGGTAACACAAAAGCAATGGTAAGGCACAAGTGGGAAACCCTCACAATATTCTTGCTCCATAATATAACAATATTTAATAAAGAAGCTCCCCAGGCCCAGCCCATTCCTCTTCAACTCAGAGGGAAAATTGAAGTCCCTATATTTCATTTCAAAGGCTCTAAGTGAATCGGAAGGAAAAAGTCCTCTTCTTGAAAGCATTTCACGTGGACAGAGTGGACTCATTCCATGCTACGCTGCTCCTGCTAAGCAGAAAGCTGTGGTTCCTTCTTCATTAAGTAAAGTGGTTTGCAAAGCTCCAGCATCGTAGCCATGTGCTAATGGTATTAGGACCGAGGGACCATTGGCAGCTCAAGGTTGGAGAGTGAAGTGGAGCCAGGAAAAAGTGGGCCTTGACAAAGCCTACTGGTATTTTTTTTATTAGGGATGCAATGGTGTCTCTATTCACTGCAGCAGATACAGAATGCAGCAAAAGATTGTGCTGGAAAAACCCAGTTAAGAGAGAAAGACAGAATCCCTCAGTCGAAATGTATTTTCCAGGAGAGATAAAGGGTGAGCCTCCGTTGTGGGGTTGCATACTGGCCCCACTCCAGGATGCCCACATATTGGGGTCAGGTTTTCATGCTGCCCGCCCCCACAACCTGACTTCAGCCCTGAGGCAGAGAGGATCCCCATGATGCTACCACATGTGGTACTGGTCCCCTTTGTCAGTGTCAACTTGAAGTAATTTATTGCTTTGCCTTTCAGAGCAGAAAATAGATTCATTGGTGGTTTGTAAAAAGCATGCTTTTTTGTGAACGTATTCATATGTTTTACACTTTTATTTTCCTTGTGCAATTATCGACTCTCACTTTCATTAAATTGTGTGAAACAGCAGCTAGCCCACGTTACAATCATGTCTCTTGGTTCTCCCTGCCCCTCCCCCTCGGATATCCAAAGGCATCTGCTGTTCCTAAAAGGCTGGATGAATGACAGACCGTGATGAAGGGCCATGGCTGCCCTATAAATGGACCACTGCTTGTGCTGCTTGTGACTAACTCTTTCTTTTTGTTTTTGTTTTTAGAGACAGGGTCTCATTCTGTCACCCAGGCTGCAGTGCAGTGGCGTGATCACAGCTCATTACAGCCTCCACCTCCTGGGCTCAAGTGATCCTCCTACCTCAGCCTCCCAAGTAGCTTGGACTACAGGCACAAGCCAGTATGCCCGGCTGATTTTTTAATTTTTTGTAATGATGACGTCTTGCTATGTTGCCCAGGCTGATCTTGAAATTCTGTGTTCAAGCGATCCATCTGCCTTGGCCTCCAAAAGCAATGGGATTATAGGTGTGAGTCACTGCACCAGGCTGGTGACTTACTCTTTCTAATATCATAATACAAAATCCTTGATCTGGAAAAACATTTCCTCTTCATCCTCAGCGCTGACTGGGGCTGAGAAACCTTGGTGGGAGGCTGCCAGGGAACCTTCTGCCCAAGTGGCTCAGCGCCAGTGGACTCATGGAGTAGCAATTGGTCTCAATGACAGAACTGGCTTTGGAGCAGCAAATTTTAGGGGCACCAGGAAGGCCTCTTCCCCACCACGGTGCTTGCCACTCCACTGTGAGAATTTCTAATTTCTTTAGGGCTCAGGTCTTCAATAGTGCTGGTACTTCTAAAAGTATCTGAGCTTGAATCTTACTACTACTGTCTTTGGATGTAGGTGGTGGCCAAATGAGAGAAGAAGGATGTTTGGGAACAGAATAGGGCTGACGGATGTTCTAGGAGCACCAGGGGCGGGGGATGGCTGGACAGAAGGAGGTGAGCATCTAGTCTCTCGGCTTGTGGCTTGCATCTCACCAGCCAGTGAGGAAGGAGCGGGAGAGATGGGGTTCTGGGTGGCCTGGCCTGGGGCTCCCACTCTTTGTCCTGGGCAGGAACAGCAGCCTACACACCTTGCAGGGCTGCTGTCTGTGGCCCCAGTGCCCTTGACACCCCAGGGGGGCTGCAGACGCATCACCATGCTAACAGACTGTGTTCAAGGTGCTGAAGGCTCACTGATGTCCATCAAGGGCCTTTAGCCTCCATGCCTGTGGTCGGGTGCCTGGGAAGGAAACCTGAAAAGGGGCAGGGGGGGTAGGGGAGGTCAGAGACTGCCTCCATGCCACCCAGGTAAGGGCGCAACACACAGCAAGCCACCTGCCACAGGCTTGGAGGAAGGAGAGATGAAGACCACTCAGCTCTGGTTCTTCGTCTCCACCCTCATCCCAGCCCTCGGGCTGCTCTCGGCTTCTCTGGACCAAATGCCCTAAGAGGCTTTGACACTTTCAGGGATGAAAGAGTGGGATGAGGAGAGGAGAGAGAGACTGTGGTGGAGAAGGCGCCTTGAGAAGGGCCAGGGAGTAAGCCCAGAGCTGACTGCGGGGGTGGGCATGGGCCCTCACCTACAACTGTCTTCCCCACAGGAACCCCAAGCACTGGAAGAAAGAAAGCCCAGTCAGTGAGGCCAAGCCTTGGTTAAGGAATCGTGCCCCTGGGGGTCCACTAGGATGCATGCTTGTTATCTGGGACATATTTTCCTTTTATTTTTTAAAATTTTTAATTTGATTTTTTTAAAAAAAGTTTTAATTTAACTTATTTCTTTCCGATTTTTATTTTAGGTTCAGGGGGCACATGCGTGAGTTTGCGATATGGGTGAATTACATGTCATGAGGGTTTGGTGTATAGATTATTTTGCCACCCAGGTAATAAGCATAGTATAGGATAGGTAGTTTTTCAGCCCTCAACCTCCTTCCACCCTCCACCCTCAAATAGGTCCCAGTGTCTATTGTTCCCTTCTTTGTGTCCATGTGTACTCAACGTTTATCTTCCATTTATTTATTTATTTATTTATTTATTTATTTATTTAGACAGGGTCTGGCTCTGTTGCCCAGGCTGAAATGCAGTGGCACAATCTCGACTCACTGTAACCTCCACCTCCCAGGTTCGAGCCATCCTCCCACTGCAGCTTCCCAAGTTACTAGAACTACAGGAACAGGCCATCCAGCCTGGTTAATTTTCATAATTTTTGTAGAGATAGCATTTTTCCATGTTGCCCAGGCTGGTCTTGAACTTCTGAGCTCAAGCCATCTGCCCACCTTGGCCTATGGAAATGCTGGTATTACAGGTGTGAGCTGATGCACCTGCCCCTGCTTATAAGTGAGAACAAGTGGTATTTGATTTTCTCTTCTTGTGTTAATTCACTTAGGATGATGGCCTCCAGTTCTATCCATGTTGCTGCAAAAGCCATGATCTCGTTGTTGTTGTTTTTTTTTAATAGCTGTGTAGCATTATGTGTATGTGCCACATTTGCTTTATCCAGTCCACCACTGATGAGTATCTGGGTCGATTCCATGTCTTTGTTATTGTGAAGAGTGCTGCAGTGAACATACAGGTGCATGTGTCTTCATGGCAGAATCATTTATGGTTCTTTGGGTAACGGAATTGCCGGGTCAAATGATACTTCTATTGTAGGTTCTTTGAGAATGCACCAGACTGCTTTCCACAGTGGCCAAACTAATCTACATTCCTAACAGCAGTGTGTAAGCCTTTCCTTTTCTCCACAACCTCACCAGTATCTGTTATTTTCTGACTTTTTAATAATAACCATTGTGACTGGTGTGAGATGGTATCTCATTGTGGTTTTTGATATGCATTTTCTTAATGATTAGTGATATTGAGCATCTTTTCATACGCTTATGGGCCACATATGTGTCTTTAAGCCTTTTTTAGCCAGGCTTTTTTTTTTTTTTTTTTTTTTTTAACAAACAAAACATGTGCGTCCCAACATCTAAAACAAGCAAAGTAGATCATCTCCATGAACAGAAGGTTGGGGGCCTGGAGGCTGTCTCTTTGTCCTGGGCAGGAACAGCAGCCTACACACCTTGCAGGGCTGCTGTCTGTGGCCCCAGTGCCCTTGACACCCCAGAGGGGCTGCAGATGCATCACTATGATAACGGACTGTGTTCAAGGTGCTGAAGGCTCACTGATGTCCATCAAGGGCCTTTAGCCTCCATGCCTGTGGTCGGGTGCCTGGGAAGGAAATGTGAAGAGGGGCAGGGAGGGTAGGGGAGGTCAGAGACTGCCTCCATGCCATCCGGGTAAGGGCGCAACACACAGCACAGGCTTGGAGGAAGGAGAGATGGCTGTATCTTGGATCCTCTGCCTCCTGGGATACCAGCCCTCGGGATAGTATCTTTTTGCCCTTGACAGCAGAAAATGCTACCTGTTCCTGACAAGCACGTAGTTGATCTTTGCATATCTGCTGCTAGACCTTTGGAAAATGAGTGTGAATCTCAGCTTGAGGAGACTTCAAGAAAGCCTGGTGACCCCTGCCAGGAGGGTGACAGGTGAGGCCCTAGCACATCTGTCCTTAGTGCGAGGCACAGCCACTCTCCCACCCCTGATTGTCTGTACATGAGGGTGGGCCTGGAGCTGGGAGATGGTACAGCCCAGCACCTGAGTGAGACCTTTCACAGAGAGATCACTTCCTTTTTGTGCTTTGTTGAGTCTTGGCAAATCTTAACCCGATTCCTTTCTGGGGAGGGGGAAGGAAGGGGTCTCCAGATTGTCAGATGCACAGAAATAACTGAAAGCCCTTGGTGTTAAATGCAGCCTTGAGTCTGGTTTTGGAAAGAATTGGCCTTCTTGGAAACTGTAGCCTCAGGGATGCAGAGAAACTAGGCCAGAACAGGAACTTGGGCAGGGAGTGAGTTTTGTTCCCTTCACCAGATCTGGGAGGGCTCAACTGTGTGTCTGCAACAGGTCAAGAAGCAAACTCTAGAAGGCCCTGCCCTCCTGGACTAAAATCTTCACTTCTCACGAGCTGATGGTTCAGTCCTCATGCAGCCGGGGCATGTCCCAGGAAAGCCCCCAGGGTGGCATGAGAAGCAAAAGGAGGTTTTCAGACTGCTTTAACCAAGAGTACCAACCAACAAAGAGTACAACCAAATGGTGCCTGTGACTTCAAAGGCCAGGTCATCAAAGGCTGACAGCTCCCTCCTGCGGGGCTTGCTGAAGCCCTCATTCTTGGAGATCTGAGCCACCAAATAAGAAGCCTGAGCCTCCTCAGCCCACCATGCCATGGGAAGCCCAGGCTGCAGCAAAAGGCTACATGGAGAGGATCCATTCAACAACCCCGGGCTACCAGCTGGCAGCCAGCATCAGTGTCCATCCAGGTGGGTGAGTCACCGGATGGCTGGCCCAGTCAAGCCTTCTGATGACTCCAGCCCCACTGATATCTGACTATCACCACATGAAACACCCTATACAGCAACTCACACAGCTTAGTCCTCCTCACATTCCTGACCCTACAATTGTGAAATGTCATATGATACAATGGTGTTGTCTTAAGCTACTAGCTTGGGGTGATTTGCAGTGCATGCATAAGGCTGTGCCCATGCTCAGAGGTGTGCGCAGGCTCAGGAAAGACCTAAGAAGGCCCAGAGCTGTCACCTCTGGCTGACCTTGAGGCCCTGTGCCAGCAGGAAGTGAAGGCCAAAGCAGAGTTGGCAATTAACTGGCTGACTGAATGTTGAAGGCATGCCAGACACACATACACAGAGCCCTGTTGCAAAGATCAGGGGACATACTGGCTTCAGGCTGCATTAGTCAGGATTTTCCAGAGAAATAGAACCAATAGGATAGATAGATAGATAGATAGATAGATAGATAGATAGATAGATAGATAGATAGATATATGATGGATTGTTTCACCCAATTATGGAAGCTAAAAAGTTCCATGATCTACTTGTCTGCAAGCTGGAGAGCCAGCCAGTGGTGTAATTCCACAGCATCATTCAGTCCAAATCCAGAGGCCTGAGAACCCAGGGAGCCAGTGCTGTCAGTCCCACTCCAATTCCATAGCTCCAAAAACTGGGAGTGCTGATGTTCGCAGGCAGGAAGAAATAGATGTCTCAGCTCATGCAGAGGGAGCAAATTTACCCTTCCTCGCTTTTTTGTTCTATCTGGACAAAAATCACCGTCAGTGGATTAGATGGTGCCCACACACATTGATGAAGGCTTGTCTTAGTCTGTTTTGTGTTGCTATACAACAGAATACCTGCAATTGAGTAATTAATAAAGAACAGACATTTACTTTCTACCGTTCTGGAGACTGGGAGGTTCAGGATCAAGGGGCCCACCTCTGGTGAGGGTTTTCCTGCTGTGTCATCCCGTGCCAGAGCACAGAATGGCAAGAGCAGGCAAGAGAGAGAATCCTTTTGTCAGGACCCCACTCCTATGATAACCAAATTAATCCATCCATGAGAACAGAGCCCTCATGGCCTAATCACCCTGTAAAAATCCCACCTGTCAACACTGGGGTGCACTGGGGCTTAAATGTCTAACATATGCTTTTTGGGGGGACACATTTAAACCACCGCAAGGTTGAACTTCTTTACTCAGTCTACTGATTCAAATGCGAATTTCTCCTGGAAACGTTCTCATAGACACACCCAGAAATAAGGTTTTACCAGCTTTTTGGGCATCCCTTAGCCTGGTCAAGTTGTTACTGAAAATTAACCATCATACAGGCATTTAAGGAAATCTCTGTCCAATTGCTAGCTGACTACTGTGCTAACTGAGGAGAAACTTCAGTGGCCACACATGACAAAGAGTGCAGGCTTCACACAACTAACTCAGAAAGGTCTCTGAACAAATAACAACAACAACAACAACAAACCCTGGGTAGTGGGGAGAATCTGATTTCCAAAGTTGTCACGTTTCATTATTTAAAATGCCAGTTTTCAGCAAAAAGTTAAGAAATATGCAAAGAGGCTGGGCGCGGTGGCTCACGCCTGTAATCTCAGCACTTTGGGAGGCTGAGGCAGGCAGATCATGAGGTCAGGAGATCGAGACCATCCTGGCTAACACGGTGAAACCCCGTCTCTACTAAAAATACAAAAAATTAGCCAGGCATGGTGGCAGGCACCTGTAGTCCCAGCTACTAGGGAGGCTGAGGCAGGAGAATGGCGTGAACCTGGGAGGTAGAGCTTGCAGTCAGCTGAGATCAGGCCACTACACTCCAGCCTGGGTGACAGGGCGAGACTCCGTCTCAAAAAAAAAAAAATATGCAAAGAAACAAGAAAGGATGACTGTTGTCAGATGCAGGGGAAAAAGCAGACAGTAGAAACTGTTCCTGGGGAAGCCCAGGTATTGGCCAAACTTACTAGACAAAGATTTTAGGTCAGCTATTTAAAATATGTTTACTGTAATCCCAGCACTTTGGGAGGCTGAGTCAGGAGGATTGCTTGAGCCTGGGAGTTCAAGAGACCCCATCTCTACAAAATACTTAAAAATGAGCCAGGCATGGTGTGTGGCGGTAGTCCCAGCTACTCAGGAGGCTGAGGCAGGCCCTGAATTTTGTGATTGCTTGCACCCAAGACTTTGAGGCTGCAGTGAGCTATGATTGCACCACAGCACTCTAGCCTGGGTGACAGAGCAAGACCCTATCTCAAAAAACAAACAAAAAAAACCCAAAAAACTATATATATATATATATATATATATGTTTAAAGAACCAAAGCAAAGTATAAAATACTGTTTCACTGAATGGAGGATATCAATGAAGAAATAGAAATTATAAAAAAGAAAATTATAGGCTGGGTGCGATGGCTCACGCCTGTAATCGCAGCACTTTGGGAGACCGAGGCAGGTGGATCACCTGAGGTCAGGAACTCGAGGCCAGCCTGACCAACCTGGTGAAATCCCATCTCTACTGAAATACAAAATTAGCTGGGTGTGGTGGTGCATGCCTGTAATCCCAGCTACTCGGGAGGCTGGTGCAGGAGAATCACTTGAACCTGGGAGGCAGAGGTTGCGGTGAGCTGTAATCATGCTGTTGCACTCCAGCCTCGGTGACAGAGCAAGACTCCATCTCAAAAAAAAAAAAAAAAAAACTTATAGAAATTCTGGATGTGTTGCTGAGGTGTCCAATATTTTGGCTGAAAGATGTTCCATGATTCTAACTACTGGAGATAAAAGGAACAACGATCTGGAAAATAACATTTTCAAGTAAAAAGTGGCTGAGACTGAGCCCAAAGTGATGCCTCAGTCTGCAGGGGGTGTGGCCCACGGGAGACAGGCGGGTGTTTCTCACCCTGGCCTGCCTCCTGCTCAGACTGAATTCAGTGTCTTATGCATGGCAGGCACTCAGTAGTCTTTGTTGAGTCGTAGGGTTGAAGGGGTCAGAGAGAGAGGAGGGGAGTGGCAGGAATCATGGAGACGTTTACAGGGTGGGAGCAGAAAAGAGTGTTTTAGACTTGGTGACTTCTCCGGTGACCTCAGTGCTGTTTCGTGGCAGTGCTTTTCAGGTGCAGGAAGTGGTTTGCCTTTGCCCCAGCTTAGGCACTTCCTCTTTGTAGAAGAGTCAGAGGCCTGCAAGAACTACTCATCCTGCACCAGGAGTAAAACCCTATGGCTTGGAAACAAAGTCTGCAGGCTTCGAGCCAGTTAACGGAGCAGCTTCAGAGGGGTAGACGTGTGTCCCATTCATGTCCAGTGTGTGGAGCACACTGATGTGTGCAGGCCCTTCCCAGGGGCTCAGCGTTTAGCAGGGCATGGACACAAATACCTCACCACAGGGCCATCTGAGAAGTGCTGTGAAACACAAGTGCAGGCCAGCAAGCTTTCACAGGATGGTCACGCAAGGAAAGGAAGAAAGTCTGCAGCCTATGGATGATGTGCAATTCTCCCCAATGTCAAAAGAAATCCAAGACCTGTGAAACTCGTAGACTCAGTGAGGAAAATTTTTGACCACCTGCAGTGACTGGAACTACTTCCCTGAACTGCTGGAGCTCTTAGCGTAGCTAGTCAATCACTCAGGCCCTGGCTGGCTCACTCCTTGTCCTGCTGCTGGCCTTGGGTCCATCCACCTGATCATCCTCACTCTAGCATGATAGCAGGTGAGGACATGGAGGTGGTCAGTGACTCAGCAGGATTCTGTTGAGTAGCTCCTGGGTAGATATTCATCAGATCATTTTTCTTTGTTATTAGATTTCAAAAAAATATATAATAAGAGATGGGGATGCCAATGGAATAATGGGATAAGGGGTTGGAATGTTGGGGTACAATTAGCTTTACTGGTCATTTATTCATGCTCTTTCTTTGTCTAATTCCAGAGATAATTGTGACTTGACTTTATTTAGAATTCCAAACACAGACCTTGCCTGAAATAGGAAGCCAGTCTAACATCTGGAATCCCCTGATTATACTCATGGAAGACACTGTCCTTTTCCTATTTAATGGAATTTCCTCATTTCCTTTCCTGCCAAAAGAATCCAATTTTGCATTAAAGTTGCAGGCAAAGAGCCCTTGATCTCAGAGAAACTAGGCGTCCTGCAGTCCCTTTGGTTTAAGCTATTTAGCTGTAGCAACCCCCTTCCCTTTGCTACCGATTGTTATGGGGTGGCACAGAACCCTATTCTGCACGTGGAGAGGTAAACAGAAGTCAGCTGAAGCCTCCAGGTCTTTTTCCCTATGGCTTCCTTCTGGTTTGGGATGCTCACGTGATGCCTGGAGCTCTCATAGCTATTTTGTAACCAGGAGGTAAGCAGTGTATGGCCCTAAAGCTCTTGTGCTGAGAGTGAAAACTGAAGGGCAGGCCATGCCTGGCTTGGAGGACATCATTGAGCAATGGCGCCAGCTCTGACTTTCCATGTCCAGGCCACTTCTGTGGCATCCGTAAGTGTCACAATTATTGAAGCCCCTCTGAGATGGGCGTTCTCATATTTGTTGCCAAAATCACTTTTATGGAAATATTTTTACAAAAATCAGCCTAAGTGATACTTTACACAGACATATTTATTCCTTTTCAACCAACCTAAGCCCATGTTTTCATTCCTTTCACTGATGATCTCATCTGTCAGCAGAGACAGGAAGGACAGCTGGAGGGTGTCACCTCCACATAGGTCCCAGACAGACAGATAGGAGGAGGTTGAAAGCGGCCCATTGGGCTCTGTGGGTTGCAGAGGGAGGTGTGCTAGAAGGAAGGATTTGGGGAAGCAGCTTATTCTGCCCTTTCCTTCTGGGCTGCATCCTGGGCTGAGGGTCTTCCCGTGTCAGCCAAGAGCAAAGGGTAGGGAGGCTTTTGGACAGTCAACATCTTGGGTCTCAGAAAGATACCTCCTCTCTGGGGACCCCCACTACTCCTCAGGCTCGCTGGGAGGGTGGGCAGCGTGGTGCTTCTAAAACATGTTTGCAAATTCTTTAATAGTCCTCTGGCCAAGAAGTGCAGCCTGTGTTCCTGTCCTTGAACCCAGATGGACCTTTGTGTGAGTTCTGAGGCTCAGATAAAAGAGGCCACACTTCTGTGTCCAATGCCCTTGGAACACTTGCTCTGGGAGCCTCCATATAAAAAGTCAGAATTCAGAGGACTCCAAGTGGAGAAACCACATGGAAAGACCAGAGAGAAAGAGACAGACAGACAGACAGAGGAGAGAGAGACAGACAGACCCAGAGAGAGAGAGACAGAGAGAGGGAGAAGAGAGAGACAGAGAGGAGGAGAGAGAAGAGAGACAGGGAAACAGAGATACACACAGAGAGAAAGGAGAGACAGAGTTGGAGAGAGAGAAGAGAGAGGGGAGAGAGAGAGAAACAGAGATAGAGACACAGAGAAAGGAAAGAGTGAGAGTAAGAGACAGAGAGATACAGAGTGAGGCAGAAAGAGACAGAAAGAGATAGAAAAAGAGAAAGACAGAGACAGACACACACAAAGAGAAAAGAGAGACACACAGAGGGAGAGAGATGTAGGAGAGAGGGAGAGAGATATAGGAGAGAGAGAGTGGGAGCTGGCTCAGCTGTCCTGTCCCCACCGCCTGGGGCTGGACCTGTGAGTGAAGAGGTCACTGAGATGGCCCTGCCCGGCCTCAGTCTCGGCTGCAGCCCCCTGAGAGAAAGCCTGGATGAGCTCCGCCTGGTCTGATGGAGACTCTGGCAGGGTCAGATTCATTCTGGGAATGGAAGAGCTCAGGCTGATTGGGTTGCTGATGTCTCCATGGTTACCTGGAGTCACTAGAGAAAGACAGCCTCATTTGAGTGGGATTCAGGGTCTGACCATCCAACTCTGACTGCATGTGTGACATGCGCTGCTGCTGTGTGTTTGGCTTTTCCACTCGTGTCCCCAAAATCTCCACTCCAGCTACTGAAGTTTTAAGATATTGAAGACTCAAGCAATCCCCTTAACATCAGCAAAAGGCTGGGATGCATCCAGGAAGCTAGGCTGTCTTTTTGCCTTGGGGGGAAAACGCCGGAGCCTCCTAAAATTCAGTGCCTTCCCTCTGAGCCCGGGTTTCGCTGCTGTAGGGAGACTGACAAGAAGGCTAAGGACAGATGGAAGGAGAAAGCCATGAGAGACACCGGAAAGTGGAGAAGATAGGGGATGCAGGTGTGAAGACTGGAGGAGGAGCGCTGCTGGAGGCGCAAACTGTCGCTTGTGTTTTTGAAAAATGACTCTCTTCAGAAGGCCTGCTCTGAACACGCCTTCCACAGCACAGGGTGGTGGACAAACAGGCGCCTTCCCATTTGTCCAGGTGGAGAGGTGACTTCAAAGCTTAGGTGTGAACGTCCCTGTGGAAAGTGGGGCCATTAAGCCCCAGACAGTGTGAGTGTGACTGGTGACTTGAGTTCACAGCGGTTTGGGTTCCTGTGGCCATTTCCTTTAATGACACATTTGCCTTATGAATTGTTATCTGTAATTTCTGAGGAGACAAAGACAAAAGCGGAAGTAGTTGGTTCCAAAGATTTAACCATTTCTTCCATTTCTCAGTGTTCATGACTTCACGAATCATGAGGAAGAGGAGAGGACATGGAAGAGATGGCAAGACAGCAGGTCCTCCGGCTGTGCAGTGGGGAGGGCAAAGCGGGGCGCACGGCGAAGAGGACCAGCCAGGCCCGGAGCCCCAGGCAGCGCCTCACCCAGCTGGGGTAGGAAGCACAAGGGCAGGAGCAGAGAGCCTGCTTCCAATGCTGCTGGTTTGCCCTGAGTTTCAAAGTCCACGACCCAGGACTGGCTGACTTCGTGGGAGGATTTAACCAAGAAGAAAAACTGGAATTTTGAGATTCCAAAGCCTTCCACGAAACTCCTTGAATATATTTGTATGGATGTGCTACTCAAAGTTTATATGATTTTTGACCCAATAATTTCATTTTCCTATACCCAGATGATTCCCCCAGAGAGAGCATAAGAGGAAAACAAATCAGAAGGTCCAGTGGAGAGCTTCTACCCTCATTACCAGCTCCAGGGACGGGGATCTGCACCTGGTGAGAGTGAGGGGCAAAGGCATCAACTCTTAATTTTCCAACTTTGAGGAAATCATTCACCAGTCCGTCACAGCCCCCACTTTTATTTTCCAACTTCTCACCCTGTTTTCAAGGGCTCCTGAGTGAAACCATTTAGGCCCTTTCCCTCCTCTTTGCTCTCTCTCTGAGGCAGCCTGAGTGGTTCCTTCTCCCAGAGGGGCCCTGGGTCTTTCCAGGCATCTGTCGGGGCCCAGTCACTCTCCTCCAACTGGAATGTTCTGCTCAGCATTTTTTTCTGGTTAAAACTCAACCTATCGCCATGATATTCCTTTTGGGGGACAATTTGGCAATAGGTGTGTCACAATTTTACAGGTGCAGTCCCATTAGCTGAGAACATTTATGAGTCATTTCTATATTTACAGGAGTGCAAGATCCACGAATGTGCCTGCATGCTGTATACAATGGTAGAAAATAAAGAAGGCCATCTGCATGTCCCAAGTTAAATACAGCATGGCCCAGCCACACTGGGATACATGTAGCTTTAAAGAGAAGTAGGTAAGTATGCCCAGATATGGGAAGATGCCTAAATTAGTAATCAAAGGCTAACAATATAACTGTAAGCTAAGCAACTTGAAACAACCAGCATTTATTGTCTCACGGTTTCTGTGGGTCAGGAGTCCAGGTACAGCTTAGCTGGTCCTCCACAACCAAGGTGTGGGCTGGGGCTGCAGTCACATTTGAGGCTCGAATGAGGAAGGACCTGCTTCCTCACTCACATAGTTGTCAGCAACATTCAGTTCCTTGTGTGCTGTGGGACTGAGGGCCTTATTTCCTGCTGGCTGTTGGCCAGAGGCTGCCCTCAACTCTTTGTCACAGGGGCCCTCTTTATGTGGCCACTTGCTTCCTCCAAGCTAGCTAGGGAGTGTGTCTCCTAACAAGACTGATGTGATCATCTTATGGAGCATAATCATGTACATCCCATCATCTTTGTCACTTTCTATGGGTTAGAAGCAAGTCTGTGTTCCAGGGGAAGATATTATGCAACGGAGTGCATATTAGGAGGCAGGGATCATGGGGGAGGTGACCATCTTAAAGGCTATCCATAATATATCCAGAATATATTTTTAATTAATAAAAGGCAAATGAATCAGAACATAGAAGGGATGGGTAGCTAACTACAAAAGATTCTACAGCATTGACTTATTGCTGGGAGTGGCTCCCAGCCAGGACCCCATTCCTCAGCACCCATGGACTGTGATCTAGGGAGGACCAAGTGTCTGGTTCTCACCAATGGAACATGAGTGGATGGGGTGAGTGTCACTTCTGGTCCAGAGGATTAAGAAGTGGATGTGACTCCCACAGTCTCTTTTGCCATCTGCCCATTGAATTGAAGAGAGTCACCATTGAAGATGTGGAGCTGCCCAGTGAGTGGGTCCAGGAATCCCTGCTGGGAGGTGAATCACCCAAACAGGAGCGCCCACATGGATGGAGATACGCACAAGAGGTAAACTTTTATTTTGTTTAGCTGTGGAGGCTAGGATTTGGTTATTACAGCAGCAGCTAGTATACCTTCAATAGTATATACGGTTTAGTATAATCTGATTCAAATATCTGTGCATAAGTGTGTGCAGTTATGGATGTATGTTGCCATACGCACTTTTCATTCTCTTAATTGGGTAGTCAGAATTCTTCAATGTGTCTGCATAACAAACTATTCCAAAACTTAGAATCATAAACAATAAGCATTTCTGATCTCTCGCAGTTGCTGTGGGTCAGGAATTTGAAAGCAATTAGCTGAGCGGTTGGGGCCGCTGTCTCATCTAAAGGTATGAATGGGGCTGGAGGTTCCACCTCCCAAGCAGTTCCTCATACAGCTGGGCAGTTGGTGCTGCTTGTGTGTGGGAGGCATGCAGACCTCTCTGCCGGGCTGCTTGAGCGTCCTTATGGCATGGCAACTGGCTTCCTCCAGAGTGAGGAATCCCAGAGAGAGCAAGGCAGAAGACTCAATGTTTTATGAGCTAGCCTTGGAAGTCAGGCACAATCATGTTTGTGATGTCTGTTGATGACACTGGTCAGCCCTATTCAATGTGGGACAGGACTACACAGAACATGAAGAGGGAGAGGCTGGCTACCATAGGGAAGTCACAATAGAAAAACACCTTGATCTGAATCTCAGGGTGGGGCATGGAAACGGAAAGGTTTAAGCAAAATAAACAAAGTGAAGAACAGGCTCAGCTGCTCTTAACGGGAGCGGTGATGCAGGCTTTTGTATACCGAGTGAAGTCACACAGGGAGAGGAGTCACAAGGAGGGTTGCAGAGGTCAGCAAGGCTGTGGTGGACATCTGTGGACACGGTGACAGAGTGAGCCTCAGGGCTGCTCAGTGAAGGCCAGAGATGGTATTGCAGAATCAGGAGCCCAGCACAGAGATAACCAGGACAGCAAGCCCACAGACTGCTGAGTGATTCGGGAATTGATCCTTCCCTCATCTCCAGGGAGCTGGAGCAGAAACCAATGGTGTATTTGTGATGGGGATGGTGGGTCTCACTCTCAGGTATCATGTGGAAGGAGAAAGAGGCTGCTCCTTTAGACTGCACTCATATCTGAGTGGGTCATCCTCTAGGCTTTGGAGATTCAGGTACCTGCTACCTGCTGTGTCCAAGGACTCCCAAGTGAAGGGTTCGTGATTCCCGGGTTTGGGGGTGGTGCACAGGAGAAAATGTCAGCATTTTCATTTTCTCTCTAAAAACCAGGAACCCTGCCCTGTGCTGATACTGAGTGTGCACCTGCCCTCCGGCAGCCCCTGTTTTTCCCAAGCCCTGTGACTACTCTCCCCATCATGTAAGGGACAGATAGCTTAATAATACTCCTGCCAAGAGATGGCAGAATAAAGATTCTATTAATCATTTCTCTGGCAATGAGACAATGGCAGAGCCGACACTGTAGATCTCACTGGAGCCCCACGCACATGACAAGAGCAAGAAACTGTTTGAAAGAGAGACTGACACCAGCATTGTCAACACAAACCATGCCCTGGGTATGCTGCTCATGGAGTGTTAGCTAATGCAGTATTAAGCCAGCATTTTTAAAAAAAACTTATTTTTTAATTTTAATTGACACATAATAGTTGTATGTATTTATGGGATACAATGTGATGTTTCATTACATGTATATATTGTGTAATGATCAAATCAGGGTAATTAGCATAACCATTACAACTTCATTACTTCTTTGTGGTGGGAACATTCACAATGCCTCTCTTCTAGCTATTTGGAGATATACAAGAACTTATTGTTAGCTACAGTTACCCTACTGTGCAGCAGACACCAGAGCTTATTCTTCCTTTTAACTGTATCTTTGTACCCGTTAACCAACATCTCCCCATCCTCCTCTCCCCGCTAGCCTTCCTGTCCTCTGGTAACCACAATTCTACTCTCCACTTCTATGAGCTCTTTAACTCCCACATATAAGTGAGATCATGCAGTATTTCCCTTTCTGTGCCTGGCTTATTTTGCTTTATATAACATCCTCCAGGCTCATCCATGTTGCTGCAAATGACAGGATCTCATTCTTTTTTCATGACTGAATAGCATCCCATTGTGGATATGCACCATGTTTTCTCTATCCTATGTGTCCTTGATGGACACAGGTTGATTTCATCTCTTGGCTATTGTAAATAGTTAAGCTAGCATTTTTAGCAGAACATTTGGAAATAGTCTTTCAGGTTTATCTTATCTTTTAAAAGTTTTGGTGTATGTTTTGTAATGTGTATAATACATACAGTAGTTATGTGTATATAATAAATTTGCATAGATATATGTATATTGACTTTTTACAATTAACAGTGATGTAGTTCAGAAAATGAGATGCCCTGTTTGGGTGACTATTCTGTCTCAGGTGTTAGGTTGAATGACCAGGTGGATAACTGTCTAATTTCTTGCTGGTCCACAGAGACAACTGCCCTTTATCACCTCCTCCAGAGCACAGGTTGAGGGCAGCTACAGTCACATAGTGCTTGAGAAGCAGCCGGTGAGGCCATTCCTGTATCACTGGCCCTGAAAGCCAGCTCTATGCACTTTTCTGTGCCGAACAGATTGTCCTGGAGAGTTAGCTTTTTGTCTACTAATCTCTATGCTTGGAGGTCTTTGTGGAATGGAAGTTTTCTCATTAGCAGGCAACACAATGAAAAACTTCCAATAACTGCTCTTAAAGACTTTATCTGGGCCGGGCACAGTGGCTCATGCCTGTAATCCCAGCACTTTGGGAGGCTGAGGCAGGCAGATCACCTGAGGTCAGGAGTTCAAGACCAGCATAGCCAATATGCTTGCCGGGTCTGTCCCACAGACCCTGGCCAATCGACGGATGAACGGGGTACTCAGACACAGGTATGCAGTGGAAGAGCAGCTAGGGGACTTCCAGGCTCTAGTGGCCAAAGTACAGCATCCTCGAGAAGCTGGAGCTGCTTGCTTTTATTGAGTGCAGGCACAATGCTAAAAGCCTGAAGCAATACACAATCTGTGGGTAATTAACATTTATTGTTCCCCTTTCAGGGAACTTATGGAACTTATGGCGGATGATCACAGGTCAGCTCCTGGCCAACATAAGTAAACAAGCCTGTTTAAGATAAATTTCCCTACAATCCCTTGTACCTACTCCTTGCCCTCTGCCTCAGGGTTAGAGAACAGCTGTCTTCAGCTATTCTCCCCCGAAACTATGCAGAGCCTTCTGACCTTTCAGAAGGCCTGCTCCTTTCCCTATAGTTTCTCCCACCACTCTGACCAACCTCCTAAACATGATGAAACCCCGTCTCTAAAAAAATACAAAAAATTAGCTGGGCTTGATGGCAGGTGCCTGTAATCCCAGCTACTCAGGAGGCTAAGACAGGAGAATGGCTTGAACCCAGGAGCAGAGGTTGCAGTGAGCTGAGATCGCACCATTGCACTCCAGCCTGGGTGACTGAGCAAGACTCCATCTCAAAAAAAAAAAAAAAAAAACACCAAAGGAAAAAACACTTTATCCTGCCAGGAATAGAACTGAACCAGGAATCCATGAAACAAGAAAAGCAACTCTGGGGGCCCCTGGGTGAATCTCTGCTCCTAGCTGGGTGCCATCCTTCCCTCATGGGTCCAGGAAGCTTCTACTGTCAGGGCCTGAAAGACAAAAAGGGGTGCACACAGAGCCAGGGGTTCAATCCCATTTATCTCTGGGGTCATGCTTTCTGCTGGACATGGTGGGCTTAGGTGTGTGAACATGCTTGGACCAGACTTGAGTCAGAAGAAGAATCATCCTCCAATTTAGCTATGAGAACAGCACTGTTCCTGAGTGGTGAGAGTCAGCCTGCATCCCTCTGGGGCCTGGAGTCCTTGCAGGGATCGTGAACTGCTTCCATGGTCCCCACTTGGAGTACAGCAGGACCTGGTGCCCAGAAGGGGTGGCCATTCATGTGGCAGGCTCACAGCCTCTCTGCTAAGCACCATCTCTCCCAGAGCCGGCAGATTTTCCACGGTGGTGCAGATGGCCTGAAAATGGCCAGGATTTGGGGCCTCCACATCTCCATGGCTCAGCCCCAGCCAGCAACCAGCATGGGCATCCTAGCCTATGAGTGGCCACCTGCTTTCCGTGTGATGAGAGCACACATCAGTTGCAACAGGGTTGCCAGGCTTAGCCAACAAAAATATTCTCCTATGCAATATTGGGGATATAGTTATACTAAAGTTTATTTGCTGTTTATCTGAAATGCAAATTTAACTAGGCTGTCCGTATTTTATTCAACAACACTAATGACAAGGGCTTTGAATCTGAGTTCTGCTATCTAGTGACCTGAGAGCTGCCTGAGCTCTCTGAGACTTAGTTTTGTAGTCTGCAGAATGGGAAGGACAATGCCACCTCTCTGAGCTATCCATGTGGCAATATGCAAGATGGGAGAGAATCTTCCAGCTGAGTGGCTGGGGTCTTGGCCCACCTGCCTCTTGTGTTGTGCAGGGGAATGCAGCTGCCCAGCTCCATGTGCAACGAGAACTCCAGTGGAACAAGGATGGCTTGTAATGATGCTAGTGACAAAGGTTGCCATTTATAATTGGAATTCCTGACCAAGGTTTCTGTTCAGCACACAACAGCCCCTTCATAAGTGCTGGGTGCAGTCCACACTCTGTCATTGCCACCGTCGGCTCTCTGGCTTGAAAGGCTCTGGGAGTGCCAGTGAGTCAATAGTTCCTGTTTGATGAGAGCTGCTTTATCACTTCCAGGTAGCCCTGTCCCTCACCATACTGCATAGGGATGGAGTCACCCTGGTGTTGGGCGGACTATGGCTCCAGGCCCAGCAGTTCACAATGATGGCATGAAGGCTGTGATGGTTAAAAGGGGTCAATTTGACTGGATTGAGGGATGCCTGGATGGCTGGTGAAGCAGTTTCTGGGTGTGTCTGTGAGTCAGAGGACTGAGAGGAAGACCCCCTCTCAATGTGGACGGGCGCCCTTCTGTCAGCTGGGGGTGAACAGGTGGACAAGGCAGGTGGAAGGAGGATGGATATCCAGCACTCTCCCTCTCTCTCTCTCTCTCTCTCCCTCTTCTTGAGCAGGAGGCTTTTTCTCTTCCTGTCCTTGGACATCAGACTCCAGGTTCTTTGGCCTTTGGACTCTGGGATTTGCATCAGCAGCCTCCTGGTTGCTCTCAGACCTTTGACCTAGGACTGGGGGCTGCACTGTTGGCTTCCCTGGTTTTGAGCCCTTCAGACTTGGACTGACTTTTTTCATAACCCAGCCTGCAGATGGCCCAGCGTGGGACTTGGCCTTTGTAACTGTGTGAGCCAATTCTCCCTAATAAACTCCCATATATATATATACATATATCCTATTGATTCTGTCCCTCCAGAACCCCAACTAATACAAAGCCTTTCTTGTAGTCTCTCAGGCATGCTCCTCACTCCTGACATAGGGACATTATCTAGTCTTCACCCCTAGGGAAACTCACCCACAGCTTCACAGCAGGAGGGCACGCTGCTTCCCACGAGGCTGGTGGACTCCAGCATAGGCATCCTCAGCCCTGCACCAAGTCCTCAGCCTGAACAGACATAGGAGACAGCGCTGCACATCAGGAGGCTGGGGGTGCATCCTGGGAGATGCCTTCGGGCCAACTTCCCTGGAACTTTCCAGTTGCCATGGTGACAGTCAAAATCGTGGTGATATTTCAGGTGGTTGGCAAGACACGGAGTCTGGGACAGCATGCTGCAGGCTGATGTCCCTCTGATTCAGTGTCTGTGGCTCTGTGCTGGGAAGGATGGGCTTGAGGAGAGGGTCAAGCAGGGCTGGAGAGGATTCTCCTGGGCCAAGCAGATAGCTTTGCCCGGAGCTGTGCCAGTCAAACCTGGCATCTCTCCTGGAGTGTGTAATGCGGTGGCAGTTTGTGACATTAGGGAGGAGGTTGATTGATTATGGTTTGTAACAGGTCATCCAGGAACAGCAGCCATTGTTTTAATGAAAAATCCACATGGCTGATGATGGAGAGGAATGTAAATTGCCTTGGAGGACAGCGTGGGCCTTGGGAGTGACCCAGTCCAGTGAGATTCTTACCAGCTGCCATGTGACCCCCTGTGCACTGTGCGTTCATTGCTGCTTGTCAGAAATGCCTTCTACCAGTTAACTGGGTCCTATTTTTGATGTGATAGCTAGATTGGTCTCTGTTTTTTAGCTCTCTTCTCGAATGGTTTTCAGAACTCAATTTCCTTTTCTTGCCTAATTTTCATCAGGTGATGGTCTTATGATTAATAAAGTAATGTTTATCCATTGTAGTTTAATAATTTTAAAAATAATATTTGTCAGTTAGAAAATAAGAAACTCATAGAGGAATAATCAGAATCACTCATGATTTCCATCCAGGGGTCGAATGCCAGACCCCAGATCTTGCCCCCACTCCACCCTCCACTGCCAGGATACTAAAAGCTGCGTTTCCTGCTCATGTGGGAAGGGGGGCCCAGAGTATGTGGGGTGGGGGCAGCAAGGGCAGAGTCCATGAGGGCCTTATGTCTGATTTGAGGTGGGGCTTAGCGAGGACGGGGTCACTGTCTGGGCTGATGGGGCAGCCAGGTGAAGAGTTGAGGTGAGGGATGCGCAGCCTCCCAGGGGCCAGCCGTCTGTGGAGGTTTTCCATGGAAGGATTGATGGCTCTTTCGGGAATCTCCTGTTGTAAATAATTAAGCTGCTTGCTTGCACCAGAGTCTGCGGAAGGAGCTGAGATGCTGACAGCAGGGGGCGGAGAGCCAGTCCTGCCTGCAGATGAGGGTGTGGGGGTGTCTGTGTTGTGGGGGCTGGATGGCTCCGGCTCACACAGGACATATATGAACACATGGTAACCTAATAACTTTGCATGCGTTAGCTCAGGTCATAATTTATGACAGCTGAAATGGACAGCACTAAAAAGGACATGGGAGATGGAAAAACCATTGCCTTTTGCGCACCACACTCCTGCTCACACAGTTCTAGGGTGTACACACATACCTGCGCATGGAAAGCTGTGTGTGAGACTGTGAGTACATGTATGTAGGGCTGTGTGTATGTGTGTAGGGCTGTGTGTGTATGTGTAGGGCTGTGTGTGTGCGTGTGTAGGGCTGTGTGTGTGTGTGTAGGGCTGTGTGTGTAGGGCTGTGTGTGTGTATGTGTGTAGGGCTGTGTGTGTGTATGTGTGTAGGGCTCTGTGTGTGTGTGTAGGCGTGTGTGTGTAGGGCTGCGTGTGTGTGTAGGACTGTGTGTGTATGTGTGTAGGGTGGTGTGTGTGTGTATAGAACTCTGTGTGTGTGTATGTGTATAGGCCTGTGTGTGTGTAGGGCTGTGTGTGTGTGCATGTGTGTAGAGCTGTAGGTTTGGTGTGTGTTTAGGGCTGTGTGTGTACAAGTGTATAAGGCTGTGTGTGTGTGTGTGTAGGACCCTGTGTGTGTCTGAGTTTTATTGGGGTTGTGGGTGTAAATAAGTGCAGAATATTTAATCAAGGCAATGAGTTCTAATTTCCTTTTTAGATGAAAAATTGCAGTCTTTACCTTGTCAGGCAAGTGGAAATGTGATAAATGTCCCAGTTTCCGCACAACTGTTGTTCTGTTGACAGCTGTCAAGTTCCACCTGGCACACTTGGGGCTGCGCTGGCATTCTGGCCTTGCCTCACCTTGCCCTCAGGTATAGGATGTGCTCATGGTGCCCCATGGCAGCGAGACCTTGCCCTGCTTCACACCCTCTGAGCCCCCAGGGACCCCTGGTTGTCTCAGCTCTATGGACACCCACACCTGCCAGGGGGGTCACAAATGGCCAGCAGGTGAGGAGAGGCACCAATTGTCCTTCAGCCACCAGGAAGGAAAGTCCTTGAAGGAGGGCACCACCTCCAGGGGCTGAGGATGTCATAAAGTGATTGACTTTAAAGAACCCAAAGACAAGTGCAGGGTCCTGAGGAGGTCTGAGGTCCCAAGTGGGGCCAAGAGGAAGGGGGAGAGGGTGGGAGATAGCAGGTCTGGGAGATATCCTTGGGACCCCATGAAGCAGGCCTGACGAGCGTGCAGGAAGGAGAGTGCTCTCAGTTGTGGAGGAATCCATATACAATTTCCAGGACATTATTATTTATCCCATTTGGTGTTACAATTTCAGAAGAAGGAATTAAAAAATCACAAGCAAAATAAAACAAACTACTCAATCATCTGAGTAAAGTTCTGAGTGCACAGTGTGATTTCATCAGATAGAAGGTGATTTTGAAAGATGGGTCTCAGAGTGAACAAACAGGAAAAGAAAAGGGGATCCCGGCACTGGTGTGAGCTAAGTTGCTTGGGTGCATCCGTAGCAAATGGATTTAAAATACAGGCATTTAACGTAACACTGGAGAGTAAGACGTAATGGCATCCAAAGCTATCCATGGCATAATATTACATGAAAATATGGAAGTTGGAGCACACATCACCCCTCACATATGTAGGTGTGTCTATGTGCAGAGAAAAGGCAGGAAGGAAGTGGACAAACTTGCTAGAAACGGTTAGATGTGGGAGGTGAGAACACAAAGTGGTCTCCTTTTTTTCCTCTCTCTTCTTTCTCTTTTGTTTTTGCTTCTCTGTGTTTGCCTTTTACTTTTTTTTTCTTACAATGAATATATATATATGTAAAACCACACATATATACATATGTGTATATGCATGTTTTAAATAAGGAAAGCAATATAAGAAAAGACGTTTGGGAAATGTCTACTGTATATTGACTTATGCATGGTCCAGGACCTTATTAGTTACCTTATCTGATGTGTTCAACAGTTCTCTGAAAACTGGTAACTGTTCTTATCAGTGTGTAGGCTGAGGCTCACTGGCTTGAGCTGTCTGTCCCCAGGCAGCCAGCGTGTAGGTGGCGGGCCTCCTCTTCTGGTTGGGTTGTGTTGATTTCACTGCCCCTCCACCATGAAGGCAGGGTACAGCCTGGCAGCCTTTCCACCCTGACCCAGGACAGTGGGGAGAGCTCATCTCAGTTCTGTGATCATTTCTGCGCCTGATTTCCAATTAATCTGGAAGCCGAGTGCCCTGCAGGCTGTGCCTCCCCATATGGGCTTCAGAAGGCTCATGGAGTCTCCGTAGAGAACATCAGCAAGTGACCAGCGAGACCTTTGATGCAGGAAGGTGATGCTGATGGCCGCTGGGCCTTTGCTTTGGCTCAGTGTGCCTGCTGGAAGGGCGTCTGGGGACTGTTCCCAGTGAGGTGCCCAACCAGGAGAAAGCTCTTTAGAGTTGCTGCTATGTCAAGGGCAGGACAGGCCTTTGCAGAGTGCTGAGCCATAATCCAGGCGCTCCCTTGGCTTCCTGTCTTCAGAGCCCAGGAGAAGCCCGGGTAGTTTTGTTGTAAATAAGTGACATTTGATCAAGACCAGAAAGACACATGTCGTTGGGTTATGCCTGGCAACCAGATTCCTCCAGGCTGTTACTCAGGGCCGGCTGTTCTTTATTATGGGATTTATCATGTTGAGGGGGAAGAAAATGCAATTCCTGCTCTTCTGAAAGCACACAATGTGTTTCCATGCCCTGATGTCATTTATAATCTATGGCAGGAAAAATAACTTGGGCATACCTTTTTACTTGGTTCCTAACATTGCAGTGGCTCATGACCAAGATGGAAACTGGCTCTCAACCCTCGTGCTCAGAGCGTTCCACATGGACACCTGTTTTTGTCCTTGAACTATGAATTTCATAGTTAGTAGTGGCGTCTCAGAGCCCTCTGGGAGTGGTCATTAACAGGGATGGGCCATTTGGAACCAAATGAGACTATCTTGCTAAATTCAGCCAACATCAAGCACCAAGATGCACAGGACCTTGTGCAGGTAGCTGCAGGGACCTGACAGGAGCAGCCCCTCGCCTACAGCCATTGCGAGCCCAAGGGAGCTGGGACTCCTCAAGTAACCAGGAGCTGCCAGTTTGGGCCCAGGTTGGTTGCTGCTGTTATCTTGTGCCTGAGGGCCTTGCCTTCTCCTAGACGTGAAGCTCTTCGGAGGCAGAGGTCTTAGATTTTCCTGTCTCATCCCACAAGACACTTTCCTGAGTGTAGTAGGTGTGCAAAAACACCCTCAGCATCCCCACTCCCTGTACACACTGCTCCTTTTAAAGCAATCCCTGCTCCACGGCCCTGTGAGCCTGTTTGTTGGGCCCAGCCTGCAGGCACAGTGAGTCTGGTCTCTCCTGGCTAGTATTATTACACAGCATTGATGTAACACTGAGTGTCTGGCAGTAGCCTCCTGAGGAGTAGATTGACCTATAAAATAAGGGAAAACTGTCCTGAGACCCACCGGCAAGCCTGCAGCACTGCCTTCCTCATCCCTGGGGTAATGGGCTTTGCAGGCAGAGCTGAGCCTTGATCTCCTTTCCAGTCTCTTGGCAAATTCTGGAGCAATTGTCATTTCCAGTTCTTGGATCCTTAAATGGCAATGATGCTATATTTGCCGCAAGGAGGGCCCAGATGCATGCATGGGCCTATGTCTAGGTGCATACATGGGCCTGTGTTCAGGTGCATACGTGGGGCCTGTGTCCAGACACATATGTGGGCCTATGTCCAGGTGCGTACATAGGCCTGTGTCCAGATGCACACATGGACCTCTGTCCAGATGCATAGGTGGGCCTATGTCCAGATGCATATGTGGGCCTATGTCCAGCGGGGCTCCCTCTATGCAGACTCTCCCACTTAGGCTTGCTGGTCCCTTCTACACTCCAAAGGGTGAGTGTGAGGCCCCAAGAAGAGCAGGGCCCTGGTGGCAGGGAAAGCCTTAGGGGATGGGATCCTGTGGTGGGGAGCTGTGGTCAGAGATGGCTGAGTGACCGGGTGGATACTCTTTTAGGCTCCGTTCCACCAACTGGGGTGCTCCCTCGCATGCCTTTTGGGGAGCCTGAGCCTCAGTGTGTGCAGTGGGGTGATGGGCATGGGGGCGAGGGCTTCCCTGAGCGAGCGGGGAAGGTGCAGGGACCACCCGGTGTCTGCAGGTCACCAGCAGAGGGACGGGCTCTGTAATGACAAGCCCTTTTTGTTGGCAGGGCCCTGGCTTTCTAAGGTTCTTGGTGCCTCACAGCTGCTGAGGTTGAAGTGGGGTGTCAAGTGAGGCAGATGTTTACCTGGTAATGAAAGGCAGGTGGGTGGGGCAGGGTGGCTCCTGTCCCCGTCTTGCCTGCCAACGCCAGGCAGCTGCCTGTCCTTGTCACCTACCACCTTCCTTCCCTGGCTGCCTCTCCTTGCTCTGGTGGACCACAGGGGTGGGCATTGGCATGCAGGAGCTGGTGTCGTGGGGACAGAGGCTGGTTAGACAGCGTGCAGGGGAAGAAAGATGAGAAAGTGCTGTGTTGGTCTCCAGTCCTCTTAGCTGTTGGGGTTGAGCTAAGGCCTGAGGTCACTTTGAGGGGCCTCCATTGTCCCCTCGGTGAACCAGAAAGGATGATGTCTTAGAGGGAAGGGCAGTGCCACACAGCACCCTGCCCTGCTCAGGACCTGGGTCACCAGTTTCTCTCCCTCCTCTTTGCTCTGCCGTGGTCACTGCAATACCTCACCACCACGTTGCCCCTTAGAGTACATGCATGGTGCAGCCAGCGTGTGTGCACATGGGCATGTGTATGTGCCTGCATGTGCTGTGTGTCTGAGTTTGTGCATGTGTGTATGAGCACGCACACATGTGGGCCTGCGTCCATGTTTGCTCACATGTATGCATACACGTGTGTCGACATGCCTCTTCATGTATGCGTGTGTGTGTGCATGTCTGTGGGTATGTGTGCTTGCATATGTGTGCCTGTGTCTGTTGGGGAAGAGCTTGATTCTCCTTTTTCTGTGAAAACATAAACTTCATGTCCTCAAGCCTCCCAGGAGACTGAGTTCCCAGAGTGGCCCCTTGGCTGACACGTGCATCTCTAGGTACGTCTTGCCAGGCTCCCTCATTTGAGCTCTGAAAATGAGGTTTAAAGGACGGGACCCACATAAGGGCAGTGGCAGCACCCACAGCCCCTGCAGCGTGGGTGCCTGGGAGGGTGTCCTCTGCCCCAGCCCTACCCACGAGGGCTGCTTTCCCTGGGTCTTCCCTGGGGCTGCCTGACACATAGACAGCTCTGTTCAAATGCTCCTTGGGCATCCTGCACTGCCTGAGTTGATTTACTTAGTTTTTTTTTTTAAACTAATGTTTATTTTCACCAAGGTAATGGATGCACAGAGCTGAAAAAGCCAAATAGAACCAGAGACTTGGGAGGAGAACAAGCAGGCCCTGGCCCATTCCTGCAGTTTAACTCCTCCTGAGAATGAGCCTGAAGACACTCAGGGTGGCAGAGTGTGGCCACCGAGCTTAGTGTGGCTGGTTTCTGATTCTGTCTCTGGATCACAGTGTCCCTTCTGTGTCTGACTCACCTCCAACACCATGCTATGTCCATGCTGTAAGATTCACCCAGGTGCTCATGAGCATGGTCCATCCATTCTTATTGCCACATTGGATTCCATTCTGTAATATGCCATGTGCATGATATAAGTGTCACTTAAATATATAGATATGTATAATAATATATTTATGTATTATACAACACAATGTAATGATATAGCTGTGTAATATATCATATATTCTATATAATATATAATTTATTCATGCATATATTGTACATAATTTATATACATGGTTTATATATAATTAATAATATATAATTTACCTAATATGTGATTATATTTTTGTATTTCAATATATCTTATCTATTCTACTGAGGGTGGAATTTGAATTGCTTCAGTTTGTAGCGATTATGTGCAGTTGTACTCTGAACAGCCTCGTACAAGTCTTTTACAAGAAATTTATTATAAGGAACTGGCTTGCACAATTATGGGGGTTGATAAATCCCACAATCTGTCATCTGCAAGCTGGTGACCCAGGAAAGCTGATGGTATGGTTTGAGGGCCTGAGAGCTGATGGTTTAGATTCCAGAAGGAATTTCAGAAGATTCTGAAGGCCTGAGAACCAGGAGCACTGAGAACAGGAAAAGATTGATGTCCCAGCTCAAGCAGGCAGAGCAAATTCAACCTTCCTCCACCTTTTTGTTCCATTTGGGCTTTCAATGGATTGGATGCTGCCCACCCACACTGGGGAGGGCCACCTGCATTCCTCAGTCCACCAATTTAAATACTCTTCCAGACACCCTCACAGACACACCTGGAAATAATGCCTGACCACATATCTGGGCACCCTGAGGTTCAGTCAAGTGGACCCATAAAAATACCCATTGCACTATCCAAATATTTTGCCCATTTTTCTATTAGCATGTCTGCCCTTTTCTTACTGACTTGCAGGAGTTCTTCACATATTTGAATCCATGTCCTTGCTTGGGTATAGGTAGGTTTTTATCTTTTTGTCCTGTATGCTTATTTTAGGGACATTTGGAGAGGGAGCCCATGGTTATCCTACGACTTTTTAACTGGAAGTCTGTCTTAACACTCTAATATTTTGAGAGCCCCCCTTCACACCTGCCAACCTTGACGCCACAGAAGGGAGAGGCTGTGGATTCCTTTCTTGGCTAGAGTTGTCTTGCTTCTCTCGGAGGAGGTCATCTTACCCTTTCCCATCTCTCACTGTGCAGGGGGTGGCTGCTGCCTTTGCCCCTGGAGCCCATCTTCCCAGACACCTGAAGACCCCCTGCTTGACAGCAGACCCTGCTGGAGGCGAGCCCTGCCTTCTTCTCACCCGATGGTATGAATGTGAGGAGGGACTTCCTGAATGCCCTTACCGTGGCCCGGAGACAAGACTGGGGTCAATTACTCACATACTTAAACAAACAGGTCATTTCAAAGGCTCTTTGATTTGTGGTCTCATTTCTTTCTATACAGCCCAGCAAACCAATGTTGCTGGTCCCCCTCCCCAAATCCCTGCAACCTGCCTGGGTTCTACAGCTGCAGCAGGTGGGCAGCATCGCATCTCAGCACAGCAGCAGTCTCTTTGCTTGAGAGCTTTTCTGGTCCCCGGGGACGTCCCATGCAGGCTGGTGTGACAGGGAAGTGCAGGGCAGTTGGCTACCCTGGGCAGGCTGCTTGTCACCCACAGGGACAATTCAGTGGAGTTCTCCATGCAGGTCCTCAGAGCATCTGTGGTGGGACTGAGGCCAATCACCCACAGTCACCTGCCCATGAATGCATCCTGGAAGCCATTCACCTCTCCCTGGCTCAGCCCCCTAATCCCTCACTTGTGCTTCTTGGACCCACCTTCCAAAAAGCTACCTGCATCAGGGCCTGCTTTTGGAGGATTGCAGACTAAGACACCTGTTTCATTCCAGGAAGGATTTAAGGAAGTTCACAAAATATGTGTAACACATAATTTGTCATGAGGCAATACGGAGAAAACCATGGACTTGTGTTTTGATATCCTTCTCTCAAATTACAGCTACATACGGCCAACACTTCTCCAGATCCGCAAAAAATGTGTGAATGCATGTGTGTGATAGTGAAGAATTTTTTTTAAAAGTCAGCTGAAAAGCTCTTTCAGTAGTGAAGATGGGGACAGAAGGCTCAGTTGGCCCTGTTTGATGTGTGTGTTTCCAGCGTGTCTGGAGATGGAGAGAGAAACGGGCACAAATCCATCCTAAGTGAAGAGACAATTCTATTGTTGCTGTAAGCCTTGAGGGCCCCAAGAGCTAGACAGTGCTGGCCTGTGCTCTGCGATGTGTGTGACAGCCACTGTCCCTGCTCTGAAAGCAGAGCTGATGGGGGCTGTGAGTCAGGTGACAGGCTGGCTGCACTGCTCAGACCTCAACCTGCCCCAGCCTCCCAGGGCACCTGCTAAGGCCAAGCCATTAATACTTGTGCTTGTTAAAACGGGGACCAGACAGGATGCAGGTGTACAGGGCGTGACAGGCTCCCACTATTGCTGGCCGCCCATCTCAGGCAGCACTTGCTCCTGTTCATGCACTGGAAAACACACTGTGCCTGGAAATCCCTCTGCATGCCTCAGCCAGCCGAAGAGGCGTTGGAGCCCTCAGGCCTTGCTATAAAAATCCCCGTGGAGGCGGCACGTCTGCCTGCCTTCCTGTCCTCAGCAACCAAAATGGCACAACACAGAGGATGATCACGCAGTGTGGACAAGTCTGTTTCTCCCCTGACAGATTTCCCTGTGTCAGGACAGATGCCAACATGCGGCCAATACACTTTTAGGTCAGGTACCTTGGAATGAAAATACAGCTGCCAGATCCTCTGGAGAAGGGGTGGGGGCAGGGCCACCTGGGATGGCGAGCCACACGGGACGGTCCTGAGAGAGGCCGGGAGTGCTGATGGTCGTCAGGGAGCAGCAACTCCCAGAGTGGAGCTGTCACGCCCCCTGGTCCTCCCATGGTGAGGAGATTGTTCAGTCGAGGAATAAAAACCTATGCATGTATGCACACACAGAGACTCCATACCAACTGCAGCAGCTGCTCCCCATAGAAATGGGTTGGCAGTGAGCCGGAAGGGCCAATGTTCACTTTTCCTGTGGGCACGCTTCTGCATTATTTGAAAGCTTTCTCCATAAAGAACATAGAGCTTCTGCCTCTGATAGTGGTGGATGCAGTAATTTAGATCAACTGTCCTACAGAGGAGAACTAGAAAAGCTCACACAATATAAAATACGGTGTGCTGCTCCAGGGCATCAGAAAGTGATCAGGTTGGTGAAAAATCACCCAGCCAAGGTCTGGAAGAAGGTTGGAACCCAGGAAGCTCATCTAGCCCTTGGATCTGCTTTTCCACCGTGGCCTTGAATCCTGGAGTCAGCAGTAACCAGACCTGGTCGAAGGCTGGTGGGTGCAGAAAAAGAACTCCAAAAGTTCACTAAGTCAAGGGTCCGCTCCACGCCTGCAACCCAGCTCTCTGTCGCCTGCGCGGCCCGGACCATCGCAGTCCCTGAAACTGAACCAAGGCCAGCACAGAGGCACAGACAAGTCCTCTCTTCAGGAAAGTGTTATTATCTTCGGCCTCTGAGCGTGTCTACAAGCAGGTTTTCAAGTAATACCCAGGGCACAGTTAAAGACACACAGGCACAGCAGGCAGGACTGAGGGGGAGATTCTTGGAGGACAGGATGGGAGGGAGCTGCAGAGGAGACAGCAGGCGGCCTGCCCATGGACTCAACTGATATCACCAAGAGAATATGCTCTTGGCTGGGCCATGGCACATGGGGACATTGAGGGCAGTCAGCCACCTGGAGCTCCTCAGGGACTGAGAGCTTCTTTCCCCACTTCTGGCCAATCACATGCCCTTTGATCTCACCGAAGAGAGCATGAACAACGGAACTGCTACAGCCTATGAACATTTGAAGAAATTTTCAAGATGGAGAAAGCTCAGGGTTGCTGCTGAAGGCAATACCTGTGTTCCAAAAAACCCTTGGGAGAGCGAGTTGATGAGTCGGAGAGGGTGGCCCCTTGGCATGTGAGTGTAGAGTAACACTTCCTGCTGAAAGCACGGAGCATTCTCATGGAGCCTGTGAGGGCAGGCATTCGACAGGGTCTGCCAACCTCCTAAGCCAGCCAGGCTCCCAGCACACCTGGACACATTAGCATATTAACCAAGGAGGGAAAAGAGACAGGGCTGGGCTGCTCCTCACCAGTGCAGAAGGGATTGCCACAGCTGCAGGGACAGAGCCCAGCCTGCCCCCAGCCCTGCCCCCTTCCTACCTGCCTCCCTCTCCAGATCACACAGCTGGAGACACCTGCGCTCTGGTCATAGCTTTAGTGCACTTAGGAAGCATGCATGTGAGTCTGTGTCTTGGAGAACACATCCAAAGTACCTTTTAAAGGTGATTGTACAGGTTATGTCCTGTCCCAGTGACATGCAGTCGTGAGAGCGTCCTCAACTGTTTTGTTCACTGATATACTCTAAATCCCTTGAACTCTACCTGGCTCATAGTGAGAGGTTGAATAAATGAATGAATCAATGAATAAATACATCTGCACTATCAGCCTAGATTTTGTTTTGTTTTGTTTTGTCTTTACCTCTGATTCAATGTTACTCCAACAGTGTAGCCTTTTGGGGTTCCAGTCCAAAGCACATATTTACTAACTTACATTTATGTGTATTAAAACATATTATTAATTTATATTTACTAATTAAACTCTATTATCTCTTCATGTGGGTGTTTTTCTGCCATCACAGACCCCCAATATTTAAAACATTAAGATTTGATTTGGAGACTTTCTGACAATGCTACACTAAGTAATTCAACCCAGTTCTTCTGCTGAAGGCAAATAGGAAAGCTGGAAAAGGTATGTTTTAAAGTTTGCTTGAAAGCATCAGAAAGCTAGCCAGGATGTGAAGAATTCCACGACTGAGATGCAAGAGAAGACAGAAGTTCAGAGACATGAGCCTGGAACTTGGGTCACTTTTGCTATGGAGATGGCTGAGTGTTCCAGCAATGCATTTGACATCCTGGAAGAATGTGGGGGGAGTTTGGAGTGCCAGAGCCTGGGGGTACCCATGGTGATCTCCTGTGCTTTGGACTGGAACCCTAAAAGGCCACACTGTTGGAGTAACATTGAATCAGAGGTAAAGACAAAACAAAACAAAACAAAACAAAAACAAAGCCCACTTTAAATAGACTGTGGCCTGGTGTTGAAACATCTGGGGGCTCAGAAACTCTCAAGTTTTGAAAAAAAAAGTTAGGTAATTCCAGGTTGCTTCTTGGCCAGGAGACTTACAGAAGTCATGAAAATTTTTTAGGCCTCAAAGTATTTCTAGAAATAACTTCAAATACAATGTCTGGAATAGAAATTAGTCAAACACAGGAGGAGACAAGGTAACATTAATAAGAACAAGCAGAAACAACCCAATATAGAAATAGACCTACAGGGGATACAAACATTAGAATTAGAATATGCATCCTTACCTTCAACCAAAGGCTTTGCATGCCTGTACATGGCATCCTGGAAAGACAGTCCACATAAAGTGATGGTGTGCCACATCACATAAAGTATAAGATGTGAATATAGTATCATTCCATCTACCTTAACCCTGCTGTCTCTTGTGCTATTGCAATCACTTATTTTGCTGTTGCAAACTTCTGTAGAGCGTTTATTTTATTTTTCTTTTTTCATTTTCCTCTTCTGCTTCTTATTTATTTATTTTTTAAGAGACAGGGTCTTGCGTTGTTGCCCAGGCTGGAGTGCAGTGGTGCAATCACAGTTCACTGCAGGCTCAAACTTCTGGCCTTAAGCAGTCCTCTTGCCTTAGCCTCCCGAGTAGCTGGCACCACAGGCACACTCCACTGCTCCTGGCTATTTTATTTTATTTTTGAAGAGATGGGGTCTTGTCCTTTTGTCCAAAGTGGTCTCGGATTCCTGGCCTCAAGTGATCTTCCTGCCTCAGTCCCCCAAAGTCCCGGGATTACAGGTGTGAGTCACTGTGCTCGTTCCTCTCCTTTCTTTCTGTCTTTTTAAACCTGTCTTTTCTTTCTTTCTCTTTCTTTCTTTCTTTCTTTCTTTCTTTCTTTCTTTCTTTCTTTCTTTCTTTCTTTCTTTCTTTCTTTCCTTCTTTCCTTCTTTCTTTCTTTCTTTCTTTTTTTTCTATCTCTTTCTTTCTTTCTTTCTTTTTCTTGCCTTCTTTACTCCTCCTCTCTTCCGAATATGTCAGTCTACTCTTCTTTATTTCCTAGAAAACATAGTCAGTCATGTCACCACAGCCATTGCCGTCTCAAGATTTTATTGGCCAGACAAGTTCCCAAGCGTTTCCATGAAATATCAGCTTTCAGATTATTTATCCCCAGAGAGATGGTTGCTTACTTATTTTAACTCTTCTTCAGTATATTTTCTGTCTGATTTTCTAAATCATGTTTTGATATTCCTAAATATGATTTTGCCATCCGTATTCATGGAGCACCTCCTTCTTGGGTATCACTTCAGTTAAAATCAATGGGGAGTTTCCCTTCCCATGTTTGTATCCTTGTTAAAAAGTATATTTTAAATAGATCATAATCACTTTATAATTTATAATTACAATCATCTTATAATTTGCACATGCCTTCCTTTGCTTTGACTTGACAAGTACATTACGAATAATATTATGAATAATGAAGCCATGAACATTCATGTACAAATATTTGTGTGGATGAATGTTTTTATTTTTTTGGGATAGATTCCCAGGAGTGAAATTTCTGGCTCATACAGTAAGTTTATATTTAACTTTTCAGAGAAACTACCAAACTGTTTTCCAAAGTGACTGCACCAATTTGCATTCTCATCAGCAATGTGCGATGTTTCTAGTTGCCCCATATCCTCACCAACACTTGTTATTGTATATCTTTTTAAAAAAGTTACATATGTTTCTTTTTTATATTTTAAATTGTTACAGATGCCAGTCTTTTTCAGGGTTACACTTTAAAAGGAACTATGATGTCAGTTTCTTCTATAGCAAGGGAAATCTAAACAATGATTTCCCTATGTAATGCATTTTTTTTTTTTTTGAGATGGAGTTTTGTTCTTGTTGCTCAGGCTGGAGTGCAATGGCACAATCTCGGCTCACTGCAACCTCTGCCTCCCAGGTTCAAGTGATTCTCTTGCCTCAGTCTCCTGAGTAGCTGGGATTACAGGCACCTGCCACCATGCCCAACTAATTTTTTGTATTTTTAGTAGATACGGGATTTCACCATGTTGGTCAGGCTGGTCTCAAACTCTTGATCTCAGGTGATCCACTTGCCTTGGCCTCCTAAAGTGCTGGGATTACAGGAATGAACCACCGTGCCTGGCCCGTAATGCATTGTTATCTCAGGTTCTAGTAACTTTCATGAATGCTTATTTCCCTTAAAATATAAAGGAAAATTAAATATTTATTTTCCATCCTCTACCCAATGCTTGGAAAATAATTTGAACTCAGAGCCAAGTAAACGTTGGCTTTGTTCTTTGAGCCTTGTGGTTGTGTGTGCCACTGGGCTTTTGGAGATGATGAAAGTATCATGGAACCATCAGCCAAGTCCTTGCAATCCCTTGCTCTTGAAGCTCACCAAGTCATTTTGCACATAGGGGCTGAGCAAGGCTGTTCTCTGTGTTAATTTTTCAGGGGGTTCTTCACTGAGTAGTTTGCTCTGGGACCTTTATTCCCAGCTTTAGAGCTACTTTCAGGGACATCTGACTGCCCCAAACAGTAAACAACTGGACCAGTTCCTAGAAGGCTGGTCTCCATGCAGAGACGTGGGTGTCCACTGGTTCACCAACCTGGCTATTCCCAGCTCCCACGGGCTCTTCTGCTTCTGCTCAGCACCCTTTGGCCTGCTTGGTCATAGTGTCCTTGAAAACACTGAATTTTTCCACTGTGCAGAATGGAATTTTTCATTTTGTGTTGTTCCTCTTCACTGACTATTTTGCCACCTGACTGGAAGAATTAGACATGAAGGAAAAGAACTCCCCTCGTCAGATGACTTTCCCTGTCACTGTGTCTTGCTGAGCTGTATCTCCAGGACACATGGGTGTCTCATCGCGGTCTGCACGGCGCAGGGTGGAGCAGTCATGAATAGGCATGTTTGACTTTATGAGCTGATGCTTATTTCAGCAAAGTCGTTGCAGAGACCAGGCAGACAGACATAAATGAGGCAAGAGGCTTTTAAATGCAGGTGCTGAATCTGAGTTGCTGCATGAGCACCTTTCCCGAGTGTAATAGGGTGGCCTGAAGAAACAGCACATTCTCCTCCATGAGCTCCTGCAGAGCCTTTTCTTTTTAAAAAAAAAATACAGCTCACAGGCCAGGTGCAGTGGCTCACGCCTATAATCCCTGCACCTTGGGAAGCTGAGGCGGGCGGATCACTTGAGGCCAGGAGTTTGAGACCAGCCTGGCCAAGATGGCAAAACCTTGTCTCTACTAAAAGCAGAAAAATTAGCTGGGTGTGGGGTGGTGCATGCCTGTAGTCCCAGCTACTCAGGAGGCTGAGGCAGGAGACTCACTTGAACCTAGGAGGTGGAGGCTGCGGTGAGCCGAGATCATGCCATTGCCCTCCAGCCTGGGTGACAGAGTGAAACCCTGTCTCCTCACAAAAAATAATGAATAAAAAAATACACAGCTCACATATCATTACCATCCATTTCAAAAAACCAATCCACTTAAACTGTCCAAGTGGATTTCTAAAATAATTAAATATTTATGTAGGTATTTTTACTTCTTTCTGTTGTGAAATATGCTACCTATTCAGAAAAGCTCAGAAAACATATGAGTTATGGCTTAGTTAATTGTTATAAACCAAACCTTCATATAAACACCACTCAGTTCAGGAAATTGCATGTGGCCAGCCTCGAGAGCTCTCCTGCTCTCTGGTGCCCCCTGCCTGTCGAGCTCCTCATCCCCCTCCAGCTGCTCAGCTGGGAACGGTCATCCCCTCCCACTTCCCTTATTACCCTACCCTCTCAGCACCATCTCTAAACACTACTATTTAGTTTTGCCCATTTTGCTGTCTTCATAGTCTCTTTCGATACATACAACTTTTCATTTCAATGTAGTATTTATGAGAAATATTTATTTCTCAGTATTTTCTTTGATGGTTAGAATTTTTTACATCCAGATTAAGAAGTCTTTGCCGAGTCTCAAAGACATTCTACATTACTTTCTAAAAGTAACCCAAAGCTCTAGGGTTTTGCCTTTTACAAATAGATTCTCAGTGTACCTGGAATTGTGGGAGGCAGTGGCCAAGGGTCATATCTGATCTCAGTGTTTCCACAGGACTCCTTGGAAAGACCCCACCACTTTGTGGGACCACCTTCCTCGGAAATCAACTATCATATTTTTGTGATATCATTCTGGGTGTTCTAGTCTGTTCCATTGGCTGATTTTCTTTTTTATCCTTGAGCCAATATCACATTGGATTAATTCTTGAGCGTATATCATAAATTGATGTCCACTAGAACAAGTCCTCCAACCTTGTTGAATGTCCTGGCTCTTCCATTTTCATGTATTTTAGAATCAGCTTGTCAAGTTTCACACACACACATGACACACACACACACATAATGGAAATTTAACTGGAATCACACCGAATTTATGAATGAACTTCTAGAGAATTGACATGTTTATAACATTGAAGTTTTTCATCCGTAGACATGGTATAGCTCTTCATTTATTTAGGTCTTTTGAAAATTTCTTAATGTTGTTTTATGTTTTGCTGTATAGACTCTTGCACATCTTTCATCAAGTTTATTCCCAAGCATTTGATATTTTTGGTATAATCATAAATGATATATTTTAAAATAATTCTCTCTTTGTTGCTAGTATGAAGATGTATAACTGATTTCTGAATTTTGATGTTTATCTGGGAAACTTGCTACACGTACTTTCAAATTCTAACAATTTTCCCATCGACCCTCTTGGATTTTCATCCTAGGCAATCGTACTACTCACGTTACTGATTGTTTCATTTCTTCTTTTCCAATCCTTGCACCCTTTATTCCTTTTCTTGCCATTCTCTGGCTATGGGCTTCTGCACAGTGCTGATCACCAGTGCCAAGAGTGGCATCCGTCTTCCTCCCAATCCCAGAAGAAAGGATTTCAACATTTTACCATTAAATACACATTTATGATTACCCTTTATCAGTTAAAGGAACTGTCCTACTTCCACTTTTCTACGATTTCTAAAAAAAAAAAAAAACATGATGCAAACTGAAGAGAATCACAAGGTTCATCAATTTGGAAAGGAGAGCTTTATTTCTCATAAAGGGTTGCAGCCCGTAGATCGGCCATCCTGCAGGCTGGGAAGCACAGCCTTCACACCGAGAGCAAGTGCTTGGAGGGAGGGAAGAGTAAGTCAGGAATTCATGCTGAACCGGCTGGCTAAGTATGCATATTCAGCACGCTATGGGAGGAGTCACGAATATTCATGAAAGGTAAAAATACACAGTTGAGCTTCACACCTCTTCACTGGTCACATATTTAAAATGGGCAGTGTTAGCACCATCCAAGGATGGAGTTTTAGGTTCTCTGATGTCTAAAGGTGAAATGGAGAACAAAAAAACTCTCACTGAGAGTTCTCCGTAAATTGACCCAAATTAGTCAAGAGATGGTGGTCAGTTTTCAGAAAGGGATGTTTGTCAGCTGTGTCGAACGCACAAAAGCAAGAGATCATTTGATTGAGGCCTGAGGTGATTGGCTAATGATTGTCTGTTTCTTGTTTTCCAGAGCTGGTTTCTGCTTATTCCTTAGGAAATAATTCTGGTTAAAGATTAATAAGGAAGGGGGCATACTCAGGTGGGTCTGACCTCTCATCCCGTCATGGCCGGAAACTCAGTTTTTTTTTTTTTTTTTGAGATGGAGTCTTGCTCTGTCGCCCAGGCTGGAGTGCAGTGGTGTGATCTCGGCTCACTGCAAGCTCTGTCTCCCGGGTTCATGCCATTCTCCTGCCTCAGCCTCCGGAGTAGCTGGGACTACAGGTCCCACCACCACGCCCAGCTGATTTTTTGTATTTTTAGTAGAGACAGAGTTTCACCATGTTAGCCAGGATGGTCTCAATCTCCTGACCTCGCGATCCACCGGCCTCGGCCTCCCAAAGTGCTGGGATTACAGGTGTGAGCCACCGCACCCGGCCCTCAGCTTTTACACACACACACACACACACACACACACACACACACACCCCATTCCCCCCACCCCCCACCCCACGCACACACAGGAAATTTGACTGGAATCACATTGAATTTACAGATCAACTTCTAGATAATTGACATCTTTATAACACTGAAGTTTTTAACCCTGGGGTCCCCTTGGCCAAGAAAGGGTCCATTCACTCAGTTGTGGGGCTTAGGATTTTATTTTTATTTCTCAATGAATAGCTGGAACTTTATCAAATACTTTTCTGCCTTTATTAAAATGATTTTATATAATTAAAAATTATTTATCTGTTTAATATGGCAATATACTTTGATTTTTCAATATTCAACCAACTTTGCATTCTTGGAATAAGTTCAATTTAGTTATGATCTGTTATCCCTGTTTTATAAATTGCTGGATTCAGGTTGCTAATATGTTATTGGGGATTTTATGCCTTTGTTTGTAAGAGAGATCAGCCTGCAATTTTCCTTTCTCTTCACATTCTTGTTGGGTTCAGGGATTACAATCATGCAGGCCATATGAATTGAGTGGGAACTGTTTCCTCTATTACCACTTTCTGGAAGAATTTATCTCTTAAGGAGTAATCTTTGTGGGAGGGTTTTGAATTATATATTTCATTTCTTTATCAGGTAAAGGGCTATTCATGTATTCTATTTGTGTGTGTGGGTCAGTTTTGGTAGATTTTGTTTCTCCTAGGACTGTGTCTTTTTTTTTTTTTTTTTGAGACAGAATCTTGCTCTGTCACCCAGGCTGGAGTGCAGTGGCGTGATCGCCACTCACTGCAACTTTTGCCTTTGGGGTTCAAGCAATTCTCTGCCTCAGCCTCCTGAGTAGCTGGGATTACAGGCACTTGCCACCATGCCCAGCTAATTTCTTTTTTTTGTATTTTTAGAAGAGATAGGGTTTCACCGTGTTGACCAGGCTGGTCTTGAACTCCTGACCTTGTGATCCACCCTCCTCAGCCTCCCAAAGTGCTGGGATTACAGGCATGAGCCACTGTGCCCAGCAGGATTGTGTCTTTTATCTCTGACTTCAAATTCAGGGGAATAAAGCTGTTTGAAAGATCTTTTTATCAACTTCTCACTGGTTGTGGGCCGGAGAACGCTCTGCCAGGCGGTCTTCTCCGTGGACAGTTCACTGCACAGCTTGTTCTGCAAGGCCACCTGGAGGAGCTTCCTGATGATGTGAGCCGGAGGGAGCCTTCTACATCCCGCTCCTAATCTCAGAGGGACAGCCCGTCCCCTCTGCATTGCTTTATCAGTTACAAGTGAGCCTCAGGTCCTGCTGACATGGAAGGGAAGGGAATGACACAAGGTGTGGGCCACTGGGGGTCACTGCCATGAGTCCAGGGAACAGTCAGGACCCTGCCACCTCAGGACTTTGTGTCACTGCAACGGGATGTATGTAACCTGTGCAATCTTTTAGGAAATGTATTCTGGAAATGTATTCCCCCCGGGTGCTCTTCGATGTGCACTAAAGCCATGGCCTTAGTGCAGATGTTCTCAGCTGGGGTGATCTGGAAAGGGGGCAGGTAGAGTGGGCAGGGGGTGGGATCAGGCCAGGGTCTGTCCCCTGCTGGCTGTGTGAGTTCCTCCCGTAGGGCAAAGGTGACGGGCTGTCCCTCTGAGATGAGGGTGCAGGCTGTAGAAGGATCTCTCTGTCTTGCACCAGAAGGGGCCCCAGCCCTGTCTCTTCTCTCTCCTAGGTTAATATGCTAATATGCCCAGGTGAGCTGGGAACCTGGATGACTATAGTCAAGGCCTGCTCCCAGATGAGGAGCGGAAATGTCCTTGTCAGCAGGCATTAACCTGCACGCAGATGCACAGTGATGTGTAGAGCTGTTTTCCTCATTCCCTATTCTGAGGGCTTTTGAAACGCGTAATTACAGTATTTAATAGTAACTCTTAACTCTTTTTCATCTTGAGGACGCCTTCAAACATTAACAAACTAAAGTGGTTTTCTTTGTTCATCTCTACAGGTGTGACAGGGCTGCAGCTGCCCCCAGGCCCGCCCCACCACCATCTCCTTCCCTCCCAGGGAGCCCAGGCAGCCTCCATCTCCTTCTTTGCACTGCCCTGTGCTGTCTTGCAGCCACCCTTTCAGCCCTGTGTCCTTCCTGCAGCCCCTACCCTGCTGTCCACTTCTCCGGAAGCCCTCTTCACCCTAGCCTTGGGACCTGCTCACTCCTCCTCCAGCCCTGCACTCCTGCTTGGAGCCCTGGGATACCAGAGAGGCAGGGAGCCTTGTTTCCGCTCTGGGGGGTGGTGCGAGTCCAGGTTTCTTACCTTCTCTGCCACTGTGTGGCAGGTGCTGAGCGAGCATCTTGCCACAGAAGCACCTGAGAATGCTGACCACAGAAATGGGCTGTAATAAGTAGAGCTTAGCTCTAACACGAATTAGGCAGGTGTGTGCTGGCTGCTCCAGAAACTCACTGGCCCAGAGATTGTTTCAGTGAGAACTTGCATTCTAGGTTCCCACCCATCCCTAAAGACAGTCATGGGTCAGTTCCCCATTGAGCAGGCACATGGTGGACCCTCTGCATTGAGGGAATTCACGTGGCCTCTGACTCCCCTACTTGGCTTCCTTCCCCTAAGATCCTCTGTCCCTGCTTGTCCAAGAGGAATCATAGTTATACAATAATTAGTAATAACAAGGACACGTATTGAGCATTGATCTGATACCAGAAACTCTTCTATTTTACACTCAATTCTGATAACATCTCTATCAAGTAGACATTGCTATTATCTCCATGTTCTCAGATGGGGGACTGAGGCACAGGGAAGATAAGTAGTCTGGCCACATCACACAGCTCTGGAGCCAGGACTCACACCCAAAACATCTGAAAATAGAGCCAAGAGCGGGTTGTATTGCGAGCTTTGGTGGCCCCAGCCTCTGCTCCCTCTTCTGACTTCTCGCACAGGACATTTCTCACCGTTAATCTTGGTGAGTGAGACTGTGGGTGAAATGTCCTGTCACAACAGGACATCCTGCTTGGCCAGTTGGACTTTCTGGGAAGTGTGGATTTCCAGTAAGCCATCTGGGGACTTCAGGCCTTTCCTGGAGATTTACCTCCACAGCAGAAGGGATCCTTCATCAGCAATTGCTTCAGGGACCCCAGCAGCCCTAGCCCCTCCCTTCCCCAGGAGCTTCTCTTGGGGTTTCTGAGCCTGACCCCAACCCACTTCTTTCCATCACATCCTTTTCTTCTGGAAGTGGGCCAGAATCCATTTCTGTTGCATGCAACCAGATGCAAGCTGAGCTGTGTCTTCAGAAGAGTGGAAAGAAGGGGAGAGCAGGGAGAAAGAGCCTCTCCACCCAGAAGCTGCAGGGAGGCGAGGAGGGCAGAGCCCCGCTCAGCCTGAGTCGCTGGTGAGTGGGCGTCCACTCCGCCTCTGCCCAGGAGTCATCCTTGATTCCTCTCTCCAATCCCTCAGTATATCTTGTTCCCTAACTCTGAAATGTGTCCGGACCCCATCTGTCCCCACATTTCCCTGGGCCACCACCCTCTGTCTCCCCGGACACTGTAGGAGGCCCCACCTGGCCCTTGAGTCCACTCGTGCTCCCCACTCCCAAATCCAGTCTCTAAAACAGCTCAGGCATTCTTGAAAATGCTCAGGGATTTTTGAAAAACCCAAGTCAAGTCTTACCATTCTCCTGCTGAAACCCTCTGATAGCCTGCCAAGGTGCTGGAAATGGACTCCAAGGCCATCCGCATCTGCCGGTCTCTCCTTTGGCCTCCTCCCCAGTTCCCTGCCCTCCTACTTCCCGGGACAGGCCCTGCTAGCCTGAGGGACCTCACCGAGCACTTCCCTGCTCCTTCACGTGGAAACCCCAAGACACCCTGGGTACTGTTCCACCCATAGGAGCTGGTGTGTCCCGAGGATACTCACTCCCTAACTTTCTGCATTTCAGTGGCTACTCCCTGATATTTCTCTTGTTTGTGTTTATTGTGTGTCAGTTGCACAAGTGGGCACCTTATGTCTTTTTCACCTCTGTTCCCCAGACACTAAAGATGTTCCTGACATACCAAGGCCCTCCGTCAAGTCTCAGTGAAGAAACGAAATGAACCGTGCATGCCTGAAAAGTAAAGATACTCACACAGCTATGACAGGTGTTTGTGGTGTGCTCCACAACCTTTCAGGGCTGGAAATTACACATTTCTTCTCTTTTTGAGATCAAATAAGTTTGGCCCAGCAGCTCTTGGCTTTCCAGGACTACCACAGGCCCCTCTGGGGTTTTCGAAGAACACTGAGGCCTGGCAATTTGAAGAAGGGTCACTGGTCCCCACTCCTCCAGGCTGCTGTTGCTGGCGTGTCCTGCCCATGCAGGAGTAGCCCTGGGAAGTGGGTGCCCTTGGGCACGCTACTGATGTTCCCGCCAAGCCCTCCGGGTGTGCCTCTGTCCCCCTGGGGAGCTGAGTTTGGCTGAGAGCCCCTGATGCCACCTGCCTCTGCCCCTACCCCAGTTCTGGCAGCAGCTTCCCCCTTCCCTTGGGGCACCTGCTCCTCCTCCCTCCCTGACTTGGGTTTGAATCTTGATGAAACAGCTGGCTGACTAGGGACACGTGTGCCTTACCTCCCTTCACCTCAGCTTCCTCCTCTGTAAGATAAGGACCCTAATGCCATGTGGCAGGTTGTGAGAGGATTAAATAAGGAAATGCACTTCAAGTGTTTAGCTTAGAGTCTGGGGCCTAAGATGTGGTCAGTTAATGTTAGTTAAAATGAAACCAAGGAAACCCCAGCTGTGCAGGACAGACATGATTAGGAGGGAGCAGGCATGCCTGCTACGGGCAGGTCAGAGGTGGCTTGGGGTCAGCGAGTCGACTTCCTGGAGGAGGTGGTCCTGGAAGGACAGATGGGATTTGAATGAGGCACAAGGGTGGACAGCTCCAGGACCAGGGGTCAGCCTGGCATCCCTCACCTGGAAGGTCAGCTGGGAGGTAGTGGAGGTGGAGTGCTTTCCGGCGTGGAAGGTACTGGCTGGCCCGGTGGGGGTGTTCTGACTCTGCAGAGGGGGAGTGTCATCCCCAGCTCAGACGCTGTTGTGATGTCACCGGCAGCACCCAGCACTTCCCCACCTTTGCCCTCTAGGGTGGGTGAGCTGCAACACAGGTTGCAGTGGCCCAGGGGGAGGGGATCATAGACCATAGACTGCCCTGGACTTGGGCTGTTTCCAGTGTGGGGCTACCGGGAACAAAGCTGCTATGAAACTTTGTGTGCAAGTCTGTGTGTGTGTGTGTGTGTGTGTGTGTGAGAGAGAGAGAGAGAGAGGACTTCCATTTCTCTTGGGTAAGCACTAGGAGTGGACTTGCTCAATCAGACGTGACTAATGTTTACTTGTACCTTGTACAGGAAATTGCTGGGAAGTCTCTTGAGAGCAGTGACCATTTCCCATTCCCGATAACCGCATGTGGGGGTCCTACACCAACCCACCACAACCTCACCGATGCCGAGCGCTGTTGCGCATTCACACTCCGGTCACTCTCGTGGGTGTGCCGTGGCACCTTCATGTGGTTTGAATCTGCACGTTCCTGTAGGTGAACCGTGCTGAGCCTTTCTTCATGTGCTTATTGGCCAAGGGTGTTCATTCCTTTGTGAAGAATGTGTTCAAATCTTTTGCTCATTAAAAAAAATTCGTTGTTGGTCTTTTTGTTATTGAGTTGTATAACTTCTATATATATATATATATATATATATATACACACACACACATACATACATACACACATATATACATACATATATATATATATATATAAATTTGTTGTTGCTTTTTGAGATGGAGTCTCACTCTGTCACCCAGGCTGGAGAGCAATGGCATGATCTTGGCTCACTGCAACCTCCGCCTCCTGGGTTCAAGGTATTCTTCTGCCTCAGCCTCCCGAGTAGCTGGGATTACAGGCACCCACCACCACGCCTGGCTAATTTTTGTATTTTTTAGTAGAGACAGGGTTTCACCATGTTGGTCAGCCTGGTCACAAACTCCTGACCTCGTGATCCACCTGCCTCGTCCTCTCAAAGTGCTGGGATTACAGGAGTGAGCCACCACACCCAGCCTTTATATATTTTTGATGCCAATTCTTTGTCATAGTTGATCCTTATTCTTCGTGGATTCCATATTTCTGAATTCATTTACTTGATAAAATGTACTTATAACCCCTAAGTCAATACTGTGGACGATTTTGTGGCCATTTGTGGGCACACACAGAGCCCTGAGACATTGGAGTTGTCTGATGTGTGTGGCCCCAGCTGGGATGGACAGGGCAACTCCCCACCTTCTTGCTGCAGCTCCCACAGGGACGGTGAGTGTCCTTTTTACGGTCCATTTAGTGCCCCATTTTTTCACGTTTCTGTGCATTTTGTTGGGGATCTCATAGTTTGTAACAGCCCCGGCATGGTGCTGAAGCGCTGTCTGGGGCTCCAAAGTGCAAGAAGGCTGTGCTGTGCCTTATGGAGAAAACTGGTGTGTTAGAGAAGCTTCATTCAAGTGTGTTGGCTGCGAGTTCAATGTAAAGGAATCAACAGTGCTGATCAAATAAAGCATCTTTCAATAGAAACACACATCAAACAAGGTTATGCATTGATGGGTTGATGACAATGCTATCACCAGAGGCTCATAGGAACCTTCCCTTCCCTAAGAACCGTGGTTTGGTGTTCACTAAATTGGTGCTGAGGCATTTCACGGACTGTAACTACCACCAGTAATGAGAATCAACCCTGGACAGAGGCACTTCACAGACTGTAACTACCACCAGTAATGCGAATCAACCCTGGACGTTTTCTCCGGATAGGTGGCTTGCCTCCTCATTTTCTAAATGGTGTATTTTAATGAATAATAGTTTTATATTTTCATGAAAGTGACTTACCAATAGTTTCTCTTGTGGTTTTTGCTTTTTCCTGTGAAGCTGGCACATGTTCTCTTCTAGAAGATTTATAGCTTTAGTTTTTATTTTGGGTTTGTAATCCATTCCATATTTCTCTTTGTGTATGTATAGGCAGGGGACGAAGTTTATTTTTTTCCTATAGATATCTGTTCACATTGAAGCAAATCCAAGACAGTCTATCATATCCTCTGAACTCAGTACAGTATGTATCGCTGTGTTAGTTCAGGATGCTATAAAATACTATAGGCTGAGTGGCTGATAGACAACAGAAATGTATTTCTCACAGTTCTGGAGGCTGGGAAGTCCAAGATCAAGGCACCAGCAGGTATGGTGTCTGGTGAGGGCTGCGTCTGGTTTACCATGATGCCTTCTTGCTGTGTCCTCATGTGATGGAGAGTAGAGAGCTAGTGAATTCTCTGGGGCCTCTTTTATAAGGGCACTAATCCTGTTCATGAGGGCTCCACCTTCATGACCCAATCACCTCCCAGAGGCTCTGCTCCTAATACAATCACATTTCAGGTTAGGGTTTCAACATATGGTTTGGGGAGAGGAGGCACATTCAGTCTTTTGCACTAATGTATAAAAGTGTAAGATTCTATTGAATGCAATGCATATTAAAGGCCTGTGATCATAGCCTGCCTTCAGCAGAGGCTTGCTCTTGCCTCTGGTGTTAACAGCCAAACGTCCCTCACTACCCAGGCTTTTGGGGAAAGCTTTGGACTGGCTACATTCTCCAATTCACAGGCAGCTGCTCAGCAGGTTCTCTCCACCTAAGCTGTTATCTCTGGCCCCTCCCCTGTCCTTGCGGCAAATCCCACATGAAGTGTACAGCAGATAGTCAAAACATTATTTAATTCACAGCTTCTACTACTCTGAGTTTAGAATGGAGGAAACCCTTCTTTGTTAGGTGTTAATACTCTTATGATACTCATGTTGTTTGAATCAGCCTCTAAACTCATTCATTTATTCAACAAATATGTATTTACCTCCTACTATGTCCCAGGTACTGCACTGGTTTGGGTGTTGTCCAAGACAGATGAGACACCTGCTATCCTAGAGCTTCCATTCTTGTTAGGAAAAGACACTCTAAGCAATGAATGATACCCTTCACTACTTAAACTACAACAACGCTCTCATCATTAAAGTGCTTTAAACCATAAGTATAGGAGCCATTAGATTGCTCTACAAGGGGATTTGACCTCATCTGGGAAGGCAGGGAAATCTCTGACCAGCGAATTCTGAATTCTACCAGAGGAGGGGAATCAGCTAGATGAGGTAGGTGTGTGGGGGCAGAGGGCAGAGGTGGGGCTCCTGGTGCAGGGAGCAGCATGTGTAAAGACCCTGAGGTGGAAGGGACTCTGGGATGCCAGGACTGGAGCAATGGGAGGGTGGCGTGTGAGGGAACATTGTGCAAGGTGAGGCTGGGGGTGCTGCTAGGCCTCGAGGGCCAGTTCAAGGTCTTGCTTTATGTTTCAATTCGGCGTCGTCCAGCAGAACTTGCTGCACAGAGAGAAAACCTCTGTATCTGTAGTGACCAGTGTGGTAGCCGCATGTAACTACTGAGCCCTGGAAATGTGGTTAGTGTGACCAAGAAACTGAATTTTAGATTTTAATTAAATAAAATTTCAATAGCACATGCAACTTGTGGCTGCCAAGTTGGGCTTCATAGCTGTAGCACAACGGCAGGTCACCAAGAATGTAGACCAGGAAGATGACACCATCGGATCTGCATTTGTTACTGTTATTTGTCACTCACTGTGGCTCCATGCGGACAGTGTAAGGACCTGTGGAGATGTTGCCACAGTGGTGCTGGGGGTAAATAATGGCTGCATGATCTCGGAAAGATTCAAGAGATCTTCGGGAGTCAGAATAGTGGTGGCCTCTGATAGTGGGCAGGGAAGGGAGCTGGCAGGACTCCTTCTCAGGCTGCTGATATGAGAAGGACAAAGTTGGTGGGGTTCCCCGTCCCTTCCAGAGTGGGTGCCCAGTACTCGGGAGGAACAGGCTGTCTAGATGTGCAGCTGCAGGGCTCCAAGGAAAGACCTGGGCTGCCGGAATTTCTAAGAAAGTTAGGAGGAATTTCACCTGTGATGCATCAGTATGGAAATGCAACATGAACAGGAAAGAAAAATGCCTGGGCAGGGCGAGGTAGCTCACATCTGTAATTCCAGCACTTTGGGAGGCTGAGGCAGGAGGATCTCTTGAGTTCAGGAGTGCAAGACCAGCCTGGGCAACATGGCGAAAACTCATCTCTACAAAAAATACAAAAATTAGCTGGTCACGGTGGTGTGCACTTGTGGTCCTAGCTGCTCAGGAGGCTGAGGTGGGAGGATCACTTGAGTCCCAGAGGCAAAGGTCGCAGTGAGCTGAGATTGCACCACTGCACTCCAGCCTGGGCGACAGAGCAAGACCCTGTCTCAAAAAAATAAAATAAAATAAAAAAGAAAAATACTCAGTAAAACCCAAACTTCCTATTTTTTTTTTGGATTCCTGTTCAAAGTTGGCAATGTGCTCAGATAGTTGCAATCAGATGTACGGGTCCTATTAGATGCTCTTAAAAAAGACAAAACCAAAACTCTTGACTTGCTCCTGCACACATTTCCAGGAATAGTCCATGTAAATGTTACGTTAGCGTGATGTTTCTGAAACTCACCCATGTTGTGTGTGCCGGTGATCCATTTATTTTCACTGCCGGGTGGTCTTTTGTTTATGGATGTGCCACAATTTGTTTATCCATTTACAGGTAGCTGGACATTTGGGTCATTTTCATGTTTTTGATGGTAGTAATTAAATGCTTTTAAAAGTGGGCAGTATAATTTTAGAAAAATAAAGATGTTTATTATTTTATGAAAAATGTATATTATGCTTGTTGTAGTATACATGGAAAATAGAGAAAAGCATAAAAAGCAAAAAACTTTATAGCCCCATAACAGTTTTAACCTACTATGATATTTTCTGGAGTTCTTCCCAAACTGTTCAGTTCATGTGTATGTAAGTATGAATGTATATAAAATTGTCAAGGCCAGGCGCGGTGGCTCACGCCTGTAATCCCAGCACTTTGGGAGGGTGAGGCGGGTGGATCACGAGGTCAAGAGATGGAGACCATCATGGCCAACATGGTGAAACCTCGTCTCTACTAAAAATACAAAAATTAGCTGCGCATGGTGGCGGGCACCTGTAGTCCCAGCTACTCAGGAGACTGAGGCAGGAGAATCGCTTGAACCTGGGAGGTGGAGGTTGCAGTGAGCCGAGATCGCGCCACTGCACTCCAGTCTGGGCGACAGAGTGAGACTCCATCTCAAAAAAAGAAAAAAAAATTGTCAAAATGTAGATCATATTGCAAATGCAATTTTGATTTCTACCTTTTATTAAAAACACAAAAAACGTGGGCACTTCCCATGGCACAAAACCAGACGTTTTGTGCAGATCAGACGGTGTCAAATGCAGATCTGATAGTGTCATCTTCCTGCTCTACATGCTTGGTGCCTTGCCATTGCCCTAGAGCTACATGGTCCAATTTGACAGCCACAGATTGTATGTGCTATTGAAATTTTATTCAATTAAAATTTAGAATTCAGTTCTTCAGTGACACTCGCCACATTTCCAGGGCTCAGTAATTGCATGGGGCTACCACCCTCGTAGCCAGTATTTTCCCAGATCTTAGGTGTGTGTGGACGTGTTTTTAGCAGTCACTTCCCTCATCACTGCTTCTCAGTGGTGTTGCTTTTGGTTGCCCGAGGGACTCCTCAGCGCCTGCAACCCTCATGGTCCCCAAAGTTTTGTCCTGGGACATCTGGTTTTGTGCTACGGGAAGTGCCCGAGTTATTATAGAATCCAACTCCATCATTCAACTAGCATTTATAGAGGCTGCTTGCTCTTATCAGGGATGGGGCTTGACGCAGGGAGCTCAGGGCCCATCTCCAACAGCCCAGCCTGGAACACCCGGGTCCAGAGTTGTGCCTTCCTCCCCTCCCAGGCTCCCGGGGCTGCCCACCACGCCGTGGTCATAGGATGATGGCTCCATCAACCCTCCTTGGAAGGGCTTCCTTACACTTGGCTCCCTGGCGCCCTCCCTTCCTGATGAAATTTGGGCTCTCCAAGGCCTATAAGTTGGCCAGCCTCAGATGCTGACGTGCTATAATAGCTCTTGTTCCTTCCAGCACTGTGCAACCCTGGGGAGTTAATGAACAATTTGCAAAGGGCCCCAGGAGCTGGAGAAAGGCTTTAAAAAAGACTGGGTATGACTTGGGTGTCATAGTTACAGAATTCTTTAAGGCCACAGTTATCAGTTTAAGAAATTGTCTTTTCCACTTCACTACATTCTGTTTGGTTCCCTAGAGAGGAGGTCAAGCTAAAGATTAACCACGTTGTGGTCTGTCTACAATATTTAGATTCCAGATTAACTTACTCCTATTTTTCTTGGCCTCTTCTGTGACAATTTCTTTCCTCTGTAGTTACTTGCTTAGGGGTTGTTACAATAATCAAAAATTTTAAAAAGCATTAAAATATTAGTTATGAGGCTAAACAGAACAATTAGGGAATCTGTCACCTCGCCAGTGAAACCTACCATTAATAAATGACTGTTTTACATTATTCCTAGGCCAGCTTGCCTTTCTTTTAATATACGTAATTAGGTTTTTATTTCTCCCAAAGTGAATAGTTTAATTATTAGAAGTATTATATATGTGTGGTCTAACTTGTCTTTTTCTGACATTGTCAGTCCTGATTCAATGTTTGTTGGTCACATTGCATCTCAATGACAGGAAGAGATGTTAGGGACAAGCATTGAAGATGACAAGATGTAGCAGTCAGAGTATTAGTATGATGGGAATGTTATTATCCCAAGGGCAAGACCACCACCCACACCCCAGACCCTCAGCACACCTATGCACGTGCACGCGCACACACACACTCCACACAAGCTTGAATGGGCCATTCTTATGACATTGTCCCACGGCCTGAGAGCTGGGAAGAGAATGGCTTTTCCACCATGAACAAAATGACTTCACATCAGTCCACTGCCCATGCCCCTGGGGCTGAAGAACCTGCACGAGGTCAGGGACCTGGGTTCGCTGCTTTGTGTTGTCAATTGAGAAAAATGACGAGAGAAGTCTTAATCATTTTAGGTGGTTTATTTGCCAAAGTTAAGGACATGCCAGGGAGACAGGTCGATTCCTTGCTCCGAAGACGATTTTGAGGGCTCCAAATTTAAAGGGGAAAGGGCGGGATATTGAGAAGCACACAGTTTTCATGTAAGAGGCGGGTAGGGAAAAATAGTCATTCATGACTTTGTCTGGCTCACTGAATCTGCATTTTTTACATAAGATGACATTGACAAATGGGTCGGGGAAAAATGCAGGGAATCTGCATTTTACATAAGATAACTTAGACAAAATGGGGCAGCAAAACAATCCCATATGCATTTGTGTCTGGTGGGCGGGGGGTGACTGCGTCTGTAATGATAAGCTTTGAATTTACGTTGTCATGGTGAAATGTTAACAGAAACACCTTAAAAGATCTTGCAGCTCACTAAGAATTTCCTTGTGGGCAAAATACAGGGGAGGCATGTAGCTTTTCACCTTGTAGCCATCTTATTTAGGAGCCAAAAGGGGGAGGGAGGTTTGCGTGATCCAGGCCCCAGCTTGACTTCTCCCTTTGGCTTAATGAGTTTGGGGTCTCAAGATTTAATTTCCTTTCACAATATTCAGCACTGGAAACGTGCAGGGGACATGGAGGGGCTCAATAAATACGATTAGATTGAAAATTGCCAATATCTGATCTTTTGTTGTCCCCCGCACAGTGGTTCATGTGGTTTACCCTCATTTTTGTTGAATGGGGAATAAGGGAATGATCTCTCTGATCTTGGTCAGCACAGGCTCTGCATGTGCGTCTCTTTTGGCATTTTTGCATCTCTAATGTGGAGAACCGCTCCAGGACTGCAGAGGACACACGGGGAAACGACCAGAATGGAGGAGAGGCCACTGGCAAAGTAGCCTCGGTCTGTCTCAGGTGGCTAGGGCTGTGCTGGGTCCCCACAGGACTCTTGTCCTAAGCATGCACCAGTATGCGGCTCCACACTGCACTGACTGGGTGATCGATCACGGGGAACCGTGGCCTCTGAGAAGTAGGGTGTCTTGGAGGCCAAGGGAAGAGAAAGTGGTAAATACTGACAGCCAGCCATTCAGAAGACGGCAAAGGAGAGTGCTTCTTACCTGCCATTTTTGATGCTGTGGCCAGAGGGAGCTCTAGATGACGGCGGGGGCAAGCCTCCAGCTAGCCTCTGGTGACTGACAGCTGGCTCTGTTGGTCTGAGGCCCTGGTTACTTCCCGCTGATCTACGATGGTGATGTCACGAAGCTCTTGGTGGTAATTTTCTGCTCCATGATGTCAGCCAATCGCAGCCGGTCTGGAGCCTGCAGAGCCAGCTTTGTTTGGAGGCTGGGACAGAGCCACGCACAGGAGGATGAAGCATAGGAGAAGGGGATAAAAATGTTGATTAAAAACAAAAAGCAAAACAGACCCTTTTTTGGTTGAGGCCAGAGACTGGCATATTGGTGCCCCCTTCCACCACCAGCCCCTGTTTAGGGTGCAGTCCCCGGAAGCTGGAGAATGGGTGCGCCAGGGTCCTGGGTGGGACTTCTTTCTCCCCGCGCCCTCTCCCTCACCCTGAGCGCAGGTGCTTCCCCCTCCTCTCACAGGAGCTCCTGACTCACCTTTGGAGGCCCCAGACTTCCCATGGCAGGAAAGAGTTTTTTCTTTAAGGCCAGCGCGGTGGCTCAGGCCTGTAATCCCAGCACTTTGGGAGGCCAAGGTGGGTGGATCACCTGAGGTCAGGAGTTCTAGACCAGCCTGGCCAACGCAGTGAAACCCCATCTCTACTAAAAATACAAAAATTAGCCAGGGGTGGCAGCAGGTGCCTGTAATCCCAGCTACTTGGGAGGCTGAGGCAGGAGGATCACTTGAACCTGGGAAGCAGAGGTTGCAATGAGCTGAGATCGCACCACTGCACTCCAGTCTGGGCAACAAGAGCGAAACTCCGTCTCAAAAAAAAACAAAAAACAACTCTCAAGACTTGTTTTCTTTCATATTCCCTATAAGAACTGTGAAAAATTATGTACTGCATTATATATTATAAAGTTAATAACTACAAATGTCCTCATAAGCTTATATAGTTATGAAGAATGTAATTTCCAGTATGGAGTAAAGTTGACCCTCATCATCTTCCCTTTAAAAAGCCATACATTAATTTTATTTATTTATTTATTTATTTATTTATTTTTTAAGAGACCAGCTTTCACTCTGTTGCTCAGGTTGGAATGTAGTGGCGCAATCACAGTGCACTGTAACTTCAACCTCCTGGGTTCAAGTTAGCCTCCTGCTTTGGCCTCCCAAGTAGCTGGGACTACAGGTGTACATCACCAGGGCCTGGCTAGTTAAAACTTTTTTTGTAGCGATGGGGTCTCACTATGTTGCCCAGGCTGATGTCCAACTCCTGGTCTCAAGCAATCCTCCTGCTTTGGCCTCTCAGAGTGTTGGGATTACAGGTATGAGCCACTGGACCTGACCAAAAAAAAATCCATAAAATTAATCGTCAGAAATTTTACCTCATTAAGTCATTTTACATATTTAAAATTTTTACATGTGTACAAATTTTACATATTTACACCATTAATTTCCTTCTTGAACTCATATTTCTATCCTGATTTTCTCACAAAATTGTGTCCTAAATGACATATTTTTTATGCTTGGAAACTATAGTGGGTTGAACTGTGTCCCACCAAAAGACGTGTTCAAGTCCTAACCCCTGTTACCAGTGAATGTGACCTTATTTATAAATAGAGTCTTTGCAGATGTAATTAAGTTAAGGATCTCAAGATGAGATCATACTGGATTAGGGGGAGCGCTTAATTTAATAACTAGTGTCCTTATAAGAGGAAGGAGAGGGAGAGTTGAGAAACAGAGGCATACACTAAGGGAGGACAGACACATCAAGACAGAGGCAGAGATTGGAGTGATGTGGCCACAAGCCAAGGGATGCCTCAGCCACTGGAGGCTGGAAGAGCCAAGGGAAGGTTCTCCCCTGGAGCTTTCAGAGGAGTGAAATCAAGTGGCCCTGCTGCCATCTTGATTTCAGACTTCTGGCCTCCAGAACTTCGAGTAGATAAATTTCTGTTGTTTTAAGCCAAAAATTTTGTGGTCATTTGGTATGGCAGCCTTAAGAAACTAATACAGGAACATATGCAATAGTTCAATAGAAATTGAAATAAAATTCCTTATGATTGTATGTTCCAAAATTAAAAATATAGATATTTTTTCCTGGATTCAGTTGGTAGTACAATTATTAGAGCAAAACAATAAAAATGTATTACACATTTTGAGAAATAATTCTAAACACAAGTAGTAAAGATTTTTAAAAATTAATTTCTTTTGACATGGATGGGGCATTATTTATTTATTTATTTATTTATTTATTTATTTATTGAGATGGAATCTCACTCTGTCACCAGGCTGGAGTACAGTGGCGCGATCTCAGCTCACTGCAGTCTCTGCCTCCTGGGTTCAAGCAATTCTCCTGCCTCAGCCTCCTGAGTAGCTGGGACTACAGGCGCATGCCACCACGCCCAGCTAATTTTGGTATTTTTAGTACAGATGGGGTTTCACCATGTTGGCCAGATGGTCTTGATTTCTTGACCTTGTGATCTGCCCGCCTTGGACTCCCAAAGTGCTGGGGTTACAGGTGTAAGCCACCATGCCCGGCCAGGGCTTTTTTTTTAGTTCAATTAGTTCAGATATCTGTAATAGAAGAGCACTTATTGCTGAAGTATGATAGATTTTACCATTGTTTGTAACCTTATTTTGGATCTCTATCTCCATCTCTAGCTGTCTCTATCTCTGTCTCTGTCTCTTTCTCTATACCCACTAAGACACTTTGTTCATATATGTAAGTATATATGGATAAGCATAGATTTGTAAAATATACATAATTCATTACATTTTTGTACTACTTCCATGACATGTCAAATAAACACATAGTGATCTATCGTCAAAAATAATTTTAATGCATTACCAATTATAACTCTATAGGTCTGGCTTCAAGTTTTTTGGAACAAAGAACTTAAAAGCAGCTGAGCAGAACAAGAATTTGATACCTGACCTGAATAGTCATTACTTTCTTCATAGCATTTTGTTCCTTTTTCATGTTTCAATTCCTTCTTTGATCTCTTTCCCCAAACTTACCTTATATTCTGGATCCAGTAGTTCCAAGATCTGCAGTTTGGGAGAGATGGCCTCTGCTGTTTGTCATTTCTGCGGTCTCTTGCCTGTGGAGCTCATGGATCACCTATTTTGTAATTTTGGATTGTGGACTCATATTTGGTGGGACTTTATTCTAGGAACTCTCTGGGGCCTGGATTGAGGTGCTTCCTTTCAGAGATGTTATGAGTTTGCTTCTGTCATGTTTCTTGGCAGCCACCAAACCAGGGACATTCATTTCTTGGCTTGAGGTTTCCTAGAAGATGTGGGTAGTACACATTCAAAGGCCAAACCCATATTAAAATCTGAGACGATAAACTTTCCAGAGGGAATATTTCCATCTGAGAGCTGAGACCAAGAAAGAAATGTTTTCTTGCTGTCTCCCTTTACCAGTGGGTGGATTTTTTTTTTCTAGTATCTTCTGCCACTGACTGTGTAGCCCTTCAAGGGTCCTGGGCTTTCTATGATGACTCCAGTCACAATTTTCCAACATCTATGGACCAAGCCCTTGCTCTGTCCCCACAGGGCCACTAAAACCCTGCCCTCCCTGGAACAGTGAGCTCAGCATCCCTTTACCTTTCCTTGGGCAAGAGAAGTGCCCTGTTCCCAGTTCAGGGTCAGAGCACACAGACCAACCTAACTAAACGAGTGAGCATGGAACCACAGCTGGCCAGTCTGGTTCTTTCTTAGAAATTTGCATCTTGAACTGAGACACACAAAAATGGAGAGAGGTGGGAAGTGAGCCCTCCTGTGGAAAGTTCCCAAGAGATGACTGATGGGACCCTTCTGCCAAGGACCCCAAACTTCTCAAGACTTGTGATATGGTTTGGTTCTGTCCACACCCAAATCTCATCTTGAATTGCAGCTCCCATAATCCCCATGTGTCATGAGAGGGATCTGCTGGGAGGTAATTTAATCATAGGGATGGTTACCCTCATGCTGTTCTCATGATAGCAAGTGATGAGAGCTGATGGTTTTATAAAGGCCTTTGCCCCGTTTTGCTCAGCAGTTCTCCTTGCTGCTGCCATGTGAAGAAGGACATGTTTGCTTCCCCTTCCACCATGATTGTAAGTTCCCTGAGGCCTCTCCAGCCATGCTGAACTGTGAGTAATTAAACCTCTTTCCTTTACAAATTATCCAGTCTCAGATGTGTCTTTACTAGCAGTGTGAGGACAGACTAATATAGCCTGGCTGCCAAGCTTTTCCATTACGACAATCTACTGAATAGCCTTCCAATAATTTTTGTCTTAAGTTCACCAGATTCAGTTTGCCTAGCTTGTAACTAAAAAAAGCCATACTGACACGCATTTCCTGCTTGATGGCGTTTTCTCCCAGATGATGTATGAAGGAAGAAATGACTCTCGAGATGGGTTTTGGTCAGGCCTGACTTCGAGAGGGGCCGGCAGGACATGGGACTGAAAAAGTATGGATTTCATCACATTTGACAATGCAAAAGGATGCGTAGATTGATATATAAACTCAAAAGTAAAAATACATTCTTTTATTTTCTAAATAAACTGAACTCTATATAAAAACTGTGTCAAGTGATGAAATCAGTAGTGCAAATCATTTAGCAAAACATTCTAAGAATGTTTTAATTATCTGATGTAGTTTTGAAATGATTGGCACAATCCTTGGTTTGCTTCCAGATGTCACTAAATGGGGCCCATGTCTGAACCTTGATTGAATGTACGAAGCTGCACTGAGCCTTCTCATGACCATCACGTTATGTAGATGAGGGCTTGCTCCTGGATGGTCTTCTGATCTCCACAGCATTGCTCATGAGAGGGAACCTTGCTCAGATTCTGCTGAACTAGCTGCAGTGAATTCAACAGAGCTTAGCTCCTCTAACACTATTCAGAGAAGACCATATTAAGTACGTGAAAATTGCTTATTGGTATGAAAGATTTATTCAGTTGGCATTATTTTATTAACTCACATTTAACCCACAATCTGTCATTCAGCCAAATTTTATGTTTCAGTAACTTGAGAGAACTTTTGGTTCAATGTATTCTTGCTGGGCATGATGGTGTGAACCTGTAATCCCAACAACTCTGGAGGTTGAGGCAGGAGGATAGCCTGAGCTCAGGAGTTCAAGTCCAGCCTCGGCAATCCTATCTCCTAAAAAAAAAAATTCAAAGTATTCTCCACTCTTATCATCATACAACACATGAATTTTTGTAAAATGTATTCAGACGACCTAATAGATTTTCTCTCGGAATTGATATTTCCATTTGTTTTGTTTCAACTGGAATATCAGAGTCCTTCAGTACTGTGACAGTCTGCTCTGTTTTCATGAATATTTTCATTTTGTTTTATATGTTCAGTCACTTTTTACTATTCCTCATTTTAATCTATTATTAGCTTTAACAATGGAAACTTTCTTCAAATAAAGCCAAATCTCTAGAAAAGTTTTCATTTTCCAATGTTTAATGACTTCCACTTCACAGTTTCTACTGAGGTGAAACTGAAAAGCCCAGGGAAGTTCCCAAGCTGTCTGCAGCCATACCCTGGAGCCTAAATGTTTTCCATTTTTCATTGTTTTAATTTCCCTTCTACCCATATTACTTAATTCTCTCTGAGGATGATTTGATATTTAGTTGAAAACATAAAGTTTATCGAGACAAGACATAATGTAAGTGAGATGATTTATCATTTTTATTGCAGTTTTCAGAGATAAAAAAAAAATCCAGTGTTGTGGCTGGTAACAAATTAAGCCAACCTAGTTTTTTTTACCTTCTGGCTGGAAAACCACGTTTTCTCTGTTAATATTACACTGCACCACCTAGACAAGACTAAATAACTTCTGTATGTAAATATTTCTCATTGAAACCATGTTTTATGTGCACTGATAGTAAAATATGATGCCTTTCAGATATAGCATCATGAAACCATTAAGTTATCTTAAAAATCTTAGATTTTGGCCGGTCGCGGTGGCTCACTCCTGTAATCCCAGCACTTTGGGAGGCCGAGGCAGGCGGATCACGAGGTCAGGAGATTGAGACCATCCTGGCTAACATGGTGAAACCCCGTCTCTACTAAAAATACAAAAAAATAGCCGGGTGTGGTGGCAGGCGCCTGTAGTCCCAGCTACTCGGGAGACTGAGGCAGGAGAATGGCGTGAACCCGGGAGGCAGAGCTTGTGGTGAGCCGAGATTGCACCACTGCACTCCAGCCTGGGCGACAGAGCAAGATTCTGTCTCAAAAAAAAAAAAAAAAAAAATCTTGGATTTTACATTTTAAGTAAATGATTAAAATTTTTATGCCAAAGAGTTGAAGCTTCATTGGTTATTATTCAATTCTTACTGTCTTGATTTATATATTTTCACCAAAATTGTTTTCTTATTTCAGTGAAATATATATTTTGTAAGAAATTGATTCCATAAACTTCGAATGTAGTGATATGCTGACATCAATATTATTATTAACATTCTATTAAATGTATTATGGCAGAAAATACCAAATTATTTTTAACTATACAGTAAAATTCTTAAGTTGTGATGGTATCTTCTAAATGTTAGTTTGACTTACTATTTGATAAGCACTTTTCCAAATGCTTTATTGTATGTAGCTGATTCATAATGTTGTTGCACAGTTTAATGCTGATGAAACTTTATTCGAACCATAAACTTTACAACTGTCCATTCTGATAAAAAAAGTATTTACCACTTTCAATCTTTGGTGATAACACTTGTGAGTAAAATCTACAGCCAACATTAGGTTACCAACAACAAATGTAAGCCGTTTGCTTTTCTTGAAATTAGAGGTTGTATCTTTTCATTTTAGGAAAAATAAATTATTTCATTGCGAAGTATTGCAAATTATTCAAAGTATGAAAATGAAGGGCTGGGTTGGGCATGGTGGCTCAGCCTGTAATCCCAGTACTTTGGGAGATGACCCTCCAGCTCTTCAGTACCAAATTCTAAAACCAGACAGCCAAGAGTTGGACATTTGAAGAAAGAATGTTAACGGAAGGAACAGTGAGAAAACTCAAGAGAAAGGGAGAAAAGAAAAAGAATGTAAAAATAAAAATAAATTTTTCTGAAAATTATAACATGTATTCCCAAATGTAGATATTGTCCCTAATAAATAAAAATGGGGAAAAACAAAAGGTAACATTCTTAATATGAAAATAGGTCTTGGAAACTAAAAAAAGAAAAAGAACATGGAAATGAAAATTGTATTGGAAATGATGGAAGAATAGGAAATACTTCTCAGAAGATAGACTTACAAAGAAAATGAGACCTGGGCACCGTGGCTCACGCCTGTAATCTCAACACTTTGGGAGATCAAGGTGGGAGGATTGCTTGAGCCCAGGAGTTCGAGACCAGCCTTGGCAACATAGTGAGACCTTGTCTCTACATTTGGAAAAAAAAAAAAGAATGAAAAAAATTAGCCAGGCATGGTGGAGATGGAGGCTGCAGTGAGCTGAGATCATGCCACTGTACTCCAGCCTGGGTGACGGAGTATGACTTTGTCTTAAAGAAAAAAGAAGAAGAGAAAGGAAATGGAAAGGAAACAGGAAAGAAAGTGAAGATCATTAGAGGATTAACCCAGGAGTTTCATGATGTGAACAAATTCTAATGGAGATGAAAGGAAACAGAGAAGAGGAAATTATCAAAGAAATACATTTAAAAATTCCTAGAACAGGCCTTGCAGAGTAGCTCACGCCTGTAATACCAGCACTTTGGGAGGCCGAGGTGGGCAGATCATGAGGTCAAGAGAAGGAGATCAGACTGGCCAACATGGTGAAACATCGTCTCTACTAAAAATACAAAAACTGGCTGGGCGTGGTGGCGTGCACCTTTAGTCCCAGCTACTCGGGAGGCTGAGGCAGGAGAATCACTGGAACACGGGAGGTGGAGCTTGCAGTGAGTCTAGATTGTGCCACTGCACTCCAGCCTGGCGACAGAGCGAGACTGTCTCAAAAAACAAAAAACAGAAAAACTCCCAAAACAGAAGGACTTGAGTTTCCAGTTTGAAAAAACTCACTGAATCCCCTGCAAAATGAAAGGAAAAAGACCTTCAGTAAAACACAAATCCTGAAACGTCAAAACACTCAGATCAAGCCTCACAGTGAGAAAAATGGGACCCAAGCTAAGGACTAATTGTCTTCCCAACAGCAACACGGGAAGCTAGAATGCAGTGAGAATATGACTTCCCAATTCCGGGGAAACAGCATTCCACTTAGACCCTAGACCCTGAAAGGCGAGTGCTCCAGGGGGATGGAAAAATGACATTTTCAGTCATGTGAGTTCCCGAGGAGCGCACTTTGTAGATACCTTTTCTGAGGAAGCTGCTATTGGACGCCCTCCAGCAAAATAAAAAAATAAATTAAGGAAGCAAAGGACCCAAGATCAGGGTCAAAGGCACGCTCCTGACCACCTGGCACCTTGAGGTTACAGGGGGCAGCAACCTGAAGAACAAGATTCCTAGGAAGGTCTATTTCCTAGGAACAGATGCCACTGATGGAATACGTGATGTTTTTTGAATGTATTGAGAAGAGATTTACATTTCTGATGAAGAATTTTTGGAATGAATTCTCAACAGGTAAAGAAAAATGGATAACCTGTGGTACCTTACAATAGAACAGATATCTATTTCTGCAATGAAATAAATTGCTAATTTCAAGAAAAATGAGTGGCTGATTTTTGTTGTTAATGACATGAATGTTGGATGCAAACGTTACTTGAAAGTCATTGTCTTAGTCCATTTTCTGTTGCTTATAACAGAATACCCGAAACTGGGCAATATAGAAAGAAAAAGAACTGATTGCTTATATTTATGGAGGCTGAGAAGGATGAAGCTCAAGGAGCCATGTATGGTGAGAGCCTCTTGCTGGTGGGGACTCTGCAGAGTCCTGAGGTGGCACAGGACATCACATGGTGAGAGGGCTGAGCGTGCCAGCTCAGGTCTGTCTTCTTCTTATAAAACTACCAGACCCACTCCCATCATAACCCATTAATCCATTAACCTATTAATCCATTAATCCATGAATAGATGAATCCTGCCTTCATGACCCAATCACCTTTTAAAGCCCCCAGCTCTCTGTAATGCCACATTAGGGATTAAATTTCTTTCTTACTCTTTTTTTGGAGATGGAGTGTCCCTCTGTTGCCCAGGCTGGAGTGCAGTGGTGCGATCTTGGCTCATTACAACCTCCATCTCCCGAGTTCAAGCAATGCTTGTGCCTCAGCCTTCCGGGTAGCTGGGACTACAGGCACGCACCACCACACTCGGCTAATTTTTGTATTTTTAGTAGAGACAGGGTTTCGCCATGTTGGCCAGCATGGTCTCAAACTCCTGACCTCAGGTGATCCACCTGCCTTGGCCTCCCAAAGTGTTGGGATTATAGGTGTGAGCCACCTCACCCAGCCAGGATTCAATTTCAACATGAGTTTTGGAGAAGACAAATATTCAAACCATGTCAGTCATTAAAAGTTGAAAGCATTGAATACATATTTTATCCTGATAATGTTCACAGTTCAAATAAAAAAAAGTGTAATCATCAATGAGAAAACATAAAACAACATTATGAGCCAGATATAATAAAGCATTTGACATATACTCTTGGGGGAAAACTTACAGAAAATTATTGGTAATACAAATTTAAAAAATGGAAAATAGCATTGGAAACTGCAACACGTTTTGGGGAAAATTTCTGAATTAAGACAGTACAATTTTAGTTATCACCAACGAAATACAGTTTCATAGCAGAGGTATATTGTATTAGCCTGCTCACACTTATAACAAAATACCACACACCATAACAAAATACTGTAGATGGAGTGCCTTAGACAACAGAAATGTATTTTCTCACTTCTGGAAACTGTAAGTCCAAGATCAAGGTGCTGGCAAGGTTGGTTCCTGGCGAGAGCCCACTTCCTGGGTTGCAGCGGCTGCCTTCTCAATGTGCCCAGGGGTGGGGGGAAGTCTCTTCATCTTCTTATGAGGGCAGTGATACTGTCATGAGGACCCTACCATTGTGACCTCATCCAACCTTCATCTCTCCCAAAGGCTCCACTTTCCAAATACCATCCCACTAGGGGTGAAGCTTCGACATTAGAATGAAGAGGAAGGCATAATTTAGTCGGTAGCATATATTACTATCTAGTCTTTCAAGAGGAGATAATTCTATGGCCGGGGGTTGGGCACTGCCTCTTTGGAAAGCTCAATGTATACATGCCCTGTGACCTAGCAAGTCTGTGCTCAGATATGTGCACCTGTGCACCAGGAGAGACAAAAAGAATGGTTACATTTGCACTGTTTGTATTGTAAAAAAGTGGATGATGTAAATATCCATTCACAGAAGAATGAACAATTTAGGGTATGTGTCTACAACAGAACCCTTTAGGCGGTTACACAAATGCATCTAAAAATGGTAGTGTTCTTTGTAAGAAGGCAAGTTGCAAAATAATGTCTTCTGGCTGGGTGCAGTGGCTCACGCCTGTAATCCTAGCACTATGAGAGGCCGAGGAGGGCAGATCACCTGAGATCGGGAGTTCAAGACCAGCCTGGCCAACATGGTGAAACCCCACCTCTACTAAAAAGACAAAAATTAGCTGGATGTGGTCACGCATGCCTGTAGTCCCAGCTAGTCTGGAGCCCAAGGCGTGAGCGTCACTTGAACCCAGGAGGCAGAGGTTGCAGTGAGCTGAGATTGCGCCACTGCACTCCAGCCTGTGTGACAGAGCCAGACTCTGTCTCAAATACAAAAAAAGATGCATTCCATATGATGCCAAGTATACAAAGTAAAAAAAAAGGCATGCACCGCAATGTATTCTATTAGTAATGTGTGCATACATTTGTAGTATTTAGATTAACTTCAATTGTATGAACAAGTTCTAAAAAGATACTGTACTAATTTTTGACTGGAGTTTCATAAAACATCTAAGATAAATGCAGTTTTTCTATTAAGAAATAATATATATCTTACCAAAGAAAACTTTTTTGTACCTCAATCAGTAAATTTTGATGGTTTTCTTCCTTAGTTTGTCTATATTGCTTTAAAGATCATAGGCATTTAATGTATTTTTATTTCTGCTATTATTAATGGAATATCTCCCCCATTATAGCTTATATTCTGTGATTGCTGTGTTATAGAAAAGTTATTAATGGGCCAGGAGGGGTGGCTCATGCCTGTAATCCCAGCACTTTGGGAGGCTGAGGCTGGTGGATCATGAGTTCAGGAGTTCGATAACAGCCTGATCAACATGGTGAAACCCCATCTCTACTAAAAATACAAAAATTAGCCGGGCATGGTGGCTTGTGCCTGTAATCCCAGCTACTCCGGAGGCTGAGGCAGGAGAATCGCTTGAATCTGGGAGGCAGAGGTTGTAGTGAGTTGAGATCTCACCATTGCACTCCAGCCTGGGGGACAGAGCAAGTCTCTGTCTCAGGAAAAAAAAAAAGAAAAGAAAAGCTATTAATTTTGTAACGTTTAATCTTATACATAATCACTTGATGCATATATGAATTTTAAGATGATTAGCTGTGTTTTGAGTGTTATTCCACTATCCTCCAGTTGTGATAGTTTTATTTCCTTCTTTTACATAATTACACATCTTATTTCTGTTTTATTTATTTTTAAATATTTTGCATTGACTGAACATTCTGGACAAATGGTAAATAATAATTTTCACAACAGGTAATTTTTTTTCCCTAATAGAAATGGGAATGTCTTTAAAGTAGATTTTTGTTGTTGCCCAAATGTAGGTAATAATCTCCCCTTCTTAGGGCTTTCAACTTTTCCTATTGCTAATAGATATTAAATGTTATAAAATTACTTTTGGGAAATAATTTTTTACTGGACTTTTTTTATCTTAAACTGGTAAGCCAGAATGATATTGTAATTGTGGAATTAGACCACTAGATGGCGGTGTGCACCTATTTTTTTGCTTTGGGACCCTTAAATTGTTTATTGTTAAAATTTAAACCTTTTAAATAGGGGTGTCCAATCTTTTGGCTTCCCTGGGCCACATTGGTAGAAGAATTGCCTTGGGCCACACATAAAATCCATTAACACTAATGATAGTTGAAGAGCAAGGAAAAAAAAAAAACACCTCATGATGTTTTAAGAAAGTTTACAAATTTGTGTTGGTTTACATTCAAAACCGCCTTGGGCCTCAGGCGGTCTGCCAGCTGAGGGTTGGACAAGCTTGTTTTAAATTAACATAATCCACAAACTATCATCTTCCTTTCGACTTTCAATTTAGTGATCTTAAATTAGGAATATGCTTAAAAATACTTCTTGTCTCTCCTGTATTGAGTCAGTTTTATTGGGGTATAATTTATACCACAATAACATTCAACAATTTTAAGGATACAATACAGAGAGTTGTAACAAACACATTCAGTCTTGTTTCCACCACCACACTTGTAATAGAGAACATTGGCATCACTCCAGTCACTTCCCTCGTACCTTCCCTGCCTGCCAGCCCCTGGAAACCACTGATGGGTTTTTGCCACTTGACCTTTTCTAGAATTTCGTATTAGTGGACTCATACAGTATATAGCCTCGTGTAGGTGGCTTCTTTTCCACAGCCCCTTGCTTTTAGGATTCATCCATGTTGTTAAGTGATTCAGTAATTTCTTCCTTTTTATTGTGGACTAGTGTTCCATTGAATGGCTTTACAACAGTTTGTTTACTCATCCAACCACAGTGAACATTTGGGGTGCTTCTAGCTTTGGGATATTATGAACAAAACTGTTACAAACATTTACACAGAAGTCTTTCTGTTGACGTGTATTTTCATCTCTTGGTAAATACCAAGCAGTGGCATTGCTGTGTCATGTGATGAATATATGTTTTAACTTTCTAAGAAACTGTTTTCCAAAAGGTTTTCTGAGGTGGCCACAGCATTTTATGCTCTCCCCTGCCATGTGTGAGAGTTCCAGTCTCTGCACGTCTTCACCAGCACTTGTCATTACCAGTCTTTTTAATTTTGGTGAGTGTGTAGTTACACTTTATTGTGTTTTGACTGCATTTCCCTAATGTCTAATGATGATAATAAACATCTGTTCATGTGCTTATCTGCCATCCGATATCTTCTTGGTGAACTGTCTGCTCAGATCTTTTGATTATTTTTTTAAATTACCTTGTTTATCTTCTCATTTTGCATTGTAACAGCTCTTATATATTCTAGATAAAAGTCTTTTCTATTATTTGCAAATATTTTCTCACAGTCTATAGCTTGCCTTTTCATTTAACAGTGTCTTTTGAAGAGCATATATTCTTAATTTTGATAAAGTTCAATTTATTAAATTTTTAATATATAGTTCTAGTTTTTTGGGTCCAGTTTAAGAAATCTTTGCCTAACCCCAGGTGACCAAGATTTTCTCTTATGTTTTCTTCTAGAAGTTTCATAGTTTAGCTTTCACATTAAGATCTATGACCCATTTCAAATTAGTCTTCTTCTACAGTGTGATGTAGGGGTTGCATTTCATTGTTTTGTTTTTGCATGGGACAAATTTGCATCCAGTTGTTTCAGTACCAGTTGTTGAAAAAATTATCATTTCTTCATTGAATTGCCTTGGCAACTTTGTCAAAATTTAATTGATTCTACATGAGTGGATCTATTTCTGAACTCACTATTCCATTCCATTGACCTACATGTTTTTTTTCAGTTAGACTAATGCCACAATGTCTTGATAACTGTTGATTTATAATAAATCTTGAAATGAGCAGTTAGTCTAAAAAACCTCATTCTCCTTTTTCAAAATTGTGTTGGCCACAAGCAAACAAAATTGTTTTAGATCCTTTGCATTCCATGTAAATATTATAATTAGCTTCTCAATTTCTGCAAAAAAGAAGAAACCTCCTGAGATTTTACTTGAGATTTCACCAAATCTCTAAATCAGTTTGGGGAGAATTGACATCATAGCAATATTGACTCATGAACATGGTATACCTCTCCATTTATTTAGACCTTCTTTAATTTTCCTCAGGATTGTTTTGTAGTTTGTGCATCTTTTGTTTAATTTATTCCTAAGTATTTCATATTCTTTGATGTCACTGTAAATGTTACAATGTCATGTAAATGTTGCTAATTTCCAATATTTTATTGTGTTTTGAACATTTCCACCTTTCAGTGTACTTCTAGTATATAGAAATCCAACAAATTTTTAAAAATTGAACTTGTATCCTACAATCTTGCCAAATTCACTTGTTAGTTCTAGTGGCTTTTTGTACATTCCTTAGATTTTTCCATGTAGATTATTATATCTGTGAATAAATCCAGTTTTATTTCTTCCTTTCCAATCATATGATTTTATTTTTCTCACAAGGACCTCTGTGGTTGGCAGAATAATGCCCCAGTGATGTCTACATCTGAATCCCCAGATCCTGAGAACATGTTACATGACAGGGCAAAGGGGAATTAAGGTTTCAGATAGACTTGTAGTTGTTAATTAACTGATTTTAAGAGATTATTCTGGAATATCCATGTGGGACCCAATGTAACCATGAAGATCCTTGTAAGTGGGAGGGGTTGGCAGAGAGGACATCAGCCTGATGGATGTGAGAAGGACTCGATCTGCTGTTGCTGGCTTTGAAGGTGGAGGGTTAGTCCATTCTCATTCTGCTAATAAGGACATACCCAAGACTGGGTAATTTATAAAGGAAAGAGATTGAATTGACTCACAGTTCAGCATGGCTGGGGAAGCCTCAGGAAACTTATAATCATGGCGGAAGGGGAAGCAAACACACACAAACCATGGGGAACTATGAATTACTATTGAGGAACAGCACATTCAACATGTCATAGCAATCAAATACAAAATTAGCCCGGCATGTTGGTGCATGCCTATAATCCTAGCTACTCGGGAAGCTGAGGCAGGAGAATCGCTTGAACCTGGGAGGCGGAGGTTGCAGTGAGCCAAGATCACCCTGTTGTCTGCTGTGCCATGGACGCCTTGGCTCAGAATGCAAGTGCCTGGGAGGGGAGATGTTCTAAACTGCTGTTCTGCATTCACAATGAGCAATATTTTGGAAAGAAGGATATTCCTGGGTTAGGATGAACCCAGGCACTGCCTTCAAAACAAATTTTTAAATTTAAACGTTTCACTCTTCCACCTCATTCTGCCAGGGCTGTTGATGGCAGCTGTGTGTGTGCATGTATGTGAGCAGATGTGTGTGGATATGTGTGTGTGCATGGGCACATGTGGACATGTGTGCATGGACATATGTATGCATGGATGTGTGTATGTATAAATGTGCATTGGCAGGTGTGTGTGTGTGACAGTGTGTGTATGTGTATGGGAGGACCTGGGCATAGAGGTGACTGTGTCTATGTGTGTGAGTTTGTCTTTGTAGGCGTTTCCAATCTCTTGGCCCCTGACCTGCTAGCAACTTCCCTCTTGTGTTCCGGTTCACCCTTATCCAGCTTCCACCTGATCAACTGCCATGTACAGATCCTCTACTCCTTCACTAGTTGCCCCTCTTATGGGAAACCCCACCCAAAATCTATCCACGTGACTATCTGCCTCCTGTATGTGAACACGGGCAGAGACTGCTGTTGGGCTAAAGAAGAACCCACAACCACAATGACTGATGCAACGGGAACTTCCGGACCCCCAGCCTCTAGCAGTAGAGCCCAGCAGTGCTGGCCACGTCTGCTTCGGGTCACAGAGGTGACATTTCCTTTTCAGAGAGCAAGCATCAAAGCCCTCGTCTATGGTGCACTGGGCGACTCTGCGTATCCATACCATCCGATCCTCCTGGTGCAGCAGAAGACATGCTTCTGCCCCACTTGGAGGCAACGCCTTCCCCTGTGCCCTGGCTGCCAACAAGGCCTACCTCTTGGGCCTTCCCAAGCCATCCTGCTACCTCCTCTCTTGATGGTGTTTGAGTAGCCATCTGCTGGCTGCTTCCGCCCATCTTGGAGACAAGTTCATGCTCATTACTGTCCTCGACCTCACACCAGAGTCCTGCCTCCCCTGAGTTTGCTGCTGCAGCCTTCTCTTTCACAACCAAACCTCTGGAATGAGCAGTCGTCACTTGCGCTCTCCACTTCCAAAATCAACTGAAGAAGAAGAAGGCTGCCCTCCACAAGGCAGGACCCACGGGAAGTGGAGCCTTGGCCAAGCACCTGACTGTCTCCTGGTCCAGCCTGGTCTTTTTAATCATCGAGGAAGAGACGCCTGGGATGGAGCTTCATTCCTTTTTTTGGTGGGAAGGTGACTTTCTGACTCCCTTGTGAGAGAGGAGGCTTCTATGTTACTGCAGCCACCAGGAAAACACTTTCTTCCTTTGAATTTAGGTGGCAGGATTTCTGAGAATGAAGGTCGCTCTTTGATTCTGTGTTTACGTGCATTGGATATTGGTGCATTGGGTGTTGGCTGGAAGCCTTCCCTGACTCTGCCTAAGCTCCCCCTAGTCATTTGTATTTTTCCTTCTTTGCACTTGTCATGACTGTTGTTCTACGGCTCCTTTTCTCCATGGCGCGTCTCACTCGGGGCTAGGTGTCTGACGGGCCCTACACAGTCAGCCCACCCACCAATGAAGGGCTGTCCAGGCTGCAGTGCTGGAGCTCCCTGCTGAGCTGCTGCACCAGGCCCCAAGGCCCCAGAGGATGCCCAATGTTTGCCAAATAAACATACAAATGTACTTATAAATACAACATCCCATTTCCTTAGAAACAAATTCCTAGGTTGAAGTAGATTATAGCAATTTTAGTAATTTGATCCATCTAGTCCTATAGCATAATCCAAAAAGTGGCCAGACTTTTGGATTTTGCCTTTTAAAAAATGTTTATATGCATTCATAGCTAAATAAAAAAGTTGTAAAACAAAATTGTGTGCTGTTTTGGAGTCAGAAACCATATTTTAATGATCTACTTCTGGAAAAGCTGGAAAATGGTTCATCTTCATCATTTCCCCTGCCTGCAACAAAGAAACACCATTTCTTCTCAATTAATCAATCAGCAGCACTTGCTGATCACATCCTATGTACAAGGCATTGAATTAGACTCTCTGGAGGTACAAAGATGAAGGAGGCACTTCATTTGTGCTTTTGAAATATATGTGCTAGAAAAGGATGATTAAAAGTAAGCACTTGTCCAAAACTCTTGCTTTTTGCCAAGAGGGGGCAACAGATGACATTTACCCTTCCACTTGAAATAACTAAAAAACCAGACAACTATATATGAAATAATAGTTTTCATGATGTTGGACAGGAGACAGGGAAGGACAGTGATCCCTGAGAGAGCCAAGAAACAAATGAGAATAGTCCCGCAGTTTCCCAACGGGCTGCCTGAATAGAGTTTCCAGGCTCCGGCATAAAGGGAGGCTCGTGTTGGAACCTGGCACACTGCTGGGGCTGAGAAAGGGGAGCTGGGCATCGGGGAAGTCCAAGGCAGCTGGTCTTCCCAGGGCAGGGCACCACTGCAGAGAGAGCTGTGCAGAGATAGAAGCCCAGAGATCTTCGGAGGACCCCCTTTAGTATTTAGTAGAGTGTGGATCAATGAATGTGTACGTGGAAGCTACCCAGGGCTGGGGAGAAACCCACACAAAGGATTAGAGGGAGCAGTACTGGGAACTCACACAGGGCTGGGAATAGTGCCTGCTCCCACCAGGCAGGCTGAAAAAAGACAGAATCTATGGGGCACCGGGGATAGTACGCAGAAGGACCTTGCCCCAGTGGTGGGGGATTGTTAGCCCTAGACTTCAATCTGCTCTGGATTCAAATAACAAATCTTAAAACAAGACCTGAAAGCATTGAACTGTTTCTAAGAATCTTAATTGCCTCCTAGAGCAAAGTTAAAAAAGTATTTGTAGGAATACAGAAATAATCTAGTATCCAATGAGGTAAAATGGATTTCTTTTTTTTCAAGATGGAGTCTTGCTTTGTCACCCAGGCTGGAGTGCAGTGGTGTGATCTTGGCTCACTGCAACCTCTGCCTCCCGGGTTCAAGCAATTCTCTGCCTCAGCCTCCTGAGTAGCTGGGATTACAGGTGCCAGCCACCACACCAGGCTAATTTTTGTATTTTTAGTAGAGATGGGGTTTCACCATTTTGGCCAGGCTGGTCTTGAACTCCTGACCTTGTGATCCACCTGCCTCAGCCTCCCAAAGTGCTCGAATTAGAGGCGTGAGCCATTGCGCCCAGCCGGAAATTATTGACATTGAATAGAAAATCACCAGGCCTGTGAAACTTAACCCCAAATGAAGAGAATAATCAATCAACTGAATCTGACCCAAAATTGATGCTGATGTTGGAATCAGCAGATAAGAGCATTAGGATGGTTATTATAATTGTATTTCTTATGTTCAAAAAGCTAGAGGAAGAAAGAAAAAAGACTAAAATTTGGGTAAGAAACTAAAAAGCATCACTGGACTATGGGACAACTATACATGATTGCCATGTATATGGACATGACTATAGTAGATGGACAGACTATCTAAAGACATCCATGTAGACAGACAGACTATCTAAAGAGATTATGACTGAAAAATATCCAAATTTGATGAAGAGTATAAATCTACCACTCCATAAAGTTCAATAAAACCCAAACACAAGAAAAATGAGGAAAATGAATCAAGGCACATCATAATCTAATCTTAAAAGCAACCAGAGAAGCAGCACAAAGGAACAGATGCAGAACAAGAGCAGATTTCTCACTGGGAAGGACACGAGAGAACATGGTGGAGCTGCCCCTTTAAAGCGCAGAGCAAAACCCAAACCTTCAACCTAGAATTCCATGCCCAGAGAAAACATCCTTCAAAACTGAAGGTGAAATACACACGTTATCAGACATACAAAAGCAAGACAGTTCTGACCAGCAGAATGACACTGCCAAAAATGTTAAAAGAAGTCTTTGAGGCAGAAGGAAAATGACCCCAGATGGGAAACTGGATCTAAGAACTGAAGAGCTAAGGTAACTTTATAGCAACTCTAAGACCTTTTTCCTATGATTTAAATTTCCTTAAAAGTAATTGTATAAACAAAAATGATAGGGCAGTGTAGGATTTATAATGTATGTATGAGTAAAATGTGTGACAAATATAGCATAAAGCCCTGGATGAGAGAAATGGAAGTATACTATCTTATGGCTCTTACAGAATACATGCAGTGGTATAATATCACTTGAAGAAAGACTAACAGTTTGAAGACAGATACTATAAACCCTATGGCAATCACTAAAACAATAACAACAACAACAACACGACAACACAACAACAACAAAGCTGAAAAAGAAGGGAATCCAACTAATTAATCCAGAAGAAGGCAGCAAAAAGTGAAAATGGAAATAAAGAACTTGGGGCAAATAGAAAACAAATAGTACACAATAAATTTAAACCTAATCATAGCAATAACCCCATTAAATGTATGTGGTCTAAACAAGCCAATGAAAAGGCAGATTCTATTTATCATAGTACTAGAAACACTAGCAAGAGCAATCAGGCAAGAGAAAGAAATAAAAGGCATCCAAATAGGAAAAGAAGAAGCCAAACTATCTCTCTTCATGGGTTATATAATTCTACACCTAGAAAACCCTAGACTCCACCAAAAGGCTGCTAAAGCTGATAAATGACTTACGCAAAGTTTCAGGACACAAAATTAATGTACAAAAATCAATAGCATTACTATAAACCAGTAACATTCAAGCTGAGAGCAAAATCAAGAATGCAATTCTATCTACAATAGGCACACAAACAAAAAATACTCAAGAATATATCTAACCAAGGAGGTGAAAGATCTCTACAAGGAGAACTACAAAACATTGCAGAAAGAAACAACAGATGACAAAAACAAATGGAAAAACATTCCATGCTCATGCTCGTGGATTGGAAGAATCAATATCATTTAAATGGCTACACTGCCCAAAGCAATCTACAGATTCAATGCTATTCCTATCAAACCAACATCATTTTTCATAGAACTAGAAAAAACTCTTCTAAAATTCACAAGGAATCAAAAAAGAGCCCGAATACCTACAGCAATCCAAAGCAAAAAGAACAAAGCCAGAGGCATCATATTACCCAACTTCAAACTATACTACAAGGCTACAGTAACCAACACAGCATGGTACTGGAAGAATGCAGAGAATGAAACTGGACCCACATATAAAGAAAGAAACTGGACTCCTATATAAAATATGCAGAAGAATAAGACTGGACCCCTATATAAAGTATACAAAGCTAACTTTCACCATATACAAAAATTAAGATTAAAGAGGGATTTAGATTAAGATTAAAGAGGGATTAAAGAGGGATTAAAGATTTAGATGTAAGACCTCAAACTATAAAAATCCTAGAAGAAAACCTGGACAATACCCTTCTCAACCTAGGAAATACTGTCTGACAAAGAATTTATGGCTAAGTCCCCAAAAGCAATTGCAACAAAACCAAAAACTGACAAGAGGGACCTAATCAAACTAAAGAGCTTCTGCACAGCAAAAGAAATTATCTGCCAGTTGTGGTGGCTTATGCCTGTAATCCCAGCACTGTGGGAGGCTGAGGCGGGTGGACAGTGAGGTCAGGAGTTCAAGACCAGCCTGGCCAACATAGTGAAACCCCGTCTCTACTAAAAATCCAAAAAAAAAAAAAAATTAACTAGGCGTGGTGGCAGGTGCCTGTAATCCCAGCTACTCGAGAGGCTGAAGCAGAAGAATTGCTTGAACCTGGGAGGCGGAGGCTGCAGTGAGCCAAGATTGCACCACTGCACTCCAGCTGGGCAACAGTGCAAGACTCCATCTCAAACAAACAAACAAAAAAAAAGAAAAAGAAAAAGAAAAAGAAATTATCAACAGAATAAACAGACAACTATGGAATGGGAGAAAAAATTGCCAAACTATGCATCCAACCAAGGTCTAATATCTATAAGGAACTTAGTTCAACAAGCAAAACCCAAATAACCTTATTTGAAAATGGGCAAAGACATTAACAGACACTTCTCAAAAGAAGACAGATAAGTGGCCCAGCCACATCACTAATCATTAGAGAAATGCAAATCAAAACCACAATCAGATAACATCTCGTACTAGTCAGAATGGCTATTGTTAAAAAGTCAAAAAATCACAGATGCTGTGGAGGCTGCAGAGTAAAGGGCATTCTCATACACGTTGGTAGGAATGTAAAGTAGTTCAGTCACTGTGAAAAGAAGTTTGGAGATTTCTCCTCAAAGAAAACAGAGCTACCGTTTGGCCCAGCAATCCCATTACTGGATATATATCCCAAAGAAAATAAATCATTCTACTAAAAAGACACATGTGTTTGCATGTTCATCTCGGCACTATTCACAATAGCAAAGACATGGAATCAACACAGGTGCTCGTCAATGGTGGACTGGATAAATAAAATGTGGTACGTATATACCATGGAATACTATGCAGCCGTGAAACAGAACAAAATAATGTCCTTTGCAGAAACATGGATGCAGCTGGAGGCCGTTATCCTAAGCAAATTAATACAGAAACAGAAAACCAAAGATTGCATGTTCTCACTTAGAAGTGGAAGCTAAATATTGGGTACCTGTGGACATAAAGATGGGAAAAATAGGCAATGGGGACTATTAGAGGGTGGGACAGGGGCAAGGGTTGAAAAACTAACTATTGGGTACTATGTTCAGTGTCTTGGTGATGGTGTCATTCATACCCCAAACCTCAGCATCATGAAATATACCCAGGTAACAAACTTGTACATGTACCCTTGAATCTAAAATAAAAGAAAAAAAAGAAAAGAAAAGGCAGATTGTCAGATTGGATTAAAAAAAACAAGACACATGTCTATTTTCTGCCTAAAAGAAACATACTTTAAATATATAAACATAAATGTTTTAAATGTAAAAGACAAGGAAAGATATACTGTGTTTACACTAATCAAAACAATGCTGGAGTGGCTCTGTTAACAAAAACATGGCTTTTAGAGCAAGGCATGTGGCCAGGAAAAATTTCACAGTGAAGAAGGGGTCAATCACCAAGGAGACACAACAATCCTAAACATTTTTGTGTATAATAATAGAGCTTCAAAATATAAGAAGCAAAAACCCGAAGAACTTCATGGAGACATAAGCAAATCCACAATTGGATTTGAAGAGTTCAATAACCTCTTTCAAATGATTGATAGGATAATTAGGCAGAAGTTCAGTGAAGATACAGGAGATTTGAACAATACTATCAACCAATTTCCTTTAATTGACAGAACATCCACCCAACGACAGCAGAACACTTTTTTTTTCTTTTTCTTTTTTTCTTTTCTTTTGAGTCAGAGTTTCGCACTGTCGCCGCCCGGGTTGGAGTGCAATGGCGAGATCTATGCTCACCGCAACCTCCGCCTCCTGGGTTCAAGAGATTCTCCTGCCTCAGCTTCCCGAGTAGCTGGGATTACAGGTGCCTACCACCATGCACGGCTAATTTTTTGTATTTTTAGTAGAGACAGGGTTTCACTATGTTGGCCAGGCTGGTCTCGAACTCCTGACCTTGTGATCCAACTGCCTCGGCCTTTCAAAGTGCTGGGATTATAGGCGTGAGCCATCATGCCCGGCAAACACATTCTTTTCAAGTTCATATGGAAAATTTACCAAGACAGACCATAGTTCTGACGATACAACAAGCGTCAATACATTTAAAGGGATTCAAACCATAAAATGTTCTTTAGCCACAATGGGATTAAATTAGAAAACAATAACAAGAGATCTCTGGGAAGTCTCTAAATATTTTGGGTGAGATGCAGCACATTCAGGGTGATATGGCTATAGACAAAATTTCTAAATTTTGGAAATGAACACTTCTATATGCCTCATGGGCTGAAGAAGGAATCAAAAGGGAAATTAGGAATCGTTTTGGACTGAATGAAAAGAAATATCAAAATTTGGAGCATGCTGCTAAAACAGTGCTTACAGAGAAATTGTATCACTGAACACATATATCAGAAAACAAAGGCTCTAAATTGATGATCTCAGCTTTCACATTAAAAAAAGAAAAAATAGGCCGGGCGCAGTGGCTCATGCCTGTAATCCCAGCACTTTGGGAGGCCAAGGCGGGTGGATCACAAGGTCAAGAGATCGAGACCATCCTGGCCAACATAGTGAAACCCCATCTCTACTAAAAATACAAAAATTAGCCAGGCATGGTGGTGGGCACCTGTAGTCCTAGCTACTTGGGAGGGAGAATCGCTTGAACCCGGGAGGCAGAGATTGCAGTGAGCCGAGATCATGCCACTGCACTCCAGCCTGGCGACAGAGCAAGACTGTCTCAAAAAAAAAAAAAAAAAAAAAAAAAAGAGAGAGAGAGAACAAAAAGACCCCAAATATGCAGAAGAAAGGAAAGAGTAAAGATCATAGGATAAATAAATGAAATAGGGAGATGATCATAGGGACAATCAATCGATTTATTTGAGATGGGGTCTTGCTCTGTTTCCCAGGCTGAATTTGAACTCCTGGGCTCAAGCCATCATCCTGCCTCAGCCTCCTCTATATCTGGGACTACAGGTACAAACCATCATGCCCAGCTAGAAGCTGATTCTTTGAAGAGAGAAGTAAAATTGATAAACCTTTAGCCAGATTGACCATGAAAAAAACCTACCAATGATCACATCCAGAAGGACAGAGATGACATCACTACTGATTGTACAGATGTTAAAAGGGCACCAACAAAATATGATGAACAAATTTAGTCCATAAACTTCAAACTTAAAACAATGGACAATTTCCTAAAGGACACAATGACTAAATCTTACTGAAGGGGAAATAGATAACTGAATCACTCCATATTGATGAAAAGTGTGGAATTTGGAGTTAAAAACCTTTCCAGAAAGAAAACTCCAGGCCCAGGTGGCCTCACTGGAAATTCCACCAAATACTTAAAATATTTTTAATTAAACAATATTTATTTTAAATCACAATTCTTATTTGGTTTATTTAATTATTAATTATTATTTTCATTGTCATTTTTAATTTTGAAGTTGCATCGCCCATTGTGACTACCAGGTACTTCTGTCTTCCTTCCACAGTCTCTTCCCTTCCAGAACCCCAGGGGGGCTTCAGCTCTCCACTGCTGCATGACAGACATCCCCACGCCTACAACTGTGATTTGCTCAGGACCTCTGCCAACTCTGGGCTTGGCTGGGCAGCTCCCTCTTAGAATCCCTCCTGCGCAGCCATTACCATGGCCAAGTCATTTCCAGGCTTCTCTACGTTCATGTCTGGTGGTCGAAGCTGGCTTTCACCTGGGACTTGAGCTGAGCCATTGGCCAGAACATGTAGCCTGGGCTTCCTCAGAACATGGCGACTGGATCTTAGGCAAGATCCTGAGAGAGCCAGGATGTCTCCTTTACGACCTGGCCTCAGAGAGCAGGTGGCATCACTCTCACTGCATTCTCAGATGCAAGTCATGCGTTTAAGGGGAGAGGAACTTGGCTCCCTCTTTCATTGGAAACCATGTCAAGAAATTCTGGATGTGTTTTAAAGTGACCATTAAGTCCTTTAGGGTCTCCCAAGGTTGCTGTAACAAAGTATCTCAAACTGGGAATGAAGGGCAATGACCCAGGAGGGGCCCTGTATCTGGGCACCTGCACAGGCCCACCTGGACTGCTGGCCTCAGAACTGTGGTGAGAGAAACAAACCCTGTTGTCTTCAGGTCACTGTGATGTTAGCTCAGCTTGTTCCAGCAGAAAGTCCTTTCCTCTCACTGATGGAGGCACTGATGCACCAGTTTTTGTCATTTCTTTGCTACATATTCAGAAGGGTCCTTCTACCTTTAAGAATTTAAGATTGACTGGGTGCAGTGGCTCACGCCTGTAATCCCAACACTTTGGGAAGTCAGGAGATCGAGACCATCCTGGCCAACATGGTGAAAACCCGTCTCTACTAAAATACAAAAAAATTAGCAGGGTGTGGTGGCATGTGCCTGTAGTCCCAGGTACTTGGGAGGCTGAGGCAGGGGAATCGCTTGAACGCGGGAGGCGGCGGTAGCAGTGAGCCGAGATCGCGCCACTGCACTCCAGCCTGGTGACAGAGCAACACTCTGTGTCAAAAAAAAAAAAAAAGAAAAAAAAAGAATTTAAGATTTTGGAGTATTTGGCAATACTCCAACGTGATTAAGCGTGTGGACTCAGGAGTCAAAGCACCAGTGTTCTTTCCTGACTCATATTTGCTGGGACCTTGGGCAAATTACCTAACCTAACCTCTGGGAACCTGTGTCCACATTAGCTGGAGTGGTAATAATAGGAGTGCTGCCCCATAGGGCTGTTGTGAAAATTAAATGAGAAGTGTCTGCACAGCACCTGATACAGAAGTGCTCAGTTGATGTTATTTTTATTATTGAATGTTTCAGTGTTTTCAGTAGCACTCAAAAAGGAAACAGCATCACAAAAAGGCCTTTTCAACTCAGGGGGACCTTTGTTCCAGAACGGATTCAGGTGAACAATCACAAACCTTTTAGTGGTTCGAGGAAGAAGGATATGACATGACGTCACTTTTCAATAGTTAGTCCAGTAGTATGGATCCTGTGATGAGATGTACAGTTTTTGTATGCAGCCACAGCTAGGTGCTGTTCATGGGACAGTTGACAGAATGAGAGGTCCAGATGCCCCCCACCAAAGAGATGAGGCCAAACCCACCTGGTCCGGCCACAAACCATAGACTGATCAGGAGGTGGGGTCCCTGGCTAGCAGCTATTTCTGGCCCCTAAGGGGTAGGAAGACCTTAGTGGTGGGGTTGGGGGAAATTGAATTAAGGACAGGTAGATACTAGAGTCAGGTGTGTGTGTTTCATGCATGGTGAAAACTGTTTTGCTGCTTCTGGAGTGTTTTCATGTTTTTATAGATGACCTAGAATGTGCACTTTAAAATTGATCTCTTATCTTTTCTGTAGTTCCCAGAAATATAGGCTGTTATGTCTATATGCATCCTAAATCCCGCTTGGGTGGGTAGTTGTACCATTGCCAGAGAGGCTTTGTCTGCTAACTTGGACTAGATCCTAAGATCCACCCAAGCTGAGCTGGTAGCTGAGTGGAAGGTGCTGGCCACAGAGGCCTCTACACAGGTTGGGGTGAGACCTCCCACTCCTTCTTTATTTCTTTTCTCTGCCTTGATGCAAACAGATGGGCATGGCCAGTCCAAGTAAGTCTGTGGGCATCGGGGTAGAATTGGTGCTTCCAATCTGCTTCTGGAATTTTGAGTTAATGCTACTGTTTGAAATTGTATATGTGAATATTCAAAATCATGGGAGACTTTTTAAAAATATTGTACCCCTTGAGTTACAGGGAGACTTCATAAATGGGCCACGCAATTCCAGGGTGGGAAGACCCCTTGTCCCCAGTTGAAACCTTCTAGTATTTAAGAAACCATCAGGGCCGGGTGTGGTGGCTCAGGCCCGTAATCCCCAGCACTTTGGGAGGCCGACGGGGGCAGATCACAACGTGAGGAGTTCGAGACAGCCTGGCCAACATGGTGAAACCTTGTCTCTACTAAAAATACAAAAATTAGCCTGGAGTGGTGGTGGGTGCCTGTAGCCCCTGCTACTTGGGAGGCTGAGGCAGGAGAATCACTTGAACCCGGGAGGTGGAAGTTGCAGTACACCAGCCTGGGTGACAGAGCGAGACTCCGTCTCAAAAAAAAAAAAAAAAAAAAGAAACCATCAAGAAGGTGCCAAACAGGACTCTGTCTTTAACATCCATGAAGCCTGCAAAATGTAACCCCCTCTCCCCTCTCACTGCCCCTGTTAGCTGAGCCCAGGGGTGATTACAAGCCAGGGGGCAGGGGCTGCATTGGGCAGCAGCTGGCCTCGGCTTCAGCCTCAGATCGTTGCCTCGGCATGACCCGAGCAGCTGCCACAAAAGCGGCTTGCCAGGGTCATCGCATTATTTATGCTTAGTTTGGCCCAATTTCCAGCAATAAAAGTTCCATCAGAGCATGTGCCCGGACATGCAGGGGGTGACATCTGTGTCCCCTGTGGGCTGGGACAAAGCCGGCTCTACTCTGGGCTCTGACTACAGCACAAGCCTCTGCCACAGACCCATCCTGTCCTTTGGTCCGGCTGCAGTGTGGGCTAGCTGAGCCCATCTGCTCAGCTGACCTCAGTTATCCTGACACCAGAGGGAAGCCTCTGTCCCTAGGCAGCCCTCCCCCAGAGAGTGAAGGGCCCTACTGGTGGGGATGAACAGGGTGAGGGAAGGAAGTGGCACTGGGGACCTGGTATCCAGACACCTGGCTGCACAACCCCTTGTCGCCCACTCCAGCAAGGCTAGGGTTGCAACTAGTGGCTCTAGGAAAGCTCCTCTAATGTTCCGTTTTCTCTTTTTTTGTTGTTTTTGGAGAACTCTCTCCTTCTCCAATCACAGTTATGAGGTCCTTTCTCTGGGAGCCATCCTGGGTGGCCTTGTTTCTTTGCCTCCATGGCACCCTATAGGTCTCCCGTCTGGCCCTGTGTGTCTGTCCCCTATAGGGCCCTGGTCAGTTGTGCAGCAGGCCCAGCACATGGCAGCGTGGGTGCATGCTTGCTGGTTCACATTTGTTCCTTAAGCTCTTCTTCCTCCTTCGAGACCCTGCCTGTACACCTTCTCCCTACATCCTCCTCCAGGCTGCCCACTTGGAATTCACCTCTTCCTTCTCTGGGTCCCACACCCCCCGGTTGAGCTCTGCTCTCTGTTCTCATTCTGGGGGATGCCTATGCTAATGTCATCCTTCCACTGTCCCACGCTTGCCAAGAGACATGGAGACTGCTTCCAAGCCCGGCATGGCGGCCCCGATGCTCCATGTGCGTGACAGTGTTCAGAGTCAAGGATTGAGGACCCCACCCTGCTCTATGACAGAAGGCAGACAATCACCAAATCATAAAAGTGTGGCAACAGGATGATAATAGGTATATGTGAGAGTCTTGGAAACTGGGAGAGGCAGTCTTCCTGCTGGAGTGTGGAAGGAGGGGGCGTCAGGCAGAGAAGCTTCACTGCTCAGGCAGCAGTGGCGTTGGGTCATGAAAGAATAGAATTGCACCCAGGGTGAAGTGGGGCAGGGTTCAGGTGTCATAGCTAGTGTCCTGTTACCCCACTGCAGTGGGCCTCCGACTAGAGCCTGCAGAGTTTGCTGTAATACAGATCGCTGGGTCCCAGGGTTCAGGTGGTCGAGTGGGGCTAAGAATGTGCATTTCTAGGGAGCTCCCAGGTGAGGGGACCATATTTTGAGAACAACTGCTCTATGTGAACCGAACCCCGATGCAGTGCTAGGGCTGGGAGCTACTTGAGAGCTGTGTCCCCAACTGTGTTCCATAGCATCCTCCTTTTATGGTCCCCAACAAAGAGTTTTGTGGTCAAATGTTTGATATCTGTGGCATGCCCAAACCTCGCTCTTGGAGATTCAAGGCATACTTGGATATAATGGAAGCCTTGGTAAGTCCTTCGGTAATGAATTAGACATCTTTCAATCCAGCATTTTCCAGATCTATTTAAAAATGAAACACTCTTTGGCTTCATCCCTTCTGCCCTGGAGTGGGGCTCTACCAGGCATCAGTCTGAGAAGCTGCTCCAGGACTGCATCTGTCCCCCGCCCCCTTGTGGTTTTTGGAGTCTGCAGGCAAGACCAGCCTTCCTCACTCTTGCATTCCCTATGAGACCCGACGAGGTCACATTCCAGGCTTTGTGAGCTTGTGTTTACATGAGCTGTGGGCTGTCCCTCACCCAATGCCTTAGGCATCTTCCAGACTCTTCCCTACTCCCTTCTGTGGCTTTGTCTCTGGGGCTCTGCAGCACTCCTGTCAGGGGTACACATGAAGAGGGAGAATGTCTAATGTCCGGCAAGGTTGGGAGATGCCCCAGCAGACTATGGGCTTCCTGAGGTCAGAACCCAGTCCACTGCTCGATCCTCAGCCCCAGCTCACTGTCTTGCACACAGTAGGCGCTCAACTAATGCTTGTGGCAGAGGTTGAACTGCATTGACTCGGCCTGTCCTTCTTTCCCACAAATACATGAGAGCTGGCCCTTAGTGAAAACCAGCGAGGACTGCTCAGGGGCACACAATGCTCCTGGGATGTGTGCAGAGTTTAGCTGGGGCAGACGCGCTCAGAAATTGAGTCTTCCAGGAGCCCAGTACTCTTACATCTTGGAAGCAGGGGAGAGCTGTAATCTTGGAAGCTGTGAGCTTGGGAGGGGCCGAGGCCACGCAGGGGCCGCAATTCAGTGAACATTGAACTTTTTCGGAGGCTGGCTCTCAGCAGGCTCCTGGACTCATGGATCTCTGCAGACTCCCTGGGCTTCTGGGTTATGAGGGGCGGGTCTCAGATGAGACTGCGCTCTGGAGGGCAAATGTGTCTCTGTACTGCCGAGCCAGCGGGGCGTGGAGCAGAGTAATAGCCAGCTCCTGAACCTGGACATATTGTGCTGTGAGGGCTGGCGTGGCCGAGGTCTCCCTCCAGGCTGACATGCTCTGCATTGCTACAGCGGCACACAAACATCACCAGCAGGGGGAGTAGCTCACCGGACTGGTCTTTTGCCCTGGAGGGGATGGAGGTTGGCAGGTGGAGCATCAATGTTTCCCTCTAGGGTGGCTTTGGAGGGAGGAGAGGCTTCTGCTTGAGGCCTTGGGTCTTGCCTGCTGTCCAGAGCCTGTGTCCAGAGTGACTGACCACTTCTTCCCTGCCAGAGTTTGTGGGTGAAATGATGAGGTCCAGGCGTGTTGTTGGTAAAGTGCTCAGTGCAAAGTGCTGGGTGAAAAATTCAGTTTACATTTCAAGAAATCCCTAGGTGATGTGACCTCTTTCTGCAGAATTTTGAGAAGAGGCTTCATTTGGGATAGTCTACGTAGACTAATAGTTAGGGAATTGGCACCTTTGGCCATGTCTGTGTAAGAGTGGCCTGCTAAGCGGTGTCCTAACAATGCTGGGACCACTTTTACCAGCTCTGGTACCCTTTCTGTCACCAGTTGCTGGAATGAGCAGTACCCATCAGGGAGAGCAGTAGGTCTCTCTGCATTGCTCCATATTAGTTATAAAGGGAGATGTCCATATACATTTTCTGACATAAACGGAGTGAGGAATTCTTGTCACATTGCATATTCACGACATATGTTGGAGAAAATATTCTACCTCCTTCCCTGCTAGAATTCATTCCGTTTACCCACTCTCTTATTTAGAGACTGCCTGGCACCAGCTGAGAGCCTGACACAGTGCTGGTGTGGCCAGGTCCACCCCCGCCATGGCCCAGCAGGTCCCTCTCCTTGCCGCATCCACCTCTTTCCATCTTTCCTCCTTCCCTTTCCTGGGTCTGGCCTGTCATTTGCCAGTGGTCCCCAGACCCTTGAAGCAGGGATCTTTGTCTCTTTGTACAGAGGGGATTCATTCCCAGCTGGAATGAGGCAGACACTGTCCTTGCTCATCCAGCCCCCTTCTCATGGGCACAGTGTAAGAGGCTGATCCAAGGCTCTGTAAGCAACTCAAAGACCTGGCAGGACATCCTTGTGATGAAGGTTGTTACCACCACTGTACAGGAGAGGAAAGAGGCAGGAAGCACCTGGGTGATCCAAGACTCTCCCCTTAGGGCATATTGGCCCTAGGTGGCCTGGTGGTGGCCTCCTGGTAGGCGCTGAAGGGTGGGGCAGGGAGTTGCTCAAAGCCAGGGGCCAGCAGGAGCAGAGGCGAGCTGGAAAATAGCAGAGATGGATGGAGCTGGGCAAAGGAGAGGATGGGGGAGCTGCATGGGTCCATGACACCTGCTCTGACAGGGTTGCCATCCTCTTCCTCATTGAACTTAGTGCCTGTTGCATCCTAGAGCAAGGCAGGGGCCGGGACGCACATACCTCCATGAGGAGGGTGAGTCTCTCCAGGTTACTTAAATCAATTATCCTGGGGAAGTGCAAGAGCGGTGGGATCCAGCCTGAGAAGACAAGGGGAAGGCTGGGTGGAGCCGTCTGGTTCAACCACCCTGAGCTGGGTCATCTGTCATGGAAACCGAGAGTGAATAGAGCAGCCCACTGTCCTCTCGGCCATGAACTATTTCTTACAGTAGACTCTTCAGTAAAATGGAAATGCACCATCCAGGTTCTCTTCTGGGCTGTTTTTTAAAAAATTAATATTACGGTTTAATGTGGATTCAGGGGAACTAGTAAACATTTCCCATCTATTCAAAATATCAGGGAAGGATGTGAATATATATGCTCAACAGCTCCTGATAAGCGAAAGAGCCTGGGTTTGCTGCTGAGTTTTCTCCAGTGCTAACTGAGCACATACACTAGTGACCACAGACACCCTGCTCTGATGACCTCCGACATCCTCCTGCAAAACACACTCACTGATTCCAAAGGGCAGAATAGCGACTTTAGGCTGGAGAAACCTGGCAGACACCATCTTGGTCAAATGATCATCATCCCATGGCAATCAATAACCAGAGGACACCCCATGACAATCAAGAACCAGAAGACAAATCAAAGCACATGATCCTGATATGACACACCAAGAAGGACACAGCATCACCACTGTGATGGTCCAGTTAATGGTTTATCACCTGAATTGAATCAGGAGGAAACAGCAGATAAGCTAGCCAAACCCCAGCAGTGTGCGGGGTGGAGGTGGAGAGGAGTCTGTAACATAACAGGCCTGAAATATTAAAAAGATATCAATGCCATGAAATGTTACTGTCACAAAGCAAAACTCAGGAATGGTTTTGGATTCAGGGAGATGACAGAGATGTGACTACTGAATGGACCTGTGATCCTGGACTTTCTTTTGCTACAGAGGACATCACTGAAACAACTGACAAAAATCTCAGTATGGTTTGTAGATTAGGTAATTATATCAATATTAATTTCCTGAATTTCATCATTTTACTACAGTTGATAGATTTAGGATAATATTCTTGTTTTTAGGCAATACACATTGAAGCATTTAATGGAAAAGAGGCAACATGTCTGTATCTTACCCTCAACTGGTTCGGAAAATAATATATATACTTGAAGGAGAGAGACAAAGCTGAAACAAATATAGTAAAATGGGGGAATCTGGGTGAAAGGTACATGGGAATACTTTGTTTTACTATTTCTATAATTTTCCTATGTTTGAAACTTTATCAAAATTAAAAAATTTAAAAATACCTCCAAAATACAGAGGCTTAAGACAGAAGATTGTGTCTTGTCTACTGAACACAACAGTGTGGAGTGTACAGGCTAGCAAGGAGGCTCGGCTCCACACAGCCATGCAGGACCCCAGACCCCTTCCCTTGTGACTGCATAATTGAGTCACAACAGCAAGGAGGAGAAGGAAGCTAGTTGGCCAGCTACAAACTTCTGTTTGAGCAAGGAATGTAGAGGAACTGGGGCCCAAGACCACCCCATGCAGCAAGGGAGACTGGGAATGCAGTCTCTGGCTGGGAGTCCCTGTGCAAAGTCAAAACGCCATTACTGTGGATCATCAGAGAGCAGACCCGAGGGCTCGTGAGCAGTCTGCCCCCTCACCGGTTCTCAGATTCAGAGGTAATCTGAAGAGTGGCCATGACCGTGATAAGCCTCAAGGTTCTGCAACTAGTCTATATTTCTCACATCTGCCCTTGCCTGACAGCGGCTTCCTGTGGGGGCCTCACACCATCCTGCCCCTTAGATTCTGAAACAGCGCCTCCCATCCACCCTATACCTTGCACCTTTTGGCGAATGAATGACCACACACTTATGTGCATGCATGCATGCATTACCCTGGGCTCTTGTTAAAAGGCAGATTCTGATTCTGTGAGGCTAATTAGCTCCCAGGGGAAGCTGAGGCTGCTGGCCCTGGATGCACTGGGCAGCAGAGGTCTATGGGCATCTTCAGGGTGCACCTGCGTGCTTTGGAGATGAAGGAGCTGTGACTCCTGTTCCTTTTGAGAGGGCAACGCTGGGAGGTGTTGGGTGCATGGGAAATGCACCAGCAAGTGGGACTCACCTTCCCTGGGGTGGATGTCATGCCGCATATGGGATTTCACCCGTGGCAGGCTGTTCATGTCGGGTGTTGCTGAAGAGATTGGTAAATTAGGCAGAGTTTTGGAGGAAGTTACCTTGCAGGTCCCTCCCAAGTTTAAATTTGCCTGTGGGTTTGTGAGTAAGAAAAAATAACCTATATACTTCACATTGTGTGGCTGATGAGGGGAATTCAGAACTGAAGACCATGGGTGATTCAGAGAATTCCTGATTTTGTAAGAAAAGCAGGGTATACACCCTGACTGATCCTCCCAAGTACAGCTGAGTTGCACAGTAGGCTGTGCCCCAGGGTAGCTGTTTAGCTGTAAGCCAATGTTCTGCCTGTGGTGTGGCCCAATGAACCTGAGGCTGGAGGCCTGGCACATGCTGGCTAGAATCCCAGCTCCACCATTGGCTGTGTGACCTTGGGCATGTCGTTAAACTCCCTGAAACTGAGTACTCCTATCTGTGAAGTGGGCATGGGTATTACAGCTGACACAGGAACGCTCCCTGATGGTGGGGTCTCTTTTCCTTGTTGATGGTGGTTCACACTGCTCTGTGACTACCAAACCCTACTGCACCATCCTCTGAGCCGGCCTGACTTCTCGGGGGCTGCCCAGCTGTGGCACAGTGGGGTCTGAGCCCACTGTTACCAGGGTCTGCTGCATCTGGATATTAACCTTAATGTGTGATGAGAGCCCATGGGCTCACCAGAAACACGCTTACAGGGCAGCACTTGCAGGCCTGGAAGGGTTTAGGCCAGCTGAGGTGTTAGAAGCTACTTTTTAGGGCTGGAAGCGATATTCTCTTTGACCGCAAGATGTCACCCTGCAACCATGACATTGGGACAGGCACTGTTGGATTCAGGGTTCCTGAGGAGAACCAAAAATGGTTTTGAAACCTCATTTTCACCTGGATGCTCTCCTTGTCCTTGGTGGTCAAATGGTTTGTTCTAAAGGCTCGAGAAATGGTTTCACAGTGAAATTCATCTGTTCCCTCTTGCTTCAGAGAGGAGCTCAGAACACCCAGCTTTGCCACCTCCTGGCTGTGTGACCTTGAGCAAGTTGTTCAACCTCTCTGTGCCCAAGATTCCTCATGCCTAAAATGGTGATAATAGCACCTACATAACGAGTTTGTTATGAGAATTAAACAATGTTTTCAAAGTGCTTGGAACAGTGCTTGGTGCACAGCAAGTCCTGGAAAAGTCTAGTAAATAAAATAACAACAATACTACTAATAGTGTACTCAAGGAGTGCCACACCCTTCTCAAACAGACAAAATTCAAACACTGAAAAATTAAATAATACCCTACAGTCTCAAGCACAGGTTGAGTATATTACATGTTTTGAAATTTTAGAATTCCCTGCTGTGTTATGTAGGCAATGGAAACAATTTTCATAATCTATTACTGTAATTCATTTCTGGAAAACAGACATTTTCAACAAGAAGGGAGTGGAAGATAATTTCTTCCATTGCTGCTTGCCTCAGTGTGCGCAGAGGATCCCCAAGGGTCCTGTGAACCGCATTTGTAAGGAAAGGTGCCGTCCAGGGTGTTTGGTTCTGACTTGCCGGCTGGCCTTCTTTCCTGCCTCCAGCATGTTGCCTGGGATTCCATCCCAGTCATGCCAGAGTTAACCTCCGAGTACAGTTATGACGATTTTCACTCAGTCACAGGCGCAGACCGGCGTCAGATGGCAAGAGGAGGAGTGCAGGAATCAAAGGTCACAGTCTCAGGAGCAAAGCCCCACAGACGTCTGGCTTCTGGATCTGTGACCATATGGTCAAAGATTGCTCTGCACAATAACCTCCAGAGCAGTCAGGTTGAGGATGTCTGGTACTGAAGTTACTCCATTTGAGAAGTTTTATATATTTTTGTTAAATAAAATTGAATTGTAAATGTTTAATTGCAGTAAAGCATAGTGAAGAAAATTAAAAATCACTTATAATCTCATCACTCCAAGATACAATCACCATTCCTACTTTGTGACTTTATACAGTGATAGTCGTGTACGCTGAAAGTTTTTGCAAAATTAGAATTGCACAATTTCGTATTTTGCTTTTTTTCACATTATATCATGCCGGGAACTACTCTTCAGAACTCCTTTTTATGGTTGCATAATGTTTCATTTCTGGTTACACCATGATTTAACACTAGCCCCCTATAATGTTTTCTAATTTTTCACTATTTTAAGAAACATTGCAATAAATATTTGATTATCATATACATTTTTGAATGGCGTTTTTGGAGAGCTTAATTAACGGGTATTTAATGGGCTAACCAGCATGAATTCTTTCTACTTTACACTTTAAATCATCTGCTAACTCTTCACTCAAGGTCAAAGTTAGCAAGCAGCTAAGTCCAGCTTTGAGTCCTGCTCCACAAAGTTTAAACTCCAATGTCATAGTGCCTTTTGGAGGTTGTTAGTACATTTTAGCTTTTGGAACATAAAAGAAGGAAGGCTTTACTGTGGAAGTTCTGTGGTTCTATTATTCTATTATATGCTACATGTAAACATTTCCAGAAATCTGTTAGAAAAGAAAGTTTACTGCCAACCCAAATGCCTGCAGGGACCAGGCAAATGCCAGACAGGGCTTACACGTGCCAGTGGACCTAATGTGACATTTGGAACATACTTACAGTGACAGAGAGGATGTGTGCCACCAACTCTCCCCTACACAAATGAACAAGTCAGATCTGAATTTGTAAGTCTTTCGGGACACTGTCCACCAAACTAAACCCATCTGTGGGCCAAATGGCAACCAGGAGCAATCTTATAAGACCCCAATAAGGTTCATGAGGGGTAAAGGGCACAATTTTTATTTCCTAGGTTGGGAAACTAAGGTTCAGAAGACTTGGGCATGTAGTCAAGCTGGGAAGACTGCACATCTGTGGCTTCTCAGGGGTTTTCAGCTACAGTGCAGGCTGGTGTCTGTCACTACCTAGGACTGTGACAGGTGCCATGAATCATTTCTTACTGTCGATAGAGAAGGGAACAAATGCATAAATAATGTATCCTTCCCCCTCAATTACTTTGAAGGATTTCCCTGGGCTAATGTTAACCTCTTTCATGCTACATAAGTGCTCACCCAAGAATAACTGCTCCTTCCAGAAAGTCTTTGCATAAGGATGACTGACCAGAAATGTCCAGCTTTTGCTAGATGTGTGTGTGGGAGGTGTCCTCCTTTCTCAGCTTCCTGCTTCTTGTCTCAGTTGTCCTCTGAAGCCTCCCCATGTGCAGATTCATGCTTCACCCTGGGTAAGGAGGAGGGCATGGTGGTGGTGAGAGCCAATGCAATGGTGTCCTTCACATGCTGGAAGGCATCTGAGATGCACCTGTTGGGTTTTAAGTAATAGCTTTTATGTGTCCTGCATGAAAACCTGGCTTCCTTTTGAGTTAATGTACTATTGTCACTGAGTTGCTGCTGCCCCCTATCATTCAAGAGCTTTTTTGGACCGAAGAAAACCCAACAGAGGACCCCCGAGGAGACTTGTTCTGGCCCGAGAAGGGGCTGGACGAGGGAGAATAGTGAGGGCAACATGAAACCTTTTGGAAACGGGCCAGCCCAGAGTGCTCCAAGAGCCCTGTGCTGACATAGGACACTGTCCTGCACAAGCTGAGACACAAATGATGCTCAACCTTTTTGGCTTCATCTTTAGGAACTTGGCCCCTTTATTTTGTGCTTCAAACTTCAGTTTCTTGATTGTAAGCGCAAATGTCTGCAGGTGACAGGAGGGTGATGTAAATGAACAAAGCAGCCAGGTGTCCTCAGCTGGGGTCTGGTGGGGATTGAGGTGAATGGGAGAGCAGTGCCCAATGCGGGATCCCAGTGCCCCCGACCCCTGCTGAAGGTTACCAAGGTGGGGAGGGGACTCTAGGCACATCATGGCCAAATCTACCCATTTTCCAAGAGAAGCTAGAAATCCAGATGTTTATATGAATGCAGCTAACTTTGAAAAGTGGCAGTGAATTTGACTTTGCCTAAGACGCCTCATAGGCCAAAGAAATCCCACGTGCAGTCTGCAAGGGGCTGGTGCGTAGCCAGCTTTGCATCCCACAGCCTCTGGCTGACTGGTCGTGGATTCTGGCACATTGTTTGGGTAGGATAAGGGCATACACCTGCTATTTAATAACAATGTTGTGCACTCTCCACACATAAGTAACTTGTGAAAATACAACAAAGAATATCTCATAAAGCTTACTGCTTACTTAAAGCTCATTTCCTTCTGTACCCAAATGAAAGACATCTGCCCATCAATGACCTAGTCAAGCCATGGAAGAATGAGAAGCACATTTTAGAGAATGTGTTAATAAAAACAGTTCAACTATAAACATTTCCAAAAAGGTTTTAGAATAGAGCATCTCTGAGGATATCCCTTTAAGTAAGTCACCATCACCTGCATTATTGAGATTTAGGGGAAGGTTTAGGGGTGCAGTCACAGGAAGCTCAGGACAACATCTCAGCCACCTGTGACCTGAAGCACAGAGCAGGCCAAGTCCCTTGCTGCATGCAATTTGGGAGAGCTGTGGCCACAAAGCCGTGTAGTGGGATATTCTGGATCCTCAAACTTCTAGTGGGCATTGCCCACTCCTCAACACAGGGGCATCCCAGGCCCAGAAGCTTCAGCATGTGTCTGAACTGAAGGGTGGTGGTGGGTCTGCTGGAAGGCCACCTTTGCCTGCAGACAAAATTGTTCTTCCCAATTGAGATGGGGGCTTTGGGGCCATTGGGACTGACATAACAAAGCAAAGTGAGGCTGTATCATATGTCAAAAAGGCAGTTTCCTGAAATTGAATACTTTAAAAATGTGAGCAGAGTAGAACAGCCCCAGGGGTCGTCAATCATCTCTTCTGGTCCAGGCTAGCTCAGGAGGGACTGGAAATGCACCCACCCCCAACTCGAAGCCGGGAGTGTTCATTAGTGGCCTTCCTCTCGGAGGAGGGGCTGAGGCTTCAGGCCTAGCCTTTGTTTTCTCTGGCCTGGCATGTAGGCAGATTTTTAGCGTCATAAATTGGAGAGGTGGGTGCTAGCATGTTAAGTAAATCTTATTTCCAGCATGTCCTGGGGACCTGGGACTAATACATTTTAAGAAATGTTTAATAGTAGGCCGGGTGCGGTTGCTCATGCCTGTAATCCCAGCACTTTGGGAGGCCGAGGTGGGTGGATCACGAGGTCAGGAGTTTGAGACCAGCCTGGCCAACATGGTGAAACTCTGTTTCTACTAAAAATACAAAAATTAGCCCGGCGTGGTGGCGCACCTGTAGTCCCAGCTACTCGGGAGGCTGAAGCAGAAGGATCGCTTGAACCCGGGAGGCGGAGGTTGCAGTGAGCCGAGATTGTGCCACCGCACTCCAGCCTGGGCAACCGAGCGAGACTCCGTCTCAAAAAAGAAAAGAAAAGAAAAGAAAAGTTTAATAGTTTTAAAAGAGTAATACCTATATTCCAATCACTTAAAATTAACATATTTTATCCAATCAAGGCATATCATCATTTTATACATCAAGAAAGAAAAGAAACTAGCGAACAAACGGGGCATAATGCCGCCTGGCTCCGCTTCCCCCTCCCCTCTCCCCCCGTCCTTAGGAGACACCTCTGGAGTTCAGAAATGCTAGGAGAGCAAGCTCTTCATTCTTAGAATCCAGGAAGGGCCGGGCTTTTGCAGCTCTCCTCTGCCAGGAAGCCGCTGGGGGGCGCAAGACGCCAGCTTCTCACCTTGGCAGAAGTGCCTGCCTGCAAGCGCAGAATGGAAACTTCCCCATAACAAATTCAGAAGTACCTTGTACATTCACCACCCACCTGAAGAAAGCCTGAATGAAAGGAACAAAGCCACGGCGTTGTTTACTTTCCCATTATCGCCCCAGTCTTGCGGCAGGGCCCGGGTTTCCATCCAATCCACCCGGCCCGCCACTGTCCTGGCCAGTCTCCAAGGCTTCACCCAAAAAAAGGAAGCAATGAGGTGTCCCCCAGCGCGCCTTTTCACGTAGCACAGAAGGTGCTCAGTGGGTGAATCCTCTGAAAGTGCCAGCGTGTATGGTCAAACGGCAGCAACCTCTAGCCTATTAAACTCTCCCAAGATCTCTTCCAGACTTATTCCATTGCCGGAAAAAAGGCTTTTTACATATGCGCATTTAAGTAATTAAGATATTTCAACATGGTATAAGACGTAGGGGCTCTTACTCCATCAGTACTGGATGGGAATTTCCTTTTGCCCTCTACTCCCCAGGGTAACTGCAGTCCCACCTGAATGCGTTTTGCAGCCCTTACTCGGGTTCTATTTATGCGCAGCTTGGACAGGGCTCACTGGGCCCGGCCGGGCAGCTCCGTGGCCGTCCCTCTCCACCGCCCTTCCCCCGCGCCAGGCCAATGCAAGGGTGTGTGTGTTGGGGGGAGGGGAGGACAAAAGGGGTTCAGGATCTTTTTAACCTGCCTGCAGATGGCGCCCCGGGAAAGATTCCGAGCTGCATTACCTAAGCTCCAGGGGCTGCAGCCGCGGGGTCCCGGCCACAGGGCGTCCAGCCGCGAAGACTGCACAGCAGCTCTCCGTCCTTCCCAACTCGCGCGGCTGTTCGGCACCCGTGCGAGGAACGGATGGAAGGGAATTACTTGTAGCAGGGCCAGTACTGGGGGCGTGCACTCAGGGACCACGGAGTGGCACTCAGCCTCGACCCCACGCGCCAGGCAGCCCGGCGACCCCCACGCGCGGCGGGGTCCTGCCCACCCCACCCGGCGGCAGGTGGACAGTGTTGCTATGAAGAGAAAGCCTCGATTGTCCCTACAGCAAACCGCCACACGCCAGACCTCTGCTATTGTGCGCCCTCCATAGAAATGCAAACGAGCGGCGTGCGCCGGCCGCAATCTGCTCGTCCCCGCCCGCCCCCGTCTCCCGCGCCCCGCCGCGCTCGGCCAAGGGCGGGGAGGTGGGGTGGGATCTTCCAGAGACGGCTCAATGTACACATTGAGTATGCCTGGCAGGCATCACCAGCGCGCTCGGGACGCTAGTGGTCAGCTGCAGGGGGCTGTGCCCACTGCCTTTTGCAAGCCTCTAACTGGCGCTACCTGTTTTTACCTTAATTTCTGGCTCCAATGCAACAGTCTCATAGACTTCAAATTAAAGAAAAGAAACAAATAGAAAGGTAGCAATACAAAATGCAAAAAAAAATCCCTTTGCTTCTATAAAGGTGCTTTTCGCAAATTGCAGCATCATATAAGCAAACAAGGTTTTTGTGGGTTGGGTTTTTTCTTTTTTTTTTTTTTTTACTTTTTCCTTTTAAGGACTTCAAAAAAAAAAAAAAGCCAGGCGAGATGAAATCTGCAGGCTCCAGTCTGCCTGGTAACACCCCAACAAAAGCGGCAGATTTGAGGCATTGTCATCCCCCGCACCCCTCCCCACGTGGCCTTCTGGCACGAGCCGCTGGCTCGCCGCCTCATTTACATCAGAAAGCGGGTGCCGGCCAATAGGCGCGCAGCCTCGCGCCAGCTGGCGGCGCCGCACCCACCAGCCTATATAAGGGCGCGCAGCGTAGTAGGGGCGCACTCGCTGGTGGTGGGCGCGCCGTGCTGAGCTCTGGCTGTCAGTGTGTTCGCCCGCGTCCCCTCCGCGCTCTCCGCTTGTGGATAACTAGCTGCTGGTTGATCGCACTATGACTCTGGAAGAAGTCCGCGGCCAGGACACAGTTCCGGAAAGCACAGCCAGGTGGGTTTCAGGGCGCTGAGAAAGCCGCTGGTCGGTCGGCGACCGTCAGGGTTTTCCAGGGTGGGAATCCGCGGGGTAGGAGGGGAGCGCGGGGGTCCGGGCGCCAGATCCCGGTTGGAGAGCCGGGGTGCAGGCGCTGAGCCGGGATTGGAGTGTGGTTGGAGTTGGGGAGCCAAGGGTGTGTGCCGGTGGCCGGGGCTGGGGTCTCCGCCGCGCCCTCCGGCCGGCTCCCGCTCACTGCGCTGGCTCCTCCGCAGGATGCAGGGTGCCGGGAAAGCGCTGCATGAGTTGCTGCTGTCGGCGCAGCGTCAGGGCTGCCTCACTGCCGGCGTCTACGAGTCAGCCAAAGTCTTGAACGTGTAAGTGTAGACGCGGCCCAGGCTGGGAGACAGGGGCGGGGGTGAATGGCGAGGAGACTGGCGGATGGGAGGGGTGGCGGCGGGAGAACTCGGCTAGCCGGTTCTGACCTAGGTCCCCGCCTTGCCCTCGCAGGGACCCCGACAATGTGACCTTCTGTGTGCTGGCTGCGGGTGAGGAGGACGAGGGCGACATCGCGCTGCAGATCCATTTTACGCTGATCCAGGCTTTCTGCTGCGAGAACGACATCGACATAGTGCGCGTGGGCGATGTGCAGCGGCTGGCGGCTATCGTGGGCGCCGGCGAGGAGGCGGGTGCGCCGGGCGACCTGCACTGCATCCTCATTTCGGTGAGTACAGTCCCGTCCTGTCCCCGCCCCAGTGTCGTTCCCGCCTCGGCCCGCGGCCAGCCAGGCTGACCCTGCTCTCTCTCCGCAGAACCCCAACGAGGACGCCTGGAAGGATCCCGCCTTGGAGAAGCTCAGCCTGTTTTGCGAGGAGAGCCGCAGCGTTAACGACTGGGTGCCCAGCATCACCCTCCCCGAGTGACAGCCCGGCGGGGACCTTGGTCTGATCGACGTGGTGACGCCCCGGGGCGCCTAGAGCGCGGCTGGCTCTGTGGAGGGGCCCTCCGAGGGTGCCCGAGTGCGGCGTGGAGACTGGCAGGCGGGGGGGGCGCCTGGAGAGCGAGGAGGCGCGGCCTCCCGAGGAGGGGCCCGGTGGCGGCAGGGCCAGGCTGGTCCGAGCTGAGGACTCTGCAAGTGTCTGGAGCGGCTGCTCGCCCAGGAAGGCCTAGGCTAGGACGTTGGCCTCAGGGCCAGGAAGGACAGACTGGCCGGGCAGGCGTGACTCAGCAGCCTGCGCTCGGCAGGAAGGAGCGGCGCCCTGGACTTGGTACAGTTGCAGGAGCGTGAAGGACTTAGCCGACTGCGCTGCTTTTTCAAAACGGATCCGGGCAATGCTTCGTTTTCTAAAGGATGCTGCTGTTGAAGCTTTGAATTTTACAATAAACTTTTTGAAACAAACTTATGCTCTTTATTGAGGGTAGGGGATCTTTGTGTCGGGGGAGGTGGCGTGCAGGGTTTCAGAGGATTGCTGGAACTCCGTGGAACTGATGGCACCTGTTCCGTCTTCCTGTCGGGCAAGAATGACAGGCTCCTCCCCTCTGGCAGAGGGAGGGCATGCTGCCCAGTGCTAGGGTAGAACTTGAGCCTGGCTCCTACTTTTCTCCTTTTAGGAAGATTTTAAACTTGCAAAACAGGAGCATACTTGAGATAAGACAGTGCAGCAGCTGAAGTCTTGCCTTCCAAGGCGATAACAGTGACCTGTGCCTCCCCTCCCCCTCCTCGGCCCTCCTCCCCCTCCCTCCTACAGCTGCTTATCTGAACAGCTTGCAGGAGGCCTCAGGCTTTCCTGCACAATGAGCATTGCCTTCTGCAGGCCCTGCCCTTTGTGGTCCCTGAGGATGGTGGCAGACTGCTCCTGCTCTTGGGGACTTTTTCCTCTTAAATGCTCTGACACAAAGCAATGCTACAAAGGTACTAATACCAAATATGACATTGATGACTGCATTTAAGTATGAGTCATTACTTTGTCATGGCTGTGATAGAACTTGGAAGATCTGAGAAAAAATTGGAAGGCAGCATCTATATAAATAGGCATGAGCAATTCTGAGGGGGCCTGGCATCTGCTATCTACTATTTTCAGTGTTCTCTGCCCACATCAGAGTTACGAGGATTGCTGCTATTCACAATTCCGTTTAAAGACTCATAGGAAAAAAAAATTAAATATTTTAAGCCAAGACTTTCTTTAAAAAGGAACTAGGGGGAAATGTCCTGATCGAATCAATCTTTTTTATGAGACCAATATGCCTTGAGTTCGTTCTGTGTCTAACTAGCTGCTTTCAGCAGGGGAAATACATGTGGGACCCTTGTGCTGTCAGCTAGACTGCCAAGCAGGCTGAGCCTTCTGGGCAAAGGAGGCATGATGTGCTGTCTTCAGTGCTTGGGGTGGCTGATTTACCTCATTGAGTGCCACGTCCTAAAATTCCGTCCAAATTACGGGAGGATTCTTGAGGCAACAGGAAAACTGTACTGAATTACTCTTCTTGTAATGAAAGCGTCCTTGTTTTCCATTTATCAGCTCCTAAAAACATCTACTCCTCAATGGGACAGAAGCCTAGATAAAAAATTCAGTTGTATTTGTGCCCAATTTTCATTACTATTTTACCTATTTGCTGCTTGAAATCTTAAGGTTTTCTTATTGAGGTAGTCTTGGGGTGGGCCTGTCTACCAGTCTGCGTTCCAGCAAAATGACCAGAACATGCTATTGTAAACACAAAGTGGACTTGATTACTTTAAAATGAACCCTTAAATGAGTAAATTCAGCAGAACATTGCACAGAGCAGGTAGGCAGACCCTCCTGTTGGCCAAGCGACACTTGTAGAACATGAGGTTGTAAGCCCTTGGTTTTTTGATTAGAGCTTGCTATGAGGCCACCTGTTGGAACCCCAAAGGGCTAGGAGAATTTTCAGGTGAATAAATGCATGATGGGACACAGTGCCATGCCCAAAAGTTGTGCTAAACTTTTTCTTTTTTTTTTTTTTTGATGAACAGGTGTTTAATGCTATTAACATGAACTAACTCAGAGGGCAGATAATAAAATGTCCAGTGTTTATAAACACATAATTGCATTTAGTACTTCCAACAACCCTATATGATAATGCATATATAAGCCCTCAGTGCGTGGTAATTATCACTACATATGTGTTGGGGGTGACCCATAAAGACGAGCACAATGCCTGGCATCTAGAAAGCACTGAATGAATGTTAATGACAATAATACTTAAAAGCTAACGAAGACATTTGTCCCAGACCACAGAACTCCAAGTGAACTAGTGGGTTTTGGACTAGCCGTCTGGTTTCAGGACCAACACGTTGCTGCCATGAACTTCCGGGTGCTGGAGCACTTGCGGCAGGCTTATTTTGGAAAGAAGGCTATTTTCATTAGATAACTTTCTACCTTTATAAGTTATATGTATTCATTGCAGAAAAATTGTAAAATACATCAACATTAAAGAAATAAGTAAAAGTGCCTGTAACTGACCATCAGCAAGTTTTGATGTATTAATATTTCCTTCTGAACTTCTATTTTTCCTCTTACATATTCTGTAACACACACAAGCACACCCAACAGTTTTTAAGCTGCATTTGGCTTAGTCTGCATTGGATTTAGTTACCGTCTCCTTTTCCTTAACATGCTATTACAGCTCCCATATATCCACATGACCTTGGGACAGGGCTTGTCTCTGCTTTAGCAGGCTCCAGTGCCTGGGTGAAAATACACATTCCAGCCTGGGATCCAGCTGGGGCATCTTCTTTACCTTGCAGCCCTCACTGAACTGGAAACATGACTGCCGTTTGCAGGATTTTAGGTATCACATGTCTAAAACAAACCTTTGCCACCCCCAGAGCAATGAAAGTAAAGCATTCTTATTTTTAATTTTTTTAAGTTTTGCATATGGTCACTGTAAAAATTGGCACTGGCAAAGCACCTGTTGTGAAGATGAAATGGATACAGAATGACAACAGGAGCAGCTTGGAGAGTCAGGCATTCCTTGCCCACACCCAGCATTGCCCACATAGGGAGCTGAGGTCTCCTTGTTCCTCTCCTGGCAAGATGATAGGACAAAATGATCTCTGAGATTTATTTTATTTTTAAGGGCTCTAATTCTCTGTGTTATATATTTTATTAAACCATTAGCCTCAGAAGTACAATGCGTATTGGTTTTGAAGCCACTTCAGAAAAAATAAAAAATGAATTTTTCAGAGGAAAAGCAAGGATGTTGGCAAACAAACCAAGGCGTGTAGGGTCAGCTCAGTAAACAGATACCCAATTTTGCTTTTTTGAGATTCTTGTGTTTTTCAGTTGCTTTTCTAAGATGCCAACCCCTGTACTCCTCATTTGAGTATGCCCTCCAAAATGTCAAAAGTGTATTGTCTTTCCACGGTCACAAAGGAGAGACTTTATGACTTAACTGGGGGCAATGAGACATGATCCTGCGTGGTGCACCTGAGCTGCTGCAAGCGGCCGCCAGAGGAGTGGCTAAGTTCGTGTGCAGGGCCAGCTGGAAGCCTCGGGGTGCCTGGAATGACTACACGGCTTTGAATTCTGTCCTAGCGCAAACTTATATTTGGTTTTTAGGTCTAGCTCAAACTTCCCTTTATCAACTAGAATAAAATTGCCAAATAATTTCACTCCCTTCATCAACTAATAGTGTGTGAGTAAAGTTCATCCACACAGGGTGGCAGAGTCTAGATACTGGGAGCTGGTGGCTGCACCAACAAGATGCATGGCTTCTTGCCCACTGATGCAGCAGAGGCCTTTAAAACCTCTGTGAGCTCCTCATGCTGGGTAAGACAGGCACTGCCTTGGGCTGCTGGGCTTCAAGGGTAGGACATAGGCTGTCCACCATGTGGTTCAAGCGTTCATTCATTCATCCCCTCATTAATTCAGCTGGCATTTCCTGAGCACATGTGCTGTGCCAGGCACAGTGCTAGGCATGGCCTCCCCACTGATCCTTGCCTGCCTGGAAGGTCCTGACAGCATTGAGTTGAGCCCATGGCTTCGCATTCCCAAGCCCATCCGTCTCTTATTCATCCTGCCTAGAAAACACGGTGAGGACAGGAATGAGAAAGGTGAGTGTGGGGACACCATTTCCCATACCAATTGCTAATTTTATGAGACTCTCATTGGCCAACTAAAAAATATGTCACAGTTGGCATTCCATTACCTTTTTGCATCAAAAACACCCTCGGCTTCTTTCCTTCTCACCATCTCCCTTTTCTTTCTATTTCTTCGATTTTTCTCCAGTCCAAGACTTCCCAAGCTGTGACTTGTGCTTCCCTCCTGAGCACTGCTAGTGGCTTCCAAAGACTGCTTTCCAATTCTACTTCCCTCCCTGCAACCTTCTCTTCTTCTTCCTTTTTTTGCCTCCACCTCCACCTCCACCTCTGCTCTTCCCTCTCGTCCATTTTCTCCCACATCCTTCCCTTCCTCCTCCTTTCTTTCCCCCTTCCCCCTCCACCTTCACTTCCATTTTGGAGCTCCTGCTGTGAACCAGGCCCTGGGGACTCAGACGAGAAACGAGCAGCCTCTGCTCCCAGGAGCTGGGCCTGGCGCCAGCTCTCTGGCCTGGCCTGGGGCTCTCTCCAGTTCCCTTCCATCCACTCAGTGTCCCAGATCCATCCCCTCAAACTTGCTAGGCCCTGACCCTGTGTGGAGGTCCAGCGGACACCTTGTCTGATTGAGCCCAAAGTCAGTCTCTGCCCAGGGCCCGGCCTGGTGCAAAGAGCCATGCACACCCGCATGCTTATTCCATGCCCTTCCCTGGGGGCCAAGGTCCTGATCTTTGAGGTGGGCTTGTGGATGGATGACTGGGCTATGAGGTGGGCTATGATGACAGTGATGAGGAGGTGAAGTTTCCCGGTGAAGAGAGTATCACACCCTGTGCAAACATGGGTGGGCTCCACATATCCCAGTGTGCCCAGGGTGCAGCGCTCTGTCTCCTAGGTTTCTCCATGCTCTGTCCATGCTCTGCTTCTGCCCCTTCCATCCCTGTCCTCAGGGTCCAGCTCTTTACTGTCACCTACCTGAGTCCCCTACTTTTAGGGATGCCAGTATAGGCTTGGGGGTAGCAGGAAGGCTCCTGGTCAGAGGAGCCCCTGCTATAGTGGAGATCATGTGACTCCTTTGGGTCTGGCCCAATCTGCATCTGTGTCCTGGGCCGTGGCTGGAGGGAGCTCACCTGGGCTTCCTTTTCCATTTTCCTGACTCTCCCTAAATCACTCAGTACATCTGACAGAGTCCAGAAGCTTGTTCATCTTGGGTGGAAGGGAAGAGAGTCTGGGGGCTGGGTAGCTTGCTGGGGAGGGTGGAGATGCAAGGGTGGGTGAGGATGAGGGCCACCTGCCACCATCCCTGAGACCATGATCAGGCAAGTGGTGCAGGCAGAAGGCTTGTGGATGACTGTGCAAGCCTGAAAGCACAGCCTGATAACAATCAATAAGACAATTGTCCCGCAAGACTCCCCTCTGAGCTTCAGAATAGAACAGTGTTTCTGGGAGAACAGAGTGGGCTGAGTCCTCCTTAGCTCTTTGTCGCATGGAGGAAAATGCATTAGAATTGACATCTTAGAAGTGGCATCTTCCTAGGAAATACAACCCGACCAAAATGGGTGGAAGAAGGTGCTGTGGAAAGGAGACAGCCTGCGTGTTTTCTATGCCTCTCGTGGAGTACAGGCTCATCCAGCAGAGCTGCCTTCAGAGCAGAAAGAAGGGATGGGTGACCCTTTGAGACTGAGCTGATGGTGTCAGGCTGCAAATCAGTGAAGGTCACATGAAGTGTTGTTTGCTATTGGGGAGCACGGGATTCCACAAAACCTGCCAGAGATGAGCAATTTTCTTTTTATAGAAGTTCAGTAAATGTCTCAGAAGGACCCCTGCAAAGTCCCCGAGTCCCTTTCCCATCCAGATCCAGCACAAGCAACTCCCTCTGAGTACAGCCCATGGGGAGCTGCTCAGACTTGCCCCTGCTGCTGTCCACCTGCTTCTCACCTGGATGCGCAGTGACTGACAGATGAAACTGTCTTACTTATCTTAGTGATATGTCAGCTGATATCTCATCAGAAGGCAGAATTCTACCACAAACCTCCAACCACTGCCTCCTGGTGTTATTCCCACAGTTGTGGGATTAAGGAATGTTGCAGATGTAATTAAGGTTACTAATCAGATGACCTGAAAACAGAGAGATGTTCTGTATGGGCCAAACCTAATACATGAATATGTTAAAAGCAGAGACTGGCTGGTTGGGGAAGCAGAGCCAGAGACTTTGCAGATTTTGGAAGAATTGGACACACCATTGCTGGCTTTGAAGAGGGAGGGGCTCATAGAGCAAGATTTGAGGGTGGCCTCTAGAAACTGAGAGTGGTGCTTGGCTGACAGCTAGCAAGAGAATGGGGACCTGATTCCTACAGATGCATGGAACTGAATTCTGTCAACGACATGGATGAGCTGGAAGCAAACTCTTCCCCAGAGCCTTAGAGATGACCGCAGTCTGGCTGACAGCTTGGTTCAAGCCTTGTGAGACCCTGAGCAGAAAAGTGAGTTGAGCCTGCCTGACTTCAGATCCATGGAACTGTGAGCCCATAAATAGCGAATGTTTTAAACTGCTGAGTTTGCGCTAATTTGTTACTCAGCAATAGGGAACGAATACATCCCAGGAACATCAGGGTCTCCTCCTTCCCTCCCCCTACCTCTCATGCTTCGATTGGGTCTACCTGGACCTCATCTTACAGCTTTTGTACTCCTGTCCTGCACCACCTCCCCAACTCTCGCCTCTCCCTGTGTCCCACAGGGCTTCTCCCTCTCTCCAGACATATCATGCCCTTTCATACCCCGGGGCCTTGGACGTGCTGGTCCAGCTGCGTGAACTGCATGTTTTCTTGAACGGCGACTCTGCTTGCAGGTGGAATGCATGGAGTGCACGGGCGTCTGCCTAGAGAGGAGATGTGGGGGCTGGGCATGGAGGTAGCCGAGGAGTCAGCCTGCGGGCCCTGGGCCCTACCAGAGCTGGGTTCCACCTTAGCATTTAAGGAGGTGGCCTATACAGAGCAGGTGGCAGTGTCGGGACAGGGGGCTCCTTCCAAGGTCACCATGGGATTGGTGGGCAGGCCTGTGCCTGTGGTCCAGTCTCTGGCTCTGATTGGAGCACGCTCATTCCTACAGAACATTGGCAACCCTCTATCGCTCACCTGCAGCTGGGGATTAAAAGACCCAAGGGCCACTGACTGGGCCACTGAATCACTGATTTTCATCCCCAAATCTTTTCCCTTATATGAAATTTCCCAAGTGCTGTCAAATCACAGATTCTTAGTGTTGGAGGGAAGCTTAGTTATTCTTCATTTCACAGGCAAAGAAATGGGCTCAGAGAGGTGAGTCCATAGTTGCAGTGAGGTCCAGGTCTCCTCATCAGGTCTGGGCTTTGTTGACCCAGGGCCTTTTGGTCCAAAGTTGAAACAAAGGCCTTTTAGCATCCCCTCTGGGCTGCTATCCGATGCCTAGATGATGGGCCAAACACAAGCAGGATAGCTATGGAATTCACGGTTCTCCAGAGAAGGAAGCAGATGGGAAAGTGAGACCTGCCTCGCCTAATTTTCTTGTACTACAGTCTTTTGGTTAAAGCATCTCTCATTTTGTTATTGTTGCTTGTGGCTTCCCATTATGAGGAGTTGACGCGTTTGTCTGTCTGTCTAGCCTCTGGATGTGGGACAGGCAGATCAATGAGATCCAGGAAAAGTTTGTGTCTTGCTGTGTGAAAGCTGAGGCTGACCGAACAAAGTCACTCAGTTATGGGAACACTTGTTAAAAGGATGTCAAAGCTTTTATTTTCCCCCCTCAAAGTGGGTCTCTTGTCCTATAACCACTGACCATCTTGATCTCATACCGAGCCATTGATGTGGTTTTACTTCACCTCCAGGGGAGGTGGGATTTGCTACTGAGTTTCATGATTCATTTTTCAGCTTTCAGAGTTTGCTTTGGTTTGAGGTTTACATGCCTGTCAGTGATGAAACATGGTCATTAGAATTGATTCCGATTTTTGACACTTGCGTTATCCCTACCCTGCAATGGTGGATTGGGGTCACTCATTTACAGCCTATCTTCTGCAAGTGGGAAAATTCAAGAGAATAATTAAAATGTGTTGCGTTTTCACTATGACAAAGTTCAGACAAATAGAATTCTAAGGAACAACAGTGAAACAACAGTAAAAAGCAAAATTGAAAGGAAAGGAACAGCTACACTCTGGAGAAAGTATCCTCTTTTGCAGCAAGATTAAATTTCCCTAGAGTGATTCACGGCAGCAAAGCAATTCATGGAACTCCCGCGTTGAGCAAGAATTTGATGCTAACATTCCAGGAAGGAGGCTGCAACTGCAGGTTAGGCTCAGCTATCATAAGACCAGTTAAAACCATGGTGTCTTGACATGTCTGCAAATCACTCAAGCCCTGCAAGGCCGAAACAATGACCAAGATAAAGTCCAGGGAGTTGGTAGGTGGCCCACATGTCACCAAATGATCCACTTGGGCTGACTGAGGGTTTGAGGTCCTGCCAGGCTGTGTGGATGCCCACAGTCCCCATGCAGGGGAGGGTGAGTGAGTTTCTGCTTTCACCGTCATGAGCAGGGGCAAGCAGCTGTTCTCCTTCTATGTGGCCCCTAGGCCCCTGGGTATGCTCAGTCTCTCCAAGAGCTTGGAGAAGACTCAGGAGAAACAACTGCCCACCCAGAGGGGCTGCAGGAGCTGGGGGTCCCTCGGCGGCAGCATTCTCTGCTGGGGAAGGAGCTTAGCCATCTGGAGCTGCCTGTCCATGCTGGGTTCCCTGGCCTTGATCTTGATTATGTTGATAGAGAAGCAGACCACCCCACAACTGGGAAGCCCATTCCAAGGCAAATGGGCCATTCCACTTTCAGAGCTCCCCAAGGGGGCCCCGGCAGCTAAAGTGAGGCCTGAGCAGAACTTGCTGGCTTCCTCTGGTCACCAGACTCCTGCAGTGCCCATATGAGGTCAACAGTGTGGCATGAGGCCCAAATGATATCAGGTAGGGGTTACAGGGATTAAACTAGGAGCCCAGGGGTACACCCCCAGCTGCGTCCTCCAAGGGACTATCATCATAGGCACTTCTCAGTGGTCACTGCAGGCTCAGAGGACAGCTGCTGAAGCCCACTAGATGAGGCCATGTGCCATAGTCTGAATATGTCCTCTAAAATATATGTGTTGGAAATATAATCCCCAGTGTAATGGTGTTGGGAGGTGGGCCTAATGGGAAGAGTTTAGGGCATGAGGGCTCTGCCCTGGTGAAAGGATTAGTGCCCTATAAAAGAGCTTGATGGAGGGAGTTTGGTTCTTTTTCATCCCTCTATTCCTCTTGCCATGTGAGGATGCAGTGTTCCTGGCCCCAGAAAATGCAGCAAAGAGGTGCCATTTTGGAAGCAGAGAGCAGCCCTCACCAGACATTGAACCTGCTGGTGCCCTGATCTTGGATTTCCAGCCTCCAGAACTTCCAAAAAAATTTCTATTTTTTTAAATAAATTACCCAGTCTCAGGTATTTGGTTATATCAGAACAAACAGATGTACACACTGTGCTTAGTGTTTAGGGGCTTGAGTGTCCTGGGGGACAGGCCAGGTGGGGGTGATGGACTGGGGCAGAGCTTTAAAAGTGAAGCAGAACTCAGGCAGGTGGAGCTCTTGCACAGAATTGAGGACAGTCACTGCCCTGGGGACATCTTCTAGGTTTGCTCCCGGTCACCCCCTCAGTCCTGTCCTAAGGCTGGGTCTGCAGGGAGCCCACGCTTGGAGAGCAGATGCTGGGCTTGCTTGTGTTGCCTTTGCTTTTCCCAGCTCAGGGGCCTGGGCTCACACTCTTGCAGTAGGAGAGATTCAAGGACCCAAGGGTACACTTTTTCTGTGGGTGAATGGAGAGGGAGAGAGGGAAGGTGTGTGTGTGTGTGGAAGGAGAGAGAGAGAGAGAGAAAGAGGTTCTCAGAGCCTAAGCAGGAGTAGGATGGCCCACGGTGGAGAGCATGGTAGCCCAGGGAGTGGGGTCTGTGTTAGATGTGGGCTGCCCGTGGGGGGAGGGTGGGCTTCTAACAGTCCCAATGTGTCTGAGACGCGTAGGGCCCTGGGGTGACCTGGCAGTATCTGTTGACCTGAAGGTCGGGACAGGAATTGCTCAGCTTCTTGAGGGAATTCGGCACTTCTCTCTGTGTCCCTCTGCATAACAAATCACCCCCACACACATATTGGGATGTTTCTCAGCTCCGGTGACCAGCTGGCCTGGGCTCGGCAATTCCCTTGCTCTACCTGAGGCTGCCCAAGGCTGCCTGGTGGTCATGTGGGAGCCGGACTGGCTGAGAGGCTCAGGAAGTGCCATGGAAGGCACAGGGTGGGGTTGTGAGGCTGGTCTTCGCCAGGAAGCTAGACATCCCTGCTGCTCCCTCCCCGTGGGGCCTGTCCACACGGTCTTGTCACGGGGTCTCTCTCCAGAGCGTCCTGCACAGGGATGTTCCACTCCCACTGCGTTTTGTGGGTGAGTGGGAGCCACTGGTCTGGGTTACCCAGGGGAGAAGACCACCTGAGAGCAGGGATCCTGGGAGGGTGGCCACGGGGCCATCTTTGGAGATTTGCTGTGACTCATTTTCCTGAATCAGGTGTGAGGCTCATTTAGCTTACATAACTCATTTCAAGGAGAAATTACTTCAAAGTACAAAATGTTATCGTCTATGCCATTGCAGTTTTGGGGAAGAGTTACTGCTCTTTGCTAGGAAAAGCCTTTAGAGGGTTTTTAGAGGCAATAGGAATTGCCGAGATGAATTCCAAGGCAGAGATACTCATGAATAAGGGTTAATTCAGCAACTTAGTGAGGGCACATTATCAGCCCCTGGACCCTCCACTGGCACCTGACGGTACCAGGCTCCGCACAAGAACACTGCTGCCTGCACACTGTGGTGTCTGCCTCCTCTTGTAACTGGGCCTGCACTCCCCACCTTCTTCTCAGAGCTGATGGGGACAAGGCTGTGTCTCGGCACATCCTCCACCCAGTCTCAGCTGCCTGCTTCCTGGGAAGTAAGCCCCCAGGGACTCGATTTCCCTGTGCCCCCACCCCATCAGATATTCTCCACTTCATCTGAAACATCTGGAAGGTGGGAACATCTGTTATACCATAGGGTGGGTAGACGTGTTGTGGAAGTTCTTTTTGCAAAGAGGAGCTTCTCAGCAGGGCCAGGGGACCCTCACTCACCTCCAGGGAGTAAATCAGCTGGGTGGGGTGGAGTGGGGGGTGGGCCTGGTGCCTGTGAGGAAGGGCTTTCAAATCAAGTCCAGGCTTCCCCTGTTAACTCACCACTCTTCCCTTATCTGTGGGAAAAATAACAATATCATTTCATGCTATGATTTAAGTTTCAATAATGAAAATATCAATTAATACACTGAGCTCTAAACTCTGGAATCTAGCATAGAGGTCCAATTTCCACTCATCATTCTCCAACATGTGTCCCTCTTCCCCCATGCCTTCTATGTGTCCTGTCTGCGCCCAGGACTGCGTGTCCCAGGAAGACATGCCATGGGCCCCTGCCTGCTGGCTTCTCATTGGATTTGGCCAATGAGAGGTGTTGGTGGGAGATGAGAGGGCTGTGGGGAGGGAGGTAGGGGTGTGTCTTCCCTCTCACTCCTGCTTTCGGCTGAGTCCCCAGGGGTGCCTTGCCCCTCTGCACTTTACCTCCTGCCAGGAACCCCTGCCCCACGGCTCTGCTGTGCGTATCTTCTGCCCTCAGCCCTCAGCCCAAGGCTGGTGACAGTCCCCCGGTCCCCAGGAATACATCAGCTCCATCCTCTTGGCTCTCTGAGCCACCACACATCTGAGAATGTGAACCTTCCTTTCTCTGTGGGAACTTGGGGCGACACCTCCTTCTGCTTGGCCCTGGCTGGTGTGCACGCAGGAGGACTTGAGTGGAACCATGACCCTGAACAGGTCAGGCATGGGGCTGGCTTGCTCTTGGCAGAGCACTTGGCTTCAGTCCCACATACCTGTCCCTGCCTCTCCCACATCACTGGACAAAGCTAGGCTTGGGGTTGTGCCTAATCAGAAAGCAAAGCAGCACAACCCCCAGGTGCCTGGAAGGAGGGAAGCAGGAAGTTTATGAGTGGTGCCAGGACCCACACTGAGGCCTGGCTGCCAGTGACATGGGTGCCTGCTCAGACTCCTTTTGGCAACAGGTGTGCCCATCCCTCAGCCCCTGAGAACGTGGCTGCTAACCAATTCCTGCCCCTCCTTCTCTGCAGAGTTGCACACAGGGAGCCGTGGGGGCTTTCCCTCTCCAGACCCCAGCCAAAGACCAGCGGGCAAAGGAGATGGGAAAGGCCAGCCTGCTGCCTCCAAGTGGGACCAGCTCTAGGTACACTTCACACTCCAGAGCCCCTGGGGGCCCAGGCCACCTCCTGGCCGAGCTTTCCCTCCTCACACCGCTTCTCCTGAGAGCACCCCCATCCATCATCAGAACAGAAGTCCGCATCCCAGCCTCTGGGGAACCCAGCCTGAGGCAGGAACTGTTTCAGAGTCATGAAGCCAGCAACGAGAGAAGCCAAGACCAAAAGGGAAGCCTGTCTGACTTAAAATCCTGCCTTCTAGAAAGTAAATCTGCTGTGGTTTGACTGTGGCCTGCCCCTAATACATCTGTTGAAATCCTAACCCCCAAGGTGATGGTGTTAGGAGGTGGGGTCTTTGGGAGGTGATTAGGTCATAGGGGTGGGGCTCTCATGACTGGGATTAGTGCCCCTATAAAAGACACCCCAGAGAGACCCACTGCCCCTTCCACCACGTGGGGACACAGTGAGGAGGTACCGTGTATGTCAACAAGACATAAATGTTTGTTATTTATAAGCCACTCTGTATGTGGTATTCTGTGGTACCAGCCCAAATGAGCTAAGGCAAAATCCAATATCCCCAAATGAAAATAAGACTTATGGTGCATCTTGTGGTGTATATCATTTGTTCTGTGGGAGAGTGTGACACAGCCATAGAAGACCATGGTAAATAACAATGACTAAACCCATCACCACTGCTGGAGGAAGCAGGGACTGCACCAGCAGGGAGGAGGGCAGCATCTGTTTGCTGGGAGCTTTCCTTGAAGCTGGGGCTGGGTTGAATCCCATCCCCCACTAGCTGCATAACTTAGTTCAAGCTGCTTCCCTCTGGAAGGCAGGCCTTGTCTCATCAGATGCTTGTGAGACAAAGATATAAAATATGCCAAGGCAGGCGGATCATGAGGTCAGGAGTTTGAGATGAGCCTGACCAACATAGTGAAACCCCAACTCTACTAAAAATCCAAAAATTAGCCAGGTGTGATGGCATATGCCTGTAGTCCCAGATACTCAGGAAGCTGAGGCAGGAGAATCGCTTGAATCTGGGAGGTGGAGGTTGCAGTGAGCTGAGACCATGCCATTGCACTCCAGCCTGGGTGACACAGCAAGACTCTGTCTCAAAAAAAAAAAAAAAAAGTGCTCAGAACAATGACTGCACAAGGGAAGGTGCAGTGAATGCTGGCCAGTGTTGCCTAGCTTCTGTACGGGGTTTTTAAGGGAAGGGAATTCTCCCTTTCTCCAAAGGAGTACAACTGAAGTGTTAGGGAGCCCCTGCTAAGTACCCCCTCTATCAAGAGTTGAGGTGTTGGGCACTAAATAACAAGCTATAAAAGCCACATGAGCCCCAAGGCTCAGGCCACCTGCAAGGAGTGGTTCCCTGCAGCCAGCCAAGCTGCTCTCCAGACCAGAGAGAGCTTTCCTTCCCTGCAGGGGTGCTGGAAGGTGCCTTTCACTGCAGCATGGCAGCTTCACTGGGTGAGACCAGGGCCAACTGTGGCCAGGGATGAGGCCAGGCCAGTCTGCCAGGGATTCCTTCAAGGACTGGGGAAGAACTTGCCAGAGAGAAAGCCAGGGCACTCTGAGGTAGGCCAGCTTCCCTAGGGGATGCGCTGGCTGGCTTCCTCCAGGCTCTGGCTGGCTGCTCCTTGACTTCAGGGTCTCCTTGGGTTTGGGAAGAGCAGCCTGTCTTGGTCTCTAACTTGCCTGTCAGTCCCCTGGGATCTCCTGCACACTCAGGAGGGCAATTTTTCCAAAAACGCTTCTGGGGACAGTTCTGCTGGTTCACTGAGAACACTATGGGCATCGAGAGGACAGAGGAGCCCTCCACTCCATGGGGTGGATTTGCATTTCCACCCAGGTAGAGCTCTGTGGAGAAATTTCTGGCTCAATGGGGGCCAAGCCTGAACCGACATTGAACTTGAACGGGAGCTCGAGCTCCAGTTCCAGGCTGATCCTGGGATAGGGGGCTGTCCTCTGCTGATTGATCACATGCAGCATCAGAGAAACGGGAGGAGTGCTGTGCCACCACACGATGAGACAGGACGCTGTCCTACCTTGGCCCTTATTGGTCACGGGGCCAGAGCTCTGGGCTAGGAGCCAACGTGGGGCTGGGGACTGCATTTTGAATTCCTGATCTTCCCAGCTTTCCAGCTGTGACTTCAGACTTTTTGGTACCTCTCTGAGCTTTAATGTCCACATTTTTAAGACGTCTGACCTCACATAGTACCTGTGTGCTCAGAGGTGCTTAATGCACTAATTGACTCGGGATCTGACCTTGGGGCAGGTTGCTGGCCTTCCCTCTCTCAGTGCTCAATATCTTCAGAGATGGCCAGACGCCTCTCTGCTTGTGAACTGCGGATTAAAGCCAATGGGCTCTTAAAGTCTCTCCCAGTTGTAGGACACCAATTTCCCCAGGTTCCATAATCACCTGTTCTGTTAGCTGCTTCCTCCCACACATGCACACACACACACGCACACACACAGGCACATGTGCCCATAGTGCATACCTGTCTATTGTGAAGCGCAATCGTTCAATCTTGTTGGACTCCCCAGCTATTACATTAGGTCAGCAGCGTTGGCTTTACCAACCTCAGATAGTCAAGGATGAGTGAAAAGTAAAGAGCTACTTTGCCCCTGCAGAGAGTGGCGAAGGTGCTGGTGAGGAGGGCCAGCATGCCGTGCTCAATGGCCTGCAACAGCAGACAGCCCTGTGAGCCTCCCAAATGGGCCTGGCAGCTCGTTCTTAAAGAGTGAGTACTAGAAAATAAAGACAGTGATTCTCTTGATGTTTTTCATTCTCCCGGGTTCTTGAGGCCACCCGAGGGTCTGTGGGGATGTCTGGGTGTTACCAGTGCAGGTGGGCTCTGCCTTTTTGCTCTGGTTTTGACATTGTCACCATCCAGCCATGTGCTGGATGAGGCTGTGGCCTCTTTTGCTTGCTTCTGCTCCTTTCCATGGAGGCTGACATCTGTCTCATAAACATGAAAGGAGAAGGCCCTATTTCAAAGCTGAATGATACTTTTTGCCTTTTTCTACAGGGTAAAATTGAACAAAATCATTTTTTCTACAAGCGTCCTCTCTCCTTAGCATTTGCCCTATTTATTTATTTTTTCAGGGCTGCAAATTACTTCAAATAAACAAGGTAGCACAGAAAAAACAATGGCCAGAACCCTTGGTTTCTATTAAACAATCATGTTATGGGAACATTGCACCTTGTGGAATCCCCGGGTGAGGTGATGGACAAGCAGCCGGTGCACAGTATGTTCTGTTCTGAGCTGGAAGTTGGTTGCTTTGATTCTCTCACTTGGTCTTGCACAGTTTAGCAATTAGTGAAGAACAACTTCAGCTTGCAGGGTTCTCCTGGAGCCTGTCTTGTTTGTCCCAGGGCCCGGCTTTGGCAGCAGAGAGCAGATTCTGAGAGGTTCTGTTCCCTGGCTGACAAAGCTCTGGGCCTCAGCATCAACGCTGCCATGAGCATATCTGCCAGCAGTTGGGCAGGAGGAGACCTCTCTGGCTGGGGTCTGGCCTGGTGGAGAAGGGACTGGCCCTCCAGTTCACACCTGCTGGAAGGCAGATCCCTGGCACCTCCACACCCTATCCTGCCCACTAATGTGGTCTCAGCCTCTCCCAGTCTCCTCTTCTGTCCAATAACTCCACCCAGACCATTTCCTATCATTGTTGCAAAGACTGAGACAAGACGCATGAAAGTTGTGTGCCCAGGAGAGGGCCTTGCCTGGAGTGGATACATGGTGAAAGTGAGTTTCCTCCCCACACTTGGAATGCGAACCACTTTGTTTTTCCCACCATGCAACTGTGCCTGCAGCTGCAGCTTCATCCAAAGGTTTCCCCTTTTCATCCCCTGTGGGGTTCCTGTCTGTGCTCTCTACAAGCCACAGAGGTTGACGGCCCCCTTGAGGCAGTCTGACCTTGGGTTTTCTTTCCTATTCATGCATACTGACCACCCCAGGGCCTGCGATGCAAGGAAGTGGAGATCTGGGAAACTGTTCTTGTCCCCTATTTCTTTATTTGCCTTCAGAGGAACTTGCCTTTCTAAATACAGTCACCCTGGAAGTTTCAGGAGAGGAAGGTCTGTTGGGGTTTCCAGGAAGCACAGTGAATGAACTCAGGGTGCCCCAAAGCAACCCCAGGATCGGCATGGTGCGGTGAGCACGGAAGCAGAGCCGTGGCCAGCTTCAGCCAGGGATAAGTGAAGCTCCATTTTTTGTGGGATTAAAGCTTTTCTGGTGCATGGCAAGGTACCATTTCTTTTCTTCCAACTGAAAAACAGAAGGAGAGAAGATCCCCCAAGTAGCCATGGGGCCTCCCTGGCTATTATTCTGGCAGAGTGAAGGCCGTGCAGACATGTGGATGAAATTTCTCTTCAGTTAGTTACAAATATGTCTGCAAAGCCTGTGTATCATAAACCAGAAAGCAACTATATGTATATATGTATATGTGTGTGCATGTGTAGGTGTTTGCATATCATACTTCTGCTAAGTCCTCAGATAAAACCAACGCTGGCAACTAGATCGAGAAATCATGGCCCAGGCTCAGCATCGCCCAAGGGCAGCTGACCTAGCCTTTGCAATGGCACTGGCATTAGCCGGGGAGGTCCGCACCAGGACACACTCCCTGGCTGGGGTGGGATGTTCTGAACCGTGCAGATGGGGATTAGGCCGAGCCCCACACCCTGAGCGCCTCTGTAAACAAAGGGCTTCTCAGTAAGCAGAGCTCAGCATTTAAAGCCCTGAGGTTGATGGTCCTCGCTTGCCATGACCTCAAAGGCTGGGTATCATTTTCCATCCTGGGAAGGGAAGACCCCTGAGGCGCCTGCAGTGAAGTGACCAGCTCAAGGTCACCAGCGAGTAGATGACTCCAGGCATTGGGAACATGCCCAGAGGAGTGCTTTGCAGCCGTCCTGAAGCCTGTCTGGGAACTGTTTACAGGGCCTGGTTGAAAGCTCTGCTAGGAGTCGGGTATCCCGACTGAACTTCTCAGATGTCTGCAGAAGCAGGGAGCCAGTGAGAGGGAGATAAATTGTACAAGCTAGAACGAGGAGGAGGCCAGCCCCCATGGCTCTTGGGGGTGAACTGCCCGCTGTCCTCGCTGTTTGGGTCCCGGCCCCAGGCCCAGCGGCAATGAGGAGCTGTGAGCACAGCCTGCTTCTGGCAGGACCTCCTGTACCGCTGTTATTTTTATCTCTGTGCAGGGCTGGAGTTTACCTTTTTGTTCTGGTTTCCCATAAACACAGCTTGTGGGCTTCCCTTGCTGCCTCCTTTCTTGGCATTTAAGACATACACCTGCCTGCATTTCAGATCTTTCTGGCAGGCTCAGGAACACCAGCAGGCTCTTTGCAGCCATGGGCTGCATTGAGAAAGTGCAAGAAAACCAAGTGAGGCTCTTGGGCTCTTAGCTCCTCAGCCTGCGTCTCCAGAGTGGCTTGGCTCTGCTCAGCAAGGGAGAGTGTGCACAGCCCAACACACAGGAACCCAGGAGGGGAGCAGGCCAGAAACCCCCACTGAGGGCTACTGCTGTTTGAGGTGAGGAGGCCCTGGCGCCCCCAGCCAGCTGGTCTGCGGCCAGGAGCACTGAGTGCCCTTAGTTTCTTGGTGGTGATGACTTCCCTCTGCGGGTTAATTATGCAGCCTAATAGCTGTTATTACTCCTGAACACAGTGTGCTGCTGGCAGCCTGTGGCAGTTTTAAGGGCAGCTCTGTCTACCAGCTTCCCCTTCTCTGGGTGCCCTGCCCACCCTTCAGAAAAATAAAGTGAGAGGGCGCCTCTCCCAGCAAGGCGGCGCTCAGTCCACGGCCGGCGGGAGCTTCCTCCAGGCTGCTGCCCTGCTAGTGACGTTGATTATTGGAGGGCATTTTACTTTCTTGGGAGACCTGGGTTTGGGAGCTGACTATGCCAGGGAGGAAGCGGCTGGGACCAGCAGTTTGGTGGAAAGGTGCTGAGCATGGTGAGACTCACTCTGGGTTTGTCCCGAGGCCCCGGGTGCCTTGCTCAAGGCTCAGAATTGCTGTCAGTTGTGGGGGCACAGAGCACCTCATGGGCACGGCTCCTGAGGACTGTGGATTTGGGGTTCAGAGGGGCTCTCAGAGCTCACCTGGCCCCCCATCTCTACCCAGCGCAGCAACCATAGCCTCAGGATCTCCAGCGTTCAGCTCTCATTTCCTGTGACTTCCGAATGGGCACTTTGAGACAACCCACCTGGTGTCTTTCATAACCTGGGTCCTGACGGCCCCTGGCATTTCTTCATCTGGGATTGTGAACCCCCGTGGGCCATGGCTATGCCCCATTCCTTGTGACATACTCTGTGGAGGTGAGTTCAGAACTCAGTCCCCAACATATTTATGGAGGCAAATAAAAAACCCCAAAGGGGCAATGCAGAAATCTCATTCTAACTTTTTGTCTCTTGGATGTGGTGAATGGTTCCCAGACTGAAAAGGATGCATCTGAGTGTCACCTCCCCTAGTGCCTCTGCTGGAGGAGTTATGCCCAAGGAGAGCAGAGGCAGGGGGCAGTGGCTGGGACATGGGGCCGGAGCACTCTGCCCTGCCCCTTGTGGACCACACATTTGGGTGCAGCAAGCCTGTTTCTAGGAGGTGCTGTTGGACTCGTGTGCATCTGTGCTCATTTACAGTCATTCAGAAGGCTTTTTTTTTTTTTGACAGTCTCGCTCTGTCACCCAGGCTGGGGTGCAGTAGCACGATCTTGGTTCACTGCAGCCTCGACCTCTCAGGCTCAAGCGATCCTCCCACCTCAGCCTCCTGAGTAGCTGGAACTGTGGGTGCATGCCACCATGCCCTAATAATTTTGTTTATTTTTTTCTCACTATGTTGCCCAGCCTGGTCTTGAACTCCTGGCCTCAAACCATCCTCCCACTTCAGCCTCCCAAAGTGCTGGGATTACAGGTGTGAGCCACTGTGCTCAGCCAGGCCTTCCCTTTATAGTGGCTGGGAACAGGGACAGCATCCATGCAACACTCTGGAGTGCACAGAAGAGGCCTCACCGTCTGGCTCTTGGCTTCTGATTATTCTTGAGGCTGACTCAGACTTGATTTCTGGGGGTCCCTCTGATGGCCGCAGAGGGGCTGATGCAGTCACCACGCAGATGGTTAGGGAGCTCTCATTATGCATAAGAGACGGTGGGGCAGGTGTACGGTCTCAGATGGGCTGGCCAGGACTTCCACCCTCAGGGAACCAAGAGTCCAGGTGAGAAGCCGGTGGTCCAGGATGGAGGGGAGGGCACCAGGTACACCCACAGGCAGCATACAGGGTCATGACTTGCCTGTGGTTGGCTGCAGACTCTGCTCCAGAACAGCAACCACCGGCCGTCTGCAGCAGGCCACTCTACTAGTGTGGGTGCATGGAAGGGGGCCTGCTGCAGTCCTCACTTCATGGTCATTTGAGCTGAGGCAGTCACGTGGCCACTACAACCAGGCCTGCAGGCAGAGGCAATCTGTGTTTAAAATGGCCGTGGGTTCCCCTACACTGTGGAGGCAGGGATGAGACCACCACCCTTGGTGCCCAGTGAGTCTGCAGTGACGCCACAGAGCACTGAGCAATGTGGATTCTATGGGTTTTCTCCCTTCTCCAGGCATTTTCCACTGTTGTTGAAACAGGGGCCCAGAGCAGTAGGATAATACATTGACCTTTGTAAGGTTGTCAATAATAGGTGTTGTTTTAGCTTAAAGCAAAATGTTAGCTTTTCTGCCTAATCCTTTCCACTGGGAAACTAAGTTTTTCTTCATTCTTAAAAAAACAGGCAGCTTTTTGCTAGCACACGTTTCTTAAATGTTTGGCTGCAGCCCCTCCTGGCTTCGAGCAGAGCCCGGCTGGATCTGGGAAGTGTGCGACCCCACTGATGTCATGCTGTGGAACTGCCAAGCACCCAAGAGATGGGTACAATCTAAGTCAGAGAGTCCCCTGGCTCAAGGAGACAGGAACCCTGCGAGGCCGATGGCTACAGAGAGGTCAGCGGCAGGCAGGCTGCAGCCACTCACTCCCCCACTGACCTGGTCCCTGCCCTACTGGGGCATTTCTGCTCACATGAGGGGCTCCTGTCTTGCAAAGGCTCTTCCCACAGCCTAACTCAGTGGGCTGGCACTCACTGCAGGCAGAGAGGCCCCAGATACCTGTGTGATCTGGGGGTGAATGCAAATTGGAGTTGCACCGCCAAGCTCAGTTCTCAGCTTGCTCACATTTCTTGTGAAAATCAGGGAACATTCCACTCAGGTGGGTGTGGAGTTGCCTGTGGCCACAGGGTGTGACCTACAGCCCAACAAAACCTCTCTGAGGAGCAGGAGAAGCAGAGCTTGTGTCCCCGCTCTGGCTGGGACCCGAGGAGAACTGCCTGATGTCAGAACTTCCAGGGGGAGATAAAGAGAGCTTTGACACGCCTCAGGGAGTGAACACAGCTCCCGGCGTTATTTTTCCAGATCAACTGCAGGGCTTGGAACCCTGAAAGGGAAACTGTCCTCCTTCCCATCGTTTCTCAGCATGGACAGGGGATCCAATGAGTGCCCAGTGCTATGTCAGGCTGGGGCGTTGGCCGTTTAAGGCCCTGCTGACCTTGGTGTGAATAGCGTGGGGCTGGGAGATGGTGCAGGCTGGAGTTTCAGTGAAGGGGTTCCTGGTGTTTTGCTATTCACTCACCATGTTTCATGTGCCCACTGTAGGGGGCAGATGGACCTGTGGGTGGAGAACAGCGACCCAGCCAGTAATCACAGAAGTAAGCACACAATGACAAAGTGCGAGGAGTGTGGGAAAGAAAGCCCAACAGTGGTGCAAGAACACACCCTCAGAGGCACGAACAGCTTCCCTAAGGAGGGGGCATTGAGCTCAGTCTGGGAGGGGATGCACTTAGGAACCTAGATTCAGTTGCTCTGAGGCAGGCTGAGGGCTCCACTGCCGTGAGGCACTGAGATGCCATCAGATGGAAGGTTTCGGTGACATGTGCTGAGCTCCCTGGAGTGAGCTGTCCTGAAGGAGACTCAGAGCTGGGAGAGGATCAGCTTTTGCACCCCACACCTCGGCACAGTAAGAAACCCGGGAAGGAGCGCTGGGCCGGCTGGCCATAGGCACAGCTCACTGTGTGGCACCTGCCCCACTGGCCCTGCTCTGCCTTCCCTGGGGGCAGGCATCGGACAAGGGTTCCCTATGCTTCTCTGAGCTCACTGGCCTGGGCGAGTCCTTCCATGGGTCTAAATGACACCCAGTACACTAGGGTGAGATAAAGACCAGGGCAGGGGGCTGGGGTGTGAGGGGCCAAGTACCAGGACCTTGGGGTCAGGGTAAACCTGGGGTCTCTATCACCCTGCTAACCAGCTAGGTGAGCTTATGAACCCTGGTTCTCAGTTGTGACATTGGGGCAAAGTCACTTGAATATTGGGCTATTCTGAGAACAACCCAGTGGAACATCTTTTTTTGTTTGTTTGTTTTTTTTTGAGATGGAGTTTTGCTCTTGTCACCCAGGCTATAGTGCAGTGGCACAATCTTGGCTCACTGCAACTTCTGCCTCCCAGGTTCAAACAATTCTCCTGCCTCAGCCTCCCGAGTAGCTGGGATTATAGGTGCCAATCACCACGCCCAGCTAATTTTTGTATTTTTAGTAGAGATGGGGTTTCACCATGTTGGCCAAGCTGGTCTCGAACTCCTGACCTCATGATCCACCTGCCTTGGCCTCCCAAAGTGCTGGGATTACAGGCATGAGCCACCAGTGGAACATCTTACTGTGGCCCATGCTGTGGCACAGATGGAGCACAGTCTATGCGAACTTCATTCTGCCCCTTGGTCCTGTTCCACACCCTGCAGAGCTGCTCTCCTGTGGGGTGTCCTGTGGGGTCTTCGGGAGCACCGGGTGGGGTCAAGCTGGGTGGGGCATGTACCAAATCACCCATGCAGGCACTCACCAGCACCCTGACTTCCCCAATGTCCCTGGCAGCTTTCCTTGGTGACTGAGTGTCCCCAGGCTTAGCTTCATGCTTTCAAACAGTTTCTTTCTGGAAAACTCCGAAATTTTCCATAAATAAAAGAGGTATCCTTAGCAATCCTTGGGCTCAGATAGAGTGTTCTCTCTGCATGGTAATTAACGCCAGGAAAAAGGAAAATGCTGAGTCCCTGGCCTGGGCTCCCTGGTGGTCTGAAAGCTTTCCTATGGACAGTCATGTGTCAACTGCTTCCAGCGGGGCAGAAAGTCTTAGAAAGCCTGGGGAACCACTTGTGAAAACATGCAGCTCTGACAGTGACAGATGCAATTTTAGGCATACATATGTCTGATTTGGAGTTGGGAGTTGCCCTTTAAAATATGCAGGACCAGAAAATAGAAAGGACATCCTGAAGGCTGACAGATTTGATCTTGCAAAGGACAAACTTGCTGCATAAAAGTTAAACATTTCTGTTTGGCAAGAAGTAAAATTACTAAGAAAAACCCGGGAAAATGTTTGGCAATTTCTGTGAAACATAAAAGGTTAGTGGCCACAATATGCAAAGAGCTTTACAAAATAAACACAAACAAAAAATGGGCAAAGATTATAAAAATGGAAGAAGAGGCCACCTTGGTTGCCAAGATTACATAAAAAGATGCTCGATTTCACTAGTAATCAGCAAAATGAAGATAAAAGTCACAATGATGTATATTTTCCACCTCTAAGGTTGACACAATGTTTAAAAATGGACAACCTCAATGGTGGCCGGTTGCAAGGAAATGGGCACACTTCCTTACATTATTGCTGGGATGGTGAACCACAGCAAAGGCAAGAGAATGGCGGTTTTCGTTACACTGTAAAGTGCCTGGACACTTTGACTCAGCAGTCTCCTTTTTAGGAAGTTATCCTTCAGAAGTAAGTGAACTGATGTGTAAGAATATATGCACAGGGTGTGTACCACAGCTTTATACAAAGATAGCACAAAACAGGACAGCTTGAATGTTCCTGGGGACGGAATAGACGGATAAAGGATGGGACTTCCATTCAGTGGAATATTAGATAGCTTTCAAGAGGAACAAGGTAGATCTGTGAGTATTATTCTGGAGGAATGCCCAGGAAATATTAAATTACAGAAAAGCAGCAAGTGTCCACTCAGTGCCCAGGGTGGCCTGCCCCGAGTAGGGCTCAGGGTTGTGTGTGTGCACATGGTGCAGGAAGGCAGGGTGCTGCCGGACAGGTCAGGGCCATGGCTTTGGGTCTTGGAGGTGGGGTAGCGGGTGAGCAGAGGACTCAGAAGTGCTCCCTCATGCAAGCATACTATGCCACTTGTTCCAGCAACATGAACTATTTTTGTAGTATTAAAAGAGTCAACAATAAAACCCAGCCGGTTGCAGGCAATGTGACTTCGGTGAGCCTCTGAGATGCCTCGTGCTGCAGTTGCTCTTGCATTTGGCTCCATTTCTATTTTGTTCCCTCCAAGCTCCCAGTTCTAGAAAAACCACCAACCATCTAGTAGTTTAGAAAGTTTCCTTCTACAAAATCATGTTTTGAAGTCTCAGTTTCTCAAAAACAATGGCCCTGTGCATTTGGAAAGAGCAGTGTGCCTGCTGATGTTGGCTAGCATGCAATTTCATCTTTTGAGTCCTTTGTGTGTGTGTGTGTGTGTGCGCGCATGTGTGTGCGTTTGTTTGTTTGTTTTTTATAACAATATTCTTCTAAGCCAGATTGTAGAAGAAAGGAAGAAAGCTCTAACATTCCTCTTTGGCAAAGGAGAACCAATAGTCACTATTCTGTACATGGAACCCATCCCTCCTCCTTTTCCAGAAGCAGTCACATTCTTGCAGACAAGCTCCTGTTTCTGGTATTCGTGGGCAGAGAGTAGGGACCCAGCGGTTCCTTGCGCTCAGAGCAGGAGGGCCCAAGGCAGAATTTCCCACTTTCCCAGTCAGTAGCTACAAGCAGGTAAAGTTTACCAGGCTGAAAAATCTTGGGGTAAAAGCTTTCCTGAGGCCAGGACAAACACAGGGTGAGACCAGACAATGACTGAAAACAATGGATGTTTGGTGAATGTCTTAGTCTGATTATGCTGCTGTGAGAAAGTACTGGAGACTAGGTAATTTAGAACACACATTTATTTTCTCATAGTTTTGGGGTTTTGAAGGTGGCCCTGCCCTCAGAGCTGCACCAAACATTGCCCTAATGAGGACTCTGCTGTAGCCCTGACTCCACGGCTCTGCTAGGCATTCCCTAGTGGAATGCTGTGGTCTGAATGTTGTTTCCCCTCCCACATTCACGTTGAATTCTAAATCTCAATGCAATAGTATTAACAGGTGGGGCCTTTCGGAGGCGAGGAAATCATGAGGGTGCCTCCTTCATGAATGGGATTAGGCCTTTATAAAAGATGATTCACATAGCCTCTCTGTCTCCTCTAGAGGATGCAGCAACAGAGAGCCATCTCGGAAGCAGAGTGCAGCCCTCACCAGACACAGAACCCACCAGAGCCTTGATCTTCAATTTTCCAGCCTTTAGAACTGTGAGAAATACATTTCTGTTGTATATAAGCCACCTAGGCTATGCGATTTTGTTGTATCTGTATTAATGGACCAAGACAATGAGCAAGGTGTGAAATAGACCCATGGTGACTTTCCTTCCAGCAAATGGCAGTGTTGAGGAATTGCTATTTATACTCAGCACTTTGCTTATTTAGAGCATCCTTGGGCAGCCAGGTTGTGTGGGGCCCTTTGCAAAAGCTCTAACTTGCTGCATCCTGTGCCTGGTCTGCAGAAATGGCCATTGGTTTGGTGGTACTGTCCCAAGTTACAGACAGTGTCTTACTGGAAAGAGAGATGTCTCTGAAGTGTTGGCCTGGCAAACTCCAAACTCCAAACTGGATATAAAATGTGGCTGCTGATAGTGTTCTATGAAGATCCTCACCCTATGTGCTAGATCTTGGAAACAACATTGCTCTGGTCCACTAGGACCCTTTGGCTCTTCTGAGGTAAGGGCCAATTGCCCAGCTTCCTGCAGGACAGGGAGGAGGTGCCTGGCCAGGAGCACATGCCCTCCACCGTGTTCTTCGGCCTCTGAGTGAGTGTTCATCTCAATAGCTCCATGTGTCTATTGGCTCTGGGAAATAAGCCACAGCTCTGAGTCGTGGCAGGAGGAGCTGCCTTCAGCTCTCCTTTTGGTGTTTACAATGTTGCTGGGCTGTCAGGGTGATGCCAAGTGAGGCGTGGGTATTTCAGCAGCCTGCTAAAAGCGTGATAGGCCACGTGAATGGCCCCTTGGTATTGCCTTTCCCCCTAAGTACTGTATCTGTTAATTTTAACATCTTTATAAATTTGGGGAACATTCACCCCAAAATGGATAAATACAAATTGCACTGAGGGGTAGGGTTATTCCCTGAATGGCTGGGCTCCTTCTGCATGCTCCTTGTCTTCACCTTTAAAAATAAACAGGGCATCAAACCTGGAACCTTGTAGCCAAGGTTTGTTGTGGACCCAATATAAGCGAGCTTGAACTAAGGGAATGATGATTGCTTTCTCTGAGCTGCTGCAGGCCACACTCCGATGTGATCCACTTTAATGGGTACAGCTGATGGCCTGACCTCCTGTCTCTGGGGTCCCTGGATCACCACCCTCTGGAGGGGGTTGGGGCATAGTTAATATGCCAGAATCTCCAAGTGCCCAGGTAAGGCTGCTGGGTCATGTGGCCCGTGGCTGGAACTTCCTGGAGGCTTGCCTCTATAAGTGTCTCCTGGATTGGCACAGAGGAGTCAAGTTAGAATAGGGCAGAGCCTGACTTGCAGTGGGTGACCCCTCACAGATCTGCTGCCCAGTGCATCTGGCATGGGGCCTGATTGGACATGCAACCTTTGGGCAGTCTGGACTCCTTGTTCTGTCAGGATGTGACCGCTGGTTTTAAGCGATAGTGTTGGCATTTGCTTTTAAGGTCTTTACAAGTCCAAGCTTGGGAGCCATGCAGAGCATGCCAGTGTCCAAGGCCCAGCTAGGAGCCTCTGTTCTCCTGAGCTTACTGGGCTGACATGCAGGTCTGCATCTGCTTATTAGCAGCTCGTAGAGAGGGAAATCTTTCTGTTTTACAAGGAAATGGGATGTTTGCTGCTAGAAATCTTTCAGGACTGGCATGCGGAACGCCAGCAGATGTTGAAAGCATTCCGACCATGTTGATCCCACCAAAGTTTGTTTAAAGATTTGTGTAAACTGCCATCACAGAAAGGGCTGGGTGGAGGTGAGAGGCTCCAGATCCGGCTCCAGCTCTTATCAGAGATCCTAAGAAGTAAAACTTTTGAAGAGTACTCTGGCTTGGAGGACAAATGCAGCAGCGTCTTGTGGATGGCCTTCCCAGGGACACTTACTGAGGAGGAGACTTCTGGGGCACTCTTGGGATTAATGCCTGTAGAAGAAAGGAGATGGGGAGCTTCAGGTGAACCTGCAAGGGCACTGGAACCTTCGGTCGGGTGGTCCTGCACAGGTGTCCTGAATCAGGCCAAGAGGACAGGCCTTTATACCCCAAGGTGGGCCGGTCCCAGGAGCAGGCTGCCTGGGAGGAGTAGGGCAGCGCGCTTCAGCGAGGCTGTCCCTGGAGGGCCAGGAAGTGGTTCCAGCCACTGGGGTGTAAGTCCTCTATTCCTTAAGGGGGCTCTTGGAGGTGCTTGGCTAAGCCTTGGCTGCACCTCAAATCAACCTGTAACCTGGGCTTGCCTGGAACATTCGCATCCCAGTAATGCAATGTTGCTTTGGGGTGCGGTAAGGGACCAGGCAAGACCTCCTTACCCATGCCTCCTGGGGGTCCACCTGCCACCTCTGCAGCTCTCTGTCTCTGGCAGAAACGTCCTGGCCCAACTTGGCCATGCCTGGCCATGGGAGTCATGCTCTTCAGAACAGTTTCAGTCCAGGAGAGCTGAGGGTTGTTGCATAAATCCCCTCGTCTCACCCCTCCATGACATGACACGGTCTACATCCCCACCCCCGAGCTCCTCAAGGCTGGAGCTCCAGTTGCCTACAGTTCCAGGCACTCGATAGCATGTTCCTAATCAGCTTTCTCCCTTCCTCTGATCTGGGGGTGAAGGTGCCCAGGATAACCATGAGGATGGGGCCACCCCACCTCTCCAGGGTCACACCTGATTCCCTGGGAGGCCTTGGAGCAGGCTCAGCCCTGGGGGCCCTCCATGGGATGACAGGTGAGGGTGCTTTTGACCGGCTTCCCTTCTGCATGGAGCTGCATCCACGGGACAGGGCTGAGACACCTTTGGTGGGACACTTTGATGCCTGCTTTCCATCACATCCTCAGTTTCAGAGGCTGGTGTGGATCCAGGCCAGCTGAGGGGTCTTGGAAGCCAAACGACTCCTTGGCCAGTCAGTGCCAGGTGCTCTCTGTTGCTATGAATTCTGCATCCCCTCCGCACAAAGACATGTTGAGATCCAGTCCTCATGAAGGTGACCTAATTTGGAAATAGGGTCTTAGCAGATGTAATTAGAGGTCATTAAGGTGGGCTCTGATCTAATGATTGGTATCCTTATAAGAAAACAAATAGACAGATGTACAGGGAAAACAGCCAAGTGCAGACGGGCCAGAGATGGGAGGGTACATGGACAAGCCAGGGAATGCCAGGGACCGCTGACATGGGCAGGAGCTAGGAGGAGGCACAGAAGGGTCCCACGCAGAGTCTCAGAGGGAGTGTGGCCCCGCAGACCCCTGGGTTTCTGACTCCAGGCCTCCAGGACCATGAGACAATCTGTTTCTGTTGTTTGAGCTGCCCCGTGTGTGATACTTTGTTATGGCAGCCCTAGCATACCACACACACCCCATGGTATGACACGTCCTTGTGCTCTCCTGGGCCACGGTTATACCCGCTGTCACGGCCACCCTATCAGCGCTTCTCTTCCTGTGCTCGGTGGGTCACTGGATGAAGTTAAACCCAGATGCCGAGTGCTTTCTCTCCACGCGGCCCAGCTACCTGCATCACTTAGCTCATCTTTACAATGACAGGCTGGGGAGTATCATCATCCCCACCTTGCAGAAGAAGAAATGGAGGCTCAGGGGCAGCTTAGTGACAGATCCTTAGAACTGCCCAGGACTGCGCAGTCTTGTATGCAGTGTGATTTACCCAGTTAACGTTTATGCCCTCCTTTTGCTTTCTCTGTGAATACACAAGATTAAAAAAAATTTAAGACAAAATTAAATGCTCTGGTATCCAATCTCTTGGCTCCTACGCTCTGCTCATCAAGATAAGTAGACACTGCACACACTTCCGAATTCATCTTTTACAACATTTCCAGTAGGAAAAAAATGGATTGAATCATACATAAATTAAAATGTACCAGCAACAAAACAAAACAATAAATTTGTTTATATCCGTATCTCTGGGGAAAGTTTCCAAAGACAGAACCTAAAGCTGAGCTCTAATATTAACAATGGGTTTGTAAACTCAAAGTCAAGGATTACTTTGATCTAATGCTAAAAAGTGGGAGGACAAAGCCCAGGGTGTTCCTGGGCAAACTTGGGAATGATATGCACAGTGGGTGTGAGCAGTATTCCATAGTGAAGGCCAGGCCATGAAGCCACCTACCAAAATAGCAACACACTTTCCAGTAACCCCAGTTTCTTTAAAAGCAGTGTAATACCTAAGTCCCACAATTATGGTTGAGAAACTCTCCTGCCCCACTGTTTTTCCCATTAAAGCTGTGCCTCTGCCGTGTCCATTAGTCATTTGGCATGTTCTGAATAGAACAGAGTGAGTCAATTTAAACGAGCGCAGGAGGCAAAATCTTTCTTTTCCATAGTCAGCTCAGAAGAGAATTTTTTCCTTTGTTACTGTTTGTTGTGGAAAGGAGGTGTGTGGGAGGAGTTGCTGTGGTCAGTCTTTAGATAGTACCTAGTTGAAAACAGAACGTTCTTCAGAAGGCAACCCTGCAAGGGCAACTTTGTGTGGAGAAGCAGGACCGGAGCCACCCAGAGCCCTTTGCAGGAGCTGGAGGATCGTTGCTGGCCTGGTTTAGCTAGGAAGTGACAGTCCAAATGGCTTTGAACAAGCCAGCTCAGACACACCAACCCATAGCCTGGGTTGTACCCAGCCATCTAGTCTACCTGCCATTTAGGTAAGATAAAGGCAGGTGGCTTAAGCCAGACTGAGAGTGTCTCCAGGTGGCCAGGGGTGCTCAGCATTGCTTTCCCCTGGCAGCCAGCCCAGGGTGCCACTTGAACAGCAGCCAGCCCAGCAGATCACCCGAGGGTGGAAGGACCTAGTGTTTGTGGGTGGCATCTTTTAAGAAAAACACAGTCAGGAAGGTTCTGGGATTTTGGTCAGTGCCATGCATTTCAGGGTCCAGGCCATGGCTCAAGGCCCCCCGCAGCACCCTCATTCTGCTAAGCCATTACAGGTGCTAGCCACGTGTGCCCAGAGAAGCTCCAGAAGCCCATCGTGGCTGGGTTGCTAACGTTGGCCAACCACTGTTCACCTTGGGTGGCTCTGTAGACAGCTCCAGCTGCCCCATGTAAGAACCAGGGCAGTCCTCCAACCATGCCAGCTGCCATTCATGTAGAGACGGTAGATATGCACGGCCAGTGCTTCACACAGATTGCTCTCCCCCTAGCAGCTGCAGAGATATGCTTGAAATTCACTCAGGCTGCTCAAGGGTGAGCCATGGTTCCTGGATGCATGGCCCAGGGTCCACTCAGATTTTTTTCATTTGACTCACCAAGGTAGAGGAATTCAACATGCTTCTCCATTCTTGTATAGCCTCCCTTGAGAATCAACCACAAACTAATCTCTGATGACTGTAGATAACAAGTAGTACACATTTGGGACCAAGAATGAAAGAAATACAAAATATAAGATGCTGATAGATTCCTTTGCACCTGGCCATCCGGTCTTGGCAGTCACGCCTTGCTTGACGGAGCCCTAACACCTTACCGGAGCTCGAAAACCCACCTAGCAGGGACTGGATCTTCCAGAAATGGTGCCACATCTGCTACCATCTTTGCCACATGTAAGAATCTCCCATTCCACAGACATTTGCCAAAACCCTCCTGAGCAAAGGGCTGAGGGTCTGTCTTGCCTGCCCCCTGGGAGCCCACCTCTCCAGGGCTCCAGGAAGCCCCCGCTCCCTCAGGAGAGATGCAGTAGGCCCACCCCAAGCGTAGGTTCCTGGAATCAGGGATCTCTTCACTGAGTTATAGGATGCCTTTGCCTTATGGTCAGGTATCTAGCTGCTACTTTTATGCTGATTAGCTTCCTAATAGAAATAAGTCCCTGAGATAGATTTATTTTTTTAATCCCCAATTTGTGACAAATACTCATCATTAAAGAAAACATAGGCCTTTTCCACAAATTTAAAAATACACTAAAAAAATAGGCTGGGCGCCGTGGCTCATGCCTGTAATCCCAGCACTTTGGGAGGCCGAGGTGGGCGAATCTCTTGAGAACAGGAGTTCGAGACCAGCCTGGCCAACGTCGTGAAACCCTGTCTCTACTAAAAATACAAAACAAAACAAAATTAACAGGGCATGGTGGTGGGCACCTGTAATCCCAGCTACCTGGGAGGCTGAGGCAGAAGCATCACTTGAACCCAGGAGGTAGAGACTGCAGTGAGGCAAGATTGCACCATTGCACTCCAGCCTAGGTAACAGTGCAAGACTCCATCAAAAACAAAATACACTAAAAATAATTGACCTGAGTTTAAGGAAATTAAAGGAAGTCAGTTCTGCACTTGCAGGTGCTTGTTCTCTATCACATGTGGGCTCTGTTGTACCTTGCAGCAGCCCTAAGAAGAGGGGAGGTTTCAGAAGATTTTAATGACTATCCCAAATGAGTGATTTTCCAAGAGCCGGCTGCGGGCTTCCTTCCCTGTCTCTCACTGCTGAGCACCACGTGTTCTAGGGGCTGTGTGTCTGGGGGCTATGTGTCTATAGAGCTGTGTGTCTGGGACTGTGTGTCTGGATGTCTTTTCATTTGGAGCAGGTGTTTGCCTCATCCCCTCCCAGGTTAGCAGAAGCCTCGCAGGACTCTTCTCTGTGGCCAGGCCCATCATCTGCACCAGAAGTCCATCTCCGCATGCATCCTGTCCCTGGCCTGTCACTGCCTCAAGTCTTTTTCAGTTATCTCAGTAGAGGTGGTTTGAACTGGGTTCAAATTGATCTTCCACAAAGCTGGAAGCTTCACCAGGGGCTGGGGGTCAGGACTCAGATCCCAGACAAGTTTAACAACAGATACCTGTGTTTCAAACCTGTCTTCTGCTGGGCCCACAGCTTCCAGTTTTCCAAGCACCCCACCCCTCCCTATTGTCCACATAGGCTTCATGCCTTTGGGCCCAGCCAGTGAAGGTGTTAGGACGTGCCATCCTCTAAATCTGAACTAGGTGGGCATCATGAATCCAAGTCAGTCCAGAACCATGGCCCATGGACGGGCAGGTACCAGGGGGGCTCTGGGGTGTGGGATAAGCAGCCTTGTCCATACAAGCGTGTGCACCAGGTGGGGCTTCCCTTTGTGTCTCTTCCTGTGGGCTGTGCCTCACTGGCCGAGCTCTGTGTGTGGAAATCCAGCCTCAGGTGACTCACCCACCCCCTCAGAGGGCCTGGAGCTCTGTGATCAAGACCTGCTCCTCTGCTCCGCTTCCCACCTCCCTGTCTGCCACTCAGCTCCCCAGGACCTCTGGGCAGGGTCCCCCTGAGACCCGGCATCCACTCTGGACACCACTGGGCTTGCTGACTCTTCACAGCCTTGTTCCAGACTGCATCTCTGCAGGACTTACTTCTGTATGGTGTCCTGGTGATCCAGCACTCCCTGCTCTGCTAAAATGCAGACTCCAGGGGCAGGCTCTTGTTTTGTCCTGGAAGAATTCTTGCACTGTAGGAGTGAATTCAACACAAGTCACAGCCAGCTTGCTCCATCTTAAAGGCGAGGAGCCCCAGCCCCAAGTCCTGAGCTCTTGCCAACCTGTTCGAGACCACACATTGACCCTGGAAGAGGAGGAGCAGGTAGGCTGGGATGTGCCCAGGGACTTTCTGAAGCCTCAATCATCCCAGTTATGACCTCCCCCTGCCCCTCCTTGCAGCATCCCTCTTCATTCCTCGTGGAGAAGTGTGGGCTCCATAGAATGAACTGGCAAGTGTGCACTGTGTGGATGGCTCTGAGCAGCTGCCACCACCTGGGGTAGCATGGGCAAGGCAGACGACACAGAGTCTCCAGCCAGACCCCTATTACCAGCTGCCTGGCCTGGGACTAGCTATGTCACGTCTCCCTGCCTCAGTTTCTTCATCTGCACAGCGAGGATAATAACAGTGCTTACCTCTTAGGATTACCATGAGGCTCAAAGAAGGAAATGCAGAGAAAGTGCTTAGGACAGTGCTGGCCTTGTAGGAAAGACTCACAAATATTCATTGTTTCGTTGATGAGAGCAAGAAGTGCGCTTGTTACATATTCACCCAATAGTGTGGGGTGGAGGAATGAGGTACAGGTGGATACCCTCTTGGAGGACCTGCTAGCGTCTTACTTCCTCTGTACATGGATGGCAACACAGAGGCAGAAGTCTCAAGTTAACTTCTTTTTCGTTTCAAAGCATCTCATGACATTTAATACCCCTGCACTCATACTCGCCCGGAAGTGTGAGCTTGGTTCATCACTAATGGATATTTTCAGCCCTGCTGAGGAATCTGGGCCTGCTCCTTGCCTCCCTCACCTTCCTCTGCAGCCCATGTGAATTAGCCTGCTTGCCTGCTCAGGGACTGGTCCCCGCAGTGTGGCTCCTGGGGCCCCAGCTTCACTCCTTCAAGGGCCAGGATGTTGAAGAAGGGGGAAAGGGACCCCTACACTAGCCTGCCTTGTGTGGCCCAAAGACCCTTGCCAAGATCAGGTGGGGGTCAAAGTGCAGGAAAAGAAGGATGTCGATTTCAGAAGAAACTGTTGTGGGAATGGCAGGATGGCTCCAGCGTCAGCGTGCCTTCCTGCAGCTACCCCGGGGCCGCACGCCAGCAGCTCTTGGCAGCAGTCACACGGCTCTCGCATCCAACCTCTGCCACAGGGGAGCAGGCCTCACTTCCCCCAGCTTTGCTTCTCTGCCCTGCAGGGCTCCTTTCCTGTCCCAGGGAGCTCTACTTTCCAAGCAGTTCCATGGCCAACAGCTGGAGTCTTATTTTAGGGACGAGCTGGCAGCCCAGCATTTGTACTGAATGTTCCGGGTCGGCCTGGCCCGCGCCTGGTGCACCAGTGGGAACCCCATAAGTCTGGGCTTGGGGGAGTGAATTACTTCTGAGGTTTGCTGACATTCTGTTTGGCTGCCTGAAATGCTTTCTCTTCATTCAAAGAGCAGCTGCTGGTCTCCGCCCCTCTGTCTTTCCTTTCTCCTCCCGGTGGCTTCCCTGTTCCTGTCCCTGGCTTTCCTGGCTTTTTGGATCCCCATCCTGGCTCTGGGGGGAAGGAGGATGGGTCTGGAGCACCTGTGAGACCCGAGCCTGGGCCCACCACAGCAGAGGATGCAGCCTCCCAACCCCAAGAGTCCCAGATTGGAGTCCCTGAGAGAAGCTGGGGTAGGTGAAGTGGGCTCTCAGTCTGGGTGTTATCTTGGGAGGAGCGTGGGTCTCTGGGACACACTGGTAAGATGTGCTCCACTTGACCCTCATCATAACCAAGGGTCTGTTGGTGGGCTTTTGCCTTTGGTGGCCCCAGGGCCCCTGCCTTCTGGCTACTGCCATCCGTGGGGGATGAGTGACGTCAAACTTCCCCTTCTCCGGGCTGTTGGCTAGAGTGGGGGCAGTGGGAAAAACACATCTATCAGGCAGTCCCACCCCTGCACAAAGGAGCAGAGACTGTGCCTCAGCCCCACATCCCTGCCTGGTGGGTACCACATCACAGACAGACACGTTCTTAGCTGGCTGTGTGCAGTCACTGCCACCTTGGGCTCCTGGGAGGCACCAAAGGCCCATTGTGGGCCCCTGAAATGACGCACCCACCACAGTCAGCTGCCATCATGCAAGGCACCGAATCTGCTGTCCTGGTGGGATGGGATCTCACTTCTGCCTTTCCTGTTCAGCCTCCCCGGGCTCCATGCGCTCTGTGGAGGCCATGGCAGGATATGTTGTGGGCAGCTGGATTTCCGGCCCTCTCTGGTAGAGTCAGAGGGGTTGCCTTTGACCAGCAGGAAAGGGATTCGAAGGCGGACGCGAGTGGGCCCTGCCCAACTCAGACTGAGGAGGAAGTTTCTGCAGCGCCGGAAGGAGAAGCAATGAATAGCCACTGTCTAGACCCTCCCCTATGACTCCATCCCCAAGGTGCTCCAGACAGGCCTGAGATTCCCCTCTTCCTTCCTAGCCACACCACCCCTGGTGTGAGCCAGGCAGGCAGCCCAGCCCTCTCCAGCCCCGGCTCCTGGTGGCAGGAGGTGCCTTCCTGGCTGTAGCAGGAAGAGTCTCCAGGTTATATGGCCGTGTCCCTGTGCCAGGACTCGGGGTAGGGGTACACTCTGTTCTGACCCCCCCAGGAAGTGAGTTCCAAAGGAGTCGGGCCTTTGGAGGAGAACTTGGTGGCTGTGCTTTTGACCTGGCATTGCAGGAGCATAAGCCCTGGTCAACTTGAGCGAAAAAGCCGGACCCACTGTCACCATCTCACAGGCTGTGTCGCATGCTCTGGCGGTGAGGGCCTGTTTCCCAGCCCTCCCTAGCAGGAGACTGCTCAGGGCAGAGCTCCTGAGATACTATGGGTTCCTTTGGGGTGGAAGAGCCTGTGGCCAGGTCAGTGAGGAGAACAGAGTGGGAGCATGAGGGTGGGCTGGAGAGGAGCTGTTTGTCCCGCCTCCCGACCCCGAGGAGGGCATAGTCCACAGGCTATTTTAGGGAGCAAGAACTGGCCAGTCAGAATGTGCCTGCGCCTCTCCCCAAGACAACAGCACCATCAAAGGGGAACATCTTTGTCTTGGGGGAGCCATGTGGAATTGTACCTAGAACAGATTGTGAACAGGGGTGCCTGTCAATTTACATTTATCAGGACTCGTTTCTTTTCCCTCCCAGACTTGCCCTGCAAATCTCATGGTGGGGTGGGGATCAAGGAGAAGAGGGCTTATCTTGACTTTCATGATCTTAGTGTTAATGACAGTTACCCAGGATGGAGGTTTTTAGCCCCTTTCTTGGCCCTAGACCCAATGACCCCTTCCATGATATTTTTCAAAGTCCAGTGAAGCAGTGGAGAGAGGAGTGAGGGGGAGGAGAAGAGAGAGACGGGACTCTGTTGGCAGACGCCCTGCTGTCTTCCAAGACCCTATATAGGCTTCTGTGGAGTTCTTGCAGCTGAAAGCTGAGTCCTTTGCCTGGGGCAGGGGTGGTGTGGATTCTTGGCCATCACACTCCTGGAACCCTGAATCTTACTGTTCCACAGTCACAGACCAGCCAGGCTCAGGACCTCAGAGCTGCTTGTGGGCCCATGGAAAGTCATACTTGCTTCCCGTCGGCGCTGGGCCTGCTGTCATTTTGCAGCTTCTGCCCTGCAAATTTAGAGTTTTAGAGTTTAGTTTTAGAGTTTTAAGTCTCTAAAACCCTCACAGTTAATTTTTTCTCTTCCTTTAATGACACCCAAAAGGGCACCCAGCATTATGCCTCGGGTGTTTGACCCGGCTGGATATGGGATGGAGAGCGTTTGGTGGGTCCTGGGAGGAGCTCAGGCCAGGTCAGGATTTACCATTGTTATTGATGCTACAGATAACAGCCTTGCCCTGAAGGCTTTCACAGAGTTTATCTCCTTTCTTGTTACTCTGATAGGGCTGGGATTGTCCACCACCTGCTCAATGAGGGCTAACATTGAGTACCCAGCGAGAGTGCTGTATTAAATCTTATCTTGGCCAGGCACTATGGCTCATGCTTGTAATTCCAGCATTTTGGGAAGCTGAGGTGGGAGGCTTACATGACCTCAGTTTAAGACCAGCCTGGGCAACATAGTGGGACCCTGCCTCTACCAAAAAAAAAAAAAAAAATTAGCCAGGCATGGTGGCACATGGCACATGCCTGTAGTTCACCTACTCAAAATGCTGCGATGGGAGAATCATTTGAGCCACAAGAAGCCGAGACTGCCATGACCCATGATTGTGCTACCATACTCCAGCCTAGGCGATAGAGTAAGACTCTGTCTCCAGACAAAAAACAAAATCTCCTGCTTGGTGGAGACCTCTCAGAGTGCTGGGGAAGGGGCTCCGGAGTCCATAGGCTCTATTCTCCTCTCCCTTCCCTCACTTCCTGGCTGTGTGAGTTTAGCTATATAAAATTATCTCAGGGTTAGTTTTAGAAGCCAAGATTTGCATGTTAGGCCCTAAAAAAGATTGCATTTTCAAAAGGCAGTCACATCAACCTACAAACTCTCTCATCAGCTTTTCTTGTAGTATGGCTTGACACCCCTCCACTGAGAGGTGAGCTCTCTGTTCTCTTCCCTGAGACCTGCTTCCCTCAGTAGACTGTGATGGAGGTCACCTTATGTGACTCGAAGCTGTGTCATAAAAAGTGATACAGATCACAGACGGCGCCTGGCCCGCAGTCTCTTGGTTTTCTCACTCTGTGGGAAGCCAGCTGACATATTGCGAGGACACTCAAGCAGCCATAAGGAGTGGCCGACAGCCAGTATGAGGGACTGCAGCCCAGCCCTCAGGGGATTCCAGCCAGAAATGCCTGAGTGAGCCAAGACCCACAGAAACCATAGAAATGTTAAGTCATTGCTGTTGTCTTCAGCCACTGAATTTTTTTTAATTTTATTTTTTATTTATTTTTATTTTTTTACTTAGCATGATGCCCTGAACAGGTCCATGGCAATAAGAAGAAATCATTATTGCCTTACTGAATTTTAGATTATAGGCAGACAGAAACTTCCTAACTCAATTGCTGAGCCTCATGCTTTAATTTACGAATAAAATTTCTGTTGTGCCCATTGACCATTTAGGTATCAACTTCTAAGGGTTTTTTCTTGTTTTGTTTTCTTCTGAGACCGAGTCTTGCTCTGTCACCCAGGATGGAGTGCAGTGTCTTGATCATAGCTCACTGCAACCTCAGCCTCCCGGGTTCAAGCAGTTCTCCTGCCTCAGCCTCCTGAGTAGCTGGGATTACAGGCGGCACTACCACGTCTGGTTAATTTTTGTATTTTTAGTAGAGATGGGGTTTCACCATGTTGGCCAGGCTGAACTCCTAAGGTTTTTGAATGTGGCTCTCCTGGCTCTGCTATCACTGGAAGTAAAACTGAGACAAAAAACATGGCTCCTCACCTACTCTTCAGCATACCTGGGCACCTGGACTTCTTATTTACTTCTCTCTGCTTCCAAACAGGAAGCTCTGTAAACAAGAAGAAAGGGACTGAGGACCCACAGGGTTGCCTGGACATTTGGAAAATAATTTTAAATATTTACACTTGATCTATAGGAGATTACACATTTGCTATGGAAAGCTTCAATTATTAAATGATCAGGTTCACTAGAGTAAAAACAATTATTCTCTGCTGAGAAAGTATTTTATATTTCTACTTTAAACTTTGCTCTGTTCTGGTTGAATGTGTTAGAAAGGAACACTTGTGCTTATTAAAGGAAATTGTCAGAAGAAAATGAAGGGGTTGAAATGGAAGGATGTCCTTGGATTTGGAGTTCCAATGAAAGAACATAAGTGCTGGATGCAAACTTCTAGTTGCGTGCACATCTCTGGGCAGAAAGGAGTTTGGTGCTAAGTGCAGGTGGAAAAGGGACTTCTATTTCCTGATTGGGGTGACTAGACCATTGTGAGTGTGTGTTCATCCATATTACCAGTGCATGTATTCACTCTTTACCCTCTTCTTCATGGGTTTCCAGCCTCTGCTGCAGGCCACCGTGGCCCTGGGATGGAGTTCTGCACAGAGGATGTGGGCGGATGTGGCAGCTTTTTAAATTCTCTGTGTCTTCCTTCAGGTTCTCTCCTCTCATTTGCTGGACAGACAAAGAGGGCCTGGAGACCTCCGAGGATATGGTGGTGACAGGGCCACTGAGGAGGGCAAGTCTGAGTCCCTGGAGGTTTGTGTGGATCACTCTTTCCCCCAACCTATGGTACACTGGGACAAAGGGATAAACAAACTTATAGCTTATTAGATCATTGAGAGTTAAGAGTTGTTTTCATAGGTGTTAACTCATCTTGGCTAATATACCTACAAACACCTTGGGGACAGGGGCACTTGTTAGTGTTCCTTGTCTTTGCAGAGTCTAGCTGGTAATGGGCACAAAGCTGTTTATAGAATGAATAAATGAGAGATAAATGTGTCTTTACTTGGGGCAGCATGGTGCTCTGCTTTTCTTTCCTTTTGTTTTCACAAGATGATGGAAAAAGAAAGTGCTGGGGTCAAACACTGCTATGGTCTGATGGTGTCCCCCCTAAAATTCGTATTAAAATTCATATGATGAAATTCTAACCACCAAAGTGATGGTGTTAGGATGGTGTTAGGGCATTTCAGAGGTGATGAAGTCATGGGCGATGAAGCCCTTATTTATGGGATTACTACCATTGTGGAAGAGGCCACAGTGCTGCCTTCCCCCCTCTACCATGTGAAGACACAGTGAGAAGTCATGGTCTATGAAGAAGGGGCCCTCACCAGTCACTGAATCTACCATTGCCTTGCTGTGGGACTTCCCAGCCTCCAGAACTGTGAGAAATACATTTCTGTTTTTTAAGAACCACCTAGTCTATGGTATTTTGTAATAGCAGCCGAAATGGACTAACATAGCACTCTAAATAGAAAAATGGAGACTTCCTAGCTCTTAGCATCTTCTTACTCATTTACAGAAGAATAAAGTCATCAAGAGTCATTGATGCCAGCATTGCCCTGGAGGGACCAAGGGAACAGGAACTTGTTTTCCTTGTGTTTGCCTTTCCTCAAACCTATCCTGTAGCTGCATCTGATGGTCAGAGTGGTATCATCTTAACAGTTATGCCTAATTGTTTTCATAAATAATCATATTTAGTAGGAAAAGAATAGCTGAGTCAGAAAGTTTTATATAATAATGTCCTTTAGTTGACTGTGTTCTTGGAAACTCTGGTTGTTCAGAATTGCAGACAAAAATCCTATCTCACCGGGAAAGAGCCTAGGTCAAAATGAAATTCCACATTAGTGTTAAATTTGAAAACTTGAAGTGAACACAAGCATATTGTATTAGTCTGTTCTCACACTACTAATAAAGACATACCCAAGATTGGGTAATTTATAAAGGAAAGAGGTTTAATTGACTCACAGTTCCACATGGCTGGAGAGGCCTCACAATCATGGCAGAAGGTGAATGAGGAGCAGTCACATCTTACATAGCAGCAGGCAAGAAAGCATGCGCAGGGAAACTCCCCTTAATAAAACCATCAGATCTCATGAGACTTATTCACTATCACAAGAATAGCACGGGAAAGACCTGCCCTCATGATTTAATTACCTCCCATGATTCAATGTCCCTCTCACGACACTTGGGAATTATGGGAGCTACAATTCATGATGAGATTTGGGTGGGGACACTGTCAAACCATATCACTTATCATTGAATATTTTGTGTGTGTATTTCCAAAAAGGTACTAAATTGTCCCTCCCCCATGCATAAAAATGTAACTCCAGGTACTTTCACCTCCAGGCTGCATGAGCCTGCTTAGAATCAGACAACCCACGAACATCCTCCATGTTCAACTCCACACATCACAGGTGGCTTTCATTGACAGCCAACAACCACCATGCTTTATTGAAAAAATATAGGAAGAGAAACATGCAAAATGCCGCATGGTACACAAGGACTGGAATATGTTTTTAGAAACTCGTGCGTTTCTTATTAGAACATAACAAGTAGATTTTCGACTCCTTAAATAACTTTATTATGGATCTTCCTGTCAAAGAGGGAGTTTTAAATGGAGATATTGATAGGCTCAATTATTTCCATATGGTATTAGATTTTCCTTCATTGTAGACCTGGCTATGTGCTGTGGTCAGCACATTTGTACCTGCCTACCCTTAGATGGATTTTGCTAGATTTAGTGGCTACAAACACCCAATTTTCATGAGTAGATTAGGAGGCTCTTTGAAAAATAGGGCTAAAATCCCCTACAGATGGAATCCAAAAGCATGCTTGTGTATTTATTTTGAGCTACCAGGACAATCTTGGGTATGTCCTTCTATCTCTGCAGTGTACAGGCTTTGACTTAAAGTTTTTATTGCACAAACACCATGCTGTGGATGTTTGAGTCTGCAAAGGACAGAGCGGGAGCCCAGCTGTAGCAAGCTGCATTTTCATTCTGAATGTCTAGGAGATTAGAATTTAATGTAGTTCACAGGAGTTAAAGTTTTCTTCCAAATCCTTTGACATGTTGTGGATTGTGGATTCCAAGTTTATGATCATGTTTATTAGCGCCTTCTGCATTCGTGCGGCAGATTTGCCTGTGGGAGAATGCTTTGCCCTTTCTGGTGGATAGACTTGTTTTTCTGAGGCTTTGGGAGGCGGGGGTAGTGGTGATGATGCTGGAGAGGTTGTGTTGCCCCAACTTTTCTTCCTCCCTGTCTCCTCCCAAGATGTGGGAGTCATAAAACCTGAGTTAAACTGAGTAAAAATGCAAAACCTCACCGCCTAGGCAAGATGCCTCAGAGCAGAGGTCCTGAGACGTCATTGGGGTGGGCACCCACATGGACTGATTTCAGGGACACGTGTGGTGGGTTGTGGCTTTAAAACGTAGTCTGAATTCTGTGATACTCCTCCAGTTGAGAGATGGGGTCCCCTCCTCCAAGCCCTTCGCAGTTGGTAACCCCCTGACTCCACAGCAGCCGAGCACAGGGAGGGCGGGCTGAGGCCTGGCTTGGTCCATGGCTCTCGTGGCTCTGACCTGGGATCATCTCCTTGGTTAAAGCCTTGTCCTACTGGGAGGCCGAGGCTTCTATCTGTCATTAGGGGTATAAAGGTCAGGTGGACAGTTCTCGGATGAGGGAGGGAAGAGACATAGAAAGTCAGGAGGAGAGGGCACTGAGGAGAGAGCTGCCCACCCCAGACCCAGCCAAGCGTCCCCACCTAGGACTCCTTCTGCCTGTGCTTGTGGACAACACAGACAGACGGAGCTGCACGCCCCACAGCGTTTTCTTTTCCTGGGTGGCTCAGCTCCTGGAAGCTCATCCATCTCTTGTGTAAGGAGGAGGTCTGACAAATGCCTTTTGCTTGGGAACGTGTGAGTCTGTGTTTGCGATGCAAGCCTGGGGCCACTGCTGCTGTTGCAGGCTGTGAAACACGGAGTGGCTGCAGGGGTAGGGGCTTTGGAGCTTCCTCTAAGAAAAAGAAAGGCGCCGAGTTCAGGGCTCTGGGTGGCCTCCAGCTCAGTGTCTGCTTTCATGGGATATGGTAACATGGAGAGCAAGACTGTCTGTTTGGAAGAAGCGAGCAAACTGTCCCCACACGTGAGAGAAACCAGGAGACTCAATTCCAGTCACAGGGAAGTGACCTGTCATAGCCCTGAGTCTGAGAAGGCGTCCAGTCAGGGACACACCAAGGCAGAGCTTGGGTGTGAGACCAGAGCAGGATGGACTGTCCTGTGCAAACACAGGGATGGGAACAGAGCTCTTGCTGGGTGAGACTTCCTGATAGAAGCACCCGGGAGGCCCCTCTTTACATCGTTGGACCCTCCCCCTTGTCTGTGCTGTGGGTCCCTCATGCTGCACCTCTGTGAGTGTAGTTGCTGGTATGAAACTGTCTGGGTGGTGGAGTGTGGCTGCGGAGAGCTGGAGGGACAGTTTTGGGAGAGTCAGCGCTGGGGGCTACTTTCCTTGCTGTGTGGGACCCAGTGCCTGGAGCATCTCCTTGAAGCAAACTTTTAATAAAATTCTTTGTATGGTGAGCTAATCACTCCTTCCAAAATGAGTCTGGCCGGATGTTTCCCTTCTCTGTCTAGGAACGGAGGAGCACATGTCTCTGCTGCAATACCCACATGTTACCAAAAAAAAAAAAAAAAAAATCAAACAAACGTGGAACTGAGTTCATGACACTTAGGCCCGTGTGCTTAGGGCAAAGGTCCGGATGCCTGTCCTTGTCTTTGAAGTAGGTACACAGCACGATGGACTGATGAGTGGGTGGACAGATTTGAGATAAAGCAGGTATGGCAAAATGTTCATGGTGCATGCACGCTGTGGAGTTCAGGATGCAATTCTTTCCACTTTTCTAGATATTAGAAATGTTCATAGTGAAACACTGGGTGATCTCAGAGCTGTGAGGCCCCTTAGGGTCACCCACTCATGTCTCCATTCTGCACTGAGCACACTGTCAGAGCACAGTACTGGAGATGGGACACCTGCCCTTTGGAAGGTGCATGGTGTGTATTCTTGGGAAGGACACCCTGTGGTGGAGGACGGGCTGCCTCCTGCAGGGCAGTCAGCAGCTCTGGCCCCCAGGCACTGACTCCTGGGAGAAGCCCTCAGTCACTGAGACAGGGCCAGACAGGGCAGATGAGGCAGTGCCACCCCAGGTCGACAAGTGCTAGTCTAGGCCTGGAAGGCCCAGAAAGGGCAGCCTGCCCTGGGGAGGGTACACAGCATGGGAGTGGCTGCCGCAACGTAGAGTCTGGGAGCCTGAGCCCCTGGCTGGACTTTTTGTTCATTCTCTTTCTTCTTATAAAACCAAATGGTGCTTGAGTCAGTCATTTAGGGCATTGTAGCAATTCTCTGCTCTGGGTACCACTGAATGTACTGAAAATCACCATGGTCGTGCTTTCTCTCTTCAAGTTTACGGAACTATGGGGGAGGCGGGGCGGTGTGTGTTTGGAGTTGTTTTTCCAGGAACTGTGACAGGTCCTGCTGATTCACACACAACAGAGAAGTATCTGATAGGGCTGCCAGGTTTATGGATGCAGCCTGTGACCTTGGAACGATGTTTTTAAATCTAAAATTACTGATCTAAGTAGTATTAAACCTCAGACTCCACCTGTTCCTAGTCGGAGCTCACAATTAAAGTCAGTTGACCAGATTTACCATTTGTGGTTAAGTCACTGTCAAAGCCACACACTCCTTGGGGGAGTGGGGGTTGCACTGTGACTGCTCCAGTGGCCGAGAGGGCCTGAGCTCACTGTTTCCAATGTCAAGCCTGCGTTTCTGTGGGGCCCCAGCCATTCCTCCTCTACAGCAAGACCCAGCCCAACTCACAGGACATTCAGCTACTTTCCATTGAGAGATATTTTTTCTTTGGGGAAATTTCTTGCCTCATTTTGGATCAAACTTTTATTTTAAATTAGTGGTGAGCTCTAAGCATCTTGGAGATCAATGCAGGAAGCTTCCCCCTTTGTTCTTGATATTTTACATGTACACGAAGCAATGGAAGGTGAAGCCTGCCTGGGCTCAGAATGACTGTACAGATATGGCAGTGATTTTGCTGTGGCTGAGGGAGACCCTGGGGCACAACTGTTTCCCAAGTTACTGCCTCAGTTTACCTGAAGTGATTTTAATTTGGCTCTGGGTTTACTCATTTAGATGCACTAAGGAAAGGTTTGCTGCAATTTCTGGTTAAAATTGGCACATCGATTATGTGTGTTTTTCTACATTCCCTCTGAATCATCACAAAATTATAGTAAATGAATAGGAAAAGATATCAATCCAAAGGGATGTGGATACCAGCAGATCAGACGTGTCAACACAATTTTGGAAAATGGAAAGTACATGGCTTAGCTTAGTTAATACCTGTGTATTTAGTTAATACACAGGTATTAACTAAAACCTATGTACCAGCAAGTTTGTGTGTGTGTGTGTGTGTGTGAGAGAGAGGGGGGTGGTGGTATTGGTATAACAAAGAAGAAAACCTATGGTTGTTCCAGTTACTGTTGATGCACAACAAACTAGCCCAAATGAGAATACACAAAGATCATTTTATCATCCCCACAGATTCTGTGGGTCAGGAATTCAGACAGAGCAGAGCAGGGCTACCTTATGTCTGATCCACTGTGTCAGGAGCCCCTGCTGGGAATACTCAAAAGCTAGACTCAGCTAGAGCTGTCAACAGAGTATCTCCTCGTGGCCTCTTCATGTGGTGGGGCTTCCTCACAGCATGGTGGCTAAGTGCGCAGAGGGAACATTCCAAGTCTCTAGGTGACAGCTGCTTGGCCTTTTCTGACCTAGATGCAGATGTCACATTGCCCTTCTTTTAACCATAATCTGTTGTTTGAAGCAGTCACAAGCCTGCCAGATTGAAGGGTCCATAGACCCTTACCTCTCAATAGAAGAGCATCGAGAACTGTGGAACCATGTTTTACAGCTGCAACAATGGTCACACGGAACCCCAGGAGACTTGCAATCAGAAGCACCAAAGGCCAGGGTGTGGCACAGCCACCCTGCAGAAGGCAGGAGAGTTACTCCTTGGAGACACTGACCCAGGAGGCTCTGAACTTGGAGATTCCAGTCGGAGTTGAGGACACAGAACCTAGATGGAGAGCAGGTGAATTAAGTGAAAACCTGCTTTCTGAATAGTCAGATCCCTCCCACTCAGCCCTCCACTCAGTTTTGGGAATGTTGCCACCAGGATTATGCCCGTTACCCAGAATGTCAAAGGATTCTTCTTTGGTGAAACTGAGAAACCAAAGAAAAATGACCTATTAATTGGCATAAGACCACCAGGTACCCATCTGATAAACCTACAGTGAAGTGATCCTATGACAACCTCTGGTCATCCACACTGAGCTTCCAGCCAGCCGACTGGGGCCTTAATTAGTGAAAGAGATGGCCCTAGACACCTGAGCAGCTGGGGAAAGCCTCTGTTGGGAAGACACAAGCACGCAAACAAACAAAACAGCAACAAACAGAAAAAAGGAACTCAGGGAAAGAAGTACAATGCATTAGAAAAACAAAGACAACTCAAAGAAAATGCAAAAAAACAAAGAAATAGCCAATGGTGAGATGTTAAAAAGATAACTTTTAAGGTATGTGAAAGAGCTCTTAGAAAAGAAAAATATGTGGCCTAAGTAAAAAACTCAATAGGAGTTTGAGAAACGGTGTTGAGGAACTCTTCCAGAAAGTGGAACAGAAAAACAAAGGGATATACAAGAAGAAAATTCAAAGACTATTCAAGGAGATACATCTGATAAAAGAGGAGTTCCAGAAATAGAAAAGAGAGAGAGAGGAAATCATCACAGACATTTACCAAAATGGAAGGAGGGGGATTTTTTAGGCTGGAAGAAACATGAAGTGCTTAGCGCAATGGTGGACAAATCCCCCCAGCCCCACATCAATGCATATCATCATGAAACTCAGGATACCAGGGATAATGAGACGATATTAAAGGCATGTTGGGGTGGGGAGTGGGAAGAGGCAGGGAGGGAGAGAGAGAGACAGGGAGAGAGAATAGGTTATATGCAAAGGATTTAAGATGAACTTGACCTCAAACTCCTGCTCAGCAGCTACGGGAATCAAACACCAGTGGAAAGATGCCTTCCACATCCTGAGGCGAAATGATTTGCATACTAGAATCTCATACTCAGACAAACTTTCAGTAAGGTGCAAAGCTCAATGGGTAAATTTGCTGCTAGAAAACTTGACTGATTGCCTATGAAAGTGGCCACATTTTCCTTGGTTTAGATTAATACAGAATCTTTCAGAAGATTCTGAAAGATCTGCAGCCTCATCTGGCATGATGTTTATCCCAAGTTTACAGGTACCTTCCTGACATCCTTTTCCCTTCAAGTGGCTTCCATGTCTGTTTTCCTTTATGGTCAAACTTCTTGAAAACATAGTATACATCAGTGCTTCTAACTTTTTTGGACCTCTTTTTTTTTTTGGACGGAGTCTAGCACTGTCGCCCAGGCTGGAGTGCAATGGTGGGATCTTGGCTCACTGCAACTTCTGCCTCCTAGGTTCAAGTGATTCTTCTGCCTCAGCCTCCCGAGTAGCTAGGACTACTGGCGTGTGCTACTACGCCCAGCTAATTTTTGTAATTTTAGTAGAGATAGGGTTTCACCAGGCTGGTGTCGAACTCCTGACCTTGTGTTCCGCCCGCCTCAGCCTCCCAAAGTGCTGGGATTACAGGCATGAGCCACTGTGCCTGGTGGATTGCTCTTAAGAATTGATAAAAGCGACAGAACATCTTTTAGAAAAGAAAAATGCATGTATACGTACATATGTGAGATTTTCCAGTTAACCTGGAAGGTCCACAGGTACACAGGCCACCTGCTCTTTCTCTTCTCACACCCAATTTTTACATGCACTGTCTTATTCAATTTTACTAACTACCTTCTTCTTATTTTTTCTTTTGTATTACAAAAGTAATATAATGCAGAAAAATAAAATCAAAGAGAAAGTCCCAATTTATCCCTATCTTACTGGATTATTCTCCCTCAGGTGTTCTGATTTATCCTCCAGGTATTTTAAAATTATGTGTGTGTATCTCTCTGTGTGTGGGGGGGATTCATGTATACATATAAAATAACTGCATATAAGCAATCGTATAGTGATATAGTGTGTTTTAAATAAAACCCATATTTTTAATAATCCTGTATAGATATCCTGCTATAGGTTGAGTATCCCTTATATGAAATGCTTGGGACCAGAAGTATTTCAGATTTTGAATTCTTTTGGATGTTGGAATATTGACATTATACTCAGTGGTTGAGCATTCCTAATCTGAAAATCCAAAATCCAGAATGCTCCAATGAGCATTTCCTTTGAGCAGTATGTCAGCACTCAAAAAGTTTTGGATTTTGGAGCACTTTGGATTTTTAGATTTAGGATGCTCAATCAGTATTTGGCTTCTCATGTGATAAATTATGGACTTCCTCCATGTTAACACATAGAGATTTTTTTTTCCACTGATTTTTTCAGTTCCATTATATTCCTTAGAATGGGTCCTCTTTTATTAACTTCATGCCTTTTTGGTGGCTATTTACGTTGTTTGAACTTTTTTTTTGCTTATACAAACAGTGCTGCAATGAAATATATATAAATATATAGAGAAATCAGTAGAAATATATACATATATATTTACATCACTAGCAATATGTTTGTAGAATAGATTCTTAGAAGCAGAATTGCTAAGTATGTATTTTAAATGTTCTATGGTTGTTGCCAAGCTATTCTCCAACAACATTGTATGAATGTATACTTCCACCAACAGAGTACTGGAATGCCTCTTTCCTCATGCCTTCTCCAATACTGGATGTTAGCAATATTTTGAAAGTATTGAGGATGGGTCAAAAATAGTACAGTAGTTCAAAGTTGCTTTAAATTTAATCCTCATGGCTGGGCGCGGTGGCTCATGCCTGTAATCCCAGCATTTTGGGAGGCCGAGGCGGGCAGATCATAAGGTCAGGAGATCAAGACCATCCTGGCTAACATGGTGAAACCCCGTCTCTACCAAAAGTACAAAAAAAAAAATTAGCCGGGCATGGTGGTGGGCACCTGTAGTCCCAGCTACTTGGGAGGCTGAGGCAGGAGAATGGCGTGAACCTGGGAGGTGGAGCTTGCAGTGAGCTGAGATCGTGCCACTGCACTCCAGCCTGGGCAACACAGTGAGACTCCGTCTCAAAAAAAAAAAAAAATTAATCCTCATACATTTAACCCAACTTAATTCAACCCAAATTAATGCTAACTCTTACAATAGACAGACTCCATGATCGAATGAGCTAACACGATCAGGTTGTATTTTCCTCCTTACTCTGTGTTCTCCTTCCTAAAGCCTTGCCTTTGGACTCCGGGTGGCTGCAGCAGGGAAGGGAGGGGCACAGGAGACAATGTGCTCCGGCTGCCTCAGCTCTGCAGGGGTTCTCGTCACCTGATGTCCTGTCTCCTTGCCCAGAATGGTGGGCCTGTCCCCTGCCAGGGAGGTTGGGAAACTCTTGCTGTCACCAAAGTTTGTCTTTGTTTTCTAGTTTTGCAAAGTTTGGCAATGTTTGACAAAGTTTTGCTTTGCCAATGTTTTTACTGGTTTGTCTCTGTTTTTTTTTTTTTTTTTTTTTTTTTTTTTACTAATTTGTAAAGGCTTTTGACGTATTATGGACCATAACCCTTAGTTTTGTCATGGAGGGCTTAAATGTTTCCTCCCACTTTGTTGTTTGTTTTAAAACTCTGTGTTCTCTTTGACCCTACACACATGTTTTGGCTTTATGTGTTTCCAGGTAGCAATATTCTGAGAGCTTCTGGATTTTCACGTTCTGCTTAGGGGGGTTGTCCTGTGCCAAGGTTATGACATCTCCTTCCACATGTTTCTATTAAGTTGATAGTTTTTAAAGCGTATTGATATATTTAACCCAACTGTCATCTGTTTTCGTGTACATTGTGAGAGTGTGGGGTTTTCAGGGCAGCTCTTTTCACCCTGCTGAATCCCCTGTCACTGGGTCACTGCTGGCCTCTGAGGAACCGGATCCCAGGGTCGTGTTTCCTGCTCCCCTTGCCTTGCCCTGCATGGCTGCTGGCTGTGATGCCCACTCCTTTCTTGCAGCTCCTTCCTGGGCTTCAACAGAGGCCCTCGACCCTGATTTCCATCCTTCTGCTGCAACTGCTCTTTCCAAGATCCTCCTTGGCCCCCTCCTGCCACATTACCCTTCTTCCAGCCTAGCTGGGGAGCGCTCCCCGAGAGCCCTGGAGCTGGCTTCATGCCTCTATCTCCTGCCAGCCACTGTGGTCTGTATGCCACTGGCTAGCCCCCTGCGGGTGCCCGCAAACCTTCCCTTTCTGGACACCTGCCTCTTTCTCGTCCCCTCACCGACAGACCCTAGGCACTTCTGGCTTCCCCTCCCATCACAACAGGTCCCCCCCACTCTGGCCGTATGGCTGACCCAGCCGATCCCTCCTCCCAGCCTAGATCTTGTTTGCAGTGACCTTCCAGCTTCCTCCTACTCAAGGACTCCTGCTCCAGACCACAGAGCTGCCCACGCTTCCCGCAGCCCGACACCTCATAGCTCCATGGCTTTGCAGGGGCCATGTCTTCTGTGTAGAACTCTTCCTCCAGCTCCCTGTCTGGCAAATTCCTGTTTCCTTGACAGCCCAGTTTAATCTACACCCTCTGCAATATCCCCTGACCTGCCAAGTGACTGGGCCTTCCTCCCTGCTGCCTCACAATCCGGCAGAGCCTGCACATGCTGAGATTGGCCTGGGACTCTGGTGTGCCAGCTCACTGTCAATTGTCAATGAGGCCTTGAGCTCCTGGAGGCCAGAGCCCCAGTCCTCCTGCCCTTGGCTGCCAGTGCCTGGTGCCTCACAGTGGTGGGGCCTTGATGAGAATAAACCTGTGAAACAGATGGTCTTGGAAGGCGAGGAGGGCAGGGGCTGTCCCTGTATAGGTCAGGTGGGCCTTGGCAGCATAAGTAAGTAGCCAGCCACCCCAGGCATTGCTGTGGGAGCTCAGGCCTGCACTGCCCTGTCTGTCCATTCAGCTGCAGCATCACAACAAGGAGGGTCCACGGCTGGAAGCCTGCCCAGCTTGCTCGAAACTTCTTTTTAAAAGCACGCATTTTGTTCTTCAAATTCCAAAGCCTCACCCAACCCTGCAAAAACGACGACTCCTAGAACTACCATGCTGTGCACAAGGCCCCCGACACCCCTCAGAGGGAGTGATGACTGCAAAGACATCTTGGGACTGTGATCTCCTGCGGGGTCAGGCGGACTCTGCCTGTGCGGGCACACACACCGCTGGATGCTTTTCCCTAAGCCCCCGGAGTGAAAGCGATGCTGCACCTCCACTGCCTTCCGCAAGCGGTTTCACTTTCCAGGCCCTGAGTGTGGAGTCATCCAGAGGGCTGGCTGCTGGGTCGAAGCACATTCTCTGACCTGGCTGGAGCTCAGGTCCGGTCACAGGCTGGGTCACCTTGGCCTTTTGTCCTCTCAGCATGGAGTGACTGAGGAGGACCAGCTGTTTTTCAGCCTCAGAGGCTGGCTAGCAGTGGGGTGCAAGCCCTGTCCCTGATATGGAGACTTTAGCTGTCCCTTCTCTGTCAGTCCATGTACGTGACATGCAGTCCTCTCCCCACCGGACTTCCTATAAACCTGGGTTGGCAAAGCATCAACATGTAAGTCGCCACCACTTCCTTCCTCTTGGGCAGCCACCACGAACTCACCTGACAGGCTGTGTCTGAACACAGCCTCAGAATCCTTCTCAACACTGGAGGAGAACCACCGTGTGAAATGAGCACTGCAGACCGTGTGCACTGCTGGGGCAGTGATGAGACACCTCTGAAGGTGCCTGTTGTAGCTCGAGGGGAAACCCTGACCATGTCCACAGTGATCATCACGGATGGTTGGCAATGGGGTCAGGGGCACCGTGGGGCTTCTAGTTTAACTCTCTTCTTTGGAGGATGACATGGTTTGGATCCGTCTCACCACCCAAATCCCATGTCGCACTGTAATCCCCAGTATTGAAGGTGGGACCTGGTAGGAGGCGATTGGATCACGCGAGTGCTTCTTGTGGTAGTGCTTCTTGGTGCTGCTCTTGTGACAGTGAGCGCTCACGAGATCTGGTTGTTTAAAACCGTGTAAGCCCTGCCCCCACCCTTTCTTCCTCCTGCTCGCTCGCCCCTTGCCTTCCGCGATGACCGAAAGCTTCCTGAGGCCTCCCCATGCTTCCTGTGCAGCCCGTGGAACCATGAACCAATTCAACCTCCTCTCTTTATCAATTACCTAGTCTTGGGTGTTTCTTTATAGCCGTGTGAGAATGAACTAATACAGAGGACGAGAACACAGAAGCACAGAGAAGGTGAGTGATGCCCCATCTGTGTCCAGCATAGCATTCCAAGGCACGCCTTGTGGGCCACTGGGCCCTGTGGAGTGGTGGGGAGCACATGCGCTGCTTGAGGACACCGCATTCTGAGGCTCCCTCTTAGGGATTGTGTATGTGGTTGATGTTACAGGTTCTAACAAGCATGGCTGTGAGGAGCTGGTTTTGCTCACAGCACATAGCGCACTATGCATGTGATCATGTGCATTCCCCATGTGGTCCTCCAGTCTCCGGGGAGAAGCCCACACTGGTGATGCTGTGCCTGCTTCCACCTGAAAACACTGAGGCTGGCTCAGGTGTCCACAGTTGGCGATGCAAGCAGGAGCAGGGCCAGCTGTTCTCTTTATTTCCATCAGAACCAGAGTGGTAGAGTATCAGTCACTGACTCCATTGCCCGTGGGGCTGACAAAGCATTTCTGCTGTCAGAATCTCACATTCTTGGGACCAAGCTGAGCGAGATCAGGTTTCCAGGCATCCACATGCAGTTCCTATAATGAAGACAGAGGATCTCTTTGAGTGGAAAGCAGTTTTCCATCACCAGCATCCCAGAAACAGTACCTGGGATCTATTAAAGCCTCAGTAGGTATTCATTGAAATTTTAAAAACTCAGTTAAATGCCGGTCTTTGCTAATAATGCCTCTTTGCCCAAGCACATTAGCCCGAGCATGAGTCCTGCATGTATTGAGGTGTGTGTGAAAGTACATTTGCACACCAATATGTTACTACTGTCAAAACCAGGTAGCATTGTTTTGACAAGGTTGCATGCACCAGGATGCAGCACAGAGAGCCCATGCCCATGCTGTGTCACCGCTGTGACAGCTTAGTGCTGCTGGAGATGTGGAATGAGCTCATAGAGGGGACTGAAAGTGAAACAGAGACTCAGGTCCTGGTGATGTTGCTGCATACACACCACCCCCATGTAGACATTGAGAACAACCATCGTTTTATTGTATCACCTAATTGTGTGGGTCAGGAATTTGAACAGTTGTTCTCTTCCCTGCGGAGCTGATGGAGGTTACTTGTGATACCACATCTGGCATGTGGGTTGTTTGGGGAAGTCCAAGACAGATTCATCCCCATGCTGGGGCCTTTATGGGGGTAGCCAAGAGGCTGAACTTGGCAGGGGCCATTGACCAGAGCACTCACACGTGTCTCCATCTTGACTGTCTTGGGGTCTGTGGACTTTCTCCCAGAGGGAGAAGGTTGCAAGAGAGGAGGTGGAAGCTGCCAGGTTTCTGAGTGAGCCTCCGATGTGTGTCTCTCCTGGTATGTCCCCTGGAAAAGTGAATGGAGCTAGCCCAGATTCATGGGACTGGGAACTGACTCCACTTCCCTGTGGGAGCAGGAGCAGAGGCTTTGCAGCTACCCTTCATCTGTACAGACTGACGGGCCCTGTGATGAATGCAGTGTGCCGTGGAGAAGGGAGAACCAGCCCTCCCCGCTGAGGAGGCTCTGCTGAGCCTGCGTGCTTGCTTCTCTGCCAGTCCTCTCCTCATTGCTCCGTGGCCTCTCTGCCAACTCCATGCCCCTTAAGGCTGGCCCTTAGCAACAGCATCTGCCTCTCCCTTGCTTCTCACCCCTGCCCCTCATGCCATGCCTGCTGCACTGCCCTTGTGGACACATCCCTTCATGAGTCCCTCTTCTGTTAACCCTGTGCCTGTGCCATCTGTTTTCAACATGGGCCTGACCCTGATGGCACATTCAAAAAAAAATCATATCTTTACAATAAAAATGACAAAAATTATATGATCAATTAGTAATAAAATGACACATGCTAAAAAGTAACTTGGAAGATTTTCCTTCTTCAGAATGTCTAAGGGGTTATCAAGGCCCTTTTGGAATTGACAATTATGCAGAAGTGTTTGCTCCATCTTATAGACACCAGGCACAAGATTACTCCTGATCTCCAGCGGGAGACCACACATCTGCCCTGCTGCCCAGGTAGCGTGAGGCACTCTGCTCGGCTTGTCTCCTCGGTGCATTGGGCACACCTTGGGAGGTGTGGCAGAGTGTGGCCGATGGGTGTGTTGGGCACTTTCCATCCACCTTGGGAGGCATGCCATGGGGTGTGGCTGGCAGGCAGTAGCTTCTGCACCAGACACTCCACATGTGAGACGTGCTACCCACCTCACTTAAGATGCCTGCTATCTGCAGAAAGAGATTCCACTGGGCAGCCCCCAGAAGAGTAGACTCCAGCATACTGTTGATGGTTAATAAATGCCAGCTCCCCTCTGTGGTCCTGTTGCTTCAGGAGGATGGGTGAGAGGGTCCAGGCTCACGGGGCTTGCCCTCATATTTTCTTGAAGAAAAACAGACAATTCTGAGTCCTATGTTGGGTGTGGGTGGTGAGGGTGGTAAGGCTGAGTGCACGCCGTGTTTCGGGAGGGTTCGAGGTGCCCAGGTTCCATCATGCCTGTATTCAGAGGGCGGCACTGATGATTCTGATTTGATTCTCATCGCAGCCTGCCAGCAGGGTCATGTGGCTTTGAGCACCTGAAGTGTACAGTGAGGAAATGGAGACAGGGGTGTTACCTCTTGTGCCCAGAGCCCTTGGCTGGCCCAGGGGAGATGAGTCTGGTCTGGATCTCCAGTGAGTCCCGGGCCAGGTTGTGCCCACTGAGCTCCTCACTGAGACCCTGATGGACGCGGAGATGTGGGATGGGGGAGGCAGGCTGGGGAGTGTCCTGGAATGTGGGGAAACCCAGGGGTTGGAAGATGAACCAAGAAGGAAGGAATGAGCATTCTTTCTTGCAGCTCCTCCTGCTCCTCATGTCTGCAGATGCCCCTCCAGGTTTCTGCTTCTGCTCTGACCTTTACACCAGGACATTCACATGAACCCATCCCTGCCCCCCTCCCCTCACTGCAGCCGGCCATGCAAGGTGAAGGGCTGACTTGGACCTCCTTAGTCTGCAATCCTGAAGTGAGGTGCAGGGGGCAGGGGAGGCAAGCCCTGGGGCCAGTGGGTCTAATTCAGAGGCATCATGGTGAAGGAAGGGGAAGCTAAGAAGCAGGAGAAGTGGCTTTGTAGTGAGAACAGATGCAGAACAACTCCCTTCTAGGGGAAGCTCAGGCTTCCTTCTTGGAAGTGAATAAATTGCTTGTATTGACTGTTTCTACCTGAGGGCACCTTCTCTGACAGTGCCCTGACCCAAGGCTGCATGGCCCAGGAGCCAGTGGACCTGGCTGGTCTTGCTGCCTCCATCTGTGTCATCCCTGTAAGTGTCTCTTCTCTTCAGGCCATGACATTGAAAGGCTTTGGTTCCTCTTCTTAGCAGTTTCTACTTCTCCAAATATCTGACAAATAAAGGGCCATTGCTCACCCTGGAGGCCGCTCACCCTGGAGGCCGCTGTCCCCTTGACATCACATCCCCAGGCAGCTCCATGTAGAACTCCACTGTGAAAATGCAGCAGAGAGGCTTTGGCCTCATGCTATGTCATTCCCCTAACACTGGAAAAGACATCTGAGGCCACATGAGGCTGGTGAGCAACGGGTCTGTCTGCCCCGACCGGGCAACTCTGGCTTGCCACCCACATAGGACTGGCCACTTCCTGAGAACAGGAGCTCCTCACGGCCATATTCAGGGCTGCTGTCTCTCCCTGTGCTAAAAGACTGGGTCTCCGTTATGCCCCTAGGCCTCCTTGAGGTCCTTCTGGCCAAATGCAGAGTCCTGTTGGCATTGGTGCCATCAGTTAACCATCTCTGCCTCTTTCAAATCCTCTGCGCTCCTCAGCAGGGTGGGGGTGGGGATTGTGGGGTGCGGTCTCTTTCCTTCCTTTGTCCTTTAGGCCCTCCATGCTCTTGAGGTGCTGGGCACAGGGAGGAGAAAACTGGGTGACCTCCAGAGGGAGAAGGGAGCCCGTGAGTGCCATGTCGGGATGGGAGAAGCCAAGCCTCAAGGACAAGAAGCTGAAGGTGCAATTACTAGAATGCTTTGTATACTTGATCCTCTTGTACCAAGACACATGTGGCCCCCAGACTCATTCATGTATTTGATAGACAACTCTGTCATATGTCCACCAGGGGTTTAGAAAAACCCTGTTGCTTATTCTTGAATGGAATCATCCAAAAATGATGGGATATCACTTAGGAAGCATCATGTCTCAGCAAAGCCTTGTGCTCTCTAGAAGGACAATTTTGGGTGCATTAGAGCTCTTTCTGCATTGTTTTCTTAAAGCTTTCTGTAGTGTTTAGTGATGATATTTGGGAATCAAAGTACATAGTTAATTTGAATTTGCAATAAGAAAAACTTCTAAGAGGTAATACTTTTCTCCTTTAGCAAGAGAGGCCATGCTCTGCCCATGCACCGGGGGAGGGGCAGAAAGAAGGAAGCTGAGGAGCCTGCAGGAGACTGGCTGATTTCTCACCAGCTGAGCCCTCTGGACAGCTTTGTCCAGGGCTTCATGGCTGTGGAGAACAGATCCTGCATGCCTTTTGTCTTCTGTGAGCATCTGCCACTCTGGTATGGCCACCAAATGCTCTTCTCCCTGGTGCATGCCAGGGAGCTTTGCGCACAGCATTCCACAGATAGCATGGACTAGGGAACACACCCCAGGTGGACATGTGACAGGCAGAAGACTTGTGCAGCGTGCTGTTCAGGGCGAGTGTGCAAAGACAGGCCACCTCTTGGGGAGACGGCCCATAGCGCGGAAAGAAGTCATCTTCCTTTCCGGCCATTCTCTTTTTCTCTACACACGAGCCCTGCAATAGGACTCAGTGGCTGCCGCCTTCAGTCTGGGCTGGGCCACTCCTGCTCTCGAGGGTGGAACACTGAGATCTAAGGGCCTCTCCCTGTCATGATCCCTGTTTATCCTTCGTTGTGCTCAACACGATGTTTGTCATTACTAAAGCGCTCTTAAAATTGCATCTGCACGTCTGAATAGCCTGCTAATGCAGAGCTGCCCTTTGCATTCAACACAGGAACCTGCTTCTGCCTGGCTCTAGGACAACACTTCTTGCTGGGCTCCTGCCAAGTGCGGCTGGGCTGGGCCTGGAGCGACCAATCCACTGATCCACCAATCCGGAGGGCAGCCCAGGAGGAGCGGGATCTTAGTGGATGGACGCCCTGCCTGTCTGTGGAATGGCTTCTTCCTGGGGCAACCCCGAGAACAAGAGGGAAAACAGCCTCTCCCCCTCGCCTCCTGCCCTCCTGCAGGCAGCCACCTCCTCAGCTAATTGAAAACAAAAAGGGACGCAGTTGTGAAATTCAGCCCCCAGCGCCATCATCATCTCCTGCGGGCTCAGGGGGCTCCTCACTGTGTTTATTTACAAATCAGCACATGTTGTTTTGGCCACGGCAGCAGACAGTGACCCCAGAGAGGGAGGTCCAGAGCACTACACAAATTGCACAACACAAGCAGGTCATCTGTCCCCTTTGCTGAAGATTCCTAAGAAAACAGAGGCAGCTGACTCTCAGGCCATCTGGAAGCCACCCTCAGGGGCCGAGCGCTCGGGGGCGTGTACGCCAGCCTTGGGGGTGCTATCCGGACACCAACAATGTCACTGCTGCTGCCAGCCTCAGTTTCTCCATCTGTGAAGGGCGCATGGTTGTGGTGGTGGGGCGGGGGGTGGTGGTCAGCATGCAGTGATTAGCAGCCACCTGGGGTACTCTACCGGGCAGGCGTCTGTGCTGTGTCCTATAGTTTCAGCCGCACGTTCTCTCATTTTACAGATGGTAGAGCAGCTGGGTGGCTGCCGATTCTCGCCCTGCCCATGGCTGCCCTGGCCTGTGGCCGAGGCTGTGATGAAGGGCAGCCTGTTCTGTGCGACGCAGTTAAGCAAGGTGTCCGGTGGGCTGCATTGTGACCGGGTCAGCCAGGCCCTCCTCTTTGTCTTGCTTCTGCTGGCAGAGCTCACAGCGCAGTTTCTGCATGGAGGCTGCCGGAGTTGCTTCCTGCTCCGTGCTCCCACACCGTTCTTCAGCTGACCAAGTAGTGACAGCAGGACTCCAGGGTTCTGTCCCTGTGCGGCAAAGCACACACTTTCAGTGCTGCGGTTGATGCTTGAGACGCTCAGTGGGAGGTCATTGCTTGGACTAGGACTACAAGTCCAAGCACAAACGTCCCCCTGAGGTGTCACCTGGGGTGTTAGGAGTGGGGGATGGGAAGAGGAACAATACTGGGATGGGGTTCTTGAGGAGACTTTCGAAAGGATCTAAGAGGAACTGACCTCTCCACCTCCCCCAGACTGTGCACAAAGAAAATGGGCCCAAGAATCCCCAGAACTGGGCTCCGAAATCCTCACTGTCTCCTTGCTGGTCACCAGCAATTGCTGTGACTCACTCTCCTGGTGCTTCTGTGGGCCATCTGGGCACCTTGGGGAAGTCCCAGGGATCCCCAACAGCACTCCTTTCTCCCTGTATGTTCTATCCCACTGCCTTCCCAGGCGGGCCTGGAGGGAAGAGCAGTGGCCAGGTGTCTTCAGGGTCCTGCAGGGCTGATGGGAGTGGTTTCTGTGGGTACTGTGGCTCTCCTGTGTGGGTTTCCTGCCCTGGGCTCTGTGTGTGGGCCTTGATGGGCACTGGGCTGTTCTTCTACCTTGTGGCACCTGGCCCTGTAGAGATGACAATTTCTGAAACAGGAGCATTTCCTCTGAATTCCAAGGAACTTTGCTCAAGGGCCAACTTTGCCTTATGCAGGCTGGAGCCTGAATGCTCGCTCTGCTACCAGCTGTGTGACCTTGTGAAAAGTCCTTAACTTCTCTGGGCCTTACTTTCTCATCGGGATAATATTACAAAAGGCTGCTTGAGAAATGGGATGCTTTCAGAGATAACATAGAATGAAAGCACCGGGCACAGTAAAATTCAACTGCTATTAGTTCCTTTCTCCCTTATTCAAGAAGGAAGGCAGATGAAAGCAGATTTCAGGAATGGCAGCTTGGAGAAGAGGAGAGGGAGTGGGGGTCTAGAAGAGGAGAGGCAGTAGGGGCTATGATAATCCTCTGACATTGGCTGAGAGCCAGCAGTAAGAAAGAGAAACAAGCTGTCCTTCATGTACCCACTGGCTTCTTCCTTGCACCCTCGGGTGCCGAGCTGAGCTGCAGACACCCAGACCTGACAGCCCTTCCTCCAGAGCTGGCGGTCCAGGTGGGGAGTGACATTTGGCTGATTTCTGATTTTGAAACACAGAAACCAGGAGAGTTGAGTTAAACCAGGTTTACCAATGTGAGTGGCTTATTGGCTATAGGTGCCCCAGCCAGGTATGGAAGTCCAGAGCTGGAGGGTGTGTGAGCTCCCTGAATGCAGGGCCAGCCCTGGCAGGCGAGCACACAGCTAATGGTAATGGATGGCATAGGAATACGGAGCCAAGGTTTCTGGCAAGAAAACAATGAAAAATGCACTATCTCTGAATTTTTCTCTGGGACTCAGTTGAATTTTAGTGGTCATGACCAGAAATGAAATTCAACCAGTTGACTGATATTTTTAGAAATGCCTCAGGCTTTATCATCTCAACTCTGGGGAGTGAGTATCCCAGAAATCTTGGGAGTGTGGGTCACAGCACCTGAATGTTAGTCCTTTACACCTGTAACATCAGAATTATGGATTCCTGGGTTCCCCTTGCAGAGATTCTAGTTGGGTTGGAGCCTGGGAATCTGTATAAAAATACCTCCCCAGATTTGGAACCACTACCATAGACAATTAAGCAAAGAATGAGGTAAGGCATTCTTTTCTCCAAAATGTAATTTTCTGGGGCCCTGCTAGAGATGTGTCACCTTTCTAGGCCTCTTCTCTGGTGGGAGCTCAGATCCTCCTGAGAAGGGCACGAATGAGAGAGACTCTGACCTTTCCCTCTGTCCTTTGCTCTAAAAACACAGCCCCGTTTAACCGGACAGAGGATGACTTTCTTCTCTGGAGTGCTCTGGGTCACGCTTGGGGACACATGAAGGATACGCCCTCCCTTTCAGGCTCCCATCGCACGTTGAACCTGGCTTGTGAACACAGCCCTCTGGGACACTACTAGGAACAAAGTGTTCCGGATGCTGCAGAAGCTCAGCTGCCACCTGGAAAACCTGTTTGGCCACTTTAGGTCCAGATGACGGGAGCCAGTCCGGCTCAGGAGAACAGAGCTGGCCCAGTAACACCTCGCTTCCTCCCTGCTGCAGAGACCTGGGAGGGCCCTGCCCAGCACAGCACACTGGAGTGGCCCTGCGGCAGCATCTGGGCTGCTGTACCCATGGTGCCTCCCAGCCCGAGGGGCTCCCGGCAGCTCTGGAGACTCCTGCTGTCACGTCACCTGGCCCCTCACCATCACCATCCTCATCTCTCTTGGGTGGGTATGTCCGCACCATTCCTAGCCTCATTTATTTATTTATTTATTTTTGAGACAGGGTCTTGCTCTGTCACCCAGGCTGGAGTGCAGTGGCACCATCTCGGCTTACTGCAACCTCCGCCTCCAGGGGCTCAAGTGATCCTTCCACCTTAGCCTCCTGAGTAGCTGGGACCACAGGTGCACACCACCATGAGCAGCTAATTGCATTTTTGGTAGAGATGGGGTTTCTCCATGTTGCCCATGGCTGGTCTCGAACACCTGAGCTCAAGTGATCTGCCTCCCTTAGCCTCCCAAAGTGCTGGGATTACAGGCGTGCACCACTGCACCTGGCCTCATTTAAAGACTGAGAAAACCAGATCCCAAGAAATTTGCTCACTATTGAGGATAGCTGTCAGCAGACACCAGATTTGGGCATCGAGTTAGCAAGCTCTGGCCGTGTGCTTGAGTACTAGCCCAAAAAACATCCCCAGAGTCATTTGTAGAATGAGTTCTTCTTACTTACCCTTATTAAAAGACTTAAATGTGCATCAATAGTTCCCACAAAAGCCTAGTGTTACTGTTTTAAATACTGAGTTCGTGAGCCAGTCAAAGATTGGGGCTTTCGCTGGTTCATTAGCTTGTTTCATGTTTGGAAGGAGACCCACGTTTATGTCCAGAATGTGATATTCTGTCTATGTGCTGATCTTAGTTTGGAAGTGGTTTGAATAAAGCCAGAAATGCCAGCATATTTAGTTATGAATCCTGGTTTGCAAAGGTGCTGACTTTGGTTGTCCACAAGATCATTGGCCCCATAGCTTTACCTAACCGTCTTACACAACTGTGGTCTTCTCTGTGGGACTTAGAGGAACATCTGAAGAGAGGAGCAAGAGTGGGTTGGTTGATTACCGACAGGGCAGGGGCACAGTATCCCATTTGCATACTCATATTCTGGAAGTCAAGGGGCCTCTAGAACAAAGATGTTCAGTACTAAGCAAAGTGGGCGAGAAATGAGGAAAAAAGGTGCAATGTGCAGGGAGCAGGGCTGGGGCCACTGGCGGGAGAGGAGGCCTCCTGCTTCAGAACCCGGTCATCCAAGTGCAACTCTTTAGAATCCAAAACACGTGGATGCAGGGTTGATGGGTAATTTACAGGTTTCGGCCAACATGTGAGGGACTCTCCAGTGCTTTTGAGCTGGCCTGGGGCCCACGCTGCTGGCTGTGGGAGGCTGGCGTGTCAGAGGCAGAGCTAACCAGTTGCCTGCTTGGATCCCCAGGCACTCAGAACAGGGCTGACCTTTTTTTGTGCATGGCCTGGGTTTTGTGCTTCTGCACAGGTTTGGCCACACAGTCCAGGGGCTGACAAAGGGGACCCGGAGGGGCCACCAAAGACTCTATGCCTGTGCTGAGGATGGAGTTTAGGAATCATGGCTGGGCATGGGCGGTGGCAAAGGGCTGGCCCCCACTTACCCTCACTGCAGGGCTGGGTTCTGTTGCCTGCGTCAGCGCTCACCGTGGGAGTGGGTCTCAAAGGGGCATGCTGGAAATTTGTGGGGGCATTTTTTGGTGGAAACAGTTACCATAGGGACTACTGGCTTTGTGGTCCAGGGCTGAGGACGCTCAAGGTTCTGCGAAGCAGAGAAAGCCCCACACAGACAGACGGCACTGTGGCTAGTGTCACTCCCTTGGCTTCTCATTTGGGTGGCAGATCTGTGTCTGGGGATCTGGTCTGGTCCCATGCCTGTGTTCTGTCAATACCACCCACTTCTCTCATGGCTGTGATAGACACTGGATTTCCCAACACTGCAGCTATGGCATAGACTAAGGGAGGATCCAGACTTTGCTTTGCTCCAAGCTTTGCCAAGCTTTGTTCCTAATTTCAGAAAACAGCCCTAGCGAATGCTGGAATTACCAAAGCAAGGTCCACTGTCTGGCGGAATCCTCAGAAATTTTACCTTAATTTTACCTGAATGCACGCATCTGAGGACTTGATTTGTCATCTAGGGTAGTTGTGCCTAAACATTTACTATCAGAATAGATGTTATTGTGTATTATATCTATGTCAGTTTTCTTTGTATTACCATTAAAGCATTACATATATGATCTATCTATTTATCTATCATCTATCTGTTATACCATCTATCATCTATCTAATCTATCTATATCATCTTTATTTCTCTATCATCTATCTATCCATCTGTAACATCATCTATCTATCACTTATAGACACATTATATTAACCAGAAGTTTCATTTCAGGACAGTACAGCGAATGTTAAAATTATTCATGATCAAAGGGGCTGTTTGATTCTAGCATTCATATACAAGTTGCTGATGGAATGGCCCTAGAGCCCAGCCTCCCTCCACAGAGCCCCTGCCTTTGGAAAGATGGTCTGACTGAGGCTCGCCATGCCCTTGCTGCTTTGCTCTGCAGGGGCTGGGCCGGATCCCCCAGAGCAGCGAGCCCTGGCTGTGTCTCTCCCCCTGTCAAACTTGCCTGGCGGTTTGTTGCTGAGTCTGTCGTGGCTGAGGCACCTGCTCCCTTCAGAGCATCACACCCAGCCAGTTCCCGGAGGTGGCTGAGTGTTTGCTTTCAGGACATTCAGTAGTACTGGGAAATGTGTGTTGACACAGGAGATAAGAAGGTCAGATGGGAAGAGAGGAAGGAGGGCTGCCACTGCCCAGCAGGCAGCCAGGAGGCCTGTGGATCCCAAGATTGGGATCGATTCCTCGGGTTCATCTCAATATTGTGGGAGGAAAACATAAAGGAGCCCAGAGCCACTTGTTGAGGGCCCTGGAAACTGTCCATATGAAATAGGCACCAACACTCATCTGTGAACTCTTTGAATATGACAAGGGTAAATTCCCAATTTCCCTTTTCCAGGTATAGAACGCTTAAATGCATTTTCCTGAAGCCCTTCTGCCTCCATCTACTAGGATGCCCTCCCACCTTCTCACAGAGGCTGCATGGCTGTCACCTTTCCATGTGGCAGCTGAGTTGGGTGTGGGGATCCCCGTTTGAGAGGCAAAGCTTTTGATGTGCACCAGGGAGCGGACTGATCTGAAGTAGTCGTTTGACTTTGGCAACTGCTTCAGTTTCCTCATGGCAGGTGTGCAGTGGGTCATGTTTCTTTGTTGATTCTGAATTTAGCTTTGAGAAGAATTCTAGAAGAGGTGATCCAAAGCTATCTGGAATAAAATCCTGGAAAGAAGTGGACAGCTCTCCCCAGACAACATGATTTTGGTTGTGCAAGTTCTGGTGGTTTTGTGGGGAGACACCAGGCTTAGGGTCACACCATGTGCACATTCTGTATTATTCTGAGTTGGAAACCATGAGTGCATGCTGCAGCTGGTTGCTATGGAGTCCCGTGGACTGTTGTACTGAGAAAAACTCGGATAGGGAGGGTGCATGTGTGCACGTGTGCCTAAATGCAGTGTGTATGTGTGCCCACATGTGTATGTGTGTTGTGAGCATGTGTGTACAACTGTGTGTTTGTGTTGCATGGGTGCGCATGCCTGTGCATGTGCCTGGGGAGGGTCATCAGAGGGGTAGGAAGAGGACAGACAGGCCCCTGGAAGCCCTTTGCAGCAGGCAGTGAGCAGGCAGGATTCACAGGACCTAGCCTGCCTCTGAGAGGCATTTGGAGGCCTCCCTCTGGGTCTTCTAGGAGCTTCGGTAAGCTGTGGACACATCTATTCCAGTTTGAGAGAGATGGGAGCAGATGAGACTTGATGTGTTCCTGTGTGTGTTTGCAACTCCTTGCATCATCCAGTGACAAGCAGACCCCTGCAATGGTGGCTGAGCAGTGGGGCCTCAGGGAGACCCCACCCTTCCTTGAGGATGGTGTTGTGCCCACTTTCTGTGCCCATGGACCTTCACCTGCACCCCTTTGGAGCCAAACGGCATTTGGGCCTGGGAATTTTTTGGATTATAGTGTGGATACCACATACCCTACACCACCCCTTGAGGTGTGGGGAGCACCCTGTAAGCAAATGGGTTAGTGTTTCGTAGCGAAACCAAATCAGGTAAATAAAGACTCACAGGCATTCAGGTCAAGCTTGGCCTCCAAATGAGTTATGGAACAATGGTCAGTTCTCAAAGTTTATTGGGTTTTGAGTGACTGCTTAGCAATTGCTGACCTGCAAAAGTCAACAAACTCAGTTGACTGAACAAACCAAGTTGACTGAACAAACCCAGTTGACCCAAAAGTCAGGCCCCTTCTTGGTCACAGGGCTTGGCTCTGCTTGCAGATAGGCCCTGTGCCATCAAGCAGGGGCTGGGTAGGGGACCTAAAGGCCAGCACCAGAGGTGGATGCTACTGGAAAGAGACCTGGGGTGGGAGGGATCTGAGGATGAGCTGCTTGGCCCAGGTCCAGCCTCTGCTGAGGTGAATCATTCCTTGGATAGTCTGCAGCCCCCAGGAAGGTTGGGTGGGGGCAACAGCCAGGATGGCCAAGGGATTGATCAGAGACAAGTGGCTCTGGGCCGGGCGCAGTGGCTCACGCATGTAATCCCAGCACTTTGGGAGGCCGAGGTGGGCGGATCACAAGGTCAGGAGTTTGAGACCAGCCTGGCCAACATGGTGAAACCCCCGTCTCTACTAAAAAAATACAAAAATTAGCCAGGCATGGTGGCATGCGCCTGTAATCCCAGGTACTCAGAAGGCTGAGGCAGGAGAATTGCTTGAACCTGGGAGGAGGAGGTTGCAGTGAGCGAAGATCATGCCATTGCACTCCAGCCTGGGCGACAGAGCAAGACTCTGTCTCAAAAACAAAAAAAAAAGGTGGCTCTGGTGTGGGCACCAAGTACGTAAGAGTTCATCTGGTTGGCCCAGTAAGTGCTCTGGGATAAGAAAGGGGTGGCTCCTTTGTCCCTTGTCACGCTGCCCTTTGCCCCAGTGGACCCAGCAGAGGCTGGACCTGGGCCAAGCAGCCCATGCTCAGGGTCAGGGGCAAAGGGGGAAGACAAGAAGGGGAGCTTCCCTGCATAGCGCCCTGGCAGGTAAGGAGGCCACAGATGTGAGGGTTCTGTGAGTCCTGTCACTAGGAACACTGGCGCCAGCTGTCCTGCATCCTGAGTGTGTGGGGCTGTGGGGATCCATCGTCCCACCTACAGTCCTGAGGGGAGCCTCCAGGTTTAGGGCTGTTCAAGGCCCTCCTAAATCTCAGATTGGGTTTCCTATCTACCCGGAAGAAAGAGCGCTAGATTTAGCTTTAAATCAAATTAAACAGGAATAACAAAATGTGATGTGTTTGGCCTAAGATTTATACTCCTTATGTCCACCACCTTAGCCCTTCTGGAGAGACAGAGGCACCTAGGCTCAGACATGTGGAGGGTAGATGGTCACAGGCAGGAGCCCCTGGCCAGAGTAGCCTCTAGAGATGCTCCTCATCATCCCTTCTGGGATTTGTTTTTTCCTAGTTGGAGATTAAAAAAAAAACAAACTTGAAAAATAATTCTGAAATGAACTATACACACAAAAGAGTATCTGTAACTTACATATACATAGAAAATAGCAATAATAAACGAAGACACACCCAGATTAGCAGTTTGAACGTTACCCAGACCTCTAAATGGTCCCATAACATTCTTCTTCTTTTTCCCACTTTCATTGCAATAACCACTGGCCCGGATTATGTGTTAATCATTACCTTGTCTTGTTTAAAGTTTTACTGTAAATGTGTGAGTTGTCAAGCAATAGATAGCTAAATTTTATCTGTTTTTGAACATTTGTAAATAAAGTTATACAGTATAAATTTGGTGACTTGCTTTTTTTCTGCTCATGAGATGCATGCATGATGAGGCATATACCTGTTGGTCAATCATTTCACAGTGCTCCCTTGCAGGAATTATTCGCCTGGTTTCGGGCTTTTGCTACTGCAAACAATGCCCATCTGACTATTCCCTTAAGGGCACAGGTCCCTAAGCGTGATGGCTGTGATTCAAATTCTGCCTCCCAGCACCTGCCTGTGTGGCCTTCTGGGGTCCAGGGTCATCCTTTTTAAAATGAAGATAATAATACTACATGCACCAGCAGGCTCTAAGGAGGACTAAGAGAGTGAATTCAGGTAAAGCATTTAACATGGTACCTCACACAGGATCAGTTTAAAGGTTAGATATAATGATAGTAATGGTGGTAGTCATGATAGTGGTGATGGTGGTGGTGGTGATGATGGTGGAGACGGTGGTGATGGTGGTGGTGATGGTGGTGGTGGTGGTGGCGGTGATGGAGATGGTGGTGATGATGGTGATGGTGGTGATGATGGTGGTGGTGGTGATGGAGATGGTGGTGATGATGGTGATGGTGGTGATGGTGGTGGTGGTGGTGATGGAGATGGTGGTGATGATGGTGATGGTGGTGGTGATGGTGGTTATGGTGGTGATGGTGGTGGTGATGGAGATGGTGGTGGTGATGGTGGTGGTGGTGGTGATGTTGATGACAACTCCTTGGGTACTTATTTGGAAACAGAGTCTTTGCAGACACAGTCAAGTTAAAATGAGATCATGAGGGTGCACCCTAATCCTAAATGACTGGTTCAGGTGTCCTTATAAAAAAGACAATTTTGAGACACAGGCACACAGGAAGAATTTCATTCGAACATGCAGGCAGAGATCTATAAGCTAAGGAACACTAATGATGGCCAGCAAACCACCAGACGCTTAGAAAGAGGCCTGGGTCTCAGCCTCAGAAACCAGCCCTGCCGATGCCTTGATCTCAGACTTCTGGCTTCCGGAATAAACTTCCCCTGTATAAGCCACTCAGTCTGTGAAAGTTTGTTATGGCAGCCCTAGCAAATGGACACAAAAAGCACAGAAAGAGAATTCCTCTCAAATGGAAATGTTCCTACCATTGTCAAGAGATTGATTTTTAAAAATATCATTTTATGTGGGCCTGGGTGCGGTGGCTCACACCTGTAATCCCAGAACTTAAGGAGGCCAAGGCGGGCAGATCACAAGGTCAGGAGATCAAGACCATCCTGGCCAACATGGTGAAACCCCATCTCTACTAAAATACAAAAAAATTAGCCGGGTGTGGTGGTGCGCACCTGTAGTCCCAGCTACTTGGGAAGCTGAGGCAGGGGAATTGCCTGAACTCGCGAGGTGGAGCTTGCAGTGAGCCGAGATGGCACCACTGCACTCCAGCCTGGTGACAGAGCAAGACTCTGTCTCAAAAAAATATATATTTTATGTGCTATTACATTTTTCTTAAAAGATTTATACTACTTTGACACTCAGTGTTATAAAAGGGAAATCCAGAAGAAAACACTTTAGGTAGAATTTGATGATGGCCAGTGTGGGCAGAGTCCATATAATTCTGTCTGCGGCACGCAGTGGCTCTTGAAGACGCCATAATACAGATGCTGCACAAAGGCCACTACTTCCTGTTGCTTTACTGTAGGAATTAAGACATTGAAGGAACTGCTGCTGCCAGCAAGAGAGGCTGTTGCAAGAAAGAAAGGCTGCTGCAAGAAACGCAAGAAAGGCTGCTGCCAGCATTGCATTTCTGTCAAGAAGCTGCCCCGCAAAATTTATGGATGTATCGCTGTATGCACCTAATAGCAAGCTCTACTGGATGAATGGCTTATAAAGATCTCCCCTGAATAAAATTGTGGTTTTTAACTTTAGAAGAACAATGTCAATTCTCTCTGCATCCTTTATGGGAGCCTCAGCATGTGTTCAGCACTGGTATTTATTCTATATGACTGCTTGTTAAGCAACAGGCTGAATTAAAATGGGAAAGCTCACCGAGGAGTTTTCTTGAAATACTGCTTTTCTAGCAAGGAGAACATAGAAGATGGTGAGGCAGCCGCAGCTGGAGTGCTGACTGCCCAGAAGCAGAGGGGCAAAATGCACTCCAGTATGGATTTTGGTCATTGAGGCCTTGCTGAGAGCATGCCCCAGGCTGGGTTCACTTTTGCCTGAAGGGGCTGCAGCAGAATGAAAACTCAACTGTGCAAAACAAAACACTCAAATTTTAAAAAGCACAAGATTCTGCTGGGATCATCTGGCAGCAGGGGCAGCAGGAAAGACGTAATAGAGATTTCAAAGCAGGCTGAGGAGGAGGACAGGGCATTCCAGCCTCTGTGGTTCAGCAATCTCACCACTCCACAACCGACGGTGGCTTTCCAGGTATGCAGATTTGAAGGGTGCCCTTCCATGGAGGGTGATCGAGGTCTGCTAATGCCATTGCTCTGTGGGTGTCATAGTGAGTGCAAGTGCCTTGGCCAGTGTGCACATCCCAAGTGTGATTAACTGAATGTTCCTGTCCCCAGTATGTACATACTCCTGGTTCCTCCAGTGTGAACAGCCCCACAGTGTGCACATTCCCTTAGTGTGCACATGCCTCCAGTGTAAACATCCCTCCAGTGTGCACATCCCCATAGTGAGCACATTCCTCCTGGTGTATACATCCCCCCAGTGTGAACATCCCCCCAGTGTACACATTCCCCCAGTGTACACATCCCCCCGGTGTGCACATCCCCCCAGTGTGTACATCCCCGCAGTGTACACATTTCCCCAGTGTGTACACATCCCCCCAGTGCACACATCCCCCCAGTATACACATCCCCCCAGTGCACAAATCCCCCCAGTGCACACATCCCCCCAGTGTACACATCCCCCCAGTGTACACATCCCCCCAGTGTACACATCCCCTCAGTGCACATCCCCCCAGTGCACACATCCCCCCAGTGTGCACATCCCCCCAGTGTGTACCTCCCCCAGTGTGCACATTCCCCCAGTGTGCACATCCCCCCAGTGTATACATCCTCCCAGTGCACACATCCCCCCAGTGTGTACATCCCCCCAGTGTACACATCCCCCCAGTGTGTACATCCCCCCAGTGCACACATCCCCCCAGTGTATACATCTACCCAGTGTGCACATCCCCTCTGTGTGCACACCTTCCTAGTGTGCACATCCCCCCAGTGCACACATCCCCCCAGTGTATACATCTACCCAGTGTGCACATCCCCTCTGTGTGCACACCTTCCTAGTGTGCACATCCCTCCAGTGTGCATGACCCCCAGTATGCACACCCCAAGTGTACAGATGCCCCCAGGATACACGTTCCCTCAGTGTGCACACCCTGCAGTGTACACATTCTCTTAGTATACACATTCTTCCAGTGTGCATGTCCTTCTAGTATGCATGCCCCCAAGTGTACACATGCCTCCAGTGTACACATTAGCCCAGTGTTCATGCCCCCAGTCTGCACATCTCCTAGTGCACATCCCCTAGTATGCACATCTCCTCAATGTACACACGCCTAGAGTGCATGCCTAGTGTACACACGCCTAGTGTGCATATCCTCCTAGTGTGCCCTTTCTTAGCATTTACACCCCAGTGTGTACATCCAGTACACATGGTGCGCACAGCCCCCAGTGAGCAATCCTTCCCCCAGTGTGCAATCCTTCCCCCAGTGTGCACATGCTCCAGTGTCAACAGCCCCTGGCCAGCCTTGTCCAAGGCATCTCTGCAGGCTCAGCCTATGTAGGCACATGAGGACAATGCAGCAGAGTCAGAAGCTGCCTGTGCTGAGATGATGATAAGGACACGATGCGGAGCACATGGCCCCCGCTCTCAAGCACCTTCTAGTCCCTGGGGTCAGAGTGCTTAGAATGGGGAAGGCTGCTGGACAGGGCTGAGGGGGTCTTAGCTGAGTGAAGATGCTCCATCAGTGAGGGCTCCTGTGGGGACTGAGAAGGCAGCGCTCCCCTCACTCTGGGTCAGCTGATCTGGTGAGTTCATTGCACAGGGCTTCGGGGACAGGGCGGTGTTGTTCATGCTGCTGATGGGAGGAGTCCTGGGCTTGCAGCGCCTGCCTTCCCCGCCCAGCAGGCAGCTCGGAGTTCTGCCCAGCAACCAGGCCCCCTCCATCTGCCGTCTGGGATAATGAGCTGACCCTGAGGCTGCTGGCACAAGCCCACTTTGTGTCTTCTATTCACTGGGATTACCTTTCAGCTTCCCATTGTTCTTTGCTAATGGCCTTAAAACATGCCTGCCTGTTACCTTCCCTAGCCCTGCTGGCTGCTGGAGGAAAGCCTCATCTCCTCCAACTTGAAAGGCCTCCTCCACTCCATCCTGGCCTGGGCGGGTGGTAGGAATGCCAGCCTGGGCACAGGGATGTAAGCCGGCCACCCAGCCTTCAGCTGCAGCCATTAGCCAGGCCTCAAGTGTCACAATATTTTATGGGACGCCTCTCCCCGCCCTTGGTGAACTGGCCGGGTTGCCACATGGCCCAGCTTCTGTGCTTTCCAAGCCCTGCCTCCACTGAGAGCGTGGCTGTCCCCGTGTCTGGACAGATGGCTGAGGTGGGCTGGAGACTGCTGGCCTCTGGCCCTGGCAGGAGCTCATTCACTGTGATTATCCAGTCGTCACCCTGCAAGGGCAGAGGGGACAGGGCAGCAGTGGCTGCATTGACTTTTAACCCTTTCCAGAGTGAAGGGCTGGATCCTTGGGGGAAAGAATTCATCCAAATTGGACGAGCCCTTCACACTCGGCCTCATTATTATCCACGCGTGCAGCAAAATGGGGGAGCCAAATGTCTCCAGTTATTTACACTGCATCTGGCAAAAAGATAATTCGCTTCTTTTGGAGGCATTTGAAAGCTCAACCGTAGTGGGCTTTCACCTAATGCAACCATCAGCATTAAGATGAAGCAGCATATGACAGCGTTATTAAAACATGGCCACTCATTTCCTTTTTGCTTAGCTTTAGAGATGATGAAAACATACAGTGATTCCTTGTTTGAAAAGGAAATGTCAAAGAACAGATGCTATCAGGGTCTGATTTATAAAAGTGTGGGCTTTTATAAAGTGTCCAGGTCTCCTGGGCAGCATCTTTAGGGGACTACTGGACACAGCTCAGGGGGCTGACCCCCTGGCCACTGCCAAGCTACAACCTTCTCAAGGCCCTGAGTCACAGAAGACAGTCTGCGGGTGGCAGTGTCTGTCGCCCGTGTGTGCACATGTGTGCCTGCTCCTGTACAGGGCCCCGGCACGCGTCTCAGACGGGCTGCCGGCTTTGTTGTTGGAGGCGCAGGCTTCTCCAGATTGGCTGGTCTTCAAAGCAATGACATGCCGTGTCAGATCTGCCATAGTCCAGGCACGTGGCAGGCGTCCAGCATGCAAATGAGTCGGACGCTTTGCACTGGCCTGGAGCGCCCTAGACAGCCGCCCCACACCCCTGGGAGGCCCAGCAGGTGCCCGCGAGGCAGGTGTGCAGCTCGCCATATGCTCTGCTGAGCGTCGGGTTTCTGCCAGCATCTTTCAATGACCTACCAGGTGAGATAAAGTGAGTGGAAAGGGGCCCGTGCCAACCTGTGGCTGCACAGGCCACTTCTGGGTAGGGACAGCCCTGAAACCTGGGCAGGGCAGGCAGAGGAGGGACAAATGTCAGGGTGGATAATTGCTTTAAAAATCCCCTGCATTTTAGAAACAGGGAAGGTTTATGGCTAAATTAGATATATACCTTCCAAATGCACTGTCTGTCTCTGCAGAGCCCAGATTTGGAGCTGGAAGCCTAAGATAGGGCCCCAACTTTTCTCCCCGTCATGGCCACCTGGGGAGCCTTAAAAATCCCCATGCTCAGGCTGCTATCAGAGCAGTTAAATCAGACACTCTGGAAGTAGAACCCAGGCATCTGAATTTTTTGTTTCTCATGTGATTCAAAGTTTGAAAACCCATCATTTAGAGCTGTGCTGTCTAATGCAATAGCCACCAGCCAGATGTGGCTATCTTAATTTAAATGTATTAGCATTTTTAAAAGTTAGTCTGTTACATGTGCAAGCTACATTTCAAGTGCTCAGTGGTTGTGCTGAACAGTGCAGACCCTGTTCAGAGAACCTTCTCATTATTGCAGAAAGTTCCATGGAGCAGTGTGCTGTGGAGGGTCCTTTCAGCCCCTTGTCCTCCCTCCCTGAGAAGGTGACCTGCCTTGCTCCGGGGCACATTGGCAGTGCAGGGCAGTACTGTGCTATTCTATTCTCATGCCCTAATGCCTTAGGCTGCTGGGGGCACAGGTGTGCCCAGAGAAAGGCTCCAGAAAATCAAGCTACCACGTGCTTTTCAGCAAAGACTCAGCATGCAAAAATGAGGTGTCCCCCAAACACCTTCATGGAGCCCCCTCCCGGGTGCCAGGCCAACTTTGGTTGACTTCGGTAATGTGTATTTCCATGACATCCTCTTGTCCCCTGGTCATGCATGCCGGAGTCCCAAAAAGCATGGATGTTCCTAAACAGCCCCCTGAGCCCTGCCTTCATGAATGTCAGCGTGGGGGGCTCCGGCAGGCCCACGTGGGCATGTGCCGGTGAGTGTGAAGCCTCTGTCTGCCTGTCTGGGTCCCCTGTAATTCATCAGATGCATGTTTGTAACAAAAGGATCATGCCACACGCCAGGGATCTTTGAAACTGAAAGTTTGGTTCTTAAATGAGCCCAACTGCAAACCAAATGGTGTGTGGAGTGCTGAACGGGTGGGGACAAAAATCGTGGTGGAGGAGGTGGCTTTTCTAGCAGGGCAGCATTTCACAGCACGTGCTGCCAACTGTTGCAAAAAGAAAAAAAAAATCCTAAGAAGAAGAAAGAGAGAGGGAAATGTACATATTCCTGCAGCCCTGCAAGTGCCCTTTCTTCTTCATTGTTCTCTGGAGCAGGCAGCAGGCCCGGCCAACAGCTGTGCATTGCGTGTATCACTAACAGCTGCTTTTTCCTGGGGTGAAATTAAAAGATTAGGGGATATGGGCACGTGCTGGCCTCAGGAGCCCAAACAATGCTTGATTTAGGGTGAAACTTGTCTGGGGAGACTGACAAAGGAGGAGGCTCCGAGTTGGCCAGGGGTCAAAGAGGGGAGCTGGCTTTGACAGAGACAAAAGGAGGGAGGGGGTGGGAGGCAGAGGGCTAGGGGAGCCAGGCCAAGTGAAAAGAGGCCTCGCAGCAGCTGCTCCTGCCCCAGAAATTTGAGACGGGTCTTTTCACAAACACAAATGCCTGAGAAGAATAGGGGGCCACGCTTAGCTGAAATGGCTCGTTTGCAAATGAAAAGGAGATTGGGAGCCCTTACATTTTCCAAGTTTTCACCTAAGAGGATGGAAAATGATTAGTGTAGGCAAGAAGTGTGCAGAGGAGCAGATGGGCCAGCCACCCTGGAGCTGCACTCTGTGTTTACATAACAATCATGCCCACTGCCGGGGTGCAGAAGCCCAGGCCCCCTAAATGTCCAGCAAGGACACTGGCACCCCGGAATTCGATCAGTGCAGTTCCAGCTGGGACTCCACAGGACGTCTTTGCTACAGCGTGTGTGGATATTAATTTATGTGCTGGATAAATTAAATACACTTATAACCATGAAGCGGCAAGGTGATTGCAGCAGGAGGCAGGCTGGCAGACAGCACGCCGGTGTGGTTGTTGTCCCTTGGCAGGATGCCTGACTTCCCAGACTTGCTGTTTCTTCTTGGCCCCTGCTGAGAACATTGGAGGAGAACCCCTGGCCTGCACTTCACCGTGTGTGACGAAAAGGGTTTTAACCATGAGCAAACACAGGGTTGGAAGCCAGTCCCCCAAATCAGGCAGCACAGAAGGAGGATAGCAATAGCCATCTTAGTAGGAAAAGCACCTGCCACACCTCAGGAGCTTCCCATGTGCCTGGTGGGGTCCCACAGCAGCTTCGTGGGTTTGCAAGGGTGCCCAGAGGGCAGCGAGGCCTCGATTCTAGAAATATTCCTGACAAAAATGCACGACCTGAGATAATCTTGAGAAAACATCTGACAAACCTACATGACCTCTGCTCTGAGTTGGATGCCAGGGTCCTGGAAGACAGAAATTTTGGAGACAGAGAGGCAGGCCAGCTGCGAGCAGCACACACTTGGGATGCTCTTCTGTGGTAAAAGGCATTGTCGAAACAACCGGCAAAATCGGAATCAGTTCTGCAGATTAGACAATACAATTGCATCCATGTTCATTTCCAGGGTTTTAGGACTGTACCGTGGTTACATAATAGAATGTCTCTGATTTTTTTTTAGAAAATAAACAGTAAATATTCAGAAGTAAAGAAGCATCATGCCTACAACTGACTCCCATATGGTTCAGAAAAAAATTACAACTCTCTCTCCTCTCTCTCTCTACATATATCTACATTAAGGGGTGGCGGAGGAAGAGAGAAGGCAAAAATGGTACAACGTCAACATTTGGGAAATCCGGGTGAAGATTATGGCCATTCTTTGTACTGTTCTTGCAACCTTTTTTCTAAGTCTGAAATTATGTCAAAATACAAATGTTAAAAGGGCCAAATGGGGCAGTGGAGGTGTAGACCATCTGTGTGGTCATCCTGGTTCCCCTCCCAGGTAGAGACACATCTGGAAGTCGTTAGTTCTGGGGCATTTTGGCACCTCGCTCAGCAATCCCCTGGGTCCAGAGCAGCCCTGGCCCAGGCCTGGTATTCTTATCAGCTCCTAGTACATCTGTGATGGACAATGCCTGCCACCTGGGATTATGTTGTCCAGTGTTGAGTGTGTGGAGGAGGAGACAGGGCTGCTGTTTTGGGCACGAACACTCTCCTGGGCCAGCCTGAAGGATAGAGTGTCCTCCCAAAGTTGACTCAGTTGGAGAGGTCTGAGTCTCTGCTCTGGCTGTGGGAGGCTGTCGAGTCACCAGGTGGGAAGGTTTCCCCGGGGGCCAAGAGGACAAGTCTACAGCTGACCTGGTTGTAGTGGCAGAAGAACAAGGGGCTCAGCCAGCAAACAGGAGAAAGGAGGCCCACTCCCAGAGATGTCCCCGGGCACTGTGGTGGTGGCCACCTCTAACATGCTGGTTTTTTTTTTTTTTACGATGAGCTGCTCTTTTCATACACTGAGTGATAACTGGATCATTGCATTAAATTGACTGCTTCTCCTGCTAGGTATTAGCTGATAGTTTTTTCTTTTGCCCCTCCCTCTTGCCTACACATCTGTATCACCTGGAGAGGTTATTAAGAGTTGCCCAGGCCTCATCCATCCCCAAAGAGCTGTATCAGAATCCCTGGGGATGGGAAAAAGGTGGAAGCTGGGTTTTATTGTGCTGTAAAAAGTCATGATAGGGATTTTGAGTGTGTTTTCAGCATTGCGAAGGGCTGCCTGGTAGGTTGGACTCAAGGACCTAGCTGTGTTCTCAAGAAGAGTGTGGGCTGGGCACTGTGGCTCACACCTGTAATCCCACCATGTGTGAGCACCTGCAGGGTGCCTGGAACCATGCATGGCTCCTCATGGCTGCACATGCGTGTCTGCTGAGTATAAGAAAAAGATCTGAAAGAAATCATTGCTGTTCAGAACAATCTTCACTCAGCACATGGCAACATGCTGGGGATATGCTCATGTCCATACATGTGTCCATGCACATGATCTGTGCTCAGGAAACTGGGGAAAGAAACTGAAAGTAAGCTAAAAAAAAAAAATAGCATGTTCTCAGGGCACACTATCACACACACCCGAACTCAGCTGACTCCTGTGTGGCTTGCTTGTGGCCCAAATCACCTGTTTTCCTCCTACTTCCAACCTTCCCGAGGTTGGAAGGTGCTAGTGAGAGGTGACACAGTGCTAGCAGTGCTAGCAGCCCTCGCAGCCCTCGCTCACTGTTGGCGCCTCCTCGGCCTCCGCGCCCACTCTGGCCGCACTTGAGGAGCCCTTCAGCCTGCCACTGCACTGTGGGAGCCCTTCTCTGGGCTGGCCGAGGCCGGAGCCGGCTCCCTCCGCTTGCGGTGAGGTGTGGAGGGAGAGGCACGGGCCGGAACCGGGGCTTTGCGCAGCACTCGTGGGCCCGCTAGATTCCGGGTGGGCATGGGCTTGGCAGCCCCGCACTCAGAGTGGCTGGCCCTGTCGGCTCCGGGCAGTGAGGGGCTTAGCACCCTGGCCAGCAGCTGTGGAGGGTGCCCCGGGTCCCCCAGCAGTGCTGGCCCACCTGTGCTGCGCTCAATTTCTCGCCAGGCCTTAGCTGCCTCCCGCAGGGCAGGGCTCGGGACCTGCAGCCCCCTATGCCTGAGTCTTCCCCCCGGCGGCCGCCCCCGCCCCCCGGCCCCCCGGCACCCCCCGCCCCCCCCGCCCCCCCCGGGCCCCAGCAGCCGCCGCCCCCCCTCGCCACCCCACCGCCGCCGCCCCCCGCCGCACCGCTGCCCCCGCCCCGCCACCGCCACCCCCCGCCACCGCCCCCCTCCCCCACCACGGGCTCCTGGGCTGCCTGAGCCTCCCCAACGAGCACCACCCCCTGCTCCACAGCGCCCAGTCCCATCAACCACCCAAGGGCTGAGGAGTGCGGGTGCACCGTAAGGGACTGGCAGGCAGCTCCACATGCGGCCCCCCTGCCAGACCCACTGGGTGAAGCCAGCTGGGCTCCTGAGTCTGGTAGGGACTTGGAGAATCTTTATGTCTAGCTAAGGGATTGTAAATACACCAATCAGCACTCTGTATCTAGCTCAAGTTTTGTAAATGCACCAATCAGCACTCTGTGTCTAGCTGAGGGTTTGCAAATACACCAATCCACACTCTGTATCTAGTTAATCTGGTGGGGACTTGGAGAACCTTTATGTCTAGCTCAGGGATTGTAAACGCACCAATCAGCACCCTGTCAAAAAGGAACAATCAGCTCTCTGTAAAACAGACCAATTGGCTCTCTGTAAAATGGACTAATCAGCAGGATGTGGGTGGGGCCAGATAAGAGAAGAAAAGCAGGCTGCTGGCGCCAGAAAAGAGAATAAAAGTGGCAACCCGCTCCGGTCGACTTCCATACTGTGGAAGCTTTGTTTTTTCGCTTTTTGCGGTAGATATTTCTACTACTCACTCTTTGGGTCCACGCTGCCTTTATGAGCTGTAATACTCACCGCAGAGGTCTGCAGCTTCACTCCTGAAGCCAGGGAGACCAGGAACCCACCGAGAGGAACAAACAACTCCAGACGCGCCGCCTTAAGAGCTGTAACACTCAGGGCGAAGGTCTGCAGCTTTACTCTGGAGCCAGCGAGACCACGAACCCACCAGAAGGAAGAAACTCCGAACGCATCTGGACATCAGAAGGAACAAACTCCGGACACGCCGCCTTTAAGAACTGTAACACTCACGGCGAGGGTCCGCCGCTTCTTTCTTGAAGTCAGTGAGACCAAGAACCCACCAATTCCAGACACACTGGTAGAGAGTCGATTTAGCAAAGTGTCATTGCCACACAGAGGGTCCTGTGGGCAGTGACGTTTTGGGGAAGGCGCTGCAGAAAGGTCAGCCGTAGCTTGCTTGCTCCTGGGTTTTACCTCTTCTTCTGCAGAGATTCAGAGCTACAAAAGTCAGACTCCTTGCCACAGGTTTCAAGTGCCGTGGAAGTCCTGCGTGGGGACAGGCAAGGCCTCATGACATCTTGGGACACAGCCCTTGGAGGTAGAGGGAGAGGCCACAGACACCCCCAGAGAGAGCACAGAGCCCTCGGCAGCTGGCCTCACCAGGCTCTGGAGGAGGTGCCTCGGCTTGCCTCTTTCGAACTGGTGTCTTTTCCAAGGCCCAAGTGACTTGCAAATCCACTTTCATCTGCCATAGCATGTTAAAAGTTCTCAAAAACCACAGGGCAGGCCGGGTGCAGTGGCTCACTCCTGTAATTCCAGCATTTTGGGAGGCCGAGGTGGGCAGATCATGAGGTCAAGGGGTCGAGACCAGCCTGGCCAACATGGTGAAACCCCGTCTCTATCAAAAATACAAAAATTAGTCGGGTGTGGTGGCGCGGGCCTGTAATCTCAGCTACTCGGGAGGCTGAGGCAGGAGAATCCCTTCAACCTGGGAGGTAGAGGTTGCAATGAGCCTAGACTGTGCCATTGTTCTCTAGCCTGGGTGACAGAGCAAGACTCTGTCTAAAAAAAAAAAAAAAAACCAAAAACATGGGGCATCTGAAGTTACGACTTCCAGATAATTTAGCAAAAGAGAAAGGTTTCAGAGTAGGAATTTAGCTATGATTTTTTTTAAATTAAATTTTTTAAAATGTGAAAGCACATATTGTGGTGTCTCTTAGCCCCAGAGCCAGAGGGCAATTAGACTCTAGTGTCCTCATTGTACCCTAAAGCAAAAGCTAAGCGTGCTCCTGGCAGGCACAGGCCGTAGCAGGGCCTACAGGCTGCCCCTTTCTTGGTAGTGCAGTGATCCTAGCCAGATCCAGACATATATACTTGGCCCACGGTGAGGGGCTGGCAGGGTTGTGGGAGAGGGTCTGTGTGGCACATGCTGAGTGGTGGATTGTTCTCAGAGTGAAGTGTGTTTTTCTTCTCCAGCACTGCCTCTCTGTAGAGACACGCCTGGCCAGCAGCAGAAGCTCCAGCATTCTTTGTTATCACCTCTCTGGACTAAGTGAGAAGTCCACCCGTCCTATCCCTCTTTACCTTCCAGTTGGGGTTGGGGCCAGCGACTGCTGCATACTGTGGGTGGCAGTTTTGAGATGCACCCACACGTTCTTCAGCACCCCTACCCCTGAGGGGTGAGGTCTGCCTCCTCCCCTGGGACCCAGGCTCATCTTCAGGACTGGCGGATCCACAGTGTCCAGCAGACAGTGTGTCTGCTGGGATGGTGTCTGACTCCTGAGGATGAGCCCTCAAAGGCACTGCAGCTTCTACACTGAGCGCTGCTGGGAGGTTCTTGCTGGAGCCCTGAGTGTTAATAACACCCAACAAGTCCTGCCACCTGTGGCCGCCATAATGCCAGGAAGCACAAAATATCCCATGGGGAGAGAGCACATGGGAAGGGTTGAGGCTGTATGATGAGATGCCTGGCCAGCCCCTGACAGCTCCTGTCACTGTCTGACTACACCGCAGAAAGCCCTAAGCCAGAGCCACCCAGCTGAGCCTTCCTGACACCAGGAGTGAGCATAAAATAACTGTGGTTGTTTTAAGACACTCAGTTTGGGACGATTTGTTACACAGCAGTAGACAATGAGGATACCTGATGCTCCCTGCTATTACCCTTCTCGCTCCAGACTGGGAAACCCCATGCTTCCTGGACAGCCCATGGATTCTTAGAGAGAGGGCCCAAGGGTTCTTCTCCTGCCATTTCCAGCTCTCGGCCCTCAACAAGGCTGCTTCAGATGACGAGGCACAAATCCCAAGCCTTATGCTTGCTTACTTACAAGTGCCTCTGCTAATTTACTTTTAATTCCTCCCTTTCTTTCAAAGGGCTTGCAGGTGCCTTGGCATGCTCCCACAAGGAGTTAAAATGAAATCAAGGACATTGGCAGACTTTAGTAGAAAAGTGGGGAAGAGAAATGAATATATCAGGAATCTAAGATAAAGTGGATGCTGGCATGGAGTTAATACTTAACTCTCATTTCTTGACAGCTAAGGGTTTTTTTTTTTTGAAGTGCCAGTTCTTTAAAAAAAAAAAAAGGTAGAGTAGTTCCTCCAGAGAGGCAAGTTATTTTCCTGGCATTTTTGCCCAGAAAAATAAAGTATTTAAATATACAGCATAGGAAATAACATAACATTTAATGTTTCCAACAAAATGTGTTTTCAGAGGAATAAAACTCTCACGTGGTAATTTTTCGTGTCGTTGCATAATAAAGTCCTTGGGCAAAATGTTTTGTCCTCCTCTGGGCACAGCCTATCTTTTGGCAGCTGGACAGAGCTCAGAAGACCCGGGAGACAGAATCTGCCTTGGCGGGCAGGTCCCTTGTGGACATCGGCAGCCCTTGCTGTGCTTTTAGCAGGAACAGGGTGATGTCTCACCAATGCCAGGGGCAGATATTCTGGGCCGTTGAATGAGGCCGGATCCACATGCTCTTGAGCTTTCCAGACAAAGCAAATGCTGACATTCTGTTCCACAAGTCCTGTCGGGAACTCTGGCTCCAGTGGAGAGCCAGGGGACCGTGAGGGCCAGTCAGCGCCTGCTTCTCCCTTAGAAGGTTTGTTGGGCTGGAATATCTGGACGGCACTCCATGGACTTCTCTGGAGCATGAGACAATCTGAATAGGCACAGGTGGTGCCTTGGATCTGTGCTGTGTGACTCAAGCTGCAGGCTGGAGGTTCTCCCTGGAGACAGCTCGGGCTGCTGTCCTGCTATAGGAACTGGCCAGGCCTCCCTCTGCAGGCACCAAGTAATGGCTTTGCGTTCTTGTTGGTCACGGCTAACATGTATTCATGCCACACAAAACACAGGCACGTGCGGTGCGTGGGTTTTTATGCCTTATCGCCTGTACCAAAAATAAATCTTCCTTGTCAGGCCTGACTCCAGAGCATGGGAGTGGGCACAGCGTCAGTCGTCTGGCACTGCCTCCCTTGTCATCCTGGGGTTGCCATCATGGAATGGAACTGCTCTCTGTCTGCTTTGTCTTACTCCTCCACTCCAGCGTGTACCCACAGAGAGGAATGGCACAGGGGACACACATTTCCCTGGATGTGGGACATCTGCAAGGGCTCTCTGTGTGTCCCTCCAGCAGGAGGGCTGTGTCCTGTTCTTTGGGGGAGCTGGGGATCTGGTGGGTATAAATGCTCCACCTCCGGCTTCCAGCATCCTAACAGAGGCTGCGCCCATTTGGGCAGAAGATTGGACCCGGGGCAGGGTCCGTGAGCACTGGGAGGCTCGCCAGTGGCTTGGCCCTGCGTAAACCTGGACAACTTGGACAAACTCTGGGGCAGGGTGGGGAGAGGCCCAGGAACTACCCTGGTGGAAATTCCCACCCATGTGGTGTGGGGGATCCGGCTCTTGATATGTAGGGAAATGACGAATGTGCAATTTTCTGCTCACCTGAGATCCACGCTGGCCATAAGAGCATTATTATTTTCTGACAGGACAATAAAAATGCGTGCTTTCTCTTACCATCTAGCTCTGTGCACTCCAGTTAAATCACACCTAGCTGGCTGCTGACTCAGCCTCTTGCAGAACGTCCAGACAGATGTTCCAACATTACCTGGTCACTCCTGCCTGGAGCTGCAGCCTCCCTGCTGGTTCCCATCCCCAGGGAGCCGGCCTGCTCTTCCTGCCCTGCCACCTGTGTTGCTCCAGGCTCAGCCCTCATCCTCGGGGAGCATCAAGGTCAGAGTCAGCAATGCTCTCACGTGGTTCTGAACAACATGCCCAGGCAGCTCCCAAGAGCAGCTCTGCCAGATTCTACCATTCCCATTCTCCTGTTGGTGACTATATGCCTTCTCTTTTTATAAAACTATTTCCTTCTCCTTTGTAGGCAGCTCACTCAGTTTCCTTATGGCTGAGTTGCCCCCTTGGTAAGTGAGATATCAGATGTAGGATGCCTAGAAGCCCCTCTACAAAGGACACTGATGACTATGATACTGATGATGTACAGCTTTCTAGAAGCATTGGTGGACCCTGCTATGCACTCTAGACTCCCTTCCAGGAAGACCTTGCTGCCCAGCTGCAGGGATGTGGTCAGCAGACAGCCCCCAGCTGGCCTTCCTCCAGGCTCAGGGTCACCTCAGCTTCCTCAGCCACTGCACCCATCCCAGGTGGCCACCTCCAGCACTGGGGTGCAGTCCAGGAGGCAGTCGCACAGGGCCGGCAGCTGCCTAACGGGCAAATCTTCAGTGGTATCCCTGACCTACAGCCCCCTCGGGGCCAGCCCAGGCTGGCAGGGAGCCTGTATCTTGCTGTCCTGTACCCTGCCCTGTGCTATGGATCCCAGGGTGCTCCTTCATCCAACCCTGCATGCCAGCTCTGTGAGAGTTGGCTAGGATGGGCACAGATGTCAAAGCTGGGGGGCCGGAGAGTTTACTTCCAGCTCCCTCTTTCAATAGGTGAGGCGCAGCATGGCTGACCTGCAGCTCAGCCCCAGCCTCTCTCTGCATATTCATTGGGACAGCAGACAGGAGGCCAGAGAGCCAGTGCTTCCGACAGAAGCCAGGGAGGCCTGTGGAAAACTGTATTTCCTTGTGGTTTATACAATGAGAACACTGGTGTAGAGTTCCAGGCCCCTCCACTCTGTAGGGCATTTTATTTCTTGGCTTCAGTGTCAGAGGACAGAATGACATTAGCCCCATTCAATATTTCTTTCATGCTCTCAAGGGAGGCTGCAGGGCTCCACCTGCCCATCCTGTATGTCTGTAATTTTTGCTCCTGGTTTATTACTTACCCACATGCGCAATGTAAACACGTGCCTACTGAGTGGCCAGGCCGGTCACAGCATCCACCTCCTGAAACCTGTCAGGAGGGGCAGGAGGGGCTCAGAGCCACTTGTGTCCTGGGAGCACAGGACTGGGAATCAGATGGGCTTAAAGTCTCCCCACTGACTTTTATCAGAGCCACATGACCTAGAGGGCTGTCTTAGTCCATTTCCCATTGCTTGTAACAGAATACCTGAAACTGGGTAATGTATAAAGAAAGGGAATTTCTTACAGTTCTGGAGGCTGGGAAGTCCAGGGTCAAGGGCGTGCCTCTGGGGAGGACCTCCTTGCTGGTGGGGACTGACGAACATGCTCAGCAAGGCATCACGTGGTAAGGGGGCTGAGCGTGCTTTCCTTTGCTCATAAAGCCACTGAGATAACCCTTTAATCTGTTAATCAATGAAGAGATTAATCTGTTCCTAAAGGCAGAACCCTCATGATCCAATCACTTCTGATAGGCCCCACCTGAGTCTCAATATTGCCACATTGGGGATTTAGTTTCAACACGAGCTTTGGAGGGAACATTCAAACCATACAAGGATATACACATTCCCGGTCCTCACACATAAACTGGGCGGGAGAGCCTCAGGAGCTGTAGTACTGCCCCCTCAAGTTTCCCTAAAAGCAGCTGCCTTTCTTAGAGCTCAAGGCTGAGGGCACAGCACCGCCCAACTAAAGCTCGGCTGCCCTATATTCTGACGGATCCTTATTGATAAGGCCTGGAAAAGAGATATCCAGGGGAAAAGAACCCAATAGGAAAGAAATTGTGATTCAGGGCCTGGAACAATTTTGAGACTGTCATCAAGCCAAATGCAGAAGGAAAAAACCCACAAAAACAAGGTAACTAAAAACAGGGTAAAATGATAAGCACCCTAAGAGAGTTGTAGTGCAAATATGAAACCAATAAAAAGATGTTATGAAATGAAGCCATGAGGAGCTATAAGACAGGAGGAATTAGTTCATCTTCATGCCGGGAATATTGTTCCTGGCCTGCAGGATGGGAGAATGGCTCTGCAGAGAAGGAAGCTCATTCCTAGGGTGGCTCTACTTGGGTCAGAATTGAACAATAGTTTATAGTTATAATAACGTGAATGTAATCCCGGCACTTTGGAAGGCCAAGGCAGGTGGATCACCTGAGGTCAGGAGTTCAAGACCAGCCTGGCCAACATGGTGAAACCCTGTCTCTATCAAAAATACAAAAAAATTACCTGGGTGGGGTGGTGCATGCCTGTAGTTCCAGCTACTTGGGAGGCTGAGGCAGGAGAATTGCTTGAACCTGGGAGGCAGAGGTTGCAGTGAGCCGAGATCGTGTCACTGCACTCCAGCCTGGGCGACAGAGCAAGACTCCGTCTCTGGAACAAAAAATGTGAATCATGTTCATTTGTCTTTAATTGTTAGAAATCATTTATAAACAGAGCACATGCTGTGTGTTTGTCACTAAAGTGAAGATGGTCAAAAGTAAAAGGCAGGGGAAAAAGGGACATTTAGAAAAAGGTAGGAAAGTCAAGCAAAGGTGGGAGAATTGCTATTCTCATTGCTATTCTTTCATCTTGGAAAATAAGGTGTCAGGAATTACTCCTGAAAGCTGATAAAACAGATACTGAAATATATTCTTAGAGTTCCAAAGATAACAAATAAACTAGCTAAAGTCATAAATATAAATGCCAGACATTGGGAAAAGAGGGTAGCATAAGTTAGCAAAATATCCACTTTCCTTTTTTTTTTTTTTTTCTGAGACGGAGTCTCGCTCTGTAGCCCAGGCTGAAGTGCAATGGCACGATCTCAGCTCACTGCAACCTCCGCCTCCCAGATCCTGGTTCAAGCAATTCTCCTGCCTCAGCCTCCTGAGTAGCATAGGCATGCTCCACCAGTTATTTTTGTATTTTTAGTAGAGACGGAGTTTCACCATGTTGGCCAGGCTTGTCTTGAACTCCTGACCTCGTGATCTGCCCACCTCGGCCTCCCAAAGTGCTGAGATTACAGGTGTGAGCCACCGTGCCTGGCCACAAGATATTCACTTTTCAACTGGAAAGTCAATTGGTGTTTCCCACAGCTGATAACTTGTCAGAACAGAGGCATCTATCACAGGCAATCACAGATGACTGAATCCAGGAACAGCTATCAGATTTTCCCCGGAGAGGTGGAGAGGGGAGAGTGTAAGACCTTTGCCTTGCATCATAGCCTCTTTTGTTGTTGGTTTTTTCCCCCCTTTGGCTATCAGGTGATGTATTACATGGTACAAATAAACATTTTTAAAAGGCAATATGTCTTTGCAGAAAACTTGGAAAATATAGAAAAGCAAATAGAGAAAAGTAAAATTACTGGCAATCAGGGATAACCAGTTAGGATTCTTATTGTTGGTAGATTTCATATTCCATTATGGTCATTTTTCTTAAATAATTATTGTGTATACATTTTTGACATTTTCTTTTCTTTTTTTTTTTGAGATGGAGTTTCGCTCTTGTTGCCCAGGCTGGAGTGCAATGGCACCATCTCTGCTCACCACAACCTCCGCCTCCCGGGTTCAAGAGATTCTCCTGCCTCAGCCTCCCAAGTAGCTGGGACTACAGGCATGCACCACCACGCCTGGCTAATTTTGTATTTTTAGTAGAGACGGGGTTTCTCCATGTTGGTCAGGCTGGTCTCGAACTCCTGAACTCAGGCGATCTGCTTGCCTAGGCCTCTGAAAGTGCTGGGATTACAGGTGTAAGCCACTGCACCCGGGCAACAGGAGCGTGTGATAAGTTTAGATTTCTTTGAAAATGAAGTTTTAAATATTATGTATTAATATTTACATATTATCCTCCATCACCTTATGCACCACAACATATAATAATTCCCCTAATATGGGATATTTGGGTTGTTTGCAGTATATGTTATTATGACAAATTCCAAGGTAAGCTTTTTTTAAACATAAATCTTAGTATTCTTAAAGGTTTCCTTAGGATATATTCTTAGGGGATTACAGGGTCAATATGTATAAAGATGTTTAAAGCTCTATGTTGCAAGAATGCTTTCAGTAAGACTCCACTTAATTTCCTTTTCTTTGAAGGTCTACTAGTCTACCCATTGTCATGGTTTGTATCCTTTGGACCTATAGGTTATACTGAAAGTTAACATGTAATTATCAGAGATTTGCTATTTATCTGGGAGAAATTCCATTATTATGTGGTGTTGGTAGCACACTGTAAATATTGACCTCTGTAGCTAGGTGTAAAACCACAGGATTTGTGAATTCAAACCACTAATGAGTCCTGAAAATAGCAACTCTTAAGAACTGAGTATAGGGCTGACTATCGTGCTGAGAGCAGGAGGGAAGTATTGCTGACTGTGCGAAGACTAATGAGGTTTGAAGATCAACCTCAAACTTTACCAGCTTATATCTTCCTCCCCTCCCCTCCCTTCCCCTCTGTCCCCTCCCCTCCCCTCTGTCCCTCTCGTTCCCTCCCCTTCCCTCTCCTCTCCTCTCCTCTTTTCTTTTCCCACTATCCCTCCATCCTTTCATCCATCTGTCTATCCCACCAAGTTTTTGTTTTTTTTTTTGAGATGCTGTCTCACTCTGTTGCCCAGGCTGGAGTGCAGTGGCACAGTCTCGGCTCATTGCAACCTCCGCCCCCTGGGTTCAAGCGATTCTCCTTCCTCAACCTTCTGAGTAGCTGGGATTACAGGTGCCTGCCACCGCCCCTGGCTAATTTTTGTATTTTTAGTACAGACGGGGTTTCACTATCTTGGCCACACTGGTATTGAACACCTGACCTTGTGATCCACCCGCCTTGGCTTCCCAAAGTCTCATCAAGATTTTAAAAAGCTTCTTCAAAGTACTACTGCAGGCCAGGTGTGGTAGCTCACGCCCACAATCCTAGCACTTTGGGAGGCCAAGGCAGGAGGATCTCTTGAGTCCAGGAGTTCAAGACCCGCCTGGGCAACTTGGAGAAACCCTTGTCTCTACAAAAAAATACAAAAATTAGCCAAGCATGGTGGTAGGCGCTTGTGGTCTCAGCTACTTAGGAGGCTGAGGTGGGAGGATAGCTTGAGCCTGGGAGGTGGAGGTTGCAGTGAGTTAAGATTGTTTCACTGTACTCCAGCCTGGGTGACAGAGTGAGACCCTACCTCAAAAAACAGAGAAACAAAAAAACAAACAACAAACAACAACAACAACAAGAACTACTACTGCAGCAATCCCTTTCAGTGCTTCAAAAGATCAGAACTTTACCACGATTGACTCCTATGAAACTGAAGCTCTATGGGGCATTTTGACTTCAAAAGCAGCCACACAAAATATACCTCAAGTAATCCAAGGACACAAGGACACAGACGATGTTTGTGGGGAGGCTCAGAAATACTCCCCAACTTCTGAGAACATTAGATATTTTTATCTAGAGTGAAGAAAGCAGAAAATGACAAAAGATAAAATTCAGATACCAGAAGTTTAAGAGGACCATATAGACCAAATCCATTTTGTTCCGGGTGGGGCAGAGAGGTGCTTTTATAGAGAATTTGAAGGCCTCTAGAAGCTTCCAGTAACTGTGCAGGTTAGAATTTGAAAAAGTGCAAATAACTGAGAGGGAATCCATCTTAAACTGTAGTGTCTTTTCAAACTTTTTGTGAGTGCTCTGGTTCTGATCTCTCTCTTGTGTAGGTGACAGCTTTGCTGAGACAGAGGCTTTCTTCCTGTCTCGAGAAGGGAGCATCTGCACCATTATCAGTTCCTCTGAGTTGCTAATTACTTTTTGGTTTTGTGATTCTCTCAACAAAATAACATATCAAGAGAGGATGCTGCCAAGGCCTGGCTTTACAGTTGCATTATGAATCTTCTTGGACTGTCCTCTGAAGTTGGCCAGGCTCATCAAATATTTATAAACTCAGTACCTAATTCCACAGGGCACCTCGAAACATACACCATGAATGAGGCTATGGGCCTGGAGGCTGGGATCTTCAAGCTCACTGAAGCCACAGGGTGTCCTTATAAAAGAGCTTCATAAAAATGCAAATTAATAATAACAGTAGATCATCACTTATTCAACCTCCACTTTGAGGATCGTGGGCCATAATTAGGATGAAGTGCCAAGAACTGAGCCCCAGGGAGTTTGTAACTTTTTTTACTCTGGGGTCTAAGGGACATCATGGGGGCTTTTTGAGTTGAAAAATAAAGTGAAATTTGTGTCTCACACTACACCTACAGTTCCTTCTTGTCTCGATTGCCAGGAGGAAAGACTGAGATATAATACCTATCAGAGAATACTGACTGAAAAATAATTCACATTAATTCAACCTATTTATCCATGATGCCATTTTAATCATTAAAACATGGAAGACTTGGCCGGGAGCAGTGGCTCACACCTGTAATCCCAGCACTTTGGGAGGCCGAGGAGGGTGAATCACCTGAGGTCAGGAGTTCGAGACCAGCCTGACCAACATGGCGAAACCCTGTCTCTACTGAAAATACAAAATTAGCTAGGCATGGTGGCTTGTGCCTGTAATCTCAGCTACTCGGGAGGCTGAGGCAGGAGAATTGCTTGAACCCGGGAGGCAGAGGTTGCAGTGAGCTGAGATCACGTCACTGCACTCCAGCCTGGGCAACAAGAGTGAGACTCCATCTCAAAAAACAAAACAAAACAAAACAAAACAAAACAAAACAAAACATGGAAGGCTAGAATGTCAGAGGTAAAGTTTGGTGAAGTTACTGGGTCAGCTCTGTACACTAAAAAAAAAAAATGCTTGAAAATCATCCAGGATGTCTGCTGGGCCATCTTCAGATGGAGGTGGTGTTCTTTGGCAAGTGGTAGTCAACACAGCGGGAAAAAAATAGAGGAATGAAATGGATGGTGGTACAAGATGATGGCCTACAATTAATGGAGAGGGGGCGACACTGAAAATCTCTGGGGGGCGAGTAAATATTAAAGGTGATTGGATTTTTTAAAATGAGAGAAAATGTAGAAACAAAACACAGTGTGAGGTTGAGTAAGATGGAGATGATAAGATAGAAGAAATCTGGGTGGGGACATGAAGCTGGAGCAGACGAGGGGAGTGCAAGGCCCAGAATGTGCTTTGGAGATGAATGGAGAACTTAGGGACAATAAAGACTGTGTAGAGAGAGAAAGATGGAGTAAGAAAAAGAGAGGGACTGGCAGCTGCAGTGGCACATGTGCACTGAAGCAAGCTCGTGGCTACTGCTGTACCTCCATCTCTCTGGCTCTCTCTCCTCCTCCCCAGCCTCCAAGGGGCCAGCATGAAAATGCAGAGGACAGAGATGTGTGCTAAGCACGGCACTCATATGGTGTACCCCCAGTTGGGAGACTAAAGCTGTGCTAGTAGGGGCATAAGATAGCTGGGTGCTCTCTGGTGTGAATTTGGGGTAGAAAACTAACCATCTGACATAGCCGTAGTAGGTACATTGGTCGCCTTTTCCTTCGTGTGCTTGGAGGTAGAAGGGCGAACTGTTTCTGAGAGTGGAGAATGCCCTTTCCATCCTTTCTCTACCATTGCATGACAGGGCATGGGCAATGCTGTTTTCTTAGGCAGGAAGTCTATGTCCAGGGAAGGAGCATGAGAGACAAGGGGACTCCTAAAGGGAGGCCGGAAGGAGAGGATTCTGGGGTGGGGAAGAAGCGGACGCCTCCATCGGGCTGTATGCCAGCCTGAGGTATGAAAGGCTCACCACAGGGTCATGCTCAGAGGATGGCCGGTCCTTACAAGGGCACAGGGCTGCTGACGGGATACGCTGCTATGTGGGAGGAATTTGCCAAATGACAACCTTGGATGAAGAACTGCTCAAGTCTTTTTTTGGTGTCCGTTGTGAGCTCACACAGAGGAAACCTACCTACCAATGCAGAAACTGGATGAACAGGGGAGAAGTCAGAAAGCCCTTTATTGTGGATCACGGGGCAGTGAGGGGTGCCCTACCCACACATGGCATCCAGCAGGCAACAGTACCCTGACCTTCCTCCCAAGTTGTAGTTAGACATCCCTACGGAACAAATAAGAAAGGGCTCTCACATGGCTATATATTTAGACAAATACACAGATCAACTGACGTATTCATCAATGGATGCACAGATAGGCACATTCATACCTGGAACCTAGTGGGGCACACATTTTGAAAACACATTTTTCTGTAAGGTGATCTTGATAACATCCAGTGGTCACTGAGTGCCTACTTGGACATTATGTTGAGTACTTCACATTTAATTGGCACAATACCCCTTTAGGTAGAAACCGTAAGTTGCCCCATGGTCTGGCTTGGGCAGTGATGCACTAGAGTTTGAGCTCCTGCTCAGGGTCTCACCACCGGGCATGTAGCCAGATACAGGGCTCTAGCCCTCGGTGCTGCAGGGCCTACCCCGGAAAAAACCACCCCCTCTCCCAGTTTAATGCAAACAAGGAGAGCGGCTGGAGTGAATGGAAAGCACCATCACACTTTGAGGCAGATGAACCTTGATGAAGATGAGCAATGAAATGTATTGTGGGAAGTCAGTGATGCTAAGGAGCCATGGCTGGAAGGTTCTGCCGAGGCAGCAGGTGTGGAGGCTGAGGCACTGAGGGGCCACACCTTGCACAGGCTCCCCAGTTTGTCTCCACTGGATGATGTACCCCCTCTGTAAACCTTGTTTTGAACACACCTCTCCACGTAAGAGATGAAAAAAATATTAAGAGAAGCTCTAGTATGTTCTCCCTGCCCCCGCGGCCCTGCTTGTGTGTCCCGCCTCACACCGGGGCATCTGGGAGCTGCAGAGATGGGGAATAGGAAAAGCGATTTCGGGTCTATTGGCTCAGGCTTAAACAGTGAAAGAGAAGTTGGATAGGCGGAACTTGTATAAAAAGGTTTAAGGGCTTTCTCAGTAAGAGGCTTAATGAGGGCTAATATATGCCATCTAATATGCAGCATCTATTTTTAGGAAAGCTTGATTTTGCTAAGTGTCTCTGAGATGTTAGGATTCAGATGGTAGGGCAAATGACGGCTTTGGAATAAGGTGTTCTTATGTAAATCCCCAGGCTCTGCAGCCAATGAGATGACCCATTCCAATTACAAGGGGGATATGGGAGGAGGTAGAGGCCCCAAAGGGTAGGATCAGGGGCCGGCTGTGGAGCCAGCTCTGCCCTGAAGGGGCTGAAGCCCACCCGGCCTGCAGCTGCTTCCTGCTGCAGGACAGCCCTGGAAGGTCTGCAGCTCCCGTCAAAGGTATTGTCTCCCTCCGTGTCCACTTTGCTAAACTGTGATGTGATCAGCGTAATCAACCTGAAAATCTGCAGACATATCATGCCAGAGACACAGCCTGCAGCTTAATTTTAAGACTGCTTCACTCCATGATTCCTTTGATTCAGCTGGGGTGGGAGCTGCTGGGAGGTGATATGCAAATTTATGCAAATGAGAAGCAATTCAGAGTAGCTCAGAGTCCAGATCCCTTTTGTTCTTGGCTGTAGTGGGATTGGGTTCCTGGGCTGAGGAGAGCAGGACTGTCTTATGAACATCTTGCCCCTGAGGGTAAATGCTATAGTTTCTCAAACCTCTGCTAGTTGTTAAATTGTCTGCAAGTATTTTGACCTGGTTGAAGCTAATTTGAATTTATAACTAACTGTAACAGGGCACTGAAAAATTAAATTAATTGCAACTAAATTGACTTAAAAAAGAATTCACCAGGTTTTAGTTCCATTTGGACGTTCAGTCCTATTTTGATCCGGTGTGACCTATAGTCTCTGTCACTTTTGGTTTTTTGTTGTTTTTTGAGACGGAGTCTGGCTCTGTTGCCAGGCTGGAGTGCAGTGGTGCAATCTCAGCTCACTGCAACCTCCACCTCCCAGGTTCAAGTGATCCTCCTGCCTCAGTCCCCTGAGTAGCTGGGACTACAGGTGCGCGCCACCATGCCCAGCTAATTTTTTGTATTTTTAGTAGAGATGGGGTTTCACCATGTGGGCCAGGATGGTCTCGATCTCTTCACCTCGTGATCCGCCTGCCTTGGACTCCCAAAGTGCTGGGATTACGGGCATGAGCCACTGCACTCGGCCGTCTCTGTCACTTTTAAAAATGACACCTGGGACCTTGACAGGCTGTAGCCCTGAGGCAAGTGCCATACCTTTAGATGGTCTCCAGTTCTAGGTTCTACTAAAAGAAGACCTGATAAAGTGGCTATATTTTAAATTCTGGAAAGCCTGGCCACCCCACGAAGTCCCTGGTGAAATCTGCATGTCACTTAGGTTGGCAATGCCTGCGCCCTCCCTAGTGGTGCCAGCAAGGCAGTCATTTCTCTAACCTACCAGCTGCTCCTGTGAAAAGGGAGCATTCAGTGCAGAAAACTAGGAGGGAAAGGAACTCACCTCCACTTCCTGGGTGCTGATGAAAGATGCTGACATCTCCCCTTCCTCTAGGTGCAGAGGGTGCAGGCCCATTTCACAATGGGGAAGACTGATGCTCAGAGAATAGCCAGTATGCTTGATCATACCGGTGGCATGTGGCAGAGAAGGCTGAAGTCCAGGTTCTACTGTTGGCAAAGCTTGGGCCCTTTCCACTCTGCTGTGCCTTCCTCACCTCCACAGTGACCTGGACATGAAAGGCCCTCTTGGATGAACTGGTAGTGTCACTGGCAGCAGCTGCTAGGCTACCAGGCTGGGCTGGCTTGCCATCCTGGCTTCCCCACTGGCCGGGTATGTGGACCTGTGTGATGGTGGATTGTATGTGCCAACTTGGCTGGGTCATGGGGTGCCAAGATATTTGGTCAAACATTCTCCTGGGTGTTTCTGTGAAGCTAACTTTAAATCAATGAACTGTGAGGAAAGCAGATTGTCCTCCCTAATATGGGTGGGCCTCATCAGTTCATTGAAGACCTGAATAGAGCAAAAGGCTGATCTTGCCTGGGAGGAGAGAGTTGCCTTTGGACTTCTCTGCACCATCAGCAGACAGCCTTCAGATGCCTGCAGTGTCAGCTCTCCTGGGGCTCCAGCCTGTGGCCCACCATCCAGAGTTTGGAACTTGCCAGTCTCTGTATTCATGTGAGCAAAGTCCCCTAGACTTTCTCTCTCTATACACACTTTGCTGGCTATTTTCCTCTGGAGAGCCCTGACTCATACCGTTGCACTGAGCTTTTTGACTTTTCGGATCTCCCGCTTTTCTGTGCTCTGCAATAAATCACCCTTGAATCACAGAAATGGGATGATGAAGGCTGGTGGTCTTTAAACTTTAGCAAGAACCACAACCATTCAGAGGTTTCTTAAAACTCAGATTGCTGGGTCTCAACCCAGGAGATCCTGATTCAGCAGGTCTGGGATGGGGCCTGGAATTTGCATTTTTACATGTTCCTGGGTGGTGCTTTGAAAACGACTTCTGTCAATGACAGTCCGGAACAATGACTGACCTGCTCTAAGCATCTGATAAACAGTGGCTACTGTGCATACTGACCCATATGTTCTGAGAAATGTTTCTGTTGTGGGAGGACTAGCAGTCTTGTTGGGATTATTTGGTGTGGACGCAGCTCCCAGGTATCCCTGAACTCATTTGCAGGAGTGGTGACTTCGGGGAGACTATAAAGGAAGAACTTGGTACCCACAGACCCACCCTAATCAAGCTTGTCATGGTCTCTCCCTGCTTACAGCACAGATCTTCACGGATTGCAGCATTCAGGACCTGAGTCCATGCCCATGCAGAGGCCCATTGCAGTGTTTGCTTAGCATAGCTGCATTTCCAGAATGTAGGCAGGAGAAGCTGTAAAAGATTCTCACCCTGCCATGCACACTGATGGCTCACATTCTAAAGAGTCAGGTGAGTGAAGTTTAACTGGACTTTGAAGACTGAAAAATTTTTATGTTTGGTACTTTTTAGAATAATTGAGTGTATTTTAAAACTCTGATCAAAAATCGTGGCTGGTTTAAGGGGTTATGCCAATCTGGATTCTATTGTTTCAAAAAGGGAAGAAAATCAAAGAGGCTAGTCTGAATCTTCAGACTCTTTGGAGATTGAGAGCCAGGGCCTATGGTCCCAAATTTGGGAGAAAATTCTTTTGAGATGACACATTTTATTTTAAGGTGCCTTTGTCAAATTCCACAGGGCATCAGGAGCAGTGTTCTGCACCCTGAGGGTGGGGCGTTAGCTGTGCCTGCTGCTGTGGGATTCCTATCACAGGGGACTGGGTCACCATGGAATGACTGATGAGCTCCTTCTCTCCTCTGTGTCCGGAACATAGGCAGCAATGGCACTGCATACACAAGGGTAACTCACACAGCTGCCTGCGACCACCTGCCCTTCACAGCCCAGATGAGCCATCATTTTACATTAGTAACTGCTTTACTTCCCCACGCCAAAGGCAGAACTAGAGTGCTGAGCTGCAGCAAGTGACCCCAGTCCCATCCAAGCCCATGGCCGACTCAGACGCGGGTGGGCCTGGGCAGCTGCTGGCCTCCACAGTGAGGAGAGGGACAGTGAGCGGGTATGGGCAGAGAGCCCATGGCAGTCCAAGGACCTCAGCCCAGGGCAGCTCCCTTGACTTCAGGGTTTTTAACTGAGCCCATTGTTGGGAAGAACCCTGGGACAGTTGATGGACACAGCCTTGGTCAGTGGCTGCCCAGCTCAGAGGCTCTGTGGAGGCTCCTGGGGACGGGCAAGGCTGGGCTGCTCGTGCCACGCTATCAGGGACTCAGGAGGGGTATAGACCGGGATTAAAACCCCCTATTTGATTCCTGCTCTCTTCCCAGGCAGGGGGAGCTTGGATATCGCTCAGGGTCGATTATGTTTAGGATTAAATGGGGATGCTATAGTCTTTTGGGGAGCTGGCAAGAATGAGGACTCTGACACAGCAGGTCTGGGGTGGGGTCTGAGGGTTTGGCTTGCTACCCAGCTCCTGGGAGAGGTTGTTGGTTTACAAGCCACACTTTGAATAGCAGGGTTCTAGTCTCCATGGATGCTCCTCTTGATAGAGACAAAAGCCAACTTTGTAATCCTGGATGTAAATTTGAGTAGGGAAAGTCTCTCCTTGTTTTCTAACTTCCGTTGGCACTGATTTTCATCTCTTAATGACAAACTCTGTACTGTTAGGGGCCATATGTATGTGTGGCTTCAGCAGTGCTTGGCAAAAATGTCCCTGTGTACATGAACTCTTGATTGGCTGAATGAAAAAGGTCAGTGATGTCTCCCGCTAAAGCATTTATAGGAGCAAGGCACATTTTCCAGTTTGGTAAAAGAGGAGGTCAACCTTTGCATGTGGGTCTCGTGAGAGATTTCCAATTCGTTCCAGCGACAGGCCCTGGATTCTTAGAACGTCTGCCTGGTGACTTACCAGCTTGAATTTCTCAGGCCTGCCCGCCAGGCTCTCCTAGTCTGACGCAGAACATGTCACCAACTTCGTGGCTACCATCTCCATTAGAGGCATCGATTGCTTCAAATGCTCACTCCTGATGGAAGCCAAGGGTCATAGTCCCAAGTCCACACTTTCTCTCCTCTCTCAGTGACAATCCAGTCCCAGTAGGACGGTGACCCTGGGACTCGAGCTGTGTTCAGAGTCACCTCTTTTCGCTTTGATGTGCTCACTTTGCCTGATTTGAATTCACTCAGTCTTCCTCTTTCTCTGGCACATTCAATGCTTTGGGTTCAGTTCGTCTTGCTACCCAATTCCCTCCAGGGCTGACCATTTCCAAACCTTCAACCCTCACTCCCTTTCTCCCAATCCCACTCCAGCCTCACCTACTCCACAGACCTTTCCAGGGGACGTTCAGCTGCTGCCCTTCTCTGTCCTCCCATGGACATACATTACCTTCTTCAGTTGCAGCTGAGGTGTCTTCACATTGCACTGTTTTCTCTAGTGTGTTTGTTCACGTGTCTTATTTTTGGCTTTCTTTATTAGCTGGAAGGGCCCTGGTGCGCCCACATCCCTCTCCAGAGAGTTCTGTCTGGTGATTTGCACACGTGAGGCCAGGAGAATTGCCATGTAAGGTCTGAGTGTCCACCTCTAGCTCTTTCTTGTCTCTTAAAGAAACAAAATACAGGGGCCGGGCACAATGGCTCATGCCTGTAATCCCAGCACTTTGGGAGGCCGAGGCCGGAGGATAGCTTGAGCTCAGGCATTCGAGACCAGCCTGGGCAACATGGTGAAACCTCATCTCTACTAAAAACACAAAAACTAACCAGGTGTGGTAGCACGTGCCTGTAATCCCAGCTACTTGGGAGGCTGGGACACGAGAATCACTTGCACCTGGGAGGTGGAGGTCGCAGTGAGCCGAAATCATAGCACTGCACTTCAGCCTGGGTGACAGAACAAGACCCTGTCTCAAAAATATAAAATTAAATTTAAAAATAATAAAATAAAATAAAATAAAATAAACAAAATACAGGGATGGGGGTGTGTGTTGATCCATGTGGCACCTCTTAGTGAGACTGCAACAATCCCTTGATCCAGAAATAATCCCTGCTTCTTGCCCCTACATCACAATTTACAATGTGGCACAATTATTCTGTAGCATTTGCATGTTAAATGGGCAAGAAAACTTAAAAAAGAATTCATTGAATGTCTCTGGTTAGAAAACAAAGACTCACCTCCTTTGTCAGAGAAGTGACCTTTAGAAACCAGGCTTGCAGATGATACAAGATAAACTAAGATAAACTTAACACCTGCAGTTTACACTGACATTCACATTTGCTAGCCTTAGGGACTCTCTCCAATGTTGTGAGGCTTTTCACATCACTTGAAAAGGAGCAAGAAAGACCTAGAATTCTTGAGTTTCATTAGGAACCTCCAGGGATGGAGGGGGCTGAGTATTTCTATCAGCCTGGTGGCTTGGAGCCCTGAGCTAGTGGCCCTCAAATATTTTAAGGTCGATTTGTGTCTGTCCTGAACCTCATTCACATGCAAATTCTTTTTAAATAGAAATTTGTAAATGGCGTGCACACCTCTAAGAGCGCTGCAGCTACTTGTCCAGTGTCTTGCCTTCTTTCTGAGTTACTGTTGGAGCCACGGCCAAAATTAGAGAGGCGTTTTCTGTAATGCTGAGAAAAGCAGGAAGCGGTGAGACGCTTGTAGCAGAACACGCAAAACTGTTTGGCGGTGGCCCCCCCTCCACCTCCCACCCACCGCTCTGTAATTTCCCCAGGCAAGGCTGAAGGAGCCTTTCTTGGAAAACCCCTGATAACGTTGCTACACAAAGGTTGGGAGAGTCCCTGACGGCCTGTGAGGGACCATGTGGGGCTGGGGGTGGATAGGGGAGCTTGACTCTGCAGTCCCCAGGGCAGTCTGAGTCCCCAGTGCCTGGCGTGGGTGAGCTCAGGGCTGCTCCGTATGGGGGCATCCAGGCCTGGCTGCTGATGCCCTGTGGCTGAGGACACCTCCATCTGCATGAGCCAGTTTGGAAGTCCAGCTTGCCCCCCAGGCAGTGGAGGCCAGTAAGGGCTTCTCCCCAGATTGACCACTCAGATCAAATTGATCCAGGTGTTGAGACAGAATTGGCCCCATTTTCTGCTAATTTCCATTCTCTGATTGTGCTGCCTGCTACAGGAGTCATTTTGGATTTGGGCTGACCTGGTAGACTTCTGAAAGACAGTGCTCTGGGTTCAAGTTGTCCTCAGGTAAGTTATTACCTAATTGCCTCCAGCACCATCCCGTTCCAAACCCTCACTCCCTCTTCTTCCTTTCCCACTCCAGCCTTATCTTCTCTACGGTCCCTCTGCAGGTTGCGTCCAGCAGCTGGACTCTTCTAAGAGCGTGGTATCAGTGCAAGATGCTATTTGGTGCTTCCTAGGTAGATACTGTAGTAAGTCCAGGTTTTATGGGACTGATGCTGGAGTGCCTGCTATGAGAAAGAACACAGAATTACAACACAATTTACATTCCCCCCCACCCCCACCTCTAGGAGGGGTTAGAATGTGAACTGCTGGCAGACTGAACCCACTGCAGTTCAAATCCCTTACTTTGTCAAATTTAAGAAAAGGTATAATAATGATTATCTGTTGCTAAGGCACCTCTCAATACCATGAGTGGCCTGTGTAGGTGAAGGGTCTTTAGGCCTAGTCATCATCAAGGCATGGAGGGGTCCGTGTCATAGCTAGTAACATGGTTCTAGAACATTTCAGAAGCACCAACACCATGCTTTGGCCATGGCATTTATTTTAAAATAGTATCCCCATATGTGATAGCAATACTAGAGGAAATACGTAACAGAAGGGATCTTCCCACATTCCATCATCCTGGCAAAACAGCTGCTCTCTTCTCAGTACAAATGCATGTTTCTAAACAGTTGTAATGACAACCTTGGAGTGAGGAAGGCCTTTCTAAGAAAGACACAAAAACCTGGAAAAGATTGACACACATAAAAATAAAATAATGTGGGCAACGCATTTCCAAGTCTAAAGACAAATGGAAATGTGGGAAAATATTTACAACTCATATCGTAGACAAGGAGCTAATTTTCCTAATTTATGAAGAACTCCTATAAATCAATAACAAAAAGACCAATAGTTCAAAAGGATTAAAATATATTAATAAAAGTTTTCAGACAAGGGAATACAAACAGTTTTAAGCACATGAAATATGTAAGAGCTATATTGAAATTTTTAAAGAGCAGGGTTTTTTAAAATTTTATTTTTATTTTTTGAGACAGAGTTTCATTCTGTGGCCCAGGCTGGAGTACAGTGTCGCGATCTCTCAGCTCACTGCAACCTCCACCTCCCGGATTCAAGCAATTATCCTGCCTCAGCCTCCTGAGTAGCTGGGATCACAGGCACCTGCCACCACTCCCAGCTAAGAGCAGGGTTTTTTGTTAATGTAGGAAATCCGAAGGCCCAAATTCTTTGTGGAAGAAGAATAAAACTGGACTACTCACTCTGTCCGAAGGAAAGATCTGTTAGAAAGCTAGAGGAATTAAGACGGTGTGATGTTTGCACACGAATGGACAGATCAGTGTAAAAAAAGACATTGCTAACTTAAAAATCACACAATCTATAAGTTTGGAAAAGGAGACTTGATGGTTACAGCCATCAACGTGGCCATCCCTTAGACCAGGAAGCTTGCCTTTGGCCAAAGCCAGAGACAGGCACTCTGAAGGAGAGATTAGGGCAGCAGCTTTGTGCTAAATGGGTTGGATAAACATGCATCTTCAACAGGTTATAGGAGGAGCTAGGAGTATTCATGAGGTGGTCCTGATGCATGTGTGCTGAACCCACATGTATGTAACATACAACTTATGTCTACCTTGGGGTGGAGACTGAACATTTAAATGTATTACAGTCAGGCCCTATACGTCAAGAGGTATTTTCAGGACATGAAGGGATTCAAGTGCACAGCCTCTGTAAACCAGCCAGAGCCAGTGCTGTAGTTGTGGCTGGTGGAACAGGCGTTCAGTTACTCAGCCTCGGTGAGCTGGATGGGTTGTAATTGCTTTAATATTGCTTATCTCAAGGCTGGAGCTTGTTTAGCTGCTAGAGAAAGAGAACCCCAAAAGGAAGAGAGTTTAATGAGACATGTCTGACCACCTGTCCCATCATGGAACTTAGTTTTTAAGGTGTTTCTGGGGTCTCCTTGGCCAAGAGGGGGTTTGTTCAGTCATTAAGGGGTTTAGAATTTTATTTTTAGTTCCCAAATATAGGGTCTAGGAACAGTTATGTATGGTTATTTGTATGGATACTTGATTTATGCAAAAAAGATACTATAGTACAGAGGGAACATTTTCTTCCCTCAATAAATGAGGAATAAATTTTCTATCCATATAGAAAATAGTTCATCTGACTCCCACCTCCTTTCAAACTCAGAATGAATTGCAGTTCTAAATGCAAAAGGCACAAACAACAAGACTTTGAAAAATAGAATATTTTTATGACCTTGGAGCAGGCAAACATTTCTTAATCAGGACACAAAAGGTTCAAAAAGGAGAAATGTTGATAAGTAGGACTCTATTAAGATTAAGCATTTCTGTTCCTCCGAGGATAACATTACAAGATTTAAAAGGTAACCTCAGAATGGAAGGAGATATTTGCAATACATAAATCTGACAAAGAACTCTTAATCAAAATATACAAAGAGCTCTTACAAATCAATAGGACAAGACAAAAAAAAAATCAATGTGAAGCATTGGCACTGCCCAGAAAAGGAAATCCAAATGTCCACGAGCAAAAAGAGGTGTTCAGCTTCATTAGTCACCGGGGAAAACCACAAGGTGATATCCTCATGTACAGCCACAAAATTGGCCAAAGTGAAAAAAATCCCAAAACTTACAAGAGCCAGTGTTGGTGAGGGTGTGGAGCAGCCAACCTCCATCCACTGCTGGTGGAGGGTACGCACTGGTGCAGCCAACCTCGAGGCTGTTTGGCAGTTTCCACTAAAGCTGAGCACACACCTGCCCTGTGACTAGGAGAAACAGTGTCTGGAAGGAATCAAGAATGTTACGTGAATGGGTTCACTTTGTGCATGCCTCAGTATGTAGGATATACTTCAATAAAAAGTTTAAAAAAAAAGAGTAATGAAAAAAATCAAACTTTGCAGAAGTTTCAGAAATGTTTTAAAAATGTGGTAACACTTGTGTAGGGAAATAGGCATTCCCATATATTGCTTAGTATAAATAGTTTAAACAAAAACACTGGTCACTACCCACTAATATTTAAAATGGGAGTTAAAAATGATGCACCAACTGAGAAAGGTCATTTGGCATTCTCCATCAACGTAACAAATGCAGTTCGACCCCTAGTTACCTCTAGAGAGACTTGCGCAAAATGATGTTGAGGAAGAGTCCAACTCTGTAAAATATTTGAAGAGATTTATTCTGAGCCAAATATGAGTGACTGTGGCCTGTGACACGGCCCTCAGGAGATCCTGAGAACTTGTGCCCAAGGTAGTCGGGGCACAGCTTGGTTTTACTTTTTTTTCTTTTTTTTTTTTGAGACTGAGCTTCGCTCTTATTGCCCAGGCTGGAGTGCAATGGCGCGATCTTGGCTCACTGCAACCTCCGCCTCCCAGGTTCAAGCGATTCTCCTGCCTCAGCCTCTGTAGTAGCTGGGATTACAGGCATGTGCTACCACACCTGGCTAATTTTGCATTTTTAGTAGAGACAGGATTTCTCCATGTTGGTCAGGCTGGTCTCCAACTCCCGACCTCAGGTGATCTGCCCATCTCAGTCTCCCAAAGTGCTGGGATGACAGGTGTGAGCCACTGCGCCGGCCGGTTTTACACATTTTTGAGAGACATGAGACATCAATCAAGTGCATTTGAGGTGTACATTGGTTTGGTCTAGAAAGGCGAGACAACTTGAAGGGGTTGGGGGAAGTGGGGAGCCCTTCCAGTTACAGGTAGATTTAAAAGTTTTCTAATTATCAATTGGTTGAAAGAGTTTATCTAAAGACCTGGAATCAATAGAAAGCAATTGTCTGGGTTGAGATAAGGGATTGTGGAGACCAAGGTTCTTATTATGCAGATGAAACCTCCAGAGTAGGAGGCTTCAGAGAGAATAGATTGTGAATGTTTCTTATCAGACTTAAAAAGGTGCCAGACTCGTAGTTGACTCCCTCTTGGATCAGGGAAAAGGTCTGGAAAAGGGAAAGGGCATTCTTTATAGAATGTAGATTTTTCCCCACAAGAGATGACTTTGCAGGGCAATTTCAAGATATGGCAAGAAAATATATTTGGGGTTAAAATATTTTGGTTTCCTTCCTTGTTACGTGATGTTATGCCAGAGTCAGGTTGGAAAGTAAGCCACCACGTTATATAGGGTTAAATAAAATCCCTCTGATGAGACTTTATGGTTTGTAGAGTGTGACTCTCCAGGCCCCTTAAGTAGGAATTTGGGCAAAAGAAGACAAACAGTCAGCATTTAGTCTTCAGTGATGTCACTTTGTGTGTAAAGCAAAACTTTGAAAACAACTTCAAATGTCTCCTGTTAACTTAGGAAGATTCATTGAATAGTTCTTCATTTTGCCCCTACGTGGGAAGAGGAGCTGAGCTCAGTGTGTATAGTATGGTTTTTGGGATAGATTTCCTGTAATCATAAACGTCTTGATTCTCTGGGTTCTTTCCAGTCACTAAAGGCTATCATGAGTGTTAATAATTTTGAAAATAGATTAGTTGTGTAAATGAAAATATGTAAGCCAAGCAACTTGGAAAGGAGTGTTTGAAAAATTTAACATATATGCGTGTGTTATGTTGCTAAAAAGATTTTCCCTTCCTTGTAAAATGACATAGAATTTTCAGAGATATAAATTGATTATTTTTGAAGTTAAAAAAATCATTCTTATATAAGGTTTGGTCACAAGAAATTGCATTGTTTTAAAATTTTTTAAAAAGTCATCTGAGGAGCAACAGAACATTACATCTTGCAGAAGATTTGAAAAGCATTTGGTGGACATGCATTTGCTGAATTGTCCCCAGGGAAGATCTCGGGGAAAGCACTGACTATAAATCTAGGCTGCAGTTAGTTTCTGTTGACAAATTTATCCCTAATTGCTACATTGAAAATTTGTCTTCAGTGCCCCCTTGTATTTGCATCTGGATTGTGTGCGGTGAAATGTCCATTTTCATATGTTAAACCTCCCCATGGAAAGGTTGAATCATGAAAGGCAGAGCTGGGAGGGGTGTAGATTGCTCTGGGGGTTCTACCTGGTGCCAGTTCTGTGACAGAGGGCTGGGAGCTGGGGCTGGTCTCGGGAAGTCCCACCCTCCTGCTTCTCCTCTTTCGGTTAGACAACACTAGCTTGATCACTGGAGGAAGAACATCTCCATCTCCTTATTCTTCCCGGGGCCCAAACCAGGGGGTACTTATCTGGCCCAATGGTGAGGCACAAGCACAGAGGGAGGTGAGGGCTGGAGCGTGGGCCAGGTGCCTCCCTGAAGGCCGGGTCTTCCATCCTTCTCATCACTGTGGGCTTCAGGAACAGGGTTTTAAACTTTTGGTTCAGAGCCATTAGTGGGAAGTGACCAGTGTTTTTGTTTTTGTTTTTTTAATGTGTGGGAGAGCAGAGCAGAGTAAACACCAGTGCATTCTGCCTGTGGGAAGTCCGTGTTTTGAGCCTTCTGTCCTTGGCGGACAGCCATGTCTGGAGGTGCCGGCTGACAGGCAACATGCATTTCTTTCTTTCTTTCCCTTCCCTTCTTTCTTTCTTTCTTTCTTTCTTTCTTTCTTTCTTTCTTTCTTTCTTTCTTTCTTTCTTTCTTTCTTTCTTTCCTTCCTTCCTTCCTTCCTTCCTTCCTTCCTTTCCTTCCCTTCCTTCCTTCCTTCCTTCCTTCCTTCCTTCCTTCCTTCCTTCCTTCCTTCCTTCCTTTTTTTTTTTTTGACAGAGTCAAACTTCAGACTCACCTGAGACTCACCCTCTGTCGCCAGGCTGGACTGCAGTGGCGCGATCTCGGCTCACTGCAACCTCTGCATCCCGGGTCCGGGTTCAAGCAATTCTCTCATCTCAGCCTCCCAAATAGCTGGGATTACAGACTCGCGCCACCATATCCAGCTAATTTTTGTATTTTTAGTAGAGACGGAGTTTCACCATGTTGGCCAGGCTGGTCTTGAACTCCTGACCTCGTGATCTGCCCGCCTCGGCCTCCCGAAGTAAGATGCAATTCTTTATGGGGCCAGAGAGAAGTTCAAAAGCCACTGTTCTAGAAAGAGTTCTCTCTGGCATTTTATTGAAGCAATTGCAAGTTTGAAGTCAGTGCTAGCAGTGTTTGGTAGTCAGGCCACCAGTGAGAACTCAGCTTCATCATTCCGGAAACCTCTGTGCTTTGCTCCCCTCCATGGAAGAGCCTCACCAGTGAGCCATTTGGGTTCTCTTAAAATGAGACAGAACATCATTGCTTGGTGCTGATCAAGGAACACAACTCTGTCCTTCCTCCCAGGGAAGCAGTCGCCATAGGCTGGCACAGACTGGTGGGGTCAGCCCTGCATGGTGAACAGTATGGGTACCCACCCAGTGCCCCCACCCAGAGGCCTGTCATCAAGAGAGATCAGCCTCTGAGCAGCCAGTTCAGGGGACATTGGTCATTGAGGAGATGAGGTGCCACTGCCACTTCCCCACTCCTCACCTGGGTGGCCTCCCAGCTCCCACCTCCTTCTTTACCCTCCAGACCTAATCCATTCCCCACTGGGTGTGTCAGACCACAAAGCCTCCTGCTTAAAGCCATTCGCAGGCTCGCCACTGCTCCTAATGCCTCCCGGTGAACTCCTTGCTGCTGTCCACATGGCCAGCTCCCCTGGCCCCTTCTGACCTGCTCACTGTCTCCCCAGCTGCCCACCCGACCCCAGGCCAGCTCATGCCGCCTGAGCATCTCTGCCACACTGCTTCTGCATGCTTCTCCTCACCTTTGCATGCCCGGCTCCTGGTCACCTGCATTTCAGCTACACAGTGCCTCTTTAGAGAGCTTCCCTCCTCCCATCACTCCTGAAGTCCTGTCCTCTCATTGACTTGTTGTCCTGTTGATGCCCTCTTCACTGTTCTGGCTGACTATGGCTGCATTTAAAAGCACCTCAAAGCTCAGTGGCTTAGAACAACAATTTGTTATTCTCTCCCATGGTGCTGTGGGTAGATTGGGCTTGGCCACACCATCCTCACAATGGTGAGGCTTCAGATCCAATCAGACAGTGCCCAGACCTGGAGTCTCTGAAACCTCTGCTGAGCGGATGTCCAAGATGGTGCCTTCATCTATGTGCCTGGCCAAAGATGTTGGCTTTCAGCTGTCCTCTCGGCCTGGGATCTCAGGAGTGCCCGTATGAGCCCTCTCCACTCAGCCTCTCCTAGCATGGTGGCCAGGTCCCAAGAGGGAGCATCCCAAGGGCCAGGTCCCAAGAGTTGACAAGGAGCTGCAAGGCCTCTGGATAGCCTGGGCTTGGAAGAATCAGAACTTGTATTGGTTGACAAAGTCACAGAGGTTGGCCCAGAGTCAAGTGGGAGAGATGAGGCCCTTGAAAGGGACTGGCAAGGCCACACCGCGGAAGAGACAGTGGGATGCTAGATGTTATTCAGCCATCTTTGGAAAATGCAACCTGCCGCTTCAGACTCACCTGAGGTCATTGCTTCCACTTCTTCCACTTCTTTTTCTTTTTTTCCTTCTTTCTCTTTCTTTCTTTCTTTCTTTTCTTTCTTTCTTTCTTTCTTTCTTCTTTCTTTCTTTCTTTCTTTCTTTCTTTCCTTCTTTCTTGTCTTTTCTTTCTCTCTTTCTCTCTTTCTTTCTTTCTTTCGCCCACTCCAGTGGATTGGAAGCAAGAGCCTTGTCTAAATAACCCACAGTTGGGTTCCATCACCTGGAACATCCATGCTAAAGTGGAAAAAAAAAAACCATGAAACTTTCCTGTTGAGTTTGACAGGGATATAAACTCTATCTGATTAATATCAAAGCAATACGTCTCTTGGCCTTAGTGCCATCTTCTTGGAAACCTCTGCACCGCGAGAGCCAAGTGGAGAAAGAAGCAAAAGCACAGACTGAAGCTCAAAGGAAGAAAGATGAGGCAGAGGTCCAAGTAAACCGCTAGGTTTTTGCACCCATGGAGGTGCCAGGAGCAGAAACATGAATGCCAGAGGCTGGAGATGCTGGTACAAGTTGTTGGACTGCATGCTACTGTCTAGAGCTTGTTTCAATGCATCTAGAACTTCATCGCCATCTGATCGCCAAGACCACCTCTGAGACCCACCTTGCTCATGTCCATAACTGTCCATGTTAGTCCTTTGCCCTGGACCTGTGACACTCTGGACTATTTCTGTGTTCACTTGTGGCCGAGTATAACAACCGTAGACTAAATCACCTCTTCTGCTGTCTTAGCTGAAGAAGCAATACGTTTGGAGGGAGAAGCCTAAGTAGCCAGGATTGCTGTTAAATATTTAGGAGCAGACTGCGTCTGTATCCTCATTTATTCTTTTCATTCAACGCATAGTAAATGACATTCCTACCACATGCCAGTAACAGCACTGGGTTCTAGGGATTAAAACAAATGTGAAAGAGCCCCTTTCCCGCCCCTGTTCTCTCTGTTGGTGAATCTCATGTGACCTCCAGTAGTGACATTACTTACCCTTTATCAAGCATGTGCTCCATGCCAGGCATTGCACTGAGATGGGCGTGCACATTGACACTGGTTTTTTGAATTCTGACAACGAGCTTGTCAGTTGGTTGTCCACATTTCTTTATAGACATGGATTGTGGCCTTTAGAGAGGTTGAGTGATGAGCTCAGAAATCTACAGCTCATTTTCTTTACGATTACAGCATGCTGCCACCAAGTACTGGTACCCCCGTCAATGGTAGCTGTTAGTGTTATCGGGCCTGCTGAAGTCACGTGGCCTCTGCTGCTACCCTGGGCCATGCACGCCATGTTCGCGTGGTGGCTTGGTGGGGGTCCCGTGGGCAGTAGGTCCAGTGCGAACTCATCTTATTTCAACAGTCAAGAGTCAAAAGAAAAGAGTCCGAAAAGGAAATCCAACCTATGACTAAGAAGTCCACAAAGTCCGTCAGGGGCTTTGTGTGAAAAACTAACCTGCTTAGTGTCAAGCTTGTTTATTCTTGGCTAAAAATGACTTCCTGTTTCTAAGAAAAGAGGCCTCTGGTGGATAGAAAACATTTCTTACAAAACAACTTTTGCTGAGCTCAGGCCCAGTGACTCAATGCCATGTGGATTATATTTCCTATAAAATGCTCCAGGCTGAAAAATCAAGGGTAAAAGTATTGGACAGGGGCTTCTGGAAGTGGGTTGTCCCCAGTGTAGACGGGGCTGTTTCCCCACACTCCTTCCTGGGGAGATGGAGTGCCCGGTCGGGGGAGTCCAGGCAGCGAGGATGAGAGGCCTTGCTTTCCCTTTGCTCTGGGGGCCTGGGGTTGTCTTCATCTGCTAGGGTCTCTGCAACGAGCACCACGGACCATTCAAGGCAGCTTAAACAACCACGTCACAGCTTAAACATTCATTGTCGATCGATGCTGCAGGTGAGATCAGGTAGGGGCTGGGGCTCTTACTGAACTTGTACCCTGGCCTCTTCCCCTTCCCTGCCCCACACCTCTCCCTCCATTTTTGCTATCCAGGAGCAAACCCTTTAGAAATCACATGAATCCATGCTTGAGCTCTGCTTCCAGGAGCTGGATTTATGGCACCAGCGTGATGCCGGGCACAGAGTAGGTGTGCAGGAAGTTCCTGTGAGTGAACGAGGAGGGGCACTTGCTCTCTCAGACACCAGGCAAGCTTCTCCCCACACGAGAGCTCTCAGATTCCCCACAGGTCCTGCAGGTGAGCAGTTTGTCCTCACATTACCAAGGAGGGGTAAAGGAAAGGCGAGCCATTTGGCCAGGCTGTGGCAGGCCAGGGATCTCAACACAGGTCTGTGTCACCACCCAAGCTGTATAGCTGTCCCCATGGCCTAGGTGAGGGACTTCACCTCCTTGTGCCTTGGATTTCTCATCTGTAAATTGGGAACATTGTTTGTTTGTGACGATTTAGTGCAGAACACATAGCCCAGCAGTGACTGCTAGCCCTGAGCGATGGCTCAGCACGCTGGGGAGGACTAGACCAATACCTCTGTACACACGCACACATATGCGCACACACGCCACTCACTACACACCCATGTACATACCCCCCATGCACACATGCATACACACACACAGGTACATCCACAATACACCCACATACGCATATGTATGCACATCCACACACACTACACACCCACACACGTGCCCAACCCCCATGTACATGCATGCACCTACACACCCATTCACACACCCTCATACATACACACATTCAGCCACATCCACACATACCTATGTACATACCCACATATATACATGCATGCACATACACTACACATACACACACACATATATGCACACAATGCATATACACTCACACACATATGCACATACAAGCACACCACAGAATGCACATGTACACATGATATGCAAGTACACAGTACACATATATATGCACACACATGCACACCTACATATCTCTATACACACATACACATAGAGGCAGCCACTCAGAACACTGGCATGTGGGTTCAATTAATTCTGGCTCGTGGCAATGTTGTTTGTTTAAGGAAGCTTACGGTGAAAAACAGTGTCACAAAGTCCCTGGGCTCCCTCCTCCCTCCGCGGCCAGAGCTACTGTTGGAGCACACGTGGGGCAGAAGCACAGCTCCATGCCCATGCCTCACAGAAGGTGAGCAGGCAGCTCTTTGGAGAACTTGAGGGTTCTCTGGGTGGCCCTGGGCATTAGGTCCCCTCTGTCAGTCCTTGCCACATGGCCATCCCCTCTTTGCTGGTTGCTGGGGACTCACATTGAGCACTGAGAAAAGCCCCTTTGCTCCACCCCTGTCTAGGGAATGCAGGGACTTTACTCCTGCTGGGGCATTTCAGGAGCCTCATGCAGGGGCAGAAACTCTGGTGGCTGCTCCCACTGCCGGATCACAGTTGGTGCTGTAGTCCTCCAACCTGGCCTGGTCTAGAGCCTCATCTGGCTTTTTTGAAGTGCCATCTTCAGCTTGAAAACAGAGCCTGAGGCAAAGGCTCCTGTGATGACTGCAGGGAGTGGAAGCCCAGGAAAGCAGGGTGAGGGGCAGGGGCAGGGTGGGGTGTCCTAGGAGGACAAGCAGCCACATGGCCACAGGCACCTGTGCCTCTTGTGGGGCATTTCAGATAGGCCGAGAGAACAACTGGGCTTCAGAACAGCCCAGCAGTGGGGCAGGGGAGGGAGGGAATTCCCTACCAGGCATCTCTCACCTCATCAAGACCCCCATAGCATTAATTCTCCTACACTCACCCTGGGGAAGCCAGAGCCTGCTGGGTTCAATCTGGCTGAGGGGTCAGTGTGCAGGTGCGGTGGCCCCTCTCTGCTAGTGGACACATGAATGGGCTCTGAGATCCCTAGTGACAGTGACATTGCTCTCAGGGACCAGGGAGGCATGGCATAGGTATAGATCCAAGGTGTCATGGTAACAGAAGCCCTCACGGGAGCTATGGGGAGCTATGGGGAATCAGAAGCCATTGCCCTCACCTCCATTCACAAGCAGCAGTGTCCATAAGAACCATCTTGGTCCTAGTCTGGGAAGGTCAGGACCACCCCTTGAACCTCATTTCAAATAAGCATTTTCAGTGATGTGGATTCCTGGGGGTCACAGGTGAGACTGGTCCAAGGTCATTACTTGTACCCAGGTAATCCCCTATTCCCCTGGAAAGTGGGACGTTTTAGTCATCTATTTCTGCTTAACTAATTATACCCCAAAACACAATGGTTTGAAACAGTAGCACTTATTACCACCCAGTTTCTGCAAGTCAGGGATCTGGGCATATACAATGGTGCACAGGCTTACCTGGGTCCCCTGCTTCAGGGTCCCTTGTGGTGTTGACTGGGACTGTTGTAGTCTTTTTTTTTTTTTTTGAGATGGAGTTTTGCTCTTGTTGCCCAGGCTGGAGTGCAATGGCGCGATCTCGGCTCATTGCAACCTCTGCCTCCTGGGTTCAGGTGATTATCCTGCCTCAGCCTACTGAGTAGCTGGGATTACAGGCATGTGCCACCATGCCCAGTTAATTTTGCATTTTCAGTAGAGATGGGGTTTCTCCATGTTGGTCAGGCTGGTCTCAAACTCCCGACCTCAGGTGATCCGCTCGCCTTGGCCTCCCAAAGTGCTGGGATTACAGGTGCGAGCCACCGTGCCTGGCCTGTTGTAGTCATTTTAAAGCTTGAATGGAGGAAGCTCTGTATCTCCGTCAGTTCAGGCTGCCATAACAAAACATAGCACAGACTTGGTGGCTTAAAAAATAGACATTTATTTCTTACAGTTCTGGAGGCTGGAAGTCTAAGATTGTGGTGCTGGCAGATTCAGTGCGTGTTGAGGCCCCGCTTCCTGGTTCATAGATGGCCATGTTGTCTCTGTGTCCTCTCATGACAGAAGAAATGAGAAAGCTTTCTGAGGCCTCTTTCATAAAGACACTTAATCCCATTCATAAAGACTCCCCCCTTATGACCTAATCACTTCCCAAAGGCTCTACCTCCTAAAACGATCACGTTGGCATTAAGATTTCAGTGTGTGAATTTTGGGGAATGCAAGCATTCAGTCCATTGCATACTGCATCCTTACAAGCAGGTTCAGTTCCTCCCAGCCTGTTGGACCGAGGGCCTTGGCTCCTCATTGGCTGTTGGTTGGAGGCTGTCCTTGGCTTCTTGCCCTTTGGATTTCTTCAGCATGACAGTTTGCTTCAACAAAGTGAGCATGTGAAGGAGAGCAAGCTCAAGCATGAGGAAAGTCACAGTGTTTCATAGCGCTGTCTTGAAAGTGGCCTCCCATCACCTTTGCTGTGTTTTGTTCATTAGAAGCTACCCACCAGGTTCAGCTTCCTACCTCCGCAAAGAGAAAGGGTCATTAGAGTGTAAACTCTAAGAGGTGGAGACCCCTGGGAACCATTTCGGGAGCTGCCTAACTTAGGCTGTTCCTGGCTCTTAATAATTTATGTCCTACAAGGTCCCCCCAAATCTCATTACATTACAGCACCAGCTCAAAGTCAAAAATCTCATCATTTAAATCAAGTCCAGGGGATGAGTGAGGCTCCTTAGATGAGGTTGCCTAAGTACAGATCCTCAAGTACAGCACTTTTCAGTCTTATACTCATGAACTCAAGACAAAAGTTATCTTCCCCTCACTCACTCTACATGCAATGGAGGGACAGGCATGGGATAAACAGTATAATCTTTTCTGTTCATAAAAGGGGAAATGGGAGGCACACAGTAGGCACTGATCCATAGCAATTCTGAAGTACAGCTGGGAAAACATTGGAATTTTTTTGGTTAGGTCTCAAGGCCTGGGAATCATTCTCTGTGGCTCTTGGCTCTACCCTCTGGGCTCCTACTTTTGTCCTTTTAGTATACTTACTTTTTTATGAAAGACAAAATGTGTTTGCCTCTGAGCAGTTCTCTCAGCCTCCTTCCTGCCGGTCAAACGTTGAGGTCCAATTGCCTCTTTTCATTTTGCCCTGGCTCTGTCCCTTTTAGTTCAAGCTGGAAGTGCTTTTGCTGATGTAGTTTTTTTCAGACAATTTGTGGGTTTTCTATGAATCTCACTGGAACCCACTTCATTAGATAAATTAAACTGTGGCTTCAAAGCCACAGTTACCTATCTCTTTGAGATGTGTTCCTCTCTAATTTGGACTTCCGCTGAGAAAGGTTAGGGACGACACCCTTATGCTTTTTACAGACCCCATGACTCAATAGAGAGGAATTGTGGGTACACAATTTTTTAAAAGGGCCCTTCAGGTGTCTCAATTGTACTCTGATATTATGACTGTTCTGAGATTTTAACAAAAGATTGCACAATCACATATTGCCTTTATTTCTAGAAAATTTTGAATGTTGCTTAGATATTCTTAATTTTAGCATCTTTTGCTATTTGCAAAGGATGAGAATTTTCTGTGTCATCAAGTCTTTCTAACAGTTCTTTCTTCAGTTTCACTTTCCCCTCTCACATTTTATTATAAGCAGCAAGAAGAACCAGGTAATGCCTTCAACATTTTCCTTGAAGTTCTTATCTAGACTACACAGTTTGCTAGGTCCAAGTTCTGCACTCCGCATAACTGCAAGCAGCAGTGTAGCTAAACCTTTTGCCACTATGTGATGAGAATCCCCTTCCTCCAATTTTCTATAACATGTCCCTCACTTCCTCTTGAACCTTCACTGGCAGTGTTCCCAAAGCTGAGATTTCTGCTAACAATATGTCCAAAGCAGTTTAGGCTTTCTGTATCACACACCTGAAAATCCATTCACTTTCATCCACTGTCCAGTTTTGCAGCCACTTCTGCATTTTCAGGCCTTTTTTTTTTTTTTTTTGAGACAGAGTCTCTCTCTGTTGCCTAGGCTGGAGTGCAATGGCACAAACTTGGCTCACTGCAACCTCCGCCTCCCCAGTTCAAGCGATTTTCCTGTCTCAGCCTCCTGAGTAGCTGGGATTACAGGCATGCACCACCACACCCAGCTAATTTTTGTATTTTTAGTAGGGATTGGGTTTCACCATGTTGGTCATGCTGGTCTTGAACTCCTGACCTTGTGATCTGCATGACTTGGCCTCCCGAAGTGCTGGGATTAAAGGTGTGAGCCACCATGCCCGGCCTCAGGCATTTTTTACCGCAACATTACATTGATACTAAAATCTGTCTTTATTATCTATTGCTATATAATGTATTAACCCAAAACACTGTATCTTAAAACAATCATATCTATTATCTCAATGTCTGTAGCTCAGGAATCTGAGCAAAACTTAACTGGATCCTCTGCTTCAGGGTCTGGAACAGGCTACAGCCAAGGTGTCAGTCACAGCTCTGTCATCTCAAGGCTCGACTAGGGAGGGATCTACTTCCAAACTCATGTGGCTTCTCGCTCATAGGCTGTTGAACAGAGGGTTTCAGTTCCTTGCCACATGGGACCCTCCAGCATGACAGCTTGCTTCATCAAAATGAGCAAGCTGAGAAGGCAAAAGACAGTGAAAGCAAGATTAAACTCAGTCTTTTACAAGGTGACCTTGGAAATGACATCCTGCCAGCTTCGTCATATTTTATTAATGTTTATTCATTTCATTTATTTGTCATTCACTAGGTCCAGCTTATGTGCACACACATACATGCCCACACACAAACACACATACATACACTCATACACTCACACATACACACATATACATACCTGCACACACATACACTCATATGCATTCATACACACACTCTCACGAACACATACACTCATACACCCATACACATATTTGCATACACACTCATTCATATACACACATATACTCATCTACACACATACATGCACATATACCCACATACATATACTCACACACACAGAAATATAGTCTCACACATACACTCATACACATACATATATGCACATTCCCATGTACATCCATACACATTTACACGCACCACACACATTCATACACACATAGACACCCACACACCCACACATGCATAATTATACACTTACATACCTAGTCACATACACATAGACACACACACATATTATATATATACACACACACTCACATACATACACACATATATACCTCCCCCACACACGTGGTCACACAAAATATGCCTAGATGCATGCATATATGGGGAAGGTATGAATTTTTGGAGCTAAGAATCATTGTGAGCCATTTCAGAAACTGCCACAGGGCCTAAGACATAAGAGGTCCCCATGGAGATGCCTCCTCTGCAGTTTTTGGGGCAGGAAGCATATACTACTTTGTTTCATTTCTTTGGGGGAATGGAGCCTTCCCCATACCTGTGGCAGTAGCTGTGGAGGCTTCACAAGGCTTCATGTCCAAGAGGGCACCCTCTCCTGGCTGTAAGTTGGTGCTGGCCGTGGCTGGGAGCTCAGCCAGGGTTGTGCCACAGAAAGCCCCTCCTTGTGCCTCTGTGAGCCCTGGGCTTCCTCACAACATGGCAGCTGTTCTCTCAGAGCAAGCGTTTTGAGGGAGTGAGCCAGGCTAATGCCTTGGCAGACATGGCAGGCCATGTCTGCTGAACCCTGTTGAGGGAGGCAGGCACAGAGGTTCCCTCAGGTTGGCAGCAGGACCTGGGTTCCTCCTCTTGAAGGGTGAGTGGCAAGTTCACAGTCAGAAGAACATCTGAGGTAGGGTAGGCTGCCAAGATCCGGTGGGGAATACACTGTTCCCTACTAGCTAATGGAATGATGTAATCCCCCCAAAAGAGTGAGCCGGTAACTCATTACTTTCGCTCCCAAAGAGCACATGTACAACCTACTAGGTAGGTTGGGGACTTGGACTCAGGAAGGCCTCTAAGGGCAGGGGTCTGGCCCCAGGGAAGTGTTGTGGGCAATTCTTTTAGGGACACAGAAAAATCAGAAAGAGTTTGGTCAGCACATGACCACACTCACCCCACTTCAGTGAAGGTAACTGACTCACCTCTGAGACTTGCCTTCAGCCAGGGTGTTCAGGGCAGTGATTGACAAGTGGAGAGGTATCCTCAGGGGACACCAGGACATTGGGGTGAGTCACTGGGCAGAGCCATCAGAGTGATCCTGGTCTCCTCCACTCCCAGAGGTGCCAAGGTTGCACCCTCGCTGAAGACAAGGCCCTGGGGCACTTGGCTGAGGCCACTGGACTGGGCTTTGTGGACATTCCATTAGCTAGAGGGAAGAGAGTCGTGTCTCTAGGTTGTTTCTGAGCATGACAGGGGCCACGTTCCTTGAAGGTGGTTTGCAGATTCCAGCAGGGAGAAAGCTGTGCTGGGTGGTCCCTGAAGGCCTGGGAGGCAACGGTGGACATCGTGAGACCAGCTCGAGCTGGGGTGTGGGGCCTGAGTTGAGATCAGCAGAAGGGCTGCTTTCCTCCCACATTCCAAGTCTGCAACTTCAGGGCTGGCTATCACTATCTGGCCCTCTCCAAATCCTCAGGGGCATTAGGGTCATTGCCTGGTGTGTAAACCATTAACAAAATGTAGTAGGTTGCAAAAATGGCCTCCTCAGCATTTCATATTGGCTCCTTCGTATTTCATGTTTCCCAATATCTCCCAGCTGACTGCCCTGCCCACTGGCTTCCTGGCTCTCAGACCCTCTGCTCCAGCACAGGCCTCTTGCTGTGACTCTTCTCCGGTACCGTCTTAGCAATGGTTTTCTCCACAAACTGAGCAAAAGCCTTTATCTGCTTTCAGGAACTTTGGGAAACTCCTTCAACTGGCTGGGGAGAATATTTTCTGGTTTTGATCTTTTCCCTAACAAGCTTGGTGTGTTCAAACAACTCTCAACATCTCACTGTGCTCTATCTTCCTCTTTTATAAAATGACAATCATGCTAACCAGCCTCTCTATCTGCAGGGCTGGATGATCCATAGCAAATATCCCCTGATGGATAAGCATTGTGCTGAGAGACTTGCCTCCATCAGCTGTGTAAACCTCAGGATGACCTGCACACAGGTATACTAAGGCACACAGAGACCAGCTCGTAGTCAGTGACAAGTAACTTGCCAAGAGCTGTGGTTTAAAAGCATGTCTGCAAATTCTTGGACACTCTTGTCATCCAGAAATAGAGTCTAACCCTCCTCCCTTGAATACGGGCTGGCTTCAGTGGTGGAAATGACAATGTGTGAGTTTGAGGTTTGATTAGAAAAGATGACACAGCCTCTGCCTGACTCTCAAGGCCCTTGTTCTTGGACATTAGCTGCCATGCTGGGAGGAAGCCCAGCAGCCACACAGAGAGGCCACGACAGCCGAGGTCCCAGCCAAGCCAGCATCAACTGCCCAACACGTCAATGAGTGATCCTGCAGAGCCTCCCATCTCCTAGCCACCGCAGCTGATGCTCTGAGAGCGGAGGCAAGCTGTCCTTGCTGGGCGCTGCTTAAACTGCAGATGTATGAACAAAATAAAAATGGTGGTTATTTTAAGACACTACATTTTGGGTCTCTAGGTGTTTGGGGGTGGTTTTTCTCTAGCAATAGGTCCCCAGTCTTGTGCTTTTAGGGTCCTTGTCAAGAAGAAAAGTACAATGAGGAGGCGAGCCATGTGCCCCTTACTCTATCCAGGTCTGCTGCCTAATGTTCATCCCACCCACCCTCATAAAGCTGGAGCCTGAAGCAGGCTCTGAGGGCTGCCTGGTGCTAAGTGCTGGTATTTCTGGTGCTTGGTTCACCGCTGCTCCCTGGCAGTCACTGGAACTGCTTAGCTCAGTGCACTGAACCCACATCATTAGAGGAAAGGAGGTGGCTAAGGGCATCTCACCACACCACGGGGCCACTAAAGCCAATGCCTGGGCTTGGAAGGCAGTATTATCTTCCTGCCCTGACCCCCAGCATCTTACAAGTATTTTCATCTTCACAAGGGAGCAGGAGGAAAGCAGGGACGGGGCTCAGTTGTCGCGTGGGGATTCATTGTTGCAGCTCTTCCCTTCCTGGCTATGGGGCTTTGGGCTGAAGCATCTCAGCCCCCTGTGGGAGACAGATCTCAGGTCTTTAATCACTGTCACCTGAAAATTCAGGGACAGACACCTGCAAATATTAGCTGAAAGGCGTTCTGTGTTGCTGAATTCCACACCAGCAGTACCCGGACTTATCAAGGTGGGATTCTTGGTGTGTGCAGTCCAAGAGCTGAAGGACTTCAAGCACTGTTGATGGCAAGTATATGATGGATCATATCATACATTTGCGATGTATTTTTTCTTTTTTAAATTGTAGTGAAAAGCACACAACATAAAATTTACTATCGTAACCATTTTTAAGTGTACAGTTCAGTACTGTGAAGGACATTCACATTGTTATGAGGCCGATCTCCAGAACTTTTTTGTCTTACAAGTCTGAAACTCTATACCCACTAAACAGCTACCCCCTGTTCCATTTTTGGAAACCACCATTCCACTTTCCATTTCCCATCTCTGTGAATCTGACTCCCCTAGGTGCCTCCAGTAAGTGGAGTCATAGAGTATTTGACTTTTTGTGATCTGCTTGTTTCACTGAGCATCATGTCGTCATGGTTCATCCCTGTGGTAGCATGTGTCAGAATTTCTTTCCTTTTGGGATGGAGTAATACTCCATGGTGTGGCTAGACCACATTTTTTTCATCCATTCATCAGCTGATGGACACTTGTATTGCTTCCACCTGTCATCCACTGTGAGTTACACTGCTGTGAGCATGGGTGCACACATGCAATGCATTTTTTGTGGTCTGTAGGTCTCTGGGGATGGCCCCTTCCCCCTGGGCAGACTAAGGGCACTGTGGGCCCCTAGCCCTCGGCCCTCCTCGGGAGTTTCCTGGCAGGACAGACATGCACGAGGCCTCTGGCCTCCCTGGTAGGGCATGCTGGAGCAACCTGGGCAGACGCTGGCTCCAGCAGCTATCAGATTTCCTCACATTTAGAGGCCTAAGGGCCACTAGATACAGTCCATGAATTACTCCTAACTAGTTTCCTGACAGCCATGGCTGTGGTCCCACCTGTTGCAAAAAGGGAGTTTTGGGATTCCCTGGCCAGGTGGAGTCTGAGGGTGTCCAGGTCCAGTGTGTGTAAGGGCAATACAGGGCTCACTGCTCTGGCCTCCCCTTGGACGTCTACTAAATCTGCAGTGTCAGACCCAGCTGATTTAAGAAATCCTAAATGGAGCAATCCAAGAAACCACTTCATCAAGCCAACTTTACTGCAGACAGATATGAAACTGCCGACTTCTGGTCTGGCTGCACAGCTGTGTAAAACTGTTTAGCAACCTGGGTCAACAGATACTAAGCAGAGTGAAGAATGGGTCGTAAAATTTGATAGGCTGATGGGGCTTGCAAGACAGATGGGGTGAGGTGGGGTGGGCTGGGGAAGGTGGTGGAACAGGGCCCAAAGGTTATGATCTGGGTGACTTTCAGACCTGCAGAGCTGTCTGGGCATTAAACGCATGATAGCCCCCAGGAGTTCCTTCCAGAGGAGAAATAAAGAAAGGCCTGATTGCAGAATGACTGTCATGATAAGCCAGTGAGATGATGGAGGGGGGTGTCATAAATTTGGGGGTTTGGGTGTTAGGATGCAAAGACCAGTGGGGAAAGGAGAAGAGTGTGATTGCATTTTCCATACCATATTTTTTAGCTCCTAAATCAATCTCAAATTATGTGTTTCGAAGTGCCCTGGAAACCATTTGTAGCCCCAAAACAACATTAAACAATTCAGAGATGTTGTCAGAGTTATCTGGACTAGAGGGCCTCTCATGAGGTCAAGGAAGATGGTTGTGGTTCTCAGTCAGTCCACTCCAGGGGCCCTTGTGCTGCAGGGCCCTGCAAGCAGTGGGCAGCTGCCCTGGCTGCCGGCTCCCACTACTTCCCTGCTCCGCCGGGTGGCCCTCACTCCACTTTCACTCAGCGTGCTCTGCCCCCAGCCTGCCAGAAAGGTGCTGATTCTGCTGCCCAGGGAGGGCTTTTCCCTACTGAGTGGCCAAGAGCCGCTGTCAAGGGCTGTCCCGCTTTGCCTTGATTTGGCCTGGTTTGGTCCTCTGCCTGGTGCCTTTGAGTTAAGCACCCTAAACCAGGCACAGGCACCAGGGCCACCTGAGGCTGTCTTTGTGTTCCTGATGTCCTCTTCTATGAGTATTGCTCTGGATTTAAACTGGTTTAAGCAAGAGAAGACAGCCCAGAGGCGCCGCAATCCTGGCTTAGTTTTCCTCTAGTTGGATTTGCACAAGATTCGAGGTTACTTTTGTATAGGAGAGGAAATCAAAGCTAAAGGCATGGTGTTTTGATGTGAACAGGAAGGGCAGAACAATCAGAGCTGATTGTATACAGCCAGGTGACTCTGGGAGAAAATATATAACCTAAAATCATTTCATAGAAAACATATATGATTCAAAAGATTTGAACGAAGTACTTAACCCATGAAGCTAGATAAAAAGCAAAGTAAGCCTAAAGAAAAGGAAAGAAGCAAGAAAAACAAATGCAGTAGTATTTGAAATGTCATGTTAAGTGTAAAAGAAATGCAGTAGATAAGGTCCATGAATCCTCAGTCTGGTAACCCCTCCCTTCCCCAGTAATCACACAAGCACACACAACCTGTCTCATAAGCCCGATCAAGTAGGATAAGGGAGAATACAGCCTTGGAGGTGGAAAGAGTCCAATTATAGGCCAGGTGCGGTGGTTCATGCCTATAATCCCAGCACTTTGGGAGGCCGAGGCTAGCGGATCACCTGAGGTCAGGAGTTCAAGACCAGCCTGGCCAACATGGCGAAATCCTGTCTCTATTGAAAGTACAAAAATTAGCCGGGTGTGGTGGTGGGTGCCTGTAAGCTCAGCTACTCAGGAGGCTGAGGCAGAAAAATTGCTTGAACCTGGGAGGCGGAGGTTGCAGTGAGCTGAGATAGCGCCACTGCACTCCAGCCTAGGTGACAAGAGCCAGACTCTGTCTCAAAAAAAAAAAAAAAAAAAAAAAAGAGTCCAATTCTAAGAGGTTAAGATGTCCTTTTTAAATCAATAAATTTGGAGATCCACATAGAATTGATGATTTTCTCAGAAAACACAATCACACTGCCTCAAGAATGAGAAGAGTTCTGAGTGTACCAAACATTACAGAAGAAATAAAAATGTCAAAGTTCTACTTCCATAAAAGGCATCACACACAGTTTTATAGACTAATGAAGCGGTGGCCAATTCCCACAATATTTAAAATATTTTTCAGGGGATTAAAAGGAAAAAACAAACCAAAACCCCAAAAACCTTTGCATGTAATTCCACAAAGGGAGAAACACACTTAAGAGTAAGATTGAATAGAACAAAAAAGAAAAGTATTTCCTAATCTTACTCATGAATATGGCCATGCAACCATCCCAGCCACACCAGCAGGAGTCGGAGATGTATTCTCAGCAGAAATGGAATGACAAGACTCTGCACTAGGAAACCCCAGACCCAGCTGGGGAAAGTGAGAGGAGAGTCTGCCCAGTACAGGGAGAGATCTTCTCCATTCTGCTTGGCTCCCATACACGGGGCTAGGCATGTACCTGCCCCGTTGAAAGAGACTGGAGAATTCTTATCTGAAGAATCTCATCCAAGAGGAAGCACACCCCAGAGACTCTGACATGGCAGGCTTCCAATGGAATGGCCAGGTCCTTGATAGATTACTTAGAATTCCATCTGTTTGGAAGCTAAAAACCACACACACACACACACACACACACAGAGTTTCTAATCCCTATGTGTATAAACTTTGAAATGTAAATATTTTAAAAAGTGCATAAAATAGACATACAGTAAGTATCATATTTAATAATGACATTTTGGAAGCATTTCTCTTATTGTCAGAAAAAATACGGATACTGACAACAAATTTAGACGTTTTACATTGTCTTAAGATCACTGCAAGAACAGGGAAAAGGACATAAATATTTAAAAGTAAGAGACACAATTTTAATTATTTATTTGCATGTAAAAATACAAGATAATCAAATTTATTTGGATTAATATGACATAATTTGGTAGTCAGATCCAAAGTAAATTTACAAAATGTAAGCATTTTTCTAAATGCCAGCAACAGGAAGATGTAATTTTAAGAACAATCCTATTCATACTATTATTGAAAACTCACAATATTTTGTAATACACATAAAAAGACACGTGAGGTGGGCATGGTAGCTCAGGCCTGTAATCCCAGCACTTTGGGAGGACGAGGCGTGCAGATCACGAGGTCAGGAGTTCGAGACCAGCCTGACTAACATGGTGAAACCTCGTCTCTACTAAAAATACAAAAATTAGCCAGGCGTGGTGGCAGGTGCCTGTAATCCCAGCCATTCTGGAGGCTGAGGCAGGAGAATCACTTGAACCCGGGAGGCAGAGGTTGCAGTGAGCTGAGATCGCGCCACTGCACTCCAGCTTGGGCAACAGAGACTCTGTCTCAAACAAAAAAAGACACATGTGATACGTATTGTTATGGATTGAATTGTGCCTCTACCACATACAGATGTTGAAATCCTAGTCCCCAGTACCTCAGACTGTGGAAGTGGAGTCCTGTCAGTTGTATTTAATTAGCTAAGTTAGGATGAGGTCATACTGGAGTAGGGAGGGCCCCCTAGCCCAACATGGCCAGTGGTAACCTTATAAAAAGGGAAAACTTGGACACACACCAGCACAGAGGGAGAACCCCACATAGAGGTAAAGGTAGACCTTGGGTGATTCTTCTACAAACCAAGGAATGACAGAGACTCCTGGAAACCTCCAGAAGGTGAGAGAGAGGCCTGAGACCGCTTCTCCCTCATAGCCTGGGGAGGAGCCAGCCCTCCTGATACCTGGATCTCAGACTTCTGGCTTCCAGAACTGTGAGACCATACATTTCTTCTGTTTAAGCCACCCAGTCTGTGGGACTTTGCTATGGTACCCCTAGTGAAACGAATACACCCATATATAGGACACTAAAAACCTTTACTGAAAGATCTAAAAGAAGACTTGAACAAAGGGAAATGCAGGAGACTCTTCGGTAAAAGGCTAAAACTGTTCATATACCACACTCCCCCAAGTTAGTCTACAACATCACTGCAATAACACAATGCTTGCTGAAGTGGTCACTTTCACATACTGTTTGCAGAGGGCAATTTGTCAAGAGTCAACACATTTGGAACTTTGCCCACCTTGTTTGCCTGTCATTCCACTCAGGATTCCAGCTTTTAGAAAGAATTGCATCTGATTGTAAAAACCCAAGTTCAAGAAGTGAACTTGGTCTATAATGGGAAATCATTGGGGAAAACCCATAACTGAGTGTCAATGAAGGATTGGTAAATAAATTATGGTATATACAAAGTCTAGAATTCTATTCATTGGTTAGAGTATTGAAGTGTCTGTATATGTGATGGTGTGGGAAGATAGCTAGGATAAACTTTTTTTTTTTTTTGAGATAGAGTCTTGCTCTGTTGCCCAGGCTAAAGTGCAGTGGTATGATCTCGGCTCACTGCAACCTCTGCCTCCTGGGTTCAAGTGATTCTCCTGCCTCAGTCTCCCGAGTAGCTGGGATTACAGGCACTTGCCACCATGCCCAGCTAATTTTTGTATTTTTAGTAGAGATGGGGTTTCACCATGTTGGCCAGGCTGGTCTCGAACTCCTTACATCAAGTAGTCTGCCAGCCTCGGCTTCCCAAAGTGCTGGGATTACAGGGCTAATCCCTACCGCGCCTAGCCTAGGCTAAATTTTTAAGTGACAAAATTAGGTATGTTGGAATACAAATGCTGCCATGATTTTTTCAGAGCATCAGCTTGAGTTCCCAGATACAGACTAATGGGAGGTCCTGTATCCTTCTCAAGATGTTTCCTTACTCCCCAATCACCCAAACACCCCCAGGGGTTATGCAATCCAAACAAGAGATTCTCTGCCTTTCCACTGCCAGGCAGGGGTGGATCCCAGTGTCTGTTCCCTTGCAACCGTCTCCTGCAGCCTGGCAAGCTTGGTGTCAGGGACTATGTTTGCCTTGCCTGGCTTCCTGCCCCAGACGTTCTGGGAAGTTCTTGTGACTCCACTTCTCCTTAATAGGTGTATTAGTCTGTTCTTACACTGCTAATAAAGACATACCCAAGAACAGATTATTTATTTATTTATTTATTTATTGAGACAGAGTCTCGCTCTGTCACCCAGGCTGGAGTCCAGTGGTGCGATCTTGGCTCACTGCAAGCTCCACCTCCCTGGTTCACACCATTCTCCCGCCTCAGCCTCCCGAGTAGCTGGGACTACAGGCACCCACCACCATGCACGGCTAATTTTTTGTATTTTTAGTAGAGACGGGGTTTCACCGTGTTAGCCAGGATGGTCTCGATCTCCTGACCTCGTGATCCGCCCGCCTTGGCCTCCCAAAGTGCTGGGATTACAGGCGTGAGCCACCACGCCTGGCAAGAATAGGTAATTTATAAAGGAAAGAGGTTTAATTGACTCACAGTTCCACATTGCTGGGGAGGCCTTGCAATCATGGTGGAAGGCGAATGAGGAGCAAAGTCACATCTTAGATGGCGGCAGGCAAGAGAGCTTGTGCAGGGGAACTCCCATTTATAAAACCATCAGATCTGGTGAGGCTTTTTCACTACCGAGAACAGTATGGGGGAAACCACCCCCATGATTCAATTACCTCCACCTGGCCCCACCCTTGACATGTGGGGATTATTACCACTGAAGGTGAGATTTGGGTGGGGACACAGCCAAACCATATCAATAGGCTCATCTGCAGGCTTGGGACTAGGTTAGGCTACTTGGTTCTTGGGGCTTCCAGGTTCCTGCCACTTGAAGGTTGTAGGGGAGGGGGTTCTTTCCTCTCATATCCCCACCTCTTCTCCCTGGTGACCCAAACCAGGGCACACAGCCTAGGGCTGTCTCTGTTCTCCACCTCTCAGCCATGGGACCCAGACTCTAGTTTCTCTCCCTGTCTGAGACATGTAACTTCATTCCCATCATGGGCTGAATCTTCAGAACATGAAAACCCGTTTATATTATACACTGCTTTCAGGCCAGCCCCTTCTCCTGGCAATTTCTTTCTTTTGGAGGTCTTAGGCACAAAAAGCTGGAACAAGTGAGTGGCTATATATTTTATTCTCATGCCTCCCCCTGAGTCATGGAAAACTTTTGCTTGAAAACTCCAGAGTTTCTCTTGCTAAAAGCAGGAAAAAAGAAAGGCAAAATACAAATTACATATTCAGTCAGTCACCTTGTTATATATTTATTAACAAAAAACAAAAAAGCCACCCTCCTCAACCCACACATTTTAAATAAGTGGGAAAAGATCTGAGAGGATTCACACCAGAGTGCTACCAGGAGTGACCACAGGCTGGCAGGGGGGTGTGGAGGGGAGATGGGGTGATTATAAGGGAGACGTCTTTTTTGCTGTGTAAATTTAACATTTGATGTTTTACAAGCATGCATTACTTTTGCAGTTTAAAAAGTCAATAAAATCCATAGATTTGTAAGCACTTACGAGTTTACCTAGTGTTTTAAATTCAGTAAGTACTGTGTTTGTTAAACACCTACCATGCACAGTACTAGTCTAGATGCTGGGAACGCAGTATAAATGAAGCAGTGTCAGCAAAGCCCCGTCTTCCTGATGCTTCCACCATACACACACATAGATTTTTCTACTGATTTTTTCCAAGAGGAAAAACCAGAATTATTGTCTTTTTAATATTTTATTTTATTTTAATTTTAGCTAAAGATTCACATCTATAAGGATTGGTAGAGTATACAAAATTTTGTCTGGATGTGGCGGCTCACACCTATAATCCCAGTCTTTAGGAGGCAGGTGGATCTCTTGAGCCCAGGAGTTCTAGACCAGCCTGGGCAACATGGAAAAACCCCGTCTCTACAAAATATAAAAAACAAAAATTAGCCAGGCATAGTAGCTCATGCCTGTGGTCCCAGCTACTCAGGTGACTGAGGCAGTAGAATGCTTGAACCTAGGAGGCGGAGGCTGCAGTAAACTGAGACTGCACCACTGCACTCAGCCTAGGTGATAAAGCAAGACCCTGTCTCTAAATAAATACATAAATACATAAACAAAGTTTTATGACATCTGCAACAATTTTAATGAGCTGCTCAAATAATTGTGGCTTCTGTGGTGACAAAATCACAGCTATCCCAAATCCTACTGTGAAGGTACTTAAAATCACAGTGAAGACAAGGCTCAATTCCAATTAGAGGGTGGTTGGAAATAAAGATGGAATTCTTTCCCCATTCAAGTTCTCAGACTCTTTGACTTCCATCCACAGACTCCTTGGATAAATTCTTTCGAGTGAATTTGTGACTTTGGTGAATTACTCCAGGGTGGAGTTTGGTGAGCTAATTTTTATAAAATTAAACAGGAAGGTATATATACACTGAGATGGGTTTTGAAAAATTAGTGCTGCCAAAGTCAAGGTGAATAGAAGAGACACTGCCTAAAAAAGTCATCATCTTCATGTGCTCCCCAGAGGACATGGTGAAGGACTCTTCAAACCCCTCTGGAAGGCCAAGGAGGGGAAGAAGGGAGAGGAAATTGCCTTGGAGCTGCCGGGAAGGCTGTAGGAGGGTGCTGGTGTCTCCTGGGGCCCTGCAGCCCCTCCCTGCAGTAATTTAGGGAAACAGGACATGTTGGTTCCCCACAATTCCTGGACCACAGCAAAGCTTTGTCCCTGGAAGTCCCCTCCTCATCCCACTCTCACTAAGCCTCCTCCCTTCAAAGGAAGAACAGCTTCTGTCTCTGAAGAAACCTTCAAAGGAGGGGGACAGAGCAGGGGCCCTTTCCATGGGGTGAGGGAGCTCGCAGCTCACCCCTGGGCCTGTCCCCATAGCTTCCGCAGACTGGGAGGGAGGAATGTGGCCCATCCTTCTAAGATATTGATGGGATGAATAGACCTTTTGAAAAGTCAGGGTGGAGAGTCTGGTCCTGGGGAGTTTTAATTACATCACCCTCGTTATCAGTCTTTGCCTTGACATGGAATTTTTTGTTGCAAGAAGGGAAGGAGGCAGTGCAGGGCCAGGTGGGGCTGCCCAAGGGTGTTGTGAGGCTCAGATAGTGCCTGGAGAGCCCTCCTGGCGCTTGGGACTGATGAGCTCACCACAAGAAGGGCCATGACCTCATGACTGCGGGACATTGTTTTTTTTTTGGCCTCTGGAATTGCCAAGATTAGCTACATGTATATATTATTTTCTTCAGGAACCATAGGCATTCCTGAGATAGGAGGATTCTGTACATTTGCAAACCTGTAGGGTTTGAGACTCACAGTGACAATCCCCAGCTTCTAGGGCTGTCATGAAAATGGCATGGGATGCTGACCCACATGGGGTGCTGTGCATGACACACTTTGCTGTTATCCACTAAAGCTCCCCTCTGCCTGCCCACTAATCAAAGGGGTTTAAAGGTTTGAAGCCTGGCTCATGTAAAAGCTGTGACTCAAACTTCAGGATTGGGTGTTAAAATGGAGGTTACTATGCGCCACTTCCTAACAATTCTAATACAGGACTCGTGTGTGTGTGTGTGTGTGTGTGTGTGTGTGTGTGGTGGAGAGGGTGTATAATGTGTGCTGTGTGTGGGGTATATAGCTTGTATGGTGCATATAATGTGCGTTTCTGTGTTTCTGTGGTGTGTGTGTAGTTTGTGTTGTGTGTATGTGTGTGTGGGTGTGTATACTGTGTGGGGTGTATAGTTTTTGTGGTGTGTGTAATGTGTGTAGTTGTGAGTGTGTGTTCGTAGTTTGTGCTGTGTGTATGTGTGTGTAGGGTGTATATTGTGTGTGGTGTATAGTGTGTGTATGTATGTGTGGTGTGTGTGTAATTTGTGCTGTATGTATGTGTGTGTGGGATGTATGTGTATATGTATGGTGTGTGTATGCGTGTGTGGAGTGTACTTGTGTGGGTTTGTGTGGTGTGTATGGTGTGTGTGTGGTATATGGTGTGGGGGGGCATGTGTAGGTGGCATACAGTGTGTGTGAGATGTACAGTGAGTCGTGTGTGTGTTGTGTGTAGGTGGGGTGTGTGCTGTGTGTGGTGTGTGTGGGTTTACAGTGTGCGTGGTCTGTATGTGTATGGTATGTGTATGATGTGTGTATGGTGTGTGTCTGGTATGTGAATGGGGTGTGTGCTGTGTGTGCTGCATGTGGGTTTACAGTGTGCGTGGTTTGTGTGTGTATGGTATGTGTATGATGTGTGTATGGTGCATGAATGGGGTGTGTGTGTGTGTGTGAGTGTGTATGCAGGGCAGGGAGGAGCCAGGAATCTTCATGATTCCCCAGTGGTTCTGCTGCAGATGTTGCAGAGATCATACTGCCTCCAAACCCTGGATCAGGGCTAGCCCAGGTATATTTTTATTTGCAGGTTGTATACTAAATACAGTTAAACAGTGGGGAGAACAAAACCAGCCTGGATAGTGTCTAAAAAAAATAAATCCCACGTACCATAGGATGTTAGATTTTAGTAAACTTCGTCCGTCCTGCTTCCTGCAGTCTCGTGAGAAGGCCGGGACACCAGGCTTCCAGCTTGAGTGTGTTTACCCAGCGAGCTGGGGGTGGTGGAGCGGCGGAGCTGGTGGCTCTGTCCCGCCTCTGTGGCTGGGGCCCAGTGTCAGTGGGCAGCATGCTTTCTGGCCTCCACCTGCCTTTCGGTCAACATTGGAACACGTGTCTCCTGCTGCTCTGTGGTGCGGCCTGTGGGCGGCGTGGGAGGTCCTAGGTGAGCTAAGTAGCGGCCAGTCTCGGTGCCCTTGGTGAGCTCTGCCCTCCGGTTGTGTCAATAACTCCATCTCTAGTTTGGCTCAAGAAATGTTTCTAGTTAATTTATAAAACAACGTGTCCCCCTTTGACTCTTGCAAGTAGCTGAATTCTGTTACCTAGCCAAATTATTTTAGTCTAAGAAAATTCCAGTTGTAGGTGCTTTAAAGATTTTGGTCTGTGGAAATTCATGGTATAATATTTGAGTGTGGTGCATGTGGGTCCTGGCTCAAGACCTTCATATGAGAGATGATCTTTTTCGTTATGATATATATATATATCCATCCAACTATCTATCTGTGTATGTGTCATATATACCATATTACCCAGTTGGAAATAAATAGAATAACCTGATCTTTCTCCCCACCCACATTTTCCTTTCATTTTCTCCTGAAGATGTCTTCTTCAAGTGTGAAGTACTTCTCAACAATCTCTCCAATCTTATGATTAACGCTTAGTAATAGAGCTCCCTTTTTAGCAGCCTGTGGTGTATTTGACCAACCTGATCTCTTCCCTAACATGGCTCTTGCCTTTTGGTGCCCACTCAGCTGCGTTACCTGCATTACCTGCATTACCTGGAGCATGTCCAGTTGCCCTGGTCCCAGAGGAGCTGTCCTGGCTTTTGCCTATTCTGTGTTGCTGAGGCTTCCTGCCCTCCGTGCCACCTTTTGCGTGGCTGCTTTCTTGCCAGCTCAGCACCTTCATAGCTGCATGCCACCCCGCCAGCTCCCTCTCTGGATCATCTCTCTCTATAAGGAGATTACAACTCTCAGGAAGGAACAGGTTTCCCCCTTCCCTCCTGCTGCCCCTAGTGCCTCTAGGTCTCACCCTAATGTGGATACGGCATCTCCAGCAGGCTGGGCAGGAGGCTGCTCAGCCCAGTGTTCTCTGTATGGATGGCAACCATACAGGACAAAGTGACAGAATGGTGCATTCATCTGAGAGCCCCAAGGGCCTGCTTGATCAACCATTCCTGTCACTTTCAAACTCCAGTTTACCAGTGGAAGCAGTCTAAATGCCATTGTGCACAACAGATAAAGGCAGGGCTGGTCTGGATGAAAGAGAGGCCGGTCTCAAGGTCCCCAGCTTGGGTGGTGGGCTCCTTTACATTCTCACAGCCCCCCGTAGCATCTCCTAGGCAGTTTCAGAAACCCCCCTGGGACTTGGGGACAATCAGGTGTGGAGTCTCAGGACTTTGTCTCTAATCATTCTACAAAAGAGCTCAGGATTTTTGTTTCCTTCTGGGGATTAAGGAAGCAACATTTGGATAAGATTTTAGTTGGAGAGGAAAGAACCCTTTAGTAAAAATATATTTTGTGTTCCCCCTTCCTCTTCTCAGTGCTTTCAGGGAAAGTTGAAAAGGAAGCAATAATTTTCTATTTTTGATGAGCAACTTTTACTGTGCAGGTGGAGGAAGGACTCTGCCCAGGAACTAGGCAAGTATGTAAACAAACTGTCCTGGGCTATAAATAATTCCTTTCCTGTCATGACTCAGGGGGGTTGCGGACAAGCCTCCTTGAACAATTCAGAGATTTACAAATCCCACTTTTGTTATAGAAACATTGCAAAAGTAGCTTGTAATTATTTATCCTCTTTTTAAAAAATTTAGCCTTTGGGAGAGAATGGGCCATGTTTTCTCTGATGGGGCATCCTCATCCACATCAGTCTGCTCTGGAACATTGTATGTCAGTCTGTTCTTGGAATCCAGATGTGGAGTGCATGGAAACCCGTCCAGCTGGGCAAGCCCAAGGTCATGGACACGCGGGGTCTAGCTTTTAGAGTCTGAATGCTCTGCCCTGACCCCCACACAGCACACACAGCTTGTTTACTGGCAGGTGTGACCAACAATAACAGGAAAAATGACCCTCTCTTCTGAAAATCACGATTATTAATGGGGAAAGGGTGTATTATGTGGCTGCAATGTGTACTTGCCTAGAAATTTTAAATTGAAGGAAGAATCATAGGAAAAATTCTTTTTCCCCTCCATGAATCAATTTTTGGGAATTCATTTTCCAGATAATTCTGCTGTCCTTGGGGCTTTTGGAACAAGGAGAGTATTTAGTGCTTTCCAAGGGCTTTTCTCTCCTCCCCTGGCTGTGGTCCACATTCTGTTCAGGTTCCCTTTCACTGGCTCTACACAGAGCAGAGGAGGCTTGGAGGTGGGCTCAGATGGGGCTGCGGGCCTCATACCAAGGACACTCCATGTCAGGAGCTGACCCTGGGGCAGAGACTGTCAGGTGGGCTTGGAAAAGAATGTCTGGCTGCAGAGGAGCTTTGTGAAGTTTCCTTCCGACACTTTGGTGGAGGTCGGGTCCTAATGGCCTGTGCGGGGATGCCCCTGGACCTGCGGTCTGTCTGGGTCTGAAGGTCATGGACAAGTTGAACCTACCGTCCTTGCCTCCTGGCCCCTTGCTGATGAAGTGAAGAGGGGAGGACCCCACAGTCTCTTCTATCACTCTCCCTTTTTCTTCCCTTCTTTCCTTCTTCCCTCTTCATTTCCTTCCTTCTCCTCCTCTTCCTCTTCTTTCTCATATCCAGACAAAGGTGCATGCACACAATGGGATGCCCAGTCTTGGGTGTCTCCACGGAACCAGGTCCAGAAGCAAATGCTGCAGACTATGTCATCCTGCTTGGGGACATGGAAAAAGACACCACACGGTCTGGCAAGACCACGGATAAAATCCAGGGGATTTGTGAACATATATGAGGAAAGATTCTATCTTGGTTTTCACTAACATCTAACTGCACTTCAGCATTTCCATCCCCTGTATTGATGGCACCTCTGACCTCTGGTAGAAGCACAGCTAATGTTCTTTCAGGGTGGTTGTTGCAAACGTCTTGATAGTTCATGTATGCTCAGCACTACTTCAATAGGGCAGTGTATAGATTACTGCTATTTAGTGTCTTAATGAAGAAGAACACACCAAAGTTTTAAGAAACATTTTTTATAGTGCAAGTTTACTGTACAGGCATACCTTGGACACATTGTGAGTTTGGTTCCAGACCACCGTGATAAAATGAATATTGCAATAGAGTGGGTCACATGGATTTTTTGGTTTTCTAGTGCGTATAAAAGTTACGTTTGCCGAGTGCAGTGGCTCACGTCTGTAATCCCAGCACTCCCAGAGGCTGAGGCGGGCGGATCACTTGAGGTCAGGAGTCCAAGACCAGCATGGCCAACATGGTGAAACCCCATCTCTACTAAAAATACAAAAATTAGCCAAGCATGGTGGCAGGCGCCTGCAATCCCAGCTGCTCGGGAGGCTGAGGCAGGAGAATCGCTTGAACCTGGGAGGTGGAAGTTGCAGTGAGCCGAGATCACACCATTGCACTCCAGCCTGGGCATTGCAGTGAGACTCCGTCTCAAAAAAAAAAAAAAAAAAGAAAAGAAAAAAGGTTTGTTTACACTATACTGTAGTCTACTAAATGTGGAATGCTATTAAGTCTAAAAAAGTACATAGCTGAATAAAAAATACTTTATTGTTAAAAAATGCTAATGATTATCTGAGCCTTTTGCGAGTTGTAATCTCTTTGCTGGCGGAGGGTCTTGCCTGGATATTGATGGCTGCTGAATGATCAGAGTGGTGCAGCATTCCTGTGACGAGGTCACTGCAGCTGGTGGACCTGGAGGGCAAACACACATGAGGTCACTGCTGCGTGGCTGCCAGGAGCAGTGGAGAGGGCTGCAAGCGCCCTGGCAAGGGCCCTGGGGAAGTCAGCATTCCCAGGCATACCCGTTCCCTTGACAGTTGTGATTTTAGTTTCCGTAAAGAAGAATACTTCTAGTCATAGTCACTTTAGACATTATTACGGTTTTAAAATTTCATAATCAGAATGTGCAATACAGAAACACCGGACGCTTTCATGGAAACAGCAAGAGCAGAAGCAGCTCCACCTATTAACAACCTCCCTGGCTGATGCAAAGCCGGTGTTGGGAAGCCATTGGCAAACGCTGTCAATTTTGTTAGTTTCCTATTTTTCCTTTGGTTCCCTTTTGTGATTTTCTAAGCCTGATAGCTTCTTCGGAGGCATAGCAAACAAGTAAGGGTTTCTTAAACTGCATATGCCCAATAACAGGCCAGCGTGGGCACTGAAGCCCTCTGTCACAATGTCTGTTGCTCTGGCCTGGGCTTTAGCACTGCTGCTCAGAGTCAGCTTTCTTACTTTTCGTTTTGGAGATGGTCTTGTCTTTGGTGATCTGTTTAGACATTCTGGATAGTTATCTGGCCCAGATTTTGTGGTCAAGACTCCATCCACCTGTGAGCCCAGCAGGGGCCCAGAAGCATTCATATGTGTCCGTTTTTAACACGCCGAGATCCACGTTGCTTATGCTCAAAAGACAAAACTCGTATTCAGTTTAGTGGATATTCAGCCTTTCTTCGTGCTTCAGAGACATTTCTGACTATAGTGAAATGGACCTAAAGATCCTGTGGGACGAGGCAGCTCCTTACAGACCAAAAACAGGGAAGAAAGGTGAGGGCAGGGCTTGGGTCTGGCTCTGGGGTCCTGGCAACCCTTTTAAGTGGGACACGCAGGGATGGAGAAGGATGTGGTAGGAACACCCAGCTAGGCTTGCGTTGTAGGAATATCCGTTCTGGTCCAGCACAGTCTAGCAAGCCTGCAAACCACTAGGAAAAGCCTGAATGCAACTTGGGCCATATCTGCTGTGACACTGGGCAGTACAATGGCAGTGGCTGGCAAGGTGTGGGTTGGCCAGGTTGGTATCTAGGTATCTTCAGAGGCCCTGCTCATTCCGGAGAGATCCCTGAAAACTCCCAGTCTTTACTGGGACCTGGAGGTTTTAGGGGTTACATGAACTAGAAAGAGCCTGGGTGTGGTGCAGAATGATACCAATCTAGCTAGGCTGCAATGACATTTTTCCAGAAGGCCCTGGAATATTAGTTTTCTACTGCTGCAAGACAAACTAAATAGGGTAAAACAGCACCCACAGTTTCTACACATCTAGATCCCAGGCACGGCTTGACTCGGTCTTCTGCTTAGGGTCTCCCAAGGCTGCAAAACAGGTGTCACAGGGCTGAGGTCTCATCTGGAGGCTGGAGGTTCAACTGGGAAAGAATCTGCTTCCAAGCTCACTCAGGTTGCTGACAGAGTTCACCTCCTCTTGCTGCCAGACTGAGGTCCCCACACTCTTGCTGGCTGTCAGCAGGGGCTGCTCTCGGTTCCTTAGGTCTCCGCAGGTCCTTGTCCCATGGCCCTCTCACATCATGGCAGCTCTTTCTGCAAAGCCAGTGATGGGGAGAAAGTCTCTCATGTCAGAAAGGGCCCTGATCCTTCTCTTGAGCACTTTCATCTATTAAGTCAGGCCCTCCCAGAATAATCTCCTTTTTGATAACTCAAAACCGGCTGATTTGGGACTTTCATGACAACCGAGGACTGCCTTAATGGTTGCCATATACTATTGGTTAGATGCAGATCTCAGGTTCTGCCTGCCCTCAGGGAAAGGGGCCGACAAAGACATGGGCCCAAGGAGGCACGAATTATCGAGGGGTCCCAGGCCTGCGTGCCACACACAGGATTTGGGTGGCAGAACAGTGAAGCCTGAGCCTTTGCACTTGAGGCTGGTGAAGGGTGCTGGGTGTGCACTGTGTGCCAGTCTCCTCTCAGCTCCCACTGAGCTATTGACCTATAGCAACACTAGGCCCTACACTAGAGGCAAGGGCAGCAGCCTTGCAGAAACTCTTCCATTGGCTCCCGTCATTGTGAGAGCTCTGAGCACCGTGGTCTCTTGTCCCCACTAGTCTCCACCACTCTTAGTAGGTCTGTGTCTGAGTGAGTCATGCTGGATGCAGGGGGCCAGCGTCCAGGATGCTCAGACCTGGGGGCTGTGTCCTCATCCCATCAGCCCATGGCAGGAAGTCACTGCTGGTCCCTGCCTGTTTCAGGACATGGTTCTCCACCTTCTTTAGGGTTTTGCTGTTTGCAGTGAAGCACTTGCTAGGGAAACTGCATTTCCTATGCAAAGATGAAGTGTAGGGAGGGTCACACTGGGGAGAAGTGGCCACCCAGGCTGGCTTCAAAGCCCCCTTGATGACCACTAGCTGTGGCACCCCCTAAAGCACAAAAGGCTCAAGGAGAAGTCCCCCTTCCCCCAAGTCCTCCATTTATGGCACTTCAGCATCCAGAATTCCTGTGCCATCAGCTGGAAGGGAGCTTCCAGGCCTTGGACTTTGCTAGAGAGCTCAGGGGCTCTCTCCTCCATAAAGCCTTTCTTCCCTACCCCTTGACCCTCTGCAGCCTTATGTCCTCTTTCCTGTGCTCCTTTGCACCTTGTGTAGAATTTGTATAAACCTCCATTAGAATTGCTGATTTGCAGGCCTGTCTCCTAGCTAGCTAGTGAGCTTTCTGAAGACAGGCAGCCAGGGATGTTTATCTTTGCATCTCTGGCACCCAATGCATTACTTGGTGCATCATGGGCACTTGGTAAGTGTTTGTTGAATGACTGAATGAAGGAAAAGGAGTACCCGAAAAATGAAGTGATTTACTTGCTCAGAGACACAAAGATGTGAGTGATAGGGATGGAATAAAACTCAGGTCTCACTGATTATCCATTGAATAAAAACTTTGGCCCTAACATTGTTACTCTTGGCCACTTCTAAAAGGAAAGAGCCTTCATTAGCACCGAACAATGAGAGCAACTGGCTTCCCGGGCTCTCTCTGGATCTTTCTGAATCTTCTAAGACTCAGTCAAGGTTTTTCTCAGAGGAACAGGAGGCAAAGGCATAGACTGAGCCAAAGGCGTAGACTCTGGATTTGGTCTCACTGAGGTTTAAATCTTATTTTTGTCACTAGCCAGATGTTTGGCCCAGGGGAAGTGATCCGACCTCCCTGGGTCACCATTTACTCATCTGTAAATGTGGAAACAATAACGATGCCCACAGTCAGGGTGGCTGTGAGCATTAACCCAGAGAGCACTGGTGAAGGCTGCCACCTATTCACTTATTCAGCAAATATTTATTGAGCTATTATGTGCTGCTTGTTCCAAGCTAGGTCCAGGCTATGACGAAGACCCAGGGGAGCTGAGCTGTATGGGGAAGCCAGGCATGGAAACAGAAGATTGGAATGCCAAGGTGCCCCCGAGGGTAGGCCAGAAGACTCATGGACCATGGGTGGCAGAAGACCCAGGTGTGTAGTGGGAGTGACAGAAAATCAAGGAAGGCTCAAATAAAACCCAAAAGCTGGGTTTCAGCTAAGTCTTAAACATAGGGGTGCTGGTAGCTGCTCGGTATATACTAGGCTTGCCTCACTCGTTGTCATTCATTTATTTATCATCAAGTACAGCTAATCCCGTGCTTATGCAACTGTTCCATCCCCAAAGGTCTTTGTCAACTTGAACTTTGCATGAGAAAAAGATAACCTACTACATGTTTTTAAATGTTGCTTTGCATTTAAAGTTACAGATCTCCTTATGAACACACACCCCTCTCTATCTGCATGTCATTTCAAAACGCTTCTCCTTGAGGTAAAACCAAGTGGAGTTTGCATGGCTGGGAGGGAGGGTTTGGCCTTGTTCACACTTTAATCCATCCATTTTGTCTTCTAACTTGATCTCTCATTTGTGGCTTTCCCAGCTTGGACCCTTCCAGTCGTGTCCAGCAGGCAGCAGAATGTGTGTGTGCATGCGTCACCGAGAGCAGCAAGGATGGGACTGGTGTCAGACGAAGCCCTTGAAAGGGACACGCCAGCTTCTGGGGAGCAGCTTTCCCGGCACTGTCTCTGCAGCCTCAGCCTGGCCTAGCTCTGATTATGGCTCCCTCTCTTGGAGACCTTGTCACATGCCCTGCTGGGGATCTTGCCGATGTCCTTCCAGGACACTCTTCCCTGCTCTCACCTTGCTCTGTGCCTCAGAGGCTGCCCTAGATGAACTCTGTCAGACAGCTCCCCTACTTGGGCCTCCTTTTGAGGTTCCCTCAGTGGGGAGCATCCTATGCCTGAGCTGCAGGGTCTCACGGAGGTCCTGCCTCCACTTCACATACCTGGCTCCTGCTTTATCATTCTTTGAAGTTCACAGTCCTCCCTGAAACTCCATCATTCAGTGCACTCCTGTTTCCCCGTAGATAAGCTCAGGAAGAGCAGGAGCCTTTCTGTCTTGCTCACTGATGAATCCTTACCACCTAGAGTAGTGTGGCTCCTTGTAGATGCTCAATACATACTTGCCCAGTGAATGAACGAGGAATGTTTCTGTTTGGCTCCATGATGTCAAGTATTACAGTGATTGAAACCAATGAGTTGGAAATATAAATGAGAACACTATCAAGACCCATGTTCCTCAAATTAGCTTAATTTCTCTGAATTTGAGACTGTCCTTTCTCTTTTTGCTGTTCTTGCTGGCAAGCCCTGGGAAGGGGCAAAACAAAAACAAAAACAAAAACAAAACAACACAAAACAAAACAGTCCAAGTTTAATGAGGGATGCAGAAAAACCAGAGAGGAAGTGGAAGCCAAATGGCTCCATGGACTTCCAGCCACAGTGGCCACTTGCAGGAGAGCTTCCCTTAGGCTGGAGGGCACTGTCCAAGCATTTAACTCGTCTTTCAGTTTTCCTTGATCATCTCCAAAGTGGCACCCACATCCTTTCTTTCTCTCATTTTCTCCAAGCCGCTTGAGAAATTCACAAGAGTCATGGTTAGCGTCTGAGCGAGGAGAAGCTGGGGCTTAGAGGAGGAAGAGCTTCCAGCTGACCTCAGCAACTGCAGGGTTTAGTGATCTTTGGGCTGATTTTGAGTCAGAGGTGCCTTTCCTCCTTAATGCTAGAAGATGGTTATCACATGCATTGTTGTGCATGGGTTGACTGTTTTTGAAAATAACCCAAGAAAGAGTACAATGAAAAAATCTGAAAAACTGGTCATCAAGGGTTCTAGTAATGACCAGTATTTTCTTTCCTTGAAAGACCTAGTCGTTATCTATGTCCTTATTTCTCGGACTTCTGATGATACTGCATCATTAATATCTCCAACAAGGCCAGAAGGGCCACGGGGGTGCTGTCCTCACCTTGGAGACAGGGATCCACGTGCTGGCCCTGGTGGTCAGACAGGCAGGGGCTCAGTGGTGGAGTGGCAAAGGGGACCCGGCCTCAGAGGTCACTGTGCCTCAGTATTTTGGGCTTGCGAGTAGCTTTTTGTGTTGGCAAAGGGCTCTCAGTGCACCTGATATGGCTCACTCCCTGTCTGTAATCAGAGCCACGCTGCTAGACCCGGGTCATTTTCTGCTTCAGGAAAGGAGCCATGGCTGGGTGGTGGCTATCAGTCTAGAAACAGGGTTTCTGATTCTTTCGGCCAAGAATGATGGAAAAAATGGAGCTGGGGGTGAGAACTTAGCCCCAAACATCTTCTGTGAGTTAAGACTATTTTGTATTTCAACCCTTGATTTTGTTGCTACCTCCTTCCTCATTTTCTGGGGAAAAAAAAGTTCCTAACTGCACTTTAAATATATCTAGGCTGCTTGGGGCTTGGACAGACACTGCTATGTCGATGTTGCTAGCAGCGTTATTTGCAATAGCCAAAAGTTAGAAACAGCCCAGGAGGCAATCGATGGATGAGTAGATAAACAACATGTGGTCTATACATATGTATTAATTAGGTTTTTAATTTTTACTATTTCCTGATGCTGTGACATCTGGGACCTTGCTGACCCTGGAGGGGCTGCTCGTTCCAGGGACCAGCTGATTTCCAGTGAAGTTCCCCTGCAAACATCCCTTTCATAAGCAAACCAGCCAGTCCCAAGCCACCCCAACTACCTCCTCTATGGGGCTCTCACAGTCCAGGGCACTATCTCCCTGCACTCATCAGCCCAGGGCACGTACGAGACACCTAGGGACAGCCCCTGCACCCTAGAGCCTGCTGAAATCATGCAAACTAGCCAACCCTAAGCCTGCTTACCCTGCCTCGCTTGTTCCTTCCTGCGGAAACCCCAATAAAGGCTCCTGCCCACGTCTGCACCCCCTGCCCCCGTCCCCACCCCTGCCCCCTGACCCACCCTGGTGCTTCCTTGTGTGGCCCGGGGTGTGGCGTGCCCTGCCTCCTGTGTCCAGAGTCTGTGAATATTAACTTTCTCCTTCCTAACAGTCTTTTCTGTGTCTGAATTTCTTACTACACCTGATTGAAACAAATCCCCAGCACATTTTAAAACAACATACATGGAGTGTAATTCAGCCGTAAGAAGTAATGAAGTTCTGCCCCATGCTACAACATGGATGAAATTTTTTTTTTGTGTGTGTGTGTGTGTGTGATGGAGTCTTGCTCTTTTGCCAGGCTAGAGTGCAGTGGTGCTATCTCGGCTCACTGCAACCTCCGCCTCCTGGGTTCAAGCGATTCTCCTGCCTCAGCTTCCTGAGCAGCTGGGATTACAGGTGCATGCCACTGCGCCCGGCTAATTTTTTGTATTTTTAGTAGAGACGGGGTTTCAACATGTTAGCCAAGATGGTCTCGATCTCCTGATGTTGTGGTACACCCGCCTCAGCCTCCCAAAGTGCTGAGATTACAGGCGTGAGCCAAGGTGCCTGGCCACAACACGGATGAATCTTTTTTTTTTTTTTCTCTTTTTTTTTTAGAGACGGAGTTTCGCTCTTTCTCCCAGGCTGGACTGCAGTGGTGCTGTCTCGGCTCACTGTAAGCTCCGCCTCCCGGGTTCATGCCATTCTCCTGCCTCAGCCTCCCGAGTAGCTGGGATTACAGGCGCCCGCCACCGCGCCCGGCTAATTTTTTGTATTTTTAGTAGAGACGGGGTTTCACCGTGTTAGCCAAGATGGTCTCGATCTCCTGACCTCGTGATCCGCCCGCCTCGGCCTCCCAAAGTGCTGGGATTACAGGCTTGAGCCACCGCGCCTGGCCACGGATGAATCTTAAGGATGTTATGTTAAGTGAAGCAAGCCAGGCCCCCAAATGCTCCGACATACCGTGAAACACAACTGAGGGGTAAGAAAGAACAAACTATTGATCCCTGCGACAACTTGAATGAGCCTCCAAGGCATTAGGGTGAAAGAAGGCAATCTCAAAAGGCTACACATCCATGTATATGACATTCCTGAAAAGGTGACCTAGGGAGAAAGAGTAGATTGGTAGTTGTAAGCGGTTGGGGTGGGGGAGGTTGTGAATATAAAGGGGAGGTACAGGGAGTTTTCTTGGGGGATAGAACATCTCTGTATCCCAGTTGCAGTGGTGGTTACACAATCTATACATGTCTTAAAGCTCATAGAACAGTACACTGAAATAGTTATTTTTATTATTTATTAATTGAAAAAGGACAAAAGAGGTAAAATGACTCTATCAATTCAATTGAGATGTCATTATTTTTATTTTTATATTTATTTATTTATTTATTTGAGATGGAGAATTGCTCTACAAGGCTGGAGTGCAGTGGTGAGATCTCGGCTCACTGCAACTTCTGCCTCCCAGATTCAAGCGATTCTCCAGCCTCAGCCTCCCGAGTAGCTGGGACTACAAGTGCGTGCCACCACACCCAGCTAATTTTTCTATTTTTAGTAGAGATGAGGTATCACCATGTTGGCCAGGCTGGTCTCAAACTCCTGAACTCAGGTGATCTGCCCGCCTCGGCCTCCCAAAATGCTGGGATTACAGGCATGAGCCATTGCACCCAGCCTTGAAATGTCTTTAAAAATACCTTTACCTTTAGTCAGATACCTAAAGGATAAAAACTGTATGATTCCACTTATTTGAGGTAGCTAGTGTCCCAGCTACAATCAAATTCGTAGAAGCAGAAAGTAGGATGGTGGTTGCCAGGGGCTGGGGTTGGGGGCTGGGGAGTTGTCTAATGGGGATAGTTTCAGTTTTGCAAGATGCAAACGTTTTGAAGATGGAGGGTGGTGATGGTTGCACAACAGTGTGAATGTTCTTAATGCCACTGAACTGTACGCTGAACAACGAATTAAGACAGTAAATTTTATGTTGTGCATATTTTACTACAATAAAAACCAGCTAGGCTGCTGGCCAGCATGTCCATCAGCGCCGTGGGTGGTGGCTCCTGAGGGTGGGGTGCAGTCTCCCTCATCTACCCAACACCTGCAGGCACCTGGCCTGGGATACCTCATTCCTGGCCAGGTATCACATCATCCTCACATGTCTTTGGCCTTGGGAGCCTGGCTTGCCTGGTGACCAGGGGCTTTGCTGTGATCCTGATGGCTGCTGAGAAGGTCTCTCTCTTACCAAACCAGAAGAAAGACATCCTTTATGGCAAATAGCACCGTGAAAACAGCTGGGCCTACAAGGGTTGTGGCAGCAGCTTCTGCCTGAGAAACCGCGGCCGGGTCGTTGTGGCCTCAGGGAGTCCAGGCCTCTGCTTGCTTGGTGGGACTCAGTCCCAGCTGTGGGTTGCTATCACTGCAGCTGTCTGCTCTCATTTTGCATTTTTGTTCATCTGGAGCCCTCCCCACCTCACCTGCAGAGCCCAGGAGGTGGCACACTCTGGGAGGTCCCAGGCAGAAGAGCTGGCTTAGGGTGGTGGGTGCCCCATTGCCTGGGATTTGAGAACCTGCCCCTTTGGTTTTTATAATTAGATTTCTAACAGGATCCAAGTGAAACCACAACCCAAACCCTAAGCTGTGAACCCAGCAGCTTTTCTGAGCACACCCCTCCCCTTACACACATCACAGGCCTGGGACCGTGGCCTCCAGGCTCGGGGAGACTATAGACCTTTGTTTGCTTCCTTTCAGGGCTTGAGGCGGTTTTTCTTCCCCTCCCCAGTCTTGCAGATTCTTTTGAAAACCCCAGAGTCCCACTTTCAACTCCTTCTTCTGGTCTCTGATAAAAGGCATGCTAAGAATCACTTCTAACAGTTTCAGTGAGAGCTAAGAAAGCTGTCTGCAAAGACAGGACATCAAAGCACAGAGCTCAGGTGTGCTCTGGCTGGCCTGAGACAGCCCTGTGGCGGGAGGGAGCGTCTGCAGCCTCCAAACTGGCCCTGCTGCCCCCAGGGGTCCCAGACTTCCCTGGCTGCAGCCCCTGCCCTGGGCCTCCTGGCTACTGCCCGTCTGTACCTAGCCTTCTGGCAGGAGCCAGAGAGCTGACTGCCAGGAAAAGCCACAGCGAACCCTGCAAATTGCCCAGATACCTGGAGACAACATCTTAATTGCCCTGTGAAGAGCTGCCTGGCTGGAGAGTCCCTTTCTGTGGGTAGGCAAGGTTTGAACTTCAAAGAGGTTCTCGCCTGGTTCACAATGTTTACAGCAGCTCCAGGAGTGACAGAATAATTTTGGTGTCCTTGGAGAGAGTTGCCTGGCAGGGCTTCTATGTCTGCTGTGGTCTAAGAGCCTCAGGGGGACCACGATTTGTGGGACTCACCACAGACAGCCCTACTGTCCCGGGAATGCCGCCGGCTCTGCTTTTATGGTGTCTTTGACTCCAGCTCTAGGCTCTGGGCATCCACCATGGGGTGGGGCCAGGGTATGGGCTGGCCGGGGGCTAAGTTCACTGACCGTGGCCAGCCCGGTCCTGGGCATGTGAGGATCACCACCTATGTGTCTCATTCCAGAGTTTCATGGTTGGGGGCTCTGGTGGGGTGACAGGTGATTTATCAATTTATTTCCATCTTCTCGACTCTAGCCTCCTTGCAGGAAGGGGGTGGGTTTGGAATCATCCCCTCACTCCTCAGTCATCACCCAGGGCAGTCCCTTACATACCTCAGCTTAGGCCTGGCTGCTGAGAGTGTGTGTGATGGTGGATCATGCCTGCTGGAGAAATGCAGGCCTGGATCTTCCTGTTGCAGATGGATCCACTGTTCCAGTGTCACTACCTAGCCCATGCTTCACGGCATAAAGCAATGCCTATTTCCCTGGGCTCATGTGTTCTGTGAGTCAGGTGTTCAGGCAGGGCTGCTGGAAAGCTCACCCAGAGGGGTGACTCCATAGCTGGGGCATGCAAACACCTGGGTGTGTTCTATCTGCGGGCTCAGGGCTGGGCTGGAAGCTCTGCAAGGCTAGGCTTAGCTGGGCAGCTGCCTGGAGCACTTCTGTGTGGCTTGAGCTTCCTTACAGCATGGTGGCCTCAGGGCAGACTTCCTCTATGGAGGCCCAGCACTTCAGAATGGGTGTTGGTGGAAAAGTTAGAAGCTGTGTGGCCCCTAGGATGCCGCATAAAAGCCCAGCTTCTACCTTTCTACCTTGGCCAATCCCCAAGGATTGCTTTTATCATATGCCCTTGGTGGAAGCAGCAGGCCATCCCAGATTCCAGGGAAAGCCCATAGACCCCACTCTCAGTGGGGGAGGGCCAGACACCACATTGACATGTGTGCTTATCCCATGAGGAAAACATTTATATTTGTTTTATTTTTATTCCTCAAAATAGACCCTTGAGTTGTGGATAGACAACTTAAATGCAAATCAGGAAACCTGAGTCCTGGTGTCAGAACCCCGGGAAGTTAATGAAGTGTGGTAGGCCACAGACACGCTCAGCCTCAGTTTCCTTATCTTAGTAGTGAGGGTGCCATCATGGTAGTTTAATGTGCTGCCTGCAGAGAAAGTGCTTAGGGAGGAGGTGAGGACTGTCTCACACCAGTCCACTCCCCTGGGGGACACGGGGGCTCTGGGCACCCTCTGCCTCATGCCCACAACTCCTGCAGAAATTGCTCCTGATCTAGGTGTGAGGATTGTGGGGGGCCTGGGTGGAGCCGGCTGCACTGATGGAAAGTTGCTGCTGGGGAGAGTCACTCTAGGCTTCATTCAACTGTGACGTGAATGTCAGCCTGGGCTCTTTCAGCTGGGATGGAGAAACAGCTGTTCTCAACACGGATGAGGCCCCAGCCTTGGCCCTGCCAAGCCAATGGGCTGTGTGGCCCTGGGCCAAGGACATAGCTCTAGGATTTGTCTGGTCCTCGTGGTGCTTCACCATGAGAGCAGGGGAGGGTGGCAGTGAGACTTCTCTGGATGATAGAGAGGAGAGAATGGGAGGGCGGCATGCACCCAAAGAGATGGCTCCATCATGGAGCAAGGGACACGCTGCCTGGAGGCCACAGCCAGAGGAGCATCCTGGCTCCCAAGGATGGAGAACCAATGCCTGTCTGCAGGCTTGGCAATCGCCTCAAAGAAGTCCCAGGGCCTGATCAGAGAGACTCAGTGCTAAAGGGATGCAGGGCCTGGTCTCGGTGCTGCATGAGGAGGGCTAGCTGTCCACCATGGTCAGCCCAGCTGCCAGCCCTCCCCAGGTCTGGCCTGACAGATAGAGAATCTGGAGCTACAAGTGGGAGGGGGTGCCACCCGTGCAATCAGATGTCTGGCCCACTTCCAATGCCAATGTGATTTTATTGTTTTCTTGGTGGTTTGCTTGGGAAGGGGTTGTGGATGCCACAGGCACTGGGAAAGGCAGCTCTGGGAGAAGGCAAGGCAGGGTTTTGCCAGCCAGCCTCAGGCCCCTCATCCAAGAACTGAGGGAGGCTGGGACCCTTCAGAGGGCAGGATTGTGGATTTGGTATCACCTGCTTTCCCAGTTTTCAGCAGAGAGCTGACAGGCAGGGGCTGACCGCACGCGCCTCTCCTGCTGCTGGAGGGAGCGGAGAACAGACTGTCCACTCACTCCAAGCCCAAGTGGCTGCTGTGCTGCCCGCTGGACCTCCAGAATCCTTCTCTGCACCGCACATGAGATGCACCAGTGTTGGGGCCCTGGCCTTTCCTAACACGATTTGACCTTTTGTACCTCCAGGTCTCTGCATGTGCTGACTCCTGGAATTCCCACCAACAAACCGTTTCTCCACCAAAACACCAGAGCAATCCCTCCCCGAAGCCTGTCCTAGGAGGGCTCATTGCTGGCTCAGATACTGGGCAGGGCCCTGCTCCCCCGCTGTGGGCCTTGGCCATCTGATGTCCGTGTGTGCGTACATACAGAGATTTCTCATGGGAATTGGCTTATGTGATTATAGAGGCTGAGAAGTCTCACAATCTGCCATCTGCAAGCCAGAGACCCAGGCCAGCTGATGATGTAATTCCAGTCTAAGTTTGCAAGCCTGAGAACCGGCAGTGCCGGCGTCCAAGGGCAGGAGAAGATGCATATCCCAGCTTAAGCAGAGAGAGCACATTAAGTGTACTCTGCTTTTTGTTCTGTCTTGGCCCTCCATGGACTAGATGGTGCCCACCTGCATTGGTCCACTTCTTTAGTCAGTCTACTGATTCACATGCTAATCTCTTCTGGAAATTTTCAAACAGACACACCTAGAAATACTGTTTTACCAGCTATATGGACATTCCTTAGCCAGGCGAGTTGACAAAATTCACCATCACACTTGCTTAGTTTGAGCCCACAACAGGCAGAAGTGCCAGGAGTTAACTCAGGAATTCTTCAACTGATCCTTCTCAGAGTGGAGTATGAATACCCCAACTCCACCAGTCCCAGGATTGGGGAGGCACATGAGTTTCACACCAGGACTCCACAAAGCCTGGCGTGTGGGTGGGTGCAGGGCTGCCCACTGTTACTGGGCCATGGAGAGGTAAGCACAGAAATTGAGAGTGAGCAGACACTTTTACAGCACTAGGTTATAGAAGCAACATCCAAGCTCATGGTCATTTTTCTAGCAATTCATTTCAGCAAATATATCTCGCAAAAGTGTCCATTGGCAATGAATTGGCTAGACCGACAAAAAGTTCCCAGTCCTTCGCTACAGATAGTTTGAGAACGCAGTTTGCTACCATGGCCAGAAACACTGGGTGTGTCTTTGCTGTCCCGGCCATTTGCTGCTGGCTTCTGTGGAGCCTTTCTCCACACGTCTGTGGAGAGTGTTCTGTGCAGAGCTGAGACCCCAGGGGCCAGGGCTGGAGACGTGCCGGCATGGCCTCCTCAGCAGCCATGGCAACATGGGACAGAAGGATGGCTGCCTCCGAAGCATTGTGTGGAATCGTCCTGAAGACAGCAGGGATGCGGGGGCCCCCAGCTGGTTTCTGGGGCAGCCTTCAGGGCACTGCTTGTTGCTTTCCGGATAGGCGTTGGTGGCGGAAGCAGCTGACCTGCTTCTGCTGGCCACCTTGGAATCCGGGACTCTGCTAAACCAGGACAAAGGCCAGAAGGGTCTTGGAAGGGTCTGGAGGGGAAGAAGGGAGTTGAATGGCGTCATTTTTGTTGAAGGCACAGGGCTGCCTGTTTCCCATGGAAAAGTAAAAAGATGAACAGACAGATAATCAACTGAGGTAAACAACTCTTGAAGAGTGGGCAGAACCTTCTCTAAGGTCATGACTCCTTTGAGAAAGTGACGAAAGCTGTGGGCTCTGTTCCCAGGAGATGCACGTGGGTGTGCAAACATAAACACATGCCCAACTGTAAACACATACACACGCATACATGCATGAATGAACAATTACACATGTTCATACATGTGCAACCACTGGGCACATGTGCACACATGCACAAATGTACAAATGCATGCCATTAACACAGGACATATACATATGCTTGTGTGTACACATACAAGAAAACCACACACAGGCACACACATGTGTTTATGCACATGTGTGCACACACGCACACATATGCACACACATGTACACACGTGGACACATGCACATGCACACACAAACTGCACACATGCACATTTACACATGTGCAAATGATGTTGTGCCACCTCCCAGGTGTTGTTGACACTCAGAACCATCTCTACAGTTTCCAGGGCTCAGAGATCCTGTTTTAAAAGAAAAGTGGGCATTTAAAAAGCTGCAAGAAGGAAAAGGAAACTACAGGAAGGAAATAAAAAGTCTCAAAGACTGCCTAATTAAAGTGACAGAGAGCCATTCCTTACTGCTCACTCTGCAAACCTGTGCTACGGCTGAGAGGTGCCCTCTAGAAAGGAAATGACCTACAGTTCTGGGATGTATGGTGCCATCTCCCCAGGCCTCCCCCATTGGCTTGAGCAGAGAACAGATGGCAATTTCAGCTGCAGGAAACTCAGAGAGGCACGTCTCAAACTTCAGATGCCAGGGTTGTTCCTCTGCCCCAGCCTCCAAGAAAACCTTCACAGTCAAGTCTGGCGTTGACACTATCCCCTGGAGAGCCCCTTGGTCCCTAGAGAGTCAGAGGCTTATGGCCACATGGGCTAGGCCTACGCCTTGTCACTGGGAGCTCTGGTCACTTGGCCCCTAGCCACTGGGGAGGTCAGGAGGGACTCTGGAAAGCTCCTTCAAACAGGGAGTCATTAAAAGTCCCTGCCCAACTATGTGGCTGATGGTTTTCCTGAGGCTGGGTAGGAAGGAGCAATGGGTGACCTGGGGCCCAGCATGGGGCAGCAGGACCTGGGGACCCCTGCCTTGCAGAGGCCCACACTCATGACTGGCACCGAGCCATAGCAGCACATCTCTCCCAGTGTGTGCACGTGCACACACACACAAACACATGCACACAACCACAGGCATGCACACACACACACAAAACCACAGTCACGCACACACACAAACACACAAACACATACACACAAAACCACAGGCATGCACACACACACAAACCAGGTCCATTTGACACACACATGTCACACACACAAACCACAGTCATGCACACGCACACACATAAACACAGACACACATACACAAATACACAAACACACACACAAAACCATAGGCATGCACACACACACACAAAACCACATGCATGCACACACACACACAAAACCACAGGCATGCACACACACACACAAAACCACAGGCATGCACACACACAAAACCACAGGCATGCACACACACAAAACCACAGGCATGCACGCACACACACACACACACACAACCACAGACAGGCACACATGTGCTCATCCTGAGACTGGAAAGGGTGCTGGGCAATCCACATAAATGTCCCCTTGAATCTTCTGGTGGCCCCATGGGCAGGCTCCAGAAGCTCCATCTTACAGGTGAACAGATTGGCTACACTTTAGAGGAAAATGAAGCTCGGTGAGGTTGCACAACCTGAGGTCACACAGTGAGGATGGCATCCAGGACTCCAAACCAGGTGATCAGGCTTCAAAGCCTGCATCCTCCCCATGATCCTGCCCCTGGCCCAGGGGACTGCTAAACCCAGTGTGCTGAGGACAAGGAGGACATGGGCTTAGATGAGCCTGGCCTGGACAAAGCTGTGTGGTACAGAGTGACCTGCACAGCTCATGGCCCCATCTGAGCACCAGAGTCCCATGGGATACTGAGCCACAAGACTGAGCCTACCCAGACCAGCTCTGGGAAAGAGCCTTCCCGTCACCCGTCTTGTGGCCATCTGCTTAGGCAGGGTGGCTGGACCTCAATTCCCAGGCAGCTGTGTCAAGCGAGGGGGGGGGGGTCCCTGAAAGAAGCGTGGGCCCCAGATGTGCTTTATGGAGTGGGGAGATGTAGGTTGTACAACACTTCATTACTGCCCGCAGCTGGGAAACAGCTGCCGCTCTCAGCTGGCCGGGCTGCCTGGCCCCTGGGCCACAATAGGATTGTGTGTGGGAGCTGGCAGCAGAGAGTCATTAAAGAAGCCAGCTAGGCTCTGGGAGGAGGGATTATGCTGATGCCGCAGTCCCAGAAGCTGGCCTCTGCCAGGGGAGCTGGTAATTGCGGACCAGCCACCTGGACTCTCTAGGACTCTGTTCTCCTCTTCAGAGAGAGTTGTACTCAGCTCTTGGGGTGGTTGTGAGGACTGAGGATGCAACAAATTTCCATCACACTTCAGCACAGCTCTTAGGAACTAGTGGGGTAAACCAGAGATTATCAAAGCTACTGGCTGAAATTTGCCTGAATTTCACAATGTTGCTCACCAGTAGGAATTGCTGGGGTGCGGGGAGGAAGTTCCAGGCCTGTCAATGTCAAAAACAGATCTTTCCAAGGATGCCGTCTCTCTGCTGCCTCCCTTCTGTGACAAGAGCTGTCGGTAACTGTGTTGGTGGTGAGCTACCTGGAAACTTAGTGTGAGAAACTACTAGTGGGTCCTGTGGGTCAGGAATTTGGAGACTGCATGGTGGGGACGGCTCCTCTCTGCTCTACCATGTCTGAGGCCCAAGCTGGGACATCTGACTGGTGATAATTCATTCTTACATCTTGACAGGTTTGTGGGTTGTCAACTGGGTCCTCAGTTCCTCTCCGGATGGCTAGTTGGACTTTCTCACAGCATGGTGGCTGGGTTCCCAGGATGAGTCCTCAAAGAGCCCAAAGGAAGCTACATGCTATTTATGACCTCACCTTGGCCACCCCACAGCATCCTCGCTGCCAGGCTCTCTTCATGCATATATACTACCCAGATTTAAGGGTGAGGACAAAAACCCCCTAGGGGGAGGAGTGTTGATCACATTGTGAGGGGAGCATGTGGTATAAGATATGCACATATACCCAGACATACACACACAGCTGTGGCCGTCTCTGAAAAACAGCAGCCTGCCCAGTGTTCCTGTGAGTTTTTATAGAGAGACAGAGCTTTGTCTAGGGTTTCAATCTTACAATACTCTTACTAAAGATCCTTCTGAAATGCAGTCACAAGCTGGGAGAATCCAAGAGAGCAGAGACCCCTTAGGAAAGAGCATCTCCTGGGATCTGGCCTCAGGAACTTACAAACAAGTTGGAGAAAGACCATGTAAACATAAACAAATATGCCGAAACACCCGCATAACATTTTGAGACAAAGAGAATTGCACTAATGTAAGATGAACTCAATTATGAAATTGTACAGTGCCTGGAGCTCTGCCCTGAGTGGCCCCACCAGGATCCATGGGAGAAGATTTGTCCTTGACTGAAAAGCCGGGACAACCAGCTATTTCTCCAGAGTTGCTCTGATTAGTCTGTTACCACTGAGTTTTTAAATGTATCCACACTGTATATACGATTTAAAGTAATGAGTTATTTCTTCTGTAATTAAAAAAAATAACATAAAAGTTAAATAACATAAAAGTTAAAAAAAACAACTCTTTCTTTCTTTTTTTTTTTTGGATAGGGGTTTTTACTCCTGTTGCCCAGGCTGGAGTGCAATGGCATGATCTCGGCTCACCACAACCTCCACCTCCCGGGTTCAAGCGATTCTCCTGCCTCAGCCTCCTGAGTAGCTGGGATTACAGGCGTAGACCACCATGCCTGGCTAATTTTGTATTTTTAGTAGAGATAGGGTTTCTCTATGTTGGTCAGGCTAGTTGTGAACTCCCAACGTCAGGTGATCCACCCGCCTCCGCTCCTTTTTTTTTTAATTGAAGAAGTCAACATTCCTTCTTATCTCCACCAGGCTGACCCTGGTGGCAACCGCAGTTAATAGCTTCATGTGAATTGTTTGTTTGTTTTCAAAACCTAGATTTTAATCTTTTAAATTCTTTTAAAAATATTGCCACCATCAAGGCGGGGCACCAGTCACATGGGCATGGAGGCAGTCTAGGCGCTGAGGGGGCTGGGCCACGTGTCCCCCTTTTTGGGTAGAGGGGTGAGGGTGGGGAAGGAATATGTGGGCTGGTGACCCAGAGAAGGGGCCTGGGACCAGGGCAGGGGCATTGGGAGCCAGCTTGGAAGTGTGTAAGCTGCCTAATAAAAGTGACAGAGAACCATTTCCCACTGCTCTTTGATGTTTTTGTTTTTTTAAATTTTTTTAATTAATTTTTTTTTATTATAAAAGAAAACTTTTTTTTGGCCTCCCAGGTAGCTGGGATTAAGGTGCCTGCCACCATGCCTGGCTAATTTTTGTATTTTTTAGTAGAGACGGGGTTTCACCATGTTGGCCAGGCTGGTCTCGAACTCCTGACCTCTGATGATCTGCCCGCCGCGGCCTCCCAAAGTGCTGGGATTACAGGCGTGAGCCACTGCGACCAGTCTTGATGTTTGAAATGATATTTGAAATGATACTCATAGCTGTTCCAGCACTGGCCCACAGAATTTTTGCATAATTATGTTTTTCTTGTTGTTTGTAATACTGTTTCTACTCTCTGATCATTCCTGGATATTTCTCCAGGTGACAACGCGGGAATCATTGCATTTTAGGGGAACTCTTTTTATTGAAATATCTCTTCCATATAGAAAAGGGCACACACCAGGATTGAACAACATGATGAATTTTCCCAAGGTGAACCCAAATGTGTTGTCAGCCTGAGAAAGGACAATATCAGCCCCCAGAGGCTCCCTCTGAGTGCCAACCACCCTCCAAGCCTGGTCACCATCCTTATCTCTGAAACCATAGCTGACTTTCATCTATCTTAGAAGGTATATCATTGCAACATGCAGGGTGCGTTTGTTTGAGTCTGGCTCCTACAGCACAGCATCACGTCTGCGATAATCAAAGGTTGCATTCTTTTGGACACCTGCGTTGCAACCCCTGGATTGTTGAGCCCCTCATTTATTTAGAGAAGCCATTAGGATTATAATTAGTGATGTGTTTTTTTTTTTTCTGCCAAAATTTATAGCTGCCCTGGGACTTCCTTCACAGGCAGTAGAGAAAGTGGATGGGAACAGTCCGGGCAATTATGAAGCTGGAACAATTGTAGGCTTGGATATCCCCAGAGACTTGGGTAGGATTCCTGTTGGCTTTGTGACTCTATGGCTTCTCATCTGTGGGAACATCGACAGTGGTACCAGCATGCGTTGGGGGCTGTCTAGGGTAGGCTGCGTGCAGGACACCTTATGTGTAGGGTCCACTGGGTCTCTACTACCACACAGGGGAATGCAGTTACTATCCCCACGACACAGATGAGTTAACTGAGGTATGCTCACAGAGCTGGTAAGGGCAGGGAACTGAAACCTGGACCCAGAGTGTCTGGCTTCAGAAGCCAGGCATCCATGCTCTGGGCCATGTTGTCTTCTTGAGCAGAATGGGGGCATCCAGGGTCCTTTCAGGCATATCCTTCTTCAGACACAGCCTGTGGTCCCTCTGCAGGGCCCTGGAGTAGGTCACTGTGTTCAGTTTCTTTTGTTTAAGCTGGGGATTTCCATAACCCCTGCTACATGTAGTCTCTAGGTTCAAGCTGTTCTGTGGGTGAGTCTGATGGCTCCTTCCAGCACATTCGTTCAGCTGGCCAGGGCTGAGGCTCCAGTGTGGGTCAACTGGGACAGCAGAGTCCAGCAGACATTTCACCAGAGTATACTTGGGAAGTCACTGTGGTCGTGGGCAGCTGGTGCCCTCCATACGGAGAACTGGAAAAACATTTATTTTAAAAGAATTGAATATACCACTTTGGAAAATCATGCCAGTATGCGAACCCATTGTTTTTTAAATGGGTCTTGTTCTCCCAGTGAATACTTGCTTGGTAACTCTTTTTTGCATTATATAATTGATTTACACATTCTCACCTTTGCCAGTGAAAGGGAAAAATCACACAGATGACAAAATGCCCAGAGCATCTGAAACCACACCCTTGTCCTGGGCTTCAGTATCCTGGGGAAGTTCTCATTTGCAAATAATAAATTGCTGTATATTTCCTCTTCCTCCCACTGCTTGCCATCACATGGAAGTAGCAGAAAAAGTCCAAGTTCTAGAGTCCACCTACACTGGCCTTGGATTCCAGCCTGCCCGCCTGCTAGTGTGTGCACCTTTGGGTAGGTGGCCAGGTTCTCCCATTGGAATGAGCCATGGCTGGTGGCCTGCCTGACTCCCCTGAAGTAATGCAGGCCCAACTGAGGATGAGCAGCATCCCATCCTCAGGGAATCCCCACCCACAGGAAAGAAGAGCACAGAGGGTGGACATAAGACTTGCAAGCGTCCTCAGTTGAAGCTGATGTGTAGGAAAAGTGGGTGCTGCTGGTGGGAGGGCAAGGGCATTGCAGAGGAGCTCTGGGCAAGGCAAGCTCAGTACAACAGGCAGGCAACCAGTTCTCCCTCTCCCCACCTCCTTCTCACCAGGCCGTTCCTGGGACTGTCAGGGAAAAGACACATGCTTGGCTCTGAGTGTTGGGTATTTAAGTTCTGAAGTTCGGAGTATTTAAGTGCTTCCAGTGGACAGTCACTAACAGAGGCTGAAGGCCCAGGGGCAGGCCACCCTGTCCTGTAGATGCCCAGAGCTGTCTCTTCTAAAGCTCAGGATCTAGGCCACATCCACGAGCAACTCAAGCCAGGAACCAGGTGTCACCCTGACTTCTTGCCCCTGGGTCCTGGCACCCCTGCATTTTGGGAGTCTCCAGATGCCACACCTATCTCACTGATGCTCCTCCTCAGTGAAGCACAAGACAGCTTGCTAACTGTTGTGTTCACAACCATTTTGCATGACACCAACCTGGTTCCTCCCTAGCCCTTCTCAACATCAGTGTGATGGTGTCACCCACCCTTAGGAGCCCCCATACCTCTGCTGCAATGTGTGTCAGTCTTGATGTTGGCATGGCACCTTAGTTCCTTTATTCTGTTAACATTTTATTATAAACACTTTACAACATGCAGAAAAGCTGACATAATTGTACAGTGAAGAATTGTGTTCACAGTGTAGGTGGACATCCTCCTGACAACTGGATCCCATGATTAACCTTTTACTATCTTTGCTCTACCACATGTCTCCATCTCTCTGCCCTATCACCATGTCCATCTCATTTTTTTAATGCATTGCATGGAAGTTTCAGACATCAGTACATGCCACCCTAACACTTTAGCATGAATGTTATTGACTAGATTTCAGTATTTGTTAGCAGTTGTTTTTTGGGGGGAAGGGGTCAGATTTTCATTCAAAGACATGAACATATATTAACAGAACAATCTGATGTATTTAGGCAAATGCATCCGCTTCCATAATCCAAATTCTATAGAGATATAGGGCATCACCATTGCCCTAGAAAGTTCCCTTCTGCCCCTTCCCAGCCAATCCCCACCTTCAACTCCCCAAAGATAACACTGGCAGCATTTTGTCAACATAGCTTAGCTTTGCCTTTTCTGGAAATTCGTATAAACGGAATCGTAGAGTATACACGCTTCCGGTTTATTGATTCATCTGTGTGGCCGATTACATGCATCTGCAGTTGGCTCCTTTTAATTGCTGAGGAGTGTTCCAGCATACAGAGGTAGTGCTGCGCTGTTGATGGATGCCTGGATGCTTTCCAGCTGGCAATAGTGAGTAACAAAGCTGCTATGTGCCTCCTTGCACACATCTTTGGATGGATGCTTTCGTAATACACATGGGTGAAATGGCAGTGTGCACACCAGCCTCTTTGTGACATGCCCCTTGCCTACTTCTCAGCCACACAGCCCTGGCTGCGGAGAAGCCCTGAGCTGTTTCTCATATACCAGATGCTGTTTCATATGCGAGGACTGTGTGCGCCGGGTCCCCAACCTCTGACACTCTCACTCTCTTCTGGGTGTTCCCTCCTCCGTCATCTGTGTTCCTGCAACAAGTTCGATTCCAAGGTTTTCCTTTGACTCCAAGGGTTTCCTCTGATTCCAAAGGTTTCTTCTTGAAGTTATTCCAGGAAGTGCTGGCAAGTGTAGGACGTGCATGCTATATGTGATGAGCTGTCACCACTGGACACTGGGGCACAGTCCCTGGAGACCTCAAGGGCAAGCGCAGAACTGGCTTTGGTGTTGTCTTCTCTGGAGGCTAAGAAGCTGGGGAGATTACCCTCTGACTTCTGCAGTGCCTCCCATCACCAGCTTTGTTGCCCAGGCAGGCTCTCAATCAGTTCCCGAACCCACCCGGAGAGGCTGAGTGGAGTGTGCAGGGAGCATCCTCAGGCAGAGCCCGGCATTGCAGTAGGGCCTGCAGCTCTGTGGGAAAACAGAGACCCAAGGTCAGGCTAGCAGGGCACCCACAATGCAAACCACACCTTCTCCAGAAGCCTCCCCTGACCACCTTTTGCGTATTCTTTCCTCTGTGCTCTGATGTCACAGGGCACATGCATGCCTGGCGGTGCTCGCTTGTGCCAGTTGCAGTGGTCTGTTGGTGAGGTTTTCCCTCTCAGCTGCAAACTCCTCAGGGAGTCTCTCCATCTCTGCACCCCCAGGACTCGAAACAGCCCTTGAATGCATCAATTCACTTGTACCCTTACCACACTATCTATTCTGTCCCAGGAGTCACCTTCTACAGTGTCCTGTCACAAAGGTTTGGCTGGGACTGCTGGCAAAAGCCACTGGCTTGCTGCCTGTCCCTCCCTGGCAAGCCAGGCCTGTGTGCTGTGTGTGTAACCTTTGACAAAGTTTGTGGTCTAAAGGTTATGCTGACTGGGCTGGAGGTGAGGCGAGGACAGCGTGTGTTGGAGGTTGGTGGAGTTTTGCCAACTAGAGCAAGCTTAGTGCCACCCCCTCGCTGGGCCCTGTTCCCTGAGGAAAGAGCCTATGGTTGGCTCTTACAAGACCACAGGTCAGTCTGTGCCTTCCTGTGTGCGTCTCACCCTGGTCGGGTGGGGTAGAGTGAGCACAGAACTAGGCACATGGTTCCAGGCCGCTTCACTGCTTCCTTAAGGTTGAGAATGTCCCCCAGGTCTCTTGTGCCTGGGATTAGTGGAAGCAGGTCCTGCTGGGACTGCAGCTGGGTGCCCTGGTCACCAATCCAGCTTCAGGAACTGAGCTGGATACCTGACACCTTAAGTGGGGTCATTTGCCCTATGGACCCACATCTGGGCACAGGGCCATTTCGTTCTCAACTCTTTTGTCAGGAAATCTTTTCGTGTTCTACTCACTTGGTGATTTTGTCCATTCAACACAGGTTTTTGGAGTCCCTGGCAGGGGCTTGGCAGATGCTGTGATGTATTGGTCCAGGGAATCGGCTTCCACCCGCAGCCCCAAAGCTCTTTCTTTCTGGCATCCCCATCCATGAGGGCTGGCTGTAGGTCAAGGTGGGGTGCTGCACCCTACACCATCACTCAGAGATCCACGGCCCTTCCATCACGTGGCCCTGCCATCCTCCTGGGCCCTGGGTTTCTCAGTTGGATTCTGTGAATCCAGGAGGTGAATGAGGAGAAAAACAGCATGGAGGATCCCATGGGAGGCTTCAGGGCCAAGCCTGAGTAAGATGCGCGTCACTTCTGCTCACAATCAATTTCCCAGAGCTTTCTCAGGACCCCCTCCCCACCCCAGCCACCCACGAGGCTGGGAAATGTGGTCTCCAGGGCTGGAGGGACACGTGACATCATCCTGGCCACACGTGGGGAAGGTTAGACCCGCCTCTCGGCCATAGGTGGCTGATGATCTAGTGAGCAGGATGCGTCCACACCCTTGCTGGTGACACTGCCTATGGAGGGGTATGGGCCCTGACAACAACAGCCTCATTTTCCAGTTCCTAGGTCAAGAGACAACTGTTTCCAATGTAAACATTCTTAAATAATTCTAAAATTAATTCTCACTTGGTTATACATGTAAGGTATTTTCTCCCAAGTGGTGCTGCACAGCAACAGTCATACCTGGAGAGCTTCCTGGGGAGTGGCTGGCAGAGTTGCTGTGTGGTGGGGTTGGGCTGGGACACTTGAGCTGAGCAGCCAGCCAGGGCTCTGTGCCGTGTCCCCTGCGTTTCCACAGGAAGGACTGTAGGAGTGTGGGCTTGCCAAGGTTACGAGGTGATAGGACATTTTCACAATGGAGCTCTTTCTTATATGCAATGTCCCTAGTGCAGCTTTCAAAAAATAGGATGAAAACTCATTTTTTTTTTTTTTCTGAGGCCGAGTTTCACTCTTGTTGCCCAGGCTGGAGTGCAATGGCGCCATCTTGGCTCACTGCAATCTCTGCCTCCCAGGTTCAAGTGATTCTCCTGTCTCAGCCTCCCGAGTAGCTGAGATTACAGGCATGCACCACCACGCCCGGCTAATTTTATATTTTTAGTAGAGACGGGGTTTCTCCATGTTGGTCAGGCTGGTCTCAAACTCCCGAACTCAGGTGATCTGCCCACCTCAGCCTCCCAAAGTGCTGGGATTACAGGAATGAGCCACCACCACGCCCGGCTAAAACTCATTTTTAGTGAAAAAATAATATTGCATCAAGTCAGGACTACTCTCATTGGAAGTCTAGGACTTCAGGTCTCCATATGACCAGGGAAGGGGAAGAGGAGATAGGGCCCTTTCCTGGGAGAGGGTTTAGCTCAGGAAGTCTGTGTCAGATCTGAGGAAAGGCTTGCGGGGATGAGGAAGAGCAGCAGGCATGGGTTGTGCAGACCCAACAGGTTACTAAGAATGGAAGCAAATTCTCATCAGGCCATGAGGGCAAGGGCAGAAACCGAAGCGTCTTCTGTCGTCACCACGTCTCCCAGGGAGGATGAGTTCTGGCTGCTTTGATACCGACAGCATTTAGGAATCAGAGATTCTTTTATGCTTTACAGAAGGTCTAGGGAAGTTTTTATTAACTGAAAATCAGTAATTTATCCAGCATGGTAGATAATAAAAAATATGGGCAGAATAAAGTGCAATAGTAGCACAAAAACATTTTTTTGAATCAATAAAATGTTAATAATTGCAAATAAGCTATTTTGCTTCATAATCAATGGAAAATACTGAGAAATGTTAGAAATATTCATTTATTAGCTATCGCAAATCTACAGGATTTTATTTCATTTGGAAGATATTCATACCTGTTACCCAGAAGTACAAAGGACCCTTTGGGATGCTTTGTGGCCTCAAGATCTTTTCTGTAACTCATTGGCCTTGAAATCTGTCCTAAGATCATGCACACTCTTTGCAAGATCCTGGTCAGTTTTCGTTTGGGGCTGATGTCTGCCATTAGTTAAAAATCCAACTCTTGATTCTCTACCCTCAAAGCCTTCCCTTGGGTAGCAGCACAGAGGGCTTTGCTTGAGTGACAGTTCCTGTTGTTTTCCTGTTCAACAGTTCCTCCATTCCCTCGTGTACCCAAGTAACCAATGATGGTTTAGCAGCGAATGAGCAAAACACAAACCAAGCAAGACAAAATACCGTCCTGTTGACACAGTGGCGCTGTAATTATTATTTATCCTTCCTGCGCCCCCAGGCTATGATGACGCTGGAAGAGGGACCAGGAGCTGTGTCTCAGATTACCATTGCTCCAGGAGCCGGTCGCTGAAATGACAGACAGGACGGACATAGCAGAACAGTGGTGGACAACCATTGACAGAGAATCATAAGTAGTTCCATTGCCATAGAGTCCCTCAGGAAATAAAGTCTTATCTATGCCTGAATGCACGAGGCTATATAGATATCCAGCTGTTTCATGATGAATTCAAAGAGCCAACATATTTCTGGAGAAATGGCTCTCCAGCTGGAGATGGCCGAGCAAGTCTCTGGGAGCAGTGGCGTCTGAGGTTGGGGAAGCTCACCATGGGGGTCTGTCATGGGTTCGAGAGTGGGGAGCACATGCCTGAATGACTTGGGGCAGTGGATTGGGAGGGGGTACTATTGACAAGGTAATGATGACCATGCTTTACTGGTCACTTTTATCACTGAGGCAGTAACAACAAGGCTCTGAGGCTGCTGGGTCATCTGGAGTTGGGTAATAGTGCAACATGTATTGATTTTGGATTAGCCAGGATTCAGGTTAAGGAGTGTTTTGTTTCTTCCCCAAAGCAGCTTTCTCTATGCTTACAAAACAAAAATAACATGAAACTCCCAGTTCTGCAGCTTCGTCGGATGCTGTCTCACTGCGCTTTAGGGGTGCACCTGGCCTGTCTCCTGCCAGCCTCACCTCCATCAGCATTCCCACCCGCGGGTGTCCATAGGCCCCATTCCTGCTCCTGCCCTGGTGTCCCTAAGCAGCAGACCTTTCAGGTCCCAGGATCCCCTGCTTGCCTCTGACCTAATGTAGAAATTCTGGCTGAAATGGAGGGTATGGGGAGTGCCTTTTCCACTACACTTGTCTGTTTTGTTACCTGGTCCCCAGAGCTGCCAGACATTTTCATGGAGAATGTTGCTGTTGCTGTTGCTCTGGAGCCCTGCTCATCCTCCCTGCAGAAGTCGGGAGCTGTAGCCTCTTTTTGACATCTCTCTCCTCCAGGTACTTGCTACAAAATCCCTTCTCCTTTCCGCCAGGCAATAAACAAAACCAAACCCTACTCAGGGACACCCGCTCACTCCTTCCTTCATCGGCCAGAGTGGAAATCCCAGTTTGGTTTCAGCTGAGACCTGTTACAAATATATGCATAACTCTTCATAAATGACCACGTATTGCACATTTATCTCAGTCTGTCATCATGATAACTCGATACGAATGTTTTTATTTTTGTTCTAAACCCTCCTACTTTCTAACATAGCTGAGAATTCGAAGGTGCGGGGAAGACAAGCTCAGGATCACACATCCATGGTCTTATCGAGCAGGGGTGGTCTGCATACATTTCACGAACTTTTTCCTTTCTAATTTTTATAAATTGACCACGAACAGTTCTTTAAATAAGTCTTATATGAAGAAAATATCGATTTCATGGACAAGGCAGTCTTTTTTTTTTTTTTTTTTTTTTTTTGAGATGGAGTTTGGCTCTTGTCGCCCAGGCTGGAGTGCAATGGCGCAGGTCTTGGCTCACCGCAATCTCTGCCTCCTGGGTTCAAGCGATTCTCCTGCCTCAGCTTCCCGAGTAGCTGGGATTACAGGCATGCACCACCACGCCCGGCTAATTTTGTATTTTTAGTAGAGACGGGGTTTCTCCATGTTGGTCAAGCTGGTCTCAAACTCCTGACCTCAGGGGATCCACCCGCCTCAGCCTCCCAAAGTGCTGGGATTATAGGAGTAAGCCACCATGCCCGGCCAGGACAAGGCAGTCTTATGTAAAGAGTATGCCTGCTTTGTGGAGGCATTTTTGTTCCTGTCCCTTTTGCCCTTCATCATTGTCCCATAAAGGACAGAGCACTGAGCCTTCAGATTGGGCAACTTGTCAGTGCCTTTGACCAAAATCAGTACATGTTTGTATTTAGGAAGGGTGTTTTGAGGCTTATCAGAGGAATGAAGTTTGAATTTTTGAAATGGCAGAAGGCAGTTTCCATACTGGTTGACCCCATCCCTGCCCCTTACCTCTCCATTCTAGATGTAGATCAAGAGGCTGTTGAGATATTTGGACATGAGGCTGTATTTCTTCTTTCTACTGCTCCCAGAAGCTCAGATGACAATCCTCTATTTCTTAAAGTCTTATGACAGCTTGCCCGTATGACAAGGGCCAATGCCCAGGCCTTTACTTGGTGCTAAAAATCCATTTCTAACCAGGGAGGCCGATTTGTCTTTGTTTTTATCCACTCTCAACATGCACCAATAAGGTCTTAGGCCCATTCATTCACTCAACAAACACTGAGTGCCTATTGAATGCCAGGGATGTTGCAGACACTGGGGTTGCAGCTGTGTCCCTATGCAGACACATCAGTGTGCTTGTGGGTCTTAAAGTCTGTGGAAAGGATATATTAGAAGAAGCAGGCTGGGTGTGGTGGTTCACCCTTGTAATCCCAGCACTTTGGGAGGCCGAGGTGGGCGGATCACAAGGTCAGGAGATACAGACCATCCTGGCCAACATGGTGAAACTCCGCCTCTACTAAAATAAAAAAAAAAATTAGCCTGGCATGGTGGCAGGCACCTGTAGTCCCAGCTAATCAGGAGGCTGAGGCAGGGGAATCACTTGAATCTGGGAGGTGGAGGTTTCAGTGAGCCGAGATCACACCACTGCACTCCAGCCTAGGCGACAGAGCAAGACTCTGTCTCAAAAAAAAAAAAAAAAAAAGGAAGCAATAGCATCAGCAACAACTGTTCTATTTTAGTATGTATTAAGATGGACATGACCCATGAGCTGAGCCACATCCTAACAGGGACGTGATGGAGTGGGAGTCTGCTGTTGTTGACTGAATCAGCGAAGGCCTCGCTGAGGAGGGGCCATCAAAGTTGAGATGTCAATTGTGGGAGAAATCCTCTAAGCAGAAAGAACAGCAAATACACGAATCCTGTGGTGGTGAAGCAGTGGGTGCCATTGAGAACCAAAAAGTCCAGGGTGGAAGGAGGGAAGTGCCAGAAATGGTACCAGTGGAGGGTGAAGGGCAGGGGAGTGGCTCCAACATGCAGGGACTTACGGGCCATGAAAAGGAGCTTGGGTTTTAGTTAAGATAAAGAAAAAGCCATTGCTGGATTTCAGGTAGGGATGACCAGATCCTCATCCTGGGAAATGAAACCAGTGTTCTCCCAGTTCTTCAGGCCTGGAACCTAGACTCCTCCCTCTCTCTGCAGTCTTCTTATCTGCCCAACACACACACACACACACACACACACACACACACGCAGAGAAATACACCCGCATAACCATTGCTCTTCTCCAGCAGCCATTTCCCTTGAAATAGTGAAATTTCTTAATTGTTCTCTCTCCTTTCTACTCTCTGTTCCTCAATCAATTCTCCACCGGACAGCTAGTGATTGTCTTAAAATGCAAATCAGAGCCCAATATGGTGGCTCACAACTATAATCCCAGCTACCAGGGAAGCTAAATGTGGGAAGATTGCTTGAGGCCAGAAGTTAGAGACCAGCCTGGGCAACATGGTGAGACCCTGTCTGTAAAAATAAACAAACAAACAAACACACACAAATCAGATCAGGTCATCCCTACCTGAAACAGATTTGGCTATGAAAATCAAGAGATCTGATATGGATATCCTGTTATTTATTGATGCATTAAAGAAAAAAAACACCCAAAATGTAGTGGCTTAAAACAGCAAAAACTCTGGATTGGCTAGGCAGAGCTGGGCGGTTCCTCAGCTGGTCCTAATGGGCTCTCTGTGACAGGTCCTGATGGGGAGTTGCTGGTAACAGTGGATGGGACACCTGGCATGGCTTTAGACCATATCTGGTACATTTGTGGGGACAGCTGGAGGCTGAGCATGGCTGGGATGGGGGAATTAGGCCTTTCTCTGTCCATGGAGTCTCAGAGCCTCTCCACATGGCCTCTCCAGGAGGGCAGTTAGACTTCTCACCTGTCAGCTCAGGCCTCCCACAGGGCCAAGGCAGCAGCGCCAGCTTCACTCCCACATTGCTGGTCAAAGCCAGTCCCAGGTCCAGCCAGATTCAATGAGGGTGGAGCAGCACAGGACATGACATCAGCTGTCATGGGTCACTGGGGACCACCTTTGTAGGCTGGTGATGAAGTTTCTGTGCAGATGTCAGGTTGACACTTAAGCCAGGAGCAGGAGCCTGTGGAGAAGCTTGGGCGGTAGATGTTCATTTAGAGCTTGTTGGTGCATATACGGTATTTTAAGCCATAGGAATAAATGCAATCTTTAAGGAGAGTGGGTAAATGCGAAGGGGAACCCAGAACGAAGCTGCAAGGAACATGGTCACTTAGGGGCTTCGAGAGCTGAATGAGTTCAAGGAAGAGTTGGGCATCCTGCAGTGGATGTTGAGGGAGAAGGACCACTGTGGAGGGAGGAAAAATTGAGGGAGCATAGGTAGTTAAAAGCCAAGAGAGGAAAGCCTTCAACAAGGAGGGTGTGGTTGATCATATGGTGTGCAGGGGAGGGTTGAATAAGATGAAGACAGAAGATCCCATGGACCTGGCAGCATGGGAGGTTTTGGGCAGGAGCCATCTTGGCAAGACAGAGGACATGCAAATCCAGAGGACGCAGGTGAAGACAGGGCAGCGCCAGGCCGGTGAGCCTTCTGAGAAGCTCGGCTGCAGGACAGCCCATGTGACATGCCCCAGGAACCCCCTTGGTGACTGCAGGACGTCCTGAAGCTTCCTCAGTTGCTCCTATTTCCCCTGTCTCACTCTCCTTGTTATGCCTGTGTTGATAGATGTATATCTCAATAGAGGCACAGTCATATATATATGACATATATATGTAATATATATGTCACAGTCATATATAAAAATCAAAATATTATATATACTACATATATTATATATTATATATCCTATATATAATATGTGTGTGTTTTTGTATATGCCTCTCTATATAGTTAACTTAAAAATTTAAATTTAACAGCTGGCTAGGTGCAGTGGCTCTCGCCTGTAATCCCAGCACTTTGGGAGGCTGAGATGGGCAGATCACCTGAGGTCAGGAGTTAAAGACCAGCCCTGCCAACATGGTGAAACCCCATCTCTACTAAAAAAAATAAAATAAAAAATAAAAAAAATTAGCCCGACCTGGTGGTGCACACCTGTAATCCCAGCTTCTTGGGAGGCTGTGGGAGGAGAATCGTTTGAACCTGGGAAGCAGAGGTTGCAGTGAGCTGAGATTGTGCCACTGCACTCCAGTCTGGGCAACAGAGCAAGACTCTGTCTCAAAAAAATTTTAACATCTATATTGAAGTATAATTTACCACCATAACATGCACCTGTTTTAAGTGCAAATTCAAAGATTATTAGTAAATTTACAGAGTTGTTCACACATCACAGTAATCTAGCTTCAGTCCATTTCTGTCACCCCACCCCAAAAAGACCACTTATGCCTATTTGCAGGCAATCCCCACTTCTGCCCCTAGCCCCAGATGGTTATTCTTGCCACTCACTTGACATTTGAGAAATGATGCCTTTACTGTCATTTATTTTGTCACAGACTGGCCTGAGTCCTTGGTACTGTCCCAGTCACCAGCTGACCTGGTATACCTGGGCTGTCAGCTTGCTCCAAAAAGCAGGTCAGCAGAGGGCTCAAGTCTTGTGCTGGCCTGGAGTGCTGGTGCTTGGTCGGGGAGGAGGGAGTAAGGAAAGGAAGGGCACAGTGACATGGGCCAGCCTGGATCACAGAGACCTGGATTCTATCTTTCCCACCTCCACAGCTCAATTATAAATATTTTAAAATGATCTAATTTCCCAATGAAGCAATTGAATGGTGGTTTTTCTATTCTTATTAACAAAATCTTTTCTTCAGGCAAAATTTTCTGCCCAATAATACAACAAATGCCAGCCTGGCTGCTCTGGCTGAATGGCTGCAGTTGGAGGCAACGGTGCTGGCAGATGCCCTGGGGGCTATCCAGAAGCCCCACTGGCTTAGCACTCTAAAGAGAAATAGCTCCCAGCAGAATAACTTCCATTCTGCCAATGTATTTTGCACTTCTGTAATTACGAAGGGCTTTGCCTCTCAGTCTGCATGTGGAGGTGGGAACTTCTCAGAATGCACATTCCCTCTATGTGTCTTTGCTCTTGTTCATCCCAAGCCTCCCCAGTTAACCTTTCTTGTGGCCTGCTGTGACAAGGTTTATATCACGAAGGCCTGGTGATGGTTAGTAGCCATCACTCATTGGGGCAGAGATGTTGCTTTCTGAAAATCAAGTCTAATATTGTGACAGTGTTTAGAGAACATAGGGTAATGGGTGATTAACATGTCTTGTTGACTGTCTTGGATGACTGATGTCTCCAGAGATCTTTTGACCAGTGGTAGTTCACAGTACTCACAGTTAAACACACACTGAGTGCCTGAAGTGCTGGCATTTGAGGGGATGATTAGGAGGGAGTCACCTGTTTTAGACATTAGAGAGGCAGCAGGGTGCACGTTCCTTTGTCCAACTTAAGAGTCAGGCTTGTATTCTCACCCAGAGAAACAGCATATTCATTGACTATGCCTCTGTTGATAGATGTGCATCTCAACAGAGGTACAGTCGTCTATATATATATATAATATGTGTGTTTGTATATGTCTGTATATATTTAACTTAAATTTTTTTTTTGAGATGGAGTTTCAGTCTGTTGCCCAGGCTGGAGTGCAGTGGCGCGATCTTGGCTCACTGCAAGCTCCACCTCCTGGGTTCACGCCATTCTCCTGCCTCAGCCTCCCAAGTAGCTGGGACTACAGGTGCCTGCCACCACACCTGGCTAATTTTTTGTACTTTTAGTGGAGATGGGGTTTCACCTCATTAGCCAGGATGGTCTCGATCTCGTGACCTCATGACCCGCCCACCTCGGCCTCCCAAAGTGCTGGGATTACAGGTGTGAGCCACCGCGCCCGACATTTAACTTAAATTTTTAACAGCTATATTGAGGTATAATTTACCTACCATAACATGCACCCATTATAAGTATAAATTCAAAGATTTATACTAATTTACTTATTTACTTTCTGTCTCTATGGATTTTTTTTTTTCTGGAAATTTCATATAATTGGAATTGAACAACATATATGACCTTTTGTGAGTGGCTTCTTTCATTGGGCATAATGTTTTCAAGGTTCATCTGTGTTGTAGCACGCGTTACCGCTTCACCCCTTTTTATGACTGAATAGCATTCCACTGAATGAATATATTAAATTTTGTTTATCCAGTTGTTTATTGATGAGCAGTTTTGTTGATTTCACTTTCAGGCTACTGTAAAACATGTGGCACTGTTCATCTGATATGTATGTTTCTACTTTGTGGCTCAGTTACTTATCTGTGGCTGCATTCCTCATTGCAGACTGTTAGACTATCTAAGTGCTGATGGCTAAACTGGAAATACCAGAACTCAGTCTTGTATTTGTTCTTTTGATCTTGGGGCTAGTTATTGCCATTCTCCCTGAAGATGTTTTGTATGTGCAGTCAAAGCTCCCCAAGAGAACAGCAACATGCAGTGCAATAGCCAGAAAATCATAGCTGATAGGTGAGTTAGAATGAATTTTTTTCAATGGAGAAATATGTATCTTTAAATTGTAGTAAAATAAACTTGGCATAAAATTTACCATGGTAACCATTTTCAGTGTACAGTTTTATGAAATTAATTACATTCCCATGGTTGTGTAATGCATCTCCAGAACTTTTTCATCTTGCAAAACTGAAATCCTATTCCCATTAAACAACTCCTATTTTCTTCTCCCTAAGCCCCTCAACTCAACCTTCCATCTCTATGAATTTGACTACTCTAGATACCTCATATAAGCAGAATCATATAGTATTTATCTTTTGTGATGGCTATTCCACTGAGCATGATGTCTTCCAGATTCACCTATGTTGTAGCATGCGTCAGAATTTCTTTCCTTTTTAAGGCTGAATAATACTCTGTTGTAAGTACAAAGGATCTTTAAAAAGTTTATTGTATATGCATATTATGAAAATACTATGTATGGATTTCAAAATTGTTTTTTTGACAAAATCAACTTGTGCTGACTTGTTGGGACATGTCTGAGCAGGGTCTAGTTTGAGGCACTAAGAAGGATGAGACATTGGTTTGGAAAGAGCACCCACCAGAGCCCCATGAATTCTGCTAAAATTGAAGCAAGAGCAAACGTTAAATTTAGAGTGAAGTTTACGTGGAAGAATGGTGAAATCACTGATGTTTTATAAAAAGTGTATGGGGACAATGCCCCAAAGAAATCAGCAGTTTACAAGAGGATAATTTGAAGAAGGGATGATATGAAGTTGAAGATGAAGCCCAAAGTGGCCGACCATCCACATCAATTTTCAAGAAAAAAAAATCATCTTGACTGTGCCTTAGTTGAAGAGGACTGAGGATTAGCAGCCAAAACAATATCCAACACCACAGACAACTCAATTGGTTCAGCTTACACAATTTAGACTGAAAAATTAATGTTGAGCAAACTTTCCACTTGATGGATGCCAAAATGATTGCACCCAGATCAGCAGCAGATAAGAGCCAAGCTCTCAATAGATTTTTTAAACAAATGGGATCGAGATCCTGAAGCGTTTCTTTGAAGAATTGTAACAGGACATGAAACACGGCTTTCCCAGTATGATCCTGAAGACAAAGTACAGTTAAAGCAATGGCTATTGAGAAGTGGAGAGGTGGTCCAATCAGAGCAAAAGCAGGCTGGTTTAGAACAGAGTTCTTGGCAGTAGTTTTTTGGGGATGCTCAAGGCATTTTGCTCACTGACTTTCTGGTGGGTCAAAGAACAATAACTTCTGCTTATTATGAGAGTGTTTTGGGAAAGTTAGCCAAAGCTTTAGCAGAAAAACACCTGGAAAAGCTATGCTGTGGGTTCTTCTCCATCATGGCAATGCTCCTGCTCACTCCTCTCATCAAACAAGGGCGATTTTGTCAGAGTTTCCATGGGAAATCATCAGGCATCCACCCCGCAGTCCTGATTTGGCTCTAATATGTTTTGGCTGCGTCCCCACCCAAATCTCATCTTGAATTGTAGCTCCCATAATCCCCATGTGTTGTGGGAGTGACTGGGTGGGAGATAATTGAATCATGGGGCTGGGTTTTCCCGTGCTGTTCTCATGAGAGTGAATAAGTTTCATGAGATCAGATGGTTTTATGAAGGGGAGTTCCCTGGCACATGCTCTCTTGCCTGCCGCTATGTAAGACAGGACTTTCTCCTCATTCGCCTTCGGCCATGATTGTGAGGCCTCCCCAGCCATGTGGAACTGTGAGTCCATTAAGTCTCTTTCCTTTATAAATTACCCTGTTTTGGGTATGTCTTTATTAGCAGCATGAGAGCAGACTAATGAAGACCACTTTTGACTTCTTTTTGTTTCCTATTCTTTTTTTTTTTTTTTTTTTTTTTTTGAGACAGAGTCTCGCTGTCGCCCAGGCTGGAGTGCAGTGGCTCGATCTCGGCTCACTGTAGGCTCCGCCCCCGGGGGTTCAGGCCATTCTCCTGCCTCAGCCTCCCGCGCAGCTGGGACTACAGGCGCCCGCCACCTCGCTCAGCTAATTTTTTGTATTTTTAGTAGAGACGGGGTTTCACCCTGTTAGCCAGGATGGTCTCGATCTCCTGACCTCGTGATCCGCCCGCCTCGGCCTCCCAAAGTGCTGGGATTACAGGCATGAGCCACCGCGCCCGGCCTCCTATTCTTTTTTTTTTTTTTTTGAGACGGAGTCTCGCTCTTTCGCCCAGGCCAGACTGCAGTGGTGCTATCTCGGCTCACTGCAAGCTCCGCCTCCCGGGTTCATGCCATTCTCCTGCCTCAGCCTCCGGAGTAGCTGGGATTACAGGCGCCCGCCACCGCTCCCGGCTAATTTTTTGTATTTTTAGTAGAGACGGGGTTTCACCATGTTAGCCAAGATGGTCTCGATCTCCTGACCTCGTGATCCGCCCGCCTCGGCCTCCCAAAGTGCTGGGATTACAGGCGTGAGCCACCGCGCCCCGCCTGTTTCCTATTCTTAAAACACCTGTAAAGAGCACTCATTTTTCTTCAGTTAATAATATAAAAAAGACTGCATTGACATGGTTACATTTCTAGGACTCTCAGTTCCTTAGGAATGAAGTAAATCACTTACAAAAGTGTATCATCACTTACAAAAGTGTCTTGACATTGATGGAGCTTATATTGAGAAATGAAGTTCATATTTTTAATTTGTATCTTCTAATTCTATTTTTTCATGAACATTTTGCAGTCCCTTTGTATACATCACATTTTGTTTAACCATTCATTCCTCAACAGACATGTGGGCTGCTTCCACCTTTTGGTTATTGTGAATAATACTGCTATAAATCTTGGTGTACAACATCTGCTTGAGTCCCTGCTTTCACTTCTTTTGAGTATATACCAAGAAATGGGATTGCTGGTCATATGGTAATTCTATTTTTAATTATTCGAGGAACTGGGTTAGGACAGATTTTAAGTGAGCCTTCAATTTTCAATTGTATTCTTCTTCTTACTGTTTCCTTCTTATAGTGAGTGTTTATTACTACAAGTATTCAAATTTAATCCTTAGGGGGACAAGGGTTATTTTGACGACCCTTTATGTATTGAATAGAAATTTTGGCAGCAATGATTGGGGTGACAAATAACTAGGGGAGCCTGATATTCTTTAATTTCACAACAGTAATGCATTAAGAAATTTCCTTCTTTTGGGGTTAAGGAAACATCAGATTCTCAGGAATTGTTCCCCAAATGTCTGCCCCGCACAGCGTATGCCAGGGAGCAATCACACTTGGGCTCTGGCCTCAGTGGCTCTGAAAACCTTTTAGATCCTTAAGCCCAGCACACAGGGAAGTACATCAGGTAACTTACTGTTTTCTAATGGAGATTGTTACGAAAGGACATGGATTATTGTCAGACATTCTTCCCAGCGGTAAAAACTTGGCAGGATGCTTAGGCACAAGTCCTCCAAAACTGAGGCTGGGATGGGGGAGTTACAAGAGGAAGATGTCACTAAATCTCCAGCAGTTCCCATTAGCTAACCAGAATGATTTTTTGAAATGCTCCAGTAAAGGAAGTGAAAGTAGCTGGTAGCATCCTTTTAAGCTTTGATGGTGGGTGGGAAGGAGTCCAAGGAGCACATCGGCTGTAGCTGCAGCAGGTAAGGGTGACCAGCCCAGGGCTTTGCAGCGGCTGGCTGCCCATGATCCCTGACTGCACCCGCGGAGGCTGACATTCTGTGACATGTCCAGAGTGTGGCTTCCATTTGGGGCCATCTGTGTCCAGGGCACCTGGCAGGGAGGCCACTTGTGCTGTGTTAATGAGCAGGGCAGCAATACTGCTGTTGGCAGCCCCTCTCCTGGGTGGCTGTGAGAATAAAGGGAGTGAGGTGTGTCAGATACCTGGCAAGGTGCCTAGGACACCAAATAATTGCAGGCATGATAATTCTCTTGTGTGTGAAAGTGTCCAGACAGCTGAACGTGGTGGGCTGGGTGGGAGGGGTCCGGGTGTTCTTTGCGATGACAACTTGACCTCTCTTATCTGTGGTGGGCAATTTGGAAACCTTCGGTATGTCCAAATGGGACCAGTACCATGGGAAAGGGTGTGTGCCAGGCTTGTTTACAGCAGGCTTTGCCTTCCTGTGCTGGCTGCTGGGCCTGAGGGTGGTTCCAGTGTATGTCTGTGAGTGAGTATCTACATGTGTGTGCATGTGTGCATGCTTTTGCATGTGTGGCACTTGTGTGTTAATGTGTCTATGTGTGTATATGGTATGCATTCATTTACCTGCATGCATACTTGTGTATGTGCATACACAGGTGTGTGTCTCAATCAGGGCTGGCCGAGTATCAGAGACTGCAAGCCTACCAGGTCCCTGGACACAGCATCTGCAGTCCTGCTGGTGGGTCCCTGGGGTGACGGCAGGTGGAGGACAGGGAGTAGGGCATGTGAAGGTCAGGCTGAGGGTGGAAGATGGGGCTACACACTGCTGAGGGAAGGTGTTCGGGACCTAGCCTTGCTCTGGGACCTTCCAATGCTGAGTGGGGGCTGGGAGAATGCAGGATGCCAGGGCCAGAGGGGAACAGAGTCAGGCCTGCTGTACCTCGCTGGATCCATGGACTGTCACTCAGGGATTCTGGATCCAAGGCCAGAAAGCCTAGATTTGACAGTCTCAAGGCATGAACCTCCATATTCCACTTTAGTGGGAGGCAGTGCCAAGGTCTGCACCATCCTCTTTAGTAAACAAACAGGTACATGTGGAGGAGCATCACAGCCTCGAGTACCGTACCTTCAAACAGTCCAATTATCCCTCCCCCACATTCATCCACAGGTGACTGCACCATGAGCACCTTGTTTTCAGAGACCCCAAAATCTTATTTAAATTCTAAAACCATCACTGAACTTTGATATTAGAGATCCCTGCCCATGTTTTTTGATCATCTGTGACATTCAAGAATAAGAGTACCAAAGAGCTCTTGGGGTCATTAAGTGGCCTGTGCTGTCATGGGGTTTCTCATTCTCTAATTTCAGGTGGGAGCGGGGAAGGTGGTGGGTGGGAAAGACACCTTTCAAAAAAGACTTAAAATGAATGATCATAAGTCCACCACCCAGATAGTTCTGGGGGGAACAAACTGTGATCCAGGGGCAAGGGTAGAAGGCCTGGATCCAGGCAATTAGGATAAGTGGGAGCCCTCACTAGTGCGCAGACCCTTGCCAAGGGTAACTACTTTTCACAGTTTCTTATAATTCACAGTTCAGTCCTCCTGGTGGTGATTCCCTCCTCCTTCAAAGTCTCTCTTACTTTCTGGCCCTCCACTCTCCTGTTCTCTGCGCTCCCTGGAGCCATCTTCTGTTTCCTTTGCTGGGATTTCTTGATCCCTTTCCTGCACCTGTGCCCAAAACAAGTGTGGGGACTTCTGCTTTCTCCTCGCCTTGGGTGAGCAAGGGGAGGTCTGGTCATGCCCAGCTCTGGAGGAAGGCAGCTGGGTTCTAGGTGCAGAGGCACCAACCCCTCGTTTAGGATATTCCTCCTGAAGATGACTCAGTGCCCTCCGTGGCCTTTGTCCATGTCCTGTGCTGCTGAATCCTTCAGGTGGTGAGTGGAGCCCATTTCTGCATCCTTGAATCCCAAATGTGACTGGCCCAGACCGAGGTGAAGGCCTGCCTTTTCTAGGCTAGGCCTTAGGAGGTTTTGGCAGGTCAAGTCTATACCTCTGGGGTCCTGCCCTACCGGAGGCAGTAACCACTTGGAGGAGAAAAGAGACATGCCACCCAAGAACCAGAGGCAAAGTCCAGACAACCTTGAATCCTCCAGTCGGGCTGAGCAGCCCTAGCCGGTGCCGCATGAATCAGAAACACCTGTCTAACCAAGCCCCGTGTGCTTTTCTGAGACACAGCGTGGAGAGCCAAGAGATCACTGCTACTTTAAGTGCTCCATTTTGGGGTGGCTTGTTATGCAGGAGCAAGCAACTGAAACAACAGCACGGAGGATCCACATCCAGCCATTCGGTCACTTGATTCCTACGAGCTACGACCCACCAGTGCAAGCCGCCCATTGTACAAGAGGCTGGCCACAGCCACAGGGCCCTGACAAAAGGGCGCATCATCACTTCCCTTAGTGCTGACATCAGTGAAACAAAATTCGTACTCTGTCAACCTCTGCTCTTCAAAGCAATCAAAGACAAGTTCTGAAAAGTGAAACATCTCAAAAATATGATGAGGTCACTGCTCAGCATATTCTGTTTAGTCCAAGTTAGAGGCAAAAACATTCAGGGGACTGTTCAGGGCATAGTATATAATGCCCCTCAACAACCCACTTTAATTACTGCTATCCCCAGTTTACAGATAAGAAAACTGAGACTTAGGTCAACTAAGTTGTGCTCAAGCTTACACGGCTGGGAAGAGTTGGAAGAGGAAACTACTCAAATTTCTAGCTCTAGACATCCAGCTTACGTATTACCGTTCATACATTAAGGGCCCTCTCAGTTAATACAAATAGTCTTATTTAAAATAACTGTTTATTCTATGACATTAAATTTTTCTCTAAACTTATTCAAGCATCAAAGAGTAGATTTCTTCTTGGCTTAATCCTGGTGGCCTGAGGAATTCTGCTTTATTATGAGTAAGTTCCTTCTCTTAATGTGCTAAAGGGTTTCCATGCTGAAGGGGCAGGATGAATGATGCTGTAATCTCAGCCTTGTAGGGCAGAGATTCATTCCATGGGCTACTAATTATGTATAGTATCACTCCCTAGCCTATGGGAGTGATTCTAACATGATAAGCATTATAGAAAACATATTTGGATCTTAGTTCTGGGAGTCCCTGTGAGATTCCTTAAGGAGGAATGGCTTGGTTTATTGGGAAAAGACATCCTTTTCAAAGGAACATTCAGCTTGAGGCGCACACATAGGACATCTGATAGGGGAGGGCCTCATGCCCTTCTGTGGCCACATTCTGCAGCCTGCCCAGCCCTGTTGCTCGGTCTGGAGATATAAGTCCTCACCAAATACCTCAAATCCTGGTTCTCTAGCCGCTTCCACTCCCAGCGAGGACTACCCAAACATCATACTGGAATCCCCTTGTGCGCCATGCTTCCAGCCCTTGTCTCCTTCCTAACATGGACTGCTCTGGTTATTTGGAGAGATTTCATTCTGATTTTGCCTATAAATTTCCATGTTTAAAAGACATGGGTGGGTAGATAAGATGGTTCATTAGTCTCAGTTGCTTTTCCTTTTCTGGATGTTATGGGTATTCAAACTGGCTGGGTTGAGCAATCGTAGGTATAGCTTTATTGAAATTTGTGCTCAAATTTTTACTAGGTTTAAAAAACATAGTCATGCAGGGCCCTGTCTCGCCCGATGTAGGGGTTACAAGGAAGCCTTGGGTGAGTCCATGGCAGGCCTAGATGAGAGGCCGCAGAGGGGAGTGGGCAATGTTGCAGCCTCTAGACTGTGGCTTTATGACAAAGGGAAGTCAAGTTTCAAGATTCCAGGCATGAAAGCAGGGGTACAGCAGGGTGGGGGTGAAATCTTGTGGTGGCTTGCTATTTGCCAGAAACACAAGTGCCTTTGGGAAAGGGCTTCCCAGGGTTGGGCAGAGTCCCAGGTGTGTGACCAGAAGAAAACTCCCACTTACAATGTGGAGCACGGTGTTGGCAAGATTGTTCCATTGGAACCAAAGAATCAAGGCTGAACCCCTTTGGATCTATTGGGAAAGTGTGGAGTCAGGACTCCCACCCGATTCTCTTCTGGTCACCCTGGAATCCAGCCCAGGGAATCCTGCTCTGGAGGCCCCTCCAGCTCTTGCAGATCAGTCACTCCTCATTCCTAGCACCCCCGGGGCCTGGACCGCGTCCTTCCTTAAGGGGCAGTCTTCCACCTGGCCCTCTGCTCCCACAAGGAAGCTGCCGCAGGTCCCCCAAACTGCCAGCTTCCACACAGAGGGTGCAGCCAGGTCCCAGAGGGACTCCCCCTGCCCAGTATCTGAATTCCAGTGAACACCAGCAACCCAGTCTGAGATGCTCACTGGGGCCAATGAAGCCAGTTGCAGGAATGCAGTCATGAAATGGTCTGGGGAAGAGGCGAGCAACATGAGCCCTGGGTTCACAGCTCACTGTAGCCTCAAGCTCCTGGGCTCAAGTCATCCTCCCATTTCAGTACATGGGACTACAGGCATGTACTGCCATGCCCAGCTAATTTTTAATGCAACTTTTTTTGGTAGAAATGGGGTCTCACTATGTTGCCCAGGGTGGTCTCAAACTCCTAGCCTCAAGCAATCCTCCTGTGCTGAGATTATAGGTGTAAACCATCACAGCTGGCCCTGACTTTTCTTAACCTCTTTCACCTTCTGTCTGGTCATGAGTACAAGAATAATAGCAGTGCCTTCTCAAGGGTGCTAAAAGCTAGAGCATGTTTCCCAGGGGTGCCCTCCTGGAAGGGTATCATGATGCTTACGGTCTGGCTCACAAGGAGGCATCTTTCAGGCTGAGACTGCCAACTGTTCTTTCTTCCCTCCCCTCCCACCCGGTACCGGATCCGACTGAGAAGCCAGTCCCTTGCACAGACCTGACTGCGACTCCTTCCTGTCACCATCATTGTCTGGGACTTGTGATCTCAGGGGAGTCAAGCTGCTCGTGAGCTGCTCCTTTGCAATGCATGAGACTGATCTGCCTCCCTGCTCCCCAGGAGCTATGCTCAAGGATATCCCAGCTCCCAGAGCTATCCCCAAGTTGCTGGAAACAGCCCACAACCACAGCCTGCATGGGACCTGCACCACCATGCCAGGCAGCATGGCGGCTCTGGTAGTCAGGTACTCACTCAGAAACAATGTCCTTCAGACACGGGGGTTTCTGAAACCGATCCAATCATAAGGCTGCATTTGAAAGGAGCAGAGGAGTTGCAGGTCTCTTGTAGCTCTTCAAGGTCATGTGGTCTGCCTCTACTTGGAGTCCAGAGACCCGATTCTCCCTCTGTGCATAGGACTCAGTCCCCAGGACTGTGTCTCTGCATTAATGTGTATGTGTGTGTGTGTGTGTGTGTGTGTGTGTGTGTGTGTGTGTGTGTGTGTGTAGGTAGTTGTAAGGTCAGCCTCACTCCCTACTAGAAATCTGCTGACCCCTGCCCACAGACAGCAGCCATCACTCGGCCGGCACAATGTGCAGGAAAGGGCTGGTGATGAGACCCCGCAGCTCAACCTGGGCTGAGGGTAGGCTGCAGCTTCCCCAGGACACAGGCTGTTGCTGAGTCCTGGCTTTCCTCTTAGGAAACCATAGGTGTGAGGTTGACTCCTCAGGGAATAAGCCAATACCAAGTGGAGAAGCGAGGATGTGTGGCCAACCAGCTGGTGATTCTGTGGGGCAAGGGGGCAGATGGGGGAGCTGGACCCCGCACCCACACGTGCAGTTTCCAGAACTTATGTGGCACCAGCACTTGCAGGGAGAGGGGATTTCTGTGCAATGGAATGAGCCAAAGTTGAGTCCCAGAGCCCCAGAGTTCTTGCTCTCCAAGTACTTTGAAAAGGAACCAAGCATCTGGAAACTATGAAAAATTACAAGTGGTCCAAGTGCGGGGTGCAATTTTGGGCAACCGATGCCCAGGAGATGGGTTTGACACATGGGACTTGCAGAAAAAGAATCCACCCTGGTGAGCCCCTTGGCCTGCGGTGCCCAACATAGGTGGTCATCATCACGGCGGGCCCCTGTTCTGTTTTCCACGTTGCAATCAAGCTCTGGACAACGCATGGAGGGCTTACCCTGGTGATGGAGAGGAACAGAACGCTCACAACCTTGACTGCATGATGAGAGACAGGAGCAGGGCAGGGAGCAGAGAGCCAGGGGCTCTCTCCTCAGTTCCTGGAGTGGGAGTAAGGGGATGCTGGAAGAAAAACCCAGATAAGGGAATTTAAATATAGTGTTTACTTTAAAAAGAACAAAAATAACAAAGCCACTAATACTTAAGAATAAGAGCCACAGGCTCATTTTCTCTCGTCATCCAGCCTGGTTGTCTCCTTCCCACCTTCAGCTGTCAGCTCACTCTCCATCAGGGACTCTGTTTCAATGTCTCCTCATCCCCCATGGCAGCCTACCTAAGTTCCATGTCAGCTGTTTATTAGTTGACGGTTTGCCACAGGCCTGGCTCCTCCAGAATGCAGAGACGTCAGCTCCTTTTTTGAGAGCCTTTTCCAGAGCTTGGACAGTGCCTGGTTCCTAGTTGGTGTATTCCATGCTCTTCCCTATGACTTCTTTGTGTGTGTCTTGTGCTTGTGTCTGCAGCTGCGTCTTTCTCCATTTACCTCCCCTAGGATGTGTTCACTGTATTCAATGAGCCTTGTGCCCCGCACACCAGCCTGGCCCCCTTCTGCCTGGGGTGTTTTCAGCTGGCATATCTCCTGACCTAATGAGCTCCTTCTAGCTTGCCCGTCTTAGCATAGGCATCACTGCTTCTGAAGTGGGGATGTCTTTGATCCTGGCAGGGCAGGCAGACCTCTTAGTTGTGCTGTGACATCCTAGAGTGCCATGCATGGTGGGGGGACTTCAGAACAGATGCATGGGCCCCACCCCTGGGTTTCTGGGCCAGGTGCAGCTAGACAAGCTGGGCATGCTCTCTGCAGGGCCACCCAGCTCGGGCTGCCCTTCTGCATCGCAGCGCAAGAGAGAGAACAGCTTTGCCAGAGAGCAGAAGGAGCCTGAGTTTTCACACTGAATGGTCATACCGTGGATGTCTATTTTCCTGGGAGTTGCTGGGATTGCCAGCTCTGGGCCCTGGGGGTGTTGGGGACATTAAGGACTCTGAGGTTCCATCTCCAGCTACTCGGAGAGGGTTCCTTGTGTCATTCATCAGGCAGCTTGCTTATCTTATCCCTCTTTTAGCAATTGTCATACTGCATTAAAGTTAGTTTGCTGGTCTCTCTATTAGCCTGGATGATTTTGCGGTTCTGGACTCTGTTTTATTGACCATTATGTCTCCAGCACCTCAGAAAGCTTTCTGTGATTGGAGTCTTTGAATGAGGCTGTGAGTGGATGACGAGCCTCTGAACCGACGCGGGCGGGAGGGGGCTGCTGGCCAACTCACTCACCGGGCCACCTTTACTGTCTGTTTACTGTCTGTTTACTTTAAAAGAATGCCTTGGTGGTCTGAAAACCTTCCTAAGTGCCAAATGAGAGCATCTCAAAGCTGGCAGAGCCCCTGGGTGTTATCAGGGTGGAGAATCACGTTCCTTTCATTCTCTGATGGGAGCGTGCATGTGTGTGCGTATGCCCATCACCCTCCACTGGCTTCACTCATGATCGCAGATAAGGGGAAAACACTTACCTCGGACTTTGGATTGAAACCAGATCAGGAGGCTTAGTCACCCCAAACGCAACCTTAGAAAGCATGAAGTTAATATGAAACATCGGCCCGTGTAACGTAGCAAAACCTCCCCTGTGAATGAGTTTTAAACTTTTTTTTTTTTTTTTTAACATCCTGAATGTTTTTGAGCACATGCTGCTGCCTTCTTAGCTGTTTGTTGGGTGGGTGGTAGAGCCAAGGCAACAGGGGGACTGTTGATTTGAGCACAGCAGAAGCGGGCTCTGAACGGCCTCCCGCTTATTGCCATGAAAGCTTCAGCCAGTCCCGCTTGCCTGCCTTGTGCACAGAGCAGAGCAGTGCAGCCCCTGGGTTAATGCAGGAAAGAGCAGCTCTGACCCGGGAGGCATTTCTCTCCACGCTGCCATAAACCTAAGACTCTCTTTAAGTTGTCCAAGATCAAGGGCTGCTTCTGATGAAGAGGGAGCAGAGGTCTGTAGTAGCCAGTGCCTTTAACCAGTAGCAGTGATGGCCAGGGCGTCTCCCAGGGGAAGGGACAGCGTGGCTACAAAGGCCCACCAGGAAGAAAGGCCCCATTTGCCAGTTGGCTGAAGAGATCCAGCCTACTTCCTCTAGATTCAGGATTTAAAAAGGGTGTGTGATTTTGTTCTCTGTTGGGAGAAAATGACTTAGAGATACTTCAAACTGTGTTTAGTCGGAAGATACACTGAGTTAAAAACAGTTAATTAAACTTCAATTGTGTGTGTGTGTTTTTAAGCCGTGTAATTGCTTCATGCACTCGCTCACTTTTCAACTTAAAACTCCAAGTATTTTAGAAATGAACTTCATTGTTCTTAAATTTTGAATGAGGCTATTTTCTTCACTTAAGAGTGTCTGCCTTCACTAGTCAGCCAGGCTTCTTCCAGTGCAAATGGGCTGATTTCTGCAATGTGGATCTTAACAGAAACTTACCAGAACCGCCTTACATCTGCTAAATGATTTATTTGGAAAACATATGTGTTAGTCATTACAAAGATGTGGATGAGATCCGGTTGCCAAATAACGAGTATCGTGTACATGAAGGATTCTCATCCGATGGGGATGACTCAAAGTACTGCTTCTTGTAATATATTAAATGTCTAAATACTTAATACAAAGACAGCCAGAGAATATCAAAAAACATCACAGCCAGCACATGACAGTATCTGCCTGGCACTCTTTGCAGAAGGCAGCCACACTCTCCACTACCCCACCAAGGCCACTCGCCTGCCCACCATTGGATTGGAAGTGTAGGGCTTGGTTCAGCCAGGAAGGTTCTCTCAGTCCCAGGTGTCTGAAAGGAGAGGTAACCAGGAGTAACTTAACTAACCAAATTGCTAGAGATTAGTCATGCTTGATCTAAGGCTTCATGAAAAAACATCCCACAGGGAGACTCTGGTGGGGTTTAAGCAGCACAAGAATGCTTCTATTTCCACATAAAATTTCGACAATATGTCTGTTTCAAATCAAACCCTGGTTGGGGGTGAGGAAATCTGCAGACAGAAATAGCCAATCTCTTTGCCTCAGCACCAAGAAATGGCAATGACCATCCTTTTCTTTATTCTCTGTGCAGAACTTTTCTGGAATATTCTGGGCCTTCCTTCTACAGCTCAGCCATAAGGAATTGGAAAGACTGAGCAAGGCATTTGTCCTGGAGTAGGTCTGTGTGTCCTTTTTATTTTCAAACATTCGTACTTCAGTCCACTAGAGCCACCTTCCCTAATCATGAAAGAGTCCTAGAAGCCAGTCCTGCACACTCCTGTGGGATTTTCCTGGTCCACATCTTTGATTTAGGACTGTGCAAAGCAAACCTGAGAAGTTCAAGCAAACCTGAGAAGTTCAACTACGCATTTCCTGAATCGGGAGAGGGAAACAAGAAATTCATCATTTTGAGAGTGAATGACTTAAATATCACTGCTTTTAGAAAATTCAAGAGCAATCTTATTTACCCTAAAAGCTGTTTGTAGATTGTCAAAATGTACATTTAGAAATACCACAGGCTGGGTGCAGTGGCTCATGCCTGTAATCCCAGCACTTTGGGAGGCTGAGGCGGGTGGATCACCTGACGTCAGGAGTTCGAGACCAGCCTGGCCAACATGGTGAAACCCTGTCTCTACTAAAAATACAAAAATTAGTTGGGTGTGGTGGCACCTGCCTGTAATCCCAGCTACTCGGGAGGCTGAGGCAGGAGAATTGTTTGAACCCGGGAGGCAGAGGTTGCAGTGAGCCGAGATCACACCATTGCACTCCAGCCTGGGCCACAGAGTGAGACTCCATCTCAAAGAAAAAAAAAAGTACCACAGAATTAAGTAGAAATGTCTATAGTAGAATGAATTTTCTGAGAAACGAATTGAGGTTTATGTTCCTGCTACTGCAGGGTCTCCCTTCTAAGAGAGTGAAAGGTAACGTCTCTTTCCCACTAAGGAGGGGCAGGGGAGTCTGTGTCCGTGCTCTGGGCTCCTTTGCCCAAAAAGCAACTAACGGCTTGTTGTGTTTAGGGCTGAACAGAAAGAGAGGTTGCCAGGAATCTAGGGAAAGACCCTACACAGAATTTGGAAGAGCTCCAGGAGGCCAGCCAATTCTGACTTGCTGGCTAGCTTACCGGGAGAACTGGGGTGCTGCTGCTTTGAAGGGAAACAGAGTGTGGCTTCTTGCTCATTTCCCTGGACAGTGTAAGCATCAAACAACTCAAGGGATGGGGAAGGAACCATGAGATGTGACTGATGCTGGTCTTCTCACTTAGTACATGGGGGCTTGGGGACGATCTGATTTGCCTTAGAAAAGATATGGTATTTCTTTTCATGTCAGTAGGCTCAATGGCTTACTTGGATGTTTCAGCTAATGCATGCATTCAATAAATGCATCCTGTAGCCAAACTTTCTTGTTCACTGATAAATGACTTCAGTTCCCCAGAGGAAGGGCAGGGAAAGGAAGAGGGAGAGGAGCCACTGCCCCGTATCCACACTTCTTTTCTTCTCTGGGAACAGAGCCTGGTGTCATTCCATGTGGCCATGTGCCCATGAAGGGGTGGCATTTCCGAGCCTCCTTGCCACCAGCCAGGCCCGATGAGAAAGATGACTTTAAGAGAGGGCACATTACCTTTTCCTTCTTTCCCTCCTTCTGTCTTCCGATGGGAAAAGAGCTCAGCGGTCAGGCACTGCAGGAGCACCCTGGGAACATGAGGCAAGCAGAGAGGCCTGGGCTTTGGGAGAGGCGAGTACAGGGTGAAAGTCTGGGACCTTGGTCCTCATGGCATTGCTACAGCAGCTCTCCTTGGGAGGGAAATGCACCTTCACCCTGAGACTGTCTAAAAACCAAGCTTGGCTGATATTTGGAGGATCCTAGGCCAGGCGAGCGGAGCAGCTGAGTCACACCCTGTATGATGTGTCTGCAAATAGATCTGGGTCAAAATGAAATACCCCCTTGCCTGGCTCAGAGAGAGGCAATGGACTGTGTGAACTCACTGCTTCCCTCCATCTGGGCACAGTGGTTGCTGAAAAGAGGAAGTCACAGCCTGGGAGAGTTGGGTGGCACAGACAATTCTCGAGTTTTGAAAGCTATTGGCCTCAATGAGCCCCGTGCTCCATGGGAATAAAGGGCACAAGATCCTCCAACCCCATTTTGCATTTCCATGTTAAAAGGTGTGTGAATTCAGTGCAAAGAGATGTAGTTATTTCCCTGTATGTAGTCAGCGGTTTCTCTGAGCTAAGCCTGCCTTTCCTGCAGAGGACAGAATGGCATCCATTAAGACATGTGATTTATAGGGCATTGTTTTCTATCCCCAAAGGACACTGCTGTATTTTCTGCCTTTGCCCTCTTCCTTCTCTCCTGCTTCTCACCTTTTCATCTTTCCACAGTCTCACTGTGTTGTAGTAACACCTTACAACTGCCTTGGCCCCAGAGCCCTTGCCCCTGGGCCCCTCTGGGCTGCCTCCCAAGCACCATGGTCATCTCTGGATCCGTGACCATGTGTGTGATGTGTCGGTTTGCATCATTTATCTTGAAATGGAACACCCCCTTGGGCTTACATTGATAGCCTCAATGCCTCCCTGAACAGGGCATTCTTCCAGACCCTTTGAAAGAACAGGTGAGTCTCCTTGATCTGTGAGTCTTGTATCATTCCAGAATTTCTTTGATCCTCAAAGCAGCTCTTAGGCCCGCCAGCTGGGAGGCTGATGGGCAGATGCTGGGGTCCCTGATACCTTCCCGGGACAACTTCAAGTCTGGGACTCTAAGGAAAAAGGGCCACTTCCAAGCTGTAGGTTCATTGTACCATTATCAGCAGAGTTATAGCACTGATAAAACAATAGTAATAGTGGCCTCTAGCCTGTGAGGGCATTGCAATGCAGCCCTTGCTATAGCTCCAGGCCCAAGGAATTTCCTAGATGACCACAAGCCTGCACAGCACTAGTAAGAGATGCATCACAAGCTAGGTGCGGTGGCTCAGTCCTGTAATCCCAGCACTTTGGGAGGCCAAGGTGGGTGGATCACCTGAGGTCAGGAGTTCGAGACCAGCCTGACTAACATGGAGAACTCTTGTCTCTACTAAAAATATAAAACTAGCCAGGCATGGTGGCGCATGCCTGTAATCCCAGCTATTGAGGAGGCAGGAAAATCGCTTGAACCCGGGAGGCAGAGGTTGTGGTGAGCCGAGATTGTGCCACTGCCCTATAGCCTGGGCAACAAGAGCAAAACTCCATCTCAAAAAAAAAAAAAAAAAAAAAAAAAAAAGGAAGGAGAGAGATACATCGCTAGTAGGAAGGACTTTTCTTCCTCCTCCTGCCCTTTCTCTCCTCCTCTTGAAAGGTCTTGAGACAGGTAACATATTAACACATCAAAGTTAGGCCATAGGAAGCAGCCACCCTTCCTAGCTGAAGACCTGTTTGTTTAGCAGATGGCCCCAAATGGAAAGTATCCACCTAAAGTTGACTTCAGTGCTGAAAAACTCAGGGTGGGAATGGGGGTGGTAGGAGCATGTTGAGACGGTCTCTTGGAAGTAGAGAAGAGAGGAGGCTGGAGGCAGAAGGGACACCCAACTGCCCACTGGAGAAAAATTTTATCCTGATTATTTGATGGGAAAGAATAAAGCCAGGTAGGTCTCACTTGTTCATCCTGTGCACAGGTGGGATGGGCTTGAAATCTAATTTCTGGTAGTGAGCCCTACCTTCAGCCTTTCCAAATGCTGTTTCAGAAGAAGGGGGTACAAACTTCTCCTAACAATTTTTGGGAAAGCCAAGGAGAGAGTTTATATTACTCATCAACAATAGCACCTCGTAAAGATTGTGGTTAAATACTTCTATTTCTTTCTTTATTTTATTTTATTTATTTATTTCTGAGACGGAGTCTCTCTCTGTCACCCAGGCTGGAGTGTGGTGGCACAATCTCGGCTTACTGCAACCTCCGCCTCTCGAGTTCAAGTGATTCTCCTTGCCTCAGCCTCTCGAGTAGCTGGGATTACAGGCACCCGCCACCATACCTGGCTAATTTTTGTATTTTCAGTAGAGACGAGGTTTCACTATGTTGGCCAGGCTGGAGATGAGAAAAAGAATAGATAATTCATCCTGATTTGAGATGGGCCACGTCCAGTGCACTTAGGGGCTCAGAATTTGTCCTGTAAATCAGCGTTTCTCAAACTGAGCTGTGTGGAATACTGGAGACCACCCATGGATCTACTCTCAGAAATCTGTGTGCTCTTTCCCATTTTTAATACTGGTGATATTTTAAAATGAAATATTACAAGTCTATTCTGGATCATCTGGAGAGCCAGCTCAGACCAAGGGGACAGAGACCACACTCGCTTGATTCCAGTGCCATAGGCATTTTGTATGGAGGATTGCTTCCACACCAAAGAAGGCACAGTGATGTCATAAAGAGGTTTCACAGTAGTTTGAAAGGAGAAGAGGAGGGTGAAAATAAAGTCGTCACCTTGAACAAGGTAATCAAGCTGTCGGCATCCATAGAACTCGTCTCATTTGTGTCATGTCGCAGTCTCGTTGTGAATGGATGCTCTTGGCACAGCCCGTCTTGTTACTTCAATGGTTTATTAGCAGAAAGTGTTGGAGAAACTATTGAATAATTTTTTATTTTACTTGCAGAATTAATTATCTTAGAAATCTAATGTAGATTTAAGTAACAGCAAAACAGCTATTGTATTTTCAAGTGAACAAGTCAACTTGACTAATTTATCAAGTAACATTCCAATAAAAGTGATTTTTGAGGATGGGTGGCTGGCATTTTTGGTTAACTATGAGATGTGATTGTTGAAAACTAATGAACAAAGCCTTCAAGAGCTTATTATTCTTTCATTTACCAAGCATTCTTAATGGTATTATTATTAACAAATAAAGCTAAACATTAAATATAGAATTGGACCTGAAGCCACATTTTTATCCTTATTATCAGTCATTTAGTTAGAGTAAACAACATCATTATTCACATTAAATAAATGACTTTAATATGATATTATTGGTTTTATAGTTTGTATTTGTATGAAATTATATTTGCTTTTATAGCTAAGTAAGAGTATAAGAATAATGTGCTTATATACAGTTTTCATTTGAATGTAAATACAAATAAGAATAACACTAATCATGTGATATAATTTGAGGCAACACTAAAGATTTAAGAACATTATTTTTTCTCTTAAAAGGAGTATGCACATTTATGAGATTTGCAAGCAAGCAAGGGAGAAACACTGACTTTTAATTAGAGGTGTTTTAATGCATGGCCATATTTTTGTTAGCGATGGGACTTTGATGACAGTGTGGAAAACTCATTGGGAGGGAAGTTGGAATATGGGAGGCTATGAGGCTGGTTCAGTGGTGGAGCGAGCAGGAGAGCTGGCATTTCTGCAACTGGATAAAATATACTTGTGGCTGGCTGGGCATGAGCTGATGCTGAGGTGAGAGTTTATAGTGGTGGAGATTTTGGAATTTGTGCAACTTTCTGGGTAATTATACAATTAACCAGGATTGAGAATGCAAAATGTGGCACACATTAGATAAAAGTTACCAAGTATTGGCTGGGTGTGGTGGCTCACGCCTGTAATCCCAGCACTTTGGGAGGCAGAGATGGATGGATCAGTTGAGGTCAGGAGTTTGAGACCAGCCTGGCCAACATGGTGAAGCCCCATCTTTACTAACAATACAAAAATTAGCTGGGCATGGTGATGCATGCCTGTAGTCCCAGCTACTTGGGAGGCTGAGGTGGGAAAATCACTTGAACTTGGGAGTCGGAGGTTGCAGTGAGCCAAGATCACGCCACTGTACTCCCACCTGGGTAAGAGAGTAAGACTCCATCTCAAAACAAAACAAAACAAAAGTTACCAAGTATAGTTTGTACGTCTGCAAATTTTGTTCTTCTAGTAAATACACAACACCCCCACCACACACACGTACCTCAAATATCTCCTATTTGAGAAGGCAAAGAGAAAAAGGACCTATGAGGGACAGAATGGATGAATGCAAGGTGCCTCTCAGGTCTAACATTCTATATGTGGATCTCTGATGTTGAAATGACATTAGAAACTATTTCTCCTTTTGATAATTTGCATAAAGAGTGTAGTATATTTTCTCTAAGATTATTTCTCGAATTAGTACTTTAAAAACTTTCATAGTCAAAAGACAGCAATAGGGCAATTGTGGTTCGTTAAGATGGAGAAAACACACTCTACTCTTTCTCGCCCACAAAATACAGCTAAAATCTTGGAGAGAATCCATGGGACAACTATTTGAGGAGTCTGAAAGGTAAATGGTGCGGCTCTCTAAAGAGTCTGAAAAGCAAAGGGTAGCAGGCATACTGGGAAAGAAAATCAGATGGTTTGAAGTATGATAAATCTAGTGGTGAGTTTCTTGTTTTGTTTTGTTTTTTTTCTACCAGCATACACCCCAGGGCAGCATGGGTCCTGGAATAATGCACTGGGCAAGAACAGGAAGAGCTTCAAAGAAAGGATTGACTTTCTGGCCTGAGGAGTAGAAAGGAGCAGAGAGAGTGGAAGACATCCTTTGTCCCCCAAGGAAACTCATGCCTGCAGCTGCAGCTGTCACAGTGGTGACAGTGGATTTGGGTAGGCACCCAAAACTCTGAGGAAGGAGAATCTTTTTCATCAGAGGAATATGTCTGAAGAGTGTGGTGGAATCTCTGTTGCATTTTTTTTTGTCTCTGTAGCCTCCTGCTGCTTGACTCTGCACATATACACACTTGCAGTAAGTGTATAGCAGAACCAGGAAACTAAACTGCTCAGATTTCTAGGCAGAGGGCCAAGAAAGCAGATCCCTGGACGCAAAAGAGTGAGGAGGAACTCCAGAAAGGGGAAGCTCAAGAAAGTGACCCACCAATTGTATATGAACTCTTGGGCTTGCTCCAAGCTGAGTATGCATGGATCTGACCCCAAACAGCATGCTAAAGGTTTTGAGAACTATGGAGTAGACCACTTCCTGGGATTCAGTCTTTGTAATGAGTGGTGCACACATAAAACTGATCTAAAGAACAATGGAAAGTCTTTGAAAACTAAACTGACATTAGAACCATAGCTTATACAAAGCATATTAGAACATACATCTTGAAATCACATTCATTAGCTGCCCACAAAAGCAAAAAGCAAAACCCCAACATTCTTCATACGTTGTATGAAGGCTCATAACTTTATAACAATATTCAAAATGTTCAGCATACAGCCCCAAATTACTCAACATAAGGAAAACCAGGGAAGCCTGACAAATTCTCATTGGGAGGAACAATGAACGTACACCAAACCCAAGATATCCAGATGTTTGAATGATCAGAGACATTTAAAGTAGCCATTATAACATGCTTCAAGAAGAAGAGCAAACATTCTTGGAAGAAGCAAAAATATAAAGAGTCTTACAGAAAAACAGAAGGTATAAAAAAGAGAACAAATTGGAAATTTTAGAACTGAAAAATACAATAACAGAAATTTTAAAAATCCATTGATGGACTCAATAGCAAAAGAGATGATAGAGGAGTTGATTTGAAGATAGAACAATAGAAATTATGCTTTATAAACAACAGAGAATAAAATAAGAGCCTCAGAGAACTGTGGAGCAAGGTTAAAAGGTTTACTATTTATGCCAGAGTCCCAAATGGACAGAAGAAAAATGCCCCATAGACTTCTTTTTTCATTTGATGAAATCATAGGTAAAAACATCCAATTTTGGTGAAAGACATAAACATACAAATTCAAGAAATGGAGCAAACCTTAAACAGGACAAAATAAGGAAATCCACTCCCAGATACATCATAATCAAACTTTAAATCTAAAGATAAAAAAAATTGAGAGAAGCCAAAGAAAAACAACACATTATATATGAGGGAAAAACTATCAGAAAGATTGCAAACTTTTTATCAGACCAGAAGGTAATGGAATAACATTTTTAAAGTTACTGAAAGGAAAAAAAAAGCCTGTCAACTCAGAGTATTATATCCGACAAAATTATTCTTCAGAAATAAAGGCAAAATAAAGACATTGTCAGGTGAAGAAAAACTAAGAGAGTTTGTTAACAGCAGACTTTCTCTGAAACAACCTGTTGACATTTGAGATTGGATAATGCCTTATTGTGGTGGGCTGCTCCATACAGTATAGGATGGTTAGCAGCATCCTTCTCACCAAGTTGTGACAATAAAAAATGTCTGCAGACATTGCACTTTGGAGGCAAAATGGCACTCAATTGAGAATCACTTCCTTGAAAGAAATATAAAGGTACTTGTTCTGTTGGAAGGGAAATGATGACAGAGGGAAGCATGGAACTTTAGAAATAAAAAAGAAGGGTCATAAAATCATAAACATCCAAGTCAATACAGTAGTCTATTTTAAATTCTTATTAAGTTCTTAAGTCTATTTAAGTTCTATTTTTAGTAGAATATTTTAAGTTCTTTAGAATATGTATAATGGCTGAAAGTAAAAGCTTTAACATTGTCTGATGAGAGTTTTCAGTGGCTATAGATACATGTGACAACTACAGTGGAAAGTGGGGAGGGTATGAGGAAGTATGTGGTGATGAGATTTCTGCATTTCCACTCTAAGTGGTAAAATATTAATCCTAAGTGGACTATGAACAATTGGCATGCATATTGTAATCCCTAGAGCAACCACCAACAACTATAGGAGGAGATACAGTCCAAAACCCAATAGATAAGTTAATTATGATTGAATTATAAAAATATTCAAATAATTCAAAAGAAGATAGAAAAAGAGAAACAGAAGAATAAAACCAAAATGAAACAAGCAGGAAACAATAAGAAAGTGGTAGCCCTAAATCCAAACATATCAATAATGACATTAAATGCATATGGCTTAAACACATCGATTAAAGAAAGATTCAACCAAATGTGGGCTACAAGAAATCCATTTAACATACAGTGGTACAGGTAAATTAAAAGTAAAAGAAAGAAAAAAGATATAGCAGGTAAACACTAATCAATAGAAAGCTGGAATGGCAAGATTAATGTTAGACAAATGAAAAGTCAGAGTATGGTAATTAACAGAGATAAAGAGAGACACTATATAATGATAAAAAAACTTTTCTTTTTCTGTGCATAAATATTATCTGACCATCTGGCAGCCCTGGAGTCTCTCTGAACCCATTCTGGTTAGGGTGGTGCCCAATTTTGGAATCATTCTTTGCTCACTTAAACTCTGTTAAATTTAAAAGCAAAAAAAAAAGATCAATTCCTTAAGAAGCCGTGACACTCCTAAGTGTGTAGGCATGTAACAATAGAGCTTCAAAATACATGAAGCAATATTGATGGCACTGAAAGGAGAAATGAACAAATTCACAATTAGAGGTGGACACTTAGCACTTCTCTCTTGGTAATTGATGAAACATATTAACAGAAAATCATCAAATGCATATAAAAGAACAGGATGTGGGGTATCAGTTACGGCAGCACAGTAGTGACTAGGAGCCTGGGTGGGAGTTCGCCAGTGCACACAAGAGAACCAGCAGTCTAGGCAGGGGCACAGGGAGTGCTTCTGCAGGCTGGGCTTGGGACCCAGTGGGGAGCTTGGGCAGAGAGAATCCCATAGAGCTGAGGGTCAGGAGAGCATCCAAGTTCTTGTCCCTGCCACCGACCTCAAGCCCATTGCCTGTGCCTCCCCTCAGTGGGAGACACAGCCAGGGTCTGTCCTCACCCAGGACACCCTCCTGCTTTGTCACCTCGTGGGCCAAGATGACTTCTGATGCCCCAGACCTTTTGTTTGCATTTCAGGCAGCAGGAAGGAGAAAGAGAGGAACAAGGAGCATCCCTTCTTTTTTCAGGAGACTTTCTAGAAGTTCCCTCAACACTTTGGTTTTGATCCCATTGGCTGTGATGTTGTCAGTTGGCCGCACTGAGTTGGCAAGTGAGGCTTGGAGACACAGCGATGCTCAGAACAAAATCGGAGCTCTGGGACTAAGGGCAAGAGATTCTGCTGATGAAGAGATTGACCATGGGCCTGTGCCTGGGCAGGGCTCAAGCCAGGCTGCCTGCCTCTGACACCACACCTGTGACACCACACCCACACTGCAGGGGGACCCCATCTGCTTGGTTGACCCCCACCCAGGGTGCGGGGTCATCCCATCTCATGGATGATGCCTCTTCTGATCCAGCTGCAGCCCTGGGAGGTCCTGCTTCTGGAACCTCATGGCCCCACGTGCACTGCTCCTTGTAAGGCTTGAATGGCTGAGCTCTGCAAAGCTGGGGTCTTCCATCTTTCATGACGACAACCTGTGGCGGGGCCTGGAGCAGATCATGGCTCTCTTTCACACACAGGGTTTGGTCAAAATAACTTTTTCAGATGGTTCCTCCAAAAACTAAAGTTTTCTTACAGATTTTCAGAGGCCTCCAATCAAAGGCAGCCAGGAGAGCTCCCTGGGGAGTCGGGGCAGGGCTGTGAGCCCCCTACCTCCTCCAGCTCAGTTCTGATTCCTTAGGCCTCAGATGTCTGAGTTGACTTTTTGATAATAGTTACCTGAGAATGGCTCTTGCAGGAGGAATCTGATTTCTGAACATTCTGTTTCAATAGTGTTTGCCAGGAAACTGAGATGCAGACACTTCAAGTGACTTGCTTAAGGTCACAGAGCCTGGGAGAGCCAGAGCTTGGTCTAAGTCACTGTGGTGCTTCCTGACCTGTGCTCTAGTGCCTTGCCTGTTTGAACATGTTTACCTGCCTACGCAATTGCTGTGCAACTTCTCCCCTGTGTGTGTGTGTGCATGTGAGCCTGTGTGTGTATGTGTGTCTGTGTCTGTCTCTGTATGCATGTGTGTGCATGTGCTCATGTGTTCCTGTGTATGTGTCTGTATGGGATGTGTGTGCCTGTGTGTGTGTGCCTCTGTGTGTGTGCATGTGTGCCTGTGTATGTGTGTCTGTGTGTGTGCATGTGTGTGTGAATGTGTGTATGTAAGAGTTGTCTTTGCCCTCACAAAGTGGGCTGGACTTGAGACCTCTGTGCGTTGTTTCTGCAGAACCAGCAAGGAGCAGGAGCAGGAGGAAGTGCCAACTGGTGCCTAATTGATAGGAAAGTGGGCTTAAAGGTCAGGTTACCCTGCTCCAGCTTCTTTGGAGGTCCAGGTGACTTCCCCGGTGAGTGAGGTGGAGTGGGGCAGGGCGGGGTGGGTGAGCCCACTGCTCTGCAGAGCTTTTGTGCTAGTGTCAGGTCACACCTGCATCCCCTGTGACCAGAACCGCTTATGTAGTAGTGTGTGTGCTTTGAAGTGTCCAGATCTCCCGGGTTTCAGGGAGGAGAACCTGGAATCTGGTGAGTAGCTGAGGCCTCACTGACTGCACCCCAGGGATCTGGTAGGATCTGAATTCAGGGCCTGGCTGTCCTGGGACTGCTTCATCTGAAGGGGCATTTGCCTGCTGGGGAAGATGCAGGTTGTGGGGCTTAATACTCCTCTCAGGGAACTAGGTCGGACTTTTTTCCCTATTAGAATACTTACTTTTTTAGGATCATGTGCAGGTTTATTTTGTATGGGGGTCTGGAGGGGTTCTGCCCACCAGGCCAAGACCAAATCCCAGGTCATATCCCCTCCCAAGCATACTTACCTTCCTCCCCTCAAAAAAACACAGAATGTTTAAGAGGGAAAATCTGTGGACTGGGAGTCAGTCAGGTGAGCGAGAGGCCAAAGGGTAAGCAGTGCGTGCAGCTTTGGGGGACCCCGTTTCTGTTTGATGTGGCTCGGGGAGCAGGGCTGCCAGGCCCAGGGAAGGGAGCAGGCTGCCTGGGATGCCCTCGGCAATAGGACACCTGGTACTGGGAGGGGCTGCAATGGCTGCTCCCAGCCCAGGCCCCAGGCAGTGTCAAGCTTCCCATCTGGTCCCTTGAGCTTCCGCACAGGCTGAGAGCAGGCTGGGAGCAGGTGTGACCAGGGAGGAAGGCCCAGAACTCCCTCTACTCTTTGCTACCCTGGAACAGTTGCCCGGGGGACTGGAAGCTCTTCTTAAGCAGCTGGAGTGCGGTTGGTGACGCCTTTAGGTCAGACCAGTGGTTCCCAAATTGTGGGCCCTGGGCCAGGAGCATCGACCTCCATGGAAATGGTTGGAAATTTGGAGTCAGGGGTCTCACCTTGACCTGGGCTGAGCAGAAGCTGGTGGGATGTGTCCTTTAACAGCCCTCCAGGACCTGGAGGGAGCTACAGTTTGAGCACCACCAAGGTTTGACATCAGGGGTAGGAGGATTTGGATGGAGCACCCCTCTGCCAACTGATGAGCTGAGTGGGTATGGGGAGCTCAGCTGCCCCCAGCCTGCTGGTTCCCAGCCCCCCTGGACTCTCCCTCCCTACCGGGACCAGCATCTCCTGACAGGGCCCGAGGGACTCAGCCTGGTAGTCCAGTTACAGAAAACAATTCCCTTCTCCTCCAGCCTCCTGGCCACAGTCCTCAGACCTCACCAGTCACAAAACTGAGACTGGGATATGGGGCATACTCCCAAGAGGCCAGCCACAAGCAGAAATCTTTTATTTTCTTGAAGTTTTGTTCATCTTCAAAATGTGGGCACATTTTCAGCACTCTAGTCCATAATGCAGGCCTGTTTGTTTTCTTATGAAAATAAGTCAGTTTGCCATGAGGCACGCTTATCCATGTGGCATCAGGAGGGCAGCACCCTCTCGGCCAAGCTGACGTCACTGTCCTGGCCTCTGTGGAGGGCCCCCCTTTCTGTCCCGGGGGTGGCATCAGCACCAACTGGTGTCACCGTGCTATGCACTGAGCTGCTACAGGGAGCAGGTCCCTTCCAAACACTCTTGAATTTAATTCAGTTCTTAAAGCCACCTGTAAGGTCTTCCCATTTGCAAGGACACGCGGCAGAGTGCAGGTGAAGACACGTGTCTGGGATGGCAGCAAATGACTCGGGATTGGCCAAGGGACTGAGTTCAGTGCAGAGGTTGCCAGGCAGAGGGCTTCAGCTGACCCAGTCCAGGGGTTTTCAAGGGAACGTCCTGGGAAGAGCAGCAGTTTCACTCCAGAATTTGCCAAAATTTTAGACCTTCAGTCTCCCTTGCCCCCAACTCAACTGGAGACTCCTGGGCAGGGCTCATAATTCATGTGGGAATAGACCTTCTTGGGGGTTTAGATGCCCTCTCCTGTTTGAGAACTGCCGCCTTCACCAGAACCTCAATGTTTGCCCCAGTGGATGTCAACCTGCAGGCCTGTGGGGAGGGACCCAGGCACAGTGCAGGATCCCCCTTCCTTTCCCCAGGAGCAGCGCTGTGAGGGTCAGGGAAGGCCTCTGGATTCACCCAGAAATGGCTCGTTAAAGCAGCGTGGACCCCTTCCACCCAGGAGCTCATTGTCAGGACTGCCTCTCTCCCCGGCATCTAGAATCCTGTCTCAGAGGTTTTGGGGGAGCCCAAACTAAGATATATATGTAAAGCAGAAGTTTCTGCATACTTCTATAATTCTATGATAGGCTTGTAGCATTTACAGTTACAAAAGCAAACACTTCTACAAGTTAATAGCAAACAGACCTTAAAACCAAAGAAAGTCAAATCAGCAGCATTAATTGATTGTGACAGATGAGTCATATGTAGGCACTCGGTGTCAGCTGCAGAGAGGCCGCAGTCCCACTGTGTGCTTGGGTGTCTTGAGCTGGCAGGGCCGGACCTCGGCTTTGAACCCTGGGGAAGATGCATTCCCTCCACTAATCAGCAGTGTCCTTTGGCTTGAGCACTGACCTTTGCCTCTGAGTGATCCTATCGACTGTGACCCCGAGTCATGCTCTCAGGTCACGGACAGTGCCCAGGGCTGCTTACTTACATCACATGATCCAAAATGGGCTTTTTACATTTTTTTCTTTTTAGTTAAAAAAATTGTGGTAAAATGCATATAACCTAAAATTTGCCATTGTAAGTATTTTCAAGTGCACAGCTAGCTCAGTGGCATTCATTTCATTCACACTGTTGTGCTACCATCACCACCCACCATGTCCAGAACTTTCTCATCTTCCAAAACTAAAACTCCTTACTCATTAGGCAACAGAGCCCCATTACCCTCCTCGAGCTCCTGGCAACCACCATTTTACTTTCTGGCTCATGAATGTGACTACTTTACGTTCCTCACAGGAGTGGAATCACACAGTATTTGTCCTCTTGGTGACTGGCTTATTTCACTTGGCATAAGTCCTCAAGCTTCAGTCCCATAGCCTATCACAGGATTTTTTTTTTCCTTTTTAAGGCAGAACAATATTTCATTGCATGGATGTACCACATTTAGTTTCTCCACCCATCCCTCAATGGGCACTTGAGTTGTTTCCATATCCATTTTTTTTTAGACAGAATCTCACACTGTCACCCAGGCTGGAGTGCAGTGGCATGATATCGGCTCAGTGCAACCTCCACCTCCTGGGTTCAAGTGATTCTCCTGCCTCAGTCTCCTGAGTAGCTGGGACTACAGGCATGCACCACCATACCTGGCTAATTTTTGTATTTTTAGTAGAGACGGGGTTTCGCCACCTTGGCCAGGTGGGTCTCAAACTCCCGACCTCAGGTTATTCACCTGCCTGGGCCTCCCAAAGTGCTGGGATTACAGGCGTAAGCCACCATGCCCGGCCTTGTTTCCACATCTTGGCTATTGTGATTAATGCTTCTACGCACATGGGTGTACAAATATGTGTCTGAGTCCCTGCTTTCACTTCTTCTGGGCATGCGCCGAGGAGTTGAATTGCTGGATCATGTGGTTACAGAGTGTGCTTTTAGTAATTTTTAAAAAGATTACCATAGGAAAGCAAATAAAAATGAATGCTCTGATCTGGAGAGGTCTTCACAAAGAACAGCAGGTGCCTGTGGGTTTTTGTGAAGATCTCTCCAGATCAGAGCATTCATGGACATCGACAGGAGAAACCCATTTGTCCTAGTTTGGGTTTTCCACAGAAGCAGACCCAGGGCTGTGACTTGGGTGCAGGGAGGTTATTTGGGATGTGACCCCGAAAAGGACTGTGAGCCGTGGTGGAAGGAGGCTCCTAGGGAAGGCCACGTGGACTGGGCGTGGCACCCACAGTCCCAGTTACACCACTGGGCTCCGTCCTGGCTCTGCTCCTGCTCCCGGTGACCTTGGGCAGTGGCACGCTAAGGGCAGGGTGGAGTAGGGGCGTGGTCTCCTCCTCTCCTCCTCCCTGTGGGCAGTGAGGGTGCTCATTGTCTTTAGAGAATCCCAAAACAAAAATAAGGCCAACCAGTTTGTCTTCTGTCTTCTGTTTATCGTCACCATGCACCAGGGATTCTGAGTGATGCCAGTGATAAAATACTTCTCCCTGGAAAAACATTTGTGTTCCAAACAATGGCTCCAGTGGTTACTGTTGAATTGTAATAATATATAGGTAAGCCTCAAACTGGCACCTTATTCTACCTACACTTTAATAAATGTATTCTGCAGGGAAGTAAATTTGAAGAACTCCCAGTTGTACAGTTGGTCAGACACACGAGTTTGTTTCCAGTGGGAGTTAATAACAGCCTAGGACCCTCTCAGTTCATTGCAGGTATGGCCTGCGATTCCCCTCCCCACACCGCCCTGGGGTCATACACGTCCCTGGTGTCCCTGTGTTTAACATTTGTTTTGAACAAACAATGATAACAGTGGTTATTGAGGCAGAGAAACAGCTCGAGTTTCTGCGGTTCTGTCCCATGGACACTTGGGCTGACGGCAGGCAAACTCTCAGTGGGGGGATATTTTTGTGTGGTAAGTGTCAGTTTCAGTCCATGCATGAAATGCATTTGTTTCATTTCATAATGACTTTGGACATTTTTATCATAACGGACAGAGTTTGTAAACAGGTTCTGCTCTCTTGCGTGCCCATATCCTCACCTGTGAAATGGGCTAATGGCATCCTCCCTCCCAGGCTAGGCATCCAGGAAGTCTCCACCTGGAGGCTGAACTCAGAGCCCTGAGCACAGGAAGGCCGTGGCTACAGCTCTTGCTGTGATTATTGTTGTTATTATGCCTCAGGGAGGAGAAGCCTGGCCTGCCTTTGGGGGCATTGGCAGTTGAGCCTGGAGTCTGACCCTGAAGGATGACAAGGAGCTTGTCCCAGAGGAGGGGACCAAGTGGGCAGCATTTTATGGCTATGATATCCTCAGAACTACGTACCCTGAAGGTGGTGTTTTGCCCATGATCTAACCTAGGTGTTTCATTTTTGGGAGAATAAACCTGTTCCTTCAACAATATTTACTGAAATTTAGCCATGAGCAAATTGTCCTGGTCATTGTGCCCGAAATAAATGTAACTTGTATGTTGAGTAAATTGTAATGAAGATACAATTTTGCATTTTGTCCACAGCCATTTAAACTTTCTTCAGGAGGGGAGGAGGTGGCTCTCCTGCAGGAATGAAGAGCGGCGGGCCCCTTGAGCCGTCTTTTCCCTCTTAGGTTATGAACAGTCCTCGGTCACTTTCAGCCGCAAGAACAGTTCATATTTATTTTCAGGGTGGAAGTCAGGAGTGGGAATCTGGGCGGGGACCACTTTTTCTATTTTTTTCTCATGGGCTCCTCTTCATCCTCCCCAGCCCCCAAGTTTTCTGGAGAGTTCAGGGTGGTTGAAGGGAGCAAATGCACGGGAAACATAAGTCTTCCTTGAACTGGTGCTGCTGTGAGGAGGCCAAGTGCTCACAGGGCTTTGGTGGTGTCTGCAGTCCCCATCCAGCCTTTCTGGAGCTCTTCAAGGTGATGTGTCTTGATTCTGGTCCCTCGGGACCCCTCTATGGCCCCCGAGGTTCAGTTGACCTGTGGGATTGCAGGCCCTTCCATATAGGAACTGGAAGATAGCTCCTCTGGCTCTCGCCCTACACATTTCCCTGGTGGGAGGTGAGGGGCATCCTTAGACCCCTGGCCACCAGGTCCTCACGCTGTAAGGGACATGTGTCATGTTCCCAGAGTGGTCTCATGGAGGCCCCCATCCCTCTCGGCCTGGGGTTGGGCAGTGTCACCTTCTGCCATGGGGGCTGGGCTGAAGCGATCCTGACCAAATCCTTAGGTGCTCAGAGTGATGGCTGTGAGCAGCTCCACCCCGTTTCTTTTGAGTGCTCTTCTGACCCAGGTGTTTCACAGCTATTGTCTTTTAAGGCGTGAATTGGACACTTAGGTCTTGACATCCTATTGTTTTCAGAGGGAGACAGGACTGTATGCAAAGGCACATGATCCAGGGTGGACAGTGGCGTGAATTGGACACTTAGGTCTTGACATCCTATTGTTTTCAGAGGGAGACAGGACTGTATGCAAAGGCACATGATCCAGGGTGGACAGTGGCCTGAAGCAGTACGGACAATGACGGGGGAGACTCTCCCAGCTGGGGCCAAGGGAATCCTGGCAGGCCTTGGAGGTGGACATAGTGTGACCTCCCATGGTGCGTGAGGAGGGATTGCTGGGTCGCCATGCAAGAACTGAGAACCATCGAGGAGTGCGCGGGCCCAGGGCCTGCCCCTGTGGCCTTGTTGGCTCCTGCTGGGGTCACTGCAGATGGTGACAGCGTCTCACACAAAGTGACCTCACACTGAGTGCAGTGGGTCAGGAGACAGTCTTGTCTTACTCTGCGCCAGTTCTGAGCCACACGTTTCTAATAGAGTGACGGCATATGACCACACTTTTCTGTCGTTTAGAAGTTTCCAGAATATTCTGAGCTTCTGAAAGTTCACATAAACATACAGTGTTCTGTTTTTATTGTAAGAGTAAAATAGGATGGCCATTTTCATATGTGGACACCCCAAGGCATATCGGATCTGACTTCTACAATTTTAATGAAGTGAAACATTTCGGAAAACAAACAATAAAAACTTTACCCTTGTTCTCTTCCCTTTTCTCTTATTCATTTATTTATTTATTTATTTATTTAAGGAAATGGCTTTGAAGTATCTGAGAGCCTTGAGGTGGGAAGCGGGTGGAATTCCTGTGTCTGGAGCAGTAGGTTTCTGGGTGGAGTGCAGATGGATTCAGGCACTGGTAACAATAGCAACAAATGTAGCAGAGCCCTCCCTTTGATGTGCCAAGATTAAACAACATGTCAAGTGCGGGCTGTGAGCTTGACTGAAATGTGATAATAGGGAAGCCTGATACCTTTGGGGCCAAAGCCCTATAAAGATAAAAATCAGATTATTAATGACAGTTTCCAGTTTTTTTTTTTAAGTCTTAAGATGTGTTTGTTCAGCAGGCCATGTGCAGACACCCCTGCCAGCAAACACGTGTGCACCACATGCTTGCAAACGGGCAAGGCTTCTCTGTTGTTTGCAGAGCAAATGCTGCTCATGCAGATGGGCCCCCAAAGGTCCATACACGCGTCATGCCTGGTAAGGGGTTCAGCGTGAAACCAGGGTCAGCTCCTCTGGGCCTCTGGAGTTTTTATGTACATTCTGCACGGTGTTTCCCCAGCTGGTATCAGGAACCCAGATGCTGAGGTCCAAGTCTGGTTTCATCTCCTGATACGGAGGCTGCAGAGGGGAAAGTTGTCTGTCCCTGCCTTAGTGGAAAAAGCGCTGCAGAATCCTCAGCTCACCATTTTGCATTTGGGTGGGAGGCTGGTTAAAGAGGCTGCACCAGCTGGCAGGCTTATCTATGGAAGGAATGGGGGCCTGAGATTTGAGAGCTCCTTGAAGAGGTTCTTCTGGCTCCAGCTGGATGTGTGACTAGGGACAGAACTCTTTGTGTGTGGGCATTTGGTTTCCTCAGCTGTAATTGGAGATGGCCCGTTTGACAACTGTGGTCCTCTGCAACTGTAATCTCTGGTGTCAGTCATTAACACCTCAGTGCAAAGCAGCCCATCACATCACTTTCTAGGGCTGGGACTTGGGACTGCTACTCAGAAGTTAAGGAGGGCTGGAAAGGGAAGTTTCCACATGGAAGGATCTGCCTGAGCTGGCGGTTTCGGTGGAGCCCTGGCCAGGCCACAGTAGGGTGCTGGGGGCTTGGCTGGAAAGTGGGTGTGAGGGACAGGAGAGATGCTGGGAAGGAAAGTGCAGGTGTGTGGTGTGAGGGAGGCAGGCTCCAGGTATCAGGCCTGCCAGAGGATCTCACAAGGATCTTCCTCTAGGGTGCTAACTCCTCTGAGCAACCCCAAGGTCTTTGGGACATGCAGGCCCTGTCTCTAGTCGTCTGAGATTTAAAAGGCTGGCGTGTCCTGAATCAGGATTCGAATCTCAGCCTCCTGACTAGAGGCCAGGTCTTGTGACTGCAGGGCAATTATTTTGTTATTTGGATTAATCCCACGGCAAAACCCACCACAAGCGTTGACCTTTCTCATGCTTGGCCCTATGGAAAGGCAGCCCAGCCAGATAAGGAGTTTGTGAACTCCTGAAAAATGTTTTCACTCAGATGAGATCAGCAGGCCTTTGGAAGTACCTTCTCAGAGGTCAGGGCCTAGGGCACTAGCCGCAGGGTGGCTCTGAGAATCGGTGGAGGGAATGCTGGGGTGGCGTCAGCAGGTCCAGCTTCAAATCCCACTCCCAGCGCTCACCAATCTCCACTCCTCCGCATTTCTTTGATTGGCAGTGGTGGAGGACAAGGGTCCCCCCTCCTCTGGATCTTCTGTGTGAAAGCATGGTGCCTCCTTTCTGGCACAGAAGTGATCAAACGGCTACCTACCCCTCATCCTCCCATTATTGTGCAGTGTACGTGTGGGCTCCCTGAAAAGCATGGAGCAGAGGTGTAGACGTTTGATTAAGTGCTTCCTAAGCTTGATGGTCGAGCCTTGTTTCAGCTGCTGAATTTGCTGTGTGCAGCCTGGCATTGTTCTCAGGAGGGTCTTTCATATGTGTCTGAGGACATAAGGACAGATGAGAAGCAGGCCAGGGGAGAAGTGATCTCTGCCTCCCCACCTCACACCCACATGGCACAGGAGGACAGGGTTGACTGCATCGGTGTCCCTGTGGGAAGGTGAGTGGGGAATGAAGTACCACTCGCTCGGCAATGACTCATTATCATCTGAAGAAAAGTGCCTGGGGGTTGGAGGTCAGGAAATGTCTGTCATTTGCTTCCTCTAGGTTTGATTTAACCTGATGAGAGTTAACCTGCTTATACATGCACAGGTTGTTTTTATCCCTGTGAAATCTCATGGTGGGTGAGAAAGGTAGGTCTAATGCCTGGGCCCCTCCATATTCCGGCTCCGTGGGTCTGATGGGACACCTGGGCTTGGGGATCTTTCAGAGCTGCCCAGGGAATTCTGGTGTGAGCAAAGCTTGAGAATCTCTGCTCCCAATCTTGATATTCTACATTATAAAGAAACAAATATCAACTGGTTTCTGCCAGGGACCTACCCTACGCCATCCCATCATTGTACTCTTCTGCGGCCATGGTCCTCAGGGATTTCAACCTGGCCAGGACCTGGGAGCCTTGAGAAGTCCAGTCGTTTTCAAAGGCCTGCGGGCCCCTGCAATCCTGGGCTGAATTCTGGGCTTCTGGATTAGCTCTCAGACCCCATTCCTCTCACCCTTGCTTCCTAAGGAAGTTTTGCCCATTTTTTGGCCAACATTGAGATCACATATTTGTACTTAGGCAAGTGACCTACTTGCATTTCACCATGAAGTCCGAATCCAACGATGGAAACTCAAGGCTTCCTTACTGCTTTCATTGTGCTATGCTGACTTGTAGGTAGAGAACTTTATTCATCCAAAAGTCCAAAGGTGTGTTAGGATTGTTCCAAAACTCTGTGTGATATCTGTTTGTCCAGAAAAAAAGAAAAACCCACACAAAAAGAAAGTATAATTCATCCTTCAGCATGGAGACCCTTGACCAGATCTCAATCTAGCAAAATCCACACTGTCCCCTTGACAGATGCTTTCATGAAGAGTCAGCTATCACAGCCTCAGCCCCCATGACCACTCAGACCAGACTGGAGTGGAGGTGGTGCTGGCCCTGCTGGCCTCTGGTTGTTCATGTTAAGTCTGCAGCCAGAGCTTTTTCTGTGTCAAAAAGTGTCTGCAAAATGACAGAGCCACCTTGTCACAGTGGCTCTTTCATTTTGCAGACACTTTTTGCCTTCTACAGATGCTGGTCATGCCTCAGTGGCAAGCAGGCAGAATTGCAGTCCAGAGCTGCCCCACAGAGTGTAGGGTGGGGGTGAGGTCAGATCTCAGCACTATGAAGACCACTCTGTGTTTACCCCATTTTCCTCCCATATAGTTGCTACTCATCAGGTTATATTTTTGACTTGAGAAAATTGTGCCTGTGAATTTCTTTCAATATCCTCATCTTAAACAAAATGGACTTCCAAAGCACCAGTCTAACTGGGGCCATTTTGAATTCAGACATGGTCAAAAAATCTGTCAAATAATGCACAAAATTCTATGTTTCTTGACTTTAAATCTCCACTCACCTGCCAAGGCCGCCCTAGAACATCTTAAAACAAGAAGTTGTTTCTTAGGGCCAGATCCATTTATAACATCTGCAGACAGGGGAGAGAGACATCCTGATCCTATAGCCTCTTCCTTTTTCCTTCTCCCACGTGAGCCTGATGGGTTAGCCTCGTGACTAATATTTGTTACAAATTCCCCACTTGCTCTTTAACCAGTGATAATGCACCAGCCTCCAATGGCAACAGATTGGGCACAGCATTACTTAATTGCTATCTCCTATTTTGGTTTAAAGTCTTCTGACTTCAACATTTAACAGTATTGGATATCAGCTGTGGAATATACCACCAAAGATAGACTATCTCGCAAAAATAATATGCCATGTATTTCAAAATCATAGCATTTGCTGTCAGCTCATATTTCTGGCCAAATATGGAAAGAAAGATACCCTTTGCCAAAGCCGTTTTGGACCTTTGAACAAGGCAGCTCTCTGTAACAATCCTTGGTGAGAACATGTTCTTCTGTGAGACTGCATGCCACATTTCATATTTGCGTAGGACTCTCATCCCCGCGACTGCTGAAGCACTTGGCATGGGTTCTCTCCAGTTTGCTCTGAGGTGGGAAGCTCAGCTAGGGTGGGTTTCCCATGAATGAGAGTTGGGAAAGCAGCTGTCTCAAAGCCAGAGTCGCGGACCTGGGGGAAGAAGGAAATAAGTGGCACTAGAATTAGAGACCAGGTCCTTTGTGTCCAATCCAGCAGCATTCTGCCTCTCTCTGGATGCCCTGAGTACATTTGTAGGTCTTCTGACTCCTGAGAATTAATGTGAGACTGGGTGGAATCAGGAATTAGCATCCACGCTTGATCGTAGAGCCTCGTCTGCAGGCCTGGGTGGTCACTACACATTTCTTTCCACTGGGCGATGCTGTGCTTTCTTTCAAAAGCTCATTAGAGATGCTCCCTCCCTTTGAAAGGCACAGAGATGTTTCATGTGCCATTTTCAATTTATCCAAGTTGCTACTCCAAAGAGGTGGAAATTACAAGAGGGTGTGCTTGTGAAACTGGAGGAGTCTCCCCGGCTGCAGCTCTGGGGACAGCATCTCACTGAGCTTGGGATGAAGTTGCTGGGCAGGACCAGACGATGGGATGCTGTTTTTCATTCTCGGTTTGGCTCTGCCTCTGAATGGTGGGGAGTACACCCTGTTCTGGGAGGAATAGGAAGGTCAATTTTAGTACTTTGATGTTGCTTTACAAAAGTGGAGGAAATCAAATACAGACTCCTGAAATATTAGCAACCCCAGGGTTTGTGTTGCATTTTCTAAGTTTTGGAAAAGATGATCCAGGAAGATGGGGGTCCTCCTTAAGCTGATGAATGTTACTCTGCTCTTCCCTTCTGCCTGCTTCTTACCACCCAGCATCTCCGCTGTCCTGAGGTTGGGCTGTCCTGGGAAGCTGTCTGCAGCTGGAGCTTTGAGTTGAGCTGGCTCCATGTGAGTGACGGAAACTCGGCTCTGGTTCCCTGGCCCAGGGCCCAGCTCCCCTTTCCCTCTCCCTGGGGCGCTGATGAAGTGAGGAGTGCGTGCATGAGCAGGCTGCTTGTGTGTCTGCTTACCTTGGCATCCAAAACACTCCAGCCCCATCTTCCCTGTGTGAAAATACTCACTACAAGCTTCTGCCTGTTTCCACTTTCAGTGCTTGCTCCCATCAACTTGCTTCTTCTTGGAAAGCTAGAATCCTGCAGCTGGATTGACCAGCACAAAGACCTTTGTGCTGGCTGAATAGCAAGGGACCTTCATGTGACTGGCAAGTGACTTGATTTCCCATGGGTTGCATCATGTTTTGGGGCACGAGGGAAGCATGGGACACTCCAAGGGGATTAGGTCCCTGGGGAAAAGTGCATACCGGTGGCTTTTGAGTCAATATTCTTTTAAGTTCGTGCCCAGTTTGCATCAGAGAAAAGGTTGTGCCCAAATGAAGATAGTCAGTGAACTTGTAGAATGTCACCAACCTGTCCAGGAGGTTGTACCCTCTAAGGCAGTCACAAGACTGCTGCGTGTTTGACATGATGGTTCAGGAAGGGGAGCCCCAACTGACCAGCATCAGGTTCTCTGTGGGTTGCTGAGTGGATGAAGCAATTAGGAGTAAGAGCACAGGAGCCTGGGGACAGGAAAGGCCACGCAGAAGCACTTCCTAGATGCGGTGGATAGATGCGGGCTCTGCCCATACTGTGGCCATAGTTGAGCAATGCCATGTGGCTATAGGGGCTTTCTTAAATTATAAACAGGTCTAACTAATATGGCTATATCTTCTTTTCAGAAGGGGCCACGGGGCCCTAGCCTCAGTCTACATCAGGTGCTGTCCAGGTGATATAGCACCGAGGAAAGAGAGCTCAGTCGCACTCCTGGCTCCCTGGGGACCATGGTAGCTCCAAAGGCTCCCTGTGGCTGGAGAGCTGTCTGTCCTCACCCCTTGTACAGCAGCACTTTTGACCCCTGAACCCATTGCTTTCATTTCTCTATTCCATTCATTTCAGTGTCTGCCTTGGTGAATTTGGGGTCAGCTGCCAAAATGATTGGAAGAGAAGCCAGTTGTTTTCACTAGGAGACAAGCATTAAAGAATAGACATCGTCTTTATCAACAGTTATTGTTTCTTTATCTTTACACTGGGGCAAGCGGTTTTATAATTATCCCTCTTAATCACACAACTGCCCTGTGCAGTAGGTATTCTTCTTAAACCCATTTAATGGATAAGCAAACTGAGACACAGAGAGATATGCAGCTCATTGGAGGTCTTTCTCACCACGAGTTCCTGGAAGAATCTGGATTACAATCTAGGTCACATTTCACGCATCACAGGCTGGGAGTAAGAGAAGAGATATAACTCCTAAATTCTGAGTAGCCCTTATGCATATGCCCTGTAACCAAAAGCAAAGCTCAAGCCTCCTTCCTGCGCATGTGGTACCTTGACGGTTCAGGGACGCTTCAAGGCACACCTCTGATCCCAGCAGCACAGACAGCACAGACCAGCCACCTAGAACTCCCTGTGAATAGAGATGACCTGTAGGTGTTCCCCTAATATTTGGAAATAAGTGAATGGCAACGAGAAAGGTGGTCCAAGGAATTTACTAAGCATGAAGAAGAACTTCCAGGGACATCCAAGGTCTTGCACACCTACCCTGACCCCATCCGGTGGTGTTAGGATCACAAAATAGAGACTTGTTATTTCAATGAGGATTCCAGGAGCTCCTGGGAAGTCTTTGCTGGTTCACAGATGTGTTTACACTCAGGATATTCTTTCAATGGCATATTTTTGAGTTACTTTCAACAAAAGGCATTAAAATGCAAGGGGTTTCTGCATAATTTTCAATTAAAAAGACAATGCATTGATCAGAGTCATCAGTGGTTTGCAACTGTTCTCGGGGAATGGGCTTTCTGGAAGGAAGCGTAGGAGGGAAGTGCAGATAATTTTGAGTATCACCTTTTCCAAAAAGTAGTGTGGCTGTGATGACGCTGTGGTTTCCTGTGAGCCCAGAATACAGTACCCCTGTGTTTGGCCTGCCAGGGCAGGTGAACATTCCCCAGGCTTGCTCTGTGTCACGGATACCCAGCTCACCAGATGGATGCAGTATGGTGGGTGCCCTGGTAGCCGAAGCTGGCTCTGATGCAAAGATCTGGTGCAGAATTTATAAAGCAATATCTCATTTCTGGTTGATGGTGACTCACTAGAGGTGTTGGAACATTTTTTTTTTCCTATTTCGTGTCAAAGATTCTTGGGATGAAATAAGTTAAAAAGATGTTTCTAGAAGACAAGTAAGTATCAAAAAATAAAAGGAGCTGAAACATCCACCAAAGTGAATATTAAGAGAAATTCGACACTCCAGAGATTGTGAATGTCCTTTTATCCTGGCCTAGATAATGAGGCATGCACAGGTAATACTGTGGGCTACTTGGTGCCATTAGAAGAAAATGCTGACTGAGCTTACAATCATGTCTTCAGTTCTATTTAGTCAGATCTTTTGGTTATTTCATTCGCATGCTGAAGTTCTGTTTCCTTGTCATTTGGAGATGTTTAACTGTGGCATATGTCAGAACCACAGGCAATTGAGAATAGATTAATCAATACCTCCATCAATGGACACTTGAAGAAGACACATAACTCAAACCTTATGTTAAATCTTAGAGGAAAAGTCAGGTTTTTATTGTAGTTCATTTTTTGGAGATGATTGCAAATTTAGTTATTTTGCATCTATTTTTAGGCAGAAATATTAACAGTTCAAGAAAAGCCAAGAGTTTTATCAGAATAAAAAAGGAGATTGTCTACCATGTAAAACCAGCTGCAAATCCACTGAGAATCACTCCTGGGCACCATCAGTGTGGGAGCTGCTTCCCTAAGAGCTGAGACTGCCAGCACGCGTGAAAATACCACCCAGCTCTTCCAAGACTGGCCCCATGCTGGCAGAAGCTAATGTGTGCAGCTCAATAGTATGATGTCAAGTCCAGATCTTGAAAGCAGACTGCCAAGTGAGCGAGGACACCTGCTTCAGTGGTAGGGTGAGGGAGGCTGCGAAATTCACCAAGAGGTAAACAGCAGCTGAGAAAGCCTTGGGAGACTGGGTGGGACTCAGATGACCAGAGAAAGCCTTTCCAGGAAGAAAGACTGAGGGAGGCAAAGTGACAAATGCATGAGCGAGTGGGGTCATGGCTGACCATGGGACTGCAAGATGACTAAGGCAGGGGCTCTGGGAGTCAGCACCAGAGAAGGAGTGGAAGGGGAGCGGCCTGTCAAAAGGCTTTGGAAACAGAACCCAGTTGTGGAAACTGAGGTGCATGAGTCCGGCATAGTTGTTTAGGAAGCGGCAAGTCTGGCTCTGAGGAATGACGTGGGAGCTCAGGTCATGACCGTGCAAAGAATAAGGAACCCAGAGACTGGGGTGACACTGCAGACGAAGGTGTCTGGATTGCTAGGGAGTCTGAAGATGGGTGGGTTCCAGGGGAGCCTGGGAACCCAAACTGTGCTCTTCCTTCTTCTTGGTCTCAGAAGAGTGAAGAACCAGAGGGAGTGGCAGAAGACTTTCATGTGAGAGACTCTGAGGTTGAGACTTGGACTTTATTGTACAATAGAGCATTTGGCTGGCCTTTGTCTCCGGTTCCTGGGAAGGACCCTCTAAATCCTTGGTATTTCCTGAGTGATAGGATGTCTTTGTTACTCATGGTAGGCCCCTGTGACCACACCAGAATTCATGCTAACAGGAAGACTCGGGATGGGGGCTGGTCACACCAGAAAGATCAACATGTGACTAGAGAGTTGGGGCTCTGAGCCCCTATAAGTCTGGCCTCGGGGAGGGGATGTGGCTGGAGATTGAGTTCAATCCCATAGCCATTGAATCAATGAAGCCTACATACTGAGACCCCAATAGGCACTCTGGACACCTGAAGTTCAGCTGAGCTTCCCTGGTTGGTCATACATCCATGTGCCAGGACAGTGACATATCCTGAGGACATGAAAACTTCATCCATATTTGGAACCCTCCTAAATCTCACCCTCTGTGTCTCACATTGCTTGCATGGTCCTGAGATGTATCCCTTAGAATTGTGAGTATAGAGCTCTCCTGACTTCTGTGAGTCATTCCAGTATGTGATTAAACCTGATGGGAACCCAGCATATGATTAACCCTGATGGGAATTTGTTACTAGCTGGGCAGAAGTGTAGGCGGTCTGTGGACCCTGAGTTCATGGCTGGTGTCTGAATTGAGACGCACTTGTGAAGAAGTGAGCCTTAAGCCGAGAATTGGACCTAAAGTCTGCATGGCAGTGTCAGGGTGGCATGGCATCCTTTTGGCCTCAATGTGACCATGTCTCAGTCCTGACCTGGTGCTCCTCATTGAATCAGAACCCATGGGAAGCCCAAGTGAGGAGATGTACCCTCGTGCGGGGGCTTCCTCCGGGTCAAGCATCCTTGGTCATAAAGTATACCTTCAAATGCCCTTTGTCAGGTCACTTACAGGTCTTCCAAGGTTAAAATATTTGATAGTGACACTAAATACTAACGTTAAGAGAAAACACTGTCACTGATAGACATCTATCTATAAGATCTTGATGAGTCCAGCATTCTAGGATCAGGGACCATGTGGCATTTGGCACAGAGTTTAGTGTGGCCTTGTCTGTCCCCGGGGAATTTATTTTCTTCTCTGCAAGTTTCTTCTGAACTGTGTTTATATCTGTGTTAGAACACTAGTCACAAGTAAATGCACATCCTTCTTCTCTTATGGACTGCTTTTGTGGGCAGAGGAGGGCAGGTCTTTATGTTTATACCCCTTGCAACATTTAGTGAATTGGATTTAGGAAGGGGTGGTTTGGTGAAGACTCCACAAAGAAAGCAGTAGGGCCAGAGAAAAAAAAAAGCCAGTACCACCTGGTAGAAATGGCACTGTGCAGTTCACTACCTTAATGTGTGCACAGAGTGGTGGTTCAATCCAGTTACCCCTGGATGACCTCAGCATTTCCCCAGCCCCAAGAGCATCAGTAAACCTGAAGCAAGTGAGGCTCAGGCCCTGAAAATCTCCCTCCGTGGTCTTGAGCCCTGGGTGTTTTTTTTTCTGCAACCTTCACTGGTGGGTCACTTCCTGGCAGAATAGCCATGGGGAATTCTTTGTCTCTCATTGTTGTTCAAAGTCCTTTAAAAAACAGAGTGTTTTCGCCCAACCCTGGGGTTCTGGATTCTGCTTGCCTGTATTTCTGTACCTAGTCAGCATCAGGCAGAAACTGACCATTCAGGAAGAGAGACAATCAGATGTAAATGTGTTTTCTGCTACTGCCTCTAGGGGAACGTTCTTAAATATTCTCAGCCAGATGACCTTCCCTCCCCTGCTGTTTATTGTTTTTCACTATCAAATGTTCCCCCAGCTGTGGCAGCTGGAGTTCAAAGCTGTCCACTTGCAACAGAGTGTCCTTGGTGGGTTTTCTGCAGTTGATTAATGCCTGACAGCATGTGGGTTCCTCCAGGCAGTGGCCCTCTGTTGGATTCTTCAAGGCAAATAAGAATCTGCCGGAAAGAAGGCATAAATCCTCCCTTGCACTGTGCTGTCAGCCGTTGAGTCTCGCAGGTTTGCTTCTGTAGAACCAGGAGAGTCAGGTCATTTGAGTGTTTGTGTGCCCAGGGTTATGCCTCTGTGATCCACCAACTGCGTCTCCAGTGCGGCCTGCACCATACAAGACAAAGACCTGGAGATGAGCCGTCCGGCTCCAGCCCCTGCCACTTCATTAAAGACTGTCAACAGCCTTGATCTATCTGTCTGTGTTACCTGATCCCGCACGCTGATGCGCGGTAAAGGACTCCCGTGCTGGAGACCATAGTGTAGGCTGTCAGAATGGAATTTTGAAATTGTGGCCAGACACAGCTCACTAAAAACTGTAATTAGTGGGTAGACAGAAAAGCCTCATCACCCAGGGCCTGGTTTTTTTGGATTGGTTGGGCCATGCCCATCACGCAGGGAACATTGCAGAGGCATGACTGGGGGCTTAGATCACGGCAGCCCACTTACCCCATACCCCATACCCAGTACATGCCCCACTGAGACGGCGACCATTAGAATGTCTGGAGAAACACGGAGGATGGTCATTGGGAGCAGCTCAGCTCCAGGTCGAGCTCCCATTGGCTGCAGAGGTAGCTGCCTCAGGCAGGCCCTTGTGCAGTGCGGCCTCTCTCCGTGGGTGATGCGTCTTTGTGATGAGCCATTTCCACCACGCAGACCTTGAGCACAGTGAAACAATAAGCCAGCGATTACTCAGTACAGCGCTCAGAGGAATTCCAGTTTACTATCAGCAGTCATTAGCCCAATCGGTAATGATTCAGAGAAGGGGGATATTGAAGGCACTGGCTATTTTTCTTCCTTTTTTTAAATTCCGGATATTAATCTTAGAGAAGCACAAAAAAGCAATCTCAAGAGAGGTCTCAGGTGAAGCAGTCTTTACTGAATAGAATCACAGAGACTGTCTTGACATAGAATTGGGCTTTGGAGAGACATTAAGCAAGGGTGACGGACACTGCAGCTGCATAGTGTTGATTGCAGGAGATCGATTGGACAGCCGGCTCTGCTTGTCTGCCATTGTGGTAGACTGTATTTTCCAAAGATGATCATACCTATCTAAAGCCCATCCTCCACTGGGTGCGGGGTGCTGTGTTCCCTTTTTTTGGACCTAGGCAGGCCTTTGTCATTGTTTGAATCAATACAATATGGCAGAGGTGGTGGTGTGTGCCTTTTGTAACCAGATCATCAAAGTCATTAGTTTCTGCTTTGGTCTCTTGTCTCTCTCACTCTTAAGACACTTGCTCTTAAAACCCAGCTGCTATCTTCTGAGGAAGCCCAGGGCACAAGGAGAGGCCACATGTGGGCATTCCAGCCAAAAACTGACAACAAGCATGGGCCACCAGATCTACAAGGAAACATCCTTCAGATGGTTCCTGTCTCTGCTTTGAGTCCCCCAGTGGAGGGACCAGATACCATGGAGCAAAGACAGGCCATCCTGCCACTCCCTGTCCCAATTCCTGACCCATAGGAACTGTGAGAGGTGATAAAAGACTATTGTTTTAAGCTATGAGTGTTGGGGAATGTGTTATGCGGAGCAGATAATAGATTCACCTGTCATATCTAGTGGGTGCTGATTGCCCATGTGCCTGAGCATAACCCCATCTCATATGTTTGCAAAGAACAATGCATGAACCCAGTGCATGGCAGGAATTCAGGGAGCAAAATGAACTTGATGGTTACCCAAGCAGGCAGCAGGAGCTTGGTTCCTGGGTGTGGCTTTTGCGCCCCTGGTTTTAGCTCCAGGGATATTCGTCAAAAGTGTTTAAGGCAAGAGTCAGCCCTGCCTCTGTAGAAATAACAAAGAAAAAACAAATGGCAGGGATAGACAACCCTAGTGGGAAAACACAGATATATGAGTTCCATAGTCACTCAGAGAAATGAAGGGATGAACAAAAGCCCTCATCATTCAAGTGACTTTTCCTAAACTCTAAATAAATCTCGGCTAAACACCCAGGTGTAGGGGCAGTATCCATCACATTCTCAAGGCAGTTGTTTTTTAATTTTTTTTTCCGGGATTAAGATAGAAAATGCTTCAGCTTTCCAAGGCAAAGCGTTGCTGCCTGCATTCTCTGTGTGTCATGTGGCCTCAAGCACACCAGGGGTTTTCCTGGAGTGTGTCCTGGCAGTGAAGAGGCACGCAAGGCATCTGATATCCCAGCACCCACAACTGAACATTTTTATGACATTCGCCCAGCTGTACCTTTATAAAGATATTATGCAGGTTCCGAGAGATTAAGCTTTCCTTCCCAACCAGCTGCTGTGGAATGATGCCCGGCATATGGAGGACAGATAGAATTTCCCACCCTGACATGTGCCGAGAAATTTGACTTTAAAAAGTGTTAATCAGTAGCTCAAATCATCAGCCATGCATGAGGGCAGGACAGCAGGAGTCTGGAAGCTAAATCCACAAATGCATGGGGCCATCCCTGGGTGATCCAGAGAAGGAAGTTCATCCATTCAGTCACATTGAGCATCTCCTGCCAAATGAGGGGTTCCCTGCTTGCTGTAGCTGCAGACCTGAGTTTGAATCCTATGGAGACCTGTTGCTTTGTTAGAAAGTAACAGAGATGTCTGGATGCAGGAATCCGGAGCCTGGTGCTGCCCCGCACTTCATAGGTGTGGTCTTGAACACACTTTTGCTCCCTTCTGGCACTGGGCCTCATCAGAGGGGCTCAGTGAAGTTTGGAGATTGAGTTTGTTTTTCATCTGGATGGACTGCCACCTAAAACATTTCAAAGAGCCCTTGTTTGTCCATCTTCCAGGAAATTTGTCCTGGAGCCTGACCATTCCTTTTTTTGGGGAGGCACCTCTCAGCAGCAAAAGGTGAAGTTAGGGGTGGCAGCACAGGGGTTTGGCCTCAAGAAAGTGGCTGGTGCCCCTGGGATGGTGGCCAGCAGTGAGGAGGAGCTGAGCAGGGGAGGAACTTCAAGGTTGGTTTCAGGTCTGGGGGCTGGAAGTACAGACATGGGGATGGACAGTTCTAGGCTTCGAGGGAGCTGCAGCCCTGGCAGGGGAAGAGGGCTTCATGTGGGAGGGTAGTCAGGGGCCGTCACTGCAGAAGCTGGGTGGCCCTGTCACCAGGGTAATGGACCACAGATAGCAGATATGTCCAGGCAGCTGCAGAGAACATGCTGGATTGCCCCTTTCCAGAGTGCGGGCAAGGCTGGCCTGGCAACAGCCAGGGATCCCCTCCCCAGGTATGAGGTGTGGGCACAGAGCCACCTTCCTCTCCAGGTGCAGGGTGGGATAGGGGAATTGGGGCCAGGGAGGAGGGCTGGGAGCAAAGAGAGGGGGAGGTAGGGGAGGTGAGCTGGGGTGGGGAGGAGGAGGGGATGGGGGTGGAGAAGGTAGAATGAAGAAGAGATGGTGGGGTGGGGAGGAGGGCCGGGGATGGGGAACCTGTGGAGTCCCAGGTGGGGAGCCCTGGGCCAGGCTTGACAATCTCTGTCTCTTTCCAGCCATGAGGTGTGGCTACTTTTGCTTTTTGTCTCTAATGCTGAGAAGAAACACCCACAGAGAAAGTAGACATAAAACCCTTCAGATAACAGGGGGTAGAAATCAAACACACATCCTGTGACTCTGCTGTGCGGGAGGACGGTGCCCCCACCTCCAGGAGCCCAGCTGTAGGGGGGAATGGAGGCTGGGCTCAGCACCGCAGCCCCCATGCCCACCTGCACCCAGGCTCACTATGCAGACTGCTATGTGCGCTGCAGGAGCCAGACGGATGCTTTCTTGCAACAGGCTTGCTGCAGATGGTGTAACCCGTCTGAACGTTCATCTTGGTGGATGAGAGGCTTTCTCTGCACACAAAGCCTGAAAGAAGCCCCTCACTACCTCTCTCAACCATCTCCACTGGAGATGAAGCTTCTCAAGCCCGGGGAAGCCACGGAACCTTCCAGATACGGATGTCCCTTTTGTGGGGTACATTCTGCTCCACAACTGGACAGGAGGTTGAAGCCTCACTTGGCCTGGGGTGCTGACTTCCTCAGGGTCCAGGTGAAATGTAGGGAAGGGCCCTGAAAAGTTAGTGCTGAGAAAGAACTAGGGAGAAAATGTTTTGAACCTCAAGCCTTCCAAATCTTGTAAGAGGCTGGAATACATTTATGCAGAGTCACAGAGAAGTCTCCCAAGCCCAATCCAGGCCATCAGTGTTTTGTGTTCCATTAAGACTGGCACATTTGGAGAAGTGGCTGCTGAGCGTGTGGGTTACGGGGGTACAACTACCCTGGCATGTGGATGGCAGGTGGCCAGGTGGCTGGTGGAGCTGACCTCTGACCTCCAAGGTGTGGCTGAGCCCCACGAGCCAACACTGCCTTGAACCACAGCTACATCAGGTGGAAACACAGCTCAGAGCAGTACCTGGTCACACAAGCTCCAGGGCAGTCTTGAGGGAATGGTCTGGAAAGTTTGAATGCACGTGGCTGTGCCGGGGTAAGGTGACCATGGCGGTATGGCTGCAGCTCCTGGGAACTGCCTGGGGCCAGGAGCTTTGACAGGTGAAGCTGCTCCCTTAGCAGAGTGTATACCACCTGTAGATCCTGCTGCCACTCAGACGCCCAGTGAACCCCCCAGCCCTGCCCAGGGCATTGCATCTGGGGGCATCCCGTGACCTCTCACATACCTTGTATGATGGTTAATTTCGTGTTTCAACTTGGCTGGGCCACAGGGTACCCAGATATTTAGCCAAACATTATTCTGGGCATGTGCGTAGGGTGTTTCTGGATGACACTGGCATTTGAATTGGTGGACTTAGTAAAGCAGGGGGCCTCCCCAAGGACGAGACCTCATCCAGCTCACAGAGATCCTAAAGAGAGCAAAATGGCTGAGTAAGAGGGAATATCCACCTGACTGCATGATCTGAGACGTGGATCTTCCCCTGTCTTCGGACTCAAACTGAACATCAATTTCTTGAGTCTCAAGCTTGCCAGACTTCAGTCTGGAAGTTTGAAGGGATTTCCACCTTGAAAACAGCAGATCTGGGGAAGTGTCAGCCTTCCTACTCATGTGACCCAGCTCTTCTTTCCCTGTGTTTACACACCCACTGGTTCTGTTTCTCTGGTGGACCCTAAAGAATACACTCAGTATTCTCCGCCATTGAGAGGCATGGCCCTCACGCCTCCTTCCTGCTTGGACTTGAGATCAAAAGGCAGAACTACCACCTGCGTTAATGCATCAGGATGTGATGGTGCACAAGGGCTGGTCCTCTCCTTGAACTGCCACAGCACCTGATAGCAGGCACCAGCTTTACAGGGGAGGCTGCCGCAGACTTAGTGAACAGCGTGGTACCATGTGGCAGGAACCACTGTGGGTTTAAGGGCTTGCATACATTTCACATCTCAGCAAAGATGTCCACATTCTCTGATGACACCTAAGATTAGCTTGAAGTTCTTGGAAGAAGCCTCAAATATTATCACCTAATGAAGTTTAGATGTATTTTAGATGGAGAGTTGAGAGTCCTTTTACCCCTTACCTGATTTGAGTCCTGGATGATCTCAGCAACATTGTTTCCTGGGGGCCTGAAAAAAAAAAAGGGAAAGATTGAGGTGGACTAAATTTTTATATTTAAGAGGCGCTCATGCATAGTGTGAGTGTGAAACAAAAAAGCCTGTCTAAATAAGCAAATAAAACAGTGGAAATCCATTTTTTAAACCTGAATGCTGGGGCCTGGGCGTAGTGGACATAGCAGCATTAACATTTGGAAAGAATGCTTGAAAACCCTTTCAAAAGAAGCCACGTAAGAGGTGTGTGCATGCACACACACACAGCCTGTTGATGCAATTTATGTGTCCACATTTAATTTCTAAAAAACCTTCCAAATTTGCAAGCACACAATGCTGTAAGTCCTAGAGCTTCTAGGGAGCTCCCCTTGCAAATCCGATGCTGAGGATCAGGCTTTTTTTTTTTTTTTTTTTTTTTTTTTTTCAGAGTGCTTTTAGAACACCGTGTAGGACAGGATGTAGAAATGGGAAACTCACTGGTGTTCTGGCGATACCACAGCCAGACTAAACTGAGCAGAGAATCACCTGCTTGCAATGTAGAATTTCAGAGGGAAGGCAGAGAACAGGCTGGTCTCAGCCTGATGGGGTGATGGGGAATGGAGTACTGTGCACTCCAGTCCCCGCCTGCAGCCTGGTGCCAGCCAGCTAGGGGCAGAAGACAGCCCTGCACTCAGCTCATCCTCTCTGCTCCCAGCTGGGCTCTTAGTTCACACTGGCTGATCAAGAGCTAATATGTCTCCTTTCCCTGAAATATAATGAGGGAAATGTGACTTTGGCTTTGATTCTTCCCTTCCATCTACTTCCTCTAACCAACAACAAAGCTCCCATTTCACTAATGGTTCCTGATGTGATCCGAGCCCCACTAAATAGTTTATGAGAAATGGCTATTTTTATGTGAGCAGAAAAGAGCAGTTCCTGGAAAGCTGGGGCAGCCCTTCATGTCTGGGCTGATGAGATCATCAGTCTCAGGAAGCCGCTGCTCTGCCGGGGCCATTATTCACTATGAGTGCTCCTGTGTCCACGGAAGCCATCCATCCGGCCACCAGGAGACATGGCCTGGGAGCACTGCGTTGGAGAGAGGCTGACTTACCTAAAGTCCGCTTTCCCTGCTTTCCTTGTTGTGACATTTAAGAACAACGTCCTGAACGTGAGAGAATGGAGAAAGGAGACTTTAATGGGGGGTTACAACTGGTTCTAACTGGGGTCCCTGGATCAGGAATATCAGCATTGTTAGAAATGCACATTCTCAGGCCCCATGGGCAGCACCGTGTGGCTGCTAAGGGCAGGGTCTCTAAGCTGTACTGCCTCTGGGCTTGCAGCCTGGCCCTGTCCCTCATTAGCCAGAGGATCCTACTGTGCCTGTCTCCCTGCTGGCAGAACGGGCATCAAATCTCATCCCTCTGTCCAGTGTTGCTGCAAGGATTACACAGGCATCTATGTAAAGCCACTGCAGCAGGTACTGTGTATTAAGTGCTCAATAAAATGGTCAGCTGTCTTGTGATGTCAGAATGCCAACAGGGTAAGTGGCAGGGCCTGTTTCTTCTCAGGGAGGTCACAGTCTTGGGCACCTTCGTGTCCATGGAGATCCCAGGCCTGTGTGAGCTGCAGGTTCTGCCCTCAGAGAGGTGGCTCTAGAAAACAAGCCAAGCTGAGCTCGTAAATCTCCTCCCTAGAGGGGCACCTGCCACATTAGGAGGCGCTCTATTTATGCGTTCATATGAGAGTGCTAAAAGCTGCTCTCACTCCTCATCCATCCCAGTGGTACAGGCCGAACAGTGCCCTCTCAGAAAGGATCTGCTGAAGTCCTAACCTCCAGCACCTCAGGATGTGACCCTATTTGGACATAGGGTCTTAGCAGAGGTAACTGAGTTAAAACAAGACTGTTAGAGTGGGCTGTAAGCCAATCTGGCTGGACTGCCTGTAAGAAGGGGAGATTTGGTCATAGACAGGTACAGAGGGGCATTGGGAGGAGATGGCCGTCTCCAAGCTAGGAAGCCACTCCCCACCACACACCAGATCTGCTGGTACCCACCCTGGCCCCCCGGCCTCCTGCACTGTGAGAAGTGACTGCCTGCCGTCGAAGCCACCCAGTCCCTGGTGATGAGTCTGGCAGCCGAGCTGAGCGACACAGCTGGAAATTCCCCGGCCTTTCTTTCCTCTCACTTCTCTGTTCTGTTGCCAGTGACATCTGCTCTGATGATCTATGGCCATGTGACAAACCACCCCAAACTTTAGTGGCTTAAAACAATATTAATCAGTTATTTTGCCCAGGAATCTGCAGCTTGGGCAGGACTCAGCCTGAACAGCTCTCCCTGCTAGCCCCTTGCCTGCTGTGTCCACTAGACGGGATGGGCAGATCCACTTCCAGGATGGTGCGAGCAAGCTGCTGCTCTCTGTGGTGGGATTGGTGGGAGCTGTGGCTTCCCCTCAGCATGAAACTGGGCTCCAAGAGCACATCTAGGAGACAGGATGTGGAAGCTGTTCTTTCCTAAAGTCTGGACCTGCTCAGAAATTGGCATGGTGCCCCGCCCTCACCATGTTCTATTTGTAGACAAGTCATGGAGCCCAGATGCAAGGAGCAGCAGGGAGATAGACTGCACCTCTCATGAGTGAGAGCCAGGGAGTTCGGGGCATGTTGAAAACCACTACATATCACTGACGAGGTTTTTAGGTGTGAGTTCCTGAGAATGTCATCCTTTCTCTGCCCAATTTTCAGCTTAAATGACAACCCTATGAGCAGGTACGTGGTACCCACTTTGTGCTCTGGGCAGTGCTTTGCACTTTGAGATTAGGAGAGAGATGTGGTCCCGACCCCCACATCATTCAGTAGCAGGGCCCACAGCCATAGCTTTTAAGCTTGTCTCTGTTCAAACAACATCATGAAAGGCCAACATTAAACAGACAGGCAAGGTTGGGAGCGTGGCGCAAAGGGTGGCCTGCCTCCCTTCCAGCTTCTTTCTTCTACTACGACCCCCAGGGAACTGTAGGCACAAACACTAGGTTGATGAAAAGTTATGAGCATACAAGCTCAGAGATCGGGGTTGGAATACTTAATCCACAGCTTCTGAGGTGCCCCTTGAGCAAGTCACTGAACCACTCTGACCCTCAGTTTCCTCTCCTGTAAAACAGGGTAATAAAAATATCTCCCTTCCTTGTCCATCATGAAATGTAAGCACAACCTTATGTCAAAAGAATGGCATTTAAAGGCCCCTACTACCAAATTCTGAGCTTGGGTGAAACTGTGTTAGGCTTCCAGGAATGGGAAGATGCCTAGGCTGAAATCCAAGCTGGGCCCTGCAGGCTAGGAAGCTTAAATAAGGGGAGCAGGGAGGAGGAAAAACAGAGCAGACAGGAGGATCATCATCAGCAAGCAGTCACGTGGGCCAAAACGTGCTGTGGGCAGAGGTGGCAGCAATCAGGATGCCAGGCTTTCTGGACAGGGTGCCCGGGAGGGGAGTCTGGGGAGACGCCATTCAGAGTGGACACTGGGTTTGTGCGTACGTAATGCTCGACTTGATGGTGGCACACAGCAGAGGTCCCTGAAAGCGACATGGCAGGCACACAGGAGGTGGGGTCTGCCAGGAGCATTGGGGGCTTATCAGAGCAAGGCTTTAAAAGCATGCAGTCTGGCAGGGGTGGCCTTGATGATGCTTGGGAATGCAGAGGGAGGGTGATCTGGGAATACCTTCCAAAGAAATCAAGGCCAGAGCTTAATGTGGAAACAGAAGGAAGGAGGAGGAACTGGCTTTAGAGATAACAGGCTTTTCCTGAGCAAGAACCTAGAGGGATGACACAGGGGAGGGGTGGCTGGCCGGTGGGCCTGGAGCCAACTTTGAGGCCAGGGTGGAACACGTGCCTGAGACGAGGGTGGGCCGTCCCAGTGTCGGCTGCCTGCAGACATCAGAAATGTGGTTTTGAATCACAAGAAGAAATCAAGACTAATAGTGGAAAAGCCTGAAATGTCTTGCATAGAGCTGGTAGTTGAATTTCTAATTTTTTTTCACTATATCTCTAGAACTTAGTTTTTACAATTTCTCCAAAATATAGATTCTCTAGCAACCCTTCAGATGAAGATGGACCTGCAAATCCACAGCCCTTTTCAACCTCCAGGAACACCTGGCCACGCCTCCTAGAAGGCCTTTCCTGGTTTTCATATGTTTAGACTGCCATGGGATTTAGACATAGATGGGACTCTAAGAAGACTGCTGCTCTTCTCTTCTGCTCTTAGATAGGATTGATCAAATTGGGAGACTATGCTTTAGTAAATTTCATAGGTTAACCAACTTCCTCACCCAGAAGATGAAGGTCAACATCAACAGAGATAAGTCATGGCGGACAGTCAACATCAAGAGAGATAAGTCTTCACGTTATGTGATGAGAATCTATTTTTTGTTTGTTTGTTTGTTTTTGAGACGGAGTCTCGCTCTCTTGCCCAGGCTGGAGTGCAGTGGCATGATCTCCCCTCACTGCAACCTCTGCCTCCCAGGTTCAAGCGATTCTCCTGCCTCAGCCTCCCGAGTAGCTGGGACTGTAGGCGCCTGCCACCACGCCCGGCTAATTTTTTAATTTTTTTTATTTTTAGTAGAGATGGGGTTTCACTGAGTTAGCCAGGATGGTCTCAATCTCCTGACCTCATGATCCGCCCTCCTCGGCCTCCCAAAGTGCTTGGATTACAGGCGTGAGCCACTGCACCCGGCCATGAGAATCTTGTAAGCTGCGGTGATGGTGAAAAATATTTTATGTTTCAGCTAACCCCTTCTTGATGTATCTTTCTTTCTTCCTTCCTTCTTTCTTTCTTTCCTTCCTTCCTTCCTTCCTTCCTTCCTTCCTTCCTTCCTTCCTTCCTTCCTTCCTTCCTTCCCTCCCTCTCTCTCTTTCTTTCTTTCTTCTTTCTTTTCTTTCCTGGGTCTCACTTTTGTCACCCAAGCTGGAGTGGAGTGGTGAGATCTCAGCTCACTGCAACCTCTGCCTGCCAGCCTCTCGAGTAGATGAGATTACAGGCACCCACTACCACGCCTGGCTAATTTTTGTACTTTTAGTAGAGACGGAGTTTCACCAGGTTGGCCAAGCTGGTCTTGAACTCCTGACCTCAGGTGATCCACCCACCTCAGCCTCCTAAAGTGCTGGGATTACAGGCATGAGCCACCATGCCCGACCGATGTATTTTTCAAGTATATTTTCTTCTTGTCTTTGGTGGAGTTTTAAAAGACCTACAGCCATCTGTAGGTGTCACTTCCTTCTCCCTCTGAAGCTTCCAGATGCCTGCCCAACTCTGATGGAGGGTTGTATCAAATAGACTAGAGGTTACGGGTTTTGGGGAGGAGACCACAGAGATAAAGTGCCATTCTCATCACATAACATCAAGGTCACATACTATCAACACGACTTATCTCTGCTGATGTTGACCTTCATCTCCTGGTGAGAGAGTGTTTGTCAGCTTATTCCACTGTAAAGCTATTGAACCCCTTCCATTCCCATACTGTGCTTTATGGAATTTTGACCATATTTTGTGTGGAGCTGTTTGTTTTTCTTGTTATCGAGTTCTGAGTTCCTCATTTCACTGTCATTCTTTTAACAGTGTCTTTTGAAAAAGAGAGTTTTAATTCTGATGAAATCCAATTTGTTAACCTGATATCCAAGGTCACAAATGTTTTCTCCTGGAAGTGTTATCGTTTTAGGTTTTAAACTTAGGTCTGTCACTCATTTTGAGCTGATTTTTTCATGTAGTTCCAGGTATGGAGCAGATAGAAGCTCATTTGTGTGTGTGCACACATATGGATATTCAATTGTTCCAGCACCATTTGTTGAAAACTATCCTTTCTCCAATGACCTACTTTGCAGTTGCCGTTGTTGAGGCTTAGTTGTCTGTGTGTGTGAATTTCCTTCTGAACTCTGTTCTGTTCCATTGGTCTATCTGCTTTGATGCCAATATCACACTGTCTTGATTACTGTCGCTTTATAATAAGTCTTAAAACCAGATAATATTAGTCCTCCAACTTTGTTCTTCTTCTTCATACCTGATCGGCTAATTTAGACAATTTGCATTTCCATATAAATTTTAGAATCAGCTTGCCAATTTCTACAATATAGCCTGTTGGGATTTTCATTGGGATTGTGTTGAATCCACACAGTTTGATTTTGGGAGAATTGTCATGTTAGCAATATTAAATCTTCTGTCCCAAGAATCTGGGTATATTCCTCCATTTATTCTGGTCTTTAATTCCTCTCAGCAATATTTTAGAGCTTTCCCTGTTTTTAAAAAAATACCATGTATATGTATAAACTTCATAAAATAAAGTAAAAATATTAAAGAAGTGTTTACATAAAGAAAACTTGCTGGAAAAGCTTAACAGGTTCTGTGGGAGAAGCCACCCAAGATATTTAGCTATGACCGTATGGACGTGAGTGTATGTGCATGTGAGTGTGTATGTATGCAGGCAGGCATGTGTGAATGTGCATAGGTGTGTATGAGTATGTATTAGGAGTGTGTGTGTATGTGTGAATGTGAGACAGTGTGTATAAGTGTGAGTGTATATAAAGCAGTGTGTGATGTGTGTAGGTGTGAGTGTATGTGAAGCAGTGTGTGATGTGTGTAGGTGTGAGTGTATGTAAAGCAGTGTGTGATGTGTGTAGGTGTGAGTGTATGTGGGTGTGTGTAGGAATATGTGATGCATTAATGTATGTGTAGGTGTGAGCATGTGTGTGCAGGTGTGTGATGTGTTCTGTCATTTTAAGGGATATGGAAGGAAAGGAGGTCAATATGCTTGTTTTACCATCTTGATGTCATTTCTGAGTTGATTTTCCCTAAATAAAATCTATTTCCAGGAAGAGTTTGTGCTGGCATTCTCACCAGGCTGAACAACTCTAATTAATTGCTGGTCCTTCTCTGAGAGCATCTCCACACACAAGCTCACGGTTTGGGGGAGGAGGACAGCATGTCTGGGAGCCTGGGTTGTGGGCAGACCTTGCCTAGGTGGGGTGGGCTTCCTTTAAGAAAGAAAAAGGTCCCCCTGGGAAAGGACCTCCAGGCCCACTTAGGCAATCTTCTGGCCTCGGAGCCCTTTTTTCCTACAAGTGGAATGGCCTTGCATTCATTTTCTTATCGATCTTACATACTGTTCAATCCTTGTAACTGAAGTGGCTGTCCTGGGAGGAGAAACTCAAGTCTTCCTGAGAGATGGGTCATTTCTTGTCAGGAAATGTGAGGACTTGTTCTTCCTGCCCAGGCCCCTCAGAAGCACAATGCTTCTGGCGCAGGTGGTCTCCATCTCACCACTGAGAGTGCTTCTTCTTTTCATGGCAGGACTGTTTGCAGCTCAGGATGTTTGCCATCACAACGGCAGAGCCGCAGTTCACACCCAGGCACGTTCTCCCCAAGACCTGTGGCTGCAACCACTGCTATGCATGGAATGTGAGACGGACGGTGCTCGCCTAGCCAACAGTTGATGCTGAATACATCTTCATCTGTGTATTGACCATCTACCCTTTTCCCATGATTTGTTTGTCAAAATTCCTTGCTAATTTCCTTATTAAAAATGGTCAGTATTTTAATTCTCCTGATTCATGATAATTTCTTTGACAAGGAAATTAATACTTTGTTAAATGAGTACAAATATTTTTAAACAATCTGTTTTACTTTTAATCTTTGTTTATGGTGATATTTTGGGCATACAAAGGTCTTTAATATCCATGTTATTAAATTCACAAATATTTCCCTTTGTGGATTTTGGGTTTCAGTTTATAATTCTAAACATATTCTCCACTCCATGATTACAAAATAAAAATAAAACAACACTGGTATTTTAATCTACTACATTTATTGCTTTTACTTACAAATCTTTGTTTTAATTGGAGTTTATTTTGGTAAATGAAAGTGCATGAGGGGACAAGTTATTTTCTTCGATGTGGTTGAACAGGTGTTGTGAGAAGGTTCGGAGTCCGTCTTGCCATGGCTCCCCAAGCACACCGTCTTCCTCTACTTTTTATTTTGTTTCTGTGCTGTCTATTCTACTCCTTTGGAAAAAGCAGCACCCTGAGAATGGAGTGGACTTCGATGTGCTACCGTTGTTGGAACCTCCAAGCATGGATGGAGCCCTGCTGACTTTGGAGGCCTCAGTTCTCACCGATCTGCACCTCTTGCACCCTGTAATCACTTTCTTGGGGTAGTTTCTACCTGACCCTGACAACCTCTCATGCTCTCTATGTCCACAGCTAACCCTGTGTTTCTGCAACTCTGGCTGTGTATTGGGATCACCTGAAAGGTTTTAAACATGACTGCTGCCTGGGCCCCATCCCCAAATCCTTTTTTTTTTTTGAGACTGAATTTTGCTCTTGTAGCCCAGGCTGGAGTGCAATGGTGTGATCTTGTCTCACTGCAACTTCTGCCTCCTGGGTTCAAGTGATTCTCCTGCCCCAGACTCCCAAGTAGCTGGGACTACAGCCACCCACCAAGAAGCCCAGCTAATTTTTGTGTTTTTAGTAGAGACGGGGTTTCACCATGTTGGCCAGGCTGGTCTCAAACTCCTGACCTCAGGTGATCCACCTGCCTCGGCATCCCAAAGTGTTGGGATTACAGATGTGAGCCACTGCACCCGGACCAGAAATTCTTATATAGCCAGTCTGAGCTGTGTCCTGGGCATTGGCCACTCCTAAAATCTTCCCATGTGATGCTAACATTCAGCCAATTAGAGCCTAGAAAGACTTGAAGGATAAGTGCAAAGCCTACCCTATTCTGAACATGGGAGTTGGTTCCTTTCCCCAGTCATAGGAGGCTTATGAACACAAATACTTCCGTGGCATAAACTCAGCAATGTGAACCTCCCAGTAGTAGGGCTTTTCTAATTTCTTCCACTCTTGGGCAATGACTCTTCTACCAGCAGCAACTATGGTGAGCCCCCAGTATGGCTTCGTTCCCTAGAAGACCTACTGACCACATGATGGTAGGTCAATTATATTAGACTCTGTCCATCATGGGCAACTTCGTGATGCTTTTTTAGTGGGAGAGACATTTATTTCTTTTATGGAATTTCCTACAATGTCTGCTCTGTTTCTGCCTCAAGAACCATGCATGGACTAACAGAATACTTTTTTCATGGTCATGTTGTTCCATGCAATATTGTTTATGGCTAAGAGACAAATTTTAAAGTGAAAGAGGTGAGGCAATTTGGATTCTCTGGTCTTACAATGTACCCATAAACCAGAAACATCTGGCTCTATAGAGTAGCCAAGTGGTCCACTGAGGATTCATGACAACATCGTGTGGATGGCAACACCACGCTACACTGAGATACTGTCCAGCAGGAAGGGAATGTGCTTAGTACCAGCAACAAGCACATGGGCCTGGCTCTCTTGTAACCAGAATGACTTTTCCTGTAGCCAAGGGGAGGAAGTGGGAGTGGCATCATTCACCATTATGCCTAGAGCCTGCCATTTTGGGTTTCTCATTCAATTGAATCAAAAGGTAAAATGCAGGTGGTTACTCTTTTGGCTAGAGTGACGGATCCTCTGAATGAAACGTAAATTGGATTGCTACTACACAATGGTGGCAGGCAGACGTGATCAGGGGAGCCTCTCCTTTTACTGCCAACTCTAGTGATCAAGGTCAATGGGAGACTGCAGAAAATCAAAATAGGTAGGACTTTCAAGGGCTCAAAGCCATTAGAAATAAAAGTTTTCTACCACAGAAGAAGAATACTGACCAGCTGAGGAGCTGGGTAGGTGTAAAGGGACCACAGACTATGCAATGGAAAAAGGAAGATATAAACACCAACAATGGGAACTGCATGAAACCTGCTACTATCAAATGGCAATGTGAAACTCTATGCTCCTTTTTCCAGATAAACAACTAATACTGTTAAGAATGATTTTTTTAAAAGCAGCTCCCAATTTAAGTCTCTGGAAATTGTCCAGTGGAATACAAAAAATCTAGTCTTGGTCAGAATGTTGAGAGTCTGGGGCACTAGTACCATGACTTCCTTCTCCCCCTCCTGCCTTTTGCTCAGGGTGATGGATGGTTCACTCCTGGTAGCTGTGAGATGGAAGATGGGGCTCCCTCTCTCCCTAGTGCCAAGTCAAGAACTAAGATATATGCCCAGGAGAAAGAGGCTACTAGCATTTCTCATTCTCCCTCAAATCCATGTTGTAGAGGCTAACTTCCAAGTGAGTGCAGCTGAGAAGTGGGGGCGGGGAGGTCCCTTCTTACACCCAGCCCCTACTTATAGGGAAAAGTCTCCACCTCAGGCATGGCAGGCTGTGAATACTCAGATGGCAACCCCCCTCACCCTGCCTCGCTGGCAGGGTGGAAGTTCCACCCCAAGAGAAGCAAGCCCAGCAGACCAGAAGCTATCACTCCTACCCAGCACCTGGCTTGTGCAGCAGGGTGTGGCAACAAGAGAACTGGGCCACTGTCCCCACCTCTCACCTGGGGCAGTGGCTACTCAGGGATTTTGCCCAGAGGGAGAGGCAATCAATAAGAGAGAGCTCTAAAACTCTTCCAGAAGAAACTGACTTTAGAACAGTGTGAAAAGTTTCGAACTTAAGAGTGCTCTTGAAAACAGTGGAGATTTTGGTGGTAAGAAATTAAGAGGAGGCTAGAAGGGCCAGAGGAGTAAGAAACTGAATTATAGGCCAGCTAGTTTACAAGAAAAATAGACAGCTAAGAGGAACCCTCTTTCAGCCAGAACGTACCCCAGAGACTGGCCCACAAAGGACCCTAAATTTAATTAGACCAGATTGTGAGACAATTCATGCCACCAAAGTGTTGTCAAAAACAATACAGCAGTCAACTGGTAATTAATGGACTCTGAAGACCTGCATGTGATGTCAACAAAGGCATACAGCTTAACACAGAGCTCAGAGAAAAAGGTATTCCAAGAAAGTTTTTTAAAACCCTTGTTGGCTGGGCACAGTGGCTCATGCCTGTAACCCCAGCAATTTGGGAGGCCGAGGCGGGCAGATCACTTAAGGTCAGGAGTTCGAGACCAGACTAGCCAACATGGTGAAACCCCGTCTCTACTAAAAATACAAAAAATTGGCCAGGCGTGGTGGCACATGCTTGTAATCCCAGCTACTTGGGAGGCTGAGGCAGGAGAATCGCTTGAACCCAGAAGGCAGAGGTTACAGTGAGCCGAGATTGCACCACTGCAGGCCAGCCTGGGCAATAAAATGAGACTCCATCAAAAACAACACCACCACCACCACCAAGAAGAAGAAAACACTGTCACTGCAGACTGACTGCATATGGCCATGAGTGTCATGTGCATGTGTGACTGAGCTCTCTGTGGAGCAATATTAGAGGCTTCACATGATATATATAAACTAATAAATACATCAACTTATTCTCTCTCTCTCTCTACACGCATGTGCACGCACGTGCTCACACACGTGTATATATCACGACGTTGGCCTCATGATAAATTGTGGAAATTAGGACTGTTTCATATACACATTCCCTTGTTATATGGTTTATATTTATATCTGCTAACCAAATTTCCTCCTATATTTTTTAAACATTTAGGGTATGCTATTGGTGGCTGTCATTATAATTTAGCCTTTAGATTATTACAGGACTTCAGTCTTGAATTTGTATGGAGCTAGGTGAGATAGGAGCATCACATCAATGATGGAACTTGGGTCTTCTCTTCTGGGGAGGGGGTGGGTGTGTTAGTCTGTTCTCATACTGCTATAAAGAAATAACCTGAGACTGGATAATTTATAAAGAAAAATGTTTAATTGGCTCACAGTTCTACAGGCTGTATGGCTGGTGGCAGGGGTGGGGCTCAGGAAACTTACAACCATGGTGGAAGGTGAAGGGGAGGCAGGTTCATCTTATGTGGCCCGAGCCAAAGGAAGAGAGAGACAGGGGAGGTACTACGCCCTTTTAAACAATGAGATATTGGGATAACTCACTCACTCACTATTGCCATGACAACACTAAGGGGAATGGTGTGAAACAATGACAAACCACTCCCATGATCCAGTCACTTCTTACCAGGCCCCACCTTCAACATTGGGGATTACAATTCAACATGAGATTTGGGTGGGGACACAGACACAAACTGCATCACGGAGTGTGTTTCCTTTCATTTGAAGAGAATCGCATTCAGGTAGGAGGAGCAGACTGCTGTTGCTGTTGTTTGGAAGTGTGATTGTTGGGGGAATGGGATATGAGCGTTGGGAGAAGCTGCAGGGTAGCTGGGAATGGATGTAATAACTCAGTGCTCGGCATCCACGCTACCCACCTCTATATCAGAGATGGGAAAGACAAAACACACGCCTCTGAGAGTCCTTTCTAGTGAGGCTTCTGGATTTGATTTAAGTTTGGACCATCAGATGCCGCAGCCTGAGATTTGGAAGGCAGAGTGCTGGAAGGCTGCACTCCCGCTGCATCTGCTGGTGCTTCGACAAGCAAGGTGGTGGAGGTGTTGCCTGTCTGTAAAGGGATGATCAGAGCAGCGTCCAGTCTACGGTGCCCCAAATACTCACAAGCAGCACGCACAGCACTCCTTCACTTGGTCTCAGTGAGGGGATTGCACCGTGGAGCACAGTGTCTGTCCTGTCAGACCATGTTCTTATCCTTGTGGCTTTCTACTGGAGGCAGCTTCTAAGTGGCAGTGTCTCCATCTTGGTGATGGCAGTGTCTCCGTCTCTGTGGTGGCAGTGTGCTACTGGGGCCAGAGGCTTTCTGGCTGCAGAGGGGGCAGGAGCACCCTTGCTGGCCCGATTCAGAGATATGGCTTTGGGAGCTGTTCCCCAAACCTCATCCAACATCTGTTTCTCCAGTCCTGCCTCTGCTTCTGTGAACCCCTCAATACCCTGTCATTAATCCCATCATGCGCTAAGCTAGCTAGAGAAGGCTTTGTTTTTTGTAGCTGAACCCTGGCCAATACAATGCATTACATAAACCGATTTCTTAACATGGAACCAGTTTTGCATTTCTGGAATGAACTCAGCTTGGTCATAGTGTATTCTCCTTCTTACACACTGCTGAATTATATTTGCTAATATATTAGCTGTACATCATATTATATATAATTATATTAGCAAATATAATTAAAACCTTATTACTGCTTTCTTATATAAGGCTGATCTGATTTCTGTTTCATATTAGTTAAATTTTAGTCTCTGTGTTGTGCTGGCCTTCAAAAAATCATCTAAAACTTTCTTTCTTCCTTGTGTTCTAGAAAAGTTTATATGTTGGAATTATTTCTTCCTTGAATGTTTTCAAAATTTTATGCATAAGACTATCTGAATAAGGTGTCTTTGAGTCAGAGTAGCTTTTTAATAGCCTCTTCAATTTCATCCATGGTTATTGATTTATTAAGTTTTCTATTTCTTTTGAGGTAGATACTTAAAATACATGTGTACCTAAGTAGTATTCTATTCTGGGGAAGAATTATTGATCAATCATATAAAAATTATTAATTTTTGTTTGGTAATACAAATGTGAATGACTAATACATTTTTTCTCTTAGCATTGTTTTATGTATGTTTCATTTTGTAACATGTAGCTGAGCTTTGTTTATTAATCAAATCCGAGCATCTTTTACTTTAAGCAAATGAATTTATTTCACGTTTATTGACAACAATTTGGTCTTAATTTTATCTTATACTCATTGTTTATTTTAAAATGTCTTTTTAGCCACTTTCTTTGCTTTCTGTCTTTTGTTATGTGTTTTTTTTAACATTCACTTTCATTTCCTTTTGGTGATTTAGGAGACTTTCTTTTTCACTTTTGTTATCCTTACATATTTAAATAATGTCTAAGTGTTTAAATTTTGAATTATCATTGTTATCCACAATAACAGTATTCATTAAATTCCCACTAAAAAGAATGAGCAAATTAGTTTACCTTTGCTTCCTCTCATCTTTTGCTCCTCCATTTTCATGTGTTGACTTTTGTCCCTGTCTAGTATAGATATGTGTAATGTAGATACATTTTGACAACATGAATATTTTTTATTCCTATCATTAATCATATATTCTTTCAACCCTTACACATTAAACTTTAGTTGTAAGTTATTTACTGGGGAAGCAGAGAATAGTTTCATGCAAAGTCACTGAAGAGAGAGGAAGGCTATGACATAAAGAAGCTTCCACTTGGTAAAAGGAAGAATCAGACAGGCCTGATTCCAGAAGGACAGCCTGAGGAGAAGGAAGAAGAGCCAGTGGTCAGAGGTGTGTTTCCTGGCTCTGTTCTCTCTGGATAAAAATACTGTAGGTGGCCGGGTGCGGTGGCTCACGCCTGTAATCCCAGCACTTTGGGAGGCCAAAGCAGGTGGATCACGAGGTCAGGAGTTCGAGACCAGCCTAACCAACATGGTGAAACCCTGTCTCTACTAAAAATACAAAAATTAGCCTGGTGTGGTGGCGGGTGCCTATAATCCCAGCTACTCAGGAGGCTGAGGCAGAAGAATCACTTGAACACAGGAGGCGAAGGATGCAGTGAGCCAAGATTGTGCTGCTGCACTCCAGCCTGGGCGACAGAGCGAGACTCTGTCTCAAAAAAAAAAAAAATACTGTAGGTGAGGGTAAATGAAAGTGGAGGCTCCGGAAGTGTGGACCACAATTTCCTTTGGGTCTCTGGGAGGTGACCGCCTAAGGAGGGACTTGCATACAGCTGGGGAAGCTTGAGTAAGTGGGAAATGACAGTGCGGCTTGTTTACACCTAGAGAGATGGCATGGGCTGCATCCTCCACTCCGCTGTACCCTAGGTCCCAGCTTCAGGTGTGAGCTGTGGAAGTTTCTCCATGCTTCTACTTGGGAATGGAGAAGGGAGCTGCTTAAGTTGGAAATCAGCAGACCTGCATATTTTTGGTTATTTTATTGTTATTGTTATTGATTTCTAATTTCATTGTCTTATAGGCAGAGAATATGATCTTCATGATATTGGCTATGGAGTATGGGTTGAGACTTCTTTTGTGGCCTAGTGAATGGTCTGTTTTAGAAAACATTCCATGTACATTTGACAAGAACATGCATTTCCAACTTGTTAGGTCAGAGTTCTGCATATGTCTGCTAGACCAACATATTTTACAGTGTTCAAAACTGAATCTCAACTATTTTTTTTGGTCTACTTTATCTTGCATCTAATACAACTTCTTAATATGATTGCCTATTTTTTACCTTCTTTTTGAAATTATGTTAATTTGGAGAGGGACAGTATGCTGTTAGCTATTCACAAAAGGAGGAGTATTAAGCACTCCTGGAAATTTTTTTTTAATCATTAAGTAGTGATTTCTTACCACTCCTTTGCTTCGATGTCTATTGTGTCTGAGAGTAAAATTACTCTGCTCGCTTTGATTTGGTGAGTATTTGCTAAGGTAGTGGACATTCATCAGGCTCTTGGCTCCCGCATTGCATCACTTCTGTATGTTTGAGGCATTTTCCACTGTATAATCCTTAGTGGGAGGCAGATTCTCCCACCCCATGTAGGTACTGAAAAGTATAATCAGTTTTCCAGCTTATCTTGCTGCTAAAGTATTGGCCAAAGATAAGATATTCCTAGGGTTTGAATGGGGAGCTGGCAATATTAAGAAGCAGAGAGAACAGGGGATCCACCCCAGCAGCAGTAGGAGCCATGCCCGAGTCCAGAGGCAGCAGGAGCTCAGCCGACAGAGGCAGGATCACAAGAGCAGCATCCAGACTTTAGCAGTGACAGCAGCTATGTTCTCTTGCCAACCTTCCTCAGGAGTTACTTTTGGCGGTGGTGAGCTCTGCCCCGACTTCCTTCCTTTCTGCTAATTCAGTTGTTCCAAGTTCTCCAGATTTTTCAGAAATACTATTAGCTATCTCTATTAGTCCATCTTCATACTGCTATGAAGAAATACCTGAGCCTGGGTGATGTATAAAGAAAAAGAGGTTTAATGGATTCACAGTTCATATGGCTGGGGAGGCCTCACAATCATGGTGGAAGGCAAAGGAGGAGAAAGGCATGTCTTACGTGGAGGCAGGCAAGAGAGCATATGCAGGGGAACTGCCCTTTATAAAACCATCAGATTGCATGAGACTTATTCACTATCACGAGAACAGCATGGGAAAAACCACCCCCATGATTCAATTACCTCCCATTGGGTCCCTCCCACAACATGTGGGGATTATGGGAGATGCTACAATTCAAGATGAGATTTGGGTGGGGACACAGCAAAACTATATCACTATCCAATGTCTATAAGTTGCTAGGTTTTGTTGTGGGGGTGATGGAGTGGAAAGTAAAGATTGTTGCTTTAAATCAGCTATAGTTGGTTTCTGGCACTTGCAACTAGAACCCTATTACTGAAATTGTCATACTGATGCTTCTGTCTCTGATCTGCCACCACATGGACTATTCTAGCCTCCTCCCCTTGCTTTGTGTAAATGCCCACTCCAACACTAAGAAACTTGGCTTTTACCATCCTCCATCCATTTACTTAGTGGTTCAGTTCCAGTACAAATGGATAGCAGGATTAGAACTGTTCACTCCCTCCCATGGTGAAAACTCTATCAACTAGCATACAGTGCTTATGTACAGCTTCTTTGCCTCTAGTTGTATATGCTCCACTCATTTCCAAAGTTACTTAGGTCAGCACGTTTCCCCTCTGTCTAGTTAAGTGAGGTTATTTTACACATTTTTGATAGAGTTTGATTATTTTGTCACATTCTGCATTTCATCCTGGAAACCCCAACTTGCTATATGATTTAAAAAATATTTTCCTACATTAAGATTCACTATTTTTTTTTTTTGCCACAAAGTTCTATGGATTTCCACAAATGCTTAGTGTCATGTCTCTACAATTACTCCAGTACCATACAAAATAGTTTTAGCATGCTAAAAGATCCCTTGTGTTCACCTAGTCAACCCTCCTCCCCTCCTCCTCAGCCCCTGGCAACCACTGATCTTGTAATTGTTGCTATATTTTTTACCTTTTCCAAAACTTCATGTAACTGCAGTAATACATTATGTAACTTTTTCAGATTGGCTTCTTTCACTTAGCAATATGCACTTAAGATTTATCCATGTCTTCTCTTGGCTTGATGGGTTATGTCTTTTTATCACTAAGTAGTATTTCATTGTACAGATGTACCACAGTTTATTTATCGACTCAACAATTGAAGGGCATCCTAGTGGCTTTCAGTTTTGGTGATTATGAATAAAGCTGCTATAAACATTCATGTGCAGGTTTTTGTATTTATATAAGTAAATACTTAGATATGTGATTATTGGATTACATCTTCAGACTATTGTTATAGACTGAATTACTTTCCCCCCAAATGTATGTGTTGAAGCCCTAACCTCCAATGTGACTGTATTTAGAGAAAGGGCCTGTAGGAGGGTAATTAGGGTTAAATGTGTGTCCTAATCTGTTAAGACTAGTGTCCTTATAAGTAGAGGAAGAGGCACCAGAGATCTCTCTTCAATCACACACAGAGAAAAGGCCGTGTGAGTGCATGTTTTTCTGTAAGCTAGAAAGAGGGGCCATACCAGAACATTCATCTTTGAGACTTCCAATCTCTGGAACCATGAAAAAATAAATTTCTGTTATTTAAGTCAGTGGTATTTTGTTATGGTAGCCTGAATAGACTAATAAAACTATGTTTAGCTTTCTAGAGATTGTCAAACTGTCTTCCAAAGTCGCTATACCATTTTGTATCCCCAGCAGCAATGAATGAGAGTTCCTGTTGCTCCACATTGTCACCAGTGTGTGGTATTGTTAGTTTTCTGGATTTTAGCTATTCTAATAGGTATGTGGTAGTATCTTATTATTGTTTTATTTTGCAATTAATTCCCTGATGACAAGTTATGTTTATAATTTTTCCATAGGCTTATTTGCCATTTGTATATCTTCTTTGGTGAGCTGTCTCTTCAGATTTTTTACTGATTTTTAAATGGGTAGTTTGTTTTTTTTTATTGCTGAATTTTAAGAGCTTTTAAACTATTTTTGGATATGAGGCTTTCACAAGATATATTTTACTGTTTTCTTTTAATTCATGGCTTATTTTTTGTTGTTAGCAGTGTCTCACAGAGAAGTTTTAAATTTTAATATAATTTAATATATCTTTTTTCTTTCATTGATTATGCTTCTGGTACTTTTAAAAGCTCATGGGGGACCTAATTAAACCAAAAAGCTTCTGCACAGCAAAAGAAATAATACTCAGAGTAAACAGATAGCCCACAGAATGGGAGGAAGTATTTGGAAACTACACATATGACAAAGAACTAGCATCCAGAATCTACAAGGAACTCAAGCAAATCAGCAAGAAAAAAATAAACAATTCCATCAAAAAGTGGGCAAAAGACATGAATGAACATTTCTCAAAAGAAGATATACAAATGGCCACCAAACTGGTAAAGAAAATGTTTAGTAATTGAAAACCCCAATGAGATAAATACCACCTTACTCCTGCAAGAATGGCCATTATTAAAACGTCAAAAAATAATAGATGTTGGCGAGGATGTGGGGAAAAGGGATAGCTTATACACTGCTGATGGGAATGTAAATTAGTACAACTTCTATGGGAAACAGTATGGAGATTCCTTAAAGAGCTAAAAGTAGATCTACCGTTCAATCCAGCAATCCCACTACTGGGTATCTACTGAAAGGAAAAGAAGTCATTATACGAAAAAGACATTTGCAGCACAATTCACAATCACAAAAGATGTGGAACCAACCTAAGTGCCCATTGACTAATGAGTGGATAAAAAAATGTGGCCTATATACACCATGGAACACTACTCAGCCATAAAAAGGAACAGAATAACTTCTTTTGCGGCAACTTGGATGGAGCTGGAGGCCATTGTTCCAAGTGAAGTAACACAGGAGGGGAAAATCAAAAACCATATGTTCTCACTTATAAGTGGGAGCTAAGCTATGAATACACAAAGACATACAGAGTAATATAATGGACTTTAGAAACTCAGAAGGGGAAGGGTGGGAGAAGGGGTAGGGATGAAAAAAATCTACATATTAGGTACAATGTACACTACTTGGGTGATGGGTACACTAAAATCTCAGAATTCACTACTGTATAATTCACCCATGTAAAGAAAAAAACACACTTGTACCCCCGAAAGCTTTTAAAATAAAAATTAAAAAAAAATCTAATGGCCAAACGCAAAATGTAGAATTTCTCCTATGTTTTCTTCCAGAAATTTTATGATCTTACATTTAGGTCTATAATCAATTTTGTGTTATTTTTGTGAAAGGTATGAGGTCTACGTTAGGCTCATCTTTTTGTGTTATCTTTCATTTATGAACATTCAATTCTTCCAGAATCATTTGTTAAACAGATTATTGTTTCTCCATTGAATCACCATTGCTTCTTTATCAAAGACCAGTTGACTCCATATATTTGTGTTGGTCTATTTCTGGCTGTCTTTTCTGTTCTGCTGACCTCATGTCTATTCTTTTGTCAGTACCACGCTGCCTTGATTGCTGTAGCTTTAGAATAGTAAGTCTCAAAATCAGTACTGTGGGGTCCTGTGACTTTGTTGTTGCTGTTCTCCTCCTACTTCCTCCTCCTCTTCCTCTTCCTCTGTCTCCACTTCTACTTCTGCTACTTTTCCTTCTTTTTCTCTTTTCTTCAGTATTGTGTTGGCTATTCTTGGTCTTTTGCCTTTCCATATGTGTTAGAAGCAGAAAATACAGTTTGCTCAGATTTTATTGGGACTTCATTGAATCTACAGATCAAAATGGAAAGAGCCGATAATCGATTCTTTCAGCCATGAGCTTTGATTTCCTTCCTAATAGTTTGTAGTTTTCTATATATAAATCCTGTACATTCAAAAATTAGATTTATACCTAAACATTTCAGAGTTTGGTACCATTATAAATGCTATTGTGTTTTTAATTTCAAATTCTCATTGTTCATTGCTATGTACAAGAAAGTGATTGACTTTTGTATGCTAACTGTGTATCCTGCAAATTTACTATGCTTGATTAATTCTAAGAGGTTTTGTTTGTTGTTCATTCTTTAGGCTTCTCTATATAGACAATCATGTCATCTGTGAACAAAGATAGTTTTATTTCTTCCTTCCCAATCTGCGTATCTTTTATTTCCTCTTCTTGTCCTATTGTACTAGTTAGGGTTTCCAATACAATGTTGAGTAAATGTGATGAGACAAGATATCTTTGTCTTCTCCGTAAACTTAGAGGGAAAGTATCAGTTTCCCAACATTAACTATGATGTTAGCTGTACAGATTTTTAAACTGTTCTTTAATCAAGTTCAGGAAGTTCTCCTCCATTCCTACTATACATGATTGAAATATTTTTTAAAAATCGTGTGTAAATGTTGTGTTTGTTAGCACTTTTTCTGAATCAATTAATATGATCATGTACTTTTTTTCTTTAGGCTGTTGATGTCACAGATTACATTAATTGATTTTCAAATATCAAACTGGTCTTTCTTGTGTTGCAAACCTCACTTGGTTGTGGTGTATACTGTTTAAATCTATTTTTAAGCGACTATTCATATAAGATCCTTACATTGGGAGATTTTGCCACATATTATAACTTTCTTTTAATCTGTAACTTCCCTCCTTACCTCTCTTTCTTGTTCTCTCAAATCATCTGCCTTACAGAATTCACAATAGTCTGGATTTTGCTAATTTCCTCCCCATATTTTTATTTAACTTGCTTTTCTATTCTCTGTATTTCCTATAAATTGGTAATTGGACTCAGAGGTTTATTCACACTTAGATTTCGCTAATTGATTGATCTGTTGAGTGCACAGATGATATTGTGAACTTCCATCAGGTAGCATGTGACGCCGATCATAATCCCTCTCTTTGTGGCGTAAGAAACCATTGATGCTCAGTGCCCTCACACATTAACTTATTTAAAGGGGCAAAATTAGGATGTTCTACTTCTAGTATTCCTTCATCATTTATAGGATGGAATTTCTATAAAGAAGAAACTTTCCCTCATTAGCTATTTGATACACAGTGGAAGAGTTTACATAGGAAAGGCAGTGTATGAATGGTTATAATTTTATTTTGCCTCAGTATCCATTTTAAATATAAGTTGGACTTTCTCATACCAAAACTGGGGCCCAGTCACCCTTGACACAACTTCCAGTTCTATACCCATTCCCCCTAGTTCCTCAATATGGCAGATCCATCCAGATATCTTCGTATACAACTGTTTCCTAGTGATCACTTCCCCCTGCTTGACTGGCGAGTGACCCTCACACCCTGTATGGACTGCAGATGGGCAGCAGTGACTACCTCTCAGCCACTGCGTGACCTCCTGAAACTCAATGTCTGCTTGCTTTAGACCCACCAAGTAAAACTCCCTGTAGGAATACTGTTTGAATAATGCCCTGGGCCTAGTAAAGGTGTTGGCTACGGGTCCCCTTCTCACTCTCTCTCTCTCTCTCTCTCCCTGTGATTCTTGACCTCCCTGTGTGTGTGGTGCCCAGGGGTGCCATGTACTCCCCAGGGTCTGTAACTTTTTACGTCTTTATTTCTATCTTGTGTCTCTACTGATCTTTGAAATATCAGTAGTGCTCTCCATCTTAAAGATCTTAAATTAAAATAGCAGGATAAATTTTTGATTCTTTACCAGTTTTCAAAATAATGAGTTAATTTCTGTAATGAATTTTTTTTTTTAAATTAGGCACCATTATATACTCAAGATTGAAAGAGCTTGTTTTTAATCCCTTTCCCTATTATCTTTGTTGTTGCTCTTATTGTCCTATCTATGGCCCTAATTCCTTTGACACGACCCTAATAGTTTTAGTAGCTTCCTTGTTTCAGAAAAGAAAAAAAGTATACCAAGTGCATCTGATAGTCTCGCTGCCCTCGGCCTGGAGTCAGCCCCTCCTTAAGGAGCTCTGATTCCCTTCAGTGGGAAATGTAGAGATTGTGATCTGCATGTGCAGCAGAGTTTCAGCAGGAAATGGATGTGGCATGTGGGAGACCAAGCCTGAGCTGTCCTGGAGGCCCCGGGTTGCGAAAATGTTCCCACAAAATGGCTTTGTTTGCCCTTTGCTGGGGGCCCTTTCACCCATTCAGGACAAGTTTTTGCATTCATTTCTTGGCTCAAGATTCCCTGAACCACATGAAAAGTGCAAATTGGAGTCCTTACATGCAGGTGGTACAGCTTGAGGTTCTGATTTCTCATGGGAATCCGTTTCCTTCCCATGAAGAGCCCCAGGCAGATGACATTATTTCTTGACACCTTCTTGGCCTGGCAGCTGGAATTTCTCTACTCTCCTTTTTTCTTTTTTCTTTTTGCAAGGCAGGATGGTCCTTCCATTCTCCCAGCTCAATGCTGAGTCTCGCTTCTCTGGGTAGGTCCACAATCCCGATTCTGACCCCAAGCGGCCAGCGCTGTTCACCCATGTCTAGGTGTTCTGGCGTAGAAGAGTACGCTTCTGCTTTCTTTGAGTCTCTGCTTCATTTCTGGCACCTAAGCCCTTCCTTTCTCTCTTCTGAGCTTGGCTATAGGTGGTTTTTTGTTTGTTTGTTTGCTTTTTGTTGTTGTTTTTTGTTTTCGTTTTTTTTGAGACGGAGTCTTGCTCTGTAACCCAGGCTGAAGTGCAGTGGCACAATCTCGGCTCACTGCAACCTCTGCCCTTTGGGTTCAAGCGATTCTCTTGCCTCAGCCTCCCGAGTAGCTGGGATTACAGGCATGCAACACCATGCCCGGCTAATTTTTGTATCTTTAGTAGAGATGGGGTTTCACCACGTTGGCCAGGCTGTTCTTGAACTCCTGACCTCAAATGATCCACCCACCTCAGCCTCCCAAAGTGCTGGGATTACAGGCATGAGCCACCGCGCTGAGCCACTAGAGGTTTTTAAAGTCGGTATTTTTAAGCTGTTTGCTCTTCTACCTTTTAATCAAATTGACAATCATCTATAAATATTCTGTAAGCTTTTTTCACCTCTAATGGGATGCTATCTGTCCATGATAGTGGGGAGTGTGGATCATGTCTTTCTCCTCAGCTGCTTCCTCACCATCTGATTCTCTCCATGCATGTAGGAGATGATGTTTGTGACATTTTACCAGATTAGGCGAGCGGGCCTGATCCTGCCTCTGGCGGGGTGGGTGGGTGCTGGCGTCCCCTCCTCGTGTCTATGGGCTTGTGCTAGGCTGTGCCACCTCCTTGTCACTCATCGGGCCTCCCCTGTCATCTTCCCATTGTTTACCAGACTACTTTAAAAAAAGACACTGTAGGAACCTTACTGTCAAATACCTCATCCTTTTTTTTTAATCAACAAATTATTTTCCTGAGAAGGAAACACAGACAGATGTGGTCTTTGGAAACAACAGTGCCAAGCGGCACCTGGGGTGATTTGGGATAAGAACCTTTGGCTCACGGGCAAGCCCGGGTGTGTGAGGCAATGAGGCTTGCCCAGGAACTCTTCCCAAGAAGAAGAACACAGAGGCCTGTGTCTTCTCCTTCTAATGTGTGTTGTTTCTTCTGACACATCTTGTTGCTGACTGGGGACTGCTGTTGCCCGATGGCTCCTTATTAAAAGTTGCTGCATGTAAATGTCAAGGCTTTCTATTTTGTCCCTCCTCTTCTCCCAACCCCGCCAAAACCTAAGAAGTCAGAGATCACAGAGGACTCACTCAAAATCTTGGATCAGGTCCTTGCTTCCTTTTCGGGAGCAAGGCTTGTTTCTGTGGGACTCTGGAGTATTATATTTCTCTCTTAATTTTGCTAATAAAAGGAATTTCTCCTAAGTAGGTATAATGTAACAACAAAATATACGTAAACTCTAGAGGACGCTGATGTTGCCTGAGGCCACACATGTGTATGATTTCTAAGGAGCCAGCTGGTAGTGGGCTGGTCACAGTATATGTAAATGGTACATTTGCAAGAAAAAGCAAACCATCTTCTGACCTAGTCTGTTGCTTAGTGACTGCTCACAAAACCTATAATTCAGGAAAGGGCATTGGTGACGCGGAACAAATGCTAGGCCTGGAGACAGAAAATGGAGGTGAAAGAACGCAACACTGGTTAGGTGCTTTAACACCTGGTAATCTTGTCTGCTCAGCAGGTTGCATCAGGAGAGCCATATGCCTACTTTATAGATCAGACGGTGCCACAAGATGTGGGACAGGGTGATAGGGCAGCACATAGTGCTTCAGGCCTTCAGTACAGAGCGCCCAGCAGGGCGATGTCCCCACATGGCCTGGAGAAGACGTGCTCCCTCACTGACAGCTCCCCTGTCACTGAAGTTCCATGTATGTGTGCCTGTGTGGTGCCCTCCCCTGGACTGCAAGCTCCTAGGTGCAGGGGCTCTTTCTGGTTCACCTCCTTGTCCCCACTGCCTGGCATCCTGTGTGGCTCCTGGTAGGTTCTCACTGAAAACTTGCGCATGGATGAACAGAGAGCTTGATGCAAAATAAGACAATGACCAGTCCAGAGTTGTCACTTTCTGTTTAGTATCACCCATGGTGCGCTGACAATGATCATCTATCAATCAGTGAAGGTGAGTGACTAGACATCTCTCTGGATAGAAATTCTTTGTCTTCCTTCCTTAGCGTGCAAACATATGCATTTTATTCAACATAGATAAATGTCTCCTCCAGGAGCCAAAGCCACTTGGTTCCTGAATCAGATGCTGAAGTTTGGATAGTAAGGAATACCGAATACCCTACTGACCACTTATTATTTGATGGGCCCTTTTCCTGGTGTGGAAAATGAGAGGTGAGCAGAAAAAAAAAAAAAAAGGTCCAACCTCTCTGGCAGGGTTCCCTTCCAGAAGGGATGGATGCAAGTGAATTTATTTTGAGGTGAGCTGGTTTTTAGATTCTGGTGGAAAGAGCAGCTGATTTGGACCCATACAAAGTGACAAAATGGTAAATTCGTATTAAGTATTGGCCTGGGAAAGCCCCTTATGTTTCCCAAGCCTGGACTTCCTCGTCTGTAGATTGGGGATGGAAATCCGTCCCTGACAAGGCTGCCTATTGGGTTTACTGAAGTGATGCCTGTAAACAGCCAGCCAGCGTCTGCTGGATCACTTGATGAGCGCTGCTTACCTGTGCCTCCTCGCCCCCTTCCATGCTCTCTGATTGACACCAGGTGGATTCATTTTACTGCAGTTGCCCAGGGTCACTGAAATATCATTTCCTATAGAACAAAAAACTTGGCCCATCTTCCATCTTTTCTTCTGCAGTTTAGGTCCTGGAATACTTAAAGAAATTTTATTTCATTTCCATTCATAGGCTTCACATTTTACACCAATGGAAACTTCCATGTATTGATTTCATTTCATCAGAAAATTTCCAGTTCCCAAACCAAAGACTTAATGAAGACTGTCAAGGGGTTTTAGCTTCAAATTCAGAAACAGTTAAATCACAAACACAGCACAGCAGCATGTTATTCTAGAAGGCTGACAGTTTGTATGCAAATGTACACACCATCAAGTAAACAGAGAAAGAATGAAAATGCCTGTTAATGTCTTAATCTATTCCTCTTTCCTTCTTCTATGTGCATGTCAGTTGGCTTTTCCCCAGGACATTTATTTCTCCCTAAGAGCCTCGGCTGTCTCCAGTGTTCCTGTAAGGCCAGGCTGCCTCCCAGAACTGCACATTTGTCTGGCATGTGAGCTGCAGAACACTCCACCTGCACTTTTTGCACCAAGGGGATTGATACCAGAGTGGGTTAACTGCTTGCAGATAGGAGGAATCCATGCCTCATGCTTTCCTTGGAAACGTGTCACTCCCAGGATGGGTGTGGAGCTGCGTCTGTTTATAGCTCTTTCTCCTTCGCTGGTTCCTCAGAAATCACCAGGGCTACCAGGAAGATTTGCTTAACATTGCTTTGTAAAGGATGGTCTGAATTTAGAGCCCAGTTACATGCATATTGGCATGAGCTCATTGTCTCATGTGGGAATATGCATCAGAAACTCCTTAGTTTCTTAAACTGCTGGATGATGCATTCTAACTAATTAGACATGCGCCTTGCCCATTGTAGGCCCTGTGCTGGAGCCTGCCGGCTGCCAACCCCAACATCCATTCCCCTCTTCCTTCCTAATAATCCCTTCATTAGAGCACCAAGTTTTGGCCGGGCTCAGTACTACAAGAATGGAAAGACCACCTTTCCCACCTTTCTTTGCAGCTAGGTTTGGCCACATGAGCACGTTTTCCTCTACGTGATATGAAGCAGGATATTGTGTGGACCGTGGGGGAACTCCCTGGCTCGGTCCAGGATCTCTAGAAAAGAGGCCCCAGGCAAGGCTTAAGTACTAAGACTTTCTCGGGAAGTGTAATCCTGGGGCAGCAAAAGTGAGGAAAAGGGACTAGGAGGCAGGAGAGTTGGAGGGCAAGCACGAGGTGGTGCCCCACAGAGCTGCCTCAGCATTGCGGGGAAGCAGGGCAGGTTGCTAGTCACATGGGGCTGCTCTCAGACAGGAACAGTCCACTTGAAGAGGAGAGGGCAGTTTATCTACCAGTGTCCTGCCTCAAGCTTCTTATTGGTCCAAGTTTGACCTCTGATATATTAAGTCCGTACCCTGCTTCCTGTTTGTATCTCAGACCGTGGGGTAGCCTTGAGGAAGGCTAGTTTTGGCACCCTGTGGCATAGGGCTTCCTCTGAGACCAGAAGTGAAATTTCAGAGCCTGTATGGACACCAGCATTGCTACTTTCTGCTGTGATGGGAGAAATAGAGGCTAGGATGAAGCCCGCCCTCACCTCAGAGACAGCTGAGTCAGCTCTTGAGCATGCTGCTAAGCCCCAGCAAATCTGGGGTAAAGCAAAAGCTGGGGTGGGTATGTCTTCTTGAAAGAGGAGTTGTGCCCTGGAATATAGATGTGATGGTTGGAGCTCTGGTAGCCATTTTTGAAGCTCAAGGGAGAGGGCAAAAAGCTAAAAATGATGGAGTGGGATCTAGAACGAAGCCTCTCTTCCTGATGCATGTTGAAGTTAACCTCTGTATGTCTGTTAGTTGTAGTGATGTCTTTTAAATGAAAAGGAAATAAAATTCTATTTTGTTTAAGCTGATATTATATATCATTTCTATATAAATCCCAAACTAATTTTAACTACTACCACAAACAATAATTATTTGTTGGATGAATGCATAAATACCCTGGTTTATTAAAATGTGTTGTATATCCAAAAGAGTAGATTCAGTGCAATGCACTTAACACCAAGGTCTGTCCTCTGGATTGGTGTGAATCCTATCTATTTCATAGAGACTGGCTCTCATGGGTTCCTGCCTGTGCACTCCAGGCCCTGCACACACTGATCTTGTGAGTCCCTGCATTATGGCACATTAATTTCTCCTTCTTTCCCTGCTTTTCCACATGCTGTTTGCTCACATCTGACACTCACCCTCCATTTAAGAAGTTCCTCCTCATCTTTTATGATCCCCTTTAAATGTCACCTCCTCAATGAAGCCCTCTTGTATCCTCCGGGCAGAAGGTTCTTGCCTCACCTCCTATACCACGCTGTGGTGGCCACACTGCATTGTAATCGATCTCTGTTTTCTGGGATGGTCTCTGCTCCACGCTGCCTTCTCCCCCAGCAGGCCCCAGCCCATGAGAACACAGTCCTTGTGGACATACAAGGCTGCCTTCAATCCCCTCCATGTCCCTGTCTTGCACTCTGAGGTTTCCATATCAGCCCTTCTCTCTCCTCCCTTCCACCCTTCCTTCCTCCTCCTCACTCTTTTCTAAAGGCGTGACATATTTTCCACAGAGAAAGCCAGTGGGAACCAGCACAAGCTCCCTGCCATGCCCGTCAGCCTCCAGGTAGCTGTGGACACCGCCCTCTCCCCAGGTGGCTCTCAGCCTCCTCCACCCTCTCCCTGGGTGGCTTTCAGCCTCCTCCGATCAGGACAGGCTTCACCAATGGGGACGAGCATTTGCTGCTCCTGCAGAAGGCCAGCACCACTATCATTTTCTAGAGCTTTTTGCTCATTCCAGAATTTGGCTGTTGCAATTTCCCCTGCTGTCTTCCACCATCAATTTTTGTGTCTCTACTGAATCATTCCCATCAACACAGGAACATACTGTAATAATTCCCCTATCTTAAAAGAAAACCGCTTCTTTTACCCATTCCAGCTGCTGCCTCATTTCTCTACTCCTCTTTGTAGCAAACCCCACCCCGGGCTGATTTCCAGTCTTTATTTCTCCTTCAATTCTCCCTTGAATCGATTGCAGTCAGGTTGACGTTCCCCCTCCCAAAGTCAATGATGGTCTTGACATGGCTAGATCCAGTGGTCAGTCTTCAGCCCTGACTCCAGGTACCTATTGCCATATAACAAGGCACCCCCAAACTTAACCAACAATCTGTTCTTATGAATGAGAACTTCCTCTGTTGACTGGGCTCAGTGGGGTGCTTCTAGATTGGATTTTCCTGTGGTGGCAGTTGGATGGCATCTGGGCTGGAGTCACCTGAAGGCTCTGCTGGCACACAGGTGGCCAGCCACTGGTGCTGCCTATTGGCTGCAACTGCACCAGGGACCTTTGACCAGAGAACCCACATGTGGCCTCTCATGACGCTGGCCTCTCAGAGTGTGACAGTCAGGTTCTGTGAAGGAGTATTCCAAGGGCAAGTGTTCCAGGAAATGAGAAGCAGAAGCTGCCGGGACACTCAGGGGCTCTGCCGGGAGCCAGTGCAGGCTCATTCTTCTTCGTTCCGTTGGTCACAGCAGTCCCTCGGCCCATCTAGTTTCAAGGAGTGGGGGCGGGTGGGGGAGAAATGCAGCCCACCTCTTGATGAGGGAGTGAGTGGCAAGGTCACATGGAGGAGCACCTGGCACACTGCACCACTCTTCTTTCTGAGCACTTCCTGGACAGGGCTGTCCTTGTTCCCCAGCTCTCCAGCTGCCTGTCCTCAGTGCCTTTGCTGGACTTCTCACCATCCCAGGTTCTGCACGCTGCAGCTCTGCAAGGTGTGGGCTCTTCCTCTTCTTTTCTGTCTACAGCTTCTTCCTAGATCTCCTGATGCAGCGCTGTGGCTTTGAGGGGTACATGTCTGTCCGGGCCTGGGGCAGGTCCAACAGGGTTCTGCTAAGGTTCACACATCTCTAGGTAATTGCTCTGGGGTTCAGAAGAGTGGGGCTCTTTCTCCAGAGGAGTTCAGAATGAGCTGCCCCCCACCCCCGCGGGGTGGTCTCTCTAGAGTTAGAAAGCAATGGACTGACCCTGTGGCCCATATTACTACTGTTCACCAACACAGCCCCCTATTGTTCTCCCCTGAGAGAACAGTACTTTTTGCTCTCCTTGAATTGGCTGGGGCTACCTGACTTGCTTCGGTCAGTGGCCTGGAAGTATTTTATTACCAATACTTGCCTCTCTCTTTCTTCCCCTGCCTCCCTGATTGGGGAAATGTGTATTGATATGGAAATACCATGGGTGGCATTGAATGCCAGTCTCACATGTCAGGAAATGCCTGGGCCCAGGACAAGCTTGGGACACGTGAGACACAAACTCCGGCTGTGCTAAGTCACTGTGATTTGGGGTTGTTACGACACTATAACTGTCTGCCAGGCCTGATAGAACACTTAACTGGGCTTTTCAGAAAAATAGGGCAAATTCCCAGTATGATTCCAATATAGAAAATAGAAACCCTCTCACCACCCCGACACTCTTCTCTCCCACATGTGTGGGAGAGAAAGATAAAAACACAAAGATAGAAAACAAAGATTCTGAGTTTCCGAACATTCTGGATGTGTCTTCTAAAGCACTAGAGGTTCACCAACATTTGATATTTGTCTCCAAGTGTCCCTCCCCAGAGGGGTAAGGTGGAGTCCAGCCCTGCCTCCAGCTGAGAAAAGAGAAGCACCCCACAGCAGCTGCTTGCACAGCTATGGAAGAGCTGCATTCCGTCAAATCCCTGCCTTTGTTGAATGCCCACCAACAGGCTGCCAGTGTGAATATGAACAAGACAGAACCTGCTCTCTGGGAGTTCATGATATGACGGGGTGTGTGCTGTGTCTGCTCATTCACCCAACCGGCATTTACTGAGCACCTGCTGCATGCAGCTCTATTCTAGGCCCCTGGGACACAGCAGGGAGCAGAAGCTATTGAATGAAGTCCATGCCTGGCAGGCTCTTCCTTTCTGGGTGGGATGGGGACAATCAGTGCTAAGTACTAGGAAAAAAGGAGAAAGACATTAAAGTGTGACCAGGGAAGCCTGGCCTTAAATAAGCCAACCTCTCAAATAGGGGGATATTTGAGCGGAGACTATAAGCATAGTGAATGAGACAGCCAGGTAGGCTCCTGGGGAAAGGGTCTTCCAGGCCAGGAGAACAGCCAAGACAAAGGCCGTGAGGTGGAAACTCACTCAGAATGTTGGAGAAACAGAGGCTCGGGGGCTCTGGAGTGTGGTAAGTGGGGTGGAGGGAGGCCAGGCTGAGGGTTCGGAGGGGTGTGGTGGCCCCTGTGCAGATATTGGGTAACAGTCTGGCCTGTTGACTTCGCACTGTGGACAGCCTGGCAGGGGAGATTTGTACTAGGCCATGAGTATCATGACACGCTCTCTGATTCTAAAGCTTAAAAGCCTGCCTGTGGTTCCATTCTGATGGGAAAATATTCAATCATATTTTTAAAATGTTTCCAATGCAAACATCAATTGATTCCTGGGTAACAACTGAGGAACAGGCTTTTCTCTATGTAAGTGGCTCGAAGTCACATAGTGTTATTTCATATCCTCAAATATTTAAACAGAGTTCTAGAAATTTAAATGCATTTTTCTTTTTCTTAATGCATCCAGGATCTGCTACTTCCTGCTCCATACAGGTGGAACTGTTCTGTTGAAATGTTTTTTCTTCTCTTGCTTCCTGGAATTGGTTTGCTTAGGGAAATTGGTTGAGAGTGAGAAGTGTTTATCCCTGGCACACTCATAGGAGCCCTTAACGGGGAGGCCGCCTAACCTGTCGGCATCCACACTGAAGTGTTGTTATACCCGCCTAGGGATGCAGGTCATGACATCCTGGCTCTGGGAACACCTCCTCTTCTGTTTGGCCGGGATGGGTATTTGTAGGATATGTTCAGGCATGTGCATCAGAGGCACGGGTTTCAGAGCCAAACAATAACTGGAAAAAGCTATAATCACCAGAATCAATTCCCAATTCCTGATCCTACAGCTGTTTGTTGCTCTCCATTTTAAATTGGATTTTTCTTTGAGGATGTGGTATTTCAGAACAAATCATCATCCATCTAGTTTTTGATGGAAGCTCCCCGGATCACCACAGTGAAATTAGACCAGACAAAGAAATGAAGGGAGGAGCAGATGTGCCCATTTTTCAATTTCCGTTCAAGTGGGCCTCCAGGAAAAGTATCAGGACAGTCACAAGGTACCTGAAATGTCATCTCCAGAGCATGTGATGGTTGGGTTCTGGAGAAAGGGCTCTCCTTTGTTATCACATTCCAGAGGTGAAATGTAGATGTTAGTGGGCCTCACTCCACCTGATTTGGGTGGAAGGCAGGTAGTGAGGAGATCTCCCATGGTGCTATGGACTGAATTGTGTCTCCCCAAGTTCATATGTTGAACCCCTAAACCCAGCACATGGCAGTCAGGATGTCAATGTTGAAAGTGATAAGTCTAAGTCATATTTGGGGCAAGAGATGCCAGCACTGGACACCCGGGAGAATGGGTTCACCTGGCCTATGGCCAGGCAAGGCCAGGCAGCCCAGGCCTCCCTGCACAAGGGCTGTCCCTACAACACTGTTGCAGGGGGCAGATCACACCTCAGCCCTGTGTAGACCATTGGACTGCTGGCAAGAAGTATTCCTGCTCCTCTCCTCGGAAAGTCCCTTGTTCTCCCCTGGGAGAGGAAGGAGAGATGGAGAGTGTCCAGAAGCGTCAGCCTGATGGACATGGAAGGAAACTCCAGGAAGAGGGCAACAGCATCTCCTTTCCTGTACAGTCCAATTCAGGAAATAGATTTTAACCCAGTAAAAGGGTAAACAATTACATAGTATGAAAACAGCCCAAAGGAAACATCGGTGCAGTGCAGGAGGGCCAGAGTTAGAGAACCCATGCTTGATGTGACGCAAGGAGGTGGCATTCAGGCTGATGCGTGGGAGCAGCATTGTGGCTAACAGCAAGAGGGAAGGTGTTTGGGTGGAGGGAACAGCATGGCCCAGTCCTCAAAATGTGAAAGAAGGCACCTTGTGTGTTAGGAAACAAAAGAAAGCCAAAGATTATGGCACGGAGGGCAGGAGGCGTGTAAGGGGAGAGAAACGGGAAGCCCTGTAGGGTGGGGTCGATGGAGAAGAGGCTGAGAGTGGGAAAGCCGTCGGGATGCCACAGTAGGCCCAGGTTGAGGCACTGCAGCTGGGACCAGGCATTAGCAAGTGTCCTGGAAAGCCTGCAGCAGAGATGTGGTTCGAGAGGAGGAGCTGGCAGGCTTTGCTTGTCACTTCTGCATATGGAAAAGGAAAAGGTAAGAGCCGAGGACGAATCTGGCATTGGAGTCCAAATTTCTGTGTTGGAACCATGTGGACCATTGGACTTTAGGTAGTTATTTTTGTGAACAATGACCACAAGTGCCTCTAAGACATTAACTGGTGGTTTGAAGTCATGTAAATCATGATTACAGGGGCTGCCTTTGAGGATTAGAGACTTGAGTTTTAAATTTGCTGGCATAGAGGCTGGTGGTGAGGTAGTGGGAAGAAGGTCCAATGGAAGGAAACAAAACAGTACCTCATGTTACTGGTTTCATCTTTGTGCTGTCTCTTCTTGTTCCTCTGCACAGATTCAGTCAAACAGTGGCTTATTTTTTAAGTCCATTATAAAATATTAATAGATCCACACTTTTTTTTTTCCACTTGACTTTTCTGGAAACATCTATTTTAAGCAAGACTTGAGAAGCTTTCAGGAAAATCTAGTCACTCCTTAATCCACCGGGCAGGTGCGATAGAAGCAGCTGAGAGAGAAAGAGAACGTGTTTCCATGGCGCCTGGCCAGCCAGCTCAGCTCTAATCCAGTAGTTGAATGTTCTGTAGACCTACTCTGAGCCTTTTTCCAGTCCTTCTTGCTGTTACTCCCTGCGGAATGTAAAATTGCCAGGAGATTAAAATATTCACCTTTAACTCCATCAGGAGTCCCTCAAGGGTTTTCGGGGTAATGAAGTTCTCTGATAAATGCACAAATTTATCCCAACCACCTTCATTTTATTTGGTATTTATCTAGAGTGGTCAGCTAAATAGTCTCCCCAAAGATGTCCACATTCTAATACCTGGAGTCTGTGAATGTATGACCTTATTTGGCAAAAGTTCCTTTGCAGATGGAACTAATTTAAGGATCCTGAGATGGAAAAACTCTCCTGGATTATCTGGGTGGGCCCAATATATAGCCAGGATCTTCATAAGAGAAAGGCAGACAAGTTAGAGATGGAGTTAAGAGAGAAAAGATGAAAGGACAGAAGGAGAGACTGGAATGATGCCCCTTGAAGATGAAGGAAGCGGCCGTGAGCCAAGGAATGTGGGAAAAGGCCAGGGAGTGTATCTTCCCTTGGAGCTTCTAGTAGTAACACTGGCCAGCAAACACCTTGATTTTAGCCTGATGAGAGAAATCTAGGACTTCTGACCTCCAGAGCTACAGGATAGTAAGTTCATGTTGTCTGAAGCCAATACATCTGTGCTAATTTGTTACCACAACTATAGGAGCTTAGATGTCCGCACATTAAACCTGCAATGATCTAATCACATAGGATGAACATGGAACTGTGTGTTCCCATTAAATTCATGTTTCTAAGCCATTTTATACCCTGTCCTTCATTCACCCAGGTTGATTGTGACACTTAGTTATTATTACATAATGAAATCCTTTTCCTCAACAAAACAAGAGGATCTTAGCTGATTTTTGTTTGGGATGGGCCCAGAACTAGCATCTAAAGTTGCCTTTTTACATGGCTATTTACAGGGTGGTCAGAAAGTCTGGAAATAATGATAATATTACTTTACCTTGGAATGGAACATAAATCAAACATTAAGGCTGGGCACAGTGGCTCACGCCTATAATCTCAGCACTTTGGGAAGCTGAGGTAGCCAGATCGCTTAAGCTCAGGAGTTAGAGAATAATAGCCTGGGCAACAAGGTGAAACCATGTCTCTCCAAAATACAAAAATTTAGCCGGATGTGGTGGCACATGCCTGTAGTCCCAATACTTGGGGGGCTGAGGTGGGAGGATCGCTTGAGCCTAGGATGTCGAGGCTGCAGTGAGCCAAGATCACACCACTGCACTCCAGCACGGGTGACAGAGTGAGACCCTGTATTAAAAAACAAAATGAATATACATTCATGTCTGTTCTTAGAGTTGTTGACCACCTTGTAGAATATTCTGTTAATATTGTCCGAGATACTGCTGAACTGCAGCTATGTAAGTAGGTGTGAAGATGGCTGATGGAGTTGTATTGTTTTGATGAGTCAGTAAATTATATTATTCATTGCAGGGCTTCGATTAGACATTGGTGGCTGCTATTGCTTTTGTTAACTGATTTGATAACTTTATATGAAATTCATTTATTCCTCCCACAAATATTCACTGAATGCCTACTATGTGCTCAGCATGGTACTTTAGGCTCTGGGAAGTCAAGGATGAGCAAAATAGACCCGGCTGCAGATCCATGAGAGTCCAATAGAGAGCGAGTGTCACACGCGCAGCGCTTGGCAGCCCAGGACAGTGTTACGTGGCAGAGGGCCTTGAGGCCAAGGAAGGGTCTGGGGCGTCCTCAGAGGGGTGGGGGCCGAGCTGGAGGCTGAGGCATGAGGAGTTGACCAGGCAAAGGATCATGCTGCAGTATGGGGAAGGCAGTGGGTGCTGGGGACATGGTCAGCCAGGTGGTGAGCAGTGAGCGGGGTGGGATGGGGTGATGAGTGCTCCACGGTCGGGGCTCTGGCAGGCATTCTGGTCCCTTAGGAGCAAGGAGCATGTCTCAGGCTGCAAGCCCAAGAAAAGAGCCCAGGGAGGGGATTCTCCAGGATGTGCCTCAGTGAGGGGCAGCTCCTGAGGGCGGCAGGAGAGGCCTCAAAGGAGGGGAACAAGGATGTCTCAGCTGCACCCAACCTCAGCCTGACGCCATGGCGTGTCAGGCACCAAGGGACCCACAGCTCTGCCTTCCTCCTGCTGCAGCTTTCTCTGCTGTGGCCGTCACGCCAGAAGCACTGCAAGTGCAGGTGCGCATGTAAGCACATGAGTGGTATGAACAGGTGCATGAGGGTGTGTATGAGTGTGAGTGTATGTATGTGTGGCTGTGCTGTGTGTGAACATGGGAATGTGTGTGAGTGTGAGTGCATGTGACATGGGAATGTGGTGTATGTGTGTGTGAATCTGTGTGCATTTGGCAGTGTGTGTGGATGTGTGGGCGTGCTTGTGAACATGTGTACATGTGCATGTGTATACATGTATTAGTGTGAGTGGATGTGTGTATGTTTGCGTGAGTGTGCCAAGTGTGTATGTCAAGTGCGTATGTGCCTGTGTGCGTTAGTGTGTGTGGGTGTGTGTGTGGGGGTGTTGAGTGTGTGAGTGCTTATGTGTGTTTCTGTGGGTGTGTGAGAGTGTGTGCCTGTGCACATATGTATATAGTTATGGTGTACAACATGATGTTTTGATATATGTATACATTGCGGAAGGGCTAAATCAAGCTAATTAACATATGCATTCCCTCATATACTTATTTGTTGTGGTGAGAATATTTAAAATGAATGCTTTTAATAATTTTCAAGTACACAATACATTGTTATTAACTATAATCACCATGCTGTACAATAGATCTCTTGAATTTATTAATACTAATATTGAGTATTAATTGCTATTAATACTCCTCCTTCTAACTGAGATTTTGTACTCTTTGACCAACATCTTCCCCAGCCCTGCTGCCCTTCAGCTCCCAGTAGCTGCCATTCTACTGTCTGCTGCTGTGACTCTGGCTTTTGCAGATTCCACATGTAAGTGATGGGATCGTGCAGTATTTTTCTTTCTGTGCCTGGCTTATTTCACTTAGCACAATATCCTCTATGATCATTCATGTTGCTGCAATATGACTTTTTTTTATGCAAACGTTTTCAAATGGAGAGCCCATCAGTGGAAGATCAGGGTAGGTAGACAGACAGATAGACAATAGATAGATGGATAATAGATAATAGAGAAATAGATAATGCATAATATAGACAATAGATAGATATTAGACAGATGATAGATAATAGATAGACAGGTACACTGAACAGAAAGACAATGGCAGACCACATATGGCTCACAGTCATATGTGAGCTCTAGCTCACAGTCTCTGCAGCTGTTGGCCCAGAAGAATCAGGACTCAGCCCAAAACTGCCAGCTTCCCATTTTTTGTTGTTGCTTCTAACTCAGAACCAAAAAAAGAATGTCAAACAGGCACCCTTCCTCAATCCCGTGGGACATCCCCCTCTTATCCCCCTCTTCTAGCTGGCCACTCCAGCTTCCCCAGGCTGACAGCCTGCAATAGGGCCCACCTGGGCCTTTGCTTTTCCCTCAGTGAAGCTTCCCCACCCCTCAGCCTGCCCGGGAGCCACTGCAAACACAAGTGACAGTGGCCGACTGTCCTGCTGTAGCAACCTCTGAATAAATTGTCTGTCTTTGTTCACATCTGGGTAGATTTCATTATTTCCACTATATTTGTACCTTTATAGAAGCACATGCAGTCATTTTGGACTTGTGTTTGGATAATGATTTTCAATATTAACACAAGCATATCAGGGACGATCTGGGTGTCCATTACACATGGGCTATGACGATCATGCTATGTTTGCATGTTTACTTATGGCATTGTTCCCACTCAATGAAGTTGAAAAGGCCAAGCGAATGAATTCTGGTACCCAGAAATTGGAGTAAAGAGAGCGTTGGGGAATAGACTTCTCTGCCACACTCAGTGAATCGTGCATGCCTAAGTCAGAGACTGCTTCCTGAGAATTGAGGCTGTGTCCAATTCCTGTCTCTCTGGCACAGCTGGGAGCTGTGTCATGAAGGCGGAGGGGCCCCAAGTAGTAACAGCCAGAGTCCCTGAGTCACTGCTTGGAGGACAGCCACTTGCCAACCAGGAGCAATCATTCTTTATTTTACATGAGTGCAAAGTAAACTTGAATTATATCTTGTTAAACCATGAGATTCTGGGGATTTATCTGATACAGCAACTTTTAGTAGCTAAACCAATACTAGAGACAAACAAAGAAATAGAGACAAAAGTAGGAGATCAGATCATGCCAGGTGCCCCACAGACCCCAGGGGCAGGGCAGAGTGACTGCTGCTCAGAGGTGGCTGCAGCCTCTTTGACAAGGTGGCATGAAGCTGACTCTAGGAAAGATCACAGGAGCAGTGAAGGGAGATACGTCTGCACAAAGACCCAAGGTGTACAGGGCCTGAGCACCGGGAAAGCAGAAAGAAGACCAGTGGAGCAGCATGTGAGATGTTGGAGAAGAAGGCAGTGGGCAGATCATGGGGGGTGTGGTGGGACGAAGAAAAAAGTGAATTATATTCAAAATGCAATGGGAATCTAACAAAAGGTGAAGCTATCGGATAACATCTAATAGTTTGATTTATGTTGGGAGGAAAATGGATGGCAGAGAGCTGAGGGTGGCAGACAAGAGAGGGTGGCCATGGGGGGACTGCAGAGCTGCTGATGAGACTTGTCAACGGGTTCAACTATGGATGGAGAAGAAGCCAGGCCACACCTAGACTGTTGACCGAGGACCTGAAAGAGAAGCGTCTCCAGAGAGATTAACCCAGGTTGGAAGGATGGATTATCCTTAGCCAGGAAACAAAGCCTTCCAGTTATTAACATCCTTGGAACAGCGTAGTTATGGGACAGACATTCTCTGTATTTGTTTTATGGAAATTAAAATCCGGAAACATTGTCTATAAAACTAGCCCTGAGGCAACAGCGTAGACTCTAAACCCAATATCGGTAAATTAGTTTCTTCAAAACGACATCACCTGTCACATTAAATTAATGTGCTTTATTTGTCTTTTATTGGGTTTGTAGTTTTATAGTACTGAATTTAAAAATTATTTTGGTTTATAGTTATATAAAAGCTATAAAATGTATGAAATGTATGCCTAATTTCATGATGTTTCAGATTTAAGTCACATTGCAAAGAGAATTAATGCAGGAGATCTATGATGCATTCTTTTTTCTTTGAAAGAGTTGTATAATTTGTTCAGTTTTGACAAAACTGTTTTAGTGCTCTGCTGAAAAATGCTGTTGTGGGTACACAACGATGGCCCTGTTAGACTCTGTGTGTGGCAAGAGGACAGGATTTGGCTGAGGGATGTCTCCCGTCCTGTTCCTGCTGGGATCAGCTGCACACATTAAAGATAGTGGCCATCACTGGGAAAAAGCCCTTGCTCCTGACCTTGCTTGCATATGATCATCACCTGAGGAGTGTCCAGATTACCAAAGTCTTGGTGCTAACCCTAGAGATGCAGATTTCAGTGGTTTGAGTGAAGCCTGGGTGTTAGAGGCTTACAAACTGGGGCAGGTGATTTGAATATGTAGGCCAGGTTGGGAGCTGGTGAATAGAGCCGAACCACTCAGCCCCATGGTCCAGCCAGTGACCACATTTCATTAATGTGGGTCCACTAGGGAGTCAGCGGGAGGTGCCCCTCAGAGGGAAAGCTGAACAACTCTTGGACATCAGCTGGTAGTATGAAACAGTGTGGCTCTGTAACCTCGCCAGTCTCTCTGCCAATGTGTTGTCACTAAATAAGAAGCAAGGGAGAAATGCCAACGCAAGACATTTTAAGACAGATAGGAAACAGGAGGTTCACCTTCCTGGCTTTAAAAAATATTTTTATTCAAATCCCAAAGTCTAGCTGGTCCCTGTTATGGTAGAGAGATGAAAGGAAGGGAGAGACAAGAAGGTGGCTCGACAGTCAGAACCCCTTCTGGCAGGCAGGGTTAGGAGCCAACGTATAGCCTACCGCTTATTTTATTTTATTTTATTTTATTTTGAGATGGAGTTTCACTCTTGTCACTGAGGCTGGAGTGCAGTGGTGCCATCTCGGCTCACTGCAACGTCTGCCTCCAGGATTCAAGCGATTCTGCTGCTTCAGCCTGCAGAGTAGCTGGGATTACAGGCGCCCGCCACCACGCCCTGGCTTTTTAAAAGGGCCTGGTGGGGGAAGTGTCCTCTAAGAGAGGTTCCTATCGGGGAGGTGTTGGGAGAGTGCTGACTGGACTTCAATAAGCTTTGTTGTGATTACGGTCCTTATATTCTGTTGAAGAAATGGGCCGGGCTGACATTTACGGTTTGGTCAGGTAGCAACGGACAGTTCCAAGAAATAAAAGCTTGATACTTTAAGATGGTGGAATCTCATTAAGATGGCAGTACTCTTGTCCTATCAGTCCTTCCAAAAGAATTCTATCTTTGAGAAGACAGCAAAGCGAATGGACAGAGGCATCCCCTCTGGGCCTGGAGCCAGGCTGCTGGCAGCCAGGTGTCATGAGGTGGGATGGAGTTGAGCTGTGGTTGGTTTCGCATCTTTGAAGCTAGCATCACCAGCATCCCCATGCCTCCTGGCCAGGGCTGGAAAGCATCTCTCACTTCACCTCTTCGTGGAATCAAATTATAATTTCCTACTCCTTAACTTAAGGTACTCTTGCACCTTAACCCTCTGCTCCCCATGTTCTCCTTCCCTCGTAGACTGCAGGGGTCCCTTCGGAACATCATGCACCACTATAGACCCTCAATTCATGGTCCGCTGCTTGTACACAGTAGGCACCCAGTAAATATCTGTTAGTTAAACACCAAACCAATCCAGGGTCTCATCTTTGTTCTGGGGAATAGAGAACCTCTGCTTGGGTCTCCATTCTTCCAAGTCGGGTTGTCGGTATAGTTGTGGTTGATCCCCTTAGAAAACAGTGACTATGACCAGCCATGGCTGGAGGATCCCACGGCAGTGTGCTGAGCACTGTGCTTCCTCTACTAACTGTGCACTTGGCTTGGTTTAGGCTTTTCCTAAAACAGAGCCTGAGACAAGAGTTTGCTTGCAAGGAGTTTATTTGGGAAGTGATTACAGGATTATAGGGGTGGGGAAAAGAGGGGACTGGACGAGGGGCATATTATCAAGGGGGGAACATGGCAGCCCCTGGAAGATTCTTTCCAATGCCCCATGCCTGGTGGTCTCACTCTCCTGAGGGTGGGAGTGGAGGTTTTGCTGCTGCTCCACTGGCTGTTAGCCCCCTGCACTCCGGGCTGTGCTTGTAGGACCTGGAAGGCTTCCCTGGCATCAGAGTGCCCTAGGGACAGGATGCTGACAGGTGCACTGAGCTTGGGCAGGGCCATGCTGCACCAGGAGGCTCTGAGCTGTCCAGAGTGTCCACAGCAGCTGTGGCTGAAGTTGGAGGTGGACTGGCAGAAAGTGACTTTTGGCACCTGAAGGGTCAGCCTCCGCGGTTTGGGGAAGGTTTCTCAACATCTCATACTCTCCATTTCAGCATCTATCACACAGGGGCTCCCAGGGAAGGGTGGCAGGGCCAGCAGTGGTAGCCTCTGGCCCCATCTGGACCTACAGAGTCAGAAATCTGCATTTAAGCAAACAGCCCAGGGCATTGTGATGCACACTAAAGCTTGGGAACCACTTACCTAGAACTGCTTCGCTTATTGTCATCCCTTTCTCTACAGTTAATCCTTGGGTGCATATTTATTGATGTCCACCATGAGAGCGGCTCTGTGCTGGGCTGCAGGGAGACATAAGCAGGAGACAAAGTCCCTGTCCTCACAGCCCCACAATGTTTGGGAGAGCAGGGAACACACGGGCTGTCCCTGTGTGGAAAGGGCTGTGAATGGGGAGCGGTGGTACTGGTGGTGCAGAGAAAAAGGAGAGGCTCATTTCTGAGCCTCTACCACACACCAGCATCCTGAGAGGGGTGTGTAGCCAGGCGCTCCTTCAACTTCCTACCAGCTCTGCAAAGGGGTCCCTGTGGTCCTGTCCCACAGCTCACCATTTTGTTGCAGGGACCGTGCAGCAGTCTCTGGATGAGGGAAGGTCTGAGCAGAGCTTTGGAGCATGATGAGAAGTGACCCAGAAGATCCAGGGCAGGGTGGAGGGAAGGGCTGTAAGAGGTAGGGCTGGGACCACTGATGCTTTGTTGAGTCACTGCCCAGCCACAAGAAGCAGCCACCTCGTAATGTTGTGTGAAGACGAAATGAACTCTGGTTGTGTTCAGCCACAGTCAGTTAGGCATGATTTAGTGGAAAAGTGAGCTCAGCCTGATGGATTACAATACATATGGAACACTTATGAGGATCGATGTGTCCAAGACCACACCTCAGAGCCGTAAGAACCCAAACATGTCTGGTTGGACAGCTGCCTGGGTAATGGGCAGGGAGCCGGAAAGAAGGCATACCTGGGAGGTGGGCCCTCAGCTTTGTGTCGCACATGCTGAGCTGGGTAGGTTAAAGTCCTGTCCACAGAGAAGCAGCGAGCAGAGGTCTGGGTCTGGGATGCAGAATACAGGTCTGGGAAGAACACCCAGGGGTGGGAGTTGCCGGTATGTGGATGGTGAGGTTGTCCAGGAGAAGAGGGTTTAGATACAAGCCCCCATGCACACCAGCACTTCATGGAAGGGCAGAGGACAGCACCCACAAAAACAGCGCAGGGACTGGAACTGGAGAATACCTCCTCAGGACACAGGCAAAAGAGCTCTTGCAGAAGCCTGTAGTCAATAGTACCAAATGCTGCCTGGGCAGGTTGAGTGAGGAGCTTAAAAAGGGCCCTTGGTCTACATGAAGGGATATCCTAGTGGGAGTAGTCATTATTTTATTTTTACTTTTTTTTTTTACTGTGGGCATAGCCAGAGATGAGGCCTTTATGGTGTGCAAGTGGCTGCGGCCTGTTGGCATGCTGCAGTATCATGACATCTCTGAGGAGATAGCCTTGAATAATTAAACACGGATAGCAGAGCTATGAAGACTATGAGCAAGGAGACAAAGGCCTAGGCTCAAGCTGAAATCCTCTACTTACCAGCTAGGTTACCTGGGGAAATTGCTTAAGCATTTTGTGCCTCAGTTTTCTCATCTGTAAAATGGGATGATAATAGGACTGATCGCACAGGTTACTGAAAGATTAACTGAGCTAATATGCATCTAGTGTGCAGAGCAGTGTCTGCATGCAGTAAGTGGGCAAAGATGTTGGCGATCACCCTTTTATCTGGTAGAATTTCGCTGAGTTTGGGAGATGACATTGTTCAGTAAGACTCTGTTTTTCCACAGGCTCCTTGTTAAGAATCACCAGGGCACTTGCTAGAGACATGGATTTCTGGGTTCTAGCCCAGATGTTCTGCCTGGATTCACAGGGAGATGATCCTGGGACTCTGGCTCCAGCAAGTCCCCAGGGATTCTCATGCTTGGAGAAGGAGAGCAATTCTGCTGGAACAGAATGGGGCACATGTTATAAAAAAGACCTGTGCACAGGGCCCTAGAGGCCAGATGGAGGTTGGGAGGCCTCATCAGAGGAAAGGCAGTATTGATGTGATTTAGTGAAAGGGAAAGGCTGTGCAGGAGTGATGTCAGCAGGACAGTGGCCTAGGGTGCTGCAGACCCTTGCTCCTCTGTGGAAGCACCAGGCGAGGGGCAGTGCATGGCTCCAGGTCGCCTTGTGGGAACTCCAGGAACTGGTTAAGGATCTGCAGCAATCACGCAAACTCCCAATGAGGACAAAACCACACTCAAAGCAGCAGGAAATTTTGTGGCATTTGGCTCACCTCTGCCCCACCTCCTTCCCAGCACAGTCAGGAGGAGACTACCCTACTCCTGGTACCTCCCTTGGGACACAAGGGAAAGACCGAAACATGTTTACAGGGTTCTGGCTTGTCTGCGGGCTGCCTGTGGAACTGGTTTCTGTCCCACGCATCTTGGAGTGTTGATGGGAAGGGAAGCCTGCTTGGGATATCAGGATGGAGACCCTGGGGGCAATACTGACTGCTGCCATATGTCAGAGCTGCAGGGGGTACCAGCACAAGGATCAGGGGAAGAAATAAAGCAGAAAGTCGAAGGCTTTCAACAGATGCAAAAATGAGGGAGAAATTCAAACATTCTCAGATATACAGCATATAAAAATGTATTCCCACCATTGAGCACCTAAATATATAAAGTGAATGTTAGCAACCCTGAAGGGAAAAATTGACAGGAATACAACAGCAGTAGGGAACTTCAGTACCCCACTCTCAATAATGGGCTGATCTTCCAGACAGAAAATCAAGAGGAAACACTGGGCTTGAACTATACTTTCCACTAAATGGACCTAACAGTCATATACAGAACATTGCATCCAACAGCAGCAGATGGCACATTCTTCTCAAGGGCTCACAGGGAATGTTTTCCAGGAGAGATCATATGTTAGGCCATAAAACTAGTCTTAACAAATTCAAGAAGATTGATATCACATCAAGGATCTTTTCCAGCCACAATGTTATGAAACTAGAAATCAATCAAAGGAGGAAACTGAAAAATTCACAAAAGTGGAAATGAAGCAAGAAGCTCCTGAATAATCAGTGGGTCAAAGAAGAAATCAAAAGGGAATTCAAAAAATATATGGAAACAAATAAAAATGGAAATATCACACATCAAAGTTTATGGGATGCAGTGAAATCATTTCTAAGAGGAAAGTTTATATTGATAAATGTCTACATTAAGAATAAAGAAAGGTCAGAAATAAACAACTTGACTTTACATCCCAAGGAACTAGAAAAATAACAAACTAGGTCCAAGGTTAGCAGAAGAAAGACAAAAACAAAGATCAGAGCAGAAATAAATCGAATAAAGACTAGAAAAATAATACAAAAGATTAAAGAAACTGAGAGTTGGGTTTTTGAAAAGATAAACAAAATCTGAAACACCTTTAGCTAGACTAACTACGATAGAAGTCTCAAATAAATAAAATCAGAAATGAAAGAGGGGACATTACAATTGATACCACATAAATGCAAAGTATGATAAGTGAAAATTATAAACAATGATATACCAATGAATTGAATAACATAGAAGAAATGGATAAATTTCTAGAAACATACAACCTACCAAGACTGAATTATGAAGAAATACAAAATTTGAACAGACCAATAAGAAGATTAAATCAGTAATCAAAAGGAGATTGGAGTAGTAATCAAAAATCTCCCAACAAAGAAAAGCCTAGGACCTAATGGTTTTACTGGTGAATTCTACCAAATATTTAAAGAAAATATAATACTAATCCTTCTCAAACTTTTCCAAGACATTGAAGAGGAAGGACCACTTTAAAACTCATTCTATGAGGCCAGAATTACCCTGATACCCATGCCAGACAAAGACACTACAACAAAAGAAAACTATAGACCGATGTCCCTGATGAATATTGATGCGAAAATCCTCAACAAAATACTAGCAAACAATTCAACAGCACATTAAAAGGATCATAGACCATGACCAGGTAGGATTTGTTCCTGGAATGCAAGGATAGTTTCTATGGCACTCCTTATGGAAAACAGTATGGCAGTTCCTCAACAATTAAAAATAAAATTAGCATGTGATCCAGCAATTTCATTCCTGGATGGGAATTCCATGAGAGAATTGAAAGCAGGGCATTGAGAAGAGATATTTGTACACCTAAGTTCATAGCAGCATTTTTTTTTTTAACAATAAATAGCCAAAAAGCTATTTCCACCAGTTAGGTGGTGGAAATGGGGAGCTAGTGTGTAATGGGGACAGAGTTTCAGTTTTACAAGATAAAAAGAATTCTGGAGATGAACGTAGTTATGGTTGCACAACAATGTGAATGTACTTAGGCCAATGAACTCTATATTGAGAATGGATAAGATGATAAATTTAGTGTTATGTGTATTTTGCCACAATTTAAAAAAGTTACCCAAGTGCCCACTGATGAATGAATAAACAAAAGGTGGCATATACATTTTATGAAATATTATTCAGCTTTAGAAAGGAAGGAAATTCTGACATGCTACAATGTAGGCGAACCTTAAAGGTATTATGTTAAGTGAAATGCGCCAGTCACAAAAGGACGAATACCTTTTTGTGATTCCACTTACATACGATCTCTTCAGTAGTCAAATTCACAGAAACAGAGCTCAGGATGGTGGTTGCTAGGGGCTGGGGAAAAGGGAAATGGGGAGTTAGTGTGTAACGGGGACAGAGTTTCACTTTTACAAGATAAAAAGATTTCTGGAGATGGAAAGTAGTTATGGTTGTACCACAATGTGAGTGTGCTTATGCCACTGACCTCTATATTGGGAATAAATAAAATGGTAAATTTCATGTTATGTGTATTTTACCACAATTTTTAAAAAGTGAAGAGCCTTGAAAATGGTGAGAATTTATTCAAAAGGCAATGGAGGGGTATCCAGACATAAGGGAGAGTGTGACATGGCCGTAGGGGATTTGAAATGGCAATTCTGCATGTGTAGAAAACATGACTTGGAAGAAGAAACCCGTGGGAGCAGGGAGCCCAGTCAGGAGTTAGCCTAGAGGTCAGTGGTTCTCAAACATTCAGATGCACCAGGATGGCTGGGGAGCTTGTTAGACGCAGGTATAGGTGCCCCAGGGACTTGCATTCAGTGGTTCTAGGGAGGACCTGGGAATGCGCGATTCTAACAAGCTCCCAGGCGATGCTGATGTTGCTGGTCTAGGCACCCCAGTTTGGGAACTATTGGTCTAGGGAAAGGAAGGGGGTTTTCAAGAGGTGCTGGAAGCAAATAGGGCAGCCAGCCCAGGGGCAGAAGGGTCATGCCCCTGACTATTCCCAGGGACCTGGACATCTGGCCTGGTCTGTTTATACTAGTGAGCTTCAAGGTTGACAAGAAGCCATATGAGGTGGATTTACTTACTACCCACTCACCAGAGCGACATCAATCCATAAACAACCCCAAATGATCCATTTCCTGGACACCCTAGGTTCAGCAAAACTTCCACCACCTGGCCTCTCTGAGAGGCTTCCTTATGCTTTATTAACCTCTTTTATGGGCCTGGTGGGAGCAACTCGGACCTCAGGGATTGCTTTCTCGTCTATCATGTGACCTGGCATGATAGCAGTCTGCACCCTATGTGCTTCATGCCTTTGATGGTTTTGAGAGCTGAATGTAAGCGGCTGCCTTAAAAAACCCAGAGTTAATAATTCTCCAAGGCAGAAGCCAGGATTTGCACCCTGGGGAGGCCTGACTTCAGATTGGATGATTCCACAGAGCGTGCCGGGAAGCCTGTGTGACATCTGGTCCCTGGCAGGGTTTCCGGGAGATGTAGGCGACTGCTGCTTCCTCCTTTCCCATCCTGGAGAAATGTTACGATTCCAATGACCTCTGTAGCTGCTGAGAAGATAGCAGACTGTGCTCTGGGGTCTTCCAACCTCAGAGCACACACTGGACAGGATATTGGAATGCCAGGGTTGTTAGGGCCAGTCCCGCCCCACCTGGGACCTGGTAACTTGGTCACACCAGTCTCCTCTGAGCATCTATAATGTGGGGTGGGGGTGGGGATAGGCTTTTTGCCTTATGAATGTCTGTGTAGCACTCATTTCCTGGGACCCTCACCACTGGGGAGCTTGTGCAGATAAAATCCACCCTCAAACAAGAACATCTCACCAGCAGCTGGTGGTGGACAGGCAGGCATCCAGAGACTGGAGCAGATGCTTCTCAGCTCTGGCCAGTGAGTGCCCCTTGATCCCTGTGCCCCAGCCTGGAGCTTCCAGGGGTCCAAGAGACCTTCCTTCCCAGGTTCCTTCTTGCTCTCCCTGCTCTGTCCTCTCCCCATGGCTGCCTCCCCTTGTGCCATGGCTCAAGGGGAATGTCCTTCCTATTCCCAATGGCCACCTTCTCGCCCTGAGGACACGTCTCCACCTGTCTCTCTGTGGAGTGTGAGCATCAGGAAACCCTCTGTGCTCCCAGCGAGACTGCCGGTGAGTGGAATCTGGCTTTGGGAAGCATCTTGAGTGCAGGACACCAACAGCATCAGAAATTTCTGAACAGCACCTGCCTTCTAGGGTGTAACGAGGTGCCACAGGGAGACCCCCAGTGCTTGGCACACTGTAGGCATGTAGCAGCTTTTCATGGAACTAAGGGACAAAGGTGTGACTTGCAAGGACACAGTGGCTTTTCTTCTTTTAGGAGAGCCCAGAGGTGCTCCTTAGGCAGGCCAGTAATGGGAGCTGAGTGAGGGGGAGGAGGAAGAGGGTGGCTTTGCTTCCCTGGGGTGGGGGGTTCTATTCCCTAATGGCCATTGGAAATCAGCATTCATACTTGGCAAGAAATAGCTAACCTCTACCTTGGGGAGCATAGGCTTGGAGAGGATGTTTCAAAAGAATGGGCTTTCTTTGCTGATGCTGGATCAAACGTACTGAGACATGGCCACAGAAGCTCTGCTGCTTTATGGACATGAAAGGTGGGTGACAAAGCCCTGAAGAGGGGACTAGGGTATCCTAAATTCTGAAATCTGTCCCCAGATGCACAAGCCTCCATGTGGAAAAGGGAGAAGGACTGCTTGCGTGGTGTATGGCCTTGGGTGCAGTGACAGATGGCGCACACCTGCCCCAGTGCCCTCCATTGAGGTTTGGAGCAGTTGGAGCAGTGACCTCACCTCTGCACAGACCCACCTGCAGGGTGGGGGGATAGGACGGGGCTATCTCAAGTGTGGGGGGCACCAGGGCAGAGCGCCTGGGAAGTATTGCCAGGATAACTAACTGAAGACCAGTGGTTAGGGCAGGGGAGCCCTGCCCCTGTTCTCTGTCCTGTCTCTCAGGAGCTGGTGTGGGATGCGGAGATCAGGTGCACAGTGAGGGGCGTGGCTGTGGATTGAACATAGCATGGTCAGGCTTCTGTCTTTTATTATTTATTTATTCATTTATTTATGATATATCATAGTTGTACATACGTTGGGGGTACATGTGATACTTTGATACCTGTATGAAACATGTAATGATCAAATCAAGGAAATTAAGATCTTCATTACCTCAAACATTTGTCTTTTTTGTGTGTGTTGAGTATGTTACAAATCTTCTTTTCCAGCCACTTTGGACTATATGGTGAGTGATTGCTAACTATAATTTCCCTACTACACTATCAAGTACTAGAAGGCTTTTGTCTTCATTAGGATAGAAACTACCCAGATATGTACTTGGAATATAAATGTCTGCATTTTAATCTCAGCTTCTTATTTCTGAAGAAAGGAAATTGAATAACCAGGGATGATGTTTAAGCGCATGTCTGTGTAAACATTTAAACATGTGTAGAAAGGTATTTTCAACAAGCATGTAGCTTGGGAATGCTCCATGTCTGAATTCTGAATGCATGCAATATACTTTCATCTAAGGAGAATATCATCAGTATTACAAATACAAAGCCATAAAAAATTCTGCTGATGCTTTTAGGGACGGATCAATGCACTGTTTTCATTTGCAATTTTCCAATTTATGTTGAGTCATTTTAAGAACTACTTCGTAAGTACATTTTGGATTTTGAAATTGGCTTTGCATTTATTTTGGAAAGAATAGTAACTCCTTTGATTAGAAGCGAAAGGTATGAGGTCACATGTTTCTATTAGATGCCTCTGTCTGGAGAACTTGCTATTTACAAAACCATGACACTGTCTTACATGGTGTTATAAGGGTTAACAAGTTTCCCCCTTAAGTAATGTCCCCAAGTAAGTGATCAAGTCCTGTGCTGCCAATGGCAGATAAGAGACATTAAGATAAACAGACTGAGAGGAAATAGCCGTAGAGTTCAACAGGAAGAATCCATTCTGGCTATTAAAAGCTTTTTGACAAGGATGTTCTAAGACCGGCTGGACAGGAGCCGGTGGTAAAGGGGTGTGTGTCTCCTTCCTTGGAAGCCCAGCAAGAACAGAGCAATAGGTGTTAGGTAGGGAGAGGCAGGAGTGACGCCCCTCCTGCCTCAGCTGGCCACTTCCTGCAGTCCTTTAGATACTCAGCTTAGATGTCGTTTCTCCAGAAGTCTCCCTCACATCCCAGACAACAATAGGAGGCCCAGGTTATACTACTAAGTCCCTCCACAGAACCCTCCAAGAAACCTCCACAGCCAGGCTTAGCATAGGGCATCTCGTGATTTCTTGTTTACTTCTCTGCATTCACTTGGCCATCAGCAGGAGTGCATCCTGGTCACCAGTGTGTCCCTGCAACACCAACACTCAAGGTTCATTTCTTCTGGCTCACACAAGTTCAGCTGGAAGCCTTCTGCAGCTCCTCTCAGGCCAGCGTGTTTCATGAGTAATAACAATAGTAATATGAGCACCCCTCCCTTCAGCCAGAGTTAGCAAGGCTCCTCTGCTTGGGGCGTTGAGTTTCAGGTGAAGAAGAAACATTGGATGAAAGAGATGTTCCTAAGTTTTCACTTCCACCATCTAGAGGCAAGTAAACGGCATCACTGTGGTTTGAGGGGGGTGATATCCCTGGTATTGGCTCCCATGGCAGTAGGGGAGGCTCAGTCCCTTGTGCCTTCAGCCAGGAGAGTGGAGATGCCGCCTGAGCTTCGATCCGAGGCAGTTTCTGGGAGGAGGTGGGTGGGCCCTGCTGCGGCAGCTTCGACACCAGGCTTTCCATCCATGCTTCTCGCCTCTGCAGCACTTCTCCATTTCCCACGGCCCCTCCTCTCACCAGGACATCCCACACTCCCCTCCCACCCCTTTCAAATAGGATGCATCTGCTGTTAAAAAAAAAAAAAATGAAGCCACTTTGGAAGGCCAAGGTGGGCAGATCACTTGAGGTCAGGAGTTCGAGACCAGCCTGGCCAAAACAGCGAAACCCCATCTCTACTAGAAAAAAAAAATTACAAAAAATATTAGGCGGGCACGGTGGTACATGCCTGTAGTCATAGCTACTTGGGAGACTGAGGCATAAGAATCGCTTGAACTTGGAAGGCGGAGGTTGCAATGAGCCGCGTTTGCATCACTGCACCCCAGCCTGGGTGACAGATCGAGACTCTGTCTCAAAAAAAAAAAAAAAATCCTGAAGCAGCCTTCCCTTCACCCCACTGGCCTGACATGGCTCCCATCTCCCTTTGGTTCCTGGATCTCCTAGGTTCCTGGATAGAATGGCCTTGCTTTGTTCCCATTTTCTCATCTCCCTTCTCTTCTGCCCACTCCAAACTCAGCCCCGCCCCCGTCTCCCTGGAGATGATGTACCCAGTGCACATCGATAACTAAACAGGCATGTCTAGCACATGGACTCCCCGGCTCCCAGTTTCTTCACCACAAAGTTTCTCTAAGGGACTTTTGGGCCACTTCCCCAGAGCAAAACATGCAGCTGTTAAATAGTTGCCAGGCAATTAAATCATTGTGAGCAGGGGTGAATTCCTCTCCCACAAGAGAGGAATTTTACTTTTGTCGTGGGGAGTGGGAGGTATTTATCCAGGGTGGACTAGGGCATTAATTATCGCTGCTGCCAATTTGCACGGCAAGAGCTGGGCCTCATCTGCACTCCTTTTCCTCGGTTTTCCTTTCCGAGGAAGGTAGATTTGTTGGGAGAGGATGCTGCAGGCTGAACCTCACCTCAGCCAGAAGTACCTGGGCTTGCAGAGTTGCTGGACCGGAAGGCCAGGCCTAGAAGGGGGCAGGTGCTTGAGATGTGGAGCTGCTGGCAGGGAGCAGCTGGAGCTGAGGCTGGTTCCCAGTCTCCTCCTCTTCCCACATCAGTGTCCTCCCATATCAGAGGCTCAGGCGGGAAGCCTGGAGTGAGCGAGTGAGCTGTGCCACCTCCAGCCCCTCTGGCTTCTTCAGGGAAGGTCACAGGGAGTTCCTCTCCCCTCAGGACCACACACACAGAGGGGTAAGGGAAGGGGGATTGGCCAGAAAATCCAGAAAAGACAAAGGATTCCAAAAGCTGAATTTGAAGAAATAAATTTTGCAAAATATGGCCTGCTAGCATTCATTGCCACTTCTAGTGGCGCTAGGAATTGTTTCTTTCTGACAAGGCCAAAACACACTAGGACAGAAATTCTCAACCACAGAGGGAGTGGCAGCTGTGCTCCCAGGAGACATTTGGTGATGTCTGGAGACACTTTGTGTAGTCACAACTGGGAGGAGGAGTAGAGCCCAGGCAAGCTGCCGATGCCCTGCAGCAGCAATTATCTGGTCCTAAATGCCCATGGTGCCAAGGTTGAGAAATCGTATCCCAGAGCAACTGAGGGCTGGTCTTACATTGTGGACAGGGCGACTTTCCACATGGCTAGGCCTCAAGCCAAAGGATCTAAGGAGGAGAACTCCTGGCATCCCACTCAGGGAGGGGGCAGGCATTTGTCTTGGTCATAGCTCCCTCCCTTCCTCTTGCAACTCCTGATGCCCTCAGAGACTGGACCCCAAACCCCAAACCCAGAGAATGCCACACACACACTGGGTGTGTGGGTCTACACCAGGTCAGCATGAGGGGACTTCTGCTCTTGTCTAACACAGTTAAGGGAGACCTCATGGTCAGTCCAGTGGGAGCCTGGAAATAACATCTACATTAGGAGGACACTGGAGCAGGGCATCAGGGTACCCACTGGGTAGCAGAACCTCAGAACTCAGTGCCCTGAGACTGATTTTCGTGGGTCAGGGATTAGGGCAGGGCATGGCTGGGCAATTCTTCAACTTCAGGTAGCATGGCTGAGCCAGCGTGCTGGCATTCTGCCGGAAAATGAGTGTCTGAGTATCTAAACTGTATTTATTTTCGTGTCTGGGGTGTTGATGGGGTGGTGGCAGGTGGGGATCAGCTAGGGCCATGGCTCAGAGAGCTTCAGCACAGCCTCTGGGGGTGGCCCACTTCCTGATGGTGGCTCAGGATTCCCCGAGAGGGAAGAGGACATGGCTATTTCCTAACGCCTTGGCCCAGAACCTGGCTTCATGTCTTGGCACTTTTGCCAGACTTTACTGGTCAAAGTAAACCCCGAGTCATGCAGATTAAGGGGAGGGCACGTCAACATGCCCTCGGTGGGGGCCTATGTCAAAGGACTGGTGGCTGTCTCTCATCCCTCACTCGGAAGCTCAACCCAGAGAGGATGTACAGTGTGCTAGAAACAGAGAAGCCCCCACCTGAGACAAATTGGCTTTATTCCTCCTCCCAGGGTGGCCGAGTGACATGGAGAGTGGTGCAGGCACAGGGCATTGGTGCATCAGAGGGACCCTGGTGAGGAAAACCAAGACGCGTGTAAGGAGCTCAACTCCGGCAGAGATGCTTTTCTGTGGCCAGGGTGTTTCCGTTCCATGGTTTCCTGGTAGCCTCCCCAGCCCTGCTCTTCTCCACTCCATGTGTACCCCACCTCTACCCCCCATTAACGTAAGGACTGTCTTACCTTACGGAGCAGCCAGCGAAGTCAGAGCCATCCCGCCCACTTCCAGCAATGCTGCTCCCCGGCCAAGAGGGCCTCTGCCAAGCACTGCCCGGATCAGAGCTGCGGTTCCTGAGCCTGTGGAGGATGTGGGGAAGCTGTCCAGGGCAGAACAAGCCCTGTGTGCTCCCCGCCTGCTCCTTCTGCAGTGTGGGGCATGTCATGGCCTAAAGGACTATTTAGAAAACTCATGGGGACTTTGTAATGGACCAAAAGGGAAAGCCAGTTGTGATGAAGAGGGGGCCCGAAGAGTGTATGTTGGTGTCATCATTAGTGTTGTGGTGGAAATGCAGGTGGGAAGTCCTGTGGCTTCCATATAACCCTGGCCTGTTAAGAGCACATGTACCCTAAAACTTAAAGTATAATTAAAAAAAAAGTTTTAAAAAGAAAAAGAATCCCACTGCTTTGTTTTGGCCCTATTTGTCCACTTTTTCAATATGCCATAGAAATAAAAGGAATGACAAATCAAAAAAAAAAAAAAAAGAGTGTGTGACAGCGTGGGGTGTGTTGACGATGCTGAGTGCCGGTTCTGAGAGGAGCCTGATGCCTGGCAGCTTTTCCAGGAACTGCACGCCCCTGGGGTCCTGAAGACTGCTCAGGACTTGGGACTCAGATCCGCCTGAGGCTTCTCTTCCTTCTCTGTCTTCCCCCTCCTCCTTCCCTTGCAGGCCTTGCTGAGGCTCCTAAATGAACTTTGCTGTCCATACAGACCCATGTTAGCTGTAAACATATTTCTGGTCACTTAAATTACTACTGATTTGCAGCCAATGAATAGCTGCTGGCATGGAGATCACAGGCAAAGGGAAACAGCAAAAACATAAAGATGCCTGCAGAGCTAGTGGTAGCTTGCAAAGTCATTAACAGAAACTTAGGAGATGCTAGGCCTTGCGGGGATGGCTGGATGAAAAGTGCCCTTTCAGAAAAGTTGTCATTTCAACATATGATTATGGTAAAGAATCTGCCTGTAGAAAATATTCATACATTAAGCTATTTAAAAAGGTGTTTCACATTTCTTTTCTTTCTTTTTCTTTTTTTTTTAAGACAGAGTCTCACTCTGTTTCCCAGGCTGGAGTGCAGTGGTGCAATCTCGCCTCATTGCAACCTCCACCTCCTGGGTTCAAGTGATTCTTCTGCCTCAGCCTCCCAAGTAGCTGGGATTACAGGCATGCACCACCACGCCTGGCTAATTTTTGTATTTTCAGTAGAGACAGGGTTTCACCATGTTGGCCAGGCTGGTCTCGAACTCCTGACCTCAGGTGATCCACCCGCCTCAGACTCCCAAAGTTTTGGGGTTACAGGCGTGAGCCACTGGGCCCGCCCTCACATTTCTTTTGATAATTGCATTTCAGAAAAACCTTCTCTACCAGTCATGTAATGTCCAGTACTCTCTGTGACATTTGGTCCAAAGACTTCTGATCTGCACACATAAGATTTTAAAAACTGGCCCCTTCCCCATCCCTTCTTCTCTAGCCTTGTTAAGTAGGTAGCTAGCCCAGAAATTGCGCGGTTGAAAGTATTCATTGAAAGTTAGATTATACTAAGTAAGCAGGCACATTTTTTTGAAGCAAGCTTTATAATCCTTTAGATGATTAAAAAACAGTAAATAAATTGGTTTTTCTTTGACTTCAATTTATTTTGAAGAGATAGAGAACATGGGTCATGGCACCAAATTCCCTGCTGTGTGTCCCATGGATGATCAAGAACGTTGGCCAGATACCTTTTTCTAAACAGATCCTACCCCTGCTTCTTAGGAAGGGACTGGTGGGAGCCAGCCTGGGTCACCCTGCCTGCTCCCTGCCTTGCCCTCTGGAGCCAATCCTGTACCTTTCTGTAGGTGACAGCCCAGCCCCAGAGACTCTGCTGCCTTTGTGCTGTGTTTTCTGTGAATGTAGGCATGGTCCAACGTGCACAAAAACATCAAGGCAAAGGAGAAAACAGCTCTTCAAATGCCCTTAAAGACCACACCATGTCTTGGTGATTTTGCATTCAGGCCCTAGCCCACTTTGTTTGTTTCACAACTGGAACCTCAGTGACAAATGGCTGAGGCTTGGCAGAAAACTGTGTCCAGGGATGCTCCGGCCTCTTTCCTGTACCTGTGTCCTTATGGCACATGCTGTATGTACTCGACTATTTGCTCTCACAGTGGAAAGTACACCAGAGGCTGCTAATGTATTTACTTAAGGGAGACCAAAGAAATGGTGCTGAGAACATCTCACATGTTATGTGATTGTGTGTGCTTGGTGTGTCTATCTCCTTGGGATATATGTTCTATGGAAAGGAAATCAGTGCACGGGGCCCTTAGGAAATGCAGGGGGAGGTGAACAGCAATGCGTGCATCCCCGCCCGCACAGTGGGCATGGGTGCTCTTGCGGCTGTAGAACTTGCTCAGTGAGGACCCCCGTACCCACTCACCTGGGCACATGCTTCTGAAAGTCCCCAGTGCAGCGCTGTGTGGGTGCTCAACGTGAGTCTCTACCACCTGGCTCAGAGTCGCCCTGAAAAGCTGTGCACAACCAGGGAAATACAACGGAAAACAATAAGCTATCTTTCCTTGGAAGAACGGCTGAGGGGCTGGGCCACCTTTTAATTACCTTTTCCCTGTGAATGGTCCTCCGCTACAAGTTACCGTGGCCAAAAAGAGGGCCCCTTAGTGGACTCATGGGGCCTGGAAGATGAACGCTGGGCTGATGTTGAGGGATTAAGCATTGATTCCTTAAGGCCTCAGGCAGCTGCAAGCCTGGAGATGGCCTTTCATTACCAGGCAGAGGGCCTAGCATTCAGTTGAATGCATTCACACAAGGTTCTGTTTGTGACTACACCAACCATGTGGGGCTTACAGAAGATGGTGAACGGATGAGAGAGATGTGGGAAGGTGGTGGTTCTGAGCCCTTACCACACATTAATTTGAACCTCTGGGCTGTGGCCTGGATGTCACTTTGTTTAAATTTTCAGGGTGATTTCCAAGTGTCTCCAGACTTGAAGACCACTGCCTGGTAGCTTCTAGTGGATGGAGATGATGTGCATAAGCCCTTCTGGTCGAAGACCCCCAGGCCAGATCTTTGGAGGGCCCTTCTTGGTCTTCTTGGAACCAGGTAAATCTACTTCTGATTGGCAACTAAGAACACCCAAGAGGTGATGATGTGCCAGGGTGGTTTGTGCATATGTTAAGTTGAGTTCTTTCTCATGTCTTTTCTCATTAAAGATATAACACGACACAATATAATACAATGCAACACAATAAATTATAGCACAATGCAATGCAGTATGACACAATACAACACAATGCAGTACAATATGGCACAGCCCAGCACAACAGAACAGAACACAGCACACTGTAACACAAACACAACACACTGCAACACAACACACTGCAACACAGAAGCCAGGCCTTTGCACTTTTTGGTTTCCCTGGGGTTTGTCTTACTGAGCCCAAGAGCAGCCCTGTTCTAAGCTTTATCTGCACAATTCTAAACTCCCTGAGGAGGTATGTGGGTTCACCCTGAGGGAGCAGGGCAGAATAGAGAGACAACACCTCTGGCTGGGGGTGGATTGGGGATAACCAAGGGGGCAGGGAGAGAGCCCAGGATGGAAGGGTTACCTTTAGTGTCTCATGGGTTACAGGGGCTTACAGTCAAGGGGTCCTGGGAGGTGGCAGGGTTTCAGAGAGTCATTGGCTCATGGGGCTTTAAGAGGTTGGACCCCAGGCTTACCAGGCTGGGCCCACAGCTGTCCCCATGCAGGCTTGGACAACAGAGGAGGATGTCTACATTGTCCACCAGAGCCGACTGACCATCCAAGTACTGCCCCTAGTGTTCCTGATTGGTTAGGACCTCAGTGACTGAGCACTCCTTGGGGCAAAGTTGTTTGGCAGTGTCCACTAAGGCTCACCAAACACCTACCACAAATGCTCCATGACCCAGCAACCCCACTTCTTGAAATATACTCAAGGGAAATGAGTGCATATATCTGCCAAAAATATGCACAAAGATGCTGCAGCATAAACAAATTGTGGCTTATATCATGGGTAGCGACTGTCTGGGACCAGCATCACATGGGCAGTAAAAATAATTTACCAAGACAGTTGTAGGTAGAGAAAGGCTGATTTATTAGAGAAAATGGGAACATACGTTGCAAGAAAAGAACGTGCAAATCAGCAAGGGAGGAGCTGACTGCAAGGAGCCAAAGGCTTGGTGGGGATTTTATAGGATGATGGATGATGCTTGTGCTGGAGAGGGCGACTGCAGTACTGACAACACCAAGGCTGCAGTGAGCTAACTTGCACTGTTCTATCAGCAGAGGTTCTGGTGATAGCTGGGCACAGGAAGATTATGAGTTATTTGCGCGGGAGGGCTGTGTGTTCTGGATCATGAAGAAAGGCAGACTTAGAGCTTAACTGCTTTTTCTTACTTTCTCCTGGTCCCACCAGCCTGATTCCTTTTCTCCAGCTAGGACTCCATAGTTTACCCATCTAATGAAATATTACTCAACTCTAAAAAGGAATGAAGCACTAACTCATACTATGACAGGGCTGAATCCTTTTGTTTTGTTTTTTTTTTTTTTTTGAGACAGAGGCTTGCTCTGTCGCCTAGGCTGGAGTGCAGTGGTGCGATCCTGGCTCACTGCCAGCTCCGCCTCCCGGGTTCACACCATTCTCCTGCCTCACCTCCCGAACAGCTGGGACTACAGGTGCCTGCCACCATGCCTGGTAATTTTTTTGTATTTTTAGTAGAGACGGGGTTTCACCGTGTTAGCCAGGATGGCCTCGATCTCCTGACCTCATGATCCGCCCACCTCAGCCTCCCGAAGTGCTGGGATTACAGGCGTGAGCCACCGCGCCCGGCCAGGGCTGAGTCTTAAAAATGTTATGCTGAGTAAAAGAAGCCAGACACAGAAGGCCACATGTTATCTGATTCCTTTCATAGAAAATATCTAGAATAGGTAAATTCAAAGAGATAGAAAGCAGATTAGTGGTTGCCTGGGGTTTGGGTGTTGGGGAAAATGGGGAGATGCTGCTTTATGGGGTTTTATTTCGGAGTGTGGAAAATGTTTTGGAATTAGATACAACTTGTGATTGCACAACATGGTGAATGTACTAAGTGACCTTGAATTGTTCACTTTAAAATGGTTGATTTTATGTTATGTGACTTTCACCTTGATAAATTTAAAAATACTTTAAAAAGAAAAATAAATGACCATAGTAGCTTTATTCATAATAGCCCCAAACTGGGAAAGACCCAAATGTCCATTGGTCACAGAATGAATTAAAAAAAAAATGTGATTTATCCACATGCTAGAATTCTATGCAGCAATGAAAACAAGTGAGCTTGGCCTCCCTTGATATACCCAATTCTGGATCAACCTCAAAACCTCAGGCTAAGCAAATGAAGCCAGACGCAGAGTGCCACACACAGAATTAAGTCAGCGTACATGAATATCAAAAGCACACCTAGCTATGGTGGCAGAAGTCAGAATAGTGGCGGTCTTCAGAGGGAATTGTCTGGGATAGTGACGTGTTCTGTATGTTGGTGTGGGGACCGTGACCTGGGTGTATACAATGTCAAGACAAATCAAACTGTATTCTAAAGATGGGTGCTCTGTGTTGGATGTAAATTATATTTCAATTAAAACAACAGTTTCACATGAAGGGAAAGACACAGTTAGAGAAAGAAAAGCACAAACCATTGTACGAGGAGTCACTGATTCCAGGCTGGCTGGACACCCACACTAGGGCTGGCTACCTGGCTGGTGGCTCCCTGTGGTCTGGCAACTCCGGAGCTGAAGCTCGGTCCCTCAGCCTCCATGGTATTCTGCCATTACCTGCTTTGTGCATCTGTTCCCCAGCAGGCCTGGGAGCCCTTGAGTGAAGGAGCCTACTAGTCTCACTCCCGGTGGGGGCCCATCCTGTGGTGTAGTAGGAGCTTTCGTAAGTGTTTTGGAAGGTCCTGTGGAGCTGGGACTCTCTCAATGTGCATGAGCTGGGAACTCAGGAGTGCCTCTGTGTGTTACAGTGACATCAGGGGTCCCAGACAGCCCTGGCAGGCATCCCCTGTGCTGCTCAGCACCTACCTGCTTGCCAACAGGAGCCCTGGGCCAACGCCTGGACCAGACTCTGAGCATTCTCATTCCAGAGGTGGCCAGCTTCCAGGCCTTGCTCAGCCAACAGCCACATCTCAGGTCCCTATCCCCCAGCCCCTGCCTATAGCAGCCCCTGTGTGCTGGGGCCTGGACCCCCAGGAAAACCCCGTGAGACCCTCAGCCCCATCCCTGTGCTTTGGGGCATGCCTCTGAACACCTGGAGCCAGGCTTCTCACACTTTCCTGAACACCAAGTCACCCCTGGACCCTGTGGAAATGCAAGTATTGACTCAGAGGGTCTGGGGCAGGCTGGAGCCTGTGGTTTTAACCAGCTCTTGGGTACTGCCATCGCTCTGGTGCAGGGACTGCACTCTGCGTAGGGAGTGTCTGGAAGGCCTGGCGAGCCATCACGTCCCTGCTAAACAATGATAAACACATACACTTATACCTGCAGGAGCAAGCCCATGCATACAGGAGCACGTGTGCACCCCCGTGCAATATTTAAAGAGCCATGAAGCAGATAGCACCATGAGAAAGACTCCCTGGGCCACAAATGTGCCGGCTCGCACCCCTGAAGTCCTGAGGAATTTTCTCATCACATGACCCGCCCCACACCCTGACTTTCTGGGTTCTCACTGCATCTGGAGGTCTGCTGGGGTCAGCTGAGGCTTCCCCTTGGTTTGGAGGCCACGTGGGAACTGTCCTGCCCAGGCCCCGGAACTTTCCAGGCAGCACCTCCTGCTCCCCTCACAGTTCCCCCAGGCTATTTTTAGGATCCTATTTTTGCCCTGTTTGAAGTTCATGCTGACTTCACCACCTAATTAGAAAGGGCAGCTCCCTGGAATTATCTGTCCCACATTCTACTCTGTGTACTGTACAGAGCAGAGGTGATCAGATGTCCCCCAGTTGGGGTCAGGTGCCCGGCGTCTGTCCCTCTTTGCCCGGGTGGAGTGTTTTGGAGCCCACCCCAGTGGCCAGGCCTGAGGCAGGACCTGGTTCTCAGTTTCTCCTGCCCGCCTGCGCTGACCCAGCCTGCCTGCACTTGCTCTGGGCATGTGGCTCCTGCAGTGGGTCCCAGACCCACCTGGCTCTATCCACAGCCCAGAGCAAGGTTGCGGGAGGCAGAAGGGGATATGGCTTGTATGGGGCCTGCTCTGGCCAGGTCAACCTGTCAACAGTGCTCTGCACTCCCCAGGGGACGGACTATCACCACAGGGCTTCCACCTGCTGGGCTGGGCTGTCTCTCCCAGCTCTTCTCACTTGGAAGGCTGGGGGCTCACGCTGGAGTCTTGGATTTCTGTCCTGATGCTGCAGGTCTGGGGGCCTGCACTTGAGAGTCTCAAAGTCTTTGGAGGGACGCCAGGCCTCCCTCTCACCACCACAAACCCTGCCAGAGTTCTCTGAGCACCATCAGGCAGTATGAGGGTAGAGGGTGGACTGTGGGCCCAGGGAAGGCTGAGTTCCCCTCTCTTATTTGTCATTTTCCATGTAATGACAGCAGGTTACTAATTCCTAGAAAGCTCAGTTTCCCAAGGTTAACCTTACCCATCTCATGGGGATGGTGTGATCATTGAATAAGTTAATGCTCATAAAGCCTCAGGCATAAAGTAGACTAGTAAAAAAGGTTATTTCTTCTCCAGCCCATCGCTGTCGGGAGGTCTGACTGTCGTGGATGTGGCATCATGGGTCGGGCTGAAGACCTGCCAGTGTGCTCTCTGGAGCCCCGTCCTGACTCCTCGGGGCAGTGCTGAGCCAAGCATGGGCCCCAAGGACCTTGTCTCTCCCAGCTCACCTGTGCCCTGGGCCACCCTTGGACAGGTCCAGCCTCCGTTTCCATCTGTGAAATGGGTTCTCTGAGTGCTGCACTCAGAGAAATGGGTTCTCTGAGCACTCAGTTCTCTGAGTGCTGCTCAGAGGCCCCTTGAGGTAGTAAATTAAGCAAGTGTCCGGAGAATTCTGGGGGACCTGGAGACCCCGCACCCTCATGAAAGCTCATGAGGTCCAATCCCCCTTTCAAGGTATGAGCACAGCTCTTTCCAAATACAAGGAGATTCTTCCCAAAGTGGGTTAACCGGGGCACCCCACTGAACTGGAAATAAACTCTACCGATTGGGCTGAAAGCTGCCCAGAGGTGCCCAGTTTGGGAGGATCTCATCCACACGGGGGACGGCTCCATTCAGCATGGCCTCCTCTGGACTTTCCATGGCCGCTGTCACCGTTTCTGTGAATATGACATTCCCAGCCTGGCACTGGGCTCCTTTCCACCCCGCTGCAAACGTCACGAGAGCCAGGACTGTGCCTCTCACAGGCACATCCCCTGCAGTCCCAGATGCTCAGCAAGCAGTTATTATGAACAGAGTGCACAAAGGACAAGTGTGGCCCAGCCCTCTGTCCACACATAGGGACACAGGCCCTAACTAGTCCTGCTTCCTTCTGCCCAGGTCTCTCAGGAACACTCTACTTCCCTCTGGGAAGCACCTGGTGGAGAGGTCTGGGCGACGGGGCTGGGTGAGCAGCAGCCCTACTGCACATCCTCCTGCTCTGGGCAGACCCTTGAGTGCCTCTTGGATGCTGAAGCAGGCTGCTTACAAAACCAGTGTTAACAAAGGCCCAGCCTGAGGAAGGTGATAGGATCTGCTCCCGCAGTGTGAGCCAGCCCAGGCTGGGCTGTGTTCAGGGCATCCAGGGAGGAGGCCTGAATTCTACAATTAAAACCTAAATGCAGGAACAATCTAAACAACCAGGCTTGGGCATGTCCTGTTTGTTGTGTAAATCCATGAGTCTGGTTTGCATGGCCAAACGCTCCCTGACAGCTGACTGCCAAGTTTCTGTTAGGGCTTAGACGTGACCTCCTTCAACCCCTGCCTTGTTTGGGTTTACTCTGGGGTTGAAGTCTGACGAACATCTAGATGGGGGCCTCCTGGAGTGGCCTGTCACTGTGTCCAGAGGGACATGGGCTTGCCAGCTCCCCGGGCGTCCATGCAGCGGCTCCCCGAGGCCTGGCCAGCTCCTCACCAGCTCCTGCTGAGTGTCTGTGCCCACGGCAACCAAGAAGTCCTGTGTGTGCCCTGCAATGCTGCTTCTTCTTAGAAACTGCAAACAGAGAGAAAAACTGCCTGGCAGCTTCCGCACTGATCTCTTTCTCTGTCCTTTTTCTCTTCACTTTAATTTTTTTTCTCCTACTCTTTTTCTGTCAGAAAGCAGTCAGCAGCCATGTGAGTTACCCCGTGAAGTTCTCCTGCCTTGGTCTGAGAGGCCCTCGGTGCGTGTTTAGGAACTGCAGCCAGCTAGCCTTCTCCTCTTTATTCAAAAGCCTGATTCCTCCTTACTGCATGGCAGACCCCCCCAGCGTGCCAGCTGTGCAGGTCCCAAGGGTGCTGAGGGCAGGAGAAGGCAGCTCTGGCAGCTCACGAGGGCATCCATGCACCGCCCCCATCTGTGGAGCTGAAGTTTAACGTATCCTCTGGGGCCCCCATCACACCTGCTTTTGATGGCAGAAGGGCAGGCACATGCTCAACTCTTATCCTAAAGCCTTCCAGCTGGCTACTTCATCATCTGCAGGAGTCCACAGGACTATGGGGGACAACAGCTCCCCAAGGCCCAGACTCCCCCTTAGTCGAGTGCGGTGGCTCATGCCTGTAAGCTGAGCTACTCAGGAGGCAGAGGTGGGAGGATCACCTGAGGCCAGGAGGGGCAACATGGAGGGAAACTGTCTCTTAAAAAAGAAAGAAGGAGGCTGGGTGCGGTGGCTCATGCCTGTAATCCCAGCACTTTGGGAGGCCGAGGCGGGCAGATCACGAGGTCAGGAGATCAAGACCATCTTGGCTAACATGGTGAAACCCCGTCTCTACTAAAAATACAAAAAAATTAGCCTGGTGTGGTGGCGGGCACCTGTGGTCCCAGCTACTCCGGAGGCTGAGGCAGGAGAATGGCGTGAACCCGGGAGGTGGAGCTTGCAGTGAGCCGAGATTGCGCCACTGCACCTCCAGCCTGGGTGACAGAATGAGACTCCGTCTCAAAAAAAAAGAAAAAAAAAGAAAGAAAGAAAGAAAAAAGTTAAAAAAAGTTTTATAAAAAAGTAAAATTTAAAAAAGACTAAATAAGTAAGTAAATAAATAAAATGGGTGAGCCCCACCCCTCCCAGCTCAGCCCTGTCCCTGGACACATGGGTTTAACTCACAAGGGCCTCCCTCTTCTTCTCGGGGTGCCTCACCCTCTGCAAGGCCCTCCACCATCTCTCTTCTCCACTCCACACCTTCTCAGCTTCTCATCCTGACTTGTCAATTGCTCCATGCCTTTTTTTTTTTTTTTTTTGTGAGACAGAGTCTTGCTCTGTCACCCAGGCTGGAGTGCAGTGGCGCGATCTCGACTCACTGCAAGCTCCGCCTCCCAGGTTCACACCATTCTCCTGCCTCAGCCTCCCGAGTAGCTGGGATTACAGGCACCTGCCACCACGCCCGGCTAATTTTTTGTATTTTTAGTAAAGACAGGGTTTCACCGTGTTAGCCAGGATCATCTCGATCTCCTGACCTCGTGATCCACCCACCTCGGCCTCCCAAAGTGCTGAGATTACAGGTGTGAGCCACTGCGCCCAGCTGCTCCATGCCATTTTTTAAAAAATTATGTTTTTCCCTTTAAAAATTGCTGCAAAGGGCTTCAGATCCACGTGCATAAGAAAGGACATAGAGCGAAGAAGGAAGGCCACCATCTGTGGTCTGGCTACATCCTGAAGTCAATCAGGCTTGTGCAGGTCCAAACTGGCTGCTTAGGACAAGCTCAGGTATCCTAAGGGCCAGAGAATCTGCTCCTTTTCCCCACGAGCATGGACGTACCCAGAAAGTGGTGCAGGATAGGTTGGCTCCAGAGGGGAGGAGGCCATCCCAGCAGGCTGAGGATGGTGTGCAGGGTCTGGAAGGTGTGACACTCCCTCATCCCCCCCGGGGATCAGCTCAGTCCCCCATCCCACCCCACTCTTGCCCTGTGCTTGTGAAGATCCTCTGCCTCATCACACAACTTTCTTTGTCCTATTTCTCCCCTTGTCAGGTGGCCAAGAACATGGTGTACAGTTCAGAGAGCCTCTCAATATGTTGCTTTAAAGTTGAAGACGGGGCCAGCCCAGGGTATCAGCAGCCTTGGCCCCTGCTCCATGCACCATTGCAGGCTGGAGCTATGGCGTTTCCCAAAAACCACCTGGACTTCTTACACATAGAAACAGGGTGACCTCCTAGATGGGTAGACATGCTGCCCTCCAGCTGAGGGTTGGGGTGATGGGATGGGCTGAACTCTGTTCCCCCAAATTCATATGTTGGCGTTGAACCCAGGACCTCAGAATGTGAGTGTATTTGGAGACAGGGCCATTAAAGAGGTAAGGTAAAATAAAGTTATTGCGGTGGGCCCTGATTCAATAGGACTGGTATCCTGGGAAGAAGAGATTAGATACACACAGAGGGATGACCATGTGAGCGTGCAGGGAGAAGACACCATCGGCAAGGCGAGGAGAGGCCTCAGAAGGAACCAGTCCTGCTGACAGCCTCGTCTTAGACGTTCAGTCTCCAGAGATGTGAGACGATACAGTTCTGCTGTTTGAGCTGCCAGATCTGTGGCACGTTATTACCACGGCCTGAGCTGACCCACACAGATGGTTCTCTCGGTCAAACTGTCTCCCCGTTTGCCTTCTGTGCATACTGGCAGGTGAGTGAATGAGCAGAAAGCTTCATTTCCTCCCCAGGCCTGAGCAGGCAGCAGCTGCTTTCCAGGGAGAAGCGCCCCACCTCGCCTCCCAACCCCACACCTGAGGCTGGCCTTGTTATATTTGCCACCAAGATTCCTCAGGGAGCACATCTCTTCATGGACTCCAGGCCCCCAGTCTCAGGACCCAACTCAGCATCCCGCCCACATTGTTGATCTGTCTATTCCTTCCTAAAGCATCAATTATTTTGGAAGGAGCCCAAGAAAATTTCCAATGAGTGTGCATGACAAGGGGATGAAGGAAAAGCACCCTCCTTCGGCCATTTCTGCAGGTCCTGGCTCTGTGCTTTGCAGAAGCGGCCTCGGAGTCCTTGCCAATAGACCTATGCCTAGTGCCCCAAGGGACAAGTGTGTGTCTCTGCCCAGAGAAGGCAGGGAGAAGGAGGAGGCTGGTTCTGCTCCAGCTTGAGGTGGACCTGGGTTTGGGACTGTCATGGGACCAGGGAGGTGACCTTGTATTCAAAAGTTATCACATCCATAACCCAAATGAACTTTCACCTTCTATTTTTCTGCTAAGTCGTAGTTAAAACAAGGAATATGATCTCCACAGGGTTGTGTGTCCACAGCAGTGAAGGAATCGGGGTTTGAGGAATTATTTGGAGATTGTTACCACTTTAGAATGGCCAGCCTGGGCTTCTAAGAGGAAGAGTCAGCTTTCCTTCTGGCTGTGCATGTACATACTAAGTGCATCCTGAAACCCAATGATTAAGTAATATAGTGAACAGAAGTGGTGATTCGGGGAGGGAGAGGGCCACCAGGAGAACAAAGTGGGGCAGCTGGGAGGATGACAGTCGGGAAAGAGGTGGCTGTGTGGGTGGATCTCTTGAGGGCCTCGCTGCATGCTGAGATAGAGTGAGCAGCGGAGGCAGTGGGCACAGAGAACAGCCGAGGGGAGGTGACATAGGAGAGCTGCTTTACAGGATGACTCAGTGGGGACAGAACAGTTCAGCAGACAGGGACACCGTGTACAGAGGCACAGAGCCAAGGGGGCCTGGAGCAGCTGGGAGCCAGCTGGGGCCATGCCTGCTATACCTTGCCACTGGAGCTGCAGAAACTCTGGGGATGTGTCCTTTAGGAGCCAGCTGGGAAGGGCATGGCCATCCGTGGCTGTGACAGCACCCCACTGGCACTGTTTCCACTGTCCACGCAAAGTGGCCGTGGGCTATGATTATTCTGTAAGGCCCAAGACACAGAGCACTAGGAGTTCTGCAGAACAAAATGTGTGGCCACACACAGGTGTGATGGTGCATTCTTAAGTCTCTCAAGTTTTGGGAGCTGATGACACCTTGTGGGGTATGCACACCCACCTCTTCAGGCCTGACTGCCTTCCCTCCTGCCAACAGGCCCAGCACAGCTGTCCAGGGATGCTGCCGGAAGCAGCCGCAGGCCCCTGCAGGCCCATCCTCCGGTCCCTATCCTGCCCTTTCCTTGACATCCCACCTCCTCTCCAGTGGTGGTGATTGGAGCAGCATCAGAATACCCTGGAGGGCTCCGTAAAACACAAATCACTGCCCCCACGCCCCAATTTTCTTATGTAATAGCTTTGGCCGGGGCTGGCACTTGTTTTGTCAACAGGATCCCAGGGGATGTTGATGGTGCTGGTCTGGGGACCATGCTTTTGACAACCACTGCATACAGCAGGACAAGTCATGTGCAAATAGCAAAACAGGCCTCTGCATTCATTTCCTAGGGCTTCTGTAACGAAACATCCCATCCTGGGTGGCTTAAAGCAACAGAAATTTATTCTTTCCGAGTTCTGGAAGGCAGATATCAGAAATCAACATGTGCGTAGGGTGAAGTTCCCTCAATCCACAGCAGAGCAGCAGGGAATCCAGCCCACATGCACAGTTCAGCCTGGGGCAGGGTGGGGCCCATAAGAAAGCTGGCCAATTCTCCTTGCCGTGCAACACTTTGGCCAGGCCTTCCGGCCACTCACATCCAAGCTCTGTCCGCACCCTGGGACACAGCTGCCTCCTGACCACCCAATGAGCGTACAACTGTGCAAGATGTGTCTGAACCGGAAAGGCCTGAGCAGGCCACAGAAGTGGCCAGAGCATTTGTGCAGAGAACTGGGGGGTCCTTTCCTGGAAGGATGGGGTGTGGGCTCCTGGTGGCGAGGGGAACCTGCATGGGGCCTTCTGAAGCATAGGACCCCAGTAGAAGCCACTCTTCCTTCTGTTTAAGGAAAAATGAGAAGCAGCACTCTCCCCCATCTCCACGTGCCAGGCTTCCAGGCCATGATTCTCTTGCTTCTGCCCATGGTGCGGGAGCTCAAGCTCGCCCGTGGGAGCTTGTTGGAGCTCAGATCAGGGTCCTGTCCACAGAGAGTCTGCTTTGGAGGGTGTGGCCTGGGCTGGGGCAGTGTCACATGGCAAGCGGCCCTGGTGATACGTGTGGTCAGCGGGGCACCGTGGAGAAGCAGCTGTGTGGGGCCCCCTGGGAAGTCCTGGTGGGGAGAGTCACCTGGGAGCTCTGACTTCACCTCACCATACTGGGAGTCAGAGACGTGCTCAAAAACATGGCTTCCTGGGAAGGTTTCGAAGCTCATCATCATTCACACGTTGGTGTGAGGAGGCCCAGGTGCAGCGAGCCCCTCTGCACCCTAGAGATGGGTGAGTGTGTTGTACACACATGTGTGCGTGCAGATGTGTGTGCACTCTTTTTAAACAGTGTGCCCACAGTGTGGCTGCGGTCAAGGAGGGAGTTTAAAGTGTAACCCCAACGTGCCATCTTGAACAGAAGAAACCTATCTCACAGCAGAAATTTTTTTGGTGCTATGACCAGTTTCCATGCGCTTGACACAAGGATCATAAAACCGAGGTTTGCAGAGTGCCACTGAACAGGGCTGTGAGGAGGCTGTGAAAGGGATGCGTGTTCCGGCCTGCAGAGCCTGGCATGTGTCTGCTAGAGGAAGGCACTATCTTGGACAGTGAAGGGGACTGTTCAGAGGATGGGAGGGAGTGCTAGGCCACTCCAGCCCTCAATGGACATGTCCAGCTCCGGGACTGCCTAGGTCACCCAGTGACCCTGGGAAGAGAGCCTAGGAATTTATTAATGCACACAACATACCACACACATCACTCACCACACATCACATATACCCCCCCACACACACCACACACCCCATACCACACACACACATAGCACACCACACATAGCACATACCACACACACACACCACACATACCACATACCCCCCACACACGCCACACACCACACATCCCCCCACACACCATATCACACACACAGCACACACACCACACATCACACATACCACATACCACACACATGCCACACACCCCATACCACACACACAGCACACACACCACACACTACACTACCACACATACCACATACCATACACACACACCCCATACCACATACACAGCACACACACACCACACACATATCACACACACGCTACACATAACACACATACCACATACCCACTCCCCTACACACCATACCACAAATACCATATACCATATACACACTACCACTTACATACACATATCACATACAAACACATACCACACATACCACATACACACACCATACATCCCATACCACACATACAGCACACACCACACATACCACACACACACCACACCCCATACCACACACACAGCACTCATATACCACACATACATCACATACCACACACATATCAGATACCACACACACACCACACACCACATATACCACATATTCCATATCACACACACACACCCCACACCCCATACCACATACACAGCACACACATACCATGGACATATCATATACCACATACACTACACCCCACACATACGACACATTCCATACTGCACACACACCACACCCCATACCACACGCACAGCACACACACCTCACACCACATATACCACATACCACACACACACCTTACAGCACATACCACATACACAACTACCACATACATACACATACCACATACAAACACACACCACCCATACCCCACACCACACACACACAGCACACACAGCACACACCACACACACACCACACATACACCATACACACCATATACCACACACACATAACCACACACCACAAACTCCATACCACACACACGGCACACATACCAAACACATACACCCATACCACACATGCACCACACACATACAACATACCACATACACACACACCACACATAACACCCACATACCACACACACACCACACCCCATACCACATGCACAGCACACAGCACACACCACACATACCCCATACCACACACACACAGAGCAGACACACCACACAGCACACACACACCACACATACACCATACACACCATACACCACACACACATAACCACACACTTCAAACTCCATACCACACACACAGCACACACACCACACCACAGATACCACACACATACAACCATACCACACACACACCACACACATACTACATGCCATATATACACACACCACACACCACACATACCACATACCCCCCACACCACACACACACCACACACCCCTTACCACATACCACATATCACATATACACCATATACTACACGTACCACACACCACACCCACATACTACACACCACATATCACATACACACACCACACCCTACACATACCACACACCACACCCACATACCACACACACCACATACTCCATAACACACACAGATCACACACATACTACATACCACATACACACACCACATACCTCATACTACACACACACCACACACACACCACATATCACACACACCACACACACATCACATACCACATACACACACCATGTACATACTACATATCACATGCACACACGCACATATGCCATATACCCCTTATACCACATCCCACACCACACACTCCCCACACACCACACACTGCATACCACAGCACTCACCACACACCACAAACCACACACACCACACATACTACACACACCACACACACATACAACACACCATACCACACATATACCACACTATGCACACACCACAGCATACCACACACACACCAAATACACCACACACGCAGCACACCACATACCCTATACAATGAACACACAATGCACACCCACAGCATACCCCCACACACATCCCACACTGCACACACGCACACCTTCTCACAGGCTCACAGGACACTTTTCTAGAACATGAGGCATTGGAGATGGAGATAACACACAAAAATTCTCTCTGGCGTCTCCTCTGCATATGTGCGGGCAGTGTGAAAAATGTACACTCAGAGACACTTTGGGCCATATGTCTGAACCCACACTGACAGCACACACACTGAGCGGCCATGGGAAATACAGTCTGCACTGCCTGAAGCGCGTGTACATTTTGGTATCCAGTGAGAAACTGCTCATAGCTCAGTCACCTCAATGAATCAATGTACTCAATAAGCAGAGGAAAAGCAAGCAGACGGAAAGATAGTTCTTAAAAAGGAAGTTTGCAGGCCCTGAGCAACATCATAAAAGCAAAGAGAAGCAAAACACCCACAGATGTGGGAAGGGAGTCCTGTCCGTGGGTCTGCTCTCTGCAGCCCAGTGGCTTCCAAGTCTCCCACTGCAAAGCAGGCCCCTGTTGCTCACGGGGGCCTTTCCCCACAGTTGCCCCCCCACAGTGCCTCCCTCCACCTCCCTGCCCTGCCTCCTGCAGCCTCCCTCCACCGCCCTGCCATAGTAAGTGAGCAGTGTGTGCTCCTGCCCTTTTATTCAGAGCCCCAACCGAACACCAACAGATGTGCTGTTGGGTCACATATTTGGCAGGGTGGTCATAGTTTGTGGTTCACCATGCCTTTGCACATGGAGTGGATCAGAAAGGCACAGTGGGGCTGCAGGGAGAACAGGACACCTGGAGAGCAGCCGCAGCACCTCTGCTTATCACCGTGCACAGCTCCTCAGCTCTCCCTGGAAGCCATCATAGCCCTGGGACTCTCCGGTGGGCTGAAGTCAACCACTGACAAGTGACACTCATGAGRCCGAGATGTACTCCAAGACATTTCATTTTGTTCCCCATGAATTGCTAAGACACAGCCTCCTGCAGGGAGACGGATGCCCACTGCAGGAGGGTGCTGGAGGAGGCGGGCCTAAACCCACAACAGGGTGATTGGGGGCTGGGTAGYGGCTGGGTGGTTTCTGACAAAAGTCCTGTCCGAAAGCATCGAAGTGGACAAGGTGTTCCCAGGTCAGCATGGAGCCAGCTCACCTCCTGGCAGGGAACCTGAAGGAGAGGCTGTCCTGCCAGCAGCTGCTATCTGGCCTGTCCCAGGCCCYGGCTGGAAGCTGAGGCCTCTGGCCCCAGCTCTGGGGAGGCCCTGGCTCAGTGGACCTTCAAGGTCCACATGAACCTCCAGGGCTGGATCCACAGGTCTTTGTGCCCAAACTCAAGTCTTCCGTGCTGTCAATCATGAGAAATGAAGACTGTGTGGTTTTGGAAATGTGAGGGTGGCAGCTGATGATGGGCTATTTTTCAAAAGTGGGCCTACATGTAATAGGGAAATAGCAGAACCCGCTTCCATTTCTAGGAAGGATTTTATGACAGGGTGGTGACACCTGGGGCCAAGTGGGTTGGTGGATGCTGCGTGACCCTGTCTGGAGACAATCTGTGTTCGTCTGCTCTGGGGAATTCAGGCATGACCCTCCATGGCAGCACGGGGTTCCAGGTTGTGACTCTTCATATTCTTGTAATACCCAGGAATTCCGTGATTAGCAGGCACAGAGAGGAATGCCAGTTTGAGATAAGAAGAGCTGCCATAAACCCAACCAGAATTGGAGATGTAGGACTCGAGGGAGCCTTTTCCCCTGTAAGAGCATCTGTAGATCTAAATTCCTCTGCCCCGTTATTGTGGGCTGGTGCCAACAAATGCCCGGCATTGCGATCATGGAGCTGACACGAGGGCTGGGGCAGTCAGCTGCCTGCCAGGGACAGGGTGAGTCTGACAGCTCATGGCTTCTTGGCAAACCTGACAGTCCCTACAGTTGCCATTCATGGGCATTCGAGCCATGTAGACTACCTTAGTTATAAGATGACAGGCCTAGAAGGTAAAATATCAAGGGGTCATTATTTGGTTCTGTTTACAAGATCATTTTGCGCCAATTCTTCTGCCTCTGTACAAAGAACAAACTTGCTAGATCTCTTTTCTAATGTCTATATTTTGATAAGGATAATTCAGGAACAAGGGTTCCCCTCAAGAGTGTGGCTTTCCAATGGTATGTTTGGTTGTAAAGTCAGCTCTGTGGAGGGTGATCAGCATTTTTTTTAAAGAGTGAAATAGCATGGAACTGAAAATTCTGGAATGCTCTAAACCCCGTAAAGTCCAAGATGTCGTGCATCTCCACGAGCCCTGATGGTCAGGCCCTAGCTGCTTTCCCAGTGTCCACCAGGCCCTCGGCCCTCCACCCAAGTCCTCTGTACCCTCCTGCCTCTAGGCTTGAGTACTACCATCCCCAAAGAAGGTGAGCTTTCCCCACATCTAGACTGGCTGTGCCTCCCTTTCTCAGGCCTATGCTCAGATGCCCTCTCCTCCCAGAAGTCCTTCCTGCCCCTGCTCTCTTTGCCTGTACCCCAAAGCCTGCTTCCTTTTTCTCTGAGATGCTTACCACCACTTGACACAGTATCATCACTCTGTGACTTTTGCTGTGGTCTGTCTCCTTCCCTTAGATTATCAACTCCACTACGGGAGGGACGTCGTCTTGCTCTCTGCCACGTGCCTGGCAGCTAGAACCATGCTATACACAGTAGGCACTCAATAAGTATTTGTTATTATTGAAGGGATGAATGAAAACTGACATTGGGGCTGAATGTGGTGGCTCACACCTGAAATCCCAGTACCTTGAGAGGCCGAGGAAGGCAGATCACTTGAGGCCAGGAGTTCGAGACCAGCCTGGTCAACATGGAGTAACCCCGTCTCTACTAAGAATACAAAAATTAGCCAGGTGTGGTGGCTGAGGCACAAGAACCCGGGAGGTGGAGGTTGCAGTGAGCCGAGATCGCACCACTGCATTGCAGCCTGGGAGACAAAGTGAGATTCTGTCTCAAAAAAAAAAAGAAAAAAGAAAAGAAATTGGTAACTATCCTTATGTCATTGAATGGTGGTGAGATCAAATAAGACAATTTAAGCCCAGTTCCCAGAACATAGTGAATGCTCAATAAATATTAGGTATTATACTCTTTTATTTTCTCTGAACGTTCAGGCCATTCATTACTTTTGAAATTTTTGAAGTCTTTTTGGAAGAGAAATGCTTCTTGTGTTTCCCAGTAAGTTGGAGTTCCTGAGCTAGCATCATGAGACTTTTAAATCTGAAACTGACAATGCCAGTGCCCAGAGGACACACTAGTGGATGCAGGTGCGATGCAGTTTCCTTAAGTGCCTGGCCAGGGAACCGAGGGACTGGCGGTGCAGCCGGCCCTTTGTACTTTCTGTGATCATAAGATCTTCCTATTGAGAGTTCAGTTCTTTCTGAATACCTCACAGGAAAGGTATTTCGAGCATGTGTTGAATATTTTCAAATCCACAAATTCTTTGGGGTCCCCTGATTCATTTTTAGAGTGCTACAGGCTTCCCTATTTGGAAAAGCTTTTGGGAAAGGAGTCCCTGGATGCCAGGGCTGCTGCATGTCACCAGGGAAATATTTACCTCTCTTGTGTCAGCTTAATAATAGAAGCACTGCACATTCACACAGCACACTGCTAAACTTAACTAATGCAGTCACAGTGGTCTTGGAAGATGAAGTATTTTTACCTGTGGACTAGCCAAGGTATAAACAGAGGCATCGAGGAATGTCTGCAAGGTGCCCTGGCACACCCTTGCCAGAGCCAGCTATTTGATCCCACTTGTCATGGGCTGAAACCTGTCTTAAAATAAGCTTACTGTGGGGCTCTCTTTGCTAAGATGGAGCCAGTCCATGCAGTGAAGGAGAAAATGATTCTCAGGCTGACCTCTCGGTGAGAGAGATGTGCAGACTCTATGAGCAGAATACCAAGGTGGGGAGCATCTCCATAAGGGAATTGTCTGAACCACGTTGCTACGAGGATGATCAGCCCCCTGTGCAGAGCTGTAGACGTGTGTGTGCATGTGTGTGTGTGTGTGTGTGTGTGTAAGTGTTGGCCTGGGGGACAAAAATCAACTAGTTGCTTTCACTTTGTCCTGATAAAACTTTGGAAAAAAAATTTTAAGATACATAGAAAATATCCTTCCTTTCCCATTCCTTTATTTTTCAGCATTGTTTGTTTTCTTGCCCCTCTCGTGCTGTGTTCAGGCTTTGCATCTGTTGAGCGTTTATGAACCTCCTCTGTGGGCCAGTGTCTGTGGTAAGTGCTCACATTGGCTACTTGCCATAATTGTCTCAGAAGTCCTTCAAGGCCCATGTTAGCAACTTCACTTTACAAATAAAGTGAGGCTTCCCCCAGTGCCATACCCAAGAAGCGGGAGAACCAGTGTTCAGCTCGGGTCCCTCTGCCTCTGGAAGGACGCTCTCGATCTTGCTTCTGCAGGGCCTCTCTAGTGAAGTGGGGTGGGAGGCCCCACAGGGATCCTAGAGGCTCCTCTGGGCTAGCATCCAAGGCCACTTCTAGGAGCCTGAATGTCAACACCACCCAGGGCACTGTGTCTTCCACCTCCTCTTGGCTCTTCCTCTCATCTCTCAAGCTAAAGAGCATGTCCAAAGGCTTCTGGAACCAGGGCACTTGAGAGTTTATTTTGCAATTACACCTTGAAGAACTGTAGGATGCTCTAGGCCATTCCTGGGAATTGATTTGCATCTGTCCTCCCAGCCAGTGACCCAGCCTGGAAGGAGGACTATTGTCATTGTAGTGAGGTGGCCCCAGTTACCTGCAGGTTCAGGAGCAAAGCCTCCTGAAAAATCAAGGTCCATCCTTGAGGACTCTAAGCCTATCTGTGAGCAAGGCAGGGTCAGAACCACTCAAGCATAACCACAGCTGTGGGTCAGGGAGGGAGGAGCACTGTGTCTCCAAGCCCCTGGATTTCTTTGTGGTAATGAAAAGTCCTAAGGACACCCTAAGACTGGAATCTGGGAAGGAAGGAAGGAAGGTTTTCCTCCTCATGTGTCCATGTGTGGGTTCTGAGTGGAAGGACAGAATCCTTACTTTAATTTAATTAACCCTTAAAAGACTTTGTCTCCACTTGTCTCCAAATACAGTCACATTCTGAGATATGGGGTTAGAACTTCAACACAGGTTAAGTTGTTTAGGCTCTTTGTTCAGAAGTACCTGATCTAGCCAATGATTTGGCCAACACCTTTTATACTTGGTTTGGGCTCTAAGTGGAGTCTTAGAGAATATCATGTACAGGTGACATTACTGGGTTCCAGGGTCCAGAAGGTGTTGGAGGGGTGCTCATGATTGCAGTGGCAGCGGGTCTTCTATAAGCAGTAGGGCAATGGAATTTCAACCTCCAGACCCTGTGTGCAAAAGCCCCGAGGGTCACTAGGGGCAGTCACAGGGGAAGAAAGGAAATGGCCAGGCCCTTCCAGGTAGAAAGGGCCATTTGTGCTTGTTGTGGTCTTGTGGGGACACTACAGAACACTGATCAGATGCAATTGGTTGCTATCACCAAGGCAAGAGACTTGGGTTGAACAATTCAAGGGGTTTCCTGGGCCATGACCTCACCACACCTTCAGTTCCATGTAGACAAAATGACCTGTTCTTCCAACAAGTATTGTTTGAGCCCCTGGTACTTGCCACACAGAGTTGTAAATGCTGGGGGCACAGCTGTGGGCAGACAGACAAAAATCCCTGCCCATAGGGAGCTGACCTTCCGGTGCAAAGGTTGGCATGTTTTCTGCAAATGTTTTAGGCTTCAGGGGCCGTGTGGTCTCTGCCACAGCTCCTCAACTTGGCAAAAGCAGCCACAGATGACAGGCTCATGAAGGGGTGTGGCGATGCTCCAGTACCTTACCTACAAAACAGGTGGCTCATCTGGTCTGTAGAATTTGGCCTGGGTAGTATTTGCTGATCTGTAGAATTTGGCTTGGGCAGTATTTGCTGATCTTTGCTCTAGTGTACAAGATGGGAAAACATGCTCTAGGTTCAAGTTCTGCCAAATGTATTATGTTTTCAATCCCTTTGCAGAACATCTCTACCCTTGAGGCTGACTTTAGAGTACTTTGCCCCAGGCCAGCTTTTGCTTGTCACCTTGACCATGTTTGCAGGTGAGGCCGGCCTGCAGAACGTGCTGCTAGCAGACATCCTCCACCAATGGGCTGAGCTGTGTCCCCCACAAATTCCTGTGTTGAAATTCCAACCCCCATATCTCAGAATGTGACTGTACTTGGAGACAAGATCTTTAAAGAGGTAATTAAGTTAGAGTGAGTTCGTATGGGTGGACCTGTAACCAAAAAATATCTGAGACAGCTTTCAATCAATTTAGAAGCGTATTTTGCCAAGGTTGATAACTCATGCCCATAACTCCTGATAACTCAGGAGACAGTTCTGTGTCTTTCTCCAAAGATGATTTTGAGGGCTTCAATATTTAAAGGGGAAAAGCAGGCTGGAGGGGAAGGAGGGAGGGTATGGTCACATTACTGAATCCACATGTTGCAAGAGAAAAGGAGCTGGTGGGGGTATAGTCAATTATGTATGCGTCTTGCACTCAGTAAATCAGCACTTTATGTAAGTTAAGGTGAACATAGAGCAGCTACCTGTGGAGATACTTAACCTTTTATCTGTAGCTATCTGCTTAGGAACAAAAGGAAAGGCAACTTCTTCCACGACTCAGCTTTCAGCTTAATTTTTTTTTCTTTTGGCACAGTAAATTGTGGACCCAAATTTTAATTTTCCTTTTCAAAGCCTAATCCAATATAGCCACTGTCCTATAAGAAGGGGAGATGAGGACACAGATACCCACAGAGGGAGGGATGACCATGTGGGGATGCAGGAAGAAGACGCCATCTACAAGCCAAGGAGTGAGGCCTCTGGAGAAACCAGCCCTGCTGACACCTTGCTCTGGTACTTCCAGCCTCCAGGGCTGAGAGGATAAATGCGGGTAGTTTCACCCCTCAGCTCTGTGGTGCTTTGCTATAGCAGCCCAGGCTGACTGTTAGATCTTCCCTGCCCCAAGCGCAGATGGCGGGATGGAATAAGGCAGGGCTCCTCCCTTACGGCCAGGCTCTTCCCCCAGCACTGGGAGTAACCCTCACCTTCCCTCCTCCCACTCTTGGTTCCCTCCAAGGCCCTCAGATGGGTAGTAGCCCTGACAGCTCCTCCACTCCTGGGGAGGTGACCCAGTGGAGGTGGAAGAGGAAATAATTTAGAGAAAGAGAGAAAGTTTGTAGAGATGAGGCTGAAGGAAGATGTCCTCCTTCCCAGCCTCCAAGAGGTGGACAATAGCATTAACTTCTGGGTGGAAGGAGGTGCTTCCCTTGTTCACTGGACCTACTTGCTCAAGGAGTGCCCTGGACAGACGCGGGCCGAGGCATGGCCTCCAGTGGCAGGTGTCCTGCTGGAGACACACTTCAGCTGGTGTCAGCATCAGAAACTCTGATTGTCCAAACTCTGGAGTCATTAGAAGAGCAAACGGCCAGCCATGGAGGCTTCTGCAGTGTGAGCTTCCAGCCCGGGTGGCATGGCTATTTCCAAAGTAAATAAGCAAACCTCTTGTGCCAGGGTTATGAAGTTTTTAATAGATAAGCTGGGAATTGGGAGCCCCTGGAAGGCCCCGCTCCAGTGCTGGGGAGCCCTTCTCTGGCATCTGCCTCTCAGGTTGCTCTGCCTTATCCTCAGGGTTCTCCTGCACCCGGGGCCAGAGAGCCTTGCCTGCCACGGGCAGGGCCCTTCCCCACACGCTGGTCCTGCACCAGCTCAGGCCAAACTTGACCACAGTGTTGTGCTAGGTGCCCAGGAGAGCAGGCAGGATGGCGTGAATGCCCCCCAAGCTGACTGTGGAACTTGGAAGGACAAGCCACTGCGCCTGACTTTGCCGCCCTCAGGGAGGACGTCGGGGTGTTTGCCCATGGGCTTGCTCCACTGGGGGTGTTGTCACACATTCTGATGCCCCTGAGCCCCTTGGCTCCTGGTTGAGTGGCTCACTGGGCATGACAGTGGACTCAGAGCCCATTGGTACATGAGGGACCCTCCTCCAGGCTCAGGTGCCAGTTCTACTGGCACCTTGACCTACACAGTGCCGGGTGGCTTGGGCGGTGGTAAGGAAAGATTATGAGCAGCACAGTCCTTTACAAAATGCAACGCGGCGTTACCCAGATATCTTACTGAGAATTAAAATGTAAAATTTCTTCATTTCAAATTTAATATTGTAACTAAAAGTCCTTTCCAGGACCAGGATTTCCACTGGTTGTGCCCTGGTGATCGTAGGAGTATTTCCATATCTGATCACTCACAATGCTCGCCTGGCTGGGAGGCCCAGTTCCAGTGCCCTCCCGCAGGGACAGGGAGGACAGGTGGGTGGGGCCTCGTATCTGGCTGGACCTGGAGGGGCTGGCCATGAGAAGGGAGGCTGGCCACAGGGCCCACCCGGCTCTTGTCTGGGGATGATGTGGTGGAGGCCATGGTCTGTTCTATCAGCTTGTGGGAGGTTTGGGGCAGGACAGGGGAGATAGGCATTCAAGGACCATGGCAATCTCTGGAGAAGGCATTCACAGGGCCCATGGCCTCCAGCCATTTGATCGTGATATTCTGGCTTGTGGGGAAAAGTAAAACTCAGAGGACAGCAAGTAGCCAAGGCTTTGAATGGGTCTGTGGCCAAGCTCAGGCTAAGATCCCTGGTACGTCATGCTGCTCCTGTTTGCTGGGGGCCTTGGCCCTGCCTCCACCGTCAGGGGTCACCCTGCTTGGCTGGCCTTACTGTACTTGGCCTGGAACTGTGTATAGGGAGATTGAAGCCAGAGCACACTTCTTGCAGCCTTTTCCTTCAAGCTTTTGAAGAAAATAACTTTTTACAGATGGGCCTTGGCCAGGGACAGAAGCATGTTTTGTGTTAAAACAATGGTTGCATTTTCCCCAGGAAACAGCGCCAAGTTACCAGGCCACTTTGCCTTGGCAGGGCCTCCTATCCCAGGGTGGACTCTGGCCCACACCAGGGCTGTGTCTCCATCACCCTGTCATGGCAAGAAAAAGAGAAAACACCCAAGACGTGAAGCAGGCTTGCCTGCTCCTACCTGCCCTGCAAGCTTGTCTCTGCCCCAAGCCCCCAACCCTGTCCCCTGAGCTTCTCTTTACCCCAGACTTGGCTCTTGTCCTGGTGAGAGTGTGCTCTCTGAGCCCCAGAGAGTGAGTGGCATTCAGAGAGTGTCTGAGGACACAGAATTATGAAATCATACTTGGGAAACCACCCAGAGGCAAGCGCTTGGAAAGACTCCTGTTTTTATTTCTTCCCCCGCTCTACCTCTATATAATAGTCTTATGTTATTTTCTCTTTATAGTTTGAGACAGCAGCATCAATCCATGCAAAGTCCCATTTATTTCCAATACCCTATTCCTGTTTCAACTCCATTTTCCAGAGGCCGTCATGCTCATATGCTATGCACTATAAATGTGTAAGTATCCTTGCTAAGTGGTGTTTTGTACATTTACATTACCTTTTTTTTTTTGAGATGGAGTTTTGCTCTTGTTGCCCAGGCTGGAGTGCAATGGCATGATCTCGGCTCACTGCAACCTCCGCCTCCCGGGTTCAAGTGATTCTCCTGCCTCAGCCTCCCGAGTAGCTGGGATTACAGGCATGCACCACCACGCCCGGCTAATTTTGTTTTTTCAGTAGAGACGGGGTTTCTCCATGTTGGTCAGGCTGATCTCGAACTCCCGACCTCAGTTGATCCGCCTGCCTTGGCCTCCCAAAGTGTTGGGATTACAGGTGTGAGCCACCGCGCCTGGCCTACATTGCTTTTTAATCCATGTAGAATGTAAATACTATGCTTCTTTTTCTGCTCCTTCCTGTGTACGTAGTCACCGTGTGTGTGCGTGTTCTTGTGTGTGTGTATGTCACTGTTGGCTGTCCGTACATCTAGCTGTTGCTTCTGACATAGTCTGCATCACCCACACTTTGCTAATCCATTCCCCTCCACTGCCACTGACAATGCAGTCATGAAAGTCTGCAAAGATGTCTCATGTAGACCTGTTGGTGAAGGCTCCAGAAGAGGAAGCCACCCCAGAAGTGGAGTTGCTGGCTCAGTGCTAAACACGATTGGTTTTCTAAGCAATGCCTGGCTGCTTTCAGCAACACTTGTGGCTTTGTTCATGAGTATGGCAACTTCCATTTTCACTAATCTTTTATTGGTGTCACTCAGTGTATTCGTGGCTTTGCCAATCTGAGGTGTGTATAGGTCCAAAGTGCTATCTCCCTGCTCTCGTAATTCGCACGTCTCCTATTAACAGTGATTTTGAACATCTCTGAGTACACTTGTTGGTGATTTGGCCATCTTCACTTCTGAATTGCTTATTGGTATCTTTTGGTCATTTGTAGACACTCCTTGTATATCCCAGGTGTACCCAGTCAGTTTTACATATTACATATATCTTCTGCTATCTGTTTTCCACAGAAAAACAGTTTGAATGAATGTGCGAATTCTGTTAGAACACCGCATGTGAGGTTCATAACAGGAGCAAAGCAAAGGTCTCCATTTCTGTTGTTGTTGATACACATTTGATGTGTAACTATTAGTGTGAGCTTAGTCATCACATTATTCAATTCATGTATCTTTGCTTACTTTATGAATCCTCATTCTATCTGTTTTGAGAGGGGTGTTATATTAATTTTACTAGATAGCCATGTAGGTTTGAGGCTGTATCACCAGATCTCTACATACTTAATTCTTTCACATTTTATTTTGAGATAATAGTTGCAGATTGACATGCAGTTTTAAGAATTAATACAGATTCCACATACCCTACACTCAAGTTCTCTAATAGTTACATCTTGCATAACTTTAGTACAATATCACAACCAGGAAATTTATATTGAAACAATCCATTGACTTTATTCAGATTTCACCAGTTGTATGTGTAAGTGTGTGTGTTTAGTTCTATGCAATTTTATCACATGTGCAGATTTGTGTGACTACCCCACAATCAAAGTACAAAACAGTCCCATCCCCACAGGAATTCCTCATACTACTCTGCTACAGCCCTTCTTCCTTTCCCGCCTCCGCCCAGCCTCTGGCAACCACTCATCTGTTCTCCATCTCTATAATTTTGTCAGTTCAAGAATGTTACATAAATGGAATCATACAGTATGTAACCAAAGATTGGCTTTTTCACTCAACATAATTCCCTTGAGACTCATCAAGTTATTTTGTATATGAATAGTTCATTGCCTTTTATTGCTCATTAGTATTCCATAGTATAGATGGACCATGGTTTAACGACCCACTCACTAAAGAACATCCAGATTGTTTCTGGTTTTGGATGATTACAAATAAAGCAAAGATTCTGGTACATGTTTTTGGGTGAACACACATTTTCATTTCTCTGAGATAAAGGCCCAGGGGTATAATTGCTGCGTTGTAGGGTAGTTGCATCTTCTGCATTTTAAGAATCTGCCAAACTGTTTTCCAGAATGGCTGCATCACTTTTTTTCCCACCAGCCATGTATGAATGAATGATCCGGTTTCTCCACATCCTCACCAATGTTTGGTGCCATCACTATTTTTTTTTTATTTTAGCTATGTTGACAAATGTGTAGTGATATTTTGTAAGGGCATTAATTTACATTTCCCTAATGGCTAATGCTAATATGAGTTTCTGCTTCGTGTATTTTGAAGCTCTGCTCTTTGGTGCATACCCATTCAGAATTGTTTAAGTCTTTTCAGCATGTTGATTCTCTTACCATTTTTATAATGTCTCCATTTATCTCTAATAATTTTATTTGGTACTACTTCATCTAATGTTATAGCCACTCTTGTTTTTTCATTGTTTTCATAGTATATCTTTCTCCATTCTTTTCTTTTCAACCTACTTATATGTTTGTATATGAGGTGATATATATATATATATATATATATATATATATATATATATCTCCACTATGCCAATCTGTCTTCCTATTGTTATATTTAGATCATTTATACTTAAGGTAATTATTGATATGTTAGGGCTTCTATTTTATTTTATTGCTTGTTTTCTGTTTGCTTCCTCAGTTTCTCCCTCATTTATTTTTCTTTTGTTACTTTCCTTCAGGTTGCTTAAACATTTTTTAGGATATACTCTTGATTTATTTGTAGTGTTTTTGAGTATTGTTTTCTGAGTGATTACTCCAGCTACTATAAGATACATATATAATTATAATGTGCTGGTACTGATGTTTTACTACTTTATATTAAGTACAGAAAATTTATTTCCATTTAGGTTCCTTTAATCTGTCTATTAAAAACATAATCATCTTGTGTAACATGTACAATGAGCACCTCACTATATTGTGTTATATTTGATTCAACCATCAAATTTAATTTTTAAAACTCATAAGAAAAACAGTGTATCATATTTAACCCTATTTTGACCCATTCTGATGGTCTTTTTCTTTCTTTCTGACATTTATTCTGTTATTTTTTTTTCTGCTTATGAAATTTCTCCAGCCATTCTTTAAGGGCAGGTTTGCTGTAACACATTCTTTTAGTTTTCTTGTCTGAGATTATCCTTCATTACTGTAAGATGTTTTCATCAGACTTAGAATTTGGGGTTGACAGTTCTTTTCTTTCAGTTCCTGAAAAATGTGGCTCTGCTTCTTTCTTGCCTCTATGTTTCCAGTGAGAAATCTACTGTCATTTAACTCAAGTTTTCTTATAAGGAATACTGTTTTTCTCTGGCTGCTTTAAAGAATTTTTCTTTGTTTTTAGTTGCACAAAGTTTAATTATGATGTGCCTTTAGTGTGAATTTCTTTACATTTATCTTATTTGAGATTTTCTCAACCTCTTGAATCTGTTGACATACCTTTCACTGAAGTGAGATATTTTTAGCCATTATTTCTTCAAATACCCTTTCAGTTCCATTCTCTCTCTCCTCTCCTTCTGAAATTTTGATGGTGTTATTGTAACTTCTTTCATTATTGCCCCCAAGTTTTCTGAGGTGTCACTGATTTTTTTCAGTCTATTTTATTTTTGTTGTGTGGATTGGACCCATTCTATTCATCTGTCCTCGAGTTTTCTGATTGCATCCTCTCTCATTTCCAATGAGTCCATCCACCGAGGTTTCTTTAAATTGTATTTTGGTGATTGCATTTTTAGTTCTGTAATTTCCTTTGGTTCTTTTTTATACCACCAGTTGTTTTATTAATTTTTCTATTTTTTTCATTTGTTACAAAGTAATTCATAATTGCTTGTTGAAGCATTTTTATGGTGGCTGGTTTAAAATCGTTATAAGATGATTTCAACACGAGAATCATCATGGTGCTCATATCTGTCGCCTGTTTTTTCTCTTTCAAGTTATGATTTTCCTGTTAATAATTTGATGAGTGATTTTCAGTTGTATCCTGGGCATTTTGGAAATTGAATTATGAAACTCAGAAATCTATGCAATCTTTTTTTTGTGTATTTATTTTACGAGGTAGCATTGTGTTGAGGTATAACATCAGGGCTGGTTGGGTGTGCATGTTCAGCTTTCTCCTGGCTCTGCAACATCCTTCTAGCAAAAACTAACTGTTTAATAACACTGCATCTTTGCAGATAAGGTGAGGTGCAAGTTCTGCTTCCCTATGGGCCTCATTGACACCTTTCCCCAAAATGTGTGACATTGGCTCATGTTACCTCATTGCCTCTGAGTGGAGAGGTGTAAGCTCAGCTCCCCATTTGTAGCAGATACTCCTAACAGTTGAGTATCTGCTACTCTGACTAATACACCATTGGACCCTGAAACCAGGCGGAGGGTAAGCGGAGGGCTGACTTATACCACTTTGTTGCTATACAGTATGGCAAACCTTAGCTCCCTGTTGGACTCTGCTGACACCAGGAGAGGGGAGAAGTGGAGTGACAACTAGCCTCCCTTCCCACCACTTCATTCCGCCTCACTGATGCTGGATGAGGGCAGATGTTGGGTTCCCCATCTGGCCCCACTGATACCAACGTGGGGGGAAAATGATGTGCTGTCCAGGCCCCACTCAGACTGCCTTATTTTATCTAGTTGATATTGGAGAGGACTGAGCTTGCAGGACTGGCTCTCACCTGCCACCTGGACACTGCCTTGGTGAGGGAGTTAGAACACCACCTGCCCCTGCCTGGGGGGAGATGGAAGATCAGCTGCCTGCTCCGTCCTACCGATGCTACCCATGTAGGGGAATCAAAGCACCACTACCACGACCTGCCTCTACCAAGCAGAAGGTGAAAGTTGGTGGTTATTCCCATTTTCCTGGTGCCCCTTGTACACTCCTAAGCAGGGGAACTGAAGGGAGGGAAACTGAAGAGAGATTTCATGTTGCTGTAAGATATAGATGATGTGGAGTGGAAGATCAGCTCTCAGCTTGGTCCACCGAAATCACAGTGTGGCAGGGGCAGGAGAGTAGGATGTGGGTTTTTCCTGTTGATGTTTGGCCAGCATGGTCAAAATTGTGAATATTCAGTAATTTATATTGTTAAAAAGACTTTCTGTTGTAAAGCCACTCTTTTCCTCATCCTTTAACCAGGAGGAACATAATCCTAAGACCATTGTTTTTGCCTTTTCATCTAAATGAGAGTGTAGCCAAATATATAATTCTCATTTTGAATTATCTTATTTCACGTATTTGAGCATTACTCTAATGTCTTCTTATTCTCCATGGTATTATTGAAAGATTGATGACATTCAGATTCTGAGATATTTTGGAAGTGACTAACCCCTCTCATCAAACACTTTTGGAGTTTTTCTATGTCTGTGATATTGTTATCACATATTGTTATCACAGACATAGAAAACATATTGTCTATGTTTCTAGTATGGATTTTTCCATATGTATCTTTTTTTGGTATGTGGTCAGACCTTTCAACTTGAGAACTTTCATTTTTCTTTAAGTCAGTAAAATTTCATTCTTTATTTCTTTCAATAATTTTTCCTCTAATATATGTAGTAGTATGTATAATGTATATACTATATTCAATAGTATATAAATATTGTATAGTATATGAAAAAGATATGAACATTGGAATCTATCACATGTATTCGTTTTCATTTACATTTCTTGTCTTTTTGCTACTCGATGATGCCTTCTAAAAGGAGTTCTTCACCTAAAAGGAATGTATGTTTCAACTCATGCATTCCTTCTCTAGCTACATTCATTCAACAATTAATCCTATATATTGAGATTTTTGTATTCATATTTTTCAAGCCTGGCATTTTTACTTGGCTATTCTTTAGAAATACTTCTGCCCCTTTGTCATGTCATCAATGTCCTCTCTTCCCTCTTCAAGAATGTTTGTTATACTTAAGTTCTCTCAGTCCATTTGTTCCTCTTCATCTGATGCTGATTATCCAATGTATTATCTTTAAAAAATTTTTATTTACTCATATATTTTTTAGGAGGTGGGGTCTCACTCTGTCACCCAGGCTGGTGTGCAGTGGTGCAATCATAGCTCACTGCAGCCTCAAACTCCAGGGCTCAAGCAATAATTCTGCCCCAGCCTCCCAGGCATCTGTGACCACGGGTATGTGCCACAATACCCAGCTAAATTTTACATTTTTGTTTTTGTAAACACAGGTCTCACTTTGTTGCCTTGGTTAGTCTTAAACTCCTGACCATGAGTGATCCTCTGGTCTCAGCCTCCCAGAGTGCTGGGATTACAAGTGTGAGCCACCACTTCCGACCTGTATTATCTTTTATAATATTGGTTATTCTCCTCAGTTGTCTCATCTCCCCTATCTTGTGAGATCAAATTTTAACAAGCCAACTACCCTGACTAATAATATTTGTCTAGAAGAATGAGCTGAATGGGCTGGAGCCGGGGTCTGGATTTTGCCCATTCTGGTGATTTTAGAAAGGGGCTAACATGCTACTGGGTGGAAAGGCCCTGGTGTTCAGCTGTGGACTTGAGTTTTATGTAACCCCACCCATCTAGAAAACCTGCCTCTACTCGTGCCCCTGGATCTGCTTCATCCAGGTGGTTTTCCTTCTATTTTGATTGTGACCTTATAACTCTTGGAGTACACCAGGTGGGACAGGAGGTCACTCCATAGCACTCTGTCGCTGCTTCAGTGATACCTTCCCCTCTTCAGGGGTGTGCACCTGGAGCTATTACTTTTATGATTCATGGCATGAATAAGCCAAGATTTAATTCACTCTGGACAAAGAGGCCCAGATTATTCTCTGACCCTAGGGTCTGGTTCTCTGCCATGGATGTTCTGTTCTCATACACCATGCCTTGAACGCTTGTGTGTCCAAAATACACTTTAAGAAATAGAAGCAAAATGATGAGATAATGGGCTTTGTTGGTCTCGACTGTTTGACTCATGACTGGCCACACTGATGAAAGCTGCTGTAGTTTGACAATGGTCATTGCACTCAAAAATACCTCCCTGAGGGCTGCTTTCTGAGAATGGACAGGACATGGGAAGCCAGTGTCCCTGGGTCCTGGTTATAAACCTCTTATCTGGTCAACCCAGAGTTGTCCCACCAGGCACAATGCTAGCACTGGTAAGAACACTCTACAGATTGGCATGTGAGGACAGAGCACATAGGAAAGAAGCCTCATCATCCTACCCCCACTCCCATCTACCTATGCTTTCCCCTCATCTTCTGGAATGCTTTTAACTTTTTCGTCTCTGAAGGACAAAGAATGACTCTCAGATCAGGGCAGAAGCACACTAGCAAAAAGAGAAGCCTTTCCTGTTTGCTTTGCTTTATCATGTGACAGCTGTTTGCTTCCTCCAGCACATGCCATAGATGCCAGAGAGCAGCAAATGGCATCTTCAGGCCACTTGGAGCGGTCGATTCCCAGATGTGGTGCCCAGGGAGTGATATGGTTTAGCTGTGTCCCCACCCAAATCTAAATTTGAATTGTATCTCCTAGAATTCCCATGTGTTGTGGGAGGAACCCAGGGGAAGGTATTTGAACCACAGGGGCCAGTATTTCCCATGTTATTCTTGAGATAGTGATTAAGTCTCATGAGATCTGATGGGTTTATCAGGGGTTTCCGCTTTTGCTTCTTCCTGATTTTCTCTTGCTGCTGCCATGTAAGAAGTGCCTTTGACCTCCCACCATGATTCTGAGGCCTCCCCAGCCATGTGGGACTGTAAGTCCCATTAAACCTCTTTTTCTTCCCAGTCTCAGGTATGTCTTTATCAGTTGCATGAAAATGAACTAATACAGGGAGCCTGAGCATGCTTTTGTGAATGGGGCCAATGTCTTCACCAGCTCTCACTGCAAGGAGACCATTTGATCTTTGGAAAATGTGGTAAGGTATTCAGCTCATACACATTAATCCAAATTTGAACGATGAAATCTATGGCAGGGAAATTTATTCATTCATTTATTCATTAAACAAAAATTTGATAAGCACAGGCACTTCGTTAAACCCTGGGAAACAATAGTGAAATAAACAGAGAATGAGGTTTACTTTCCAGTAGGAGGAGACTGATAGTAATATCACAGACCCTTGATTAAGATGACTAATTTAAATGGTGATAAATGCAAAGGAGGAAATAAAAGTAGATCATGTGATTGAGAGGGATACAGGGCTGGGGGTTGGTCCTTTCTATAAGAAGGCAGGACAGGAAAGCCTCTTTTAGGAAGTTATGTATGCTCTGAGCTTTGTAAGATAAAGAAGGACAGGTCATACAAAAAGCCAGAGGGAAACCTTCCTGGCAGAGGAAACAGTGAGCACCAAGTTCCCTAGCTGTGATCAGCATTGGTCTGTTTGAGCAACAGAAAGGGATCAGTGTGTTTGGAACCAGGTGAGCAAAGGGGTAAGGGATAAGAGATGACATCCAAGAAGTGAGCAGCAACAAATTGTGCAAGAAAAGAAGTCCATTGTTTTTTCCGTGAGTACAATAAACATTCACTGGAGGGTTTTAATCATGTTTTTGTTCTACTTTGCTTTAATATATCCCTGGATCATATGCAGATTGTAGGGTGAAGAATGGAAGACAGATGATCAGTTAGGAGGTTACTACTGCATGGTAGACAAGAGATAATGTTGGCTGGGATTCTGGTGGTAACAATGGAGATGGAACAAAATAGACAGAGTTAGGATATATTTTGGAGTTGTGGTTGACAAGCCTTTCCATAGATGTATGAACTGGGTTTCTCCAGAGTTTGGTGATGAGTTAATTGAATTATGTTATAATTTTCTGAGATAGTAAAGACCAGGCAGGGAAGGAACAGGTTTGACACCTGACTGGAGGCAGATGTTCAGTAGAGAACTGCCATCAGTACCAGCAGCAATATGGGATGTGGAACGGCTCTGGGGTGAAATTGACCAGAGGAAAGTGGAGGAAGTGGATCTTGAGCTCTTGCAATAGAAATGATGCCAGGTTGGATGTAGGGTGTGGGTGGGTGGGAATGATGGCTGGAGGTAAAAAGAGAAGGAAATGGAGTTGAGAGGTACTTTAAGATGTCAACTTTCAGGATAATGTTGCATTGGTTAAGGGGCTGTAAGGAAGAGGGAGGTATTTTGGCTTGTGAAACTCAATGAGTGGAAGGATAACCACTAATACAGAAAAGATGGAAGAGGACCAAGTTTAGGAGAAAATATCATAAGTTTAACTTTAGACAAGTTGAGTTAAAAGTAAATACCCTCTGGAACTTTTGTGAATTATACATTTCCATGGTACTAAGTCCCAACTTAGGGGTAAAGTCTTATTTCTCCAAAGTTAAAAATCTCTCTCTTTCTCTTTTACAAAATAGCATTTAGTACTTTTTCTAATTATAGAAGTAATACATATTTATTGTAAAACATTTAAAAATATGAAAAAGTAAAAAATAACTCAAAATCTGACTACTCAGAAATAATGAATAGTAGTATTTGATGTCTTACAAACCCTTGTGCTCATCATTTATAATTTTTATAACACTTGTATCTTGTTTTTAAAACTTAATATATGGTGTCTACTTTCCAGCATCATTAAACGTTCCTCCAGAAATGACTGTTTAATGGGGTTATCTTCATCTTTAACTCGTAGGAAGCAGAAAAGCAGAGCTGGTTTCCTCCTTCCAGAGCTCCTCCAGGCTGTAGCTGATCCCTTGCATGTTTTAAGGGCTGTGGTGACATTTCCTACTTGGGAAGGGTGTGGTCCTACTCTTATATGGAGGTCCATGACCAAAGTTACAATTCAAGGAAACTGACAGCCTGAAACATGTTCTTGAGAGTAGCCTAAGGCCTGTAGGAAAGTGGCCTGTGGGGGACGATTGCCACCCAGCCATGACCCCACTCTGATGTCGATTTCTCTCTCTGCTCATCCTTCATGCTTCACTTTTATTTCCTCACTAAATGTTTGCAGCCTTGAGAATGAATGAAAAAAAAAAAAAGAAAAAGAAAAGAGAGCAGAAATTGGTGTTGCCCAGAAATAGCCTGTTCTATCAGCACTGGAGTCCAATCCTCATTATAGCAGGGCTGATTTTTAACATTCTTCCTACCCATCTGTGGATGGAGAGCTCTCCTCGAGTTCCAGGTGATGTAGATGAGCATGCAAGGAGCAGCTTCCCTTAAGAGAGTAGCAGGAGGAGGAGGTGGAGAGCACAGAATTGACTCATCTCCCCCCAACACACTCCACACACTGCCTGGTCCCGTCGCTCCGGGAGACGTGCTGGCGGGCTTTGTGCTATGGGAAGTCATCCATCTTTCCTGCACAGTGGGGAGGGAAATTGGCATTCCTGTGGCTGTTGTAAATATATCCTTTGCTTTACACAATATAAGAAGGAAGACATTGTAAGGAAGAAGATGGGTAAAGTTTTGTAATTTAATGTGATGCATTTTTGTGATTAATAATACATGATCTTTGTTATTAATAGATTTGATCAAGAAAACAGAACTGCTCGGAGTCCTGTGGAATTAGGGTTTGGTTTTTTCTTTTCTTTCCTTTTTTTTCTGTCAAGAATTGGACCTTGAACAATTGGTCTGGGAGGGTCTGGTTGGAGGCTCAGACAATTAGAGCAGATAATTGTTCTCAGACAATTAGAGCAGAGCAGAGTTATGGGGAAGAAGTCCATACTCTGGATTGCTCGGTTGCTGGAATTCAGCCTGAAGTCACTGTCAGATCATTTGCAGAGTGGAGAACAAGGAGCCCTTGAGAGGGGGAAACCTGGGGGCTCCCAAGAACACTCTGGGACCCACAAAGGCAAAGTGGGCACCCGCACTTCTCTCTTACTGCATCTGATCCAGAGACCTGCAGAAGAAAGTGGAGTGCTTGGCCAAGGGCCAGCCTGCTAACCTGGCCCAGGACCCAGAGAAACTCAGGAGTCAGGCAGCAACTGGAGGAGCCTAGAGCCTATCCAGTTGCTGGCCTGCACCATGAGATGAGCTACCAGAACAGCAACCAGCTTTCAGAAGCACAGGGCAGCGGCCTCTGTTCTTTAATTAGTAAGACATGTTTCATAGGGCTGTTGGGAGCTTGAATAAAATAAGTGCTTACAACGTTGTGATGCCTGGAAAGTAGATAATGCTTAATAAATATATGTTACTTATTATTATTTAATTTGGGAGGCAATGGGGAGTGTTGAGTGTTCATGAGAAAAGAGAGGCTGAGATTAAAGCTGTTTAACATTATTTTGCTTCATTACATAGAATTCATTAATATTTTCTGTGCAATTTGATTAATGTTCAAGAAATAGACCACAAGTTGAAGGGATGGTCATGTGCTAGAAATGATAACTGCAAAACAGTCAACTCTAAGACCCTCCTGTGAAGTTGGTCAATGTCGAGGATGAGAAGGAATGGCTTGGCTTCCAGACAGAAAACCAAAGTCACCAAAAGTTGGAAAAGTGAGTCTGATTTCAGGTTCCTTAAGAAAATATCTCTTTAAAGAGATGTTAGAAATTGAATCAGGGATTCTATGGTTGGTCAGCAAGCATATGGTGCTGTTTGACATTTTCCAATACGTAAGTCACATGAATGAACCTTTTTGAAAATACTACTGGAATGAAAAATGGAGTCAAGAGCTTAATGAAAATAATAAACTTGGCAATGGTAGAGTTTGTATGAAGGGATGGGATAGGTGTGGGCTGGTGGTGATTTACTTCACATAGAAAGAACTAAGTTTAAATCATTGGGACTAAGATTCTGTTTGAAGATTTACCAAGCAGCCCACAAGTTTAGTTTTGCAATAAATCTGTGCGGTTGGTTTATCCCCATTTCACAGGTCAGGAGAAACTGAGGCATAGAGTGGTTAAGCCACTTGACAAGGTCCCACATTAGTCCTTAGTGAGTCTGATGCAGACACGTCAACTAGAGGTCAGTTTTCCTGCCCCCAGCAGAATGTCAGTGTCATGCACGTGGATGGTGTAAAATGGTCTAATGTAAGTCACCCAATTTAGATATTAGGGGTGGGGAGGATGGGATAGGCTCAGAAATGATCTGATGGACTCACATTTGATAATAAAAAATGATAGAGATGAGATTGTCTAAACTTTGCAAATCAGAAATAGTTTACAGTAGATTACTTATAGTTATAAAAGTGACTATGAGAAAGAAAACTTGAGGAAACACCCGGACACACACACATATAGTATGCAAAGCTGAATTAAATCCCACCCAGATTTTCTTTTTTGGGGTGCCAAAATATTGTTTATAGAGAAATGCACATAGTCACTGAATATCTAAAAAGATGAGGATCCACTTTAAAATTTCAACAACTGGAAATTAAGGACACATGATATAGTGTGGGTGGGATATACTTCAGAACATTTTTGGAAAAGCATTCTTCGATAGCTATCAAAGTTAAGAATGCATACAACTTTAATTCTGCAGATTTGATGATTTAAGATATACTTGAAATATATTTGACTTGGTCAAATCCCTCTCCCCCTAAAATCATGTATTTAAGTATAAGGGTGTACTTTGCATCACTGTTTGAAAATTAAAATTATAGAAACAATATAAATGTCCATCTCTAAGAGTCTGATTAAATACATTTTTATATACATAAAAAATGTTAGGCCACATTTTTAAAAAAGGGTATAGAGATCTATTTGTACTCATTTGGAAAATACTTAAGATATATTATCAATTAAATTAGAAAGCTGGATAGTACGGATTATATATGAGCATGTACTTATTTAATTCTATAAAGATATGTATATGTAAGGGTTTGTATAATTGTGTATTTTATAAAAAGACACATAAGAAAATGTTAATGACACTTTCACCTGGGAGGAAAAGAAAATTTCGTCTTTCACTTTACAATATTCTGCACTTTTTCAATTTTTGACGAGTATTTACAACTTTTAAAATCAGTAATAGCAAAAATAGTAGGAAAAATATAAACTGTATGGGAATGATCAACATAAGTGGAGTTTTCACTCCATACCCATTGTCATTGTAGCTGCCCACTCTGAAGTTTTATGTATTTTTCTTCCACACCTTTTTTGTATGCACATTAAATATCTATCTATTCATCCATCTACCTGTCTTCATCATCATCATCTATGCTATAATAGGATGATACTACACATGTTGTATGACAACCTGTTTCTTTCAAAGAAAAAAGTACCTTGAATATATTCCCAGTCAATTCAAGCACATCTGTCTCATCTACTTCAATGTCTGCCTGGGATTTTCAATATGATTTTAGGAACACATATTCTTGGAACATTAGAAAACTTGCTCAATAAGAGAGTGATGAATGGTGTGCAATTGGTTTCTTATGCGAATGGGATGCTGATACCAGGCTCTAAGGAGTGGAGAGGTGGTCTGAGTCATGCTGGAGACCCTGTTACCCGACACTTCCCAGCTGCTCAGAGTGGAAGATCCCAGGGATATCTCCCCTGTTGGATCTCCCAATGTCTCTTCATAGTCTTCCCTAGAGCCATTTAGGAGGGTAGGAGGAAGGGGGCGAACTGGAGGAGGAAACAGCTGTTAGCTCAATGCTGGGAAAGCCTTTCTCAGAGTCCTCCTGCCTACTCTGGGGAAGGTGGGGAGGGGTTAACGGGACAGAGACCTAGAGGGAGAAGACTGACTTTGTAGCCACTGGAGGGTTAATATTGCCTTGGGGAGAAGCTTTAGCTGCTTTAGCACTTCTATCTGCTGCTATCCACCATGCAGCTGACAAGGGCAAGAGCTAGGTCATTGTTCCTGCAGAGCTTGTGACAGTGGGCAGACTCTGCCCTGGGTGCCCAGGCTCCCAAGAGGAGACTTGCAAATTGTATGCTTCCATGTAACCTACACTGCACTAGGAAGTTACACCCACATGTCTGATGGGAACGGCCATGTGGCAGAAATCCCCTAGGAGACCTGTCCCCTTCTCAGGTTGGAACAGGTGCAAGTTCAGCAGGCTCCCCTTTTCTGAGGTTCACGCCTTTTCTGTCCATCCCAATATTTCTTCCTTTTGGGGTCATTTTAGCACTTTTACTAGTTCTTGCTTTAAAGTTTTAATTTTTTTATTTTTTAGTTATTACGGATAACTAATAGTTGTACATATTTATGGGGACATGCAATATTTTAATACAAGAATATAATGTGTAGGGATAAGTTCAGTGTAATTGAGATATCCATCACCTCAAATATTTATCATTTCTTTGTGTTAAGAACATTCCAATTCTGATGAGGGCTTTCCAAGATGGCCAAATAGGAACAGCTCTGGTCTGCAGCTCCCAGCGTGATTGATGCAGAAGATGGGTGATTTCTGCACTTCCACTGAGCTCTGAAGAGAGCAGTGGTTCTCCAAGGACAGCATTTGAGCTCTGAGAATGGACAGACTGCCTCCTTAAGTGGGTCCCTGACCCCCATGTAGCCTAACTGGGAGATACCTCCCAGTAGGGGCCGACAGACACTTCATATAGGTGGCTACCCCTCTGGGATGAAGCTTCCAGAGGAAGGATCAGGCAGCAATATTTGCTGTTCTGCAATATTTGCTGTTCTGCAGCCTCCACTGGTGATACCCAGGCAAACGGTGTCTGGAGTGGAACTCCAGCAAACTCCAACAGACCTGAAGCTGGGGGACCTGACTGTTAGAAGGAAAACTAACAAACAGTAAGGAATAGCATCAACATCAACAAAAAGGTCATTGACACCAAAACCCCATCTGTGGGTCACCAGCATCAAAGACCAAAGATAGATAAAACCACAAAGATGGGGAGAAACCAGAGCAGAAAAGCTGAAAATTCTAAAAATCAGAGTGTCCCTTCTCCAACGGATTGCAGCTCCTTGCCAGCAACAGAACAAAGCTAGACGGAGAATGACTTTGATGAGTTGACAGAAGTAGGCTTCAAAAGGTCGGTAACAACAAACTTCTCTGAGCTAAAAGCGGATGTTTGAACCCATTACAAGGAAGCTAAAAACCTTGAAAAAAGATTAGACGAATGGCTAACTGGAATAAACAGCATAGAGAAGACCTTAAATGACCTGATGGAGCTGAAAACCACGGCATGAGAACTTCTTGATGCATGTACAAGCTTCAATAGCCGATTCAATCGGAAAGGGTATCAGTGATTAAAGGTCAAATTAATAAAATAAAGTGAGAAAACAAAGTTCGAGAAAAAAGAGTAAAAAGAAATGAACAAAGCCTCCAAGAAATATGGGACTATGTGAAAAGACCAAATCTATGTTTGATTGGTGTACTTGAAAGTGATGGGGAGAATGGAACCAAGATGAAAAACACTCTTCAGGATATTATCCAGGAGAACTTCCCCAAAATAGCAAGGCAGGCCAACATTCAAATTCAGGAAATACAAAGAACACCACAAAGATACTCCTTGAGAAGAGCAACCCCAAGACACATAATTGTCAGATTCACGAAGGTTGAAATGAAGGAAAAAATGTTAAGGGTAGCCAGAGAGAAAGGTCAAGTTACCCACAAAGGGAAGCCCATCAGATTAACAGTGGATCTCTCAGCAGAAACCCTACAAGCAAGAAAAGTGTGGGGGCCAATATTCAACATTCTTAAAGAAAAGAATTTTCAGCCCAGAATTTCATATCCAGCCAAACTAAGCTTCATAAGTGAAGGATAAATACAATCCTTTACAGACAAGCAAATGCTGAGAGATTTTGTCACCACCAGGCCTGCCTTACAAGACCTCCTGAAGGAAGCAATAAACATGGAAAGGATCAAATGGTACCAGCCACTGCAGAAACAGGCCAAATTTTTAAAGACCATCAATGCTATGAAGAAACTGCATCAATTAATGGGCAAAATAACCAGAGAACATCATAATGACAGGATCAAATTCACACATAACAGTACTAACCTTAAATGTAAATGGGCTAAATGCCCCAATTAAAAGACACAGACTGGCAAATTGGATAAAGAGTCAAGACCCATCAGTGTGCTGTATTCAGGAGACCCATCTCATGTGCAAAGATGCACATAGGCTCAAAATAAAGGGATGGAGGAATATCTACCAAGCAAATGGAAAGCAAAAAAATGCAGGGGCTGCAATCCTAGTCACTGATAAAACAGACTTTAAACCAACAAAGATCAAAAGAGACAAAGAAGGCCATTACATAATGGTAAAGGGATCAATTCAACAAGAAAAGCTAACTATCCTAAATATATATGAACCCAATACAGGAGCACCCAGATTCATAAAGCAAGTCCTTAGAAACCTATAAAGAGACTTAGACACCCACACAATAATAATGGGAGACTTTAACACCCCACTGTCAATATTAGACAGATCAGTGAGACAGAAGGTTAACAAGGATGTCCAGGACTTGAACTCAGCTCTGCAACAAGCAGACCTAATAGACATCTACAGATCTCTCTACCCCAAATCAGCAGAATATACATTCTTCTCAGCACCACATCGCACTTATTCTAAAATTGACCACATAATCGGAAGTAAAGTACTCCTCAGCAAATGTAAAAGGACAGAAATCACAACTAACTTTCTCTCAGACCACAGTGCAATCAAATTAGAACTCAGGATTAAGAAACTCACTCAAAACTGCACAACTACATGGAAACTGAAAAACTTTCTCCTGAATGACTACTGGGTAAATAACGAAATGAAGGCAGAAATAAAGATGTTCTTTGAAACCAATAAGAGCAAAGACACAATGTACTAGAATCTCTGGGACACATTTAAAGCATCATGTAGAGGGAAATTTATAGCACTAAATGCCCACAGGAGAAAGCAGGAAAGATCTAAAATCGACACCCTAACATCACAATTAAAAGAACTAGAGAAGCAGGGCCCGGCGCAGTGGCTCACGCCTGTAATCCCAGCACTTTGGGAGGCCGAGGTGGGCGGATCACGAGGTCAGGAGATCGAGACCATCCTGGCTAACACGGTGAAACCCTGTCTCTACTAAAAATACAAAAAATTAGCCAGGCTTGTTGGCGGGTGCCTGTAGTCCCAGCTACTCGGGAGGCTGAGGCAGGAGAATGGCGTGAACCTGGGAGGTGGAGTTTGCAGTGAGCCAGGATCGCGCCACTGCACTCCAGCCTGGGTGAAAGAGTGAGACTCCATGTCAAAAAAAAAAAAAAAAAAAAAAAAAGAACTAGAGAAGCAAGAGCAAACACATTGAAAAGCTAGAAAGCTAGCAGAAGGCAAGAAATAACTAAGATCAGAGCAGAACTGAAAGAGATAGAGTCACAAAAAAAAAGGCTTCAAAAAATCAATGAATCTAGGATCTGGTTTTTGAAAAGATCAACAAAATTGATAGACTGCTAGCAAGACTAATAAAGAAAAAAGGAGAGAAGAATCAAATAGACACAATAAAAAATGATAAAGGGGATATCACCACCAATCCCACAGAAATACAAACTACCATCAGAGAATGCTATAAACACCTGTACGCAAATAAACTAGAAAATCTAGAAGAAATGGATAAATTCCTGGACAAATACACCCTCCCAAGACTAAACCAGGAAGAAGTTGAATCTCTGAATAGACCAATAACAGGCTCTGAAATTGAGGCAATAATTAATAGCCTACCAACCAAAAAAAGTCCAGGACCAGATGGATTCACAGCCGAATTCTACCAGAGGTACAAAGAGGTGATGGTACCATTCCTTCTGAAATTATTCCAATCAATAGAAAAAGAGGGAATTTTCCCTAACTCACTTTATGAGGCCCACATCATCCTGATACCAAAGCCTGGTAGAGACACACACACAAAAAGAGAATTTTAGACCAATATCCCTGATGAACATTGATGCGAAAATCCTTGATAAAATACAGGTAAACAGAATCCAGCAGCACATCAAAAACCTTATCCATCACGATCAAGTCAGCTTCATCCCTGGGATGCAACACTGGTTCAATGTACACAAATCAATAAATGTAATCCAGCACTTAAACAGAACCAATGTCAAAAACCACTGGTTATATCAATAGATGCAGAAAAGGCCTTCAACAAAATTCAACAGCCTTCATGCTAAAACTCTCAATAAACTAGATATTGATGGAATATATCTCAAAATAATAAGAGCTATTTATGACAAACCCACAGCCAATATGATACTGAATGGGCAAAAACTGGAAGCATTCCCTTTGAAAACCTGCACAAGACAGGGATGACCTCTCTCACCACTCCTATTCAACATAGTGTTGGAAGTTCTGGCCAGGGCAGAACTATTTATTCATTCTATTTAACTGTATCTCAGCATCCATTAACCATACCCTCTTCTTCCCCCTCCCCACTACCCTTTCCAGCCTCTAGTAACAATCATTCTGCTATCTCTAGGAGTTCTAGGAGTTTATATTTTTTTAGTTCCCACATATGAGTGAGAACATGCAATATTTGTCTTCTGTGCTTAGCTTATTTCACTTAACATAATGACCTCCAGTTTCATTATGTTATTGCAAATGATAGGATTTGATAGAATTCCATTTTATATGGCCAATATTCCATTGTGTATACATACCACATTTTCTTTATCTGTCCATCCATTGATGGGAAGTTAGGTTGATTCCATATCTTGGCTACTGTGAATAGTCCTGCAATGAACAGGGGAGTGCAGATATTTCTCTGATATACTGATTTCCTTTCTTTTGGCTGTATACCCAGCAGTGAGACTAATGGGTCAGGCAGTAGCTCTCTTTTTACATTTTTGAGGAACTCCATGCTGTTCTCCAGAGTGGCTGCACTAATTTTCATTCCCACCAAGAGTGTACAAGGGTTCCCCTTTCTCCAAGCCCTCGCCAGCATCTGTTATTTCCTGTCTTTTGGATAAAAGCCATTTTTACTGGAGTGAGATGATAACTCATTGTAGTATTGATTTGCATTTCTCTGATGATTAGTAATGTTGAATATTTTTTCATTTACCTGTTGGCCAGTTGTATGTCTATTCAGATCTTTTGTCCATTTTTAAATTGGGTTACTTGTTTTTTTCCTAGGAGTTGTTTGAGCTCCTTATATACTCTGGTTATTAATTCCTTGTCAGATGGGTAGTTTGCAGACATTTTCTTCCAGGCATTGTTTATTGTCTCTTCATTTTGTTGATTGTGTCCTTTGCTGTGCAAAAGCATTTTAACTTGATGTGATTCCATTTGTTCTTTTTATCTTTGGTTGCCCATGCTTTTGAAGTCTTACTCAAGAAATCTTTGCCCAGACCAATGTTCTGGAGTGTTTCCTCAAGGTTTGTTTTAGAAGTTTCATAGTTTCAGGTCTTAGATGTAAGTCTAATCCATTTTGATTTGATCTTTGTATATAGTGAGAGATAGGGGTCTATTTGCATGTTCTTCTGCATATAGACATCCAGTTTTCCTTTATCTTTGCCTTATCGGCTCTAAGCATAATTCTTTTCTCAGCGAATCGGCTCTGATTTTACATTCTGTTGGGAAGGAAGAGAGTGAGAGACAGTTGTGGCTGGGAGTCAGAAGGGCCCCATGGCAGGGGAGCTGAGGGTGCCATGGAGGAGAACAGAAGGGCTAAAATCCCCCTCCCGGGGCCCTCCATGGAAAGGGGAGGAGGCGAGCTGCCTGCCAGGGCTCCAGCCTGCTGTCAACCTGCCCTCCTGACTGCTGGGGGAGCTGGACCACTTCACTCCTTTGCCCTCATTTCCACCTCCTGCAAGGGCTTGTAACCAAGTACTGTAGGTGGCTTCAAGATGACAGGACTGTGTTGCTTGTTTGTCACTAGGTTGGTGGCTGCATGGTTGTCCAGTGTCTGATACCACTGTTCATCCTGCGATGGCTGAGTTAGCTTCCTTTGGTTCTACAGTCAGAATCATTTCTGCAAACACACCAAGACTTCTTCTGTCATCCCATATTGTGTGGCCAAATGGGTCATGTGGAAAGAATGAACTGGAGTAAAGCAAGTGCATTCTGACCACACTCTCATGCAGTACTAGGAGGGTGATTGTGTAGTCTGAGGAAATGCTGAGACATTTGATGTTAGTCAAGAGCACTAACTGCTGAAGGACTCCCGAGGGCCAGTGGTGATTGCTCCCTCCCCACAAGCTCTGGCCCGCCATCTTTCACACATGCCTTTTGAGGACACGTGAGGAGCAAAGGGCAGGGGGCTCGTGTGGAGGCTCTGGAAGGACTGGTCCTCAGGGTGGCCAGCATCACAATCATGCACATTCCAGCCTGCAGAGGAAGCAGGGAGGGTGGCCAGCTCTGCATCCAGGAGAAGGGCAATTGATCTGATGAATAGTGCCTTGTCCTATGTAGATTCGGAAGATGTGGGTTAATTCTGGTTCAGCCCCTGTATTTGGGCTGTGTTACCTTGCCAGGCCTTATTTCCTGGGCTTCCAAAAGTGGACTGGAGAGCCCTCAGGATCTTTCCAGATTCCTCTGTCTGTAAGTGCTCATTCTTGCATGGCAGAATTGCTCTTCAAAAGTCACAGACCAGGTTTATTAATCCAGCGTGGCCTCAGAATCATAGCAGCCTGAACATGCTGCCGTAGGCGAGGAGCATCTGAAAGAAGCATGACTACATTGTCCCTAATAGTAAAGAAACTCACCGCCAGACATGGTGGCTCACACCTGTAATCCCAGAACTTTGGGAGGCTGAGGTGGGTGGATCACCTGACGTCAGGAGTTTGAGACCAGCATGGCCAAGGTGGTAAAACCCCATCTCTACTAAAAATACAAAAATCAGCCAGGCATGGTGGCGGGTGCCTGTAATCCCAGCTACTTGGGAGGCCGAGGCACAAGAATAGCTTGAACCCTGGAGGCAGAGGTTGCAGTGAGCCAAGATCATGCCACTGCACTCCAGCCTGGGTGACAGACAAAAAAACTCAGAAGCATCTGGAAGGGGCTGTGTTTGTCAGCTGCTCAGTGGCAGGGCTAGCTGTACAGTACCCTGAGGATGCACTTGCCACTCCACAGCCTCAAGGTGACCAGCATAGTGTCTGAAGAAGTTTCGTGCAGAAAAAGTGAGTGACATGAATAAGGATACCTGCCCTTTCACTACTCTCATCCCATTAAAAATTGGGAGGTGTTTGCAGTTCACACCTGGTCATGGGAGAGTAATGTCCTCTGTTCACCAGGACCAAAAAGTAGCAGGCACCTTCCAGTGTAGAAATGAGTCGTTTGTTTTGGGTGGTATATACTTATACTAATTGCTTTCTTTTTTCAAAGGTAATATATTTTTATTGCAGCTATGTTTTCATAAATACATACAGGCAAAAAAGAGAAAATAACAATATAATCCAACCCCCTAGTTTTTCTGTGCATATATATCAGTGATTGCTTTCGCCCAAGATATATTTTCTTTTATATTTTGAATTATAAAACTAACATACAGCTGTGGAAATAGTGTAAATGATACAGGGATATAAGGGAGCATTAATGAATATTAATATACTGTATTTCAAACTTGCTAAGGGTACCAAAGTCAACAGGTTGGTGTGAACCTTCCGCAGATCTTCTATTCTTACCCCAAAGAAAGCATTTCTATCTCTCTATATGTGTTGCATGTAGAGTCACACAGAGATATTAGAGATGTCTGCTTTTTATGTTTTCACAAAATAGAGGATTTTGATATACATTGTTCTAAGAATTTTTTCCCATTAAAAAATATTGCTGAAATATTTCACCCAGGCTGGAGTGCAATAGTATGATCTCCACTCACTGCAACCTCTGCCTCCCAGGTTCAAGCAACTCTTCTGCCTCATACTCCCTAGTAGCTGGGATTACAGGCACCCACCACCATACCCAGCTAATATTTATATTTTTAGTAGAGATGGGGTTTTACTATGTTGGCTAGGTTGGTCTCGAACTCCTGACCTTAGGTCATCAGCCTACCTCGGCCTCCCAAAGTGCTGGGATTACAGGCGTGAGCCACCGCACCCAGCCTGAGGAAATATTTCTAATTCAATCCATATATGCCTTCTTTACTTTTTTTTTAAATTTTTTTTTTTTACTAATTATGTAATCTCTTATGACATAGATTGGGCATGTCATAATTCACTCACCTGTCTTCTGTAGGGGCGGGCACTTAGTTGCTGCCAGGGTCTTGCTATCAACAGCATTAATGCAATTACCATTCTTATTTATTCATTATAAATAGCCACTTGTATTTCTGTGGCAGAACTTTCTGGAGGTAAGACTGCTAGGTCTTCTGACTATTAAATTCTGTCTAATTCCTGAAAAGTTACAATAATTGTCTTTCCCATAATAATGTGAGAGACCTGTTTTCCCACACTCCCACCAACCATAGCTTGTTACAATGTTGAAAATTTTTTATGCACTGATTAACAAAAAATGATGTGTGGTTGCTGTTTTATTTTGAATTTCCTTGCACAGGTTAATTGGTCATCAGCCTGTCTATTATCTGTGAATTTGCATGTCACTCTCCTCTGGCTGCCTTTCCTTATTAATTTACAGGACTGTATGTATTAAGCCCACCAAATCTCTCTACTAAATGTGTAAGAATATTATTTTTCAGTCTAGCTTTTTGTTTTTTTTTTGGAGATACAGTCTCACTGTCCCCCAGGCTAGAGTGCAGTAGCGTGATCTTGGCTCACTGCAACCTCCACCTCCCGGGTTCAAGTGATTCTCCTGCCTCAGCCTCCTGAGTAACTGGGATTACAGGTGCACGCCACCTGCCTGGCTAATTTTTGTATTTTTAGTAGAGACGGGGCTTCACCATGTTGGCCAGACTGGTCTCGAACTCCTGACCTCGTGATCTGCCCACTTTGGCCTCCCAGAGTGCTGGGATTACAGGCATGAGCCACCATGCTTGGCCCAGTCTAGCTTTTTAATATAAATTTCATTATGTTTTGATGTTAATAATTATTAAATTTGAAACTTTTTGAAAGTATTTTAAATTATTTAAAATATTAAAATTTTAAATGTAAAATATTGTCGATTATTTCCTACATGGTTTATGGGTTTCCAGTCATGTTTAGGAAGGTCCCCTCTGACTGCTTTTTCTCTCTGCTGTCCCACACCACTCACCACTCACTTCTGACCTCAGATGTTGGGTGGGGGGTTTCCCACACACCAACCAGTTTTCTAGTGGGCACCAGCTGGGTGTTCTATAATTCAGTTCTGACATGACCTGCCTGGAGATAATGATGGCTCAGTCCCACAAGACTCCCCCCGCTTCAGATCCCAGCCTATACTGAATGACTGACTATAAATTGGGGTTCCCACAATTGCGACCTCCTTGGCCTCCATTAATTTGCTAGAGCAGCTCATGGAACTCAGGGAAATGTTTTACCGACATTTACCCATTTATTATAGAGATAGTAAAAAGGATACAGATGAAGAGATGCATGGGCTGAGGCATGGGGGAGAGTGTGGAGCTTCCATGCCCTTTCCAGGTGCCACCCCCAGGAACCTGTGTGTGTTCTGCTAGCCACAAGCTCTCTGAGCCCTGTCCTTTGAGGCTTCATTACATAGGCATGATTCCTTAAGGGTGTCCAAACTTTTGGCTTCCCTGGGCCACATTGGAAGAAGAATTGTCTTAGGCCACACATAAAATACACTAACACTAATGATAGCTGATGAACTAAAAACCAAACAAACAAACAAACAAAAACTCATAAAAAAGTTTACGAATTTGTGTTGGGCTGCATTCAAAGCTATCCTGGGCCACATTTGGCCCATGGGGTGGACAAGCTTGGATTAAACCACTGGTCATGGGTGATAAACTCAACCTTCACTCAGAGGTTGGGTGAGACTGAAGGTCCCAATTCTCTAATGATGGCTTGGCCTTTCTCCTTTCTCAAGAGCAGCCTCATCCTGAAGCTATCTAGGGTCCCCCAGCTACCAGTGCTCTCATTAACACACAAAAGACATTCTTATCACTCTGGAGATGCCAAAGGTTTTAGGAGCGTGTGCCAGAAACCAGGGCAGAGACGAAATATATGTTTCTCACATAGATCACAACATCACACGCCATTACGGTGTATTTTAAAAATGTAGATTGTCACTCCTAGCTCCCCCTGTGTCTCTGTGACATCTACGTGCATCTGCACAAGGACAGCAGGACTCTGAAGGGCAGGGCCCTGGATGATTGTTCTCACTGTAGCCCCCTCCCCCGCAATCAGGAGTGACCTCATTTCTTTTGAATTTTCTTTCTGCAGGACCAAGTTCCTGGGTGTGGCTGCTCTTTTCCACTCTTGAATTCTTCTAGGGTTTGCATAAATAAAAAAATTCATGGAGCAGGTTCCTGTACTAAGGCTGCTTGGAAAATTCATGGACTTTTTTGGGAAAGCAATCTTTTTTTTTTCTAAATAAGGAGAAAATACCAGAATGATTAATCCAGGTGAGGTCTCACATAATCTGTGAATTAATTCTTTCCCATTTCTCTTTTATTTGGTAGTAGTGTGGACTTGTTGATAACATGAATTCAAGTCTGGATTCCTTTTGCATTCTGCCACAAATATCCTCTACTAAATAAAAGGTTTTCAGTGGTGTCTGAGCCCCTTTTCATTTCATGTAAAATGACAGGATTGGATTGGATGACTCGAGGTCCCTTCCACATCAGCTCTCCCGTCATGCCAGAATTATCCACCATTGCACCACCCCTTCACTCCTGGCCCTGACCCTAAAAACAAAGGGGATTTGTCAGAAAGGGCAGGGATTTATCAGTGTTTTTCTTGTGAGATAACATGCACAGCTGTAGAAAACCTTCACTATTCTCCACCATCTGTGGTTGGAAAAACTTGATCAGTAGTTAAGATTTTTAAAATTAAAATATCCCCTTAACCTGCTGTGATATGATCTACAGTAACAAGCTAGCCTTTAGAAATTCTCCTACAATGGCCAGGTAGAGGATTGGCTTGGTCAGAGCAGGGCACAGCTCCATTCTGGCTGTTGACTCAGAGCCTCTCTCTAGGGTCCTCAGACAGCGTGCTGTCAATCAACTTCAGCAGGATCACTGACACTAGCCATGATTTATTGGACTTAGCATTCATTATGTCTTTTTTTTTCCCTTATTCACTCAATTTTTGCCCCAACTAGTTTTCAAGTTAGGTAACCACCATAAACAGTTTGTAGTTTTTTCCTGTCATACCTTAAATTCCTTAAAAATGCAATTGTGAAGTATTCGATTTGTTCCAAGTACTATACAAATATTCTTACATGCTATGAATGTGTAAGCGTAACATGCAAATGTAGCTATGTTATGGTTACAAATCTTATAGAAATATCACTGCTGAGGTATAAGATGAGACTAATACCATAAATATATGCCATGACCCAAGCCAAGGAACCTCCTCTGGGCTCTTCCACCTTGTTATTCTAACATCACACTCCCATCCCAACCTACTTCTGAAATACCTCCCAAATCCATCCACATTCCTCATTTTCAATGCTGCCATTCTAGTTTCAGCAATTATCATTTTTTGCCTGGACTACCCACTGGTCTGCTAACTGGTCTCTTACTGTATCTCTACAATCACGTCTCTGTTGCATAAACTTTCTCATGGCTTTCCAACACACTGGAATAAATTCAAACTACAAAGACCCCACCAGCCAGCCCAGTTGCCTCTCCACATATCCTATTCCCTACCTGGGCTTACCTGCTCCCTCCACGTTCACAGGCTTCCTTCTGTTCCCGGGCTCGGCAAAATGGCGCCTGCCTCAGGGACATTGCCCACACCACAGTGTCCTCCATGGCGGGCTTCTTCCCTTCACTCAGTCATTGCTTCAGAGGGGCCCGTCCTGATGATTCTGCAGAAAGTTCTGTGCTCTCTGCTCACCCTCACAAGGTGAACACGCTGGGCCTGCCTCACCGGCTGCCATGGCCCCATCCCAGAGCAGCACCTGGCCAGGGCAGTGGCCAGCACACACTGTGGAGGGAATGAATGGGGGACAAAACCTATCTCATAGGAGTGTGGGGTCCAGCAAGGTCACGTCTGGGCATCCAGTGCCCTCCCTGGCAACAGTGAGTACCACATGAGTGGTGGGGGAGAAGTCATCAAAGTCTTTCATAGCTCACCTCCGACTCTCCCTAGAACTCTAGAATCCCTTTTGTGTTCCTTTAAAGACATTTTTTTTTCTCTTGAGATGGAGTTTCACTCTTGTTGCCCAGGCTGGAGTGTAATGGCGCGATCTTTGCTCACTACAACATCCGCCTCCTGGGTTCAAGCAATTCTCCTATCTCAGCCTCCTGAGTAGCTAGGATTACAGGCGCCCGCCACTATGCCTGGCTAATTTTTGTATTTTTAGTAGAGACGGGGTTTCACCATGTTGGCCAGGCTGGTCTCGAACTGCTGATCTCAGGTGATCAGCCTGCCTTGGCCTCCCAAGGTGCTGGGATTACAGGCATGAGCCACTGCGCCCAGCCCCTTTAGAGACATTTTAACAGAGAAGTCCTTCAGTCCCTCAAATGCCCCACCTTCCTTTTTTACAGCCTTTTTCCTCTCCTGAGAAATAACAGGATGGTTCACCCAGGCATGAGGGTCAGCCCCACCTCCCCCGTCTTTCTTTTCCATCGGTTATCAAGCCTGGTCTGTATCACCCCTTGACATCTCACATATCAATCCCTCTTTCCATAACCAGCAGGGCATCTTCATGACAGGTTTGGAACCCAAGCTACAGAATCAGTTCCTAGTTCTACCCTTGGACAGTTATGGGACGGTGAGTAACAGATGGAAAAACTTTCAGCCTCAGTTTCTCCCTCCTTAACGTGGGAAGAAAAGTAATTCTGTAGTTAATGTGGAGACTTTCTGAGAGGAATAGAAAAGACAGTTGGTGCAGGCATGTGGCTGGCACATGGGAGAACTCAATAGTGAGCAGCAGGTATCTGCCCGGGGCAGGAGTGCTTCCTCATGCCCGGGATGGCTTTCCTTCTTTCACCCCAGCCTCCCGCCCAGCCTATGCCCTACGCAGCAGAGTGCAGAGGATGTTCCCAAAGCCTCCATAGGATGGCGCCGTGCTTCTCCTAGTGCTGCCTCCTCAACTCAGTCCCAAATCCAGACAGCTGGGTTGGTGCCCTCGGCTCGCAGGTCACAGGCTCTGATGCACTCTGTCTCCACCTGTGCAGTCCTCTTCCTACTTCACATCCCCTCCTCTCTTCCTGTGTCTGCTTGGGCACCCCGTCCCTCCACCCCAGACCTGTAGAGACAGAGCTGGGATGTCCTTACGTTGGCCTCTCAAGGTCCCTTAATATAGCCTCCCATAACCCTGACTCACAACCGCCACCTTTTGGTTCCTCCTACTCCATGGCATGCTGCTGTGGAGGCCAAGTCCCCAGCACTGCGTTCCCCAGGCAATGCTGAAGAAAAGGCCAGGGCTGCTCATCAAGGAAGGTGTTGTCATTAGGGCAGCCGTGGTTTTCCTAGGCAGCCAGACTTACCATGGGCATGTAGAGAAAAAGCACCAAGATCTTTGTAAAATTGACTTCCATTTTGTGTTAAAAGGCTTGTTATACCTATAAACAGTGATAACAACATATTTATACATGGGAATAAGACTTAAAAACAGACACAAACGGGCCAATCAACAGTATCATGGAACAATGTGTACTTTACAACACCATTCTTTTTTCAAGTTGAAAGCATGCAAACCTAAACAGTATATATTTTGAGGGATGTATATGCATGTAATAAAGATTAGAAAAGCAAGGAAATGATGACAAAATAAACATTTGAAAAATAAAATGGGAAGAGACAAGAGGCCAAGGACTGTGGCAAGGTGGAGTTTGGGTGGACAGCAGGGAATAAATGCCGGATTGGGTGAATGGGGAGTGAACTCTACCCACCGTACTGGCACAGAAACTGGGATGTGGGGATGCTAATGTGGCCGAGATCACATAGCTAGGAAGTGGCAGAGCTGGGATTCATGCTTAGGTTGGTCTGACTCTACAGCTCTTCATGTTGTTCCTTGATACCAGAGACAACATCAAGAAAGCCATGTGTTAGAACGAGCTCGTCTGGGGTGGAGGGCAGCAGGAGAAGAGAAGGCAGCTGGGAGGCCAGGTGGAGGGTGGCGGTGGCCAGGATGGAAATGGAGGAGAGGCTGGAAAGGCAGGAAGGAGCCCCAGGGAGTGTTGTCTGAGAAGCCTAAGTTGGGGCATGAGGAGGGAAAGTGTGTGAGTTGAATAGTGTCAAATGGAGCAGACGTCATAAGACTTTTGCTATGGACTGAATTGTGTCACTCCCAAATTCATATGTTGAAGTCCTAACTCCCAACATGGCTGTATCTTGACATAGGGTTTTAGGAGGTAATTAAGGCTAAATGAGATTGTAAGAGTGGGCTGTTGTCATGGGGTTAGTGTCCTTATAAGCGAGCTGAGAGCTTTCTCTCCCTCTCTTTCTCTATCCCCTCCCTTTTACCCCACTTCCCCACTTCACCACTTGAGGATAAGCAAGAAGACAGCCATCTGTAAGCCAGAAAGAGAGCCCTCACCAGAACCCCACCATGCTAGCACCCTGATCTGGGACCTCCAGCCTCCAGAACTGTGAGAAAATAATGTCTGTCATTTAAGCCATGCAGTCTATGCTGTTTTGTTCTGGAAGCCCAAGAAGACAAATACAGCCTCGTTCCTGGAATGTTGAAAGTGTCACTGGGGCGAAGATGGTATACAGCCTCTTATTTTGAACTCCCACTGTTCTAACATTCGTTCATGAAACATCTTTTGTGAATTGATGCCAGGCAAGTGGTATAAAAAGGAAAAGGCACCCGTCTTGTGAGTCCAGGCTGCATCCGCTGAAGCTGTCCCTGCTGGCGGCTGCAGTTCTCCTCACAGGGCGACCACATTCACAAACACCCTCAGGGCAGTGTCCCAGAAACAGAGCTTCCCAACTGAGATCTGTCCTACTTTTGAAGATGACTGCTGTATTGCTCAGGGAGGGAGAATTTTCAATCCTTGCAAAGCAAGACAGAAACAAAAGGGGTACTTGGCCTTCTCAACCGGTGTGCATGTACAGTATTTGAGGGCGCTACCTTTAGACAGCAGGGTGAGTGTGCAAAGGGATCCTCGTGTTGGAAGATGGGGGTAAAGGGGTATGAGTCTGAGTTCCTCCTGAAACACCAGCCTCTCTCAGAGGCAGCAGCGGAGCTCCGCGTATGCTGGCGCTCTCTTTCTTGCATCGTGTTCATGGATTTCTAAATTCCCTTGCTAATGGCAACAGAAATACCACCATCAAAACTAACGTCTCAAGGGTCCAAGGTTTCAATCACACAAAGCCCAGGTTATCATAGGAACATGGGGCAGGCAAGGAGGGGGCCCCTGGGGAGCCATCTTCATGTGTCCTCATTAAAATGAAGGGAGTCATTCAGAGATTTGACTGTGTTTGTCTCCTTCTACTATTTTTCTTTAAAAAGCTGTTTCAGTTAGAGTAGGAAGAGCAAGATACACTTATTTCTGAAATGGGTGCAAGAACTTTCAAATATGGAAACACAACACCTTTCTATTTTTTGAATTCTGCTTTTAAAACGGAAAAATACTTGTTCTTCTTGAGAATTGGGCTTTCTGCTTTGAAGGAGGTAATATCAAAGCAATATTTTATTTGCAAGTAATGAACTGTACTCTTTTAACTTGTTTTGCTAAAGCATTGCTCTTCTGGGTACTTCATAGTTAAAGTATTGTGCCCTCCCACCTACCCTGAAGTTTTTGCTAGTCTTTGTGCATGACATTCAAAATAACGTACTTCTGCCACTACAAGGTGTGAGCACACTTCTAAATGACAAAATGATTGAGTTATCATCAAGATATTGTTCAGTATAAACATCATTTTACTTTTCTAAACTTTTAAAAGTGGCCAACACATTCAGTCGCTGTATTATCTTTTGATTAACCCAAGTGCTCAGCTATCCATCGCATTCCACGAAGTCAGTTTGCAATTAATGAGCAGGACACAGTTTATCAGCATGCCTGAGAAAAGCGATTGTATCTGGATGTCCTCAGCCCTTTCCCCTCCAAATAGGCTGTGTGGTGAGTGCTCCTTCGAATGGTACAGATGGCCGGCCTGTTTATCCTCTCCTGCCCTTGCTTCGGGCCATGCCTAAGTGCCTCACCCCTGGCTGAGTGACATCAGGTCCAGCTGGAAGTGGGGCACCAAAATGCCTGCCTCACTGGAGCTTGGTGGTGTCTGTTTGCTCACCTGCAAGGCCAGCATGGCCTTTTATTAGAGGTCTCAGGGGGCTGGGGGAGGCCATAGCTCTTTGAATTTCTCTTATTAACTCTTCTTTGACTGGTTCCAAGTCAAAGACTTCTGCGTGCATATGTACACACACTGTATCACACACACCACACACTCACACTACCCATGGATATGCACACATACCACATACCACACACACATATGCACACACACACCACACAACACCACACACATATATGCACGGATATGCACACACACCACACTACACACATCATACACACACTACACAATGTTACACACACCTATACACACACATACACACACATGCACACATACTGCGCTACACGCACCACGCACATACATGCACACACACCGCACTACACACATCATACACGTACCACACAATACTATGCACACCTATACACACGCATATGCATATGCACCACACACACACGTTATACATCCCCCACATACATTTTCTCCACTTTTCTTGGCTGCTTCCCTGGTCCTCACCATCAAAGGAATTCTTGCAGTAGAGCCTGGAAGGCTTCTCCCAGGAAGCACCCACTTCCTGCAGGAGAGAGACTGTGAGAGCGCGCCAGCCTCCTCCCCAGCCCTACACGCTGCCATTCATCCTCTCAACACACTTGTGAGTGTCCCTGTTGTGCCAAGCACTCTTCCAGGTCCTTCCAGGAGGTGGGTGAGGGGCACTGATGAAAAAAATGGGCCTCAACCTGGAGTCATGAAGCTTGGGGGTTTGGGTGGGACACAGGAATAAGAAATGAACATATCTGTGAACACGATGACCAGGAATTACAGGAGGGAAAGAGCACCGAGGAGCCTGCAGAAAGAGGCCCTGGAGCCCGGAGCTGATGCCAAAGGCTGTCCAGGAGGAGCAAAGGAGCAGCCAGGAAGGCCCTGGGGCACAGCAAGAGTGTCCAGAGTGAAGCCCAGCAAGTGGGGAGGGCGGTTCATGCAGTGAGAGGAAGACTCTAGAGGTTTTATCTAGGCCGTATTCCTTCCCCCTTTGTGGAGATGGGTTGTGCAGGGGGTGTGGAGGGAGCTAGAAGCTCCGCATGCATGGAAGATTAGTGCTCACAGAGCCCCAGATAGAGGCCGAAATGCCCATGGTGGGTGAGGAAGAAGTTTGGAAGGGGAAGCCAGAGAGGAGACGATGCAGGGCTCGCACTGGAACCAGCTCAGTTGGATGAAAGAAAAAAGTAAAGAAAAACGGAGAGCTTGAGCTTAAGGTCATTTTTCTAACTTTCTGTGTTGAAATAACGTTGGACAGACAGAAAAGTTACAAGGATAGAGTTTCCATACATACTTTTTTCATGTCAAGATCTTGTATCAACACGGCCCATTGGTCAAATCTGAGGAATTATTGTGGGTAAAATACGATTAGCCAAATGGTAGACTTTGTTTGAGTTTCCCTATCTTTCCACTCACTCCCTTTTTCTGTTCCAGGATCCAGACCAGGAGCCTACATTTCACTAACTTGTCAGGACTCCCGTCTCTCCTCCAGCCTGCGACAGCTCCTCCGTCTTCTTTTGTCTTTTCTAACCTTGATACTTTTGACGAGTACTGGCCAGCTGTTTCGCAGGATTTTCCTCCAGCTGAGTTGGCTTGAGGTTTTCTCTGATTGGATCACAGTTACCGGTTTTCGGAGGAACAGCACAGAGGTGAACGGTCTCACTTATCACTCCACATCAAAGCAGGCATGACACCCACGTGACTCATTCCTAGGAGGCTGACCTTCACCTTTTGGTCTGGGCGACATCTGCCAGGTTTTTCCACTGTCTAGTGACTATTTTTTTCTTTTCCTTTTTTTATGTTTGTGAAAGTCCTGCCCACACTCAAGGGGCGGGAAATGAAACTACACCCCCTGGTGTAATTTGTGAGGTACATTAAAACCACCCTAGTAATAGGAAATGCTCACATTATGCTTTTGGTCATTGTTATTGAGCTAGTTATGAGGCTTCTTTTTCCCTCTGTGGGAAGATGACATTTTCACCCGTAATACCTTGTCACCCGTACCACTTTGGCAGTCTCAGTGAAGATACCTGCACCCTCTGGGTGAGGGGCTTCTGACTAGTGCCATGGATGCTTGCTCTACAGAGACCAGAGAAGACTCCAGTTAGGGAGAGCGGACTCGCTACGCTCAGGTGCCGCCCCTCTGTCTCCCAGCCTCTCTAAAATGACAAGAAAGGGACAAAAGCCTTATTAACTTATAGAGTGAAAGACAGCAGGGATAACCAAGGGTAAAGCATCACAACACATTTTGTAAGTGCCTCATCTGAGCAGATCCTGACCAGGAGTGTCCCCTCTCCTGCCACCCACTGGAAGGTGCAAGCAGACGGAGGTGGACAAAGCCCTGGGCTCATGGCAGGGCCCCTGCAGTATCTGCCTGGAGGACCTCAGGCACCACAGTTCCCTCTCCCATTCTGTATGCCCTGTGGCTACTCTGGACACAGTCCCCATAGGAGGTGGTAGTTGACTGGGGATGCCATAACAAAGTGCCACACACTAGGTGACTTAGAACAATAGCAATGGAGTGTTTTACAGTTCTGGAGGCCAGAAATCCAAGATCCAGGTGTTGGCAGGGCCCCACTCCCCGTGAAGGCACCAGGACTCTCTCTGCCCAAGGCCTCTCTCCTACCTTCTGTTAGTTCCTTGGCTTGTGGCAGCAGAGCTCCAATCCTTACATGGCATTCTCTACGTGTACGAATGCATCTATGTCCAAATTTCCCCTTTACATAAGGATATGAATCATACTGGATTGGGGCCCACCCTTGCAATCCTATCTTAAATAATTACCTTTGTAACAGCTCTATCTCCAGATCTACACACACACTCGGAGGGACTTGGGGGTTAGGATTTCAACCTGTGAATTTTGGAGGGAACGTAATTCAACCTATAACTAGGTGGGATGTTTACTTGCTGAAGGAACAGACAGTCCCACTAGGCTGGGAATGGTAGACCCAGAGAGGGCTGGAGGGGAGCTTTGGGGCTAAAAAGACAGATTACATGCAAGCCAGCCTCCTGAACCTGGGACCCTCAGCTCTTCTTCCCACTCTGCTTCCACAGGTCTACCCTGCCCTCACCTGGGGAGAAGTGTGGAGGACTCCTCCTTGGAGAAAGTGAAAAACTCCCAGAGAAAACATTGGCAGGAATTGGCATTGGATGGGTCCTGGCTTGAGACTAGCTCCCATTGCATCAGTCTGCAAGCCCTCTGCTATTTCTACCTCCCCACCCAAACTCCAATCCACACTTACTTTAATGTCCCATTCTGCAATGTGAGTGGGCAGCGGAAGGTCACCAGAAGCTGTAGAGAAAGTCTTTACATGAAAGACAGACACTAAGGGGTAAAATCGCAAAGCAGGTATGCAAAAGAAACAAAAATAACCAGGGGGCTAAATAATCGAAAAACAATATTTTATGTTCTCAGATATCAAAGATGGTATTGCATCTGTAGAGAAGGAAAAATGTACTAAATAAAATTACTAAGTATTGGTCTAGAGGGTTGGAGAGAATATAGATATTTTTTAAATACGAAAATGAGATTTATCTATCAATCATCTATCTACCTATGTCATTCATCTATTTATTAATCCTCTATCTATCTACCATCTACTTATATACATATTCATTCATCACTATCTATCCATCTGTCTTTTTGCCTGAGTACTTTCTTTGAAAACTACTGGATAATGCACTTCAGTAAAATAAGGGAGAAAACTAGATAACATGGAATTCTGGAAACAGAGGACCCAATACAAGAGAGAGATGAGGAAGGCTCAAAAGTCTCTAAGAAAAAAAAAAGCTACTGTATTTGAGTACTTGGAAGTGTGTTTAGGCATTTAACAGATGCGTTAAAATTTTTAGAAATGTTAGCAAGAAGCACGTGGAAAACTGAGCAAACAAAAGCCCAAGGCAATTTTTAACTCCAGGAAAAACAAACATAGAGTGGTGTGAGAGAGGAGGCATTCTCATGGCAGACCACTGGCCTCGGTGGGGTACGATCAGCACCTCACATTAATAACGTAAACTCTGCCTGTGGGGAGGGGAGGCAAAGAGGTTGGGGTTGGGGTGATGTGAAGGAACTGACTTTGCACCTTTCTTAACAGAAAACCAATAAGATACTCTAAAATATTGAAAAATCAAGAAATAGCAGAATAGTATATTACAGAGATATGCAGAAATAGATACCAGGGAAAATATATCTTTAAAAGTTGAAAGTGCTTTCCTCTATGAAGCAGGGAAGGTTTGGGCACTGGGCCCAACACTTTTTTAACATCAGCTACTTAGAACTCTTTGCTTTCACTGTGTGGACGTACTTTGCTAAATGTAGAAGCATAACTTTACAGCAGAAAGGCGGGGAGAAAAATGTGTACACACAAGCTTGCGGAGGCTCACAAAAAGGGAAAGTCTTTCTGGCAGGATTTTGTGTTGACTTTTTGTAAGCGTGATCAGCCCATGGAGTTTTTCCTGTATGCTCAGAACTGGGAGGAAATCTTCCTGCTCCTTGGAGCCCTACCTCTCCAACTGTCAGCATCATCTTGGAATTATCTTTGTAGCAGGAAGCTTAGGGCACTAACACCTTGCCCTCCTGGTTCCCAAGGTGGGAGGTGGGTGAGCGACAGCTATGCTTCTCCCTGCAGAGGAGGCAGCGCAGGGGTGCTGGGAGCACCTGTCAATGGGTGAGAAAGGAAACGGTGTTTCTCTGATGCTTTTGATTGAGCTGCAGCTCTCTACTATGCTACTTAATTGACAGCAGCTGTTATAAAGCTTTAGCTTCTAGGATAAGGGACAACTTGTAAATTTCAGTGTCTACTGTGAATCTTATGGCTCCATCACTCTTCCTCTCTCCCATCTGCATTTACTCACCAGTGTGTCTATGCCCCACACTTTAATCACCCGTCAGCCTTCCTGGAATGGATGTCTTCAAGCCCTCCTGTTTGGTGTTCTCAATCAGGATGTCCTCTGACTGTCCTCCCCACTGAGGACAGACAACATTAGTCAGGACCAGAGGGATTTTATGGAGACATGGGGTCTCCACTTACTAGCCTGCCAACTTCCCCTTCCCAAACTCACTGTGGAAAGTAGGGCCGCTGTAGACCAGTGACACGCAGGGGGTTGGCTTGGGGAGAAAGGGTAAGGAGAGCGTGAATGCCACTGCTGGTTGATTGGAATGGCTGGACTGGAGATTTGCACCAGAATGAGGGAGTTGTGCAGATGCAGAGCAGATTTTGTGCCTGACATCCACCCAGTTAGAAGACAAAGAATCATGGTGCCGTTTTAGGCAGCAATGTGATTCGTGGAGATCTTTGTGCTCTTGCTCTTTCAGGGTTTGGGAATTCTGGATCCTGGCCATCTCTTCTTCTTTTCAGAGTAACAGTGGATATATTTTGATTTTACCTAGCTAGTGTTGCAGCGAAGCCTTAGGATAACACTAAATGAAGCATCCTTTAGCCAAAGCAAACAATCCTTTGGATGTCCTTTCAGAGACTACACCACATCAAATGAAGTGAAACCCCAGACCTTTGGAACACTCACCATTTTTCAAATTCAAGCCTATTTTGAAAAATTAATAAAATGAAGCCTTTTAAAAAGACCCCAAGGAAACCATGGAGTTGGTAGCTTCAGCAGATTGGCAAAGATGGACTGCACAAAAAGAGAGATGCTGGAAGGCATAGGAGCTGCCCGGTGGATAGAGTTCTAGACATGGGTTCCTGGGGGCCTCTCCTGGCTGGCAGCATGGGCAGGTTTTTGCCCTCCTAGACCTTCAGGACTTGGAAAAGCAAAGACATCTCTGGGCCAGCTGGAAGCAACTGTATCTGGGTACAGACCAAGCAATGTGGGAGTGCAAGCCACACAACCATCTGGGCAAGAGGAGTCCAAGTCAGGGGACCCAACTTCAAGGAGCCTGCAGTTTTGGACACTTGCTTTAGGAACTGTGGGGCAGCATGAGCCTGGGAGGGATGGCAGGGAATGTTCACACTTAGGGGGCTGGTTTGGGAAAGCCCAACACTCCCACACAGTCTCTTCTCCAACTCATTGGAGGGCTTGGAGTCACATCAGTCAGGGCTCAATCAAGAGAGCAAAGCCCCAGTAATGGTCATGGAATAAGGGTTTCCTATAGGTACCAGGAATCCCACACTTGGGGCAGAAGATGGGGAAGTGAAGGCATGAAGAGAATGTTGGAGAATTAGGAGAGTCGCCAAGCAGACCTCATGAACCACTGGCATGGGTGGCCGAGTCAGAGCTTGCAGGGAAATCTGGGAAGCTGGGTGTGCCCAGATGCAGGAGACCACCAAGCGGTGCTGGTGGAGGAGTCTATGGAGAGCAATTGCCTCTGCAGCTACCACTACTGGGCAATAGATGTTTGTGGGTGGCCTGGAGCTGCCAGGTGGTGGGAAGAACCAGATACAGAGCAAAGGAGTGCAATGACGAGCTGCACCCACCAGCCCCTCCATACCTGTCCACCAGAGACATAAGCTGCCCCACCCTGCTTCCAGACCTTAGGCCAGTGTCCATTTTTGGCCAACTCTGTCCCCAGTCCATGCAGGAAAGGATTCCAGGAGACCAGTTTTCAGCTCAACCAAACTGAGCATAGAACAGCGCAGTCCAGAACCATGGCCCTCCGCAGTAAGGGGCTGATTCTGGCACCCAGCCCAGCTGTCCTCATAAGCCAGGTGGTCTGCATGCTTGTCCTAGATAGTTCTAGACTGACAAAGAGCTTTTGAGTCTCAGCTAAAGGTCCTTTTCACAAAGCAGGCAGGGGCAAACATTCAAATTCCAGCCTCCCAGAAGCTTTCCCAGACCTTTCCACCATGTAGCCCACTATTCCTGAATAACCCTTTGGGTTGCCTCTCTGAAGATTTGAGGCAAAAGTGATAGGTGGTCTTCTCCTATGCATCTCCATGCATTGGGTGACACAGGCACTTCTAGGGTGGTCATGGTGAAAGTGTCAGCAAGGACTCAAAGGCTCTGAAAAGTGGGTCTTCAGACAGAAACCCAATCAAACAAAGCAAGCCACCAGTGCCCCGGCCCAGCCTGTGGAATGCTGTCCAACCTCTTTCACTTAGGAGAGACAGGACAAGCTGTAAGCGTTCATATGCCAGCCTGGAGTATGGGGTCAGGGGTCTTGCTACTTATTAAAGATAGTCTCAGGAGAATGAGGAACAGAGGTTTGCTGTAAACTTCAGCCTTCAGGCCTTACGGGTAATTTGTTATACTGGGGAGGTCAATGGTCTAGCTCCTGCTTTGATCACAAGCAAAGGCTTCCAGATTGTTACTTATACCAGCAGTTGATTTATTACATCCAGGCTTGAAGTGTCAATGGAAATCCAACCTGAGCGGGGGCTGGGGAAGGGAGCAGGGGCTGGGGAAGGGAGCAGGGGCTGGGGAAAGGAGCAGGGGCAGAGGAAGGGAGAAGGGCTGTTTTAGAGTGCAAGTCCACTGCTCAGTCATCCCACAGTTTTGCACAGCCTGGCTGCGATTTCTGCAATATTCCCTCTGAGACACTCAATCTCTGAATATGGTCACGAATTTGCAACATTTGTGATTCATAATAATGAATCACAAATTCATGATGATGTTAATTTATTTGCTGAAACAGTAACGTCTTTTATGTTATTCTTGGTGGAAGCTGATGCCCAGGTGCCTCCCACCTCTGGCCACAAGTTCCTGGTTGCCAAATGGAAAAGGAGACACTGTAGGAAAAAAATAGGGCCAGATATTTACAGCTGGTCACAACACACAGGATATACACACATATCTGTCTGCTCCCCCTCCCTCCCCTACTGCTGCACAGTCTAGGGGCAGCTGTGTCCCATTGAAGCTATTTTTATACCCACTTCCTGTTCCTGGCAGTCATCCTTTGTGATTTCCTTGTTGTCTGCGTTTGTGGAGCCTTAGCCCCTAAAGGGTATGGCACAGACAGCAGCGGGAAGGACACCGGGCGGAAATCATCACACAGATCTTCCTCCGTCTGTCTCAGCACCAGGGTGCTTCCTCTGCCTCTTAGAAACCAGCAGCCACCCTGAGGCTACTACTTTTTCTATGTTATTGACGAAGACCCTGGTTTCACTCTGATAACTTTTGGTACAAGTGGTGCATCTTTCTTCAGGTATAGGGCCTGTGGAGTAAGGTCTGATTGGGCAGGTGATGGAGAGCCGGGCATAGATTTGCACTGACCTGCTTCGATGCGTTGTTGACAGTACATCCATCCATTCATTCATTCATTCCATTAGTCTTTCTTGCATGTCTAGTATACATCAGGACTTTTTGTGGAGGAAAAAGCAGCAAAGCACAGAAACCTAATCCCAGCCCTTAGGCGGTGTGCAGAGAGTTGGTGAGGCCAGCAGTTACAATGCCACTTCGTGAGCATAAGGCTGGGGCCCATAGGAAGCAGAGGCTGCGTGGAGAGAAAGCTGAAGCATCCATGTGTGGACTGAGAGAAGAAGGGACATGAGGGAGGGAAACTATGCTGGGCAGAGAAAATGGCCTCTCCACAGGCCAAGGAGCAGAATGTGGCTGAGAATGGAGTATGAGTGGCCGGCCTGGGGAGGAAGAGGCTGTGCTAGGGGCATGTGGAGCTATTAATGTCTGTAATGGCCTGGTGACACGGTAAGATTCTGTGTTAGAAAAATCCCTCTGCGCACACCATGGAGCATGGACTAGAGAGCGGCAGGTCTGGGGCAAGGTGGCCTAGTGGTAAGCAGGCTGCCAGAGGGGTCCCTGGCATCAGGTGAAACCTGGGCGAGGACAGAGGCCGGGCAACGTGGTGGAGAGATGGCAGCAGGAAGAGGTGCAGGAAGGGGAGAGGACAGAGCTGCAGAGCATGGGGAGAGTGCAGGCATGGGGTGAGAGGGGGAGGGAAGAAAGAGGGGAGTCATCATGAAGCTCAGGCTTCCTGTTTGGGGTGCCTCTACATTTTCTATCACTCTCAGTACCTCTTGAGGGGTTCTAGTCTCCACAAGGCCCTAAAGTCTCACCTGGGTTTCAGGTCTGGAATACCAGTAAAGCCCACACGGACTCCGAGAGTCTGCCTTGGTTTGTCTGTTTTGTGAGCAAGAGTGCCATCACCTGCACGACCCTCCTCCGAGGAGAGGCAGAAAGACCACAGTGCAGGTAAATTCAAATTTTGCCTACGTGGGAGGGAGAATCCTCTGCACAGCGGCTTTTGGCATGACTGCTCTTGGAATTAAAACTTGGGTTGCCTTAAGAAGGAACAGTATGGATTGTATTAAAATGTACTTTTTGGAAGGCAGGTGTGAGTGAAACAGCACCTACTGTATGATTGCCTTGATGTAGCACACACAGGTCGAGTGAATCCTGCTGTTGAAAGTTTGAAGAGCAGTTCCCCTTGGGTTAGTGATGAGAAGGGGCCGTGAGGGGCTTCTGGGAGCTGTAAATGTCCTGTTTCCTCTGGTGCAGGTTTCACATGTGGGGTTAGTTTGTGAAAATTCAGTTATACTTTTCCATATATATATGTGCACACAAAACACTTCAATACAATTTTTTTCCCACAAGACAACATTGGAAGTCTCTGTGGGAAGACTTGCGTTGCACAGGTGTGTGAGCAGGGGGAACCATCCTGACTGAGGAAGACGGCGTGACCTGCGTGGGTCTGTGGACACAGCAGAGGCCTAGAGCCTGCTGTGCCAGGGGCTGTGCTGGAACAAGGCTCGGGTGGGGTGTGGCCTGCTCTGGAGCTGGGGGACTGAGCCCCCACCCTGCTTCTCTCCTCTGACCCTCCAGGGGCCTCCATGCTGCAGAAGTCTTTGTTGACGCAGGATCCAGAGGTTACAGATTCAAGTCTCATAAAAAGAAGTTCAAACAGAGCCATTGCCCATTTCCAAAAAGGCAAAGGAAGTGGCTGTCTCTCTGAAGCAAAGCTTTCCTCCTCTTCCAACAATGCAACCCATAGAGCTTCTCAGGGAACACAGCAAGGAAAGGATTTCTAGCTAGAAATGGTCAAGACTTGATTTAATTACAACTTAGAAATAGCATCTTTCAAGAGAAAAAGTGGTAACCTTCTGGAAAGAATTCATCATTTAGACGCCATTAAGAACATTCATGATTCATGGGAGGTGGTCAAAATATCATAAATATGAGTTTGGAAGAAGCTGATTTCAACCCTCATAAATGACTTTGAGAGGTTCAGGACTTCGGGGGAGGAATACACTACAGAAGTGGTGGAAATAGCAAGAGAAAGCCTGTAATCCCAGCACATTGGGAGGCTGAGGTGGGAGGATCACCTGAGGCCGGAAGTTCGAGACCAGCCTGACCAACATGGAGAAACCCTGTGTCTACTAAAAATACAAAATTAGCCGGTTGTGGTGGTTCATGCCTGTAATCCCAGCTACTCGGGAGGCTGAGGCAGGAGAATCGCTTGAAACCGGGAGGTGGAAGTTGCTGTGAGCCAAGATGGCGTCATTGTACTCCCGCCTGGGCAACAGGAGCGAAACTCCATCTCAAAAACAAACAAGCAAACAAAACCAAAGAGGTTGGAGCCTGAAGATGGGACCGAATTGCTACAACCTCATGACCAAACCTGAATGTATGAGAAGTTGCTTCTTATGGCTGAGCAGGATGATGGAGCAGGATGAGGAACTGAAGCTTCTCTGGAGTGGAAGATAAGGTCTTTGGAGATAAATGCAAGGGCACCAAGAGACGGGTGGCAGTAGGAGTGCTGAGTTTATGTGAGACAATGGTGGGAGAAAAGGACTCTGAGGCAGGTTTCCTCATCCTGAGCGGGTGGGAAAGCCCAGGAAAGGATGGGCCTCTGCCCCCAGTAGGAGGTGAAGAGGGTGGTAGGGATGAATGGGATGGAAATCAAAGGTCCAATGGAATGGGAGTCAAAGGCTTCCTAGAGAGGCTGAAGCATAAATAAGCATCTGGAGGAGCAATGAAGCTTCTGCAAGGAGAACTCCAACTCCATCTCTGGATCCAGGGCTGTGGGCAAGGAACCTGAGCATCTACAGGTCCTGGAGGTAGGTATTGGGTAAGTGGGTCCTCAGGGAACAGCTGATGTGAGATAGGGAAGAGGAGAGAAAGTCCACAGAGGAGAGAAGTGCCTGCAGTATGGAGTAGTTTGCTCATGATGAGGGCAAGCACACATGGGGCTTTGGAGAAGGGAAAGAACATTGCATTCCAAGTAAGGACGTTTCTTTTCTTGCCCGTGCTTTGCAGAGCTGTGACAAACACAGTTGTGAGGCAGATGGTTTTGCCCAAACCTTCTCCTTGATTTCGAGCCATGGCACATTTCTAGTGAGGCAGCACCAACAGAACCCAGGGGTTTGCTCTCTGACCAAGTTGTCCTCAAAACAAAAGAGTAGACTGAGCTGGCCTTAGCACATGCTGGTACAAAATGTTTCTGTTTTGCTAGCAACATGGGTCATTGGCCACCAATGCTTGTGCTTGTGCCAGCTTAAATGCACTTACAGTACTTGTTATTTTTGTTATTTTTTTATTGCCAGAATATCAAAAGACTTTGGTATTCACACAGCATTCGTGTTGGAGATTGAAGGTCACTTTCTGACTGCTGACAAGTGGCCAGGTATGAAGAAGCGTTTCCAAAAAGGGTGTTTTGGGAGGGGGAAATGTTTCTGGTCCTTTCCCTGTGAAACTTGGGATGAATGAATCACATTCCTATTCTCCCCCTTGAGTGGTCCAGGTCTGGCCGTAACCACGTACAGACAGGTGGGGCCCTGCTGTTAGACATAATTTGGTTGGTAATGGATATGCACAGCTCCTTCTTCAATCTCAGAACCTCAGATGACAGATTGAAATGCAGGTGTGCGGACTCAGAGAGAAGGTGATCCTTCTGCAGGCCTCTTTCTGGACAGTGTGTTCTCCTCCATGTAACTTGGCCCCAGGAAGAGGGACCAGGTGAAGGGTGCTCCAGGGCAGCCGGACTCCCACCCAAAATGCTCGTTAGCCCTGCTGTGCTCTGCATTAGTGACTGTATCTTCCCAGCCTTGTCTGTCTCCCTGTCATCACTGGCTGTTTTAGCTCTAAATGCCTCTTGCTTTTTTGCTCCAACCCCTTATTGTAAGAAAGCCTTGATTCCTTGAGCATAAGAGGAATAAGACACATTTGAAGGGAGGGAAGGAGAGGGAGAGGGTGGGGAAAAGTGACGGCAATATGAGGTTGGCTGCTGATGCATGTTTCCGTGAGGTATGTTGGAAATATCTTTCTCCAAACTCCAGATTCAAGGTCATATCACCATGTCATCCGTGGTCAGGAGTTTAGAACCCACAACCTGAACCCTGACTTTGCCAGCTTGCATGTCATGGGGCCGTCCTCTGCTCAGCCCTCCCAGGGGCTCAGCCCACTCTGGGAATACCCCGGCCCCAGCTGCCCTTTTGGCCATGATGACCCTGGACAGCGAGCCCTTCTTTCTTGCATAGGGTGCCAGGCACACTTGTTGGAATCCAGGCGGAGGGTGACTGTTCCCTTCTCCATCTCTCGACATAAATATGGACTGTACCTGATCACACCTGGCAGGAAGGCGTGTGCTTTGAGGTTGGCAGCTGCCCAGTATGGCACAATATTTGTTGTAGGAGACAAGAGACCTGTTGGGTCCAGGTAAAATGTGCACTAACAGGGAGCCTGGTCAGACAATGGCCCCACTTTCAAAGTCTATTTCTAACTCAAAGGGAGAGTTACAGTCAATAGAAAAGCTTTCACAATGGCCCCTTGCTTTAATGTCGCTTCCTCTACAGTCCTTTGTGAAGTTGGTCAAGGATGCTGGAGGCTGGAGCTGCCTGCATTCTGGCTGTGCTTTGCTTTGTCAGCCCAAGCACTCGGAGAGGTTCTCCGACGAGCACCACTTGTTTGTATAAACTCTGTAGCTGGGAAATGGGGGACAGTTCAGAACTGGAGTGTCAAAGCCAAGAGGAATGGAGAGCCCACTTCAGACACTAGTCGTGGTAGACATTGTGAAGCCAGGAAAGCGAAGTGTTGAGAACACTGCAGGCCATGCAGACTGCATCTTGCCTGCCTAAGATCACATGGACTGGGCAGAACTTGGACTTGAGCCCAGCTCTTCTGAAACCCAGTTGTTGAATTTCCACCTTAGCTCCTATTTCTCTGGTGCTTCGTCGCTTCCCAAGTACATCCACCCAATCATCCCACCTAATCATCAAAGTCACAAAAACCAGCCCAGGATATGCACCCACATTCCTACCTTGGTTGGCAGTGTGTTCTACTCCAAGTCTGTTTCTTCCTATTCCTTGTCTTCAGAGTGACTGAGGGTGTTATAAAATGTCTCCATCTCATACTGGGAATGACAAAGAACATGGGACAGGTCCCTACAATGTTTGGATGATTGATGTGTTCTGTTTCCTTAATTCTTGCTTCCTGGTGGCTCAATGCTATGGCACCACTAACCCTGTTGGATGCCGTAATGCCCGAAGCAATGTGTGTACTGGGAATACGAGTTTAAGAAACAGACATTCTCTCCATCCCTGGGCATCAGTATCTACACACAGTTTACTAGCCTCTGAATCAGCTTCTCATTTGAACTAGCAGAAAGGCATCCCCTGGATAAATCAACACTGTCAGTGAGCCAGGGAACAATTCTCAATTGACCTACTTTCACTCAGGGTGGAACCCTTATTCCTAAACCTTGGGTTGAGGCTTGTGGATAAAGAAGAATGCACACATGAAACTAACTTTTTATCAGCCTAAAACTGAAACGAACTTGGGTTTTATATTTGGAGGAAGTCAAATGCTCTGATGAAAAGAAGAAATGGAAATTGAGCATAATTTATCACAAAATAGGCAAAGACATAGAAGGATGCTTTCAGGCTTTTATGAAAGCAGCTGGGCTGGATTCAGAGGACAGAGGAGTATAACAGACAAGGGGATCAAGAACCTGCTCACTCCTGAGAAAGCACCCAGCAGCTCTTCTGTGTTCTTTGTTCATCTGTTGAAGAGGCTGCCCCCTCAGCCTAGTGCAAACAACTCAGGCCATGAGAGAAAGAAGGGGGTGGGCAACTCTGTCCATTCTGAGCTGACTTGCCTGCTGGGAGGAAGGCACACCATAAGAACTCACTGGGGCCCTTGAATGATCCAAATTTTGGATATTGATTGAGAATGCTTCAGAAGATTGCAGATCTTCCAGATCTTCCAGAACTGTGGGAGCTTTGCTGGAAACTGCAGGTTGAGGGAAAAGGTCTCTCTTTTGTTGATGAAAGGTTATTATTCTTAAGAATTAGTGAGGTTAGGGCCGGGTGCGGTGGCTCACACCTGTAATCCCAGCACTTTGGGAGGCCGAGGAGGGCGGATCATGAGGTCAAGAGATCGAGACCAACCTGGCCAACACAGTGAAACCCCATCTCTACTAAAAATAACAAAAATTAGCTGGGCGTGGTGGCATATGCCTGTAGTCCCAGCTACTCAGGAGGCTGAGGCAAGAGAATCACTCGAATCTGGGAGGCAGAGGTTGCAGTGAGCCAAGATTGAACCACTACGCTCCAGCCTGGCGATAGAGCAAGACTCTGTCTCAAAAAAGGAAAAAAAAAAAAAAAGAACTAGTAAGGTTAGTTGGTTAGTTAGGTCAATGTCACTGCCTTATATTTTCTCACTGGTTCTTCCTAAGGTCAAAGTGCCAAGGATCCCAAGTCTCTGAGATGGATCTTTATGTGAAGCAACTACAATCACAGAGCTTCTGGATTCCTCTCACTATTTGTTCTTACTACAGAGGGGCTGTCATGGAGTAGTTTTCTTCTTTTCAAGCACCTGAGTGAGCTTAAGAAGTGGGTGAAGGGTGTTTGGCAGCCAGGCTTTGCTCTTTCACAGCCCTCCATGGTAGACAGGTCAAGCGGACCTTGCTCCCACGATTTTTAAAATTGTGATCCTATGTCCCTCTTGAACCAGTTCTTAGCTAAATGGTTAGCATATTCCTGGTGCAAGGTGCATGTTCACTGAATGCTTGTTTTGCTGGTTAAAACAGACTTAACATCAAATCATTTTAGGACATTTAAAAGTACTGAATTATTTATCTGAAAGAAGAAGGAGCTTAATATTTGCATAAGAGAAGGACAAAAAATGGTCCAGAAGTATGTCAAAGAGCCGTGGCAGAATCATCACTCTTTTTTAAGGCACTATCTGGTTTATGAATCTTCTGTGTCTGTTGGGGTGGAGGAGTTGGGCAGACACACAGGGCTTTTAGCTAAGAGTGACCTCTGCCTGGTCTCCTGATCAGGCCATTCACTCTCCCAGGCTCTTGTATTTTGCTTTACCCTCCCTATTTGCACCTTCTACACACATGATTTTGGATTTTAAGATCTGATTTTCCACATACTTTGAATTTGTGTGGTTCAAAAGTTTATGACTTTTTGACCAAATTTGGAAATTGAATAGATAATCTTGCCTATCCTACCACTTTGTAAACTTATTAATTACCTTGATCTTCCATGTTAGGCATATTTAATGTATTTTTAATCACTTAGTAGAATTGTCTAATACAGAAAAATAAAAAGAAGAAAACAACAAGAGTGAGCTACTGCCCAGACAAGGCTTATTAATTACAAAAGAAAAATTGTGTTACACTGACTGTAAAAAAAATTGTGCTAACTTTCTTATTTTTGCTATGCTTTCTGAAATAGTTTAAATGCACCAAAATATTCTGTTACTTCAAACATTAAAAAAATTCACCTGTGACACTGGGTAATCTTGGTGATTTTGGGAAGGGGTAAATAATTCTTTAACACCATAAAAAGTACCTTTTCCTGGTGTTTTTCAGTGTCATTTTGAGGGGTTATTTTACCAGGTCCTTGGGCACCTCTGTGCAACTTTGTCTCTCTAATGTCATGAGGTCAGCAAGAATATAACTCAGATTCTAAACTCTTGCTTCCAGACTTTGAAATTTCCCCAGGACAAAAATTAGCTTCAAGTGCTTGACTCAATTTGCTAGATTCCAGAACTTTCCTGGATTTCAGTTGGCTAATTTCTCACCATCTACTTAGCTGTTTACTGCCTTTAAGCCTTTATAGAGAGATAGATATTGATAGAAATAAATATTTATGGATATAGATGTAGACATATGTATTTACATATAGATATGGATGGATGAGACATAGATTGGCATTTTCGGGTTGTTTCCAACAGAAGCGTTGGTCTAAATTACCTGGTCTGCCATTACCCAAAAATGAGAGAGTAAATAAGAAGGTTAACAAGTTTTTTTTACAGTTAATATAACGTGATTTTCTTTTTTTACTTGTGTATATTATCTACTGTTGCTCTTAATTAATTTATTAACTCTGTAAATGGTGGCTTAAGCCTCAATTTGGTGCCTTATTTCCAAATTCTCACTTCTTTTAAAAAGAAATCCCTTATGTGAAACTTCTATTAATAACTAAATTCACATTCCCTTATTTTTTTTCACCCTGCAGTTCAGAACGCTCGAGGAAACTTCTTGTTTTCAGTTTGTGTTTTTTTTCATTCCTTTCTTTTTTTCACCCTGCAGTTCAGAACACTCGAGGAAACTTCTGTTTTCAGTTTGTGTTTTTTTCCAGATTAGATTGTTTTGTTCTTCACAGTTTTTTTGTCTTTCTTTGCCCTTTCTTACTTTCCTGTTTCCTTTCCTGCAGAAAGCTTAAATAAATGGTGTGTTGGAGCTGCTTCTCTCCACACTGGGGATGAAAATATTATTTTTCATGATGTTGTTGATTCACAAAGTAGAAAGTTGCCTTGGACTTCACAAACCAAACCTGGGCAGGTCTTTGGAAACCTCCGTTCTTTTTGCTCCGTTGTCCCCTTTCTCTCAGTCTCTGCCTCTTTCTTCCCTTTCTGAAGTCATTTGTTGTTCATAGCATTAGGTTAGGAGGTCGGGTTTCTTATATTCTTATCTCACAAGAGCAAATTACTAATGGGATGTATTTTAGAACGTGGGGGAAGGGGTACTTGGACCACAAACTTTATTATGATACACTGGGCTTCTTCTGACACAGAAACTGCTGGGTCATGCTTCTAACATGCCAAAACAGAGTTTCTAACATTCGCCCCCAGGATCTGGAAAGCAGTCCTCATAAAATCAATGAGACTTGTCCTTTCCTTCTCTCTCCTCTCGGCCTAGTCAAGTCCTGTCCTGTTCAAAAAGTGCAGTCAAGACTTCCCCTGCAACCGTAAGCTTCGGGAATGTCTTAGATGCTACAGTTTCTCTGGTTCTCCTGTGTCCAGACCCTTTTGGCCCTTTGTTCTCAGAATCAATCAAGTCTGCCCTCGGCTATGCCCGGCTCTGCTCATCTCTAGTTTCCTTCAACCAACTCCTTGGTGGTCTGCACCCAGTCCTACGCTTCTCTAACCCTATGACAGGCAGCCTCTGGCTTGGCCCAGTCATCCTCAACTCCGGATGCTCATACTCCTGGGGTTCCTTCCCCACGAGGGTGGGCAGGACCTATGACTTAGCGCTAATAGAATGTGGTAAAAGGAAAGAGATGTCACATCTGCTATTAGATTATAGAAAGACTGTGACTTTCCTCTGTCTCTCCCTCTCTGCACCTACCTCTCCCCTAAAGTCTTCACAGCTCACCTGCTCTACTGAATCACACTGCCATGTTATGAGTTGCCCATGTGGAAAGGGGCTGATGTCTTTTGCCAACAGCCGTGAGAACCCGAGCACCTGCCAGCACCCACATGCGTGACCTCGGGAGCAGATCCTCCTGAGGAAAAGCCTCGAGATGACTGCAGCCTGGGCCCACACCTTGACTGTGGCCCTGTGAGCGACCCAGGGTCAGAGACACCCAGCTAAGCCACACCCAGACTCCCGACCCACAGAAATCAGGATATAATAAGTGGTTGCTGCTTTAAATCGCTAAGTCCTGGAGGCATGTTCCACCCAGCAATAGGTAACTAATACAACCTCTTGTGGAATTTTTCCTCCATCTCCTCTGGGTAGCACGTTAGAATTGTCCTGGGGCAGGAGATTGGTTAAAATACACACGTTTGACAATACCCTTAGAGGCGCCAGCTGATGAGTCTGGAGTGGTGTCTAAAAATCTGCCTTTTTAAGCAGCATCTGGGACTTCTGATGGTGGTTCAGCAGCAAGCACAGAGAAAGCCTATCTAGAATGGCTGGAACCACCGCACTCTGTTACAGTTCATTTTTGCCAAGTGGCTAGGGTAGAGAAAAGCTTCATTTATGGTCATTCAATATTTATAAAGTAATTACTAAGCAAAAGTACCATGCCACTCATCATAGATTATATTTTCCAAAGAAGTCTGCAACAATTTCTCTTGTCTCATGTGCTCTTCTGCAAGGTGACCTTGACATTCCTCATCAAGAGGTGAAGCCTCGTTCTCATCCCCTTGAATCTGGACTCGCCTCGTGACTCACTCGTGACTAACAGAATGCAGTGGAATTGGTGCTGAATGACTTTCATGGCTCAGTCAGGAAAGCCATGCTTCTGCCTGGTTCTCTGAAGACCAGGACAAGCCACAATCCATGTAGGAAGTATGATTACTTTAAGATCACCATGCCATGGGTACACACTGTAGTTGACAGCCCCAGTCCAGCTGCACCCAGCAGCCTGTGCACCTGCCAGCCATGTGAGCAAGACATCGTGCAAGGACAGCCCACCAAGCCTTTGGATGACATCTGATGGTCACCCATGAGAGGCTCTAAGCTAAAGCTTCCCAGCCAGCTCTTTTCAAATTCCTGACTCACAAATGAGCAAAATAGGCTGGGCAGGGTGGCTCACACCTGTAATCCCAGCACTTTGGGAGGCCAAGGTGGGTGGATCATTTGAGATCAGGAGTTCAAGATGAGTCTGACCAAAATGGTGAAACCCCATCTCTACTAAAAACACAAAAACTTAGCCGGACTGTAGTGGTGCGCACCTGTAATCCCAGCTACTCAGGAGGCTGAGGCAGGAGAATCGCTTGAGGCTGGGAGGCAGAGGTTGCAGTGAGCTGAGATCATGCCACTGCGCTCCTGTCTGGGTGACAGAGTGAGACCCTGTCTCAAAAAACAAACAAACAGACAAAAAACAAACAACAACAACAACAAACAGCAACAACAACAAATTAGCAAAATAAAGCTAATAAGCAGAACACTGCTTAAGCTGAAATTGCAGATTAAAAGGCACATGCTTTGCTCTCAGTTTCATGACTAAAATCATGGACAGAAATCATTACAACTGGTCCTGGAAGAGAAAGGGCTTAGCATCTGAGCTGAGGGTTGGAGGAAGAGTGCAGTTTGCCATGATCCTGGGTCTTGGGAGGCAGTCCAGGTGCAGCAACCATCCCTAAGAGCTACAGCAATTCAGCTGTAGTATAGGGTTCAAATAGTGGGTAAGGGGCTGATAAAAGTGGGGAGGCCTGTCATGGACGAAGAGCTATTATTGCATGGGGAACCTACTGTGCCAGGCTAAAAAATGGTGATTTTGTCTTGGCCCCAGTCGGTGAGTGCTGGAGATTTTGGAACATGCTTATCTGGGTGGTGTAAACACCCATTTCTTGGTGGAAGAAAAGCAATAACTCTTTGCCAATCAACTGAGTGGAAAAAGGACCACATTGCAAGCCAAGCAGTTTCTATTTAAGTCCTTGTGCTCCCTGTGACTCACCCTATAATTTTGAAGAGATTACTTAAGGCCCATGCCCTCCTTGTAAACACCTGTCACTCTTCTGGTTTGCAGAGATGCTAGGAGGCTAATGAGATCACACATATGGAATGTATGGGAGCTTCTAAAAGAAATAAACCAGATACATTCACCGTCGTATTATCATCACCCCAGCCATGTGGAAGTGTGGAAGGCAGCTTTCTAGCAGACCTAGGGGTTCTGGGCAGGGCAGAAGCCAGAAACTCAGAAATAAAGGAAAAATAAAGAAAGGTATTTGGCCCCAGAGAAAGCAGGGAGATCCAGAAAGGACTGGAGAGTGAAAGATAGCATGACACAGGATGCGCTTGGCTGTGAAGGAGACCCCTACACCTTGCTTGGAGTGAATGACGGGGAAAGCTACGCTGATGCTCACAGTCCTGGGGTTCCCTCCCCATGGGGGTGGGCAGGACTTATGGCTTAACTCTAACATAGAATACGGAAAAGGGGAAGAGAGGTCACATCTGAGAGTAGGTGATTGAAAGACTGTGACTTCCCTCTGTCTGTCCCTCTTTGCACCCACCTCTCCCATCAAGTCTTCACAGCTCACCTGCTCTACTGAATCACACTGCCATGTTGTGAGTTGCCCATGTGGAAAGGGGCTGATGTCTTTTGCTAACAGCCATAAGAACCTGAGCACCTGCCAGCAGCCACATGCGTGAACCTCAGGAGTGGATCTTCCCCAAGGCAAGTCTCAAGATGACTGCAGCCCGGGCCGACACAGAAATTCAGAAATCCAGAAAAGTGAGAGATGCTGTGAGAGAAAGATGAGGGAGGAAAGAAGGAATGGGCCAGACTCTGAGGCACAAGGCTGGAGTGTGGGAGCTGAGGAAGCGCAGCGGGGCTGGCTGTGGATAGATGGAAGTTGAAGAGGAGGGTCTTGAATGACGGGGTGCGAACCAGCCTCCCCCAAGCTCAGCAACTGGACTTTTTTGTGCAGTGTCCTACAGATTAGGAGGAGGGTTATGTCTCTTTAACAATGTGTGTGCTGCAGCAGCTTTAGAGCAATAGAGCGAAAAAAGCCCAGATGTTCTAGGAGGAGCCCGTGGTGATGATAGATTTCAGTGGGCATGTGTGAGAAGGGATCCAGGGGTATGACAGGAGCAGTTAGAACAGGCCAGGTGAGAATAATGGGCCACTGAGTAAGACAGTGGCTGTCTGGAGAGCCCTGAAGTTGTTCCTACTATACGTGGTTTCCACCACCTGCTAGACTTAAAATAGCATTTCCATGTGTCTGCACCCTGAAGACCTCCTGAGTCAGGTTACCTACCCTCCTTTGCAAAGCAAACACCCCCTAAGGAATCCCAGCATTGTCTTGTGTACCCCTGCACCAACTCTAATGCACTGGACGTGGATTGAGAAAAAGAAAAGGAACACAGACTCCTTGGGTGGGACCTGCCTTTGGGGCTGTGCCTCTGAGCATTCATCCTAGCTGGAAATCCTTTGCGCCTGTGGTGGTTGTGAGAGCACAACTCACAGGGGCTCCTGCTGTATCCTCCCACCTGCAGTCAGGGCTCCAGAGGATGCCTTTGATCTTGGGGACATGATTCTTTGATCATGTCCCCCTCCCTGCCCCACCTTTGGGGGGACCTTGCACCTCTTTCCCTCCCCAGACATTGGAGTTATTACTTATTGCTGCTACTTTTTTTCAGGAGGAATAACATGTATGACTTTCTTTATTGATTAGCTTTCAAGGGCATTTGCTAGAGAAAACAGGCTATGGGGAGAAGCAGAGGTTCCAATAGCCCACATGGTGACTGGGTTTCCTTATAGCATCTGGTACCCTTGACTGTGTTTTCTGCTGGCTTGGGTTGGTCAGGTCTGCTCTCTGGGTCTCGTCTTCCTCTGGAGTGTTTCAGATGATCTATTAGGTGTGTGAAATTCACAGACTCAGCCAAGGGCTGTAAACATTTTTATTTTATGACTCCTTACCTTTATTTAATATTTGGCTTGTAACACAAACCGATATTCATGTGCTACAACTCTTTTTGTCACCCGGGGGTCTGTTTTCCAAGCATCTAAAGGTTGAAGTATTGTAAATGTATTTTATTTATGACATTGAAAAAATCCTTGTAGGACAAAATGTTTTTTTCTATGATTTCAGCTCCTCCTTCTGAATAAATCAAGTATGTTTAGAAAGAAATAACATTAAAGCATAGGCATTTAATCAAATCAGGCAAGTCACTCAAAGCTTACCGAGTGTTGGGGTAAGTAACCTCTTTAGTGAGCTCTGTTCGGAAAAGGCTATGTTTGGGCTGCTTTTCTGGTTCCTGAATAGAAGACCCATTGAGACTATTGCAAGTCCATGTGTCATCCCTCTCAAGTCTATGCACCCACCTTAGGTTCTTACATCCATGCATAGCCAACTACAGGCTGTTCCTTTGTGCCAGGTCCCAGGCCCATGCCAGGAGTGGGAATACAGAGGGCTCACACTCCAGACAGCAGAGAGAAGCCACTATTCTACCATGAAGCTGCAGAGGACTATGGAGGCAGCAAAGGGAGAAGTGCTACCTCATCCTAGGCAGGCTGGAGAGCGCCTCCCAAGAATGACATCACAGGGGAGGGGAGGAGGAAGGGCATGCACAGAGGTGCAGAGGCAGGGAGCAGGGAACCCTCTGCAAAGCCCAGGGGGGTGGAGGGAGAGGAAGGGCCCAGCTGAGGCATGGGAGCCAGGCATGCCAGGCATTGCTACCCTGGGACTTTGGATTTTATCCTTCAGACCAGGCACTTTTTAAAATTTTTTTAAATTTTTTGAGACAGTCTCACTCTTGTCACCCAGACTGGAATGCAATGGCACGATCTCGGCTCACTGCATCTGCCTCCTGGGCTCAAGCAATTCTCCTGCCTCAGCCTCCCGAGTAGCTGGGATTATAGGCATCTGCCACCACGCTTGAGTAATTTTTGTATTCTTAGTGGAGACAAGGTTGCACCATATTGGCCAGGCTGGTCTCAAACTCCAGACCTCAGGTGATCTGCCTGCCTCAGCCTCCCAAAGTACTGGGATTACAGGCGTGAGCCACTGCGCCCAGTGCTTTAGACTGTTTTTGTTGTGTTTTTTTTTTTTTTTTTTTTTTAAGTCAGTGGAACTTTGTTTTAGGTGAAACATGAACACAAGCCCAATGTGTGAACTGGAGGCCAAGGGGCTCAGTTGGAAAGAAAGGTGGGGGTCCTCAGCCTTCCTCTTCCCCATTCACCTTTCCAAAGGTTTGAGGGTCTCCTCTGCTCTGCAGAGCATGGTCTGGAAACGCACAAGACCATGCTTCCCCTAGTGGTCAGTGGCATGTTTGACTGCGGTCGGAGCCTCAGCTTCTCCTGCCCCGTTGCCCAGTCACCATGCCTGGTCTCACCTCTTCTCCCCAGGCCTCATCCAGCTCAACTACTCATGGAGATGCAGATGCTGCTAGCTCACTCCCATTCTCCCCTCATCTTCACCATCAGAAGTGGAGGGGGTGATGCCTGGCTCATGATGGTCCTGTGCGAAAGGAGGGAGAACAAGCCCACAGTAGGCCTTCACCCAGAGGTGGCTACTATGATCACCTAGATATGCATGCCCTGAAAGCTCATGAGTGCACAGGAAGTGGAGGGATAGCCTGGCATCTTCCTGAAAAACCTACCCCTGAACACAAGGAAGATAACACAAGGCCACACCAGAGACCCCTGTGGTTCACTTTTCTTCTTTCTCTTCCTAATGAAGTAGGGCCCAGCTGCCTCCTTAAAGACTCTTCCACCTGTATCCAGTTCCATCACTTGGACAAGCCACCCTAGGACCCAGATCCCATTTTCTACTTTTGTTTGAGAACGTAGACCATCTCTGGGAGGTATGACAGTGTAGATGACATCATCTCACAAATGGAAAACCAGACCCTCAAAGGTAAATATTGCACTTGCACCCCAATAGAGAGCTGGGAGCAGAGGCCATTGTGAGGACTTGACACTCCAAGATGCTAAATGTGTCCTTGTTTTCTGCAAAACAAACAGAACACTAAGAGAAGTGAGGTTGTCTGCCTCAAATGCAAAGTTGAAATGAGTCTACTTGTATGATCTTCACGTGGACTAAAATCATCCACACAGAGGGCAGTGCAAGATTGGACACCACAGAAGAATGAACAAAAGGAAATGACTCTAAATTGCTCCAGAATGATTAGAGTTTGGTACCAGGAGAGAAAAACAAAAATCAAACAACAAAATAGGACATGGGCGTTGGAGAACCTACCGAGGGTTTTCTAGGGGAGGCTGTCAGGCTGTCTTTCCCAGAGGCTCATGGACAAGAGGACCACCTGTTAGGCAGGGATGGGCTAATAGAGAGGAGATGAAACAAGTGACCCATTGCTGCTCTGGTCTCAAGGTTGTGGCAGAAGTTCCTCCACATGGATCTCTTGTCATTTTTAGGAGAAAGCTGCTTATACATGCAAACTTACCCCAACTATGCTAAGACTTTGGTTTTATTACTAGTTCTGCTGTTCATATCTCTTTTCTGTCAGATCCCTGGGGAGGTGCAACTGCAAGCAGTGGTTGCAAAGTGACACTTACATATCTACCAGTCTGGCTCTAAAAGTCTCACCAATGAACACCTAAGGCCCTGTGCTGCTTTCATAGCTCTCTGAACACTGAGTTTTACCCAACAGTGCTTCCAACATTTGAGTAGGAAAGAGAGAAGGGTGAAAATAATTGGCTTATGAGGGTTTTCAAGGGTGAATTTTGCTGACCTGAATCATTTGGCTGCTGCATCCAGACACCTGCAGTAATGTTTTCAATATGCAAGAGCAAAGAGGAATTAGGTATGCCAGAACAGAGTCGTTTGTGTTCTTTGCAGTCTGTTCTCTGTACAATCACAAAGCATTTTTTAATGATATTTCAAAACACTTTTTCAAAGAGAGTTTAATGCAAAGCAGATTTCTTGTGTAACAAAGACAGGAAGGATACTGCTTGACAGTAGCTCTTAAATCCAAGACTACGGAGGCTATCAAAAACAATCGGCAGCAGGCCAAGAACTCAAATTTTGACAAGAGTTGTCAGATACTGTGATTTAAGGGGCAATACAAATTTGTCAAAGGTGTCATCCTTAGGTCATCAAAAATGTGTGTTGTGCTTATCTAGATTTCCCTCCAAAGGACTTGCAAAGGTTAAGAGAACAAGTGATGATGTCTGGACAGGCTTGCGATCCCAGGCACAGGTTGTAAGGAGGGCAAGTGTGAACGATGGGGCTTTGGGGATTTTCACTGATAAGATTTTACCTGAAAGGTCAGGTGAGTCTCCCTCTGTATTCAACACTCTTAGGGTGACATTTGTAGGCATAAAGACCCCATTCTTGCCGTCAAAGAGTTTACATCGAGATAGCACTGCTTTCTCTCAGAGTGCCTATGAAGCACTTAACAATCAGGGACAAAATCAAACATGAGCTGTAATAACATCACCAAGGGCTGTGCAAATTATTTAACTCATTTTGAAGTGAAGAAGCTAGTAAAATGTCACAAAAGTTTCAAAGGATAATCCAATAATAATTTATGGATTAAGAATATTGAAACAAATTTGTAAACGGAAGCAAAACTGGCTTGGAGGGAAAGTCATTGTTTCTTTTTGGGATATAATTGATTTGCATGTCTATGAACAATTATTTGCATTACTATCAATTTTCCACATGTTAGCCAAAATATCTACAGTAGTGTTAAACAGCTCGGAGAAAAGTCTCTGATCCCTAAGGTCCAGATCATCCGAGGGACACCCTCATCCATTGAGAGGATGCCCAGTAATATTTTTGCTTATTCCAAAGTCTTGTATTTTTCCTTACATTGATAATTAATGCTGGATTCTGGAACACTTCAAACATGTGTGAGAAAATTGCTGTGTGGATGTGGGAAAGGATCATGAAGCCATCGGGGGATGTGAGTAATTCCCCTTCACACTGCACATGAAAAGCCACTCTATTAGTCCATTCTCACACTGCAATAAAGAACTACCTGAGACTGGGTAGTTTATGAAGAAAAGAGGTTTAACTGACTCAGTTCTGCTGGTCGTACAGGAAGCATGGTTGGGGAGGCCTCAGGAAACTTATAATCATGGTGGAAGGGCAAAGGGGAAGCAAGCACCTTCTTCACATGGTGGGGCAGGAGAGAGAGAGAAAAAAAACCCAAACACCGCATGTTCTCACTCATAGGTGAGAATTGAACAATGAGAACACTTGGACACAGGAAGGGGAACATCACACACCGGGGCCTGTCGTGGGGTGGGGGGAGGGAGGAGGGGGAAGGGATAGCATTACGAGATATACCTAATGTAAATGATGAGTTAATGGGTGCAGCACACCAACATGGCACATGTATACATATGTAACAAACGGGCACGTTGTGCACATGTACCCTAGAACTTAAAGTATAATAAAAAAAAATGAAAAAGAGAGCGAGAGAACATGCAAGTGAGTGAAGAGGGAGGTGTTACGTCCTTTCAAACAACCAGATCTCATGAGAACTCTATCATGAGACAGCACTGGCGGATGGTGCTAAATCACTGGAAACCACCCCCATGATCCAATCGCCTCTCACCAGGCTCCATCTCCAACACTGGAAATTACAATTCAACATAAGATTTGGGTGGGGAGACAGAAACAAACCGTATCAGCCACATAATGACTAATGGTGAGGCGGACAATAACCCATGCCTCAAGGTCTGGGCCTAAAAACTTCTGGCTCACGTTATGTTCAAGGACTTTTTCTTTTGTTGTTAGATTGGGAGATGTTTTAAAAAGTAAAAATTACACCTCAAAGAGAGTATTCTTGCAGAAATTTGGCCTTTAATAACACTGTCATTTGGAATCAATGAGTGAATGAGAGCAGAGGTTTGCTAACTTCTATAATACCCAAAAGGCAACCACAAGTGGAGGCCAGTCTCTGGACATCTTCAGATGAATACAAAATTTCTTTAGGCAAGGCAGTGTCTGTGGCCTGGAGATTCCTTCAACTGTTTGCAGAAAAGTAAATGTAGTTGCAGAAGTTTTAGATGGGTCATTGCTTCTCACTTACAGTTGTAAGTATTTAGATCAGTGCTTTCTAACTTTAATACGCACAAGAATTATCTGGGACTGCTGTCAAAATGCAGTCCCATTCCCTAGGCCTGGGGCAGGTCCTGAGATTCTGCATTTCTAACAAGGCCATGCCACCACTGCTGATCCGTGAACCACACATAACTCAGGAGAGCTGACCCTTCACTCCCACTCAACATCAGTGAAGCGGAATAGGTTCGAGGGAGGTGGGAATGGTTGGCTTTTTTTCCCCTCCCCTTCTCTGTTATCAGCAGCACCCAGTGGGTGGTTGAACTTGCATTCTCCCTCAGAGGCAATGTGACAGTGTGAATTGGTCTCCACTTCTCAGGAAAGCATTGGTGGGGTGTGGAAAGAGTTGAGTTTCCTTTCCACCTATGAACAAAGAGAACACCCAGAGGGAAGCTGCATGTATGTACCTGGCCCTTACTCTGCATGTTAGCAGGGGGTCTACCTGCTAATAAAAGAAGACTCAGTAAAATCCAGAGTCCGAACCCAAAGGCAGAGGTTACAATTAATTTGTCACTCACCATAACAAGAACAAGGAAAACTACAACTTGAATGAGAAATGACAACCAACAGATGAATTACCAAGATGAATCAGATGCTGGAAATATCTGAGCACCCACCATAAAAACTCTTCAACAAGCAACTGCAAATTATCTTGAAACAAATTAAAAAATTGGAAATGCTGGCCAAAAAATAGATAATATAAAAATAATCATATGAAAATTATATAACTGAAGAAATACTATCACCAACCCCTCCCCTCCCCAAACAAACAAACAAAACAAAAACAAACTTGCTGAATGGGCTCAACAGAAGAAGAGAGATGGCAGAGACAGAGTCAGTGAATCTGACAGCAGATTAATAGGATTTACTCCATCTCAACAATGAGAAGAAAATAGACTATTGGGGGAAAAGACAAAAATTATCTCAGGAATCTGTGGGGCAATAACAAAAGAACTAACATTGATATAATCAGAGCTCTGGAAGGAGAGACTAGAGAGTGAGATTGAAACAGTAACTGAAGAAAGAATAGTTGAAAACTCCCCAAATCTGGCAAATAGGATAAGTCCAAAGAAGTTCAGGCCAAAGCTCTTCATAATTAAACATGAAGTGATTCGTGCAATGATACCACATCCGGAGTGTGGTGGAGGGGCTTGGTGATGGAACATCCAGGAGGACCGTGTGACAAAGGCCACTATGGAGACACAGCCTCCCCAGACACTCTTAGTGAGTTCTTCCTGCTTTTCAGATTAGATCCTGGGGCGGCGAGATGAATGGAAATTGTCCCTGCTCTAAGAAGATCATAGGTGATTTGAGGGGTGGACGTATAAACCATCTATGATGGTGAGAACAAGAGGATTGTTCTGCCCCTGGCTGCTCTAATGACGCCTGTCTTGATTTTGAGAAAATCCCTCTACTTTGCATATCTGTAAAGTGGATGTACAGATTCATGTGCTCTCTGAGTGTGGGACACAATTAATATATAGATGATAGTTGCATAAAATGCCCTTTTTAAAGTTACATTTTAGAGAGTTGGAGCCAGGGTCTCCCAACATTTGTGGAGCTCTATCACTCTGACTGTTGGCTCCCAGAAATGATCTGTATGGATTTCTGGTCCTCTCTCTCCTGGTATTGGGACTCTTTGCTATGAATGCAAGAGATGGTTCAAGAAAATGATTCTCCATTGCAATAGCTACATGAGTACAGGGGAGACTGGATTCCTCATATGTATTCTAGGTTTCTCAGCATGTCATTGAAGAGTGTTTAGGGATCTTGTGAAATTATTTGCAGAAGGTAAGTTTCTTATTCCTGCAAGGACTCTGGCATAATTCCTTGGCAAACTCAGGATTCTATGACCTGTGTAAATCATATCCATCTCTGGACGGTTTTCTGTATACCAACTGGCAACTCATCATTCTTTTTAATAAGGTTAAAGCCAGGAGAGAATTCAACTTCGGTGTTTTTATATTCCTGTAAGAGGCTCACCTGTGAGAAAACTGAGGATGCAGGACCAGGAAGGTGAGGATATCAAGCTGGATGACAAGTCAAACAAGCCCCACACAGAGCTCTGTGAGTCACATCTCAGAGTTGTCCCCATCAGGAAACAAGGAAACCTGGCAGGTGGGGCACTGACACAGGGAGAAAGATCAAATTCTTCAGGCACTTCCAGCTCCCAGGAGTGGGGAGGGTGGGCTCCAGCAGCCTGTAGGCAGCTTCCCAGCAAACAGACTCAGATGCTGGTGCTGGGGCTACACCAGGAGCCTGGGCATGAACCAAGTACTGGATGAAAGGGGACACTATACCTATTGGTCTGTTACAGCAACACTGTGTGAGCCTTGCTAAATTACCCAGTAGATTTCCTGGTCCTTTATTGAATTATTTTGTGTTTTTTCCCCTCAAACCACCTCTCTGCACCCTTAGTCAGTGTCCTTTCTGATGACCTCCTCATCATCAGATGCTCAAAGCTGAATTTATCTGCATCACCTCTTTTTCTCTTCTGGCTGCCACTAACTTTCCCTCTCTCTTACCAAAAATGCTATTTCTCGGCATGCACCCCAGGACCCTTCTTTTTATGCTTTCCCAGGAATTACAGGTCTTCTCTTGCTATGGGCTCATTTTCAACCCCTAAAGCGTGCTTTAGTATCTCCTATCCCTAAAAGACAACAATAATCCCCATTCTCCAGCTTCTCCAGCTGCTCTATCCCAACCCAAGTTGCCTCTTGCCTGGGCCACATTCATGCTGGACTCACAGCAAATTCTTTCATAACTGGGTTACCAGCTGGACTTTTGCAATCATAAATCCAGTCATGTTTAAAACCTTCCCATGGTTCTTCCTTGTGCTTCAGAAAAACAGTGTGAACTCCTACAAATGACCTCCAAGGCTCAGCATGACGTATTCCCTGCCACCTCCACCTCTACGCTGCACCTCTTCCTTGTATCTATCACATTTCAGCTCCTGGTCCTCTCGGGATGGCTTGAAGACTCCAAACTCATTTCTACATTAGCGAACTTGCATATATTTGCTCTGCAGAAATGTGATTTCTCTTGTTTCTATAGATATAATAACTATGACATCCTTGCAAAGGGGAAGGCCACTCCAAACTCATTTATATTATATTCATTTGTATTTATATATCATTTATATTAATATATCATTTGTATTATATATCCATAGTGTTTTCCCAAAACCATGTCAATAGAAATTTATTTGGTCTTTTGCCAGAGACTGAGCAGTGGTGGGATTGAGGGTCAGAAGCACACATCTTTCCTCTTGTGAAGATTCAATTGCTTCCCTTATTATTAACCACTAAGGCGCTTTATAGCTCCCTTACATCCTGGCTGCTGTTAAGATCATACGTAAATAAACTTTGTCTAAGGAAAGCAAAATTTGGCCAGCACTATTCTGAAGCTGACATAGTTTGTCTTATTGTAATAAGCTCATTTCTAAGCATTCTATAGAAAGAAACAGTGACTAAAACATAGCAAGATTAGTGATTTTAGGAGTATTAGTCAGAGTGGACTAACGGCTACAACAGATGAGTCAAAATTGCATTGCAGGGGCTTAATGAAATAAAAATGTAATTCTTACTCACAACACAGTCGTATGTGGATTGGAGAGGATTCTCTTCTCCACATGGTCATTCAGGAATTTAGGCTTCCTCTATCTGTGATTTGGCCTTCCTCTTGGTTCCTGGAATTCTCTCCATTCACCTGGCAGATGGGAAAAGAGAGCAGGGATTACATGTGAGAGATTTCATGGGTAGGTCTTGGAGATGGGGCACACTACTGCTCACACTCCTTTGGCCAGAACTCAGGGCACATGGCCTCACTCAACCCCAAGGGAAGCTGGTTAGTATAGTTTGGATGTTTGGCCCTCCAAATCTCATGTTGAAATTTGATCCCCAGTGTGGGAGGTGGTGCCGGTTGGGAGGTGTTTTGGTCCTGGGGGTGGATCCCTCATGAATGGCTTGGTGCTGTCCTGGTGATGAGTGAGTTCTTTCTCTATTAGTTCCCAGGGAACTGACTGTTAAAAAGAGCCTGGCACCTCCCTCCCCTCTCTTTTTCTCTTGTTGTGAGATGTCTGCTCCCCCTTCCCTTTCTGTTATGAGTGGAAGCAGCCTGAGGCCTCCCTCACCAGAAGCAGATGCTGATGCCATGCTTCTTATACAACCTTCAGAACCCTGAGCCAAATACACCTCTTATCTTTATAGACTTCCCAGCCTCAGGTATTCCACTATAGCAACAAAAATGGACTAAAACACTGGTAAACGCCATGCAGGTATGTGCCAGGAGAAAGGACAGCACAGGTAATGGTGACAATTGGCTGTTTCTGATTCATCAACCCAAGCTCCCACATCTAGAAAGCACCCACAATTTGGGCGTGTCAATAAGCCTGATAAGAAAACAAAACCAAACACCGCATATTCTCACTCATAGGTGGGAATTGAACAATGAGATCACATGGTCACAGGAAGGGGAATATCACACTATGGGGACTGTGGTGGGGTGGGGGGAGGGGGGAGGGGTAGCATTGGGAGATATACCTAATGCCAGATGACGAGTTAGTGGGTGCAGTGCACCAGCATGGCACATGTATACATATGTAACTAACCTGCACAATGTGCACATGTACCCTAAAACTTAAAGTATAATAAAAAAAAAAAAAAGAAAACAAAAGCAAAAGAAGCCCAAACACACAAACAGTCTAAAGTAAAAGCCTTTTGGAGAAAGAAAACATGGTTTCAGTAGTGATTGCCAAAACCATCTACACCAGACAGAGTCTGCCATGATCTGAAGCAGAGGGTCAGCAGGGCGAGGGGCCCTCAGCTGCACAGCCCTGCCAACTGGGAGTGGTGCCCACAGCACACGCGTTTAGTCACACTGTGCAATTGCTGGCCTGCCTTGAACTGTGTCCATCTGCTCGGTGGCACTGCTGCTTAATCGGGCCCTTCGAGCAGGGCACAGGTGCCAAGCCAAAGGGGGGCTTATTGGGAAGCCCCAGATTGGACATCTGCTCCCTCTAGAATCCTCTGGGTCAGACCCATGGCACAGGCAGGCCCCCCCTCCTTATTTTTCTTGACAATAGAAGAAAGGAGGCTCCGAGATGCTTCTGGCTGCCAGGGCTCTGGCTGTCTCTCTCAGGGCCCTGGACGCCCCAGAGGCCACATTGGGAGCCAAACATGTGTCCCGCAAAAGTGCTGCTGGGACTTTCTGGGTGGAAGCCACATTCTCCAGGGGACAAAGGGACCTGAAAAGAAGAGTCCAGATGCTGCCCAGATAAGCCTGGGCCATGCCCAGGGAAGGCCAGCTCAGAGAGAGCACGGCTTCACGTAAGAACAGACGCCTGGGAAGGAAATGGGAAGCCTGCTGGCTTCATGCCAAGCGAGCTGCAGCCGCAGTGAAATCAGCACGGCCGGACTGTCTATATGGGACCCCACTCCACCATCATAACTGCCTGATGATGGGAGAATGGCCTGATCTCACTCTGTCTCTGTTTCCTCTCTCAGAAAATGAAGATGATAACCTATAGGACTGTTAGGAGAACCAGGTAAGTTACTGAAAATGCTTGGAACAGACCTCAGCCATAGTGGGTGCCACTCCAGATGTCATCAGCTTCTCTTAGTTAATGGGGCAAAACTGCACACCCAGGAGCCTGCAACTGCACATCTCAGCACTCGGTGTGAGCCATCTTTAAATACCTGTGCTAGGAGGAAGAGCGTGCGCTCAGCATCTATGGATTCAATACCAGGGTCACTAGTCACAGGTGGCTATTTACTTTTGACAAAGTGAAATAAATGTAAACACTGATACCTCCATGCTCAATAGTCACATGTAGCAGCAAGTACTGTGACAGGTATGGTAGATAGAGAACAGTTTCATCCATGCAGAGAGCTCTACTGGGGAGTGCGGATCCAGACAGCAGCCAATGGATAGGGAGGAGCAGGCTTACCTACCTGCAGACCTGAGTCAGGTGGGTGTGTTTCTGGAACTTGCGAGGCCACTATAGTGGGAGCAATGTGCTCAGCTGCCTCTATCATAAGGACGCAGAGGAGGAGGGGCCCTAAAAACCCGAGGCAAAATGGAGATAGATGTTTGACGGTCAGAGAATGTGCCCTTGCCAATGTCTGAGCTGAGTGGGGGCCCAGCCAATGCCAAATAGTATTTCTTAACAGATGAATGGAGTGGGCTGAGAGCAAGACCTTCCCCAGGGGGCTGGTTTATAGGAAGCACTCAGCCCTGAACCTTCTTTCCTCACTCTTGCAGTGGAGATTACAGCAATGAGGGATCAAAATATGAAGCAATCATCAAAAAGCAAACCCACTTCTCCCATCTCACACTTAGCCAATGTCATACCCAACAAGAGACATGGCTCAAACTTATCAGAAGGGCATTTTACATCTCATTTAAGTTCACATTTTTGGTGCAAGAATTTAAACTCCAAATATCTGAACACACTGCTTCACGTTGGAGTAGGGGGAAAGGAGAGCATATCATTTCTTGAAGAGAAATATAGGAACTAGGCCTGTAGGAAGAAATAACAACAATAATAATATAACAAAATGCAATAACAGTTATGGAGCATGTGGAATATTTCAGGCACATTTCCAAATAATAGAGCTGTATTAATGCATTCTAAACTGACTATAACTCTATGGAGGTCCATATGGTTATTATCTCCATTTTACAGAGGAGAAAAGTGAAACACAGAGAGGTTAAGTAACTTGTTCGAGGTCACACAGCAAGTGAGAAGCAGAACTGAAGTTTGAATCCAGGCATTTAGACTCTGGAGCTTACATGCATGTCCACTCTGCTGTCTTGCCTGAACCTTCTGCCTCTTAAATCTTTGGTAGATAGTGACTTCTTAGAAATATATATCAATATGTGTGCCCCTGTCTCTGCAAGGTGAGAAGTGTGTTTTACATGCATTAATATTTATGTTAGAAGAGAAGTTAGTGTGTTTTACATGCATTAATATTTATATTAGAAGAGAAGTTAATGTGTCTTACATGCATTAATATTTATATTAGAAGAGAAGTTAGTGTGTTTTACATGCATTAATATTTATATTAGAAGGCACAAACAGGTGGCCTGCTGACTTCTAATGTTTTATTTTATTTTATCTTTTTATTTTTTATGCTTGCAGTGTTTTTGGGGGGACAGAATTAGCAATAATTTTAAAGAGGCATACATAAATTTATTTTATCTTCTAGGTTTTCTTGGAAAATAGGTCACTAACAATATTATGCCCATTGTCTTGTATGGTAACAATTAGCTGGGGCTCAGTTGCAGGGCTCCATTTGACCAGTGTACCCCCTTCCTCTCTACCTCCATCCACCTAAATATTTTCCCTGCCGGCACTTTTTCTTTCAGGTTTATAGAGCTATAATCACATACAAATAATGGCACATATTCAAAGTATACAATGCGATGAGTTTGATGGATGTACATGTTTGTGAAATCGTCACACCAACCAAGGAAATGAACATATTCATATTCATCACCCCCCAAAATGCCCCGGGCCCTTTCCTATCCCCTCCTCCACTCTCAGCCACCTTCTGGTTTACTTTCCGACACTGCAGATAAGTGTGACTTTTCTATAATTTATATAAAGAAAAATCACACCTGGTGTACTTTTGTTTTGACTTCTTTCACTCCGCATAATTACTTTGAGATGTATCCATTTTTGTGTGTATTTCCGGTTTATACCTTTTTAGTGCTGATGAGTTTTCCATGGTTTGGAGACACCACAGTGTGTTTATTAACTCCCTGTTGGTGGATATTTGGGTTGCTTCCAGTTTGGGCTGTTCCAATAAAGTTGCTGAGAACATTCCTGCACAACCCTTTCATGCTTCCAGTACTTTGGAGTAAATATTTAGGAGAGGAACTCTTGAGTTACATGATAGGTGTACGTCTAACTTCTTAAGAAACTGCCAAATTGTTTTCCAAAGCAGGTGGATTGCATGTCCAGGGCCAGGCACCTGTTGACGTCTGACTTTGCCACCCATGGTGTTCTGACAGCTGGTGTGAGAAGTTGTAAACACAGGCTTGAGGGAGTGGGTGATGGGGCACCAGGGATGCCCTTTCGTTCCTCCATATACCACTGTAATATCATACTTATTGGGAGTGCTGTAGTGGCCAAAGGACTTTCACACAGATAGTTGGCTCTAGGTAGAGTCCAATTCCACATGTAGTGAGCTCTATCCTTACCACGGGGAAAAAGCTAGACAGGTAGAAAATTTACAGCTTTCCATGAACCTGTCAGAGAACTGAGATCACAGGACAAACGGCCATTGTGAAGAGTGACAGGGGCCAGCAAGGGACACAGGAGTCGGACATTTGCGTACCTGGGTAGAAGTCACCTTATAAGCCAGCAGAGACATTAAGCTAGAAATTTTGATGAGTTGCTAGAGCCCAAGGGTAGGCTAGCATGAAAGTGGGAGGCTCCTGGGGGCTGCAGGCAGAGAGGGGCTCCTGCTCTTTCTGAATGGTGTCCCAGGTGATGAGACATAACAGCAGAGCATCAGTTTCCCAGGCCAGAGTGAGGACTTCTAGTATGAAGCTGCCTGTAGGCCCAGGGATTTGTTAGGTTCTAGTGTACAGCTTCTCCTAAAGGCTGCCTCCATGGAGAAGAAGGTGACATTTTGTAGACACTTGGGGATGATTTCAGCTCTCGCTCACTACAGACCATCAATTTATCTTAAATGTGCTGACAGGTAGACACATATTCATGTTGCAGATGTTTGGAACAGGAGGTTGAAAAAGGTTGGTACATGCATTTGAGAAATACACATTGAATCTGCTTACTACATTGGGCCCTTTGCTTGGATTTGGGGTACAATGGTACAATGGTGACTTAGACAGGTCTGTCTTCAGGGAACACCCACCCACTGGAGGTGACAAATGCATTAACAGGCCATTATCAACAATGGGGTAACACCTTACAACAAACCCCACTTTGGAAGCCAAGCAGCCTTCCCGGAGGAGGTGGCATCTGGTTTAACTCTTACCATTGGTAAGAATTAGCTAGAGTCACGTGAACAGGGGCTCAGCTGAAGAGCAAAGAGGGTGTACCAGGCAGGGGAGCCCTGGATCAAAGGGACAGAGTCAGAACGAGATGCATGTGTTACTGGAAATTCGGGATGCTGGAACATCGCGTGCGAGCGTGTGTGTATGTGCGTGTGTGTGGCAGGGGAAGGGGGGCGAGTTCTGTGTTTATCCCAATTCCCAAAGAACTCATAGCTCTAAGGAGGCACGGTGATGCACAGGCTGCATCCCTGGGGAGGGCTAGGAGAGAACAGTTGTTCAAAGACATAAACGAAGAGCCCCCAGAGTCAGGTGAAGCCCTTCTGCTCCCCTGGATCTGGAAGCCTGCAGCTATTCCCACATCTGGATTGCAGGTTCACAAACATCTCCAAGTCCTGATGCCACCATCCCTTTAAAAGTTTATTATGAAAACAGAAAGAATAGAACCAACATGCCTATGCATACCACCTGGCTTCACATGAGTTCATATTTTGCCATATTTGTTTTCAGATGTTTTCCTTCCAAGAAATGAATCATGGCATGCAGAGCTGAATTTTTTTTTTTTTTTTTTTTTGAGACAGAGTCTCGCTGTGTCACCCAGGCTGGAGTGCAGTGGCATGATCTCGGCTCACTGCAACCTCTGCCTCCTGGGTTCCAGTGATTCTCCTGCCTCAGCCTCCCAGGTAGCTGGGATTACAGGCACACGCCAAACCACCTGGCTAATTTTTGTATTTTTAGTAGAAAGGGAATTTCACCATGTTGGCTAGGCTGTTCTCAAACTCCAGACCACAGGTGATCTGCCCCCCTCGGCCTCCCTAAGTGCTAGGATTACAGGTGAGGGCCACTGCACCCAGCCTGAAGTTCTTTTAATAAACTCCTGACAGACAACCTCATTTTCACTCCACTGGTACAACGTCCTTTTCCAACGGTTTAATATGTTTCCTACTTATAATGGAACTATAGCAAGTTATTAAAATGTCACAGAAAATATAGTCCATAATAATTGCACGTTTTAAAAAGTTACAGAAATGGCATTAACTGTAGGTATCATTCTTCCACTTGCTTTCTCCTCCGAGCACAATGTTTTAGAGACTTATCCATGCTGCTACACAATGATTTATTTTTACTGATGCAAATATTCTATCATACAAGTATAAAAGCTGTATTCATTGATTATTAATAGATGTTTAAATGTTTCAAAAATTCTTATTGTTAACAACAATGCTTGAATGAATCTCTTTAAAATGTGGGCATGCCGAGTGTGATGGCTTATGAATATAATTCCAGCACTTTGGTAGGTTGAGGTGGGAGGATCACTTGAACCCAGGAGGTTGAGGATGCAGTGAGCCATGGGGGTGCCGCATCTCACAAAAAAAAAACCATAAACATAAATAAAAAATAAAAATAAAATGTGAGGATGGGTGAGCAGTGACAGGTCTCACAGTCTGCCAGAGAGCGTGGAGAGCACTGGCCCAGTCCTACCCCACAGCGGCCGGGAGCCTTCTCTCTAGGGGCATGGCCAGGGCTGGGCGAGCCTGTTAAACATCTTTTCAAATATTTTATTGAACATGAAAGTTTTTTCTTTGACAAATTTCATGTTCATATCTTTTGCCCATTTTCCTATTCACTGTTCATATCTTTAATATGGGCTTGAGGGAATTATTTTTTATTTATTTATTTTTTTTGAGACGGAGTCTCGCTCTGTCGCCCAGGCTGGAGTGCAGTGGCGGGATCTCGGCTCACTGCAAGCTCCGCCTCCTGGGTTCACGCCATTCTTCTGCCTCAGCCTCCCAAGTAGCTGGGACTACAGGCGCCCGCCACTACGCCCGGCTAATTTTTGTATTTTTAGTAGAGACGGGGTTTCACTATGTTAGCCAAGATTGTCTCGATCTCCTGACCTTGTGATCTGCCCGCCTCGGCCTCCCAAAGTGCTGGGATTACAGGCGTGAGCCACCGCGCCCGGTCTTGAGGGAATTATTGATTAATTCTCTATATGACTGCTTTGTCCATGATCAATGTTGCAAATCTCTCTGGCCGTGGCTTATCTTTTACAAATGTATTACTTTATTTCTATTTACTTGTGTTCTGAATGTATAACACAGCCATGTGATTGGGAAATTAAAATGCTTTAGGGTTCACATCTGTCAGCTTCCAGCCTATCCCTCTATTTGTATGAACCGCAGAATATATGTCTTAAGTGACCTTTACTATCATCTCCATTTTATTTTATGGATGAGGACACCGACCTATGCAGGTGTGTCCTACCTATCTAGTGTGCACAGCTGAGTCGGGGTCTCTGTGCAGCCCCTGTGGCTCGCTGAGGTCACACTACACATAGCCCAAGGTTCTAGGATGTCCTGGGCTCCCACAAGCTGGGCTTCACCACCTGCTCCAGGTGACAATAGAAATTTCAGGTGGGTTGCATTGTTGGGACAACATATTTTTTTAATGTGGAAAATGAACTAAAGGGTAAAACAAAATTGGCTTGTCTCCAATTTGGAAGTGGGGTGAGGAGAGGCCCAAAGAAAACGGAAGAACAGAAACACCTTCCTACCAGTGTCCCTAGCTCTCCTTTAGCCTGTCTTCCTATGCAAACACCTAGAGACGCTGGACTAACAGTGGCCATATAGTTCAAATACAACCAGTTACTGGTTCTTTCTCCACAGCCAAACCTCAGAGCTAATTAAAGTTGTTGTGTGGGAATGTAAAAGTTTTTCATTTTGGCATTTATCTCAGGGTTCTTGGAAATTTCTCCAGAAAGGAAAAAAGGATCAAAACAAAAGAATTAACAGAAGGTGTATTGGTTTAAGTGCATTCTTAAAATGTGAATTTATAGGAGGAAGTTGAGATGTGGAATTTTCTCCAGTCCTTGAGCAGGTGAGCTGCTTCCTCAAGTGTTTCCTGACCCATCTCTTCCCTCCCTGGACCACAGACAGCCTCAGCTCCATTCTGTAGACACAGAACCTTTGGGAGGGCAGGGCCATTGCCCTTATGAGGCTTGCACATGGAGGTCCATAACCCATCTCCCTTCTTGAGGACCAAATTGCAGTTCTCCTGGTAACAGCCTTACTGTCTGTCTATGCTAAAAAAAGTCCACTGTTTGCCTAGGGATGGGGTGGAGATTGTAAGGGGTCAGTGTGGATGTCTAGAGTTGGGGTGGGGCCCACTTGGGTTCACAGTGGATTCCTGGAGACAGGAATGGAGGGCGTGACAGGAGAGAGGAGAGACTGTTCAGGATCCAGTAAACTCCTGGAGTTGGAACCTATACAGTCCGGGGTCACGGTGGATGCCTGGAGACTAGCTGGGTATGGTGCAGGTCATGTTGGTGCCACTGTGTGCCTCTCAGGGATCTCTGCATGGACAGGGCCAACATGAAGTAAACACTGGAAACCCTCTTCCCAGTGGGTGTAGACGTGAGGTTCCTTCTCTTTGGGTTGTCTGACATCCCTATGTTGCTGGATGCTCTGAGGCTTTGAAAAATAATGGGGGATTTATTTTGTGTTTTCCCCAACCTTGAGGCCAAGGCCCATGGAACCAATCTAGGGCAGAGACAGAACAGATCTTGTGGACCCAGGAGGCTCTGGACTCTTTCTCACCGAGGTGAAGAGAAGGAGAGGGGCAAGGGCCGTCTTCTAAGTGAGGAGATTTCATTTGGCGCATGTAGGTCAGCAGGGCCGTCTTCTGACTGAATCACAGCTTCCTGTGTCTTTGAAATAGGGTCTAGAAACGAGCTTGTCACATTTGCTTCTCCCTCAAATGCTCAAAGGTGCAGGGCTGCCCTAAAGGTCCAAAGGCTACTCCAAGGACAGCTTGTGGACTGGGCTCTGGGCTCCCAGGCCAGCGCATCTGGACTCAGGGCTGGACAGCAGTCATCCAACGCAGGTATGTGTGGTGTGTCCAACTCCAGGATCCCACTACCCATTTGAACACCGTGCTGTGGGCTTACTTTGTTTAGAGTTAAGTGAGCAAACCACAGTGAAAGTGAAAGTACTCCTTGGATAACATTCTAGATCTGACTTTTTCCCTTTTTTCAAAACAGGCAGCTAGATTGGAAATTATGCAGAATAAACCATAAGAAAAACATGTACAGAGCCAAGCAGCTGACTGGAAATAGGATTCCAGTCTCATCAGTAAGCACTTAATTGTGTGTCCACCGCTGCAGCTGTTGCTGGGAGTTTACTGGGAGGTCCTGTCTTCACAGATATCTGGAAGTGAAACTTGTCATCCATTTCTCCTAACTTCTTGCTGAAAACATTTACATCCTTAAGATGGGACATTCAGTGTTCCTGTTTGGATTTGGGGGTATGGAGGAGAGGTCTCCAGATTTCAGGGTCCCAGCTACATCATATCAGTGCCCAAGGCCATGTCCACACCATTGGGTGGATGTGACAGGCCAAGTCAAGGGGGACCAATGACACCAATTTTTAGTGTCACTACAGAGTTGATGGAGTGCTCCCAGGGAGCTTCTGCACTGACTTCAGCTTGTTGAAGGCAAGGTAAAGGCCTGAGAGGCTCGGGGTCTTGTCTGAGGTCTTCAGCTACATGTCACAAGGCTGTCCTGTGCTCCGGAGCTGCTAGCACTCACAAGACGAGGGTCTGCTGTGCCCTAGCTGGGGCCCCCTTAGTGGCTCAGGGTGGCTGCAGCTTCTATCGGGACCCCAGTGGGGCCTGGGGCTGAGTTTCTCAATCAATGTGTTGCCCAACAGGCCCCAGTGCTGCAGCAGGGCTACCCTCTGCCACTGTTCTCCTCCCTTTCACTGGTGGTGAAATGGTCACTGTGCTCCTTAAGAGTCCTAGGTTGCCTCTCTATCCTTGGAGTTCAAAGGGGCTTGAGAAACCATCCGGTACAACTTCTCATTTAACAAAAGGGTTGAAAGCATCATGGAACTCTGACTAAATTAGCCCTGGCAGCAGCTTGCCCATGGCTGCCTCCTTTCTTTTGTTGCATTTCTTTGTGTTGGTAGAGGGAAGAACAGGCACATGCAGGATAACTCCCTTGTCTTTCGTGGCATGGCTGTGCACCGTCACGTCATGCTCCTGCACCACGGCCACCTACACTGTGAATCTGATGTCCACACCAAGGGCCGATGATCATGTGGCGCTCATTTTCAGCGGTGAGCACAGGGGTGGCAGTGCCAGGGTCCCCAGGCCCAGCCACAGGGTAAGTGCTCGTTTCCAGGCACCCTCCCTTTCCTCCCTGGTCACTCCCTCTGCCTGGGAGCCCCTTTCCCTGGACTGCTGGTAATCCTACTCTTCGCCCTGAAGCCCCCCAGTCATGCTTATCTACAAACATAGCCACACACACAGCCACACACACACACACACACATGCATTCCACTTACATACCACATGCACCTGCATGTGCACACACGTGTACACATACACCACACATACCACATGCACACACACAGGAGCTTGCACACACTACACACATACCACACACCACATCTCCACACACACCCCACATGTATCCACAAACATATGCATACAACACACACTTACACACACATGCATACACACATAGCATTCTTATAGTCATAGATCAAACACAACTAGAGAACAATGAATGTGTGTGTATGTATATGTGCACATGTATGTGCCTTTTAATAATTTAAATTAATCACATTAATAGGTCTTAATCCTGTTACAAACTTTTGCATGTTAAAAAGTCAACTAATTAGCCCAAAGCTATGATTATTTTGCATAAATTTGGAAAGTAGTCATTTTTAGCTAGTTTGCTGACTGTTTTACAAAGTTTTATTTAATGTAAGTATCATAGGCTTACATGGTAAAAATTCAGAGAGTACAGAAGGAAATGAAGAAACATAGAAAAGTTTCTTTCGTGAACTTCCCTCCACTCTCAGCTCTAGTCCCTCCACTCAAAGGGAGACATTACTTAACAGCCTCCTATGTAAACCTCCAGAGAAATGTTGTACATATGCCCATGTGTGTCTATGCTGCAAAAATCCACACTCACTGAATGATTTTACACCATTATTCACAATGTTTAGCCACTTGCTTTTTTTACTTAATAATTTAGCTTTGAGTTTCATCTACATCCATAACATACGTATCAACCGAAGTGTTCAATAAATATGTTAATAAATAACTGAATTTTCATCATAAAATGTGCAATATTTTCTGCACATGTAAATTATATCTCAAACACATGGTTAAAAAAGCAAAATTCTGGCTGGGTGCGGTGGCTCACGCCTGTAATCCCAGCACTTTGGGAGGCGGAGGCGGGCAGATCATGAGGTCAGGAGATCGAGACCATCCTGGCCAATATGGTGAAACCCCGTCTCTACTAAAAATACAAACATTAGCTGGGCGTGGTGGCACATGCCTGTAATCCCAGCTACTTGGGAGGCAGAGGCAGGAGAATCGCTTGAACCAGGGAGTGAGAGTTTGCAGTGAGCCGAGATTGCACCACTGCACTCCAGCCTGGCAACAGAGTGAGACTGTGTGTTAAAAAAACAAGCAAACAAACAGACAAAAAACTAAAACTCTGCTGTTAGTTACCCTGCGTCCTGTGTCTAGTTGTGCCATTACAAACAATACCGAAAACAGCATCCTTCCACGTGTACCTTGGCATAGTTTTGTGAGCATACTTGTAGGTTCACTTCCTAACAGAAATTGCTGAGTCAAAGGATTTTTTTTAAAAAATGTGTGTTGCCAAATTAGTTTCCAGAGTTGCACCAATTTATATTCCCATAAACAGATTATGAGTCGCTCATTCCTTACAGCATCACCCATACAATGGGCATTAGTCAACTTTTTAATCAAGGCCCATCTGATAGGTAAAATATGGTATTTTGTTGTTAAGATGCACATGTATTGAATTATAATGAGGTTTAGAACATCTTTATTTGTTTATTAGCCAATTTTACATGTCATTTGCAAATAGCCTCCACTCAGTTTTCTTTGTGGTGGTTCATCTTTGTCTCAGGGATTTGTATAATCACCTTGGGGAAAACAATAGCTACTTGTCAAATATGTCAGATTTTTTTTTTTTTTACAGACCACTATTTTTTTGCAACTTTGCTCCCCTATACAGACTTTAATTTTTTCATGTGGTCTCATGTTTTCATCTTTCCCATATTGGCTTTGCCTAAGGGTTCTTCTTTTAACAGTGGGGCAACTTGCTTTTGGTGTTCTTGTCTTGTTCTATTTATGCTCCTCCAATGCTGGAATAACCATTTGGAAGCTAACATCTTGATACTTTGCTCTTTAACGATTACTGGCTGCTCATATGAAGTAAAAGACTTGCCAAAAAGCACTGAGACAAACAATGGCTTTAACTTTTAAATAGGAAAAAATATGGTCTCTCTTGTTCCTAGAGGCATTCTAGAAGACAGGGGCTGTTTCTTCTATTTTCTCTGATCCCACATGGGTTCATAAAAGTGTTTAAAAAATAGTTGTTAGAAATTAAAGAAGACCTAAATAAATGGAAAGACATTCCATGCCATAGCTAGAAATACTCAACAGTGTCCCAGGCACCTAAAGCGATCCATAGACCTGCAGATCCCTATCAACATTCCAACGGCCATTTTGCGGAAATGGAAAAACTAATCCTTAAATTAATATGGAATTGCAAGAGGAACCTGAGTAGCCAAAAAATCTTAAAAAGGAAAAACAGAGTTGGCAAACTCACATTTCCTGATTTAAAACGATATAATAACCAAAATAGACATCAAGATTGATGGAACATATTTGAGATTTCAGAAATAAACTCACATTTATGGTAACTGATTTTCAACAAGGATGTCAAATGTGTTCAGTGGAGAAAGAATATTCTCTTTAAACAATGGTGCTGGGACAACAGGGTATCCACATGCAAAAGATGTACAAAAATCAACTCAGAATGAATTAGCAGCCAAAACAGAAGAGCTAAAACCATAAAACAGAAGAAAACACAAGAGTACATCTTTAAGATCTAATATTTAGCGATGCCTTCTTAGATATGTCACCAAAAGCATGAATAACAAAAGAAAAAAATAGATTAGACTTCATCAAAATTAAAAACTTTTGGGCATCAAAGGACATAATCAAGATAGTGAAAATAAAACCTACAAAATGGGAGAAAATACTTGGATAAACAAAAACATATAATAACTATTATCCAGAAACAAAGGAAATGCCTTTCTGATACATTCAGCAACATGAATGAAACTTGAACACATAACGTCAAGTGAAATAAGCCAGACACAAAAGAAAAAAAGGATGATATGATTTCATTTATATGGACTATCTAGAATAGGCAAATTCATAGAGACAGAAATTAGACTCGAGGTTACTAGGGGCTGAGAGGAGGAGAGAATGGGGAGTTACTGCTTCATGGATACATAGTTTCTGTTTGGAGTGATGAAAAAGTTTTGGAAATGGTGAGGATTGCACAACGGTGGGCATATAATTAATGTCACTGAATTGTACACTTACAATGGCTAAAATGGCTAATGTTACATTTTATTTTACCACAGTTTTGAAAATTAATAGTGTACTATACCAAAATCACTGATTGACACTTTACCTGGGTGAACTGTTTGGTATGTGAATTATATCTCAACAAAGCTGTTAAAAATTATTTTTGCACTTTGGGAGGCCAAGGCGGGTGGATCATGAGGTCAGGAGATCGAGACCATCCTGGCTAACAAGGTGAAACCCCGTCTCTACTAAAAATACAAAAAATTAGCCGGGCGCGGTGGCGGGCGCCTGTAATCCCAGCTACTCGGGAGGCTGAGGCAGGAGAATGGCGTGAACCCAGGAGGCGGAGCTTGCAGTGAGCCGAGATAGCGCCACTGTAGTCCGGCCTGGGCGAAGGAGTGAGACTCCGTCTCAAAAAAAAAAAAAAAAATTATTTTTGATCTGGCCTGGCCACTAACTCTCAGTCATTTCAGATTTCATGACTTCCTCGTAGAGATATTTATCAAAAATAATCATCCTATGTTTATGTTTTCTTCTAAGAGTTTTATGGTTTTAGCTGTTCTGTTTAGGCTGCTGATTCATTTGGAGTTAATTTTTGTGCATATTCTGCATGTGGATTATCTGTTGTCCCAGCACCATCTTTTGAAGAGAATATTCTTTACCCATTGAATAAGGATGCATTTGGCATCCTTGTTGAAAATCAATTAACCATAGGTGGATGAGTTTATTTCTAAACTCTCTATTATATCCCTTTGATCTGGAGAGAAAGATATAGACCTCTTATGTTCAGAGTTAAAAAGAAACCCTTGGGAAACTTGCTGGTGTTTCAGGACACCCTCTTTGTCACCCGCTCTTTGGAATACAGCACATTGGGACTGTCAGTCGTATTACCACCTGGGACCTCAGGTCAACTCTCAGGGCCTTGATTACTTCATTAGCAAAGTCAGTGGCTGAGAACAGGGGTGTCTTCATCTCCAGAATTTTGTGTTGCAGCAGTAAGCAGAGAGCTGAGAAGCCCCCAGCCAACACCTCCTTTCCATCAGCTCCTCCACTCGGCTTTCACTCTTGCACCTGGCAGTGACAGGGACTTGATGTCCTGTGTTGTGGCAGTGAGGGTCCTAGCGGTCCATCACCCTGGAGTTTCCTCCCATTCCTTTGCCCCATCTCAGCCAGCCACCCACAGGCAGGCACAGGTACTCACACTGTCTGCCTCACAGTGGGGAAGATTAAGGCAGGCCCCCAGTATAGCTGGGCTGGCATATCCTTGAGAGGGCTTCAGTCAGAAATAGTTTTGTTCTCTCAAACTTGGCCTTGGCAATAGTCAATTTTTCTTACATGCAGGATAAATTGGATTTATCTTCAAAGTTAGCCAGCAATGCTAAATGCTGGTTAAAAAGCAGTTCTCTGCTGGGGTAGAGAAAGCAAGTTCCCATGTGTCTCAACCCATGTGAAAGAGGGAAGAGAGAATGTTTCCATCCAGGGTGGTTCATTCACATAAGGGTGACAGCATTCAGGATATAGGGTACTGAACAGAAGGGTTTTTAGTTGTGTTTTTTTTTTCCGTGTGTTTATGATATAATTTATGCACCATACAATTCACTCATTTCAAGTGTGCGATTTAATGACTTTTAATGTATTCATAGAGTTGTGTATCTATCATTACAGTTCGCTTGAGAACATTTGCATTATGTCAAAACAAAGAACCCTCCCCCTCTTTCCCACCTCAGCCCTAGGCAATCACTCTTCCACCTTCGGATTCTAGGGATTTGCCTCTTCTGGAGATTTTCCTGAAATAGTTTCATACAACATGTGGTCTTTGATGACTGGCTTCTTTAACTTAGCAGAATGTTTTTAAGGATCATCCATGCTGTAGCATCTTCACCCCTTTTTCGTGCCAAACAATATCCCATTGTGTGGATCTATCACCTTTTATTTATTCATTCATCAGTTGATGAACATTGGATGCTATCTACTTGTTCACAATTGTGAACAATACCCCTTTGAACTTTGTGCACACATTTTTGTGGGGATACACGTTCTAACTTCTCCTGGGTATATACATAGGTGTAACATTTCTTGGTCATGTGGTAACTCTATGTCTAACCATTTGAGGAGCTGGTAGGCTGTTTTCTAAAGCAGCTGTATTACTTCACATTCACATGCACCAGCAGTGCATGAGGGGTGCAATCTCAAACAGTCCTTAAAATACAAAGCCAGTACATATACAGCATGAAATACTACGCAGCCATAAATAGGAACGAGATCATGTCCTTTGCAAGGACATGGATGGAGCTGGAAGCCATTCTTAGCAAACTAACACAGGAACAGAAAACCAAACACAGCATATTCTCACTTATAACTGAGAGCTGAACAATGAGAACACAGGGACACAGGGAGGGGAACAACACACACTGGGGTCTGTGGTTAGGGGCAGGTGGAGGGAGAGCATCAGGATAAATGGCTAATGCATGCTGGGCTTAATACCTAGGTGATGGGTTGATAGGTGCGCAAAACACCATGGCACATGTTTACCTGTGTAACAAAGCTGCACGTCCTGCACATGTATCCCAGAACTTAAAATAAAAATAAAATAAAATTATTTTTTTTTTTAAAAAGCCACTTTGTTTAGAAAACAGTTGGTTAGATCCTCACAATGTTAAACACAGTAACCATATGACTCAGCAATTCCACTGCTAGGTATACATGAAGAGAAATTAAACACACAACCATGCAAAAACCTGTAAATGGGTATTAATAGAAACATTATTAATCATAGCCAAAAAGTGAGAGAAGCTAGTCACAAAAGCCACTTCTATGAGGTAATAGGGGAGTCAAATTCACAGACAGTGGAGTAGGCGTTGCTGGGGCTGGAGAAGGCAAAGTGCAGAGGAAGGAGGAGCCACTGCTAGTGGGTACGAGGTTTCTTCTTGGTACAAGGTAATGAAATTGTTCTAAAATTAGAAAGCAGTGATAATTGCATAGCTTTGTAAATATACTCAAAACGGTTGAACCATACACTTTACAAAGGTGAACTTTATGGTATGTCAACTGTAAATCAATAAAGCTGCTGAGAAAGAGGGGGAGCTCAGCTTCATTACTCTGTTTTTCCAGCATTAGGCTTTTCCCTGGACACTAAGGATTTAGTTAGTCTCTCTCTCTCTCACACACACACACATATGTACACATCCTCACCCATGTATTACAATCTTCTCCTTTTCTCTTCATCCTTCAAAAATATCAATCAAATGGAAAGTGAGGTTCCCAGTGTAGAGACACTGCCAATCCTACTGAGATCTCAAATAGGTGGAGGCAGAGGAAGGTGGCTGTTAGGGCTTCACTTTCCAGTAACCACAGGGCAGTAGGAGCTCACATGAGCCCACCTCCTCCTATGAGAAATTCATGAAGATGTGGATAAAATGTGATGCCTCAAAAATACGCACAAGAGCCCAGCAGCAAAAGCATAAAGAGCACTGAGCCCTGGAGTGGCAAACTCCAGCTGCTGCCCGCAATCTCTAGGCGCTGGTCAGGCGTGGAGTCCATTCGGGGGTGGAGTCCATCCGGGCAGGCTTCAGAGAGGGACATGGCCGCCTTGTTCACTGTGAGACACAGTAGCACAGGTAAGAAGCCACATTTGCTCATTTCTGCTGGCCAGCATAATTCCACAAAGCCCCTGACACTGTGACAACGTGGAGCTCTCTGGTGGGTTGCTTTGAAGACAAAACAGAATAGAGCACAGAGCACCTCCATGTCTCTCACCTGAGTCCCTACATTCCTATAGTCAAAACACACATGATCCTAGTCCTTGCCTTTTCCTACACATAAAATAATGTCCAGTTGGGCGTGGTGGCATATGCCTATAGTCTCAGCTACTCAGAAGGCTGAAGTGGGAGGATCACTTGAGCCCAGGAGGCTGAGGCTGCAGTGAGTCGTGATTGCGCCACTGCACTCCAGCCTGGGTGACAGAGGGAGACTCTGTCTCAGAAAAGAAAATAATGTCTGACCAGTGAGTGATTATGCCTCTGTAAAGTATAACCTGTAAGTGTACTCTTACACTTAAGCCTTGATTTGGCTCTGCTTTAATATAACTTCTGAGCAAGTTTGATGGGATTTTGCTCGTACTGAATCCTTACCACCTGTATCTGAGCTATGGGCTGAAACCCTGGCCAGAGCCATTGATAGATCCTCTCTAAAGAGCTGCTCCCAGGCTATTGGCTTCTGTGTGTAGCCCTCGACGAGACTTCTGAATAAAACTCACTTTAATTCTTTAAAAGCTTGATTATTTTACCTTTAGTCGACACTAGCAAGGAGCAGGCGGGAGCTGTGTCCCATGAAGGCAGGGCTGCAGGCGCTGCCGCTTCGGTGATGGGACTGAGCACTCTGCCCAGTGGGCCAGCAATACGGCCAGGACACATGGCTCCGTCCAGGCATCTGTGTGGAAAACAAGACCAGGCCCAAAGAGAAGACCAGGGCTTGGCGAGGGTGAAGGGCTGAGCGAAGTGGGAACAGCCGTACACGTGCGTGTCTCACAGACACGAAGCCCTCATGTCATAAAATCCTGGTTTGTTGCGATGAAACTGAAAATGCTACATGGCAATTGCAGAGGACAAAATACTTAGCATTGAATGACACTGAAAATACCCCTGCGTCAGGGCATGTGGGATGCAGCTAGAGGTGTGTGGAGAGGAACATGAAGCCAAAAAAGAAATACGGACATTCACAGGCCAAGATCCAACTCAGAAGACTAGAAAATGAACAACCCAGCAAACTTAGGAGATGGGGAAGGAAGGGAATTCAGAAGGTGATAGCTGCAAGCATCGGCAGACCAGTCCTAGCAAAATGGAGTTTAAAAGGGGGTAAGTCACAAATAAACAACACTAGAAACGAAAGTCAAACATAACTACAGATAAAGATTTTTAAAATACAATCAATCTTGAAAATAGACAAAACGTAAGTTTTGAGTGGTTGGGAAAATCTAGGAGTACAAAAGTTACCCCTGATAATTCCTAATTTTAACCTAATTAGAAATTAAACAATTGCTAACACAAAATTTTAAGACTCCAAAGGGAGTTTTCTTCCTAAATTTTACATTTTTTTATTTTTTAGAATTAAAAATATATATATATATATTTATTATACTTTAAGTTCTAGGGTACATGTGCACAACGTGCAGGTTTGTTACATATGTATATATGTGCCATGTTGGTGTGCTGCACCATTTTTTTTTTTTTTTTTTTTGAGATGGAGTCTTGCTCTGTCGCCCAGGCTGGAGTGCAGTGGCGTGATTTTGGCTCACTGCAAGCTCTGCCTCCCAGGTTCACGCCATTCTCCTGCCTCAGCCTCCCGAGTAGCTGGGACCACAGACGCCCACCACCATGCCAGGCTAATTTTTTGTATTTTTAGTAGAGACGGGGTTTCACCGTGTTAGCCAGGATGGTCTTGATCTCTTGACCTCGTGATCCACCTGCCTTGGCCTCCCAAAGTGCAGGGATTACAGGCGTGAGCCACCACACCTGGCCACAAATTATTTTCTTTTAATTTTCAAAACAAATGAAGCTTCTGCCAAATTTGTAGATGCCTGGGTCTAGATGCCTCATTTAACTTTCTTCCCTTTCCTACACATCTTGTGCTAAGCAGCACTTATTTTATAAGATTTCTTAAAGGACCATGATTATTATACGATTATCTGTCCAGAATTACCCCCCTTTCCAACCTGTTTACCTGGTGCATGCTATTATTCCTTTCTCCCTCCCTCCCTTCTTTCCTAATCCAGGGGTTATCCCTGCTGCAAGAATCGTTGCCATCTCTACACAGGAGTTCTGCACAGGGAGATGGCCCGTATATTAATAACTTTAAGGGGCTGGGCACGGTGGCTCACACTTGTAATCCCAGCACTTTGGGAGGCCGAGGCAGATGGATTGCCTGAGGACAGGAGTTCGCGACCAGACTGACCAACATGGTGAAACCTTGTCTCTACTAAAAATTCAAAATTAAACAGGTGTGGTGGCACATGCCTGTAATCCCAGCTACCCGGGAGGCTGAGACAGGAGAATCTCTTGAACGCAGGAGGCAGAAGTTGCAGTGAGTTGAGATTGTGCCATTGCACTCCAGCCTGGGCAACGAGAGAGAAAACCTGTCTCAAAAAACAAAAGCAAAAACAAATAAATCATGTTCAGCAGTTTAGCAGGAAAATCTACTCATCCTGAAACTGCGTTTGAAACAGTAGGGTAGAATAGAATTTTCCTACTCCTGAGAAAAAAAAATAAACTTACAAACTCCCCTTGGCAGACTTCAAATACCTACTGCCCACTTGTTCTGGAGGCTCTGCATTGCTGGTAATATTACTTTGGAGAAATGAGATTCGTTCTTTCAGTGGGGTAGCAGGTTAGACCTCTATACATCTTACATGGGCATTGGGCTTTAATCAGTACATGGGGCAAAAAATGACCTGCAGTTTCCTGAAGTTTCTCTTCAGGAATATTCTCCAACTTGGGGATTGCTACTCAATGAGTCTAGTACACTTATTTCTCTCGACAGGGGTGAGAAGTCCCTTTCTTCACTGGAAGGCCCATACAATATGTGACCAAAATAGGCATTTTTAGGCCAAGAGAACCTATCCAGTGTTGTGACATGGCCTGTTATGAAAAATTAGTTGTGAGTGTGTCTACTGGTAAGAGAGTAAAAGGAATGCATTTAAAACCTGATTTCACTTGTGCCTCTGCCACTTTCTCATGGGATCTGTGGCTTTATTGAGGACTTTTTTCTAAGAATGTGAACAAACAAATTGTAATCATCAAACAATATAGGCAGTATAAATAAAATGCTTAAGATTCCTCTCATCCTTCCTCAATCTTCCTTCTCCAGGTCAGGAGACCTATGTCTTTCTCTATATTCTTACAAACATGTAATATGTAGAATGTCTGTTTTTATGTCATTCATCACTTTTTTTACATTTTTGTTTATAATTGTGGTAAAATACATATGATGTAGAATTTGCCATCTTAAGCATTTTTTAAATGTATAGTTGAGCAGTGTTAAGTATATACACACTGCTGTGCAACCAATCCCCAGGATGCTTTCACCTTGCAAGACTGAAATTCTATGTCTGCTAGATACTAACCACCTGTTTCCCCACTGCCCCAGCCCCTGGGATCTACCCTTCGACATTCTGTCTCTGTGAATTTGACTTTTCTCTTATGAGTGGAATCATACAGTCTTTGTCATTTGGTGGCTGGCTTATTTCACTGAGCATAATGTCCTCAAGGTTCATCCATGTTACATAGCATATGTCAGAATTTCCATGTTTTTAAAGGCTGAATAATATTCCATTGTATGAATGGACCACATTTTGTTTCTCCACCCATCTGTCGATGGACACTTGGGTTGCTTCCATCTTTTGGCAAGTCATTCCAGACCTTTGAACAGTATTTCTGGAAGAAAACTTTACCCAATCCAGTCAACTCTGGAAGTGAAGAGCATATCCTCCCATATCTTCCTGCATTTATTTATCCATAAGTGCATTCCGTTAGAGAGTACCTAGTGAACGCCAGGCAATAGGGGGCTTGTTTCACAAAAGGCGGTAAAATGGACATGCTCCTGACATCATGAAACATGAATGGCTTAGATGGAATATAAAGTGAAGGAATAGGAGTGTGAGACAGGCTCTGAAAAAAATGGGCCATGTCAATGACAGAGACAATGGGAGGGTCAAGGATGGTATACTGAGAAGATGATAGTTAAGCTGAGACTGGTAGGGTATGGAGCAAGGCATGCACATGAGTGTTTTTGGTGTGGGTGCAGGGCTTCTCATTAGAGAAAATATGCTGAAGTGGAAAAAAGCATACAGAAGGCACAGAAGAGGCTGGCATGGCAGGTGCACAACGCAGGTGCCCTGCAGGGACAGTGGCATGAGATGGGCATGGAGGGGGAAGGGTGGACCAAGGTGTGAACTTGGAGGATATTCCATATGCAAAGCATATTCTGAAGAATTTAAGTGAGGATGTGGCAAGACTGTAGATATGTTACAAAATATTAACGTGGGAGAAGAATAATTTGAAGGGGAACAGGAATGGAAGCAGGAAGGTCATTAGGTGGCTACTGCAACAGTCCAGGCATGAGATAAAGAAGGATGGATCTGGGGTTGCAGCAGTGGTACTGGGAAAAAGTGGGGGAACCTGAGATATATTTTGCAATTTAAATATATTTTAATTTTAATTTTAATATATTTAATGTAATTTAATTTTAAATATAGTTTAATTTTATTTTTTAATTTTGCAATTAAAATGGGACTTGGGGGTGAATTGGAAGCAGGAAGTAAGGGAGGAAGGAGATGAAGATGATGTCCTTCTTTCCTGTTTCTTTTAGTCTACAACACTTTGTTGTATTCCCCAGCATGGGGGCTTAGGTAGGCCCAGCACACACAACACATTTTTGTGGGCTTGAGACCCTGCTCCTGCTTCTAAGTCCAAGAGCTGAAGAATGCTGGCTGCCTTAAGCACCTTTGCTTTTCCCTAAACCTATGGGTTAGAGGATCTCTTGTGTAAACAAATGTCTGCAGGTAGGGGTGCTCAGTGGCAACTCTGTTTGGCCATAGGGGTGTCTGGACAACAGCATATGCAAAATAGGCCAGAGGTACAGGGACATTCTATTTGGTATTTCACCCTCCATTTTGCTAAGTCACGTGATGACTTCATTCATGACCCATATGAACTATTTTTTCAAATGTTTGAAGTCATAAGACATGAAGAGAGAGAAAAGAACTTGAAAGCTAGAGAAGTAGAAGAAACATTTGAGGCTTTATCATGCTTCAGTTTTCTGTGTTTTAGGCCCATCAGTTCTTACCTTAAAAATGAGAACATTTTATTAAATTTCCCCAAGTTTCCTTCCAGCCCTACCAATTCATGACTCCGTAGAGTAATTGTCTTATTTTTAGGGACAATAAGATCATGTGAGTTTTTCAAAACAAGAACAATAACCTTGTATCAACAAAAAACTCAAAGTGAAAATGAAATATATTTGCATTCGTGGAACCTAAAACGTGTAGAAGTACTACAGTAGATAAGTCACTTCTTTTTTATTTTTTTTTCCAAATTGAAATATAGGAGTTCTGCTTCTGATTGTGATGAAATAGTTTGTAGCAGACCAATGTTCTTGCCCAGAGCCACTGAAAAAGCCAGATAAAATGTAAGAAGCTGTTGAAATGCCCTGAAGAGCCATAGAGGCAGCTCCCAGGAGCCACTTCCTCAGAGCCCACATCCGAGAGGAGTGTGTGGCATGAAGAGGAGCTTTAATGGGCTGCTTGTTACTTTGGAACATCTGTTAATTTTGGCAGATGGGGCAAGAGGCCGAGAACATCACCATCTTGGACAGAAGCAGGCTGTGGAGAGGCCCAGAAGCCAGCAGAGCTTTCAGAAATCTCACAGACCTAAAAACAGACTTTGGACCTAAGGACTGGGGAGATGGGGACAGCATTTGCAGAGAACAGGGTGGGAAGGAGGGGGGCAGTGAAGACAAGCATTTGCTGAACTCTTCACCTGAATGGTAACAAGACTAAGAATTAACAGGAAGCTGCAGGAGATGCAAAAACAACTGTAGTACATAACGGGGAGAACCGTAAGTTATGAGTTCATTGGATACTCTCTAGAGGGGAGTCCTGTGTGACCTCTCCCCAGAAGCCATGCTGCATGAATGTAAATTGATTACACAAGCCGTTGTAAGTCATGGATATCTTGCTTGAAGTATTCCACAGATAGATATTCTCCAAGCAAAATATTATTAGTCTTTTTGCCCCAAAGCCCAGAATTATGCCTTAATTTATTTCCTCTAGGACCTTCCCTTCACCCTCCCATAATAGAGGGAAAAATGCAACACAGCCCAACTGCTTTAATTCTGTTCTTCATGGTGTTTCAGGGGGAAACTCAAACCAGACCACTTGGGTTTTGAACCTGGCACTCCATGTGAATTTAGGCATGTTACTTTCAGATGTGCTACATCTGAAAAAAAAGCAATAGTACATACATAGTAGAATTGTTATGAGCATTAAATGAATTTTGTTAGCTTTGCACACCGTAAGCACTCATTCAGTATTTATTACCGCTGTTATTGGCTTATCTGAATTAATACCAATATCAAGTAGAAGCAGCATAAGCGCGTTTAGCAAAAGCACAACCAGTTCTTGGGAAACCTAAATTGAGGGCTTCATGGGTATTGATGTGGAAATATACCCAGACTGTGAATGCCATTAGCATAGTCCTTCAAGTCCTTCACCCATGTAAGCTGGATATGTTCAGATAAGTGTTTGCGATGCTCCAGCCAGATGTAGGAAGGGCAGCTGGTGAGTCCTGGAGAACATCGTCCTGGCACCATCAGGGCTTTAGATGTGGCATGGGCTTTCTTGCCAACTCGTCTGGTGTCCTCAGCTGGCAGGAGGATCTGGCTGTGTGCAGGGCCCTTCTGCCCACTGCACACCTCTGTGTTAATATCCTTCACACTAAGCACACCATTCAGCTGCTGAAGTCCATGCCTGTGAGTCCAACAAAGTAGGTGCATGTCAGCATCCAGGAGCTCTACAAGGATAGGACAACAGCAGCCCAGCTAGTTGGAACACAGGTGTGCAAGCATCTCAGAGGACCAGTGGGGCATCTGACTGGGTTGGTTGAGTGGAAGGCAATCCAGAATGTGGCTACTGTAGCTGCTTTCTTTTTTCTTTCTTTCCATTATAGAAGTTACAATACTTGCTGAAAAAGAAAATCATGTAATAATCAAAAGCATAAAGAAGCAAATTAAAATTACCTTTAATTCTACCATCCAGTGGGTCTGTTTTCTGAAAACGTGATTCATTTTGGTTTCTAAACTGTTTGTAGTACTAGAGTTTTTACTTTGTTTTTGTTTTTCAAAATCATGGCAAATGAATGCATGAAAATTTATCCCTAGATTCCAAACTTCCAGTAATTAAATGCATGTGTCTTTTCTGCAATACAATTCATCCAAGGTGAATAAAAAATTGACAGTGATTTTGGTAACACATCAAACGGCAGGTCATTTGTAATACATTCAGTGGCCCCCTCGCCCCTGTTCTCTCAAAGGAATTTCAGTCTTGCCTTGGTCAGAATTAAAAGGTAGATAAGCTGTCAACCTACAAGCTTCCTGGTCTAATTAATTTGGGGACAGCAATGCTGTGAGACAGTAATAAGCATCTGTTTTCTTTTTCCATTTTCTCATGAGGTTATCAATTCCTTTTTCTGTACATGTCAACTGCAAACCTGAGAATAGACTTCAAGGGAAAATTTGGAACAATGCATACTTTCTAAATAAAAAAAAAAGAAATGAAAAATGAAGAAAGGAAGAAAAAGGAAGGAAGGGAGGAAGGAAGGGAGGGAGGAAGGAAGGAAGGAAGGAGAAACAAAAAGAAGAAAGAAATAAAAGAAAGAAAGAGCAGATGCAACGCTGCTCATTTCTTCTTTCAATATTTCATATTTAAAGTGAAATCTGCTGCTTTTTACTGTGCATATTTGTTCTTTGACCACACTAGTGTTTTGCAAAACTTAAATTATTTGGATTTTAGAAACAACAACTAGGTCACCATGGATGCTACACTATTTCTTTTCCCAAATATTCATTTCCCTTACAAAGTGGCAATTCGCATAAATTGTAATGTTGGAAGTACACAGACTTGAGATTGGAAGGGAGTGAAGTTGCTCAAAGTCGTTTAAGTTGTTGATTTTATCTCCTAGGACTTCTACGTTCTGTCCTCCTGCAGCCATCTAAAATCAGCCAGAAAGGTTTAGGATCCCATTTCCTGTTCTTGCATCGGCTGTCCAAGCTGCTGTTCCTCTCTCCGCAGTAAGAGGGTGTTTCTCTCCCTGTTCAAGAGGAGCACCAACACTTGAGGTTTGGATTCCATCTTTTCCTGCCCCTTCTGCAACATTATCTTCTCTGCCCAGTAGTAACAGCCTCTGCCATAGCTAAAGACAGACCAGAAAGAACTCTCCTGAGAACTCATACCCCTTCATAGGTACATCCCCTCCCCTCTCCTTCCCTTTAGGGACCTTCAAAAGCAGCTATTTTGTTCTCCTCTTTCACTTTGATCCTTTATTTCTAGCTCTGTAATATACTGTTTTTGTCTCCACCATTCCACTACAAACTAGAAGTTTAGACTCCAGAAGTTCTTCAAGAGCTTTTTATGTTGATTTTATATATTTTTTCTATTAATCAATCTAGACACACACACACACACACTTTTTAGCCATTTGCATTCTTGACGTCTTATGTTGATTGCCAATGCTGATGCCTCTCAAATCGAAAACTCATAACCATACTTTTGTTTCAAGCCCTAGGCCAGTATCCAATTTCTTAGTAGACCTGAGCATCTGGATCTAGACAAGTTAAAACCTAACTCATGATTTCCTCTGTTTGAGTCCACTAGACTTGCTCCTAAAGCTGACCCTTTACACACATAACTCATATGTGGTGAGTAAAGCCACCATCCCACCTGCTGTTCAATAACACACCTCAGGGTGATTCTAGGTGCTGCTCCCTAGCCTCTCGATTCCATCAGTCACTCACCCAACCCTACGGATTCTGTTCTAAAATATCTCACTTTATTACTTTATTACGGGTTCCCACCCTTTCTTACCATTCACATTTTAAAAAACCATTTACAATAACCATGACATACAACACTCAAGAAAATAGCATAAAATTCACATATATATTAGGTTGGTGCAAATGTAATCATGTTTTTGTTTTTTGTTTTTTTTTTTTTTTTGCACCAACCTCATAGTATATCAGAAACAGCCAAGTAACCGGTCCTCAGGTCAAGCAAAAGAACATTCCTCGAATTCTGGAAGGTTCTGAGTTTTCTCTTCTGGGTAACATCCTCTTCCTCCTTCTGAAGGCAATCCCTAGACCAGTTTAAGAGTGATCACTTCTTTACTTTTCTCCTAGTTTCCTCTCTGACACGTGCCCTGAATTTCCCTCTCTGTGAACGGTATGTATTCTCTTCCTTCATTTTCATTTCATTTTATTTTTTCATTCACAGTTATGAGTTTGAGATTCATCTATGCAGCGAAGCACAGTCGTTGTTGTGTAGGGTTCCATGGCATTAATACAGAGCATGCTTTTTTCCCATTTGTCACTTGGGGTACACTAGGTCGTTCCTAGTTTAGAGTGGATCATAACACCACTGCCTTCAGGACGCACTGCAGTTCCACTCCCTGGTATGTGTCTGAGAAACCTAGGGTGCATTCCTTGGAGTGGGATCCCAATCTCAATTGGGGATGGTCCCAATTACCTACCCTACCACTACCTGCAGTGGAAGTACAGCATGAATTCCTAAGTGATTTCTGCAATAGCAAATGAATCCTTCTCTTTTTCCTTTCACCTTCGATGTCAAGGATCTTCCCAAGGTGCAGATCTGATGATGCCACCCTTCTGCATTGCATCTTTTTAATGACTGCCCTGCACCCTTGGACGATATTTATATTTTCTAGCAATGGCATTTAGGACTGATTGTGATCAGAGATCTGTCCTCCAATCCAGACTCCCACCTTGCCATTTGCTTACCTTGGCGGTATACAGCACCCTTACAGAAGTGCTCCCAGCTACTGCAACATGAAAGCATGTCTTCAAGAGCTGACCCTTTTACACACTACCCTTCATTTGTATGAAATCCTTAGGGAAGACATTCCCTTATCTCCAGCCTGAGTGCAGTGCAAGTCCCCAGGATTCTGAAATCTCTCCAGGCATTCATTTATTATAGCAGCTATCAAGTTGTATTGAAAGTATCTGTTTACATTGAATTCATTCATATCCTGCCTTCTTACACAAAAGGGTTGGATAGATGAAATACAATAGAGATGGAACCATATAAGCAGATAAGTGTAGCTAGACTACAGTTTAAAGAGGCGAACATTGGAAATTAGACAGACAAGCTATGGGATTTCATGTGGTCATTAAAATTGGGTCCCAGAAAGACACTAAGGACAGGGACCACAAAGCAGGTGTGCACCTTCACCAGATGGTGGGAATGGGGGCTGTGTATTCCATCTCTAAATTCCCAGTGCCTGACACCTCCTCAGAGCATTAGGATCACGTGGGTGTTGAAGTGGATGCCCAGGTAACAGGCACCTTTAGAATTGCCATGACCTCATTCGTGTGCTGCAGAATGATGCTGGTGTACATGGCTAGACGACTGAAGTATTTGGAAGAACGAGTGCCATTTACAATCTGCAATTGCTAACTAAACTGTCTATAGGGACAATCCATCATCAGCTGTCACAAAGACTGAGCAGGCTTAGGAGGTGGGAGCAGCTAACAGGGCAATGATGGAGGGCCTTTGAAAATTAAATAAACACGAAGAAAAATTTAAACAGTCAGCTAAAATAACTCTTGTTGTTCTTAAATATTTAGAGCTTCCAGTTTTATAACTTTTTCCACAAGGTTAGAAGAAGAACACTCAGGATTTAGGAATCTGTCTAATAATAAGTGTCTTCAATGACTTAGGGAGGATGGGCAGGTAGAAAGTGATTTGTTTTGAGACCAGCATCCTAAACTAGGTTCATTCACAACCATTGTCTGAGAGGCTGCCATTCACACAGAATAGATGCCAGGGAGGAGCAGCTCCTGGAAACTGCATCCCCTTCCTTCCATCTGCTCACCAAGTCCTGACCACATTATGGGGACCAACAGAATTTACCCTGCCTTGTTCCCTTCAAATGTGATTTGGGAAATCAGGAAATTTTTATCTGGAGCCAGTAAGAGACGGTTTTATTTATTCTGATTTCTCTTGGGAGATGCATTCGATGGAAGACATCAATATTCTTTTATATCGTGCAGCCCGACATGCTAAAGTCTTGTTAATGAACACTTTCCCATCTGGCAGTTTCTCCGTAGCAGTTCCATGCCTGGTGGTGATGGAAAGGTTTCTCAGAACACTTAGGTTTTTTCAGCCAGCCAGACAAATAGCATCCTGTAGGCTTACTTAAAATTTGTTTTTTGGTTATATTGCTGTAACAGGTGAGTCTTAAATCCCCAAATTCTAAGAAAATAAAGCCTGAGGGCAAGGAGGACATGTTTGACACCATAGCTCACTTAAAGGTAAACCAAAATATGCCTGGAGAACAAAACAGAAACTGAGCATTACCTTAGAATAATAATTATTATTATTATTATTGAGACAAGGTTTTGCCATGTCGCCCAGGCTGGAGTGTGCTGGCGCTATCAGTGTTCATGGCAGCCTCAACCTCCTGGACACAAGTGTTCCTCCCACCTCAGACTCCCAAGTAGCTTCCCTTTAGGATTTAAAGAAAAATGCTGAGTTAATAGATGGCATGAAGAAGGCCAGGATTACTCTGGAACACATCACCCTGAGCCTTCACAACAGCATGGGCTCTTCTGGTGGACACCACCTGGCTCCTGCTCAGCATGATAGGAGCCACATGACTGAGTTCAGCATTCAGACTGATCAATCCCATCTGTGGCTCACATGCCTCATCCCCATCTACATCCATCCCCAATAGACGTCCGAGGGTGCTACTCCAAATGTCATGCCCCCAAGTCCTGTGCAAGTTCTCATCTGACCCTACGGTGCATCCCTCCCCTCCACCCCCATCTTCTGGCCAGCCTGAGTACAGTGCATGTCCCCAGGATTCTGCCCTGTGTCCCATCAAGTTCTCCTCTGATCTTTGCTCTCACCTTTTGACACCTGGCTGTTCTCTGGGAACATTCTGTCACTGCAGATGCAGGGTTTTTTTCTCACACACTGCCTATATCAGGATTAGGAAGTGGAGTTGGTTTCTCCTCTTTCTTATATTCCTTCCAAACCTTTCTTCTCCCTCTCTCCTAACCAGAAGTCCCTGATGCTCAAGGATGTGTGTCACTGGCCTCTGCCGTCCCCTGCCCTGGTCATTGCCACTGTCTCCTTACTTGGTCCTTCTCAGTCATTTCAGACACTAGATCCAGCCACAGCTTTGTGCACACTCCATCCTGATCATGATCTACATTCTGATCATCATCTACACTGTTGTTTCCAACCTCATGGATGCCTAGGGTGGCCATATGTCATGGTTTCTCTAGGAGTGTCCCGGCTTAGGCCTATTGTCCTGAAGTAATTATCATCGGCACCACTTTCATTCTCATGCCTCCCCATTTGGAAGATAAATTATAGTGGTGGTCTTGTGGTCGGCCAGATATCTACTCCTCTGTCACTGCTTTCTCTTCATCTATGTTCTCCTCCCTCCCACTTCCACCAGTCACTCCTCCATCATATCTGGGATCTTGGGCTTACCAATATATAAGATCTCAACTCTGAGCATTCAAAACATGAGTGTTACCTCCTATTCTTTCAATTCCAAAGCAATTTAAACTTCACTGAGATCTTCCATTTGACAATCCCTTCACTCCCTCTGTGGACTGTTATTACAATCAACTTCCCGATGCCCTCTACTCCAGTAGAATTCCCTGCCAAACCCTAACCTGCTTTAGTGTAAGTATCTTTCTTCCTTCTGTCTGTGTCCAAGCAGAACTTGATTTTAAAAGTATCAATCACTCAACCGGACTGACTGGTTTCATCTTAAATCATGACTATAAATCTCAAATGAGCAATGATTCTACAGACCAATCCTATTCAGGTTCCCCCAATTGCAGTCTGCCAGTGTGTCAGGCAGTGGTCTTGAAGACAGAGAAATAGAATTTACCTCATCTGAACGACAGAAAGAAAATAGATTAGAAAAAAGAAAATGAAGAGAGCCTCAGGAACCTGTGGGACTCTGACAGAAGATCCAACATTCATATTTTGGGAGTCTCAGAAGGAAAGGAGACCATGAGGCTGAATGAGTATTCAGGGACATAAGGTTTATATATTTTGCCAAATTTGGGGACTTTCTGCTGTTGTGTGTTTGAATACTCTTTCTTTGTTTACATATTTTGTTCAGCTTTTTGAACAAATCCCAAATAGAGTACACCTAAAGAAATCCATGCCAAGACACGTCATAATTATACTTTTGAAATCCAAAGACACAGAAGAAACTCTTAAAAGCAGAGAGAGAGAAATGACACATCAGTTGTAGGAAAACACCCACTCAAATGACAGCAGATTTCTCATCAGAAACCACAGAGGCCAGAAGAAAGTGGTACAGCATTTTTCAAGGGCTGAAAGAAAAGGATTGTCAATAATGAAGTCTAAACCCACTGAAATTATCCTTCGGGAAAATAAAGACGTTTTCCTATAAAGGACAACTAAAAAAATTGTCTCTAAAAGACCTACCCCAAGTGATTGATAAAGGTAGCTCTTCAAGCAGAAAGGAAAAGCTGAAACGAAGAATCTTGGAGTTATCGGAAAGGAGGAAGGAACAGTGGAAAAGGCAGGTAGACGGAGACACAAACGAGACTAGGCTTTTATCTGTGAGTTTTAGAAACCATATTTGATGAGTGAAACCAACATAACACTATCTGATACTCAAGATGATATTTAAAAATGGGACCATAAAGAGGCCTAAATGGAAGTTAGGTTTCCACATTTCACTTGAAGTCATAAAATACAAAATCTAATATTACTCATTAAAAAACAACAGCAGCAAAAGAAAACCTCCTGTCTCAACCTCACCTTCCCCTTCACTACTTTTTCATCTCTCTGACATTTTGCAGCAATGCTTCTTAGAAGAGCTTCACTCACCATCCCACCCTGATTTTGTTTCCCTTCATACCACTCCATCCAAAAGGATCTTTTCAAAGTCCTTTGCAATTCTGGCAAGAATAGACAGCTGATATTTTCCAAATTGTCTTTGAGTAATCAAAGGCATTTTCCTGTCAGCTCTCTCTGATGTCAGGATTATTCAGAATATGTATTTTCTGAGTCATCCTCCCTCACTGCCTTTGGTTCCTTGACAATGGAGCTATACACGTTAAAGCACAAATACTCCTAATATTTCACATGCTGGCTTGGATTTCATCATTCCTAACAATTTTCTACCTTGAAATTAAAACCTGCTTACATCTACTAAAGGCTCAGTTTTAAAACAGCACTTGAACCAGACAGTCAGTCCTGTGGGGAATGACATAATTGCCCAAAGAACCAAGCCACAACCTTTTTACTGTACAAAGAGTGAACATTTGCAAGGGTTAAGACTTGTTCTATTTTCACTCTTAATTTTTTTGATGCTACACAAAATTATGGCACTCCCAGATATGGTGCAAAATTAGAGTCTTCTTATTTTTTCTTATGTTGACAGAACTTTGAACTGAGCTATTTTGAGTTCAGTATTTTGAGTATTTCAAGATCAGTTTCAATTTGTAAAGATGCACATCTCAGTACAGAGCAACCTCCAGAGGAATGAGACCCATCTAAAGTTTAGGAATCCTGTTTTGCCCAAACACAATGAAAAGGAAAGGAAATGAGAATATATGGGTATATGTATGAAGTGTGTGTGTGTGTGTGTGTGTGTGTGTGAGAGAGAGAGAGAGAGAGAAGCAAATTAGAATGAAAAGATGCACTTGAAAAAATCCATTGGCCTGACTTTAAATGTTCACTCAAGCAAGTCACGTAGCTCCTCTGAGCCTCCTGTGTGAAATAAGAGGATAATGCCAATCTTGCAGGATTATGGGGATGTTGTCCATGTTGATCACAAAACCTTGCTGACCTCTGTTCTCCATGAGGAAGACTCAAAGACTTGCTATTTCTGGCTTTGTTGGGGTGTTGGGGTGCCACATGACTCATTGTGGTCATGAGATAGGAGCAGAGAGCACCTCAAGGATGTGCATTTGATTTTCAATGTGAGGTCACACAGAGCTCTTTGGCCTGCCACATGGCCAGCATTCAAACTGGGGCCTTTTGGCCTGGCCTCTGAGCAGCAGTGATGAGCAGGGAGCCTTGGCGATGTGCATTGTCATGTTCCATGGGCTGGAATTAAATTTTGGTTGTTCCAAACCCTGAGATGTTCAGTCCTATGTTCCCAAGGCATTATCAAATTTCTGCCATATCAGGTGCCTGTTACAGTGATGGAGGTCAGAGACGCTCATTAGGCAGGGACGTGACAAATGCTGCTGTTGCTCTTGCTGTGAAATCCGGTCTTACTGATTCTTCCCTGGCTTTAGGAGAGTGTTGCAAACTCCTCATACCAACCATCCTCACATAACCCCCTCCTCTTAAAGTCTTTGATGGACCCACATTCATGTGAAGACAGAGAACCAAGTTGATTTTCCAACAGGCACTGGGAGTCAACCCAAGTTATTTGCTTATTGGTTGGAGGCGAGTAGCCGTAACCCTCATGGTAAGCCTGTGACAGTGCAAGTTTAGGTAAGATGCCATTGTGGTGTCTCCCTTCTCTGCCAGACTCCATTCTTGTTGCACTGACATTGCAGTGAGACAGCCCTGAATCCTGTGCTATTGAAGATGTGAGGCCCTCCTAAATGGCCTGCTTTATGGAAGGTTTTTTGGTACTTCCATCACCACATCCACAGAGAAGGCAATTGTAGGCTAAGGGATCAGGGGCTGTGATACTGCTGGTGCAGTGAGCCGCTCTGCATTTCCAAGGCCTTATGCTTGCTATAAACACCATTGTTGCCGGCTCTGCTCTTTGCCAGGGTGCTAATGGTCATGGTGGAAGGCAATGAGCAGACAGGAACCACCCCGGCCATGGCTGGCCTTCACTTCCCTCCACCTGCAGAGAGCCACGGACCCTTCTGCTGATGCTGGGAGACCAGCCAGACACCACTGCTGACTCCACCCATGCTCCCTCCACTTGTTCACACCTGCCACATGAATCATCCCAGAAAATGACTTCCACATGTCACCTCTGTGTTCCTCTCATGGTTCTCCATGCTTTGAGAGCACAGGCAAACTCCCTGTGTCAGTCAGCTAGGGTTGCTGTGACAGAGCACCACAGCCTGGTGGTTTAAACCACGGAGATTCATCATCTCCCAGCTCTGGAGGCTGCAAGTCTAAGATCAAGGTGTTGGCAGGGTGGGTTCCTTCTGAGGCTGTGAGAGAGAACCTGCACAGGTCTCTCTTCTGGGGGTTTGCTGGCAGCCTGTGGGTTCCTTGGCATGTGAACGCATCACCCTGACCTCTGTCTCTGTCTTTGGCATTCTCCGTGTTTGTGTCTGTCCTTGTGTCTGAATTTCCCATTTTTTACAAAGACACTAGTAATATTTGATTAACCACCCACCCCTCTGCCCCTGCCCCCGACCAACCCACTTGCCAGGACCTCATTCTAAATTGACTGCATTGGCAAAAGCCTATTTCCCAATAAGGTTACATTCTGAGGCACTGGGGGTTAGGACTTCAACATACGTATCTCAGGAGGAGGTGCAGTTCAGCTCAAAACACTCCCACAGTTGAGCAACCCAGGCTCTCCACCAGGTTTTCCAACCTTCCTTTTCCATCTTATATTCTGAATTCCAATACGCTTTCCCACCACGCCTGTGGTAGCCAGACTGCTTGAACACTTCCCTGCCTGGGGGTCTAAGCCTTCCTTCTCAGGTCTATCCATCCTTTAACATCTAGCTAAATCACTTTTGTGGAGGGTTTTGAGATTCCTCCAACCTTGGTGATATGGGTGAGTGCGCTGAATTCAATTTTTTGCATATACAACAGGTTGGGCAGCTACTCACGGGCTTTCTTGCAATTATCCTATCTTCCAGGACAGTATCATCCCTAGACCTTGGCAAGAGAGACCACTGAGTGAGGCATCCATGGAACCCAAGGAAGAGGCCTACGAAGAACCTGCAGTCACCTTCTAGACCATTCTCCCTCACCAAACTGTCCCCTCCAGAGAGCTGAGGACTGGATCTTCCCATGCTGACACCTCCAGTGGGAAAGAAAATTCTAGATTCAGCTCTGGGTGTCCAAGTCATTATGAAGGCATATTTGTCAAGGTGGAAGAAAAGGACATATTCTATTTAGCAGTTTGTAAGTTTGATCGATAACTTTAAAATATTTGGACCTATGGTGTGGGTGCCACTTGCCTCTTAATCAGTGTTGGGTAGGAGTAGAACTTGCTACGGGCAACCTGTTTCCCCACCTGCTGCACTCCTGTATTATGACATGAGGTTTTTAAAAATAAGTACAAACTTATCTGAAAGGAAGTTGGTCCTTCCTGGCCCTTCAGCATAGTTTTAGCTGCTCCTGTTTTGTTCTGTTATCATTATTCTTCCACTCTCCTATTTTGTGCCGAAGTAATAAGATGTTTCCATGGGAGTATGCATTTGTCCCAATAAAAGGACTTTTAGTGAACCAATAGAACAAGTCCCCCAAACCCACCTCCAAGTCGCAATGATAGTCTCACCATGCAAGAGGAAAGGTGGTTTTAGGTGCAGCAGCTTATGGGGTGAGACTTGGGAATGAGGCTCCTGCGTCTTACATGGCACCCACTCATGCCTGCTGTGCAAGTCAATTTCTATGTCTGCCCCCAGGCAATGTCCAGCCACCTACTGATCGTATGTGATGGGGGGTGAGGAGGAGATACTTTGCATGGCCCCCAGTGACAAAGAAGAGGCCCTTAGCTATAGCTACTCTTGTGTGAGTACAGGGGAGGATTTCTCAAGGAGCAGAAATAGCTTCTCCTTGAACGTATTTGGCAATTTTCAAAGGCATATCAGATGCCAGAAAATTAATGCAAAGAGTTTATGTTGGCAAAAAGGCATTTGGTTGAATACAAACTCACCTGGATTTTTCCTTTCTGTAAATGGGAAGAGACTGTGGCTTTTCTTTTCTAGGAGCACCAGGAAGGGTTGGCTGTTCCCAGGTGAGAGGGTGGCAGCCAAGCCTTCCCAGTGGCTCACACCACCTCCTGCTCCCTTCCACCACCAACCCTCTGGGGAGCGCTCTGCCTGGGGGCTTCCCTCAACCTCCCTGCTCCCTTCCCCCTCAAGGACATAATGACTGAGCCCCTGTTGCTCTGTCACAGTTAAACTAACTTCACTTCTAAATATTCACTTGGGCAAAAATATTCTCTTTAATATTTTTCTTCTCATTTTTTTTCTCTTTGAAATCTTATCTAACTACTTGAGTAAAACCTGTCTTCCTTTTCTCACTCAATTCTATTTTTGAATCAGAATATTACTCCTATCATGGTTTAAGTATAGGACTGACACACCACCTCAAAGCATGTCAGGAATTGAAAGCATCTTCTTTTTTATATTTGATACAAAATGTATCCTGGTCTTGCTGTCTGCTGCTGGCCCCGTGCTAGTTTAGAGGACAACTTCTCTTCACTGAGGACAACACAGAATCCTGGAGATATTTTTGATGAGTAGTGTAAGTCATTTCCACTATCAATAGCTAAGTAAATGTTATGAATCTTTTCTGTAATACCACCATAATTCAAGTAGTTCTGAAATAAAAATAAAGTAAGGTAATGAAGAACTATCCATCACTAAGTAAGGAGGTTTTCTTCTGAGGCCAATAGACTTGTACGTACACATATGAATGTTAATTTTAATTTTGTGGGCAGAGTGTCATTTGTCCATCTAGTACCTATCTCTTTTTTTCTTCCTTAGCCACAGAACCCTTGTTTTATTGAAATAACAATGAGTCCAGCTACAAAATTCAAATTTCTCAGCCCCCATTGCAGACACTTGTGACTGTGCTAAATTCTGGCCACTGAGATTTAAGTAGCAGATGTTGGCTGAGGCTTCCAGGAAAGCCTCTTAAAAGAGGGAAAGGCAACTGGCACATTCCCCTTAGTCCTCTCGCCTTTATCTTTCTTCCTGTCTGGAATGCAGACATGATGGCTTAGGCTTCAGCAGTCCATGAAGTAGTCTTGAGGTCAGAAGTAACTCGCTGAGGATGGTGAAAGAACTTTAGAAGGAACCTGGGACTTCCTTCTTTGGACTTCCTTCTTTCTTTCTTTCTCTTTCTTTCTTTCTTTCTTTCTTTCTTTCTTTCTTTCTTTCTTTCTTTCTTTCTTTCTTTCTTTCTTTCTTTCTTTCTTTCTTTTTTTTTCTGGAGATGGAGTTTAGCTCTTGTCGCCCAGGCTGGAATGCAATGGTGCAATCTCGGTTCACTGCAATCTCTGCCTCCCAGATTCAAGTGATTCTCCTGCCTCAGCCTCCTGAGCAGCTGGGATTACAGGCACCCGCCACCATACCTGGCTAACTTTTTTGTATTATTAGTAGAGACGGGGTTTCACCATGTTGGCCAGGCTGGTCTTGAACTCCTGACCTTATGTGATCCACCCGCCTCAGCCTCCCAAAGTGCTGGGATTACAGGCTTGAGCCACCAGGCCTGGACTTCTTTATATGAGACAAAAATAATCCCTCTCTTCTTTAAGCTGCTATCAGGTCACTCTAGTTCCATGTAGTTGAATTTGATCCTAGTTAAAACATTCCACTGTACTCAAAAGCAAGAAATGTCACATTATTTTTCTAAATGACAAAAAAACATATTTATAAGTCCCACTAAGCTGACTGGTAAGAAATTCAGTCTCAGCATGTGCAGCTGGCTCCCATGTGTACCTCTGGGCCTGACACCGTGCCCAGGAAACACAGTAAGGGACTATGGTATTTGGCCCATCAGGATGGCTGCTAAGATGCCCATGCAGAGGGAGACAGAGCTTCCGGGTTTGATGTGGGCACGGAAGTCTTTGTCTGGGTCTGCAGCCTGGGCAGCCCAGTCCAGCCCTCTGGGTGTACAAGGCAGCCATGTCTCTCCCCTTGGGGTCCTATGAGTTCCAGCACTGACCTCGACCTCCCCAAGAGGCTCCCCCAGACTCACACCCCTTCCCAGAATCAGGGATATCCCCAGTCTCCAGGCCAACCCCTCTGCCTCCATGTTTCCAAATTCTCCTCGTTCCCTGCCCTCCTTCCTGTCACTCTTGGGGAAAGAGGCTCTTGAACCACAAAGGGCCTCTCCTGAAGGCAGGTGGGCATGAAGAAAGGGGATGCCCACCCTCAGAGGGGGGCCTCTCCTTGTCCTCCTGTTCACTTGTGTGTAAGTGTTTTCCTGTGGGAGACGGGGACCACTTTCCAGACTAACAAAGGTTTCTGTGAACCAAGAAGATAGAGTGTGGAAGAGGCTTAAAAGTCTCTTTCAGAATCTCCACATCAGCATCTCCTGCTTAGACCTGTTCTTATTTCCATGGAGTATAGGTTATAAAGGATACAAGCTTAGAAAGTCAAAAGACAAAACAAAGACAGAATGAAAGGCAAAGTAGAAAGTGGAAAGATTGGATCTGAATGCAGGAGAAGAAAGGAAATGAGTACTGATTGGAGCAAATAGCCAATGCCTGGGTTTATTTGGCAACAACAGCATGACTGATAAGAGTCATGGTCAGAATGAAATCACTAGTGATTATTTGCCCTTTATACCAATAAGTTAAAATTACTATAGATTTTGCCATATCACAATGCTATAAAAAAGCAGATTATCACTTAAACAGACGTCTGATCTCTTGCATTCTGAAATCAGGGACCAAGTGGAGTTTGATAGTGAGTAATACATGCATATAAGTCCTCATAGAATTTTAGCAGTGGCCTCTAACTTGAAATTAAGACGTTTAAGTCTTCAAATATTAAAATCACTGCAGAGTCTAGTCACGGGGTATATCAGCCACAATTTCTAATCATTGTAATGCAATCGACAATTTGCTCTTCAGAAAACACCACCTCTCTGTTTTCTCATCTGCAACATGGGAGGCCCCATTAGCATTAATAATTTAATATGCGTCCGAGCTTGGAGGAGGCAGAGAGCCTATAGAGGCAGGCTTTGTTGTTGCTGCTCTTATAATAATGATGATTGTGTCTGAGGCGCCTGGGTGTGTGTGGACTCAGGGAGGTCACGTTCTGACGGGCTGACTCCCTGAAACTTTCCGCCTGGCACTGGTGCCTGCCCAGGGAATGGGTTGTGGAGTTCAGGCCTGTTTGGGTTTGTAGCATGTAATGATAGTTTCAGGGCAACTGGTGTTGTTGAATTTGGAGCTGGGTCTTGGGCGTTCACCATCTGATTAATTTGCCCATCTGACTCACTCACCTGCCAAGAGAGTCAAGAACCACGTCTGTAACAGGGGAAATTGGAATCACTTGTTTCAGGCAAATTTATCCAAAGGCCTTATTTTCTCAAAGTGCTACCTGCAGTTGCATTGGAAGAAAGCCCAGTGTGGCTCCTCTGAGTCAAGTGCTGCATCCTTTTTTTTTTTTTTTTCCTCCTGGGCTACTGTACTTCTTTGTAAAAAGAAGAAAATTAGTTAATGGAATGAGCTTGTTAACACATTGCACTAGGGCTGCAAGAAAAGTCATGGTTGAATCAAATAATGATCTTAAGCTTGTGCTCTTAGATGAGAGAGAAATACATTGAAAGAGGATGTGCTTGACCTCTGCAGACTGAGCCTGGCCAGGTCCCTGCCAGGAGCGTCACCTTCACCTGGCCCCTCACTAGCTGTCTGCTGTCTTCTTACAATGCTGGTGTGTCTGTAAGTGAAGTGTGGGAGTGTGCTCAGCTAGAGACCATTTTGACATAAAAGCATATGAAGTTGATGGAAAGTGCTGGATTCTTTGTGCTCAGGTCTACTGTGATCTGTAAAGCCCCCAGAGAATTCTGAGCTCAATTCTTTCCATCCCACCTGCACAATCTGATGTCTGGCTTTGCTGTGACCACAGGGCACAGATTTCCCTTTGTGAAAAGGGCTCCGCAGGAGGCAGCCAGGAGGGAGCTGAGCCAATGGGCAGTTGGGTCACATGTGTGAAGTAGGGGTGAGTGGATGTGAACAGTCCTGTAAATGGATGGTACCTGTGGATGGTGTCAGGTCACAGGAGGAACACAAAAGGGATAAAAGGGGGAAAGCACATTGAAAGGTGGAGGCTGAACTGGAGAAGGTCCTTTTAGCTGAAGCTGCCCGTACCCTGCCCATAGCCTCTGGCTCTTGGCCTGAGGGGTTTCTCTGGATGCTGGAGCCCTCAGATCCTGCACAGAGAAGGCCTGAAGTGCAGGGGAGTTAGTGCCCCCATCCCACATGAGAACAGGCTCCAGTCCATGAGTCATGAGAAGGGAGCTGGGAGCCCAAAGCCTAGGTCCCAAGCCGGCCATGGGAATGACTGGGACAGCTGAAGGTAACCTGCAATAATATGCCTTCCAGCCAGGGCTGTGCTGATCAAGGAGTCTCACTGGCTCTCCAGAAGAGCACAGAAGTCCTAATTTGTAGCCTTTGCTGACTTCCGTGATTCCAGTTCCCTCACTGACGGCAGAGTCGGGAGGAGGAGCCGTGATGCTGACATGCCACACCGGGTCAAGGTCAGCACCAAGCTGGAAGTTTTAATATAATGTGTTTAGTTGTAACTTTGTATAATTTAATTTTCAACAATAGACAACTTTCACAAACAGCTTAGAAAAATCCTGAAATTGTCCCAAGCGGGCTGGGCTCTGTGCTTCGTCCCTGCTCAGCAATTCCTCCCTCACTCAGGGCCCCAAGGGCCCCTCCTCCGTTAAGTGCTGTCTCCGACTGTTGCCTTCCCAGAGGGACTTTCAACAGTCTCTCAGTCGTGTGACCTACTTTGTCTACTGAAAGCCAGCAGGTGGTACAGATCCATCCTGCTCCACTCTCTGTTTCTCCTTCCCTGGAAACGAGTGGCACCTCTGGTCCTCACAAGGGCCACACTCAGCTCTAGCGGCTGCCTCACTGTCAGCTCCACGCAGCCCTCAGCCACCGGCTTCCAGTCATGGAGATCCACTGTAGCCTGCACCTGAGCCGTGCCCAGGGCTGGAGCACAGCAAGGGCTGGAGAGGGCATGAGTGTGAGCGTGTGTATGTGTGTATGTGCAGGTGTGTGTCTGTGTATGTATCTGTGACTGTGTGTGAGCAGGTATGTGTGAGTTATGAGGAAGTGTATGTGTGTAAGTGTGTATAAGGGTATGTATGTGTGTGGCATGTGTGCGTGTGTGATTGTGTATATGTGATTGTGTGTGAGGGTACATAAGGGTGTGTGTATTAGTGTGTATGAGGAATGTGTATATGGGGTGTGTGTGTCATTGTGTATACGTGAGTGTGTATGTGAGTGTGAGCATGAGTGTTAGAGTATATGCATTCGTGTGTATGGGTATGTTGTATATATGTTTGTGTGCATGTGGGATTGTGTGAGCATGAGTATGTGCCCATGAGTGTGTGTGTATGATTGTACATGGCTGTGTGCATGCATGTGTATAAGTATGAGTGTGTAGGTGTGTGTGTGTGAGTGTGTAAGGGAGTGTGTGAACATATGTATAAGAGTATGTATATGTGAGTGTGACCATGAATGTGTGAGAGTATATCCATGAGTGTGTATGGGTATGTGTGTGAGTATGAGTGAGTGATTGTGTGTATATGAGTACATGCATGAGGGTATGAGTGTGTCTGTGATTGGGGGTGTATGATTGTGTATGTGTGTGTGCATGCATGTGTATGAGAGTGTGCAAATGTGTATGTGTGTGTGGCCTCAGCACCTCTGCCTCCTTTCTTTAGCAATAGCACCCCACTTTTCTTGGGGTACATACCCCACATGATCCCTGCAAGCTGCCAGTCCAGATTGCCTGACACCCTGGGAGGCAGAGTCCTGACTCCTGCAGGGGAGCAGGAAATTCAAGGGCAGCAGTGGCAGAGGCCAAAGGGGAGTGTCCCTTACTTGAGCCACCTGTGTCACCAGGGCCCAGAGCGTCTTCATGTGATCCTCGAGCTCTCCTGAGATAGAAGCTTTCTAATGTCATTTTATAAATTCCTTTCCTGCTTAAGTCAGCTAGGGAGGCAGGCTGTTTGCAAATACGAGCTCTATTACATAACTGTCTTGTGAAGGGGCCCCTGCTGTTCCACTAGAATTGTGAAATTATTTCCTGATGGTGGCCTGACAGGGCAAAGGGCAGATTAGGTCTCGTCACTGTCGGGGAGGGGCAGAGGGCCAGGCTTGTGGCTAAGAGACAGAAACTGCAAGGACACTGTCTCAACAGGATTTCTCCCAAAATCCATGTATGGGATCAATCCAATAACCAGGGTAAGGATGACAGTTGTAGACAGATAGAGGAAAGAATCCCTGGAATCCAAGAAGCATGTGACACCTTATCTTGCTAACAAAAGCAATGCACCCTGACCACATACTGTGCACCAGGCCTGAGATACTACATTACTGAACCATCGCAGCACCTGGAAAATAGATTTTTAAAAGGCCCTTAGTATCTCCATGTCCAGTCAGTACCCCTCATTCAGAAGACCTCAGGTGCACAGAGGTTACACAGAAACACGCAGGTCAGTGGTGGAGCGGGGAATGAATGAGGACGGCCCCACTCCAGAGTAGCCAAGTCTGAATCTCTGGGGGAGGAGCCGGGAATCTGCATTCTAGCAATCACTCGCACAGCCCTTTATGCACCTGTCTGAAAACCACTGCCTTATGCAGAGAGCTGGATCAGTGTGCTGTGAAACACAGGTTGATTTCTGTGTTCTCTGCATCTGACTTCTGAGGGATCTGGTTAGAATACTAAGAAACATAAATGGTGGGCTCCATGGATCCGTCCTGCCCTGCATGCCTGGGAAAGTTCTCCCACAGCACAGGCTGTGGCCTCCCACAGAGCCGTCTCATCTGAACATTAGCCTCACAGGCTGCTTGGGTATGGGGAGAACTTGCTAGAATCCTCCTGGAACATGTGACCTGTTGTCCAGGATCCATAGCTACGGACTCCGCATCAGCTGTGGGAGCCGCTCAGTGTGAACCAGGCTCAAAGAACACTGCGTAGAGAGCTGCCCACGTTTGTTTACGCACGGTTTGTTGTGTTTCCAGAATGAAAGGAACAGGACATACAGGGTGGACAAAACCGACAGGGGCAGCTATGTCATTTCAGACGAAAACAAGCCTTTTCGGAAACATTCAAATACTAGATGATTATGGCTTTCCACGGACAATGTCTCTCTACTTCTGTCTGCAAACATCCCCAGGGACTGAAAGCATCTTGAAGCCTGCCTCCCCAGATTAGGGAGTCACTGACAGGGCAGAAGTCACATTTTGAATGTGTGTTTTATCGGCACTTCACAGAGGATGAGACAAAGGCACAGATATCTGACACTGCGGCTGTGCCTCCGTACCCCCGCTGTCAGTGACCGCCTCACCCTTCAGGATGGCCCCGTAGACTCACACACTACTGCTCCATTCTGCTTTGGTCTTGATGTTTTTGTTCTGTGTTTCATTTTCAGTGTCTTTGGCTGCTCTTGGGGTCTCCTCTTTCCCTCAGGCAGGGGCCGAAGGGCAGGCAGGGGGGTGTTGGGCCCAAGGGGGCCAGCTGGTGAGGACAGCCCCGCCTGCCCTGGTGGTCTCGCCTCTCCTCAGTGGGCTCATCACATTCACAGAGGTTCTTCGTGCCTCCCTCACTTTGTTGCCACAACAAGAAAGATTTCACTCCGTCTCTATTTTAAAGAGAGCTGGAGACATCAAGTGGCTGGCTGTGGTCACCCAGCCCCAACCCTGGGTCTCATTGGTGTAGGACCCCGTGTTTATCTTCCTGTCATTTCATCTTCCCCCTACTCCCGCCAACACCTTCTATTTAATCTTTCCCCCAGCTCTTCCTCCTTCTTGCACAACTGAGGTGCCTGTGAGGGGCTGGATGTGGGAGGTGGGTGACACCTCAAACAGTAATTTCCAGAAGCATTTTAGATGCAACCTCGGAGTCTTCAAAGGAGCACTGGGCAATTTTGCTTGGAGAGGGGGTGGAGGCGGGTAAAGGATCTCTGTATTTTCATCCCCTGGAACTGGCTGGAACTGGCTGGAACTGGCTGCCTGTTGGATGTCCCTGGAGGTGTGGCATCCTTTGCATGTCAACATCAGGATTTGGCTCTTGTCTCTGCCCCGGGCCTGACTCCCTGCTGCCAATGCCTGTGGTCTGGATGCACTTGCTGCGAATTGCCCAGGTGGCAGTGGTGGAGCAGAGTCTGCTGGGAGACACAGCAGGAAACATACAGCATCATGGGGTCCCAGGTGTGACGGCTGGGCATGGTGTATTTGTGAGAAGAGGCTCCAGACCTGGGGTCTGGGCTCTGGAGATGTGGGTGGGGCACAGGTGGCAGGAAAAGGATGGGTGAGCCCAGGTCCACCTGGCCTATGGAGGTCTTAACTTCCTAGACCTATCCAAACCTCTCTGTAGTGATAAATGCCATGGAAATGTTCTGGGGACTGCCGGGGAGTGGGATGGGAGGGTGGAGGGGGCTGTCTTCCACAGCCAAGAAGGAGACATAGTAGAGACCCTTGGATTCAGGCTTAAAGAATAACTAGGGGCATTGGCCTTCTTAGAGAGGACACAGGACTTTGTCTGACTTTGCACTTGTCTGGTGTCATTGCAAGTGGCAATTCTCAATTCTCAGTTCTCCAGTTATCCGGCGCCACCTGGGTGTCCAACAAGTTCATGCCATGAACACTGGAGGTGAAGGGCTCTGTCCTATGACTCTGCCCCACAGCAGACACCAGCCACAAGGCCCAAGGGTCATCCGGCTGTGAAATCAGGGGCTCCTATGACCTTCTCCCAGGCTTAATCCCTTGCTAGAATGAGTCACAGAATGCAGGGCAGCACTCTACTTACAATTATGGTTTTGTTATGAAAGATAAACTCAGGAGTGGCCAAATGCAAGAGAAGCATAGGAGAAGGTATTGGGGAAACAAGTGTGGAGTTTCCCTGTCCTCTCAGTGCACAGCTCCCCACTTCATGTGGATGCTTCTACCACCCTGGAAGCTCCCCAAACCCCTTTGTTTGGGGATTTTGTGGAGGTTCCATGATGTAGGTGTGATTGATACATCATTAGCCATTAGTGACTGACTCAGTCTCCAGCTGCTCCCCCCCTCTCTGGGTTGGGGATGAAGTGGCATCATGGTTGGTCTTTTTGGCCACTAGCCGCCATCCTGAAACTGTCTAGAGTTCAGCCACCCACCATCTCATTAGCACACAGAAAACAGCAAACTCCCAGGGTTCCAGGAGCTGTGTGCCAGTCTGGGATGAAAAGAGATCAGGAGGTAGATGGATGAACAGGGGCATTTTCCTGATCTATCCCCAGCACCAGGCAGAGCCCCCTTGTTGTCCTCAAAAAACAGGCTGTGAAGGCAGAGGCAAGGCTCCTCGTGGGGTTCCAGGTGTGGAGGTGCTGCAGACCACCTGCAATTCCAAGGGGGCAGATGCTGCCAGGGACATAGATCGCCCAAGAAAACCTTGGGCTACTGTTGCCTGACTGAAGGACCCTGGGTGTGAGCAGGGCTCTGCTCAGAGGGCCTTGAGCCCTCTCAGGCCATCCCTGACCACATTGCAGCCTCCACTAGCCCCGCATCAGGTTCTGGCCCTGCCCAGAGCCACCTCCCTGTGGTGGGGATGAGACATCCCAACTTCTCTCAGACCTGGGAGGCCACCCAAGGTCTCAGGTTGGGAAGGCCGCCTTAAAAGATGCTTGGCTTCCAGTTCTTAATCTTAGAGGATTTGGGGGAGGAACCAACAGTGTATTGTGTGTAGTGTGGTGTGTGTGTGTTGTGTGGTGCATGCATATAAGTGTGGCATGTAAGTATATGTGTGCTTGGTATATGCATATGGATGGATGTATATTGTGTTTATGTATGGGACACCTGGTTTGTAATATTTGTCATTGTCTGTGGTATAAATCCTCCCATGACAGCCAATGGAAAGCTAATGCCATGTCACCAAAAACAGAGTTGGAAAGGGTGTGCAGAGCCACTACCTTAAGTACGATGACGTACATATATCACCAGACAGATAAACAGACACGCAGCCTAGAGAACACTGATAATAACACAATGTGGGGGTTATTATCTTGAATTTTAATATAATTTATTTTATTGCAAATCTATTCATTTTAATTTTTAATAATGGCTGTGTGTAACAACTGGTCCCGAAATTCACAGACATTTGGCAATCGACCCCATCAAGGGGGTACGGGTTGGCCTAGACCACCCTGGATTCCTTCTCCGGCTGCGTTCTGTGGCCAATGTACTGAGCCCTGCCGGCCTCCTTCCTCAAGAAGCTGGAAATCTGGTAGGAGCTGGAGATGGTTTCACTGGGGTCCCCAGGCTCACCACCCATGGGGCTGCAGAGGGAGTGGTGGAGATACACATGGAGGCCTCCTGGCTCTGGGAGTAGCTTCACACTCATACTCGGGGAATTGTTCTAATGGCTCAGGCTTGAGGCACCACATGCAGTTTTTTTTTTTAAAGTATGGTATTAATTTATACTTGTCTGTTGTTTATCCAATAAATGGCGTTCCAAATAGCAGGGCACTAGCCTGAACGGGAGAGGAGTGTGGATTCTGTTCTAAGCATGTTACAGCATCTGCTTTCATACTCATGCATATGCACACATGCATATATGTATATCCATGTCTACCTCAGGCGTGGGCACTTGCTGACTTATCAGGCATAGCCAAAGATAAAAGGCAACACTATGCTCCATGGAGGATGAATCTCACTTGGGTAATAAAATGACAAAGAAAACTAGAGAACTAATGGCCATAAGACTCAGCCCAGCTGTGCCCCAGGAGGGAGGAGAGATTTGGGAGTGGGGTTCTGTAGGGGGGTGGGAAGGCTCTAGAGTGGGTGCTGGGGGTTACAAGCATTTTTGCCTTATAGGACTTCATTAAACTTCATGTTTGCTTTATGCAGCTTCCTGTACTTGTGGGACATTTACTGTTAAATATATACTTTCATATATATGTGCAGATATACCTCAATATATATGTATATATATGTCTGTATGTGTGTGTTGTATGTACACACACATACACAGAGACATTACAGACATGTACTCACTCTCTTTCACCTGAGTTGGCAGAAAGTTTTGTTGCTGGGCCCTGCTGAGATAACCGGTTTGCCCAGTGGCTTGCTGGCCTTGCCAGGCTGTGCTGAGCTGTTCTGCGATGGCTGGCAGGCGCTGCCTGGGCTAGAACTGGTAGTAGAGCTCCAGGTTTTAAATGGACCTAGGGGGATCAGCCCAGGGTTCCATGCAGGTTTAGCAGGTAGGGTGTAGCAGGCCACAGCTCTGAGAAGGCTCTGACCTGGCAAATGCTCACGGACTTGAGGCCTGCCCTGCCTGACAGCGGCTCTGATTTCCTGACCTGTGCACAGGAGCTGGCTGAGGGGCAGCCCCTGCAGGCTTAGAGTTTTCTGGTGAAAAGTGTTGTGGCAAAAGGAGCTTGAGCTGGTCCCCCAGTACCTCTGGGCCATGTGGGGCCTTCCCCCTCCCGAGGAGAGGGGCATGACTGAGATGTGCCCTCTGCCCCAGGGAGGCACACACCAGGGCAGGGCTAGGAGACACTCAGCCTCAGTAGCCACTTTCCAGTCAAGGGCCTGGGGTCACAGAAACCTCAGGGCTCCTTCCTGTAAGTCGGGGTGGTTCTCAGCAGCAAGCTTTCACTTTCCATGCCTGGCTGGGACAGCTGGGTATTGAGACTGAAGAGACAGCCCACCTCTCCTTCTGCCCAGAAAGTGAAAATGCCTGAGAAGGCGCTGGGAGTGACTGGGGACAGCCAGATGAAGGTCCAGTTCTGGTGTCGGGTCCCTGAGGAGGGAGCTCTGTGGACTGGCTCCGTAGCACATGCTCCTGGGGCTTGCCTGGCACCGGTGCAGGGATCAAGGTCGGAGTCCACTGGCTGCTGGGAAGGCTGGCATTGGAGTTACACTAAGGCGCTGAGCAGCGTTAGGCACTCAAAATCTATTTTAAGCCTTGTGTAAACATGCATGAGGCGAAGTCTCCCTCTCCCTGCTGCTCCTGCAGAAAGAGCTGTCCTTTGCATTGCCAACTTCTCAGGGTTCTTGTGGAGGTTAAGCAAGTGCTGTTTTGATTTTTTTCTGGAGGTGAAGTGAATTATAGCCTTGTTGTTTTAATAAGTCACAATATTTACAAGTTCATTTCTTTGAACTGTGTGTGGGGGGTTATTTTGTCTGCAATTTTGAAGGTAAATAATTTTCTGCTGTTTCACTGTCGTTTCAGCCAGATATTTTTGTTTGGTTTGGTTTTCAAAAGGAGGAGAAGGGAACTAGCTTTTATGGAAGGTCTTTGCTCTGTCCTTACCAACGCGGGAGTTGTGCTTCCATTACCTTCTTTAATCATTTTCATAAGGATTTTTGTACAAATGATGAGGAATGACGGGTGGTTTTAAATTTGTTTTTCAGAAAGAAGTAATGCATGACTCTGATTTGCGGCTGCAGGATAAATCCGAACTATTTCAGGGAGATGTCATGGAGAGCTCATCTCTCAGCATCAAAGTTGCCTCTCCTGACTTTTGAATTTTAAGTGTTCTGTGTGGAAGAAAAATGGAGACAACAAATTTCTATGCATGGATTCAAAGAATCCTCGTAATATACAGACTACATTCTCCCCAGCTTTTTATCTCTATATATTCTTTTTGTTGAGTTTCAACCACATAGGGTTGAAATTCACCTTCCCACATTACATTTTTCATCAATAGTTGAAGACCTATGTATGTAAATATCAGGAACTATCAGAACTCCCTGCAACAGGAAACCTGACCCCCAACTCCCCCGAAATGCATCATGATAAACAGTCACTTGCCAAAATAACAAATCAGCTTCCTGGAACATGCTTGCTCAAAACCAGGAGAGGAGCTTAGAGACGTCAGCTTGACTTCTGCCTCGTACGCAGGAAGGGTGACCTTCAAAGATCAAACATCGTCCCAAATCTCCCTTCATCTTGTAGTACTCCTGCTTGTCGTAGCTCCTGTTACCATCAGGTACTGGGCCAACCATCCGTCATGTCAGAAGAGAGTTGGGGACAATCCCTGGATTATTTCACCTTTGCCCTGCTGGTATAGACAATGTGTGTTATGGCTGGGTGACTTGCTGACTTTTACTCTGAGCAACAGCTTTGTCAGAGTAAACTAAAACAGAGACTTCAGAGCATAATAAAATATGACATTTTTTCTGTATAGAACTAAAGACACGGGGGAGAGAGAACAACTTAATTAAAAAGACAGTGCCCTTTCAGTGTCTTTTTTTTTTTTTTTTTTTTTTTTTTTTTGAGATGGAGTCTTGCTCCGTCGCCAGGCTGGAGTGCAGTGGCGTGATCTGGGCTCACTGCAACCTCCACCTCCCGAGTTCAAGTGATTCTCCTGCCTCAGCCTCCCAAGTAGCTGGGACTACAGGCACGTGCCACCACACCCAGCTAATTTTTTTTGTATTTTTAGTAGAGACAGGGTTTTACCGTGTTGGCCAGGATGGTCTCGATCTCTTGACTTTGTGATCTGCCCTTCTCTGCCTCCCAAAGTGCTGGGATTACAGGCGTGAGAGTTTGTATTAATAAAATAAGAGGAACAATACCAAGGAGAGTGCTTTGTAAGGATGTCAAGGCTGCCTGTTCCCTGCTCTACACAGCATGTCTCTGACAAAGCAGAGGCCACAGAAAGGGGCACCTGGTGGAGGGCCCAGGCAGCAGAGCACAGGCCCTGCAATTCTGGATGCTGGGGTGTCATTTCATGTTTTGAATTAGCTGTGAGCCTGGGGGCTGCCGCCGGGATCATTTCCAGCAGGGCGGTACCATTTAGTTCCTTCTGACAAAAGGGCCACTGCCCAAGATTTTCCGCGTCTGCATTCAAGTGGCAGATGAGACACGGATAATAATACACACTCCAAATCTTTTCAGGAATTCACAGTCTCTGTTTGCAATGTTATCCTGAATTTGATCACGACATGCACAGAACTGGTTTGAAAATTATTTTCCAGAAGCAATTCTTTAATAAAACTTTTTCATCTGAAAAGCAATCTAGCCAAAATGTCAACAGAGGTAGATAGGATAAAAAATAATTACTCTGGATCCCAAGCCAAGATGAACATACAAGTATTACCAAAGATTTGGGTGTGATATCGACCCCTTGCCCCTCTCCAGCCCCCTTGATCCTGGGATCCCTGCCTGTCTCTGTGCTTGCAGGCTTCTCCCCGGCAGGGACAGAGAATGTGAAGTGCCTAAATGCTTAGTGATTTCATTCCAGGGCACTTTCCTATCATCCTGGTTACTGATGCCAGAGGAAAGCAGGAAGGGTTGGGGGTTGGGTTTGCAGCATCTGATGGAGATTGTGGTTTGCAGATTGTGAATTGCTGTTTTGTTCTACAAAAATAATGAACATGGTAACCATAGAAACCTAGTAGAAAGGTGTCCAAGAGGCTAATCGACCCAGTCAAATGAGTGTTTCTCTATGATGACTTGTAGTGATCCTGTTAAATTGTGCAGGGTTTCTTTCTGGGGGGCAGCAGGAGCTGTGACAAAATGCATTTATTATGCCATCCTCACGTGTCAGACTGACAACGACTGCTGTGTTGTTGCTACGAGATGGCTGCATAACAGCACCCACAGCTGCAGGACCATTGCAACTGCTTACTTGCAACAGGTGCTGTGTTTTAGGCCCCAGACCCCAGAACTTGGATTGACAGAGGGGCCAGCTGCTTAATTTTTGGCTGGCTGTTTTTCATCTGTGGAGTGGTGCCCCTCTGAAGAGACCAGAGCATGTGAAACTCTATCCTCATGCAAAGAACACTGTCCTAATTTTTCTTTTGCTGGAGGCCGCAAGTGCCAGAGAGAAGGATAAGAAAGGCTTTGGGCCACTTGCCCCAGCTTGAAGGCCACGATGCCAAACCAACCCGGGCAGTGCCTGGAGTGTCAGGAATTTACAAGCAAAGAGTCCAAGTGCTGAGCACGTTTGACTAGTAAGGGTGTCTTTACCCCAGCTGGCAGAGTTTGGGTAAAAAAAAAAAAAAGAAACACAAAATGGCAAACAGCTCTTTGCTTTTTGGGCTTAACTTTGCATAGCAGAGTGCATTAGCTTAAAATGTCAACAGTGACCATTGCCAGATAGATGTACTTCCCAAGAAAAATACTGGGGGCAGTTTCTATTCTGGGAGAAACTTTTGGTGAACAAAAACCTCATTCCAGCGCTACTCACCACTATATTTAAGTCAAAGCGGGGGGGAAGTTTTAATAGCAAAAAGGCCCATTTAACATTTCAGCTGACTCGAAGCCCAGATTCTCCGGCAAGGTCTTTGGTGCTGGTGGTGGTCCGGACTCATGGGAGGACGCTGGGGCTTCTTCACAAGGGATTGTTCATGCCATTCAAGGATGATGCCAAAATATATATTCTCCTTTTTCAAATGTAAAATGGACACGAACTTTTGGAAAACCAGGAAAACAAACAAAAGTAATTAAGTAAAAATATGCATAATTGATATATAATCTCCCCATCGAAAACTGATGATTCTACCTATTTTTAGATGTAGTCTTTTCCCAGGGGGAAGATTTAGGGGTTCAGAAGAACTTTCTGGAAGCTGGGTCCCCATCTGAGTTGTAGTGACAACCAGGGTCAGAAGGAGAGAGGGCAGCTTAGCTGGACATTTCACAGGCAGCAGGATAAGGCCGTGCATGTGCTGCTGCAAGAGCATGCTTTGATCAAAGGAGTCTAGGAAAGCCACCATGAGTGCCTGCCTGGGAGGGACAGCTCATCCCAAGGGGACTGGAACCTCCGTGCCTCCATCTCTCCCAGATCTCACCCTTCCCCTTGGGAGCTCAATAGCTTTCTGAGTTCCATCAGAAACATGCTGTCTCCCCCAGCAAGGCAATCGGGTGCGCGTTTTGTGAGGTGAGGACTGGGAGGGGAGGCACTCTGTGAGAATAAACAGGGATGACTCTCCCCAGCTCCCGGACTGCTGGGGGCATGGCTGGAGGACTCTGTGCATTCAAGACCACCAGCTGCAGTGACCTCATGCCCAGCCATGAGGGAGAAAGCTCACGTGACCTCCCTGTCTCCCCTCGCCTGTCAAGGGCTCCCTCACACACAGAGGAGGAGTGGCACCCTGGGCTACTGATAGGACAGGTGTATAAATCTTAGCTACACACATGAGTGTGCAAAAAATGTCCTATGTCCTTATTTACTTGTTAAGTAAAATTAGATCCCAGTTCTGAATTAAATCTCAATCAGTTCTGGAGTGTCTTTCTCTGCACATATTTCTCAGGGTTCTTGAACAGAACAATGTATTTGGGGGCTCCAGGTCCTAGGCTCACACTGGGGTCCCTGAGTGATCCCTGACTCTCTGTGCCCACAGGGGCCTTGAAGTCCTCCATCTATGCTGCTTTTTAGTTACAGGAAAGATTTTTCTGGTGAGATTTCTGGGCCCAGGGGCTACCCTTCCCTAGATATTAGAGATGCAGTGTTGAACAAAATGTAGAACGAGCCTATGCCCCTGGAAGATTTTCGGTGTCGAGGAGACAGGCTAAGCACACACACAAACTGCAGACACTAAGCCATTGTCCACTAGGGACCAGAAGCTTCTGTGAGATACTGTGGTGGTGGAGGAGGTGGTGCTTTGGCAGAACCCCTAACCTCCCTGCCTTCCCCAGCTGGAAGGAGTCTCTCCTAAGTCCCAGCTTCTCACCTCATTTTTCTTTTCTCCCTCCTTCCCATTTTTGTCTCCCTCCAGAGACAGAATGTGCTATAACCTTCTGGAAACTTCTACTATTTTCCTGCAACCTGACTACCCCTTAGGTGAGGGAGTCCAGAATGCTGGCTTGAAATGGGAGAGAGAAAGAACTGCCACATAATTTGCAAGATCTTTTTTGAAAAAGAAAAGGTATTAAGAATTCCAGGACAGCATTAGGAATGTATTAAACCAGGTGAGAGACATCATATGACAGCACAGCTCATACATTCACAAACCTGATGCCAGGGAGGAAAATATGCAATGAGGAATAGTCAAAAAACACTACAGATTAATAACCCAATAAATTATCCTGATGTTTATGTACTTTTATATGTACATACAGTTTTAACGTAATTGTCATCATTTTTCATTCCCCCGATAAAAAGGAAGCTATGGAGTATGATGGTGGCCATGAAATCTGAGACTAGACTGCCTGGTTCAGGTCACACCTCCATGGTCACCATCTGTGAGCCCTTAGGCGGTGCCTCTATCTCCTCTTCTGCAAAAGGGAAACCTTGACCTCTCCTTCTCCTGGACTGAGTGGATTAGGACAGAGCAGTGCCTGGAACGAGTGGGGCTGTAGGCACTGTAGTGATGCTTCTCTGTGGGTCAGGTCTGCTCTGGCCCAGACTTACACCATTGAGCAACCCACAGAGGAGCCTGGGCTAGTGGAGCACCCACCCACAGAGCTGAGACAGGCAATGGAGACCCTCATGCAAGCCCAGGACACCTCGGGGGCTCCATTCTCTGAAGAAAACTAAGACAGGGGAAGGGGCTGCACACTCATAGGACTCTAGTAGGCATTCAGTTATTTTGTACTTTTCTTTATGTATTATCACTTTTGTGTTAAGAGTAATTCTGGAATAGTTTATATTTTGATGCTATATTTAATAGAATTTTTTTTCTCTCAATAGATATCTTGATTAGTTATACCTTAAACCTATGTTTAGTATACTTTCCTTAAATTTGTCTATTGTATAGAATTCTCTTTGTTCTATTCATTCCAATAGATTTTTATTTACCTCTCTTGGGTTTTCTAAGTGGACACATTGACTGAAAACAAGATGGCATTCTATCCTCCTGTGTAACAGTTAGAATCACCACTTAGCTTTACCTGCCACGGTGTTGCCCAGGGCATTTGCAGTCATACTAAACAGTAATGTCATGCAGAGGATCATTATTTTGTCCCCAGCTATTATTTGGAATACAAATATGTTCTGTCCATGGGCCTCTTCTCTACTCTAGCTCAGGAGTTACTTTGATAATGAGCTACACAATTCGATCTCCCACCACTATCCTTTTTGGGGAAAATTTTTACCTTTATGTTCTTTATTAAAAAGGGTTTATATTTCTCTTCCTGTTAAAAAATTATTTTAGTTTCTGAGTATTACATGCTTCACAAAATAAAGTTAGTTGATTTTATTTATTTTATATTGTGGAAAAATACATACACAGAGCACTGGAATGATAATAATAATACAAAGAATAAGAAAAAGAATAACAAAGCTAACTAAATAACTTGCCCAAAGTCAGACTGTCAATAAGTGGCAGAAATGGGATTTAGATATTTCCTTGAATGAGCTCTTCTGAGAATGAGCTCTACCTTGAAGATGATTTTTAAGAAAAGACAAAAATATGCCAGCTGCCAGAAAATTACAGAATAGAGTCCATTTCATTCAAAGAATTGTGCAGATACAACACAAATCAGAAGTTAAGAGTAATAGTTTACTTGACAATGGTTCACAGTGTCTTTTTTTGGTTTCAGAATAAGGAACAGCGGAGCTTCCCCCTAAGACCCTGGTGTGTTTCTGCATCAGGAAACCTTCTCTCCTGCAATGTGGTGAGTTGGATTTATGGCAGTTGTACCTGCTGCTTGGAAGCCAGACTGCCTGGAAATTAATCTTGACATTGACCAACTGCATAACTGTGGGGGAAATTAACCTCCAAGATTTTGCTTCCTTATCTATAAAATGGCAGTGATTATAGTGCTTGCTTCCAGGACTAAAGTGAGATAGTGCATGGGACACGCTTAGCCCAGATGCTGATCGTTAGTAAGTATCCAGTGCGGTTAACAATATCACATCTAGTATCCCCGATCATGGTTCCATCCTTCCATGGCTTTCTGGAAAGGTTAGCAGTGGTACTAATGGTGAATGGGTTTTGGGTCCTGGAGTCCTCTGATAATTTGATGAGCATTTACATGATCTGAGTAGAAAAGAAAAGTGCATGTGAACACAGGCATCTCATTTCTTTTCAGAAGATTCAAATTCTGCATTAAGAACCCACAACTAAGTAAGTTCATGGTTCCTTCTTTCACGTGTCTGGTTAAATAATTCTCAGATGTTAGGATGACTGGGACACTGGGGTTCCACTTCCCCAGGACATTGAATTTGTAACAAATATCTCATGTGCTTCCATATAGTTAAATCTGGCTGCTTCAGATGCTGACTTCATTCCTCACTTCATCTTACACCCCTGCCTGATTTTCCTTCTGCTTTACTTATATCGTCTATTTTTATTTTATTCTCATTGCCAATGTTGTGGCCATGTTTGTAAGCCATCTTAAATCCCTTGTGGGAGGCAGAGAGCAACGACGTGGAGTATTAAACAAAATACTCACACATTCCACTGCCTCTGCGGGCAGGGCCAGGTGGAGCCACAGTTGTTCTCTCTACTGTGAGGCTGCAAGGCCTGGAGGTGGGTTTCGGTGAATTCCTAAGCTAGTTCCCCTGCTTTCCTGGTGCTAATGACTTCACTGGAGCTAACCAGAGAGCAGCCGCTGTGGAGTCTTGCTGCTGCCTGTTTTCCTCTCATGTTTGATAGAGGATTTCTACTATGATCCCTCCAGAGACCATGGCCTGCTGGCTGTGTCCCCACACTGGTTTCTGGGTTTCTGGTCCCACCATTTGTCAGATGAAGTGTTACTTGTGGTCAGCATTTACCAGTCAAGCTGGGCTGGGGATCCACACAGGCTATGGCGTTTTCTGGTCATAGAGAAGCCCTAGAAGCCAATAATTCCTCATGTATTAGTCAGGGTTCTCCACAGAAACAGAAACAGAAGCAACCGGATCTCTCTCTCTCTCTCTCGCTCTCTGTCTCTCTCTCACACACACACCATACATATTTTTGTTTTGTAACTCATTTTGTTTTGTAAACTAGGGTTAATGATAAGTAACCAGCAAAGGTTTCATGAGGATGAGAGAGAGAGAGAGAGAGAGAGGAGAGAGAGTATGTGTGTGTGTGTGTGTGTGTGTGTATGTGTGTAAAGAGAGAGAGCGATTTATGTTGAGGAATTGGCTTACACAAATCATGGATTCTGAGAAGTCCCTGGGTCTGCAAGCTGGAGAGCCAGGAAAGCCCATGGTGTGATTCAATCTGTTTCTAAAGGCCTGAGAACCAGGGGAGCCGATGATACGAATCCTTGTCTGAGGGTCAGAGAAGGTGAGATGAGATGTCCCAGTTCAAGCAGGCAGACAGGAAGCACACAGGGTAAATTCCTCCTTTCTCTGCTTTTTTGCTCTACTCAGCCCCTCAATTGATTTGCTGAGGCCCCTCCACCTTGGGAAGGGCCATGTTCTTAAGTCATTCTGCCAATTCAAATGTTAATCTCTTCCAGAAACACCTTCACAGATACACCCAGAAATAATGTTTAAGCAAATATCTGGGCTTGACCCATGATCCAGTCAAGTTGGTAAATAAAATGAACCACCATATCTCACTTACAAACTCTTTCCCTCTAGATTCTAGAGCATCACTTTGATACTCTATGGTTCAAAATTATTTAGTGACTTTTTTTGGCCATATATTAAGTATTAATTGAATACAAAGCTGGTTAGATATTCAAAGCGATATGAGGAACCAGCCTTATAGCCATTATTCTGTACACATTCCTGGCGAGCCTGATGTCCCCTCAGCTTTCTTGGCTATTTGTCACTCCACACCTAGCTGCTTTTAATCTGGGGGTGTGGGGGTGGGCCTTTAAGACCTTTTGTTTCCCTTAAAATAGACTTAGGCAGTTGCTGCGTATAGCTGTTTTTTGTGGAAATGCATTTGTTACTTTTGAGAATACAGTGACCTCTTGCAGTTCTAGGAGTTCTCTTGAATTCAGAAGAGCCCCTACAACACCGAACCTGTGATTTTAAGGATCACTGATGCTTCCGTTGAAGGGCAGGTTCCCTGCATTCTCCTCTCCTGGGCCTTCCCCTCCCCATGCATTGCACTGTAAGTCTTCTATCTCTTTGTGCAGAAGGGAGTAACAGCAGGAATTGTTTAAGCAGCTCTCGTAGCCCTTCCATATGCACATTTTTGTAGCACACCAATATTAACCAAGGTGTAGATTGGGCACAATTTGCTTCCTAAGCAAATTCATCATGCAGGAGCCCATCTTTCCTCTTGATGTGATGTTGACTCTGCTCTCCCTTCCAGTGGCAAACAGATGGAAACTGGATTGGGAAAGCATCCCATGGAACAACAATCTTTTCTTCCTGTGGGACCTAGTGCATGATCCAGGTGGGGTCTGGAAGGATAGGCTCAGGGACAACGAGATGTGGGGGCATGAATGGCAGCCAGGCAAGCTGGGCTAGCTGAGCATAGCTCAGATCTCAGTCTGCAGAGGTCAGCCCTGGCAGAACATATGTGTCGGCCTCCTACCCCACAGATGAGCTGGAACGGCTCGCAGGGCTTCAGCTGGGGCAGGTGCAACACTTCCCCAAACAGCAGTTTGCAGGAAGTCCCATAGTTCCCACAGAGACTTAAACAGCAGAAGCAGTTCCTCCTGGCTGGACAGACACCCACAGTCCCACCTCCCTGGAACCCACATCTGTCTGTGAGCATAGTGGGTGCTCTGTGCCAGTTGATAAAAAATAGTGTAGAATTATCATTACTTGAACTTTTGCCTAACCTTTTATTGTGAAAAATTTGATATGTATCAAAAAATTGAAATCATTTTACAGTGAACACCATTTACCCACACCCTAAATCGCTCCTTTGCTACATAGTAGTTGCTTTATCACACGTGCGTGCTGCTAGCCATGCCTGTATCCACCCATGAATTCCTCTTATGCATTGTATTTTGGAGTAAGTTGCAGACGTCAGTTACATTTGTTTTTCATTGTAATATTTAATTAATTTAATTTAATTTATTTTTTTTTGATGGAGCCTCACTCTGTCCACTAGGCTGGAGTGCAGTGGTGTGATCTCCACTCACTGCAACCTCCAACTCCCGGGTTGAAGCCATTCTCCTGCCTCAGCCACCTGAGTAGCTGGGATTACAGACACGTGCCACCGCACCCAGCTAATTTTTATATTTTTAGTAGAGACGGGGTTTCACCACGTTGGCCAGGTTAGTCTTGAACTCCTGACCTCGTGATCTGCCCACCTCAGCCTCCCAAAGTGCTGGGATTACAGGCATGAGCCACCGCCACTGGCTTTTTTTTTTTTTTTTTTTGAGACCGAGACTTGCTCTGTCACCAGGCTGGAGTGCAATGGCGCGATCTTGGCTCATCGCAACCTGTATTTAATTAATTTTAAAGTTTCAAAGGAAGTTAATGAAAGGCATGATATTTTGTAATTACCAAAGGGGCCATGGGTTAAAACAAGCTGAAGAATAGCAGCTAGAAAACATGTTTTCCACTGTGAAGGCTGAGCTGTCTGGCCCTTAAGGAAGACAGGATAGTTATAGAAACATATTTGGTGGCCATGGTTAGTCCATCAAGGTCGGAAGACTCCAGCAGGTAGAGTCTGCGGCGCGCATCAGGAATCTGGGGGTGGGTTAGGCAGGGTGGATTTGTGAGATTAAAGGCACAGGGCTGAGGGACAACCCAGTAGATGGCACCAAGGACAGAAATGCAACCTGAAAACCAGTCTGGTGGCCTCACTGAAGTCTTGCTCTGAAGCACACAGAGAATGCAGGCCAGGTGTGACAAGCACAAGGAAGAGAGAGCCCGGCACCACAGCAGGAGGGCCCAGCATCAGAGGGACCGGGGGAAGATCCAGAACCTCTGCGGTAGCCACCTCATCCGGTATACCCGGGCTCCCGGGGCACTCACGGGCCAGCGTCCGACCAGACATCAGGGTGCAGAGTGTGGCTGCATGGACCCTTCGTCTTGTAATGATGGCCCTTGATTTGGGGTGGTTACATCCTCTAGGGGCACACCAGAACACTGCGTGTTTGCTTCTCTAGTCTACAAGGATTCTGTGTTCATTCCATTAACAGGGAATGGGCATTGTATGAAAGATGGTTCAGCCATGATGAAAGTTTGGGAAATTCCAGTTAAATCTAACAAGTTTCTTGACTATAGGACTTCTTAGATGTTTAGTGCACGATGTGGAATATGAATATCTAAGAAAGTAATGTATTATGAGGAGTTTCCCAATATTTCCACCCTCCATGGTTTGTAGCCTCTTTGGGAACTCATTTTTAGCACACGGCCCTAAGCTATCTGGGGTATCATTTGTTAATGCAGCTCACAGGACTCCATTGAGTTAAATTAAAGCTATATTCAGGGCAGAAAAAGAGAAAGCAAACAGTGCTTCAGACAGACAACAAGGCGTGGGGCAATCACACTTTTTCTCACCTGCTTCTTCATCAGAGCCATTCTGGGGGGAAAGACATAGACGTTTCTGCCCCTAAAAAGCACTGACTACCTCGGATCAGTCTAGGCTGCTGCGCGAAGACTTTCCTATTGCCTCTGGCCAGCTGTTTTCTTCTGCGTGGTTGTGGACTGAACCCTCTGCACATTTCAGCCCTGCATCTACGCTGTTTTATATGGCTTGGTTTTCTGAGTGTCAAGAGAAGGTCTAGGCTTTGGAATCAACATAACTTTTTCTTATTTTTTTTTTTTTTTTTTGAGACGGAGTCTCGCTCTGTCACCCAGGCTGGAGTGCAGTGGCACGATCTCGGCTCACTGCAAGCTCCGCCTCCCGGGTTCACGCCATTCTCCTGCCTCAGCCCCCCTAGTAGCTGGGACTACAGGTGCCCGCCACCACGCCCGGCTAGTTTTTTGTATTTTTTAGTAGAGACGGGGTTTCACTGTGTTAGCCAGGATGGTCTCGATCTCCTGACCTCGTGATCTGCCCACCTCGGCCTTCCAAAGTGCTGGGATTACAGGCTTGAGCCACCGCGCTTGGCCCAAAATAGCTTTTTCAAGTTTCCCTGCTCTATGATCATGAATACTTGTCATAAGCTCTCATTTTGTTTTATACACTAGGATTAATGATAAGTAATTAGCAAGAGTTTTATGAGAACGAGAGTTAATATAGATGCTGAGCCCTCCCTGAAATGTCTTGCATATAGTTAAGTGTTCAGTTAATGTACTGATGTGGTAATACAAGAATCATAATTGGTATCATTATCTCTGTTAAGATTTATTTCAAATTTCATAATGAATACTCAAAAAATATCCAGTGACTTGAGCTAGAAAAAAAGAAAAAAGTATTACATTAGAAAAATTTTTAAAGAATTGATTATATTATGTGTTGATTAAAGTCATATGATTTGAGAAAAATACTTTAGGATCAGAACAGAAAATGCTATGGTCTGTTTGTGTCCTCCAAAATTTATATGTTGAAATCCTAACACTTCAGGTGATGATGTTAGGAGATGGGGCCTTTCAGAGGTGACAAAGTCATGAGGGTGGAGCCCCCATGAATGGGATTAGTGCCCTTATAAAAGAGGTTTGGTGGCTTAAGCCTGCAATCCCAACACTTTGGGAGGCCAAGGCATGAGGATCGCTTGAGCTCAGGAATTTGAGATCAGCCTGGGCAATCAGTGAGACCCTCATCTCTACAAAAGTTTTAAAAATATTTGATAGGCATGGTGGCATGTTCCCGTAGTCCCAGCTACTCGAGAAGCTGAGGCAGGAGGATTGCTTGAACCCAGGAGGTCAAGGCTATAGTGAGCTATGATCACACCACTGCACTTTAGCCTTTGGCGACATAGTGAAACCCTGTTTCTGAAAAAAAAAAAAAAAAAAAAAAAAAAGAGGCTTAAGAGAACTCCTGTGACCCTTTCACCATGTGAGGACACAGAAAGAAGGCTCTGTCTATGAACCTGGAGGCAGGCTCTCATGAGACACTGAATTTGCCAGAGCCTAGATTGTGGACTTTCAGCCTCCAGGACTGTAAAAAATGTTTGTTATTCCTTGCAGTGTACAGTATTTTGCCACAACAGCCTGAATGGCATAAGTCAGGAAATAAGCAATGTTTTCAGAGGAATAATGGCATTGCTTTGGCATGTGATTAGTTAATAAATTGCCACCTGCTTCCATGGCCTGCTGCCATAATACAAAAGGCAGGAGGCCCCTGAAAACTGAAAGTGTACACTTCCTCATGCCCAGCCTTTCTAACTTCTATCACTTGGAACTCCTGGCAGAATGTGGAACTCCACATTCAGACTGTCGTGGAGTAGGAGTAGGAAGGGGCTAAAATGCTATCTCTCCCGTGCATTTCTGCTTGTGCTTTTCTGATCCCAGGACTCTGGAATTCCACATGCATGACCTCCAAGGGAAGGGGTGGGATGAATTAGTCCGAGCTTTAACATTCCCAAATCCTCCTCAAATTAAAGCAGCTAAGTTTTCATTTGTTGTCTGTTTGAAGACCCTTCATGAAGTGTGGTCTGAGAATAAGAGCTCCATTACTTAAAACACATTAGAAATTGAGTGATCTACTCTTCAAAGTTTCCAGTGATGGAGTGTTGAAACGATGCAGCCAAGCCTAGGTGGTTTTATACCTGGTGAGCCATAGCATGAACCTGTCTCCTGGACTCACCGACTCTCCGCTTTACCTCCTTTGAATTTGTAGCCTCTTCCCTTCTGCTAGGTGACAGGTGGCTATAGGTGCACAAGGGGTAGGAAACATCAGGAAGGTGAAATTTCAGATCCTAAGCAATTCCGGAGAAAACCCTCTGTCCACTGATGGTGTTCACTTCCACAGTCTTGGCTATATGCCCCCGTGTTAGTGCCCCAGGCACAGAATTCGGCCGCTTGGCTGGTGGCATCTCCCTTGGAAGAAAACAAAAGGTTAGCATCAGGAGCTGTCCAGGGGCCCACAGCACCGCTTCCCCACTTCTCTCATGGTTCCAATTCGAATGAACCTTCACCCTCCGACAGTGCCCTTCTGTGTAAGTACGGCAGCCCTCAAGGTCTCTGATACAGAAATGCCCCTTGTTAAGTTAACAGGACTGTTGCATTGGGTCCACCTTTCTGCCACTCTGACCTTTAAGGTGACCATTTGAAGCTGCTTAAAAGCCTTCTGGGGTCTACTGGGGATGACAACTGTGGGTATGCAGTGATTAAAAACGCTGAAGCGTTGCTTACACACGCCTACCCTATGTTTCTACTAAGCATGTGGCTTGAACCTTCAAGGATGATCACATTTTGCTGCTGTTTCTACCTGGGGTGTCCTCTCCTTCCTTCACTCCTTGGGATAGATGGGATCATGGCACATAGACACCCAGTCTCCCGGTCTTCAGTGTGGAGTTCACATTCCTAATGCAGGGTCTTTCGGATTGGCCATGTGTCTACTTCGGCCAATGCAATGTGGGCCAAAAAGGCAGCCTGCCCGTCCTACACTGACGCCTGAAGAGGCATTGCAGGTTCTGGCTTGCCCTTTGGCATATTATACTATGCCTTCACAGTGGAAGGGTGCCTCATTGAGTCACTGATCCAAGGAGTGTGAGGCACAGAGAACACACCTGGGCACATGCCGTAGCCTCAAGGCACAGCCAGCAAACCACAGCCTACTTACCGGCGAGAGAGGAATATAAATGCTTATTGTTGTAGGCCACTGAGTTTTATCCACAGCACTATTGTAGAACTAGCTCACTGATATGTTTCTTCTCCTTAATAACCCTTCACGTTGGCCAGGCGCAGTGGCTCACGCATGTAATCCCAGCACTTTTGGAGGCCGAGGTGGGTAGATCACTTGAGGTCAGGGGTTCAAGACCAGCCTGGGCAACATGGTGAAACCCCATCTCTACTAAAAATACAAAAAAAGTAGCCAGGCGTGGTGGTGCATGCCTGTAATCCCAGCTACTCGGGAAGCTGAGGCACAAAGAATTGCTTGAACCTGGGAGGCAGAGGTTGCAGTGAGCTGAGATTGTGCCACTGCACTCCAGCCTGGGCAGCAGAGTGAGACTCCATCTCAAAATAAATAAATAGATAAATAAAAATAAAATAACCCTTCATGTCCCGAGGGGAAGGGTGCTCTGTCTGCTGTGGGTGCTCATCACACTGTGTTCCGTTTACAGTTGGCATGCACCTATCTTCTAGGATGGAGCTCTATGAGGAGAGAGACCCTACTATTCACTTTTCTATTTCCAGGCCACTGCAGACTGTCTCATGGTAGGTCTTAGATACATGGTGTGTAATGCATGATAGTATAAATTAATCAGCGCCTCTCAATACTTTTGTCTTTCTTCCTTTGTTTGTTTTAGTCGTTTAAGATTGAACAACATGGTGCCTTTGCCAGAAGTTAACAGGAAACCCAAAAGGAGATGAGCCAGACTGGTTAGTTCAGAAGAGAATCGTTGGGGAAGACAATGGGAGCTGCTGTTTGAATGTGGCCCTGAGATTATTTGTGCTTTTCAATCCCATGTTACCAAAACACATTTCAAGCTGGCCTATAAATCACACCTTGTGCATAATTTTAAGTGGATAAATATTTGTCGCCCAAGTGAATGATGCTTCCAGCTTTCAAAAAATTGTATTAAGTGTGGTTATTATTATAATGGTATGAATGTTTACTCTCATTGCCTTGGCTGTGCAGATCCAATACAGTTTCTTTTTAAAATAGAAGATTTCATCTTCTTCATTGACTCCCATCTCACCAGGTAAAGAGGAGATAGGAGTCCATCCTCTCAGTTCAGGTTCTTCAGAAAAAGGCTCAATGACAAGATTGTGAGTGCAAGTAGTTTATTTGCAAGATCATCCTGGGAAGCTGCAATGGGAAAGCAGGCAGTAAAATATGTGTTAGCAAGAACTTTAAGCACCGTGGGCAACTGGAGCCCAACCCCACTGGGGAGCTTTGGAAGACAGTATAGAACATGCCTTAGAATGATCCTTCCTGAGGTGAGGAGCTGGGGTATGAATACACCCATCCCACTCTCCCACTGTCAGTAGCCGAGGGCTGCTCCCGCAGGGTGTTGATTTTCTGGTACTTTCTGACCTGCTCCACACATGGCTGGAGTGGGCTCTGGCTAGGAGTGGAAGAGGATCTAAGATGATCTGAGCAGGCTGCTGCAGAGTCAGCTATACTCAGACATCACATTGCATGTTTAACATGTCGCTGTCTCTTTAGATTTGAATCCTATTGTTTTGGTGGTATGGTCTCTTTTTTGCAAGTGCTCTGCCTTTTAGATTCCCTTCGTCCCCTTTCCCCTGTCCAATATGAAAGCAAGCCACCAGAGGAGCTTTCTCAGCCTCCTAGTGGGAGAGGAATGGGCATCAGATCTTGTCTCTCTTCTTCTGTGGCTGATCCATGGCTTGTATCTGGTGAAGTGTGATGCATTCCCACAGGCTTCCTGGGGGGTGTGTTCACACTTCTCACTGGGGGTCTTGAGTGTCACTCTTTGACCTCTGGTATCTACACCCACAAGCTCCTTTGGCTCCTTGTGTCACTCATAGCTGACTGAGCAGCACCCTGGGGTTCCACATGGAAATGGGAGACAGTTCCTTTGTTTTGAGCTTTCTGTTTCAATGTCTGCTGTGCCTTCTCACATCCCTGACTTCACCACATGGAGGAATGGCAGGGTACATATGGTTCTCTGCTTGATTTCCTTTCTCTCTCTTTCTCTCGCTCTCACTTCAAGGAGATCTGAAGGGATAGATTCTATCATGTCCTTCTCTCTCCAGCCCTGGATAATGCTAAACTTAATGTCTTATTGTCCAGGCCTGGATCTTAGCAGAAACAGAAAAAAAAATAGAAAATCCTTGACTTATAAAACAACTGTTTTGCTGCAGATTAAAAAATCATGTTCTAGATGTCAGAATATAATATGGAATCTTTCTTCATATTCATAGACTAGCAAACCTAAATATCCCTGAAGCAATTGAATGCCACCAACATAGTAAGAAGAAGGTCAGTATAAACAAATGCAAAAGAGAAAAGGACATCAATATATTTCAACAATATTGTCCCCATTTCATTATAGCCTCTCTACATTTTTTTTTGAAAAACAAGACTAAGGTCAGAAAAAATTTCAATCAGTCTTGTTAATTCTCTTTTTGTTTTTTTCCGTCCATTCTTTGAGCTTTCTCTAAGTTCAATTTTGAAATAACATGTACCAGTCACAATGCTATCATCTTTAAGGAAGACAAAACCAATTCAGACTGATCTAAAAAGGACCTTGTAGCCTCCACAGTGCCAACTTGGAGATGACCCTGACCAAGGCTGGGGCACCGTCCTCCAGGATACAGTATACACCCTTCCTCCAGAATCTTCTTATAGACCTGCCCTTCTACTCCCAAAGTCGTAGAACATATTTTTGGGAACCAAGAGGTGGAAGTAGGAATGAATCTGCTTACATCCCTCCTTGGGGGGACTTATCAACACTGGTGGGCAGAGATTCTCCCAGTGGTTGGAGTTTTCAGTAGCTCACTTGGAAATCTTTGTGTGAAGAAAGAAGAAGTTCGATGTAAGACTATACTTGAATTTATGGGTAATGTGTGATTTGGCTTGGGAGTCTTAAGGGAGATGGGTTAGGAGAGTGGGAAAGAGGTGGTCTGGGGAGAAGGCATGGATGGGTCTATGGAGGTGGGCATGAAGTGTGAAAATCTCTGTATCTTATGATAACACCCACCAGAGAGCAATTGCCATGTAGGAGGAACCAAACGACGAGCTGGACAGAAGGACAAGCCAGGTGGCATCAGCCAGCCTCTGATACTGGCGACCCCAGTGCTGGCATGCAAGGTACATGCAGGTAGTAGCCATGGTGCTAGGGATGGGGCTTATGCGTGAGCCTTGTGGAAGGCATCCACTCCCCAGGGCTGACCAGCTCCTGTCTCTGTGAAACATCCGCCTGATGCTGGAACATGGCACCGTCCCTCAAGTAGGCCAACCAATCATCGGGTGTCAAGTTGCTTACATTTGGATCCCTTTCCTAGAAGAAAAGAGATCTTTCTTGACTGAAATTGATTTATATTCTAGTTATGGGTTTGATGTTCCTGCATGTGCACCTTTGCCAGAATGAAAATCTGATGACCTGCAGGAAACACTATGCAGCATCCTCTCAGACCAAGGGACACCCTTATAGCAAAAGTAGTACAGCAGCAGGCACACGCACCTAGGTCCTCTGGTCCTCACCTCCCACGTTGCCCAGAAGCTGCTGACATGAAGGCCCAGTTATACAGACTAGAGGAGGCCCAGAGCAGTGCCAGCTTAGAGATGAGCCTGGGCAAGGCCAGGGCACCATCCTTCAGAATGCAGAATACACCCCGCATCCAGCATCACTTTATGGAGCTGCATCCCCCCAACCCTGAGTAGCAGGACGCAGGTCTAGGATCCAAGAAGTGGAAGTATGCATGGATCTGCTTACATCCCTCCCCAGACCTATTTGTGGAATAAGTTCTGTTTCCCCTCCCAGCAATTTAAGGTTCTATGGATCTAGAGATGTTCTTCCCAAAGGGGGAATGCTTCCATCAGGGGTCACAGCAAGAATCCATGAAGCTTAAACTTTGCTTAAACTTCTGAGGTTTTCATCCAACAAAGTAGGAGGCAGAAGAGGAGTCCGTTTCCTGGAGGGGGCCACAGGCTCTGACTGCCAGAGAAGAGAGGGCTGCCTCACACGACAGGGGCAGGGAGGAAAATGTTTGGCACTCAGGGGATCCCCAGGCACCACTTGGTGTTCCCTTGCCTCATTTTGATGGCAAATAAACAAGCACTGCAGCCAGAGTCTGAGAAGTGCTTGGTAAATAGAACCTCAGACTTCAGGAAAGAGGATGTGGGTCACCACATTAGGAGGGCCACAGGGACCAGCTCTCAGCAGACCAAGAGCAAGGAGAACATACAATGGCTAGTGGACGAGGGAGCTGAGAAGCATCAGTGGGGAGAGGAGTTGCAGTGGCTGCAGCCATGATTCTTTCCACTAAATCTCTTGGTTGTTTCCTCAGGAAGAAGATAGACAAAAACACCAGAGGAGCTGCTCCCAGATGGAGTGGACTTGCCATACAAAGCAAGAGAGTCCCAGCAGGGCAGGGATCTGTAGTGGATGGTGATGCAGCACCCAGGAAACCTCATCAGGATGTAGCTACTCCTTCTCCCACTGCGGGTGGTACCAGCTGCTGAAGGCTCACAGCTGAGACTCTCTAAGGAAAGGGGACACATAGCCCAGGTGATGCCCACTCTCCAGGGACAGCCTGCACCAGTGACTAGACGCAGGAGGAAGATGCCCACTGCCTGGCTTCTATTTGTGATGGCCTCTGAAGGGCTATCTCAGATCCACTGCTGCCTTTGGGGGAATGGAGGTCCTTGTGGAGACCACATTCCACCTGAAATGCCTCTGCCCAATCCTGCTTTCCTGACTTATGGTTGTTGTTCCCAAGAAAACACCCTCATAAATCATTTCCAGGGAACCCAACTGAAGCCATAAATCCCTCCAGAAAAAAATCTCCAAGGGGAGTCTCCCTGCAACTCATGGGATTGAATTGGGCCCTATGCCCATCCCTTAATCAATGACCCACAAAGAAAGTGAATTTTCATGCTGTCATCTGCCGGAATGTTGGGAAGTCCGTGACCAGCACATTGACCTCTCCAGCGACGCCCCCAGAGCTGCAGCATCACAGGAGTGGGATGGACCGTGTCGGCTCCTCTGGATCTTTTGTGGCACTGAGCAGGGGAATGCATTGCATGCCATCCTGGGCACCCGCTTCCCAGAGGAACAGAGCAGCTGCTGCTGGTCAATGTCTACCATGAGGCTTGCATCTGCCAGGCCCCTGTGCATGCGAACCAAAGCATGTACGAGTGTGCATATTTAAACTTCTCAAGGTTAGAGTCACTCTGTGTAAGAATAAACCTCAAATATTTAATGCTTGTCTTTAAAAAATTAAAAAGAAAAAAAGAATTCAGGACTTGGGGCTTCTTAAAGAACTTTAACAAGATAAAGTTCTCAATGAAAACTTTAGTGTCATGACAGAATTTTAAAAGCACAAAGCTGGAGGAGTTGCTGTTGCTTATGGTGCAGCAAAAGCCCCACTCTGTGTACTCTGAAACTTTAGTTCAGAGGATGTAGCAGGAGTTTTAGAAAAGTAAAAGGTGAGTATGTGTGGTCAAATACGTTAGATCATGCAGAATAACAAGGATAAATAGGCTTCTTTGCTTGGGTCCTCCGAGAGCATCTTCCCCCCATATTTCACAAACAGCCTGGGAGAAGCTGCCCGCATGACCTCGGAGAACCTCTTAGAATGAAGGTTGTATTTCCTTCTTATTTGCACGTGGACTGGTGCAGGCTGTTCCTGTGGTACTCACTGCAGTGCCCAGCATGCCAGCTGTCATGTCATGTCATGTCCTCATGCGATTAGAAGAATTCCAGTGTTACACAAACATGTATGGAATATTTCCTGTCACTGAACAAGTTTTCTGCTCTAGGGGTTTGTTTCTCTTTCTGAGTCAGGAATCAGAATTCAAAGATGGTTCATTGAATTGTCTGCCCACTGGTATCTGCTACGAAGGAAAGGAGAAATGGGTCTGAGTCATGTGAGGCATCACGACTTCTGTCAACTTTATTTTATTAACCTTGAAAACCGAGCTCTCACATGTCAGTAATAAACTTTTCCCTGAATGTTTACCAGAACCTCTATTTTAGGCTTGTCCTGTTTGTTTCTTGTCAGCATATTCTATCAGGAATATTCATAGTAATCTGGTCAGTACCTAAGAAAATCAACAGCAGATTATTTAGAAAACCCTCAAAGGTCTAGGGATGTTGTGTTTATTCAACATGTAGATCCAAATGATAAGGAATGCCTGATTAACTGTGGACATTATCATTAAATGAAATGAAAACTGAATTATGCACAGTTTTCTGGAGGTCTTGATTCATTTGATTATCTTCTGATATTTTCTGTTGCTTTTTGTGGTTTTGTGAGTTGTTGCAGGTTTTGATGGCTTAGGTAAGCAAGGGAATGGAGGTGCTACCCAGCAGTGAGATTGTATGGAGATCATTGGGAGGACAGGAAAACAGCCTGCCATGGTAGGTGTGCACGATTAAAATTAGGTCCAGAGTAATCTGGAAATAAGACAGCCTTGGAGGAAAAGGAAATCCAGTTTTCTGTTGAAGCTGCTCATTGAACCCCCGACGAGGTCACGGAAATAGCCCCTAAGAACACACGAGGCTCCATAATCGGTGCTAACATCTTATGACTTGCAAATGCACTGTGTTCTAGGATGCATAACAGGTTCTTCTCAGATCTCAACTCAGGACACTATTTCAAGAAAAGTCTCGTTACTCTTCTGTCAAGGACCCGCGGCGAGACTCCCGTGTGCCGCATGCTGCTGGGTCTCCATCCTGCTGGCAGCTAGTGTTGACCTAAACCTGCATGCAGGGGTTCTGCTGGGGTGAAAATGGAATAAGCTGCTTCCTTCCTCATGGGCAGGGAATGCACAGTGCCTGGTAAGCAGAGAGAGTTACTTGTTTAAAATTTCACTGTGCTGAAAGAGCTAGTACCAACACAAAAATCACAAAACACAAACCGGTTAAGTACAGAATGTCTCTCTCTGGGCATTCACTCTCAGAACAAAACAACATTGATGGAAATAGCCAAGAAGGAAGGGTGAAATATTTGCAAGCAGACAGGCATGAGGGCTTGAAGATATATTTAGGCTTCAGCTCCACCTTGCCTGGAAAATTTCTCAGTTACAGTAAACGAGTAGGGGACACAGCACCTGGATGACCAGGTTCTGAGAGTCAGCAACGGCTCAGTGCTGGGACATGTGGGCAGACCCACTGCCCCTGTAAACTCCTGTCTTCACCATGAGCATCTGCAATCCAGCAAGACCTGGTGACCCTCATGCCTGCACACCATGTTCTGTAACCTGGATTTCCAAAGGAGACCATGATTTCATTTAAATGTTTTTCCCCCACATATTTTTCCCTACAACCTTTTACAAATTTTCCCTACAACCTTTTACAAAGATGGTTCTGGAATCAAAAGCCAATTGATAGGCTTAGTAGAATTCTATCCTAAGATTTTACTGAACCAGACAGACTTTTCTTTAATAATGCCTGCCTAGCTGGCCTGAGTCCTGGGGATAAATTGTGAATTAAGTGTCACCATGTAGATAAAGATGCACAGCATCAGATAACTTCAGAGTAGTGCTACCGGACTGTGCCTTCATCTCATAGACTGAATGTTGTATCCTCCCAAAATTCATATGTGGAAGCTTGAACACCCAGTGTGGCTGTATTTGGATGCAGGGCCTTTACAGAAGTAAATAAGGTTAAATGAGGTTATAAGGGTGAGGCCCTGATCCAATAGGATTAGTGTCCTTGTAAGAGACACCAGAAGGCTTCCCCCACCTCTTCCTCCATACACAAAGAAGAGATCACATGAGCATGCAGGGAGGCTGTGGCCACCTACAAGCCAAGGGCAGAAACCTCAGAATGAGATCTACCTTGCTGGCACCTTGATCTTGGATGTCCAGCCTCTAGAACTGTGGGAGATACATTGCGGTGTCTACGCCACCCAGTCCATGGTATTTTGTGCTGGCAGCCTGAGCTTACTCACACACTGCATGAGTAAGCATACGTCTCCACTAGGTGTCTGCAGTACTAGTGATAACTGTAAGAACTTAGATTCACCATGCAGTAATGACTTGCTGAGTTTAGATTTGCCATCCAGTGATGACTTGCTGTGTGCCTGGCCCTGTTAAACACTCTAATCTGTATTTGTTTCTCCTTTTGCTGTGGGACATTTTCCTTCCATGTTCTTGCTGAGCCCTGGTCTGCAGTCTGTAGGGAATCTTGCACATCAACATGAAGACAATGTGCTATGCTCAGACAGGCTGATGTGGCATTGCTTTGTTGAAGCCATAACAAAAAACTGGGCTGCAGTCTCAGTTTTACATGTTTCATTTCCCTTTGGATTCATATAAATTTGACAGATTGTATTTCTGTGTCATCCCAGCACTGGGGGTCATGTGACAATCCTTTGGGTAAAAGTTGATCATGTAAACTTCCTGGGTTCACAGCCCAACCACAATATCTTTGGAATGAAGCTGTCCCAGCAGCAAGTTTATAAAATGGTCACTTATGGCATGGGACTTGTGGGGACAGGGGAAGAAAACCCCATCTAGAGACCTTGCTCCCAGTGATTTCTCTTCTCTCTTTAACCACTTCACTCATTTGAGTCTAGAAGGTTCTGGAAGATTCTGCCTTGAGTAAGTGATACCTGGACTCACTCTCTGCTTCCATTCAGTGGAAAGCTGAGTGGTCGCTGGGAACAAGCTACTGCCACATGGGCCATGGGATAGGTGCCTTGACAGGACCAGGGCTTCGAAGAGCGGGGTCAGAGGTGAGGGAAGAAAGGAGGGCAACCCTCTACCACCTATTTTGGTGGGATTCAGATTGGGACTGACCCTCCCTTCACCTTCTTGGTGGCAGCCCACCATGGGGCCAAGGGCTGTGTTCCTCTCTGCTCAAATCCCTCCCTCGTTTCCTCTTTCTTTGTCCTCCTATTTCAGTTCACACCAGCAAATACACTGCTCAGACTGTTCATGTGGCTATGGGACTGAGGGCTGAGGGTAGAGCTAGAGATTCTGTTTTGACCCCAGGTGTGTTTGACCCATCAGGTTGGCCAAGCCAACTTTGCCAATTGGCGAGGTGAAAGCCAGCACACCGTCCCCCTCCTGGCAGCCCAAAGTCAAGGCATCCTTTGCAGTTCAAGCAAGAAAGCAGAGAATCCTTCAGTCCTCAGTGTGGGACCAGTACTCCCCACTCCACAGCTGCGAAGGGACGCAGTCTGCATTGTTCAGGTAGCTAGACCTACAGCATCACTTTTTCAGGGTATCATGCATAGCAGTCACATCTCTCTACAGGAAATGTAAACCCACGGCCCATTAGGAGGGTGTTCTCCTGTGTAGACACAACACTGCCAAGAATTTTGCCAGGCGTGGCCTGATCTACAAAGTAGCGTCAATCTGCAGGAAGGAGCTCTTAATATTTGAGCAACAAGCAGCTAATTTCCCCTTTCTTTTCTAAACACAGTTTGAGTGAGGGTGTGATGATTTGGAAGAAACCCAGGTAAGCATGACCTTATTTAAGAAGACAAGTTTGATAGTCAAAGTCCCAACCCTGAGTGCTTCAAAAATGAGAGAAAGATCTGTGTTCCAGTCCAGATCTGCGACTAACTTATATGTTAAGTTTGCTTGGCAATTGAACTGGTACCTTTTCTCCCCTCGATTTACACTAGATAGGCCTTAAATGTGGAGTCTAGAAAATGAGAAACAAAAGAGTGATGCCAAAAGTCATTATTAATGACAATAGAAATTTTCTGTAGGAAATAGTCATCTCCCCTTCATTCTCATACCATCCATCATTTTTCCTTGAAAAGCTATTCCCCCCTCCCTTCCTCCCAACCACTCTGCTTCCTTCTATCCTCCTTTCTTGTCTTTCTTTTTCACTTCCACCTTTTATTCAGCCAGTATTTCTCACGTGTCAGTGTTGTTCTTTTTCACTTCCACCTTTTATTCAGCCAGTATTTCTCACGTGTCAGTGTTGTGCTAGGCTTCAGAGGAACAACCAGAAAGGCATGCGTGTTCTGTCCTTCAGAGCTCTCTGTCCTCCCAGAGCTCTCTGTCCTCCCAGAGGGGTCTTGATGGTGCTGGTAAACTGTGCTAAAGCTGCATGGAAGCTGGGCTGGGAGCTGAGGGACACAGGCAGGGGCCACCTAGCTCAGGGTCTGTGTGAGTATGGGGCGGAGGCTCTCATGGGCTTCCTGAGGAGGGGCTGCCAGATCCAATTCTCAAAGGCTGACAAGGACACAGATGGGCAAACAGCATCAGGTGCTCCAAGTCTAAGGACCAGCAAGCCCAGCGACCTGGCCCAGAGCACGGCAGGTGTGAAACACGGTGGCTCTCCGTGAGGAGCTCAGGGTGCAGCGTGGTGTGGGGGAAGTGGGGCTGCAGATGCAAGCAGAAGCCGTGTCAGGAGGGACTTTGCTCTTCCACTAGGAAGTCTGGCCTTGGCTGTGAAGGCACTGGGCGTTGCAGAAGGACTGAGAGGAGAGGGCCATGCCCAGCACCGTGTTCATGCACACATTTAGAGAAACTGGGCTTTTTCAGGAAATTTGGATGGAGGCTTTTGTGGCAACCCTGACCTGATGGAAGATAAAGATGTCAATATACACATGGTCCTGATGGGAGATATTTTGGAGATAGAATTGGTGGGCCTATTTACCAAGTAGCCCAAAGGGTGGGAGGGGGACTCTGCCATTGTTTGGGATCTTTGGTGATTTCTTTTTAAGGAGCTGATGGCTCAGGCAGAATGGTTCTAAGGGCCTTGAACACAGGCCTCTCCCACACGTCTTCCTTAATAGACTCCCGACTCCAGACAGGAGTCCAACATTAATACTTCATATCTGGGTGACCAAACCCTGCTGGCTCACACCTAGGAGAGGAGCAAGTGGAGGAAGCAGAGCCTTCTGGGAGGAGTGGGAGGAAGGCTTGCAAGGGGATGAGGCTGCTGCACCCAAGAGGAACCAAGCCTGGGTGCAGTGGGGTCTTGCACCCTCCTCCCAGTGTTCCACAGGATGGGTGTCTATGCCCAGGAGAAATGCACAGGAAGGGAGACACCTAGAGACACTCCCGTGGTCCAGACACATGGTGAACCCAAGCCCAGAAGACAGTCCAGGCTGACAACAGTAAGGCAGGGGCTGAACAAAACCCATCAGGGAGCAAGCTAAGGTGGTTGGCTCCTCCTGACGAATATTCAGAAGTGCTTCCTTTGCTCTTTTGAGTAACTAAAATTCAGCCAAATTGCATAGGAGAGAAGCCTCCTCCTGCCTAGGCTCCTCCTGGGCTGTTCAGGACAGCTGCAGCCAAGTTCAGACTTAGAGCTGTGAGTAAGCAAGAGGAAGCAAGGCAGGCAGCTCTACCGCTGGCAGGTCTGAGGCATCCCAGACAGCTCCGTGCAGCAAATTCTTCTGCAGTGACTGTTTGGCATCATCTGGGTGGAAACAAAACAAAACAGGTGAACAAAGAAACAGGAGCTGTAGCTTGCCAGTTTATAGGTATTTTTAATTGCCTCTTAGCTTTCTTGGTGCAGACATAGCATCCCTTTCTTTAAGTTTTGGGGGCTCACTAACCTTACAAGATGGTGGCATGAAAGTTCCTAGCACAGAGACAGGTCCACACAGATACTAAATAAAATAACTCAGTGAAAATTGTCCAAATCAGAGAAATGATTTGAAGGCATCTTATTTGTCAGGCTCTGTATCTATATTATTTCAACATCTCAAGTTCAGCTGTAGAGACAACTATATTATTTTGATTTAGTTGACAAGGAAACAGAGGCTCTGAGCATGTAGGTAACTTGTCCCTACTGTGACAGGCTGGGGTTCAGACCCAGAGCTAACTCCAAAATTTACACTTTTAAAAGGGAAATGTGGGTGGGAAGAATAGGATCTGTGGTCTGTTGATATTTCTTCTAGTGAGAACCTACCAGTGCCTTTTCCTCAAGGTATCAGGTAGATCAACCTGGAACATTCTATTTTGCTTCCTGTAACCCTCCAATGGTGTAGGGGAGTTGAGGTGAGGAAGGGGTGGGGTGGTAAAGGTGAAAGTCAATTTCAATCTTTTAGTTATAAAAGTCCATGGGTAGATTCCAATGCCTTCCTTCACCAGCCTATTTCTGCAAATTCTCCAGTGTGTCCATCCACCCTTAACTGTGTTCATAAATCATATCTCACAAACTTCATCATCCCTTAACTTTGTTGTAGCACCTGGTCACAATTTTCTTCTTACTAAATGATATATCATGATTCAGCAACCATGCAGAGGACAACTCAATTCTATGTCAACCTTGTAGGCATAAAAATGAAGCAAACAAGCCTTCAAGAAGGCCACTTGCAGGCATGTATACTGACCTCAGGCCTCTCTTGGCCCAATGTTTGTGAACAGAAGTCAGAAGGTGGCAGTTGGGGGATACAGAATTTACTTTGTAGTTTGCAAAAGAAACAAGCAATCTTTGAGATCCAGGCCCTTCTATGTCCTGCAAATCACAACTGATGTTTCATCTGCATTTGCACAAAAGATTCTTTTGCCCCCTGGGGTGCCATATTTTCATCACATACCGCAGTGCTGAAAATGCTGCTTTGGTTTGTGTGAAAGAAGGGATGGAAGACTTTAGTGAGTTTTTAAAGTATTCCTTTTAGAATTAAATGAATACTGTGGAACAAGGACATGTTACTGAATCACACCGATCAAGTCTGTGGTCCAACCTTTGAGCCCTACAAGGGGCAGCCAGGACACCAGCCTCATATGTAACCTAGTGGGGTTGCCATAGCAGAACACCATAGACTGGGTGGCTTAAACAATAAACATTTATTTCTCACAGTCCTGAAGGCTTGAAGTCAAGATCAGGGTACCAGTATGGTCAAGGTCTTGGTAAGGGCCCTCTTTCTCATTCACAGATAGTCATCTTTTAGTCATCTCACAGTGGAGAGCAGAGGGAGAAAAGACAAGCTCTCTCAAGTCAGTTCTTGTAAAGACACTAATCTCACCATGAGGGTTTCACTCTGTGACCTATTTACCTCTCAAAGACCCCATCACCAAATGCTTTCACATTGGGGATTAGGGTTTCAATATATGGATTTTGGAGGGATACAAATATGTCCTTGTCATATAGTAATTGACACAGTGTGGTATCAGTGAAAGAATAGACAAGCATCTCAACAGAACAGTGTACAGAGCCCAATAGATTCACATAAATATAGTCAACTGAACTTTGACTAAGACAAAGGCAATACAATGGAGAAATGTCTTTTTAACAAATGGGGCTGAAACAACTGGACACCCTCATGCCAAAAAAAAAAAAAAGTTCTAGATACAGATCTTGTACTCTTCACAAAATTAACTAAAGTAGGCAATAGACTTGAGTCTAAAATGTAAAACAAAACTCCCGGAAGATAACATAGGAGAATACCTAGATGACCTTGGGTATGGTGATGACTTTTTAGATACAACAGCTAAGGCTCAGTCCATGAAAGAAATAATTGATAACTGGATTTCAGTAAAATAAAACATTTTTGTGCAGCAAAAGACAACATCAAGAGAATGAGAAGCCAAACAACTAGATTAAAAAATGAGTGAAAGACTTTAATAGAAATCTTACTAAAGAGGAGGTACAGCTGGAAAGTAAGCATGTGAAAAGATGCCCCACATCATTGTCATTAGGGAACTGCAAATTGAAACAATGAGATACCACCACACACCAAAACCCAGAACTCTGACAACACTAAATCCTGGTGAGGACATGGAGCAGCAAGAACTCTCATTCAATGCTGATGGGGATGCAAAATGTACAGTCGCTTTGGAAGGCAGTTTATCAGTTTCTTACAAAACTAAACATAAGATCTAGCAATCATGCTCCTTGGTATTTACTCAAAGGAGTTGGAAACTATGTCCACACAAAAAAAACTGCATATAGATGATTATAGTAGCTATATTCATCATTGCCAAAACTTGGAAGCAACCAAGATGTCCTTCAGTAGGTGAATAGATAAATAAAATGTGGTACATTCATACAATGGAATGTTATTCCACCCTAAAAAGAAAGGAACTATCAAGCCATGAAAAGACATGGGGGAATCCTTAAATGCATATTACTAAGTGAAAGAAGTCAACCTGAAATGGCTACTTACTGTATGTTCTAATTATATGACATTCTGGAAAGGAAAAAATATAGAGACAGTAAAAAGTCAGTGGTTGCCAGGAGTTAGAAGGGAGAGAGGGATGAATAGGTTGAGCATAGAAGATTTTTAGGGCATGAAAATAACTACCCTGTGTGATATTATACTGGTGGATACATGCCATTATACATTTGTCAAAACCCATTGACGGTACCGCCCCAAAAGTGAATTCCGATGTCAACTATGGACTCTGGGTAATAATGATATGTCAATGTAGATTCATCCATTGTAACAAATGAACCTCTCTGGTGGGGAGATGTTGATAATGGGGAAGGCTGTGGATGTGTGGGGGCAGAGGGTAAATGGGAAATCTCTGTACTTTTCACTCAATTTTGCTGTGAACCTAAAACTGCTCTAAAAATAAAGTTTATTAATTATTTTTAAAATAGTAATATTGCCAGTGAGGAAGAGCCTGCAGAAATGGAGCAACTAATTAAAGGAAGGTATTTCTAATGCCCCCTTTTGCAAGTATTGATAATCAGATAAGTCCACCTGCAGATGGAAAAGTATGTGGATATGTTGTCTTTTGCTATGTAAAAAATTACCCCAGACTCAGTGGCTTAAAACAACATATATTTATTACGTCACCATTTCTATGGGTCAGGAATCCAGGCTGGATTCTCTGTGAAGGGTTTCCAACTGGCTACAATTAGGGTGTTAGCTGGCCTGCATTCATTCCTGCAGCTCAGGGTCCTCTTTAGTTCCTGAAAGTTGTAGGACTGAGGCTCTCATTCTCTGCTGGCTGCTTGCCAGGGGCTGCTCTCAGCTCCTGGAGGTTTCTGGGGTTCCTTGCTACTTGGCCCCATCCACAGCTTCTCTCATGCTTAGAATCTTTCTTTCTTCAGAAAGGGCCTTTAAGAATCTTACCTGACTAGGTCAGGCCTTCCTGGATAGTCTCTTTTAATCAATTCAAAGTCAGCCAAGTTTTGATCAAATTATGAAATTGCTGTTCCGTCGTATTCATGGGTTTCTCCCTCACCTAAGGGGGGGGATTCCACAGGGCATGGATGTGAGAGGGTGGAAATCTTGGGAGTCACTGTAGAATTCTGCCTGCTATGGTGTTTCTATTTTATAACCATACAAGACAAGAAATTAACCACAGCCAAATAAAGCATGCCATGTCTAGTAGCTTAAATCTTTGCCCCCCGGAATCAACTGGCTTTGGCAGGTCTTACTGAGCTGCAAAAGCAAGTTACACAACCTCCCTGGGTTCCCCGTCTGTATGATGTGGATCATGACCAGACCCATTTCATGGAGTGGCACAGAAGATTTACTGATCTCATCCCGGCACAGCTTTTGGTTTGGTGCTTGGTGCATGGTGACTCAGAGTGAGTGAGCATCTCTTGTGAGTGCTTTTCTATAAAGTTGTTATAAGGCCCTGGCAGGGCGTGTGGGGTTATCTTGTGCTTGCAAACACCACAGTGCTGTTGTCAAAACTGAGAATTGGAAAGGAGCCCAAGACCACAGAGCGCTTGGGATGGGAATTCTGCAAGCTAGGTACAAGCCTGCCTGAGGACGTGAGGGATTAAGCTGTGAAAACCTACAGGACCCAGCAGACCCTTGGATGTGGCTAAATCTTCAACCAAACATACACCCATCCTCAGTTGAGTAGAGCGGAGCCATCCAGCATGGGATGGGGCAATATGGCAGAGTTGACACGATACATGAGGCTGGTGACATCACCACTGATTACCCTGTGCTTTAAAGGACAATTAGGGACCCTCTGAGGTCCTAAGTACTGAAAAATTGTGTACACATTCCCATGCTGTAGTCCTACTTCTAATGCCAACTCTATTGTGGCCCAATTAAGGGAAATTAAACTGCTTTCCTCCTGGGAAACAAGTTGCATAAACCCAACGCCCTGGATGGCCCCATGCAAGTTACTTAACAGCTTTGCCTTAAGTCAATCAAAACATGGCCTGCCTTGGGAGACAGTCATTAGAGAATGCTGGCATGGCATCTTCTGATGGTAATTATTGTTATTGGGAGGCGCTCATCAAGAATGTTGAGCATTGTTTTGCAAGAGGCTGTGTTTATTAAAATGCAAATTATCCTATGCCACCCTCTCCTCTTCAAGCTTTGGAAATCAAAGAGAAGTATGCAGTACATGTTTATTTTAAGACAACTTTTCCCACCAACTTAGTCCTATAGCTTGCAGTTGAAATATTGGATGACTATATGTCTTTTGGCAGGGGTACTTGTTTCATTTTTATGTACCTTTTGGAAAAGAAATACCAGCAAGTATGGTGTTCAGTCCAATTATGGCCTGAATGGAGAACATGTGTCTCGGACACTTCAGACTCTAGACCTGTGCTGGCCCACATGGCCACTATCAGCCACGTGTGGCTATGGAGCTGTTGAAATGTGGCTGCTCTGAACTGAGACGTGCTGTATGTGTAAAATACACACTGAGTTTTGAAGACTTACAACGGAAAATACAAAGAAAAATAATACATTAATACTTTTTGGGAACTGATTACATGTTGAAATGATAATATTTTAGCTATAGTGGGCAAAAGCATTTTTATTATAAAAATTAATTTTACCCGCTTCTTTAGACTTTTTGAAAATGTGGCTTCTAGAAAACGTACAATTGCAGATGTCTCTCGTGTTCTATTTCTGTCTTTCAAGGCTGCCCTGGATGGAATGGGGGCCGTGGTTTGAAGCTTGGCTGTGTTGCTTGGAATTACCGCCCTCTTGGGCATTCTGCTTCTGAGGCTGCAATTGCCAATCTCACCAACCCACCGGACCAGAGGACCCTGGCTTCCAAGGTATTGGCATCCCCTGATCAAGGTCTGTATGAGACTCCCCCATTGTCTAGCTTATTCCCACTTGCTTGACACACCTTCCCCATGTCCCAGCCACCTTTATGCCTGGTTGCCCAAACATTACAGGTCTGCGGTTCCCATGAGACACTGAACGAGCTGTTCCACTGCATGGAATCCTTCCAGCCTGAATGCTTCTGGGACCTCCTGTCCCCCACAAAAGCCACGTTTCCTCTCCCCTCCTCTGACCAGCCTTTCCCGAGGCACCTGCCCATGCATAGTCTCAGGGGGTCTCCCCCGAGGCACCTGCCCATGCATAGTCTCAGGGGGTCCCTCCCTGCATTCTCGCTGGGCCTTGTCTATGTGTTTATTATAGTGCATTGACATCGTGTTGAAATTGTCTGTTTATGCATCTATCTCCTCATTAGGCTGCTTGCTCCTCAAGGGTAGGGAATCACAACTTTCTATCTGTGTATCCATGATACTTAGTAAATATTTGTGAAATGCACATAGATTGAAAGAGTCAGAGGGTAAATAGCGCTTGGTTGCTAACATTGCGCCACTGCACAATGCTGCACCAATGGCTGTGGTGCTGCAAGCTTTATTTTTAATTTTCTGTTTGTTATTATTGTTATTATTTTTAATGACAATGAAAACCACTGCAGGGAGTAAACCCAATGACTCTCCTCTGGAGTGATAAAGAGTCCACGATGCACTTTCTTCCCTTTCTAGGCAGCCAGCCTCCCCTGGGGTCACCCACAACCCTGGTTTGTTATGGTGGGTTGGACCACGGAGGAATGCCACAACATGCCAATTAACCACCTGCTGGGACGGTGATCTTGCTAACATGAAACATGGAGGGTGATTGGCTGTTTGCCTGTTTTCATAAGAGATAGAAATCTCCTGCTTTGTGCCATGCAGGTCAGTGTTTGTGTAGTTTAGGCTGCGCGTCTGTTTGGGGTTGTTGAGGCCACACCGCCCCCACATGAGGACGTTGCTCCCTGGCCTGAATTGCCCTCCTTTTGCCGAACCACAGGGCAGAGCTCCTTGTGCAGGGCACTGCCCACCTTCCCACTACAGGGTGCAAATTCAGACAAAATATTCAGTTCCAGGGATTCCCTGCTTCAGGATAATTCAATATACAGAAAGCTAACTTTCAGAAACAAGGATTGACTAGAAGCAGTTCTTTCCCTGAGAAAGGAACTTCCTGGGGACCTGCTCTAAGTTCTTATAAGGCATCGACATGACTCAGTCAGAAATAGTCTTTGATTTGTAATTTAATTGACTCATAGCTTTACAGACATATGCCTTTTGATAGATGGGAACCCAGTTTTTTTTTGGTGAGAAGAGCAAGGAAAGTTTTGCCTGTCCAAATAACAACAACAACAACAAAATAACTCATAGAGGAATCCACTAACTCATTTACCTACAGAGCTGCAAGGGGAATCCACTGAAAGCTGCAGAGTGGGGAAGTGAGGCGGGAAGCATGAGGCACTCCCGTGTGACGCTGTGGTGGTGGGTAACTGGGCCCATGCCCGCAGCTTACCTCCTGGTGGTGGCAGGCCCAGCTCCTCTCTTGCGACAGTGACCTGCTGGTCACATCACACCACCGCTGGGTCCAATACCATATTGCATTTCTCCATCATAGACGCCTCCCCCTAGAGCCAACTGGAGGTTGCAGTTTGCTCAATGAGACCCAGATTTGAAATTCAAGATATGTGTTGTTTTCCTCTGTGGGATACTGGTGTTGTTAGCATGTCACTTGTTGGCCCTTTAGGGATAGGTTCCAAGTTGCCAATCCACCCAGCCCTGTGTGGCCCTAAGCCCAGCTGCCAATACTCTCCCTGTGACTTTCCTGAGAGGTGGTGTGAGGAGTCTCACTGGCCCAACAGCCAGGAACCCAGCTTCTGCAGACACTGAGAGCATGCTCTGTCTGACTGTCAACAATAGTCCTCTATTCTCAGTCCATCTCTGGGAAGGTTTGATGTTAGAGCAAGCATTGCACAGTAAACCCTGCACCTGCCTACCATCCTTGCCACTTCTGTCCTAAGTGTATATGGCTCGTCTTCCAGGTTTTTCTTGTTTCTGTTTTCCTTTGTCTTTTTTTTTTTTTTTTTACACAGTCTCACTGTCTCACCCAGGCTGGAGTGCAGTGGCACGATCTCGACTCACTGCAACCTCCACCTCTCAGGTACAAGCAATTCTCCTGTCTCAGCCTCCCGAGTAGCTGGGACTACAGGTGACTGTCACCACCTCTGGCTAATTTTTGTATTTTTAGTAGAGATGGGGTTTCACCATGTTGGTCAGGCTGGTCTCGAACTCCTAACCTCAGGTGATCCACCCGCCTCAGCCTCCCAAAGTGCTGAGATTACAGGCATGAGCCACCGCGTCTGGCCTTTTATCTCTTTTTAAAAAATTCAAGTACTGGCCTTGTATTGACTGCATATTGACTATATCAAGGCAGAGACTCAGCACACAGGGCTTCAGACAGTGTACTGGGCTAAAAGTTAGTGACTGGATTCTGGATCCTTATTGACTCTGAGGTTCCATGGCCTCATTTTACTCACCAGGCCTCAGTTGAATCATTTGGAATCTGAACACATGGCCCTACATACTCCAATAGCCTGCAAAGCCCGTGAACAAACGAAATCGCTGAGATGATTCAACTGTCAGTGCCCTGTGTCAACGTGAATGAGCTGAGTAGAGAAGCCCCTCCCTCCTTCACATCACAGGAGTCAACAGCTACTGAGACCTGTGGATCTTCACAGTTGGAAATATTATGCCCCTGGAAAAGCAGTTATGTCTCTAATGCTTTGATTCGTTCCAAAACTGCATTTAAAACAAGAAGACATAAAACTGCCCCACTGAACAGTGTGATTCAGACAGGTGACCTGTTGTTTTCTCTTAGTCAATCAAAACATCATGTCCAAATGTTTTTTTCCTGCAAATTGACTGAACTGATTGTTATTAGCATGTCAATGCTTCAAAAGAAAGTGCTAACTTCAGAGCCAAATGTAGGATTGGTTTTGTTGTTCCATACGTAGATACTTTAGCATGTTTACCATTGTGGTTGGCAGTTTGGAGCGGGAGTTAAATATATCATGTTTAAAATGCAATGATTAATATTAACTCTGACTAATAATATTCACAGCACATGATATTTTCACATTTCTTACCTCATTGGAACACGCTGAAAACTCAATGAGGCCAGTATTTTTGTTTATTGAAAGGTACCCTCGTGCTCAGAGAAATAAAGTTGTTTTCAGGGTCACGAGCCTGTGGGCTCATGAGCCAGGTGTTCAGACTTATGTCCCTACTCACTCCATCATGTCCTATGCCTTTAAAATATGCATTTGTAACAGTTTTAAGTGACAAATCAAATAAGCAGGTTGAAATAAATAATGCAGTTATTGAGAATATCTGAAGCTAAAGATTTTACAATACATCTAGCAAAACATTTCTATTTTAAACTACTATTTAAATAAAGGTTGTTAGTGCTCTGTGATCCGTATCAGCCCTAGTCTTCATTCCTTTGGATTACTGAAGGTCTTTATGGCCATTTATTCATTTAAGAGCAATAATTGCATTTTAAGCAATTTATTTGAAGGGCCAGTGACACTTATTTAACATGCCTTTTATTAATTATTAAGATAAAGTTCTTTCTGGGCTCACTCTTTATAACTATGCATTACAAAGAACAGCTTTCTTATGTCTTTTCTTTGCAGAAAAGCCCCTATCAGTTTCCTTAACATTCAACTAAACCTCCCTCCTCTTATAGGATTTAATGGGATTGACATTCATCTAAAGGGTTTAACTTGGCTTCTGTGTTATAAAGTGGCCTCTGTTGGATAGGACTCAGTTAATTCCATATATCTGGTTGAAATACAGAGCAACACATGATTCCTAAGTACAGAGTGCATTTCTCTCACTACAGTGCTGAAGTCTATAACTAGGGTGCTGTCCCCAGGCTTCACAAGTTTATTATTATAGAAGACCTCTCATCCACTGTCCTCCACGCCAGTACCTCCACCTGGTCTTTAGCAAAACGAGGAAGGCCAGTGTGGAAGCTCTCACCAGCCAAGAACCCACTGTCTATAACTGACACCAGAATGAAGTGGAGTGGGTAGGACAAGGGGCTTCTGGCAGGCCCAGTGAGCTGGTAGCATTTGTGGACAGCCAGTCATGTGCTGAAGCTTCCAGCATTCAGCATACAAGGTGTTCATTGTGTAAACTGCAGGATAGATACAGGGCTTGGGAGAAAGTCTTCTGTTGAGGCTCGCAACTCCAGGCATTTTGCAGAGCTAAGTCAGCATCATCAGTAACAAAGAGTACTCTTGCACATGACACAATTAGCTGAATCTAAGGAATAGTCTTTTTAAAATAATAAGGGACACAGGAGACTTTTCCAGAAAGTAAACGAAATCTAAGATCAGGTCTCACCTTAGATTATCTGGCCTGCAGCTGATGACGTGGAGGACAATGCTTGACTTGGTGCCAGTCAAGACACTGGACCAGAAATGATCACTGCTGGAGAAAAAAAAAATGCAGACACACACACATGTGTGCATGCATACATGAACACACACATACACTCATGTACAGAGATATAACTATACACACAGGCACACACACACATGTGCACTTACTCACAGATATATGCCCAAATACGAACACATACACACATGCACGCACACAAACACAATCAGTTTCTCTTAACTCTTTAAATCCTTTTCTTTTATCTGTTAAATTCCTTAAATAAATGTTCACCTAAAATGCTTGAGTAGGACTGATGTTTTTCATCTCCTAAATTGTGTGGTAGCTCAGATGTGGGTAAGTCAGTCTACAAGCACTAGGCTGAAAACAGCTGAAGCACTAAGCACTATATTATTTTATTGTAGCTTTCCTCTGAAGAACTCTAAACACTTTGTTGAGCATATCTTGTGTTGCTTTACCTGGGAGAAAACAGTTGTTATTATTCCCACTTTCCTAGAGGGAAATGGACATTGTGTGTAAGTCAACCAGCCCTCAGTAATGCTGGGGCCAGGGAACCTGCCCTTCTCTCACTTATGCTAAATGGGACATTTTTAATTTTGTTTACTACTGTGGGTAGAGACTATATCTGTATGGACTGCTACACCTCCTGGGAGAAGCAGATATATTCCTGAATGTGAAATAGTATAGAAACAGTTCTTTAATCTGATGATATTTTAAGTGCTCCAGGAGAAATTGCTATAGGAGATTTGCAGAGGTTTTTCATGGAGGCAATTAATGATTGACAATCAATATACAGTCAGTAAATGATTGGATTTTCCCATAGAGCAATTGCCTCACTAATCTTTTAGAAATATGAGAATGAGAAATACACACTGTTAATTAACAATTATTATTAACTAACATTGTCCCCAATCTCCCAAAAACCTTCTTGGCATTCTGGAAGTTCCATCTGGAACCTGCAGAAGAAGCTGTGTCCCAGTACCTTCTGGCTCCTGCACCACTCCCTGGCTCATCCCTGGATTGGCCTGTGTAGGCAGCAGAGGCCACCTCCACTGAGGATGTGGATCTGCCGGCTTTGCCTCCTCCAACTTCTGTTGGGGCTGCCCATGGGGAGCAATGTGAGCAAACCCTTAGACAACTTGCATGGCACCTAAGCTCTGGTGCATTTTAATTAGTCATGGAGCAGTGGAGTCCTCCAGCCCTTTCACAGAAGCAGGCTCCATGTGCACTGCTGATCCTTAGGGGACATTAAGCATTCTGAGCTGCTTTGCCTCTACCAAAGCGTGGTGTGCTGACAGCTGCTTGCCCCCTACTGTGGGTTTTGCAAGAGAGGAGTTTTGTATTCATCTGTTTGCCACCGTGATCCAGGAACCCTTTTCTCGCTCAGGAGGACGACTGATTCCGAGGTACCGCGTAGACTGGAATCTCATCTCATTTCTTCCTTGCTTGCTACCAGGACCGAATGGCGCGGCTCACTCATGCATTCCTCAGAATGCTCAGAGCATGCTCTGCCCTTCCCCATGGAAGGCTGGGCCAGCCCTTCCCTTCTTCATACATAGGACAGGACCCTGGGAGGTTCAGTCCTGCCTCATTCTTCCTGCTGCTGCTGGCCTTACCAGAATTCCCACTGGCATCAGGATTTGCACAGCCAACCTTCTGCTGTGTGGCAGTCATGTGTTCTTATGAGAGTAATGCTGGAGGTGGCATCTGAGATGCAGGAAGAAAACATCATTGATGAGCAACATAAAAGAGCAAAAGCATTCAATGCTCAAGAGGATGTTGTGGATCCCAGAATATTTATCCCACACCAAACTGATAGCAGAGACGGGGTTCAAGTCCAGGTGTTGGGATGGCTGAGAAAGGGGTTCAGACAGAGCTGGGAGTGAGCCCAGGGGTGCAAGGGCATGGCAGCATCTCCACACTCCACTTCCTCATCTGTAGAAGGGAGGCCTGGATGCCTGTCTCAGCTGAAGGCAGGGAATGGCAGCTATTCTGGAACAACTCACCAATTCTGTCTCCCTGTTGGTTTGTTTTCTTTTGGGGATGCTTGATATGTGCAAATGAAACCTGAGCATGTTCCCCACAGTGGAACACTTCTATCTATTCAATCTGGCCACATGATTATATAGTCCTATATCATCATAGGAATATATAAAGTGTGACTACATTTTATAACATCTATTTTGTGGGGTAATTAAAACTGAAGAAGTGAGATCCTGGTGGGGATGAGTGAACCAGGCCTTTTTATGCCAGCTTCTATAAGAAAAGAAGTGGAGTTTGCTTTGTGTCAGTAAGCAGTGCAAAAATCAGACATAGATAGATAAACAGATAGATAGATATACATACATATAAACACACATATACATATGTGTACATAGCTGCAAGTGAGAATTTTGGAATTATTTTTTACGTGACTTGCTTTATTGCAATATTCACTTTATCGTGGTGGTCTAGAACTTAACCTGCACTATCTCCCAGGAATGCCTGTATAAAATTATTTATTTTTTATTTTACATTTTATTAATTTAATTTTATTTGTAAATTTACATATAATTAAATTGTACGTATTTATGGGGTATGTAGTGAGGTTTTGATGCATTTTAGTAGCTTGCTAGAGCCGCCGAGCACCGGTGTGCTCACTTCTCATGGCGTGCCGAGTCTGTGGTAGAAATGGTTGATGGCCTGTGATTCCAGGTGTTAGCAAATTAACAGCCTCAAGCAGACAATTGATGCATTCATTGGATGGCGCCAGAGCTCAAATGCTCCAGCTAAATGACATTTATCATGCCCCATTTAACAAGCCTCCTTAATTCACTCTCTTTGGCCTCCTGTGTTTACGAGGAACCAGCATGGTCGGTTTGTGGAATGCAGCACGCATCACCCCCAGAGAGCATCACCCACAGAACACTGGACCTGGAAATGCCAAGGGGAGGGGCATGGCTCTGAGCTGGGCTGTGGATCCAGTAGTCAAAGCCTCCGGAGCAGGGCCGAGCTAGGCAGGCCCGCCCACGCCCTGACTGTCCATCTCCTTGTTTTGGTCCAGCTGTCTCCTCCGAAGAAGGCAGGGACTTCATCTTTTACGTCCTCATAACTAGCGCTTTCCAGGATGACTTGATGGGTTCTTGAATTCGAAAATGATTCTGAAGGAACTATAGTATGATTTATGGATTAAATAATGATTTTCTGGAATAGGGTAACACGATTCCCACAAGCCTAGTTATTTCTTGCCTGGGTTGTTTTTACTTATTTTATTTATTTATTTTTTTGAGATAGAGTCTTGCTGTGTTACCCAGGCTGGAGTGCAATGGCGCGATCCCCACTCACTGCCACCTGTGCCTCCCAGGTTCAAGTGATTCTCATGCCTCAGCCTCCCAAGTAGCTGGGACAACAGGCAAGCACCACCATGCCTGGCTAATTTTTTGTATTTTTTAGTAGAGATGGGGTTTCACCATGTTGGTCAGGCTGGTCTCAAACTTCTGACCTCAAATGATCTGCCCTCCTTGGCCTCCCAAAGTGCTGGGATTACAGGCATGAGCCACAGCTCCCAGCCTCTTGCCTGGGTTATTGCAATAGCCTCCTCACTGCTCTCCTGCTGGGGCTCCCTGCCCAGAAGGCACCTTCACACCCACACCATGAGGCCTGCTTGTGCAAGAGGAGAGAGATCTGGAACATCTATTCAAGACAAAGTTATTCATTCTCTCGTTAAAGCATGATAAGGCAGACTTTATTTAGGACCATTATGATAGGTACAGGAACCACTGTGGTGGGGTCTTGCTGTGGGGGAGAGATACTGGGCTCAACTCTGAACACAACAAGGAAAAGTGGGAATTTATCACCAAGGAGTAGGACAGGGGTCAGTGGATGGAAAATTACTCAGAAGAAACATCAGGGCTGTGGGGGGATTCTGGCTTAACTGACCTGAGAGGATTATTGCTGAAGACAAACCAGGGTGACCAGACATCATCTGGGAGTGGTGGGGGATAAGGAACCTGATCAGATACCGAGGGTGGGGTTCCTGGCTAAACTGACTTAGCAGGTTTCTTGCTAAAACTGGACAATGCAGACACGAACATGGGGGTCGCAAAGTCAGACATAGTCGGAAAAGAGCTCAGGAAGGCCTGAGTAGAGTTGGGTTGGGGAGACGTTCTTTGTCACATCCCTACTGGGCCTCCCGGAACCCCCCTCTGACTTGATTCTCAAAATCTCTTTTTTTTAATCCATAAAGGATAGGATAGCCTGTGCAGCAGGGAGTCACAGGGGCTCTTCTGATTTCAAGCTGCATCCAAGAGCAAAGGGTCACATATCCTACCAGAGTGAGCGGCTTTCCCGGAAAGACTTGTGAAGGGCAGCCCCAACAAAATTTGTTCTGCCTCCTGGGCCCTAAAGGAGGACTGTGAGGAGGGTGCAACGAGGTCTCTTTGAAGAAGCTATGCAGATACTTCACCTGTCACCTTTCCCTGTGGGGATAGGTGTGTTTTCCCCAGCTCATGCCAAATGAGGATGATTGGAGAGAACTCCCTGAAAAGCTGCCCCTGGCTTGGCAAAATTTACAGTGTCAGAAGCTGCCTAGAGCTTCCTGGGAGGACAGAGTGGGAGAGACAGAGCGACTTGTGTCCTGAGAGCAGATGGGCATCTCAGGCATGGATCACAGAGGACCCTGGGAACCTTGCCACCAGCAGGGCCTGGGATAGCCCCAGGTCGTGCCTGACTCTGCTAGGGTTAGACGACACAGGGCCACAGGGACTGCCTTCTGAGAACCTGCAGGAGCTCCAAATAGGAAAAGAGAGTCAGATAAGCTCACCAAGACAGAAAGTAGAATGGTGGTCACCAGGCGCTAGCGGGAGAAAGGGGAACAGGGAGGTGTTTGATGGGTACGGAGTTTCTGTTTGGGAAGATGAAGAATTTCTGGGGATGGATGGTGGTATCAGTTTTACAAAAATGTGAATGCACTTAATGCCATTCAACTGTAACTTTAATGTGGCTAAGATGGTCAATTTTATGTTATGTATATTTTATCACAATTTTAAAAAGAAAGAGAATCCAAGTGTTGGCATCTACTGTCCAGCAGGCACCAATGTCCAACTGAAATGTCACCAATGAGATAAGGCCCTCTCCACTGGCCCACCATCTTGGCCATCTGTGGAGACCAACACAGGGAATGGGCATGAGGAAGAATAAGGTCAGGACTCACCCCGTCCTCAGGTTCTGAGGGTCTGGTCAGGAGCCGCCATTGTGTCCAGAGTCAGTTCCTGCCGGTGGGTTCATGGTCTCGCTGACTTCAAGAATAAAGCTGTGGACCTTCGCAGTGAGTGTTACAGCTCTTAAAGATGGCACAGACCCAAAGAGTGAGTGGTAGCAAGGTTTACTGTGAAGACTGCAAGGACAAAGCTTCCACAGCGTGGAAGGGGACCCCAGCAGGTTGCCAGCTGCTGGCTGGGGGTTGCCAGCTTTTATTCCCTTATTGTCCCCTCCCATGTTCCTTTTCTGTCCTATCAGAGTGCCCTTTTTTCAATCCTCCCCAGGATTGGCTACTTTTATAATCCTGCTGATTGGTGCATTTTACAGAGCACTGATTGGTGCGTTTTACAATCCTCTTGTAAGACAGGAAAGTTCCCTAAGTCCCCACTCGACCCAGGAAGTCCAGCTGGCTTCACTTCTCACCATGGCTGGGGGAGCCCTTCCTCAGATGAGAGTGGGAGACTGAGGTTTAGATTAGGCTGGACATTCAATATCTGATCATCAGACTGGGGAATGATAACCGGAGATGACCGTAATGGTTGATCCTGATAGTGCCTGAGATGCCTTCTGGAACCTGAGAAGGGAGAAACATTTGACTTGTGCTGTGTAAGGGAAAAAGTCTATTTCATAATTCTGCCCTCCAAGTTCCATTTAGTCAATAAGTTATGCATGCTTGACTATAGGATTGTTTTTTTAATTACAACAAAGGATACCCCAAACAAAACAAAGGCAAGGATACTGGGGAAAATATTACTTGAGCTATAACAAGAGTTAATATGGACAACATATCAATAACTTTTACAAACTTATAATAAAAGTGAAATAACACAGAAAAAAATGAGTGAATCCTATTCATAGGCAATTCACAGACAGGTGAATGCAAATGGTTGATAAGCATATTTTTAAAAATATCAAGTCGTATATGGAAGCATCAAAAAGTAAATGAAAATAAATAATTACATCTATCTTGGTTTATCATATTGGAAAAACCATCATATTAATATTATCCACGTTGGTGAGGAGGTAAAGGAGAGAGCATTTTATATGTTGTTTATTATATTTTCCCATCCACACACACACACATATGCACACACACATGCACACACATCCATCTGTTCCATTTCTGCTCATCTAGTCTGCAGAAATGAAGTCATTTGCGCATATCATAGGTACAATGAGACATATTCCAGCACAAAATTGCAAGTCCACCAACAGGAAAATGCTTAAATAAGTTGACTACACACCTAATATAGAGTATCGTTCAGATATTAAGCATGTTGAGTTAGATCCACATTCATCGAATTATAGGGATGCCCATGCCATGAAGTAAAGAAATAAGTTGGACAGATATATAAATATAACAATGAGCTGGGCGCGGTGGCTCATGTCTGTAATCCCAGCACTTTGGGAGGCTGAGGCGGGCAGATCACTTGAGGTCAGCAGTTCGAGACCAACCTGGCCAATATGGTGAAATCCCATCTCTACTAAAAATACAAAAATTAGCTGGGCGTGGTAGCAGGTACCTGTAATCCCAGCTACTTAGGAGGCTGAGGCAGGAGAATTGCTTGAACCCAGGAGGCGGAGCTTACTGTGAGCCGAGATCATGCCTCTGCACTCTAGCCTGGGTGACAAGAATGAAACTCTGTCTCAGAAAAACATAAACATGAAAATAAATAAATAACACGATGAAGAAGGGGAGACATTTGTGATCCACGGGTATGTGTGTGTATGTTTGTATCTGAGGGCCTGGCCGTGCAGAAGTTGTGTAACATACACGCCAGGCCCTCAATACTGGTTCCATGGTTGTGTTAGAAGGATGAGGGAAGAAGGAAGCAATACATAAAATATTAATAAATGTTAAGTAAAACAGCCAATTATAATATCTATTCAGTATCTTTCTTCACATACATAAAAATGAATATGCACCGTATTTACAGGCAAGCACAGGAAGAGGAAAAACATTGATTTGATTAAAGGATATCATTGTGGACTTTTAGGGCTTCAATATTTTAAAATAAATTTTATTTTGGAATAATTTTAGATTTAATAGATAAGTTACAAAGATATTACAGAGACTTCTCATATACCCTTTACTGAATTTCCCCCATCATTAATATCAGATGCTATCACTGTGCTTTTGTGAAAACTAAGACATTGACATTGTTACATTACTACTAACTAAACTGTGGATTTTATTGGATTTCATCAGTTTTTTTTAAATTATGTCCTGTTTTAGTTCCAGGATCCAGTCCAGGGCACCACTACCTGCTCTGTTATAGTGTCATGATACTGATGGCTTGTTGTGTAGTCATGTTAGGATGGCTTTTTAACACTTAATTGGGCTATACTATTGTAGTTGCCTCTTTGCCTTAAGGACTTTCATTTTTACTTTCATGTAGGTTTGCAATAAAGTAGAAAATGTTTTTAATGACTTTATTGCTGTCTAAGTGAGATATTTTTGCAAGACACTTAGAGTCCTTCTTGATGTGCTCAATTCTCCCTGTCTCATTAGGCGTGTCTTCCTCCCTTTCTCTACCCACCTTCTTGATGTTTCAGCCACTTGGGATGCAATGCTTCATCGTGTGGATGCCATATTATCCTTTTCCACCTCTCCCACATTGATTCCAAATCCATCAGTCTTGGCCTCATTTCCTGTGAAGGTCCTAGGCCATACTTGCACACATCTTCTGGTTACTGATCAGTCTCTTCGTGCCCCCAGCTGGCCCATTCCTCTTCCATAGAGCTCAACCCAGCAACCATGCAACTATAAGTCTATAACCACAACTTGTGTGTGTGTGTGTGTGTGTGTGTGTGTGTGTGTGTGTGTGTAGGGGTGATCTCCTTCTGACCCAGAGCACATGACACAGATGCTGTGTGTTCATCTCTGTGCCCCTTGGTTCCCAGCTAAGTGTCTTGGACCTGTATGATGGAAAAAAGAAGGAAGACAAGGAAGAGAAGGAGGAAGAGAATATTCAGCCTTAAAAATGGAGGAAATCACGTCACAAGCTGCAACGTAAATAAGTGTCATGGACATTATGCCAAGTGAAACAAACCAGGCACAAAAGGACAAATGCTGTCTGATTCCACTCATGGGAGGACCCCGGAGAAGTTCAAGTCATGGAGACAGAAAGTGGAATGACGGTTTCCAGGGCCTGGGGGGAGGAGGAATGGGGTGTGAGTGTTTAATGAGTGCTGAGCTTTTGTTTGGGATGATAAAAAAAAGTTCTGGAAACGGTTAACGATGTTGGTTGTACAAATGTGAATGTACCTAATGCTGCTAAACTGTACACTTGAAAATGGTTAAGAAGGTAAATTTTATGTTATGTGTACTTCATCACAATTTAAAAGAAAAGAAATAAAATGTCTATGGAAACAATATTTTGAAACTGGTTTACAAGGAGGTGACTAAGTGCTCTCTTCCTGTCCTCCTTTGCGATTGTAAACAGAAAATTAGTCATTTAAAGTCTGTTAGCTGTGCACTCCAGGAGGCGGGGGACATGAAGTGAGAGCAGGTGACTGGTGCATTTCCATTTGTGCTACAACAACTAGGAGGAAGTGACAGAAATGACAGCAAACAATGGAATGAAAAACTCATGAAAAGGTAAATTGGAGCTCCAAAGTCAGGGGAATACAATGAAAGAAAAACCGTAACTGTTCCCGGTGTGCCGGGCCAGTGGAGACAAGGGCCTCCCTCTGCCCTGTGTGCCTGGATGATGATCAATTCATCTCAGGCCAGAACAGTTGTCCTGGACGCTTCAGAGGAAGGCAACAGAGTGACTCACCACAGGCTGCAGCTTCCTAGGGGCACGCATGCATCCATTTATCAGCACTGGAACAATTTATGGATAGCTGGCAATTTGTAGAAGGGGCCACTCAATATATTTTTTTTAAAGCCTAGCTCCATTTAAAAAATAAATCAGAAGTAGAAAAGTAGATTAAGGAAGCAATAGGGTGTCTCATGGGCCGTGTATGAAATGCATACAGTATTTGGTATATAATACAGGTTTAGTGTTGGACACTTAAGATTACTGTATAGGCATTAGGAATTTCATGTCAATTTCTCATCGTCCCTTTATTTGTGATAATGGGAGTATTTCAGTGGAAATAAAGGATTCACCTAAGAAGCTTTTTAGGATGATTTAAGACCTAACACAATGATATTAGTGATGTATTGCCACATAACAAATCTTAGTGGTTTGAAACAACAAACGTTTATAGTATCTCAGTTTCCGAGTGTCAGGAATCCAGGTGTGGCTTCACTGGGTGGTTTGGGTCAGGGTCTCAGAGTAGCAGTCTGCATGTTTGTGGGTCTGCGTCCATCTTGAGATTTGAGGAACAGGTCAGATCTGCTGCCAAGCTCACTCACCTGGGTAGGAGCAGGATGCCATTCTTTGCAGATGTTGGATGGAGGGTCTCAGATCTTCATGGTCTGTCGGCTGGAGCTGTGTGTCCCTTGGCAAGGTGTGTCTGTACTGTGAGTGCAGCTCACACTGTGGCAGCTGACTTTCTGCAGTTATGAGCATAAGACAAGAGAGGATGAGCAAGCCAGAATGCAGTCTTTCTGTAACCTCATCATAGATGTGACATCCCATCACTTTTGCCATATGGTCTCTGTTAGAAGCAAGTCACTGGGTCCCACCCTCACTCAAGAAGAAGGTATCACAAAGGGTGTGAATACCAAATGTACTGGGGTCCTTCTAGACGCTTTCTACTACAATTATAAGAAGAAATGCACTAGCCCCAAATCATTGGAAACAGGGTCACAGGGAGATAGAGCAAGTTGGAAAGTGCCTTGGGACTTGGCTTCCCTCTTTTCTGACAAGAATCGTCTTCATGAATGTGACATCACCTCTTTGATAGGTGGAAGGAGGCAGGGAGCAGGGGCAGATCAAGGCTCATGTCAGCATGGTCCTACTGAGGCAGCCCTGTCCTTTCTGCAGGCAGCAGCAATCAGATGCAGGTCTTCATCTCCAACAGGAGCTGGAATCCTGGTTTCTGATGTTGGCCCAGAGCACTTCTGGAGAAATGTGTGAGGGAGACAAGTGGAGAAGGGATGTCCACAGCCCACCATACTTAGGGTGGTGTGCCCGAGTGAGGTGCCCGTGCTCTCATGTTCTGTAACCTGGTGGGCACAGCCAGGGGCAGTGGCTGCCTGCACATGATGCTTTATGAAGAAGCAGCAGCTGTGGAATGCTCCCTGTGGGCCATGCACGCTACAGGGGCTCTGCGTGCATCACTTCACTTCACCCCCACAGGAGCACGATAGAGAGGTTACTGTCCTACCTCCAGTTTTAAATCTGGGGAAACTGAGATTGTGAGATCGAGCCATCTGCTGCAGCACATGGGGCCCGTGGGTGGCCAAACCCAGATTTCCATACTGGTCTTGATGACTAATTACTTCTAAGTTATTCTTTTTCAAAGTTCTTTTAGCTATACTAGCTGTTTGGTTTTTTTTTTTTTTGCCTTTCCACACATTTTAGAATAATGTCCAAATCTACAAAAGTCTTACTGAGATTATGAAAGAAATTGTTTAAACCTATAGATCAATTTGAGAAGAATTGACATCCTCACTCTCTTATGTCTTTGAATCCATGATTAAATCTATTATTTAAATCTATGATGGTATTTCTATTTACTTTTATAGATCTTTGAGTTCTTTTATCAGCCTTCTGTGGTACAAATTCTGTTTATACTTTGTTAGATTTATACCTTAGTATTTCATTTCTTTTAGCTATTGTAAATGGTATTATATTTTAATTTCTGTGACTACATGTTCTCTTCTAGAGTACAGAAAAACAGCTGAGTTTTGTATGTTTCTCTTTTAACCTGAAATATTGCTGAGTCCACTTGTTAGTTCTAGGTGTGCTTTTTTCTTTCTTTCTTTCTTTTTTTTTTTTTTTTTTTTTTTTTTTGAGACAGAGTCTCACTCTGTTGCCCAGGCTGGAGTGCAATGACGCCATCTCAGCTCAAGCGATTCTCCTGCCTCAGCCTCCTGAGTAGCTGGGATTACAGGCGTGCACCACCATGCCTGGCTAATTTTTTGTATTTTTAGTAGAGACAGGGTTTCACCGTGTTAGCCAGGATGGTCTCAATCTGCTGACCTCGTGATCTGCCCACCTCAGCCTCCCAAAGTGCTGGGATTACAGGTGTGAGCCACCACGCCCAGACTTCTAGGTGTGCTTTTGTAGATTCTCTAGGATTTTGTGAGTAGACAATCAAGCCAACTACAAGTAGGGACAGTTTTATTTCTTTCATTGCATTCTGTTTTTTATTTACTTTTTCTTTTTTTTTTTTTTTGCCTTAATGAACTGGTTAAAACTTCTGGCACTGTATTCACTAAGAATGATGAGAACAGACATCCCTGCCAGGCTCCAAATCTTAGGGGGAAGCATTCACACCATGCAGTATAAAGTGAGCTGTGGTTTTACCAATGCTTTTTGTGAAGTTGAGGAAGTTTCTCCCTTATTACTATTATTACTATTTTCTAAAAGTTTTCTTTATTGTTTCTCCCTTATTACTATTATTACTATTTTCTAAAAGTTTTCTTTTTTGTTTCTCCCTCTCTCTTTTTTTAAATGAATCAGTGTTGCATTTTGCCAAATGCTTTTTTCTACATCAGTTGATGTCATCAGGTGATTTTTCTTCTTTAGCTTGTAAATGTGGTCAGTTACACACAGACAGTTCCTGACTTGCAATAGTATGACTTAAAATTTTTCAATGTTTTGACTCTACAATAGTACAAAACCATCTAACCATTCTGTTTTTCATTTTCAGTATGGTATTCAGTAAATTATGTGAGACATTTTATACTTTACTATAAAATAAGCTTTGTGTTTGATGATTTTTCCCAACTGTAGGCTAATGGAAATATTCTGAGCACAATTCAGGTAGGCGAGGCTAAGCTATGAGGTTTGGTAGGTTGGGCATATTAACTGCATTGTTGACTTAACGATATTTTCAACTAATGAGTGGGTTTATTGGGCCATAACTTCATGGTAAGCTGAAAAGTATCTGTAATTGATTTTTGAATATTGAACTCGCTTTGAATTTCAGGAACAAAATCCACTTGGTTGTGATGTACGATTATTTTGATGTATTGCTAAATTCTATTTGTTATTTTGTTAAAATTTTTTGCATCTATAATTATGGCAAATATTAATCTGTAGTTTTCCTTTTGGTATACTTTTGGTCTAGTTTTGTATCAGTATAATGCTGGATTCATAAAATTCATTGGGAAGTGTTTCCATTCTTTCTATTTTGGGGAAGAGACTATGTATAATCGGTGTTAATTCTTGAAATATTTGGCAGAATTCTTCAGTAAAACCATCTGGACTCAAAGGTTTCTTTTATGAGGGAGTTTTAACATTACTAATTCAATTTCCTAAAGAGTGTTCAAATTCTCTATTTCATATTCTGTGAACTCCAGTGGTTTGTGTTTTTCAAAGAATTGGTCCATTTCATCAAAGTTGTCAAATTTATGTGTGTAGCTATTCACAGTATCCTCTTATGCTTTGGACATCTGTAGGGTCTGTAGTGATATCCTTGGCTTCATTATTTTTATTTATAAATTTTATTATCTTTTTTTTGTCAGTCTTGCTATAAGTTTGTCAATTTTATTGATCTTTTCAATGATCCAGTTCTTTGTTTCATTCATTATCTCTATTGCTTTCCTGCTTTTTATTTGACAGATTTCTGCTTTTATCTTTATTATTTTCTTCCTTCTGCATTCTTTGGGTTTATTTTTCTCTTGTTTGTCTAGGATCTTGGAGTGAAAGCTTAGATTAGTGATTTGAGACTTTTCATTTTTTCTTATCTATTCATGTAGTGCTACAATTTTCCCTCTCACCACTGCTTTTGTGATGTTTAATAAAGTTTGTTATGTTGTATTTTCATTTTCATTCAACTCTGTGCATCTCATTTCCCTTGAGACTTCCTCTTTGACCCATAGATTATTAAGAAGTGTGTTATTTAGTTTGTAAGTATATCAAGATTTTCCCTTATTGTTCTGTTATTCATTTCTTATTTGATTCCATTGTGGGAATCATACTTTATCTGATTTTAATTCTTTTAAGAGAACATACCTTACCTGATTTTAAATCTTTTAAATTTTCTAAGGTTTGTTTTATGGCCCAGGATATCTGTCTTGATATACATCATGTGAGCACTTGAAAAGAATTTGTATTCTATTGTTGTTGGATGGAGTATTCTATAAATATGGATTAGCACTTGTTGATTGATGGTTTCTATGGTTTGAATGTTTATCCCCTCCAAACCTTATGTTTAAATTTGGTTGCCATTGTGGTGGTGTTGGAAATTGAGGCTTTGGGGAGGTGATAGGGCCATGAGGGCTCCACCTGCATGGGCAGGATTAATGCCACTATAAAAGGGCAAGTCCAACCTTCTTTTGTCTCTGCCCTTCTACCATGTGATGATTCAGCAAGTAGGCCCTTGCAAAATGTTGATGCCTTGATCTTGGACTTTCCAGGCTGCAGAACTGTGACAAAATAATTTCTTAAATAAAATCTCCAATCTGTGGAATTTTATTTTAAAAGCACAAATTGAACTGAGATGATGGTGCTATTGAGGTCTTCTGTGTTCACACTGATTTTCTGTTTAGTTCTCTCAATTGTTGAGAGAAGGGTGTTGAAATTGCTAATTGTAATGGTGGACTTCTCTTTTTGATTCAGTTAGGGTTTGCTTCACATATATTACCATACTGTTGTTGGGTGCACATAAATTTCAGATTGCTATATTTTATGGTAGATTAATTTTTTATCATTTTTTTAAAGATGGAGTTTTGCTCTTGTTGCCCAAGCTGGAGTGCAATGGTGAGATCTTAGCTCTCTGCAACCTCTGCCTCCTAGGTTCAAGGGATTCTCCTGTCTCAACCTCCTGGGTAGCTAGAATTACAGGCTTCTGCCACTATGCCCTGCTAATTTTTGTATTTTTAGTAGAGATGGGGTTTTACCATGTTGGCCAGGCAGGTCTCGAACTCCTGGCCTCAAGTGATCTGCCCACCTCGGCCTCCCAAAGTGCTGGGATTACAGGGGTGAGCCATCATGCCTGGCTGATTTCTTTAATTATATAATGACCCTCTCTATGTCTAATAATGTTTTTTTCTCAGAAGTCTGCTTTATATTATATTAATGTAACCACTACTGATTTCTTTAATATTTGCATAATATAAGCTATTCTATTCTTTTATTTTCAGTATGTCTATATTATCTATTTAAAGTGCACACAACTTCATCTATATAGCATAAATTGGTAATGCCATTAATCCATCTCATCATTCTTTGCCTTTTAATTGACATATTTAGACTATTGATAATTAAAGTAATCATTAGGTTAGGGATTTAAGTCTATTATTTTATTTTTTCTGTTTATCCTTTCAGTTCCTTTCTCTTGTTTTTCCCTGCCTTTCTGCAGATCACTCAAACATTTTTTAAAATATTTTGTTTTCACTTAATTATTGTGCTTTTTAGTTTATCTCTTGATATACCTCTTTTAGTAATTGCTCTAGATTTACGTTATACACATATAACTTATCGGAGTCTACTGGTGTTGCCTTTTTATCAGTTCAAATGAAGTTTAGAAATCTTACAAACTCTTCTCATCACTTTCTTATGATTGTCTTAAATATTTCCTCTATATTTACTTAGAACCATATCAAACAGGGTTATAAGTTCTGCTTGAATTGTCAAACATAATTTAGAAAACGTAAGAAGAAGAAGGCAGCCTATTTTATTTAGCCATATTTTTGCTCATTGTTTTCTTCCTTCTTTCCTGATGTTCCAAAGTTCTTTTATTGTTTCCTTCCTGTATGGAGAACTTCCCTTAGTCATTCTTTTGGGGTATGTCTGATTGCAACAAATTAGCTTAGTTTCCTTCTTCTAAGGATGTCTTGACTTTCTCTTCAATCATGTATAGAATCTATTCATTTATATAATTTACATAGAAAACATAGGATTCTGGGTTTACAATTCTTTTCTTTCAGCACTTGAAAAACACAGTGCTACTTCCTTCTGGCTTCCATGGTTTCTAATGAAAAGTCCATCATCATAAGAATTTTTTAGAAGCCGCTATACTTTCACCTGTGGATAGGTTTCATTTCTCTGTCATTGCTTTAAAGATATATTCCTTATCTTCAGTTTTCAGATGTTGGACTATGATGTGTCTTGGTGTAGATTTATTTGAGTTTATTTTGTTTGGGATTTAATCAGCCTCTCAAATCTGTAGGGTTATCATGTGTCCCTGAAACTGTTCATTTTTTTTTTAAGTCTTCTTTCTTTGTTTCTCAGATTGGGTCATTTCCACCATTCTTTCTTCTACTTCACTGATTCTTTCTTGTGCTCCCTCCATCTGCTGTTGAGTTCTTCCATTTATTTATTTTTTTATGGTTACTGTGTTTTTCAGTTCTAAGATTTCTATTTGATTCTTTTTTACATCTCTTAGTTCTTTGCTGGGACTTTCTATTATTTCATGGTTTTTAAGCTTGTTCATAATCACTCATTGAAGCATTTTTATGATGACTGCCTTTAAATATGTGTCAGAGAATTCTAACATTTCTGTCATCTTGACGTTGGAATCTTTTTTTTTGTCCTTTTGATTTAGTTTGAAATCTTCCTGGTGCTTGGTATGATGAGTGATTTTTTATTGAAAACTGGAAATGTGGGCTTTGTGGAATGAGAAGTTGAATCTTATTTAAGCTTTCTGTGTTAGTTGTCTTTTTATTACACCACTCTAGCGGGAAAAGGGCGAGGTAGGGAATTTTGGGGTGCCTCTTTTCTTCCCAGAGGGGCTGGAAGTCTACACTTCTTACTTATTTTTTGCTGGCATGGGTGGGGTTTTAGCTACAGCTTTTTGGTAGAATTTGGCTAAGAGTTGAGCATTTATTTTCCAAAATGTTCTTTTTGGCTAGGTTGTGTCTTTCCTTGTCCTTCGGCTAGAGATGGCAGGCTTCCGCTAAGGTATTGTTTTTATCGATGCCTTCTTCCACTCCAACTCAGAGTTATATGAGGCAAAAAGAAGACCTAGGAATGTCACCATGTTGATCTTCCTGTCCCAAGGTCCATAGCTGGCCTGCCTTCTTCTCTTCACTTTTCATATTCTTGTTAGGTTTTTTTTTTAACATAATATGCAAGGTTTTTAGTTGCACTTATTGAGAGGAATAGGGAAGTGTACATCTATCTATTCCATCTCCACAGAAGCAGAAGTCAAATAAGCTTATTCTGAAGCCAAGCAAAAGCCATGCAATGCTGGGACTATACAGTTTTTCAAAGGGGAATTTTCAGAAGATGGCACAGAGCAGATGAAACTGGGAGATGGAAAAAATTCCCTAGCATAGCAAAACCCAATACAGTAATACATTCCATTTGTATCTGCTTCTGGACATCACTATAGGGAAAAGGAAAAGGAATGAGCAAACCTGAGGACTGGGCTATCTCCTTATGAGAGTTAAGTGTGATGAGTAGAACCAACAGCATAAATTAAATTGTTTTGGAGAAGAGATTCTAATCTTTAAAAGAGCTTAATCTGTTTAGGGTAATGTCCCCAAATAAGTGAATTATTTCCAGCTTCTATTTCTTCTTTTACCCCCAAGGAGAGTTTTATTATTTCCTTCATCTGGACAATATGTTCTGGGAGTTTTATATATTTATTTACTTTTATTTAATCAATAATGGAGAGTTTATGTAACATACGATTAAACAGCTATTTCTTTTATTAATCAGATAAAGAGCTGATATTCTGAGCTAAAATAAAATCTTAAACATGTGCTTTTATGAATCTAGTGTGGTGTCATGGGAACCCTGGCCCTTGGCTGTTTGGAAGGAGCCTGTGGTCCTCAGCTTAGGCTGCCATAACAAGCATGACAGATGGGGGCGCTCAAGCAGCAGATGTTCATTGCCTCACAGTCCTCGAGGCTAGAAGTCCAAGATCAAGGTGTCGGCAGGATTGATTTCTCCTGTGACCTCTCTCTTGGCTTGCAGATGGCGTCTTCTCCCTGTGTCTTCACATGGTCATCCTTCTGTGTGTGTCTGTGTCCTCATCTCCTCTTCTTATAAGACACCAGTCAGATTGGATTAGGGCCCATCCATATGGCCTTATTTAACTTTATAATTACCTCTGTAAAAGCCCTATCCTCAAATAAGGTCACATTCTGAAGCATTGAGAATTAGACTTCAACAGATGAACTTTGGGAGCCACAATTAGCCTATAACAGGGGGTTAACACACATGGGGCCACTGTCAGCACCTGGCATCACCTTCTTGCTCACCTTGGGCACTGGTGGCCATGCCTGCCCCTGGCCTTCCCACCATCTCTGTACCTTTCCTCGTCGAAGTGCTTGGGCCCTTCACCCTTTCCAAGTCCTCATATTTGCCAGATGATAGATGTCTGTATCATTTTTTAAAGATTCATACATTGTTACAACTGTGGTCCAGGTCTCTCTAAAGAATGCCAATGTGGCATTTGGCTTCACTCTTTGGTAGGGGCTGTGCCCATCTCAGGGTGCAAAGCCTGCTTGACCCCTGTCTGCACCTTCCCACCTCCTCTCCAGCCAGGTCTGATGTGCACTTTGAGCTGCTGAGCCCTGAACAAGAGGGACAAATGGAAGCCTGCACTCCATCTCCAGCCTCCCAACTCTGTGCTTTTGGTTCAGGTGTATTGCTCACGTCACACTAGTTTTACCTTTTCTTCTTGGGATTAATTGCATCAGCTTCCTGCAGGCGGGTCCACATCTTGGCCACAGGCAAATGGGCAACCACCCTGCCCGCCTCAAATTCCTTATGATTTCTGAGACAGTCTTTCTTCTGATGAGTTTAGTAATGTGTCTCCCCCATTACACTGCGAGCAACATGAGGGAGTGCCTGTGTCTTCTATGGTCTTTTTATCCCTAGATGCTTTAGGGCAAAGTGCTGGCACAGAATATGTTACAATAAATATTTGCATCTTTGGTGCAGCCCCGACTTTCTGCCTCTGGAAAAATGCAACAGGACACAAGCCATGGTCAATTGTTCTGACTGTCTTCACTTCCTCCACACATAGCTGAACAATAGTGTTCCTCAAGGAAGAAAGTGCACTTTGGAGGCAGGGTCTGGCTGGTGTTTAGGTAAGAGAGTAGTCAGTTCATGCCCACACACACCCCCTGGTGAGGAAGGTGAGCTTTTCATCTCTGCTTGCAATATCATGGACTGAATAGCCAGGATCCAGAACTCAGCCTCTTCACTTTCCTTCACACTTCTGTGATTCTTGTTTTTTAATTGAGGGGCTAAGGTTTCACACATCCAACATCTCTTTTCTCCAATGTCCTGCTTTCTTGCCCCTGCATGGCAGTTCTCATCTCCCCTTCCTCTAAGACCCAACCTCCCACTATCCTGTTCTCCACTGCAGCCTTCTCCTGAAGGATGTACATTCCACTCCATTTGATGACCAGGACAATATAGAAGTGTTGGAGCCCCTGTTCTACTGTCTTTCACCCTCATGTGAGGCTTAGGGTAGAGCCAGCTCCCAGTTCATACCAGGTTAATGTCTAATGGGTGCAGACCACAGGCCAGGACTGTGCTAAAGGCTACACTTGGCTTATTGCCCTCAGTCCTCAAAACAGCCCTGTGCAGTAGGCATTGTAGTTGACCTTGTCTTACAGGTGGGGAGAATGAGCCACAGAGAAAATAAATAATTTCTGGGAAATCATCCAACAAGCAAATGGTATTGCTGGGATTTTGAGTCCATCCTGCCACCAGCTTCCAGGCAATGACAGCTCTTTCCAAAAGTAACTATGTGGCCCATGGTCCTATCTGTCCTCCTTAGAAAGACTGCTCTGCCAGGAATCATGTTGAACCAGCTGGGGAATTCTCTTTACTTTTCTCCTCTTCTCTGTTCTGAAAAATGCAAAATTGACAGATATTCTGTGAGTCTTAGAGATGCTTTCCAGAAGGAGGGTGGGTTAATCAGACATTAGGCCTAGGCACAAGGTAGGAATACGTCTCAGAACCTGCAGGAGACAGTGACCCAGCATGGGGCAGAAGCCTTCTCACTGGGGCAGGACAGGTTATAGGGATGGGCTCCAGGGACTCTGTCAGAGGCCAGCCCAGGACCCTCAGCCAGGAGCTCCAAGGTACGTGGGAGGTCATAGCTGGGAGACCCTGTCAGGTGGCCCTGGAGGAAGACATGGAAAGTTGGGAAGCTGATATGGTTTGGCTGTGTCGTCACCCAAATCTCATCTTGAATTGTAGCTCCCATAATTCCCACATGTTGTGGGAGGGACCTGGTGGGAGATAACTGTATCATGGGGACAGTTTCCACCACACTGTTCTCGTGGTAGTGAATACATCTCACAAGATCTGATGGTTTTATAAGGGGTTTCCCCTTTTGCTTGGTTCTCATTTCTCTCTTTGCCTGCCACCATGTAAGATGTGATTTTGTTCTCCCCTCACCTTCCGCCATGATTGTGAGGCCTCCCCAGTCATGTGGAGCTGTGAGTCCATCAGATCTCTTTTTCTTTATAAATTACCCAGTCTCAGGTACGTCTTTATCAGCAGCGTGAAACAGACTAATACAGAAGCTCTGAAAATGCAGCCAACCCAGGCAGCCTGCCTCGGCGCTAGAGGGCAACTATAAGCTTTCCGGGCTCTATTCTACTAAGAATAAAATCCAGCATCAGGAACCTCAACCCTGAGGCTCTAATTCATCCCTGGCCACTAGGTCCTCCCTCCTTGTCTCAGCCACCTTGGCCTTGCTCTTGGAATATACCATGGCTCCCCTACCCCTATCAATCCTTTGCACCTGCTGCTCCTTATATCTCAGGCTTCCCATGCCCCTTCCCTCAGGTGTTGGCCCAAGTAACTCCTAGTCAATTTTGAGGCTCAGCATAAACATCAGATCTTCAGAAAATCTTTCCATCATGCCTTCCTACAACACTGTTACTTGCTTGTCCTGTTCTCATCCAGTAATTCTGTATATTCCCATTAAAGCACCCTTTCAACATGTACTGCTTCTCCCACTGCTGAAGACAGAGACTCTCTCCACTATGTCTATGCCTGGGATGCTGGTCAGCAATGGATGATGGACAGGGGACAGCAAGAGCTAGGACCTCAGCTAGCCTTCAACCTGGGCCACTTGGAGAGTGGGAACATTGTGCTGGCAACTCAAGAAGAAATGTGGTAGACAAGTGAGGTTGGTCATGGAGTAAAACAATTGAGGTGAGACACCCTGAGCCCCTTCCTCACCTGTGTTGCTTACTAATGATGTGAGCTTTGACAAATAACTTAATCCCCTCCTACCGCAGAGGTTTCGTTTCCCCACTTCTGCTTAGGGGTCTTCCGAGGGAGGACTTCTTGAGATGCTGGGTGTCTCACTTAGTGAGATGCCTGGTACTGGACAGGGTTTGTTTTCTCTCCCTCTTGTGTTCTCCCCCTATTAATACTAAATGTGTTGAAGCTCTGGGTATCTGGAGAGTCTAATGGAATTGGTTCCCACACCATCCTGGTGGTCTCCACGGATGCTGGAGTGGGAGGAGGAGAATGGGCTGTACCCACCCACAGGCTGTCTTTGACATGTCCTGGGGGACCTTACAGGTAGGGTGGCAGATATGTGAATTCCAGATAGATAAGGCATAATGTCTTTGTATAGGTGTGTTCCACGCAAAATTCCAATATGCACTGCTTGACTTACAATGGTGTCACTTCCTGATAAACCCATCATAAGTTGAAAATATCATAAGTGGAAAGTGCATTCAATATACCTACCTTACCGGCCTTCCTAGCTTAGCCTGGCCAACCTTAAACGTTCTCAGAACACTTACATTAGCCTACCATGGGCAGTCACCTAACACAAAGGCTATATGATAATAAAGTGTTGGTATCTCATGTAACTTATTGAATACTAAGCTGAAAGTGAAAAATAGAATGTTTGTATGAGTACTCAAAGAATGTTTTCTATGGAATGCCATGTCGTTTTCGCACCACCTAAAGTCTAAAAATCTTAAGTGGAGGCTTCACAAGGCAGGGACATCTGTGTTTGATGAGGCAACCCTCCCCAGAGGCACACGGAACGGCTTTCTCCACTCTCAGGAGACCAGCATTTACTCTTCCATGCAAGGAAGGCCAACACAGTGTCTCTGGTCCCAGTCCACCAGCAGACTGCTGATGGGACAGTCTCCACTGCACACAAACCCTGCTGCTCTCTTCTCTGCTCCAGAGGTTCCTATGTTGCCATTAACCTCTTGGGCACAGGAGTTTAACTCTCCATGTCAGTCCATTTCTCCTTCCAGACCAGGGCCTCAGGGGTCTCCAAATCCCCCCCCAGTGGGATTTTATTTTATAACAGGACAAGTAACCTGGAGATAAACCACCCTTTCCCCAGCAGGCTGCAGTGGGTGACTATGGTTGTCTTACTTTTGTTTCAGTCTTCATCTCCCCCGTCTCGTGTCAGACAGGGTCATTAATGAAACACCTGTGAATGCACACACACACTCTTGAATGCACACACATGCACACATACACATGCATGCAGACACACACCCCAGACTCCACTTTTAATTCTGAGCTCAACAGTCATTAGAAGCCCTAGGCCCACTCACAAAATCAGAGCCATAGTTGGGCACCAGGACAGGCCCTGGGCAGCAGGAATGGTCTATTGGAGTGGGTGTTGCTGTTATTGTGACTAAACTCCAATCACTTAGAAACAAAGTTTGGCTGGGTGACACTGAACAGAAGCCCAGGCCTTAGGATAGTGTATTAGGCCATTCTTGCATTGCTACAAAGAAATATCTGAGACTGGGTAATTTATAAGAAAAGAGGTTTAATTGGCTTATGGTTCTGCAGGCTGCACTGGAAGCGTAGCACAGGCATCGCTTCTTGGGAGACCTCAGGGACCTTTTACTCATGGCAGAAGGCAAAGTGAGAGCTTGCGCATCACATCAGGAAGGCAGGAACAAGAGGGAGTGGGGAGAGGCCACACGCTTTTAAATGATCAGATCTTTTGAGAACTCACTATCAGGAGCTCAGTACCAAGCCATAAGAGATCCAACCCCATGACTCACACACCTCCTACCAGGCCCCACCTCCAGCACTGGGGATTACAATTCAACATCAGATTTGGGTGGGACATCCAAACCATATCAGATGGTGCAAGGCTCCTTTAAGAGTGGTTCCAAAGTCATGGATGAGGAGAATCACGAGAAGAAATGCCAACATAAACAGCACCCAGCTCCTTCTGGGAGGTTATGAGTCATGACGTCCTATTCTGTTTGTTTGCTTGTTTGTTTGTTTGAGTCCCACAGTGGATTTTTATTATCTGAGAGTTTGGGAGAAACTGCTCCAGGGCTGAGGGCCTAGACAGTCCATGATGGTGGTCATGATGAGGGCCGGCTCCCATCCTGGAATCTGCACTTCATCCCCAGAGTGAAGGTGGCAGAGAGTGGCTGCAGGGACCATGGCTATGATCTGCCCAGGGGTGGGGTTCAGGCCCACGACCAGCCTGGATTTCCAGCCGCAGCTATCAGGGGTTCCACATTGGGTCCCAGGAACTGAGGGACATGAGGGCAGCCCGGGTTAGCCCAGAGAGGTCATCCCGACCTCCACCTCCTCCCATTCCTCCCTCTAAAAAAATAAAAACAGTGAGTGGAATGAAATAAACAACAACAACAAAAAACAGTGACAAAATCTGTCCCATCCACATAGCCCCTCCTGATTTGTTGGCGGAGAGGGCTGCATGGATCTCTGATACGCTAGCAGATGGCTTTACATAGCACACAGCAAACAGTGGTTCCAGCTCCCTAGGCCAGGCCAGGGGCATGTAGCCTGCAACGGGCTGAACTGAGTTCCCCAAAAATGTAGGTTCAAGTCCTAACTCCCAGTACCTGTGAATGTGACTTGACTTAGAAACGGGGTCTTCATAGATGTAACCAAGTTAAGATGAAGTCATACTGGATTACAGCAGGCTCTGCCTCCAATGATGGGTGTCTTTGCAAGGAGAGACTTGAAGACTCAGACACGCGGGAGGCGATGGCCATGTGAAGATAGGCAGAGAGGGGATGATGCTGACACAGGGAGCGTGGAGGGGCTGGGAGAGGCAGGGAAGGGTCCTCCCCAGAGCCTTCAGGGGAGCATGGTCCTGCTGACATCTTGACTGCAGACATCTGGCTTCCAGAGTATGACAGAGTGCATTTCGGTGAAGTCGCCCAGTTTGTGGTAAGGTGCTACAGCAGTCACAGGAAGCAAATGCATGGCCTGATGAAGCCAAGCGGTAATAACCAACCGGTAAATGAGGTCCATTATCCGGCTGACCCAGAAAACGTAGGACTAAAATGGGCAAATCTGATAGCAGGCACCTGGGAACTAAGCTTTGATTTAGACACATTATATCAGGCAGGATCTGACCCACAAGCCAGGCAGGAGGCTGCAGCGACCATCTGGGTCTTATGGCAGAACACTCCTCTGGGTTCAGGAAACAGAGTCCTCTATAGTACTGGTCCCGTGTGGCTTTGCTGGAGCCAGGGATCAGGCAATGTCTCGGGTTGCTTAAGGCTGGAGCCACTGGGGGATTATAGGAGCCCACTAGGAGAGGGTCTCGGGTGGGGAGGGGGATGTTCTTTCCGTCAAGTGCTATGGAAGCCTTCAAGCAATGCATTGGAGTGGGGAGGAGCACAGGTTCCCTGGGGCAGCTCTGGGAATGAGGACATTGCACAATTAGAAACAAGGCAGAGAGTGAGGCCAGCCACCTTGAAAAGCTGCTTGGAGGATGATATTTTAAAAATCAATATTCAGAGCTATCTGTTTTATATTCTGAAGGACATACACTGATTTAACATGGTTAATCTAGAAAAGGGCCTTTGAATCGTCTTTCCTTATAAAAAGGTGTTCTGTCTTTTGTTCACTCAGGGTTTCGTGCCCTGCATTTTAGTTGGTAGATATTGGTGGTCAGTGGCCCGTGCTCGAAGAATGTGGATCACAGAACTCCTTTGGATGCCTTCTCCTTGGTGTTTTACCAGGACCCATACCTGAGCAAGGATCATATATGATGCACAGTGAAGACAGAGTCCCTTCCTGCCCAGGCAGGAGATCCCTCGCACCACCAGAAAGGAGCAAAGAGGATGAGCTGTACTTGCCCAGCGTGACACGATGCTTACCTTGAACAGAGCTTCAGGAGGTGGCCGATCTAGATGAAGTGAATGACAGTCTCTGGTCCCATCCAGGCATGGATCCACGTGGAGAAAACCCCCAGTGCTGTGTGCCATGGGTGGGGTCAGGGCTGTTTGCCAGTGTCACTAACCTGACCGCTGTGTGAGTTGGGTTCACATTCCACTCTGGGAGTCTTAAGGTGAGCAACAGCCTATAAATCCACATTCCATACCTGCCTGTCGAGGTCCATATCACCCACATTTTTGCAAGCGCTCTTTTCCAACTCTTCTCTGAAATGTAGTACCCTAAATTCATGGGAACTTTTGATCCAGGTCCTGCAGTAAAGATTAAAAAAAAAAAGTTAATCCCTGTGTTTATAGAGATTATCTGTTCTGCTCTATTTTCCAAACTGGTAAAAATTGTCAGATCTATTTATAAATACTGGAGTAAAATTAGTTACTGGCTAATTCAGGAGGAGCTTTTAACATTATTTAAATAGTAGGTGAAGATTTTGAGGCCAGATTAAAGAAATAAAAAGACTTTTAGTTTAAAACATCACCCCCCCCCGCTTGTTTGTCTTTATAGTAAACATGTGTTTGTAGCTACCAGCTCTATAACTTCCAGTTGTGTGAACACAAGTAAATTGTACTTGAACTTTTTAAGCCTTCATTTCTTCATAATTAAGTTGTGAAGAATAATAATAACCAAACATGGCTGTGGTAAGAAAAAATATCAGATGGCATTATCACTGCTCTAGAAACCCAAGTTCCTTACTTCAAAAATATATTTATCATCAAATCTCAAAAATAGTCTCTTCTTTTTTTTTTTTTTTCATGAGTGAAAGATTTGTTTCATCTGTTATGGCAAGTAATATTCAGACTTCTGTCTGTGAACAGCAGCTTGTCAGCTTGCACAAAGACCTGAGTCACAGGCTGCATGTGCTTGCTGGGGTCTGGATGGCTCTGCCATGCCTGTTTTATTGACAGCTCTCGCTGTAAGGCACCATTACTGTCCTGGTCATGGGAGTTCCAAGTAGCTTACCTTCTCAGTGCTGCATCCAATGTTGCCAAGTGCAGTGGCCACTCTATTAAAACATTCTTAGACTTCTCTTTTCTTCTTTATTTTCACAATCTGGATGCTCATCCATTCATGAGTTTAGTTACTTTCTATTTGATATTTTTCTTGATTCTATTTCCCCTTGAGTCCATTTTATGCATTGTTACATATGCAATTTATTATATATTTTATAAGAATTATTAAATATATGCATATTTTAAATATTATGCAATATCTTAAGTCATCTCTTTAAAATGTTATGATCATGGCTCTTCCTGTTGCCCTTCAGCTTGGTATTCTGGTAGACATGGCCAGTCTGGCCAGCCCTCTGCCTTCATTACACCAGCCTTGTATCAGTCTGCAGTGCTTTTGGCTCACATGTCAGAGAAGCTTGGAACTAACTGCTTTCAGTAAGAGGGCAGCTTGCTATGTCGTAGAACTTGGAGTCTGGAATGAGAAGGTACACATTTCTTTTTGGAATTCAACAATGGATTGAAGGTCCTTGGCTCCACCTTCTATCATTGTCTGCCTTAGCTGGCCACCACAAGAGTGGCTGCATAGCTCTTAGCAAGCAGCTGACAGTTCCTGCCACCTACCTCTTCCCTATCCTGCACTCACTGTCATCTTTCTCAGACAGGCCTTTTGCGCTTTTACTTGGCATAGAATCATCTCTCTACCTTTCTAGGCCACATACTCCTTCAAGTCCAAATCATTGTCTCTGCTAAGCCTTCCTGTATTCATTATAGTCTCTTATTTTCTGTAGTCTTAATGCTCTGGATTCAGGGGTCCTGCTGACTGTGGAGAGAATTTCTAGAGTCAGCTAAGAGGTAGCAAACACTTCCCAAGAGTGTGCCTTTCTCATGCAAAAGAACCAATCCAGAGCCCAATCTTGCTCATACACTCTAGCCAATCTTCTTCTGCCTTAATTACCTGAAGACCAGGGACCAGACAACTCAAGGCAAAGCCTGTACCTGAAACACATTGAAATTATTCAAACCAGATGATCCTAAATCTGCTTAGCCTGTTTACTCTGCCTTGTCCATTTCTTTCCACAACAACCACAATAAAAGCTCTTACCCACCTTTTCTCCTCACTCTCTCTGTCTCCTTACGGACCCCATGCTTTCTCATGTGGCCCTGGTGGCGTGGCGTGACCCCACTTGGGATCTGTAAGTACAAAATACTATCTTTTTAATGGAAGTCATCTCTACATCTGTTGGCCTCGCCTTACCTGAATCATAATAAAACCTGCGTTTTAAAACACTTCCCAAGCTAGCTTTAGGATTTCTCTTTACCAGGGAAAGTGTCTTGCCTTTGTCTTGTGCAACCCTCCACCCAAAATAGGAAAGGAAGCTGATGGGCAAAGTGGCTAAGGAAGACAGAGAGCTGTGGAGGAAGTCCAGATGGTCAACAAGATGGCATCATTATCCTGTGATGAGGAGGCCTGAAGAGAGAGAAAGGTGATGAAGAAGCCCACAGTTTGTTGCTAGATAGAAACTAAAATTAATAAGATGAGAAAAATTAATTCAACTTACACTCAAGACATAAAATGAGAAGCTCCCCAGAAAGTCCATTCATCAGGCTTGAGAGGGGAGAGAGAAATGAGCAAATAACTTACTGTAATCTGATAATGTCAGAATGTGGTGCCAGAAACAGTGGCTCAGCCTTGGGAGTTGGATTTCCAAGATCCAGGCTCCTAGAGGAGTGGCTTGTTGACTAACAGGGAATTAGATGTTAAATCTGTTATCCAGATGCCACGTGGGCCAGACTAATGGGGAGACTGGTATAACTTTGTATTTCAAGATTTTTACAAAAGCCAGTCACTCCTCTTTTTACCCACCAAGAACTTTTTCTCTGCTGAGGCACTGGCTCCAGGTTCCTGCCTCTGATAAGTTGTCTTTACCATGCCATGTCTTGTTCCTTCTCATCCTGAGAACCCCGGTGTGCACCACCCCTTCTATTGGTTGCTATGCACAGATTTGATCCTAACAGGGCTAAAGCAGTTAGGATAGAGCTCAGCTGAGAATTAGAATGGCCGACATTATAGCAGCTTAAACCAGGGCTTCTCAGACTTTAATGCGCACAGGAAACACCCCATGATTGTGTTAAATGCAGATTTTATTACTGTGCACCTCAGCAGACTTGAGGAAGAGTGAGATTCTAAAACCTGAAAGGATCTGCTGATTCAAGGAACGCACTATAAGGGCATCAACAACACAGAAACTCATTTCTCTTTCCCAGGAAAGGCCTGGTGCGGAGTCCTTGGGGACCTAGGTGACTTCCATATTGTTGCTCCATCATGGAGCCTGCATTCCCAAAGTCACCTCAGAGTACAAAATGGCTGCTGGGGATCCCACCATTGTGGGATCCAGCCTGCAGAGAAAGAAGAGGGGTGAAGAGGCAGAGGCAAGGCTGCCACTCAGATATCTCTTAAGAAAGGCTATAGGTAGCTGTTCCTTGACACATACGGTTTCAAAACTTTGCTCAGATCTGTCAAAGGAAGCAGGGAAGGCTGGCCTCGTGATAGGCGCTGTGTTTTCAGGTAATAGGTGGGGATCCTGTAACTATGTAGACTCAGTGGATGGATACTGGGAAAGCCAGGCTTTTGTGTGTGTTTGTGAGGGTTCAGGAAGGAGTCAGGCATTTATAAGAGGTGTATTACTATTATTATGTAAATAAATCTAACAACAACAGCACCAATAATGGGTAACAATTATATAATAGGTACTCTGTGCCAGGTAATGTTCTAAGTGTTTTACAATTTTTGATTGATGCAGTCCTCAAAATAACCATATGGGAAAAGTGAGGCAGAAGAAGATGAAATGACTTGCTCAGGTCACACAGCCAGCAACTGACTGAGCTAGATCTTCAAGTGGCTGCTTCCAGACACTGTGCCCTTGACCCACTGGCTCACTGGTGGAAGTTTAATGACCTGCTCTCCAAACAAAAACGCCCTGGTTTGAAGCATTTGCCAAATCCTGTGATACAAATCCTTCAAGCTACCAATATGACATCACTGAGCAGAGTCCGGGAGGAATTAGAGTGCATTATGTTACTATATAATACTTTATTATCATATTATACAGTGTTTCCCCCAGACATACAGTATAGATTTCAGTAATCTCAAAAGCATAGGTTTACAATGTAGTGAAATTATTAGAAACTGATACGTTTTGAGTATTTATCTTCTTAAAAATGTGGTTTATTTAATTTAAAATTTCTGTTATTTAATCTTGAATACTTGCTAGGTTTAATGACTAGCCTGTAAAATTCCTGACAATTTAAAATTGGCTCTTGTGACCCAGTACACGCTGACTTCAGGCTCCACTGCCCCAACCAGGATGCTTTACAAAAAACTTAAAACTAAATATTACACATGGGTGCCCCTTAACAACTAATGACCTGTTGCCTCTTCAGCCAGCTGGAGCTTTGGCCTCCAGAGCAACGTCCTATCTTTCTGCTCCATTTCTGACTTCTCAGTTCCCAACATCTAAGAAGTAATAAATAAAATTGAACATACATTTTTCAAAAATCTCATGTTCCTAGGGAGAGTAATTCCTTCCTTTGCTTTCCCATTTCTTGCTGACTCGTTCCCTCTCTGACTGACTAGCTGTGCATGTGAGTCAGAGTCACTAGCTGTGGAAATGGAGCCCCTTCCAAAAAGGCATTTTGATCCAGCTCTTAATGTTCCTCCTACGTTGTTTTGGAGTGGTCCTTCTCAGGACAGCTGGTGGTAGGAGTAATTTTCTTTAATTTATGGAGCGGTATCTAAGTCATGTAGACTCACAGTGAAGAGAGTGTATGTCTCATAGCACAAGGGGATGCCCTTGCACTGGGGCTGCCTTGGACAAAAGAGGACGTGATGCTGCCAGAGTTGGGAGAAAACTTTGAACTGAGACTGTGAGTTTGACAAGGAGATTATTCCAAAGGGAAGGATGGTGTTCTTCAGCTCCACTCCTCAAATTCCCAGAGCCTCTCAGTTGTACCTACTGGGCATTCCAAGAAACTTGTGTTTGAAGCAATTGTTTTGTTTCTTTATTTTATTTATTTATTTATTTTGAGACAGGGTCTCACTCCCCTTGCCCAAGCTACAGTGCAAGGGCTTGATCATGGCTCACTACAGCCTCGACTTCCGTGGGCTCAGGTGATTCTCCCACCTAGGCCTCACAAGTAGCTGGGACTACAGGTGCGCGCCACCATTCCAGGCTGTTTTTTTGTATTTTCTAGTAGAGATGGGTTTTTGCGAAGTTGTCCAGGCTGGTCTTGAACTCTTGGGCTCAAGTGATCCACCTGCCTAGGCCTCTCAAAGTTCTGGGATTACAGATGTGAGCCACCAGGCCTGGCCTGTTCTGTTTCTTTAAAAAAAAAAAATTGAAAATCACTGATCTAGCAGATGGAAGGGTGTATTTCATAAATGCTGCTTTCTCTGCTCAAGACACCTGGTCCTTCTGATGAGCAAAGCTCTATTCTTCACCCTTCAGTTCACTTCATCCTGGGAAGCTTCTTTGCTGCTGAAGTCAGGGACCCGCATCCCTCCTGGGCTGTCACAGTGCTGAGCATTCTTTTCTCATGGCCCTTATCTCATGCATCATAATTATCGTTTGTGTGTCTTTCTCACTAGACTATAAACTTTGTGATGGGCTGTGATGATGGATGTTATATCTTCTAAAAGGCCTGGCACCAAATAGGTGATCAGTCACTCATTATTTAACTAACTTGATGAATAGATACAATGCAATGCATTATTTTGTTAGCTATTACATTAGTGCAAAAGTAATTGCAGGTTTAATGGCAAAATCCGCAATTACTTTTGCACCAACCTATTAATTATTAAAGCACAGGAGGGAAATCTTTCATAAAAACCAGGGTTGTCCAGAAGTCAAAAGTAAGTGGACACTATTAGATTATAGAATTATTTTTTTTCTGGTCTGCTGTGGAAGGCAAGGTCAGGGTTAGTGCATGAAAGATTCAAGAAGGGCAGTGCAGTGCAATCTATGCAAAAACCTTCCTCATTTTACAGTGTCATAAAATGGACAGCGGTGATTCTGGCAGCTTTGGAGTTTATATACACTATTTTTCTGTAAAAATACAAAGTGACATGTAATATATTTACAAACCCTTAGTTGGTGAATTGAAGAAAGGAAATCTCTGGATTCTGCAGGCAAGTGTTGAATTCAGGAGAATATCTTTGTGTTCCTCCAGAACCAGAACTGAGAGCAGATTCAATGCATGTAGTTTATTTGGGTCATGATCCTGGGATTGAAATATATAAACAGAATAAGTTTAGAGCAACTCTGAGAATAGAATTGGGGTCATGGTAGGCTTTTCCACCTTTTGTTCCTACAGCCAGTATTTACTCCCAGACTAAAGGCAGAAATGCCTGCTTAGGAGAGAAGCTAGGGCTCCTAAAACAATAGAGGCCCTGAGATACGGCCCAGTTTTGTATCTGATGCTTGAGTAGGCCTGCCAATTTCCCTTATCATTATTTATACCCTTAAAGAAGTCACCAGGTGATGTATCTTACCTGTAGTCAGACCTTGCAAGAAGCCCTCAGACCCTGGAGAAGGACCAAAAAATGAGAGTAATGGTAGAAGAAAACCTTGTGAACTCTCTGAATAAATCATCCATATGATTTATTTATAAACTCATACTCCAAGAAAAAGAATCAAAGGAAAATGAAAGAAAAGAACAGGGTCTAGGAGGGAGTGAATAGAATTGATCCCAGAAGAAACAAGGATAATCGGACGGGCATGGTGGTTCATGCCTGTAATCCCGGCACTTTGGGAGGCCGAGGCAGGTGAATCACCTGAGGTCAGGAGTTCAAGACTACCTGGCCAACATGGTGAAATCCCGTTTCTACTAAAAATAAAAAATTAGCCGGGCGTGGTGGTACATGCCTGTAATCCCAGCTACTCTGGAGGCTGAGACAGGAGAATCACTTGAACCTGGGAGGCGGAAGTGGCAATGAGCCAAAATTGTGCTATTGTACTCCAGACTGGGCAACAAGAGTGAAACTTTGTCTCAAGAAAAAAAAAAAAAAAAAGAAAAGAAAAGAAAAAAAAGAAAAGAAAAGAAACAAAGACAATCCAGAGAACTAAGAGGTACTTTCAAACCTCTATTCAGAGTTAGAAGAGAAGAAATTACATTCGCAATTTAAGAACAGACTATTGTTCGGAAGGTATAAAATCAGAACATAGAATCAGTTCATGGGATTAAAAATATTGTACCTAAAGAAAACAGTTCAATAGAACTAATTTATAAAGTAAGAAATGTCTCAGTACAAAGAGATGAGAAACATGACAGAGAAAACTAGAGACAGAGAAAACTAGAGACAGAGAACAGAGATTGCTCATTCAGAAATGCTATCTTCTATTAGGAGTCTACAAAAGTAAAAGAGAGAGAAAAAAGGGGGAGTTTATTATATGTTTTAAACAATGATAGAAAAAAGGAATATATACATATTCAACTAGATCTTCATTTAGGCACATCCTAAGGCAATTTCAGAAAACTAAGAATAAAACAAAGACACTAAAACATTCTAAAAGCAACATGCATGTTACCTGCAATGGAAGAAGAAAAAGACTAGTAGAAAAGTTTCCATCAGTAACACTAGTTTTTAAAAGATGATGGAACAGTGCTTGAATGTTCTTAGGAAAATGATTTGGAACTTAAAATTTATTCCCAGTCAAACTATAGATCAAATGTAATTGAAAAAAATTTTAAAATACACTTTTAGACATTCGGGGAAGGATTAGAAAGTTTACTTTTCATCTATGTACTTTTCTGAAGGTGCAGAAAAATATTTTCTAAGATCTCTTGAAAATACACTGTTGCAAAAACAAACAAAAGGAGTGCAACCAAGGAGAATACAACGCCTCTAATAAACAGGGGTCATAACCTAAGGGCTCCTGAAAAGCAACCCCAGGAGGCTAGCTGGCACTCAGATCTGGAGAGAAGACAGCAAAAGGAGAATTTTTTTTTCTCCCGGTGGTCACAAATTAGATAATTTCCTCAATATGATAATACTTATGCAAAGATTCTGCGCCCACAAAAGAAAACAAATAAACTTAATGGATATGTACACACAGAATATGTATAAAATTGTGCCTGGAAAGTACGCTACCATCTTGATAGGTGTTACTTTGGGGAAATGGCGTAGGAGGTGAGAGAATAAGGGAAGGTTAGGAGGTTAGAAAAGATGTTTTTGCAATATTTTCATTTCTTTTACAAAAAGATACTATCAGAACGTCCAGCAACATAATCTTGGCTGTGGTATAGACTGTTTAATAGCTTTGTGGAGATATAATTGGCAAACAATAACCTGCATGTATTTAAAGTGTATACCTCAAAAAGTTCTGACATTTGTGTACACCTGTGAAACCATCACCACAATCCAAGTGAAGAACATGCCAATCTTCCCTAAAGTCTCCTTATGCTTACTCTTACTCCCTCCGGCCCAACCCTCCTCCCCACCCCAGGCAGACACTAAGATACTTTCTGTCACTATACATTAGTTTACATTTCCTAGAATTTTACATAAATGGAATTACACCAGATGCATGCTTGTTGTTCCAGTGTAATTATGAAGAGCATCCCTTTCCTGTTTGGACAATAAACTGTACTATAATCAACCTACTACCAGGCAAGTAGCTAGTTGAAGCCTGTTCTTGAGTCCTGGTTGCCTTTTTCCAAGGAGAGACCACGCTGACTCTTGCTTTTCCTGTCTTTCCACTTGATGCTTTTACTCCCTTGTAGATACTCTGGTTTCTGTCTGGTAAGAGTAGTGACTTGGGCTGGTCTAACTTGAACAAAAGGACCAGCATGGAGTGCTTTGAACATTTTGACGGATTCAACTTTCAATGTTGTGATGAGTAAACATAGTCTTGAGTATAACCCAAGTTAGAAGCTCAGAGGCACTTGTAGTTAAAGTAAGCAATTTGGAAACTTACCATCAAGAATAAAGTTGGAGGGCTGGTCATAGTATTTCGTGCTTGTAAACAGCTACTTGGGAGGTCCAGGTAGGAGAATTAACTTGAGGCCAGGAGTTCAATACAAGCCTGGGCAACTTAGTGAGAACTTGTAAGCAAACAAATAGAGAGATAAATAAATAAATTTTGAAAAGAATTTTTAAAAATTAGCCAGGTATGGTGGCTTACACCTGTAGTCCCAGCTACTTGGAAGGGTGGGGCAGAAGGATCACTTCAGCCCGGGAATTCGAGGCTGCAGTGAGCTACGATTGCACTGCTACACTCCAGCCCCGGTGACAGAGCAAGTCCCCATCTCATAATAAAAATAATAAAATGGGGAGAAAGAACATAAATAAGAAACACTGTGAACTCTATTCTACAAGCTGTCATTAGCTCACCCCCAGGAGGTTTTCTCTCCCATGTTTATCTCTGCTCTCCCTACGTCTCACAAGTCAGACAGGGTGGGATTGATAGAGTTGGCCAGACAACACCCACTGAGGAAATTTCCCTGAAAGAAATGTCAGGTTTCAGTTACCATGGATGCACACACAAAATGCCCCTACTTGATGGCATAAATGACCATTTGACTATACTTGCAGATTCTGTGATTGGGAGTTCAGACACGTGCTGCAGAGATAGCTCATCTCTGTTCCACGATGTCTAGGGCTTCAGCTGGGACAACCTGGAACTTTGTGGTTTGCTTGGCCAGCTAGAGGCTGGAACCATCTGGAAGCTTTCTCACTCGCATGTCTGGTGCCCAGAATGCAATGATTCAAAGGTTGGAATCAGCTGGGGCTCTGTGCCTGCACATGGCATCTCCATGTGACTTGAGTTTCTCACAGCCTGGAGGCTGAGCTCTGAAAAGGAGGGTTTCAAAAGGGATCGTCCAGACAGCAAGTGTCCCAAGAGAACCGGGCTGAGGTCCATGCTTTCTGACCAAGTTCCTGAGGCCAGCCCAGCTTCAGCAGGGTGGCTTTAGTGGGGACTAGGATGGCCACATTGAAGAAGAGCATGGAGGATGGGATGTGTATAAACTACTTGGGCTGCCATAACAAAAACTGTTGAGTTGGTAGCTTAAATAACAGAAATTTATTTTTCACAGTTCTGGAGGTTGGAGGTCCAAGATCAAGGTTCTGGCCAATTTGGTTTCCAGTAAGGGCTCTCTTGTTGGTTTGCAGGTGGCTGTCTTCCCACTGTATCCTTACATGGGGTGGCAGCAGGGAGGAGAGCGATTTTCCTCTTCTTATAAGAAGGACACCAATTCTATCACATCAGGGCTCCATTTTTATGATCTCATTTCTTCATTTAGCCTTAATTAGTTAAGGCCCCATCTCCAAATAAAACCACATTGGAAATTAGGGCTCCAGCATATTAATTTCAGAGGACCCAAATGTTCCATCATAACAGGATATTGTTGGGTCTGTCATTGATAAATACAGTCTTCCCAAGCCAGTGACATTAAAAGTAAAAAGGAGAAGAAGAAGGAGAGGAAAAAAATCTTTTTCTTTTTTTTTTTTGAGATGGAGTCTCGCTCTGTCTCCCAGGCATGATCTTGTCTCACTGCAACTTCCACCTCCTGGGTTCAAGCAATTCTGTGCCTCAGCCTCCCGAGTAGTTGGGATTACAGACACCCGCCACAACGCGTGGCTAATTTTTTGTATTTTTAGTAGAGACAGAATTTCAACATCTTGGCCAGGCTAGTCTTGAACTCCTGACCTCGTGATCCACCCACCTCAGCTTCCTAAAGCCAAAATCTCATAGAATAATGTATTAGTCCATTTTCTCTTGCTTATAACTGAATACCTGAAACTGGTAGTTTATACAGAAAAGGAATTTGCTTCTTATGGAAGCTGGGAAGTCCAAGATAAACAGGGAGCATCTGGTGAGAGACTTCTTGCTGGTGATGTCTCTCTGCAGAATCCTGAGGCAGTGCAGGGCATCACATGGTGAGGGGGCAGAGTGTGCCAGCTGAGGCCTCTCTTCCTCTTCTTATAAATCTGCCAGTTCCCCTCCCACCATAACCCATTGACCTATTAACCCATGAGTGGAATAATTCTTTCATGAGGGAAGAGCTCTCATGACCCAATCACCTCTTAAATGTCCCACCTCTCAGTATTGCCATATTGGGGATAAAGTTTCAACATGAATTTTGGAGGAGACGTTCAAACCACAGCAAATATATAGTGCTGAATTACCTTTGAATTACAAAAAGAAAAATGGAGTCAATGAAGAACAGTTCCCTGGGGAAAAGTTAGAGCATGCTTTGGTGGGGGAAGAAAATCTCTGAATTAAGTTTCACTGGATTCCACCAGCTTGACTACTAATTGTGAGACATTCTGCAATCATTTGACAGAATTTTCTCATCTACAAAATAAAAGGTGCCTGGGCAATCACCATGAGCCCTCCTGTCTCCAAAATTATAGCTTCCTGACTCCAACAGCTTGACTTCTTCTCCCATAGCTTATGCTATATTTCCCTATAATTATCTGCTTCCTTCATCCTCCTGCCACAAAAATTAACCTTTATGCTTCTTTTGATACCACTCAAATATCACGCTCTCAAGGAAATTGTTGATTTCCTTTATAAAATGTAATACAGCTTGTGCCTATGTGTGCAGCACCCTTTATTTTAGGTAGCTGGTATGATCTTTCTCTGGACTCATGGTGATGGCATTTGGGTTAAAGGAAAGAGCATTTTTTTATTTTTGGTTAATAGCAAAAACAAAAACTTGTTTTTTACCCAAAATTCGAATCTCTTCCAGTTTAACTAGTCCCTCACCAATAAATAGAAAAATACAATTTTAACTTGCTTGTCAAAGCTATTGATTGCTTCTCTCCAAGTTTCCCATCTCCTTCCACCTTCCGAAGTGGCAAGAGAAGATTCCACAGCCCAGGAAGTGAGCCCTGAATGATAGGAGCTTCTGGATGACACCAGGGCTCTGACCTGATAGAGCTGATAGTCTGGTCCCTGGGCAACACGGACCAGACCACTGAAGTGCGATAAGACCATCTGCCCCTCTGGGTGCTGTGCTGGTCCCACTGATGAAGCGTATGACTCTGGGGAAGCATCCTCCACAGTGCAGAATGAGCCCAAATCTCACCTGATTCTCAGGTTCTCTTAGCTCTTTCTGGTCCCCTACCTACGGCCACAAGAGGTGAAACAAAAACCCCCTCAGGTAACCAGTTTATTGAATGAAGAGGACTCAGATCAGGAAAATACCAGAGAAGCTTTATTGTGTCTAATCCCTGCATGCAAAATTCACTCTGTGAACCTGTTTCTTTTCTGCTTACCTCTCAATTAACATCTTGGATAGGTATTGTGGCTTTCTGGTGCCTTTGGTTATAGGAACAGTCTCATCTCAGTAATTGTGTTGGTCAGTCCAATGTAATGATCAAACTTCCATTATTATCACATTAAAATTGATTTCTGGCTGGGCATGGGGTGGCTCACGCCTGTAATCCTAGCACTTTGGGAGGCCGAGGTGGGCGGATCACGAGGTCAGCAGATCAAGACCATCCTGGCCAACATGGCGAAACCCTGTCTCTACTAAAAATACAAAAATTAGCCGGGAGTGGTGGCGCACGCCTGTAGTTCCAGCTACTCAGGAGGCTGAGGCAGGAGAATTGCTTGAATCCGGGAGGTGGAGGCTGCAGTGAGCCGAAATCGTGCCACTGCACTCCAGCCTGGGCAACAGAGCGAGACTCCACCTCAAAAAAAAAAAATGTTTTCTTTGCCAACTTGGGCTTGTTTCAGGACTAGAAAGTTGCAAGGGAATTGAGACAGGTGTGGGTGGGTCCTTTTATTCAATGCACTGTCTCCTGCAGGCTAGTGAGGCCCGAAATCAGAAAAGGAGCAGTTTGCTCCAAAGGTTGCTGTCTTTACCCTTGTGAGCTGGGCATCATCAGCCACAATCTCTGACCTTTGTGCTTTTTCCAGACAAGTCTCAGAAACCAGGTCTCATGGCTCTCAAGTTCCAGGAGGGATAGCCAGTGTCTCTCAGTGGTGTCTGGAAGCCCCCTTGCTTGATGGGAAGGGTGAATGCAAGCGCCCTCCTCATCCTGATGGAGAGTGCATAGTGGCACAGTGACAGCTTCTGAAGAATTATGCTTTACTATGCCAGCCTTTTTCATCATTTAGACCCTGCAAGTGGGTGACTGGCCGAACCTGACTATCTTAGTTTCAAATTCACAAACCTTAGCTGGTTGTCCACAGTTGATGTAACTCCTTGCTTTAGTGTTTGGCATTGATTTCAATGTTCTAGACTGTGATGACTACTGTGGTACCACTAGCCACATGTGGCTTTTCAAAACTTAACATGCAGTTAGTCCTAACTGAGCTGTGCTGTCATTTAGAAACTACCAATTGTGATAATTTGGTAAGATAAAAATGTAAAAAATATCATCAATGCATTTTAGATTGGTTTTGTGTTAAAATAATAACACTTTGCATATATTAGGTTAAATAAAATATAGCATTAAGATTACTTTCACCAGTTTCTGTCTATATTTTTAAAATATGACCACTAGGAAATTTGAAACTACCTATGTGGTGTGTTTATACTTGTATTGTGTGGGCAACTGCTTTATCAGATCCAGCCAGAGTCCCATTTAAACAGGAAATTTTATCACCCAACCACCTTGAGGATCAGGGGATTAGTTCAGCCTATCTGATTAAAATATCTGTTAGTAGGTTGGACGTGGTAGCTCATGCCTGTAATCCCAGCACTTTGGGAAGCCAAGGCAGGCGGATTATGAGGTCAGGAGTTTGAGACCAGCCTGACCAACATGGCGAAACCCTGTCTCTACTAAAAAAAAAAAATACAAAAAATATCTGGGCATAGAGGCAGGTGCCTGTAATCCCAGCTACTCAGGAGGCTGAGGCAGGAGAATCGCTTGAACCCAGGAGGCTGAGGTTGCAGTGAGCCGAGATTGCACCATTGCACTCCAGCCTGGGTGACAGAGTGAGACAACGTCTCAAAAAAAAAAAAAAAAAAAATCCATCAGTAATTTCTAAACTACTCCCTGCGCTGACATCATGATGTTGTAGCACCAAGTTGAACTTCTATAGATGCTCACAGGTTTCAGGAACTTGCAACCAGGAAGAGCCTTGGTAAACACCCTAGGCTTTGGTTGGAACTCAGAAGTCTCCACCTTAGGAGTGAGAATGCCCTGGAAACAGCCCTCTCCAAAGGTTCAGGTTCCTGAATTCCTGGTTCTCTAATTGGATGAAGGTGATGCAGGAGTGCTAATGCTTCTTTTCCTAGCTTCCTGACAGAAGCAATATCTTCCTGCAGGAAGATTTTATCCTCTAGAGACCAGAATGAGCACTACAATTTTCTATCACCGTGTTTCTCACTCAATCAAAAATAATTGGGCATTCAAGGAGAGAAAACCTGACCCGACTAGAAAAGAAAAGAAACAATGAAAAGAGATCCACAGAACATTCAGATGATGAAGTTATCAAGCAGGGACATTAAAACAAATATAATTAATATGTTGGAGGCATTAAAAGACAGGATTGAATGCTTTAGTAGAGGACAAACATATAAAAAAATAGAATACACATACTGGAAATAAAAAAATACAGCAGCTGAAACTGAGAGAAATTAGTGGGTGAGTTTAACAGCCATTAGAGAGAGAGAAAGCGTGAACTAATGAAGTAGAAGGGAGATTTTTTTTTCTCTGACATTTTGTCAGAAAACGAAGTCATTACTGGAGATTTCTTTTTTTAAACTGGAAGCTTTATAACAAAATATGCTTTATACCGAAATATACCGAAAGGATACACTTTCTCCCCTCTGCTGTGTCAAAAAAGTTCTATTTTTTCTCATAATAGGTCCTCATACATGTGCTATTGTGTTCTTACTAAGTATTTGATAGGATTTTTGCTATTTGCTATCATGAATGGGACATTCTTAGTAAATTATTCTAAGATGTATTCAATTGATTCTCTTGAACTGTTAAAGTATAATCTTGGCTGCAAATCAGGATACGTAGTCTTGTTCTTTCCAACACACATGGCTGTTTCTTAATTTACAGATATGATCCCATTTCTAGATTAAACACTTGTGGTGAATATTTTTTAAATAATTATTAAATTTGATGTCTGCTGCAGATTTTGGTATATACATTTTATTGGGTTCAGAGGTTGTATTTTATCCTGGATTTCCTTGTTTGATTGTATAACAATGAGAATCGATGTCAAATTTTACCTATTGCTTTCTTTTCAGGAGATTTATTAAGATGTTCTAATTGCTTAATATAGTGGATTTTATCAATACACTTTCTAATAATCAGCCATTTTCTATTCCCAAGATAGTCCTTTAGGTCATGAGATATGATTGTTTCACTATGCTGCTGTTTTTTTCTTGTAGTTGCATCTATGGCAGTATTATTGCATCTATTTTAAGAAGTAGAGTTTGTCTACAGGTTTTGTTTTGTGTGCTATTCTCATCTACTTTTGATATCCAAATTATGATAGCCTCATAGAATAATGAACTTGAAATCTTTCCTCTCTCTGGAGAAAATCTGGAAGAAACAGAAGCCAACATTAAAATCATGTGTGCTGGATCTCGTAAAAAGCAGAATTTTCACATGACTCTCTTCTTCTTTTTCATTTTTCTATCTTAAAAATCCTCCCTACCTTTCTATAACTTCTTAATGCTAATGTTGCCAATTTAACCATCTTTAGGAAATAACTCATTTCATTTCAGTTTTCAAATGCATTGGCAAACACTTCAATATCCTTCCCCAAATTTGTAAACATTATATATCTGTAATATAATGTGTGCATGTGTTGAGAGAGAGATTAGATTTACTGAAATCTAAGTTGCTCTTGCTTAAAAGACATATAATTATTTTACAAATTACAAAGAAATAATAAAAGCTGCTGGCTGCCAGTTTACCTATAACAAATGCATTTTTGATCATTTAGAATATTTACTTTAAAATATTTGATAGAGATCTTTTACTTAGTCTTCTTTAGATGTGTAGAGTTCTGGTGCAGTGGTATGGTTATACACACATAAAAGGGAAAATATGCTGGTTAAAATGTCCCTAATGCGCCCTTACAGCAGGGCCCTCTGCTCTGAATTACTTCTGGAGCTGCCTCCTCCATTATCTCCCCAGCTCTTCTCTTGGCTCCATCCCTCCCCTCCTCTGGAACTTCTCTCCGCCACTGGGCTTTTCTCAGAAGGACATCTGGTGCTGAGGTCCAGAGTCCCACAGGCACTGTGTCCCAGGGCAGATGTGCCAAGTCCCAGGAGGAAAACTTCAAAGCTCCATTTTTTATGTTTCTCTCCTATGAGGGTCTGGCTGCCAAAGTCACCAGCCCTACGCAAGCAAGCTGAAGACAGAACCTGTCACCTCAAGGGATTCTCACAGTGTCCTTTCAGATTTGGTGTTTTCCCTGATAGGGAGGGAACCACGAGTCAGGGTCCTTTAGAGGCTTTTCACAAAGCCTCTCCTATGATAACCTTTGGTTTTATAGAAGCAACATCGAATTGTAAAATGGTGGAGTTAAAGTAACAAGCAACTTTAAAAGGCAATAAAATACCAAGATTATACCCTTAATGGAAGTGGCAGACCTAATGTTGAGGACTACTTTAAAGAAGGGTTATTTTGTTCTTAACAGATAACATGGAGACAGTGTAATACTTTCTTAATGTGCAATGAAGACCTAATTTTGAGGACTACTTTAAAGAAGGGTTATTTCGTTCTTAACAGATAACATGGAGACAGTGTAATACTTTCTTAATGTGCAATGACTCGAATTTATTGCTGGAGAAAAAGCACCATCTTAAACATTGATCTGAAGCATCTTATCTCACATGCTGGAGGTCTTGGAGTTGTGTGACTTCTGCTGTTCTATGTAATTACTGACGTGGCTTGAGGGGAAAGTGGGACTGCTCTAGTGGGGAGAACAGATGCAGAACCTGTTCTGGAGAACCTCACATACATTGAAGGTGCTGCTTTAAGAAAGTCCTGGCTGGGCGCGGTGGCTCACGTCTGTAATCCCAGCATTTTGGGAGGCTCAGGTGGGTGGATCATTTGAGGTCAGAGAGACCAGCCTGGCCAACATGGTGAAACTCTGTCTCTACTAAAAACATAAAAAATTAGCCAGGTGTGGTGGCGGGCGCCTGTAATCCCAGCTATTCAGGAGGCTGAGGCAGGAGAATTGCTTGAACCCAGGAGGCTGAGGTTGCAGTGAGCTGAGATAGTGCCACTGCACTCCAGCCTGGGTGAGAAGAGCAAAACCATCTCAAAAACAAAAATGAAAGAAAGAAAAGAAATGAAAGTCCTATGCTGAATGCCAGGAAAAGGAACCAGCACTGAGAAGTGCTAGCATGAGCCGTAGGAGGGAGTCAATGCCTAATGTTTGACTGCCAGTGAGGATAACAGCAGTACTGATTTTAGAGGATAATTTGGAGCATTAAATTAGGCTAATGTAAAATTGTCAGCTTGTCTGTTTCAATATTTTCATGCTCTTCTCATGTTTTGTTTTGTCTTGGCTTATGCACTGATCACCACCCCCCCATGACGGGGGTGGGGATACACTACTGTCAGTTTATAAAGATGAAGGAAAGCCAAATACCATCTGTGTCAATCCTACCAAGCTGAAAGGTTGCAGGATGGGGTGGTTGTGCCTACAGAGGAAAGCCTTGGGCATCAAGAAATCATAACCAATCACTTCTCCCCACACTATGAAGTGCTTAGCTATGGGAGAGGCATTGGGTAACAGTCCAATACATGTTAGCTGCATTGCTGTGTTGTTATTGTCATGAATGTTTGCTAATGTATAACAACTACATCCCTTTGATATCAGCTTATATTAAACCCACAATTACCCTAACAAGTTCTCATGTAATTTTGGGAAGAGTGTTAGACATCTGGTTCCAGGGACCTAAATAATGTGATTATCTCCTCATCTTTATAAATGGAGACCAACAGTTTCTAAAGATTTTGTGTCCCTCAAAGCAAATTCTTTCAGTTTTCTTAATGCAGAGGAGTAAAGAAAACAATCTCTTAGGAGTTTAGAAACAGGGAGCTTATGTTTATTTATGTATTTATTTACTTATTTATTTTTTTGAGACAAGGTCTCATTCTGTTGCCTTGGCTGGAATGTAAGGACATAATCATGACTCACTGTAGCCTTGAACTCCTGGGCTCAACAGATTTTCCCATCTCAGCCTCAGAGTAACTGGGATTACAAGTGCACACCACCATGCCCAGTTAATTTGTAAACATTTTTCTTTTTGTAGAGACGAGGTCTCACTATATCAATCAGGCTAGTTTCGAACTCCTGTCCTCAAGTGATCCTCCCACCTCAGCCTCCCAAAGTGCTGGGATGACAGATGTGAGCCATCTCACCCAGCCAATCTTTATTTTTCATTTTGCTTTAAAAAAAACAGCTCACACTTGCTTGAATTTTGTTAACTTGATAAGTTGCCTCAAGCAGCAACAGAGTCTAAAATGTACAGACAAACCCAGCAATGAAAATCACTGCTTGAGGAAGATTGTAACAGCTTGAACCTGGCAAACAGTAAATAAGACTGGGTCATTTTCATCCTTTTATACCCATCTGGTGGTGGTGGTTAGTTTTCTAAAAGGGTAGAGTACTCCGAAGTTTCTGTGGTCTGGTAAATTTTGGGTCTGTGGTTACGCGACTGATTTTAATCACATCTCTACTCTGGGATACCCCAATACCTGAGGGTTAACTGTCTGGGTACCCAGTAATATCACTGAATCTTCAAATCCTGGACAGAAAACTCAGATGAAGTGGTTAGTCACCGTGTCATGGCTGGACAGTTAATGGGTGCTTCATTCTAGCTGAGCTGAATCCAAGTCAAAGACCTAACCAAAAGGGGAGGGCACAGAAGTAAGGGCTTTTTTTTTTTTTTAATGAACTTCCCCTTTGACAGCTGAGGGCTCACAGATTTCAGGGGGGTGAATTTCTAGGACCCTGTCTGGTAGAAGGGGAAGACTTCTCAGCACTAGGACAGGGAGTGGGACACTCTTCCTTCATAACCACCTTGGGGAGTTCACAACTGCTTTTCCCCTAGAGAAGAGGCAGACTATAAATACAGAATGAAACTAGAATATTTCTCTAATAGGGAAAATTATTTTTTCTCCTCCTCCTTTTTCACTTGACTTGCTTTTGGGCTAAACAAGATTCCTCTGCTTCCCCCACCAAGTTATTTCTATACTGACACAGTGAATACTGGATCTTCCACCTTCCCAAGAGAAAGATGAAGGAAATTGGTGGTCTTTTAAAAAGGCAAATCAAAATGCATTCTTGCCAGGTTCTTTTATTTTTCCACATCATTTTCCCTAATACTAGAATATCTTCCCTAGCTACTCCGGTTCAGTTGAAAACAAAGCTGAAGTACAGCAGTTTTGATCTCAGTGTTGGTGGAAGCCCTCCCTACTGCCAGCTCTCCTTTGGGGAAGGTGGGAGACAGAGAACATTGATTTTCAGAGGCTGGGGTCCCTCTCAGCTTCCCTACTACAGGCGGTCCATGAAGACCCTGTCCCCTATTCTCCTCCTTCCTCTGCTTCTCTCCTCCTGAAGTCCTGAAACCCAAAGCCAATATATTTGCTTCTTCTGTATTCAGCAAATGCCTAGGATTATCATTTACATTTAGCAAAATGCTAATGAGGACCTAATTATAATTCCATATTTAAAACCATTAGACCCCGAGATACTGTATTATTCACTCACCCACCCCCCAGTTGTTTTTTAAGTGTGGGGAAGAAAGGCAGAAAGAGGTTCTTCTCTGGTCTAGGTGGTTTAAGTAAAAGCCATCCTCAGGCCCAGAAAAACAGAATTGCAAAGGCACTTAGGTTTCAGAATTTGAGCTGGAAGATGTAACCGCACAGGGGGCCAGGAGCAAGGTGACTGAGGGAGGCTTTGGCTGGAAATGCATCCCACCTGCCCAATGGTGCAGCTTGTGTACAAGTGTTGGGGGTGGGCAGCCAGCAGCTTCTTCACACAGAGGCCCCCGCTCCCAGCTGCCTGGCTCTGCCTGCCTGAGTGTCCAACAGCGTGTTGATACAACTCTCTTCATGGTGGCCTGAGCTCACTCTAACCCTCTTGAACAGGGCATTTGGGAAAGCAGGTTTAAAAACTCAACCACTTCTTCCTTCTGAATGGCTGCAGCAGCCTGATTTTCATGTGGCCTAGAACATTCTGCCAGGCTCTTCCACAACAGTGAAGCCGAAGGCCCCATGCTCTGAGATGAGCTGGTAGGGCAGTGAGAGGCAGCTTCTGCTGAGCCTGTTTGCACTCTGTCATCCACATGGTGCAGCATGCCTGACACCTGTGAAAGGAAAATAAGAGCTCAGGACCCCAGTTCACAGTGCCAAAAGGAAAAACATGAGCAGAAAGCTGAGGCATGCAAGAAGCTGCCTTTCCTTTTGTTCCTCAGCAGACAGCTACAGATCAAGGTGAAACATCTCCACAGTTAGCTGCTCTATGTTCACCATATCTTATGTAAAGTGCTGACTTACTGAGCCCAAGATTAATATGTCATGGACTATTCCTCTGCCTGCTCCTTTTCTCTTGCCACATGTGAATTCTGTTATGTGACCATAACCTCCCTCTTTCTCCTCCAGCCTGCTTGTCCCCTTTAAATACTCAAAAGCCCTCAAAAGCATCTTTGGAAAAAGACATAGACCAAACTGTTTCTATGATTCCGTGTTTGTTTCTTCCAGGCATGTTCTTAACATTGGCAAAATACACTTTTAAACTGATTGGGAGCTGTCTCAGATACTTTTTTGGTTTACGCACCCAACCTGCCAGGTGCCACCTGGCCTGCTATATGGGGAAGAAGTAATCTCTATTGCTGATGTCATAAGGCCTCCACGGGTCCCTGGCATCTGGTCAGCCGTGGCTGGGGGTGGTGTCCATTCCAAGGCTGCTGGGGGACACTGAAGGGAGATGAGAGGAACAAGCACTGGGGTGGTTCTAGGTCTCTCTAGGACCAGCCACCCCAAAGAACACAACCAGTGCATCCTGATCTTATCTTCTTTCAGACCCTGCAACTTCCACGTCTTCTTTAACCCAGAAAGCTTGTTGCATTTGCAGAATCTCTGGGGAGAATATTATCATCATCTTTATTAGTAGTAGGTGTTTGCATGGAGGTGGTCTCAGCTGGAGGACTCCTGGAGTCTGCCCAAAGGATTCCCATGACCTCTGGGCTCCACTTACTTCACAAGCCTTGCCCCAGCTCCTCCTGGGCCTGAAGCTGTGTCTGGTGCCTCATGCCTTTCCAGGTGTTGTGAATGACACACTGATGTTGGAGATCCTTGGCCATCCATGTTATGAACATTTTTGACTATTTAGCCAGGTATCAAAGCTCAAACCATAGTCTGTAGAAATATAAGTTCCAGGAGTGGGGGTCTTGCTAGGTGACGTTGAGCCAGCAGGGCTTTCTGGCCACAGCAATGACTGTGATGTTGACAGGTGGGTCGGACTGCAGGATTCCATAACCCTCTAATATTTGGGTTTTGCTGAACTTGCTCCCAATACTGTTGGTGACACACAGGGACACTGTATAGAAAGAGTAATCTCCCTCTGGCACTGCCAACTGGCAGAACTTCTGGGACTCCTGAGAATACTGACACGGCTCCTGGAAGAGTTCTGCCTGACAGTTCTGAAACTTTCTCAGCAATAGCACAGCTTTGACTCAGAACCTTGACTCCAAGGACTCTATTCACAACCAATGTCACTGAGGGGGCTCTTCCAGAAGCAGGAGAGCTGAGGCTCCTCAGGAGAAACATCCACCAACAAAGCACAGACCTGCTGGGCAGCCAGCCCGGCAGCAAGAATAGTTTCCAGAGTCGCAGAGCTGCACCAACCTCAGAAGCAGCCTCCTTCCCACACCAGCCCATCTGCTGGGGCGTGAGCCTGCGCTGGGAGTCCTGTGCAACCAGTGGACAGTGGCATGATTTTCAGGTTCTCCCTCTGGACAGGTCAGGGGAATGCAGTATCCTGGTCAGCACATCACTCACTGCCTCCAGCGTAGGGCAGCCTCTTGGGCCAGCACTGCCCGCAGTGTGGCCAGCAGCACTCAGCTGATGGCCAGCATGCTTCCTTCTTGGCTAATGCCCAGTGGTCCCAGAGAGGTGGATGGACTGGTGGGAACCAGGAGGCAGAGGCAGGGTGACAGGTGGGCAGGTGGGCTCAGGACAGGGGGCAGCCCCCATTCGGTTCCCTCTGGCCCCGCCCAGCCTGGCTCAGTAGGGGTCAGTGCGATTTCCCACTCCCATAACTTGGAGCAGTGACGGGTACTGACAATGCAGGAAAACATCTTGAAATTCACTTTGTAAAGTGACTTGGCTAGACCAATTTATTTTCCCATCAATAGTGAAAAAGAGGACCTGTTTCTTCCCAGTCTTGACCTATTAGTGAGATACGAAATGTTGATTTTTTGCCAGTCTAACAGGTATAATTTTAATTTGCATTATTTTATAATGATATTCTAGTATTTTCTGAACAATCTAAGTTCTTCATTTAATGAAGTAGAACATTTTAAATATTTTTATGAGTTTGTAAAATTTGAGTCTTGTTTAAAGAGCTTTCTCATCCCCAAGCTGATACAGATAACTTCCATCATCATCTAATAGTTTATAATTTTGCCTGTTATAATTGCTTATAATACTTTTATACTTTTTTACCTTGCTTTTTAGTTAACGTTCGAGGCTCCTTTCAATGTTCTCAACTCTTCAAACAAGTGTTCTTTCTGGAAAAGGTATTATTCTATTTTAAATTTTATCAGTTTTCTGCCTGCAGTTGGGAATACCATGCTAAGTGCTCTGCCTGGTAAAGTCAGTGTATATTATACTCTTTAGCACAGCTATAAGATCATTGCATAACAAAGACATGCTTTGCCTTCTAATCTCATAACAAAATGATCTACACTCCACTCTGGCTTGAAAGTGTGACTTTTGGAGTCCGCTTTTCTCCTCTTCTCTTGGCAAACGTAAGAAGATGCATTGAAATTAAATGACTAAAATGCCATAGGATGGCATCGCAAGCAGCGCTGGAAGGCCGTCACTGCAATTTGTAGTGCACCAGAGTGCAAGGCAAGGAGAACGCACATCTGGTCTTGGCCGCAGCTGCTCAGCCCTGTTGTTAGCGTTGCCCTGGGCGAGCAGCCATGAACAGTACACAAGTGAATGAACAAGACTGTGTGCCAATAAAACTTTACTTATCGACACCAAATTTGAATTCCACGTAATTCTCACATGTCATAAAATGTTACTCTCATTTTGATTTTTTAAAAAAAAAACCATTTGAAAATGCACAAATGGTTCTTCTCTGGAGAGGATACAAAAGCAGCAATTGCGCTATAGTTTGCCAACCTCTGCTGTAGGATAGCTTTTCCTACAAGAGATTTGTGCAATTATGCCTGCATCAATTATAAAGTATATTATGCTTTTCATACTAAGTGCAACTTCATTAATTCATTGGATAAAAATGTGTTCAGTGTCTGGCAAACGACAAGGAATAGACCAGGCGTAGGGATATGGCAGGAGTGAGCCGCTCAGCATGGCTGCCTTTACGAGGCTTTCAGTCCAAGCTCAGTACTATTTATGCATAAAGTTCCAGAAATAAATGATTTATCTTTGGACTTCCACTGAAATTAGTGGGTAAAATCAACAAATAGCCATTTCCAAAATGATACGTTAAGTACTGAGATAGAGGTAAGCACCACACCTTATATAAGCACATGAGAAAAATTCTAACTTAGAATGAGATAATAGAACCGTGAACATTTTTCCTAGAACTGAATATTGAGCTGCCTCTTGAAGTACAAGAAATATGTGTCAAATAATGGAGGAAGGAGCATGGTGGGAAGTAGCATTTGTAAAGAGAGATCAAACAGATAACAACATCAACCTAAATGTGGGATTGTAACATCCATTTTCTTAAGGGATTCCTCAGGATCAAGTGCAAGTTCAATCAGAACCCCAGTCTCTGGTTACATTTCTTTTCCAAGGAGATGGGGCAGCTCTGAGGACGGATGATTTTAGACCATACAGTAGGATAAATATCTAAGACTTATTAGGAAGAATAGAAATAAAATAATGTATTTTGGGTGTGGGGTTGGAGGTTCTGATTATTATTATTATTATTATTTTTGAGACAGAGTCTCACTCTGTCGCCCAGTGCAATGGCACAACCTCGGCTCACTGCAACCTCTGCCTCCGGGGTTCAAGCGATTCTCCTGCCTCAGCCTCCCCAGTAGCTGGGATTACAGCGCCACCACACCCGGCTAATTTTTGTATTTTTGTAAAGACGGGTTTTACCATGTTGGGCGGCTGGTCTTGAACTCCTGACCTCAAGTGATCCACCCGCCTTGGCCTCCCAAAGTGCTGGGATTACAGGCGTGAGCCACCGCGCCCAGCAGGTTCTGATTATCTTAAGCACTGTCCTGCCTCCTGCTGCTTTATAACCTCAACAAGCCACCTCCTTGCTGACAGATGGTGACAGAGCAGTTTGGATTACAGAACAAGTGGTAACGAGGGCAGTTTGTAGCAAGTAGAGTTGAGTATAGCAAGTACAGTGAGTTGTATGTAGCTCATTTTCAAAATAGCTCTCAGACTATTGATGAGAAAATGTACATCAATTTTGATACCTAAGTTTATTTTTGTTGCAGGAAAACAGTCACAAAATAATCAAATTATCTACAACTTTAAGCCACCATATTATTTTAGTTAATCTGGAATGTCAAATGGTTTGCTGAGGGTAAATATTAGCATTCCTACTGACTGTATGTTTGGAGTTTTTTCACTATAAAATTTGAGACATTCTTCCAAAGTGAATCCATGCATTTGTTATTATTTAGGATTAAAACGATGAAGGGCAATGATTTCTTGGTGTAATTACTCTGAGTAAATAATTGATAAAATAGCATATATCTTGAAGGATATTAAGGAAAATGCCCTCCAGACTCTATTTTCATAATGGCTAAAATATTGGTAAATGCAAGGACCTCCCAATAAGCGAGTTGTAAAGTTGAGACTCAAATGTTAAAACATTGCCCAATGCTTAAGAATACCACAAATATTTTGAAAGAGATATATTTGAAGAATGGTCTCCAAATCTAGCAATTCTCATAACTGTTTTACATGACTCTCTTTTCAGACTGAAATTTATTAGACCCTCCTCTGGTCTAGTTATAAACGCCATAAGTTGATAGGAATACAGTGGACACAAATGAGTGGCAGGCATGGTGGGCTGGAAACAGCCGTCCCTTGCATACTGGAAGTACCTTGTGTGCATGCACTGTGCTTCTGAAGGGTCTTCCTGCCCCACAGTGGCCCACATCCTAGGCTTTCCTTTATTGAATGGGCAATGCACCCTGCCTTACGTGGGATTTGCACTGCCATTGGCTGTTCGTGGAGGAGATAAGAGGTTTAACAACAGGGCTGGGTGATCTGACCCTAGTCTTTTTGTTCCCAGTGTCTCAAACAGTTTTTGCATGTGCTGTGTTTACTAACTCCAATTGTATTTTGCCCAGATTATTTTCCTCTTAGTCTTTTCAATCCATCTGTGTTTTATGAGCAAATGGTTTTGGTTTGTTTCTCCTTAACACTTGTCAAAGTGTGGGTTTGGTATCTGTGCAGTGTTTGATGTTTGAGAGCACCCTGGAACCCTTTGCTAACAATAAGAATTCACATGTTGATGAGGGTAAGCCAGGTCACTAAGGAAGTGTTTTTGCATTTTGCGCTGATTTCAGCCAAGCTTCCTCTTGCCTTGCTGCTTTGCACACACAGCAAGCACAATATTGCTCAACGGCCCAGCAGGGCCCAGCCATGCATTCTGTGATGGGCTCCTGTGCTTCATGTCTCTTTACCCCATAAGTCATTCTAGCCCATATGGTACTGGGGTGGCAGCCTGGCCCAGTGGGGGTGTGCCTCCTCATCCTGTCCCTAGAGCCCTCAGTCAGGGTGGGAGGGGTGGTCTTTTGAGAGCAAAGCCTTTCACTCCCTGTCCTGGGTACAGAAAGGTAATTAATTTTCAACTAAATTAATTAGGCTGATTTTCTTATTGTGGTATGCTATAATTAGAGGGCTGTCTCTTGTCTTAGAAAAGAAAGGAGGCCAAAACCAATCATTCAGATTTAGAATCATGCTTTTTGAACCCAAAGGATTCAACATTGCTTATGTAAGAGTCAGTTCTAGGAGGTTGTCAGACAGCAATAAACTGACCTACTTGATTAACACACTCACACACACATACCACATATTTGCTTGTTAGGAAAGGAAAGACTGGCTGGGCACGATGGCTCACGCCTGTAATCCCAGCACTTTGGGAGGTGGAGGCAGGTAGACCACATGAAACCAGGAGATCGAGACCAGCCTGGGCAACATGATGAAACCCCGTTTCTACTAAAAATGCAAAAATTAGTGGGACATGGTGGGGCAAGCCTGCAATCCTAGCTACTCAAGAGGCCGAGGCACGAGAATTGTTTGAACTCAGGAGGCAGAGGTTGCAGTGAGGCAAGATTGAGCCACTGCCCTCCATCCTGGGCAACAGAGCAAGACTGCATCTCAAAAAAAAAAGAAAGAGAAAAGGAAAGAAAGAAAAAAAGAAAGAAAGAAAGAAAGAAAGAAAAAGGAAGGAAGGAAAAGGGAGAGAGAAAGAAAGAGAAAGAGAGAGGGAGAGAGGGAGGGAGGGAGAGAGGGAGGGAGAGATGGAAGGAGGAAGGAAGGAAGGCAAGAAGGAAGGAGAGAGAAAGAGAAGGAGGGAAGGAAGGAAGGAAGGAGAGAGAAAAGGAGGGAAGGAAGGAAGGAAAAAGAAAAGGAGGGAAGGAAGGAAGGAAGGGCTGTTGACATCATACGGAAAAATTTTATAAATGTTCTGCCAACTTTCATCTTGGGCTTACTGAGAAATTCTAAAGAAAGTGCTTGCATTAACTCACCTCTATTTTTGTGTGTAGTGTACAGTGTGCATTAATCACTTTAGATAGAATGGGCTAGATAGAATCTGTAATACTCATTAATTTTCTGCTTATAACTCCACTGAGTCCCATCACGGGTTCCTAAAATTATACCTGAGATACCAGGAGAAAGGCCCCAGAAGTTACCATTATTCAACCCTGCTGGCTAATAGGTGAGAAAATGACACCTAGAAAAGTTGAGGTCTTTATCCAGAGACACAGGTTGCCGTAAAGCTCAAACTAGAGCCAGGTCTCCTGTGTTCCTGTATCCTTTCCATTACAGATATGATGTCAATGACTGTCTACACTCAGTAATCTTTTGGGAGGAAGAGGAAAGATGGTATCTTGATAAATCCTAGAATCACCAATGAAACTTTAATTTTATTTATTTATTTATTTTGAGACGGAGTCTTACTCTGTTGCCTAGGCTGGAGTGCAGTGGCGAGATCTCGGCTCCCTGCAACCTCTGCCTCCTGGGTTCAAGCGATTCTCATGCCTCAGCCTCCCAAGTAGCTGGGATTACAGGTATGTGCCACCACACCCAGCTTATTTTTTGTCTTTTTTAGCAGACACGGGGTTTCACCGTGTTAGCCAGGATGATCTCGATCTCCTGACCTCGTGATCTGCCCACTTCGGCCTCCTGGAGTGTTGGGATTACAGGGGTGAGCCACCGCACCCAGCTTACCAATGAATCTTTTTCCAGGTCATCAGAGCTGTCTCTTCCCTCCCCCAACCCTGACTGCCCTCCTCTGCCCCTGTAGTCTTCTACAAGGTTATGTCTACATGAAATTCATGTAGATGAAACTGATGGTCAAACTTAAAGCAATGCTTATGTCAAGATGGCAGCAGTCCTCTCCTGCAGTTTGGTTTTTATCTTGATGAGTGAGGGCGTCTCTCTACTAGCCAGCAGGGTGCATCTGCTCCTTGCTGTGGATGGATTACTTTGCCCGAGATGTAGAGATGAAATCAGAAGGAAAAAAACGTGAAGACACCAAGACTAAACTGAAAACCCCAACAGCAGTTTCAGGAGTCCACAACCATCCCGTTTTGATCTGTAATCAGCTCAAGTTGACAGGTGCCTCCAGTTGGACCTGATTCTTTTCCAGCCAAGAAAATGTCTACAGATTGCATTTGTGCTGTTGGAACTCACTGCTGTGGAAGGGGCCGTGGTCCAGCCCTGATTCAGCTTTGTGGTGGAAAGAAACCTGTCCCTCCGCCTTCATTTTCTCTCACCCATCACCAGAGGCACAGTTGTCAGCCTTTGCCACAGAGCCACACAAAAGGGGTCAGGCCGGCCTGGTCTCACAGAGGAGCATCTGGAACCAGCCTTTGGGCTTTCTCATGCGGAAGTCTGGCCTCATGCAGGCAATTATTTTTTATTACTTGTCAAAATCTCCGTAAGGCCAGTGGTTCCTTCTCTTTTTATGTAGCTTTTTTGTTTTGAAATAATTTCAAATTTACAAAAGGGTTACAAGATAGTGCTGAGAATTTCTGGTCCTTCCCAAGCTCCCTCTAATGTCAACATCTCACAAAACCACGGTGCACTCATCATTGATACAACACAATTCACTAAACTACAGACTATTCAGATTTCACCAGCTTTTTGCTCTGGCCTTTTCCTCTTCCGGAGTCCCATCCAGAATATTACACCACATTTAGTAGTCATGTCTCTTTAGTCACTTGGAATTGGTGACAGTTCCTCAGGGTTTTTTGTGACCTTGATACTTTTGAATAATACTCATCAAGTATTTTGCAGACTTTCCCTCATACTGGGGTTGTCTGTTGTTTTCTCGTGGTGCCACAGAAGTCGTGAATCTTGAGGGAGAATTCCATAGGGGGGCTGTGTCTGTCTGCCTTTTATCATCATACATGAAGGGGTGAATGATATCAACCACCTGTGATGTTAATGTCATGTTCACCCCTTCACTTGTTTGCCTGTTCACCCGCATCACTTGGTTAAGGTGGTGTCAGCCACTGAAAAGTCACTATTCTCCACTGAAAAGTCACTATTTTTCCCTTACCATGCTTTGTTCCTTAGGGGAGGGCAACTAAGTTTCAGTTCCAGAAAAGAAGAATGCTAAAGTATTTGGGGAGATATTTTTAAACTACCACAGTAATTAGGAAATATTTGGGGGTAAATACTCTGAGATTGTGGAAATATCAAGCATTCATCAGTGGGTCTTCCCTGCTGCAATTATGGCTGTGGGATTCTCGTGGTGATTTCCATTTCTCTCAATCCTCTTGCATTTATTAATTGGAATTATTCAATAGGAAAAATGTGTTTCTTCTCTCCCATCTTACTTATGTAGTCATTTATTTATATCAACATGAACTCATGGCTATTTATTTTATTCTTTGGGTTACAATCAAATACAATAATCATTTCTTTTTCTTGCTAAAATTGTTGCAGCTATGACCATTGGTAGCTCCTTCAGGTTTGTTCCTTTTGAAATACTCCTATGACCACCTCCAACCTCCAATTGTTTTAAATCACTTGCTCACTTTCTGGCACAATAAGATGCTCCAAGCTCACCTTCTATTTTCCCTTCCCCAGCCCTAGCATCAGACATTGTCTGTGGAGTCCTGGTTCTTTTTATTGGAGAATGATTTTAGACACCAAATTCTAGGTGCTGGTGTGTGCTTATTGCTACTAGGATGTCACAGTTTCTAAGTCCTCTCAGCAGGCAGAAATAGAAAAAAAAAAAGTGTATGTATATTAACCCATGTGTAAACATACATATGTATTTATTTCTGTATATTCATTTGTAGACACATTAAAATAAACAGAATTCATATTAATATCTCCAACTGCAAACCAGAAGAATAGAGTTTATCCTAGCATTTCTTCCCCTCTTGCTTACTTGTAACTTCTTTCTCTGTGGGTAAGAATCCTGGGTCTCATGATCTATAATTTATTTACTCACCTGTTTAATTCTAGTACACAGGTAAAGTTGTTTCAGAATCGCTAATCTCTACTCCTGTGAGAAACAAATGTATTCACTAGAGTACAGTCCTATGTAATTAACTCTACATAAACCCTGTAGAGTACTGGTTTTATGTAATTAAAACCTCTTGTCTTTAGCCTTACAGTATCCAGTCAAAATTTCCCCTTTAAAAATAATAACCTCCAAATAACTGCCTCATTCTACCACCTTATCTTCCCATTCCTAATTCCCTTTAACTTGCTCAATGTTTTTCATTAAAGTTACCACCTTTTAGTGTACTGTGTAAACTTGCATAGATATTAAACTCTGTCTGTCTCCCTGACGAGGATGCAGGCAGGGGTCTTTGTGGGAGCATCATGGTCCTCAACACACATTCATTAAATCAAGTGACCATAGGTAACTGAGGGTGAATATCCATGTAAATTCAGAAGTGGACCCCCAAAGAAGACCTTAATACTTCCACAAGTAATCCAGAGATCTGGTCGGAATTCCTCTGTTTTACCTATTTGCAGCATATCAGCTTCTTCAAGGCAAGCCTCCTCAACTCCACTGCAGCCCCATGGAAACCCGCTGACCTCTCATAGCCGTGAAATCACCTGAGGCACGAGCTCCCCATCTAGGCTGTACATTGGAGCCTGGTACCTGGGATCTGTTTCCAGGAATCAAATTAATCAGGGGTAGGGACTAAACATTAGGTTTTCAAAAATTGTGGTAAAATACACATAACATAAAATTTGCCATTTTAACTATTTTTAAGTGTACAGTTCAGTGACATTAAGTGCATTCACATTGTTGTGAAACTGTCACCACAATCCGAGTCTGGAACAATTTTTATCTTGCGAAACTAAACTCTATACCCATTGGAAACTCCGTACCCATTAAATAACAAATCCTGATCCTCCTCTCCCACTAGACTCTGGCAACCTCCATTATACTTTGTCTCTATAAATTTGATTACTCTAGGTATCTCATATGAGTAAAATCATATAATATTTGTCTCTTCGTGACTGGTTTATTTCATTTAACATAATGTCCTCAAGGATCATCCATGTTGTAGGATGTGTCAGAATTTCCTTCCTTTTTAAGGTTGAATAACATTTCATCGTATAGACAGACCACATTTTGTTTATCCATTCATTGATCTATGGACACCTGAGTTGTATTCACCTTTTGTTCATTGTAAATAATACTGCTATGAACATGGGTGTACAAATATTTGTTCAAGTCCCTGCTTTCAATTATTTAGGGCAGGCCAGGCGCAGTGGCTCGTGCCTGTAATCTCAGCACTTTGGGAGGCCTAGGCGGGCAGATCACCTAAAGTCAGGAGTTCGAGACCAGCCTGGCCAACGGTGGTGCAACCCCGTCTCTACTAAAAATACGAAAATTAGCCAGCTGTGGTGGTGGTTGCCTGTAATCCCAGCTACTCAGGAGGCTAAGGCAGGAGAATCGCTAGAACCTGGGAGGCAGAGGTTGCAGTGAGCCAAGATCGTGCCATTGCACTCCAGCCTGGGCGACGTGCAAAACTCCATCCCCCCCAAAAAAAAATTATTTAGGGAAATACCCAGAGGTAAGATTACCTAAACATTGGGAATTTTAGGTGGCTTTCTAGGTGGTTCTGATGTACCACCAAGATTGTAAGCCGATGTCCTAATGTTTTCATCACACTGCTAATGAGGGAGGTTGCTGGAATTACAAGGGTTAACACCACTCCATTCATATTATTGAATGGATGGATTCATAATGAAGTGTTCTTGGGTGCCATGCAAAAAAATTCAGATTCATTTTTTAAGAAAAAAGTGGAGTTGGATATTAAAACTGAAGGGATTTTTACAATGGGGTTTCAGAAAGTAGTCGTAATATCAGTGTGTCATCTGCAGCCCTGAAAGCAAAGTCTGGTTTTAGCTTAACTCCCATCTCAAAGTCTAAGTCAATTGCCAGTTTAGCTAACATACACTCTGATGGGATGAGAAGAGGAAAATGCAAGTTCTAAGATGTGACTTTAACTTATTCAGATCATTTTTAAAATGCTTAATGTAAGTCCATCACAGTTTCGTAAGTTTCTCCCCAAAATGTTTCTCAGAATGCCTTTGCAATGAAAATGTATTGGGTAAGATCTTTTGTCTTCAGATATATATCAATTTATTTCTTTTGAACTCCAACTGCCAAAAGAAAGAAAAAGAATAAAAAGGAAATAAAAAAGAATAAAAGGAAAACAAGATATGTATTTCCCCCTCTGTCTAGACATCCTGCTTCCCCCAGGCTTCTAGTAGAAACCACAAAGGGAGAAACCTCAAACCCCTGAAAAGCATCGCCCCGGAGTGGGGAGGAACATCTTACCAGGTCTCCTGCCACCATCTTCAAGGTGCTAGGTTTCCGCAGCAGTCATAAAACACAGCTTGCCCTGAGCTGTGAGAAAGGGGCTACAGAAGCAGCTGTTCAGCTGCTCACCTGGATGCTGTCCTGCCCCGCAGCCCAGCCTAGGGGAGCTGGACAAGGTCAGGCACCAGCTGCATTCTCTGGAAAGCAGGCTTCCCTTCTGGCATCTCAGGCCAGATAGATGGTCGTAGTTCTTAGGAATAAGGCCTGGGGAGTTGCACCATGGACCAGCAGCAGAGGAGGAGGGAGGAAGCTTCTGCCCAAATGACCATGGTCTGTTCCATGGCTCCAGGCCCAGCTGACTCCACTGTACCAACAGGAGAGGGACGACTTCCCTGGAAGTGAAGGGAAGGGAGTGGCAGAGCGGCAGCTCCGGCAGTATGTCCATGCTGGAAGGTTGCCGGCCCACCAAGAGGAGAGTGGGACATGTATTAAATCTTTGTGGCTCCTGCTCCCAGGAGTCAAGGTCATTGTTCAGTGGAATGAAGGCCAGTGTGCTGTGACAGCTGGGCCTGTGTCCCCAGCTGTGCAGGGCTGGGGTAGGGGGAGGGGCTGAAGCCACCATCCAGGGGCAGTCACTATTTCTGAGAGTGTTGGCAACACAGGGTCTTTAGTTAATTAGATGGGCTCGTGCCCCTGCAGCCCAGTGACCCTTCATCTCGGGCTGTCACCCATCCATCCATTCCATTTTTTGTCTGTTCAGGCCACTCATATTTGCTTTTTCTTCAAACACTAAGACAGGTGATGCAGCACTAGTTGGAATTCCCCATGCAGCCCTAGCTAAGAATTCCCTGGCCTCCTTCACGTACACTCACACCCCTCACATGTCTCTCTCTCTCTCTCTCACACACACACACACACACAGACACTCTCTGTCATACAACATTACCTCCTGATGTCCTCTGAGTTTTGGACTCTTTTCTAACTACCTGCATGGTAGGATGCTATGGCAAGAAAGTAAGTAAGGCGGGTACCCCATTCCTTCTTCTTTATCCATAAGCTGCCCACTAGCACTCCCAGTTCCTCGCTCTGGGGCCCCCTGTGGTCCCACCGGCCCTTCAGGGGCTGGCTGGGTACATGTGGTGTGCTGGCCCACGACTTCCCTTCCGTAGAGCCGAGAAACAGCCATGCTGCATGCCGAGGTAATGATCTACACCCTGACCCAGTGAAGATGACTCCTCCCTCCGTTTCACTGCATCCACCATTAACACTGATGCCAGAGGGACAGAGGTGGTCACGCTGACTTTCTGAGGGACAGATGAAAGGACGAAGAAGGAAGGAGGAAAGAGACAAATATTTATTGTCCACCTAATACAATATTTTTCCATTTTTGGGATCTACAGCCCCAAGTAAGAAATACATTTGTGTATGAGATACAATGGAAACAAAAGTGTCATGAAAAGCTTACCCTCACTATGTATGATAAAGAAAAACTATAACAAAGTTAACATCAAATATGACACAGAAGATTTAAATACAAACCCCCAGTAAATCATTTAGAATCAACAACAACAAATCAATTCGAACAATGACCTACTGGATTGATTTTCCTTTCCACTAATGGGTGGCAACCCACATTCTCAAAACCGCGGCATCAGTCTGGGCCAGATGCTACCTGCAGCACGTCTCATTTAACGCCCGCAAAATGTATTTGAAAGCGGTATTAATAGCTCCATTTTACAGATGAAGAACCTAAAAGCTCAGTCAGTATAACTGACTAGGGGAAACACTTCACCTAATAAAAGCCAATTTGGCATATAGCGCCATATCATTCTTGTCCCTCTCTCGACTTCCAAGGCAGTGGGCATGTCCCCTGCTTGGGGTGGGGTTGTGGGGCGGCGGGACCGGGGTGGGCGGGGGGCGGGTAGCAGGAGCTTCCTGACCCTGGGTCGGCTCAGGGTCTCCACCAGACCCTTACATAAGTAAGGAAAAAGGTCAGGTTCACTTGACAGCAGCCAAGAAACATTGCAGAGTAAGACAGTCCCCTCTTTTAAGGCTTGGTTTTGTGTCCAGCTAATGGGCACATGCTGCGTCCCCAGGGCTAAACCAAAGCCTGTGCCTGAGAACGGCCTGCAGCCTCTGCAGCAGCCTCTGCAGCAGCCTCTGCAGGACTCCGATGCTGCAGGGTTAGTGATGAAAGTCTCACCAATCCAACCTAGAGCACTGATTCTGCAACAATTTCTTCAGTAACTATTTGGGTTTTTTGTTTGCTTGTTTTCTGATGTTTTTTTTCTTTGCTCCGATTTTCTAATTAGCAAGATCCATAGCACTGTAGGTTTAATCTTGTTTTATTAATAAAAGGAGTATTCCCAAATTCAAGACTGAGCTGAAGTTAGTCCTTTATTTCTTTCCAGAGTTTGCTTTTCTAGGGGTCTTGCAGGGGCAGGTGCTGGTCCTGCTGCTGAGTGTGGAAAATAACCTCCCCTACCAGATGTTCTCTTTCTGGGATTTAATACAATGTTTGAGGATTTAATACAATCTGAAATAAGTTTGAGGAGTGAAGCTGAAATTATTTCACAGAGTCCCTTTCCTTCTACAGCCCCTCTAAAAATTCCACTTGGATCACATTTTGTGTCCAACAATACACTGGGCTTAAGAAATCAGGGTGGAAAGGAGGAGATCACACACTTCTGGGCCTTATGTGGATAATGAGCTTGTTCAGTGCTTCTCAAACCTCAGCTCATCTGGGAATCCTCTGAGAGGTTTGTTCCAACACAGATTGAGGGACCTACCCGAGTTTCCCACCCACCAGGTGTGGAGTGGCTGGAATTCACATATCTGACAGGTTTACTGGGGCTGCTCCCCATCTGGGGACCCACTTGGAGAACCATAGATCTAGTGAAGAGTTTTCCCCTCATGAAATGACTTAGGACTGATCTGAAGCTGAGCCCAGGGCTCCAGGCGCTCCTGCAAGGTGAGGGGATCACTGTGGGCCATGGCCAGCCTGTGTGAAACTGTGCTTCTGCAGCTAACTTTGCCTTCTCCCAGGCTTGTTCCCTCCCGGAAGCTGGAAGCCAGTGATTGACAGGTCCAAGTGCACCCCCACCCTTGCTGAGGCCAGCCCATCTGTTGAAGCATATGCTCTGAAACCCACAGGCTTCTACCAGGAGCTCATTATCTACAAATTACTAAGCTAGCAGCCGTGAACAGCTCCTCTCTGCCCGCGACAGTAAACCGCGCCGGCTGCCGCTCTGTCGCTGCTGAGACACAAGTCTGACAGGTGCTACCCAGCACCTGCCCCGAGGTCCTCTTCCTCCCTAGCTCTGTCCCACTGCCTGTGGACACTCGCAGAGAAGTGTTGCACAAAGACACTTCTGATCTTAATATAACTCTCAGGAAATTTGGCACTGACACCTTTCTCTGTTTTGGTAGCAATTATTAGTGACAATGAGGACTACATCCTGCACACTGTTGGTTTTCTTATGTAGAGCCTATTTAACATTGAACAGGGATGTCTCAGAAAAAGTCAAACCTGCAGATGCCCTCCAAGCCCTGGATAGGTGCGAGGCCCCCAGGGGGGCTGTGACTCAGGACCCTGCCCCCTCACGGAATCAGAAGACGTCCTGGAGCAGCCCTGGGGAAGACAGCAGTTGCTCGGCTGGCGAGCTTGGGGTACACCTGTCCACCTTTCTCCCCTTTGCTTGAGTTTCTTTGCTGGAGTTAGGTCACACAAACACCATTACTATTAATGTATTATTATTGTTTGAATGTGTGGGAAAAAAGCTGAATAAGAGGGGAAGAAAACTATCTTTTTCTGTTCAATATGCAAATAAGTTCAGTGTGAGTTGTCCGAAAGAGCTCACACAGTTTGCAAACTGGCCTGTGTGTGCACTGGGGCCACACAGTTACCTACACCCCAGGCAAGACACCTCAGAGGAGTGAAATTCTCCTGTACCTCATTTTATATCAACCATGGCTCCAAGCAGGTCCAGTGCCTTCCAGATGATTGCTTTTCCCTGGTTGAGCAGGGAAGAGGGCATGGTCTGCGCTTGAGAGTTGTATGGTTGAAGATAGCACCTTGAAGGAGATGTGAATCCCTCCAATGATGCATACACAGGTAGTTTTTCTAGATGCCCTGTTGGTCTCCGGAACTTGAAGTTATGGGAACTGCTCTTTGGCGCCTGATGGGGTGGAGAAGTTGAGTAACCACAGCTCTGTAGACAGGTGTCTGTCTTGAAAAGAAACCTTGGCGGCAGACCTGAATGTCTTGGCATGCTTGGCAGCCCCTCAGAGGGCAGCGAGAAGTCAGGAGCTGCCTTTCTGGGAGAACAAGTTCCCTTCCATGATAAATAGTGTCTAGAGTCTAACAAACGTGTTCAGTGTATCTATATGTGTCCAAGCCAGGGCATCTCACCTGCGGCCTGACCCTGGAGTAAGAGGAAACCGGATATGTATAGACTGTGACACAAATAAGTAAGGAAAAAGGTCAGGTTCACTTGGGAGCAGCCAAGAAGCATTGCAGAGTAAGGAGGTCCCTTCTTTCAAGCCTTGGTTTTGTGTCCAGCTAATGGGGACATGCTGCGTCCCCAGGGCTAAACGAAAGGAACAATGGCACCAGCAGGCTTGTTCCGAGGTAAGGGGTAACATTGGCACAATGCGCCCAGGCCCAGAATGTGGGTGAACGAGCACAGTGCTTGCTGTCTCCCAGGCTCCAAAATAAACAAATGCACACTAGGGATGGAACCGAGAGGCCACTCAGGGGCAAGTTTCTCAGTGTTCCTATTAGAACAGTTAAGTGTTGACACCCCAGCTCTGCAGAGCTGCTGTGGCTTATGCTGTCTCACTTTCCACAAGACCAAGGGGCCATGCCAGCAGCCAGGAGCCTGCAGAATAACTCCTGCAAGACTGGACGATGGACTGGGGGGCCATTGGCATAGGGAGCTGGCGGGGGGTGGATGCTCATGCACTGTGCCCTCCAACTGGCAGAAATGCCAGATTCCCTGGGTTGCAGGCTGAGCTCCGAGAGGCTATTGGAAGGTGAGGAGGAAAGAGCAGGCATCAGCCCGGATGAGGGGATGCCAGAGCAACAGCGGTTCCCAGAAAACACTGTCCATGCCGGCAGCATCAGCAGACGCTGCTTTAGCTTAGAAAGCCTTCCCAGGCACATGATCTCACTTAATTCTCCTAATGCTCTTGGGGTAGGTAAGGCAATGTGTCCATTTTATAGAGGAGGAAGTGGGGCTCCCAGAGACCCATACAGCAGCAAGCAAAGTGTGCTCTTGGGCATTGTAACCCCTCCAGGCCACAAAGGCACCTAGGTGTTTGTGGGTGTATCCTTCCTTTCTTCCAACGCCTTGCTTGTCTGTAAACCAGCTCGCATTTATATCTGGAAGAACTTCATTATCAACCTGTCCCAGAACCTTCTTATCAGATGCCCCAGGCTAAAGGATTGGGGCCAGATTTTTCCATTGTCCTTTCCAAAGAAGATCAGCTCAGTAATAATTACCCCCCACCACCAGCAGAGAGGTTACATCAGGGCAGCTGGCAGTGGAACCCTGAAAGAGTGCGGCTGCACATTCACCTGTCCACAGGTGAGAGCGGAGAGTGGTGCCACATACTCAGCTAGCTTTCCCCAATCAATGGGAGTTCATAAAAACAGACTTAAAGGCAAGACACATTGCTTTCTCGCTGGCCAGTGACAATGACAGAAAGCACAGGAGCTTAGAGGAGAAAGGCCCTCCAGCCCTGCGAGGAGCCTCCATAGAAACACACACCAGCCCAGCTCCTCTCCATGTGACGGTGACCCAGATGGGAAGGTTGGGAGTGAAAGGCTGGGCGGCAATGATGCCCGGCAACTGTCGCTGCCCAGGGTTCGGGCCTCTCTGTGCTGTTGCTGAGAAGCATGGGCCCTGGTCTCCAGGGGCTGGACTCACTGAGGGCTGAGTCTGCTGTTCTCACTTGAGTGCCGAGACCCGGCAGGCACTGCTTCCTAATCCAGCCGCTCCTCTCCTCCCTGTGGTGTCTGTGAGGCAAGGGCTCCCCAGAACACCTGTGCTTCACGCACACACACCACATCACACACAGCACACATCACATTACACCACACAGCACACACACCTCACATCACACCACATACCCCACATCACACCATACACCACACATCCCACATCACACCACACACCACACTCACACATCACATCACACACCCCACATACATGCAGCACACATGCCACATCACACCACACACCCAACATACACGAACCACACACACATCACACATATCATATCACACCACACACCCCCCATATATATGTGCACCACACACACATCACACCACCCACCACGCACACATCACAGCACACATCACATACACACCCCATACCCCACACACCACATACACATCACATACCATCATACACCACACCATACCACACACACAAACCACACCCCACACACACACACAACACACCAAACATAACACACCACACACTGTTGTGTGCAAGTATGTGTATGTATATACCACATACATACTTGGCATACACACATACACTTGTATGTGGTATATACATACTTGCACACAACACACGCCAAGCACATCACATCACACAGATGTACCACAGACATACGCCACATACATACACCATATACCACACAAACAACACACACCACACACATCAAACACATCACACCATACATATAGGTACCACACACACACCAAAACACACAGCATGCACACGCACACATGACATACTGCACTACACACACCACACGCATACACACACAACACAGCACACACCACAAACCACTCATTTAAAGAGAAGCATTTCAACTGTGAGTTTCCACTGCCACCTAAGGGTTCAAATGTGAGAGAGCCAGTTCAAAGGAAAACAACCTCAGACCGAGCTTGTCTGACTTTGAATGTGGCCCAACACAAATTCATACACTTTCTTTAAACTTTATGAAATTCTTTTGCGATTTTTTTGTAACTCATCAGCTGTCATTAGTGTTAGTGTATTTTATGTGTGGCCCAAGACAATTCTTCAAATGTGGTCCAGGGACGCCAAAAGATTGCACACCCCTGCTTTGGATCTTAAAATAAGTATGATCTGGGTCAAGGAACAGCTGCTTATTTTTTAAGCTCAAGGGCCCAGGAGGATTCCATGAGGGGAAGGAGATGTGCGTAATTTGGATAAGAAACTCACAATCTTAATTTAATAGAATCCTCTTTCCACTTTTTTGAGCTCCAGAGATCACACAAGCGGTGTGTGTGTAAATATATATGCATGTGTGTTTGCAGGTTTATATGTGCACGTGTGCACACGTGCATGTTTGAGAGATGGTGTGTTTTGAGTGTGCACATCTTTGCACATCTGTCGGAGGAGGGTAGGCAGCAAAGGATGTTCCCTGGGAAGGCATTGTTGTAGAAAGAATCTCACAAAGGAAATATTCAGAAGCCAAGGGTGGTGGGAAGAGGGCCAAGGGGAGGGCTGGGCAACTTGAAATTACACTTACTTATCTGGTTCTCTCGACAAGTAGCCTGTTCTGCTGGGCTACTTAGATCCATCTGCAGGCCAGTGCTGTCCTCCACAGGGCAACCGATCAACTTTCATGGGCTTCCAGATCAAAACTGACCAATTAGTATAAAGCTTTCTCTGAAGGGCCTGCCCATCAGTTCTTTTAAATACTCTCAGAATGATTGCATTGTCCAGCCAGGGTTGAAGCCCATGGTCTATAACAGGGGTCAACCAATGTTTTTCCATAAAAGCTCAGATAGCAAGTATCTTCAGGTTTGTAGGCCATATGGTCTCTGTCACAACTACGCTACTCTGCCCTTATAGCCTGAAACCAGCCATAGATAATCTCCAAAGATATAAACGTGACTGAGTCCCAACAAAACTTTAAGGATACTGAAATTTGAATGTCATTTGTTTTTCATTGGTCATAAAGTGTATTTGTTCTTTTCATGTGTTTTCATTCACTGAAAATCCAGAGAGCATCTCGGCTCACAGGCTGTATACACAAGTAGGCTGTGTTGGATTTGGATGTGGGGGCTAGAGCTTGCCTCCCTTGATCTTGATCACTGACTGGCATGTAGCTCAATGTCTACTGTAAGGTCAGGCTGGATTTTTAACCACCACTGGACATGAGTGTCCTGTAATATTGTCAATAAGTTTATTGATATCTTATTATTGATATTTTACATGTATGCAGGATTCATTCTTATTCTTGATAGCATGTCTAATGGGTAACTATTTACGTATTTATTTTCTCACCAAGGAGCATAGTGAAGCCAGCAATCTGAAGTTTGAATTTAAGCTTTTTTGATGATCTCATCTCTAATTTGAAGCCACAGACCTCCAGACAGCAGCAACCTTTAATCTGACAGTCAGAGAAAGGATTAGAGTGACAGTTTGAAGATGGGTTACTCGTGGTCTTGGTTTTTTTTTCCTTTTGTAGTAGAGCATTGTTGCTTTGAAGATTTATAGGTCAAGAATGTTGTAGAGACAGTCATATGCTGCTATTTGCCTGTAGGTAAAGTAAGAATCAAATTTAGCGGCGTTCAGACATGGCTGATATGCCAGGCTGCCAGAGACAAATATGTGAGTGCTTGCTTAAGTTTGGGGCTTAAGAACCATGTTAGTTTCATTTATTTCTGTAGGTATTTTAGGATTTTCAGTTTTGAGTATCTTAGTCAACTTTTTATGTTGATAGTTAATTGCACATTTCATATATCCAACTAAAAAATGTGGAAATAAGCAGATGATCTTTAAAATATAGTTTTCCCTGTTTATCTCGATAAATTCTTTTTTTTTTTTTTTTTTTTTTTGAGAGTGAGTCTCGCTGTGTCACCCAGGCTGGAGTGCAGTGGCCCGATCTCGGCTCACTGCAAGCTCCGCCTCCCGGGTTCATGCCATTCTCCTGCCTCAGCCTCCTGAGTAGCTGGGACTACAGGCGCCCACCACCACGCCCGGCTAATTCTTCGTATTTTTAGTGGACACGGGGTTTCACTGTATTAGCCAGGATGGTCTCAATCTCCTGACCTCGTGATCCGCCCTCCTGGGCCTGCCTCCCAAAGTACTGGAATTACAGGCATGAGCCACTGCGCAAGGCCAATCCTAACTTTTTAAATGACAGACACATTGTTTGCCCTTTGCTTGTAATACTTTGAATGGTTAATTTGTATATCCCTTATTGATCTTCACTACACCTCAATATGAGTACACTGGACAAGGAGCCATGTTTCCATTTTCAGATAGAATAAGAGAAGTTTGAGAAGCTACCATGTAGCTTTATGAGGCAGGTTATCTGTTTTACAAGATGTCTTCAGAGTTTTTTCTATCTCTAATTTTTAAATAATTTTTACATTTTTTTCTACTGTGATTCTGAATTTAAAAAAATGGAACTAACTTCACACTCTAAATTTGCATTTTTGTCATGCTAAGATATATTCCCCTTCATGTAACTTTTCCTTTAATAGCACAAATTACAGCAACACTAGATGGTATTATTTTGAAATAGTTTAGAGAGGATCTTTGTGATTCTTCAACAATTAAGTCCTGCAGACACATCTCCATCTTTGGAGGCTCCCTATCTTTTACCAAGGGTCAAGTATATGGTGACCTTTTCAAACTGTTCCCTGCTAGGTGTCTGAGTTTGGCTCTGAAAGAAATCATTTCCTTTAAGAGCTCGCTCCAAAGCAAAGCCTTTACACGTGTAACATCTCCTTGGCCACATGCGTCACTCTGCATATAAACAGCCTGATTGGCTGGGGCTGCTTAGATCCATCTGTAGGCCAGTGCTGCCCTCCACAGGACAACCGGTCAACCTTCATGGGCATCAGAATTACCTGAGAAGTTCTGCCAAAAAGACACGCCTGAAGGAGCAGGTGCAGGTCTACCTGGAACCCTGGCCTCTGAATGTCACCAAGTGTCCAGGGATTCTTGAAACTTCTCAGGGGACTTTACTCTGTGGTGTGTTGGGCTGTATGGACTGCTGATGTCTCCTCTGAGAGGATTTACAACCCTGGGCACATAAGAATCACGTGGGAGAACTTTAAAAAGTGACAGTCCCAGACTGCACCCCCAGAGATCCTGATTCTGGAAGTCTGGAGTGGGTGTGGGTCAGGCTAATGAAGCTCCTGGAGGCTTGAAGGCTCTGTTAGGTGTGAGCATCCCAGACTCTGCCTGGGTAATTCTAAACCCTGGTTGCACTTCAGCATCGCACAGGGAGACTTATAGACCACTTGTGTCTCATGTGGTGAGCTGAATAAAGTCCGCGAAGATGTCCACTTCTGCATGCCTGGAGCCTATGAATATGTTACTGCTGTGGTCTAAATATTTGTGTCCCCCCAAAAATTGTAGTTTGAAAACCTAATCACCAGTGTCGTGGTATCAGGAGGTGGGGTCTTTGGGAGGTAATTCAGGCAGACTCTTCCCTCATGAATGGGATGTGTACCATTGTCAGAGAGGCCCCAGAGAGCTGCCTTGCTCCTTCCACCATGTGAAGGTGCAGGAAGAAAGCACAGTCTGTGAACCAGGAAGTGGGTCCTGAGCAGACACCAAACCTCCAGGTACCTTGATTTTGGACTTCCTAGCTTCAAGAACTGTGAGAAATAATTGTGTGTGTGTGTGTGTGTGTGTGTGTGTGTGTGTGTGTGTGTGTAAGACAAAGTCTCGCTCTGTCGCCCAGGCTGGAAAGCAGTAGAGCCATCTCAGCCTACTGCAACCTCCGCCCACATCCCTCCCCACTACCCCCTTTCCCCGCCCCCACCCCAGGTTCAGGCAATTCTCATGCCTCAGTCTCCTGAGTAGCTGGGACTACAGGCCCGTGCCACCATGCCTGGCAAATTTTTGTATTTTTAGTAGAGACGGGGTTTCGCCATGATGGCCAGGCTGGTCTCGAAATCCTGGCCTCAAATGATCCACCCACCTTGGCCTCCCAAAGTGCTGGGATTACAGGCATGAGCCACCGCGCCTGGCTGAAAGTTTGTTTTTTGTAAGCACCCAGCTTATGATCGTTTGTTTTAACAGCCCAAATGGATTAAGACAATTACATGGTAAAAAGAACTTTGCAGATGTGATTTGGTTAAGGATCTTGTGATGGGGAGGTTATCCTGATCACCTGGTGGGTACTAAATAAAATCACAAGGATTGCTTATAAGAGGGAGGCAGGCAGTTAAGAGCCAGAGAAAATGTGAAGATGGAAGCAGAGATCAGAGTCATGTGAGGTCTGAGTCAAGGAATGTAGATGACCTCTAAAAACTGAGAAAAGCAAAGACATTGATTCTCCTCTAGATCCTTCAGAAGTAATGCAGCCTGCCAACACTTTGATTTTAGTCCACTGAAACTAATTTTGAACTTCTGACCTTCAGAACTGCAAGATCATAAATCTGTTATTTTAAACCACTAAGTTTATGGTAATTTGTTACAGTGGCAACAGGAAATGAATACAACTGAGACCTCAGCACAGACCATGTAGACCAGAATCTCTGGTGCTCTTTCCTCCCTGCTTCTCCCGTTAAGAAACATCTTAGTTTATGACAGTCTAGTTTGAGTTAACGCCAAATTAATTTCACAGGTATACAAAAACTTTGCTTCTATGATCTTTGATCCTCCCTCCCACCTTCATGCTGCTATTGTTACAGATTACATCTTTATACATTGTGTGCCCATCACTCAAGATTTAGAATTACTGTTTTATGTAGTGGTCTTTTAAATCAGACAGAAAAAAAGAAAGAAATGGCTGGGTGCGGTGGCTTATGCCTATAATCCCAGCACTTTCGGGGGCCAAGGCGGGTGGATCACCTGAGGCCAGGAGTTCAAGGCCAGCCTGGCTAACATGGCGAAACCCTGTCTCTACTAAAAATACAAAAACTACCTGGGCACACTGGTGTGTGCCTGTAATCCCAGCTACTCAGGAGGCTGAGGCCAGAAGAATCGCTTGAACCCAGGAGGCAGAGGTTGCAGTGAGCCAAGATCACACCACTGCACTCCAGCCTGGGTAACAGAGTAAGATTCCATCTAAAAAAAAAAAAGGAAAAAAGAAAGAAGTTATGAACCAAAAGTACCTTTATACTGTTTTTTACTTTTACCTATGTTGTCACATTAACAGGGCCTTTTATTTGTTAGTGTGGATTTGAGTTACTACCTAATTTCCTTCCATTTCAACATGACGTGTTCCCTTTAGCATTTCTTGGGAGAAGGTCAGCTAGTGACAAATTCTCTCAGCTCACCTTTTCTTTTTAAAATTATAGCATGTCTTAATTTCTCCTTTGAAGGATGGATTTGCTGGATGTAGAATTCGCCATTGACAGATTTTTCTTTCTTTCCACACTTTGAGTATGCCAGCTCACCTCCACAATTATGAGTAGTCAGCCATTAGGCTTACTGAAGTTCCTTTGTGCGTGGGGACTCACCTGTCAGTGAGGTGTGAAATTGCCAGCATTTCTTTATTTCTCACTCTTGAGTTTGCAGGTGGGCCGTGGCAGTTCTACTGAAGTCCGCAGGTGGGAAGGGCAGAGATCTGATTCTCCTGCATTTCCAGGCAGAAGGCACAACCACTCTCTGGGACGCATGGCTCTGATGCGATAAGAGCACACAGAGTGAGCCCAATGCACCATGTGTGTTTGGCTCTTAGCTTGGACAGGCAAATCCACATCCACTCACATTCCAACAAGCCAAAGCAAGTCACCCAGCCCATTGCTTCTGGGACAAGGATGTACATTCCTCCTGGGCGTGGGGGTGCGGGTACCGCAAGGGGAATAAATTTTTCCTGAGCTACGATACAATCTCCCACCAAAAGTCATACAGCCATTTAGTTAACAACTTTTCTTGAATAGTTCAGTTATCATCAATGATCCACATATTGATAAACATGACTTGACAATAATAACAATGTTAGCATTTTACACTATTTTCTAGAAGCTTCACTATGCTTCATTTATTCTCAGAAATTCTCTCTAGGATAAGCTTCATGGGCAGAAAGAAGAATGAATGAAAGCCACGTAAAAAGGACTGTAAAAGCCAGTAAAAAGGGCTGGAATAAATGGGACAAATCATCATCCTTTTCTATACCCTTATTTCATCTGTGTGAACACATTTGCTTGCTGATTTGTAATCAGAACCTGTGGCCAAAGAAAAAACTGTCTGTCATCTTAGCTCCAGAAAGCTACTGTCATCTTACTGCATCCCAGGTGGCTTCTTTTGCAGGATTCCTGGAAGGATGATGTTAGCTCTGCTGTTTCACTGGAAGAGTGACTTCACTGGGCCAGCCCTGTGTCCTTCCCACAAATGTGGTTCAGGATTTCATCCAACATAGCTCTTTACCGTGGTGCTGCCTCTAATTTGGGTTTACCATTACCCCACTGGAAGCCAAGAAATATTTACCCTATTTATATTTAGCACTTGAATCAGAGTGTTATGATATCAAAGTCCATGTAAACTGCTGAACAGAACTTTAAAACAGCATCCTGAATCAGAATGCATGCCCTATTTTGTTGTTGTATGAGTTTGTTTTCATTTATGAAAAGGTGATTTGAAAAAGGACTGCAAATTCCTCCTTCTCTTCTAGGCCTGCTACTGCAGCATCTCTGTTTTCACTGTCTAGATTTTGTGTCTAAACATTCCTTTGTAATTTATAAGATTGTTGAACGTGGGCTCAGATCTTCACTTCTGTGACCTTAGTCCCAGACACTGCTGTCATCCATAAAGGTACTATAAGACCCCCTTACATCACTCTTTTAAGACAGACACCTTCAACTGAAATGCATTGCATGTGACTTCCTCATTTCAATGACTAATTAAATTGTGAGTATATTTATGTAGAATAAAGTGAAAGGTTCTTAATGTAGTTATATTTAATATGTTACTTCTTCATTAAAGAGCTTCCTCTGAGCCAGGCGTGGTGGCTCATGCCTGTAATCCCAGCACTTTGGGAGGCCGAGGTGGGCGGATCACGAGGTCAGGAGATCGAGACCATCTGGCTAACATGGTAAAAACCCATTTCTACTAAAAATACAAAAAATTAGCCAGGCGTGGTGGCAGGCGCCTGTAGTCCCAGCTAATCGGGAGGCTGAGGCAGGAGAATGACGTGAACCTGGGAAGCGGAGCTTGCAGTGAGCCGAGATCGTGCCACTGCACTCCAGCCTGGGCGACAGAGCAAGACTCTGTCTCAAAAAAAAAAAAAAAAAAAAAGAGCTTCCTCTGAGGAAGTTACCTACTTTTGGTAAAGTGGGTATTTTGAGTGGCATAACTAGCATGAGCAGCATATCAGTGCAAATGCAGTAACACTATGAATTAAAAAGGGAATAAGAAAGGTCTTGTGTTTGATCAAATATTTATCTATTAATGTAGAAATTCTCCTTGGAACCCTGGTTGGTGCTATTGCTTTTAACAGTAATGAAAAGAAAGAAGCAAACCTATCAGAGACTCTCCAAATTCCAAGCAACGGTGATCCCAGAAGCCTTGTTCTCTTCCCAGCTTGCTTTTATTCCGTTAAGTGCCTTTGTGGCCAAGTCACAGTCCTGGCAGCTAATGGCATGACTCATGCAGTGAACACACCTGCTCAGGCTGGATTCGAATCAGGAAATATTGGACACTGTCCTTGGAACTATATTTATAGCAAATGGAAGCTGTCAAAACAAAACTGTTTATTAGCAACATAGCATGGGTCTCCTAGAAAACAAATTTAAAAGTAGTGCTCCTCAGGCCTCTGTTTCTCTTGAAGTAAGAATAACTTCATTCTCAACCAACATGACAAAGATTTCCGTGATAGCACTGGCTAGTCTGATACACCATACTTATTTTTTCCAGTTAACATGTTATTTTTTTTCCAGTTAACATGAACATCTCTATACTCAGCCAAGGAGCTGTAATAACAGAGTTCCATTTGACAACAGAGCTGTCAGTGTGAATACCTTTTGCTTTCTTCTTTTCTCATTTCAGACTCTGGGACTTTGTACACAGCCAGGATTTCAGTTACCATGGGATATTTCCAAATTTAATCTCCAGCCAAAGTGTGGATATTTATGCATATTTCATAATTCAGATAGCTTACTAGACATAACCATTTGGTTTTAACACAGATACCTACGTCCAAAACTTAATTTTTTTTTTATTTCTTTAAACTTGCTTCTTTCTCCATAGTCTCTAGTTTGGTTAGAAACAGCACTACCTAATTAAGCAAGACTTTTAGTAATCATCCTTTCTTCCTCTTCCTCCTTGTCGTTCTCATTTCCACGTGCCCACTAGTTGCACTCTTCCATGCAGACACCTCCTAAACCCTTTGGCATTGGTTTCCCTGCCTCTCTTTCCTAGGCCTGCCATTCCACTAGAGGCTACGCTCTCTCTCACTGGACAATTACAACAACCTACTGCAGTGACTCAGCCCTTGGAACATGGACTCTGGGTTGGTTGGTTTGTGTATAAAAAACCCACTCCCAGGAGAGTCTTTGCTTGTCCTTCTTCCAACTGATCTTCTACTCAGGAAAACTGTTATGTGTATATGACTACTTTGCTGATTTTTATTGTTGTTATTGATGATGACCCGTTTTTGCTCAGGCAGGAAGTCCATCTAGGGAAGCCACTGTCTTTGTGAAAACTTCACACTGCAGCATATGGGACCAGGATCCTGGACACAGCAAATGTCAGCCCCAACCCCCATGTCCCCCAGATCTGTATTTCCAGCATAAACACAGGCTGGTTGGAGGAAACAGGCTGCATTTAGACACATCAAAGGAACTTGAATGCCAGAAAGAAAATAGAGTCCTATGGCTATTAGAGAGGGAAGACATCCAAGAAAATTGTCATCAGAGACTGTATCCAGTTGAGCAAACTCGTCTTTCAACTTAGTAAGGGTAATTACTATGCAAGTGTGTGTACTTACCAAGAATAAAATCTCCAGGGACACAGAGGAGACATTCCGGGTCTTTTGCCCTGGCCCCCTATGGCTGTTTGCACTGTGTCTTCTGTGTTAAAATGTACCTGAAATTTGTCTTCAGCAGGTGTGGTAGGGCAAACAACACAGAAATGACTGATATGGAGGAAGAAGTTTTTGCTCATAGTTCCCTAGAAACAGGAAGCACTCTATGCTGGGCCACATGGGGAGGCACAAGGCTTGGCCAGGAGGCAGAGAGGATAGAGGGAAAAACATGGGAAAGTGCTTTTATTGTGGTTTTCAAAGGAAGAAATGGGCAAGGCAGAGTAAGCAGCCTAGAATTTTCTAGTTTAATTCCCATGAACTCTGAGCATAAGGGATGTCTCTAGTTGTCTGCTGCTGGCCCTGGGATGACTAGGGCAGAGGAACATTGCCTCCTGTAGTATAACAGTCAGACAGAGGAGGTGGTATGGAACATGGGCTCTGGGTTCATTGGTTTGTGTATAAAAAGCCCATTCCCAGGAGAGTCTGCTGTCTGTGAGAACTGGCTGGCCCTGGGAGCAGCAGTCTCTCCCCAGTCATGAGCCCCTATCTTAGTCCATTTTGTGTTGCTATAACAGAATACCACACACAGGGGAATTTATAAAGAATAGAATTTCACTTAGCTAATAATTCTGGTGGCTGGGAAGTCCAAGATCGGGCAGCTGCATCTGCTGAGGGCCTTCTTGCTGCATTATCCCATGGTATCCCATGGTGGAAGGGTGGATGGGCAACTGAGCACTTGCAAAAGAGAACCAGGCCAGACTCACTTGATAACAACCACTCTTGACTAACCACTCCAAAGATTAACCATTCATGAGGGCAGAGCCCTCATGACCCAATCACCTCTGATTAGGCCCCATCTCCCAACACTGTTGCATTGTGAATTAAATTTCCAACACATGAGCTTTTGGGGAACACATTCAAACCATAGCAGTTCCCACCTGTCGAAGTATGATAAAGAAGGAAATAAACAACAGCATTTCCAGGTTTATCTTGGGCTGCTCTGACCAACCCCAGAGAATGATCTGTGAACACACTTGCTTTGTTTGCATCTCAGTGGCTCATGTTTTGTAGCAGAATCTGCTCTTGCCCTGCCGAAATTTTTCAGGCATTATTATTTAGAATGCTCCAGTGACTTCTGACTGCCAGTATCTGTGTATTTGGGCCTTTAGGAATTCTCCAAAGCCAAGTCAAAACTACACTGCCCTTCTAATGAAAGGCCAGGTATGACCATCGCCAATGGGCTGCAGTATATGACTGTATAAATACCCCAGCTCCCTCTCCTCTAGGTGTGTGCTCTTCACCATTTCCCAGTTTCCCTGTGAAATTAGGTTCCAAATGCTCACTTTGCTTGCTAACTTTATGCTGTATGTTTTCTCCAGTTGCCCTTCTTTTCTTCAACATTTTCTCATTTACCTCCCTGTGTTCCCTACAGTCCCATATAAACTACTTGCACATCCTTGTACTGGGATCTGCTTCTAGGGGAGTACAAACTCAATCATGCCCTCCTTTCCCTCTGCCTAGAATGTTGCTCCTTTCTTCTTGACCTGAAGAACTGCTAGAGAGCTTTCAAACTGTATCCAAAAGTGTGACATCTTCAGGAAGTCTTATCTGTTACTTGATGCTGGCTTTCCCACTCCTTTGTCTGTATTCTCACAGCATTTTCTGTATACCATCACTTAATATGTTGTGATTTATTAAATACATTTTTCTCCTTTCTAGGACTGGAAGTTCCATGAAGGACAGCGATTGTCTAATTCTTTTCCTTTGCACCCAAAAGAGCCTGGCACATGGTAAGTGATGTATAAATTCTGGGCAAATGACAGAATCTCTAAAATCAAATATACATTTTTTTACACTTTTCGGAGATTCACTTCTGTCTTAAAATCTGCAATAATTTGCCTCTCTCTGCACCTTACTCTGATTATTTTTATTATAAAAAGATATAAGTTTGGGCACCAAGAGACAAAAATCACCATTATATATTTTTAAATATTGTCTCTTTATTGCTCGCAAACATTGCCAGATGATATGCAAATATTGCCTGATTTTTGGTTACAACCCCTGCCAAAAGGTGAGGATTTTCAATTGTCCAATGGCCCCAGGCCCTTGATCTGGCTGTCTTTACTACTTTGGGGATATGCTATGGCTTGAATGCATGTATCACTCCAAAATTCATATGTTGGAACTTAATTCCCAAGGTGACAATATTAATAGGTGGGGCCCTTGGAGGTGATAAGACCCTGAGGGCTCCACCCCTGTGGATGGGATTAGTGCCCTTATAAAACGGCTTGAGAGAGAGTATTTGTCCCTTTTCTTGATCTGTCCTTCCACCAGGGAAGGACACAGCAACTAGACACCATCTTGAAGTAATATCCCTCAGCAGATATCAAACTGCCAGCATCTTGATCTTGGACTTCCCAGCCTCCAGAACTGAGAAATCAATCTATTGTTTATAAATCATCCCATCTAATGTGTTTTTGTTATAACAGCAAGAAGGGACCAAAGGTAGATGACAGAGCCTATGCTAAAAGTCTTAACACTCCAACCTCATTGAGGACTCTAAGAATTGGCTTTATGAAAACATATAAAAGCAAGCAAGCATCATTTCAAGAGAAAGCAGAGCTTCTAGCAAAGAATTTGCAAATATTCCATGTTCTTATCATCTGCTGTTTATACAAGAACCAGACTTTTGATGTTCCTTTTTCATTCCCAGCAGCTGGTCAATGTGCTGAAGAGAAGGAAAGATAGTCTTTCAGGACTATACGGAGAATTTCGTCAAGGGTCATCCAGGAATGAAAGGCTTCCGGCTTCAGGAAAGAATTTTCTATGGTAGTTTCATCACACACTTTTTACTACCAAATCCTCAGATACTCATAAACAGTAAACATTAAAGCTCACTCTATTTTTTTTTATTTTTCTAAAATTAAAAACACTATGCAGTGCCCTTAATTCTCTCCTTGTGTCTGGAGGGACCACTGGTTTACTAGGACTTGAGACTGGGCCACATGTGATGCAATGGCCACAAGGCTGAGACGGGGCTGGGAGAACAGGGATGTGGCCTCCTCTCTGCTGAAGCTGAAATCACACATCAGGCTGAGGATTCTTTGTTTGGGGCCAGGTGCAGGGGTCTCAACTATGCCTAGAAGAGCTCAATGAGAATCTAAATGGCCACCCCAGAACTACACAGGGCTGCTGTGTGGACACACAGGTGTTTCCAGGTGACTTTTACAAGGCTGATACAGACTTGCCTTAGAATGTCAATATTTTAATCCATCCATTTAAAAAGTATAACACATGTCCCATGTTTTTGCCCTTGTTTCATGAGTAACATCTTTTAAAATGCTTGTATCTTAGCTATTTCAAGAAGTCGATTCTGACAGCTCTTTTGCTTCCACAAACAGTAAGTGCTTCTTTCCTTATCTTGGCTGTGTTTGTTGGGCAGGCTGTTAGTATCAGAGTCTTGAGAAAATTCAGATTTGTGTTTTTCAAACCATGTTTTAGGGATCCTTATTCTCTTCTAGAAGCTTCATTTAAAAATTAAATAAAAAGTCTCCATAGCTAAGTGAATTTGGATAATTTCGTATGTACCATGTCAATCTATTGGAGATTCACAAAGTTCTCAATGAAGCAATCTATTTTAACTTCATGGAACTTAACATTTCTCAACCTGTCTAACCATTGCACACTTTTCTTGGTAACATCTACTGACATCACTCAGGGGAGAGGAACATAGTTTGAGTATTGCTCCTCTTGATTCTGCCAGAACGACCCTCCCAAGGTCTGCATCTTCTCCCCATTCTCTGGCAGGAAACGCAGTAAAGCTGTCTTAGGAGAATAAATGACCTAAGAGAAGGTTCCCCATCTCCTCGTTGTGCTTCCAGACCTGGGTGCAGCTAGGACATTTTTGTCCTCGGTAGCTTTTGCTGTTTTGATCCAAAGTGAGATCTAAATGTATTGACAACAGATACTTTTTTTTTTTTTTGCAGAAAATAAAAACAACAAGCAAACAAACAAAACTCCTATGTATATATCATCCATTAAATTTAATGCAAAATTTGTTCTAGGAATTCCGTATTTGTTTAGTTACAAAGAGAGACATTACTTTCAGGGTCTTCTCAGGTTTGGACTAATTTCCAAATGCAGAATGCAGAAGAGGTGGCTTTCCAGACACTATATTTCTCTATAAAGCTGAGGTAGAGCTTTGGCATGTGCTCAGTGTTTCTCCAATCATTGTAAAGTGTCCGGCCCTCTAAGTCTTAGTCATCATGGAAATAACATAAGTGATGAGACCCTGAGTGTGTGTGTGCTAGCATCCAGATGAGATGCCTTTGTGCTAAGCAATACAGTTAGAAACAAGAGAATGCTACGTTGGAGACATCATTTCTATCCTGAGTTTTGACATCCCAGATGCTTGGCCAAGAAATTAACACCCTTTGTTGGCTATTAGGATTTTTATGCTGTTGAGTCATCTTGTTATTACTAACAGATCCGACCTCCTGAGTATAGCAAAAGGAGTCAGGAATTCTCTTTTCTTAACTTGCTGTTGCAGATGAGAGTGATCCCACGTGTTATCTTATCTGAATGCCCCAGTCCTGCATAGTTTTGAAGCCATCTCAGAGTAATACAGCAAGTAACTAACCAGTCTTACAGAATACCATCCCGGAGCAGAGAAACACATGTTGAACATCCCCTCCGTCACTGTAGACCCTTTTCCACTCTCTCTGAGTACCAGGGTCTCCTCCATCTTCTGGCTCCAGTCAGCTGTGGCCATGGGGAGTTGCTCTGAGAAACTCCAATGGCTGGAGCTGAGTTTTTCACTGCTGGGTTGCTGCAGGCTGGCAATTCCCACTCCTGGAGGCCACAAGCCCTGTCTGACAGTCTTCTCCAAACAGCCACCGTCATTGGGGTACCAGGTGATGGTAGCTACTCCCTCCTGTTGACTCTTCGGGCTGGAGCTGATAGCCCAAGGGTGCTCCACTCTCCTGTGCTAATTTTTCAAAATCAAGCCCGTGTATTTGTTGAAAGCACTTAATCAAATTTTTAAAAATTACTGCTTGAGAATGCCACCTCTTTTCAGCCTAGACCCTAACAGATACAGACAGCAACATCCCTTTCTCTGACACATTCTCAATTGTTTCGTTTGTCACCTGGTGCCAAAAGAGGCTTGCATAGTTTCTGGTATAACCATCGGTCACCAAGAATACACCCATGCTTATGTTAGTCTGCATGCATGACGTGTGCATGCATGTGGGTATGTTAAAAGAAAGAAAGAGAGAGGGAGAAGAAATTTCTATATACTTATTCCTTGAATACCACCCACTGAAGCTGACATCAAGATCGGAGAGACTGATGCTAACAGATTAAAGAGAAATTTTAACACCTCATGAATCTACATCATCCAAGATAATTATTAGCATTTCCACTAAATAAATGACACCTCCCTAAATCCAGTGAAAGCATTAGACAAGAAAGCGTAAACACTGTAAGATATTTGTGGCAGAACAAAGAATAAGAAGGTTGGCATACGTCTTTCTAAATAAAGATGCCAACTGGAAGCAAGATAAATCCAGCAAATGTTCAGCAACCCCATTGATTTGTTATGCATTTGCAGTGTTTTCAGGGAATGAGCAAAATAACAGCTAACAATCACTGGCCATAAGTTTTGCTTGCCATCCCACTGTTAAGAGAATCACGAGCACTTCCACTAGGCCAGCAGACATGCCTGGAACACTCTCAATGGTTGGACCTGCTCTCTGTATGTGCAGGTCTCGGAAAGGACAGCTTCTAAGTGACCTTTGACATCATTAATAAGCACAGAGAAAGTAGAAAGTAGTAGAGATGTTCCCTGTTAGCTGACTCAACTGGGAATGGGGAATGAGGCCTTTAAAATGGATAATTAACATTGACGTATTGCCTTTGGCCAAGCAGTCTTGGAACAATTAGCACTTTGTTTTCAGAGATCACTGCAAAGGCCCTGATTGATTGATTGATTGATTGATTTTAGCAGTGGAAAAGATATTGGATGACTGGTCTTCCCTTGTCCATGGTTTCGCTTTCTGTGGTTTCAGTTACCAGCAGTCAACCAAAGTCCAGAAACATGAAATAGAAAATTCCAGAAGTGAACAATTTATAAGTTTTAAATTGAATGTTGTTCTGAGCAGCATGATGAATTTCACATCAACCTGCTCCATCCTGCCTGGGACATGAATCATCCCTTTGTGAAGTGTTCCAATGCTGTCTATATAATACACCCATTAGTCACTTTGTAGCTATCTCAGTTATCAGATCAAAGAAACATTTTATATATACACACACACACACACACACACACACACACATACATACACACATACATGGACCAGCACTATCCTAGGTTTCAGGCACTTACTGAGTATCTTGGAACAGATCCCTCGTGTATAAAGGGGGACTACTGTGTTATATTTTTTGACTTACCAGTTTCCTGGAACAGAAAATACATGTTTAGAGAAGGCTGAATTGATAAATGTGTGCATGATTTCTTGTGCATAAGTAGTTTAGATCAGTGGTTCAAAATGTAGTCTGAAGTACAATAGTACTGAGTGTTCCACCAGCAAGTGTGGCTTGGCTATTTGAAACTTGGCCAAACCTACCCTCTTATTCATTCCCTGAATTGTTCATTTGTTGGCCTTGAGTTTAATTTAAAGTCCAGACATTGCAGACATTGCATGCCTATGGGTTCAGCCAGGATTATCTTGGGGTTCCCCTTCATTCTGGTCATCCGTCATGTCCTAAGAGTGATTGAGAGGGGTCTCGGCTTAAGAGAGAGCCACTGGCATTAAGATGACTTTGGGGTGGCCGGAGCATGATTCTGGCCTCTGATGATACACTTTAAAGGAGAGCAGAGGACAGAAGACCCCAGGGCTAGTTGTGTCTCCCAGGGGGAAGAAGGATTGCCCCAATGCAAATTCCAAACATTTGACACTCGGAGACTTTACATTAGACTCTGAGGAAGATATATCATAGAGAATGCACCAAGCAAATGCATGCTTCATATCACAAGCCGGGAATTTCTACTCACTGAGTCAGCCGAACTGGAGTTTCTGTGGACCCCAGGCCACCCTTGGTCCCTTTAGCTTAGGACCCAGTCTAGAGCCATAGGACCCAGTTTAGAAACATTGCCAAATGTTCTCTCTTTACCTCCCCAACATAGCCTCCACCTTGGTTGTCGTTCACTTCCAGTTCCTCCTCTGGCCACAATACTGCCCACCATATGGTCTAATTTCACAAAAGAAGCCACAGTTAGAACTGCTGGTCCACATACACCCAACAGATTAGTCTTATTAGTTCTGTGATGCTCTGCAGCCCTGGACACCTCAGCCACCCTCCCTAGACCAACATTGCAATGATCAGGGGCCTTGCTCATTCCCCAGACTCTTCCATGTCTGCAGAAACCACAGAAATGAAGCCTCAACCTCTGCTCTAAATGGGTCTCTCACTAACTAACTAACTAACTGAAAACTGTTTCTTCTTTACGGGCTTTGCTTTTCCTGTGGTCATCTCAAGTGGTGTTTATTTCCCTCACTCTCCTTCCCTGGGCCCAGAAGTGGAAAATGTGTCTATTCTTCTTTATTAAGACTTCATGACTATCATCACTCCTCCCTCACTACCCAGCCTCTGACTTTGAAGCCCATGCCATAGGAGTCCAGAGCCTTCTGGCCCTTATTTTGGTAATTATTAGCATATTGCTCCCTGTTACTCCTTAAAGAGCTTAGTATCTGGCTTTCTGTCTTCTCTCAATCATGCTGTCATTATAATTGGCGACTTCAGCAGTCATGTAGACAAAAGTGTCTTACACTCACATCCCTTCATTTCTGCATCTTCTCCCTTGTGATGCTCTTTCCTGCCACCTCATCTCAGAAACACAGTCCCATGGTTAAATTCTAGACCTGATTGTCAATAGCAGCATTTCCTTCAAACTATTAAATGTGAGCTTCTTACTCTTTGACCACAACCTCTCAGTTTTCCAGACCACTTTCTCTAGTTCAACAACTAGAGAAACAACAACTGCAAACAATTTTTCCCCATGGAACCCACCAAGCCATTGACCATTATTGATCTATTATCTTGCTCATGTATACACTTTCCTGGCTAAATGTTCTGGTGCCACACAATAATCATTCCTTTGAAAATAATCTGAATGCTCTTGCCTCTTTCTCCCTGTGGTATACTTGCCCATGAAATCCCCAGCACTGGTTAAACAATCTGCTTAATCTGTGACAGGATCCCATGAGATGAACATGATAGCAGCCAGCACACAGCCATGACATTTAGCCACATTTTAACTTCGTGTTCACCAACATCAAGTGGATTTCTCAGCACTACCTGGCTAGGCTGCCTGAAATTCTTTATCTGTCTTCTCTCTCTCTCAGACAACTCATCCTTCTTACTCCCCAAATCTGCAAAACTCTCTGGTATGGTTTGAATGTGTCCCCTCCAAAACTCCGGTATTGACAATGTGATAGTATTAAGAGAAAGGGCCTTTAAGAGATGATTACACCATGAGGGCTCCTCCCTTATAATGGATTAGGTGCCCTCATAAAGGGCTTCAGTGAGGGATTTTGTCTGCTCTTGGGCCTTGTCACCTTCTGCTATGTAAGAATGCAGCAAGAAGGCCCACACAAGATGCCAGCACCTTGACTGTGGACTTCTCACCCTCCAGAACTGTGAGAAAATAGATTTCTGTTCTTTTTAAATTATTCAATCTTAGGTATTTTGTTAAAGAGCACAAAACAGATGAGAACACTCCCCTTCCTGCTCTCTCTAAGTTTCCTTACTTTATCTCTAAAAAATGGAGTAAAATCATATCTACTTTTGGACACAGAAACATGTTGTAATATATCCTATCAAATTAATTAATAAATATAGACCCCCAGAAAGCCCAATGTCCTTTCTACTCTCCTAACTACTTCTCCAGTTACCAAATCTTGATTATAAAAATGAAGTAGAAAAAGTCGTTCTTTTTTTAACCCAATACAATCAGACTTGTTTGTTATATCACCATTCCATAAGAATTGCTTTTGTTAAGTTCACAAACAATCTAGTTCCCACATTATGAATTCAAAAGGTTATTGTTCAGTATTCACCTGATGATCTCTTAGCAACATTTGGCTCATCTGGTCAATCCCTCCTTTATGAAATGCTGCAGTCTGAGGTCCTCACCCTCCTGGATTTGCTCCTGCCTTCCTGAAAAAGCCTTTCCAGTCTCTTGTGCTAGTTTCTCCTTTTGGAATCTTCCAAATTTTGGAGTTCCCTGAGCTTGGATTTTAGCCTTTTTCTCATCTCTATTTTCACTCATTCTCTAGAATATTTGTTTTCCAACTTTTTGTAACACAACACTTACATAAAGTAATGGTACGTTTATGACACACTGTGAAAAAATGGTCAAAGATGCATTCAGTGGAGTCAACTGGCCAAGGGTCTCCTGCAGTCATAGGCTTCATCTAGCAGCCACAGAGGTTAAAGTCATCAATATTTCTCAAACTTATTATGTAGGCAATTATAGGAATGTATCATTTAATATGGGGACATTTTTGAAGTTGAAAGAGATGAGTTCAATGGTAAACAAGATGGGAGATGTGGTCACCCTACCTATCATCTTTTTGTGGTTCTTGATATCTTGTCCTTTACCCAGCTCTTCTTAAATTTCTATCTTGAGTCCTAGCTTTTCCTGGAACTCTTTTGTGAGTTCCAGACACACACATAGATCTGCCTATTTGACGAATCCACCTGGATGTCTGTTAGACACTAACAGATATGTCAAACTTAACATGTTAAAAGCAGATCTCTTGACCCTTCCCACTCTTAATTCACTCCTTCTCCATCTCAGTAAATGACTCCACCATTTATTGCATTGTCCAGACTAAAACATAGGATTAATTTTGATTCTTCTCTCTTCCTCACCTTAAAATCTACTATCAGAATATTCTACTGACTTTACTTTCAGAATATATGAAAAAAATCTACCCATTTCTTATCATCTTTTGCACCCATCCTAGTCGATATCATTTCTTAGCTAGATAGTTATTTTGTTACTTTCTAACAGGTTCCAGCTCTGATTATTGCTCTAGTATAATCTGTTTTCTACCTAGTAGAGTGATCTTTAAAAATATACATTCCCTACAACGTCATTTCTAGGTCATAAGGTAGGCAAAAGTTTCGCTTGATAGCTATTGACAGTGTCTCAAAGTGTTTGTAACAGTTTCCTCTGCCGCAAGCAATTCTTGAGATTTCCAGTTGTTGGACAGTTTTTTTTCTTTTTAAAAATTTTGGCCATTCTGCTGAGTGGATAATAGTATCTTATTGTGGTTTTAATTTGCATTTGTCTAATAACTATGGTTTTCTTTTGCTTAACTATTTTTTTTTTTTTTTGAGACGGAGTCTCGCTCTGTCACCGAGGCTGGAGTGCAGTGGTGCCATCTTGGCTCACTGCAAGCTCCGCCTCACTGGTTCACATCATTCTCCTGCCTCAGCCTCCTGAGTAGCTGGGACTACAGGCGCCCGCCACCACGCCCGGCTAATTTTTTGTATTTTTAGTAGAGACAGGGTTTCACCACCTTAGCCAGGGTTGTCTCGATCTCCTGACCTCGTGATCTGCCCACCTCGGCCTCCCAAAGTGCTGGGATTACAGGTGTGAGCCACCGCGCCTGGCCAACTATTTAAATATTCTCTTTTAAAAGTGTCTTTTTAAGCTTTTGCCAGTTTTGGAGGGTAGCTTGTCTTTTGTGTATTGATTTTTGAGAGTTTAAAAATATATTCTGTATAAATTATTTGTCAGATACATGTATCCTTAATATCCTCTCCCACTCTGTAGCTTGCCTTTTTTACTCACTTAATTCCTCTTAATTCCAGCAATGCTACTTCTAGGTAATCAAGAGAAATTAGTGCATATCTTCATACACACAAAATGTCCAAATCTGTTCATAGCAGTTTTATTTATGATAGCTGAAAACCAGAAACAATATGAATGTCTATTTATATTAGAATGGATAAATTAGTTGTGGCATATTACAATGTAATACTACAGAGTAATAAAAGGATTGCACTGTTGATATGTACAATAGAATGAATGAGCCTCACAGACATAATGAGGAGTGGGAAATCAAAGTCACATATTTATGGCTCCATTTCTATGAAGTTCCAGAACAAGCAGAATTCATTGATGGTGACAAAGGTCTAAATTGTAGTTGCCTCCTTGAGTTGTAGTTGCTCAGGGAATACTGGAGATGTTAGGGACATCTTATATGTTGACTTGAGATGTGTGCATAGGTAAAAATCCACTGAAATACCATCCAAAATACCATCCACACTTCCTCCAGAGCCTGCAAGGCCCCACATCTAACCTCTGCCTCTCTGTCTGACCTCATTTACTATCAATTTCTGGCTTACCTTGCTGGGATGCTGGTGACTAACTGTTGCTGTATGAACATTGCAAACCTGGCTCCTTCCTCAAAGCCTTTATCCTTGCTGTTTTCTGCACCCAAACTGTTCTTCTTCCAGACACCCACTTGGTTTACAGCTTTGTGTCATCTATGCCTGTTCAAGTGTCACCTCCAAAGCTTCCCCTAACTGCCTTGTCCAAAATTTGCACAACCTTCACCTACCATCTTCTTACTCTGCTTCCCTCACCATGTAACATTTATCACCATTAGAAATTATAATAAATATTTACTTATTTATCGTTTATCAGCTGACTTTCAAATATGTGAGAATATAAACTCCATGAAAACAATCTTTGATTTGTTTACACCAGTATGCACTGTGCCTAGCTGACAGTAGATACTCAATAAATATTTTTTGAGAAAATAAATGAGCAAGTATAGGAAGCTCAATTTTGATATCATTTGTTTCTAAATACTCTATAATTTCTGTTGCAATTTCCTTTTTATTTCCTTATTTCCTTAAAAACTTATCTTATTATCTAAATATAGATTTTTAAAAGGCTATTTTTGTATTGTTAGTTTCTGATGTAATTGCATTATAATCTGAAAGATAGCAATTCTTTGAAATTTAGTGAAATTTCCTTTGTAAACTAGTACATGGCCACTTTTGGCAAATATTTCATGTTGAAAAGATAAGTATTCTCCATGAGATAAGGGCAGGTTTCTACATGTTTATATATTCTCCATGAATACATATCAGATTTATTATTTGCATTGATATAGCTTACCTCTTTATAAAATGTAGCGTATTTGATCTATCAGCTTATGATTTATTTGAACTAACTTCTCCTTTGATGACTGTGGATTTATTAAATTCTCCTTGCAGTTCTATTTTTCTTTTTGTATTTTGAAACTTTGATGCATACCAGTTCTTCTTTGTATATTTTGATGAATTTATTTTTGTTTGCTTTTGTATACTGTCCCTTTTTAATAATTTAGGCCTTTAATTTTGTATTGTCTGATATAAATATACGCACAACAGCTTTATTTCTATAAGAATTTGCTGACATTTTGCTTTTTTTAAAAATATTCAATTATCTGGGCCGGGTGCAATGGCTCACGCCTGTAATCCCAGCCCTTTGGGAGGCCAAGGCAGGCAGATCACGAGGTCAGGAGATTGAGACCACCCTGGCTAACGTGGTGAAACCCCATCTCTAATTAAAAAATACAGAAAAATCAGTTGGGTGTGTTCGCGTGTGCCTGTAGTCCCAGCTACTCAGGAGGCTGAGGCAGGAGAATGGCGTGAACCTGGGGCTTGCAGTGAGCCAAGATCACGCCGCTGCACTCCAGCCTGGGTGACAGAGCCAGACTCCATCTCAAAAAAAAAAAAAAAAATAATAATTCAATTATCTGTGTCACTATATCCAGTCTAAGAGTAACTGTCCTGTCTTAAAGTAGATTAATCTAATCTTCTTAGCTTTATTGTGATCACTGATAATATTTTTATATTTTAAAACTTTTTCACTTTTGTTTTGCTTTTCTTCATTTTCTTCCTTGCCTTCCATTGGATATTTAAAGTCTTCTTTATTCTGCTTTTTTTTTTCATTCTGGTTTGGAAGTTATCAAATATACTTCTTGTGTATGTGTGATTATCTTTAAAATTTTAACTTGTACTCCAACACCCAGGCTGGAGTTCAGTGGTGCGATCTCAGCTCACCGCAACTTCCCCCTCCCAGGTTCAAGTGATTCTCATGGCTCAGCCTCCCAAGTAGCTGAGACTACTTTGTATGGGCATTTCCCACTCATATTAGTAAGCCAAAAACCAAATGTACGTCATGAAAATGCTGACTATGAACCTAGTTCCATTATTTTTCTGAACGTTGACACATTATACTCGTTTTCTATTTGCTTTTGTAACAGATTATTACAAACTCGGTGGCTTAAATAATATAAACTTACCGTCTTACAGTCTGGAATGCAGCAGTATAAAATGAGTTTCAGTGGATTAAATCCAAGGTGTTGACAGGACTGTATTTCCTTCTAGAGGCCCTGGAAGAAAACGTTTTCTTGACTTTTCCAGCTTCTAGAGGCCACCACGTGCCCTGGCTCATGGCTTCTTCATCCTTCATTTCCTGCACTACTGTCTTCTTTGGTGTTTAGCTACATTTTTTCTTGTAGTGAATTAAATTTACTTCTTGTTTGCTTTTGTGTATATTCTTCAAACAATTTTTCGGTTATCATGTGACTACATTTAACATCCTAAAGTTATAATACTCTCATTTGAACATATACTATCTTAAGTTAAATAATGTACAAAAATATGTTCTTTTAACAGCTTTGTCTACACTCTTTTCAGTTGTTAATGTCACAAAATTATTACTTTGTACATTGTCCAAAAACATAAATTAATAATTTTTATGCATCAGTTTCTGAAATTATTTAGAAAACAATGTGAAGTTACAAATCAAGGTGACCATAATACTATCTTTTAGGCTAATAATTACTTTTTAAATGTATTAGTCTTCTAAATCATGTAGAAAACAAAAAGTGGAGTTAAATAACTAGCTTTTGTAATTGCTCTTGCACTTACTTTCTCTAAGATCTTTATTTATTTATTTATTTTGAGACAGAGTCTCGCTCTGTCACCCAGGATGGAGTGCAGTGGAACGATCTTGACTCATTGCAAGCTCGGCCTCCTGGGTTCACGCTATTCTCCTCCCTCAGCCTCTCGAGTAGCTGGGACTACAGGTGCCCGCCACCATGCCTGGCTAATTTTTTGTATTTTTAGTAGAGACGGGGTTTCACCATATTAGCCAGGATGGACTCGATCTCCTGACCGCGTGATCTGCCCGTCTTGGCCTCCCAAAGTGCTGGGATTACAGGCATGAGCCACCGTGCCTGACCAGGAACTTTATTTCTTTATATGGCTTTGAGCTACTATTCAGTGTCCTTTCATTTCAGCCTCTGGGACTCCCTCTATCATTTCTTTTAGAGGTGGTATAGTCATAACAAACTCTCTCAGCTTTTGGTTTTTTTGCAACTTCTTAGTTTTTCCATTATTCTTATTCTTATTGTTTTATTTTGTTTTTATTTTTTGTGTAAGAGTCTCGCCATGTCACCCAGGCTGGAGTTCAGTGGTGCAATCTTGGCTCACTGCAACTTCCACCTCCCAGGTTCAAGTGATTCTCATGCCTCAGCCTCCTGAGTAGCTGAGACTACAGGTGCACACCACCACACCCGGCTAATTTTTGTATTTTTAGTAGAGACAGAGTTTCACCATGTTGACCAGGCTGATCTTGAACTCCTGGCCTCAGGTGATCCACCTGCCTCTGCCTCCCCAGATGCTGGAATTACAGGCATGAACCACTGCACCCGACTAGTTTTTCCTTGATTTTTGAAGGACAGTTTTGCTGGATATACAATTCCTAGTTGACAGCTTTCTTGGGGGGGGGGGTTGTTGCCATTGTTCATTTCAGCACTTTAAATATACTAGCCCATTGTTTTCTGTCTATCAAAGTTTCTGATGTAAAATATGATGGTGTTATTGAGGGCCCCTTATATATAATGAGCCACCTTTCTTGCCACTTTCAAAATTCTCTTTGTCTTTTGATGATTTGATTACAATGTGCCTTGGTGTGGGTTCTTTGAGTTCATCCAATTTGTGTTTTCTGAGCTTCTTAGATATTTATATTAATGTCTTTCATCAAATTTAGAAAGCTGTGGACCATTATTTTTTCAAATATTCTCTCTGATTCTTTCTCTGTCTTTTCCCCTTCTAGGCTTCCCACAATGCATATGTGGTCCGCTTGATGGTATCCTACAGGGTCTTTAGGCTTCATTCACTTCTTGAATATTCTCTTTCTGTTCCTCAGACTGGATAATTTCCATTGTTCTGTCTTTATGTTCACAGATTCTTTCCCTACCTGCTCAAATCTGCCCTCTAGTAAATTTTTTATTTGAGTTATTACACTTTTCAGCTCCGAATTTCTTTTTTTTTTTTTTTTTTTTTTTTTTTTTGAGACGGAGTCTCGCTCTGTCGCCCAGGCTGGAGTGCTGGAGTGCAGTGGCGGGATCTCGGCTCACTGCAAGCTCCGCCTCCCGGGTTCACGCCATTCTCCTGCCTCAGCCTCCCAAGTAGCTGGGACTACAGGCGCCCGCCACTACGCCCGGCTAATTTTTTGTATTTTTAGTAGAGACGGGGTTTCACCGTTTTAGCCGGGATGGTCTCGATCTCCTGACCTCATGATCCGCCCGCCTCGGCCTCCCAAAGTGCTGGGATTACAGGCGTGAGTCACCGCGCCCGGCCGCTCCGAATTTCTTTTTGGCTTCTTTTTAGGTTTTCAATCTCTGTATTAATATTTCCATTTTGCTCATACATTGTTTTCTTGACCATTGTATGTCCTACTTTAGTTCTTTGAGACTCTCTAGTACAAATGTTTTGAAGTTTTTCTTGTAGCTCTGCCATCAGGTCTTTTTCAGGGACAATTTCTGTTGGCTCACTTTTTTTTAATCTTTGAGTGGACCATATTATCCTGCTTCTTTGTATACTTTGTGATTTTTTTGTCAAAATTGCATATTTGAATCTAATAATGTGTTAACTCTGAAAATCAGATTCACTCCCTTCCCCAGGCTTTGCTACTTTAAAAAGTTGGTGTAGCTTGTGTCTTTGCTAAGGATTATCTTGACATATAAACTTAAGGTCATCTTGGGTCTTTTCTGAGCCTTCATCTTCCTCTGGAGATTTGTGGTTATTCCCTAATTTCCCTCATGTAAGTGGAGACTTTTGAATCTCCTAATCTTCAGTATCTGTCTACCAAAAGAGGAAATAAAGAGGTACAAGGGGACTTGGTCTTTTAAACTCCCAGAAAGTCACTTCAGCCATAGAAAAAAGTGACCCAAACCATGAAGGTGCAACAACCATGGCCACTGGACTCTTTGTCTGCACTTTGGTAATCAGAAGCAGCAACTAGTGATCAGACCATAGATTCTTAAATTAACATTTGGAGGACAGGGTCCTTTTTGACCACACTGGCTTCTGCAAGCTGTGTGCAAATTGGCAGAGAAACACTTGGACAGCTGTGGGGTGGAGGATGGGTTGCTGCTACAGTGCTAAGAGCTACAGTTGACATAAATTAACTGCAAATTACCATCCAAGCCTTCCCCTGGAAGCTGCAAGCCTCTAATTGATTCCAGAGTTGCAAGATAGTTACATCAGACAGATTCTGCCAGTGAAATTGTTGTCTAGTGAGAAGACAGATTTCTGGCACTTCCTACTCTTACATCTTCTCCAAATTTTCCTTTTCATTATTTCCATTCGGTAAAAGTATAAGATGTTACACATCAACTAAAACCACTAGTGAATGTCCTAAAGCAAAGTGCACACACACACACACACACATCCAATAAATAATGAAGTTGGTGTTAAGATGCAAAATTGTTAAAGTATTGCTTTTGGATTACTAATTAACATGATAATTAGCAAACAGTTGCTTTGAATTCAGCATTATGTCTTTGCTTGGCATTTGCAACATCTCTAGTGCACATTGAAGGGTTTTTAAAATGGCTAAAGATGACTATCATGTTAGACCAATTGTATTTGGAAGGGAACCCAAGGCTTTTGCTATATATCATTTTGGTTAATATACTATGTTGAATTTAGGGAATCTAAATACAAGTTTTATTCATATAAACATTAACCAAAGTATGAGATATATATCTATATAGATACAGATAGATATTCATTCTATGAAATTTAAATGTTCTACCTAGAAAACAGTCGCTGATGAGATTTTAAGGCATGCCTAAATGGGGAAACATATTTTTATTTTAGATCCTTGATCCTTCTTCTGAGCAAACAAGGAACTTTATGTGCTTTTACTATCCACTAAATCTTCTTATTACTTCAAAAAATTTTAATTTTACTGTTTCTTCGAAACAAAATTGCTGTTATTACTATTTTTTAAACTATGATGAGCTCATTAGATGTTACAAAAAGGTTTACAAAATCTTTTCTTTCTTGTGTTACCTGTATTTCACTCATTTCTCTGGAACTCTCTACCCTCTCTTTAGGAAGGTTTTCTGGATGTTAATCTACTTTGTATCTTTCTATGTTTGAAAATGTTTCTACTTCATCCTCATTCTTGAAAGATAGTTTAAGTAGGTACAGGGTTAACAATGACGCTCTCTACTTCTGTATTTCTTGACAAACCCTGACCCTAGAATGCAATTCAAACAACAGGCTACTTGCATTGCTCTGAATCCTCCACAAAGCCCCAGGAGAGAAGCAGCTGAATTTTCCTGTCCCTGAGCCCTGAAGTTTCTGTCTAAACATGAAGCAGGTGAGCAAGCACTGAGAATTAATTACCCCTTTTGCCACATACATTATATCATTTCCTTATGATCTCCTTCTGGGTCTACGATATGAACGTCTTCCAAATTAGACCTTTCTCCAGAGTGCTGCTTAATTCCCAAATATTGTTTGGTTCATTTTCATGTGGACATATTATTATTATAATGCTTTTATAGTAAGGTGCAGGGTCAAGTTACAAGGTCAAAAAGAGCGTGAATATGTAATAAAGCTTCATGAGACGCTATATGCTGTTGGGGACCATCTCTATAGTGATGAAAAGAATGAGAGGCACTCTCCAGTTTCGCCTATTTTCCCTCCTTGCTTTTTCTCTCCCTTTCCAAGATTAGATTCTCTTGAATTTATGTATTTTAATTCTCAGTTTCTCTTCTCTAATCCTGATGCATTTTTCCCTTCTCCTGTTCAACAGATTTTTCTCTGGTTAATGCTTTCTATTCAACATACAGAATTCTAGATTGGAAGTGGTGATTTTAAGACTGAAATGATTTTATTGTCTTCTGGTATCTATTGCCACTAATGACAAATCTGCTAATTGCCAGTCCTTTGTGGGTCTTTTTTCTCTGGTAGTTTTAAAAACTTTTTTTTCTTTAATAGCCTTTTGCTTTACCCCAATATGACTAGGCTAATTTTTCTTTACCTTGTTATTCATTTCTTCCTCCAGTCTGAAAAATTCTCAGTGAGTTTTTCAAACATGAGTTTATATCTTCAACTGTTTTCTCTTTCTGTGCTGTGTAGGCAGATATTATTTAGTTTATCTTCTTATTTACTGAATATTCCCTCCCTTCCCTCCCTCCCTCCCTCCCTTCCTTTCTCTCTCTCTCTCTCTTTCTTTCTTTCTTTCTTTCTTTCTTTCTTTCTTTCTTTCTTTCTTTCTTTCTTTCCCTCAGATGGAGTCTCGCTCTGTTGCCCAGGCTGGAGTGCAGTGGTGCGATCTTGGCTCACTATAAGCTCCGCCTCCCAGATTCATGCCATTCTCCTGCATCAGCCTTCTGAGTACCTGGGACTACAGGCACCCACCACCATGCCCAGCTAATTATTTTGAATTTTTAGTAGAGATGGGGTTTCACCATGTTAGCCAGGATGGTCTCGATCTCCTGACCTCGTGATCCACCCACCTCGGCCTCCCAAAGTGCTGGGATTACAGGAGTGAGCCACCACACCTGGCCTGAATATTCTTTCTTTTAAAGAGAAAAATGATAGATAATGTTTATACTGTCTTTCAAGAGTTTTTTAAATTTCAATGACTATATTTGCCATTTCTAACATTTCTAATTGATTACTTTTTAGGTACACATGTTCCCTGTGCTTTCCTTCATAATATTTTTCAATGCAGCTATATCCCTCTTTTGTCTTTCAGAAGATATGAAAAAATTATATTACAGCTGTAATATACAGCTGTGTTGGGCTACTTTGCTAGTCTTGAGTGAATACTCTGCTGTATTTGCTGCCTGGTTAGTGTTGGTTTCTGCTGTGTGGTCAGAATTTTATTTTGCAAATGCATCTTGAAGAAGAAATTTTAGTTTTTTCTCTGTAATCACCCCAGATGTTTTAGAAGCTTCATTATTGCTCTCATCACCTTATCCCTATGGCTTCATAAAGGCCACAGTTCCTGTATGGACAGCCTGAGCTTCCTGTCCTGGAGTGACACTCAGTATATCTGAGATCAAGTTCTCGAGGTAGCAGTGGCTTGGCCAGGTCCTGGCACTATGCATGTGTCTGCTGAGCAGCCTGTGCCCTCCGCTCCCCGGGTATGGCCTGTGTCACCAGCGCTAGCTTCAGCAGCCTTATGCAGTACACCTAGTTCTCATCCTCCACACAAACAGCGTGCTTTCAGTGTGGTTGTCTCTCAGGAGTGTAAGAGATCACACCTCTGTCTCTTTCCACTTCTGAAGGCTATGAGGCTGCAGCTTGCTGTCTCAGGCCTCAAGCTTCCCTCTATGTTTCTGACCCATTTCTGATCCATGAAACTATGTGTGCCTGTTTTTACCTTATTTTTTGTGTTACCTATGATTTCTATGTGGGCGAAGGAGGTAGGATTAAATGCTTGATCTCACAGTGCCATTCTGAGAGGTTTTCAGCCTCTCTATTCTGAATGAGTTTAGCAGCCTCCCCACCCCCCAGCACACATGAAAGGAGGGGGCTCAGAGGGTCTCTTAGGTCCCCAGTGCCAAGGGTTTGGGTGTGATGAAGGACATGATTCCGGTCAGTGCCTCAATCACAAACAGGGCAGGGCAAGAGGGTGCACAAAGTTTGGTGTGACCTGTCCCCATAAATGGAGAAGCAACTCAAATCCCACATCCTGCCCCAAGGCATGAAGAGATAGGTGGGAAAGCAGCCCTTCTCCTCTCCTGGAGGAGGCTCCTCAGTGCCAGCGACAGGATGCTCTGTCCCTGGTATGGACTACTGTTCCCACTGCCCATGTACATAGTAAGCCGTGTGCTATAAAAAGCAACCCATATAAACAGTCACTGAATCGCCTGTTGAATTGGGAACATTCCTGCTGATTAACCTGAAAGCTTTTTCCAATTGAAGATTGGCATAGGGGTTGAAAATATAGAATGTATTCAGTTTTACATTGTTTAGAGTACTCTAAAAAAAATCCCTTTAAAAATGTCTTCAGGCGAGCGTTTTGGAGCACACAATAAACAGCAGATAAAAAGGACAGTATTTCCCAGGAAATCGAAGTTGACATATTTGTTTTCAGTTGCTATTTATGACATGTTGGGAATTGTTCCTCTTTATTTGTGGTTGTATAACAACCCACAATCTAGTTCTCTCACTCTGACCTAATTCCAGAGGTCTGCATGTCCTTCCCCAAGAAGGGCTGGGCTCCTCCTGTCTGACCACTACCTGGCCTTGATTAGTGTGACCTTCTTTTGTAGCTAGGCGCCAGCCATGTGGGGTTGACCCTTATTAGTGGCCATCTCAGGCCATAGAGGGCATGTATTTGTTCATTCCTCAGGACTGATTGTCTGGGAATATGAAGGTCTTTCAAAATTATGCTCCAGATGGAATAGAACCTGGACCAAGTTCTTTCTGCAGTGATAACTAGTAATGGAGTGGTAAACTGTGTGCAAATGGATGGAATCTAGCATCATGGAGGTCCTTATGCATGAACAGCTTGATAACACAGATTAGCAAACACAGAGACCACTCGTCTTATGGTCAGCAGTAAAGTGGACATTGTGCCGATGGAAGTGATCTTCTGGCTTCCATATCTGAAGGACAGATGGCTCGGCTCTGGAAACAGAAGAGCAGAGGGCATGTTTGCTGAGAGAAAACAGGCTGGCATTGCTGCGGAGTGGCCCATTCAATGCAAGGTAGATTCATGGAGAGGAGGGTATATGAGCTGGTGGCACTCTGGCACATCCAGATGATTAAACCAACAGGAAAGTTCTGGCTGGGTGCTCAGGAGTGAAATCCAGGGAAAGGCAGGGATTTGGCAGGATTCCATTAGAGAATATTCAGGAAATGAGGGAAAGAGGCTTTGGGGACCATGCAATAAGAAGACCAAAAGAGGCAGCAGGTCAAGAAAGGAGGCAGAAAGAATGGAGGAGAACCCACGAAACAGAGATCCATGGAGGCTGCGTGTGTGCCTAGTCACCAGAGGAGGAAAGGAGCAGGAGGGCTGGGGAAAGTTCTGCCCTTGTTGAGGTTTCTGTCCAATTCTGGAAGAAGAATTTCAATCAAACTGCAGAGCTGGAGGACAGATTGGGAGGAAGCTGAAATGAATGCAGATAACTACTTTAATATTTGGACAGGAAGGAGAAGCTATCAGGAGACAGGCATCAGGACGTGAAAAATGTTCACTTTAGAACTGCTTTCATGGCCTTTTAGAACAGTCCTGAGCATAATTTACACAGGAGACACCATGCACAACGGGGAAGGAGAAACCCAACATGAAGATAACATATGAAGGAGGAGAGGGAAGGGAGGCAGCCTGGCCTAACTGACACATTAGCACCCAGGATTGAGAGGTCAGAAATAAGTAGCATGAGCATGCATGCCAACCTTGGAAAAGCGAGGGGGGATGAAAAACAAATCAATGAGTGCAAAGTAGTTTTATTATTATTATTATTATTATACTTTAAGTTCTGGGGTACATGTGCAGAACGTGCAGGTTTGTTACATAGGTATACACGTGCCATGGTGGTTTGCTGCACCCATCAACCAGTCATCTACATTAGGTATTTCTCCTAATGCTATCCCTCCTCTAGCACCCCCAACCCCCGACAGGCCCTGGTGTGTGATGTTCCCCTCCCTGTTTCCATGTGTTCTCATTGTTCAACTCCCACTTATGCGTGAGAACATGTGGTATTTGGTTTTCTGTTCCTGTGTTACTTTGCTGAGAAGGATGGTTTCCAGCTTCATCCATGTCCCTACAAAGGACATGAACTCATCCTTTTTATGGCTGTATAGTATTCCACAGTGTACATATGCAATTTTAAATTAGAAAAGAGAAATGAGGACAGCTAGGTGACTTCTGAACATCCCTGGAATGATAAAGAAGCCCATAGATTTACAGCAGTGCTATCCAGTGTAACTTTGTGGGGTGATGGAAATGTCCCTTCTGCACTGCCCAGCGTGGTAACCACTAGCACCGTGTGCCACTAGTGAGTGCTCAAAATGAGGCTAGTGAGACAGAGGATTGAAATTATTTTAAATGTGAGGTGGTTTATGCCTGCAATCCCAGTGTTTTGGGAGGCCGAGGCGGAAAGATTGCTTGAATCCAGAAGTTCAAGCCCAGCTTGGGCAGCATAGTGAGACCCTGTCTCTACAAAAATGAACAAAATTAGCCGACTGTGGTGGCATGTACCTATAGTCCCAGTTACCCAGGAGGCTGAGGTGGGAGGATTTCTTGAGTCTGGGAGGTCAAGGCTGCAGTGAGCCGAGATTGTGTCACTTCACTCCTGCCTGGATGACAGAGCTAGACCGTGTCTCAAAAAAAAGAAAAGGAAAAAAAAAGTAAAAAGACAAATGTGGTGAGTGGCTGTCACGTTGTACAATGTAGGTGAGATATCAAAATCACCTCGTTCCAGGGTGGTGGCTCTCGAGAGCCACTAACTCTTCTCTGCAGGATGCAAGTGTCCGCAGCAGCCCTCCTGCTCCATCCTGCCTCCCTGGTCTGCCTAGAGGAGGAGAGGAGGGCCATCCCAGTGAGGAGACCTCGCTGCCCCAAACTTAGACTTTCACCTTCTCAAAATAAGACTTCTGAGACTAATTGCATCTTTGGTCTGTGTTCACCTCAGTCCCCACCACAAATCTAAACCTTGGGGGTCACCTTTATCGCAATTAAGAGCTTTACCTACTCTATTCTGAAATACGGTCATCAGACGTCATGCCCCACCCTTCCCTGCCACGTGCTATGCTGCTGTACAGCCTGGAATTCCACATGGTCCACAACGGCTATCTGGTATCCTCAGTTTCTTTTCAGATTTTCCTTTTCATGTCAGCTGAAACTGTAGCGTCCCCTCATGCAAGTGGAGATATTTTTGCTCTTCCACCCCACATCCCTCCAGTCACAGACACAGGTAAGTGTCCACAATTTCCTCCTCCGCACCCCTTCATGTGACAGCTTCCTTGACACACACATCCCCTTCCACTCTCTTTCCTCACTGCCCACACAGCCCGGTCACTGCTCATCACACAAGGACGATGTTGGAATCAGCGTCTTCCTCTCTGTTCAGCTCTGGCCACCATGCTTCATAACCTCAGTGTCCCCAGGCTTCAGTCACCCACACAATAATTTCCCAGTGCCTCTTCCCCGGCCCACATCAGCTCCTCACTCCAGTATGACAACTCACACCATCACATCACCACTCCTGAGAACAGAGCTCCAATCCCCTTCCATTACCTTTTCCCCTAGTCTCCAGCTCACATTCCCTCATACTTCCACCGGCAGTTCCCAGACCTCATTTCCATCTCCAGCCCTTGGAGATGGAGATCTAAGTGGGATGATGTCTAGGCTTTATTATTGCTAGCCTCACCAAGATATTCACTTCTTCCTTACTCAGATCAGTCTATGGTACTGTCCTTAACCTACTCCTGAAAAACTCCTTTAACTTCCTCCCTCCACTCTCCTTCTGTCATACTTGTTGACTGTCTAACTATTGCAGATATACACCAAATGACCTGGACTTGTTGGGAAAAAATAAGTCAGTAGTCAATGGTTTTATTTTCAAACTTTTTACTTCAAATTTAAGTAAGTTCTCCGACTGCCAAGCCATTCTGCTACAAACCCTAGGGTGCTCATTCACCCAGTTTCCAAAACAACTTTCCACACCTCTCTGTTCCTCCATCCTTCAACACCACCTTCCTTCCGCTGCTGATTCTGGGCTGATAACTTTGCCTTATTTATGTAGGATAAATATGAAGCAATAAGATAAAACTCCTTCTACTTGCACTGTTCATCCACCAACCTATCTGCATCAGTGCCTGCTATGCCTTCTCACTTATTTCCTGTGATGATGGATCCATCTCTGCTCCTTTCTGAATGCACACTTACATCTTGGCTGCCCTACATCCTCAGCTTCTCAAGTGAGACTCTACAAACAATTATCTGCTCTTTGCCCTACATCATCATTTCTGCTCCTCTACTGGGTTAAGTATTGTTCATTGTAACAACAAATCTTCCTTGACCCCTTCTTCCTCCACAGCTGCTTCCAACAGCCTATCCTGCATCTCATGTGTCTGCCTGGGGGCATCTAGACAAAATAGAACTCTTGATGTCCAGCCTTCTCACCTTTTCCTTTCTCAGCTTTCCCATTTCAGCTCAATTCTGGCTCCATGTTTGCTCAATCACCCCAATAACAAGCTAAGTCTAATGGTCTCCTTTCCCCATGTTCTTGCTAATACAATAGTTAGCTTTCTTGTGGTGTAATATCAAGCAGATAAGCTTTGAAACTGCAAAGAATAGAATCCAAGTCTCACTCTCACTTTATCATCCATGTTATCTTGGGCATGTTTCTTAATCCCTCCCAGACTTGTTTCTTATTTGTAACTATTTAATGATAATTTTCATCCTGCAGAGTTTTTAGGTGCAAAAGAACAAAGATTCTGGTAATAATTCCATCAGCACAGTGGTCAATGTTCTCTCTCTTTTCCTTTGGAGTTTTACATTTTAACAGATAAAGGCATTAACTCTTCCAGAAGTATCACATTAAAAACAAAAGTTTCTTAGTCATGTAATTCCAAACACAGAGGTGTTCTGACTTTATACCCTGGAATAGAGGAGTTTTAAGAGAATGATGCTTTAGTGGTTGAAATGCTGAGCCCTCACTTTCTTTTCTAAAAAAGAAAGAATCACTGCTTTTCTATGAATTATATATCGAGGTTTTGCTTACATTTTTTGAAAGGTGTATGTTACTTTAAAAAACTTTAAAAACTACTTGTTTAAGGGCAACATCATACCTTTACTTTTTCGTGTTTTCTTCTCTTTTCTTTCTTTCTTTTTTTTTTTTTTTTTTTTGAGACGGAGTCTTGCTCTGTCACCCAGGCTGGAGTTCAGTGGTGCGATCTTGGCTCATTGCAACCTCCGACTCCCTAATTCAAGCGATTCTCCTGCCTCAGCCTCCTGAGTAGCTGGGATTACAGGCATGCACCACCATGCCCAACTAATTTTTGTATTTTTAGTAGCGATGTGGTTTCACCAGGTTGGCCAGGATGGTCTCAATCTCCTGAGCTCGTGATCCACCTGCCCTGGCCTCCCAAAGTGCTGGGATTACAGGTGTGAGCCATGGTGCCCGGCCAACATCATACATTTTCGTAGAAATTTTAGGCATGTTGACAAACTTCTGGAGGAGATATTACAGGAACAAAGGGTGATAATTCACAGATTACTCTTATTCCTTCAATGTATAATGAGTAATGTGGTCTTGATATCTATTAATATAAAATGGTGTGCAGCATTTTAAAATACTTAACGTGTTAATCTAAAGAGTTGGTTACTATCCTTAAGTCAGATTGTTTTCTTGGGTTGGGTTCCTACACAGACTTTGAGACAGCAATTCCAGTCAAGGGGTTGATTTGGTAGGTGATACCCGGAAAGCACAGTAGGGGAGGGGTGAGACAAGGATGGGAGGGAAGCAGGTAACCCGGGCTCTTTCTCTTCCTTTTTTTTTTTTTTTTTTTTTTTTTTTTTGTGAGACGGAGTTTCGCTCCGTTGCCCAGGCTGGAGTGCAGTGGCGCGATCTCGACTCACTGCAAGCTCCGCCTCCCAGGTTCCCGCCATTCTCCTGCCTCAGCCTCCTGAGTAGCTGAGACTACAGGCGCCCGCCACCACGCCCGGCTAATTTTTTGTATTTTTAGTAGAGACAGGGTTTCACCGTTTTAGCCAGCAGGGTCTCCATCTCCTGACCTCGTGATCCACCCGCCTCGGCCTCTCAAAGTGATGGGATTACAGGCGTGAGCCACCGCGCCCGGCCACCGGGGCTCCAGTACTTCAGGGAGACTGGAGCACACCTGACGTGACCCACCCCCGGGACAAGGAAGCAGGAAGATCATCCTCCAACTCCCATCCCGCTGGCTGCGGGCTGCTGGCAAGGCTTCAGCTCTGTGGCTCTTCTGCTCTGCTCCACGTGAAGGCCAAGAGGAAGCCCTCAGGGATGGAGCTGCAGAGGCTCGAGCTGGAGTAGAGCAGGGATATGGGTGAGCACCATAGCTGCTTGTTACAAATAACATATTAAGAAAATGCTCGTTTCATATAATTAAATTCACACATGTAGCGAATGCAGGGTAATGCTTGAGCTTTGAAGTTGGACAGATTTAAGTTGGAATTTCCCTCCTATTGGTACTAGCAGTATGACATTCAACCAGCTATTTAGCTGCTTCATACATGGTAAAGCTTTCTTAGGATGTATAAATGAGTATACATTTATGAAACTCTAACTGAATTTCTGGCATATATTAGGTATTCAATTAGCATTAAGGTATATTACAAGCAATAAAATTGCTGTGGCTTAAGGTATGTTACTCTTCAAATTTACAAGGTAATTCCAATTTTTTCCAACAATTCCAGTCGTTAAACAGATTTACATTACCACCAGAGGTTTATGGGAGTTTCGGTTGCTTTACATCCTTGACAATTTTCAGTCTTTATAATTTTAAACTTTGCCTTAGGTATGTAGCAGTATCTCATTGCGGTTTTAGTTTTCATTTCCTTACAGATTAACAAGATTTGTTGGGGTCATTTGAATATTCACTTTTGTCATGTGCCTGTTCAAATTTCTTGCCTATTTATCTATTTAGTTGTATTTTTATTGATTTATAAACAATTTATGTAGTTTGGATACCAGTCTTTTTTGGTATTATATGTTGCTAATACCTTTTCCCACTTGGTGACCTGCCTTTTCATTCTCTTAATTGATGAACAGAACTTTTTAATCTTGAAAGTAATCCAATTTATCGATCTTTTCCTTTATGTTCACTGCTTCCTGTCAGGTTAAAACATTTCCTCATAACAATATTGTGAAGATATTTCTCCATGTTGTGTTTCAGAACTTTCATATTTTTTACGTTTTACATTTAGACCTGCAAATAAACTGGAGTTGATTTTTGATTTTTGAATGGTATGAGGTGGGTTATGTTTTCTTTTTTTTTCTGTGCAGATAACCATTTGACTCATCAAATTTACTGAAAGCATATCATCCCTTTACTGAATTGCAGTTTCATTTTTTTATAAGTAAATTTACATATGTGCAGTTGTGTTTTTATACTCCCTGGTCTCTTGCATTCATCTATTTGGTTTTCCTGGTGCCAATTTCTATACTTTATTAACTAAGGTAAATTTATCATACATTTTGATATTTGAAGAAGCTTTCCAACTTTATTATTTTTCAATATTTCCTTGGCTATTCTTGACACTTTATACACATACAAATTTTAGAATCAGCTAGATAATAACTATAAAAACTACTTGCTGATATTATAATTTGGATGGTGTTGAATCTATAAATAATTTGGGGGGACCATTGGCCTCTATATACAATTGAATCATCAAATCCATTAATACAGTATAGCCTGCCATTTACTTAAGTAAGGTATTACAAGTAATACCTTATAGCTTGTTGTGAGGCAATCTTGCTTCACTGGATCTATTTGCAAGTTTAGGATGGTTTATAAGTAATAGCTTACGTTAATTTCTAATGTTCTTGTTAGTATATAGTAATGCAATTGGTATTTGCTAATTATTCTTGTATTCAGCATCCTTGCTAAATATACTTCTAAATTCTAATAATTTGCTTGTAGAGTCACTTTTATTTTCTACATACCCAAACATATTGTCTGCAAATAATGACAGTTGTGTTTCTTCTTTTCTAATTCTTGCAATTTTAATTTCTTTTCCTGGCCATATTGCACCAGTTAAAGCCTCAAAGATGATGTCAAATTGAAGTAATCTTTGTCTCCTCTTTATTTCAAATGAGCAAGCTTTCAACTTTTTATACTTAAGTGTGATGTTTGTTGTAGGTTTATGTAGATACCATTTATCAGATTATGGGCATTCTTTTCTATTACCAGTCTGCTAGGTTATTTTTTATTAATTTAAAAATGATGAACAGATGTTGAATTTTTTCACATGTATTTTCTGCATCTAATAATATAATTATGATGAATTATCTGTCATTCCATTAATGAATTACATTGACTGATTAGCAATGTTCAACCATTATTGCAGTCTTAGAAATAAACTCAGCTTTGTTATGATGTCTATATGATGCCAATATTATAAGATTTTTGCATTTCACATTTATGTTTATGAAGAAGATTGATCTGTGATTTCACCTTCTTGTAATGTACTTGTCAGATTTGATATCAAGTTATGTTTTTGCATAAAAGAAATAGAGAATAATTTGGTATCATTTCTATCTTAAAATTTTAGTAAATTTACTGGTGAAAGCATTTAGGCCTGAATTTCTTTTCCTGTAGAAAAAAATGTTTAATTGTTGATAAATTTTCTCTCATAGATTTAGTACTATTCAGAGGTTCTATGTTTCTTGTGTTAATTTTATAATTGAGGCTTTCTGGACCTTAGTCAATTTCTATCTACCTTTTTCAAACTCATTGGTGTAAAGTTTTGCATACAATCATTTTGTCTTTTAAATGTATGTAGGGTCTGTAGTAGTATTCCATTTTTAATCCCCAAATTGGTAATTTGTACATTCTTTCTCTTCTTGAATTTGTTTGTAGTTATTTTCTATTTTATTGCAGTTATTTTTTATGTTGTTATTTTTTGTTTGCATCTTTAGAAAAGGCGAGAAATTTATATGATCTGGAGAGAAACCAGAGTGTAAGTTTGCATCTTTATTAATTCCTCCCTTCTACTATCGTTGATTTAATTTGATCTTCACTTTATAACTTTCAGTGTTAGATATTAAACCCCTTAATTTCTAAAATTTCTAATTTTATAATATATTCATGTGAATACAGCTTTAGCTGTGTCTCACAAGCTCTACACTGTATTTTTATCACCATTCAGTTGAAAGCATTTCTAGTTTCCTTTGTTATTGTTTTCTCTGACCAGTAGATGATTTAGAAGCTGTGTCTGATGCTTCTGGTGCCAACATTTCATCTCCCAGTCTGCTCTGGTTTCAGCTGCAGCTGCAGTGAGCTCCTTTCTTGTTGACAGCCTCTCACCTCAAGTGTGACCCGTGTAACTCTCTACTTCTGCTCCAGGACAACTCAGATTCTCTGGGAGGCTGCTTGACTTGTGCACAAATCCAGTTGTCCAATACAGGGAAGTCAATCTCTATCTACCATTTTCAAACTCCTTGGAGGAGTTTGCCTTTTTCAAATTTCCTTGGAGGGAAATTGACCTCTAAGGCCACTCAATCCATGGTCAAGTGGAGCTGGTATATAAATGTCTCAGCCTTCTTTCCTTCACTGGTAAGTTCTGGGGTGCTTTATGCCTGTCACAGGTTCCTAAGCAATCAAGTCATCATTGGACAAACCAGATACTTTACATCATTGGGTTTCCCAGATTCCTTGTCTGGATTTTCCCATTCTCTCATTGCTGCTTCCAGAGAGCACCTTCCAAATAGACTCTCTATACTATGCTCTTATCTCCAGATCTGCTTTTGGGGGAATTCAAAATATAACTATTGTATTACTTAATTTCCAATTATAAAGAAACTCAGGTTTTTTTTGAAATTAGTGATTTCTACCTTAATTTTACTGTGGTCAGAGAAAATTTCCTCTAAAATCAGTACTTTTGAATCATGCTTATATATTATCTGTTCCAAAATACATAACATTAGTATTTAAAAAGGATATATAATGTAGCTGATGTGGCAGGTGGTGGTATTTTTAGTGGACAGAGGAAAGAGATTGTAAATAGAAATGGTCAAGGGCAACTTCTTTCTTGGGTTGTCATTTGGGTACTGAAGTTTGTCCTGCCATCTTTGCAGCTGAGTGATAAAATGGGGCCTGGAGGTGCCTCTCATCTTCAAGATGCCCTCACCTTTTGGAAGCTAAGTGGGAATGGTGGAGCTCCACATAGAGTAGGCAAGGAGCAGGCTGCATGCACGAATGTTTTAATGCGGGCCTTAATCTAAGAGTTTCTCAAAGTCACCCGTGGTGCAGCTTCATTCACAGCCAAGAGAATAGATAGGGATTTGTGGCCAATATTTCATGTGGCAAGAGTGAGGATTTGTCTGTAATGCTCTGTGTTTGTTTCCGTAAAAGAACATAGTACGGCTCCTGGTGGCTTTGGTAAGAAGCTGATTGTGGACAGAACTGAATGCGTAATTTATTCAGAACAAAATGAAAATATGAACACTTTTACAAAATACATGAATAAAAGTGCCGTTAAAGGTGCTAACATATCATGTTTTTACATTTTCCATAGTTTTTCTCTTGACTTATCATGATGTTTTCAAATGTGCTATTTAATGTCATAATAAGTAAAGACAAATTACCATTATTAATTATTAGCATGCATTTTACCATTCATCTTTACATAAAATTGGCAGTTGCATTTTGTAGCTCATACATGCATATGTATTTCATTCTTACCAGAATGGTGGAAATGCTGCACAAAATAAAGTCAATTGCTTTTATTTCACTTCATGATATGCACACTTTCTACCAACTCTCTACCTTTGGCTGACTAATGAGTGAGAAGCACTCAAGGAAAAGAAACGTGGGTTGCTCTTTCCTTCCTTTCCTCCTAAGTCATTATTTTCAAAGTATGTGGTTGCCTAATACAGGGAGGTACCTCAGGTAAGAAGGGACAGGATAGGGTGCTTTGGTTGTTTGGTTTTTTGGTTTTTTGGTTTTTTTGAGACGGAGTTTCACTCTTGTTGCCCAGGCTGGAGTGCAATGGCGTGATCTCAGCTCACCGCAACCTCTGCCTCCCGTGTTCAAGCAGTTCTCATGCCTCAGCCTCCCGAGTAGTTGGGATTACAGGCATGCACCACCATGTCCAGCTAATTTTTGTATTTTTAGCAGAGACAGGGTTTCTCCATGTTGGTCAGGCTGGTCTCGAACTCCCGACCTCAGGTGATCCGCCCGCCTCGGCCTCCCAAAGTGCTGGGATTATAGGCATGAGCCACGGAGGCTGGCCGGTTGTTTGGCTTTTTAAAGGCCATTGGCTTCTTTCTGAATTTCAAGCGAGCTCTTGTTTAAACAGATCATGTGCAGCTTCTTGGGGCTGTCTTCACTCCTCTTATTCAGTGGTGAAGGGAGTGAAGATTGGAGAATACTAAGGAAGGAAGACATTTTTGGGGTAGAGAGGTAAAAGTTTTTTTTTTTTCTTTCACTGTTTTTCCTTGGTGGTGGCAGTAAGTGTACCTCACACACTCTGTGTGTCCCTCAGGGGCCTTTTATTTTTTTAAATCTCAAGGAAGTTATGAGCTGTGCCTGGGTCTGGGCAGAGGGCTGAGGCCTGGGCTGCAGGACTCTGGAGCTGCCTACACTCACTGTGGCCCCCACCTTGGCACAGCCCCTGCCCCTGCAAGCCAGGGCTGGGGGACACTGAGCTCTGCACATCCCACCCTGACAGAGGAGTGGAGTCGGGCCAGAGACTGCTCTTCTTCCTGATCTTTCAGATAGTCCTTTCAGCCTGGAAGGGAACTGTTTCCTTCCGCCCTGCTTCTTGAGCAAGGGACCCACGTTGGCTGCCTTGGTTTCCTCAGCTGCCGCTCTCCTATCCTGCTGAATCTGCTCCTGCGTTAATCTCTCTGCCAGGTTCCTCTCTCTGTGCATGCCACCAGCTGCCCAGTGCAGAGTTCTCAGCCCTGCCTCCTGGGCCCTGGCTTTGTCATGGATCACCACTTCCTCTCTGCTTAATGGAACCCTTCCCTGGTTCTTAGGACTCTCGGCTCCTGGTTTTCATCCTTCTTCTCTGAACACTTCTGTGTTTTTCTCCCCGGTCAGGTACTTATAACTCAAATTTATAACCTTGGCTTTCATTTCTAAGCCAAGTGTAAAACCTGCAGGTATAAAGAAAAAAAAACGCACTTTTTTTTGTCAGATATGTTAACATCATATCTGGCACTAATTAGCAAATAACTTTCCAGAAATATGTAACCTGTCAGCAGCATAGCTTCTAATTCCAAAGTTAGTTCTGTCAGTATACATGTAGATCTTGATATAGATCTTTATATAGATACAGACATGCACATAAAATTTCCCTTAGTTCTAGCCATTGGAAAGATCATATCTTAGGGTTCCATCATTATAGATACATCTACAATTCTCCAGGTGACTCGTTTTCACAAAGGAGCAGGTGCCTGTGCACAGGGGTATGACAAGTTGGTAAAGTGAGAAGGCATTCCAGGCAAAGTGCACAGCGCAGGCAAGCACCTGAAGCTGGAGAGAGCCTGCTGTGATGGGGACCGTGGGTAAAGGGAGGTGGATCTGCAAACGGAGACAAGGTTGAGGTCATCCCGTGCCCCTGATAGTACTCTAAGGAATTTAGATGTTAGTTTCAGTGACAAGAACCATTTGAGGATTTTTAAACAAGGGAACGACTTGAAAGGATTCGTGTTAGAATATAGATTTGATCTTTTTAAGGGCACAGAGAACTCTCAAAAGAAAACTCATTCGGGCAGCAGGATATTTAAAGGAGATGTGAAGAAGGCCAGGCACCCCAGCAAAAAGTGACAGGTCAGGACAGAGGCAGCAGGGCGTTGTTGTTTAGGCCTGGGCAGACTGGGGCAGCCAGTAGGGAGCAGTTGCTGGATAGTGGGGGCTGGGGGTTGCGGACGGAACAAGTAGAGGTAATCTAGTATCATATTAAAGAAGATGTATTGAGACTTGTTATTTAAACAGAGCTTGTTTAATCTGTATAAATACCAGTGGTGACATTTTGCTTAAAATGTTAATGTTTTTAGATTTTGCATGTTTCTATACAGCCGCTGCGCACATGACCTTTTTTGTTCCCTTCCCCTCTCCTGCCCACCTTGAGTCTCCTTTCCCCTTCCCTCCCCTCTTCTCCCCTTTTCTGCACTATCCTCTCTGCTCTTACATTTGGTTTTGTTTTTAAATGTTTTACCTTTTAAAGAAAGCGTTGGGTTTCTGATTGCAACTTCTCCTAAATCCACTAGGTGGAAGTAAAGTATGCAATTTTCTTTTTCCCATACCATTGCAACGTGTTTCAAATGTAAACGGGCTCACATTAAATATATGAGTTTTTACAAAAGTGGAAAATATTTATTATATATCCTTTTGGAAATATCAAAAGTCAGATAAACAAACTAAAATTAAACTGTAATGCCTATACCACATTCATAGCTAACCACTCTTTCTCTGCAATTTATTTTAAATTCATATATTTTGTAGTTAATTGGCATCATACTTAAAAAATCGTTTAGTTCCCTAATTTATTTTACCTACCACTGTATCCTAGACATTTTTCTACATTATTCTCAAGACTTTAAAATTGTAATATAAAATTATAATTGATGTATATTGTATATGCCTCTATATCTCCATAGATATAGTGAAGGTTTTATAAATAAGACATTTATAGTCATACATGTACCTGTTTGCCCGCATCTCTGGCCTTTTGAAAGATAGATTCACAGAATTTTATTTGAGAATCAAAAGGAATGGACATTTTTAGGACTCTTGATCTGTTGCATTGTTTACAAAATGGATGAAGCATGTACCTGCTTGTCACAGCTATATCTGAGAGGTCCCTGCCTCTCATTCCCACCCCCCTCTCCCCGCCACCCTCGCCAAATCTAGATCAGTGTCTTTTTCTCGTTAAGGAGTCTTAGTCTTCTGACTTTACTTCCAAAGAGGTAATGGTAAAACAGCTTGGCCAGATTCCTGGATGGACGCTGATGGACTCAACCAAACTAATTTTTCTTCTTTGTGAATTTGCCCAGTGTCATTAATCAGAACAATTTTTGAAAGTAAGAAGAAAGGTATTGGCCAGCAGATGGCGCCCTAGAATAAAACAGAGGTAGATGAAGAAATGTTGATTTTTCTTGCCATGATTTCTCTCTAAGCAATGGTTGAATTTGACATACGTATGCTGTAAGGAAGTTGTTAAGAATAAAAACAGCCAATGCTCAGAGTTAAGAAAATGCAATGGTTTAGCAGGAATCCATCCACGGGAGTACAGAAAGTTGAAAATGTTCAAAATTTAACACTTGGCTGTGCTACATTTATGTTTGCCGGCTTAGGTAGGAGTTTGAATGCTTTCCTAGTGAGGACCCGAGAGCAATGATGAGTCGAGGTCTTCATTCCTAGTCAGGCCTCCTCAAGCTCATATTTTCTGTCTTTTGTGAGGCATTGTTCCTCCTACCATGACCCAAGGGCTTTACACATATACTAAGTAGAAAATCTAATATCTGTGCTTACAATATGTCTTCTCTGTAGTACAGGTATTAAAATTACAATTTCCCTTCTTAAAGATATGGTAGGATCCAATAAAGGAGCACTATGGAGCTTTAAAAATGATGAATATCTCTAAACTTTCACTAGTAACCATGATAAAATAAGTTTTATCAGATCATCATTGTCTAGAGATAGATATATAGAGATAGATGGATAGAATCTATGTATCAACATCTGTGTAATATATGAACGACACATATTCATTTTAGGTTTTCTGGTTGTTCCTGGTGGCAATGGTGATCTGATAAACCTATTTTATCACAGTTACAAGTGGAAGTCTAGAGATATTTATCATTCTTTAAAGCTTCATAGTGCTCTCTTTTGTGGCTGTTTTACAAAATCCCTGTTGGTAAGCACCCTTGCCTTCAAAATGTGATTATTAGAAACTAGCAAATGAAAATTTCCCAGTGCTTTTTTTTATGGTTTTATAATTTTTTGAGGTATAATTGATATGCAAGAAACTACATATATTTAAAGTGTACAATTTAAAAAGCCTTGACAGAAGTACACACCTATAAATCAATCGCCGTAATCAAGATTGCTGACATAACTACACCCCAAAAACTTTCCTTGTACCTCTTTGTACCCCTTGTACCTCCCTCCTTTCTCCTACTTCCATGGCCAAGGAACTACTGATCTGTTTTCTTTCATTATGAATTAATTTTGCTTTTCTAGAATTTTACATATATACTTTTATGTCTGTCTTCTTTCACTTTTGAGATTCATTTATGGTTGCATGTATTAATATTTCATTCCTTTGTGTCATTGTGTGATAGAGCACATTTTGTTTATCCTTTCACTTTTTGATGAACATTTAGATAGCTTCTAATGTTTTTAGTATTTACAAAAAGCTGTTGTAAGTATTTGTGTGAAAGTCTTTGTACAAACCCATTTTTTTTTTTTTGCCCTTGAGGGAAATGCTTTGGAGAGGGATCATATATTAAGTGCACATTCAATTTTTTTAAAAATAAATTTTATTGTGCATATTTAAGATATACATTACATTTTGGGGCACATATAGCCAGTAAAAAGGGTACTGTACTGAAGCAAAGTAACATGTCCATCATCTCACATAGTTACCCATTTTTTTGTGTGTGCATGGCAAGAACAACTAAAATCTACTCATTTAGCATGAATTCCATATATCGCACGATTTTATTACCTATAATTCTCATGTTCTCCCTTAGATCCCTAGACTTGTTCATCCTACATATCTGTTACTTTGTATCCTCTGACCTACATCTCCCCATTACCACTCCCCCGACCCCCATGTCTCCCTGCCCCCCACCCATTGCCCCTGGTAACCACTATTTTGTTCTCTGTCTCTGTATACTTGCATTTTTTTATATAGAAAGAAAAACATTACATCTCACTTACATGTAGAATCTTTTTAACAATGTGAAACATTTAACCTTTTCATAAATCAACAGAAAGTTTCTGATGGCAGTTATACTATTTCACATTTCTACCAGCAGGAGAGTTCCAGCTCCTTTACCTCTTCCAATATGTGGTGTGGTCCGTGCTTTTACTTTGAGCCATTGTATTAGGTGCATACTACCCTCTCATTGTGGTTTTAATTTGATTTTTCCTATGACTAATGATATTTCATTTGCTTGGTTGCAAAACATGCATCTTTTTTGGTGAAGTATCTGTTTAAATCTTCTGCCCATTAAAAAAATTAGGTTATTTATTTTTTAGTATCGAGTTTGAGAGTTTTTTTATATTTACTGAGTAAACTTCTTTACTGTATATATGTTTTGAAAATGTATTCTCTTAGTCTATGGCCTGTCATTTCATTCTCTTGACAGTATCTGTAAGAGTATCCTTTGAAGAACAGACAGTTTTAATTGTGGTGAAAACTAATTTATCAAGTTGTTCTTTTATGGATGTTATTTTTGGTGTCGTATTTAAGAAATCTTTGTCTAAGCCAAAGTCACAGGTTTTCTCCTATTTTTTTTTCTAAAATGTTCTATAGTTTTAGGTTTACAGTTTTGGTCTATTAACAATTTTGGTCTATTAACAATTTTGAGTTCTTTTTTTATGGAGCAAATTATAGGCCAATTTTTCTTTCCTGTGTATGAATATAAAATTATTCCAACATGATTTTCTGAAAAGAGTATTCATGTTTTTGCTGAAACCACACTGTCTTGGTTACTGCAGTTTTATAATAATTCTTTGAATTCTATATTGTGATTCCTCTGTCTTTATTCTTTTCTCAGGTTGTTTTGGATGGTCTAGGTTCTTTGTATTTCCAGACAATTGATTTTTGTATCTTGTATCCTGAATCTTGTTAAATCACTTATTACTTTTGTAGAATTGTATATTTCATTACCTTTTCTAACATAGATAATCATGCTTCTGTGAATGATGATAGTTTTATGTTTTTCTTTCCAATATAAATGCATTTTATTTATTTTTCTTATCTTACTACACTGGCTGAAACCTCAAGTATACCTCAAGTATAATGTTAAATAGAAGTTGTGAATGTGGACATGCCTGTCTTGCCATGATTTTGAAACTCAACCTAATAGCCCCATAGATAGTTTTTGTTTGTTTGTTTTATCATAGAAATTGACTCCCTGATCTTAAAGCTTGAAACTTTTGTTTTATCTGAGTCCCTTCCTTGGGAAATGGTCTTCTGGCCTCTCAAAAAAGGTGTCAAAGAACTGAAACTCCTATTGTTTTCTTCATATCTTGTTTTTGAAGTTTGTTTGCTTCTGTGGAATTTTAGTTTTTATCATATATATATAAGATTTTAAGGGATTTTTTAAACAATATTTTTGTCTCTTTCTGCACTTTATTCTGTCATTCGTGGGATCTGATTACATGTATACTAGGCTAGTTGACACTCCTATAGCTGATAGATGCTTTATACATTTTTTATTTTTTTCTTTCATTTTGTGTTTTATTTTGTATGATTCCTTCCTTCCTTCCTTCCTTCCTTCCTTCCTTCCTTCCTTTCTTTCTTTCTTTCTTCTTTCTTTTTTTGGAAATGGAGTTTCCCTGTTGTCACTCAGGCTGGAGTGCAGTGGCAGTGGCACGATCTCTGCTCACTGCAACCTCCACGTCCCAGGTTCTAGTGATTCTCCCACGTCAGCCTCTCACGTGCCACTGTGCCCATCTAAGTTTGTATTTTTAGTAGAGACGGGATTTCACCACGTTGACCAGGCTGGTCTTGAACTCCTGACCTCAGGTCAGCCACCCACCTTGGCCTCCCAAAGGGTTGGGATTACAGGCATGAGTCACCATGCCTGGACTGATTTCTGTTTTCATTTCTTCAAGTTCACCTGTCAATCTTCTGCAACATCTAATCCACATTAGCCTAATTCAGTACAATTTCATTACACAATGCTGCTTTCATCTGTAGAAGTTTGATTGGGTGGTTCTTGTGTCTTTCATGTTTGTAACATTTTGAATGTATACAATCCATTTATAATAAGTGTTTCAATGTCCTTGTCTACTAATTCTAATACCTGCATCAGTTTTGATTGGTTGATTTTTCTCTTCATTATCTGTCATGCTTATCTGCTTCTTTCTATTCTTATTTTTATTTTTATAGATAATTTTAAAAGACTTTAATTTTTTGAGAAGTTTTAAGTTTATAGAAAAATCAGTAGAATGTCTAGAAAGTTCCTAATCCCCCCCACACACTCAGTTTTCTCTATTATTTACATTTTGTATTAGGGTGGTACTTTTAAAAATAATTGATGGGTTAATATTGATATATTATTATTAAATAGTGTAAATAGATGACTTTAGGGTTTGCTCATTGTGTTGTGTGTTCTATACACTTTGACAAATGTGCAGTGACATGTGTGCATCGTTGCAGTATCAGATAGAACAGTTTCAGTGCCCTAAACATTCCCTGTGCTTCACTATTTATATCTCTCACAAGCCTCTGGCAAACGCTGAACTTTTTTTTTTTTTAACTGTCCTCATAGTTTTGCCTTTTCCAGAATGTCATATAGTTGGAATTATACAGTGTATTGTCTTTTTATGTGGGCTTTTGTTCACTTAGCATATGTTTTTAAGGTTTCTCCATATATATTTTTAAAATAGACTTTATTTTTAGAGCAGATTAGGTTCACAGCAAAATTGAGCAAAAGATACAGAGATTTCACATGTACCCCTCCCCACATATTTGTATCAATATCCCACTATCAATATCCTGCACCCTCACTATCACTATCAATATCCTGCACCAAGAGTGGAATATTTGTTACTATGGGTTAAACTACAGTGAGTGACACATCGTTATCACCTGAAATCCATAGTTTACATTCGAGTTCACTGTTGGTATTGTATATTTGAGTTTTGGCACATGTATAATTACATTTATTCACCATTAAGAGGCAGAGTAGTTCCACTGCCCTAAAAATCCCCTGTGCTCTGCTGATTCATCCCTCCTTCCCCACAACCCCAGCAAGCACTGATCTTTTTATAGTCTCTGTAGTTCTGCCTTTTCCAGAATGCCATACGGTTAAAATCATACAGCATGTAGCCTTTTCAGATTGGATTGTTTCATTTGTTAATATGTATTTAAGATTTTGCAGTGTATTTTTATTGCTTGATAGCTTATTTATTTTCAGTGCTGAATAATATTCCATTGTCTAGATATACCACAGGTTACTTATCTATTCATCTGCTGAAGGACATCTTGTTGTTTCCAAGTTTTGGTAATTCTGAGTAAAGCTTCCATAAACATTTGTGTGAAGGTTTTTGTGTCGATGTAAGTTTTCAGATCATTTGGTAAAATCTCGAGGAGCATGATTGTTGGATTTTATGGTAAGTGTGTATATAGTTTTGTAAGAAACTGCCAGACTATCTTTCAAAGTGGCTATACTGTCTTGCCTTCCCACCAGCAATGAGAATTCTTGTTGTTGCACATCCTCATTATCATTTTCTGTCACTGTTCTGGATTTTAGCTATTTTAATATGTGTATAGTGGTATCTCATTGTTTTAATCAGCATTTTCACAGTGACATATGATGTGAAACATCTTTTCATATGCTTATGTACCATCTGTATCTCTTCTTTGTTGAGGTGTCTGTTAAGGTCTTTGGCCCATTTTTAAACCAGATTTTTTTCTTATTGTTGAGTTTTAAAAATTCTTTGTATATTTGGATAACAATCCTTTATCAGATGTCTCTTTTACAAGTATTGTTTCCAAGTGTGTGGCTTGTCTTTTTATTCTCTTGACAGTGTATTTTACAGAGTAGACTTTGTTTATTTTAATGAAGTCAGGTTATAAATTCTTCCATGGATTATGCTTTTGGTGATTTATCTAAAAAGTTATCACAAAAATTAAAGTCATCTGGATTTTCTTCTAAGTTACCCTTGAGAAGTGTTATAGTCTTGTCTTTTATACTTATTTATGTGATTCATTTTGAGTTAATTTTGTGAAGGGTGTCTGTGTCAAGACTCATTATTTATTTTTTTGCATGTAAATGTCCAAGTGTTCCAGCACCAATTGTTGAAAAGACTGTGTTTTCTCCATTGCTTTATTATATTTGCCCCTTTGTGAAAGATCATTTGACTGTATTTATGTGGGTTTATTTTTGGGCTTGTTATTATTCTGTTCCATTGATCTATTTGGATCTTCTTTTGCCAGTACCACATGGTCTTGATCAGTGTAAGTCCTGAAGTTGTGCAGTATCAGTCCCACAACTTTATTCTCCTCCTTCAATATTCTGAGTCCTTTTCCTTTTTATATAAACTGTATAAACTTTAAAATTTAACATATAAACTTTAAAATTAAAATTTAAAGCATATACACTTTAAAATTAAAATTAAAAGCAAATAAACTTTAAAATTAATTTCCTGATATTCACAAAATTACTTTCTGTGACTCTGATGAAAATTGCATTGAATCTATAGAAAGCATTTTTAATTGCAGAAATAATGTATGAGCCTATTCTGTTTATCAAAGTAAAGTTACAGATAAGCCAAAGTGCCTTTTTTCCCAAATTGTCAATGCTAACCACTCCTAAAAGAAAACCAAGGTAATTGTTGTGTTTGATATAGTCTTTCACACTTTAAAACGTGTTTATGTACAAAATATATGTCTCTAGAAAGAAGTTGGGAAGAACTGACATCTTGACAATATTGACTCTTTCTTTCCATGAACACAGAATATCTCTTCATTAATTTAGTTATTCTGTGGTTTCTTTTATCATCTTTTTGTAGTCTTTCTCATATAGATCTTATACATATTTTTTACAGCTTATACCTAAGAATTTCATTATTAGGGGTGCAAATGTACATAGTAATATGTTTTTAATTTCAAATTTTATGTATTTATTGCTGATCCATAGAAAAGTGTTTGACTTTTGTATATTAATCTTGCACCTTGCTATAATTGCTTCTTATTGAGGAGGAGCCAAGATGGCCGAATAGGAACAGCTCCGGTCTACAGCTCCCAGCGTGAGCGACGCAGAAGACGGGTGATTACTGCATTTCCATCTGAGGTACCGGGTTCATCTCACTAGGGAGTGCCAGACAGTGGGCGCAGGCCAGTGTGTGTGCGCACCGTGCACGAGCCGAAGCAGGGCGAGGCATTGCCTCACCTGGGAAGCGCAAGGGGTCAGGGAGTTCCCTTTCCGAGTCAAAGAAAGGGGTGACGGACGCACCTGGAAAATCAGGTCACTCCCACCCAAATATTGCGCTTTTCAGACCGGCTTAAGAAACAGCGCACCACGAGACTATATCCCACACCTGGCTCAGAGGGTCCTACGCCCACTGAATCTCGCTGATTGCTAGCACAGCAGTCTGAGATCAAACTGCAAGGCGGCAACGAGGCTGGGGGAGGGGCGCCCGCCATTGCCCAGGCTTGCTTAGGTAAACAAAGCAGCCGGGAAGCTCGAACTGGGTGGAGCCCACCACAGCTCAAGGATGCCTGCCTGCCTCTGTAGGCTCCACCTCTGGGGGCAGGGCACAGACAAACAAAAAGACAGCAGTAACCTCTACAGACTTAAGTGTCCCTGTCTGACAGCTTTGAAGAGAGCAGTGGTTCTCCCAGCACGCAGCTGGAGATCTGAGAACGGGCAGACTGCCTCCTCAAGTGGGTCCCTGACCCCTGACCCCCGAGCAGCCTAACTGGGAGGCACCCCCCAGCAGGGGCACACTGACACCTCACACGGCAGGGTATTCCAACAGACCTGCAGCTGAGGGTCCTGTCTGTTAGAAGGAAAACTAACAACCAGAAAGGACATCTACACCGAAAACCCATCTGTACATCACCATCATCAAAGACCAAAAGTAGATAAAACCACAAAGATGGGGAAAAAACAGAACAGAAAAACTGGAAACTCTAAAACGCAGAGTGCCTCTCCTCCTCCAAAGGAACGCAGTTCCTCACCAGCAACAGAACAAAGCTGGATGGAGAATGATTTTGACGAGCTGAGAGAAGAAGGCTTCAGACGATCAAATTACTCTGAGCTACGGGAGGACATTCAAACCAAAGGCAAAGAAGTTGAAAACTTTGAAAAAAATTTAGAAGAATGTATAACTAGAATAACCAATACAGAGAAGTGCTTAAAGGAGCTGATGGAGCTGAAAACCAAGGCTCGAGAACTACGTGAAGAATGCAGAAGCCTCAGGAGCCGATGCGATCAACTGGAAGAAAGGGTATCAGCAATGGAAGATGAAATGAATGAAATGAAGCGAGAAGGGAAGTTTAGAGAAAAAAGAATAAAAAGAAATGAGCAAAGCCTCCAAGAAATATGGGACTATGTGAAAAGACCAAATCTACGTCTGATTGGTGTACCTGAAAGTGATGTGGAGAATGGAACCAAGTTGGAAAACACTCTGCAGGATATTATCCAGGAGAACTTCCCCAATCTAGCAAGGCAGGCCAACGTTCAGATTCAGGAAATACAGAGAACGCCACAAAGATACTCCTCGAGAAGAGCAACTCCAAGACACATAATGGTCAGATTCACCAAAGTTGAAATGAAGGAAAAAATGTTAAGGGCAGCCAGAGAGAAAGGTCGGGTTACCCTCAAAGGAAAGCCCATCAGACTAACAGCGGATCTCTCGGCAGAAACCCTACAAGCCAGAAGAGAGTGGGGGCCAATATTCAACATTCTTAAAGAAAAGAATTTTCAACCCAGAATTTCATATCCAGCCAAACTAAGCTTCATAAGTGAAGGAGAAATAAAATACTTTATAGACAAGCAAATGCTGAGAGATTTTGTCACCACCAGGCCTGCCCTAAAAGAGCTCCTGAAGGAAGCGCTAAACATGGAAAGGAACAACCGGTACCAGCCGCTGCAAAATCATGCCAAAATGTAAAGACCATCGAGACTAGGAAGAAACTGCATCAACTAATGAGCAAAATCACCAGCTAACATCATAATGACAGGATCAAATTCACACATAACAATATTAACTTTAAATATAAATGGACTAAATTCTGCAATTAAAAGACACAGACTGGCAAGTTGGATAAAGAGTCAAGACCCACCAGTGTGCTGTATTCAGGAAACCCATTTCACGTGCAGAGACACACATAGGCTCAAAATAAAAGGATGGAGGAAGATCTACCAAGCCAATGGAAAACAAAAAAAGGCAGGGGTTTCAATCCTAGTCTCTGATAAAACAGACTTTAAACCAACAAAGATCAAAAGAGACAAAGAAGGCCATTACATAATGGTAAAGGGATCAATTCAACAAGAGGAGCTAACTATCCTAAATATTTATGCACCCAATACAGGAGCACCCAGATTCATAAAGCAAGTCCTCAGTGACCTACAAAGAGACTTAGACTCCCACACATTAATAATGGGAGACTTTAACACCCCACTGTCAACATTAGACAGATCAACGAGACAGAAAGTCAACAAGGATACCCAGGAATTGAACTCAGCTCTGCACCAAGCCGACCTAATAGACATCTACAGAACTCTCCACCCCAAATCAACAGAATATACATTTTTTTCAGCACCACACCACACCTATTCCAAAATTGACCACATAGTTGGAAGTAAAGCTCTCCTCAGCAAATGTAAAAGAACAGAAATTATAACAAACTATCTCTCAGACCACAGTGCAATCAAACTAGAACTCAGGATTAAGAATCTCACTCAAAGCCGCTCAACTACATGGAAACTGAACAACCTGCTCCTGAATGACTACTGGGTACATAACGAAATGAAGGCAGAAATAAAGATGTTCTTTGAAACCAATGAGAACAAAGACACCACATACCAGAATCTCTGGGACGCATTCAAAGCAGTGTGTAGAGGGAAATTTATTGCACTAAATGCCTACAAGAGAAAGCAGGAAAGATCCAAAATTGACACCCTAACATCACAATTAAAAGAACTAGAAAAGCAAGAGCAAACACATTCAAAAGCTAGCAGAAGGCAAGAAATAACTAAAATCAGAGCAGAACTGAAGGAAATAGAGACACAAAAAACCCTTCAAAAAATCAATGAATCCAGGAGCTGGTTTTTTGAAAAGATCAACAAAATTGATAGACCGCTAGCAAGACTAATAAAGAAAAAAAGAGAGAAGAATCAAATAGACACAATAAAAAATGATAAAGGGGATATCACCACCGATCCCACAGAAATACAAACTACCATCAGAGAATACTACAAACACCTCTACGCAAATAAACTAGAAAATCTAGAAGAAATGGATACATTCCTCGACACATACACTCTCCCAAGACTAAACCAGGAAGAAGTTGAATCTCTGAATAGACCAATAACAGGCTCTGAAATTGTGGCAATAATCAATAGTTTACCAACCAAAAAGAGTCCAGGACCAGATGGATTCACAGCCGAATTCTACCAGAGGTACAAGGAGGAACTGGTACCATTCCTTCTGAAACTATTCCAATCAATAGAAAAAGAGGGAATCCTCCCTAACTCATTTTATGAGGCCAGCATCATTCTGATACCAAAGCCGGGCAGAGACACAACCAAAAAAGAGAATTTTAGACCAATATCCTTGATGAACATTGATGCAAAAATCCTCAATAAAATACTGGCAAACCGAATCCAGCAGCACATCAAAAAGCTTATCCACCATGATCAAGTGGGCTTCATCCCTGGGATGCAAGGCTGGTTCAATATACGCAAATCAATAAATGTAATCCAGCATATAAACAGAGCCAAAGACAAAAACCACATGATTATCTCAATAGATGCAGAAAAAGCCTTTGACAAAATTCAACAACCCTTCATGCTAAAAACTCTCAATAAATTAGGTATTGATGGGACGTATTTCAAAATAGTAAGAGCTATCTATGACAAACCCACAGCCAATATCATACTGAATGGGCAAAAACTGGAAGCATTCCCTTTGAAAACTGGCACAAGACAGGGATGCCCTCTCTCACCGCTCCTATTCAACATAGTGTTGGAAGTGTTGGCCAGGGCAATCAGGCAGGAGAAGGAAATAAAGGGTATTCAATTAGGAAAAGAGGAAGTCAAATTGTCCCTGTTTGCAGACGACATGATTGTTTATCTAGAAAACCCCATCGTCTCAGCCCAAAATCTCCTTAAGCTGATAAGCAACTTCAGCAAAGTCTCAGGATACAAAATCAATGTACAAAAATCACAAGCATTCTTATACACCAACAACAGACAAACAGAGAGCCAAATCATGGGTGAACTCCCATTCACAATTGCTTCAAAGAGAATAAAATACCTAGGAATCCAACTTACAAGGGATGTGAAGGACCTCTTCAAGGAGAACTACAAACCACTGCTCAAGGAAATAAAAGAGGACACAAACAAATGGAAGAACATTCCATGCTCATGGGTAGGAAGAATCAATATCGTGAAAATGGCCATACTGCCCAAGGTAATTTACAGATTCAATGCCATCCCCATCAAGCTACCAATGACTTTCTTCACAGAATTGGAAAAAACTACTTTAAAGTTCATATGGAACCAAAAAAGAGCCCGCATTGCCAAGTCAATCCTAAGCCAAAAGAACAAAGCTGGAGGCATCACACTACCTGACTTCAAACTATACTACAAGGCTACAGTAACCAAAACAGCATGGTACTGGTACCAAAACAGAGATATAGATCAATGGAACAGAACAGAGCCCTCAGAAATAATGCCGCATATCTACAACTATCTGATCTTTGACAAACCTGAGAAAAACAAGCAATGGGGAAAGGATTCCCTATTTAATAAATGGTGCTGGGAAAACTGGCTAGCCATATGTAGAAAGCTGAAACTGGATCCCTTCCTTACACCTTATACAAAAATCAATTCAAGATGGATTAAAGATTTAAACGTTAAACCTAAAACCATAAAAACCCTAGAAGAAAACCTAGGCATTACCATTCAGGACATAGGCGTGGGCAAGGACTTCATGTCCAAAACACCAAAAGCAATGGCAACAAAAGACAAAATTGACAAATGGGATCTAATTAAACTAAAGAGCTTCTGCACAGCAAAAGAAACTACCATCAGAGTGAACAGGCAACCTACAACATGGGAGAAAATTTTCGCAACCTACTCATCTGACAAAGGGCTAATATCCAGAATCTACAATGAACTCAAACAAATTTACAAGAAAAAAACAAACAACCCCATCAAAAAGTGGGCGAAGGACATGAACAGACACTTCTCAAAAGAAGACATTTATGCAGCCAAAAAACACATGAAGAAATGCTCATCATCACTGGCCATCAGAGAAATGCAAATCAAAACCACTATGAGATATCATCTCACACCAGTTAGAATGGCAATCATTAAAAAGTCAGGAAACAACAGGTGCTGGAGAGGATGTGGAGAAATAGGAACACTTTTACACTGTTGGTGGGACTGTAAACTAGGTCAACCATTGTGGAAGTCAGTGTGGCGACTCCTCAGGGATCTAGAACTAGAAATACCATTTGACCCAGCCATCCCATTACTGGGTATATACCCAAATGAGTATAAATCATGCTGCTATAAAGACACATGCACACGTATGTTTATTGCGGCACTATTCACAATAGCAAAGACTTGGAACCAACCCAAATGTCCAACAATGATAGACTGGATTAAGAAAATGTGGCACATATACACCATGGAATACTATGCAGCCATAAAAAATGATGAGTTCATATCCTTTGTAGGGACATGGATGAAATTGGAAACCATCATTCTCAGTAAACTATCGCAAGAACAAAAAACCAAACACCGCATATTCTCACTCATAGGTGGGAATTGAACAATGAGATCACATGGACACAGGAAGGGGAATATCACACTCTGGGGACTGTGGTGGGGTCGGGGGAGGGGGGAGAGATAGCATTGGGAGATATACCTAATGCTAGATGACACATTAGTGGGTGCAGCGCACCAGCATGGCACATGTATACATATGTAACTAACCTGCACAATGTGCACATGTACCCTAAAACTTAGAGTATAATAAAAAAATAAAATAAAATAAAATAAAAAAAAAATTGCTTCTTATTGCCAGGCTTTTTGTTGTTGTTGATTCTTCCAGATTTTCTGCATAAAGATTACATCATCTGCAAACAAAGAGGGTTTTCTTTCTTTCTTTTCAATCAGTATACCTTTTATCCCCTTTCTTGTTTTATTGCATTAGCTAGGACTTTTGGTATGATATTGAGAAGCAGTGGTGACAGGGGATATCCTTGCCTTGTTTCTGATCTTAGTGGGAAAGCTTTGGTTTTCTCAGCATCGAAAGCATTTTTAATTGCAGAAATAATGTATGAACCTATTCTCTTTATCAAAGTAAAGTTACAGATAAGCCAAAGTGCCTTTTTCCCAAATTATCAATGCCAACCACTCCTAAAAGAAAACCAAGGTAATTGTTGTGTTTTATACATTCTTTCATACTTTAAAACATGTTTATGTACAAAATATATGTCTCTAGGAAAGTATATGTATGTGTGTATTATATTGACATATATACTTACATATATATTTCCAAATTATACTTAAAAATAGAATGAAATGATTAACTGTGTCAAATACTGCTTAAAAACAGTAAAAGAGTACTAAAAACCATTCTTTAGATTTTTACTGATGCCATGGTCAAATAAACATGATCATGGTGGGTTTAGGAGAGAATAGAAGGAGAGGAAAGCAAGACTGCATTTATAATTAAGTCTTTCAGGAGTTTAATGCTAAGGCAGCAGAAAACAGTGGGTATGATGGGGAGGAGGTAGAAAATTTCCTAAAATTGTTCCTACTTTGTTTGTAAAATAGCAAGCGTCATCCTCCTAGAATGAAGATGGAGAGGTCATGTTGCCCTACGTAGTTCCAAAGAAATTAGTGGCTTCTGTGTCATGTTGAAATAATATACTCAAGGACACTAGGACAGTAAGCAAATAACTCAGAAGATAAAAATTCTAATCAGATCTGTTCAAGTCCAAAGCCTGTGCTGCAGAATTTTTCTGCAGTTTGCTCTGTTGACAACTGACATCAGAATCCCCTGATATTTTAGTTTAAAAATGTGTTTCCAAGCCCCACTCCAAATCTACTGCCTTAGAATACAGAAAATTTATATATGAAGAGCTCTTCAAAGTCATTCTTACATACACTGAAGTGTGAAAACCAGTAATGTCTACTTTCCGTCATAATCTGAGAGTCACAAAGTGAAATTCCTGTAAGTAGCAGGCTGCCAGACACTTAAAAGAGTCAAAAATGCCATGAAGGGAACTGTGGTCACCTGGGGTCCAATTTAGACATGTTTAAAACACTAGGTGGGTGAAAGAAAACATATTTACAGGCTAGATTTGTGACTGAATTATTATACTACATTCTTCAAGAGGAAGCTGTGTGTAGCAGCAAGATCTGGCCATGGGCCTGTCTCTATTAGCATCACACTCTGACTAAATAGAATTAATTTGGATAAGAAGGTGAACCAAAGGCTACTGATATTTTCAGATTGCCACTACCTAAATATCAGTTTTAATCAATGGTTTAATAGGTACACAAAATATCTAATGTGATTTCTGTCAAACTGTGGTGTGCAAGCAATAGACAAGATGACAACAAATTATACTAGACAAGAAATTAGAAAGAAGAATGCAACCTGTAATTACTGCAGTAAAGAGGTCAGTTGAATTGCATCGAGTCATGGAGGATAACTGCGCCTTAGATAGAGGTGCATGTTTTTATCTAACCAAATTCAGGAGAGATTACAATAAGAATTGGATAAGCACGAAGTTGAAAATGTTACCTGGTGTACAGAATGCATTGGGTTGTGAAATTAAACCCTGAGTAAAGGCATGAGCTGAGCGTTTCCCTTTGACAGAACAGAAGGGTGAGCTATAAGAAGGGGCATGTCCATCTGCAGCTTAGGAAGAATTATACCGAGAGTGAGAAGCTTCCAAGTTCATCGCAGCACAAAATCTGCCTGTAAATAAACTTATCATCACCCCGTGGAGTAGGAACCTCAGCCCACATAAGATGGCAAGTCTCTTTTTAGTTTATAACTCTCAGAAGGCATAAGAATATGGAACTGATGAAGTTATTCCAATTAAAGGCATTGTTTCCACTGTGTTAACTTTAGGGGCATGCATGATCTCCATTGGGATACTGTCTGTGTAATTGTTACTTACATTATTTGAATGTATCAAAGCTACTGGATAATCTGTCAAATTAGAATTGTGACTTAAATGTAAACTAGGTAATTGATATTAGATTTGCGATATCGGTTTGAAAGCTATAAGAATTTGACTCAATTCTTTAGCATAACGTCTACTGGGATTTCTCATGTTGTCTTGAAATGATAGATAAGGCTGAGGCTAAAGGCAAAAACCACTCTGTATTTCACGAGAACAGCCAGTGCACGGAAGCAGCCGCTTTCCCAAGAGTTTATTCACAGATTATAGATCAGAGCTTCATGCCTGGCTTCTAGACGAAATAAAAGGGAGACTGGGAAGTGGGCTACAGTGAGGGGCATGCTGTGTTCACAGTTGGAGGCCATTCTTGTTCCTCTCCATGTCATGGAAGGGGAGAAAGGGAAGTGTTTTCTCCCTGTGGCCCTGTTGGAACATTGAGAAAATCACTTGTCAACATCAGAGTGTTCTGCAAGAAGCAGAGACTGGCACCTCCATCCTCAGCTGAGTTCTTGCTGACTACTGGGATCTGTAAGTCTCTGGTGCCAAGACATGAAGTAGCCCGGCGATGGAGTTCATGGGGAGCTTGACCTGCATCGCTTGGGGCTTGGTGGCATTCAACACTAAGGCTACTGACAATGCACTGTCTCAAGATTGCTGAAGGTCACAGTGTTCTGGAGGAGGCTGTATTAGGAGGATCTGAAGGATGATAAATATGTGCCAGGGAAGATGGGGGTATCACTCCTCCCTTCCCAGTTCTACAAAAGCACAGGACAGTGCAGAAGAGAAACTCAGAACTGAACACACAAATGGGGTATCCAACTAGAAGAAGGAGTTGGGGTGTGTATGCTCTGGTCAGGCCAAAGAGAGCCGTGACTGCCTCTCTGGAAGGCATCCTAGTGGGGAGGGCATCAGCACTGTGCTGTCACACTGCACATCAGTAGACGCTTGTGACATCACACAGACCCAGTAGGAAACAGAGAAGGACTAGGACCACCTCCATCCCCTAGCAGGCGAGCAGCCATGTGAGGCACTCACTGCCTCCTTCCAGAGCCCTCCTCCCTGCTCCTGGCCTGGAGGAGCAGGCGCCTAGAGGGAGAAGGACTGGCCACTTCAGAGCAACCCTACCCCAACCACACCAGTGAGGGGTTGGGGGAAGAATCTGAAATGAAATAGGAGGGCAGCGTGGTGCCTTAGAAATGGTCAGAACTGAGTCTTATATTATGCAATGACATCTCTAAAACCCCCAAATGACAGAAAAACCATGGATGCCATACCAAGATATCAGTAATGAACTATCTGGGTCTACCATTACAGGGTCAAATTACTTGTCCATATGGTTTTAATATTTTAAGAAAATTTATTTAAAAACTTTCATAGTCAAGGTTACTTGTTTAGGGGAACTTAATTTCTTAAATAGCTATATAAATTAATTAGTCAGAAAAATAAATCACTATTATTTTAAACAGTTATTAGTTTTATGAATAGAAAAACAAGATTTTAAAGTGGACCTGAAAGACTTATGAAAAGAACTTGTTTCCATGAGGAAAAGTATCTGTGTAGGAAATTAATTTTAAATTCCACCTCAGGGACTCCAAGAGTCTTTTCAACACATGAATTCCCTCTCTTCCTTCCCAGACTTTAAGGCAAGTCACTCACTTAATGAGCATACTGCCTATCTATCTATCTATCTATCTATCCATCTATCATCTATCTATCTATCCATCCATCTTCGGTTCTATCCTCAGAGATTCTGATTTTTTTAGTTCTGTAAGAACTAGAGCCAAATGCACACGTGCATGATTCTCTAAAAATCTGTAATCACTTTATTGCATAGGAAAAGAAAAAGTAGTAATGAAAAATGTGAATTGCAAAAATTCCGAGGGCTGGGGGGATTGCGGAGACAGTCAAAAGATAACAAATTTTTAGTAAGGTTTAAGAGATCTACTGTACATTATGGTGACTATAGTTAATAAAAATTATATTTTTTGAAAATGGTTGAGAGTAATTTTAAGTGTTCTCACCACAAAAGGAAAAGATAAATATATAAGCTACATATGTTAATGAGCTTGATTTAGCCATTCCACAAGGTATACATATATCAAGACATAATATTGTATACCATAAAGATATAAAACCTTCGTTTATTCAAAATAAATTTTAAAAAAGCATTCAGTATTTTATTCTCTGAGAGTTGCTGAATGATCTAATTGGATTGATTTCCAAGGCAGTGCAACAACGGATTCTTAGTTCTTCTAGAGAATTTGTTAGCAGGTGGTAGGCAAGGAAAAGTCAATGAGGCTGACTTTAAAACATGGGAGTCTACAAAGAGCTAAGGGAACAATGAGGACAGCTGCATTGCAGTGGCAAGCTCTAAATCTCATTCCCATTTTTGTAAGAAAAAATAGCTGCACACCTACAGACATTTAGATATTATTAATAAATGTGCACTCTGCACCCAAGGTTCTAGCATCATCTCATAGAGAGAGAGAATTGCCTGGCTCATTGTCTTTGCTTCTTCCTGGTTTAGTCTTTGCTGTTCTGATAAAGGAGGGATGAATGCAGTGCACAAGAGATATCGATCTCGGATTGGAACATAGAAAATGTCAATGAAGGATCCACAGCTTTCATCATTCATGGGAAACTGGCAGGCCAGACCAGCCCATCCTGTCTCAGAAAGTGAACACCCCTGTGACAGCAGGATGTTGGAGGTGGGGGTATGTTTCCACCGCACTGGCTAACTCAGAGCCCATCATTTAAAAAGACAAACTCAGGCAGTGTGAGATTAATCTGTTGACAATCATCCCTTATTGAAATATAACAGTCAATGCATATTCCATATATGTAATATGTACACATCACACATTACACATATACATAGATGCCCGTACAATCCATATTACAATAATACAATTGACACTTAGTCCATTTCTACTGATCACCTTCCAAATGCCGGCAATAATTAAAAGTCGACATACAAAGAAAAAGAACACATTGTTTCCTCCTCTAAGGAGCTCACAAGTTAGTAAGGGGAGACTAAGAAACTGAGTTATAAATAAAGAGTTAACGTAATCCCACTGAGAGGTGAAGCCACCTGGACTTCTGGGTCGAGTGGGGACTTGGAAAACTTTTCTGTCTTACAAGAGGATTGTAAAATGCACCAGTCAGCACTCTGTAGCTAGGATTGTAAAACGCACCAATCAGCACTCTGTAGCTAGCTAGAGGTTTGTAAAATGGACCAATCAGTGCTCTGTAGAATGGACCAATCAGCGCTCTGTAAAATGGACCAATCAGCAGGACATGGGCAGGGACAAATAAGGGAATAAAAGCTGGCCACCCCAGCCAGCAGTGACAACCCGCTCAAGTCCTCTTCCCTGCCGTGAAAGGTTTGTTCTTTTGCTGTTCACAGTAAATCTTGCTGCGGCTAACTCTTTGGTTCTGTGCCATCTTTAAGAGCTGTAACCTTCATTCTTGAAGTCAGCGAGACCGTGAACCCACCAGAAGGAACAAACTCCGGACACACCAGCACTTTGGATGGGTGAGGCGGCTGATTGCCTGAGCTCAGGAGTTGGACACCAGCCTGGGCAACACAGTGAAACCCCATCCCTACTAAAAATACAAAAAAGTAGCCAGGCGTGGCAGTACATGCCTGTAACCCCAGCTACTTGGGAGGCTGTGGCAGGAGAAGCGCCTGAACCTGGATGGCGGAGGTTGCAGTGAGCCGAGATGGCGCCATTGCACTCCAGCCTGGGCCACAGAGCAAGACTCTGGCTCAAAAAAAAAAAAAAAAAGATTTAAAATCAGAGTTATGATTGCAAAACAATAATACAAGTAATAGAGTTTCAGGACTCTTCTGACCCATTTGCTGCACGTTAACCCACTTATTTTTCATAACTACCTAAAAAGGTAGTGGACCCTCATTACCGTCTCTGTTTACAAATGAATATATTGAAGCACAGAGAAGAAGTTAACTTGGCCAAGATCCCGCAGCTAGTAAGTAGCAAAGACAGGCACTGGAACCCAGGTACGTTTAACCACCTCGGAGCTGCCGTTTTCCTGTGTGGGCAGCTCATAGTCGGCTGGCTGCACCTTACAGCCTGTCTCCAATCTGGCCAGTTGCTTACTTCTTCCTGTATCTGAGGTGGGCATGGGAGGAAGTCATGCATTTCCTCCAGCTGCCCAAACCATGGTGTGCACTCTGGCCCTCTCCTCAGTCTTGATGGGAGTCGTGAGACACCTGGAGCATCATCGCCTTGCAAATGTTTCCTCCACTTCATGGCTTCCTACACTGGCTGTAGAGGAGGGTGTCGGACATAAGGAAGTCTCCTGCACGACATCAGTAGTAGACACAGGCCCCTTCCTGAGTCCTCCACTGTATGCTAACACCTGACCGAAAGCCTGATCAAAAACATTAATGGGTCTTTGGCATCAGTGGAAGGGAAATACACCGCAAAGCACAACAAAAGCCAACCATGAGCTAGAGGATTATCCCCAGAGTTCATGGGTCCAACTCTTCCTCCACAGGAGCATCCTGTACACACAAACATACCACACACACTCACCACACAATACACATGCACAAACCACACACACATATACCACACACACCACACACAAACACACCATGCACGCATACACACTACATACAACATACCACACACAACACGCACACCATACAATGCACATGCACGGACCACACACACACACCACACACATACTACACACACACCACATACAATACACACACAACACACATGTATACCACACACCACACATGTACACGAACACACCACACACCACACACAATACACTATACACACAACACCCACACCACACACAAACAGCGCATACACCACAAACACACATACCACATACACCACACCATACATGCCACACATTCACACCATACACACAGAAATACCACAACACACAGCACATACAAACACAACACAAACATATACACCACACACACACCATATATGTGTACCACATGCACAACACACACAGACACATATCACACACCACACACCCACCCCACACAAACATGCACCACACACACAGACATACTGCACACAGACAAACCCTACATACAGATACATGCCACACACATATGTATATGCTACACACACCACACATACACATCACACACACAAGCACACCACATACCTACCCCCCCACCACACACACATGTTATATACTGTCTCCCCACTTCCCTGTCCCAGCAACCAAGAGAAAGACTTTGAACCCTGCCCTCAGCAGCCACGGCTCCACCCCACCAAATCCTTCACTCACATCCACCCACGTTATTTTCCATTTGATTGGTCCTTCTTCAGTGAGAGCAATGGCCAGAAAGTCAGCTGTCTTTACGAAAATAAACATAGGAAGGAAGGAAGGAAACAAGAAAGGGCAGGAGGAAGGGAGGAAGGAAGAAGGGGAAGAAGGGCGAGAGGAAGGAAGAGGAATGGAGGGGGAGAGGGGAGGGAACTCATTCTTAACCCAGTGGTTGCTTCCTCACCTTGTCTCCTTCCCCACCCTTTGAAATAGAATAAGCCAACCCAATCTAAGAATGCCTCTTCTTGCAGAATCGTAGTATTTTATTATTATATGTAATGTTAATGTGGATGGCATTGAAAGCCCAGGAGTGAGAGAGGTCCCCCAGGGAAAGCAAAAGAAGCTGGAAAGAACCTTAATATTTCATCGACCTTGATGGAATGGGCAGAGTGAGTAGTGAGTGCACTAGTGTTTGTTGAGCCTCTGCTCTGTGCCTACTAGATGCCAGGCAGGTCAAACAATTTAGAATTACTCTGTATGAAGGCAGCTTCTGTCCAATTGTATTAACATTTTAAAAAATGTTTGAATTATTAAATAATACCATTGACCTTTATTGGATGTAGGGTTCCATGAATTTTAGCACATTGCACAGTATCATGTACCCACAACCACAATCAGGATACAGGACAGGACCACCGCCAGAGTCCCTTGTACAACCCCTTTCTAATCATATCCTCCCCCGTCCCCTAAGCCTTGGCAACCACCGATCTTTTATCTGTCACGATAACTTTGTCTTTTTGAGAATGTCATGTAAAGGATTCAGTTTTCGGTAATCCTGAGTAGAACTGCTAATAATATTTGTGTACTAGTTCTATCAATTTACTGAGAGAGGAATGTGGGCATTTCTCACCATTGTGGATTTGACTATTTATCCTTTCTGTTCTTCCAGTTTTTGCTCCATGTGTTTTGAAGCTCTGTTGTCAGGTGTGTCCCATTTAGGATGGCTACAATAGTTTTTTTTGGTGAATTGACACTTTTATTATTATATACTATCCCATTTTGTCCTGGATAATTTCTTTTCTCTAAAGTCTACTTAGTCTGATATTAGTATAGCCACGCAAGATTGTTTTTAGAAAAAATATAAATTTTTTTATTTTTATTTTTTATTTATTTATTTTTGAGACAGAGTCTTGCTCTGTCACCCAGGCTGGAGTGCAGTGGTGCCATCTCTGCTCACTTCAAGCTCCGCCTCGCGGGTTCACGCCATTCTCCTGCCTCAGCCTCCCAAGTAGCTGGGACTACAGGCACCCACCACCACGCCTGGCTAATTTTTTTGTGTTTTTAGTAGAGACGGGGTTTCACCATGTTAGCCAGGATGGTCTCGATCTCCTGACCTCGTGATCTGCCCACCTTGGCCTCCCAAAGTGCTAGGATTAGAGGCGTGAGCCACCACACCCAGTCTATATATTTTTTATTTTATATTTTGAGACAGAATTTCAATCTTGTTGCCCAGGCTGGTGCAGTGGTGTGATATCAGCTCACTGCAATCTCCGCCTCCTGGGTTCAAGTGATTCTCCTGCCTCAGCCTCCCGAGTAGCTGGGATTACAAGTGCGCGCCATCACTCCCGGCTAATATTTTTTTGTATTTTTAGTAGAGAGGGGGTTTCATCATGTTGGCCAGGCTGGTCTCAAACTCCTGACCTCAGGTGATTCGCCCACCTTGGCCTCCCAAAGTGCTGAGATTACAGGCATGAGCCACCATGCCCGGCCCATATATATCCATTTATTTTTTTAAATAAACTTTTTATTTTAGAGCAATTTCAGATTTACAGAAAAATTGCTAAGATGTTAGACAATTCCCATATACAACCCCCCCCACCCACAAACACAGTTTTTCTTATCATTAATGTCATACATGAGTATGGTAGATTTGTTACACTTAATGAGTCCATATGATACATAATTATTAATATCTGTAACTTATTCAGATTTCCTTTGTTTTAACTTCTGTCTGTCTGTGTTGTTGTCACAGGGTCGAATCCAGGATACAGCATTGCATTCAGTTACCATGCCTCCCCAGGCTCCTTTTGGACAGCCTCTTGGACAGTTACTGTTCTTTTACTTTTTTAAAAAAAAATTACATTTTAAAATTAACATTTTATTAATCATTGTAGATTAAAATGTAGTTGGAAGAAGCACTACAGAGAAGTATTTTGTATACTTTGCCCATTTTCCTCCAATGTAACATTTTGCTGACTTTCTGACCATTGGTCTCACTGAAGGACCAATCAAATGCAAAATAACGTGGGTGGATGTGACGGAAGGATTTGGTGGGGTGCATTCATGGCTGCTGAGGGCAGGGTTCAAAGTCTGTCTCTTGATTGCTGGGACAGGGAAGTGGGGAGACAGTATATAATATATGAGTGTGTGTGAGTGCGTGTGTGTGTGTGTGGTGTGGTAGGTATGTGGTGTGCTTGACAATGATGCAAGCCACTCGTCTCCTTCAGATTTCCCCAGTTCACTTGCACGCATCTGTGTGACAGTGTGTATATGTGAGTGTGTAAGTTACATACAATTTTATTGTCTTTATAGGTTCATGCGGGCACAGAGTCAAGATACAAAACAGTGCCACAGCACGAGGATTTCCTATGTTGCCCTCTTATAATCCTACTCACTTCCCTCCTGCCAAATCCCTAACCTCTGACATTAGTACTTTCTTTACAGCAGGATCCTGGCAATACATTCTGGTGATTTTCCTTCATCTGAGAGTGTCTACATTCAGTTTTATTCCTGAAGAATATTTTTACTGCATATAGGTTCTGAATTGGCAGTTTTTTTCCTTCAACACATTTAACAAAAACTGTTCCTCTTCCCTCTGGCCTTCCTGGTTTTTGGTGTGAAATCCAAGGTCATACAAACAAAATAGTAATGCATTATTTTTCTCTGGCTGCATTTAGGACCATTTCCTATGTGTTTATTTTTCAGTAGTTTTTTATGATGTGTCTAGATGTGGAACTATTTGAGTTCATCTGGTTTGGCATTTGCTGGGCTTTTACCTGTAATTTTCAAACCTTTGGCTCAATTTGGGAAATTTTTAATCATTATCTCTTGAAATATTATTTTCTTCACTCCACTTTTTTTCTTGTGGGACTTCAATGACTCCATTGTTAGATTGTTATTGTCCCATGTGGGGAAAAGAGAGATCAGATTTTTACTGTGTTCATGTAGAAAAGGAAGACATAAGAAACTCCATTTTGATCTGTAGTAAGAAAAATTGTTCTGCTTTGAGATGCTGTTAATCTGTCACTTTAGCCCCAACCTTGTGCTCACAGAAACATGTGCTGTATTGAATCAAAGTTTAATGGATTTAGGGCTGTGCAGGATGTGCCTTGTTAGCAATATGTTTGCAGGCAGTATGCTTGGTAAAAGTCATCACCATTCTCCATACTCGATTAACCAGGGACACAATGCACTGCGGAAAGCAGCAGGGACCTGTGCCCAAGAAAGCCTGAGTATTGTCCAAGGTTTTCCCCCCACTGAGACAGCCTGAGATATGGCCTTATGAGAAAGGAAAGACTTTACCATCCCCCAGCCTGACACCTGTAAAGGGTCTGTGCTGAGGAGGAGTAGTGAAAGAGGGAGTCCTCTTTGCAGTTGAGGTAAGAGGAAGCTTTTGTCTCCTGCTTGTCCCTGGGAATGGAATGTCTCCGTGTAAAGCTGACCATTCCCATTCGTTCTATTCTGAGATGGGAGAAAACCGCCCTGTGGCTGGAGGCAAGATATGTTGGCAGCAATACTGCTCTGTTGCTCTTTGCTACACTGAGATGTTTGGGTAAAGAGAAACATAAATCTAGCCTACATGCACATCGGGCACAGTACCTTTCCTTAAACTTATTCATGATATAGATTCCTTTGCTCACATGTTTCCCTGCTGACCTTCTCCCCACCTGTTGCCCTGCTACACTCCCCTCGCTAAGACAGTAAAAATAATGATCAATAAACCCTGTTACACTCCCCTTGCTAAGATAGTAAAAATAATGATCAATAAATACTGAGGCTGGCGCCTCAGTATGGGTCCTCCGTATGCTGGGCGCCGGTCCCCTGGGCCACTGTTCTTTCTCTATACTTTGTCTCTGTGTCTCATTTCTTTTCTCAGTCTCTTGTCTCACCTGATGAGAAATACCCACAGGTGCGGAGGGGCTGGCCCACTTTAGTCCCATAAGTTTTTGAAGCTCTATTATTTTTTTCCATCTTTTTTCTTGGTGTTGTTAAGATTTGTAATTTTCTTGCTCTATCTTCAATTTCATCAACTTCTTTCTGACTTCCGTGTTATTTGACATCCAATATATTTTTAAAATTTGGTTATCATATGTTTCAGTTCTAAAATTTACATTTGGTTCTTCTTTATATCTTCTATTCCTTTGCTGGGCCATTTTCCCTTTCCATTTGTTTCAAGAATGTTCACCTTTTCTTATTGGAACATTTGTATTAATGATTTTAAAGTAACTGCCAGATAATTTCAACGTTTATGTTATCCTGACATGAATATCTGTTGATTGCTTTTTCTCATGCAAGTTGAGATTTTCTTGACTCTTTTTAGGCAATGTAAGTTTTTATTGTATCCTGGACATTTGGGGTATTATGTTATGAAACTCTGGATCTTGTTTATATCTTATCAGGATAGTTCATATATGTGTTCTGGTAGACATCACACGTGTTTGGGTTCAGGCTGCAGGTTCCTACTGGCCTCCTCTGGATTTTGATTCCTATACAAGTCCAGTTATCAGAGACTTTGCATTACATTCAGACATTTCCTGTGCATGCACCACCCAGGGACCAGCCGAGGACCTGTGTGTTGTTTTATCCTGTAGTTTAGTTCTCAAAGGCTTTGTTCTGCTAGTTAGGATCAGATCCACATTTGTGCAATTCCTGAGGATGCGGCCAAGAGTTCATAAACAAGTTTATGGAATCTTTTCTCATGCTACTTCCTCTCCACAATCTCCCTGGTAATTTCTGGTTTTGCAGCAGTCCTCTTGCACCCTAGCCAGAAACTGGAGTGTCAATTATACCACTCTGCTGTGCATTTCCTGGAGCTCGTTGTTTCCATGCTCTAGCTCCCACTTCTGAGCTTAAGGATCCCTTGAGTTTAGGCTGGGCAATATTAGAGAAAAAATGGGAAACTCTCCACCAGCTTTGTGGTACTTGGAATTTTGGTCTACTTTCTCAATCTGCCAGCTACCCTTTACTACTTATTTATTTTAGTTAAAAACACATTACATTCAATTTACCATCTTAACCATACATAATAAAGTGTATAGTTCAGCAGTATTAAGTATCTTTACATAAGTATGCAACAATCTCCAGAATTTTTCACCTGCAAATCTAAGGCTCTGTACCCATTCAACACCAACTCCCCATTCATCCCTCTCTCTATCCTCTGGAAATGACCATTCCACTTTCTGTCTCTAGAAATGTGACTATTTTAGATACTCCGTATAAGTAGAATCACATATTATTTGCCTTTATGTGATTGGTACATTTTCCTTAGTATAATGTCCTCCAGGTTCATTCATTTTGGAGAAAGTTAATAGGATTTTCTTCTTTTTAAATACCATTCCGTTGCATGCTTAATAACCACATTTGCAGTGCATTCATCCCTGGATGGACATTTGAGTTGCTTCCACCTCTTTGCTATTGTCAATATTGTATTCAGTGGGAGAGACAGACTGGAATGTGTTTGCCCCATTTTAATCAGGGGAAGAATAGTACTGAGATTTACTAGTTAAAATTTTTGTAAAAAAGAGTATAATTTCCCTTTATTAATGAAAACCATATAGCCCTTGGAATTGAAAATTTACACAGGCTTGTGAATAGATTATACAGATACTCAAGCCAGGCAAATATAACTTAGTTTAGTACCGTTTGTTTATATGTCTCCCTGGAAATATGTTCTTTTGACAATGATAAATATTAATAGACTGTTATAAAATGTATATATTTGGATGCTATATTGTGTTTAAATCCTTTCAATTTCAGGTAGGAATATGTTTTTGTGACCACATTAAGTGAATAAAGTTTCAGTTTGACTTAGTAATTAATAAAGTGCAACTTGTGATTGACAATCCTCTTCCCAGATAATAGACTTTTATGAGGTAAATCAACTCTAGAAAGAATGTGCTCTTCCCTAGTGTGACACTTAGAAACATTGTTAGTAATAAAACCCTCCACAATTCTTTCAGGTATAATTCACCAAGCCATGCAAATGTTGTAAAATCCAACTAGATTCGGGTAAACTTCCATTTTATTGAGTGGATTTATGATATTTAGGGATTGATTCATGGCATACGACTGATCACAATAATTGGTATCTCCTTCAGCAAGTTTATGAAGCTTTATCTTTTTTTCTTAGTAAAATGCATATATCCACTATAACTGTCATTAAAAAAAAAACTTGAAATTCATGAGGAAAAGCATCTTATTTTACCATGAAGGATTTATTTATTTTTCTAAGTGCTGCCCATTGCTCTTATGAATCGTGTACTGTGCTCTTCAACTTGCTTGTTTCTGTAAATTATTATACATCTACCAAGGTGTGTCTTCCAGAGAGTGAAGGTCATTGTTCTGGAGTAGGCCCTTGAAATAGCATCCACGTAAGTGAAAGTAAATAGCAGAGATAATGGAGTCAAAAGTTTAAATTAACCCTTTCTAGATTATCCAGGTCATTTGTTTTTCCTAGAGATAAAGTATAGAAACCAGGATGATTTATCCTACTATTCAAATGATTTAGTTTTAACTTTCATTGTAAGTTCTTGTTTTTATCAAAGTAATACATGAAAATGGCTTAAATTCTTAAACAGTGCCACAAATGTTGGAACAAGAAACAGTAATCTCTTGCCATACTACTGATTCTCTCTTTCTAGAGAAGGCAATTTTCAACCATTTTAGCTATTTACCTTTTTTTTTTTTTTACTTAGATAACATACCTTATTAGATATTCCTGGATTTTCCTCTCCCCATGGTATCTTTATTTCTGTTGGAAGCTTTTAAAACCATTAAAAATATTCAAATAGATGAATTTAAATATATTAATATTTTACTTAATGCTAGATAAGATGCTACTTATATAGAGAGTGAAATATGCATACTATAAAATTGGTCACTTTAACCATTTTCAAGTGGACAGCCTATTGTCATTAAGTACATTCACATGTTGTGCAGCCATCACCACCCTCCATCTCTAGGACATTTTCATCTTCTAAAACTGAAACCCTGTACCCATATTCCTTAATTTTTAAATTTTATTATGGCCTACTGATTTCTTACATGGAAGGTGAAAATCAGAAATAAACTCCTCTCACTGCTTAGGCAGGGACTAATACAAGGCAGTTACGGTGTTGGAGCAGAATGGAAGAAGGGGTCACTCGGTGCTCGCCCTGCCCCTGTGTGAACCTGAGAATGGGCCCCCTCAATTCTGGGCCCTGCTGGTCTCCCTGGCATCATCCTCTCTGGGTCCTCTATGCTGCACTCCACCTCCCTTCCCTCACAGATGCCATCCTTAACCCCATTCTGTCAGTATAACCACAGCATTTTTTTAAGTTAAATCAATATTTAGTGTTTACTTAGTTCCTGTAAAAATTGTCCTAATCTATGCAATCATATGTACATATTCTTTCACATTAACATTATATTTTTTGGGGTAATTGTATTATTTGATTATTCAGTTAATACTGGAGCTTGTTTACAAATATGGCCTCCAATGAACTACACCTTTCAGTTTTCTTGCCTTTGTGTAGTCTGCCTCTTGAATCAGAGCTAGATTTTGACCAAAGAGTGTAGTGGAGGTGACCTTCCGGGCCTTCTGAGGCTACATCACAAGGCACTTTGCAGGTGCCTTGAATACACTGGAGGAAGCTGCTGTGATGGATTATGACTACCTTGAGACTACCCTCCCACCCATAGCTGTAGTGGAAGGTAGCCTAAGTTACCATGTCCAGAGACTGTGTGCACAGAAAGAGATGCCTGGCAGCCATGCTGTGAGGAAGCCCAAGTCAGCATGTGGAGAGGTTGTGTGAACAGAAACGGAAGACTGGCCATTCTCTGGCTGTTCCAGGAAGCACCCAGGCACAGACATGTGAGTGAATCATTTGGTATCTTCAGCCATTGACCTTTCAGGTGACTCCAGCCTCAGCAATATCTGCCTATAATCACAGGAGAGGCCCTCAAGTGAGCCCTGCTGAGCCCTGTCAAGCCCTGTCAACCCACAGAAGCTTGAGAGGTAACAATAAGTTATGATTTTAAACCACTGAGCTTTGGGGTTTGTTACACAACTGTAGATAATAGAAACACTTAAGAGTCTATGAATCCCAATGTGTATATCGTTCCTAAACCCTTTGATTAAACTGAAAAGCTCCTTCAAATAAAGTCAAACATATTAATTAAGCTGTCAGATTACTTTTCCCCCTTGGAGACATTTCTTCAAAAGCCCCTGTTCCCTTCTCTGATGTCACAGGCCTACTGCACAGATTCAATCCTGGACATCCCAGTTTCATCCTGGGAATTCCCTTTTCCGCTCTCCTACATTGGATCCTGGTTCCCAAAACCCATGTCTTCATCTTTCTTTTTCCAAGGACACATTATCTTATTTTGCCTTGCTTAGGAGTAGAATTATTGTTAATTTGAAGATTTCTTTGGCTCCCTACAATATCTCTCTTCTGAGTTTTCTATGTTTTTTCTGTTTGTCTTCATTTCCATATTTTTTGTTAGAGGTTTTGTTAAAGGTTCTCCTCAAGTTCTGGTGACTCTTATTTGTTGGTTTTTATTTAAGTGTAAGGCAGTAAAACATCAATCCTTAACTCCATGGGCATGGGTGAGTTAGTCATTGCAGAACTTTTGTGCGTGGCAGTAATGAGACGGGTCAGATTTTTTAATCTGCAGGGATTTCTTTCCGTTGTTTCATCACTTTTTCTTGGAGTGTGTTTTTGTATGCAGGGGTAAAACTGATAATAAGTCTGGCTGCCAACATTTTAGAAGACACTCTGGTAGAGTAGAAGACTGTCTTTGGTCAGGGCAATGTATTCCTCAATCTTTTGGTGGGCAGAAGAAAGAATGGAGTCTAAGCTGACATGGTGACACTTCCTTATACTTTGAAATAGAAAGAAACATGGATCCTGAGTGAGGTAAGAGAGGTATGGACCTCAGCAAATACCTGGGGAAGGTCTTGTCTTAGTGCAATTAAAAAAAATTGAAGCTACTCATCAAATACAAGGCTAACATTAAAAAAATAGTGGTTAGCTCTTCAATGAAAATCAAAGAAAGAAATAACAAATATACTTGGACAAAAATTACTTTGAGGAATCAGTAAAATAAAACAATGTATTCATATGGTCAGTAAACAATCATGTTGATTCAAAGACAGGCAGGGTAGCTTGGGTCCTGGTAGGCTTTCTAGTCTACTGGGCTAGGCTTACGGAGCCATTAAGTCAAACCTGGCAAAGAGGAGTGGGATTCCAGTTCCAGACTTTGCTCTTTTATTACCTGGCAGCAAGCTTCAGGATGGGGCTTAGGACTCTCAGAGTCTCATGTAACTTTACCAATTAGCCAACAAGTACTTTTTGAGCCCCATCTGTGTCCTGCCTGGGGTTAGACATCCATTGATAAATAAAACTATAGAGCACTCCTTTTAGTCGGACCTTCGATTTTACAAAAAGGCCAAATAATAACATGATTAACATATTTAGTCTAATGACCTAGATATGTTATCCTCAGGTCATGAATATTTTTTAAAAAATGAAAATCTTTAAAAATTTTTTCTGTCTGTGAATGAAAAGGGCGTTTGTTTAACTAAGAAGAAACATTTATTCCTGATTTCTTGCCCTAATATTATGCACTCAGATATTGGATTAAAATGGTTGTGTAGAAGATGGATCCTTGACAAGAGCTATCCAGGCTTCAAAGTAGCCTAGATAAATGTAGCGTTTAGGAGCACAGATCAGGCCTGATGTTTCCACTGGAAGATGATTCTCTGAAGGGCCTACTTAGTTGTTCCAGATGGCTGATCAATCACACAGGTTTTGGTTAATTTGATATGTTCAATCTTGGCCAGTTGCCTTTAAGACTTTCATAGAGAAATACTTTCAAAGGAGAAAAGAAACATCTAAAATCTGATTATAAAAAGCAAACATGAAATTCAAAGAAGTATGTAGGGGAGATTCAACTTTTTTTTTTTTTCTCAGAGAAGTCTCAGAACACAGAGCCTGCCTTATAAAACTTTAGGTACTAGATCCAGGAGAAAATAAGTTGAACTGTCCTGCAGCATAAACGGTTTTCTTTGCCACTTTACTTTTCATTTCATTCATGGATGTGAAAATTCCTTTAGAAACTTGTTCTAATCAGAACTTTAGAGAATAATGTGATGTAGAATATGGTATGAAGAGAAGCCAGTGTATTCTCGTTTTTTTTGTTTTTGTTTTTGAGGCAGAGTCTCACTCTGTCGCCCAGGCTGGAGTGCAGTGGCACCATCTCATCTCACTGCAACCTCTGCCTCCCAGGTTCAAGCGATTCTCCTGCCTCAGCCTCCCAAGTAACTGGGATTACGGGTGCGTGCCACGACGCCCAGCTAATTTTTTTTGTATTTTTAGTAGAGACAGGGTTTCGCCATCTTGGTCAGGCTGGTCTTGAACTCCTTACCTCAGGTGATTCACCCACCTCTGCCTCCCAAAGTGCTGGGTTTGCAGGTGTGAGCCACTGCACCCGGCCGCCAGTGTATCCTTATTGCTATGTAGAAGATTCATCGTGGCCATGAAGCTGGCCTCCAGAGTCCTCCCAGAGTTCCTTGCTTAGTGGGTGGTGGAGTGGGCAGAGAGGTGGGCTGGCTGTATTCAGACATCTGTTCTCTGCAAGTTTTTGATGCACACACTTTTAAGTGAGGTTTGCAGAGATGGTCATTTAATTCCTGGAAGAAATGGGATAGTATATGCATATCCTTTGTCATTTCTACGGACTAGAGCTTCTGTCCAGAGGTGTGTTTACCGCTGTGCATAGAGGAACTGGAGCTGATGGCTGTCAAGATGCAGGCACTTCCAGGCAGTTGCCAGCACCACCTCCTACTTCCTTCTTTTTTTTTTCTTTTTCTTTTTTTTTTTTTTTGAGACAGAGTCTTGGTCTGTTGCCCAGGCTGGAGTGCAGTGGCATGGTCTCGGCTCACTGCAACTTCTGCCTCCTGGGTTCAAGCAATTCTCCTGCCTTAGCCTCCTGAGTAGCTAGGGTTACAGGCATGCGCCACCACACCCGGCTAATTTTTGTATTTTTAGTAGAGACGGAGTTTCGCCGTGTTGGCCAGGCTGGTCTTGAACTCCTCACCTCAGGTGATCTGCCCACCTCGGCCTCCCAAAGTGCTGCGATTACAAGTGTGAGCCACTGCACCCGGCCTCCACCTCCTACTTCCTTCTGAAGGTGCTCGCCAACCAAAGAGAAACTAGGCAGAGCCTGTACTCACTTGTCAGCCTGATGGCATGAGGTGTCACTTTTATGGCTCTCGGTTTCAGGATTGCTGATAGTCCACACTGGGTGAACGTATCAGGGGTGTGTGGATGGATAAAAAGTCAGGATACCTGAAATATGCTACAGATGTAAAAATCACTTCATCAGGTACATAACTTCCTTCTAATTTATTTTTCTATTACCGACTCATGCTAGACAGCTGCTAAAGTTAATGCGATTTTTATTAAAGCAAAGTCTTCATTAGAATTTCTCTCCTTGGAGACTGGGCACGGTGGCTCATGCCTGTAATCCCAGCATGTTGGAAGGCCAAGGTGGGCAGGTCACGAGGTCAGGAGATCGAGACCATCCTGGCTAACACGGTGAAACCCCGTCTCTACTAAAAATACAAAAAAAAATTAGCTGGGCATGGTGGCAGGTGCCTGTAGACCCCACTACTTGGGAGGCTGAGGCAGGAGAATGGTGTGGACCCGGCAGCTGGAGCTTGCAGTGAGCCGAGATCCTGCCACTGCATGCCAGCCTGGGCAACAGAGCGAGACTATGTCTCAAAAAAAAAAAAAAAAAAAAAAGAATTTCTCTCTTTGGATTATCACTATAGGATGGGCCACCTCTCCCACAGTGGGAAGCTCCTTTCCTCTCCTTGCTGCTGTCTCTCTCTGCTGACCCTGGCAGTGTCCCCAACTCAGCTCCAGCTCCTTCCACATGCCCTGTTTTTTCTAACCACAAGTAGGAGGATGGGGCAGCAAACTTCCCACCGCTCTGCATTGCTTATTCAATGATACCTACACTAATCATCCCTCAATCTTACTTCAACCATCTGCCCTTGGGTTGGGGGATGGGGTTGCTGTGCCTGAAGGTTGGGGTTGGATGAGCCTTGGAAGGTAGGGATTGCGTGTATCTGGAGGGTGGGAGTTGGGAGTATCTGGGGGTTGGGGAGATGGGTGGGTCTGGTGGGTAGGGGCGGATGAGTGTGGGTGGGTAAACAGTGCAGAGACTCTGGGCTCAGAATCCCAGGCTTAGAAAGGAAAGAAACCTTGCCTTGAGTGGGGGAAATACTCCTCAGGACCAGTCAGGCTTGTGGCTGAAGCTCTTCTGGAATGTGAGGCCTCATTGGCAAGAGATTAAGACTGTGTTCTCTCTCTCTTAACAATTTTTCTGCTTGTATTCTGCCTCCACCTTCCCGCTCTATTCTCTTTCCAGGATTTTAAGGACAAACGCAGAGTGTGTATAAGCTTAATTCTCCAATGAGATATTAAAATACGATTTATAAATTGGGTGCAACCAATAGTTTGTTGCCTTGGAGATGCTCCCATGAAAATAAATAGAACCTGAAACCATCAGTATAGCTTGGCTTTTCTTTTTAGAAAAATGTAACTCAAAATCCAGATCATGTAGCTGGGGGCAGATTCTGCTGTTAGTCTCCTAAGATTGGCTTGGGGGTTTTCTGGTCATGTGGTGGGTGGTGAATGTGGGCGTCCCTTGCAGGTGAGGAGGATGTGAGAAGCTGTTCTCTCTAGAGGTTGCATTGGTCCCATGAGCAGTTATGAGTGCTGGTCTGCTTTGCCACAGCTACCTGCTCATTCTCTGGCACAGTCGTGTGTGATGTGTATTCAGCGTATGTTCTGTTGTTGAGGCCAGTGTGGGCTGGTTCGGGGAAGCACCCAGGAATGGGACTGAACTCCTGCATTTGACTAAGTGCAATCTTGTCAGTCTTGTGGAAAACCCAAGCACAGGTAACTTATTTGAAGTTTTGTTCACATAAAAAGAATCTGCAATGTTTTCTGTTTATATCTTATTTGACTTAGTTTATTTTGATTTAATAAACTGAGCTATAATTAAATGTAAAACATTTATGAGTTACAAAAGTATATGGTATGCTCACCTTTCTTCAAAGAAAGGCTATTCAAAAAACAAACGTATTATTTTTTATGTGTGAGGAAAGTAGCTTCATCTGTCTTAGTCCGTTTGTGTTGCCATAAAGGGGTATCTGAGGCTGGGTAATTTACAAAGAAAAGAGGTTTATTTGGCTTACAGTTGTGTAAGCTGTACAAGGAGCATGGCACTGGCATCTACTTCTGTTGAGAGCTTCAGGAAGCTTCTACTCATGGTGAAAGGTGAAGAGGAGCCAGCGTGCAGATCACATGAAAGAAAAGGCAAGAGGGGATGGTGGGAGGTGTCAGGCTCTTTTTAACCATCAGCTCTTGCAAGAGCGAATACAGCAAGAATCATTACCATGAGGATGGCACCAAGCCATTCATGAGGGATCCAGCCCATGACCCAAACACTTCTCAGTAGGTCCCACCTGCAACATTGGGAATATGTGTCAACATGAGACTTGGCCAAATCAAACAAACCATATTTAAACCATAGCATCATCTTACCAGCCACCCTGCACTTAATACAACTGTCGAATTGGACATTATGAATAATTGGAACACACATCTGCTTCTTCCTACTAGCAAGCCTTTATGTACACCATCCCAGCAGGCCTTTTGCTCCCGCCTCTACTCCACTTGTTTGAATACCATGAAAGGCCCAGCCCATCCCTGTCTCTTTTGTGGAGCCTTCCTGACTTCCTTTGTCACAGAGGTGCTCTCTTTGTCTTGTATTGTTCAAAGCCTATGTTCTGTCCATGAACACACCCTGCCTGCAATTATATGGTGTGCTTTAAGAGATCTTAGACAGACATTCCTGGAGAAGTGCATTTTGTTCACATGTTGATCCTGCATAGTGAATAACATATGAATATACTCCATAATTTGTGGTGGTAGTGATGGTGGTGGTGGAGAGAATGAACCCAAAACTCTTACGAAGCCATTTTTTGACATATCTACCATACATTGAAGAATACTGATGTTGATGACATTCCCAGCTGGAGGCCAGAAACGAGCTTCCCTTGGTTCAGTAAAAAAATAGGATAATAATCTCTGGGTAGGATTTTCAAATTTAAAAAGGAATTTCCTGTTATTTTAACCAGTAGCTGGAATATACATTATCATCCTTGTTTGACTGGAGACGCAACTGCAGCACAATGTCAAATAGTGGGTTAGATAGGAAGCTGAGTGCAACATCCACACAGAGCTCAGTGGTTTGCAAACTTATGTGCAACCGACAGTCACCCCAAGCACAGCCCTGGAGAGTTGCATCCAGTTAGTCAAGGATGAGATCCTAGGAATTCGCATCTGCAATGAGCTTCTCAGTTGTTTCTGATTATAGCTGAAGAGCATTTGGAGACACTCAGCAGTGGGGGCTCTTTCTGCTATCCTGTTGGGACCTCCTCCTAGGACTACATCAGTTCTTTGTGGTGAGCGATGCAAAGTAGGCCTCCAGAGCATACCCCTTCCCTCAGTCAAGAGTGCTCAGTCTTTGTGGACAAAAGAACACCTACAAGCCGTCAGCCCAGGCTGGCCATCTGGGAGAGAGAGGGCTGAACACTACCGTATATGTTTGGAAATCTTCCCTGTGCATGTGCCTTGCCCATTAAATCTTCAGTCTCCTAAAATGCTGCCCTGCTTCCCTCACCTTGGTTCCGATACTTCCTGATCCATGACTTAAAGCATTTCTTTGATTTGTTCCTCTTATATATCTAGATCTCTGATATCTGATGCTCCTAACACATATACCAGAAACCCAGAATTAGGATTCATACACTTGCCGTCATAAAGGCATGGCTCTGGCCATCTGAACCAATCTCCTCTCACCTCAGACACACCCATGCATCTCACAGGCCTTCCTCACTCAGCACCCTGTCCAAATTTACCAACACAAAAACGTGCTTCCATTTTGGGTTGTCATGACTATGTCATTAGAACTTTATGATTGCAAAACAGATATGCAAATAAGTGCAAATTGAACACACCATCTGCTAAATCTCTAGGGTTCTCATCATTACATAAATGACCAAGGTATTGACTCAAAAAGAAAAGATGCCTGTCAGCCTCCTGGAATACTCCTTAGCAGAAACTTTTGCCATCAAGAAGATGTAGAACAAAATCCATGCCCCAAGGGAAAGTAATATAACCATAGATACTTAGGGAAGCAGCAGAAAATCTCATTACTTAAAGGTTGATTTTTATCTAATGATGCAAGTGAACAGTAGCAGGATTCCAAGGGGAGGCAGGATAAGCAGGGAGGCTCATAGTTTTGTTGATTCTTATATATATTTTTTCGTATATAACTAGCTATGTTTTTGTTTATTTTCTAGTACTTATATACATTCTCTCAAAGCTGCTGACAAACAGCACACCTGTATGGCAGGCAAAACTACACAATCTCTATGAGTCTTTATATTGGCTTTGTTGACTGGTAATGGATAACATTTCAACTACCGGCCATCTCCAAACAGCAAATGCCAAATATTCAGTGGCATATGCTACGTAGCTATCAGGGGAGGTAAGCGCTCAGCACACCTATAAGCCATTCCAGAAGCTCCTTCAGAACCATTCAGTGAGCTCCCTGGAAAAGTTAACCTTACTTTTTATCTACATGGATGCCATACAACTTGCTTTTTACATCAGGGAAAAAAGGAGAGAGTCAAAAAGCATAACTGGCAAAGTACCAGTCCAGACTCATGAAATGCAGCCAATCTCTAATATATTGAAGTTGTAACATCAATAAAATACGACATCCTGGCAATCTGTGGTGGGTGATGCAAATCCACCCATGAGCAAGTCTCTAGGGAAAAGGTTGGTCATAGTGGCTTGGGCTTGTAATCCCAGCTATTCAGGAGGCTGAGGCAGGAGGATTGCTTGAGGCCAGGAGTTCAAGACTAGCCTGGGCCAAACAGTGAAACCCTATCTCTACAAAAAAATCAAAAAGCTTTTTTAAAAAATATAGGCTGCTGTGAGCTATGGCCACATCATTGTTTTCAAGCCTGGGCAACAGAGGGAGAACCTGTCTATAAAAATAGAAAGAGAGATAGATAGATAGATAGATAGATAGATAGATAGATAGATAGATAGATAAAAATAATTAGAGAACAGGAAATAGCTATGGTTTTCTGTTTGATTCAGAGTTTCACCTCTTTATAAAATGCTTAGCTACATTTTCCTGTGTCCTCATATTTCAGTGCACCTGCCTCAATCATTTTATTAAAATGCTTTTATGTCTAACTAAACATCCCCCTTTGTTTACTATTCTCCTTCCTTTATTGCAACCAGCACAGACAGAGATCTAGCATTGATATCCGCCTGCCAAGTAATTTAAATGTGCAATTTATAAATGGGTGCTTTTTACATTCAAAGGCCTAATTGGCAATGAGAACTGCTGGAAATCATAAAAGAAAAGACTCATTGGTTGTGCTGTAATATTACTGGAATTGGAGGTGGGAGTTTTAAATCTTTATGGAAGCAAAAGAACTATCCTTTCTATGATAACTTAAAGCCCTCAGGCATTCTCTTTTTCACAAAGATGTAGATACTGAAGTCTGAAGATAATTGTAGTGAAGCTCTTTCTCAATGTTTCTTTATCAAAGCTTATATAAATTGTACAAAGTGTCCTACAATTTTGGTTTATCTTTTACTATTTTCCAAATGGCACTGCATAGAAATAATATACTAATGCTCCAAAGAAACTCATTTGATTGCCAAGTATTTTATTTTAATTTTCTAATAACTCTAGCAGAATTCGTGTGGTTATGCTATTGGTGAATAAAACAGAATCAGTATTGGCAGACAACTTTATGGTAAATTATACAGAATAATGTGTAAGTGACATACTTTAATTAGGAAATAGTTATACACAAAAGAAACAGGAGATAGTTTTAAGTGCTAATATAATTTTTTTATCCACTTACTCTCTTTTGCCCCATAACCCTGAAACTGATCCAATTTTCCCATAGAACTTATGTTTACTATTTCTTTTGAATAAACATAGAAATTGACCCTCCCAGTCTTAAATCTTTAGAAAGTTACATTTGTCTTATATGGGTTCCTTTCTGAGGAAACCAACAGTCAGGCCTCCCAGATAGTATCGTGGAACTAAAACTCACCAGATCACTGCATCTGGACAATGAGACATCAGAGTCTTCACCCACCATGGTTGCCTAAGTACCTGCTTCCTGTTGACCAGTTCCTCTTCCTTACTCCTCCCTAATTCCTGTTTTCCTGCATGTGTTACATTTCTTCTCTGCTATGTAAGTCCCTAATTTTAGTTGTTCAGGAAGATGGATTTGAGACTGATCTCCCATCTCCTTGGCTGTAGCACCAGATTAAAGCTTTCTTCTATGGCAATACTCATTGTCTCAGTCATTGGCTTCCTGTGTGGCAAGGAGCAGGACCTAGACGGAACGCCTGGTGTTTTGGTAACAACCCTGCCCAATTCAAGCACCTGTACAGAAAAGGACATGGCCCCTGAATTTTAGTTGTCTCAGCTGAATCACATAAAAATATAAAATCTACAACTTTTCAATTAAAATTAAATCTGTTGCCCAGGTGTAATACAGAAGGGTTTAAGATCAATATATTTTTCAGAACACCCCCATGGGCATGAGTTTTAAAGCCACAGCTATATCCCTAACATAGATACCTTGCCTGCCACCTGCAGAGGAGAAGCTCAAAGGGTGAGGGAGGTGTTCTGAAAGACCCTGTCTTCATCCCACTGACCTGGAGAGAGCTCCATCATTTTATCATTTTAAGGATGAATAAAGTGATCAAAAAAGACTAAAAATCTCCTTACAAACTGTATATATTGTTAGGGAAAAGAAAGATCAGGTAGCACAATGTAGAGGACAAAAAAGTATTAAAATAAAATACAGGTGTCCCTTGGTGTTTGTGAGAGATTGGGTCTAGGACCCCTGCAGATACCAAAATCTATGAATGCTCAAATCCCTCTATAAAGTACTGTAGTATTTGCATATAACCTATGCACATCCTCTTGTGGATTCGGATAAATGAATCATTTATTTGAATAAATGACTCTCTTATTTAAATGACTTTAAATGATACTTTAAATCATTTCTATAATACTCAATACAACATAAGTGCTATCTAAATTGTTGTTTTTCTGTATTGATTAGGGAATAATGACAAGAAAAAAAGTCTGTACGTGTTCAGCACAGATGCAATTTTTTGGGAGTTATTTCCATCTGTGGTTGGTTGAATCCACAGATGCAAAACCACCAACAGGGAGGGCCAGCTACGCCAGTATATGGCGCATCTGCCACTCTAGCTGCCAGTGTCTCCTATTTAGAAAACACACATTGACTGTTTTAAATATCCAAAGTCCATGTCTCATAGACCAGTCCATGGCCTTGGCAAAGGAGGAAGGCGTCAGAAGACAGGGAATGCTGGTTCTGTCCCTGGCCACTCACCTCCTCTTCATCTACTGTGAGGATGGATAGACATCAATAGTAGTGTTACGACTTTTGGAATTTTCATCTCTGTCACTGAAGTGCATTGGGCTTCATTCCACCAGAAGTTTATATTTTGCTTTTTTATTTTTAAAATCACTTACATTTTTTTGCAAAAGTCAGTGAAACCCTTTTTAAGATTGTGTTGGAGCTGAATTCCAAAGGCAGTAGCTTCTACATTCACATTCAATTTACGGAGGGTAATCCACTAACAAACCCATGTTCCAATTCTGCCCACACTGAGACCCTCACAGAAAATGAATCCATTAGCCCCAGACAACCGTAGTGGCACAATACGGCATTCTTATCAGTTGCAGCAGAAATCAAGTCTGGGAGATGCAATTACATCAGGAAACTTGGGAATGGGTTGAATATGCCACAAACACTGTGTTTTAGCATTAAGTGGGTTTAGAGACTTAAAGAACTTTATGTTAATATTTTCTGTAGATACTGCTATTTTGCAATTCTCAAGAAAACCTTCTAAAAGTTGGATAAATAGTGTATTTTGGTTGGAGTTTCCTGTGAAATTTGTTTTTATTGTGGACCTTGACATTGTTCTCTCTCATCATGGCACAGTCCACCTCCTCATTCCTTAATGAGTTTTTGAATAAATTATCACTTTTTTCCTAGACATAATTATCTTCTGTTTTTTTTTTCCCCTGGAGATACAGAAGAAATGATAAGCTAGAGTTGGATATTACAAGTCCTCCTGGGGTTCTTTTTTTAAATAACTTTAGCCTGTAGTGGAGGGGACATCCACATTTTAGTTTAGCAAGTGGGATATTAAAACGACACTGCAGTCCACCTTAGAACAGATACTGCCAGTTCTTGCCTGGCCTTACTCAGCTGTGCACCTGCTCCAGGGAGTGGGTGTCACAGCACTTTTTGAGGACTCCACACCAAACACATCTTTTTTACTCCATCCTTGGCTTCTGTTTCTTAACCCAGGAAAATCTCATCACAGTCCACAAACCTCTGACATTGTCTAGGTCCTCAGCCTTGGCATTTCATAAGACATGAAACTTTGTTAGTAGATTCCTTCTTTCAGGGCTACATTATAACTTCGGCGGCACTGAGACACTGTTGCCTTTGTGAGCACCTTCCTTTATGGAAAAAAAATTAAAAATCATGGCTATGTTGGTAGAAAATCAAATATTTTTAGGCTAAATTCTTTGTTATATATTCATTTTCTTCTTATATTTAGAGAAATTAAAATTAAAACATTTTCATGAGCCCTTAAAAGTATTGTGGTTTCCAGGCCCTGAACTGGTAAGTTGCCCCTGACTCCAAAACATCCACTCCATTCCCTACGTGGTCTGTCCCCTTACTTCTTGTTCAATGATCTTGCTTTTTAATAAATATGCTCTCTGGTCTACTCTGGAGGTCACCAGTACCTATATTCAAGGGTTGTCTCTCTCTCTCTCTCTCTCTCTCTCTCTCTCTCTCTCTCTCTCTCTCTCTTTCTCTCTCTCTATCTCTCTCTCTCTCACACACACACGCACACACACACACACACACACAGAGCACACATTGTGAGCATACGCAATGTCGGCAGTGTTAAATGTTGGCGGCCCGGTACCCGTTTTGCCACAAGGCAATGTATTCCCCTTGCTACATTCTCCTTCTCCTCTTTCTGCATTGCAGTTCTTCTTCCCATGGAAGGGATGAATGCTAACACGCTCCTGCTGACCAGTACACCCTCAAGAAGGCCAGGACATGCTGCGGGGTTAGGGGAATCAGACAGTGGAGGTCTGATTAAAAGGTCTCCTTTTTTTCTTGGAGATTTGTGCTTTTGTTCGGAGCCCAGAATTTAAACTGCCATTGAGTTTAAAGAGTATTGGCCTCTTCTACCTTTAAAAACTTAAATATATTAAAACATATGTTTAGCATCACAGAATGTTTGGGTACTATTTTAAATCTGCAAAAAACCCAAGTGGTGTTTAAGTATGTCAATTTCAAGTACTTGTTGTTATCAGTGTTTTTATTAACTTCTTACACTCAAAAGCCATCGATTTCTTTTGAAGAGGTTAAGGGTATCATTAAAAGAAACAAAAGTCCACTTTAAAAAGTAAACTGTCACACTTCTTCAAAGAACCCTTGTGTAAAAGCCCAAAGCTAGTTTAGAACACAGATTTTTATGTTTACTCTATTAACATTTCAGCGGTAGTAAAAATCAAAGTGGCTTTTTGGACCTACATTCATCAAACAAGAAATTTCATTTCATAATTGTAGTTTACTCATAGGGACTGTGGCTGAGTAAGGGGATTTTCGTTATTAGGACAATACAAACCCATGTTACTTTTTGCTAACAGCTACACTGGAATAAAATTGACATGCAATAAAGTGCACATAATTAAAAATATAATCTGATGAGCTTTGACATATGTATATACCTGCAAGAGCATTATCACAATCAAGATAATGAAGATAACCAACAATCCCCTCACGTTTCCTAACGTTTCTTCGTAATCCTATTCTTTCTATGGCTCTCACCCAGCCCCAGACAATCATTGATCTGCTATTACTGTACATTATTTTGAATTTACTAGAATTTTATATAAATGTAATCATACATGATGTATTCTTTTTTGCCTGATTTCCTTCTGTCTTCATAGTTATTGTGACATTTATTCATGTTGTGGAACTACCATTCTTCCATTACTTTTTTTATGGAATGTTATTCCATAGTTTGTTTATCCATTCACCTTTTGGCTATTACAAATTAAGACGCTGTGAAAATTAGTGTATAAATATTTGTATGGAGACATGCTTTATTTCATCTTGGGTAAACACTCAGGAATAGACTGGAGCATACTATGGGTGTGCACTTATCTTTTTAAGAAACTGCTAGATTGTTATCCAAAATGACTGTACCATTTTACATTCCCACTAGCAGTGTATAAGAATTCAATTCCTCCACATCCTCATCAATACATGGTGTGGTTAGACTTTTATATTGTAGCCACCATTACAGGTGTGTAGTAGTTTCTCATTCAGGTTTTAATTTGCATTTCTCTAATGACTAATGATGTTGAGCATCTTTTCATGTGCCAGTTTGCCATCCATGTATCTTCCTTGAAGAAGTATCTGTCCAATTCACCAATTCACTTAGCGAGCTGAATTGGATTGTTTCTTTTTATTATGTTTTGAGACTTCTTTACATATTCTGGATACAAGTTCTTTAACACATATATCCTTTGCAAATATTTTTCCTAGTCTGTGGCTTGTGTTTTTGTTCCCTTAAAAGTGTGTTTTGAAGAGCAGTAGCTTTTACTTTTGATGAAGTCCAATTTACCAGTGTGTGTTCTTTTTTTGTGGATCATACTTTTGATGTCAGATCTAAAATCTTTGCCTAAGCCAGCATCAAAAATTTTTTCCTGTGTCGTCGCCTGGAAATTTTATAATTTCAAATTTTACGTATCGGTATATAATCCATTCTGTGCTAGTTTTTGTACGTGGTGCAAAGCATACGGATCCAAGTTCATTTTTTTGCTTATAGATATCTATTTTTTAAGCACCATTTATTGGAAAAACTATCCTTTCTCTACCAAAGTGCTTTAGAAACTTTGTCAAAAATCATTTATATGTATGTGTGTTTGTGTGTGTGTGCAAGTCTATTTCTGGACACTGTATTCTGTTCCATTGATTTATTTGTGCATTTTTATACCAAAACTACACTGCCATGACCTTCTTGTTGTTTTATAGTAAAGTTTTGAAATTGGGGAACATTAGTCCTCCATCTTTATTCTTCATTTTCAAAATTGTTTTAGTTATTCTATGCCTTTTCCATTTTCATATGGATTTTAGAATCAAGTGATTAATTTCTACAGAAAGCCTAATGGGATATTGATAGGGATCGTGTCAAATAGATAATTACAATTGGAGAGAATTGACATACTAACAATATTGAATCTTCCAAACCATGAAGATGTACATCTCTCCATTTATTTAGATCGTCTTTAATTTCTCATCAATATAGTATAGTCTTTGGTGTTATAAGTCTTTAGCTTATTTTGTCACATTTGTCTGCAGATATTTTATTTTTTAGATGCTATTGTCAACGGTATTGCCTCTTTTAAAAAATTTCAGCATCCAATTGTCATCAGTTTACATAGATAAAATCAGTTTTTGCATATTTATCTGCAACTTTGCTAAAGTGATTTATTAGTTCTAGAATCCTGATTTTTGATTTCATCATATTTTCATCAGGATTTAGAGAATCATACCATCCATAAAAACAGCTTTTATTTTCTTTGCTTTTTTTTTTTTTAACTTTCCTTAACCTATTACTCTGGATAAGATTCCCTTTTCATTTCTTTTTTAAATTTGCATTTATTTATTTATTTTATTTTATTTATTTTTGTTTTTAAAATTTTACATATTTGTTGGGTCCAAGTGCAGGTTTCTTACATGCATATATTGCATAGCGGTAAACTTGGCTTTTAGCATGCCCATGACATGGATAGTGAACACTGTACCCAGTAAGTAATTCAGCTCTCATGCCCCTCCCCACCACTCCATATGTTCACATGTATTTATTGTTTAGCTCCCACTTATAAGTAAGAACATGCAGTACTTGACTTTCTGTTTCTGAGTTATTTCGCTTAGGATAATGACCTCCAGCTCCATCCATGTTGCTACAAAAGACATGATTTCATTCTTTCTTATGGCTGAGTAGTATTCTCTAGTGTGTGTATAACCACATTCATTCTTTCTTATGGCTGAGTAGTATTCTCTAGTGTGTGTGTATAACCACATTCTTTCTTTTTTATTATTTGTATAAATTTATGGGTACAAGTGCAATTTTACTGCATGCATAGATTGCATAGCGGCAAAGTCAAGGATTTTATGGTATCCACCACCCGAATAAAATGCACTGTACCCACTGGGTAATTTCTCATGATGCACCCCCTTCCCATCCCCAACTCTTCCAACTTGCTATTGCCTATCATAATCTGTTTTTTGACTTAAGTCTTATTTAAGCATCTTCACAGATTTTACAGGGTCTTTCTGTTACTTATTTCAAATTTAATTCCATTGTGGCTGAGAATATGTTTTATATGACTTCAATCGTTTTGAACTTATCAAGAATAGTTTTATGGTTCAGAATATAGTCTATCATGGTCAAGTTTTAGTGTGCAATTGAAATTTTTTTTTTGCTGTTTGGGGGAGTCTTTTGTAAATGTCAGTTAGGTCAAGTTGTTTGATTTTCTGTCTACTTGTTTTATATAAAATGGTTGTTTGTATTCTAGTTCCTTTAACTTACAAATTATTGAGAGAGGAGTATTGAAAAATCTGACGTTTGTGAGTTTGTTTATTTGTCTTTGCAGTTGTATCAGTTTTCCCTCAGGTATTTTGAGGCTCTGCTGGTGAGTGCATGAATGTTTAGGACTGTTATGGCTCCTTAATTATTCGACACTTTTAAAATGATGCACTTTATTCCTGGCAATGTGCTTTGTTCTGAAATCTACTTTGGTACTAATGTAACCACTCCAGACTTGTTTTGATTCCTGTTGGCATGATGTATCTTTCCCCATCCATTTTCTTTCAACCTATTTGTGCTTTATATTTCAAGGGTGTTTCTTGTTGGAAGCAAAAATGTTGTCTTTTATTCAACCTACTTGTGCCACCTGTTTTTGTTACATTCTGGTCAAAATGGAGTTAACAAGGACTGGATTTACCTTCCTGCCTGAAACAACCAAAATATGAATAAAATATATGAAACAAATATGCACGGAGATAGAAGCGAGATAACAAAGACATTTATTTCTCAGTGAAGGAAAGCAAATGAGATTAGTTCTATAATTGCCCTAGCTATCGCCACCACACAGGAGAGGGATCCCAGGCAGAGATCATCCAACTCCCTGACTTGAGGGGAAGGATCTGAAGTTCTCAGAAAGCCAAGGCATATGAAACCCACAGAATTGAGTACTGGACAAAAGAGCTGACAAAGATAGAACTGTGTACATTAGCCAAGGATTCTCGTTGAATATTGAATTGAGTATTGCTCAGTGGATGCATGTGAGGAAGGCTAAGGAAAACCTACTCAAAAAGATTAGAGGTCATGGTGGCTGGTGCTCGCATAAGCCTTAGAAAGGTATCTTTTCTCACCAAAATCAGAGCGGAAAACATCACTATCCAAAGGACACTGGATAGAGTACACAAATGATCTTGCCTGGGGAGATGGGAGTTACTAGTCCTAAATTGATAATTGTTTCTATCCTGCCTACAAAATTTTAAAAGCAAGAGGCAAAAAGATTAAACTATTTCCGAGTAACTTAACATATGATATTTCCATTGCTCAAACTAGTGGTATAGAGAAGTTCTTAAAATTAGGCAGAGAAAAAAATGACATGCTACATATAGTGCCACAAAGATACAGATAACAAAGGTACAGATAATCCACAGATAACAGTGGATTTCTTATAGAAATCGTCAAATGTGCCAAAACAAAAAAGCAACATCTTTAAAGCACTGAAAGAAAAAAAATCTATCACAACTTAGAATTCTTTGTCTAGCAAAATACTTTCAAAACAAAGGCAAAATAAAGATATGCAAGAGGCAGAACTCATCATCAGCAGATATTTACTATAACAAATATTGAAAGAAATCTTTTGGGCAGAAAGAGATGATGCTGGTTGGATATATGGATTGACAAAATTTAATAGAGAACATCCAGAAAGGATAACTACATGGATGGTAAATAAAAAAGATGTTTATTCTTATTAGTACAATTAGTTTTCTTTTTTTTTTTTACATTTTATTTTAAGAGGTCATGGATTCATTTTCCTGTAATAAATATTACAAATGGATCCTGTGTATTCTTTAACCAGTTCCTTCTTACAGTAACATCTTGCAAACCTATAGTACTATAGCAAACCAGAATCTTAGCCTTGAAATAGATAAGATACAGAATATTTTTATCTCTACAGGGATCTCTCATGTTACTATCGTATAGTCACAACCACTTCCTGCCTGTCCCTCTCTACCCTCTCTTTAACCCTTGGCAACTACAAATCTGTTCTCCATTTTTATGTTTTTCTCATTTAAAGAATGTTATGTAAATAGAATTATGCAGTTTGCAACCTTCATAAATTGGCATTTTTACTCAGCATAGTTCAGCGATTCATCTGCCTTGCTGCATATATCAATAGTTCATTCTTTCTTATTGGTGAGTAGTATTTCATGGCATGGATGTACTACAAGTACATCCACAGATTCAACCATTTACCTACTGAAGGGCATCTGTATTATATTCAGTTTTTAGCTATTACACATAAGAACATAATACGTATGTGTGTACAGGTTTTTGTGTGAATAAAAGTCTTTATTTCTTTAGGATAAGTACCCAGGAGTGCAATTGCTTGGTCATGTAGTAAGTCTAGGTCTACTTTTTAAAGACACTGTCGTAGTCTAGTTTTTGTTGCTATAAAGGAATACCTGATGTTGGGTAATTTATTTTAAAAAAAATGGGGTCATTTGGCTCACAATTGTGAGGGCTAGAAAGTTTAAGTTTGGGCATTTGTATCTGGTGAAGGTCTCGGGCTGCTTCTATTTATGGCAGAAGGCAAAGAGGAACTGGCCTGTGCACAGATCACATAGTAAGAGAGGAAGTGAGAGAGGGCAAGGGGGTGTCAGGCTCTTTTTTTCTCTCTCTCTCTTTTTAATTTTACTTTAAGTTCTGGGATACACGTGCAGAACGTCCAGGTTTGTTACATATATATACACGTGCCATGGTGGTTTGCTGCACCTATTAACCCATCATCTAGTCTTTAAGCCCCGCATGCATTAGGTATTTTTCCTAATGCTCTCCCTCCCTTTGCCCCCCACCCCCTGACAGGCCCCGGTGTGTGATGTTCCCCTCCCTGTGTCCATGTGTTCTCATTGTTCAACTCCCACTTACAAGTGAGAATGTGCGTTGTTTGTTCTTCTGTTCGTGTGTTAGTTTGCTGAGAATTATGGCTTCCAGCTTCATCCATGTCCCTGCAAAGGACATGAACTCATTATTTTTTATGGCTGCATAGTATTCCATGGTGTATACGTGCCACATTTTCTTTATCCAGTCTATCATTAATGGGCATTTGGGTTGGTTCCAACTGTTTGTTATTGTAAATAGTGTTGCAATAAACATACATGTGCATGTGTCTTTATAGTAGGATGATTTCTAATTTTGGGGGTATATACCCAGTAATGGGATTGCTGGGTCAAATGGTATGTCTGGTTCTAGATCCTTGAGGAATCGCCACACTGTCTTCCACAATGGTTGAACGAATTTACACTCCCACCAACAGTATAAAAGCATTCCTATTTCTCCACAGCCTCGCCAGCATCTGTTGCTTCCTGACTTTTTAATAATTGCTATTCTAACTGGCGTGAGATAGTATCTCATTGTGGTTTTGATTTGCATTTCTCTAATGACCAGTGATGACGAGCTTTTTTTCATATGTTTCTTGGCCATATAAATGTCTTCTTTTGAGAAGTGTCTATTCATATCCTTCACCCACTTTTTGATGGAGTGTTCTTTTAATCTTGTAAATTTGTTTAAGTTCTTTGTAGATTCTGGATATTAGACCTTTGTCAGATGGATAGATTGCAAAAATTTTCTCCCATTCTGTAGGTTGCCTGTTCACTCTGATGATGGTTTATTTTGCTGTGCAGAAGCTCTTTAGTTTGATTAGATCCCATTTGTCTATTTTGGCTTTTGTTGCACTTGCTTTTGGTGTTTTAGTTATAAAGTCTTTGCCCATGCCTATTTCCTGAATGGTATTGCCTAGGTTTTCTTCTAGTTTATTTATGGCTTTGGGTTTTACATTTAAGTCTTTAATCCATCTTGAATTAATTTTTGTATAAGGTGTAAGAAAGGGGTCCAGTTTCTATTTTCTGCATATGGCTAGCCAATTTCCCCAGCACCACTTATTAAATAGAGAATCCTCTCCCCATTGCTTGTTTTGATCAGGTTTCTCAAAGATCCAATGGTTGAAGATGTGTGGTGTTATTTCTGAGGCCCCTGTTCTGTTCCATTGGTCTATATATCTGTTTTGGTACCAGTACTATGCTGTTTTGGTTACTATAGCCTTGTAGTATAGTTTGAAGTCAAGTAGCATGATGCCTCCAGCTTTGTTCTTTTTGCAGTATTCATTTTTGTGAGTAGTAATATTGTTTCTTTTTTCTTTAGCTTGTCTTCTTTCTGGGACTTCCATAATGCATCTATTGGTCTGCCTGATGGTGTCCCATAAGTGCCATAGGTTCCTTCACTTTTCTTTTTTCTTTTTATCCCTCTGACGCAGTACTTTCAAAGGACCTGTATTCAAGTTTTCTGTTTCTTTCCTTTGATCCTGCTTGATGTATATACCACATTTTGTTTATCCCTTCATTCATTGATGGACATTTGGATTGCTGAAACCTCTTGCTTAATGCAAAAATCTTTTTTCATACTCCACAGGTTGACATTTCACTTTATTGCTTCTTATGATGAGCGGAAGTTAAAGTTTTCTACAGTCCCACTTGTCTATTTTTACTTTTTTGCCTCTTCTTTTGGGGTTATATCAAAAAACTCACTGCCAAATCCAATGCCATGAAGCTTTCTCCCATTTTTTCATTTAGAAATTTTATACTTTTAGGTATTAATTTTAGTTCTGTAGTTAATTTTGTGTTTATTTTTGTAAATCTGTAAGGTAAACATCCAGCTTTATTCTTTTGCATGTGGATACCTAGTTTTCCCAACACAATTTGTTGAATAAACTGTTAATTTTCCTATGTGTGGTCTTGGTACTTTTGTCAAAGATTGTTAGATTGTTTAATCATATACATGAGGAGTTGTTTCTAGACTGTATTCTGTTCCATTGTTTATAGCTCTGTCTTTATGGCAATAGCATACTGTTTTCATTACTGTAGCTTTGTAATAAGTTTTAAAATCAGAAAGTGTGGGGCCTTCAGCTTTGTTCCTTTCAAGATTGTTTTGGCTATTTCAGAGTACCTTTAGATTGCTTGTGAATTTTAGCATTTTAAAAATTTCTTTTAAAATTCCATGAAATTTTGAGCCATTGTGGTCAGAAAACATACTTTTTAATATTTATCATCATTTAAAATTTGTTGTTTTTGCTTATCATGTGGTCAATTATGGAGAATATTTTATGTGCACTTGCAAAGAATGTCTGTTTTGCTATTACAGCGTGGAGTGTTCTGTGTATTTCTGTTAGATTCAACTGGTCTTGGAATTATTTAAGTCCTGTGTTTCCTTTTACATCTTCACTCTGGTTATTCTATGAATCCTTAAAAGCGTGGTACTGGGGGGTGGAGCCAAGATGGCCAAATAGGAACAGCTCCAGTCTACAGCTCCCAGCATGAGTGACGCAGAAGATGGGTGATTTCTGCATTTCCAACTGAAGTACTGGGTTCATCTCACTGGGGAGTGTCAGAAAGTGGGTGCAGGACAGTGGGTGCAGCCCACCGAGCGAGAGCTGAAGCAGGGCGAGGCATCCCCTCACCCGGAAAGCACAAGGGGTCAAGGAATTCCCTTTCCTAGTCAAAGAAAGGGGTGACAGATGGCACCTGGAAAATTGGGTCACTCCCACCCTAATACTGTGCTTTTCCAACGGTCTTAGCAAACGGCACACCAGGAGATTACATCCTGCACCTGACTCAGAGGGTCCTATGCCCACGGAGCCTCGCTCATTGCTAGCACAGCAGTCTGAGATCAAACTGCAAGGAGACAGCGAGGCTGGGGGAGGGGCACCCACAATTGCCAAGGCTTGAGTAGGTAAACAAAGCGGCCAGGAAGCTGGAAATGGGTGGAGCCCACCGCAGCTCAAGGAGGCCTGCCTGCCTTTGTAGACTCCACCTCTGGGGGCAGGGCATAGGCAAACAAAAGGCAGCAGAATCCTCTGCACACTTAATGTCCTTGTCTGACAGCTTTGAAGAGAGTAGTGGTTCTCCCAGCACACAGCTGGAGATCTGAGAATGGACAGACTGCCTCCTCAAGTGGGTCCTTGACCCCTGAGTAGCCTAACTGGGAGGCAGCCCCCAGTAGGGGCAGACTGACACCTCACATGGCCAGGTATTCCTCTGAGACAAAACTTCCAGAGGAATGATCAGGCAGCAACATTTGCTGCTCACTAATATCCACTGTCCTGCAGCCTCCGCTGCTGATACCCAGGCAAACAGGGTCTGGAGTGGACCTCCAGTAAACTCCAACAGACCTGCAGCTGAGGGTCCTGACTGTTAGAAGGAAAACTAACAAACAGAAAGGACATCCACACCAAAACCCCATCTGTACATCACCATCATCAAAGACCAAAGGTAGATAAAACCACAAAGATGGGGAAAAAACAGAGCAGAAAAAATAGAAACTCTAAAAATCAGAGCGCCTCTCCTCCTCCAAAGGAACACAGCTCCTCACCAGCAATGGAATAAAGCTGGACAGAGAATGACTTTGACTAGTTGAGAGAAGAAGGCTTCAGATGATCAAACTACTCTGAGTTAAAGGAGGAAGTTTGAACCCATGGCAAAGAAGTTAAAAACCTCGAAAAAAAATTAGACGAATGGCTAATTAGAATAATCAATTCAGAGAAGTCCTTAAAGGACCTAATGGAGCTGAAAACCAAGGCACGAGAACTATGTGATGAATGTACAAGCCTCAGTAGCCAATTCGATCAACTGGAAGAAAGGGTATCAGTGATGGAAGATCAAATGAATGACATGAAGGGAGAAGAGAAGTTTAGAGAAAAAAGAATAAAAAGAAATGAACAAAGACTCCAAGAAATATGGGACTATGTGAAAAGACCAAATCTACGTCTGATTGGTGTACCTAAAAGTGACGGGGAGAATGGAACCAAGTTGGAAAACACTCTGCAGGATATTATCCAGGAGAACTTCCCCAATCTAGCAAGGCAGGCCAACATTCAAATTCAGGAAATACAGAGAATGCCACAAAGATACTCCTCAAGAAGAGCAACTCCAAGACACATAATTGTCAGATTCACCAAAGTTGAAATGAAGGAAAAAATGTTAAGGGCAGCCAGAGAGAAAGGTTGGGTTACCCACAAAGGGAAGCCCATCAGACTAACAGCTGATCTCTCAGCAGAAACTCTACAAGCCAGAAGAGAGTGGGGGCCAATATTCAACATTCTTAAAGAAAAGAATTTTCAACCCAGAATTTCATATCCAGCCAAACTAAGCTTCATAAGTGAAGGAGAAATAAAATACTTTACAGACAAGCAAATGCTGAGAGATTTTGTCACCACCAGGTCTGCCCTAAAAGAGCTCCTGAAGGAAGCACTAAACATGGAAAGGAACAACCGGTACCAGCCACTGCACAACCACACCAAATTGTAAAAACCATTGAGGCTAGGAAGAAACTGCATGAACTAACGAGCAAAATAACCAGCTAACATCATAATGACAGGATCAAATTCACACATAACAATATTGGCCTTAAATGTAAATGGGCTAAATGCTCCAATTAAAAGGCACAGACTGGTAAATTGGATAAAGAGTCAAGACCCATCAGTGTGCTTTATTCAGGAAATCCATCTGACATGCAGAGACACACATAGGCTCAAAATAAAGGGATGGAAGAAGATCTACCAAGCAAATGGAAAACAAAAAAAGGCAGGGGTTGCAATCCTAGTCTCTGATAAAACGGACTTTAAACCAATGAAGATCAAAGAGACAAAGAAGGCCATTACATAATGGTAAAGGGATCAATTCAACAAGAAGAGCTACCTATCCTAAATATATATGCACCCAATACAGGAGCACCCAGATTCATAAAGCTAGTCCTTAGAGACCTACAAAGAGACTTAGACTCCCACACAATAATAATGGGAGACTTTAACACCCCACTGTCAACATTAGACAGATCAATGAGACAGAAAGTTAACAGGGATATCCAGGAATTGAACTCAGCTCTGCACCAAGCCGACCTAATAGACATCTACAGAACTCTCCACCCCAAATCAACAGAAGATACATTCTTCTCAGCACTACATCGCACTTATTCCAAAATTGACCATATAGTTGGAAGTAAAGCACTCCTCAGCAAATGTAAAAGAACAGAAATTATAACAAACTGTCTCTCAGACCACAGTGCAATCAAACTAGAACTCAGGATTAAGAAACTCACTCAAAACTGCTCAACTACATGGAAACTGAACAACCTGCTCCTGAATGACTACTGGGTACATAACGAAATGAAGGAAGAAATAAAGATGTTCTTTGAAACCAACAAGAACAAAGACACAACATACCAGAATCTCTGGGACACATTCAAAGCAGTGTGTAGAGGGAAATTTATAGCACTAAATGCCCACAAGAGAAAGCAGGAAAGATCTAAAATTGATACCGTAACATCACAATTAAAAGAACTAGAGAAGCAAGAGCAAACACATTCAAAAGCTAGCAGAAGACAAGAAATAACTAAGATCAGAGCAAAACTGAAGGAAATAGACACACAAAAAACCCTTCAAAAAATCAATGAATCCAGGAGCTGGCTTTTTGAAAAGATCAACAAAATTCATAGACCGCTAGCAAGACTAATAAAGAAGAAAAGAGAGAAGAATCAAATAGACGCAATAAAAAATGATAAAGGGTATATCACCACCAATCCCACAGAAATACAAACTACCATCAGAGAATACTATAAACACCTCTATGCAAATAAATGAGAAAATCTAGAAGAAATGAATAAATTCCTTGACACATCCACCCTCCCAAGACTAAACCAGGAAGAAGTCGAATCTCTGAATAGACAATAACAGGCTCTGAAATTGAAGGAATAATTAATAGCTTATCAACAAAAAAAGCCCAGGACCAGATGGATTCACAGCCGAATTCTACCAGAGGTACAAGGAGGAGCTGGTACCATTCCTTCTGAAACTAGTCCAATCAATAGAAAAAGAGGGAATCCTCCCTAACTCATTTTATGAGGCCAGCGTCATCCTGATACCAAAGCCTGGCAGAGACACAACAAAAAAAGAGAATTTTAGACCAATATCCCTGATGAACATCGATGCAAAAATCCTCAATAAAATACTGGCAAACCGAATCCAGCAGCACATCAAAAAGCTTATCCACCATGATCAAGTGGGCTTCATCCCTGGGATGCAAGGCTGGTTCAACATATGCAAATCAAAAAACGTAATCCAGCATGTAAACAGAACCAATGACAAAAACCATATGATTATCTCAGTAGATGCAGAAAAGGCCTTTGACAAAATTCAACAACTCTTCATGCTAAAAACTCTCAATAAATTAGGTATTGATGGGACATATCTCAAAATAATAAGAACTATCTATGACAAGCCCACAGCCAATATCATACTGAATGGGCAAAAACTGGAAGCATTCCCTTTGAAAACTGGCACAAGACAGGGATGCCCTCTCTCACCACTCCTATTCAACATAGTGTTGGAAGTTCTGGCCAGGGCAATCAGGCAGGAGAAAGAAATAAAGGGTATTCAATTAGGAAAAGAGGAAGTCAAATTGTCCCTATTTGCAGATGACATGACTGTATATCTAGAAAACCCCATCATCTCAGCTGAAAAATCTCCTTAAGCTGATAGGCAACTTCAGCAAAGTCTCAGGATACAAAATCAATGTGCAAAAATCACAAGTATTCTTATACACCAATAACAGACAAACAGAGAGCCAAATCATGAGTGAACTCCCATTCACAATTGCTTCATAGAGAATAAAATACCTAGGAATCCAACTTACAAGAGACATGAACAACCTCTTCAAGGAGAACTATAAACCACTGCTCAATGAAATAAAAGAGGATACAAACAAATGGAAGAACATTCCATCCTCATGGATAGGAAGAATCAATATCGTGAAAATGGCCATACTGCCCAAGGTAATTTATAGATTCAATGCCATCCCCATCAAGCTACCAATGACTTTCTTCACAGAATTGGAAAAAACTACTTTAAAGTTCATATGGAACCATAAAAGAGCCCACACTGCCAAGTCAATCCTAAGCCAAAAGAGCAAAGCTGGAGGCATCACACTACCTGACTTCAAGCTATACTACAAGGCTACAGTAACCAAAACAGCATGGTACTGGTACCAAAACAGAGATATAGACCAATGGAACAGAACAGAGCCCTCAGAAATAATGCCGCATATCTACAACCATCTGATCTTTGACAAACCTGACAAAAACAAGAAATAGAGAAAGGATTCCCTATTTAATAAATGTTGCTGGGAAAACTGGCTAGCCATATGTAGAAAGCTGAAACTGGATCCCTTCCTTACACCTTATACAAAAATTAATTCAAGATGGATTAAAGACCTAAATGTTAGACCTAAAACCATAAAAACCCTAGAAGAAAACCTAGGCAATACCATTCAGGACATAGGCATGGGCAAGGACTTCATGTCTAAAACACCAAAAACAATGGCAACAAAAGCCAAAATTGACAAATGGGATCTAATTCAACTAAAGAGCTTCTGCACAGCAAAAGAAACTACCATCAGAGTGAACAGGCAACCTACAGAATGGGAGAAAATTTTTGCAATCTACTTATCTGACAAAGGGCTAATATCCAGAATCTATAATGAACTCAAACAAATCTACAAGAAAAAAACAAACAACCCCATCAAAAATTGGGCAAAGGATATGAACAGGCACTTCTCAAAAGAAGACATTTATGCAGCCAAAAGACACATGAAAAAATGCTCATCACTGACCATCAGAGAAATGCAAATCAAAACCACAATGAGATACCATCTCACACCAGTTAGAATGGCTATCATTAAAAAGTCAGGAAACAACAGGTGCTGGAGAGGATGTGGAGAAATAGGAACACTTTTACACTGTTGGTTGGACTGTAAACTAGTTCAACCATTGTGGAAGTTGGTGTGGCGATTCCTCAGGGATCTAGAACTAGAAATACCATTTGACCCAGTCATCCCATTACTGCCTATATACCCAAAGGATTATAAATCATGCTGCTATAAAGACACATGCACATGTATGTTTATTGCAGCACTATTCACAATAGCAAAGACTTGGAACCAACCCAAATGTCCAACAACGACCGACTGGATTAAGAAAATGTGGCACGTATACACCATGGAATACTATGCAGCCATAAAAAATGATGAGTTCATGTCCTTTGTAGGGACATGGATGAAGCTGGAACCCATCATTCTCAGCAAACTGTCACAAGGACAAAAACCAAACAGACAAACTCTCTTCTTCTTTAGCTTCTCTTCTCTTTCTGGGGTTTCCATAATGCATTTATTGGTCTGCCTGATGGTGCCCCATAAATGCCTTAGGTTCCTTCACTTTTCTTTATTCTTTTTTTCTTTTTTTTCCTCTGACACAGTACTTTCAAACGATCTGTCTTCAAGTTTTCTGTTTCTTTCCTCTGATCCTGCTTGATCAAATCTGCTGTTGACTCCTCTATTACATTTTTATGTCAGTTATTTTATCATTCAGCTCCAGATTTTCTATTTGGTTATTTTTTTGTATAGTTTCTGACTCTTTGTTGATATTCTCATTTTGCTCATGCATTATTTTCCTTATTTCATTTAGTTGTTTATGTTCTCTTTTATCTCATTGAGCATACTTATGATAAGCATTTTGGGTTCTTTGTCAGGTACTTCGTAGTTCTTAGGTTTTTTAGGGTCAGCTCCTGGAGTTTTACCTTGTTTCTTTGATTTGGCTACTTCTCTCTGTTTCTTTATATACTTTGTGATCTTTTGTTTAGATTTGAATATTTTTAAAAAGCCACCTCTCCCTGACGGGTTTTGTAGAAGGGATAGGCCCTCAAAAATAAACCCAGCTAGAGGTTCTGGAGACCTCTCAAAGCCTTTCTAGGGATAAGTCTTCTCTGGGCTTATGTGAATAACTTTCTGTTAAAGCTATTTGTCCCTACTTCTTCTCAGTATTTCACAATCTCTCCTTGTGTCATTCTATAGTACTGCAGTATCTCTGGAACTATAACCATCCACAGCACTCACCTCTCTTCTCAGTGGCCCCCTAACTGGCGTCTAAACTATGCTGATTCCTGTAACTACTTCAAGTTATGCAAGAAAGAAACCAGTTGCCCAAGCAGCGCCCTCCCCCTCCAGCAGTGCCCCCTGGGCCCCCGCCTCAAAAAAAAGCCAGAATATTGAATGAACGTTCTGCTCTTTTCCTTCCCTAATCAGGGAGAAACTAGAAGTTGGGAGTTTACTCACTCCTGAAGTTGCCACACTGTGCCAAGGGAAGAGAGAACTGTGGGGAAGGGGAATGCTATACATTTTTCTACCCACTTCAGTGAGCCTCTTCTTGGCTTTGTGCCCATCTGGAGTGCTGCAATCCCTTAATTGAATTCTAAAATTCTCACAAAGACAATTTGGTCCACATATTGTTGTTATGTCAGTGTCTCTGTAGAAAAATGAGGACCTGAGGCTTCCTGTTCTACCATCTTGCTGATGTTTCTCTTTAATGTTGAGTGTTAAAGGTTTATTATGGATTTGAGATACTGGTACTTTGTTTGATATGTGGTTTGCAAATATTTTCTTCCAGTGTGTAGTTTCCTTCCATTCTCTTAACAGGGTTTTTTTTTTTTTTAACGAAGAAAAATGTTTTAAATTTTAGTGTAATCTGACATTAATTTTTTCTCCATGAATTGTGCTTTTGGTCTCAAGACTAAGAACTCTGCCTAGCTCGAGATCCTGATGACTTTCTCTTATGTTTTTTTACCTAAAATTTTTATGTTTTACATTTAAGTTCATCATCTAATTTTTGTAAAAAATGTGAGAATTAGGTTGAATTTTATTTTTTGCCTATAAATGTCCAATTGTTTTAGCACTATCTGTTGAAAGGTTATCTTTCCTCTTTTGAATCTTTTTTTCAACTTTTTCAAAAATAAGTTGGGCATATTTGTGTAATTCTATTTTTCGATTTTCTATTCCTTTCAATTGGTCTATGTGTCTGCCATTGTCTATTGACCAATATTACACAATCTTGATTATTGTAGCTATATAATAAATTTTGAGATTGTGGAAGCTGGTTAATGCAACTTTATTGTACTTTTTCAAGGTTCTTTTAGCTATTTTAGTTTACTTGCCTTTTCATATAAATTTTGGAATAAAGTCTTAATAAAAAATCTTGCTAAGATTATAATAGATATTGCATAAAATCTGTGTATCAATTTGGTTCATTTGGATAATTTTCATCTTCACTATGTTAAGTCCTAAGTCTTTCATAACATGAACATGGTATGTCTCTCCATTTGTTTGGATCTTTTTTCATCAGCATTGTTTAGTTTTCAGCACATAAGTCCTTTGTTAAACTTATACTTAAGTATTTTTCAAATGATATTAAATGATATTGTATTGTTAATTTTGGTGCCAATATGTTAGTAGATTTGTCTCTTGGTATCCATGGGGAATTGGTCCCAGGATCCCAGATGGATACCAAAATTTGTGGCTGCTTCTGTCCCTTAGATAAAATGGTATAGTACTTACATATAATCAGTGCCTATTCTCCATATACTTTAAACTGTCTCTAGATTACTTATAATACCAAATACCATGTAAATGCTACATACATAGTTCTTATACTATATTTTCATTTGCACTGATTTTTATTTTATTGTTATCTTTATTTTTTCAAATCTTTTTGATCCATGACTGGTTGAATCTGTGACTGCAGAACCTGCAGATATGGAGGGCTGACTGTGTGTGCGTGTATCTTGTATGCTGAGACCTTAATGAACACGCTTATTCATTCATGGAGTTAATTTTGCGGATTCCTTGAGATTTATTATGTCATGGCAAATAGGGGCAGTTTTATGCTTTCCTTTCAGATCGGTATGCCTTTTTTTTCCATTGTGTTTGACTAGAGCAGAATAACTATTATCCCAAAGTTTTCTCTCCTTTTGGGATGCCCTTTTCATGGTCCTTTGGCTATAGAGAGCAGGCTTTTATTGGGGCATTTTTTGTCTGTGCCTGTTAATGTTCCCAAGTCACTAAATTTTGCATTACCTAATGTAAGATATATAAGGCAAAAATAATACCAGGGGAATTCACTAGTGTTTCCTTGGATCTCTGTGTCACTAGATGCTCTGCTTTCTTGCACTTTTTCAGAGTCTTCCTGTGTTTGTTTTATATATAATGTCAGGTTTTTATTTGTTCTTAATGTGAGGAATAGAAAAAGGGAAATATACTTTTCTCAGCAAGATCATTAGTTTTTAAAAATATTTTGTAAATCTTACTCCTTAGTTTATATGTCAAAGGCCCATTAAATTAGGACAAAAACAAAAAAGAACAATCACAATGGAAACAATTCGTCATTGTTTAGGAAGTGACATCTTATATATTGCCAACTACAGGTTAGGACTCAGAGGGTAAACCAGTGGGGTTGGTCTACCCAAAATCTGTATGCTTGAATGACAGAAGCTTTCTCAGAAAAGAAAGGCAGAAGAGGCCAAGCGCCAGAGCTCACACTTGTAATCCTAGCACTTTGGGAGCCCAAGATGGGCAGATCACGAGCTCAAGAGATCGAGACCATTCTGGCTAACACGGTGAAAACCTGTCTCTACTAAAAATACAAAAATTGGCTGGGTGTGGTGGCGCTTGCCTGTAGTCCCAGCTACTCAGGAGGCTGAGACAGGAGAATCGCTTGAACCCAGGAGGTGGAAGTTGCAGTGAGCCGAGATCGCGCCACTGCACTCCAACCTGGGTGGCAGAGCGAGACTCTGTCTCAAAAAAAAAAAAAAGAAAGAAAGGCAGAAGAGCTGTGAGCTCAGCTCTATCACAAACTTCAGGTGGCTGGAGGAGCTGCTATTCTGAATACAACATGGTGTTTATTTCCAGCAGAGTTTGTCTTTTCATCAAGCTCACAAGTTCCGTGCCTGAGAATTTCAGAGTCCCTGAGGAAGGCTGGAAAGAGCTCTGCTAGTTTCAGCTGTATAAAATATGAGGCAGAAGCCACAGGGCTTTGGGACTTTTCTTGCAAAGGGTAGCTCAGTGAGTGGCAACATAGTTATAGAACATCAAACCACTTTGAGGGAAAAAAATGTCTTTTGCCCTTTGACATTACCCTTTCTTCTACTTCCTGCCTGGACTTTGGAAGCAAAGCCTGGAGTTGCTACAGGCATTTTGTGACCGTAATAAAAACCACATGACAAAGAATAACGATAGAAAGACCCTGGGCCCTGACTGGTTTGCATTTGAAAGGGGCACTCTATATTCTAGAAAAGCTCATATTTATTTCACCAAACCATGACACAATATCCCACACTGTAATTCAGCCTCCAGTTGCCTCAGTTTCTTATTGTCCTACATGGTTTGCTGTCTCACCCATCTCCCACTTAATATTAACTTATTTCAACTATGATTTTTTGGCTCAAATTTTTTTAGACATGGCTTACTTAAATATATTAATTGCACTTTCTAAAATTCCTATAGTTTTAGATTCCTATAGTAAATACTTTTTAATGTGTTAAATCTGCAACACTTCAACATGTGCCTCACCAGCTTCTTTTCATTTCAAAAGAGATGCTGTCGGCTGGGCGCGGCGGCTCACACCTGTAATCCCAGCACTTTGGGAGGCTGAGGCACGCGGATCACGAGGTCAGGAGTTCAAGACCAGCCTGGCCAACATGGTGAAATCCGATCTCTATTAAAAATACAAAAATTAGTCACATGCGATGGCAGGCGCCTGTAATCCCAGCTATTCGGGAGGCTGAGGAAGGAGAATCACTTGAACCTTGGTGGCAGAGGGTGCAGTGAGCCGAGATCGTGGCACTGCACTCCAGCCTGGGCAACAGAGTGAGACTCTGTCTCAAAAAAAAAAAAAAAAAAAAAAAAGATGCTGTCATGTAAGACACTATTTTTGTCACCTAGCACTGTCAGCCCTGTTTCTACTACTCTGCTCTGCTTTTCTGCTGCATGCCTTGCACTAGACTTACATCCTAGCCCCCTTCCTGGTATCCAGCTGGTGTTCATCTACAACTGCTCTTCTGGAAAAATGAGGAATGTTGCTATCCCGTGGGCTGCTTCCTGATGCACTGAGGAAATACATTGCATGACATATTGCAATCATTTTTATACATCAATTGAGCCTCTTTCCCTGGTAGCCCTATTCTTAGGGAGCTCCTTGGTGGAGACTGCAGTTCCTAGGGCACAATTTGCCACTACATATTTCTTCACCTACTGTCTGCCTGTCTTGTGTCTGGTGCAGTTTCCATATGACTATGGAGAGCATTTGGTTGACAGCAATGGGGAGAGCAGGTGAGTGTTGCTGGGGAGAGAGCAGGCAGCAGGCTGACTTCTGAAGGCAGCGGGAAGCATGGGAGGTGTGGAGTTTGCATTTCTGTACCATACTTCTAACTTTCTGGAAGTGCCTCACTTTGGGCTGGCGAGGTGCTCTGTTTTAATTTCCACATCAACTGTATCCTGCTGCCTAAATTTTTCAATCCAATGCCATCACCTCAGCCAGGTGCAAATCAAGGCCACCTCTGGGAGACCCCTGTGTAAAATTTTTCTGCGAGACTCTGATTTATTGCTAAGTGAAGAAATACTGGCATCTTAGCTAATGGAAATGCCTGCAAGATTCTGGCAAATTATTGCCTGATGGGCTTATTTTTCAGTGTTGTAAATTTTTACCTCCACTGCACATTCATAAATACTTTAGAGGACCAGGCATGGTAGCTTACACCTGTAATCCCAGCACTTTGGGAGGCCAAGGCAGGTGGATCACTTGAGGTCAGGAGTTCCATACTAGCCTTGCCAACACAGTGAAACTCCAACTCTACTAAAAATAGAAAAAAATTGTCTGGGCACCGTGGCTCATGCCTGTAATCCCAGCACCTTGGGAGGCCAAAGTGGGCAGATCACCTGAGGTCAGGAGTTCAAGACCAGCCTGGCCAACATGGTGAAACCCCATTTCTACTAAAAATACAAACATTTGCCAGGCGTGGTGGTGCACACCTGTAATCCCAGATACTCAGGAGGCTGAGGCAGGAGAATCACTTGAACCCGGGAAGCGGAGGTTGCTGTGAGCTGATAATGTGTCACCGCACTCTAGCCTGGGCAACAGAGTGAGACTCTGTCTCAAAAAAAAAAAAAAGAAAGAAAGAAAGAAAGAAAAAATTAGCCAGACATGGTGGCACATGCCTGTAATCCCAGCTACTCAAGAAGCTGAGGCAAGAGAATCACTTGAGCCAGGGAGGCAGAGGTTGCAGTGAGCCAAGATTGTGCCACAGCACTCCAGCAGCAGAGTGAAACTGTCTCAAATAAATAAATAAATATATAAATAAATAAATACTTTAGAGGAGAGTTAGACAGCCTGCATCCGGAGTAGATAACCAGAGCTTAGTTTAGAGCAGAACTAAGCTTCTGCTTGGTTAGTTACCTAGCATCTTCCACTGAGTCTCTTACAGCATCGAACAGCAGACATTTGCATGGCAACTCTGTTGGTAGCGTTAGAGAAACCAAAGAGGAGTGAAGGCTCCACTAGAGGCTGAAGTGGGGACAGAATGGAGAAGTAAAGCAGGCATAAGACAAATGTTGAAATAAAAATGATGGGACAAGAAATAAGCCAAGAACATTTTTTTTCTCTATCCATTTCTTTGGCATGTTTCCTTAATTCTTGATATTCCAGAAGAGCTTTTCCACAAATGTCAAAGGAGTTTTCAATATGATGGTCCACCAGGTTGGTGGTGCATTAGCAGGTAACTTTTTAAAGAGCATTGGTACGAACCTAAGCTGCAACCACAGACGAGAATGCTGCTGTCCCCTGAGACCAGAGATGAGGCCTTGGGGAGTCGTGAAAGGGAGAAGTCCTCCTCCTGTCCAGCCAGGTGCCCTTCACCTGCTCCCAGACAAACGATGCCCTGTTGCCCAAAAGTCACACTCCTGTGCTTAGGGGACAGCATGGTCTAGAGTAAGACCTTTGGATCTTCTGAACTTAAGCAATATTCACTATTCAAATGAGTAATTGCTATTTTATGATCAGTCTCCGAAGCATGAAAAGAGAGTGGGGGGTAGTTAGTAGCTCTTCTGACCTCCTGCAATCAATAGTTCAGGTACTAATATATCCCTTATTTCTATCACAAAGATGGTCATATGGGTAAAACAAAATCCAGTTTTCCCTCCTTCCAACCCAATTTAGAAGGTGTGCACACTGTGTCCCCTCCCGTGTAGAGCCTGTTCTCTGGCACATCCCACAAGTGTCATTCTAGAAATCTCTCTGTGTTCAGAGTATTTGTGAGCAGTTTCTTCTCTATTATCAGGTGTGCATTTTCACAGCGGGTGTCTCCATAGAGTGGGGGATTCGGTCATTGAACTGACTACTTGAGAGTAGAGGATGTTTGTAACAGGTCTAAGATTCTGTCTTGGGGCCAGGCACGGTGGCTCACGTCTGTAATCCCAGTACTTTGGGAAGCTGAGGCGGGTGGATCAAGAGGTCAGGAGATCGAGACCACCCTGGCTAACACGGTGAAACCCCGTCTCTACTAAAAATACAAAAAAATTAGCCAGGCGTGGTGGCGGGTGCCTGTAGTCCCAGCTACTCAGGAGGCTGAGGCAGGAGAATGGCGTGAACCCAGGAGGCAGAGCTTGCAGTGAGCCGAGATCGTGACACTGCACTCCAGCCTGGGAGACAGAGCAAGACTGCCTCAAAAAAAAAAAAAAAAGATTCTGTCCCAACTGGAATTTTTGTGTCTGAGGAAAACGTATGTCCAAAGAAAATTATAATTATTGGTACTAGTGTTTTCAGTTAATAATTTATTAACTTTGGGGTAATGAACTTTTGTATTCAACTAACAGTTCATTTTTAAATCTAGCGAAGAGATATTGTTAAAAACATTCTCTTCTGATCGTGACTTCACAAACCTAAAACCACAAAGGTAACACATGTGATTCTCTAAAGACCTTCAAACACCTACCTAGACTTACAAATGAAACAAAACTTTATTGATCACTTAAGCAGCTTTTAGAACTCTAAGAAATTGCACTTATATAAAAAGTGCTTCAAACATCTTAAAAGCAAAGCCTGCCCTAAAGGAGCACCGGGATTAGAAAGCTGTTGCCTTCTCGGTGGGATACATCATACACAACAGGACTGGGGCTACGGGTTTGCTTTATTTCATCACTCAGGTTTACACAGTTTTACTCACCCGAACCAGAGAAAGAGAATTGCCATCTCAGGCTTCCAGAGCCACTGAGAGAAAATATTTAGGTAATCAACTGGAAATTTGGAATAAAGGTCTGAGACTTGTTAAAAAAATAAATAAACAAAAACTTACTTGACCTAAACTGGACTTAGCCCTTATTTTAATGGACATTTCAAAGTTACATTTTCTTGCAACATGGTACATCATAAATTGTTCTCTTACAATCTTTTCTTTTTTTTCTGAAACCACTTCTAACACATTTTACCATAATCCGCCTCCCCTCCGCCGATTTATTTTTATTTTTTAAGACAGAGTCTTGCCCTGTCACCCAGGCTGGAGTGCAGTCGCGCGATCTTGGCTCATTGCAACCTCCACCTCCCTGCAACCTCTGCCTCACAGATTCAAAGGATTCTCCTGCCTCAGCCTCCTGAGTAGCTGGGATTACAGGCACGAGCCACGACGCCTGGCTAATTTTTGTATTTTTAGTAGAGCTGAGGTTTCAACATGTTGGTCAGGCTGGTCTCAAACTCCTAACCTCAAGTGATCCACCCGCCTCAGCCTCCCAAAGTTCTGGGATTACAGGCATGAGCCACCGCGGCCAGCCATAACCCCTTTTATAACTGTTTCCTGACTAAAATGATGCTATTCTGCACTGAGGCAGAGTGGCAAGCTGGTCACCCAAACCCACTTTCTCTGCATCCTCAGCATACAGATAACCTACATTTCCTTGCTTCTCTTGCACTTAGGGTTGACCATGTGACTAAATTCTAGCCAGTGCAAGGTGAGCAGGAGTGATATGTCTATGTTCAGCTTTTCCTCCCTGGGCCGATTGGGAAATGTAACACAAAGCTTGAAGTTATAAAAAAGGGTGGCGGCCGAGCGCGGTGGCTCACGCCTGTAATCCCAGCACTTTGGGAGCCCGAGGCGGGTGGATCACGAGGTCAGGACATCGAGACTATCCTGGCTAACATGGTGAAACCCCATCTCTACTAAAAAAATACAAAAAATTAGCAGAGCGTGGTGGCAAGCACCTGTAGTCCCAGCTACTTGGGAGGCTGAGGGAGGAGAATGGCGTGAACCTGGGAGGCAGAGCTTGCAGTGAGCCGAGATCATGCCACTGCACTTCAGCCTGGGTGACAGAGCGAGACTCCGCCTCAAAAAAAAAAAAAAAATGTGGCAAAGCAGACATCAGTTCCTGTATGATCATATGCCTGAGAGGTGCCTTGGCAACCTCCGAAAACCACTTGCAACTGATTTGTGAAAAAGAAGGGCCAGGTGTGGTGGCTCATGCCTGTAATCCCAGCACTTTGGGGGGCTGAGGAGGGTGGATCACAAGGTCAGGAGTTCGAGACCAACCTGGCCAATATGGTGAAACCCCATCTCTACTAAAAAGTACAAAAATTAGCCGGGCGTGGTGGCAGATGTCTGTAATCCCAGCTACTAGGGAGGCTGAGGCAGGAGAATGGCGTGAACCCGGGAGACAGAGGTTGCAGTGAGCTGAGAACGCACCACTGCACTCCAGCCTGGGCAACAGAGCAAGACTCCATCTCAAAAAAAAAAAAAAGAAAGAAAAGAAAAGACAAAAGAAAAAGAAAAAGAAATGCACTTTTTGAACTTTGATCTACTCATACTTTGGGGACTATTTGTTATTGCCGCATAACCTACTCTTCATAGACATACTCTGAACAAAGTTCAACAAATCTTTTTTATAACTTTTAGGTTCAGGGGTACTGGTGCAGGTTTGTTACATAAGTAAACTCATGTCACGGGTATGTTGTACAGATTATTTTGTCACACAAGTATTAAGCCTAGAACCCAGTAGTTATTTTTTTCTGATCCTTTCCCTCTTCCCACCCTCCACCCTCAAGTGGGATCCAGTGTGTGTTGCTCCCCTCTTTGTGTCCATGAGTCCTCATTATTTAACTCCCACTTATATGTGAGAACATGCAGTATTTGGTTTTCTGCTCCTGTGTTAGTTTGTTGAGGACAATGGCCTCTAGCTTCATCTATGTTCCTGCAAAAGACACGATCTCATTCTTTCATATGGCTGCATGGTATTCCATGGTGTATACGCACCACATTTTCTTTATCCAATCTGTCATTAATGGGCATTGAGGTTGGTTCCATGTCTTTGCTATTTTGAATAGTGCTGCAACGAACATGAACGTGTATGTGTCCTTATGGTAGAATGATTTATATTCCTCTGGGCATATACTCAGTAATAGGATTGCCAGGTTGAATGATAGTTCTATTTTTAGCTCTTTGAGGAATCATCTCACTGCTTTCCACAATGGTTGAACTAATTTATACTTTCACCAACAGTGTATAAGGGTTCCCTTTTCTCTGTAACCTTGCCAGCATCTGTTATTTTTTGATTTTTTAATAATGGTCTTTCTGACTGGTGTGAGATGGTATCTCATTGTGGTTTTGATTTTCATTTCTCAAATCATCAGTAATACTGAACATTTTCATATGCTTGTTGGCTGTATGTATGTCTTCTTTTGAAAAGTGTCTGTTCATGTTCTTTGTCCACTTTTTAATGGGGTTGTCTTTTTCTTGTAAATTTAAGTTTTTTATAGATGCTAGGTATTAGACCTTTGTCAGATGCACAGTTTGCAAATATTTTCTACCATTTTGTAGGTTGTTTACTCTGCTAATAGTTTCTTCTGCTTTGCAGAAGCTCTTAAGTTTAATTAGATCCCATTTATCAGTTTTTGCTTTTGTTGTGATTGCTTTTGGCATCTTCGTCATGAAATCTTTACCTGCTTTTATGTCCAGAATGGTATTGCCTAGATTGTTTTCCAGGGTTTCTATAGTTTAAACCTTTTATTCATGTTGAGTTGATTTTTGTATATGGTATAAGGAAAGGTTCCAGTTTTAATCTCCTGCATATTGCTAGCCAGTTATCTCACACCATTTATTGAATAGGGAGTCATTTCCCCATTGCTTGTTTTTGTCGGTTTTGCCAAAAATAAGGTGGTTGTAGGTGTGCAACCTTATTTCCAGACTCTATTCTGTTGCATTGGTCTATTTGTCTGTTTTTGTACCAGTATCATGCTGTTTTGATTTCTGTAGCCCTGTAGTATAGTTTGAGGTTGGGTAATATGATTCCTCCAGATTTTTTCTTTTTGCTTAGGATCCTCTTGACTATTTGGGCTCTTTTTCTGGTTCCAAGTGAATTTTATTTTATTTATTTTTATTTTAATTAGTATTTTTTGAGATGGAGTCTCCCTCTGTTGCCCAGGCTGGAGTGCAGTGGCGTGATGTCAGCTCATCACAACCTCCACCTCCTGGGTTCAAGCAATTCTCCTGCTTCAGCCTCCTGAGTAGCTGGGATTATAGCCATCACACCCAGCTAATTTGTTTATTTTTAGTACAGACAGGGCTTTGCCATGTTGGCCAGGCTGACCTGAAGAGATAAACTTGCATCCCAAAGTGCTGGGATTACAGGCATGAGCCACCACGCCCATTTTAAAATAGTTTTTTCTAGTTCTATGAAGAATTTCATTGATAATTTGATAGGAATAACACTGAATCTGTAATGCTTGGGCAGTATGACCATTTTAATGATATTGATTCTACCTGTCCGTGAGCGTGGCATGTTTTTTTCTTTCTTCATTTGCTTGTGTCATCTCTGATTTCTTTCCTTTTTTTTTTTTTTTTTTGAGACCAGGTCACTCTGTGGCCCAGACTGGAGTGCAGTGGCACAATCTCAGCTCACTGCAACCTCTGCCTCCTGGGTTCAAGAAATTCTCTTGCCTCAGCCTCCTGAGCAGCTGGGATTACAGGGGCCCGCCACTATGCCCAGGTAATTTTTGTATTTTCAGTAGAGTTCAGGTTTCACCATGTTGGTCAGGCTGGTCTCAAACTCCTAACCTCGTAATCCACCGACCTTGGCCTCCCAAAGTGCTGGGATTACAGGCGTGAGCCACTGCACCGGGCTATCATCTCTGATTTCTTTGAGCAGTGTTTTGTAATTCTCATTGTAGAGATCTCTCACCTCTATGGTTAGCTGTATTCCTAGGTATTTTATCTTTTTGTGGCAATTGTGAATGAGATTGGCAACAGAAAGAGACTCCATCACACACCTACACACAAAAGGAATCTCAGGAAGGTGGAAAGTATAAAGGTGGTTAGCAGACGGTAGGAAGAAAAAGGGTGGGATGGGGAATGAAGAGAAGTGGATAATTGGGTCCCAAAATACAGAAAGATGGAATAAGTGAGTTCTAGTGTTTGACAGTACAGTATGAAAATTTTAGTTCACAAGAATTTCTTGCATTTTTCCAGATGCTTTGGTAAGAAGCTTCCTAACTTTCTCATTATGCTGGTTTTTCAGCTATTCTCTTTCTGCTCTCGAAATCATGCTGGATTTTTTGTCTTTGGTTTTTTGTTTTGAGACAGAGTTTCGCTCTTGTTGCCTAGGCTGGAGTGTAATGGTGCAATCTTGGCTCACCACAACCTCTGCCTCCTGGGGTCAAGTGATTCTCCTGCCTCCATCTCCCGAGCAGCTGGGATTACAGGCATGCCCCAGCACGCCCAGCTAATGTTGTATTTGTAGTAGAGATGGGGTTTTCTTCCTGTCTGTCAGGCTGGTCTTGAACTCCTGACCTCAGGTGATCCGCCTGCCTTGGCCTCCCAAAGTGCTTGGATTACAGGCGTGAGCAACCGCACCCGGCCCATGCTGCATCCTTATCTGTTGTCTGTTGTTTGTTTGTTTTTGAGCCCAGAAATAACTTCTCACCTATATGTTCAAATGATTTTTCACATGAGTGCTAAGAAAGTCCATTGGTGGAAAAGCAGCCTTTTCAAGAAATGGTGTTGGAGAAACTTGATTTCCACATGGAGAAGAATGAAGGTGGACGCTATGTCACACCAGGTGCAAAAATTAACACAAACTGGATCAAAGACCTAACCCCAAGTGCTGAAAGTATAATATGCCTAAAAGAAAACATTGGCCACACTTTCATGACATCAGATTCGGCAATGCTTTCTGGGATATGACACCAAAAGCACAGGCAACAAAAGAAAATTAGATTCCTTGGATTACATCTAAATGACAGACACTTTTGTGCATCAGCAAACACTGTGAACTGAGTGAAAAGATAACCCATGGATTAGGAAAAATATTTGAAAATCATATCTGTGAAAACAGGCTGATAGGCAACGTATACAAAGAACAGCTAGAACTGAACAACAAGAAATCCAAAGCATCCCATTGACAATGGTCAGAAGACTCGAATAGACGTGTCCCTAAAGAAGATATAGCAATGGCCAATAAGCGTCTAAAATGATGTTCAAAATCACTCATCATAGGGAAGTGCAAATCAAACCAAAATTGTGATACCACACATTTGGATGGATATGATAAACAAACAAGCATTGGTGAAACTAGAGGGAAGTAGGAATGCTCGAATCTGATTGGAGGGAATGTAAAACCGTGAAGGAACAGGGAAAATAGTATGGCGTGTACCGGAAAAAGTAGAAACAGGATTAGCGGATGTTCCCGCAGTTGCACTTGTGGGTACCTGCCAAAAAGAATTAGAAGCCAGGAGTGGAAGAGAGATTCGTACACCCAAATTCATAGCAGCAGTATTCACAACAGCCAAAATGTGGAAGCAACCCAAGGGTTCGTGGACAGATGAATGAAAAAGCACACTGCAGTTCATTCATGCGATGGAAGACTATTCAGCCTTAAAAAGGCAGGCACTTCTGGCCGGTGCAGTGGCTCACGCCTGTAATCCCAGCATCTTGGAAGACCGAGGTGGGCGGATCACCTGAGGTCAGGAATTCAAGACTAGCTTGGCCATCTTGGTGAAACCCTGTCTCTACTGAAAATGCGAAAAATTAGACGAGCGTGGTGACGCGTGCCTATAGTCCCAGCTACTCGGGAGGCTGAGGCACAAGAATCGCTGGAACCCGGGAGGCGGAGGTTGCAGTGAGCCCAGATTGTGCCACTGCACTCCAGCCTGTGCGACAGAGTGAGACTCCATGTGAACACAAAACAAAACAAAACAAAAAAAACACCCAAACACCCAGACAGGCACTTCTGACACGGGCTACGACACGGATGAACCTTGAAGACATTCTCGTCAGTGAAATAAATAAATCCCAAAAGGATAAAGACGACCAGGCTCAGTGGCTCGCACCTGTAACCCCAGCACTTTGGGAGGCTGAGGCAGGCGGATCACTGAAGGTCAGGAGTTTGAGACCAGCCTGGCCAATATGGTGAAAACTGATCTCTATTAAAAATACAACAATTAGCTGGGCGTGGTGGCGCACGCCTGTAATCCCGGCTACTCGGGAGACTGAGACACAAGAATCGCTTGAACCCTCGATGTGGAGGTTGCATTCAGCTGAGACCATGCCACAACACTCCAGCCTGGGTGACAGAGAAAGACTCTGTCTCCAAAACAAACAAACCAAAAAAATTAAACACGCTCTGATTCCACTTATATCACGTGTCTAGAGTAGTTAAACTTATAGAGTTGCAAAATAGAATGGTGGCCCCCAGTTGTGGGCGAGAGAGAGAGGAATGGAGTTTGCTTAATGGGTGCAATTTCCATTTTCAAGGATAAAACTGTTCTGGAGATGATGGCGGTGATGGTTGCTAAACAATGTGAATGTACCTAATGTGATTAAACTGTAAACTGAAAAAGAGTGGAAATTGTAAATGTTTATACTGGCCATTCTATATGAAATAATCTACATTTATAATTTTTAACATTTATACGTGGTATATTTTCCCATAATAAAAGATGAAAATTAAAGCACTTGGATCTTGTAAAAGAAAGGAAAGAAGCGAATAATACACACAAGCTCTCTCCTGATTAGAGGAAGAGCCCCAGAGCTTCTGTGGACACTCACTTTCCTCTTCTTCTTGCATGATGATGAGGAAATCCTTAGAGCTTGGGGAACTTGGGGGACTCTGGCTAATGAGGAGCTCTGTGCTTGAGCCCCCCACACCATAGAATAGTAAATACTCAATCTGTGCCTCCAGCCCTGCAGTATGAGGTTGCAGTCCTGTGGGCTCCACCCCCGTCACCCGTTATCAGGAGGCTCATGTCTCACCCTCTCTTCTGGCCAGCCTTGAGGACGGAGTCTGAGCCTCCAATGTGCACCACGCAGGGAGGACAGTGGATCTGTGCTCCGTGGTCATGGCCCAGCAGAGGGGAAGGGCAGTTCAGTGAGTGCTGAGGGACCCTCGGGAGCCTTGTTTGTTTCCTCATCCTCAGGACAAACAGGAAAGTGCCGTGGGCAGATGGGAGGAGACCAATGTGCAAACTGTCAGCTCAGCAGACTGTGGAGTTTCAGTTCTTGGTTGTGGTGGGGGGGTCTCTCTCAGGAATCTTCTTCGAAATTTTGCTTCCCTCCCCCACTGGTTGTCCTTTTCATAGACATCTCACCCACGATAGCAGGGAATGAGTCCCTCTAAACTATTCCCTCGGAACAACAAAAAGATGATGAAGGTGATGATGAGGATAAAGAGGATGATGACAGACACCATGGCATCATGAACCCTTACTGAGGGCTTCCTAAAGGCCAGGCTCTGAGCTCTGTGCTCTATGCAGCTTGCTTCATTTCATCTGCTTAGTCTCCCAGTTATTAGTGCACATTACATGATTATTTTACAGACTAGAAAAGGAGCAACACATTTTCATATAACTTGTACCAGATCATGAAGTCAAAAAGGGTGAAGCCCAATTTGAACCAGGCAGTCTAAGGCCAGACACATGGCATTTGGCCAGTCCTCTCCCTGCATCCAACCTGCCCTCTCAAATCCTTGTCACTCAGGCCGATGCCCCTGCTCACTGTGCCCTTCCCTTTGGGGGTTCCTTGTAGACCGCAGCTAGACCAGTGGGTGCCACAATCACTGTGTCAAGTATGGAAAGGGCAGCTGAGATGAGATCACATCAAAGATTCCAGAAAGAATTGGCACAAGATGATTCGGGAGGCATCTCTCCCTTGCCCCTGTTCCTGGCTTTCCTTACAGCTCTCGACTTCCTCAAAGGAGTCATAAATTCGGGGTTTGGCTTCCATTCCTATTGAGGAAGCTGGAAACCATTTCAAAAATGCTCCTCAGATGTGCCCATGGTTAAGACCTCTGAGCTCTGTCAAAAACTTTTGGAAGCTGGGCGCGATGGCTCATGCCTGTAATCCCAGCACTTTGGGAGGCTGGGGCAGGCGAATCACAAGGTCAGGTGTTCGAGACCAGCCTGGCCAACATGGTGAAACCCCGTCTCTCCTAAAAAGAGAAAAATATTAGCCGGGCGTAGTGGCGGGCGCCTGTCATGGGACCTACTCGGCAGGCTGAGGCAAGAGAATAGCTTGAACCTGGGATACGGAGGTTGCAGTGAGCCGAGATCACTCCACTGCACTCCAGCCTGGGCAACAGAACGAGACTCGGTCTCAAAAAAAAAAAAACAAAACAAAAGCAAAAACAAAAAAGAACCCACAACATTTTGAGGGTTGGGAGACCATCAAGTATAGTGCCCGGGACTTATAGAGTCTGGCCATTAATTTTCAATACCACCCTTTCTACTTATCTGTATGGCAAGGGATGAGACGTCCATCCTCTGAGACTCAGCACTCTCATCTGAGTTGATTTCTAGTTGATCCAATGGAAGTGAGCAATGATTAAACCGACCGTGGGTGCCCGCTGCGTGATCTCTATGTGATGGATGCGTAAAGTAAAGGCAAAGTGAATTTAGATACGTTCGTTAATATTTTAAGCTTAAACTCCATACGGTTCAACGGAAATATCCCCTGACCAGAAGTTCTGGTTTCCCTGCATTCCAGACAGGACATTTTCTTTTGTCCTTATCTCAGTAAGTACTGAGTATTGTGAGAGGAACAAGTGAGTCTCTTTTGTTTCTGATTCCCCAGAGCCTAAATCTTGCTTGGCACAAAGGAGATAGCAAAAGTAAACATCTATGTGAATTATTGAATTGACACTTCCTTGGTTCACAAAAATTGGCTGTCATCAGTGTGACGTCAGTGTGACAGAGCGTGTGTTTTTGGTTTTTTGTTTTTTGAGACGGAGTTTTGCTCTTGTTGCCCAGGCTGGAGTGCAGTGGTGTGATCTCGGCTCACTGTAGCCTCTGGCCTCCCAGGTTCAAGCCATTCTCCTGCCTCAGCCTCCCGAGTAGCTGGGACTACAGGCGCACGCCGCCATACTGGGCGAAGTTTTTGTATTTTCAGTAGAGGCGGAGTTTCACCATGTTGGCCGGGATGGTCTTGATCACCTGATCTCGTGATCCGCCCTCCTCGGCCTCCCAAAATGCTGGGATCACAGGCGTGAGCCACCGCGTCCGGCCAAACGTTCTGATGAAAACTCTAAGTCCACCGAAGCTAAGGACAGGAGTTATAGCTTACATTAATTTTAAAACAAGACCCACCGATTTGAGTAAGCAATTACTCTCTTGAAGGAGAAAAGTCAGAAAACATAATGATGAAATCACTAGGACCTAACTGGCCTGTGGAACTATTTTCTGCTTATGAACTATCAACTTTAATTTCATTTCCAGATGGCATGGTTTCAGCAGTTATACAGTGTTTACAGATGTTCTAAATCAAGGGAATTTGTATCAATCTATTCGAATAAAATAAAATATCTGAGTTCTTAATTTCCTTTAATTAGGATAACCTTTTTCTTAAAGTGAAGAGAATGGTTTTATCACATAGTTTCCTTCGGTAAAGACAGGCTCTCTTTTCTAGCAATTACGAATTTGTTATATATGATGATCTGGTTCTTGGAACATTCTTGAATCTAGTGTCTCTGAGGCAGGTGTGTAGAGCAAGAAGTGAATAACACAGATATCAATGATGAAAGCATTAGAAGACAGTTGAGTTTGTCAAAACTGCAAAATGTTGCTGAGTGTGGATTGCTCTGAAATCTGAAAACATTACTTGTGAATTGCTTCTATCCAAAATGCAGACACGATGCTGGGTGTTGGTTTACTTGTTTCCGATTTCTCAACCCTCTTTTCTAGGCAAAAGGTGTCCAATCTCTACAGACCCACAAAATCTAATAGATGTCTTTGTATTCCTCCTCCTGGAACCTCAGAGGATCCAGAACGGCAGCTGGTCCTTGCTGGGCTGTTCCTGTCCATGTGCCTGGTCACGGTGCTGGGGAACCTGCTCATCATCCTGGCCGTCAGCCCTGACTCCCACCTCCACACCCCCATGTACTTCTTCCTCTCCAACCTGTCCTTGCCTGACATCGGTTTCACCTCCACCACGGTCCCCAAGTTGATTGTGGACATCCAATCTTACAGCAGAGTCATCTCCTATGCAGGCTGCCTGACTCAGACGTCTCTCTTTGCCATTTTTGGAGGCATGGAAGAGAGACATGCTCCTGAGTGTGATGGTCTATGACCGGTTTGTAGCCATCTGTCACCCTCTATATCATTCAGCCGTCATGAACCCCTGTTTCTGTGGCTTTCTAGTTTTGTTGTCTTTTTTTTTTCTCAGTCTTTTAGACGCCCAGCTGCACAACTTGATTGCCTTACAAATGACCTGCTTCAAGGATGTGGAAATTCCTAATTTCTTCTGTGACCCTTCTCAACTCCCCCATCTTGCATGTTGTGACACCTTCACCAATAACATAATCATGTATTTTCCTGCTGCCATATTTGGTTTTCTTCCCATCTCGGGGACCCTTTTCTCTTACTATGAAATTGTTTCCTCCATTCTGAGGGTTTCATCATAAGGTGGGAAGTATAAGGCCTTCGCCACCTGTGGGTCTCACCTGTCAGTCGTTTGCTGATTTTATGGAACAGGCGTTGGAGGGTACCTCAGTTCAGATGTGTCATCTTCCCCGAGAAAGGCTGCGGTGGCCTCAGTGATGTACACTGTGGTCACCCCCATGCTGAACCCCTTCATCTACAGCCTGAGAAACAGGGATACTAAAAGTGTCCTGCGGCGGCCGCACGGCAGCACGGTGTAATCTTGATATCTTCTTATCTGTTCCATTCCTTTTGTAGTGTGGGTTAAAAAAGGCAGAAAGGTCAAATAAGAATGATATCACAGGGTGAACACCCACTGTGATATTAGGAGTAATACCTCCCTAGGATATAGAATATACTGTCACAGAGTATACACACATGGGGTACACCCACTGTGATATTAGAAGCAATATCTCCCTAAAGTATGAGGAAAAATATCACAGGGTGTGCACACTTTGTGATATGAGGAGTAATATTTACCCTGGATATTACGACTAATATCAAGGGTGTACACACAAGGGGTACACGCTCTGTGATATCAGGAGTTGTATCTCCCTAGGATATTACGAATACTATCACAGGGTATACACTATGTGTGTACGTCCACTGTGATATTTGAAGTAATGTCTCTCTATGACATTATAAATAACATCAAAGCGTGTACACCCCTGTGACATATTAGGAGTAACATCCTTCTAGGGTATTACAGATAACGTCACAACGTGTACACCTTCTGTGACGTTTTGTACACTCTTTGTGACATTAAAAGAAACATCCCCCTAGGATATTATGAATAATAACACAGGAGGGGTACACACATGGTGTACACCGCCTGTGTCATCAGGAGTAACATTCCCCTAGGATATTACGAATAATATCACAGCAGGTGTACACACATGGTGTACACCCCATGTGACATTCGGAAGAGCATGCCCCTAAGATATTAGGAATAGTATCACAGGCATTGAATACACATCTTTAATGCGTAATGTCACCCCCGGTGACATTAAAAATAACATCCCCCTTGGATATTACAAATAATATGACAGGGAGTACACCCCGTGTGACATTAGGAGTAACATCCCCCGAGGATATAACGAATAATATCAGAGGGTGTACATGCATTGCAACCTTAGTAGTAACATCTCTTTAGGATATTACAAATAATATCACAGGGTGTACAGGCATTGTGACTTTAGTAGTAACATCCCACTGGGATATGATGAGTCATATCACAGGGTGTACACCCCCATGACAATAGTAGCAACATTCCCCTAGAATATTACGAATAATATCACAGGAGGTACAGCCCCTGTGATTTACGAGTAGCATGTCTATAAACTATTACAACTCATATCACTGTGTGACTCTGTGTACACCCCGTGTGACTTTAGAAGTAACATCCCACAAAACTATGACAAAAAATATCACACGGTGAACGCCCTGTGATCTGAGGAATAACGTAGTTTTAGGGTATTATGAATGATGTGACAAGGTGTACACACCCTGTGACGTCAGGAGCAATATCCGTCTAGGATGTTAGGAAGACTATCACACGGAACACACCCCCTGTGACATTAGGATATGGCAAATAATATCACAAGGTGTACACGCATCGTGACGTTAGTGCTAATATCCCTCTGGTACACTATGAATAATATCACAGGGTGTACATCTCTGTGACATTAGGAGTAACATCCCCCTAGAATAGTAAGGATAATAACACTGGGTGTACACCCCCTGTGACGTGAGGAGTATCATCTCGCTAGAATATCATGAATAATGTCACAGGGTGTTATCGTCTGTGCCAATAGGAGTATAGACCCCTGGGAAATTATGAATACTATCACAGGGTGTACAGCCCTGTGACATTAGGAGTAACATCTTTCTAGAATATCACGAATAATATCACAATGTGTACACCACCTGTGTCATTAAAAGTAAAATTGCCCTAGGATATTACGAAATAGAACACAGGGAGTACACCCCGTGTGACATTAGAAGTAACACCCCCTCGAGGATATAACCAATAAGATCAGAGAATGTACCTGCACTGGGACATCAGTAGTAACATCTCTTCAGGACAATACGAATAATATCAAAGGGTATACACGCATTGTGAAATTAGTAGTGAACTCCCGCTAGGATATTAGGAATTTTATGACAGGGTCTACAGGCCCTGTGACATTAGCAGTAACGTTTTCCTAGAAGATTACGAAGAATATTAAAGGGTGTACAGGAAGTGTGAATTACGAGTAACATTTCCATAGCATATTGCACGTAACATCACTGTCTGTACATGCCGTGTGACATTAGGGGTAACATCCCACAAAATTATAACGAATAATTTCACAAGGTGTGCACCCTCTGTGACATTAAAAGTAACATTTCCCTAGAATATGACGACAATATCACAGAGTGTACACCCTCTGTGATATGAGGAGTGACATCTTATGAGGATAATACGAGTAAATTGACAAGGTGTACAAACCCTGTGACATAAGGAGTGACATCCCTCTAGAACATTATGAATAATATTAAAAGGAACATACCCCGTGTGAAAATAAAAGCAACTTCCCCTTAGGAGAATAAGAATAATACCACAAGGTGTACACAAAATGTGACATTATTATTAAGGGAAAGCTAGGATATTGGGAATAACATCACAGTGTACGGAGTCCTGTGACATCAGCTTTAACATTCCCCTACAAAATTACGAATAATAATGAAGGGTTTATACCCCTGCGACTTTAGCAGCCGCATCTTGCTAGAATATGGAAGATAATGTCCCAGGGTGGGAACCGAGGGTGGCAGTACAGAAAGGATCCTAGGAAAAATCGGGGACTAAAGTCACCCGACTTCTGCCACACTGGATATTACGATCCACATCACAGGGGGGCGGGTGACCTCCCCCCTTGAGGGGACTAATATCACCCCCGACTCCGCCCCTGGATAAGCCGACACACATCGCATGGGAGCGGGCGCCCCCTGCCATGCAAGGAGTAATAACACCCTCCTCCCACACTCTGGATATGACCGTCCACGTTCCAGGGGGGCGAGTGCCCCCCGAGATCCAGGCAGTCATATCACCCCTATCTCGCCCCTCTGGCTCTTAGGACCCCCATCGCAGGGGGGCGAGGCGCCCCCCGCGATGCGGGGACTGAGAGCCAGCCCCTCTCGCCCCCCTGGCTCTTAGGATCCGCGGTGGTCTCACAGCCTGTTTACCATATTGTGAGTAATATCATCTCCCCCTCTGGAGATTATGAACTGGTTCACAGAGGGGTGTACACCGTCGGTGTACAGAGAATGTACACCCGTCAGTATTGGAGTAATATCATCCTCTTCCTCCCTGAATATTAAGAACAGTATCACAGGTGTGTTTCTACTCCCTGCGGTATCGCGTGTCATATCCCCCTCTCCCACGTTGCAATTAGAAACAATATCAGTGGGAGCGTGTCCACCTTCTGTCGTAGTGAACGTAATATCATCCTCTTCCCTCCAGAATCATGGGAACAATATCCCTGGGGGGGTGTCCACTTTCTGTCATATATGTAGTCATATCACCCCCTCCGCCTTGGAATATTATTAAGGACCATCTCACACGCGGGTGTACACTTCCTGCGATGTTGGGAGTAACATCAACCTCTCGGCCTCTGAATATTAGGAAGAATATCACAGGGTGGGTGTTCACCTCCTGCTCTATGATGGGGAGTCACATCTGTCTGTTATGGGGAGTAATATCATCCTCTCCTTTTCAGGATATTAATAACAATTTCACAGGCTGGGTGAACAAAGCCTGCGATGCTGGAATTATTATCATCCTCTCCCTCTCGGCCTACTAGGAACAATATCACAGAAGAGGTCTACACTCCCTGCGATATTGGGTGTAATATCATACGCTTCTTCCGTGAATATTAGGAGCAATATCACCGGGTGGCTGTACATTCATTACTCTGTTGGCAGTCATGGCATACTCTACCCGCTGGGTATTAGGATCAGTGTCACAGGGTGAGTGTACACCTACTGCGATATGAAAACTAGTATCATGCTCTCCATTCCTGGATATTAGGAACAATATCACAGTAGGTGTACACCCCCTGCGGTATTAGCACTAATAATATTACGAATTATTAAACATCAGTCTTGTTAATAATTATCAATGGTAATATTAATGGAATAACGTTATTAATCATTAATGCTTATTTTCAAGATATGATTATGCATGATTAAAATAATTAATATTAATGTCATTTTTAATAGTAGCTATTAATCTTAATAATTATTGTTTTATTACCAACATCTCATGATTGATTGAAGTAACATTAATTACTGATATCATTATTTTATTATTAATAGTGATATTGCTATTAATTATTTATAGTAACCGTTAATATTTTCAATCCGTACTAAGTTTTACTGTCTCTACTGTAATTATTAATATAAATGATTACTATTGTTTATATTTACTAATATTAATAATTAATATAACTGTTCCCGATATCCGTGGGGGAGAGGATATTACTCCGAATATCGCAGAAAGTGTACACCCCTCTATGATGTTACTCCTAATAGCCAGGGGGTAGAGGATGACATTATTGAAAATATGGCAGTGGGTGTACATCCCTTCGGTCATCTTGTTCCTAATATCCTGGGTGGGAGCGGATGATATGACTCCCAATATCGCAGGTGGCGGAGACCTCCCCCGTGATACTGTCCCTAATATCCAAAGGTGGAGAGGATGATATTTCTTCCAATTTCGCCGGGGGTGCACACCACCCTTGTGATATCGATCCTAATATCCAGGCGGCGAGAGGATGATATTAGTCTGAATATTGCAGGAGGTGTACACTCCCTAGGGATATTGTTCCTAATATCCAGGGACGGAGAGGATGATATCACTCCCAATATAGCAGGGGGGGAACACCCCTTCTGTGACGTTGCTCCTAAAGGGCAGCGGGGGAGAGGAAGATATTACAGCCAAAATCGCAGGGGGTGTACACCCCCTTGTGACATTCTTCCTTATATCCTGGGAGGGAGAGGAAGATACTAGCGGCAATGTCGCAGGGGCTGTACACACCCACTGTGATATTGTTCCGAATATCCCAAGGGGGAGAAAATGATGTTACCTCCAATATCGCAGGGGGTGTACATCCTCCTGTGATATTGTTTCTTATATTCAGGGGGAGAGGATAATATTAGTCCCAATATCGCAGGGGTTGTACACACCTCCTGCGATACGGGGAGTAAGAGCCAGCCCCTCTCCGCCCCTGGATCTTAGGACCCCCATCGCAAGGGGGTGAGGCCCCTGTGATGCAGGCATGCATATCACCCCCCTCTCCCCCCCTGGCTATGACGATCCACATTGCAGGGGGGCGGGCGCTCCCCGCGATGCGGGGAGTCATATCACCCCCCTCTCCCCCGCTGGATATGACGATCCACGGTGGTCACACAGCGTGTTCACGTTATTGTCAATAATATCTTCTCCGCCTCTGGAAATTACCAACTATGTCACAGACGGGTGCACATCCTCTGCACTCTTTGGAGTAATAGCATCCTCTTTCCCCTTGATATTAAGAACAATATCACAGGAGTGTTTTTACCCCTAGGGGCATTCCGTGTAGTATCATCCTCTCCCACGTTGAAATTAGGAACAATATCACTGGGGGCGTTTCCACCCCGTGCGATATTGAAAGTAACATCATCCTCTTCTCTCCTGGATCATGGGAACCATATCACTGGGGTGGTGTACACTTTCTGCGGTATTGGGAGTAAGATCATCCTCTCTGCCTTGGAATATTAAGGACCATATCACAGTGGGGCTGTACACACCCTGTGCTATTAAGAAGAATATTGTCCTCCCCTGCCCTGCACATTGCAAAAAATATATAGAGTGGGTGTACACCTCCTGCGATGGGGGGGGGGGGCGTGGTGATATCATCTTCTCTTCTTCTGGATAATGGCAACAATAGTACACGGGTTTGTACACTTTCTGTGATATTGGGAGTAATATCAATCTCTCCGCCTTTGAATATTAAGAACAATATCACAGACTGGATGTACACCCCCTGCGATACTGGGAGTCATATCAGCCTCTCCTCTCCATGGATATTAGGAATAATATCCCAGGATGGGGGTACACCTCCTGCTGTATGGGGAGTCATATCGTCCTCTCCCTTCCTGGCTACTAGGAACAATATCAGAGGGTGGGTGTACACAGCCTGCGATATTGTGAGTAATATCACCCTCTCCCCCTCTGGATATTAGGAACAATGTCACAGAAGGGGTGTGCACTTCCTGCGATACTGGGAGTAATAGCATTCTCTTCTTCCGTGACTATTAGGAGCAAAATCACTGGGTGGATGCACAGCCAGTGCTATATTGGGAGTAACGTCATACTCCACCGCCTGGAGATTATATTCGGATCAATATCACCGGCTGGGTGTACACCTACTGCGATATTGAACGTAATATCATGCTCTCTCCCTCCCTGGACATTAGGAGCAATATCACAGGTGGTTGTACACCCACTGAGGTATTAGGCTTAATAGCAGAATGAATTATTCCTCATTTATTATTAACATGAATATGAATGACTGATATTCATATTAATATTAAGAAATAATTGCTAATAAAAAGTTTTCAGATTAATATTAATATTAATTATTAGGAGCTAATATTACTGTATTCTAATGAATAAGATCAATATCAGTTATTAATATCAGGCATCATTAATCATTACTATTAATCATTTATTGTTATCATTAGTATAACTATTTAATATTAATTATCATTATTATCGGTATTATTTTAAAAATTATATTATCAGTTATTAATATTGATAATTATTAGCGTCAATTAATAATTGAGATTATTAATTGCGGTAAGTCACATTGTGCCATTCCACCCCTCCCTCGGCAGCTCGTTTACGACCCAAAACGGGGATACAAATGCCCCTGAGAGAGCAGCGGTATACTGGGATAGATGAGGATGGTCACGTGGTGGAGAGGTGTGTTTTTGGGTACCAGCCCTTCACCTGCATCTACCTTCTCAACTGGAAAACCAATACACTGCCCTATACCGAAAAGCCACAAGCCCTAATTGATTTGCTCCAAACTGTTATCCAGACCCACAACCACACCTGGGCTGATTGGCACCTGTTGCTCATGTTCCTATTTAACAGCGAAGAAAGGCGGAGAGTCCTCCAAGCAGCAACTAAGTGGCTAGAGGAACATGCACCAGCTGATTATCAAAACCCCCAAGAGTATGTAAGGACCCAGTTACCAGGAACCGACCCCCAGTTGGACCCACATGAAAGAGAGGATATGCAAAGGCTAAACCGAGATAGGGAAGCTCTCTTGGAAGGATTAATGAGGGGAACTCAGAAGGCCACAAACTTTAACAAGGTCTCTGAGGTCATTCAGGGAAACGAAGAAAGTCCAGCACAATTCTACGAGAGACTGTGTGAGGCCTATCGTATGTATACTCCCTTTGATCCCGATAGCCCTGAAATCAGCGCATGATTAACATGGCTTTAGTCTGTCAAAGCACAGAAGACATGAGAAGAAAATTGCAGAAACAGGCTGGGCTTGCAGGGATGAATACATCACAATTACTAGAAATAGCTAGCCAGGTGTTTGTAAGCAGGGATGCAGTAAGCAGTAAGGAAAACAGCAAAGAGAATGGAGGTCAGGCCCGGCAAAACACCAACCTGTTTGTTAGCTGTGGCAATCAGAGGGGCCCCCCCAAAGAGGCAAGGGAAGGTGGGCCCTGGGAAAGAAACTCAGCTTGGCTGTCAGAGTTTGCAGCGTAACCAGTGTGCTTATTGTAAAGAAATAGGACAGCGGAAGAACAAATGCCCTCAGCTCAAAAGAAAACAAGGTGACTCAGAGCAGGAGGCCCCGGACAAGGAGGAAGGGGCCCTACTCAACCTGGCAGAAGGGTTATTGGACTGAGGGAGACCAGGCTCAAGCGTCCCCAAAGAGCCTCTGGTCAGAATGACAGTCGGGGGTAGAGACATTGATTTTCTTGTAGATAGTGGTGCTGAACATTCGCTAGTAACCGCCCCGGTCGCCCCCTTATCCGAAACGACTATTGACGTCATCGGAGCCATGGGGGTTTCAGCAAAGCAGGCTTTCTGCTTGCTTCGGACTTGCACTGTAGGAGGACATAAAGTCATTCATCAGTTTTGGTACATGCCTGACTGTCCCTTGCCCTTTTTGGGAAGGGACTTGCTCAGCAAGCTGAGAGCCACTCTCTCTTTGACACAGCACGGCTCTTTGCTGCTAAAGTTACCCGGAACGGGAGTCATTATGACCCTTACGGTCCCCCGAGAGGAGGAATGGAGACTTTTCTTAACTGAGCCGGGCCAAGAGCGAAGACCAGCTCTGGCTAAGCGGTGGCCAAGAGTACGGGGGGAAGACAACCCTCCGGGATTGGCCAGTTAAGACTGGGGCCCAGCCGGTTAGGCAAAAACAGGCCCCGGTCCCCAGAGAAGCTCTTCAAGGTATCCAGGTCCATCTCAAGCACCTAAGAACTTTTGGAATTATTGTTCCTTGTCAGTCTCCATGGAACACTCCCCTCCTGCCTGTTTCCAAGCCATGGACCAAGGACTACCGGCCGGTACAGCATTTGCACTTGCTTAATCAAGCTACACTGACTTTACATCCAACAGTACCTAACCCATCCACATTGTTGGGGTTGCTGCCAGCTGAGGACATCTGGTTCACCTGCTTGGACCTGAAAGATGCTTTCTTTCCTATCAGATTAGCCCCTGAGAGGCAGAAGCTGTTTGCCTTTCAGTGGGAAGATCCGGAGTCAGGTGTCACTACGCAGTACACTTGGACTGGACTTCCCCAAGGGTTCAAGAACTCCCCCACCATCTTCAGGGAGACATTGGCTCGAGACCTCCAGAAGTTTCCCACCAGAGACCTAGGCTGCGTGTTGCTCCAGTAGGTTGATGACCTTCTGCTGGGACACCCCATGGCAGTCGGGTGCACCAAGGGAACAGATGCCCTACACCGGCACCTGGAGGACTGTGGGTATTAGGTGTCCAAGACAAAAGCTCAGATCTGCCGACGGCAGGTACCTTACTTGGGATTTACTATCCCACAGGGGTCCGAACGCAGCCCGGGATCAGAAAGAAAGCAGGTCCTTTGCAATCTACCGGAGCCTAAGGGCAGAAGGCAGGTGAGAGAATTCTTAGGAGCTGTGGGGTTTTGTAGACTGTGGATCCCAAACTTTGCAGTATTAGCCAAGCCTTTGTATGAGGGCACAAAGGGGGCGGGCACCGGAAACCTTTGGAATGGGGATCCCAACAACAGGAAGTCTTTCATGAGTTAAAGGAAAAACTTCTGGCAGCCCCAGCCCTGGGGCTACCCGATCTGACAAAGCCTTTTCCATTGTATGCATCAGAGAGAGAAAAGATGGCAGCTGGACTTTTAACCCAAACTGTGGGGCCCTGGCTGAGGCCGGTGGCCTACCTCTCTAAACAACTAGACGGGGTTTCTAAAGGATGGTCCCCCTGTTTGAGGGCCTTGGCAGCAACTGCCCTGCTAGAACAAGAAGCAAATAAGCTGACTCTTGGGCAAAACCTGAACATAAAGGCCCCCCATGCTGTGGTGACTTTAATGAATACTAAAGGACATCATTCGCTAACGAATGCCAGACTCACCAAGCACCAAATTTTGCTCTGTGAAAATCCCTGTATAACCATTGAAGTTTGTAACACCCTACACCCCGCCACCTTGCTCCCGGTATCAGAGAGCCCTGTCGAGCCTGATTGTGTAGAAGTGTTGGACTCAGTTGACTCTAGCAGACCTGACCTCCGGGACCAGGCTTGGGCATCAGTAGACTGGGAACTATATGTGGATGGGAGCAGCTTCTTCAACCCCCAAGGAGAGAGAGATGCAGGGTATGCAGTGGTAACCCTGGACACTGTTGTTGAAGCCAGATTGTTGCCCCAGGCCACTTCAGCCCAGAAAGCTGAACTCATTGCTTTCATTCGGGCCTTAGAACTCAGTGAAGGTGAGACTGTAAACATTTACACTGATTCTCGGTATGTCTTTTTAACCCTTCAAGTGCATGGAGCGTGATAGAAAGAAAAGGGCCTGCCTATTGAACTCTGGGGGAAAACATAGAAAATATCAACAAGAATTCTTGCAATTATTAGAAGCAGTATGGGAACCCCACAAGGTGGCAGTCATGCATTGCAGAGGACACCAGCGAGCTTCCACCTTGCTGGGTTTGGGGAATTCCCGCGCTGACTCAGAGGCTCGAAAAGCAGCATCTGCCCCCTTCCGGGCATCAGTGCTCCCTCAAGCACCTGATCTTGGACCTACTTCTTCTAAAGAAGAAAAGGACTTTCTCCAGGTAGAGGGAAGGACAAGTGACGGAGGGAGGATGGATTCAGTTACCAGATGTGAGAGTAGCTGTGCCACAGTTGCTAGGAGCTGCAGTTGTACTGGCTGTGCAAGAAATCACCCATGTAGGTCAGGAGTCACTGGAAAAGTTGTTAGGCCGGTATTGCTACATCTCACATTTGTCAGCCCTTGCCAAAATGCTGAGGCAGCGGTGAGTTACCTGCCGAGAGCATAATGCGAGGCAAGGTCCAGCCGTTCCGCCCGGCATACAAGCTTATGGAGCAGTCCCCTTTGAAGATCTCCAGGTAGACCTCACAGAGATGCCAAAGTGTGGAGGTACCAAGTATTTACTAGTTCTTGGGCGTACCTACTCTGGGTGGGTGGAGGCCTATCCAACACAAACTGAGAAAGCTGGTGAAGTAAACCCTGTGCTCCTTCGAGATCTGATTCCTAGATTTCGACTGTCCTTACGGATCAGCTCAGATAACGGGCCTGCGTTTTTGGCTGCCTTGGTACAGAAGACGGCAAAGGTATTGGGGATCACACGGAAACTGCATGCCGCCTCCCAGCCTCAGAGTTCCGGAAAGGTGGAGCGGATGAATCGGAGTATCAAAAATAGTACTATTGTCTTCCCCGCTGGATATTTAAAACAACACCACAAGGGGCGTCAAACCACCTGCTAAATTTGAGGGAATGTTATCCTCTCCCCGCCTCCCCCGGCCCCGGATATTAGAGACAATAACACAGGGGTAATGTACACCCACTGCTTTATTGGGAGTAATATCATCCTCTCCCTTCTTGGATATTAGGAACAATATCACACTGTGCGTGTACACCTGTCGTGAAATTCAATGGAATGTCATCCTGTGTCTCCCTGGATATGATGAACAATATCACGGGGGATGTACAACTTCCGAGATATTGGGAGTGATATCATCCTCTCCCCTCTGGAAGTTAGGGACAATATCACAGGGGTAGTGTACAGCTTCTGGGATGTTGGGACTAATATCATCCTCCCGCCCACTGGATATTAAAAACCATATCACAAGGGACGTGTACACACACTTCGATATTGGTATTAATACCATCATCGTCTCCCTCTTTCGATATTCGGTGCCATATTTCAGGTGGGGTATACACCACCTGCAATATTGGAAGTAATATGATTTTCTCCCCCCTGGATACCAGAAACAATATCACAGGGGGGTGTCAACAACCCCTGCGATATTTGGAGGAATATCATCGTCTCCCCTCATGAATATTAAGAACAATATCGTAGGGGTGGGGGGTGTACACCCCCTTTCATATTTGATATCATCCTCTTCCCCCCTGGATATTAGGAACAATATCAGGATGTACAGACCCTGCGACCTTTGCTGTCATATAATTGTCTCTCCCCTAGATATTAGGAAAAATGTCACTGGGGATGTGAACAGCCTTGCGATATTGGGAGTAGTATCATCCTCTCCCCCCTTGCATATTGGGAACAACATCACAGGTGGGGTGTACTGCCTCTGCGATATTGGGAGTAAAATTTTCCTCTCTTCCCCTGGACATTAGGAAGGGTATCAGAGTGGGAGGGTGTACATTCCCTGCCATATTCAACGTAACCTTATCCTCTCCCTCCCAGGGTATTCAGAACAATAAGACAGGAGGGGTGTACACCCCCTGCGATATTGAGAGTCATATCATCCTCTTTCGCTCTGGATATTAGGAACAATATCACAGGGTTATGTACACCCCCTGCGGTACTGGGAGTAATATCATCCTCTCTCCCTGTGGATATTAGGAAGAGTATCACAGGGCTGTGTAAACCCCCTCCAGTACTGGGAGTAATATCATCCTCTCTCCCTCTGGATATTAGGAAGATTTTCACAGAGGTGTGTACACTCCCTGCGATATTGGGAGTAATATCATCCTCTCCAGCCAGGAAATGACTAACAAGGTCACAGGGGAGTGTACTCCCCTTGCGATATTGGGAGTAATGTTGTCCTCCCCAAACCTGGATGTTAGCAACAAGATCACAGAGGGGGTGTACACACCCTGCGACATTGGAAGTAATATGATCCTCTCCCCACCTGGATATTGGGAAAGATATCAAAGCGCGGGTATACATTTACTAAGCTGTTGGGAGTAATATCATTCTTTTCCTTTCTGGATATGATGAAGAATATCACAGGGGTGCTGTACAATTACTTCGATATTGGGAGTAATATCATCCTCTATTTTCCTGGATATTGGGCACAAAAGCACAAAAGGGTGTACAACCCCTGCGATATTGGGAGTAATAGCATACTCTCCTTCCCTGGATGTTAGAAAACAATATCATCAGGGCTGAACACCCCCCGCGATAATGGGAGTCATATTTACTCTTTCACAGGCCATTTGGAACAATATCACAGGGGATGTTTACAAACAGGGGTGGTGTACACCCCCTGTGATATTGGGAGTAACATCATTCTCTCCACCTCCGGATATTAAGAACAATATCCCGGTGGGAGGTGGTACACCCCCAGTGATATTGGGCATAATGTCATCCTCTCCTTCCCTGGATATTAGGAACAATATCACAGGGGCTGTACACCTTCTGTGATATTGGAAGCAATATCATCCTCTTCCCCGCTGGATATTAGAAAAAATATCACTCATGGTGTACACCCACTGTGATATTAGGAAGAATATTACAGGGTGTACATCCACTCTGACTTTAGGAGAAATAGCTCCCTAAAATGTCACGAATAATATCACAAGGTATACAGTAATATCTCCCTAGGATATGACAAATACTATCACAGGGTGTACACCCACTGTGATAACAGGAGTAATACATCCCAAGGATACTACCTATAATATCACAAGGCCGTGCACCCACTATGACACAGGGAGTGATATCTCCCTAGGATATTATGAATAACATCACAGAATGTACACCCATGGTGTGCACCCACGGTGATATTAGGAGTAATATCAACCCAGGACAAAACCAATAACACCACAGGGAGTAGAGACATGATGTACACCCACGGTGATGTTACGAGAACTATCTCCCTAGGATAATACCAATAACATCACAGAGTGTACACACATGGTATACACCCACTGTGGCACTAGGACTAATAACTTTCTAAGATATTATGAATAGCATCAGAGAACATAAACACATGGTGTACACCCAGTGTAACTTTAGGCGTAATTTCTCCCTAGGATATTACGAGTAACATCTCAGTGTGTACACACGTGGTGTACACCCACTGTGACATTAAGGTTAATATCCCCCTAGGATATGATGAGAAACATCACAGGGTGTCCATCCATGGTGTACACGCACTGTGATGTTAGGAATAATATCTCTCTAGGATATTATGAATAATACCACAGGGTGTACAGAAACTGCGATATTAGAGGTAATGTCTCTCTAGGATACGATGAATAATATCACAGGGTGTACACCCACTGTGATACTGGGAGCAAGATCTCTCTAGGATAGTACGAAGAATATCACAGAGTGTACATCCACTGTGATATTAGGAGAAATATCTCTCTGGGATATTACGAATTATATCACAGAGTGTACACACATGGTGTACATCCCCTTTGATATTAGGAGTAATATCTTCCTAGGACATTACAAAGAACATCGCAGAGTGTACATCCACTGGAATATTAGGAATCGTATCTCTCTAGGTGATTACAAATAATATCACAGGGTGTACACCCACTGTGATATTAGGAGTAATAACTTCCTAGGGTATTATGAATAATTTCACAGTGTGTACACACATGGTGTACACTCACTGTGATATTAGGAGTAATATCTACCGAGTAGATAACAAAGAACATCACAGGGTGTACACCCACTTTGATATTAGCTGTAATATTTTTCTAAGTTGTTACAAATAATATCACAGGGTGTACAAACAGGGTGTACACTCACTGCGATATCAGGAGTCGTATCTCCTTAATATATTATGAATAATATCACAGGGTGTACACCCACTGTATTATTAGGAGTGATATCTCTGTAGGATATTACAATTAATATCCCAGGGTGTGCAGCCACTGTGATATTAGGAGCAACATCTTTCTAGGATATTGCAGACAATATCACAGGGTGTACGCCCACTCTGATGTCAGGAGCAATATCTCCCTAGGATATCCAAAATAATATCACAGGGTGTACAATCTCTGCCTTCCAGGTTCTAAGGGATTCTCCTGCTTCGGCCTCCCGAGCAGCTAGGGTTACCCGCCACCACGCCTGGCTAATTTTTTTTTATTTTCACTAGAGACGGGGTTCACCACGTTGGCCAGGCTGGTCTGGAACTCCTGACCTCAGGTGATCTGTCGGCCTCGGCCGCCCAAATGCTGGGATTACAGGTGTGAGCCATGGCACGCAGCCAAGAGTTATATATTCAATTAATGTGGAAACACAGCTCCCATATTTGAGTGTGCATGTACTTTTATGAAGAAATGATGTCAGTAAACCTAAGGATGACAATAAATATGAAAAGTAACTGGCATGTTAAAAGGTCTTCCGATTAAGAACTCTAAGGTTCGATTTCGTTTTTAGATAATGCGGTCCTAGCTCTTGTATCATCCTTTTACATATTCTACATCAAAGGAATTTGTCGCATGGTGTCAGAATAAAACAGAGTGTATTTCACTGCTTCTTAATTTCTTTCAATTAGACTGAGATCTTTTTCTTAAAGAGAGAAGAGCATCTTCATTGCATTTTATTTTTTCTGAAAAGAGTAGGCCGTATTTTACTGAGATCATGGATTTGTTATATATTACGTTTTGGTCTTCTAACATTCTTCAGTGGATTTTCTCTAAAGTAGTATGTACAGAAGGAGTTGAATAGCAAAAAAGTAAATCATGTAATAATTCTGAGACTTTTGGGCTTGTCACAACTGAGAAATATTGCTGACAGTGTATGGTCCTCAAGTGTGAAAATGTTCCTTGTGAATTGCTTGCATCCAAAATATACACACAGCATTAAGGGCTGGTTTTTATCTTTTATTTTTCCAATCCTCTTTTCTTCCCAAGGTGTCCAAGTCACACAGAGCCACGGCATCTCACAGGTGTCTGAGAATTCCTCCTCCTGGGACTCTCAGAGGATCCAGAACTGCAGCCTGTCCTCGCTGGGCTGTCCCTGTCCATGTATCTGGTCACAGTGCTAAGGAACCTGCTCATCATCCTGGCTGTGAGCTCTGACTCCCACCTCCACACCCCCATGTACTTCTTCCTCTCCAACCTGTGCTGGGCTGACATCAGTTTCACCTCGGCCACGGTTCCCAAGATGACGGTGGACATGCAGTCGCATAGCAGAGTCATCTCTTATGCGGGCTGCCTGACACGGATGTCTTTCTTCGTCCTTTTTGCATGTATAGAAGACATGCTCCTGACTGTGATGGCCTAGGACTGCTTTGTAGCCATCTGTCGCCCTCTGCACTACGCAGTCATCGTGAATCCTCACCTCTGTGTCTTCTTAGTTTTGGTGTCCTTTTTCCTTAGCCTGTTGGATTCCCAGCTGCACAGTTAGATTGTGTTACAATTCACCTTCTTCAAGAATGTGGAAATCTCTCATTTTGTCTGTGAGCCATCTCAACTTCTCAACCTTGCCTGTTCTGACAGCTTCATCAATAGCATATTCATGTATTTCGATAGTACTATGTTTGGTTTTCTTCCCATTTCAGGGATCCTTTTGTCTTACTATAAAATTGTCCCCTCCATTCTAAGGATTTCATCGTCAGATGGGAAGTATAAAGCCTTCTCCACCTGTGGCTCTCACCTGGCAGTTGTTTGCTTATTTTATGGAACAGGCATTGGCGTGTACCTGACTTCAGCTGTGGCACCACCCCCCAGCAATGGTGTGGTGGCATCAGTGAAGTACACCGTGGTCACCCCCATGCTGAACCCTTTCATCTACAGCCTGAGAAACAGGGACATTCAAAGCACCCTGTGGAGGCTGTGCAGCAGAACAGTTAAATCTCTTGATCTGTTCCATTCTTTTTCTTGTGTGGGTAAGAAAGGGCAACCACATTAAATCCCTACATCTGCAAATCCTGCCCTTAGTCACATTATTTCTGTGGCTTGATGGTTTTATTCCTTTCCGCATTTCCTATGTGAATATTGTTTTCTTCGTTATGCCTTTAACTGGAATGGGTGAGTATTCTGGGATCCTTTGTTTAGCAGAAACCTCATGACTGAATCATCTATACCTAGGCGGCCTCCTTTAGTTTCTGAGCAACAACCCTGTCATCCAGGTGGAATCACAACCATCTTTTTATATACGGGAAGTCCTCACTTCATTTTGGAATTCCCTGAAAATTGACTTTATGGAAGCAATGTACAGCAGGTCCTCCAACACCACTGGTACATTCAAAGTTGTGTAGTTGTAATGTTGGTGAGGAATAAGTGGTTTCACTATACCTAATTTTGCTTAAAGGTGAAGTTTCCAAGAGACTTTCAAAGATGTTAAGTGAGGACATACTGTACATCAAATTCATATCCTCTTCCAGAGTTCATGTGGAATTTCTTTATAAACTGCTTCTAGAGAATCTATTTAGGCAGGTTATGTGTAGAGATCCATGTCACCGGTCCTCAGTCTTGACTTTGAGTCAAATCACCTGGGGAGCTTACAAATGATGAGGCCTGGGTCTCATTACCTCAGATTCTGATTTCCCTGCACCTGTGTATGTGGTTTTGTTTTTTTTTTTTTTTTTTTTAAAGCACCAGAGGTGGTTGCAATGATGAAGTTTTTAGAGGCACCAAGCTCCAATGAGTAAGAACAGAAGTTAATTGTAGTATGATTTCTTCAAATATTATCTTCAAATGCATTGTCCATCAACACCATACAAATGTTTATTATGCTGTTGTTTCTTACCATTTAGCATTTTCTATTTTTTCTTTTTCTTTTCTTTTCTTTTTTTTTTTTTTTTTGAGGCAGAGTTTCACTCTTGTTGCCCAGGCTGGAGTGCAATGGCACGGTCTCGGCTCACTGCAACCTCTGCCTCCCATATTCAAGTGATTCTCCTGTCTCAGCCTTCCAAGTAGCTGGGATTACAGGTATGCGCTACCATGCCTGGCTTTTTTTTTTTTTTTTTTTTTTTTGGTATTTTTAGCACAGACAGTGGTACTCCGTATTGGTCAGGCTGGTCTTGAACTCCCGACCTCAGGTGATCCGCCCGCTTCCGCCTCCCAATGTTCTGGGATTACAGGCGTGAGCGACCGCGCCCAGCCACCACTTAGCATTTTCATTTTACATTTGTTGAAATTATAGATTTATACACACTTTGATGCTGCTTTGTTATACACTTGCATATACATAAGACGGGAAATAGAAAAGAATAAAATGGGCACAGTATCCCTGAAGTTTCACATTCTGAGACATGTTAAAAATATTTGCTTTTTAGAAATTTGTTTCAAATGAGAAACTGTGGTATACACACACAATGAAGTATTATTCAGCCTAAAAAGGAATAAACAAAATCCTCTCCACTGCAGACAAAATGGATGAGATTGCAGGTCTGTATTATTAAGTGAAATAAGCCAGGCACAGAATGACAAATATTTCATATCCTCACTTCCATGTAGGAACAAAAAAGAAAATCTTGGCCAGGTGTGGTGGCTCAGGCCTGTAATCCCCGCACTGTGGGAGGCCGAGTCGCACGGATCACTTGAGGCCAGGAGTTCGAGACCCACCTGGCCAACATGGTGAAACCCTGTCTCTACTGAAAACACAAACAATTAGCCGGGCGTGGTGACGCATGCCTGTAGTCTCAGCTACTCGGAGGGCTGAGGCCCAAGAAGCGCTTGAACTCGGGAGGCAGATGTTGCAGCGAGCCCGGATTGTGCCTGTATACTCCAACCTAGTGAGCCGAGATTGGGTTCGTGATTTGGCTCTCGGCCTGGCTGTTGCTGGTTTTTAGAAATGCCACTGATTTTTGCACATTGATTTTGTATCCTGCAACTTTGCTGGAGTTGTTTATCAGCTGAAGGAACTTTTGGGCTGAGACTCCGAGGTTTTCTGTATGTAGAATCATGTCATCTGCAAACAGGGATAGTTTGACTTCCTCTCTTCATATTTGGACACCTTTTATTTCTTTCTCTTGCCTGATTGCTCTGGCCAGGACTTCCAATACTATGTTGAATAGGAGTGGTGAGAGAGGGCATCCCTGTCTTCTACTGGTTTTTAAAGGGAATGCTTCCAGCTTTTGCCCATTCCCATTCAGTATGATATTGGTTGATGTTATAGATGACTCTCATTATTTTGAGGTGCATTCCTTCAATACCTAGTTTATTGAGAACTTTTAGCATGAAGGGATGCTGAATTTTATCGAAGGCCTTTTCTGAGTCTATTGACATAATCATGTGGTTTTTGTCTTTAGCTCTGTTTATGTGGTGAATTATGTTTGCTGATTTGCATGTGTTGAACCAACCTTCAACCAAGTAGGATGAAGCCTACTTGTTTGTGGTGGGTTAACTTTTTGATGTGCTACTGGATTCAGTTAGCAAGTATTTTGTTGAAGATTATTGCATCAATGTTTGTCAAGGATATTGGCCTGAAGTTTTTGCTTTTTATTGTGCCTCTGCCAGGTTTTGGTATCAAGATGATGCTGGCCTCACAGAATGAGTTAGGGAGGAGTCCTTCCTCCTCAATGTTTTGTAATAGTTTCTATAGGAATGGTACCAGCTCTTCTTTGTACATCTGGTAGAATTTGGATGTGAATCCATCTGGTCCTGGGCTTTCTTACTGATTGAATTTCAGAGCTCATTATTGTTCTATTCAGGGAATCAATTTCTTCATGGTTCAGTCTTGGGAGGGTTTATATGTCCAGGAACATACCCATCTCTTCTAGGTTTTCAAGTTCTTGTACATAGAGGTGTTTGTAGTAGTTTTGGATAGTTAGTTTTCTGTCTGTGGGGTCAGTGGTAACATCCCCTTTGTCATTTCTAATTGTGTTTATTTGGATCTTCTTTCTTCTTTGTTAGTCTAGCTAGTGGTCTATGTATCTTATTAATTTTTTCAAAAATCTAACTCCTGAATTTATTGGTTTTTTGAATTTTTTTGTGTGTGTCTCAATTTCCTTCAGTTCAGCTCTGATTTTTGTTATTTCTTGTCCGCTGCTAGCCTTGGAGTTGGTTTGCTCTTGCTTCTGTAATTCTTTCAGTTGTGATATTAGGTTGTTAATTTGAGATCCTGCTAACTTTTTGATGTGGATGTTTAGTGCTATTACTCTCCCTTTTAACACTGCCTTAGCTGTGTCCCAGAGTTTCTTGTAAGTCAGCAAATCTCTTAATGATTGATTTTCATTGGTGTGTTAGTTATTTACTAAAAACTTTATGCAATATACACATGATTGTGTTGATCATTATGCCTTATTTCTGTGCATTAAAAATCCTTCTATACTCACCCTTTGGGATATTTTATAGCAGTTGATCTTTTAAAATCTTATGAGCTCATGGATTTTCATGGGATTATTATTCTCTTTGTGTTGCTCAAATGGTTTGAACTTGGTGGCGGAGCCCCTTCAAGGAGCATCTTTGCTCCAGAATTATGTAGGATATATTTCAAACTATTCTCACTCTTCCAATAAAAAGATGTGTAGCCTCAACTTGATGTTTTCTGCCTGTGGAAATGCCTATAGTCTTTTCACAGAGCTACACTTTTCATTTAGTGGAAACAACGATCTGATTGTTTTTCTTGAGCACAAGTAATAGCTGAAATCACTTTTTAGTAATTTTAGAGATGTAAACTAAAAATAAAATTCTAAGCCCACACTGACTGAACAGATCCCCGGTTGGCCAAGGGGACCCCAGGAAAAACTTAAAAACTTAGTTCCCAGCCACAGTGGGATGGGAGGTCATACAGGCCCTTTTTTTACCCCTTCTCTTTTATGGTTTGGACACAACAAGTAACCAGCCTTAATGTTAAAATAGAGATCATAAGACTGACAGAACAGACTCTTTGTGACAATAAGATACCAAATTATAAACAAGATCTAAGACCATACCAGGCAAGGGTTAAATTACACATCTCTACACCTAATGAACAAACTATGTTCTAGCTGCCACAGGTTTTTCTTTTTCTCCAGCAGGTAAATAAGCACTGCTCTTGAGATAAGTAATATTAAAACAATTTGCAGCTCCACCAGATGCTGACTAACTTACCGCCTGTTCCACTAGCCATAGCTACAGCTTTGACTGGACAAGAGACTGATTTCAGTAACTTTCTCCTGATAAGAAGACCACTGACCATGGACTGGCCCTGGCTGGCTGTGCTCTTGCGTGCATTCGTGTTCTTAAAAAACCTTTTGATGTGCAGGGCCTTACTATAATACATTTAAATGTTAAGTCACCACCCCAAAGTGAACATGCATGTTACATGCATGTTTGCTCGATAAGCATGTGTCAGGACCACCTTCATGAATATTCATAGCTCCTCCTGTAACCTGTTGAGTATTTATATTTATCCAACCTATTTGGCATAAAGCTCCTGCCCTAACCCCTCCTCCTTCAGAGTGCCTGTCTCTGGGCTTGGCTGGAGGCCCACTTTCTAGCCTGAGGGATGGTCACCTTTTACAAGAAATAATGTCTCCTCTCTTTTTCTAAATTTGTAAATTGTATTTATTAATTTTTTTAAGTTAATAGAGGCAAAGCTAGAAATTGAGTTTTTTTTTTTTTTTTTTTTTTTTTTTACAAGAGCATGAGTTCACATTTCTGCTTCCATTTGAACTACACATTTGAATTTTATGTATTGTCCTTATAGAGAAAAAATTTCCGGCCCGGTGCGGTGGCCCACTCCTGTAATCCCAGCACTTTGGGAGGCCAAGACGGGCGGATCACGAGGTCAGGAGATAGAGACCATCCTGGCTAACAAGGTGAAACTCCTTCTCCACTAAAAATACAAAAAAAAAAAAAAAATTAGCCGGGCCTGGTGGCAGGCGCCTGTAGTCCCAGCTACTCAGGAGGCTGAGGCGGGAGAATGGCGTTGAACGTGGGAGGCGGAGCTTGCAGTGAGCCGAGATTGCGACACTGCACTCCAACCTGGGCGGCAGAGCGAGACTCCGTCTCAAAAAAAAAAAAAAAAAAAAAATTCACTCCATTTTCTGAGCCTCTGTTACAGACAACATTCTTTTAACATATGTGTCATAACACTGTGACTTATGCTAGATTATAATAGTGCCTAAAGTTTTTATAACAAATTGCGTGCCTACAGGCTTGGTTGTTGGACGCCTCATTAAGGGTATGATTCTACTTCTTTTCTTTTATGGGACTGACGCGTTTTTTCAACAAATACTATTGTATGCTTTATTATGTTCCCCTTAAAATTATCCCGAATAGACGCCACATTATATTGACAAAGAGGGACAAATTCATCGCTACTCATTTCTGGAAATTTCAATGAGAATAAGCACAATAATAATAGTTTAAAGTATATTTCTAGATATTTTTCAATCTCCCCAGGAATTGAAAAGTTGTAGTTTTTTTCTCTTTCAAAATTGGAAGTGTTGTTTTTGGATGAGTGAAAGGAGGATGTAGAAAATGATTCCACAGCTACCGGATTGTCTAGAACGGGATTTCCTTTTCTGATTGACAGTTTACCATGTTAGAATAAGAGATTCTCAAGAGGAGGACAGTGCATCACAAAAATTGGTCAGAACATGTTGTCATGAGGTTGATGCTTTCATTCTGGGGCCTTTATAGGGATGTTTGGGAAAAGTTCATAAAAGGGAACCTTGTTGCTCAAAGCTATCCTCTTTTTTTTTTTTTTTAATTCTTATTTAGTTGGTCAGTAACCATCAGTAGAAAATCATAGGAATGTGGACCAAACACATAGATTTTGGCTTTAGGTCTCTATGTACTGGTGTTGAGTGGAGAGTAATAAAGTGAAATCAATATGGTGATTCAAAGAAGTAAATAAAATCTAAGATCTCTAATATCTGATAAAATTGGATTTACGCTGAATATTACACTAGAAGTATAGACAATAGAAAAATGCACTTCTCATCAAAGGATAGTGAAAGTAGTACTATATATTTGGAATATATAGTCTCTCAAATATTTAACTTTTATTTAATCCCATTCTTGAGGGTAGAAAGGGAAAAGAGTTATTAGAGTGAAGAATGAGGAGCTGGTTTCTTGGTAAGAGAAGGCCAAGCATGATGGATAATGCCTTCTTTACAGATTATAAACCTGACTTTGAAACACGATTAGGTAATGAAAGAGGGGGGTTTCAAAGAGGAAGAAATAGTGGAATAGTCATTTGGCAGAAAAATTTATTTTACTCTTTTTTTTTTTTTTTTTTTTGTTGAGACAGAGTCTCTCTCTGTCTCCTAGGCTGGAGTGCAATGGCACGATCTTGGCTTAGTACAACCTCTGCCTCCCGGACTCAAGAGATTCTCCTGCCTCAGCCTCTGGAGTAGCTAGGACTACAGGTGCCTGCCACCATGCCTGGCTAACGTTTGTATTTTTAGTAAAGACAGGATTCCACCATATTGGCCAGGCTGGTCTTGAACTCCTTACCTCAAGTGATCTGCCCGCCTCAGCCTCTCAAAGTGCTGGGATTACAGGCTTGAGCCACCATGCCCAGCCAGAAAAATCTATTATAGTCTTTACTCCTTAAGGTGACAATAATTTTTTTTTTGCATGAAGTAGTTGAAAAGGAAAATTTCTATCTTGTGCTTAATTCTCATATGAAGAGTTACAGAGTACTGAGGAATTTCTGGAGTTCACAGTGATTTTGCACTTTGGATCTTACAACACATCAGAAAAAAATAGGGACATTATGGACTGTCTTCTCATGTTCTGTAGATTTTAAGAAAGTAGATTTCAGATATTTCACAGAAATGATTTGCATGTTTCTTTGGGCAGAGTGTCTGAAGTACTGCCCAGGGCAGATCAGAGCTGCTTGGAGTTTGAGGAATCCCTGAGTCTGTTATGAAGCACACACCGCAGCTATCACTGCTGTCTTTATGAGATGTAGGAAACAGGACTGGTACGCATGCCACATACTTGTAAAGGCAGCTATTGAATTCCACCCATTGCCTCACTTTCACAGTAGGTGAATCCACCCAGGATAGTACATGTCTGTTAATATAAATTTTGTAACATCAAAGTACTAAAAAGATTGGGAGTTGAGTTGTTTGCCGTCAGACTTTATTGCATGTTTCTCATTTCTTTTCCCTGCCTGATATTTTAGTTGCAGAGTCCATGTAGAATTTTTATCTATAGTGTTTAACCCAACAAGTACCAAATGTAAAGGACAGATGTCGACTCTTATGGAAATGGACCTCAAGCAGCATGAGAACGGCATCTGTTAGTCGATAAAGTAATGGCACTGCTGAGAGTATGTGAATAAATCCATGGCTGTGAGAGCCTTCCTGTGCATTTTGTTCCCATTCTGCTTCCAAGTATAATTCCAAGTCCACCGTGTCTAGTAGAGCCTCCTTCACGAAGACGGCCCTACAATGGCATGAACGGTTTTTGAGTCTTGCCTCCACTGGAGATTTCTCCCACCTCGCCATCCTGCTGACATTCTCATATAACTGCCTCCATAGCCCTAAGGGTGTGTCTATTGTGACTGCGTGTCTGTTCTCACTGTTCTGATTCAGACATACTTGTCATTATAAGATCCTTTTCCCTTTGGAACAATCAGAGTACATTATGCAAATGTATCCAGCATGGAAATACTGGACGTTCACGGTGAGGGATTTCCAGCCTCATCTCTTGCATCTGGCTGCTGAAACATGACAAACCTCACACACACATGGGTATACACACACAGTCACACTCACATGCTATTTTTTTCAATAGTCTTCCAAAATGCCTGTTCCTCTGTCTTATTTTTCTTTTATCTCTCCTTTCTGGCCATGGTCTATGTACTCTCTATTTCTTTCATCATTCAAAGTGATGTTCACTCCTTTGATGAAACATATTTTCTTCTCATGGCCTTACTTTATGTTCATGCCTTTTCTTTCTCTGTAGCCTATAACTTGTATTAAGAAGATGTTTCTAGCATAAAAAGTAATTCCTACTGGCAGGAAACTTGAAAGGATTTTAGAATCCCCAATGAGTTTGATGAAGTGTGAATAAAATTAAAGGTTCATTTTCCTCTACAGAGAGACCTTGCTCTTCTGTAAACATAAGGCAATCAACGGCAATCAGATGACATGGCAGGAAACTTCCATCTTTATTAAAAGTTTCAGAGATGTTAGAGCTAATCCTGAAATATATATTAGAGGCACTTTTTTATGTAAGTTTTTTTTTCAGTCTGAATAATTTGATACTTTTCAAATAATTTCTCTTCATATTGAATTCTCATTTTAGTAAAAGCTTCCTCAGCCTCCTGTTTCTCTAGAAAACTTTGTGAGATCTTCGCTTTATCTTTGAAAGGTGAGTCGTATCAGGCTCCATCACATAAATCATGCAGTCCCAAACAATGTGGTCTGAAGCAGGACTGTGAAGAATAAGTCAGGTCTTTATCAATATGTTTGCTCTCTAAAGTAAATATACCTAAATCTAAATGGAACCAAAAAAAAAAAAAGGAACCCAATAAAAAGATGGTTTGAATAGAAACTACTAATACATACAACACACATGCACCTCTTTAAGCTGCAATGCTGTATTTTCTTGGTGGTGTCTGTAATTGTCCATTGGTTGACACTCTCCTGGTGGTCTGCCAAGGGCATCGCTCTGGATCAGATTCTATTATAAGAGCACTTGTCAAGAGCAACATCTAGACAGCTTCAGGCCATAAATCCAACCTTCAGGCATTAGAGGTGAGGGGCTGCATTTCTTCTTGCAGCTGGGCAAGTAGTTTTGAGTTATAAAGGCTTAGGTCCTTCTAGGCTGTGTGGTGAGCTCCTTTACTGGGGATTTGTTTCTCTGATCACCTTACCTTCCATGCCCTCACTGTGACTGGCAATATGCAATCTAGTGAGCCTCTGGCGTCAACTCTAGATATGATTACTGCAAAGTTCTGCCTCTCTCACCAAACTGGCTTTAGCTTTTACAGAAATAAAAATTAGACAGCTCCCAGATGTTGATGCTGAGAAAGTATTGTGGTTGCCACACACTGGGACTCAGACACACAATTAAAACTCAATCTAAAACTCAGTCCTGCCTCACAGTCAATCCAATATGCTATGCCATACCCTAGACCCAAATCCATATTGTCATAATCACATATTTTTTAGGTGTGTCTAATTTTCTAACCTGTCCAGGGACTCAACTCAATTCCTGTTAAGAGACCCATATAGGCCAGGCCCTGGTGGCTCACGCCTGTAGTCCCAGCATTTTGGGAGGCCAAGATAGGTGGATCACTTGAGGCCAGAAGTTCGAGACCAGCCTGGCCAACATGGTAAAACCCCATCTCTACTAAAAATAACAAAAATTAGCCGGGCATGGTGGCATGTGCCTATAATCCCAGTTATGCGGGAGGCTGAGGCAGGAGAATTGCTTGAACCCTAGAGGCAGAGGCTACAGTGAGCTAAGATTGTGCCACGGCACTCCAGCTTGGGTGACAGAGCAAGATTCTGTCTCAAAGAAAAGAAAAGAGAAAGAAGAGAAGAGGAGAGGAGAGGAGAGGAGAGGAGAGGAGAAGAGGGGAGGGGAAGGGAGGGAAGGAGAAGAGAAAAGAGACCCATATATACCCAACCCAGTCCCTAAACCTGAAAAAAATGCATTAACTTTATACATTGCATCTCTGTTTCAATCATTCCAAGTGTCTTGTCAGCTCAATGAGTCCATGTTTAATGTTTATGAAGATTTAGATATTCTTTGTTACCTCTGTTCTTTTCTTCTGCTTTTACAATGGCTCTCAGCAATGTTGCTTTAGCGGGACTTTCATGTCCTTGGGACGTTAAAAGGTCTTATCATTCTTATTGGGTCTACTGCTAGTGCAGTGACCTGCCATGTCAGGATAGCTGGGTCCCTATAATCCTTATGGTGTCCTCTACTGTCAAGAGAGTGGGTCATAGCACTAAACTTCCTTTCCATACTATGTTTTTTTAATTCAATTTACAATAAAAATTGATGATATAAGTCAAGATAGTTGCTAACAATTTGTCACTGCATACATTATTATTCTCCTCCAAGTCTCTTTAGTTTGAGATATTTGTGAGGTAACAAGAAAATTTTATCCCTCATTTCTATACATTTCTGCCCATTTTTTGAACTTTGCTTGGGTTAATGAATCCCTACCCTTTTACCTTTATAAGCAATTTTGATGTCATACAACAAAGTTATGGGACTATATTTTGACTGTGTTAATAGTTTTATGATTGTGGAGAGGCTCTGGCACTGTTCCGTTTTCCATTTATTTCAATTCCTGGTTTTTTGGGTAGTTGTTTCTTTTATAGCCATTAAACCTTTCAATTATTTATTCTTTTGTAGCTGGATTAAAGACTATGAAATTTCCATAATATACCTTCTAATGGGCTCATTCCTCCATTTCTCTAGCTATAAAAATGTTTCCTGGTCTGCTTCTTTGATGTTCTAAGCAAGGACTACAGTGTTTTGGGGTGCAATCGGGTGTGCAAATCCTAGTCTTAAGTCATAGCATATACTTTTGTCTTTGTGGTTCAATCGCAGGTTAAAATTAGTCTATCTGTCATATTTCCCCAGTGTATCTTCCTTGTGGTACCTTTTCTATTACATATTCCTTGGATAGTGGATATATCTCACACTGTTTCTATGACATGCTTTGTTGTTATGAATACTTCTCTCCCTTGACCATGCAATTGGTAAGTTTGTTGCAAATGTCCAACTTTGGATGGACCTATCTAGTTAGTATTTCTACCAATTGGTTAATTTATATTATAACTCTAGTTAGTTTCATTAGTTCTTTATTTTGATTTTTGAGTCATCTTTCTGGGGCATTGAAACATATCTGATTGGTAGGTTACTTGGTTCTATTTGGTGTATTTCTGTTCCTGTTAGCTTTTTCCACATTGGTTGTCCATTAGTCTATTATTTATTTTTCACTTTGAGGACCAAATTGTTAGGGCATTGAATGTTATTCACGCGAACAAGAATTGATCATTTCAGAGTGCCTTTCTGCATGTGATGCCTCTTTCCTGGTTGTGTTACTTTTGACATAACTGACTTGCCTGCCCTCCTCAGTCCATCAAGGATATCTGCCATCTACCTGCTCATCCAAAGTCCTAGATTCTCAGTTACCCGCCTGGGAACTTTCTCTTTGGTGAACAGAGTCTCTTTTCCTCCCTTTGCCTCTGTTTTGGAGGTTACTTAGTGTGTGACCTCAATTGTGCTATTTATCCAGGTGTGGTCTGTGTTTCTGTCTCATGGGGCTTACCTGTCCACATGGCAGGTGTTTCCATTGTTCAAATAAGGGTAGTGGGCTGTCCTACTTATTCACTTATTTTATCAGTGAAGAACTTATTTTATCACTTATTTTATCAGTGAAGAGCTTTCTCTGTAGCTCACTGAATCCTCAGCCATTTAGGATCAGGTTTTTAAGGACCTAAAAGTAGAAATATATCCTGGTTTACAGTGCTTGGAATATGATAGTTTCCCACCTGGACTTTTTTTTTTGAGAAGAAGTCTCGCTCTGTCACCCAGGCTGGAGTGCAGTGGCATGATCTCGGCCCACTGCAACCACCACCTCCTGGGTTCAAGCAATTCTCCTGCTTCAGCCTTCTGAGTAGCTGAGACTACAGGCGCACGCCACCACGCCCGGCTAATTTTTTGTATTTTTAGTAGAGATCGGGTTTCACCATGTTGGGTAGGGTGGTCTCGAACTCCTGACCTCAGGTGATCTGCTCGCCTCGGCTTCCCAAAGTGCTGAGATTACAGCCGTGAGCCACCACACCCAGCCACACCTGTACTTTTAATTTATATTTTCTATGTAATGAACATTCCTCTAGGGTTTCGACTGCTTCGAGTAGTTTATTTAATGGCAGTCTTGGGTTCCCCAATCAGTGTAGCTCTTTCCTGGAGAGGTGCTGCCTTTATATGGGTTCTAACAAGAATATCACCCACACGTAAGTCAGATAATTGTTTATATTCTGTATGTGAATCAGTATAGGCCCTTGCTCTCATTCTTAACTACATAGGTTATTTTGCTTCTTTATAGTCTTCTCATGGTTTAGCCATTGAGCTGTTGTCTGGGGTTAACTTCTGCTTCTCCATCCTGTAAATACCCATCTCAGAAACTACCTGGGATTTGCATTAGGTCTGAATTGAATCTATCATCTGATGTTAACCCTTCTCATATAATCCTTGTCTATATCGTCTAAGATGTTTGTCTTGGATAGGATTACTGTACAGAAGTTGGCCCTGTCATCTGCACCCTTGTCTCTCTAAGTTTTGTGGAAAAACAAATAAGGCAACCCTCATATTACAATGATAAAGATATATACAGTATAAAGATATTGTAGCTGCCACATACAAACACCTGAAGTCACAGTTCAAGAACTTGAATATTCTACATTAGAGCTTTGCTCTAAACCAACTGAATTTCTTTAGCTCCCAATGTTATTGAAGAAAAATATTTATTTATGTATTAGTTACTTACCTGTATTTATTGGATGTCTTCTATGCACAGAAACTGGAGTTTGATGTTGATCAAAGTTTCCAAATAATTGATCCCCGGGGCACCTTTTTGATGACCTCTTTCTCTCCCACTCATCCTACTGCCGCTACACTGGCCTCCTTCCTGTCCTGGATACTTTATCAGCATGCCTCATCTTAGGCCTTCACCCTCTGTCTGCTCTCTTCTCTCAGACATCAGAATGAATTACTCTCTGTTCATCCAGGTTTCTGCTTGCATATCAGATTTCCCAGGAAGGAAGATACCCTGCACGGTGACTGTGCACTGTGTCACCTTAGATAATCAGGAGCTATATTTTCCAGATTCTCTTCCCAGTATCCTTCCAGGCTGTGGTTACATACATTAGAAATGTATGTGAAGTGTGGAAGGCTGAAGGGAAGCAGAGGCCATTTCAATGCTCTGAAGATTGGGGTAAGACCTCAGGTGCTACTGCAGGTTTTGCACATTGTCTCTGATGTCATTGGTGAGGCAGTGTCCACACTGCCGGTGCTTTAGTTCTTGCAGGTCCTGGGCTTTGTAACTCTGCAGTTCTACAGTGAGGAGCTTCAGCTTCTCCTGAAAGCCATCTGCCTCATTGAGGTTGGGGGTAAGGAAACTTGCTTTGTCCTCCTGGGTCTCACTTTGTCCTCAGGGATTCTAGTCTATCCTTGTCCTCTCCCACTCCATGTCCAGGTTATCCCAACTGACCTCTGGTGATTTTAGTCCTGACACTAGAGCCACAGGTCTTGTCTAGGCTTCTCCTCCAGCTTGCACAATTGCACAGGGTCCAATCCTATAAAGGCCTCTTATTACAAATCATTCGGTGGCTCTGCTTTTTTTATTTTTTTATCAATACTTAGAGACGCATTTTATCTAAAATTGTATCTCTTCTCACTTGCTATTGTCTTGTCCTGCCCTACTTTATTACTTTTTTCTTTTTCTTTCTTTTTTTTTTTTTTGAGACGGATTTTTGCTCTTGTTGCCCACGCTGGAGTGCAATGGCATGATCTCGGCTCGCTGCAACCTCTGCCTCCCAGGTTCAAGCGATTCTCCTGCCTCAGCCTCCCAAGTAGCTGGGATTACAGGTGCCCACCACCACACCCGGCTAATTTTTTGTATTTTTAGTAGAGATAGAGTTTCACCATGTTGGCCAGGCTGGTCGTGAACTCCTGACCTCAGGTGATCCACCTGCCTTGGCCTCCCAAAGTGCTGGGATTGCAGGCGTGAGAGCCACTGTGCCCAGCCACTTTATTACTTTTATATCACTCACAACTTCCTAATAATATACTATAATAATTTGCTTTTCTGTTTGGTTCTTATTTCTCCCACTTGCATGAAAGGTGCAGTAAAGCAAGAAGTTTGCTTTCCCATTGACTACTAATGCTCAGCTCCTCAGACATTGCTTTGCATATGGAAATCTCCCACTATTTGTTGAATGAATGAAATTTTAAACAAATTTTCAGTGTTCATGTGTTGATAGTTTATTTGTTGTAAATATTTTAATGTCTGTGACATGTGGCTCTTCTTTTATTCTTATGTATATCATGTCTTCCCATAAGGGAGTTTTGAATTTAAATCTTTCCATTAACTACTTATGTTGTTGTATGTGTGTATCTTGCTTAAGAAGGCATTTCTTACACCAAGAGCGTAAAATTTTTCCTGTATTTTCTACTAATATCATATTTTTACATTTTACTCTATTTCCATTTGATTTTAATTTTGTACAGAGTGTAATATAGGAATATAACTCTTCCCCTACATGAGCATGAACCTGACACTAACTCATTAATCATCTACATAGTCGACATTGATGCAAAGCATTGCTTTTGCCACAATTTATTTATATTACATAATTTTTTGATTTTTAAATTTGCAACCTAGCATGTAGTTATAATTTTGTGTTTGAAAATAATGTGTATTCCAGTTGATTGATGACTATAAGTATGCATATGGTTTATCAACACAGTACTTATGTTCAAGTATTTTAATTGTGTTATTAACATCTCTGTACTTTATAATTACTTTATCTCGTCTGTTCATTTCAGACTAAAAGGGTTATCTCACTAGAATTACACATTTTTTATTTTCACTCTGAACTTAATTTTTAAAATATATTCTGAAGCTATATATTAGGCACAGATATATTATAGCTCCTATATCTACTAGTAGAGTGTAGCTTTTTATCAATATGAAATATCTTTTTATCTTTTTAGTGGCTTTTTTCAATCCCCTTCTTTAGACATGCATTTGTCGTTTTGTTGTAGGCCTGTCTTTTGTAAATGAAATAGCTATTTTTAAAAATATTTAATCATAGAATATCTGTCTTTTGAGAAATATTCTTCACCCAAGTGTGTTTATTTAGACTGTAGCTATATATAATTTATTCCCATCATCTTATTTTATATTTTCTATTTACCATGCTTTCTTGTTCTTTTCTGTCTTTTTTTTTTTTTTTCCTTGACTGGACTTTATTGAATTGTTAAAGTTTTCTGAGTTTTACTCTTTTCTTAAAATCTTGGACATGTCATATAGTATTTCATTTTACAGTCATGGTAATCAAATTTTAGCACATATTTAACTTGTCATTTTTTTCTAAAATTCTCTAGCCCTTCAGTATTTATAATCCCTTCCTTTAAGAGAAAAGAGCCAGGGAATCCTTCACTTCTACAAGAGCCACTTCTCCTAAAGCTATCTTAAGGACCATAAAGTTCTGTTAACCAGTTTCCGATTTTTATTGATTTTGGTTCTTACTCACCAGCATTTAAATTCACATTTACTTAAACTTCAGTTTTACTTCCTTTTTGCTTTACCACTGTTACTTGTATTTCAAATCTACCTATGAGATTTATTTTCAGTTTTACTACCATGCAGTTTGCAAATTGGTTACCATTTCTGACTTCTTGTATTAAAAAATAATAATAATTTCCCATCCTGAAAGATGATTTGGTTGCTCAGAGAATCTAATATCAAAGATATTTACTCTCAGAACTTTGAAGAGTTTTAACTAATACATTCTTTTATATTATAGAGTCACTTTTTTGTAATATAATAGCTACATGAAAATGTAATCACTATGTAAAGTTCAGCCTTAGAGGTACAGTGCCATGTCTTTGTTGAACATTCCCCAATTCCAACTTTAACTTGGGCTAAGTTTGATTCCCCTTGTGAGATGTAACTACTCTCATCAAGGCTATTTTTCCAGATCATTTTTCTGGTCATTTATAGATTCAATCATTTATTTATTTATTCATTCACTCAATATGTGTTTGTATTTATTCTATGTGGTTAATAGTCATTATTTTAGGCATTAGGAACATACCATGATGAATACAGGTTTACTCTCATGCAGCATATATTTGCAGTGTAGGGGCAGATATTAAACCCTTACACACACACACACATACACAGACACACACATACACAGACACACACACATATACACAGACACACACATACTATCTGATAGTTATAAGGGCTAAAAGAAAAACTAAAATTAAAATAAAAAGATAATAGAAAGTGATAGAGGGCTTATTTTGAGTAAAGCCATCCCAGAGGTGTCTCAGAGGGAGGAATCAGAGCTAGAGATAACTATTTCTGTGTGATGCAATTCTATAGGTGTTTGGAGCCAAGGGACATGATGAAATCACACAGAAAGGAAGAGTAAACAGAGGAGAGATCCAGAGATTGGGCTCTTGGACACAACATCATTTAGAGGTTATGAAGAATTGGATGGTGCAGCAAAGGAGAATGAGGAGTGGCTGCTGATGTAGAAGGAAAATTAGGAGTCTGTTGTTTCAGAAGCCAGTGGAGAAAAGTGTTTCAAGAAGGTAGTATTGAATATTTGTGGAGAAATCTGTTTAGCACTCTGTTTCAAAGCCTCCTGAGATGTTCAGTAAGATAAGGATATGGGATATTCATTGAAGTTTGGCCATGTAAAAATTATAGTATATCTTGAAAAGAGTGTTTTCTGCTGAGCATTGGCACAGATGTCCAAATGTTCCAGATTCAGGAGACAATGTGAGAAGAGGAATTAAAAACAGCAGCTACAGAGGACTCATGGGAAAGGGTTCATTTTTCCAGAGTTCCAAGAAATGGGTCAGTAGCTGATAAGAGATGTTAAGACAATAGGTTATTTTTAAAAATATGTGATATATTAAAGTCCACTTGTATGTCCACAGTAATGATCCAATACGGAGAGAAAAATAATGATGCCAGAGGGAGGGCAGGTAATTGCCGGAGCCAATGTCACAAGAAGGCAATAGGGATGGGCCCCATTAAACAAATGGGCCATTGGCCTCAGGACAAAGCAGGAGAGCTCATCTATTTTTCCAGGAGGGAAGGGAAGATACAGGTGAAATGAAACTGGGGGGGTTGGTGGTGATCAAATGTGTTGTAGGGTAGCATTAAGATCCCCTTAAGTTTAGGGTCATATATTTAAATGGAGATAAATTAGCATACATATATATATATACACACACACACACATATTCCAATTATATTTAGCTGCTTGAGTGTGAGTGAGAAGTCAATGGAGAACAGAGTAATCATTTTGCTAGGCAAATAAGTTGAAGATATTAGCAAGGTAAATACAAGATTTATTATAATGAAAGATCTCAGAATGTAGACACAATATGGAGAGAATGGCTGTGAGAGGGCTCATAGGCGTGGAGAGGGTGCAGTGAGTTCAAAGGATAGCTGGTGCCTCAGTCTTGGAGAGAGTGAGCTGGAAAGCATAGAGAAGGTGATCAGAAAAATTGCAGGCCTGAAATTGAGGTTTTTGAAAGTTATTGACTGATTTAGTAGTTAGTAGTTAGTAGCTCTGAAGATAGAATATATATTTGGCCTTAAGAAAATTGAGGTATTGAGATGCAGGTTTGTTGACTTGAATGGATCCTCCACATGAGAATTAAATGACCAGACATAATGACAAAAGAATGTGTAAGATGAAAGATAATGTACCGGGCACAGTGACTCATGCCTGTAATCCCAGCACTTTGGGAGGCCGAGGTGGGTGGATCATGAGGTCAGGAGTTCGAGACCAGCCTGGCCAATATGGTGAAACCCGTCTCTACTAAAAAATACGAAAATTAGCCAGGTGTGGTGCTGCGTGCTTGTAGTCCCAGCTACTTGGGAGGCTGAGACAGGAGAATCCCTGGAACCCGGGAGGCGGAGGTTGCAGTGAGCCAAGATTACACCATTGCACCCCAGCCTGGGCAACAGAGTGAGACTCCAGCTCAAAAAAAAAAAAAAAAAGAAAAGAAAGATAATGCCACCTCTAGAAAATATAATCTTCCACAGATACTATGAGATTCATCAAAATCTACATGCACCCTACTTTTTGGTCCTATGGATATGTATGCCATTGTTATGCATATGCTGTATAGGTACTTTCATACTTAATTTTTCTAAGCTACCTTTTTATTGTGTACTTCATAAGAACAAGATATTGTATATGAGTAATAATCTGTAAAGGAAAGGAAGTGACAAAAACACCAGTGTATTCACCATTCAGCTGAAGAAATGGGTTATTACCAATAGTTTCGGAGCTCCTTGAAGGATGTGCTCATACCCCATCGTCTTCCTCCACATAACAGGGAAACCACACTCTTACAGTTTAAGTCTATTATACTTTTGTCATATATCCTCAAACAAACTGATTTGATTTGCTTACTTCTTGTTTAATTGTAAACAAAAAGTGTGGATTCACAGCACATGTATTCTTCTGAAATTGTTTTTTTGTTTGGCTCTTTATGTTTGAGAGATCCATTCATGTTGGTGTGTGTACTTCAAATAGTTCATCTTCATTGATGCATGATTCCATTAGTTGTGCACACCACTATTTAGTCATTGTCTGTCACAGACAAAGGCCATTCTAGTACCTTGAAGTGGTTATTCATTGTAATGTTAATTGTTGTCTTACTGATGACTAATGATGTTGATTATATTGTGAAATGTCTGTTTAAGATTTTTGCCCACACTTCCCCCTGCCTTTTTTTTTTCAGTTGGGTTGTTTTTAATTTGATTATTGCTTTATAAGAATATATTTTCTGGATGCAATTCCTAGTGCATGTATGTATTGCAAGTATTTTCTCCAACTCTTTGGTTTGTATTTCAATTCTTTCAATGATGATTTTTTTGATGAGCAGTAATTTTTAATTTTATTAAATTCTATTATATTTAATGTTATGATTAGTGTTTTTTATCATCTGAGAAATCCTTAATTCATAAAAGATTGCAAAGCAATATTTTAAATTCTATTTTTAATGTCATGATTAGTGTTTTCTCATCTGAGAAATCTTTACTTCATAAAAGATTACAAAGTTATATTTTCTATTTTTTAACAACTGTATATTTTTTGATTTAACATTTAATCTATGATTGATCTGAAGTTATCTTTGGTTTTTAGTTTAAGGTTCTTTTGTTCCTTGTGGATATCTAATTTTTCCAGCATGAGTTTTTGAAAATATTTTTCTCTTTTAGTTAGCTAGCTTGTCATATTTGTTGAAAATCTAGTCATTGCACATGTGTAGACTTATAGGGTTTCTGTAAAATTTTGACATGTATAATTATTTTATCATGTATAGTTATGGAGTACTAATTTATTATATGTTTACTTATTTTTCCAAGACTTGCTGGCTATCCTGTATATCTCAATTTTCTATTCTATTCTGTTGACCTACTTGCCTATCCTTTCACCAGTGCCACACTGTCATGGTTGCTTTATCATTACAGTAAGTCTGAACTCAGGTAGTGCATATTCTCCAACTTTGTTCTTACTTTTCAAGATTGTCTTGGCTATTCTAGGTCATTTGCAATACAAATTTGTATATCAGTTTGCCAATTTCTACCAAAAAATGCCTACTGTGAAGAATCTATTGATTGATTTGGGGTGATTGAAACCCCAATTATCATTGAAACCCCTGTTAATAATGTTGTATCTTCCAAACTAGAAACATACTATATCTTTCCATTTATGTGTCTTTAATGTCTCTGAACAATACTTTGTGGTGTTTATTGTACAGGTCTTGCAAATGTTTTGTTAAATTGAATCCTAGGGCTTTTGCTGTTGTTGTTGTTGTTATTGTAAATGGTATTTCTTACAATTTCAATTTCTGTTCAGTGTTGCTAGTAGGTAGAAATATAATTATTCGTATGTATACTTTGTATCCCATAACCTTGATACATTTGCATATTAGTTCTAGTAGCTGCCACAAAGAGTCCTTAGAGTTTTCTACGTACTCAATTAAGCCATTCACAAATAGAAACATTTTAACTTATCCTTTTCAATCTTTTTGTCTTTTTTTTTTCTTGCTTTATTGCAGTGGTCAGAACTTTCAGCACAATACTGATAAAAACCAAAAATACAATTCTAAGCACCCCCAACCAACTGATGGACCCTCCCCTTGGCCAAGGACATTCTAAAGTTAACCTGATAAACTAGTTCAGGTCATGATGGGAAGTGAGGGTCAGACATGCCTCATTATACCCACCTTTCATTGAAATTTAGGCACAGCTGGCCTGCATTAACATTTAAAATGGAGATCTGAAGACTGGTAGAACAGATTCTTTAAGTCTGATAAGAAACATTCCCTTCTATTGATTCTATCTGCATAATGGGAACCTTGGCCTCCCCAACCCCTTATCTTAGCTGAGACATTCCCGTCTATTGATTCTAGGTCCATAGACAATAATGTAACTCTTTCAACCAATTGGCAATTAGAAAATTATTGAATCCATCTATGACCTGGAAGCCCCCTCATCACTGCTTTGAGTTGTCCTGCCTTTCTGGACCGAACCAAGGTACATCTTACATGTACTGATTGATGTCTTATATCTCCCTAAAATGTATAAAACCAAGCTGTGGCCTGCCCACCTTGGGCCCATGTTCTCAGGGTCTCCTGGGGCTGTGCCACAGGCCATCAGCCATTCATATTTGGCTTAGGATAAATCTCTTCAAATATTTTACAGAGTTTGACTCTTTTCATTGACTGAATAAAAGCAGTGGCAGCCAATATCCATGCCTCAGTCCCAAGGGGCAGGCATTCACCCTTTTACCTTTAAGTATGATTTTTAGCTCTGGGCTTTTCATCTAGATGCCCTTTTTCAGGTAGAGTTCCCTTCTAGTCCTACTTTGCTGAAAATTTTTATCATAAATGGGTATTGGATTATGTCAAATGTTTCCTTCCATCTATTAAGATGATCATATGATTTTTTCTCATTTTGTTAATGTTGTTAATAACATTCTTCCTTTTTCATATTTTGGAAATTTCTCACGTTGCTAGCTTTGTTTTCCGCAAATATGTCTTGCAGCTACAGTGCAGGTCAAGAAGGCATCCATGAAGTTTTCCGTGAGGAAGTGAGCTCGGAAATGTGCAGGTTTTGCAGAAGGTAGCCGTTTCTGCTGTCACTGTTGGAGCCGAGCGCAGGTTGCAGCAGCCCTTCCCCAGGCCATTTGCTGTGGGTTTCTGGAGCTTGTGGCAGCCGGTTCAGCTTCTGCCTTGGCTGGTTCTGCAGACTGTTTCTGCAGTAGGTCTCTCTCCAACATTTTTGGAAGTTTGATTTAGTCTGCTTCTGAAGGCCTTTCCTAGGTTCACCAAGCTTCGAAATATTCTGTGATTTATCTTCCTTCAGTCAAAATTACCCAGAGCAGATTCTGTTTTTCTTCAGAAGATATGCAGATATATGAGCATTTTTGTTCTTAATCTTAGTGGGAATGTGCAAGGGTTTGCCAAGACAAAAACTCAGGAGTGGGATGATTATGCAATGCAATTGTTTTCCAAAGGGATCAGGCCTTTTTACATCTACCACCTAGGCCCAAGGGTTTCTATTGCTTCACTATCATTCTCAGGTTTATTAACTGGCCTTTTGATCTAGCTGCTCTGACAGATGAGAAATGGCATCTCACTGTAATTTACATTAGTAAGACTTTGAGTAAAAATGAGGCTAGGCATTTTTTTATATGTTTCTTCATCATTTGTATCACTGGTCATGGTTGTGCAATTTTTATTGGGTTTCTCTTTTCCTTATTGAGTCGTAAACTTTCTAAAATGTTCTTTTTGAATTATCATGTTGCAAACATAACACTATTTGTGACTTTTCTTTTTCATATTCTTTTTTTTTTTTTTTTTTTTTGACAGAGTCTCGCTCTGTCACCCAGGCTGGAGTGCAGTGGCATGATCTCGGCTCACTGCAATCTCCGCCTCCCGGGTTCAAGCGGTTCTCTGCCTTAGCCTCCCGAGTAGCTGGGATTACAGGCGCCCACCACCACGCCCGGCTAATTGTTGTATTTTTAGTAGTGATGGGGTTTCACCATCTTAGCCAGGCTGGTCTTGAACTCCTGGCCTCAGATGATCCACCCGCCTCAGCCTCCCAAAGTGCTGGGATTACAGGAGTGAGCCACCGCGCCCATCCCATTCTGTCTTTTAGGAAGGTAAGTTTTAAATTGAATTCAATCAACTTTATAAATAGTTTTTATTATTGGTATTTTATTTAAGAAATTCTTCCTTACCCCACTATCATATTCTCCTGTGCTTTCCACTAAATATTGGCAAGTTTTAAAGTATTAACCGTTAAGTCTTTAATACAACCAGAATTGTGTTTTAGTTTATTTTCCCTTTTCTCATTGGGAAGTTAACCCAATATTATTTATATTCTTTAGTGCTTATCTTTCAAATCGTATCAGGCATTCTTAGCTATTCTAAAATTAATCAGTACCATAAACCCTGCCCTAAAGCACTAGAAAATTAGACAAAAATTGATTCCAACTACTTCCTCACATGCATACTATTTTCCTAGTGCTTAGTTCTGTACTTTTAATTTCCATGGATTAGATATCATTATTATCGCTTTTTATTGTATACAAACAATACTTAAATTTACTTATAGATAGATAGGCAAGGGGCACAGTTCTTATGTGGAGCATAACATCTTCAATATCAAAGACATTTCAACGGCATTTGAACTTTCATGTGGTTGTTGAGAAGTGTGTTTTCAGTAGAGATGGCTCCAGACTTTGTGGGGTCTAAAATTTATTGGCATTAATAACGCACAGTCTCAACTAGTCCTTACTTTAACTAGTACCTTACTTTAACTTGACTTTCTTCCTCAAAGGGTGTCACACAGGAAGGAACTGGGTCACCGTTTATCCCATTGCTAAATAGGTAGCTGGTGGTGGACTCTCAGGTCACGGTCCTCACACATTGCAGCTTCTGAGAGGAAGAAGCAAAGTTTTCCCTCTTGTTTAAAAAAATGTGTGTTCATGGCAAAAAAAAAAATGACTTGAAATGTTTTTGTTTTGTTTTGTTTTGAGATGGAGTCTTGCTCTGTCACCCAGGCTGGAGTGCAGTGGTGCGATCCTGGCTAACTGCAACCTCTGCCTCCCGGGTTCCAGTGATTCTCCTGCCTCAGCTTCCCAAGTAGCTGGGATTACAGGCATGCGCCACCACGCCTGGCTAATTTTTTGTATTTTTAGTAGAGATGGGGTTTCACCATGTTGGCCAGATTGGTCTCAAACTCCTGACCTCAAGTGATCCACCTGCCTCAGCCTCCCAGAGTGCTGGGATTCCAGGCGTGAGCCACAGCACCCAGTCTGAAATGTTTGTTATTTTGAATCTAGCCATCTATAAGTTTAAGAAATGATCTTTGGGTTTTCTGTCCCAAGAGTTGTTATTTTCATTTAGCTTTACAATTAAAGCCTTTATTATTTAATCATAAGGAAGATTGCTTTCTCAATGTCAACATGAAATTGTGTCCTCTGTATTCTCTGTGGCTTCATTTATCTGAGAGAATCACATTGACAAGCAGAACATGGTGAAATAGTGAAGAGGAGGTGAAGGAGGAGGAGGGCAGAGCTCAGGCATCTGTTTCCACAGCAAACACTAAGTCAGACTTCCCACCAGAAACAGTGCAGTGCAGCTTGAGGGCTTATGGGCCTGTGAGACACTTTCTGCTGTTTCGTACTTATTGCAGAATTCTTAACTTGACACCAACCGTAGATAACCCACTGATGTGTAATATGTGTTACAGCCCACTCTGCCAGTACTTGCTTCTCATCAGCTCATTTCTCTTTATTATTTATGCAGACAGTATTCAGTATATTTTATTTTATTTTATTTTATTTTTTTAGATGGAGTTTCACTCCTGTTTCTCAGGCTGGAGTGCAATGGCACGATCTCAGCTCACTGCAACCTCCACCTGCCAGGTTCAAGCAATTCTCCTGCCTCAGCCTCCCAAGTAGCTGGGATTACAGGCACGTGCCACCATGCCCGGCTAATTTTGTATTTTTAGTAGAGACAGGGTTTCTCCATGTTAGTCAGGCTGGTCTTGAACTCCCGACCTCAGGGGGTCTGCCGCCTTGGCCTCCCAAAGTGCTGGGATTACAGGTGTGAGCCACCACACCCAGCCTTTTATTGTTTTATTATCATCAAAATATAAGAAGATATGCATTTCCTTTTTATGGCTACGTTAAAACTTTATATATGCAGCAATTAGATTTTCTCTTTGATGCAGCTGTACACCTAATATATGATGTATCAACGGATATATTGTTATGTATGGAAGAGAGTCTTTGATTTTTTTCTTTTTTTGACAGACTCTTGATCTGTTGCCCAGGCTGGAGTGCAGTGGCATGATCTCAGCTCACACAACCTCCACCTTCTGGGTTCAGGCAACTCTCCTGCCTCAGCCTACTGAGTAGCTGAGATTACAGGCTCATGACACCATGTCTGGCTAATTTTTGTATTTTTAGTAGAGATGGAGTTTCACCATGTTGGCCAGGCTGGTCTCGAACTCCTGACCTCAGGTGATCCTCCCTCCTTGGCCTCCCAAAGTGCTAGGGTTACAGGCGTGAGCCACCGTGCCCAGTTTCTTTGATGATCTTGATTTCTGTGCTGCTTTATCTAAAGACCTCTTTAAACACCAAAAAGTCATCACTGCCTGGTAGTAAATGTGCATGAATAAAGGTGACTTGTGATACCCACCTAACAATACTGGTGAGCACTTTTAATCTCTTTTAATTTCTTCTTTGATTTATCTTTTTACTAACTGAGGAAATTGGAGTTCACCATAATCTCCTTTTTTTTTTTTTAAGTTATGAGAACCTGGTTCCAATGGAGAAAACTATGGTTGTGCATTCCTCATATAATCATGAAATCAAGAGACACTGCTATGGATGCATTCCATTTTCAAACAACCTTAAGATGTAGATAATTATTACTATTATTTCTTACATGAGGAAAAAGTGGTATAGGCCTGGGATTTGAACCCAGACTGGAGCTGGGCGTTTATGGATGTGTAATAAGGTTTTCCTTAAGATGGTGAAGAAATATGTATTACAAGGGTAGTATTTATGGCCAAAAGTCCTCTCAAGTTAGTGATATGCTCACCATAACATAAAACAATAGAAAAATAAAATCTCTCTGTTTTATATTTTTCAGACTCACATACATAGTGAGTTCTAACGATACAGCTTTACATATTAAATAAAGGGAGCTGGGGAAATCAGACACCTTGGAATTGGTAGCTTCCTGGGGATATAATGAAAATTTAATAAGGAGGGACTAGTCAGTGTGACAAATGTCTCTGAGGGTCAAATAAAATAACAATGGAGAAAGGCCCATTGCACTTAGCTGCATGGACATCATTTGTGACACAGATATATTCTTCAGACAAGAGTAATTTCTTCTAGGTTGAGCGGTGGAAATAGAAACTTATTTGGGGCGAGCTGAGAAATGATTAAAAGGAAAAGAAGTACAGGAACTTTGGGCAGATACAGACATATCTTGTTTTATTGCACTTCACTTTATTGCACTTTGAAGATGCTGTGTTATTTACAAATTGAATGTTTGTGGCAATCCTGTGTCAAGCAAGTCTATCAGCACCATTTTCCAACAGCATGTGCTCACTTTGTGTCTCTGTGTCATATTTTGGTAATTTGGGCAATATTTTAAACTTTTTCATCATTATCATACCTATTACGGTAATCTGAGACCTTTGCTGTTATTACTGTTAAGTTTTAATACGGTGTCTTTATTATGTCAAAATAAAGCACATCTTTTCCCACACTTTTTCCAGAACAGAACACCTACATTCTTTGAAAATATTGGAGTTCTTTTTTTTTTTTTTTTTTTTTTTTTTGAGACAGACTCACCCTGTCGCCCAGGCTGGAGTGCAGTGGTGCGATCTTGGCTCACTGCAACCTCCACCTCCCGGGTTCAAGCGATTCTCCTGCCTCAGCCTCCTGAGTAGCTGGGAATACAGGTGCACGCCACTACGCCCAGCTAATTTTTTGTATTTTTAGTAGAGACGGGGTTTCACCATGTTAGCCAGGATGGTCTCAATCCCCTGACCTCATGATCTGCTCTCTTCAGCCTCCCAAAGCGCTGGGATTAGAGGCATGAGCCACCTTGCAATGCCTGAAAATACTGGGAGTTCTTTATGTTCCTCCCCTTTTAGCTTTTTGCATTCCATTCTCCTGGGAAAAATTTTATGGATCATTCCAAATAAGAATGTGATAGATGTAAATGTTTAGAGGATAAGAGATGGCAATGGCCCAATGTACGGTAAGGGGCTGTGCTGCCTGCCCAAGACCAGAAAAGTTTAGACCTCAGCATCACTGCCTCCCAGCAATCTAGATGGAAGGATAGTTGTGTGAGCTGCCCAGGGAGGGCTGAACCCTATAAACATCATTGTCAAGGAGCCTGAGCTAAAGGTTTCTGTGTTCCAGTTTGGAACAGAGGGAATAGGGCCTCACTTAACCAACCATTTTTGAAATATACCACGTGGGCTTGGAAGATGTCAGAGATCACATGCACACTCGCGAGCAGAGAGACTGTGATGTGCACTGGCTTATGGGAATGTCTCCTTTCACTTGACCCCAAAAGTGACTCACACTGAGCATCTTGACTTTTTGTCAAGATGATTCCAAACTAGATGATTAAGAGAGCAAAAGCAGTAAGGTTTGACATTGGTGGTTGGGATTTTCATAAGTGTTAGACATGATCTTCCTGAACATTATTGGTGTAAATAATATGATGGGGTAATTCATTCAAAATAGCCTAAAGTACTAGGGGCAGGCGATATGGGACAGATGAAGTGACTAAAACAAAGTGCATTGCAGGTTTAGAGTCTCAAAACTAGAATCAGATGGGGTCTGTTTCAAATCTTATGTCACTTACTGGTTTTCTGATCTTGAGTAATTTACTTAACTTCTGAGTTTTAGTTTCCTTCCTGCCAAAAACAGGATAATTTTATGTACGACACTGGCTTATTCTAAGAACCATGTGAAGAACAGAGAGCATTGAAATAGAGAGTAATAAAGAGTATTTTTAAAACGCAGTTTCTGTCTTGAATCGAAAGAGAACAAAAAGTAGTTCTTGAACATCTGGAAAGGGAAAGCTTTTGATTTTTGCATTCTCTTTCATTTGTTTCTTTACAGGGGTGTGACATAGAGAAACACATTGAAAGCCATACCAGTGTTGATCACTAACCATGCAAGACACTTATTCAAAGCATGCACTTCTACAGTCATTGTCACCACAGACATGGGTTTTAAGTCTACAGTATACAGCATGTAGCTTTCTTGATATTTTAGGATTTCTCTGGGGGTGGATGTATGTGATGTGAAATGAAAGAAGACTGTGAAGGATTGGACAGATTAGGAAGTCACACTGTAAATACTGAGATTTGTTGTGGACTGTAGAATTCAGCTATAAATAAAGTGAAGTGGCTTGGGGACGAAAAGGTTTCTGCCTTGGAAAAACTGAGTTAGTATGTGGGTATAATATCACTAAAAGAAGGAGCTTCTTTTAGAAACCTATAACTTATTCATATTTATCAACTGTTGACTTTGTGTGACAGGCTCTGTTTCAAGTGAGATCCTAACATGAGAAAAACAGATGTGAGCCTGACTCTCATGGCTATGGTATTCCAGTTGGTTAGAAGGACTATACACAAGGAAACAATTGCAGAAGCAGTGAGTGACAATGAGGGAAACAAACTGTGTGCTGGAGAAAAGGCTAACACGGGGCTATCTTCATTACACTGGGGGGTGAGGGAAGACTCCTCTAAGAAGTGACATGGAAGCTGAGATTGAGAATGAGATCAGAAAGTGAGAAGAAGCTGGAGGATAAGCAAAAAGCACCAGGAAGAATGTTTTAGGAAGAGGAAAGAAAATCAGCAAAGGCCCAAAAGTGGCAAATAGCTTGACCTGTTCTAGTAAATTGAAGGTCAGCATTGGCTACCTGGAAAAGTAGAGAGAAACAAGATCATTTAGGTGCATGGTTTGCTCCTTAATGAAGTAAGGGTTGGAGGTGTAGGAAAGATGAGTCCTCAAGTCCAGTGCATAAGGGATAAAGGAAGTAGTCCTTTTAAGGCCAGCTTCAAAGTGGAGAAGCTAAAAGACAATGGTACCTTTCTATCGCCAGGGTTCCCTATTCTCACACGACTGAAGTCTTTTGTTATGCTAACCATCTCTGCCTCTTTTCTCAGTTAGGTGTTTCTAGCCCATGAGGCCAGCATTCCAGAAGAAGGAGATTGTGAACTACTGTCCAGGAACTGGGTGCACAGGATGTGAGATGTTATCACTCTATAACATTTATTCCACATCTATAGAAATCTGGACAGCACCCACATGCTCTCTGCATAGCTGGACATAGTTCCTGAACACAGAAGACTTTCCATAGAGCAAGAAAATAAGGGTAACAAAAATCTACCCATAAATCCACAATAGGAAATATGAAAGTACTAAGAACAAGAAGGTGCCTTTGCCAACACTCAGGGGGTTTTTGGCAGTGGTTTTATAGAATCTTCAACTTTGTTGTTTCTCTTCTTCCCTCTTTTTTTGCTTTTTTCTAGTCCCTGAGAAAGGTCTTCATATGATCCCTTCTCATGAAATCTTTCTATATCCACTTTGTTCAGTTCTGAACATCTCAGTGGTGTTTCAGCATTTGTCTTCTATGGAGAATCTCTCCTATGTGAGCCCATGCTGGTTATGATGATGAAAGGATGCTCAATAATATCAATATTGTGGCTCTTGTTAGAATAGTAGTGAATAATTTATGTGTTTATATCCTCCTTAATTTTATATGAGAAACTCTTTTTTGGGATCATAGAGAAGATTGACTGGAAATAAAAATAAAACATGACCTACGGTTTCAGTATTTACTTGCATTACAACCTAACAGGTTCTTCTTGCCTGCTGCACAGAAAAGCTAATACACTGAGGCAGCAGTGTTGCAACAGAGAAAGAGTTTAATTAGCACAAGGCAGCTAAGTGGAACTGCAGGAGATATTTCTCAAATCCACCCCTCTAAGAGCTTGGAAGCTAAGGCAGGGACTAGGTAATAGGTGCTGCTGATTGGTTGGGGATGAAATTATACAAGTGTCTAAATTGTCTTTGTGTGCTGAGTCGGTTTCTAGGTGGGGTGTGGTGGGGCACAGGATGGGCTGAGTCTGTTGCTCAGTATGAGTCACAGGCCTGGGTACTGTCTGTTGGTCTGCCAGAATGCAATAGTCTGAAAAATAGCTCAAAGACCAATCTTAGGTTTCACGGTACTGATGTTACCTATGGGAACAATTGGGGAAGTTACAAATCTTGTGACCTCCTGGTACATGACTCCTGAGCAGTAAGTGATTATAGAAAAGCAAGCTAGGAAACAGTGGCTGGTTATTACTCAACTATGTCTATATCTTAGCAGAACTCAGGCCCCTGCCATATTTCTAACCTTCTGGTCTTTCACTTGTTTTACAAAGGTAGTTTCTGTCCCCAAACAAGGAGGGTATGAATTTCAGGAAAATCTATTATCATCCTTGCTTTAGAGTTAAACTATGAACAAAATGTCTCCCACAGTTAGGTTGGCCTGTGCCCAAGAATGAGCAAGTACAGTTAGCTTGTGAGGCTAGAAGCAAAATGGAGTCATTTATGTTAGATTTCTCTCACTGTTGTAATTTTGCAAAGGTGGTTTCACTTGGGGCAATTATGTTATTCAAAATGATAGAAGCATTTTATTAAATGGCAAGTGTAAGAAAGCTCCAATACTATATAATTAATACTTTGCAAATTATTTTATAAATATTTGCTATTTCACAAGTCATCTATAAAAATATCATCATGGTCGGGCCTCTTCTTGAAAATCATTTTTGGTGCCTTAAAAATCCAATGGACAATTCACCAAACACTTTGATTTCTTTATTTTTAATAATTTTCCCCTCTACACCACCTTAACCATCCACTCCCTTAGAAATGCCACAAAAACTTGTCATTACAATCATCTAATCACCTAAAAAATCTCAATGTATTCAAGTTCACTGTTTCTAAAACCTCTACTCCAACAATTTTCAAAAACACTCACACTTCCAATTCATAGGCCTCCTTCTACTTTTTGACTGTTCATCTCTGCCACTACACTTTCAATTTTTTAACCACAGGAGATTCTTTTATCTATTTTGTTAATCATTCCTTTAAATATACTCTCAAATCTCAAGATCCTCCAAACTTCTATTAAACTTCCCTGACATAATTTCAACCCTGATTAGATGCAATTTCCCACCCACTTTAGTCTACACTCAAGCAAGTGAATATAATGAAAGACAAGCACAAACCCCATGCTGATCAAATTCACATTCTGTTTCTCACCAAATGTTAAGAAAGCGTGGTGCTGTCCAGCAACAGACTTACATTTCCCTAAACATTTTCCTCTCCCTGCTACCCCGCTGAAATAATTATCTCATGCCTTCTCTCCTTTGCTCACATCTCCAATGACTGCTCCCCTCATCTCTCTCTGCATTGTTTCCTACTTTGCTGAGAAATTAGGAGCAATCAGAGCAGAATCATCTCTCATTCTCACATTTCCTCTCCATTTGCACTCCTATGTGCCACCTCTCCTCCCATGCAGACAGAAAAACCCTAGCTCTGAGGCCAGCCCCATTACCCATGGGAATGGCTCTAACCCCTCCTGCCTTTTCAAGGACCCTCTGCTCTTGCATCTTCTCCTTATTTACTTGAAATAAGTTCTTCAGTCTCCACTGGAGACTTTAACATAAAATATGCAGTAGTTCTCCCATGCAGTAGTTCTCTCAAACTTTTCCTAGATTTCCATATCTCCTCCTGGCCACCACACTTTCTTTATACTCATATTTACAACAAAACTTCTCAAAGGAGTTGTCCGTTTTTCTACATACCCATTGTCTGCTCTCAGTCTCTGTTAAATTCACTCCAGTAAGGAATTCCCACCAGATCACTGAAATCACCCCTTGCCAGTGGCCCATGACTCCTGGGTGGTGAGTTGTTAGGTCTCACCTTACATAAGCTGTACCGTGAGACCTGGAGCAAATGGACCATGCTTTTCTCCTGGACATATTTTCGCTCTTGGCTTCTGAAGTAGAGCTCCTTAGCGGCTTCTTTTGCTGCGTACACATTTCCTCATCTGACATCTGAATGTTGGAGGGCCCCAGGGCTCAGCCCTTTGTCTTCTTCTCTTTTCCTTGACATACATTCCCTGGGTGATCTTATCCAGTCTCATGCCTTTAAAAACCAACAATGCCCTAATGACTCCCAAATTTTATCACCACCCTACCTCTCCTCATTTTGCCAAGTGACCACTCAACAGCTCCATCTAGATGGTTTCTTGGTTTATCCACACCCCATTTCTTTATATCTTGGTTAATGGCATCATTTTCACTTGGCTATCCAGGCTCACACTCATCCAATCCAACAGCAAGTCTTAGTAGCTCCACTTTCAAAATATGTCTCAAACCCAACTACCATTCACCAACTTTACTGTTCTCACCCTAACCAGCCTACATTTTGTCTCACTTGGGCTTGGAAATAGTCTCCAAAGGGCACTTCTTACACCATATTTTTTTTTTTTTTTTTTTGAGATGGAGTCTTGCTCTGTCACCCAGGCTGGAATGCAGTGATGTGATCTTGGCTCACTGCAAGCTCCGCCTCCCGGGTTCACGCCATTCTCCCGCCTCAGCCTCCCGAGTAGCTGGGACTACAGGCGCCTGCCACCATGCCCGGCTAATTTTTTGTATTTTTTAGTAGAGACGGAGTTTTACCATGTTAGCCAGGATGGTCTCGATCTCCTGACCTCGTGATCCACCCACCTCGGCCTCCCAAAGTGCTGGGATTACAGGCGTGAGCCACCACGCCTGGCCCTCCTTACACCTTTTGATTCACTCTATATTCTTGAAAGAGTGGCCTTTCAAAAGAGCAAATATGATTATCCACTTCCTCCCCCCAAAACCTTGCAATTATTTCCCATTATAGTGAAACAAAAATCATCAGCCTTCTCACTGCGATCCACTCAGCCCGATGTGACTTACCCCTGCTAATCTTTCCAGCCCCATCTCCTGTTCTTCTTCCCATCACTTATACTGCACCCATTACCTTGGTCTTTTTGCTATTCCTCCAATGTCTAAGAATGTTCCTACCACATCACCTTTACAATTGCTGTACTTCCTGTGGGTCTTCACTTAGCTTATTTATACACTTTTGTCAGGTCTTTTGCTCAAATTTGACCTGTTCCCCCTGCCACACTCCTCATTACCTTCTAATCATTATAATTTATTTTTTTCAGTAGTGTATGTTATCATGTGTCTTAAAATGTTTTACATCTATTATTAGTCATTTGTGGATTTGCTCCTCACTAGAACATGAGTTTCATGACAACAGGAACTAGCTTTTCCCTTATTTACTGTCTTATTCCTGCTCCAGGCTAGATATAGCAATGAAGCACAATCCTTTGGCCAGGATTCTTGGGTTCTTTTTTAATCTCTCTGAGGTTTCTATCAGAGCTTTTGCTTTTCACCACCCCTGCTTTCAATAAAATCTGGAGGATGACTGAGTCTGTGATCCCTTTTCAGGGACCCAGTTTCCATCCTTACCCTGATAACCCTCCAAATATCCCCCATGCAATTGTACCCTTTGTGTCCCCTCTTCCTGTGTGGTGGAAATGTTCCTCATGCCACATTCTCCATTCTTGGCTTGTAATAAAACTCGCCTCTGAACACATAAACCATAGCTTTTAAATGAACACAATTCTTGATTTCAAGACAGGTTTGCTTTCAAGTTCATATTTCTGTTTGTAAATGTCCTTTTCTAAACAAACCAAAACATATTAGTGGTGAAGCTAATTGCATTCCATTTAAAACACAATTGTGATCAGGTTTTCATTGTGTGATTTTTCAACAGTGTATATCATATCCAGTTAGGGATTTACAGTTGTCAAATTCATTAGAGTAGGAAACATCAAGCACATTCAAGGAGAAAAGTGACTCAGACCAGAGAAAGTTATCATAGATTTTAATATGCATTATGATTGCCTGTTAATTTGGATAAATTATTTGCAGTTCTTTCTGTACATCTTTGCCTATCTTAAGCAAGTTTTATTTCAGTCTCTGTCTTTGAGCTAAATCATATACATCCCATTTAAACAATAAAATTTAACTACACAGGAAGATGAGGTAGATGTACTTTTCCCTCATGCTCCTACTAAGTGCAAATAAATAACCTGGGTATTTTAATCAACTTAAGAAGACTCTGAAAGGTGGAGAAAAGACAGCAGACCAGCTAAGGACATTGGGACCTGAGGAACGACTTGGAGGTAAGTTCACTGGGTCCTCCCTCCTCTCCTTCCTTCCTTCTTTCCTTCCTTCCCTCATTCCGTCCCTTCTCCCCTCCCTCCTCCTCCCCTCCCTCCATCCTTTCCTTCCTTCCTTTTTTCTTTCCTTCCTTCCTTCCTCCCTCCCTTCTTCCTTTCCTTCTTTCTTCCTTCCTTCCTCCTTCCTTCCTTCTTTTCTTTTTCTTTTGCTTCATATGTTCTAGATTGGATAATAGAGAATCCAGCAACCTAGAAATGTTACTGGATGCAGGCAAGAAAAGTCCGCTCTCTCTCTAGCCAAAGGACCAGGAAAGGGGCAGCCCAGCAAGACAGAACACTTTTATATGGTAACCACTCTACTCCAGCCAAATACAACACAAAATAATGTATAATCTATGGCCCCCAATGCCGCCTGCCCCAGCAAAGAGATTTTCAGCCTAGCCAGGCCAGAAGGAGGTCCGTAACACTTCCACTGGAGCTGTATCAGAGGAGGCCAAAATAAGTGTTCATGCATTGGAAGTCAACATAGTGACTCTCCTCTAGTGCCAATTCCCTCAAACAGATAAATAGATTTCATGTGATTCTTATACACATGCCTGCAAAATTTTTTGTAGATATAGACAAGATTATTCTAAAATTTACATAGAAAGGCAGAGGACTTGGAATAGCTAAAGCATGTTTTTGAAAAAGAATAAAGTGGAAGAAACCAGTCAATAAGTGCAGCAATTTCAGCACTTATTATTTAACTACAGCAACCAAGAAGGTGTGACTATTAGAAGAGTGAGAGTTTTTGCAGTGGCTGGTACCGGTTGTTCCTTTCCATGTTTAGTGCTTCCTTCAGGAGCTCTTGTAAGGCAGGTCTGGTGGTGACAAAATCCTCAGCATTTGCTTGTCTGTAAAGGATTTTATTTCTCCTTTGCTTATGAAGCTTAGTTTGGCTGGATATGAAATTCTGGGTTGAAAATTCTTTCTTTGAGAACGCTGAATATTGCCCCCCACTCTCTTCTGGCTTGTAGGGTTTCTGCGGAGAGATCTGCTGTTAGTCTGATGGGCTTCCCTTTTGTGGGTACTTGGAGTATAATAAAAAATAATAATAAAAAAAAGAAGAGTGAGAGACACGTAGACCAAAAGGACAGAAAAGAAAATCCAGAAATAGGATTTAGGGTAGAGTTAGGGTAGTCAGTAATGTAGGCAACTGATTTTTGACAGAGGTACACATGAATTGGTAGGGGAATTCACAGAGGAAAAGATAACATTGCTGACAAATGGTGCTGGAGGAAGTGGACATACTCAGGCAAAAAACAAGCAGAGTAAACACCTTCACTTAATTCTCACATCTTATACACACACATATACACACACACACACAATCTCAAAATGAATCAAGGGCTTAAATATGAAACACAAAACTGTAAAACTTATAGAAAAACATAAGAGAAATTCCTCATCTGTGCTTTTTCTCCCCACTCCTGCTCTCCTTCCCCTTGTAGGAGACCACAGACTCAGCGGCTGCACTGGCCACTCTCCAGCAGGCCCAGGACAATGGCGGGGCAGCCTCTTCACTGGACAAGGTGCCTCTTCATTGGACTTGTCCTCAGGCATGAGCTGAGAAAGACCCCAGGAGTCCTCCTCAGGAGAGGCCCCCAGGCAGGCTGGTAGACCAGGACCCCATTGACATCTCTGGCTGGGAGAAAGAAGTCAGCCCTGGCTTCTCTCCATGAAGGGCCATCCCTTTTTAAAATGTCAGCACGAGCCCTTGGACCCATCTCCTTGGGCCAGGACAGTATCCCCAGCATGCTCCTCAAGCTGTCTGCAAAGACCAGCTCAAGGTCCGGAAGACGGGGGCTGGAACTGGCCAGCGAGGTGCCTCCCACTCTCCTTTCCAGGGCCTTCTGAAAAATAAACTACCTGTTAAAGACTGAGTTGTATCCACCCCTCCAGATTCCTGTATTGAAGCCCTAATCCCCAGTGGGATGGTATTTGGAGACAAAGATTTTGGGAGGCAATGGGGTTAGAGGAAGTTGTAAGGGTGGAGCTGATATGATCTGATTAGTGCCCTTATGAAAAGAGACAGGAAAGACTTGCTCCTTCTTTCTCTGTCATGTGAGCACACAGCAAGAAGGAAGCTATCTATAAGCGAGAGAAGACTCTCACCAGAAACTAACGTCAGATTCTAGCTTCCAGAGTTGTGAAAAAAAAAAAAAAATTTGTGTGTGGTGTAACCCACCCAGTCTAAGATATTTTCTTTCAGTAGCCCAAGCTAAGGCACTACTATAAGGTGGGACCCAAAGTCCAATCATGCCAATGAGGAGGCTGAGGGGCCGAGACCAGAATCTGGCTGTGATTAAGTGGAGGCCCGATCAATTGCACTATTCTTGTTTGGGAAGAAACAGTCAAGAGAAGGAGATGCAGAGAATCAAGAATGTCTCAGAAGCAAGCCCCTCAACAAAGCTGACACCTCCCTAAATAGCTTGCCTATCTGCCGCCAAGATCACTGCAGGACCTCCATGTAGCACAACTGAGAAAAACTGCTGATGTCTCCCTGAATCCCTGTGCTCTAATGTGCTGATGTTGGATTTTCCACGTGGCATCTGTAGATGTGGCCATTCAGTCCATTTGACAACTTGCAATTCTCACTGGAAAGGAAGGGAAGGTTTCCGGTTTTGCCTTGTCAGCCTCTGAAAGCCATGTTAGTGTGAGTCCACTGTTGGAGATGGAGCCAGGCAGACCGTCGGTGCTGTACCACCAAGTCTAAGGTTGGGACCCTGCACTGGGCTCCTCCCAAGGATCCTCAGCCTCAGCACCCTCAGACCTTCCTGATGGCCCCTAGTCTATTCCTTTCTCTGTCTTCATCAAATGGCAGCAGACTCTTTCCTTAATAAAACTAGAGCCTTTCTTGAACTCAAAATAAATAAATGAATGAATTAAAGAACAAAGCAAAATTTAAAACTACTTTCCCATCGGTTTTTTGTTAGCTACTTTCTTCAGGACACCTTTGAAACTTGACCCTTGTTCCTCCTCCCTCTCCCAACAGTCCTGGTGCACTTGAGATACTGAAAGGAGAAAGCACCCTCTTACTTTCTCCTCACCACCAGTTTCTGTCTCAATTGACATTTTGTTAGAAGAAAATGAAGTAAATAGCTTTTCTCCCTTGCCACCACCACCTTTGTGCATGATCTCACCAATTGTCAAGCAAGCTGAAAGAGCAGTTGATAACTGCCTCAGCAGTATCATGACAGAAATCAAGAAAATAAATCCCCAGAAAAGTTAAAATATCTATTAGGAAACAGATGCAGTTTTCTTGCAGAATAATATCTTACAAATAATCGTCAGCATATTGGAATCATAAAACGCTAAAACTGGAGTTGGGTTTAGAAATCATCTAATCCACCTCCTTTATGTCGTGATGAGGAAATTGTTACAGAAACAACTGGGGAGGGAGAGGGAGGGGAGGGGAGGGAGGGAGAGTGAGAGAGTAAGCACAGTGGAGTTTGCAAGTGTCAGAGTTTGTAAAACTCTGCATACAGAAAGTAAAACATGCATACCTAAAACTGCACAAACTGCCGATGCGCACCTCCACAAGTTATCACAGAGTGAATGTGCACATGTAGCCACAGCCTCTGGTCCAGAAATAAGCTTCATCAGCCTTGCAGAAGAAGCCACTCTTGCTCCCTACTATAGTTTGGATATGGTTTGTTTGTTTCCACCAAATCTCCTATTGAAATTCAATCCCCAATATGGGAGGTGGGGCCTAATATGAGGTGTTTAGGTCATGGGGCATATCCTTTATGAATAGATTGATGGTCTTTCTTGGGGTCAGTGAGTTCTCACTCAGTTTCCATGAAGGCTAGCTGTTTAAGACAAAAGACAAAAGCCTGGCACCTCCCCTGTCTCTGGCTTCCTCTCTTGCTGTGTGATCTCTGCACATGCTGACTCTCCTCAGCTTCCCATCAGGAGTGGAAGCAGCCCGAGGCCCTCACCAGACACCCAATCCTCAACTTTTCCAGATAGAATTGTGAGCCAAGTAAAACTTTTTTCTTTATAAATTGCTGAGTCTTAGGTATTCCTCTGTAGCAACACAAAAAGGACTATTTACTCTTTCCAAAGGTGACCACTCTCTCTGTTGTGCTATTAATGTTCACATTTTAAAACCAACAGTCTTTGTACCACTTACGCATTTTTAAACATTGCATTTTAGTTTTGTCTTCTTACACACTTTGTAATGATAACATGAAATGTGCATTCCTCTGGTCTGCCTTTGCTCACTCAGTATTTTTTGTATTCAACTGTGTTGTGGTATCAGCAGTGGCTTGTTGGTTTTCACTGCAGAATAGAATTCCATGGTATGAACACTTCACAGTCTATTGCCTAGTGTTTTTTTTTTTGTTTGACATTTGAGTGGTTTTGAGTTTTGGGCTACTATGGCTAACGTGTGTTGTTATGATTTATGATTGATGAGCATGCTAAGTCATAGCATGGGCACATATTCATTCAGGCTCTTACTGCTGAACAGACCAATGTCTGATAGAAGCAAGAGGCCCCTAACGGTTGGTTATCTGAGGAATAGTGATAAAGAAATCTTTATTTGTTTTTAACTTTTATTTGAGGTTCGAGGGCACATGTGCAGGTTTGTGACATGGGTAAATTATGTGTTGTGGGGGTTTGGTGTACAGGTTATTTTGTCACCCAGGTAATAAGCATAGTACCCGATAGACAGTTTTTCCATCCTCTCCCTCCTTCCAACCTCCACCCTCCAGCAGGTGGCTAGTGTTCCCTCTTTGTGTAAGAGACCTTTAAAAGCTGCTAGAAGGTGGTAAAAATATTTGGGGAGCTGGAGATTGAAATTTATGTGGGAAAGCAGGAAATAAGATGAGGAATCATTAACTGAAAATTTTTTATTAAAAGACTTGAGAGAAAACAAATGATTCCTTCCCAGTATATATAAATATATTCCTTGATGCCAGACTGCCCCTCATAGACCATGGTGATGATTCATGAATTATTACACTTGCTGGAATATAGTCACATTCACCTTGTGTGGTCACGTGTAGGCTAATATCTGTAACTAGCCTTAAATTACTTCTTAAGTTCATTTTATTATGAAACTGTGGAACATGGTTATATGTTTAAGGAAAAATCTCTTTAGGTAGGTATTGACACAAGTGTTGTAGATTTGAAGTTTTAAATCAATATTAAATACATTTTTTATCTTGTTTGTAGCTTGAAACATTATTTAAATCAGCAATTGTCTAGATAAGAAAATAAGTCATGTGGATTTGACAGGTCTGAAAATTGGAAAACTCTTGATTTTTAGAATCCAGAGGATTTACCCAGAGGCAAACTAAAACTGTGGCAGAAAATTAAACCGCTTAAATGTGGTTCTTAGACCACTGGCAAATAAATAACAACACAAGACAGCATTCTGGATTCAGCAGGCAAACTGCTTCCATGGCTTCTGAATATATTGAGAACAAATACTAGCCTGTAAAATGAAAAGAAAATAACTGAGTGCTTCCTCAATGTGTGATGTGAGGAATACATAACATAGCTTCTCTCCCAAAGAAATGTGCCATTAAGAGAAAAATCTCTTCCCAAATTGCTGTCTTGATGCAGATTGATGGTGTGCCAGCCTGGAATATGGGAAATGTGCCAGCCTCAGAGGCAATGTTCACCTGTGATCCGGGACTGTGTGGCCTCGGGCAGAGGACTTAAACTCTATGACCTCCTCTTTTCCTCTGTTTCATGGATACAATGCTTTCCTTGCATGGTACTTGTGATCATAAGAAATGTGTATGGAGAATCTAACACGTGCCCAGGGACCTTGTAGGAACCGAGTAACGGGCATTTTCTCTGTATTTATTTAACAAGTAATTCTTGAGCACCTATTGTTTGCCAAGAACAGTTCTTGATGCAGGGGAAAGTGCAACCCCCAAAAAAATTCTTCCTTCATGGAAATGCTGTTCTAGTGTTTGTGAAGGAAAGGGGCAAAAACAACAAACACTTCAAGTGCATAGTATTTTAGAGAATCCTAGGTGCTCTGGGAAGCAGGAAGCAGGTAGAAAGTGCTGCATTCACTCCACGGGGGACTCCACAGGAGGCTGTGCAGCCCCAGGCATGTGCCATGTGGGTTCACCATCAAGAAGTGACCTGCCATTCAGCTGTTAGGAGAGCTGTTGGCTGCAACACTGGAGCTGAGAACATACTGTACCAAAGGAGCCTGGTGACTTAGCATGGCTATGTCCTTGGGTCTGGTTATTTCTATGCAATGTGGGATTCTTCTCTAAACAACCTTTGCATTGGAGCTCACCACCGAGCCGGCCAGGACTTTCTCAGAGCTCCGCTGTGAGCTGAGGTTTTTCCCATCTTCTTTCCTTCCTACTCTCCTTTCAGGGCTGTCCAACCCACATCATGCCAATGGCTCTCCCTGCCTCTCCCATTCCCTACCCTTTACCAGTCATGTGTGTGTGTGTGTGTGTGTGTGACTCTGTCTTGGGGATGCTTCCTGGAAGACACTTTCAACATAGATGAGATGGAGTGGATGTGAGAGGAAAGTGGAGGGAAGCATCCCAGTGGAACTGTACGAGGACAGTCCCTGCACTGCTGATGAGGTATTCCATGTCATCAGTGGGGGATCCCAGCCTCACACACACCTCTGTCCCTCTTCCCTGCATCCTTGTGGGGGAGAAGCTGGTCCATGCTGACACTAAAAATGCATTAAAAAGTTTTTAATGTTAAAGAGACAATTATTCTGCCTACATTACCTTATTCAAGTGAGTTATGTAACCGAGGAACAGAGAGTAATTCGCAAACCCAAGCTTTCTGTTCTGCTGCAGCATAGTGTAGAAAAACAAGTGAAATTTAGCATAGTTCACTTGGCATCTGCTGCTTGGTATGAGATGCAGATTCATCACCACTGCAAGCTGAGCTGCTACCACATTATTTCTTTTTGTTTCGAAAGGCCCACTGGTTATGAATGCAGGATGGCTGACAGGGAAGGCAATGTGGCTCCCTGGCAGCAGTGATGGAATTTTGCAAGCCACTCAGGTCATCAGTACATTCTTTGAAGGCTGTTCACTAACTGGCTGGAGGCCCCCAGAAAGGCTGATGAAGGCAGGCCTGGGTCGGGAAGCTGTGCCTCCCGGTGTGCACATGCCTACCAGCCACCACAAAGCCAGCACTTTGGAGAAGGCTCTCAGGAAAATCTAGGAGACACCAGCTGCCTGTCATCTCTGCCCATCTTTCTCTATGTCTGCTCTGCACAAGTGTACTCAGCATCCAACCAACCTTACAATCTAATAGTTGCCACCATGAAAGATGGACATTCTGGAGGAGCCACCCAACGTTGGTCACATTTGACTAGAACTTCAACCATGCAAGAATGTCCTGGGTGTTCAAATATTAAAAATATATATGTATTTCAAGGAGTGAGAATAGCATGTGCAATCATACAAAGGGGTAAAAGAGCAACGATACTTTACATTTTCATTAAGCTTTAACTAAGATAATATTGATAATTAATCCTAGAAATGTAGGCAAGTGACAGGTGGCAAAGGTCCTTTACTACATAGACTGTATGCTGCACAAAGGAGTTGCATCCTATGAACTACTCTTTTGGAAAATTCATGTCATGTATCCAAAACTTCTCAGCATGTTATAAGGACCACTCATATTAGGGGCAACTTAATTAATGGCTAGAAGAAGAAGCTCCTGTCAAAACAGACTCTGAAAAGGGATTGGAAATGTTGACATATTGTCTTCACCCTCAATCACACAAAACAATTTCTTTCATTGGCTTGCCAAGGTATAAAATTCTATTAAGTCAAGAGTCATTCTTTTTTTACTTTATTTCTATAAATGTTCCCTCAATGCCTTCAGCAGGGCCAAGACTCAGAGAGCATCATTAGCTAACAACTTAGTGGATAAATCGATGACTCCTGAAGGAAAGCAAATTAACTCCTGGAGTCAGGAAGGACCACTGAGGAATGACAGAGACATTGGGACCACTCTTCAGTTTGACCGAGGACCAGGCTTGATTGCTCTTGTTTATGGTGGGAACTGCATCATTGCACTGAAAATGCCTTGTAGTGCTGTTATTTAATACCGCAGTGTGCCATTATCCTTAAGCTACACCAGAGTGAAACTGCAGGAAACACGATGATATAAAATTATAATGTAAGTCCTATCCTTGACAAGGGGAAAAATGACAACACTCTGTTTCTTCATATTAATGCCTTCTTGTAACTTCTCATGTTTTAAGTTCTTTAAGTTTGTAGCTTGAAACATTATTTAAATCAGCAATTGTCTAGATGAGAAAATAAGTCATTATATAAAACCTGGAAGTCTGCCAAATACGTGTATTAGTCAGGGCTTAGTTGCAGAAGACAGAATCTACTTCAGCTAGTTTCAGTAAGAAAATAAGTATTACGGGAAAGCAAATAGCTTACAGGTTTGTTGGGAGGGCCCAAGAGATAGATTCTAGATCAGAAGCCCTCCATCCCTCTGCATGAGTATCCACCGAAGAGAGGTGCTGAATTCACTCCCAAAGTGTAAAATAGTAGCCACCTGGGGCACAGATGGCGGGATTCATACAACCCCTCCAGGCAACTCTGGTTTGTAGCCAGGCTGAGAACTACTGCTCTAGGTTGAACATTCAGGATTCCAAGAATCACACTCAAGTCAGGCCAGCAGGGGAGCTGCTGCGGCTTCTACACGAGGGCATTGCTGGTTCCATATCATGCTATCATCATGAGCAGCCTCACACAGATCTCAGCCTTTGATCCTACCACCAGCTCCAGCATGAACTGAACTAACAAAGTAGATTTCTTGTGTCTTGACATCTGAAAGCTAGTGAATGGATAGTAGAACTCAATTACAGTCATGCATAGCTTAAGGATGGGGATACATTCTGAGAAATGCACCCTTAAGCCATTTTGTCCTTGTGTGAGCATCGTAGAGTGTATTCATACAAACCTGGATGGTGTAGCCTACTACACACCTAGGCTATATGGCTAAACCTGGCTCCTATATGGCTATAGAGCCTATATATGGCTCCTAGGTTAAACCTGTACAGCATGCGGCTGCACTGAATACTGTAGGCAACTGTAACACCATAGTAACTATATGTGTATCAAAACATATCTAAACCTAGAAAAGGTACAGTAAAAATATAGTATAAAAGATTTAAAAGGCCAGGTGCGGTGGCTAATGCCTGTAATCCCAGAATTTTGGGAGGCTGAGGTGAGCGGATCACGAGGTCAGGTGTTAGAGACCAGCTTGGCCAACATGGTGAAACCCCGTCTCTACTAAAAATACAAAAATTAGCTGGGCATGGTGGTGGGTGCCTGTAGTCCCAGCTACTTGGGAAGCTGAGGCAGGAGAATCACTTGAACCCGGGAGGCAGAGGTTGCAGAGAGCCAAGATCACACCACTGCACTCCAGCCTGGGCAACAGAGCGAGACTCCATCTCAAAAAAAAAAAAAAAAAAAAAAAATTAAAAAATGGTCCACCCATATAGGTCACATGCCATGACTGGAGCTTGCAGGACTGGAAGATGCTCTGGGTGAGTCAGTAAGTGAGTGGTGAGTGAATGTGAAGGCCTAGGGCATTACTGTGCACTACTGTAGACTTTATAGAAACTAGATATTTGGGCTACACTAAATTAATTAAAAAAAATTTTTCAATAACCAATTAACCTTACTGTAACTTTTTAACTTTATACACTATGTTTTTAATTTTTTGACTCTGTAATAACATTTAAGTAGAAACACAAACACATTTTACAGCTATACAAAAATATCTTTTTTCCTTGTATTGTTTTCTATAATCTTTTCCCTATTTTTGAATTTTTTCATTTTAGTTTTTAAACTTAAGAAAAACCCTACAAGATAAGTTCTTACCTTAGCATAGGCCTATACATTGTCAGGATCATCAAGATGTTACCAGATGATAGGAATTTTTTTTATCTCTACTATATAATCTTACAGGGTTACAGTCATATATGTAGTCCATTGTTGACTAAAATGTTACTATGCAGGGCATGATGGTATTGCTAACACAGGGAAAAAAGGACACATACACACACACACACACACACAAACAAAAAACAGATGTCTTCATGACCAAATGCAGTCAAAACAGTAGAATCAGCGGAAATACAGCTTCACTTTCCCCTTCCAGATCTGAAGTGAGCACAACTTTTTAGCTGAACTGAAATCACCTACAGCTCCCTAACTGCAAGGAAGCCTAGAAAATAACATTTTTTGGCTTTTCACCCTCTGCAGTTCAAGAAAGAACAATAGAAAGAGTGAAGTGGAGGCTGAACACCAGGCTACCTTTAATTTACTTATGGGGTAAATAATTAACATAAAGATCGTAATTTTGAACGAGGTTTACCCTTGTACATCAGGAAATAGAATTGTTTAAAATTATCATCCTCTTTCCACTCCACTATGAGTTTGGAAGTTCTCACTCCAATCCTCACATCAAGAAAAAACTTCCAAAATGGATTAACAACAATTCTCCATAAATGGTCTAGAAACTAGAAGGTCTACTGCGTGTCAAAAGATGAAAAGACAGGTGATATGGAGAGTCATAGCTTACCAGGACCACAGACATCACTGGAGCCAGAAACTGCAAAGGGCACTTCAACAGCAACTGGAAAATTGCAAGAGGCTGAAATAAATACTAGCTTGAGAGTTAAAACTTTCCTGGGGTAGGCAGGGGCACCGCACTGTTGTGACCAAGCTCTCATGGTAAAGGTGGCAGAAAAATCCTCTTATGCTTCAGGCAGGGCACGGGGAAAAGCAACCATTCTGAGATAGCACCAGAGCTTCCTATTCTCAGAGGCGGGAGTTTGCCCACCGGGAAAATACTTTGCTGGAACCTTACTCACCTAGGGGGAGTGCAGTGGGAAGGGATGTCTCAAGCCCTCTCTGGCCTTGGCCTTTCTAGTTTACATAAGGGGATAAAAAGACTAGGAAATGTCTCTGAAGGTCACAATCCAGGGACTTAGGCATACTAAAAAAACAGACATTTAATGAGGAGATTACAGAATCCTTCTTAACCTTTCCAACATCTTACCATCGTTATCAACAGAACTCCAGTAAAGTAACTGCGGGTTACAAATGAGAGAGCTGCAAGACACGAACTCTACTTAAGATAGAATTTTTAGGAAAACCCAAAGGCAACAGAGGAGATCAAAACAGGGAAACTAAAGGAAATGGAAGCCTCTTACGTCTATATCTAAAGCAAACTTTAAACACAGCCTAACTCCTACCCAGATAAACATAAAACCTCACAATAATGGCCTGTTAACCTGAGCTCCTATTACTGTATCCATCATTTCCAGCTTCAACATAAGAAAAAACTGTGAAGACCCAAAGCAAATATCAAAACCAAACTTACAGCTAGGAGAGATTTTAGAATTATCAGACGAGAAATATAACTATCATTAATATGCTAAGGACTCTAATAAAAAGAAGTGAGCATCATGTAAGAACAGACTTGTAGTGCAAGCAGTTGGGTGAAGACACTAAGGAATCAAAAGAATGCTAGATATCAAAAACAATGTCAAAGAAATGGAGAATGCCTCTGATGGGCTCATCAGTACACTTGAGAAGATCAAAGAAAGAATCAGTGAGCTTGAAGATATGCCAATGGAAACTTCCCAAACTAAAGTGCAAAGAGAAAAAAAAAAGATGAACAGCAATAAGATAACACACAGTATATCCAAGAACTGTGGGACAATTATAACATGCATAATGGGGATATCAGAAAGAGAAGAATGAAAGTAAGGAGCATAAGAATTTTTGAAGTAAGAATAATGGCTGAGAGTTTTCCAAAATCAATGACAGACACCAAAACAGGGCACTCAGGGCCTAGGATGGTCAGAGAACACCAAGAAGGATTCATAGCAAGAAAATCTACATTTAGGTATATTATATTTAAACTGAAGTAAGCCGAAGAGAAAAAGAAAATATTGAAAGAAACCAGAGGTGAGATAAAGAACCTTACCTACAGAGCAACAAAAATAAGAATGATATCAGAAGCCATGAAAGCAAGAAGAGAGTGGAGTGAAATATTTCAAGATTTGAGGGAAAAACTATCGACTGAGAATTCTGTATCTGGTATAATTGTTCTTCAAAAGGAAAGTAAAATGAAAAATAACATAAAAATAAAAAGTAAAGGAAAAAGACATCCCAAGACAAACAAATGCTGAAAGAATTTGTCACTAAAGATCTACCTTGGAAGAAATGTTAAATTCTTTGGAAAGAAGAAAAATGATATAGGTCAGAACTCATATCTACATAAAGAGAGAAAGAGAATTGAAGAAGAAACAAGGTAAAATAAAGATCTTTAGTTTTTCTCATTCTTAACTGATCTAATAGATAGTGGTTTGTTCAACATTATAGTATCAACAATACATTGTGTAATTATCGCTTATGTGTAAATAAAATGAATGACAGCAATACCGTAGGGCAAGTTTGTCCAACCTGTGGCCCAGGACAGCTTTGAATGGCCCAACACAAATCTGTAAACTTTCTTAAAACATTATGAGATTTTTTGTTTATCAGCTATTGTTAGTACCAGTGTATCTTATGTGTGGCCCAAGACAATTCTTCTTCCAGTGTGGCCCAGAGAAACCAAAAGATTGGACACCCCTGCTAGAGGGGGTAGAAAGGAGGACTTGGGAATACTCTGTTGGAAGTTACCTGCACTACCTGTGAAGCAGTATAATGTTGAGAATTATTACATTTAGATTAGATGTAAATACATATTGCAAACTCTAGGGTAAATACTTAAAAATAAAACAAATATAATTGATACATTAAGAGGAGTTAAAATTGAATAGAAAAAAGCCAAAAAAAAAAAAAAAAAAAAACAGGGAAGACAAAAGAAAAAGAAAAAAAGGAACAGAAACAACAAATAGAAAACAGTTATAAGTATGGTATACATGAACACAACTACATCAACAATCACTTTAATGTGAATGATCTAAGGCATTCATTAAAAGATAGATAATCACAGATTTTATTTTAAAAAATACCCCAAAATGTAAATAGATTTAAAATTATGGCCATCCATCAACTGGATTTAATTGACATTGATAGAATTCTTTATGCAATAATAGCAGAATACACATTCTTCTCAAATACATATGAAATAGTCACCAAAATAGAACATATTCTGGGCCACAAAATACATCTTAAAATTTTTAAAAGACTAGACATCAAATAAAGTATGCTCTAAGACCATAATGGCATAAAATTAGAAAACAGTAATAGAAAGATAGTTGAAAAATTCAAAAAATATTTAGAGATTAAATAACACACTAGTAAATAACACACAGTCAAGTAGTGGCAGAAGAATTTTTAAAAAATATTTTAAACTAAATGAAAGTGAAAATACAATTTGTGAAAATTTTGCATCACAGAAAGCAGTGTTTGGAGGGAAACATATCATTGAACGCATACATCAGAAAAGAAAAATAATTTTAGTCCGGGCGCAATGGCTCACACCTGTAATCCTAGCACTTTGGGAGGCCAAGGTGGGTGGATCACCTGAGGTCAAGAGTTCGAGACCAGCCTGGCCAAGATGGTGAAGCCCCATCTCTACTAAAACTTCAAAAATTAGCCAGGTGCGGTGGTACACACCTGTAGTCCTAGCTACTCAGGAGGCTGAGGCAGAAGACTTGCTTGAACTCAGGAGGTGGAGGTTGCAGTGAGCTGAGGCTGCGCCACTGCACTCCAGCCTGAGCAACAAAGTGAGACTCCATCTCCAAAAAAAAAGAAAAGAAAGAAAATAAGAATAATTTCAAAAATTGATAAATTAAGCTTCAGACTTAGGAACCTAGAGGAAGACAAATAATATAAACCTAAAGCAAGCAAGAAGAAAATAAATAATATAAATCTGAGCTGAAATCAATGAAATAGAGGTAAACACTAGAGAAAACCAATGAAACTAAAAGCTTCTTCTTTGCAAAGATAAATAAAATTGATAAACCTCTAGTTAGGCTAACAAGAAAAAAAATAGAAGACTCAAATAACTAATATCATAAATACAAGAGGGACCCTTACTACAGATCCCATAACTGTTAAAAGGATAATAAAAATATCATGAACAACACTATTCCCACAACCCTTAGGTAAAAGATGCAATTCCATGAAAAATGCAATGCACTTAAACTGATACAAGGAGAAATAGATAATCATAGTAAGCCTATATCTGTTTAAGAAATGAGTCAATAATTAATAACACTTCAGAAAAGAAAGCACCAGGTCCAGTGGTTTTACTGGTAAATTCTACCAAACACTTACTTAAAAAAAGACATCAAATTATCTACAATATTTTCCATAAAATAGAAGTAGAGAGGAACTTCCTAGCACATTGTATGGGGCAACTTAGTACCTTAGTACCAAAACTAGATACACATTTTGAGAAAGGAAAATTACAGATCAATATTGTTCGTGAATGTAAATGCAAAAATTACCTACAAAATATTAACAAACTGAATCTAGCAATGTATAAAAAAATTATACATCATAACTAAGTGGGATTTATTTCTGGAATGCAAAAATGGTTTAACATATGAAAATTAGTCAACATAATACAGAATCATGAGAAAAACAGAGTCAAGGAGAAAAACAAAACAAAACACACGATCACCTAAATGATATGGAAAAAGTATTTGACAACATTCAACATCCTTTAATGATGAAAAAACTTAAGAAACTAGGAATAAAAGGAACCTATCTCAGCATAATAAAGGCTATGCAAAAAAACCCACAGCTAACATCATACTCAGTTGTGAAGAACTGAAAGTCTTCCCTCTAAGATCAGAAACAAGACAAGGATGCCTGCTTTTAGCACTTGTATTCAACACAGTACTGTAAGCCCCAGCCAGAAACAGTAAAATTATCTCTGTTTGCAGATGACATGATCTTACATATAGAAAACACTAAAAATTCCACAAAAGACTTGTTGAAACTAATAAACAGAATCATCAGAGCTACAGGATATAAAATCAACACATAAAAGCAGTTTTGCTTTAATAGACTAACAAGGAACAGAAAAGAAAATTAAGAAAATGATTCTGTTTACAGCAACATAAAACTAGAATGAACTCTAAGGTAGCTACAGAGTTGTACACTGAAAACTATACAACATTGCTGATGAAATTAAAGAAGACACAAATAAGTGGAAAGATATTCTGTATTTATGGACTGGAAGACTTAATTTTGTTAAGATGGCAATACCACCCAAAGTGATCTGCAGATTCAAAGCAATCCCTGTTAACATCCCAGAGGTGTTTTTGAAGAAAGGAAAAAAATCATCAAAAAATTCTTAAGGAATCTGAAGGATTCCAAAATATCTTGTACTGCCAAAACAATCTTGAAAAAGGAAAAAATGTGCAGTTTTCCTGATTCAAAACTTATTACAAAGCTACGGTAATCAAAACAGTGCAGTACTGCCCTGAAGAGTCATATAGACAATTGGAGTAGAATAGAGAGCCCAGAATATAGCCTCGCTTAAATAGTCAAACGCTATTCCATAAGGATCCCAAGATCATTCAATAGGAAAAGAGAGGCTCCTCAAGAAATGGTATTGAAACCTGGATATTCACAGGTAAACAAATGAAGCTGGACTCTTATCTTAGATCATATACAAAAACTAATTCAAATAGATCAAGGACCTAAGCGTAAGACCTAAAACTATAAAACTCAGAAGAAAGCATAGGGGGAAAGTGATGTGACATTGAATTTGGCAATAAATTTTTTGGCCAAAAGCACAGACAAAAAAACTAAAAATAGATAAACTGGACTACACCAAAATGAAAAACTTCTATGCATCAAAGGACTCATTCAGTAGACTGAAAAGGCAACCTGTGGCCTGGAAGAAAATATTTGCAAACTATATGTCAGATAAGGGGTTAATATCCAGAATACATAAAGAACTTCAACTAATCAACAATAAAACAAACAAGCAAATAACCTGATTTAAAAAATGGGCAAAGAGCTTGAGTAGATATTTCTCCAAAGAAGATATACAAATGGCCGATAGACATATGAAAAGATTATCATCACTAATTATTAGAGAAATGCAAATTAAAACCACAGTGAGATATCACCTCAGACTCATTAAAATGGCTACTATCAAAAAACCAAAAACTTGGCCTGGTGCGGTGGCTCACGCCTGTAATCCTAACACTTTTGGGAGGCCAAGGCGGGCAGATCATTTGAGGTCAGGAATTCGAGACCAGCCTGGCCAACATGGTGAAACCCCGTCTCTACTAAAAATACAAAAATTAGCTGGGTGTGGTGGTGCATGCCTGTAATCCCAGATACTCAGGAGGCCAAGACAGGAGAATTGCTTGAACCCGGGAGGCGGAGCCAAGATTGCGCCACTGCACTCCAGCGTGGGCGACAGAGTGATACTCTGTCTCAAACAAACAAACAAACAAACAAAAAAAACACACACACACACCAAAAAACTCAGAAAATAACAAGTGGTGGTGAGAATGCATAGAAATTGGAAACTTGTGCACTGTCAGTGAAAAGCAAAATGGTGTACACCTGTGGGAAACAGTATAGTGATTCCTCAAAAAATTAAGCTCATATAATCCAGCAATCCCACTTCTGGGTACATATAAAAAAGAATTGAAAACAGGGCTCTGAAGAGGTGTTTGTACACCCAGTTTCATACCAGCATTATTCACAATAGCCAAGAAACAGAAGGCTTCACGTATCCATCAACAGATGAATGGGTAAACAAAATGTGTATATACCTAAAGAAATCCTGATACATGCGACAACATGGATAAATCTTGAGGATATTATGCTTAGTGAAATAAGCCAGTTGCAAAAAGATAAATAATGCATGATTCCACTTATATGTAGTATCTAGAGGAGTCAGGTTCATAAAAATCAAAAGTAGAGTGATGGTGGCAGGGGGCTCAGGGAGGAGGAATTGGGGAATTGCTGCTTCATGGGTACAGAGTTTCAGTTTTGCATGATAAAAAAGATCTACAGATTGGCTGCACAGCAACGTGAAAAAATACTACTGAACTCTACACTTAAAAAATCTATAAATAATACATTTATGTGTGTTATCACAATTAAAAATAAATAGTAAAATATGTCATGTTAATAGAATAAAGGAAAACAGCCACATCAACTCAGTAGATGCAGAAAAAGGATCTGACAAAATTCAACATATTTTCAAGGTAAAAGCCCTCAACAGTCTAGGATTAAAAATAAACTTCTTTAACCTGATAAAGTATATTTATGAAAAACTCACAGACAACACCATGCTTTTGGTGAATAACTGAATACTTTTCCTTTACTCTGAAGAAAAAGACAAGGATGTGCCCTCTCGCCACTTTTATTCAATATTATACTGAAATTTCTATTCAGGGCAATTAGGCAAGAAAAAAACTGTATTTAGATTGGAAAAAAATAGGTAAAATTATGTTTAATTGCAGATGTATACAAGATGTATACAAGACATCTTGTATACAGAAAATCCTAAGGAATCCACCAAAAAATATTATAGTGAGTAAATTAGTTATAAATGTTGAAGGATAGAATCAGCTTATAGAATTCAATTATATTTTTGTACAATTTTTAAAAATCTGAAAGTAAAACTAAGAAAACAATTTAACTCACAATAGCATCAAAAAGAACAAAATGCTTAGAAACAAATTAAAAAGGGAAGGGCCCAACATACACTGAAAACTGCAAAACATTGTTAAAAGAATTAAATATGATCTAAATAAATGGGAAAGATATTCCAAATTTCATGGATTGAAAAAAATTGTTAATGTAGTACTATTCCTCAACTTGTTCTACAGATTTATCACAATCCTTATAAAAATTCCAGTCAGCTAATGTTTGTTGAAGAAATTGAGCTAATAATAATGCCAGATGCACTTGAAATCGCATGAAAATGCTAGATGCACTTATAGCCAAAACAATTTTGAAAATTAACAAAAAAAAACAGCTAGAGAAATCACACTTTCCAATTTTAAAATGTACTACAAAGCTACAGTCAGCAAGACTGTAGTATAAGTATAAGAATAGGCACGTATATCATTGAACTGAGAGAAACAAGCCCTAGAAATCAAGCAGTACATTTATGGGAGATTGATTTTGGGTTTATTTTATTTTATTTTTTTTGAGGCATAGTCTCCCTCTGTCTCCCAGGATGCAGTGCAGTGGTGCAATCTTGGCTCACTGCAATCTCTGCCTCCCAGGTTCAAGCAATTCTCCTGCCTCAGCCTCCCGAGTAGCTGGAATTACAGGCACGCACCACCACACCCTGCTAATTTTTGTATTTTTAGCCGAGATGGGATTTCACCATGTTGGCCAGGCTGGTCTCGAACTCCTGACCTCAAGCAATCTGCCCTCCTTGGCCTCCCAAAGTGCTGGGATTACAGGCATGAGCCACTGTGCCCGGCCTGGCGATTGATTTTTGACAATCGTGCCAAGAAAATTCAATGGGGAAAAAATAGTCTTCTCAACAAATGGTGCTGGAACAACTGGATATCCACATGCACAAAAAAGATTTGGGACTCTTCTCTCACATCATATGCAAAAATTTACTCAAAGTAGATCCTAGACTTAAATGCAGAAACTAAACATGTAAAACTCTCAGAAGAAAATTTAGGTGCAAATTTTAATAACTTAGGTTTAGGCAATGTATGACATAAAAAGCATAAGCATTAACAGAAAAAAATACATACATTAAATTTATCAAAATTTTAAAAATTGTGCTGCAAATGACACCATTAAGAGAATGAAAAAATTATTGATAGAATGGAATAAAATTTTTGCAAATCATATATCTGATAAGGTGCTTATAATCAAGAATATACAAAGAATTTTTACAAGTCAATGCTAAAATGTAAATAATCTAATTTAAAATGGGCAGAGGATTCGAAGAGACACTTTTTTTTCAAAGAAGGTACATAAATGACCTATATATACAACAAAAATATGCTCCAATCATTGGCTATCAGGGAAATGAAAATCAAAACCACAATGAGGTTTGTGTGTGTGTGTGTCTGTGTGACAAGGCCTCACTCTGTTGCCCAGGGTTGGTTAGGATTTGGAGAAATTGGAATCCTCTTATAATGTAAAATAGTGCAAACACTTTGGAAAACAGTTTGGTGTTTTCTCAAAAGGTTAAACATAGAGTTACCATATGACCCAGCAATTCCACTCCTAGGTATATCCCTAAGAGAAAGGAAAATGTATTTATGTCCACACAAAAACTTAAGCACAGATGTTCAAGGTAGCATTATTCACAACAACTCAAAGTAGAAAAGCACTGCAACATTTACCAACTGAGGAATGACTAAAGAAAATGTGGTATATTCATGCGATGGACATTATTAATCAATTTGAAAAAGTACGAATACATGCTACAACATGGGTGAATCTGAAAAATGTGCCATGTAGGGAAGCCAGTCACAAAAATCACCATATTGTATAACTGCAGTTACATGAAATTTCCAGAATAGACGAATCTACTAAGACAGAATGTAGATTAATGTTTGCCTGAGGAAATGGAGATTGACCGGTAATAATATAGGGTTTCTTTCTGAGGTGACAAAAATGATCTAAAATTGATTGGGGTAGTGGTTGCACAACTCAGTGAATATAATACAATCAATTTACCTGTAATTTTAAGGATGAATTTTATATTATGTTAATTATAACTCAGTGAAGCTTTTAAAAAAAGATAACATTTAGCTGTCAGGGCAAAATGAAGGCATTTTTATTAATGTAGGGATTCAGAGAGAATTCAGTTTGTGAATCTTATCCGAGAAAGATGCTTGAAGCTCTTAACCCAAATGTTAACTGGAGCAGAACAAATATGTCAAAACAGCAGTGGTTAATTAGCAAGCAGTGATGAGCACAGACTGTTACAATAGGTACAGTTAGTAGATGGTGATGATGAGGCTGGGATTGAGGGGGAAAGATTCATTGCGGATTTCTGAAGTGAAACATATTATATGATAAAAGAATCTTAATAGTGGCTTGACACAAAAATATACCTCTTCAACCAATCTCAAGATTTACAAATGTGCATGGTGGAATAAGTGAGGGCTCCTAATCAGAGTTCTTGCGTGGGGAAGAACAGAGAAGGGATAGAGTTTGAATGCTGCCTTTTGGTGGAAACAGAAATGTGTAATAAGGCATCTTAGTGAGTGGTCTGATAATTATTTATTTTTATATTATTATAAAGAAATTGACTGTAAAGAAACTTTTTTTTTTTAAGACAGATTCTTGCTCTGTCCCAGGCTGCAGTGCAGTGGCACGATCTCTGCTCACTGCAGCCTCCGTCTCCTGGGTTCAAGTGATTCTCCTGCCTCAGCCTCCCGAGTAGCTGGGATTACAGGCGCCTGCCACCATGCCTGGCTAATTTTTGTATTTTTAGTAGAGACGGGGTTTCACCATGTTGGCCAGGCTGGTCTCAAACTCCTGACCTTGTGATCCGCCCGCCTCGGTCTCCCAAAGTGATGGGATTACAGATTTGAGGCACTGGGCCCGGCCAAGAATGAAAATATTAATGCTGGTGGAACTGAAAAGCAGAGTTAGACTCAAAATGTAAAGGAGGAGGGAAAAGAAACACAATGAACCCAACAAAAATAGGGCATGGGAGAAAAAAGGGAAACAAAGCATAACTGTTGTTATAAAATCATATGGACCAACTAAGGGTATCAGTTGTCACACTGCCTCAAGGCTTCTTCTGATTCGGGTTACAGTGCTGAATGCTTTATGCGTTAATGCATTCAGCACGTTTTACTGAGTATCGACGATCAGCCCTGTGCATTACAGCAGCCACAGGTCACCTGCAGCGTTTGAGTTCCAGAAACGTAGAGAGTCCAAATTGAGATAAGCTGTAAGTGTAAAATACACACTGGATCTCATTTAAAGAAATGTTAATATTGATTACACGTTAAAATGATAATATTTTGATATATATTAGGTTAAACAAGATATGTTATTTAAATAATTTTTTTTTAAAAAACTTTAAAAAATATTTTGTAGGAACCTTAAAATTACATATCTGGGGTTGAACAGTGTGAATTCAAACACTTTTCTATGTGCCTGGACAAATAAGCTCCCTACATTTAGGTGTTTTATATTTTAAACAAAGGAAACAGACAAAAACAAAGGAAATTAACAAGCTGGACCATTTAATATACTAAGTTGTATGATGAGAATAAAACTGTGTGGTATGACGGAAAGGTATGGAGTTGGTGCTTCTTTGGATAGAAAAGTTAAGAAAAGGGGGTGTCTCCGAGAAGGTGACATTGAGTTAAAATGAGAAGCCTGCAGAATCAGGATGCTCTCCAGCTGCTCTGGATATCGACCTGAGCCATTTGTAAAAGAGACCTGAAGTTTCAGTTTCTCTGTGAAGCCGTCATAGGGAATCCCCAGAAAGCTCAGGGGCGGGCTGAGGGCAGCCTGCAGTGCTGTAAGGACATCATGCTAGCACTTCAGGGCCAGCCTGAGGCAGGTCCCCTGCACAACAGACACCTCCACCTGACACTGGAATGCTTCTGAGCCTACTGACGTTATGGCAGCTGAGTCAGGCAGAATGCAGCTCGTGTAGGACCTTTTGGCTCCCCTGTTCACCTCGTGTGTCATAGTTAAACACACACTCTCCACTAGATAAGTTAGGAGGTGTTTCTCAGAAGGAAAATAGCCATAACAACGAGTTTTGTTAAAAAAAAAAAAATTCTGGGGCCTTCCACTGTGCTTTCCCATCAGAGCCTGCCCCAGCCACAGAGACAGCATCCTATTCTACTGGAACTCTTTCCCTCGGGGTCTGCTTGGGCCAAGTGACAGGGCTGAGTGGCACTGCAGTCTGACCAGCTGGAGAGCTCTTTCTTACCCAGGGAGATGCTCAAACCCTTCAGCCAGGCAGACCACAGCGCAGCCAGCAAATGTGGAATTGGCTGCCTAGTAAATCCAGAGGCCCCCTTGTATCAGGCTACCTTCTCTGTGGCAGAAAGCATACAAGATTCTTACCTTTGCAGAGGATATTGGTATAAGTCCCAGACCACAGGACTCCCAATAAGCTCACTAACTCTTTTCATGTGATTTAGATGCTCCCTCTTAAAAAAAAACTTCAATTTTATCAGTGTAGGGTATCAACATGATAAACTGGGATGACGTAATCAAGGTCACACCAAGCTAAAGAGGCGATATATCCTTGAAAATGATATGAGAAAAGCAAACTGCTGTCCTAGCTAGGCAAAAGTCAATTGGTTATGGTGTTTTGGGGATTTGCAGTAGGGGAGAAAATAGGCTCACTAAGTCCATAGCACCAGTTTAAGAGGCTTTAGTGATGGGATCCAGCAGCAAAGAAACACCACTGGAGGAGCCTATGGGAGGTTGTTCCTTTCTGGAGGCAGCCCAGGCTAAGGGATTACAGACACAGCTTCTCACCACCTGAGTTGAGTTCACTAGCGAGGCTTCGTTTAGACTTATTCCTGTTTTTCAAGTTTTTGATAATTTTATAAATGGTCTCTTTGCATTAAATTTTATTTTCTAATGATTTGTTGCTAGTATATAGAAACACAGTAGATTTGCATATATTCATATTATAACCCTAACAAATTTGCTTATTAGTTTGAGTAGACTATAGATTATTTTGAACTTTCTGCATGGAGTGATCCACATACAGAATAATGACAATTCTATTTATTCCTTTTCAGTTTTTATTTTTTTTATTTCTATTTTCCTATGTCTCTTATCGTACTTGCTGGTATCTCCACTATAGAATTGAATGAAAATGGAAATAGCAGGCATTTTGGTCTTGTTTCTGGTCTTACAGGAAATGTTTTAAACCTTCTAATTATGTTTGCTTTAATTTTTATTTGCTTTTTAGATCTCCTGTATCCAATTAAGAAAGTTTCCTGCTATTTCTAGTTTGTTAAAAGTGCTTATCACTAATGAATATTTTATTTTATTTTATTTTCTACATATTTTTGATATGGCAGGAAGGCAGGGAAATGCTGGATAGAGAAGGGCAGAGTCCCTGTCAAGGTCTCCACCCTTGGACCTGTGCCCACAGATGTAAGTAAGAACAGGCATTCCCGTTTTCACACTCAAATGTTACATTTTCCAAGACTACTCTGGCCCACCACACCCCCCACACTGTGTGCCCATAAAATCCCAAGACCCTAGTGGGCACAGACACAAGTGGCTGGATGTCAAGAGGGGCAGAACAACACACTGACAGACACCAGCACACACTGGCAGGCCATCAAGGCAGGACAATGTGGAATTCAGTCAAGGGTGGTTGGAGGAGATTCTGGCCACTGGGTGGCTCAACTTCAGGGGGAGACCACCTTCCCACTCCATCCCCCTTCTGGCTCCCCATCCACCTTACTGACAGCAACCTCCACCACTCAGTAAAACCTTGCACCCATCCTCCAAGCCCACATGTGATCCAATTTTTCTTGTACACTAGGGCAAGAACCCAGGATATAGAAAGCCCTCTGTCTTTGTGATAAGGCAGAGGGTCTAATTGAGCAGATTAACACAAGCCACCTGAAGACAGTAAAGCTGAAAGAGTGCACTGTAACACACACCCACTGGGGCTCCAGGAGCTGTAAACACTCAACCCTAGATGCTGCCGTGGGGTCGGAGCCCACGCTCCCCATGGCCTGCCTGTCTGCATGCTCCCCCTAGGGGTTTGAGCAGTGGGGCACTAAAGAAGCAAGCCATATTCCTGCCACAAGCCCTGTGAGGGGGGATAACGGAACACTCCCATTTCATCCGGAGAAAATTCTTTAGTTTATAAATGTGGCATCCCATTAACAGGTACTGCATACAGCCTTATATTTAAAGCATATGTTCTGTAAGCCATATATAACTAGGTACTTTAAAAAATCTAGTTTGAAAATCTCCTAGTTTTAGTTGGAGTATTCACTTTTCACTTAATATAACAGATTATCCTCTTTACGGCTAATGAAATTAGTGATATATTTGGGGGTTGCATCTACCATCCTACCCTACCTGTTTTATATTCCCTGGGTACTATTATCATCTTGGGGGCAAAATGTAAATAGATTTAAAATAAAATTGGAAGTTATGATTAATTACCAGAGAAAAAGTTTGAGGACTTAAATAGGGTCAACACATTTTCCTCAGGTTCCTGAAATTAAAATTAGTCATTTAACAAATAATATTAAAAATTATTCTGCAGTTACCCATCTACTGCCAGTCATCTCTCTACCTGCCTTAGGTCATTATGTGAGGAAGCACCAGAAAAATACCCTCCAAAGTGTTCCTAACAGAAGCCTCACCAATTACTGCCCCGACATAACACCTGTAAGTGTGTGTGTGTATGCACACATATACTTCCATGGTACTTATCCTGTAGAAAATAGAATGTCTTCTTTACTGATTAAAGAAAGTATTCTGTACTGCAGTGTTCCAAACATGCCGCACATTGGAATCAAATGACAAGCTCTTTAAAAAGATAGATTCTAGGTTCAGTTTGGCTCAATCAGCCTGGAGTAAATCTGGTTCTCAGGTGATTCGGACAAGTCCTCTGCTTTGGAAAAGCCTGCCTTAAGGGACTCTGCAGTGGATTTCAATGTTTATGGTAACATAAAAACACACTGTATGTGACTCACATAACTTGAATCCCAGTCAAGCATTATCTTGACCACATGAGTTACACGCTGGTTCTAAAGAGATAAGCATTTTCCTAAAATTTACTTATATGTGAGGCAATGATATATGCATAGATAGCCTGGGTATGGCTGGCATTGGTAAATGGGCATAATGAAACCAGCTATTCAAATCTAAAAAGATCAGAACAATCTAATCAAAATTAATTAGATTTGCACCTATACCTCACATGGACATGAAGTAGACATCATAAACCATTCTTGTCTTGCTCGTGTGGAGGCCATGAGGAGGATGTTTATTTTCCATGTGGGCTAAAGCACAGCCCTGTTTTGCCCACCAGAAGGAACATGCTTGGTTTGGAAAGACAGAGCTACAGCAAGGTCTCCCTGAAGACTCACAATCACGTGGCTGACTGAATGTGTCCCTTCTGCCAAAGGACTCCTCCCTTCTCCATCTTCTGAGAAGGAAAAAAAAAGTGATTTGGTTTTTGCTGTGGGAATATTTTCAAGTATTGCTTTTGAAGGAGCAATTAAAAATGAATTGTGGGCAGTATTTGAAAAAGAGTGCTTCATTTCTAAAACTATTGAGATAAAGGTTAAATTAAGCCTACAAGAGTTCTCTCAAAAGCAGTTTTGGATAAGAAAGTACTATGCAAATTGTAGTCACGAGAGACCTTGCCTAAACTAAATACAACTTTCTATTGTGGAGCAATTGGGCTGAATCTGTTTTAAGGCTATTCTTGACATTTAAAATGCCAATCAGAACAGACTGCAATTCAGAAGAATTGCAAGAAATGTCAAGTTCACACAGCAAGTTGGTACGCTGTACAGCAAATAGAGGTCAAAATGTTCTATCCAGATCTTTACACTATTTTCCAAATTCAGACTCTTCTTATCTTATTCTCTGCCCCAGGAGGCTAGGCCAATGTCTGTGGGATTCCCATAAATTTCCCAGTGGGGACCTCTGGCAAGAGATTGTAGGGAGAGCAGAGAGAGGTCAGGTGCTTCTCTGGTGTTCACAAAGTGAGGTAACCTTTGGAGGATGGATTCCTCTGCTGAACACCACTGTTCCTCAAACTCTCATTTCAGTTTCTGAACCAGCTCTTCCTTGAGTCCTGCTAGATCTAAGGGTGGTCATAGCTCTCACGCTGCTGTGATGGTTGCCTTTATGAGACAACTTGATTGGGCCACAGGATGCCCAGATAGCACTTAAACATGATTTCTGGCTGTGTCTGTGAGGGTGTTCCTGGAAGAGACTGGTGTTTTAACTGGTGGATGGAGTAAAGCAGACGGCCCTCCCCAATTTGCATAGGTATCACCAATCGGTTGAGGGTGGGAATAGAACAAAAAGGCAGAGGATGGTTGCATTAACTCTCTGCCTGATTGCTTGAGCTGGAATATTGATCTTGTCCTGCACTCAGCTGGTTCTCAGGCCTTCAGACCTGGACTGGGATCCATACCATCTGCTCTGAGGCTCTCAGGCCTTCAAACTACACCATCAGCTTTCCTGGGTCTCCAGCTTGCAGATGGTAGATCATGGAACTTCTCAGCCATTGTAGTCAAGTAAGCCAATATATTAAAATAAACTTATATAGATAAATGTACATATTGATATAAAATACAGCTGCACTATCTCTGAGGCAACCCTGCAATCTTCTTGCATACATCAAAGGCTCTCTTTAGGAATAAATCCTCCTTAACTAATTCTAATTTGGCACGTGACTAATAGACTTTGGTATGTTCTCTTTTATCAACAGGTATAAACGATTAAAAACAGAAACAGAGCTGGGCATGGTGGCTCATGCCTGTAATCCCAGCACCTTGGGAGGCTGAGGCGGATGGATCATGAGGTCAGGGGTTTGAGATCAGCCTGACCAACATGGTGAAACCCCAACCCTACTAAAAATATAAAAATTAGCCAGGCGTAGTGGCGTATGCCTGTAATCCCAGCTACTTGGGAGGCTGAGGGAGGAGAAACACTTGAACCCAGGAGGCGGAGGTTGCAGTGAGCCGAGATTGCTCCACTGCACTCCAGCCTGGGCAACAGAGTGAGACTCTGTCTTAAAATAAAATTAAATTAAAAAAAAACAGAAATAAATCACAAGAAATAGAAATGAATTATGAAAATAGAAATTAGAAATGAATTACAAGAAATAAAAAAATGGAAAGGAAGAAGAAAATAATTCAATAAAATGTAAAGACAACAAAAAAACACAAAACCTTGGGATAGCCCCTCTTTTCTTTTCTCAGAATAAAAATCTCTGTCCTCCTCAAAACCATGATTCTGACTAGCCTGCAGGTACAGTCCCTGGCAGAAGCCATTTGTACCGGCAGCAGTGGCCCTGCTTGGCTGGGTCAGAGGACACTGAATGAATGGTAAGCCTTTGTCAAACTCTTAATTTCCACACACTCGGTGTTCCTATTTAACTATTTGTTTATCTGTTTATAACTCATTATCCACATCATACAAAAATACATTCTCATCCTCAAACATTCCAGCAATTTCAGAGTATGTAAAATAAACATTAAAAGGTTCAGATGGCCTCCCATTCTCATATTTTCTTCTTTTCTTCTTCTTCACCATACTTTCCAATGATGATTTTGGCAAATAGCTCTGTCTTTTGTTTATTTTGTAGTGCTCTTACACAAATAGTTAATAAATGTAAACACTTTATTTATTTTTATTTTTATTTTTGAGATGGAGCCTCCCTCTGTTGCCCAGGCTGGAGTGCCATGGTGTGATCTGGGCTCACCACAAACTGCCTCCCGGGTTCAAGCAATTCTCCTGCCTCAGCCTCTCAAGTAGCTGGGATTACAGGCACGTGTCACCACGCCCAAGTAATTTTTGTATTTTTAGTAGAGATGGGGTTTCACCATGCTGGCCAGCTTGGTCTCGAACTCCTGAGCTCAGGTGATCTGCCCGTCTTGACCTCCCAAACTGCTGGGATTACAAGCATGCGCCACCGCGCCTGGCCTAAATATATACACTTTAAATTAAAAATTGGAATATGGTATGCATACATTTTTAGAAAACCGGCTTTTCGTTGCACAGAGCTTGCTTCTCATCAGTGAGTGTATTCAGAATACATCAGTGGGTGTATTCTCTGCCATATTCTTTTGGGAGACTACATAATATTCCATTAAAAAGATGCTCTTCAATGTAGTTGTCACTAATGGACATTTTTATTGATTTTTCATTTTTTTCTCAATGCCCCATGAATATTTTTGTACATAATATTTATGTAACAGTTTTATTGATATATAATTCATATATAAATTGCCCATTTAAATGGTTAATTCAATGGTTTTTAGGATATCCACAGTTTTGCAACCATTACCATGATCAATTTTCAAACGTTTTCATCATTCCGAAGAGAAACTTGGCCATTTAGCAGTTACTCCTCATTTTCCTCAACCCCTCTCCTTGGTGCTAAGCGGCCATTAATAGATTTGTCTATTCTGGATATTTTTTATATATTGAATCATACCATATGTAGCTTGTTTTTTTTTTTTTTTTTTTTTTTTGGCTTGCATCCTTTTACTTAGCATTATGTTTTCAAGGTTCATCCATATTGTAGCATGTATCAGCATGTCATTCCTTTTTATTATTGAATAATATTTAATTATATAAATATGTCACCTTTTACCAATTCATTCATTGATGGAAATTTGGGTTTCTTCTAATTTTTGAATAATAAGAGTAATGTTGCTAGGAACATTCATGCAAAAGTGTTTGTGGGGGCATATATCTTCACATTTTTTTGTATTTGGGTGTAAACCTAAAAGTAGAATTTCTAGGTCATTTAACTTTTTGAGGAAATGCCAAACTGTGTTCCAAAGTGGCTGCACGGTTTTATATTCCCACCACCAATGTATGAGGATTCCAATTTCTTCACTTCCTCTCAACACTTTTAATTTTCTGGTTTTTTTTTTTTTGTTTTTTGTTTGTTTTGTTTTGTTTTTTAATAGCCTAGTAGGAGTGAGGTGGTATAGAACTGTGTTTCTGATTTGCTTTTGTCTGACGACTAATGATGTTGAGCATCTTTCATGGGTTTATTGGCCCATTGTATATTTTCTTTAAAGAAATATCTATTATTTGCCCCATTTTAATTGGGTTATATGTCCTCATATTATTAAGTTGTAAGAGTTTTTTATAGTTTCCAAATAAGTCTACAAGATTATCCACGTCTTAGTTCATAAAACAAGTCTTGAAAAATTTACAAAGATTAAAATCATACTAAGTATCTTTTCTGACCATAAGGGAATAAAACTAGAAATCAATAGCAAAAGGAGAGCTGAAAAAAACACTAATATGTGGAAAGTAACACACTGTTAAATAATGGGTTAAGGAAGAGGTCACAAGGAAAATTAGAAAATATCTCGAACCAAAGGAACACACGTTTGTTTAACATACTAATTCTGCTTCAGTGTCACATTGAAGGGAAATGTTTACCCTTTCAGATTTTTTTTTCCAGAAAATAGGTGGGCATTCAAAATTCAAACACAAAATATAAAATACTTGAACTAAATAGAAAAATACTTGAACTAAAATATTTACATTTTAATTTAAAAATTGGAACTGCGAATAACTGCTGCCAAACTCTGCTGACACTTTAATTTCAGCCTGTGAGACACTGAACAGGGAACCCAGTCATGCTCTGCCGGATTCTGACCCACAGAAACTCAGATGGACATTTGTGATGTTCTAAGCTGCTGAGTTTGTAGTAATTTGTCATGCAGCAAATTAAGCAATAAAATAACACGATAAAAAAAAACCCTAGAAATAAATACTTAACAAAATACTCCCAAAGACAAAAATGGCATTTCATAAGGAAAAAGACATACATGTTGTCTGTGAGATTACATAAAAGATGTGTTTAAGTTTCATATGCAAAAATAAAGAGGGTTAAAAGATTATGTACTGTTTTATAATGTTCTAATGTCAAAATAATATAAAGAATCTTAACATTGGAAGGAATTCAGGGTCATTTTATTAAACTTCTAAGCCAATTTTGGAATATTTCTCCATAAATTCTGATAATTATGCAACTAATTACATTGCTTCATGAGAAACTAATTCGTTTTTGAATAAGTTTAATATTTAAAAGATTATTTTTTTATTTGGATATTTATTATTAGCCTGTCTGATTCTATTTATTTGTGTTAATTCTGTCTCTGTAATTGCATAGGGAAGGTTTAATCCTGTTTAGTTATGGACAATATTTCAAATGTTTGAAGGCAGACTCTGTATGTCTCTGCCCCAACCACCAGTTCTTTTTGAGGAGCACACCCAGTTCCCTTATTCACATAATGTCCTCATATTTTTGTCTTAGTGGCTAAACACTCCTTCTGTAACTGTCCAGTTTGCCAATGTTGTCTTAGCCTTTCCTTCTTTCATTTTTAAGAGCGAGTAACAGAGGCTTCCATTTACTATCAATGTTTAATATTCTGTGCCTCCAAAATGCAGTGAGTTAGAATTGTGTGTTGTTTTTCTAGCAACAAAAATTTAACCACAAAAGTAAAAACGTCTCCAAGTGACAGTATTTGCATTAACTTGCTTGGAAGTGTTCTTTTTCATTCTGAGGTTTACAAAACCTGAGATGTTAGAAGAAGATTAGAGCTCATCAAATCCAGTTTCTCATTTCATCCATAAGGAAGCCCTTGCCCTGGAAGACATGTGGTCAGTCTCAGTGCACACAGCTGGGTCGCTGCAGACGACTGAAGGCAGGTTTTCCCCAGTATTTTGAGCTACGCACAGTACAGACAAATCCAACATCTTTGCAAACACAGATGTGAGGTACTAGTTTTATTTCTTCAATTGACTGATGCAGTAACAGTGTGCTAAAAGCTAGACTCAGTCACATGATTGATCCCCTAATAATACTCAGTGATTTCCTCGTAGATTTCTTCCAAGAAATTTGACGCACAGCATGATATACTGCATTAATCCTCTAGAGCATCTGTGACTATAAATCATCAGAGGTTGTGGCGCTCAGTTTATATCCAAAAGCCAATTATAAAGAGAGAGAAAATGTGCAATAAATTACTGACATAATTAAACTGTTAAAAAATATCTATTGACATATGACGGACATAATGAAAAAAACATGGAAAAATTAAGAAAATTAAGTATTTTGTTTCATAGTGGGATAACTGGTTTTTTATTTCCTTGAAAGTTTTTATATTGCTATTATGAACTATAAGCAAATTAGATAGAAAAAAAGAAAGCTAAATTGAATATTCTATTTACTAGAAATTTCCCAGAGGCCACATTAATTTTACATCCAATTGCCACTTTAACGTCTTCCCCTGTGTTCCTTCCCTACCCAAACTCCTGCTGTTTGCCATCTGAGGTAATGACTCTCCTGAAATTTGTGTTTATCATTCTGATGCTTTTGCAAAATACTATTTTAGCATGAAAGTTTCTAGAAACCTTTTTAAAAGTTCTTATGATAATTAATTTCTTAACTTTATCAAAATGACATCCTGCTATATTTAACCTTCAGAAATGTGCTACATTTTATTACTGTATATTGCTAAGATTGAACTCTATGGCTCTGTGTGGCTGCCATGTTGACTACTACATAATATTTCATGTGTGACTGTGCCACAGTTAATTTATACATTCTTCCACTAACAGGGGTTTTGGTTATTTCCAAGGTATGTCTAACAAAAACCGTGCTGTTTTGAACTTATACGTCATTCCTAATGCACACTTGCAAAGTTCTTGGGAATGTTCCCAGGAAGAGAATTTCCTAGTCATAATAAGATACGCAAATATTCCACTTTACTACATAATGCTACATAATTTACCCAAGTAGTTATATTAATTTACATTTCTATGAACAATATATACAAGATTCTTGATTTATATCATCTGCAAATCTTGGTATTGATGGTTTTCTCAAGTAATGGCAATTTAATAGATATAAAATATTATTTCATCATAGCTTCACTTGCACTGCTTGTTAGAGGTTAAATTTAAATATATCTTTCATATATTTATTGGCCATGTATGTCTTTTTCCTTATGAAATGCCATTTTTGTCTTTCGGAGTATTTTGTTAAGTATTTATTTCTAGGGTTTTTTTTATCGTGTTATTTTATTGTTTAATTTGCTGCATGACAAATTACTACAAACTCAGCAGCTTAGAACATCATAAATGTCTCATCTGAGTTTCTGTGGGTCAGAATCCGGCAGAGCATGACTGGGTTCCCTGTTCAGTGTCTCACAGGCTGAAATTAAAGTGTCAGCAGAGTTTGGCAGGAGTTATTCGCAGTTCCAATTTTTAAATTAAAATGTAAATATTTTAGTTCAAGTATTTTTCTAGGTATGGTACTACAATGTGCTTTCCCTCAGAATATATTTCATTGACAAATATCTTACAAGATAAACTTATCAAACTGTCTCTATACATTTTTGGGTATATTTTGCCAAATTTAGATGCTGCAAAATTGTCAGTCAAACCATTTTCTTTGAGTATTTTTTGTAGATGTTCTTGTGTGTTAAGATTTTTCACTCATTTGGAATAAAATACAGAACTAAACTTGAAAGACTCATTTATAAAAATTAAATATCATTGTTGATTACTTGGATTACTTCATAAAATTGTTACTTCAAAGGTTCAGTGATTTAAAATAAGATTTGTGTTGAGTGAAAAAGAGGAATAAAGCACATTCCATTATGCTATTTTTAATTTAATTGTCAGCTTCTTCACACATTTTGTTGTTCAGCTTCTGAGCTGTGGATATATAAAATATTTGTAAATTTTGTGAACTATATTTTTATTCCAGTTGGCAGAACACTGAAATTTATTTGGAACAAATTATGAATTTTGTGTCCACAATCACTTTCTAGTATATTTCTGCTGTAAGATTTAACTCAACAAATTGTTTTTTCCACGAACGTTGGCACCAACAAAATTCTATTATTATCACGGATACAAATACTTTCGTATTCATGATTGAACTTTTTAACTAAAATCCTGATAGCATTCACATAATATCAGATGTTTCACCTTTAACAAAATGAAATTCCAAAGACCTACTTTGATTCCATAGATTAGATGAAACAATAAAGCCAGTATTGGAATGAAATACATGATCTATTTGAGGAATCCAATTCATCGATAGAAATCTGGCATTATTCAATTGTTGACCATGTTCTTCTGCTAACAGAAGACAAAACACAGCCAGATGTGGTGGCTCACACCTGCAATCCCAGCACTTTGGGAGGCCGAGGTGGGTGGATCACCTGAGGTCAGGAGGTCGAGACCAGCCTGGCTAACACGGTGAAATCCTGTTTCTTCTAAAAATACAAAAAATTAGCCGGATGTGATGGCGGGCACCTGTAATCCCAGCTACTCGGAAGGCTGAGGCAGGAGAATTGCTTTAACTCAGGAGGCAGAGGTTGCAGTGAGCCAAGATCGTGCCATTGCACTCCAGCTTGGGCAACAAGAGCGAAACTCCATCTCAACAACAATAACAAAAAAAAAAAAAAAAAAAAAAAAAAGGAGGCAAAACATTTACAGCTATAGCTTCACTTTTTATAGATGCTATGAAAATTTGAACATGAAAGTGAAAACAGCTATTTGATCTAAATGAAAAGCCTTCCTTCATAGCATGCTATGTTAACACATTTCTGAAGATGTGTTCAATTTTCACTTTCAGGTATGGTCTTCTTACAATAACTCTTAACCTTTGAATTATTTATGTCTTCTGATTCCCATGTTGTCACTTCTCATTTTCATGTGTTCACCATGAACCCCACGGCGGGAGGTCTGTGCCACTGAATATTCTGTGCAAGGTAACTAACTATCCATCATCAATCTTCTTGAGGAATAGAATTTCTGTATATATTTTTTAATTGAACATAAACGTTTGGAGTTGTTAGCTCATTGTTGCAAAACAAAGTACTTAATTGCAAAAGGAGATAGTGTTGCCAAACAATATAATAAATAATTATAGATTTACCCTACATAAGATGAGAAGAATGCCATAACAAGCATGTTCAGGCTATTTACACTCTATAAAAGAATTGGTTTACTTCTATTTCCCATGTATATTTCACATACACCTGACCCTTAATTTCCCATGTTTAATGATTGTCCTCACTAGGAAGCAGCCTGGTGTACCAACTAGCTGGTACACCAAATGTGTGGCAAAAGTGGCAGGGCCAAGCATGTCCCCACCATCAGGAGAAGTTATCTGTCCCTAACTGTTTGTGTCTCGGCACACACGATTGATCAGCTAACCCTGCAGGCATGCTGTTCCTCTAGGGGAGGTGCTAATCATGTCCTCTCTGGAAAAGATTGTAAAAAGAGAGGCAGTTTATCACAGGTCGTCTCTCAGACTTAAAAACACATGTTACAATGAGATTTCTGCTTAATTGCACACACTGCGAGATGAGACCACGAAACAAGCTAGAAATACAAAAGAGAGGTTTATCAAATTCATCCTGGATAAGCAGAATTCAACTATTAATAATATTTCAATAACAAATAATCCACAAGGTAAGCTAATTGGAACATGACGCCAGATGGCAGGGAAACTAGGGCTATCCTGGGCAAGTCAGAACAGACAATTACTTTTTTGAAAGTTGATTGTTGATTTTCTATTATAGCTTTTTATTTTCACAATTTTACCTCCTCCTTTTTGCTTTGAGTTTATTTTGCTTTTCATTACTAATTAGTTTAGTCATTTTGCCCATCAATTTTTAGCTTTACTACTGCTTACTGTAAATACTTAAGGCTGTAAATTTCACCTAAAGCGCTGCTTGTACTGTCTGTCTCCCACAAGTTGTCATTAACCCAGCTAGTGTTGATAAACTCAGTTTGGTAGTCGTTTTGACAATGCCTCTCCCCACAAGTGTCCATGGCCTGAAAATGCCTGGAGTGAACAATCACATTAGTGATGATTTCTCAGCTTGGAGGGAATAATAAACGGGCAGGCAATGAATTAACTGGAATCCAGGCAGAGGGAATGTGACAGTTAATGTTCACATTAAATATAAAAGTTTATTAAAATTTGCTCACATTGAAAAACACTGACATAGGTTATACCCACCCCCTGCCAACACACACAAGACATACACATACACAATCCAGACACAATTATGTTGCTAGTGTCAGCTCAAAATTATTAAGCAAATACTGAAATGTAGATAAGTTCCAGAAAATAGCAGAGGCTAGAAAACATTTATAAAGCTGTTAGTTGTCATGGTAACAGATAAACTCTGGTATCTGAAATTGTAGAAATCAGAAATTAAACATTTGTGTGACACTACTTTTCTATAGTTTTCCAAGGGATAAGATGGAAACTTTTCCAATTAGGTTGTTCCAGGGTCTTCTTGAGTTTGGCAGATGGCTGTTGGAAAGATATTAATCGAGGTTGTAGGACAAGGGATCAGAGGATATCTCCGTTCCTAAAAGAAGTGAGCAAGTCTAAAGGCAGAGACTGACTTCTGGCTTAGGCAGCCTGCAGAGCTGGTGCTGAGTGAGCCATAGCACACGGAAGCTGAAGGCATTGCTGCTGTGTGATTCATCTTTCATGCATTGCTCACAAGCTGCAGATGCATCCCATGGGTGCGGCTGCCTGCTGTGCCCCTCCCCTTGCTCTCCGGGACTGTGGCTTTGCTAATGGAACAATCAGGATGCTTTTTCTTCCTTTTTTCCTGTCTGGGTCTTCGTCAGCATCTTCATCTTCTGAGCAATGAGGCTGCTGCTCGGCGGCTCCAGAGACACCACCTCCTATGGGCATAAAGAAGAAAGTTTGAAGTTCTAGCAAAGGCACATTTTTTTTTTTTTTGCCTCCACCACTGCACGACCCTTCAAAATCTGAGCCTTAGTCAGGACCCCTTCTGGATGTTCCTCAGTCAGATGGCCATCCTCCTCTTGAGCAAAACTGGGACCCCTGCCATGGGGGCATTTTTCTTTCTTTCTTTCTTATTTTATATTTTATTTTACTTTAAGTTCCAGGATACATGTGCAGATTGTGCAGGTTTGTTACATAGTTACACATGTGCCACCGTGGTTTGCTGCGCCTATCAACCTGTCAGATAGGATTTAGGCCCCCAGCGCATTAGGAATTTGTCCTAATGCTCTCCCTCCCTTTGCTCCCCACCTGCCGACATGTGCCGGTGTGTGATGTTCCCTCTCTATGTCCATGTGTTCTCATTGTTCAACTCCCATTTATGAGTGAGAAGATGAGGTGTTTGGTTTTCTGTTCGTGCGTTAGTTTGCTGAGGATAATGGATTCCAGCTTCATCCACGTCCCTGCAAAGGACATGATCTCATTCTTTTTTGTGGCTGTTTAGTATTCCATGATTTTCCATTAGGCCTGCTTGACTCTCACTGAACACCCCTAGGGAATGTCTCTGCTGTAAGGGCACACGAAAGCCTTTAAATAAAGACCAGCTTACATAATCACATTCTAGCATAGCAGCTCTTGAAAAATTATACCACTTTCTGGAAGACTACTTTTTGGGGAATATAATGGCATTTTCATACAAAAACACACTACATAAATACTCTATAAAAAGTGCTATTTCAACACGACAGTTTCAGGCAAGGACACACTTACGAATTTATTCCACCCAGCATTTTCTGGCCAGAGAGCATCACATGGTTGCGTTTGTGCCATGTGTGATGAATGTGATGAACACAAGGTGTTTTGCTCTACCTAGGTGAGCCCAGACAGTGATAGAGGGGGAGGATCCGCTACGATTTCCAGTATGTGTACAAAGTGTGTTCTTTGCATGTTTCCAGGCACTGAAGATGTTTTTCTTTGCTCTAACTTTAGTTTTAAATGCTGTCAGGGTGTAAGACAACTATAAACTGCACGGAGATGGGAAATTATTGAAGAAATGGTGCAAAAAGAAGTATTTACCTTCCAAAGGGTAAAATTCCCCATGCCCTCCTCCACCATGCCCCACTCACTATCATGCCTTTTTCCTGTGTAGAATACAATCAACTGTCATTCAATTACAGCACTGAACAGACTCTATGTTGCTGTTTAGTACTTGTAACTGGAGTCTACTATGTCTGTGAATGTCTTTCCATTGCCAATCAATGTATGTTTCCTCTACATGAAATAGTTTAGGTTATCTCATAATTTTTCCCATTAAAATGAGTGGACCTATTTTTTCATACAGCTTTTGACTTAGTGGTGGGATTTTGAGGAACAGACAATTGAACTATAAGTGTATTTGACTAACTATTAACAGCCAGAAAGCACAGTTGCTTTACAGGCCCGTCAGGGCAGAGGTGGATGCAGAGGCTAGTGAGTCATTACCCTTTCACAGGCTAGTGGAGAAGGGGTCCCTAAGGTTGCTATGGGGTCGGTGTCCTGCAGAAGTTAAACCAGTCTCTTAAGTAACTTCACATTCTTACTTAGGACCTTCCTATCCTGTCCTGTGCCTCAGATGTTCTTGAAATTAACTCTTGTCTCTCCAGCTGGTTCTCTCCCTAACCATGACACTCTTACATCTGATTATTTTTTATTGGTTTATGAATTTTGTTGTTAACAGGCACGATCAAAACTATTTATGTGTTGAAGAAGGAACAGTGTTTTATTTTCCATCTCTGTCCTGACCTCGAGGAACAGTGGAGCTTCCATTTGTGCTGAGGCAGTAGGTCCTCATCCCCTGCCGAGGGACCATCTGGGATGTGACAGCCACCTGGAAACCACGTGGCCTCTAAAGACCCTCTCTTTGTGGCCAAAGTTAGGGGGACAGTCTTCACTAATCTATTTTGATTTTTTGTATCTTTCAATTGTGGGTGGGAGAGAGATGTCAGTTCTTCCTGCCATATATAAAAATTGTGATTCCCACCCACATCCAAGTGCTCAGGAAAGTGTAGCCCTTTATTTTTTGTTTCTGATCTGTACTTTGTTATAGGCAGTCACTATTAGCCTTTGGACCTATGTGCTCCTTCATAGCCACAGGAAGCAGGAAACTACACTTGCCGCATCAAGCTTCCTCCCGTGCCAAGGTCTTTCAAGTAAAGGTGCCTCATCTTAAGGTAACAATTCCATTTTTCAAAGCATTTTCATGCATTCCCTTTATCGTCTCTGGGAAGATGAGGGAGTTCACTTTGGGCCTGGCTCCTATGGAGAGCCAGGAAGGCTCCGCTGGTCTGTCACTGGGTCAATGTCCCCTGAGGGACTGGCTTTTGTGGTTTGCATCTTCTGCTGAAATTCACGGTCTGGTCATTTGCCTCCAGTTGTCACAGCTCTGCCCTGCCTATAACTTGTCAGTTTAACCCCAGACCTGTCTTGTCCATTGCCTGTGCCAACGCCACAACATCCCACCCCACCACTCTGTGCCAGGTTGTATTTTCCCAAAAAGGTCACGTCCATATATATCCCAGCCCACAGCTCTTTGCTGATGAAGAGCCTGTGGTGCTCCTCCATTGAGAGATGAGGTCTGTGTTCCTCCCCTTGGGCTGGTGCACCTTATAAGTGCCTCATCCAACAGAATGTGCAGGGGACGACACGACGTGACCTCAGAGGCTAGGCCAACCAAGGTAAGACAGCTTTCACCTGGTTCTCTCTCGGGAAATGTGCCTTGAATGACCTGAGCTGGCATGTAAGAAGTCCAGCCACCCTGGAGCCACCAGGCAGGAGAGACCACATGGAGACAGGAGGGGCACTCAAGGTACCCACTGACCCAACCCCACTGCTCCCCACGAATGAGCAAGGGAGTTTCCAGAACAGCCCAGCCACCACAGCAGAGATGAGCGGTCCCCACCAAGCTCTTTCCGGATTGCAGATTTATGAGAAAAAGAAGTTCAGCTGTCTTTTTAGCTCATTAAGTTTGGAGGCAGTTATGCAACGTTGGTAACTAGCACATCCCTCAGATGGTACACAGAAACCTCTGGGTGCCTGGGACACCATGTGCAGGGAGCCAACCCAGTTGTCAGTCTCTCTAGGGACATTGCTCCTCCAACATTACTACAGTTCCTGGATAGGCAGAAAGTGGAGGCATTGGGTGAAGGTACCCAATGAGAAACACCAAGCCTGCCCAGGCCATGCAGGCAGAAACATGGCCTTGATCCTGAAGCTCCCGATTCCTTCAAGCCTCCCTTGATGTTTCTGTTACTTCTTGGATCCAGGGTTCTGCCCCAGAGAGGGATGTCCAGGACACATGTATCTGCTATGTGCTCCATGCCGAGTATCATCAACTTTCCTCTTCCTCATTCACATCAAATCCTGAATTCCCCTACCCACTGCATATCTAGCTCATATTGCTCCAATGTGAAAGCTTTGTTTTTGGTATGTGAAGGCCGTGTTTGGACATGTAGAATTCCTTTTTACTTCAAATCCTGGCTGATTTTTAATTCACTGTCCTGCTAGACACTCAAAATTCTCCATCTCTCAAGCTTGGGGAATGGCTCTGTTATTCTCATTGGTATCCGGCTTTTCCTAAACGAAGGCCGTGGTTCCATTGGTGGGAACCCACCTCAGGAAAATAATATTCACAGGACATGAAAACATGGCTGACACATTTCAGAAAACATACTTCCTGCTACACCAATATCTACTTTCTTTTGAGAGTTGGCGACTGATTTTTTATTAAACTCATTGAAACAGAAGAACTGCAAGGCTCACCAAACCAAAAATGTCACCTAACACAGTTCCCTGGAACAGTGGAGATAAGAATCCTGGTGCTCAGGGTGACATGTCTCCCAGTGGTCTGCATGGATGCTGCTGAAGCCACATTGTCACAACCCTCAGGTATAGCTCACAGACACCGTGACATCGAGTGGACTCCGACCCTCAGAGTGGAGCAGATGCCCGTGGCGCTGTCCTTGCTCTGGGGAGAAATGGCTCTCATGGGGTCTCTGTAACTTCCTTTCCTGCCTGAGGTAGAATCGGAGGTGACAGGCCCTCCCTCTTCACACACAGCAATGCACTTGCTCTCCAGTGACTCCCAGATTGTTGCACCAGGACCTCTGAACTCCTGTCATTAACAAACTCCCCCATGCTCCCAACCCCTCCCAGGCTTCACCTCCTGGCCTTCACGGGTCCCAACTCTCCTCTGAGGACCCACCTCCCTGCAGCCTTCTCAGGTAGAAGCTGGCCTGACCTCCCTTCCCACCTACTTCCAGGAGCGGACACAAGGTTGAGTTTAATTTTTTTCCGGTTTCTTCCCCACCCTCAAACAATGCTGCTTCAGGTTCTGGCCACTCTTTTCTTCACTTCCTCCCTGATTTTCTCCTGGACACTCCCTGGGCACCTTGTCACCTGGCATGAATATTGGTGGGCAGCAAGCACAGAACCCTTCTCTCCTTGGTCCCCTGGCTGCCAAAAACGGTGGTCTCCTCTTGGCTGGAGGCTCCCACAGCTAAGCCCCATGCTGCTCTGGGGACGGCCTGTGGAGCCAAGGAAGCCGCGCGGCTGGGTGGAGGGAGCGGAGCGTGTGTGAAATGTGAGGGGCCGAGGGGGCGGGGCTGCAGCGGATGTGCCATTGCAGGATTTTCAGCAAGTCCATGACAGGATTGGGTGTACATTGTAAGCAATAGCCCTGGCTTCTCTATGGGAACTGAATTATAGAGAGAGAAATGACAGAAGACAGGGCCAGCTTGGAGTTTTTATTGTTTTTTTGCTTTTTTTTTTTTTTTTTTTTTTTTTTGAGACAAAGTCTCGCTCTGTTGCCCAGGCTGTAGTGCAGTGGTGCGATCTCAGTTTACTGTAACCTCCGCCTTCCGGGTTCAAGCAATTATCTGCCTCAGCCTCCCCAGTAGGAGTAGCTGGGATTACAGGCACCCGCCACCACGCCTGCCTAATTTTTGTATTTTTAGTAGAGACGGGTTTCACCATGTTGGCCAAGCTGGTCTTGAACTCCTGACCTTGTGATCCACCCACCTCGGCCTCCCAAAGTGCTGGGATTACAGGCGTGAACCACCGCGCCTGGCCAACTTGGAATTTTGGAAGAGCAGTCCCTGCAAGAGATGAGGGAGGCTCAGGAAAGACAGATCAGATTGCAGGAGCCAGGAGGTCAACGTCGATTTCTCCTTCACTACACCCTTCATAGCCACTCCATTGGCAAGCACTGTGGATTCCATTTCCTTATTTTTAGCTTTATTAAGGTATAGTTGACAAATTTTTAAAATGTATACGTTTTGTCATACAACATGATGCTTTGATGTATACATGCATTGTGAAATGATGAAATCTGCCAATCAACATAGCCATCCCCAATGTTCTATTCTTTGTCTCCTACTGTAGCTCTACCTGCAGGTCCTTAGGTCGAATGGTGATGCCTAGGGGGCATCAGGATTTCTCTGTGCCAAGGGAACTGGAGAATTGGGGCTGTTTTCTGCTTCCCAGGTCTGACCTATGCATGTTGGTGCTTGGCTGCCTCTCACATCCCCTCTCTGTGGTGACCTCCGCATTACCCCAAACAGCTGCAGACAAAGCAGTAGGCCTGGCTCAGCTCCATGTGGCTGATTTGCTGGAGGGAGAAGCCATTAGGAGCCACTTAGGAAAATGTTGAAGTGACAGCTTGGGGTGGGGTATACAGACATTTTTCCATTTAGCCTCTTCTCCTGCGGTTACAAGGGACTGTTCTGAATCGCACACAGCAGGGTCTGTACAGTCACCAATAAATGGAGCTGCAGGCAGCATATTGCAGAACACTGGAGTTAGAATACATCCTAGAAAAGAGCTTTGCTTCCCAGAATCTGTGCTTCTTCAGCACCTGGGATCAACAAACAGCCTGGAGGCTGCGTGTCACCAGGACACATAGCTGGGAGATGCTGACAAGGCCACTGACATTTTTGCCTTGAGGACATTTGTTCAACCCCAGGCTATAGGAGCAGCTGAGGAAACTGCCAGGTAAAACCTCCATGGTGAAAATGATCTCTCATCATTCCTGCTACTAACAGCCTCCTTGAAGGATGCTCTACCTTAAACCCCTCATTAAAAAAAATTAAAACCTCACATTTGGACTCCCAAATGGTTGCTGCAGGCTTTGACCATCTACGGAATTTTAAAAAATATACATCAGGACTTGAAAAAGTCAAGCTGGTGGCTAATAAAAAATAAAACGTAGTAGTGTTCTGACAGGAGGCTGACAGTGCGTATTATGAGTGGGCTGCCTGGCTCTCCACTCACGAGTTACACTCAGAACAAAACTATTAGTACAGATACAGAGCTATAAAGTGAAGTGCAGGCAGAGAACAGGCCTTGGAATTCAGTCTGTAAAGCATGTCTTTCTGCAGAGCCCTTATTCCCACACACAGTGTTTACTAGAAACAAAAGCATGCTCCGGTAAAAGAAATGCTTTTTTGAAACAAACAGAAAATGACTAGTAATGGATGGAAATAGGTGGAAAACATTTTTTCTTTGATCCTGTTCCAAGAGTTAGAAAAAAGTAATTTAAACTCCAACATGTGTATCTGGATTATTTCCCTCTTTGTAAATCCCAGAAATCTTTATTTTCTTTATATGAAGGCTGTACATCTTTTTTCAAAGTGGTGGTCTGAAAATAGAGACCAGGTAAGTATTGTGTGTAGCCTTGAAAGGAATCTGATATTGAAGACAGACCAATGGTCAAACTTAGACAGGTCCTGAGAAGCCAATCCCTGCCCAGCAGAGTTCACAGCTCTGTTCTATTCCCGGCTTAATCATTTCCAGTTGGTGGAAGTTTGGACAAACTGTTTAATCATTCCAGCCCTCAGTTTCCTCCCCTGTAAAGCGAATGAGCGTATAGCTCCTACTTCATGGATTATTCTGAGGTTAACAGTAGGTCACACGTGAGTTGTGCAGAACACAGCTCTAAGCACATCATGCACAGGCTTTTTGGTGTATCATCTTGGCTTAGCTACAATACAGTCCCAGAACTCCCTTCCTAGTATGTTTCTGGCTAAGGCAGGCTCCAAGGGATATTCCCTTGTGAGACCCGGAGGAAGCAGCCCATCGTGTAGCCTGCAGGCATCTTCTCCCAGGCATTCAATCAAACATGAACCTAGGTGCTGCTGTGAAGGGACTCCGCCAGTGCCATTAAAATCCCTCATGGCTTGACCAAAGGTTAATCCAAAGTGAGATCATCCAAGTGGCTTGACAGAATCAGCTGGAGTCTTTAAAAGAGAGTTTAAGCTCCTTGATCTAGCAACTCTGAAAAGCAGCTGCATCTGAAATTGCTCTTCCATCCTTCCATATTCTCCTTGCTGACTGCTGCCCGTGGACAACAGGCTTAGCACGTGCCTGTCAGGGTGTAGATTGCTGATGGCATTCCCTCCCTGCCTGTCCTGGGACCACAACTGCATCGTTTCATTTCTGGTCATCAATCTGTTGATGTAATAAGTTCCTTAATGTTTTACCATACACATGTACATAAATACATATACCCTGCAGGTTCCTCTTATCTGGTTGAACCCTGACTGCTAGGCATAGCAAGAAACATCCACTGTGTATGGTGTATATATTTTTTTGAGCTACAGCTACAGCTATCTTTTCCCTTTTACTTTTTTTTTTTTTTTTTGAGAAGGAGTTTTGCTGCTGTTACTGCCCAGGCTGGAGTGTAATGGCGCAATCTTGGCTCACCACAGCCTCTGCCTCCCGTGTTCAAGTGATCCTCCTGCCTCAGCCTCCCAAATAGCTGGAATTACAGGCATGCACCACCACACCCAGCTAATTTTGTATTTTTAGTAGAGACGGAGTTTCTCCATGTTGGTCAGGCTGGTCTTGAACTCCCAACCTCAGATGATCCGCCCGCCTCGGCCTCCCAAAGTCCTGGGATTACAGGCATGAGCTACCACGCCTGGCCCCCTTTTACTCTTGTAATCTTTATATCTAGAAGTCCTAGTGCAAATGTAGACCTCCTATGGGAACGTGAAGTAATGGTTAGCTCTTTGAAATGGAGTGTCTTGACGTGCGATTTCCAGGGGCTCCATAGCACTGTGTATAAGCTATACATTCTCATGATTTCATACAGATCTAAATAAAAATCCAGGTTCTGCCCTCAATTAATTGTGTGACTTTGGCAATTCTTAATTTGTTTGTTGGAGCTGATGAGGCTGAACTAACAGTGTGGTTATGAGCACTAAAGGAAGTTATGTATATAAAACACCAACACGATGTGTAGCACAGAGAAAGCTCTTTGAACAGTAGCCGTGTTGTTGGTGCTGCAGCTGTTGATTCCCTCAATACCTTGGTGGGGGTAGAATCTACCCTTCAGCTAGTAAATGTTTAATGCTTTATTTTGATTTCCGTGGATTGGGGAAAGTGGTGAAAATGCTATCTTCAGCATCTTTTCAGCTCCATTACATGTCTCCAAAGGGCTGGGTCACATTTACTCATGAGAAAGGAATAGAACCATAATCATTAACAGAACCTCAGAGCCAAAGCACTCATAGAATTAAGCCATAAACAGCCCGTAACAGGGAGCCCACGACAGTTCATAGCAGCAGAACAGATCATGGCAAAGCTCTTGTATCCACTGTAATGGGAGAAGTGGCTGATGTGACCGATTTCAGCAGGTCAGAGTCAGCTGTGCACACACGGCTTGGTGATGGTGGCTTCACCATCTACAGTAGGCAGCCTCTGCATGTAATGTAACCTCATCTGCAAGGCCTAAGCTGTGCTTGAGCAGAAGACAATGAGTGAGAACTTGTGTCATAAGTTACAGATTTAGCATTCAAATTCCCGCTATAAAATAGCTATTTTCTACTTTCACCCTAATAGAGAACACAGCCCATTTGGGGCAGAAACATATTATTTTCTGCCATATAGTTCTAGAGTCCACTGTTACAGTTTATGATACCCTGTTTATTTCCTGTTAAACTTTGTCCAGCACTGGAAAGAATGAATTGGGTAATTTCTTTCTGAATTATCAGCATTATACACAGCCATATCTGTACTTTTGAATACATTGTTCTACCTCATTATAAGACTGAAGAGAAGAAAGACTGGTAGTTTAAAAAATTAAAAAAATCTTTCCTGGAAATGTCAAAATCATTTACATTGAAAAGCTGCCTGGTATACCAAACCTTCGTAGACGAGTTGAGGAGGTTTACTCAAAATGTTTCATAAAATTTGATTTAGATTTTAGAAGTCAAAGCATGAAATGAAATGAAATGGTAAATAGTTTAGCTAATGTCTATGGTACTTTGTTAATAGCTGTTAAGCGATTTTCTAATGTCACATTACATTAGTAAATTTACGTTTGCATCTAACTCGTTTTGTTCACGAATTAAAAAGTTGACTGTTTAAACAAAATCCAAGAGCCTGCCCCTCCCATACTATGACACTGTCTTTTCCCTTCTTCCTTAAACTTATGTGATTTAGATGATGGAGCTAAACCAAGAGTTTGACATTTAGTTAACATCTTAAAACTCACTGATAGAAGAATATCATTTCTAGGCCGGGAGCGGTGGCTCATGCCTGTAATCCCAGCACTTTAGGAGGCCGAGGCGGGCGGATCACGAGGTCAGGAGATTGAGACTATCCTGGCTAACACGGTGAAACCCCGTCTCTATTAAAAATACAAAAAATTAGCTGGGCATGGTGGCACGCACCTGTAGTCCCAGCTACTCGGGAGGCTGAAGCGGAGAATTGCTTGAACCCAGGAAGTAGAGGTTGCAGTAAGCCAAGATCACGCCCCTGCACTCCTGCCTGGGTGACAGAGCAAGACTCCACCTCAAAAAAAAAAAAAAAGAAAATCATTTCTATTAGAAATTGTTTCCCCCACCTGAAGCACCCCTCCTCCTGCAGGTGTTCTATGTGCTAAATGTGACATTCTTCAGCTGAAACACATGCAGTGCAGGACCGTTTGGTTAAGTGAGTCAAATGAGTCTACAAGGAGAAAGAGGTTCCTCTCACCCCTACTGCCACCCTCAGTTTCCAGAAATAATCTTGAGTGTTTCCTCTGCTATTTGCTTCTCTTATTTCACCATTTCCTATCTTTTCGTTGTAGATATTATCAGCTGACTTCCTTACATTAAAGACGAAGATTTTGCTGTCTGATACTGTTCACCCCATTGCACCCCTAAACCCTCACTCTTCCTTTGCCCACAACCTTCTCATTTCTATGGCGTAAAAAGGGGAATTGTATGGAATGAGTGGGCCTCCATCCGGGGAAGGCAGGAGGAAACTACTTTATACTCCCTCACTGCTCCTTCAACCCACGCTGCAATTTTCTCCTATTCACTCCTCCTTGAAATCTAGAGTAACCGCAAAATATTTCACATCATTTTTAGATACCAAAAAGAATTCTGGTTACTCTATGTCACCCAATAAAATTCACGATGAAAATGTTTAGTTCAGTATAGTAGTCAGAACTTCAACAGAGTTAAAGCCATGCCTCCTCTTCCAGGACAGCCAGACTGCAGTGAGAAAGGAAAACAGGGTCTGACCCCTCACTTTCTCTCTTCTTTGTCCTTTTCTCTCCTTTTTCTGCCCCTCTCCCTCCAACCAGGAAAAAATACAGCTCCCCTGTGGAGTAAAACATTATTAATCATTTGGAGAAGGTTAATTGATGGATAAGGGTCTTGCTGTACTGCCATTGCTAGAACTTGTCAGCTGATTTCCAAGCTTGGCAGGTGTCTCTGTCTCTGTCTTTGTCTCTCTCCCTGTCTCTGTCAGTCCCCCTGGTGACTTCTTCATGGATTTTCCCATTGAAAATAACTGACTCAGCCCCTTGACCTGGGTGGTGCTTTGTGCTCAGAGCTCCTTTGACCCACATTTAATGCCTTCAGCTTCTTCTGCTAAAATAACTTTCTTCTTGGGTGAGTCCCACTTGAAACCATCATTAGACTTCCTTCTTCTTAAATAGCTCATATCTAGTCCATTGGAAATGTACATTTATGTTAAGAAAATAGGCCAGGTGTGATAGCACATGCCTGTAATCCCAGCACTTTGAGAGGCCAAGACAGGAGGATTGCTTGATCCCAGGAGCTTGAGATCAGCCTGGAAAACAAAAGGAGACTCCATTTCTACAAAAACTTAAAAACTAGCCAGGTATGGTGGTGCACTCCTGTTGTCCCAGCTACTCAGGAGGCTGAGGTGGGAGGATCGCTCGTGCCCAGGAGTTGGAGGCTACAGTGAGCTAAGATTTCTCCACTGCACTGTAGCCTGGGAAACAGAGGGAGACTCTGTCTCTTTAAAAAACTGTTTTACATTTAGAAATATTTTTTTTTTTGAGATGGAGCTTCACTTTTGTTGCCAAGGCTGGAGTGCAATGGTGCCATCTTGGCTCACTGCAACCTCTGCCTCCTGGGTTCAAGTCATTCTCTTACCTCAATCTCCTGAGTAGCTGGGACTATAGGCACGTTCCACCATGTCCGGCTAATTTTTTTGTTTTTAGTAGGCCTGGCAAAGTGGCTTAAGCCTGTAATCTCAGCACTTTGGGAGGCCGAGGTGGGTGGATCACCTGAGGTCAGGAGTTTGAGACCAGCCTGTCCAACATGGTGAAACCCCGTCTCTACTAAGAATATAGAAATTATTTTGTTTAAAGTAGGTAGCATGTTCTCTCAATGTCAAACGAGCCTCAGTCCACCCAGTCATCTTATCCACATGCTCATTTATCATGCTTTCTAGATACACCCCACTCCTTAAATGTTCTTTGTGCCAGCCTTATCATCTCACTGGCTCCTTCACAGATTAATGAGTTGAATCAAATCTCTGATGTGCGTTCATCTATGTGCTTCTATGGAAGTCATGCTTCAGACCTTTTAAAAATTATATTCTATCACCTGCATCTGTAAGTGTACACATCCCATATAAAGTGCTTCTTTTCTCTCAATGTCCACAACTTCTTACTCCGAAATTTTTTCAAGTATAAGCTCAACACTGGCCAATTGCCTCCATTTAGATTCAAGGAAGCCACTCAGATCTCTCTGATCAGACTTCAGGTCTCTCTAAGCTAAGCCAAGTGGATATGACATTCTTCTTCCTCCCTGTGAGAGGTGAACATACTCCAGTCCTCTAAATACATCACCAAAAACTTATTTCTTGTATGCCTTAGTTCTAAGGTCCTAAGTTAGCAACACATTTGATACGGTTTGGCTCTGTGTCTCCACCCAAACCTCATCTTGATTTGTAATTCCCATAATCCCCACATATCGAGGGAGGGACCTGGTAGAAGGTGACTGGCTCATGGGGAGTGGGGTTTCTCCCATGCTGTTCTCACGATAGTGAGTGAGTTCTCATGAGATCTGATGGTTTTGTAAGAGTTTGACAATTCCTCCCTCACATGCTCTCTCTCACCTGCCGCCATGTAAGAGTGCCTGCTTCCCCTTCCCACATGATTCTAAGTTTCCTGAGGCCTCCCCAGCCATGTGGAACTGTGAGTCAATTAAACCTCTTTCTTTTACAAACTACCCAGTCTCTGGCAGTTCTTTATAGCACTACGAAAATGGACTAATACATTATATATACTTTGGTTGTTGCTAGGTAAATATTCAAGGTTTATAGTACAGAGGCTTTGTAAATATTATTTATAACTGAGCTAATTAATGACCTACATATAGTTATGTTGAACTATTGTCTTTTTTAGTTGCAATTGAGAAGTCCTATGTCATTCAGATTCTTACAAAGTTATCTATGTGAGCTTTTCTTTTCCTTTTCTTTAGAAGATTTTATGATCTAGTCATTATCACTAATGGTCTGAAATTATATATGGGGAAATTTTAGACTTTTTGTTCTGTCTTTTTCAGTGGCTCTTTTATTTATTATTTTTATTTATTTATTTTTTGAGACACAGTCTTTCTCTCCCCCAGGCAGCAGTGCAGTGCTGTGATTTCCGCTCACTGCAGCTTCGACCTCCTACGCTCAAGAGGTCCTCCCACCTCAGCCTCCCAAGTAGCTGGGACTACAGGTACGTGCCACTACGCCTGGCTAATGTTTGTATTTTTTGTACAGATGAGGTTTTGCCACGTTACCCAGGCTGGTCTCAAACTCCTGAGCTCAAGCAATCCTCCTACCTCAGCCTCCCAAAGTGCTGGGATTACAAATATGAGCCACCATGCACAGCCTCAGGGATCCTTTTAAATCTGAAAACTCATATGCTTTTATTGTGGAGAATTTTCTTTAATGTTTGCTTTTCTATTTTTCCTTTTTTGTTGTTTTTTACATTATGAAATACTGAGTGTTTAGTTGAACCCCTTAGAAATATTATCTAATATTATTACTTTTCTCATATTTTCCATGTCTGTTTCTTTTAGCCCTGACTTCTGATAGATTTCCTTAACTTTAGCTTGCAATTATTCAATTAGATTTTATTTTAACGTATGGGTTTTAAAAAAATAATATGTTTTTTTGCATGTTTTTATAGCTACATGTTCTTGGTTCATACATTCAATCTGTTCTTATTGAGAATATTAGTTACAGTTTTAAAAAGTCATTTTGTTCTGTTTCATGCAGTTTGTTTCCTCTGAGTTTCTCCACTCTGGTCCTTTCAGCTGGTCTTTCTTCCTCAAATGCCTGCTGATCTCTGGTTATCTCCCTAGTTAAGTGCAAGGCATGGGAAGTGTTGCTTTCCTTGCTGGGCATCTCCAGCCCCATGGTTGGAGTCAACTTTCTTGAATGGAGACAACTTTCTTTCTTTTTTTTTTTTTTTTTTTTTTTTTTTTGAGATGGAGTCGCACTCTGTCACCCAGGCTGGAGTGCAGTGGCAGGATCTCAGCTCACAGCAACCTCTGCCTCCCGGGTTCAAGCGATTCTCCTGCCTCAGCCACCGCAACCTCTGCCTCCCGGGTTCAAGCGATTCTCCTGCCTCAGCCTCCCGAGTAGCTGGAACTACAGGCTTGTGTCACCACGCCCAGCTAATTTTTGTATTTTTAGTTAGAGACAGGGTTTCACCATGTTGGCCAGGATGGTCTCGATCTCTTGACCTCGTGATCCATCTGCCTCGGCTTCCCAAAGTGCTGGGATTACAGGCGTGAGCCACTGCGCCCGTCCCTGGAGTCGGCTTTCCTTAGGGCTTCTCTCTGCAAGTCCTGTCTGTCAGGTAGGAAAGTAACCATTCTGCCCTCTGATTTCTAATTTCCGAACGCCTTCCCGGGGTAGTCTCCTCTCCTGCTCTTTGTCTTTGTGGGCATTACACATTCCCCTCCTTACTTGATCTAAGCAGATTTAGGTTCAGAAGCCCAATCTGCCATGTTTAATCAGAGGTCTTATCAATTCATTCTTCTGTCTCTAAGGTGATTGCGTTGTTACTTTTGTGAAATTTAGATGCTTTGTATTTTAATCCAAAAGGACAAATCCAAAAGAGATTCATGTCACAATTAGAATGGTAAATTTTTTTAAATTACCCTAAATAATAAAGCTTCGTGACTCTTCTACTATGCCCATTTTATATTTAAATGACTGAAAATAAGATTCGAGGCATTATTGTCTTCACAGACAACCTGGTAGACTTGGGAGCCTATTTTATTCTATTTTATTTTATTTTTAAGACGGAGTCTTGCTCCGTGGCCCAGGCTGGAGTACAATAGCACCATCTTGGCTCACTGCAACCTCCGCCTCCAGGGTTCAAGCGATTCTCCTGTCTCAGCCTCCTGAGTGGCTGGGATTACAGGTGCCTGCCACCATGCCCAGCTAATTTTTGTATTTTTAGTAGAGATGGGATTTCACCATGTTGGTCAGGCTGGTCTTGAACTCCTGACCTCGTGATCCACCTGCCTCGGCCTCCCAAAGTGCTGGGATTACAGGCATGAGCCATCGCACCCAGCCAGGGAGCCAATTTTATCAGCAGACTGTCAATCACATCATTCATCATAATTCTTTTCTCACCATTTAAAAAGGAATCAGGCCAGGTGTGGTGGCTCACTCCTGTAATCCTAACACTTTGGGACGCCGAGGAGGGCAGATTGCCTCAGCTCAGGAGTTTGAGACCAGCTTGGGCAACATGGTGAAACCCTGTCTCTACTAAAATACAAAAAATTAGCTGGACGTGGTGGCGTGTGCCTGTAGTCCCAGCTACTCAGTAGGCTGAGGCAGAAGAATTGCTTGAACCCGGGAGGCAGAGGGTGCAGTGAGCCAAGATCGTGCCACTGTACTCCAGCCTAGGGACAGAAAGAGACTTCGTCTCTAAAAAAATAAAAATAAAATAAATAAAAAATAAATAAAAAGGAATCAGTCCTTTTCTGTACCCAACACATGCAGCATCTGTGCAACTTCAGCTGCTATATATCCCCTACAGTGAATTCCGTCACAGCTCAAATGAGGAGCCTGGGGGTTTTCTGTTCGCTTCTAACACAGTCTCATTTTTCCCATGTCTCTCTTTTATTTCTAGTTCATCAAGGGATCAACTATCTTGGTTCCTCTTCTGCACCTGCAGGCGAGATTCAACCTTTTCCATAACTTCCGCTCCATCTGCCAGTCAGATGGGTCTCTTTCCCTCACCTTTGGGCTCCAGGGTGTTCTCCCACCACAAAACCTCCTCCACAAAAGCTGCTCCCTATTCCTAGACAAAATGCGGGCCTCTCTACCTTCATTTCCTCTTCACTCTTTTTCTACCCTCGACTTAAACCATCTGCAAGGAAGTGATTGTGACTGAGGTTTCTTAACTTGCACACAAATTCTCATGTATTTGGGAATGTATCATTTGCATCACAAATGCCCCTGCATGCATAGATCCCAGAGAAATGCTCTAAGAAAGCCTTCTCTAAGTTATTTAAGACACACTAGCCCAATGATTTCAGACGTAAATTCCTTGTGACTGATGATCATGGCAAGACTCCTCACATGTTGGCTGGTACCCATTTACCTGCTTCAGTGTCAAAATCCTCGTGGGGATGCAGCAGGTGGTACACAGAACTTCCAGCACCCAGCGCTAGATGACCAACTGGCTGTCAGAGATGAACAACCTTTATATTTGTGCATTTCACATGCTGAAATAAGGTGGGTTCATGTATTCCCAGAGGAAATGAGCCTCATAACATAGCCCAGTGCAGTAGGAGAAACAAACAAATAACTATTCAAAATATGGTAGAATTTTTTTTAGGAAACATGTGCTTTGTAGAATCAACATAGATTAAAACTATGTAGGAAGCATGTAATGGTATAGGAACAATTTTGCTTCTGGCTAGACTATAGCTCTGCCACATCCATAGGACTCACCTGTCAAACAAAAGAGCTCCCATAACATCCTCTCCTGCTACAAGGACCATAGAGCCTGCATTAACAAATGGATGCTGTGCATGTTTATTTTTTTTTCTTTTGCTACCGGATCTTAGATGAGGAAAGATCTTGATTCTCCAAATATGTAAGCTCACTGAGCTCTTAATAAAATCATCTATCATAGCTTAATATTAGAATTTAAAATGAGCGAAAACATTCAAAGAAATGCAATGAGCTTCATCAGTTGTAAATTTAATGTAAATTTTAAGAAATTGCATAACTGGTTTGAGTGTTAATTATTTTTCTAGTAACATTGTAAAGTGTCAGTGCCCTTGTCTTTTGGGTAAAAACATTGTCTCTTCATCTGGAGTAGATACAATTGGATAACTGGGATCAGGACAGAGTGTAGAATTTAACATACCTGTTGGGCTTCCCACGACTAAGGTCCTTACTGGCTGCTGGAGGATGGAAGCTGTTTCCCAGCTGCCAGGGTGTGAAGGATGGTCCTGACTGCCTCCAGCAGGGGGTGCCCAGTGATCAGAAGCTAATAAATGAGGTCCATTAGGGCAGATCACCTGAGGTCAGGAGTTCAAGACCAGCCTGGCCAACATGGTGAAACCCCATCTCTACTAAAAATACAAAAATTAGCCAAGCGTGGTGGCATGTGTCTGTAATCCCAGCTACCTGGGAGGCTGAGGCTGGAAAATCACTGGAACCCAGGAGGCAGAGACTGCAGTGAGCTGAGATTGCACCACTGTACTCCAGCCTGGGAGACAGAGCAAGACTCCGTCTTAAAAAAAAATAATAATAATAATTTGGAAGGTGGATGGTAGAGTGTGGAGCTGAGCATGTAAGCAGAGGCTGCTCTGAATTAAAGGTGCCAAATCCACATTCAAGTAGCATCCAAGAAACTCCAGTCAGAGTTCACTTGCCTGGAAGCCAGCAGTGGCAGAGAGACTGGGCAAGTGTGCTGTGGGCCTTCTGGCAGAGTCCTGGCCTTTGTTTCTGACTCTTTCATGCCCTGAACACTTGCCTCTTCACCATCAGACTCTAAACTCCTTGCTGACCAGCTGAGTTTACTCATTTTGACCTGAGCCGAGGAAAAGCAGCAACTCAGAAATCTTTAAAGTTGAAGGGCCACCCTATTAGAACATAGGCTGTGTCTGCTCAATTATAAGCATGACTTGATCAAAGCAAACTCAGCCTTAAGATACTCTATGTAGGGAGAGGTGAGGAGGCATATCTGCGATTAGGAAGCAGAGGTGGGTAGCATCAGGGAGGGTGAGGCACTGAGCTCCACGCTCATAAAACAAAGTAGGGCCATCTCACAGTGGCTGCAAACCATCTGGGTCCAACAAAATATCACTGTCAGTGGGGCCCTGGTCACCTGGCCATGCGGCTTTGCCACAGGTCCCTGCTATTGTTATCACTCTGTCGTAAAAAAAAAAAAATTAGAGTCATCTCAAAAGATAAAATAATCATCCACAGAAGAGAGGTTGTCCCTGGTGAGCTGTCCTAACCCAAGGTGGTTTTCATGGTTCCAGGACATTCAGTGCAAAAGTCCTGGACACAGATGCAACAATCAATATTACTTTGTTTAATCCCTTGCCATATTTAAAGCTGGGCAGAGAATGCATTAAAATTAGAATCAATCTCAACAAGAAAAGAATAGAATGACCTCAAAAATCCCTGCTTAACCTTTTTTATTTTGGCTTCCATCAACAAATGACAGCTTTCATTACCCTGGAAAGTACACTGGAATTTGTCACTAACCTGCACTTTGCCAATGCAAACCTATACAATAAATTTACCAGTAAAATGCAAACTTATAAAAGAAATTTAGGAATAGAGAAATCATAGTATTTACAGCTTGATCAAAATGTTCTTTTTTACCAAAGAAAAGCTGCTGGTGTAACATAAACTTGCTTTACGTTTTCTTTGTAATTTACACATTCCAATTATAATCTCGAAAAATACCTTCTTACAATTTTAGAGAAACCTACAGGTAAAACAATCTAAGGCCCAGAAAGTGAAAGTACTTGGCCAATTTCACACAATTGAAACTGGACCAATAGCTCCTACCTCTGACCTGGAACCAAGAATGAGACAATTGGTGAACCTCATTAAAATATTGGCAGATGTGGAATTACTTCCTTTTCAAAGTTAAATAATATCTCTTCAATCTTCTATTATCAAGAATTTTTAAATTGATGTCTCTCTTTTTTTAATTGTGTTATGGTCTGAATGTGTTCCTGGAAAATTTGTATGTTGATGTCCAGACCCCAGTGCAATAATATTAATAGGTGGGGCCTTTAGGAGGTGATTAGGTAATAAATGAATGACCTATAACTTTTTCTACTTACAGATAATAAATAAAACAGCCTATTTGTAAATAGCATAATGATGTAAATGGCAAATTACAAGGAATCTACAAAAAAAGTCTCCTACAACAAATGAGTTCCACAATTTTATAAGATACGTGATCTATATATGAGATGAATGCACTAAGAATGAACATGTGGAAACTGAAATTAAAATGCCAATAGCATATATAATTGTGATGGCACACAACATTAAAAAAATAGTTGCAAATCTAATAAAAGATGTACAGGATCTGAACACTAAAAACTCAAAGTGCTGACAAAAAAATCAAATATTTAAATAAATGGAAAGACATTTTGCCTTCGTGGACTGGAAGAATCAATATGGTACAGATGTCAATTCTCTCCAAATTAGTACACGATTTAACAGAATTTCTATCAAAATCTCAAAAATATATTTTGTAGATATAGACAAGATTATTTTAAAAGTTACATGGTGATATTTCAGGAATATCAAAAGGCAAATACAAAATATTAAAAGGAAATAAAAGTTACATGAAAAGGCAAAGAAATTAGATCCTGAAAAAGAAAAAGAATAAAGAATAAAATGTGAGGAATCAGTCTAACAATTTCAAGACATTTTGTCACTGCAGTAACCAGGAGTGTATAGTATTGGTGGAGAGAGCTACTCAGAGATCAACAGGACATTATAAAGAACCTAGAAATTGAGTAACTCAAATATGACTAATTGGTCTTTTGAGATGGAGTTTTGCTCTTGTCACCCAGGCTGCAGTGCAGTGGCGCGATCTCGGCTCACTGCAACCTTTGCCTTCCAGGTTCAAGCAATTCTCCTGCCTCAGCCTCCCGAGTAGCTGGGATTACAGGTGCCTGCCACCACACCTGGCTAATTTTTGTATTTTTAGTAGACATGGGATTTCACCAGGTTGTCCAGGCTGGTCTCAAACTCCTGACCTCAGGTGATCCACCTGCCTTGGCCTCCCACAGTGCTGGGATAACAGGTATGAGCCACCGCACCAGGCTGACTAATTGGTTTCTGACAGAGTTGCAAAGAGGAAGGATAGTATTTTCAACAAATCATGTTGGAGCAATTGGATATAGATAGGCAATAAAAATAGCAGCCCTGACATAAACCTCATGACTTTAAAAAAAAATGAACTCAAAGTTGATCACAGATTTAAAGAATTAGCTATAAATTTTTTAAAGATAACATAGATCTTCCAGACCTAGGGCTGGATAAAGTGTAGACATGACACCAAAAGAGCATGATCTATTAAAAACTCAACACATTGGACCTCATCATAATTAAAATGTTCCTCTCTGAGGAAGACCCTGTGAAGAGGATGATTTGCATATCACACATCTGACAGAGGCTCATACCTGAAGTGTATAAAGAACTCTCACAACTCAATGTTAGAAAGGCAAACATTTCCATTAAAAATTTGACAAAAGGGCTGGGCGTGGTGGCTCATGCCTGTAATCCCAGCAGTTTGGGAGGCCAAGGTGGGTGGATCACCTGAGGTCAGGAGTTCAAGACCAGCCTGGCCAACATGGTGAAACCCCGTCTCTACCCATTAGCAGTCGCTCCCCAATCCTCCCATCCTGCCCCAGGCCCAGACAATCACTCATCCATTTTCTGTGCCTATAGATTTACCTTTTCTCTACATATAAATGAAATCATATAATATGTAAGTTTTTATGTCCACCTTCCTTAACTTAGCATAATGATTTTGAGGTTCTTCCATGTTTGAGCATATGCCACTATTTTGTGCATTTTTAAAGTGCTGAATAATATTTCATCATATAGATATACCAAATGGATGTATTTTCTCCATTCAGCAGTTGATAGACATTCGGTTTTTTTTCAAGTTAGGACTAATATAAATAATTCTGCTAGGGACAGTCATATGTAAACCTGTATGTGAACATATATTTTCATTTTTCTTGTGTAGATTTTTAGGAATGGATTTACTGGTTTGTGGAGTTAATTTATGCTTAATCTTTTAAGAAACTACCAAACTGTTTTCCATTTCACATTCCTAATAGCATGTATGACAGTTCCATTTTCCCTATGCCCTTGCTAACACTTGTTCCCATCTGTATTTTTGATTATAGTTATTCTAGAGGTTGCAGGCTGTACTTCATAGCAGTTTAATCTGCCTTCCCTGAATGACTCATGATGTTGAACATCTTCTCGTGTGCCTTTTGGCAACTTGTACATATTCTTAGCTGGCATGTCTATTCAAATCTTTTGGCCCTTTTCATTAGCCCTTTTGATTTTTGTTACTGAGTTACAAGAATTATTCTGGACATGTCTTTCATCAGATATAGTATCAGAAAATAAAATATTTTCTCCCAGTCTGTGGCTTGTCTTTTTATTTTCTTAAGGGTGTCTTTTGAAGCAATTTTTTAAAAATTGTGACTAAATTGATTTTTTTTCTTTAGTGCATTGTGTTTTGGTGTTGTAAACAAGAAATATTTCCTAACCTAAGGTCACAAAGACTTACGTTTCTTTCTAATAGTTTTATAGTTTTCCTTCTTACATTTAGGTCTTGAACCCTTTTGAGTTAGTTTTTGTATACAGTGTGAGACAGGGATCTAATTTCATTTTTTTATGCAGATATTTAGTTGTCCCTGCATTATTTCTTAGAAAGACTATTCTTTCTCCATTAAATAATATTCTTATCAAAAATCAATTGGTCATAAATGTATGGGTTTATTTCTGAATTCTTTATTTGATTCCTTTGTTTTATACGACTGTTCTATGTCAGCATCACACTCTTTTGATTACTGTAGCTTTGTCATAACTTTTGAAGTTGGGAAATATGAGTCCTCCAGCTTATTTTTCAGGATTGTTTGGCTAGATCTTTGCATTTATATGAAATAATATTCACCAGCTGGAGCACATTGTTTATGTACAGTTCTTTTTGTCTTCAGATATGTAGTTTCCAGTCAAAACACTATTTTCCAAAGTTCCATTTTCCACTCTCTCCTGAAGTTAAGTTGTGCCATACATTTGTAATATAGCTAGATTCATCTGCCACGGTCTGATTTTCATCCTGGTATCCCCGAACATCCTGGTTGATTTTTTTTCAAATATGCGTACATTAAAGTTCACTTTTGTGTTCAATGCAGAGTCATGTATCCTATCCTAGTAATGTACAGAACATTCCTATCACCCTAAAATTTCCCCCTGTTCAATTCCTTTGTAGTCAGCCATCCTCTTCGCCCACAACCAATGGCAATGAGCAACGTATTTTTCATCCTATAGTTTTTCTGTTTTCCCAAATATCATATGAATAAAATCTTACTATATATTGCCTTTTGTGACTGGTTTCTTTCACTTAGCAAAATATGTTTGTTTCATTCATGTTGTTGAATGAATCAATCATTGTTCTCTCTTATATCATTGAATAACGTTCCATTTTATGCATGTATCACACTTTATCAATTCCTTGGTTGAACAGCATCTTGTTGATTTTTTCTCCAGTTTTTAGCAATTACAAATAAAGCTGCTATACATATTCAAATACAGAGCTTGTGCCAATTTAAGTTTTTGATTTTCTGTAGTAAATACCTTGGATTTCAGTTGGCAGATTCTACGGTAACTACATATTTAACTTTATAAGAAACTGTCGCACTGTCTTCCAAATGCAGTGTATCATCTTGCAGCCCCATGAGCAATCCTATTGCTCCACATTCTTGCCAGCATTTGGTGTCATCAGTTCTTTTTGGATTTTAGCTATTCCGACAAGAGTGTAGTGATGTATCACCGAGGTATTTACTAATTTGTATTTCCCTAATGACAAATTATGTTGAGCGTTTTTTTCTTTCTTTTTTTTTTTTTTTTTTTTTGAGACTGAGTCTCGCTCTGTCGCCCAGGCTGGAGTGCAGTGGCGCGATGTCAGCTCAGGGCAACCTCTGCCTCCTGGGTTCAAGCAATTCTCTGCTTCAGCCTCCTGAGTAGCTGGGATTACAGGTGCCCACCACCATGCCTGGCTAATTTTTTGTATTTTTAGTATAGATGGGGTTTCACCATCTTTGCCAGGCTGGTCTTGAACTCCTGACCTCGTGATCCACCCGCCTCAGCCTCCCAAAGTGCTGGAATTACATGCATGAGCCACCGTGCCTGGCCATTGAGTGTTTTATGTATTTATTTGCTATCCATATATCTTCTGTGGTGAAGTATGTGTTCAGATCTTTTGCCCAATTTTGAAAATTGGGTTGTTTGCTTTCTTATTTTGGGTTTTTCAGAGTTATTTATATATTGTAGATATGAGTCCTTGGTCAGACATGTGATTTGTAAATACTTGCTCCCAGTCTGTGGCTTATCTTTAATTATTTTAACAGCTGTCCAGGAGAAAATATTTTTAATTTTGATCAAGTTTATCATATTTTTATATATTATTTTTGGTGTCATATCTAAGAAATGTTTGCCTAATCTAAAGACAAAGATTTCTCCTAGGTTTCCTCTAAAAGTTTTAGAGCTTTACCTCTTATATTTAGGGCTTCAGTTTATTTTGATTTAATTTTTGTGTATGGTATAAAATAAAGGTATATTTTTATCTCTCTCTCTCTCTTTTTTTTTTTTTTTTTTTTTTTGAGACGGAGACGCACTCTGTCACCCAGGCTGGAGTGCAGTGGTGCGATCTCGGCTCACTGCAACCTCCACTCCCGGATTCAAGGATTCAAACCATTCTCCTTCCTCAGCCTCCCAAGTAGCTGAGATTACAGGCTCGTGCCACCACACCTGGCTAATTTTTGTATTTTTAGTAGAGACAGGGTTTCACCATGTTGACCAGGCTGGTCTCGAACTCCTGACCTCAGGTTATCAACCCACCTCAGCCTCCCCCAGTGCTGGGACTACAAGCCTGAACCACCGTTTCCAGCCTATTTTTATCTTTTCTTATTTGCATGTGTATATCTAGTTCTCCAAACATCATTTGTTGAAAAATAGTGTAATTTTCCCATGACATTGGTAATTTCTATCTTGGACTTTTTCCTGGGCTTCGCTGATAAAATTGATAGGCTCATATATGTTTTCAGTAATGTTTTATTTTCTCAGTTTCTATTTCATCCCATATTTTTTAAAAATCCTAAAAATGCTGCTGATGATTTTTTTTTTTTTTTTTTGACAGAGTCTCAATCTGTTGCCTAGGCTGGAGTGCAGTGGTGCGATCTCGGCTCACAACCTCCGCCTCCCAGGTTCAAGTGATTCTCCTGCCTCAGCCTCCCGAGTAGCTGGGACTCCAAGCACATGCCACCATGCCCAGCTAATTTTTGTATTTTTAGTAGAGATGGGGTTTCACTATGTTGGCCAGGCTGTTCTCGAACTCCTGACCTCGTGATCCACCCCCGCTCAGCTTCCCAAAGTGTTGGGATTACAGGCATGAGCCACCACGCCCGGCCGCTACTGATGATTTTTAAAAATATTTTTCAAGTTGTTATGAATCTATTCCCTATCTTAGACACTTTCTGCCTTTCCTATGAGATTCTGATTAAAAAAGAAGATAACTTTATCTGTTCAATCTGAAATCTTTACTGCTTTTCAGCTAATGCTTTCTTTTGATTTATAGTATATCCCCAGTATAAACTGTGTTTCAGTCTCTAACTTCAGTTTCTTAGCATTCTATGGCCTCTGAACAAAATCTACTAATATGAAAGCATTAGTGGGAGACACACACACACACACACACACACACACACGTATTCCCATCCAAATATTCCTTCAGAAAATATTGCAATTCAGGAATGTGATGCCTTTCCTGGGGTAAGTCTAGCCCAGTTTGTCTGTATTCTCACAACGCCAGCCGGAAGGATCATTTGGGTCCCAGGAGGGACATGCGTAGTCCACAGTGACATTCCTCAAGGCTTTTTTTTCTTTTGCTAGAGTCTATAGAAATTATCCCCAGATTGTAGCATATGATGTTTAGCTTTCCTTGCTTGAATGCAATTGTGAAGGTTTTTTAAAAATGTATTCCCATAGCTCTTTTATTGGTAACTTAGGATGGACTTCTCTGATAGAGTTGACAAGCCAACATCTTAGCCCATAAGTCCTTACACTTGGAGAAAAAAAAAAAAAAATGAAAACACTGTGACTCAGCACATTTAGTGTGGGATCAGTCAGTAGTTCAGTGTTTTCATTTCATGGCTTCCTAATGGAACTAACAGTATCGGAGGTCCTTTATATAGCACCTGGGGAATTCATGTTTTAACAAGGCAAGATGCCAAATGTCCAGTGTAATCATATATAATCCATCACAATGACTAAAGCTTGCACGAATAGAGAAGCACAAATTTCTCCAAAATATGTCAACTTGAGTTTCTACTGTTGAATTTTTTATGACAACACTTAAAAGCCAAATTAATTGATTTGATGTTCATGGTCTGCTGTCTGTCCTCTGGCATGCTTCTTTTACTGTACAACTGAGACATAGTGAGAAGAAAAATAAAGACTTCAAAAAATCCCCAAAGTGGATAAACCATGAAATATTTAAGAATGTACTATATTCTTTTTTTCCTTTTTTTTGAGATGGAGTCTTGCTCTGTCACCCAGGCTGGAGTGCAGTGGCACAGTCTCAGCTCACTGCAATCTCTGCCTCCTGGATTCAAGCGATTCTCCTGCCTCAGCCTCCCGAGTAGCTGGGACTACATGCATGTGCCACCACGCCCGGCTAATTTTTGTATTGTTAGTAGAGATGGGGTTTCACCAGGTTAGTCAGGCGGGTCTCAAACTCCTGACCTCATGATCTGCACGCCTCGGCCTCCCAAAGTGCTGGGATTATAGGCGTAAGCCACCGCGCCCAGCCAATGTACTCTATTCTTTAGAAAAGTACAATTTGGCTTAAAAAACCAAGTAAGCAAAAGACAATGTTAAATTGTCTTACTTTTCTCCCATATCTGACTTAGCTATTTACTAATGTGCCTTCATACTTCTTAACTTTAGCATCCATTTAGTAAAAACAAATGAACCTTTGTAGTTTATTGAGATATTATTCATATATCACAAATTTTATCCCCTTAAAGTATTCATCTTAAGAGTTGTAGTATATTCATTATACAATTATCCCACTTTCTAATTCCAGAATATGTTCAGCACCTCAAAAGACACCTCACTTCTCATCCTCTAACAAGCTATACTCTACTTTCTACTGATGTGCCTTTTCTGGACATTTCGTATAAGTGGAATTATACAATATGTGGCTGTTTTGTCTTTATTCATTCACTTAGAATATTGTTTTTAAGGTTCACCTATGTTGTATCCAAGGATCGATATGTAACAGTACTTTATTCATGTTATGGATGAATAATAGTCCTTCATATAGATTTATCACATTTTTTGTTTATTCATCAGCTGATGGTCATTTGGAATGTTTCCACTTTTGGTGATTATAAGTAATTGCAACAAACAATCATGTAGAAATTTTGGTAAGAACACATATTTCAGTACTTTGGACATACATCAAGGAGCAGAATTGCTGGATTATATGGTAATTCTATTTTAAACTTTTATTTCTATGTTTAGAATATAAAATTCTATGTTTAACTGTGTGAGGAACTGCCAAAGTGGCTGTGCCATTTCACATTCCCACCACCAATCTATTTTTTAAAATTCCATTTTTAAAGCATCCTCGCTATCACTCGTTGTTTCTTTTTAACATTATAATCATACCTATCCTAGTGGATGTGAATGCTATCTCATGTGGGTTTGGTCTGCATCTGCCTGATAACTGATGATGTTGAGCACCTTTTAATGCACTTATTGACCACTTGTATATCTTTTTTTGAAGGAATACTCATTCAAATTCTTTGCCTATATATTTAATTGGATTATTTGTCTTTTTAATTGTAAGAGTAAGAGTTCTTTATATATTATTTATACTAGACCCTTATCAGGAATATTATTTAAAATATTTTTTCCATTCTCCAGATTGCCTTTTCATCTGCACTTTTTAAAATATGCGTTATTTTCCAAGAACCAAAGTTTAAGCCTTAAGTGTCTGTCTCCTTTCTAACATATGGTTTCGGTTAATTTTTGGCTTTCACAAACTAGCCAACCTCTGGGTAAGATATTTAAAAACATTTTTTTTATTTTACATGAAAGGAATTTTTAATGAGACTATAGTTTGTATTTTTTCCTTCATTCTACAACAAGTACCACCTTCAATAGCATCTCTCTATCTGCTACAGCCAGCGCCTAGACCACTGCAATCTGTGAGGCTGTTTCACAGCCACCTGTGCCCCATGGATTTAGCTCACCTCTAAAGATGCCAGTGTTTAAGACACAATCACCTTTCTTATGAACACCACCATCCCCAGAGTCTCTCAATTGTTCAACTTGTCCCTGGGGCTGCCCAGGGGCCTTGGCCACCACTATCAGTTCCATTATCATGGATTCATGGATTCTCATACTAGCACCACTAATATTGCTATCCATCATCCCCATTCTGAAAACTACCCCAAGGCCAAGAATACACTATTCAGTATGCTAGCAGCAAACATATAACTTGGTTACCTCATGTAGGCATTATCAACTGGTAGATTTACTGAAGGTGGGCCAATGAATATACACATTATACAGTGTTTATTTCAGTGCCTCTATGACATTTAAAACATTTTAATGTTGATATAAATAACAGGTGTTTCAAAAATAGTACAGTGTGATGTCCTGTACTTTTTGCCCAGGTTTCGCCAATGGTAACATCTTATGTAACTCTACTACAACATCAGACTAGGAAATTGACATGGGTACAGCCTACTGACTTTATGCAGATTTCACCGGTTTTAATTGCAATCTCTGGTACCGCCAAAAGCCAAAGAGCCATATAAAACTGACAGAGAGAACCTCCACTTCATTACTGCTATGGCCTAAATATACCATGATAAAACTAAACCAAAACCTCATTTGCTACACAGATCCTATTTTCACTGTGAAATTTAGGAAGCCAGGTCACCTACTGAGGAAAATAGAACACTCTGAAATTTACTCTTTAGTATTTACTATCAACACTCAATAAATATTTAATTATAAGATAGATGATGTTACAGTTTTGAAGAATCTTGTAAACATAAAAAATTGCTTTTTTGAGGTTTTTGTTTTGTTTTGTTGTTGTTTTGACAGTCTTACTCTGTCACCTGGGTTCCACTGCAGTGGCACGATCTGGCTCACTGCAGCCTCCACCTCCCAGGTTCAAGCAATTCTCCTGCCTCAGCCTCCTGAGTAGCTGGGATTACAGGCATGCACCACCACGCCCGGCTAATTTTTTGTATTTTTAGTAGAGACGGGGTTCGTCCATGTTGGTCAGGCTGGTCTCAAACTCCCGACCTCAGGTGATCCGCCCGCCTCGGCCTCCCAAAGTGCTGGGATTACAGGCCATTTCTTTTATTTCTATTAATCAGTTGGTGATAATTTTACCCTGAAAATCTGACACTGGGTGTTAAATGGTGTTTTCATCCATTGACTATTACTCTAGAAATGGATCACTCTGCATTATAAAGAGGTCAGAAACTTTATGAAATATGCAGATTTTCACTTTTTTTTCTTGAGGGTTTCCATGATCCATGAGAACATCCACCAGTCTTTCCCCAAAGGGCTATAAATGTGGGGGTGAAAATGGGCCCCCAATCCCATCAACTTTCCAGAACCATGTGAACTGGGCAAAAGTTCCTGGGGATGGTTTTGGTGGACTCTCATCAATGAACAGAGTCTAGTGCACTGGGTAAGTCCACGAGTTTATTCACCGGCCCTTGGGCAGAATGAGGGTGGGAAGTTTAGTAAGACCCACTGACCTTAGGTCTTGGAATGAGAAAATCTAGGTAAAAATCCTGGCCCAGTTATAGAGTAACTGTGTGAGTTTTGGAAACTTTCTCCGCTTTTCTTGCCTTTATAAGGTAAAAACACTCAACTTACAGAGTTCTTGTAAGAAACTTAAAGCAACTTTCTGACCAATGCATTCATTTTATAATTCAGTAAGAACATCAGACAAACCATTTATAACTCTAACCTAAAATCTCTGCTGGTCTGCCTCCAGGCCACTCTTCCCGCAGAGGCTGTGACGGCCTTGTCATCATCCTCTGTCCCCACACCTTCCCGAGGCTTCTGTTTTCTGTCTAAGCAATCCCAGTTGCTTGAGCCTTCCCTCCAGGGCCTTATCTTGATTAACCACTCATAATTAAAATTAAATTTGATGAACTGGAACCAAAGCTTTTAGTTGGCTTTTTATCACTTTGCTTGCTTAATTTAGTAAAATGCATAAAATGGAAAGAGCATCATTTTCTACTAATTAAAGGAAGGCTGAAAAGTAGAGTAATTTTCTGAATAAAAGAGACAAACTCTCGATTCTTAATTTTCTTTGTATATCTGAACTTATTATTGTAAAAAAGAAAATCCCTTTGATATGTAAAAATCAGCTCAGATTGTCAGGAGATGTAATGAGTAGTTGCAAAAAAAAAGTATTCTGGAATATATTTGTCATATACCAGACTATATTTCTTATAACTGGAGAGAATACAATTTATACAAAAGTTTCATTTTATTTTTAAACTCATTTCTTAATATAAACAAATATGTGTGTGAGAAAAAATTTAAATTTATCGTATATATCAAATATATATCATAAATATATATTAACTTATGATATATATCATAAATAGAAAAACTCTGATATCCAAATGAATTATGATTTATAAAGTTTATTTTTAATTAAGCAAAAGCCTTAAATCTACGCATAAAAGGGGCTAAGCCTATGAAGCCTAGGAAGTGGCAGGAAGATGGAGGATACCTGTCAGGAGATTGAGAACTGGAAAGAATCTTTGAAATTTCCAAGTGAGGACTAAGCTCTGATTTTTTATTTTGCCCAAATTCCTATCTAAGGGGTCTAAGAAATCATGCCTTACAAACCAAAAATTCTCATCAGATGGGTTTTATTTGACCCTATGTATCGTGACTTACTTTTCAATCTCACTCTGGAATAACATTGCGGGACAAGGAAAAAATATTTAACCCCAAAATATATTTCCTTGCCATACTTTGAAACTGCCTGGCAAAGTCTCTTGTGGGAAAAATCCACATCCTATAGATAACCCCCTTTCCCCCTTGTTTTTTTTTTTTTTTTTTTTCCTTTCCTTCCAGATTCAGAAAATAATCAGCTAAGAGCCGGGCACCCTTTTAGGTCTGATAAGAAACATTTTACAACCTGCTCCCTCTCTGAAGTCAGCTATCTGAGAGATTCCTCTGCACAATAAAAGTTGGCCTCCACAATCCTTTATCTTAACCTGAACATTCCCTTCCATTGATCCCAGGTCTTCGATAAACTCAACAAACTGTCAACCAGAAAATGTTTAAATTTACCTATAGCCCGGAAGCCCCTGCTTTGAGTTGTCCCGCCTTTCTGGACCAAACCAATGTATTTCTTAAATGTATTTGATTGATGCCTCATGCCTCCCTAAAATGTGTAAAACCAAGCTGTACCCCGACCACCTTGGGCACATGTTCTCAGGATCTCCTGAGGGCTGAGTCATGGGCCCTGGTGACTGACATTTCGCTCAAAATAAATCTCTTAATATATTTTACAGAGTTTGACTCTTTTTGTCGACATGAGCTAACATAGCTGAGTGAAAATGACCTGGGATATGTAAGTAACTTGAGTACTCTGAGTCAGTAGCAAATTCCATGAAAGAATATAGAGCCTGTTAGTAAAACCATCCCCACAGCGTTGTCAAGAATTGCGTGCTGGGTTCTGGATAGAAATATAGCTCTAATTAAGCATTCATCAGGCTGCACTTGGCTCACTTCCTTGTTGCCGAAAGTCAGGTAGCACTCGATGCAGACCACCTCTCTCCTCACTGATTCTCCGGACAGGCTTTCTGATGTTAGGATCATAAGACTTCTGTTTAAGAATTGATTTGCATGCCTATTGCTCCTATAGATAAAATACCTGACATTAGAATCCTGAGGCTTTTGTTTAAAGATTGCTTAAGATGTTTTTCTGATTCTGAATTCCAGTGAAACAGCTGATGCAAACCAGTTTGAAAACATCCACAGAAAAATAGAATCAGCATGAGAGTGCAGTTTCTTCATTTCCCTGTCCCATGACTCAACCCTGCACTCTGACCAATCAATAATTTCCACACTTCAGCCCACTCCAAAATCCTTAAAATCCTAGCCCCAGCTCCTGGGGGAGACATTTTTGAGATTTCCTCTTATCTTCTCATTTGGCAACCTTGTGATTAAACCTCTTTCTCTGTGGCAACTCGGTGTCTCAGCATCCTGACTTGCTGTATGTATTGAAAAATGGACCTACTGTGATTACATTAGGAGATGGCCACAAAGGGATGCTTATCCAATAAACATTTATTTTCCTCCATTATAGTTTTTGTGCAAGATCTTTTTTTTATTAAAACTATAGATTTTGGAAAAGCAAAATACATATCTAAGTTATTTTTTAATTTTTTCTCACAGCTTAACACAATGACTGGCACAGAGCTTTTGCTCAATATATATGTGTTAGAGAAAGAACTGAGAAGCTTCCATTTCTAGCACAATTGCAGATTAGATAATCTAAAAATCTCTCTTAAAAAACACCTAGAAATGCTGCATAAACTGTAGCAAGAAATTCTCAACAGAGAAAGGCAAAGAAAATTCCCTTCTAGATTCTGGCAGTGGGAGAAGAGTCACCACTGTGAAATACTCCTAGAACTTTCTCCCTAGCAAAGGCCTGCTCTCCATAGTGAAGGATAACCTAGTATTATCCCACCTGAGGGAAGGATATTTTTCTGACTCCAGACCCCTCTAGCTTTCCTGTGTCATCTGAGGGAGAAAAACAAAACAAAACAAAAACAAAACAAAACAAAACTAGAAAATATTTATGAAGGTCGCATACCAAGGAGGCCACATACCAGGAAGGCCACTAAAAGAGTGGGATTTAATCATAAGATTATACAGTAGTTTCTCTCCCCTATAACTTTTTAACATCTCACCAACAGGGGTCCAGTCCAGTAACAGTGGGTTACAGCAAAAAGAGCTGCAAGATAAAAGTTCTGTTTGAGAAGCATACAAGGAAGCTCAAAGTTAACAGTGCAGACAATGACAAGAACCCTGAAGGAATGTGAAGGGTCTGGCACCCACAGCTACAGCAAACATTAAACATAGCCCAACTCTTTGTCAGATTATCATAAAACTTCACAGGAAAGGCCTATTTATCTCAGTTTCTATTCCCTAGCACATCGTGTTCAGATTTTCATAAAAATGTACAAAGCATGCTAAGAGACAAGAGAAACACAGTCCGAGACACAAAGCAAGCATCAGAACCAGACTTAGATATGATACAGATACTAGATTATCTGACAGGGAATTTAAAAACTATGATTAATATGCTAAAGATGCTAATAAAAAAATTAGACACCATATAGAGATGGATAATGTAAGCAGAGAGACAGAAGATACATAAAAGAATCAAAAGGAAATGCTATGAATCAAAAGAAATAAAGAATGCTTTTGATGCACTCATCGGCATACTGAAAACAGCCAAGAAAGGAATTTAAAGATGGAGTCTATAAAAAATTCCCAAACTGAAATGTAAAGAGAAAAAATGTGAAAAAAAAAAAAGATCCAAAAGGTCCAAGAATTGTTAAACAACTTGAAAAAACATAAACCATGCACCCCAAATGGCAGGAGAAAGGGACAAAAAAGCAGAAAAAATATTTGAAGAAATAATGGCTGAGAATTTCCAGAAATTAGTGACAGACAGCAAAACACAGCTGTAGAGAATTCAGAAAACACTGAGCATAATAAATTTAAAAAAAAATTGAAACCTGAGAAAATCTTGAAACAATACTAGAGAAATAAAACCCCTTACAAGTAGAGGAACAAAATAAATATTACAGTTTACTCCTCATCAGAAACCATGCAAGCAAGGGAGAGTGGAGTGAATACTTTACATACTAGATGAAAAAAAATCACCAACTTAGAATGTCTATGCCCAGAAAAATTATCCTTCAAAAGTGAGGGAGAAATAAAAACAGTCTCAGACAAACAAAAACTCAGGGAATTTCTCACCGGTAGACCAGCCCTTCAAGAAGTGTTGACAGAAGTTCTTCAGGGAAAAGAAAAATTATATCGTTCAGCAATTCTGATCTATATAAAGGAAGGAAGATCATCGCTTAAATAACAAATGAGAATAAATCTTTTGTTTCTCTTATTCATATTAATGTATCAATTAATACATTAATTTATTACAATTAATGTATTAATTGTATAATTGTACAATTGTATTAATTAATACAAACATATTAGTACATACAAATGTATTAATACAATTAATGTATTAGTACATACATTTTTGTTTAAGGTAATAGTAGCAACAATGTATTGGGTTATTACTGCCAAGGGCTAAGCAAAAGGACAGCAATGCTGTACTAGATAAGAAGAAGCAATTGTGAAAACTCTGTTACATTTGAACTATATTTGAAGCAGCATAGTGATAATTTAGGTGGACTTATATTAGTTAAAAACATATATTGCACTTCTAGTGAAACAACTAATGTTTTTTAAAAAAGTATAATTGATATGGCAAGAGAGAAGATAAAATGGAATCATAAAAATGTTCAATTAAAGCCAGATAAAGCATAAGAAGAGGGGAAGAAAACAAAGAACAAATGTAGTGAATAGAGACTAGCCATAAAAATGATAGAAACTGATTCAATCATACTCATAATAAACCAATAAAAATTGTCATCATGAATAAAAAATAAAATTATATTGTTTAAAATAAATCTACTTTAAATATAACAGCTCAGATAGGTTGCAAGTAAAAAGGTAAAGTAAATTTTACCATGGTAAATCTAACCAAAAGAAAGCTGGAGTATGTATATTAATATTAAACAAGACTTCAGAGCAAGACAAGTTATTAGAGATAGAGAGAGGTATTACGTACTGCCAAAAAGGTCAATTTTCCAAAAACATGTAACAATCTAAGTATATGTGACTTAACAATAGAGCATCAAAATACATAAAGCAAAAACTAATAGGACTGAAAACAAAAATAGTCAAATGCACTGTCACAGTTGGAGATTTCAACATGCCTGTTTTTGCAATTGATTGATAAGTCAAACAGGCAGAAAATCACTCAGGATATAGTTGACCTGCACAGCACTATCAATTAACTTAGTCAAATGGACATTTATAGAATATTCCATCCAACAACAGCAGCATACACATTCATCTTAAGCTTATGTCGAATATTCATCAAGATAAATAATACTCTGGGTCCTAAAACCCATCATAAGAAGTTTAAAATAATTAGAATCATACAAAGTATGTTCCCAGACCAAAATGGAATTAAACTAAAAATACATACCAGAAAGATAGCTAGAAAAGCCACAAATATTAAAAAATGTAAATATATCCTGGTAAATGAGCCATGCCAAATAAGTAGTCTGAAGATAAACCAGAAAGTATTTTGACCTAATTGAAAATACAACTTCTCAAAATTTGGGAGACGTAGAGAAAGGAGTGCTCAGAGTCCATATGTTACAAATCAATAAAGGACTAAAAGCAATAATCTAAGCTTCCACCTTAGTAATAAGAGAAAGAAGTACAATATATATCTGATGGAAGTAAATAAAATAACAAAAATTAAAGTAGAAATACAAAAGATGAAAAAAGAAGAAAATCAAACTAACCAAAAGATAGTTCTTTAAAAAGATAGATGCACTTGATAAAATCTAGCTAGCCTAGCACAGAAAAAGAGAGAGAGAGATAGACAGAGAGAGAGCACAAGAAATGCAGGAGTGGTCATTACTACTACTAACATGGGTATTAAAAGGAGAATAAAATAACACTATGAACAACTTTATGTCCACAAATTGATAGTTTTTATATATGATCAATACCAAAAAAAGACCCAAAAATACCAAAATCACACAAGGAGAAGCAGAACATTTGAATAGCCCTATAGCTATTAAAGAAATTGGACAAATAATTAGTAATCTTCCAAAAAAGAAAAGTACCATGCCCAGATGGTTTCAATGGTTAATCTTACCAAACATTAAGGAGAAAATGACTTTATTTTTTTACAACCTCTTCCAGAAAATAGAAGCACAGGTAATGCTTCCTAATTCATTTTATAAGTCCAGGATTACCTTGACTCCAAAATCAGACTAAGGCACATCCAAAAAAGAAAACTACAAATCAATATCTTCAATGAACACAGGCACAAACATTCTCAACAAAATATGAGCAAATCAAATCCAGCAATGTATCAAAAATCTATTCATCATGACCAAGAGGAATTTATTCTAGGTATGCAGGGCTATTTTATCATTTGAAAATCAGTATAGTTAATCTTTTATATCAACAGGCTTAAAGGAAAAAATGTATTATTATATCTGTAGATGCAAAGAAAAGCATTTGACAAAGTATAATACCTATTCAGGATAAAAAAAAAACTCAGCACACTAGAAACAGAGGGAACTTTCTCATCTTGGTAAAGAATACTTATAAGTATTCTACTTCTGGCATTATATTTAATGGTGAGAAACTGGTTGTTTTCCCCCAAATACTGGGAACTGGCAGGATGTCCACTTCCATTTCTCCTATTCTGCCTGCCACTGGAAGACCTAGTGAAGGGAGCAAAACAAGAAGATAAAATAAAAGGCATACAGATTGGGAAGGAAAACATAAAACTACTTTCACTCACATCTAACAATTATACGTGTCGACAATCTTAAAGATTCAACAAAAATACTTCTGGAATTGATAAGCGACTGTAGCAAGGTTGTGGACTGTAATGTTAATATAGTAGAGGCAACTGCATTTCTATATACCAGCAATAAATGATTGGAATTAGAATTACTTTTTAAAAATACCACTTACAATAGCACCAAAAATCATGGAATACTTAAGGTATAAGCCTAATAAAATATGTATAGGGTCTATATACAAAAATAAAACTGATGAAAGAAGTCAAGAAAGGTCTAAATAAATGGAAAGATAGTTCATATTTCTTAATCTGAAGCTCAAATTAAAATGTCAATTATTCTCAATTTTAATAAATTCAACATGATCCTGATGAAAAGTTCAACAAACCATTTTATATGTATCCACAAACTAATTCTAAAATGTACATAAAGGCAAAAAACCCTAGAATAGCTAACACAATACTGAAGAAGAAATGTAAGTTGAAGATGCATACAACCCAATTTCAAGATTGTTATAAAGCTCCAAGCATCAAGACAACATGATATTAGCAAAGGAATAGATAGACAGATCAAAGGAACAGGCTAGTCACCTTATCTATGACAAAGGCTCTGAAACTATTCAACAAAGAAAGGATTCTCTTTTCAACAAATGAGGCTAAAACAGTTGGATATTTATATGAACAAACAATAAACCCCAGACAGACTTTACCCTTTTCACAAAAATTAATTCAAAAGATATAATGAACTTAAGTGTCAAATGCAAAATTACAAAACTTTGAAAACAGCAGAGAAAATCTAGGTGAATTTGGGTTTGGTGATGAGTTTTTAGATACTCCACCAATCCATGAAAGTTAGATTTGATAATTTTTCTTAAAACAGAAAACTTCTTTTTTGTGAAAGTCACTCTTAAGGGAGTCAAAAAAGCAAACCCAGACTGGGAAAAATATTTGCAAAACACATATTTGATAAAGGACATATATCTAAAATATGCAAAAGCTCTTAAGAATAAAAAAAAATCCCAAGTAAAAAATAGGCAAAAGATCTAAACAGGCAAACCTCACCAAAGAAAGAAAATACACAGAAGGCAAATAAGCATATGGCCAACATGATTTGTCATTAGGGAACTGCAAGTTTAAACAACAATGAGATATCACTACACATGTATTATCCACATAGGACAGGTGGAATCCCATATAACCAACTTGCTACTCACTTGTGGTACCCCCCAAGGACCTAGCACCATCAAAGAAGCTCAGCACTGATTTCCATGGTAATGGCAGTTATATCAGCCTTGGGAAGGGAGTTATTTCCATGTATAACCTCCATCCTTCTGCCAAAGAACCCATTGAGCAGCAGGTGCTGGGGTGGATAAGGAAAGATAACTACTGTTCACAGCAGAATCATGTTCACCATCTGATGCCTCCTCTACTTATCTGGTGCCTCCTCTGAAATGGGTATCTTCACACTTGGTGTCCCTCCCAAGAATCTGTCCACCCATTTCTTCCCCAGGCCTCTTTATTACAAATATTCTAAGTATGCTACTTCTAAGTCCCAAAACAACTGATCAAATGATTAACTACTGCTATGGTCTGAATGTGTCCCCCACAGTTCACATGATAAAAATTTAATCCCCAATGCAAGGCTTGGGAAAGTGGGGCCTAATGGGAGGTGTTTAGGGCGGAGCCTTCATGAAAGGGTTAGTGCCCCTATAAAAAGGGCATGCAAGACTGGGCTCTGTCTCTCTTCTGCTCTTCTTCCATGTGAGGACATGATATTTCTCCTCTCCAGAGGATGCACCACCTTGACACTGGACTTCTCAGCCTCTGGAACGGTGAGAAATAAATTTCGGTTCTTTTTAACTATGCAGCCTCAGGTATTCTACTATAGCAGCATAAATGAACTAAAACAGCTACTGTCCATGAACTAATGTCAATCAATAGCTTATCCCCCTACCCCTTCAATCACACCAGGATCAGCATGACCTGGTTATTCGGTGTTTTTATCTTTCTTGGTTATCTTTTTAATAAAGTGTATGGGATGTGGTATGATGGCAATGACACTTGACCAGGAGCTGAAAGTTGGAAAACCCCGTTAGGAGTGTGGTCTAGGACAAGTAACTATGTAACACCCTATTTTAGCTCATTTGTTTTGCTACAAAGGACTACCTGAGGCTGGGTAATTTATAAAGAAAAGAGGTTTTTTGGCTCATGGTTCTGCAGGCTGTATAAGCAGCATGGTACCAACATCTGCATCTGGTGATCAATTCAGGCTCTTTCCATTCATGCTGGAAGGGGAAGGGGAGCTAGCATGTGCAAAGATCATATGATGGGGCCAGAGGGCTGGAGGTGCTTTTTTAAACAATCAGCTCTCATTGGAACAAACAGAGTGAGAACTCATCACTGTGAGGACAGCACCAAGACATTCATGAGGGATCCACTGCCATGACCCAACACTTCCCATCAGGCCCCACATCCAACATTGGGGATCACATTTTAACATGACATTTGGAGGAGTCAAATATACAAACTATAACTCATCTCTTTGCCTCAGGATTTTTATCTGTAAAATCAGTAGACTGAAGTAGATGAAGTTTGAAATACAGGGATTGGTTTTGTGGTTGTAAAAATTGGAGTCTAAAAACTTAAGATAATTTAAAGGATAAATGTGTTTATATTTTATCTCATCTACAGCCATGTAGGAATTTGAATAATTTTGCATTTTAAAATTGTTAGTAAATACATTTAAAATTGTTTTATAATGGATGCATTTTTTTTTTTTTTTTTGAGATGGAGTCTCTCTCTGTTTCCCAGGCTGGAGTGCAGTGGTGCGATCTCAGGTCACTGCAACCTCCACCTCCTGGATTCAAGCGATTATTGTGCCTCAGCCTCCCAAGTATTGGGATTACAGGTGCCTGCTACCATGCTCAGCTATTTTTTATTTTTTTGACTTTTAGTAGAGACGAGGTTTCGCCATGTTGGCCAGGCTGGCCTTGAACTCCCGACCTCAGGTGATCCATCCACTTGGCCTCCCAAAGTGCTGGGATCACAGGTGTGAGTCACCACACCCAGCCTGGATGCATATTTTTACAAACTTCTTTCATATAATTGTTTATGTTAGATATTCCAGTGTAATATTGATTGTATAATATTTATGGTGATAATTATAGTCAATATTTATTGGCCACTCGCTTTGGATAGGCACCATGCTTATTTCTAAATGTGCATCATTTCATGCAGTTTTCACCACGACTCCATAAGGTTTAGATTGGATTCCCCTTGGAGAAGAGCTTTGGATGCAAAAAGATGATTTGAAAAGTGATAAGAAGAATTACAAGTGAAACAAGAAAAAGAAGGGAAAAGTGTAATAATGAGCATAATACCGCTGTGAGCGACTGGGGCTCAAATCCTTCGAGGACCCTCTGTAAGACTGTTTGAAACACAAGTCACACCTCCTCCATTAAGACAGGGGGTCTCCCTGCTGAAAGTCCAGCTCTTGTTGATTGATGGTGTTCTCAAGGCACTGATTCCTGCACTTCTGCCTGCCTAGAGAGAGGGCAAGCATGGCCTGTGGCCAGAGAATACTTTCAGGCAGAGTAATACAGGAAGAGGGGTCAGGATGGGGGGGCATTCAGAGAGACTGATGCAATACAAGCAGGCTGTCAACAGCATCTGGTGCAACTGTTATTTTTGTTCTTTTATAAATTAAGAAAATGCCTAATGGCACATGAGCAGCTAGTGGAGGAGCCCAGTTTTGAAGCCAGGCAGTCTGGCCCCAGAGTCTACACTGTATCTTGAAATGAAGATGTAGTCAAAATTTCATTAGGATCTCTAACAGGGTTGTAAATGCCTCACTTTGCAAGAGTTATAAGAATTTAAGCTTGTACTCATAATACCATTTTGGAAGGTTAAATGTCATTCTAAAATATTGAGTTTTAATCTTGGAGGTTTCATTCCCTCTGAAATACTTGCTGCAGGATTCTGACAGGTGAAAGCTTATTTTTTTTTTCTATCTCAGAAATACTCTTTTTTGAATCCAAGAAGACAATGCAAATCTTTATTCATCATTCATTAATTCCTCTTCTTTAAACCTCCTTTATTCACGGAACCTTATATGAACATTGTTCTACTCCAGTAAATACATACCCAGAGTATCATTTTTATTGGCTGTCATGCATATTTAGACTATTCTCAAGTTTCCTGTTACATAATTCCTATACTTTTGCATATGACTATTTGAGAGAAATATTACAGGAAAGCACTTCTATGAAGGGAAAAGACGTGAAAACAGATGTGACATTTACTTTCTTAACTTGCTTTCCTGTAAGCATTCTTGCTACTAGTTGCTGCAACTCGTCTGAGAGAGTCCCAAAATGTTGCTCTTCAACCCCAAATGTCTGGAGTCTCTGCCATCTGTTTTTCCTCCTGTATACTCTAAAGAGAACTTGTATAAATAAAAGAGATAAAGCACCTATTTACTGAGGAGCCAAGGAATCAAAGTATATCATCCAGTGGGGATGAATTAAAATTCCAAATTAGAAGGTAATTCTTAAAGGCTTAAATGAATACAAGCAATCCCCTTGGTGGGTTTCCCTTGCCAGGAGTACCAAATAATTCCAACTTTTTAAAGTACACCATGGTCTGATTCATTAACTTTTGGATGGGAGCAAGAAAAGGAGAAAAGTAAATGGAGTTTATCACTGCAGCACAAGAAGATTTTCTGGTAATGGCACTAAGTGACTGCCCTTGCACTCAGAAAACACTGATCGAGCCAACAGTGTTCAGGAGATTGCATGCTTAGAAATCCTCTGTGGTCTCCATCAAAATTGAGAAACTGAGGTACCAATCATGATGCATAATGCAAGCACAAACCAAAATCTTGGCAAATCTGGGGTTAGAAGCCTCAGCAAGATGGGAATGTGATGTAGTGGCATTCGTGGGACCAAGAAGCCTCAGTGAGAAGGCATAGATAACTTAAGAACTACACAAATCGAAGAACATCTTTGTATGGTGTTGACAGCTGATTCAACTTGTCCAACATAACCTTGGATCTTTTTGGGAGGAGATGAATTCTGACCTCTGTGGACACGGCTGAAGGGACCCACATCATCCAAAGTTATACTTCCACTCCAGGGCAATTGACCTCCAATCACTGGATATGGGGTCAAAAGTCTGCCCCTCTTTTCTCCATTTGGGATGACCCTAAAGATTCCCTAGCCCAGAGCTCTCTGTGGGATCATCTGAGAGTACCCTATACCATGTATGGGAGTCTGACTGATCTCTCTGCCCAATGTTTCCCTCCTGTTCCTCCTACAGTTGTGGACTGCAAGGGAACTCTTCAATCAACTCTCTGCATGTAGATCTCCATCTGTTTCCTGGGAAACCAAACCCAATACATGAGGCTATCTTCAGCTGTCTTTACATATTTAAGAGTAAGACATTAAAGAACCAAACAGAAAGTGTGTCAAGATGTTGAAACATTTAATTAACTTTTAAGATTCATTCTAGAAGTATTGGAAGAGGAGTCAACTCTTTCTTTGCGGAATGCTCCAATATTGGGATATGAAAGTCCATTCTGAGAAGCCATTGAGTTATAGCGGAGAACACTCTTCCATATTCTGTCTGTCAATATGTTGAAACATTTAATTGACTTTTAAGATTCATTCTAGAAGTATCGGAAGAGGAGTCAACTCTTTCTTTGCAGAATGCTCCAATATCAGGATACGGAAGTCTATTCTGAGAAGCCATTGAGTTACGGCAGAGAACACTCTTCCATATTCTGTTTGGGTCTAAAGCCCCACCAGTAATGTTCTCTGAGTTGGGCAGAATATGGAGGTTGATCTGTGAAGATATGGGAAAGAGAAGTGTGGGGACATGAGGACACTATTTGTGGCAGAGAGCAGAAGTGAGGCACAGGGCTGAAAATAAGATAGTTCAATACAGGTCTGCCTAGGAAGTAATTGGGCCTCATGTTCCCATTCCCTGACTCGTTTTCTTTCAACCTTTTTTTTTTTTTTTTGATACAGTCTCACTCTGTCACCCAGGGTGGAGTGCAGTGGCACAATCTCGGCTCACTGCAACCTCTGCCTCCCAGGTTCAAATGATCCTCCCACCTCAGCCTCCCCAGTAGTTGGGATTAAGGTGCCTGCCACCATGCCTGGCTAATTTTTGTATTTTTAGTAGAGATGAGGTTTTATCATGTTGGCCAGGCTGGTCTTGAACTCCTGGCCTCAGGTGGTTCACCCGCCTCAGCCTCCCAAAGTGCTGGGATCACAGCCATGAGCCACCGCACCTGGCCCAACTCATTTTCTAAACATCGGAAACCAGGCCAGCTGCAGCCTCCTTCCCAGGATGACAATGGGGTAGTAGTGTAGAGAGATGCCATTTTAATTCATTGACTTTCAATCAAGTCATTAGTATTTGCTTTCAGTCCAATTTCTCAACTCAGCCTTCCGTGAGCCTAAGCCAAACCCCTGACCATTTCAAAGGATCTACAGGCCTAATTAGCTTAAGTGTCATTACTAAGCTTCTCTGCAGACACTAGCTTTTGTCTTCACTGATCATTAAACTGGTCACCAACTCTGGCTCCATTCGCCTTCGAACATCTGCCCTTAACACTCCTTTGTTGCTGTCCAATGTACTGACCTTTCTGCCTCTTTGTTCTTAGCCTTTATCTCTGTCTCTTTTACTCTTCTCTGTCCTCCCTCCAACTCCAATCAATCCAACTCCTAAGCTCCATAATACATTTTTTAAAGAAAAACAGCAGTTGTTCAACAGACTCTTATTTTTCCCAGCTGATTCATTATTTTCCATTTATGTAAAATAAAATTCTAATTTTAAATTTTAATCCATGGACAAATTCTGCTGCATCCTTTTCACTTTCTCCCCATCATCATTCATCACCAGATCCATTTGGGGAAGGACTGGCCAAGTTCTATTTTCCTAGGACAGAGCAGCTCAAGAGGATATACGGTCACTTAATTCCATCAGAGCCTCATGAATGATGCTAGTTGTTTAAATGGGTGCTTGGCTGAGTCCATCTCCCAGGCAAAGCATAAGTCAGACAAGTGGAAAGGCCACAGGGTGTGCTGCTTCTATGCAAATGATCTTTGTTCCAACCCCACAAACACTTTTTGCTGTTGTTACCATGGGTTGCTTTGAAACAATTCTGCTTTCTTTTGTTTCACTGATTCATGCTGTATCCTGCCCAGAAAACTAGTTTTGACACCTCCTACATCTTCTGATTTCTCCCACAAACAAAAGAGTCAGACTGGAAAATAAAAAGAATGTATCTGGCTAGTGAACTGAGGAATTCAAAGAATGTTCTTTCCTTATATTCTTTCCCTACCCACTGTGGAGATATTACTGTCCTCACTCGGTTATTAAGAAATTCAATGGAAAAGTATGAGGTCAGTTATATTTCCTTCTTAGAGATGACTGAGATTTTAGCTAAAAGGATCAAGGAATTTTTATTTTTATTTATTTAATCTTTCCAATTCAGTAACTTCATGGGGATACGACTTAGTGTTGATCATCCAGATCTATTGTTACTTTTAAATAACCCAGACTGTAGTGATTTTTTTTTAACTAAAGAAATCGTAGTTTATTTTTAAAACAAGGAATATATTTTCTGTTTCTTCATTCTGAAAACACTAGTTATATGGAACTGGCTTTTTTTTTTTTTTTTTTTTTTTTTTTTTTGCCAGACTCACATATCAATCAACTTCTCTGCAATATTTTCTCTCTTCGTTTTTTCCCACTTTCTAGTTCTTCCTCTGCAATTCACCTAAGTCTAGTCTCCCTGACCCTGACTGAGTCTTCAGGGCAATTCATTTCTGTAATGCTTTCAGTTTTATTTTACATTTCTTTCTCCCAGCTTGCATATTATCTTCAATTGCCCACATTTTCTTTTTTGATTTTAAATCTTTGTCATATTTTTTCACACAGTTCATGTTTACTTTAATTGCCTAAAGGGAAGGGATATTTATTTCAAAATCTCTGTTTCCTATTGTGATTCTTCAGAATCATATTCTACTTTTTTTTTTTTGTTTTTTTGAGATGGAGTCTCGCTGTCACCCAGGCTGGAGTATAGTGGCACGATCTCAGCTCACTGCAACCTCCGCCTCCTGGGTTCAAGTGATTCTCCTGCGTCAGCCTCCTGAGTAGCTGGGATTACAGGTGCCCGCCACCATGTGCAGCTAATTTTTGTATTTTCAGTAGAGATGGGGTTTGACCATGTTGGTCAGGCTGGTCTCAAACTCCTGACCTCATGATCTTCCCGCCTTGGCCTCCCAAAGTGCTAGGTTTACAGGCGAGAGCCACTGTGCCAGGCTTCTACTATTGTTTTTTACACCTTTCTTTCTTTCTTGTGTGTGTTTGTATGTGTTGTGTTTACACTGGTACATGTTTACACTGGTTTACACAAGGTCACTGTGTGCCTGCCTTTGCTTCTCTGACATTGGCCGTTTGTCTCTAAGGTAATCATGTGTGGTAGCGATGGGGAGGGAGACAAAATGAACAGAATCAGTGGCGACTTCGGTTGTGCTAGATTCATTTTTCTCCCCATGTGATGCGAGCACAGCCCAGGGCACTCACTCCGCCTCACAATTCCCATCCATGCTTGGCAGTGAGATGAGACTGACACGATCCATAGTCATACCCCTCCAGCCCAGGTCTCTGTTGGGTGACTGAGTACTTACTTTTTCTGCTTGTCTGATTCTAAATAGCAGCATGTACTTGTATCCATTTGATTTCTTCCCCTCTTCTTTTCACCACTGTTTAATCCACTTCTACAGGTAAGGAAGTCAGGTCACAGGAAGTTAAAATGTTGCTTATCTGCAGAATTTATAATTGTGACCCCATTTCCTCTGCCATTCTGTGGTATTTAGCTCAATACTTAGGGGGATGTTCTCAGGCCCCCCACTCATGTTGCTGTATCTCACTGTATTCAGGAAGGACTGCTGTTTGAGGCTTACCTGGTAGTGTAACATATGTGTGTATATATGCTGCATCCTGCTCACATTTTGGAGGGCTGCATTTTGTCTCTCAGCAACCCCACTCACTATGGTTCAAAATTTAACTATGTGGAAGAGCTTCTTCTTACCAAAAAGAAAAAAAAAGCAAGTTCTGAAAGGCTCACTGAAAGCCCATCTTTAAAAATATAAACTCTTCAATTAATATTAGGCCAAAAGACATCAAACAATCCCTGGTTGCTAGACTAACCAAAGATGTGAAAATATATTTAAATTTTTGACATTCATTTTGTTGGTCAGTTTGTCTTGTATTTTGTAATTCTTCTGAGTGCACATTAACAATCGTTTTCATGTGGCATCTGAATCATTCTGACCTCTGAATTGTTTCTACTTTAAATAATTAATTCCGTAAGTACATCAAATATTCTTATTTCCTTTCTCTTTTAAATTTCTCTGTAGATCTATTTTCATGTTAATTTTAATCATGTCCCTCTTCTCCTTTTAACATTCCCATTGCTTTTTGATTTGTGAGACCAAAAGGCACACAGAGAACAAAATTTCTGAACACTCTGAGCAATGGTGAGAAGGTTGTTTCCAACTATCAGTAAACTGCAGAATTGGTACAATGCACATTTGTGAGAGTTTGTTAGTGGAAATTCTACATGTTGAGGAGCCTCCATATTTGGCAGATATTTTTTAGCGTCTTAAGCTTGGGGATATGATTCTTGGCAAATAATATTCGAAATTAGTATTCCTTTTCTTATTTTTATTTTTGCCTTATGAGTTTTGGTAGGCTGCAGAAAGTACAACTGAGTAAACACATCTTGACTCTGCTGAACTTCTTTTGCATTCCCTCCTGTCACATGAAGGAATGAATGGATATTGCAAGGCACATTTTTTATGATGCTCAACAAATGTGTCAGTTATACAGATCTAATTTTGTTGAACTTGATGAACAGGCAAAGAGACATTAGGAATATTCTAAATTTATACTCTAGCCCGAGGTGTGAACACGGCTTCTCACAAATTGTTGCAAGCTGGCATGGCTGTTCTATTTAAGTTTTAAATTTTATTTATTTATTTTTTTTTTTTGGTAAATATTATTAGACATTACAATGTTTCTTTATGAGACTGGTAATATTTTGTATGCCATTATATAGCTGACCTAAATATATTTCAAAGTCTTATACACAACTTTTAAGTAAGAGATCTGACAAATGAAATTTTACTTTCTATTAAAATATAGTGAGAGAATGCAGGCTTATTTGAGGATGTAAAATAAATGGAAACCATGTTACACTTCTACTGTAACAACAAGGAAAATCCAGATATTGACAAAATCAATGTTTTTAGAATCAATCAGAGAGCTGAGGTGGCAGAGCAATCAAGCAGCCTGAGATCTAAGGAAAGAGAAGCACTTCCAAGGATTGATGATATGTGAGCACTGACTTGAGGTAGAGGTAGACAGGACTGCCATGCAAGCCATATAAGCAGGTAAGATGGCAACCAACATTTTTAATGAATTGTTAAAGGCCAACAGCAGATCAACATGAGAGGACCTTAAGAGTCTCAGACACTCCCTTGCAGGCTCTTCTCCATGGCCCTCATAAAAACCAATTTGAGTCAAGCAGGAAACCAGAGGGAGATTCCCTTGGAGGTATAGGTCTGAAAAAAGGGAGGATCTGCTACTGCAGGAAATGCAGATAGCCTCACCTGTATCAATCATCCATACAATGCAAAAGCCTTAGGCTACTGGTCAAAGAGCAGGAAAAACATGTTGCCCCCAAAACAAAGGTGAAAATTTGCTGAAGGTTGAAAATAGGAAAAAACGAAACCTTTTAATTCTGGGGAGAGGTAGGAAACCATCCTGGGCTCAGGGAATTAGAGATTGCCTACTGCTGGCAGAAGGGCAGGGCTACTGACAAAGCTCCACCACTATGACCCAGAGATAGAGGACTTGCCTAACACATTCTGGACCGAGAATATAGCACTCCACAGTCAGAGGAGAGGGCGAGACTGTGGAGAGAGATTCCCCTTGAGGATCAGGTACTTGAGGAAGTTCTAAACCTGAAGGTGATAAATTGGCTCCCACGCTAAGCTTGAGTTAACACTAGAGGAATGTGAATCCAGTGATAGTTTGATGGTAACCATAAGAACAAAATATGTAACCCAGTTAAAGTTGTGATAAATTGATCCAATCTCTTTTCCACTCCCAATATTAAAACCAAGAAGAAGAAGAGCTATGCCAATTTTCAGGCATAAATACTATTTACCTCATTTCCTACTATTTTATGCTCAATGTCCACCCTTCAACCAAAAATTATGAGACACACAAGACAGCATGAACAAATAAACCACTGTCAATACTACTGTCGACAGACAATCAACAAAACTAAATTCAAGTATAAACCTGATGTTTAAACTATCAACCAGGGAATTTTTAAGAAATCTATAGGTAATATGTTAAAGGCTGTAGTGAAAAACATACATGAACAGTTGTAGAGTATTATCAGAAAGATAGAAACTAAAAGCAAGAATCAAACAGAAATTCTAGAAATAAAAACCAGTAAGAATTCTGTTGAGAAGGTCGTCAGTGGACATGAGACAGCTGAGGAAAAAAATCTGTGAACATAAAGATATGCCAACTGAAATTACCAAAACTGAAATACGAAGAGAAAAATACAAGTTTAAAGAAATCTAGAACAAAGCACTCAAGAGCTATGGGATAACACCAAATAATTTAACCTATGTGTAATAGGACTTTCAGGAGAAGCAGAGAGAATAAAACATAAGAAATATTTAAAGATATATTAGCCATATTGACATAGACCCAAGGAGCTCAGAGAATGTAAAGTAAGATAAATATCCAAGGGGAAAGGAGGAATATAAATATATTTAAATGGTTAAAAAAAGATGAAGAGAAATTATTGAAGACAGCTGGAGAAATATAACACATGACATACAGAGGAACGATGATAAGCATTATAGGAGACTTTTAATAAAAAACCATGCAATCCAGAAGAAAGTGGAGGGGGCAAGGTCAAGATGGCAGACTAGAAGCAGCTCATGTGCACCACTCTCAGAGAGAGGAAACAAAAGTACTAGTGAGCAGTGACTCTGCAGGCCAATCATCTGAGAAACCACACTGGGATACATCAAGACAGCAGGCAGACACAGAGAGCAGAGAGGAGAGAAGCTGGACATCAGCCTGTCTAGGCTCAACATGCAGCCAGGAGGACCTCTCTAACATGGGAAATACTGAGTGAGTGAGAGCCCTCAGGGGATTCATGCTCTCCACCTGTGCAAGATTAGAAATGGGAGAATTTCCCTGGCCACCCCTCCCCACACCCACTCCCCACCAGACTTATAGACTGAGGCAGAGAGCCACCCATTTGTTTTGCAGATGCAACTCTTGAGTCCAAGGGGACCTCTATAAGCCTCATGACCCAGAGCAGACCATCACAGGAGCCGTATCCCCAATAGAGGCTGCAGTTGTGGTGCCCATGAGCAGCAAGATTGCTCTACCCCTCCTGGTCAGATGGAGAATGGTGCCAGCTTCTGGCCCAGTGGTCCTTCTTTGGCCTGAACTTGGCCAGCCACTCCACCCACTCCTGCCACTGGTATCCAGGTGAGCAACACCTACTAAAGCTTCCGGTCCTGTGGTCCCCACTTCTGTCTGAACTCAGCTAGCAGATACAGTCTCCTGTTGTCCCAGGAAGCACCTGGATGGCAGAGCCAGCAACCTCACCCACACCTGCTGCTGATGGCCAAGCAGGCAACACCTGCTAGGGTTCTCAGCCCAGTTGTTCTGCTTCTATGGGAACTCAACTGGTGGGCACAGCCTCCTGTTGTCCCAGAAAACACCTGGACAACAGGGTGCATGATCATACCCATTCCCACCACTGATAGGCAGGAAGGCAGGCAGCACCTGCTAGAGCTTCGGGCTCAATGGCCCCACTTATATGTGAACTCCACTAGAGGTCACAGCTTCCTGTTGTCCCAGTAAATACCCAGATGGCAGGGCAGGCATCCTCACCCACCTCTACTGCTGGTAGCCAGGTGAGCCATGCCTGCTAGGCACAGTGGTCCTTCTTCTGCCTAAATTTCCTAAGGGGTGCAGCTGCCTGTTGCCATGGAAACACCTGGATGGCAGGACAAGCAACTCTACTCACCGCCACCTGTCATATCCGGATGGGCCATACCTGCTACAGCTTCCAACCAACTGGACTTGCTTCTGCCTGAACTCTTAGGCAGGCACAACTCTTTGACAGCCAAAGCAGTGTCAAGAGCAAAGTTTATAGCACTAAATGCCCACATCAAAATGTTACAGAGAGCTCAAATTAGCAACCTAATATCACAATTAGAGAACTAGAGAAACAAGAGCAAACCAACTCCAAGACTAGGAGAAGACAAGAAATAGCCAAAATCAGAGCAGAACTAAAGGAAATTGAGGCAAAAACACTATACAACAAGTTAATAAACTCAGGAGCTAATTCTTTGAAAGAATTAGTAAGATCAGCAGACTGCTACCCAGACTAATAAAGGAAATAAAAGAGAGAAGATAAAAATAAACACAATCAGAAATGACAAAGGGGATGTTACCACTGATCTCACAGAAACACAAAAAACACTCAGAGACTATTATGAATACCTCTATGCACACAAGCTAGAAAACCCAGAAAAATGGATAAATTTCTGGAAACATGTAACTTCCCAAAATTGAGCCAGGAAGTTATTGAATCCCTGATTAGACAAATAATGAGTTCCAAAATTGAATTAATAATAAAAAGCCTACCAAACTGAAAAGGCCCAAGACCAGATAGATTCATAGCTGAATTCTACCAGATGTATGAAGAACTGGTACCATTCCTGCTGAAATTATTCAAAAAATTGAAGAGGAGGGATTTCCTTCCTAACTCATTCATCCTGATGCCAAAATCTTGCAGAGATGCAAGAAAAAAAGAAAACTTCAGGCCAATATCTTTGATGAACATAGATGCAAAAATACTCAATAAAATTCTAGCAAACAGAATCCAGCAGCAAAAGTCTTATCTGCCACAATGAAGTAGGCTTTATCCCTGGGATGCAAGGTTGGTTCAACACATGCAAATCAGTATGTGTGATTCATCATATAAACAGAACTAAAACCAAAACCACATCATCATCTCAATAGATGCATAAAAGACTTTTGATAAAATTCAACATACTTTCATATTAAAACCTCTCAACAATCTAGGGATTGAAGGACTACACCTCATAATAATAAGAGCCATCTATGACGAACTCACAACCAAGATCATACTGAATGCAGAAAATCTGGAAGCATTTTTCTTGAAAACCAGCAGAAGACAAGGATGCCCACTCTCACCACTCCTATTCAGCATAGTACTAGAAATTCTATCCAGAACAATCAGGCAAGAGAAAGAAAGAAAAGGCATCCAAACAGGAAGAGAGGAAATTAAACTATATCTGTTTATAGACAACATGATTCTATACCTAGAAAACCCCATATTCTCTGCCCAAAAGCTCCTTGATCTGATCAACAATTTCAGCAAAATTTTAGGATACAAAGTCAATGTACAAAAATCAGTTACATTCCTATGCACCAACAACATCCAAGCTGAGAGCCAAATTAAGAACACAATCTCATTCACAATTGCCAAAAAACAATAAAATACCTAGAAATATAGCTAACCAAGGAGGTGAAAAACATCTACAATGAGAATTTAAAAACACTGCTAAAGTAAATCAGATGGCACTAACAAATAGGAAAACTTTTCATGCTTGTGGATAGAAAGAATCAATATCACTAAAATGGCCATGCTGCCCAAAGCAATCTACAGATTCAATGCTGTTCCTGTCGAACAATGAATGAAATTCTTCACAGAACTAGAAAAACTATTTTAAAATTCATATGGAGCCAAAAAAGAGCCTAAATAGCCAAGGCAATCATAAGCAAATTAAGCAAAAAGAGCAAAGCTGGAGGCATCACATTCCTGACTTCAAACTATACTACAAGGCTGCAATAACCAAACAGCATGGTACTAATACAAAAACAGATATACAGACCAATGGAACAGAACAGACAGCTCAGAAATGAGGCTGGACATCTACAACCATCTGATCTTTGGCAAAACCAACAAAAACAAGCAATGGAGAAATGACTTTCTATTCAATAAATTGTATAACTGGCTAGCCATAGCAGAAGATTGAAATTGGACTCCTTAATTAAACTATATATAAAAATCAACTCAAGATGGATTAAAGATTTGAATGTAAAATCTAAAACTGTCAAAATCCTGGAAGATAACCCAAGAAATATTTCGGACATAGGACCTGGCAAAGATTTCATGATGAAGATACCAAAAGCAATTGCAGCAAAAACAAAAATGGACAAATGGGACCTAATTAAAGAGCTCCTACACAGCAAAAGAAACTACCAACAGGCTAAATAGACAACCTACAGAAAGGGAGAAAATATTTGCAAACTATGCGTCTGACAAAGGTCTAATATTCAGAAACTATAAGGAAGTTAAATTTACAAGCAAAAATCAAACAACCCCATTAAAAAATGGGTAAAGAACATGAATAGACACTTTTCAAAAGAAGACATACATGTGGCCAGCAAGAATATGAAGATAGGCTTATCATCACTAATCATTAGAGAAATGCAGATCAAAACCATAATGGGATACCATCTCACAGCAGTCAGAATGGCTACTATTAAAAACTCAAAAAACAGATGCTGGTGAGGTTGTAGAGGAAAGAGAACACTTATACACTGCTGGTGGGAATGTAAATTAGTTCAGCCATTTTGGAGATCAGTTTGACAATTTCTCAAGGAACTTAAAACATAATTACCATTTCATCCAGCAATGCCATTATTGGGTATATACCCATAGGAATATAAATTGTTCTGTTAAAAAGACACATGCACATGTATGTTCATCACTGCACTCTTCCCAATAGCAAAAGATGGAATCAGCCTAAGTGCCCATCAAGGTAGATTGGATTAAAAAATGTGGTACATATACACCATGGGATACTATGCAGCCATAAAAAGAGTGAGATCATATTCTTTGCAGCAACATAGATGGAGCTGGAGGCCATTATCCTAAGCAAACTAACACAGGAACAGAAAACTAAATACCACATGTTCTCACTTATAAGTGGGAGCTAAGCTTTGAGTACATAGTGACACAAAGAGGAGAACAATAGACACTGAGGCCTGCTTGAAGCTGCAGGGTGGGAGTAGGGAGGGGATTGAAAAACTACCTATCAGGTACTATGCTTATTTCCTGGGTGACAAAATAATCTTTACACCAAACCCCTGTGACATGCAATTTATCTATATAACAAACCTGCACATGTACCCTTGAACCTAAAATGAAAGTTGAAAAAGAGTGAAACAACATTTTTAAAGTGACAGTAAGTGAGAACAAAGTTGTTATGTCAACAGAATTCTATACTGTGAAAATATCCTTCAAAGTGAATACATTTTCAGACAAACAGAACTTTAAAATTCATTACCAACAAACCTACACTACCTGAAATGTTAAAAAGTTCCTCAGGCAGAAGAAATAGGGCATCAGATCAAAACTTTGATCAACACAAATAAATGAAGATATTCAGAACTCATTAAAATGAGAGTAAGTATAAAGTATAAAAAAATTTAGAGCAATACGTTTAATGGCTCTAAAAGTTAATTGACTATTTAAAGGAAAATTAATAGCAATGTATTGTGGGTTTATAGCATATGTAAAAGCAAAATGTACGATAAGGAGCACACAGGACATGAAGGAGGAAATAGCTGTGTGCAGTTATATTGTTCTAATACTGCAGGTGAAACTACAATGCTATTTGAAGCTAGATCATGATTAATTAAAATATGTATTTCAAATACCACAGCAATTAATAAAGTATTTTTATACAATTATACATAATACACCAATACTAAAGTCGAATTAGAATTAAAAAATATGAAACAGGCAGAAAAGCAGGTACAAACGAATCTGTTTAGACTAAATAGAAATTAAAAAAAAAATCATGATGGTTGATTTTAATTTAGCTATATCAGTAATAATGGGAATGGTCTGAATGTATTCATTAAAAGACAGAAATTGTCAGGATGGACAAAAAGCAATATTTAACTACAACAAACTAACTTTAAAGATGAGAAAAACATATAATAAGTATAAAAGAATAGAAAAACGTATGCCATACAAATGAATTAAAATAAAGTTAGAGTGGCTATATTCATATCATACAAGTAGAATTCAAAACAAGAACATTTCCAGAGATGAAAGGAGACATTATCTAATAATAGAGGCCAATGCAATAGACAGATATCAATCCTAAATTTGTGTACTTGGAAATTCTTGGATGTTTTATCTACCTGTTTTAGTAATAGGTAAAACAAATACACAGCAAGTCAGTAAGGTTATGGAAGAACTGAACAACTTCATCAACTATCTGGATTTAACTAACTTTTATAGAACACTCTAACAACCACTGAGTACACATTCTTTTGAAGTGCATACAGAATATTTTCTAAGATAGAACATGCTATGAACACAAAACCGATTTTAACAAATTAAAAAGAGAATTGTAAAAATATGATTCTCTGATCATAAGAAAATTTAAAAAGGAATAAAAATTATATGAAGATAATACCTAAATATTGAGAAATTGAAAATAACACAATTAAATAGGAGTCAAAGAACAAACAGTGGAAATTGGAAAATGTTCTTAATGAAATAAAAATGAAAACTTAACCTAATAATACATGTTAAATATTACTACAGCAATGCTTAGAGGGACTTGTATAGCATTAAATGCTTAAATTAAAAAGGCACACAGATAGTAAAACAATGATAAAAGCTTCCACCATAAACAACTAAGAGAGGAGAACAAATTAAAATCAAAAGAAGAGGAATGAAATGTATAATGAAGATAACAATCAAAAAAGCAAAACTGGAGACAGAAAAAAAAATAGAGAAAATAAATAATGCCAATAGCTGATGCATTGAAAAAAGTTAATGAAACTGAAAAACATCTAGGCTGACCTTTAAAAATAAGAGAGAAAGGGAAGGAGGGAAAACAGGAGAGAAAAAGAGAGAGAGAGAGAGATTACTGATACAAGGATAACAAAGAGACCTCATCACTACTCTAGATAAAATTTAAAATAATAAGGATATATTAAGAACAACTTTATATCTCTAAATTCAACAACAAATATAATAAACAATTTTCTTCGAAATTACCTACTATTAAAGACTACTAAAGAAATACATATTTTGAATATTTGTGCATCTGTTAAAGACACTGAATTCATAATTTAAAACCTCTCAGCAACAAAAACAAAAAGTTCCAAGTCTAGGTGGTTTCACTGACAAATTCTACAAAATATTGAAGGAAGAAATATTACCACTTCTACATATACTCCTTGAGAAAACAAGTAGAGTTAACACATCTAAATCATCTACAGAAACCAGTATTATCTTAACACCAAAACTAGCACAGAAATTATAAGAAAAATGCAGACCAATAGCTATCATAAACATGGATGAAAATTCCTCAATAAATATTAGCAAATTAACCTCAGCGATGTATAAAAATGGCAATACATTATGACACAATTTATCCGTGGAATGCAAGGCCTGTTTGACCATAAAAAAAAATGTGAGTTACTGTATCTATAGACTAAAGAAGAAGAAAAAAAACATATGATTATCTCAGTAAATGCCAAAAAGCACATTACTAAATACTGTGTGTATGTATGATAAAAGCTCTCAGCAAACTGGGAGTAGAAGGAAATTTCCTTAACCTGATAATGAACATCTACACAGACTTATATATAATACGACTATTAATAAAAACCTGTATGCTTTTCAGCTAAGATTGGGGGACATGTTTGCTCTCAGCACTCTTATTCAACATTATACTGGAGGTCCTAACCAGTGCAACAAGAGAAGAAAAAGAAATAACATGAATATAGATTGGAAGGGGAGAAATAAAAATTTTTGTATTCATATAAGATATAATTATCATGGAGAAAATCCCATGAAATATTTCTCTAAAGCTACTGAAAGTAATAAGTGAGCTTAGTAGGTTTGCAAGATGCAATGTCAATATATACAAATCAATTGTATGTCTATATTCTAGTAATGGACAGTTATTCTTAAAATTATCATCTACATTAGCACAAAAAATGAAATACTTAAATATAAATCTAATAAAATACGTGCAAAATACTAGAAACTACAAAACATTGATGAAAGAAATCACAGAAGACCTAAAGTTGAGAAATGCACCATGTAAATGGAATGGAAAGCTCAATATTGTTAAAATGTCAACTGTCCCAAATTGAGCTACAAACTAAAGAAAACCACAAAACAAATTTTCAGTAGAAAATGTGATAACAATCAATAAGCTTATTCTAAAACTCATATGAAAATGCGAGGAACTAAAAAAGCCAAAATAATTTTTACAATGAACAATGTTGAAGAATTCACAGTACATAATTTTAAGACATACTAAGATGCACTGATTATGACAGTTGGTATTTTTGAAAGGGTAGGCAAGCAGATAAATAGAACTGAATAGACAGTCTATAAGAAGATCTACACATATGTGGTCAATTGGTATTAAACAAATTGAAAACATAATTTATAAAAAATAATCTTTTCAAAAAACGGTGATGGAAAAGTTCTATGTAATTATAAAAACAAACCTTGAACCACACCTCACCCTATATGCAAAAATTAACTCAAAGTAGATTACAGACTTAAATGTAAAACTTAAAACAATAACACTTCTAAAAGAAAACGGAGAACATATTTTTGATTTCTCTGACATATATCGAAAGCATTATTTAGAAGAGAAAAAAATGTTAAATGGACAAAATTTACATCTTTTTCCCTATGAAAGACATAGTTAACAGAATAAAAAATGGCAGAGGCTAAGCAAAAATATCTGCCAAATATACAAGACTTGTATCCAGAATATATGAATAACTCCAATTCAATACTATCAGACAAACATTCCAATTATAAAATGTGCAAAGGTTTTGAACAGACACTTTGAAAGAATCTTTGAAAGAAGATAAATGGATGTCAAATAAGTACGCAAAAATATTTTCATTTAAATTTGCATTAAGAATATGCAAATTTAAAAAACAAATATTGTATGCGTTGTGTAACGGCAAAAAATAATTGACACTATCAAGTGTTGCAAATGTTGACAAGAAACAGGTAGAGCAACTGAAACTCTCATACATTGCTGGTGTGAATCCAAAATGGTACGGCTACTTTGCAAACAGTTTGGCAACTTTTTTATAAAGCTAAACACACACTTACCATATGACCCAGCAGTCCTACTCTTAAATATTTTCTCAAGACAAAAACTTATATTTACTAAAAAACCTGTATGATAGTTCTATTGGCATTATGCATCTTACCAAAAGCTGGAAACACTGAAACCATCTTTCAACGAGTGAATAAACTGTTGTATATCCATGCAAAGGAATGCTACTCAGCATTAAAATAAACAAACTACTGATACACAACTTCATAGATGAAGGTCAAATTGATTGTATTTATATGACATTGCAAAAAAAAGGCAGAACTATAGGGATAGAAAACAGAGCAGCGTGCAGAGTGGCTGGGAGTGGAGAGAGAGGTTGACTGCAAAGGGGTGCAAAAAATGTCTGTCTGTTTGAATCCATGTATCCGCAACATTCTTGTTTTCAACAAATTAAATTGTATTGTATTAAGCAGTCATAAAAAAACTGTGTGTCCCTGGCTCATGAAAATAAGGATAAATTTCATTTTGAAGACACCTATACCTCTGTATGTATTGTACAGATGGCATTGCTTGAATTAGGAAGAAAGCCTAGAATGCGTGTTAGTTTTCTGCTAAATGTCTATGAATATCTATGCACGAGAAGTAGGAGGTGAAGTAGGAGTGAAGGGGAAGGAGGTAAGTGAGAAAATGAGAACTTCTATCCTTTTTCACTCCATCTGCCAGACCTTTTTTAAAAAACAAAATAATACACTTATCTTTATTTGTCATTTGTAACTATTTTAGTTAGGATGGACCTAAGAATCTCTTTTAAATTATTTTTAAAGCAAAAAGTAAAGCTAGGATTTACACTTCATAAAGGTGTTAAAATATCACAGATATAAAAAAATTAATTGTCCTATTTTAGTATCCGATGATTTCATTTTTTATAGTTCATCAGAGTCAGAACTTACAGTCAAGCAGTCTTTACAAAAACCATCATTAATTCATCTCCCTGTATACAACCGGGAAGTATTCCTTACTCTTTCCTTGAAAAATTATACTCATGGAAAGACACTTCTAGACTGAAAACAGTGCATCCTAGATGGTTCAGAGACTAGTCTGGATCATAGTGATCCTAAGAATACTGAAAGATCGATTCATGTTCCTTTCGTTTAGTGATCTAGATGATGACATAGAAAATGCATTTGGTTGGTTCAAAGTTGACTTCAAGATAGTGATGAGATAGAAGCACAAGAAATAGTAAAATTTATTTAAATTGAAAAATTAGAAAAGCAGCCAAGACAAACATAGTAAAAAGACACAACAGTAAAGCAAAGGATAGATGAACTCTGAAGATAATTCAATCATTGAACAAATATTTGTTCCATTTATCTCTGTAAACAATTTACAATGCATTATGCTATGTGTTTCAAAATTTTAGTTTTGTAGCATGTATAAAACTTACAGATGAAAACACATTAAAATGGATCCTTACTGTAGATATATAGTGATGAGAGGGAAACTTACAGATACTTAGATCTCTTTATCAAAACGAGAATGCACTGATGATGGGAAAGAGAGAGAGCAAAGAAATTCATCTTTTTCTGGTTTAAAGATGGGAACATTGAGATTCCTGAACTTTGCTTTTAGTTGTGAGTTTGCCAATACCTAGTGCTTTAATCTTGGATGAGATAATCTAGGCCTCCATTTAATCTTCTGCAATATTAAAGGGAAAGACAAAATGATCTTTAATGTCCTTACTGAATTTCATGATATGTATGTTCTTTTTAATCCAATACTCAATCAATGTTCATTGTTGATGTGACGGTGCCCATCACTAGAATCTTTTGTGTCCATTCTGCGGTAGTCCCATTTTAGCAGCTGTCATAACCAACAATGTGGTCCTATCACAACTGTGCCGGCCCAGACCCAATTATTCAAAATAACCTGGGAAGGATACAAGGATGAGCATGTACTTGTCATTGGCAATGAAAGTGGATCCTGGCCAAAAAAATAAAAAATAAAATAAATAAAATAAAATTCCTGCTGCTTGACAGGAACAAAATCCCCAGGAAAGAAGTTAACGTTTGTTTTGTTTCAAATTTCCTTTTTAAAATCAAACTTTGTTTTAAGGTAAATGTAAATTTGCATGCAGTTGTAAAAAAAAGATACAGAAATCTTATGCACTGTTTACACAAATGATAACATCTTGCAAAACTATCCCACAGTGTAACAACCATGATATTGACATTCAGAGTCAAGGTACGGACATTGCCATCCACAGAAGGATCTGTTGTGTTACTCTTTTATAGCCAACCACCTCCCAGCCATCCCTGATCCTGGAAACCACTAATCTATACTCCATTTCTAGATTTTGTCATTTCAAAAATGTAATATAATTTGAATCATTCACTATATAACCTCTTTGAAATGGCTTTTTTCATGTACTATATTTCTCTGAGGCTCTCTGAGGCTTATCCAAATTATTACATGTGTCAATAATTCCTTTCTTTTTAATGACAAGTAGTGTTCCATGGTGTATATGCATGAGTTTGTTTAACCATCCATTTATTTAATGACATTTGGAATGTTTCCAGTTTATGAGGGTTATGAATCAAAAGCTATTATGAATCTTTCTGTAGAAATTTTTCAGTGACTATGAATCTTTGCTTTTCTGTGATAAATGCTCCAATGTGAAATTGCTGGCTTACCAGATAAGTGCATATTTAGTTTTATAAGAAAATGACAAACCATTTTCCAGAGTGGCTGTATGGTTTTACATTCTTATCAGCAATGTGTCAGTGGTCCAGTTTCTCTGCATCCTTGCCAGCATTTGATGTTTTCCCTATTTTTTAAATGTTATCTATTCTAATAAGTGTATAGTGATATCTCATTGTGGTTTAAATTAGCATTTTCCCAATAGCTAATAAAATTGATCATCTTTCCAGATGCTATTTGCCATCTGTATATACCTTTTGGAGGACGCTCCCACCTCATTCCTCATTTTCAAGATTGTTTTAGCTATTCTAAGATCTGTACTTTTCCATATAAATTTCATAATAAGCTTGTCTGTGTTTACCAAAATCATTTTTGGAATTTTGATATAATTGCATCAAATCTTAGATCAATTTAAAGAGAACCGACATTGTCACTATATTTAGTCTTCCAACCTATGAACATAGTATGTCTCGCCATTTATTTAGGTATTTTTTTCTTTCATTAGTTTTTTTAATATTTAAAATGCAGATTTTGTACTTCTTTTGTTATGTGTATGCCTAAATATTTTGTTATCTTTGAAGGAATTTTAAATGGTATTGTGTTTTCAATTTCAGTTTTCACATGTTCATTGTGTATAAAGAAATGTCATTGATTTTTGTATGTCGATAGTGTATCCTATGACCTTGCTGGACTCACTTATTAGTTCTACGAGAGTTTTTTTTGGAGATTCATCGAAATTTTCTGCATCAATCATGCCCACCTGAAAATAGGAAAAGTTTTATTTCTTCTTTCCCAATTTTTTTTCCTTCTCTCTCCTTTCTTGTCTTAATGGGTTTTTTAGAAATTCTAGTACTATGCTTAATAAGGGCGGTGAGAATTAAAATTGTTTTTATTTCTAATCTTAGTGAAAAAGCTTCAATCTTTTAAGAATGATGCTACTGCAAGGTGCTTTAGGAACTCTGTAAATTTGTTCCTAAGTTGTTGAGAATTTTCTACCATAGATTTTGTCAAATATTCTTCTGTGTTTATTTATATATATTAATTTTTGATCAATGTCTGTTATCTTGTGGATTACACTCATTGATTTTTAAATGTTGAACCATGTAATGTTTGATAGAATTCTTCAGTGAAATCACCTGGGTCTGAAGATTTCTTTTGAAGAAGTATTTTAATTATAAGTTTAATTTCCTTAATAGTTTTGGGGCTGTCCAGATCTTTTTCATATTTGGTGAGTTGTGGAAGTTTGTACCTTTTGAGGAATTGTTCCATTTTACGAAAGTTGTCAAATTTATATGTGCTGAGTAATTGGTAGTATTCTCTTATCTTTTTGATATATGCCTGTGCTGATATTTCCTTTTTTATCTCTCATATTAGTAATTGTGCCTTCTTTTTTCTTTGTCAGTTTTGCTAGAGGCTTGTGAATTTTGTAGATTTTTAAAGAACCAGCTTCTAGTTTTATTGATTTACTCTACTGTTTCATATTTTCAAATGCATGGATTTATGTAATTATTTTTATTATTTTCTCCCTTATACTTGCATTGGGTTTACTTTGCTATTATTTTTCTAGTTTCTTGAGCTAGAAACTTAGATGACTGATTGGTGACCTGTCCTTTTTTCTAATAAAAGCAAGTAGTACTATGCATTTTCCTCTCAGCCTTGCTTTAGCTGTACCCACATATGTTGAAATGTAATATTTCCATTTTTATTTAGTTTTATGTTTTCATTTTTATCTCCCCTGGGACTTTCTTTGGCTCATGTATTATTTACAAATGTGTTGTTCAATTTCTAAGTCTTAGAGATTTGTTCCTTTTATGTTATTGATTTCTCATTTGATTCAGATATAACCATAGGACACACTCCATACAATGTATGATTTCATATTTTTTAAATTTATGTAGTTCATTTTATTTCCAAGGCTATGAGTTATCTAGTGAGTTACATGGGCACTTGAAAAAATATATATATAGTTGACCCTTGAACAATGCAAGGTTCAGAGGCATCAACTCCCCATTCAGTAGAAAATTCACGTGAAATTTTGAGTCCACAAAAACTTTACTAGCAGTCTACTGTTGATCAGAAGCCTTATCAATAACATAGTCAATTAACAAATATTGTATATGTCATATATATTATATACTGTACTCTTAATAAAGTAAGCTAGAGAAAAAATGTTATTAAAAATCATAAGGGATAGAAAATCTACTTACTATTCATTAACGGGAAGTGGATTATCATAAAGGTATTCATCCTCATCTTCATATGGGGTAGACTGAGGAGGAGGAGGGGTTGGTCTCGCTGTCTCAGGGGTGGCAGAGACAGAAGAGATGGAGCAAGTATAAAGAGAGGCAGGAAAGGCAAGCACACTCAGTGTCACTTTTAATCCATGCGTAAGTGGACCCATACAGTTCAAACCTGTGTTGTTGGAGAGTCAACTGTAGACTCTGCTGCTATTAAGAGGAGTGTTCTATATATGGAATCCTTTTGGCTGAATGTGTTGTTTAGTTCCTCATCGTTACTGTTCAATGTTTATCTTAATTGATGTGAGTGGATTGTAGAAGCCTCCACCCATCATTGTAGATGTTTCTATTGTTCCTTTCAGCCCTCAGTATTTTCTTCTTATATTTTGAGGCTTTGTTTTTCAGCACCTACACATTTAGGATCCACATAGATGTATCTTTTTTTTTTTTTTTTTTTTTTTTTTTTTTTACGTAATGTACCTCTTTGTCTCTAGTACATTTTTGTTTTGCACTGAAATCTATCTTGCTTGATATTAACATAACCGCTTTTATGTTTTTTGTTTAAAGTATCGATGGTGTAATGATTATTTTTAGGTATCTATTTAACTGGGGTGACCATACATTTGGACAAGCTTATTCTAGGTGTTTCTGTAAGAGTACATCTAAATTAGATTAACAGTTGAATCAGTAGATCAAGTAAAGCAGACTGTCCTCCCTGAAGTAGTTGGGCCTTATTCAATCAGCTGGAAATTTTAAAAGAACACAAAGCTGACCCTCCCACAAGTAAGACAGAACTCCTCCTGCCTGACTGCTTCATTCTGGGACTTCAGTTTTTTCCCTTCTTCAGACTCAAACTGAAACATCAGCTTTTTTTGGATCTCAAGCCTGCTGGTATTTGGACTGAAATTATCATCAGCTCTCTTAGGTCTCAGGCCTTCAGACTTGAGCTAGAATGACACCATTGGCTCTCCTGGGTCTTCAGCTCACCAACTGCAGATTTTGGAATGTGTCAGCCTCCATAATCACTTGAGCCAATATACATACCTATGTTATTGGTTCTGTTTCTCTGGAGAACCCTGAATAATACACATGGCATATCTTTTTTTATTCCTTTATTCTTTTACTCAATATAACCATGTATTTTAAGTGAGTTATTTTGTAGACTATGTATTGTTGCATCTTTTTTTTATGCACTCAATCTCTGTCTTTTAATTGGTGTATTTATCCCATCCACACTGATATGGTTTGGATATTTGTCCCCATCCAAACCTCACGTCAAATTGTAATATCCAGTGTTAGTGGAGGGGCCTTCTGGGAGGTGATTAGATCATGGAGGTGGATTTCCCCCTTGCTGTTCTTATGATAGTGAGTGAATTCTCACAAGATCTGTCTGTTTAAAAGTATGTAGCACCCACCCTTCTATCTTTCTTTTTCTCTGGCATGTAAGACATGCCTTTTTCCTCTTTGCCTTCTGCCATGATTGTAGGAACCACCCGCCAATTAAACCTCTTTTCTTTATAAATTACTCAGTCTCAGGTAGCTCTTTATAGCATTGTGAGAACAGACTAATACACACACACAAAGAGTAATTATTGATGGTTTTAGTTGGCCATTTTATTTGTTTTCTGTTGGTAGCCTCTATCTTTCTCTTTTCTTGCCTTTCTGTTGTTTATTTAAACATTTTAATTGATTCAATCTTCATTTATTTATAATGATTTTATGTATATCTCTTTGGAGAGTTCTTGTAGAGATTATTAATTATCACCCTATATTTATATCTATGTATATACACACCACACACAAAGACACACAGACACAGAGAGAGAGACAGGTATGAACATTTTAGACTTTGAGCGAGGCATAGAAAGCTTACTTCCATTTAAGTCCCTCTACTCTGTACAATGTTTAAATGTAATTATCTTAAGTATTTCATCTACGGTCACTGAGAATCACATTAGTTGACATTATAACTTTTACTTCAACCATAAAATATGATTTAAAAACTCACACACATTCTTGTATATTTATTTCTATTTTTATACATGCTAATTTTATTATTTTCTTTCTGAAGTTATATGATTTATTCTGTTATGATTTTTTTTCTAGCCATTCTTTACAGGTAGGTTGGCCAGCAACAACCTCTCTTAGTTTTTTTCATCTGACAATGTGTTTATTTTTATTTTATTCCTGAAGTAAGTATACTTTAACCAGATATAGAATTCACAGTTGACACTCCCTGTCCTTCAGGACTTGAAAAATGTGCCATTTTCTTCTGGCATCCAAATTTCAAATGAGTTTACTGACATTTGAATTGGCATACCCATATAGGTAATATGTTACTTCTCTGATTACTTCTAAGATTTTCTTTTTGCCTTTAATTTTCAGCATCTTGATGATGTCTTTTTATGTGATTCTTTGGGTATATCCATTGTGGTGTATTTGCCTCTTGAATCTACTACTTTATGTCTTCAAATTTGGGGAAATTATAGCCATTACTTTTTAGGATGAAGTTTTTCAATCTCATTCTTTTTTCTCTCCTTCTGGGTCTCTGATAATACAAAGGTTAGCTTTTTCATTATAGTACTTCAGGTACTTGATACTTTATAATTTTTTTCAGTTTTTTTTCTATTGTTTAAATTGGGCAAATTCTATTCATCTGTTCTCATGTTCACTGATTCTATCTTCTGTCATCTCTCCACCTTATATTAAAATTATTCAGTGAGCTTTTGTTTGGTTATTTTGTTTTGGTGATTGAATTTTTCAGTTCTATACTTTCCAACTGGATCTTCTCTTTAGTTTTTATTTCTTTGCTGAAATTTCCTACTTTTCAAATTGTTTCAGAAGTCATATTTGCTTATGAAATCATTTTTATAATGGTGGCTTTAAAATCATTTTCAGATAATTTCAGCTTCTAATTCATATCAGTGTTGTTTTTGTAAGGCTGTCTTTTCTTGATCATGTTCTGATTTTCCTAGTTCTTGGTATTATGAGTGTTTGTTGTATTATATATTTCACATTTTGGACATTATATTAAGATACTCAGTATCCTATTTAATCAATTTTTTTTTTTTCTTGAGACAGAGTCTCGCTCTGTCGCCCAGGCTGGAATGCAGTGGCGCAATCTTGGCTTACTGCAACCTCTGCCTCCCAGATTCAAGCAATTCTCTGCCTTAGCCTCCTGAGTAGCTGGGATTACAGGTGCCTGCCACCACGCCTGGCTAATTTTTGTATATTTAGTAGAGACAGGGTATCACCATCTTGGCCAGGCTGGTCTTGAACTCCTGACCTCATAATCCACCCACTTCGGCCTCCCAAAGTGCTGAGATTACAGGTGTGAGCCACTGTGCCTGGCCGCAAACATGCAAAATTCTTCATTATGCATAAGATGCTAATCAGCTGCCCAAGACCATCCCGTTCCCACCTTTTTCTTTTTTAAATAATTTACATGACCTTGTGGAAATAGAGTGGCCCAAGTGCATTAATACTGAACTCTCCTGGGGAAAATTTACGAAGACCATGTGTCTATAGATGAAAGAGATGTTGTAACAGACAGATAGACAAGCCTCCTTCAACGCCTGTGGGGGCAAGGCTATCTAGTGCCCTTATGCTACAGTGCTGAATGCAGTGAAAGCAGCCTGAACTCATATTAGCCCAGGCATGTTTACAGAAACTCAGCTTTTCCTGGCACACCACCAAAATGCAATTAAGTTAAGCAATAGAATAATTTTCATATTCCCAATAAGATGTCATGATATCCACTTTATTGCTATCCTATTTATGCTTTTCTACTCAAAATTTATCATACCATTTTAGAACATGATATTATTTTTATAGTTTACATGATCATCATATTATTGCTGGAAATTACATTTCATGATGCTATCTAGTTTATTAATATTCTCTGTGGGTCATTATCCGCAGACTGTTTGCATTGTTTCTACATTCCCAATTATTTTCCTTTCAAGTATCTAGAAAAACATCCGTATAGATAAAAGAATGAAGAATGTGGGGACAAATATTGTGTTAAAATGGTAACATTTGAAGGTAATCTTTCTAATTAAAAAAACCATATTTTTCTTTTTTTTAAAAAAAGAAAATAAAGAGAGGTGTACTACACTTGCATTACATGAGAAAGTGCAAAAAACATATTGATTCAAAAACAAAGAAATGTTCTGTCAGTAAGCTTCCTAATCATGTGTTGTTTGTTGTTCCCGAAAGCATTGCTAATTGGAAAAGGCATTTCCACACACTGTTATCAAAGCAAGAACAATTTTCCTTTTAAGAATTTGTAGCCAGGCGCGGTGGCTCACGCCTGTAATCCCAGCACTTTGGGAGGCCAAGGCGGGCAGATCACGAGGTCAGGAGATCGAGACCATCCTGGCTAACACAGTGAAACCCCATCTCTACTAAAAATACAAAAAACTAGCCAGGCGTGGTGGCGGGCGCCTGTAGTCCCAGCTACTCTGTTCTCTATTTGTAAAGTGTTGTCACCAATACCCACACTGGTCTACTTACAATTGTTTTCAGTACATTTTGCTATCTAAAAAAGCAAATATACTTGCCTTCTTGATTACTTTTATAAAATTGTTTTAAATAAAAGTGTGTACATTTCCTTACTTTGTTAATTTTCTGAAAAGTTTTCTAAGATCCATGAATAAAATCTGTTGGGACTTTTATTGGAATTATACTTAATTGACTTAGTAAGACAATTTGAGGAGAACTGTCACCTCCCAAAACAAGGGTATGCTTATGCCTCTAGATTTATTTAAATCATATTTTCTGTCTTTCCGTGTAATTTCATAATTTGCTCCCTACAATTTTTAAAATTTATGGTTAAGCATATTTCTAGGTACTTTAGACATTTTGTTCTATTTTAAATATGGTTCATTTGTCACATTGTCAATTTTCAAACGTGTTGCTCTTGAGTTACAAGAAACTGGGATGTTGCATATTTCTTTTTTTCTTTTTTTTTTTTTTTTTTTTTTTGAGACGGAGTCTTGCTCTGTCACCCAGGCTGGAGTGCAGTGGCACGATCTCAGCTCACTGCAACCTCCGCTTCCTGGGTTCAAGCGATTCTCCTGCCTAAGCCTCCCAAGAAGCTGGGATTACTAATTATCCTATTGATTAACACTTTTTCGTTTTTTGGTGGTTATTCTCATAGAATGTTGCATTATCTATGAATAATGATAGTGCTATTGTCTCTTTCGCGCAATATTTACTCTTCTGCTGGCATTTCTTGTCTTACTGTCATGGTTACCTTCTTCAGTGGGGTGTATGTTGACCATTAGCTGGGATAGAGACCATACCTCACTTGTTCATTTTGATTTTCTAATAGAGTATTTTAAATGATTTATGATTAATACTTCATTTGCTAGAGGTGTTTGGTACAAGCATTTCTGAGGTTTAGAAAAGTTTTCACCCATATGTGTTTTCCTTCACACTAATTATTTTCATAATTACTTATTTTTTGTCTCCAAAATTGAGATTTTTTTAGACAGAGCTCTTTTCCCAGATTTACATGTGTGCATATGTTCAGAGATAACCTGCTGAATGCCTCAGAAGCACTTTAAACACAAAAACCCAGGCTTAATATCTTCCTTCTAAATATGTCTGCCTGTTACTTTCTCTGCTCACAGTAGTGGAATTACCATATCCCTGTCACACATGCCAAATTCCAGGCATTAACTTTAAATTTTCATTCACTGAGAAAGAAATGAAGGCATTAGACTGTTGACAGAAATTTGGTAAGCACATTTATAAACAGGTAACATTGAAGCAAACCTCTATGTGTGTGTGCATGCATGTGTGTGTATGCACATGCTTACTTGTGCATATGTATGTATGTAGAGGTATATATAGAAAGAACACATATCAAATTTATGATATTGATCTTTTTTCTGAAGAGGGAAATTGAAGTGGAGACAAAAACAAAGGCATCTTAAAGTATACATAAGCTAATATCCCTTTTTAAAAATGAAGATCTAAAACAAATTATTCTGGGTGGAGGTATAAGGATGATTATTATAATATTGTCTGTATTTTATATTAAGATATTTCTAAAGAAAAATTCCAAATCAAAGACCACAGTGGATTTTGACTAAAATATGAGAGTATTAAAAGAATGTAGGCAGGTGAATATGAAATAGGAATGTGAGCCAGGGGCTGACATCATTGAAATGCAAATATGTGTGTGGCACAGCTTCAACTGTTACAAGGTTCTTAATAACTCTGCTTATCTCTTCTAGAATTCTTAGCCTGATATTTCTTAAAAAGAACTGCCAGCTTCAGGTTCCCACAAAGTATGCAGATTCTGGCTAAATTATTCACTCCCACTGTTTACAGAATGTACCTGTCACTCTTCACCTACACTCATGTGTGGATTTGCATTGTCTAAGAGGATAGCTTCTCATTTAGTAAGTGCTTATTAAGCCAAGCATAAATTACAATAATTTCTTAATTATATTTAGTACTCAGGTATAAAAGAGCCTTTTGTTGAAGAATTTTAGAGATCAAGGGGATAAAGACAACTAAGTAAATCAACTGTAGCTACAAGCAAATAAATGTCAAACTATTGATTTTTCTCTCTCTCTCTTCTTTGCAGTTTTAAAATGCTTATTTACAGAACAAGACTTAGAATGACAGCATGAGGAACTGCATGAACGCTCTTCCAATCAAATCAACTATCACCAATGAAAACATGTTTTTTAACTATTTCGAATCTCTGGAAATTGTTCTCAGATCAACACCAAGTGAAAATACACATTTATTCAATAAAATCTACCAAATCTTAAGTAGAAACAGCAGATTCCTGTGGTTCCTGAGACTTGCCCACCTCTTGCCTCATTCATCTTCCAACTTAGCATAATGGAAATTCCACCACAAGTCGGCGTGGCCAAGGAGATGGGGCTCCCTCTTCTGCAGGCTCCAAGTTGAGGGCTGCGGTCTCCTCCTTGGACAGGGAGTCTGACAGCATCACTCATCCCCCGCCAGCTCTGTGCTGTAGAGGCTAAATTTCAAGCAAGCATGACTGAGAGGGTTGGGGCTTCCCTCTTACTCCTAGACCAGAGTGTGAAGGTTCTGCCAAGAGCATGACAGGCCAAGAATATTAGGGCCCTGATCATCCTTGGCACATTTCAGTCACAGAGCAAACATTTCTTGCTGGTAGAGTTAATCCAAGAGGACCAGAGGCTGTCACCACAGTCCAGCACACAACTCAAAGCAGTGGCCACTCTGAGAAAAGTGGCTCAATCCCTGAGCAGGGGCTCCGAAACTTAGCCCAAGTGGAGAGGCAGGTCACAGAACAGAGTTCCAAAGCTTTCCACAAAGAGACTAACATTATTTAGAAAAGAATATGGAGAAATTCATGCCTAAGTGTTCTCTTAAAACCAAAGGTGATTTTGTTGTCAAGCAATGAAGAGGAGGCTGTTCTCTCCAGGAGAGCAATGGGCTAAACTATAAGCTCGTTAATTTACTAGGGAGAACCAGAGAATGACACAGCTTTCCTTACTGTCCTTTGAGAACAAACCTCAAAGACTGGTCTCAAAAACTATCCCTAAAAAGAGACAATATTTAATTGACTCAGGCTATAGAGAAAATTATGTTCCAGGGAATTGTCAAAAAAAAAAAGAGTAATCACTTGATAATTAGTAAACCTGGGCTCAAAACCAGTAGAGGCAGACAGCTTGACAGAGGGACAAAGGAAAGCGCTATTCAGAAAGAGCCCACATCCATAGACTGCCATCCTAGGGCAGCTGCGTTCATGTCCACGGTTGTGTGTGCTCTTGGAGAAGTGACATCAGATTCTCCACATAATGAGATCAGTAGACATCACTAAAATAATTCCACCAAGTTGCTAAACAATACACAAGCAGAAGCCATCAAGAGCAAGTCCTAGAAGATGTGGTATGATAAATATCCAAAGTTGCTACAGTGAATTACCTAAAATTCCCAGTTTTCAACAAAAAATATGAAATATTTTTTCTCATACAGGAAGAAGCAGGAAACAGAAACTTCCCATGAGAGGGCCAAATGACAGACTTACTATAAGATTTCAAAGCAGTCATTATAAATATAATTTAAAAATTAAAGGAAATTATTCTCAAAGGAGTAAACAAAAGTATAATGATAATGTCTCATCAAATAGAAGATAATACAATGATAGAAAATATAAAAAATAACAAAATAGAAATTTAAAAATAGAAAAATGTAACTGAAATTTTAAAAAATCACTACAGTGGCTCAAAAGCAGGGTTTAGCTGGCAGAAGTAAAAATCAATAAACTTGAAAATAGATAGATAAAGACTATAAAATCCAAAGAACAGAGAATAAAAAGAACGAAAGAAAAGAACTAAAGCCTCAGAAAAATGTGGGATACCCTTAAGCAGATGACCATTTAATGAGATTACCTGAAAGGAAGGAAAGAGAAAAAGGAGCAGTAAAAATATTTTAAAAAAATAGCTAACATTTTCTGAAATTTGATGTACAACATGAATCTACACATTCAAGAAGCTCAACAAACTCCAAGTAAGAGAAATGTAATGATTTCACACTCAAACTTTTTTTTAAAGAAAAATATTTAAAGCAGAAAAAGATAAGGAACTCATCACGTACAAAGTCTTTTTAATCGAGACTCTTACATGAAAATGAGAGTAAGTTTCCAAAATCGCTGTGAAATAAAAACATTCTCAGATAAACAAAACTTAGGGAATATGTAACTATATGACCTGCCTTACAAGAAATCCTAAAGGAAATCCTGCAATCTGAAAGCAAGTGACTCCAGGTAGTAACATAAATTCACACATGTGCTCACACATGCATACACACACACACACAGGGCACCAATAAATGTAATAATGAAAAGCAGTTTAAGTGCATATTTCTGTTCCTCCATTCTCTTAACTTATTTATAAAGCAGTTGTATAAAACAATATGTTTATAATTTCATCGTTAGGTCTACAATATAGAGAAATGTAATACAGGCATACTTAATTTTGTTGAGTTTCACTTTGTTGCACTTTGCAGATATCTTGGTATTTACACATTGAAGTTTAGTGGCAAGCCGGAGTTGAACAAATCTATCATTGCTATTTTTCCAACAGGATGTGCTCGCTTTGTGTTTCTGTGTCACCTTTTGGTAATTCTTGCAAACTTTCAAACTTTTTTCATTATTATTATATCTGTTATGGTGATCTGTGGTCAGTCACCTTTGATGTTGCTATTGTAATCGCTTTGGAGTGCCACAAATTGCCCCCATATAAGATGGTAAACTTAATCAGTAAATGTTGTATATGTTCTGACTGCTCTACCAACCAGCCGTTCCCATCTCCCTTCTCCTCAGGTCTCCCTATTCCCTGAGACACGATAATATTGAAATTAGTCCAATTAATAACACTACAATGGCCTCTAAGTGTTCATATGAAAGGAAGAGTCACACATATCTCACTTTAATAAGAAAATAAGTAGGCTTAGTGAAGAAGGCCCATTTAAAGTCAACATAGGCTGAAGGTTATGTTTCTTGTGCCAGTTAGCCAAGTTCTGAATGCAAACAGAAAGTTCTTGAAGAATATGAAAAGTGCTACTCTAGTGAGCAAATGAATGATGAGAAAGCAAAGCAGCCTCATTGCTGATATGGACAAAGTTTTGGGGGTCTGCATAGAAGATCAAACCAGGCACAACATTCCCCTAAGCCAAAGTCTCACACAGAGACCTAACTCTCTTCAATTCTATGGAGGCCAAGAGAGTTGAGGAAGCATCATGAGAAAAGTTTAAATCTAGCAGAGGTTAGTTCATGAGGTTTAATATAAAAGAAGCTGCCTCTATAACATAAAAGCACAAGGTGAAGCCACAAGCACTGCTGGAGAAGCGGCAGGAAGTTATCCAGAGTATCTAGCTAAGATAATTGATGAAGGTGGCTACACTAAATGATAGGTTTTTCATGTAGGCAAAACAGCCTTATATATGCTATTGTCATCTCGGACTTTCATAGCTAGAGAGAAGTAAATGACTGGCTACAAAGGTTCACAGGCTGACTCTCTTGATGGGGGCTAATATAGCTGGTAACTTTAAGTTGAAACCAATTCTTATTTATCTCTTGAAAATCCTAGGATCTTTAAAATTTATGGTAAATCTATTCTGTCTGTGCTCTATAAATAAAAAGATAAAGCCTAGATGGCAAAACATCTATTTATAATATGGTTTCTTGAATATTTTAAGCCTTGTATTGAAACCTATTGCTCAGAAAAAAAGATATTTTTTCAAAATATTCCTGCTCATTGAAAATGCACCTAGTCTCACCTAAGAGCTCTGATGGAGATGTACAAAGAGATTAATGTTTTCATGCCTTATAACACATCCATTCTGCAGCCCATGGATCAAGAACTGATTCTGACTTTCAAGTCTTATTATTTAAGAAACACATATTGTCAGATTATAGTTGCCATAGATAGTGATTCTTCTGATGGATCTGGGCAAAGTGAATTGGAAATCTTCTGGAATGGATTCATCATTTTAGATGCCATTAAGAACATTCATGATTCATGGAAGGAGGTAAAAATATCAGTATTAATAGGAGTTTGAAAGAAGTTGATTCCAACCCTCATGGATAATTTGGAGAAGTTAAAGACTTCAGCAGAAGTGACTGCAGATGTGGTAGTAATAGCAAGAGAACTTGAATTAGAAGTGTAGGCTGAAGATGTGACTGAATTGCTGAGTCTCATGATGAAACCTGAACACATGAGTTGCTTCTCAGGGATGAGCATGGAAAATGGTTTCCTGAGATGGAGTCTACTCCTGGTAAAGATGCTGTGAACATTGTTGAAGTGACAATAATGGGATTAGGATGTTACATAAAGCTAATTGATAAAGCAGTGGCAGGGTTTGAGAGGACGGACCTCAATTTCAAAGAAGTTCTACTATAAGTAAAATACTATCAAACAGCATTGCATAATACAGAGAAATCTTTTGTGAAAGGGAGAGTCAATTGATGGGATAAATTTCATTGTTGTCTTATTTTAAGAAGCTTCCACAGCCACCTCACCCTTCAGCAATCACCACCCTGATCAATCAGCAGCCATCAACATCAAGGCAAGATCCTCCACCTGCAGAAAGATTAAGACTCACTAAAGGCTTAGATGATCACTAGCATTTTTTAGCAGTAGAGTATTTTAAAATTAAGGTACATACTTTTTTCATCATAATGCTATTGCACACTTAATAGACTACAGTGTAGTTTAAACATAACTTTTATATGCACTGGGAGATAAAATAAAAAGTGTGTTACTTGCCTTATGGCAATATTGCTTTATTGCAGTGGTCTGAAACCAAACCTACAATATCTCTGGGTATGTATGTGTACCTTACAGTCTCAGTACAGAGGACATTAGTGGCACTAAAGTTGAACTGGGGTAAGGAAGTGACAGCAAATAGTTACTAGAATCCAAAGGAACAAATGAAGAGAACCAGAAATGGAAAGTAAGAAAATCAATACATCAAACTATCTAAGTATGTATTACTTATCTTCCTTCTCATAGTTTTATTTAAAAGACATAAAATTGTAAAAGTAAAAAAATAATAATTAGAAGAATGTATTTTGGGGTTTGCAAAATATATAAACGTAATATGTCTAATGACAACACAAAGGATGGTTAAGAGACACGAAAACTACAGAAGAGTGATATGTCTATATTTCACTGGAATCAAGTTAGTATAAATCTAAAATACATTCTGATTATTTAAGAAGGATATGGTATGTCCTAGAGCTATCAATAAGATAATAACAAAAACATAGTGAAAAAATTGTTAAAGATATTAAAATATTACACTAGAAAATATTCACTTTATGCAAAAAAAAAAAAGCCTGGAAAGGAGGAATAGTGGAGCAAATATACAAATATAGAAAACAAAAAGTAAAATGGCAGGTGTAAATTCAAGCATATAAAGAACATTAAATTTAAATGGATTTTAAAACCCAACGAAAAGACAGTGTTGTGAGACTTGATTTTAAAAGTCCAATTATGTGCTGTCTATAGAAGACACAATTTATCTTTTTATTTTTGGTTGAAAGTAAAAGAATGGCAGCGCTTTGGGAGGCTGAGGCGGGCGGATAACCTGAAATCAGGAGTTCGAGGCCAGCCTGACCAATATGATGAAACTCCGTCTCTACTAAAATTACAAAAATTAGCCGGGCATGGTGGCATGCACCTGTAACCCCAGCTACATGGGAGGCTGAGACAGGAGACTCGCTTGAACCCAGGAGGTGGAGCTTGCAGTGAGCCGAGATTGCGCCATTGCACTACAGTCTGGGCAACAAGAGTGAAACTCCATCTCAAAAAAAAAAAAAAAATGTAAAAGAATGGAAGTAATATGTCGTGCCAAAGCATCCATAAGATAAGAAAGCTGCAATGGTGGTACTAACATCAGACAAAACAGACTTTAAAACAGACCAAAACTGTGTTTAGAAATGAAAAGGAACACACAGTAATAATAAAAGAATGAATCAATCAAGAAGAAATGAATTATAGACATATATGTACCCTAATAACAGAGCTCCAAAATACATGAAAAAATCTGACAGAAATGAAGGGAAAATAGACAATTCAATAATAATCATTGCAGACTTCAATATCCCAATTTCAGCAATGAACAGGACAACTAAGAAAGTATCAAAAAGGGTACAGAGTAATTGAATTGCACCATGAAGCAAGTAGACCTAAGAGATATCTGTGAAACACATCACCCACCAACAGCACAATATACATTCTTCTCAATAGCATATGGAACATTCTCCAGGACAAACCATACAATAGGCTACAAATCAAGCCTCAACATATGAAAAAGAATTAAAATAATGAAAAGTGTACTGATGAAAATGGAATTAAATAAATCAATAACAAAAGTAAATTTGAGCAATCCAAACATATGTGTTAAATGAGATACTGCTAAACAAAGAATCAGAAAACAAATCACAATGGAAATTTGTATATATATATATATATATCTTTTTTTTTCTTTTTTTTTTTTTTTGAGACAGAGACTCGCTCTGTCACCCAGGCTGGAGTGCAGTGGCATGATCTCGGCTCACCACAACCTCCCCCTGCCCGGGTTCAAGCGATTCCTCTGCCTCAGCCTCCCAAATAGCTGGGACTTCAGGCACCTGCCACCATGCCGGCTAATTTTTGTATTTTTAGTAGAAACGAGGTTTCACCATGTTGGCCAGGCTGGTCTTGATGAAAATACTTTAAAATAAATTAAATGAAGACAACATATGAAAATACATCAGATACAGCTAAAGCAGAATTTGGAGGAAATTTTACAGCTGTAAATGCCTCTGCTAAAGAAAAATAAAGATCTCAAATGAATAACATAATTTTCCTGCAAAGTCACTGGATAAACAAGAGTAAACTAAATCTAAAGCAAACAAAATGAAGACAATAATAAAGATTAGAGTGGAAAGTAATAAAATTGAAATGAGGAAATAGTAGAAAAAACCAATGACAAGTTCAACACATTTGGCAAACCTTTAGCAATAATGATCAAGGGAAAAAGAAAAAAGACGGCCGGGCGCGGTGGCTCACGCCTGTAATCCCAGCACTTTGGGAGGCCGAGGCGGGCGGATCACGAGGTCAGGAGATCGAGACCATCCTGGCTAACACGGTGAAACCCCGTCTCTATTAAAAATACAAAAAATTAGCCGGGCGTGGTAGCGGGCGCCTGTAGTCCCAGCTACTCGGGGAGGCTGAGGCAGGAGAATGGCGTGAACCCGGGAGGCGGAGCTTGCAGTGAGCCGAGATCGCGCCACTGCACTCCAGCCTGGGCGACAGAGCGAGACTCCGTCTCAAAAAAAAAAAAAAAAAAAAAGAAAAAGAAAAAAGACTCAAATTACTAAAATTAGGAACAAAAGAAGGGACATTATATTGACTTTATGGAAGTAAAAGAATTATAAGAAAATACTATGAAAAATCAATGACAACAAATTAGATAACACAGATGCCTTACACAAATTCCTAGAAACATACAAACTACCAAAACCAACTCAGTAAGAACCATAACATGTAAAGAGATTGAATTTGTAATTTTTAAACTTCCTACAAAGAAAAGCCCAGTCTAAGACGAATTTACTGATGAATTCTACCAAGCACTTAAAAAATGATTAGTACCAATTTTTTTTTTTTTTTTTTACAAAATCTTCTAAAACATAAGAGGTGGAAACACTTTCTAACTCATTGTTTGAGACCAGTATTATTTAGATAGAAAATCAAATGGAGACCTCACAAGAGAACAAAACTATAGCCTAATGTATTTTACGAATACAGACAAAAATTCTCCAGAAATAATTTTAAATAGAATCCAACAACATACACCGTGGCCACATGGAATTAATCCTAGGAATGTCAGACGAATTTAACATTCAGAAATCAATTAACTGAATAAAGAACAAAAACTACATGATCATCCCAACAGACAAAGAAACAGCACTTTAAAACATCCAACACCTTTTCTTGATAAGACTTTACACAACAAATTAAGAATTCAAGGGAACTTTTTCCACCTTAAAAAGGGCATCAATGAAAAACTCACAACTAACATTATATTTAATGGTGAAAGATGGAAGGATTTCCTACTAAGGTTAAAAACAAGGCAGTGCTGTCCACTCTTGGCACTTCTATGCAATACTGCCCTGATACACACATTTCACACCAACACTAACAAAATCCCAGCTGGAGTCTTTGCAGAAATTGACAAGATCTATCCTCAAATTTATATGGAAATCCAAGGGATCTGGAATAGCCAATACAATCTTGAAAAAAGAACAAATGTGGAAAACTCATACTTCCAAATTTCAAAACCTGTTACAAAGCTACAGAAATCAAAGTGCTTACCTGCATAACACCAGTGGATTTTTTCAGAACAAAGACCTGTCAGTGTTCTTCCTCAGGTGTTATCCATGCAACGATTTTTCAACTAAAGACTTGCAAATGGACATATCATATGGTGAAATTACACTGTGTGTTTATTCACATAAGCATCTTCTCTCAGTGCTGAATATAAGCACATATTTAGAATAAAATTTTTAAAAATTCTTGCTTCAAATTGTACCAGTTTCAACTCACAATTCTTAAATACATAGAGAACTAAACTTTGCCTTGCCAGTTGCCTTTTTAATTATCTACAATGGTTTCCAAATGAGAGTCTACAGGCCAAAATTGGCCTACAGCCTGTTCTTGTACAGCCATTGAGCAAAGAATGTTTTTACAAGTTTAAAGGGTAAAGAAGTAGAAGAAAACAGAGAAGAAGAAAAAAAAAGAGAAGGAGAAAAAGCAGAAATATAATAATTATAAGCAGCCACGAACATATATGCCCTCAAATCCTAAAATGCTTATTTTCGCGCTTTACACAAAACACTTGTCAACTCCTGATGTACACTTGGAGCTATAATCGCTGGTGTAAAATGATTGCAAAGAGAGCTCACCTTTCTTTCCTATATTTATGCTCTTTACAAAGTGAATTTGTAACTCTTCCATCAAGAAGTAGACTCTATTTCCCAAGCCCTTACATTTGGCTGTCCTCGTGCTTTTTATTTTTATTTTTTTAGCCCATAGAATGTGGTGCAATAATGGCATGCCTGTTCTAAGCCTGCACTTGAAGAGGTTTTGCACATTTTGGCTCCTTTTCTTGCATCTCATAAGAACAAGCCTGGGCTAGCCTGCTGGAAGGTAAGAAAAGGAGAGTTGAGACCCCAGCCTGTTTAAAAATGAACCCCAAACACACAACAGAGTCTAAGCCATTTCAGCAGACCCACCCTCTACCCAATTTACCAGACCCACAGCTAACTACCCAAGTAGCTCCATAGCAGAGGAACTACTCCGCTGCCCATAACCCCATGGCCAATCATAAAAATATATTGTTTCACACCTTATAAATTTTGAGATGGTTCATTGTGCAACAAAATCTAATTGACACACAACTATGAAATGATAAAAGGGATTAAATACTGCACACTCTGTATTTTCATAATTGTTCTTGATCAGCATCTTTCAGCAAGCTAGGTACAAGCAAGATGTTTGCAGCAACCTAAATTTCTGCATTTGAGATAATCAGATTCTTTCAACTCAGGGTTTAGATTCCTGCAATTTAGTGGGCCGGGCACAGTGGCTCACGCCTGTAATCCCAGCACTTTGTTAGGCCAAGGCAGGTGGATCTCTTGGGGTCAGGAGTTCAGGACCAGCCTGGCCAACCTGATGAAACCCGTCTCTTCTGAAAATACAAAATTAGCCGGGCATGGTGGTGCACACCTGTAATCCCAGCTACTTGGGAGGCTGAGACAGGAGAATAGCTTGAATCCAGGAGGCAGAAGTTGCACTGAGCCAAGATCGTGCCACTGAACTCCAGTCTGGGCAACAGAACGAGGCTCCATGTCAAAAAAAATAAAATTCCCTCAATTTAATCTCCACGTTAGTCCCACTAGCATGTATTTTTGTAACCTAGGAAACCTGGGATGAATCACAAGTCTAGGCACAAGGCTTCTAGCACAAGGTGAGTATTTCTTGATGCCCAGCTGTCCCTGTTTCAGGCCTCTGCTCAAATGTCCCCTTTGGCTCTCTCTTTACCATGTTGGGAAGGAGATCTTCCTCTATCAGTTTAGACCCCAGTGGTCAGGAGCCTGTGAATTAAATGGCAATGAACAGATTGACAGCAGAAAAGACAAAATTTCTCTGCACACATGTAGCAGCACACCAAAGAAGTACATCTCTGAACAGCTAGGGACTGTGGCTTACATAGGAGCTTGACTGAAGAAGGGAGGGCAGAGAGGGTTAGGGAAAGAATGGAAGGTTCTGATGAGGTTTGCTGACACCAACACCATTGACTTGAAATGTCATGATGTTAAAGGACTCATTTGTCTCCCTGACTGGAAACCCTGGTTTCGGGCTTTATGGCAGCTGAATTCTCTGGAGTCTCCGCTCTAGTCTGACAGGAGAAGTTCAGTTAAGATCTCTTTCTACATCTGCTGTAATCGTTGTTAGTCCCTTCAACAACACGTTATGAATTGTGCCCCCCACAAATCAATGTTGAAGTCCTAACCCCTAGTACTTCAGAATGCGACTTTATTTGAAAATAGGGTCATTTCAGATATAATTTGTTTAAATGAGGTGGTATTGTAAGGGGGGCCCCTAATCCAATGTAACTGGAGTCATTATTAGAACACAGCCAAGTGAAGACAGACACACTCAGAGACTGCCCTGTGACCAGGAAGGCAGAATACCGCCACGCAACTGCGAGCCAGGACCACCAAAGCATGGCTGGCCGGCCACCAGAAGCTAGGAGGAGGCAAGGAAGCTTTCAGAGGAAGCACAGCCCTGCCAGCACCTTGATTTCAGACTTGCAGTTTCCAGAACTGTGAGACAATACATTTTTGTTGCTTTAAGCCAGCCAGTTTTTGGACCTTATTATGGCAGCCACCCCCCTGCAGCATGTCATCCTGGGTGTGCCTGGTTGGTGGTCGTGACTCAAATGTAAGCTCTGATTGAGGATGGGGCTCTTTGGGTAACACACAGGACAGAGCCTGGCTCATCACAAAATGGCAAATGCTGTGGAACATGTATTAAGCACCATGCTCTACCTCAAAGCACTACATGTATTAAATCATCAATTTGCACAACACTCTGCCACCCCCGAGAAAAGTACCATTTTAATCCCCATTTTCATGGAGGATTAGACTGAGGACTTAGGTGGCTTGTTTACAGTCACATAGCCAGTAAAGGGGCAAAGCTGGGATTCAAACCCAGCAGTCAGATAGTGGAGCCCTGGCGAGCAAGGAGATGAACGGGGCTCTCAGGCACACTCCCCTTTCCCTGATGCTCACAGCCACTCTTCATATCTCCAGTCTTTGGTGGCCCCTGTGCCGTCATCAGAATCTGCCCCTTTTGAGTGATTTTTCATTATTCGGCAGCTCTCTTCATTTCCATCTTATTACAGGCTGGACCAGGACTCATCTCCTAGGAGACAGTAAGTGATTCTGTCCGGTTTATCATTGCTTTATACACTTCAGATACTTTTTTTCATGTCATGTTATTGAATTTTGGGTGTCCCTAAAGTTGGACATTTATCTACAGAATGTGGCAGGCTTTTTGTATATCCACCCATTTGTTATAATCCCCCAAATAAGAAGTTTTATTAAGTTTTTACCTTATCTCCTCTATTTAAACTATTTTTGCTAGACATGCTGAAGGATGTCCCAAATTTATGACCAAAAGGATCATCTTACTAATCTACCTCTGCTGTGGGGAAAGGGCTCCAGCAGATATTTCCCACCTTCCAACTTCCCCACCCCCAGCTGATGGGACAGAGCCTAGGACTCTTAATGGCTAGCAAAGTCAGTGTTCCAGAGAATTCTACCAGATTCATACTTGCAGAGGATGAATTATACAGAATTATTAACCCACTTCTGCCTCCTTCATTCCAGGATTTCACGACAAAAAAAAAAAAAGTAGAAAGGAAGGAAGAAATGTCATAATTAATTGAACTTTTTTTTTTTTTTTTGAGATGGAGTCTCACTTTGTCGCCCAGGCTGGAGTGCAGTGGCGTGACCTCAGCTCACTGCAACCTCTGCCTCCCGGGTTCAAGTGATTCTCCTGCCTCAGCCTCCCGAGCAGCTGGGACAACAGGCGCATGCCACCACACCCAGCTAATTGTTTGTAATTTTAGTACAGACGGGGTTTCACCATGTTAGCCAGGATGGTCTCGATCTCCTGACCTTGTGATCCATCTGCTTTGGCCTCCCAAAGTGTTGGGATTACAGGCATGAGCCACTGCACCTGGCCTAAACTTTTTATTTGAGATAATTTTAGATGTCCAGAGCAGTTGCAAAAATAGTAAGGAGAGTGGCCATGGCCAAGAGAAAAGATCAGTGAATTCTCTCCCCAAAAAGCGAATATAAGGTGAAAAAAATCTTCAATAACCACCATTTGTTGCTCTGGAAATTGGTGAACTACTCAATTTTGAATAAGATCAGTGGTGATGTGTGGCATTCTGGCCTGGGGGACTCAGCCCCGGATCAGTCACTATGGAGATTCTGCTAGGACTGGGCTCTCTGTCTTCTGCCATGATGGAAGGAAGTCCACTTGACGTGGAGCAGCAGTGATGCCCACTGCCAAGGTGTCCTCTGGGGAAGGGACTTTGGAGAGGTTGGGGGCAAGTGGGAGTCTAACTTTTGTCTCTATGAGCCTGAGTTTGTGGTCATGGTTGGGAAGCACATATTCCTGGTTCAGGCTGCACATGTATGCAGTGAAGAACAGAGGGCTCAGTTTATATACACTCTCCTGGCTGACCCTGGGGCTACACATGTGTACACAGGAGACTCTCTGGGGCCCCATGAAAAGCCAAAGCCTGGCGACTTGAAAATGACCTGATCTCTGATCCATGAGCAGGGGATAGAAGCCTTGTTGGCTGAAAGTATTTGAGCAATAGACTACTAAGCTAGGCTGACACAGGTACAAACCCTAGGAAGTAAGTATGAAAACAAAAATTCAAGAACAGCAACAAAAAGCACTTAAGCTGAATTATCAATGGCTGCACATCACAGAAGACAAGTTATTTTGACCCAGTCTTTGATTTAGTAATCAAAGACTTCAGAGTAACTATTATAAATACATTCATAGCATTGAAGTTATTCAAGTTTAAAGAATTAATGTATGATAACAATGAATTAACAAATCGAGAGTCTCGATAAACATATACAAATTATAAAAAAGAACCAAATGGAAATTTTGGAGTTGACAAGTAAATTAACCTGAAATGAAGTTTCCTACAGAGGGGACTTCACAGCAATTTGAGATGGCAGATGAAGTAATCAGTAAATTTAGAGACAGATTAATAGAAAGTATCCAATATGAAGAGCACAGAGAAAGAAAAATTGAAAGTAAAAATAAACATTGTCTCAAACACCTATAGAAATATACCCAGTATACCCACATAAGCATATGAGAGTCCCAGAAAAAGGACTCTAAGAGGAGGAAAAGTTATTTGAAGAAATAATGGCTGAAGACTTCACAAATTTGATGAATGAATTAATCTACACATACAGGAAGCTCCATTAACTGCAGCCAGAAAAAGCTGTATAAGAAAGACTACAGACATAGTGCAGTGGCTCATGCCTGTAATCCTAGCACTTTGGGAGGCTGAGGTAGGAGGATCATTTGAGCCCAGGAGTTCAAGACTAGCCTGGGCAACATAGTAAGACCCCCATCTCTAAAAAAATTAAAAATGAAAAATAAAAATTAGCCAGACATGGAGGCATGTGCCTGTAGTCCCAGCTACTCAGGAGGCTCAAGTGGGTAGATCACTTGACCCCCAGAATTGGAGACTGCAGTGAGCCAGGATTGCACCATTGTACTCCAGACTGGGCAACAGAGAGAGATTCTGTCTCAGAAAAAAAAAAAAGGAAGGAAAGAAGGAAGACTACTTATTAGACATTCCATTTATATGAAATATCTATAACAGTCAAATTTATATATAAAGAAAGCAGATCAGTGTCTGCACGGGACTGGGTGTGGAAGCAGAAAATGACTGCAAATGAGCAGGGGCCACTTTCAGAGTGAGGGAATGCCTCAAACTGGACTGTGATGATGACTAAACAACTTAAAGTAACTAAAGTCACTGAATTGCACACTTACAATGGATAATTTTTTATATGAAAATTGTTTAAATACATTAGCTAGGCAAAACTCATGTATTACACACACATACACAAGATACATTATAGCTTTGCACCATCTCACAGAAATGTCCTCATTGGAACACAGTAAAGATATGATATAACACCGTGGAAAGAACGCTGAACTTGGAATCCTAATGTGTGGACCAATCTACATGTTCTACTATTTACTATGTATAACATTGGCTAACTCACTTTTCCTCTCTGAACCAATTTTTGTACGAAAAAGTGAAAATTAAATAAGAGTATACATGAAGTATCTAAAACAGTGGGTGAACCAGTTAATGCTCAATATACTGATATTTGTTTGCCTTTATGTTTGTCACTGTGGTCGCTCTCTGTGGGCACCAAGCATAGGAGAAAAAAAGTAGCAGAATATAGAGTTGCTGCAAAATGTTTGTTTGACAAGTAGAAGGCAGACGAGCCAGGTGAGATTAAGTTGTCTCAAACTGATTCAAGCCATCAGAACACAGACCAAACCCCAACCAAGATCAACAGCTTGAGTGTGGCCATGATCTGCAAGGCTCCAAGGCCACTCCCTCTACAAGCATAGAATATGAAAGTGGTGGTAGGCAACAAATGCCACTCCACACTCTTTTACCTGTCCATGGCATCCTTCATCTCTCCAGTGGCTTCCTCTCTTCCTCTGGGAAAGCATGCTCCTCATTCTGCTGCTCACACTCATCCCTGATTAGACACCCCATACCTGTGTCGCTGCGAGCTTTCGTCCATGCATCTGCAGTGCACTGCCCTAGCCACTCTGCTCCTCTTTCCTGGTGTCTCCTTTGCCTGATCATAAGCCCCTGTAAAGCAGAGAGAGACCATATTTTACTGTGCTCTGTGTATTCAGGACCTAGTGCTGTGTCTGGCATATTATGAGAATTCACTAAAAGTACATAATTATCTAAACGGAACTGAAAAGCACAGAGATGAAGGATTTTATAGATGAGATTGTTCAAGGTCATGGAGGCCACAAGTAGCAACAAATCATGGAATACATAGAAAAGGAATTCAGAGGTAAATTGGCATTTTCTGAACAACAATTCATTGATGCTTTGTCCCAGGCACTTTCCATTACATTATTTATTTTTTAAGACAACTCATTGAGAGAGGTATTATTTTCACTATTTCAAGAACTCACAGAAATTGTATTTGTCTATGTATGGTGAACTCTCTAGGAAGTGTTAAAGCCAGGATTTGTCCCCAGAATTCTCTGATGTCTCAACCAATCCCTGCCATTACATGCATCCAGAGTCCACAAATAATCAATGCCCATTTTGTGTGAGGTGCAGTTCTATGCTGTGCCTTCCTTGAGGAAGGATGAATAGATGGCAGATGAGCCAGGTGAGATTAAGTTGTCCCAAACTGATTCAAGTCATCACAACACAGACCAAACCCCAACCAATATAGACAGTGTGAATGTGGCCATGATCTGCAAGGCTCCAAGGCAACTCCCTCTATGGTGCAGAGAAGCTGTGACCCACTGTGCCTCCCAGTTATCTTTCTCAGCAAGTCCTTTGGACACTTTCCTGTCCCTGATACTGTATTGTTAATAGTCTCTGCATCACAAATCTGAAGAGAATGGAATCACATAGAAGCCACCTGTGTAACAATCCCCACATCCAACACCCTTTTAATTCCATTCCCCTTTCTCCTAATTTAGGATATGACCCCCTGCATAGGCTATTGTTTCCAACCCCTCCCAAAGTCCTCTTTGCCCAAGTTACCTCTCCCAGTGAACAAGGCACAGGCTCCTCAGGTTTTCCTAAGGCATTGCCTGAAACTTTGAAACGTGTCATTCTCATCAGTGATCCCCAAAGACTCCTTAGTTTTACACTCCATACAACCTCTCTCCTACAAGCCTCTCTTACACGACCTTGCCTGCCCTTCAAGAACACATTTTTCTAAGGAAGCACCAGCCCCATGGAAATCCCCCTCATGACTCAGTCAGTAATGATCTTGTCCTCATCAGAATTCATAAGCTTCTCATCTATATGGATACAATGAAATTTCTGCTTTTCGAGAGCATCTGGTGTGTTGTGATATGCTTATTGTGTTATTATTTGAGTACTGAATTCAATGTTTGCGTGCACGTACCTTTTTCTATCTTCCTGCAGATGAAGGTCTCCGATGTTACCCACAATGAGTAGCAGGAGGCCATGCAGACAACAGGCAGCCAGATAAATAGGAGGAGAGACAGCACTGAATGCGCTCAATCACTAATTAATCTCTTTCCCTTTAAACGGTATTTTCATATTCTAGAGGAGCAGCTTTTTTCTCCAATCTCTCTAGGCTCCTGCCTCACGCCACAAAATAGGATTTTGTAGTCACTCACAAGTAGAGGGGAGTCAGGATCTGCTTTTCTCTCAGTAGCTCCTTATTTCTCTTGACAGGAGATTAACACGTGGTGATGGGATCAGAATCTCTGGCCTTGCCAGCCACTTCATGAAGATCACAAGACATACGGGTCTTTGATCTGCTATTGCTGAACGTGGCCTGCTCACTAAGCAGGTCACCTCTGCCCTGTAAGTTTAATTCAGGTGAGAAATGGAAACAATCTCATTTTTGTATTGGATCCAAGAAGAATTCGCCAACTCAGCCTTATCAGCAATGAAGGAGATATTTTAATCTCTGACATTTGCACCGTTTGTCAACTTGTTGGAATCTGGGTGGAGGGAGAAGTGAATAAGGAACCGTTAGGCATGATGTAGAATCTTCTCAAACATCTTGATTACTGTAGGATAATTAGACATTGTCTCAAAATACTTGCAATGATATTTGTGTTTAAAATTTGGAATTATATGATTCCTCCTCAGCATAAGCTACCACCTGAATAGCTATTTTTGTACTTGTGTTAGAAGAAACGATTTTCCATTCTAATATGCAACAGACCCAGAATTTCCACTTCTGCATCCTAACTAATCACAAAGTGTCACTGCTAATTGCACAGACTCAGCTCCTCATGTGGACACAATCTAGTCCACGTATGTTGGCAGACTCCGCATTAGCTGGCTTTTGTCATACTCATGACAGAGCGGAAATAACATGGGTGTAAATTAAAGAAATGCCCTTTCCAAGACACATCTCACTTTAAAATCCCTCCATCTCTAACACAAAGCTTGTGAACTTTCCAAAGCGGGCCCATACACAGTTGCTGTTGCATGAAGGAGCACATTATATTATATCAGAGCTTTGTTTCTTTAGTAGAAGAAACAGAGAATCCATTCCATCTGTGGAATGGGAACAATAAAATAAACTTTTCATATATTTTTGTGAGATTTTAAAGTAAAACACAACACTTTGCCTTCCTAGCAAACTGTACACATTAAATAAATAATGGTTGTCTTCTCTGCTGCTGGTTTGCTGTTTTTGTTGTTACGTAATCCTTTCAGAAAGCCATCCTCTTTGACAACTTTCACATTGACTGGACTCATTCATGAGTTTGTTCACATAAAATTATTCCCTAACACTAGTCATAACAATGACAAAGAATCCATCAATGCAGAATTATTTTAATCATCAGAAAACAGTGGAAACTCTCCTTGTTCTTAATTTTATCTTTGAATCACAGCTGTTACTAATAACTCATACTTGTTACAATCATGTGTTTTTATCATCAACCTCATTGTATGACAGAAGAATCATAGCTATCAAGAAAATCATTAAAGCAGGAGAGAACAGTCTTGATGGAGCCACATGGCAAACAGTGACATAGTGCCCAGAGGACCAGAGGTAGTAGTACACGGAGCACCGCAGGGTAGACTTGGGCAAGGGGGCCGGCACCAAGCAGCTTGCTGGCTGCATTTGCTCCTCCTCCTGGCTTCAACACGAGTGGAAGGAGGCCCCATGGAGCAGGCATGGCTGGTCAGAGACCTGGGTTCTGCTTACAGCTCTTCCCTCCCACCTGAGATGCTAGGCAAGTCAACGCTCCCACTGAAGCCTGTATCCACCACCCACACTCCCTTAAAGGGCTGCAGTTGGTTTCATGGTGGATAATATAAAACTGCCCTGAAAGAGATCAGGATGGCACCAATATAATCACTCCATATTGACACTGGCCCTGTCAGAGCCCCAATTTCCAGGAATGTAGAAGGTTGGGCCCAGGTGGCTCTGGGAACACCGGACAGCCAGAGCTCAGGGGCCAGCTGGGGGCGACAATTTTGAGAAAAATTCATTAATATGAATTATCAGTAATTCCCAGAAAATCATTTCCGCATAAAGGAGAAAAGGAAACTTAAATGGATGCTCTCTGCCAGGTTTTAAATAGTGCTGCTCTTGAATTGTGTAGATTCTGTGGCGTTCCAGTAAAATCATTTTCAGGAAAGTTGCAGCAGGATTCTTTCGAACCAAGAGTGATGTGGAGCCTTTTCAAAAAATAAATAAAAGCCACAATTGAAGTGGTGATGTTAGCCACTTTGTCTCTTATTTTGCTGGGAATATGTCTAATGTTTGCCTATCAAGACAAAGCTATTGGCAAGCTTCTTTAAAATGTACCTTTCTGATACCAGCATGATAACTGTTAGTCACGAAGGCATGTAGAATTTTACCAACTGTTTTTGCAAATCTGTAGCAACTCACGTGGCTTTTAAAAAAAACTCTTGAGTGGAGTTAGGGGTGGTGTGACAACCGAAAAAGACTCTGACACCATAGCCTCAGCCCTCCTGCAGCAAGAACCAGCCAATGCTTTGCCATATTGTCCCCATCTCTCATCAGGAAATGCCCCCCGCCACAAGTTTCTTTCTTGTATTACATCTGAAACTTTTACTACGTTTACTATTTTGCATTAACATAATTTCTATTACTCATGTGTTATTATTCACTTTTTTCTTACATCTGAGTTAATTTTGACAGCACATCTTCTTCAAAACCATTAGTTTTATGCAGACTTGCCAGTTATTCCTGTAGCGTTATACAAAAAAACCTTATTGCTTTTTATTAGGTAGGTGCAAAAGTAACTGTGGTTTTTGCCATTACTTTCAATGTAATAAAACTATTACATTTTGTATCAACCTAATAATCCTATTATTGCTGCATATTAATATATGACCGTTATTATTTCTGAAGTGTGGTTTTTCTTTCATTTTAAATGGCTTGTCAAAGGTTTTCGCTCCTTGATTATTTCAAGCAATATAAATAACCAAAATACAAGTAACTTCGTATTTTTAAATAAAATTACCACTATTTTCTATACGATTTCATCATTTTGGGTCTTCATCTATATGAAGTTTTTATTCTACTTTTTTCTGTTTATTTTATTTTGGATTTCTTCTCTTTGGTTCTGTTTATTCTTAGAGGATCATGGTGCTCCTGGCCTAGGTCCCCAGTGCAGCTGAGACCTGCTGGGGATGAAGAATGGCTGGAGACGCTGCCACTTCTGGCCAGAAAAATATAGATAATGACATCTAAATCGTAAACAGGTATACTAAATAGCAGCTTAGATATCTCTGAAGGGAGAAGTGGTGGAATAAAAATACAACAGTCTGAACTACGTGAGGTTCATCACAGAGACAACAAAGAAAAAAAGAAGAAAGGGTAGGAGGTAAGGAGGATAAAATGAGAAAATACAACATAACTCTAATTAAGAAAAAAACAGTATTTTAAGCAATAGTATCTGAGAATGTTCCAGAACTAATAACATGAATCCTTGCTTTTAAAAAGGTATGTCAAGCCCCAAACAGAATAAATAATACTAAGTCCATACCTAGATATATTGAAGCAAAACTGTAGAACATCAAAATGAATGAGCCAATTATGTACAAAGGCCATTAACTGGACAGACAGCTGACTGCCTTTTCAACAACAATGGAGGAAAATTTCAGTAGTTCAAAAATCTTTAAATTGCTGAGGAAAATAACTGTTAGCCTAGAATTTAAAAACAGCAAGAGAAAAAAAAAAGAACATTTTCAGACATACAAAGACTTAAGAGGAATATGGAAAAAGTTGAGCACATAGTAGAGAGTAGAACAGTGCTTACCAGAAGCTGGGGTTATTAGCAGGGAGCAGAGGATGGGGAGATGTTGGTCAAAGGATATAGGATCACAGATAGGAGGAATACATTTCAACAGATAGGCTGTACCACAAGGTGACTAAAGTTAATGATGATATAATGTATGCCTGAAAAATGTGAAGAAAGTGGATGTCATGTGCTGTCACCAAAAACATAATAACCGTGTGTGGTAATGTATTTGTTGATGATGAGATTAAACCATTCCACAATGTATATACATGCTTCAAAGCATCATGTTGTACATGATAAAAATGTACAATGTTATCTGTCGATTTTTTTAAAAGTGCAAGGGTAACCTAGATACGGAACAATCAGACTATTCTAGAATAAGAGGTGACTTCTGGTTTAATGCTTACTGGGTAAACTATGGAATGCGCAGGAAAAAAGACTTTATCCAAAAGAAGATAAGGAAAAAGAAAACAAACAAACAATGCAACGTGGAAGAGGAAAAAGGATATTAAAAGAAAACCCACCATACATGATAGTTAATTTGGGGTATATTGGAATCACCATAAATAGAAATGCACTCAAGGTCATCTATTAAAAGACAGAAAGCATCTTACTGGATATATTAAGCGTAGCTATAAGCTGATTGAAGGAGCCCTGTTATATATACACACAGAGAAAAAAAATAATAAAGTGGTGGAATAAAAAATACTATATCAGTATTGACCAAAAAACCAGTATGGTAATGTTAATAACAGACAAAATAGATTTTATGTCAAAAAGCAATAACAATCACTACATATTAATACATGGAAAAATCCGCCCAGTATCCATGTTAGTCACATTTATATGCACTTAATATTTACAACCTTTAAATACATACAGCAAAACCTGCCAGAAATTTAAGGAGAAATGGACCAACCCACAATCATAATAGGAGATTTTTAATGGACTAATTTCAGAAATGGGTAGAAAAATCAGAATACACTGGAAATACTATAGACTGTTGGGATAGCAAAATCGATAAGTTTGGTTTGATGAAAATGTACATCACAAAGTACTCTAATAAATGAAAATATATAATATTTTAAGTATGTAAAGATTTTTTATAAATATTGGCAAAATATTCTTAAAATGAAACTTAACTGAGCAATTAAAATGAATTCTAGAGATTCCTGGATCAACATGTACAAATTTCAAAAACAATTTTAAGAGAAAAGAGCAAGTTTCTTTGTCCACACTGTATGATATTATTTATATAAAAGATAAAAGCCTGCAAAAGAATGCAGTGCATTCTTGTATACATATACATATATATGTGCATGTATGTGTGTATGCCTATAGATGTATATAAACATATATGTTTATATAAACATATATGCATGAAGTTATACATGGGGATAGAATAAATGGAACTGGATCTCTGATAGAAACACTGTGAGCCTCGATTTTATATCTAGTTTTAATATTTGTAAAATCTAAAACAAAACAAATACAATTTTATATTAAGATTTTGTAGTTTGGTGGCATGTAGATATAAGTTTATTTTTTTCTATTCATGTTTGCTTCAACAGCATTTATACTTATATAATTCTATGCTATTCATTATATACTATTTATGCTTGTGTAAATGCATGCTTATCATAAAAATTCCTTGAGAAGCCTGAAATGGTCAAGTTATAAGATAAAAATAAAAACTATCTTGCAAACAAGAAATATCTGACCTTGAATGATTAACTTAGTTACTTTTTGCAATTCTGTTTAACTCAGTGAATCCCAAGTTCTATATCCTCTATCTCTACCTGAATGAAAATTTGATTTTCCAACCAGCATCAATGTTAAGCATGCAACTCTAATGTTCTTTTAATTTCCTTATGTGTATGAGTCTGTTCTGACACTGCTATAAAGACATACTGGAGACTGAGTAATTTACAAAGAAAAGAGGTTTAACTGACTCAGAGTTACACATGGCTGGGGTGGCCTCAGGAAACTTAAAATCCTGGCAGAAGGCCCCTCTTCACAGGGCAGCAGGAGAGAAAAAGAGAACCATTAGGAGAAATGTCAGACACTTATAAAACCGTCAGATCTTGTAAGCACTTGCTCATTATCACGAGAACAGCATGGGGGAAACCGTCCCCATGATTCAATTATCTCCACCTGGTCCCACCCTTGGCACTTGGGGATTATTATAATTCAAGGTGAGATTTGGGTGGGGACAACAGAGTTCCCATACCATTATGAGAACATAAAATTTAAAAAGTGGAACAAATTCGATTAATGTTTATTGTTTCTGAAAGTAAACTTTCATGTTCATCCCCTTTGAGAGAAACAGTCAAACAGGTAAAGAGAGGGCTAGATGGAGCTTGCCGCTCACCAGCTGGAGTGTGCTTCTTAGTCCCCAATTTAGAGACAGCAGGTTCCTATGCTGAAAGCTTTCTGTGCGTTTCAGAGAGATGTTTATAATTATCCAGTGTTAGGGCAGCAGCAGCCCCATTCCACATCGTGATGTTGTAGTGGCGCCAAGGTTTTATCAGTCTTCAGTATTTCTGGAAGATTTCAATTTAGAAAACCGAGAAATGATTTTTCTCCCCTTGTGATTGAATTCATTTCCCCAATTAACAAATATACGCCAGTGGAAATTACATAAGTTCAATAAAATACAATTTTTGTACTTCAATTATGGAGCTATTGTTTCCTCCTATGAAAATACCTTGTCTCCTCTCAATATTACATTGAACCTCCTCCTCTCCCAAAATAAGATTTCCCTACTAAAATATTGAAAACTAAATTTCCAACATGTGAATGAACAAAGCCAGTTAAGGATAATAGCTGGAGCTGGATATGATAAGGCAAAAATTTCTGGTTTGTGTAATCAATCCTGTTACCAATTCTACTAAAATCCCAGACCTGATTGATCATTAGCATTTACTGAGGATTCTTTGTTGCCAATTGAAACTACCTGAATGAGAACCTCTGAGTGGTGGGAACCATGAATTTTGGTTTTTAATAAGGCCCTGAGAACATCTTGGTGATTGTCTATGTTGGCCATGGTTCTCACCTAGACAATGTGTAAATTAATTTGATTGTGCTAATCATTACACAATGTACATGTATATCAAATCATCATGTTGTATATTTTAAATATATACAATTCTTTATTTGTGAATTAAATATATCTTTAAAATCTCAGTGTCAAGGCCATGATTACATCAATTAAATTGGATGTGCTGGGAACGGAACCAGGCACTGGCAGTTTCAAAGTCCTTCAAGTGATTCCAGGGTTTCACAAAGACTAAGAATCATTATACTGGTTCAAAAACATTTTTTAAATGCCAAAACTATAGTTTGGGTTGCAATGACAAGAAGACTTATCTACCTCCAATGCAGTGCAAATAGAAATATTTAAATTATCTCTTTAAAAAAGTATTTTTTTTCAACTTTTTATCCTGTCTCCTAATCCCAGCAACAGGATGTTTCACTATTCCTTGTAGTTTCTTATGAAGACGCATTAAAAAGTTACCACTCATTTTCTGTTATATACGTCAATAGCCATATAGTCTATAACCAGGTTTCTCCTAAGAGGAATAAAACATGCTAAACTTTTTTTCTGTCAATAATCATGCTTCAGCTGAAAAATTGTTAAAATAAAAATTAAGCATTTGCAAAACTGTTTTTAAGGAAGATTCAGAGATATGCAAATATCTAGGCACAATTTGATACCATGTTCATGTTAAAAGTATAACTTTCAAAAGTGAAAAAAAAAATGACCATCAAACAAATATAAAATGAATGCAGGGCCAGGAGAGGTGGCTCATGCCTGTCATCTCAGCACTTGGCGAGGCTGAAGCAAGGGGATCACTGAGCCCAAGGGTTTGAGACCAGCCTGGGTAACATAGTGAGACACCGTCTCTACAAAAAATTAAAAAAAAAAAAAATAGCTGTGCATAGTGACTCACGCCTATAGGCCCAGCTACTCAAGAGGCTTAGGTGGGAGAATCGCTTGAGCCCAGGAGGTCGAGGCTGCAGTGAGCTGTGATCATGCCACTGCACTCCAACCTGAGTAACAGAGCAAGACCCTATCTCAAAACACAAACATACACGCAAAGACATGAAAGGATATCAAAGATTTTATTCAACTTATTAATGAGGGAGTCAGTAAGCTTATAAAGCTGGTTCAAAGAGTATTTAAAGAGGTTTTTTTTTTTTTTTTTTTGAGACGCCCAAGGTGGAGTGCAGTAGCGCAATCTCGGCTCGCTGCAAGCTCCGCCTCCCGGGTTCACGACATTCTCCTGCCTCAGCCTCCTGAGTAGCTGGGACTACAGGCGCCCGCCACCACGCCAGGTTAATTTTTGTATTTTTTGTAGAGACGGGGTTTCGCCGTGTTAGCCAGGATGGTCTCGATCTCCTGACCTCGTGATCCGCCCGCCTCATCCTCCCAAAGTGCCGGGATTACAGGCGTGAGCCACCATGCCCGGCCTTAAAGAGGTAGGTTGTATACCCAATTTAAAGTAATGTTATTCTAAGTTTGTTAAATTGGATAGAAAACTGGCTAAAATCCTACTGGTCCAGAGTCTGTGACACCTTGGGACATATGTTCTCTACCAGACAGAAACTATTTGTATCTCTATCAGCCAAAAATCTACAAGTTAAAGTGTAACTTCATTTAACTGGGGACCATTAGCTAGCAATGAGTCACACAAGGTCTATTCCTCCAAATAAGCCCTTGCTGGGCCTGTTAAATTGCCCCCAAAGGACACTGAGAGATAGACACTTGCATTTTTGTCTTATGGTCATGTTGTGAGTAATTTTTAAAATATCTATATATCAGCCACTACTTAACTACATTTTCCTTAAGCAACTTTAAATGAAAACATTTTACAAAGTTAAAATACAGATACTCATACATCGCTAGGTGAGGACCACCCTCTCTCCCTTTAGGTCCTGACTTGGCCTTAAACTTCCCAGCATAGCCTAAGAAAGTCACTACCGAACACGAATCAGACTGGGCGCAGGTGACCTAACCTTTCCGTGTGAGTATTAAGGTGTGCTTTCGCTCCTGGGTAGAAACACTTCCTGGTGTCACATGGAGTTCAATGGAGCTGACGCAACTTTCTTCCTGCTGCCACTCAACTTGAGAAAGCTCATGCCTATAAGTGCTGAACTCAGGGAGGCAATTCCAGGTTTGTTCCTCAGTTCTCCAAGAGCCACCTCCTGCTTTATGTGGCTCAAAAGACTGAGGAAGCAGAAAGAACATGCCAGACTCTCAATCAGCTTGCAGCGAGCCTTCGACTCCAAGCTTCCCGATGGGAGAGCAACAGGCGTCCCAAACAATTCAGTTTCCTTAGTCTCAAACACTACTTTATTAATTAATTAAGTTGCACTTACACAGTCTGTATGAGTTAAAGATAATTTATTTTTAACACTCAGGACCAGAATAGCTTTTGTTTTTATTCATTTATTTATTTATCTTTATTTATTTTATTTTTTTTTTTTGAGACGGAGTCTCACTCTGTTGCCCAGACTGAGCGAAGTGGCGCAATCTCGGCTCACTGCAAGCTCCGCCTACCGGGTTCACACCTTTCTCCTGCCTCAGCCTCACGAGTAGCTGGGACTACAGGCGCCCGCCACCACGCCCAGCTAATTTTTTGTATTGTTAGTAGAGACAGGGTTTCACCGTGTTAGCCAGGATGATCTCAATCTCCTCACCTCGTGATCTGCCCGCCTCGGCCTCCCAAAAGTGCTGGGATTACAGGCATGAGCCACTGCGCCCGGCCTGCTTTTATTTTTTAACTTCATCCAACCTACTCTTTACTTACTGTTTGCATGCATTATCCCTATTGATTTAATTCATCTTAGGGGCAGATTACTCATTGCCCCACAGTGAATATTAAGTTTTAATGGTGTAAGCTAAAAATAAAATCCTAAGCCCCTGACAGACTGAACAGACTCCCTGTTGACCAAGGAGACCCCAGAAAATCTAAGATGAATTAAATCTTATAATCTCTATGTTAACATTAATGATAGTAGCTTGTGCCTAAACTCCAAAAGGTGGAAAGTGTAACGAGGCATGTCTGACCGCCCTTCCTGTCATGGCCAGGAATTCAGTTTTTAATGTTTTTCTGGGATCTCCATGACCAACAGGGAGTCTGTTCAGTTGGCTGGGGGCTTAGGATCTTATTTTTAGCTTACACCACTAAAATTAAATATTAAACAGACTCTTTGTGGCAATAAGACAGCAAATCATAAAAAAGACCTAAAGCTATGTAAGGAAAGAGTTGAGTCATGCCCTGCAAACCATAAAATCTTGTTAAATGGGTTTTTTAATTAACCGAGTATAATGTGGCTTACTTTCCAACCTGACTCTAGTATAACATCATATGGCAGATAGCAGACCCCCTTATCTTAAGCACTTCTTGCTACTGACTTGAAGTCTTCAGACAAAGCTTAACTCTTTCAACCCATTGTCAACTAAAGAATCTCTAAAACCCACCTATACCTTCTAAGCCTCCATTTCAAGATGCCCTGCCTTTTTGGGCTTAACCAAGGTATGCTTTTCATGTATTGATTTATAATTTTACCTACAATTTCTGTCTCCCTAAAATGCATAAAACCAAATTGTAACCCCACTGCCTAGGGAACACTTACTCAAGGCTTTTGAGTTTGTGTTTTCTCCAGGCTGCAGTCACTTATATTGGCTCAGAATAAATTCTTTAAAATATTTCAGTGTTTGGTTTTTTCATTAACAATGGAGACTCACTGCAAGCTAAAAAAGTGGAGAATTTCCTCGTAATGTGAGGTGGACTTAAATAGAAGTATTTCAGCAGCAGCCCCAAATTTCTTTTGACAGACACCCCCCACCACACCCTCACCTACCATCACTTCCCTCACTGTATCTCTCATTCTCGTCCCTTTTCTCTTGCCTTCCTCCACCACCTGCACTCTTCCTTGTCCCTCAGTCTGATGCTTGTTTCCCCTAGTACCCCTTCTTTCTCCTCCCCACTGTCACTCCCAGCTGCCCTTCCTGGGACTCCTCTCCCTGCTGTTGCTTCACCTTCCCCCGTCTTGACACCCCCTTTTCCTCCTCACTCCAATATCTCCTCTCACTTCCATGCCCTTTCTGCTCAGACGAGCTCCCTTCCTGGACCTGTGCTTCTCCCAGACCCCATCTGGACCTGCCCTGCTCCTCCACTCTCCTGTGCCCTCCCCAGCCTTGCCAGCAGGCAGGCATTTCACTCAGACTTCCCATCTGGGCTTGATTTACTCAGACGTCTGATGGTTACGTCACTGAACAACTTTTCTGAATCATCTTACTACTGTGAAAAAGTATAGCCTGGTGCAGTGGCTCACACCTGTAATCCCAGCACTTTGGGAGGCCGAGGCGGGCAGATCACCTGAGGTCATGAGTTCGAGACCAGCCTGACCAACATGAAGAAACCCCATCTCTACTAAAAATACAAAAAAATTAGCTGGGCATGGTGGTGCATGCCTGTAACCCCAGCTACTCAGGAGGCTGAGGCAGGAGAATTGCTTGAACCCAGGAGGAGGTTGTGGTGAGCCAAGATCACGCCATTGCACTCCAGCCTGGGCAACAAGAATGAAACTCCATCTAAAAAAAGAAAAAAGGAAAAGTATAAATTTACAGATTTCTCTACTAACCAAAGGGCAATATACCAGTGTTCCTTGTTTTAGGCCTGGTTCTGACTAATATTAACACCTCATCGGAACTGGTAAGTAGCAAAACTACTGGAAAACCCACTAGCCTAGGATAGAATAAAAATCTGACCCTCAGTGATAAAGAATTGACTTCAGACTTCTAGGAAGGATACCAACACAGAAGCCTGCTTGCAAATCTCCTTAAAATGAATTTTGAAGAAGATAATTTCCTCTACTCTAACTAGGAAATGACTAAAACTTCATACTGGCAACTTCTCAGCACATTGCGCCTGATATAATAATGTTTTGAAGCAAATTGAAAGAAACTGTTTGGAGCTGATAAAATCCTCATGATGCCAAGCATAAGCTCAATGGATCCCTGAAGGCACCCCTACCCCAGCAGTGGGAGCTGACCTTTTGTTTAAGAAAATAATTATTCTTGACACTTGTTAAGGGACTGAAAGGCAAACTTTATTCCGGGGACTACTACAGTAGGGCTTTGCAGTGAAGAGAGAGATTGGACTCAACTATGAATACAAGAAGGAAAACTTGGGGGTGTATAGACAAGGATCAAAGTGGGGGTGGGGGTGAATTAAAAATTATTAAGAGGGTGGGGTAATGCTTTGCTAAACTGATCTAACAGGATCTATCTGAGAGCAGGCCCAGGGTAACCAGAGATCACCTGGGGGTAGTGAGCATGAGGAATTTGATCAGATGTGGATAGTGATGTAAATCCAAAAGTCTCTGAGCCAAGTCTCAATCAGTCTAGAAATGTTATTTTTCCAAAGTTAAGGATGTACCTGTGACACAGCCTCAGGAGTTTCTGACGACTGGTGCCCAAGTTGGGGGTACAGCTTGGTTTTATACATTTTAGGGAGACATGAGACATCAATCAATTATGTGTCATTTTAGGCAGACGTCAATAAATTATAACATGTTCATTGTTTCAGTCTGGAAAGGCAGGACAACTCAAAGTGGGAACTTCCAGGGGATAGATAGATGAGAGACACTTGCATTCTTTCAAGTCTTTGATCAGCCTTTCGTTGAATCACAGTTTATATGTGAGAGAAGGAGTAGAGAAATGGTCACTTATGACTTAGTCTGGCTCAGTGAATCTGCATTTTTGCATAAACAATAGGACAGAGGAACAATCAGATATGCGTTTGTCTCAGGTGAGCAGAAAGATGACTTTGAGTTATGTCCTTTGTACCATACCTGTGAAGATAAGCTATTAATTTACATTGGCAGGCCGGGTGCAGTGGCTCATGCCTGTAATCCCAGCACTTTGGGAGGCCAAGGTGGGTGGATCCCTTGAGGTCAGGAGTTCGGGACCAGCCTGGCCAACATGGTGAAACCTCATCTCTACTAAAAATACAAAATTAGCCAGGTGTGGTAGCATGCGCCTGTAATCCCAGCTACTTGGGAGGCTGAGGCAGGAGAATCACTTGAACCCAGGAGGCAGAGGTTGCAGTGAGCTGAGATTGCATCATTGCACTATAGCCTGGGCAAAAAGAGAGAAACTCTGTCTCACAAAAAATTTTTTTTACATTGACAGTGACATTCAACAGAACTGTTTTAGGGTAAAGATTATGAGGCCCACAAGGAGTTTCACTGTGGGCAAATTGTGAGGGAGACATGCAGCTTTTTTACCTTTGCAATTATCTTATTTAGGAATAAAATGGAGGCAGGTTTGCCTGATGTGTTTCCCACCTTGACTTTTCCCTTCGGCTTAGTGATTTTTGGGGTCCCAAGATTTACTCTCTTTTCACAGGGATCAGATTTTGATGGTGGCAGATTCTGGCTAAATGGGTTTGACAGAATTACGGCTAACACTGGGCTATTGAGAACATACCCAAAGATGAGGTCCAGTTGAAAATGAGCAGAGAAGACCCTGAGGTGAGTTTGGTCAAGAAGAGAATCTTTGTCAGGGGTCAAATGCAATATATGAACACGGAATGGACACCCATTAGAGAAGGACACCTTAGTTCAGATTGGCAGTGAGTGAACTTAGAGAGGGACCAGGAAAGGAGCGATTTTAAATTAGTCTGTCTCCTAAAATTAACTTGAAAAGTGTGATTGGAGCCAAGTCAACAATCCATCTGCTGATCAAAGGCGGCCCTGCAAAAGAAAGCACTCACTGACCCACTCAGCAAAAACCCTATGAACTGTGATCAATTGCTGTAAACTAGACTTTACACATGCAACCTGCTCCACTGAAAGTGGGGTCAAAAAGAGCCCACACCCAAAAGCAACTGGTTATACCAAAAGATGCTTAGACTCTCCAGTGTTTACAGAAAATGATACCTAAGTAAGAAGGAAACATTTGTCACCCATCCATTGGCAAAAATTAAAATCATTAATAAGCCCTAATAATAGAAAGGATGCAAGCACTGGTACTCTCTTCACGAAGTATTGGTGGTTCTGTAAATGGTAGAAACTCATTGGGAAGTAGTATTACTCTGGGTACCACGTCATGAAACAGGCTTGCCATTTATAGAATAATTTCACTCCCAGAATTGCCCTTAGAAATTAATTGCACATGAGTTAATAGAAACAAGTGCATGAATACTTATTGCAGCTGTGAATATGGAAGTGCTTATACAGCAGAGTCTGCATCTTGTCTATGGAATACACTAGGTAGCTGTTGGAGAGAAACAGGCAGATATTTTTATATCAAACAAAGTATCTTGCTAAGACATATTGTAAACTGGAGAGTTTTAGAATAATATATATTCATGTAAAATGCATTTGTAGATGCATAAATACATAAATATGTACGCACATTCATTAGAGTAAAAGAGGGTGATCCCAACCAAATTTGTGGCTATGGAAACTTCCAGGCAGACTAAAACTGAGAATTGAAGAGGAAATTTCTACTTTTCTATATTTTTCTTTTGTATATGGATTTTTTGCGTATTTCATAAAACTAAAACACATTTATGAATGACATTTATAACAAAAAGGGAAAAACAGAAATTAATTGACAGTAGAAAAAGAGGTTTGACAAATTCATCACTTCTTTTTTTCAAAATCTAATAAAACAAATCACAATACTAATCAGAATAAAAGATAATAAAAATATACAAAACATAAAAAACCTAAAACATTTTAAAATTTAAAATAGCTAAAGTTCAGCAACTATTAAACTATTTTAACAGAATACTTTGTAGAAAGCTATAATAAATAGCAAACTTATTTTGCACCTGTTATGTGCCAGGAACTCTTTGTGTTTTACAAATATTAATTTCTGAAAACTCTGTAAGTGTCATTGTCCCATTTTACAGATGAGGAAATTGAGGCACAGGGAGTTAATTTTTTTTTTTTTTTCTGAGATGGAGTCTCGCTCTGTCGCCCAGGCTGGAGTACAGTGGCGCAATTTGGCTCACTGCAAGCTCCGCCTCCCAGGTTCACGCCATTCTGCCTCAGCCTCTCGAGTAGCTGGTACTACAGGCGCCCACCACCATGCCCAGCTAATTTTTTGTATTGTTAGAGACAGGGTTTCACCGTGTTAGCCAGAATGATCTCGATCTCCTCACCTCGTGATCCGCCCGCCTCGACCTCCCAAAGTGCTGGGATTACAGGCGTGAGCCACTGCGCCCGCCAGAGGCACAGAGAGTTTAAATAATTTCTGTGACGCCGCAGAGTTGCAGTAACGAAACTTGGATGGAATGCTGTAAATATGGCTCCAGAGGCCATGATCTGAAGCTCTGTTTTCCACCACATCCACCAGCACAAATCAACAGTCAGCACTATACTTAATTATTAAACATGAAATGCTTTTCCACTGTCATTAGTGGCAATCCAAAGATTCCCAGCCACATACCAGTAAACTCTAGCAAGAGAATAAAAAAGAGGGGGCAGTGTTAGAAGACATTAAAGTGGCCATTATTTGCAAATGAAAGAATGGAATAACTGGGGAGAAATCTCAAACCACTGAGAATGTGATAAGCCAGAAGTTAGGTTATAACATGACAAAATTAATACATAAAATTCAAAGTTTCTTACATATCACCAATACAGTTAGAAAATAAAACAAAATGTTGGCCCGGCACGGTGGCTCACGCCTGTAATTCCAGCACTTAGGGAGGCCGAGGTGGGCAGATAACCTGAGGTTGTGGATCATGAGGTCAGCAGATTGAGACCAGCCTGACCAACATGGCGAAACCCCGTCTCTACTAAAAATACAAAAAATTATTTGGGCATAGTGGCGGGCACCTGTAATCCCAGCTTATTGGGAGGCTGAGGCAGGAGAATGGCTTGAACCCAGGAGGCAGGTTCCAGCCACTGCACTCCAGCCCAGGCGACAGAGTGACAAAAACAAACAAAAAAAAAAAAAGAAAAGAAAAGAAAAGAAAATTTATTAAAAAAGCAAAATTCAGGAAAATGAAATGGAATTTAGCTATGTACAGAAAGTATTAGCGATGTGAATATGTGAGTCAGTAATGACATTAAATTCCATCTATAGAAAAGGTAGAATTTAAAGTACATCTTAAAAAGGACAAAGCGATTGCCACTTAAAAGGTGTAACTTAACTGCATCCCAGAACAAAGTTCAAATATATTTTTATAAACAACAACACCAGCCACTCAACAGCATACATTCCTCATGTTCAACAACGAATCAAATATTAGAAAGACAGGACTCATACATTTGAGAAAATCAATCAGCAGAAACAGATCTCAAAGTGATTCAAAGAATACACTTAGCATGTCAGGACATTAAAACAGATATAAATGTGTTCCATATGATCAAAAAGGTTGGAAAATATGAGCACCATGAGGGAAGGAATGGTACATGTAAAATAAGCCCCAAACAAACTTATAGAGATGAAATACAATATCCAAAATGAAAAGTATACTTGATGGAATAAACAGCATGAGACATTATAGACAAAAAGATGGGTGAACCTAGAGACATAGGAATAAAAACTACCCAAAATGACACACAGAGATCAATAAAAGATCAGAAAGCATATCAGTGAGCAGTGGGACAGCACAAGTGACAAAGCATGTGAGTAACTAGAGTCTGGACAAGGTTGGGGGCAGGATATTTAAAGAAATAATGGCCAATTATTTTTATAAATATGATGAAAACTGTTAAAACCCAAAGTTCCAAGATACCCAAAAGCATCCAAGCAGAAGAAACAAGAAGAAAGTCATACCAGGCACCTCATAATAAAATTGCTGAAAACTTGGTTTAAAAAAAGAAAATATTAAAAGCAGCTGTAGAAAAAGGACATATTACATAAACAGGCAAAAAGATTTTTTATATAACAGGAAATAAAAATGTCTCATTAGAAAAAAATGTAAAGCAGAAGAAAATGAAGCAACTTTTAAAAGTAGCAAAGGAAGAACATGATCTTTAAATTCCATACCTAGAAAAATATTTTTAAAACACAAAGGCTAAATAAAACCTTTTTGAGACATACAAAATCTGAGAGAACTAATTGCTAGCATACCTGCAGTACAAGAAATATTAAAGGAAGCCCTTCAAAGTCACAAGACATTATAATAGACAGAATGAAGAAAATCAGAAATCACAAGTATATGGTTAAATACACAAATTTTTTCTCATTTTAAAATCTCTGTTAAGGCAATTGTTTAAAGCAAAAATAATGGGAAGCCTCGCACACTGTTGGTGGGCATGTAAATTAGTATACTCGTTATGAAAAAATAGTATGGAGTTTCCTCAAAAAAATTAAAAACAGAACTACCATATAATCCAGACATTCCCCTACGTGGTATATACTCAAAGGATAGGAAATCAGTACATAAAAGTGGTATCTGCACTCCCATATTTTTGCAGCACTATTCACAAAAGGCAAGAGACGGAGTCATCCTAAGGGCCCTTCAATGGATGAAGGGATAAAGATATTGTGGGCTGCGCACGGTGGCTCACACCTGTAATCCCAGCACTTTGGGAGGCTGAGGCGGGTGGATCACGAGGTCAAGAGATCAAGACCATCCTGACCAACATGGTGAAACCCCGTCTCTAGTGAAAATACAAAAATTAGCTGGGCGTGGTGGTGCGTGCCTGTAATCCTAGCTACTCGGGAGGCTGAGGGAGGAGAATCGCTTGAACCCGGGAGGCAGAGGTTGCAGTGAGCCAAGACTGCGCCACCGCACTCCAGCCTGGTGACAGAGCAAGATTCCATCTCAAAAAAAAAAAAAAGAAATTTTGGTATATATACACAGTGGAATACTATCCAGCCACCAAAAGGAAAGAAATCCTGTTGTTTTTGATAACATAAATGAACCCAGAGGATATCAGGTTAAGTGAGATAAGCCAGGCACAGAAAGACAAATCTCACTTATATTGCATGATCTCACTTATATGTGGAATCTAAAAAAAATTAATCTCATGCAAGTAGAGAGTAGAATGGTGGTACCAGGATCTGGGGTGTTTGATGATAGTGGTTGGTGTTGGGGGCAGAGAGATGAGGAAATGTTGGTCAAAGAATACAAAATTTTACTTAGATAAGAGGAATAAATTTAAGAGAATTATTGTACAATATGCTGACTATAGTTAGTTAACCATAGATTGTATTGTTGAAAAATGCCAAGAGAGGGGTATAATATGTTCTCACCACAAAAATGATAACTCTGCTATATTAAATGGTATGAATATGGAAAGTTAAGTTAAATAAGATGTGCATGACATTAAATTTATATTAAAATTTTAAATGGCAACTATAATATATATATATATATTTTTTTTTTTGAGTCAGAGTCTTGCTGTGACACCCAGGCTGGAGTGCAGTGGTGTGATCTCGGCTCACTGCAAACTCTGCTTCTGGGGTTCCAGTGATTCTCCTGCCTCAGCTTCCCAAGTAGCTGGGACTACAGGTGTGCACCACCACGCCCAGCTAATTTTTGTATTTTTAGTAGAGATGAGGTTTCACCGTATTGGCCAGGCTGGTCTCGAACTCCTGACCTCAAGTGACCCGCCTGCCTCGGCGTCCCAAAGTGCTGGGATTACAGGTGTGAGCCACAGCTCCCAGACAACTATAATAATGTTTAAGCTATTCTATTGGTAAGCTGAATCACATAATCCAAACTATGTATTTAGCTTTGGTTTGCTCACTGTATATGACCACAATTTTGTTTGAAAATGTGTTTAACCTGCTAATAATAACAGTAGAAAGGGAATTTGGCTAGCAGGTATGAGACTGCTTTCTAAGCATATCTCTGCAAATGATTCACTCTTGCTACTTTACCAAACAAGTGGTAATTTTATCACACTAAATCATGTATCAAAATAGCCTAAAAGCTATAATTGTTATATGAATACAAATTGTATGTGTTATTATCATTAATTTTACTATTAAGAACATAATTTTACATAAATTGGGTTCGTTCACTGTTTTTATACATACACATTTCCAAGCAAGTGCAATTAATGTGGCAGTCATTTGATGAGGCCCATGTTAGCGGTGGGATACATTTTCCATTGTGTTTTTCTATCATTAGGTAATAACTTCAATTTGTCCATTTGGAAGATAAAAGTACAGAGTATTCCACAAGTATTTGGGCCAAACTAGTAGCTTTTTTTTATTTTTGTTTTATATTTTGATATTTTCTGCCTTTTGAGATTTGGAACACAAGTTAGATTGATGAAAGTATTAATAGCTACCATTTATTAATTGGCACTATATTATGGCAATAAAATGATGTCCATAATAGTAAAATTAATAATAACAATAATAACAATACATACAATTTGTGTTCATATAACAGTTATAGCTTTCAAGCTACTTTGATATATGATTCAGTGTGATAAAATTGCTATTTGTTTAGTAAAGTAGAAAGTCATTTGGAGAGACGTAATTAAAGCTGTCTGCATTTAAACCCTGACTCTGTCATTCACTAGCCTCACGACTTTGCAAAGTTGTTAATTTCTTAGCCTCACGTTCCTCATCGGTAAAATGTGAATAAACATATCTAGCACAGTAGGGGATGGTGAGGCTTGAATAAAGTAGTTCATGTTAAACTTTTAGAAGATTCCCAGTACACAGTAAGGACTTACACTATTCCTTCTGTTACCCTCCATTATATTAATATTTGTTGTGGAGCAAATTACTTGAAAACACTCTGTAATGCATGTGTGTAAGGGCATTCTAATAAACACTTTAGTGGTGGTTAATCCATTTATGAAGTATCCTTTCTCTGAATCAATACCTTAAGCTTAGATAATTCACATAGGGGTACTCAAACTAATTTCTTAGTTGGTGCAATTGCTGTCCTTTTGCACCCGTGACTGGAAAGAGTGGTATGGCAGAGCTTGTCACCTTCGCCTACACAGGACATAAGAAACAAGGGTCCCGGGCTGACCCTGCTGCTTCCACTTCAGTTTGCATTTTGCCACCAGACCCAGGTGTAAGTCCTGCCTGCTGAGCTTGACATTAGCATCTAGAACATTTTCTCTGAGAAGAGCCTTTCATGCCAAGTGCCTCTGAGGTTCTGATGGCAGTGGGCATGGCTCCTACACGTGCTTGCTTCTGCACGTGTGTGTTTGGCAGGATGTGCACCAAAACCTGCTTCCACTGTGACTTACTTCTTGGTAGCCAAGGCTGTAGAGATAGAACGTCTATATGATGACGCCTACTGATACCAAAGTAACTTGACACTTGCCACAGCACCAAATTTTGTGGGTCCATCTTGCCCCACTTTGTCAGGATCTGTGACAAGCACTTTGTCTACAGTGTCTCAGTGACTTTTCATAAAGATTTCATAAGATTCCTCATCTTACAGATAGGGAATCTAGGGGTCAGGCGGAGAAGCAGCCCTTCTTGCAAGGAAACCATGTTAGTGACAGCACTTGGACCCAGGAGGTCTGACCAGAAACGCCGACCCCTGGATCAATACACTATGTTTTCCCAATGCGAACAGTTCATTGGCTATTTTATAGCCCCTTAAACAATAGTGGTTGAAGAAGTCCTGCACTAATGTTAAACAGATTATATATATTATATCTGTATAGACAGATCAGCTGCTATGTTTCCGTGAAACATCCTTTTATTTTAGGAAGTGCATGCTCTTTGAATACATTTTATTTGTTTCCCCAAATGCTACTTAGTACTGATTCATGCAGCGCATTCATTCACCCTTCATTGTTGTTGCTATTGTTATCTGGCTCTGTAGAGCTGTTTCAATTCATCATCGTTTGAATTACATACTATTCTTAGTAAAATGTTTGTTAAATAGCTGAAAGGAATTTTTTTTTCTAATTTAAATATTTGGAAGAAAGATAGAATACTTCTTGGCCCATTATTAAACAATTAACTCAAGTAGAATATATTTGGAATCCCCTCCCACTGTTTTGTTTAAACACCCAGCTTTATGCTGCAAGGAAGAAAATGGTAAGTTTTGCTTTTATACTCTCTTGTACATAAGAGAACTCTATGGTGCATTTTCATAATAGCCTTACCCAAATTTTCTTGGCCAATCTTCCTAGACTTACCGTGACAATCAGATCTTTTTAACTCTCTGCCTTTGCTGGATGATTCTATGCAGGGTTTTGTGAAGTGAAACTTGTAGGATAGATGGCCCATGAGTACAAATAGAATGTGTTCACTCTGACCTCCATCTAGTTAGCATTTGGGGGAAGGAGGCTGTCAAACAACAGGAGGTAAATTACACTTCTTCTTCTCAAAAATATTACAAGAGAACATGCGAAAAATTTTAATTTATGTGAGTGGAAAGACCAGAGGAATGGGTGGATCCTGACAAATAATCTATGTTTAAAATAATCTATATTTAAAGATATTTTGAACAAATGAAATTTATTCAAAGTTGTATGGACAGATGGTGGAGTTAAATTAAGTCTTCTGCATTTGCTTAAATATGGTTGCTGAATGTGTCATTTGAAAAAACTACAATAACAAGTTATTCACATAAAAATATTTGTCAGTGGGCAAAATGTGTGTGCATGCCTGCATGTGTGTGTGTTTTAAAGAGTAGTTACTTTATTGTTTTTACAGAAAAAACTAAAATCAATCATGTGAAGACCAGTTTGATCTTATCCCATTGTAAACTGGAACAAGATTCCAAGGAACTTCGGAAATGATCTCATCTAAGTGGTGTGGTGTGTCCTTTGTGTGCTAGAAGTTTGAACATAATTAGGCAAAGATAAAATAATGTTTATAATCCCTATGCCTTATTTCATCTGTGTTATAAAACCTCAAATTTTATGGGTAGATGAGGATAATGAAACCAGGTAGCTTTACTTCTTAGACAATTAGCCATTTTGCAAAAACATAGATTTTCATCTAACAGTGTCATTTTTTCAAGTTTTCTATTTTAATCATCTTGCAAAAATCAATCGAACAGGACTATAATAGAGTAACTTATAGTAAACCAATACTTTCACTGAGAGCAACTAGAAGAGTTAGGTGAAAATACACAAAACATCTGTATTAGTCAACCAGGACCTCTGAGGTCAAATTCCAGAGAGACGCAAAGCTCATTTACTGTGATTAAGTGAAGAAATAATAGAGGTCCCATATATTTTTATCCTAGTTGTTCACAATGTTAACATTTCAAAATATCAGGGTAAAATATCACAAACAGTATATTGATAGAATCCACTGATCAGATTTTCCTAGTATTATTCATACTACCCGTGTGCATATGCGTGTGTGTTTACTTCTACGCAATTTTATTATATGTGTAGGTTTGTGTGTCCACCACTACAGTCGTGATAAAGTTTCAGCAACACAAGGATGTCTTGTGTTGCCTTTGGATAATAATGCTTACCTCCCTCATGTCCACTCCCACCCCCACCCATCCCTAAACCCTAGAAGCCATTGATCTCTTCTCCAATTATAACATTTTATCACTTCAAAAATGCTAAATACATGAAATCATATAGTATGTAACCTCTTGGGATTGGCTTTCTTTACAAAGCATAATTCCCTGAAGATTATTCCAAGTTGTGTATCCATAATTTGTTTCTTTTTATTGTTGACTATCCCAAGGTATACATGAATCATGGTTTGATCATTCATCTATTGATGACATTCAGGTTGTTTCTGGATATGGCTATTTTGCATAAAGCTTCTTAAAGAAGTCATGCACAGGTTTTGTGTAAAGTTTCATTACTCAGGAATAAATGCCAAAGAGTGCAGTTTGTATAAAATGTATAAAATACATCTACATGTATTTTATATACCAGTTCTTAGTCAGATATGTGGCTTACAAGTATTTTCTCTCTATCTGTAATTTGTCTCTTCATCCTTTTAACACTGGCTATCACTGAGCAAAAGTTATTAATTTAGATGAGATCAATTTGTCATATTTTTATATGAATCACACATATGGAGTAAAGTTCAAGTACTCTTCATTTATTTTTACAAATTCCCCAAATTTTCTTTTATCTTTTTTGCAAAACTGAGAGTTTTATATTTTAATTTTAGTCTGTGATCCATAGTGAGTTAATACTTATATAGGATGCAAAGTTTAGTTGGAGGTTTCCTTTCTATACCTATGGGTCCTATTGATCCAACATCATTTGTTGAGTAAGCATCCCTTTCTTTATTGAATTGCTTTTGCACCAGTGTCAATAATCAGTTGGGGTACTTCCAGTCCAGATAAGATTCTGAAGACTCCTTTACCCTCTTCTCTCCAGCAGTTACAACTGTATACCTTGGAAATAATGCAAGATGTGACTACATGTGATTTTTGAGGGGTAGAAAGAGGAAGGTGAACTGCTTTGAATGACAAGACTGAAGGAGAAACATGACAACTGGAGTCTCTCATCTCCTCACCCAACACAAGAACACAGGCTGTCCAACCCTGGTGTTTCTTACCAATATGAAGGTAGCCCCTATTTGCATATTTCTCCCAAAACTGAGTGAGAGTCCTGAATACAAGGGCAAGTCAGTCCAGCACCACTGCTAACATTAAGCAGCCAGGGGGTAGTGTTTTTTACCATTGAACCTGGGATTCCCCTCTACCACTAAGAGATACAGGGTGCCCAGATGGCACTAGAAAGAGAAACCACACTACAACAAGTGCCTAGCCCAGGAAGCTGCTTTGTATTCACAGGCCTGAGATGCCACTCCACCACCTAGAGACATCAGAGTAGCCAATGGGCACCTCCAGGGAGTATTCTGCCAGAACAAGCACAAGAGCACAGATGCATTCTCCATGCCCAAAGACAAAGAGGATCCTACCACAGCAAGCCCCAAATTAGGGATGTCTCCTTATCTCCATAGGCCTAAGATTCCCATCCCTCACAGAAAGACACTGGTGGCCTAGCCAGGGGAAACCCCATATGGCCCCTTAGGCACGACCAGTGGTAACTAGAGGGAGCCCCTGTGGCAACAGGTAAACTGAGGAGAACAAAATAGCACTATGAGGCTCCTTAATGAGATTAACAGCTGATTATGCATTCAAAATTATGGAGTCCAAAAAGCAGTAGATGACATAGTGAAAGCACTAAAAGAAAAACGCTATCAACAACAATTCTATATTCATCAAAAAAACCTTTCAAAAACACGAGAGATTAAGATAGTCTCAGATAAACAAACACTGGAGAATTTATCATTAGACCACCTGCTTTACAAGAATACTGAAGAGATTCTTTCTAGCTCAAAAGAAAAAACACTAGCCAGTAACTCAAAGCCACATAAAAAAATGAAGAATACCGTTAAAGGTAACTACATAGGTAAATACAAAAGACGGTATAAATAGATTTTTGTTTTTCTTTGTAACTTTTCTTTTTCTACTTGATTTAAAAAAACAACTGAATAAAGTAATAATTACAAAACTATGTTGATGGACCTATCATGTATAAAGAGGTCATTTGTATGATAATGGCACCACAGCTTTGCTTCATAAGAGCAAAGCTGCTATATACCCATAATATTATGTCAGCATTAATGAAAACAAAATGTTATAAATTAAGATGTTAATTGTGATCACCAAGGCAACCACTAAGAATATAAGTTGAAAAATGTAGTAAAAGAAAAACCAGAAGAATTAAAATGATACAGTAGAAATATTGATTTAATACAAAAGAATATAGTAATGGAGTATTAAATGAACAAAAATCACATATTACACAGAGAAACTAAATGACACAACGACAGGCACAAAACATACTTTAAAAGTTACATTAAGTCTAAATGGTCAGAGATGAGAAGATTAGATAAAATAGAACAAAACAAAAATGATCCAACTATATGTTGTCTATAAGAGACATACATTAGATTCAAAGACATACAAGTTGAAAGTAAAAAAGTGGAAAAATACATTATGCAAACTTTATAAGAATGCTGGAATAGCTATACATATCAGACAAATAGAGTTTTTACAAAAGATGTCAATAGACATAAAGAGAGATAGTTTATAATAATAAAAGTATTTGTCCATCAAGAAATTATAGCAATTATAAGTATATATGAACCTAAAAACAGAGCCCCATAATACACAGAGAAAAATGATAGAGTTGAAGAGAGAAATAGACAGTTCAACAATGCTAGTTAGTAACTTCAATATCATATTTTTAATAATAGAATAATTTGACAGAAATAGAAGAAAATAGAAGACTTCAACAACACTGGGCACCAACACCATTTAACAGACATTTTTAAAACTGTCTACCTAAGAACAGCAAAATAGATTATCTCCTCAGTATGCATGGAGCATTTTCCAGAATAGACCATGTGCTAGGCCACGAAACAAGTCTCAATAAATTTAAAAAGGCTGAAATTACATAAAGTGTCTCCTCTGATCATGTGGAATAAAGCTAGAAATAAACAGCAGAAGGAAATTTTTTAAAATTACAAATATGTGAAAATTAAAAACCCACTACTAAATAACCTGTGATTAAGAAGGAAGTTTTAAAAAAAACTTAGAAAATACTTTGATATGAATGAAAAACACAAAATGCCAAAAATTGGGACGTAAGTGAAAGCAGTTAATCCTTATTTTGGAGTGCAGCTAAAGCAGTGCTTAGAGAGAAATGTATAGCCCAAAGCACTTACATTAAGAAAAGAAGAAAGACCTCAAATCAGTAGTCTAGATTGTCACCTTAAGGAAAAAAAAATACAAACTTAAATCAAAATAAAAGAAAGGAAATAATACAGATTATAGTAGAAATGATACAAAGAATAGGAAAACAATGCATACCATAAACAATACTAGAAATTAGTACTTTGAAAAGATCAATAAAATTGACAAAACTTAGTTATAATGACCATTAAAAGATGTTCAGGCTGGGTGCAGTGGCTCACACCTGTAATCCCAGCACTTTGAGGGGCCAAGGAGGGCAAATCTCTTGAGCCCAGGAGCTCAAGACCAGCCTGGGCAACATGTTAAAACTTTGTCTCTACAATTAAAAAAAAAAGAAAGAAAATACAAAAATTAGCCAGGCTTGGTGGCACGTGCCTGTAGTCCCAGATACTTGGGAGGCTGAGGAGGGAGGATTCTTTGAACCCAGGAACCAGAGGCTGCAGTGAGCTGTGATTGTGCCACTGCACTCCAGCCTAAGTTGACAGAATGAAACCGTCTTAAAAAAATAAAAAAAAGTGCAATTGACTTTTGACAAGTATACCAAAACCATTCAACGGAGAAAGAACAGTGTCTTCTAGAAATAATTCTAGAAAAATGGATATACACATGCAAAAGAATAAAGTTTGACCTTACCTTAAACTGTATACAAAAGTTAGCTCAAAATGAAATAAAAAGACCTCAATTCAAAAGCTAAAATTATAAAACTCTGAATAAAACAAGGACAAACCTTCATGACCTTGGATTTGGCAATGTTTTCTTAAATACAACATCAAAGGCATAGACAACAAAAGAAAAAAGATAAATGAAACTTCATTAAAATTAAACATCTATGTGACTCAAAGGACACTATGAAGAGTGTGAAAAGACAAACCATAGAATGGAAAAAACTGCAAACCACATGTCTGCTAAGGACCTAATACCAAAAATATATAAAATCTCTTACTACTCAACAGCCAAAAAGCAAACAGTTCAATTAAAAATTGGGCAAAGGACTTGAATAGAATTTCTCCAAAGAAGAAATAAATGGCTTATAAGCAAATGAAAAATTGCCAATTTCATTAGCCATTAGGAAAATACAAATTAAAATCATGAAATACCACTTCACAACTACAAGGACAACTACAATAAAAGAAAGCAAAAACAGAAAATAACAAGCGTTGACAAAGATACAATAAAATTGAAGTTCTTACACATTTCTGATTAAAATGTCAAGTGGTAAAGGCACTGTGGAAAACAATTTGGCAGTTTCTCAAAAAGTTAAACATAGAATTACCATGTGACCTACCAATTCCTTGCCTAGTAATATAACCAAAAGATCGGAAAACAGAGACTCAAATGGATACTTGTACACCACGTTCATAGCAGCATTATAAAATGTAAAAAGAACCTAAGTGTCCACTAACAGATGTGTAAACAAAATGCAATCTATTTATGCAATGGAATATTACTCAGCCTTAAAAAGGAATGAAATGCTAACATGTGCTACAACATAGATGAACTTTGAAAATGTTATTCTAAGTTTAAAAAGCCAAATAGAAAAGAAGAAATATTATGTGATTTCACTTATATAAGGTACCTAGAATAGGCAAATTCATAGATAAAGAAAGCAGATTATAGATTACCAGGGGCTGTGATAGGGAGGAATGGAGATGTATCACTTAATAGGTGTGAAGTTTCTGTTACAGTGATGGAAATGTTTTGAAATAACTGTAGATAGTGTTGATAAATGTACAACATTGCGAATATAATTGATGCCACTGAGTTATACACTTAAAATACTTAAAAACGGCAAATTTTGTTATATATATTTTACCACAATAAAAAAAATTGCATAATGTTATCCTTCCTGCATTAGTCTTTTCTGAAACTATTTGATCTCTCTCATTTGCTTCTCCACGTAAATTTTCTAATCAGCTTTTCTATATCTACAAATAATTCTGTTGGGATTTGGATAAGAATTACATTAGACTTACAGATTTGGGAAGTACTGACACCTTTACTATGAAGATAAACACAGTATGTTTGTCCGTTTATTTTGTTACTCTTTGATTTATTTCATTTATATTTTGTAGTTTTCACTAAACAGAATCTGAGAAGGCTTTTTTAGAATATATATTTTAGCTATGTCCTTTTTGGGTTTTTTAGTAACTATAAATGTCAGGCCTCTGAGCCCAAGCCAAGCCATCGCATCCCCTGTGACCTGCACGTATACGCCCAGATGGCCTGAAGTAAGTAAAGAATCACAAAAGAAGTGAATATGCCCTGCCCCACCTTAACTGATGACATTCCACCACAAAAGAAGTGTAAATGGCCGGTCCTTGCCTTAACTGATGACATTACCTTGTGAAAGTCCTTTTCCTGGCTCATCCTGGCTCAAAAACACCCCCACTGAGCACCTTGGGACCCCTACTCCTGCCTGCCAGAGAACAAACCCCCTTTGACTGTAATTTTCCTTTACCTACCCAAATCCTATAAAACGGCCCCACCCCTATCTCCCTTCGCTGACTCTCTTTTCGGACTCAGCTCGCCTGCACCCAGGTGAAATAAACAGCTTTATTGCTCACACAAAGCCTGTTTGGTGGTCTCTTCAGACGGACGTGCATGAAATTTGGTGCCGTGACTCGGATCGGGGGACCTCCCTTGGGAGATCAATCCCCTGTCCTCCTGCTCTGTGCTCCGTGAGAAAGATCCACCTACGACCTCAGGTCCTCAGACCGACCAGCCCAATAAACATCTCACCAATTTCAAATCCGGTAAGCGGCCTCTTTTTACTCTCTTCTCCAACCTCCCTCACTATCCCTCAACCTCTTTCTCCTTTCAATCTTGGCACCACACTTCAATCTCTCCCTTCTCTTAATTTCAATTCATTTCATTTTCTGGTAGAGACAAAAGAGACATGTTTTATCCATGAACCCAAAACTCCAGCGCCAGTCCCGGACTGGGAAGGCAGGCTTCCCTTGGTGTTTAATCATTGCAGGGACACCTCTCTGATTACACACTCACGTTTCAAGGGTGTCAGACCACGCAGGGACACCTGCCTTGGTCCTTCACCCTTAGCGGCAAGTCCTGCTTTCCTAGGGGGCAAGAAGCCCCCAATCGCTTATTTCCGCACCCCAACCTCTTATCTCTGTGCCCCAATCCCTTATTTCTGCACCCTGACCTCTTATCTCTGTGCCCCAATCCCTTATTTCCGTGCCCCCACCCCTTCTCTGCTTTTCTGGAGGGCAAGAACCCCCCACCCCTTCTCTGTGTCTCTACTCTTTTCTCTGGGCTTGCCTCCTTCACTACGGGTAACCTTCCACCCTCCATTCGTCCTTCTACTCCCTTGGCCTGTGTTCTCAAAAACTTAAAACCTCTTAAACTCACACCTGACCTAAAACCTAAATGCCTTATTTTCTTCTGCAATGCCGCTTGACCCCAATACAAACTCGACAGTAGTTCCAAATAGCCAGAAAATGGCACTTTGAATTTTTCCATCCTGCAAGATCTAAATAATTCTTGTCGTAAAATAGGCAAATGGTCTGAGGTGCCTGATGTCCAGGCATTCTTTTACACATCGGTCCCTTCCTAGTCTCTGTGCCCAGTGCAACTCGTCCAAAATCTTCCTTCTTTCCCTCCCGCCTGTCCCCTCAGTACCAACCCCAAGCGTCACTGAGTCTTTCTAATCTTCCTTTTCTACAGACCCATCTGACCTCTCCCTTCCTCCCCAGGCTGCTCCTCGCCAGGCCGAGCTAGGTCCCAATTCTTCCTCAGCCTCCGCTCCTCCACCCTATAATCTTTTTATCGCCTCCCCTCCTCACAGCTGGTCCGGCTTACAGTTTCGTTCCGTGACTAGCCTTCCCCCTCCTGCCCAGCAATTTACTCTTAAACAGGTGGCTGGGGCTAAAAGCATAGTCAAGGTTAATGCTCCTTTTTCTTTATCCCAAATCGGATAGCGTTTAGGCTCTTTTTCATCAAATATAAAAATCCAGCCCAGTTCATGGCTCATTTGGCAGCAACCCTGAGACTCTTTACAGCCCTAGACCCTAAAAACTCAAAAGGCCGTCTTATTCTCAATATACATTTTATTACCCAATCTGCTCCCGACATTAAATAAAACTCCAAAAATTAAATTCCGGCCCTCAAACCCCACAACAGGATTTAATTCACCTCGCCTTCAAGGTGTACAATAATAGAAAAAAGTTGCAATTCCTTGCCTCCACTGTGAGACAAACCCCAGCCACATCTCCAGCACACAAGAACTTCCAAACGACTGAACCGCAGCAGCCAGGCGTTCCTCCAGAACCTCCTCCCACAGGAGCTTGCTACACGTGCCGGAAATCTGGCCACTGGGCCAAGGAATGCCCGCAGCCTGGGATTCCTCCTAAGCCACGTCCCATCTGTGTGGGACCCCACTGAAAATCTGACTGTTCAACTCACCTGGCAGCCACTCCCAGAGCCCCTGGAACTCTGGCCCAAGGCTCTCTGACTGACTCCTTCCCAGATCTTGGCTTAGCAGCTGAAGACTGACACTGCCCGATCGCCTCGGAAGCCCCCGAGACCATCACGGACGCCGAGCTGCCAGTAACTCTCACAGTGGAAGGTAAGCCCATCCCCTTCTTAATCAATACGGAGGCTACCCACTCCACATTATCTTCTTTTCAAGGGCTTGTTTCCCTTGCCTCCATAACTGTTGTGGGTATTGACAGCCAGGCTTCTAAACCTCTTAAAACTCCCCAACTCTGCTGCCAACTTGGACAATACTCTTTTAAGCACTCCTTTTTAGTTATCCCCACCTGCCCAGTTCCCTTATTAGGCTGAGACACTTTAACTAAATTATGTGCTTCCCTGACTATTCCTGGACTACAGCTATATCTCATTGCCGCCCTTCTTCCCAATCCAAAGCCTCCTTTGTGTCCTCCTCTTGTATCCCCCCACCTTAACCCACAAGTATAAGATACCTCTACTCCCTCCTTGGTGACCGATCATGCACCCCTTACCATCTCATTAAAACCTAATCACCCTTACCCCACTCAACGCCAATATCCCATTCCGCAGCACGCTTTAAAAAGATTACAGCCTGTTAACACTTGCCTGCTACAGCATGGCCTTTTAAAGCCTGTAAACTCTCCTTACAATTCCCCCATTTTACCTGTCCTAAAACCAGACAAGCCTTACAAGTTAGTTCAGGATCTGCGCCTTATCAACCAAATTGTTTTGCCTATCCGCCCCGTGGTGCCAAACCCATATACTCTCCTATCCTCAGTACCTGCCTCTACAACCCATTATTCTGTTCTAGATCTCAGACATGCTTTCTTTACTATTCCTTTGCACCCTTAATCCCAGCCTCTCTTCGCTTTCACTTGGACTGAGCCTGACACCCATCAAGCTCAGCAAATTACCTAGGCTGTACTGCCGCAAAGCTTCACAGACAGCCCCCATTACTTCAATCAAGCCCAAATTTCATCCTCATCTGTTACCTATCTCAGCATAATTCTCATAAAAACACACGTGCTCTCCCTGCCAATTGTGTCCTACTGATCTCTCAAACCCCAGCACCTTCTACCAAACAACAACTCCTTTCCCTCCTAGGCATGGTTAGCACGGTCAGAATTCTTACACAAGAGCCAGGACGACACCCTATATAGCCTTTCTGTCCAAACAACTTGACTTTACTGTTTAGCCTAGCCCTCATGTCTGCGTGCAGCGGCTGCCACTGCATTAATACTTTTAGAGGCCCTCAAAATCACAAACTGTGCTCAACTCACTCTCTGCAGTTCTCATAACTTCCAAAATCTATTTTCTTCTTCATACCTGACACGTATACTTTCTGCTTCCTGGCTTCTTCAGCTATACTCACTCTTTGTTGAGTCTCCCACAATTACCGTTGTTCCTGGCCCAGACTTCAATCCGGCCTCCCACATTATTCCTGATACCACACCTGACCCCCATGACTGTATCTCTCTGATCCACCTGACATTCACCCCATTTCCCCAAATTTCCTTCTTTCCTGTTCCTCACCCTGATCACGCTTGATTTATTGATGGTGGTTCCACCAGGCCTAATCGCCACACACCAGCAAAGGCAGGTTATGCTATAGTACAAGCCACTAGCCCGCCTCTTAGAACCTCTCATTTCCTTTCCATCGTGGAAATCTATCCTCAAGGAAATAACTTCTCAGTGTTCCATCTGCTATTCTACTACTCCTCAGGGATTATTCAGGCCCCCTCCCTTCCCTACACATCAAGCTTGATGATTTGCCCCACCCAGGACTGGCAAATTAGCTTTACTCAACATGCCTTGAGTCAGATAACTAAAATACCTCTTAGTCTAGGTAGATACTTTCACTAGATAGGTAGAGGCCTTTCCTACAGGGTCTGAGAAGGCCACCGCAGTCATTTCTTCCGTTCTGTCAGACATAATTCCTCAGTTTAGCCTTCCCACCTCAATACAGTCTGATAACAGACGAGCCTTTATTAGTCAAATCAGCCAAGCAGTTTTTCAGGCTCTTAGTATTCAGTGAAACCTTTATATCCCTTACGGTCCTCCGTCTTCAAGAAAAGTAGAATGGACTAAAGGTCTTTTAAAAACACACCTCACCAAGCTCAGTCACCAACTTAAAAAGGACTGGACAATACTTTTACCACTTTACCTTCTCAGAATTCAGGCCTGTCCTCGGAATGCTACAGGGTACAGCCCATTTAAGCTCCGTATAGACACTCCTTTTTATTAGGCCCCAGTCTCATTCCAGACACCAGACCAACTTAGATTGTGCCCCAAAAAATACTTGTCATCCCTATTACCTTCTGTCTAGTCATACTCCTATTCACCATTCTCAACTACTCATACATGCCCTGCTCTTGTTTACACTGCCGGTTTACACTGTTTTTCCAAGCCCTCACAGCTGATATCTCCTGGTGCTATCCCCAAACTGCCACTCTTAACTCTTGAAGTAAATAAATAATCTTTGCTGGCAGGACTATGCTGAATTTCCTTAGGCACTCTCTAATCAGATATCCTCAGTCGTCCCAATTCTTAGACCTTTTATACCTGTATTTCTCCTTCTGTTATTCCATTTAGTTTCTCAATTCATCCAAAACCGTATCCAGGCCATCACCAATCATTCTATACGACAAATGTTTCTTCTAACATCCCCACAATATCACCCCTTACCACAAGACCTCCCTTCAGCTTAATCTCTCCCACTCTAGGTTCCCACGCCGCCCCTAATCCCGCTTGAAGCAGCCCTGAGAAACATTGTCCATTCTCTCTCCATACCCCCCAAAAATTTTCGCCGCCCCAACACTTCAACACTATTTTGTTTTATTTTTCTTATTAAGAAGGCAGGAATGTCAGGCCTCTGAGCCCAAGCCAAGCCATCGCATCCCCTGTGACCTGCACGTATATGCCCAGATGGCCTAAAGTAACTAAAGAATCACAAAAGAAGTGAATATGCCCTGCCCCACCTTAACTGATGACATTCCACCACAAAAGAAGTGTAAATGGCCGGTCCTTGCCTTAACTGATGACATTACCTTGTGAAAGTCCTTTTCCTGGCTCATCCTGGCTCAAAAACACCCCCACTGAGCACCTTGCGACCCCCACTCCTGCCCACTGAGCACCTTGGGACCCCCACTCCTGCCCGCCAGAGAACAAACCCCCTTTGACTGTAATTTTCCTTTACCTACCCAAATCCTATAAAACGGCCCCACCCCTATCTCCCTTCGCTGACTCTCTTTTCGGACTCAGCCCGCCTGCACCCAGGTGAAATAGACAGCTTTATTGCTCACACAAAGCCTGTTTGGTGGTCTCTTCACAGGGACGCGCATGAAAATAAATGGTATGGTGCTTTTAATTTTGGTTTCCAATTTTCCACTGCTAGTATATACAGAGATGACTGGTTTTTGTATGTTGACTTTGCATCTTTCAACTGAGTTTTTTTAAGACTCTGGAATTTTCCATCCAAGAGGCTAAATCAGGGAAGGCATTGATCCTCCCCTTGTTCTCTTTGTCTCCCATAGAACAGCTTGTGGGTAGAGGGTCAGGTGAACCAGCCCAGACGTGAAGGTCTAGGGGGTCATCTCACTTTGGAGGGAGCCCCACACGAAAGGCTTCTGCAGTTTTGTGGGCCCTGGGGGCTGAGAGCAGGGCTTGGGGGAAGCCTAGGAGTAGAAGAGCACTGAGTTCTGAGTTGGAGTAGGGCAAGTGTCTTTCAGGTCACCCCTCCCCTCAGAAGAAGGTCTTGTTCAAAATGCCTGAGGATGCCTCTGCAGCTGGCCTCCATATATGGCCACTTGGGCTGGAAATATAGCTATGAATGACAGCATGGCTGGGCAGGAGGCCTGAGTCCTTGACTGCAGCTCCCTGCAGAGCCTGCCATGCCCTGGCAGGCCCCCCAGTCTGATGTGGGCAGGGCAGGGCCCCCAAGTCTGCTGTGCAGTGCCTCTGTGATTGCCCACGTGGGACCCGAGAGATGACACAGAGGGTTCTGGCCTCACCTCTTCCACTCGACTCCTGGATTTTTTAGGACTGAAGTGAGAAACATGGGCTATTTTATCATGGACTGGAATAGGTTAGACTTTGAGGGGCTCTGTCAAGGACTGGGTAATTAATTAGAGCCAACAGGGGACCAAAGACCCAGACTGGGATCACAGTCACTCTACGTAGGATGATGAGGCCCACCTGGAGGACTGGGTCTCAGTATGAGCTCTGTGTCTCAATACAGTGTCTGCCAAACCAGGAAAGATGTCTCCTGGACTATCTGGCTCTGCTTTAGAGAGTTAAGAGCTTAAAAAAAAAAAGTTTTTATATGAACCTTTTTAGCTGGCCTGAGGCAAGTGAGCTCTGACCAGTAAGATGAAGCTGTCATGTATGTCTCCCAGGGCTGAAGCGTTGTCATGAAAATCAGATTCATACAGGAGAAGTGTAATCCCAGAGGGCACACATGGTTCCTCTGCTTGGAAATAAAGAGTCTGTAATGTCATGGCACCCCAAGTAGGACATTTATTAATGAAGTAGTTAACAGGGTTTTGAATGGAGTCTTTTATCACGGGGCCCCTTATCCTGGGCTTTTTAGTTTCATCTGAATAATTTAGTCCCTGGCTTTAGAGGAACTGCCTGAGGCAGTAGGTTTCACAGTTTTGTTTGTCTGTGACATCAGTTTATCAGCCTTGGGAGTGTAGATGTCATTTGGAGATGTTTTGCATGGCAGCTGAGACTGTCTCTCAGGGTCAGGGTTGCAGGCGTGGGTATAGGCTCAGCAGTCTGTCTGAACCCACAGCACTCACCGCTGCTGGGAGAGGCAGTGTGGCAAGGTTTTTGGTTTTTGTTTGTTTTGGAGGCATGGGAATGAGGAGAAAGCTTTACAGGGCATGTAGTTTGACAAAACAAAGATTATTAACGTCTTTTTCTCTCCCCCGTACCTTTCTAGGAGTTGGGGTTTTGTGTTTCGTTTGGTGTTGGTTGTTGCTGTCATTAGTGTGTCTTCTTTAACAAAAACTTCGTATTCTTTAAAATTATTTTTTAATTTTTATTTAGATTTTTTTGTTTGGGAGAATTGTCACAGAGACAAAGTATTTTCACAGGAAAATATTTCTATATAACTTAAGCAGGAAAACACACCATGTTTAAGAATTGGCTAGCACAGAGGTTTCACTTTTTAAAAAATTTTTAAATGAGTTTCCATAACTTCTCACTCTCTGTTGTTTAAAAAACATTTTTAAAAAATTTATATAAAGTCTTTAGAAATGGGTCAAAGGGGATAGAAGGCCCCTGCTGGGTCTTCCACGGAAACCACAGGGCCAGTGACTGTAGGAGGGCACACAGGTAAAGGATGGGCAGCCAGGCCCATCCAACTATGTGCCACAGCTGAGAAGTGCCCTCTTGGGGCACTGCTCACCTGAGATGTGTACTGCAGGTTGGGGTTAGTCTCCTCTTAGCAGCCACTTAAGCCTGTTTGTAAATCGTTTATTAAAATATTTCATCATCTCTGCAACTTGGGAGTGATGTAGAGATAAGACAGTCCACTCCATGCCCCATGATTGGCTATCATCAGATGCAATGTGTTGAGGAAACCTGATCAGGAAACAAACGTGATCTTGTAGGGCCTGAATAGTGTGGCCCAGGCCAGTGAAACGTTTGGAGATGGTGAGGCTGAACTTGGAGAAAGTGTCAACCACAGTCAGCATCCAGAGGAGCCCCAAAGGTGGGAAGAAGGGCCCAGTGGGATCCACCTGCCAAGAATGCCTGGGCCGTGTTTGTAGCCTAGGCCAGAGTCTGGCAAGGAGTATGGCTTTTCTATGCTGATCCAGCAGCTTCTGAGGACAGTGGCCATTGTGGCTGGATGCCGAGTCTACCAAGTGTCTGGATATGCCTGGGCCACCTTCCTGTGGATCCAGGAGGCGAACAGTCACACATCTGCTCGCTCTGGGGCAGACACTTCAGTCTCCTCATTTCCTTGGCAAGCAGTCTGCTCATTGCTTATGTTTTCTCTTGTTGGCTCAGCAGCCTTTTTAGAGACTATTTACATTGGCAACAAAACGTTTATTAGGAGTGGAGCTAATTTTTATATAAATGTCTCATCCCCACAGGGTGGCTTGTTTGACGTCAGTCTGGGGCTGAGCCACAGCCCATGAGTCCACGAAACCACAACAGGGCTCCTTTGTGGGTGGCCTGTATAGCCATCAGAACCCCACAAAGCTCTGCCATGGAGCTGAATATCCCTTACCATGCTCTGTAAGAGACAGGCTTCTTTTAGGCCAGATGACAGGCACACCCTGTTCCAGCCCAGCAAAGGTTACCTGGGAGGAGCCATCAGTGAAGCAGGCCCACGTGTGGTAAGAGAGGTCTCTATATCTGAGCCAGTGGAGACAGCATCTCCTTAGGTGATGTGCAGCGGAGGTGAAGGGACACTCCTGAGATCTTTCCATGAAGTTGCAGTATCCCAGCTAGCCTAAGTCATGCCTGCTCTTGTGGGTATCATTTTTGTTTTACTATAGAAAATATCTGAGTTGTTCCCACTTAGTATTTTGAGACTTTTTTTAGACTCACAATATAATAGGGATTTGGAATTTTAAGATTATTTTACAACCATGGATTACGTGTTCAATATTTACAAAAGCCCAAGAACAGGACAGTAATTTTCTCTGAAAGGGTGTATAATTTTTAGCCAATGCTGGGAGCTTATGGGTCTCAAAGTGCAGCAGGGTCCTCTGGCCAGTGGTCGTGCATTTTGCCATAGGGTCTAATTGGCAAATGGGGAGTTGGGAAGGATGTTACCAAGACCTGTAACTCAAGTGGTAAAGTGGGGCTCACGGGGAAGGTGGCCTTGGTGGCCAGTTGAAGGGTCTCTAGGAAACTGGGTTGGTGGGGGCTCCACTCAAAGGTAGACGGGTCCCATCAAGAGCTCTGCATGGGTGTGCAAGAGTGCCAATGCCAGATGGTCTCAGTAATCACTGGGCTTTGTTTCTATTTGTCAAGGCAGAGAGGGCCAAATGCTTGGCAGTCATCTCTTCTGGAACGAGGCACTGTGTTCCTTAATCATTTTTCCTTGCAGGAATTTTACTTGGGTATTAGGTTCTTGCTTTTTGTCTGTGTTAATGGATCAGCATGTAAACTCCTATCTCCTAGTGGCACTCTTCTGTCTAGTACTCAGGAAAAATTTTTCTTTCTGGACCTGCATTTTCAGAAAACAGAGTGAAAAATAAGTGTCAAGGGAATGACAAGGTGTATCAGCCATCTCAATGAAATGCTGTTATGTCTGATCATTTCCTGGTCCACTGTGCTGTGCATGATGTCCGAGGCACATCTAGGCATACCTTTTGTCCTCAGCATTTCAAACTCTTAGTAGTTCACCCTTTATGAGCAAATAGCAGGTCCACTGACCACCAAGGAAGCACTGTGGGGTGTTCAGATCTGTACCCGCCATTATTTCTGGTGTATTGCAATGCATCTGGTAGGAGGAAATACCGTAAATTTGGTCCAAATTGCACATAGTTGGCAGGCACTCTTCATTATTCATATTTGGGGTCGTGTTGTGCCTGTTTCCTGCTTTTTGAACTATGTCTCCTCTGCTTTTATACTTTCTGTTTGTTATTTGTTGCTTTCCAGACGTAGGGTAGATGAATCTTTTCTACTCCTCCATCTTAAATAAACCTTCAAAACATCACATATTTTAAACTTGGAAATATAATAATTACCTCAAAAGAAATGTTCAGACATTTCTTTTTAAAAGATACACCAAAATATTTTGGTTTATCTTTTTTGAACATTTCTCTGATAAAGATGCAAATGAAATTATTTTTGCAAAGAAAATTGCTTAATTTACTCTTTGTAGAGATCTATGAATTTAAAATTCATAAATTACAAAATTCATAGATTTCATAGATTCATTTATAGAATTTCATTCATAGATTCATATGAATGCATAGATTCATTCATAGAATTCATAGATTAATTATGAAATTTATATTATAAAATTCATAGATTCATTATGATTTCACAGAGAATCATAATTGTGGTAAAGATTTATCAAGTAATTATGGGTAAGTCTAGTATTGTTTATTTAATGCAATGCTTGAGTTACCAGAATAAGTATTAATTTTCAATTCAAACATTTTTCATGTAGCTTGTTTTCCAAAGTGAAATATGAGTGGTGCTACTTTAAATGAATAGGGACAGAAATACTAAGTTTTAGATGCAGGATTACTTGATGTCCATTACTTTATAAACGACAACAGCCCTAGAAAGTACTCTTGTCCACATGGTACACACAAGGAAATTGAGAGTCAAAGCGCTTAAGACACTTGGCCAATCTCACATGAACAGTAGACAGACAAATTGAAAGAAACCATCATCCCTGCTCGGAGTCCTTATAATAGCCTCCTAACTGGTCTCCCCTCTCCACTCTGTCTCACCTCTGCCACTTTGTTCTCCATCCAGCACTGAGCTTGCTATTAAAAACTTGTCATGTTGTGCTGAGAGAGTTGACTGTTGGGAGACAATTCCACGGATCACTTTTGTTTCTGCAAAGATTGGGCCTTCTGAGCAAAGACATGTTTAAATAGTAGACAGCTTTGGAAGCTAGAGGTGGTGTATCCCTGTACAGAAATTTTAAGAACCTACCACCACAGAGACATCCACGGTAGTAAAGATAAAGCTCTCTTCTTTTCCTCCCGGAGATACCCGCTTACATTCCAGGGTAGTAAGTCATCTCTCTTCAGAGAGGAGGAAAGGCAAAAAAGCAAACATAGCAGCGCTATAAAAGCTCACAGTCACCTAACTGTGTGGTTCCTCTGCCATGATGCCCCGTTAGATCCCACCACCCATACAAGTTATGTGAGGTCCTCACTACACTCCTTGCAGAGCTTGGGGCATAGGAAACGGCAAGATGTTTCTGCAGCTGCTGACTTTGCTGTGAGTAATTAACGGTGCACGTCTTTGGTCAGCATACATGTAAAACATCGTGGCAGGTGAGTAGGGTCAAAGTTCAGATCCTTCACAGTTCCTGACTCAACACTCTCTTCTCTGCTTAAGCCTCCCACGGCCTTCCTACCCCATTCAAAGTAAATATGGAAGCCTTATGGCTCCCCCTTCCCCCTTCACTGCACACTCACACACATTAGCTCTTTTACTTTCTCTTCTACGTGCTTGCTTTGCTCCAGCAACACTAGTTTCTTTGCTAACCCTTAAACCTAACAGGCAGCCGCTTGCCTTGAGAGTGCATTTGCTGTTCCCTCTGCCTGAGCTTCTCCCCCGTGTATGTGCAGGGCTCCCTTTCGCCATTCCGACCTTTGTCTGAGCATCATGTTCACAACAAGTCTCTTCTGTGGCCAACTTTCACAACTGCAGCCACTCTCTCAATGCCCTTAGACTCCCACTGCTTTACTTTTACTCAACTTCACTTATTACATCTTTTACCTATTATCTCATTTTTGTCCACTTCCCCTATCAGAATGACAACTCCATAAAGACAAGACTTTTGTCTCATTATTTATTGCTGTGTGCATCATCTAAAATAATAACTGGCTCATAGCAGGGACTCAAGAAATATTTGTCAAATGAATGAATACATGTATAACTCTGAATCTACATTGTTTTCACTTCTACACTATCTCTAATTCTTTATTAATATCCTTTAATGGAAGAAAACTAACAATGTTTGGAGTGACAGCTACTTTAGATTTACCATTGAGAAAAGAAAATCATGAGTTGAAAAATGAAATAATACTAGCAAATATAATGAAGAAGAACTAAAAATAAAGTGCAATCCTTGAAAAATTGCTAATTTCAGAAACAACTCAAAACCCATCCACAAGCACACTTGTTCTGGGCAGATAAGATGCTTTTAACCATCTTCATCTAGGAATTCCATCTTCTTGGGATCAACACACCTTTTTTTGCTAGACTATCAGGCAGCAATATTGAGTTCCAACATATGATTCTTAGTACTTCACTCCAAGCCAAGCTAATCAAGTAGCCTCAGTAGATGGCTGAAAAATTTGCTTTATTCACATTTTCTGGGCTGTGTCCAGAAACCCTTTTGTGTGTGCCCTTTCTTTTACAGGTGTGTTGTGAATTATCTGGAAATGATTCAGTTTTCAGAAGGAGCAACTGGCTAGGGTTCAAACTCTAGAGGTATGAACCAGTCAACATCTAGTAGTTTTCTGGTAGGTTCTGTGGTTTTTCTTAAAAAGATTAGGATGAGGAAACTTCAAAGAGAATTGATACTTCTTTGTAAGTTCTTGAGCAAGTCCTTAACCAATCTGGGCCCCAGCTTTCTCACACAAAAAACAGAGAGGGTAATATCTGGCTCAGAGGAGAGTCAAGAAAATTAAAGGAAATAAAGTATGGAAGTTGCATTTTGTTATACAGATTCAAAGATTCAATATGACAGAAATGGAGAGAGAAGAGATATATGTATATAAAATACAGAAGTCATTTTCTCATCCACAATGAGATACATTTCCCCAAGTCCCAGCTAAATCCTGGAAGTTTTATATAATCAGTGCGACAGGAGGTGATCTGTGGTAAAATTAGACACATCCCAGGAAGTGCTCCTAATCACAATTGAAGAAATAATAGGAACTACTCACGTGACTATCACTCTGCAGTCAGGCAGCACCTATTTGACTTGTGAAAATCTTGATCCACTGAATCTTAAATATAAATTCAAGTTGCTGAGGCTTTCCTTACAGGTGTTTGAAAGACCTAGATCCTGCTTTTTGGGGCAGTGGAGTCACACGAGCATTGCATGTATATATGTGTGAGTGTGTGTGTGTTCTCAACTCTCTGCCTCTCCATTTTCCCTCTATACTTAAACAAATACGGAGAAGAGAGCAATGTCATCATATGAATTAGTAGAGAACTCAGTCTTTTCTACAGATGAAACCATTTATTACATTTATTCTCTAACAAATAGATATATCAAACTGGAAAATCAATGTGAAATAAAAATGTAAAAGAAATGGTCTTTTCCAAGTCATTAACACAAAATATATTTTCCAAATATAGCAGCTGCAGCAAGGACAGCTCTCTACCCAATACCAGCTCTCATGAGCCCAGATATTGATCTCTAATCCTCTCCTCCCCTGGAAGAGATCAGGACTTCCTGATGGGTATTTATCTCATAATTCATAATTACATAATTCATGTAAAAATTTAAGATGTTTCCAGAAAATCTGGAGCTTCCACCCTTTAAGACTATTACTGGAAGAGCTGAAAGTAGACAGCCAAATTTGGACAATTTGAGGAAACATCAAAATAATAATAGTTAATGGCATATTAACTTATATTAATTAAATTGATGAGGCATGATCTCATAATGACAAAAGAGAACTATTGATTTAAAAACGTAAAGAGATACCTGACATGGTGGCTCACACCTGTAATCTCAGGACTTTGAGGTCAGGAATTCGAGACCAGCCTGGCCAACATGGTGAAACCCTGTCTGTACTAAAATACAAAAAAAAAAAAAAAATTAGCTGGTCATGGTAGCGGGTGCCTGTAATCCCAGCTACTCAGGAGTCTGAGGCAGGAGAATCACTTGAACCTGGGAGGCAGAGGTTGCAGTGGGCTATCGTACCACTGCACTCCAGCTTGGGTGACAGAGTAAGACTCTATCTTAAAAAAAAAAAGAAAAGAAAAGAAAAGAAAAAGGAAATAGATAATTATAATAAAAAAGATGAGTATGATAGACATTTTTAATTCATTATTGATTTTAGTAAGTTATAGAGTTATTTGTGCATGTGCGTTTTTGGTTGCATCTAGTTAGTATATGTCTGTGTGTAAGGAATTTATTTGTACTAGTTTCTATGTGAGCAAGAATAAGCAATGACTGAGAACTGTCAATTAACCAGGTAGCCCTGGGAAACAAACACCCAGCCAGAACATTTAGATCAGAGCAAAGAGTGGTACCAGTAAGGGTGCTTCACAAGAACCCATCTCAGTGGTCTCGTCCAGTAACCAAATGGGTTTCACCAGTAAATTCCAAAGGTAGAATTAACTACAACCCTCTAAGTCAGTGCCATCCAAAGAAAGACACTCTAAGCCACCTGTGCAATTTAAAACTTTCTAATGACCCAATTTTTAAAAAATAAAGTAAAATTAATCAAGTAAAATTAATTTTTACAAGCTATTTCATTTGTCCCAATATATTCAATGTAATAGCATTTTCAATTGTGGCACTAGACACATTTTCAAAAGCTCAGTTGTCATATGTGGCTGTTCTGCAAAGAACTATTTAATCAGACTCACTCTTACTCTCCCAAGAGATGATAAATCTTTATAGCTGCGCTAATTAAGAAAACACTGATGTTTAGTAGTTACATGAACCAGGGTGATCTGTTTCGATGGTAGGCTCTGTGTGGGGCATGGTAAGGCATGAGAACATAGAGATCACTTGTCTCCACAGATTAAAAAGCAGAAGACACGCAGGACCAAGAGAGCCTGATGGTGTAAGAAGTGAAACCATGTCATAAACATGGCTACTCCACTGGCCCGAGAGGCCCAGCCTCGCCATGGACTGCACACCTGCTAGGGGAAATGCTCTGAGATAGTCCTGCTTTTTTTTTCAGGGAGTGGGAATAGTAGTCATAAGAATATTGAAAACCTAGAAAGGCTTGAGAAAAAGCCCACAGGAAGGAGCATTAGCAATAACAGTAAAGAAGAGACAGAAGAAAAATGTTTTAAAAAATTAAATGCACTCTTATAAACATACAGTGGTAAGAATTCTTCTCTACCTATTGTGTCCAGAATTGGTTCCTTCCGGTGGATTCGTGGTCTTGCTGACTTCAAGAATGGAGCTGCGGACTTTTGCCGTGAGTGTTTCAGCTCTTAAAGATGGGCCGGACACAAACAGTGAGCAGCAGCAAGATTTATTGCGAAGAATGAAAGACCAAAACTTCCACAATGTGGAAGGAGACCTGGGTTGCCTGTGCCGGCTGGGGGGTGGCCAGCTTTTATTCCCTTATTTGTCCCCGCCCATGTCCTGCTGATTGGTCCATTTTACAGAGTGCCCATTGGTCTATTTTACAGAGCACTGATTGGTCCATTTTACAGAGTGCTGATAGGTCCATTTTACAGAGCACTGATTGATCCATTTTACAAACCTTGAGCTAGCTACAGAGCGCTGAATGGTGCATTTTTACAGAGCGCTGATTGGTGCATTTTACAAACCTCTTGCTAGCTACAGATCGCTGATCGGTGCGTTTTACAATCCTCTTGTGAGACAGGAAAGTTCTCCAAGTCCCCACTCGACCCAGGAAGTCCAGCTGGCTTCACCTCTCACTACTAACACACCTCTCACATTAAAAATGTATCAGACTTGGGTATGTGCTGACCTCCTCAAGGTCTACTCCCTCCCAAAAGAGGGGGAGGGTGTTATTCTTCCCATTAAGTAATTAAATTACTTGAATAATTTAGCACATGATCTACTAGTAACTAATCTGTGGTATTTGCATTTAGACTATAGACAGGCTTTTCCCAAAGACTTGAAAAGAAGGGACATCAGATGAGCCTCTTAAAGTCCCTAAAGATCAGGCAAGGTGAAGAAAGAACCTCGAGAGCGCCTTGAAGACAGACAGACCGGCAGGCTGAGCTGCTAACTGGTCGCCCACACCAGATTACCGTAAGAGTATGTGTGTCAGTCAAGTGTCTGGCCAGGTTTGGAAGCCAGGAAAAAGTGAGAGACAGCAGCAAACAGCTCCATCACTTGGTTAGACCCCACTCCCCGAGCAGCAGTGGCAAGGAAAGCCAGCCTGGAATGCAGTGGCTGCAGCTGTCCCCTCGGCCTGAGGCCCTTGGACACTGGGCCTGTGCAACTAACTACTCCCACTCTGAGCCCATGTTCCGCGGGCAGCCCCCGACATCTGTGCAGATGGAGGACTGGGGTCACCCTGCAGCTATACCAGCCAGCCTGCTGAGAAGATTCTGCATCTCCTAAGATGTCGCTTGCTATTCTGACATCATATCTTGGTCTCTTTTGTTTAATTATGACAAAGCATTCTCTGCAAAATGCCGCTGTTCTCATCATCCTGGTCCAAGCCAAGTTCTGAATCTGAGAGCGGGACACCAGCCCGAAGCCAAAGGTGAGCTCTTCACATGGGAAAACCAGCCTGGGTTCCTGGATTCTTCTCAGAAGAGAACTAAGACTATTAGAAAATAGAATTCTGCAATACTTTGTTTTCACAGGTGTAGAAAAATTATATTCGATTTTTACCCTTGGCCTGTTTTATTATAATGACCTCTCTTTTTCCTGCCTTTCAATCCAGCTGAGACAATGTATGCATGTTTACATCATGTGTGTATATACATCTACTTGCACATAGATGTATATAGTTATATATGTTTAATGTATATATGAATAAAATGTGCATACAGCAGACTTAGGGACTTCTCTGGAGGGAGGAATAAAGGTTGTAAAGTAGAAGAATATCTACCAATCCAGTTGCATATGGATTTCTTTGAATCACTGACCATTTCAGTCAAACTCTCCACATTTTGCAGGGAAGTCTTTCACCTGCGCAGTCCCTAATGCCTGTTTCATACCTGGGAGAGTTTTTGTTATACCATTTGAAGACAGTTGGATTACAGATCCAACTCCAATCTCCTGTCCTGTCACAGTGTCCCTGTGTGATGCTCTTTTTTGACCCACACACTGTATAGGTCCTAGACTTCCCATATGGTATCAGTGGACAATTAAGGAGACTTCACCACTAGCTACTTCTGTCTGCTCAATATGCTCTTTCTGAATAACGGTGAAAAAAATCTATTCACAGTTCAGCCAAACATGCTTTCTTTATGTTACGCAGCATATGGGGCAATTTGTCAAGGTAATAGTAAGTCTCTTGGAAGGCTAGAAGGCTGCAATTCATTATCTGAAAAACAAAACCTCAACCATGCTTTATGCCAGTGGAGATGAAATCCTCTCAATATCAGAAACCAACGATTGCTAAGGAAACAGGGGAAGAAAGGGTCTCCCTCTATTCCAATAAGGAAGCCATTGCCTGACCAGATCCCCTTTTCCCTATTTTCATCTCATAATTGGAAATGAATATGTCAGAGAATATATGCCACCTCACCCAGATGGAATGTCTAGGCTAAATTTCCATGCAAAGACTTTTGTGCTTTTATTTTCCAAAATTCCTTTACAGAATCTTGGTTCCACGAAAATACAAGATTTTAAAAGCCAATAATAGCTTTTTAAGGAAGAGAGATAAAAAAGGTAGGAATCTAAACCAGCATAACTCAAAAGTCCTCGTTCCCCTTATAAGTTTTCCATTGCCTGAATTTTCAAGCAGCAGATGACTATAAATCCTGTAAGGAATAAATTGTTGCATATGTTGATCTATTTACTTAAAAGTTGGGCAAACAGTAGCTAGACAGGCAATGTAGTTAAGTGCATAGACTCTGGGATTAGACTGCCTGGAGTCCAGTCTCATTAGGCAGTCACTTGCTGTTTGACCTTGGGTAAATCACACCTTCTGTGCTCCAGCTTCCGTATAAAAATTGTAAAAAGCAATTAAAATGGTATCTGTCTCAACAATTGTAGTGAGAATCTAATACATTTATACATGTGTCCATTTATAATAGGATGGTTTTAGAGTAAAAAAGCTTTAGAATCATGGACAAGTAAAGAGATGGACTAGTAGTTTGAGGCCCCAACCAAGTCTAGAAACGTAAATTTTTAGTAGAGTTGTAGAATTTTCTCTCGGGATTAACTGCCATGAAGCAACAGATGATAGCGCTGGTATGAAATCAGGATTCGTAGAATTGAGCACAGTACAGAAATAAGGTGCTGAGGGAGTTAAGGATTCTGGGAACAGTCAGGTCCAGTGTTAAACTAATGGGATCAGGGCAGGAAGGAAATGTGGCTGCCCAGGGCCTTCTGAACAAAAGGACAGGGAGAATAAGTGAGCTTAAGGTTGGAAAACTGAGGGTTTGTATTCTAGGAGAGGCACTGGAGTTTAATAGTTCAGGAAATGGAATGGTTTGATGAGATGCTCCAGAATTCTTAGGGAGTAGTTGGCAACTCCAAAGTAAAGGTGAAGATTTGTGCTTTAAATCAATAGACTGTAATTCAGAAAAAGACAGAATTCAAGGTCCCAAACAGTATTTTTTAAGTAAACAGATCTAATTTGTTTGTTTGCTTCATTTTTTGAGGTAGAAAAGTATAGAAGATTCAAGTAATCTTCCTTTTGATCTAAGAATAGTGGTAATATAATTATGTGATAAATAAAAGAAGGAAATCAAAATACTCCAGTTTTATAACATAAATATAACTACAGCATGCATTTTCAATAGAGGCAATATCACTCCTTAGGAGGTAAAAATTCCGGAAGCAAAAAAATTATTAGATATGATATTTATTTGTGGCTCTCCAAAGCTCAACCTTACCCAACAAAACCTTATTTTCTCTGGCAGGGTGTGGTGGCTCACACCTGTAATCCCAGCACTTTGGGAGGCCGAGGCAGGTGGATCACTTGAGATCAGGAGTTGGAGACCAGCCTGACCAACTTAGTGAAACCCCGTCTCTACTAAAAATACAAAAATTAGCTGGGCGTGGTTGTGGGCACCTGTAATCCCAGCTACTCAGGAGACTAAGGCAGGAGAACCAACCTTATTCTCTAGTATTTAATTTCTCCTATTGAGTTTTCTTAGATATCACAAAAGCAGCATGGACACTGAGTTCCTGGCAGAGACCCAAAACGTATCCAAGGTCATGTTACAAAAATGTGGCAAATGGCCATGAGTAGGGGGCTTCTTCTCCATCCCTTGCTCCATTTCAAAGTCACATGGGGAGAGCTGGCCTGTGCTGTTGGCTGCCCTGGTCACCTTGTAAGCATTGCTTCTCACATGATCTCAGTGATTTTATGTGTGACTTAGGCTTTGGGAATTAAATGTAATTGTTTGTATTTTATCATTTAATTATAAAAATGTTATTCAACTCATTGTTGACTATGTCAAGTGCTAAAAAAAAAGCAGTGATGAATTATAGTTAAAAAGTATCTTTTCTTATCAAGCAAAAGTTAACTTCACTAAATTTTTGAAGAAATTAATTTTTCAATTATTCACCTTTGATGGGAAAAAGCAGTTATGAATGATGTTTAAAATGTATATTACATTGCTATTATTATATATTTATAAACAATGTGATCCATTGCAGTTTGTATAAAGCAATAAATTACATTAATAGTTATTAGGCTAAAAAGAGAAAGTTAAATGTTATAGCTTTTAATTTTAAGTTTTAACTTAAGCATTTTATTTAGTCATTCTTAACCTGGCAATGAATAAAATTAGTAAGGTTTGTACTTAGTCTTTTTCTTTTCGTATGAAGCACAGACATGTACACTACATAAGCAGATATACAGTGTACTCATGGTATTAAAGTTTCTCATAGGTGATGATTAGACAAAAATCTGATGTCTATTTTCTCTTCCCCAAATTAATATAATACTAGTAGTAATGCAATCAGGTCACGTAATACCTGCATTAGGCAAAGATCTGATGCATCAATAACAGCATTTGAGAAATCTTCTCAAAATTAAAAACTAGGTGAACACTCCCCATTCCCCTGAGATGTAATAAATATCGCAGATTGGCTGGGATTCTTTTTGTCCATGACTTTATAATTTTCCTAAATACAAACATACCTATAGCAAATCAAACAACACTATGTATTGTGACAATCTGATATTTTTTAATTATAAAGAGACACTCATCTTTGAGTGAATACACATTGATATTTATTCCCATAATCTGGATTTATTAAAATTAAGCTTCCGAGCTGGGTCCTTGATTTAGGCTTAAATTCCCTGACCCAGTTTTGATGCTAGTGCCAAGTTCCAAATGTATGAAATGGAGTTGTTTCTGCCTTAAGACTGAAAGCAGTTAACAGAAAGCCTCCATTTTAAGTTTTTATCCATAAAGCGGAGAAGCTGAGTGGGTTGATATGGGGGTGGAGAGGGGTTTGCCTTAAACAGATATTCTTCCTCATGAACCAGTTTTCTCTGTGGATATTTAGACTAGCAAAACAGACCACGCTGGTCAGGAGGCGGGCGGAGGTGTACAAGCAGATTAGGAGTAACGTTATCCCTTGACTTAGGCCTGTATGACTGAGACACACATACGCACACACATGCACGGCACTGCATGTGCTCAGAAGGACCTGGTCTCATCCTGAAGGTGGAGTAGGATGACAGAGGCTGTGATTAAATTCAAGCTCTCACAGCAGCAGTCTAAGTCATCCTTTGAGAGGACTGTATTCAGGGTGGAACTCCGAAAAGAAATCCTCCGTCTCTCTTACTGCCAATTCACAAATCATATGCTCTTTAGCAAACAACAACAACAAATATACAAACGAAAAAACCCAGGGGCCGTTCTTCTTCCTCCTGGGACTCAGGTTTGTGCTTGTTACCTGGAGGCCTTTGTGAAGTGACACGTGTAGGTGCACAGTCTCTCCCCACCCGCGTCGTCACAGTCAGTGCCTGAGTTCTCTCTGGCAAGTTCAAGTTCGAGAGAGAGTGTGTTTCCTCAGACTTAGAGCCAGGCCCTCAGGGAGCTGGGAGTGCACTACTGTGCTGGGAGGGGTTTTGAGGAATGCTGACGTTTTCCCCGAGGTCATTTGTCGAGCTTCACTGGCTTTCCCACTTTCTGAAGATTCCTCTTGTTAGTTTCTATTTATATAAGGACTCACCTCCTTTCAACTAAAGCAGGGATCCCCCTCCCCCACCCCGGGCCTGTCTGTGGCCTGTTAGGAACCGGGCCGCACAGCAGGAGGTGAGCAGCCCAGCCTAGCCAGCATTACCGCCCAGCTCCGCCTCCTGTCAGAACAGCAGAGGCATTCCATTCTCATGGCAGCGGAGCCCTACTGTGAACTGCACACGCGGGGGATCTAGGTTGCGTGCTCCTTTTAAGAATCATCTAATGCTTGATGATCTGTGGAACAGTTTCATCCTGAAAACATCCCCCCATCCTCACCTCCACCCAGCTCCATGGGAAATCTCTTCCCTGGAGTTACCAATCAGGAAAGTAGAAATCCAATAGTTTGATTAGACACAACTTTCCATGCAGAACGAATGATATCACACATGCGATGAGGGAGATGGGTAAAATCATTTCAAACGGTCATCCCGGAACTAAAATTCTATTGCACAAGTCATCACTGTGGTTCAGTAATGGACCAAAAGGAGTGTACGCTTATAGCCAATTCTACTTCTGAGCTCAAAAGTAATTTGAAAGGTCAATGAGTTTTTAAAACCAATTTTACACAATTCCTCATTTCCTTAGAATATGAGATTATATTCTTTACACTCTTAAAAATTTACAGCACACTAACAAGCGATCATAGACATACAAGAACATTAAGAAGAATAGGAAAATAAATTGTTATAAACAGGGAAAACAGCAAGTGAAAGAATAAATAAAAAATGATTCATCTTTACCAAACTAGACTTCTAAGCTTAGTTCTAACATCCGATATCTCAAATACTAAAAGCAATTGAATACTTAATGATAATCAGTTCTTTCATTATAGCTGGTTTCAATGTGAAAACAGTTACTAATCAATTTGCCGTATGCATGGTTACTGTGGATATTATTTATTTGCGTATTATTTATTTATTAACATAAAATTTTGGTATTCACAAGAAAATTTCAGAAACTGTCTCTATTCTCTGAAGATGTAAATAAATGAAGATGAAAGAGGAAAAAAACAATTTTGATAATTTCATGCTTCAGCTGAGGACCTGTGTTTGACAGCAAAAGCACCAGGCTTTGTACTTCTCTCTTTTTTCACTGATTCCTGGCATAGCACAGTGCTTCTGACCTGCATAAAACTAAATATTTCTATAAATGCTCTCAGTCTTCTGTTATTTCAAAAAAATTGACAGCAGGAAAGACCATTAAAAGATCAAGGTTTATGTCAAGCAACTAAAAGAAATTAAATTTTGTTCATCTATCAGAGTTTGTCGAGGGAAACATTTCGGGCAGCAGTAGTCTTTCTATGGCAGGACTATTTTTCTATGCTGAAGCCTTATTAGCAAGCATCTTGCTCAGTATATGCCAGGAATTTCTCTCCAGTCACTGAAATAACCAAAAATCTGATGTGCTCCCTGAGCAGCAGAGCATCCCGGAATTGAGAGCTATTGAAAGATAACATACATGAAACTCCTTAAAATGGAAAAATAAAATCTCACTTCTGATGATCTGTTTACTGCCATCTTGATCAAGCAGCACCTGGTGTCCTGCTCTCCGCTACTCCCACACATGAATTTCCCAGTCCTCAAAAAGGGAGCATCTTGCAGAACTCTTTCCCAAGGCTAAGCTTGTGCTTGCCTTCTGGAAATCAAGAAGATATGCTTCGCTTTCACAGAAGAGTTTCTTGGGGTTAATGTGAGTCCACTATTCTCCTCCCTGGAATGTATGAGTTCCCGCAGAGACAGTGGGGCAGAGGAGAATGGTCCTGAGTGTCTCCAAATACTCAACTGCTCTCCTGGGAATGGGAGCACATAGGGCAGCAGTTACTCTTCCTATCTGCAGGCACATAAACTACCTTTTGGCTTTTCCTCAACAGGCTTTCCCATTAACATCCCCCATCTAGAGAAGGGCCACCAGAAAAACAAAAAAACAGAAAATACTATCAGCTATGTTTCATGCAAGGAAAAGATGGAGACAGAAGTTGACTGAGGTCCAATGGCAATACTTTGCATGTTAAAAATTTAATTTATTTGCACTATTTTCTTTCTTATAGGATGAATAATTGCAATTCTAATGTATAACCCAAACATTACTATCCTAAATCTGATTATTTATCTTGTTTTAACAATAGCTATATTTATAATATTTAATGCAGATCTGATCCCTAACTTTTGCATCCAATAGTTAAATTTTTTAAAAAGAAAATTTTATCATTTATTTCATTTTTTAAAGATATTTACTTTCCAATCACTTAAATATTTATCATACATATTTTTATTGTGATAAATATACATAATATAAAATGTAACATTTTAACAAATTTTAAGTGCGCAATTTTATTTTGTTACAATTTAGCTGGAATTTTGAAGTTAGTAGAATAGAAAAATTAGGAGTTAGCTAATTGAAATTATGTTCTCTCACATCAGAAGTTCAAACTTAACCCAAGATTGTCTGCTTGCTAGGAAATCATTGGTAACCTCCTACGGACATTTTAAAATGGGAAGAGCCATACAGTCCAAGCAATAATTTGAATGCAATCATTAGATCCAGCTGCATGATCCTTCAAGACGCCCTTAAAGGAAGTATTTATCTTCTAGGTTAATTGTAATTTTCATAACAACACTATGATAGAAGTATTATTGTTTATGGATCAGAACACCGAATCCTTTAAAATACTTTGGTAACTTGCCCAAATTAAGTGGAGTATTTGAATGCAGTTCATTCTGAATCCAAAGCCTGTGAATTTAACCCCCACACTGTTGTTCCTGTCTCTATCAGACAAGGCTCATTAGCATCTAAATAGGTCTTCATAAGGTACTCAGCATGGGAGAAAGTAGATAAAAATATAACACAGAAGAGGTTATATAAAAAAACCTATAGTCCTGAATTTGAATTGAAAGTACTAGTATAAACTCATGATGTATTTATCTCTAAAAAGCCCTAGCCCTCTTCACAGTAAAGGACTAGAAAACTAGCACCCCGCTTGTGATTTTAAACTAGTATTGCCAACCGAATGGCACCCAGGCTCTTTGGAGACCTGGCTGATTCTAGGTCTACACCAGGATCTCTACAAGTTGAACCTGGAGCATCTTGTCTTATCAGAATGCAAGAAAGTGGTCACAAGCTCATGTCAGGAGGGCTCAGGAGCCACTGGCAGATACTTCCACTGGCCAAAGTGAGCTCATGTGAACTTCAAGGATAAGAATTTCACAGTTAGTGTGTCCATTCCCAGTTTTTTCACTTTGGTGTACTTCTGTACACTCTATGGCTTAGTTGATTTTCAAAATGTCTTTTTTTTGTTCTTGAGCCTTTCAATCTACTCTTACTCTTACAATTTATGTGTTGGAAAATCCAGGTTACTTAACCTGTACTCTCCCACAGTCTGGCTTTGTTAATTCAAACTCAAATTGAGTTCAGCATTTCCTTTGCCCTCTGTATTCCTTGCACATTGGCCTCTAGATCTGGAGGCTCAAATAGACTCGGGATGGACCTCTTTAGGAAGATGATGATCAGAGTATCAGGGTTGGTGGTGTTTCATTTCATCAGGAGCCTTATGAATGACATTATTAGGGCTTGCAGTCCCTCTTCTATACTTTGCTTAATCAATAGCACAGCGGAAAGAGAGGATGAAGGCAGATCCTTTCATTTCCCCATTTTCAACCTAGTGAATTGATTCCTTATCATCTTCAGGAATTCATCGATTTTATTTTGGAATATCATTATGTATTCGTGGATTTAAGTTTTTGACGGTTTAATCTATTGTTGTTATACATAAAGCTGAAACAATTTGTAAATTCCTACTACCATTCCCAATTCAAATTCAGGACTGCAGGACTTTATTTGACCTTTTTAATATTATATTAACATTTCTTTTCTTCCACACTGAAAACCTTGGTGCCCAAAGACACAGGGGACAACAGAATTAGAATATCTCATAATTACCATTTGTAATTCTACATTACACATATAATAAACTCAAAATAACACTGCTAATTCTCCCACTACTGATTATAATCACTGGAAACCATTGGTTTTTAATAGATATCTCCATTTTCCATAGTTTTTAAATGGCTATATTAAATCTGCATTGTCACACCACAGTCTCATTGGACATCTAATCACTCACTTTTAACCTTCATTTAGATGTCCACAAATAATTACACATTCAATGTTTACCACCATTAACACTCTTACACAGGTTTTCTAAAGTTCTTTCTCTAGTAGAATTCTCAGGAAAGGCTCACAGAAATAATATTCCCCAGATTCTTATATGTTGATTATAATGTGTGCCTTTGACACTGGAAGCTCGGTTTTCTCTTTCCCTGACCTTCCTGACTATGTTAGTCTGTCTTATTCTGGCATTCTTTTTCATAAGCCTGATGATAGCCCAATACATTTTCTTCTAAGTCACAGACCCTTTGTGACTAGAAGCTTCTAAATTTTAGTTGTTTTACTAGAATATTTTTATGTTGGTCATTCTGGGTCAATATTTGCAGATATGTAGTATTTCATTATTTAGGTTAAAATCATTTTGTTTTCAATTTTTAGAAAATATCTTAAATTACAGTGTTTACTATTTGCTCTGTTCTTGCTTCTATTTTTTCTTAAAGGATTCTTATTACATCTATGTTACATCTTACTTGCCTACATTCAATTATGTCACCTTCTCAAAAGATTTTTACATCTTTCATCATTTCTTTTCTTTCTTTTTTTATTGGCACTTTGTAGTTCAAACTGAGTCTATTTTATATAACTTTATATTTTGAAATTAAAGAAGATAGTACAGAGACCTCCCCCAAACTAAAATGCAAAATGAAAGAAGAATAAAACAGTAAAATAACAGATATTCAATAGCTGTGGGACATTTTCCAAAGGCATGAGTATAACATATGCCTTCTTAGAATAAAAGAAGTAACAAAGAATGGAGCAGAAAAAATATTTGAATTTATAATGGCCAAGGATTTTTCCAAATTAGTGATGGATGCCTCTTCCTCTTAGCACCATCCTCTCTTTGCAGTGAACACCTCTTGACTCTTTGGTGTTCTCCTGTTTGCAAGTTAATCAGACACTCTATTTCTTCCCCCAGCTTTCCCCTGCACAGACATGAAAAACAGATAAGTCTTGAAGCAGTGGGTGGAAGAGGGTACATGAAAACACATCAAGGATGTTGAGCTTTCTTCATATGCTTGTTGGCTACATAAATGTCTTCTTTTAAGAAGTACCTGTTCATGTCCTTTGCCCACTTTTTAATAGGGTTGTTTGTTTTTTTCTTGTAAATTTGTTTAAGTTCCTTGTAGATTTTGGACATTAGACATTTGTCAGATACATAGTTTGCAAAAATTTTCTCCCATTCTGTAGGTTGTCTGTTCATTCTGATGATGGCTTCTTTGGCTGTGCAGAAGATCTTTAGTTTGATTCAATCCCATTTGTCAATTTTTGCTTTTGTTGCAATTGCTTTTGACATTTTCATCATAAAATCTTTGCCTGTGCCTATGTCCTGAATGGTATTGCTAGATTTTCTTCTAGAGTTTTTATAGTTTTGGGGTTTTACATTGAAGTCTTTAATCCATCTCAAATCAATTTTTGTATGAGATATAAGGAAGGGATCCAGCTTCAATTTTCTGCATTTGGTTAGCCAGTTCTCCCAGCACCATTTATTAAATAAGGAATCCTTTCCCCATTGCTTGCTTTGTTGAAGATCAGATGGTTGTAGGTGTGTGGTCTTCTTTCTGAGTTATCTATTCTGCTCCATTGGTCTATATGTCTGTTTTTGTACCAGTACCATGCTGTTTTGGTTACTGTAGCATTGTAGTATAGTTTAAAGTCAAGTAGTATGATGGCTCTAGCTTTGTTGTTTTTGCTTAGGATTGTCTTGGCTATATGGGCTCTTTTTTGGTTCCATATGAATTTTAAAATAGTTTTTTCTAATTCTGTGAAGAATGTTGATGGTAGTTTAATGGGAATAGCATTGAATATATAAATTACTTTGGGCAGTATGGCCATTTTCATAATATTGATTCTTTCTATCCATAAGCATGGAATGTTTTTCCATTTGTGTTCTCTCTGATTTCCTTGAGCAGTGATTTGTAGTTCTTCTTGAAGAGGTCATTTATTTCCCTTGTTATCTGTATTTCTAGGTATTTTATTCTCTTCGTTGCAATTGTGAATGGGAGTTCATTCATGATTTGACTCTCTGCTTGTCTGTTGTTGGTGTATAGGAATGCTTGTGATTTTGCACATTGATTTTTGTATCCTGAGACTACTGAAGTTGCTTATCAGCTTAAGAAACTTTTGGGCTGAGACTATGGGGTTTTATAGACATAGGTTTATGTCATCTGCAAACAATTTGACTTCCTCTCTTCCTGTTTGAATACACTTTATTTCTTTCTCTTGCCTGATTGCCCTGGCCAGAACTTCCAATACCATGTTGACTAGGAATGGTGAGAGAGGGGCATCCTTGTCTTGTGCCAGTTTTCAGGGGAAATGCTTCCAGCTTTTGCCCATTCAGTATGATGTTGGCTGTGGGTTTGTCATAAAAGGTTCTTATTATTTTGAGGTAAGTTTCATCAATATGTAGTTTATTGAGAGTTTTTAACATAAAGGGTTGTTGAATTTTATTCAACATAGGAAGGCCTTTTCTGCATCTATTGAGATAATCATGTGGTTTTTGTGTTTAGTTCTGTTTATGTGATGAATTATGTTTATTGATTTGTGTATGTTGAACCAGCCTTGAATCCTGGGGATGAAGCCAACTTGATCGTGGTGGATAAGCTTTTTGATGTGCTGCTGAATTCAGTTTGCTGGTATTTTATTGACAATTTTTGCATCAATGTTCATTAGGGATATTGGCCTGACATTTTCTTTTTTGTTATATCTCTACCAGGTTTTGGTATCAGGATGAAGCTGGCCTCATAAAATGAGTTAGGGAAGAATTCCCCCTTTTCAATTGTTTGGAATAGTTTCAGAAAAAAATGGTACCACCTCTTCTTCGTACCGCTGGTAAAATTCAGCTGTAAATCCATCTGGTCTTGGGCTGTTTTGGGTTAGTAGGCTATTTATTATTGCCTTAATTTCAGAACTTGTTATTGGCTTATTCAGGGATTCAACTTCATCCTGGTTCAGTCTTGGGATGGTGGGTGTCAGACTGGGTAATTTATAAAGAACAGAAATATATTTCTCACAATTCTGGAGGCTAGAAGCTCAAGATCAAGGCACCAGCATGTTCGTTGGTCTGCAGAAACTTTGCTCTCTGCTTCCAAGATGGTGTCTAGAATGCTGAGTCCTCTAATGGGGAGGGACACTGTGTCCTTGCATGATAGCAGACAGAAAGGTGAGAAGAGATGGACTCCCTTTAACAAGCCCTAATTCAATTCACATGGAGAAGCCCTCATAGCCAAATCACCTCTTAAAGGTCCCACCTCTTCACATCGCCACATTGGCAACAACTGGATTTTGGAGGGGGCACATTTAAACCATATTATTGACAAACAGTTATAAAAGAGGGGGAAATAACCTTAATAACCTTTAACATGTATCAATTTGTTACCAGGTGCCAGACATACAGCAGTGCACATGCATTATTACATTTAATCCCCATGATTCTGGGGCAGGATCATGTTATGCAGAAAAACAAACTGAGTCTCAAAATTTCAGATTAACTTGCCTAAACTCACAAAAAATCGTATATGATGGAGCTGAGATCCAAGCTCAAGTCTGCATCTTTAAAGTTCTGCTGATATTCTCTTTTACTAGTCTGTAGAAAAAAAAAAGTTAAATGCAATTAGCAAAAGCCAGTAGTGTGCATGTCTCAGGTAATGTTGGCTGTAGCTGATTCTATCATCCACATTGTAAATAGTTACCTGAGGGTTCAGGAATCTGGGTCTTTGTCTAGCCCCTAAATTAGACTATTCTGCAGAGAAGTCATGATTTAAAGGCTTCTTTCAGAGACTTAATCTTACTTTATTTTATTTATTTTTATTTATAGCACCCCTTTGCCCATTTCCAGGATGAGTGTTTTCTCATCTTTCAGAAAACCTGTGGGATCATCTCCTCCCAGTGTGCACTGTCTGGTGGGGGTGTAATTAAGATGCCTTCCTCTCTCTTAGCAAAGGGCTGGGTGAGGCCCTCAGATGCTGAATGGATTGACACAAGGACAAGAGGTAATGCTCATGCAATTGTCAAATGAGCCGTGAGGAGATGGCTAAGTGTTGGCACCTGCCACTTACACCCCTGGCACTGCCCTGTGTTCTGCCAGGGTGGATTTCCAGATTGTGACTCATTCTGTGAGGTATCTCTGATATTTTTGACACATACCTATTTTGTAATAATTAACCAGAGTAGATGACTATAGTCTACAAACAAAGAATTAATCAACAAGACCCCGCACCTGCTTGACTTAACTTTAGTCAGCATCCTCTAAGCACTGCAGGCTTCTACCATGGTGTGCATCTTTGTCAGGACTGAGTCGCTCAGTTACAACAGAAATCTTGCCAAGTCAGTGCGGTGAGAACCCCCCACCCTCCATATCTCATCGGCCTCCTCATCCTCCCCCTCCCCCAGGTGATGTCTGGTGACCCCAGCCTGTCTTCAGCAAGAATCCTGTTAGATCTTTTTAGAGAATAGAATTCTTCCAACCCCAGCTGTTTCCTCTTAGTAATTTTTCATCCTCCGACCCCTCCATCCTGCTTCTCAGCTATAAATTCTCACTTTTCCTTGTATTTGGAATTAAGCCCAGTTTTGCACTGAGGTGTCTTTTCCCTGACTGCAGTAGTTCCTGAATAATTCTTTCTCACCACTTTACTGTCTAGCTCTGGTTTTTCTTTAGCAAAATGTAGTGGCGTGTTGGTTGCTCCAAATGAGGACATAAGGATACTGAGGACTGTTCTCCCTTTTCTTTTATTAGAGTGAAGCTTGGCTTCCCAGCCTCATGTCCAGGGAATATATTTCCCATATCCTTCCTTATGTTCTTTTCTTTTCCTCCTGCCCTGTTAGAAAATAGGAAGCTCTGTCCACCAACCGCCACCCCATCATTTAACATTTTCCCTCCATGTAGGTGTTTATCAAAAGAATTTGAGATTAAACTAAGACCCTTTTGGAATTAAATTATCCTCTGGAAAATCAAAAGTCCAAGCTACGAACCCTCAGTGCCTGAGGCAAACTGTGTTGCTGTAACGTCAAACAGGCTTTTGTTATTTTAAGTGTGTTCCTGTCTGGGTCTTCACTCTTTGGCTTTGTTTCTAATCTGAGAGCAATTTACCACCACCCTGATTTAGAAAGACAACCAACTGAAGTTAGAAAATACCTGACAACATCTGCCAAAAGCCATTCCTGGTGCTAAGCCTGTGAAGAGAACTTTTGGAAATGACGAGATTATAGTTAGCTATCTGACTTTAAAAAGATCGGCTTTTAAAAAAGATGATGAGCCGGGCACGATTAACTCTTAACTCAGTAGGCAAGAAATATCCTCTTCTTTCGATCACTTAAATCAGCTTATATTCTGATGCTAAGTCCCAGCAGCCTCATGAGAAGATTCTATGCCCATGACAATTGGGATCTCTCCCCAGGGTCTCTCCCAGGAGACGCATGAGATCCTGGAGGCTTCCTTGGTCCCTGCAGATGAAGAGAGAAGGCTTCCATCCTCCAGTATATCCTGGTTGCTACTGGCATCAGCACTGCAAAAACCTTGTGTGGTCAGTTACATCCCAGAAGTGTGTGTGTATGTGTGTGTGTGTGTGTGTGTGTGTGTGTGTGTGATATTTGGGCACTGACAGTTTGGCGATGCTGTGGGCTACGCAAACGCCACCCATGACATGGAGAGACCACCTCTAGATGCCTACTCGATTCAAGGACAACACACCATTTCTGCACTCGGTCTGGCTGGAAATATGTTTTGTGTGTTTTTTTGTTTGTTTGTTGCTTTTAATAATATTTTATGAGCCAGGAAATCCCACTCTTAGTGCTCTGACTCCTGTAAAACCATCACAACAGCAGCAGCATCTCTGAGATCTAACCTCTACCAAGAGAAGCAGAAGTAATTGCAAGTGCTATTATTGCTCGAGTTCCCCAGGCCCCTCTCTGCTTCTTGACTCCTAGCTCCAGAGCTCCGCCTTTCCCATCTAGAGGTCCTTGTATGTATGATCTCCTCTGGACCTGAACCTTATGGCCAACGTAGGCTTCCAAAGGCTGTTGTGCTCTCTTCCAGGTCAAAGTTCTTAAGGCAACAAGTGACAAAGTCTGGCACCTCTGGAAATATGGTGCTAATATTGGGGAAAATCAGAATGGATATTTAAAGCAAATTTGATGTCTCCAGTTTCTCAGCATATGTTTGGACATGCATATGGCAGACAAATCAGCTTTTGTTGATGGAAAACATACTTCTTCTTGGTCCAGCTTCCATGTGTGACCACAGGATATTTGCTCAATTGAGATTGAGAATATGGTAGCCTCCGCTTTACAACCCGAGGGCATCCCAGAGGCTTTAGCTGTTCCAAGCAGTGTTAGTGAAATTTAGTGACAGCAAGCAGGTGCACCATGTAACTCTAGAGTTCCGTGCAGGTAGACTCTGTGTGCAGGTGGGGCACACTTGAGGCCAGGTGCTGCCCCAGATAGAGACGAGAGCTGCAACATGGGTGTCAGGATTAGTAAGATAAGGGTGCTTGCTTGGTTGTGTTAAGGAGTTTGGTGAACGTTGTGAAAGCTGGGTCTACAGGACAGTGTTGTGTGTGCATCAGTGTCATGGAAGTCCGCGGCCTATTTTTCAAGGAAGCTACAAAGCCCCCGATGCATTCGACACCTTTTCAAGGTTTGTTTTTTGCCAATGGACTTTGCAAGGCTCCAAACATCACTACTTATACGGAGAAGGCACAGCTCTGAACCATATTCTTTAATGCTGGAGAACCTGAAGAGAAGTTTGTCTGACATAATTTTCATTGACTTGTGGAAGCATTAACACCTTATCTGCTTTGTAAATGCAAAGAGAAGATCAACACTCTGCTATCCATTCTCCTTATCAGACACTTAGCAAATGAAAAAGCCAAAGATGCTACTGAGATCATCAACTGTTGAAGTGCTTCTGAGCCTCTCTGATCTTCTTAGGATGCTCGGCGGAATGTCAACTGCTAGACCGCCCCAGCCTCTAGTCTTAGGGTCCCCACTGGAGCTGTGTGATAAATAAGGAAGACAGAGAAAGACTTGCAGATTCAAAACTGCCTTTGAAGGGCTCTTGGACGAATGTTTATTCAGAAGTGTTGAATCAGATTTTATTGTAGTTTGTGAGCATGCTCCTTAGTATAAGTTATGCACATTTCAAAGAAACAGACTGCAAGACACCATAAATCAGCTCTTTTTCAAGTTTCTAAAATGCCATTTTATGCTCAGAAGCTGTGGAGTAGAATTTTTGTGGACCTAGTCACTTTTTAAAATAAAGAATTAGATGAATAGAGTCCCCAAAGCAGTCAGGGCACGCGACTGATTTGCACAGTGGATCCCTATGTGGATTCATTGTTTGTGAATTCCACTGAAGCCACACAATCGCTAAACCCCTGGGCAGTGGGAAGCAACATAGCAGGTTTGCTCTGCCCCATCCCACCCAGAGTGTGTCTGCCCAGAAGGATTGTGAGAAGCCAGATGGGGATCTGCCACTTATACCTGTCAGTTCCCGTGCATCTTACAGGATTTCAGCATAAACTTCCCTGTTATGTGTGAATAGAGGATTTGAAGATATATGATTTTCTTTCCACATGGCTTCTAAAAACATACCCACTCACTGCTGATATTCAAGGGGGAAAAAATGATCTGTTCAAACACAGGAAGGAGGAAGACAGCTTTGCAGACCAGAGAGAGCTTATCTCAACCTATGATCCGCCCTTTTCCCAAGCAGTGAATCACTGTCCTAGTCACTTAAATTCTACACCTTTTCCCTTGTGCAGCCTCTAAAGCAGAGGTCCGGGAAGACATGACCTCACTCTCGGTAGAAATTTTTATTAAGTTTTGCAGCTAATGCAATTCTGTTTTGGAATTTACATACACACATATGTTCATGCACACAACCCTACCTGAGCATGCACACACACATCTCACCCTTTTTTTTTTTTTTTTTTTTGAGATGGAGTGCAATGGCATGATCTTGGCTCTTGGCAACCTCCACCTCCTGGGTTCAAGCAATTCTCCTGCCTCAGCCTCCTGAGTAGCTGGGATTACAGGTGTGCTCCACCACGCACAGCTAAGTTTTGTATTTTTGGAAGAGATGGGGTTTCACCATGTTAGCCAGGCTGGTCTCAAACTCCTGACCTCAGGTGATCCACCCACCTCCATCTCCCAAAGTGCTGGGATTACAGGCATGAGCTACTGTGCCCGGCCCCTACCTCTCTTGTCTTAGGGGCTACTCTATGGGTCCAGGGCAGGTTGGGTCCTCCTTCCCCAACCCGGTTTCCTTCTAGCAGCAATTCTGTTTTGTGTCTTTATATAGAGACTCAACCTTGTAAGAATTCATCTAAAGGGAAGAGCATTCATTTACTTTAAATGTTATAAAAATCAAGCAATATAACCCACCAGGAAACACTGACAGGCCACATGGAATGACTAAGGTAGTGACACAGAAAATCACATCATGACAGTAATGTCCACGTTATGAGATCTCACTCTGGTTCTCCTGTTCTGTACAGGATCATCAGGCCTTTCACCAGGTGTCTGCAAACGTGTTCTCTCCAGGAATCAGCAAGCTATGCTCTGACATTTTTCGTCTCTGATTTGTAATGTGTTAAATTCCTCTCATTTAATTATCACTAAAAAGTGGCTTCCCTGCAAATACGTTTCATGTCACCTCACATTCTCGCAGTCATGTTAATTAATTTGACTATAGTTGAGCTGCACTGGTGATGGTATTTGAATCTCCTTTCTTGCCCTAAATCATATAAAATGCCAACAGGGCACAGGCTGTGTTGCTTTCTCAGGTCAGAAATGCATCAAGCTTTTATTGAGAACATTCCCAAGTGACCTGTGAATCACTTGCAGCAGCTCTGTGACCCTGGCCTGGAGGACATAATTATCTTTATAGCTTTCTGACTGAGCATCTGTCTCTTTTTTGTTAAACATATGTCCATTGTCTGTGAGACAGAAAGCTCCCTGCCACCCCTTGGCCTTGTACACAGCACAGGCAGATGACAGAAGGGTTCTTTTTTGAGATGGAGTCTTGCTCTGTCACCCAGGATGGAGTGCAGTGGCGTGATCTCGGCTCACTGCAAGCTTCGCCTCCCGGATTCACGCCATTCTCCTGCCTCAGCCTCCCGAGTAACTGGGACTACAGGCACCATCCACCACGCTTGGCTAATTTTTTGTATTTTTAGTAGAGACAGGGTTTCACCATGTTGGTTAGGATGGTCTCAATCTCCTGACCTTGTGATCCGCCTGCCTCGGCCTCCCAAAGTGCTGGGATTACAGGTGTGAGCCACCGCGCCCGGCCGACAGAAGGGCTCTTTAGCAATAAAACTTGAGGCAGGGAAAGAGATACATTATTTTGCACAAAAATGAACAAAAGAGACTAAACAGTCTTTAATTTGGGAAGTGTAAAGAGGTTGGCTCTGTCTGAAATAATCCACTTTGAGGCCAGTGCTCAGGGGTCTTGCCTCCCCTGAAGATCCTGAGCTCTGTGCTGGGTTATGTTGAGGAGAGATATGAGGCTTTCATCTAGGATAGGACTACTGATTGCAAGATACCTGCTAGAGGACCAAAGAAGGGTTTCTAGAGATGAGTCAAGGAATATTTAGATGCCGGATGTCTACACAGTTAAGAAGAGAAGTGACAATGTCCCCAGAAGAGAAATAATGAGGCTTAGATTTTCCCTTAGTGCTGGACTGAGGGTGTGAAGAGGATCAAGAAGAGATGTATGCTCCACTCGAGAGCCACTGGATACAGTGGATAGCAGAGAAGGTGCTTTTACAGCTGAGCAAGATGTTTGTTTACTGGGTCAATTTCCATATGAGATCCCATGAGCAAGTAGGAGAGGGGGAAGCCTCAGAGAGCAGCTTATAATCCCACAGTGACCTATGAAAATGGTTTAGAGAATGTGGTATTGAAAGAGAAGGTCCATGATAAGCCATACACTGGAAGAGCTGGCAGAAGGACTCAGGCAGATATTGGATTCAATGGTGGCTTCTCAAAAACCATGGCCCGAGGACCTGGGTCGGCAGTAAGTCTGAGGAGGCAGCCCTTGCTGAGTGCTGTCAAGTACCAAAGGCCTGAGATGGTTATGTGAGTTCCACTGGGGTACTTGAAGTTGGGAGTTCAGCCCAGAATGGAGGAGGAAGGTCAGAGGCTGAGGAGCAAGGCAGAATGCTTCAGAGCTGCATGGGACGAAGGTTGAAAGTCAGGAAGGAAGCACCTGTTTGATGCATGATGGTTCTTATTTCTAGAGTAAGACTTGGTGAGGGCACAGGATGTCCAAAAAGCGTTTGCTGAATCCTTGGCCACCTGGTAGCTACAGGCCAAGCAGTGGACACCACCACTCACAATCTCTGATTATGTTCCCAGCTCATTTTGCCCTGGGGTAATTTCCTACCCAGCTTTCTTGACCAGCATCAGGCTGCATGCTATCTCCTTTAGAACCCTCAGAATTTTTCTGGCCTTTGTGGCTGAGGGAAAGAGGAGAAAACCAGTGGTGCTAACATTGTATACATGTCCTGTGCAGCTGGGCTGCCATCTGCCACAGTGGTGGGCAGTGCAGTGTCACCAGAGAGCCATGGTGAGAAGCAGGAGCATGCTCTCAGACAAGGGACACTGAATTTCCCCAAGTCCCCACCCTCTCCAGGGGATGAGCCGTGTGCTCTCTACTGACTCACACTTCTGTCCTCAGTGGGATAATTCCTCCTGGATAGAAATTCAGATGGGCTGGGACCTGCCAGGGAAAGGGTTTGGGGCTTCAGACAGGAGAGCTTGCCCCCAGCTGACCTGGGCTTAACCCTGTCCAGGCGCGACCCCCAACCCCAGTGGTCATGAGCAGCTCCCAGCTCTCTCGATACAGGGATTGGCGAGGCCCTAGGGACACACGCCAGCTAAGATTAAGCAGGAGCCTCCCACCGGGATGCTAAAAACTGGAACCTCATATCATTGCCAATTTTCAGTCAGTCCATGGGGTAACTTGTGATCCTCACCCTCTGCAAACTCACAAGGGGTCTCCGTGCGGCTTCGGTGCAGAGCTACCATGTTGGGGTGCCTTGAGGTAACCGGAGCCTCTGCTTTGGTGGTGTTTCTGGACCTTGTTGCCCAACTGGAGCAAGGACTTTTTGGGGATCCCCTTCTTGGGGTTGCTGGGGGTAACATTGGCCCTTTCCTAGTGACACAGGCATCCATGTGAGTGCACCCATCAGAGGGAGGCCTGCTCACCCCATGGGTTGTTCATGACTCTTCAGCGAAGGGTATCTGGAGGCAGAAGACATCAGAATTTTCATGTTCCCTGAAGTCTGAGAAATGAAAGGAGATATGAAAAGAAAACTACATACGATGACCTGAGGGCTCTTCCTTCATGAGCAGTGCTTTAGGGAACCTCCTAGGAAGTCTGCTGTCGGATACAGACACATCAAACAATCACATCAAAAAACTCCAACCACATCTCAGTGAGGGGCCTGTGGCAGGAAACATTAACAAGTGTGATGAGTGTGGAATGTCAGACTGTGAACCAACCGCACATAGCACACCAATGCCCTGGGTCCTTAGTCTATCCTAGACTTTTGGATAGAATTGCTCATTAATCCATGCCATCATTTTGCAGAGTAAACACAGCAGACAGGAAAACCTGCTACTGATATGTGGAAGGGCAGCTTGTTGGTTGATAGAGCAACACTTCAGGGGTCTGGGGCTTGGCCTCAGATGAACTGGGATCTTGAGGAGAGCTGATCCCATCAGCCCTGACTTCATCTGGGGAAAGGTCAGAGGAAGCCAGGGGGCTGACATCATGGGAAATTGTTTTGACAGCTGCAGAGCTGACACATGACTCCAGTTCTTCAGGTACAAAGTGATAGATGGAAGGTGTGTGGGCATTGAGTGGTTCAGTGGTTCTCATACCTCATTGTGTGGCAGCGTGATCTGGAAGCTTTGTGAAAACATACTTGCTGAGGCCCACCTGCAGAGGTTCTGACTCAGAAGGCCTGAGGAGGGCCCAAGTGATTGCTTTTCTAACTAGCTCCAGGTGACATGGATGTCGCTGGTCTGGGGACCATACTTGGAGAATCATTGACATGTGTCATAAGAACGCATAACAGCAAAAGCCCTTGGCCACTTGGGGGCCTGTCTAACAGAGAGGCCCAATGCTTCTCTCTCGTAAAGTAGATATATTAGCACTGAAAATGACTCAGATAAGAGAAGAGCCATGTAAGACGGCAAGCTCCCCATGCATGTCCCCCTGAAGGCCGGCATGGATATTGCTGAGCTATGAGAGGGGCCACCTTGACCCAGGGCAATTCCAGAGCCTGGGCCCTCCCCAGAGGCTATTGAGATGCTGGCCTTGGATCCCTCACACTGAGCCCATTGCTGCTGCCATGGACCAGATGTGGGATAGTCAGACAGCTCTTGAAGAAGGTGGATCCAGACTACCTCCCCGGTCATTAAGCTTCTGCCCACAGAAAACACTGATAATAAGGGAATGCTATGGAGATTACTGCAGCACCTGCTCTGGAAATAGTGGATGCTGCCTGAGAAATACCACCCCACAATGCTAATTAATTTAGAAAATAGAAAGGATTGATGTTAAAGATAAATGGGATATAGTTCTTTAGGGATAGAAGCTAGATAGAGAAGAAAATAAACTTGACCCCCTGCACCTTCCGTATTTGGTGGAAAGTGTTTCTCACAAAATCCACCCATGCCAAGTTGATTCAGACCAGAAAATCCAGAAAAATAACCCCCATTGTCATTTGTCTGCAAAGCTTGACTTCAAAGCAACAAAATGTATTTGCTGCAATGATTACTGTATATGTCCAGAAAAAAGTCTTCCAGCCTAGCACAGAGATTGTAGGAAAATCATTCTAGGGGCTTGTATTCCTCACCTAGATCTGTTCAGACCCAGGGAAGTTCTGGGGAGACAGTCATGATGAAATGAGATGCATTTGGTGGAAATAGAAGATGGGAGAGAGGGCCCTTCTATGATGCAACTCAAGGCAGAGAAGGAGACAGCTACTTTTACCAGAATAGACACAGAATCTTTAAGAATTTAATCCTAGTCCTGTGAAATCTTTTAGACAATCGCTTTGATCCCAAACAAAACCAAGAACCTCTTTCTTTATTCCAACAGCCTCAGAATACGAAGTGCCCTGCCTTCCATCCCAGCCCACCCAGACAAGCAACTGAACAAAGTGGAATATGGGCTAGTGTTGAGAAGCCATTCTCAAACCTCCACCAGGGGCTTGCTACATGACTGGGGACTCCATGCAAGAAAATGTGGGGCTCCTCATTCACAAAATAGAAAAAGGTATAATTAAAGGTATTAAAATGTAAAGCATTTTCTTTTAAAACTATTTTATTACTGATAAAACTTGAGGGTGATTAGTCAATATACTACAGAGAAACAGAACCAATAGGTTAATAGGTAGATGATAGATAGATAATAAATAGGTAGACAGATAGATAGAAGATAGATGGTGATATAGTTTTGCTGTGTCCCCACCAAAATCTCATCTTGAATTGTAGTTCCCAGAATCCCCATGTATCATAAGAGGGACCCAGTGGGAGGTAATTGAATCATGGGGTGGTTAACCCCATGCTGTTCTCATGATAGTGAGTGAGTTCTCACGAGATCTGATGGTTTTATAAGGGACTTTTCTCCGTTTGCTTTGGCACTTCTCATTCCTACCGCCACATGAAGAAAGATGTGTTTGCTTTCTCTTCTGCCGTGATTATAAGTTACCTGAGGTATCCCCAGCCCTGTGAGTCAATTTAACCTCTTTCCTTTATAAATTACCCAGTGTCGGGCAGCTCTTTATAGCAGCGTGAGAACGAAGTAATACAGGTAAATAGTAAGAGGAAGAGGAGAGATACACAATAAGGAATTGGTTCACACAATTACAGAGGCTAGGAAGTTGCAAGATCTGCAGTCAGCAGTTACAGACCCAGGAGAGCTGACAATGTAAGTTCCAGTCCAAGTTTGAATTTGAGGTCAGAAGGAGACCAATCTCCCAGTGCAAAGACAGGCAAAGAAAGCAAGTTCTGTCACTCCACCTTTTGTGTTCTATTCAGGCCTTCAACAGGTTGGATGATGCTCACCTGCACCTGGGAGGGCCATCTGCTAATTCCAATGCTGATCTTATCCAGAAACACCCTCACAGACACACCTAGAAATAATGTTTAACCAAATATCTTGGCACCTTACAGCATAGTTGGGTTGTAACAAAAAATTAACCTTCACAAGGGGTAATAGTTTTACCTGAGTAACAACAAAATTCACTTGCAAATTCATACATACACGTGTATATATATATACATATATACATATGAAAAAATTATATATAATGGTGTCATAATTTAATATAATAAGTAATACTTTATTAATGTGAGATTTTGATTGATTGTAAGATTTTCCTGACCTGTTATTCTGAAATTCATTTATTATCTCATCAAAATTTTTACTTTTGCAACTTGTTTATGATTGATATAACTGAAAGCAATGTCAGTCAATGTTGGCAAATACAAGGTTGCAAATAATTTTTACTCATGGCTTAAAGTGAGAAGGACCTTTATGCTAATGAAAATATTAGTGAGGCTGTTAAGTGTGTTTATGGGAATTGTGGAAATTTTCCATAAAATGTTGGGATAAATTTCTTATAACTGATTTCAATATATTAATTTTAGGCCATCTGGAGTTGATGATTCCTATGGAATAAATTTTCTAAAATGGTTTAACTCTTGACACAAACAGGCTTCATGCAATTCTGAATTTAACTTCAAATGTAAATGCAATGGCAACATTCTCTGATAGCTTGCGGAGGGTGTACAAGAAGAGCTAAGTGGCTTTGTGATCTGTATATAACTCAAAGGCCTGTTTTGCAAGTTATCCTTGTAACTTCAGTTACAGGGAAAAGTTAATTCCAACGTTGTTCTCTTCTTCATAATGGATTCATCAGAAGCCCCTTATGGAAATGTGGCTTTTTCTGTTCAATGTGATAAACTTTAAATGTAATTTTTATTTCTGGTACTACGAGTATTTGCTTTGCAATGTTGCGGCAATTTTTAAAACTATGGGTTCTAAATCCTTACAAGGAACCTCATAACTTTCTGATATGCATTATTGCAATGCCCATATGTGCACTTTTTGGTAACAATTTGCTGACAAAATTGACATCATGAGCCCTGGAGTTTCCTCCTCTGAGTCCACTGTTGCCTGTGAAGAATTCCTCCTTTGTCTACTGCCACAGTACCCGCCAGCAGTGTGGACCCAGATCCCAGACCGGCCTGTGCTTTTGAGGCCCCACCATTCCCCGGACTGCCCCAGGTGTGCTCAGGGCAACTGCTTGGTGCACACACTGCAGCCATGTTCCTAAGCCTGAGCCTGTGTGTGGAAGCGTTGTCCCCAAGCGGAGCTTTTCACTCATGTGTGTTCTCCAATGTCCATGCCTCACTTAAAAAACATGAGTTTAAAGGTAAAAGTTTAAGTTAGTTCCAATGAATCTCAGCAAATCATTAAACCAACATGGGGACCCTCCCGAGAGCAGGACCCTGCTGCAAGCCTATGATGCTTGCACAATTTGTAAGCCCATGAAGCTGTCCCTGCCACCACTCAGCATAGATTTTTAGAGCATTGGACTATTTGAACATCCATCTGAGATGCTGTGTGGGTTCTTGCACAGGTCACTATTCAACCACTCCTGGCTTGCATGAAAAAGGGCTTACATAAAGGTTACTTTGAATTTTGCCACACTATCTTCATTGAATTCTAGGCCTTCTCATACTTGGAGGATCATTACTAGTTTTCTCATTCCAGACACCCTAGTTCAAACATTGGCTAAGATGTGCTTACCATCAGTGCTCAGTCTAACTGCTGTTCCTTTGCAGCCACTTTGCACACATTGTGCCTGAAACCACCTATCATGGGAACCTGGATTTCTGACAATAAATTTAAACCAGGAAATAGCCATTGCGATCATACGGGTGGGCGAACAGGTCCATTTCAGGGCTACTATAGGCAAATCAGAGTTACAAACATAAAATTATAAAGATGAATTATATTTGTGCATTTTACTGTCTACATGATAATTATGCAAGCTTCTTTGTTAATATATGAGCTGCTGCTAAAAAGTTTCATTCCGCTTAATGGTAATGATGCTGTTGTCCAGTATAAACACATCTATAAATTGGAGATAATAATAAGCATTTCTTCAAATATATTTTTAGATACTTGCATGATACTTTTAGATACATGGAATATATCTTCACTAAATCAAAACAATGCATCTGAACATGAGGACTCATGCTGCAAAACTTGTTTCAGTGAGGATAAATATAACTCAGGGAAGAGAGCAGAATTAAAACTGTAAACACCACAGCACTGTCATTTGAACCCACTGCTGTAGACTAGTTTAGGATAATGTCCCTTAACAATACTATCTGGTCTCTCTGCAGCAAGGAACTTGCCTTTGTTAGCATTTGATTGGATTTGGGGTAACATACAAATTCAATATCTAAGTCAGAAGTTCAAAGCAGAAATACCCCTTGTGATTATACTCCTGCATTTCTAAGAAAAGAGATATTTCATATGGTGGGAAATGGTCATTGGGCACAATTCTAACTAGTTCATTTTTTCCCATCAGTTCATTTTGCAAGTGTTCAAACACAGAAAAGCCATGGCAGTGTGAACATGAACATGACCAGGACTCAGAACCTACCATTCATGTTACTACCCTTGCTTTGACTTACCTATTCATCCCTCCTTCCCTCTAGCCACCACCAGGCCACCTCACTTATTAATACATTTTAAAATAAGTTGTAGAGGTCAGTCCTCTTCACCCTAAATACTTTGGGGTACATATCATTGACTTGAGTTCAAGATGTACCTATTCTATGTTTTTTTCTAGTTAAAGTTACAGAGAGGGAAATGCACAAAACTTGAGGGGACCATTTCAATGAGTTTTGACAAATTTGGTATACACCTGTGTAACCGAATTCCCAAGAAGATATAGAACTTTGCCATCACTCCTGAAAGTTCCCTTAGGCTTTCCCCATCACTTCCAGCCACCACCAATGACAGGGCCACTTTTCTGGCCTTCTTCATTATTAATTAGGGTTGCCCATGAATCAGTTCATTTTCATCTTCCTTGTATAATCGAATATATAAAGGTTTACAGGCTTTGCTTTCAAACTAGAGAAACTTTAGTCGTTCATTGAATATTCATTTATTTTTTAATATTTAAGGATAATTTCTAATGATGTGTATGAGCAAAGCACAGTCTCCTGGGGGAGGCAGATTTTGGCAAAAGGGAGAGGATCTCTTGCTTCTCTCAAGGTAGCCTGGCTGTTTAGGAGAAAGAAAATAGGCAAATTCATCTGCTGAATATCCCCTGTGGGAAAATCAAAACAACTTCATCTTCTCCTTTACCCTGGCCTTCACTGTGTTTTCTTTTCTCACATCACTGGAAGGCAGAACATTTTTCTCCCCACAGCTCTGCTTGAGGTCTTTTCTATTTTGTGTTCAGAAGGTGCTTGCCAGAGACAAGGGGGTTCTCTGCAGGCTGCAGAATTTAATCAGCAAGAGTGAGGTGTTCCAGGATCCAGTGGCTTCTGAGACCTCACTTCCTAGAGAACACAGAGGACTTATCTTAGATCATTTCCAGCGGGCTGCCCTGGCAAGGCCAGAGATAGAAACACAGCCAGTAAGCAGCAAAATATGAGGGCCCTCAGCTCTCCTTCCTGTTTGTTTTGCTGGGCAGGTTGATCGAAACTGGAACATCAGGTCTGCCAAAACCCAAAACTGTTGGCCTAGAGTAGAGCTCCTACGATTCCATCAATTCCGAACTGCCATTGTTTTGCCATAAGGTACAAATATTGATTGACTTATTTACTCATTTATTTATTTATTTATTTGTTTGTTTGTTTATTCCAAATACTCATTGTCCCCCGGACCCCCTAAATGATCTTAACATTTTCTTTCTACCAGCGATGCAAGCCTAAAAGTAGCCCCTAATGCCTTCCTTCCTCACTGCAGCCAATCTACTGCTGACACCTGCCTGTGTGGCCTCTCTGGTACCTCTAGAATATGCTTATTTGTCTCTGTTTATTCATAAAATATAAGTCAGTGAGCATCTCTCGTGTCCCAGGGGTTTACGACGCAGTGGGGACACAGTGATACAGGAAGAAGAATAGGCTCATGCTCCCTGGAGATTACATTCTAGGGAGGAGAAAAACATGAACTCACAGAAGCAAACATTTGAGTACAGTAAGTCCTCACTTAATGTCATCAACTGGTTCTTGGAAACTGTGACTTTAAGCAAAATGATATACAACTAAACCAATTTTGCCATAAGCTAATTTATGTAAACAAGAGTTAAATTCCTATGACACATTTCTAGTCACAAAAACATCACCAAATTTCTAAATAAAGACCCAAACATGGCCTGGCGCAGTGGCTCATGCCTGCAATCCTAGCACTTTGGGAGGCTAAGGCAGGCAGATCGCTTGAGGTCAGGAGTTTGAAACCAGTCTGGCCAACATGAAGAAACCCCATCTCTACGAAAAATACAAAAAAGTTAGCTGGGCATGGTGGTGGGCACCTGTAGTCCCAGGTACTCGGGAGGCTGTGGCAGGAGAATCACTTGAACCCAGGAGGCGGAGGATGCAGTGAGCGGAGATTGTGCCACTGCACTCCAGCCTGGGTGACAGAGCGAGACTCTATAAGAAAAAAATAATAGAAAGACCCAAACACTTGTAATATTAAACACTGAAATACATGTGAGATATACACATATTTAAGATAATTTTTTATTCCATTTTTGGTGAATCAGCAAGGGACTGCAGTGGCAGTAGTGGTTGGTTAAATCAGGCAATAAGTGTTTGCAAGGCAAAAATTGTCAGGAGCACCTCCTACCACAACTCAGTTCAAAAGCAAGCAAGAACCAATCTGACGGGCCCGCTGAGCATCTTCGTACCTCATCGGTCCTTGTCACACATCTGCGTGATGATCATAGACCTTGCACATTTTTATTTTACAATAATTTGTATTCATCCTCTCATTCCTTTTTTGAGTCCTCTTATTTATTCCAATTTGTGGTAGTGGGTGGCCAGAGCCTGTCCCTGCAATGCAGGGTGAAAGGTGGAGCCCACCCTGGACAGGATGCCATCCATCATAGGGTGCACTCACACCCACCCATACCCGTTCACTCACACTGGGATGTGTGGACACACCCATCCACCTAACGGACGCACCTTTGTGATATGGGAGAAACCAGAGTACCCTGAGAAGAGCCACTTTCTCTGTAGGGAGAACTTGCAAACGCCACACATTCAGTGGCCCTTGGAAATCGGGAGCCACTTGTTTTTCTTATCAATGTTGTAACAAAACCATGCTGTTTGAGGCCCTGCTGAATCAGATCATGGCAAGTGTTGTGAATAAGAAATTCAAGACCAAAGGTCTGGCAACACCATGAGAAGAAGAGGGAGCAACAATATATAGAGTGGTGAAAGGAGGTCTTTTTGAGGTGAATATATTGGAACTAAGATTGAATGATGAGAAAGAGACAGTCATGTGATGATCTGGTTGGGAATTTCGGGTAGAGGGAATAGGTGCTGACACCTTACCTCTACCTACCATCATTCCTTCCCTAGCCCCATTAATGGGTCTACAAGGATGCATTCCCACTCACATCCACTGCATCCTTTGCGCTGATGCTCTGAAATGCAAGCCTGATTCCATCAGTTTCCAGGTCCTCCTGCTGTGCCTGTCAAAACACCCAATGGCTCTGTGTTGCTACTGCTCTTAGGGATAAATGTCCTTACCCTGGCAGCATGTGACCCGCTGGTCCAGGACCAGCCCATGCCTTCTTCTCCAGCCATGTGTCCACACCCTTCGGGCCCCACGAGCTGGTCAGCCTTCACGGCCATTGTACTTGCACACGTGCTGTTTTTCCTGTGGTCAGAGGCCCTTTTCACTTCTGTTTTCCTAGTAAATCCAGGCTCATCCTTTGGATTCCAGATTATTCCTCATTACCTCAGGAAAACCTTCCCTGAGGCATTTTTCTTGAATTAGATGACTCAACTGCATGTATTCAGGGCACGATGGTCTCCCTTACATAGCACTGATCACTCTGGAAATTTCCCATGCAATTTAGAATTATTTGATTAATGCCTGTCTATAAGATTCTGTTGTGTGGGGGATGTGCATGTGGTGTTTGTGTGTGTGGGAATATGTGTGTTGTATGGGGGATGTGTGTGTGTGTGTGTGTGTGTGTGCTGTGATGTGTATCTAGGAGAAAGAAGTGATAAATAATACTCAAGTCTCGGCAGTGTATATTTTATCAGCTGCTAGTAGAAGATGGATTGGGTTGGGTTTTTGTTTTTGACTTTTATTTTTATTTTTTAGGTTTTGCTATTACATTGTCCTAGGAGACTGTACAATTCTGCAAAAGTAATAAGTTATATTAAGTAATCTCAGAAGAATTCTGAAATAGAAGTGAATAAAAATTAAGTAAGGCAGTATTTAATAAGGAGGTTATTTTTTTTTTTTAATTTAAGCCCAAAACATATGAGGCACATATAAGAAGGCCCTTGGTAAATATTTTGAAGAAAAAAAAAGGTTTATTTCCTGCAGAAATTATTTTTGGTATTTATTGCAAAATAGAAAATCTAATTTTCTCAAAATTTTAAAACTGTTTCCATGACACAGCAACGTGGTGTGCAGAGCAGTCCTGGATGCCCATAGTATTTCCCTGGCTCTGCTCCCAGCCTCTCTGAAGCAGTGATTGCCCATTGATAGCTATGGAGTCCAAGGGTCATTTCCTGTGTACTGCCAGAGTCCCTGTGGCCACCTGCTGGTGACCAAGGAAGACCTCACAGCTGGGCTAGCTTGCTGATGGATGTCAGCAGCACCATCCCTGCCTCCCCTTCCCCGCTGCTGGGTACAACCCTTCAAGGCTGCAGGCGCCAGTCTTGCCGTAGCCTTCTGCTCTCAGTATTCTGTGGAGGTTTTCATAAAGAGATATTTTGTTTTCAGTAACACTTGGGTTGGACTGGACTGGATTGGACTGGAAACAATTTAAGCAAAAGTTATTTTTTATATAGACTCCAAATGACACTTTCTGACCCTCACTTGCCAGGTCAAATCACAATATAAATTTCTTGGAAATCAATTTCTTTTGTTTTTTTTTTCTGGAGACAGAGTCTCGCTCTGTTGCCCAGGCTGGAGTGCAGTGGCCTGATCTCAGCTCACTGCAAGCTCCGCCTCCTGGGTTCATGCCATTCTCCTGCCTCAGCCTCCTGAGTAGCTGGGACTACAGGCGTCCGCCACCACGCTCAGCTAATTTTTTGTATTTTTAGTAGAGACAGGGTCTCACCGTGTTAGCCAGGATGATCTCGATCTCCTGACCTCGTGATCCACCCACCTTGGCCTCCCAAAGTGATGGGATTACAGGCATGAGCCACTGCACCTGGCTGGAAATCAATTTTTTAAATAGTTGACAAAGATCTTTCCAAAACGATTTTCCCCACAAATCCGAGGCAAACAACTCCCATTTTGTCTCTTGTCCATGAACACAACATGAAATTGTGAAACTGGTTTCAGTTAGAGATGAGTTTCTGAAACTAGCCCACGAGGCACATGTAGATCAGAAATCAGAAGTTTATGCAAACATCTACAGTGTGTGCAGCTGTCTGCAGATGACACTGACAAAGGCCCTAAGACCTACTATCTTCTCCCTTCCACCTTCAACAACTTCCCTTGTTATCCTCTTATTACAACGTGTTTACCTACAAACATAAAACAAAGGTATACTAGGATTCTAACATAAAAGTTTGCATCTCTCTATATTTAAGCTGGCCTAAGTTACTATTAATTTATGTCCACTTGTTGATTCATTACTCATTTTGTAAGAGTCTATAAGAAGATATAGGCCTGAGTCTTTTTGAGTGAGGCTAAAGCTCCCAAAGAAAGAGTAGGCCGTAAAGAGGAGAGAGAGAGGCAGGGAAAATGCTGTGTGTCCACTATCATTTCTACAGATCACTGCAGAGCTATAATTATCTATAATACTGAAAGCTTCAGAAGGAGAAATTTCAGATCACTTTTACAAAACCTCTAGGACTAGAATTATCTGCAATACTTATAAAGATTTCAGCAAAAAAAAAAATCAGACAAAAACCATCTTTTTCTTTTGGCATAGCTAAGCCTGAAGCCTTGTGAATCTCAGCATGTACGTGTTGCTTAATTGTTGTGAGGGAGAAAATGAGGTCCAAAGACTGTCACATTTCAGCTTTCTGGGGAGTAGAGACGTCAATTCACATCAGCAAAAGATAAAGAGGTCACCTCTCAATCTGAGAGAACATCTCACCTTTCTGGGCACTCTGTAGATATGGCTCCCGGGAGGGTTGTGTTTTGGTTCTGGACGCATTATATTACAGCTACAGGAATTACATGTTGTGTTATTGCCTTTCATCACTAAAGGAAACCCAACATTTCCCTAATGGGAAACAATTGCCTCGGGAGTGGGCTCCGACAACTTTATTGTGCTGAGGAATGTAGCTGTGCTCAACCTGTAATTACAGTGACACAATAAACCTTGGCAAACGCCAGAGCAACCTTTGTTGTTGCCATGCATGCCTTCTGTCTGTTCTACCAGTGCTCCTGGGGACGTGCTTCCTCACATGCTTCAAATGCCCCATAAACAGAGCAGCCAGAGTCCTTATTTAAGTAGATGGACCCAGGCCCACCCTGGACTTATTACGTCAGAATCTCCAGGGAAGGACCGGAGAATTCAAGGTGGACATTTTTACTATTCACCAGTTTGGGAAATGTTGAGGGATCCCTGAAGTCCCTTTGAGGTCTAACTGCGCATGATAATCTCAGCTCATTGATCTCAATAAGATAAAAAATAAAGTAAACAAACAAAAAACAGGTAAATGAGAGTGACCCAAAAACACTTTTCAAAACACAGATTCCTTTTTCCTACAACCCTTGGTCATACTGAGATCTCTAAGGGCACTGGGTCTATTTGTGCTTTGAAATGACCTCCAGATTTGAGACAGCCTGTGATGGCAGCTCATATCTGGTGCTCATTTATAGAGCACCCATCATTTATTTATTTGGAAACTTTTGAGTGTTTATACTGTTCCCTACCCTCACATGTTTCCTATCCAATAAAACTACCATCACATAGTAGAGTTTTAAGCTCCACAGATAATAGAATAAGATATTACAAGTTTCTTGACCTCATGACACAATCTGGTTAGAAAAGCAAGAAAAATTCCTTAAAGTCAAGTAAAAGTGCATGTCAATCACATAAAAAATATTCCAAAGGAGCATGTGGTTGAGGGTTAAATAGCAATATAACCAACAGGTGCCTTGAAAAGGAGACTTGACTATGTGAAGCTGCTCTCAGAAGAAAATGTATAAATTAATAAAAGCATGAATCATTTATCCTGGAAAAGTTAAGTTACCTTGTTTTTGTTGGAACACTTTGTTGTATTGCTTTTGAAATGAAATTTATGTATCCTTTGCAAATAAAGAACTTAAATATACAATATTTTGCATGAATGTCAAGTCAAGACAATCCTAAGCAAAAAGGACAAAGCTGGAAGTGTCACGCTACCTGACTTCAAACTATACTACAAGGCTACAGTAACCAAAATAGCATGGTACTGGTACCACAACAGATGTATAGACCAATGGAGCAGAGTAGAGGTGTCAGAAATAATGCCACACATCTACAACCATCTGATCTTTGACAAACCTGACAAAAACAAGCAATGGGGAAAGGATTCCCTATTTAATAAATGGTGTTGGGAAAACTGGCTAGCCATATGCAGAAAACTGAAACTGGACCCCTTCCTTACTTCTTATACAAAAGTTAACTCAAGATCGATTAAAGTCTTAAATTTAAGACCTAAAACCATAAAAACCCTAGAGGAAAACCTAGGCAATACCATTCAGGACATAGGCGTGGGAAAAGACTTCGTGTCTAAAACACCAAAAGCAATGGCAACAAAAGTCAAAATTGACAAATGGAATCTAACTAAACTAAAGAGCTTCTGCACAGCAAAAGAAACTAGCATCAGAGTGAACAGGCAACCTACAGAATGGGAGAATATTTTTGCAATCTATCCATCTGACAAAGGGCTAATATCCAGAATCCACAAGGAGCTTAAACAAATTTACAAGAAAAAGCAAACAACCCCACCACAAAGTGGGCAAAGGGTATGAACAGACACTTCTCAAAAGAAGACATTTATGCAGCCAACAAACATATGAAAAAAAGCTCATCATCACTGGTCATTAGAAAAACACAAATCAAAACCACAATGAGCTACCATCTCATGCCAGTTAGAATGGCGATCATTAAAAAGTCAGGAAACGACAGATGCTGGAGAGGATGTGGAGAAATAGGAATGCTTTTACACTGTTGGTGGGAGTGTAAATTAGTTCAATCATTGTAGAAGACAGGGTGGCAATTCCTCAAGGATCTAGAACCAGAAATAACATTTGATCCAGCCATCCCATTACTGAGTATATACCCAAAGGATTATAAATCATTCTACTATAAAGACACATGCATACTTTATGTTTATTGCAGCACTGTTCACAATAGCAAAGACTTTGAACCAGCCCAAATGCCCATCAATGATAGACTCGATAAAGAAAATGTAGCACATATACACAATGGAATACTGTGCAGCCATAAAAAAGGATGAGTTCATGTCTTTGCAGGGACATGGACAAAGCTGGAAACAATAATTCTCAGCAAACTAACACAGGTACAAACACTGCATGTTCTCACTCATAAGTGGGAGTTCAACAATGCAAACACATGGACACAGACAGGGAGGGGAACATCACACACTGGGGCCTGTCAGGGAGTGGGGGCTAGGGGAGGGATAGCATTAGGAGAAATACCTAATGTAGATGATGGGTTGGTGGGTGCAGCAAACCACCATGGCACGTATATACCAATGCAACAAAACTGCACGTTCCGCACATGTATCCCAGAACGTAAAGCATAATACAAATATATATTTTCTGAGTTAAAAGCAAAAAAATAGCTATTTACTAGAACTGTACAATAGGGTATGATTCTATATTTAGACACATACACCCTATGAATATTTTAACCAAGAATTTATACAAGTGCATATACATTGGTATTACTGTAGGAAAGTATGAAAAATCCTCTTGAAAATGATCTAACAAAAAGGTTCTATTTCAGAATATTGTGGTTACAAACAATTTTCACTTTTTACATTTTTATTTGTTTTTCAAAGGTGTGAATTTCTTCTGCAGTTAGACACAGATTATGACTAAAAAACAAGTGGCTTTTATGTAGATTCATAGTCAATATCATAGTCATTTATTTTAAAAAGCTGCCCAGGGCTTGTTAAGTTGCTGTCAAGATGAAGCACTAGGGGATCAGCATGTTCAGGTGAAAAGGTGCTGCTCAGGGAAGAGGTGAGAGGAGGCTGCAGGTGCTGTGTGCTGACTTACCTGAGCTAGCACAGATGCAGCACACGGCTCACACACTACCTCTTATGGCATTATCACTACCCAATCTGCCATTAGCGCATCCAATTAATGGCAATAGATTAAATTGTATAGCTCCCTCCACCACCACAATCTGCAACCAAAACCATCCGGGGGACATCCTAAGCTCTCAAAAGGATCTTTATGGGGAAGAGATTTGTTGAGGGCCAAGAGCTGAGCTCCATGCCTTTGAGGATGAGAATTCTGGGGTCCTGGGTGCCTTTTAAAGTGATCTGGGAGAGGTAGGCTCTGGGAGCGTATGTCCTGTTGGCATCACCAACTCCCAGCGCTGTAAGGAGTCGCAGAACCAGAAGAAGGCCAGAGGAGAGACCTTGAAAGTGTGGGATCCCAAGCAGATATCTCAGGTATCCAAGTCCATCGGTGCTCTGGTAAGCCAGCTCTCTGCAATAAATAAAAATAAAAAGCACTCATTTGAAGAATTTGCCAGTTTTCATGATGTAATTTCTCCCACTATGGCCAACTTCAAGCTACTAATGTTTTTTTTTCTTTGTTTGTTTGTTTGTTTTTGATGGAGTCTTTCTCTGTCACCAGGCTAGAGTGCAGTGGCGCCATCTCTGCTCACTGCAACCTCCGCCTCCTGGGTTCAAGCGATTCTCCTGCCTCAGCCTCCTGAGTAGCTGGGATTACAGGCGTGGGCCATTGCACTTGACTAAGTTTTGTATTTTTAGTAGAGAGGGATTTTTTATTTATTTTTACTTATTCATTTATTTGATACGGAGTCTCGCCCTGTCACCCAGGCTGGAGTGCCGTGGCGCCATCTCCTCTCACTGCAACCTCCGCCTACCGGGTTCAAGCGATTCCCCTACCTCAGCCTCCCGAGTAGCTGGGACTACAGGTGCGTGCCACAATGCCTGGCTAATTTTTTGTATCTTAGTAGAGATGGGGGCTTCACCATGTTGGCCAGGATGGTCTCGATCTGTTGACCTTGTGCTCCGCCTCCCTCTGCATCCCAAAGTGCTGGGATTACAGGTCTGAGCGACCGTGCGTGGCCTAGCTACTAGTGGTTTTATGAGAAGAAGGTGAAACTCCTTTAACATTAGCTTTAGCCAGCTGCTACAACCTGACAGCAGCACACACTGCCGAGCCCAGCACTGGCACAGACACTCTCACTTTGTTTACAGTCTGGCAACTCCTATACAAACTGAAAAAATTGCAAATTGAAAAAATGACTAGGATCCCCATTAACCAGAGGCTAACAGGATTCAGATAAACATAAAATTCCTAACACTTTGCAACAAGTAATAGTTCACCTCTGTTTTCCACCCTCAAAATAATCAGCATTCATGTCTGTTTTGCAAATGGGTCTTGAGAAAGATCCCCTTCTTATACATGCATTATTCCAATCTTTGAATTCTAAATTCATCCTAAAATAAGTGGGATTGGTGACCAAAATGACATCCAATTCCAGTTCACTATCTGCCTGCAAACGTGTTGTTTTCATCAAAGCACAAAGTCACCAGAGTCTATTGTAAAATGGCATTGATATTATCTAATTCACAAGACTGTTGTAAAAATTCAGAAAGGTGATGCATGAATACAATTTGTAAAATATGAAGTACTCTTCAAATATTATTTAGAAATAATATTATTACATCGTTTGCAGATGCAATCAATGGCTCAGGGATTTCTGTCTAACGAAGTCTTGGGGCAGTAGCAGCATATTGGGTGTGTGAAAGAGGAGAATTCTTCTCTTGACATCATATTTGCATAGCAGCTGCACTGTTTCCTCTTCATGATTTATTTGGAATGACTGGTGAGGTCTGATGGAGACTGGTGGAGCTAAAATTCCCTAAGGCATTCTGTTGTACCATGCTGTGTTCAGAGTCCTTCATTAAGAAAAAGCAAACCAAATAAGAATAACAAAACAAACAAAACAGCAAACCCTTCTTATATAACAAATTATGCCTAAAAACCAAATACATATGTGTGTGTGGGGGGGGTATACACATGAGCAAATAAACAAAAGCATATACATATACAAATATACATTTGCATATATATACATATATATATACACACACACACACACACACATCAAGGAGATGTCCTCTTAAAACAAATATGTTAGGGCAGAATCATAAATTATGTTCATTTTGAACACCAAAATCTCAGGAATCATTAATAATTAATAATCTATTCTGTAAAAATATCAAAAAGAATGAGAATGACTAGACTGAACCTATATTTTTAAATGAGAACTTGTAAATGCATTTTACTAAAATGATAAAAGCAGCATTAACATGTATAAATCAAATCATATATAATCTCTTTTGTTTTCCTGGGATTAATATTGTCTGCCTAAGGACTGAGCATAAAAATGAAGCACTTGAGCTAAATATGATCAGAAGAGATTTCCATCCCTATGCTACTCACATCCTCTGTGTTGAATGCCAAGAAGTGCCATGTTCATGTCCATGCAACCCTACAGTGTGCAGGAGACTTCATGATATCAATGCTCCCATGCCTATTCTAAGGTAGTCTTGGTAACTCTACCTGTGATTCCTTAAGGGCCATACTTATTTAAATATAGTCCTCAAAGTATTATTCCTTCCAAATTGCATGTAAAAATAGTTCTTAAAGTCTTATTCTTTCCATAGAGTTTCTTGTTCCTGGTTCACTACTGCATAAGTCCATTCAATCAGGACCACAGGAAATCTGACTTCCCAGTGTGCCCTGAAACACACTGCTCATGCTTATTTCCAGCCAGCATTAGCTCAGTTCTGTTTATTTCCCCTCAACAGCTTTCTAGACTATTCACTATCAGATATTTGCTCCATGTGGCTTAAGGATTTGTTCTGTGGTTGGAGAATCTCTCCTTTTGGCTTTCCTTCCTTCTGCTTTCCTGCACACCTAAATTTAAAAAAGGGAGAGAAGGAGCATGGAGAGATTGGATCTACTTCCAAGTAAGTGATCTGAAAGGACTTCCTCCTGGTACAGAGGTTATATAACATAATGCTTCCTATATATGATTTGCAAGTATCCTTCCCAATCTCAGAAATGTATTGCTTATGCTTTCCCATGGTTCTCTGTGGGAGTCTCCAAACACCCTTCAGAGGACAGAAGACATTAAATCTTTAGCAGACATTTATAATTTAGCCCAATTAGCCTATCAGTTCTTCCCTTGTAACGGAGCATACTAAGCTAGCTGAGAAGAGGCTGAGCCAAAAATTCAGTCGCCAAGTTGAAAGCCACTTTTGCCATAATGCACACATGCCTTCCTAAAGTCACTAAGTGAAAGCTGCAGGGCAGATGGGAAAATGGGGTTATTGGCACAACACTCCATGACTGCCAGTGACACATAAAAAGACAGAAAGCTAATAACAATAGTAACACAGTTTTTCCATGCTATACAGTTAAGATGTACAAAAGCGTTATAGTACCCATGGCATCTCACCTTGAAAAAGACCTAACTAAGCCTTGCTTGTGGCTATGCTGCTCTTATGTCTTGTGTGCCAGAGGAAGAAAACAAAAGAGAGAGCAAGAAAGAACAGAGGATGGATAGAACTAGGACAGGAGGAAAGAGGGAAAATTAGAGTGGGCAGAGGGTGTGGACTACAGCCTGGAGCCACTGAGCAGTAATGAAGGGCTACTGGTGGCCCCGAGCTGCAAGGCCGGAGGTGCACAGTGCTCAGGGAGCCAGGGTGTGTTGGAAATGCAGGCAGGAACCTTAGATTCCTGTTCAGTGCCAGTCAGCTGGTGTTTGTTTCTGGCATCCGTCTTGTAAATCATAGTAAAAGCAAATTCAAAGCCCACTTACACCCAGTTGTATACCTCATAGTTACCTAAATGTTACCTAACATACCTAAGCATGTGTACCTCATAGTCATGTTTTGGTTAATGACAGACCATATATATGACAGTGGTCCCATAAGATTATAATACTGTATTTTTACTGTATCTATCTTTAGATATATTTAGATGCACAAATATTCCCATTGTGTTACAGTTGCCTGCAGTGTTTAGCACAGCAACATGCTTTGCAGGTTTGTAGCCTAGAAGCAAGAGGCTACATCATGTAGCCTACTTGTGTAGGAGGCTACATCATGTAGCCTACTTGTGTAGGAGGCTACATCATGTAGCCTACTTGTGTAGGAGGCTACACCATCTAGGTTTGTGTAAGTGCATTCTGCAGTGGTCACACAATGATGAAATCACCTAACGACACATGTCTCAGAACGTGTCTGCATCGTCAAGCGATGCATGACTGTACATCAGTCCCACTGGCACAAATTTGAGCTTTCATGGCAAGCGCAGGTGACTTGGCAAACACTCTTTCCTTTGACCAGAACTTGAGTCAACCTTGTGAGTTCTTTCCAAGAGACTTGACCTTGGGCTTCCCTCTCTGTCTTGTTGAATCCAGTTTGATCAGGAATCCTGCGAAGTCAGTTCAATAAAGACACCTCACCCTTAGTATCTCACTACACTGTTTGTACCTGATCACCCTGGCCTGCCTTCAGCAAGAATCCCATTGAGTCGGTGGGATTCTTACTTCTTACTTCTTACTCTTGGTGTTTTTCTACATCACTTCCCACCCCTTGACCCCACCCTGCTGCTTGGCTAAAAGCCCCCTTGTCTTTGTTGAAGTTGGAGTTGAGTCCAATCTCTCCTCCACTGCACAACCCTGTTGCTGTGTTCCCCATCGCTGTGGCCTGCTTGGATCAAGTCTGTCTTACCATCTCCAACAAGGGTTGGGAATAATTGTTTTCAAGGGACCGTATTTGAGAGATGAGCCCAGGAAGGTCTGAGAGGTGGGCAGAGTAGGAAGCCCAGACTTGCGGGGGGCAGTTAATGAGAAAGTTACATTTTAGGGCTGTGGGGGCTGTGGAGCACCTGTAAGACTGATCCCAGCCAGGAGCTAGCAAGATACAGTTCCTGCCCTGCACTATTGGAGGGCATTTCCAGCTTGCTGTGGATGGGTTGGAGGGGGATCAGTCAGCAAAACAAAGCTCTCACTAGGAGCCCCAGGTGCTGAGAACTGAATGCCCAGAAGACAAGGGCAGAGCACTTGAAGCCTATTTTGGTCCCCAAAGGAGATCTGTGACCAATAAGGACACACTCCTCCCCCAGTATGCAGTTTTGGGCTCATCTTGAGTTCCAACAACTGGACTTCTTCCCAGCCCACACCTGCTGAGTATATTCAGCAACTAATCCTCCCAGGGCCTGTGCCTAGTCCCTCCCCAAGGCCCACCCCATCACCCTTCCCCAAGCAGTGTGATTACCTTGCCCTGATTGACAATGTGCAGTTACACTTTAATGTGGCGTTTGCTTAAATTTTATGCACATTTAGTTTAAATGTGAGCAGCTTCAGCAATAATTTGAAAGAATTGTGTTCCACTAAAATGGAGAGCCTGCTGGGGTTTCTTGCAAAAATTTGCATTAAATAATCAAAAGTACTTTAGAGCTCTGCCAGCTGCTTCAATATTAAAAGTTCAGAGGAATAATGGTAGGTTTAAAGACGAAAACACCTAGTTTATATGAGATGGAACTTTTCTTACAAAAATTACAAGAGTAGATTTTGAAAGGAAGTGAGGGACTTTTTGACAAACTTCCTTAGTGGCTTTTTTTTTTTTTTTTTTTTTGACAAAGTCTTGCTCTGTCTACCAGGCTGGAGTGCAGTGGCGCCATTTCAGCTCACTGAAACCTCTGCCTCCCGGGTTCAAGTGATTCTCATGCCTCAGCCTTCTGAGTAACTGGGATTACAGGCACCTGCCACCACACTCGGCTAATATTTGTATTTTTAGTGGAGATGGGATTTTACCATGTTGGCCAGGCTGGTCTCGAACTCCTGACCTCAAATGATTTACTCACCTCGGCCTCCGTAAGTGCCGTAATCACAGGTGTAAGCCAACACATCCAGCCTTCCCTGGCATTTTTAATTGCCTAAACCCTACCTCCCGCTGCCTCCACCATCTTGAAACAAACCGCACATTCATTTTTGTCCACAAGTATATCCCGTATTAATAGAATCAAAGGCTGAGAGCTTTAGCATTATTTACACATAAGAGATATGCTTAGAACAGTACTCAAAAAAATGTCATTTGAGGGAATTCAGGGCTACTATTTACCATTTGTATAAAATTTTAAATCAACCACCAAAGGGTAAAGCAATTACATGAATTGAAGTCCAACTCAGTTGCGACCCTATGCTTCAGAACTCCCCTGGGTCTCCCAGGCCGTTCTTAATGAGGCAAAGGGACGTGGTGAGCAGCAGAAATGTCGGTCAGCGGCAGCTTCTCAATTCCGGTGGTATCTCGGGAAACGCTGAGTTAGCTGAACATTAACATGTACATCAAGTCTGGGAGGTTCAAAATCAGTTTGCTCTGCAATTCAATTTTATAGAATCATTAATGGTGAAGGGCAAAAAAACCCTTCATCTTACATTTTAAAAAATTTATCAAGATTTGGGGATATTTTAATAATAGCTCAATATTACAGGGAAAGGACTAAAGAAATGTAACAGTGCCTTTAAAACAAGCTTTCCCCCAAGAAAAAATATAAAGGCAAAATGTGGCCTGGGGCATCCCTGGTTGTTTATGCTCAGCCATCTGAAATTTATCAAGGCTAAGGGGCAGCAGCAGAACCTTGGAGGCTCCTTTCTGCAGAGGGTTGGGTTTCAGGCAGCCCTGTACAGAACGGCTCATACCGTGCCCTGGGCCTCTACTCCCAGATCCTTTTAAAGATCCTCCATGGCTTCATTTGCCTTCACAGCTTCAGACTCTGGTTTCTAGATACAATGCATTTTTTTTTTTTTTCCTGAAGCGTGTTTGAATAATGCAGATTTGAGTACTGAGAGTGCCTGTGCTGAGAGAACCCTCTGGTAAGCTGCTGGGACAGACTGAAGTGGGGCTCTGCGGAAGACCAGGTATAAACAGGGAATGTAGCAAAGAGCGATAATAAAGGAAAGGATAACATAGGAACGGATCAGGAGTGACTCCACAGAGCATCTTAAGCCATGAAAGTCTTGCCTTTTAGAATTTAAATAGTCTTCTTTCTTTTTTTTTCTTAAGCTAAAAATTTGTCAATTTTGTTGACCTTTTCAAAGAGCCAACCCTTGGTTTCACTTATTTTCTTTATTGTTTTTCTCTCCTCTGTTTTTTGTTTGTTTTTTTGTTTTGTTTTTGTTTTTTTGTTTTTGTTTTGAGATGGAGTCTCACTCTGTCACCCAGGCTGGAGTGCAGTGGCAGCGATCTTGGCTCACTGCAACCTCCACCTCCTGGTTCAAGTGATTCTCCTGCTTCAGCCTCCCGAGTAACTGGGATTACAGGTACACGCCACCACGCCCGGCTAATTTTTTTGTATTTTTAGTAGAGACGGGGTTTCGCCGTATTGGCCAGGCTGGTCTCGAACCTCAAGTGATCCACCTGCCTCGGACTCCCAAAATGCTAGGATTACAGGCGTGAGCCACCGCACCCAGCCCCTGTTAGTCCTTCTTGTTCTAATTCCTTACATTTTAAAGTTGTTGATTTAACACCTTTTTTTAAATGTAAGCATTTATGGTGATAAATTACCCCCTTAGTACTGCTTTTGCTGCATTCCGTGAGTTTTGTCATGTTGTCATTTCATTTTTATTTATCTCAAGATATTTTCTAATTTCTCTTACGATTTCTCCTTTGACTCATTTGTTGTTTAAAAGTATGCTTTTTAATTTTTACATACTTGTGGATTTTCCCATTTTTCTTCTGTTTTTGGCTTTCTAGTTTTATTCCTCTCTGACTTTTTGAAAACAACTAGTAATCCAGACAATATATTTTTTAAAAATCAGAGACTTCTGGTCCAGACAAGATGGTACAGACTGGTTTCTCCCCCTGCTCCTTGCAATGCACAACCGTAGACCCTGGAAATGGCACCAGACAAGCACGGCAGGACTCTGAAAGGGAGAAACAGGACAGCAGACTGGTTGGGGACTCCAGGACTGGCCCAACAGCATAAGCATCTTCTAAAAGAAGAAGGCCAACTCCCACGTACAGCAGAGGCCATCTGAGCAGGCTTATTCCTACACCAATGGAAGAAGACTCCATCAGACACCACTGGCAAGTGGAGTGGTTTGGGGACCCACCAGAAATACATGCCCAGTGGAGACATGTTCCTCCCAATCTGGGCCTGAAACTCCCTTTTCTGAAGAAAGATAACTGGGAAGGCAGGTGAAATCAGGAGGAGGGGCACAGCCATAGCAAGGTGCGTGACTGGGGAAGCTGCTCTGTCCCCACTGGCCTTGAGACTCTCCTCCATTGCCCAGAGACAGCAGGTCTGCCTGTGGATAATGGCAGGGGGAGTAGCACCACACTCATGTCATTCCTGGTTGTGACATACTCCTGCTTTGCAAAATGTCATCGTTTGGGAAAACCGAGCAGACAGTACAAGAAATCTCTGTTTTATTTCTTATAGCTACATATGAATTAACAATTATCTCAAAAATTTCAACCAAAAGAGTATAAAGAGTGGGAAGGGCAACCAGCCTCCAAAATCAAGGAAAGAAAGCAAAGGATGGAAATAAGCCATTACATAAAATATTCATTCTAGGCCAGGTGGGGTGGTTCACACCTATAGTCCCAGCACTTTGAGAAGCCTTAAGAAGGAGACAGAAAAGCTGTAAGTATTGGAACAAATAAAAGGGAGGATCGGTTTACTCCAGGAGTTCCAGTCCAGCATGGGCAACATAGAAACACCTCATCTTTACAAAAAAATTTAAAAATTAGCCAGACATGGTGGTGCTCACATGTAGTCCCATCTACTTGAGAGGCTGAGAAGGGAGGGTGGCTTGAGTCCAGGAGCTCAAGGCTTCAATGAGCTATGATCACATCACTGCACTCCAGCTTGGGTGACAGAGCAAGACACCGTGTCAAAAAAAAAAAAAGAAAAAAGAAAAGAAAAAAAGAAAAGAAACACATACACACACACACACACAAAGGATGTTAATTCTTGTTAAATGTCCATTAAATATTTGTCAAAACTGACTATATGATCTGCCATAAAAGTCAATAAATTTCAAAGGTCTGAAATTATACCAAGTATGATTCTGTGATCACAATGAAGCTGGAAGTCAATGATAAAAAGAAAACTGGAGAATCTCTAAATGTGGAAATATTAAGCAATGACATTGGATATAGTCTATGAGTCAAAAGAATCACAATGGCTTCATAATAATGAAGATCCAATAGATCAAACATGAAATTTTTCTAAAGCTGTGTCTAGAGAAAAATGTGTAGCTTTAAAAGTGCATATTAGAAAAGAAGAAAGGTTGGAAAATCAGTAAGGGCTGAGAAAGTAGAAAGTAATTGCAAATTAAACTCCAATAAAGTAAAAAGAATGAATTGTTGAAACAAGAGCAGAATATTACAAAATAAGAAAAAATACTTAATAGAGACGGACAAAGATGGCTCTTCAGAAGATTAAAAAATTGATAAATGACTGGCAATGTTGATTACAGCAAAGAAAGAATAAATAAATACTTCAGGGTGAAAGAGGGAACAAAGCTACAAATACAGACAGAAATGATAATCAGAGATCCTTATAAAACTTTCATGGCAATAATTTTAGACAAATTTCTAGAAAAACACAACTAACCCAAACATAAGTGACAATAAGTCAAAAGTGCTAGTAGTCCTGTAACTATTAAAGAAACCCATTATTAAAATTCTTTCCACAGAGAAAACTTCCACACCAGATGGCTTCAGCAGATAATTATTTTGAGACCCTGCCTTGAGGAAAAAAAAAAACACTTAATGAAGAAATAACATAAACCTTACACATATACTTTCAGAGTATAGCAAAAGGGGGTTCTCCACTAAATAATAAGAACAATATAATCTGATGATCAAAATATGTATGTATCATTAAAAGGAAGGAAAATGTAGACCAATCATTCTCGTGAACATAGATACAAATATTCCAAGTAAAATGGTAGCAAACAAAATAAAGAGATGCATAAAATGATACTAGATCATAACAAAGTTTTGTTTATTTCAGCAGTGCAATGTCAGTTTAATATTAGAAAATTAATCAATATAAATCACTATAGGCCAGGCGTGGTGGCTCAGCCTATAATCTCAGCACTTTGGGAGGTCGAGGAGGGTGGATCACCTGAGGTTGGGAGTTCGAGACCAGCCTGAGCAACATAGCAACATGGAGAAACCCCGTCTCTACTAAAAAAAAAAAATACCAAAGTAGCCAGGCCTGGTGGTGCAGGCCTGTAATCCTAGCTACTCGGGAGTCTGGGACAGGAGACTCATTTGAACACGGGAGGTGGAGGTTGTGGTGAGCCAAGATAGCGCCATTGCATCCAGCCTGGGCACCAAGAGGAAGACTCTGTCTCAAAAATAAATAAATAAATAAAATCACGATAGTAACAGAATAAAGGGGAAAAATCACATAATCCTAAAAATGCTGGAAAAGAATTAAAATCCAACCTGTGAAAGGAAAATAAAATCTCAGGACTCCCAACTCACTACACCGAAGGGAATGTTAAGGTTGGGGACTGAGCCACACAAAAACTGCCTTCCTTTTGTTCTCAGAAAGATAGCTGTAACTTCATATGCTTACTTTATCTTATGTGAAATGTAGAGTTACCAAGCACTGGAGGAATGCATAGTAGACTGTTCCTCTACCCCAGGGATATCCAATCTTTTGACTTTCTTGGGCCACATTGGAAGAAGAAGAAGAATTGTCTTGGGCCACACATAAAATACACTAACACTAACAATAGCTGATGAGCTAAAAACAAAAACAAAAACAAAAAAACAAAAATCACAAACAAATCTCACAAATGTTTTAGGAAAGTTTGCAGAGTTGTGTTGGGTCACATTGAAAGCTGTCCTGGGCCACACGCATCCCACAGGCTGTGGGTTGTACAAGCTTGCTCTATCCCCTCCTTCCATAAGTAAAATGTGGATTCAGTGAGTGCTAACAAAAGCCTAACAAGAATGTAACCACTTCCTCATTGCCTATACTCTTACTCTCTTTTTGCCTTTTGTCTTTTCCCACCTGCTCACTCTTTCCCCCTTTAAATACTGAAGTCCTCAAAACCCTCTTTGGAAGAATCACAAGTCACAAAACCAACCGTAACTTGTGTTTCTTTTTTCCTAAGTGTGTCCTCAACTTTGGCAAAATAAACCTCAAAACCAGTTGAGACTTGGCCTCAGTCTCTTTTTGTTTGTTTGGTTGGTTGGTTTACAAACCCTTCACTATGATTAAAACTCTCAGCTCACATGTAACAGATAGGAATGTCCTCATTCTGAGAAAGGATGACATGATTGTGCAAGGAAAACATCCAAAAGAATCCACAAATAAATTTAGCATGTTAATCATTGAAATTAACAAAGTCTCTAGATACAAATTTATTATACAAAACTAAATTGTATTGCTACATGCCAACAGGAGGAAATAAGAAAATGCTGCTTTAAAATTCTACTTGTTACAATAACAAATAAAATAAATCAAATACCTAAGCATAAAACACTCTCAAAATCACGAGAATTTTACACAAAAAAACTAAAAAAAATTATTGAGAATAATTAAGCAAGGCCTAAACCAATAGAAGAATATATAGTACTTAAGGGTTAAAAGACTCAACTCTGTAGCAATGTCAGCTCTCCCTGTACTGAGACTAAGGAATCAGTGTTGGTCCTGTGCAGATCTTCCCTGATTTGTTTTGTTTACATTTTTCGTTTTTTGCAAAAATTAGCAAGCTCATTTTAAAAACCCATACAGAAATATGAAGCCAGAAATGACCTAAATAATCTTAATAAGAAAAACAGAGTTTGAGGACTTATACGATCAGATATGAGATATTGTAAAGACTGTTAAATAGAATTCATGGGAAGCAGTTGTTTTGGACTGAACTCCTCCACTAGGCCCCAGCTGATCAGACCAAATCAGAATGGAGTCACAAGTCTAGGTACCACATGATCAAACTGAACTTTGAAATGGGCCAGTTTTCCGAGAAATGGGAGATTCACCTGTCAAAAGGGGCCCAGTTTACCTGAGCCAGCATAATCAAGAAGTCCCCCTTGTTTAACCCTACAGAGAACGTAACTTTGAAAAGACGAATCCCATCTCGTTTCCTGTTTCAGCTTTCTTCTTATTGCCAATAAAGCCAGACTTCTCTGCTCAGCTCATCAGAGCATTCATTTTGTTTGGTAAAATGAGATGTTGTCCCATTCTAGATTCACTAACAAAAGCCAGTTCAATTCTTAAACTAAATCTGTTGCATTTTGTCTTTTGACAAGGCAGTGTAGTGTGGGGACAAGGATAGATAAATAGTCCAATGGAACACAATAGAACGTTTATTAACAGGCCCAAGCATAAAAAGACACTTGATTTTGGACAGTGGTAACACCATGGGACAGGGGAAAGTATGGTTCTTTAAAAAAAAGTACCAAGTAAATTGAATATAAATAGAGAAAAAATAAAAATGGTCACTCTGTTTCACAGGATACAGAGAAATTAAGTCTTCATAGATTATAGGTCTAAATGTGAAAAACAAATTAACAACATTTCAAAAAATAACATATGGTCTTATGATAAGGCAATATTTCTCAAACAAGATAAACATAATGGAAAAGATTGATCAATTAGAATCGTTAAAATCAAGCATTATTTACCAAAATATCTCATAAAAAAGGAATGGCTTGCTGCAGAGTAGAAGAGATTTGTGATACATATTATATGTAGGTGGCAAAAGACTAATGCTCAGAATACATTTTTTAAATCATTAAGAAAAAGATAATTTAATTTTTGAGGCCAATGTCCTTTCCTGGCTCTCTCAGGCCAGGATCTGCTTGAGAGGTCTGCATTGTTCTCCCCAGAAAGCAGTTATCTAAGTGATAAACCTTTTCACATGCTCCTGGCCTAGGGTGTGATGGTGTCATCAATGTCAATATTTGAACCAAATTTTGTGTGGGAATCCTCCTGCTTCTACAGTGATCACAGCAGTTTATCCAACAAATATTAGGATTTTAAAAAGTAATGTACACAATTTGTGTGTTTTGTTCTATCTAGTCCCCAAATTTTTAGAAAAGGAATTGGAGGTGCACACTCACACATTTGTATGCACACACACATGTCTAGTGTCTGGATACCAATCAGAAACAGCATTTTTTTAAAGGACCCACAAGAAATTGGCAACTATAGTTGCCTCTGGGGAGTGAAAAAATTATTTTGTTACAGGGCAACTATCTTTAACAATGGCATTTTCCTTTTATTATATTCACTTATTATTTCTCAAGTTAAAAAAGAAAAACTAGTTAAAGAACAAACAAATAAATACAATTCAGTCCAAACTTTAAAAAAGAGGAAAGAAAGGAAAAGAGGAAGACATAATCTTTCATAATAAATAAAAGAACAAACAAAATGCGTGCAGCAGAGTCTAAAGTCCATGGTACACACTAAACTTCCACTTTTGCAGGTGCTACAAAAAGTACTCCGCTGATGCTTTAGTTACATGGACCACTCCAGATAAAAATGAAGATCCTCCTGTAACAGACAGCTAATTTTTACAACTTCTTGCCATCCTTTGGAAAATATATTTTCTAGGGTATACACTATTATTAGGACTTTTATCCTTTTGTACACTTGAGAAGTCAACTGCTGAAGAATAAAATAAGCATCATCCAGAGACGCCTTTGAGCATCACAATGCAGTGGTTCTTTCATGGAACACATTCTGAATGGAGCTTCTCTTTTTGATACTATTGTAAGTAATGGAAATACCAGCGAATCTTGCCAAGACTTTAAACATAGCGAGAGTTAGATGAATGTGGCTCACTTATTTCTGAAATAATGGGGCTACAGCATATGCTCTTCAGACCACTTCTAGCCCAAATAATCCAACATCTGAGCAATTCACCTACACTACTGTCTTTTGTATGTCTCAATATGTGCAGCATTTTAAAAAGTATTGAACTTTGAATCATTTTGAGATAATAGGGCACCTGGAGTGGAAAAAGTGGATGTCATCTCCAGCCATGTCTTGGACCTCTCTCCATTTCATTAAGTATATCTTCCTGAATTTAAGGGGAGTGTGTTGGATTGATGATTGTGTCTGTGTGACTTTGACCAAACAGAAGTGACACAGTGCAGGTTTCCAGTTTGAGGCCATAAGAGATCAGCAGCTTCCACCCCCTGTTCTGAGCCACTCACTCTGGGAAAAGCCAGCTACAGGGTAAGAAGTAGGGCCGTGGAGGCTGCCATTCCTGGGCTGCCAAGGCATGAGCATTGGAGAGGCTGCATGGAGAGACAGATGCCTGACCAGACCCCAGCTGTCCTTGTCCTCCCAGCCCAACCACCCTCTTCAGTGAAGAGTGCAGAAGCCAGTGAAAGCTGTCTCCAACATTCCAACTCCAGCAGGTGACAGATGGAGAGTACTAAAGGAACCTAGTCCTGTACCGGGCACAAGGCCACAGTCAAGCATCCCAGCCCTGTCCAGCCATTAGAGTTGCCCTATAGGAAGCTCAGGAGACTAGCCAATCCCACTGTGACCTGTGTGAATGTCCAGCCCAGAACATCATGAGGAAAAATAAAATGGTTATTTTATACAACTGAGTTTTGGGGGGATTGTTATGCAGCACTAGATAACTGGAGCCAAGAGCCGGTGGGAAAGGGTGGAGAAGATGCAGGGGGTGGGCAGATGATGCCCAGCACAGCCATCCCTCGCATTCCTGCTGAAGCTGAAGACCAAGCTGTTGCCTGCGTGGCACCCAGTCCCTAATAAAATGACCCAAGTAAGAAAAATCAACAAAGAGGAAGCAAATCGCAGCAGCAAATACATATAGAAAGGGGGAAAAAACATGCCATTGTTTAATGTAATGTAATAATGTAGAATATTCTGGCATGCCTTGCTGTCAGTCCTACCCCAGACTCTGTCTCCGGACACCTCAGGTGCACAGGTGCACATTGAGGTAGACACAAAACCCCAAGAATCCTTACCCATCCCTCAATTCTGGAAAGAAGGTAGATTTTTTTGATTGGAGTTCAGCGTAGTGGATATGATTGTTATGAAAGGGTCTGACTTTTAGGGAGTGTGCAAAGTCCAAGGATCCATTTCATGGCCCTAGGAAACCCATTGTGGTGGTTTCTGTAAACTCTGGTCCAGGACGTTTAACAACATTTCACTAGAAAGGAGAGGAGAGCCTCTCCCGCACTCCACTCTCATTCCTTCCGGCCACTCGAAAGTGTCTACAACTTGCAGTATCTGGTCTTGATGCTGAAAGATGGAGGGAAAAGAATTAAATGAGTTAGTGGTCACCAGCCAGACCCATAGCATTCACCTTGGACAGAGCTGCCCCAGCCTGAGTCTGATGAAAAAGAGCCAGCATGACTGCAAAACAGAAGCAGCACAGCCATAAAGGCAGGTGAGAGAAACAGCATAAAAATGCAAAAACGTAAAGTGGTTCCTAGGAGCTTGGTATAGAAGTGTGAAAGGAAAATATCTTGGGCCCCCAAAATCATACAGATAAAAGGAGAATTCGAGCTGGAAACTGCTCAATGCAAACCTGCCTCCCACTCTCTTCAAAGTCATCCTTCTGCTCCCTGAGATAGATGTGTATTCTGATTGCCTCCTTTGGAAAGGCTTATCAGAAACTCCAAAGAATGCAACCATTTGTCTCTCACGTACCTGTGACCTGGGAGCCCCACTCCCTGCTTCGAGTTGTCCCCGCCTTTCTTGACGGAACCAATGTAGTTCTTACATATATTGATTGATGTCTCATGTCTCCCTAAAATATATAAAACCAAGTTGTCCCCCAACTACCTTGGGTACATATTGTCAGGACTTCCTGAGGCTGTGTCACGGGTATGTATCCTCAACCTTGGCAAAATAAATTTTCTAAATTAACTGAGACCTGTCTCAAATTTTCTGGGTTTATAGAAGAAAACCTAACCTGAGGAACAGAAATGAATTCCTGATAATATTTCAATCCAGAAAACACTTTAATGAGAATGAACACATATTTTTTTAAAGGCGTGCTCAAAGGCCAAACAATTAACAAAACAGTATTTAAGGGGCAATAAAGAGCTAAGAAAACAAACTGAAACCAAAATTAAAAATTGCAAAGAGCAAACTAAACAATCCTGAAAACTGAATCAATGACATACAGAGAGGCCTATTATGATAATAGTAAAAGAAAAGGACAGAAATTTAACTAACCAGAAGAAAATGAAAAGAACTCCAAAACACCAAAATTGATCTGATGTTAGGATAATTCAAGTCTATGAAACAAAGAACAAAACTAACAGAGAAGAAAAAATTTTCAAAGACAAAAAGCAAGAAAATTTCCTTGAGTTGAATTAGAAGAACCAAATCTTTCTCTAACAGGAAGATTAATACTGTAACATAATGTAGCTAACTTATTGCAATTCAAGACTGGCAAAACAAAAATTGCTAATCATGGAACAAATCATCTAAAGAGAAAAAAAATCAGGCTGCTCTCACAACTCATTATATTAATATTTACTTAATGCTAGATGACAATGGAGAGATATCTACAGTGTTCTGAGGAAAGGGCTATGTGACCACAGTAACATGACCCCACTAGTCATCTGCAACTGGTGATGCCAAAAAGAAAAGAAACAACCAATACATCTTTGAAAAACAAAACAAAGCTTAGAAAAATCACAAGCAAAAGAAGAAATAATTATAAAAGCCTACGCATTACAAGTAGCTAACATTTGCCCAAGGCTTCTTATATGACAGGTCCTGATTTTATTATATTTATTCTCTCAGGAACCTTGAGAAGTAAGCACAGTGTCTATTCTCACTTAACTGAATGTGGCGGTACACAGAATAGTGTGTTTAATAGTAATTCAGGATTTCTCTTTAATAGAGACAGGAGAGAGTAAAGGGTCCTAGGTGAAACCCTGCCTTCAAGCCTAAAACAACCTGAAGGCTGAAAAACCAGACTGCTGGTTCTGGATGAAGCCTACCCTTCCCGAGTTTGTTGTTGTTGTTGTTGTTGTTGTTGTTGTTTTTGTGTGTGTGTGAGATGGAGTCTCTCTCCCAGGTTGGAGTGCACTGGCACGATCTCGGCTCACTGCCACCTCCACCTCCCGGGTTCAAGCGATTCTCCTGTCTCAGCCTCCTGAGTTGCTGGGACTACAGGTGCGTGCCACCATGCTCAGATAATTATTGTATTTTTAGTAGAGACAGCGTTTCACCATATTGGTCAGGCTGGTCTCGAACTCCTGACCTCAAGTGATCTACCTGCCTCAGCCTCCCAAAGTATTGGGATTACAGGCACAAGCCACCACGTCTGACCACCCAACTGACTCTTTCTGAATAATGCCCACCCACGCGCTGGAGGACGGAGTGGAGCCATGCAAAATTTGTGCCCTTTGTGCCGGGAGGAGCCTGGGCTCTCCTGTTCCTGTGTGGTGACCTGGGATTCAATCTGTGAGGTGGGAAACCTGCTAGCAGGACTCTCTCTCATTTTGCTGAGAATTATATTTTCTTTTTCCTTTTCATCCAGTAAATTCCATTTTCCTCACCCTTCTATGTGTCTGCAAGCCTAATCTTTCCTGGTTGTGTGACAAGAGCCCAGTTTTAGCTGAACTAAGGAAAAAGTTCTGCAACATCTTGGTGATGAAAACAGCCCATTAGACATCAATCAAAATAACCAAATAAGAAACAGAGTAAGATGGGAGGACTGCTTGAGGCCAGGAGTTAGAAACCAGCCTGGGCAACATAATGAGATCCCACAACTACTAAAAATAAAAATAATAAATAATTTTAAAAAGAAACAAAGAAGCTGTAGTTTAAAATAAACAAACACACATCTAGAACCCTTTAACTATATCCATTTTATATTTTATAAAAACAAGTCATAAACTCTTGGTGAAAAGTTCTTTAAGACTTAGAGAAACTAAGTGGAAATGAATCCAACTGGATATGTTTCACTGTCCAAAAGTTAGCCTGGAATTCAGAGTTAGGGCTTATTATCCAAAGATAGTGCCTGGATAGAAAAATTCAAAAATCTCAAGTTATAATACCTGATCGGACTGTTTTTATTTCTCCTTTTAAATTATATCCCCAGATCTCAAAAATCTAGGATTGCTAGTCAAACGTGTCTGTTATTTACACATACCTTGTATAAGGCAATTCATTTCTACTATGGGCACTCTCAGGTTGAAAGGTGGTACTTCTCAGAACCCTGTGAAATTCTTGAATAGACTGGCCATTTCTCTAGGACCACTGTCAATAGAACAATAATGCTTCTAAAAGACTGCCCTACAGCATTCAGATAAAAGTACTTTAAACCATCAAAACACGTCTGGAATACCAAGTTCTGTAACCTGAAGTTCTGCATGACACTAATAGTTTTTTTGTCTATGTTGCAAACACTTGTCATGATAAAATCTTAATAACTACTTAAATATCTATGCTGAACATTCAGAATGCCAAAACAGCCACAAATTTTGAATGAGAAATTACAGTTCAAATTATTATCTTATTAATGTACTTCAGAGACTGTGCTTTTTTATCTTATCAAAAGAGTAAGCTAAATTGTTATATATGACTTTTTTCATGGCAAAGATCCATGTAATTATTTTGAGAAACTTGTGTGAATTGACACGTATTTCACATGATGCAAGGATAATATATCTTCACATAGGTGTGTGTTAATAAAATTATGTAAACTGGAATATTTTCTAGTTAACTTAGTTTAATACCTTATTTTCTCCTAAATTATGTTTCAATGGGTAGTGTCTCTTAATATTTTAAGTTGGTCTTTCTTTATTCCTCCTACTTCCAATCTCCCTAAAACACACAGACACACACACGCACACGCGTGCACACACACACACAATTAATGCCTTTTTCAAGTTATCTGAAAGAGCATTTCTTAAAGCATTTCTGAAATATAAATAATGAGTTCTAATTTATGTTCTGAGGAAACTGAATTATTTTGTATTGATGCAGTCAAACTGTTATAAAATAGTGATATCTGCATAGAGTTTTGAGGCTAAAAGAAAACTAATCAATCAACTCATCAAGCCTTCTTATTTCATACATAAGAAAACCAGGCACCAGCAGCATGGGATTGCCAGAATTAAAAGGACAGTTTCATTCAAGAGGCTGGTAGACTGCCCAGGTGAGAATCTCTCTTCTAGCACCTTGCATAGTACCAGAGAAGGCAATTTCATTTAGCGACAGCTGCAGCTTAGATCTTTTCATGATTCTTAATTCAATATAAGGTTGGTAATTAGGGAGAACTTATGTCCTACAGGTCTGGCAGATGTAGGAAGGATGATGTACAGTGTTTAAAAATACTAAGAGGGCAGGCTATGCTCCCTGACCTCCTGTCCTTCATGCCCACATAGCTAAATGCCTTCCCTGTCCATCAGTTTCACGGTAACTTCTTGAGAGCCTGATCTCCGCTTCATCTTCTAACCTTCTAACCAGCTACTTCTTTCTATACAGCAATCTGACCTCCACTCGACTTCTCAATCAAATTGGCTCTCCTGTAAGGTCACTGTCCTAGCCCATTCAGGCTGCTACAGCAAAATACCATAGACTGGGTGGTTTAGAAACAGCAGAAATGTGTTACTCACCATTCTGGAGGCTGGAAAGTATAAGATCAAGGTACAGTAGATTTGTTGTCTAGCGAGGGCCTGCTTTCTGGTTCACAGATTATACCTTCTTGCTGTGCCCTCACATGGTAGAAGGGGCCAATGACCTTTCTGGGGTCTCTTCAATAGACAGGGCACCAAACCCATTCATGAGGGCTCCACCCTCACGACCCAATCACCTCCCATAGACCCTACTTTCCTTTTCTTTTTTTTTTTGAGATGGAGTCTCGCTCTGTCACCCAGGCTGCAGTGCAGTGGCATGATCTTGGGTCACTGCAACCTCCGCCTCCTGGGTTCAAGCGATTCTCCTGCCTCAGCCTCCCAAGTAGCTGGGACTACAGGCATGCACCACCATGCCCAGCTAATTTTTGTATTTTTAGTAGTGATGGGGTTTCACCATGTTGGCCAGGATGATCTCGATCTCTTGACCCCCTGATCTGCCCACCTCAGCTTCCCAAAGTGCTGGGATTACAGGCGTAAGCCACCGTGCCCACCAGACCCCACTTTCTAATAACATCACCTAAGGGGTTAGCATTTCAACATATAAACTTTGCGGGGAGACAAACGTTGAGACTATAGCAGTCACCAAAGACCTCTTTTGGGTAAATAGATATTTGTCAGCCTGTTTCTTATTTAACCTCCAGGAAGCATTGGGCCATGCTGACAGCTCTTTCTAGAAGTACTCTCATGAAATACTTCTCATGAAGTATTCTCAGGGTTCTCTCCTTACTCTGCGGCCCTTTATCAGCCTTCTTTGCGTAGACTTCTTCCTCTGTGTGCCACAAATGATAAAGTTAGCTAAAGCCTGCCCAGTCCCTTTTCTTTTCTCACGCATGGTCCTCTCCCTGGGAGGTGTTTCATCTAGTCCAGTACCTTCATTGCCATCTCCAAATACATGGCTCCATTCCAGGGTTCCCTCTGATGCCCATCACCTGGAGGCAATCACAAATGGAACAAAGCCAACAGGGTGCCTCACCAGATCATTAAATATAATCAGCCTCTGCCTAAAAGTTCAGTCTCTCACCACAAGCTCCCTCCTGCCTTAGATGATATTTCAAAAGTGGTATTTCCTCTGCTAAATACATTGAATTTATTTTTTGGGTCTCCACTTAATATTGTGTGTTTCTCTTTGTAGTGCTTTCCATTGGCCCCCGTCACCTCTCCATCATGACACTGGTCACAGGTTTCATAAAGGACTTATTTAATTTTTTCTTCAACCAAATTGTGGGCAAATAGCACTAAGAATTCACTACTCTGACTTACACAGCTTAATTTTTTATTGTACTTCATAGCACTTAACAATCCTCTGATATATTACTTATTTGTACCTTCAATTGACTTTATCATCTCACCAGAGCATAAGATCAATGAACCCATGAATAGGCTTTTCTGTTCTGTTTCTGCTGTATCGATCCCTAATGCCTGGTGGATAGCAGATACATACTTTATAATTTTAGACAAAAGAATTAACAGAATAGTTAATTAATAATATCTCAAAAATAAAGTTATCATACATGCCGGGTGCGGTGGCTCGTGCCTATAATCCCAGCACTTTGGGAGGCTGAGGCAGGTGGATCACCTGAGGTCAGGAATTTGAGACCAGCCTGGCCAACATGGTGAAACCCCCATCTGTACTAAAAATACAAAAATTGGTGGGACGTGGTGTCAGGTACCTCTAATCCCAGCTACCCCAGAGGCTGAGGCAGGAGAATTGCTTGTACCCAGGGGGTGGAGGTTGCAGTGAGCCGAGGTTGTGCCATTGCACTCCAGCCTGGGCAACATGAGTGAGACTTGGTCTCAAAACAAACAAACAACAACAACAAACATTATCACACATTAGTTGGCTACTTACCATTTTCCCAAGATTATTTCATGAGATGGATTGAAATAATTACTGAATTGCAGGAAATGTTAGAGCACTATATTTGCAACCCATGTATATTTTCTTTGGATTTATTAAAATCGGCAGTGTGACTATATATCTTTCTATATATTTCATATAACCTCTATTTTCTGATATAGAACTGTTCTTCCAGAGTCTGACCACTGTTCCTACTTAGCAGGGATCCTCCTGGAATGGTGTGTATCCTAGCTCAGATATGTCAATGACAAACATCAGTGCCATAAACACAAATGTGTGTGCATTTATTTTCTGTTTTTCACTGCAGTGTATGTAATATTAGACCATTAAGATATAAATAATATGAACCAAGAGTTTGAGCTTGTCAATAAAGTGCTGTCCTTGCATTTCTATTTACTTTGATGCTAGCGTGGTATTAAAATACATATTTGCCATAAAAGCAATGAGTGGGATCTGTATTAAGCACATCCTGATTTTTCCATGGCAAGTTACTATCTACTGAGTCAAAGTCTAACAATTGTCTGATAATAGCTTCAGACAATTTTATCCTCTTCTTGAGAGAGTTCTCAAAAGTGTATTCAATTATTCAAGAGGAAATCAATGATCCAGAAATCCACCATTTCTTCCAGAAAAATACAGAAGTGGGAACCCCAGGCAGACCTGGAAATTGTTGAGAAGAAAGACAGAAAAGAGTTGTGAAGCCGGGCGTGGTCGTTCCTACCTATAATCCCAGCACTTTGGGAGGCCGAGGTGGGCAGATCACGAGGTCAGGAGATTGAGACCATCCCAGCTAACACGGTGAAACCCCGTCTCTACTAAAAATACAAAAAATTAGCCGGGCATGATGGTGGGCGCCTGTAGTCCCAACTACTTGGGAGGCTGAGCGGGAGAATGGCATGAACCCAGGAGGCGAAACTTGCAGTGAGCCGAGATCACGCCGCTGTCCTCCAGCCTGGGCAACAGAGCGAGACTCCATCGCAAGAAAAAATAATAATAAAAAATAATAATAAGAGTTGTGAGACAACACATAGGTTGTTCCGCTGTTTCTGGCTTTGTTTTTTGTGAGCAGTCGTTGGGTAGCAGTGGATTAAGTGCTTGTATCAACACAATCCCTATACTTTCAGAGATGTTATTGGTGTCTCCTAGATCGGGACTGTAATGTCATAGTTATTATTCATTAGTTGATATGATAAATTACTCGCCAACATTCCACCCATGGAATAAATGCGTATAAAGTGTTTGTGGCCAGAACGGTGAAACAAAGTCAGGTAATAGAAAATTTCAGCTCTTCGTTGAGGACAAGGTGAGATAAAAAGATGCTGAGGAGCAACGTCCTAAATGGATGTGACCCAAGTAAAGTGTCATCATGGCAACAAGGGCAGGAGAGTTAATTGGTGACACTGGGGGAGGCAAGTGAGATATTATTTCAACTGACTCTTCGAGGAGTAGGAGTTTACCAAGCAATTAAAGAGAGAGTGAGTGACATTCAGGCAGAGGAACTCCATGAAAACCACCTCTTCTTTCTCCATAATTGGTTCAGGGTCATGGACATATGGGGAAGAAGCAATGGTGAGACTGAAGATGGTGTCAGATAATAAGATGGCCAGGATTGTGAAGCACCTGGCATACGTAGCTAAAGATTTACAATGTTATCAATTACAAAATGCATTCTTTTAAATTTTTACTTAGTCGTTAACATATATGACTTTTAATTATGAATATTTATCGGCTTGGCACGGTGGCTCATGCCTGTAATCCCTGCACTTTGGGAGGCTGAGGCAGGAGGATCATGAGGTCAGGAGTTCGAGAGCAGCCTGGCCAATATTGTGAAACCCCATCTCTACTAAAAATACAAAAATTCACCAGAAAAAAAGATTTATCTTAGAAACTTGAATTATAAACCCATCAGGTTTTAGCTCTTTTTAAATTTCATCAATATAATGATGATTGTGATGTATTGGATAAGCCAGAGTGAGAAGAAGATGGTGATAAAGAGATCAGTTAAGAGCCTACTGTAATAACATAAGCAAGAAATAATAACAGTTTGAGCTCAAGCATTGCATCACAGCCAAGTTTTAGAAGAAGCAACGAGGAGGATCTGGTAAATAACTGCTGGGATCTGGTGGGGGCTCAAGGGAGAAGGTGGGGATGACACTGGGATTTCTAACATGGGAGAGAGAGAGAAATTCTGCTAAACGATGTCAAGAATCAGAGAGCAAAAAAAGTGAGGAAGCAGAGAGCGTACTATAGCTCTGGCCATACTAACTGTGAAGACCTGCAGAACACCCAGGCCTGTGTACTCAGGCTGAAGAGAGGCTGCTCCCACAGATATAACCTTGAGTTTTAGGACATGGCAAAGCAGAGATTCCCCCAGACACACTGTGTATAGCAGAAGTAGGAGAACACCGGTGTAGGTTATTCAGAAAATGCTCTAATACTTTAATTCAAGGGCTAACTCTCAGCCTTTTTCTCAACAGTCATCTCAGGTGCACCTGACAGAGTCGTCGATCACTCTCTCGGGAACAGTTGTCCACTGGGCTCCTAGACCATTGTCTGGATTCCGTACTGTGCCCAGAGTGCTGCTCCATCTTCTCCAGATCCACCTTCTATTTCCAGTCTCTAAATGTTGAGATGTTTTAGGAATCTGTCCTTGGCCTTATTCTTTTTCCTATTTATACTTACTACTTAGTGTAAGTTTCATCTGGTCCCATGGTTTTAAACACTGTACATTCATGCATTCATTTAGTGTCTATTTAGTACCTAACCCTTATTAGTCTCACATGGCTATGAATAAAACAGACTCTGTTCTCATGAAATTTACCATCTTATTAGAGGGAAATAGAAAATAAAAATATAAAATGTGTAGGTATGCAAAGAAAAATAAAGGACATTAAGGAGCTGGAGGACAGACCACAACCCTTGCAACAATAAACAGAATTTCTCTTTGAACTTCTCCTGCCCTCCTTTCACCTGCCTGAGGCAGGACTCTGTGGGTCATGAAATCCTCATTCCAAAGAGGGTCCTGCCCCATACCCTGGAGGAAGGAAGGCTGCACAGAGAGGCCAAGTAAAATCTGAACTCACAGGGCTCGCTGGGTTTAGATCATACCCTTTTGTCCAATCACATTTTGATATAGTTGTCCATGCTTCAGTCATGCCTGTGTAAGGAAGCTCCACAAAACCCCAAAAGGGCAGAGTTGAGGGAGCTTATGCAGAGCTGAACCCTTGGAGGTTCCTGGAGGGTGGAGCTGGGGAGGGCATGGAAGCTCTGTGCCCCTTTCGCCTATACCTCATCCTATGCATCTCTTCGTCTGTATCCTTTGTAATAACTTGCATAGTACATGGATATATGGAAGTGGTTCCCTAAGCTCTGTGAGCTGCTTCAGCAAATTAATCAAACCCAAAGAGGGGATGGTGGGAACCCCAGCCTGAAGTCTGTTGGTCAGATCTGGAGGCCTGGAATCACAACTGTTGTCTGAAGGGGGGCAGTCTTGGGGACTGAGCCCTCAGTCTGTGGAATCTGCCACTGTCAGAACAGAATTGGACAACACCCAGCTACTTGGTGGGGAACCCCTGCCCACATTAGTCACAGAAGTATTCTGTGTTGATTTTTTGTTGTGTTGGTGTGAGGGCAGAGGAAAAGCATGGTTTGAGGGGTTTCCAAAAACAAATGTATACTAATCTATCCATTCCTTCAGCAGATATTGATTGGGTAGCTATTTTATACCTAACACTCTTGTAAGTCTCTCATGGCTGTGATTAAAACAGACTTTGTTCTCATAGAATTTACCCGCTATTAGAGGGAAATAGAAAATAAAAATATATAGTTTATAGGTACCCAAACAAAAATAAAGGAGGGTAAGGGGATGGAGGACAGAAAAGCACTTCTCAAAATGTCCCATGTCAGCAAGGACATGACACGGAGCTGTCTCGGGGTACGATGCTTCAGCGGGAGGAAACAGTAAGAGGAGGGCTGCAGGTTCCTGTCCAAAGCCAGCGAGCTGGAGGCAGGGATGGGGGAGATGGCACCAGAGAGGTGTCCATGCCCAGGGTAGCAGGAAGCCAGCGAGCAGGAAGCAAGGAGGGGGAAGATGGCATCAGAGGGGAATCCAGGCCCAGGTCAGAAGGAAGGTCCTTACGGATCATGGGTCAGGTTTGAACATCATTCTGAGAAAAAAGAAACGCTTCCATAGTCGGCAGAAGAGTGGCATAACCAGGCTTACGTTTCTAAATGTCACTCCCACAGGTCGTAAGAAGCAACCCAAATCTTGGCTGTATACACTTGGGAGTGTATTTTGAAGATCAAGCCAGCATGTTTTGTGAATGAACTCGAAGTGGGGTGGAGGAGAAAAGAAGAGTCAATGACAGCTGCAAGGTTCGGATGCCAGGAGGTGAGATGAGGAGCAACAGCCATAGAGGAGGAAGGTGATGGGAGGCTGAGGGTGGGAGGAGTGGTGCAGAAAAACAACTTTTAGTTTGAGTCACCCTTTGAATTTCCGGGTGGAGATGGTGAATAGCAAGTAGGAGTATGAGTTGACAGGAGAGATCAGAACAGGAGGAATATGTGTGAAAGTCATGAGTGTCTGCTGCTACAAGATACTTCCAGTGCATCCTAAATCTAACCTCTTCTTACCCCTCCAGCTGCTACCAGCCTGCACTGAGCAGCCCTTCTGTCCTACGTGGCTTTCTGTAATAGATTTATACCATGTCTCTTTGCTTCTAAATTTGCCGCTCTACATTCTATGTACATAAAACAGCCAGAATCATATATTGCTGTCTGATTCACCATCCTGACTTAGCTTCCTATCATCCCTCAAATTCATATGGAACAAGAAAATACCCTAAATAGCCAAACCGACCTTGAGAAAGAAGAACAAAGCTGGAGATCTCACACTTCCTGATTTCAGAATATATTACAAAGCTACAGTAATTAAAACATTATAGTACTGGCATAAAGACATACATATAGACCAATGGAACAGAACTAAAAGCCTAGAAATAAACCAATGTATATACAATCAGCTAAACTTGAAGGAGGGGACCAAGAACACACAATGGGGAAAGGACAGTCTCTTCAACGCATGGCATTGGGAAAACTGAATATCCACATACAGAAGAATGAAATTAGACCACTATCTCATACCACACACAAAATTCTATTCAAACTGGATTAAAGACTTAAATGTAAGATCTAAAACTATAAGACTTCTACAGGAAAACACAGTGGAAAAGCTTCTTGACATTGTTCTGAACAATTAGTTCTTGTGTATTCTTCACTCAGGCCTTAATGAGCTCTGGCCCAGACTACTCTCCACATTCATTTCCAATTCTCTGCTACTCATTTGTCCAGTTCCAATTTAGTGAACTCCTATCTTTTAATTGAAAACATCAATAAAAATCTAATCTCAGGATGAGAATGTGGAGAAATTGGAACACTTATACATTGTTGATGAAGATATAAAATTGTGTAGCCACTGGGAGAAACAACTTCATTATTTCCCAAAAGTTAAACATAGAATTACCATATGATTTTGGTATATATTGAGGAGCAATTCCACTCCTCAATATATACCCAAAAGAACTGAAAATGGGAACTTGAGTAAGTACATGTACCCACATGTTCACAGCACATTATTTACAATAGCCATAAGGTGAAACAATGCAAATGTCCATCAATAAATGAATGGATAAACAAATTATAGCATATCCATACAATAGAATATTATTTAGCCATAAAAAAGGACTGACAAACTGATAAGTGCTACAATGTGGATGAACCTCCAAAACATTGTGCTAAATTAGAGGAGCCAAACACAAAAAGTGTATGATTCCATTTAATGAAATATCCAGAATAGATAAATCCATAGAGACAGAAAGCAGATTGGTGGTTGCCAGTGGCTGGGGTACTGAAGAAAATCTGTGTAATGAGCAAGAGGCTTTATTTGGAATGATGAAAATTATTTGGAATTAGACAGAGGTGGTGGTGACATAATACTGTGAATTTAATAAATGACAGTGAAATTTTTCCTTTAAAATGATTATTTTGTCTGGGTGCGGTGGCTCATGCCCATATTCCCAGCACCTTGGGAGGCCGAGGCAGGCAGACCACAAGGTCAGAGGTTCAAGACCAGCCTGGCCAATATGGTGAAACCCCGTCTCTGCTAAAAATAAAAAAATTAACTGGGTGTGGTGGCGTGGCTGTAGTCCCAGCCACTTGGGAGGCTGAGTCAGGAGAATCACTTGAACCTGGGCGGCGGAAGTTGCAGTAAACCGAGATCCATCACTGGACTCCAACCTAGGCAACAGAGCAAGACTCCATCTCAAAAAAACAAAAACAAAAAAAACAACAAAAAAACAAACTTTTACATTATGTGAATATTACCTCAATAAATTATAATTAATGTAAGCTTGAGGCATCATCATTTGCTGTTCCTTCTACCTGGGCCACTCTTAGTCTGCCAGCCAAATGGCCTGTGGTCTCACTTTATTGAGCTTTCAGCCTAGGTATCATCTGTTTAGAGGATTTCTCTGACTTCTAAATATAGCATCCCTTTTCACTCTCTTTCTCTTTACCTTACTTTATTTTTCCTAATCATAATTCAATATTATATGTATGCATATGTAAATGTATGTGTGTATGTGTATGTATATGCTTTATCATAGATTTATATCTTTATTCTGCTACTATTTACTATGTGGCTATGTGGCCTCGGGTAAGTCACTTGAACTTCTTTAATCCTCAGTTAATGCAAATGGAGATGTTAAAATCATCCATGTAGTTTTGTTATCAGAATTTAGTGAAATAAGGCATATAAAATGATAGAGTGTCTGGGACTATAGTAGGTGCTCAATAAATTAGGTTATTAGCTTCAGCTTTTAAAGAGTAGGCCTATGAGCAGGGGCAGTGAAAGGGAGAGAGAAGGTGCCTGAGCGAGTTAATAGTCATGTTATTTACTGAACCTAAGAGCAGAATGATTCTGTGGACTCTTAATGGAGAATATTCCACAAACTTTCTTTGCTTTATCCCATTGATCCTTTTTAATTCAGCGTATTTCCTATTTTTTTTTGAAGAAATTGATTTGTTAAAGAAACTGAGTCAAGTAGTGGGACATATCACACTTTCCTCGGGTGCACATCAGTTCAGGTTTTTAAAATCAATGATAAACAGAGTCCTTTATTATATTATAAATCAAAGAACAACCCAGCTTTTCTGAATCTGACAGTGACAAATTAGACATATACTTTACTGCCAAAGCTAAATCAGTCATTTCTCAGATAATGCTAAAAAGTAAACTTAGTCAGATCCAATGGCTTTTACTGTAGTTTTAGGCTGTTGCACTAGTTAACTAACATGTATTCAATAGCAGTAGCAAAACAAATAATTTAATACATCATTATCAGTGATTTAATAATATCAAATATTATTATCTGGGAATCACAAGCCTATTTTCGAAAGGAACAATATATCTGAAGGGAATGTGAACTGTGTGACACTAACAGCTTCTCTTCTTTGATCTCTATATTTTCTCTCTCTCCCTCCTTCCCTCCCTCCTTTCCTTCCTCTTGTTCCTTTCTCCCTTTCCTCCTCTTCCTCCACCTCCTCCTTTTTCTCTTCCTTCTCTCTCACATCATCTTCTTTTCTCCCTTAACTAGCTTTCTTTTTCTCCTGTTGAGTTAGGGGAAAATGAAAGTGGTTGGGATTGTCTCATTGCCCTGGTTTATTTAAACACATAGATGTCTTGTTAGAGAAAGCTTTGACTTTCCCAAAGGTTCATTTCCTTAGGCTTACTCTGGGCTTTCTGCAGGTGGATTCCAATTCACTGACTTCACACATATGTGCACACACATGAACACATATCAGCATAGGAACATTAAGATTCAGTTGCACTAATTTGAGAGGAAACATTTCTTCTTAAGGCAAATCTATTGACACGCTAAGGAGTGGTGTCACTTGTCATAAAGCATGCTTTTTGTTTCCCTCACAGTCCAGTTGATCACTTATATGCTCTAGGAAGAAGCAGTAGGAACTATAAACATAGGTTTATAGATATGTTTATCTTCTAGCTATCTTTATCCTCAGAGAGATGATTCCCAAAGTCTGGACCAAAGTATGGACCAAAACTATGGTGGGGCTATAGAGTACCTAACAGCTGTCCTCACAACCAAGTATGCACCAGCCATTATTGATACATGAAATAATGCTGTCTACCACATATATATAAGATTGAAGTATATCAGATTGCTAATATTCCATTCCTGTCCTATATAGATAGTAGTTTCATATGGTTTATCCTAACTCTAATGACACTCTTATACATATGCATTTATATAAATATATTATTTTTCAAATATATGAAAAAGCTATTGTGATTACATAAATGTACGTAATACCTCATTGAATTTATTGTTGCTTTTTAAAATCTTTATTGCTAGAGCAATTGAGTTAAAAGGGGACTAATCGAAGAGGGGTGATGGGGCAGGATGTTTTATCTTCCTATTGGTGCTGTAACAAATTATCACAAACTCAGTGGCTTAAAATGAAATAAATTTATTATATTTCTTATCGGTCAAGGTGTCAGCAGGGCTTTTGGAGATTCTAGGGCAGAAATGATTTTCACGCCTTTTCCTACTTCTAGGGTCCTCCTGTATTCCTGGGCTTGGGCCTCTTCCATATTCAAAGCCTCTCAAGTTCAATTCTTACTTTTGTTTCATTTTGCTTTATCTACATGGTAAAACCTTGGTCTCTACAACCTTTATTTTAACCCAGATATTCCTTTCTATTGATTCCAGGTCTTTAGATGAACTTTTTCAGCCAATTGCCAACCAGAAAATTTTTGAATCTACCTATGATCTGGAAACCCTTCTCCCCGCTTCAAGTTGTCTTGCCTTTCTGAGCAGAATCAATGTGCATCTCACTTGTATTGACTGATGTCTTATGTCTCGCTAAAATGTATAAACAAAACTGTAGCTCAATTACCTTGGGTACGTGTTCTCATTATCTCCTAGAGCTGTGTCACAGGCTATTGGTCCCTTATATTTGGCTCAGAAGAATTCTCTTCAAATATTTTTCAGAGTTTGACCCTTTTCATCTACAGTCTTAAAAGGCAAGCATTAGTGGCTGCGCAGAGCTGAGAAGATGACCCAGAAAGGCTCCCCATGCACCAGGAGTCAGAGACTCTGGATGGCTTTAGATGAGCCACCCAAGCACTGGGTCATAGCACACTTTCCCCGGGTACACATCAGCTCAGGTGTAAATATAGCAATGCAGATAGCGAGAGTGGTATGAAGCTGCCAATTTGCAAATGAGACTCTGAAGACAGACATGGGGACATCTCGGCATCTGTGCCTTGGAGGTAAATGAAAAGCTGAATGTCTGAAATCCCCTTGCATTTGGGAACACCGGCACTGGGAGGGGGCAGGAGGCTGAACCACTGAAGACTGCGTTGTCACTGTGGTCATGGGTAGGCTTCTCACAATTTCTAGGTTGCGGTCTTGGAAATAGCTGAGGTGACAAGGATGTAAGGACATAAAAGTGATTTGTGTCATCAGATTTGAGGCTGAGCTTCCACTGGAATATCTGTTAAATAGGAACAAAAATGCATGCATGCACAATTGTGATGAGTAATAAATGAGAAGACTGAGGTGAGGCAGGGTCTCATACCAGCAACTTGCAGGACAAATGCAGCCTGCACAGTGGATTTGGCTTGGAAGGTGAGATAAACATTCATTTTCAAGAAACACTATGGTCCCCAGGAGGCAGTACCCCATCTAGGACCCTCAGTTTTGTTTGTTGGATATGTCTAAACATCTGATATAAGAACCTTGATGAATTGACAGGCTCATTCAGCAAGTCATGGCCATGGTGTGAAGGGAGGTAATGAGAGAGTGTAAAATGAAGAAATAACACAGAAGAATTTTTTTTTTTTTTTTTTTACTTTGTCACCCAGGCTGGAGTGCAATGGTTCGATCCCAGCTCACTGCAACCTCTGCCTCCCAGGTTCAAGTGATTCTACTGCCTCAGCCACCTGAGTAGCTGGGATTACAGGCACCCATCATCATGCCCAGCTAATTTTTGTATTTTTAGTAGAGACAGGGTTTCACCACATTGGCCAGGCTGGTCTCAAACTCCTGACCTCATGTGATCCATCCGCCTCAGCCTCTCAAAGTGCTGGGATTAAAGGCATGAGCCACCATGCCCTGCCCAAGGAAGACTATTTCTTGCTAAAAATGATGTTCAATTTTTGTATCCAATCCGAATACATCTGGACAAATGTATATAGTTGTTACATGCTTTATATTTTGTCCATATTAGCCTATTATTAGTAAAAATGATCGGTTTAACTCTCAATTTAGGAACTTCTGCCTTTCTGAATCAGCAGTTTCTCCCCCTTAAACCTAAATCTAAAAATATTGGTCACTGCATGTGAGTGAACTAATACACAGGAAAAGTTGAGACAGGCGAGCACCCAGATTTTTCTTTAAATAAAACCATCACGCTTTGAGTTAGCCATGAGTTGATAACTGTTGAAGCTGGGTGATGTGTACATGGCAGCTCATTACATTCTGCTTTTGTGTGTGTGATTTCCATAATAAAATAATATGTGTCCTTTATTCTGCAAGATGGTGCACCTGGCACAATGAAGACCATGCACACCTACAGCTGAGACTTCAACATCAGACCGGCTTTTCTGGAAGCAAAGTCTATCTGTGAACTGGAACCTAAACCACATTTCAGAAATGTCACTGCTGGTGACTTTGAGAACTCATATGAACACAAAGTCATTGCCTCCAAAATAACTCTCTTCCATCTTTTGTGGTAATATTTGTCCTTCTGCGAACTGTTCATTTCAGAGACTCTTATCTCTTCTACATTGAGGAAGTCATAAATGATGCCTGTCCCTTCCATTGTTGATAAGACAGTTGACGAGAATGTGTGCAGGTACCTGGTTGTTGGATACTCATTAAGAGATAACTACTTGACTCCAATCTACACTATAAGGTCACAGTAACCAAAACAGCATGGTACTGGTAGAAAAACAGACACATAGACAAAAAGAACAGAATAGAGAACTCAGAAATAAGAGTGCACACCTACAACCATCTGATCTTCAACAAACCTGACAAAAACAAGCAATGGGGAAAGGATTCCCTATTTAATAAATGGTACTGGGAGAACTGGCAGCCATATGCAGAAAATTGAAACTGGATCCCTTCCTTATACCTTATACAAAACTTAACTCAAGATGGATTAAAGACTTAAATGTAAAACCCGAAACTATAAGAACTCTAAAAGAAAATCTAGACAATACCATTCAGGACATAGGCACAGGCAAAGATTTTGTGACAAAGCACCAAAAGAAATTGCAACAAAAGCAAAAATTGACCAATGGGATCTAACTAAACCAAAGAGCTTCTGCACAGCAAAAGAAACGACCATCAGAGTGAACAGACAACCTACAGAATGGAAGAACATTTTTGCAATCTATCCATCTGACAAAGGCCTAATATCCAGAGCCTACAAGGAATTTAAATTCACAAGAAAAAAACAAACAACCTCATTAAAAAGTGGGCAAAGGACATGAACAGACACTTCTCAAAATAAGACATTCATGTAGCCAACAAACATAAGAAAAAAAGCTCAACATCACTGATCATTAGAGAAATGCAAATCAAAACCACAATGAGATACCATCTCATGCCAGTAAGAACGGCAATTATTAAAAAATTCGAGAAACAGCAGATGCTGGCAAGGTTGCAGAAAAAAAGGAACACATCTACACCGTTGGTGGGAATGTAAATTAGTTCAACAATCGTGGAAGACAGTGTGGCAATTACTCAAAGATCTAGAAGCAGAAATACCATTTGATACAACAATCCCATTATTGAGTGTATACCCAAAGGAATATAAATCATTCTGTTGTAAAGATACATGCATGTGTATGTTCATTGCAGCACTATTCACAATAGCAAAGCCATGGAATCAATCCAAATGCCCATCAACAGTAGACTGGATAAAGAAAATGTGGTACATATACACCATGGAATGCTATGCAGCCAGAAAAAGGAACAAGATTGTGTCCTTTGCAGGGACGTAGGTGGTGCTGGAAGCCATTATCCTCAGCAAACTAATGCAGGAACAGAAAACCAAACAGCACATGTTCTCACTTATAAGTGAGAGCTGAACTATGAGAACACATGGACACAGGGAGGGGAACAACACACAGTGGGGCCTGTCAGGGGGTTGGGGAGAGGGAGAGCTTTAGGAAAAACAGCTAATGCATGCTGGGCTTAATACATGGGCAATAGGTTGATCTGTGCAGCAAATTACCATGGCACACATTTACATATGAACAAACCTTTACATCCTGCACATGTACCCCAGAACTTGAAATAAAAGTTGATAAAACAAACAAACAAAAAAGAAACCTGCACATGTACCCCTGAATCTAAAATAAAAGTTGAAAAAAAGAAAAAAGAAAATCCCATTCCAACTATAAGGCTGAAAGTCAACTGCACACATGAGAATAAAACTCAGCAAAATTCTCTGTCAGACTATTCTGTTTCCTCAATAATTTGTTCTTTTGGCCAATTGATTAAAATATTGTAACATCCTTGAAGACAATATTTTATTATAAACTTATTGGCAATTTTATAAAGAGAGGTGACTACCAGTTCTAGAGTTCTTATCATAACATAGGCACTTGCGCCTGGCCAGCCTCCAAGTCACAACCATTTTGTGGCACTGGTGTTATTCTACTTGAGGTTGTTTTTCTGTCAATTTTCAAGACATTCTCTTGCCTGCCAGCTTCTAATCATATTGACAATATATGACAGCTTCTTGGAAGCCTATTTCTGATTAAAATGTCCTTTAAAATTCACTGGATTTGGCAACAACTTTAAACCATTGGTTATCTGATATCCTGGACCATAGCTAGAGAAGCAGATGGTGTGGGACCCAGATGGAAGTGGATTTATTTTTCCAAGAAATACCCCTGAACTCAATGACTTTGAGTCAGTCTTTATTTCAAACTTTATTTCTACACAGTTCATCTTTCTTATTAAAAAAAAATGGATTTCAGAATGTGTAGATACAAGGATATTCCAGACAGAAATAACAAAGCTTTCAATGCAATATAAATTATTGATTCAAAAGTGGAAGTCATGTTCTTTCCAGTGATTTTCTCATAGTCCAAAATCCTGGCTTTTAAAGTTAGACTTACTGGTGTTCATTTTTGGATTTTGAATCGCACTAGCTTTGTGACCTGAAGCAAATCACTTAAGATCTCTGAGCATCAGTTTTCTTTTAGATAATTCATATCTTTCTTGCTATTATATTATTATGCTATTATTGTATATTCCTTTCTATCCTGAGAGTTAAATAATCATCCTATGTATGGGCCTGGTTAATGTTAATAAGGCTAGTTTTCTTCTTTGTTTCCCTGCAGGAATTGGCTTTCATGCTTTATTGATGTCCTTTGATTTGTCAGTATCATTCAAACTTTTCTCTACAAGTCCTCCCACTTGCAAGATATCTCCTTGTAGGTTCATACCCACTCTCTTATTTTCCTTGTAACAAGTTTTTTGATTGAATGTGGATAATAATTTCTGCAGTTTTTAAAGTTGCATTGAATTTTCAGGGAGAACACGCCAAAACCTATGAATAATTCAACATTATCAGAAAAGGTCACCTTTCTGCCCCTCTGCCACAATTTTCTACAAGTTTTTCTTTTTCTTTCTTTTTCTTTCTTTCTTTCTTTCTTTTTTTTTTTTTTTGAGACAGAGTTTCACTCTTATTGCCCAGGCTGGAGTGCAATGGTCCAATCTCGGCTGACCGCAACCTCCGCCTCCCAGGTTCAAGTGATTCTCCTGCCTCAGCCTCCAGAGTAGCTGGGATTCCGGCCATGCGCCACCATGCCCAGCTAATTTTTGTATTTTTAGTAGACATGGGGTTTCTCTATGTTGGTCAGGCTGGTCTCACACTCCCGATCTCAAGTGACTTACCTGCCTCAGCCTCCCAAAGTGCTGGGATTACAGGCATGAGCCACCGTGCCCAGCTCCAAGTTTTTCTTAATGCATTTCTTTGTCTTTCTCAAATGTGTGCTCTAACTGTGCAGCTTCTTTCTCTGTCAACCTTTGATGGTCTTGCACATGAGGAATAAGTTTGGTTGAGTTGAATCCATGAGGAATCTCTGGAAATGGAGACTTGGAGACATTTCCTTGGCTTCTCTAGTTCTAATCCCTTCCTAACTAGCTAGCACTAGCTTCTCAACTATTCAAGAATACAATAATACTGCCGTCTTCAGTCTGTCCTCACTCCAGCTCTTCTAGCCTATGCCTTTCAGCTATGTTTTCATATCTGCATTTGAAACTCTTCCAAACTAAGTCTTTTGAAGTTCAGAATCTGACACAGCATTTTAGTGCACATGGAACACACTGCAATCTGAAAGACCCAGCATTGCAAGCATTTATTGCATTGACCTCTGCAGTGTGCAAGAGGGAGAATTTAGCTCATTGTCAAAGCCTGCACGTTAATCCCCTGCAGCTCGTGTAGCAAAGCACCACAAATTGGATGACTTCCACAACAAAAATGGATTCTCTTACAATTTTGGAGGCCAGAGGTCTGAAGGCAAGGTGTCCAAAGTGTTGGTTCCTTCCAAGGCTATGAGGGACAAACTGCTCCAGGCCTCTTTCCCAGCTTCTGGTGTTTTGCTGGCCACCTTTGGTGTTCCTCGGCTTGCAAACTTCTGTCTTCATCTGCACATCTCTTGTGTGGATGTCTAAATTCTGAGTCCAAGTTCCCTTTTTATAAAGATACTGGTCATACTGGATTAAGGCCCACCCATAGGACCTCAGCTTGACTTGATCATCTGAAAAGACCATTTCTCAATAAGGTCACATTCACAGGTGCTGGAGGTGAGAACTTTAATATCTTTTGGGATGACAAAATTCATCCCATACTAGACCACTCCATTTTTGTTCTTTGCGGTCAAGAATGCTGAATTTTCTTTTCTCACTGACTAAGAAGAATGTCAATAGGCGATGTCTACAGGACTGAAACCCAAGTGCCACCTTCTCTCATCTGCACAGAGGCAGGAACAGCTGAAGTTCACTTTCACAGGTCCCTATAAATAACTCATTTCCTCAGGCACCAGGCCTCCTGCTCTCCCTAACTGGAAATTTGGTCAGAGGAAAGGGCTGCAATTTGCTAAAGTAATTACCAAAGCTGTGGATGGATAATTCAAGTTTAGATCATACCATTTGAAAATGTTAGTGTATCCTTTACATTTTGAATACCATTTATCTTCCAGCATTATTCTGAAATATATATTAAAATATTTTCTGCTGACTATATTTACTGCAATCGTTCCTCTTCAGTTGTTTCACATCTGGAAAATATGTGTGAGAATTGTTTCTTTGGGGATTCATGTATTTTTTTAAAATGTAGATGATGTAAATCCTACACAGAGTCCATGAATAAGCAACTATTTAGGAGGTGCTGGGCACAGATACCCCACAGAGATTCTCTGGAATTCACAGCTCAACCCTGCAATGTGGATAGGATGGTGCCATTTTGTAGTCTCAGAGAAACTGTGATAGGCTCATTCCCATGAAGCTGAAGGCTTGCCATGCTGGGTCTTTCAGATTCCAGTGTGTTCCATGTGCTAAGAGCTGTGACTTTTCTAAGAATATAGCCCAGAGTGGGGTTGTCTCTGAAGTCAGCCTGCCTAGGCTTGGATCCAGGCCCCAACACTAGATAAGTGAACCTAGACAAGTGACGTAATCACTTAGTGCCTCAGTGTCTCACAACCAAATACATGGTATTTATTCGTAGGGTTGTTGTGAAAATGACATGAAATTGTGTTGATAAAACATCTAATATAGGGCCTGGCACACAAGAAGTATATGATACATAGTAGCATCACGTATGTAATTGTCAACAAAGAGTCAATCTCTGTAAAATATTTAAAGAGATTTATTCTGAGCCAAATATGAGTGACCAATGCCTGTGATACAGCCCTCAGGAGATCCTGAGAGCATGTGTTCAAGGTGCTCAGGACACAGCCTAGTTTTATACGTTTTAGGAAGACATGAGACATCTGTCAGTACATGTAAGATATACATTGGCTTGGTCTGGAAAGGCAGGAAAACTTGAAGTGTTGTCTGGGGGAAGTGCTTCTAGGTTATAGGTATATTTAAAAATTTGCTGATTGGCAACTCATTGAAAGAGTTATTAGCAATAGAAAGGAATAAATGTCTGAATTATAATAAGGGGTTGTGGAGACCAAAGTTTTTTCATGCAGATGAAGCCTCCACGTAGCAGACTTCAGAGAGAATAGATTGTAAATGTTTCTTGTCAGACTTAAGGTCTGTGTTGATGTCAAATGGTGGTTGGCTTTTCCTGAATTCCAAAAGGGAGGAAAGAATAATGAGGCCTGCCCGAACCCCACTTCCCATTCTGGCCTGAACCAGTTTTTCAGGTTAACTTTGGAATACCCTGGCTGAAAGGAGAGGTCCATTCAGATGGTTGGCTTTAGGATTTTATTTTTGGTTCACGTAGTGAAGTAATAAGGTGGTAGAAAATAAACATATTATAACTTACTACAAAATAAGGGCAATTTAGGGAAGGAGAAGCCACTGTCTGTTGGAACCAAAGTCTCATCCTCTTAATTATCCTGCTGTGTTTTCTCTATTCTAAAGGCAGGAAAGTTGCCCTCTTGCTCAGGCAGCCAAGGACATCCCAATTCATTTACCTCACCACACGTTTTTGCACCTCCTGTGATGACATAAATCCACTCACAGTTGTGGGAAGAGGTGGTGGTCCTTGGCAGAATGTGTTCTTGGCACAGGGGATTTGAGCTGAAATGTGTCCTGGTCATGCTGAGGTCCATCCAGTATGGCCGTGCCAGTTTTGCTCCAACTCAACTTTTCCACATTCAGGTGACCCTGAAAGGATGCAAAAAGTTTGCTTTTGTTAAAAGTGCATTCTAAAAATCTAAAAGTGACACTCCAAAGCTATTGCTGCTTCTCCAGGGATGGCTAGAAATAAACATGCTCACTATCAGCTTTTTGAAAGTACCTTTGGGCCACATGGAGGAGCAGAACTGTTGTGTGGATTTTAACTTCGGTAACTGTATTTAAATTGCCATCCGGCCTTGCAGCCTGAGGAATTCCAGGAAGCATTGTGTGATTTCACACTTAAATTGGTAAAGTGAGGTTGCACATGAAAGCCTTCCTATCCCAGAACCTCACAACATGAACAGAGAATGAGCTATAATGGAAATGAGAGGAAAGAAGAGGCAGTGAAAGAAGGCAGGAGAAAGGACACCAGCACACATTTAAAATGAATTGTTTGATGAATAGGTGGCTCACCATTAAGCAGAACAACGAATTATCTAAAAATATTCAAAACACAGCATGGTGCAGCTCCACATAGCTCTTCTCTTTGTGCTCCTGGCTGTGCTTGGAAAGAGCTAAGACGGTCCTGACCAGCTCATGTGATCCCTGGACTGGGAGAAGTAACAGGAGAGGGGTGCGTGTGACCTTTTCCACACTCCTCATTCTATAGGAACAACAACCGCAAAACCAAAACACAACCCTCAGGGAGTCTATACTGGTGACTTCCTCAAGGGAGAAAACAGGGAAAAAAGGGAACAAAAGGGCCTACTTATCTTGAGTAATAAATTAAAAATTAGGGGAATAGATTGTAGGTAAGAAATACACACAGAGAGAACATCTCAGAAAGGCCTTGTGGAGTCCTCTCACAGGGGCCCAGTCACCTTCCATCAAAGCCATTTTTGCTTCCAGGAGGGGCAATAGGTGTGGGGATGGAACAGTCAGGTGAGGGCAGGGATCAGTCCATTCAGCTGGAGAGAGGCTGCAGGTACAAGTTCCTACCCAGGAAGGAGGACATAACCTAAAGAAGGTAAAATGTCAAATCAGGTTGGGCTAAGCATGTAATCCCAGCACTTTGGAAGGCTGAGGCAGGCGGATCACCTGAGGTTGTGAGTTTGAAACCAGCCTGACCAACATAGAGAAACCCTGTCTCTACTAAAAATACAAAATTAGCCGGGTGTGGTGGCACATGCCTGTAATCCCAGCTACTCGGGAGGTTGAGGCAGGTGAATCGCTTGAACCTGGGAGGCGGAGGTTGCAGTGAGCTGGGATTGTGCTACTGCACTCCAGCCGGGGTGACAGTGTGAGACTCTGTCTCAAAAAAAAAAAAAAAATTCTATGTTACATGCAGTTGTCCTGTCTACTTAGGCCCTGCTTGGCTGTAATAATTTCTTAGACTTTCTTTGTTTTTGATAACCTTGACAGTTTTGAGGAATACTGGTCAGATATTTTGGAAAATGTCTCTCAATTATAATTTATCTCATTTTTAAAATAATTAGACTAGGGTTATGAAGTTTTTAAAGGAAAACCATGGAGGTAAATTGCTATTCTCAACACATCATGTCAAGAATACATGCTATCAACATGACTTATACTGTTGATGTTGACCTGGCCAACAAAGTGTTTGTCAGATTTCTCCACTGTAATGCTACTTTTCCCCACTTTCCATACTCCATGGTTAGTTTCAGTTGGTTAGATTGTCTCCTCAGTCTAGCAATGCCTTTAGAGAAGGTCCTGTATGGGTAAGGCTGCTGATGGGGGTGCAGAGCCACTGCTAAGATCTGCACAACTGTCACTATGAGTCCTTGCCTCTTTCCCCATTTGTAGCTAACCCCACGCTCTAGTCATGCCAATTCTCCCAGTGTTTCACATGAGGCAAGTCAGAGGTGCACCTCTTAGTTACTGCCCCCAAATGCTAGGAGAACTGAACATAAGCCTTAGTCTCTCTTTCTCCCACTTGGTAAATCAAGGGTCAAGGGAGTCCTTCTTAGTGTGTGGCTGTGTCATCTTGGGGGAGAAGCAACACAGACAAAGTAAATCTGCTTATTGTACCCTACTTGATGCAGTTTTTGGGCTCCACTGGCATGCTACTGCCTTTCTACTGGGCTCCTGGATTCTCACAAAGGCATTCCCAACTATGGATAGTTGCTAAGTTGGTGTTTCTGTCAGGGGACTAGGGGTGGGGCCTTCCTATTCCACCATATTGCTGATGGCACTCTCTCTTTCACTTTTGAAAAAAAAAATTACTTTTTGGATATAGAATCTAGAATATAGAATTCTGGGATATAGAATTTTAGGCTGCTGAAAAAAAGATTTCAAACCTTTGTGTGGTTCATTGTACTCTATTCATGCTTGCATGGACCTTGATGAGAACACTGCTGTAATTGTTATTCTTGTTTCACTATATATAATATGTATTTTTCCTTCAAGATTTTGTCTTTGATTTTCTGCAGTTTGACTAAGATAGGCCTAGATGTGTTGTTTTTATTTATCCTGCTTGGTGTTTATGTTTTAGGGCCTATATCCTTCAATGAGTAACAGGGAATACAGGACAGAGAAATAGTTAAATAAGAGTATATGGAAAGATGGTGCAAAAGACATGGAGGACAAGTCAGAGAAGGACTGACAAGTAGCACAACTTTTAACCTAATCCAGTACTCACTTTTCAAAACATATATTTGTTATTGTTGTTCTATACAGCTGTGTGTATCTGTATTACATATACGTGGTAGAAATAATGTGAAAACCTTTAAAGCAAGCTGCATTGATGGAATTCACTGATATCCCTATGTTTCATGTGTTTCCAGTAGCTTGGTAACATTTGACTCTCCATTTGTTAAAAGAAGTCTCAAATCTTCTCCCAGCTCTTGCAATTGGTTCCATCACTTTTTTTTAGTAACCACCCTACTGCACTGAAACCATCTTTAGCAAAATACAGAGTTGGAAATAGGGCTAAATAAGTAATTTAGCTTCTTTCCAAATGAGTAGGTGTGAAGATCTTAAATGCAAAATCTTTTCTAACTATACTAGTTGAAAGATATTTTGGTCTCAAAGTCACTTATTTAACTTCCTGTAAATCATTAACATGTTTCTTTGGCCATTTTAAATGAATTAATGATCAGGTCTAGTATATTAAGCTAATAGAAAGATTTAAATCAATTATTATACATTTTAAGTAATATTATAACCAATATATTTCCAAACAAAAACCATTAAGTGTATCTTCATGCAATTCTCAGTGAACAAGTTTATGTACAATACACATATTGATAGCTCCTTTGAAGTATCTAATTTCCTTAGAACTTGGGAAGGATCTATTTAACATTTTAAATGTGCCTGAGAAATATGTCCCATATTTTCTCAATAATTCAGCTTTAACATATAATTTTTAAGACAAATTTAAAAGTTATTCAACAGCAACAAAAAGTGAATAAGATCTTATTTTTTTTTTTTTTAAATGGAGTCTCACTCCATCGCCAGGCTGGAGTGCAGTGGCGCTTTTTTGACTCACTGCAACCTCTGCCTCCCGGGTTCAAGCGATTCTCCTGCCTCAGCCTCCTGAGTAGCTGGAACTACAGGCGCCTGCCATCTCCATTTTTAGTAGAGATGGGGTTTCACCATGTTGGCCAGGATGGTTTCAATCTCTTGACCTCGTGATCCGCCCATCTCGGCCTCCCAAAGTGTTGGGATTACAGGCATGAGCCACTGCGCCCAGCCAAGATCCGTTTTTTAAGCATTCTCCTTAGCAGAGCTACTTCCTTTGCTATACAGAATAAGACATCCAAATACGTCTTTATTGTCACTGCAAGTTCATAAAATAATCTGTCATTCGGAGGTGCATTTTCCATGCTACTGGGTGCACTAGCAACGCTGGAGATTCCTGTGACCTTTCACTAGGATTCTTGACATCTTTGTGTTGATGAGCATAAGTTAAGCAATTGCTTAAAAACCTGGTGCAGTTTTTTAAAGTCCTCCTGCAATCCACTCACCTCATTCTCCATGGCTGTTGTTCCATCTGCAGCAGAGGCGATGACTCTGAGAAATGCACTGTTTTAATAAATTTTAAGAGTTTCAGGCAATGGAAATGTGTTTATATTCATTGTCAGTAATTTTGAAAGTAACATTTCCTCTGTGGCTTTTCATCCCTTACAAATTTGACATATGCAAGCAGTAAACCTTCATTATCACCTGAGGTGTTTCTTTTTCTTCACTTACAATGCAAATTTACTAAATGGCAGTACATTATTAAGTTGTATTTAAATCTTTCCCCACCTCAAAATTTTTTTGAAGCATGAAAGTTGCTTGTTGAAAAAGAAAACAATTATCTCCTTGGAATTTATTTCCATTTAGTATTAATAATCATTCATACAGCTAATATGATAACTTTTCTCTAGTATTATATAGTTTGCCATATTTTACATTAATTTTTTACCTTAGTTTTACCTAAGAAGCAATGAAATATCTTCTTTCTTTCTGATCCAAAAATGCCTTCAATATTTTAGTTACATTATTACTTTTGTCAAATTGTTACAGGAAAGGGGTTCTGGTCCAGACCCCAAGAGAGGGTTTCTGGATCTTACACAAGAAAGAATTCAGGGCAAGTCCATACAGTAAAGTGAAAGCAACTTTATTAGGAAAGTAAAAGAATAAAAGAATGGCTACTCCATAGAAACAGCAGCCCTGAAGGCTGCTTTGCCCATTTTTATGGTTATTTCTTGATTATATCCTAAACAGGGGGTGGGTTATTCACGCCTCCCCTTTTTAGACCATATAGGGTAACCTCCCGGCGTTGCCATGGCATTTGTAAACTGTCATGGCGCTAGTAGGAATGTAGCAGTGAGGACAACCAGAGCTCACTCTCATCACCATCTTGGTTTTGGTGGGGGTTAGCCAGCTTCTTTACTGCAACCTGTTTCATCAGCAAGGTCTTTATGACCTATATCTTGTGCTCCTATCTCATCCTGTGACTTAGAATGCCTTAACTGTCTGGGAATGCAGCCCAATAGGTCTCAGCCTTATTTTACCCAGCTCCTATTCAAGATAGAGTTGCTCTGGTTCAAACCTCTCTGACAAAATCATGTCTTCATATCTTGTAAGTTCAATAGATATTTGACATCTCTCTTTATCAAAGTATTTTTGGAAAATGTTTGCCTAATTTATGGTTTTATTCTGTTTTTTCAAAATAAATTTTGAAACAAAATCACTACTGAGAATCTAACAATGCTATTTGGTAATTTATTCTTATATTTAACATTTTAAATAAAATCTAAATTTGCATATTTTCCTGTATAGGTAGATCACCATAATCAGGAGAGTTACAAGTGCAAATTGATAAAGAGTGCTTTATCAGTAAGTCAAATACCAGGAATAAAATTCTTGATGACAGCATGCTTTTCCAAAATAATGGACAATTCTTGGTAAAGTGCCAAATAAAGCAATATGTAATTTTCCCTTAATTTCTATGGTAGATCCGTTTGTGTGACGTTCAACACATATTACAATTGTGTGAAAGCATCATACTTACATGTAAAACGGGCCTCCGTCATTTTTTCAGCTTCATCATTTTCACTGAAACATTCAAAGTAAACTGGAACACAGCATGGTTTTCTAGGGTACAGAAAGGTATATCTCGATTTTGGAGAATTCTAGATGTGGACTGACTAAAAGTCCCAGTCCTCATTCTCTAAATGCTCAGAAAATTTCCAAAATTCCCTGAAGAGGAGATATTACCTCCTATGGGAACCACTGATATCTCACAACCACTCATATCTTTGCAACCTCAGAGTAACAGTGCTCCAGTTTACAAAAAGAAAACTGAGATTCAGAATGGGGAAAAAATGCCCTGTATAGTTACATAACTAATACATAGTAGAGATGGAATTAAAATTCAGGTCTGTGTACTTCAGAGACAAGCCTTTTCCACTAGAACCTGCTGGTGCCAATCTCTTTTGATTAAATAAATAGGTGAATCCAAAATTAATAAATGGACTCATCATTTGGCCTTAAAGATCTTTTGCCATCCCAACCGCTCCTTGAAGGGAAGGAAATTGAGGCCCACACAGACTATTGCACTTTCTAATATGGGAAGTCTTGTCCACACTACAGTGACCATATTTCACAAACCCAACATGTTTTCTTGGATGGACTTAAAGCCACTGGATACAAAAATCACTACTATTTTAATTGCACGACTCTTTATTGCTTCCTTGTATTTTGTGAACTGATAATGAGTCACAGTGATATTGCAGAATTGTGATTTTTTTTTTGGCTGTGAGGTTTGAAAAATTAAACAGGTTGAGGTTGAACTAATTTTGCTAATGTGACCTTTTAATGTTTAAAAACTGCATAATTCCCCTCAAAAACAAGTTCCTCTTGCTTTTACTAGGAAAATGATACTGATAAAATATAAATTAAATCAACTTGATAGACAGACTGGGCAACTCAACACAAAACACCTAATTAATTGCCAACAATGAAGTTTCATGTGAAATATGATAAAATGACATAACACTGCATTTGAAACAAGATAATTTCCAGAGAAAGATTTTAAAAGCAGTTTCTAACTGATAATGTGTGAAAAGTTAATTAAATGCAATCACTAATTATCATTATTGCCCCATTTAGAAGAAAGCATCAAGTACAAGAGTATTTTTCATATCTCCCTAATTTAATCCTTATGAAGCATATGTTACTTTTTCAATTTTACATATGAGATAAGTGAGGCTGAGAAAGTTAAAAGGAACTGTAGGATCAGGGATCGCAAAGCCAGTAGTGTCAGACATGATAATCCAATCCTGGTATGTTTTGCTCCAAAGGCTACATCTCAAACTTACAATATGCTGTTTATTTATGGACAATGCAGCTCCAACGTGTGTGTTAAATGTGAACTAAAGAAGTTATAATATGTGTTATGCATTTATGTGGCCCAAATGTCCTTGTGTTAACCAAGCCATGGCTATAAAACAAAGCTATGCTTTTTTCTTATTAGTTCGAATTTTATTGAAGCAACCATGCACACGATTTTTTTAAAAAACACTAATAAAAACTGAATGGGAATTTTCTTACCTCTGCTGTGCTGAGGCATGAAGACAGTAGATGCATCATTTTAAAGCAGGGCCAAGATGAAAAAGTTGGAAAATTGGTGTACTAGGAACCCTGCATTTCTCTCCTTAGCTTACCACTTCTTCCTATGCAAGAGGCTGGGCATGCTGCAAAAGGAAAGAATTCAGAGGAGAAGAATTTTAGAGCAGGGCTGGGGTTTCCCCTCCTCCCAGTTCAGATATGGAGTAGGGGCTTGCCTTTGCCTTCTGGCTTAACAATGTTTTGCGGTTGGTGTCTGACTCCAGCCTGGAAAATCTAAAGAGTTAGAGAAGGTCTGGAGAATAGCCAATGGATGAGCCAAGGGGAAGTGGTTGTGTCAGAGGCATTTGAACCAGAGTGACTCCATCTTGAGTAGGGGCTGGATAAAATTAGGCTGAGACCTACTGGGCTGCATTCCCACATGGTTAAGGCATTCTAAGTCACAGGATGAGATAGGAAGTCGGCACAAGACACAGGTCCTAAAGACTTTGCTGATAAAACAGGTTGGAGTAAAGAAGCCAGTTAAAACCCACCAAAACCAAGATGGCCATGAGAGTGACCTTTGGTCATCCTCACTGCTACACTCCCACCAGCACCATGACAGTTTACAAATGCCATGGCAATGCCAGGAAGTTACCCTATATGGTCTAAAAAAAGAAGGCATGAATAATCCACCCGTTGTTTAGCATATAATCAACAAATAACCATTAAAAATGGACAACCAGCAGCCCTCGGTGCTGCTCTGTCTATGGAGTAGCCATTCTTTTATTCTTTTACTTTCCTAGTAAACTTGCTTTCACTTTACTATGGACTTGCCCTGAATTCTTTCTTGCACAAGATCTAAGAACCCTCTCTTTGGGTCTGGATCGAGACCCCTTTCCTGTAACAGTTGCATCAGGAAAACTGCCAGGCAAAAGTTGCATAAATGTTTCCTCTGGACTGTCCAGATGGAAGAGAGTACCAGCTTGGATCATCATAGGTCCTGTTCACGAGGGTCAGAGGAAAAGGAAGTCAGATTTCAGCAGAGAGATGCTGCAGGATGTCTAGAGCGTGGGGCAGGAGGAAGTGAAGAGTGGTAGGAGTGTGCATCTCTCAAACAGAGACCTGAGATTGAGTACCTGTGATCTGGCAAATACAGGTTGACCCCAATCCATGCCACATGAGCTGAGGGGTCATCACAGTGTGTACTGCCCAAATTTCTGGCCCACAAACTATGAGATATAATAAAATTATGGTTACTTTAAGCAGTTATATTCTGAGATGTTTTGTTACACATCAAACAAGTCACTTCGAAGAACCATTAAAAACAATCATTAGAGATGAAGTTAATTTAAAACATCTGCCAGACACAGGGCCTGAGCCCAGATAATAATAACACCAAGTAGGTGAAAATGTCTCATGCTCTTTCCCATCTCCAAAGAGAAGTAGAAGCTCTAAATTATCACAGAGAGACTGAACCTGACCTCATTCCCAGAAAGACTGGATTGCCCTATCAGCAGCAGACATTCAATGCTTTAGTTACATGTTACTGACAACGTTAATTATTGATCAGAGGATTTCATGTTACCCAAGAAAGAACAAATTTGTGGGCCTGCTCAAGTTTTCATCAAAGGCTGGAAAAAAAACTTGTTCCAGAAAATAAATTTTAAAAGGAGAGATATTTTATATTGCACACCATAAGTTATGCTATTTCAACATATCAAAGAACTAGAGCAAACCCTTTCAACTTCTTTAGTTGTGTCTTCCTGTATTCAAATATATTTCTTCTAAATACTGCAACTGCATGAGAGATTCCAAGGCAGAGTAGCCCAGCTGAAGTCAACCCAAAGAACTGTATAATTGCATACATAATCTGTATGATTATGATGACCTGTAGTTATCCAACATTGGAGCCTGAAGAAAAATTCATGGAGACAATCTGTAAAGAATTTGGGAGAAACATCCAGGCACTATCATAAGATCACAGTTTTGTTTTTGTTTTTGTTTTGAGACAGGATCTCACTCTGTGCCCCAAGCTGGAGTATAGTGGCGTGACCTTGGCTCACTGCCGCCTCAATCTCCTGGGCTCAAGGGATCCTCCCACCTCAGCCTCTCAAGTAGCTGGGACTACAGGCATGTACCACTATGCCTGGCTAATTTTTTGTAGTTTTTGTAGAGATGGGGGGTCTCACTGTGCTGCCCAGGCTGATCTTGAACTCCTGGGCTCAAGCAATCCTCCTGCCTTAGCTTTCCAAAATGCTGGGACTACAGACATGAACCACCACACTCGGCTGATCACTGTTTTAGGAGTCAGACTGTCCTATGTTTGAATAGTGCCTCTGCTGCTTATTAGCTCTATTCTTCATCAACCAAAAATTTTAATTAAAGGATCAAATCAGTGTTAGACCCAGCTAGGTATTAGAGGCACCCCAGTACATAGTGGCCAGTGACTGGCACAGAGTGAAGGAATGAACTTACTATGCTTCAGCCTCAGTTGCCCTGTGTGCAATGAGGATCCCAACTCCTCATCTTCTGGCCGAAGATAAGCATTAAATAAAATGATTAATGTGTGATATGGTTTGGGTCTGTGTCCCCACATAAATCTCAAATTGTAATCCCCAGTGTTAGAAGACAGGCCTTGTGGCAGATGATTGGATCATGGGGGTGGATTTCCCCCCTGCTGTTCTCATAATAATGAGTGAGTTCTCATGAGATCTGGTTATTTATAAAAGTGTGTAGCACCTCTCCCTTTGTTCTATACTTCCTTCTCTGGCCATGTAAGATGTGCCTGCTTTCCCTTCACCTTTCTCCATGATTGTAAGTTTCCTGAGGCCTCTCCAGCCATGCTTCCTGCACAGCCTGTACAACTGTGAGTCAATTAAGCTTCTTTTCTTTATAGATTGCTTAGTCTCAGGTAGTGGTTTTTTGTTTCGTTTTGTTTTGTTTTTGTTGTTGTTGTTGTTGTTGTTGTTGTTGTTGGAGACAGAGTCTGGCTCTGTCGCCTAGGCTGGAGTGTAGTGGCGTGATCTCAGCTCACTGCAACTTCTGCCTCCCAGGCTCAAGCAATCCTCCCACATCAGCCTCTCAAGTAGCTGGTACTACGGGTATGTGCCACCAGCTTTGCTAATGAGGTACTTCTTCATAGCAATGTGAGAACAGACTAACACGATGTTGACAAACAGGCCCACTATTCACACCTAATAAAGGATAATAGCCATTTCGTTGTATTTTGTTTGCAGAAGACAAAACCAACCTGGTGAACCAAAGGGGTTTCCAGGTTTAAAGAAAATTCTTTAATGAATTTCTTTAAAGAAATTCTTCCCTAAAGAAAATTCTCTCTTCTCTCCTCCCTCTAGGCCCATTTTTTTCCTTTCATATTTTAAATTTTATTTGCACTTCTGTTAACAATCCCTTTAGTGAATGTCTATATGGGAATCTCTGTGGACAAGGAACTACTTTGACCATATTACCAGCCTCCTTGGTGACATGACAAGTGAAGCCTTCACCACCAGGGAGAGGCTAGAGTCAGAAGCTTCTCAGTGTGTCATTTCCAAAACCTCCACTTATCCGCAATAGCATTTTCAAAACAAAGGGGAAACAACACCTCTTTCCAGGGGCAGCTGAAAAATTAGTTGTTGATATTAAATCAATTAATAAATACAAAGCCTAAGAAAATGATTTATGGATAAAAAGTGATTTTTTTTCAACAAATTTGTGGTTAAAATGCATGTGTATAATACATGATCTTATCATCTAGCTAGTTATACAAGAAATTTTGAGAGATATATTGTCAAAACTATCAACCACATGATTGTGGGAGCCTTACCCAGGGCATGAAGTTGGCTCATCAAACCTTAATCCACACTGGTGATTAGAAATGAGCTTGTTTAGTATGAATGCTTTTAGGAGCAGCATGCGTACTGCAATTCATTGCACTTCCCTACCCCTACTTTTTGCCTTGTACCTGGTCACTTACAAGTGTCAATTGGTCTACTTACCCTTCCAGGCATTTGGGTTGGTGACCCCTTGGTCTTCTGCAGCATTGTTTCTGGAATCTGCACCATCTTGTCTATTCTTTTAAAGAGTTATTTAACTTTATTCAATTCCTTTAAAAATACATAATTTAAGAATTTTGATTTTTTGACAATTTAACAACAGCACATAACAATGTGTGAGTAATAAATCTGTTCAATGGTGTCTTTAAAATTGCACGTGCTTTGAGAGATGCCTGTTGGGTTGCATTTTCTGCTGAATCCCCTCAGTATAAAGTCCCATAATGGAGACACAGGGAGAGTTGCAATCTCAAGATGCCTAACGTCATGGGGGAGAATGTCCTCTTGTGACTCTCCAAAAGCCAGATTTAGGGACTTCAAGTTTAAGATGGTGGAATGAAGTGAGAAATCTAAATCTACCTCTCACAAAACCTAAAACAAAGAATGGCAAATAAGAAAAATCAGAAGCCAGTCCCAACAATAGCAACTCAACAAAAGAAAGGGCATCTACCCCACCACATAGAAAGGCAGAAATTTTGAGGCTTTCCCTCAGGTTGGTTTAACGTCTTACCACAGTCTCAACTCTGCATTTGAAGGGACCACTACAAAGGAGAGGTTAGAAGCAAAATTCTGGGGGGTGGAAAATCATAAATAACCCCCACCTTGGAGAAATGACACGTAGGTGTGGCTCAGGCAGGACTGAGAACTCACTAGAAAATGTCCACACAGGGCAAACTTCCCCAACCCTCGTCATTTCCCATCAGAGCAGAGGAGTACAAGCAGAAAGGCCACAAAAGCAGAGATAATTATCTCCTAAAATTAAATAGCAATTAGTCAGAGAGAAAATGAATGACAGGAAAATTCTCTGTCAGCAGGAAATGGGAGAATAGGACCAGGAAAGAAGCAAGTAAAACCCCTGCAGGCTCTGTGGGCCTATCGCTGGGGCCCCAGTCTACTTCCATAAGCCTTTCCAGTCTTCTGCTCCAAGTAGATCTAAGGTCATGCTGGAGAGAGGTGAGAGAAGCTAGGTAGGGAAACACTACCAGCAACCTCGCTCTCCCTTAAGACAACTGGGGTTGGGTAGAAAGAACCATCAGAAGCTGAAGGTATCCTGTACTAGAAGAGAGGTGCTGATGGTGTTTCTGACCCCAGCAGGCTACAGGAAGCTGGATGAGAGACAGTGAAGGAAGCCTCAGGAAAGCTAGCACAGCCCAGCCATCCTCCCCTGCACCCTCCAGCCATCCACCCCTACACCCTCCTGATGCAGAAAACCCAAAGCCAGCCCAGCCCGGCCATCCACACTGGCACTTTTCTGATGCAGAGACCTCAGAAAACCCAGAAAGGCCAGGGAAATCTCAGAGAAACCCTAAAATTCAAAGAGGAAGACAGCTAGGTCTCAGAGAGGGTAGAGAAGGCACGTGGGAAAACCCATCTACACTGAATCTGGATGGAAAAATTTACCGAGACAGAACTACCCACATTAAGCATGGGCAATATGGAAAAAATAATGGTATTTACACAGTTATAGTGCAACATAAATGATTAAAAGAAGAAAAAAGAGTGATGCAAAGAAAATATAATATAAAATTGTATATGTAAAGATCTATTCCAGAAGGAAAGAGGCAGCTGAGATAAAAATTTTGAATCAAAACATCCCCAAAGTATGCTTGATTAATGAAATAGTAAGGAGTATAATAGGCTTGCTGCAAAGCCAAGTCGTTTATGAAGAGGAAAGGTATGAGGCTTTCCCCATGAATACAGAAGGAAAAAGCCAAGTTGACACAGGCAATTGGAGAGAAGCTAACATGAATGGAGAGCTGGCACGTCTAATACAAAGGTCATTGTTGTCCATGCATGGGGACCCTGTGTAGGGAACACGGATATGTTCAAAGGTACAATGGAAAAAGTTTCTCCTAGATCTGAGGAAGAATAGAGTCTGCAAATCTAAACAGCAAACCATAACCCTCCCAAACCAGCACAAAATGATCTACAAAAGCACAAGGACTAGTTAAGTTTTCAAATGTAATTTTTAAAATACAACAATTCAGACCTCTTGGTAGGACAAAACAAAATAACTGGCAAGAGCAGGGACCAAACAACAGTCTCTCCCAGAAAATAATGCAGCAGCTTTTTCTGCATGCTGCAGGGGGGGAAGCTGAGATCCGGGGTGCCACATGCAGGCAACTTGTCATTTAAGGACAAGTCACAATGTGGGTCAGCTCACACAGGAGGTAATTTCTGTCTTAGGAATTATGACTGTCTTAGTCTGTTCAGGCTGTGATCACAAAATACCACAGGCTGGGTGGCTTTTAAACAACAGAAATTCATTTCTCACAATTCTGGAGGCGGGGAAGTCCAAGCTCAAGGCACTGGCATATTTGTTGTCATGAGGGTGCCTTGTATGTGTCCTCACACGGTGGAAGGGTTAAACAGGCTCCCTCAGGCCTCTTTTATAAAGGCACTAATTCCATTCATGAGGACTTGGCCCTCATGACCTAATCACCTCCCAAAGGTCGCATCTCCCAGTACCATTACCTTAGAGGTGAGGTTTCAACATATGAATTTCGGAAAACACATAAACATTCAGACCATAGCAATTACCATTGCGTGTTGTTTGTAAAAAGAAAAGCTTGAATCTGGATATTCAGTAACAGAAGAAGTGCCAGTAAAAGGAGTGGTAGCAAACAGAAAAACATTGAAACACAAAATCCAAACAAAATTTCCAAAGGCAGTTTGGTTCCAAGAGGTACATTTTATGAACCTCAAGAAGGTACAACTCATTATCAAACAAACCAGAGTCAAGGGAGGAAGAAGCCATGTGAGGGCTGTAATTTCCTTATCTGTCACGGGGCGAGCGGGAAAACCAAGAACCGAGCCTTGTGAGGACGACTTGGAGCTGTAAAGGGAACCACCAGAAGAACTAAAATAAGAAGGAAACCAAGAAAAGACTGGAGGTGGAGGGGGAAGAGAGAGGAAGTGCAAGAGCAGTAATTTTCTCTTAGTCATAACAGAGTCAACAGATGCTCTGTAAGAGTGCTAAATTCAGAAACAGAGGGTTAAGTATAATATAAAGGATTATAAAAAGAATGACTACAAAAACCAAAAACAAAATATATGACTTCCAAATTACCAAGAGGCAGACATACATGTACACATATTCATACACAAAACAACCCTAAAATAGTAAAGATAGGTCAACAGCAAGAGACAGAAATAAAAGAAAGCTTAGAATCAGGTGATAAATTAAGACCAAACATATGTTACATCGATGTTGTAAAATAGGATAATCTCATCTATAAAATGAAAAAAAATTATAAAGTCAAATAGGAGAGACTAACCCTACATGAGCCCAACTAGGAAAAAAAGAACATTAGCAAAAACTGTGCAAAATTAGGAATGATATAAGAGCCTTTACCTTAAATAAGGGGGGAGACGGGCAAGGTGGTCAGTAGAGTTATAAATGAATTATTCTACAGGCAACATTCTGCAATCAATTTTCTAGCAAAATATAAAATACTTAAATTGACCCAAGAGGAAGACCAATTTTCATGGAAGAAAAAAAAATGAGGACAACTCTTTACAAACAAATAAGGCCTATAGATCCCCTCTCATCTTTGTGGATATTTCCACAGACAAGACAGGGGAAAGGAAAGAAGGCCTAAGATTTATTTGACAAGGTTAGTATAATTCTAAGCCCAAAATATAAAGGTAGTACAGGGGAAAAAAATGAGCATAGATGTAAAAATTCTAAAGAATATGTTAGCACTGAGAATAGAAAAAAACTTCTTAAATATGACAATGATAAATATTAAAAATCAAAAGTAAATAGTATACCTAAATAATGGAAAAATAACTGACGTGTAAGGTCACTCTATCCATTAGTTTGCAACATTGTCTGGTCAGTTTCAATGAATCTGACAAAAATTATATACCTATTGGAATACAGGAGGTAAAAGTATTCCTCTTTTCTGATGATATGAGAGTATCCTAGATAAGCCAAGACACTCCAGGTAAGAATTCGGTGAATTAGCTGGGCATAAATGAAAATTACTAAGTGCTTACTTGCTTACTACTCTACTACTATCATCCATTTCTATCCACAGAACACTTCTGACATCAAATGTGTGGCTTTTCCACTTGCTGCGCAATTCTCCAGTCCTCTGCAGATACCAACTGTTATTCACACCTGTAATCCCAGGCCTGACAATTCCATTCTGACACTACCCACCTTGAATCCCAGGCCTGGGGGGGTTAGACAGTAGCTTGAAAATAAGGCCCTTGGTGTCCTGAACAGAGACCCTCCTTAACCAAGCTTTGGACAGGCTCCCCAGGCCCTCTTCCCAACTAGGCCTTGACCTTGGGCTTGCATGCCTGTCCTTGCAGAGTCCAGTGTTAACAAGAATCCTGCTAAGTCAATTTAGAGAATCCTCCCACCACCCTTGATATCTGATCACCTCCTTCCAGCCCAAATCCATTGAATTCCTCATCCCCCACCATCCTGCAGGTGATATCTGATCACCCTGGCCTGCTTTGAAAATCCTGATAGACGAGTTTAACAAGAATCTGCAAACTTTATTCTGTTCCTTAGCTATAAATATGCCTTTGGCATTGAGCCCAATTTCTCTCTGCTACTGGCGTAGCCTGGATACCTATTGATATAGTACTGAATAAAATCTTCTTTACCATCTTAACAAGTGCTTGAAGAATTTTTTCTTTAACAGCATCTCTGCAGAGAAAGTTGTCAGGGAATCAATAACTGACTTCTCTGTCCTTCTGCCTCCTAGTCTCCCATCAGCCCTTCCCACTAGGCAAACATACATGGGAACCAGAGTGGGAGCCTGCTGATGAGGTCCACTCGTAAAATCAGCTCCTGTGACGGGGAGCGGGATGGAGAAGTGTGGTGGAGAATGGACTGAGGGGCAACTGGACGAATGTCCAGCTCCTCCTCCTGCGCCTCCGCTCTCAGATACTGTCAGGACCAAGCAGGGAGCACATGAACGTCCTCGGCTAACGTAACCACTGACAGGAAAGGGCTACTGGACACCTTCTTACCAAATGCCTGGACACTCAGCCGTCATGAGGATCCTCCAGGCATGTGAGGAGAAGATGACACAGATGCTATCATTCTTGTCTGACACTGGACCTGAGGTCTAAATCAATAGCCACGGTCCTCTTCTTCCGTCTTATCCTATGTACCTCTCATTGGCTAAAGCAGATATGAAGACTGAAAACAGGTAAAACTTCTTCCTGATGTTCCCAGTGGCTCTTCTCTGGAGGGTTAGTGAATAGAGGCCGGCAAGTGAACCGTGGGTGCCACTGGGATTTGGTTAGGCTCTGATTTTTCCTTTGAAATTTTATATATTAAATGTAAACTAGCAAATATGCCTTTACAAATTTTTAAATGTCTGTACTTAAGGTGCATTAACAAGGCTAAAAATATTCAAAATTATAATAAAAATTTTAAAAATTACTTGATCTTCCAATGACTAGCAATGTTGGCAGTCAAAGACCAGTACTTCACAGAAATGAAAAGCCTCAATGATTGAATTTAGTGAACTATCTTTCATGTCATTCTATTTCATTCAATTTCACAAAACTTAAACGAAGGTTGCATTTGCATCTTTGCCTAGGCAGAAGCAATTTCTTCTTCCAGGACTCTGACTGGAGAGATTTCACGCTTAAGACCATAATTTATCTCAGAAAAACAGAGCTCTGAATCTTAATGAACATTTTAATTCTAATGTAAGACAAAATATTTGTGTCATCTAACATAAATGTAGAAATGATATGCCTTATAATCCCCTTGCTCTTCTTAAAAACAACTGGAAAATGTATTTTTGAACCTTTAATCGAGTGCTCTGTTACATGCATCTATCTTTATCTTAACATCAAAACTATGAACAAAGTACTCAGCCTACCTCACCCTATCTGTTCCCTTAGTTCAATAGTTACATTAATATTTCTCTGTTTACCTTCTGTAGACAAATACCCATTACATCAAGATTATTATTCAGGAGATTTTTTCCCCTCTTCCTAGGACTATAAGAGGGAATTGTTTTTCTCTGCCAATCCCACAAATGTTTGGAAAGATTAAAATGTCAAAGGCAGAGGGAACAAGAGTCACTGGAAACAAACACAGCCTCATTCAATACCCTCCATGATGTAAGACTTACATATGTTTATTCAGGATAAGTGAAAAAGAAGCATATTAGTGATGTTGTCTTTTTAAAGCTTTTATGCTGCATTCAGAGACCAACAATATCTATAGTATTCAATTATATACTATCAAAACCTTGAATGCACATTAAAATTCTCTCTAAGCTTTCTGATAATATAAAATTATTTCATAGCAACTTATTATAGTATCTATTCAGAGAACTAGGTCTGTCCTAACATATCTAATATTCACTTATGTGTATTTGATATATTTTAAATAGATGCTGCTTGAAATAATTAATTAGAAAAATAAAAAGAACAAAATTAAAAATTAGAATAACAAAGTACAAAATGTATACTCTGTTTCAAGACTAAAGCATCACAAAGTCATAAACTTGAGTTCTGGAGACTTTTCTTGAGCTGCCTGAGGAGCTGATATTCCCACAGTTCACCAGTAGCATAAATATCCTGTTCCTGATCACAAACAATCAGGTGGGCCGCAAGACCTTCAGATTGGCTGAGTGAACCCCAAAATGTATTCCTGGGAGAGGTCATGATCACAGTTATACTTAATAAGTTTTCAAAACATATATTATTTCACATGTCAGTGCTCCTAGTGACTATAAACTAAGGTTTTTGGTGTGTAGTATGCAGTAAATTTAATTATATAGTTCAGAATTAAGATATAAAATAAGTTATAATGTAGTAACTTCATCTGCAAAGGGAATCTTTATAAAGAACAAAGCTGATTATTGCATAGAAATATCTCGATGCTTCCCATTGCCTTTAAGAATCATTCTAAAATTTGAAATATTTCTCTTGGCACTACCCTCACAAACTCCATACCTTCCAACTGTGCCTGTCTTCTTTCTGCATCATGCTAACATCCCAAGGAGCTTCATGAACAAGCTATTTTAAGCACATAGCTTATCTTATCTCCTTTACCTCTCTAACAGCCACGTAAAGCATTATAGCCCCATTTTACAGGTGAGGGACCTGAGTCAGAAAGAGATTAAACAACTTACCCAGGATTTCACAACTAGAAAATCCTACAGCCAGGATTTAAACCTAGGCAGTTTCAACATAGGGAAAGTCTCTGCTCTTAAAGTTCTCTTTTCTATTTTACAAAATGAACTTAATGGCAAAACAAGTGAATGAAACAGAAAATATACAAAATCTCAGAAAGCTTTAAAAGAATATTTAAAATTATATAATTCATTAAATAATATTTCTTGGTATGAAAGATTCAAACACTTAGAAGTGCATGGGGACTTTTCAGTACTGTCCCCCAATCTCATACCCTCCCCCAAAGGATGGCTGACATCAGGTGACAGGTGGATCTTACCATACTTCCATAATCAGCACTCACTCTGAACACCACGACATTCGTGTTTGCAATATGACCATGTATGTGTGTGTCTGTCTGAATTCTCTATTCAGTTCTCCAAATTATTTATTTACTCTTATCATCCATATATTTTTATTCCTATTTATTTATGTGTTTCATGATATGTTGTGATATTTTCTGGGGCTGGTACCCCTCATTCTTCTCTTCCCATCATTTATTTAGCTAATCTTCTATATTTTCTCCTTAACATGAAACTTTAAAACAAACTTGTCAAGTTCTGTAAAAATATTCTTGGAATTTTGATTAGGATTACATTAAATGTAACAGTTTGAGAATTGCCAGTTTTGAATGTACCTTTCAGAAATAAGACCCTTATTTTTCTGTCTTTGTATTTGTTGTATCTTTAAAAGATACATCACTTTTTTTACATAGTATAGATTTATTATCATTTTGGGGCAAACTTAGTCAGCTGAGTCAATTCATTTTTTTTCTGCCATACTATAGAACAGCTTCATGACATTGGACGCCACTCTTTCTTAAAAAGGTCATAACACTCACCTGTTCAGCTGCACCTGGTGCATTTGCAGAGCTCCTGGACTACTTTTACAATTTCTATTAAAATTCTCTACCCCTTGAGTTGATTTTGGTTACATTATTTTCTGAAAAATATGACTCCATCTCAATCTTTGAATTCATTCCCCTAAGTCATTCCTTTTCTGAGTTCTCTCAGAGACCTTTCTGGCCACCATGCCATGCCAGGCCCCCTGAGTCTTCCAGACATGGCATGACTTCCAAGTCCTTAGTGCTGGGAGCTGCAAACTATTTGCTTATTTTTTATATTACTTATTTACTTACTTACTTTTTTAGAGAGACCGGGTCTTGCTCTGCCTCCCAGGCTGGAGTGCAGTGGCACAATAATGGCTCACTGCAGCCTCGAACTCTGGGGCTCAAGTGATCCTCCCACCTCAGCCTCCCAAAACACTGGGATTACAGGTGTGACCTACTGCTCTTGGCCCAAACTATTTGTTGATGTTGTAGAAAGAGTTGGCAATGCAATGTCTCAGATGAGTTCCAACTGTCCACACTGCTTAGATAACTTCATAGACAATTCATGCAGCCCTCTCTAGGAGCAGGTACGTCCCACCTCGGAGACCTCCTCCTACTCCCTTCTCTGAACTAGCTCTCAGTTACTCTTCCCAGGACCTAAGCACAAAGATCTGTTCTTGTGTTCTTTTCCAGCTATCTGTCTCCCTGAAAGCCACAGCTTCTCACTGTTTAGCTGGTGGGGCAAAGTGTCCACAGACCATCACCGATCCTCCAACACAAGGTCTGTAAGCCTAAATCGAGGAAGCTAATAATACAATAGCAACAGCAGCTTTTATGTATTTTACTAATGTGCCAGACACCTGTTATTGCATGTTTGATGTCACTCTTTAATCCTCACAACAACCATGCAATGTGAATACTCATTGTTTTCTCCATTTTATGGGTAGAGAAACAAACGCTCAGAAAAATTACTGAAATTTGCTAAGGCCATGCAGCAGAGCCAGGAGCCTAACTATCTGGCAAAAGAAATTTCTGAATTATGGACTCCAAACAAAGCACCCAGAGATCTCAAAAGGAAAATCTCAAGTCATTTCAATTATTAACACTGATGCACCAGCCTTCTCATTCCTCCTTCTCAGGAAGTGGGAGATAGTGTGAATGTTAGTAATGTCGTAAATATCACTGTGCACATAGCATCCGTGGGTGTTTGAGAAATCACTTCTTTATGTCAATTCCCAGAAATATTGAGCATACAGGAAACTATAAACCTATCATTCTGCAAAGCAATAAATATTCAGTTTTCTAAGAAAAATCTGTAGTTGGTCCTCAAAAAATTGAATTTTATTTTTTCTAGGTATAACATAAGAAAAGATTTCAAATTACATTTTGTGAACAAGAAAGCCATGGAAATAAGTCAGAGGCCACCCACCCTGACAGTGGTTTGGTCTCAATGAAATCAGAGAAACACGGACCACGAGATGAATAAGGAAAGCCGCATGACCTTCTGCTCTCCTTTTAGGGGGACTCCTCGCTAGTACAGCCTACAGTTGAGATTTCCAGGCTTACTCAATGGGGAAATTAGAAACACATACTCTGGCACTTGGTCCCCTGGGTTTGAATCAGGCTTAGCCACCTCCTGGTAGTGTGCCTTGCGTAACTTCATCTCTGAAAAGGGAATGAATTAAATGTAAGAATTAAATATGATGATGCCTGTAAAGTACTTAGCACAGTGACTACTGGTGACCTAAAGGAAGATGCTGGGGCACAAAATACAATTTTAAAGAGTCCACTTGAGTCAAAGTGAGGACAGCTGCCTGGGACATACTTGCAAGTTGCCTTGGGGAGCGCTCCCTCTGACCTTTGTTCCATGCAGGTTTTTAAAAGTAAAAAGGGACAAGGAGTGGGCCGATTGATAACAGAGTTGTTTGAAAGGGATTCCCATTGATTTACAAGGATAACATTGATTTGTGATAGGCTGTGCATCGTCGAACTGTAAGTTATGGCGTCCAGCATACAGCAATTTATGGCAATTGGCTTAGAGTCTAAAGCCCACATAGCAAGTAGCTTCAAGAGGTAATGCCCCAGCTCAAGGGAGAGTGATGGAACTGCTGTCACTTTTCAGTCCCTCACTGTGCCTGATCATTTAAAGGGGCTCGCAGTCCTCAACAAAAATTTTCTTTTCTTTCCCACGCCAGTATGGCAAGTATTCAATCAATATGAGCAATGATTTATTTCTAATAGTTATTAAGCAGGTAGGGATAGGAACTAGAAAGGTGGACTCCCACAAAGACTTGGTAGGGAGTTTTCATCTCCAAACCCCTGAAAGTCACTGGGTTTTCAGGCTGAACAAGGCAGCATGTAGAACACCTACTTCAAATATTCTTAAATAAAAAGAAGGGATCAGCACCTGATATAATGGTACTTTTAGAAGGGGAATTTCTGCCTTACCCACAATGCTGACTGACCAAGCCCAGCCTCTTTCCTCTGTTCCATCCGAGCCTCTTCCCTGGTTAACATCATGTCTCCTTCAGGAGGGACCATGACTGGGCAGCCCTCAGCTCCCCACATCTCAGGTTTGAAACCAGAGGATAAACATGCTTCCTCCCTCCCCACTGCAGCTGGAAAAGCCCTGGCTAAGGTCACAAGGCCTTGATGGGTCTCACACCCATGTCTGGGGGTGAATCCAGTTACCAGGGGAAGGAAAAATGGAATGGAGAGAACACACAAACAATAGACACCTTCAAACACCCTGGGTGGAAAATATGGATCAATGTGGCTTATTACTATAGTATGTGTCTGACTTTACTTGTGGCTTATTAATATAGTATGTGTCTGAGTTTACAAGAAACCAGGGAAAGAATTTCAATAATTATACCCATAAATTTAGCTATCCAGGGAGCCTGAGAAGACTGCCGTGCCAGCTCCCTCAGCCATTATTCTCATGAGCAACAATCCGATATTTGAGAAAGTGAAAACAAATAAAAATAAAGAATGTGTGAGATGACATTGAATAAAAATAGATTTATGAAGATAACTCGATAGAAGGGTTTTCACTGCTTCTAATTCATGTTGATTGATAATTCACCTCACAGGGGGTTTTTTTGGTAAAATTTTATATTCAGCTGAGGACTCATCATGCCAAGATTAGCTTAGGTGAAGTTCTCACCTCATATAAAATTGACTTCCACTCCTACAGAGAGATTGTTGATGAGTCCTTCTCTATAATGCCATAAAATATTACAAGCAGGAGAGGCACGCTGGGGCTGGGTCATAAACAAGGTTTTTCTGGAAGTCCCTGTAGGGCTTGGCAAGGTCTGGTGAGCACCTCAGGCAGGAAGCCCTGCTCAGGAGACACTAATTAACAGTGACAGCAATGCTGGCAGATTTTTTTCCCCCATAATCTATTTGGAGACACAAAAGGGAACCCAGCACTTGGAAGAGAAGAATACTTGTAATGACTTTGAAGAGGTAATTTAGTGAGGGTGTTAGGAGACATTGCATTTTAGCATTTTGTTATTAAGAGTTGTCATTGATGATTTTGCATTTTCTCATTTCCACTCAGGCAACAAAATCAGCTTTCATGCCAGAGTAATTCACTTAGAGTCAAGCGGGCAAGTTAATGATATCAGCAGCCGCGGCTCCTGGAGGAGTTGGAGTTGGAAGATTTTTAAAATTTTCAACTTTTTTAAGGGGGTTCATGTCTGGTGGTCATGAACTATTTTGTGATTTTTTTAATATACTGCATTTTGAACTTCATAAAAACAAACTTGATATCTATTATACTACCTATCTAATACTAGATAGGAGCCGTTTAGAAACCCGTTTTGGTTATGTTTTAATGGAGGTTTGAGCTCATTATTTAATAATGAAGTAACTCAGGATGACTCTCTGTTAATTCATTTAATACTTATCTTGCTCTCTTTTATTCAAATACTGCCATCCCTCTCTGAACATCATACACTTGTCATGAGAAGAGTCTGCACTTCCAGTGCCTGGCACTGAAGGTCTTGAAATGTTTCTCCTCAGTTCCACTTACCGGCTTCATGACATCTTATATTCTGCCTTCATCAACTAGTTCCTTTATTAATGAAGATGCCAAAACACTAATCTTGCACTCATTTACAACTAAATAGCAATTTGTGTTTACTTTACTCCAGGGACAAAAGGAGAAAGATTTTTTTAAAAATCCTAGTATTTGGGAAATATCTTCCATGTCTACTGCCTTCAAAGCCAGATCCTAATTTCTCAGTTTTAAATGAAATGCTAGCTGCTGGATGAGAAGCCAAAGGCGCCATAACTTTCTGGATTCCCAGTTTTGCCTGTTAATCATGTGTAGGAGGCAATGTTTCCTCCCCTCAGTAGAGATGTGAATGTGAGTTCAGGGAAGTTGTATTTTTATACAGGGTTAATAATATAACTAACATAACTGTACACGGCAATTGTAAAGACGTGAGAGTTGGTGGGTTGGTGTTGTGTAAACAGCAGGTAGAATCGTGAATACCAGATTGTGAGATGATTTTATTGGTATGAAGGTCAATTTGAGAAGGCTCAGAGGTTGGATGCACTGTGCAATATTTATCTCAGGGCTCAAGAAAGAACTAAAAAGAATGGTGAGTGATAGAGAGGAATAGTCCCTGGCCAGAGAGTAAATTTGCAATTATAACAACAAGTCAAAGGTCTTGGTATGATGTTCTCAGATGGTTAGATGGTTTCCAAAAGGAACTTTTCTTTGATGCCTTTTAATTCTTGAAATTAAAAAATCCAGAAAAAAATAATTTTTCAGAGCTTAAGAATTCAAAATATTTTAATACTGGGAACTAATGTGACTGACTTTTTAAAAATCTGAATTAACTCATGTCTCAAAACACTCTGTTGTTTTGGCCTCAAAATGAGGACAACTGCTAATCGTCTAGAAAAATGTGACTTACAAACTTATCTATTTAAGAACCTCATTCTAAAGTGGAAAAAAAGCAGTTGAAAGAATGTATAGTGACCAAAACAAAAACTACTTTGATTTCACTAAGACATTAATTAGGATGTGCTACTATTTCTAAAAATATAAGACCTGAATGTGTAAAACATGTCATTTAAATACTCTGCAGACAATGATTACTTCGATTTCATGTAGATTCATGGACATTTTAAAAATTTTTCTGAGGATCCCAGGGCCCTCTGGGTCATACTAGGGAGACCTTTTTCTTGGGTTCTTGTTCCCAGCAAACATAACATGTGACGGCTTCATGCATATGCCTTACAATTTGGCTTTCAGCTTATTACTTAAGAATAAGTAGCAGTCAGCATTCAGGTTTATACAAGGGACAGTTTGCACATTTTCCTCTGTATAAACTAATAAAGAAAGGAGAAAATGAGAAAGAAAATAAAGAAAGAAAGAAGAAAGAAATGAAGAAAGAAAGAAAGAAAGAAAGAAAGAAAGAGACAGAGGAAAGAAAGAAAGAAGAAAGAGAAAGAGAGAGAGAGAAAGAAAGAAAGAACGAAAAAAAGAAAGAAAGAAAGAAAGAAAGAAAGAAAGAAAGAAAGAAAGAGAAATCCCCTCTTACTATCCTAGCTCTTCATAGATGTGATAGAGACTGTTTACCAGCCTTACTTTCTCTCTGATAATATAGTTAGACTGTATTTTCATTCTTCCTTTGCAATTAGATGTGGCCATTGGGCTGTGTCCCAGCAAATGGAATGTGAATAGAAGTGGTATGTACTCCTGCTAGCCTGGCACTTTAAAGCTTGTCAGGTATGACTCTCCAAGCTGTTTTCCTTCCCAGCTGACTGGCATAGAGACAACATGGAATATAACCTTGGAAGCTGTGTGCTGAAAAATGACAGAGCTACAGGTGGAAGGAGTCTGGGTCCCTGAATGACCACTTGGAGGGGATGCACCTGCCAATGAAGAGTACCACTTTGGAAATTATGTGAGTGAGAAATAGACTGATATTTTGCTTGGGCCATTATATATTTGTATAATTGTGTCCTTAATTTTTGCACTATATGATTATTATTAAATTACTTTTTACCACTAGAGATGACTCTATTGTTGTCATGATTCTGTGAGATGAATTAGGAATGGAGGGTAGAACCTAACTTCTTGTGCACATCTTCTGTGTAAAACTTGTGCATTCTCTATGCACCATTTATGTATCTGCTATGTGACATGTAACAGGCATGTCTTTTATGTATATCAGCTCATGTCTTCATTCCTGATATTAATGATTTGTATTATGTTGGGCTTTCAAAATCATAGTTTTTTGCTCTATATTTATGTATCTTTCTTTTTATTACTTTGAAATAATTCTTTGGGACAATTTACTCTAATTTTTCTTTTTTTTATAATTTCAACTTTTATTTTAGATTCAGGGGATACATGTGCAGGTTTGTTACCTGAATATATTGCATAATTCTGAGGTTTGGGATATGATTGATCCCATCACCCAGGTACTGAGAATACTACCCAGTAATTAGTTTTTCAGTCTTTTTCTCTCCTCCCTCTCACTACTCTAGAAGTCCTGAGTGTCTATTGTTCCCATCTTTATGCCCATGAGTACCCAATGTTTAGCTTCCACTTAGAAGTGAGGACATGTGGTATTTGGTTTTCTGTCCCTGTATTAGTTCACTTAGGCTCATAGCCTCCAGCTGAATCCATGTTGCTACAAAGGGCGTGATTTTGTTCTTTCTTATGGCTGCATAGTATTCCATTGTGTATATGTGCCACATTTTCTTTATCCAGTCTACCATTGATGAACACCTAGGTTGATTACACATCTTTGTTATTGCTAATAGTGCAGTGATGAACATATCAGTTCAGGCATCCTTTTGATAGATGATATATGATAGAATGATTTATTTTCTTTTGCATATATACTCAGTTGTGGGATTGTTGGATCTAGTGGTAGCTCTGTTTTAAGACAGTTGAAAAATATTCAGACTGCTTTCCACAGTGGCTGAACTAATTCACATTCCCACCAACAGTGTATAAGTGTTCCATTTTCTCCACAGCCTCACTAGCATCCTACCACCATTTATGACTTTTTAATAATAGCCATTCTGACTCATATGAGATGGTATATCATTGTGATTTTCATTTGCACTTTTCTGATTTTTAGAAAAGTCATACAAACAGGAAAAGAAGAAGTCAAAATACCTCACTCCACAAATATGATTCTATACCTACAAAACACTAAAGACTCTGCCAAAAGGCTCCTAGAACTGACAAACAACTTGAGTAAAGTTTTGGGATTACAAGATCAATGTACAAAAATCAGTAGTATTTCTATACACCAATAATGTTTGAGCTGAGAGCCACATTAAGAAGACAATCCCATTTACAATGGCTGCAAAAAAAAAAAAAAAGTAGAATACCTAGGAATACACCTAACCAAGGATGTAAAAGTTCTCTGTAAGGAGAACTACAAAACACTCTGAAAGAAATTATAGATGACATGAACAAATAGATAAAACATTCCATGCTCATGGAATGGAAGAATTAATAATGTTAAAATGGCCATACTGCCCAAAGCAATCTACAGATTTAATGCCATTCCTACCTAACTACCAATGTCATTATGTCATTTATCACAGAACTAAAAAAAAAACTATTCTAAAATTTATATGGAACCTAAAAAGAGCTCCAATAGTCAAAGCAATCCTAAGTAAAAGAACAAAGCTGGAGGTATCACATCACCCAACTTCAAACTATACTATAAGACTACAATAAACAAAACAGCATGATACTGGAACAAAAACAGACACATAGACCAATAGAACAGAATTGAGAACCCAGAAATAAAGCTGTACACCTACAACTATCTGATCTTCAACACAGTTGAAAAAAAAATAAGCAATAGGGGAAAGACTCCTTACTCAATAAATGATGCTGGGTTAGCTGGCTAGCCATAAGCAAAAGAATGAAACTAGACCACTACATTTCACCATAAACAAAAGTTAACTCAAGATGAATTAAATATTTAAATGTGAGACCTCAAACTTTAGGAATCCTAGAAGAAAATGTAGGAAACATAATTCTGGACATCAGCCTTGGGAATTTATGACTAAGTCCCTGAAAGCCATTGCAACAAAAACAAAAATTGCTAAGTGGAACCTAATTAAACTAATGAGCTGCACAGCAAAAGAAACTATTGGCAGAGTAAAAAAACAACCTACAGAATGAGAGAAACTACTCACAACTATGCATCTGACAAAGGTCTAATATCCAGAATCTATAAGGAACTTAAACAATTGAATAAACAAAAATCAAGCCTATTAAAAAGTGGGCAAAGACATGAACAGATTCTTGTATTAAGTTAGAAATGTAGGTTATTAATTTTAAGTTTTTCTGCTTTCTAACACAGGCTTTTAAAGTTATACATTTTCTTCTAAGTATTGATTGAATTGTATCTCATAAGTTTTTTTAATATGTTTTCTTTTCATTTTCATTCATTTCAATGCATTTTCTAATTTACCTTGGGATTTCTTATTTGATTATTTGATTAATTACTTCTTATTTCTTATTTGATTAATTTGTTCTTTATAAGTATGTTACTTATAAAGTGTGTTACTTTATAAGTGTGTTATCCAAATATTATATAATATTCTGGATATCTCATTGCCACTGACTTTTAATTTAATACAACTGCAGTCAGAGAATATATTCAGTAATATAATCAATCTTGACATGTAATAACACTTACTTTATGACCCAACATATAGCCGATCTGGTGAATATAACATGTGCTTTTGAAAAGAATGTATATTCACTACTCTTGGGTAAAATATTTCACAAATGTCAATTAGGTCTAGTTTGTTCATTGTGTGGGTTACATGATATAAACTTTACTCTTTTTTTTTTTCAAATTCATTTGCCTATCACTGGCAAAAGGGTATAGAAATCTCTATTTCTTAATATGGATTTTCTATTTATTCTTTAGTTCCACCAGGATTTGCTTCACGTATTTAGAAGTTAAATGTGCATAAACATTTAATACTTTTATATCTTCATGATAAATTGACACCTTTTCATCTCTGGTCATATTGCTTGTCTTGAAATTCATATCTGGTTTTAATAAGATCATAGCAGCAATTTTACACTTACCATTGCATAAAATTTTTTCCGTCATTTTTTATCTGTGTCTTTATAGTTAAAATGCATCTCCTATGGAAAGCACAAAATTAGGTAACATTTTTTCCATCTATTCTTTATTATGATGCTAATTTTTACAAATTTGTCTAGTGTCTATGATTACAACTTATAAAAACAAAAACTTCTATTGAGTGCAGGTTTTTAGATTCCTGGCTTTATATATATATGACTTCTTATTTGGAGGGGTTAGCTTATATTACTATAATGTTATTATTGATGTAGTTGAGATTATACCCAATTTCTTGCTATTGTTTTCCTTCCATTGTTGTTCCTCCTCTTCCTCCTTTTTTGTTTAATTGAATATTATTATTCGACAAAATGTAATATTCCATTTAATATTTTAATTTAACTAAATTTAATATTTCTCTGAGACCCTTAGGGGTCAGAGTCTTACCCTACACATACACATCCAAGCCTTCACTCAGGAACTTTTTTTTTTTTGAGACAGAGTTTTCCTCTTAACGCCCAGGCTGGAGCACAGTGGTGCGATCTTGGCTCGCTGCAACCTCCACCTCCCCGATTCAAACGATTCTCTTGCCTCAGCCTCCCAAATAGCTGGGATTACAGGTGCCCACCACCATGCCCAGCTAATGTTTATATTTTTGGTAGAAAATGGGGTTTCACCATGTTGGCTAGGCTGGTCTCGAATTCACAACCTCAGGTGGTCTGCCTGCATCGGCCTCCCAAAGTGATAGGATTACAGGCCTGAGCCACTGTGCCTGGACTCAAGAACTTATTCTTTGTTTTTTTTTCTGAGATGGAGTCTCACTCTGTCACCAGACTGGAGGGCAGTGGCCCAATCTCAGCCACGGCAACCTCTGACTCCCTGATTCAAGCAATTGTCCTGCCTCAGCCTCCCGAGTAGCTGGGATTACAGGCATGCGCCATCACGCCTAGCTAATTTTTGTATTTTTAGTACAGGTGGGGTTTCACCATGTTGGCCAGGATGGTCTCGATCTCCTGACCTCGTGATCCGCCCGCCTCAGCCTCCCAAAGTGCTAGGATTACAGGAGTGAAAGAACTTATTATGAGGACTCATGTAAGGGCTTCTAAACAGCTCCTTCTCCACTTCCCTGTGCTACCTCAGCCATCCCAAATTTCAATCTTTACCTCCTCAGTTGAGCGAGACCACCATTTGCCGTTTGGGCTCCATCTTCTCCCACAGTCTCATGGTGCCTCCAAGAAGTGAGCGGGAATCTCACCTTTTGTGTCACTTTTCCATTATTCATTCTGAATCTAACCTTCTGTGTCTCTTTTCCATTATCCATTCTGAAAAGGCATTACTTCACATATTTCGTCTGGTTTCATGGTTACTTCTTCTTGACTGAAAGCTGAACTCCCATGCTGTCAATGTTTCCTAACTCAAACAAATGTTTGGCAAAAATGCATGACTCCCTAATGCCACTACATTGCTATGGGTCACTTTCCCATTGCTGTCTTCTCCAATTTGAGACTCATTGGGAAACTGGATTAGATTACTGTCTCAACCATAGTCATTTGATAGAAAATGCTATTAGGTTTATTATTCTGTTAGGAATATGGATGTGAATTTTAATATGTCTGATTAACATTGGCAACAGCTTAGAGAATGTATCAGGAGATCGGTGAAAAACCCATTACTTCAAATGAATTTATTTGTTTTTAGCAGTAACAGGCTATCGTGGGTTTAGTCATTTAAACTGCTCCAGAGAAGTAAATTGTCATTTTACTTGGTTTGGTTTTTAACCTTGAAGAATATTTGGGTAAGTTTTCTGGAGTCTTTTAATAAGTTCACCTAAAATTTTATCCAGTGTCTCCTACTACAGTTTCAGAAACAGATTTTCTATCATCATAGGCCATCTGAAAATAGGGTAACAACGATTTTCCACATACAAATCATATCCAAACTAGTATTGTTTAGCACTTCACTTCAACCTTTGCCTCTTCATCTTTAGATTAAACAATCTTTAATGGATCAAGATTTCTAACTCTAATACAGTTCAATTTCTCACACTTCCCTTATAGTTAGTGATTTTCTTGCCTTATTGAAATCTTTTTGTATTCAATGTGTCAATTTTTATGGGTAGTTAATTTTGTGTTTTGTTTTTAAAATATTTATCCACCCTAGATTGAGAAGATATTACCCTATATTATCTTCAAAGATCTCCAATTTTTCCTTTAATATTTTGATCTACATACAACTTAGTTTTGGTTTTGTGTATAAGAATCAGCACCGCTACTAAAAGGTCATTCTTGTCCTGTGGCTCTGCAGCACCAACTGTGTCATAAATTACATATTTGTGTTACATATTATCTATTTCTAGAATTTCCATTCTGTTTGTCTATATATGCACTAATACCACACTCTATTACTGGAACTTTATTATTAGTTTCGATATCTAGTAGAGTGAGCTCTCTTGCTTTCTTCTTCGAAGTTTTGATGACTCTAGCCTTTGAATATTCATATACATTTTAAAATCAATTTATCCATGTTCTTTAAGTCTCACAGTGATTCTGAGTAAGACTGCATCCAGCAATAGATCAATTTTGGGAGAACTGACACTGACATCATATCCATGACTGTGATATGTTTTCCATTCATTTACTTCTACTTTAATAACTATCACTATCAGCAATGGTGGCAATCACGCACATATTTCATTAAATTTATCCCTAGGCATCTTTGATGCCATTTCAAATATATTCTTTTGGACAAAGTTATTGAGGTACAATTAACGTACAATAGACTGCACCTATTTAAAGTGTACACTTTGATACATTTTGACATATGACACATGTATACATCCACAAAAAATGACTAGAAGAAGCTCTCTAAACAGAAGGAAAATAATAAAAGAAATATTGAAACATCCGTAGGAAGAAAAAGCAATGGAAAGAGTAAAAGTATCAGTGAATACAATATATTTTCTTTAAACTCTTCTTGGGTTTTCTAAACTATGATTGATGATCAAGGAAAAATTTATAACACATTTATATGGTCCTAAATGTGTGTAAAGAAATTATGTATGACAATTACAAGTTGGAGAGGGTAAAAGGACATAAAGAAGGGTAAAGTTTCTGCACTTCATATGAACTGCTACAATGTTGACACTAGTAAACTGTAATAAGTAGTATATATTTCATACAATACCTAGAGCAAACCATGTTCATGAACTGGAAGACTCAATACAGTAAAGATGTGAGTTCTTCCCAAATTGTCATCCAATTTTAATGCAATTCATATCAAATCCCTGTCAGAGTTTTTGTAGATATAACCGAAGCTATTATAAAACTCATATGAAAAGGCAAAGGGATAAGAATAGCTAAAACGATGTTGACAAAGAAGGATAAAACAAAAGAAATCCGCCCCCCCACCTGATTTCAAGACTTATAGCTACAATAATCAAGTGGTATTGACAGAGACATTGACACATAGATCCATGAAACAGAATAAAGAGCCAAGAAATAGACTCACATGAATATGCCCAAAAGTGGAAAGGCAATTTAATGGAAGTAGGATAGCTTTTTCAGCAAATAGTGTAGCAATTGGACAATCATAGTAAAAACAACCACCAAAAGAAGCCTTAACCTAAACCTTACAGCTTACAACAATATTAACTCAAATTAGATAATGGACTTAAATGTAAAACATGAAAGTATAAAACTTTTAGAAAAAATAGAAACATAGGGAAAGATCTTCAAGATCTGGAGCTAGGCAAATAGTTCTTAGGTTTGACGTAATAAACACAATCCATAAAAGAAAAAATTGAAATATTGAACTTCATCAAAATTAGAAACTTTTGCTGTTTGAAAGACCGGGTATGGAGGATAAAAAGGCAAGCTGCAAACTGGGAGAAAATATTCATAAATCACAGAGTTATTATCTAGAGTATATAAAGAACAATTATCTAGAATATGTAAAGAACTCTCAAAATGTAGTATTAAAAAAGGAAACTAACAGCCCAATTATAAAATAGGCAAAAGGCATGAACAACATTTCAATGAAGGAATATACAGATAGCAAATAAGCACACAAAAATATGTTCAAGCCATCAGAGAAGTACAAATTAAAATCAAAGTTAGATATCATCACCTAACAGGAGAATGGATAAAATAAAATTAATGTCAACACCAAATGTTGGTGAGGATGCAGAGAAACTGGATTACTTATACATTGTCAGTGGAAATATAAAATGGTATGGTCACTCTAGAAAATCATTTGCCAATTTCTTACAAAAAAAAATTGCAAATACCATATGGCCCTGCAATTAGTTTCTTAGGTATTTATCCCAGAGAAATTAAAATAGGATTTTTAATTTTTCCCAGGCTTATACTTTATTTTTTACTTGGCTTATATTCTTTATCTTTTTGTTATAACATATGCTCCCACAAGAAAGATACCAAGGTCTTTGAATTCTGAAGCCATGTTGTTCTCCAGGAATTTTGACTTAACTAAGGCCAAGCAATATAATAAGGTAATTTAGGTACTCATTTTGCTACCCCTACTTCGCAATGTTTGGGGTTTTCTATATAACTAGGTCAAAGGTATCAGAGCAAATGTCAATAATCTTATTTAAGATGATGCCCTGACATTAAATAGTCTATGTTCGTGAGTACTTTTATTGTTGTCATTGCAGGTACCTTATTTAAATTTCGTAAATATTGACGAAGCTCTTCCTATATGCCTTGCTTTAAGTGCTGTCCAAAGGGTCACGGTCCAATAAAGAAGTCACATCATATGAACAACTGCAATGTAATAGAGGGTATGGAGAGGTCTAAGCAGCATAGAGGATGATGTAATCTCCTATGGGTTAGGGGTGAATAACAATGGGAGTCAGAGAGTTTACCAAAGCAATGGCCACTAACCTAGATTTTCATCACTGAGCATCATTAGTTCATGAAATCCACATGTTGAACAAAGGGCAAGGAAACCTGGAGAGTGCCATAAACATCTTCACGGGAAATCTAGTTTGCAATGTTTTCCTTATTACCAAAGATACAAGTAAAAGTGAACATGATTGAAATAAAAAGAATGGGTTAAGCAGAACTAGCTTAGCTGGGTTGTTCATAAAACATACTGTGTCATCGTCTCTTTAAATCCATATTCCTTTCCTAATACTCAATGGATATTACCATGTACTTTCTAATTTTTCTCAACTCTATGTTCTGCCTTGCAGAAGGACCCCAAACCTTTATTCTTCATTAAACTGCATTTTCCTGTGGCCCTGTTCAGAAATGTCCGTGTTGTTTAGAGTTTGACATGGAATGATAACACAGGTTATTTAAAATACTAATTTAAAATTTTTAGAGCAAAACATGTATTCTAAATTGCAGAAAAGGAAAAAAGAAATGAGAACATTTGAAAGAAAAGACCAGAATATGTGAATAGAACAGCACGTTTAAGATGATTAATTTAAGTTCCTAAAGCACTTATTAACTGATATTTTGCTTTAGTCAAATTTATTAAATACTCTCTATGGAACAGAAATTGTGTTAGATGCTCTAACATGTCTATCTTATTTCTTTTAAGAAATAATATCTTGTGGTTATATCCCCTTTATAGGAGTGAGAAAATTACAAATTTTACAGTTCATTTCTGCTGACATGTCTTATGACTCCATAAATCTATCAGGATCCTGGAAAGAAAGAGCTGATACTCAAGTTGGGTGGGAGGATAGTGCTGTAACCTAAAGCTAGTAACTGGAGAGAGTTATTCCTGCCTAAACGGTCAAGGTGCAAAGCAGTTACTAAAACCTGCCTGAAAGGAGCTGTTGGCTTTCATCAAGATACTAACCTGCCAGTGGTGTCCCTACAGAAGGAAATAAATCTCCCAATCTTACTTTTGATTTAACTAAGGCTGTATGATATAGTAAGATAATTTAGATATTCATTTGTCTATCCTTACTTTGATATGCTTGGGGTTTTCCTATATCACTAGATCAAAGCTATCAGAGCAAATAGCTTTCATATCATTTGCTCTGCTATGTTTTCTTCTCATCTTTTGCTGAACTTTACTGGGGCAAATTCAGTACCCAATATTTCACGTGGGTCCTTTTCTATTTTCCCTAAGTGTTGGCCAGTCTGAGAAATAAAGGGAAAGAGTACAGAAGAGAGAAATTTTAAAGCTGGGTGTCAGGGGAAGACATCACATGTCGGCAGGTTCCGTGATGCCCCTCAAGCCGCAAAACCAGCAAGTTTTTATTAGTGATTTTCAAAAGGGGAGGGAGTGTATGGATAGGGTGTGGGTCACAGAGATCACATGCTTCACAAGGTAATAAAATATCACAAGGCAAATGGAGGCAGGGCGAGATCACAGGATCACAGGACCACAGGACCATAGGACCAGGGCAAAATTTAAATTGCTAATGAAGTTTCCAGCACACATTGTCATTGATAACATCTTATCAGGAGACAGGGTTTGAGAGCAGACAAAACTCAATTATTGAAGGTTCTTGTAAATCATGATTTTCATTTCTTACCTATGTATGAAGTTATGAAGGTGCATGGGACCTTACAAAAGACAATTTTTAAAAAGTCTGACATCTATCTGGAACTTCACAGCTTATAGCTTTTAAAGTGTTTCTCTGTAGATTACCTCTTCAATGTAGCTTCAACATTTAGGCAACTTCCAGCTGGCTCTAGAATTCAAAAGAATCAATCCAGGGTGAGTAAGAAATTCCGGACATGAGGACTGAGCCCAGAAGCTGCCGTGTTAATAGTCCTTAAAGTTTTACTGCAAAACTGGAGGTTTACAATATAAAAATAAAATTCAAGTTTCTTTAGGAACTCGAATCTAACATACTGTATTTAGTGATAGATATAATCTTTCTAGATGTGTTGGCATCTTTTTTGATGGCTAGCATGTGATAGTTGCTTGTTCTGCTAGCTAAGGAGGCATATAATAATTAAAATATGAAGAGTCTGATAAGGTACCTCCCAGAATTGAAAACTAAGCAGGTAGTGCACTGTGTCTCTCATGAATGTGCTTGTTTCTATGAATAGAAGACTCTTAGGATAAAGGATAGAGCTGGATGAGCGTGCATCTTTACCTTAAGGTCCCCAAAATGAATCTTTGCCCTGTTTCATTTTATTCTAAAAAAAATCAGCTAAACACCTCTCTGTGAGTCAGACACTGTGTTTTTCAGAATAGCTGACTGAATAAACAAATGCAAACATAAATCCTGCCTAAAGAAAACACAACAGAGAAGTCGTTCCAAAGAAGTTTGTGAAATAAAATATCATTATCTTAAAGAGTGAAAATTTAAAAATAGTTGTGAATTACCCAATTATGATCTAAAAAGGAATCCATTACAAAATTAAACTCAGTGATTTTGATCATAAATTATATATCTGACTTTTTGCTAGGCTATAGCCTGCATGAAAAAGAAAAATAAATCATATTGCTTCAAGGGGCTTCAGTCTTACAAAGTGTGCATATGTGAAACGGACACAAGGAAAGTCAGGACCACTAAAGGTGCAGACACCATGGGTCAGGTAAAGCCAGGAAATAAAACAACAGGAACAGGAAGCACCAGATTAAGGCGGAGAAGTACTCAGAATGGATCCAATTCCGGGAGTAGAAATTGAGGGAGAGAGTGTCTGTGTAGCTCGATACAGAAACAAGAGTGTCATAGTGTGAACATGCAGGAGGGCTCCAATCTGAAGTCAATAAGTCACTTTAAAAGAGGTAAAATAAAGGTGATAAAATGTGAGAGGTAAAGAGAGACTTTATTGTGTCCTGAATACCAAGGTAAGCTCATTTTTAACTTTATCAAGTAGGTTGTTTGTAAACAAAAGCTAAGAAGCACAGTAAGAACTAATGTTTATTTATCACTAAATATATGCGAGATGCTATATTTCAAGCCATCCCATAAATTATCCTGTTTGATCCTGAAACGCATATATTAACTATTCAATAAGTCTCAGCCATTATTATTATCAATTTTTATTTCTAGATTTTCTCTTAATGACACTTGAATTACAAATGGGTAAAAGCAAGATTGGTGTTATTAGGGAAGGAGAATTTTTTTTTTGCAAAGTGCATCTCTCAATTTATGTCATCTTTAATTTTTTTCAACAAATTTTTTACATTGGTATTGAATGTAAAGATATTTCACATCTTCCGTGGGGGTTTTTTAATCTCTGACTGTATTTGTGGGTTTGTCTATTTCTCTTTGCACTTCTATCAGTTCTTACTTCATGTATTTAGAAGCACTGTTACTACATTGATAAATATTTAGGGTGGTGATATGGTTTGGCTGTGTCCCAACCCAAAATCTCATCTTAAACTGTAATCCTCATAATCTTCATGTGTCAAGGGTAGGACCAGGTGGAGGTAATTGGATCATGGGGGCAGTTTTCCCCATGCTGTTCTCATGAAAATGAGAGTCTCATGAGATCTGATGATTTTATAAACATCTGGCATTTCCCCTACCTGCGCTCACTCCATCCTGTGAAGAAAGTGCCTGCTTCTTCTTTGCCTTCTGCCATAATTTTAAGTTTCCTGAGACCTCCCCAGCCATGCGGAACTGTGAGTCAATTAAACCTCTTTCCTTTATAAATTACCCAGTCTCAGGTCTTCCTTCATAGCAGTGTAAGAATGGACTAATACAGATGGTTATGTGTTTTAGCGAATTGGCTCCTTTATCACCATGAAATGACTTTCTTTATTCCTGGTCTATTCCTTACTTTGAAATCTACCTTGATAGTAATACAGCTCCAGCTCTAGAAGAGAATTTAAGACTAGAAAACAGGAAAGGGCCCAAAGCACTCATTCTGGATTTGGGCACTGGGCTCGGTCCATTTCTGTTGCAGCCATGAGCGAAATCTTCTGTAAATGTCAGCTCAGCCAGGAAAATTTATTTTTTGCTCTCAGTATGATCTTGTTGATTTCAGGAGCTTTGAATGTCTATGGTTTTTCCAAAGTAAAACAATTTTGACCTGAGGCTCTGACCCATTTAGTTTTCTATCATATACAAAGTCTATACACGTATTAGGGAAATATTTCTTTTGCTTACAACATCCAAATAAAATGTACATTCACTCTTATATGAAAGAAAAATGAATTTAAGAGCATCTTCTTTCTCTTCATCATTTGTTATCTTTCTATCACTTTCCCCAAGCAAAGAGATAATTCTTTCATTGTACTTTATGTTCTGCACATAGCTTCTGTGTCTGGAATAAAAGTGGAAAGAAGCAATAATAGTACCATCTCATCAAAGAATAAGCAGGCCATCAAACAATCGGTCTTTATAATTGTAAAACATTTCCCAACTGTAAAAATCGAACAAGGTCACTAAATCAATAAGTCCTAGATGTTGCCCCACAAAACATAGTACCCTACAAACAGAACTTTACTCATAAGCCCTGAACTAATAAATTTAAATAGTGACCAAATTCCCTTTTAAAGAGTTGCCTTTGTGTGACAAGAGGAAGTAGGAATGGCAGGACTGGTTAATATGAGGTGACCCACTTCAGCAATGCTGTCAGAAGCCAAGAACAGTGCCTTTCCTTCACAGTGGCTTTGTTGAGTGTTTAGGAAAATGTTGCCAAAATGTTCATTACCAGATGGCATTAAAAAAATGTATTTCTCATGTCAGTGAGTCACTCTGGGGAAAAAATACTGACAAATATGGTAATACCACATCAGTTTATTTGCTTTCAGTATTTTGCATGAAAAAGTTCTATAAGTCCAATTAGAGATTGGTATGCAAAACTGTCCTTTATGTTTTGTTTTAAATATAAAACTCAGTTTCATAATTCCAACCATCTCTGTACTAATCCCTGAATATGCAATATATCATGTATATCATAATAACTATCAGCAAAAAAATAAATGCAGGATTCTGTTCTAATCAAAGGTACTCTTTATAAGTTGATATCCTATACCCTTGTTTGATAATGGTTTAAAGGTTCCAAGCAGTGTCTCACCTGACTACCAGTACCAGATGGTACCCCTAGTGCCCACTAATCTACAATTTGCAGCTCAGAGCAAGTGTTGAATTGTTCTTCTAGGTTTAGATCATAAGCGCAGACCACAAGTCTTAACCAGCACACACACAGGGGTATCACTATTCAGAGTAAACGGTGTTTAGAAAAATGCTGCAAAGGATACAGAAAATAAAGGTAAAATTTCATCATTTATGCTACAATCTCTGGGATTTCTTGGCAAATTTATGAACAGTTCTGTAAATGTTTCATTGGAGTAATGAACAACTGATGCCTCAGAGATGTGCAGCTTCCTTGGTGGAGAGTTCCAGCCCAAAGAGTTTCATTATAATATGGTACTGGAAGTCAAAAAATGCTGAATGTTCTGAAGACTTGAACCATGGACAATGCCTTTTTACCACAGACAATGATGTTGTTTAGCAATGGTTGGCTTTGTGAAATGAGAATATGATAGAAAATTATTGGATCAAGGAGGACTAGAATATCTTACTTTCTAGGAGTAGGGTTCTCATAGTTGTATCTTATTGAGAAATAGTAAGACTAAATAAGTGAGAAGATATAAAAAGTTCATGGATTGGATTACTCCGTATTTTAAATATATCAATTTCCCTCAAATTTCACTCCCAATGAAAATCTCTATTTTTGTGTGTGGGATTTCATAAGCTGATTCTGAAATTTATGAAATAAAAATACGAAAGGCCAAGAACAGTCAAAATACTCTTAACAAAAGCTGAGAGGACTTATTCTAACACATATCAAAACTTATTTTTAAATTGCAGTAATTAGGAGTGTGTGGTATTTGTGCAGGGGGGAGTCAAACAGACCAATCAGAATAAATGTCATAGAAACAGACCTCATGTACAATGGCATGTCATGTTGATTTGTTGGGGCCAAAGACTCTCCAATAAATGGTACTGGGACAACTATGTATCCATAGGGAAATAAATAAAATGATCCGTACCTCAAAGCACACATAAAACTAACTCCAAATAGATTAAAGGCACAAAGAAAAAAATCTACAAAACTGTCAAGCTTGCAGAATATAGGATATCTTCATGACCTTAAGGTAGGTATAGCTTCCTTCAATAAGACAAAAAGAAAAAAAAAAAAAGCACTGGCACTGTATTTCTGTGTATATGTGAATATGTGTGTGAAAATTAACTAAATACACATGACCCCTTGGGTGGAAAATTAACAGAGACCTTATGAAATGCCTACAACTCAATGACAATAAGGACATGAGGAATCAAGAGCAGTGAGGTGCTAAGGCAATAGTAAAAGAAAACTTTCAACTCAGAAGAGCAGAAATGTTGAGTAGCAAAAATTCAACTCAAAAAGTTGGGAAAAAAAACCCACATAAATGCCATAAAATGAGAAAATATAGAAAAAGAAGAAATCAATGGATTAAAGAACCATATAATAAAAATATTACTGGAAACTGAAATTGTTTCTTTGAAAATATCAACAATGCAAAGCCCTAACAACACTGATCAATTGAAAAGAGAGTACATTATCTTTAATTGATGTTAAAAATTCAAACAAACATATTGGAAACAAACAAACATACTATAAAATGAAAGAGGAGATAACAGATATATAATTGCTTTAATGTTGTGAATAAGTATCCATTAAACCTCGAAGAAATTGACAACTTTCTGGGAAAATGTAAAAAGACAAAATAGTCACAGAATGAAATTTAGTAGAACTAATATAGGCCAATAGTATTTAAAGAAATTGAGATTCATTAAAGATATTCCAAGGCCCAGGTCCTGGAAGCTCACAGATGAGTTCTGTCAGGCTTCAAAGAAATAGGTAATTCCTCTCATGTACAGGTTGTTCCAGGAAAGAGAAAGAGGATGAGCTGCTCAAGTAATTTTATGACACCAGGATAACTAGATAAGGCCATTGGTTAAAAAAAAAAAAAATGACAGTCAGCCCAAATTCTTTGATTCTGCCTGAGAGACTTAAAGCTATCGTTGCAATCATAAGCCATACATTTAATGGAAAGCCTTTCAATAATAATGTGAAGACTGATGGCACAGAGGTTTTGAAAATATAATTTGTCAAATTGGATATTAAAGATCTTTACCTTGAACATACTAATAATACAATAGTAAGCAAATGTAGGGTGGGAGTCCTTTCTGGTCATATTCATTGTTATTCTGTGTCACGTAACATGAATTTTGGTCTTTTATTCTAGTCATCCTAAGACATCCTACTTTTTTGATATAAACGGTTCATTGTTATTTCATATGGCTCATCTGTGTATCTGTTTATTGGAAGTAACATTTACTTATTTTATTTATTGTAAAATAATCTAATTTTTACTATGCACCCCAGAACTATGATGATATGCTAAGATCTCTTGACTTCATCTAATAACATCACCTTTACTGAAGTGGATAGGTTTAACTATGTAGTCAAAGTATTAATAATATTAAGTAGGTGGGATAAATCACCAGTTCTCAGTGAAGACCTAGGGATTTCCAGAGACCCCTTCCAAAAGTTCATGGTGTCGAAACTATTTTCATAATAATGTGATGGTATTAGGTGCTCTTCTCACTGCACGGATATCTGCAACAGTGGTGTGATGCAGTGTGAGGTAAAAATGCTAAATCAAGTTTTACTTTACTTGATTTACTAAATCAAGCAGTGGCACCAAACTGTATGAGTGGTGATTACATTCACCACTACCATGTACTCACATTGAAATAAGTGCCAGTGTTGCTTAAGAATGACCTTAATGGGCCGGGCACAGTGGCTCACACCTGTAATCCTAGCACTTTGGGAGGCCAAGGTGGGCGGATTGCCTGAGCTCAGGAGTTCAAGACCAGCCTGGACAACACGGTGAAACCCCGTCTCTACTAAAATACAAAAAATTAGCCAGGCGTGGTGGTGTGCACCTGTAGTCCCACATACTTGGGAGACTGATGCAGGAAAATCGCTTGAACCCAGGAGGTGGAGGTTGCAGTGAGCCAAAATTGCACCATTGCACTCCAGCCTGGGCAACAGGGCGAGACTCCATTTCCAAAAAAAAAAAAAGAAAAAAAGAATGGCCTTAATAAAAGGAAAAGATGATAATTTTATACAATCTTGGGTGATAATTTTATACAATCTTGACCTATAGGTACACATCTCTTTAATATTGTGTCTGTTGTGTCTGACGAAATGGGAAGTGCTCATAGAACTGGTCTGCTGTGCACTGTGGCATGAGAGTTGTCTCCAGGAAATCACTTGCAGAGTTATTTGAGTTGTGAGGTGAAAGACATAGTCACATTTTTCTTGGAATGCTATTTGTATACTTGATAGAACAACTGAAAGACAAGTTATGGTTATTCAGGCTTAGATTTTTGCAGACATGTTCTCAAAAATTAACAAAGTAAGCCTGTCAATTCAGGGAAAATAACTGACATTTGTTGCCAATGATGAGATTTGAGCTTTAAAATGAACATTAGAATTTTTGAATACTTATATCTGTCATTGTGAGCTTGACAGCTTCCCCAAACTTAAAGTCATTTCTGATGAGCTTTGTAGTGAGATATCAATGGATATAATTTGTGATATTATAGAACTAAATGTGTCATCATTTGGAAGATCTGCATTAGTCAGTGAATCAGTGTTTAGTTAAGTGACCAATGTATGATGTTACAATATCACCCTTGGGCAAATGATCCATTCAAAGCCCAAGATGGACCAATGGATTTTGATATAAATAAGTATAAAAGGTTGACTGACATGGTTTCAGATTCCATATTGCAATTAACCTTTAAGAAACTACTACTGTCAAGCTTTGTTAGATTATTCACAATCAGCTGACAAGGCTATTAGAATACTCATCTTTTGTCCAGTTATATAGCTAATTGAGGCCAGAATATCTCCATATTCTTCAAATAAGGCAACATATTGCAACAAATTGAATGCAGAAATAGACGTGAGAATCCAGGTGTCTTTCATTAAGCCCAACATTAAAGAGATTTGCAAAAATGAAAAAGAATGCCACTCTTCTAAGTTTTTCAGAAAATATCTTTAAATATATATATTATACATTATTAAACATATGTGTTAATGTGTTGTGGGTTTATTATTGTCATTTCAAATAAATTAATAGTTTTTTAAGTTCTCAATTTTAATTGAGAATGTGATAACTATGGATAGATGTAATACAACAGTAGAAGAAAAGCAGCTCTTTGGAATCCTCAATAATTTTTAAGAGAATATTAAAATTTTTAAGACATCAAATAGTTTGAGACCTCTTCAACTAAATGTACATTTAATAACAAATATATTTCAAACAAAAAATAGTAAAAAGTTACCAACTAGAAAAAAATTTTAAATGTGTATGTTATCAAAGTAATATATTGTATAAAGTGTATGCAGTTCAATGATAAATATCAAACATATTAGACTGGTGCCTACCAAAGAGATTAAGAAAAAAAGAAATTAAGAACACTGAACACTTGTGGTCATTTTAGGAGGATATGAAATTACTCTATATCATCAGCTTAATGAAGAAAGCATAGCGGATAAAAAAATATATCGAGCATTCATTTTCCTTTTTAAGCATGATCAATCCTTGATAAATTCTCTTTTTCTAGAATCCATAGAAGTTAGCATCACTGGATTCAATTCACCTTATAAGCTTTATATAAGAGCCTTTCTAAATTTCCCAGACAGTCTATGGCAGTTTAAACACCGTGTTCTTGCAATTGCATCTCTCTTCTTTGATGCACATACCCAGTAACCGACCTAAATGCTTTATCCTCTCTTATTACAACATGAGATAAATTCCCTGGGGCCATTAAGATATAACTCAATCACTAAATAAACTGGTATGATTCAGAGAGTCCTTGACTGTCTTGAACTATATTATAAATGGAAAAATAAAATTCAATGCCTAAAATTCTAAAATACCTCCATAAAATAAAATAGCATAATTTCATTACAAAAAAAATCTTCTGTATAATTTTGTATAGCAAACTCTGAATTTCTATAGCCTGTCCTGATAAATTTGCATATGTATTCAATAGTCAATTAAGCTTTTAACAAGGGTAGGTTTTTGAAAGCGTCCAATAAATACTTATCTTTCCACCTGAGCACTGCCTTTCATAAAAACTAAAAGAGCAAAGCCAAATGACCTCCATATTACTGATTAATCTGGGTAGCAGGGCACCTCAGCTTAAGATCAATGGGCTGGCTAGTATTCTCTCCAAGGTGGATCTTGGAACTGTCTCTCAGGAGAAAGCTCCAGGCAATAGGAGAGACACACCTACCATGTTTCTTCCTCCCACCATTAGAGGAGAATGCCCCCAACTCAGTGTTGTTGGCGGATAAGCTCCATCTAAGTGAGAAACTGGGAACAACAGCTGTCTTCTCCGTCTGTATCTCAATCCAATGTCAAGGGGAGAGTTAAGACATGGGTCAGGAGATTTCATATTTAGTGGAAATCGCTCCTCAGGGAACCCGGAGAAATGTAGGCATTCTAATCCTCAAGGAACTATGGTACTTAATAACAGTGAAAATGACAAATATTCACTTTATGAATATTATTTCAGAAACTAATTTAAGTATACTAACATATTTTCACATAAAGCCCACATTCCAATCTACTCTTTCTTTTTTACGTATGAGAGAACCAAGCCAGAAGAAGTTGAATAACATTTTGAAGGTCTCAGAGCTGTTAGGTGGAGGATGCAGCCATTAAATCCTCTATTTTTTTTTTAATTTTGTGTTTTGATTTTTGTGGATACATACTAGGTATATATATTTATGGGGCACATGAATTGTTTTGATACAGACATGCAATGTGTAATAATCACAACAGAGAGAATGGGTACCCATCCCCTCAAGTATCTATCGTTTGTGTTACAAAAAATCCAATTATACTTTTAGTTATTTTAAAATGTACAATTAAATTATCATTAACTACAGTCACCATGTTGTGCTATCAAATACTAGGTCTTATTCATTAGAACTATTTTTTTGTACTCATTAACCATCCCACTGCCCTTCCCAGCTCCTAGTAACCATCCTTCTGCCCTAAATCCTAACTTTAAATTAAATGCACATCTTCTCTGAGCTGATAAGGATATTTTAAAAAAACATATATTTCAAACATAGCTAGGGAATCAAAGTACACTTGAAATTTATCAATAATGTATTTTCTTTCTTTTTGCAATTGCTGTAGTGGCCAAAACATGGCACAGAACATAAATCACACACATTTGTTTTTATTTTATCATCAAAAACATAGTATTAATCATGCATCAGTAGCTGTACCACAATTATCATGTTGTCTCCATAATATTAAAATCAGATTTTTTGTTTTGTTGCAGATTGTGTTTTAGCAAAACAGATTACCCATCCTTTTATGGGGAGAAACCGTTTTTAATAAGGCAACTCCACACTGTCCATTTTCCCCTCCTAACTGACAGCTCAAAAGATAACAAAAGGGCCTAAAAGGCAATCCTCGACCAGATGCACATTCTTCCCCTTTGGAGATGATGAAGTCAAGCAGAGAAAACGCAGTGAGTCACCGTGCTTCTTGCCCACACGGTCATCACCATGGCAACGACAGTTGCCAGGTGGAGAATTCTATCATACATCGTAATTGCTATGTCCACTTTAAGCAGATTAGGAAGGAAAAGATCTGCAATTTTGGCCTGAATTAAAATACTCTAAAGTAAATAAGAGAGTATTGACATCATAACCAATAAAGTGTAATTATATGATATGTACTGCTATAAAAACTGTACGTATTTAGACATAAGAATACTGATAACTAAAAATAATACCCCTCACTATGTATTTAATATCTTGAGGTATCACCACAATTAATGGACTTGATCACACATGTAATTCCAAATCAAGGAAGTTTATGATGAGTACTACACACAAAAAAAATGATGCTTATAAGATTCTAATATCCTTCAAATAAGAAGAGAAGCCACTGCAATTTTTAGAGTTTCCCTGGAGCAATAATACAGAAAAGATATTATTGAATCCACTGGAGAAGATATTGAATAAGAAATATGTCCATTTGTTAATATGTCTAACACTTGCTAAGAATAACAAACTCAGAAACAAATATTAGAGAAGTAAATAATAATCCACTTCACTTCTCAATAACATTAAAGGGCATTACAATATACACTGCCTTCCTATTGAAGGTCAGATCTATTTTAAATGATTTTTTTCAAGCTGTATTGTCTACAGGTTTTTCCATCTATGTATGTAATTGTGTAAGATTGGAAAAATGTACAAGGGTGTACAAATTTTAATTTCACAATGTTTTGATGACAAATATTCAGATATTACATGCCTGTAATCCCAGCACTTTAGGAGACTGAGGCAGGTGGATCATGAGGTCATGAGTTCAAGACCAGCCTGACTAACATGGTAGAAATATCTCTAGTCAATGAGATTCACATTCCCATTGCCTCCTTGAGGCTGTCAGAAACCTACAAGTAAGGCTTAAGTACAGCAAACAAGCCAGTATTGGTCTCCTGGTGCTATTATCTCAAGTCTCCCTCTAGGGGACTCATTTTTCTGTTTAGTGTTAGAGAATATCTAATTTTTATTTTTTGAAAATAAGATATGTGTTGAAAATAATTTATTTAAAAGTGGAAAAGAATCCAGAGTAGAAGGAAAAAATCCTGCCGATGTTAATCTGACTCTGTTTGAGAAATATGGGATTCAAAAGCACCCTTAGAAGTTAAAGTGACTCACCTAATTTTGGAGCTAATTTTAAGTGAAAAGGAAAAACTGAGTGAGAAATATTATCTGATAGAAAAAAATACTCAAAAGACTTGAACAAATGCTTTACAAATAACGAAGTCTGGTGGCAATTCCAGGAAACATGGAAAAATCACAATCTACCCTGTTTCTCTCATGTAGAGTTTTCAGACAGCTGTCCTATGCATTCTGTCCAGGATGTATAACTTCCATCCTAGACAGAATGCATAGGACAGCTATTTGAAAACTCTGAAAAATAAATGGTCACAGGTTAATTGAGGAAGGAAAGCGAGGTTAAAAACATCACCAAACCGAGGGGTATTTTTTATCATTTTCTTTTCTTCCAAGATAACATGATCTGGACTCAGAGACAGACAGAATGCCAATAGTATGGATTGGATGTGGGCAGATGAGCTCCATGATAAGCCCTCTCTTTATTGTCTAAGGAGTGGGAGAGGGGACACCTAATGGTCAGAGAGTGAAAAAATCCTTCAGGGTTTTTTTGCCTTTGTTCCTTTCTCTTCTGCCTCCCAACCCTACTCTCAGGCAATACCATAGCTGCTGTAGCAGCATGACAACAGCAAGGGTAGCCAGGCATGTCCCTAAAACTTTAAGGGAGGATAAATTTTTCCTGCAACTGGAGACTTAAGATCTCAAGAATATGGGACAAGGCCCTGTTGTTCATTTTTCTCTCTTGGTCCTCTAATTGCTTGACCCAGAGTACAGACAGTCACAGCAATTGTATGGAAGAATGAGAAAAATAAAACCCAAAACTTCTGGTGAGAAAACAGGGAAAGAAGGTTCCCGGAAACAGGAAACTGTCAGATAGGTCACAGAGAGAAGGGAGATTGAGAGAGTGATCCCATAATACCACATATAAAATATGGTCTCACCCCTGAGTTTGAGAACTGAGCTACAAGGTACAATGCTGCTCCAGACTGTCAACTAGCCGGTGGTCCAAGAGCAGGACTTATCCCAAGAACACTGCAAACACTTGAAAACCGAACTTCAAAACAACTGTTATAAATATGCTTCAAGGTGTAAAGGCAAATACTATTGAAATGAATAGAAAGTTAGAAAATAACAGGAAAAAATAGAAAATATAATAAAAAAATGAAAATTTTAAAGTTGAAAAATAATATCAAAATTAAAAATTTACTGGACAGGCTCAACAGCAGCAGATGAAGATGGCAGAGGAAAGAGTCAATACATGTGAAGATAGAAATTAACCAATTGTGCAAAAGAAAGAGAAAAGATTTAAAGAGAGAGCTAAACAGATTCTTAGATATCTATGTGGAAATACCAAGAGATTTAACATTCATGTCAAGCTGTGTTGCCTCCAAGTTCTCCCATCTATCTATGTAGCTATATAAGATTGAAAAAATATATAAGGCTGTATAACCTTTAATTTTGCAATGTTTTTGATGCAAAGTATTTTGATAGAACTGTCAAAATATTTTTAGACAATGAGATTCACATTCCCCTTGCTTCTCTTGAGGCTGTCAGAAACCTAAAAATAAGACTTAAATGTAAGAAACAAGCCAGGGCAAAGGAGAGGAGAAGGAGTGCAACAGCAGAGGAGAAAGAATGCAATGTAGAAAATTAAAATTTGAAGAACTAGTAACTGAACTCCCCCCCAAAAAATTTGTCAAAAGTGTCAAATAAAAGCAAGCTGGACTTACAAAAGGAGAGGCTTTAATTAGAAAGTAAGACTAGTTCAATAGGAAGAACACTCCAAGCTCAAAAATCTGTGATATCTCAAAATCCTGTGGGGAAAAAATTCTTCTTTCATAGGTAAAGGAGTATGTGGGTAGAGATAAGCAGCATCTTTGCAGGGAAAGTTGAGTCTGACAGGAGAAGAGTCTCACTGTAGTCAGCTGATTCCCAAGAGAAACTAATGGGGCGGGGGTGTCACACCACACTTTTTTGTGCTTGCTCAGGCTTGAGTGCAAGAAGAGTTCCTGGGCCTGTAGGAAAGAAAAAAGCCTTACTAAAGCTTGGTCAAGACAATGCATAGGTTAAGAAATGAGCAATAGTGAGCACTTGGCTAAAAGACACACAAGGAATTCAGCTCAGCAAATTTGAAATACTTCCATTTCAGACACATTATGTTCAAACTGCTGGAAACTAAAGACAAGAAAAAACTTGAATGCAGACAGAAAAGCAATACATTGGCTATGGTTAAATATATGACATTGTGGAAAAGACAAAATTATACTGACAGAAAATAAATCAGTGGCCGCCAGGGGTTAGAAGTGAGGGGAAGATATGACCCCAAAGGAGTAATATGACTGACTATTTTGGCATCATGGGACTATTCTGTATCTTAGTTATGAAGGGGGTTGCACAAGTTGATACACACATTAGAAACAAAAGTCCATTTTATTGGATGTCAGTTGCAAAAGTAAAATAAACAATTTAAAAATAAGGTACTTGAAAGATATTTAAATTCATTAGTCATTAGGGAATTGCAAATTAAAACCACAGTAAGATACCACTATATACACAGAAAATGGGTAAAACTTAAAAAACTAATAATGCTAGGTTTTGGTAAAGATGTGAAACAACTGGAACTCTTGTACACTACTTACTGGTGGGAGTTTCAATTGTAACAATTACTTTGGGGAAACTCTCCAAAGTTATCTAGAAATATTGAAAATACACACATCTGAAGACCCTGTCATTCCACCTTTACATATGTACCCCACAGAAATGGAGCACATAAGGTCCAAAAGACACATTCCAGTATATATATGCATCATCCTTAATAGTTCTGAGGTGGAAACAGCACAAATGGACATCAGCATTAGAATGAATAGCTATCTTGTCATATGTGTTTACTATGAACGACTCTACAGCAATAAAAACTAATGCCCTTACAGCATTCACTGCACAGCTGCCTGGATGAATCTTGAGTAAAAGCAACCAATTTCTTCAAAAAAAAAAAAAAAGAAGAAGAAGAATGCACATGATTTGATTCCACTTATATGAAGTCCAAACACAAGCAAAAGTAAACTCTCAAGCTTAGCAGTACTTAGATGAAATATCTAAAAATAAAAGCACAAAAGTGACTGATACAAAAGAGAGGACAGTGGTTATCTTTGAAGGCAGAAAGAAGGGTGTGTGACTAACAATGCCAGTGCTGAGGCTTGGCGTGGTGGCTCACGACTGTAATCCCAGCACTTTGGGAGGCTGAGGCAGGCGGATCACGAGGTCAGGAGTTTGAGACCAGCCTGACTAACATGGTGAAACCCCGTTTCTACTAAAAATACAAAAAATTAGCCAGGCATGGTGGCAGGTGCTGTAATCCCAGCTACTCGGGAGGCTGAGGCAGGAGAATTGCTTGAACCCGAGAGATGCAGGTTGCAGTGAGCTGAGACCATACCACTGCACTCTAGCTTGGGCAACACAATGAGACTCCATCTCAAAAAACAAAACAAAACAAAACAAAACAAAAAACAATATCAGTGCTTCTGGCAAGGGCTTCACAATTTTTTCTTTCTTGACCTAGGTTGAAGTAACAAGGTTATTAATTTTATTAAAATGCTCTTTATGGATTATGCATTTTTCTATTAGTGTGTGATTTTAAAATTTTAAAAATGTATACTTTAAAAGGAAAGGAAAAAAAGCAAAAAGCCATGGCTGTATTCAAGAAAAGACTAATAAATTCTAGTAATGAAAGTTAAACAATAAATCTGGGCATAAGTTAACTAGAAATAGGCACAAAGTGTATCATCAAATGAAACTAAATCCTCCCACTTAGGAGGTAAGTCCTTCTAAAATTCATTAATTGACTCCTGAAACAGAGGAGCAAGCATGTCATCATGGGACCACACTAAGTCTGGCCATCCTTAAGTCAGATGATGGCATCTATTCACATGTATGCTCTACAGCCAGGGTGGAGGCCGGGGGCAGACGGATAGACAGGTAGATAGATAATGAATAGATTAGATAGATAGATACATGGATACATAGATAGATAGAGAGATAATAGATAATGGATAGATGAAATGAATGATGAATAAATAAATAATGGATAGATTAGATAAATGATGAATAGATAGATAATGGATAGATTAAATGGATGTATAGAGAATAGATTAGTTCGATAATAGATGACAGATAGATAGATAGATAGATAGATAATGGATAGGTAGGTAGGTAGATAGATGATAGATTTGATAGACATAGATAAACAATAGATGGGTAGGTAGATAGACTCTCATACACATACACATTGAGAGATAGTTCAAAACCCAGCCACAGCCAAGATTCGTGAATTAGAAAAGAATGCCTTATTTCCTATAGCTGAGATAATTACACAGCAACTTAATACTATTCAAACATAAATTGTGCTATGAAGGATTCAGGCAAAATACAAGGAAAATGCCCCAGTAGGGAACTCTATAAGACACTCTGAGTTTTTGTGTGCCTGCAAGGAATTGTATATTATTGAGTTCTCTATTTGATCTTAAGAACTGACCATGTTCCTCTTGAGGGCTGGAACTAGATAAGGTGTTCTCCTGAGGATTTACCTGGTGTTGGATCCTCTCCTAGGGTCTATGATGAAGACTGGACTATATAAGCATGTTAGTTCCACAAGAAGGCTCGAATGATTTTGAAGGCAGTTTCTTTTAAAACTCCCCATCTTCTCACCCTAGAGCAGTCGTAGGAACCGAGAGTTTTTTCTGGAATTTTTCAGAATAGAAGGGGAATTTAGTTTTCAACATACACACATTAGGAGCAGTATCTCCTTATGGGAAAATTATCAACCATGTGATTTCTGTTGTGAAAGGAAATGAAAGCACAAGAGAACGGTGCTGGTGGGTGAGGAGAAGGTTTCATGTCTGCAGCTGGGGCCAGGCAGCAGCTCAGCATTTCTGGGCCTAGCTCAGGCTGGAGGTCAGCTCAGCCTGAAGATGTTCTCAGCCACAGCCCCTGTGGCAGCTCCACAAAGCCACTCTTTCAAGCATTGCTGTGGGCTGAATTAGGCACCCTGTGAGGTTTGTCATCTTATTAGTGAGTTTTGTTGCCTGGACTTCTAGTTCTATGCCTGGTACTATTCAGTATGGCAGCAAGGATTGATCTCACACAGGTAAGTGAAGAGCTTGGGATTAAGCCTAAGGACACCCACCTAAGATGGGAGAAGCCAAGTCCCAGGTGCCTAGAGGGTTACAAAATTTCTGCATTGTGAATTACCATCCCCTTGGATGAAGGATTTTAATGATAAAAGTAAGTCTTCAAAGCTTAATGCTAGTCTTGGATGTCCTGAATATATCTGCTATTGGAAACAATTCATGTTTTGGGGGAGGAGAACTTCTATTGTTTCCCTGGTCTATTAGTTTTCTATGATTGTTGCAACAAACAAAATCAGTGGCTTTGAACAACCAAATCTGTTCTCCTACAGACCTGTAAACCAGAAGTCTCACTGTACTAAAATAAAAAAATGTTCTCATGGCTGGCTCATCTCATTCTATGGGAGAATGGTTTCCTTGCCTTTTCCAGCCCCTGGAAGCCATTTGTATTCCTCTGCTGGTGGCCCATTCTTTGCCTCACCCCAACCTCTTGCTTATCTCTTACTTCTGTAGGCAAAGCTCCCTTTGCCTCTCTCTGATAAGGACACTCTTGATTACATTTAGGTTCCACCAGGATAATCTCCCCAGCATATTTTCAAAATCCTTAATTTCATCGCATCTGCAAATTTCTTTTTACCATGTAAGGTAAGGTTCATAGGTTCCAGGGATTAGGACCTGGGCATCTTTAGGGGCTTATTATTCAGCTTACCACACTTGATTTAACAGCCCACAGAGGGTGCACCTGGTCTGGGCCCCCACACACGTGGGCTTCCTCCCCTTCCCTGCTCATGGAGTTGACCAGACAACTCTTGACAATAAACAGATAAATATATATATGGATTTATACATGCATACCTGTAAACTATATAGTGATTTGTGTTTATAAATTGGGAAAAGAGAATTTTATTTTTTCAGAAATGTAGGTCTTAATTTTTAATTTGAAGGCTAGAAAGGCTTTTCTTCCTATACCTAATCATTCCTCCTCCTAACTGAACCAAGTATTTGCTGGTGAGCATCAGAACTGGCTGAGCACAGTGGAAAACCATTTTCTGTAACCTTTTGTGTTCAAGAATCATCATTTTTGTCCAGGCGTGGTGGCTCACACCTATAATCCCAGCACTTTGGGAGGCTGAGGTGGGTGGATCATCTGAGATCAGGAGTTCAAGACCAGCCTGGCCAACATGGTAAAACCCCATCTCTACTAAAAATACAAAAAAAATTAGATGGGCGTGGTGGCGCATGCCTGTAATTCCAGCTACTTGGGAGGCAGAGACAGGAGAATTGCTTGAACCCTGGAGGCAGAGGTTGTAGTGAGCCGAGATCGTGCCACTGCACTCCAGCCTGGGTGACAAGAGTGAGACTCTGTCTCAAAAAAAAAAATAGAATCATTATTTTTATGTAGCAGCTTTGTGGGAGTTCTTCCCATGTTAGGTGATAACGTTGTTTTTGAGTTGTCATTTGTTTTTCCCAGGTGTTGCTCATCAGTTCCTCTGAACTAAGTGGGAGTTTGGCTGAGTATTGTTATTGGTATTTTGAAGAAATAAAGACAATGTGACTTGCTGGAGCCCTTATCACTGTTGCTCTCTAAGTCAGGGGCCTGTTTATTTCACCTCCTTGTTCAACACACCCCTTGATTAGAGAAATGGCATGTCCCTTGAGAAAGTGATGGAGATGGTGCCTTTGACTTCCATTTGTCCCAGTCCGATGCTGAATCCTAATTGCAATAATAAGTTGTTGTGTTTCTTTCCTTGTAATGAAGCTCCTGCCTATCTGTGGTCATGAATAGCTTTGCACTGTGCTGGCAACAAATGCTAGCAGTTACTGTTAAAGTAGATGAGTTGCTTACCTCTTCTTTCTAGTAACCCACTTCCTCCAGAGCTAAGGTCTGGCTTTCCAGACATGTAAATTCTCTCTCTGAAATCCAGACCATACACACAGATTTCCATTACCTGCTGATTATGTCTCCCTCACTTTTCCCACGCCAGGGACTGCCGCAACCACTTGCTTTGTCTCTGAAACCAAGTTCAACTTCTAGGTTCTAGAAATCTCCTAACTGGCCCACCCTGTTCCAGCCTGAGCCCCACTTTGTTTTGTACACACGGCAGGTTATCAACCAATATCAACTAAGGCTTTTTTCTTCCTTCAACATTGGGTTCTCCATATTTGATGAATGACTGAAATACAAGCCCTGTGCTTTGGGCACTGAGGCATTCTGCCCTCAAGGAGGAAAGGACAGTGTCTGGAATGGACTCTGTGTGGCATCAAGCATAGGCCATGGTGGCAGGACGGAGAGCTGAGGCAAAGAAACACAATGCTGAAGGAAGTGAATGTGGGGCCTGCTGGCATAAGCACGTGGTTCACCAGAACTTTGTTTTCCACTTGAACCACTAAGAGTATTTGATAAATGCCAGTGGAGGATGACCCTCTCCTCTGGTCACATAGGCTGCTCACAGTCGCTGAGGAACACATTAAACATGAACTATTGTGTAAGAAATGTTAACTTCTATATTTTCTTTCATTATTTTCCCACGAGTGTTGAAAAATTGAACTCTTATTATGAGAGAGCATGGCAGGAGGCCAGGGTTGACGTCCATCACTTTGTGCCTTCATTCCCTAAGTGCACCAGGAGGCATTGTTATTTCTCTTCTTTTGTCATGGAGGTGTAAGGGTTATGGTAATATTTGTCAATTCACTGTGAAATGTGAACTGCAACACAAATGAGCCACCATCAAACTAAAGGAGAGTATGGAGAGATTTCCCAGGCGTGGCCATGGCCCAGTGAACACAGCGTGGCTGGAACTCAAGGCCGGAGTTTCCTTGGGAGTTTGTCAAACAATGAAGTACAAACTCATTGGACAGTCATTTGTCAACATTCATGACAGTTCAATATCCACACATACTTTGACCAAGTAGTTCCACTCCCGGGAATTTAACCAACAGAAATATTTGTTCAACCGTGCAATAATAAATGTACAAAGATGTTTGCTTTGTTACAGGGAAAACTTTTAAATATATGACCATAAGTAAATCACTAAATAAATACAGTACTCTTAATTCTTACTATCTGCAATAGTTGTGTTCTATAAAATTTCCATGGACACCAAGTTAGCAAATTCTGAACCAACACAGAAACATCCAAAATAGTGTTTGATCAAAATGTCTGGGCACGGCTCCCCAGCCAAGTTGACACATAAAATTAATCATCACACATGGGAACTAGGATTGAGTGGAAGAAAATTTTAACATTTGAACATATATAGCTCTAGACACTCAAACTAAAGCAACATCAACAAAAGTAAACAACCACTGAGACCACCCATTCGAGGGCAGAGCATCAAAGCAGGCTGCTTCTGAGACTTCACCATTGGCACCTCACCATCTCCGTGTCCAAAACTGATCTCAGAGTGTGTCACCCACCCAATCTCTGAACTCCAGCTTCTTCCTCACTGCCACACCCTCCACATCACCAGTCATTCACTAAATCCTGTAAATCATTCTTCCAAGGGCTTCTTGAAGCTATCTCTTCCTTTTCTATCTATTGTGCTAATCCAGACCCTTGCCCAGATCTCTAAATCCAGTCTTGCCCAGCCTAAAATCTAATCCTCTTTCCCTAAAGAGTAACCAATCTAAAATTCAACTCTCAATCTTGCTGAAAATCCATTAATAGCTAAAGTCCATACTGTGTCAACTAAGGCTCTATTATAGGTCCTGGCTTCTGATGGTGTATTTGCCCCATAGTCTCACTGCCTTACGTGTCTATGAAAATAGACAGTGTGTTTCCATGAATTATTGCCATGTTTCATGTCTCTAGAAGATGGATGATGTAGGTCCTTCTTTCTGGAACACCTATCCTAAAGCCAATGTCACATCTGGCTGAACTTCAGCTAGACTCAGGTATCAGCCCTTAGAACACTCACCATCCAACCTCCACAACTTCCCTCTGCACTTCTGGAAGCTTGTACTTGGCCTAACAAACCCTTCTACCTGGTAAAGCAGCCACCATCTTCACCCACCATCCACTGTGTCTAGAGAGGGGCAAAAAGAGCACGAGTCTTGGACATAGGCCTTAGCACGTACTGGGTAACCTATAACTATTCACTGAATTAAGCATTCCTTTATACTTCCTTTTTTCTAAAATTAAAAATGAATATATTTTTTACCATGAAAAAATTTAACATTGCTAACATAAAACCCAATCCGTTTGAGAAACTTTTTTTCAGCCATATGAATTAAAAGGAGATGTTTTCACAGGAATCAGGAAAAAATAATTTGGTGAAATAAAATCCTAATGTCAAATTGCTTAACCTTTCTGTGGGTCTCTACATTTCTTTCCTACGGTCATTGTATTGTTTTACTGCTACAATGAACATGATCTATGCACAACATTGTGAGTCATGCTGAGTACACAGGGGTCCAGGTATTCAGGGACACTTCATCAATGCTACAGGAAGGAGCTACAGGAAGCACTGTTAAGGCTAAATGCACTGAAAGCATAGGTAAAGCAAACCCATCTTCTCTCCTTGAGTAAATATGGATAGCAGATAAAAATGATGTTTCTAGCACATCATTTTTGCCATCTTGGTCCATTATGAACTGGTTCACAGTGAAGCTGCCTCGTGAGTTAAAGACGGTTTGCCATCTTCAACACAGATAGAGTTGCCTAATACTCTAAGGGAATGGAAAATTTTTATGAATTCATGAAGAAGATTGGGGAAAGGAGTTCAATTTATTGAAAGTCTGCTATGTGCCAGGGGCAATTCTAGATTGATTCAGAGAGGTTAATTAACTTTCCCAAGGTCGTGAGACTATTAATCAGCAAAGATGGGACTGTTTGCCTAGCTGATTGTGGTACTAAAATTGTTTTAGGCATAGTTCAGTAAAGGCTTCTTTTAGAATCTCTCCATACCTTTCCATTGTTGGTTACTCTAATGAGTAAACCACATTTTCCAAATAAACATTGACAGATAGAGCAACTAACTATTTTATCATGCTTGAGATCGTCAATTTAATGTTCCTAAACCTTCACAATAATTATGTCACATTATTTTCCCAACTACCTCTAATGCCTTTCCATTTTCACAGAAAAAAAGCCTGGGTTCTGTAAAATTACTCCAATCAAATGTTCCAGCTTTCCCTTTACAGCACAAATTCTCTACTGCAGGCTGCTCGTCTTTGCATCACCCTAATCTTAATAAAGGTAATTGACTTTACCTCTTTCTCATGACAGGAATTTAGAAGTTCCAATACCAATTTCAGCACAGTTTTCAAACATATGATTTCCACAGAGATCTCATTTTTATTTTTTAAACCTTCGGTGACACAAATAAGCTTATAATGTGGAATAATAATTGCTAAAAAAAATCATCTAGATATTAAAGATATCCTGTTGGAAGTCACACATCTTTATGGATGATATTGTATGATTGAGTGTCCTTTTGCTTTTTTAATGTGTCTACTTGTGAATGTATGTATATATATATATGTATATATATATATATATATATACAGAGAGAGAAAAAGAGAGAGAGAGAGATGGAAAGAGAGAGAAAGAGCTACTGTACATCCATTTGGCAATAAAACTAGATGGAATAGAAATAAATTCTAAAAATTGTCACATCCATTTACTTTGCTGGGCAGAATGCAGTGCAGGGCCTGGATAGATTGTGGGTATCTATTTGGTTCTAGCAAAAGGTTGTCATATATTGCAGAGAATATTTTATTTTTTAAGTAATTTAGAGTCATTTTATTAGTTAACATGAATAATAGCACCATGAAAATAATTTCTTGTTACAGAGTTTTCTTATGAGATTTTCAGTTTTATTTCATTCTACTCTGGCAACAATTGCAGTATTTTGACAGAGGAGTGATAAAAAGCTGGCAAGATGACAGAGTAAGTTAGTTTATTTCCTCCGGATGCACTGAATGCTGCAAGTTTCTCACTTCAAGATTTTAGCTAAGTTTGTTCAGTGTGGTTGAAACTCCTATCTCTCCCCATCTAATTTTGGATTCAGGAACAGCCTAGATCAACATCAGAAGAGAGAGATGGGGGTGGCAAAGATGAAACTGCGGACTCTTTCATCACTTTGATAGTTTTCAGGGAAAATTTTTTAAATGTAATGAATTTGAACATGCTCTGCTGCATTGTGGTTATAAATCCCACCTAGGGGAGTGTGGCCATCCTGACCAGGCGGGAAGAGGAAAGGAGGAATGGCTGTGAAATCCAAAGGGGAAGTGTGCAGATAGTTGTGATGGGTTGCACACGACTCTGAAAGGAAAGAGCATAGGAAAACCATGGATGTGCATGGGGTCCCAGTTCCCCTAACTGGGCATGGTCCGGGGGTGGGCTGTGGGAGGGCCCTGCTTAAGGAACTGTGAGTGAAGAGGGTGGCTGGGGGTCAGGGGGCTGCCCTTGCCCACAGGAGACTGGCTGGAGCTGGAAGGAAGCCTCCTGGAATGGAAACCTCAGCTAGCCTAGGTGAGCTGGTGTTCTCCACCATTTCACAGTGAGTGAACCTGCAGGTGGTGGCAGGGTAGGCCCCTCCGCCAACCCTGTGCATGTCAGCGCTAGCCAGAAGACCACTTCCCTGCCACCTCCCCTACAGTGCTGCACACAGGTGGGATCTCTGCCCACCAAGACCTGGCCTGCATCCCACCAGGATCCCTCCCCTATGGCCCTGCCCTGCTGAACATGTCCTTTAGTTGGGAGGTCCACAAGGCAGAGGAGATGAACACTGGGTAATGGAGTGAAAGCATGGAAGTATATTTCTCTCAGAGAGCGTTTTAGTGAAACTAAAAGAAAGCACTCAAATAGAGAATCAGGATGGAGAGCTATTAAGATGAGAGGTGACGCCTCACCAAGAGCCCTAAGTGTTGAGAAATAGGACTGAGAAATGCTAAGGTAAAGCTGAACTCAGGTTTCACTGCTAGAGCTCGGGCATGGACTTCAGGGAGGTGGTCAGAGGCCCCACCCAGAGCAGGGATGGGCGGAGCTGTTCATCCAGCATATCTTCTCTATTGATACTGTAACATGTTACCACAAACTTAGTGCTTAAAACCACACACATTTATTATTTTACACTTTTGTAGATTAGGTGTCTGACAAGGCTCCCACTGGGCTAAAATCAAGGTTCAACAGGTCTTCGTACTTTCCCACGGCTCTAGGGGAGAATCCATTTCCTGCAGCCAGAGGCCCCAGCATTCCTTGGCTCATGGCCTGGTCCTTTGTCGTCAAAGGCAGCAATGTTGCATCTCCTGCACTGTTCTTTCATAGTCACATCTCTTTCTGACCACAGCCAGGAAATGTTCTCCTCTTTTAAGGACACATAATTGGATTGGGCCTACTTGGATAAGCCAGGATCCTCTCCCCATCTCCAGGCTCCTACCTTAATCACATCCCCAAAGTCCTTTACCATGCAAGGTCACATATTCACAGCTTCCAGACATGATGATACGGACATCTTTAGGGCCCATTATCTGCCTATCGCACTTCCCAAATGAGTAAGAATTCAAATTGTTAGGAATATGATTTTGGTAAAAATCTAAAAGAAATTGCATCAAAAATGTCTTTCCTAGCAAAGGCATAAGAATGATATAAAGGACTTTAGGGACTCAGGGGAAAGGGTGGGAAGTGGGTGAGGGGTAAAAGACTACACACTGGGTACAGGTCACACTGCTCACATGACGGGTGCACCAAAATCTCAGAAATCACAGTAAAGAACTTATCCATGCAACCAAACACCACCTGTTCCCCCAAAACTATTGAAATAAAAATAAAATAAAGTAGTGGTGGGTCTTTTCTTAAAAAAAAAACTCTTCCTGATATGGCTCTGCTTTTTTAGAGGGTCGAAAGGGACCAGGAGAAAGAATCTCAATGTGTCTCCAGAAACAGAATAAGGACTGCAAGTGTCCACCCCCGTCTCTGCACGTGTCCACCCCAGGATGTTCAGTGCGTCCTCTCTTGCCACGTTGTCTCCATGCTTGGCTTGTGGTTGGGCCTCCAGCATGCTTATCTTTTCTTTTCATTGAGGATAAGACGACATCTGCATTTGGATATGGAGACATTTTCTACTTAGAAGAACAGGAAAGGGTGCGAGTTGTCACACGAGCCTCTTCACGGGCAAATGTGCACCCAACTCCTCAGTGTTGATGGCAGAAAATAACCAGCAAATAGGGACACAGCCTCAGAGGCTCTGTGTCATCACATCCATTTTCCTCAATTTGATGCCAAGTGCTGGCTTCAAGAAACTATCTTGTATCATGTGATCTGTCTCACTTGAATGTTAGATTCAACTCTCGACAGGTGGCATTCATGACAACAGCTATTTATTGATCTTACATACGCTGCGGTCAGGGTACTAGGAGTTCATGGGTTGATTTATTTACATCTTTGTGCAGCATGTTTTACACAGGTTCCACAAACATTTCATTAGGTCCTTTTGATCTGTCGAAAGAAGTGTAACAAATATAAATGTCATCTCTATTTTGCATATGAAAAACTGGAGGCTAACTGAAAATAAGGGTCACTCAGGGTTACAGTGTATCAGGCATAAAATGCACATCTTGTAGTGCTGAATCCCAAGCAAAGTAATGGTCTCCAAAGGTGTCCTCATCCTAATTTTTAGCACCTGGTAATATGTTAGTTTACATGGTAGAAGAATATTTTGCAGATCAAGATAAGAACCTTGAGGTTGGGAGAGTATTAATGTCATCACAGACATACTTATAGGAGAGAAGTAAGAGGGTCAGAGTGGCTGGAGAAGGACACGTGGCAATAGAATTGGAGACACAGTAGTGATGGGGCACCATGAGCCAAGGCACATGGACACCCTGTAGAAGCAGGGAAAGGCAAGGAAATGGATCGTCTCCTATGGCTTCCAGAAGGAACCCAATATTGCTAACATGTTGATGTTAGCCTAGTGAAACCCATTTTGGACTTCCTCCTCCAGAGCTGCAAGAGAATAAATGTGTCTTGTTTTTAAGCCACTAATGTTGTGGTAATTTTTTACAGTAGTAATAGGAAATGAACACATCCGCTGTCCATAACCCTTGATGTACCTCTAGCCCAGATCTTACCACAAAGCCCTAGATCCACAGACCAAACTGCCCAGTCCATCATGGAAGACTTCAAGGGGATCACACCCAACACACCTAAAACTTAAGTCCTTTCATCCTTCCCTCTCCAAACCTACCGCCTTACCTATATTCCCCATCACTGTGAAGGTTATGCACCTGTGTGTTCGCCAGATCAATTAGCTCATCCAAACTCTCTCATTTTACTCACCCTCCACATGATTATATATATATATATTCTATTCTACTTCTTTACAAATAATACTTCCTCAACGATGATTCTCATCTCTTAATTTCAAGGCCTCACAGCTTTCCCACTTATATCATATATTCCTCTTTCATATCCTATATTGTCTCAGGTTTAGGATGCCATGGCCAGCTGATCAATCCTCCATACTGCTTGAAAAATGATATTTCAGATGCATTACTTTCAGATAAAGATCAAACCAGTTTCCCTGTTTAGCACATGGACCCAGCATCTGCTTCTCTAACCATCTTTGCGGCTCCTTTCAGAGTTTGCCGTATCTAATTAAAGCATTATTAATCAAAGTTTATTCTTGCTCAGACTGGATTTGCCAGGTGAATCATTCTCTGCCTAACAAATATTTCCAAATATTTGGCCACAGCAGCACATGACTGGTCAACTGCCAGAGGTGAGGGATCATGACAATGGGACATTGAAGCCACACCTAAACGACCTGACATTTTCAGTGGGGGCAGGTGGCTGTACCATCAGTAATGAGTGGGTATCACTGCCTTCAGTGCCCAAGAGAGTGTACAAGGCAATGTCTCCAGAGCCTGCTGTCACTCACACGGCCCTCAACCCCATCCAGTCCTCCCTCCCTCTTTAATTTTGCAGCAGCTGCTCCTTTCTACATAAGGCCCATCTTTCTCTCTCCTTCTCCTTCCTCTCCTCCTTCTTCTCTCCCTCCCTTCTCAACTATCATTTTATCATTGTCTTGTTTCTCTCTAATATTTGCAATATATTTTCCCAAAATTTTAAAATAGCTTTTAAATGAAGCTCTGTTGAATTTTTAGACAACAAACATCTAGAATAAAATCTCTCGATCTTCCTTTTCTGCCAGCCTACTCTCTCTTTCCCTTTGCACCAAATTTCTCCTGAGTGTTCATACTCAGTGCCTCCAGCTCCTCCCCTCATGTGCACTCCTCCGCCATCTGCAATCTCACTTGCCTCCACCAGGCCAATGGAACAACACTGGTAAGCCTAACTTTCCTTGTTTCAAAGGTCATCTTCTTTGTGCTTTTACAAAATGGCAGCACAGTTGACCACGTCCTCCTTTGAGTAAGCCCTCTTATTTTGGCATCTGTGATTTATGCTACCCTGGTTTTCCTCCTGACACTCTGGACATATCTTCCCAGGCTCATTATTTACCTGTCGACTAAATACTGGATTTTGCCAATAATAGGCCTATGAATCTCTTGGCTTCTCATCCTACTCTACTTTCTTGGTCAATCATATTCACACTCATAACTGCAGTTTTCATCTTAATGGAAATGAACCACAATGCTATATTTAAATGCCCACAATCTACAAGCTCAAAACCCAGGGGGTCAGCCATTTAGCTATCATTCTCCGCCAACTTGGATAGCTAAAACTTACCCAAAACCAAACTCTTGATAACCATCCTCCATTCCTACTAAAACCCTGTTCTCTAGTGTTCTATCCTAATGAGTGTTATCACCAATCATCCAGCCATGCAAACCAGCAATCTCTTAATCTCCCTCCATGCCCCTTCACAGCAAATCCGTTACCTATTCCAACTGTTTTATTTTTGTAGGCCTATACCCAAACCACCCTTATCTCCATCTCCAACCACCTATGGGGGACAGATAGGACGAACCATGCCCACTCTGCCTTATCTGAATTCCTGACCCACTTCCGTGGGTCCATCTTATGCATGGACATAAGAAAATTGTTGCTGCTTTATGCTACCAGAGAGTCGAGTGCTTTATGATGCAACTCGCCCACAGGCATTGATTATCCCCTCTCAAATGCATTCTCCACATTGTTGTCAGTGGTATTTCTGAAATGCAAATCTGGCAAAGTCACTCCCTGCTCCCACCTCTGTGTAACCACCCATCCAATAGGTTCTTTCTGTCCACTGCACAAACAAAATCAACTCACCAAGACCATGGCATTGCAGTAAAGAAAGAGTTTAATTGATGCGAGCCCAGCCATGCCACACAGGAGACAGAGTTATTACTCAAATCAATCTTTCTGAAGGCTGGGAGGTTAGGGGTTTTTCAAAGATAGTTTGGAGGGCAGGGGGCTAAGGTAGGAGGCATGCTGAATTTTTGGGTCAGAGATGAAATTATAGGGAATTGAAGCTGTCCTCTTGTGCTGAGTCAGTTCCTGGGTGGGGATGATAGGACTGGTTGGTAGGTCCAGGTGGGGTCATCTGGTTGTCAGAAATGCAAAAGCCTGAAAAGGCATCTCAAAAGGCCAATCTTAGGTTCTATAAAAGTAATGTTATCTGCAAGAGTGATTGGGGAAGTTGCAAATATTATTAACTCTGGAAAAATGGCTGGTAATTATTTAGAACTCAAGCCCCTCTCACCCTCCTTACTTGATGGTCTTTCATTAGTTTTACAAGAGCAGTTTAGGTTTGGGGAAGAGCTATTATCATTTAAACCATAAACTAAACTTTTCCCAAAGTGAGCTTGGCCCATGCCCAGAAATGAGCAAAGACAGCCAGCCTGTGAGGCTAGAGGCAAGATGGAGTCAGCTCTGTCAGATTTATCTTACTGTTATACTTTTCCAAAGGCTGTTTAATCTGCAATGGAATAAAAAAACTCAGATAAACCTATATCCCATACTGTAAGCCACAAGACCTCAAATTGCATGCCCCCTCCAATTCTCAGGCCCCTTCTATTTAACTAATTATTTTCTTCTCTGTGTCATTGTTGCATGCCATCATTTCCTTCCATGTCATACAGCTATCTCAGGGCCTTTGCACATGCTCCATTCTCCCAACTCCCCTCATTTCAAGCTCTTTGGAATGCCATGGCTCTCTCCTTTCTAACACAGCGTATAGTTGTAATTTTACATTTAATTTGGGGTTTGTTTAATTAATTTCCATCTTTCACACTAGACCTTTAGTTCTCCAAAGAAAGTGTCCATATCAAGTTTTTTTTTTTTTTTTTTTTTGATAACTAGAGCTTAGCACAGTACATGCACAATATAGGTGCTCCAAATATTTTTTGGAAAAAACAGTTCTTTACAATGGCAGGAAACAGCAAAGGTTGGAATTAGGGTCAAAGTAAACCTCTGTGTTCCATGGAGACTTCCTGGAGCATCGTTTTACTCTGCATAAATAATCCTTTAGTATTATGACCATGGGGAAACTTCCAGTCATGAGACCCTCTGATTATATACTAAAAGTTAAGCTTTGACCAGCATTTCACTTATCATTTAACTTTCTTAGTATTGTTATGGTATGTGCCACTCTCCTCCCTCCTCCTTCTCCCCTTCCCTACTCCACTGAATCCCTTTGTATCAGATATGGTATATTAATTCTCTATTGGGACAAAACAAATTACCTAGCACTCAACAAAGTAATATTGAATGGTTATTCATTATCTGTCTGCTTCCATAAGTCAGGAATCTGGCCATGGCCCAGCTGGATGCCTCTGGCCCAGGGTTTCTCCTGATGGTGCAGTGCAGCTGTCATACAGAGCCATCTCCTGGCTGACTTGCACCCAGTAGGCCAGCCTCAGCCTCAGTCCTGAGCCACATGGGCCTCTCCCAGGATAGCCTCATGACATGGCAGCTGGCTTCCCCAGAAAGAACCACAGACAGAGCTGGTCTTTTATACTCTAATCTCAAAGCGACATCCCATCACTACTGTCCATCACGATCAAGTCACCAAGGCCAACTCATATTATACAGGATTATACAGTATGTGAATACCAGGAGGTGAGGACCATTGAGGGTCATTTCAGAAGCTACCTACCACAGGTGCAATTTAAGAATAAGAATTTAGTTCAGGTTGGTATCACTCATCCAAGATGGGCCAAAAAGAGTGGGTAGGAGTGCATATTTTTTTCTCATAATTTGAATTAAGCTGAAGAAAAATAAAACATTTCATGACATAATAATATCAGAGTTTGCTTGAGCCCAGGAGTTGGAGGCCAGCCTGGGCAACATAGTGAGACCTCATCTCTACAAAAATTTTAAGAAAGTTAACTGAATGTGATGGTCTGTGTCTGTAGCCCCAGCTACTTAGGAGGCCAAGGTGGGAGGATCACTTGAGTCAGGGAGGTCAAGGCTGCAGTGAGCTATGATTGCAACACTACTCTCCAGCCTGGGCAACAGAGTTGGACCCTGTCTCCAATAATAATAATAACTATAACGTCAGAGTTATTTTTTTTCACAAGAAGCCAAGTTTGAAGTCACATGAACAAGAATGTTTTCCACATGTACAACTAAGCTGTGTTTTCCCTGGGAAAAAGCAATGCCCACTTAGAAAAACTGCTTGCTTCTTAGGTAATTAACAAGGAAGTCAATGGTCAGAAGCTGCTGCTTATAGGGAAACTGAGAGCAGAACCCATCTCCCCTCCCCCATCACCACCCCCAAAACTCTCTCACCCAGAGATCAGCTTCATTCTCATGATAGCAACACTGAAATCTCCTACTTATAAAGCTGAAGAGTAGAACTTCTTCTAGCAGGAAGGGAAAGTTTCCCAAGAGAACATGATGGTACTTCAGATAAGGTGGCTTAAAGATAATGCTGCAGAAATATGCTGGAACATTTACCCACCCACTGGGAAGAGAACCTCGGGGATAATACTCAGCTGCATGAGTAACCACCAGTTTTCCAGGCCTGACCCCCTCCAGCATAATCTGGGTTCTGCCTACCCACTGAGCCAGCACCTCACCCCACCCAGGCCTCCTGCCTTCCCTCACCTCTTTCTGCTGTCCACATTGGAATTTGCACTCTACGTTTAAGAAATGACCCTGCGTCTTCAACGCCTTCTCAGAAAGTGGCCCTCTCCTTCTTTTGGCTAAGACCTGCTGTCCTGCTTTTTTTTTTTTTTTTTTTTTGATATGAAGTTTTGCTCTTGTCACCCAGGCTGGAGTGCAGTGGCGCAATCTCAGCTCACTGCAACCTCCACCTCCTGGGTTCAAGCAATTCTCCTGCCTCAGCCTCTCGAGTAGCTGGGATTACAGGCACCCACCATCACGCCTGGCTAATCTTTTGTATTTTTAGTAGAGACAGGGTTTCACCATGTTGGGCAGGCTGGTCTCAAACTCCTGAGATCAGGCAATCTGCCCGCCTCAGCCTCCCAAAGTGTTGGGATTACAGGTGTAAGCCACCGTGCCCGCCGTGTCCTGTTTCTTGTTAGCTCCCTTCAGTTTACCTCTTGCAGTCTCCAGTCATTATTCCATTGCTACTCCAAAATCTCTTCTTCTTCCTGAAAACAAAACAACAATAACAACTAAACAACAAACCTGCCTGCGTATTGGAAGCCTGTTTCACTGGAAATAACATTGTCCCCTCCTCCTGGTCATTGGTGCCAATAGAATTTCATATGACCACTGTTCCCTGCTCCTACCAGGCTTATAGGAATCCTCTCAACCCCAACAAACTTGGATATTTAGCTTCCATGTGGAGGGTGCATTTGATATCATGGCCTCTCTATTTCCTGTCTTACTTGCAACAAAACAAACCTGTATTTCTGTCTCTTCCCTATGGTCCATCGTGGCTGCAACAACTCAGAACTCGCAAACCATCACTGCCTGTACTCCCTGGTCACGTGCTCAATAACTGCACCTCCACGCAATCATTCTTCAACCCCGTTAATACTCCCAGTTGGTTAACCACACTGTTTACTCACAATCTATTCACCTTTCCCGCCTTCATTTCGCTCCTTTCTCTACTTGGATTCCTCCATTCATCAGTATACTCACCAATCTAAGACACTCAACATCATTGCCATCTTGAAACCTTGTTAGACTCATTTGGCCAAGATCCCAACACTGGTTACACTTAACTCTCTACTTTCTCCATGCCTGAAACCCAACAACAGAAAGGTTGGAAAGAAAATCACACAATCACTTTGAATCCCACAAACACAAATCTCGAAGGAGCTCCCAATACCGCATGACTATATACCACGTTTCTCTGTAAACCTGCCTTTCTTCTTGTTGAGATAATACCGTGGCACAAACAGGATTGAGGTGCACAGCATACATTCCTTCTTTTGAGAAGAGAGTCAGACTAACCTTCCTAGCTACTTAGGATGCTGAGGCAGGAGGATTGCTTGAGCCAGGGAGGTCAAAGCTGCACTGAGATATGATTGCAATACTGCACTCCAGCCTGGGCAACAGAGTAGGACCCTGTCTCAAATAATTAATGATAGTAATAATAATAATGTCAGAGTACCTTTTTTCACAAGAAACAAGTTATATAAACAAGAAAATGTTTTCCACATATACAACTAAGATGTGTTTTTCCTGGGAAAAAGTAATGCCCACTTAGAAAAATTGCTTGCTTCTTAGGTAATCAATAAGGAGGTCAATAGTTAGAAGCTACTGCTTATAGGGAAACTGAGAGCAGAACCCATCTCCCATCCCCCATTATCACCCCCAGACCTCTCCCACCCACACAGCAGCCTCATTTTCATGCTAGCAACCCTGAAATTCTGTGTTTGTAAGGCTGAAGAGTTTGCACTTAGATGCAACCGTGTGGTTGAGCTTCTGCAAATTGAACATGAGCAGGTGATGTGCACGCCTTTCAGGTACGGCTCCTAAAAAGCCATCCATCAAGCTCGGACCTTCAGCAACATGTTTGGAAGCGTCATGCCGACAGAATGCATTAACTTTTATTTTCTGCATTTAGCAAGTTACATTGAGGAAGAAATGAACTTAGGAAAGGATTATTCAGTTTGCAATAGAAAGAATCCAGAAAGCTAGGTCCTTGAAACATAGGGAGAATAAACTATTTTTTCAACTCAAATTTCAAAAAGTAGACTGTAAAATGCACTGAACAAAACAGGCCCATTATGATTCTTCCGTTACATAAAGCAATTCCACTTTGTCACAAAGACCCAATTAAGAGCCTCTCATCCTACTCAAGCTCATTGTTTTGGACGTCCTCCAGGTAGCTACTGTTAGTTTGGAAAAAAAAAAAAAGGATGTAGGGCTGAGGAAACAGAAAAATAAAAGAGACCTGAGAATTATGCTTAGGAAACCTATTGATATGTATGATATATAATTCTGCTCAAAAAAACATAGCTCAAAGGCCTATTTGGTTCCAGCGGAAATTAAATTTTGAAAAAGGAGGCAAAACGTAAAAAGCATTTGACTGTTGAAGTTTTTGATCATTCAAGCTTTAAAACACCTCTTAAGCTTCTCAAATTGTACGAGTAGGAATTAGGCTGTAAACCTGAAATGAAAGCAGAAAGGGGCTGTTGGCCCTTGACTTTGGAGAGGGATGAGTGTGTGTTTGTGTGGAGGAAAACCGGAAGATACAGCTGAAGTTGAGCCTGATCTGCTCAACTGCATCTCTTTCCACTTTACCGAGTTCACACGGCACTTCCCTTGGTATCAGGAGAAGCCCTGTGAATGTTAACAGAGGCTTATGCTTCCCAAGCCCCCATGTGTGGGATGCCATACTTCTTCTTCTTCAGTGACCTGAAAGGACATGTGCTTAGGATTGTAGGTCAGTAAGGCATACGAGCCTGGGTCTCTGAATCCCTGTGTGGAGCAGAGCCTCCCCAGAAACAGGTGTATTAATTCTGAACAAAATATAAATGTGTATTGCCTAACTTCTTGTTATAAGGGAAATTATTTATTTTCTCATTGCATTTATTTTTGTCACAGCAGCTGGTGTTACTTTAATTAAATCAAGTGTCTTCCCTATTGGCCTCAAGCCAACACCACCTTTTCCTCAACTTCCTCTCATAATTCATTGAGGAAAGAGAAACAGGAACCAGCAAGTCAACCCCTTTGCCTCACCAAATCTGAACGCATGTTTTAGGGCTAATCACTTGTGAAGTGATGAAAGTGTCCCTCCTCCCATCACAGCAAACTTCCACCAGTTGTGTTGTGGGTCCTATCTCTAACTGTTGAAGGACTTTTTACTGTAGATGGCCCTTCTGCCTGCATTGTCATCTCTCTCCCTTCATTGTGTCATTTCTCTCAGCAGAGAAATGTTATCCATTCATTATTTCCCTGATGAGAAATTATCTGTTCCCAATTTCAGCAACATTTCTCAAAGGAATTTTCTGCCTCCATTGTATCCCCTCTTTATTGTTTCACTTTAAGAAAAAAAAATGTATATATGTAATATATGTATTTATATGCACACACACATTACTAGTGAGCATGATAGCTGGTACAACAATGTTGGAAATAACTGACACCAAACATATGCACGCCCTATAATCAAGAAATTCCATTTTTAAGCACATATCTAAAAGAAATGTATACATGTGTGCACCAAAAGGTGCATACAAAAGTCTTCCTAGTAGCCAAAATCTGGAAGCAGCACATGGCTATGAGGACAAATGAATAAATAGGTTGTGAGATATTTATGTACAGAAATACTACTCAGCACTGAAAATTAATGAATACTGTTATGAGGACTAGCAGGGATGAGTCTCACAGACATAATGTTAAGTGACAGAAGCCTGATGTAAAAGACTATATATCCTATGACTCTATTTCCATTTATACATTGTTCAAAATTAGGCAAATCAAATTTCTGGCATTACAGAGCAGGAGGAAGGGGTCATGATTAGAAGGAGTAAGAAGAAGCCTTCTGGAGTCTAAAAATGTTCTATTTCTTGATCTGGTTGTAACCAGTTGGGTTAATTTTGTGATAATCCATTGAGCAATACATTTAATGAATTGTATCTGTTTTGTAGAGATGTTGTACTTCCGCATATCTGACTTTTTTAAAGGTAATAAAATATGATAAATAATGCTGTTGTATCCTTTGTCAATTCTTCCCAGATCCATCTCCCTCACTCCACACAGGCAAGCATTAATATGAGTTTATTATTCATCCTCCTAATCTATTATGATATTATTATGTCTGCATATGTATGAAGATATGTATGTTTTTGTCATAAAATAATATACATAACTAATACTGTTCTGCAACTTACTTTTTTATGTATCATGGCTTTTGAGTTCTATGTATTTATCCTTATGCATTTGTATAATGTATTCCTTTTAACTACTCTATCCTATCACAGCACATTGTATCTACCCATTCCACTATTGATGGGCATCAATCCTCTTTCATGCTTTCCCTGCCATGAAAGCAGTTTGTCAGTGAGCGTACTCCTTTTCATCTCGCAGTGCCCACAGGAACAGGTCAGCTGGCACAGCCATGTGGGATGAATGAAGAAGGACCAGACTTACAAGTGTGATTCAAATAAAAGAGTTTGATATGGGGAGGCTATCCTGGATTATGCAGTTGGGCCTGATGTAATCACAAGAGTCCTTGTAGAAAGGGCACATGGGATCAGAGTGATTACTAGGAAATGCTACAACAGAAGAAAAAGCTATTGTGATGAGAGGAAGGGTCTCAAGCCAAGGAACGCAGGTGGCCTCTTGCAGCTGAAAGAGGCAGGGAAACAGATTCTCCCTCATGGCCTCCGGAATGCGCCAGCCTTGCCGATTTCAGCCCAGTGAAGCTCATTTTGGACTTCTGATCTCCAGAACAGTACAAGAATAAATTTATATTGTTTTAAGCTACTAAGTTTGTGGCAATTTGTTACAGCAACAATAGAGAACAAATACAGAAGGAGAGAGGAGAATTTGGGTCACCCACACTTCAATCATTAGAATTTCTGCCTCATGATAAAGAGGTCATGTTACATTTAACTTCACAAGTTTCCTCTACAACTTCGAAGAAAATGTGCCCCCTAATAGGTAGAAAGCTGCATAAATGTTGCTCTGGCTTCTCATAAACACACACACACCAATGATCCCGGTGGGTCTTCAGGTCAGGTCACAGGCCACACCACCTCTGTGTCCCTGCTCTACATTCCTCTGTGAGGTGTGCTGAAGGCAATGGAGGTGTGCGTCACCATTCTCAGCCTCTTCCACTCCAGGGCTGATGCTGTTGTTGCTTTGTTGGTTTAAATGGTGTCCATTTTCTGCCATGTGGCATTTAAATACATGATTCTTTGATCTTCAGTTAGAGAGAGGAGAAGAGGCTCTTATGAACTATGTGAAGCTTTGCTGAGGCAAAGCTGCCAGGCGTAATCTGTGGCCTTATTTTTTCAGTTTCTTATCCTAACATGACCTCCTTGCTCTATTGCTCACATTACTACTTGAAAGTGATTCTTCAAATATTATATTAACTTGCACTGAACCAGTGCTTTTTAAATTTTATTTATTTTTAGGAAAACAATTTGAAAGTGTTTCTTGTAATACCTATTATTAATCTTTTGAAATACAGCCATTATTTCATTAGGTAGATACTGGAACAAGATATGTACATACATAAAGAGGAAGGGAGGAAGAGAGGAGAGAGAGAGCAAACACCACTCGCTAGGAAATAGTCTTTCTGAGAAAATCAAACCCGAATCTGATCTAGCCTCCATACTCAATTATCTAATACAGGAAATGCATAGGACAGAGAAACATATTAAATGATATCCCAGACAATCAGGAAACAATCCAGATTCATGCACACATAAATATCAAAAGATACAAGAAATAAAAACTGGAGGAGGAAGCTGCAATGGACATTATTTGGATTTCAATAAATTTCAAATAATCATTTCAAAGAATCAAAGTGTAAGAGAACCACATTTGTAAGACAATTTACAATTTGAACATTGGGTGGATGGATGCACAGATACAGATAAAAGGAGATGGATGGATGGATAGATAGATAGATAGATAGATAGATAGATAGATAGATAGATTGATAGACAAATAGATACATAGACAGAGAAATAGACAATTAGGGTCACACCCTTCACCCTACTCACTAATAAGTAGACTATAAAGCAGAGCTTGTCAAGCTTTGATGTGCTTATGAATTAATGAGGGATTCTGTTAAAAATCAGATTCTGAGTGAGTAGGTCTAGGGCAGGCCCAAGGTTCTGCATTTCCAACAGGCTCCCAGGTGATGCTGTCACTGCTGGTCTGTGGCCCACACTTTGTACAAGTAGCAAGAGTATACAGATTAAAAGTTGAGCCAGACTAGGTGATATTGGGCAAATTATTAAACTCCTGAGAATGTTTTTATAATACTAAGCTATAGAGCTGTTGTAAGACCTGAACTCGATCTTGTGCTCAAAGCTCTTGGCCATTAGTTTTGTTATAATTACCTTCTAACTGTCTCTTTTTTCTCTGTTGAGCTGGATTCATTGCCTATCTTAATGCAATTACGTGAGTTTATATATTATATATATCTTTTTCATTTAAATAGTATAAATGAGTATTTTCCCACATAATTAAAAATTCCTGATAAAAGTATTATTGTCATTATTATTAACAATAGTAGTAGTAGTAAAATTTGCATATGCTTTTAAAAACACACACGTTAAAAAAGGACCCGAATAAAAAGTAATAGCCTCTTTCCTGCCATTCACAACCTCTGTCTCCAGAGACAACCACTATCAACATTTTCTATCTTCAGTTTTTTGGTGTTGATCCCTATAACTCAATAAAATACAATATACACATTCTGTTATTTCTTGTTTAAACTTCAGACAGGGCTATTATTAAGGATAAGACATGTGGCATATAAATAAATTAAGTCACTATTTTGAAAACTGGTAAGTAAAGGGGAAAAGTCATTCATTTCCTATACGGAGTCTACCGCTGGCTAGCCAAGGAGTAGATGAGTCAGAGTTTCTCCTTACATGTATATTCCAGCTAATGAGTGAGAAGGAAAGATAAAATTAGAATGGTGCCATTTTATAATCCTAATAATTATTTAGACATTAAACATCAGAACAGCCAATATCACAAAAGAAGACAATCAGAGAGTATGTGGCTTCTGATGGAAAAGTCCATCAGCAACTGTAAAGTAGTCTGTCAAAATAAATAATCTGAATCTTTTCAAGTCTCTAGATCCAACTACAATTTATAAGTAGAGAGGACAGGAAAAATGTTAAATTTGACACCACCCAAAGACAATAATCAGAATCCAGAACATGGGAAGGTATTGAACAAATGGGCAGATTTTTTCAACAACGAATTGGAAGGGGGAGAAAATGAGAAGAAGATCAAGGATAAAAAATATGTAAAGGGCCTATCATCAAGACCAATGGGTGCATTTTATTTGGATCCTGACTCAAACATGGTAAGAAAAATCTAGATAATGATGACATTTATGAAAGAATAGAAAATGTGAATGCAAATTGAATTTTAATCATATTAATAAATTATTGTTCACTTTTTGTTGTGATCATATTATTTTCACTATGTTTTTAGCCATCCTTATCTTTAAATGTTCGGAAGTAGTTATACCTGAAATGACATGATACCTTGAATTTGCTTCAAAATAATACAGGGTGAGAGAAATGGGTGGGAATATAGATGAAGTAAGGTTGTCCATGAATTGATAATTTTTGAAGGTGGGTGATGGGTATATGGAGGCTTTCTATTTTATATGTTTATATTTTTTTGTAATAAGAATTTTTAAAGTTTTAAAGAAAGTATATCTAAAGGTTAACAATTTTTAAATCTAAGTGGTGGGTAATAGTGTTTATCAAAATACTTTTTTTTGTATTTTCCTGTTTGAAATATATATAATTAATAATATGCAATAAAATAATAAAACAAGAGAAATAATAACTAACCAAAAAGAAATTTAGCTTATCTACTACTTCATCCTTTCTCTTCTTCCCAGACACCCTCATTTTTTTGTATGGTAATATTATTCTTATTTTTAGTGTTTCTTCTGAGTGGATTTATGAATTTAAAATTTTATTCAATCTGATCCTGGAGAGAATACAGAATCTGACCCCCCAAAATCTAAGTCTATCACAAATATATGAGGAAATGTCACTGAAGGGAATTAGGGGAAAAGTTTTAACCTAAGTAACTTTGGGGGAAAAAAATAGAGTCTGTAAGACTAAAGGCAAAAAAAAAAACACTGTGCATAACACTGTACTGTGGCTGATAAAGTTTTTTCTCACTCGGGTGCAGATTATCAATGCTGATACTACTATACATGTGTGCTGCAATGGGACAATTAAGCAAATGGATAGAAGACAACTGGAGCCAGGTTGCTCACAACTGGGGGCCATGAGTTACAGATAAGTAAGAGAAGGAGGTTAGAATGATGTTTCGTTGATAATGCATTAGAGTTGTGGACACAGCATAAATATTAGGCAGAAATGTTAGGCATATAGCATATGTTAGGCAGAAATTATGTTCTGCCTAACATAAATACAGATGGTTACAAATAGAAATATTCACAGAAGTGTATATATAGATTGGATCATACACACACATGTATTTTCTTGCTTTGTCAGCTGAGAGGGTCTAGAAGCAACAAACCCCAGTAGCAATGAATACATATAGTGCCCAGATCTTGGTTTCTAATACCATTCTCAATAAAAGAAAACAGGGATCCTTGGAGAAATGGCTGATCCTAGGACTAGGACAGAAAATATACAAGACAAGCCTGGAGCATCTTGTAGTACAAACAAGTAAGAAAGTGCTCAAAAACAAAACAAAATGACGGGAGTATGTCCATGAATCTTAAAGTCAACTGAAAACTCCCAGTGGCCAAAACTGGAACAATTTGAGCAAAAATAAGTAAATAAAGTGATGTTGGCTTATAGCACAATGTATAAAATAAATATCCACATGTCCATTCTAATATGAATAAATGATGGGATAATAAATACATGCAGAATAGATAAATATTCTATGCAGAAGAATTTCAAATAATGTATATAGATAGCCACCCCCAGGGTAATAAAGCATTACTCTGCATTTAAGTGTGGGCAGCATACAGTGACTCCCTTCCAAAGGGTACAATATGGAAAATGGAGAGAAAAAAAAACAACATAACTTTAGAGCGGAGAAACCTCACCAATGCTACTCAGCCACGTGGTCAAAATGAACATCAATAGTGATGTCATGTTGATAATATGTACCCTTGAGATGATGTTTATTAAAATTTTTATTTAAAAAATATATGTATACAGATATGTATATATACATTACATATAGCTATATTTACTGACTTATTAGCTTTCTAATGTGATTAAATCATTTCCTTCTAGCATATTTGACTGTTTTCTTCCTTTTCTCTCTCCTGCCATCCCAATTTTTGTTGGTTTTATTGTTTACTATGTTTTAAAGTTTCCAACATATACATTCCATTTTGAAACTATACTTATTTCTTTAAAAATTTGCCTATAGATTAGTTATAAGAATGAAAAACTAAAACATGGCAATCACAATATTAACACTGTAGAAATATTTATGTAGAACTACATAGTATTGTTTGAGGGATATGAAAGGAAACAATGTTTTGTCTCTTTCCTAATTAAAATAAATCCTTTAAAAAAATTCCTTTTAGCTTTATTTCACTTCTTCCTTAACTAAATCTTTTACACTGTTATATTGTTTATATTGTCTCTCTCTCCTTTTTTTAACCTTAATGCTGTCTCAACAATTTTTAATTCATACAAGGTTCACAGGTAAACAGTTACTTTTTACATATCAGATAATGTTTTACTTTATTATTTTTGACATTGTTATTATTCTTACAATTTTTCTTTCATTTTTGTTTTGTTTTGTTTTCTCCATCTAGAAATCCTCTTAGATAAACTCTGGGATTCCTGGATGAGGGTATCTACATTCCTAAGCTTTTCACCCTTACTGTCCCATTCTTCCTTTTTCCTTTAACACCTTTGAAGAGTTTCTCAACATCTTCCCAATTATTGATTCTATCTCTGGCTGTTTTCTCTTATTCATGCAGCCCCTTTACAAATGTTTTCAGTCTGGCAATATTTTAATCTCCAAACATACTTTACTATTTATTCTCCTGCTGTTCTCTTTCCATGGCAAACTTGTATTATTTTAATAATAATACCAGACCTCTTAAAACTCTGTGAAGATTCTAATTCAAATTAGTTAAATGTTTTTTTTTCTTTTTTTTTTTTCTGGATTATTCCTCCAGCAAAAGTTTGGTTTTGTTTGCTTTATTTTGTTAATTTATCATAAATCTTTTATTTCCTTAAATGTCTGATGATTTGTGGTTTATTCTTATAAATGAGAAGCTACTTTAATTACTATTGATTTTTTGAGTCTCTTTTTTTAAACATAAACATTTTTGTAGGCCAGGCGTGGTGGCTCATGCTTGTAATCCCAGCACTTTGGGAGGTCGAGGCAGGTGGATCACGAGGTCAGGAGATCAAGACCATCCTGGCTAACATGGTGAGACCGTGTCTCTACTAAAAATAAAAACAAATTAGCCGGGAGTGGTGATGGGTGCCTGTAGTCCCAGCTACTTGGGAGGCTGAGGCAGGAGAATGGCATGAACCCGGGATGTGGAGCTTGAAGCGAGCCGAGATCGCGCCACTGCACTCCAGCCTGGGCGACAGAGCGAGACTCTGTCTCAAAAAAAAAAAAACAAAAAAACAAAAAAGCAAACAAACAAAAAAAAAATTTTTGTAGAGTTTTTCTATTAAAAATATAAGAAATGAAATAGTATCTTTTGAGCTTTATTCCTACTTGTCATCAGTTTTTTTAACTTCATCTTCACCATTCTTGATTTTTCTATTAGCATTATTTGCTGACCAGCAGAGTACTAACTAGAATACACTATTGCAGGATGTAAATAATAAAACTTACATGGGTTAGGTATTTCATTTTGATTTCTATACACTAAAATTCATACAATAAAATTCTGAGACAAACCTGATATCCGTTTCTTTACAGAAAACCTTTTTGGCTTGTTAATGTATTTTTTATTCTTGAAAGAAAAATACATTCAAGTTTTCTGTGTTCATTTATAGTTAATTAATTTTGCCTAGAATTCAGCTGCCATTTAGATCTATAGTTTTGCCTCTTTCTTTAAACTAGGCCTATAATTCATTTAGCATTGCTTTTGCTATAAATATTCAGCTTTCTCCCTCTGAGATCCATCTCATATCCTAGACTGGCACCCCTGAAACACGTTCTTCTTTCTGTGCCTCCCCTCTGTTTCATACATGGCCTCTGCGCTGCCTTGCCCAGGGGAAGAGCTCAGAAGCTTGACAGAGGGAAGGACGGAACACCCTGAGGGTATTTTTTTTTTCCTGTTTTTGGATTTGCCCTTCTCTTCCTCCTTTAACTCCACTCTTTCTGTGCTCATTAGAGTCAGTCTCTATGAGTGGAGTCTCTGCCCCACAGACACCGTGTATAATCTGCAAACCTGCTCTTTCCCCAAATCCAGCCCCTGGAGGCTATTTAAGGGGCCATGGTCTGTTGTGTTCTAAAACTCCTAAGCACAAGAGAAAAACAGGTGTGTAGAATATTTCTCGGCATGACTATCAGGTGAAAAATGAGTGAAACAGCAGAAATATTTGTAGATGCCTCATTTCCACTAACATACTTGAGGATGTGGCAACAGTCATTTGTATTTTCTTACTTCCTTGAGTAGACACAGACCTCCAGGGAAACCTGTGTATTGTAAGGCATTTCTCTTTCACAGAGTTGCATCCTGTTTTCTCACACTTTAACACTTTAATGTCCAGGCAATTGGTGGTGATTTTCACTTCAATTAAAAATGAATTAGAAAGTAAGCTTAGCTCTAGCACATATAACCAATGAAAATATGACCAGGCAAGGAAGTGAGTGCTCCCTCAGGCACTGACTGAACTCACAAGCAATGTCACCTTGTCACATTCTTGACACCAAAAATCTGCCTGTGAATCTTAGTCCACCTGTTTATTAGCTACCAAACACCAAGTGAAAACATAGAAGCAAAACCAAAACAAAAGAATAAACTATAGAGACACCGCTCAATAAGATAAAAATATGTCCACAAATCTTATGACTGGTTAGGAAATGGGAGAGTGAAGCAGGGCATAGGGAATACAGAAAGTCTGAGACATGCTCATCGTTAAAAATAGTTTGGACACTAGGAGACAAAAAGGTGAAAACGATACCTGTGTGTGTTGGTAATAAACTCTGGATCTTATCAACTGCATTACATTGATTTCAGGATTGTAACAATCAATATATGTTAACCTAGAAAGTATGCATTTCAATGAAAAATGTAAAGGGTTTGAAGTCACTGTAAATCTTATTGTATTTCATTTACTATGGATTTTTTTTTAAATTGTACTTTCTTTAACTTGAAATAAAAGAGTTTGGTTAAAGCCTTGTATTTCCTGGAAATCCACATGTAATGTCCGGTGATGGGGCCTGAGTGTAAATGTGAGGTATCTTCATGAATACTCAGATGTAATGAGGATGCAGAGAGATTGTGACACCTGCCCTTCTGCACTGGATGGATAATTATACTTTAATTAGAACATAATTTTTTTGTATTCCCGGAAGGAACATACACTCTGTAGGAACCAAATTGAATAGTAAGTAATAAAGTTGTAATTAAATTGATAGTTGGTTATACCCCACTGTGAGCATTGGACACGATGCTTAGGTTTTCTACAATATTTTCTGTAGAGCTCTCATGGGGTCCAGAGGACATTTTGCAATATACAAGGCAGTTATTATCATGAAAAGCAAGTCACTTAAGATTCCTAAACATTCTCACATGATGTACCCTTTTGTTTGTAATTGGACTTTTGCTGTCAGAAGCAATTGTGTGTTTTAAGGGAAAGGCTCACTTAGGACTGCTAAGCTGATTCAAGAAGTTGGTCATGGATTCTGAAGTTCAAGACCGCAGCACAAAATGAAAAATCATTTTGTCTAGACACACAGCTAAGGTGATCCCCTAAACAATAGCCCTGCCAAACCCAGCAGCCCAAGCCTGAGACAATTTTGAAGAGGAGCCAGTTTTCTTTAAGGCAATTTCTTTACTCAACTCTCCTGCCCTTCTTTTCTGCCTCTTTTTCTAGAATCTAGAGCATCCACAGAGTCTCCTTCTACCACATTCAGTCTCATAAATTTTCCTCTATCAATCATTTTTAGCTTGGAGTAATTTAAATTACTTGTTCTAGGGATAGTGGTTTTAGGCTCTATTTTTAAAGCCAGAGGGTAGAGGGCCTTTCCTGCGACTTTTGTGACTACAGCACATGGCCTTTAACTACATTAGCCTGACTAGGGCAACCAGAACTAAAAGTTCTCAGAATTACAGAGATAAACCACAGGCCTGTCTTTTCAAAGCTAATAATTGTATACAGAACATCTCAAGTAGTAAAGCACAAAGAGATGCTTTTGCATCTGTACCATCTTCCCATGTCAAAAATACTGTCAGACCCAAATTGGACTTTTTTGACAAGAAAGAAAAAAAAAAAAAAGAAAAGAAAACAACTGTACTGTTTGGAAAAAAACACATGTGAACTAAAGAGAGATCTACACATTGTAGAATATGCAATCAGTGGACAATTAGCCAGTATTTAATTATCTGTTGCTACATAACCACCTTCTCCAAAATTGAGTGGATTATAATATTTATTATCTCCCAGTTTCTATGGTTCAAAAACCCAATCATGACTAGCTGTGTCTCAGGGCTCCTCCGGAAGCTGCAGTCAAGGTGTTGGCCGGGGCTGTGGCCATCTCAGGTTCTGTTTCTAAAGTCTCTGGCCCGGTTGTTCACAGGATTCATGCCTTTCAGGCTGTTGGATTAATGGCCTTTGTTTCTCACTTGCTGTTGGCTAGAAGCATCCCTCAGTTCCTTGCCACATGGGCCTCTCTTTAGGACAGTCACACCAGCAGCCTGGGGCTCATCAGTGTGGGCAAGAGAAAAGAGCCATGGAGAGCATCTGAGCAAGACAGAGGTTAGAGTCTCCTGCTGCTGCTGTCAGAAGTGGCTTCCTATCGTTATGGCCATATTTTATTAGTCAGAAGCAAGTCACATGATCCAGTCCTCACTCAGGGGTGAGGATCACACAGAGTGTGAGTACTGGGAAGTGGAGATCACTGGGAGCCATTTTAGAGGCTGCCAACTAGAGCTTAACATAATGAAAAACAGGCACATTATGAAGAAATAAAATTCTTAGGCTGGGTGTGGTGGCTCACACCTTTAATCTCAGTGCTTTGGGCGGCAAAGGTGAGAGGATCACATGAGGCCAGGAATTTGAGAACATCCTGGGCTACACAGTGGGACCCTATCTCCACAAAAAGAATTTAAAAATTAGCCAGGCATGGTGGCACATGCCTGGGAGGCTGAGGTGGGGGGATCCCTTGACCCCAGGAGTATGAGGCTGTAGTGAGCTATAGTGAGCTACTATCATACCACCACACTCCAGCCTGGGTGACAGAGCAACACTCTGTCTCTATAAAAGAAAAAAGAAAGGAAATAAAATTCTCATATTGGGTGCCTTAGTTTGTTTTTGCTGCAATAACAAAATGCCTGACTGGGTAATTTATAGTAAATAGAAATGTATTGACTCATTGTTTTGGAAGCTGGAAAATTCAAGATTGAGGGGCTGGCATCTGGCAAGGACCTTTATGCTACGTCATCTCATGGCTAAGGCAAGAAAGGCCTGAATGCATCCTCTTACAATGGCATTAATTCCACCTGTGGGGCTGCACCCCTCTTGACCTAATCACCTTTTAAGGGCATCATCTCTTAATACTATTACAATGGCAATTAAATTTCAACATGAGTTTTGGAGGGAACAAACATTCAAGCCATAGAATTGAGTAAAAACTTCTTGAGGTTCCTTATACCAGTGTCCTCCTTACAGACCATCATCATCCTCAGACTCAATCAAATACAGCAAAACTGACTTCTTTCTTTTCTGTTCCTAATGGAAAATAACAGTGAAGTACTGTTTAAAATAAGTCACTCAATGACAAAAGTCAATCATAAACACAGAGAGAACATCTTAATATTATGACTCAAAATAACAATATTGATAAAATACTTTTCAGAATAACAACTTACATCATAAAATGAAATATACTAGCTGACCAAAGATCTCATTAAATTAGAGAAAGGCAATTTAAGATTTTAATGAATTACTGTTTTTCTTTATCTCTTTAAGACTAAAGAAAAATATTGAGAATACACATAAATATTTTTTAAGTTTAAAAGAATATACACCTATAATGAATTGAAGAATGGGATTGGAGAAGATTGGAGATGACATAATCTGTACTATTATAATATGTAATGGTGTGTATTTTATCATTTGAATACATTTTTAATAAAAAGGCATTCAATACAAGGAAATGTAGCTCATAAGCCTGTTTATTCATATATAGTTATTTAACTATGAATTCGAAGAGCCTGTAGCATTCCAGTGTTTGCCATGGTACTAAAGATGTGTTAAACGCTAAATGAAACCAGGACATCTGCCCCAGGGGGCGTTCATACAGGAAAGCGCTCTGGTCTATTGTACTTGGCTGTGTTTGTAACGGTTGCATCTCTAAAGCCTCATAGACACCAATAAAGTGAAAGAGGGAGGCCTGGGCCGAGGGCGGATCCAGGAGGCTCCTGGGCTGGAGCAGGCAGCGCCCGGAGGCCGCAGGCCGTCTGCCCGCCTCAGGCCCGTAGGCTGCGTCTCCCCTCCCTGGGCCCTGTCCCCTGCAGGGCCAGAGAGGCCGCGGCCTCTGCCCAGTGGTACTGGGGGAAAAAGGAAGCCGCGAAGCGGGTCCTGGGGAAGAGCTCACCTGCTCCTGAGGGAAGTGGCGACAAGATGGCGCTTTCAGGTGGAGCTGGACGCCGACTCACTCTGCTCCTTGGGTCTCCGCCTTTCTAAGGCCACCTCCTGCTGGCACCACTCCGGGCCTACTTCCCGCACAGACTGCGGGTCAAAGGGAGCGGGATGCTGGCCGGCGGCACCTGGCTTTTTGGAAAGAGCAGGAAGGAGCGTGATTCCCAGGCAGCTGCTCATCCCAACAGCTTTAAGCTTTGGTTGTGATTGTTTTTACACCTATGACAAATGATATGGCCAGACACACCACAATGTCTGAACAAATTAGAGAGGAGCAGGACCCTGCGGACAGGCTGTGGCCCAAACAGTGGCTGCCAAGCAGACGGAGCCTGCACCAATGAAAATATGACCAGGCAAGGAAGTGAGTGCTCCCTCAGGCACTGACCGAACTCATAAGTACCCACTCCATTTGGCCAAAGAAGCCCCCATACTCTCTGTGAAACAGATTTCCAGAAGCTGTTGTGCCAATAACGAAGTCTCAAAAACAAATAAAAATAACAAACAAAACCCACACAAAACCACCAATACTGAAGATCATTCTTGAGTCTGATTTGCAAACTATGGGTTTGCAATGGGTTTGCAAACTGTGTGTTGCAAGGGTCCGAGTCTGCAGAGGCATTCCAGTGACAAGATACCGCCTTCACAGCCAGATCCGTAGGTCCCATCCATCATGCCAGGGAAAATGCTCCATTCACCGCGCCTCAGCTTCTGGTTCTGGTTTCAGAGTTCTCTCTGTATTGGAGGGGTTTTAAAGCTAGAGGGGCCTTTACCCACTTACTCCTATTCACGGATCTGAATATGGAGGTCAAGAGGGGAAAGTGACAAGTCCGAAGTCAGAGTAGATGAAGAAAACAGCCCCTTCTTCAAGGAGCTCCATCTAGCAAGGGAGACAAACTCTTTGCAGGCAGGACCAGGCTTCCCTGCTGCAGAAGGAAACTTAAAATTGGGGTAATGAGCCCCACCAGGGATGGGCCGCCACGCTGCCCTGAGAGGATCGTGTGTGGACTTAGGGCTAGACATGGCGCTACTTTGATCCCTCAGCTGTGCTGTAGGGCCGGGTGGGGCCTGGAGTGCCCTGAGCTAAGGGCTGCCAGGAGCTCTTTTCACTCCCCTAAGGCCCTGCAAAAGTAATGCCACTTTCAATTTGCACAGCGAAATCAGGGACACACTTTTCTAACACACGGGATGCCTCCCCTTCCCCCAGCCCAACGGACGATCTACCCTGTTGGTGGTGGGCCCTTGTTTCTGTTAGGCACGGAACTCTCCGCAGGGTTCCAAGTGGTCCGTTGTGGCCCACAGGCCACTAGCAAGTGGAGGCAGTGCTGCAGAGCCCTTGGGAGCCACGGAGGGCCTGCTGCCCACCACACAATGCCTGTTCAGCTGCTGCTGGCCACCCTGTGGGCAGCAGTGATAGTGATGTACAGAATCCTGGGACTAGCGCCAGCGACCCTGTGGATACCCTGGGTGGTCCAGGTATGCACTGCCGTGGTGGCCTTTGTGGTCAGGAGAGGACACTCAGTGAGAATAAGGGAGGAGCTAGCACAAAGGGATTCAGCCCAGGGCGAGGTCCATGAAAAGACCAGAGCCAAGATGCAGCCAGCACCCCAGGCTGGCGCTGGCCTCATGTCACCCAGGCTAGAAGCCAGTCATTGATCACCCCAAACCCTCTGCTTCAGGGTTGTAAAGGAAATAAGCAGGTCTTCCCATCCCAATAAGATGGTCTTCCCATCTAGGAGAGCTTCTGAAAAGAGCATGAAAAAGCAGGCCTCCTGAACTCCCATGAGCAACTGATGCAAGGCACATCCTACACCCTTCACCACATGGTGGAGAAGATCTTTAGGAGCAAAGAACAAATGATATGAATGACCACACTGACTGTCAGCAAACTGCAGAGCTGCTTAACCAAGAAATAGCGAGACTGAAGCAACGCTTGCAGTCAAAGAAGGAGAAGGCGGAAAGGCCAGAGCAGGGCAAGGCAGGAATCAAACAGGCCACAAATGTTGCAGTGAGGTAACTGACTTCCCCAGCCCACACCCCGATGAGCATCCTGCATCTGCTCCAGGGCAGTAGAGACCACGTGGAGGATGAGGACTTAGCAGTGGAGGGGAACAGGAAAGCAGAACATACTGGTTCCCCAGCGTCCCAGCCACAAGTCCCTCTGAAGAGTATGGATGACAATGGTGACTTAGGTCCATCCTTCAAATGTCCTGAAGGGGAGATTGGAACAGCAGATGTACAATTGTGGGAAGAATTAACAAGGAGTAAAGAACGCGTAACACAAGACCAAAGTCTGACCAGAGCAGGCCTCTCTGCAGGACAAGGGCACAGCCATGGAGGGAGCTCCTGAAGCTGCAGCTGAGGCTTCCCGCTCTGCCTGAACTACACTGAGAATGCATGATGGGGCCTCAGTGGGAGGACGCCTACTGCCTGGACCTCAAGCAAAGGCTTCCCAAGGTGCGCGGGTACTTGAACTGCGTGTGTCAAGACTCACAACTGCTACAAGAAGATGGCCCAATACCTGGTCCAGGTAATCAAAGAAAGACACTTGTAGTTTTCAGAAGGTGATCCTCTTCCAAGAGAAAAGGGCCCAGGAAGGATGGATGGTGGCCACATCCCCTGAAAGAGCACTCCAGGTGCTCTAGAAAGAAAATTACCCCAACAGGCTGAAGCCAGCTGACTGTGAGGCCAAGTTCCAACCTTTCCTGAAAGGTCCTTTGGCTCCCGAGGTTCTGTCTGCAGCCCGCAGGGGTCCAGAAGTGCCAGGGGGACAGTGGGCTGCCAGGAGCCCCAGGAAGGAGGCAGGTCATGATGGGAAGGCTTGGGTCCAGAGCACCTGCTCGTTTGATTCTCTTTTCCCTGTAGCCAGGTCCTGAATGCCCAGAGACACCGCAGAACATCAGCTGGTGCTGCCCCCTTTAAAGCACTTTTGATTGACCTATTGTTAGTTTAGCTACTGTTCATTAGTTGACGCTGAAATTGCTCTTATTGAAGTTTGACAGGTAGCATTAGAATTGTACTATTTTAGGTACTATTTTTCAAATAAAGATTATTGAATATAAAAAAATAAAGTAAAGCGAAAGGGCCCTTGTGGTGCTGGAAACCTGATTCCTAAATGTCAAAGTTATTCACAAGTCCTCATTTGTTGACTCATCATCACGTCCATTTCCCTTTCATTTTTTACCTTTTTTTCTCTTTTCACTGTCTTTCTGGTCTACAGAGATACTTTTGTCTACTTTCTGCAATCAATATGGCTCAGCATTTACTAAAATGGGTTTCTGAAGGACTAGAGTATTCGTTAAATGTTAAAAGTACTTAGTGGTCATACATTTGAGCATCACTAGCAAGCAAGGGTCACCAGTGGCTCCCTAAGAGAACCTTTAGGGGCAAGATGCTGAGTAGCACTAAGGATCTTTCAAGAGTATGCAGGCCATATCTCCAGGCCTCTGGTCCACAGAAGCCTTCTTTTAAAGACATAGCACTCTATGAAACTCAAAGTGGAAAATGCAACTGTAGTCAAAAATTGTCAGTGATTTATGCTAAATGTTGCCTCGATTCTTCTCACAATTCATATATTTCATCTCATAGAATTTTTTTTCTTTTCCTAGTCTACACAGTAAGTCCCCACTCTGATGTGCTGTTCAGTTCAAGTTTTTGCAAAGCCGTAAAAACAGCCCCACAAAGCAACAAAGCAAAGCACAGATGAGAGAGCACGGAGGATAGCATTGAGAGGGATGCCCCTGTTTGGCCTGGCATCCACACACCCCTGACAGATGTACATGTGTACATCTCAGCAGGATGGCAGAACATCAGTAGTGTCCCATCACTCTCAGATCTTAGATGAGTGCAGAGGCCCAGGACTGCTCCATACTGATCCAGGATGCAAGATGTTGCTTGCTAGTATTGAAACCAACAACTTTCCTCTCCGTGTTCCTGTATAATTTTGGATCAAACATATTTTCTTGTTTTTGTGCCAAACATTTCTAGCACAAAGATACTTTCTCATTTCTGTGCTAAATAATACTGGGATCAGGCAAAATTAACATGGCTACTTGCTGTACGAAGTAGTTGCTTGACCGATGAAATAGTTAGCTATCAATACCAGCCTCTTATAATATCAATACTTTCTTCTGGACCCTTACCTGGCTATGCACACCAATCCAACTTATTGGTCATAACCTCTGTCCAACCCCAACCAGTTCCTCTTCTGAAATACTGCCTTTAAGTCACCCAGCCTAGTCTGTAAAACTCTATAAACCTCTTGCCCTTACTTCCCCCTTTGGAGACACTGTGACTCTCGGGGTGGTGGTTTCCCATACTGCAATAAATCTAACAAAATTAGCTTTGCTTGATCAACAGGAATTTTGAGAGTGGTCTGTTTTGGGGACTGGACAGCTGACATTTGAGGACTGTGAACCCTACCATTAATATGACAGCACACAAATATGTGAATACTCACTTTGGTTTAATGGACTGACGTATTAAAATGATCTTGAAATTGGTCATTAATATGACATTAGAGGGACCATGAATCCTATATGCCCTATGTTTTTCAGGCCCTCTCAAGACGTGGGAGTCTTAGTCCCTAATTGAGCAAGATTTAGGAAAGAGTAAGTCAAGGACATTGGGCTCTAGATAATTATGCAAAGGCTAGTGACATGAACCATGACCTAGCCCTGCCCAGCCCACCCTCAGCAGGCCATTTTACACCATCCTTTTAAAATCACCTACAGGAGAAGTGACGATGGGCAGAGGACCCAGGACATTCCACGCAGCCTTCTCAGTTTCAGCAGAATGTTCTTCTCAGTAAAAGGCTTAAGTGGAGAATTAACTTTTATAGCAGTGTCTTCCATAAGGAAAAACAAAAAGCTATTTCTAGTAACCTTAGTTAAGGTGTGAATGTCTGTGTGTGTGCACGGGGTTGTGGGTCTAGTGCACAACCACATGCACATAGGGAGCAGGTGTCAACAATCTCAACTCATGAAAGTTTTCTGAAGTTACCACAGTGAAGAGGAGACTATTTAATGACCACTAAAGTGATATAGTACTGTGATTACAGTAAGACTGTGCCTGGCTTTGACCACAGTATAATTTTCTTTATTGAAACCATAAATTTGTTGATCTTTCTCACATAATGGAACGTGAATGTATGAGCTTGGAAGCCGTCTAATTATAAAAGAGAATAATTTAAAATAGCCATAATTAATTGATAGTCTGCTATGTGATAGTCTGCTATGTGCCATGAAACTTGCAAACATTATCTCAAGTCCTCTAAACCAGTGCTTCTCAGACTTACTGTGCTTGAGGATCCCCTGGGGATCCTGTTAAGGTGCAGATTCTGGCAAAGTAGCTACAGAGTTGGGCCTGGGAGATTTTGTGGGGATGGAACTATTCTGTGTCCCAATTGTTATGGGGATTACAGAAATCTAATCATGTCTTCAAATTCATAGAACTATATGCCAAAAAATGTCACTACATGATACATTTTGAAAAATAAAATGTAAAGTCACATACATAAAAAAAGTATCAATGTCTCCTGAAGTAAGACCCTGAAAACTTCATAATATCGTTATGTAATAAACCTTCCAAAAAATGTTGAACAGGAATCTAGTCATGAGGAAACAGCTCATATTGCAAGACATTCTACAAAACAACCAGTCCAGATTCTGCAAAATCGTCAATACCATTGGAGGGAAATAAGCAAAAAGGCTGAGAACTACTCCGATTTAGGAGACTAAATATGGAGACACGACACTGCATGCAACGTGGGATGCTTGATGGGTCTTATATTGGGGAAAAGCCCGGCAGTAAGAGACATTGTTGGCATAAAAGGGGAAATGTGGACATGAACTCTGTGTTAGGTAAAGTATATGGCAACTTTAAATCACCTGAATGTCATCAGTTTACTGTTTATAAAGGAGAGGTGATTGTCTTCAATTCAAGCTGAAATAGTCAGGGTCAACATGATGATGTGTACAACTCATGTCCAAATAATCCAGCAGAACATGTGTATGGAGGGTTTCAAACCCAGCAGGACGTTAATGCAGGGGAAGGGCCCATGGGTGTGCATTATACTATTCTTGCAGCTAATCAGGAGACCTGACATTTTTCAAAATAAAAGTTGGTGTACTCATTTCCTATGACTACTGTAACACACTACCACAAACTAAGTGGCTTAAAACAACACATTCATTATCTTACAGTTCTGGAGATCAGAAGTTCAAAATGGGTTTTATGGGCTAAGACTAAGGTGTTGGCAGAGCTGCCCTCCTTCTGGAGGCTCAAGGAGAGATCCATCTTCTCGCAGTTTCCTGCTTCTCCTTGCTTGTCACCCCTTCCTCATCACATTTCCTGTTTGTCTCTCTCTTCTAACAACCCTGTGTTTACGCTGGGCCCTACTGGATAATCCAGAATAACCTCCACATCTTAAGCACAACTGCAAAGTCCCTTTTACCATGTAAACTAGCATTCACAGATTCCAGGGATTAGGATGTGGACATCTTTGGGGGCCATTATTCAGCCTACCATGGGTGCCAAGTGAGTTTTCCAATCCTTATGAAAATGTTTAAAGGGAGAAATAAGATAATGTTTTGAATAAAATGCATGTGAAAATACAACATCAAAATTTGTGAGATGTAACAAGAGTAGTGTTTAGAAAGACATTTATAAACATAAGGCTTATATTACAGAAGAAGAAAGGCATCAAGTCAATAATAAGCTTCCACCTTATGAAACAGAAAAGTAAGAGAGAAATAAACCCAAATACCCCAGTGAAGAAGAAGGAAGGAATTAATAAAGATCAAAGCAGAAATCAATGAAAATCAAAATCAGATATAGGGAAAATTAATTGAACCAAACAGTGATCTTTGCAACTATAAAACTGGTAAATCTCTGGAAGAGCTGATGAGAAAGAGAGAGAGAAGACACAAATTACCAACACAAGAAGGAGTGAGTGGATATCACTACAGACTCCACAGACATTAAAAGAATAATAAAGGAACACCATCAACAACCCTATGGATGTAAATTAAACTTAGTCAAAATTGAACAGTTCCTCAAAAACCTACCCAATATGAAATAAAGTTTTGCCCACTGTGATGTGCAAAGCAGAATGAAGGAAGGAAAATGTTTGGTAGAAAGAGGCACTGGTAGGAAGAGAATAATGATGTGGCAGGAGGCTGAGTTACAGTGGGAAGGGAACGATGGTGCAGAAACTCATGTGAACAGTGTGGCACATCAAGATATCAACCAATAAATATTCATGAACATGGATTCAAAGTGTAGTCCTAAGACAAAAAGAAAATTTTTATCTAAAATAACGTAGAGTCTCTTGTGCCTTTTCCTGATTTGTTACAGCTTTCTAAATTGCTTATATCATGCTAGAGGCATAATTCTTAATTTAATGAATTCCATCATTCTGGAAAGTAAGAGTTTTTAATGCTGAAATAGAGTAGATCATTTGGGAACAAGTTCAGAATACAAAACAAATTTTAACTTCTTTCTGAGACAAGCATATCAATAAAATTCTGTTATATAATGAAACATATCATTTTAATTAGTAAAATATATTAATTTCCATTAAAGATGTCAAATATGCAAGACTATAAAAATAGAATGTAAAAAAAGAATTTGCCATTTTCCAAAGTCAAATGTAAATTATTATATTTCCTTCTTTCTGTTCTTCAACACTAAAGATAAATAGTAATGTTTTATCTTTGCAGGAATAATACTTTTATTCTCATTTCTCTTTTGTATCTGGGATATATGGTGGTTCTTGGGAAATTTTGCTTCTGTCTCTAGCATTCTTAAAAAGTTATTGAACTCATTTCTCTCTCTTCAGTAGATTAACACCCAGAATATTTCATGGACGTACACTGTGCTCTGGTATTGAATGAGATGGTACCAACATCCTCAGAAAAACCTTAAACATGAAACTGCACCTGCCCCCCATTGCCCCCCACAACACAGTCTGCACATTTGGACCAAGTTGTATTGTCAAGTTCCCCGGAGTGTTATGACTACTGTTCTTAAAGAATTAAGGTTGGAAACATTTCAGAAGGTTTACAATACATCACATCACATCCTAAAGTATTTTTAATTATTTGAATCATAGATGTTCTTATTTTAATGTACACTGGGCACAATTTTTATTTCATTTTGAAGCTGAGTCTGTTGGACAAGGGCTAGTGGTTCACCAATAGTTTCAATAATAGTGATTGTTTAACATTTGGATATCTGTTAAATTTTCTATTGTAACTTTTAATGTTATTTACATGGGATAGCTGTATTCACATGGTGTTCTAAAATATTATCGCTATTACGTTTTAAAATGACAGGAATTTGAGGCTCCTCAGACATCTTCACAGAAAAATAGCACCAAATGAGCAGCAGCAATTGGATTAGTTAGCTTCACACTGCCTTTAACATTTTTTAAAAACATAATTATAGATACAAGGGAAGTTGCAAAGAAATATGCCAAGACATTCTGAACACTCTTCACCCAGGCTCCTCCATCTTTTGCAATTATAATACAATACTAAAACTTGTTGACATTGGTACAATCCTTGGGATTTATTCAGATTTCACAAAGTATATATGCACCACGCACATGAGTCTGGGTGTGTGTGTAGCTTTGTGCAATGTTATCAACATGTGTAGATTAACGTAACTACCACCACAAAAAACCTACTCAATCTGATAGTCACAACAACCCCTCCTCCCTATCTCTAATATCGGGCTGCCACTAACCTATTCATGGTCATTCAATGTCCATGGTTATGTTATGAATGTTATCTAAAAGGAATCACCTCTGTATATCCTTTTGAGATTGGCTTTCATCACGCAGCATAATTTCCTTGAGGTCCATCTCAGCTATTGTATCATTCACCTGTTTCTTTCTATTGCCGGGTAGTATTTCATGGTATGGATGTATTAGGTTGGTGCAAAAGTAATTGCAATTTCTGCCACTGCAAGTCATGAAAACAGCAATTACTTTTGCAGCAACTCAGTAGAACATTTTGTTTAACCATTTATCCCCTGAAGGACATTTGAGTAATTTTCGGTGTGGGGCTATTACAAATAGAGCTGTTTTGTATATTTGTGTACAAGTGTCTGCATAAAAGTAAGTTTTCAATTCTCTGTGATAATTCCCAAAAGTGCAATTGCTGGGTCTTAGGGGAAGTCTATTTCATATTCTTTGGCATATAAAAAATTTCATATATGTTGCTGGCACCAGGTCTTCACAAGGTAAACTCAAAAAGATGCAATAAAGAAATATCTTTGTTTTAGGATGCACGTTGGCACCTCTGCATAAGGTATGAGGTTTTTATCCGCATCCATAGACTTTACAGAGAGGGTCTTCCCCTCCCTTCTAACAAGGTGTTTGGTGTTGGTGGGAGGACAGGGAAAGAAACAAAGAGAGGGAAGAGTTTTCTCCTTGTTGAAATAGGGATTGTTGCATATGTGCTTTCAGAAATAAGGCTGAAAAGCCCATCAGTCTCAGCTTGACACAAAGAAGATGCTCTCATATTTTGTGAGACTGTAAGCCTTCTTTCCTGCAGGTGGCCTCAGGTCTGTGGAGGGTCTCATTACTCAATGCATCCTGACTCCATCAGGTTCAATCTGATGGGTTTCTCCTGGGGAAATAAATGAGACTTATCTTTTTGCTCTTATTTTTTTAAAACGGCTGGAAACAAAGTCTGGATGGCACCAACCTTTTTAAGCTGGGCTTCACCAGTGCTCATGCGGGGACCCTGTTTATAGGACCAGAAACTACGGTAATTCTTAGCCTTTACACCCTGGTTATGCCTCAGTGCCACCACCTCCCCCAGCACCCTCCTTCATCCCTTCTGACCACAGGAGCCCAGATTCAGTCTTCTATTTTTTATTTATATTTTTATTTTTTTTGAGACAGGGTCTCACTTTGTCACCCAGACTATAGTGCAGTGGCATGAACACAGCTCACCGCAGCCTCAACCTCCCTGGCTCAAGCAATCCTCCCACCTCAGCCTCCTGAGTAGCTGACACTACAGGCATGCATCACCACGCCCAGCTAAGTTTTGCATTTTTTGTAGAGATGGAGTGTGACTATGTTGCCCAGACTTATCTCAAACTCCAGAGCTCAAGCTATCCACCTGCCTCTGCCTCTCAGTGTTGGGATTACAGGGATGAGTTGCCATGCCCAACCAAGACTCAATCTTCTTGCCTTTCATTCATAACACGGGCATCATCCACTCTAACCCTGGGGGTTCCTCCACCTAAACTGTGTGTAGAATGGGACAGATGCCCATAGATCCATTTCTTAACTAGATCCACAGAATTTGGTGAAGCGAAGATTCAAAGTTCACAAACAACTCCTCTCTATTTTCTCTAGGTTCCTCTGTTGCCTACCTGTTGTCATTCCCTTATTATTATTATTTGTATTTACTACAACTTCTTTGAAATAGAAAGTGAAGATACTCATTTTGAGTGATGTAAAAAGAAAAATTCATTTTCTATAAAACTCAAAGGTCGTTTTCACTTGCCATTGAAACTTCCTAACTACTATAGCTGAAGCTTGCTTTTCACCTTTGCAGCCATATCATATTTCTCAAGGAGCTCACCAATTCCTATTACATTTATTGACTACATTCTATAAGAAACTAATATTAATAAGGAATTTCCAGTCAGATATTCATGGTGCTATCAGTCCACCATGTCATTAATATCTTTCAAACTGGGCGGATTATTTTGGTATTTTGGTGCACCTATCTACCTGTTTTTTCCACATAGGTGGAACTTGCATTTATGAAGAAGTGTGGGTACTATTGCCATGGTTAAGCGTGTTTTTGCAGCTTGCAGAGGATGACTGTATGCAATACAATGTATCACTAGTACCATTCTCTTTTTAAATCAAGTTTCTTTTTTCTGTACTTGATTTCTGACTGGTTTCCATTTCCCACTTTTTATTTTTTTGTTTGTTTGTTTTGGAGGTTGCAAGAGGTAGAAATACAAGTATTGTCAAATTTTGCCAGGGTTTCCATGGCTGCTAACTGCATTCATGTTTTTTTCTTGATACTGCATAATAAAGTAGATATGATGTACATAATTTCAAATGCCATCTAATTATGTTTCCCCATAGAGTTAGACGATGTGGAGGCTAAGTAAGTCTCTTTTCATTCAGATGATCTAGAATTCTTTTTCTTAAAAATGGTCCCCCCTTCCTCCAACCAATCACCATGGCAACAAGTTCCAATATCTAGAATTCACTCTCCGCCTGGATGCTGCTCCAGCCTTGGATGCACCCTGGGACCTCATTAAAACCACCTACCTTTGCCTCACCTTTCCCACCTTAGCTGGTGCTTTTATTAACAGGAAATTAAAATATCTTTCCTCTATCTAACTCATATAGGGATATTTCTGCCTCCAAAATCTTATGCAATGGGACTTCCTTCAGCAAGCTCTTCTGATGAGACTTTGATTATGATCTTATCTAAATACACAGCCAGTTGCATGCTGCATGAAATTGAACATAATTGAACAAAATAACTGGTGAATGTAGACCAAAATGGCAGGGGTGATTGGCTATGCAGACAGCATCTTACCCAAATGGTACATGGTCTCATTTTCTACTCTCAGTAGAGAGGCTTTTTTGTCCTCCTTTGAAAGTGCATATTCTCAGTAAAAACTATGAATTCTATGAGGATAGAATCCACCAATAGAAGGATTAATTCCAGTTTCCCATTGTATTTTCACTGACTTTCAATGGAGACCCTGTACCCAGCTAGAATGCTGGATGTTTGGGTGATCATTAGTGCTAATCATAGCTATTTCCTTCTTCACTGGCTTCCTCCCTCTAGGAACATGGTGGGACTGTATTTTCTGGCTCTTTTGAGCTTGGGCAAAGACATGTGACTAATTCTGGCCAATTACTTATGGACAGAAACAATGTGTGTCATTTCATTCCAGAGAATAAAGGCTACATTAGCATCTTAGATCCTGTTGGAGGAGTGCCCCAGCTAAGGAACAGAGGAAAAGCAGCAGGACAAGAAATGAAATTTTGTTGTTTTTAGGCACTGATATTTGGGGCTGTTTGTTATCACCATATAACATAGGCTATGCTGACTGGTATGATAAGGAAGTTCAGTTCTTCAGAACTATTTTCAGACTTACTTCCAGAATTGTTTTCTGACACTAGGCAGAGTTAGTTACATTTAATGAGCAGAGGAGAGGCCAGGAGAAGGAATTCATCCAAGTCACATTTAAAGGCAAGAACAACTCCACATTACAGTTACATGAAGTGGGGCAGCCAAGGCCTAAACAGTGCCTTGTGGCTCATGGCACTCATGGGTCCAGTGATCCTCAGCTAGAGTCTCATTTCTTCCTGGAGGATGAGAGAAGTTTGATTCCTACCAGAATTCAAATGGAATCTATTCAATTTGACCAAAAAATGGCACAGATAATTCTGAAACAACACCTACAACATTTCCCCTGCTGTCCCCTGTTGCTGCTTAATGGAGACTATAAACCCAGATAGAATGCTGGGATGCTGTGTGGCCATTATTTTCTCCACTTGAGTCAATAAATTTTGGTGTTAAATTATATAGCAAAATAGTAAAAATGTACTTCTACTAAGAGACTGATAAGTTCCTTACTGCCATACATAGGGTCAGATTTTCCAGTGTGCTAAACTCTCTTAAACTCTCCTGAGACTTCACTCTTGATAAGTGAATAGGCTTTTTTTCCTTCTCAGATCACTTATGCCATGCTTTGCTCATACTTCATACACAATTAAGATGATGAATCAGTTAGGGTTTATACAGGGACAGAACAAATGGAATATATATATATATATATATATATATATATATATATATAATATAAAGGGGAGTTTATTAATTATTAAGTCACATGATCTCAAGATCCCACAATAGACTATCTACAGGCTGAGGAGCAAGGAGAGCCAGTCTGAGTTCCAAAACCAAAGAACTTGAAGTCCAATGTTCAAGTGCAGGAAGCACCCAGCACAGGAGAAAGATGCAGGCTAGAAGGCTAGGCCAGTCTCTCTTTTCAAGTTTTTCTGCCCACTTATATTCTAGCCTTGCTGGCAGCTGATTAGATGGTGCCCACCCAGATTAAGGGTGGGTCTGCCTTTCCCAGCCCACTAACTCAAATGTTAATCTCTTTTGGCAACACCCTCACAGACACACCCAGGACCAATATTTTGTATCTTTCAATCCAATGAAGTTGACTCTCAGTATTAACCATCACAGATGCTAAATTAATGTCCAAGGCCCAAGGCACTGGGATATCCCAATTGAGTTGTCTCATTCTCAAAAATATGAGTGACATGTAGCTGCTAATCTCTAAGGCCTCCCCCACTCCCCTGCTTCTCTACTTCATCCCCATTCTTGGTAGATGATGGTCTTAACTGAGAGCCTAATCAAACCAAGAGTTAAATTTTCCCAGGTTTTCATGTACTTAGGAAGTTTCTAATGTTGGGTAGTGCCTAGGGGAAATTTTGGTGGGGAAATGGAGGGAAGACAGAAGGAGTTGAGCACAGTTGGCCAGGACTGGAGGATCACCTAATGTGGCATCCCACCTTGAAGCTTCCTTGTAGCTATGATACCGTTTGAACCAAGGAAAACTAACTTTCTTTATCATGAGTGAGAAAGAGATGGGGCCCAAATGGCATCTGATACACTTTGCAATAATGCTTTTTGCAGTGACTTGCAGACAGAAATATGCTGGAATAATTGAGCTAGCACATAGCATAATCTGCTGTAGCCACCGCAAAATTGCAGAATCAGACCCATTGGTGCTGTATTTGACCAAGAGCAGCCATGGAGGGAAAAATATCTATTTCCCACTAGACTAATTATGCTAATTTTATATTAATTGATTGAACGGTTTTACTTGAAGCTGCTGTGGAATTTTGTTTTTGTGTTAAAGTTGCATAAAACTATAAGCTGAAGAAGTTCAGCAAGCGCTGCATTTGGACATACTAAGTAACATTAAGTACACGTAATATAGATCTCCACCCAAGGTTCACAATCTTTTTTTTTTTCCAAAGTTACCAGTTCATTACTCAAAGTAGAGAAGTGCTGTTTGGGAGGAAATATTTCAGATACTGGGCAGCTGCTAAGGGTAAGGGAATAAGGGGGTGAAGTCCAGAGGCAAGCCCCCTTCTGTGGATGGGGTGGGGTTTCATGAAGAGTTGACGGAGACATTCTGACAAAGGCAGCAACCAAGCCAGGCTAGGAAATGAGGACGCTTTCTATGAAACAATCTCCTTTAGTTGCCCCAATTGTTCAATAATGTCTGATATGGAATCAAAACACACAGTTGTGTCAGGGATTATGTCAACAATGAAGGGACAAGGCAGTGGTGGCCCCTTCCCCTTTCCTGCCAGAATACCAATTTCACAAGCTGTGGCAATGTGCCCAGCTCACAGCTGACCCTCTCCCTTCCCATTCCTCTACAAATTAAGGCTACAAAGAGTATCTCTGAGTATAAGATTATTTATAGTCTTATAAATAGACCGGTAGGTGGGTGGCCCTGTGAGACAGTGCTGGGCAGTGAAGGATGAGTGGAGGTTGTTAGGTGGGGCTTCCAGAAAGCTCCAGAAAGCAGAGGAGTTTGACTTGGCTGGCAGGATCTCTTTTCCCCTTTGCCTTTCCTCCCACTGGCCACCTAGAATAAGGCATAGCAATTGGTGCTGCTGCAGCCATTTGCAAGTAACCAGGATGGAGAAGCCTAGAGAAATCCTGAGGACCCCTGGATGCTTCCTGCAGACTTCCTTATGACTCAAGAGGAAAACTGTGCTCAAGCCACTGTCATTGGGGGTTTCTTTCAGATGCAACTGAGCACAAGCCTTCAGGAGAAGGGCACCCCTGCTTGTCATGCATCACACCCATCAGGTGCCGCGTCATGGGGAGGACAGGGCCTATCATGAAGACCTTGGCCCACAGCAAGGTGACCAGGAGCCCCTGGCCAGTCCCGCAGCGGAGGAGGAGGAAGGAGGTCTGTTGACCTCAGGAGGAGCCACCTGGGTCTCCATCAGGAAGAGTGGGCAGGAGCCCACCGCACACCTCCTTTCAAAGAACTCAGAAGGAAAGGGAACCTTAAAGGAAAGGGTAAAAATAGCTATTTCAAATTACCTATATTTAGCACCAGTTTGAGTTCTGGGTGAAAGAAAGTAACAGCAGATTTTAAAAGAGAATGTGAACAGAGACAGTGAAAACGTAACCTAAGGAAGAAAAACTATAGCAAAGTCGTTCTAAACCACATATTTCAATTCTCGTTGATTATTAGAAAGCATGATGTTACAATCAGAAAAATAAATAAAGACATAAAGAAATAGTGCTCAGGTTAGAATCAGGCAAGGTGCTGGATACTATCTTGTGCATCCTGCCTGGGAACAGCTCTCACTGAGTGAATATAATCATGTCTGTTACACGTGAGTGTTTACCATTGACAACACTGTGCCAAGTCTTTTACCTGTGTGTGGTTTCATTTAACCTTAAGAGATATTACCATAATTCCCAGTGACAGTTGAGGAAACTGGGGTGTGGATCTGCCCCCAATCATAGCTCTCGATGACTTTTGACATTGCTATTTTCTATCTACCTAAAAAGGCTGCATCGCCTGCAGCAGAAACAAACAGCCCTACTCTAAAGACACTACAAGGCTTTTTGTTTTAAATGTGATTGTAAAAATCTCAATTAGAGGAGTCTTCAATTAATTGAGGGATCCGAGTAATCTAATTTCCTGGCTTAATTGAGCACTAACCGGAAAAAAAAATTCCCATTAAAATGCATTTTTTAAAGTATATAAAACACGCACTTTCTTGACTTAGTGAACCTGATTTAAACTTTTTTGATAATTAAGTCACTGACAGTGCCTCAGGGTGGCTATACTGACAATCGCTTCTCACCACTCTGTGCTGTATCCTACTGTTAGGTTTTTTCCGCTCTTCTACTAATTAAGGCTACAAAGAGCATCCCTGAGTGTAAGATTATTTCTTTTATATTTCACATTAGTTTCAGATATGCCTAAAGTGGATGCTGGGCCAACAGGGTTATAATTTTTTTTTAATGCTTCCAAAAATGTTCCCAAAATGCAGCACAAATTTTTACCACATTTTTTCCAGGTTATAATTCTTTAAAACTCTTCAAATATAATTCCTAAGGATGAATTTAACAATCAGCTGGTAACTGAGAAGCTGGGAGATCTGCAAGGAAGGTTCTTGTGAGAGGACGATGAAGATGGATAGCACCGAACCAGGAGAGGAAGGATATGAAGAATGACGGCATCTCAAAGGGGAGGAGTTACATGCTTTGTGCATTGCAAGCAATGGTGTGCTGGTGAAATCTTAACAACCAGTTCTCCAGAGAAGAAAAGGGGAACCCTGATTTGTAGCATTGGCCAAGGTGGAAATAGTCCTGCTACACCCCATTTCAAGTCACAGGATGCAGTTGAAAAACTGCGCACCTTTCGGTTTGTGACCCAGTAGGAGCTGTCCTCTAGAACATACTGACTGCAAGGGAGCAGGGTACCACTGGGAGGGACAGTGAAATATGCATCCTTGGATGTGGTGTGCTGCCTTCCTCCACTCGTACCATGCAACAGTCTGGACACTTAAAGGCCCCCTAAACAGAGGTCTCGGGACCTGGATGCCCTTGTGGTCTCTCAACCATGGGACAATTGAACAGACCCCACGGGAAAATGTCGTATGCTTGGGGGTAGCAGTGTCCCCAGACACTAGCATGTGCTCTCATCTTTTCATAAGGTTGTCACATCTCATTGCCTAGTCACAGTCTTTTATTGGTCCTATTAATATATGCCTACCAAATTAGAAGCTCCTAAGTCAAAGGAAGAATGGCTCATTATGAGTGACAGTCAGTGGTTGATTATTTTGGCAGGCAGTTCTGGGCACTATGATTAAAAATGGACCCAGAAAGGGGGAAAGACCTCTCAGTGGACCCTGTTTTCAGTGTTTACCTAATGGTAGCCAAAGAGCATGACATACCCAAAAGCCAGAGGTTAAAATTTCAACGAAAAGATGGCAGCAAATGGATTCTTACTCTAGTCACTTATTTCATTTGGCTTTAGAAAGTGTCTCCTCATGCTCTTTTTTTCAGCGTTTGGATACACTCTTAAATTATTCACAATATGGCATTGTTTCATTTCTCTAACAAATTTGGAAAAATCGTAAAATATTAGGGAAATGCTGATGATTGAACCATTTTACCTTCTCATGAAATCTTGATGTCCTATCTAAGACAGAGATTGGCAGTTTACTAATCATGCTTTTTTATTTTCTGTATTTCTGATGCTTTGATATCTGGATGACCCTGGAGGCATCCTATGCAGATTAGCCTACTTTTAAAAGCAGTAAATGACTCCCTGTGAGCACACCTCGTGTATGCAAACCACCAACCTAGCGCCCACCTCCTCCCCCACCTTCTCTCTCAGGTTCTCACCATCTAGGCCACCATCTTCCTTCCCTAATCATTCCAGGGCCAGGCACCAGATGTCCAGAGATAGCCCTCCTGTCCCAGAGCCTGCTGAAATTATTCAAGCTAGCCAATCCTAAACCTGCTTGCCCTGACTTGCCTTGCCTTTCCTGCAGAAGCCACATGATAAAGGCTCTTGTGCAGGTTTCTCCCCTCCTCTCTCAGCCTCCTCACTGAGCCTTGTACTTCCCCGGGTGGCCCCACCTGGCATTGCATGCCTCCTCCTCTTAGGAACTGTAACAGCTAACTTTTCAAAGGTAGCCCTCTCCTGATCTGTTGGTTTCACCATACCTGAATAATAATAAAACCTACATTTTAAAACATCCAGTTGCTCTCAATACCCATATTTCTCTTCTTAATAAAAAATCCCCAACTTCTAGGTAAGCGTATGGCCTCCAAGATAAAAAAAAGACCGAGCCTTTGCTGATTCTCCCTGGCTATTAGCAGTGGCCACGTGAATCAGGTCAGCTGCTTGCTTACAGTGCTCTCCGAAGTGCTGTGGAGGATGCATGCTTTCTTCTGAGTGCTTCCTCTAGCTGCAGAGGATTTGATGGCTGGGGTTCCAGTAGTCATCATGGGCCATTAGGATGCAGCCCACACTCACAACCTAGAACTATCTAGCATGGGGAAGATGAATTATCTAAATAATCTGGATAGCTCATGATTTCGTGGAACCATGGACTCCTTTCATGGAACAAATAATGAAAATCTGTTTTTTAAGTAACTATTATTTGATGTTTTTCTGTTGTACTCAGCTAGACTTCATCACAGATAATGCACTATCCTTAACAGAAGAAAAACCATAATACCTGTCTGTCAAGGTACTCATTGTGTCTCAAAAATATGTCATTTGATCATGCTACTGATATTATCAATAACTAAAAGAAAACAGTTTTACCCATCTGTAACATCAAAACCATGGTAAGTGCCTTTCCCTTCAAGGGTCATCATGCTCAGTGCTGAAAATCAGGGTGCTCGATCAATCCTCTGCCCCTCCACCTGTTTTGCTAAAAATAGCAGACCACAACATGTTGGTGGACATGATTTAGTTATGTTCACAACTTTCACTATTTCCTTGAACAAGAAATAATACATCAAGGGCAGGAGGCATATTGTTAATCAGCAATTGCTCTGCAAAATAAAGCAGCATGTGATCTGGCATTTAAGTAAAATCCTCCCTTTTCATACCAGTCATCATGAGTCCCCGCTGGACCTGACCCCAGTGTACTTTCTCAGCCCATATCCTCTATTAAAAAATAAACACTAATTAAACAAATAACAATAACGGAACATCTTCTTATGTGGCGTGGATTCTCTGTTGACCGCTCATATGTTCCACCAGCATATGATGAGCTGATCCAAGCATGAAACAGAATCAGCTAACACCCTATTGCTGTGCTCTTCCACATTGTGTGCTTTTAATGTTACATGATATCCAACAATAAGGAAAGGAATTTTAACTAAAGACCAATTGTTCTTTCTCCCTGAGAAATTTTGCAAAAAACTTTGAGTTTGGTTTCATAGGTCTCTGTTATATTACTTATGTCTCTTTCTGCTACAAAATGTATAACTTGGGTTATTTATCTTCTTTTAAAAACTCATTTATTTCAAATTTTGCACAGTATTACTTTGCATTTGTTCTGTTAAAAAATAAGATCTTGATTGGTGTACCAGTAGTGGTAGAAGTTTAATGAATTGATAAACTTTCATAAAGATCAATGCATTGTCATGAGGAATCCAGACCCAAAATATCAAATCTTCAGATATTTGTGTCTTATCTCCTATACACACTTTTTTTTTTGGCATGGGGGACATTTAAAATTTTTCTAAATTTTTATTTCAATAGGTTTTGGGGGAACAGATGGTGTTTGGTTAGAAGAATAAGTTCTTTAGTGGTAATTTCTGAAATTTTGGTATACCCATCACCCTAAGCAGTATCCACTGTACCCAATGTGTAGTCTTTTATCCTTTAACCCCCTTCCACCCTATCCCCCGAGTCCCCAAAGTCTACTGTGTCATTCTTATGCTTTTGGGTCCTCATAGCTTAGCTCCCACTTAAGAGTGAGAACATAAAATGTCTGGTTTTCCATTCTTAAGTTACTTCACATAGCATAATGGTCTCCAATTCTATCCGGGTTGCTGCAAATGCCATTATTTTGTTCCTTTTTATGACTGAGTAGTATTTCATGGTGTATATATATACATATATATATATATATACACATATACATATATACGTATACACACACACACACACACACACATACACATACCACATTTTCTTTATCGACTAATTGATTGATAAGTATTTGGGCTGGTTCCATATTTTTGCAATTGCAAATTGTGCTGCTATAAATATGCATGTGCAGGTATCTTTTTTGTATAATGACTTCTTTTCCTCTGGGGAGATACCCAGAAGTGGGATTGCTGGATCAAATGGTAGATCTACTTTTTGTTCTTTAGGGAATCTCCACACTGTTTTCGACTGTGGTCGTGTACTAGTTTACATTTTTTTGACTTAGAAAATTATCATACTTACAGACTGACAGATGGACTGTAGGCACAGAAAGCTTCACGGTGCTTTATGACATTATAAGTTTAGTATTTTGCTACTATTTTATCTCGACCTTCATGATTCACTGAACCATGAGTTAGGAATATAAAGGAAAAATGCAGTTTAACAAACATAAGAAAGTACATGCAACAAACATGAAAATACACTAGCTGTCATGTCAAAACCCTGCTCACTTCAGTAGGGATGGCACCAGGTTCAAGAGACCAAAGAGACCTAAAGCCAGCAAATGAGACATAGGGTATTTTTGGGGGAATTTTAAATACAGGGACAGTCCGGTGGTGGTGGGCTGAACAGGAGAACCACAATCACTGGCAAAAAGCATGCAGTTGATTGAGCACCCTCACTGGGCACCTTTCCTCAGCAACCTCCATATGACAACCTTCATTTCTTAAATTACTGCTGTCAGGCTGGGCACAGTGGCTCACGCCTATAATTCCAGCACTTTGGGAGACTGAGGCGGGTGGATTATTTGAGGTCAGGAGTTCGATATCAGCCTGGCCAATATGGTGAAACCCTGTCTCTACTAAAAATACAAAAAAATGGCCAGGTGTAGTGGCACACGCCTGTAAACCCAGCTACTTGGGAGACTGAGGCAGGAAAATAGCTTGAACCTGGGAGATGGAGGCTGCAGTGAGCCAAGATTGTGCCACTGCACTCCAACCTGGGTGACAGAGTGAGAGTCTATCTCAAAAAAAAAGAAAAAAAAAAAGGAAAAAGAAAAAGAAAAAAAAAATTATTTCTGTCAGGTAAGCCTCCCATATACTAGCCAAGATGAAATGCATAATGTTTAATAGAGTATCTGCCTCAATGACATGACAAAGGTCCCACTGTCTCTGCAAATGCTGTTGTCAACACTACTGTTAGGGTCTCAATGGAATTTTGATAAATGTCAATTAGTTTTATATTTCACGTCTTTAAATTTATAGGAAGAAACAAACTTCACTACATTTTCCTTGGAAACTATGTAAATCCTTACAGACTACTCAATTGCCGAATATCTTGAACAATACAGACTTACCAGGCAAAGACAAAAAAGTGTAGAATACCTGAGTACTTTTTATCCAACTGACTTCGTTGCATAATTTCTGTAGTCTAATTTATTTCTTGCTAACGCTAGTCAGCCTAAATTTGACAATATTCTTTTTTATAACCTGCTAAAAGGAATGGGGAAAAAAACACTTTATGAGTTTCTGGCATTTCTTAAATTTCTTAAGAACTTCAACCTCCATTGTACTGTATTTATTTACATTGTACAGATTTTAGCAACTTCTCATTTGAATCTTAGAAGGAAAAAGTTGACAAGAAGGAAATGCTAATCTCTGAGACTATAAACAGAGGTAACACATTAGTCAAGATGGGTTGGGTTACGCCCCAGTAACAAACAACTCCAGAATCTTGAAGGCTTAAAACAACAAAGGTTTATTTCTCCCACAGACTTTAAATCTATCGCAGGTTAGCAGGGACCTCTGCTCCCATCTCAGCCTTGCCCTCACTCTGAAAAGCAAGTCAGGAGAGCGACCCCTCTCTGGAACACTGCCTGTTCCTTGGGGAGAGGGCAATGAAATGCTCCAGCCTAAAATCAGGGGCCTCCTTCACTCACAACTCCATGGCAGAAATGGTCAAATCTCACCAAGAAGAGGGCCAGGAAGTGCAATCTTACTCTGTGCCCAGAATGGGGAAGAATGGGAAGACCCAGAGAACTGCACAGGTGATTATCACCGTGAGCAGTCAGGTGGGTTTTGCTGCTCAATCTAGCAAATGTGCATGGGATACTTATTGGTCCAAAGCATAGTTCAGGTTGCTGAGAGGGTTCAATAATGAACTTGGGGGCCGGGCGCTATGGCTCACGCCTGTAATCTCAGCACTTTGGGAGGCCGAGGCAGGCGGATCACGAGGTCAGGAGATTGAGACCATCCTGGCTAACACAGTGAAACCCCATCTCCACTAAAAATACAAAAAATTAGCCAGGCATGGTGGTGGGCACCTGTAGTCCCAGCTACTCGGGAGGCTGAGGCAGGAGAACGGCATGAACCCGGGAGGTGGAGCTTGCAGTGAGCCGAGATCGCGCCACTGCACTCCAGCCTGGGCGACAGAGTGAGACTCCATCTCAAAAAAAAAAAAAAAATGAACTTGGGTTAAATTTCAAACAAGTCAGAATTATGAAGAAATCATTTCTGTATAACAAAACGTCCTACAAGCCAGAAAGGTCAAGAAAGCAAGACCCAAGAAACATTTCAAAGAGGGAGAAAATCCTTTTTTTTGACTTAAATGACTGGGAAAAGCATAGAGGGGGCCATCTGAGGGCAGCCTTAGTATAGGAAAGATGTTCATATGCAGGGATGGACAGGGAGACAGAAAGAAGGGATTTCCAAGCAGAGGAAATAACATAATCAAAGCAGTACATTTTGACACATTCACTCTGTAATTATGTGTTGCCAGTTTTACAGTGACAATGATATCTTAAAGCCCATTCTCCAGCCCACTCTGAGTTCCTTATCCTTATGCTAAGATTGAAATGGGGATATTTGAGATATTTTGTAGTATCTAACTTCGGGGGCTGTTTTATTTCTGTTGGGGTGTGTGCATGTCGTGTGTGTGTGCGTGTGTGCGCACGTGAACATTTGGAGAGGTACTTCTTGAAAGCTAATGTGTACTTTTTATTAAAAGGACTGCAAAAGATATAGTCTTGATTTTTGGCAAGGGCAAATAACACATTTCACATCTACTGTGTTGCCCCCTAACAAAGAAACTGCGTAACTTTCATCTTACATTCATGACAAACAGTTCTATCTCCACTAGGTTTTTTTTCTGAGCTCCCCATCTCTCCTTATAGAAGTTAAGTTGGAGTATGGTGGGTTCCTCTGTTTTCCTACACCTAAGCTAACTCCATGTTGTTTGAGGCAGACTGTGAGGAGTTAGAAGAGCAAACAAATAATAGCAACAATAATGATAATTATTATCATTGTGACAATAGAATTTATGTTAAAATGTCTTAGGCAGATGCCTGCCTCTTCGGGCCCCTCAGTGACTTGTGATAGACTAGGATAGGCAAAGACTCCTTGTAGTTAAGAAAGGTAAATGGAAATGGAAAAGTGAATGAGGACAATCCAGAGATGTGAAAAAGTGAAGGCATGAGAGTTCATGCCCAGATCTGAAGCAGCAACCTTGGCAGGGCAGAGCCAGTGCCGTGGGTTAAAGGAATCCTGTGGATGTGGCTGCAGCAGCAGCCATGGAGTGCTGAATGCAAGGAACTGCGGCCACGGACCCCACATTCAAAGTATCTGGGGCAACAGCAAGTCGGCAAAGCCAAGGCAGAATTGATGGGGGCATAACCTCCTGACAGGTTCATCTTGCCCTCTGCCCAGGGACAGCCGATTTATCAAGGGAGGGCAGTTGCAATAGAGAAAGAGCTTAATACACATAGAGATGGCTAAGCGGTAGACTGGAGGTTTTATTATTCCTCAAATGAGCCTCCCTGAAAATTCAGAGGGTATGGTTTTTAAAAGGTAGTTTGGTGGACAGGGTGCTGGAGAATGGGAAGTACTCATGCGTTGGGTTAGGAATGGCATTACAGGGAGTCAAGGCTGTCCTCTTGCGCTGGTCCACAAGACCAGATGAGCCAGTTTACCAGTCTGGGTGGCACCAGCTGGTCCATGGGAATGCAGGGTCTGAAAAATATCTTGAACATCAATCTTAGGTTTTACAGTAGAATTATTATATATAGGAAAAATTGGAGAGGTTAGAAATCTTGTGGCCTTTGGCTGCATGATTTCTGAGCCATAATAATTTCTAATCTTCTGGCACTTTGGGAGGCTGAGGTGGGTGGATCACCTGAGGTCAGGAGTTCGAGACCAGCCTGGCCAACATGGTGAAACCCTGACTCTACTAAAAATAAAAAAATTATCCGGGTGTGGTGGTGCTTGCCTATAATCCCAGCTAATCGGTAGGCTGAGTTAGGAGAATTGCTTGAACCTGGGAGGCAGAGGTTGCAGTGAGCCAAGATCATGCCATTGCACTCCAGCCTGGGCAATAGAGCGAGACTCTGTCTCAAATAATAATAATAATAATAATAATAATAATAATAATAATAATAATAATTTCTAATCTTGTGGTTAATTTGTTAGTTTTGCAAAAGTCTGGTCTCCAGGCAAGGAGAAGTTTGCTCAAGGAGGAGCTATTATTATCTATGTTTCAAAGTTAAACTATAAATTCATCCCAAATTTAGTTTGGCCTAAGCCCAGGAATAAATAAGGGCAGCTTGGAGGTTAGAAGCAAGATGGAGTCTCTTAGGTCAGATTTCTTTCACTCATAATTTTCCTATGTCAGATTTTTCTCACTGTCATAATTTTTGCAAAGATGGTTTTAGGGGCACCTGTCTTCAGTATTTGCAGGCATTGAAGAAGATTGAGGAGTTGTTAAGAATAGAGAGTGTGCCATGCTTAGATCAGGAGGGCAAGGAGGGGTGCTCCAGATGGCTGCTGGGGCTCAGACCCACAACCAGGGACATCACTGCCCACGTAGCCCTGATGGAACTCCCCAGGGTAGAGCATGTGGGCAGATGCTCTATACCTGAATTACAATTTTCTCTCAATGCTAACCTTGGAAAATGTTCTACATAGAGAAAGCCGAGACCCTCAATACCACTGACTGAAAAAAGTCACTAAAGAGGAACTTGATTTAACAAAGCCTACTCCCATCTCCATCCCGCCCCAAGACTTAGGGAGCTGGCAGGCATTCCCAACTAAACTTGGCTAACAGCAGTGATTCTTAAATTCAATTCCATATCAAAATTACCTACTAACACACAGTTTCTGTGAGGGGTAGGCGGTCTGGTTATCAATAGTTTGCAAAACTCCTTTACCAAGTGATTCTCATGTGCAACAAAACTAAAGAGCAAGTAGATTACAGCCTTGCATGTCAAAGTGTGGTCTCAGACCAGAAGCAGGGACATCACCTAGGAGCCTGATAGAAATGCAGACTCCCGGGCCCCACTCGGCCCTGCTGCCTCAGAGGCTATGGAATCACAAGACCCTGAAGTACTTCATTTGCACATTAAAGTTTGATAAGCACCAGAATACCCTTTAATGATACCTAATAGGGTCGGCTGATTGTCATTATCTCCGTAAATTGGAGCCCTGACTAATGTTGCAATAATGACCTGAAGCTGGGCGGAGGGTTGGAGTAGGGAGGGGCATGCAGACAGCAAGACCTGGAAAGCTGTTGATAAAGAGGCTGGAAGAAGCGGAAGTTTCTGGTGGTTTTTGTACTTGGGTAGTTTGATTTTCACTTTGCCGCCAACCTTCCAGATAGAATGCTACATAGTCAGCAGATTTTTGTATATTTCCTCTGAAAGCTCAATATATGACAAGCCAGCTCTGTGCTTTGTGCTTATCATTAAATTAACCCTCAGGGCCACCACCCTGCAGACGTTAATCATTCCCATTTTGCAGAAGCACTAAGAGGGCAAGAACCTCCCCAGTGTCACTTAGCCATTCCGTGGCAGAGTGAGGATTTCGTTTTTAGTGTTTGATGGATTTTTCCTGCATCATCAAAATTAAGCTTTATTTCACAATTAGTGTGGAAAAAGAGAAATAAAGACCAAACAGAAGCAGTACTCAGCAACAATGCTAGGGCAGAAACTGTCCCCACAGGGTTGACAAGAATGGCATGCCAGGTTCTGGATAGAAATAGAATAATAATTAAACATTAATCAGGCTGCACTTTGGCCCACTTCCTTGTTGCTAAAAGTCACGTAGCACTAGATCCTGACCATTTGTATCTCTTCGTTCCTGTAGATAAGATTTCTGGCATTAAGGTTATAAGATGGTTTAAGAATTGATCTGCATCCCTGTTGTTCCCATAGACAGGACCTCTGACATTAGAATCATAAGGCTTTTGTTTAAGGATCACTTAAGATTTTTTCAGCCCCCAAATTCCAGCACCCAATTTGAAGACCCCACAGAAGGACGGAATCAGCATGAGATTGCAGCTTCTTCATCCTCATCCCACGACTTCACCCCAAACTCTTTGACCAATCAATGATTTCCACACTTCATGCTGTGGCCCACTCCAAAACCCTTAAAATCACTAGCCCCACAGCCCTCTGGGAGATGGATTTGAGGTTTCCTCCTATCTATCTCCTCACTGGGTGACCCTACAATTAAACCTCTTGCTCTGCTGCAACTCCATGTCTCAGGCATTGGCTTGTCCCAGACTTAAAACACCATCATTTTGTCAATGAAAAGAATCACTCTATAAAATTTTTGAAGACATTTATTCTGAGCCTAATATGAGTGACTGATGATCCTAGACACAACCCCAGGAGATCCTGAGAACATGTGCCCAAGGTGATCTGGCTACAGCTTCATTTTATACATTTTAGCAAGACATAAGACATCAATCAATACATGTAAGATGTACACTGGTTTGGTCCAGAAAGGTGGGATAACTCAAAGTGGGGGCTTCCAGGTCATAGGTAGATTCAAGAATTTTCTAATTGGCAATTGGTTGAAAGAGTTAGATTATTATCTAAAGACTGGAATCAGTAGAAGGGAATGTCTGGATTAAGATAAGGGCTTATGGAAACCAAGGTTCCTATTATGCAGAAAGAATCAATAGAAGGAAATTCCTCCTACCAGACCCAAACAGTCTATCATTCTTCAGATGTTTTAATGTTAATGCTGGTCAGTTGTGCCTGAATTCCAAGAGGAGTAGGATATAATGAGGCATGTCTGATCCCCACTTCCCATCATGGCCTGAACTAGTTTTTGAGTTAACTTTGGAATGCCCTTGGCCAAGGGAAGCATCCATCAGTCAGTTGGGGGGCTTAGAATTTTATATTTGGTTTACAATTTAATAGCCTGGGGTTGTGGAGGAAAGCAGGATTAAAAAAAAAGAGAAGGGAGTTTGTCTTCACTTCTTCTATTTTGACACAAGTAAGGCCCTGCCCTACTCCTTCCCTCTCTCACCTTAACCTGTCTGGATCTTCTGCTTCATTTCCACCCAAAGACAGGGAGCAATGGGAAAGTTTCACGGGACACCCCAGGGTGAGTTATTGTTGCCTATTGCTAGTTCTGCACAGAGCCTGATATCCTCCTATTGTGGTCATAAGCACATAACAGCCGCTGAGGGGTCACCAAGTCAAGGTCATCCTAGACCAGCTAACCCCTTAAGAAATAGCACCACCTTCCAGCCAGGGTGTCATAACTGTAGCTTTATTGTAATATCTCCCATTATTTCCAGAACATCACTGGCAACTAGAAACTTGTATGCAAGGGTGATTTTTATAACCGCAGAGTAAATAAAATATAATAGAGAATAGACTTGTAACAATAAATACACTTTAAATATAAATATACACATTGATATCCCACACATATAAAAGTCATGCTCTGCAAATACTTTGTATACACACTGTCCTTGTGGGGTATGAATTCCAGGATGTGTCTTCAAGGATTTACATGTGTCCTATTAGTTGTAGATATTTCCAGAGAACTTATGTAGAAGCAACACATTACAAATTTTGGGGAAAAAAATTAAGTATCACAGAGCAATTTTTAAAATATTTAATACATTTTTGTTCTACAAAGAATGAGCATTTCTTAAATATTACAAACAGTGAAACAAATATACTAGCTTACAGATATGTACAATTTATGACTTTATACTTCAAAAATGCAGGAAGATAAATTATATATTTTATATACATGTAATTTTAGATAGAATGAACAATTCAATATTGCTCTTGTGTTGGTCTTGCTGCATTGTATGCATGCCCATGGCTTGTCGCTGGATGGAGGAGGGGCTCATGGGGATAGAAGGGAAGTCATGGAGCCCCATGCTCATGCCCAGAGCGCCATCTTCAAAGCAATATTTAATTAAATATTAACTTATTCTGCCTGGGTCAAAAACTGCTATGCCCATATGCAATGTAGGATGTGTTTTCAAGAACCACAGCTACATATTTGGGAATGGAAACGTACAAATGCTTTAAAAAAATCTAATTCTGTGATACTAACTCCTCAAACTCTGAGTCAATTGGGGATCTCCTAAAAGACGATTTTGAGATAACCATTGATATCCTCAGTTCAGCTCATAGAAAACGATCTCAAAATGAAGACCCATAATTGAGGCTTCAATAGCCTTCCTAGCCTATAAATTCACAGAAAAAATATGAAGGAAAAAATGTGTCCTGAATGAAATCAGACTTTCAGTAATTACAAACTTCTCATGCTGATGAAGCCCTGAACACTTAAACATGTAGAAACTGATTTGAAAGGGATAAAAGAAATTCTGACTTACAATCAGTAGAAATGGGATGGTTTGCAGGAATATCTCACATTAAAACCTTATTAATACTACAGTCAGTGGCAAAGATCGCATTCTACTGTTAACAAAGAACCCAATCAAAATCTATAGGTCTACTTTGGCCATGAAGTTCTGTTTCTTCTTCCATTTAACCTATACCCAAATTAAAACTTGATCATCTCTCTCTCAGAATAGAAACAGAAAAAAAATGTCGGGACAAGTTGAAAAACAAATGTTCCAGAAAATCCGCCAACTAAAGATCTCATTGCGAATGCTGTGCAACAGCTTTTTAGAACAGAACAATCCTGCTTGAGGAATCTGAAGGGGGCCACGGGACTGGCCCAAATGCTCTTCACCCCCAGCTGGCTCCCACGCCACTTCTCTGCTTTCTCAGCTCAGCATGAGTGTTCCCCCTGTAAAGTCAGGGCGGTTTTGTTCTAGGAGATCATGGAGTCAAGCAGTTCTCAAAGGCACCTCCCACGCTCTAAACACATCCCAAGGGTGAGTTATTGGGAGACCAGAGAGGATGAGATCAGGACAAGGGAACTGAACCAGAAAAGGCTGAAGAAAACTAGGACATATTGAGAGAGCAAGTGTGCTTTGGGGGATGGAGATGGCCACACTGCTGCTGCTGCAAGCCCTGCATAGGAGGGACAGGAGAAACAGCAGTTGCAGGAGGTGGCCTGGTCAAACATCCCCAACTTAAGCCCTCCCTGTGCTGACACTGCCACCCAACAGCCATGCAGCCCCCACCCCCCCAGGCAGGCCCACGTGGGACTGCAGCTCCTTCTGCCTGCCAGGCGGGTGACAGGAAGACTGCTGAGAGGATGATGCCACAGTTGGGGCCAGTAAATGTTCTGCCAACTGAAACAAACAGGAGATCTAACAGGCACTATCAGTGGGAGTTTTCAGGAAGCCAAGTCCAACCAGGCTCTACGATGGCAGAGCAATTAAGCTGAGTGGGCTCTTCCCAGGGCAGAGAAGCCTGCCTGTCTCCAGCCACCATCCTATCCCCAAGCTAACACAGGAAACCTGAAATAGCTGTAATTTGGCTTGAAAGATTAAAGATGCACACAAAATCATTAAGAGAAAAAGATAATTGTTTCTAGAGTGAATACTGTATTGAACAGCTCTTAGAAGACACGTATAATGGAACATGCAAGAGAATTTACTATTATTTAAATGCATTTTCCAGGAACATATTTCCAATACAGATAGATCATCAAAAACACAGTGAATAACTTCTGTTTCAAAGTATTTCATTAAGGTGCAAAGTGTGGCATATACATGTTTGTGACACTACAAAAATGGATGTGCTTCTGGTTGTCTGATGGCCTTTGCTGGCTGCTACCCAGCTGGGTACAGATCGAGTTATTTAAGAGAAGAAAACCACCTTGGAGGAAAAAAACGTCTAAAAATAGTGAGTTTATTTGCTTGTATTTAAAATCTGAGGGCTGAAAGAAGTTATACTCCTCACAGGTCAAAAGAAGAAAATCACATTTCTAAAACCCTCGATGTATAACACACAGGAACATTATTGCGATGTTTTAATACTGTCACGATATCCTCACTTAAAAACTGAAGAACTTCCGACAGAGCAGCACACTGTTAGTGCACTTATCCCTGCACATGAAGATAAATACTCTAATAGCTTAAAATGATACTTCCTAACTAGGTCTAGGTAAGGTGAACACATCCCCTCAGGGTAGCAAGGCTCCTAACAGGCCAGGTGGGAATTAAGAACGGACACCCTTTGGGGGAGAGGCTGTGTTTTTTAATCCCCTTTAAAAAAGTGTAAAATGGACCAAGTGTGGTCCACTTTGGACCATCTGATCTTCTCACCTCTTCCTGCCCCTCCCCTCCCCCAAAGATGTGATTGGCTTCTGTCTGGGGTTGGTGCAGGTAACTCTAGGTTAACACGCTCTCACATGCACGTAGATGACATTTAGTCCTCTCGGTACATGTTGCTTTGTGGGTACCAGTCCTCCCTCCCACCTTCGGGTGTTCATCGCCACCTTCAGCAATTGCTGGCACCTCTCAGTTCCCAGGGATGCTGAGTGTGTTGGTTTTCACTTGAACCGCCTGGCAGATTCTGTGACTCCAGAGTGGGTGGCTTACTGTTGGTGGTGTGAAACGCCCTCTTAAGGACAATAGGACGCATCTCGATTAAATGCAATGTTTAACACGTGGGCATTATACATGCTACCCTGACGACGGTGGGTGTCATTTTGGGGGAGTGAGGTGCCGGGGACACACAGCTGCTCCTCCCGCAGGAAGGGCCTTCACATGATCACGCACTTGCCTTTGAGCTTCTCTTTCCTTTTCTGCTGCTTGCTCTTTTTCCCGTCGATCTGGAGACTCACGGTCCTGCGCTTCTCCAGGTTGAGCAGCTCCTGGAAAAGCTCCTTCACGTTATGGTTGAGCTTGGCTGAGGTCTCCATGAAGGCACACTTCCATGTGCGGGCCAAGGCCTCCGCCTCGCTGCTCTGCACCTCGCGGCTGGGGCTCTCATCACACTTGTTCCCCACCAGCATGATGGGGATGCTCTCCACGTCCCCTTTGATCTCGCAGATTTGTTCGTAGATGGGCTTGAGCTCCTCCAAGGACTGTCGGCTGGTAATGGAGTACACCAGGATGAAGGCGTGCCCTTTGGAGATGGACAGCCGCTGCATGGCCGGGAACTGGTGGCTCCCCGTCGTGTCGGTGATCTGCAATGTGCATATGCTCTTGTCACAGCTGATCACTTGCCGGTAGGTGTCTTCCACCGTCGGGATGTAGCTCTCCCGGAATGTGCCTTTCACAAACCTCAACACCAGGGAGCTCTTGCCAACACCGCCAGCCCCAAACACGGCCACCCGGTAATCGTTACTCTGCTCAGGCATGTTGCTGGAGAGCTCCAACTCTCAGCCAGGACGCACCTAGCAAAGGAACCAGATGTTTGAAAGAATTAATAATTAAAATATAAAAACATTAATAAGGATAGCTCTACCCTCTTTTGATAGCTTAAAAATGGGAGGTGATAACATTTAAAATAGCGACAATTCTAAATCCAATAAATTTGGTCAATCCGCCGTTTTCAAAAGGACAGACGATCTACTCAGGGGCTCACTGGAGCCCATCTGTTTCTCTTTATTGGACCATGACAATGAGCATCTTTGCTCCCACATAGGCCCTAAGCCCAGGTAAAAGATGCAAAGTGAGCCCGAGAGACAGCACCAAGGAAAGGCAATGAGAAGATAAATTAACTACCCCCGTAAAAACACAAACACACATATGCACACACACATCACCATCATCAACAGCAGCATATCTTTGCTGTTTTACCTGAAGTACTGAGTACCCAATATACTGGTCATCATAATGTGTGTGTGTGTGTGTGTGTGTGTGTGTGTGTGTGTGTGTGTGTGTGAGAAATACTGGGAGAGGGAGATGAATGAGGGAAAAGGATGTTCTAATATTTATTCAGTGTTTATATTAACTCATGAAATCCTCACCACTCTGCAGGAGTTGGTGCCATTAGCTCTGTTGTACAATGATGAAACTGGAAACAAGGAAGAGATCGGGAATGGAATGTCTCTGATGTTACACAGCAATAAGAGGGAAGGCTAGGATACAACCAAAGCATTGTGGATGTCAATGCCCATCCCATAAGCTGTCTGTAGACAGAGCTGGTCCCAGTGACTTGGGCGTTACTCAGGCCATAGTATAGATTGTCTCCATTAAGTATGAAGAGTTAACTAATAAGTGTGGATAGTCATTTCATTCATCAAAATTAAGATGATTATATAAGCTTTATTTTTAAGAAACATAAGGAATCAGGTATTACCAGGATAGTAGCATAAACTACTTTTTAAGGGTCATTAAAAATGAGGAGAATGCAGCAACTCTTCATCACAAACTTCACCCCTAGTTTAATATTTATTTTTATTCAGGGATGTGTAGATGTGCCTTCTTAATTTACAATCTATCAAAATTTTTTCATTCTGTACCTTCTTCGGTAAGGAAGGACATATAACACCAAACAAAATAGAGAATTACACAATTTGGATACATTTTTAAAACTGAAGTTGATAAGTAACATGGTAATGTGAAGCATGGAATTCATTCTTCTCAGCAAGCAGGCATTGTGCTGACTTTTCACCTTTCTAGTTTTAGGGCAACTTTGGAAAAACAATAAAAAGCTTTACTGAAGCAAATAAGTTTTAGAGTCCAGTAAAAATATTAAACATAACTACCAATGGAAGGAAATGCATTTGTGCAGTGAATATGTTCTCCTGACAGACAGAACATCAGGTCAAAGCCCTGGACTGAGGTATTCCACCTTCTCATTTTGCCTCATGCGTCTGCCTACAAATCTGCTCGATTCAATACTCAGCTGTTCTTGCATGCACTTTGGAATCCCAAACCCTCCAAGAAGCTAAGGAAACATCAATGCTAACAGAAAATATAAAAGACTGTTAGGAAGTTCATTAACACCAAAAGATGGCAGAAGAGTCTGCTTAGGAGTTTGGTGAAGTTTATTAAATGCTTATGAGATAATTATGATTAATTCAAGGGTGAAGCATTGTGATAAATTTTTCCACAATTTTTTTAAAAAAACTCAATCGTGTCTTAGTTTGTTTTCTGTCACTATAACAGAATACCTCAGATGAAATAATTTTAAAAGCAATCTACTTCTTACAGTTCTGGAGGATGGTAAGTCCAATATGAAGAAGCTGGATCTGGTGAGAGCCTTTTGTTGCCTCATAACATACTGGAGGGCATGGCATGATAAGACAGAGCAAGCATGTCAGCTAGGGTCTCTCTCCTTGTCTTATAAAGCCACTGATGCCATGACAGGCATTGCCCAGCCTCCTCATGACCTCATCTATTCCTAAAAGCCCCACTTCCAAATACCATGAACATACACATTTGAGGATTACATTTCTAACATATGCACTTTTAGGGAACACATTTAAACCATAGAAAATGGACAATGGAATCTAATCTTAAGCTTCTTTCTACATCCTCAGAATGAAGCTCTCTTTTTGCTTAGAAGGGAGTTTCCTCACTCGTTTTGCCTTGTATTATGGTTATGTAGCTCCAGACTAGAGCATAAGCATCTAGCTGGAAGAGAACATATCTTAACAAGTTCTGCATCCCAATGTATCTCAAAGATCTCTTGGTTCACAGCACATACACTCTTTATGAGTTTGCTGAATATGTGGTCAGCTATGTTAAGGTGTCTCCATTATTAAACTGGCAACGAACACATAGGAAGTAAATGCTAAACATAAAATAAAGTATTCATGGCTACAATTATTCATTTACCCAGAGAAATATCCACTGAGCTTCCACTAAACCAGGCTGTGGACAAGCGGCCAGAAAACAACTGTGCAGAGGACAGACTTAAGGAAGGATCTCTATTCTCATGAAACTCAGAATCAAGTAAAGCAGACATCAATCCAAAAGATAACTTCATAAATATTTAATAAATTATATCATAGCAAGTGCTGCAAAAGAGAGGTCTGAAGGAATTTCATGAAATTTGAGATATCAGGAAGAATTTCACTAAGGAGGTGGCATGGAAGCATGAATCTGAAAGATGAACAGGAGTCAGAAAGTTGAAGGGGTATAAAGTTCAATGTGCATTTATGAGATAGGCCTGGGCCAATAACTCCATAGTGATCTTCAACTCACTAACAAAAACCCAGACTGTAGAGAATCACTTGAACCTGGGAGGTGGAGGTGGCAGTGAGCTGAGATCATGCCACCGCACTCCAGCCTGGGTGACAGAGCAAGACTCCATCACAAAAAAAAAAAAAAAAAAAAAATTGTAAACTATTTTCTTCCATGTCAGAACCATTCATTTATTTCACAAGCATTTATAAAATGTCTTCTAGATACTGTGCAAACTCAGTGCTTACCCAACAGCACTCACAGCATTAGAGGGGGGACAAGCATAGGAAAGTATACATTACGCCCCACTTCGCAGATGCTGTGATCTAGTTATCAACAAAGGCAGGATAAGAACCTAGTGGGGAATCTAGCTCTGCCTGGAGCCCTCAGGAAGCATTTCACAGAGGGCTGGAACTTGCCAGATGGTGAAGTGATGAAAGGCGTGTTAGTCAGAAGAAAGAACTTCATAGGAAGGAATAAATGGAGGAAATAGAGCTAATGCTCATGCCATGGTAGACAGCTTGTGTAAACTGGCATCCAGGAGTGAATTTGGGGTAGCAAGTGAGTGGTGGCACTCACCATCAATCAAGATAAAAGGCAGAAGAGAGAAGCAGCTTTAGAGAAATGACAGTAAACAACAAGGAGAAAGGAGCTGTGATTGGGTCAGGTTTATGGGACAAATGGGGGAGATATCTGGTAGGTGATTGGGATTTAGTGTGAAAGTTCAGCAGAGAGGACTCATCTAGTGATAAATATCTGGATACCATTCATACACAAACAGCACTATAATAAACAAAAATTCTCCAGGGAGAGAGCATGTAGAATGAAAGGAGAATACCACATGCCCAATCTGTTATATGCTATTGAGAGAACTTGGCAAGTTACTTAAACTTTCTGCATTTGAGTTGCTTTAGCTAGGAAATGGATATAATAATGCCAAGTTGTTTATGAGACTAATGTGGGGAGTAACACAATGCAATCAAGCACTTGAACAGCTCTCAGCACATAGTTTTTTGGCTACATTCAAGAAGGACCATGCAGATAAGGGGTTCATAAAGGAGCAGTATGATGGACAAGGAGAAAAATTCACAAGAGGGCAACTAGCTATTAAACTCATTCAATAAGATTTCAGAATACAACATTCATATAAAGAACCAACTGTATTTCTATACACTTGCAATGAACAATCTGAAAATGAAATTTAAGAAAATAACTCAATTTATAATAGCATCAAAAAGAGTAAGATACTTAGGAATAAATTTAACAAAAGATGCAAAACATATCTGGAAATTACAAACATGGTTGAAAGAAATTGAATACACGAATAAATGGAAAAGCACCCCATGTCATGTATCAGAGGACTTTTACTGCTAAGATAGCAGTATTTCCAGGAATCACCTACAGATTCAATGCAATTCTTAAAAGCATCCCACTAGCGACTCTGCAGAAACTGACAAACCGATCCCAAAATTTATGTAAAAATTCAAGAGACCCAGAATAGTCAAAACAATGTTGAAAAATTAAAAGTGAAAAAGCTGGCAGACCCATACTTCCTGATTTCAAACTCACGACAAGGATATAATACATCAAGAAATTGTGGTACTAACACAGGATACACAGATACATGAACAGAATAGAATTCAGAGTCCAGAAATAAACCCTCATATTTACAGTCAATTGTTTTTTGACAAGGGTGTCAATAAAATTCAATTCAAAAGGCAGAAGGAATAGTCTTTTCAACAAATGACGCTGAAACTGGTAAAAGAATAAGGGGAGCACCTCTCCCTCACACCATACACAAAACTGACTCAAAATAGATCAAATACCTAAATATAAGAGCTAAAACTATAAAACTCTTAGAAGAAAACATAGGTATAAACCTTGATAACCTTGGAGTAAACAGTGTTTTCTTAGATGTGACACCAAAAGTATGAGCAACAAGATTAAAACTAGGTAAATGTGACTTCATCAAAACTAAAGGACACAATCAAGAAAGAAGTAACCCACAGGATAAGTGAGTATTGTTATAAATCATATATCTGATAAGGGACTAGTTCTGGTATATACAAAGAACTTCTACAATTCAACAACAACAAAACAACTCAATTAGAAATGGGCAAAAGACTTAAAAAGACATTTCTCAAAAGAAGATATATGAATTTATTGACTATATTTAATAGTCAATAAGAAGATATACAAATAGCCAATAATAAGTCAATAACATGAAAAGATACTCAACATAATAGTCACCAGGGAAGTGCAAATCAAAACTATAACAAGCCTGTAATCCCATCACTTGGGAGGCCGAGGCAGGCAGATCACAAGATCAAGAGATCAAGACCATCCTAGCCAACATGATGAAATCTTGTCTCTAAAAATACAAAAATTAGCTGGGCATGGTGGCGCATGCTTATAGTCCCAGCTACTCAGGAGGCTGAGGCAGGAGAATTGCTTGAACCTGGGGGGCAGAGGTTGCAGTGAGCCAAGATCTCACCACTGCACTCCAGCCTAGCAACAGAGTGAGACTCTGACTCATCTCAAAAAACAAAACAAAGGCTGGGGGCGGTGGCTCATGCCAGTAATCCCAGCATATTGGGAGATCGAAGTGGGTGGATCACCTGAGGTCAGGAGTTCAAGACCAGCCTGGCCAACATGGTGAAACCCCGTCTCTACTGAAAATACAAAAAAAATTAGCCAGGTATGGTGGCAGGTGCCTGTAATCCCAGTTACTTGGGAGGCTGAGGCAGGAGAATCACTTGAACCCAGGAGGCAGAGGTTGCAGTGTGCCAAGATCACGTCATTTCACTACAGCCTGGGTGACAAGAGCGAAACTCCGTCTCAAAAACAAAACAAAACAAAACAAACTATAAAGTACCGCTTCATACTCACTTGGATGGTTATAATCAACAACAACAAAAAACAAACCCAGAAAATAACAAATGTTGACAAGGCTGTAGGAGCATTTGAACCTTTGTGCATTGTGCATTGCTGGCAAAAAATGTAAAATGATATTGCTGTTTTGGAAAAAATTCTAGCAGTTCCTCAAAAGGTTAAACAGAATTATAATATGACCCAGCAATTCCCCTCCTTTGTATATACCCATGATAAATAAAAACACATAGCCACACAAAAATTTATACAATGATACTCATAGCAATATTAAGCATAATAGCCAAAAAGTGGAAACAGCACAAATGTTTGTAACTAATGAATGGATAAGTAAAATGCAATCTACCCATTTCATGAAATATTATTCATCAAGAAAAAGGAACTGGTACATACTGCAACATGGATAAATCCTGAAAATATTATGGCAAGTAAAAGAAGCCAGTAGCAAAAGACCACACATACTGTATGGTTCCATCATATGAAACATTCAGAATTGCAAATATACAGAAAGGGTATTTGTGGTTGCCTAGGGAGGGTGGGGTAGGGACTGGGGGGAAACAAGAAGTAACTGATAATAGGTACAAGGTTTCTTTGGGGGAAATGAAGTGTTCTAAAACAGTGGTAATGGCTGTACCGTAAAACCCTGCGAATGTACTAAAAACCGCTGAAATGTACACTTTAATGCGGGAATTATATCTCAGTAAAGCTTTTACTTAAAAACAGACATGAGGAGGGCCAGTAATCCACTGCATATAGTCCATTATCTACTGAAAATGATTCACACATATAGAGCATCAGGTCACAGACCCCAGTATGAGAAATAACCTGTTAAAGGTAACAGACCTCAGCTTTATTCCTACTAGGCAAGTAATTGAAATATCCCAAATATTCACAGTAGAAGATGAACAAACCCTGAAATATTCATACCATGAAAAGCAGTACCCTAAATTAACATATTAATACCTTAAGAAAAAGCAATACAGGCTGGGCACGGTGGCTCATGCCTGTAATCCCAACATTTTGGGAGGCTGAGGCAGGTGGATCACTTGAGACCAGCAGTTCGAGAACAGCCTGCACAACATGGTGAAACCCGTCTCTAGTAAAAATACAAAAAAATTACCCAGGCCTTGTTGTGTGCCTGTAATCCCAGTTATTCGGGTGACTGAGGCACGAGAATTGCTTGAACCCAGGAGCAGAGATCACGCCACTGCACTCCAGCCTCTCTGACAGAGTGAGACTCCGCTGTCTCAAAAAAAAAAAGAAAGGAAAGAAAAAAAGAGAAAACAATACAAAAAATGATACATGCAACAACCTCTTTGAACCTGACGGTGGCCTGCTGGGTGCTGGAAATATTACATATCTTGATGTGGGTGGTGGTTACACAGATGTTAACATTGTTGTTATATGACCATTATCTAGATTATCCTATCTTATTCATTTAAAATTATCATGAAAATAAAATTTCAAATTTAAAAAATCTTTGAAAACTCAAAAATCCAATAGGATACATTTTCAGATCCCAGTTAGAGGAATAAGAGTGTTGTGAGATCAAGTATAATAGAAATAGAAAGTAAATCTTTGATTTCACAAAGCAGAGGTTAAATAAAGACTGAGAAAATTTTAGTTAAGTGACATTGGGGGGTGTGAAGGGAGTAGAAGTTATGTTACAACAGGCCTGGGAATGATGGAAATGGAAGAGATGGCTAGAAAGACAAGAAATGTAGATTTCTCTTGAAATAAATGTGGAGATTAAGGAAAGGAGAAAGAATGACTAGTATAAGGTAATGCAGGGTTAGAGAGGTAGGAAAGATTCTGTATAGATCTGGTGATGGATAACTGATAGAGCAAATCTTAAGGAAGCAGGAGTCACCGGGGCCTAGGATGCAAATGGCAGGTCCGTCTTCAAGGAGGGGAGGAAAGAGAGAAGAGAGGGCAGGTGTTAGTTCAGAAGCGCAAATTAAAGCTGCCCAGACCAAGCCAAATCACTCAACTCACAAAGAGAGCACAAGAAAGCCTGACTGCATTTTAATAATTTTTTATAAAAGTACACTTTAAAACAAAAAAAAATTGACACAATGTATGTATTTGGTTAAAAAATGTAAGGAGATTATAAAATGTTCTTTTATGCATAGTCAGTCCCCTTCATTCAGGAGCCCCCCAGTTTCTCTTTTCAGAAATAACAACTGTTTAAAAGAATGAGAACTTAGTCATCATCTTCTGATGTCCACAATTATAATTTTAAATCAGGCACTTATTGTTTGAATAACAGACCTTTGCATCTTGACTTACTGACTTTGGACCATATCTATCTACAAAATTAACACAATGTCATTCCTTCCTCCACTACCCTGATTTTTGTTACAAGAAAAATAAAGTTTGCATCAGCATTTAAGATTTCCAGCTATGTTATTTATAGTTTGTTCAAAATATATATGTGTTCTGTGCTTTGCCACAGCCTGTTTCTAAATCCTACCAAAAGGCTGGGTGCAGTGGCTCATGCCTATAATTCCAGCATTTAGGAGGCTGAGGCAGGAGGATTGCTTGAGGTCAGGAGTTCGAGATCAGCCTGGGAAACATAGCAAGACACCATATGTATAAAAAATACAAAAGTAAGCTAGGCGTGATAGCACACACTTGTGATAGTAGCTACTCAGGAGGTTGAGGCAGGAGGATCTCTTCAGCCCAGGAATGTGAGGTTGCAGTGAGCTGTGATCACACCACTGCACTCCAGCCTGGGCAGCAGAGCAAGACCCTGTCTCAAATAAATAAATAAATACATACATTCATACATACATACATACATACCCTATCAATAAAGAACATTAATAGGATTCTGTAACTATTTTTCACTGCAGGAGTAGGTAGTAGGACTGGACCCACTGAGAGAAGGATAATCTTCTTTCATCAAACTTTGCTAATTGAAGAATAATTTTCTGTCAGTAACATTTGGATCTTACTTTTTTCCGGAGTTTTTTTTTTTTTCCTCTAACTCTTAGCTGCCAATTTTGATATTTCAATTTGTCTCCTTTCAGCCATTTCATGTGCTGGTATAAACAATACTAATAAATTATTTCAGATGGTATTAAAATTTCTGAATTCATGGCCTCTCACTTGATTGATAGAGTCCTGAATGCAGCCCAAGTTCAAATTCTTTCTTCTTCAGACGTTATTTCATTTTTAAGTTTAGCATCCAGGCTTGTTAACGTAAAATCCAAAGCCAGTATGATTATCTTTCCTTTGTAAGAAATTTGTGTTTTTCCTTTCTCTTTGGAAGAGTTAGAGTTTTCTCTCTAACCTTGGATTTATGAAGATTCACAAGGATCCATTCGAAATTGCTTTTTGAGGGCTGGGCGGGGAGAGACGGGATAAAAACCCAATTTTTCCCAAAGCCTGGGGACACTTTCTTCTATTTTAAAAAATTACAACATTCCAACCCCTATATCTTTTCTCTTTCTGAAACTTCTATTAGATGATGGATTGATTGTACCTATTCTTGATTTCTCCAGCATCTTCTATTTTTAATAAACTTTCTTGTACTCTGATTTTCCCTTTTTCATAGAAGTAGTTTCTTATCTTAGGAACTGTGATACCATGCTGAATTTCAACAAGAATGCTCATTGCCATTGGTTGTGGCTGTTCTCCTCGCTTATCTGAGCTCTCTGTGTCTCTGTTTGCTCATTTTAATCCTTTTTTTTCATCTGCTCATTTCCCCAAATGTCTGCTGGTCTGTGGTTTTCCATTTGATTTATGAAAGAATCATCACATTGGCTGGGAGAGGTAGCTGGAGTGTGAGTACTCTTGAAGATGTGCAGTTCTGTTTATCGACAGGCCATCCCCTGAATGGGAAGGCTGGGATGACTTGATACACACCCCTGTTATTTTCCTTTTCTTGAACTTGGTTGAGCTAAACTGTCTCAACACTCCCTTATACTCCAAAAAAGCTTATACATAGACAGCTAGAGGAAGGAAAGGATTAAGAAAATAAAAAAAAATCCATCCCAAAGTGCATAAAATACAAAAATATATGTCAATAATTCAAAATGAGACCTCCTAGGCAGTGAAAATCAGTATTAGGCCTATTGGGCCTAGATTCAGGGAAAATGCATTTTGATTTGCTGAGTGACACAAGTTTCCCATTCAATAATATTTTAGAAGAAACTTGAATTCTTGTGAATGAGATAGAAGCATGATCTCAGGCAAAACAAACCCACAGCCTTTATCTGTATTATACCCTAAATTAATCCTGCTTCAAAACACAGTTATGGAGCTGGGCATGGTGACACACACCTGTAACTCCAGCTACTTGGGAGGCTGAGGCAGGAGGATCGCTTCAACCCAGCTGCTCAAGACCAACCTGGGTGATACAATGAGACCCTGTCTAAACAAACAGTCAAAACTAGAGGGAAAATTATAGATTGGAAGAATTCGGATCTTTAAGAGTAAATGTTTGGAAAAGGTTGATAATTTAGTGTACTATTCTGCCCTAAATGTTCTATCTACAGCCTAAGCTAAAAGGTTTACAAAGCTAAAAGGTTTACAAAGCTAAAAGGTTTATACAGATTGTCTCTGCTCAATTACTGACTTGGTTTCCGTGAAATGTTATTAGCTTTAAACAAATCTTATATTTGAAGTTGGTACATGGGAGCCCTTTAAAAGTCTTAATAATACAAGGTGAATAATGGTCATTAAGAAACAACAATCAACAAAATGTAAATTCTTTAGGTAGGAAAGTGTACTTTTATATATTTTTAGAATCTTGATTTAAATAAATGTTTACTTTATATTCCTTCTTAGCTCAATCTAAAAAATGATAGATTTGTTAGTGGGAAATGTTTGATCATAAAAGAGACTTAAACATCCATGGATCAACTTTATCCAGAAAAGCAGAATGCTTTTCCCGGAATCTTGTATTGTAGTGTTGTAAAGACATCTTCCCTGGCAGTGGGGCAGGTACGAAAGCAAGAGACACATCCAGAGGGTCTCAGCTGCTCATTTCAAGATGCATACTACCTGCAAGAATGAAGTCAGTGGAGATAAATGGGGCACTTCTTGGAATGGCGGGGATAGCATAAATTATTTTTAAGATTTCATATCCAAGAGGCCAATAAGCCCACAGCTTAAGTATACAAATAAGTTTCACTTATATTTGTCTAGAACAATTTCATCTGGGGAACATATGATGGCCAAAAATTCCAAAGAGCCAAATAAAACATACTTAATGACACTTTTTTTTTTTTTGAGATGGAGTCTCACTCTGTCGCCAGGCTGGAGTGCAATGGCGCGATCTCAGCTCCCTGCAACCTCTTCGGCCTCCCGGGTTCAAGCGAATCTCCTGCCTCAGCCTCCCGAGTAGCTGGGACTACAGGCGGGCGCCACCACCTGCCTCAGCCTCCCGACGTGTTGGGCTTATAGGTGTGAGCCCCCACACCTGGCCGCTTAATGACACTTTTAAGACTGCCCAGAGCCTAACTACACTTTGGGCATTTTCTGATTTATTCATTTTCTATGTGAGTAAGGAAAACAAAAAGGAAAATCATGTGAATAACAAACAAGATTGTTGTCTTGGTCAAGGGACTGGTGACCAATGACCGATGCAGCATGCTAACCTCTGCAGGGAAATAGTTACACAAAGATAAAGTCAACTGGAGCACACGAATCTGCATGTATGGAAAATAAAGTATTTGATGCCAGTTATGAGGGCTTGATGCACTACTGTGTGCAGCTCAGACTATTTAATTCACTGTCAGCCCGTGGGCTACCTATGTATTCTTGGTTAGGTGAATTTCTAGTGTTAGCCACCTAAAAGTTTACAAAACTGGCAAGGTACAAAAAATGATTCTTTCAAACAATCATGAATTATTTTGTTTCTCATGCTTTTGGTGTCATTTGAGAATCCATTACTGAATCCAAGGTCATGAAGATTTACTCCTATGTTTCTCTTAACAGTTTTATGGTTTCAGTTCTTATGTTTAGGTCATTGATCTATTTGAGTTAATTCTTATATATGGTGTGAGGTAGGTGTCCAACTTCATTATTTTACATGTAGATATCCATTTATCCCACCACCATTTGTTGAAGAGATAATTCTTCCCCCATTGAATGGTCTAAGTCCCCTTGTCAAAAATCAGTCAACTATAAAGGTGAGTTTATTTCTGGACTTTCAATTCTATCCCATTGCTCTATATGTCTGTGCATATGCCAGCACCACCCAATTTTGTTTACTGTAACTTTGTAGTAGATTTTGAAATTGAGAAGTATGAGTCTTCAACTTTGTACTTCTTTTTCAAGATCTTTTATCTATATGAGGCCCTTTGTAATTCCATACAAATAGATAAATTAGGCTTCATCAAAATTTTAAAAATTTGTACAAGAAAGGGCATTACCAAGAAAATTAAAAGAGATCCTTCTTGTCTGGGCGCGGTGACTCACATCTGTAATCCCAGCACTTTAGAAGACTGGGGTGGATGGATCATGAGGTCAGGAGATCAAGACCATCCTGGCTAACATGGTGAAACCCCATCTCTACTAAAAATACAAAAAATTAGCCAGGTGTGGTGGTACGTGCCTGTAATCCCAGCTACTCTGGAGGCTGAGGCAGGAGAATCGCTTGAACCCAGGAGGCAGAGGTTGCAGTGAGCCGAGATTGTGCCACTATACTCCAGCCTGGGTGACAGCACGAGACTCTGTCAAAAAAAAAAAAAAAAAATAGAGAGACCCTATGGAATGGGAGGAAACATATATCTGAAAAGGATGTAGTATACAGAATATATAAAGAAACTCTTACAACTGAACAACAAAAATACAAACAAGCCAACTAAAAAACCAACAAAGAAGTTGGGTGCAGTGGCACATGCCTATAGTCCAAACTACCAGAGAGACTGAGGCAGGAAGATGGTTTGGGCCAGGAGTTCGTGTCCAGCCTGGGCACCATAGCAAGACCCCATTTCTTAAAAAAAAAAAAAAAAAGACAAGAAACTTGAATAGATATTTCTCTATAGAATACATACAAATGGCCAACAAGCACATAAAAAGATGTCAACATCATTAGTCATTAGGGAAATGTAAATCAGTGAAGTACTACAATGAAGTACCGCTTCACACCCACTAGAATGGCTGTTTTTAAAAAACAGAAAATAAAAAGTGTTAGCAAAGATAGAGAGAAACTGAAACCCTTGTGCATTGCTGGTGGTAATCTAAAATGGTACAAAATCTGCGGAAGAAATCAAAGATAGAATTACTGTATGATCCAGCAATTCCACTTTTGCTGGAAAAGAAACGAAAGCGGGGACTCTAGTAGATATTTGTGTGCCCGTGTTCACACAGCAGTATTACTCACAATAGCCCGAAGGTGGAAGCAACCCAAATGTCCATAGAAAAGATGAATGAATAAACAAAATGCAGTATACATAGACAGGTGATATAGTTTGGATATTTGTCCCTGCCCACATTTTGTGTTGAATTGTAAGCCCCAATGCTGGAGGTGGGGCCCGGTGGGAGGTGTTTGGATCATGGGGGCAGATCCCTTATGGCTTGGTGCTATCTTTGCAAAGGTGAGTAAGTTCTCGCGAGATCTGGTCATTTAAAATTCTGTGGCATTCCTCCTCCCCACACCCCCAACTTGCAACTCTCTATTTCTTCTGCTTTCACCATGTGAAGTGCCTGCTCCCTTTTTGTCTTCTGCCGTGATTGTACGCCTCCTGAGGCCTCCCCAGAAGCAGACACCGCTATGGTTCCTGTACAGCCTGCAGAACCATGAGCCAACTAAGCCTCTTTTCTTATAAATTATGAAGTCTCCGGGATTTCTTTATAGCAATGCAAGAATGCACTATGGCAACAGAAATATTATTCAGCCTTAAATGGGAAGAAAACTCTAACACATGCTACAACACGGATGAACCTTGAGGACATTATGCTAAGTGAAATAAGCCAGTCAAAAAAGACAAATACTGTATGAATTCACTTATAGCGGGTACATATAGCAGTCAAATTCACAGAGAGAAATAAGAATGGGAGTTGCCAGGGGCTAAGGGAATGGAAGAAGGACAGTTGTTGTTTCATGAGTATGGAGTTTGGGTTTTGCGAGATGAAAAGATTCTTAGAGATGGATGGTGGTGATGGTTGCATAACAATGTGAATTTACTTACTGCCACTGAATTAATTACATGCTTGAAAATGATTTAAATGGAAAATTGTATGTTATATATATTTTACCATAATAAAAAGATATGACTGTATGTATAAACATTTTTAGCAATAACCGAACCATGAATTAAAGATAATGTCCATAACGAACGTAATTGGCAGTGTTAGCTAGGCAGACAGCTCCTCCTTATTCATCCACACTATACAGTAAAAACAGCAAGGGTCAGGGGTTGTGGGGCAAGGGGAGGGAGAGCATTAGGACAAATATCTAATGCATGCCGGGCTTAACACCTGGATGGCAGGTTGATAGGTGCAGCAAACCACCATGGCACGTGTATACCTATGTAGCAAACCTGCACATTCTGCATAAGTAGCCCAGAATTTAAAATTTAAAAAAAAGAAAAAGAAAAAAAAATAGCAAAGGTCTCATCTAATCCAACAAGATGAACAAAACAAAACTAATATCTTGAGAAGACCAATTAAAATGCACACCTTCATGCTGGCCTTAAGTTCCTACTGTATTACTGACTGTGTGAAGCCATCACTATTAGCCACGGCATCTAACACTCAGCCCCTAGACCTGTGCTGCCCACACAGTGCCACTGGCCCCTTGAAATGCAGCTGGCTGAACTGAAATGTGCTGCCCTGGATTTTGAAAACTTAGAATAAAAAATTGTTTTTAACCTCATTCATAAATTCTGATATTGATTACAAGTTGAAATGATCATCTTTCATAGATTTGTGAGTATATCAGTACTTTACTGCCACCCACAGCTGTGATCATCTTGCCATTTCAGACTGGGGAGACTAGGTGGCCATTGTCATTGCTGATCCTGTGAGAATGTAAAACTGGATAATATATGAAATGCAAAATAAAACAAAATTTATACACACACACACACACACACACACACACACGTATTTTTTTTGAGACAAGGTCTCACTCTGTTGCCTAGGCTGGAGTGCAGTGCCTCACGCATGGCTCACTATAGCCTCAATCTCCCGGGCTCAGGTGATCCTCCCACCTTAGCATCCACAGTAGCTGGGACTACAGGCTCATGCCACCACACCTGGCTCACTTTTTGTATTTTTTGTAGAGACAAGGTTTCATCATGTTGTCCAGTCTGGTCTCGAAATGCTGGGCTCAAGCAATCCACTTCCCTCGGCCTCCCAAAGTGGTGGGATTACAAGTGTGAACCACCTTGCCCAGCCTAAAAATATATTACTTTTTTTTTTTTGAGACGGAGTCTCGTTCTGTCGCCCAGGCTGGAGTGCAGTGGCGCAATCTCGGCTCACCGCAAGCTCCGCCTCCCGGGTTCACGCCATTCTCCTGCTTCAGCCTCCTGAGTAGCTGGGACTACGGGCGCCCGCCACCACGCCCGGCTAATTTTTTGTATTTTTAGTAGAGACGGGGTTTCACCGTGTAAGCCAGGATGGTCTGGATCTCCTGACCTCGTGATCTGCCCGCCTCGGCCTCCCAAAGTGTTAGGATTACAGGCGTGAGCCACCACGCCTGGCCAAAAATATATTACTTAAAATTAATTTCATCTTTTTACTTTTTAAAATGTGGTTACTACAAATACAAAATTACATATGTGGTTCACACGGTCGGTACTGCTGGAGAACATAAAAACAAATCTCTATACTCTTTCCAGCACAGTTTAATAACACATAATGCTTAGTCCAATGTGTTACAAAATTTAAATAAGCTTGATTTTTAAAAAATGCTTAGAATCCTCTTTTGAGGTTTTCTATTAATAGTGAAAGGCAAAAATCCACGAGCCACTGGAAAAACATTTTCCCGCTGTGGTAAAATATATACAATAATCCACCGGAATGTATGGTACAAACTAAAATTCACTTCTTTCTCAAAATCTTATGGGAAGACATATAGAAAAAAAAAAAACTGCTGACGGTGTGAAAAAAACCAATACAGTTGTTCCTTTGTATCTGCGAGGGATCGTTTCCAGGACACCTGTGAATACCAAACTTTGTGACACTCAAGTCTCTTATATGTAATGGAGTAGTACTTGCCTATAACCTATGCACATCCTCTTGGATACTTTAAATCATTTCTAGGTTACTTATCATACCTAATACAACTTAAATGCTATGTAAATAGCTGTTATGCTGCATCATTTAGGAAATAATGACATGAGAAAGAAAGTCTACATGTTCAGTACGGGCACAACCATCTTTTATTCCCATTTTTTTTTCAACTGATTGAATCTGCAGATGCGGATGCCACAGATACAGAGGGGCCAACCCTATTAGAAGTTACACACAGAGCTTTGCTAAATAGTTAGGCAAAAGTACAAATGTTCCCAATAAACCTCAGCTCATTTATGATTTGCTAGAATGATTCTCTTTCAACAATAAGATACTTTGATACATATATTCTTCTTTCAGTGCTTATTTATGCACTTACCTCTGTTCTTTTTCTCTCTCTCTCTCCTACTCCCTACTCGAATATCAATATCTTTGTCTCAGTCAATAGCAACAGGAAGGCAGGGACTTTTGGTTCATTCTCCAGCACTTCCATGCCTCTAGCCCAATGTCAGGTACATCAGAAACACTCAGCACATATTGACTATTTGCTGTGGAAATACATTTTTGTGTGTGTGATCCAACAAAGGAAAGTTGTAGCAGCGAAGAGAATTCAACCATAAAAAAGTAAATAAAGTGTTTTGAAAAACTCTGCTTAAAACCACTCAAAGGTTGGCAACGGCAATTGAAATAAAAACTTACACAAAGATATGTGATAACGTGATAGAGGTGAGTTTACTGCATCATTTATCACTGCACTATTACAGAAAAGATCTTGAAGCCAAAAGTAGGCAGAAGCTACTGGATAGCATGCACTTGGATATGTTATTTTTCATTTATAAAAATCAGACTTTTAAAATACAATAGAGTCTTTCCAATACTTTACATGGAGATGTGCAGCAACCATGAAAACATTTTCTATCACACAATGGTTTGCTAGTTACTCTGTAGCAAAACAACAAAAAAAAGAGTTGCAGAACTAATATCAAGGTGCGTATTTTTCTTTTATACAAAAAGCGCTGTTTTAAGTTTATTGATGTTTTCTGCTAGGTAGGTCTTCAGTAGCATGCTATATAGCAGAGCAGGTATTTTCCAAAAATATGCATACTTTCTTCATCCCTGTAATTGAAAGGTGAGAGACACAGTACCTGCTTTGGAAACCTAATCATCCTATAGAGACAGCGTTTTGGAAAGGGACATATAAAAATGATTCCACCCTTACATGAGATAGCCCACAGCAATGTAAATGTGTTCTTAAAATTAACTCTCCAATCAGCACAATTAAGAACCTGAAAATCAAATTTAAAAACTAATTTTAAAGGCTGTCCAAATGCAGGATTTCCTTGAGTGTGGAACCATTTGACAAAAATACATGAATAAAATATATTTTTATTACGTATCAAAAATATGTAGTGAGCATCGAAGATGATGAGAGACCAGGGAAGGACTCCCTGAAAAGTTGATATGTTAGCAAAAATTTGAGAGAGGTAATGGCATGAACTCTGTGGAAACCTGTGTGTGGGTGGTGGGGTTCTTCTGGCAGAGAGAGCAGCAGGTACAAACACAGACGCTTGTCCAACATGCTCAAGACACATGGATAAATTCTTGAATGGAGAGAGGAAAGCAGATGAGGTCAGCAAAGTAAAGGGGCCGGGACAGGCAGGTCATGTAGAGCTTTGTAAGCACAGGGAAAAGGTCAACTTTTATTCTAAGAAGAACAGGAGACAGCTGGAGGGTTTTGAGCAGAGAAGTGATACGGTGGGACCTCCATTGTAAAAGTACCCCTTTGAGGGCCTGCAGGCCAAGGGTCAGGAGCGGAGGCAGGATTCCAGTCAGAAGTCTCCAGCAACAATCTTGATACGTGCCAAGGGTGGCTTGTACCAGGGTAGAGGCAGCAGGAGAGGCAGATCAGCACCATCACTGCAACTAGCTCGCCCATGAGAGAGCCCACACCCTATCTTTGCTACTCTTCCTTCGCTGCTACTCTACTCACTCAGTCAGTGGGGGCATCTGAGATGCCATATCATTCATATACCTGCACCCTCAACTGCAAACCCATGGCCAGGACCTCTCCCTAAAACTGCCGGCTCATATACCCCTCTCCTGCCTCAACATCTCCCCCTGGGTGCCATGCACACATCCCAAATAGGACATGTGCAAGTCTAAACACCCTGTAACACCCGAAACTGCTCCCCTATAGTTTTCTTTGCCTCAGTCAGTAGCAACATTATCCCTCCAGTCACCCAGGCCAAGAACCTTGAAGTCCTCCTTACCTCCTCTTGTTCTCTTATACTTCAAGTCCACTCCATCAGCAACATTTGTCAGTGATATCTTCCAAACTCTTCCAGACTCCACCATGAATCACTTTCTCCATTGTTAGCAGGCTCTCCAGGCATTATCATCACTTACCTGCATGACTGCAGCAGCCTGCTGGGTGATCAGTTTGCCTCAGGCTCTGAGCCACTCCAGTCAATCCTCCACTCAGGCTGCAGGACACGTCATTCCTATGCTCAAAACCCTCCATCATTGGCCCTGTCTCCCTGACAGTAACAGCTAAGGGGCTCTGCTCCACACCTTACCCTCATTCCCACCATTATCCCCCAGCTCACTCAATTCCAGCCACACTATATCCTTGCTCCTGGACTCACCTGGCATGCTTCTGCCTCAGGACCTTTGCCCTGGTTGCTCCCACTACCCAGACCCTCTTCCCCCAGGTAATCAAAGGCCTCACTCTCTTGCCTCCCACAGGCCTGTGTTAAAATATCACTGGCTCAATGAGAATTTCCCTGACCACCCTATCTCAATTTTCAACCCTATCTTCAACCCAGTAGTCTGTGGCATCTTCCCACTTTATTTTCTCCAGCTTACATTTGTTTTAGAACATAGTATGCAATTTCCTTTTTTAAAAAATTTGTGTTTAATTCCACTATATTAAAAGCTCCTTAAGGGCTTTTTGTCTGTTCCATTCATTCCTGTCTCCCAGTACTTGAACACTGCCTGGCCCATAAGAAGTGTGCAAGAAGCATTTGTTCAGTCCATGCATGAATCTGTGTTTTGCTTCTAATGAGCACACTGGGAAGGGCAGGCTAAGCGACTTGCCTTAGGCCAGAACAACGTAAGCAAAGATCTCTGGCTTCACCTCTACTTTGCTGTAACATGTGTTTCTGTGGGCTGGGCAGGATCTCAGATGGGGCTTCCAGGCTGCAACCACAGAACACTAGTGCAGAACATGCGGCTATTTCACTGACAGGGCAGTGCTGCTACTTGGTGATATCCATGGCTCTCTGTTGTAGACGGATTAGTGAAGCCAGACCAAGACCACGTGCCCCAGGCAGGCCCTGGGGAAGGAGACAGCACGGAGCCTTTCACATACTGGAAGGAGAGTGCCACCGTGGGTTGCCAGGGGAAGCCATGTGAGGAGAGTCTGGAAAAGAGGCCATGCTGACATCACAGGCGGCTTGTAGAGGGCAGAGGGCAGCCACTGAAGGGGCCCTGGCTTCCCTGTCAAGTGGACAATTTGGTCAAAAACAAAGGCAGCTTGGGCTAAGGTGAGAGCAGAGGAGGCAGAAAACAATTATGGTGACATCAACAGCAACTAGTGATGGGTCGGTGGGAAAAGGGGTTGAGGTAGACTGGAGGAGAAGGAAGCATCAGAGAAAATTCCTAAGGTTTCCAACTTACAGAACTGCATAGCTAGGATGAGATGATTTGCTGAGAGAATCCTGGACAAAAGACAGGTTTTATGGGAGGAATCATTGGCTTAATTTTCAGGATGCAGCCCTCCAAGTGCCTTTGGGACAGTCAGGGGCTCACATCAGGTAGACAGGTGGATACATGTCCAGGGCTAGCTATAGCATCTGGGATAGGAATGCACATTTGGGAGCTACCTGCATTGAGGCAGGGATGGAAGCCAAGTGTGTGGATGAGATCGTTTGCAAGAACAAAGAGAAAGGAGTGGATGACTTGGACACAGCCTCAAGAGACTCCATAATTTGATGTTTGGTAAAAGCAGTGGATCTGCTTTTGTGAAATGGCACTAAGAAGTGAAGTCAAATGAGAACTGGCGAGTGCCCACTGGATGCAAAGCAATGCAAGTCACTGGTGAGCCTGGCAAGAGGCGCTTCAATGGCACCACAGGGTAGAAGAAGATTGCAGTGGATTGAGAAGTAAGCATAAAACGTAGAAACTGAGATAGGCAGCTCAGAAACACTTCCTGAGACTTTGGTTGTGAATCAAAGGAAAGATTTGAATTGGTGGCTACATGGTACACAGTTTTGATTTGTTAAGTTTTTAAAAATTAATTTTCAAATACAGATATATAGACATGTATACTTTTTAAAGAGAAGGTAACAGCTGAATTTACTAGCAAGATCAAGTGTAAGTTCCTGCTGAGGGTCAAAAGGAAGTGCTATGGTCAGAGTGGGGAGGCTCCCTCTGGTCCCCCTAGAAATGCAAGGGTGTCCAGTCCAGAAAAGGTCCTCCTGTGCCTGTGGAGCATAAGAAGAGTGATGGAAAAAGAGTGAAGTGACCTTGGATGATATCTGAACATGAGGTCAGAAGGAAGACAATGAACCAGGGGCCCACACCCTTGCTGAGTGAAGAACAATTTCCAGGAGGTCAGAAGAGAGCAAGGGCATACAGTAAGGACCTAGGAGCCATTAATCAATGAAAATTTATTTGCGTCTGCTCCATGGTGACCGGGCAGGTTAGCAATAGGAGGGAATAATTACCAATGTGTCTAGAATCCAATGATCAATAACCTCATACAGTCCTAATACCTGAGGAGCTCTTGGCAGGCTTCCAGTCAAGGCCAGGATGCCCAGGATCTTTACACAGATGAACATCTCAAGGCTAGAAAAACAAGAATATCAACGAAGACATGTTCTTTCATATCCAAAACCATATGAATTCAGAGTCAGGAACTCCTATGGGGAGATGAGTCTAGTCAACAGAGGAAAGGAACATTGGCAAAAGGAGGAAAGTGGATTTAACCAGATAAAAAATAGAGTCCCAGTTGGTCCAATGAAAACAGAAAGATGTATAGGAGAAAAGGGAACATTTGAACATTCATTTGAGAGTGTGAGCTCTGGTAAATTAGAAAGGGCTGAAGCTGAAGCCAGAATTCCATCCAGAAATAAAGTACAACTCTAAGACAATGGGCTTCGTGCCAAGTTGTAAAAGAGAGGAATAAACCTGAGACACTGAGAAAGAGGAACCACTCAAATATTCATCAGATAGCAACGACCCAAACAGCCTGAATCCTTATTACCTAGCTAGAATCCAGAGGTTCTAGGCAAGTTTCATCTTTAAGACACCTTTTGACTTACTTAGCTCTTAATAGCCCCGTTTTACAGATAAGAGAACTGAGGCTCTGGATGGTTAAAGTCACAGAGAATTGTTGCACAACTAGTGACAGAATCCACATTTGAACTCAAGTTTAGGTAAGTCCAAACACACATGGAAGAGGAGCAGACAATCACAAGAGCCTAGGGGACCAGAAACGTGGTCTAGGCTTCGGTTAAAACAAGGAAGCTCTGGATGAACATTTCACGCCATGCAGGTATCTGGGGACAGAATCTTCATTAATGTTTTAGTGCACCTAAGCATAGTAATCATAGCTAATCTGGGAAAGCACTCAAACCAACCCAAATTAGTAAGAACTGAACAAGGAGCGCTGGATTCTAAACTGTTGCAGAAGGAAGCCTTTCAGACTAACCTAAAATATTGCGAAGCAACTTTGAAACTCATAAAATATTCATTTAAAAAAATGCAATGATAATGTTAGGCAGCTTATAATGGATAACTGTGTATGTTTTCTGACACATCAGAAATGCTCTACATGCTTCATGTAAGGTCCACACCAAAAGCTGAACTCTGAACAACTACACCACGAGGTCAAGAAAACACATGTTTGGAGGAAAACATGGGTTATACTTACATCATGGGATATTTAACTCATGATTTGGATGTAGCCTTAACACTAGGGGCAAAAGTGTCCTCATAAGCCTGATCAGAGAAGGCCCAGGCCATGGGAGACTAGAGTCAGAATAAGGAGTCTCATTTGTCAGTCTTTGCCGGTCTTAAGAGAAGGTAATGGAAGACAAGATAATATTTAGTATTTACATGTCTTTCAATGCTGGGGTAAAAGACTCACAGTTTCTAATTAGTATAAGTTTCCTATTTAGTACGAGTGCTACAACCAAGAGGTCTGGGTTCCATCTGCAGTCTCAGGATTCCAGGGCAAGACCCTTCTGCCCCGAACATAGCTTCTGTTTATATAATAGAAGTGGAACAATTCAGTGGAATCTGGAATTGTCCTAAAGGATAGAGAATACAACTGAATATTCTTTTTTTTTTTTTTTTTTTTTTTTTTTTGAGACAGAGTCTCGCTCCGTCACTCAGGCTGGAGTGCAGTGGTGCGATCTTGGCTCACTGCAAGCTCCGCCTCCCGGGTTCACGCCATTCTCCTGCCTCAGCCTACTGAGTAGCTGGGACTACAGGCGCCCGCCACCACACCCGGCTAATTTTCTGTATTTTTTAGCAGAGATGGGGTTTCACGGTGTTAGCCAGGATGGTCTCCATCTCCTGACCTCGTGATCCACCCGCCTTGGCCTCCCAAAGTGCTGGGATTATAGGCGTGAGCTACCTGCATTGAGGTAGGGATGGAAGCCAAGGGTGTGGATAAGATGGTTTGCAATTATGGTGCCCGGCCCTGAATATTCTTACAGAATGCCTCTGTAAGAATAAACATATCACCAAAAAGTTACCATGCAAAAATCAACAATATTTTGTTTGAAATGCAACAAAATATGACAAACTTGAATATTTCTACAATGTGGTAACTTCATTGGCTCATTGTTTCACATTAACTCACAATGGCAACTTACTCAACATGATTTTTTTCTCAATCACCAGAAATGGTCTCTTGTCAAAAGCATAAATTGAATGGTAGTGGAACATTTAGCATGTGACTAAATGATTTGAGTGGTCATTGCTAAGGGAGCAGAATTGTGATCAAGTGTTAACAAAATGGTACATAGTCAAAGAGAGACAGATATCAATTGATAGCTATTTAGTCAGAGAGATAGACAAATACATGGAAGTATGGTATACACAGTGTTTCATGTACAGTTGCTCCTCAACTTACCATGTGGCTACAGTCTGATAAACCCCTCATAAGTTGAAAATATCACGTCAAAAATGCATTTAATACAACTAACCTACTGTATACCATAGCTTAGCCTTGCCTACCTTAAACGTGCACAGAACACCTTCATTAGCCTACAGTTGGGCAAAGTCTTCTGGCAACATAGTCAATTATAGAGTATCAGTTGTTTCCCTTGGTGATCATGAGGATAACTAACAGCTATGGCTCACTGCCACTGCCCAGCATAGTGAGAGAATATCATAAAATATATCACTGCATATCACCAGCCCAGGAAAATATCAAAAATTGAAGTACAGTTTCTACCGAATGTATGTAGTAGTCCCACCATTGTAAAGTCAAAACATCATACATTGAAACATTGCAAGTTAGGAGCCATCTACAGATTTGTTCATATTAGTATATATAGAGCCAGATTGTGTTTTTTAACAGCTTCAGAAGACTCTGCTGAGGGATAAGCTATCATTTATTAACCACTTTCTTGCTATTTTCAGTCTTTTGCTCAATGAAAACCTTATACTTAAATATTTCATGTTTCTGAGCCTATCTGTAGAGAAAACTCCTGTAAATGGAACTGCAGAATCAAACGGTAGGTACACTTCAAATTGGGTAGAGATGGCCTGTTGCTGTTGAAAATTACTATCAAGTTCTCCATCACCTGTCCCATGAAGGTGTATGAGTGCTATTTCCCCAAACCTTGCATAATATGGTGTATTATCAAACTCTTTGATCCCTTCCATTGAAACAAGATGTCTGTTTCTCATTACTGAATTAATTGCATTTGCTTAATTTGGGTGACATTGAGCGTCTTTTCTGTTAAAAGTGATTGGTATTTGTATCTTTGAAACCGGTGTGTTCTTGTTCTTTGCTCGGTTTTTAGTAGTTTGCAGGGATGGTATTATCTTAGATTAAGGCCGTGGCTCTCCGGCTGTGCTTGAAAGATCAGCACTGTCCCCTTCACTGGGACCTTGTTAGAAAGCCTGTTCCCCGTTGAGTCAGATCAGCTGAATCAGAGTCGCATGGGTTTGAAGTCAGCAGTCTCAGGCTTAGCAAGGCCATCAGGTGATTCTGATGCTTACAAAATTTGAGAACCACTGTATTTTAAAAAATTAGGCCTCATCTGAAATATGTTGCAAATATCTTTCCTTTGATGTTATCTATTTTTAATTGTCTTCTGGACAGAAATTTAAAATTTCTGTATATCCAATTTAACAAACTTTTCCTTTTTAGTATTTCAGTTTGAGTTCATCCTTAAAAAGTCCTCCCCTACTCTGAAACCACTAAAAATTCTCCCATATTTACCTCTTCGTTTTTTATGTTTAAATATTTGTTACAACAACTTGATTTATTTCTGCATCTTGAAACTATTATGTATGTGGAGGAATTTAAACTAGCATTTAAAGAATGGAAGAACAAAAAAGAGAGGCACAAAGCATTATATGTAAATCTGGCAAAATTAAAAAAATAGATAAGCACATGGTTTTCATGATATTCAGAGAAATTCAAGTTCTTTTCAAAATCTAGGTTACCCAGCCATTTCTATTATCCAGTAGTTCTATCTCTTCTTGGCTTGCAAACATTTACACAGACCTTACTCAAAAGCTAATGTCAGTTTTACATTTTGTGGTCTGCTACCATTCCTTCTGTAATAAGAACCCAGTGAAGGCCAAAGAGGTCCCAAGAGAGAAGCACAAAGGTAAAGAGAAGGAAGCAAAAGGCTTAGTCAATCCCTTTTTAAGTGTCAGATGATTGTTTTATAGGCAAGGAGGCAATGAAATACTCCATTGATCATGTGTGTGTGTGTGTGTGTGTGTGTGCACGTAATTGGGGTGGTAGGTAGCTGGGTGATAAGGCTGGGGAGATGAGTCTAAGTTTGTACAAAAATGGCACTGAGCTGGATTTTTTTTATGCAAATAGAGAGCTGAGTGGACTCCACCTGGATTTGCCCTCGATGAAGAAACCTGGATTCTGATCACTTTTCCTTTTTGTTCCGCATCTTCTAGAGAGAAACTCCCAAACTCAAAAGGCACAAAAGTGCTCCAATAAAACAGAGTGTAAGGATGACAGAGGAAGGAAATCTTCCTCCTTCAAAGGCTCCTTTGTCTGAGCTCTGATGATTATCTAAAGATGGTAAAGGAGGAAGGGCGTGTGTGTGTTTATTATGAGAAGGCCTAATGGAAAGTTCTTGCGTTCTTATTTTCTCAGAAAAATAATCACTTTGCAGACATTAATTAGCTTTAGAAAAATATTGCCCCAGATCCTCTCATACAAAACGCTGCCCTCTTTAAGTCTCCTATCATAATTTCTGAGACAGAGAACCATGTGATGGAAATTGTACCCACCCCACGAGCACTCACTGATCATGGAGGTGTTCAGGGATTAGATAAAGAAATGGACATATTTTCATTAAGGTCATTAATTTCTGTGTTTCAAGAATCCGGTATTCATGGGTCAATTATAAAGCATGAGATTTCACCCTAAACTTTATCTAATGGTGTCAAATAGAGACAAACATTGAAAATACTCATACCAGTAAAGCATAATACTAAAAGATCTGTGAAATATATTTTATTGCATAGTACAGAATAGCCCACTAGCTGTTCATTAGTTTTATAATGGGTTTGCTGCTGCTTGTTCAGTAAAAGAAATTATATGAGAATTGAATGACCCATAATGGGACTTGCGGGCTAAGTTGCTGACCTCTGCAATCAAGAATAAGGTTGAAGCAAACCCGGGGGGGCAGTACTTCTTGGGATAGAAGTTAGTAGTGGTGCAAAATGATGATGCCCATCAGGCATACCTGTTTCCTTTGTTTCTGCCACAATAAACCCCTAGGCTGCATGTGAGTTGGATCCCTCGTATCTACTCACTGGTTATTTTTCATAGAATCACAGGAATTATTTGATCTAATCCTTTTGTCTTTCTGATAAAGAACTAAGTAATAGGTTCAAGACAGCACCACAGTTAATGGCAGGAAAGAGAAGGACACATAACTCACAGCAATCTGAGATCATTTGTATATTTATTTTTGATAGCGCTTAGTTGGTGATGGCGCCGAACATGTTAGCTTTTAAATTACCGTCAATTGAGTAATGATCTATAGCTGTGCTGGACAATACAGTAGCCATCAGCTGTGTGGGCTATTGAGCACTGGAAGCACAGCTAATCCAAATTGAGATGTCTTGTAAGTCGTCAGCAGGCATTTAAAAAGGTAAAATATCTTACCAGTATTTTGTATGGATTATATCTAAATGGTCATTTTTTATATGCTGGCTTAACTATATCATTAAAATTAATTTCAGCTGTTTCTCTTTACTTTTCCATTACGACCATTAGGACATTTTAAACTGTGCATATGACTCACACATTTCAATTCTATTGTACAGTACAGATTTATAAGAAAACACTTCACTGCATTTAGGAGACAGCTATAAGGAATCTCTTTCCTAAATTTGCCAGTGGCTGAGAGCAAAGAAGGAGAGAATGAGGGAGCATTTGTTTTTATTACTTCATAGAGTCCTTCCCCGTCAGTGAGGAGAGGCTTGCAAGCCATGTCATATAATGAAAACTAAAGCATTATTTGACACCAGTTAAATAACTTTCAGTTCATGTTTAAATATGTATGAATTAGTAAATTTAACTCTTAAAAAGCCATCAGCAATTTTGACAACATAAGAACCATCGTATTCCCTTTTGATTGAGCAGCTGTTTTCCTGGAAAAATCATAACCAAAATCAGTGTCCTACAAATCAGTTCTGCTCTTAAAAAGACATCTGTCCACTGTCAATACTTATACCAGGTAGATAGACTGATGATAGATAGAGGCAATCCACCATATGAGTGAGAATTGGGGATGGTTGTTATCTGAATTGAAAGTTGCAGATCAACACCAAACACTTTTTTTACTTAAAACAGCTGGCAGGCAACCACTCCACCCCAGACAACTGAATGGTCCTCTCACAAAGAAATTCTCTGGTGGAAAAATGTATGGCATTTGTCACAGGGAAATGATGATTTTGCATAAATAAATAGGTTAATTTTCAACATATCAACTCTGGTCTCCAAATTAGAAGAAGAATGAACAATACTTTTTATTATCACAGATACACTCTCTTTTTGACAAAAGCACCCCAGTTGTTTTTTAAAAGGTTTTAATTTTTCAGTAAGATATGCAGTATTTACCACTGAAATAATACATTTCCAATACAGTAAAAGTCATGTGTGGTGTATAGGATACGAACAACATACAATAAATAATTTTTTTAAAAAAAAGGTCTCCTCCACTCTTCTCATGAGGAAACTGCTTTGCTGAGAATGCTGGGTTGTTAGACACAAGCTGAAAAGTGACTTCCACAACTTGGCATTCAATCTGTATGTTTTCTGAGTCGCCTCTTAGGAACAATTCTATTAAAGCTGTAACAAAGAAAGATTCTGGAGGTTTCTACAATAACCATGAACACATACTTCCCATCTGCAGGGATCACTGAAGTGTGAGCAGCAGTTCTGTGCCTTGGTATAGACAGCAATACCCCCTCCTTTCTCCTTCCTTTCCCTGTGCTTGCCCGGGACTATTACCAAATTAAATGCCATATGTTAAATGGGATGAAAATGTTTCCTTGCCACTGTATCTTTTATTTCTATAAAATGAACTATGTGTCTTCCTGTCCCCAGCCCACAAAGCCTCCTGCATTTCCAGAGATAGATAAAATTGTGGACAATTTTCAATTTCAGACAACAACCAAGAAGAAAAAAAAGTATGATTCCCCTACAAATTTGTTAAATTTATTCTAATTTTATCCTCCCCTTTTCTCTCCCTCCCCCTCCACCTCCTCAAATCCAAATGTCACTGGAAATGGAGCACATTGTGACTGATTTGAAATGTAAAATGCTCCAGACTTTTAGCGTTACCTGGAAAATCTTCCTCAAAAATAATATTTTTGAAAATTTTTAGTTTGAAGCAGAAAAGTTCTGATATGCTGGACTAGCTTCTCACATCTGAAGGGATCCATTTAAAAGATAACGAGGGCAAATATGTAAAATAAATTCCTAGGGAAGGCAAGCTGTGTCTCTGCACAGTAGGAAGAAACTGAATTCCACCACAATGTTGTATTCCAGCATTCAATGGATGTAACAGATGATTCACAGAGCTTCTAGTTTAAAAGTCTCCCAAACCCACATAGAATGTGAATTGGAGTTTTAAAGAGGAAAAACAGCATTTTTCAAGAGAGAAGGAGAGAGGCAGGTTCCCACAACGCCAGAAGCCAGCACTGCTTTTCAGGCGAGCCTGGGAGCTGTCAGCAGTCATTGTCATCTGATGGGAAACCACAGTCTTACAACTAAGGACTGGATGCAGCCCCTTGCCCATCTTCTGCTCTTACAACAAGGAAGCGGAAAGGAGCACATGTAGATATCATGAAACACATTCTTTAAGAAGACAAACAAAAGATTTAGACAGGTCTCGGCCAAGCGCATGAAGTGAAGGAGTCGAGGATGAAAGCATGCCGAACCAAACGGCAGTCCCTAGCGTGCTTGGCTTTTTTCTCACTTTAGACCACATCTTCTTACTCTTTTCCTAAATCCATTAAACTTCCACATTAACAGAAACACCTGCACAGTAGAATTTTCCAAAACGGTAAATCCTGTTTTGGAAGGAATCCCTAATAATACGTAAGATACAGATTTTTAAAAAAGAACATGTTTTAGACAAGGACAGCATGATGCTCACCCTCCCTAACAAGGATACAGAAATGCAGATTTCTTCCCCTCTTACCAACTCCAGTACACGCTGACTCGCCCTCCCTGAGAGCGGTAATCCCTTTCCAGGGGCTGGCAAACAATCATGCCAAAGCCGCCCGTGCCCCAATGCGGACGCAGCGAAGCCACGGCAGAAGGGGGAAATCGGTTACCTGGGGAAGAACACAACTCCGCTCAGAGCTTCTTCAGAGCTCCACTCGCGCAGGACAGGGCAGCGCAGGGTGTGTGGATGCGGCTCCTCCCGGAGGCAGGCGCAGCGCACTCCCTCCCGCCGCCGTGACGATGCTGTCAGCTGCTCGCCCGCCGTGCGCCCTGCACCGCCCACCGGCCGTGCTCCCTGCGCCCAGCGCCCTCGCGCTCCACCCGCTCGCAGCCCCTGCACCTGCGCTGGCCTGAGCCGCTCCGGCCTGGCACTGTCACCGCCGCTGCACGCTCCTCCTACTCTCTTCAATCTCTGCCTTCTCAGATGTGCCAACTGCTGCAGAGGCTGCTGCTCCTGCTTAAATGGCGCCTGTTCGCCTCCAAAGAGCTTTTAGGTGCCACCTACTGCATGCTCTTGGAATAGATGGCGAGGACTGGAATTTTCTGATAATTTAATGAATTAAAATAATTCCATTGAAAGGGAACCAGATTCTTTTGTTCGCATTGCGAACTATAATCGCTACTAACCATATAGACTTTTTTTTTCCATTTCCAGATTTTAACTTTTAAAAACCGACTCATTTAAAGGCAGACGAAATGCCCTGCCCCATACCATAGCCAACCACACAGTGTAGATTAATATATTCTAATTTAATAGGATCCTATGACAACACCGCCATTGGCAAGCTTGGATTAGAATTGCTTTTTCACTGAGTGGTTTCACATTAGCATTTCAAGCAAATGACCACGTTTATTTCCTGACATTGATAAACAATTTTGTCAAAGACGCGTTGATTAAAAAACAGGTGAATCAGCAAGAAAAAATATTAATGGCTAACAATTCTGTGCAGGCATTTTTAAAAGTGCTTGAGCATAACATTGATCCATGTTAAGTTTAAACTACAGACTGAAGGAAGATTTCTTCTCTTGGTTATATTACTCATTCTTTTGTAATACCAAATATGCTAAAAGACTTGAGCAAAATTAATATTCTGTAGTTCTTTACATTTGATTTTTGTTGTAGAATCCTATTTATCTGTTTTAATCCCGTCTTCACTTTCTAAATAATTAAAACATGTTAACCTTTGAAGTTCATTTCCATAGTAAAATTCTGCCCTGCTATTCACAGGAAATATGCTTTTTAAAAATCATACTTAAAAACTACGCATTTTACAACTTATAGTCAAGAAAACTTATTTTATTCCCCAGTTCATCCTAATTCTGGCCTTGATCCTACAGCCATTGGAATATAAAAATAAAAATACACTCTTTTTACTAAAGTCATTTAAGGCTACTTCAACAAACCTGCCCCTACACTAATGATGTCTAAAAGCAGAGTGGTCACCCTGTCCTCCACAGTCTCCTCTTCATTGCAAAGGAATATATGGCCACTCAGAAACCCATCCCAGAGGAGGCTCCAAATATGATGACAGTGGATTCTGAGCACTGCCTGATGCAGTTTCTGGGTCCTGAAACAACCTTCCAGTTTTATAAGTCAGGATGTTGTTTTCCATGACAACCAAAATGTAGGTTATCAGGTTAAATGACAAAATGGAATTTAAGAACTAAACAAAGGAGGGTAAAAAGATTAAATAAGCAAAAATCCAGTGCTAGTATGGAAGCAGGGAGAGCAAATCAGGAGCTGATAAAGAGAGCCAGTTCTATGCTGAATATCCCACAATGCAGAAGAAGCCTGCCTTTTGCCACATGCCATCATTATTTGTTCTGAGAATGTGAAGCAGAGGCCCAAAGGCCTCATTTAAACAAGGAGCAACTCACTTAATATGATGTCTCTGGCCCCTTTGGCACTCCCCACAATCCCTAGACTTTCATCAGCCAGAAGGAGCAGATTGCTCCCAAATTCCTCTTTTAACTTCCCCTTAACTTACATCCTTCTAAGAGCCTGACCCATTTGCTTCTAGGCTAGGGGCTCCTGACATCTGCCTGCACATTAGAATCAGCAGGGGAGCTATAAATACATTTTAAAACAAGGTCCAATTTCCAGTCCAGCTCATGCCACAACTGGCACAGGACCTCCGTGGATGGGATGCAAACATCCATATATTTCAACGTGTTTATGTGAAGTTGCTGTTCGTGTCCCCCAAAAATTCATATGCTGACATTCTAGTTACCAACTTGAAGAGGTGGGACCTCTGCACAGAGCTCTCATGAATGGGATTAGTGCCCTTATAAAAGAGGGCCCAGAGAGCTAAGGCATCGTCTATGAACCAGGAAGCAGACTCTCATTAGACACCAAATCTGCCTTGATCTTGGACTTTCCAGCCTCCAGAACTGTAAGCTATAAATTTTGGTTTTTTATAGGCTACCCAGTCTATGTTTGTTTGTTTTTTAATAACAGCCAAGAGTAAAACAGAGGTTAAGGTCAAGAACCATTAATCTAATATAAACCTTTGTTACTCAACGTGAATTCGCGGATCTGCAGCATCCACATTACCAAGCAACTTATTAAGAATACAGACTTTCAATCCCCACTCCAGAACTTCAATCTCAGATTCTGACTTTAATAAAATCTCCAGGAGATTCCCAAGTTTGTTAGAAGTGGAGAAGCTCCAAGCCAGAGTACCTCAAATGCTTCAATATATCAGAATCGCCTTGGAGGAGGGGGCTTGTTAAAACACTTCCAGCTGGGCCATGGCCTGGTTTTCTGATTCTGTAGGTCCGGGGTGGGGTCCCTGGTAATGCTGATGCTGCTTAGAGCAGGAATCCAGATGAGCTATGCCACTCAGGTCATGCAGACACCAGCAGCAAATGGTAGTGGGCTATTCAATCCTCAGGTGGAAGAAGTATAACGGTCCTCCATTTTGTAAAGTAAATCAATCCAGTGTCACTCCTTTTGGGGAAGCCCCATCCTTCTCCACAGTCTCACGGATGCACTTTCCCCAGAGTCTTTAGGTGGCTGTAAAAAGAGCCTCTTCAGCCGAGTTCCTGCTTTGCTCTCACAGCTTAGGACTCTGCAAGCTTACACTTGGCCCTTGTGCAAATGAGAAGATGTCCCCTCTCTTGGTGGACACAACCCTTCCCTCTGCTCAGACAGTGCGTGGCTTGAGGGGCAGAAGACCCTTTGTGCAAAGAACTTCCTGGACAGGTGCAGACACTCTGGATACCCAGCTGGGTGAGGGATGCACCTGCTGAGCCCCAGGCCACTCTCACCCTCTGCTGGTCACCTTGAATGTTATACAAACTGCACATCCCTCAAGGTACACATCAGCTCTGCTCCCCTACCAGGCCAGCATGGTCTGTGTGATGGCTCATAGCTCCATTTATGACCTTAGTCCACAGAGTGCCAGACACTGCCAACAAAGAGGAAGAGCCAAATTCTGACACTGGGGACACAAACTAAGGGAGAAGGCAGCAGATGTACTGATCAGGTGCTGAGCAAGCAAGCATGCAGTGAATGAAAATACACACCTTTGGACTATGTTCTCCATGGTTTCTTTGTCTTACTTTTATCCTGTTCTCCCTAAGACAGTGGTTCTGGGGACCAGCAGTATCAGCAATTCTGGTAAGTTGTTATAAATACACATGTCAGCTCCACCCTGGACCTGTTGATTCAGAAACTCTGAAGGTGGAGCCCAGCTATCTGCTTTTTAGCAAACATTCCAGGTGATTCTGGTGCACAGCAGAGTTTGAAACTCATTGCACTACAATTTTTTTTAATTATACGTTTAGCAAATGCCCTATCAACATATCTCCTGTAAAATTCTTGAAAAGTTACCATGCTGGTAGAATGTGCTCAAGGGAACAATGCACCCCATCTGCTGTGATGTTTCTGGTAGTGAAGACTCAGCAGATTTTCCTGACATCACAACATTGGTTTCTTCCCAGCTGTCCCTTCTAAAGTTCTACCATGCAAGGGTGGGGCACATTCTTCTGCTGCCCAGAGGACACTCCATTTCCCAGCAGTCTTGGCACCAGCCAGGATGTCCACCTCCAGGACTGGCCTAGGTCTCTCTGTACTTCAAGCCCCAGTCACCATGCCCTCCTCAACAGGGTCACTCCATCCTAATCTCTGGAGGGGCCAAATCCTGGAAACTAAGGTCACAGCCCTGAAGTGCAAAACGCTCTGCAGATTGTGGAGAAAGGAAGCACATAAAGGCTTCCCCCCAAAAAGGAAGAATAAAATAAAATTTTCTTTTCATTCTTGTCCATGAGTTTACTGGTCCAAACATAAGAGCTCTGAAGTTGGGGTGGCCCTTCAAAGATAGCCCACATTGAGGCAAGAAAGCCACTCTGGATCAGTCATTTTCTGTGTGCTGTCTCTCCTCACTCCTTAGGAATGTAATCTTGGGCAAGTTGGCTGTCTTTGGTAGAAGATAATGTCAAGGAAGGGAGTTACCTGAGAGCCTTCGGCAGTGATACTCCAAAATTATAGATGTGTGATATATTTATAAACTAATTTTAGTGCAATGAGTTTCAAACTCTTCTGTGCATCAGAATCACCTGGATTGTTTGCTAAAAAGCAGAGTGCTGAGCTGCACCTTCAGAGTTTCTGAATCAGTAGGTCCGGAGTGGGACTGAAATGTGTATTTCTATTGTATTGCCACTGGTGCAATAAAAGCTTCAGTCCTGCATGATGGATAAGGTGGTGCCCTATGGCATCCCCCGGAGTGCCCAAGAGTGACTTTTAGAGGATGGTGTCATTTTGTTGCAAATAAAGAATCTCAGAGGTAGGTCTTCTTTGCAGCAGATAAAGCTAGTGTTATTCCACTGGTTTCAATCCTGATTCTCTATTTTTAATCATCCCTTCAGGCTGTACCATCCAACTGTACTAGGTGCTCTTAAGTTTAACAAGGTTTCACCGTTCTTCTTCCTTCCTTCCTTTGATACCATGTGTGCCCCACTAAGAATGAGGCACCATGCTTTCTACGTGTTCTTAATCTTTTCAGCTTACCCAAGCTACACAGATGCTAAAGCTGACATCTGTTCTCTGTAATCTCAGAGAGTTTCTCATCCCTGCCTTATATGAGGTTGACCTAGTTTTCTTGGCCTACTCAAAATATTAGTGAGCATGAACAGATGATTATATGTATAAAATGTAACTCTGTGCACTAACATTGCTCTGTGCATTCCTGGATCCAACTCATCTCACTCCTCTCCTTCCCTCCTCCCCAGACCTTCCACTATATCCTCTGGAATGCCTATGTCCTATTCATCAAATTCCTTGGAAATTTAAACTTCTTTGGGGAAGGACTGTTCTCCAGGTCCCTGCTTCTGGTCACATCTCAAGCAGAAGTTCTCCTTCCTCTGGATACATGATCTTTTCTGGGCCATATCTTCCCCTCTCAGCTGCAAAATCTTGCATCTTTTTGGATGATGTCATTCTCTTCCCTTCATCCTGTCGGCATCTGCCATCCTTTTGGCCTGGTGGTCTTCCTCTCTACCTGGCTGCCTGAAAGATTCGCCCCATGTCTGGCCTCTATTGTCATGGTTCTCCTTTTCCTCATTGACATTTCCTGCACCACAGTCCAGCTGTCCCACCAATAGTCATATCCTGCTCCCTGGCATCACAATAGAATATGGGTTTCAAGCATCCTAATTCCAGTCCAGTCACATAGCTATGCCTCCTCTTCAGCAGGCCTATGTCTCCCCTGTGCTCAGGATCTCTTCTTTCTAAGTGTCTGTCTCTTCCACACCCTCACTTCTCACTGTTAGATCTTCTCCATTTTTATAAGAGGTAGCAAAAACATTTTCTGTCTCTCTCACTCATTTGTCCCCTCTGAAAAATCAAAAAGATTGAAGGAATTACCAGGTAAGTATCAGTTTCCTAAGTGGTCTCCCCGACCTATGTGATCTCCAGTCTGTTCCCGTAGCAGCCAGGATGAGCAGAGCAGGATATTCTAGAGCTTTGAGAATCAAGTCCAAACCTTCATCTGGCTTATAAAGCTCTCATGATCCAGTTGCTTGCTACATCTCCAGTTTTATCTCAGGTCATCTCCCCTACTCACAGGTGCCAACGAGCCTGGCTTTCTTTCAATTCTCAAAATTCATCCTGCCCCCTCCTCCTACTGGGGCTGCTGCACATACCATTACTTGGCTCTGTGTGCTGTTATGGCCCTGGCTGTTTCACTGGATTCCTTGCCTCCAATATACCCCTAAAAATCTTGTCCACAGAGAGGCATTCTTTGATCACCTTGTTTAAAGTTGCATCACCTTCTGCTTTGGATTGAATTGTGTCCTCCAAAAAAAGATATATAAAATACTAACCCCCAGTAACTCAAAATGTGACACTATTTGGAAACAGGGCTGTTACAGATAGAATAGGTTAAGAAGAGGTTATACTGGAGTAGGATGTGCCACTACAGGGAACGCACCTTATAGAACACATGACTGATGTTCTTATAAGAAGAGACAAAGAGACACACAGAGAGAAAACCATCATGTGACAATGGAGGTAAAGGCTGTAGCAATGCATCTACAAGCCAAAGAATGCCAAAGATTGCCAGCAAACACCAGGAGCTGGGAGAAGTGAGGAAGGATTTTTCCCCAAGGCTTTAAAAGGAACAAGGCTGAAACCTTGGTTTTGGACTTCAACCTTCTAGAACTGTGAGACAATACCTCTATCTTTTTTAAACCATCCAGTTTTGGTACTTTGTTACAGATGCCCTAGCAAACTAATATACTTCCTGATATGAACTAAATATTTGTAACCCTCCCCCGAATTCATATATTTGAAGCCTAAATGCCCAATATGATAGTATTTAGAGATAGGGACTTTGGAAGGGAATTAGACAATGATGGGAGAGCCTCATATGAGGAGAGACACCAGCACACTCTCTCTCTACCACATGAGGACACAGCAGGAAGGTGGCTATGTGCAAACCTAGAAGAGAGCCCTCACCAGACACCAGATCTCGTGGCACATTGATCTTGGAGTTTCATGCTTCCAGAAATGTGAGGTTTAAATTTCTGTTGTTTAATCCACAGTCTATAGTATTCTGTTATAGCAGCCTGGACTGCCCAGGACACTTTCGATCATGCAGTCCCTAGTTTCTGCTTCCTTTATAGTCTAGGTTATGATATCTTTATTTTTGTATATTCGTCATTTATATGCTTATTTTTGTCTTCCCCTTTATTCTATAAGCTATATGAAGTTAGACACCATGAGTCTCTCTCATCATTTCTTCAGCATGTCAGGTTGAAAAAAAAAATTGAGGGAGGATGTACATAACTGCTACCTCCCTCACTACCTAGACTCTAAAGCAATAAAGAATATACACACTAATATACAGGAATCAAAATACTTGAGCAAGATGGCAAACTAGGAACTCCAGTTTCTTGTTCCATGTAGAAATATCAAGCAATAACAGACTGAGAGAACAGCTTAGTGAAAGTTCTAGAAACCAGTCAAGGATCTGTAGCAACCAAGTGAATGCCCAATAAAGAAAAAGCAAACCCTAAATAGTAGAAAATGGCAATGTGTTTGTGCTCACCTTGCCCCATTCCCTCCCTAGCAGAGTGCCAAAGGAAGCCACTCAATTCCTGGGATCTTTCTTGGGAAAGAAGTAAAAGAATATAACTTGTTTGCAGTGTTCTAGCTTGTCTGGGGACCGTCCAAGGAAGGGGTTTCTGTCTTTCCTGACTCAGCAATCACACAAGAATAATGGAAGTTTGGATAGTAGGTCAGGGGATATTGAAAGCAGCGATGTGTGTTGGAATGCCTGAAAACTACAGGGGAACTTCAGACCCATAGATATCTGGAAGGAAGATATTACAGGCAGAGGACCACAATATGACAACTAAGGCCAGGGAAGAAGAAGGGGTGAAACCCCTAGGAAAATCAGGACATGTAAAAATAGTCATGTATATAGGGGTACTGGGAAAACGGTACATACACAGTCCTAGGGAAGATGCATCCCCAGAAGAGCCACAGAACACCTTACATCGCCATGCCAAGCTGATTAATAAGGATCTATCCTGCACAGAGGCAGTCTGCAAAGTCTGCAGTGTGGCTGTTTTTATTCAAATGCCCAATTTTCAACAAAAATTCACAAAGGATACAATGAAACAGGAAAATATGGTCCATTCAGAGGAACAAAATAAATCTATAAAAACAGATTCTAAAGAAACACTGGCTTCAAACTTACTAGACAAAAACTTACTAGACAAAGACTGTTCTATATATGCTCAAAGAGCCAAAGAAAGCATGGACAAAGAACTAAAGGAAATCAGAAAAAAATGATATATGAATGAAATTAGAATGTCAGTAAAGAGATTGTTAAACAGAACCAAATCAAAATTCGGGAGCTAAAAAATACAATTACTGAATTAAAAAATTTACTGGAAGGCTTCAACAGCAGATTTTAACAAGTGGAGAAAAGATTCAGCAAACTTGAAGACAGATCATTTTAAGATATCAAGTCTCAGGAGCAAAAAGAAAAACAAATAAAGAAAAGTGAAAAGAACCTAAGGGATTAATGAAGCACCATCAAGCAGACCAATATATACATTAAAGGAACTTCAGAAGAAAAAAAGGAGCAAAAAAAAAAAAAAAAATGACCTAACTTCCCAAATTTGAAGAAAGACATGGATATATAAATGCAAGAATGGCAATGAGCTCCAAGTAGACTAAATCCAAAGAGACTTAACTGATACACATTATAATTAAACTGTTGAAAGTTGAAGACAAAGAATGTTGAAAGTAGTGAGAGAAAAGCAACATGTCATGTACAATGGATCCCCAATAAGATTATCAGCAGAGTTTGCAGCAGAAACTTGGCAGGCCAGGAGGCAATAGGACGATGTATTTAAAGTCCTAAACATAAAACAACTGTCAACAAAAACTTTGTATCTCCCAAAACTCTCTTTCAAAAATGAGGGAGAAATTAAGACATTCCAAGGTAAACAAAAATTGAATGAGTCTATTATCACTAGACCTACCTGAAAAGAAATCCTAAAGGAAATTCTTCAAGTTGAAATCAAAGGATGTGAGACAGTAACTTGAAGCCACACAAAAATTTAGAAATCTTTGGTAAAGTTAAATACCTAAGGAAAAAAATTAATAATATTATTGTAATTTTGGTTCTTGACTCCCCTTACTATTAATTTAAAAGACAAAATTAATTTTTTAAATAATTTTAATAATAATTTTTTTAAGTAAGGGAGTTCTTGACTCCCCTTACTATTATATAATTTAAAAGACAAAAGCATAAAATAATTACAAATCTATATTAATGAGTACTGTATATAATGGATACAAAATACATAAAGATGTAATTCAGTACATTTAATAATATAAAGTGAGGGCAGAGCTGTAAATGACTAGAGGACTTCTTTTGTCGTACACAATTGAAATTAAGTTGTTACAAGTTTGAAATAGATTTTTATAACTTTAGGATGTTATATGTAATCCCCTGGTAAGCACAAAGAAAATATCTGTAAAATATGCACAAAAGAAAATGAGAAAAAAAATCAAAATATGCTGCTACAAAAAATCAACTGAAAACAAAGGAGGGCAGTAGGAAGAAAATGAGGGCCCCCCAAAAACCTATCATACATATAGAAAAAAATAAAGTGGTAATAGTAAGTTTTATATTATCAATAACTACTTTAAACTCTCCAATCAAAAAGCATAGATTGGCAGAATATGTAGAAAAATAAGACACAACTATATGCTATCTACAAAATATTCACTTCTGGCCTAAGGACATGCACAAGTTGAAAGTGAAATAATGAAAAAAGATGTTCCATGAAAATAGTAACCAAGAGAGCAGAGGTGGCTATACTAAAATTAGAAAAATAGACTTCAAGTCAAAGACTGTTATAAGAGATAAATATATGATACAATGATAAAATTCAATTTATTAAGAAAATATAACAATTATAAAAATATATGCACCAAACATCAGAGCTCCAAAATATAAAAAGCAAATATTAACATTAACGGAAAAATAGACAACTCTACAATAATAGTAGGAGACTTCAATATTCCATTTTAAATAAAAAATAGAACAACTAAATTAAAGATTAATAAAAAAGCAGAGAGTGAACACACTGTAAAACTATTGGAACTAGCAAACATATACATAGCACTCCACCCAACATGAGCAGAATTTAAAGTATACATGCAAATTTCTCACTAGATTATACATCAGGTCACAAAATGAGTTTCAATAATTTTTTAAAAGGTTGATTGAAATCCATAAAAATATCTTTTATATTCACAAAGGAATGAAACTACAAATCAATGGCAGAAGGAAAACTGGAAAATCCCCAAAATAAAGACCAGTGGATCAGAGAAAAAATCACGAGAGATTATAAAATACTTAACATAAATGAAAATAAAATCACAACATCTCAAAAGTTATGAGATGCAATAAAAACAGTGCTAAGAGAAATTTATAGCTGTAAATGCTTCTAGTAAAAGTGAAGAAAGATCTCAAATTAACAACCTAAACTTTATGCCTTGTATTAGTGTGTTCTCACACTGCTAATAAAGACATGCCCAAAACTGGGTAATTTATAAAGAAAAGAGGTTTAACTGACTCACAGTTCCACATGGCTGAGGAGGCCTCACAATCATGGCCGAAGGCAAATGAGGAGCAAAGTCACATCTTACCTGGTGGCAGCAAGAGAGCGTTTGCAGGGGAAGTCCCCTTTATACAACCATCAGATCTCATGAGACTTATTCACTATCATAAGAACAGCACCCGCCCCATGATTCAATTACCTCCACCAGGTCCCTCCCACAACAGATGGGAATTATGGTAGCTACAATTCAAGATGAGATTTGGGTGGGGACAAAGCCAACCTATATCATGTCTTAAAGAACTAGAAAAAGAAGAACACACTAAACCCAAAGCTAGCAGAATGAAGGGAGTAATAAAAATTAGAGAAGAGATCAACCAAATAGAGAAGAGAGAAACAATAGAAAGTTAACAAAACTAAGAGCTGACTTTCTGAAAAGGTAAACAAAATTGACAAACCTTCAACTACATTGATAAATTTTAAAAATGAGAAGACTCATATTACTAAATTCAGAAATGAAAGAAAAGACATTACTATTAATATTATAGAAATACAAAGGATTATAAAAATGTACTATAGACAACTGTATGCCAAGAAATCAGATAACCAAGATAAATTAATGAATTCCTAGAAACACAGCCTAATAAGACAGAAACATGAAGAAATAGGAAATCTGTATATACCTATGACTAATGAGGAGATTTGATCAGTAAGCAAAAACTTAACAAATACATAACAGCCAATTCTTCTCAGTTGGAATTATTAGACAGGGAATTTAAAACAACTATAATTAATATGCTAATGGCTCTAATGGGCAAAGTAGACAACATGCAAAAACAGATAGGCAATATAAGCAGAGAGATGAAAATCCTAAGGCATAACTAAAAAAAAAAAAATACTAGATTTAAAAAAAAAACTGTGGCAGAAACAAAGGGTACTATTCATGAGCTCATTAGTAGACAGGACACAGTTGAGGACAGAATACCAGAACTTGAAGATATGACGATAGAAGCTTCCAAACTGAAAAGTGAAGAAACAAAGCCTGAAATAAACAAAACTGTATAGCCAAGGACAGTAGGACGACACAGAAAGAATACTCTATGCATAATGAGAATACCAGAAGAAGAAAGAGAGAAAGTAACAGAAGAAACATTTGAAAAAATTAGGGAAAAGTGTTATGACATTAAATTTAGCAATGACACCAAAATATATGACATCAACAGAACAGGCAACAAAATGAAAAATAGATAAATGGATTACATTAGAACTAAAACCTCTATGCATCAGGACACAATCAACAGAGTAAAAAGGCAACACACAGAATGGGAGAGAATATTTGCAAATCATACATCTGATAAGGGATTAATATCCAAAATCTAAAGAACTTCTACACCTGAACAATAACAACAAATGATGGAGAAATGTGCAAGAACTTGAATAGACATTTCTCCAAGGAAGATATATAAATGGCCAATAAGCACATGAAAAGATGCTCAACATCACTCATCATTAAGGAAAAGCAAATCAAAATGAAATGAAAATCATTTAAATTAATTTAAATGATTAATTGTTATATATTTAAATTAGCATTAATAAATTAGGATTAATAAATTAGGATGGCTAATTTAAAAACAAACAAAAACAAAGGGGCCGGGCGCAGTGGCTCATGCCTGTAATCCCAGCACTTTGGGAGGCCGAGGCAGGCAGATCACTTGAGGTCAGGAGTTCAAGACCAGGCTAGCCAACATGGTGAAACCCCGTCTCTACTAAAAATACAAAAACTCACTGGGCGTGGTGGCAGGCGCCTGTAATCCTAGCTAGTCGGGAGGCTGAGGCAGAAGAATAGCTTGAACCTGGGAGGCGGAGGTTGCAGTGAGCCGAGATTGCACCACTGCACTTCAGCCTGGGTGACAGAGCAAGACTCTGTCTCAAAAAAAAAAAAAAAAAAAGGAAAAGAAAAAGAAAGTAAACAGAAAATAGCAATTATTAGTGAGGATGTGGGGAACTGTTGCTGGAAATGCAAAATGATGCAGCCACTCTGGAAAACAGTATGATGGTTCCTGAAAAACTTCAGTGTAGATTTGTCACATGATCTTGCAGTTCCACTTCTGGATATATACTCAAAAAATTGAAAGCAGCAAGTTGAGCATATATTTGATATATTTGTACACCAATGTCCATAGCAGCATTATTCACAATAGCCAAAATGTGGAAAAAAATTCAAATGTCCATTGACAGACAAATGGATAAACAAAATGTAGTATAGATATATAATGAACTATTACTAATCTTTCCAAAAAGAGGAAATTCTGCCACATGCTACAACATGGATGAGCCTTGAGAACATTAAGGTAAGTGAAACAAGCCAATCACAAAAGCCAACACACAAATACTGTGTGATTCCACTTGCATGAAGTGTCTAGAAGAGTCAAATTCATAAAGACAGAAAATAGAATTGTGGTCGCCAGGGGTTGGGCGAAGGGGGAGCAAAAAGTTATAGGTTGATGGAGACAGAGTATCAGTTTTGCAAGATGACGAGTTCTAGAAACTAATGGTGGCAATAGCTGTGCAACAATATTAATGTACTTAATGCCACTGAACTGTACATTTAAACATAGTTAAAGTAGTGAATTTTATGTGTATTTTACAATTCTTTTAAAAGCTTATACAGAAGTGAAGCAGAGAACAAAATAGCACTATCATCATTTAAGGCTGGTATTACCAAATACGTCTTATATCTTCAGACAAGTGAGCTTACTGTTATACTACTGAACTCTTGAGTTTAGAGACTTGCCTGCCCAACCACAGGCTGCTTGGAACTCCTGCCAGCTGTGTCCCGCTAGGGACCTGGCCCTGTAAAACTCTCAGTGGGGAGGAGCAGAAGAGAAAACATATGCTTCCCACAGTCCAAGGGACTTCAAGGTGAATTTGGACTCAAAGCAAAGGGAGACTAGAAATTGAGGAGAGTGCCATTTGATGTCTTCTTGCATTTGGTATAATTTGTCTCTGTTTTGCACCATGACCTTGTTAATACTGTCCTTCCACCCCTGCTTCCACCCCACCCAGATATTCTAATTACGTTGGCCCTTTCTTCCCATCTCTCTCTTTGTGAAAGGAAACATTTCTTTAACATAGCTTATCCATTTTTTATTCGTTCTTGCTATGGAAATATATATTTTTTTCAAAGATCTCTTTTCGGAAGGCTGCTGGCAACTTGATCTAATTTGGACTGATTGTTTTCTGGGCTTGCTGGAACTCTGAAGTGGATTAGGAAGGGAAGAGACTAGAGACAGAGAGACAAGTCAGGTGAGACATCAGGAATCGCAGAAGGGAGAGATGAAGGGCTGAACTGAGGCAGCGACAGAACACAGAAGTCAGGCAGAATTGATACTTAAGGAAGTAGACTGTCCAAGGTTTGATGGTCAGAGATGGGAGAGCACAAATGTATTCTCAAGTTCATGCCTTGCTGGATAGATCCTGGTACAATTAAAACTAGTTAGAAGGATTTGGTTACTCTAGATGTTCACTCTCTACTGTATAATTTTTTAACATTAAGGAATTTTCTTAAAAAAAAATCTAATTACTGTAATCCTAGCACTTTGTGAAGCAGAAGCAGGCCGATTTCTTGAGTCCAGGAGTTTAAGACCAGCCTGGGCAACATAAGGAGACTCACCTCTACAAAAAAATATAAAAAATTAGCTAGGCATTTTTAAGGTTTATCCGTATTATAGTATGAGTAAGAATTATTTGTCTGGACGCGGTGGCTCATGCCTGTAATTCCAGCACTTTGGGAGGCTGAGGCGGGCAGATTGCCTGAGGTCAGGAATTTGAGACCAGTCTGGCCAACATGGTGAAATCCTATCTCTACTAAAAATACAAAAAAAATTAGCCAGGCATGGTGGCGTGAGCGTGTAATCCCAGCTACTTGGGAGGCTGAGGCAGGGGAATTGCATGAACCAGGGAGGTGGAGGTTGCAGTAAGCTGAGATTGCACCACTGCACTCCAGCCTGGGTAACAGAGTGACACTCCATCTCAAAAAAAAAAAAATTATTTACATCTGAGTAACACTCCATCATATGTATACAACCCATTCACTTACCCAGTTACCTGTCAATGAACATTTGGGTTGTTTCCACATTTAGCTATTGTGTTCATAGGCATGCTTTTATGAACATTGGTGTATGAGTATCTTTTTTAATTCCCTGCTTTCAATTCTGGGTAGATATTCGAAAGTGGAATTGCTGGATTATATGGAAATTCTGTTTGATTTTTTGAGGAACTGCCATATTATTTTCCACAGTAGCTGCACCGTTTGACATTCCTACCAACAGTTCTCTACATCATTGACATCTCTTATTATTTTCTGTTTTGTTTTTTATATTAGCCATCCTAACAAATGTGATATCTCATTGCTGTTTTGGTTTGTATTTCCCTAATTATTAGTGATGTCAAACATCTTTTCATGTGCTTAATGGCCATTTATATATCTTACTTGTAGAAGTGTCTCTTGAAGTTCTTTGCCCATTTATAAACAATTTTCTTGTCATTGAGTTGTAGGATTTCTTTGTATAATCTGGTTATCATCTTTTATCCTTTATCAAATGCATGATTTGCAAATGTTTTCTCATTCTGTGTGTTGTCTTTTTACTCTGTTGATACTGGCCTTTGAGAAACAAAAGGTTTTCATTTTTATGAAATTCAATTTATCTACATTTTTATTGCCTGTTTTGGTGTTGTACCTAAGAGATCATTGCCTAATTCAAGATTACAAGGATTTATTTCTATATTTTCTCCTATGAGTTTTGTTTTGTTTTGTTTTGTTTGTTTTTGTTTTTGTTTTTATATGGCATTTTGCTCTTTTTAAAGCCCAGGCTGGAGTGCAATGGTGTGATCTTGGCTCACTGCAACCTCCGCATCCTGGGTTCAAGTGACTATCCTGCCTCAGCCTCCCGAGTAGCTGGGATTACAGGCACACGCCACCACACACAGCTAATTTTGTATTTTTAGTAGAGACAGGGTTTCACCACGTTGGCCAGGCTGGTCCTGAATGCCTGAACTGTTTCAGCTCTAGGTAAGGTTAAATCATTCTCCTGTAATGTAGATTGTCAGATTCCCCAGGGTGGATATTGTTCAGAGGCAGACATTTCCCCCTCTCACACTTAGGGAATTCGAAGTTTTTTGGCTATCTCACAGAGTTTGCAGCAGCAACCTGCTTCTTTCAAAGGATCTGTGAATTCTTACAGCCTTCCTGGTATGTTCCCATGATGGTTCTTGGAGCAAAAGTTTACAATGTGAGTCTCCACATGCTGTCTGTCTGTCCAAATGGAAGCTGCATATTAGTCCTGTCTTCTATCTACCATTTTCTTCCCTAATCCCCTCTAATGTACCTTTTGATTTCTTTGATACAATTTAAGAGTGTGTAGTTCTTACAAATTCATGGATTTTTCAGTTTTACTTCTATTATTGTTTTACAGTTTCATTCCATTTTTATCAGAAAAGATGCTTTGTATATTTACAATTTTTTAATTAATAAGGCTTGTTTTGTGACCTAACACATGGTCTATCCTAGGGCATATTTTATATTTGCTCTTGAGACAAATATGTATGCTACTGTTATTAAGGGCAATGTCCTATATATGTCCATTAGGTCCCAAGGGTTCGTATTGTTGTTGAAGTCATCGATTTTCTCATTGGTCTTCTGCTTGGTTGTTCTATTTATTATTGAAAGTAGGGTATTGACCCTTTTAAACATTATTGCGAAACAATCTATTTCTACTTTATTTCTGTCAATATTTGCTTTATAGGTTTTGTAGCTCTGGTGTTTGGAGCGTATATATTTTTAAATGTTATATCTTCTTGGTGTGTTAACACTTTATCCATAAATGATGTCCTTCCTTGTCTCTTGTGACAGTTTTATACCTAAAGTCTCTTTTCTCTTATAAATATAGGGACCACAGCTCTCCTTTGGTAACTATTTGCATGGAATATCTTTTTCTATCCTTTCCCTTTCAACCTATATGTGTTCCTAAATCTAAGGTAAATTTCTTATGTAGAGCATATGGTTGAAATCTGGTTTTGCTTTTTTTTTTTTTATCTATTTTTCCAATTTACACCTTTTGATTGAGGAGTGTAATTTATTTATATTTAATAGAAGAAAGAACTTAATTTTACCATTTTGTTATTTGATTTTAATATGTCTTACAGTCCTTTTGTCTGTCATTCTCTTCATTACTGCCTTGATTTGTGTTTAGTTAATCTTTGTAGTGATACATTTTACTTCTTTTTTTTCTTTCTGTGTATTTGCTTTTTTTAACTTTTATTTTAAGTTCAGGTCTACACATGCAGGTTTGGGACACAGGTAAACTTGTGTCTTGGTGGTTTGTTGTACAGATTATTTCATCACCCAGGTATTAAGCCTAGTACCCTTCAGTTATTTTAGTTATTTTTCCTGATCATTTCCCTCCTCCCACTCTCCACCCTCTGATAGGCCCCAGTGTCTATTGTTCTTCTCTATGTGTCCACGTGTTCTCATCATTTAGCTCTCACTTATAAGTGAGGACATGTGGTATTTGGTGTTCCGTTCCTGTGTTAGTTTGCTAAAAATAATGGCTTTGAAATCCATCCAAGTCCCTGCAAAGGACATGATCTCATTCTTTTTATGGCTGCATAGCATTCCATGGTGCATATGTACCACATTTTCTTTATCCAGTCAATCACTGATGGGCATTTGGTTGAGTCCATGTCTTTGCTATTGTGAACAGTGTCGCAATGAACATACATGTGCACATGTCTTTGTAATAGAACAAATTACATTCCCTTGGGTATATACCCAGTAATGGGATTGCCAGGTTGAATGGTATTTCTGTCTTTAGGTCTTTGAAGAATTGCCACACTGTCTTTCACAATGGCTGAACTTATTTACATTCCCACTGACAGTGTATAAGCATTATTTCTCTTCACAACTTGTCCAGCATCTGTTATTTTTTGTTTTTATAATAATAGCCATTCTGACTCATCCTGACTCACTGAGATGTTATCTCACTGTGGTTTTGATTTCCATTTCTATAATGCTCAGTGATGTTGAGCTTCTTTCATATATTTATTGGCCACATCTACATCTTCTTTTGAGAAGTGTCTATTCATGTCCTTTGCCTACTTTTTAATGGGGTGGTTAATTTTTTGTAAATTTGTATAAGTTCTTCATAGGTGCTGGATATTAGACATTTGTTGGATGCATAGTTTGCAAAAATTTTCTCTCATTCTGTAGGTTGCCTGTTTACTCTCTGTTGATAGTTTCTTTTTCTGTGCAGAAGCTCTCTGGTTTAATTAGATCCCAGTTGTCAATTTTTGCTTTTGTTAAAATTGCTTTTGGCGTCTTCATTATGAAATCTTTGTCTGTGGTTGTTTTACAGGATTTCTATAGCTTTGGATTTTACATTTAAGTCTGTAATCTATCTTGAGTTAATTTATGTATAAGGCATAAGGAAGTGGTCCAATTTTAATCTTCTACATATGGCAGGCTAGTTATCTCAGCATCATTTATTAAACAGGGAATCCTTTCCCCATTGCTTGTTTTGGTCAGGTTTGTCAAAGATCAGATAGTTATAGCTTTGTGGTCAGATTTCTTTGTTTTCTATGCTGTTCCAGTGGTCTACGTGTTTGTTTTTGTACCAGTATCATGCTGTTTTGGATACTGTAGTCCTGTAGTATAGTTTGAAATCAAGTAACGTGATGCTTCCAGCTTTGTTCTTTTTGCTTAGTATTGTCTTGGCTATTTGGCCTTCTTTTGGTTCCATATGAATTTTAAAATAGTTTTTTTCTAGTTCTGTGAAGAATGTCAGTGGTAGTTTAATAGGCATAGCATTGAATCCATAAATTGTTTTGGGAAGTATGGCCATTTTAATGATATTGATTCTTCCTATCCATGATCATGGAATGTTTTCCAATTTTTTTGTATCATCTCTGATTTCTTTGAGAAGTGGGTTGCAGTTCTTATTGTAGGGATCTTTCACCTTCCTTGTTAGCTATATTTCTAGATATTTTAGAAATATATTTCTAGATATTTGGTGGCAATTGTGAATGTGAGTTCATTCCTAATTTGGCTCTCGGCTTGACTGTTGCTGTATAGGAATGCTAGAAAGTTTTGCACATTGATTTTGTATCCTGAGACTTTGCTGAAGTTGTCTATTAGCTTAAGAAGCTTTTTGGGCTGAAACAATAGGATTTTCTAGATACAGGATTATGACATCTGCAAACAGGGATAGTTTGACTTCTTAACTTTTTGTTTGGATTCCCTTTATTTCTTTCTCTTTCCTGATTGCCCTGGCCAGAACTTCCAACACTATGTTGAATAGGAGTGGTGAGAGAGGGCATCCTTGTCTCATGCCAGTTTTCAAGGGAAATTGTTCCAGCTATTGCCTATTCTGTATGATGCTGGCTGTGGGTTTGTAATAGATGACTCTTATTATTTTGAGGTATGTTTCTTCAGTACCTAGTTTATTGAGAGTTTTTAACATGATTGGATGTTGAATTTTATCAACGACTTTTTGGCATCTATTGAGATAATCATGTGGGTTTTGTCTTTAGTTCTGTTTATGTGATGAATTACATTTATTGATTTGTGTACGTTGAACCAAACTTGCATCCCAGAGATAAAGTCTATTCGATTGTGGTGGATAAGCTTTTTGATATGCTGTTGAATTTGATTTGCCAGTGTTTTGTTAAGAATTTTTGCATCAGTGTTCATCATAGGTATTGGCCTGAAGTTTTCTCTTTTTGTTGTTGCTGTATCTCTGCCTGGTTTTAGTATGAGGATATTGTCGGCCTCATAAAATGAGTTGTAGGAAGTCCCTCCTCCTCAATATTGTGGAATAGTCTCAGTAGGAATTGTACTAGTTCTTCTTTGTACATCTGGTAAAATTCAGTTGTGAATCATCTGGTTCTGTGCTTTTTTTTGGTTGGTAGGCTATTTATTACTGCCTCAATCTCAAAGCTCATTATAGGTCTGTTCAGTGATTCAATTCCTTCCTGGTTCAGTCTTGGGAGGGTGTATTTGTCCAGGAACTTATCCATTTCTTCTATATTTTCTAGTTTATGTACATAAAGGTGGTTATAGTATTGTCTGATAGTTGTTGTATTTCTGTGGGGTCACTTGTAATATCCCCCTTGTCATTTCTGGTTGTGTTTATTTGAATCTTCTCTCTTTTCTTCTCTATTAGTCTAGCTAGTGGTCTATCTCTTTTATTAACTTTTTTCAAAAAAAATGGCTCCTAGAATTGTTGATTTTTGTAATGGTTTTTCATGTCTCTATTTCCTTCAGTTCAGCTCTGATTTTGATTATTTCTTGTCTTCTGATAGCTTTAAGCCTTGTTTGCTCTTGGTTCTATAGTTCTTTTAGTTGTGATGTTAGGTTGTTAACTTGAGATCTTTCTAATTTTTTTTTTTGAGACGGAGTCTCGCTCTGTCACCCAGGCTGGAGTGCAGTGGCACGATCTCAGCTCACCGCAAACTCCGCCTCCCAGGTTCACACCATTCTCCTGCCTCAGCCTCCCAAGTAGCCCAGTGAATTTTTTGTATTTTTAGTAGAGACAGGGTTTCACTGTGTTAGCCAGAATGGTCTCCATCTCCTGACCTCGTGATCCATCTGCCTTGGCCTCCCAAAGTGCTGGAATTACAGGCGTGAGCCACTGTGCCCAGCCCTTTCTAATTTTTTAATGTGGGCATTTAGTGCTATAAATTTCCCTCCTAACACTGCCTTAGCTGTGTCCCAGAGATTCTGGTACATTGTATCTTTGTTCTCATTAGTTGCAAATAACTTCTTGATTTCTGTCTTAATTTCATTATTTACCAAAAAGTCATTCAGGAGCAAGCTATTCAATTTCCATGTAATTTTATGCTTTTGAGTGAATTTCTTAGTCTTGATTTCTAATTTAATTGTGCTGTGGACTGAGAGACTGTTTGTTATTATTTCTGTTATTTTGCATTTACTGAGAAGTGTTTCACTTCTGATTATGTGATCAGTTTTAGAGTATGTGCCATGTGGTGATGAGAAGAATGTATATTCTGTTGTTTTTGCAGGAAGAATTCTGTATATATCTATTAGGTCCATGTGGTCCAGTGCTTAGTTCAGGTCCTAAATATCTTTGTTAATTTTCTGTCTTGGTGATCTGTCTAATATTGTCAGTGGGGTGTTAAAATCTCCAACTATTACTGTGTGGGAGTCTAAGTTTCTTTGAAGGTTTCTGAGAACTTGCTTTATGAATCTGGGTGCTCCTGAATGCATATATATTTAGGGTAGTTAGATTTTCTTATTGAATTGAACCCTTTACCATTATGTAATGCCCTTTTTTGTCTTTTTTGATCTTTGTTGGTTTAAAGTATGTTGTGTCAGAAACTAGGAATGCAACCCTTGCTTTCTCTGTTTTCCATTTGTTTAGTAGATTTCTCTCCATCCCTTTATTTTGAGCCTATATGTGTCATTGCATGTGAGATGGGTCTTTTGAAGACAGCATACAAATGTGTCTTGTTTCTTTAACCAGCTTGCCACCCTGTGCCTTTCAGTTGAGGCACAGCCCATTTATATTTAAGGCAGTATTGATATGTGTGAATTTGATCCTGTCATGATGTTAGCTGGTTGGTTATTTCTCAGACCTGTTTATGTGGTTGCTTTATAGTGTCGCTGGTCTGTGTACTTCAATGTGTTTTTGTGATGGCTGTTAATGGTCTTTCTTTTCCATATTTAGTGCTTCTTTTGGAAGCTCTTTTAATGAAGGTCTAGCGGTAATAAATTCCTTTAGCATTTGCTTGTCTGAAAAGGATCTTACTTCTCCTTCATTTATGAAGCTTAGACTGGGTATGAAATTCTGGGTTGGAATTTCATTTCTTTAAGAATGTTGAATATTGACCCCCCCTAGTCTCTTCTGGCTTGTAGGGTTGAGAGGTCTGATAGGCTTCCCTTTGTAAGTAACCTGATTTTCTCACTAGCTGCATTTAACATTTTTTCTTTTATTTCAGCCTTGGAGAATCTGAGGATTATGTGTCTTGAGGATGGTCTTATTGTAAAGTATCTTACTGGGGTTCTCTGCATTTCCTGAATTTGAATGTTGGCCTCTCCAGCTAAGTTGGGGAGATTTTCATGGTTGATAACCTGAAATATGTTGTACAAGTTAGTTCTATTCTCCCTGTCTCTTTCAGGTACACCAATCAGTTGTAGATTTGTTCTCTTTACATAATCCCATAATTCTTGGAGGTTTTACTTATTCCTTTTCATTTTTTTCTATTCTTGTCTGCCTGTCTTATTTCAGAAAGGCAGTCTTCAAGCTTGAGACTCTTTTCTCCACTTTGTCTATTCTGCTATTAATACTTGTGATTGCATTATGAAATCTTATAGTGTGCTTTTCAGCTCTATCAGGTCAGTTATGTTCTTCTTTATACTGGCTGTTTTGTTTGTCAGATCCTGCAATATTATATCATAATTTTTAGCTTCCTTGCATTAGGTTATAATATACTCTTGTAGTTCAGTGAACTTTTTTTCTATCCATAGTCTGAATTCTACTTCTGTCATTTCAGCCATCTCGGCCTCAGCCCAGTTTGAAACCCTTGCTGGAGAGGTGATGCAGTCATTTAGAGGAAAGAAGGTGCTCTGGCTTTTTGAGTTTTCAGTGTTGTTACACTTATTCTTTCTCATTTTTGTGTGCTTATCTACCTTCAATCTTTGAGGCTGTTGACCTTTGAATATTTTTTTTTCTTTTATCCTATTTGATGACCTTGAGGGTTTGATTGTGGTATAAGGTAGATTCAGCCAACTGGCTTCATTTCTGGAAGATTTTAAGGAGACAATATACAGCTCCTAACTTCTGGACTGCATGCTCTAACTCTGGGGAATTTGTATTGGGCCCTAACTTTGTTCTCTTGCTCCTTGAGGTTTGGACCTACTACACTGAGGAGACCAAGGTGTGGCAGCTGCAGCCGAGTGCTAGCAGATGCAGGAGTGCTTGCCACCATGCAGTCATTCGCCACAGTGACAGAGGCAAGGCGGTTGCAGGGAGAACGGGGGCCCCTGCTGGAGGAGACTGTGCTGTTGCACTGGAGGTGGTGTTGATTTGCAGTGGGGTGCTGGCTAGTGCAGGTCTGGGTGCCTTCTCTGTGCCCCACAAGCAGGAGTAGTTACTCAGGGCCTGGGAGGATTCCTTGTCCTCTGCACAGCATGAGCACAAGAGCTGGGTGCTGGCAGAGGCAGGTCTTGCTGGCTCTGTGCCCACCAAGGCTCCATCTGCAATGGTGGTTGGTGGGGTTTGTGGGGCACAGTGCACTCCTGCATGCTGATGGGGCAAGTAAAGCAAAACCCACCCATGCAGACACATGCCAGAAAAGTGATGTGAGAAGCTGTCATGGGCTCAGGGGAAGCTGCTATTATATATTATATTATGTATGGAGAGGGAATGTGCAGGAAAAGACCCTAAGTGTCTTATTCACACTTCCAACAAGGTGCAGTTGACCCAAGGAGAGGACACTATTCTGTTTCCCATGGTCCCATACACACCCCACTGCTCATCACCAGACAGGGAACTCCTGGCTTGGGCCCACAGCACAGACCCTGAATCCTGGGCTGATTGTACTGAGTGACTGCTGGTGATGAGGAATGGGATTAGCGACTTGCTTATAAAAGCAGCCTGGCCAGGTTTTTACAGGGTAGCTGTGCTGGGCTGGGGTAATGCTTCCAGTACTCCAAAGCCCAAAGGCTGGAATGGCTAAGTCACCCAAACAGCAAAGATTGCATCCTCCCCCTCCCTCTGGGAGCTCCATCCCAGGGAGGTCTGAATCCTCTGTCAGCTGGAGAACACTGGTGGGAGTAGCCAGAGACCCTGACTGGAAGGCTCCACCTAGTGAAAAGACCCTGAGTGCCTTATCCACACCTCCAACAAGCTGCAGTCAGCCCAAGGAGAGGAGGTCAGTCTGTCTCCTATGGGTCCCACACACCCCCCACTGCTCATCACCACACAGAGACCCCCTGGCTTGGGCCCACAGCAGAGACCATGCACCGTGGGCTGATTGAACTGAGTGATGGCTGGTGATGAAGAATGGGATCAGGAACTCACTTACAAAAGCAGTCTGGCCATGTTTTCGCAGGGCAGCTGTGCTGTGCTAGGGTATCACTTCCACCGCTGGTTGGTTTGGGCTCTCCAAAGCCTGAAGGCTAGAAAGGCTAAGTCACCCTAACAGTAAAGATGTTGACCTGCCCCTCCCTATGAAAGCTCTGTCCCAGGGAGTTTTCAAATCCCTGTTGGCCAGAGAACACTGGTGGGAGTGGCTGGAGGCCCCAGCTGGGAGGTCCTGCCCAGTGAGGAGGAATAGCACTGGGGACCCACCTAAAGAAGCAGTCTGGCCATGTCTTAGAGGAGTAGCTGTGCTGTGCTGGAGGATCCCTTTTGCCCCTGGTCAGTTTGGACTCTCCAAAGCCTGAAGGATGTAATAGCCAAGTGGCCAAACAGCAGAAGTGGCACCCCTTCCACCCCTCCCTCGAGGAGCTCCATCCCAGGGAGGCAAAATGCTGCTATCGGTTGCTGGCTGAAATTCCAAGCCAGTAGGTTTTATCCTGTGAGGCACCGTGGAAGTGGGGCCAACAGACCATCATTGCTCAGTCTCCTGGATTCAGCCTCTTTCTTACGAGTATTGTGGGGGTCTAACTTTCCACTTTTCCAGAGTTGCAGCTACTTTTGCTGAGATGCCTGAAATGCCAGAGTATCTAAAGTTCCTGGGTCTCTGTGCATGCCTGAGCAGCTGCTCTGTGAGATTCCACATAGCTCTGTGTATCAAACTGATAGTCCGGGTGGAGTAGGTTCACAAGGGGATCTCCTGACCTAAGGGTTGCAAAGATCTATGGAACAAGTGTGAGACCCTGGGGTTGCATATTCACTCACCACTTCTCTGGGTAAGGGAGCTTCCCTTGGCTCCATGTCACTCCTGGGTGGGCCATCGCCCTGCCTTGCTTTTCTCCCTTCCCTGTGGGTTGAGTTGTTTCCTCAATTAGTCCTAATGAGAGTCCCTGGATGTTTCAGTTGAAGGTGCTGTATTTACTTGCCCCTTCCATTCCTCTTCATGACATCGATGCACATTAGCTGCTTCCAGTTGTCTGTCTATGCAATTCCCAGTGTATATTCCATAGATATTTTCTTTTGGTTGCCATGGGATTAAATATAATATCCTAAATTTATAACAATCTTATTAATAGTAACAACTTCAATCACATACAAAACTCTATTCCTCTACAGTGCTTTTTCACCATGCTGTTGCTACCATAAATTATATATTTATACACAGTAAACACACTGGTATATATTCTTATTTTTATGCATTTGTCTTTTAATTCTGAAGAAAACACAAAGTTGAGTTACAAACCAAATTTACAACAAAACTGGTTATTATGTTTCCCTAGATACTTAACTTACTAGGGATCTTTATATCTTTGAAAGATTTTGCTTTACTGTCTACTGTCCTTCCACTTTAACTTTGAGAACTTCCTTTAGAGTGTCTGACAGGACAGATTCAGTGATAATCAATTCTGCCATTGATTTATCTGGGAATTTCTTAATAATTCTATCATTTGTGAAGGACAAGTTTTCTCAGTACATAATTCTCAGTTGACAGTTGTTTTTCTTTCAGTACTTATTGTATCTTCCCATTTTTTTCTGGCCTACAGGGTTTCTGGTGAGAAATTTATTAATAATCTTATTGAGTGTCACTTGAACATGACATTTAACTTTTCTCTTGCCATATTCAAGATTCTTTCTTTGTCTGTGGCTTTTGACAGATTGATTATAATTAGTCATAGTGTGGGTCTCATTAAATTTATTCTACTTGAAATTTATTGAGATTCTTTGATTTATAGATTCACATCTTTCATTAAGTTTAGAAAGTTTCCAGTTAATATTTTTTTGAAATAATCTCTCTGCCCTTTTTCTCTCTCCTCCTCTAAAACTGACCCAATGTGTACATTGGTTAGCTTGATGGTACGCCACAAATCCCTTAGGCTCTGTTTACTTTTCTTCTATTTTTTGTTTCTTTCTGCTTCTCAGATTCAATAATTTCAATTTTCCTGTCTTCACAGTTACTGATTCTTTCTCTCTTTTTAATTTTTTTTTTTTTTAAAGATGGAGTCTCTCTCTGTTGCCCAGGCTGGAGTGAAGTGGCGCAATCTCAGCTCAATGCAACCTCTGCCTCTGAGGTTCAAGCGATTCTCCCGCCTCAGCCTCCTGAGTAGCTGGGATTACAGGCGCCCAACACTGCGCCTGGCTAATTTTTTGTATTTTTAGTAGAGATGGGGTTTCACAATGTTGTCCAGGCTGGTCTTGAACTCCTGACCTCAAGTGATCCACCTGCCTCAGCCTCCCAATGTGCTGGGATTACAGGCGTGAGCCACCACGCCTGGGCCCCTGATTCTTTCTTATGCTTACTCAAATCTTTTGTTAAGCCACTATAGTAAATTTTTACTTCAATAATTGTATTTTTTAGCTTCAGAATTTCTGTTTGGTTTCTTTTTATAATTCACATCTCTTTGCTAATATTCTATTTAGTTTGCATTTCATTTTCCTGATTTCCCTTAGTTCTTTTTACTCTTTTCAGCTCTTTGAGCATATTCAAGAGCAGTTGTTTTAAAGTCTTTTCTAGTAAGGTCAACATCTATGCTTCTTCATGGACAGTTCCTGTTAATTTCTTTTCTTGCATTGAGTAGGCAACATTTTTCTATTACTTTATATGACTTGTGATTTTTTTTTAAAATTGAACATTTGTAAAACAAAAACAAAAACAAAAAGCAGGCACTTCTCCAAGTCTTCACAAACTGACTCTTTGCTAGGGCAGTCCATGACTACTTCACTGGTTGTGCTCTGAGCCTAAGGATTAGCCTGAATTGAAAGCTCAAGGTCTTCTCATATCTTTTTCTGAACATGCTTTGTACACGGGCGTATGTCTTGCTTTCTCAGTTCCCCAGTATTTATGGCTTTTGAAAATCTTAATATCCCAAAAAGTCTTATCCTAGCTTCTTTTAATTCTAAAGAAGATAAACAGTTGAGTTTCAAACCAAAATTATAATAAAACTGATATTTATGTTTTCCCCGGGTACTTAACTTACCAGAAATATTTATATCTTCATAAGATCTTAAATGGTCTATTGTATATCTCTACTATTATCTCCCACCCCAGGCATTTGGTGCCTGTAGTCTTTCTGAAGCTTTCATAAGCAGTTCTGGCTGCCTTCCTCATCTGAGATCGAAGTTAAACAGTACAGAGACCAGTTATTTCGACAGCCCCCAGACAGTTTAGAACATGGCAAGTGAGGTCTGCTCTGCTGTCTCTGGTTTGAGTGATGGAATTGGGAACTGGGTCCTACCTCCTCCAGACCAAGACCACTCTGTGCTAAAAGGGGAAATGGGAAAAGGGTATATAAAAATGACACAAAGTTTTCTATCATTTTGAATGAGGCTCTTTCTTGTTTGGGTGTTTTCTTGGATACTACAGGACTTTTGCTGTTTTCCAGAGCTCTTATAAGGTTAGTTCAGCTCATTTCTCATTGTTTTTTGACATTCCATGTAAGAATGATAGCTTGGAGCTTCCTAGCCTGCAATTTTGCTAATGTCACTCCTTTCAGTGGCATCAGTTTTTAAAACAGCTGTAAAAATTAAATGCTCACCTCCATAAATATGCTTGCAAAGATGGGAAAGTGTACCTAAACTACCAGTTTTATGTTGCTTGACTCCAGCACCTATATTAGTTGCTGAAACCAATGCTTAGGCTCTTTCTGAGCATCCAGATACACAGGTCTTGTCTAACATTTGATTGAACTGTGCTACCAAAGTTCATTTCTAAGTTGGTGAGACTACCAGTTCAACTCACTAATATGTATCAGAGTAATGACCCTAATAGTGAACATGTTGTACATAATGTACTACCATTATAATAAATGGTGTTCATCAAGCTGTTTCTAAATTATAATGCATTCAGAATTTCAATATAGCATCCTAGGGAAAGAATGATTTGAAAACCACGTGTGACTTAATATTTTGAATTTGTGATATTATTGAAATTCTCTTTTACAACTTAGGCCCTGGGAGAAAAATAGAGGGTCTCCCTTCTGTTTTCTCCACAGTTACAATGAGTTTAAGGATACATTGGGCTGTACTGGGGGGTACACATGGGAAAGTGAAGAGAGGGTTCACTTTTGCAAGGTACTTCCCCTTCTAAATTTAATTTCTCCAGCCACTGATAGATCTTCCCTGGGCTATACTAAAAGGGTAAGAAGGAGTTCGGATCCCAGCACTTTGGGAGGCCGAGGCAGGTGGATCATGAGGTCAGAAGATCGAGACCATCCTGGCTAACACAGTGAAACCCCGTCTCTATTTAAAAATACAGAAAATTAGCCTGCCGTGTTGGCGGGCGCCTGTAGTCCCAGCTGCTCTGGAGGCTGAGGCAGGAGAATGGCGTGAACCTGGGAGGCGGAGCTTGCAGTGAGCCGAGATTGCGCCACTGCACTCCAGCCTGGGTGACAGAGCAAGATTCCGTCTCAAAAAAAAAAAAAAAGAGAAGGAGTTCCGGCAGCCATTGGCCCTGCTACTACAGGAAGAAAGAATGAAGAGGAGAAAGGACACAATCATGAATGCAATTTGCAAAAATAATTTATATAAATCTTTCGGGCAGCTATGTGTTTTATCATATTTAGTCATTTTCTGTTGGTTTTTTTTTTCTTGCCACTGAATGCATGTCCACCAATAAATAGAGAAAAAGAAAAAGTATATATCTGGAAGACAGACAATAGAATACTAACATAGGAATAATAAATATCCCTAGAAAAGCTGAACAGAAAATAACGAGTATTAAAGACATAATTTTAAGTTGCCTGAAACAATCTAAATCTACATATTTAAAGGGTACAACATGTCACAGCAAAGGTAGACACAGAATAATTAACCTGGAACATCAACTGTTAATAGTAATAGCCTTTTAAATGTAAATAAACAATCAAATTATCTGAATAATATATAACCTTTCTCCCTCCTGCAAAGTCAAAACTACCTGGGATGAAGGAACTCAAGCTTGCAGACCAGCTGCAGATTTCTCCACAGCAAAATTCAAGAAAGGAAATGAGAACACTGTATACAGAAGTTTCAGGAAAATAACAGTTAGATCTAGAATATTACCCTAGACTACCTATCTTTAATTCACAAAAATAAAATGACACTAACCGAAGTTTTACACAAAGAGAAAGCCAAATACTAGCTAACACAAATCCTTCTTGAGTGGGGGATGGGAACAAAAAAGAACTTCGGAAAACCAAGAGGCCAACAGGAAATCTGTAAGAACACTAGGCAATAGAACTCAAGCTAAAATGTACAGGAACTATGGTTGCAAAATGACATGTAAATGTTATAAAATTACAACAACAAGAAAGCATTATTGCTATAGTTTGGATGTTGTCCCCTCAAAACCTCATGTTGAAATTTGATCCTCAATTTTGGAGGTGGGGCCTAATGAGAGGGGTTTGGGCCATGGGGACAGATTACTCATGAATAGATTAATGCCCTCCCTGTGGGCCAGCAAGTTCTTACTCCACTCATTCCAGTGAGAGCTAGTGGTCCAAAAGAGCCTGACACCTCCCTTCTTTCTCTCTTGCTTCCTCTCTCCCCATGTGAGCTGCATGCTGGCTGGCTCCCTTTACCTTCCACCGTGAGTACAGAAATAGCCTGTGGCTGTCACCAGAAGCCAAGCAGATGCTGGCACCATGCTTCTTGTACAGCCTGCAGAAGCATAAGACAAATAAAACATCTTTACTTTATAAATTACCCAGTCTCATGTAGTCCTTTATAACACTGAATAAACTAAGACAATCATGTAATTAACTAAATTGCAGGTGTAATGGGGAGAAAAGACGAGAGTCCTTGGAATATTTCCTTATCTTGAATGGAGTCAGGAGACATTGTCAGACCTATCTTGATTTTAAGTTCAAACAGAGGCTTAATCAATTTTTTAAAGATAATCAATTAACCAAGAGAAGGACTAAAGGTAGTGTAGGATCTGTTAAAAGAAAACTTTAGGCAAATTAAATTTAACAGAGTTTAATTGAGCAAGAAAAAAAAAACGGTTCATGAATCAGGAAGCCTCCAGAATCACAACAGATTCAGAGAGATTCCAGGGATGCCCCGTGGTTAGAGCAAATTTATAGATAAAAAGGGAAAGTGACATACAGAAATTAGAAGTGAGGTACAGAAACAGCTGACTTGGTTACAGGTTGGCGTTTGCCTTATTTGAACACAGTCTGAACAATCAACAGTGTATAATTGGTTGAAGTATGTCCGCTGGGATTGGCCAAGATTCAGCAACTGTTACAGATGCATTCTCCTAAGTTAGGTTTTTAATCTTGTCTACCAATCCAATTAGATTATGGTTCATCCACAAGGACTCAAATATAGAAGTACAGAGTCCTTCTTAGGCCATATTTAGTTCACTTTAACAATTCCTCCCTTTTGATCACCCTCTCAATTTAGAGAGATTGGCCAAAACTTTAGGCATCGATGCCACTCTCTGTCACCATCATAAAGACTTATTTGGTCTCAGTGTAGAATTCACAGGTCTTCTTTAGTTTTAGTATGGTGCTTCACAGGTCTTCTTTGGTGTCAATGTGGAATTCACAAGTCACATTTTGTACCAGCTGAATGATTCTTTATGTACTTGCTGACCCAGTTGGGGTGAGACCATTCAACTTTCAATGGAAGCCTGCATAGAAAACTTTTATTATTATTATTATTTTTGAGATGGAGTCTCACTCTGTCACCCAGGCTGTAGTGCAGTGGTGTGATCTCGGCTCACTGCAACCTCCGCCTCCTGGGTTCAAGCAATTCTCCTGCCTCAGCACCCTGAGTAGCTGGGATTACAGGTGCCCACCACCATGTCTGGCTAATTTTTGTATTTTTAGTAGGGATGGGGTTTCACCATGTTGGCCAGGCTGGTCTGGAACTCCTGACCTCAGGTGATCTGCCCGCCTTGGCTTCCCAAAGTGCTAGGATTACAGGCGTGAGCCACTGCACCCGGCCACAAAACATTTAAGACTTGAGAGGATACAGTGTACAGGGGGACTATGATTATGACTATCAAGAGGATAATATCAAAATGCCAAGGCATACTCTTTAATAATAGTTCTTATGAAATGAACCGAACCAAAGTAACCAAGTTCAGACAATATAGGCAGTTCAACAATATTAGGGTCTAATTGGCCATAGTCCTCATTTGGAGTGTGATAGCAATTAAGACCATAGTTCACTATAAGATAGGCTGATTTAAAGAAGTATTCATTTCATTCAAGTTAGTATGACTTGGAAACCTACTAGGAGAAATATGAAGATTAGAGACACTTGGAAAGCCCAAGCTTGTCACCCCCACTTAGGATGCCTGCAAACCAACCGTTAGTTGTCCTGTAAATACATCACGGGTTCCTTTCTCTTGAGAGGTTTCTTTAATCTATTTGGTGGCAGTGTCTAAGGAAACAGCAGTATCAGCCACCTTTTAAATTAGGCTTTCCATAGTAACAAAATAAGGGGAGAAGTAAGTACAACATTCAGTTTTGTTTAACACCAAACACAGGTCTCCAGCTTGAGCAAAAAGAAGATCTAAAGCTGCATCATGTTTCATTAAGTGTTTTTGTTGAATATATGTGTTGTCATCTACCTTTTAGAGAGTAGCTTCTACCTGCCTGAAACGCTGGGAGGTCTGGTTGGCTACAGAATCCAATGATTTTCCCAATTTATGAGTTAGCTTTAAATTCCATACAAATGGTACCTCACTACCACCAAGAGTGAGCTCCCAGGAATCCCACCAGAATCTTTCCTCAGTGGAAACTAGCTTATCTTTGTCTCATTCAAGGCCAGTGCTAATTTCAGTTATTGATCATTTGGGCCTCCAATTGTAAGAGTTATCATGAGAATTTTCAGGGGAAGCTATTCAAAAGGCAGGAGCAATCCAAGCCAAATAATAAGATCCAAACCAACAAGGAGGCAGAATGGAATATACATGTTCTCCACAGACCGAATATAGACCCTCAGGGGTTGAGAAGAGGGCCACTAGTTGCATTTAAGCAGTGGTCAGTCAGGTTTGTTCATCCATAAATCTGCATAGCTCCTGAACAATGTCCAGTGAGAAATTTACTTTTTTGTGGCCTCTTCATAACATGCTGTAAGGGTGTATAAACATATCTAGTAAAAAAAGACCATACTGAATTTAATCCAGTTACATTATACAAGCAATTACTTGTACCAACACAGGTAGTTCCAAAATCTTGAGTGCATGATGCCTGGAAGCACAATATGCCTTTTGCAGGAATCACTTGAATTGGCTTTTTATATTTGGTAATGATTGAGTTTTCAGCTGGAAAAGTTAGAGTGTTGTTTTTAGTGGGTGTAGGAAAGCAAGTAGCAGTGATATTTAGAATATCAAGAATAGCTTTCAGGGCAGGTGCGGTGGCTCATGCCTATAATCCCAGCACTTTGGGAGGCTGAGGCAGGCCGATTGATTGAGGTCAGGAGTTTGAGACCAGCCTGGCCAACATGGCAAAACCCTGTCTACAAGAAATATGAAAATTACCTGGGCATGGTGGTGCATGCCCATAGTCACAGCTACTTGTAAGGCTGAGGTACGAGAATTGCTTGAGCCTGGGAGGCAGAGGTTGCAGTGAGCCAACATCGTGCCGTTGCATTCCAGCCTGGGTGACAGAGCAATACTCTGTCTCCAAAAAAAAAAAAGCTTTTCATTCTTTCCTTGGAGTTTCAGGGTGACTCTCATTGGGAACACAAAGAGGGATAGGCATCAGTGAAATAGTTTCCTGATTTTTTTGGCATTAGCCCACAAACCCAACAGTTACTCTGGTTTTGTTCTACAGCATAAGCTCAAGCTAAAGCCATGGGTTTTCCTCTAGGAAAGGATTAGGGCAACAAAACATGAGGAAAACAGAAAAATACGTAAGGGTTTATGGTGGTAGCAAAGTCTTGATCCATGATCTTGGGAAAGCTGTCCACTGCTAGGATGCTGTCTGCTTCTGGGGAGAGATTTCCCTGGTCAGCTTTACCTGAAAGTCTCCAACAGGTGTACAGTTCCAGGAGTTTGAAAGGAGCCCTTTTGAGTTGTGAGACATGGACCCAAGATTCAAGGCCCTGAAGCTTCACTGTGGTATAGGTGATGAGAAGGACTTGGTATAGTCCCTTCCAATGAGAGTAGTCTTCCTGTGATGTCATTTCCAGAAGACTCAGTCTCCAGGTTCCAGATCATGGAAGGTTTGATTATCCTCAGTTGGTGGATCTTGAAAAGCTTTCTTTACCTGGTGGAAGTATACTTTGGCATAATACATTAAAGCCTTGCAGTATTTAGTCATATCAGAGTATGAGAGAGTAGGAGAAACATGAGGTGCTATTATTAGGGACATAGGCCTTCCAGTGACTATTTCATAAGGGGTCAACTTATATTTTCCAATGAAAGTGAATCTAATTGCCATTAAAGCCAAAGGTAGTACCTTTGGCCAAGGCAACCCAATTGATGCAGTTAACTTTGCCAATAGGTTCTAATATGTCATTTGTTCTTTCAACCTTTCCAGAAGACTGCGGGTGGTAGGGACAATGGTAGTGCCACTGTGTTGGTAACACCTTATTTAACTGCTTTATAACTTGCCCATTAAAATAAGTTCCTCTATCACTGGAAATTTTTCCAGGGATCTCCCATAAAGGAAAAGCATTTTCTTTTTTTTTAGACAGAGTCTCGCTTTGTTGCCCCAGCTGGAGTGCAATGATGCAATCTCGGCTCACTGCAACCTCTGCCTCCTGGGCTCAAGCTATTCTCCTGCCTCAGCCTCCTGAGTAGCTGGGATTACAGGTGCCCGCCACCAGGCTAAGCTAATTTTTTTTTTTTGTATTTTTAGTAGAGACGGGATTTCACCATGTTGGTCAGACTGGTCTTGAACTCCTGACCTCAGGTGATCTGCCGGGCTGGGCCTCCCAAAGTACTGAGATTACAGGCATGAACCACCACGCCCAGCCAGGAAAACCATTTTTTAATAATTTCTTAGTTATTGTCACAGCATTAGCTTTCTTACATGGGAAAGCTTCTATCCAACTAGAAAACATGCAAACTATTGCAAGACAATACTGATACCACTTTGAAGGTGACAACTGAATGAAGTCCATCTGTAAATGTTCAACTGATCCATCAGGTGGTAGACATATACCACCTGAAGTTTTGATTGTTTTTCCAGGATTATGAGTTTGACAAGCAAAACATTGGTTATAAACCATTTTAGCAATTTTGGAACCATCACCCAATCAGTATTTTTTCATAATTTGGACCATTTTATCTGTTCCACAATGAGTTGTGGAGTACAGAGCTTTCAACAATGGAAGCTTCAAAGACTCAGGGAGGACCAGGCAGCTGCCTGGGCCCTCTGTGAGTCTGTGCTTCACATTAAACTTACATCTTTTTAGATACCAATTTTTTTTTCCAAATCAAAGGCATTACACCGTTTCTGAAATAAGTCATCATAAAGAAGTTGGCTTGTATTAACCTTCTGGAGTTCATTCAGACTGCATATCTTAACAATGTGAGTAGCTGATTTAGCATACAAATCTGCTAAAGCATTTCCCTGATATTTAGGTTTAGTTCTACAAGTATGAGCTTCAATTGTAATAACAGCAATCTGTAATGGTAACAGAATAGCAGAAGGAGTTCATCTACTTGGAGTCCATTTTTGATGGGGGTTCCACTAAAGGTGAGAAACCCTGGTAGTTTTCATATCATGCCAAAATAATGTACTACTCTGAAAGCATGTTTGCTATCTGTATAAATATTTACTGATTGGTCCTTAGCTATATGACAAGCTCAGGTGAGGGCAAAAATTTCCACAGGTTGGGCTGACTTAAGTTGAGGGAGAGTTCCCTTCTCTACTAATTTTGGGTGGTAACAGCATATTCTGCCTGATATTTTCCTTCTGAGGTTTTAGCACAGGGCCCATCAGCAAAAAGTATCAATTTAGGATTATCTGGTGGAGTATCTTGTAAATCAACATGAGGGACCACTATTTCTGACACTACACTCACACAACTGTGGTCTTTACCATCATCAGACAGAGGTAACAGAGTAGCAGGGTTAAGTAGATTACAGCATTTTAGATCTAGATTAGAAGGAGACAGGTGAAGTAATTCATAAGATGTTAGTCTACTTACTGAAAACTGCTGGGTTTGACTGGAATTTAGTAGACTTTCCACACAGCTTGGGGGACTTGCAAATTCAGTGTATTTCCTAAAACCAAATCTGATGAAGATTCTACCAGCCTGGCCCCTGCTGCTACTGCTTTTAAACAATTAGGATATGCCTTAGTGACTGGGTCTAACTGCAGGCTATAGTATGCAATGGGCCTATGTTTATCACCATGTTCTTGAGTAAGGACTCCTAATGCCTGATTTTTTTGCTCATGAACAAACAAGCTGAAAGGTTTATTGTAATTTGGAAGTCCTAAAGCTGGGGGCTGTTCTAAGGCCAACTTTATTTAGCTGAAAGCCTGCTCATGACTATCTTCCCAAGGTAAAGGCTCTGGTACAGCATTTTTAGTGAGTTCATACAACGGTGATATTGCAGAACCCAGGATCTGCAATATCCTGCAAGTCCAAGAAAGCCTCTTAATTGTCTTTTGGCTGCAGATCAAGAAAAACTTTGGATAGTTTTTATCCTCTCAGGTAAGAGGAAAATTCCTTCAGCAGTCAAGTCATGTCCCTAATAGTAGACTTTTCCTCTGAAAACTTAAGTTTTTCTGTTGAAGCCTTGTTACTTTTATATTTGAGTTGCTGTAAAAGGTAAACTGAGTCAATTTCAGAGCACTCAGTGGGAGAGCATAACAATAAGTCATCTACTTACTGAATGAGAGTAGAATTTTGAGGAAACTGTTGTGTTATTCAGTCCTGATGCAATGCCTGAGAAAAATAGGAAGAGGCTTCCATAAACCCCTATGGCATTACAGTCCAGGTATACCTCTGATTTTTCCAAGTAAAGGCAAACAGGTATTGACTCTCTTTATGAACTGGAATGCTAAGAAGCCTGAGCGGAGATCTATTACTCTGAACCACTTGTAATAAGTGGGTACATTAGAGAATAAAGTATTAGGATTTTAGACTACAGGAAATCTTGGTATTACAATTCTGTTAATTGCCTGTACATCTTGAACAAATCTCCAACCTCACTTATTTGGTTTTTTAACTGGTAAGATTGGAGTGCTACAAGGGCTAGTGCATGAGATTGAATCCTTGCTTAATTAAATTTTCTACAATTGGTGAGAGCCCTTGAATTGCTTCAGGTTTTAGTGGATACTCGAATAATTTAGGCCAAGGATTAAAATAATCTATTTGGACGTTTATTGGTTCCACACTTTTAATTCTTTCTATATTAGTTGGGGAAGAGGCTCATAAACATTTAGGTATTTTGGAAAGATCAGGGGTATTACAGGCCTGAGTTTTTGTCTTATTAATTTCTGCCTGTAGACAGCATAACAATTCTGGTTCAGGGGAATCAAGAAGTGCTAAGATTATTTCTCTCTCTGAGAAAAAAATTTATGTGCCCTCTTAGCTTTGAAAGTAAATATCACCCTAACAAGTTTGCTGGAGCAGTATCACATAGTAAAAAACTGTGTTTTTCTGAAAAGAACCTCTAAGATAATTGGATGTGTTCAGATACGGGAACCTCTTGAACTTGATTTGAAACCCCCACCACAGAAATGATCCTTTTACTCTGCAGGATTTGTTTGCCTATTAAAGTAGGGTTTATGGTAGATAGAGTAGCTCTGGTATCCACCAGGACTGTACGTGGCTCCCTATTTATTTTAACTTCTGTTTCTGCATGTTCATTTAAAGCTAATACAGGGAGCAATTTACTGGAGAATCCCTCAGAGCCTTGTCCTGTTATTATCAGGAGGACTAAGGTGTCTTGGGCTCCTTCTGTGGTTAAACAGTTTGGCCTAAACGGAGGCTTATTGGTGGACTGATAGAAAAGTGGACATCCCTTTTCTAGTGTCCTGACTGTTTGCAATAAAGGCAGACATCTTGGGGTAAAGAATTTCTTGTTTTAGGACCTCTTGGTTGTGATTTAAAATGAGAAAGGGAAGGTCCCTTTGGTCCCTTTGTAACTGCTGTATAATAATTGAAGGGTTATAAGCATGTTAGCCTTTTGAGTTCTTTTTTGCTGTAGAGTCCTCTCAAAATGTTCAGCCAAGGCCACCAATTCAGTCATATCTGTAACTTCTCATCCCAGCTTATGTTTTTTAATTAAACAGCTAAGTCCAGGACCAAGTCCATTTAGAAACAGAGCACTTAATGCCATTTCAGTCCCTACAGGAAATACTCCTTGCTGTACTTTGAGACCAGAATGTTTCACAAACGATGATTCTAAGCAAGTTCTGTAATATGAAACTAGTTCATCCTTTTTGTGTTTACAAGATTGGATGATAGAGCAATCAATTTTTTTGTGGAAAAATTTTAGAAATTGAATTTAAGACGTTTTCAGCAATTTTTCTAGCTGCTTTTGATCCTTCTCCTGAGGAGTTTTTGGAGGGGTCTTTAATATCCTCCTCAGGTCCGTCCCATTCTGCTGCTGCCATCCATTTCCAAGCTTCACCAACCCCAGTATCATGTGAATAAATAGGTAAACGTCAGGAAGTCCTAGATAGTAAGCTCCTAGGAGGGTTCTAAATTCCTTAGTAAATTTTTGAGGATTTTCCTTGGCTCAGGGAAGTCCTTCACAATGGCTCTAAGCTGTTTTAGACCATGCAGTGAAAGTAGTTACAGCAGACAGGCCTGGCTGATCAGAAGGTCTCACTTTTTAAGGCATCTGCCTAACTTCCCTTTTTTCCATCATCTTCAGGGTGAAAAAGGTAATTTAACTAGACGGTTAGTGGACTCAGAGTATGTAGGTAGAGACGGATAAAGTGAAGGAACAGTTGGGGTTAGTTCAGTCAGAGTAGTTTTGTCATGTCTTTAGTCTGTGGCTTAAGCTTTTCATTTGTTTTTTTTGCAAAGAATCTTTTAAGGAGGCAAATTTTGATTCATTTAGTCTTTTAGAGGCCTCTGCATACCAATGAATATGAATATGTAAGAATATGACCCACTGTTTCTGGGGTTTTTGATCCCCCTTTTCTAACATGCCTCACAAACAAATAATTTTATCCAAATTAAAACTTCCCCATTGTGGCCATCTTAATTCTAAGCTTTTTTTTAGTGAGATTAACTCATTTTTCTAAAAATGCACACATTCTGGGCCCATAATTTTTATACATGATATTAGCTACAGTCCCGGAAAGTGGAGTCCCAGACTCCTTGGACTGAGATGAACCGATTTTAAAAATAAGGTACCTAACCGAGGTCCGAGGCCTCTAACTGAATCCAATCCAGTTAATTATCAAATCCAATTCTATCTTGAACCCAGTCCAATGTAAATATTGCTCAAGTAAACTCAGAGAGCTCAAAACACGTTAGTGGAGCTCAGAATCCAAGAGAAAACTCACCCATGTCCTCCAGTTACAATCAAGAGAGTAGTGAGCACAATGGGCTCCACAGGTACCTTGCCTGGTCACCTAGTGTTCCTGGGGGTTGCCAAAGTTTTACTTCGAATCCCACTTTTGAAGCCAGATCTGTTAAAAGAAAACTTCAGACAAATTAAATTTAACAAAGTATAATTAAGCAAGAAAAAAACAAAGATTCATGAATCGGGCAGCCTCCAGAATCACAGCAGATTCAGAGAGACTCCAGGAATGCCTCGTGGTCAGAACAAATTTATAGACAATAAAAGGAAAGTGACGTACAGAAACACCTGGATTGGTTACGGGTTGGTGTTTGTCTTATTCGAACACAGTTTGAACACTCGGCAGTCTACGAGTGGTTGAAGTATGGCTGCTGGGATTAGTCAATACTCTGCCATTGTTACAGGACATACTTGTAAGTTAGGTTTTCAATCTTTTCTATTTATTAAGTGAGGTTATGGTTCGTCCACAAGGACTCAAATATAGAAGTACCAGAGTCCTTCTCAAGCCATACTTGTTTCACTTTAACAGGGTGGAGCTCTTAGACCCCTGAAGTTTCACTGAAAAATTAACTCAAAACGATAGATTAATAGAGAAAAGGCATACAAATTTATTTAACGTTGTCTGCATAGGAGGCTTCAGAATGAAGACCCAATCCGTCAATGGGGTTCAGAAGCTTTTATACTACCTTGAATCGGGAGAAAGAATGCAGGCTCAGAGCATAACCAAAAGCAGGTTATGGTGGTAAATCAGGTTTTAGTGGCATGACAGGGTGTGGGAGGGGGAGAAAAGGAGGCTTAGCTGGTAAAGGTGGTCTTGTTATGTCGATAAGGCCTCAAGATAGCAGCCCTCAGAGAGAATAGAAGGTAAATGTTTATTTCAGATACTTAAGGTGTTAGACTCAGTTTGTCTTTCCTAGATCCAGATAAGGGAAAGCCCAACCGTATTAATGCAGCTTATTTAGAGATGCAAATTTCCCCCCACAAAAGACAGCCTTGCAGAGCCACTTCTGTTTTCTGGCCCTCTGGCAGCTATCTCAAAATAAGTCAAAGAAATATATGTTGCTGTAAAATATTTTGATTTTTTTTCAGTAGATAGATGACTTCCAAATTTTCTGAAAGAAATCAGACATAGGCAATCCTCTATACATAAAACAAGCAGAGATCAAATAGCAAAATGCAAAAATGGAAGCTTTCAGACAAAAATACCATAAAAATGGCAGATCTAAGACTAAACATGCTTTTCACCTCAAAAATGTAAGTAGATCAAATGAAATCTAAAGATAATTAACCCATTCCTTTTTAAAAATTGCTCAAGCAAGCCAGGCATGGTGGCTCACACCTATAATCCCAGCACTTTGGGAGGCCAAGGCAGGCAGATCACTTGAGGTCAGGAGTTCGAGACCACCCTGGGCAACACCTGACTCTACTAAAAAATACAAAAATTAGCCAGGCATGGTGGTGGCGGGTGCCTATAACCCCAGCTACCAGGGAGGCTGAGGCAGGAGAGTTGCTTGAACTCAGGGGGCAGAGGTTTCAGTGAGCCAAGATTGGGCCACTGCACTCCAGCCTGGGCAACTGAGCGAGACTCCGTCTCAAAAAAAAAATGCTCAAGCAAACCAATCTTGTGCTATGTACAGCACCAGGGTGAGCCACGATGCACAAAGCAAAGAGATGCACAAAAGAAGAGGTGTGCACAGAGGATCCCAGGCAGATGGTGGTCAAGGCGGAATGACAAATAAGACAGAGGAGGAGGATACATCTCTCTGGAAATCTTTGTGCACCAAATGCAGAGGATCTGAGTTGATGCTTCACACAAACAGCAAGGCAACTACTAATGCAGAGGCTCAAATCCCCTCTCCGGGACCACAGGAGGGCTGGTCTGCAGCGGCCAGGTCAGAATGTAGGAAATCTATAAGGTAGGCTTGAGGAAACAGTATGGCACTGAGAGGTCTCAAGGACACTTCATTCTTTTTTCCTGGACTCAGGATTCCTCATGGAGAGCTCGTGCCTACTCTACTAGCCTCTCCTGCTGGGCTCAGGAGTTATGTGTCAGGCAAGTGCTCTGGGAAGAAATCATTGATCCCACACCTTCAGGTCTGCTTGCCCTAAGCAACACAGGAGGTTGTGTCCTGGTGTATGCATACACCTTGCTTAATTCAGGCCTGAGCCCCAGGGCCATGGGGACTGCCCATCTTCACCACATTTTCCAAGCCAGCTTTGTTCAGTAATTAAGCTAATGATTTGTTCTCTAATCCCTGTGTTTTTCAGTTGGTCTCTAAATCAGGAGGGGAATGAGTGAACACAGTTTCTTCATACAGCTCCTAAAAGGCTCCAGGAGGAGGGCCTGGTCATTGGCACTCACATGTGAAGGTTGGTGGACAGCTGCTGGTTGGAAAACAGACTCGGTTACACCAGAAGGCTGGGGCTTAGGCCTCTTTTTCAGTCTGTAGCTAGGAGTTCTTGAAGCCAGAAATTCTGTTGATGTGTCACAGAAGCATGTGTGGTCCCGGTCCCCAAACTGTATCTTCCTTCAGAGTAAAAGTGTTCAGGTGCCTGTCTAATGTTAGGAGGCCATGTCTGCACCTTTTCCAGGTGAGAAACCTGAAGCCAAGAGCAAGGTGTAAAGTCCTGCCTTGAAAACTGCCATTTATGGCTTTGAATCATTGTGTTCCATTATCTAGACTCTAGTCACCTTCACTTCTACTAAAAAACCTCAATTATGGAAGCATTTCTTAAATTTTGTACAGAAATTTCCACCTGGGATAGGAAGCTATGGCTAAGAGAAAATGTGTTAAAGCTATGATCTGGATAAAGAAATCCTTGTGACTATAGGCAGGCTCCAAATCTGCAGCTTTCCTGTGGTGACTGTGGAAAAGAGTCCCGGCATTCACACAGCTGAGTGGGCAGTCAGGACAGCCTGCACGACACAGGCTTAGGGGTGCAAAAGGGCCTCAGGATCTAACTAGTTCTGAATTTACAAATAAGAAAACTGAGGCCTGTAGGAAAAGAAATGTTTTGTGCAAAACCACTGCATCATTATGCTGAAACAGGTACTGGGGATCAGGTTTGAAAGGAGCCACATGCAGAAATCTCTGGTATAAAAGCACAATTACAAGAGGACACACACACACACACACACCTGCTGCAAGGGCATATAAATGATTATGTGCATATGTGCAAAGTAAATTGCTTTTGCCTCATTTATTATTAACAGCCCATGACACACGTACCCATTTCCTTCACAGTTTCTTTACAGAGAATACACACAGCAATTGTGTTGCTATATGAACCAATAATGACACCATGGAGTTACAAAGCAATTTCCACAAAACAGCTAAAATAAATTTAAATAATATCTCATTTGTTACAAGAAAACTCATCTCAGTGGATAAGCAGCAATTATGGTAATCTTTGCTACTGCTTTAAGATCACAGATCTGAAACCAAGGGATGCCAACTGGAGAGCAAGCTGGGTCCCAGGTCCTGGCCCTGGGTGCAGCAGCAATTTTCTGGCTCCAAGTACCTTAAGTGTGTGAGCTGGCTCTTCTTTGCTTGCTGGTATCGTGCCCATCTGCAGCCTGCTTGGTTGCCCTATGTCCCCTGCCCCATAAGCCTCATCCTCTGTTTAATTTTTCTTTTATAATTTTGTCAATAGTTTTGCATAAGTAAAGATTTTTAAGGAGTGCTTCATCACCATCCTCATAATAGCCCAGATTTAACACTTTTTAAAACTCTGCTTTGAAAAACAACATTTTTTTAAAAGCTGATTAGTACTCATAATCTGAATTAATAAAATGACTTGAATTGCAGAACCCAGTAGACTACATGCTTTTAGTCCCAGAGGTGTGTTGGTTGATCACTTTAGCAGAAAAATGTGTTGTTGGCTAATAATACCAGTGTGCGGTCCCAAGACCTGGAAACATGGTCAAAAGCTGAGCTTTCGTATTTTTGTTTCTATGTGATTCTCTTATGAATACAAGCATTTGGCATTTCCCTGCAGTTAACATTTTATGTTCTGAAGCTTTTTATATCCCAGTATGTCTCCTTTTTAAATAGGCAGCTTGGAGAGCCCTGGCTCATATAAGTGAGTGCAAAAACCTTGACGTTGTGATGATGCCTTTAGCAAGTGTTGACTTGGAAGAGATGAGGGTGTGGGAGGGTTGCAGAGCAGGCTGGCTCCCCATCCCCTGGCACCTCGCTGGCATCTGTCTGCCTTGTGTTTGATTGCATACAAGATTTGGGTATCAGTACATTGCACCATGGACAGTAAACGAGGATCCTAGAGTCAGGGCTCACGCTAATTGTTGCCACTTCAGAAAATCTTTCTTGGCACTATAAGAGTGAAACAAAAAGAAAAAAGCTCATCGCACTAACTTCTGCTTTGCAGAGGCATTGCTCTAAGCATTTGTATTATCTTGTTTAAATTCCATGACAGCTATATGAAGAAGCTATCATTATCCTTTCATTTTAATAATGTGGAAACCAGGTACAGAGAGGTTAAGTAACTTGTCCAAAATCACCCAGCTCAAAAGATGTAGAGCTTTACTACTCCACTAAAAAGCACATTTGGCCTTATTTTGGCACAACCAGCATTCAAAAACGTCAGTTTCTCGAATCTCCTCTGTCACCCAATGAGCTCCAATGCAGAGGAGCAGACCTGGGCAATGTGTGTAGCGAAAAGCATCAGGAAACAGAATTGAGGATATTATGGAGGCTTAACAAGAGGCTCTAGAAATATCTAGAAGACTGTAGAAATATAGGGATATAGAATCCAGTTCTCCATTTTCATGACTATCTTGGAACCATATCCCCCAGGCATGGGTTTAGAAAGAAACACAACATTCTAGAACAGTCACCTTTGTGAAGCATAAGCTATTTTTGTTCATTAATCAGTCGCATTCTTTTCTCTTTCTTTTTAAAAGAAAGTCTCCTAGACAAGCCATAAATAATGTTAAAATGTTCCTAACATTGAAAAGCTCAAGCCATGATTCCCTATTTATGTTTCCCTAGCTTTGCAAAGCAAATTGAGCAGCTAGGAAAGAGGACAATTTTTATTTTTGAAAATCAAAATGTTACTTGATGTTAAAAGCATGTTTTCAACCATCAAGCACAAACTCCAATGTGCCTTAAGCCCAAGATGGAGTCAGCAACTCCCTTCAGTCATGCCAGCTGGAACTCAGGACCAGGCACAGAGCAATCACTTATCCTAATTGGGACTGCAGGCTGGTGAGGAGTGCAGATCACCTCCTGGTTTCTCCTTTTCTTCTTGCAACCAGGAAAATGCAATTAAAAAAAGATATTATACATCATAGACACTTTTGACTAAGAATGAGGGGAGACCAATCTCAGATTTAAAACCACTGGGGGAATCCAAATAGGTTATCAAATTCTGCTTCAGTATACATCATGTTTAAGCTTAAGAAAAATGTTTTTTTCCCTGAGTTAAAAATAAATATATTTGGTGGGGATGGAGCCAAGATGTCCAAATAGGAACAGCTCCAGTCTACAGCTCCCAGTGTGAGTGATGCAGAAGATGGGTGATTTCTGCATTTCCAACTGAGGTACCGGGTTCATCTCACTGGGGAATGCCGGACAGTGGGTACAGGACAGTGGGTACAGCGCACCGTGCGTGAGCCGAAGCAGGGCGAGGCATTGCCTTACCTGGGAAGTGCAAAGGGTCAGGGAATTCCCTTTCCTAGTCAAAGAAAGGGGTGATAGATGGCACCTGGAAAATAGGGTCACTCCCACCCTAATACTGTGCTTTTCCAATGGGCTTCACAAATGGCACACCAGGAGATTATATCCAGCACCTGGCTCGGAGGGTCCTACGCCCACAAAGCCTCACTCATTGCTAGCACAGCAGTCTGAGGTCAAACTGCAAGGTGGCAGCGAAGCTGGGGGAGTGGCGCCCACCATTGCCCAGGCTTCAGTAGCTAAACAGAGTGGCCAGGAAGCTTGAACTGGGTGGAGTCCACCACAGCTCAAGGAGGCCTGCCTGCCTCTGTAGGCTCCACCTCTGGGGGCAGGGCACAGACAAACAAAAGACAGAAATAACCTCTGCAAACTTAAATGTCCCTGTCTGACAGCTTTGAAGAGAGTAGTGGTTCTCCCAGCACGCAGCTTGAGATCTGAGAATGGGCAGACTGCCTCCTCAAGTGGGCCCCTGACCCCCAAGTTGCCTAACTGGGAGGCACCCCCAAGTAGGGGTAGACTGACACCTCACATGGCTGGGTACTCCTCTGACACAAAACTTCCAGAGGAAGGATCAAGCAGCAGCATTTGTGGTTCACTAATATCCACTGTTCTGCAGCCACCGCTGCTGACACTCAGGCAAACAGGGTCTGGAGTGGACCTCCAGTAAATTCCAACAGACCTGCAGCTGAGGGTCCTGACTGTTAGAAGGAAAACTAACAAACAGAAAGGACATCCATACCAAAAACCCATCTGTACGTCACCATCATCAAAGACCAAAGGTAGATAAAGCCACAAAGATGGGGAAAAAACAGAGCAGAAAAACCAGAAACTCTAAAAATCAGAGCACCTCTCCTCCTCCAAAGGAACGCAGCTCCTCACCAGCAACGGAACAAAGCTGGATGGAGAATGACTTTGATGAGTTGAGAGAAGAAGGCTTCAGAAGATCAAATTACTCCAAGCTAAAGGAGGAAGTTCGAACCAATGGCAAAGAAGTTAAGAACTTTGAAAAAAAATTAGATGAATGGATAACTAGAATAACCGATGCAGAGAAGTCCTTAAAGGACCTGATGGAGCTGAAAACCACTGCACGAGAACTACGTGACGAATGCACAAGCCTCAGTAACTGATGCAATCAACTGGAAGAAAGGGTATCAGCGATGGAAGATGAAATGAATGAAATGAAGCATGAAGAGAAGTTTAGAGAAAAAAGAATAAAAAGAAATGAACAAAGCCTCCAAGAAATATGGGACTCTGTGAAAAGACCAAATCTATGTCTAATTGGTGTACCTGAAAGTGACGGGGAGAATGGAACCAAGTTGGAAAATACTCTGCAGGATATTATCCAGGAGAACTTCCCCAATCTAGCAAGGCAGGCCAACATTCAAATTCAGGAAATACAGAGAACGCCACAAAGATACTCCTCGAGAAGAGCAACTCCAAGACACATAATTGTCAGATTCACCAAAGTTGAAATGAAGGAAAAAATGTTAAGGGCAGCCAGAGAGAAAGGTCAAGTTACCCACAAAGGGAAGCCCATCAGACTAACAGCTGATGTCTCAGCAGAAACTCTACAAGCCAGAAGAGAGTGGGGGCCAATATTCAACATTCTTAAAGAAAAGAGTTTTCAACCCAGAATTTCATATCCAGCCAAACAAAGCTTCATAAGTGAAGGAGAAATAAAATACTTTACAGACAAGCAAATGCTGAGAGATTTTGTCACCACCAGGCCTGCCCTAAAAGAGCTCCTGAAGGAAGCACTAAACATGGAAAGGAAAAATCGGTACAAGCCACTGCAAAAACATGCCAAATAGTAAAGACCATCAAGGCTAGGAAGAAGCTGCATCAATTAACGAGCAAAATAACCAGCTAACATCATAATGACAGGATCAAATTCACACATAACAATACTAACCTTAAATGTAAATGGGCTAAATGCTCCAATTAAAAGGCACAGACTAGCAAATTGGATAAAGAGTCAAGACCCATCTGTGTGCTGTATTCAGGAAACCCATCTTACATGCAGAGACACACATAGGCTCAAAATAAAGGGACAGAGGAAGATCTACCAAGCAAACGGAAAACAAAAAAAGGAAGGGGTTGCAATCCTAGTCTCAGATAAAACAGACTTTAAACCAACAAAGATCAAAAGAGACAAGGCCATTACATAATGGTAAAGGGATCAATTCAACAAGAAGAACTAACTATCCTAAATATATATGCACCCAATACAGGAGCACCCAGATTCATAAAGCTAGTCCTTAGAGACCTACAAAGAGACTTAGACTCCCACACAATAATAATGGGAGACTTTAACACCCCACTGTCAACATGAGACCGATCAACGAGACAGAAAGTTACCAAGGATATCCAGGAATTGAACTCAGCTCTGCACCAAGAGGACCTAATAGACTTCTACAGAACTCTCCACCTCAAATCAACAGAATATACCTTCTTTTCAGCACCACACCACACCTATTCCAAAATTGACCACATAGTTGGAAGTAAAGCACTCCTCAGCAAATGTAAAAGAACAGAAATTATAACAAACTGTCTCTCAGACCACAGTGCAATCAAACTAGAACTCAGGATTAAGAAACTCACTCAAAACCGCTCAACTACATGGAAACTGAACAAACTGCTCCTGAATGACTACTGGGTACATAACGAAATGAAGGCAGAAATAAAGATGTTCTTTGAAACCAACGAGAACAAAGACACAACATACCAGAATCTCTGGGACACATTCAAAGCAGTGTGTAGAGGCAAATGGCAAATTTATAGCACTAAATGCTCACAAGAGAAAGCAGGAAAGATCTAAAATTGACACCCTAACATCACAATTAAAAGAACTAGAGAAGCAAGCGCAAACACATTCAAAAACCAGCAGAAGGCAAGAAATAACTAAAATCAGAGCAGAACTGAAGGAAATAGAGACATAAAAAACCCTTCAAAAAATCAATGAATCCAGGAGCTGGTTTTTTGAAAAGATCAACAAAATTGATAGACTGCTAGCAAGACTAATAAAGAAGAAAACAAAGAAGAATCAAATAGACACAATAAAAAATGACAAACGGGATATCACCACCAATCCCACAGAAATACAAACTACCATCAGAGAATACTATAAACACCTCTATGCAAATAAACTAGAAAATCTAGAAGAAATGGATAAATTCCTCAACACATACACCCTCCCAAGACTAAACCAGGAAGAAGTTGAATCTCTGAATAGACCAATAACAGGCTCTGAAATTGAGGCAATAATTAATAGCTTACCAACCAAAAAAAGTCCAGGACCAGATGGATTCACAGCCGAATTCTACCAGAGGTACAAGGAGGAGCTGGTACCATTCCTTCTGAAACTATTCCAATCAATAGAAAAAGAGGGAATCCTCCCTAACTCATTTTATGAAGCCAGCATCATCCTGATACCAAAGCCGGGCAGAGACACAACCAAAAAAGAGAATTTTAGACCAATATCCTTGATGAACATTGATGCAAAAATCCTCAATAAAATACTGGCAAACCGAATCCAGCAGCACATCAAAAAGCTTATCCACCATGATCAAGTGGACTTCATCCCTGGGATGCAAGGCTGGTTCAACATGCAAAAATCAATAAACGTAATCCAGCATATAAACAGAACCAAAGACAAAAACCACATGATTATCTCAATAGATGCAGAAAAGGCCTTTGACAAAATTCAACAACACTTCATGCTAAAAACTCTCAATCAATTAGTTATTGATGGGACATATCTCAAAATAATAAGAGCTATCTATGACAAACCCACAGCCAATATCATACTGAATGGGCAAAAACTGGAAGCATTCCCTTTGAAAACTGGCACAAGACAAGGATGCCCTCTCTCACCACTCCTATTCAACATAGTGTTGGAAGTTCTGGCCAGGGAAATCAAGCAGGAGAAGGAAATAAAGGGCATTCAGTTAGGAAAAGAGGAAGTCAAATTGTCCCTGTTTGCAGATGACATGATTGTATATCTAGAAAACCCCATCGTCTCAGCCCAAAATCTCCTTAAGCTGATAAGCAACTTCAACAAAGTTTCAGGATACAAAATCGATGTGCAAAAATCGCAAGCATTCTTATACACCAATAACAGACAGAGAGCCAAATCATGAATGAACTCCCATTCACAATTGCTTCAAAGAGAATAAAATACCTAGGAATCCAACTTACAAGGGATGTGAAGGACTTATTAAAGGAGAACTACAAACCACTGCTCAATGAAATAAAAGAGGATACAAACAAATGGAAGAACATTCCATGCTCATGGGTAGGAAGAACCAATATCGTGAAAATGGCCATACTGCCCAAGGTAATTTATAGATTCAATGCCATCCCCATCAAGCTACCAATGACTTTCTTCACAGAATTGGAAAAAACTACTTTAAAGTTCATATGGAACCACAAAAGAGCCCGCATTGCCACGTCAATCCCAAGCCAAAAGAACAAAGCTGGAGGCATCATGCTACCTGACTTCAAACTATACTACAAGGCTACAGTAACCAAAACAGCATGGTACTGGTACCAAAACAGAGATATAGACCAATGGAACAGAACAGAACCCTCAGGAATAATGCCACATATCTACAACTATCTGATCTTTGACAAACCTGACAAAAACAAGCAATGGGGAAAGGATTCCCTATTTAATAAATGGTGCTGGGAAAACTGGCTAGTCATATGTAGAAAGCTGAAACTGGATCCTTTCCTTACACCTTATACAAAAATTAATTCAAGATGGATTAAAGACTTAAATGTTAGACCTAAAACCATAAAAACCCTAGAAGAAAACCTAGGCAATACCATTCAGGACATAGGCATGGACGAGGACTTCATGTCTAAAATACCAAAAGCAACGGCAACAAAAGCCAAAATTGACAAATGGGATCTAATTAAACTAAAGAGCTTCTGCACAGCAAAAGAAACCACCATCAGAGCGAACAGGCAACCTACAGAATGGGATAAAATTTCTGCAACCTACTCATCTGACAAAGGGCTAATATCCAGAATCGGCAACGAATTCAAACAAATTTCAAGAAAAAAGCAAACAACCCCATCAAAAAGTGGGCAAAGGATATGAACAGACACTTCTCAAAAGAAGACATTTATGCAGCTAAAAAACACATGAAAAAATGCTCATCATCACTGGCCATCAGAGAAATGCAAATCAAAACCACAATGAGATACCATCTCACACCAGTTAGAATGGCGATCATTAAAAAGTCAGGAATTTTGGGAGGCCGAGACGGGCGGATCACGAGGTCAGGAGATCGAGACCATCTTGGCTAACACGGTGAAACCCCGTTTCTACTAAAAATACAAAAAATTAGCCGGGCGTGTTGGCGGGCGTCTGTAGTCCCAGCTACTTGGGAGGCTGAGGCAGGAGAATGGCATGAACCTGGGAGGCGGAGCTTGCAGTGAGCCGAGATCTCGCCACTGCACTCCAACCTGGGAGACACAGCGAGACTCCATCTCAAAAAAAAAAAAAAAAAAAAAAAAAAAAAAGTCAGGAAACAACAGGTGCTGGAGAGGATGTGGAGAAATAGGAATACTTTTACACTGTTGGTGGGACTGTAAACTAGTTCAACCATTGTGGAAGTCGGTGTGGTGATTCCTCAGGGATCTAGAACTAGAAATACTATTTGACCCAGCCATCCCATTACTGGGTATATACCCAAAGGATTGTAAATCATGCTGCTATAAAGACACATGCACACGTATGTTTATTGCAGCACTATTCACAATAGCAAAGACTTGGAACCAACTCATATGTCCAACAATGATAGACTGGATTAAGAAAATGTGGCACATATACACCATGGAATACTATGCAGCCATAAAAAATGATGAGTTCATGTCCTTGTAGGGACATGGATGAAGCTGGAAACCATCAGTCTCAGCAAACTATCGCAAGGACAAAAAACCAAACACCGCATGTTCTCACTCATAGGTGGGAATTGAACAATGAGAACACTTGGACACAGGAAGGGGAACATCACACACCGGAGACTGTTGTCGGGTGGGAGGAGGGGGGAGGGATAGCATTGGGAGATATACCTAATGCTAAATGACGAGTTGATGGGTGCAGCACACCAACATGGCACATGTATACATATGTAACAAAGCTGCACGTTGTGCACATGTACCCTAAAACTTAAAGTATAATAATAATTTTAAAAAAAGAAATTTAACACAATAAATAAATAAATAAATAAATATATTTGGCATATTGAAAAACAAAAGTTTCTTTCACACACTCAAACTAAAAGCTGTAATTTTTACCAGCTTCCAAACTACCAGTAAAATCGGTCAGTTTTCACACTAAATCAAGCTAATTTGGTGAAAGTAAGACTCAAATCAAATTAATTTATGTAATTTTACTAATCCCATATGCAAATGGCAATGTTGAAAAAAAAAGTGACCTGGGGTATGATTATCATTTTCTCAAGCTTTATTGAGGTATAATTGACAAAAGTTGTATATATTTAAGGTTTACAATGTGATGGTTTGACATACATTGTGAAATGATTACTGCAATCAAGCTAATTAACCTATCACCTTACAGAGTTTCCGTGTGTGTGTGTGCGCGCATGTGTGCGTGTGTGTGAGAGAGAGAGAGAGATGAGAATACTAGAGATGAGAATACTTAAGATCTGCTCTGAGTAAATTTCAAGAGTACGATACATTATTATTAACTATAGGCACCATGCTGTACAAGAGATCTCCATAGGGTGGAATTATCATTTTGTTAAAGAAATTTTTATATATGTATTTTATTCTACCAGAATTTTACACATGTGCACACACGCATACACATTGCATGAACGTGTGGTCTTTAAAAAAAAAAACAAAAAGTACTTTTCATATCTCCTTTATATGACTGTTTAAAATTACCAGTAAATTATTTTATCTATGTAATATAAAGTTCCCTTCTAAACAGTAATCTACGCCCTTCAGTTACATTGTTATACTGCAAGACTAAGAATTATCATCCAGCTCAATTTAAATATGGATTATATTAAATTAATCAACTTATTGTTATTGGCTATAGTTCTTTAAATAAAAGAAAATTCTTCCTTCTATTCAGGATGATGTGACAGGGTTGTAAAACCTTAGTCATCTGGCCAGAGAAACGTCTTCTAAAGTTTGTAGCCCCATGATATTTTCAGAATAATTAGATGGCAGCCACCAATCAAGTGTCCTTTGTGAAGAAAGCAAAGTTCGTCAATTTATTCAGAGCACATTCTCAAACCAGAGCAGAGCTTCAGCACATCAATTAGGGTGTTTGAAGAATTCCCTCAACTCTCAAGACCCATTTACTGTATAAGACAAAACTTACAGCAAGGACGATAGGAGAATGTGTATTTTCTCCTAACAAAATGGGTTCTGAAATTTGTAACTAAACATAATTAATAAAAAGTATATGTAAAATATGTAAACTACACATGCAAAGTATCTGCGTGTGTATGGGTGGTGTGTGGGGGGGTAAATGCGTGTGTGAGCATAGGTATATGTGATGTGTGTGTGTGAATGTGAGTGCATGTGTGTGAATTTGAGTGTATGTGCGCATGTGAGTGTGTGAGTGTATGTGTGACTGTAAATGTGTGGGTGTGTGTGTATGTTTATGAATGTGCATGAGTGTGTGTGAATGTGAGTGTGCGGGTGTATGTGTGTGAATGTGAGTGTGTATGTGTGAGAATCTGAGTGTGTGAGTGTATGTGTGACTGTAAATGTGTGGGTGTGTGTGTATGTGTGTGAATGTGTATGAGTGTGAATGTGAGTGTGTGGGTGGATGTGTGTGAATGTGTGTATGTGTGAGAATGTGTGTGCATGTGAGTGTATGTGTGACTGTAAATGTGTGTGGGTGTGTGAATGTGTATGAGTGTGTGAATGTGAGTGTGTGGGTGTATGTGTGTGAATGTGAGTGTGTATGTGTGTGAATGTGAGTGTGTGTATGTGACTGTAAATGTGTGTGTGGGTGTGAATGTGTATGAGTGTGTGAATGTGAGTGTGTGGGTGTATGTGTGTGAATGTGAGTGTGTATGTGTGAGAATGTGTATGAATGTGTGTGAGTATATGTGTGACTGTAAATGTGTGGGTGTGTGTGTATGTGTGTGAATGTGTATGAGTGTGTGTGATGTGAGTGTGTGGATGTATGTGTGTGAATGTGAGTGTGTATATGTGAGAATGTGTGTGAATGTGAGTGTGTGAGTGTGTGTGACTATAAATGTGTGGGTGTATGTGTGTGAGAATGTATTTGTGTCTGAATGTGTGTGAGTGTATATGTGTGAAGTGACTGTGAGCACATGTGTGTGAATGTGACTGTGTGAGTGTATGTGTGTGAATGTGTGTGGGGGGGTTGTTTGTATCTGTGAATGTGGCTGAGTGCATGGGTATGTGCATGTGTCTGTATGTGTGTGTGTGGATTTGTGTGTGGGTATATGTGTATGTGTGGGGGGGGTGTGTGAATTTGTAGGGGAAATATATGTGTGTGTGGGGTGTGTGTGTGTGTGTGTGTGTGTGTGTGTGTGTGTGTGTATGGCGCTCCTGTAAACCCAGAGGCGGATGGAGAAACGTAGACAGGCAATTAGTAAAGGATTCCCCACAAGAGAGTCAGACCAAAAGGGAAAACAGAATTGCTGAAAACTGGAGGAGTTCTAGAACTTTCCAAGGACAGTTCACATGCATGGAGTCCAGGGTGTTGTTCTAACATGCATGAGAGTGCTGGGTAGGAACAGTGAGAGCTGAGGCCAACTCCCAGCTGGCCACCAGCACAGGACAGTGGGCAAGTTATTTGACTCTTAGTGCCCCAATTTCCTCAACCATAAAACGGGGTAATATTGGTGCATATGGTGAGGAGAAAACAGGCCAAAGCCCACTGGCTGGAAGGGGTTGCCCAGCGCGGCAAGGCACTGTCAGGCCCTTTGAGAATGTGCTGGGTCAGAGAAAGACAGATGGACCAATGGGTGCAGGTTCTGGTGGAGCCCATCAGGTCACCTCGCACGGTGCTGACCAGGGTCAGCTGCCTCTCACCATGAGTCAGGCTGCTGCAAAGTCTCTGTGCTGCTAGTCCCTGGTCACGTCCCTAAGCCACTCTTTCTCTGGCCATAGGTACTTTGCCGGGCAGCTCTGCTCACTGCCTGGTGTCAGTCCTGCGCGTGTCCTCTTCTGACTCTACATTTTCTCCTGTGGTCTCAGCCACTCCTAAATCTGTCCTGATGTTCCCCAAATGCGTACCTAGGTCCACACTTTTTGTGGCTGTCGCATACCTACAGAGAGGGTGGCATCTCCACGTGGACACCCCTCGGGCATCTCAGACTCGTCAAGTTCAAACCGGAGCACCTTGTCATCCCTCCACAGCCTCTGTCCTCTAATCTCTGCTGTCACTGTCCTTCACCTATGGGCACCATCTACCACCAGGTGTATGCTGATCACACCCACTTCCCTCCTCCCCGTCACAGCCCTCATGTTCCCACCCCCCGTGATCTGCTGCTTGGCTTATAAAACTCCCCAACTGTCCCCACTTACCCCTCTCTCATCTATTATTATTATTATTATTATTATTATTATTATTATTATTATTATTATTTTGAGAAGGAGTTTCGCTCTTGTCACCCAGGCTGGAGTGCAATGGCGCAGTCTCGGCTCATTGCAACCTCCGCCTCCTGGGTTCAAGTGATTCTCCTGCCTCAGCCTCCAGAGCAGCTGGGATTACAGGCGCCAGCCACCATGCCTGGCTAATTTTTGTATTTTTAGTAGAGACGGGGTTTCACCATGTTGGCCAGGCTGGTCTTGAACTCCTGACCTCTGGTGATCCACCTGCCTCAGCCTCCCAAAGTGTTAGGATTACAGGCATGAGCCACTGTGCCCGGCCTCTCATCCATTATTTACTCAGCAGCCAGAGTGGCCTCTAACAAATGCACATGGAAAGCTTTGCACGTGCTCCCTCAGGCTCTGCACCATCCCTGCATGGGATTAGTGGTTAATCACCTACGCTGCAGTATCCAGGAGAGAAAGCCCAGCTCCACCACTAGCCAGCTGTGTGACCTGGGAAATTTGCTTAACTTCTTGAGCCTCAGTTATCCCATCTGTAAAATGGGGATAAAAATCATACTTGATTTTCTAGGAATTTTGTGAAAATTATATGGGCTAATCTAAGAAAAGCCCCTAGTAAGAGCTCAGAAACTAAGAACAAGGACTCTTCCTCCTCAGCCACACTTCCCAGCACCTCTGCCCCCAGTGCCCCCAGCCCTTTCCTTCACAGTCCTGGCCTTTTCACATGCTGTTATAACTCCCTGACCTCCTTCTATTCCATTCAGAACCTAACAGTCCTCCCTGCCTTTCAGAGGTCACCTTTGCCTGCATGCCTGATGACTCTCCAATCTAAGTCAGCACAATGCCCCCAGCCCTGAGTTACGCCTCTTGTGATTTCCATTATTTTCTCTGTATAGTAGCCTTTTTTAAAGAGGATGTCACACTTTTTAAAACATCTTAGTTGAACATCCTCACTTTGGGCTTAAGGCCTAAGCACAAATAGAGCTGTCAGCCTGTTCTTCCCATGCTCTGCTAGCAGCAAAAACAGCAGCTTTTGTGACCACGTGGATCACAAAAGGTATGGCGTGGCCAAATGGAGGGAAAAAGCCAATCAAAGGAGCTGCTTAGAAATCCCAGTGACGTCTTTCAAAGAACTGTTCAGAGAGCCAACAGCCACTGGTCTCTAATCAATTCTCCAACAGAAACAGTGTAAGATTTTTAAAAAAATAAAAAATAACACTTTCTTTATTTTCAACCAAGGAAAAATCCCAATTTTGCCTTTCATAAAGTCCAGGCTGTGACCTCTCCAGGGATGTCACCTCCATCATAGGACGCCCCTCCCACTGCTGGGTCATGAGGGATGGGACTGCTCAGCAGAAACGTCTGGACCCAAGAGCAAAATCCTCTACCTGGGCCATTTCCAGTGTGCCCTTTTTTTTTTCCCAACATGTACGTTATGTGCTTCTTCTAATAGATCACCCAAGCAGCTAACTAGCACAACCAAACAACTTCGGTTCTCACACTGTTCCTTAATAATTGCATTTTGATGTCAGCAATGCAGTGTTAATTGCTACAAACTAATGAGAAATGCACAGGATGACTTCATGCGTAAATATGTTCAAGCAACACTATACAAAGGATTTTTATCGTTGTTGTTGCTGTTTTGGTAATGCAAAGCCAGAAGAGAGAGAACAGTGTCATTGTGGAGCACACACTGGTATAAAGATGCCAAATTCTAAGGGATTTGCAGCACATGCATGGGGGCCATGTTGACATTGGGAGCAACAGTTGAGCTTTCTGCTACTGGATGGGGCGTGGTCCCAAGAGCAGAGAGGAAGGGCTGGGGACCCTGTCGAGGAGCATGTCTGGCTGGGCATCCCATGGAGGGCTGCTCTGTGTGCTCCCTGAGCATCATCAGCACAGCAGCCTGCACCCTCTTTCTCAAAGTTCCTCTCTTTGTACCAGAGCCTGCCCACACACCGTTGCTTAAGAGGGGAACATAATTCCGGTTGCCATCAACTGTATTAATTGCTTACCATCTTTTCTCTAATCACCTATATCACAAAATCATCATGCATGCCATTAAGAGGAAGTCCTATTTATCAGTCTACAAGCATTTATTGAGGTCCCTCGCCCCTTAGGAGCTGACAGCAGATGACAGCTGACAATGATGACAGTTGTAATCATTGGCTTTCCAAGACTGCAACCCTCAAACTGGTTCTGAGGTCATCAGCTTCAACAGTTTCTGGTTCACATGGTAGGACTCTATATTCATCATTTTGTAGAAAGAACTAAATGACGAGAACATATGGACACATAGAGGGGAACAACACATACTGGGGCCTTTCAAAAGGTGGAGGCTGGAGGGTGGATGGTGGAGGGTGGACGGAGGGAGAAGATCAGGAAAAATAACTAATGGGTACTAGGCTTAATACCTGGTTGATAAAATGTAATCTGTATAACAAACTCCCATGACACAAGTTTACCTATGTAACAAACCTGTACTTGTACCCCTGAACTTAAAGGTTAAAAAGAGAGAGAACTTTTGCAAAATATCCTTTGTCACCAACATAAGTCCCAAGTGTAAAAGCTTCTCTTTGTGGAATCAGTGGCTAATTTTCATCCATAAAGGTGGCATTTGTCCTTTCTACTCCATCACATCTGACGTCAGTTCAGTGCAACTTTTTAAAAAGATATGCATTCTATATTTAGTTCCAGAAAAGATTCAAGCGGAGTCAAATGACTGTATACAATGCAGTAAGAAAATGTAAAATTAATGAGAGAGATAAGAGAGAATGAGGGTACCAAGTAAAGAATGTAGTAAGAAGTTTGTGGGAAGGGGGTGCTTTCTTTCACTGCAGTGAAACTCACATAATATAACATTTACCGACTCAACTATTTTTAGTGTACCACTGAGTATTAAGAACATTCATAGTGTTGTGCAATTATCACTACCATCCATTTCCTCAACTTCTTCCTCTTGCAAAACTGAAACTCTGTGCTCATTAAACACTAACTACACTAACTCCCTATTCTCCACCCCTCAGTCCCTGGCAGCCATCATCCTACTTTCTGTCTCTAAGAATTTGACTACTCTAGCCACCTCATATAAGTGGAATCTCATAATATTTGCCCTTTCATGACTGGTTTATTTCACTTAGCATAATGGCCTCGGGGCCCATCTGTTTTGTAATGGATCAGAATTTCATCCCTTTTTAAGGTTGAAAAGCATTCCGTCATAGGAAAATACCAGAGATATATAAATGTATCTCTTTTACATGACATACTTTAACCTCTGTGTTCATATAAGTTTCACAAAACACGATCTATGTCATTGTGGAACGTCCGAAATCATGGCTAGGGTAGGAGGTCATGATAGTTGCGAATAGAATTATTGTAAATCCTTTCACAAATAACTGAACTCAACTCACTGATTGTTTTGCTGCCCCCATCCCCGCCGCGCGCACACACACACACACACACACGCACACTTTTATTTTTTCCTTTCCAACTTTAAATTATTCTCGTTTCTCACTATCTAAAAGCTTGGTGTCCCTTCTGGGTTGAAAGTGTTATTATAATTGCTGCTTTTCTGCTGCAGCCATCTCTTAAAAGATTTAAATTAAATGAAAGTATTTCTGACAACTTATAAAATGTGAAACTCAATGTAGAGCTCTGATTACATTTTCTGACAGTGAAGGTTTCTTGGAACGTTATCCATTTAACAGCTATCTAGTGAGTGCCTTGTCCACATCAGGCACTGTTCTTGGGGCTGGGGATTCAGCAAGGAACAGAGACTCTGCCTCAGCCTTTCCAGGCTTACATGCATTTGTGTTCCAGAGGTGAAGACCGACAATAAAATACCAGTAAACAAATGGAATAATTGCAAGTTATGGTATGTGTTAGAAAGAAACAATGCAGGACTGATGTAGAAAGTCTCCACAGTGAGTGGTGTGCTGAGGTGGTCAGGAAAAGGGCACTCCAAAGATAGACAGGACATTGAAACTGAGATGGAAAGCTATCGAAGAAGCTGGTGATGCAGAGAGATCCACACAGACGGAGGAGCATGTGTGAGGTCCCTGAGCTGGCAAAGAGCGTATGATGGTCAAGGAGCTACGAGCCAACATTGAATCTGGAGAATGATGATCTGGGAGGAAGGTAGCACAGAGGCTCTGGGGAGGGAGAGCCTCAGAGATCATAATGAAAAGTGAAGTTTATTCCATGTTTGCTGAGAAGCACTCAGGAGTGGGTTGTTTTGCTTGTTTGTTTTATTTGTTTGTTTTTGAGACGGGGTCTCGCTCTGTCGCCCAGGCTGGAGTGCAGTAGCGCGATCTTGACTCACTGCAAGCTCCGCCTCCCGGGTTCACGCCGTTCTCCTGCCTCAGCCTTCCGGCGCTCCGGAGTGTTTCAAGCAGGATATCACCTGAATTGTACTTGAAAAGAAGCTTTCTTGCAGCTTGGTGGCGCTTGGATTGAAGAGTAGCAAGTGTGGAATGTGGCCACTAATGAGCGGGCTGGAGCTTAGCACAGGTGCTCCTGATGCGGGCTCAGCTAGGGGCCCTAGAGCCAGAAGAGGCAGCTGATTCAATCTTCTATGGGAAATGCACTTGAGGGTCCTTATTCACCTGTTAGGGATAAGCAGTAACACCAGGTGTTTGGCTTGAAAACTGAGAGCATGGTGGTGCCCTTTGCTGAGATTCCTCATCTCAGTATGAGACAAGGGCATTTGGGGGTGAAACTCAAGGGTTCTGTGTTGAAGAGTTAGAAATGAGCTATCTGCAAAAACCCAATGGAGGTGTAAAGCTTGTTTGTACTGTATGCTAGTGTGGCTTCCAGTGGAGAGCTCAGAGCTACAGATACAATTTTAGAGTCATTAACATAAGGGTGGTATTTGAATTCATGAAGATTACCACAGAATAGAGAACAGAGAAGATCAAACTCCGGCTCTGAGGAGCTTCACCATGGAGAGGTCAGGTAGAGAAGAAGACAGGGTGCTGCAGACAGGGAGCCGAGGGCTGGGAGCTGAACTATGGACCCGGGGAAGGCCGGTTCCACGGCAGTGGGGAAAAGCCACATTAAACCTTCTGATCAGTGAATAGAGGCAAGAGAGTGGAGATGGTGGGAATGGGCAGGGTTTTGAGAATTCTGCTTTTAAAGAAGATTGGAGCTATAAGGTAGTAGCTGGAAGAGGAAAGTAGATGCAGGACTTTCTTTTTGATTGAGAGGTAATACAGCATGTTGATAAACAGTGCACTGATGAGAATGTTTACTGGAAGTGGTCACTTTTGTGTTAGAATATTTGCAGCACAGTTACCCTCTTGGCAAAAATCAACCAGCACAGCCAACTGCCTCTTCTGGCAGTAGTAGATCCAAAATATTAAAATACACCATCTGCACAGAAAAGATGGTAGATCAATAAAACTTGAGAGATTAATTCATGATATTTAATAAGAATTCACTAGGTAATAGGCACTAATTTAGAACTTGGCTTAACTTTTGGAATGATACAGAACAGGAGCTTGTATTCTTGTGTGGGAAGACAACAGTAAGAGGAAAGGTAAATTATGGAGTATATTGGAGGGTGATTATGGTGATGGGAAAGTGCAGCAGGAATCCACAAGAAGGTGTTTAGGGAGAAGCTTGCAATTTTAAATAGGAGGTAGGGTGGGTCTCACTGAAGTAACATTTGAGCCAAGACTTGGAGAAGGTGAAGGCTCTAGCCATGCATATCTAGGGGAAGAGTATTCTAAGGTGAGGGATGAGAGATAGATGATAACTAAACAGACGGGCAGACAGTGGTGCATAACTTCCAACTCTGAAGTCAATTCTATCTACCCCAAATCAATCCAAAGACTTTGAATACCTACATAAATGTTATAAAATTATTGGAAAACCAAAAAATCAACATGAACTCTCCCTCTGTCCAGATGTTTCAGTATCATGTGTTTAGTATATAGCATGTGCACTTTATGCAAAAGCATTATCACCAGATCAACACTTTCAAGTATGGAGTTTGTTCCTATGTAAAAACGAATCATGTTCACATGGTGTTAGCTACAAATGGAAGGGAGGTATGAAAATGAGCCAGTGATACAACTAGAGATGGCTAGAAACCTCCTCTAACATCTGGACACAAGAACCACTATCTGAAATCAATTTTAAGGAGTGGATTCCTCATATATGACCTGACTGTATTAAAGAATTATTTGTTACCTGGAAGCAAAGGTGAGAACCATCCTAACCTGTCCTTTCTGAGCTTGTGCCTGACAACTAGTACAGCACCCAGCATTGCCTTTGGCAGTATTAAGCATGTGTGTGATGGGCCAGCCTCCTTTCTTTGTGTCTGTCTTCCTGCCATGGGGAGTCTTCTCAGATCTCCCGCCAGAATTGTTTTCTAAGGGCATTTTATCCATACCTTGGTTAAAGAACATTTCAACACCCATCCTGCCTCATAACTGTATACCATTTTATCAACTGTAGAATAACAAGGTTCATACATTTGGAAAGGAGAGCTTTATTTCCCACAAAGGATTGCAGCCTGCAGGCCATTGTGACATGCTGAGAAGCACAGCCTCCTGCCAGAAGCCAGAAACAGGAACTTAGAAGGTGGAAAGAATGAAAGGGATTTTTGCTGAACAGGATGGCCAAACATACATATTCAACAGGTTATGGGAGGAGATATGAATATTCATGAAGGGGAACCATGGGCAGGCTACTGTAGGCTAGCATGCAGGCAACATGCATCCTAAGTTCATTTTTGGGTGGAGAGTTAACATTTAAATATATTATAATCAGGCCCTATACATCAAAAGATGAAACAGAAGGTCTTCTGTGCACAGGCTCTGTAGACTGGCGAGGACCACTCCATGGTTTGTGGTCTCTTATCAACAAAGAATGCTGTTCAGTTGTTGTGTCAAAACTGCAAAGGGGAGAAGCAGTGTCAGGTGGTTGGTTGAAATCAGTAGTGCAGCAAGTCTTTCAAAAGGGCTAGTTTCTGTCTAACTCTTAGGAAAGAAGTCCTAACGCCAGTAAGTGAGGAAGTGAGGGGGTATGATGAGGTGTGTCCAACCTCCCGTCCCATCATGGCCAGGAACTCAGTTTTTGAGGTTTCTCTGGGGTCCTCTTGACCAAGAGTGAATCTGTTCAGTCAGTGGGGGGACTTAGGATTTCATGTTTATTTCCTAACTTGTACCCATCTTTCTAAAGTGTAAAGTTCTTGAGGACAGGAACTATTTCTTTCCTGAGGCAAAGAGGGAGCAGAAAATTTTTTTATTGTGGTAAAATATATAAAACATAAAATTTACCATTTTAACCATTTTTCAGTATACAATTCAGTGGCAGTAAGTATATTCGCATTGTTGTACAGCCCTCACTACCATTCAGCTCCAGAACAACTTTTATCTTCCCGAACAGAAATGCCATACCCATTAAACAACAGCTCCTCATTTTCCTTCCCCCAGCCAACAGGTACGAGTTCTTGTAAACATTAGGTGCTCAATACCTCAATACAGTGGAATGCCTTGCAGCAATTAAGGAGAATGAGGCTTCTTCTTTTTTTTGTTTTTGTTTTTGTTTTTTTTTTTTGAGACGGAGTCTCACACTGTCACCTGGACTGGAATGCAACGGCACAATCTCGGCTCACTGCAACCTCCACCTGCCAGGTTCATGCAACTCTCCTGCCTCAGTCTCCCAAGTAACTGGGATTACAGGTGCACACCACCACACCTGGCTAATTTTTGTATTTTTAGTAGACACGGGGTTTCACCATGTTGGCCGGACTGGTCTTGAACTCCTGACCTCAGATGATCCACCCACATCGGCCTCCCAAAGTGCTGGGATTACAGGTGTGAGCCACCACACCCAGCTGAATGAGGCCTCTTTAAATGTGCTGATATGGACGTTTCTGCATGATACACTGTCACGTTCAGTTACTATGATTAGAAGAGGTAGTAGAGAATGTTTTGTGTGAATGTTACCAAACTGAATTGGGGTCCACTCATCCAGCACAGTAAAGCCAGACACTGACACTGAGATTTGCAGCAGGAGAAAGGGGCATTTATCGCATGCCGCCAAGCAGGAGTATGTGCAGCCTCACTTATAACTCAAATTCCTCAATGGATTACAAGCAAGAGTTTTTAAAGGCAAGAGTACATTTCAGGAAAACAGAAATTTCAGGCAAAATTGTAAACCAATACATGGAGGCTATGCCCCTATGTGAGTGTAACTCTCTCCAGACCTGGCAAAAAGAAATGTAGAACAAAAACTGGAAGTCCGAGTTCAGCCTTGCGTTCCCCCTTCTCTGAGGTCTATGTGATAGTGGTCAACATTTTCTACCTGCTGGGGATTCTGAGAAACAAGTCAATCACATACATTAATATGTTATTATTTAGTTTTTATAGGGAACCAAAATACCTGGTGACTCTGGCTTGCTTGGGTGACTATTATTACTATCTTCTTGCTTATCAAGCTGCTCATTTACTTTCCAAGGCTAGTTAGATGCCCAGAATTTCCCTTGAAGGGAATCAAGATTGTTCCTTTATTTCCATGCTTGGGGAACCCAGCAGGGTCCTTAGAGGTGTCCCTGCTCCATCTCATGACCAAGGCACACACTCCAGCAGTATAACCTCAAACCCCCAAATGTCTAAACTGGAGGGACCATTGGGGTCATGTAATTCAAGCTCCTTATTTTACAAATAAAAAAATTTTACACTTCAGGAGTTGGGCTTAATTTTTTTAAGTAGCAAAACTTATAACACGGTTTTCTTTAATTCCCCAGAGTGAATCCAGTGGCCAGCAACAGATGAAGTAGGCACATGAGTCGTTGCTCTGGGTTTTTAGAGTTGTGCTTCTGTATTCCTTCTGCTGAAATTGCAGGAAGATTTCTTGAGATGAGGTTTAGAATGAAAGCCTTATATGCTGTTGCTGGGAGTATAAATTAGTACAACCACTATGGAAGACAGTGTGGCAATTCCTCAAAGACCCAAAAACAGAACTACCATTTGACCCAGCAATCCCATTACCAAGTATTTAACCAAATAAATATAAATCATTCTATTATAAACACACGTGAACATGTATGTTCATTGCAGCACTATTCACAACAGCAAAGACATGGAATCAACCTAAATATTCATCAATGATGGGCTGGATAAAGAAAATGTGGTACATATACACCATGGAATGCTATGCAGCCATGAAAAGAATGAGATTATCTCCTTTGCAGGAACATGGATGGAGCTGGAGGCCATTATTCTCAGCAAACTAACACAGGAACAGAAAACCAAACACCACATGTTCTCACTTATAAGTGGGAGCTAAATGATGAGAACACATGGACACACAGAGGGGAACAAAAGACATGGTGGGAGGTGGGAGAAGGGAAAGGATCAGGAAAAATAACCAATGGATACTAGGCTTAATACCTGGGTGATGAAATAATCTGTACAACAAACCCCCATGACACAAGTTTACCTGTATTACAAACCTGCATATGTGCCCCTGAACTTAAAAGTTAAATTAAAAAAGAAAAGAATTGGGCAAATTTTAACCTGAGGAAGAGTGAACACCCAATTACCAGATGTCAAAAGTGTTATTATTTTCTTGTTGCTCTGTTTAAAATTGACAGGACACAAATTGTGCAAGGTTTCTGGAAGGGAAGAATATGCACGATTGGCTTGGCACAGGCCTTTCATATTGGTCAACTTTTAAGCTAATCATCAAATGTGTTACCAAATCCTTAAGTCTTTGCATCTGCCTGGCAGACAGTACTGCAGCCTCCACGAAAAACTGACTTAAAATTTTAAATGGATTTTTCCCCCAACTATTATGTGCACATGGAATATTATGTGCATCCTTAGATAAAAGTATACATGTCTCCAATGCCAGTTTTGCTTGCAAGTTACACATCATCATCTTGATTGTGCTGACAGTTACACCAGTACACATATGTCAACATTTATTAAATTCTACATTTTAAATATGTCCACTTTACTGCATATGAATTATATATCAATAAAAAATACAAAAGCGTGGAAAAATAAATAATCACAGGAGGAAAAAGGAATTGCATCTCACTTTCCTGGACTCCCAGACCCCTCTGGGGCCATGGATGTGGGCTGCCTGTCATGGCTTGCGGCCTCTAGGGAATGTCATCACTCCCTTTCTTGGCAGAGCAGGTTGTTAAAAAAGGATTCAGCAGAACCATCTCTCTACTGACTATGCAGCCATCTCAGACTCAAGAAAACCAGCTTTTTAAACTGCAAGTATACCCATTCCTAAGCCAAGGACAGGGCGATCCCAGGGAGGCTATGGTTTAGGGGAAAGCATAATGTCAACAGGTATAAAATCCAGCGGTGCAAGATAAACAAGTTCTAAAGACTTGCTGTGCAACATTGTGCCTATAGATAATCAGAGTGTGTTGTTCATGTACACACCTGTTAAGAGAGTGAGTCTTGTGTTATATGTTCTTACCACAATGAAAAAAAAAATTAAAAGAAAATTCCAGCTAATTTAGATGTTTCCTCACTTTCAATAAGGGCAGACCCCTCAAGTAGGGGGTGTCATCTGAATGCTTCCCCCTTAAGTTTCCTCATGGTATAAGCAAACCCCTCATTCAAGTCTCCTGTCCTGTAGCCCTGTTTTGCCCATTCTCCAAATATCTCCACCTGGAGAAAATAGGCTGGACCTGGGCCATGGTTTTCTAAATCTCTAGCTCTGCTCTGGCTCTTGCTGTTCTTAGATCACCTGACTAATGATGACTACCATAGTTGTATGGAAAACAACAAGTAGTGGGGGTGTGTGCTGGACAGAAAGGAGCATTATTTATCATGTGGGGCTCCTACTTAATGACAGGTTTTCCAGGAAAATCAAAGAGTTGAGTGGGAAAGGAAAAATATGCATGCCAATGAGGAGGCTACATTGTGACCAGTGTTTCCCTGGCAGTAAGGTGGTGCCCACTGGATATGGCAGCCTGTGTTGGGAAGAAGGCCAGTGTGCAGTGCAGGAGGAAGGAGGAAACAGGCAGAACCTTAGCTTTCCGTAGTGGGAGGAAATTAAATCATGAAGCAGCAAAGCAGGTGCAGTGTTTCGAGATAAGGGGATAAAGACCAAAATCATCAGTTAAAAGAATTAGAAGGGCCAGAAGTGGTGACTCATGCCTGTAATTCCAACATTTTGGGAGGCTGAGGCGAGTGAATCACCAGAGCTTGGGAGTTCAAGACCAGCCTAGACAACAGGTGAAACTCCATTTCTACTAAAGACACACAAAAATTAGCTTGGCGTGGTTGTACACATCTGTAATCCCAGCTACTCGAGAGGCTGCAGCAGGAGAATCGCTTGAATCGGGCAGGTGGAGTTCGCAGCAAGCCAGGATGGTGCCACTGCACTCCAGCCTGGGCAACAGAGTAAGACTCTGTCTAAAAAAAAAAAAAAAAAAAAAAAAGAGAGAGAATTAGAAGGATTGACCTCTGAAGAAAGGAACATGAAGAGAAAAAACTACCATGCATTTTAAACAAATCTAGTAGAACTATTTGACTCTATAAGCTATGTGCATGTTGAGATTTAATTTTGAAAAACTGAAGCGGGGTATACAATCTCACTCCTTTTAGCTAATAGGCCCCAAACCATCACATCACCTTTGAGTGCTCCCCAAACCATCTTCCCCACACATCCACCCCTCCCAAACTAAGCCCACCCATCCTGGAACAGCTCAAAGGTTCTCAAATCCCAGGTCACTTTCAACCTCCCTTTTCCCACAGAAAGAATCAAAAGTTTGTGACTGATATGGTTTGGATCTGTGTCCACACCAAATCTCAGATTAAATTGTAATCTCCAGTATTGGACATGGGGCCTGGTTCAAAGTGATTGGATGGTGGGGGTGAATTTCTCATGAATGGTTTAGTATCAGCCCTCTTGGTTCTGTCCTCCTGATAGTGAGTTATCCTGAGATCTGGTCATTTAGAAGTGTGTGGCACCTCTCCCTCAGTCTCTCTCACTCCTCTTCTCAAGATCTCTGCTCCCTCTTTGCCTTCTCTCATGATTGGAAGCTTCCTGAGGCCTCCTTAGAAGCTGAGTAGATGTTGACATCATGCTTGTTGTACAGCCTGTGGAACCGTGAGCCAACTAAATCTCTTTCCTTTGTAAATTACCCAGTCTCAGTTATTTCTTTATAGCAATATGAGAATGGACTAATACAGCGGCCAAGGCCTTGAATTCGATTTTAGCAAACTGCATATGCATCCTTTCAGAAAGAGCTGCGAAGGAACCATCAGAGAAGCTGGGCACCCACAAGAGCGCATGGCCACGCAGTGCTGTTCTCTGAGCCTCAATGGCCAGCAGGGGCCTGTGCTCGGGAAGGGAGGTGCTCATCTCCTCCACTTTAATCTGTAGTGCACATGGAAACAACAGAATCCTCCCTGCCCGGGTGCTAACTGTGTGGCTGGGGTGTCCATCAGCCACTGTCCAGTTGGCCAAAGTCCTTGCTTCCTCAGGCTCACAAATCTACTGCATCATCAGCTTTATTATGAGGTGCCAATATCTCCTGGCCCTTTGTGTAAATGTCTTGTAAGAGTCTTTACCCCAGCCCAAAGCAAGGCCTATGGCTGTTGCAGGAGAAATGTAAAAACGTCACAAGCCCTGCAGGCAGCCAGATCCGAGTTCCAATGCCTGCTTAAACATTTACAAGTACTGAGATTTGCATGTAGTCTTCACCTACCAGAGCCTCAGACTCTTTCTCTTTTTACTTTTTAGGTGCAAACAAAATTATAATCACTCAAGGTTTTTATGAAGAATAAATGAATCGACATATCCAAAGCACTCTAGACATGAGTGTCTCCTGTTCGTTTATCATGCAGGTGTTTAAGGAGGTAGATTCCCTAATCAGTCGAGGCTATCCTGGTAGAAAAGAGCACTCAGTAGTCTCAAAAACAGAACTTTCCCACATCATGAAGAAGACCACTGCCTTTATTTTGAGATTCACACATGCTCAAGAGATAAGCTAAGCTTAGACTAAAAACATACTTTTATTTCTGTCTTTGTGGCCTTAAATAGTCTTTTCAAGTAATTTAGCTCTCCCATCCTCAATTCCTGTTTGCACAGAGCACAGTCTCCAAGCAGGACTCCAGCAGCCACCCCCCTAACCATCTCCAAACAAGGCATGTCTTCAGAGAAGGAGATTCCATTGAATTAAAAGCTCCTAAGGAAAGAGAGAACTTGTATGAAGAAGAGCTCCACTGGGTGGCTGCCCGGGGCCCCTTCTCTGAAGCTGTAGCTTTCAGTGAGTCTCTATTAAAGAGAAGTTTCAACCAAAACAGTGCAAGGCCCTCCAAAGAGGCTTCAGATTTGGAATGGATAATAATCTTGACAAAAAACGTAAGCTTCCCTTCCTTCTGAATGCTTTCAAAAGTCTGAGGGATCAACCAGCCTTTGAGATGGTGAAACAACAGGAGAACAAAGGGAAGAGCCAGGACCCTCCAGCCCATGTATAACATTTTCAAACTTTTTATCTCTTCCACCTCCTTCCTTGACTATTTTCATGAGAGACAATTATGCATCTTTCTCAGTTTACAAGTCAAAATAAGTGTGTGTGCATGTATGTGTGTGTTAAACAGTGAAAAGGGAAAACATACTTTTTATATAACTACTTTTTGATAATACAGTAATGTTTATTTTTTATTAAAATAGGAAATCATATATCCGAAATCAGCCTAAAATATAAATACTTAATATCAAAATTTAAAACACCTTTTTAATTCACAATTATAATTTATATTTATACGTATATACATATACATATGTATATACCACCTTGTGAGAAAGATATGCCATGTTAACAGTAATTAAAGCAAAGTTGGAGTGACTATATTAATATCAAGGTAAATTGGAAACCAAAAATATCACCGTGGATAAAAGGGTCATGTTTCATGATTATTAAAAAAAGGCAATTCTTCAAAAGGGCATAACAATTCTAAACATTTATGCATCTAATATCAGAGCTTCCAAATATATGAACAAGAACTGATAGAACTACAGGGGAAAATAGACAAATCTATAATTGTAGTCAGGGGTTTCAACACCTGTCCCTCAGTAATTGATAGAACAAGTAGACCAAAAATCAATAAGCATATAAAAGGCTAACAACACTATGAACCAACTAATTAATTGAATTTCTAGAATACTCTAATCAACACATTCTTATCAAGCAGACACAGAATGTTTAACTAGATAAACTATAATCTAGACAATAAAAATAATCTCAACTTTAAAATAATTCAAAATATACATATTAATGTTATCCCAATACAATGAAATTAAAATAAAAATCAATAAAAGCAAGATATTTGGAAAATTCCCAAGTATTTCTAAAAACAAACAAACAAAAATCCATGGATCGAAACAGAAATCAGGGCAGGCGCAGCACTTTGGAAGGCCAAGGTGGGAGGATCACTTGAGCCCAAGAGTTCAAGATCAGCCTAGGCAATATAGTTATATGTATCTTATGTCCAAGATACATAAGAACCAATAATGGATTTCCTATACCTTGCTGGTGGGAATGTACAATGGCACAGCCACTGTGTTAAAGCATATGGCAGTTTCTTACAAAATTAAGCATATGCTTTCCATGCAACCAAGCAACTGTACCCTTGAGCATTTAACACAGAAAAATGTTTGCACTATAACCTGTGTACTAATGTTCGTAGCAGCTTTATATTTAATGGCCCCAAATTGGAAACAACCCAAATGTCCTTTAACAAGTGAATAAACATATTTTGGCACATCCATACTGTGGAATACTACTCGGCACTAAAAAGAAACAAACTATTGATAAGTGAAACAATTTGGAAGAATCTTAAAGAATTATGTTTAGTGATCAAAAGCCTTTTCAATCTGAAAAGGCTACATACTGTATAATTCCATTCATATAATATTTTTGGTATGACACAATTATAAAGAAGGAGCAGATTAATATTTGCCAGAGGATAGGGGGAGGAAGGTAGGGAGGTGGTTGTGCCTATAAAAAGGAAGGAGGGGCCGGGCATGGTGGTGGCTCACACCTGTAATCCCAGCCCTTTGGGAGGCCGAGGCAAGTGGATCACGATGTCCGGAGATTAAGACCATCGGGGCTAATACGGTGAAATCCTGTCTCTACGAAAAATACAAAAAATTAGCTGGGTGTGGTGGTGGGCGCCTATAGTCCCAGCTACTCGGGAGGCTGAGGCAGGAGAATTGCTTGAACCTGGGAGGCGGAGCTTGCAGTGAGCCGAGATCGCGCCACTGCACTCCAGCATGGGTGACAGAGCGAGACTCCGTCTCAAAAAAAAAAAAAAAAAAAAGGAAGGAGGGCTCCTCACAATGGAACTGTTCTGTGTTTTGACTGTGACTGTAGTCACATGAATCTATACATAGAAGAAAACTGGTTGAACTAAACAAACGTGCACAAACTCACACACACTGAATACATGTAAAATTGGTAAAGTCTGATTATGATCAATTAATTGTATTTATGTCAATTTCCTGGTTGTGATATTCTAACATAGTTATGCAACATTTTGCCATTTGGAGAAACTGCATGAAGAATATATCAGCTCTCTCTATGTGCAAAAATCTATAATTATTCCAAAATGAAAGTTTAGGGGAAAAAAGCCAATAATAAGAATACAAACAATCAAGTGAATCATTGACAAAAATCTTCAACCAACATTTCACCAAAGAAGCCGTACGAATGACAAACAAGATCACAAAAAGATGCTTAATGTCATTCCTCGCTAGGGAAATAAAAACAAAAATAACAGTGAGACACCACTATAGACTTAATAGAATGATTAAAATTTTAAGACTGAGCATTTTAAGTGTTGGTGAAGATTTGGAATACTGGGAATCTCATAGGCTGCTGTAGGGAACATAAAATGGTAGAACATAAAATGGTTTATTAAAAGTTTAAGCTGGGTGCCATGGCACATGCCTGCAGTCCCAGCTACTTGGGAGGCTGAAGTGAGAGGATCACTAGAGTCCAGGAGTTCAAGGCTGTAGTATGTGATGATTGTGCCTATGAATAGCTACTGTACTCTAACCTGGGCAACATAGTGAGACCTCATCTCTTAGAATAATTAAACAACAACAAAAAATATTTTTTAAACCTTCACCTATGGCCTAGCCATTCCAACTATATGTATGAAAGTGAACATTACAAAAAAATAATGAAAGCATATATCCATGTAGATACTTGTACCCAGATGTTCATAGCGGCTTTATTTGTAATACCTAAACCTAGAAATAAATACAATGTTCATCAGCAGATGATAGAGTAAACAAACTGTGATATATCCCCTATACAAAGGAATATTACTCAGCAATAAAGGAGGAAGGCTTGTTGACAAACACTGTGGCATCTCATGCTTACTAGAATAATTATGCTGAGTAAAATAAACTATTCAAAAAAAAGCACATACTGTATGATCTCATTTATATAAAATGCTACAAAATGCAAACTAATTTCTGACAACACAAAGCATATTGGTGGTTTCCTGAGTATGGGGTGGTCTGTAGAATGGTGGGAGGGAAAGATTACTAATGAGCTTGATGACACCTTGTGGGGTGATGGATATGTTTGTTATATTGATTATAGTAGAAATTTTATAGGTTCATACATGTTAAGCTTAGCATAATGTATACTTTAAAGATGTTCAGGTCACTCTATCTCAATTATACTTCAATAAAGCTGTTAAAAATTATACCACAGTTATACCTTGCTGTGTAGAACAAATATGCTCCTACAAATCAAGAAGTAAAATATATTTCACCAGTAGAAAAATAAGCAAGGGGCTTGAACAAGTACACCACAAAACAGACTGCCCAAATGGCCAGTAAACATATTTCCTTCGCAAATAGAGAAATAAAAATTACACTTGCAATGTGTAATCATCATACGTCCACAAGAATGACTTTAAAAGTCAACAATACCAATTGTTGGTGAAGATGTGGTGTTGTAGGAGCTCTCAGACACTTTTCTTGGGGATGTAAATTGGTACAACCCCTTGCGAAAACTGTTTGGCGATACCAGCTAAAGCAGAACATAGTATACCCCACAACCCAGCAGTTTAATGCCTAGCTACAAATCCAGTGAAATTGTGTACATATGTACACAAAAAGACACATACAATGATGTTTCTACTCTTTGTAAAAGCCAAAATCTGGAAAAAGTTTAAATGTCCTCATCAGTAGGGTATTCATACAGCGTTTTGTTTCTTGGAATAAACAGTAAGTATGAGATGAGAAAGCTGAGGACACAAGAATGATGAAATTTGTCCCAGGTCACAGAGCCAGCAAGTGGTGAAGGTAACACACAAGCCAGGATGTCCTGGCTCCAGACACACTGCCGCCTTAGAAAAGGAGAGTGTTGTCAAATGTTGCCAAGAAACAACACATTAAAATTGATCATGCCGTGCCTTTCTGCTGCAAATTTTGCCATTTTTCATCATGTATGTTTCAACTCTCAAATTTCAGGATTATGGCAGGATGCCATGAACAACCCTCCAAATGAAACAACTAAATACAAAATAAAATGCATACTTTATGAAACATTTTCTTAAATTAATTTCAAGGCACAAAAGAAGGAATTTGCAGAGCCAAAGGAAAGGAAGGGTGGTGAGGAGGAATGAGGGGACAAGAATCCTGAAAGGAGAACAGCAAAGAAAACTTCCTCAAGGCCACCTGCAATTCCCTGGAGACCTCAAGTTTCTACACAAAGGGCATCAGGTGTGTGGAAAAGGAGAGGTAGAACAGAGGAGACAGTGCACACAGATAGCTGGAGGCCCCAGTGATGTGGCTCCCAGTGTGGGTGAAGAAGAAATCACCTATGCCTGGTGAAGAACTTGATCATCTCTACCTTGACAATTGAAGGAAGTAAAATTGCCGCTGATAATTTGTAAGCCCAAGGTACCCCCAAGCTGTTTTTGGACTGAATCATACTATTTTTGTGGTACAAAAGCTTTAAGTAAACAAATTACAGTGGCTTCTGGTAGGTAGCACCACCATGGTACCCACAGGAGTGAATGCAAACCCTCTGAAGGATAAAATTACACCCAGGACCTCACATGGTGCTACTGAGAGCTTCTCCATAACCAAGGAGCTCAGAATTAAAATACACACAAGCACACACACAGAAACAAGAGAACAAGAGTAACCACTAAATGCACAGAAACATAGCATAAAACTTCCAAATAAACACAGGGGGAAAATGGAATGAGGGAAAAGAATAATTCCAAATGATCTTTAAATTCAAGAAAGTGTTCCCAGACAAAACCAAGGGTCAGGCTGTTTATTCTTGTGGACCAATAACAAGATGCAGATGAACTGGGAAAGGAGGGAGTTTATTTCTGTAATCAATTAGAGGGAGAAAGCCTGGAAATTATCACCAGATCAACTCAAAATTACAAAGTTTTCCAGAGCTTATATACCTTCTAAGCTATATGTTTATCTGTTAATGTGCATGCATCTAAATACATAAGCAATTAACTTCTTCTAATCTATAACTAAGATCCGAGTCCTCAAGACCTTCCTCTGGAGCCTCAGTAAATTTACTTAATCTAAATGAGTCCAGGTGCTGCGGTGATTACCCTTATCTTGTCTCCTGCTAAATCATGGAGGTTTGGGGAGTTCCTTCAGACCCCCAATAAAATTTGTTTAATCCTAACCACTTAAGCTGAGTAGCTTAACCACTCAGTCAGTGCTGAAACATCTGTTATGGAGGCCTGCCTGTTCAGCCGTTAGGGAGACCTGGCCTGCCCCAGGAATAAGAGCAAGAGCATATATAGAATATACAATGAAAATTTTTTAAAATTCCACTATCAAAATAATCACAATTAATGTAATTGACTCAATGCTTCAATTTATTTAAGATCCCTGTCAGAAAAGAAAAATAATTAATCGGAGAAGATTGAACAAAATTACATTTAGTTACATATACAAAAACTGTCCAAAAGAATTTGCAGGCATAATATCAGAATTAAAAGGGAGTTTAGCAAATTGGCTGAATACAGAATCAATAAATTTAGATTGAATGTACCCTTATACGTAAGCATCTGTCTGAAATTTTAATTTAAGAAGTTACTCTTACAATAGCAATAAAAAATAAGCCTCTACAGAGAAAATTATGAAACTTTATTAAAAGTCATTTCAGAAGACCTAAATCATTTGAGCAATAAATATACCATATTCAAAAATAGAAAGACTCACCACCAGAGGTTGATTTTCCCCTAATCAATCCATAAATTCAATCCAAGTCCACAAAGTCCTGATAAAACATTTATGAGCAGGACAGACAGATTCTAAAATTGATAAGGAAGAGCAAAGTGCTAGGAAGGCCATAGATAATTTTGGGAAAAAAAATAAGAGAAATATAGAGTGTCTTTTCCCTGCCAGATATTAAGACCTACTATATTATAGAACTATTATGTTATATTATATGAGCATATTATAATAGTATATTAATAAGCTGGGAACAGTGGCTCACGCCTGTAACCTCAGCACTTTGGGGGGCCGAGGCGGGCAGATCACTTGAGGTCAGGAGTTCAAGACCAGCCTGGCCAACATGGTGAAACCCCGTTTCTACTAAAAATATTAAAATTAGCTGTAAATCACTTGAACCCAAGAGGTGGAGGTTGCAGTGAGCTGAGATCATGCCACTGCACTCCAGCCTGGGCAACAGAGCGAGACTCCATCTCAAAAAAAAAAAAAAATAAGATAATAATAATAGTATATTAATTAATACAATGGGACTTTGATTCAGGAAATAAATTGACCTAAAACAAAAATAAAAAGTCTGTAAATAGACCCACAAACCTATATAGAAACTTGATCAATGAAAGAGGTGGCCTTATGAGTAAAAAATAGAGCTAAAATAGTTGTTTATTTGTATGGAGAAAAAGTGCATTTTGATCCCTAACTGACATCTTCATAAAAGTATATGAAAAGACATTCAACATGGATCACAAACTCAAATACGGAATGAAAAAATTTCCAATGCTAGTGCGAGCTGGATCTGTGTCCCTGCCCAAATCTCATGTTGAATTGCAATCCCCAATGTTGGAGGTGAGGCCTGTGGGAGGCAATTGGATCACGGCCATGGATCCTCTATGAATGGTTTAGAACCAGCCCTTTGGTGCAGCTCTCATGATAAGAGTTCCTGTGAGATCTGGATGTTTAAAAGTGTGCAGTACTTCCCCAACTCTCTTTCTCCTGCTCTGGCCCGGTAAGACGTGCCTGCTTCTCCTTTGCCTTCCACCATGATTGAAAGTTCCTGAGGTCTCCCTGGAAGCCAACCAAATGCTGCCATGCTTCCTGTACAGCCTGCAGAACCATGAGCCAATTAAACCTCTTTTTATAATTTACCCAGTCTCGGGTATTTTTTTTTTTTTACAGCAGTGCAAGAATGAACTAATACAAATGCTCACAAATAAATACAGGAGAATGTCAACTTTTGAGAATTCCTGGAAGAAGTACTTTTCTTCTTTTGAGAAAAAGAATATTTTTCTTCTTTCTTTTCTTCCTTCTCATTTGGAAAGAAGGCAATTTGGCATTGTTGTGTAAGGTTGAGAAGGTGCACTCCAGCAATGTCGCACCTGCGATGGACAGTAGATTCTCACACATATTTACAAAGTGATGTGTAAAAAAATGTTCACACAGGCATTGCTGGAAATAGCTAAAAGTAATAATTAACACAACAATCGGAATATTAGGAAGAGAGGGATACTATTCTTCCAGGAGAACTCCAACATAGTGTAGAGTTTCACTGAAAAGGCACAGAAAGAAAAGAAAACAATAAAAAAATTGATTCATCCACATGAAACCAATAAAATTTATTTTTAAAAATAACATAAAAATAGGCCAGGCATAGTGGCTCATGCCTGTAATCCCAGCACTTTGGGAGGCTGAGGTGGGCCAATTGCTTGAGGCCAGGAGATCGAAACCAGCCTGGCCAACCTGGTAAAACCCCATCTCTACTAAAAATACAAAGATTAGCCAGGTGTGGTGGTGCACATCTGTAATCCTAGCTTCCTAAGAGGTCGAGGCGCAATAATTGCTTAAACCTGAGAGGCAGAGCCTACAGTGAGCTGAGATCTCGCCACTGCACATCAGCCTAGGTGACAGAGCAAGACTCTGTCTCAAATGAATAAATAAGCAAAGACAGCCTGGAAGAAAATATATTTAATGCCCTAAAGAAAAGTTTAACAACAAATTAATATGAAGACTTTCAAAAATGATTTTTTTAAAGGAAGCAACATGTGTAGGATAACTAAAGAGTCAATTCACAAGAAAAGCAAATGACCAGTAAAAATATTTTTTAAAAGGTCAACCACACTGATAATCAATGAAATGAGCATTTCAATAATCACATAGCATTTCTTACTCATCAGACCGAAAACAAATTATAAGTCAGAGAATCCCAAGTGTCAAAGAGGATGTGTAGCAGCTTGAACGCATGAATGCCTGCAGCAAGCACATGAATTGGTGCCACCATTTGGAAAGAAGGCAATTTAGCACTGTTGTGTAAGGTTGAGGAGGTGCTCTCCAGCAATGCACACCTGCGATGGACTCTAGATTCTCACACACATTTACAAAGTGACGTGTGAAAAAATGTTCACATAGGCATTGCTGGAAATAGCTAAAAGTAATAATACGCCAATTGAAATATTAGGAAGAGAGGAATACTATCCAGAAGCAAAAAATGAATCAACTATAGATCATTGCAGATGAATCTCACAAATGAAATGGTAAGTGAAGAAAGTTGCAAAATCATACACGGTATGATAATATTTATATAATGTTTTAAAATATTGGAAGGGTCCTATCATTTAGGAGAACTGACATAGTTGAAATATGAAGAAAAGTGGGAGAATTACAAACACCACATTCAGGGCAGTGCAGGTGCAGCATGAGAGCAGATGAGCATAGGCACAGCATCTCCACACTGCTCACAGAAGTCCAGGCTCCAGGAGAGCAGAGCCTCACAGCAGCCCAGTCTTGCTGCTATGAAGCATTTTCCATGCTCTGGAATAAAAGACAGTCTAAGGGCTGAGGGGGAGAGATCACAATGCCACAGAGTGCTGGGAGGAACACCAAATCATCTGAGGCATCTCCCTTGCCACTGATGCTAGGATTGCCCAGTGGGTCAGTTGGATGAAAAGCATGGTGCCAGGGATGGCAAGGATGGCTCAGAGTATGGGAAGAATGGTGACTGTGGGCCAGCATGGTCAGAAACACCATCCTGGAAAAAGTACTGTAAGGAATGAGAATGACATGAATGGATGAAAAAGGCAAAAAGAAAGCAAAAGGTCTCAGGATCAGGAATAGAAATTACCTCTGTGGGAAAGGAGAGGATGCAAAGGAGGTTGAACTTATATAAGTAAAACCAAAAGGATTGTCTGATCTCATCTCAAAATAAATGGGAAAATCATCAAAAGCTCATTAAAATGTCATGGGAAGTCAGCAAGTATTTCTCTTCCTTTCCTACAAATGCCTGAACTCCAAAAATCTTACATGCGGTTACAGATCTTATCCCTTGAGTTAACAGAAGTGCCCAGAACTCACATGCCACCTTGGATAGAGGTTGATAGGTTTACATCTTACCTGTGTGATTGGGTTTCACCTTATTGGGGAATAAATACCGGAGTGTATGTGTCTAGTATTCCTGAGAGAACAATAGGCATTTTTTTTTTTTCTGAAGACGTCGTTTCCATGAATGGAAACATTGGCTAATCAATATGGGTGCTTCCTCTAGGGGTGAGGAGCTGGCCATGGCCCTGTGGATGAAGGTGGGCAAGTACCCTGCCAGGCTTCCCTGTAGGAGACATGGGCGAAGCCCACAGGCGTAGACTGGGCTCCCCACAAGATGCCAAATCCAGCAGGAGGCTCCCTGGAGGCACAGGGCCCCACTCTTTGACTCCAGTTTCCTACCAGGAGATCATTCCATTTTCTTAGTGATTATTTCCTGGAGTTGGCTGTTCCGTCTCAATGTGGAGAAAGCTGACTCTTGCAACTGTCTGCAGAGAACCTTTTTCAATTAACTATCTTGGTTTAGGCTTCTCCTCTGCACACCCCTTGACCCTGGGGGTCACCACAGAGAGAAACTTCTCTCACTACTCCAGTCTTGTCTATGAAGCGCTGATCTGTAGTTACCACCACCATGACTATTTCATCAGCCTCAGGTCATCGAGAAAGTCACTAGAATCTTGCCAGTCTCCCCATCCTGTACCCAACACTTTTGCAGCTCTCTGATTCTCCCCACTCTCCTTTTGTCCTTTTAAACTATTCTTCTGGTAGGTGTCATGGTAAATTTTATGTGTCAACTTGACTAAGCCACAGGATGCCCAGACATTTGGTCACACATTATTCTGGGTGTGTCTGTGAGGGTGCTTTGGATGAGACTGACATTTGAATCAGTGGACTGAGGAAAGCAGATGGCCCTCCCCAGTGTGAATGGGTCTCATCCCATCAGCTGAAGGCCTAGAATAGAGGACCAGCCTGGCCTTCCCTGAATAAGAGGCCATTCATTCTGCCTTGCTTCTTTTGAACTAGGACATCAGCTTTTTCCTACCTTCACACTGAAACTGAAACATTAGTTCTTCCTGACTCTCCAACCTGCCAGCCTTCAGGCTGGAACTGCACCATGGGCTCTCGTGGGCCTCCAGCTTGCCAATCCACCCTGTGGATATTGGGACTTGTCAGCCTTCATAATCATTTGAGCTAATTTCTCATAATACATAAATAAATAGAACCTTGACAAATACAGTAGGTTTTCTGTAGAAAAATGGATAGGTAAATGCAGTCTACTCTTTCATGTTTAACTAAAAGGAAGTCTTGTGCTTTACATCTTTACATCATCCAAAAAGTCCTGTATTTGGAACTAAAAGAGAACACAGAACTCATCTTGTAGAACTCCCTCAGAATGTTAAGCCCTAGAGAAAGTCAATGGCAGGTTCAACTGGCAAAGCAGAGCATGCTTGACATCATTTGCTTTTTAGAGCCCAGGAGCATCCTCTCTATATGAAATAACTTCTCCAAATCCTTAAGACATCTTTCCCTCAGCAACCAGCAAGCCTAAGAGGATATTGTTAAGAGCAAAGATGAATAATGACCAAACTCAATTCTCAATTCTAAGAATCCTTCCTTCCAGCAACAGTTTCCTCGGGAGACTATTAGAAAGCAAGCTTGGCATAAGAATGATACAGTGGGCTGGACACGGTGGCTCACACCCATAATCCTAGCACTTTGGGAGGCCGAGGTGGGTGGATCACCTGAGGTTGGGAGTTCAAGACCAGCCTGACCACCATGGAGAAACCACGTCTCTACTGAAAATACAAAAAATTAGCAGGGCATGGTGGTGCATGCCTGTAATTCCAGCTACTTGGGAGGCTGAGGCAGGGGAATCACTTGAACCCGGCAGGTGGAGATTGCGATGAGCCAAGATAGCACCATTGCACTCCAGCCTGGGCAACAAGAGAGAAACTCCGTCTAAAAAAAAAAAAAAAAAAAGAATGATACAGTGGACTTCGGGGACTCGGGGGAAGGTTGGGAGGGGGTGAGGGATAAAAGACTACACATTGGGTACAGTATACACTGCTTGGGTGATGGGTGCACCAACATCTCAGAAATCACCACTGAAGAACTTACCCTTGTAACCAAACACCACCTGTTCTCCCAAAACTGTTGCAACAGAAGTTTTTAAAAAAACAAAGTAAGCCTGGGATCCCTTTGATGGGCCTGTGGCTTGTCAGCCTCCTGCTGCAGAATCCATCCGATGCCACAGCCCCTTCAGACATGAAGCCACTGTGGGCTAGAGCTGCCATCAGAATGGCAGAGCCCAGGTATCCCAGAGAAAGGCAGAGGAAGCTTCCTTTTGCTGGGGATCTGAAGAATGCCTCCTCTGTTTGTCACTCTGACCTTGCTGGAACCACAGCCTGTTCAAACACTACCATTATCACAGTGGGTGGGCAGGGATCCCACCTCACCCAGATGTCATCCCCATGCCTGGCCACATCCTTTGAGAATAACAGACACGCAAAATAAGAGTTCCTGAATTGAATTACAATTGGTGTCTTCTTTAAGTAGGTACAAGTGACTGTAGTGTACAGTCTGTTTTTTATTCCAACAGCTAAGGGTAAATGTGGTCTGAGAAAATGAAGTCCAAGGAGAAGTTATTGCCCTTGAATAATTAATTACTTCATCTTCTCTTGCAAAAATTGGTTTATTATCTCAAATGGAGCTCCTTCATTTCTCATTACCCAATGCATAAGTGACATTTAAATAAATGTCTTCTGGCATACTGTATTGCTTCTTTGTTCTTTAGAAGCTTCTCCTGCATGCAAGATTGAGAAACTTGTTGAGACCATGCTTTTGAAAGAGCACAACTTCATAGTAATAGTCATTCATCATTCCTTTCTTCTGTTATTACTTTTTAATGGCAGCCTGAACTTAGTTATTTCGGCAAAAATGATTGGCAAACTAAAGATTTCTTTCCCTATTGTTTGCCATGTCAAGTCAAGTCTGAATTTTTCACAGCTAGATGAGAGTAAAACTGCAATAAATGAGGGCAGAGCATCAATTCTGTGTGGGCTTCTCTTGATGTATTCTTGATGCTCAGGATTTTGAAATACAGCTACTTTTGTAAGTCGTGGACTATGTGGCATTAAATCTTACATGGTATTAATTACCATCAATATTTTTAAAATAATATAGAATGTTAGAATAAGCAGTATGTCTCCCTTGAAGTAAAGACTATGGAGTTTTAAAAGTACAGAATTGTTGAAGCTCAGTAATTTCAGGGAAAAACATACAGAATTAACCTCAAAAAGAGAAAAAAATGCCATGTTTACAAACTGGTCTATTTTGGGAAAAATAAAAAAAGAAAAGAAATCTATATCTGATTGACAGTCCCTTATGAGTAAAATAGGTGGCAATTGCCAAGGTGTGCAAATGTAAAATACAGAAAACTTAAGGGATATCTTTCATAGTTTTTCTAAAAGTTCTTTGTCTTTGCTGCCCCTCAAGGCAATCTCTGTGGGCTGCCTTTCTGAACATTGCTTCCTGCCAAATACTCTTCCCAAATGACTTGCATAAGCTTGACAGAATGAGAATTGTATATAAAACTGTCTGAGCTCAGAAAGCTATAATTTAAGGCAAGTGGATGAGAGTCTTTCAAAGGCAGGGGCCACAGTGCACACATCTGGCTCTAGGGCTGCTGCTGACTCCTGAGACCAGACCTTGCTGACTTCTCCACGTGACGCATAGAGGACTTCAAAGCAGGGCTTAGGTTCCACAAACTGTCAGAAAGCAATAAAGGGAGAAAAAAATCACAACAAATCCTGAGACTACCGTGCTCAAGGGAAAATGTGTAGTCTTATATGCCTTCATTACTTAAAAAAAAAGACTAAAAATAAAAGAATTCTGTACTTAGCTAAAGAGTATAGAAATGAGCAATAAAGATAAAAAAAGAAGGATTTCAAAGATGAAAGCTGAAATTGATAAATTTGAAATTAAAAAGCTACAAATAAATTCAAAACTTTGTTGTGTGTTTGTTTGTTTTTGTTTTCGAGACAGAGTTTCGCTCTTTCTCCCAGGCTGGAGTGAAGTGGTGCGATCTCAGCTCACTGCAACCCCTGCCTCACAGGTTCAAGTGATTCTGCTGCCCCAGCCTCCCAAGTAGCTGGGATAACAGGTGCCCACCACCACGCCTGGCTAATTTTTGTATTTTTAGTAGAGATGGGGTTTTGCCACGTTGGCCAAGCTGGTCTCCAACTCCTGACCTCAGGTGATCCACCCGCCTCAGCCTCCCAAAGTGCTGGGATTACAGGCGTGAGCCACCAGGCCTGACCAAAACTTTGTTTTTGAAAAGACCAACAAAATAGATAAACCTCCCCTGAGACAATGAATGAAAAGAGGAAGGGATAAATATGACACAAGTTAAGACATGAAAAGAGAGACACTGTCATAAATACAGTTGATTGAAGAATTGTAAGAGAATGCCACATACAACTCCATGGCAACACAACATACAATGTCCTATCAAAATGTACATTGGAAGAAGAAAATATAATTTTCATAAAAGATTGGAAATGGGGCAAAGCATGCCATTTCATAAAAAGACACTATACACATATTGTTTCACAACTGAATTCTATCTAATGTTTAAACAACTGACTATTCCAGTGATATTTAAAATATTCAAGACCATAAAAGAAAAGACATTGTAAAGTACCTCAATTTACTTAAGAAGCCATTATTATGCTGTTATAATAAATTTAAAAAGAAAACATGTCAATCTCAATTATGAATAAAGTTCAAAAATAGAATCTAGCAGTCTTTAACAACAAAAATAACCGCAAGAATAATCAATTGTACAAAGATGGTTAGATAATAGTAAACTGTTGGCATACTTCATTACAGAATCAAATTAAGACAGAAAAATCATGTGATTATGTTAATAGATGCTGTAAACCAAAAAGTACCTGAGACAGGTCTCAATCCATTAAGAAAGTTTATTTTGCCAAGGTTAAGGATGCATGCCCAGAAGATAGATCTGTGTCTTTCTCCAAAGATGTTTTTGAGGACTTCAGTATTTTAAAGGGGAAAGGGTGGATACTGGGGGGAAAGGAAGAAATTTTTTAAAGCTGGGGGTACATAAGAGACAAATGGTTGAATTCTTTTGAGTCTTTGATCAGCCTTTCGCGGAATACATAATTTACGTGTGAGAGGTGGGTAGAGTAATAGTCACCTATGCCTTTGTCTGGCCCAGTAAATCTGCATTTCTACATCAGAGGAAGCAATCAGATACACATTTGTCTCAGGTGAGCAGAAGAATGAAAAGTTCAAGGCAGGGCAAGCATGAAGTGTAGAAACATGATTCTCCTGTCGCAGATTAACATGCACCTTGTTAGACTCAAAAGCAGGACCAGAAACCAGTTTACGTGGAAGTTTCCACAAAACTTACGCCTTTATTTATCTACCTGTTTTATATATAAAGTCAAAGTTGGTACTATGTATATGAAAGGCATCGCTCTCCGACCCAGAAATAAGCCGAGCTAATATTTGGTGGACTTCTTTGTATTTAACTCCTATTATATATACAGTTCTGGGTCTTCCAATTGTGCAATTACTAAAGCAATATTCACATGATTAAAAGCCTTCTCATAAGTACCGTTTTTATGGCTCCACAGCACACAACTGCTCCTTCCGGATGACGCATCACTGAGACATCTGCCTGTGAGTGCACATTTGAGAGTGTGATGGGTAATTTTAGGTATCAGCTTGACTGGGCTAAGGATTCCCACATCACAGGTAAACCATTATTTCTGGGTATGACTGTGAAGGCGTCTCTGGAAAGGATCAGCATTTCAATCAGTGGACTCAGTAAACCTAACCGCCTTTCCCAGTACTGGTGGGCATCCTCCAATCAATTGGGTTCCTGAAGAGAGCAAAAAGACAGATTCTGTCCTTCTGGTTAAGCCAGGACATCCACCTTCTGCTCTTGGACATCAGCTCTCCCAGTTCTGGAGCCTTCATTCTCAGGCTGGGACTTATACTATCAGCTTCCCTGCTTCTCAGGCCACTGGCCTTGAAAAGATGACCATGGTGGAGGATGTGATGGGAGCCTTTGCAAAGCAGCAGTAGGGACACAAACTCAATGGCAGGAGGTTAGGCAGAAAAGAGGAGATGAGAAATCATGGCAACAAGTAGAGACACCACTTTGGGGAGGATTTTCTACGAGTGAAGCAAAGGTGTGGGGTGAGAGTTATGGGGAACAAAGTTATTGTTCTATGCACATAGCCGAGGGAGGATTGCCGTCACTGCATATCTTCTCCTCCAGCCCTCCCAAGAAATCCCCCTGGATGCTTCCTTAACTTCCATTTTTTTTTTCTTATTTACCTGTGGCCTTTAGGACAGTTAGGTTTCCTCCAGCTGTGACAAACCAGGAAGTGGTGGACGGCAGCAGTTTCTGCTGAGCAGAACGGGTTCGGGGGAAGCCTGCAGTTCCTCTCTGTTGAGGAGCGGGCTCCTCCAACCAGGTTCACGCTGTAGCTATGACAGGGCCACAGGAATGAAAGGAAGGCCACTAGAGGAACATTAGACAGGGACAGGAAGGCTTCTGCAGGGACACTCACAGCAGGTGGGCCACCCTCTTGTGCTGTGGGGCCACCCCAAGTGAGGATGGAGAATGATTTTATTTGCAGGCCTTGAGAGAGGCCCATGCCCTCCGCCACCTCCAACTCTCCAGCTCTCTCCTGACATCAGAGAAAAGAAAGCCCTTCCCTCCTTCCTGTAGACAGTGAGAGGATTTGGGGCTCTGGGCTCCCTTCTGTCTGCACCAGCACGCCCGCCCTGCTGTTGCATTGCTTCATAAAAAGTGGGCATGTGGAAAATGGAGCAGGAACTGGTGCTTAGACAGCAATATTTTCCAGAATTCCCTAGAGCAGTCTTCTCACAACTCATTAATCTTTTGAATTTGCATTCATATTTGCTAAACAGCAATGAATCTGCAAAAGATACCCAGAAAGGAGTCCTCTTTCAGAGCTGCTTTCCTCCCTGCTCTTGGCCATGGTCACCTGCTCCACACTGAGTACCCTCCTCCGCAGCCACAGAGCATCAAGGCCCCAGGGGCTTTTTGAATTTTCCCAGAGCCGCACGCTGCAGCCCGAGGGTGACAGCCACAACCTCAAACCCACCAATGGGATTTACCCATATTCCACGACCCTGCACAGAGCCCCCACACAGTCATGAAGTCATCTGGCTGCTTCCACCCTAGTTCTCTCTCCTCCCCACCCCATGCGCTCCACTTGCCAACTTCCTTGCCTTCCTCTCACCTCTCTAATCCAGAGTGTCTCTATGCTGCTGCTTGTAGCACGAAGAGTTCCCTTACATCATATCCTGAGATCTTTCTTTCTTAGGCTTAAAATAAACTCTACTCTCAGGCCTGCAAACTCAGCTGTCAAGATGTAAAGGTAGCTTTTACAGTTAGAAATCCCTTTATGTTTTTCCAGGTAACCACCCATTCCTTAGAGGGACGATCCTTCTGATTGCATAGATTGGAACCAAATGCCTACAGTGTTTTAAAAATTATTTATTTGAAAAATACCTCAAAGATGTTTGCTTCCTCCATGGAACCAACAATAGGGTTCACCCTATACTACACGTTACAGGCACTACAGTTTAATATGTGTTAACCAATAGGTAGCTTTAGTTTTAATAAGAATAATTTTTTCACATTGATCAACATTAACTGGAACACTGGAAAAAAAAACTGACCGCCAAGTGAGACCTTAACCACCAGGGGCAGCCTTGTCACACCAGGTGAGACCACCAGGTGACAGCCCTGTCACCCCAGGCGAGCGATTGACCACCAGGGAGAAGCCCTGTCGCCCCAGGTGAGAGCCCATTACACTAAGTGAGAGTCCCTAATCTGCAAAGGATTTTGTGTCAGTGATGAAGCAATTAAACACCCTTGCCTGAGCAATGGTAACAGACTCCATGGAGGTTGATCATCTCCTTTGAAATAAAGCTGTCCTACCATCTGCACCATGCTTATAGAATTCACTTCCAAATTATTTCACCACAGGGTGTCTCCTTTTTATTTTTACTGCCATTTATTTTACTGCCATTTTTTTAATGGTTGCAATCTCCAAGCATCCACTTAGGAAACACTGGCCCTCTCAGAAAGACATAGCTGACAGCTTGAAGTGTAGTTTGTCTGAAGCCCTAAAAGTGAGCCATCCAAATATGCATGTGTGTGTTTCTGTAAAACTGGTGACTAGCTAAAATTGAAAAGTATTGGAGCCCCAAAACCTGTGTATATGTGTATGATGGATGTCTGTATATACATGTGTGTGTATCATTATGTGTGTATATGTGTGTGCATGTGTATCATTATGTATGTATGTGTGTATATCTCATTATGCATATGTATGTGTATAACCATGTACGCATATGTATATCATTATGTACATATGCGTATGTACTAGAGGTATGCATGTCATTATGTACATATGATACATGAACATATAATGTGCATGTGTGCATCATTAAGTAACTATATGTGTATGTGTACATGTATATCATTATGTATATATGTGTGTATATCATTATGTATATGTGTGTATGTATATCATGTATATATGTATACACATCATTATGTGTGTGTATCATTATGTATGTGTACATATATATCATTATGTATATACGTGTGTATATCATTATGTATATGTGTGTATGTATATCATGTATATATGTATACATATCATTATGTGTGTGTATCATTATGTATGTGTATGTGTGTACACACATATATAAATGAATCCAGGAATTGCCTTTCTGATATAGATGCACTGAGAGTTTTATGCATGTTAAAACAATTGGAAAGTGAATCAGGACTTTTATCTGATTACCAATATAGGAAAAGATTATTGCTCATTTATGTTTTCTCATGAGGTTCCTGTTTACAGGATACGATTCACTGGAAAATAAAGCCAAAGGTTATAAAAGCAATTCACCGTGGAGTGTTGTTCTTTGTCTGTGCACAGAATGCGTAGCTCTTGCATACTAAGTTTTCAGGGTCAGAAGGAAACAGGAAGCCTTTAATGGAGAGCATTGATCACTCATCAGGGAAGTCCTGCCGCACTGGGAGAAGGTGAATCACTGCGCTGCCTTCAACTGGCTGCATGACTGCATATTTAAGGTGAGCATTAACTATATTAACACACTGGGCGTCACTGTACAATTCTTTTTAGAACCCTTCCCAAAGTTAGCAGCCTTCCTTGGTAGACTTAGGGATCTTGGGTTTTATTGCTGTACCCAGACAACTAAATGGGAGAATGTTACGTCAGATCTCAGGCTTGTTGAAATGTGCAGGGACCCGGTGCTGGGGTAAGATGAGACTTTGGGAATCTTGGGCAGGCATGCGAGTTATTGGGGTCAGAATGTAGCAGGTGGTAGATTGTTGCCTTGATGGCCCCCAGTGAATCTCACCTCCATACCTCTTTGCAAGGAGACTTGGTGGCTGCTTTCTTTAAGAGGAGGAGGATATTGTCCACATCCTCTGAACTTGTGCTAGCCTTACCTGTTGCCTTCAGCAATAGTATCTGATGGGAGGGACTGGGTGCAGTGCCTGAGGCCAGGTGCCTCAATGGCCTTGCTCACTCCACCTTGGCATCTTGGAACACTTCCAGAAACACAGGAGAAAGCCTGGAATGGAGGACCATGTGGAAGCCAGGCCCAGCCGCCCAGCCAGGTCCCAGCTGAGACTGCAGCCGACTGCAGCCAACTGCAGCCACGTGAGGGACCAGTCGAGAACACTGGAAGAAAGACCAGTGAGCCCTCAGACTCATGAGAAAGCATGTGTCTTTGTCTGAAGCACTAAGCTGTGGGGTGTTTTGTCATGCAGCAATCAATGGCGGATACAGATATTGACCCCATTTCATCCACACGGGCCAAGTGAAGCTTAGAGGCAGCTTCGGCAAACAGATCATAGCTTTCTACAAATGAAGAAACTGGAATTAAGAAATAATGACTTTTCTGTGCTCAAACAGCTGTTAAAGTACAACCAGACTGAAGATCTGCCAGTTTGGGGACCTTATGGAAATCACCTTTATTTAAACCCCTCTTTTCTTATCTATAAAATAGAAATAATAACAATATACCTGCCTTTCACATCTGATGAAACGAGCAAATAAAATTTTGTAATGGAATTTGCTTTTTAATTGTAATGTGTTGTAACTGTAAGATTTTATTTGCATGTTACTGCTCATAGATTTTGCATTCTTTTCCTTCTGATTTCTTACAGGAATCAGAGGAACAGGTTTTGACTGTAAATCAACATGAAGTTGAGAAAAGCTAAGGAAGATGTTCTAAGGAGAAAATTGAATTATTAAAGAGTTTTATATAAATATAGTTTGGGGATACAAAGAGTAGATATAAAAAATGGGTTTTGGCTTACTTTTTTAAAAAAGCTTCTTAACCACTAGCCATGTCCAATAATGGAATTTCTCAGGTTAACTCCAGCTCCCCATCACTCAAGACAGGCTCCTCACATTTGCACACTCTGGGCAAGAGTACAAATGCTGGCCCAAATGCCATATTTTGTATTTAAATATTTAAAAGATACAAATCAAGATTAAAAACAAATAAGATATGTGCTATCCTCCTGCCTTGAAAAATAAACCTTCATAATACTGAGAGGTGACAGTGTGCTGGCAGCCCTCACAGCCCTCGCTCACTCTCGGTGCCTCCTCTGCCTGGGTGCCTCCTCCACCTCGGCGCCCATTCTGGCCACGCTTGAGAAGCCCTTCAGCCCGCTGCTGCACCCTGGGAGCCCTTCTCTGGGCCTGCCCAGGCCGGAGCCGGCTCCCTCCGCTTGCGGAGAGGTGTGGAGGGAGAGGCACCGGCAGGAACCAGGGCTGTGCATGGCGCTTGCAGGCCAGCTAGAGTTCCAGGTGCGCGTGGGCTTGGCGGGCCCGCACTCGGAGTGGCCGGCCACCCCTGCCCGCCCGGGCAGTGAGGGGCTTAGCACCCGGGCCAGCAGCTGCAGAGGGTACACAGGGTCCCCCAACAGTGCTGGCCCACCGGCACTGCACTGGGTTTCTCGCTGGGCCTTAGCTGCCTCCCGGCGGGGCAGGGCTCCGGACTGCAGCCAGCCATGCTTGAGCACCACCCCTGCCGCCATGCCCCCTCCCACCCCCTCAACCCCCCAACCCCGCTGTGGGCTCCTGTGAGGCCAGAGCCTGCCCCACCGTCCCCTGCTCCACAGCACCTGGTCCCATCGACCGCCCAAGGGCTGAGGAGTACGGGCGCAGGGCGCGGGACTGGCAGGCAGCCCCTGTGCCAGATCCACTGGGTGAAGCCAGCTGGGCTCCTGAGTCTAGTGGGGACTTGGAGACCCTTTGTGTCTAGCTAAGGGATTGTAAATACACCAATCAGCACTCTGTATCTAGCTCAAAGTTTGTAAATGCGCCAATCAGTGCTCCATGTCTAGCTAATCTAGTGGGGACTTGGAGAACTTTTGTGCCTAGCTCAGGGATTGTAAACACACCAATCAGCACCCTGTTAAAACGGACCAATCAGCTCTCTGTAAAATGGACCAATCAGCAGGATGTGGGTGGGGCCAGATAAGGGAATAAAAGCAGGCTTCCCCAGCCAGCAGTGGCAACCCGCTGGGGTCCCCTTCCAAAATGTGGAAGCTTTGTTCTTTTGCTCTTTGCAATAAATTTTGCTCCTGCTCACTCTTTGGGTCCATGCTCCCTTTATGAGCTGTAACATTCATCGCAAAGGTCTGCAGCTTCACTCCTGAAGCCAGCGAGACCACTAACCCACCAGAAGGAAGAAACTCTGAATACATCCGAACATCAGAAGGAACAAACTCCTGACATGCGGCCTTTAAAGACTGTAACACTCACCGTGAGGGTCCGTGGCTTCATTCTTGAAGTCAGACCAAGAACCCACCAATTCCGGACATGGTACATTTCCAGATTCACATTTAGACTATTATACTCTTTTGGGTTCCATTCTGGAACTCTGTGGCTCAGAGAGGTTCCCCCTTCCCTGTCCCCACTCAGGTCCTTTTCTTCCCTCCCCCAGGTCTGGGGGACCTCTCACAGCCACAGGGAGACCCCAGCCCACTTATCCAAACTCCACCCAAATGCCCATAAGTAGCTGCCCTTTGGCCACTGCCTGTCCGAGGGTGCACACAATGGCCAACGAGCTGGCTCCCCAGTTCCAGGAGGGCCCACACCCTTTCTGCCTGGACTCCTCACTCCATGGGGAAGGACAGAGTATGGTCCTCTAAAGGAGCAGAGACCAGACAGCCACTGATGGAACACCCTGCAGATAGGACTCATGCTCAAAATGTAGGGCTGGAGGATTCCACTTCTTGATGCCTCTTCTAACTTTGATTTTTGTTTAATTCCATTATTTTCTAACATTGTCTAAAATGTGAACTAAAGTAGAAATGAGTATATAAAAGTAGAATGAATTAAATTTAAAATTGGAGTTCATAGTAATCTTACATTACAAAATTATATATCATAAACACACGATTCAAGAGCCTGATTTTCATAAACATTTCATATTTAAATTACCTACCACCCTATCTGAATTATGATATTATATTAATTCTAATGCTAATGACTTTTGCAAAATATCTAAAATACATAATAATGCTGATGTTCTCAAAATGGAAAAATTTTTAAATCATCACAGATAGATACCCGTTTACCTGAGACATTTCTGGTTTACACCTGCTGTCCTGGAATATGATGGAGATGAGTTGTTAATACTCATCTCTTTCAGTCTCAAAAATGTCCTGGTTTCGATGACAAATTCAATGATCACTCTTCTCATGGATGTGAGCAGATATGTCCCTAGATCTTTCCTCACTGCTATGAAGGCACCTGTAAAACAAAAATATCACACACAGTTAAAGAATTGTCTTTTAATGGAATCAATTCAGAGATCGTCTAGTTGGAGCTGCTATTTTCCATCTAGACAGCAGCTCTATCTTCCTGCTTTTCAGATCCTGTGTGTGTGTGTGGGGAGGGGGTAGCAACTTTGAGATGTCGCTGAGATTTTGTGGGTTTTTTTTGCTTTTTTTTTTTTTTAGCCAATTACTATGTGATATAATATCTTTCCCCTTTCCTTCTTTCTCCACCCTTTCATTCTTCACTATTTCACTGATTTTGGGTCGGTTTTCAGCTTCTATTTTGCTTCCATATATGCTAATTTTCATGGTGACTCCAACGAATCATGGTTTCTTAGTAGTTTCTCCTTTTACCTCTGGACTGTGAGTGTTCCAGAATGTCTTTACCGTTAAATCATATTTATCCTTCTGTTATCCTAACTTCTTTAACACATTTCCACATTTTCTCTATGTGCTTTGCCCATTCCATACATTTCTGTGGTTTCTTCTTCTTCTTCTTCTTCTTTTTTCTTTTTTTTTTTTTTTTTTGGTTGTTGTTTTGCAATAGCAATGTTTAAACTAGTCCAGAAAAAATATGAACCTGCAGTGAAGATATTTGGCATCCTTTTCTCACAGAAATTCTGCTGGTAGTGGTTATTTGTCTGTTATCCTGAATGTGCAATTTTGTTCAGTGTCTTTTAAGCATCTAAAATCATCATATTATTTTTCTTCTTTGATCTGTTAAATGTGATTAAGTGTTACATGCATAAGTGAAAAGGATTTGTAATTTGCACATATTTATTTTTATTATATCTGTGTCATGGGGTAATATTTTAACTTTAGTTTAAAAACTGTGTATTCTTTCGTTTTACAAAAAATGTAAATGTTATCAGAATTAACCATTTCCTTAAAGTTTTAAATAATTTTTCTGTGAATAATTTTCTTGTGAAGATTGAACCTTTGGATGTTGAAGACTGAGGTAGATTTTGACCTTCATCTATTGTTCTCCTTGGAAATTGGTAAGATTAGTTTTAATCTCTCATCAGAAAATGTATTTTTCAAATTTACTGAGAATTTTGCCAAAATCTGCCTGCTTGGGGATTTCTCCTTCTGGGAAGATGGGACAGACATGGGATCAATCAGTGTAATCTACTATATTAAAACACTAACAAGAAAAATTACATAATTGTATCAATACGTACAGAGAAGGCATTGGATTTCATGGGAAAAACTTTCAGAAAAACAGGGATAGAGGAAAACTTCCTCAAGTTGATAAAGAACACCTACAAAATGCCTACAGATATCATTATACTTAGTGATTAAATATGTCATACTTTTCCCCTAAGATCAGAAACAAGGTAAGGACGTCCACTTTCCCACTGTTTTTCAACAGTTGTTACTTCTGGAAGTTCTAGGCTGTGCACTAAGGACAGAAAAGGAAATAAAATACATAGAGATAAGAAAGGAAAAAATAAAACTTTCTTTACTTGTAGATGACATAATTTTCTATTTATAAAATCCAAGAACTTACCAAAAAATGACTAGAAATAGTAAGCAAATTCAATAAGTCACAGGATACAAGAGATAAATGCACAACAATCAATTGTATTTCCCTATACTAACAATGAACAGTGCCATTTATAATTGCTAAAAAAAAAAAAAAAAAAAACTAAAATAAATACTGTGGTAGGACTTTTTCCTTAGGGTCCTTGTCACACAATCAGGAAAGATTAGGTTTGCAGACAGTTTGAAGGGTGAGAAAAATGGGATTTATTGGACAAAAAGGAAAAGAAAAGGAAACAGCGACTCTCAGGAAAGCGAGAGTCCTGCTAGCCAGTTTCCCACCTCACAGATTGAATCCCAGATACCACCCTGGAACAGGAGAGGCCAAGCTCCTCCCAGCTGCAAAGGGCGCCAAATTCCCACAGCTGCACCCCATTCTCCCAGTCTGTGGGCTGGTCCGAGGTTCTTCAGAGACCCCTTTATACTTGGCTGTCTCGATACTAAAGTATAACTCTAGCAAAACTTGTATAGAACATAGAACTTTTATGCAAAAATCTGTGCAACACTGAAGAAAGAAAACCAACATCTAAATAAATAAAGAGGCATACTGTGTTCATGCATTGGAAGACTCAACATAGTAAAGATGTCATTTCTCCCCAAATTGATTCATAAGTTTAATGCAATTTCTATCAAAATGCCAACTGCATTCGTTATATAGACAAGATTATTTAAATTTTATGTGAAAAATACAAAGAAACAAAAATAACTAAAACAATTTTGAAAATACAGAGTAACATGAGAGAATTATCAATCACTTTATAGCCACACTAATCAAGGCTATATAGATTTTGGCAGAGAGATCAACACAGATAGATCAATATGCTAGAATACCTAATCCACAAAACCATGCAAATATGTCCAACTAATTTTTTACACAAAAGTGTGAAAACAACTAAGGCCAGGCATGGTGGCTCATGCCTGTAATCCCAGCACTTTGGGAGGCCAAGGCAGGTGGATCACCTGAGGTCAAGAGTTTGAGACCAGCCTGGCCAACATGGTGAAACCCCATCTCTAAAAATACAAAAAAAAAAAAAAAATTAGCTGGGAGTGGTGGTACATGCCTGTAATCCCAGCTACTCTGGAGGCTGAGGCAGGAGAATCACTTGAACCCAGGAAGTGGAGGTTGCGGTGAGGGGAGATCGCGCCCTTACACTCCAGCCTGGGTGACAGAGTGAAACTCTGTCTGAAAAAAAAAAAAAAAAAAAGAACCAAGTCTCATACATAATGTAAAATTTAACTTAAAATGAATATGACTTAAATTATAAAATGTAAAAGTATGAAATTTTTCCAAAAAAAAGTAGGAGAAAATCTTTAAGATCTGTTGCTGGGCAAAGAGCTCCTCAAGTTAAGACCAAAAGTATGATCCATAAAAAAAAATTGATAAACTGGAGTTCGTCAAAATTAAAATCTTGTACTCTGCCATAGACCTCATTAGAAAGGATGAAAGGCAAGCTACAATAAGAGGAAGTATTTAAAAGCCACATATTCAACAAAAGATTAGTATTTTGAATGTATAAAAACTCTCAAAACTCAACAGTTAAAAAATGCAAACATTACAACCAGAAAATGGCCAAATGATAAACAGACATTTTGCTGAGGGGCATACACAGGTTACAAATAAGCGTGCTAAAAAATTAGCATCATCAACCGTTAAGGAAATTAAAGCCACAATGAGGTGTTACTACATACCTATCAGAATGGCTAAAATAAGATGTAGTGGCAACACCAAATGCTGGCAAAGGTGTAGAGAAACTGGATCTTTCACACGTTGCTGGTAGGAATGTAAAGCCGTTGAGCCACACTGAAAACCAGTTTGGCATTTTCTTTTAAAACTAAGCATGCACAGGCCAGGTGCAGTGGCTTATGCCTGTAATCCCAGCACTTTGGGAGGCCGAAGCAGGCAGATTGTCTGAGCTCAGGAGTTCGAGAGCAGCCTGGGCAACACGGTGAAACCCCATCTCTACTAAAATACAAAAAATCAGCTGGGCATGGCGGCATGTGCCTGCAGTCCCAGCTACTTGGGAGGCTGAGGCAGGAGAATTCCTTGAACCCAGGAGGTGGAGGTTGCAGCGAACCGAGATCGCGTCACTGCACTCCAGCCTGGGCAACAGAGTGAGACTCCATCTCAAAAAAACAACAACAACAACAACAAAAAACTAAGCATGCATTACCATGTGACCAAGAAACTTTACTCCTGGCCATCTGTCCCAGAGAAGTAAAACTTATTTCCACACAAAAACCTGCATATGAATGTTCATAGCAGTTTTATGTATAATAGCCCCAAACTGGAAAGAACCCAGATGTTGTTCAGTAGGTGAATGATTTAAAAACTGTGAAATAGCCATACCATGGAATATTACTCAGCCATAAAAAGAACTGTTGATACACATAACAACCTCAATGAATCTCCAGAGAATTATGCTGAGTGAGAAAAATCAATCCCAAAATGTTACACACTGTATGATTCCATTTATATATCATCCTGGTAATGAAAAAATTATAGAAATGGAGCACATAGTAGTGGTTGCCAGGTGTCAAGGATTGGGACAGGAGGAAAGTGGGTGTGGCTATAAAAGGTTAACATGGGCCAGGTGCGGTGGCTCACACCTGTAATCCTTGCACTTTGGGAGGCCAAGGCGGGTGGATCTCCTGAGGTCAGAGGTTTGGGACCAGCCTGGCCAACGTGGTGAAACCCTGTCTCTACTAAAAATACAAAAAAGTAGCCAAGTGTGGTGGTGGGCGCATTTAGCTTTACTCCCAAGGTGGTGTTTTTAACTTCATATCTCCCAGGAGTGTGGGTAATGCCTTTGTCTTTATGTATCTTATGCAAAAGGCAAATCAAGGCACCATACCCCTGCAAAAAAGTGGCCACATCTTAATCCCTGGAACCTGAGAATATGTTATATTGCATGGCAAAGCAGAATTAGGTTTGCTAATCAACCTACCTTAAAATAGAGAGATTATCCTGAAATATCCAGGGGAGTCCAGTATCCTTAGAAAGGAAAGAGGTCAGCAGGAGGGTCAGCGTTAGAGTGATTTGATGTGATAAGGATGCAGCTTTGAGGATGAAGAATGGGCAATGAGCCAATAAAAGCAGGTGGCCTCTAGAAGCTGGGGAGAGCAGGAAAATGAATTCTCCCCTAGAGACTCCAGAGAGGAATGCATCTCTGCCAACATCTTAATTTTAATCATGTGAGACTTTTATCAGACTTCTGGCCTAGAAAACCATAAGACAATAAATTCATGCTCTTTTAAGCCACTAAGCATGTGCAGCAGCAATAAACAAATAATTTTTGCAGCAGCAATAGGCAACTATTAGATTTCAGTACCTGGAGGTGGAGTGCTACCGTAACAAATTCCTAAAAATGTAGAAGTAATTTTGGAATTGAGAACTAGGCAGGAAGAATTTTAAGGAACGTAATAGGAAAAGTTAGACAGCCTTGTACAGACCTATATAAATATAAACATTAATGACTCTGTTATGGATGACTTAGAAGGAAGTAAGATGTAGGGTGGAGAAAATATACATCATCTAGAGAATACCTACATCATCAGAAACAGATTGGTGGTAGAAATATGGATGTTAAAGGTGCTGCTGGGGAGGGTGCAGAAGGAAGTGAGGAATGTATTATTGGAAACTAGAGAAAAGGGGATTTTTGTTGTATAGTGACAGAAAGATCAACTAAATTGTGTCCTATAATTATGTGGAAAGTGAAACTTTAAGCAACAAACTTGTTTACTTATCTGAGATTTCCAAAGTTTCGAAGACAAAGCCTGGTTACTTCTTGTTGCATACAGTAAAATATGAAAGAAAAGAAATAAATTGAGGGAAGAACTGTTTTAAAAAGCAGGGAAGGAGAGCAGTCAGACCAGGTCATGACAATTGGTGAAATTTGCAACTTTCCAAAATTTCAAATGATGCTAAAGTGAAGAGATTCTCTGTTAAAAAATAATGCTCTGGAGAAAAAGTCTGGAATGTAGCTGCACAACCTTTTGCTAATATCAGAGAAAGAGCAGGATGTCAGAATATTCAATCTTTGAGAAATTTAGGGTGTAACTTATAGATTCCCCTTAGTTAGCAGATGCCAAAAATAGATATGGGATTACTTAGGAATGATCTGTGGAATGAAGTGAATCCTGGTGAGACATACAAGAGGCCTACAAAGTTCCTGAGACTATAATATCAGTAGAAATATAGCCATCATGGACCAAAAAAGTCAAAAAGAGCAGACTAAAAGATGGCTGATGGACCTTTATGCTTCTCCAGACAGAAAACAGGGATCAGAAGCAAACTGATCAGCTGCAAGCATGTGCTGCCTTTTGTGATTATAAAAAAAGAACAAACAAACAACAACAACAACAAAAACCTCACAGAGGGAAGACCAGCAAACTCAGAGAATGGAGCTGTGAGCTCAGGACAGAGTCAAGAACCACAGATAATTATTCCAAGGTTTTGAAGCCTATGGAGTTTGTCAGGTTGGATTTTGAAATTACTTGGAACTAGTAACTCATTTTACCTTCAATTCTCTCCCTTTTTAAGTGAGAATATCTCTATCTGCTATCCTATGCATATCCCACCATTGTATTTTAGGAGTAGATAACTTTTTTCTTTAGTCCACGGTTGTAGAGGAATTGTGCCCCAGGATGGATCATAGGGTGATCCCCAAAATTGGGTTTTAGCCTGGGAGGCCACCTGGGTTTTTGGCTTCACGCAGGAAGGAATTCAAGAACAAGTTGATAAAGTAAAAGCAAGTTTATTAAGAAAGTAAAGGAATAAAAGGGTGGCTACTCCTTAGGGAGAGCAGCCCTGAAGTCTGCTGGTTTGCAATTTTTATGGTTATTTTTTGATCACATGCTAAACAAAGGTTAGATTATTCATGAGCTCTCAGGGAAGGGGGTGGGAAATTCCTGGAACTAAGGGTTCCTCCCCATTTCAGACCACATAGGATAACTTCTGGACATTGTAGCTCCTTTGTTTTGGCCAATTTCTCCCATTTGGAATGTGTGTATTTACCAAATGCCTCTACCCCCATTGTATCTAGGAAGTAATTAACTTACTTTTGATTTTACAGGCTCACAGGCAGAAGGGACTTGTTTAGTCTCAGATGAGACTATGGACTTGGACTTTTGGGTTAATGCTGAAATGAATGAAGACTTTGGAAGACTCTTGGGAAGGCATAATTGTGTTTTGAACTGTGAGAAGGATGAGATTTGGGAGGGGCTGGGGCAGAATGATATGGCCTGGCTCTGTGTCCCCACTCAAATCTCATCTTGAATTGTAATCCAAATTGTAATCCCCATGTGTTGGGGGAGGGACCTCATGGGAGTTGATTAGATCATGAGGATGATTCCTCCATACTGTTCTCATGATAGTGAGTGAGTTCTCTTGAGATCTGTTGGTGTTATAAAGGGCTTTTTCCCCCTTTGCTCTGCACTTCTTCTTCCTGCTGGCATGTGAATAAGAAGCCTTTCTTCCCTTTTGCTTTCAGCCATGATTTAAGTTTCCTGAGGCCTTCCCAGCCATGCCAAACTGTGAGTCAATTAAACCTCTTTCCTTTATAAATTACCCAGTCTCAGGCAGTTCTTTAGAGCAGCATGAGAATGGACTAATACATGTACATAATTAAAATGCTTTTTCCCCATTAATCTGCCTTATGTCAATATATTAGGTTGCAATTATTTTTGCACATATCTTGAGTTATCTGGACATGGGTTCCCACAGCCTTGGGCATCTCCACCCCTGTTGCTTTGCAGGGTACAGCCCCCCTCCCAGCTGCTTTCATGGGCTTGTGTTGACTGCCTGAGGCTTTTCCAGGCACACAATGCAAGCTGTCAGTGGATCTACCATTCTGGGGTCTGGTGGACAGTGGCCCTCTTCTCACAGCTCTACTATGCAGTGCCCCAATGGGGACTCTGTGTGGAGGCTCTGACTCCACTTTGCCCTTCTACACTGCCCTAGCAGAGGTTCTCCATGAGGGCTCTGTCCCTGCAGCAAACTTCTGCCTGGACATCCAGGCATTTCCATACATCCTCTGAAATCTAGGTGGAGGTTCCCAAGCCTCAATTCTTGACTTCTGTGTACCCACAGGCCCAAAACCACATGTAAGTCACCAAGGCTTGGGGCTTGCACCCTCTGTATCAACAGCCTGAGCTGTATGTTGGCCCCTTTTAGCCATGGCTGAAGCTGAAGCAGCTGAGATAGAGGACACCATGTTCCAAGGCTTCATAGAGAAAGAGGGCCCGAGGATGGGCCCACAATAGCATTTTTCCCTCCTAGGTCTCCAGGCCTGTGATGGAAAGGGCTGCCATGAAGGTCTGTGACATGGCCTGGAGACATTTTTCCCACTGCTTGGCAATTAACATTTGGTACCTTGTTACTTATGCAAATTTCTCCAGCCAGTTTGAATTTCTCCCCAGAAAATAGGTTTTTCTTCTCTATCGCATCATCAGGATGCAAATTTTCCAAAGTTTTATGCTCTGCTTTCTCTTGAACACTTTGCCACTTAGAAATTTCTTCCCCCAGATACCCTAAATCATGTCTCTCAAGTTCAAAGTTCCACAGATCTCTAGGGCAGGGGCAAAATGCCACCAGTCTCTTCATTAAAGCATAGCAAGAGTCACTTTTATTCCATTTCCCAACAAGTTTCTCATCTCCATCTGAGACCACCTCAGTCTGGATGCCATTGTCTGCTGAGACCAGCTTGGTCGGGGAGACCCTAACCCAGTGGCACTAGAGGAACTAAAGATACACACACAGAAATGTAGAAGCATGAAGTGGGAAATCAGGGGTTTCACAGCCTTCAGAGCTGAGAGCTCCAAACAGAGATTTACCCACGTATTTATTAACAGCAAGCCAGTCATTAGCATTGTTTCTATAGATATTAGATTAAGTGAAAGTATCCATATGGGAAATGAAGGGATGGGCCAAAATAAAGGGATGGGTCTGGCTAGTTATCTGCAGCAGGAGCATGTCCTTAAGGCACAGATCGCTCATGCTATTGTTTGTGGTTTAAGAATGCCTTTAAGATGTTTTCCGCCCTGGGTGGGCCAGGTGTTCCTTGGCCTCATTCTGGTAAATCCACAACCTTCCAGCGTGGGCATTATGGCCATCATGAACATGTCACAGTGCTGCAGAGATTTTGTTTATGGCCAGTTTTGGGGCCAGTTATGGCCAGATTTTGGGGGGACTGTTCCCAACAATTGTCCATATCACTATCAGCATTTTGGTCAAAGCTGTTCAACAACTCTCTAGGAAGTTTCAAATTTTCCCACATCTTTGTGTCTTCTTCTGAGCCCTCCAAACTCTTCTACCCTCTGCCTGTTCCTGAGTTCCAAAGTCACTTCCACATTTTCGAGTATTATTATATCAGCACTCCACTCCTGGTACTAAGTTACTGTATTAGTTCATTCTTGTGCTGCTATCAAGACTGGGTAATTTATAAAAGAAAGACATTTAATTGACTCACAGTTTCACATGGCTGGGAAAGCCTCAGGAAACTTACACTCATGGTTAAGGCAAATGGGAAGAAAGGCACCTTCTTCACTTTCAGCAGGAAGGAGAAGTGCAGAGCGAAGGTGGGAAAAGCCCTTTATAAAACCATTATCTCTCATGAGAACCCACTCACCATCATAAGAACAGCATGGAGGAAATGCTCCTGTGATCTAATCACCTCCACGAGGTCCCTCCCGCAACATGTGGGGATTACAATTCAGATTACGGTTCAAGATGAGATTTGAGTAGGGACACAGAACAAAACCATATCAGTACATACACATGGGAGTCCCACCAAATATGAGACTCCATGGTTGATGTTTTTATAGCATTCTGAACTACAAAAAAAGTATGGGGGTGTGGGCCTTCTAGCAAGGGTGGGGGTGGTGTCAACACAAGTCATGGAGGGTTAGGGGAGGAATTGTATGGTGAGTCAAGGTTGTCTTGTTATGAAGATAAAAGCCTCTCAGGTAATAAAAGCAGCTGGTGGAAGAACATGTGATAGTCACTGTGGGCATGGTATTCATCTTCCCTGGAGAGTTCATCTCTGGTTGATAAGATTCCCAGGGAGGGAATTCATGACAATTGAGGTCTGTCTTTAAGCAGACAAGGGGAACTCAGAGAAAGCCCTTGTCTGCATTTGTTCTTCCCCATGAGCCCTCAGTTTGAAGTAATCAGCATATGAAACTGGCAGGTGTTAGGGGTGGTATTTCCTGAAGTCCTTCAGTGCTAGAGTTCTTAAAGTGAAGGAGGGAGACAGAAAAATTAAAAGTCAGAGTGATGTGTGACTCCTAAAGTCACACGGGGTGTACACAGAGTCACACAGTGATATGAGTTGTAATATTCTATAGACATGCTACTCATAAATCACAGGGGCTGTACCTCCAGTGATATTATTTCTAATATTCTAGGGGAATGTTGCTACTATTGTCACGGCAGTGTACACCCTATGATATGACTTGTCATATCCCAGCGGGATGTTACTACTAATGTCACAATGCCTGTACACCCTGTGATATTATTTGTAATATCCTAAAGAGATGTTACTACTAAGGTCGCAATGCATGTACACCCTCTGATATTATTCGTTATATCCTCGGGGAATGTCACACGGGGTGTACTCCCTGTCATATTATTCGTAATATCCAAGGGGGATGTTATTTTTAATGTCACCGGGTGTGACATTGCACATTAAAGATGCGTATTCAACACTCGTGATACTATTCCTAATATCCTAGGGGCATGCTCTTCCGAATGTCACATGGGGTGTACACCATGTGTGTACACCTGCTGTGATATTATTCGTAATATCCTAGGGGAATGTTACTCCTGATGACACAGGCGGTGTACACCATGTGTGTACCCCTCCTGTGTTATTATTCATAATATCCTAGGGGGATGTTTCTTTTAATGTCACAAAGAGTGTACAAAACATCACAGAAGGTGTACACGTTGTGACGTTATCTGAATACCCTAGAAGGATGTTACTCCTAATATGTCACAGGGGTGTACAGGCTTTGATGTTATTTATAATCTCATAGAGAGACATTACTTCAAATATCACAGTGGACGTACACACATAGTGTATACCCTGTGATAGTATTCATAATATCCTAGGGAGATACAACTCCTGATATCACAGTGCGTGTACCCCGTGTGTGTACACCCTTGATAATAGTCGTAATATCCAGGGTAAATATTACTCCTCATATCACAAAGTGTGCACACCCTGTGATGTTTTTCCTCATACTTTAGGGAGATATTGCTTCTAATATCACAGTGGGTGTACCCCATGTGTGTATACTCTGTGACAGTATATTCTATATCCTAGGGAGGTATTACTCCTAATATCACAGTGGGTGTTCACCCTGTGATATCATTCTTATTTGACCTTGCTGCCTTTTTTAACCCACACTACAAAAGGAATGCAACAGATAAGAAGATGTTGAGATTAGACAGAGCTGCCGTGCAGCCACCGCAGGACACTTTTAATATCCCTGTTTCTCAGGCTGTAGATGAAGGGGTTCAGCATGGGGGTGACCACCGTGTACATCACTGAGGCCACCGCAGCCTTTCTCGGGGAAGATGACACATCTGAACTGAGGTACCCTCCAATGCCTGTTCCATAAAATCAGCAAACAACCGACAGGTGAGACCCACAGGTGGAGAAGGCCTTATACTTCCCACCTGATGATGAAACCCTCAGAATGGAGGAAACAATTTTATAGTAAGAGAAAAGGGTCCCCGAGATGGGAAGAAAACCAAATATGGCAGCAGGGAAATACATGATTATGTTATTGGTGAAGGTGTCACAACATGCAAGATGGGGGAGTGGAGAAGGGTCACAGAAGAAATTAGGAATTTCCACATCCTTGAAGCAGGTCATTTGTAAGGCAATCAAGTTGTGCAGCTGGGCGTCTAAAAGACTGAGAAAAAAAAAAAAGTCAACAAAACTAGAAAGCCACAGAAACAAGGGTTCATGACGGCTGAATGATATAGAGGGTGACAGATGGCTACAAACTGGTCATAGGCCATCACACTCAGGAGCATGTCTCTCTTCCATGCCTCCAAAAATGGCAAAGAGAGATGTCTGAGTCAGGCAGCCTGCATAGGAGATGACTCTGCTGTGAGATCGGATGTCCACAATCATCTTGGGGACCGTGGTGGAGGTGAAACCGATGTCAGGCAAGGATAGGTTGGAGAGGAAGAAGTACATGGGGGTGTGGAGGTGGGAGTCAGGACTGACGGCCAGGATGATGAGCAGGTTCCCCAGCACCGTGACCAGGCACATGGACAGGAACAGCCCAGCAAGGACCAGCTGCCGTTCTGGATCCTCTGAGGTTCTAGGAGGAGGAATATAGAGACATCTATTAGATTCTGTGGGTCTGTAGAGATTGGACACCTTTTGCCTAGAAAAGAGGGTTGAGAAATCGGAAACAAGTAAACCAACACCCAGCATCATGTCTGCATTTTGGATAGAAGCAAATCACAAGTAATATTTTCAGATTTCAGAGCAATCCACAGTCACCAATATTTTGCAGTTCTGACAAACTCAACTGTCTTCTAATGCTTTCATCATTGATTTCTGTGTTATTCACTTCTTGCTCTACACACCTGCCCCAGAGACACTAGATTCAAGGATGTTCCAAGAACCAGATCATCATATATAACAAATTCGTAATTGCTAGAAAAGACAGCCTATCTTTACCAAAGGAAACTATGTAATAAAACCATTCTCTTCACTTTAAGAAAAAGGTTATCCTAATTAAAGGAAATTAAGAACTCAAATATTTTATTTTATTCGAATAGATTGATACAAATTCCCTTGATTTAGAACATCTGTAAACACTGTATAACTGCTGAGACCATGCCATCTGGAAATGAAATTAAAGTTGATAGTTCATAAGCAGAAAATAGTTCCACAGGCCAGTTAGGTCCTAGTGATTTCATCATTATGTTTTCTGACTTTTCTCCTTCAAGAGAGTAATTGCTTACTCAAATCGGTGGGTCTGGTTTTAAAATTAATGTAAGCTATAACTCCTGTCCTTAGCTTCGGTGGACTTAGAGTTTTCATCAGAACATTTGACCGGCCGCGGTGGCTCATGCGTCTGATCCCAGCATTTTGGGAGGCCGAGGAGGGCGGATCACGAGGTCAGGAGATCAAGACCATCCCGGCCAACATGGTGAAACTCCGCCTCTACTGAAAATACAAAAACTTTGCCCAGTATGGCGGCGTGCGCCTGCAGTCCCAGCTACTCGGGAAGCTGAGGCAGGAGAATGGCTTGAACCTGGGAGGCAGAGGCTACAGCGAGCCGAGATTACACCACTGCACTCCAGCCTGGGCAACAAGAGCAAAACTCCGTCTCAAAAAACAAAAAACCAAAAACACACTCTCTGTCACACTGATGACAGCCAATTTTTGTGAACCAAGGAAGTGTCAATTCGATAATTCACATAGATGTTTACTTTTGCTATCTCCTTTGTGCCAAGCAAGATATAGGCTCTGGGGAATCAGAAACAAAAGAGACTCACTTGTTCCTCTCACAATACTCAGTACTTACTGAGATAAGGACAAAAGAAAATGTCCTGTCTGGAACGCAGAGAAACCAGAACTTCTGGTCAGGGGATATTTCCGTTGAACCGTATGGAGTTTAAGCTTAAAATATTAACAAATGTATCTAAAATTCACTTTGCCTTTACTTTACGCATCCATCACATGGAGATCATGCAGCGGGCACCCACGATCGGTTTAATCATCGCTCACTTCCATTGGATCAACTAGAAATCAACTCAGATGAGAGTGCTGAGTCTCAGAGGATGGACGTCTCACCCCTTGCCATACAGATAAGTAGAAAGGGTGGTACTGAAAATTAATGGCCAGACTCTAAGACCCGGGCACTATGCTTGATGGTCTCCCAACCCTCAAAATGTTGTGGGTTCTTTTTTGTTTTTGCTTTTCTTTGGTTTTTTGAGACGGAGTCTCGTTCTGTCACCCAGGCTGGAGTGCAGTGGAGTGATCTCGGCTCACTGCAACCTCCGCATCCCAGGTTCAAGCTATTCTCTTGCCTCAGCCTACCGAGTAGCTGAGATGACAGGCGCCAGCCACTACGCCCGGCTAATATTTTTCTCTTTTTAGGAGAGACGGGTTTTCACCATGTTGGCCAGGCTGGTCTCGAACACTTGACCTTGTAATTCACCTGCCTCAGCCTCCCAAAGTGCTGGGATTACAGGCGTGAGCCACCGCGCCCAGCTTCCAAAAGTTTTCAACAGAGCTCAGAGGTCTTAACCATGGGCACATCTGAGGAGCATTTTTGAAATGGTTTCCAGCTTCCTCAATAGGAATGGAAGCCAAACCCCGAATTTATGACTCCTTTGAGGAAGTCGAGAGCTGTAAGGAAAGCCAGGAACAGGGGCAAGGGAGAGATGCCTCCCGAATGATCCTGTGCCAATTCTTTCTGGAATCTTTGATGTGATCTCATCTCAGCTGCCCTTTCCATACTTGACACAGTGATTGTGGCACCCACTGGTCTAGCTGTGGCCTACAAGGAACCCCCAAAGGGAAGGGCACAGTGAGCAGGGGCATCGGCCTGAGTGACAAGGATTTGAGAGGGCAGGTTGGATGCAGGGAGAGGACTGGCCAAATGCCATGTGTCTGGCCTTAGACTGCCTGGTTCAAATTGGGCTTCACCCTTTTTGACTTCATGATCTGGTGCAAGTTATATGAAAATGTGTTGCTCCTTTTCTAGTCTGTAAAATAATCATGAAATGTGCACTAATAACTGGGAGACTAAGCAGATGAAATGAAACAAGCTGCATAGAGCACAGAGCTCAGAGCCTGGCCTTTAGGAAGCCCTCAGTAAGGGTTCATGATGCCATGGTGTCTGTCATCATCCTCTTTATCCTCATCATCACCTTCATCATCTTTTTGTTGTTCCAAGGGAATAGTTTAGAGGGACTCATTCCCTGCTATCGTGGGTGAGATGTCTATGAAAAGGACAACCAGTGGGGGAGGGAAGCAAAATTTTGAAGAAGATTCCTGAGAGAGACCCCCCACCACAACCAAGAACTGAAACTCCACAGTCTGCTGAGCTGACAGTTTGCACATTGGTCTCCTCCCATCTGCCCACGGCACTCTCCTGTTTGTCCTGAGGATGAGGAAACAAACAAGGCTCCCGACGGTCCCTCAGCACTCACTGAACTGCCCTTCCCCTCTGCTGGGCCATGACCACGGAGAACAGGTCCACTGTCCTCCCTGCATGGTGCACATTGGAGGCTCAGACTCCGTCCTCAAGGCCGGCCAGAAGGGAGGGTGAGATATGAGCCTCCTGATACGGGTGACGGGGGTGGAGCCCACAGGACTGCAACCTCATACTGCAGGGCTGGAGGCACAGAGTATTTACTATTCTATGGCGTGGGGGGCTCAAGCACAGAGCTCCTCATTAGCCAGAGTCCCCCAAGTTCCCCAAGCTCTAAGGATTTCCTCATCATCATGCAAGAAGAAGAGGAAAATGAGTGTCCATAGAAGCTCTGGAGCTCTTCCTCTAATCAGGAGAGACCTTGTGTGTATTATTCGCTTCTTTCCTTTCTTTTACAAGATCCAAGTGCTTTAATTTTCATCTTTTATTATGGGAAAATATACCATGTAGAAATGTTAAAAATTATAAATGTAGATTATTTCATATAGAATGGCCAGTATAAACATTTACAATTTCCACTCTTTTTCAGTTTACAGTTTAATCACATTAGGTACATTCACATTGTTTAGCAACCATCACCGCCATCCTCTCCAGAACAGTTTTATCCTTGAAAATGGAAATTGCACCCATTAACCAAACTCTCCATTCCTCTCTCTCTCGCCCACCCCTGGGGGCCACCATTCTATTTTGCAACTGTATAAGTTTAACTACTCTAGACACGTGATATAAGTGGAATCAGAGCGTGTTTAATTTTTCTGGTTTGTTTGTTTTGGAGACAGAGTCTTTCTCTGTCGCCCAGGCTGGAGTGCAGTGGCGTGGTCTCAGCTGACTGCAACCTCCACATCGTGAGTTCAAGCGATTCTTTTGTCTCAGTCTCCTGAGTGGCTGGGATTACAGGCATGCACCACCACGCCCAGCTAATTGTTGTATTTTTAATAGAGACGAGCTTTCACCATATTGGCCAGGCTGGTCTTGAACTCCTGACCTTCAGTGATCCGCCTGCCTCAGCCTCCCAAAGTTCTGGGGTTACAGGTGCGAGCCACTGAGCCTGGTCGTCTTTATCCTTTTGGGATTTATTTATTTCACTGACGAGAATGTCTTCAAGGTTCATCCGTGTTGCAGCCTGTGTCAGAAGTGCCTGTCTGGCTGTTTGGGTGTTTGGATGTTTTCTTTTTTCTTTTGGTTTGGTTTGGTTTGGTTTGGTTTTGTGTTCACATGGGGTCTCACTCTGTCGCACAGGCTGGAGTGCAGTGGCACAATCTGGGCTCACTGCAACCTCCGCCTCCCGGGTTCCAGCGATTCTTGTGCCTCAGCCTCCCGAGTAGCTGGGAATATAGGCACACGCCACCACGATCGTCTAATTTTTTGCATTTTCAGTAGAGACAGGGTTTCACCAAGAATGGCCAGGCTGGTCTTGAATTCCTGAACTCAGGTGATCCGCCCACCTCAGTCTTCCAAGATGCTGGGATTACAGGCGTGAGCCACCGCACCGGCCAGAAGTGCCTGCCTTTTTAAGGCTGAAAAGTCTTCCATCGCATGAATGAACTGCAGTGCACTTTTTCGTTCATCTGTCCACGAACCCTTGGGTTGCTTCCACATTTTGGCTGTTGTGAATACTGCTGCTATGAATTTGGGTGTACGAATCTCTCTTCCACTCCTGGCTTCTAATTCTTTTTGGCAGGTACCCACAAGTGCAACTGCGGGAACATCCGCTAATCCTGTTTCTACTTTTTCCGGTACACGCCATACTATTTTCCCTGTTCCTTCACGGTTTTACATTCCCTCCAATCAGATTCGAGCATTCCTACTTCCCTCTAGTTTCACCAATGCTTGTTTGTTTATCATATCCATCCAAATGTGTGGTATCACAATTTTGGTTTGATTTGCACTTCCTTATGATTAGTGATTTTGAACATCATTTTAGACGCTTATTGGCCATTGCTATATCTTCTTTAGGGACACGTCTACTCGAGTCTTCTGACCATTGTCAATGGGATGCTTTGGGTTTCTTGTTGTTCAGTTCTAGCTGTTCTATGTATACGATGCCTATCAGCCTCTTTTCAGAGATATGATTTGCAAATATTTTTCCTAATCCATGGGTTATCCTTTCACTCAGTTCACAGTGTTTGCTGATGCACAAAAGTGTCTGTCATTTAGATGTAATCCAAGGAATCTAATTTTCTTTTGTTGCCTATGCTTTTGGTGTCATATCCCAGAAAGCATTGCCCAATCTGATGTCATGAAAGTGTGGCCTATGTTTTCTTTTAGGCATATTATACTTTCAGCACTTGGGGTTAGGTCTTTGATCCAGTTTGTGTTAATTTTTGCACCTGGTGTGACATAGAGTCCACCTTCATTCTTCTGCATGTGGAAATCAAGTTTCCCCAACACCATTTCTTGAAAAGGCTGCTTTTCCACCAATGGACTTTCTTAGCACTCATGTGAAAAATCATTTGAACATATAGGTGAGAAGTTATTTCTGGGCTGAAAAACAAACAAACAACAACAGACAACAGATAAGGATGCAGCGTGGGCCAGGCACGGTTGCTCACACCTGTAATCCAAGCACTTTGGGAGGCCAAGGCGGGCAGATCACCTGAGGTCAGGAGTTCAAGACCAGCCTGACAGACAGGAAGAAAACCCCATCTCTACTACAAATATAACATTAGCTGGGCGTGCTGGGGCATGCCTGTAATCCCAGCTGCTCGGGAGATGGAGGCAGGAGAATCGCTTGAACCCAGGAGGCAGAGGTTGCGGTGAGTCAAGATTGCACCATTACACTCCAGCCTGGGCAACAAGAGCGAAACTCTGTCTCAAAACAAAAAACCAAAAACAAAAAATCCAGCATGATTTCGAGAGCAGAAAGAGAATAGCTGAAAAACCAGCATAATGAGAAAGTTAGGAAGCTTCTTACTAAAGCATCTGGAAACATGCAAGAAATTCTTGTGAACTAAAATTTTCATACTGTACTATCAAACACTAGAACTCACTTATTCCATCTTTCTGTATTTTGGGACCCAATTATCCACTTCTCTTCATTCCCCATCCCACCCCTTTTCTTCCTACCGTCTGCTAACCACCTTTATACTTTCCACCTTCCTGAGATTCCTTTTGTGTGTAGGTGTGTGATGGAGTCTCTTTCTGTTGCCCAGGTTGGAGTATACAGGCACAATCTGGGCTCACGGCAACCTCCGCCTCCTGAGTTCAAGCACTTCTTGGGCCTCAGCCCTCCGAGTAGCTGAGACTACAGGCACGCATCACCACGCCGGGCTAATTGTGTTTTTAGTAGAGACGGGGTTTCACCATGTTGGCCAGGCGGGTCTCGAACTCCTGGCCTCAAGTGATCCATGCGACTCGGCCTCCCAAAGTGCTGGGATTACAGGCCTGAGCCACCACACCTGGCCAAGATTTTCTTTTTTCTTCCTACACATAAGTGAGGACATGTAATATTTCTCATTCTGTGCCTGGCTTATTTCACTTAATATACAGACCTGAAATCTCATCCATTTTGTCTGCAGTGGAGAGGATTTTGTTTATTCCTTTTTAGGCTGAATAATACTTCATTGTGTGTGTATACCACAGTTTCTCAACTGAAACAAATTTCTAAAAAGCAAATATTTTTAACATGTCTCGGAATGTGAAACTTCAGGGATACTGTGCCTATTTTATTCTTTTCTATTTCCCGTCTTATGTATATGCAAGTGTATAACAAAGCAGCATCAAAGTGTGTATAAATCTATAATTTCAACAAATGTAAAATGAAAATGCTAAGTAGTGGCTGGGCGCGGTCGCTCATGCCCGTAATCCCAGAACATTGGGAGGCGGAAGCGGGCGGATCACCTGAGGTCAGGAGTTCAAGACCAGCCTGACCAATACGGAGAACCACTGTCTGTACTAAAAATACCAAAAAAAAAAAAAAAAAAAATTAGCCGGCATGGTAGTGCATGCCTGTAATCCCAGCTACTTGGAAGGCTGAGACAGGAGAATCACTTGAATACGGGAGGCAGAGGTTGCAGTGAGCCGAGACCGTGCCACCAGCCTGGGCAACAAGAGTGAAACTCTGCCTCGAAAAAAAAAAAAGAAAAGAAAAGAAAAAGAAAAAAATAGAAAATGCTAAATGGTAAGAAACAACAGCATAATAAACATTTGTATGGTGTTGATGGACAATGCATTTGAAGATAATATTTGAAGAAATCATATTACAATTAACATCTGTTCTTACTCATTGGAGCTTGATGCCTCTAAAAACTTCGTCATTGCAACCACCTCTGGTGCTTTAAAAAAAAAAAAAAATCCACATACTCACATAGGTGCAGGGAAATCAGAATCTGAGGTAATGAGACCCAGGCCTCATCATTTGTAAGCTCCCCAGGTGATTTGACTCAAAGCCAAGATTGAGGACCGGTGACATGGATCGCTACACATAACCTGCCTAAATAGATTCTTTAGAAGCAGTTTATAAAGAAATTCCACATGAACTCTGAAGAGGATATGAATTTGATGTACAGTATGTCCTCACTTATCGTCTTTGAAAGTCTCTTGGAAACTTCACCTTTAAGCAAGATTAGGTATAGTGAAACCACTTATTCCTCACCAACATTATAACTACACATCTTTGAACGCACCAATGGTGTTGGAGGACCTGCTGTACATTGCTTCCATGAAGTCAATTTTCAGGGAATTCCAAAACGAAGTGCGGACTTCATGTATATAAAAAGATGGCTGTGATTCCACCTGGATGACAGGGTTATTGCTCAGAAACTAAAGGAGGCCGCCTAGGTATAGAGGATTCAGTCATGAGGTTTCTGCTAAACAAAGGATCCCAGAATCCTCACCCACTCCAGTTAAAGGCACAACGAAGAAAACAATATCCACATAGGAAATGCAGAAAGGAATAAAAGCCATCAAGCCACAAAAATAATGTGACTAAGGGTCAGGATTTGCAGATGTAGGGATTTGATGTGGTTGCCCTTTCTTACCCACACAAGAAAAAGGATGGAACAGATCATGAGATTCGACTGTTCTGCTGCGCAGCCTCCACAGGGCGCTTTGAATGTCCCTGTTTCTCAGGCTGTAGATGAAAGGGTTCAGCATGGGGGTGACCACAGCGTACATCACTGACGCCACCACACCATTCCTGGGGGGTGGTGCCACAGCTGAAGTCAGGTACATGCCAATGCCTGTTCCATAAAATAAGCAAACAACTGCCAGGTGAGAGCCACAGGTGGAGAAGGCTTTATACTCCCATCTGACGATGAAATCCTTAGAATGGAGGGAACAATTTTATAGTAAGACAAAAGGATCCCTGAAATGGGAAGAAAACCAAACATAGTACTATTGAAATACATGAATATGCTATTGATGACGCTGTCAGAACAGGCAAGGTTGAGAAGTTGAGATGGCTCACAGACAAAATGAGAGATTTCCACATTCTTGAAGAAGGTGAATTGTAACAATCTAACTGTGCAGCTGGGAATCCAACAGGCTAAGGAAAAAGGACACCAAAACTAAGAAGACACAGAGGTGAGGATTCACGATGACTGCGTAGTGCAGAGGGCGACAGATGGCTACAAAGCAGTCCTAGGCCATCACAGTCAGGAGCATGTCTTCTATACATGCAAAAAGGACCAAGAAAGACATCCGTGTCAGGCAGCTCGCATAAGAGATGACTCTGATATGTGACTGCATGTCCACAGTCATCTTGGGAACCGTGGCCGAAGTGAAACCGATGTCAGCCCAGCACGGGTTGGAGAGGAAGAAGTACATGGGGGTGTGGAGGTGGGAGTCAGAGCTGACAGCCAGGATGACGAGCAGGTTCCTCAGCACTGTGACCAGATACATGGATGGGGACAGCCCAGCGAGGACAGGCTGCAGTTCTGGATCCTCTGAGAGTCCCAGGAGGAGGAATTCTCAGACACCTGTGAGATGCCGTGGCTCTGTGTGACTTGGACACCTTGGGAAGAAAAGAGGATTGGAAAAATAAAAGATAAAAACCAGCCCTTAATGCTGTGTGTATATTTTGGATGCAAGCAATTCACAAGGAACATTTTCACACTTGAGGACCATACACCGCCAGCAATATTTCTCAGTTGTGACAAGCCCAAAAGTCTCAGAATTATTACATGATTTACTTTTTTGCTATTCAACTCCTTCTGTACATACTACTTTAGAGAAAATCCACTGAAGAATTTTAGAAGTCCAAAACATAATATACAACAAATCCATGATCTCAGTAAAATACGGCCTACTCTTTTCAGAAAAAATAAAATGCAATGAAGATGCTCTTCTCTCTTTAAGAAAAAGATCTCAGTCTAATTGAAAGAAATTAAGAAGCAGTGAAATACACTCTGTTTTATTCTGACACCGTGCGACAAATTCCTTTGATGTAGAATATGTAAAAGGATGATACAAGAGCTAGGACCGCATTATCTAAAAACAAAATAGAACCTTAGAGTTCTTAATCGGAAGACCTTTTAACATGCCACTTACTTTTCATATTTATTATCATCCTTAGGTTTTCTGACATCATTTATTCATAAAAGTACATGCACACTCAAATATGGGAGCTGTGTTTCCACATTAATTTAATATATAACTCTTGGCCAAGTGCCATGGCTCACACCTGTAATCCCAGCACTTTGGGTGGCCGAGGCCGACGGATCACCTGAGGTCAGGAGTTCCAGACCAGCCTGGCCGACGTGGTGAAACCCCATCTCTAGTGAAAATAAAAAAAAAAATTAGCCAGGCGTGGTGGCGGGTAACCCTAGCTGCTCAGGAGGCCGAAGCAGGAGAATCCCTTAGAACCTGGAAGGCAGAGATTGTACACCCTGTGGTATGATTTTGGATATCCTAGGGAGACATTGCTCCTGACATCAGAGTGGGCGTACACCCTGTGATATTGTCTGTAATATCGTAGAAAGATGTTGCTCCTAATATCACAGTGGCTGCACACCCTGTGATACTAATTGTAATATCCTACAGAGATATCATTCCTAATAATACAGTGGGTGTACACCCTGTGATATTGTTCCTAATATCCAGGGAAGGAGAGGATGACATTATGCCCAATATCACTGGGGGTGTACCGCCTCCCGCGGGGATATTGTTCTTAATATCTGGAGGTGGAGAGAATGATGTTACTCCCAATATCACAGGGGGTGTACACTACCCCTGTTTGTAAACACCCCCTGTGATATTGGTCCAAATGGCCTGTGAAAGAATAAATATGACTCCCATTATCGCGGGGGGTGTTCAGCCCTGATGATATTGTTTTCTAACATCCAGGGAAAGAGAGTATGCTATTACTCCCAATATCGCAGGGGTCGTACACCCTTCTGTGTTTTTGTGCCCAATATCCAGGAAAGTAGAGGATGATATTACTCCCAATATCGAAGTAATTGTACAGCACCCCTGTGATATTCTTCCTCATATCCAGAAAGGGAAAGAATGATATTACTCCCAACAGCATAGGAAATGTATACCCGCGCTGTGATATCTTTCCCAATACCCAGTTGGGGAGAGGATCATATTACTTCCAATGTCGCAGGGTGTGTACACCCACTCTGTGATCTTGTTGCAAACATCCAGGTTTGGGGAGGATGACATTACTCCCAATATCGCAGGGGAAGTACACTCCCCCATGACCTTGTTAGTCATTTCCTGGGTGGAGAGGATGATATTACTCCCAATATCGCAGGGGGTGTACACACCCCTGTGAAAATCATCCTAATATCCAGAGGGAGAGAGGATGATATTACTCCCAGTACCGCAGGGGGTTTACACAGCCCTGTGATACTCTTCCTAATATCCACAGGAAGAGAGGATGATATTACTCCCAGTACCGCAGGGGGTGTACACAACCCTGTGACATTGTTCCTAATATCCAGAGCGAAAGAGGATGATATGACTCTCAATATCGCAGGGGGTGTACACCCCTCCTGTCCTATTGTTCTGAATACCCTGGGAGGGAGAGGATAAGGTTACTTTGAATATGGCAGGGAATGTACACCCTCCCCCTCTGATACCCTTCCTAATGTCCAGGGGAAGAGAGGAAAATTTTACTCCCAATATCGCAGAGGCAGTACACCCCACCTGTGATGTTGTTCCCAATATGCAAGGGGAGAGAGGATGATATTACTCCCAATATTGCAAGGCTGTTCACATCCCCAGTGACATTTTTCCTAATATCTAGGGGAGAGACAATTATATGACAGCAAAGGTCACAGGGTCTGTACATCCTGATATGGTTCCTAATATCCAGGGGGGAAGAGGATGATATCAAATATGAAAGGGGGTGTACACCACCCACCCCTATGATATTGTTCTTAATATTCATGAGGGGAGACGATGATATTCCTCCAAATATCACAGGGGTTGTTGACACCCCCCTGTGATATTGTTTCTGATATCCGGGCGGGAGAAAATCATATTACTTCCAATATTGCAGGTGGTGTATACCCCACCTGAAATATGGCATCGAATATCCAAAGAGGGAGAGGATGGTATTAATACCAATATCGAAGTGTGTGTACACACCCCTTGTGATATGGTTTTTAATATCCAGTGGGTGGGAGGATGATATTAGTCCCAACATCCCAGAGGGTGTACACTACCCCTGTGATATTGTCTCTAACTTCCAGAGGGGAGAGGATGATATCACTCCCAATATCTCAGAAGTTGTACATCCCCCGTGATATTGTTTGTCATATCCAGGGAGGCACAGGATGACATTCCATTGAATTTCGCGACAGGCGTACATGCACAGTGTGATATTGTTCCTAATATCCAAGAAGGGAGAGGATGATATTACTCCCAATAAAGCAGTGGGTGTACATGACCCCTGTGTTATTGTCTCTAATATCCGGGGCCAGGGGAGCGGGGGAGAGGATAACATTCCCTCAAATTTAGCAGGTGGTTTGACGCCCCTTGTGGTGTTGTTTTAAATATCCAGCGGGGAAGACAATAGTACTATTTTTGATACTCCGATTCATCCGCTCCACCTTTCTGGAACTCTGAGGCTGGGAGGCGGCACGCAGTTTCCGTGTGATCCCCAATACCTTTGCCGTCTTCTGTACCAAGGCAGCCAAAAACGCAGGCTTGTTATCTGAGCTGATCCGTAAGGACAGTCGAAATCTAGGAATCAGATCTCGAAGGAGCACAGGGTTTACTTCACCAGCTTTCTCAGTTTGTGTTTGATAGGCCTCCACCCACCCAGAGTAGGTACGCCCAAGAACTAGTAAATACTTGGTACCTCCACACTTTGGCATCTCTGTGAAGTCTACCTGGAGATCTTCAAAGGGGACTGCTCCATAAGCTTGTATGCCGGGCGGAACGGCTGGACCTTGCCTCGCATTATGCTCTCGGCAGGTAACTCACCGCTGCCTCAGCATTTTGGCAAGGGCTGACAAATGTGAGATGTAGAAATACCGGCCTAACAACTTTTCCAGTGACTCCTGACCTACATGGGTGGTTTCTTGCACAGCCAGTACAACTGCAGCTCCTAGCAACTGTGGCACAGCTATTCTCACATCTGGTAACTGAATCCATCCTCCCTCCATCACTTGTCCTTCCCTCTACCTGGAGAAAGTCCTTTTCTTCTTTAGAAGAAGTAGGTCCAAGATCAGGTGCTTGAGGGAGCACTGATGCCCAGAAGGGGGCAAATGCTGCTTCTTCGAGCCTCTGAGTCAGCGAGGGAATTCCCCAAACCCAGCAAGGTGGAAGCTCGCTGGTGTCCTCTGCAATGCATGACTGCCACCTTGTGGGGTTTCCATACTGCTTTTAATAATTGCAAGATTTCTTGTTGATATTTTCTGTCTTTTCCCCCAGAGTTCAATAGGCCCTTTTCTTTCTATCATGCTCCATGCACTTGAAGGGTTAAAAGACATACCAAGAATCAGTGTAAATGTTTACAGTCTCACCTTCACTGAGTTCTAAGGCCCGAGTGAAAGCAATGAGTTCCGCTTTCTGGGCTGAAGTGGCCTGGGGCAACAATCTGGCTTCAACAACAGTGTCCAGGGTTACCACTGCATACCCTGCATCTCTCTCTCCTTGGGGGTTGAAGAAGCTGCTCCCATCCACATATAGTTCCCAGTCTACTGATGTGCAAGGCTGGTCCCGGAGGTCAGGTGTGCTAGAGTCAACTGAGTCCAACACTTCTACACAATCAGGCTGGACAGGGCTCTCTGGTACCGGGAGCAAGGTGGCAGGGTGTAGGGTGTTACAAACTTCAATAGTTATATAGGGATTTTCACAGAGCAAAGTTTGGTGCTTGATGAGTCTGGCATTCGTTAGCGAATGATGTCCTTTAGTATTCATTAAAGTCACCACAGCATGGGGGGCCTTTATGTTCAGGTTTTGCCCAAGAGTCAGCTTATTAGCTTCTTGTACTAGCAGGGCAGTTGCTGCCAAGGCCCTCAAACAGGGGGACCATCCTTTAGAAACCCCATCTAGTTGTTTAGAGAGGTAGGCCACTGGCCTCAGCCAGGGCCCCACAGTTTGGGTTAAAAGTCCAGCTGCCATCTTTTCTCTCTCTGACACATACAATGGAAGAGGCTTTGTCAGATCGGGTAGCCCCAAGGCTGGGGCTGCCAGAAGGTTTTCCTTTAACTCATGAAAGACTTCCTGTTGTTGGGATCCCCATTCCAAAAGTTCCCAGTCCCTGCCCCCTTTGTGACCTCATACAAAGGCTTGGCTAATACTGCAAAGTTTGGGATCCACAGTCTACAAAACCCCACAGCTCCTAAGAATTCTCTCACTTGCCTTCTGCCCTGAGGCTCTGGTAGGTTGCAAATGACCTGCTTTCTTTCTGATCCAGGGCTGCATTCCGACCCCTCTCGGATAGTAAATCCCAAGTAAGGTACCTGCCGTCCGCAGATCTGAGCTTTCTTCTTGGACACCTAATACCCATAGTCCTCCAGGTGCCTGTGTAGGGCATCTGTTCCCTTGGCGCACCCGACCGCCGTGGGGTGTCTTAACCTACTGGAGCAACACACAGCCTAGGTCTCTGGTGGGAAACTCTGGAGGTCTCAAGCCAATGCCTCCCTGAAGATGGTGGGGAGTTCTTGAACCCTTGGGGAAGTCCAGTCCAAGTGTACTGAGTAGTGACACCTGACTCCGGATCTTCCCACTGAAAGGCAAACAGCTTCTGCCTCTCAGGGGCTAATCTGATAGGAAAGAAAGCATCTTTCAGGTCCAAGCAGGTGAACCAGCTGTCCTCAGCTGGCAGCAACCCCAACAATGTGGATGGGTTAGGTACTGTTGGACGTAAAGTCAGTGTAGCTTGATTAAGCAAGTGCAAATCCTGTACCGGCCGGTAGTCCTTGGTCCGTGGCTTGGGAACAGGCAGGAGGGGAGTGTTCCATGGAGACTGACAAGGAACAATAATTCCAAAAGTTCTTAGGTGCTTGAGATGGACCTGGATACCTTGAAGAGCTTCTCTGGGGACCAGGGCCTGTTTTTGCCTAACCGGCTGGGCCCCAGTCTTAACTGGCCAATCCCGGAGGGTTGTCTTCCACCCGTACTCTTGGCCACCGCTTAGCCAGAGCTGGTCTTCTCTCTTGGCCCAGCTCAGTTAAGAAAAGTCTCCATTCCTCCTCTCGGGGGACCATAAGGGTCATAATGACTCCTGTTCCGGGTAACTTTAGCAGCAAAGAGCCATGCTCTGTCAAAGAGATAGTGGCTCTCAGCTTGCTGAGCAAGTCCCTTCCCAAAAAGGGCAAGGGACAGTCAGGCATGTACCAAAACTGATGAATGACTTTATGTCCTCCTACAGTGCAAGTCCGAGGCAAGCAGAAAGCCTGCTTTGCTGAAACCCCCGTGGCTCCGATGACGTCAATAGTTGTTTCGGATAAGGGGGCGACCGGGGCGGTTACTAGCGAATGTTCAGCACCACTATCTACAAGAAAATCAATGTCTCTACCCCCGACTGTCATTCTGACCAGAGGCTCTTTGGGGACACTTGAGCCCGGTCTCCCTCAGGCCAATAACCCTTCTGCCAGGTTGAGCAGGGCCCCTTCCTCCTTCTCCGGGCCCTCCTGCTCTGAGTCACCTTGTTTTCTTTTGAGCTGAGGGCATTTGTTCTTCCGCTGTCCTATTTCTTTACAATAAGCACACTGGTTACGCTGCAAACTCTGACAGCCAAGCTGAGTTTCTTTCCCAGGGCCCCCCTTCCCTTGCCTCTTTGGGTGGGGGGCCCTCTGATTGCTGCAGCTAACAAACAGGTCGGTGTTTTGCTGGGCCTGACCTCCATTCTCTTTGCCGTTTTCCTTACTGCTTACTGCATCCCTGCTTACAAACACCTGGCTAGCTATTTCTAGTAATTGTGATGTATTCATCCCTGCAAGCCCAGCCTGTTTCTGCAGTTTTCTTCTCATGTCTTCTGTGCTTTGACGGACTAAAGCCATGTTAATCATGCGCTGATTTCAGGGCTATCGGGATCAAAGGGAGTATACATACAATAGGCCTCACACAGCCTCTCGTAGAATTGTGCTGGACTTTCTTCTTTTCCCTGAATGACCTCAGAGACCTTTTTAACATTTGTGGCCTTCTGAGCTCCCCTCATTAATCCTTCCAAGAGAGCTTCCCTGTCTCGGTTTAGCCTTTGCATATCCTCTCTTTCATGTGGGTCCAACTGGGGGTCGGTTCCTGGTAACTGGGTCCTTACATACTCTTGGGGGTTTTGATAATCAGCTGATGCATGTTCCTCTAGCCACTTAGTTGCTGCTTGGGGACTCTCCGCCTTTCTTCGCTGTTAAAGAGGAACATGAGCAACAGGTGCCAATCAGCCCAGGTGTGGTTGTGGGTCTGGATAACAGTTTGGAGCAAATCAATTAGGGCTTGTGGCTTTTTGGTATAGGGCGGTGTATTGGTTTTCCAGTTGAGAAGGTCGACGCAGGTGAAGGGCTGGTACCCAAAAACACGCCTCTCCACCACGTGACCATCCTCATCTATCCCAGTATACCGCTGCTCTCTCAGGGGCATTTGTATCCCCGTTTTGGGTCGTAAACGAGCTGCCGAGGGAGGGGTGGAATGGCGCAATGTGACTTACCGCAATTAATAATCTCAGTTATTAATTGACACTAATAATTATCAATATTAATAACTGATAATATAATTTTTAAAATCAATACCAATAATAATGATGATTAATATTAAATAGTCATACTAATGATAACAATAAATGATTAATATTAATGATTAATGATGCCCGATATTAATAACTGATATTGATCTTATTCACTAGAAAACAGTAATATTAGCTCCTAATAATTAATATTAATATTAATCTGAAAAATTTTTATTAGCAATTATTTCTTAATATTAATATGAATATCGGTCATTGATATTCATGTTAATAATAAATGAGGAATAATTCATACTACTATTAAGCCTAATACCTCAGTGGGTGTACACCCACCTGTGATATTGCTCCTAATGTCCAGGGAGGGAGAGAGCATGATATTACGTTCAATATCGCAGTAGGTGTACACCCAGCCAGTGATATTGATCCGAGTATAATCTCCAGGGGGTGGAGTATGAAGTTACTCCCAATATAGCACTGGGTGTGCATCCACCCGGTAATTTTGCTCCTAATAGTCACGGAAGAAGAGAATGCTATTACTCCCAGTATCGCAGGAAGTGCACACCCCTTCTGTGACATTGTTCCTAATATCCGGAGGGGGAGAGGGTGATATTACTCGCAATATCGCAGGCTGTGTACACCCACCCTCTGATATTGTTCCTAGTAGCCAGGAAGGGAGAGGAGGATATGACTCCCCATACAGCAGGAGGTGTATACCCATCCTGGGATATTATTCCTAATATCCATGGAGAGGAGAGGCTGATATGACTCCCAATATCGCAGGGGGTGTACATCCAGTCTGTGATATTGTTCTTAATATTCAAAGGCGGAGAGGTTGATATTACTCCCAATATCACAGAAAGTGTACAAACCCGTGTACTATTGTTGCTATTATCCAGAAGAAGAGAAGATGATATCACCCCCCCCCCCCCCCCCATCGCAGGAGGTGTACACCCACTCTGTGATATTTTTTCCAATGTGCAGGGCAGGGGAGGATAATATTCTTCTTAATAGCACAGGGTGTGTACAGCCCCACTGTGATATGGTCCTTAATATTCCTAGGTGGAGAGGATGATCTTACTCCCAATACCGCAGAAAGTGTACACCACCCCAGTGATATGGTTCCCATGATCCAGGAGAGAAGAGGATGATGTTACTTTCAATATCGCACGGGGTGGAAACGCCCCCAGTGATATTGTTCCTAATTTCAACGTGGGAGAGGATGATACTACACGGAATGCCCCTAGGGGTAAAAACACTCCTGTGATATTGTTCTTAATATCAAGGGGAAAGAGGATGCTATTACTCCAAAAGTGCAGAGGATGTGCACCCGTCTGTGACATAGTTGGTAATTTCCAGGGACGAAGATATTACTGACAATAACGTGAACACTCTGTGTGACCACCGTGGATCGTCATATCCAGCGGGGGAGAGGGGGGTGATATGACTCCCCGCATCGCGGGGGGCTCATCCCCTTGCCATGGGAGTCCTAAGAGCCAGGGGGGGATAGGGGCTGGCTCTTACTCCCCTTACCACGGAGGGGGCCTCACCCCCCTGCGATGGGGCTCCTAAGAGCCAGGGGCGGAGAGGGGCTGGCTCTTACTCCCCATATCGCAGGAGGTGTGTACAACCCCTGCGATATTGGGACTAATATTATCCTCTCCCCCTGAATATAAGAAACAATATCACAGGAGGATGTACACCCCCTGCGATATTGGAGGTAACATCATTTTCTCCCCCTTGGGATATTCGGAACAATATCACAGTGGGTGTGTACAGCCCCTGCGACATTGCCGCTAGTATCTTCCTCTCCCTCCCAGGATATAAGGAAGAATGTCACAAGAGGGTGTACACCCCCTGCGATATTGGCCGTAATATCTTCCTCTCCCCTGCTGCCCTTTAGGAGCAACGTCACAGAAGGGGTGTTCCCCCCCTGCTATATTGGGAGTGATATCATCCTCTCCGTCCCTGGATATTAGGAATAATATCCCTAGGGAGTGTACACCTCCTGCAATATTCAGACTAATATCATCCTCTCGCCGCCTGAGTATTAGGATCGATATCACAAGGGTGGTGTGCACCCCCGGCGAATTGGAAGAAATATCATCCTCTCCACCTTTGGATGTTAGGGACAGTATCACGGGGGAGGTCTCCGCCCCCTGCGATATTGGGAGTCATATCATCCGCTCCCACCCAGGATATTAGGAACAAGATGACCGAAGGGACGTACTCCCACTGCGATATTTTCAATAATGTCATCCTCTACCCCCTGGCTATTAGGAGTAACATCATAGAGGGGTGTACACTTTCTGCGATATTGGGAGTAATATCATCTCCCCCACAGATATCGGGAACAGTTACATTAATTATTAATATTAATAAACAATAACAATTAATAGTAATCATCGATATTAATAATTACAGTAGAGACAGTAAAACAGTATGGATTAAAATATTAATGGTTACTATTAATAATTAATAGCAATATCACTATTAATAATAAAATAATGATATCGGTAATTAATGTTACTTCAATCATAAGTGATGGTAATAAAACAATAATTAGTATTAAAATTAATAACTAATATTAAAAGTGACATTAATATTAATTATTTTAATCATGCATAATCATATCTTGAAAATAAGCATTAATGATTAATGACATTATACTATTAATCTTACCATTGATAATTCTTAATAAGACTGATGTTTAATAATTCATAATATTATTACTCCTAACACCACAGGGGGTGTACACCTACCTGTGATATTGTTCCTAATAGTCAGGGATGGAGAGCATGATATTAGTTTTCATATCACAGTAGGTGTACACTCACCCTGTGACACCGATCCTAATACCCAGCGGGTAGAGTATGACATGACTGCCAACAGAGCAATGAATGTACAGCCACCCGGTGATATTGCTCCTAACATCCACGGAAGAAGCGTATGATATTACTCCCAATATCGCAGGGAGTGTACACCTCTTCTGTGATATTGTTCCTAGTATGCTGAGGGGGACAGGATGATAATAATTCCAGCATCACAGGCTGTGTTCACCCAGCCTGTGAAATTGTTATTAATATCCTGAAAGGGAGAGGATGATATTACTCCCCATAATAGATAGATATGACTCCCCATAATAGAGCAGGAGGTGTACACCCACCCTGTGATATTCTTCCTAATCTTCAGAGGCCGAGAGGTTGATATTACTCCCGATATCGCAGGAAGTATACACCCGCATGTGAGATGGTCCTTAATAATATTCCAAGATGGAGGGGGTGATATGACTACATATATGACAGAAAGTGGACACCCCCCAGGGATATTGTTCCCATGATCTTGGAGGGAAGAGGATGGTATTACTTTCAATACGACAGAAGGTGGACACGCCCCTACTGATATTGTTTCTAATTGCAACATGGGAGAGGAGGATATGATACGCGATATCGTAGGGAGTAGAAACACCCCTGTAATACTGTTCTTAATATTCAGGGAGGAAGAGGATGATATTACTCCCAATACAGACGCTTGTACACCGTCTGTACACCGAGGGTGTACACCCGTCTGTGAAAAAGTTCATAATCTCCAGAGGGGGAGATGATATTACTCACAATATGGTAAACAGGCTGTGAGTCCACCGCGGATCCTAAAAACCAGGAGGGGGGAGAGGGGCTGGCTCTTACTCCCCGCATCGCGGGGGGTGCCTCACCCCCCTGCGATGGGGGTCCTAAGAGCCAGAGGGGGAGAGGGGCTGGCTCTTACTCCCCGCATCGCGGGGGGTGCCTCACCCCCCTGCGATGGGGGTCCTAAGAGCCGGGGGGGAGAGGGGCTGGCTCTTACTCCCCGCATCGTGGGGGGTGCCTCACCCCCCTGTGTTTGTTTGCACTTTTATTTTGCTGGAGTAAAACATCCAAAGAGAGGAGGTCATCTTTTGGAGTCCCTGCTGGGTAAAACTTTGTTTTGCTCTCAGAGAACCTCTCTGGGCAGCTGATGATGCCCTTCTGATGCAGGACAGGTGAGCCCCCACGATTAGGGCTTAGTCCAAGAAGTTTCTTGGCTTCACTAACGAACAAATTCAAGAGTGAGCTGGTGGTAGAAAACAGCCTAATTGAGGTAGCAGTGTCACAGCTCCATGACTGCTGCTGCAAAGCAGGGCTACCCCATAGGTGGTGTTTGGAGAGTAGCAGCTCAGAAGCAGTTTTGCAGTCATATTTATACCTGCTTTTAATTACTTGCAAATTCAGGGGTGGTTTATTCATAAATTTCTTTGGGCAGTAACTTCCAGGTGTTGCCATTGCAATGGTAAACCACCATGGCACTGGTGAGCATGTCTTGTGAAGAGATGCTTTCAGTGGCTGTTCCAGCCACTGTTCCAGCCAGTCTTTCATCTGGTCTGGATGAAAGACCAGATGTCTTTCATCTGGTCTGGATGAAAGACCAGATGTCTTTCATCTGGTCTGGATGAAAGACCAGATGTCTTTCATCTGGTCTGGATGAAAGACCAGATGTCTTTCATCTGGTCTGGATGAAAGACCAGATGTCTTTCATCTGGTCTGGATGAAAGACCAGATGTCTTTCATCTGGTCTGGATGAAAGACCAGATGTCTTTCATCTGGTCCTGCCTCTTACCTCATTCCCTGCTCAGAGATTAGATACTTCTCCTTGCAGAAAGGTGAAGGCCCATTTTCCGTAACTGCTTTCTGCTGATTTTAGGGGCATACGCCCTGCCTGGCATCAGAGGAGTAAAAATGTCTGTATACCTTATCTAGGGGGCCAAGAGGCAGGATGCTTTTATTCTCTGTATCAGTAGACAGAATGTGTTTGAAGCCTTGTGCCAGCATTGTGTTTACCTGGAACTGTTATAATCTAGAAGACATAAAGTTTACTAAGAGGTTAAAGTAGCAAGGGCCAAAGATTAGTAATAACAAGACAGCTATCAGAGGTCCTAGGATTGATAAAAACCAGGTGAGACTTGGGATGGCAATTTTAATAGTGGACCAGATATATTTGGGTTCACTGCCCCAGTTATATCTATGTAATCAGGTAGCTTGCTCATAGATCTTTTGAATGTTAACCTCAACATGCCCAGAGTTGTTAATATATGTGCAGTAAGTTTTACTAATAACTGCATAGACTTTGCTTTGTTCAGCTGGTAAATAATCCAATACTAGTCTGTTGTTGAGAACTACATTTGCCAAACAGTCTAGGGACTCTTGAATTCCCTTTACTGCCTGACCTGTGTTGGTGGCTAAGGATTCTAGGATTTCAGTCAAGTTCTTTAGGGTTGACTCGTGGTAGGCAAAGCTACCCCCTGGATGCCATTAGTCCTATTGCTGCCCTGATTCCTGCCAGAATTAATCCTCCTGCTTGCTCCTTTCTGGTATTCCTGGGTCTTATGGGGTTATAGACTGTGACCCCTGAAGAGGCAAGGGTGGTCAACATACATTCACCTCTGCTTCAAGCTTTGATATACAAGGGAAAGCTACTCCTAAAAGAACAGGTGGCTCCTTGGAGAGTCGGGCATGGTTATGGGGTGTGACTTCTTCCCATTCATGGCCACAGACAAAAATGAGCCCTGTTGGGGCTCAAATGGAGGCCCTTCAGGGTATGACACCTATCCTTTGCTGCCAAACTGGGTCTATGGAAATATTCCTCCCCTGTTCCCGTGGAGGTGGTTGAGCAATCTTTATTTTCCAGAGGTGGGCAGCACTCCCACCTTCCCAGCTTAGGCAGTTGTTCTTCCCCTGTATGTTCTGATCTGGGAGACGCCACCATATATGGTCTCCTTGCTCACAAGTGGAATTCCATTTACCTTGCTGCAGCCTTGGGAACTTGGCAACTAGAGCTGTACCAGAGCTTCACAGGGAAACTTCTGCTTTTGCGTCATTAACACAATAGGGGGTGCAAAAGATAGAATCATTAGTGTACTGGAGATATGGATACACAACTTCCCAGGTGCAGGTGATAGTGGTTGGGGAGGTTCAGGTGGAATCCATTAGGTGGGAGAGAGTTCCACAAAGCAAGTAGGGGTCTGGGAACTTTGGGATCATATGGTTAGTTAGGAGGTCTGGGAATATGACTGCGAGATTTTCCAGATAGACCATAAGGTGGAACTCTCTATCCTGGGGATGTTGATGAAAAATCCAGCAACCACAAAGATGATTCCCTGATGCCATAATTTTTGAAATACTTACCACAGAGTTATGTTCCCACCCACACTGGATCAGGATAATTGAGAGAGCCAACAGAATTAACAGTGACAGCATGGTATCTGGTTGGGCCTTAGAGTGGCTTCTACACCCAACAACTGCAAAAGAGGTGTTTCCCAGGAAGACGTGGTTGGCCAAAGCAATGGAAAAAATGTATTGCAGTTGGGAAAAAGAGAAAAATTAACATGCCTGTTCCCATTCCCAGCATCACATTACCACTTCTGGCTGAGTGTTGATTCTTTTAAGTAAGTAGTGGAGGTCTTTTAAAGGTTCACAGATGTCATCATGGTGTCCTCATTTTATGCCTTGCATAAAATGCAAAAGAAATAGGTTTAATCCTGGACAGGTGTACCCAACTAGTTATTCCCTGGAGTTTAACATGAGTAGGGTACTCAGCAACACTTGGCAAGCACCCTTCTGTTTTGGTTGTAATCCCTTGGAGGATTTTTCTTCTTCAGTTTTTAGTAAGACTAAGTCTTCTGGGAGGAGGCATTACTTTATTTCTATATTCTTAAAGGGTGTTGCAAACCTGGCCTAAATTGTAAAGGGGGCATAGTGAGGTGTCTCCAATCCCCTGTTTTGTGTCATGGACTGAATTAGTTGTTTTAGAATTTTCTTGTGTGTGTGGAAGGGGGATTTCCTTTGGCCAACAAACTTAGAATCAAAAGATTCATAGTCAATTAAACATTCTAGGCCAGTTGGGAATAGAGGTAGGCAGGTACTTAAAACCATTTTAAGCACTATAAGAGTCAAAAACTAAAAGCCAAAAATAAGGTTTTAAAACTGACTTATCTATACATTCTGTGCACTGAGCTACTGTAATCTTGACTTGTAGCAATTAGCTATACCAAACACAAGCATTTTGTTTAGGCATCTGTGTGCCTTTTTTTGATTTGGAGGGGCTGAATTAATTTTATCCCTCAAAACCCAGCCCTTGCAGTCTTTCATGCCCACTTATTCCACTATAGTTCCCAGGCCTGAAGGAATTAAATCATTTTAAATTCTAGATGTAAAACAAAACAGAGAATTAGCAATGTTTCAAGCAAAAAGTTCATAAGCCCTGCCTAGTTTTGAGAATGACAATAAAGAAAGCTCACAGGTAGCTAAACATTTAAATTATTTGGTGTCAAGGCATAGAATAAGTTATATTAATTCAGTTAGAGGCAAGATTATTAAATGAATACAAGCTTTTCTCTTGTCTCATGAAAGCAGTTTACTTTGATTGTCTCCTTTGCCCAGGTTTAAAGACAAGGCTTTGGTTAACTTGAGTTTGATATTAGATACTGGCAGGAATTGGTGCCATCTCTAGATGAGCTATGCATACCCAAGAATAAAAGCCCTGTAATTTAACAGCACATGGATTAGTTAATAGCACCTGATAAGGAACTTGTCAGAGGGCTGGAGGTAGTGATACTGGAGTTCATGACCTGACTGGAAGCTGTAAAAAGATTTTATAACATTGCAGTGATTAATTTTTATAGCTTTGATAAACTCCAGCAACAAGCAAGAGATTTAAACTAGGATTCAATTCTAAGGGCATTTGTCAAAGGGGTTAAAGGCCCAAAATATTTGATCAGTGTGGAACTACAGGTTATTGTAAGCAATAGTTACTTATTTATCCAAAGTTAAATATCCTTGGCACTGTGATTACCTCTCCATATGGGAACTCCACTTAAATAACCTGAAAGTTGAGTTTGATGAAGAAAAACATAATACTTGAATTTAATCAGATGCAGGAAAAGTGTATTTAAGATTATGAGTGTAGCAGGGGAACTGAGAAAGTTTTCTGGTTACACTGAAAATTTAGAAACATCAAGAAAAACCAAGAGTATAGAATCAAGTTATATTGGAGAAAAACACAGCTTTTATAGACCTCTGAGACAAAACACTTTAGTATCAGGCCACAATAACACTCAGAACCAGAAGAGAAAATGTCACAGGAGCTGATGAAAAGGCTAAAGGACACAGTTATATGACTCTGAGAAGCAAGAGGCTTTTAAAAGAAATAGAATATGAAATCGAAAAGCAAAATTTTGGGTAATTTAGCAAATTAATACTGTAAGAAAATTTGGTTTGACATGGAGACTATTTTTAGAAAGTCTATTATATACAATTTTCTTTTAATTACAGCTAGCTTAATCACACATAAAATTCCTTTCATAAATTCCCCTTTATGAACCTTATCACAACTTACATATACCATCTACCACATGCTTGGACATTTTGACTTGTCCTATACTACCTCTTTCTTAAATAACCATTCATTTTCCTCTAGGACAAGAGTTTACTGTAGAATATCTTTTTATACAAAATTACTCTTTCTTTATATCCTTCCTTGCAAAAAAAAATACATTTTTTATCTAGAGATTTCTTTCTATCTCTTTTTTTTCCACTCATGGTTGCTTCATAATTTGAACCTCACCTTCAATGACTTCTGAATTTGACAAAAATTACTCCTTTTCCCAATAAAGAATATATTTTCCCTGGCACATTTTATATAAACCTAGGAGGCAAGAAATCCTGAACTTCCCAACAGACATTGGCATTCTGTAGATAAGAACCATTTCACAATTTTAAGGTTTTCAACTACACAAAAAGCTTGCTATTTAAAGCCATTTTAACCAGTTCAAAACCTACAAACAACAGTGGTTTACCTTAAAGTTAAATTGTAAAAGGCACTATATTATTTTCAAACTAACAAGTTCAGACTAGACTTACATGTTTAATTTATTCTTGCTCTTTTATTTATAAGCCAATCTGATAGCATGCTAGACACAGGACATGCCACAATACCTGTCTATACACACAAACACTTCAAACAAAGGGCCTATGCAGGATAACAGGATCCAAGTTATTTACAAAACTGGGACCTGTCTACCTGACCAAACTTTATTTGCCCCAATAGGCATGGAAGACAGGAAGAGGCAGGGAAGGGGATCCTGTAGCAGCCAATAAGGAAAGGAGGGGGCAAACTGTGTTACTGAAGGGGAGACCTGAGTCTCTGAGCTGCTGGAGAGCTCACCCAGCAGTGGAACACTGAAGAAAAATGTTCAGGCAGCCTCTAGTCTGCCACTGCAGGAAGCTGTTTGTCAGGTAAAGGATCTAAGATCCCTAGTAAACTTACTTGAGCAAAGCAGCTCATTGGGGCTAGTGGAAGAAGGTTAGCTCTAGAATTGATGGAGAGTTTTTTCTCTCTGTCAGTAGGGACAGTTAGGACAGTCTCATTGTCAACAGCCCTTTTGTTCATAGTAGGCACATTGATTCTGACCCAGGGGCCAGTCAGTTTGGGGCTCTCATCTGGGCATTCCAGACACTGATCTTGTGACACTTTCTTGGGATGGGTAACCCTGAGGAGGAAGAGGGCTTAAAGCTTATGCTAATAATTGCACTTTTTGGCTATTTCTTATGGTTTTGCCTCTTCTTCTCCTTTGTCACTTTTGTTCTTAACTCCAAAAACCGTCTTTAGGAGTTGGATTATGGGGGTGTGAGACCCCCTTGCTGCTGCTTTTTGTAGCATTTTCCTGATGTCAGGGGAAGATTGAGTAATAAAATGCATACCCAGGAGAGCCTGCCTTTCTGAGGAGTCTGGATCTGTGTTAGTATATTTCTTGAGTGCCTCAACCAAACGACCCTGAAACAGAGTGGGACTTTCATATTTTCCCTGAGTTATTTCTCTAACCTTGTCATAACTCATTGGCTAAACCACACCCGTTTCCCACTGCATTTCTTCCATAGCACAGCAAGTAAATGATAATACTTGCAAGTCATGACAAGTTAAATTAAAGAACATGGTCAACTTAAAAAACTCCTCTATAAACTTTTCTGGATCCTCTGAAAACTAGCCAAATTTTTTTTGTTAAATACAGCCAAATCAGACATAGAAAATAGCACATGTACTCTAAGTGCTCCCCAATTTTCATCAGCTACTTCTTGCAAGGGACACAGGTTTGACTTTTAGGGGCTGATATGGGGTCCACTTCTGGAGGTATTGGTTGGGCTTACTCTTTTGAGCAGTAAGAAGTATAGGCTGGAGCTAGCTGGATAAGGGGGAGAGGTGCCTGATGACCTTGGGATGGAATCCTTTGTTAGAGAACTGGCAGGACCCTCCTCAGAACGGCGGCACTGAGGAGGCTCCAGGGAGGGCATAGGCCTTCTGTGAGAGCAGCTAGGAATGCCACTTGATGCAGGGCAGGCCAGTCCCAAAACTGGGGCTTAGCCTGGGAAAATTGTTGGCTTCACTCAGGAAAGGTTTCAAGAATGAGCTGGTGGTAGAAAAAAATGGCTTTTATTGGGGCAACAGTGTTACAGCTCTGTGACTGCCTCTGCAGAACCAGGATACCTCAAAGGCCGTGTGTTTGAGTAGCAGTTCAGAGGCAGTTCTCCAGTTATATTTATACATACTTTTAATTACATGCAAATTAAGGGGTGGGTTACTCAGAAATTTCTAGAACAGAAGTGGTAACTTCCAGGTGTTGGCACGGCAGTCGTAAACCATCATGGTGCTGGTAGGCATGCCTCTTCCCTGTTTCAACCAGTCTTCAATCTGGCCCGAAGTGAAATCCCACCTGCCACCTCACCTCCAGTGGTGTCTGCAGTGACATTTTGTTCCCTCTTTCAAAATCGTTTTCAATGGGGTCTCTTGTGGGTGGGGCATTAAGCACAAGTGCTCAGCCAACTGCACTGAACCAGAAATTCTGCATCTGTGCTGACCAGAGATGCTTTCTGGAAAACCAAGTGTATAAACCATGGGGACCATGGGACACATGTCACGCTGCTCTCTCACACCTTCATGTATGTCCTTTAGTGTTGCGCAGCAGCAGCCTCTAAGGGAAGCAGCCCTGAGATGTACTTTTAAAACATTTTTACTATTTCATTTGATTTTTTACAACTATGAGTCACAGATGTTTTACTGGGGAAAAAAATATGTAGAAGACATGGCTGGATGTGTGTTATGAGAAAGAGGTCAAGTGCAAATGAGAAAAAGAGGAACTCATGAACCTCTTCTGCCTTTTGGTGAGTGGCCAGTCATTTGAAACTGTGAAGCAGAAGGTAGTGAGGGGCAGTTGTTCCTGTGGGTGCCAAGGGGAAACTTCCTCTTTGCCCTTGGAAGGGTCACTGAAAATCAACTGACAAGAGACAGATTAATTGGAGAAAAGGCACACATATTTATTAATGTGCACAGGAATCTTACAAAGATCTCCAAGAAATGGTAAGGAGGTTGAGACTTTTACACTATCTTTTTAAAGGCTTTTGATATAGGGTCTCACTCTCTTGCCCAGGCTGTAGTGCAATGGCAGGATCATGGTTACTGTAGCCTCAAACTCCTGGGCTCAAGCAGTCCTTCAAGCAATCCCGCCTCAGCCTCCTGAGTAGCTGGAACTGTAGGCCTGTGCCACCATGGCTGGCTAATTCTTTTCACTTTTTGTAGAGATGGGGGTCTCGCTATGTTGCCTTGAACTTGAACTCCTGGCCTCAAGTGATCCTCCTGCCTTGGCCTCCCAAAGTGCTGGGATTATAGGCAGGAGTCACCACATCCAGCCTATACACAGCTTAAGGTTACAGAAAAAATGTGGGCTTGGAGTACGGCCAAAAACTGGTTGCGGTGGTAAATCAGGTTATGATGTCAAGGCAGGTTATGGGAGGAAGAGAAGAGGAGGTCTGGCTTGCAAATGTGGTCTTATTATACAGGTGAAACCTTACAGGTAGCAGTCCTCAGAGAGAATAGATGGTAAATGTTTATTTCAGAAATTTAAGGTGTCAGACTCTGTTAATCTTTTCTTGATCTGGACAAGGGTTAGCCTCAGAGAAAACCTGGCTGCACCATGCTGATTCTGTACAGATGCAAATCTCCCCGCAAAGGACAGCTTTGCAAGGCTACCTCTGTTTGCAGGCCCTCTGAACAGCCACCTCAAAATATGTCAAAGAAGGATATTTGGAGGTGAAATATTTTGGTTTCCTCCATTACAAATCTGGATCTGACACAAGATAGTACCATTTACTCAATGTATAGCTTGGGCCAAGTTGTTTGAATTCTCTGTCCCTCAGTTTATCTGTAAAATGAAGAAAATAATAGCACATACTTCACAGAGTTTTATGACAATCTAATTAATATAAGCAAAGCACTTCTAATAATGCCTGGCACATTGTAAATAACCAACCTGTTATTAGAAGACAGAATCCATGGATTTACTGTTAGTATAAACAATGTGCTCTCTGCTACACAGAAAAGCAGTCTCCAAGGGGAGCATCCATTTTCCATTTGGAATTCAAGCAGAAGCAGCGTCCCTGAGCCAGGAAGGTGGGCCACAAAGAAGAGAAGGTAGATCCATGTGTGCAGGGTGGGGCCATGGCTGTAGCAGCAATGCCCATTCCTGGCCACAAGCACAGATGAAGGTGCTACCAGGATCCAGAACCAGGCACTGAAGAGGGAAGTGGGCAAGCCATGTAAGTGATCACAAAGCACTTAGGTCACGAGAAGAGGCGACCCAGACCCCACTCCCCTAACCATCATGACAAGAAGGAAGAACCAGCTCCCTGCCAAGGGGAGCTTTTTAATTAGTATGTTCATTTAACTGATGCCAGCTCTCATTTCAGAATGTAAATTCAGTCTTTCCCAAAAAATCCTTGGATATCTTCAGGAAGTCCCAAGTTACTGTTAAATGTGGACACTTTCATCCCTTCTACCTTGGCTTTTTCAGAAGCAGACGCAGATTTGAGATCCCAGTAGAAAGAATTTATTTGGCAGGTGCAAGGTACCCCAGCAAGGGAGCAGGGACATGGGACCAGGAGGGGAAGGTGAGACCAGGAAGGGAAGGCAGCGCATTTGTGAGCCGCTGGAGCACAAGGAAACTGCAGAAAAATCTGTGCTTCTTCCTGAAGGATGAGGGAGCTGGGACATTCAGACACCGGCCTGTCAGTCATTGGTGGAGGGCTGCCAGGGCTATTAATTCCCTAGCACTCAAACCACCCTGGACATGGGCAGAGAGGCCTCCTGAGGCTTAGGAGAATGTCCTCAGGCAAAGAAGAAGTTGCAACTCAGATAGAACCCCCCAGGCCAGAGGGGTGTGAGTGAGTCACCAACAGTTCCTGTTACATTTACATTTAGGGAGAAGATTCTGGAACCCAACATAGATAGATCAAGGTAAAGAGCATCCCTCCCAGAAGGTTGCCAGGATGCTCTAGAGCTCATGAGATTTGCTCTTGCTGACACTGAGAAGCAGGAAGGAGTAGGAATGGAGAGTGCAGACTTTGAAATCCGCCCATCCGGGGCTGCTTCCCTGCTCTGCTCTCATAGCTCTGTGATCTTGCGCAAGTTCCGTAGCACCTCTGGGTGAGTTTTCCCATCTGTAAAACGGGGATGATGATAATACCTGTAGGGCTGTTGTGAGGACATAACACAGTCATACAGATAAAGCACTTAAAAAGCACCCAGCCCTTAAGCGCTCAAACATTTGTATTCTACATCTTTTGTCAATTGCCTTTGTTTAGAAATGCTCTGGCATGTTGGGTGCTCAAAAGATGTTGACAGTAATTTATTCACTACGACACACCAAGAATTAATGAAATATTGCTAAGAAAATAAAAACTAGTGTTCATCACATCCTGCGATGTGATGTCTCTTCAGAGAACCAGGCGAGGGTATGTGGCCAATGAACAGCCAATGAAGTCACTGTCAGAGTGGCTTTGTCACCCAAGGAGCCCCTACTAGTTTATTAGGGCAATCTGACTTTCAGATCTGAATCCTAGCAGTGTATGGATATAAAAGATACCAAGTCTAAAAATAATAATTATAAAGATCTTAAAAACAACCTGTGACACTCACAAATCCGTTTGACTGGTAATTTTTGAGACATTGGACCATATCTAATACTTGGCAACAGGGCACCACTGTGCTATCATGAAGCATCATCATCAGTTCCAGCGAAGGTGAAATGGTTTCTATTATAGGCATGTTAATAACTTCTATTAATAGAGGCGAGGAAAAGCACAAAACCTTTATCTCTTCTTTTCATGCATGGAATAAAATGAGAACTCTATATTACAAAAAAAAAAAAAAAGATTCCCTTTCTAATGCCATCCAAGGAACAATATTCTAAGTGTGCCTACTGAGACAGGATTTCATCTGAATCTATTGCTATGTATTCTCCAACATCCCCTCCAAGAAGATTAGACCATTTCCAGCTGAGACTGGTTTTTGCTAGCAGTGGTTAGATTTTCACAGTTCCCAGCCCAGGGGAAGGGAGGGTGCCTCCCTGAGACTACATTGCCCTCTGCTGCCCATCCAAGGCCAAGTCAGGTAGGGAAGGCCTCTGGGGAATTACATTTTAAAAAAATAAAGTTTATGAAAATTATACATGAGATTTGCATAAAAGGTGAAGTGAGGTTGTTACAGTTGCAAAGTCTCTCACTCTCCAGGGGCAAAATCAGGAGGTCAGAAGTGCACTTGGAACTATCGGGATGGTGAGGGTCACATAGGAAGTGTGGGTTTGGAGTCAGGCTCACGTTGTGCTGGTACTAGCTGTGCCATCTTGGGCAAGTTGTCAACCCCTCTAAGCATCAGTTTCTCATATGTGAGATGCGATAATCCCTGGGGCCACTTATCCAAAGATTAAAGAATAAAATGCACATCAAGTTGTAAGCAGAGTATGTGACACTTCGTGTTCTAACAAATGTTGGTTATTATTGCTCCAACTTCCTCCTTGCAGATGCAGAAACTGAAAACTCTCAGGACTTGACATAGGGACCCAAAGTCACATGTCTGCCTAGGGATGAGGAGGGGAGTCATCCCAGGCCAAACCTCCCACTGTCCCCAAGGCATCCTGGGCTTTCATGAGCATCTTTAGCTCCATCCCCCAGTCACAACCCATCTCAGTGGACATGTGTCCTGGACACTGCGCCTGGCCTACCCCACTGCCCCACACAAGGAAACATTCCCTGTGGGCTGGGCCTAACGCTTTGCTCACATTTGCCCCCTACAGAGCAGTTCACCTGGAGGGTAGCACAGGTGCTATTCCCAAAAGGCCATGTGAAGCTAGTGCAACTGTCAAAGTGAGGAGGAAATTCCATAGGCCATGAGCAGCTGGGCTGGGGCGGTAGGCTCGAGGGCAGGGGCTATTAATGACTGAACCATAGAAAAGTCCATTTGTCCATTTTTCTATTCATTCACTCCCAAGTATTTTTTGAGCAGCACATGCTAAGCAAGTCTTCTCAGCACTCACATCGAAGAAAAGAGGTGGCCCTGGTCTGCAACACCCTTGGGCACCTGGTAGGAGGCCTGGTTCCCCTTTTATGTGGTTTGTCACACTCTCAGGACTGTGACCAAAACCAAATGAGGGCATTCCCATTAGATCCTGCTGAGGGAGCAGTGCCTCCAGTAAACAAGCTTGAGCAGGTGTGGTTCATATTAACTGAGAACCTCATGCCACCAAACAACACATGTGCTAGCAAGGGTTGCCCACACGTTGCCTCAACACCAGCGCTTGTCCTTCCTGTGTCCTTCCTTCTGGACAGCCACACAGCACTAGGGCCATTGTGCAAGAATCATTCAAATCGCCACCACTAATGGGTTTGGATTGAAATTCCAGAAATAATCCCAGCTTCACTACTTACTACCGGTATTCCTTCAATGGAGTGATTAATCTTTCCTGTCTCCAAATTCTCATTGGATCATGCGAGTGACAATACTTATTTTGCAAAATTTTTGTAAGAATTAAAGACAGAAAATATAAAGCCCCTGGTTGCCTACACAAAGTGGACACTGAGGAAATAGGAGCCATTGTTACTATTTCACACCTAAACGAAATACACGTATGGACAGAGTATATGTATAAATTCACATACACATATTGATGCATATAAAAATATGCATGCCAATTTCTGTTGCTGTATATAAAATATATAGTATTATACTGGAAAAGCGCAAAGAACATACACTGTAGAGATTATAAAAACTAAATATGTTTATCTTGCCAAATACAACGTTTGAAAAGATACTGCTTTGGGTCATGAAGACAGTTGCTTTCTTATCTCTTGAGTTAAGGAAAATATATATTTTATGGAAAGCTATGGAGGTAGCTACTAACTAAAAGCAAGACTTAAACTTCTTTTGAGGAATAAAATCAGTATCCTCATTTTTTTAATATTCTGAGGAAATAAAAGAGAAATCACATGTATGAATACATAGTTTAGGTCAACTTACATTTCTGCAATGTAGGATGCTGTAACCATGCTGTAGAAATATACTCCTACTAAAACCCTCAGCAGTCATCCCTTCCCCACCCCGAAAAAGAAGGTGTTTTTCAGTAGCATCTGCTACTTTCAGATGGTCAAGTGATGGCAGAAGTGATTTACAGTAACCACGTGCGTAAGGATATAGGGGCAGCCTAGCCTATGATCTCAGGAGCCAGACTGTCTGGCTCTGCCACTTCCTAGATGTCTGATCTTGAGAACCTTTTCTGCCAACCTGTGCCTCAGTTTCCTCTGCCAGAAAATGTAAAGAATAGCACCCTGACCTTATTTCAGATTTAAATGAGTTGATGCTTAGAGAACAGAACATAATTAGCACTGTTTGTGAAATAATGCTTTTTGAATTTATTGGCATTTTAAAAGTCCTTCAACTGAAAAGAGACCTCAAAGACTCTTGGAGAAATTGCACTTAACAATAAGGAAATAGGATACTTTATCAACCCAATAAGGAGCATCTATAGAAAACTTATAGCCTGTGTCATACTGATGGTGACATGAACACTTTTCCCTAAGATGAAAAAGGAGGTAGAAATGTTCACATCCACCAGTTCTACTCAAGGTTGTACTGGAAGTTCTAGGCATTGCTATAAGGCAAGAAAAATAAATAATTAAATAAAAAATATAAAGCTGGAAAAGGAAAATAAAACTTCCTCCATTTGCAGATGACAGGACTGTTTACATAAAAAAAACTAAGGAATTTACAAAGAAACCACTATAACACAAAAGTGAACTTACTAAGGTCTCAGGATACGAAGTAAATATATAAATTTCAATTGCATACTTATATAATATCAATAAAAAATGGTAAATGAAACTTACAAAAAAACCACATACCATTTTATAATAATATAAAATACTTAGAAATAAGTAAAGATGTGTAAGACCTGTACACTGAAAACTATAAAACATCACTAAAAGAAATTAAAAAGGACCTAAATTAATGGAGAGTTATACTATGTTCATAGATGGAAAGATTCACTATTGTTAAAGTATCATTTCTCCCCAAATTTACCTATATATTCAATACAATACCAACCAAAATCCAAAGAGGGCTTGTTTGTAGAAATTAACAAGCTAATTTTTTAATATTTATATGGAAATGAAAAAGACCTACAATAACCCAAACAGTCTTGAAAAATAAAATAGGGAAATAAATACCTAATTTCAAGTCTTAATGTAGTATGGTAATCAAGACAGTATGGTATTGGTGTAAGGATGAATAGATAATTAAACAGAATAGAAATTCCAGAAGTAGACCCACATGTATACAATTACAAGATTTTTGACAAAAGCATCAAAGCAATGAAAAAGGGAAAAGGAAAGTCCTTTCAAGAAATAGTGCTGAAACAACTGGATATTTGTGTAGAAAATTAATAACTCACTTCCTATTTTACACTATACAAAAAATTAATTCAAGATGCATCAGAGTTCTATTACACATAAAAGCAATAAAATTTCTCAAAATAATAAGAGAATATCTAATGTGGTAGGCAAAGTGTTCTCAGGCTGGTAAAAAACAGCACTCATCTAAAAATAAGAAAATTGTTCCATTTCATTTAATCAAAATTAACTTCTGCTTATCAAAAGACAATGATAAGAAAATGAAAAAGGTAGCAGTAGATTAGGAGAAAATATTTGCCAAATATGTATCAGACAAATGACTTCAATCCAGAATATATCTTTTATAGTTCTACAAATTAATAATCAAAAGACAATCTAATTTTTAATGGGCAAAATATTGGACAAACACTTCATAAAAAATAACAGAAAAGAGTTCATAAGCACATAAAAATATGTTCAACATCATTGGTCATCAGGACAACTAAGACCACAGTGAGATATCACCATCCCCTCACTAAAAGATAGTCAGATAACATCAAGTGTCGGCAAGGATGTGAAGCAACTGGAGCTCTCATACACTGCACAAATCTTGTACACAAAATGATACAACCCCTTTGGAACCTTCTTGGCATTTTCCCAGACAGCCATCTGCTCTATAACTCAGGAATTCTACTCTTAGATCCTAGGAACTTATCCAAGAGGAATTAAAATGTAAGTCCACAAAAAAGACTCACACAAGAATATTCATAGCAGCCCTATTCAAAACAGAAAAAAAAAAAACTAGACATAGCTCAAATATCCATCAACAGAACAACAAACAAATAAATATATATCTCTGTATAATTACAGTTGAAAAAAACAAACGAACAGTTTTTCTCCTACCATACTCAGTACAGAACACTTCTGGTCATCAAAGGACAGCGGGGTGTCCTTCCACTCAGTTTTAATCCGATACTATCTACCTGGAGATAGCATCAGATCACAGAGGTTGAGGGCTTAGTGTCACAAAACTCTTCCCCGTTTAGATGCCAGACCCAAGCCCCAGGTTGTGACCTGCACTTCTAGCCAGTTATAAATCAGGATTTTCAGCCGGGTGCGGTGGCTCATGCCTGTAATCCCAGCACTTTGGGAGACAGAGGCGGGCAGATCACGAGGTCAGGAGATGGAGACCATCCTGGCCAACATGGTGAAACCCTGTCTCTACTAAATTACACACACACACAAAATTAGCTGGGCGTGGTGGCGCATGCCTGTAGTCCCAGCTACTCGGGAAGCTGAGGCAGGAGAATCACTTGAACCCAGGAGGCGGAGGTAGCAGTGAACCGAGATCGCGCCACTGCACTCCAGCCTGGTGACAGAGGGAGACTCTGTCTCAAAAATAAATAAATAAATAAATAAATAAATAAATATATAAGGATTCCCCCTCCTCAGGTTAGATAATTTGCTAGGACAGCTGACAGAACTCAGGGGAACACTTTACTCACATTTACCCATTTATTATGGAGGATACTAGAAAGGATACAGATAAATACTCAGATGGAAGAGATGCATAGTGCAATGTATGTGAGAAGAAGCGCAGAGCTTCCATTGCCACTCCTGGGGCACCACTCTCCATTGTTCACCAATTCAGAAACTCCAAGTCTTGTCTTTTTGGGTTTTTGTGAATGTTTCATTGTAATGTTTCATTACATACGCATAATTGATTAATGTATGGGCCCTTGGTGATCAAGTCAGACTTCAGCCCCACTCTTCTCCCCAGAAGTCCACTTGGGGCTGAGAGTTCCAAGCTGCTAATCACATGATTGGTTCCCATGGCAACCAGCCCCATCCTGAGGCTATCTAGGAGCTCCCCATCCCCCATCAGTCATCTCCTTAGCATACAAAAAGGCATTTACCATTTTGGAGATTCCAAGGCAGATAGGAGCTGTACGCCAGAAAACAGGGACAAGACCAAATACAGTGTATTTCTTATTATAAGTCACAGTTATCACAATCAACAAAAAATAAATAAACAGCATGGCTGAATCTTAAAACCATGAAGTTGAGCAGATGAAACTGGACACACAAGAGTACATAAATGTGAATGACAGAGCCTTGGGAGACGTAAAAAAAAACTACATAAATGTAAGGATCTCATTTAAATAAAGTTCAAGAACAGAGAAAACGAATCTCAGATGACAGAAATCAATTTTTTTTTTTTTTTGAGACAGAGTCTCACTGTCAGCCAGGCTGGAGTGCAATGGCGTGGTCTCAGTTCACTGCAACCTCTGCCTTCCAGGTTCAAGCTATTCTCCCACCTCAGCCTCCCAAGTAGCTGGGACTACAGGCATGTGCCACCACACTTGGTTAAGTTTTTTTGTTTTTTTTTTTTTGTATTTTTTAATAGGCTCTAGGGGATTGGGGACTGGCTGCAAGGGGACAATTTCTTAGATGATGGAAATTCTCTATGTCTTGATCACAGTGATGGTTACCAATCCAAACAAAAAGAGTCAAACTCTGTAAAATATTTAATATTTTATTATGAGCTAAATATGGGCAACCAATGGTCCATGACACAGCCCTCAGGACATCCTGAGGACTTGTGCCCAAGGTGGTTTTATACATTTAGGGAAACCTAAGACATTAATCAATACATTTAAGATGTACATTGGTTCAGTCTCAAAAGCAGGGGCTTCCAGGTCATAAGCAGATTCAAAGATTTTCTGATTGGCAAATGGTTGGGGGAGTTAATATCTTAAGACCTGGAATCAATAGAAAGAAATCTGGGTTATGATAAGGGTTTGTGAATGCCAAGGTTTATCATGCAGATGAAGCCTCCAGGTAGCAGGGCTTCAAAGAGAATAGATTGTAAGTGTTTCTTCTCAGACTTAAAGAGTCTACCAGTCTTCAGGTCTCTGTGTTGATGTTAATTCTGGTCAGCTGTGAGACATGTTCAACACCCTCTTCCCACCAAACCCCTACTTCCATCATGGATTGAACTAGTTTTTCAGGTTAACTTTAGAATGCCCTTGGCTGAGAGAAGGGGTCCTGATTGGGGGCTTAGAATTTTGTATTTGTTATACATTCTCCCTCTTCTGGCCAAGATTTGCCAGAAGCAACATCAATGGACACCAAACTTTCACTGTGTCCCATAGCATTGCCAAAGTGGCATGGCTGTCTGCTCTGGGTCCCTCCTGTCCCTCAGTGGGACGCCTATGGCCAAGGGACTTAGAGCCAAAAGATGCATAGCCAATGTAAACGTTCTAGGCCAGACAGGGATGGATGTAGACAGGTGTTCGCTAGTCCTTAAAACATTTTTTCAGTAATGCAAGAGCCTACAAACAAAAAGCCAAAGACAAGGTTACAAATTGACTTATCTACCTCTCAATTCTATATGTTGAGCTACTGTGATCTTGGTTTTAGTTACAGACTTATTGCAATTAGCTATACAAAACATAAGCACTATTAAAGCCTTTTAAGCTAAGGAATTCAGAGACTTTTGCTGTGCCTCAATGATTTTTGCAGTATTTTACTAATTTGTCCCAAGACGGCTGATAATAAACGTTAAATATATATATATAGGCCGGGCGTGGTGGCTCATGCCTGTAATCCCAGCACTTTTGGAGGCCGAGGTGGGTGGATCACGAGGTCAGGAGTTCAAGACCAGCCTGACCAACATGGTGAAACCCCATCTCTACTAAAAATACAAAAATTAGCCAGGCATGGTGGTGAGTGCCTGTAATCCCAGCTACTTGGGAGGAGAATTGCTTGAACCTGGGAGGCAGAGGTTGCAGTGAGCCAACATTGTACCATTGCAGTCCAGCCTGGGTGACAGAGCTAGACTCTGTCTCAAAAATAAATAAATAAATAAATAAATAAATAAAATATATATATATGCATAAATCTCATAACTGGGAGTATTATACCCAGCAAGCTTTGTCACAAAGTGTCTTTATATCCTCTCAGTAATTTTCTTTTAATTCTATGGGAAGCAGGAAATTCTTTACGGTTAGGATGGACAAAAGGGTGCCACATACATAATAACACAGGAGGCACAGTCCCTTATTTTACCAGCTGTTTAGGTATCTGTGATTTGGAGGCTCTAAACTAATTCTATCCCACAAAACTGGCCCTTGCAATCTCACACACTGACGTCTTACGTGATAGTCCCTGGGCCTAGAGGGAGGGTGCTTGTATAGTTTTAGCAGCAGGGCATTTGCAATGAAAGACAGATGGGGCCCGGTGGGATTCCAAATGAGGGAGATTCACAGGCTTTGTCAAATTATCTCTAGTCTTATGAATATATGATTCTAATTTTCTCAGAAGTAAAACTACATGAGATAAATAACATTAGTAAACTTGCTAATCAAAACAGAATCTGTGTGTCAGAACAGAAAAAGGAAACTATTTCATTAGGGCAACAACTAAAAACATGAAGAAAATTATAAGCTGGTACTTTTTAGAGGATTATTGTAGGAAGAGATGTAATTCGATCTGCACTCTAAAACAAGTCGGGGCTGGAATTCAGTAACGGGTGTTACAGTTTTCCCTTGAAACAATTTTTCTCTGATTCTCTAGCCCTCCTTTTCTACTAAAGAGAAATTATAGTAAGACCAATTTGTGTGCAGAATAAGTTTTTGGCTTATTACACTTGGCTTGATTATTCACATAAAGCGCAGCAGGAATTACTTGGTTTGAAATGCTTGTTCTTTGGTGCCATAAAGAAATAGCACTTGAACATAAATTTAATTTATTTAGTAAGGCCACTTTTACTTCCTGCAGAAAGGGTACACTCGCCAGCAGTTTTGCCATGAGAGTACACTGAACAAAGGAGACAGGGTCATTTATAACCTGACGTGTCCACCCTACTGTTGTGTCCAGTTTCCATTGGCTGGAACAAGAGCTCGCATTCTGTATTTGTCCTGATTGGCTAGCAACTTAGAACTTTTTAAAAGAGGCAAAGGTAGAGGGGAACAAAGGAAGGAGGAAGTAACTAGTGGAAGGCTGAGAAAGGTAAAAACACTTTTAAATAAGGAAGAGGAACAGGCTATGACCTAATGCTTGCTTGGACCAGTATAAGCATGCCAGGGCAAATATTTAGGCTAAATTGTGGGAGCTAGGAACATAAATTGTATATTGATTTTTTTATTATGGCTAGCAGATATTTAAGAATGTTAGCACAGGTCTTTGAATAAATTTTGCTTCTAAGAGAAGTTACTATTTATTCCTAATTAGACGGGGAGGAAAGTCTTTGAAGAGGAACCTCTACTTTACTTTTTACAGTTGGCCATAGAGACTCTTTTCAAGTTGACTTTGCTGGAGCTTCACCTAATAATGTTATTCTAGTCAAAGCCTTGGTATAATAACCAGCACCTGCAATTGTGTCCTGTTTCAAAAGAAAGGGCTCTTATTAAACATGCCTTTACATATCACATATTTATCAGTTTACTGTTGATTGCCTATCTGCCTGCTAAACTGTTTGCTTCTGCAAAATAGAGACCTTGCCTGTCCTGCACCCCCAGAGCTTAGGCCTGCATAATGCTCAGTAGACATTGCATATATAATAGATGTTGGAAGAAGATGCAGTTGGCAGAGAGATGTAAGGACAATTTCTCATTGTTTTGTCAACATAAAGTATGTATGTTTTATATTGGAAAGCTGAGATCTTGAAAAAACTGTATACAAAAATTTTTGCAGGTATGTCTCTGTTTCTCCATATTGAGCTTCCACTTTTGATGATTGTAGAAATGTGCTGTAGAATGGATTAGACCATGTTTTTTTGTTTGTTTGTTTGTTTGTTTTGAGATGGAGTTTCGCTCTTGTTGCCCAGGCTAGCGTGCAATGGCACAGTCTCCACTCACCACAACCTCCACCTCCTGGGTTCAAGCGATTCTCCTGCCTCAGCCTCCCGAGTAGCTGGGATTACAGATATGTACCACCACACCCGGCTAATTTTGTATTTTTAGTAGAGACGAGATTTCTCTATGTTGGTCAGGCTGGTCTCAAACTCTTGACCTCAGGTGATCTGCCCACCTCAGCCTCCCAAAGTGCTGAGATTACAGGTGTGAGCCACTGCACCCAGCCAATTACACAGTGTTTTAAAGACAAATAAATATGTGAATTTTGTATTAAAGTTCAGCTGCTCTTCACCTAAGAAATATTCATCAAGTAAGAAGTATCTGGCTTGGGTAATTGTTAACTAAAGAATCATGAGATTCATAAATTTGGAGAGGAGAGTGTTATTTCTTATAAAGGCTTGCATCCAGCAGGCTGCCCACTGTGCAGGCTGGGAAGCATAGCTTCTGGTAGAAACCAAAAGCAGGCACTTTGAAAGAGGGAAAGGTGAGACAGAAATTTGGGCTGAATGGGCTAGCTAAGTATACATATTCAATAGTTATAGGAAGGGCTGAGAATAATTATGAAGGGGGTGCACACATTCATAGCAAGCAAACATCCATGTTACATTCATCTCATATTCATTTGGGGTGAAGACTTACATTTAATTGCATTATAATTTCACTCTGTATGTCACAAAGTGAAAGCAAGGACACAGGGGCATGTTGTCTGCAGCCTGTGAATACCTGCCAGAGCCAGTCTACGGCCAGTGGTCTTTTATCAGGAAGGAATGCCAGTCAGTTGTTGTGTAAATCAGAGGTGAAGCGAGTCTTTCAAAAGAGCTGGTTTCTGTCTGTTAGAGAAGGAAGATTGATGGCAGTAAGGGAGGTGGCATAACAAGGCGTGTCCCACCTCCTGTGTGCCTGGCATGGCTGGCAACTCAGTTTTTAAGGCTTCTCTGAGGCTCCTTGGACAAAGAGGGAGTCCATTCAGTTAGTTAGGGGACTTAGAATTTTATTTTTATTTCTCAGAATTTATCTAGGAAAGTTAGATGGTAGATCGTAAAGGTGCAGAATGTCATGTTAATTTGGCTTGCTATCGAGATGTATCAGAGTACAACAATAACAGTGTTATCAGCTGTATACTAAAAACATCCTTGGTCAGCAATATCTCAGACATTTTCCAAGGACAAAAGTATTAAATTTCATAAAGAAATAGCACGCTTTCAAATAACACTCCCAGGGCTTGACACGTGTATAAGAAAATCTAATTCCCAGGCACATTTCCCAGTAAGGCCATGAAAATAGCCGCGGAATGTGAAATATACACGTGACTGCCATCCTAATTTGGATGTTTCTTTAACACCCACAAGAAGGATGATAACTTCTCTCCCCCTAGCTCCTATTACGCCACTCCAATATGCACCCTGGACCTCAAAGATCATTTCTCTTTCCTGCATCCAGATAAAAGGTCACGATTCCTGGTGCCTGGTGTGCTCTGGACCACAGTGTATTTCCCAAGGTAGTCACGACCCCTTTAATGGACCACAGTGTATTTCCCAAGGTAGTCACGACCCCTTTAATGGCAGACTCTGCCTGCAGACTGCTGGTGCTGAGAGGGTGCTGGTGCTTGTGCACATAGCAAGAAGTGAAATAGAAATGACTGAGTTTGTTTTGTGCAGCATCACCACTGTTCTCGTAAAGAATGAACTATATAAGCACATAAGAACTACAAAGTGCAAATTGTGTAATTTTGGTGATTCCGCATACGAGTCCAATGTTTTTATGTTTACATTTAAAACTGGCATAACAAATTCTATGTAAAGATAAATGGTAAAGTCCGTATTAATAATTTATAATTTCTATTTTTATTTAGTTAGAATGACATTCAATAGCAAATTTAAAAAAACACTGACATCTTGAAAGAGACAACAGAAGAGAAAAAAGGTTTTATATTTTAATACCTTTAATGGCCATTTTATTTTGCTTTTTGAACCAGGATCCATTTTTTATTTTGTACTGGGCCCCACAGATTATGAAGTTGGCCCTAGGCACAACCTCACACCACTACCTGTTCTGGTTAGCTATTACTAGGTAAGCTATGTAACATATTACCCCAAAACCTGGTGCCTTGAAACAACAATCATTCTTAAATATCTCACGATTTTGTGACTCAGAAGCTCAGGCGGAGCTCAGCTAGGTGATTCTTCTGCTTCACATGGCATTAACTAGGCACTCAGCTGGCTTTCAGGCTGTTAACACAGCCTTGGCAAAGATTGGGGAAGACTGGGCTCAGCTTTGCACCTCCAACTCTGCCCCACCCTTTGGCCTCTCCAGCAATCTTTGGAGTTCTTACATGGCAGTTCAGGGTTCCAAGAGACCAAGACCTAAGCTGTCCATCCTCTAAAAGGCTAGGCTTAAAATAAAAATGCCGTCACTTCTGCCACACTCTCTTGGTCAAAGCAGTAATAGGGCAGCCCAGATGCAAGAGGGAGAGTCTATTACACATCAGGAAACCAAGGCCCAGAGAGGCTCAGTAACTTGCACAAAGTCACACAGCTAGTAGGTTATAAACTTGGGAGTTGAACCAAATCTGGCTCCACGGTCAGTGCTGTAGGCCACTTTGCCATGCTGGTAATAGTAGTCTCCAAACACCTAAACTGTGTGACAATAAAGGACAAAGTCTTAACTTCAGAAAGCAGCTTTAACCCACACACACAAAGAGAGAGAGAGAGATGTCTTAGGAAGTAAAACGTGTGAAAGAACTTTATAAATATTGGAGTTCTCCAAAACTGTAACTTAGAGATTCTAAAACCTCTTCTATCCTAGAGACAGGACCCCGGAGCAAAATTGCTGGATGTACCTCTGCCCCCAGGGATGGAGCAAACCAGTCCCAGAGCAAAGCTGACATCTGGAGGGGACTTGTGCACCAGTGATGATGCACACACTGAGATGCTGAGTGCTATCCATCCCACTCTCAAAATAGAAGCGTGAATCCCCCAACATGGTGCCAATCAATGATTGGTGGGTTTGAGTTATTCTCAAAACTGAATCAGAGAATCTGTTGTCTATGAATCCATACACATACGTATTTTCTATGTGTACTGATAATAAAAGTTAAAATCTCATCTTGTGAGGGGAGAAGCTTTTGCCCTCAGAGTTTCTCAAATCCTGAAAAAAAAAATTATAATGAAGCAAAATTACAAAGCTGTAGTAATTAAAGCAGCAACATCCTATTGGATATTAGATAGATCAATGAAAAGCAAAAGAAACACCAGAACTAAACCCAGGTGTTTAAGCAATCTGGCATTTGATAAAGCTTAAGTACCAATCAGTGAGGAGAAGATGGATTGTTGGATAAACTGACTAACCACTAGGGAAAAAGAAATAGAATCTCTATCTTGCTCCTTATGACCAAACAAAATCCCAAATGGATTACAAATAATTAAATGTGAAAAGGTGGCCAGGTGCTATGGCTCACGCCTGTAATCCCAGCACTGTGGGAGGCCAAGATGGGGAGATCACGAGGTCAGGAGTTTGAGACCAGCCTGGCAAACATAGTGAAACCCCGTCTCCACTAAAAATACAAAAAAATTAGCCAGGCATGCTGGCGGGCGTCTGTAATCCCAGCTACTTGGGAAGCTGAGGCAGGAGAATGGCTTAAACCCAGGAGGTGGAGGTTGCAGTGAGCTGAGATAGTACTATTGCACTCTGGCCTGGGCGACAGTGCAAGACTCAAAAAAAAAAAGGAGTGAACATTTTTATATATTTGGAATAACAAAGGTATCAAAGCTAGAAATCATAGTTGATTTTTTTTCCATATAAAACGTTTAAATCATATTGTTGGCACAAATAAATGAATAAATAAGAGAAAACTAAAGAATGAACTCGAGAAAATGTTAATAACATAATTGATGAACATATAATCCATTAAAACTTTGTAAATCAATAAAGATTAGTATCTCATAAAAAATATTGAGAAATTTGATGAATAAGGATTTTACAAAAGAAATAAATATGAACAGTCAACAAACATATAAAATAGTTTTCAACTTCTATAGTTAAAATGATACAAATTAGAAACAAAAATGAGATCTCTTTTACCTCTAGGATGAGAGGTAAAACAAAAATGAGATCTCTTTTACCCCAGAATGAAAACATTAATAATGCCTAGAACTAATGGCTCTAGGTAGCAGAAATGCCTGCCCTCACAGCCTGACACCAGGAGCTTGCCTGTTCCTATAGAAACTGTGTATGATGAAGGGACAGGCACCCCTTCCTTGGGGCAGATGCAGCTCCCTGCTGGTCAAACAGAGGGTGGTCTAGGTTTCAGCCCCACCAGACTCAGAGAGCACCCCTGTGCTGAGCACAGCCTGTACCAGGTGGAAGTATAAACCAGAATTGAATCTTTCCTAAGTGCAATTTAGCAACAAATGTCACAAATAAAACAGCATCTCCTCTGACTCTCAACATTTCTCCTAGGAATTTATCTCTTAGAGAGATTTATCAAGGATCAAAGATGTATAAACAGGAGTGTTCCCTGTATAGTAGGTCATAATAACAAAACCCTGGAAACAACTGTGTATCAGTCAGGGGTTGGTTAATAACCTCATGGTTCATGCATTCAAGAGAATGATATATAGTCAATAAGAAGACAGTATGGAAGTATTTCCACAACATGCTATCTAATCCAATAGTCAGCTTACTAAATCACATATGTAACAACATTTACACTTACATTTCTGTATGTAGAGACAGATACTAAAATATTAACAAAAGTTGGAGCATATTTGCCTCTAAGATTGGGATTTGGGGTGTCTTATATTTTACCCCCTTTATTAATTTTTCTATTATATATTATTTTTGAAACATCAGAGGGTTCTTTATCAAGTCTGTTCTACTTACAAATTCTGCACTCATTTATCCCTACCTGGCCTCAAAGCCCCCAGAGTTTCCTTGAGATCTATTTTGTCTTTGACACAAATCACAGAGCACCCCGTTTGGAGAGGAGTGAGCTGCATCTTGAGGACTCACAGACCCAGAGGTGAAAGTGTAGCCAAGAGTTCAAAACTGTGGACAATTATGGTCAATCAATCATCTCTTCCATATCTACTTGGCAATCAAGTTTTACAGCTACCTGGGTTAATAATAACAAAATATACATAACTTAATAATCTTGTCATTTTGAATTTAGTTTCACGGTAGCAACCTCGACCCTAGATCAAACTTGGAAATTGAAATCAATCAACTCTTTCAAACATTTTTCAATAAAACAGATGTGTATGGACAAGCAGGAAATGCCTATTCATACTGAAACATATTTGAGTCAGAAAATATAATCTCTGTTCCTTGTTTCTAGGCAGTTTTTTCCGAGTACACTTAAAATAGATGATGATTCCCAGTGTAGTAATATGTAACAGAATTTAACATCCATTCATTTAATATTTTATATTAGAAGACTCTCCAAAATAATGTTATAATTTTTCTCATTTTTCTTTTATATTTAGCTAAATTTGCCCTGTGGGTCACTCATCATACCATGTATGAACTTCAATAAGCAAATCCATTTGAGTACCGTCAAACTGAAAGAAAATCCCAGTGTAGTAATATGTAACAGAATTTAACATCCATTCATTTAATATTTTATATTAGAAGACTCTCCAAAATAATGTTATAATTTTTCTCATTTTTCTTTTATATTTAGCTAAATTTCCCCTGTGGGTCACTCATCATACCATGTATGAACTTCAATAAGCAAATCCATTTGAGTACTGTCAAACTGAAAGAAAAAGACTAGTTATTTGTCACACAGTGTCGGTTGTGTAAGATTAATTTTCTGCTGTCTGGGATAGGCATCTGTAATCTTCAGCATAGGCTCCAAGGAGGGCACAAAGATTATTTGTCTGGGTCAGGAATGAGGAGGTTGCTACTAATACTTCAGCCCCAAGAAAATCTGACAGTAGGAGGCCTATATCCTGGCCCATGTTCCTCAGGTCCTTGGAATCTGGTTGGCCAAAGTGTTCCACCTGGTATTTTCCATGCCCTGTCCTGCCTGCCCAGAGAGGCACACACTGCTTTCCCCACCCCAACCCCATCAATAAAAACCCTTTAACTTCAGTGCCTCAGGAAAAAAGAAGAGAAACAGTTCTTGAATGAAAGAGTGGATAGTTTCGTCGAAACTCTCTCCAATGAAACAATTCTTTGAGTGGCAAAAATTATAAAAAATAAAACACGTAAAAATCTCTGGGAATTGTCCTAAAGACACACAGCAAGTAGAAAACTATTTATTTGAGAAAAATGATAAAATATCAGTAAGAACACAAGAGCCCGCATCATCTGAGCCATGACCTGCTCTCATCTCCTCCCCGGTGTTCAGCATAACACAAGCTCTACTCTGGGTGGAGGCTGCCAAGAAGATGGGTGTGCTCTCCCCCAGCTCCAGTCTACAGCTCCAGTTTTACCCCAGCAGGGGCAGGCCTTGGGCCTCTCCCATCCCCTCACCCCCATCTTCTGGTTGCAGAAACTGCATCCCAGGACACCCATCTCCCGGTTGCAGAAGCTCCATCCCAGGAAACTGCATCAAGAGAACTGGGGCTCCCTTCCCCCACCAAGCCCCCACTCGTAGAGTGGATGCTTTACCCCAGGGACTCTAATTGCCACTTCCCTAGCACCCTTATAAGGCAGAAGTTCCACTCATAGAAGGCTACTGACCCCACCCAGTGCCCTGCTAGTAGAGTCAGGGTATCAGCCCAGGAGAACCAGGCCACTGTCTCCACTCCCAGGTCCGGTGCAAGAGAGCAGAGTTTCTTCCCAGTGGAAAGGCAGGTTGTAAGAGCAGAGAGCTCCCTAGCTCACCCTAAGGGGGCCGACTTTATTTGAAATAGAGGACAAAGTCCCAGCTAAGTATTCTCAAAAACAAGAAGGTCCTTAACAATTAAAAGGAGCAACAAGTAAAACATAGATGCCAGGAGCAACAATGATGCCAGGAGCAACAAGAGAAACATAGACCAGCTGGAACACTAACAGAGGAAAAGAGGCAGTTCGGAGGTCTCCCGATGTGGGAGCAAGCCTCAAAGACTGGTAACAGCTGTCCTGCAAACAGCACTGACTTTAATGGGATTTGACTGGAGGAATTTATACCTTAGGGCATTGTTGAGAACAACAGAGAAATCAGCAGGCCACTAGAACAGGCTAAGATCTGTTGTGACACCAATAACAAACCGGACATAAGCTCAACAAGGAGATTAGAGACAGAGAGAGCCAAAGCGATCCCCACTCAGACCACAGTCATCCTGATGGTCAGAGAGACAGTTTCCACACCCAAGATGGCACTCACGGAAGAGCAACATCATAGGCTGCACATTGTCAGGGAAATAGATTTCACTGGAGTCCAGCCAAGACCCTAAACACATGCTAAAGCAAGCAACAACAAACCCTCAGAGGGCAATCAGTAACAGACGTGCTATAATATATTATCAAAAATGTTGGCTTTTCTTTTCTTTTCTTTTTTTTTTCTTTTGAGACAGAGTCTCGCTCTGTTGCCCAAGCTGGAGGGCAGTGGTGTGATCTAGGCTCACTGCAACCTCTGCCTCCTGGGTTCAAGCAATTCCCCCGCCTCAGCCTCCCACGTAGCTGGGACTACAGATGTGTGCCACCACACCTGGCTAATTTTTTTGTATCTTTAGTAGAGACAGGGTTTCACCATTTTGGCAAGGCTGGTCTTGAACTCCTGACCACAAGTGATCTGCCCACCTCGGCCTCCCAAAGTGCTGGGATTACAGGCATGAGCTACCATGCCCAGCCTAAAATGTTGAGTTTTCAACAACAAAATAGTGAGACACTCATAGAATCAGGAACATATCACTGGGACATAAAAAAACAGGCAATGGAAACTGCCTTTATAAGGACTCAGATGGTGCATTTAGCAGACTTCAAAGGAGTTATTATAAATATTATTGACAAAAAGAGTCAAACTCTATAAAATATTTGAAGAGATTTATTCTGAGTCAAATATGAGTGATCAATGGCCTGTGACCACAGCCTTCAGGAGATCCTGAGAACATGTGCCCAAGGTGATTGGGCCACAGTTTGGTTTTATACATTTTGGGGAGACATAAGACATCAATCAATATGTGTAAGATGTGTATTGGTTTGGTCCAGAACGGTGGGACAACTGAAGTGGGAGTTTCCAGGTCATAGGTGCATTCAAAGCTTTACTGATGACAGTTGGTTGAAAGAGTTATTATCAATAGAAAGGAATGTCTGAGTTATGATAAGAGGTTATGGAGACCAAGGTTTTATCATGTACATGAAGCCTCCAAGTAGCAGGCTTCAGAGAGAATTGATTGTTAATGTTTCTTATTAGACTTAAAGAGTCTTTTAGTACTATTCCAAAAAGGAGGAGGGTGTGATAAGGTATGTACAGCACCCCCTATCATGGCTTGAATGGGATTTTCAGGTTAACTTTGGAATGCCCTTGGCCAAGAGGAGGGGGTCCATTCAGATGGTTGGAGGAGGGGAGGCTTAGAATTTACTTTTGGTTTATAATATGTTCCAAGAAGTAACGAAAACCATGCTTTAAAAAATAAGCTAAAGAAGATCCACAAAAGGACCACATTCATTGATAAGAATATTTAATATTTATTCTCAAATTGATGTAGAGATTCAACACAAGCCCTATCAAAATCTCAGCTTTTGTTTTCACATAAATGGACAAGCTGATCCTAAAATTCATATGAAAATGCAAAGGAACCATAATAGCCAACACAATATTGAAAAGGAACAAAGTTGTAGGACTCAAACTTCTTAATTTCAAAGCTTACTACAAAGTTGCAGTACTAAAAACTCTTTAGTACTTGTAAATGCCTGATGGGTTCTTCCTGCTTACTGCACAGGCAAAACCAATTTATTGAGACCACACCATCACAATAAAAGAGTTTAATTGACACAAGGCCGGCCACACCACATGAGAGATGAAGTTACTACTCAAATCAATCTCGGAAAATTTGGAGGCTAGGATTTTTCAAAGATAGTATGGCAGGCTAAGGAGTCTGTTTCTGGGTGGGAGCACATGACTGGTCCGTAGGGTTGGTGGGGTCAGGGAGGTCAGTGGGGTCAGCAGGGCCAGCAGGGTCAGCAGGGTTGGTGGATCCAGGTGAAGCCATTGGTTGTCAGAAATTCAAAAACCTAAAAGGTATCTCAAAAAGCGAATCTTAGTTTCTGCAACGGTGATGTTATCTGCAGGAGTAATTGGGAAACTTGCAAAACTTGTGACCTCTAAATAATAGCTGGTAATCATTTATGTCTACACCTTAGCAGAATTCAGGCTCCTCACACCCTCCTAACCTGGTGGCCTTTCACAAGCTTTACAAAGGTGGTTTAATTTGGGGAAAGGACTATTGTCATTTAAACTATAAACTAAATGTCTCCCCAGGATAACTTAGCTCAGACCCAAGAATGGTTAAGGGCAGTTTGGAGGCTAATGGCAAGATGAAACTTGGTTAGATCAGATACTTTCCACTGTCATAATTTTCCCACTGTTATAATTTTTGAAAAGGTGGTTTTAAGTTAGAATGGCAATCATTAAAAAGTCAGGAAACAACAGGTGTGGAGAGGATGTGGAGAAATAGGAACACTTTTACACTGTTGGTGGAACTGTAAACTAGTTCAACCATTGTGGAAGTCAGTGTGGCGATTCCTCAGGGATCTAGAACTAGAAATACCATTTGACCCAGCCATCCCATTACTGGGTATATACCCAAAGGACTATAAATCATGCTGCTATAAAGACACATGTACACGTATGTTTATTGCGGCACTATTCACAATAGCAAATACTTGGAACCAACCCAAATGTCCAACAATGATAGACTGGATTAAGAAAATGTGGCACATATACACCATGGAATACTATGCAACCATAAAAAATGATAAGTTCATGTCCTTTGTAGGGACATGGATGAAATTGGAAATCATCATTCTCAGTAAACTATCGCAAGAACAAAAAACCAAACACCGCATATTCTCACTCATAGGTGGGAATTGAGCAATGAGAACACATGGACACAGGAAGGGGAACATCACACTCTGGGGACTGTTGTGGGGTGCGGGGAGCGGGGAGGGATAGCTTTAGGAGATATACCTAATGCTAAATGACGAGTTAATGGGTGCAGCACACCAGCATGGCACATGTATACATATGTAACTAACCTGCACATTGTGCACATGTACCCTAAAACTTAAAGTATAATAAAATAAAATAAAATAAAATAAAATAAAATAAAATAAAATAAAATAAAATAAAATAAAATAAAGAAAAGGTAGTTTTATAAAGATAAATATACAGATCAATGAAATAGAATTGGAAGTCTGGAAATAAACCTTTACATTGATTTTCAAAAAGTGTGTCAACTCAATTAGGACAGAATAATTGTTTTAACAACTACTGTTGAACTGGTACAACTGGAAATCTGCATGCAAAAAAAATGAAATTGGATCTTTGCCTCATATTGTACATGAAAATTAACTCAAAATGGATGTTGGGCATAAATGTAAGAGTTAAAACTATAAAATTCCTAGAGGAAATCATAGGAGTAAATCTTCATGACCTTAGATAGTAGTTTCTTAGCTACATCACCAAAAGCATAAACAACAAAAGAAAAAAGTCGATAAATTGAACTTCATCAAAATTAAAAACTTTTATTCTGCAAATGATACCATCACAAAAGTGAAAAGACAACTCTCAGAACAGGAGAAAATATTGGGAAATTCTATATCTAATAAGAGACTTGTATTCAAAATATGTAAAGAACTCTTACAACTTAATGATACAAAGATAAGTGACTCAATTGAAAACTGGGCAAATGATCTGAATAGACACTTCTCCAAAAATATGCAAATGACAAAGAAGCACATGAAAAGATTCTCAGCATTGTTAGTCATAAATGAAATGAAAATGAAGTCATCAGATACCACTTCACGCCCACTAGGATGGCTATAATCAAAACGACAGACAATAACAAGAGTTGACAAAGATGTGGAAAAATTGGAACCCTCCTGTTTTGCTGGTGGAAACCTGAAAATGGTGAAGCCACTTTTGAAAACAGTTATCAGTTCCTCAAAATGACAAACATAGATTTACTATATCACTCAGCAATTCCACTCCTAGTTATATATTCAAGAAAAAAGGAAAATATACACCCACACAAAAACTTGTATAGGAATGGTTGATGCAAAATTATTTATAGTAGCCAAAGAGCAGAAACCGATGAGTGGATAAATAAAATGTGGCCTATCCATACAATGGAATATTATTTGGTACTAAAAATGTAAAACACTGATGTATGCTATAACATGAATGAAAACATTATGCTAAGTAAATAAGCCAGTCACAAAGAGCACATATTACATCATGCAATTTATATGAAATGTCCAGAATAGGCATGTCTACAGAGACAAAAAGTAGATGGGAGGTTTTCCTAGGGCCTTGGATGGGGAGGAGGGAAAGGATTGTGTGGGATGGGAAGCATGAGAAGTGATATGGGTATGGGGTTTTGTTTTGTGGTTTAAAAAAGTTCTTCCAGGTGCAGTGGCTCACATCTGTAATCCTAGCACTTAAGGATGCAGTGGCAGGAGTATAGTGTGAGCCCAGGAGTTTGAGACCTGCCTGGGCAATATAAAGAGACCCCATTCTTCACAAAAAAGAAAAAAAGTGCTTAAAAAAGTTCTAATATTGATAGTGATGATGGTTGTACAACTTTGTGAATACACTTAAAACAATTTAATTGTATACTTTCAACAAGTAAACTGGATGTTATGTGAATTATATCTTTTGAAAACTTAAAAATGGAACCGCACTTTGAAAAATATAAAAAAGAAAAAGAATGAAAAGATCTTGGTATGAGAAAAACCATCTAATTTTCACTACAGTGAAAAATAACAGCTGAACTACCTTCTAATTATATAATTATATTTTAAAAGAGTACTCTGTTAAGCAAATGATTAGCTACCCATTGAAATAGATGAAAGGGAGGAGTTATTTTTGAGCATAAGTTTTTTCCATCCTTTTGAATCTCCAGTGGCTTGGGTCATGTCTGGCAAGTAAAGGACCCTAATTCAATTATTGAATTGTTTGCTCCCTGGAATTTCACAAAAAAATAAGGAATCAGGTACACAGAGGAAACTTGACTTGCTCAGAGCTGCACACCTACAAAAAGTAGCAGAGCTGAGACTACTATGGCCCGTGCTTCCTGACCCGTGGCCAGTGCACCTACCGCTGGGTTTAAACACATGTGATCACACTTCAGACACTATCTTTGGTCTTTAAGTAACTTTTCTGTTTTGTTTGTTCAAAAGATTACTAACAAAAGAAAAATGAGGAAGTTTACCATTTGTAGGTGAAAAGTCACTTTTATATCTGGTTGAATTGGTTAGGGAATACCAGCAGAAGGAAGTTGTTCCTCTGGCTACATCCTGTGTCATTTCAGCAACTGGATGAATGTGATCAGAAGGTGAAAATCACTGAGAGAAGCCACTCACCTCCATCATGCTGGTCTATCAAAATTAACTTCCCTTCATAGGACACAATAGGGTTGTTACTTTTTTTTTAAAGGTATACCTACATATGAAAATAATTAATTTTATCTAAATTTAATGTAATATGCATAAAAATACACCTGATGCTGTCCTAACTATGCAATATTCTCCTTTGTGTGTCAATAAAAGTGTATTATTTCAATACATGGAGTTGGTTATTATTTTACTTGCAACCTAAAGCACCTTAACAGATATATCATGTGTAACTTGTGTATTTTTTTAATTTAGAAGAGACAAAAATGAGGACCTTACATTCTAAATATTAAAATGTGCAATCACATGAGTCCAGGAGTTTGAGACCAGCCTGGCAACGTAGTAAAACCCCATCTCTACTAAAAATACAAAAAGTCCCAGCTACTCAGGAGGCTGAGGTGGGGGAATCACTTGAGCTGGGGAAGCCAAGGCTGCAGTGAGCTGTGATTGCGCCACTGCACTCCAGTCTGAGTGACAGAGTAAGACCCTGTCACAAAAAAAAAAAAGTACAGCGTATATTCTATAGTAAAAAACATGTGGGCCATTACATTCTGAAAGAACATAGTGAAACATTTACAGAATATCAAGGCCTCACCATCTAGAAGAAAAGAATCCTTACTTTCCTCATCTTTCTACCTCAAGAAAAAAGGGAAGCGGGAAGAAACAAAAGTGCTAAAGTTACAAGTGGTAACCAAACAAGAAAAGGAGAACCGCTTAACAAAATGCACTTTGAAAAGCGCTGGCTCATATAAAAACCAGAAGTTTGAGAGTATCACAATGAGGCCACACTCCAACCTCCCAGAAACCATATATTGTGCGTCTACAAAATCCTGAACAATTCTCACTCAGATCTTGAGAGAAGAAGGGGCCATTGTTTATCCTTAGTTTTTCTCATTTTTGACTGTGGAGTAGTGAAAATGGCTGCAGTGGAGATTAGTGCAAAAGGAAATAGCAGCAATGTGGCATGATTTTGTCAGAGTGTGAGGACTCCAACGACCCACATTAATTGGGGGAATGAGCTGAAACTCACAGATGCCCCCAACCTCGCTGGACAGAGTAAGCTCAGCCTTCTCCCTCCCTCAATGAAGTGCGAAGCCTGCATGTTCCTCACAGTCTCACATTGGAAGGAGGGGCCCAGTTTGTGCAACACAACTCCAGCTAAGCCCACCCCCACCATTCCCACGCTCAAAGGTTATAGAAAATCAAGCTCAAAAGGAATATTAAGCCGTCATATGTAATCCAGAAAAGGGGTAAGAAAAGGCTCTGACATGAGGATTTAGGAGCTGCCACACACAAAGGGGCAGAGCAAAGTGAAAGTCTGAAGAAAGCTGCCAAGTATGGACAAGATGAAATCAATGAACTAGCAGCTATGCAAACCTTAAAAGAAAATAACATGCACAAATTAAAAATAAAATCCAGTCTGAAAGAATTTTTAAGTGCACAGGCTACAAAATTTGATAAGAGCCTGCATTCAATTTTTTAAAAAACTCAAGAACCGATTGAATAACCAAGAGAAAATAACTAAAAAGAGTGAGATAGAGAGAACCAGAGACAAAGAAATAATTTGAGGACCAATAAACCTACCTACAGGTAAATTAGAAATAACAAGAAATAAAGCAGACCCAGCTAAACATTTAGTTCCCGAAAAAAAAGAAAGGGAGAGAGAGAAAATCACTGTGAACCAGGAAGAAAAAACAAAGTAGATTACTACAATCAGAGAAAAGATAATAGACTTAGATGATAAAAAGTTAATTAATATCCTTGAAGAAAAGCACTTAACAAATAAAAAGGTATTTAAAATCACACAAGAAAAAATTCTTTGAATGAAGATCTAAATCTGCGCATTACAATGGTGGATACACAGCATTATATATTTGTTAAACACCATACAATATACAACACCAAGAGGGAACCTCAATGCAAACTTTGGGCTTTGGGTGATTATGATGTGCATTAAAGAGTGCATTGTGTTTAAGAAATAAAAGATGGCCGGGTGTGGTGACTCCTGCCATCACTTTGGGAGGCCAAGGCAGGATGATCACCTGAGGTCAGGAGTTCGAGACCAGCCTGGCCAACATGGTGAAACTCTGTCTCTACTAAAAATACAAAAAATTAGCTGGGCTTGGTGGCGGGCGCCTGTAATCCCAGCTGCTCAGGAGGCTGAGGCAGGAGAATTGCTTGAACCTGGGAGGCAGAGGTTGCAGTGAGCCAAGATCACGCCATTGCACACCAGCCTGGGCAACAAGAGTGAAACTCCATCTCAAAAAAAGAAAAAGAAATAAAAGATGCTGGTTGATCTGTATCAGTATATATCCTTGTCAAGTTTCTTAATATCTCAGTTAAAGAAAGTTTCCTCCAGCAGCCTGGAAAGAAGAGCAAGTCACCTAAAAGAGGACAAAGGACTGGCTGTTCTCACATTTCTCCAAAACAACATTCAATGCCAAAGGGGCAAGGGAGGAAAATCAACCGAGTCTAGGCCAAAGGGAAGTAGGATGGAGACACAATGTGCCCACCTTGATGTCACTGCAATACAACAGCAACAGAATAACATCCTGAAAGTGGAGAGCATTGATAGATGCAGTATGTGGGATCACATCTTCACAGAGTCCATCCAGCTCATCAACAAAGAAAGTAGGAATGAGATATGGTGGTAGAAAGGTCTGGAGGTGCATAAGGTATCCTTTTAAATGGAGAACTAAGAAGAGACCACTGAGGGTTTATGGTTACAGAAATCAAAAATTTTAAACTTAACTATGTAAAACTCATATAACTAGGGAAACGTGAGAGGTGAGCTGAAGTGAAGTGGAGTGAGAGAGGTAATTGGTTCATGTATCATAGCAGAGTTACTGATACTGTCTGAAATTAAAGCTCATGGTTTAGAAGAAATGACGAAAACTGCTTATTATTGTCACTTTTCTTTTCCTTTAATCAAAGTGGGGTCATTTCAGAAATGATACATTTGTGGCAAAGAATCATTTCTATAAAATCAGCAATTCTTTAGATCCCATTTCAGAATTTTTTATTCTGTTAAATTTAAGTAGAATTAAATATCATATTTAACATGGATAAAATGTATAATAAATGTATTATATTTAAAATGATGCCCATTTTTATATCTATTGCCATGTGTACATATAGAAAGAGATAATTTTGTAAGGGTCACCTAACGGTAATGATGATTATGTCTGAAATTTGGGATGTTTCTATTTCCTTTGTGCTTTTATTCTTTTAAGGGATTGCCTATTAGGAATACTTGCCACTGTTACCAAAAAAACTATTTTTTTAAATTAAACACTATTTTTTAGAGCAGTTTTAGGTTCACAGTAAAAATGAGAGGCAGGTACCGAGGTTTCCCATATACCCACTGACCTCACACATGCACAGCCTTTCCCATTATCAACAGCCCCATCAGACTGGTACATTTGTTACAATTGATGAACCTACTTTGACACATCATAATCACCCAAAGCCTGAAGTTTACACTGATGTTCCCTCTTGGTGTTGTATATTGTATGGTGTTTAACAAATGTATAGTGCTGTGTATCCACCATTGTAATATCATACAGCATACTTTCACAGCCCTAAAAAATCTCTGTTCTCCTTCTATTCATCCTGCCCTCCCCACCAGCCCATGGCAGCCACTGATCTTTTTACTATCCAGATAGTTTGGCTCTTTCCAGAATATCACCTGTTGAAATTATACAGTATGTAGCCTTTTCAGAGGGCTTCTTTCACTTGGTAATATGCATTTAGATTTCATCCATTTCTTTTCATAACTTGCTAGTGCATTTCATTTTAGTGTGGAACAATATTCCATTACACTGATGTACAAGAGTTTATATATCCATTCACTTACTGAATGACATCTTGTTTGTGTCCAAGTTTTGGCAATAAACTTAGTAAATAAAGCCAGCGTAAACATTTGTGTGCAGATTTTTGTGTGAACATAAGGTTTGAACTCCTTTGGGTAAATACCAAGAAGCACAATTACTGGGTACTACTTTAGGTAAATACCAACTACTTTGGGTAAATACCAAGAAGGACAATCCTCTTATAATTACTCATGTTGTAAGAGGATGTTTAGTTTCATAAGAAACTGCCAAACTGTCTTCCACAGTGGCTGTACCATCTTGCATTCACAACAGCAATGAATGAGTATTTCTATTGCTTCACATCCTCACTAGTGTTCACTGCGGTCAGTGTTCCGAATTTGGGCCATACTGATATCTTACTGTCTTCATTTGCATTTCCCTGATGATACATAATGTGAACCATCTTTTAGGCTAGGCATGGTGGCTCACGCCTGTAATCCCAGCATTTTGGGAGGCCAAGGCAGGCAGATCACGAGGTCAGGAGATCGAGACCATCCTGGCGAACACGGTGAAACCCCGTCTCTACTAAAAATACAAAAAATTAGCCGGGCATGGTGGCGGGCGCCTATAGTCCCAGCTACTCGGGAGGCTGAGGCAGGAGAATGGCGTGAGCCCAGGAGGCAGAGCTTGCGGTGAGCTGAGATGATCGGGCCACTGTACTCCAGCCTGGGCAACAGAGTGAGGCTCCGTCTCAAAAAAAAAAAAAATTACTACATGATACTAAGTAATGCGGAAGGTGACTCAAAGGGGGAAAGGAACACAGCAGTGTAAAGGAAGGAGGTTGTAGATGGATCTAGAATTTCCCCCTCATTTCCATCAGGTGAAAGCCTGAGAAAACTGCAATCTTTGTGCAGGCTGGGTTTGCTTTGTACACACTGGTCCCCTAGTGTTCATCTCCAATAATGCTGACAACTCTGAAAACCATCTGTAGACATTCTGCAGGCTCCATCTCAGGAACAATGGCTATTTTTTCGGGTAGTTGAAGCAAAATTAAGTCCAATGATAAGCAAATATAACCATTATCAAAATCTTCCATTTATGTTTGTTAAAGCAACCTAAGTATGATCTGAGAAGGACTCTGTATTCTATATTTGAGTCCTTGTGGATGAACTGTAACCTAGCTTAATAGGCAGACAAGATTGAAAACCTAATTTAGGAGTATGTGCCTTTAACAATAGCTGAGTCTTGGCCAATCCCAGTGGCCATACTTCAACCATTCATACACTGCTGAGTGTTCAAACTGTGTTCAAAGAAGGCAAAAGCCAACCTGTAACCAATCCAGTTGTTTCTCTGCCTTACCTCCAATTTCTGTATGTCACTTCCCTTTTTTTGTCTATAAATATGTTCTGACCATGAGGCATCCCTGGAGTCTCTGAATCCGCTGTGATTCTGGAAGCTGCCCCATTCGCAAATCATTCATTACTCAATTAAACTGCTTTAAATTTAATTCTGCTGAAGTTTTCTTTTAACAGGTTTAGAAAAAATAATGGCAAAAATGAATGAAAATCCAATAACCCTGGAAGCAGAAAAGGCTGGGGGCTCCAATAAGTGTAAATAGTCCCATCCCTATATTTTCTCCATGGCAATTACAATCCAGCACATTATATATATATTTTTTTGCTTCTCGCATTTTGGCTTAGGGTAAAGCTTTTTAAAACAGGCACTGCCAACCAGTGTTATCAAGAAGGTCTGGATGCCGTTTTGTGGGAACATTTTAAAGAGGAATGTCCAAAAGGAAAAGGGGGATGGGTTGGGAGAAGGGTATCAGGCGGGTATCTCAAAACCATTCTTAGGGCTATAGGTTTAATTTATTTGGTTGTGGACGTCAGAGCCGTCATGGTAAGAAGGAAGCAAAGCCTTTTGTAATAATTAAAGCCTTCAGAAGCAGCGTGCCCCATTGCCCACTAGTGCGCCGTGAAGTCTGGTGTTCACCTACAGGGTCCCTCTCAGCACTGCCCAGGCCTCCCGAGTGCTCCAGCACAGTAGCTTGGAGCTTGTTGGTTTGGTGACCAAGATACACTCCAGGGAATATGCCATGCAGTGGAGTCTCTTCCCCGGCACTGCATAGCAAAAGGAAAGGGCCGCTGGGTGTCTGTGGGTCCTGGGCAGTCACAGAAGCCACCGCGCTGGCGGGGAGGAGGGGGACCGATGCGGTCCATGTCCCGGGCAGCCCCACCTTCTCTGCCTGCGAAGGGCCCTTGTCCGGCGGGAGGAGAGAGGCGCGCCCCACCCGGGCTCCTCTACACCTGCCGCCGCCTGGGCCGATTCCGCGGGCCTCGCCCGGCGCTTCAGCCGATTCCCGCCCAGCTCCGGGCTCATGGGCGCGGTCAGCAGGGCGGGCCAGGGCGGCGGGGCGCGACACTGGGAGGAAGTGCGGGCCGCCTGCCCGGGCGCGTTAAGGAAGTTGCCCAAAATGAGGAAGAGCCGCGGGCCCGGCGGCTGAGGCCACCCCGGCGGCGGCTGGAGAGCGAGGAGGAGCGGGTGGCCCCGCGCTGCGCCCGCCCTCGCCTCACCTGGCGCAGGTAGGTGTGGCCGCGTCCCCTACCCGGCCGGGACTTTCTGGTAAGGAGAGGAGGTTACGGGGAACGACGCGCTGCTTTCATGCCCTTTCTTGTTCTACCTTCATCGGCCGAGGTAAAAGTGCTGAAACCATGTGAATAAAATACAGGTGGGTTCCGCCAGCTTCGCTCCTGAACCTACCCGCGCTCGGGATCCAGAAGCTGCGCCGGGAGAGAGGGGCTCAGGCCTGGGCGGAGGGGACGGAGGTCAGACCGTGCGGAAAGTGACCCGGGCACCCCAGGGCGCCCAGGCCCCCAGGGAGCGCGGAAAGTGCGGTCGCGGCCCGGCCCTCGGGAGACGCGGGATTGGGATCAGGCACAGCGCGAGGAAGTCGATCTTGGAGCTAGAACATTTTCCTTTGGCCATTTACACGAATCCACTGGAAAATGCCGCAGTGTTTATCAAAGTTACTCAAAGTAGAAATGTCCAGACGTCTTATGAGCTTAGACAAATCTTTTACTACAAAAAGAAACAGCAGTTGCATTCAAACAACAACCCTTCTGAACCACTACTAAAATTTAGCATAATTACTCTTGTGGATACATTTTCATTGTCAAGTAATTTACTTAGCCAATGAACTTGGAGAGCAAGAAAGTTTTATGTAGTAAAATGTAAATTTGAGTTAAGAGTTAAGGGTGTTTCTTTTTGTCTGTTTGTCTGTTTTTGGCAATGTGGCTCCAAAACCTTAAGCCCACCTAAAAACTATATAAATGCAATCCATTCTTTTGTTGGAATGTTCAAGGACTAGAAAGACAATTGGAGAAGTGAGAGTTTGAATCTTTTTTTACGTTGGAAACAGTGTTGCAAAATATTTTTTGAGTTTTGCCTGACTTAGCAAAGATTCAGTCGAACTCAAGTAGAGTTCAAAGCATTGCAGCGTGTAGTAAAAAAAAAAAAGAGTTGAAGATGTTGTGCCATATCTGATTCTTGGTATTAAAAATAAAAAAAGGAACCATTTAATCCCTAAGAGTTCCTGGAAGAAATGGAATTGATTCTACCATCTGACTTCTTTGTCTTAGTAGGGACAAATTCATTGCCTTCACACAGGCAGCATTTTAATTAAATGCAACTAAATACATTGATGTCCTCCTTCTCCCCAGTGAAAGTCCGAGCAGTGCATAGATAGAATTATATTTTCTCAAAAAGGCTTAAATACATGTAAATTATTAAGTGTTTTAAGTGAGAAATCTTTGTCAGTTGAAATTATTTTATCAAATCATTTTTGTTCTGAACGGCACTTTTGTTTTAACGTATTTAGAAAACTCTTGCATTAAAACAGAAATTGATTTGTATTATCCCCTGTATTTGAAGTGCACTTTAAAGTGTATTTGAATGAGAGATTATAATCAAATTACTTGATTTGTGTCTTATCCTCTTACTCTTCTACCTTGGATTTGAAAAGGTTGGATTTGAACACTAGGAAAAAAGAGATTTTTCTACTGAGGGATTGTGGGAAGATTTTTTTTTAAGCCTCTGTATTTGAAGTGAAATATAAAATAGGATTTTATAATAGTCTTAATAACTAGAAAGTTTTAAGCTAGGATAAAAATGGGGTGTATACTTTAGGTCTTTATCTTTCCTGAGAGATGAAATTGGTAGAAACGTTATTTTATTGCTAGATTTCACTTTAGAAATGAATCACCCTGATCTTTGTTAGGCCCCTATTTAATATTCTAAATGCAGGTCTAATCTCTCTGCTTTTTTTTAATGGAAGACTTCTTAGTAGAACTTCACTTATTTAGCACATTGTTTGCCCATGGTTATAATCCAATATGCTTGTGCCAAGACGTATTTTGGAATTCAAGCTTTTTCAGAATTTGGAATTAAAATTTAGAATCTAAATTTCAGAACTGAGAAAGACATTGCTCAGAATTTAGAAAGGTAAACATACATGTTGACCCTGCTGGTTACATGCCATTCCAATATAGTCTGGAGAGAATCCTGTAATTCCATGCATTAATATTTCTGTACTTTTACATTTAAGAACATGAATATTCTCACTAAGTGGAATAAATAAAGACTATAAAGAGCTGTGTGTCTGTTTAGAGCAGGTGTTATCACTACGAGAGCTTCTCTAAGACTTACCAAAAAAAAAAAAAGTGTTGTTTTTCAGAGCTTTTTAGAGCTGCAGCTGAGGGACTGAGTCTGTATTAGACTCCACTGAACTACGGTTTGCTTTTAAAAGGAAAGTGCATTTATGTTGTTCAATACTTCACACTTTCCAGTAATTAGAAGGGCAGTTCCTCTCTCTTTAGGGAGTCTTAAATAGCAAGATTTTACTGAATTTTCAATCATACCGATCAAAATAGAGGTACTTCAAGTAAGAGTGGATGTCTCATCTTTGTAATATAATTTCAAACAGCATAGTTTCTGACAGTCTACCATTTTAGAGAAACAGAGCAGAAGTTACTTACAGGAGGGGTTACTGTCACCCTTTACAGCTGCAGTCTGTCCATGGAAGAAATATTATTTCCTGTTAACTTTGCAACCAGCTGGGTTTGTGTCAGTTATCTAAGCCTAAGTGATGGCTAATTTTTACTTTCTCAACTTTCCCTGTATAGATTTTTTTCCAGCTACCCCCTGACTTTTCTACTCTTGCTTTGCTGGTTTTAACATTTTCCACTACTTCTGGATTGGTTTAGCTATAACTGGGTGGAGAAAACAACAACAACAACAGGAATTTAGGCCTTTGGGGAAGAATTTGTTTTGTTTTAGAAGTCTACACATTGAGCATTACTTTTTCTTCTAAAGCAACTAAAATCAGAAGGCAGAGTCCTAATGAGAGATTATGATCAAATTGCCTCATTTGTGTCTTATCACCTTCCTCTTCTACTTAGATTTGAACAGGTTGGATTTGAATACTAGGAAAAAAGGGTTTTCTACTGAGGGATTGTGGGAAGATGTTTTAAGAACTAGTCTGATTGGATTTTAGGAAAGTTCATTCATTTTGATATGATGTTATCAGGGACATTTTCTATTTGCTTATAATTTTATCTGACCAATATTAGCTTGTATCAATTTGAGGTTTTTTTTTCCTTTATGAATCAATTGTGCAAGGTTTGCCCTACATCTCTTAAAAGGTGGTTAAACTGGAATCTTAAAGACAGTTGAATTTAGCCAAGACCAAAGATATGCAAAGAAAGAATATTTTGTTTATGTTACAGTACATTTAATAAATCCAAATGGCTCCCTTGATTCTTTTCTTTCTGGGACACCACGTATTGATTTCTGGCAGCTGGCCAAAGGCAGATGGTGGTGGAGCAAGCGAGGACAGTTAAGAATGTTGATGATTACTGGATTACTGAGGAGTACTGTGAGCTTTCTGGTCCTCTGCTCAGAGGTGTCTAGCTCTGAAACTGGGATCCTGGCTCTGAGCTGGAGAGGCGCTTCCAGTTACTGCTGTCCTGGAGCGCTGGAAGGGAGCATAAGTGTGAGGAGACAGTGGGCTTTTAGCCTGGGATGCAGATGAGAGATGTCTTGACCTGAGTGAAAACCTTGCAGGCAAGCTGCAGGTCTACCGAGCAGGGTGAGGGAGGCTCTCGACCTGGATACTGTGAACTAGGGAGAGAAAGTAAATTCAACAGAAGGAGGGCCCAGGGCAGAGATTTAGGAATATCCACAGTTTAAATATTGCTTTACTTAAGTATACTCTGCCTGACTATAAGTAGCATTTGAATGTTCAACATATGACCTTTCATTTCTCCCCTCCATTGGTTTGTCTTAACTGATAAATCTTTATTTTCCCATGGTCAACCTGGTAGTTTATTAATATTACATCTATCAGTTCCTGTTGAGTTGACATGAAAATGTTTTGGTGTGACCTAAGTTAATTTCTCTTTTTGTTTAATTTTAATTTGTAATGAGTTCCTCTTTTCATTCTGCCCATCCTTTGGTACTGCTTTGAGTTATGTCCTCTAGAATTCTCACTATTTCCTTATGATTGGCATATTTTCAAAGTTTTTTGGTGTACTAATTTTAAACAGTGTTTGTTGACACTGAGAATTCAGGACTTTGGAGTTTTAGACCACCATCACCTTCTACTCCTTCTCACACCATCCCAGGATAATTATTCTCTCATTTGAGATTAAGAAGTTATTTGGTTTATTTTATTATGGTTATATAAATATAGTTTACTGCTAAAGCAAGGTATATCATTCCATTTTCTATCTCGTACCCCTTTTTGCTCTTCCTGGGGTAAACCCTTGCTTTGTTTTTGTGTTTTCTTAGTTTGCACTGTGCCTATTATCATTTCCTTCCCAACTTTCTGACATAAAGATGAAAGCCCTATTGACACAATTTTCTACAGTGTCAGATATACCAAGTAATCTCACGGTTCCATTTTTCTTTCTTTTTTTCTAGAACCCTCCATCTTCTTCTTGTCTAACAGTTGCTCTTCAGTCTTGCTATACATACAGTAATACCTGAAGAATGTTTGGAGGATATTTGGTGTGGGACTTTTCTTTTTTTTTTTTCTTTTTCTTTTTTGTAGAGATGGGCTCTCACTATATTGCCCAGGCTAGTCTCAAACTCCTGGGCCCAAGCAATCCTCTTGCCTCAGCCTCCCAAAGTGCTGGGATTATAGGCATGATCCACTGTGCCCAGCCCTATGGGGAATATTTGTTGACTAAATATGTTTTATGTAAATTGCTTATCATACTCTTTGTTGTAACATCTGTGGCATTAATATGCCTCTTGTTAACACTCACCTACATTTTACCTGTTGTAAATCCACTGTCATAATTATTGAAAATATTTCTCCAGAGCTTTTTAATTCTATGGTTATTTATTTATTGTAGTATAGAACTTTTATGATTTCTTCCATCAGGGTGCATTCTGAATCATGCTTAGTGAGAGATGGTTTTTAACTCCACTTTAACAGTTAGCATCTATGTTTTACATCAGTGTCAATGTCACTTTTGTATTATATACGACACCAACATTTTATTATCTGAGTGATGAGAATGTTTATTTTTGTGGAAATGGAGATCTCATGAGACTTTAAGCAGATTGCTGGCCTTCTCCTCGATTTCCTTGATTGATTCCTGAAGTGGAACTGCAGTGCTAAGTGGAATTCCCTGGGAAGCTTGCTCAAGTAAGTAAGCATGAGAAATGCTGAATGAAATAAAGTGCAGCAAGCAGGGATAAATATCATGGGCATCTTCAGAGCCTTTGTGCAGGTAACATGCACAGAGATTCTCTGAGAGAGTCAGTCTCAGCCAGTGGTCCTACACTTCCATGACCCTGCAGTGCGTTTGTTCTTAGAGTGGCTTTCAGGGCTGGCTCTGCCACAGCCTCTTTGGGAAACCATGCATGACCTCTTGCTGCTCCTTACCAAGCTCCTTAGGCTTTGCTTGGTAGAGGCAGAATGTTGTGGTTGTTTTCATCTTAAATGCTAACAATATATGAATTATGTGGTGGATACACTGCCTCAAAGTGACATTTATCGAATATTTTTGTAGCTACGGGTTGAGAGTAAGGGTCTGAGGCCCCACTGGGTTCAAGTCCCCCTTCTTTATTTGTAAGCTCTTCTTTTGTAAATGGAGCAGTCACAGGGGGCTTCACTCTGATACCTAATGGAGACCGTGCCTGCAGTGCTCGGTACCTGGTATGTGGTTAAAACTGACATAACTGTCAGAGCCTCTCCCAGGCGGGCTGACTCTGGGAATCTGCCCTGCAGTCTTGGAGGGAAGGCACGTCCAGATAGGTTTGATGAGCAACTACAATTGCCAAAGTTAGTTTCTCTGACCTCCAAGATGGGAGAACTTTCTAATATTTTCTTTTAGGAAAGTTGTCCATTGCATAACTGATACACGAGTACATATCCTTTAGTACAGGATTCAGATACAGCGAGCAACAGAAAAGCCCTTCTTAACCTCCACCCTCAGTCCCAGCCCTGCCCCCAGTCCCACTGTTGGGGAGCAGTTGGAGCTCTAACCTCTCTTCTTTCGTCCTGTGCATTCATGTGTGCATGTGTGCACGTCTTCAGAAGATATAATGGTGGGCTGTGTATGTCTTCTTAATACCTTTATCACTCTGGAACTTTCTTTTTATTAATATGTTGGGGTGCGGGGAGGTCTCCATATTCAGTGATTATTGTAATTTTTATGACAGTCCAGAATAGGCATGTCGATTTTTTTTAATTTTTGATATTATAAACAGTGCTGCAATGAATGCACTTTTTCTTTTCATTCTTTCCCTCTCCTTTGCCATTTGCACTGTGTTTTCATGAAACCATCAGGTTAATCTTTATCTCAAGGAAGCCCTTCATCCCTGTCCATCCTGTTCTTCAGTCCATCCACTTAGTTTTCCTATGATTATTTTAGCAAGCAGGTGGTTAATTTCCAAGGAATGTAGTTACTTCTTTGGGATTTTTTTAAGTGATGTATTAGTTTTCTGTGTATTTTATTACTTGTTTGAGTGCACCATTACCCCCGTCTCCCGGGGTATCAGTTCATCTGCTTGCATGCTTGGTGCCTCTCTCTCCTGCTGTCAGCTTTCCTGATGTGCTGGGTATTTCCACGTGTGTGTTGGTTTTTTTTTTTTTTTAGGTACCCTAGGCATTAGTCTTTTAAGGCTGCATTCTTGCAGCCTGTCCCACATGAGATAGGAGGAGGGCAAGACCTGGATGTGCACAGGGCAGGATGGGCCCATAACTGGTCTGTGTGGTGTGTGGGTGGCAGGAACTCCCTGTTCTTTGTGGGTATGGCCATGCCTTCCCTATTCAAACGAAGCCACACACCTGTCTTTTCCTGCGAGGCGTCTTCTGCTGCTTTCTTGGAGCTGGGGAGCATCTACTCTTCCCTTGTCCTCCCGCTCCTCCCTGTTCCTCCCTCAGGTCTCTGTCGCTTCTAAGGCACTCCACCCTTGGTCTTCTCCCACCTTGCACCCCCCACACTGCTGCCTGCCTGCACAGGGGGACTGTGATTGCCCCCTTCAGTGTGAGCCTGACCTGCTTCATGCCTTTCAAGGAGAGCATTCATTGCCAAGCTACTCATGGAACATCTCCTCAGATCCTCAGCGTGCTATGACTTCATTTTCTGTAATACTGTTTTTCATGTTTCTTCCCCTTCTCTGCATTTATAGCTGTGCATATGCTTGAGGTGGAAGGCCACCACTTCCTTTTGGTTAACAACACCAATCAGCTGATGGTCATGGCTACGTGAAGGAACTCACAGTGAGGGCTCAGGAAGAGCCTGGCTAGAGCAGGCTGCATCGCAGGCCTTGGCGTTAGGTTCCCCAAATCACTGCTGGTGATCTTGTAGCTCTGTCATGAAGTCTGTCCTGCTTATTAGGATACCGAGGGTCCAAATTCATAGATTCTTAGAAGCCTGTTTAAATATGCAGAGTATCTAATTCAACCCGATTAGAAACGGGCTCAGAAAGGTGAAGGGATTTGTCCAACCACTGAGTGATGCTGCTGGGATTAGAACTCTCAAAACTAGGTGTTTCTAATCCAGAACCAGAATCCCTATCCACTACTCTAATAAGGCGTAAAAGAGGATCTGCTGTCCTGCCTAATTGGTGGGCAGGTTTGGAGTCCTGTCAGCAGCTCAGGAAAGCCTGGAGAGGCAGAGGGAGGACACAGGCTCAGTGTCAGACATGCCAATTTTACTCATCACCAATGGTTACACAAAACTTGTTTTGATCTTTGTGGCTTTTGCATTGAGAAGTTAAGCATATACAATAGGAATTAGACACAATCCCAAACCAATGAGAGACTCAAGTGAGAAGAGCTGAAGCTTTTATGCATGCCTTCCTTCCATAGAGATAAATTTACTATCCAGAGTGAACTAGAGCCTCGTGGAAAGTGAGTGCCGAGCCCCTAGCTGTGAGTGTCTCTGTCCTTCCCACATCAGACCTCCATGTCTGTGGCTGTCCCCCTACGGGGCAGAACTGCTGCTCTCTGCTTGTGTTGCTGTCGTGAGGGTTGGGAGTGGACAGGTGTGGACAGATCTCAGACCCGTTTCCCTCCTGTTATGGAAATGTTTGTGAGGCAGGTGGGACTTCAATGATTTGGTCAAGGAAAGGCAGCTTGGCAGCTGGGGAGAAGGGCTCAGGCTAGAAAGGCAAGCGTTTGTGAGGGATGATTTCCCCAAAGAAGCCAGCAGTGTGTAAGGTATTCCCCGGAGCTTGTTTCTTCTCAGAAGACTCTGGAAGCTGTGTCAGTGTCTGTTATGGAGGAATGGAGTATCAGTCCGATCAGGCTTTCATAACAAAGCACCACATACTGAACGGCTTGAACAGCCCAATGTGTCGCCTCCCAACTCTGAGCCAAAGAGACTGAGGTCAGGATGTCCCAGGGTGGCTCCTTCCAAGGGTTGGGTGGGACAATGTGCCCCCAGCATCTCCTTGGCTTGTGGGTGACCATCTCCAGCTCCACATGGCATGCTCCCTGTGTGCCTGTCTCTGGGTCCAGATCTCCTTTTCATGTAAGGACACCAGTCATGTTGGAGTAGGGCTCACCCTAAGGACTTCAATGGGGCGTAATCACTGCTGTAAAGACCCTGTCTTTAAATAAGGTCACACTCAGAGGGGTTAGGGAGTTAGGACATCAACATTTGAACTTGGGGGGACACAATTCAACCTGTAACAAATGTGTGAGTGAAGACTGGCACCTCCCCACGATGGCCTTTCTGTGATGCCATCAAGAGCACCAGGGAGCTCTCCAGATATGGAGATGGACAGATGTCTAAGGCCCCTGAAATGAGCCTGCTGTACAGATGATTCCAGAACTCTGTCAGTGTGAAGACCAAACACAATTAAGCACATTAAAATACTTACGGTAAAGTGTTTCTTTCACTTTAGATGTGCAAAAACTTAAAGAGAGAGAGACTTATGAGAAGACTCAGGGAAGAAATGTAAGATAAAGGTGTTAAGGGAGACAAACTCCACAAAATTGTAAAGTGAAGCTGCTGTGGGGAGTAGAGCCCAGACCCAGATAATATGCAGGCATGGGTCCAAGGGAGGCTTTGCACACCAGGCGGGGGAGGTGCAGGGCCATGGATGAATGGTCTTGGGAAAACGGCAAATCGTTTGGAAAAAAAAACAAAACTTTGCTCTTTATATCAAAATAAATTCCAAGCTGAACAAAGAATAAAAATATAGCATTGAAATAATGAAGCTATTAAAAGAAAACTTAGGTGAGTTTTAAAATAATTGTGAAGAGGCCTGTCTAAATGTGATAAAACATATGAATTTATATTCACACTCATCACAAGATTGATAAGCATGATTTCCTAAAATTTTAAGCAAATCCCCATAAAATGAAAAAATATACAAATAAGTGAAAAAAATGGTAAGATATATTTAATTTCAATACTTGTGGTAAAGCATCAATAGCTTTAATATGCAGCGAGTTTTTTCAAATCAATAAGAAAAAAGACACAGATGGGTGCTGACAGGGCCGTTTGGTAATATCTTTTAAAATTTAAAACACAAGTGCTTTCACTCAACAACTTCACTTTTAGGAACCTATCACACATATAAATTGACAAAAGTGGAGAAATATTCATTGCAACATTTTATTTTATAATAGCAAAAAAAAATCACTAAGGGAAGTACAGTTGATTCATATGTTGGAATCCTATGCAGTCTTCTAAAAAATGTGGAATTTATTTCATACACCAAATATAACAATGTCCAAGTTCTACTAGTGAAAAAGCAAGATGTAACATATCATTGTATTTGTTTAAAAAACTCATGCTGGGTTGGGTGCAATGACTCATGCCTGTAATTCCAGCACTTTGGGAAGCCAAGGTGGGTGGATTGCTTGAGCTCAGGAGTTTGAAGCCAGCCTGGGCAATATGGCAAAACCCCACCTCTATGACAAATACCAAAAAAAAAAACTAGCCTGGACTGGTGGTGTGCACCTGTAGTCCCAGCTACATGGGGGCGCTGAGGTGGGGGGATCACTTGAGTCCAAGAGGTCAAGGCTGCAGTGAGCTGAGATCATGCCACTGCACACCAGCCTGGGTGACAGAGCAAGACCCTGTCTCAAAAATAATAAGTGAAAAAAAAAAAAAAAACCTAAAAATCTCCCACATGCACATAATAATTTAAGTGATATTGGATTGTCGTTTACTACTTATACATGCATTTCTGCCTATACATATTCTATCCAGTGTGTACACATGTGTATGTAAATATGTAGCATGATCTGGAAGTGTAAGCACCAAATTAAGAACAGCAGCTTTGGGGGGAGGGGAATAGAATTGGTTTAGAGAAAAAGGTGAAATTAACATTTTTATTCTGCCTACTTCAGTGTGCCTGCAGTATTTACAACGATCAGGAGTGTGTACTTTTTTCAATTTAGAAAAATGATAATAATAAGGTTTGCTTGGGGGGAAAGGGTAAGTAGGATGAGACCAGGAAGAGAAGTAACTTAGAAACACATCATGCATCATGACTGCTGGCACCATTCTGTCCTCCAATGAAGAGCGAGGCTTTGAGAGGTTCAGCAGCTCACCCAAAGGTGTACAGCCATGGTCTCAAACATGCTTGCACCCTGCTGTCACTCAGGTCCTGAAGCCCAGGCCACCTCCAAGGACACTGGGGTGCTCTGGGGTGCAGCCTGCCTTCAGATGTTTCTTAAAGCCACTCCTACTCCACCCCACCCAGTGCAGGAGCCAAGATTGAGGACCACCATTTGACAGCTAGTTCATAGGATTTCATAGCACACAAACACATCTTTAAAGGCTGATGAGGTTTCCACCAAATTGGGATTTATTGGTATGCTGGGTATAATGGCAGCTGTGTGTGCCTTTGACTGCAAAGACACTGGGCAGGCCAGAGTGGCTCCTCCCCATTTGATATGTGTGTGTGTGTGTGTGTGTGTGTGTGTGTGTGTGTGAGAGAGAGAGATTGAGAGAGAGAGGGCTCGTGTTTTTCTGTTGCGAACAGTCCTTTCCACGGGAACTTATATTCTCCTAAGGTTTGCCACTCTGCAGAACTTTTGGAGGAAGGCTTTAGAGTGAGAATGTCAGTGCATTCTCAGCGTGCAACTGTAAGACTTGCAGGAGGTGAATGCACATGAAATAATTCTCAGAGGAAGAATATGTGCACTGGTCAGATAGCAAAACTGACCTGTAACATTTTCTACACAAGAGGATTTGAATGGTTTTCGTCTTTAAGATTTTTTTTTAACATTATGCTTAGTCCACCATGCTTTATTCTGTCAGACCATTTGCCATCTGCATGCTTCATGAGAAATGTTTTTTTCTCGTGAGAAGGACGTAAGCAATTTCGCTCCTGGTTGAGAGTTTGGTCCATAGTTTCTTGGTGTCTGTGGGTTGGCTTCTGGGCCTCGCTGGCTGCAGCTGATGGTGACCAGAAGGGCTGTTCTTGTGAGTCATTAGGGGATGGGCCGCTGCTGCTACCTCCCCACCCCAGCCACCTCCATCAGCACTGTGCCATACTCGCCCAGAAGGGCCCCTGGACTCATCGCCTGCCCCCATGTTTACACTTTTTAATAAAATCTCTAGAATTGTGGCTTAGACCTGTAAACATCCAGTTCCAAGAAGTGGCTCTAAAGCCCTCTCTGGGGGCAGAGTGGTTGTCAGAAGCAGACCAGGCCTCGGGGTCTAGATTCCATCCTTCACTGGAACTGCTGGGGGCTGGTAGTACCCCATCTGCAAAATGAGGTTAAAAATACCTAACCCTTGGGTTGCTATCAAGCTCAGAGATGCTGTATGCAAAGCACCAATCAGACTGGCTCACAAAGAATAGGCCCTCTGTCAAATGTTCATGGTTGAGTGCGGGATGTCAAGGATAAATAGCTACTGGTTACCAGGGAATTGAAGACAGGGTTCTTTTACAAGCAAAAAGATTTTATAAGAGGGTCACAGAAACAGAGTGACTCTTGCCCAACAGTATCATAAGCAAATAAGCTGTGTCTAGATCCTAATCATGTGTTTAGGGCTCTGCTGGGTTTAATAAGCAACACATAGGGGGTGCGTTGTCCTCCACTCTCACATCCCCAGTCACTAGACAAGGTCACTCCCCCGGGGGGCATCTTACTCAGAAGCTCTAAAAGACTTTGTTGCATGACTTTGGCCCTTGCTCTTTTAAAATGTCCAGTTAGAGACCATGGCATGGAGAGTTTTGTATACTCTGCTCCCAGCATGGCACCCTCTTTGCATATTGTGGGCACTCTTAAAGTTATTTCTCATATTGTAATATATCAGATATGACTTGGATATAGTCAACTAGATATTTAGTGAAAAATGTATCACCCCCATTATCAAAAGAAAACCCAAAGCCTTCAAGTTTGGCCCAACTAGAAGGAATTTCTGGAAGGGGGAAGTACCAGGACCACACAGACTCTGGTCCTGGCGGTGTGTTTATAAGATGCAGCTCATCATGTTGGTCTCTGTCATCCCTGCTAAGGCTGTTCATTATGGAACCACTGGCCACATGTGGCCACTGACCGCTCAATTACTTAAAACCATTTAAAATAAATGTTGAATTTCATTTAAAATTTAAAATTCAGTTCTCAGTCACACAGGCCAGGTGTCAGGGACCAGTTGCCACACGTGGGTGGAAGGTGTGTGTCAGGCAGAGTAGAACAGGTATTTCCATTGCTGTAGCAAGGTCTGCCAGACACCAAGCTGCTCTCAGCCCATCCCCTGAGGAGCCCAGAAGGGATATGAACTTCCACCCACCTCTCCCCTTTCCCAGTTCTCAGTGCCACTCCTTGCCTAAGTGCACGGTAACACTCGCCACTATTTCATGTGTTGATACCTGCAGCTCCCAATTTTCTTAAGAGGATCTGACCCTGGGAACTGATGAGGGCACCAGGAGTGCCCTCTCCTTTGACATGAGACCTTGAGTCTTGTCCATGGGGCCCTGGCCTGGCCCTTTTCATCCCCAAGGCTGTAACATTCTCCTGCACAACACAACACACGTGCACACACACACACACACACACACACACACACAAAATAATGTTACTTCTCAGTCACCCGGGAACTGACATGGTTCCCAGTTATTTCCTTGCAGCAGCCCTCCAAGCGGTAACACAGCCTTGGAGAAAGCTACTAAGTCATGTATCCTTGGGGTAAGCACACTTGGTTCAGAATAGTTTCTGAAAGAACAAACCAGGTTTTTGCTCAAGAGGGTTTTGAGGGACTGGAGAAAACCTTAGTGCTTGTTCCTTTCTCTTCGGTTAAAAAAAAAAAATCCAACATAGTTTCCTTGAAACATTTGGAACCTGAGGTTTTGTCCATTTTGAAAAGAAGATGTAGAGAGGTAACGTGTTTCTCACGAAGGCAAAACAAAAAAATAAGATGCCAAGCAAGTGGCCCTTGTACCTTCAAGACCAAGAAATAAGGCGTTTGTTTCTGGGAATGCCTTCCATTTGCTCATTTTGTAAGTAATCAAGGCAGGCTGAGAGGGGAGCCTTCTGAGGCACCCCAGTGAGCAGAGGTGGGGTCCTGCCACTGGCCCCTCGGCTCCAACCTTGCCTCACTCCAGGCGCTGGGGCAGAGATGTGTGGTTGGCCTGTCTCTGGAGTTCCTGTGCTGCTTAATTTGAGTAGAGATAAAAGGCCACAAGAGAAGTCGTTTTGAAGGGTTTGTGAATTATAGGACTTCCTTTCATGATTCAGCCTGACTCCAGGAAGTGCAGTCACGTGCTGCCCTCCTAGGGGAGCTTCGCCCCACCACCAGCACTCAGGCTCCACTTACTGCAAAAGGCGCGATCAAGATTCTTCTTCCTGAATTATTGTCTTAACAAAATTGATACGTCTAAACATTGAGTTAACACTTTCATTCACTAAAAATGTTTTCCTGAATGATGCTTTTCATGTGACTTCTTTATAGTCCCACGTGAAAAGGGGAATGTGCTCGGCTCTGTGCTTGTTCCCCTCTGTTTGGGAGCCTGCGCTGCTGCTCACTTCTGCAGTCAGCTCTGTTTGGATCAGTTTTGAACCCCAGAACCTTCCACATAGAGGTGATAATTCTAGATAATTCTAGAGCAACTGCTTCTCTATCTGGCTGTATGCTAAGCTCTCTAGAGAGCTTTACAAGGGAGAGATTCTGAGTGTTAGGGCTGGGAAAAGAGCACTCTGTGTGATCCTAACCTGCAGCTGAAATGCAGAACCACTGTTCTCAGCTGGAGCTTTTCATTGTTTTTTGTTTGTTTGTTTTGTTTTGTTTTGTTTTGCTTGTGAATTGAGCTTACTAATGGAAGCAGGAGCTTGTTCTGTTTAGCGATCGTGAGAACCACCTAGGCAGCGGAGCCTGCCCTTAGAATCTGCTTCACTGGGCTGTACTGGGCTGGGCATTGGCAGTTTTAGGACACATCTAGATGTGTCCCAAGCAATCTGATATTTTGATGTTTATCTTACAGAGAAGCATGTGTTTAGAAGGCAGATAGCTGTGCTTCTGTTCTTCTGATTTTCGACAGAGACATCAGAACCTTCCACAGTCATTTTAGTCTAAGTCCTGAAATCGTTCACTGCCAGCCCTGAGTCTAGCTGGACTATATGCCTCTGGTTGGACACGTCTGCCACCTCTGAGAACTGTGTGGATGTAACTCTTCTGTCTTCTGGCTCGTTGTGTTTCCAAGGAGAAGCTTGAGGCCCAGTAATACTTAAAAATTTTTTGGACAAATTTAATCTTACATAATTATGGGGTACACAGTGATATTATATCTGTACAAGGTGGAAGGGTTGAATCAAGCCAATTAACATACCCATCATCATAAATGCTTATCATTAATCCTCCTCTCTATCTGCAACTTTGTAGTCTTTGACTGTCATCTCCTTATTCCATCACTCCCCAGCCCCTGGTAACCACTATTTTGTTCTCTGTTTCTATGAGTTCAATCATTTTAGATTCCACATATGAGTGAGATCATGAGGTATTTGTTTTTCTGTGCTTGACTTATTTCACTTTACATAACTTTCTCCAGCTTCTTCTATGTTATCACAAACAATAGGATTTCCTTCTTTTTCATGGCTGAATAGTATTCCATTGTGTGTGTGCCACATTTTCCTTAGCCGTTTATTCCTTGGTGGACTTTTAAGTTGATTTTGTATCTTGGCTATTGCGAATAGTGCTGCAGTGAAGCATGGGAGTACAGATATCTTTTCAACATAAATTTGTAAACTTTCTTAAAACATTATGAGTTTTTTGTTTTGTTTTGTTTTGTTTTTTGCAATTTTTTGTTTTTGGCTCATCAGCTATCATTAGTGTTAGTATATTTTATGTGTGGCTCAAGACAATTCTTCTTCTTCCAGTGTGGCCCAGGAAAGCCAAAAGATTGCACATCCCTGCTCTAGAGGTTCCTGGATAAGATGCTCTTTTAACCCCTGTAGACAAGACTTTTTTTATTTCTGGAAATTTTATAACTTTAAACATGTGTTTTACTCCTTTATTTTAATTCTCTATTTCAGGGACATTAATTTTATATATTTTAGATCACCCCTGTCTTTCTCAATTTTTCTGTTGAATTCCTGAAGTCTTTGTTAATTCCTATTTCATTTTTCTCAAGCTCCACAGATCCTGTCCCCCATGCTGCCTGCAGTGTTAATATCCATTCATTTTTCCCTGCTTGATATAATAGCCAACATTTCTTTTCTGGCCTTTTCTCCTGATCTCTGCTGGCTTATCATTGTTTTTTGTTTTTTGTTTTTTGGCCCCTTCCTCCCTTTTGAGCTGTTATTTTAACCAAGTGATTATTCTGTTAAGTTCTTTGATTCCATATCTGTGTGTGTGGACATGCCTTCATCTGCCTTTTGGGACATTTTTCTCATGAAAGTCCTTTGCCATTTGTTTCTCCTGTTACTTCTCTTCTTTAATTATTTCAGCATCATTGTACAAATCCAAGGTAGGATCCTCATCTTTGAAATAGATCATGGAAGGGCCTTGGATGTGTTCCAGTTTACCAGAATATTTCCTCCCTTCTCAATAATGTTGTGTGTGTGTGTGTGTGTGTGTGTGTGTGTGTGTGTGAGAGAGAGAGAGAGAGAGAGAGAGAGGGTGAAAGAGAGAGAATGAATTGGTTTAATACATATTTCTCCCCAGTGAGGCTGCCAGCCATTCAGTCTCCTCTCTTCAACACTCTAAGAAATGGTTGGCTTTCCATTGCTGTGTATATCCTTCCACTCTGCAGGCCTTGTCTGAAGTCTACAGCAGCCAGTCCCCACTAAGGGTCTTCATGATCCCAGGGCAAACATAGCTGCATTGGGCTCCGCTTGTGGCATGTTATTGCTCAGGATCGGGGTGCCCACTGGTTCCATTTTATTTCTTTATCTGGTTCTTGTTGCAGGGTCATTTCAGAGAGGAGGGGGCAGTATCTCTGCCAACACCCAAGCAATCTGATATTTTGATGTTTATCTTACAGAGTGACTTAGAGTATGTGGCATTGAAACCAATGGTTAAAAATCAACAAATAAGCAGGAAACAACTTCAGAATGACCAAAAAAGTTCCTGGGGCACTCTTAGCTTCCACCAGCCTCTCTGATGGTCAACCAGGCCATTTTGTTGGCTTTGATCCGTTCAGCACATTGAGTTATGGGGCGCCTCCCACGTGTCAGGAGCAGGGTGAGGTATGGGGGCTGTCGCAGCAGCTGAGATGCTTCCCTGCACTTGACTTGTTTACGGTCAGATCGTAAGGAAGCATGGGAGCCCAGCATCAGGCTCTGCTCATGCATAATCTCATTTATTAGTGACAGCAACCATAGGGTTTTTCTTTGTGAAAAAAATTATAAAATACAGAACAGTGCAGTACCACCCAAATTAATAAATGTTGTTATTTTACCATTTATGCCTTTATTTTTCCTAAAAGAACAGTCCCAATAAAGTGGAAGCTATAACCTTTTATGGATGAGGAAGTGGAGAGTAATCTGCTCAAGGCTGGCTAGCTGGTGAGCAGCAGGCCTGGCTCAGGCCCCTCTGGTGCCCCTGATTTAGGCTTCATGGCCTTCTCTACCCTGCAGGAATTATGCTGGCTCAGCTGTGCAGGTTGGCGACTGCAAATATCAACCCCTCTAATAGGAAACCAGGCAGATTTTTCTCATGCTATCAGCTGATTTTTGGTATATGTAAATAAAACCTATGTTTTTGAGAGTAGCAGGAAACATTTTGTTAGAAAACCAAATGAATACAGGGAGATATGGCTATCAGGAGCTGAGACTGATATTATAATTTTCCAAGTACTAGTATCTGTGTATTGATTTTTACAGTAATTTGTACTTTCCCATCCAGCTTGTTTGTGACCACTGAGGCCCTTGGTGAATATCTTAGAAGTCACTCAAAATGGATAAAGAATGAATGTGAGTCACCCATAGCAGTCTTATGTGAGATAATATATGGTTGATCCTCAGTATTCATGGCTTCTGAATTTGTGAATTTGCCTACTCACAATCACAGTCATTTATCTGTAATCCCCAAATCAATAACCATGATGCTTTCAAGACCATTTGAGGTCATACACACAGTGTATTAGTTCATTTTCCCACTGCTGATAAAGACATGCCCAAGACTGGGAAGAAAAAGAGGTTTAATTGGAATTACAGTTCCACATGGCTGGGGAGGCCTCAGAATCATGGCAGGAGGTGAAAGGCACTTCTTACATGGTGGCAGCAAGAGAAAATGAGGAAGAAGCAGAAGAGGAAACCCCTGATAAATCCATGAGATCTTGTAAGACTTAATCACTATTACAAGAATAGCATGGAAAAGACTGGCCCCCATGATTCAATTACCCCCCTTCCTTGGGTCCCTCCCATAACATGTGGGAATTCTGGGAGGTACAATTCAAGTTGAGATTTGGGTGGGGACACAGCCAAATCATATCACCCACCCCTGGCCCCTTCAAATCTCATGTCCTCAAATTTCAAAACCAATCATGCCTTCCCAATAGTCCCCCAAAGTCTTAACTCATTTCAGCATTAACCCAAAAGTCCACAGTCCAAGTTTCATCTGAGACAAGGCAAGTCCCTTCCATCTCTGAGCCTGTAAAATCAAAAGCAAGCTAGTTACTTCCTAGATACAATGGGGGTACAGGTATTGGGTAAATACACCCATTCCAACTGGGAGAAATTGTCCAAAACAAAGAGGTTACAGGGCCAATGCAAGCTGAAATCCAGCAGTGCAGTCAATTTTTAAGCTCCAAGATGATCTCCTTTGACTCCAGGTCACACAGCCAGGTCCCATTGATGCAAGAGATGGGTTCCCATGGTCTTGGACAGCTTCATCCCTGTGGCTTTGCAGTGTACAGCCTCCCTCATGGCTGCTTTCACAGGTTGGCATTGAGTGTCTGTGGCTTTTCCAGGCACATGGTGCAAGCTGTCAGTGGATCTACCATTCTGAGGTCTGTAGGATGGTGACCCTCTACTCACGGCTCCACTAGGCAGTGCCCCAGTAGGGACTCTGTGTGGGAGCTGTGACCCCACATTTCCCTTCTGTGCTGTCCTAGCAGAGGTTATCCATGAGGGCCCTGCCCCTGCAGCGAACTTTTGCCTGGTCATCCAGGCATTTTCATACATCTTCTGAAGTCTAGGCAGAGGTTCCCAAACCTCAATTCTTGACTTCTGTGCACTCGCAGGCTCAACACCACGTGGAAGCTGCCAAAGCTTGGGGCTTTCACCCTCTGAAGCCACAGCCTGAGCTCTACGGTGGCCCCTTTCAGCCACAGCTGGAGCAGCTGGGACACAGGGCACCAAGTCCCTAGGCTGCACACTGCATGAGGACCCTGGGCCCAGGCCACGAAACCACTTTTTCCTCCTGGGCCTCCAGGTCTGTGATAGGAGGGACTGCTGTGGAGGTCTCTGACATGGCCTGGAGACATCTTCCCCATGGTCTTGGGGATTAACATTAGGCTCATTGCTACTTATGCAAATTTCTGCAGCTGAGTTGAATTTCTCCCCAGAAAATGGATATTTCTTTTCTATTACATAGTCAGGCTGCAAATTTTCCAAACTTTTATGCTCTTTTTTTTTTTTTAATAAAACTGAATGACTTTAACAGTCCCCAAGTCACCTCTTGAATGCTTTGCCTGCTTAGAAATTTCTTCTGCCAGATACCCTAAATCATCGCTCTCAAGTTCAAAGTTTCACAGATCTCTAGGGCAGGGGCAAAATGCTACCAATCTCTTTGCTAAAACATAACAAGAGTCACCTTTACTCCAGTTCCTAACAAGTTTCTCATCTCCATCTGAGACTGCCTCAGCCTGGACCTTATTGTTAATATCGTTATTAGCATTTTTGTCAAAACCATTCAACAAGTCTCTAGGAGGTTCCAAACTTTCCCACATTTTCCTGTCTTCTTCTGAACCCTCCAAACTGTTCCAGCCTCTGCCTGTTACCCAGTTCCAAAGTCACTTCCACATTTTGGAGTATCTTTTCAGCAACACCCCACTCTTCTGGTACCAATTTACTGTATTTGTTTATTTTCACATTGCTGATAAAGACATATCTAAGACTGGGAAGAAAAAGAGACAGTTCCACATGGCTGGGAGGCCCCAGAATCATGGAGGGAGGTGAAAGGCACTTCTTATATGGCAGCAGCAAGAGAAAATGAGGAAGAAGCAAAAGTGGAAACCCCTGATAAACCCATTAGATCTCATGAGACTTATTCACTACCATGAGAATAGCATGGGAAAGACTGGCCCCAGTAATTCAATTACCTCCCCGTGGGTCCCTCTCACAACATGTGGGAATTCTGGGAGATACAATTCAAGTTGAGATTTGGGTGAGGACACAGCCAAACCATATCACAGAGTGGCACAAAATTTTAGCCACATGCATATTCCAGACGCTCCAACTCCTCCTTTCACCTCATATTATAAGTAAGTGTCTTTTTCCCCAGTCTACTTAGTGCCGTATTTTTTGCATTTTTGTTCCTTTTTTCAAATTGTGGTGACTTTGCTGTTTAGAGTACCCCCAGCTGAAGTGCTATCTGGTGTCCCTAGGTGTAAGAAGGCTGTGCTGTGCCTTACAGGGAAAATATGTGGGTTAGAGAAGCCTCTGTCAGGCATGAGTCATAGTTAGTGCTGTCGGCCGTGAGTCCAATGGTAGTGCATCAACAATAGATATGAAATAAGGTGCCTTTACACAGAAACACATAAAACAAGTGATGCATTGATCAGTTGATGAAAATATGGTGACGGCAGGCTCTCAGGCACATAACCCCTGAGAAGCGATGGGCTACTACTTGCTAATTCAGTTTTGGGGGTGACTTTGTGGAATGTATAACCTGAAATAATGAGAATAAACTATATTCTACTTCTTTTACAAAGCAAGGAAATAATTTTTAAAAGCAAGTTAAATTTTACTGTTTTTGTAAGAGATATGTTTTCGAAACAGTTGAACTGTTTTATAACACAGAGAAAGTCTCTTTGCCTTACATTTTATATTAGTTAATTAAGTCAGCAGATTTTTCTTGGGCTCCTGTGATGTGACTGGCACTGTTTTGGTACCAAAAGGGCATTGCAAAAAAAGTCCAGAAGTAGACAGATCACAGCCTTCAGGATTAAAAGCAGTCTCATCAATGTGATATTTCGTTTAAACTTAGTAGCAAGCCCATTGAATTCTCAAAATGAGAATCTGCTAATTATCACACACTTTTCTTATGAAAGAATAATTTTTCATAGTCAATATTTCTAAAATATAATGTCTCTTTCTCATTAGCAGAGACCGATTGTATGGCAGATTTACTTGCACCTGCGGATGCTGGAGATAGGTGATGATTTAGTATAGTGCACATCCACCAGGCGGTCCTCCTGGGTCCCAATATTTAGGCCCACAGGATGAGTCCAGGTGATATTGGGCACAGGCTCACTCAGAGGCTATCAGACAGAAAGCTCTGCCTCACTGCACAGCAGCTTCAAGCATTGCCTTCAGTGGGAGTCTTACTTGCAGTCCACACAGCTCAGGTACAAGGCCCCTGAGGTCCACACCTGGAGCTAATCATCTCTTTGAATAACACTGTAGACATAGCTACCAGAAAATAAAAGAAATAGAAAGGCATGATTAATACAAGCCTCACTAGGTTCTTATTGTGAAGATCTGAGAAAGAGCTCCTCATGGCCCTGGCATGGGAGGGAAGAGTGATAACTGTAAAATACCCCTAGGCTTTCTCCATGACAATGGTTACTCTCCAAGGGAAAACACTTTGCAAGAGCCTTGTCTCAGCTGGGAATTCCCAAGGGAATTCCTCAAGTTCCAGCACCCTCATCACTTTATCACTTAAAGGACAAAAAACTCATAGTCAACAGGGGTCAGCGCTTCAAGGAAATTGTTACAGAATGGTAAAGGGGTCGAATATCCAAGAAGACATAACAATCCTAAATGTGTATGTGCATAACAACAGAGCATCAAAATATGCAAGACAAACACTGGTAAGACTGAAAGGAGAAGTAGACAAATCCTGTCTTATAGTTAGAGATTTTAATCTCTTTCTCACAAAAGTTGATAGACCAAATAGATAGGATAAAAATGACCTAAGCAGTACTGTCACTCAACTTGATCTAATTGACATTTATAAAATATTCCATTCAACAACAGAAAAATACACATTCTTCTCAAGCTCACTTGGAATATTCACCAAGATAGAGCACATTCTTGGAAAACATGTTAACACATTTGAAAGACTAAACGTCATACCAATTATGTTCTCAGAACACAGTATAATTAAACTAGATATCAACAACAAAAAGATGGAGGTTTTGGGAAATTTCCCAAATATCTGGAAATCAAACAACAGACTTCTATATAACCTATGTTTCCAAGAAGAAGTCTCCAAAATCTAAAAAAATATTTTGAAGTGCATAAAAATAAAAATATAATTTATCAAAAATTTTGGAATGTAGCAAAAGCAGTGCTTATAGAGAAATTTATAGAACTAAGTGCACACATTAGGTAAAAAATATATAAAGAAAATTACTTGTGATTCTACTTTTAAGAAACTACAGAAAGAAGAGCAAATTAGGCCTAAACCAAGCAAAAGAAAAGAAATAATTAAAATGAAAGCAGAAATCATTGAAATTAAAAACAGGAAAACAGTAGAGAAAAGTCAATAAAACCAATGTTGGTTCTTTGAAATCATCAACCAAATTGATAAACCTTTAACCAAGAAAAAAAAAAGAAAAAAATGTAGAAGATGCAATTTACCAATATCAGAAATGAAGGAAAGGTCATAACTGTTGATCTAATGGATATAAAAAGATGATAAAGGAAGATCATGAACAACTCTGTACTCACAAATGTGGTAACTTAGGTGAAATAAACTAATGCTTGAGTGACACAAACTACTAAAACTTACAGAAGAAATAGGTAGCCTGAATAGCCCTATATCTTTAAAATTTAAATTAATATAACCTTTAAAACAGAAATCATCAGGCCCAGATGGGTCCACTAGTGAATTCTGTCAAACACTTAAGAAAGAAAGAATACCAGTTTTCCATAATCTCTTCCAGAAAATAGAAATGGAGGAAACAGTTTCTAATTCATTTTATGAGTTCAGATTTCACGTAATACCAAAACCAGTTAAGGCATTACAAGAAAACAAAGCAATATTACTTATATATACAAAAACCCTCAACAAAATGTTAGAAAATCAAACCCAACAACGTATGAAAAGAGCTATGTACCACAGCCAAGTGGAATTTATTCCAGGTATGCAAAACAGGTTCAACATTTGAAAATAAATTAATGTGATACATCACATCAATGGGCTAGAGAAGAAAAATCATATGACCATGTTAATGGAGGCAGAAAGGGCATTTGACAAACTCAAAACACTCTTTCATGTCAAAAAAAAAATCTTAAACTAGGAATAGAGGAAAACTTTTGTAACTTGATAAAGAGCATTAAAAAAAAAAACCTACAGGTAACATCATACTTAATGGTGAGAGACTGAACACTGTCCCTCTGATACTGAAAACAAGGTAAGACTGTCCTCTCTTACCACTCTGTTCAACATCCTACTGGGAGCCCTAGCTAGTGCAAGAAAACAAAACAAAACTTATACAGATCAGAAAAGAAGAAATAAGACATCTTTTTTCACAGATAATATGCATGTCCATATGGAGAACTTCAAAGAATCCATAAAACAACTCTAATAACCAATAAGTGAGTCTACAGGATGCTAGATCAATATACAAAAGTCGGTTGCTTTCCTATATACCAGTAGTTAACTATTGAAATTTGAAATAAGAATAATTACCATGTATAATAGCACCAAAAAGACAAAAAAAAAAAAACACAAGAAAATACTTAGGTATAAATCTAACAAAATATGTACAGGATCTGTATGCAGAAAACTACAAAATAATGATGGAAGAATCAAAGAAGATGTAAGTAAATGGAAAAGTAGTCCATGTTCGTACATTGGAAGACTCAATGTTGTTAAAATGTTCATTCTGCCAAGCTTGATCTGTAGATTCAACCCAATCCCAATCAAAATCCCAGCAAGCTGTTTTGTAGCTAATGATGAAATGATTCTGAACTTTACTTGGGAAGGTAAAAGATCTAGAATACCCAACACAATACCCACTAAAAAGGACAAAGTTGGAGGACTCACACTACTCAATTTCAAGTCTTACTAGAAACAGATACAATTTCTGCCCTTATGGGACAAACAGACATTCATCAAAAATTCACATGCTAGAAAGTAAAGGTAAATTAAGTCAAAACAGTGGTCAGTGGTACAAAAGGAAAGCATGTTAGTTTTGACTGTGGGGACAGGGACATGTTTATCCTGAGCTCAAAGGGTAGCCTGGACAGTGGAGGATTTTTAGCAGAGAAAAGGGCCACAGCTTAGAACATGTAGGAAGGGAGCAAGGTGGGGGCACTGACAGCCAGAGCTACTCAAAAGAGATGTGGAGGAAAAGGATGTTATGTGGTTTTGGAGACAAGTAGGCATGTGTGGGAGGCTGAGACGTGAGATGGGAGGGATTGGCAAGGGGTTGACTTTCAGCAGTGTAGAGAAGGGAATGATCTAAGAGAGCTTGGATTTTCATCTTCATAAATGGATGGAGCTCTTGGGCCAAGGTTCTCAAACTTGAGCCTTTAAAATACAAAACCTAGAGCTTCACCCCAGAGTTTCTGATTTGGCAGGTCAGGGTGGAACCCTAAGAATTTTCATATCCTCCATGTTTCCTGGTGATGCTGACATTGCTGGTCCAGAGACGCACATTGAGAACCCAGCTCCAGGGAACAAGAAGGAGCTCCAAGTTAGGCAGGAAAGCCCCAAGCTTACATTTGGATGGGTTGACTATGAGGGCCTTTGCACTGCCACCTGAAGATGGTAGCTAAGAGAAGAGGCAGGCTTCAAATATTGGCTCCACCACATACTGTGTGTTCTTCAGCAAGCCAGTTGACCCTCCTGAGGCTCGATGACCAGGTCTGTGAATTGAGGATAACAATAGTATCTACCATTAGGGATGTTGTGCACATCAGTTGATAACCTTTGAGTCAAGTACTCATGGAATAGCTGTTTTGCATTATCCTCATCACCTTCATCATCATGGCCATTCTGGCCAGCACTAAAGATGTACAGCCAACCTCTTCTGTGGCTGAAGTTTATCTTCTATAAAATGAGAACTTGTTTTTCATGAAGCTGTCATTTTCACAAGTTTGGGGTGCAGGTGCAGATTGCCTACTGTTGTGTTTCTGAACACTTCCCTCGCGAGGCTCCTAACCCCACCCCAGTAAACTCATCAACATGACTCCTTCCAGCTTCTACAGCTCTGGAGAGGGTTCCTTTTTATCTTGCGTTTCCAGGGATGTTTCACGGCCTTTTGTGGAGTGGGCCCTGGCTGAGCTTCTGGCCCTTCTTGAGTGTGGAGGATGTCACAGACTGCAGTGGGAAATTAAAAAGCTGCTTGCTTCACAGAGTAAGGGAATGTTAGTAGATGCTTGAAAAGTACCCTGAGGGAGCTGGTCAGAGGTGCTCTGTAAAGTTGCATCTGTTGCTAGCACCATGAGCAGCTGTCTGACCAGGAGGCCTGGGAACAGGGACAGAGAGAGCTGGCACCCTTCTTTCCTCTGCCCTACACATTGGCCTTTCCGCCATTAAGACCATCTCTGCTTGACTTTTTCAGTCTCCTGGCTGGCAATTAGCATCTTGAGGTCTCCATTAAGATCTTTTCAAGGATGCTCTTCCTATTTGGTTCAATCTTCTGGTTGAATTTGATACATGTTATGATGTAGGACTTTTTAAAAAAACATAAAACAATCAGGAAAACCTCGCTATACCCATTCCAGCAATTCAAGACCAAGTTCATTTTTGGTAAAAACACTTGGGAAAGGGCATTTCCAGGCTGGCTAAGCACTAAATGGCACAGCCCTGTCCACTGACTCCCTCCTCAACTGGTGTGTGTTCTGGAGGGATCCATGTCTCAGAGCATTACTTCATTTTGAATGTGCAATTAAAAGAGGCCCCGTGCTGCTGGGGATCTCACACTTCTGCTTTCTGGTTTGTTTTGCATGCTGACACTTTGAGGAAAAGCCCATTTCCCTAATTACAGACATCGTCCAGCAGCAGGAAGCACTCTGGCTTGTTGATGCCTGTCTTGTGCTTTCTCTCTGTTTCAGCTGTTTTCCTTTTAAGATACTCCTCTCAGATTTGTGTGCTTCTTCCCTTCCCACATTCTATACTGCCCAGCGCCTGGGATTCCAGATCTGCGTTTGAATCCAGGAAAGGGAGGTAGGTCAAATTTGTGGGAATCAAGCATATTTAGAAACCCTAACCTCAGGCTCTGCGCATCTGTGGGTGTCTGTAGGAGGGATACTTAGGTTTCATGCCTGCATCTGCGTTTCCTCTCCTCTGCCGCTAACATTCTTCCACTGAGCACATGTCCATCTTGAGCTGGAAGGTTTAGCGGTTTGCCATCTTGTCTTGCCTGCAGTTATGATGCAGCTAAAGCATCCTTCTCTCCTTCCTATAACCTATGCCACTTTGCTTTAAGCATTGAGTATATTTATGTCTCAGGTTTATGAAAGACAATTATAAAATCTCAGGAGACCATCATAAGCTCCTGTAATATCTTGCAGTCCTGAGTCACCCACAATTATTTTTTAACTGGCTAGGAAAAAGAATGCTAGCGATTTTTTTTAAATAGACATTCAGTAAAACTCTAGATATTTCTTAATCCACATTTACTGTGTCCTTTTTGCTTAAGTCAGGTGTTTTGGTTTCTCTAGCAGCTGCAGGATCCCCATAAAGATTATGCTCATAAGGTAGTGATGGAAAAGTAAAATAGAGCCTGAAAGCGGGAAACTTCAGCAAGGCACTAAGGCACAGACAAGAGATGTTAGGTCTGCCGGCTGTTGTCATTGCAGTCTGCTGTGGCCTCACCCCCGCCCCCCCCCCCGCCCCGCCCAGGCCTTCACAGCTGAGTAGGAAAGGATCTTGGGATGGGTACCAGGGCAGGATCAAGGAAAGCCTGCAACTGCGCTGCCCTTCTCATCATCCATATGTGGTTTGCCCAGATAAAAGCAATATAGTAAGATCTATCAGGCATATTCAACGTGAGTTCTTTTTTCTAGCATCTTGTTGGTTGTTTGTGTTTTTCCCCAGAGAAGAGTGAGTGATGAGGTGGCCCTGGGACATGGTAGATGGTGCAGTTCACTGGGGAGACATCCTTGGCCCCACTCAGGGTCAATATGCGCCCCACACCGCTGGCTGCAACCCCACCCTGTCCTCTTCTGCTCAAAAGAGCATGCAAGGGACATTGCTAAGTGGCAATTTTGGTTGCAACCCAGTGTTCTGTTAATTATTCACAAAAGCTAGCTCTCTTTTTAATTACCAATTGTGTGTGCGTTGCGTGTGCGTCCCTTCCCCCTTCTCTGAGCACACCTGTATGATGAGGCATGTACTTCTTCCTGGTGGAGAAGAACTGCAGAGATGTCTCCCAGGTTGAGCCTGCAGCCTGGCCCGGTCACCAGCACAGCACGGTGACTTGACTGTCCTCCCTGGCTCCCTTCCCCACCCGTGGCAAGTGGCAACTTGCTTTCGCTCACACTGAACGTGGTCAACTTGCCTCCCTGTCACACTGTAGCACTTGAATAGGGCAATATTAGATTATAGCAGAGGTTCTCAGACATTAGAGTGCTTAAAAATCACCTGGGAAGCAGGCCAGGCGCAGAGGCTCACGCCTGTAATCCCAACACTTTGGGATGCCGAGGTGGGCGGATCATGAGGTCAGGAGTTTGACACCAGCCTGGCCAACATAGTGAAACCCTGTCTCTACTAAAAATACAAAAAATTAGCTGGGTGTGGTGGTGTGCGCTGTAGTCCCAGCTACTCAGGAGGCTGAGGCAGGAGAATTGCTTGAACCCAGGAGGCAGACGTTGCAGTGAGTGGAGATCGTGCCATTGCACTCCAGCTGGGGTGACAGAATAAGACTCCGTCTCAAAAAAAAAAAAAAATCACCTAGGAAGCTGTTTAAAATTTACCCTTCTTGTCCGTATGCCCTATTTGCTGGGTCTGAGGTGGGCCCAGAACCCTGCTTTCCAGAAGGGAGCCTGAGGGTGGGGTGCCCTGAAGACCACACTCAGGAAGAACCGGACATGTGAGCTTTCATGAGCCAGAGTCCTGCCAAGAACTAGAATCTGCAGGTGGCTTTGGCCAGTCCCACTTAGAGGCAAGAAGACGTGAGGATAGTAGAGAACCTGGAAATCACGCAGTCCCCAGGATGAAAGTGGAACTCTCGGACCAGATCCTTATTCTCTTACTTTCGTGAGCCATTTCTGCCTACCTGTTGTCAGGGAGGCAGGAGGTTCATTTTTCTCTCACATGGTGCCTGACATAATGACTTGCACGTGATAGATGCTCAACAAGCATATTGAATGAATCAATCAGTTAGATTGTAAATTAAATGCACCAGATGGGCTGGTTGTTTATTTATAACTACACAGTTAACATTTATATTAACATAATGTTAACACCAAAGCGTAATATCTGTTTTCTGTGTTAATTATGGCAAGGTGGGCATAGAGAAGAGATTTCTGAGTGTCTTTTGCAGAGCTTGAAAATGTCTATGTGTTGGTTGAGATAGATCAGCCTTTACTTGATGCACTTTCAATCTTTTAAGTTCTGAAGGCACAGCAAGAGAATTTGGTGTTGAAGGTTTGGATAATGTTTTCAAGTATTTCAATATCCCTCTATTTCTAAACATTAGTAAAAATCATGCCTCATGCTACCATCCTTAGCTTCACTTTGTGTTTCTGAATTGTGTATCTCTATATACTAAGAAGTCCCCCATGTATGCCTGCAAATATGGGAGAGTCAACCGCTCAGCAGAATGTGCACAATGTAAGGCTGTGCCTTGGAGACCAGGCACCCTGTGCAGTGTGATGCACAGGCAGGCCTCAGGATGGCGCCGTGGAGGGCAAGTGATACCTACTGACGAAGCCAGTGGAGTGGATGCAAGGCCAACTCAGGCCCTGCAGCTGGGGTTCTGTTCCTCAGTGTTGAGGCCACAGGTCTGTGTCCACATGTTTTCTTTTGTACAGTGGGATTCTGCCGCACAAGGCAGTGCCCCCAGCCCTTTGCAGATGAGTCAAACATGCTTGTTTGCAGAGCCTGGTGCTGGGTGGGGTGGTCCCATCACATCACCTCTTCCTTGGTCATTTCTCTGTAATTAATCAGCCAGTCCCTGACCAAACCAGCAAGATCAATTCTCCCTCTGGTTGGACTCATTCCTCTTTTTTTTTTTTTTTTTTTTTTGAGATGGAGTCTCGCTCTGTCGCCCAGGCTGGAGTGCAGTGGCATGATTTCTGCTCACTGCAAACTCCGCCTCCCAGGTTCATGCCATTCTCCTGCCTCAGCCTCCCAAGTAGCTGGGACTACAGGCGCCCACCACCACGCCTGGCTAATTTTTTGTATTTTTAGTAGAGACGGGGTTTCACCCTGTTAGCCAGGATGGTCTCAATCTCCTGACCTTGTGATCCACCCGCCTCAGCCTCCCAAAGTGCTGGGATTACAAGCGTGAGCCACCACACCCGGCCTCCTCTTTCTTATGAAAATTAACCCACAGATGAAGTTTCCTTTCACCCAAGTCTTGACAATTTTCTCAGCTTCAAGCTGCAGAGGAAATTCCTAGGCACATCTTAACAGGGCTGCTTTGCATTGAGGGGGCTGTGTGGTTTGAGCGTGATAAGCCTGGATATCTTTCTGCACTATGCTGATTTTTGTTCCCTTAAATGGTATGGATTTGGCAACAATTGTTTGCAGGTGATCTTTTCCCAGAGAACCACTTATTTCCCCCACTGTCTCTGTATGATAGGAGGGCTCTAATGGCCCAGGGATGTGAAAGTGAGACACCTTCAATCGCTAAGGACTGCTGGAAATGTGAACTACAGGAAGTTGAGGGGGCTGGAGGGGAGGAGGCAGCACCTGCCGGAGCCATGCTTCAGTGGGTCTCAAGAAAAGCAGAAGCCTGGAATCTCAGGGCTGAGGCCCCTTGATAACTAGGACAGATGGGTTAATAAAAAGGGATACAGAGACATAGGCTACCTCTTCTGGTTCAATGCCAAGCTAGAAAATCCTGAAATGAACACAGATTTATGAGATAGGAGTAATATATTTAAGAACACAGTCTTACATAGAGATAACTATTTTCCCAAAACATCCAAGGTAAATTTATATATCTTTATGGATGAGGTTGGGTCTTTTCAGGGAAGGTTGGGGAGACGGAAGGGAAATTACTTATTATCAGTCCTCATGATTCATGGATTCCATATCTCCGCATTCATCTATTCATTTAAATCTGTTTGCAACCCCAAAATCAATACTCACAGCACTTTTGCAGTCATTTGTGACGTGCACAAAGCAGTGAAAAATTTAAGTCACCCAACACATACGTTGAGGTCGCACAAGGTGACACTCTGCTTTCTTGTTTTAGCTCTTATAAACACATTTTCTTTTCTCTTGGCCCATTTAGTCCATGGTTTTTGCATTTTTGTGCTTTTCTGGGGTGATTTTGCTATTTAAAAATGGCCCCAAACACAATGCTAAAGTACTTACTGTCTGGTGTCTCTAAGTGCAAGAAGGTTGTGATGTGCTTTACAGAGAAAATACGTGTGTTAGGGAAGCTACTTTCAGGCATGAGTTATTGTGCTGTTGACCATGAGTTCAAGGTTAATGAATCAACAATATATATGAAATAAATATCTTTAAATAGAAATACACATAAAACAAGGTTCTGTATTGATTGATTGACAAAAAAGTTGTAACCAGAGGATCACAAAAACCTAACACCATATTTCCCCAGGAGCAACTGTTCAGGATTTGCAAATTCAGCTTTCATGGTGATTTTATAGAGCATAACTATTGTGAATAACAAGAAGCAACTGTATTTTGTTTCATGCATAAGATGGAAAGAGAACAGAACCAGAAGTATGATATCGATGAAATGGAGAGAGGAGAAAGAAAAGAAAGAAATGACACTATGAAGATTTATTAGTTAAAATGTTACTAGTGATAATAAATTAATCAGAACTTTGGCCTCTGCCTTTGATCCTGGTTCCCATAATCTCTAAGTGCCAGGCTCAGATAATGTGGCCCTTGCAGGGTTTGGGCAGCTAGTCCTCTAACCATTTTCTACAGGTAAACGTGGACATGAAAGAAGCCAGGGTGAGGCAGGCAGCTTCCAGAAGCACACACTGGGCTCAGCTCCTTCCTTCCTAACCTCTATTTTAGCTCCACGTACCTCTTCAATACCAGAAAGTCTTCTTCTGATTCTGCCAGAGCCCAGCTCCTAGAACCTAGCTCATACACTCACCAGCCTTTTTTGTCAACAATTCATTCAAATATTTATTTACTTAAATATCCATTAAGCACTGTTGCTTCTCTCGCCCAACTCCATTGCACATGCTATATCAGTTATCTGTTGCTACATAACAGATCACTCTAAACTTAGTGGTTTAAAACAACAATAATTACTTATTATTGCTCATAATTTCTGTGGGCCAAGCATTTGAGATAGCTGGGTAGGCTCAGGCCCTCTGTAGGGTTGTAGTCAGGTGTGGGCCAGGGCTACAGTCTCATCTGAAGGCTTGATAGAGGCTGGAAGATACTATTCCAAGGTGGCTGCTCATACGGCTGGTCACTTACTGCTGGCTATTGGCTAGAGGCCTCAGTTCCTTACCACATGAGCCTCCCCAAAGAGCTACTTGAGCATCTTTCCAATGAGGCATCTGGTTTCCCCAGAGTGAGCAATCCAAAAGCTGAGGAAAAGTGTTAAGGGCTTTCATGAGCTAGCTTCAGAGACCCAACATTGTCACTCTGCAGTCAGCCACTCTGTGTGCAAGGGATGGGAGTACCAGGAAGTGAGGATCACTGGGCACCATCTTGGAGGCTGCCTGCCATGTATACATTTTAACTCTCAAACAAAATTTGAAGACTGAAGACCCATACTTAAAGTAGCCTCTGTTCCAGGCAGTAGAGAACAAAATGTAAACGTACTTACACTAATGGAGTGTCTATTCTAGTGGCTTTGGGGAATATAGACAAAAAAACAGAACTAAAACTCTAAGGTGGGACAGGGAGCTGGGAGTGTTAGTGTCAGGTGGGCCTATAGAGCTCAGCCCCCCTTCATCATGTTGGCATTCATGCTGGCTGTTCCTCTGTAGGGGATGAAATTTTCCCCTGCCAGAAGAATGGGCTCTGGACAGCTTGTTCAGCTGCTTGCTCAGGTGTGAGCATCTGTGCCTAATCTTCCAGTCAGACTGCCCTAGAAACATCATTTCTTAATTAGCTGAAAGGGTATCTGAAACATTGTACTTATGGTGGCAAGCATGGATCTATTGCTCTTCATCTATAAAGTTGCTGCCTGATAAGGTAGAACTACACAAATGATAGTTTCCCAACTAAATGCATTTTAAAGGGCAAAGGTTGTATAGTCAGCTTTAGTCCTGGCATAGGGGAAATGGACTATGGAAGTCTAGTTGGAAGAGAAGATTGAAACATGCCAGTAAGTGCAAAAGGATACAGTATAATTTAAATAAAACACATGGAAGACATGAGGATGCTAGTGGGATATGATGGGCTCATCCATTTCTGCAGGCTCCAGGAGGGTGGCTGGCAGGGCTTCTTTGGTGTGGGGCAGAAAGAATCAAAGCCTGTAGAATAAATCTGACTCCGTTCTAGATTTAACTCCTCATGGTGTATCACGTGCAAGGTGAAGCCTGACTGGCACTAGGGAGGATTTTGAGGTAAGGAAGCATTGTCTTTGGTTCAGTCCAAGCCCTCACTGACTTTCCACCATCTTCAGGTGGGGGTGGGCATGTCCGTCTGTCTCCCAGCCTCATGCACACACATGTGTGCACACACATGCACACACATGCATGCCTTCTTATGAAGTGTGGGTCTGGCTGCCCGTGCTTTTTCCTTCATCTCACCATGACTTATCCTTCCCTCTTCTATTCAAAGTTCCCACTTGAGAGGGTCCAGTTGCCCTGGGCACCCCTCCACACTCCCCACTCATGACTGAAATTAGTTACAGTGGCTTTGGTATACTGTCATCCCCTTTCACCAGTGAAGAACTCTATTGCTATAGTGCCCAGGTCACACAAAGCTGGGCCGGGTCGCCAGCGTTCCCGATTCTCACCTCTGTGTCCCTGGGTTTCCTGCTCTCTGGCCCAGTGGAACCACCTCCACGGGGTACCATTCCTTTCCAGCCTTGTCTTTTGTTCATTGGCAATGATGTTAACAAATTAAATAGGGGAATATTTGTTCATCTAATTTATTGGTAAAAAGGCTAGAACAAGCTTATCCAACCCATGACCCATAGGCCACATGTGGTCCAGGATAGCTATGAATGTGGCCCAACTAAAATTTGTAAGCTTTCTTAGAACATTATGAGATTTCTTTCCCTTCTTTTCTGTAGTTCATCAGCTATCATTAGTATTAGTATATTTTATATGTGGCCCAAGACAATCCTTCTTTTATCAGTGTGGCCCAGGGAAGCCAAAAGATTGGACACCCCTGGGCTAGAGCAATAAAATGGGCACATCAGATTTGTGTCCACAACAGCTGACACAGTGGTTTCCAGTCAGGGGTAAGTTACCCTTAGGGAACACTTGGCAATATCTGGAGACGATGTTTGGCTGTCATGATTGGGGAATGGGGTGCTACTGGCATCTAGTGGGGAGAGGCCAGGGATGCTGCTCAATAGTCTGTACTAGATGAGACAGCCCCCGACCCTACACACATAACAGAGAAGGATCCAGCCCAAATGTCAAGAGTGCCAAGGTTGAGTAACCCCGAGCTAATGTGATGAATGGTGCCAGATGGAAATGGGTGGGACCATCATAAGGAGGGGGAACAGGGTAAAGGCAACCATCTTAATTTGTAAATTGAGTGTGGGGGATGTGTTTTGACCACATGCTTTTGAAAAGGGAAGCTGTTCATTCTCCAGAAGCCCAGCGGAGATGTTGGATGGATGGGGCCACCCATAGCTGCATTCATGGACAGCTGGACACGGGCCCAGGAAATCTTGGCAGCGTCACTGGGGCCGGTGCACTTTTAAGAGGAGCTTGGGTGATATGAAATTGTTTGGACAAAATGAGTGAGAGGTCTTGAAATAATGTCAAGGCAGGAAGAATGCATTGACTTGGAGTGGCTGCCAAGAGCAAGCATTTGCAGGTTGTTTTGGGGAAGCAGAACTGGCTGTGTTCTCTTTGTCCTGTGCACAGTTGGAAGACGGGAAATGGAGGAGGAGAGATGGGGAAGGAGAGATGGGGAATCAGATAAGAAAGTGTTTTCCAACAGAAGCATCGGCACACATTGGAGTGAGTTCCCTTCCCTTAAGAGGCCAGGAGCTTATGTAGGAACCAAGCTCCATCTGAAGCAGCCACAGGGCTGGAGCATCTCGCAGATTAGTTGCCAGGGTTCTCTGATTCTGGCCCTGTTAGCCTCCATCTGGACACACAGCAATTGCATGTTTAGCATTTTTATTACAAAAGCAACATACAATTTTGACCCTTGAACGTTACAGGTTTGAACCATGTGGGTTCACTTATATGCGGATTTTTTTTCAACAAAAATATTGGAAAAAAGTTTTGAAGGTTTTTGACAATTTTAAAAACTTGCAGATGAACTCCATAGCCCAGAAATATAAAAAATGTTGGCCGGGCGCTGTGGCTCACGCCTCTAATCCCAGCACTTTGGGAGGCTGAGGAGGGCAGATCACGAGGTCAGGAGATCGAGATCATCCTGGCTAACAAGGTGAAACCCCGTCTCTACTAAACATACAAAAGTTAGCCAGGCGTGGTGGTGGGCACCTGTAATCCCAGCTACTTGGGAGGCTGAGGCAGGAGAACAGCGTGAACTGGGGAGGCGGAGCTTGCAGTGAGCCGAGATTGTGCCACTGCACTCCAGCCTGGGCAACAGAGCGAGACTTCATCTCAAAAAAAAAAAAAAAAAGTTAAGAAAAAGTTAAGTGTATATTGAATGCACAAAATATATGTAGTCTATTTTTTCATTTACTACCATAAAATGTGTACAACTCTATTATTAAAATTAAAATTTATCAAAACTTACACATAAATACTTATATGCCATTCACAGTCGAGGAAAATGTAAATAAATATAAAGATGCAGTATTAAATCATAATTGCATAAAATTAACTGCAGTACACACTGTACTGCTGTAATAATTTCATAGCCACTTCCTGTTGCTATTGTGATGAGCTCGAGAGTTGCAAGTACCTGCCTAAATCACTGTGTGATGCTCATCATCTCTGTGTGAGCAGTTCATCTCTCCAGTAAATTGCATATTGCAGTAAAAAGTGATCTTTAATAAGTGATCTCTTGCAGTTCTCAAGTATTTTTCATAATGTTTAGTGCAATACCGTACAACCTGAATAACACCATGGGTCCCATGTGAAGGGTCACAGTGAGGCTGGAAGTGCTCCCAAGAAGTCATGACATTATAAGAAAAAGCTGAATTGCTTGATGAGGATTGTAGATGGAGGACTGTAGCCATGGTTGCCTGCCATTTCAGATGGATGAGTCATCTTGTAAACAGATGACAGTAAATTTATGGTATTGATAAATACAGTACAGTATTGTAAACATATATTCTATTCCTTATGATTTTCTTAATGACATTTTCTTCTCTAGCTTACCTCACTATAAGAATATAGTATATGATACATATAACATGCAAAATATGTGTTAATCAGTTATTTATGTTATAGGTAAGCCTTCTGGTCAACAGTAGACTATTAGTTAAGTTTTGGGGGAGTCAAAAGTTACACATGAATTTTTACTACAGGGTGGGTGGTCAGCATCCCCACATTGTTCAAGGGTCAGTTGTATATTCACTGTGGAAATCCTAAAAAGCAAAGAGCAACATGTTTCCATCAAGCAGGATTTTGCCAGCCTCTGGTTAAACCCTGAAGCCTGAGCAAGGCAGTGAAATCTCCAGACCTTTGGGGCTCACATTTTAGGGAAAGGGCAGGTTTGTGTTGATGCTACAAAGGTAATAGATGCTTTTGAGAAGTTAACTATGTGCGGGGGTGGCCAAGGTAGGCCGAAGCAGCACCTGAGACTGGATCATCATGATGCAACTCTCTGAGTAAAGGCCTGAGAAGGAGGAAGCCAAGCAGGAGGCAGGAGAGGCCTCAACCTGGAGGCAGAAGCACAGTGTGGTGGAGATAGTGAGCAAGGTGAGGTTGCAGGTCTCGGGCCTGGTCAAGGAGAGCCTTGTGGAGGAGCAATGAAGATTTGCGATGTGATGTGGATGGAGAGGTTCCTTGTGAGCCTCACTCCACCTTCAGGGTAGGGAATTGTCAGTAAGGAAAGGAAGGACCAGGTGAGACTTCCAATACCTGAGAGATGGCGGTGGCTTCCACGAGGGCAGCCTCAGGAGCTATGGGGAGACATGATGGCTTGGGAATATATTTTAAAGAAAAGCTACTCAGAGGACCTGGAGACCAGCTCATCTAACCTGCTTCAAGATTCTCCATCCCTGTGACTGCATCAGATGGAGCTCAGCTCCTGCACAAGCTCATGGCTTCCCTGCATCACTGTGAGTGGCCAATGCTTCTGGTAGAAAGCACATTCCTTTCTGACTTGGTGAGAGGGAAGACTCCTGAAAGCAGCCAGGGTCTCATCCTCAGCAACTGTGGTGCTCAATGTCATTTCCTCAATTAGGAGAGACTGAGGGAGGAAGAGATTTGCTGAGGGAGTGGCAGGAGGAGTCAAAAGCCTCATCTGGAGTATGTGGAGGTCAACTTGTCTGTTACACATCCAAGGGGGGACGTCAGATAAGCAGACATGCAGATCAGGAGCTCAGTGGAGAGAAATAAATACCCATTAACCAACAAATATTTTTGATGACTTATTCTGCACTAGGAGCTGTTCCAGGCATGGTGATATGGCAGTGAACAAGGTCATCCTATTCTCACCTCCCAGAGCTGGCCCTCTGGTGGGAAGAACAAGACAATACTCAAATTCAACAGTGAATCATGATTTAAAGGGCTGCTGCCTTATGGAGATGTGCTGCAGAGAAAAATTAGGCAGGGAAGGGAGGTATGCGGCCCAGGACATTACAGAAGATTATTTCATGTCAAAAAACATTTTTCTACAACTAAGTGCACATTTAACTTGTGTCACAAAAAAGGTCTCAAAAGAGCAAGGGATTTGCAGTGTTTTCAGGAGCTCACCAGACACCTGAAAACCCTCCTTGCTGAACCACTACCTGCCCAGGTGTTCACTGAGGTGCCAGACCCAGCAGGCTGAGGGGTACAGGTGGAGTTAAGGAGGAGCTAAGTGGCCTGGTTTGTTTCTCAGTTTCGTGCTTTGGAATGAAGTAGTGTCACACATGGAAAAAAATAACTGGGAATGTTGAATTAAGAAAAAATAGGGAGCAAGTTCTAAACACTATTTGGAAGAAAATGATCCCTGGGAATGCTAAAGAGAATTTGAGCCATGAGCTGTTCCTGTAGTCAGAGTTAAGCATTGTGAGTTGGCAAAAGCATCAGGCGGGAAGGACTGAGTCTGTGTGTGCAGGAGGAATGCCTGCAGGGGAAAGTCACGGGCTCCGTCCCTGTCTCAGTTGGTGGGGGTGGCAGAGATGCCACAGCCGTGGCCAAGACTACGCTGGGTGAAAAGTGAGACTCTCTGGATTTGCCATACTGACTGAAAGCTGATATCTGAAAAGTGGAGCTGAGAACAGCAGCCTGGGCCACTGTGGGCAGTGACTGGAATGGAGATGGCCATTTCCTGCCAAGGTGGCCTGAGAAAGAGGAGGTTGGAGACCAGGACAAGGCCCCGGGTGGGTGCCGGTGGGTGCCAGTCCTGAGAAGGTATGCACAGGAACACCATGGACATTGTTTATTCCCCCAATTAAGTAGCCCAAAAATGTGCCATAAGCTGTCCTTGCAGTGAACCAGTGATTCTGCCCAAACCATCACCACCAACATACCCAGGTCAACTCCGGCACAGGAAGTCACATGGCCAGAAAAGGGCCATCAGCCACATCGGTGCTGACACTGAGTGCAGCACATTCTTCTGCCACCTGCTTGCGAACATATCTGCAATGCACCATCAAAGCCACACAGAGTGTCCCTGGCGTGTGCCTGGAGGTTGCTCCGGGTCTGCAGATGCTCCCCAAGACCCGACCACAGCCTGTCTCACTTCCTTTCCATTCACTTCAATATGGGATTCATGCCCAAGTGCCAGCACCGATGTAATGATTAGTGACAAGCCAATGAATTTTTAAAATAGTAGCTATGTTAAGATTTATATGAATTAAAAAGTATTTGCTCTCATTTTATTTAAAATTTTGTTCCTACAAAGTTACTGTCTCAGTTTGAGCTGATGGTGCAGTCTGCTGTTCTGCAACTACATAAAAAGTAACCTGGGCCCTGCAGAGGGGACACAAGCATCGGGGCCAGGTACACAGTGACAGGGGTATTTGAGCTGGGTCTGTAAGGATGACTGAGATGGCTGGGAGGAAGAGCTGCACGCCTCAGCAGAAAGCACACGTGGTGAGAACAAGAAGGGAAAGCCACAGCATCCCGGTGCAGTCCAGTGTGGTCTGTGGACTGGGCATGTTGGAATAGGCAGGAAGGGCTGATGTGCGCTTTGAGGGAGGACCGGGCAGCTGGAGAGGGAGGCGTCAGGAAGCAGGAGGGCAGAAGGTGAGGAGTGAAGGGCAGCAGTGGAAAGGACAGGGTTACGCCAAGCAGTGGTCATGGATATGGGCAGTAAGGAACATGCACCAAGGGCGCCTGGAAAACGAACCTTAGAGAACGCAAGTCCTGCGGAGGACTCCTGGGTTCCTGGCTGGGACACCGCCTGGGCAGGGAAGGCAGAGAAGATGGAGAACCTGGTCTCAGGTGGCATCAGAACCCAGCATCCGCATCACCAGGATTGCAGGAGCAGCAGCGTCTCAGGCCCTGGGTGTGTCAGAGCCCCCAGGCCACGTGGAAGTATGAGACGTGCTGGGCTGCAGGGGAAACAATGGAAATGAGGTTGGAGGCCCGAGAAGACCCACTGCAGGAAAAGGGTGGAGTGGGGGAAAAGCAGGCTGGGGGCAGTGGCTGGCCTGCAACAAAAGCATTGTAGAATGCAGGCGTGAGCCACCGCGCCCGGCCAAGGCGGGCAGATCATGAGGTCAGGAGATCGCGACCATCCTGGCTAATGCGGTGAAACCCCGTCTCTTCTAAAAAAAAAAAAAAAAAAAAAACTGTAGAAAGGGGAAAGCAGTCCAAAGAGAAGTATTTCTTCCAAGAGACTCATCAGCACACTGTGTTTCCAGAGATGTCTTTCTGTTAACAGCATTCTTAGACTCAAAAGTAAATGTAGATATACTTTAAAAAACAAAAACACCTTGCTAAGAGATGAATTTTTAGAAACTTGTTGGACAAAGAAAAGTCATTGATAGTCAACTGCTGTGAGAGGCAAGCCAGGAAATGATGATTAATACCCTCAAATTATAATAAAACCCATGCCTCATTAGGGGCTCGCCCAGGAGTACTGACTTGTGGATAGACACCGTCTGGGGAAAACTCTGTCGCCTGTGTCAGGCTGATGCTCTTACATTTTATAGCCCCTTGTAGGATAGTGCATGTTGAGAAGAAGCCGCTTCACATCATCGTGGTGCAGGATCTGTGGTGTGGTGTGCTTCATGTGTGTGTTTTGTGTGTGTAGTGTGTATGTAGTGTAGTGTTAGTTGTGTGTACTATGGTGTGTGTGTGGCATGTATGTAGTTTGTGTGTGGTGTGTGTGCAGTGTGTGTGATGTGTGTAGTGTGCATGTAGTGATGTGGTGTGGTTTGTGTGTGTTTTTATGTGTAGTGTGTAGTATGTGTGTTGCATGTAGTGTGTTGTGTGTCGTGTGTATGTAGTTTGTGTGTGTGGTGTGTTTGCAGTGTGTGTGGGTGTGTACTGTGTTATGTGTGTAATGTGTATGTAGTTTGTGTGCTGCACGTAGTGTGTTGTGTGTACTGTGTATGTAGTTTGTGTATACTGTGTGTAGTATGTGTGCAGTGTGTGTGTAGTTTGTGTATGACGTGTGCAGTGTGTGTAAGATGTGTGTAGTGTGTTGTGTGTGTAGTGTGTATGTAGTTTGTGTGTGTGTGGTGTGCGTTTAGTGCATGTGTGGTATGTGTCCATATGTGTGGCATGCATGTAGTGGGCATGTAGTATGGGGGTGTATGTGTGTGGTGTAGTGTGTGTGATGTGTGTAGTGTGCATGTAGTTGTGTGGTGTGTTTCGTGTGTGTTTTGTGTGTGTAGTGTGTATGTAGTGTAGCATGTGTTTAGTATGGTGTGTGGTGTGTATGTAGTTTGTGTGTGATATGTGTGTAGTATGTGTGATGTGTGTAGTGTGTACTGTGTGTGGTGTGTATGTATTTTGTGTGTGTGGTGTATGTGATGTGTGTAGTACATGGTGTGTGTAGTGTGTTATGTGTGTAGTGTGTTGTATGTGGTGTGTATGTAGTTTGTGTGTTGTGTGTGCAGTGTGTTATGTGTGTTGTGTGTGTAGTGTGTATGTAGTCTGTGGTGTGTGTGATGTGGGTAGTGTCCGTGTAGTACATGGTGTGTGTAGTGTGTGTGGTGTGTGTAGTGTGTTGTATGTGGAGTGTATGTAGTTTTTGTGTGTTGTGTGTGCAGTGTGTGATATGTGTAGTGTGTTGTGTGTGTGGTGTACGTGTAGTTGGTGTGTGTGATGTGTGTAGTGTCCATGTAGTACATGGTGTGTGTAGTGTGTGTAGTGTGTTGTATGTGGTATGTATGTAATTTGTGTTGTGTGTGCAGTGTGTGTTGTTTGTAGTGTGTTGTGTGTGTGGTGTGTATGTAGTTTGTGTGTGTGGTGTGTGTGTGATGTGCATAGTGTGCGTGTAGTGCATGGTGTGTGTGTAGTGCAGCTGTGGCATGTGTTCGTAGTGTGTGTGGCATGCATGTAGTGTCCATGTGGTATGGAGTGTGTGTGTGTGGTGTAGTGTATGTGATGTGTGTGGTGTGTGGTGTACCGTATGTGATGTGTGTAGTGCGCATGTAGTCATGTGGTGTGTTTCATGTGTGTTTTGTGTGTATGTAACGTAGAATTTGGTGTGTGCGGTGTGTTTCATGTGTGTGGTGTGTATGTAGTTTGTGTGTATGTGTATGTGTGTGGGGTAGTGTGTGTGATGTGTGTTGTGTGCATGCAGTGGTGTGTTTCATGTCTGTTTTGTGTGTGTAGCATGTATGTAGTGTAGCATGTGATGTGTGTAGTGTGTTTCGTGTGTGTGGTATGTATGTAGTTTGTGTGTTTGGTGTGTGTGATGTGCATAGTGTGCATGTAGTACATGGTGTGTGTGTAGTGCAGGTGTGGCATGTGTTCATAGTGTGTGTGGCATGCATGTAGTGTGCATGTGGTATGGAGAGAGTGTGTGTGTGTGTGTGTGTGTGTGTGTGTGTGTGTGTGTACCATGAGGGACATGCGCTTTGCTCCCTGGATAAATGGATGGAGTCATGTAGATAATTTTCCATTCACGACCAGCCCCTTTTGGTTAAAATGTGCCTCCTTGGATACTTTTGGGGCTGGCAATATGTATCCTTCTAGTTTACAACCATGATTGAGAGGGAATACTCTCCATGTTAAATATGCATTGGCCGCCTTTCTTTTTGCTTCTGAAATGTATTTATTTACTGCAAGCAGTGTCTCTCCTGTGTCAGATGTCCTCGTGGGCTGGGAACCGGCACTATCTCTTTAGCACGGGCCCTGCAGATGGGAAGTGGCGTTGCCCAGGAAGTGGTCTGGAGAAGCGGGGAGAAGACAGCCTATGGGCCCCAGGCCTCGGGAGCCAGGGAGGGTGTCACTCTTCATGTCTCAGGCAGTGGCTTGTTGCTATCATAGCCCCGGGCTGGAGGTGGGAAGGCCTTATGGTGACCACAAGTCACAGTTCCGTGTGGGCCCTCAACGTGGCCTCACTTCACCTCTGGGGCTCAGCACCAGCGTGTGACTGACTGCTCGAGGCAGCGTCTCGCAGCTCAGGTGGGTGAGGTGGTGGTAGCGTCCTCCTTGGTAATATCACTGTGATGAGGAGCAAGGCTTCTCTAACATTGTCTGGACTCAGGAGGAGCAGTTGGTTTGTTCTCATGTAGATTCTGCCTCCTGTATGCTGCTGGGACCCTGAGGGTCAGCCCAAGAGTCCTGTTTTGCAATAGCCCTTCTGTTTGCTTCTCTTTGCGGTATGTTTATTTTTAGAATTCTTTGTCTTTCCCCACTCCCCCCAAAAAAGAATTATTTAATTTGGTCACTTCCATCAAATGCTCTGATTTTAGCTTAGTTAGAAGGCATGCTGAAAACTGTAATGATGATGTGAACAGAAAGACAACTGTGTGTTGGGAGGGCCAAAGAGGGAAGTGCCTTTGTTCAGAGATGGGAGGGTTTGTCTCCACTTTGAAAGGGTTTGAGTGGTTTTAGCAAACGTTCCCTGCCACGTGGGGTCCTCACCAAAGTTCTCTGTCTCTGTCTTGCCCAGGTGGACACCTGCGCAGGTGTGTGCCCTCCGGCCCCTGAAGCATGGCCAGCAGCGGCATGGCTGACAGCGCCAACCACCTGCCCTTCTTTTTCGGCAACATCACCCGGGAGGAGGCAGAAGATTACCTGGTCCAGGGGGGCATGAGTGATGGGCTTTATTTGCTGCGCCAGAGCCGCAACTACCTGGGTGGCTTCGCCCTGTCCGTGGCCCACGGGAGGAAGGCACACCACTACACCATCGAGCGGGAGCTGAATGGCACCTACGCCATCGCCGGTGGCAGGACCCATGCCAGCCCCGCCGACCTCTGCCACTACCACTCCCAGGAGTCTGATGGCCTGGTCTGCCTCCTCAAGAAGCCCTTCAACCGGCCCCAAGGGGTGCAGCCCAAGACTGGGCCCTTTGAGGATTTGAAGGAAAACCTCATCAGGGAATATGTGAAGCAGACATGGAACCTGCAGGTGGGCCACAGCTGGTCCTGCTCCCTGGGCCCAGGGGGCCCTGTGACCCCACACAGACTTCCTGGCTACATGCAACACATGTGCCTATGTGCCCTGTGTGCCCAAATAACACAACCATCTCCTTAAGCATCAATTTTGGCCAAAAAATGCCTCTCTCTGATAAGAGCCTTTCCTCTTTCACAGCCACAGCTGAGAGGGTGGGTCCCTTTGTGCCAGCAGTGTGGGTTTCTCCACAGCAGGGAACCACTGTTACCCAGTGCAAGGAGGGCCTTTTCAGAGAGGCATTGATAGGTGTTGATTGGTTTCTGTTTATCTGACAAGGTCCTACCATACACACTGATAGGCACTTGATTTTATGGCTTCCTAATATCTCTTGCAGAACTTTCTGTGTCAACACTCATATAGTTGCATCACCCGTTCTTTGGCTATCTGGTATCACCTGCTATGCACCACAATTTATTTAACTAGTACCTATTGATGGACACATTTGCTGTTTATGAATAAACGCTGCTAACAACATTGCTCTAGACCTATCGTATACTACACTTGTATGCAACGTCTGCAGGATAAACTTTGAAAGGGTTGGGATTGCCACAGCAAAGGATATGTGTGTTTATTTTTTTATTTTTTATTTTTTTGAGACAGAGTCTTGCTCTGTCACCCAGGCTGGAGTGCAGTGGCATGATCTCAGCTCAATGCAACCTCTGGCTCCAAGGTTCAAGCGATTCTACTGCCTCAGCCTCCCAAGTAGCTGGGATTACAGGCATGTGCCACCACACCTGGCTAATTTTTGTATTTTTAGTAGAGATGGGGTTTCACCATGCTGGCCAGGCTGGTCTCGAACTCCTGACCTCAAGTGAACCATCCTCCTTGGCCTCCCAAAATACTGGGATTATAAGCGTGAGCCACCGTGCCCGGCCATGTTATTTTTATTTATACACTTGAAAGTACTTAAGTAATGTGTAAAGGTCTTTCTGGTTTTATTTACTGAATGAATGAGTGAATAAGTTTTGATCCTGTTTTACCATGCCAGGACTCGAGATAGATTGGAAATGCCTTCTGCATCATTTTCATTTTTCCTCGGTATGGTTTACTCTGCTTTGCTCTCCATGTGGCAGGGTCAGGCTCTGGAGCAGGCCATCATCAGTCAGAAGCCTCAGCTGGAGAAGCTGATCGCTACCACAGCCCATGAAAAAATGCCTTGGTTCCATGGAAAAATCTCTCGGGAAGAATCTGAGCAAATTGTCCTGATAGGATCAAAGACAAATGGAAAGTTCCTGTGAGTATCGTGCCTTCCCCCTCACCTCCTGCCACCAGGCCTGTGTGGACAATTGGGAATAATTCAGCTTCCTTGTGACTGGCCCCACATGACCCTGGGAAGAGGCCATGCATTGCCATTTGACAACATGCATGCTGGCCTGTTCTAAAGACATTTCTAACCAAAGCTATCACTTGTGACCCAGTGTTTATTTTGCCCAGTCTAACTCTAAAATGAACACTCTTTTTGGGCACCGAGGGATGTAATATTTAAAGAAAATGTGATTCAGCCCCATATTCTCCTTTTAATGGCAAATTATAGGTTGCATAGCACATTCTGTGGTTATCCAACTAAAATTAAAATACTGCAGTTTTTTTACTCAAACTACCCCCTTGATCTCAGACTTTACTTCTATTTTACATGAAACAAGATGCCAACAGGAAAGATGTTAAGGAAAAGTTCCTGGGAGTAGCATCCATGAGTGGTGAGTGCAGGTTTGAAGACTTCAGCCTTAGGCCCACAGTCATTAGAGGGTCTGTCTGAATCCTGGGTTCTGTTTGCTATCCTCAGTGGTTCAGTGTAAATCTAAATTGTAGAAGGTTCTGAGATACAGGCCAACGTGGTCAGTCAGTTGTCCAGAGAAGGTAAAGAACTGTCTTTGGGAGGTGTCAACCTTGTTCCCTCGAGGGGGTCTGGTCAAGGTGGCTCAGTGGGGCAGTTGTCCCTGGGGGAAATGATCCCCTGGTCACCTCTCAGTGTCCCTACAGAGATGCTTACCTTGGAAACATAACCAGAAACAGCGATGCAGCCTCATGGTTTGGCAATTGGTGAATCCCCAGCCGACTTCGTAAACTTTTCCTAGATTTAGAAGCGTTTTCTCTGCCTGTCCATCTATTCAAAGGAATTTCCTCAGACTTCACTGTCATACCTTGTATTTTAAAAATGATCTTAGCTGAGTGCAGTGGCACGCACCTGTAGTCCCAGCTACTCCTGGCAGGAGGATCGCTTCATCCTCACTATGATCTCACTATCGTTTGAGGCTAGTTTGAGACCAGCCTGGGCAACATAGTGAGGCCCTGTCTCAAAAAAAGAAAAAAAGAAAAGAAAAATTGACCACAATACTCTTAAAAAAAAAAAAAAAAAAGGAAGAAGGAAGAGTGGCCCAGGTTGCCACGCGGCAGTGCCTAGAGTGATGGTCTTTAGTGGGATGCAGCCCCAGCCAGCAGCAGAATGCTGTGGGGAGGGAAGACATTGCCCCTCAGTGGAGGCACCTATGGCTATTTTTGCTGAGGTTTGGCTTCTTACCATCTCAGCAATAATTTCCAACATGAATGTCATGGGACCATGCACATAGCATCTTGGCATGTGAAGTCAACCCAAAATAGCATAATCCACACGATGAGGCTGGCCAACTTCTGCTGGTTAAGAAGCCTGCTCATAGCCTCTTTGGCCACGAAGCTGTTTCTTTTTTCGGAGTTGTCTATTCCCGAAAACAGCAGTTGCATCCTTCATGGCCATGACTTTTGCTCTCTCCTTCCTTTCTGGGAGATGTATATAAACCCCATGCAGAAGGCTGGGAGGTGCAGCTCTTGTTTGATGAACATGCCTTGTTCCCTATCTGCCCTGTACAGACTGACATCTCATGTGTCCTCACAGCACATGTCCCTGACACTGAGGCTTATGGTTTATGCAAGAGAGTCTCAAACTTGCCGTGCTTCCTATTCAGCTGGTGTCAGAGCTAACCAGGCATGGGCCTGTGAGAGAGGGGCCTGGGCTTCTGTGTTTTCATCGAGCACCCTCTCCTTAGTTGTCTTCTTCTCCTGGGTTCTTATTCCTGGGTTCTTATTCTCCTGGGTTCTTATTCCACTTTATATTGCAGTTGTCCAGTTATCACCCCATAATTGCCAACCTCCCAGATAATAGCTTCCAAGGCTTTCTCCCTTGTGTTGTCCACAGCTCAGTCCCACACCTTCCCGTGCTCCCTCCACACCTGCAGGGCTCACCTGTGGACTGATGGTGCATAGCACCCCATGCCCAGGCCTGGCATCAGGCAGGGTATTAGTGAGAGGGAAGAGCAGAGCTAAGCCTGGGCAGCAAGACCCAGCTTCAGAACCCATGTTCCCATGATGGTTGTAGAACCTTAGACTAAGGGAAACTTTCCCCAGGCTCTGCTCCTCTGGGTCTGTGACTGTCTTGAGGATTCAATGAAAATACACACCACGTACACCGCACAGCACATGTGGTCATCACTGATGTAGCTTTTCTTCTCTCTTCAGTGCTCTTTCTCCATCATGAGCACCAGGAAAGTCTCCTTGTCAGGGTATCTTATGGTGTTTTTAACAGAGAAAGTGTGAGGAAACACCTTGGAGGGGTTTGCCACCTGGCAATTTCACCTCTTGACAACCTTTCATCTCCTACAGAACCTGGCTGGGGTTCTTGGCTGTTGCTGGGTGTGTAAACCTTCCTTGTTGCAGTGTAGTGGGCGTGTTATACTGTGAGTGTTTGAATATGGTTGTGTATGCTTGTGGAGAGCAGGGAGAGTTTGCCAGCATACTGGATACAGTCCAAGTCTACCATGCTTCCAGCACGGGGCAGGGTCTGCATCCCTGAATACAACGTCTCCCAAGTCCAGGTTGCCTAGACGTTGGTCCAGATTCTTTCATCTTTAGAAGTGTTTGTTTGTGTGTTTCTTTCATGGGAAATAGAGCTAAAAGGCTCCAGGGAACTCTTGTAAACCATCACCAGATCCTGTGGCTGCCCTCTCAGTGTGAGTGCGTCAGCTCCTGATTCACTGTGGGAGTCTGTCCTATATTCCCCTGTTGGGTCAGGCCAACGTTGCAGGAAGTCCCAGACCTGGTTTTGAATCATCCAAATCTGCCCTACTTGCAGATAGTTTTATAAAATGCACATTATTTGCAACGAATAGCCACAGCACAAGGTCTTTGGAGTCAGAACTAGATTCCAGTCACTGCTGGATGTCCTCACTGAGCCAGCTGCTGTTTTTTTCCCACTGTTCTTCTCGGGCCTTCATTCAGATTCTCCTAACGAATGTGCTCATGTCTACTTTCCAATCATCATGTCAGCTAATCCATCCATGGACCAACATTACTGGAGTCTGTAGTTGCATGAAGCACTAAGTGCCAGGCACCATTCTGGACTTTGGGAAGGGAGAAGTGAATCAGCAAGCACCTGCCCTCATGGACCCTGCATTTCAGTGGGAGAAAAGACGCTGAACAATAGGAAAGAACTGCATTTAAGTAAGGGCGTAGAGCACACTGGGGTATGGATGCTGGGTCTTCTTTCTGCTGCGTGGGGAGGATGGACCTTGCTGTGAGGGAGGCCATTGAGAAGAGGCCTGAAGGCAGCGAGGAACCATCCCCACCCAGGGAATGGCAAATTCGAATGCCCTGTGGCAGGAGCGTGCCTGGGGAGCAGGGCACCCACAGAGGCCAGTGTCACTGGCAGAGAGTGAGTGGAGAAGGGTGGAGTTGAGGGCCAGGTTGCAGAGCACTCACGGCACTGGGAGGACCCTGCTTTGGGCAAGTTGGGGGGGCTGTCTTTAGGAAGCAAAGGGCCAGGGCCAGCTGACATTCGGTGGGCTCTGCCTGGCTGCCACATCATCGGTTTGCTGTGGGGAGTTGTGCCTGTACATATACTTGCAAACCAAATGTGTTGATTTTTTTATCGTGATTTCAGGGCCTTCACTTTCTCATGCCTGAGCATCAGTCAGTTTGTCTCCGCTCTGATCTCCTGTCCACCCCACCCACCGTGCTTTTACCTGGGTCCTGTACAGGCCTGTGGGCTGGCCCTTAAGAGGTTTTCAATGAATGCTTGTCACCTAAATCAATGAATTGTTTGGATCCATTCTCCATCTCCCAGCTCGTTTTTGCTTTCCACTTCCTGACATGTAGTAATACCACTGTAGTTCTGTATGGGGGCAGCTCCACACCTGTCTATGTTGGGGAGGGAATGGGGATTCTTGCACCTCTTTCTACCTCCTCTTAAATCATTACTGATGGACAGATGCAGGGACACAGCAATAGATATAGAAATATAAAAACATGACACTGCGCACTCTATGGTTTGTAAGATTCACTTTCTCTGGGTAGGAGGCAGTGTGGCCTGTTAACAACATACCATTCGGGTTGTCTGGCCTCAAATGCTGGCTCCACCTTATCACCAGCTATGGGACCTTGAGCAAGTTACTCAGTGGTCTGTTTCCTTCATTTCTTTGTCTGTAAAATGGCTTTAATGTCATCTCTGACTCTTAGAGTCATTGAGGGTTATAGAGTATCATAAACCGAAGGCCTGCTGCACGGTGCTTGGCACCGAACGAAGCAGCTTCACCCCACTCCTGCAGTGGCCTGGACCACACTTGGATACATCAGTAACATACACTGAAGGTCAGGTCCTCCATGCAAACTCTTTCCATCCCTGCATCACAGGTGTACCATGACCTCTGCAGGTGAGTCATTCTTCTGCAGGTGAGAAAACCAGGCAGGTCCCCCTTATCCTTCCCTTCTCTTCTTCAGTCTGCAGTAGGTGTGTTTATTTCCACTCTGTGGCTATGAATAGATAGAGTGAGAGTCACTGGCCATAAAAGGATTCACACTAGGCTTTTGCTTTTATGAAGTGACAGACTTAAATAAAGAATAATTATTTCGGCCGGGCATGGTGGCTCATGCCTGTAATCCCAGCACTTTGGGAGGCTGAGGCGGGCAATCACAAGGTCTAGAGATCAAGACCATCCTGGCCAACATGGTGAAACCCCATCTCTACTAACAGTATAAAAATTAGCTGAGTATAGTGGTGTGTGCCTGTAGTCCCAGCTACTTGGGAGGCTGAGGCAGGAGAATCTCTTGAACCCAGGAGGCGGAGGTTGCAGTGAGCCAAGATTGTGCCACTGCACTCCAGCCTGGGCAACAGAGCAAGACTCCATCTCAAAAAATATATATATTATTATTATTATTATTTCACAGAGGGGGTTGGAAGTTTATTTTTGCATTGCAAGCCATAAACTAATCAAGAGGATTTTACTAGTTTGGTGGATAATATGGGTAAACAAAATCCCAGCGATTACTCTTCACACTTTCATCGTGAGTACCAATATGCTGTCTCCACCATTCAGATGCCAGCATTTCAGTCTGAGAATCGCTTTACGTGGAAAGTGGCATTGGTAAGAATTGGACTAAAAGGTAAAAAAAAAAAAAAAAGAATTCCTGAAATGCATGCACCTCCATAGCCATCACAAAATGCCTTTGCTCAAACAGACCTTGAAAACACTGAGGGTAAGGCAGCATATTTTGGAGATCAAAATCTGATTATAAATCCTAGGTAATGCAGTTCAAAATGCAGATGATGGAAGCAGATTACGTCTGGGAGATGCTGTCCAACTCGGATCCCAGTTTTCTCTCCTCAGAACTATATGTGAAATCCACTTACAGTGAGAGTACACCTGAGCTAGAGGGCATTTACCACTTAAGGGGGCTAAACTTATTGTTTTTCAAACAAGAACTCGGGTGTGGAGGAGCTTGTCCAAGGCAGGAAGGCAAAACCAGGTCCCTGATGTTGTCTGGGGCTAAGCAGAAACAGCAGCCAGCAACCAAATCCATCTCCAGATGGATCCATCTCCACAACCACAGGCCCCTCCCTATTCCCCATGCAAGATGCAGCACCAGGGCATGTCCATGTGAAATCTCAGAACACACAGAGGCGTCCATCAGCTTTCCCCTCTCTTGTGTCCTGTCCACAGAGCTTACCCACACCATTCAGGAGTGACTTTGAGAAGGTAGTTACAGGGCCTTTGCACATGTGCTTGAAGAATAACGAATATAAACAGAGGCTCTTTGTGGAGGGGCTGGGCAGTGTGGGTCAGTGGTTGTCCCTCACAGCCGCCTGTGGCATTTCTGGAGGTGATGTTCATCACCTGGCCTTTGCTATATAAGCACTGCCCTTGTCTGGGGTCTAGCTGGCCAGAAGCGAGCACTGGAGGGGGAGTCCTCCAGCCCACGTTTGGTGGGTGAGGGTCAGAGTGCTGCCTTGTTGGTGACGTCAGGGACCAAGGCAAGGGAGAGGAGCTGAGTGGGGAAGGAGATCCCCTGCCCCCAGAGGCCTTGTATAGCAGCACAGTTTGCTATTTTGAGAAGCTAGTCACAGCTGTCTGTGAAAAATGAATTTGTTAGGAAAAGGAAACAAAGCTTACTTTATAAAAATTATATATCCCTTCCCCAAAAGGGAGGATCCAGGATTGAGGGGTCCGAAGCATATACAATTTGAAGACTCTCTTATTTTTTTAAAAATATAAAATTAGGCATACAATAGAATGTATTTTTTGGACTAAGGAAAAAAATTCAATAAATTAGAATTTTTTTAAAGGCTGGTCAATACTACAAGCATACAAACTTTAGAAAAGATAATGTAATATTTTAATTAACTGCCTGACACGTCTCTATAACACCTTTTGTTTCCTCCATGTCCTTGACTTCACTGTGTTTGACTACATCTTAGTTCAACAATATTTAATAATATATTTGTCTATATATAGAAAAAGAGACTATTCATTCCTTCCTCTAGGTTCACACTTCATTATTAATAATATCATGTACATTTTTAGAATCCTTGTCAAATTTGGGAGGGGAAGATAAAGTAGAACAGAGTGAGCTTCCCTGGCTGTGACTAAAATATCTTTTGCAATCTGTACAAAACCTAAGGCCGTGCAGTCACATTGCTGGGCTCCTCTTGGTCTGGAGGAGGCTGTGATCAACTCCTCTCTGACCCTCATCCACTTGGTTCACACAATGTGGTTTATTGCCATTGTGCACAGCCAATTCTCCCACACACATCGCTCTGCTAAAATGTAATGGGATGTGGCCTTCATTTCATCTTATAAATGATCTTAGAATGGAAATGCTCTAAAAAGTCCATGCCAGGCAAAATTTTAAAGATGGAAGTATTGTTTCTTTGTATTAAGTGTATTGTTTTTGGCTAAGAGTCCTTGTAAATCTTACAAAGCCAAGAACAATTTCAAGGTGACCTTTAAGACACATAAGTGGCTGCTCTCCAAATAGCTCGATTAATGTTAAAAATAAAAGGTAGTATTTCAGATTTGTGGATGGAGTCGTCCAACCAGTAAGTCACCAATGCTATTTTAACTACAGTTTCTACCTTCTGACTTTAGAAAAAAAAGTTACAAAAACAGTCATTCATTCAACAAAATAGGCATGTTTTCAACCAGACATGCAGCAGGCATTGTGATAGGACTTGGCTACTGTGAGGAATAAGTCAGACCTTAGTCCCTGCCCTCACCGGACTTTGACTGCAGGGGGAAGATGACAAACGCAAGCTGATGTGCTGCAAAGTCTGCAATGCATGGCAGTAGGTCCCCTCCACCACGACACTGGGCCTACGCAGCATGATCTTGATTTTGTTTTCATTTACTTGTTTATAGTCCCCACCCCCACTTGTGCTGGATGCACAAGGGCAGAGATGGGGCTGTTGCCTTCACGAGTGCAACCCAGCACCTAGAACATGGTCTTGGTGGGAAAAATCTCTCTGGGTAAAGGAACATTCTGGCTGCTAACTTGAATGGTGGCCACTACTTGGATAGGAGGAGGGACAACATGGTTCATCGGGCCTGTCTCAGGTGCCCAGGCTGGACTATCATCTAGTGTGTCGCTAACTATAGGAACTGGGAAGTGGCCTTCAGAGCAAGTGGGCTGACTGGATTTGGCAGAGCTTGACACCTCACCAGGCAGATGCAACAAAAGAGCAGGGCAGACCCAGCCATCCCATTACTGGGTATATACCCAAAGGACTATAAATCATGCTGCTATAAAGACACATGCACACGTATGTTTATTGCGGCACTATTCACAATAGCAAAGACTTGGAACCAACCCAGATGTCCAACAATGATAGACTGGATTAAGAAAATGTGGCACATATACACCATGGAATACTATGCAGCCATAAAAAGTGATGAGTTCATGTCCTTTGTAGGGACACGGATGAAATTGGAAATCATCATTCTCAGTAAACTATCGCAAGGACAAAAAAACAAACACCGCATGTTCTCACTCATAGGTGGGAACTGAACATTGAGAACACATGGACACAGGAAGGGGAACATCACACTCTGGGGACTGTTGTGGGGTGGGAGGAGCGGGGAGGGATAGCTTTAGGAGATATACCTAATGCTAAATGACAAGTTAATGGGTGCAGCACACCAGCATGGCACATGTATACATATGTAACTAACCTGCACATTGTGCACATGTACCCTAAAACTTAAAGTATAATAATAATAAAATAAAATAAAATAAAAAAGAAAAAAAAGAGAGCAGGGCAGCAAGAGATTCACGGGGTAGCATGGGTATGGTGGCCAGGGCAGGCCTGGATGCCTGCAGGAGAGGGAGGGAAGTGAAGCGGTGGATGCCGAGTGGGTGTGCAGGAGCCCGGGCATCTACAGAACCCCAGTCCGAGCCCCAGGAGGCAGCACCATGTCATGGTCACGTGGTGCCCTGAGACCATTTTGGTGCCCTGAGATTCTATGGATGGTGGCAGAGTTTTCCTTGATGGTGGCAGACTGGCCGGGTGGTGGAGGGATTGGCACGTGGCTGCCCCAGGCCACACCATGAGGTGTTGAGAGAGATCCTGGCTGCTCAGCTGCCCCGAGTGTGCAGCATGGAGCAGGGGCGGCTGCTCTGACGGCTCACAGCAGGAGAGGCACCTGGAGAGCTGGGCTGTGATCAGGCCCAGTAGTTTGCAGATGTCTGGAGAGAAACTGAGTCAGAGAGGAAGCCCAGGAGGTTGTGAGCCTCAGCGATCTGAGAGGCATGCATGTTGAAGAGTGAGTGAGGAGGATGGGAAGCCTGCAGGCTTGGTGGGTCCTAAAGTTGCAAGAACATCACTGTCCCCTGCAGCTAAGTGGGCCTGATGTACTCCACTCAGGCCACAGTTGCTGTACATGATCTCTTGGGACCCTAGAAGTGCTCCTTTCCATGATAGCTCTTTAATACATTAGTTAAAACGATTCCCAGGAAGCCCTTGTTCCAAGTATGCAGGATCAGATAAAAAGCGCAGAAACCCTCAGAGCAGGGACCGACGGTGAGTGCAGTTTGCCCTCAGAGGCCTTGGTAGTCACCCCTTCCCAACCCCCATGCCACCACTGAATCCCCATGTGGCTTGTTCTTATATGCCCTGCAGCTGAAATTCAGGTGCCCTCCTGACCTTCCTTCCCCTGTCCATTTTGAAAAGAAATAAGCAGTGTAATCTTTGAGTCATCCCTTTTGTACTAGCCAAGTTCCAGGTGCAGCATGACACACTCGTTATCTCCACCTCTCTTCTCCCCTTCCTTTCCCTCATGTCTGCACACACTCCCATCCCCTCACTTCTTCCCCCTACAGCCCGCCTCTCTCTCTCTCACACACACACATACATACACACACACACACACACACACACACACTTGAGAACCGCGGCTGCATATCATCTCCTGTGGACCTGTGCACAACCTGTGGGGCCCAACTTAAAGTACTGCATCCATTCTCCGTGGTTTATCCTAATTTAGGTTTGTTTCCTGGTCATATAGAATACTGAAGTATATGTCTTTAGGAACTGTCTCAATTTCTTAGAGAAATGGGATATACGTGAATAAAATTTTTATGATTCCCTTATACTGAGTCCCACTTGCACTGCAAAGGATTAATAACATCTGTTTCCAAAGCAAGGCGTCACCTGCCATGCAAGCCACCTGCTGGGGAGGGGAGGTGAAGGGTGTGAGCATTGGTGAGAGGTGTTGTTCTCATGTTCAAGGTGACAGGTATGTTATCTGGTGTCCCCAGGCTGGGTCCCACCCAGGGCCTGCTCCTGGACGAGGGCTGTATGGCTCTGATTTGCACACCCCTGATTCTGGTGGACACAACCCTTTTTCTTAGAAAGCCAGAATCACTGTATCTTCTAGTCCTTAGCTGCATAAAAAAATGGGGTGCAAAACTTCTCTGGACTGTCTATTCTTATTGTTCATTGGTTTATCCTGCAGGGCCACCCATGGAGCCCGTAACTTAAGATGCACAAATGAGCTATTGAGTGAATATGTGTGTGTGTGTGTGTGTGTGGGTGTGTGTGAGAGAGAGAGAGAGAGAGAGACAGACAGAGAAAAAGAAAGAACCATCTGGAGGGCTGGCAAAAGCACAGATGTCTGCGTTCCATCCCCTGAGTTTTTAATTCACAGGTCTGTGTAAGGACTCTTCCATTTGCATTCCTGCCAAGTTCTCAAATGATGCTGATGCTGCTGGTCTGGGGATATGGTGTGAGCCTGTTTGAGATACCTGTTACCTACCTGGGCTGGATTAACAACTATGATCATTTGAGATTTTCATAGTTCATTGGAGGGTCTGTAACTGCATTTGCAGTTGCAATTCCTGCAAAATGCCCAAATACTGTATTATTGGACTGGTTCCGATAAAGTTATCTTTGAAAATGCCTCTATTTCTAGAAACTTAAGTTAGATAGTAAAGAAATTCAGGCCATGAGTCAGACAGGCCCTGCCACTTAATAGCTCTGTGATTTGGACAACTTAATTTTGCTCTCTGAGCCTCTGTTTCCTCAGTAATAAAATGGGGAGACTGATGTTTTATCTGAGTCATTATGGAGATGACTTAAGTAATGTGTATAAAGCTAAGCCAATGGTTCTCATGTCTCTGTGGTTCCTACATCCATGAATTCTTTTCTTTCATCAGTTCTGAAAAACATCTTGCTACTTTTTTCTTCAAATATTGCTCTCTGTTGTTCTTGCCCATTTCTTCCTTCAGAGACTCCTATTAAATACAGTTTGACCTTCTCAATTCATCCTTTATATTTTTTATTTTCCCTTGCCTTTTCTGTGTCCTGTGCTATGAGTAACGTCGTTGAATTATTCTTCCAGCGCACTAATTTTTCCTTCATTTGTGTCCAATCTGCTCTTACGCTCATTCACTGATTTTTTTTAATTACATTTTTTAGAAAATTTCTAGCAGTTCTGTTTGTTTGTTTGTTTGTTTGTTTTTTCAAATATTTCTGGGGCATTTTTAGAGTATCTTATTGGTTGCTAATTTCCATGGTTCCGTTTTTTATTTTGTTAAACATTTCATAGTTTATATTCTATATCTGATTATTCTACTACCGAAACTTTTGGAGGATGTAAATCTCTCTCTCTTTCCCTCCCTACCCCTTTTCTCATAACTCATGCTTCCTTATGTTTTCAGTGATCTTTCTGAGCTTATGCCTGATTGATATTAATCTGTGGGAATCCTGAGTATTCGATGCTGGGAACACTTTCCTCCAGAGTTGAAGGGGATTTCCTCTTCACAGGTCCTTGCTTTAAGGTGGGAATCCCACATCCAGGTGCTCACTGGGCTGCTGGCCTGAGATTCTGTCCCTGTCCACAGCTGTGCTGATATTGGCATTGGCCCTTTGGCCAAACCCACTTTAATTGCTCTCATTTGCCACTCACTTTTTGCTGTTCAAGTTTCAACTCACTTTTTGTCCTATACTTCAATTTCAAAAGTGAATTTGCGGCTTAGGAAAAACCTTTTCCTTGTTCATTGAGGAATGAGACTGTGTTAGGCTGTCACGAGCCTCCTTTGCCACAACAAAAACTCTGTTCCATCAGTGCTTTCATATGCTGCCGTAATTGATCAAAGTATGCCATTTTATTTGACACATGTGGTTTTGCAGACCTAGGTCATCATAAAGAGTCATGACCTGTCTGAAGTTAAAACTTCAAAGAGAGTTGTGGGCTGATGTCAATATCACTTCATTGATGCTGATCAAAGTCTCCTTGAAGCTGAAAGACAAGATGCGTTAAATAATTCCACCTTCATGAACTAAAGCAGAGGGAGAGAATGAGAGGGCGTTTGTAATAAAATGTTTTAAACGACAGGTGTGTTAAAACAGCTTGGTGTGGCCTCAGATAGGGATTGTGTACTGATCTTGCTCTTCTTTGTGTGGAATGCACATGTGCCTCAGTAGTGCTATGGCGCAAGGCAGAAGCACTCAGAAGTTGCATTATCTATATCTTTCATGGATCAGTAAAGCTGGCATTTCTCCTGCCTCTTGCTGACATACACACTGTTCAGGACCTCATTCGCTCCCACATCCTCCTCTTCCCCTCTCCCAGCTCTCTTTGAGAAACCACTGTTGGGAGATGGCTCTGAGTGAGAACTGCCCACCCAACCCAGCACAGGCCCCCTCTGTCCATCTGCCCAGCCCACCTTAGCCACAGTGAGCATTCATCCTTTGCACATCTAATGCACACAGCCAATCCCAGGCATCTTCCTTCCCCTTGTATGAGTCTGACAACTGACCCGGTGATACTCTACTCTGCCATGGAAAAAAAATGGCAGGGGAGAATGAGAACACCTAGTGGGCTGGAATGTGCCCGGCTTTTCTGTTCCGTCTACAGCAGATACAGGCAGTGTCCCCGTAGCCCTGGGGAGGCCACCTTGAGTGCCTCACTACTTCTTACATCCTCACTTTCCCCTTGGTGCCCGGGCATCACCTCTGTATATTCTCTCTCCCCTAGGAGGGTGCAGGAGAGTAGAGGAGTCCAGCCCTTCCAGGCCATGCCCCAGCAGAGTCAACATGCCTCACCTTTGGATAGTGTTCTAGTGTCTGTGAGGCACAAGGCCTGCTCACCCCAGAGGCCAAGGCTGCCTACCCTGGGAAAGTAGACATGCCGCAGGTCAAGGACTGTCTCAAGACCAGTTAGGACAGCTTCTCAGCATCATCTCAAGCTCAAGCCCTGGAAATCTCAGGCTTTGCAATAGCAAAACACAAATCTGTTAACTTACTCCTCCCAAGACAATTACTGGGAAAAAATATTTTGTAAATATTCAAAGGCTTCTGTGAACAGCCTGAGGCCAGATGACCCTGAAGGCGGAAGGCAGCAAGCCAGACAGGAGCCAGGAGCCTTGCCTGTGTGCACGCCCTCTCTGGGTGTCTGTAGAGCCATAAGCCTGGGTGGGTGTCCTGATGCCACCACCAGGGCAAAGCTCTCAGTAAGAGGACACAGCCAAGAGGAGGAGCAAGCCTTCCAAATCAGTTTGTCTCCTATGTTTAATTAAAAATGGCCTGGTCCAGGATCTGCCTGCAGCCAACAGATACCTCACAGTTGCTGGTGGTTAATGTCGCGAGCCTTCTGGTCTTTGCCACCTACAGATGCTGGGCCTGTGGGTTTCCTTTCTCTGCTCTTGTTTCCTGCCACCTGCCACAGGGGGCTGCCCAGGCCACATGTCCATGGTCACTACCTATACCTTCCAGTTACCTGTTGCCAGGACTGGCCAGGGCTGCTTGGTGGAGCACAGGAAGAGAGGGGATCGCCTGCAGAACCTGTCCTCTTGAAGAGCCTCAAGGAAGTGAGGCCTTTGCAGAAACTGCTTGTTCCAAAGCAAAGGGCACTCTCTGTTTCCTCTGGGTTGCTCTCTATTTCCTCCTGGTACCAGCTCTCTTTTTATACTGCTTTTATTGTGAAATATAAAACAAACACATAAGAGTGCATAACTAAATAGGTACAACTTAATGAATGATTATCAAGCAAACACAACCCAGTCAAGAAATGAAATGCACCCAGCATTGCAGGAGACCACTCCGCCCTCACACACTCATACCCATCTGTACAGCTGGCCTCCTGGGAGGCACCACCTCCTGAACTCTTGTGTTCATCACGCCCTTGCTTTTTTTGTTATTTTTCATTTGTTTGTTTTTTTAGTTTTACCACCTAGGTGTACATCACTAGATAAAACAGGTGGCTTTTGTCTGTTTGGGGACTTTGTGTATATGGTAGCATGGAGTGAGTTTTATGTTTGTGAGACTCATCTGTGCTTTGTATAGCTACCATTTGCTCATTTTATTGCTTTAGAATACAGTATTGTGTGAATTCCTACAATTTACTTGCTCTGTGGTCACTTACGTTGTGTGCAGTTTTTGATAAGCACAGATGAAGCTGCTATAAGTAGCCTTGGGGTGCATAGTGCACACATTTCATACACCTAGGGGTGGAATTGCTCATTCACGAGGTCTGTGAATGAATAAGTTCAGTTTCAGGAGACTGTTCCAAATTGTTTTCCAAAGTGGGTGAGCCCATTTATGCTCCCACAAGCAACGTAGGAGGGGCCTTGCTGCTCCCCACTCTCAGTAGCACTTAGAATGATCTTTCTAACTTCCACCAGTCTGAAGAGCGTGGAATGGTACTTCCCTGGGGTCTTCATTCATGTTTGCCAGATGCCTAATGAGGTTGATGGCATCATCTCTCAGGGAAACCTGTGCTTGTCTGTCTCAGTTTTTAACAAGAAAATGTCAATCAAGACATAGGGTAAGATGGAGTACAGCAGATTGGACATGGATTCAGAAACCAGAGTTCAGATCCCATTTATTACTACTATCTTTTTTTCTGGAGAGATGGCGTCTCACTCTGTTGCCCAGGCTGGAGTGCCATGGTGCAGTCTTGGCTCACTGCAGCTTTCACCTCCTGGGCTCAAGTAATCCTCCTGCCTTGGCCTCCCAAAGTGCTAGGATTACAGATGTGTGCCACTGCACCTGGTTCAGATCCCATGTATTATCTCCATGACCTTGAGGTCACAGACGTAAAAGATTAAATTATAGGAAATACTTTGGAGTGACATATTGTCACCATTCTTTCAAGGCCAACTTTTATAGGCATATGCATCCACTCTTACTGCTGTAGTATTTGGATAGCTCTCTATACCCTCAAACTATAAGCCACTGATATGTATAGAATAAACATAAATAGTCTCACTTTATAAGATACTTTCCCTATAAAACAGACTCAGTTCTCTCTTTATATGAAAAGATTACCATGTGGTTTTTTGTTGTGTTGTGTTGTGTTGTATTTAACAGTCACCAACTGCTGGCTGTAGTCGGCCATGTGGCTGTGAAAAGGGAGCTCACACCTTGGGCGCTGGCAACTCGGTTGGTTTGGGAAGAAGAGGTTGTTCTCACAGTGGGGAGGTTTCAGCACAGCCACCTGCTGAGGCCACAGAGAACCTAGATATGTGTCCTGTACCCTGGCCAGCTGCCCTGAGCTGTGGGGTGCTGTGCATGGCCAAGCACCGCTAGAAAAGACACTTATTCTGAATTTCACTCCTCCCATGCCATCGTTCAGCTTTCAAGTCTTGGGTTAGCTTTTTGAGATAAGTCTCCATGGCAAGGGACAGGAAAGCATGGCCATGTCCAGTTCTGAAGGCCATCTCAACTCTCCCTGTGGTCGTGTATCTGACTTCTTGCAACCAGGAGGAGGCATCAGAAATTTCCCCAGTACCCAGACGTCCCAAGGCAGTTGGGCACACTTGAACTCTGCCCCAAGTACAGTGCATTTGGGCACGTGGCTTAACAATTTTGGACCTCAGCTTCCTCATTTTAGAAAATGCAGGGGCCAAAGAGGCTTCCTGGGACTTCATGACTCACCCTCAGAACCTAAGATCTCATGAACCAAAGGGCTGCAGCTGTGGAGAGGGGAGAATGGGGCAGTGTGTGTGACTACGAAGCTAAACTGGGGGATTCGCACCCATTTCGTGCCTTTTCAGCCTCCACTGGGACCTCGAACTCCCCAAGTCCCACAGGTCTTCCAGGGGATCTCTCACCTCCCCATGAGTCATAAGCCTTACGTGGCATGCACTGCAGTGGGGGTGTTGTTCCCTGCCTGGCATCAGACTCCTGTGTTTCTGTTCACCAGGACCCAGGGCAGGGGGTTGTTCTGAGGGTCGCCCAGCATTACCATGAAGACAGAGCCTTGGCTGCTCAGCACGGCCAGCACAGCTCTGGTTTCACCTCTGTCTCTTCACCCCACAGTGGATGTCATTTTCTTCTCCTGGGGGTGTTACCCGACAATATCATCATTTGAAACTGTTTGAAGTCCAGCCCTGCCTCCCTTTCCTGCATTGGGAGCTTGGAAGTCCAGCCCTGCCTCCCTTTCCTGCAGTGGGAGAGTGGAAGTCCAGCCCTGCCTCCCTTTCCTGCAGTGGGAGAGTGGAAGTCCAGCCCTGCCTCCCTTTCCTGCAGTGGGAGCATGGGAGGGACTGAGGAAGGCCCGGGGGATGGAGGCTTCCATAACCCTCCATCTCTGGTCCAGAAGATGGCTGGTTAAAATGCCCACCAAACACCCCCACCCACACTCCAAGCTAGGTGGTAGAGCTGTCCATCTTGGATCTAACCCAAATGCAGGCCCTGGTGAAGAAAGGTGAGTCCACAGTGCTCCACAGATAATCAGGGCCCGTGGTGCCCCTGTGCTCATCACCCTGAGAAGCGTCACTGCTACTGAGCACCAGGCTCTCCTGACCACTGCCCAGAGCTCCTGGGCCCTGCTAGAGCTTAGCCATGGTCCATTCATCACCAACCTGCTAGCATTTCCTTGTTGCAAGCTTGCCCACTGGCATCATCCCTGAGTGGTAAACTGGGCCTTCCTGGGTTGGGTAAAGCCCTTGACCCTGAGGCTCCAAACTCTGCCCTCCAGCTGCCTTGCCAGGTGACAGGCCCCAGAGAGCGGCTGCTGACCATTCAGGCCAGGGTGCTTCCTCCCAGGGTCCCACCTGGAGACTGGCGGGCCTGGGGATGATGCAGTTCCATCCTCTCTTCTAGGATCCGAGCCAGAGACAACAACGGCTCCTACGCCCTGTGCCTGCTGCACGAAGGGAAGGTGCTGCACTATCGCATCGACAAAGACAAGACAGGGAAGCTCTCCATCCCCGAGGGAAAGAAGTTCGACACGCTCTGGCAGGTACCCAGCCTCCTCTCCCCACCTTGTGGGTAGAGTACAGGGCACGTGGGGCTCCTTGTCCCATGGACTCTTAGACATGAGAGGAACTGGACCACCCACTGCCCACAGTGTGGTCCCCAGGCCAGCAGTAGCTCTGGAGCTCATGAGAAACACACACCTGGACCACACCTGGGCTCCTGCCCCACCTGCCCATCAGACCCCACTTTCAGCCTCCAGGTGGCTTCTGTGTTTGAGAAGCACTGGTCCAGAGGCCGTCATGTGAGGTGAACGAAGGTTCCATGGCTTGTTCAGGGCCACTCAGCCCTCAGTGCCACAAGGTGATGTAAGTGCAGGGCTGTGTTCAGAGTTTAACAAGACACTCTCTTTGGAGATCTAGAAAATATTTCTTCCTAGGATATTCTAACTAGAGCCCAGAACAGCCTTTCAGACAAAGACACACAAAATAAAGGAATGGATGCCTGGGGAAGGAGGCCTAGGAACAGCCAAGCAGGACTTTGTTGGTGGTGTGAGAGGCTGAATTAGACAGCAAATGTCAGGTGCCCTCCTCATTGTAAATCGAGTCTCTCTCTGTGGAAACTAAGGCAATTTAGGAAGCATACTCCCTGGGCTCCAGGCTGCTGCTTATGCTGATTGCCACAGCCCTGGTCTAAAAAGTGCTTATTCCTGACCCAGCTACTAGAAAACCCTGAAACAACTCCCAATTTGGAAGTTCCTTAGGCACTAATGAGCACTAAAATAATGCTCATCACTGCTTTCCCTGAATCGCAGTGAGCACAGATTGCTTGTCTTAATTTTGCATCACAGCTACACTGGCTGATGATGAAGGAAATAACCGTAACAGTACTTCGTGCATCATCTTCGCAGAGCATCCTATAAACTGTAGTAGGTTCAGAAACAGGGAGAAAGCCAACCGACTCTGCCACCACCCCACCGCCCCAGAGCACCAGCTACCTTGAACATGTGTGGGTGAGGGGCATAATCAGGGCGTGTTCCAATGTCCTCACCCAAGCCCAGCTGGGGCCACACATGCAGTCAATGTTGAGGAAAGGACTCAACTCAAAATCCTGTCTTTTCAAAAACTGAGACTACAGAGCCTTAGCCCCTTTAAAGCACTTAAACTTACTACTTCCAAATGTGATTTGCTTTCTAGTGCTGTAATTGGAAAAAAAAAATACTCCTTTTTTGAATGCTGGATATGATCATATTAAAAAATGTTAGTCACAACATTTACATTGTCTTTTGATTTTGTGGCTCATTGCCATTTGTCATCATTAACCACAGGCTTCTTTCTTTTAACGATATTGATTCGAAAGAGTATTTAACCTTTCTACACTCAAAGCCCCAAAGCACATCAGGGAGGTGAGTAGGGAATGTGGCCTTCTGGAATGCAAAGGCACCTGGAGTCCTCTATGCCAGCTTAATGCTCCAAGGTCCCAGGCCCCATCACTTATAAACAGCCATTCATTCACCTTCTCCTGAAAGGGCATTTTATGTGTGTGGCGTTCTGTCACCATTTCAAAGGCTGAGCACTCACCATAGTGTTAAGCATCTCTAATTATTGAGAATGTCCTTCCCAAGAATCTTTACTATTTGTATTGATTCCCCTGGTAGATCATAGCATTCATCCCTAATTAAATATTCCTCATTGTATATTTTCTAGGCACTGTGTTTAGGAAACTACGTCAAAAATGCCAGCAATACGTTCCAATTTCCCATGCATGATTTCATTGATTTTTCTTGACAGCGTTCTAAGGTACTTCTGTACCCTACCCAACTCCAGGGCCCCAGTGCTATTTCACGGAGAGTTGGTGATTGCCATAATACCCTATTTCAATATTCTTTACTGTAGACCAGGGATCTGCAAACCCACAGACCAACTCTGGCTCTCAGCCTGTTTCTGTGTAGTCCCTGAAGAGAATGGTTTGTATGCTGTTAAAGGTGTTGTTTTGGATAAATAAATAAATAAACAAAGGACACAGATACGGTATGAGGCCCACAAAAGCCTAAAATACCACTTTCTGGCCCTTTACAGAAAAAATTTGCTGCCCCTAGCCCAAGAGGGGGGATCCCTAGCTGTGGGCCCACTTCCCCAGCCACCCTTGTGGAGTGGACTTAAGCACATAAAAGCATTTATGTGTCTTGGGGCCACTTCGAAAGCCCAACAGTCAGTCAGTAGCTCTCAGTCACTATTTGTCTATTTCCTGACCTTGGTATTTACCACTTTCTTACTTTTTTCTCTTTCAGCTAGTCGAGCATTATTCTTATAAAGCAGATGGTTTGTTAAGAGTTCTTACTGTCCCATGTCAAAAAATCGGCACACAGGGTGAGTTCCCAAGACACTGGAGTCTCAGTGTTTGAGGTATCAGTGACAATCAGCCTCATTTTAGACTTAGCTGATTGCAGATTTGGGTTGGATGAGGACTTCTTTTTACGGGTTGATTAATAATGATATCAGAGCACTCCGATTTTGTATATCGTGAATCAAAAAATAGCCAGTTGCTTTAACTTTAAAAAAATTGTAATTTATTTGTCTTCATTGCATGCGGGAAAAAGTAAAAGAGGGTCGAAAGAAGTACCTGCAGAAAGCGTGCTCACTTCTCAAGCAGCAGCACATCCTGATCTCATTGATTGATCTGCAGTGGGGAGGGGAAGGAAGTGGTTTCCTCAGATAGAGCAGTAATTGTCCATGCTCTCTCTAACCAGGAAATGTTAATTTTGGAGGCCGTCCACAACTTCCAGGTTCCCATCCTGCGGTAAGTGTCACTAGGAATACCACTGAATGAGAAGCTGTTGCATATTTCACAAATGAAAAGCATGTTTTAGCTAACAGGAGTAGTAGGCATTGATATTTTGATTGCGCTTCAAAACATACTCCGTGATGAGCTGGGATTGCTAGTGAGTGTTAGGCAGAATCAGCCTCCTATTAGTGATAAACTAACCACATTTTCTTTTCTTTTTTTCTTTTGCTTTTTTTTTTTGGAGATGGAGTGTCTCACTCTGTCACCCTGACTGGAGTGCACTGGTGCAATCACGGCTCACTGCAACCTCTGCCTCCCAGCTTCAAGCCATTCTCATGCCTCAGCCTCCCGAGTAGCTGGGATTACAGGTGCCTGCCATCACACCCGGCTAATTTTTGTATTTTTTAGTAGAGACGAGGTTTTGCCATTTTGGTCAGGCTGGTCTCAAATTCCTGGCCTCAAGTTATCCTCCTGCTTCGACCTCCCAAAGTGCTTGGATTACAGGCATGAGCCACCACACTCTGCCTAGCCACATTTTCTTAACTTCTTGTCTAGATGAAATTCTCTTCATTTTTGGAGAATATACACAATGCGAATGAAACCCAATATTAAATCAGAAGTAGGCCTCTTGCAATATTTGAGAAATGGGAACATATTTTTTAACTTCATCCTTGAGCCGTCTATGTTAACACACGTAATTCACAGGACCTCAGCTGTCTCCTCCCTCCAGCCTGTTAGGAAGTCAGGTACAGATTTATGCTCTAAGCAGGAATTATTTTCCTGCTCTTTTCTTGGGGCTACATATGGCCTTTTTTTTTTTTTTTTTTTTTTTTTGAGACGGAGTCTCGCTCTGTTGCCCAGGCTGGAGTGCAGTGGCGCGATCTCAGCTCACTGCAAGCTCTGCCTCCCGGGTTCACGCCATTCTCCTGCCTCAGCCTCGCGAGTAGCTGGGACTACAGGCGCCCGCCACAACACCCGGCTAATTTTTTTATATTTTTAGTAGAGATGGGGTTTCACCCCGTTAGCCAGGATGGTCTCGATCTCCTAACCTCGTGATCTGCCCGCCTCGGCCTCCCAAAGTGCTGGGATTACAGGCGTGAGCCACCGTGCCCGGCCCATATGGACTTTTTATGCCCTTTAATGCCATCTGTGAAGTGCGCCCTCTGCACCTCACTTTTTGCCTGGTAACCCTTGAAAAACAAAATCTGCAGAAAGCCAAATATACATCCTGCCTCCAGTAGGGACAATTGGCTGCCCAGTAGCTGAGCCCAGGTTGAAACAGGGGAGGCTGTCCAGGGGCAGCACTTGTTATCAAATGCAGGGAACGTGAATTTGCTAAAATACCAGTGACCTTTGGGATCAAAATGTAATGCCTTTATGGAAGTGTGACTTTATTTTGCCCTTTACAGGGCTCACAGGCCTGGCAACTCTATCTTAATATTATAGGCTCGGTGAGACAGATCCATACACCCTTCAGATGGATGAGGGCTTAGGGCTGAGAACTCTTAAAAGAATGTCAAGCCCTGTGCTTAGCCATCATCACCCAATGACTACAAGAAGTTAGATATTTTGGAATAACTTTTTAATTGACTGGTAAGATACATACGGGAAAAAAAAGGCATACGCCCTATGTGTACAACTCAATTAATTTCCACAAAATTTTCCACCGTGGAACCAGCACCCACCATGAAGAAGCAACACAACTGAGCACTCAGATCTACTTGTAGTTTCTTTCGGTGGTTTGTCTTGAGCTTACAACTTAATAATTCCACGTGAAGCATGAGCTAGTGAATGTAACAGCTCTAATTTTGTAGCCTTCAGTGGAACATATTTCCCAAATATATTTCTAGATCCTTCTTCCCAAGTGGCAGGCCCTTCCAGAAGCCTTCCCAATGATCAGGTGTTGCCCGTGGTCGATCTCATTGGCAGGGACAGGAGGGGGTTAGTGGTGCGATTATAGAAGCAAATTTAAGTAGCATGTCGTGGAAGGGATCCTGTATTTGTTTTCTGAAACATTTACTGTTCCTCTTTGCCGTTGTGGTTTCTAGACTTGGTCAGCGGGTGGAATAATCTCAAGAATCAAATCATACTCCTTCCCAAAGCCTGGCCACAGAAAGGTGCTAAAGCAACCCCTGCTTGCTGTCCAACTAAGTGGTAGGACCAACGCGCACTCAGCTCCCGCCCGCCCAGTCTGCCCTGTGTGTGCGCTGCCCCCCATCTCTTGCCACTCTGCTTCCAGGCCTCTTTGCCCTTGCTCACACCTGCTGTTCCTGGGCAGCCGCGCCCCAGGTACATCATGTGCTTTTCATGTGGGTCCTCAGTCCGTCAGCTGGAAGTCCAACAGTGTGAGCATGCTTTCTGTGCTCAAGCGTCATTTTAAAGTCGTTTCAGTTGGCGTCATCCGTCATAGCTAATTATCATGTCCGAAAATCTTTTCAAAGATGGCCCACTTACTTTTTGGTGGCCAGACTCACGTGTTGCAGTGTTCTGGTAATTGATTATGTAAGTTACGTTGTGATGGAGGGAACACCAAGGTTTTGTGAGGCGCGCTGCACAGTGAGGTCAGGCAGTGCATGGTAACTTCATTATGGCTTAGACGTCTAACATAGAACTGCAAATGTGACATGTAAAGAAGAGGTGTAATCTGAGGTCTAGAAAAACCAGTTTTCTTTTTGAGGCAGTAATGTTGACATCTCATTGATTTCCATGTTTTGTTCTATTATTGGATTTTGAGGGAAAATAAAAATAAGTTCTTTTTCATGACTTTTATTTATAATGACTTATTTATTCCTTCCCCCAAAATATGTATATATAATGTGTTTGAATTGCTTTTTTTCCATTCTACTTTTATTATCAGTGGGGTAAAATTGGTTCTTTTATCAGTAATTCTTTTTATTTTCATATTACTTGGTGTTTTTACCGACATTTTAGCATATAATTGAGCATCCACTCATGAAATAGATTGCCTAAAGTATTTACTAGAAACAACAGAAATAAAAGACATAAAACCCTTGAGATTTTATTTAGTAATAATTTTCCAAGTTTACTCATACTCAAGAAGTTCTCAATCGTGTTGACCACAGAACAGAAAGATTTAATGCAGTGTTCGAGAGGAAGAAAAGGTTTATTTTACACTTGAATAAAGTAACTATGTCTGTTTTTCATGTTTACCCAAGGCAAAACACCCCCACAGATTACTCACAGTGGCTAAAGAAATACCTAGAAAATAAGTTTTGGTGCATCTTTAGACTACAGGAGAACATGTCAGAAAAAAGTTGAAGAAAATATCAGTGACCACCTAAAAATAAAGAAGTATATGTGTAGATAACAACCATAACATCATCAAAAGAGAAATGAGAAACTGGGAGTAAGTAGCACTAATGCTGACACATAGATTAATAGCTTTAATATACAAAGAGATTCTAAAAATAATTAACAAAAATATTAACTGTCTACTAGGATAATTGGCAGGGAATATCAGTAGTAGTTTATAGTAAAGCAAATATAAATAGTTCTTAAACATATGAAATGTTGTTTAACTTCATGAGAAGAGAAATGCAAGTTAAAACTATGGTGCTTAACTGTGTCCACCTATGATCCAAATTTTAAAAGCTTGATAACACTGTAGTAAAGGCATGGTAGATAAGCACTTTCACTCTTCCTTGGGGAAGTCTGAAATGATGCAATCTGTAAGAAAGGCTCTGCAATTTTATTTCTAAGTATGTACAGATATTCTTGCATTTGTGTGAAATCATGTACATGTGAAGGTGTTTTTTCCAAAATTGTATAATTGACAAAGTCTGATAATAATTTAAATGCCTATCAATGGAAAACAAATGAAATTGGTTACAGTAAAATTGCTACTATGGGAGGCAGCTGAGATCTAGAATTGTTTTCAAAATATAATTTTAAGTGTAAAAGTCAATGTCCTGCAACACACACATACACATACATATATGCAGAATGTGTTGATATCGTATACAGTATCCTAGAAAAATACAGAAAATGCTGGCAATGCTGGTTGCCTCTGGAGTAAGAGATGGGAATGTTAAGAAATCCCACTTTTCATTGTAAACTCTGTTGTATCTTTTTAAATTTGAACCTGTTAAGAAATTTTAATCAATTTTTTTAAAACAGAAAATTAAATAGTAGAGAGTAATTAATCTGATTAATATTGTGAAAATACCTTTCTGGCAAAAAAAAAAGTTTGCTTTCTATTTAAGTTTAGAAGAACTTTAAAGTATACATTGAATTTTTTATAGAAATAAGAAACTGGAAATAAATATTACTAATGATGACACATATATAAGGCCAAAAATATCAACAGATAATTTTTAAAAGATCAAGGTTGTAAGGTTTAAGCTATAGATTAAAAATATTTTAATTGCTTATCAGAAATATTTTAGAGCTAATATGTATATTTTCACAAACAAATGGGGAACTTTCCATTATGTAATCAGTCATGAGAAAAGAATTGTGAGAATTATGTCAAATGTCCCATCATGTTAGCTAAGAGATAAATAACTTTCTTGAACTTGTTAATTTGCTCAGTGTACATAGTTGTTTTAATAATTCAGGCACAAAAAATACATGTTAGAACTTGAACTACCTATAGCATCTAGATAGTTAATGAAAAGTATGTTTAGATTTGAAGATGATTATGAATCAGATAATTTAAATTTTTCATAAAATTACTAACAGGCTGATGCATTTTAAACTTGTCTTTAGAAATTAGTAGCTTACTGCCAAGCACAGTGGCTCATGCCTATAATCCCAGCACTTTGGGAGGCCGAGGCAGGTGGATCACTTGAGGTCAGGAGTTCAAGACTAGCCTGGCCAATATGGTGAAAACTCATCTCTATTAAAAATACAAAAATTAGCCAGGCGTGGTGGCACACGCCTATAATCCCAGCTACTCAGGAGGCTGAAGCAGGAAAATCACTTAAGCCTGGGAGGTGGAGATTGCAGAGATCGTGCCATTGCCCTCCAGCCTGGGAGACAGAGCAAGACTCTGTCTCAAAAACAAAAAAAGAAAAGAAAAGAAAAGAAATTAGTAACATACTTATAAAGTATAAACAAAATTAACTTAAGAATACAACTAGTAGTCTTTAAATGAATTAAACCCCTCCCAATATTAGTCCTGGAATTTCTTTCTCTGCTGCTTTAAGCACAGAACCTTATCCTTCTTTTATGGAAAATAGGTGGAAATTAAACAGCAACATCTCTAAAAAGACTTCCAGGGAACTTTTCAGCTTTGCATTTCAAAGGCACATCCCCTAAGAGGATTAAACTGAAATGTGTCCCAGAATTTCCAATTAAAACCCATTTTTCATGTTTTATTCCAACACATACATTGGTGATTATAATATTTTAAAACTTACATTTAAGTACAGGGCTCAGTGGGAAGAGAAAAAAGAAAGAAACATCCTCAAGTTGTACCCTGTTGCTTGGTAATGCCTTAGTAGACCAGACCCTTGAGAAAATGTGTTTTCATATAATTATAAAGGAACAGATTTTAGATCTTCACTGTAAGAGAACAGTAATTGCAGAGGTCAAGTGTTATTTTCATGGATCTCAGAGCAAAGCTAATAGTAGCCTATTCCCCAGCCAACAGTCTGCCCTCGCCTGTGGGGGTCTACTGAACCAGGGTAATTCCACCAAAAAAAGGAAACCAAACCTAGTTTATTGCAGCCAATATTTCTAAAGCCAGCTGGCTCTTTTGTCACTATTATTGTGATGACTAATGACTGTATTGTCATCTGCATTACTGCTGTTGCCTAATTTGAAAATGGCCCAAGAATCTGGGAGTAAAAATTAAGATCTAGTAAATGGATGTTAGGACACTTGGCAATACTCTGGAATCAGGAAACTCTGAATGGACCTATCAGTTCCACAGACCAATAATTTTTTCCTCTTTTGTTCACTTTTGGATCACCAGCTTTTAAACATAGGCACTCAAAGAATGCTTGTCAAATACATTTTCTATTCGCAGTTAAACCTTACCAATAGGAAATCAGGGATAATAATTTATAACTGGACTTATTATTGCAGAGTGATATCCTTACCTGAATTTATAAAATTTAAAGAAAAGTCACCAGTTGTTCTTTTGGAAGGTAGAAAGCGAAGGTGGCTAATGCCATCTAGCGGTGGACTGAAGGTTTGAGCCTGTTCTGAGTATTAGCAAAAATGAAGAAAGTGGAATGGTCAACATTTCATTTACACCTTGTTGCTCACTGTGCAGAACAGATGACACTTATTGATTGGGACAGAATGGCTCTCTCAAATGCAAACATAAAGAATAAAAGGTTAATAGTAATGTAGACCGGAAATATATTTTTTATTAAAATTAAATGTCATTACATTTTTTAAGAATAGTATTTTTACAATTTATCATTATGCCACTGTGCTCATTCTTTACAAACTCCTCAAATTTTTCTTTTTAACTGAGCATTTTCTTTTAGAGATTGTTTTGGTTATTGTTCTACTAAGTGGCATATTCACCAAGTGCTTTGGGAAAGATGAAGCATGGATTTTGCATCTTCATCTTTATCATAAAGTAACTACTGTTCTTTTAACTGACTCAATAGGAAACCTCCCATTTCTTCCACATTCTTCCAGTTGTGGCATCATTCTTTGCTCCAGTCCTGTTAGTCACCAGAAAGAGATAGGGGCAGGGAGCCCAGGGATCTGGGTAGGAGAGAGTTGATGTGGGGTTGTTGAGAGACATGAGGGTTCTTTGTGGCTTGGCTTAAAAGGCTTATAATCACATAGTGGTCTGTGTTGGGCAGCATGGAAATGAAGCCCCAAGCTTTATTGGCTATAAACGTGGAGTTCTAATTTCCGAGGAAGATCTCCCATCTGTTTCCCTATCCATAAGCCAAGATAGACTAGGGGTGAACAACACACTGCTAGTGAGAGTATAAATTATTTGTGCCCAGGGGTTTAGATTCTCTGTGTCCATCGCTACTAATTCTTACTCATTCCTGACACCCTAGTATCCCTTTCAGCATATTTTGACAACCCCATCTCTGTTTTAAAATTCTTCCCTGCAGGATTCATATGTCAGGGAATTGCGTTCTGGTTTAATTGGAACAAGCCATTTGGAAGTCCTCCTGGTCTGGAGAACATTCTGTGAGGTAGAGAGGCTGCAACCCCAGGATAATGTCCTCAGTGGGAGGGACAGGAGGTCTTATGTCAAGAAGAGGTGATGGTCCCTCTCCTCACCAGTGATGGCTAGTCCGAGGACATCCTTTAATTCCACATCTGTTCAAGTTTTGTCTTTGGATCTCAGAATGTGCCTGCCTGCAGGGAAAATCAAAGGAGTTGAAATGACAGTAAATATTAACCTTGAAAGAGACTTTAAAAAAAATAAAACTATTTTCAGCCTAGAATTGGTTGCGGGAGAAAACTGGGCAAAAGAGGAGGACAGAAAGCCTAGGGGATCACCCAGTTTCTGTCAGGACAGTTTTCCAGAGGCAGGATAATTATATTATAAATCAGAAGTGAAACCACAGCACAGTCCTGTAATCATATGTAAATGTTTAAAAGAAATAGATTGTCATTTGGAATTATTCATTCTTATTTCTCTTCATCAGCATAAAGGCTTGAGAGAGAGCTAATTTTTAAAGCACATTAGATTATACTTCACATCTCCTAGTTTTTAGAAGTGATTTTCATTCATTCACCCATCCATTCATTCATGTGTTTGTTCAACACATTTTTATTGAGCGTCCTTGTGGACGTGGCACAGTTCCGAGTGCAGTGAATAAATGTCTCCCCCTCCTTGAGCTTATATTCTATTTTTATTTTTGATGTGTCATAGTTACTTCTGTTAATCAGTTCAGTAGAAGTGCTGAGATACTCTGTGACAAAACAGATCCCATCGACATCATTTTTACAAATAAGACCAGATGTCCTTTAGCCTTGTCAACAGGCTTGGGCCATGGTGAACAATGTCTGCCTCTGAAGTGCTCAGCAGACCGTGTGAAAGAAGAAGGTCCGGGTGTTTGGAAACAATGGCTGAGTGGCGGTAGTGGTGCATTGTGACCTCATTATTCTGCTTTTGGTTTCTCGCCTTGTAATATGAATAAGGCACATGAGGATTTAGTGTGTGTCATAAGATAAGTGACTGTCACGTTAAGCTTAATGTCTCTGTTTCTGTAACTTTCTCCATAATCTGGCAGTATCTCATTTCTTCGTGGCCAGTGTTTGGGCACTGAAAAGGTCAATCAATACATAGAATTGTGACTCAACTCACGCTGAAAAAAAAAAAAAAGCATCTGAATCATGGTTCTCCTGTGAATTAAATTTAGTAGCAAGAATCTTGTTTTAATTTGGAAGAAAGGGTGGGTCAGGAAAACTCAAGATAGAGACTTTCAAAAGGGAAAGTCCTTAGGATAATGAGTAGATTTCCCCCCCCAGTTGTTTCATGATATAAACTGATGTGGACCAAATAAATACCTGTCTCACAGGGGTACTGATTTCCAGCATTAGCTGTGGCAGCTGGAGCATTGCTGGCCTAGGTGGCAGCAACTGGCCTTCCCTTGGGACCTGTAGTTACTGACCAGTGCCACCCTCTGCCATCCACCCCAATGCTGCTGCATCTCCACCGAAGATAAAGACTTGGGTGGAGACTTGGAAAACATATGTGCGTTGGAGTTGGGAAGTAGGTAGGAGCAGCTGATGAGTACTAATTTTCCTCTTTAAATAATGTCCATGTAATATGAAATTGAAGAGCACAAGTTAAAGAAGGAAAATGCTTCCAAGGCGAACATGCAAATCATCAGCGATCTTTGGTAGGTGGGAATAGGATGTGCAAGGGGGTGAGTGGGGAAGCAGCTCTATCCAGGCCAGTAGAGTTGACTCTCACCACACCCTCTGAACACCTCACAGAGTCCCTTGAGTTGTAGCAGCACAAGCTTGCTTTAGCCCTTGCAAGATCCAAATAATTGCCCGAAGAATGAGATCAGCCTTATTTTCTTCCCTGTTTTTCGTAATTCTTTCCTTTGTCTTTCCTGCAAAAGTTAAACTGTGATTATTGGAAAATAAAAATAATTATGCAGATCAACTTAACAGTTTTGTGGATGAAGAAAAACAACCTGTTGTCCTTTATGTACTTTAGTCCTCCCCTGCCCAAGGGAACCGGCAAGAGAGTACTGTGTCATTCAATCCGTATGAGCCAGAACTTGCACCCTGGGCTGCAGACAAAGGTGAGACTTCCTTTCATTCAAGGGACATTCACAGAGCAAAGTGCGTGGTCACTTGTAAGTTTGTAGAGTTGGTTCACGAATCCACACCACGTCCGTGATTGCAATACAGCCACAGTTAGCCATGGAAACACTCACATCTAGTGGCAGGCAGCAGGCACCACATGCCCATGAGCAGTGATGGTGCTATTGAATGAAATGGTCTTTCCCACCTCCCTCACCCAACGACGTTGGAAATGTCCCTGCCACTCTTCAGAATTTCTCATCCCTTGCAACATTGATGCTACTCTGAGTTCATATTCCCATGAAGATCATGTTCTTGGAAGGATGAATCCTGGTGTGGGGTCCAGCCCCAGGTCGTATGTTTCTTGACTGCATTGCAGGCCCCCAGAGAGAAGCCCTACCCATGGACACAGAGGTGTACGAGAGCCCCTACGCGGACCCCGAGGAGATCAGGCCCAAGGAGGTTTACCTGGACCGAAAGCTGCTGACGCTGGAAGACAAAGAACTGGGCTCTGGTAATTTTGGAACTGTGAAAAAGGGCTACTACCAAATGAAAAAGTAAGTTGCTATGTTCCACCAGCCTCACCCTCACATGAGCTCAGGTTCTAGACATGACTGAGAATAACAAAATGTAACCTGGCATGACTAAACCCTTTTTTTATTAATGCTACCATTCTTGTTAATTTCTGGTACTATTATAATGAAAGCGTCCATTACCTTTAATGGCAAAAACTGCAATTACTTTTGCACCAACCTAATAGTACATGCACCTTATGGAAAATTAGGAAATAGAAACAAGCAGAAACATAAGAAAATAAAAACATCAAATTGGCATGGTGGCTCATGCCTGTAATCTTAGCAATTTGGGAGGCTGGGATAGGAGGATTGTTTGAGGCCTGGAGCTTGAGACCAGCCTGGGCAACATAGCAAGACCCTGTCTCTACAAAAAAAATAAATAAATAAATAAATAAATAAAACATAAAAAATTAGCCAGACATAGTAGTGCACACATATACTTCCAGCTGCTCAAGAGGCCAAGAAGCCAAGGCTGCAGTGAGCCATGATTGCACCACTGCACTCTAGCCTGGGTAACAAAGCAAGGCCCTGTTTCAAAAAACAAAACAAAAAAAAGAAAAGAAGAACATCATATTTGTATAATACCATCCCAACACTACTACTGTTAACTAAACATTACTACTGTTAACTTAATCTTATTGTATATATTTTTAGATCTTTATTTGTACACACAGATATTATTTAATTAAAACAAAATCATTCCATTATAACAATAGTTTTTACATTTATTTTCTTTAATTTTATAGTTACATCTCATTTTTCTTACATGAAAATTATTGATTCCAAATATGATTAGTATAATTATTTATTGGCTTTATCCTATGATTTCAGATAACAATACATATTATACAACAGTTAAAATTGCTAAATTTCGAAAATATCTTTGTATTTCTTTTGGTCTTTAGAAGGTACCCAACATAGAATGTACAAGTAAAACTACTGGTTTCTAAAGTCCTTTGAAATACACCCTCTGTTTGAATTGGTATGATACTAATATGAATGTGGTTAGATTTAGTAGCTTCATGGTATTTCAAATGTAAGGGATTTTTGTAAAAAAAAAATTCGTGAGTAGGTAATTTTTATGATTCAAGGGTTAAAAATATAGACAAAAATATACACAGACATGCGTGCTTTCCGGCCGGGTGCCGTGGCTCATGCCTATAATCCCAGCACTTTGGGAGGCCAAGGTAGGTGGATCACCTGAGGTCTGGAGTTCAAGACCATCCTGGCCAACATGGTAAAACCTCGTCTCCACTAAAAATACAAAAAATTAGCTGGGTGTGGTGGCATACACCTGTAGTCCCAACTACTTAGGAGGCTGAGGCAGGAGAATCACTTGAACCTGGGAGGAAGAGGTTGCAGCCAGCCAAGATCACACCATTGCACTCCAGCCTGGGCAACAAGAGTGAAACTCTGCCTCAAAAAAAAAAAAAAAAAAAGAAAGAAAGAAAAAAGAAATGCTTGCTTTCCAATCTGTCCCTTCGATTTGTTTTTGTGCATGTGTGTGTGTGTAAATTAGATACACATACATGTATGTATACACACACAAACATACACACATATGTATACATTCACAAGTATATACATGCGCACATATATACACACACAATCAAAATTGGCTGTGATACTTATTTTAAAATATATGTTTGTATATCACAGTCATTTTGTACAATGAGTAAAAATGTTTCTGTATTAATCCTAAGCTTTTTCAGATTATGAAAGGTTGTGATCTTTATTCTGTGCTTAAATTTGTGAATTAACATAGACATGACTGTGGACATAATTTCAACTAGAGAATTTGGGGAGAGGAGAGGCTCTCTCGGTCAATTTGGGGCAAAATGATGTCTTTACAATACTGAGTCTTTCAATCTATAAACACAGCCCATCTCTCCATTTACCAGGTCTTCTTCAGCCTCTCTCAGGAGAGTTGTTTACCTTTTCAATGTATTACATTGAAATATATGCTTTTAAATTCTGCACCTAGAAATTCACTTTCAACAATTATGAAAGGCATTTTATATTCACATTCATTACATGTAATCTGAGATGGTGAATCCCAAGATGTTACAGGAATTCGTACATGTCATCGTTGGTGAAGTTTATTTACAAGTTATTTAAATATTTTACAGTTTAGGGTTTTTGCTTGGTTGGGACATTCTTCAGTACTGTTCTTCACCATTCTTTTTATTTTATATTATTTTTTAGAAACAGTGTTTCACTGTGTCACCCAGGCTGGAGTGAAGTGGCAAGAAGCTCACTGCAGCCTTGAACTCCTGAGTCCAAGTGATTCTCCCACCTCAGCCTCCCGAGCAGCTGGGACTACAGGCTTGCACTGTCACACCTGGGTGATTTTTTTTAGAGATGGGGGTCTCACTATGTTGCCCAGGCTGACCTTGAACTTCTGACCTCAAGCAATCCTCCCCTTTCAACCTCCCAAAGTATGGGGATTGTCAGCATGAGCCACCATGCCCAGCCCCCACCATTCTTTTTTAGTAATGGAGTATTACTCTCATTGTCTATAAAATAAGGGAATATAGGTTGGAAGGCCAGCCATCCATTACAGGCTTCTGAAGACACATTGCCACTCTGTGGCAGGTATTTCCGTGGGACTGTTTCCACAGGGGGATTATGCTTCACAGGATAAGATTATCTAGAAGTGAGGCATTTTGGAAAGTTTCTTGTGTGTTATGATTTCTCTTGCAGAGTTGTGAAAACCGTGGCTGTGAAAATACTGAAAAACGAGGCCAATGACCCCGCTCTTAAAGATGAGTTATTAGCAGAAGCAAATGTCATGCAGCAGCTGGACAACCCGTACATCGTGCGGATGATCGGGATATGCGAGGCCGAGTCCTGGATGCTGGTTATGGAGATGGCAGAACTTGGTCCCCTCAATAAGTATTTGCAGCAGAACAGGTATTGTCAGGTGCCCCCACACATCTGGAAGCTATCCCCTAAGGGACAGGGCCCACCCCTGGATGGGCCGAGCAGCCTGATTTCCTTGGGAAGCCTTCCCACCCTCCTGTGCCTTCCTTTATTGGTCCATACTCAGGGACCTTGACAGAGGGACAGGGAGACATAGTCTTTGGATTCAGCTCTGTTAGCTCTAGTTGTTCAGAGAAGAACTCATTTGACAGTTTTGTCTTTTTTTTCTTCCTGTAGTCATTCAGTCTTGGCCTAGTGATAGACTCAGCCTCAGAATATCTTGACATGGAATCTCCTTTCTCACTGGGAAGAACACTTTCTTTTTAAAGAAACATTTTAAATAAATGCTTTTCTAAGAGGTGACAGTTAAGTCTTATCTGTTTGGCTGACCTTATGTTCTCATGAGTGATGACTTCTGAAAATACCAATCACTGCTAATTGATTACATCCATCAAGGGAGTAATTGTGTTCTTCTCATCTAAAGCTGTTGTTGAGATGAAGAAACTCACTTGGAGTAAGACAGAATGATGGCCACCGAGGAGCTTGCCTCATTTGCTGTGCTACGTTTGTACTTAGATTGTCTCTTTAGTCTCCATGGAAGGGAGGTGTTCTTACCCTGACTTTGTAGGTGAGAAACTGATTCTCAGGGTTAGTTCTGTGACCTGTGTGATACTGGAACAAGGATTTGAGGTGGTGCCTGGCTATCTGTGAGCCAGGCCTGACTACTCTGTTATACTGCTTTTCTTGCAATTCCAAGCATGCCAGGAAACTCAATCCCATTGAACACCAGGAGAATATGGCATTGAGTCCTGAAGAGCTATATGCTAACAAAGTTATTTGTCACCACTCGTGAGTTTTGTTGTTTAAGAAGAGGGAAGGAGTAGATTCACCCACTGCCTGCGTGAGGAGCATGGTTGTTTGTTGTGAAATGGGTCACTGTCTGTTATAGCTGATGAGATCATTATGACTTTCAGACATGTCAAGGATAAGAACATCATAGAACTGGTTCATCAGGTTTCCATGGGCATGAAGTACTTGGAGGAGAGCAATTTTGTGCACAGAGATCTGGCTGCAAGAAATGTGTTGCTAGTTACCCAACATTACGCCAAGATCAGTGATTTCGGACTTTCCAAAGCACTGCGTGCTGATGAAAACTACTACAAGGTAAGTACAACTTAGCTAATATTCAGAGCAGCAGGTGGTAAAAAATGCAAGATAAATGTACGTTTTCTTTATTTTATTATTGGTATGGTTTCAAAAAGCAGTTTTGCTACTGAAAAATAACTATGTAAGATATGTTCTTATAATCTTTGATTTTACTGTTTAAAAAATAAAAATAATATCACACCTTGAGATTTACTCAAAGTAGTATATTCTAAATTATGTTTCATGGAATGATCAGGAATCGAGGTATTAAGTGAAGATTTGTTTTGAAAAAAGAAGAATGGGATTCCTTCATTAAGTTAATTTGAAAAGTTTGCATTGGACAGCTTGATTCTTGCAGGATTTCCCCGAAGCCCTTTTCATGCTACTTAACATTACGAATCTCAGTAGAGGGTTTACTGCACTGCATTTCTCAAACCAGATTCATCCATGGCATCCTTTTCTGATAGGACATTTCATAACATGTGGTGGAACACTGTCCCACAGCATGGAGCTATTGGAGCTTGGAGCTCCAGTACTGCAGTTCAGAGCTCCAATATTGCAGCTTGGAGCTATTCCAAAATAACTTTCTAATGAACACCTACCTATACATGCAAAAGTTAGAAAGTGAAGATTTACCAAATAAACTCGTCATCTGTGTATGTCCACTACATATGTAGAAATTGTTCTATTGGCTTAACTGGTATCCAGAAGAGTTGAAGTGTCAAAAAATAGATGCAGTGCTGGAAAGAAGAGATCTAGATAGTTATGTGACTGAAGCTAAAAGAAATATGCCCCTTGGTTTGGTGAGGCAGAGATTATCAAGAATTAAGGGTGGACTTCCAGCAAAACATAAAGTAGAAACTAGTTCTGGGTGCAGGTTTGGACTTCCTAAAAAATAATTTCACAGTGACCAATCCCCTTGCTAATATAACTTGACCCCTCTCTGAACCCTCAAATGAACCAATAACAACTAAAAGAAGAAAAGATAAGAAAGCTCTATCTTCATATTAACTCATCTGTGGTGTATACCTAGGGTCTATGTTAACCAACTGGAAAACGTGATGGCACCAATCCCACTGAGTCAAAGAGGGTGCCGAAGGCAGGTTAACAACCCTGCTAGTCTCTGGTGAAGTCCACATGCTCAGAAATAGATGGCAGACCTTCAAAATCTACCTAGTGGGTGGCAGATAGGATCCTGTGTTTCATGCCCTGCAGTGGTCAGAGACCCCACCCTGAGTGACAATACCCACCCACTCACCTTTCCCTAAGAGGCAGTCCATGGACTGGTAGGTGATGGGGAATGGTGGACCTCGGCCAGCAAAGGGACTGCATGAAGGGTAAGCCACAAGAGCCAAGCTCCCAGGCAGGCAGGCAGACTCCACCATCTTGAGCACAAAGGCCAGGCGAGAGTACAGCAGGGGTCAGGCTGGCCCTCCTCACCCCATTCTTCATACAGTAGCTTCCCAGAAGGAAGCCCCTTCAGAGGTGAACCACTGTGAGAAAGGCATCAGCATGGGCCTGGATAGAAATAGCAGGGAAACAGAGCAAGGAAGACAGCAGCCTAGGATGACCAGCATGGGACATGCTGGAGAAAGAAGCCTGTTGTAATGCTGGATGTACCTCATCATGATCATTACAGAAAAGAAGACAGCCTGTCTGAAACAAGGACACAGAGGAGATAGAGAAAATGAAACATGAATGCTGGGCACCTTATCCACTGCTGTATAACAAATCACCCCAAACTTACTGCCAAAAACACCACCAGGTGTTGGTTTCCCTGCCGTCCTGCTGTGTGGGCAGGGCCAGGTAGGCAGGGTTCAGTGCGTCTGCTCACACAGGGGATTGCACAGTGGCCCGAGGGACAGGAGGACCGTTTCCACTCTGCTCACTCACACTACTCAGCCACTGAGCAGCTGGTTAGACACAGCCCATGCTGGAGACCTCTGCGGGGCTGTCAGCCAGCTCACCTGCACATGGCCTCTCCTTGGGGCCCTTGGGCTTCCCTTGGGCCCATGCTTCCCTTGGGCAGCATGGCAGCTGCGGGCTGAGAGCAGTTACCCAAGAGGCAGGAAGTGGGGGCTGCCAGGCCTATAAAACCAGGCCCAGAAACTACCTCAGGGTCACTTCCACCTGATCCTATTGGTCAGAGCAGCCAAGGCCACCAGCTTCAAAGGATGGGATAGATAGAACCACCCTTTTGAGGAGAAGTGTCAAAGAGTCAAAGAACATGGGGCCAATTCTAAAACTGCTGTAGATATTAAACAGCATACCATTAAAAAGTAAACTAAACTAAAAAGTAAACCAAAGATTGTCTTTGGACAATCAATGAAGAAAAAAAGCCACTAGGGAAATAAAAGCCATCTTGGAAGCAGCAAAAAGAGACAAAACTACCGAAAAGATAGGGTAGTGGAAGATTTCTGTATGAAAACAAAGCAAAGTGAAATGGAAAAGAATAAAAAGTGGGCCGGGCGTGGTGGCTCACGCCTGTAATCCCAGCACTTTGGGAGGCTGAGGTGGGTGGATTACCTGAGGTCAGGAGTTCGAGACCAGCCTGGCCAACATGGTGAAATCCCGTCTCTACTAAAAACACAAAAATTAGCCAGGCATGGTGGCAGGCACCTGTAATCCCAGCTACTCTGGTGGCTGAGGCAGGAGAATTGCTTGAGCCCGGGAGGTGGAGGTTGCAGTGAGCTGAGATCGTGCCACTGCACTCTAGCCTGGCCAACAGAGCAAGACTCTGTCTCAAAAAAAAAAAGGAATAAAAAGTGAAACAAGATCAAAGAAAAGTGCTAGCTGTGGAAGCAAACGAACGCTGGCACTCGGGAAACCATGCGTGACAGGGTAGATTTGTGCAGCATCACAACTGAAAAACACAGGTGTTCTTTGATCCAGCAGCTCCTTCCGAGAGCAAACACACACATCTGGTAATGTGCACTCTAGCACGGGCTGCCACGGCAAAAATCTGGAAACTGCCTGACGACTGCTCCGCAGGGTTTGGTCCAATCAGTCATAGCAGATTCACAGGAAGCTCACAATGCAACCCTTTTAAAAGTGACTTATTTGCATGTGCTGACCTAGAAATATGTCTACTATACATGGTTAGGTAGAAAAATTAAAAAGTACAGTGCTCAAAGAATATGCCCCTAGTTTTATGACCAGAAAAAAGTATACACTACCTATTTATGCATGTATCTAGGTTATTCTGAAGACAGCCTAAATTTCATTGCATTTAAGATTTGTCAAAGGTTTACTTTTTTCATCAGTTCAAAATTCAGAAGAAACCTGAAATAACACACATGGTTGTATTGTTCATGACTTGTAAGATCAAAATTTTAAAATAGCACACAAGGTGATGGAAACAGAAGTATAATCAGTTGTATCATTTGGAAGAGAAGTGCCAGGGCACCTTATGGTCTCCAGATTGATGTCCTGAATGTCTCCTTGTGATCCACTGTAGTGTCATGAAATCAGTTTTCACTGAAATCATGTCCCCCTCTCCACCCCAATGAGACCTCACACAGGTGACATCAGCAGAAGATAACCAGACTCCGCTGTGTGCCCCCTGAATCCCAAACCCAGAGAGAGGGTTTTGCTATGCAGTTTTGACCTCTGTACTATCACTTGCTTTTTAAAATTAGGAAATTAGAATGCTTAGATCATTTTTTAATGATGCTAGCAAGTAGTGCATGCTAAAATAATTGACCTGGGTGGAGAACTGATCAAGATGGACGACTAAATGCAACTAGTATATGCTCCTCCGTAGAGACGGACCAAAATAACAAGTACATATTCACACTTCCAATAGATGGTCTAAGAGAGAACACAGATGCAACCAAGGAGCGACAGGAAGCACCAAAAGCAAAGCACAGGGAAACAAGGCAGCCTGCTTGGCCAGGAATGACTGGGAGCTGGGAGAAGCTTCCAGATATGGGGAAAGCATAAATGAGAGATCCCCAGGGCTCCACATTCCAGCCAAGGACTTCTACAATCCTAGCGACAGAAGAACCCCTCGACCCACGTGGGCCTTAAGACTAACATAGGGAGCTGCCTAGGGATCACACAGAGGCATTGCTCCATAGAGGGAACTCACGCTGAGTCCCACAGGCTTCCAAGCTCTGAGTAGCTGCAGCTTGGTGCCATACTGAGAACCAAGTCCCCAAAGGACTGCATCTTGCCCTGGGACTATTGCTGATGCTGCCATCACCAGGCCAAGGACAGAGGGGAGAATGGACACCTTCACACACCCCAGGGACAGATCCCCCTGCTGCTACAGGCTGCTGTGGGGCTGAGACACAAGCAAATCACACCCCCTATAGCTGCCTGCCTACACTGCTCCCCCTGAGAATGTCCGCAGCCTCCCCAGGAGCAGGCCCATAGCCAGCGCCATTCTGAGAGCCAAGCCTCCAAAGGTCTGTGTCCTTCCTTGGGCCAGGGCTGATGCTGCCACTGCCCCGCCACATAGGGAGAAGGGAGGCCAGGCACTTTCACATGCCACAAAAACAAATACCACCACCACTGCTGAGGGCTGCTGTGGGACCAAGGCTCAAGAAGACTGCATATCCCACAGCTACCTGCCTACTCTGCACCTATTGAGAGTGGCCCTACCCTTTCTGGTGGTAGGCCTTCAGGGCAGCCACTGCTGGCAACCTAGAGACCACCCCTCCCTGCGTATCACAGCCAGCAGCTGAATGCACCACCAGGGAGCCTGAGCACAAGTCCATTGGCCTAGTCACATGCCCCAATACTTGAGCATGACATCCTGTTGCAGCCACCGCCAACACCAACATGGACCACTTGGGTTCCAGTGAGTTGCCCTACCACCATTACTGCCATCACCCACATCACACCCACTCCCCAGGAACCCAAGAACCTGCCCACATGCCCAGCCACTGCAGCATCCACACAATCTACCTGAAAGCCCAAGGGTCAGCCTTCTTAGACCTACTAACACCAGTGCTAGTGTATACCGCCCTAGGGCCCAAGGACAGGCATACTCAGCTCACTGCTGTCACCACTGGGGTCTGAAGACTGGCCCACCTAGCATCCTATTCACAGTACACCTTCACAACAGCCTCCACTAATAACCATACCCTAAGGCACTGAGAAAATCACAGGTGTCACTGAGGCTGTTTATGGCCATAGAAATTATACATAGATTAAATACTGCATTCACCCCAAATCAAACCCAAAGTGCCCTACATATATATATGTGTGTGTGTATATATACACACATACACATACGTGTATATATACACACATACACATACGTGTATATATACACGCATATACACATACACATACGTGTATATATACACATACACATACACATACGTGTATATATACACACATATACACATACGTGTATATATACACACATATACACATACACATACGTGTATATATACACACATACACATACGTGTATACATACATACACACATACGTGTATATATGCATACATACACATATGTGTATATATACATACATATACACATATGTGTGTACATATACATACACATACACATATGTGTGTACATATACATACACACACATACACATATGTGTACATGTACATACATACACATACACATATGTGTACATGTACATACATACACATACACATATGTGTACATGTACATACATACACATACACATATGTGTACATGTACATATATACACATATACACATATGTGTACATGTACATATATACACATATACACATATGTGTACATGTACATATATACACATATACACATATGTGTACATGTACATATACACATATACACATATGTGTACATGTACATATACACATATACACATATGTGTACATGCACATATACACATGTGTACATGCACATATACACATATGTGTACATACACATATACACATATGTGTGTATATACATATACACACATATGTGTGTATATACATATATACATATATACATATATATACATATGCACATATGTGTATATATACATATATATACATATGCACATATGTGTATATATATACACACATATATGTGTATATATATATATACCCAACATATATATACCCAACAACATATATATATTTTCAGGAAAAAGACCTCCTCTACAAAAGCAATTTCAAAAAACTGGAAGAAATGACTGTTGTACCACATGGGCAGATATCAATGTAAGAACACAGGAAACATGAAAAAGCAAGGAAATATGATACCTCCAAAGGAACACACAATTCTCCAGCAAAAAAATCCCAATCAAAAAGAAATTCACAAAACCCCAGATGAACAATTCAAAATATTGATTTTAAAGAAGCTAAATAAGATATAAGAGAATTCTGAAAAACAATAGAGAGAATTCAGAAAAACAGTTCAGGATATGAATGAGAAATTTATCAAAGAAATAGATATTTTTAAAAGAACCAAACAGAAATTCTGGAACTAAAGATTCATTGAATGCAATAAAAAATACATCCCAAACTCCACCAATAGACTAGATCAGGCAAAAGAAAGAATCTCAGAACTTGAAGACAGGTCTTTTGAAACAACCTATTCAGACAAAAATAAAGAGAAAAGAATAAAAAAGAATGAGCAAACCCTTCATGATATATGGGGCAGTGTAAAGCAACTGAATATTCAAATCATCAGTGTCCCCAAGGGTGAAGAGAGAATGAAAGATTAGAAATCCTATTTAATGAAATATTAGATCAAAACTTCCCAAATATAACAACAAACCTAGACATCCAGATGCAGGAGGCCCAAAGGTCCCCAAACAGATACAATGCAAAATCATCTTCTCCACAGCACGTTATAATCAAACCACTTAAAGTCAAAGCAAAAGCAAATATACTAAAAAGAGCAAAAGAAAATCTTCTAATTACCCATAAAGGAACCACCATTAGACTAACAGTGGATTTCTCAGCAGACACCTTACAGGCCAGGAGAGAAGGGGATGACATTTTCAAAGTGCTGAAAGAAAAATACTGCCACCCAAGGAGACCATGTCCAGCAAAACTATTCTTCATAAATAAAAGAAAAATAAAGCCTTTCCCAGGTAAGCAAACACTGAGGGAATTCATCACCACTAGACTGATCCTAGAAGAAATACTCAAAGGAATCTTAAACGTGGAAGTAAAAGGACAATATTTACCATCATAAAAACACACAAAAGTATAAAACTCACTGGTAAACCAAACATACAAATAATCCTGTTAAATAGTGGGCTAAGAACATAGATAGACATTTCTCAAAAGAAGATATACAAATGGCCAACAGGTATATGAAAAAATGCTCAATATCACCAAACAGCAGGGAAATGCAAATTACAAACACAATGAGATACCATCTTACCCCGGCTAGAATGGCTGTTATTAAAAAGACTTTTTTTAAAAAAATGCTTTGCAGATGCAGGAAAAAAAGGAACTCTTATACACTGTTTGTGGGAATGTAAATTAGTATAGTCACTACGGAAAATATTAGAGAGACTTCTCAAAACAAAAACAGGCTGGGCACGGTGGCTCACACCTGTAATCCCAGCAGTTTTGGAAGCCCGAGGCAGGCAGATCACAAGGTCAGGAGATCAAGACCATCCTGGCTAACACGGTGAAACCCTGTCTCTACTAAAAATACAAAAAATTGGCCAGGCCTGGTGACAGGTGCCTGTCATCCCAGCTACCTGGGAGGCTGAGGCAGAAGAATGGCATGAACCCAGGAGGCGGAGCTTGCAGTGAGCTGAAATCACACTACTGCACACTCCAGCCTGGGCGATAGAGTGAGACTCCATCTCAAAAACAAAAAGAAGAAAAAAAAACTAACTACACATAGAATTACCATATGATCCAGCAAGTCTACTATTGGGTATTTATCCAGAGGCAAATAAACTTGTATCAAAGGGACACATACACTCAACGTGCTTATCATAGAACTATTCACAATAGCAAAGATGTGGAATCAACCTAACTGTCCATGGATGGATGAATGGATAAAGAAAATGTGGTGTGTATATATATATATACACCTCTAGAGGTGTTCACTGGTTACTTAGGGTACACCCTATGTAAATGAAGAGGCTAAAGTGAAGTTACAAAGTTATTTACTTGGTGTACACCCTATGTAAATGAGGAGGATGAAGTAATGTTACAAAGTCATTTACTGAGTGTACACCCTGTGTAAATGAAGAGGATATTTCCTGTCATAGCTGAAGTGTTTCCATTTGATTTAGTTCTAGGAAGTCCTTAGGTTCCCTGCCTCCAGGCCCTATTCTCCTGTCTCAATTTCACTCAGCATAATGTCCTCTAGGCTCATGCATATTGTAGTGAATTCCCTTCCTTTTGAAGGCTGAATGCTATTCCATTGTCTATATAGAGGGTGTTTTGTTTATCCACTCATCTGCTGAAGGACACTTGGGTTGCTTTCATGTTTTAGCTATTGGGAATAATGCTGCTATGAACATGAATGTACACAATTTTATGCTTTTCTTTCTTTCTTTTTTTTTTTTTTTTGAGATGGAGTCTCTCGTTGTGTCACCCAGGCTGCAGTGCAGTGGTGTGATCTGAGATCACTGCAACCTCTGCCTTCTGGGTTCAAGCAATTCTCCTGCCTCAGCCTCCCAAGTAGCTGGAATTACAGGCACCCGCCACCACACCTGGCTAATTTTTGTATTTTTAATAGAGATGGGGTTTCCTCTTGGCCAGGCTGGTCTCAAGCTCCCGATCTCAAGTGATCTGCTCTCCTCAGCCTCCCAAAGTGCTGGGATTACAGGCATGAACCAATGTGCCCGGCCCACAATTTTATTCTTAATGGAATTTCTCCCTCTGCTTTGCTTTTAGGCCCAGACCCATGGAAAGTGGCCTGTCAAGTGGTACGCTCCGGAATGCATCAACTACTACAAGTTCTCCAGCAAAAGCGATGTCTGGAGCTTTGGAGTGTTGATGTGGGAAGCATTCTCCTATGGGCAGAAGCCATATCGAGTGAGCCAGTCCTGCTTCATTTTCTCACTGTGGGGCCATTAGAACAGATAAGCACCAGATTGTCTTTACAACAACCTGAAAATCCTAATCTGAGTCTCTCATTATCTTTTACCAGTAAGCAGTTAATGTGCCCTCAGTCTATTCCAAACTGAGAATGAAATATCTGATGCTCACTGAAGAGTGTGTTTTTCCCATTGTGTGTCAACACATGTAAATATACACAAAATATAACCCAGATCATTACTCATTAGAGTTGAAATAGAAATAATGACTATTTACAGTATCTTAATTACATTTTTTAGATCTTTTAATTAAAACATATATACCAAAAAGGGCACAACTCTTAGCATGCAGTACAGTGGTTTTCCACAAATGAAACATACCCATGAAATCAGCCCCCAGATGAAGAACAGAACCCCAGAAGCCTGTTTCCTCTGCACACACAGCCTTCCCCAGGGGTGACCCAACTGACTCCAACATCACAGATTAAGTGCTCCTGTTTTTATACTTCGTATAATTGAAATCATACAATGTGTACTCCTTCATGTCTTGGAGTGGCTGTTTTGTTTTGTTTGACTAACACCTTTAAAAAAAAAAAAGCTTATGCATATCTTGCATGTTGTAGGGGATGAAAGGAAGTGAAGTCACCGCTATGTTAGAGAAAGGAGAGCGGATGGGGTGCCCTGCAGGGTGTCCAAGAGAGATGTACGATCTCATGAATCTGTGCTGGACATACGAGTGAGTACCTGACACTGACTGTGATGTATTCAGATGCTCTGGAAACAGGTGAAATGGTTGGGCGTCTAAAAAAAAGGATAAAGTTCACCTTTTCATGAATCAGGAATGTGCCCGCTTTCTAAACAAACAACGGTGGGGGCTGGTCTTGCTTTAGAGACCTTGCTTTCTGGCCCATGCACTTACATGTAGTAGAGCCTAAAGAGCAAGTTTAGATGGGGACTCTAACCCGAGTGTCCAAATTTAAATGTCGATAATGGTGGAGAGATGGGGCAAGGGCAGTCAAAGTAAAAAAGTGTTTGTAAGAGTTTGGGGCTGGATGCCATTTTTGGCATAGAGGATGGCAGAAGCACTCGGTAGGGGATGGTATACTTTCCTGACTCCCTGATTACCATGAGCAGTGAGGGGTGACCTCGGACTCTGGCCAGCTCACAGATACATTGGCTAAGGTTGCACTTCCCTAGAATCTACCTCATCCTTGAAGTGGTGGCCTCAGTCCACCCTGACTGCCGTCATACGTCTCGCTTAGTGGATCCCAGGTGCTGTTATGCTTTTAAAGTACACCTGGCATTATTCTTAGGTGATGTTCAGGGCAGCTCAGCAAGGAAGGAAAATGCATTGCCACTGAAAATTAGGAGTACAGTTTTGCCAGGCTCAGCAGCCTGCTTGTGCGTGCATAGCACGGTGACCCCAAGCCGCCATCTCCAGTTCCCTGGTACTGAACTGTGCACACAGAGCCCACACAGCTGAGAATCGATGTGGTTTGTGATCAGGAGGACATCACAAATCCTGGCCATGGATTTGATGCTTTGCGGAATCAGGTTTGCCTTCAGATACAGCTGACATTGCCAGAGCCTCTGAAAGATGAGGGCTATTCCAAATGCTGCAGATGCCACCTGGGATTCCGAGACCTCCCCTCCCCACCCTGGGAGTATCACTCTACCACAATTGTGAGTGACAGGGAAATAATCTCATTCTGTATCTAGAAACCACCCAGGGGGCAGCCACAAAGGCAGCAGGCAAACTGTGGGTATATGCTTCCCTGCCCCTGCTGCTGCCGTGGCTCAGGAGAGGAGCCTGGCCTGGGCCCCGGAGCATCTTCTCCAACCCCAAGTGTTAGTGCAACAGGGAGAGCTAAGTGTCAGCAAGAGGGAAGTGCTACTCATGGATCTAAGAGGATGTTTATTCCTAAGTCTTGGCTTAATTCTCCCAGTGCCTAAACTAGAATCGTAAGAACCATTGGCAGGTAGGCACTGGCAGCACTGGACCCTGGGGAGGGCAGCCCTTGGGCACGTGGCAGCCTATGACCCTTTACTGAAAGTGTTCTTTGGTCCAGCCTGCAGCTCCCTTTGCAAGGCTTCCCTTCTTGTAGAAGGGTGAGGAGGGTAGAGTTTAAAACATTGTGATACAAATGCAAAAACTTTGAATTAAAAATGAACTCGCAGTGGGGGAGTTTTTGCATTTAACGTTGATGCTGATCTATGTACTTCTGTCGATTCTTCTTTGTGGTGTGTGTTTAACAGTGAGGAGTGAAAGGTGGGTGGGAAGAGAGCAGGGTGCGCAGCCAGGGGCACCACCTCCCACTTGGCTCCCAGGTGGGTGCAGTGAGGCTGCTGAATACCCTTTGGGCTCGTGGTGTATTCTTGTGACTCAAGGAATCAGGATAGGGGCTGCTGGGCCGACCTCTGTCCTCCATGGACGCACGTAACAGTGGGCAGTTATTTCCAGAGTGGTCCACCAGGGGCAGACCGGGGAGGGAAAGCAGTCTACGTGATATTCACTGGATGTTCACCAGAATTACAGCAAAGTAGAGCAGTAGAACAGTCTCCTTAAGAGAGTATTCTTTCTAAACGTATTTTCCCGCCTGGAGATTTAAGATGGAACCTGAGTGAGGTTCACAGGCAGGCAATGTCTTTCCCCTTGGTTCCCACCCCAGTCCGCTCTGCAGGGGTGCATTTCAGTGAGTTCTGCAGGCTTGGAGGAGTCAGCTCCAGGGCACAAGCCCCAGTCAAAAGGAAATCATGACAATGGCCCATGCCCCATATTAGAAATCACAGCTCTTTATCAGACTTTGATTTATTTCCCAACAAAGCTATATTTCTGAAGGTTACAGTGTTTCTAGTAGTGACCTCAAACAGGGTTGGGGGAGGTGGGGAGATGTTCTGAAACTTTTGAAGCAGCTGTGTTTGTCTGGGGTAATACCTGAGCTCGTTGCCTCACGCCAAGGAAATCAAAGATGCAGACACACAAGAAGTGAGTTTAAGAGCAGAGGTTTAATAGGCAACAGAAAAGAGAAAAGCTCTCTTTCCTGCAGAGAGACAAGGGCTCCCAAGTGGTTCTTCCGGCTCCGTGTGGAAATGCAAGGGTTTTATAGACGAGCTTGAGTCTGATTACATAGGGCCCAAAGATCGGTTGGACAGCCAGGCCATTTACATAACACGAAAAGAAACTGGCTGCCCCACCCTAATCTTTTATTATGCAGATGAGGTCTCTCCTTGGCCGACGCCATGTTGCCTGCTTTTTTTTTTTTTTTTTTTTTGAGACGGAGTCTCACTCTGTCGCCCAGGCTGGAGTGCAGTGGCGCGATCTGGGCTCACTGCAAGCTCTGTCTCCCGGGTTCACACCATACTCCTGCCTCAGCCTCCCGAGTAGCTGGGACTACAGGCGCCCGCCACCACGCCCAGCTAATTTTTTTGTATTTTTTAGTGGAGACGGGGTTTCACCGTGTTAGTCAGGATGGTCTCGATCTCCTGACCTCATGATCCGCCCGCCTCAGCCTTGTTGCCTGCTTTTTTACTGCACACGTGGCAACAAGGAAAGTGGAAGAGGGAACCTCCATGTTGAATATCCCTGGCTCCAGGGATCCCTTTTCTATTGACACAGCTGCCGGCATTTACCTATGTGAGCTTTTAGCTTGCTTAGCTATGCTTGCAGCTTGATTTTTCAGGCTGCTTTTTGTTATAAAAGACATGATTTAGGAGCTGCTTTTTATTGCAAGGAAACCTTACAGAGGACTCTGTTACCCTCACTATCTGCCTAAATAATTTCTTTCTAGCTCTGAATCACTTTGTCTAAACATAAGAAATTCAATGAGGTGCAGTTGAATGAAAAAAAAGGAAAAGATTCCTTGGAGCAGGGCCACAAGGAGAACTCAGAAGCGCCAAGGGCTGGTCCTGGTAACCCAGGCTATTGCTTGAGGCCCTCCAGAAGATGCAGGGGGTCCCTCACTGCAGGCATTGTCATCAGTTCCAGGGTGTGGTCCTGGAGGGAATTCAAAGGGACTTCCCAGCCTCAATGACAAAGCCCTGAGAAGGCAGACAGCATCCCTCACCCTTGTAAGACAGCCAGAGATTACCTCCAACCCCTTTTTAGTCTTAATGGACTCTTCAGCTGGACCTAGAAACCAAATTGATACCAGGCCAGATTAACAAAAGAAAAGCTTACCAATTTTACTAGTTTTACATGTTTATGGGGATCCTCACAAGACAGTGAAGTCTAAAGAAGTGGCCAAAACAACATGCTTTTATAATCTTTAGACAAAGAACCATACATTTAAGGAGAAATGACAGGACAAATAAAATCTGGCTAGAAGGAGTAAATTTTCTAGAGAAGGCGCTAGGAGATATGAGGAGGGTGTAAAACCAGTGGAAGATAAGGGATACTGTGTTAAATATGTTTACTCAGGCCCATTGCAGCTCCAATGCCCAGTCTCTGATGATAAGGGGCATTTTCTCATCCTGCTACAGGAAGGGTCTCCTTCCCAGAGGAATCTTTATGGCTTGCTGCAGGCATGAAGAGACAGGTCAGTTAGTCCTATCCGAAACTACAATGTATCCAATATTTTCAACTCAAAATAATCAATATCCCAATCTGGCATATTTTGGGATGGCCCATGCTTCACTCCTTCCCCCTCTCACTTTCCAAAGAGGAAACACAACATCAGAGTCCTGCCCTGTGCAGGTCACTCAAGGAGGCAGCGTGAAAGCCAGGAAGGAAACACTGGCCCTAAGAAAAGCAGGAATCAGTCAGGAAGCCTTCCACTGTAGTGTTTTCCAGAGCCAAGTCATGCTTGGGGTGATTAAAGACACCAGTGGGGAAAGCCCTTGCAAATGGAGAGAAGTTGGTGCTCTTGATCCTGAAAAACGGTTTCCTAATAGTCCCAGCCCTCCAGTGGGGGCCTCTGCCGAATGGAGAAATTTCCTGGGCTCTCCAGGTTCTCTGAGAGTCAGGGAGGCTCTAGATGCGGCTCAAATTCCTGTTTAAAGATCAACAAGCCCAAGATAAAACATGAATTCCCAGGACCTTGGTGAGATGTCCCCTGGCTCCCTGCACAACCTCAGCTCCAAGGCTTTCCTCTGAGCGGCACATCCTCTGAGAGCCCTGGGTCATTCACAGGGTCGGTGGCCACTGCCGGAGCTCCTGCTATGCAGGCTGCCACCCCAGGTGCAAGCCTCACAGAAGCCTCAGACCCTGTCCCTATCAGACCTTATAGTTGGGGCTGGGGCAGACAGGCAATAAACAATAAGCTAAAAATAAGTGTGTCCTATGATGTGTCTTAGGAAAGGGATGACTCCAGTGGGAATTCTAAGCAAGGAGGGCACAGGGGCCTGGAGGATATCACGTGTATATATGGGGTTTTTTAAGCCCTCTCGTGTCGAAGTAGTTTCTCACAGTTGCCTGCAGCACAGAAGCACATTGGAGCTTCTAGAATGTGGTGGATTCAATGAAGGGACTACAGGTGGTCCTAGTATATTCTCTGTTTTGTTTTGTTTTGCTTTGTTTTTTCATTTTTTCCTCAGTAGTAAACAGCCACTCTCTCCAAGGTGATATATAGAGACAGACAGAGAGAGCGGGAGGGAGGTAGATGAAGGGAGAGAAGGAGGGAGGGAGGGAGAGAAATAGTCTCATTAGCACAAACCCAGGTATGGTTGAAGGGGGTTTATTATGAGTAACAAAAGATGCTGCTTTCAGCCCAACAATCAGGAAATTCCAAGGGTTTTAGGAGCTCTGTGCCAGGAACCCAGGATAAAGACCATATATCTCTTTATATAAAATCACACACTGGAAACTTTAAAAGAGAACAGAAAATTATGGGGAGGGAAGCCTCACACTTCCAGCAGGGGCTCCAGATAGGCCGCCTTTAGGGATTGCAGCTGAGACCTGCAGGCTAAGAAGCAAGGTTGAGTGCAGGGATGAGGGGAGAGGAGGAGGGTCACTGGGTACAAGGAGCAGAGCAGAATCTGCACTCTGGCCCGAAAGCAGAGTGGCAGGCCAGGGCAGGCCAGGAAGCTGGGCACGCAAGGGCACTGCATCACCCTCCTGCTGCTGAAGCACAGCTGTGTCCCAGCTTCCTGGAGGCAGCATCTCCCATGGATGTACAGGAGAGATTTCCTAGGAGACCTGACCAGGTGTTTTTCCTGAGGACGAGTCTGTATTCCTGTTTCCCTGCATTTGTTTGCTCCTTGGCTGCTGGGCAGATGAACCCCCAGAGCAAGATCCAAAGGTGCTCTTTGTACCATTTGGATCCCCACAGTTGGAGCAGAGCCCCCTGTTTTGCAAAGATGCTGAAGTGTGTTCTCTTTGACTGTAGAAGTTTAGGAGCAAGACAGAGGCTGTCCCTCTGGGTGGACACATGCTCCTGTACCAGAGGCTTGGCCACCATATCCCCTCTCGGAACACACTTGGTGGCCAGAGACAAAGCCCCTCTCAGTGACACCCTGGGAGGCCCGTGTCCCCAGACATGACCACAGATGGCTGACCACACTGATCAATTCGAGCAGTTTTATCATTTTGCTCACTATTGAAAGCTATAAGAGAAACCATGTATTTTGATGCCATTTGACAAAGCTACCCATTTTGATTTGTAGAAGCCACTCTGCTCTTATAATGATGAGTGAGTCTTGGTCCTGATGCGCGTTCTATGGCTGTTCTCTTGTGTCGACATTGAATCATATGAAATTGCCATTGATATAGGTCAAAATGGCTGAATGTGGACGGTTTCCTACAATTTAACCTCACATTCTGTTTCACTTTTTCACTTATTGTATTTCAACTTCACCCACTTGCAATATATCCAGAAATCTTGCAAAATAAGAAAAATAACTTCTAAGTGAGGATCGATTATCAGGGTTTTAGTACTTACTTCCAACTGATCTGTACAGGATGTCTGTGTAAGACAAAACAGAAGTGTCTGTAAGTGTTTGTTTAGAGACTGCGAACTGTTAATGCTTTTGCCCATAGTTTACTGACATTAGTGCCTCCCTGGCCAGCAGTGGCAGTAAGGACTGGCTATATTAAGGTGGATCATAGACAAGCCCTGGGTCTTTGCTCCTGCCATGACATGTTTTGAGCTTTCCTAAGAACCCATATCAACAGCCCATTTTCAGAAAATCCAGAGCCATCGATTAGAGCGTGGAAAGGGAGAATTAAAGTTATGTTCGTATTTCTTCTCTTAACAAGATTATGAGTCAGATGTTGACTATATCTGCAGAACATTTGCCAAGTATTTTCAGACACCTGTTTTGCTAAAATCACAGAGTGACAGCCTCTTCGTGTTGCCTGTGGCACAGAAGCATATTGTGTGCCGCATATCTGAACCTGGGGCTAAAACACTCCCAGTTCTAATGCAAAAAGTCTCCTACTTTAGGGTGGACATGAATCACCGGGAGGTCTTGTTAAAGTGCAGATATGGGTTATTTAGGTCTACAGTAGGCCGACACTATTTTTGACAGCCTTGTGGTCACCCTGGGGTGGGGGGCACAGGGACCACGCTGTGAGCTGCAGGCCCTAGAGTTAGCCACCAGGGAGCAGCACCACTGGTACTCAGCCTGCAGAGGCCCTGCTTGTGATCAGCAATTTTTCACAAGCACATTGACAAACAAGAATGCATCTCTTCCATTCCAGTGTGGAAAACAGGCCCGGATTCGCAGCAGTGGAACTGCGGCTGCGCAATTACTACTATGACGTGGTGAACTAACCGCTCCCGCACCTGTCGGTGGCTGCCTTTGATCACAGGAGCAATCACAGGAAAATGTATCCAGAGGAATTGATTGTCAGCCACCTCCCTCTGCCAGTCGGGAGAGCCAGGCTTGGATGGAACATGCCCACAACTTGTCACCCAAAGCCTGTCCCAGGACTCACCCTCCACAAAGCAAAGGCAGTCCCGGGAGAAAAGACGGATGGCAGGATCCAAGGGGCTAGCTGGATTTGTTTGTTTTCTTGTCTGTGTGATTTTCATACAGGTTATTTTTACGATCTGTTTCCAAATCCCTTTCATGTCTTTCCACTTCTCTGGGTCCCGGGGTGCATTTGTTACTCATCGGGCCCAGGGACATTGCAGAGTGGCCTAGAGCACTCTCACCCCAAGCGGCCTTTTCCAAATGCCCAAGGATGCCTTAGCATGTGACTCCTGAAGGGAAGGCAAAGGCAGAGGAATTTGGCTGCTTCTACGGCCATGAGACTGATCCCTGGCCACTGAAAAGCTTTCCTGACAATAAAAATGTTTTGAGGCTTTAAAAAGAAAATCAAGTTTGACCAGTGCAGTTTCTAAGCATGTAGCCAGTTAAGGAAAGAAAGAAAGAAAAAAAAAAAAGGCCTGGATACTGCTTTTGCTGTCTCTGTTATGAGATGGAAGACTTACATGTTTGTGATAAAAGGGGACCATGAGAATGAATTGGCTTGGCTTACTTTCCCCCTGAAATCCTCTCTCCTGCAGACTGTCTTGAAGACCTGGTGACTGGTAAATAAAGCCCTGCATGGAGGCTGCACAGCAGGGGCAAGAGGCCCATCCCCCAGCATCTCACTGAGGACAGCTTCAGGCTGCCTTCCTCTGAACGTGGTCCACACCTTCCTCTCCTCCACAGAGAGGGTGCCGCCAGAATCCCCTGTCGCTTTCTGTGTCTGCAATGGGGGGCAGCACAGGGATCAAAGCCATCTAAAGAGTTTCCAAAGAAAGTATTAATTCAGAACAAGCCAAAGACCCTGAGCCTCACCACAAACAGGCCTTTTGGAGTGTGAATTTGAGTTGAAGATACAAGATCGGAGAATGATTTTCTGGTCTTAACTAATCCTCATCTTCATGTTTGATCTTTAAGAAGTCATCACCCATTGATTTCAGTTTTGCTGTACCTCTTGAAAGTTAAAGAGACATCTCAGCACTTTAGGAGGCCGAGGCGGGTGGATCACTTGAGGTAAGGAGTTTGAGACTAGCCTGGCCAATATGGTAAAACCCCATCTCTACTAAAAATACAAAAATTAGCCGGGCATGGTGGCATGTGTCTGTAGTCCCAGCTACTCGGGAGGCTGAGGCAGGAGAATCGCTTGAACCCAGGAAACGGAGGTCGCAGTGAGCCAAGATCATGCCACTGCACTCCAGCTTGGGCATCACAGCGAGACTCTGTCAAAACAAACAAACAAAAAAACAACTTAAAGAGGTAATTTAGCCATCATTCTTATGCCAGCAGATATAAATAAACTTGGACCCATCTGGTCTTCAGCTAAACCTGAGACATTTTAAAGTGCATGGACAGCCATGGACAGCAGGCCCTCCTCTAACAGGGGATGCAAGGCATGGAGAAAGACAATCAGTACCCAAGCTCAGCCACAGAAGACAGGAGTCACTCATATAACTTGTGTTTAGAAGTTTTTGGTAGCCACGCACACTTTCTGAAATCACACTATCTGGTGGTTTAATCATATTTTTAAAGACAGAATCCCTGAGTGCTGAGCAGATTCTCAAAACACATTTAGAATCCCTGAAATTAGAAAGATCAATGACAAAATATCTGTCAGCCAGGCCACAAACAGGTGTAAAATTATGAAAGGAGTGGTTGGATGTGCCAAGTTTGGTAAAGTGGTGACTGCATCTGAGAAAGAGGCTGTGAGGCTGAACTCTTGGTGGCTTCCTTCTGTAACTTCCAGAGGGAGTCTTCAACACAGGCCCCGTGCTCGTAGGAATACGGTAGCACCTATGTAGGAAGTGCGTGGAGTTTTCTGTCTTCTTTCTGTGTGATTTTTGGCCTTTTTATCAGCACTTCTCCCCTCCCAGGAGCCTGGGGATGCCAAACATCCAGAATGTGATGGGACAAGATGGGGGCAGGGGCCTCACCTCCCTGCAGAGGTCCGGCCAGGTCTCCTTGTCCCTGGACAATCTCCTGAGCCTCTCTGCTTGGTGGAGCAGGCACCTGTGTGCAGAATTCCCACTGTGGCCAGCACGAGGAAGTCTTTTCTAGTGAAAATGTGTCTTGTGGTCAGGAATAATTATCCTTTCCCCTGTAGCCACCAAGGAGGGCAAATAGAGAAAGGTAACCTAATTGAAGGATTGGTCATGTGAAAAGGGCTACATTTGGGAAGCTGGGAAAGGCCTCCAGGCTTCTAGAGCAGCTAGCTTGGGCTGGATTCTCATACCCAGGCTGCCCCTTGGATTGTTCTACCCAAGCTTTTCCCTGGGGTCTGGGCTCACTCCATAAGGTAAGGTGCCTTTTACCTTATGGTCCTTCTTTAGCAGGTAACAAAGGAGCATCAGGGGCAGGCTGCCCTGGTGGCATCACACTGGCTAGTGAGGCCGTGAATATCTTGTCCCCCAGCAGGGCCGACAGTTTCTATCACAGAAAACAGTGTGTTCAGTGGTGAAAATCGTTGCATGCATGTTTTCATCTGAGCGTGTCCTTCTCCCATACTCCCTATCAGCCAGCCCTGCCTGTAGCTGCTGTATGGTGATTGCACTTGGACATCAGTCCAATGACTGCAAGTCGGCCTGGATTTTCACTTGCAGAGGCTACAGCTGCATTGTCAGGTCTCCCAGCCCTGCAGAGAGCTCCCTCCACTGGTTAGCAGTGTGTTGTGTTTTCCATTCATTTCAGAAGAGCTACATTGTGTCACTGGACATTTTTAAAAACTGTGATTTTTAATAAAAATTTAAAATTTGCTTTGTGATGATTTTCATGGAAGTTATTAGGATGTGGTAAGTCACACTGTCAAATAGTGTCAAGCAGCATTGTCAAAGGGGTAGCTAAATGTTTTCTAAAACATTAAGTCCCTGCCATGTCCCAAAAAAGTGAATGTGTTGGCCGGGTGCAGTGGCTCATGCCTGTAATCCCAGCAGTTTGGGAGCCCAAGGCAGGAGGATCTCTTGAGCCCAGAGTTTGAGACCAGCCTGGACAACATAGTAAGACTTTAGCTCTGCAGAAATCAAAACATTAGCCGGGTGTGGTGGTATGCACCTGTAGTCCCAGCTACTTGGGAGGCTGGGGCAGGAAGATTGCTTGAGCCTGGGAGGTCGAGGCTGAAATGAGCTGTGATGGCACCACTGCACTCCCAGCTGGGTGACAGAGCAAGATCCTATCTCAAAAAAAAAAGTGGATGTGCACAGGTCAAAGTTGACTGTGAGATTCCACCACACAGAACGGCGGGGAGGCCCATCAGGGAGGGCCCTGTCCTGCCCTGCCTCTATCTTTTATTCATGAGCAGAGCATCTACCCAGCCAGGGCCTGACAGCCCATGGCCTGCCTAATAAAAGACAGACTGAGGAGACCCAGAAATCCCCCATCAGGCCAAAGCAGGGCTGTGGGTTTTGAGCTATCCCTTTCTCTATGAAGACAGCCTAAAAGGAACTGCGGTAGGCAAAGAAAGGATTCCAGAGCCCCAATTTCTGCCTGTTCTAAGGAGGTTACACACATGCGCAGACATGCACACATATACATCCACATGCACACATGCATTCACACATGCACAGAAGGCATGCACACGTGTACATATGCACACATGCATATATGTCAGTGCATACATGTATATGCACACATGTACATACACATGTGCATGGGCACAAATGCATGCATTTACATGAACACATGCATCCACACACATAAGCACATGCACAAATGTACACATGCATTCACACATGTGCACACATGTGCATGCATGTACATACACCTGTACCCACATGCACACATATACATACACATATGCAGAGACGGGCACACATACATACACATGCACACAAATACACAGAACATGCATGCACCACACAGTACACATATACACATACCAAACACATACCACATACACCTTCACACACCACACACATACATACACTGCGCATACACATACTATGCCATACACACACACCACGCAAGCACACACACACAAAACGCACACACCACCGCACATACTGAACCTTACTCCAAATAACCACTTAAAAATCCATGTGAGGCAGTGGTCCTGCAGTGGACACACCCTCGTGTCTGTATCCATCTTCATTACCACCCTCTCTGGTGTCAAGCACTAAGGGACTCTCCTCACAATCTTCCATCCTAGCCTCCCCTGGGTCCCCTCTGCTCTTGCCAAGCCAAGTTAGGTTTGGAGGAAACAATTAAGTTGGCTGGGCCAAGGCTCCCTGGGTCAGCTGGGAGATGGGAAGGACACAGACTGCCCAGTAGCCCAGTGGCCTGCGGGGGGCTGCTCCAAATACAGTGGGGTGGTGAAGAGCCCTGAAGTCAGAGAAGAACACAACACACAAGAGACCACTGGGCTCCAGCACTGACCTTAGGCATGTCCTATAAATTGAACCCCTGAGCACCACAATTTCAGCTGAGGGTGCCTATGCTGACACATGTAAGTGCCAGCACAGTGGCCTTATTCTAAAAATGTCAGCAGATGCCATGGTCTGTGCTGTTCATGCCAGTGGCCATCTGCTGGGAGGAATGCTGCAGGCAGCAGACGGCGCAGGCCCTAGGACAGCTCTGGAAATAAGCACTGGCCTTTGGCTTCAACCCCAGGGAGGGAAAAACTCTTGTGATAATGTATCACTGCACTGCAGTGAGATGGCTTTACCACTAGCCTGAGCTGCAGCAGAGAAGCGGTTTAAGACCCCGGGGCTTGTCCTTCGGAGATGAGGAGGGGACTTTAGAACTGATAGATAAATATATTCTCATTTTAGGGAGGAAGGGAGCACTTTGAAAAAGGCAGATTTTGGTTTTTAAATTATGTTTTAGTTTGTGATAAACAATGCCGTGTCTCTTTTCCTCTCTTGGTTACTCGCTGGTGGTCTCAGGGTGGAAATTCATCCCTGCTTCTGGGCAAGCAACCCTACCGAATTATTACCTCCTCTCTGGTGTTAGGCTGCAACAGGGACCAACACCTCTGTGCTGTGGGACCTCCCACCCCCTCCTGCTCCATGCTCTGTCTCCTGTGGCCTGACATTTCCAAAGAGCATCCCCAAAAAAGGCATTTCACAAAGTGTCTTCCGGGATATGAGTCTGGAAGGTGGAGACACGCTCTACAGCACGCAGTTTCCCTGATTAACTAACTTAGAAAACATGGCCAAGTACATTCACAGTGCACATTAATCTACTAATAGCTCCAAAGAGCACTGCAACCAAGATCTTTTCATGGAGCTTTTCTAGCTCAACATTCTCCTGACTTCTTTTGCCACTACCACTAGGTGCTCAATACCTATTAGCATGATAGAGTGCTGTTCCCCCCACACTCACTGGGAAATGTGCTTAAGGAGAATTAGGGAGGCATCTCTAAAGGGCAATGGTCATTTGGTCCAACCCTGAAATCACACCAAGGAAGCAGGTATCTGTGTTCTTATTAACTGGAAAGCCAGCCCTGTCCTGTCAGTTCTCAAAGGTTAATTTACACATGATATGTTCTTTCACTCTCTCTCTCTCAGATACATACACACACACACACTCTCTCTCTCTCTCTCTCTCTCTCTCTCTCTCTCTCTCTCTGTCTCTCTCTCTCTCCAGGGCATATAGATTCAATCTTTCCTCCAAAGAAAAAGAAGAAACGATGACAGCACTTTGGTATAGAAAGGTGTGGGCAGCAAGACACCCAGGTGCCGAGGCAAGAGACTGAAGGCACAAGCTGTTCCAGTATAATAAAGAAAATAATAAGAATAAGAATAGTTATACTAGAAATAGAATATAGATATGATTATATATGAATATTATTAATCATTAGTTTGTAGAATTACTCTTTGTTCTGTTATTATAATAATCCCTATTCTAGAATTATAACCTAGGAATAACCAGGCCATACGGAGTTAGGAGCTGAAGGGACACGATGAGAAGTGACCAGAAGGTAAGAGTGTGAGCCCTCTGTCACGCCCAGATAAGCGCAACTAGAGGACTCCTTGGTCTAGTGGTAACGCCAGTGCCTGGGAAGGCACCTGTTACTTAAGCGGGAAAGGGAATCTCCTTTTCCCTGGAGGAATTAGAGAACACTCTGCTCCACCACTTCTTGTGGGAGTCCTGACATTAGCCAGGCCCACACACAGCCATTCAGAAGCTTGAACGTCTCCCAGTGATGCTGTGCTTCAGCAGTCACGCTCCTGGTCCACTTTCATGTTCCGCTCTGTACCTCTGGCTCCTCCTTCTAGATAACAGTAGCAGAATTAGTGAAAGTATTAAAGTCTTTGATCTTTCTGTTAAGTGCTTAGAAGAAATGATGACGTATGATGTATGCTGTCCTCTCTCTCTCTGCCTCGGCTGCCATAAAGGGAAAGGCCCCCTGTATGGTGGACACGTGACTCGTGTGACCTTATCAATCACTGGAGATGACTCACACTTCTTGCCCTGCCCCCTTGCCATATATACAATAAATAGCAGCATGGCCAAGCATTCAGGGCTACTACCAGTCTCCGCATCTTGGTGGTAGTTGTCCCCCGGGCCCAGCTGTTTTTTCTTCTATCTCTTTGTCTTGTGTCTTTATTTCTACAATCTCTTGTCTCTGCACATGAAGAGAAAACCCACAAGCCCTGTAGGGCTGGACACTACATCTGGCGCCCAACGAGGATTTCTCTTTCATTATGTGAAGGCGCGCTTCGAGCATGGAACACAGTGGAGAGCATCAATGACAGATTCCTGAGAACTGCAGTCAATACGCTTGGTGGTAGGCTTGGGCACTCAGAGTATCCCCGGACACCATGGGACAGGCCAGTACTAAGTACTCGGCTTATTTAAACTTTATAAAAACTCTCCTTAAAGAAGGAGGTGTAAAAGTCTCTACTGATAAGTTAATTGCAGTGTTTGAGGTCATAGATCTCCTCTGCCCTTGGTTTCCTACTGACGGAACTTTAGAACTCAAAGATTGGGATGAGATTGGCCAACAATTCAAAATTGCTCATAAAGGGGGAAATATTCCTCCCACCATTTGGTCAATCTGGGCTTTGGTTCACTCTGTTCTAGAGTCCTTGCAGACTCAGGAGAACAACATGGAGACTGACCCCTGTTTCCTGTCCTCTGAGGAGGTTGAGGAAGTCCTCAGTTCTCTTTCCCCTGAGGAAACTGCACAGATTGAGGCCGTCATTTTACAGATGAACCTCCATTCTGACATTCCTTTGACCCTGCCACCTACACCAGAGCCTACCGCGCCCCCATTATCACTTTATGATGAACTTTTACATGATTTAAATAATCTCATTTCCCCAAACCAGAGAAATCCAACCGAAATACATTCTCAACAGCTGTTGTAACTGGACCCTCCTGTCTTTCCTCAGACCTGCTGTAGGGCCCCCGACCTTCCATCTGCGCAGCCCGAAAATGGCTCTAAACTACCTTTCTATGGAGCCCGGTAATGAGGCTCTCAATTCTGTCCCTGTTCAGCCCTGCTGTAGGGCCCTCAAACTTCCACCTGTTCAGCCCGGTAATGAGGCTCTCAACTCTGTCCCTGTTCAGCCCTGCTGCAGGGCCCTCAACTTTCCATCTATTCGGCCTGGCAATGAGGCCCTCAAACCTGTCCCTCTGCAGCCTGATTATCCATCTCTCACTTTTGTTTCTCCTTCAGCAAATCAGGCTCCCTTGAAGCCTCAGGGTCCCTTGAAGCCTGTCCCGCAGTTACCACTGCAGCCTGGACCTCAGGCCCCTGAAGGACCTGCCCAGCAGGTAATCTCACCTCAACCTGGCTTACAGGTTCTCAATTCTTCCTCCGTTCAAAATCCTAACTTCGTTTCTCCTTCTGGTCTGGTCACTACTGCCGCTCATAAGCAACAAGTTACATACATCCCTCAAGATGATACTCCTCTTATGAGAGCCATCACTCAGGCCAGAGAATATGGGGCTCCTGAGGCCTGGCAATTTCCTGTAATTTTACAACCTCCTATACCTGCCGTCCCTGCAGCACAAAATCAGCCACAGCCCGCTGACCCTGCTCAGCAGGAGGCTGACCCCGCGGCTCCTCAAGATCTACAGCCTGAGAATCAGGTCCCTCAGCCCGAGAATCAGGCTCCTCAGGCAAATAATCAGCCCCCACAACTGCCTGCTGCTGTGGCACAGCCAGTTCCAGGTATACATCCAGGCAGCAGTCCAACCAGATCCTATTCATCCAGGCCAGGTTTGGCTACGCCCTGCTACTTGGGAAAGTTTTTCTTTTAAATTCCTCAAAGATTTCAAAGCATCAGTGAAGCAGTACGGCACCAACTCCCCGTTTGTTCATTCCACATTAAAGGCCCTAGCAGAAGGTAAACGTTTGGTGCCCTATGACTGGAAAATTCTAGCAAAGTCAGTCTTATTTAAATCCCAATATTTACAATTCAGGACTTGGTGGGTTAATGCTGTCCAGGAATGCATTCATCTTAATCAGGTCTCTAATCCTCCTGTTAATGTTACGGCTGACCAGTTACTGGGAATGGGACTATGGGATGGAATTCGAAACCAAGCTATACTAAATGATGAGGTTATTGAACAATTATGAAAATGTTGCCTAGATGCTTGGGATAACATTCAGAATGATGGTAAAATATGTCCATCTTTTACGGCTGTTACACAGGGACAGCAGGAACCCTATCCAGACTTTATTGCCCATCTTCAAGATGCGACAGAGAAAACCATCCCTGATAGCCACGGCCAACGACTTGTTGTAGAACTTAAGGCTTATGAACAAACAAATGCAGACTGCCAAGTGGCTATTCGCCCCATTAAAGGCAAAATTCCACCAGGAGGTGATATACTCTTCTACATTAAAGCCTGTGAAGGCGTGGGGGAACTCTACATACAGCAATGGTCCTGGCACAAGCCATGGCCACTATTAGAATGCCTGGACGATTCTCTGGCAAATGCTTTCAATGCGGCCAATCAGGGCATTGTAGAAAAAATTGTCCTCGGCTTTCAGGCTGCCATTCTTTTCAATGCCAACAACAAAACCCTATACAGCAACAAATCTTGCCCTCCAGTCTGTGCCCACGATGCCGTAAGGGAAATCACTGGGCTGCTCAGTGCCGCGCAAAATTTGACATTGATGGTAACCCTTTAAAGCCATTCAGCAACTAGGGAAATGGAAAGAGGGGCCAGCCCCAGGCCCCTCCAAACAATGGGGAATTCCTCAACTCACAGCCTTTGGCAGCCAGCCAGATGAGCACTTTCCCAGCCCAATCCATTCAACCTGCCCCCCAGTTCCCACTTCAGCCATTTGTACCACAGGATCTAACGACTCAGTCCCAACACAAATCTCAGTACAATGCTTGTCCCCTGCCACCACAGGCTCAGCCACTGTAGATCTCTGCTGCACTCGAGATATTTCTCTCTTACCCGGAGAGCCACCTATTGCTGTTTCCACAGGTGTGTTTGGCCGTTTGCCACCTGGCACTGTCAGCTTGCTTCTTGGTCGCTCAAGCCTAAATTTAAAAGGTGTTCAAGTACATACTGGTGTAATCGACTCTGATTATTCAGGTGAAATTCACATTGTCATTAGCTCTGCAGTATCTTGGTATGCAGCAGCAGGAGACAGCATTGCTCAACTTCTTATACTCCGTTACATTCCACTAGGATCTAGTTCTTGTAAGAGAACCAGAGGTTTCAGAAGCACAGACTTTCAGGGCAAAACAGCCTATAGGGCCAGCAAGATTTCTGATACTCGTCCTGTGTGCTCCATGCATACATATTCAAGGAAGGAAGTTTGAGGGAATGATTGACTCGGGTGCTGATATCACCATTATAGCCTCATATCAATAGCCTAGACACTGGCCCAAAGAATATGCATCCACAGCCTTAGTTGGTGTTGGTCAGGCTTCAGAGGTTTATGAAAATTCCACTATTTTACACTGTACGGGCCCAGAGGGACAGACTGGTACTGTTCACCCCCTCATTACGCCTATTCCAGTTAATCTTTGGGGAAGAGATCTTTTACAACAATGGAGGACACAGATTTCTTTCCCACAAGGTAATTACAGCTAACAAAGTAAAGACATTATGGCAAAAATGGGATTTGTTCAAGGTATGGTTCTGGAAAAATCAGCACAAGGTATTACTGATACTATTATAACTACTCATAAATCTGATTCAACAGGACTTGGTTGTTCTTTTTAGAAGCAGTCACTATCAAGCCTCCAGATCCCATCCCCTTAACTTGGAAAACTCAGAAACCGGTTTGGGTAGATCAGTGGCTGCTCCCTAAAAATAAGCTGGCGGCACTCCATATTTTGGTCCTTGAACAATTAAAATTGGGACACATAAAGCAATCTTTTTCTCCTTGGAATTCACCTGTTTTTGTTATTCAAAAGAAATCTGGTAAGTGGAAAATGCTTACTGATCTTAGGGCAGTAAATGCTGTCCTTCAACGTATGGCAACCCAACTTGCCATCCCCCACTATGATTCCTGAGTATTGGCCATTTATCATCATTGATCTTAAAACTGTTTCTTTAATATTCCTCTGGCCCCCTCAGGACTTTAAAAAATCCACAGGCCCTGTAGGGCTGGACCCTACAGAAGGGTACATAATTTCATGTTTCATTAGAGAGTGCTTTTTAAGGCCACTTGTTATTTTATAGCTTTGCAAAATTAAGTGGTGAAAGGAAGAACACTTTCTCAGAGCCCTGCCCACCAAACCCAGCGAGCCTGCACTGCGATGCCCATCACATCCCAACAGATGTCACATGTCCAGCATTTGCCTGAACCCCTACCTCACAGCCTGTTGCTGCCACCACTCCCTTATGGCGCATCACACAGCTAAGAGATGCTCACAGCCCCCACGCAGCTCAGCTGGCGATGTTTCCCGGAGCTATTTTTCCTTATTAGTTAAGCATTATTTTACCAAAGCCATGAGTCATAAGACTTTAAACATCTGCAAATCTTTGAGGTCTTTGAATAACTCAGTTTTCCACGACTATCATCAAACTGTGGAACAATGAGTGAAAAATGTATTTTGTTCATAAACAACTCATCCTCATTCATAAAAATAAAGAGCCAGTGTCTCATACTGTTTGTTCTCCACAGCTCATATCAAATGACATCATAAATTTCTGTCAACCAAGCCCACTGGAACACAGTGAGGTGAACACACCCCCACTTGTGAACAGCTGCTTTAGTTCTTTCCTTCCCTGAAACAAGAGTAGAGGGAAGACCTCAGCCTCCAAGCGTAGTGAACAGGTTAGCAAATGGAGGCCCATCACTATCAAGAAAATGGTTTTGCTAGAGTCCTTATCAAGTGGATTGTGCCAGAAAGAAAGTGATCATCATAGGAGTAGGCAAGTCAGCCTCGCCAACTGTACAGGACATGACCTTTCCATTTCCTGATGAACCCGGAGGTGTAAGGTCACACCCATAGCAATGGCTCCTCTCGTACCAAAAGCGCCTGGTAAAGCACACTTTCTGGACACCGGATGTGTTCCCAGGGATGCCAGAGAGCTCCCTGTAGCCGGTGGCATCCAGGTGGACAGACTTACACAGCAGCACGCTGTCCCTCGCTACATCGGTCAGAATTTAGGGACACAAGCTGCCCAGTGCACCTCCATCCATCACCTCTCTTCCCCCTCTTCTTGCTTCCTTCATTATTCAACCTCGAAATAAAAAAGAAAACAAGATGCTTGGTCAAGCCAATCTCAACTACCGAGACTTTCTACCTCACACTACCGTGTACATGGCAGGAAATCTCAACAGAACAGGGGCGAGAAAAGACTCCTCGGACAGACTTCAGTGGACCAGGATCTGAGCAGGATTTGCTCGCCTTGGAAATAAGGCAGACCTCCCAAGGTGGAGAGAATTTAAGTAGAAGAGATTCATGAAGAGAAAAATATCGCCCAGTTAAAGCATGGCCGTGAACAAACAGCCATTTTATTTATTTTTCTACAGTCAAAATATTAGACACTTGTTCATTCAATCTTCTCTTTTAAAATTAATGAGATATCCATTCCTTAATGTCATGCTATGAATTTTTTTCTCAGCCTCACCCCAGTTCTTTAATCTTGATCACTAAATAGTAGCTTTCTAGAGGATGCTTTTTTTCATTTGCTACCAGGGCTTCCCCTAATGGGCCGGAGGGTTCATCCTGTTAGGAATCTGTGTGTGTGTGGGAGGGGGTGTACGTGTGCATCTGTTTGTAGTATGTGTGTGTCCGTTCATGATGTGCGCATGTGGTTTGGGGAGGTGTCTGTGTGTGTCCATGTGTGTTTGTATGTTTGCATGCATACATGGTGTGTGTATATGTGTGTATCTCTGTGTGGTGTATCTGTGTTTGTATATGTGTGGCATGTGTGTGTCTATGTGTGTAGTGTGTGCATGTGGTATGTGGGGATGTCTGTGTATACATATGTATGCATGTTTATGTATCTGTGTGTGTATGTATTTGTGTGTGTGGTGTGTTTGTGTGGCATATGTCTATGTATGTGCTTCTGTATGTGGTGTGTATTTGTGTACTTGTGTGTATGCATATCTGCATGTGTATACCTGCATGTATGTGTGTATGTGTAGTGTGTGTGGTGTGTGTATGTGTACCTGTGTGTTTGTGTGTGGTGTATATGTGTCTCTGTTAAGCAGATGTCTTTGTCCTTTCATTTTTCAGATCTTCTTATGCTCTCAACATTACTGCCAACGTGAAAATGACCTTTTATTATTAACCAGCTTGGTCATCATTTTTCCCCATTCGGGTCACGGTGTGTAGAACCGGTTTTCCATCTCACTGGCATCCACGGGAGTTAGCCCTTCCCCGGTGGATCTGGACATGACACCCCCACTCCCATCTCAAACCACCTGCGATTGGCTCTATGATAGACGCCACCATTACCACAGTAAAAATAAAACAATGGAGAGGCCATTACTTAGGTCCCTGAAGCCCAAAACAGGCCAGTACACTTTTACCTAAGTCTTCATGAGAGCCAAGCACCTCCACTCACAGCGAAAGGTCTGCCTCTCCCGCACAGCCTAAATAAGGACCCTGCCTCTGCCCCTCTGGGGCGTGCAGAGGGTGGGAGGGCACTGAGCAGCACCCACATCACACCCATGGGTGCTTTCTCATGGAAGCTGGGCTTGCCAGGACCGCCTGTTCTCCTTCAGACAGCATCTGCCCTGCCGCAGCCCGGAGTGAGAAAGCAGCCGAGCGGGAAGCGGGCTTTGAGCCTCGAGACAGACTCCATCTCTCTTGTTTCTTACATGGTCTCCTGCTGCATGGCCTGAAGGAGGGGCGCCAGCCCAATGGCTCCCAGCACTCAGTAGTGTCAGCAGCTGCCAGGGCCCAGTATGGCTCAAAATCATGCCCTGCCAGGCTCCCAGTACAGCTGGTGGGGCAGGGACCCTTCCCAGGTTTCGGCTGATGTTTCAGGCCACTGGCAGTTCTTGGAGATGCCTTCTTAAAGCCAGAACAGGCTTCTCTAGGAGAAAAACCACAGTTAGACTATTCATCCACTTCATTTGACAGTGACATTAGAGTCTGGCTGTCACTGTCTCCCTGCCTCCCCATTCTCAGCCTTTGGAGAGTGAGTACACAGGTGAGTACCCAAGGATCAAAGTACACTCGATGCCCTCCAGCAGCTCATCGCTAACATGCAAATGACTTTACAATCAAAACATGTGAATGCCCAGAGCGTTGCTCACATGTGCAAATGCATTAGCTTGCTGTGATAGAATAGATGCATACTATGTTACTTTTGAACACTTTAACGGAAGTTGCATTTGCATAATATTTTATAGCTCACAAAGCCTTTTCAGGTAAATTTTCTATTTTAAGTCTAAAAACAACCAGCTTTAGAGATAGTTGCTATTATTAACTCCTCATTTTACAAATGAAAAAGCCAGTAAGTAGGCTGACTGCTGACTAAGTAGACAGCACCAAAAAGAAGCAGCAGACTCCCATTTCTTCCTAGAACATCGCTGGTTCTCAGGCCCAAGTGCCCATTAAAAGCAGCAATAGCCTTAACAGTGCTGGTGCCCAGGCTCCATTCCCTGAGAGCCTGGTGTAATGGGTCTGGACTGGGGCCAGAGACCAGGCACTGAAAATCTTTAAAAGTGTACTGGGGGCTGGGTGCAGTGGCTCATGCCTGTAATCCCAGCACTTTGGGAGTCCCAGCACTTTGGGACTTCAGTCCCAGTTCTTCAGATTGTGTCTGCTGTACCTCCATAGAGCTGGGTGTGGTGATCAGGCCAAGCTTCAAGGTCTTGTTTTGCATGCCGGTCCCATGTCTCCAGCATCCCCTGAATCCAGTGACACCTAGTCCTCCCTGTCAGCTTCTCCGCCAGTAGTAGTCTGATAGGGCTGCCAAGACAAAGCAGTGCAAACAGCAGACATTCATGGTCTCAGCTCTGGAGGCTGGAAGTCTGAGATCAAAGTGTTGGCAGGATTGATTCCTTCCGAGGCCTCTCTTCTTGACTTGCAAAGGCCTTTCTCCTGTGTCCTCCTGCAGTCCTACTCCTGTATGACCTTATCTTAGCAAATTACATCAGCAAAGTTCACATTCTGAGGTTCTGGGAGTTGGGACTGTAACATATGTTTTTGGCAGGGAGTTGGGGGCAGACATAATTCATCTCATATCACTGTGCGGATGGACCCTGTCCTTCTGTGCACTGCTTCATCTCAAGTGCCTGTGAATGGCATACCCCCAGTGGACCCAGATTAAGGCCTCACTCCTAGCTCAGAGAGGATTCTAGGTGACTGAGTGTGGTTGGTTCCCTCAGAGCTGGACCCTGGGGCTGTGCAGCAAGTTGGTGAAGATGCCTTCTGAAGACCTAGGGGGAGCAGGAATGAGGCTGGGGCCTTCCAGGGGACTGGCTTCATTGGTCTTGGCCTTGGGTGGCCCCTGCACATCAGGAGGAGGGGATGCACAGGCCCGCCCACCCTGAGTCATTCTGGGTAAAGTGGTGTTGAATCGTGTGCCCTGGAAAGATGTTGAAGTCCTAACCCCAGTATCTGTGGATGTGGCCTTATTTGGAAATAGGGTCTTTGCAGACCTATAACTTATCTTAGATCAAGTTAAAACAAGGCCATAAGGTGGTCTCTAATTTAGTAGGACTCTGTGTCCTTAGAAGATGGGGAAACCTGCATAGGCATACACACTGGGAGACATGAAGACACGATCTGCAGGCCAAGAAGAGAGGCCTCAGAAGAAACTCCCAACTTCCAAACTGTGAGACAATCAACTTCTGTAGCTTAAGCCGCCCAGTCCCCACCACCAGAAAGTGAATCCAGGTATTGACAGGAAGCCCCAGGTCGGCTGCCCCACCATGCTAGCCATGCCCCCACCTCCCCGGGCCCCTGAGGTAAGTGCACAGGGAGACTCCGGAAAGGGGGCGAAGGACTCCAGGGCTCACAGTTCACACCTCCCTGTACCTGACAATTATTGGAATCTTATTGAAAAGCAGATTCTGCCTCAGTGGGTCATAATGAGTCAGCCAGGTTGGAGGGGGTCCCTCGAGAAACTCCTACCAGCCTGTCCACTGAGGTGGAGCCTCAGGAAGTTCATGATGTTTGCAGCTGGGAGGAGCCTGGCCCTTCCTCTTCGTGTGCAGAACCTGAGATTTGAATGGCAGCAGGAAGCCCTCTAGCAGGGACTCTGGCCTCGCAAGAGTCCTCATTTCCCCCTTTTCTTCTTTTTTATCCAGTAAAACCCTGCTTTACTCACCCTCTCCAACTGCCTGCAAGCCTAAATTTTCATGGCCGTGGGACAGACAAGGACCCAGTCTTTAGCTGAACTAAGGAAAGGTCCTGCAACAGTGGAGGCTGGGGGGCTGCATTTCTCTCAGCTCTTGGGTGATGTAGATGGGGCCCTACCTGACTACAGGCACTGGGCACTCACCTGTGAAAGTCCATGAGGCTGGCTCCTGGTTCTGGGCTGTGGCCTGGCAGCTGTCTAAAGCCCCTGGGCAAGTCAAATGAGCAGCTGGTTTGAGACCCAGGGCCTTCAGGAGGGAGACACTTCCAGGGGTTCAGGTGGTAAGCACTCCAGTTCTGTGGGGCCTGCACCTCCTCCAGTCTGGGGCCATTTGTAAGAATAGACAAATGTGAATATACCACCACTCAGGAAGCTGCAGGAGAGAGGTTGCGGCTCAACGGCCTGTGGCCAAAATGCCTCACTTATTCTCAAATATATAGAGCCCCACCTCCAGCAGAAGCACCCCTGTCAACCCTGGCCTCTGGCAGGAGGTCCAGCCTATGACGTGATGCTGCAAGTTGGTTTAACATCTCACCAGAAGAAGTCTGACCAGAGCCTGAAGCTGAGGGGAGCCCAGCGTGGCACCACGTCTCCCGCTCCAGCGCCGTCCCTCTGGCCACCAGCCCAGGTCACAAGCACCAAATATATATTCATGTGATCATACATCCTAGGAAGAGGCAGAAGAGGGCCCCCAGCCTGAGTGCTTTTAGCTGTACAATAACCCTCCCATAGCCATGAGGCAGGGCCACTGGGAGGAGCACTCAGGACTGAGCCGAAAACGTTCCTGGGTTCTCCCAGAGCCTGAGGGGGGGTCTGCTCATTAGGGCCCTGAATTCTTCTGGTGAGATGTTAAACCACCTTGTAGCATTACGTCATAGGCTGGACCTCCTGCCAGAGGCCGGGGTTGATGGGGGTGCTTCTGCTGGAGATGGGGCTGTGCAGGTGTGTACAGCTGTGCACATCTTGGGCCACCTGGGGCAACTCTGCTGGATCACATTAGCTCCAGAGCCCCTGTGAGGGTATCCAAAGCTTCTGTTCACTTCTGCTGTGGCAGGCATGGACGCCAGGGGCTGTCCTGGATGAACCCCTGATCTCCACTGCCTCCCAGAGCCAGCTTCCCAGGACCAGCTGCCACAAGCTGCTTCCAGCTCTGTGGGGGGAGCTGGACGCTCACCCATTTTGTGCTGTGTGCTGTGCGTTGCAGTTGGGCGTTGACTGTTGCTGGGTTAGAGGGCACATATCCTCACTGAAAATGATAGCAGCTGCCTAACTGTCCCCAGGACACCGCCATCAGTCCACAAGAGCACCCAGCCCCATGCCCTCCTGCTCTCTCCACCACTTGGGGTCCGCTGAGGCCCAAGAGAGGAGAAGAAACAACTGTCTGCCACTACAGACACCCAAGCCTGCAGGGTCAGAGTCACACACAGGTAGGAGGGGAGGGCAGTGCAGCCCCTGGCTCTGTGTACAGCGGTGTGGAAGTGGGGGGTGTTGGGAGAGGACCCAGCCAGAACTCACTGTCCCGACACCTCAGTCCTGGTAGTAGCAGCTCAGCAGAGCCACCTTAGCAATGGAGCTCAGGAGGGCATGATCTCAGAGCCAGGGGCCTGGGCCACCCGCCCTGCCACTCTCTCCTGGGTGACCCCAGCTGCCTGGTCCCTGCCTGCAGGGCGTGGGGAGCATCACCCACGTGTGTAGCCAAGACTTGCTCATCTCTGGCCTGTCGAGATGACCAGGTCACTGCAAGGCAGGTGGGAGAATTCCAGGTGCAAACATTGTACTCGAAGTGTCCTATCCCTCTGCCATTGTTTACCTCTGCCTAGTGGTGTTGGGGCTGAGAAACACTGGCCTGTGAGGATGTCTGAATTCAGAGACTCTGATTCAGCCAATCTCAGCCATGGCTAATTAGCATCAATAAATGTGTCTTATTGTGGGTCTTTCCTGACGACTTTCAAACCAGCCAGTCTGGCAGGACACCATGCCACTTCCCTCCAGAGCAGACCAAGCCCCTGTTTTCTCCCCCAGCCCCAACTTCAAGCCTGCATGGGCCCCAGGGTGCCCATCGTCAGCCAGAGAATCAGGATCTTCCGAGTCACCTGACTTTCATCTCTTAGCAGCTGTATAACATCCTAGATGTCCCCTCATAACCACTCTCCTCGGTGGCTGGGACAGGTGCCCAGAAGTCACCTGGATGGGGGTGGGGGATCTCTCTTAGAAGCCAGATTCCTCCCCCTCCATGCTCGGGAACTGCCCCACCCCATGCAGACTCCATGGGCTTTTCAGGGACAGGACCCATGAAGCTGCCCACATGGAGGCATGGAGCTGTGCTGGGACCCGGGGAGGCCAGGAGGGCAATGCTGGGCTCTGAGACTGCCCTGCTGTCTGCTGAAAAACCTGGTGGTCCCTGTGAAAACAACACCCGACGCCCAACGTGAGACCGTTCCTGGGGAATGGGCAGGTGAAAGGCACAGGTGGGTGTTTCCCAAAGTCCCTGCTCAAAAAACAGTGACAGAATGAGGGTCATATCTGCCCAGGGCCATGTCCCAACCAGCTTCCGCTCCCTGGGGGTCAGACCTGTCTGTGTAGGTTTGTCCAGACAGACTGGTAGAAAGATCAGGCCAGGTCCAGCTGGCATGTTCTGGCTCTGTCCTCTAACCCTGCAAGGCCAGGGTACCCCAAGGTGGGCAGCTATAATCCCAGAGCTGCCCCCACCACACAAGCCCCATGGACGGAGCTGCATCGCTAAGTCCCACTCCACCCATGTTGCCTGGTGCCGTGGGGAGGAGCAAAGGAGATGCTGTCCCTGAAGTCTGACCAGAGCCTGAAGCTGAGGGAAGCCCGGCGTGGCACCACGTCTCCCGCTCCAGTGCCGTCCCTCTGGCCACCAGCCCAGGTCACAGGCATCCAGCAACAACTGCAGCATGGACTCTGGGTCTGTTGGATGTGGGCATGGCTGCTGGCTCACTGCTAAGTCAGGGAAGCACCACGTGGCCCACGCTGTGGGCCCCTCCAAAGCCACTGTGTTCCAGCCCAGTGCCCAGCCCCAAGTACCGTGTTATAATGAGCGGCGACTGACGTGACCCAAGGCAGCCTCCCATCCAGAGCTCCTGGGCCCAGGATGTGAATCTCAATCCCTGATGAGTGCTTATTCCTGAAGCCCCAAGGTAAGACAAGGGACCCTGAGCTCTGGGGTTTCACCGTGTAGACCCCCCAGGGCTGGGGTTTACATAAAGAATGGCCATCCTCAGGGTAGTTCCTCAAGTAAGCAGTAGTGGCAAATACTGCCCACTGCTGCTGCACTCTCTCTCACTTCGGGGGGTTAATTTCCTTGGTTTGGGAATTAAATTGGCTTGCCAATTTTAAAAGGCAAACATTACCAGAAGGACAGAGGGAAGGAAAAAGAAGGGAAAGGACAAGAAGTGGGGGTTGGCCATGGAGCCATGTCCCTGACATGGGGTGGGAAGGCCTGGCCAGAGTGCTGCTCTCCAGGGCAGGAAGGAGGCAGCTTGCAGGGTGCCTCTCCGCACGGGGACGGCCCACTTGGGGCAGACAACTGAGAGTTGGACTGCACAGCAGCTCAGGGCTACTTCTCAAGTGCCCACTAGATGGCAGCCAACACCTGGGCATGAGCTGGTCCCAGCCATCCACCTGGCAGGAAAGGGACAGGCTACCTACCTCCTAGGTTATGCCTATTTTTATGAAAGTGGAAGAGACACCAACTGCATGCACAATTGGAATCGCGTTTCAACAGGTACAGAAATAATGTATTAAGTGATTTATATTCAAAATAAGTGACTGGCAAATGACTGCTCTATTCAGAGAACCCATATCTAATCTTTGAGATCACAGTGTTGTCCAGCAGAGGGGATTGGAATGAGTTTCTCTAACTCCACTTGCTAAAGGTCAGCTTGGTGTGGACTTGTTCTGTTAGTTTGACATTGAAATGCAGTCATTTTGGAGTCTTTGGTCTCCGAAGGTGGGATGTAGCGTGCTTTAGCTAGAAGGGAGCCTTCGCCCAGGCCTGCTAGCCTCCAGCCTGGAGTCCTTGGGCTGTTGGGAACTGAAGGACTCGTCACACTTTTCCCGGAGGCATTCCGGATGACAGGAGTGCTCAGGTTCCCCACCTGGAGCTTGCTAGTCCAGGCTTTGATTAAGGGAGATGTGAAAACAAAGTAATGAATTTATGTACTGCTGAATCAATATGGTGTGGAGGGACCCTACCTTACAGAATGTAGGGTCCAAAGAGGTGACAAAAGAATCTCAGATCTAATCCAGCCTCTGCTTTCCAGGTGAGGACAGTTAATTTTCAAAAATCTGCAATGGACTGAGAGCAGGGATCCCGTCACCACCTGCTCTGAGCTCCACTGTAGTCCCGGCCTAGCCTTCTAGCACCTTCCCAGGGGGGGCGCCATCGGCAGTCTTGAGTAGATCCCACTTCAGGGCTGGCTCACAGCTTTTCTTGATTTCCAGACGTGAAGCAAAGCCAAAGGTGAGCCACTTTCTTGACACATCCAAAAGAAATTTTGAGGAATGTCAAAAGGAGTGACTGGCGGTCCTTCCTGGGTGGTAAGAAGCTATGTATTTCTTTTTTTTCTTTTTCTTTTTTTTTTTTTTTTGAGACTGGGTCTCACTCTGTTGCCCAGGCTAGAGTGCAGTAGTGCGATCTAAGCTCACTGCAACCTCCGCCTCCTGGGTTCAAGCAATTCTCCTGCTCAGTCTCCTGAATAGCTAGGATTACAGGTGCATGCCATCACATCCAACTAATTTTTTATATTTTTGGTAGAGACGGGGTTTCATCACATTGGCCAGGCTGGTCTTGAAATCCTGACCTCGTGATCCGCCCCCGCTCGGCCTCCCAAAGTGCTGGGATTACAGAGAAGCTATGTATTCCTACGCATGTATTCTCACTGCCTTTCAGCTAACTGACAAGGCGGCCTATGGACAGCACCAAACAGAGGTAAGGGACTTACCTGGGCACATTACTGTGAAGCCAAACATGTTGCTCAATATGTCAAATAACCAGCTCCCCATAGTTCTTCTGGGAAGTTCCCATCCATGCCCAGGGAGATGACTCTGGGACATAAACTATACACTCTGAATCAGCCTCCAATCGATGGTGTTGTTTGTCCCATAGCCACGACTCACTGGTCCGGGAATCAGGCAGTGGAAATGGGAGATACACCACTCACCATCACCCCTAGTGAGCCACTGGCAACATTTTTGCTTCCTGTTCCCACAACTTTATGCCCTGCTAGCCTAAATGTCTTAGCTCCAGAGGGAAGAATGCTTCCACCAGGAGATGCAACAATGATTCCATAATTTCTACAACTTCCACAACTTCCAACTGGAAATGAAGACTGTCATCCAGCCATTGTGGGCTCTTCGTGTCTCTGAGTCAACAGGCCAAGAAGAGAATGATATTGCTGGCTGGGGTGATTGATCTTGACTATCAAAGGGAAATTGGATTGCTGCTCCACAATGGAAGTAAGGAAGAGTATGTCTAGAACATAGGAAATTCCTTAGGGCGTCTCTTAGTATTACTATGCCTTGTGATTAAGCTCAATGGAAAATTCAGGAATGAAGGTTTGGGTCACTGCACCAGGTAAAAACTCATAACCACCTGAGGGGCTTGCTGAAGGCAAAGGGAATACAGAATGCGTCGGTGGAATAAAGTGGTTATAGATACTTACTGTGGCCATGTGACCAGTTACAGAAACCAGGACTGTAACTGTTATGAGTACTTTCTCCCTGTTTTGTTAAGAATACATTTGTGTGTATGCAAAGTAAGCAAATATCTTTTTTTCTTTCCTCTCTTATTCCCTTATCCTGTAACACACAATACATTGACTTTATATGAATACTTAAGTATTGTCAATCTTACATTATAGTATTTAAATTATGAGATATCAAGGAGAAGAGTAAACATCACCGAAGGCCCTTGCCTTCTCTTGTGGGGAAGGGATTAGTGAGTTTTGGGTTGTATGCAAGATAGGCAGATAGCATGACATTGGTATTGTCTTTATTTGAAGATTAGCATAGTTTAAGAAGATGCCTTTTGGTGTTAAGTTGACAAGAAGTGGACTTATGATGGTTAATTTTATGTGTCAACTTGCCTGGGCTAAGGAATGCCCAGATAGCTGGTAAAACGTTGTTTCTGTGTGTGTCTGTTAGGGCATTTTGTGAAGAGATGAGCATTTCCATCAGTAGACTAAGAAGATCCACTCTCACCAATGTGGGTAGGCACCATCCAATCTGCTGAGGGCCTGGATAGAGCCAAAGGGCAGAAGAAGGGCAAATCCGCTCTCTCTGCTTGAGCTGATATATCCATCTTCTGCCCTCGGACACTGGTGCTTCTGGTTCTAGAGCCTTTGGATTCTAACTGGGACTCACACCATCAGCTCGTCCGGTTATCAGGCCTTTGGACTAAGACTGAGTTACACCACCAGCCTTCCTGGGTCTCCAACCTGCAGATGGCAGATCATGGGACTTCTCCACCTCCATAAACATATGAGCCAATTCCTATAATGTCTCACATATCTATATATGTCCTATTGGTTCTGATTCTAGAGCAGAAGACACACAACCTTCTAGATCTGTAGGGCTCCTTATGAATCATGAGATCCCCAGAACAGCTGCAAAATTAAACAAATTCAGCGAAACAAAAATTAGCTGTTTTGCAGATAATTACTGCTTTTACCTTTAACTTTCAGTTTTGTCATGATGTAGACATCACTGGAGACGCTGGAGCTGAAGTTCGGGCCACGGTTGTCAAAGGAGAGTAGGATAGGCTGGGGAGGGAGGCACAGCAAACCTTCATGGTCTCCATATTATACCCAGTGGATTTTCAGATGCTCCAGGAAGGTGGACTATGTCCATGGATTCCAGAGCACCTCAATTTGAGGATCTTTTAAAAATGCTTTTTTACTGTCTGTGTGAAACTGAGCAAGTTGCTCAACCTCTCTGAGCTTTGGTTTCCTCTTCTGCACAAGATATTGATGATGATAATAATAATACTGACCTTCTATAATATTTGCACATCACTTTGCCTCTATAAGTAATAACTCTTAGCAGCCACCATTTTTCCATGGCCTTTTGCAATGCGCAGGGTGTGAAATCTTCCTAGACAGAAGCCCGATATGGATTCTTCAGGACATGGGTTCTGTATAACCAAAGCACCCAGATATGTGAGGGTAGGACTTAGTGGCCAGATGACCTGAGCCTCCTACTGTGCCTTCCGTACCACCTGAGCCACAGTTACCGCATGTGCGTAGTTCACTGTGGGGGTATGAAACCAGCCATGTCACAGCCATCTGTGGCATGCACCTGTAATCCCAGCTATTCAGGAGGCTGAGGCAGGAGAATCGCTTGAACCCAAGAGGCAGAGGTTGCAGTCAGCCAAGATTGTGCCATTGCACTCCAGCCTGGGTGACAAAGCAACAGAGCGAGACTCCATCTCAAAAACAAACAAACAAACAAAAAGTCAGTGTTGATGACAGTTGATGACTGTCCTCCCTGCATAGGGTGCCCCTTCACTTGTAGCTATTTACCCTTCAGGAGTTGTGCTAGAAAGGCATGAGCTCTTTCTACCACGGAGGGCAGGCACTGCCCTGGGCCTGGAGTGTGGACTCCCACCTGGAACAGCCTCTGAGTGCCCAGCCCATGGTGACCCTGATTCTGGCAATGCCCTACAGTTACATGGCCCAGCCCAGGGGTCCCTGTGGATGGAGAGCCGTTTGCCACCCCCAGGTCCATCCTGGGAAGCCGGGGCTGTGTGAGTGTCCCTAGTACTTCAGCCTTGTTCTTATGTGATCTGCACGGAACCCGCTCCAGGCTTGCCATCACCCCCAGATGGCTGAGGACCACCTGTTCTCCTCAGCCAGGGCCAGGGCTGAGGTGAGAGAAGGGGACACTGGGGCGTAGCTTAAGGACACTCACTTGCCTCACCTGGCCTGGGCCTGCCATAGGGATCAACCCAGCCATGTGCTTTCTGCCCAGGAAGCCACACTGAGGAAAGAGACTGGAGGCAACCCAGCCTGGGTGCTCGTCCTTTGTTGCCCATACAATGGGCTTTCAGCTTCAGCCCTCTGTCGACCTCGCAGGGTGGGCTTAATGTGCTGTGCAGTAGGGTGAGACCCTCCGAGGCCGGAGTCTCTCCCCTGCCCCAAGACCATTTCAGCCTCTGCCGTGTTCTTGCATGGGTATTGTCAGTGGAAGAGAGAAAGCATTCCATGGTTGGTGACTTCTGGAAACCTCTGTGGACTTGCATTCCCTCCGTTGGAATGAAGCATCTTCAGGATGCACAGAATTTCGGCAGCACGGAAACCTGCTTGTGCTCATTTCTCCCGGCATGTCCTCCACGTCTTTGACTCCTCACAAGGCGGCTGTACAGGCACTTTCCCATGCCAGGCCTCACTGTTGGCCTGGCATGGGCTCCCACTCAGCCCGTGCTGTTCCAGCGAGTCCTTCCTGGGGCCTGAAACCTTAGCCCATGGCTCCTTCCCCACATAGTTTTCCCTCTTTCTATGGCTGACGACCTCTCCCTCGGGCCCCAGAACATGACGTCCCCACTACTTTGAGGCTGCCAAGCTCTCGGGAAACGGGTCGCTCTGTTCCTCTCTTGGGCCTCCCACAGCCCTGGAACAGTCTGGGTGCCCTGGGAGGGACCCAGCCAGCCTCTCCTTGCTGGCTGGACTGTGTCCAAGCATTGTGCTCCATGCATCCCCTCCTGGACAGCCTTGGCTGCCGTGCTCATCAGCGCTTCTACCAGGGCAGTAAAGGAGAAGGACAGCAGGCAGAGCTGCACTCTCTGCATTGGCCCCCAACTCCTAATGCCGGCATGAGTTGGCTTGGCCAAAATGAATTGTTTGGATGATTTTTCTGTATTTGAAGAGCCAAGGAAAAAGTTTCCATTTTGTGTCTGTGTGTGTGTCCGTATATACGTCTGCATGTATGTCTGCGTGTATGTCTGTATGTGTGTCTGTGTGTCTAAGTGTCCCTTTATGGGTCTGTGTGTGTATGTACATGTGTATGTCCATGTCTATGTGTATCTGCGTGTATCTGTGTGTCTGTATGTACATGTGTGTCTGTATGAGTCTGTGTGTCTGCATGTATCTGTGTCTGTGTGTCTATATATACATGTGTGTCTTATGAGTCTGTGTCTGCATGTATCTGTATCTGTGTGTCTGTGTGTCTTACATACATGTGTGTCTGTATGAGTCTGTGTATCTGTATGTATCTATGTGTCTGTATGCCCATGTGTATCTTATGAGTCTGTGTGTCTGCATGTGTCTGTGTGTCTGTGTGTCTGTATGTACATGTATGGCTGTATGAGTCTGTGTATCTATGTACCTGTGTGTCTGTGTGTCTGTATGTACATGTGTATCTGTATGAGTCTTTGTATCTGTATGTATCTGTGTGTCTGTTTATATGTACATGTGTGTCTGTATGAGTCTGTGTATCTGTGTGTATCTGGGTATCTGTGTGTCTGTGTGTACTTGTGTGTCTTATGAGTCTGTGTGTCTGCATGTATCTGTGTGTCTGTATGTACATGTGTGTCTTATGAGTCTGTGTGTCTGCATGTATCTGTATGTCTGTGTGTGTCTGCATGTGTTGTGTCTCAGCGCACAAACCCGCAGCACACAGAGCTGGCCCTGCCCATCCACTGACACAGGAAACCTGAGCCTCGAAAGCAGCCCATGGCGCACCTCAGTGCTGGTGCACTCACCCTCTTCAGCCTCCTGGTTCTTCCACGGAGCCCAGCTCTGGAGCAGCAGAGCTCAGGGACACTGTGTTCCTCCTGTCCTCACATGCTGCAGCCCACCACCTTGCCAAGCTGTGTCTGGGCACGTTTCTGGAACCTGGCTTGGCTCCAGCACTGGCCCTGCCAGCTCTGTGCAGACAAGCTCCCAGGAGACGCCCTGGGATTTCACAATGAGCCTCGTGTGCCCAGTCTACCCCTGCCCCCCAGCTGCTGTCCGCTGCACCTTCCTTTGGTTTCCAGACCAGGTCAAGACATGGGATGAGCCTGCTCAGAAGGGATGAGCCTGCTCAGAAGCCCTGGGCCACACACAAGCCCTGGCCAGCCACAGTCGGTGCCCTATGCTCAAAGAGCCACAGCGCTCTTGACCCAGCTCCACATTGCTGGCCGCAGGCACTTCATTTCTTGTAAATTAACCCTTCTTTCTCTCTGGAAACTTCAAAAACTTCTCTTTACCTTTGAAGTTCCAAAATAAATCTTTTTAAAATGCATTCTGCCATGCGTTGGTGGGCCCTTTTAAATAGGACTGGCTATCTGGTCTGCAGAACCTGGTGCTAAACTAAAATGTGGAAGTCCTGTTCAAAAAGCAAGAAAAAGGCATAACAATACTAAAATATACAGCTTTTTCCTCTCTTCCAGAGTCTCTTTCTTGATGTGCTGCATTTTTCATGTTATTTAATGTCATTCCAAGTTAAAATTTTAAAGTATTAGCATGAATTTTATCATTTGTGCAATGCTAGTTTTAAATGCAAATACAAAAGTGTTTAACTCACATGAGGAATCACTGAAATTATGGTTTGTGTTATGTGGCTCGAGCATGCATGTGTATTTCATTTCTACCATAACAGCGACAATGCTGCTGAAAAGTAGCTCAACTGTTTGTATTTTACTTCTTGCTACATGCACGTGCGCCAGCACCCTCTTATCTTCAGCTGACTAATGAGGGAGAAAGCACTGAAGGACAGGAACTCTGGGTTGCCCTGTCCTCATCTTTCCTCGTATGTCATCATTTTCAAAGTTCGTGGTTGTCGAATACTGGAAGTAGCCCAGGTAAGAAGGGATGGGATAGGATGCCTTCATTGTTCTGTTTCTTAGAAGGCCTTTGCCTTCTTTAGGCATTTGAAACAAGTTCTGGTTCCAACAGATCGTGTGTGGCTTTGTACGGCTTCCATATGCCCCTCCTTCTGTGGTAGAGCACGATTACCTTCTACTCGCCTTCAGTGTCGCTGAACTGCACCGGAATCCACTGGAATTCTGTATGCATGGGCCTTGGGAGCGTGAATGGAGCAGCAAGGAACGGGGACACATATATCACCTGTGTCTCTGCACATGCACACGGTTTGTGGCTCCGTCGGACTTCACTTACAAAACCCAAGTTCAAAGATCAAATTATGAAGCATTTCAAGATGGCAACAGATGAGAATCAGACAAGCATAGAGTCCTTCTGAGCTTAGAGCCTTACGTGACCACAAGGGCCACATATCCAGGAAGCTGGCCCTGCTTTTGAACTGGAAAAGTTCTGATCAATTTTCTTCTATCAGTTATTTAATTATTTTCCTCCCTCAAGTCTCTCTGTTCTCTCCTCCTGGAACTCCTAGTAAATACATAAAGAAACGTCTAGCTCCCGCTCGTGTCAATTGTCTCTTACTTGGATTTCTTTGTCCCCATGAATGACATTCTACAAGAACCCCTTGGTCTTTCAGTTCACTAATTTATTCTTCAATCACGTCTGTTTTGCTAGGTTTCATTAACAATCATCTTTTAAATTTCAAAGTTTTATAGTTCTTTTTTGTAACAGCCTCTTCTTGTTTCAAGGATAGTTTACATTCTCTAATCTTCTCAAACATGTTAAATATGATCACCTTTAAAACTTTAAACTGCTGTGTTTAGCTGTTTCCTTGAGCAGGGAGAGTTCCGTTTGTTGAAGTTGAATGCCACTGTTTCGTAGCATTCATTTTGCTGACATGTTTGACAGCTCTCATCTATCTGATTATCTTCCTCTTTGAGAATCCCTGACCAGTCATGTTTCTCCCTGCTCAAGTGAAATAAAGGCCTCAAATAGATCAGTGGTTTTCAACTCTTTTTAGCATAGATAAATGTTGTAAAATAAAATTTTATTTGTGGAAATACAGTGTGTAAATCCACAGTGGAAAGGCAATAATTGAGGCAGAGATGCCCTGCAACCCTAGAGGTGCCCGCTTGGACCCTTGGTGTTCCCTCTGCAGCCTCACCACACAGTGGGCCTTCTCTGTGATTGCTGGGCTGAGCGATCCTGGATCCTCACAGCCCATGTCTCAACAGTTAATGAACCAGGTGATCTGCACATGTATTTCAAGCTCCTGTATTATCCCTGATGAGGATATCTAGATTTGAACTTCTTTGAAATTCCTTCCTAAATATTTATTTTGTCATGTTTCTACATATGGAAGGGTCCTCATGGCAGATAGACTCACAGGGACTTACACACTACCACACTCTTTAATGGGAACAGACCTCCTATTACTGACTTCTTGACAAAGTCTTGAAAAAGAATGAAAATGAGGATGCAAGTCACCAGGGAAGGCAGAGGAATATTTCTTTTATTTAAGCGGACTTGCTGATTTCAAAAGAACCATTTCCAGAAAAGACTGGGCTAAGCTCCAATCTTGGCCTCCGTATATAATGCAAAAGTAGATGCTATAAACTAGTAAATTCATGGCATTCGATCATAAAAAAGAAGAAGAGATGCATTTTCTGTTAGACCCTGAGGCTGTACTTTCCCAACCGCTGTGTAGAGCAAACACCAGGTGGGGAGATGGCTTTGTGGACATGCAATCCAGTTTCTAATCCAGAAATAGGTCAGAGCACCAATGTGAAAATACCTGTTGTTTTTAAATAGGTCTGTGTGTCTCAGTGTGTGTGTGTGTGTGTGTGTGTGTGTGTGTGTGTTTTCCTTAAGGGCACTTGAGATGCCGCAAAGAAATGAGGAAGTGGAAGTTTTGAATTGGTTTTTCTTCTTTTGTCTAGGGATGATTTTTTTTTAAGAGTTTCTAAGAGGTAATTGAGTTTCTTCCTCAGGAACAGTCAGTTTTTCATGAATCAAATGTATCAGTAATAATTTTTTAAATGCTGGATTATAACTTTTGAAAGTTTGCAAGTTGGGAGCATATTTCCTTGGCTCTGCGACATTCCCTCCTCTTCCTGGGGTTCTCTCCTCCTAGGACCCTGGGACCAAGCACTGCCCTTCAGGTCTTTGATCTCTCTGATCTCATAAACTTTGCTCTCCTTGTCCTTTTGAATACCTTCTAGAAGAATCCCTGGATCCTCCTCGTCAAAAGTCCACATGCTCTTGGGGGTTACCATTGTTCCGGATAATCTGGAGTTTTCATGTTGAAAACAACCACCACCACACCAACACGTTTTTCTGTTGTCCTCTTGGCAACTTCAGAGCCCTGACACCGTAGGGAAAGCGCTTAGGGATCCCATCACAGTTCAAGGGCCAGGGCCGGTGGCCTCTGCCAAGTGCCAGGCCCTCTTATCCCTGAGTGAAGCACTCACATTCCCTAAGAAGGGGCATAGGGACCAGAGCACAGGGCAGTGAGGGAAGTGCTGTGGGGCAAGGGTGGTGGTGTCTGAAGACGGCTCTGCCTTTACAAGGCCCACTGGAGCTTTATGTCTGCATGCCCCACAGCAGAACTGTCCTTGCTCTTTTTCATGTTTAAATTTATGGTGAGGTAGGAAGATTGCTTGAGCCCAGGAGGTCAAGGCTGCAGTGAGATATGATCATGCCACTATACTCCAGCCTGGGAGACAGAACAAGAGCCCATTTCAAAAAGAATTTAAGGGCCTGGCGCAGTGGCTCATGCCAATAATCCTAGCACTTTGGGAGGCCGTGGTGGGTGGATCATTGAGGTCAGGAGTTTGAGACCAGCCTGGCCAACATGGTGAAACTCCATTTCTACTAAAAAAAATAAAATACAAAAATTAGCCAGGGGTAGTGGCGTGTGCCTGTAATCCCAGCTACTCAGGAGGCTGAGGCAGGAGAATCGCTTGAGCAGAGGTTGCAGTGAGCCGCGATAATGCCACTGCACTCCAGCCTGGGTGACAGAGCAAGACTCCGTCAAAAAAAAAAAAATTAAGGTATATAGATGCACATTTAAGTTATATAAACACACGTACACACACATAAATGCAGCACCTTTCCTAAGTGTACAGTTTGTTGAATTTTCACAAACTGAGCATGTCCATGTATCCAGCCTCTGAAGAAGAACAGTGGATCACCCGCACTGCATATAGAAGCACACCACATGCCCCTTCCCAGTCACAACTGGGCCCAGCATTATCTTGAGTTCTGACAGCATAGCCTAGTTCTACTGGATTTTATACCTTGTATAAATGGAATAGTACAATTTGTACTATTCTGTCCTGCTTCTTTGGCTCAATTTACTTTGCAAGATTCTCATACACATTATCTCAGATCATTGTAGATCATCAACTTCTTATCACCATCTGGTAGTCATTCCTTGGTGGGAACAGACCATGACTCAGTTATACATTCCACTGCTGAGGGCCAGTCACATGGTTTCCTGTACTTATTCCTACTAGCTGGTGTGAAGCACGATGCTTCCGAGAGTATTTTCAGGCCAAAGAAGCTGGTATTGTCCAAATAATTTAAGGAACAAATGAGGAAGAGGAGATGGAGAAAAGGAGATGTTGGTCAGAGAGTACAAAGTTTCAGTTAGACAGGAGGAATCATTTTTGTGATCTATTGGACAGCATGGTGATTCTGGTTATAATAATGTATTATATATTTCAAAATTGCTTTTAAAGAGTAAATATTGAATGCTCTCACCAAGGAAAAATGACAAGTATGTGAGATGATGGATATCCTAATGTGCTTGATTTAATCATTCTACAATGCACACATGTACTAAACCATCAGGGTGGGTGTGCTGGCTCATGCTTATAATCCCAGCACTTTGGGAGACCAAGGCAGATGGATAGCTTGAGCCCAGGAGTTCAAGAGCAGCCTGGGCAACATGGTGAAACCCCGTTTCTGTGAAAAATATGAAAATTAGCCACACATGATGGCATGCACCTATAGTCCCAGCTCCTCAGGAGGCTGAGGTGGGAGGATGACCTGAGCCTGGGAAGTAGTGGCTGCAGTGAGCCATGATCGTGCCACTGCACTCCAGCCTAGGCAACAGAGTGAGACCCCTTCTCAAAAAAAAAAAAAAAAGTACATTGTACACCATAAGTATATACAGTTATTATGTGTCAATAATAAAAAAGTATAAAAGTAAGTCAGAACAAAAACCACACCAAACTTCTTCAACAACAAAAAAGAAAGAAATGAAGCAAACCTAGCCTCAGAAAATGTGCTGTTTGATCAGTTTTACCCAGATAGCACAGGAGCAGAGGAAAAGTTTGTTTCTATATTCCTTGGGTACTGCCCAGCTTCTCTTCCTTTCAGGGCAGGCAGTGTGGATGACGACCTTAAAATACAGAGAGCTAGTGGTGTTTGGGAAGTTACCCACCAAGCCCCAGCCTTGATTTGCTGAAAGATCTCATCAGAAGAGGAAAGAGTGGGTAGGCAGGATTGGGATGGCGGAGGCAGGCAAATGCCTTCATTCATGGGAGCAATTTCAGAAACACCTGGATGCTGGACTCCACAGGCATTTCTCTCATCTAGAAGACTGTGAAAAACACATAGACTAACTTGTCCCACTACCAGGAAGATGCAACTAGGTTCCCCCATCCTCTCCTCCAAAACAGTCCCCTTGGATTCAAGGTGGTAGCAGTCGGCCCTAGGGACTGACGCCAGAAACCTCAGAAAGACATCAAACCATTCAAGGAAGTTCAGGAATGTGCTGCACAGAAACTTCTGACAGGAAATCCAATTTCCCTATCTAGATTGAACCCTAAAAGACAGTAAATCACAGAGGTCTTGGAGGTTGGAGAATTCAAAAGTCTGGATGTTTGTATTCTTTAGTTGGTGCTAATGTAACCCTGACATTACTGCTTCAGTTGAATGAATATTAACTACGTGGTATTAGCTGGTATTTGCAAGCTCCAGGGAATGCTTCCCTCAAGACAGCAGCATTTTGTAAATTAATTCAATAAATACAAAAGCAAATGCATCTGTTTAATGGGGGAGGCGATTAATGTTTCCAGATTCCCCTGGCCTCCAGCTGGAAATCTGGTTGAATTTTGAGACGTGATGCAGTCCATCCCTCAATGGGCAATGACTTGAAGTCTCAGGTTCTGGAGGTATTGACTCACAGGGTTCAGGCACTGCGGTCCTCGCTGCCAGGTCCCGTCTGTGTTCAGGGAGTTGCTGATGCTATCTCCCAGGAATACTCCATTCTCATGCAGGAGGCTGGGTCTCCTCTTGAGGGGTGTTAGGTGGTACCAACTCACCCCTGGGCCAACAGCAACATCGATGACAACTCAAGCTGTGGCTTCCTCTGAGTCAGGAACTTGTTGGGCAGCCTCACCCCTGAGGCTGGGCTTCATCTGGGGTAGCAGGTCCAGGCCTCGCAGGAACAAGACAAAGATGCTCAGTTTCACTACATCATTCAGGAAGTGCTAACCAGTGCGATAAAACAAGATCATAGCATAAGAAACATAGGTTTTGGAAAAGAAAAGGCTTACTGTTATTCATTGTGGGCAATATACTTAAAGCCAAAAGAAAACCCTGAAAAACAATTAGAAACACTAAGAGATAATAATAATAAAAGGCGGCACTTACAAAATTAATATAAAATAAATAGTTTTTTGATATACAAATAACAACTCTTTAGAAAATATAATGGAAGAAAAATGCCACTCAGAATAACACTAAAAAACCAAAGTCCTAGGAATAAATTTAAGAAATATGAACATGTGATGAGAAGGAAATATTAAGTCCCCAGTGTGAACATAAAAGAAGATTATTTCAATATATAAAAATCTCTTTTTCTTGAATAAAAGGCATAATGTTATAAAGTTGTCCATTCTTCCTATGTACTCTATATCCTAAATACTAATAGAATCTATTAATATGTCCCTGTAATGGAGCTGGAGAAAGTCTAAACAAGAAAAGAGATGAGAGGACTCTTACCAAGTATATATGAGTATTTGTTATAAAGCAGGAGTTGGCCAAGCCAGCTCATGAGCTGTTTCTGTATGTCCCATGAGCAAAGAATGTTTTTTGCAATTTTAAAGCTTTTTTTTTTTTTTGAGACGGAGTCTTGCTCTGTCGCCCAGGCTGGAGTGCAGTGGCGCCATCTCGGCTCACTGCAAGCTCTGCCTCCCAGGTTCACGCCATTCTCCTGCCTCAGCCTCCCAAGTTGCTGGGACTACAGGCGACCACCACTATGCCCGGCTAATTTTTTGTATTTTTAGTAGAGACGAGGTTTCACCATGTTAGCCAGGATGGTCTCAATCTCCTGACCTCGTGATCCGCCTGCCTCGGCCTCCCAAAGTGCTGGGATTACAGGCGTGAGCCACCGCGCCCGGCCCTAAAGCATTTTTTTTTAAAAACTTGTGTGTGACCCTATGAGGCCCATAAAGTCTGATAGATTCACCATCTGGTCTTTTCCAGCAAGAGTTTGCCAATGTCTGTTCTAGAGCATCATTAGTTATAACAGTCTGATAATGGAACAGAATTAGACCACACATCAAGGAAATAATACGCAATACAGAAATAAACAGAAACCAATGACAACTAAGTGTATAGACTAAGCTGCCATTTAAAAATCACCAGCCTGGCCAACATGGTGAAACCCTGTCTCTACTAAAAAAACAAAAATTAGCCAGGTGTGGTGGTGCACACCTGTAGTCCCAGCTACTCGGGAGACTGAGGCAGGAGAATTGCTTGAACCCAGGAGACGGAGATTGCAGTGAGCTGAGATCACTCCACTGCACTGCAGCCTGGCCAACAGAGCAAGACTCTGTCTCAAAAAAGAAAACAAAAAACAAATCACTTAGAAAAGATGGCTTATCAGTATCTCATCTTGGCTCACCTAGATAGCCATTTGGAAGAAAAAACAAAACTGGTTCCCTGTTCTACTACTAACTTTGGAGAAATGGAGCCTTTTCTTAGTTCCACACGAAAAACATTAAAAGAAAGCATTAACAACTCTGACTACATAAAAACCAGTACCTTTTGAGAAAGAAAAATGCCTTAAGCAAATGTAAAAGTCAAATAACCAACTGGTATTTGAACTGAAAGATATATAGAAGAAATAGGACAAATGATTTCTTTAATATAAATAAGTTCCTGTGAATAAATAAAAAGAAACAACTCCATAAAAATGATCTAAAAGTACGAACGAGCTGTTTATGAGGAAACAAAAATGGGCAAGAAACATGTTCAACTCAAACACAAATAAATGTAGATAAAATTATTGTATGTAGTTTTTCTTTTATCAAAATGACAAAAATTTTGGTAATGCCAGTATATGCCATGAAAGGCATTCTGAAGAAACAGTGTTCAGGCTGGGATCTGAAGGGCGTGTGGGAGTTATTTGGGTAGAGGGCGGAAGCATCCCAGATCGAGAGAACACTGTGTCCAAAGGCCTGTGCTGTGGTGGCATGGAGCCTTCTTGTTCAAAGAACTGAGGGGCCATGTGCCCATATTGGATGAGACAAGCTGGACATATGGCAAAAACCTGGCACAGAGGCAGGAATTTTGTCTTTGTGCTAAGAGCCATAAGAAGTACTTGAAAGGAGCCAACAACATACCCAGAGGCGTCTTTGACCCAGTCTCTCTTTCACTATATAAAAATCTCCATCTTTTTCTGGAATAAAAGGCATAATATTATAAAACTGTCCATTCTTCCTATGCACTCTATATCCTAAGCACTAATAGAATCTATTAATATGTCCCTGTAATGGAGCTGGAGAGAGTCTAAACAAGAAAAGAGATGAGAGGGCACTTACCAAGTAGATACAAGTATTTGTTATAAAGCAGGAGCTGGCTTTATAACAGGCAGTTAGAGTGTGAGGAATTGGGGCCAGGTGGGTTTACATGCATAACCTTCTCCAAGAGCAGGATTGATTTAGAAAGTGCCGACTTCCTATCTGCTGTGTAGATCAAAGGTATCAATCCACTTAAAGGGCTTAGTTTAACACACAGCACATGAGAAATGCTCAATATATCCTTGCTATTCTGATGGCTTTCCATCATCTGTCCTGCTAAGCAAAGAAGTCCAAGATGTACTAAAAGTTACAGAAGTGATAAAGAAGTGCTAAAAGTTACAGAATAGTAAGCTTTCTAAAGTCCCACTTGTGTAAAGATAAAGTAAAACAGAAGAATATGCTTGTATATAATTGTATATGCAAAAATATTTCCTTCTTGGGAAGCAGGGGGTGAATAGAGATTATGTTAAACTTTGACACTTAAAACCTAAAAATAACACGTTTATTGTAGCAACCTTGGAGAACAAAGAAGATCACTTGTTATTTAAAGTAGATAGGCTGAATGTCAAACGTGTTTAGGACTTAAAGGAAATCCCTTTAATGAAAGGAAATATGGTTCCAAGTAATTAAATCCATGGGCTGCCTTTGTGCTGTAGTTAGAAAATAATCTAATATGGAGGAGGGAAAGGAGGAAGAAAGGCTGAATTTCAGGGGCAGGACAGCAAATCCGATTCCAGCTAATACTCACCTTCCAGGAGTTTTTTTTAAAGGCCAATGAAGAAATTCCTATCATTAATAATAAAGAACATCCCAACACTAGCATTTCCAATTTATTGTGACCTGTTGCGCATAGAGACTTACTGACTCATGAGAAATGCACCTCTTTTGAAGAGTCTTCTAGATGGATGCATCATTTCTGCACTCAAGATTGTGTTCCATTGTGCAAAGAGCTACTCTAGGCAGCCTAGTGGACATGCCGGATGACTCCACCCATGGTGCTTCCAGCAAGAAGTTAGACAATGGAGTGGGGAGAAAGGATGCTGGGCTTCCTCTGGCTCTCAGATCACCCACCTTTATTATGATTAGGAAATTGGAAAACCAGCCACAACCAAATGCTTCAGGAATACCTCGCCTTAGGAGCTAGGGACCAAAAAGAGGCCCAGAACTATGAGTGTCTGCTACTTGCTCATGAGCAAAATGGCTGCTCCAAGCCCTGCTCTTGACACTCACAGAGCCACTGCCCAGAAATCAGGACCTCTTGCTAAAACTGCTGCAGAAAACCAGGACCTCTCCACTGTGCTTCACAATGGAAATGGCAGACACGGCAAAGCGCAGCCCCCACTCCCTTCTGTCCTGTAAATGGCAAGTAAGTGCACCTAGTCAAAATGAAATAAAATCAGGCCCAGAATCTAGCTGCAAGGGAGTTTGGAGAATGTCATTTTTAGTATTACAACTTCTGCACACAGGCTGGAGAGTAGAAAGCGTGCAGAGCTCTGGTCCGCCAGGATCCAGTGCAACTCAGAGTGCAGATGCATTGATTTCCAAACAAGAATTGCTGTCAATTGACTGCAGGGTAGACCATAAGCATTCCGGGTCTCATGGGACCGCACTTGTCTCTCTTCTTTGCCTGCGAGATCTCCCCCAGCTCCTGTACTCAGCAGTAGTCACCCCTGCAGTAGGTACTGTGAAGGAGGATGCTGAGGTCAAGGAAGAATCTTCAGCCTCAGAAATGTCTTTGATTGTGAAGTCACAGAAGCTGCCTGGGTGGCAGACTGCTTGTGCACTCCTGTGCAGATCAGGGGCTGCAACCCAATTCTTGCCCCACAGCAGGTCAGTGAGAAGGCAGACCTACAAATCAGCATGTGCTTGCTTCATATGATTTGTCTCATTTAACTGGCCAGACAGCTGAGGCTTAAGTGGTGTTATCAAAATACCAAGGCTGAAATAAATCAACATAACAGAGTTTTAGAACAAATAATCAATATAAAGATAATTAAAAGTAAATACATAATCTGAAATAATTTGGGGGAAATAATTCAGGAACAGAATGAAGAGGGAAACCCTCAGGTTCTCCTCGAAATATTGTAAGTGAGTCAGAAAACAGGACCAGTAATGGCAGAGGCAGAAGAGCGGCAGGAGACGGCGGTTACCCCACAGCAGAACGCTGCTCTGTGAGAATCCCCCAGCAGGTACCCCATTCCAGCTGTGGTTCGCCTACAGGCAGTCAGCCTCCCTGAACCTCTGCAGAGGGCAGGGATAGTAGATCTGCCCTTTAAGACCCATGCAGAGGTGCTGAAATGACAGTATTGGTACTCTGGATACAATGGAAAGTTCATTAGGGCTGATATTAATGGTAGTCACTGTCATATTTTCAGTTGCTTTCAGCAGTATTTGGGCCCCAGGATACTGATGTTTGCTCAATACATGAGCCTGCAGAAGTAACTGGGAGCAAACACCTGATATCAGTATTAAGCATGTGGTGCCGAGAACAATATGTTACAGAATACTGCAGACCCACTTAAATCATTCTTTTGTCTAAGAATGTGGGGTGTTCAGTGGATAAGTGAGAGTCCATGGATTTTGCTCTATGGCTGATGAAAGGAACGTGATGTGTGACATTTAGCACCGGTGTCAGGAATGGCTCTCCTGTTGGCAAACTTATTTCGCACGTGCCTATTCATCATCTATCCTGGGCACCTCACTCAGGTCCTCATGAGTCCCCTGTCTTCTCAGCAAGCATTACCTCTCTACTCAGACCAAGGCCTTGTGAGGGATGGAGGGTCACTAAGATGCACTTCCTGTCCTGAAGACATTGTCAGTCTCCTGGGGAAGACGGACTTCAAGAGAACAAAGACGAACACTGGATCCCTACTGGATTTGGAGGTCTACAGAGAGGGCTGCATTTTGTCCAGAATTTGGAAGGTAAAAATGGCCAGAAAAATGCAGAGAGGGAGGTTCTAACCCAAAGGAGCTTTATCAGTCAGATGTTCAGTATGGTGCTGCTGTAACCAACAGTTCCCTTGGAACTGACACGTGTCATATGTTTCCCCAGCTTATCAGACACAGGGGCCAGGAACAGAAGCCTCCCACAAGCCCAGAAGGACATACTTAATGCACAGCACTGATTGCTACAGGGACCAAGATGGGGACTTACAGGTGCATTTGGGGAAGAGGGCACTGGCCAGAAGGCCAAATCCACGCAAGGTGTGGGTTTGGGGAGGAGGGATGTGTCATAACAGAGTTCCCAGGAACAGCCTCTGACTTGTGCATAGGCAGTAGACTGGGGGTGCCCCGAGGGTCAATGCCCATAGGGAGTAAGGAGACAGGACTGGGTAGCAGGAGAATTTGAGCTGTGGAGGCCCAAGGAAAGGCTCAGCTGGGGGCACTTCAGGCTTGTCCTAATGCACCAGGCTAGACCTTCGTGCACCTCCTAAACCAGCCATTGGATGGGGGCAGCTCAAGGATGGGGTAGAACCTGGCTGAGGGCAGGCCCTGGGGAGGGCTCAGCTAGAGACTTCAGTAGCATTGCTCCAGCAGGAGGCGGATGTGGGTGCCAGCCACAAAGGAGTGTCCTATGGAGCACTATTGTCTCCAGCACAGAAGAAAGCCAGGGGCCTGGAGATGCCAGGCTAGAGATTCTCAAGCAGTCATTCTTGTATTGCTAGAACCACAGGGGCAGAAGATTTCAGAAGTGTCGATGGGTAATGCCTTTCCTATGGGCTTGACTGGGATGTACACTTTGCATAAAGTATATATTGTGAGGGTTTAACAACACACAAAGGACACCTGCACCTTGGCAAGAGAAAACGTAACAGTATGTGTAATATACCATCTGCTTTTCAGGTGTGGGAAAACTGTATGCAAAAACAAAACCCAAAAAGGACCTGAATTTCTGCCCCTGTTATAGTGTGATGTAGCAGACAGACCTGGCATATTTGACACCCTGATTACTGCCAACACTCCTCTCTTCCATAAGACAAAATTGTCAGTAATAATCATGACATGAAATAAATATGCATGAGCTAAAATCTGAACTTACCTAATAAATATGGTGCACCTCACAGTTCTAACCCTATGTCGCTGTCTGGAATTTTAAACACAAATGCAGATTCCAAGTGGTCACACTGAAGGAACTCCGATGTGTTTCTTCATCTTTACCTTCACTGTGCAGTCGCTGCGTAGGTCATATCTGCTGCATCCATGCAGGAACAGGAATGTGTAGCTCCGTAGGGCTGAGGATCCCAGCAGTGCCTGAAGCAAGCTTGAATGATCCAGGGCCCTGACAAACGTCTCTCATGATGCGCCTGTGGAAGCTCAGTCCATGTGTGTCAGAGATGACCATATTGCTGGGAGTTCTCTGAACTGACACGGTGTTTATTAAGTTATCAGTAATGACTACATGCTCACCTGAAGCTCATGTACCTATCACTGAAGCTTTGGTAACTGCAGCAATTGTTCAGAACTCTCACCAGAAAAGATTTTGTGGGAAAAGAGCATGTCATGATTGACATTGTGGGGAATTCCTAGTGTGCAGTGACAATAAAGAGCAGGCTCACTGGTGCTTGGTTTTATTATTGTTTTAAAATCCCCCACAGATGATGAGCCCCCTTCTAGCCTGCGCCAGGGCAGACCCCTTGCTCACCCCGTCCTTGGTGCTCTGCTGGGATGGCACTTCTCACTGCCCTTATGTTATTTTTTTGCCCCCAAGTTCCACTGAATTCTGGTATAACATCTCCAAAATCGAGCAGCATGTCTCAAGAATGAAAGCTGGAATAATTCAGAACATAACCATTGTGAGCCAAAGTCTCCCTTCTTGGTTTCTAAAGGGATGAGAGAGAAAGCAAGGATGTGTATGTGTGTGCAAATGTGACTGTGTGTTAGACGGCAATGGGAACTGAAGGCTGTGGGGACAGAACCAGGAGAAAGAGGTTTTGTTGGAAACTTGAATTCAGTAAGCAATGTATTTGGCTTCCCTATGCCTTGCTTTCCTCCTCTACTAAATGCCAGGGAGGCATTGTGAGAATTAAGAGAAAATCTTCATGAAGGCCTTCAGCACTTTAGCTGCCTGAGAAGCAAGTACTCAATAAAAGCTAGCTCTGCAATAACAAGGCTATAAGCATCTCTATGTACGTCTCCTGGGAACAAAACCACAGAAAGACATCGTGGCCACTAACTGGGGAGCCCACCATGCTGACCGTGAGTCTGGCATTGTTCCACCTTGAAGGCTTTTCCACTGAGCATGACGGAGATGTGCTGTTGTCATGGTGCCACGACATTAACCTCATCCCACACAAGCTGTGGGGCAGTGACTCATAGCGACAGGTGGCCAGGCGGTTTACACAAGGAGGGTGAGGTCTCTCAGATCTTGGAGAATTGAGCATTAGACAGGTACAAGCACAGTTTAAGTATAAAATCCATCCAGGAATCAGGTCCTTACATTTCTTTGGAATTTTCTACAACTGGGTTATGAAACTAACCATATTATGATATAAGGCATTTCCAGAATGCAGTGATGGTAATAATTGCTATCACTTATTGGACACTGACTACATGTCTTCTCCAGAGCTCCACACCAAGCTTTCATCTTTGTTTAGGTGTCCCCCAAAGCAGATGCTACAACAAGGACTCAAGAGCAGGTGGTTGGCCGGGCGCGGTGGCTCACGCCTGTAATCCCAGCACTTTGGGAGGCCGAGGCGGGCAGATCACGAGGTCAGGAGATCGAGACCATCCCGGCTAAAACGGTGAAACCCCGTCTCTACTAAAAATACAAAAAATTAGCCGGGCATAGTGGCGGGCGCCTGTAGTCCCAGCTACTTGGGAGGCTGAGGCAGGAGAATGGCGTGAACCCGGGAGGCGGAGCTTGCAGTGAGCCGAGATCCCGCCACTGCACTCCAGCCTGGGCGACAGAGCGAGACTCCGTCTCAAAAAAAAAAAAAAAAAGAGCAGGTGGTTTACTTGAGCAGTGATCTGGGAAACCCAAGCAGGGAGAGGAAATGCAAGACAGGGATAGAAAGGATGCCACAAAGTGTGCACTCAGGAACAGGTCACTGCTGGGGCAACTGGGCTCAGTGCCCGGGGGACCTTCCAAGTCGTGACCTGGACTTTGCCCTAAATCATCCTACCATAAGATGGGATTCTGGGGTTATCTACTCCCTCTTGTCACTCCTTGGCTGAGGATGCCTTTGGTGAGTTACACAACTGGTACTTCTGGGTCACCTGCACACGTGCACAAGCTCCCGAGGCACCCAGGAAAAACCTCGGGCAATGATGCAGAGCAGGCTTTGGGTACCAGCCTGGGGGACTAGGAGTCATGGCCTGGTTTGCAGGGAATCGGTAGAGGGTTTTGGTTATCCTCAGGTTCCTCCCACTTGGATCAAACCCTGCTGCAATGTGGATGGGAAAGACTAAGACACCACCCACCCCCAGGGGAAGTGGGAAGCTCAAAGACCTCGGCATTTGTGTTGCTCTGTGGTTCTCGGCATGTGGTCCTGATGCCAAGAACCACAGAGCAACACAGACTGAGCTGCCTGCGCCGTCCTCTGATAAATAACTTCCCCTAACATGCTGGACTGGACGTTCAGCCCCTACTGGGGATGGCTTGGACAGAACTGTCTGGCTTACTATGTTCTCTCTTCTAGAGTCAGGGTCATCCATGGGAAGGATGGAAGAATCTCAGGCAAGTGACTGGGACACTTCTGTGAGCGGGGCCATCACTTAGCAGGGTCTCTAAGGGGAGCCTAGAGAAGTAGTGATGGGAAGGGCTGCCCAGGGAGCTCTGCCCTCTCACTGCAGTGGGGAAGGAAGGCCTGGGCCAATTCTGGAAAAGGGAAGCCTGTGACACTGGTGGGTAAGGGGTCAGTAGTGTCACAGTGGGGAGTGGGGCCCCATGTCTCTGATGCCACTGGTGGGGAAGGTGGACCTGGTGTCACTGGAGGGGAAGGTGAGCCTGCTGTCACTGGTGGGGAAGTTGAGCCTGGTGTCTCCAGTGGGGAAGGTAAGCCTAGAGTCACCAGTGGGGAAGTTGAACCTGGAGTAAGGTGAACCTGGTGTCCCAGGTGAGGAAGGTAAACCTGGATGTGGAAGGTGAGCCTGGAGTCACCAGTGGGGAAGGTGGACCTGGTGTCTCCAGTGGGGGAGGTAGACCTGGTGTCTCCAGTGGGGGAGGTGGACCTGGTGTCTCCAGTGGGGAAGGTGGACCTGGATGGGGAAGGTGAGCCTGGAGTCACCAGTGGGGGAGGTGGACCTGGTGTCTCCAGTGGGGGAGGTAGACCTGGTGTCTCCAGTAGGGGAGGTAGACCTGGTGTCTCCAGTTGGGGAGGTGGCCTGGTGTCTCCAGTGGGGAAGGTGGACCTGGATGGGGAAGGTGAGCCTGGAGTCACTGGTGGGGAAGGTGGACCTGGTGTCACCGGTCAGGAAGATGAGCCTGGTTTCTCTGGTGGGGAAGATGAACCTGGTGCCTCTGGTGCGGAATGTGAACCTGGAGTCACCAGTGGGGGAGGTGAAAGTGGAGTCACTGGGTTTTCTCCTCGCCTTGGTGATAAGGGTCCGCGGATAACAGAGCACCTTGTTTTACAGCTTTACAATGTTCTAGTCAGATTACACAGAAAGGGCACTAATCATTTCTCTTCCTAACTCACCCTTCAATTCTGGAAAACAGTAGACAATTTTTAATACTGTTGTCTCTCTGCTATCCACATTTGCGTGAAAAAAAAACTGCATATTAGTGGACCCTCAAAGTTCAAACCCATGTTGTTAAAGGGTCAGCTGTAATTCCATTAGTAATATTAGCTGCACCTGGAGATAAACACCCGGGGACCCTCGAGTTCACCGGTGGGGGAGATTTTCCCAAACTCTTACCTTCAAGCAAATGTGGAGCAGAGCAGACCTCTGAGGGAAAGTCCTGGGTGGGGTTTGCTCCATGTTCCTTCCACTCTCAGGGTGTGGAGCCCCCACAATCTCCCAAACCTAGAGAGAGTAAACTGAAGCTTACTGTCCACCAAGACTGAAGGATGTTCCACCTTGTAAGTAACTGACAGTCGGATGACTCTTTAGTTGTCATGGCAGGTGCTGAAGGGCCAGTGCTAAACTCCGCTCAGTGCCTAGCATCTACTAGAACTCCCTCATGTTGTCCTCCTTTCCTAACAATTGTTACAAAGCATTCAGCTATAAAGTCAGTGCCTGAGGAGGAGAAAGCCACTTGCTTTCCCTTGTTTAAGACCCTCTTGCCCGTGGCTACTTCTGCTGGGGTGTTGCCTGGTTCTTTGGCATGAATTACCCCAGTATTGCTCAGGGTAGTGGGCCCACATCACAGCATCTGAGAACTCGCTAGAAATGCACATTTTAGAATCCTTCCCTAGAGCTTCTGAAGCAGCAACCATAGGGGTGGCCCAGGAGTCTGTGCTTTCACATGTTTCCCGATTATTTGTATGAATGCTGAGGTTGGACACACATAGACTTTAGCACAGGTGCGGCCTGCCCATTCAGGTATCCCTTTCTCTGGGATCTTGCCAGAATTCATCTCTTTCTAACCCCAGGACAAGCCAATTACAGGATCCATCAGAGACCAAATCATATGGAGGCAATAGCCTTACTACGTGTTTAAATAATAGTTTCTAAAAGTTTTTCTGCATGGTTGAAATATAGTGCTGGGACGGATTAAGCAGAGTGCTATGGGCTGAACTGTGTTCCCCCGAAAGTTCAAACATTGAAGTCCTAACTCCCAGAACCTCAAAATGTGACTGTATTTGGAGACAGGGCCTTTAAAGAGTGGGGTACATTAAAATGAAGTCCGTAGGATGGCCTGGTGTCCTTATAAGAAGAGGAGATTAGGACACACACACAGAGGAAAGGCAATATAAGGAGACATGGAGACAAGACACCATCTGTAAACCAAGGAGAGAGGCCTGAGGAGAACCAGCCCTGCCAACCTCTTGATCTCAGACTTCCAGCCTCCGGAACTGTAGGAAATCATTCCTGTTGTTTAAGCCCCTGGCGTGTGGTACTTTGTTATGGCAGCAGAGCCGACTACAACACAGTAATTCAATTAACTTCAAGTATTCCACTGAGAGGTAGCTTTTGAGTTAAATAATATTTAAGGAAAAGAGGGAGCATGACATTGACCATTTAATAAGATGAAGACACCTGCCTGTTGTAACCAGACTCTGTAGACCCCAAACTTGCAGCACAGAACCACTTATTATTACCCAACTCACGAGCGATGTGAATCACTCCATGGCAGCCTTCACATCACTGCACCCATGTCTGACAATGAGTTCAACTGTATAATTAAGTAAATTAAGATGGCCAAGGCCACTGGATCAGATAACTTATCTTTAGATCCATGAGTATATTTGGCAGGAACATCAAGGCTTCATACAGATGGCTTCAGAATGTTTAATCTGAATTTTTATTGGCAGCCGTATCTAGCACAACCAATTCACTGTGAAAACCAAAGTGCCAATTAGATCTTGTTTGTCCCCCGTTGCAGCTTTATGAGGCTGTTGAAATGAGAGTAGCCAGGGCCCAAGGGTAGGGTGGCGGACAGAGTGTGGCTGACTTCTATTTAAGCTTAGTTGGCCACCCAGGAATTGCATTTCATTGAAATGGACCCATTCTGGCATTGTAGACTGGGGGGATATAATGTTATTCCCCATCTCACCCACACAAGCTAAACCAAGGTGTCTAAAAACATCCTCTGATGTGGAGGAGATACTAATGACATTGCTCTAAAGAAACTTACCTAATGCCCACCTGAGACAAAGAGGTTTTGAATCACTATTTACCCTGACCTACAAACTAATTTGTAGAACACGTTAAGACCAACAGCATCTGTGGCTCCCAGCTTCTACAGCATAAAGCTGATTGAAAATAATTTAAACCAAATTGTATAACTGACATCTAATCTGTAGGCATATCTGAAAGTTGGCAAAAATCAGAGCTAGCCCGTATTGAACCTGCAGCCACGCACGTGCCCACGTGTGCCTATGTGTGGATCTGAGCGATGTTCTCTCCAGTGCCTATCATTCCAGAGGTGTCAGGCAAAGCCAAGAAAAGAATCCACCCGTTCAATCTCCACATAGACAAGGTGCAAAGGTTACTAAACGGTCTATAGTAATCAAAGTACTCATTTCAAAGACTTGTGCTCAAGTCTGTGCTGCACAGCAAACAGTAGTTGGCTAAGAGGAGCAAGTGAAGAACACTTATCAGGCACCAGCTTGTGTCAGCAATTGACCCAAATCTCACATCACACCACAAGGCAGGAGTCAGAGCCCATTTCACAGACGAGGACCCTGAGAGGCTAAATGCCTCTCCCAAGTGGGAAGAGCTAGCACTGGACACAGGTGGTCTGACTCAAATCCAGCCCTGTGGGTGACCTGGGGATAAATCACACCACAGACAAGTCATTTGAGTGCCCTTCCAGCCAGTAGTGACAATGTTATTTGCCTTTTAGGCAAATCAGAGTATGCTGTGGTCACTTTGCCTCTTGGTATTTGCTCCTGCACTGAATTGAGGCTGGCCTACTGTGATAAATTGCATGTGGCAGGATCATGTTGTGTGACCTCCAAGGCTGGGTCATAAAAGGTCTTGCAGCCCCCACCTTGGTCTCTTGGATCACTTACTCTGGGGAGGCTAGCCGCCATGTCATAAGGACATTCAAGTAGCTCTGTGGAGAGGTTCACAAGGAGAGGAGAGGGGCCCTCATGCAGCAGCCAGCATCAATGTGCCAGCCACGTGAGCAAGTCACATTGGAAGTGGATCCTCAGCCCCAGATGAGTCTTCAGATGAGCCACATCCCCAACTGACATCCAACTGCAATTGCATGAGCCAGATCCTGAGACAGAAGCACCCAGCCAAGCTGATCCCAAATTCCTAACCTGTAGACACTGTTTACGGGTGACTTTTTGCATGGCAATAGATCATCAATGCCCATATAAATCTCTTCACCCTATTTCCATGTATTAAAAAGAGTGATGCTAGTAGGACGTGGCACCATCTCTGGCAGTAAAAAATAAGTAAGTAACACTACCTGCTCCACCAGTCGATGACAGAGTAGCAGGACCCCAAGGAGCTCAGCAGCTCCCAACTTTTGGTGTTACCATCCTCCAGGTGTTAAAGAGCCCATGGTTAGGACCCACAAAAGCCCTGTGTATTCTGATAGCCTTATGTATACATCACGAAAAGAGGTACCATCCTCAATTCCTCTCTTCCTCTTATATCCCAAAATATACCTCAACAGAACCTGCTACAGCCACCTTCAAACCTATCCCAAATTGACCTGCTTTTCTCCATCTTAAAACCACACCCATGGACAACCCATGGGTTGTCTCTCCCATGGACAACTGCAGCAGCCTCCTAAAAGGCACCCAGGCTTCCTCTCTGGCTCCATACAGCAGCCAGAAGGGCCTAACATAAATTCCATCCTAGCACTCCTCCCTCAGGCGCTCCTGTGGGCTCCTGTTACCTGGAGAGTAAAATCCACTGCTTTCCCTGGCCTTCAGAGTGCACCCCAGCTGGACCTGCCACCAGACCTTTCCCCTGGCAGTCCTTCTTTCTGGAGCATTCTTCCCGTGGATTTTATCTGGCTTCTTTCCTTCATTTCTCCTCACCTCATGGTCACCTGACCACCTTTCCTAAAGAAGCTACCTGATGACTCCTTTGCGTCTCCCTGTACTGATTGTCTCAGTCGGCTCAGGCTGCCACAACAAAACCCTGGAGGCCGGAAGTCCAAGACCAAGGTTCTGGCAGGGTTGGTTCTGGTGAGGGCTCTCTTCCTGGCTTGCAGATGGCTGCCTTCTTACTGTGTACTCACACAGGGGAAAGGGAGAAAGGGGGCGAGTGCTGGTGTCTCTTCCTCTTTCTATAAGGGCACCAGTCCTGTGGGATCAGGTCCCACCCTTACAACCTCATTCCACCATTGTCACCTCCTCACAAGTCCTGTCTCCAAATGCAGTCACACTGGGGATTATGGCTTTGACATATGAGTGAGGGGGGTAGCAAACATTCTGCCCATAGCACTTGTCTTCTGCATTGCCTTTTACATCGCTATTTTTCACTGTTTTAGTCATTTATGGATTTGCCTCTCTACCCCACCTACCTTAACATCCCCAGTGTCAAAAGCTGTTCCTGGCATGCTGTAGGTAGCCAGTAAACATGGGGTGGGTGCACGAGTGATGAGTATGTGAAGCTGGAGAGAATTGCACATGGCTGAGATATCAGAAAGACAGAAGCGAGTTCCTGCATGTATTGAGCGGCGGGGTGAAGGGGCTCTTTATATTGATTTGCATCCTCCTCTTGGTCTTAATACTGATAGAAATTTATGCAATCAATGGGCAGCTTATATTTGTGTACTGCTTAGGATTCACAAAGCTTCTAACGCACATGGCCTCGTTTGCTCCCCGCAACATTCTGAGATACAGTGAGAGTCAGCACCCCTGTAACAGCTATTATTGCAAAGAAGACCATCCCCAAATTTGCTAGCTTCAAACAACCACTTATTTAGCTCATGATTCAGCTGATCAGCAATTTCGACTGAAAGCAGCCAGGCGGTTACTGTGGTTTGGGCTGTGCTCCCTCATGTCGCACCTGTCTGGGAAGCTGGGGGTCAGCGAGAGGGTGTGCTTTGGTGACGTGGCTCACAGTCAGCTGGGACGCCTCTGCTCTCCTCCACACACCGTCTCTCTCCCAGCAGGCCAGCCCAGACTTGTTTGCAGGCAGAGACCAAGGAGTGAGAGCTGGCAAAGGGCACCAGGTTCAGGAGGCCCAGCTCAGAACTATGCATCCTGTTAGACAAAGTGAGCCATGAAGCATCCCATCTCAAGGGGTGGGAAGTTAGACTCTGCCTCTTAACAGGAGGAGCTGAAGAGTCACACGGGAAAGGACGCAAGGAAGGGATGGAAAGTGGGGACATTTTTGCAATCAATCCATCATGTTCACATTTTACAAAAAGAGAGACTCAGAAAATGTAATGACTTGCCCAAGGTCACAGTGCTCAAAGACCTGAACTTGGATTGCCTGCCCCCGAACTCACTGCTCAGTTCTCAGTGAGCAGTTCTGAGGGTGCAGCAAGCTCTCTCTAATGTTAGTTGCTGACTTTCTTCACCAACCTGCTGATGTTAAGAACCTTCCCCCATACCACTTCATCCAAGGTTTATGGCAATGATTTTGTACCCTCATGCAAATGCTGTACACTGTACACTGTACACTGCACTGACCGCATCCCAACAACAGAGGCTGTCTCTTCTTTCTCTAAAAACGCTCAGCTTAGATTTAAGTATCGATGCCAAATGAGGAGTGCCATGCTTTGGGCTTAAACACAACTGTCCTCATGAAGGTTCAGGCAGGCTTTTTGCTCTTCTTTGGTGACATTTGATTGACACCCTGAGCATACCTTCGAACTGTGTAGGTGGCGACCGTGAAAAGTGCAGGGCTGGTGGATATAAAGAGAGTGGGTGACAAGCCCGAAAGTCCACACTCTCTTAGAGTGCAAACAAAAACAGAAACAATGATTAGAGGCTGACTCACCCACTGCGTGGCTCCATTAGAAATTTCCAGTGCAGTTACTTAGGCAGCAAATCACACTCAAAAGACTAGATGCTGAAAGGATAGATTTTTTAACATACTCTCCACAAAAAATATATATATAAAAGTTGGTGAGATGACGGATATGTTAATCAGCTTGATTTGACCTTTCTACAATGTATACATGGATGAAAACATCACATTGTGCCACATAAATATGCACAATTCTTATTTGTGAATTAAAAATATATTAATTAATTTTTAAAAACCCAAATGCCTTACCTGGTAGGAAGGATTTGAGACTGCCTTTTCCTGTTTTTAGCCAATTAGAAAAAGATTAAAATATAATGCATTACATTTACTAAAAATGGCAATTAAAAACCATCATTAACAAGTGTTTAAATCAAATAGTGCATGATGATGAAAGAACAATTAGTGCACAATTCTGTCAAGTTCTTTCTCTCATAGAAAACAGGATAGCTGAGTAATTTAGATCAGGGGTTGGCAAACCATATCTTGGAGCCAAATCCAACCTGCCGCCTATTTTTGTAAATAAAGTTTTATGCGAACACAGCCTCACTCATTCATTCATGATTTGTCTATTTCTGCCTTCATTCTACACCAACAGAATTGGGTAGTGGGAATGCAGGCCCTATGACCTTCAAAGCCTAAATTATTTACTCTTTCGCCCTGTACAGACAAAGTTTGCTGGGAACTGGTCTACTTCCTGGAATACCAAGTTCTGTAAAGGTCCTGGGATATGGAGGATAGGGAGAGGGTGGCCAGTCCATCGGTCTGCATGGTACATGAGGCAAGTGTGACATGCTATCCTCCAGGTGCATGGAGCAGTGTGTGCTCCCAGGGAGAGTTTGCTGAATTGAACAGCATAGAATCAAGATCCAGCTGATCCCCAGGTTGGAGAACATGCAGAATGTGCCCCTTCTCAATCCAATTAGCTAGAATCTCAGAGAACCAGTTCAACTCAAGCCCCGACAGTCTGCCTGCAAGCCCAAATTAAAGCAATGGTGCAGTTTGATGCTCCTGTTTTTGCTAGGGCACCTCTGAACCAGAATTACTCCTTGAGTCACGAACTGCCCCAGATGAGACTCTGTTATGCTCGGGGAGGACCTGAACTGCTAGAGGGTGAAAGAATCAGGCAGGTCGACCCTTTGGAAACTCAGTTTGCCCCGAAGGCTACACCCAAAGTGGTCACAACCTAAGTTCAGGCACAAACGGTTCCCTGGTTCCAGACATGCCCATGCTGTTGGGGTTGCTGCTGTCCCTGATGTATGCTTGTGTCTGAAAAGGCCAGAGAGGGACCAGGGGCCCCTCTCAGGCTTGATTTATACAAGGGCTCACATCAATCTGGATGATCTTGGTGAGACAGGAGAATAGGGAATTAGGGCAACCAAGTGTTAAGTCATAAGCAAAGGAAAGGCGGGTGGAGCCAGTTCTGGGCAGGATTCGGCAGTGTGTGGACCACATCTTCACTCCTGTATTGACAGAAGTTTCCACTTCAGCCTCTGACCATGGGCAGGGTCTCCACTTCAGCCTCTGATTGGTCTCAGGCCAATCCTTCATGGGGTGCAACCAATTGGAGGCGTCTAAAGAGCACCTAGGGGTGTTGCCAGATTTTTTTGGCTTAATAAAAACCCTAATTGGGGGATACTCTTGAGCTGCTTGCTGGAGCCTGCTCCCACTCTGTGAACTGTACTTTCACTGCACTAAATCTGTGCTTTTGTCACTTCTTTCTTTTGTTGTTTTGTTTTTCATTGCTTCGTTCTTTTGTTGCTCTGCTTGTGCATTTTGCTGAGTTCTTTGTTCAACACGCCAAGAACCTGGACAACTCACAGTCAAGACCTTCCATCCAGTAACACTGGGGCTGTCACTATGGCTAGTGCAGCTTAAGAGCCACCCCCTGCTTTTGTTCAACATGAGCTAATCCCATCACCTCCCAAGCCTCTGGGTCTGCAAGCTGGGAGTAGAACTGGACTGCCTGCACAAAAGTGTTAGCAGCTCAGGGCCAGAACCCTTTAGACTGTCCCCATGGAGCTGCCCAGGTGATGAAAACAGAACTGGGAGGTAAGGCTAAGAATACTTTTCCTAGAAGTGAAGCAACTCTGCATTCAGGTCTCTCTACATCTTGCTTGGTGGCATCAGGCTCTTTTCCTTTCTGTTGTCCTCCTTCCATCCCTCCACCCAATCTCCCTTTCTCTCCATGCACTCAGGGCCCTCACTTCTGGCCTGGACTGTATTAACAAGCCTTTGTGTGTCCAGGAGCCTCTCGTTCCTCTCCTTGCCTATCCATGCATTCTTCAAACATAAGGACCGTCCCGCCACCACCTAAAGGAGCTCATAGCAGCTCTTTGGGAGACATTGGTGGGCACATCCCAGTCTCAAAGGATGAATAATAGGAGTTGGAGTCAAGCATGGGGCCTCTTCCCTTTGCCAGTGATTGAATTAGGTGTGACAGGAAAGACAATTCTGATCCAGGAGACATGAGGGGACATCTGCAGAAAGGACCTCTGAGGAAGGTTGTCCTTCCTATTGAGAAGAGGGCAGGGGAAGGGATGGCACTGACCACTTCACTTTCCACCACTGTGGCTGGACATGGTGCCTGGACAGTGGCAGGTGGTGTGTAGGAAGGCAGCCCACCACAGACCAACACCAGCATGAGATAGAGAGACCTGCATTCTTGATGATATTGGCAGGCTGATGAATTAATTGACTCTGGAATCACACCGACTCCAGAATTTGTTATTTGTGGGAAAATGTACTTTTTTGTTCATTTAAGCTATTTTAAATTAATTTGCATGTTATTTGCTTAAACAAGCTTTGAAGTACCTGCCACCAATGAAACACCATCCCTGGACCCAGGGGCCTTCTTTCCGCTAGGCACACCTGCTCTGACTCTTAGAGGTTCCCTCTCAGTCTTAAACATCCTGGATTCCTTCCCACACTGATGCTAACCTAGGCTCAATTTCAAAGTCTTCCCATTGGCCTGTATTGTCTCACAATTTCTCCTATCATGTCCAAAGATATTGAAAATTTTATTTAAAACTGAATCACTCTTGCTGGAGGCCAGGAGTTCAAGACTAGCCTGGAAAACATAGCGAGACCCTATCTCTACAAAAAAAAAATTAAAAAATTATCCAGGCATGGTGGGATGCACCTGTAGTTCCAGCTACGCAGGAGGCTGAAATGGGAGGATCCCAGGAGTTCCAGGCTGCAGTGAGCTATGATCACACCACTGCATTCCAGCCTGGGTGACAGAGACCTTTTTTCTAAAAAAAATAAAAATAAAAAATAAAAACTGTCTCACCATACTTCTGCTTCTGGTAATGATGAATTCGGTTATTTGAAGCAAAATTCTTGCTGAGGACACTATGAAAGCAGAATAAAATATCAAATCATCAGTCTAAGGGCATCAGAAAACTAAAAATAGAGAATAAAGTAAAGCCAGGATTGTGTAAAGATGGAGATCCCAACAGGTGAGCTCAGCATTGGGGCTGCTTTTCCCTGGGGGCATTTTACAGTTTTAAGAGGGCATTTGAGAAGCAGGGCAACAGGTTCAACAGGCTCAGAGAACAGTCTCCCAAGTCAAGGAGGGAACAGAGCATGAAGCCAAGGAGAAGTGTGGTAGAGAGGGATACTTTATTTATGTCCAAGGCAGATGGCCATGCAGTCGTGAAAGAAAAATCTTCTCAATAAGTGGTAGTGGCTTTGCTTCAGATCCATATGGAAATAAGAGAAAATTGCTACCTTATACCACACACACACATTTGCAGGTCTAAATATGAAAGTCAGAACACATCTTTTGAATAAAAATGTAAAAGAATATCTTCTTGAACATTGGCTAGAGAAAGACTAATTAAACAAGCAGTAAAATGCATGACCCATACAAGGAAAAACTTGATAAATTATTCTACAATAATTCTAAGACCCCCTAGTCATTGAAGACACCAGGAAGAAAGAAAAACGTAAGCAGCAAAGTGGGAGGAGATATTTGTAGTGTGTTTAACTTGAAGAAGATTTCTGCAAATTATTAAGATAATGACAACCATGTAGAAAATGAAACAAGAGACTTCAAATGACCAATAAAGATATGAATAGGTAATCAAGGAAAATTAAATGAAAATCACCATGCCCCATGCATCAGAATGGCCAACACAAAAAAGCCTGGCAGCACCAAGGCTTTGGTTGAGGTGTAAAGTTATAGAGCCCTACCACCCTGGAAAGGGTTTAAGTCAGTACAACCACTTGGAAAGACTGCTTGGTGTAAATTATTAAAACCAAGGTCATGAAGAATGGAGGACCCAGCACATTTACCTCTGGGTATGTCGGTTCCGAACAGCATTGCATGGACAAGTACACCAAGAGGTAAATACAATTCTTGTGGCAGCAGTGCTTTCTACAGCCCCTAATTGAAAATGATCCAAATGCAAATCAATAATAAAGATGTATTCCTAGGTATGGAACTACACAAGAATGATCTACAGCTAAACATCATAGCAAGCCAGATACACCAGAACGCTTGCTGCACAATTTCATTAAGATAAAGATCAAAACCCAGCAAAACTAAGTCAACTATTCAGTTGCTAAGGGACAGCAAGGAAATGATTTCTATAAAAGTTGGGATAATTGTTACCTTTCGGGGCAGGTCCTCTGGGAGTGGCAAAGTTATCCTTTCGACCTGAGTACTGGTTATGCAGGTTTACTTTGTGGATAAATTATCTTGGTCCTGTGTACTTTTCTGGTTGTATTTTATATTTCACCATAAAGAGAAGATAAAAGGAAAATTGACACTCAACCCTCATTCAGTGAAGCCTTTGGGAATAGGCTCTGCCTGGTTTTTTACACTCCATGCCAACATCGACACGAGTGTCTACATATAGACGCTGCTGCATTTCCTTCTAGGTGCTGGATCTCATGGCTGATCATGTCTCTGGGTTTGATTTCGGCACACAAAGCTAAGCACTACCTGGATGCAACTGCAACCATTCAGGATGCAACTGCAAGCCCTTCTGTGAGACAAACTTACTTTGGGCTTTATTATTTCTTCTACTCCTCATTTTTCTATAAAACTTCCTCAGTGATTCATTTGATTCTTTCTTGTTATATATACGTATATTGTGATAAGTAATGTTGCTTCAGTTTGTGTAAGTAGCACTGTCTTTGCTATCTATTGTTATTGCAAACAACAGCCCTACAATTTACTGAATTGAAACAATGACAACTGATTATTCCCCATGACTTGGCAATCTGGGCTGAGCTCAGCTGGGCTGGGTAATAGTGTCTGATGTGGTTGGAACATCCAGGATGGCTTCTTCACTTGGCTGGGAGCTGCCTGGACATCCTTTCTCTCCATGTGGCCATTTTCCCAGATGGGTAACTGAATTTCCTTACCTGAGGCTCAGCACTGTAAGAGAGGGTGTCCCAGGAATATAAGCCCAACCTGCATGCTCTTATCAAGCCTGGGCCATGCTTTCTGACATCCACTGGCCAAATCAAGTCAAAAGCCAAGGTCACTGGGAAGGACAGCACAAGGCGGTGAATATCAGGGATCATCAGGGCCACGAAAATAAGCCCATCACGGATACATGGGAATAATCAAATGCATATATTCAGAAATGCATAGAGCAATAAAATAACTTGGAAAATATTTCTGTATCTCTGTAAAAGTTTTCCCTTGTTTGTCAATTTGACCAACAGCTTACTAGTGATCAAATCTCTACCAGTTTTAGCACATGTTCTCCATTTGCAGCATGACTGCTTAGAAAGTTTTCCCTAAGATTAGGCATTTTTATGAACACTGTGATGCTCATAAACCTCAGAGGTGGGAGATCCAAAATAAGTCTCAGGTCCCAGGGACCTAACATTAAAGGACACAGCTCCTCCAAAAAATGTGCAATGGGAGGAGAATTGAGGTGCCATGGGCTTGCCCAGGGCCTGGGCACTCCAGTTACCTTCCTGGAAGGCTGGCTCTGACCTCAACACCTTTCCTGAACTTCTCAGAGCAATCTCCTTGCTGCATTGTCCCCTCAGCCTGCCCCACTACTAGAAATCCCTGTCTTGGTATTTTGGTATTTTGAGATGAAAACCACAGAAGACAGTAGGAACTGCTGGGAAATTCACCTGAACAAACAGGACGTGAGAAAGCCCAGAAATAAGGCATCATCCTTAGACGAGGGGGCCATGCAGTCTGGGGAGGAAAGTGTCTGGACCATTCAAAATCTGGATTGCAAATCTTCCATCACCCCGCAGCTACTTCCTTTGTAACCCTCTGGAGCACGCTTCCTTCTCCACTTTCCCTCATAAGCATTTCTACATTCAGTGCCTGTAGATGGGGTGGCTGGCCAGGGTTCCAGACTGTTTGCTACTGCTGCTTCCAAACAGCTACAAGCTGCTGAGTTATTCCTCTTGTTGGTTGTTCGTGGAGCCACCATAAGATACCCACCACAGTCTCTGATCCCTGCCTGCCTGGTTGAGCTGTTATGCCACATCGTTTCCCTGACTTGGTCTCCATGCAGGGAAAATCATGGCGTCTTATTTAGCCTGTGCCTCAGGACTGATGCTGGCAGAACTGTTTAAACAACAAATAAATGTGCTTAAAAAGTCCTTTCATTTTGTCAAAAGAAGGGAACTAACAATTTATGAGAGCTTACTATATGCCAGATGCTTTATTTATTCCCTGACTTAGTTCTCACAAAAAACACTTGAAAAACATATCATTATACCTATTTTCACAGTCCTGCAAACTGAAGTGCAGAAAGGCCAAGTCAGTGGTATGCAAAGGCTCCACAGTCCTGATAGCGCTATAAGAACACACTTGAAAATGTGTTTCTGACAAATGTTCTGATCTGCCTAAAATACTTGAGTTTTTTTGAAAGGAAGAAACCATTGTTGATCTAATATCTAAGGAAGAAAGTGTTCTGTTTTGTTTTTAAATACTGGGAGCTGGTTTTAGGTAAGAAAGTCCGTGTGATATTTGGTAAGGATTACTAATCCTTAGAAAGAGACACAATTGGTGTCAATAAATAAGGCCAATAAGAATAACAAAAATAAATGTTGATGTCTATTAGGAAAAAATAGTCTCGTGACAATGGTTAGGATGAAGCTTCCTGCTGTGTTTACTTAAGGGATTTTCTTCAATTATCTGTGAGGCAAGAAGGCAGAAAACATTGAGTGAAAACACGAAGCCACTGTTAGTCAAGAATTCTACTGTCTCTCAACAATCAGAAACAAAATTCCCTGGGGAAGCCCTTCCCCATATTAATTAGAAAAGTCAGGGAGATGAAATTGAGACTAGAATAATAAGATAAGCATGAAGGCATAGGTGGCCCCAGTGTCCTTACAAACACTCCAGAAAATTGTACCCTATGGAACTGTGCAGAGGTAGGTTTGCAAATCAAACACATGAAATGATGAAATGCTACTAGATATAAGTCAGATTATATGTATTCTTATATTTATGCACTTAATAAGCATTTATTGAGCACCTATTATGTGCCAGGTTCTATGTACTTTGAATACAATGATGCTATCCTCTAAGAATGTAAAATAAACTTATAAGTGCTGCAATCGTAATTACTTAAAATATTGACATATATTGAATGTATATTTAATTATATTTCAGGTTATAATTATAACCATTCTTTTTTTTTTTTTTTTTTTTTTTTAGACAGAGTCTCAACTCTGTCGCCCAGGCTGGAGTGCAGTGGCGCAATCTTGGCTAATTGCAAGCTCTGCCTCCCGGGTTCACACCATTCTCCTCCCTCAGCCTCCCAAGTAGCTGGAACTACAGGTGCCTGCCGCCACGCCCAGCTAATTTTTTGTATTTTTAGTAGAGACGGGGTTTCTCCGTGTTAGCCAGGATGGTCTCGATCTCCTGACCTCGTGATCCGCCCACCTCGGCCTCCCAAAGTGCTGGGATTACAGGCGTGAGGCACCACGCCTGGCCAATTATAACCATTCTTATACTTTTGTTTTAATTATAAATGGGAGTTTCATAGAAAAATTGCCATTTGGCCTTATTCACCTCAATTCATCACTTCTTGATTAAATTTATCCATCAGGTTTATGTAGCCTTAGCAAGTACAATAATTCTCCTAATGGGAACTGCTTCAAGTGAAGAAGGAGGAAGCGCTATCTAGGAGGAAGCACTCAGTCTCTGTGATGTATTTGCAAATCCATTCCTACTAACAAATAGTGGCTGTAAGAAAGACATCAATGAATACATCTAATCTGTCTTCAGGTTGTTTGTGAAGGACTAGGATAGATGTGGGGGTCCAATAAGGTAGAGGGGATCAACTGTACACTAAAACAAGTTATTCCAAATGTAGTCTAAACTTCACAATATCTGGTTTTAACATGATAGCACAAAATCTTTGTTTTCTTCCTTTCCTTAATTTCTTGGCTATTTTGCCCAACGATATTTCTTTCTGGCAAATCACCCAATGGCAACAAGGAATATAGGGAACAGAAATGAAAACTGCATCTCTGATGAGCCTAAAGATGGTTAAACCCGCAAACTCTGACATAAGAGGGAGAATGGCTAAGAGCAAGGTCAAAAGGGATGTCAGAAGACATAGGGAGGGAAGGCATCAGAAACCTGGGAGAAGGCCTCTCAGGGGAAGTGGTGTGTCTGAGCTTCCAGCCCACCCATCCCTATGCAACTGGGCAGGAAACAGAATGTGAGATGTGCTTTACTATATAACACAGTTTGCTCAGGTACTTAAAAAACTGGTGTGATTTTGGCATCAGAAAAACAAGCCATATTTGAAAACTGCCAAAGCAAACACACAAGCAAGCAAACAATCCCTATGATCTGGACATTCTTTTTTTTTTTTTTTTTTTTGAGACAGAGTCTTGCTCTGTCGCCCAGGCTGGAGTGCAGTGGTGCAATCTCGGCTCACTGCAAGCTCACCACCTCCCGGGTTCACGCCATTCTCCTGCCTCAGCCTCCCAAGTAGCTGGGACTACAGGTGCCTGCCACCACACCCGGCCAATATTTTGTATTTTCAGCAGAGAAGGGGTTTCACCATGTTAGCCAGGATGGTCTCGATCTCCCGACCTCGTGATCCGCCTGCCTCGGCCTCCAAAAGTGCTGGGATTACAGGCGTGAGCCACCGTGCCTGGCCGATCTGGACATTCTTAACCCATATCTTAACCAACTCCTAACTCAAAAAGAAAACTAAAACCAAATAGCAGAATGTAGACTATGACCATGATAAAAGCTTGACAAACCAGAACCTATGGGTTATCCCTAAAGAAGTGCTCAGAAGAAATTTCAGGGCCTGGAATAATGTGCTATATTCATGCATTTGATCAATGAACAAATACATTGCATACCTATTCTATGTCAGGCATTATTCTAGCAGTACATAAAACAGGTTGAAACGCCTGTCTCTGTGGAGTGTGCATCCTAGTGAAGGAAATAAATAAGTACTGTATTTACGTAGTAGGTCATGCAGTGTTAGTGTTAGAGGAGAAAATAAATTAGGAAAGGAACTAAAATGTGCATAGTGGGTTTGAATAAGGCGGTTAGGAAGGCCTAATAGAGAAGGATACATCTGAGTAAAGATGTAAATGGGTGAGAAGTGTGTCTCTCTGGGGGAGAAAAGGCTCCCTGCCGAGGAAAGAAAACTTGCAAAGGCCCAGAGGCTTGCAAAGGTCTGAGGCTTCGGAACTACTTGCTTCTAAAAGAACACTCCATGTTCCTCTCCCTTCCATGTACCTTGAGAGTGCCTCTAACTGCTGGCATCTAAACCAGAGCCCTCTAGCAGAGATTTGGGGAAATGTAGCTCCTAGGCAACCATGTCCTGGAGTACACGGGAAAACATAGAAAATACACACCCAGCATGGGTTGTAGCTGGAGATGGCTGTGAAGTCAAAAATTTGCTGTTGCTGTTGTTGTTTTTATTTTAAATGATAAACATTAAAGTGCACTGTTATGCTGATGTTAATGTCTCACTGTTGTGGGAAATTTTTATTATGCAGGAGAAGGGAAAATTTTCTAGAGCAAAATGCTAGAAAGCATAGGATCTAGCAAACAAGAGGAAAGGTTTTTCTAGATAAGAATGGACAGGGAGCATGTTGATTTCTGTGGTGGAAGTTTGCTGTGATTACTCCTTTCATTTCTTTCCCCCAGTGAAATAGGAAGCAAGGTGATTGGCTGAGAGAGAAGACAGAGAGGAAGTTTTGGAGGTGTAAAGACAGGAGTCATGAAATGATCATGTGGGACATGAGATTAATTTGGCCAGGAAACGTGAAGTGATGGCAGGAAACAGCGAGGACCCATTTGATACTATGAAATTAAAGTGAGGCCAGTAGCATACTGGAGGTTATTTTTCCTGCCACCAGCAGGTGCATGAATGCAGTGCAGAGTGGTGGAAAGTTCCCTGGTGAACTTCAGAGCATCCAGCAATGCTGGCTGTGACAGCACAGGCATTGGCCAGCCAGGACGGACTATGGCTGTACTACCAAGAACCAGCCAAAATGCCAGTCCTGGGAAAATGGGATTCATCCAGCTCAGGGCTCTTTCCAGAGACAGGCATGCAACAAAACAGGTGAGTTGCGTGAGTTAACGATGCATGTAAAGGTGTGATCGTAATGGGTTATTCAACTGAGGCATGAAGGAGGCAGTGAATGGGAGAGTCCATTGAGGCTGGAGAATCATAACAGCAGACACACAGGTGCAAGTGAGCTGGGAAGATGAGAGGGGGACGCTAGGAGAGCAGGGTGCTGGAAATGGCAACTGTGGCAGGATTGCTGGACAATTCCTAGTAACAACATGAGTAATCATGATCATAGTATTACCCTGGCAGAGAGTGCTGAGGTGGAGTGGAGAATAGGAACATTGAAAGGAAGGAGGCCCAGAACTGGTGTGGAGGGAGGCAGTGTAATCTGAAAGCTCTGCTCTATGGCACTGAAATCAGCAAACATTAAGAAAGTAGTCGTGTTGTAAAGAATGACAGTGGGCCAGGAGATGCATCTTTACAGATTGATGAGACTATTCTGAAGGGGAAGGGGAGAGGAGTCTTCAGAAAGAAGAGGTGTCGTGTGGTGGGACCTGATCTCAAGAGATTCTAATCTGCTGGGAGGTGTGCAGAAAACATCCCATAAGCGAAAGTGCAGAGCACAACCTTGGATCCTATCACCATACTGACCAGGTCTCCACAGAATCACTTTGATATGTGAATGTCCTTAATTCTCAGCAGATATACAATAATTTCTGTATGTCAAGCCTGGGATTAATGGGGTATTAAAATGGAACTGTCTTGGCAAAATCTGTCTTCATTCCAAACAGACACAGTGATGGCAGATCCAGCTACCCCATCAGGGTGGGGATTGCCTGCAGGTCAAGCCTGTAGAATATCACTCTCGGGGCAGCTCCTCTTACAGAGTAATGAATTGTACTCAAAGGTCAATTCTACAGTTCCAGAGGTTTTTTCATACTCTTGATCATGGGCTTCTTTTCTTTTTTTCTTTTTTTTTTTCTTTTTTTTTTTTTTTTTACCAAAGGCAGATACTACAGACAGTATGAACAATGAAATCTGAAATGTCTCATTTTTGACATTTCATAGACTTTGATTAATCAACAGAATTGACTACAGTGTCCTTATTGGTACTAGAATGTGCCATTCATTCATACAAAATATATTTATCAATTCATTTATTTGTTCATTCAAAATATACTTACAGAGTCCCTACTCTGCTAGCCATACTTTCAGGGGCTAGAGTTACAGAAGTAAACAAGACGATATGCCTGGTTTTCTGGGGCTTCTGTTACAGTGGGGAAGAAATGACAACAAGATAATCAGTCATGTAGCTTCAGAGAATAATCATGGAGATGAAGAAAGTAAAGCAGGTAGGAAGACAAGAGCAACGGTGATGCTCTTTCTGATGACGGGTTGCAGAAGGCCTCCCCTTGCAAAGAGCTTGGGGAAAAGAAGTCCAGACAGGGGCATGAGGATTCTGGACCTGTCGCCACATGGCCAGTGAGGGCAGAGCTGAGCACAGGACGGACAACCGGGCAGCAATGAGATCTGACCACACGGGACAAATCATAGAGGGTCTACCTCACAACAAGGAATTCAGAGTTTAACTGTGATATGAGAAACCACTGGTGTGTCTGGAGTATAAATCATATATTTGGAAGCTCACTCTGCCTGCTGCACAGAGAAACACCAAAGGGGACCAAAAGGAGACTTGAGGAGACAGGTGATAGGCTGGGTGGCTGAGACCTGAGTGTGGCCCAGATCGACAAGAGGTAGCTGTATTCTGGAACTGTTTCCAAGGTAGAGGAGAATCAGGAGCAATTTCTATTTTGGAGGCGAGCAACCTTTCGAAGGATGATGCCATTCCCGGACTGGGAGGGCAGGGTGCAGACCATGAATGCTGAGTCTGGTTGGGGCTTGTGCGGTTTCTGATGTTCTCGAATTACCCGAGTGGAGCTGAGGGTGACCAGAGGATATGAGTTTGAGGCCTGCACTCAGAAGCCATCAGCTGTAGAGGGAACAGAAGCCATGGTCCTGGGTGAGCTTTCCAGGAGTAAGTGCTTATGCAGTGCAAGAGACCAGTGAGTGCTGGACCCTGGGGATACAGACATTCCAATGTCATTACCACCAACCCAAGAAGCAGCAGTGAAGAGGTCTGGCCCTGCCCTTTGCCATGAGAACAACATGCCCAGAGCCAGGTTTTTGCCAGGTTAGTGGAAAAGTAATCGCAGTTTCGGGCCATGAATTTTAAATCATTATAACTAGGCTCAAACAAATCCTTATTAATCAGAAACAGGACCCATTACAATCAACACATTTTTGCCAACAAGAAATAAGTTTGTTTATTCCTGTACCATACAAATCGTGCTTTGGAATTCAAAGAACTCTTGGAAAGCATTTTCTGCATCCTGCTGGTTGTGGAAGCATTTTCCCTGCAAAAAGTTGTTAAGATGCTTGAAGAAGTGGTAATTCAGTTGTCAAGAGGTCAGGTAAACATAGTGGATGAGGCAAAACTTCGTGGCCCAATTTGTTCAACTTTTGAAGGGTTGGTTGTGAAATGTGCGGTCAGGCATTGTCATGGAGAATTGGGCTCTTTCTGTTGACCAATGCCAGCTGCAGATGTTGCAGTTTTTGGTGCATCTCATCGATTTGCTGAGCAGACTTCCCAGATTTAATGGTTTCACCAGGATTCAGAAAGCTGTAGTGGATCAGACTGGCAGCCGACCACCAAACAATGACCATGACGTTTTTTTGGTGCAAGTTTGACTTTGGGAAGTGCCTTGGAGCTTCTTCTTGGTCCAACCACAGAGCTGGTCATTGCTGGTCATTGTGTAAAATCCATTTTTTGTTGCACGTCACAATCCAACCAAAAAATGGTTCATTGTTGCATAGAATAAGGGGAGACAACACTTTAAAACAATGATTTTTTAAATTTTTGCTTATCAAGCTTTGTCACTTCCAATTTGCTGCTAATGCTGAACAACTGTAGAATGGTTGATGTTGAGTTCTTCGGCAACTTCTCATGTAGCTGTAGGAGGATCAGCTTTGATGGTTGCTCTCAACTGGCCCTTGTCAACTGCCAATGGCCGGCCACTATGCTCCTCAGCTTCAAGGTTCTCGTCTCCTTTGCAAAACTTTTTGAACCACCACTGCACTGTACATTCATTAGTAGTTCCTGAGCCAAATGCATTGTTGACGTTGCAAGTTGTCTCTGCTGCTTTATGATCCATTTTGAACTCAAAAAAGAAAATCACTCGAATTGGCTTTTTGTCTAACATCATTTCCATAGTCTAAAATAAACATAAAATAAACAGCGAAGAATAAGTCATTAGCAAAAAAAAAAGTGAGAACTGCACAATAAAATGATGTATAACATAACCACATTTATTTAAGAATGTATTCCAGTATCAAATGGCAAATTCCAACAACGCGGAAACCACAATTACTTTTGCACCAACTTAATATCGCTAAAGTTCCATTCTGCAGGGCTCCTGGTCCTCCTTACAATTACTCCAAGCCAACTTGTCCGCAAATAACTTCCATTAACCTTTATATCATTTCCCACAAGGGTTTGCCAAAGTGGAGGTAAAAGTTTTTGTTTTTTAATTTAAGCAAAGTGAAACAGGGATTTGAGGAATGGCAAATTATAATCTTTTCAAGTTTGGAACTCCAAAAGGGAAAATCCAAGATGTTTTGAGAGATGAAGTAGGAAGTTCTGGGACCCAAAAAACTTCAGGCTAAAACTGTGTATTGGGTAAAATTGTATCTCAGCAGACTAGCCAGTATGTTTTTACTAGCATTTTACTGACTACACACCAAGGAAGCCCTGTTCTCCGTTTCACACATTTGATATTGACAAAATACCCTGTGCTAAGCTAGCTACCTTACCTCTCCCACTTTACAGACAAGGAAACAGGCACAGAGAGCTCCCGCAGCTTACCCCCGTTGACCTGACTAAACGGAGGGGTAGAGGGGTGGAGAGTTGGCTGTGTGCAGAGCCCCCACCCCCGCTTAGCTGACCAGGTGTTTGTGCCTGCTGAAGGAAGGGAGATGTGGCCTGAGCGCTCCTTCCACACTAAAACACTACACGTACACGATACCCACCTAGCAGGACCACAAGTCATTCCAACTTACAACAATTTAGAAGACAGAGAACGTACATTCAACCCTGACACATGTTTGGGAGGTAGGGTGGGGCTCACCTGGGCTACAAACACAGTGACATTCTCAGCTCAAAAAAGAAAGTGGGTGGTGTCCCGGAACCTTGACCTGGTTGGCATTTTTGCCTTCTAAACAAAACAGTGAGTATGAATTCTTGAGAGGACTGAGGCACCTAGAGGAGGTTTGTGTTTGCTGTCAGCACAGTCATTGCTCAAACCTACAGAGGCCTCCTCTCCTCCTTGGAGGCATTCAGCTAATGCCCTTGGGCCCAGTTCTTATCGTCCACATGGACACCCTGCCAGCCCCACCAGGCAGGAACTGCACCACCCCCAGCACCTGTGAGCAGCCTCAGGGAGACCTGAGAGTGGACATGCCAAGCAGGTGTCCTACTAGACAAGGGAGGAGGCAGTCCCCACACCAGCCTGGGGAAAGGCAAGGGCTGACAGTAACAGAGGCAAGTCAGGGGGTCAAGGGCTGGGAATGTATTACACAGCACAAAGGACCCAGATCTTCAATCAGCAATGAAACTCCCAATCACCTGCATGATAGCTCAGTGTGTAAAAGGCCCATTTCCTCAACAACAGAGACAGCCTTTACATCAGGAACATCAGTGGGCCTCAAGTGCACATCTCTTGTCAGTGTCACAGTATGGGTCTCTTGAAAATACCTAGTTCCAATTCTGCTCGGCAAGGAGGGAAATGCTAGGAGCTGGGAAGGAACCCAAGGTCAGTATGACCTTATTCTTCCACGAGAATAACTTTCACTGGAATACTTTCTAAACAAATTGCCCTAGATATAGCAAAGGAAATACAACTATATGGGGTTTTCCTAGTGAAATTTGCTGAAACCAATCTATTCTTCATATTAAAGTAAGGTTTCCCAAAATGTTTCAGATGTTACACTGACAAATATTATACCCTAAGAACTGTATATCTATTTTAGAGCATATTATAAACAATAGAACTGGTATAGCAAACCTACGCCTTCAGTAGTGATATAAAATTTTCTTTATAAGATTATAGAGGAAGAATCTATTTCAGGTAAAATGTTAGACTGAGGATAAAGTTGGTATGCTGGCATAGCAAACGTTGGACTCCGTAGCTGCCATAAAGTCCAAAAGAAGAATCTTTCTATGTCAGCTCCAGAGCACTCCCTTTTACAAGAGAGACATCTGGGCCGGGTGTGGTGGTTCACGCCTGTAATCCCAGCACTTTGGGAAGCCAAGGTGGGTGGATCTTAAGGTCAGGAGATCGAGACCAGCCTGGCCAATATGGTGAAACCCCATCTCTACTAAAAATACAAAAACTTAGCCAGGCATGGTGGCATGTGCTAGTAGTCCCAGCTACTCAGGAGGCTGAGGCAGGAGAATTGCTTGAACTCGGCAGGTGGAAGTTGCAGTGAACCGAGATCACACCACTGTACTCCAGACTGGGTGACAGAGTGAGACTCCTCAAAAAAAAAAAAGACATCTGATTCTATGTATAGTTTATGGAATTGGAACAAATTATAGTTAATCAATACAGTGTTTATTAAGTGTTCTTTCAGAGGCTGGAGAAAAACTCATGGCTAAGGACTAGTTGGAAACATATTAAATCCTCAAAATGTCCTTTCTTTCTTTCTTTCTTTCTTTCTTTCTTTCCTTTCTTTCTCTTTCTTTCTTTCTTTTTTTTATTAGACAGGATTTCTCTCTGTCACCCAGGCAGGAGTGCAGTGGTGCTATCACAGCTCACTGCAGCCTCGACCTTCTGGTCTCAAGTGATCCTCCTGCCTCACCCTCCCAAGTAGTGGGGACTACAGGTGTGCAGCACCACACCCAGCTAATTTTTTCCTGTTTTTTGTAGAGATGAGGTCTCACCATATTGCCCGTGCTGGTCTCAAACCCCTAGGTTCAAATGATCCTCACGTCAGCCTTCCAAAGTGCTGGTGTTACAGGCATGAGGCACCATGCCTGGGCTCCCATCATGTCTTTAAACCCATGTGGGGCAGGCTTCTCTCCCTACTCCATCACTGAGAAATGAGACTGTGGGTCAATCCACCCTTACCCTTGCAGAAACAATGGGGACCTCTGGGGCCCAAGGAGGGTCCCAGGAGGGAACTCTGGGTCTGTTGAGTCCACACCCTGCTGTGAGGAGGAGCAGGACCATGAGTCAGGTGGGCCGGCAACTGACACAGGGGCTCAGAGCTTTCTAGAATGTGACAGAGCAAAGCCCCACATAAACACAGGGCCAGGTGATGTGCAGAAATTTGAAATGTTTTCTGAGCACAAAAGATCTCCAGTTTGTCCACATTCCATAAAACTCAAAAATGTGAAAACAGTGATTGGATGTTTGGAGGTGCAAACAGCTGAACCCAGGTATACTGGATAAAAAGATAGAACAGCGCCATCATAGCTGAGGGAATGATGGCTGAAACCCTGTTCCTGCATCAGGCACCTGTAGTAGGCAGGATTCTAAGGTGGACCCCAAGGCCCTCAACCCTGGTGTGCTTGCCTGTGAAATCTCCTCCCCTAAGCACAGGTCCCCTGGGGACTTGACAGCACATCATTCCTGTGACCACGGTGGGCAACAGGGAGACGGTCCTGGCTGGGTTTGATCCCATTATGTGAGGTCTTTAAATGCACAGAATTTTCCCCAGCTGACTGCACAGGAGAAAGCCAGACAGAGGCATTCCTGCTGGGCTGGGTAAAGGAGGAAGAAGCATGTTGTAAATTACCCATGGGGTGGCTCTAGGAGCGGAGAGTGCCCCCTAGGCCACAGCTATCGAGGGAGCAGAGATCTGCCACCTCACAATTTCAGCCTGTGAAACACTAAGCAAAGGGCCCATGTGACCTGGATTCTCGGTGGAGTTGTGAAATGATGCATTTGTGTTGTTTTATGCCACTGAGCTTGTGGCATTTTGCAACCACAGTAACCATGTCCTTTCCTCAGATGTCCTTTCTTCCATGTTCACCCGTGAAATGGGGCCCATGTGTGCGCCTGAGTACCACCCAAAACACACAAGAGGAGAGGTGGCAGACATTACCCTAAGGAAGTTTTAAGGAGGGGGACTCCACTCTTTGCCTTTAAGGCATGTCTACAATCATGAGAAGATCTGCTGGTCATTTTCATGGACCCACAAAATTGACTTTGGCAAACACCTCTGTGCCTTGCCCATCTACAAGTAGGGCAATGATGACTTTCTCTGTCTGGATCCTGCTGAGTCACATAGTTTTTCTAAGAGCCAAATTTTGAAACAAGAGCACACTTGGCCCTGGAGCGTTTCTGCCGACAGCATGACCATGCGGCCCCAAGCACCCGCTTTGCAGGTTCTGGGCATGATGGTCCCAGCAGGAGAGCTGGGAGCTGCCCCACGTAGACAGCTGGCTGGAAGCCAGGTCGTCTGGGTTGTCGTCGCTGACACAGCACAATACAAAGCAGGTCATGTGTTTGTTTAAAGGGGCTGCTTTCTCTCCTTTCACACGGACCCCGTGAACATGGGCACTTTCTCAGGACGCACCCTTCCCTGGCCTTGGGTGTCTGGGTGGGCCATCCCCTAGGCTGCACACTCCCAGAGGGCTTGAGCTTGCACACTGTTCTTCCTTTCCATCCTTGCTGCTACTTCATGGACTTCTTAAACTATTGTCCCTTGCCCATCATCCTACAGATTTGGGGATTTGCTTTACCTTGGATGAAATTGTTGTTTAAATTTTTCTCTGCAACCTCTGTCACAAGCCACTCATGACTGATTCAAGTGTGAAAAAGCCAGGGAAAAAACAGATTTTGTACCTCACTCTATCCATGCGCATCACACAATGGGGTGCTGCCTCTCTGGAACCCCGTTTCAGAAAGCAAATCCCCTATCTGTCCCCAACTCTCTCAGTGAGGCTGCTGTCTCTCCTGCTCCTCACAGTCCCAGAATAGACCCACTACCACTTTCCCCAGTTGGTGCTTAATTACTACAGAATCACCAGGGGAGGGTAGAAAAGGTGACCAGAAGGAGGTGAAGAGGAGCCTGGGGTCCCAGCGGCCACGCTTTTCCCACATGGAACTCCTGGCATGCCTTCTGCATACACAGCCTTATCCAGACACAATGCACAAGAACCAGCCTGCATTCTCCACCTGCGTCAGCTGTTGTCTCCGTCAATTCAGGCTGCTGTGACAAAATGCCATAACCTGGGTAGGTGGCTTATAAACAACAGAAGTTTATTTCTCACAGTTTTGGAGGCTGAAAGTTCAAGATCAAAATGCCAGCAGATCCAGTGTCAGGGAAGGGCCCACTTCCTGGCTCATAGACAGACATCTTCTTGTTGTGTCCCCTCATAGCAGAAAAGGTGAGCAGTGTCTCTTGGGCCTCTTGTATAAGGGCACAAATCCCATTCATGAGGGTTCTACCTTGGTGACCCAATCACCTTCCAAAGGCCCCACCTTCTCATACCCTCACCTTAGGGGTTAGGATTTCAACCTGTGAATTTTGGATTGACACAAACATTTAGATCATAGCAGCTATCATTTCTTTCTCAGAGCAGCTGCCCTAAGCAGCTCTGAGAGCAGGGCCCAGCTGCTGATGCTGGAAGGTGCTCTCCATCTTGCCCTCTTACTCAAAGATGTCTTGTCTCCCCTTCATTGGTTAGTGTCCCTGGGTATTAACCATTTGTTTTCTTCTATCCTCAGAGGCACTGGTACTTGCATCGTAGAGAGAAACAGGCCCTCTGTTCTAGAATGGCACAGCCACGTGGTGAAACCCTCCTTTCCTGGGTGATATGGTTTGGCTGTGTCCCCACCCAAATCTCATCTTGAATTGTAGCTCCCATAACCCCCACTTGTCATGGGAGGGACGTGGTGGGAGATAATTGAATCATGGGAGTGGTTTTTCCCATGCTGTTCTCGTGATAGTGAATAAGTCTTATGCAATCCGATGGTTTTATAAAGGGCAGTTCCCCTGCACATGCTCTCTTGCCTGCCTCCATGTAAGACATGCCTTTCTCCTCTTTTGCCTTCCACCATGATTGTGAGGCCTCCCCAGCCATGTGAACTGTGGATCCATTAAATCTCTTTTTCTTTATACATTACCCAGTCTTGAATATGTCTTTATTAGCAGTTTGAAAACAAACCAGTATACTGGGCTTGCCCCTTCCCAATAGTGCCTCTGTAGGGAAAGCTGGGGTATCTGTGTCTTTTTAAGGTTCTTTCAAAGAGGCCACTGAGGGTGTTTCTCCAATTCCATTTAGGAAACCATCGCACTCATTTCAGTTGATCACAGCTATTCAGGTTTTCATATACCTATAAATATTAACACATCTCTTTTACCTATTTTCATGAATCACCAGAATGAGCACAGAAGAGGAGGAACCACATAAGTATGGTAACCGAGAGGGAACTGAATTTCTTTGAAGAAAGACACCAATTTTCCAATTCTAGCTGGTCCAAGCAGCCAAATAGCAAATAAAGGAAATAGCAAAAAAAAAAAAAAAAAAAAAAAAAAAATCTATAACTAGGAGCAGTTGCAGACAAAAGTTTGATGTCTTATCATTTCTCTCAGCTACATTCACACTCAGAGACAACTGCTTTGTCCAACGTAGTCATTGCAGAAAAAAAAAAAAAAGCAATAAAGGTTTTCCATATTGGCTACAATGGCTACAATCTGTAGACTCTGGTTAGCAAATTCATGACCAGAGTTCCATCTCATTTTTTTTGTCATTTAGAAATTGGTATTTTGTTAAACGAAATCTCCGTATTTTACTTAAACCTTGCTTGTCTAATTTTCACAAGTATCTAAAAATGCATATTGCTGTTCTTGGCAGAGCCCAATTCCATCTTTATTTATCTTAAGAGTAACAATTCTCCAGACACAAAATGTTTTGTTCTTTAAAAAACAACCCAGATAACACTGACTGGGTGCTTAGGAGTGGGGCGGGTTTTCTACTGAGGGCTTCAAAATCATGACTCATAATAATCCTAGGATAGGCAAAAGTGTAATTACCACATTACAGATAAGGAAACTGAGGCTCAGGAAGGGGAAGTGGTGTGCTTAAGGCTCTCATGGCAGAACTGCAGGCTTTAGAGAGCCGCTGCCCAAGGGTGGCAACACACCGCCGCTGTCAGCTTACCGCCTAGCTCCCAGACTGAGGCCGTCACCAGGAGCCACCTCCTTCACACGCCACTGCCCCTGGTGGTGTGTAAACAGTCGGCCACTTTCACACCCTCATGCACACACTCAGCAAAGATTGCTCTTCAAACTTAGGCTCTCCCTTCCTGTTTTGTGCGCCTGCTTCTAATTACACAGTTGTCTCCCTAGTGAGCTAGCTCTGCAGGAAGAGATGAAAAGATTGGTGTTCGGACCCTCCAGAAAAGACTAGACGTAAGATGCAGCTGGAAGTATTGGGCGGACAGGAGCCTGGCACAAGCCATCATCTCCCAGGGGACGGAACGACCCCTTCATCTCCCTTTCCCAGACACATCCGGTCTCCCGTCCCCACGGCCTCCGCCCCCCAACCCGCCTTCTGTAGGCTGCGTGGAGGGTGAGTCAGTCGGGGGAAGGGAAGAAGAGACAGGTTTAGAAAACGCTGGCGGAGGCTGGATTGACAGGGAGAGGTCCCGAGCCTGACCTTCTTGAGCTGGGTGTGACCTTGGTCTAAGGGAGAGCAACAAAATCCAGCCCGCCCCCTTTCTGCTCACACTCCCCCAAGGGGTCCTCCTGGCAGGGCCATGGTGCCTGGGAGAAAAGAACCCCACCGGTTGCATCCTCAGCACCAGCAGGCCTGGGGCTTTCCTAGAACGCTACTTTCCTTTTCACCCCAGCCTGTTCTTGATGCTGCGGTGCTCAGGACGGGACCTACGGACTGCCTGGGAGACCCACGGACTGTGCTGGCCCCTTTCCCCGCATGCAAGACCCTAAGTAGAGATGCAGGTGGGGAAGTGATGCCTCCGTTCTTGTGAAAATGTTTTCACACGCTGAAAAGTTGGAAGACAACAAACACTGCGACATGTCACCTGGATCCAGCGCTTCGTAGCATGTTGTGATTTCTCTGCCTCCGCCCGCTTTCTCTCGTGGAACCGGTTGGAAGCTAGTTACAGACGTCAAAACAACTCACCCTTGCATTCCTCAGCAGGCGCCTCCTAAGAATAAAGATGTAACTACTGTATGAGGGCTCTCCAGAGAAACAGACCGATAGGATGCATGTGTATGTCTGTATTTAGAGAGAGAGAGATTTCCTTTTAAGGAATGAGTTCCTGTGATTGTGGAGCCTGGAAGGAGGGCCTGCCAGGGGGCCTAGTTGGTTCCAGCAGGCTGGAAATGTAAGCGTGTTGATTTTGCCTTCTTAAACTTGATCTCTGCAGGGAAAGCTGGCAGACTGAAAACTCAGGCAGGGTTCCTGTGTTACATCCTTAAGGTGGAATTCCTTCTCCTTTGGGAAACCTCAGTCTTTGCTTGGAAGGCCTTCAACTGATTGGATAAGGCCCACCCTCATTAGGGAAGGTCAACTTCTTTACTCACAGTCTCTGCTTTAAATGTTAATCACATCTAGAAAACACCTTCACTGCAACATGTAGGCTGGTGCTGATCAAACAGCTGAGCATACCATAGCCTAGCCAAGGTGACACACACATTAACCATCACAATCACATTACCATTCAGAGTGGTTTCATTTTAATAATAGCCTGAAGTTTATGGTTCAATACATCCTTAGAAACAGAGGCAGGGAATGTCACCCTTTGTGTACAAAAGGGAAAATAAAGGAAATGGTACTACGTTTCTTGCATTTGCATATGGAAAATCAGGAAGGAGACACACAGAGTTCATGGAAGTGGAAACCTGGCAGAGGTGGTCACCAGACAGGCAGCTCCAAGGGAAGGAAGCCACTCACTCAGAGCTTGCTTTGACTTACGAGCCACATGACTTACGAGCTTGCTTTGTTGAATAAACAGCAAAATGTCAAAAGGGGTTGAATTATAAGCAAATCCCTAGTTAAAACAACAGAACAAATTTTGTTGTGAACTGCTGCCCCAGGGAACCCAGCACACCCTATTTCTACTTTCTCCATGGGAAGATTTGCCCACCTAACGATTCAAATCTATCCTAAGGAAAACAAAACAGAGCCAAAATTAAAAAGCAGACAACATATTGGGAGTTGAGATTTTCATCAATCCTTAGGGAGTGAGGGCAGAATCCAGGAATCACCAAATGGCTACACTCACCCTTTGGGCTCTGGAGGGTCCCGAGGCCCAGCCAGGCCTGTGAGAGGAGCCGCAGCAGTAGCTGCAGCCTGCGGGATCTGCATCCGTTTTCACGCCCTGGTCTCTGGCCTGTGACGGGACTGTGGTTGTTTTAAGAACTGGGATAGTGAGCACAGAACAAGCGTGCCACCCGACCCCACGGCGCTGAGTGTCTGCATTCATCCAAAGGGGCCCTTTTGATCTTACTGTTCGATGACTTTTCTTTCACCCACGAAACATCTACATGTGGGCTGATCTTTCCACACCCATATTATAACGAGGAACTTTCCAGATGACTAATAACTAAGACATGTTTTTCAAGATGTGCTTTACATTTCACTCTGTAAGTGTGCACCGCGGGAAGGATATTCAATTCTGTTCCAGTTATTACTGCGGGATAACGGGCACAAACTTAGTGGTACAAAATAGCCCACGCTCACAGATTCTGTGGGGCAGAGATGGCATTGGGAGTGGTTATGGGGGACGTGACCTCTTCTCCATGATGCTTGGGCCTCAGCTGGTAAGACTCCAATGCCTGGGGCTGGAATCATCTAGAAGCTGCTCTCCTGCATGAGGCTGGGCTCCTTGGGACCATGCACCAGAGAACCTGCATGCAGCCTTTCCCATGCCTCCAGCTTCTCACAGCATGACCCAGACAGAAAGCTTCTGAAGACTATGATTTCCAGGTCCCCACGTAAAAGCTACATGGCCTCCTTTGACCTGGGGAGCCATGTGTCATGACAGCTAGGCCAGATCTAAGGGAAGGGCTTTAGTCTCCCCTACTCTTGTGGGAAGGGAAGGGAAGGCCCATATTGTAGAAGAGCTCGTGAGATGGGAGATGTTGACGTCAGCTTTGGAAAATGCGAGCTTCCCCAGAATCTGACCATGGTGACGTGGGAAGGGACTTAGGACCCTCCCTTTCTCCTTTTACACATTGTGAGGCTCTGAGTAGGAGTTGGAACCTGGGTTTCCAGACCCCCCGCCCCCGCCCAGAGCTGCTTCTACCAGGCCACACACACTTCCATTTACATTTCAAAGAAAAGTTGCTTTATGTTTCTCTTCACGTGTTTTTTTTTTCTTTCTGCCTTCTGTGTTCTCTAGATCAAATGAAGAAAGCCCATTTATTATTTATTCCAGGTATGTCCTAGATGCATACAATTTCTTCCCAGTGATTATTTAAGATAAAAATGAAGATTGGGCTTTATCTTTTAAATGAGAGTCAAACAAGCACCCTGGCTTGTTAACAGAGAAGTCAGTGCCATACCCTGCATTGCTTCTGCAATCTCCTTAATCTGCTCTTTCGTGGATGCATTTAGTGAATCCACCTGGCCCTGATTAACTGGGCTTTGTAAAGAAAGGCCCCTCACATGGAGTCAGACATTGAAAGATATTCAGTGTTTTAACATTGAGTGGGGAGGCAGGGAAACAATGGGAATTCTCTTATAGTAATGATCCATTTTAGGTCACCTTTCACCATTGGACTACATGAGTTGGGATATAGGCTGCATGGCTATAACAAAGGCCTGAAAATACAGTGGCAGAAATACATTTATTTCCCTCAAATACAAGACGACAAAGGCAAACAGCCTGGGCCAGTGTGACTACTCTGCCACTTTCAACACATGGCTTCTATTTCTGGGTTCCAGGCAACTACTCCAATTTCCTAGATTGAGGGGTCAGGGGGAGGAAGTAGTGGACATTTCCCTTTTTTCCTAAGGCACACATCGCTTCTTTTCTCATCTCATTGGCCCAAACTTGGTCACATGGACATGTCTAGCAGCAAAGGAGTCTAGGAAATGCAGTCTCTAGATGAAAGTCTAGGCATGCAATTAAAATTCTGAGGGTTTCTATTCCTAAAAGGAAGAAAAGATGAATGGATGTTGGGAACAGTTGGCTATCTCTGTCCTGCACTAATACATTTATCTTCTTGGTTTCCCATGAAGAAGCAGAGATCATGGGAATTGCTATGGGGTAGCACTTGTTATGGACCAGGGATACAAGTTGCCACAGCAACCACACTAACTGGCTGGTGCCACCCACAATGTTATCTTTTTTTCTCTACCCTTTGCATAAGTGATGTCTCTAAATGAGCAAGATTGTAAGAAACAAATGCTGTGGACTGAATGTCCACTGTTTCTTGGTCATTGGTTCTCTGTAACAGTCTGTTAGTCTTTAGAGCCAGATACAACTGGGTTCAAATCCCAGCTCTGCCAATAGCTATGTGGGGGCCTCAGTTTCTTCACCTAAAAATTAGATACCCTATTACTTGCTGCCTAGGGTTAACGTGCGGGTAAAGTGAAAGAATGTAGGTGAAGCACAGTGCCTGGCACTTAATAGAAACTCAAAAAAGGGTCCTAACCATTACCATTACCAGGAAGGACATACTCTATAAGAGCCTGGTTTGCCAGTCTGATCAACAGATTTGTGTCAATTGTGGCAAAGGAGACCCTGGGGACCTCCAGAAGCCTCCTGTGCTGACTCTCCAGTGCTTACTGGGTCCACCTCTAGGGCCAGCCTCACCCACCACATTGGCTTGAGGTGCAACTGGAAAGTCTGAGTCAATTCATTCTTCCAATGCTGCCCCAAAGAGGGTACAGACTTCCCACCAAGCCCTACCTCAGTTGACTTTGGCCTTCCTAGCTTAGGCTGAGCCTCTTGGGAACACAGCAGCCAGCACCTGGCTTCCGCGTGCAGTTAGACACCCAGAGATGAGCCGGGGGAGTTCAGAACGCCTTCTCCCTGTGAGCCATGTGGTGGCATGCTTGACTATTGCGATGTTGGCTAGACACTCTGGCTTTGTAGGAGTCTGGGATTTGGGGGTTATCTTCTTCAGGTCACATGGCCCTCGTTTAGAATCTGGGGTCCCCCAGCCGGGATTCCCATCTTTCAGAAACACCTCAGCCAGCTTAAGGCATCTGCTCCAATGGTCTCCATGACAACCCTGAAGAGCCTGCAGTGAGCAGCCAGCAGAACTTGCCAGCCGAGAGGCTCATCCCACTAATTGGATAATGTATATGAAAGAGCTGATCACACCTGGCACCTGAATCAAAGGGTGAACTCACCAGACATGAATCATGCCAGCCTGTTAAGTAGGTACAAGCGTTTTTATTCCTGGCCATAGGAGCAGCCTTGCTTGTAATTAACCATCATCCCTAATATCTGTCTAATGCCCATAACACCCCCGAGAGGAGTTTTGTCATTCTTATTTTGTAAATGAGTAAGATACAGAACTTAATCAGAACTCAAGGATTCTTATTTGGTGGGCTGTTTAAGCTGGAGTAAATGTTTGTTTTTTACTGACCATCATGATGTCAACATTGCCTTTAAAAAACAGGGAATAGAAGAAGAAAAGGAAAAAAGGAGGGAGGGAGAAAGAGAGAAGGAAAAAAGGAAAGAGAAAATGGTGATTAGATGGTGTGGTGTGGAATCAACATAAGGTTACCAAGTGTGTATGATTTCACAGATGTTAAATACCATGACTACTGCTATTAACTACTCCCGCCACATCACCACATCTGCAGAATCTAAGACAAGAATGTGAGAAAAAACAATGACAGTCCTAAAGGACAATTGGCAACTTGGATCACCATCCCCCCAGGGTCCCCATTTTCCTAATTTCCACTTAGAGTAGTTACAACTTGAGCATTCCCACACATAGAAATCAAAGGGCCAGGCCTCAGCACCAGGCTGCACCCAGTACAGCCAGACTCCCTTCTTGCTTCATTACAGTGGGCTTGCATTTGCCTCCAAGGATGTCCAGGGCTCTGGAAACCAAACCTTCCAGCCTTTGGACTTTTTCAGCTACAAAATATGGATCAAGTATGAACTAGTAACAACCCATTAAAATATATGTGTATGGTTTGGAAAAGATCATGTATTTTAAAGTGAAAGCAAAGACTTAGCACTGAGTAAAAGTTAAATATTTTTGTTCAATTCAGTCTGAAAATAGAAAAACAGAAAGTGGTGTCTAAGAGCTTATGGGCATGAAGGAAATCAAGCTTGGGCAAAACAATCTTCAGTGAAATTTTATAGCTGACTCACAAATCCTTACAAGGCAGAGGGTGTTAGTATTAGGGATACGAGGCAGCGCTATTAATTGTGCTATTATGCACCTGGTGAAATTTTAGGAAGGTAAATACGTGAAAGAGGACCACTGAGCCTGAGCTTTGCATTAAGGGATAACACTGCTCTTCATCCCGGGAGGGCAGATGTCTTGATCCTGGCTTTATGATGGCATGACACACACATCCCTCAACACCTGACTCACTTCGTTGGCCCTGCTGATGTCCACAGGCAGCCACATGTGATGGCCTCAGTGCTGAGTGGAGAAACGCCTGCGGCTTTGGGAAGGACTTGCTGCAGCCTGCTCCTACCCCAGCCAGCCTCCTTCCAGCCCCATTGTTCTCGACACATAAGAGGCCTGGCAAGTCTCAACCCGGGTGTAAAGCGGCATCCCTTACCCTAGAAATACAGAAGTCATTTTTTTCTAGTAGCTAAGAAAGGCCTGGCGCTGCATTACAAGAGTTCATTCACATAAACAGTGAACGCTAGAAATCGAATTACACTTGGATGCTTCCTTGGGGGATTCTGTTATTTGTTTGATTGTCCCCATATATTTTGATGGGAAACGTGGTCTATGTTCACTCAGACCTACACAAAATAACCATAGCTACCGTGTATTAAGTACCTGCTATGGGACAGGTGGCTTATATGCATTTTTTATTCATGGTTACTTTAGTCAGTAAAGAATGAAGGCCAGGTGTGGTGGCTCATGCATATAATCCCAGCACGCTGGCAGGCCAAGGCAGGAAGATCACCTGAGGTTGGGAGTTTGAGACCAGCCTGACCAACGTGGAAAGGTGAGGAAACTGAGGCACAGCCAGACAACCTGCCACAGGGATGGCAGAGCAGGTTGGGGACAGCCCAGGCTACCTCCATCTTATGACAATTCTTCAAGAAGATGGGCATGGAAAATGCAAAATTATCTGCAGGAATATTGCAATCTTGCTCAGAAGAGGAGGAGGAAGATAAGCGGCAGAGTCCCTTTAAATGCTCTGGTGCCCATGGCCAATCTAAACCACTCTGGGCCTGCTTCAAAGGCCTCCAGAGAGGCTGACGGCCAGCAGGCCTCACTGTGGGTCAGCTCCAGCCCTGTGCCTTCCAGCACTTTCTTATCAGGAGGGTGAAGAGCTGGCTGAGAAGGGTGGCCAAAGAAACAATCACACAATGGCTGCCCCACAGTGTGGACATATGTGCCCTCTAACTGAGCTGATCAAATCAACTCTGAGAATGCAGCTAGGTTTTTAGGAGTGGTTGAATCTAGTTAATAGGTGATTAAAAAAGTAATCAATATTTATGGTTTAGTCCCATCTCCAGATTTACGTAGGCAGTCTCGGGATTCAAAGTGCTCAGAAGGCGCTGACATCGGATGTTGTAAAGGGGAATAGAGTGGGAATAGGATTCCGCATCCTCTGAGGTGTGATGGAAGAAATGATACAGCAAGCAGCTGTCCTCGCCTTTGGCTGTGCTGCAGTCACTGTGAGGCTGTGAGATTCCACACACCTGGCTGCACCCAGACCCATTCAGCCCGCAGATCCAAGACAGATGGCACCCCGGCACCCGTGTTCTTAATCCCCAAGGGTGGCACTGCCTCACAAGGCTGGGGATCCTGGTGTCCTGTCTTACAGGTGCAAGCATAGATGAGAGTCCTGGCCACGCCTGCCATTCAGGCAGAAAGGCTCTGCTACCAAGAATCAGAAATCAAGTTCTTTCGTAGTTAAAAAAGAAAAAAGAAAAGCAGAACTAGCATCACCAACAAGGCTAGTTTCCACCCCCCACCTATGGCAACTATGAAACTGTCTCACCAGAAAAAAATGAAAAACTGACAGCCAGAAACCTTTTTACCCCTTTTGTTTCATGAGCGGTAGAAAGCTTATGACCCACAGGAAAAAAGAAACTGGAACCAGTAGCAGAAAGGGAGCTGGGGTGGTCTCCAAGCTCTGGAGGGGCAGAGCAGGACACAAAGCTGCATTACTCATGAGCCCACCCAGGAACTGTGGCTCCCTCTGGTCGGAGGGCTTGTCTCTGGGCAACTGGGTCCCCCTTTAACTGAACATATGTAGGCCACTTGTCTGAGCACAGGGGTAGCTAGACCTCAAAAAGTCTCATAAGCAAATGAAAATTATAGGGGTGAGAAGTGAGAAAGGAAGAATCACATTTCACACAACTGCTATAGAAATGCCAAGCCAGGAGAACGGCGTGAACCCGGGAGGTGGAGCTTGCCATGAGCCAAGATCGTGCTACTGCACTCCAGCATGGGCGACAGAGCAAGACTCCGTCTCAAAAAAAAAAAAAGAAAGAAAGAAAGAAAGAAATGCCAAGCAAGTTGTCTGCCTAAGCACGTGGCACATTTTTCAATAAATGGACAGACACAACCTTACATCCCCAGCCCCCGCCCTGTTCCAGGGAAGTGCTTGACTCTGTCCCCACTTCGTTAAACAGATCATTCTACCTCTTCAGATGGGCATGGAAAAATCCCTTTAGGAAGTCAGCTATCATATGAAAGTAGCAGCATGCATTCTTCTTTCATTTCTTTTCTTTTTTTTTTTTTTAGATAGTCTTACTCTGTCGCCAACGCTGGAGTGCAGTGACACAATCTTGGCTCACTGCAACCTCTGCCTCCAGGGCTCAAGTGACCCTCCCACCTCACCCTCTCGAGTAGCTAGGACTACGGGCACATGCCACCATGCTCAGCTACTTTTCAGTTTTTTTGTTTGTTTGTTTTTTGTTTTTTTAGAGATGGAGTCTCGCTCTGTCACCCAGGCTAGTGTGCAGTGAGGCCATCTCAGCTCACTGCAACCTCCGCCTCCCGGGTTCTAGCAATTCTCCAGCCTCAGCCTCCCGAGTAGCTGGGATTATAGGTGCATGCCACCACACCTGGCTAATTTTTTGTATTTTAGTAGAGACGGGGTTTCACCGTATTGCCCAGGCTGGTCTGGAACTCCGGAGCTCAGGCAATCCACCCGCCTCTGCCTCCCAAAGTGCTAGGATTACAGGCATGAGCCACCGCACCTGGCCTAATTTTCATATTTTTAGTAGAGACAAGGTTTCACCATGTTGGCCAGGCTGGTCTCAAACTCCTGACCTCAGGTGATCCGCCCACCTCGGCTCCCAAAGTGATGGGATTACAGGCTTGAGCCACCACTCCCGGCCCTCCTTTTATTTTTAGAAGTAAGCCTGCACTTACTCTTATAGCTAGAGGCGTTTCCTCTGCAAATAACTTAAAAACAAAACCAAAAATATCTCTGGTAAAAACATAAAACTTTTATTTCATTTTACTCCTTAGTATTTGAACTAGTTAATGGCCAGATCAGTTGATCCTTCTAATCTTTTCCTTATCTATACCTATAAAGAAATAATGCATCTAATTCTAACATTCCTAACCTGGGGTCCATGGATCTCCCAAAAGTCCATAGATGGAATTTGGGGGAGGACTATATGAGCATAGATGGGGAAAAATAAACTTTTATTTTCATCACCTCTAACAGAAATTTAGTGTTGACTTTGGCTAGGAATGTAGGCAAGAAACCACAGTGGGTTTAGCAGTGCTTGCAATGTTGTTGCCATAGAACTCCAGTCATCTTCATGGTACACTGCAGTTGTTGCAAACACAGATATGGTTGGGTTTCTTCCGACATACCATGTGTGTCATACACATTTTTTAATATTGTTGCGAGTCTTTTCTAGGCTTTACACCACCAAAGGTTCCCATTGCTCAAAAAGGTACGAATCAGTCAAGCTACAAGAGATCAGAAACACGGCTGAGTTAGGCAGGAAATATGTTTGCATTTCTGGAAACACCAGTTATGATGGAGCTTGTAGGGTGCGGTGTATTTTTCAAAGTATTTTTAGACTTTATTCTCATCACAAATCTTCCAGGGAGGCAAGGTAAACACAGGGCAGGTTTTATTCCTTCTCGGTGCTCTAAAGCACAGAGAGGTTTGGTGAGCTGACCAAGGTCACACAGCTGCTGATCAGTGAAGGGAGCGTTTGTCACCTTTACCCACGTTCTCTCAGCTGACATTTATCCCTCTCTTAGGTGAAGGTGAGAGGGGCTGTGTCCTTCTGTCTTTCTGTCTTTCATCTGCTCCCTTAATGGGAATCCAATCTTCTATTAAGTGCCTTGGATTGACAGATCCATCGCTTATTCAGTCCTCTAGCCTGCACCCCTGCCAGCCTGTCTTGCACCATCACAGCCTTGTGGCTTTTCTGGGAGAACCACGGCAGCCCATTTCACAAATGTAGCTGTGGAGTGGGCACCACTAAAAAGGGTGAGTGTGCCAATGAGGCAATGCCCAAAGGGGAAAGACTCAGGTGCTTGAGAAACAGGCTGGCCAAATGGGAGCGAAGAGAGATGAGAGACAGGAACAGGCAGCCACAGCCAGGGGAGAGAGAGCAGAGTGAGAAGAGGAGGACGCAGACAGGCCATGGGCAGCAGGAATGAGAGAACGCGGGAGGGGGGGAAAGTACGCAGGAGAGGCAGCAGGCAGTGAACTGAGGCCCTGAGAGCGGGGCCTGGCCTGGGGATTGCCTCGACTTGATGTATCTCTGGAGTAAACATCTTGCATCACAATCACAAATCCCACACATCTGTCAATGGTTCTTTCTATTTTCAGAGCAATTGTCTTCCTGTGTCTTCTCACAACAGGCTCCAGGACCAGGGAGACCTAGGCTCAAATCCCACCCACAGTCTCCAAGCCGCAGGGCCTGAGCCCCTCCACCTGGCTTCCCCATCTGCAAAGCCTCAGTCCCTCATACAACAAGGGCTGTGTGAAGGATGGAAGGAGCATCAATCCCCCAAGAGCACCCGGCTGCTTCGCCCCCTTATTATGCACAGGTGCCACCTTCTCAGCCTTCTCTGAGCAACATGCTGAATTTGCACCTTCCCTTATCACGACTCCCTCTCCCTCCACTGTTTTTCAGAGCATGTGACACCATCTGATGTCCTACATAGTAAACTCACTTATCTGTGTATTGAGAGGTGCCCACTCCCTACCCCTAAAGTTTGCGCTCCCAAGAGCAGAGATCTTGTCTTGCACTCCCCATTGCGTCGCTGCCCTGGGACCCGCCTGGCTCATGGCCCCCGCTGACCAGCATGTGTTGAAGGAACTGGTTAATGAATGCAGAGCATGGGGCGTACAGTGAACAGTTGCTGGTGCATTTGAAGGCTACAGACTCCAATGTCATCTGCGATTCCTGCTCTCAACATCAAACTTGGCACCAGACAGAGGAGGGAGCTTCCGGCCACAGCTTGCTTTCTTCATTTTGGTGGCCAGAACTCGCAGGGAATCTGAGAATTGGCCCCATCAGACAGGCCAGGGCCAGCCTGGATGAAGTGATGTTCCTGGGGGTGAACTCAGAGATCTGCCTGCACCTCTCCAGGCTCCGAGCTGTGTGCTATCATCCTGTTGCTGGCAGGTCACACTGGGCAGACATTTTTTTACGCAACCATTTTTGTGGTGGGCTCTCCTGCCTGGTATCTGGGACATCTGCCGGAAATCAGGCCCTGTCTGTGGGATTCCGCAGCCATCTCAGCTGGCGTCCTGCTGCCGTTGACTGAAGCCACAGCCTGGGCCTGCATCTCAGGCGAAGGGATAAAAAAGGCAGCGTGGTGTGGGCCATCAATCAACCCTGGGGTTTCCATCCAAGGTGAATCTCATGCAAAAATAAAATCAAAACCCCACGTCTAAAATATCCTCAGGGGGAGGCACACAGGAACTCTGCCTGCGGTGGGCCAGGCCGGGACCGCAGCATCTGGGATTCCTAATTATAGGGGAACCCGGGCTCAAATGCGTCCCATGTGAGCTGAGACATGCCTGCCTGCCAGGGTCTAACTGTCGCCTGCCACCGGCTTCCCTGCAGCAACCAGACAGAAACAGACTTCCCTGCGCCCCAACGAGCTCTCACTCACACCTGTAACGTGGTTTCTACCTTTCTCTTACGGATCAATTTCAGATCTCAAGTCAATTAGCACCCTACCTCTATTCTTAGATAAAGCCCATTTGACCTAAAGAATAATTTCTTTTTTAAGTTCTCAGGGCTGGTAAAAAACATTTTCACTAATATCCTTGAGGAAAAAAAAAATTTATTGACAAGTGTGTTGGGAAAGTCACATTTCTTTCCCACCTCTTCTGCCCAAGGAGCCTCTTTGTCTCTTCCTTTCACATTTTCTAGACCAAGGATGTGACCAGTGGACAGTGGGAGCCGCTGGAGGTGTCAAAACAGAGCAGTGAAGCCCCCAAGAGGGCTTCTAAAGGAGCAAGGATGCTGCGGGCCTGCTGGAGTGCCACAGAGGGAGGAAGAGCTCTCATTTATTTTGGGGACTCCTGAAGACTGAGACGATGGTGGGAACATTGATCTGGAGGGTGAGAGTTGACACCAGAGTAGGACAAAAACTCTCTAAGGAAGTGAAGGTTGAAAAACATTGGATCAAAACAGCCAATTACACTCACTCACTTAATTCCGTGCACCCCCAGAATCTCTGAGATAACAAGAGTTACTTACAAAAAATAAATCCGTAAAAAGCAGCAGAAGGTAAAAAACAGGACCATCAGGAAGCCAGGAAACAACAGCAATTCCTGTCGAATAGAAAGGAGAAAAGAACCACGTTGCTGAAGAAACAAAAGTAGAGACAACAGCAGCCTAAACATTCAGGGGCAGGGGGAGGAAGGGGAGGGCAGAGCAGTGACCCTAAGAGCAAGGCGGTGGAGCAGGGAGTCGTAGCCGGGTGAACTAGCCAGGGTTCTCCAGAGGAGCAGAACTGATAGGAGATACCTCCTGTTGGAGATGGGGGATAGGTTTTTATAAATCTCATATTGTAAGAATTGGCTTGCATGATTATGGAGGCCAAGAAATCCCACAATCTCCCTCCTGGAGGCTGGAGAACGAGGAAAGCCAGCATTAGAGTTCAGTGGTGGGATTCAGTTCAAGTCCAAAGGCCTGAGAACCAGGGGAACCAATGATGTTAGCTTCAGTCCAAGTCCAAGAGCACAAGAACCAGTAGCACCAGGGCCTGAGGGCAGGAGAAGATGGATGTTCCAGCTCAAGAAGCCCTTCCTCTGCCTTTTCGTCCTACTCAGGCCCTCTATGGATTGGATGAGACTAGCCCACCTTGGTGAAGATATCCTCTTTACTTAATCTACCAATTCACATGTAAATCTCTTCCCAAAACACTTTCAGACACGCCTATAAATAATGTTTACCAGATATTTGGGCATCACTTAGCCCCGTCAAATTGACACATAACATTACTCATCACATCAGGGTGGCTGGTCCAAGCAGTGGTGCCTTCTGCCCCAGCCTGCGGGCTGAGTGATAGGTGAAACAGAGATTCCCACCCCAGGCTCCAGAGGAGAACAGGGTCAGAGCACAGCAGAGCAGGAGGGCTCACCTAGGAGGTTCCCCTAGAAGGTAAGCCCCCAGTTCACCTCACCCACCCAAACAGCATTTCCACAACCACCAGAGTCCCATTCCTGAGATCCCAGCTCTCCTTGGGAGAAGAGCAGGGATTGTCAAACTAGCTGTTGAAAACTGAGGATAATTACTGCACATCGGAGAAAATGACATTAAGAAAAAGATGTGTCAATCCAGTAGACAAGCAAACAAAAAAAATACCCAAGAATGGAATTGATGAAAAGCAAAATATGTTAAAATTAGCCTCATCAATATCCTCAGAGAAGATTCAAGAGGGTATTTTATGGTCATCCCTCGGTACCCAAGTGGGACTGGTTGGTTAACAGACCCCGCAGGTGCCAAAATCTTCAGATGCTCAAGTCTCTGATATAAAATGGTATTGCTCTTGCATATAGCCTAGGCACATCCTCCTGTGTACTTTAAATCCCCTCTAAAACACTCATAATACCTCATAGAATGTAAATGCCATATGAAGTTGTCAGACTGTATTTTTAAAATTTTGTATTATTTTTTATTGTCGTGAGTTTATTTTTTATTTTTTTCAAACATTTCCAATCCATGGTTGGTTGAATCCATAGATTTGGAACCCATGGATATGAAGGGCCAACTGTATACATAAAATTCTAACAGGTCCTAACCCCCATGGGTGAAGTACCTGTGCTCTGTTCAGCGGCCACCTCCCTCCACTTATAGAACCCCCGGCATACATACACCTACAAGTGTGAGGCCAAGCAGACCTACCTCACCGTAGGAGGAGCTGTGGGTCCAGCAGAGAGCTCCTTTCCCTGCTGTCCCCCTTAGATCTGGAACTTTCTCTAGATATTCATGCATACTGGACAAATAGGGCAAGATCTCCTGCTACCAAGATGTACATGGTCCAGCACATAGTCCAGATTTATGTGGCCTGTCGATGCACACACTAACCCTTGCTACTGTTAGCAGCAGCAAGAGCACTGACTCTTCCTTAAGCATGATATTCTGGAAAAATCTACGTGATGCCTGCTCCGATCTGGCCATGTGACAGTCTGGCAGTGTCCCCTGCATCTGTCCCGTATCCCCGGCTTTATTCTTGTCAGTGGGACATCTCGATCAGCCTGCAAGATAGCACTCCCATCACCCTACAAGGAAACCTCACCCTTATTTACATCACCCTCATTGCCCTACTTCTCTGCACCCATTCATGGCAGGGCAGGGAGGAACACCCAAAAGTGAGTCCTAATGTCCTCACCATCCATTTCCTGTTTTCTCTCGACCAGACTTCCACCACGTTCTCACCTCCATCACCCACTAAGATTGCTGTGGTAGGTAATGTTGATGGCACAGTGTCAAATCCAGTGCTGGGCATGGTGAGTCACTGTCCTTCCCTGAGTGCTCCTTCCCAGGCCCCTGCCTGGAGGCTCCCTCGCCTCCATACATGTGTGGCCTCCTCGGAGACCATCTCCCGGCTGTCTGTGTGCCGCAGCCCCACCCTCTCTGTCCTCCTTTGTGCTGGCTTGTTTCCTGTCCCTACCCCTAGCCCCACCTGATGTTGACACTGCGTCAGCTCCATGAGGTCAGGCTCCTGGCTTCATTCATTCCTGCACCCTGGGGCCCATCAGTAAGGAACATCAGGAATGAGAAAGGAGTTCTGACTGCAGATTGGTCTTGTTCACCTCTTGTTGGCTCAATCACGTGTGTTTCATTCTGTGTTTCTTTAAAGCTTTTGTTTTGAGATTGTTTTACACTCACAGAAGAGCTGCTGAATACACAGAATTCCTGTGTCCCCTTTGGCCGCCCTGCCCTTGTGTTAGCATTTTACACTTGCCATCCTACTTCAACCTCACAATAACCAGAGGGGGAAAAGCCGTTGATACTCCCACTTCACAGACAAGAAAATGAAACACCCCAACGCTTAGCAGCAGGTCTCAGTTCACACAATTGGTAAATAAAAGAGCTTAAGATAGGCACCCGGGCCATCAAGGACAGGAGCCTGTGCTATCAACCACAGTTCTACACTTTGTGTCAATTAGATAAGAAAAAGAATGAGAAACCAATAGTGGAAAAGAATAGAAAAATACAGTCATCTTCTGAAGACCAAATGATTGCATACCTTGAAAATAAAGGATAATCCCTGACAACTCATTACATCTAGTAAGAGAGTTCAATATTTTCACCAGATGAAAGATCCCCAAATAAAAATCAAGCTCTTCTCTGCACAGCAATAATCACGCAGAAAATGTAAGGAAAAAATTCTATTCACAGTAGAAACAAAACCATAAGATACCAAAAAGAAATGTGCAAAACCTACTAGAAAAAAAATTTTTAAGGCAGAAAAAGGATTCCTGATTATATGGAGACACACAAACATCTATCCTAGTGAAGAATCCATATTGTAAAGATGCCAATTCTCCTCCAACTGAATCTGTAAATTATGATCAAAATCTCAACATGATTTTCTGCAATATTTTATGAAAAATTTAAACACAAAAAAGTTGAATTTCAGTGAGTACACATATACTGCCACCTAGACTCTGCTATTACCATTTAACCATATTTACTTTATCACAAACTCTCTGTTTATCCATCTCTCTATCCACCCATCAATTCATCATTTTAGTCCATATTAAAGTTGCAGGCATCAGTACACTTTACCCCTAAATGCTTCATATACATCCCATTAACTAGAGTCAATATTTGTTTACAGTTTTTAAGGGAAAATTTACATGCAGTCAAATGCACAAGTCCTAAGTGAACATTTCCTAAGACCTGAGATGGATATTCCTGGGTGACACAAATTGGTGTCACGTAGGAAACATTAACGTCACCAGAAAGCGCTGTCATGTGCCTGCCAGTCAATCCCCAAGCCGGCTTTGAGGCTACCGCTTTTCTGATGTTTTCCCACCATGGTTATCTTCGCCTCCTCTAGAAGTTCATACAAATGGGATCTTACAGTCTGTGCTCTTTTGTGTCAGATTTCTTTCCCCTAGCATAATTATTTTAAGATTCAGCCAAGCAGTTGCATGTATCCATACTTCAATCCTTTTTAATTCCTGTGTAAGACTCCACTGTATAAATCAACCAGTCTCATTATCCATTCAACTGCTGATGAATACCTGAGATATTTGTCATCCAGGTTTTAAATGGAATTTGGCAAGCTAATTCTAAAGTACATATGGGAAGAAAAAAGTACAATGGCCAAGTAGAAATTTCTCTGAAGGGGATCTTCACAGACATGAAGCATATGAAAGCTATGAAAGCATATTATACAGCCATGATAATTAAAAGAGGGGATTTTGACATAGAAAAGGAAAATAAGGCCGGGTGCGGTGGCTCACGCCTGTAATCCCAGCACTTTGGGAGGCCGAGGCGGGCGGATTACGAGGTCAGGAGATCAAGACTATCCTGGCTAACACAGTGAAACCCCGTCTCTACTAAAAATACAAAAAATTAGCCAGGCGCGGTGGCGGGCGCCTGTAGTCCCAGCTACTCAGGAGGCAGAGCTTGCAGTGAGCCGAGATCGCACCACTGCACTCCAGCCTGGGCAACAGGGTGAGACTCTTGTCTCAAAAAAAAAAAAAGAAAAAAAGAAAGAAAGAAAGAAAGAAAACAAGAAAAGGAAAATAAATCAACTGAATAGAGTTTAAAAGCCCAGAAACAGAAAATGTGCTTAAATAACAGTGGGCATTTTAACAGCCCTCACTATGAATTACATTAAAACTTGAAAAAAAAAAAAGAAAAGAAGAAGAAGAAAATATATAGAACATAGGAAAGGCTTTCCTAAGGAAAGTGTAAAACCCAGAAGCCATAAATGGAAAAACTGACTAATTTAACCACATAAAGTTTGAAACCATCTGCACAATGAAAAACAGAAAAATTAAAAAGATAAATGTTGGTTTCAAAAGAAAGCGTTTATACCCATAGATATTTTCTGAACTCTGACTAATCAGTAAATGTAAGATAACTCCTAGAAAACTGCAAAGGAAATGAACAAGTGTCACCAAAAGGGAGAAATACCAGTGGCCAGTGTGTGTCTTTCAACGTTCAATCTTGCTCATCCTCAATGAATTGCAAATCAAAGACCATCAACTGACAAAGAAAAAAAAATTTTTTTTTTTTTTGAGACAGAGTCTCACTCTGTTGCCCAGGCTGGAGTGCAATGGCATAATCTTGGCTCACCTCAACCTCCGCCTCCTGGGTTCAAGTAATTCTCCTGCCTCAGCCTCCCGAGTAGCTGGGCTTACAGGTGTGCACCACCACATCTGGCTAATTTTTGTATTTTTAGTAGAATTGGGGTTTCACCACGTTGGCCAGGCTGATCTTGAACCCCTGACCTCATGTGATCCACCTGCCTTGGCCTACCAAAGTGTTGGGATTGCAGGCGTGAGCCAACCACACCCGGCCAACAAAGAAAGTTTTTAAAGTTGAAAATAAACACTGTCGGCAAGAGTTTGAAGCACTGTCATATATTTTGTCTGCAGGAGTATAGAAAAGTAAAGCCTGCACTGTCAATATGCATATCAGTGACCCACTGATACTTCTAGCTTTGTATATCTACAAAAATACTGAAACACAAACATTGTGGTATTGAAAACTTGAAAATAACTCAAATGTTCATCAAGAAGAAAATGGTTACGTAAAATATGATATACTCATATGATCCAATATTATTCAGCTCTTTAAAATAATAAGGAAGAGGCTACAGACTAACATGGAAAACAATCTCCAAGCTATATTTTTAAAAAGATAAGTATAAAACATTATGTACTATGTGATCTAATACATGTAAAAAATGATCCAAGTATATGCACATGTACAGGTTTATTAAGGCAGAAGAAAATACTTGAAGGCTTCATAGCCAGAACCATTTCCAAAAAGTGAATTTTTATTCTGTTTCCTGGTCTGTGGCTTGGATCTTTACAATGAGACTGTATTGCTTGTCTGTGGCTCCTTTGTTTTTTCATTTTTCAAGAGTAGGGGAAAGTTGAGGAAGGCCCATGATTTATCTTTCTTATGACTCTTTAATTTAATAATTTAAAATTATTCATACCATTTTTAAATACAGTCTTAGTCATCTCCATCGTCGTTGTCATCATCATCCAGGTTTGCAGTCATGGAGCACCCTTCCGTGCATGGGACATGTTACATATGTCATGTCTGATGCCCATCACCATTCTGCAAAGGGGATATTGTTATCTCTTTTTTTTTTTAGATGGAGTCTTACTCTGCTGCCCAGGCTGGAGTGCAGTGGTGTGATCTTGGCTCACTGAAACCTCCACCTCCCAAGTTCAAGAGATTCTTCTGCCTCAGCCTCCTGAGTAGCTGGGATTACAGGTATGCACCACCACACCTGGCTAATTTCTGTATTTTTAGTAGAGATGGGGTTTCACCATGTTGGCCAGGCTGGTCTCGAACTCCTGGCCTCAAATGATCTGCCCACCTTGGCCTCCCAAAGTGATGGGATTACAGGCATGAGCCACCTCATTTGTCCTTTTGATAGACAAATAATCTGGGACTCAGGGATGTTATACAACCGCCAAAAGCAGAGCAGGGATGGAGCCATTGTTGGGCTCCTACTTCTCTCTCCACCCCCTGGTGGCTTTCAGGAGACATATCCTGAGTAGGACCCTTTCAGAGGCCCTGCCCTCCCACGGGACACATTCAGGATGCTCCCACACCCCTGGCTGTCATTGCACCATGTCCACACTGGAGCTGACATCTGCAAGGGCATCCGGCCAGCCAGGCCTTCCCCTGGGTACTCTGAAGTCAAGTTGGCCATAGGATGCCAGCAGGAACACCACCATCTTCATATACTTATATATACATGTATACACACACATATACATACATGTACAAACACACAGATACACTCACCTATATATACATGTTTTTGATAGAAACTCAGCTTCTCTGGGCACCAAAAGCAATCATGCTGAATGGAATTGGACATAGGCAAAATTGTGAAGAATAATAAGGCCTCCTCGTATTTTCCTCTCATTTCCCATTCAGCACATAGTGTTATTTGATGTAGGCTGAGCATCAAATCGCATCATGGGCAGGGAATGCAGGTATGGGAGGACTCCTGGATGGACTGGACCAGGTATTCCTCCAGCCCTCCCACCCCATTCTTCTGTGCAGGGTGCTTACCAATGCACCACCCCTGGCATTTATAAAAGCAAACAGTGTGTTCTGGCTAGAATCCTCCCCTTCTCTGTTTAGCCACATGCTTCTCCCCTCCCTTGCTTTGCCTTCAGGAGTCAGTGCAGGCTGACCGCCTGTGCCCAGATGCAGCACTCAGTCTGTCTAAGGTTCCAAGGCTGACTGCACTTCCTCCCTCCTCCCAGCCTGTTGCCCTTCATGCCTTTCCCTGGGCTACCTCCCACCTCCACCCTCCCAAGAAAAACTACCTCCCTCCTTACACACTGACGACAGGTAGTGGCTTCAAGTTGTCCTCATCTTATAATATATATGTAATATATACTTGAAACTTTCCATAGCCAAACCCAGGAAATTCTGGTACTAATGGGTACCCATGAAATCCAGAAGAAGGGACTATTTGTGGGAAAGTGAGCCTTTTGGTCCCCAGTGCTATCCGTTCTCTCTTTTGATATGTGTAATTGCTGTTTTAATGTCATACAGTTAAAATGAGCATGCACAAAGTAAAATGTCATCAAAATCCTCCCATGAAGTGGCTCCCTGCAGCTCATGGACTTAAAGGTGAAAATACACACTTACTCGTCTCCAAAGCCAGTTGTTAGGAATCTTTCTTAGAGATCCCATTTTCATAGGAATTCCAGAATCTCATTTATTTATAGCTGTCCTGCATCAACAATGAATACATTGAATACAACTGGAAGTGCCAATTCCTTCCTGAGTTTAAAATTTATACTGGTGTCTAGTAAATGGCTCTCAGAGAACTTCCTTGGGTTCCAATCATTAAGGGGTGCCAATGAATCATCCAAGATCAAGAAAGAGAGAAAACACTACTGCTACACCTCCTTTTAGAAACAGCATGGGGGGGCCAGGCACGGTGGCTCACGCCTGTAATCCCAGCACTTTGGGAGGCCGAGGCCAGCGGGTCACCTGAGGTCAGGAGTTCCAGACGAGCCAGGGCAACATGGTGAAACCCCGTTTCTACTAAAAATACAAAACTTAGCCAGGCATGGTGGTGCATGCCTGTAATCCCAGCTACTTGGGAAGCTGAGGGAGGAGAATCACTTCAACCCGGGAGGCAGAGATTGCAGTGAGCTGAGATCATGCGACTGTACTCCAGGCTGGGTGACAGAGCGAGACACCATCTCAAAAAAAAAAAAAAAAGAACATGGGGTTTCATCTGGAAGGATGGTTCTTGTCAGCGGATGTGGGAGCCATGTGAGTGTAGAGAGGAATGGAGAGTGAGGATGTAGAGCTCGTACGTGCTCCACACCTACCAGTGTGAGGCCAAGCAGCCCTGCTCTAGACCTCACAGTAGGAGGAGCTGTGGGTCCAGCAGAGGGTTCCTTTCCCTGCCGTCCCCGGAGATCTGAACCTTTCTCTAGATAGTCATACATACTGGACAAATAGGGCAAGATCTTCTACTACGAAGATGTATGTGGTCCAACACATAGCCCAGATTTACGTGGCCTGTCGATGCACACACTAACCCTTGCTGCTATTAGCTCTCCTCCCTAATAGGTAAGAGCACTGATTTTTCCTTAAGCGTGCTATTCTGGAAAAATCTACATGATGCCTGCTCTGGTCTGGCCATGTGACAGTTCTTCCAGAGGGACTTATATGTTCCTGTGGGTTCTGGGACTGGAAACACCTTATCTTGGGAGATGTCTCACACTTAAGTTGAGCAAATGATTTCCCTTCTCGGCTTTTTCACGGTGGATTCACAGGCACATGGTTTCTGTCTGAATGTGTAGAAAACAATTATCTCATCTCATCCACTCACTGTCCTGACTGTCAGAACCTGCCCTTACAAGTCCCAAATCCAGCTGTGTTTCTTCTTCAGTTACAAAAGGAAGTAGAAGATGATCTATTTTAAACTGCCATGGGGAAAACACAATGGGAATCAACAATTCAATTTTTCTTTAACTTTGTTAAGAGAAACTCATTTTTATCAAGCCGTATTGGGAATATAAAAGTAGAAGCTAGAAGGGAAGCAGTGTTGCCTATAATTTGTGTCTGGTCCTGAACATATGCTTTCTTATTTCTTGCACCCGTTTAACCCAGCACAAATCTTATGTATTTCCTACATCATTCATTGTTTTGTGCTTGAAAAAATATTTTTCTCTACATTCATCTTTCTCTGTGGGCTTCCTATTCCTTGACACTCTTTTTGACATCAGAGTCAACTTCCTCCTCAACCTGTCCAAATATTCTCTGACTTATTATTGAATGACTGCATTGGCACTCACCAGATTAGAGTAATTTCCAAGCTAATAATTACACTGGGCAGAGCCACAGACACACACAATCTCACACACACACTCACACACACACACACACACGTGTCTCCAGGCATCCCCTGCAGCCTTTGGCTTCACACATACCACATCATAATGCTGCTGGGAATGGGGAGGTTCCTCCGCTAGGTCCATCGAAGCACCCAGATTAAAATATGGTGACCATTTTATTATTTTATCAGACCAGAAAGGAGAAGCCACGGCCCTTAAAATATAGGTGCCCTTAAAGGAAAATTGAATGAATAATTTTAAGCTGAATACGAGTGTGGAAATCCAAGTTACATGATAACCGCTGGCCTGATGTTCTCATGGCACAGTCTTGATTAATACTTTTTAGCCTACTGCTATATGTTTACTGAACCCCTCAGGACAACTTTAATTGGTTCTGAAAAAGCCTGAATATGCCACATTATTCTAGAAGATGACAGTAACAGGTTGGGTGACCTGTGAAGCAGATTCGCAATCAAAATGAATGATTGTTTGTATTTTAAGCCTCTGAGTCTGGGTGTTTGTTATGCAGAAGTACTGAGGTCTGGGACATCCCTGTGAGCTCCCCATCTTCCTATTCCAGCAGGGTATTTTCTGTTAGCCCAATCCTGTTTCTTTCTTAGGCCATCAACCTCCACAAGATCACAGAGCACAGTGAGAGATAATCTATGTTATACACCCAGGAGGTCCAAAAATTTGGTTCCAAAACTTCCTACTAATGTAGAAAAGCATAAGGAACCTTGGCTCCATATAACCATCAATTTAATGCACATTTCAAAATAATTTCAAATGGTAATTTCAAAATAATATATACCAATATTTTTAATATATTACTATGATATATTATGTACTAATATGTTAATAATTAATATAAATGATAACAACATTTAATATGGAAACTTCCCCTGAAGCTCATGACAGAAAATCATACTAGTCCTTGTCTCCTGGCAGGAAATAAGGAAATAAATGTAGAGTATCTAGATTGAATCTGAACCAAGTATAATATATCACGCAACTGCTGGCATCTGATGCATATGTTGGCATAACTTGAAGACATGATAGTCTTTCTCAAATGAATAATTATCTCTGGTTTAACAGGGCCTATTTCATCCAGTTAGCAGTCCTTATATGCAAAAGGATGAAGATACTGGACAGGACAAGCCCCCTGTGATGAGGGCTGCAGGAATGTCATAAAATCTTCTCCCTTACATGTGTGTGGACTTGCTGTGGGTGGCATGAATAACCATGGCATGATAGTGATAAGTATATAAAATAAAGGGAAAATTCAATGGTCATTACTTGTTTTCTTCCCTCCTCTACCTGCAGAAACAGCACCACAGTTGCTTGGGAACATTTCCAGCAACTCTCCAGAACTGATGGAAGATCAGATACGAGGTAGTTGGCAGGCAATGACTAACTAGCTGTTGCAGTTAAGAAGAGGTATAAAACCCTTCTGGTTGGTAGGCCCACACTCTCCATAATGACCTGATCCTCTGTGTGTTTATATAATGGGAAACCCAGGAAGAAAATGCTCTGTTCTCATCAACGTGTGTCTGAATTGTTACTCTTCAGTTTATTTCCATTATTTCCTAACTCTCAGAACGGGAGTATATCCCTGCGACTGAAGAAATAACATTTCTCAAGGAACACTACAGTGGCCTGTATTTTCCAAAGATGACACCAACAATATGTTCCCAATCCACAGATTCTCCTGCAATGTGACGGTCAGACCCTTTGACCACTTTGTCCAATAGAACACAGCAGAGAGAATGCTGTTCCACTCGTGGTTGTCCTTAACAGGTCTGGGAACTTTCACTTCCTGCTTTGTGAAAGCCAAGCGCCATGAAAGAGGTATGGCGATCTGAAGACCACCAACCTGTGAGTAGTCCAGGTTCCACTGACAGGCCCTGAAGGATGAGGATGTCACGTGGAGAGGGAAAAGCAAGGAGCAGCATCAAGTGACAGTCCTAGCCAGGCAGAGCAGAGAAGAACCACCCCAGACAAGCCCCTGAAATATTTCAGACACACAAAATCATGAGTTTTAAGCCATTACTGGCTTGTTGAGGTTCCTATGACTCAGCAATAGATAACTAAAACAGGTTCCAGTGTTTATCCCAGTTTTGCCCAATCCCAATCTTCACTGAAGGATGCCATTTGACCATCAATTAGTCGCTGTGTCCTCTAAGGAAGCATGCAGACAGCAAGTTTGTGGTGTTTACTAAAGAAACACTCTATGTTTGACCCATTGCACTGGACACAGATGGCTGCCTTGAGAGTCAGGGCTCCTATGGTACATATGTCTTTATTTTATAAGCAGGATGACCATATTTTCTGAACCACAGACCCAGGAATGTGGTTTGACAATTATAAATGCAATCAGGAGGCAAGAAGACCGAATATTTTAAATCAGCACTACCCCAGAAAATACGGAAATTATACTGGTTGTGCTTACTGTCTGTCGTGTTTTATAAATAAACCTTAGACAATCTACGTACCCTTCATGTTTCTACTCCTTTGTTAGTAATAAACTACTACATCCTTCACAGATTGTGGAGATTAAATGAGATAATTCACACATAATCAGGAGACTATATGGCACATTGTAGAACTGCTCCATAAATATTAGCTAATTACATTTTTATAGTTGCTATCTCTTTATGTCCCTTTCATATACCTTAAGTACAGTAAGTGTTCAATAAATAGTTGTTTATGGAAGTTAAGGTTGTTTGTTGGGATTATGGAGTCTATTAGTTGGCTATTGTTGTGTAACAAATTACCATAAACTTAATGGCTTCAAACAACTTCCATTCATTATCTCACAGTTCTGTAGGTCAGAAGTCCAAGTGGGCTCAACTGGGGTCTCTACTTAGGGTCTTTCAGGGCTGAAATTTTGGCTGGGCTGGGCTCTAACCAAGGTTCTGAGGAAGAGTCTGCTTTTAAGCTTGTTCAGGTTGATGGGAGAATTCCATTTTTTGCTATTGCTTGACTGACTTCTCCATTTCTTTGTTAGCTGTCAGTCAAGGGCCATTCTCAGCTCCTAAGGCCATTTGCATTCTTTGCTCCATGGCCTCCTCTATCTTCAAAGCCAGTAATTGTTCATCAAATACTTCTCATACTTGGAATCTCTCTGACTTCCTCTTCTTCTACCAATCAGATAAAACTCCACTTTAAAAAAATAGATTTAGGAGGTACAAGTGCAGTATTGTTACATGTATGTGGATATATTTCATCATGGTGAAATCTGGACTTTTGCGTACACGTCACTCAAATAGTGAACATTGTACCAAATAGGTAGTTTTTTAACCTTCACCCCATTCCCATCTCCTCATCTTTTGGAGTCTCTAACATCTGCTATTCCACTTTATATGTCCATGCATACCCAGTGTGTAGTTCCCACTTACAAGTGAGAACATGCAGTATTTAACTTTCCGTTTCTGAGTTATTTCACTTATGATAATGATTCCAGGTCCATCTATGTAAAACTCTATATTTAAAGGGCTCATATGGTTAGGTTAGGCCCACCCAGATTATATTTTTATTTTAACATCAACTCATTAGTGACCGTAACCACATAGGCAGGATTTCTTTGCTATATCACTTAACCTAATCATGGATGCTGCAATGGGGGCAGAGATCATTAGGGCCACCTACAGTTCTGTCCACCAGAGTACAAACTCTGGCCCCATAATTCACTCTCACTTGCAGAAAACATTTACCTGCTCCCCAAGGTTTCCAACAGTCTCATCCCATTATCACACTAGATAAAGTCCAGAATCTCACCAGCTCAAAAGCCCAAAACTCATTATCTACTTATCTGAATCAGGTGTAGATAAAGCTTCTGAGTGTCACCCATTAAGTACAGCTCCAGGGGCACAATTTGTCTCCACCTACACACCTGTGAAATAAAAGACACAAGGTATCTTTCTCCAATACTCCCAACACACAATGGTGGAAAGAATAACAGTTATAGAACTCAAGTCCAAAATTGGGGAAATGGAAGGTAAAAAGGAGTCATTTGTTTCAATCTGTTTTGAAACCCAGCTGGGCAAAATCCACCAGGTCTCAAAGCCAGGTAACCTGTGTCTCTCAGCTGCTCTGGGCTTTCATCTTCAACTTCTGGGCTCCTGCTTTAGCTCTTAGAGTCATGCTCCGTTTTTCACAAAAGGTGACAGGTGTTTGCAGCTGGGGAATTTTATCAGTCTGCTTTTGCCATTTTGTAATATCTATATTCCATTTAGTCCTAGTTGGCATCTTTATTTTCTGCTAATCTGTTTTGCTAAAATATTTCCACTAATACAATGTTTTTTTCTAAAGTGTGTGGGCCTTGTGTGTATTTTCACTGGGTTTCTCTGCATTAGACAAAAGCTATACACACAAATCTTTCTCTAATAATCTCTTCTCTATCTTTGGCTTCTGCTTGGAGTGCTGAACACCAGTGTTTTTAAGCTTCCCAGAGGCTCTCTGGTTTGATTAGAAGATCTACATGGAACACTCTTAATCCCTTGGAAGAGTCATTATGTGGCTGAATACACAAGACCTCTGAGCTTTCCAGGGTTTCAGCAAAGAGCTGCACAAACACATATTCAGCCTTTTCTCTATGTCATAATTTTGGCATCCATCTCTGACTTCTAGGGGTATTTTTTGCCACCTGGAGAGGCTAAACTTTTGAAATTATCAAGTCGTTGTCCCTTCAATAAGTCTTCCTTCAATATGTCTCTCTTCTATTACATTTTAACATAAAAAGCAAGAAAAAAACAAGCAGCACCTTCAACACTTTGCCTGGAAATTTCCTTAGCTATATATTCCAGTTTATTACTTATGAGTTCTGCTTTTTATGTAACAACTGGACACAATTTCACTAAACTTTCTGCAATTATATAACAAGGATCTCTTTTCTTCAGGTTTCCAATAACGTGTTTCTCACTTCCTTCTTGGCCCATGTCAGTAGTATCCTTAAAGTCCAGATTTCTACTAGCAATCTGTTTAAAGTGATTCAGCTTTTTCTATAATGCTCCTCACTTTTTTCTGAGACTTCACTGGCAGAGTCTTTAACACACATATCTCAGTCAACCAATCAAACTATTAGAGTCCTTTCTAACCCATCACTTTAAAACACTGAGTCCATACTCTCAGTGAGCCTGTATCAGTAATTTCAGACTGATACAACTTTATATTCCTTCCACTTTGATGCCACACCCTTAAGATCCATTCCCACACATATTCCCCAGGTTTCTGTCACTATAAGCTAGAAACATCACATAGTTCTTTTGGTGTCCATCACACCTCTCTGTGGGTCACAACTTGTACTTCACCTTAGGATCTACTGGGACTTGAGCCTCACGATAGGTCTCTAGGTCCAGAGGAGGATCAGCAGTGCCTATAGGGTCACTAGGTCAGAAAAGCTCATCATAAGTCTTCAGTAAAGGGGGGATAACCTCAGGCAGGGGGAAGAAGCTGCTTCTACTGTTGTACTGGGGGTCCCCAAGACCACTCCCCACCTCAGTGATTATCTAGGAGGACTCAGCATACAGTTGTACTCACTGTTATAATGTATTACCTCAAAAGGATAAAAAAGCAAAATCAGCAAAGAAAAAAGGTCAATAGGACAAAGTCTGGAGGAAACTAGGCACAGCTTCCTAGAGTCCTCTCCCTGCAGAGTCACAGAGCCTGGACTAATTTCTCCAGCATCTAGTTGTGACAACTCCTGTAAAATATCATCTACCAGAGAGACAGACCAGGGTTTTTATTGAGGGCTGTTCACACAACCACTGTCTGCTTAGCACATACCAAAATTCCAGAGTCCCAGAAGGAAAATCAATCTCAGCCTAGATCAAATTGTTTGCACAATCAGGTTAAACAGCGTGAGCAACCTTTGCCATTTAGGGAATAGGGAAACTCTCCCAAAATCCAAGTTCCCAGAAATCAACCAAGGCTCAACCTTATAAGCAGACCTTTCTAAGGAGAGCATTCTCAGGCCTTGCTCTGTTAAAACTCTTTCCTACACAGCTGTCAATGAAGACATGGTAGAATTTAGGGGTTTGAGGCCCCCAGTTTGCTTGCATCTCTTCCTATGTCCATACTCCAGTTTTCAAAATCCCACTTCTTCCCAGTCAGTGCTCTAAATTTCACAAAAGACAAATTGTGAGTTAATGAATTCAATTTGCTTTGTAATTAAGCCATGACAGAATCAGACTCTGAGTTTAACCATTTGCTACAACAATTGGGGGTGCTTCTGGCATTTGGTAGGAAGAAAATAGGGATGCTAGACATCCCACAAAATAACAAACTTCCCCTCATCCCATATGAATTTTGAATGCCCACTTGGATTTTCACATAGATGGAGCAACCTGCTTATAATGATCTGAGCCAATAATCTAACTCTTTACATGTAAATAGAAGGGATATTTTTACATGGGTTTAAAATTCATTGACTTTTCCAAGAATATATCCATTGTGTAAATTAAGAAGAGATTGTGCTCTGTTTTCCTTGGAACTTTACCAAGAGTGGCTCATCACTTTAGAAAATCACATTCCTGATGACCAAACTACTTGTGATGCTTGAGTCACAAAAACAACACTTGTATCATCAGTCTGCATTCATGACTTGGGCATTCAAAATGATTATCTCTGTGTGTGTGTGTGTGTGTGTGTGTGTGTGTGTGTGTGTGTGTGTGTGTATTTATTTCAAAATGTCAAATATAGAAACAAATTTTTAGTTGAATATTGGTTTCCTTTTTTCAAATTAAACCTTTTTATTTTAAGTAGTTACAATAATCTATTAATAGTTATCTCTTTGTCTCCTAGTGATATACTCTCTCTTCTTTTTTTTGTTATACTTTAAGTTCTGGGGTACATGTGCAGAACTTGCAGGTTTGTTATATAGGTATACAAGTGTCATGGTGGTTTGCTGCATCCATCAACCCGTCATCTACATTAGGTATTTCTCCTAATGCTATCCTTCCCCCAGCCCCCCATTCCCTGACAGGCCCTGTTGTGTGATGCCCGCCCCCCCACCCCCACCATGTCCATGTGTTCTCATTGTTCAACTCCCACTTATGAGTGAGAACATGCAGTGTTTGGTTTTCTGTTCTCGTGTTAGTTTGCTGAGAATGATGGTTTCCAGCTTCATCCATGTCCCTACAAAGGATATGAACTAATCCTTTTTTATGGATGCATAGTATTCCACGGTATATATGTGCCACATTTTCTTTATCCAGTCTATCACTGATGGGCATTTGGGTTGGTTCCAAGTCTTTGCTATTGTGAACAGTGCCGCAATAAACATACATGTGCATGTGTCTTTATAGTACAATGATTTATAATCCTTTGGGTATATACCCAGTAATGGGATTGCTAGGTCAAATGGTATTTCTAGTTCTAGATCCTTGAGGAATCGCCACACTGTGTTCCACAATGGTTGAACTAATTTACACTCCCACCAACAGTGTAAAAGCATTCCTATTTCTCCACATCCTCTCCAGCATCTGTTGTTTCCTGACTTTTTAATAATTGCCATTCTAACCGGCATGAGATGGTATCTCATTGTGGTTTTGATTTGCATTTCTCTAATGACCAGCGATGATGAGCTTTTTGTCATGTTTGTTGGCCGCATAAATGTCTTCTTTGGAGAAGTGTCTGTGTATATCCTTTGCCCACTTTTTGATGGGGTTGTTTGTTTTTTTCTTGTCAATTTGTTTAAGTTCTTTGTAGATTCTGGATATTAGCCCTTTGTCAGATGAGTAGATTGCAAAAATTTTCTCCCATTCTGTAGGTTGCCTGAGCACTCTGATGATAGTTTCTTTTACTGTGCAGAAGCTCTTTAGTTTAATTAGATCCCATTTGTCAATTTTGGCTTTTGTTGCCATTGCTTTTGGTGTTTTAGTCATGAAGTCTTTGCCCATGCCTATGTCCTGAATTGTATTGCCTAGATTTTCTTCTAGGGTTTTTATGGTTTTAGGTCTAACATTTAAGTCTTTAATACATCTTGAGTTAAGTTTTGTATAAGATATAAGGAAGGGATCCAGTTTCAGCTTTCTGTGTATGACGAGCCAGTTTTCCTAACATCATTTATTAAATAGGGAATCCTTTCACCGTTGCTTGTTTTTCTCAGGTTTCCCAAAGATCAGATGGTTGTAGATGTGTGGTGTTACTTCTGAGATCTCTGTTCTGTTCCATTGGTCTATACATCTGTTTTGGTACCAGTACCATGCTGTTTTGGTTACTGTAGCCTTGTAGTATAGTTTGAAGTCAGGTAGTGTGATGCCTCCAGCTTTGTTCTTTTTGCTTAGCATTGTCTTGGTTATGCTGGCTCTTTTTGGTTCCATATAAAATTTAAAGTAGTTTTTCCAATTCAGTGAAAAAAGTCAATGGTAGCTTGATGAGGATAGCATTGAGTCTATAAATTACTTTGGACAGTATGGCCATTTTCACAATATTGATTCTTCCTATCCATGAGCATGGAATGTTTTTACATTTGTTTGTGTCCTCTCTTATTTCGTTGAGCAGTGGTTTGTAATTCTCCTTGAAGAGGTCCTTCACATCCTTTGTAAGTTGCTTTCCTAGGTATTTTATTCTCTTTGTAGCAATTGTGAATGGGAGTTCACTGATGATTTGGCTCTCTGTTTGTTTGTTATTGGTGTATAGGAATGCTTGTGATTTTTGCACATTGATTTTGTATCCTGAGACTTTGCTGAAGTTGCTTATCAGCTTAAGGAGATTTTGGGCTGAGACGATGGGGTTTTCTAAATATACAATCATGTCATCTGCAAACAAGGACAATTTGACTTCCTCTTTTCCTAACTGAATACCCTTTACTTCTTTCTCTTGCCTGATTGCCCTGCCCAGAACTTCCAATACTATGTTGAATAGGAGTGGTGAGAAAGGGCATCCTTGCCCTGTGCCAGTTTTCAAAGGGAATGCTTCCGGTTTTTGCCCATTCAGTATGATATTGGCTGTGGGTTTGTCATAAATAGCTCTTATTATTTTGAGATACGTTCCATCAATACCCAGTTTATTGAGAGTTTTTAGCGAAGGGCTATTGAATTTTGTCAAAGGCCTTTTCTTCATCTATTGAGATAATCATGTGGGTTTTTCATTGGTTCTGTTTACGTGATGGATTACGTTTATTGATTTGCATATGTTGAACCAGCCTTGCATCCCAGGGATGAAGCCAACTTGATCATGGTGGATTAGCTTTTCAGTGTGCTGCTGGATTTGGTTTGCCAGTATTTTATTGAGGATTTTCGCATCAATGTTCATCAGGGATATTGGCCTGAAATATTCTTCTATTACAACACATGTTGTGAAGAATTTGTTCACATGCTGCTTCAATTATGTAGCATACACAAAGCACCCTGAAAATAGTAGCTCAAAACAACAAAACTGTGCATTGTGCCTCATGGTTCTGTAAGTTGACTGGAATCAGCAGGATGGTTTTTCTGACCCACATAGTGTCACTTGCAGTCATCTAGAGGCTGACTGGGCTGGGACATTTAAGATGGGGCACACAGCACTTGCCAACCACGTCAGCTAGTAGCTTCACTTTGCTGCAGACTGGAGAGGCTCAGTTTCCCTCCAAATGGCCTTTCCATGGTGCTTGGGCTTCTCCCCTCATTATGTGGGAGTTCAAAGAGACAACGTTCCCAGTGTGGAATAGCTTAGCCTCAGAAGTTACAGAGCGTCACTTCCACTGCATTCTATGGCTCAAAGCAAATCACAGGTCGAGCCCAGATCCAAAGGGAAGGGAAAGAGGCTCCACTTTTCAAAGTGGGCATGGCAAGGAATTTACAGCCATCTTTAACCATCACAATACATGACACATAAACTGGAGAATCTAATCACCAAATGAAAAACAAAACAAACAAACAAAAACAGAAAAACAGAAAAGCCCAGCCATTTTCCATGAGGGGTTAGTTTCATGCTGCTGCAACACCAGGTGGTGTGCATGAGAAATGCCACTGGCTCAAAGCAGTCTCCTGCTGAGGTGCTCCCGCCTGCTACCAAGCTGGCCCATGGTGAGCCCTGCAAGCGCACAGAGCTGGTCTCCTGAGTGTTAGATGTTCTTGATAGAAGTATCCATTACAGAGTCTCAAACATAAGCAATCATTTGGGTTATAAGAATCCGAGTATGCATGTCAAAGAAAAGCCTTGAATATTGAGGAGTAGCTTGATATAATAAAATATTTGGAAACACAAAGATCACGTGATATTGCAAAAGCATCGCACCTGTAGGAATCCACATTGCACAACATCAGGGAAGTGGCTTTGAGAGCAACAACAAAATGAAATAGTAGAGTTATCAGCTGTCTGAAATATGGCCAAAAATTACTTGCAGTGGGTTGAAGATGAAAACTACCACTGAATGCAGCAGAATTTTTATTTTAAACCAGTGAGAAGGCACCAAAATAGGCCAATGCCCATTCTTGTATGGAAATATTTCATTCCATAAATGACAGGCCTTTCCATCCACCCCTATATGGTTTGGCTGTGTCCCCACTCAAATATCATCTTGAACTGTAGCTCCCACAATTCCCATGTGTTGTGGGAGGAACTCAGTGGGAGATAATTGAATCATGGGGGTGGTTTTCCCCATACTGTTCTCGTGGTAGTGAATAAGTCTCAGGAGATCTGGTGGTTTTATAAGGGGAAACCTCTTTCACTTGGATCTCATTCTGCCTTGCCTGCCACCATGTAAGATGTCCCTTGCTCTTCCACCATGATTGTGAGGCCTCTCCAGCCATGTGAAACTGTGAGTCCATTAAACTTCTTTCCTTTATAAATTACTAAGTCTTGGGTATATTTTTATTAGCAGCATGAAAACAGACTAATACACACCCCTTCTCCAAAACCACATCCACCCTCCAAACTGCATGTGTTTGTCAAGGTAAATGGTGTGTGTGTGTATGTATGTGTGTATATATATATATATACATATACGTATATATATATATACGTATATATATATATATATATATATACCTACATGCATATATATATATACATATATATTTATTGACTGAGAATTTAAGGTGTCTCAAACTATGGCAGAATTTTAATAAAGTTTATTATTTATTTTGTAATGAATTAATTACAAAATTATATAGCAGGTCCTGGAATAACATCATTTTATTTCAAAGTCATTTTGTTATAATGTTGAAGAGAAAAAAAAATGAATTCCCCCTGGTGGGGCCACCATCTGTGTGAACTTTGCACATTCTCTCTAGGTCTGTGTAGGTTTTTTCTGGCTACTCCTGTTTCCTCCCACATCCCAAAGGTGTGCCTATGAGGTGAACTGCCATGTCTACACATCCCAGTATGAGTGAGTGCAGGTGGTGTGCACGCGCCCTGCGATGGGAGTGTGTCCTATTCAGGGCTGGTTCCCGCCTTGCGCCCTAAGCTTTGGAGATAGGCTTCGGCCACCCTCAACCCTGAACTGGAATAAGCAGGTAAACAATTCTCTTACTTGTTTTTATTAATTTGTCTTAAATGTGTTATAGCTTTTATTTTAATGTTTAATATTACATTTATTTTATTGTTTTAATGTTTAATATTACAAGTGTTTGGGTCTTCATTTAGAAGTTTGGTGATGTTTTTGCTATCAGAAATATGCTACAGGAACTTAACTCTTGTGGATATCAATTAGCCTATAGGGAAATTGGTTTCTTTCTATGCAGTTTTGCTTACAGTCACTGTTTCCAAGAGCCTATGAACGTCATGAAAAACTTACTGTATAGGTGTTGGGTATTCTGTCACTAACCTCATTTCCCCACAAGCTCTGTTATTTTTATTATGCAAAATTCCATAGCAAGTGATTTTAGGAACACATTGCAGAAGAAATGACCATATATTGAATTTCATGTTATTTTATGAAGAATTATTTTCCTTTTGCTTCTCTATATTACTGTTAGGTATATGAATAATATATATGTTATATATGAACATATAGTCATACAAATGTATGTCACATATCTAGATCTGTTGTATTGTCCAGCAATTTCATAACTGGCTAGTAAAGGGGACCGTAAAAGACACATTTTTAAAGGAGGAAATTGGAAATAGAGCTGAGGAACCTCCACTCGGTGATTCCTGAGGTTACTGTACGTGGCAGCTAAACCACTCGGCTGGGATACAAGAGGTCCTGTATCGGTTATCTATGGCAGCCTAACAAATTCCCCTCACATTTAGCAGCTTAAAATAATGACTTTTTATCACCTGTCATAGTTCCTGTGGGTCAGGAATTCAGGCAGGGTGGCTTGTCGCCGCCTCATGGCGTCTGGAGTCTCCGCTGAGCCACTCGAAGCAGTAGCAGGGACCATCTGCAGGCACATAAACTGGAGAATCTAATCACCAAATGAAAAACAAAACAAACAAACTGGTGGGTGTGGCAGTCCACACAGGCTTCCGGTTTTTGGCTGGAACACCCACACATGACCTCTCCCTGCAGGCTGGGCTTCCTCACAATGAGGTGGCTGGAAGCCAAGGAAAAGCACCCAAGAAAGCCAGGTAGAAGCCATATTGCCTTTTACGGCCTAGCTTGGAAATCCCACAGCATCACTTTCCCTGTATTCTATTGGTCCAGGCAGTAATAGGGGTGTCCCCAGGTGTGAGGGTGAGACTCCCTCACACCTCTCAGTGGGGGCTAGCATTGCACTGTAGGAAGAGTCATGGGATGGAGTATATATTAGTGTGACCATCTTTGCAAATACAACGTGCTCTAGCCCCCAAGCAAGGGCTTTGGGTAAAACAACGGGTAGAAAGATGAAAAAGATGATATAGGTAAACTTAGAAAGAAACAAAACAAAACAGAACTTTGTAAGGGGATGCATAGAACTAAAGCAAGAGCAAAGCTGAATACTTCTGGAATATCATAGTGAATCGAAATCCCCTAGAATCTGTGATAAACACACACTGTTTATCTTGGAAGAAAAGAGTTTCGGGAATTTCTTTAAAAGTAACATTATGTATATTGCCTCACATGTGGACTTTATGCAAAACTCTCACTTGGCAATTTAGTTTTGGTGTGTTTCAGAAATAATCTCATTTGCTTTCATATCATGTAGAAAGAATGAAAGAAAAGCCAGTTTGTTTAGTCAGTAACTCTTGCTTTGGACTCAGAGGCCTGGGGGAAAAGAGAGTATGTATGTGCATATGTGTGTGTGTGTGAATGTGTGTGTGTATGAGTGCGTGTGTGTGGGTGCATGCAGAACAAAAGCAAATGCAATAAAATGAGAAGAGATGTGTGTCATTGTCCAGTTGCTTGCTTGTAATGTGAATAGCTTATGTTACTGGAGGGACTGATGCCAGGAGCAACGAAGCCAATTGCTTCCCATCCCATGATGGGATGGGAAAACACTGGCCACTTCAGTCCATGCCACTGTGTGGCACCCTACTTTTCCTTGGGTACTGAAACTTGGTGCCTGGAGTTTCATAGAAAACTTGAGGTATTCTAACCACAAAAGTAAAACATGCTTCTGCCTGCAGTGCCCAGTGGAATAGTATAGCCCGGGCAGGCCACCCGAGAGACCAACAGCCACACTGCGCATCCTACCCGAAGCCAGTAGGAAATGTTAGCCTTTGGAGCTCACTCAACACACAGTAGGCCTGTGATAAACCTTTGTGAATAGTGCATCAAGTTCCTAGCTGTCTTCCCTGAGCGGCAGAAACACAGGGCTGAAACACGTCCAGCCAGCCTGGGCCCACGTCTGCCAACAAGCCTAGGCGTGTGACGCTCGTAACAATTCTGCATTTTCTACACGGCACAATTACCATCAGTGCCAGAGTATGATAGAGAAGCCAAACAACTGCATTTGCAGATACCCTGAACTAACAAAACTTCATCCTCAAAACAGCTCGGTTCCTGTTTGCAATCATGAGTTTGCATAATCTGTTACCTGGAAGCAATACGAATTGCACAGCAGCTCTGGGAAATGAGCCGGGTAATTACATCTTCAGGAGCTGAGGACAAGATGTGACATTTTACCTACAGGGCACCAAACAAAGTCAACATGTTTAATTTTTATTCTGCTCCCACTGTCCTTCTGGCCTTTTGTTTGAAACTATCTTATGAAAATACAGCATTCAAACAGCCAGAAAGCCCTCAGAGAGACCACAAGAGAAATGATAACGAATTGTTTGTGAACAGCCCCATGGCCAGATTAGTTTTTATAAGATACAGCTTTTTCTACTACCCATCTTTGGCTCCCTCCATTATTTTTCAGCTTCCTGGGGTCCCATTTTCTGTTTGTTAGGGAAAGGTTTTTGTTTCATAGCTCTAATTGTGTGTAATGTCAAATAAATCCCAGAGGAGAGAACCACCATGTTGCCATCATCGTGTATAAATCGCGGGCCCACCATGAAAACCGTTTGGAAGTCTTACTCCCATTTTTTCGTCTTTCTAGAAAACCACATCTGGTCAGGAGCCCAGTGTGTCCCACTTGGACAAGAATAGAAATCTCTCTTCTGGAATATGGTAAACACAGATTTTGTTTCCAAGTTAACACATAATGTAGTTCTATCATGTTTACAGACAGTAAGTTCTCAATATCATATTAAATATAGATTCTGTGCCAAAAGAATAGGGATCAACCTGTCATCTCTATTTCCAGGAATTAGTCTTTTTTATTCCTCTAGTGGAAACCTTTGAGGAATTTGCTCATTTTCCCCCTAAAGCTGTGAAGAAAAGTTAAAGGTCAAATGGGAGAATAGAATGAAAGAAGAAGAAAACAGAAACTCAAAGAAACCTAGACTCTTGAATTTGAACTCATTTTTTTGCAAAATAATTGAATGAGTCAGTCCGAAATCATCAGAGGGCTCTCCACCTATTTCTCAATGAACTGAGAAGCATGGAGGATTCAGGGTGGGGCTAGGGAGGTGGAAACCCATGCTTTGATTCAGGGAGAGGTAATGCTTCTAAGCTTCATTAGGAACTGAATAATGGCAAGGTGCCCAGGGAGCATGCCTGGATTCTGGCTCCTTGCCCAACCCTCACCCTGCCCCAGGGCAAACTCAGAAAACCAAGTCAGATCATCATAATGACGTGCATGGCTGCTGTTACCTGAGACAGAAGCCATGATGTCATCTTGTCATAATTGACTTCAGGTTTGTCACTCTCAGATCTTCTCTGGTTGGAGCCAATGGTTTCTTTCAGACCTGAGATATCCTGATGAAGCAGACCACACCTGCCCTCAGAGATGACCTCATGAGGAAGCTGAGCTGCATAACAAACATCTCTGCTGCTCAGCCACCTCCACTCTTTTTCAACAGACCTTGGAGATAGCACAGCACCCACACCAAAAAATCAGGAAGCTCTCTTATCAGCAATCTTTCTGTACCTATGAAATCAGACATTCCAGCCATGGCAGAACCTCCTGAGTGGGCCAGAGCCTCAGAGTCAGGAAAAGCTGGGGCCTAATGATGTTTCAAATCAAATCACTCTGTAGGGGATTTTCCATTTAACATATTGTGATTGTGCAGTAACATTAGTCTTTGCCATTTAATTTATTAAATTTTAAAATCTTATAATATCCTCAACACCGTCTTTGTCTCGATTTATACATATAACATATACATTTTTATTACATATTACAAACAATTGATATATATGAAGAACTCTGTGTGTTTAAATGCCAATCACTGGTACACAGGCTCGAGGAATGTAATATCCAGGATTCAGTCTAGGAAACCAAAGTAATTCTAGGTACTTGATTGAAGAAGGTTTAATATTTGGAATTTAATGTTTTAAAAATTATTGAAGAGGCTGGGCACGGTGGCTCACACCTGTAATCCCAGCACTTTGGGAGGCTGAGGCTGCCAGGTCATGAGGTCAAGAGATCGAGATCTTCCTGGCCAACACAATGAAACCCCATCTCTACTAAAAATACAAAACTTAGCTAGGCATGGTGGTGCACACCTGTAGCCCCAGCTACTCGGGAGGCCGAGGCAGGAGAATCACTCGAACCCAGGAGACAGAGGTTGCAGTGAGCCAAGATCGTGCCACTGCATTTCCAGCCTGGGCGACAGAGCAAGACTCCATCCCAAAAAAAAAAAAAAAAATTATTGAAGAAGCAGGTTTTAGGCTGTGACTCTTCAAATGACCCTCAGAACAATGAGAACCGGCCAGTGGGGGAATTATTGCCTCTGAGGTCAACACTGGAGCCAGGCAGTCTAGGTTGGAAGCTCTAGGGACTAACACCCAAAACATCGAGATGTGACTGTCCCTGAGACTCAGGAAATCAAAGATAAACACTGGAAAAACTTAGAAGAAATCCATGACTCTCCTGAACCCACAGTGAAAGACAGAAGCTGTAGGGAGGCCCAGCTTCAGCCCTGGCTCACCTCTTGCTCCACATCAGGGGCCAGCAAACATGCACTAGAAAGGGCCAGAGAGTCCAGATTTGTGGCTTTGTGGGCCATAGACTCTCTGTCACAGCCACTCCACTCTGCCATTACAGTGTTGAAACAGCCAAAGTAATAAGTAAATGAATGAGTATTCTGTGCACCTGTTTACAAAAATAGACTTGGTCCCTGGGCCATAGTTAGCCAATCTTCACTCTAGTGAATCTAAATGACACTAATTGACCTCCAGAATCCTAGCTGCAAAGGAGTCTTGAAAATGTATTTTTTAGTTTTCTAATTAAATGCTCCTGAGACCATGAAGGAGTACCACATTCCTGTCTGATGAAAGCACATCCCTCCTGCTGCTTTCTATTTATTTGAATGTAGAGAAAGCGTTAGCCAATACAAAAGGTGCATACCAGGAGACAAGGGCTGTGTTGATTTGCTCCACCAAAAAAGCTACCTCTTGAAGAATGGCTACAGTTGTAGTCATATATTATTACACGTATGACAATTTATTGTCATTCTCCAAGAATCGCCTGTCCTCTGCATGAAGAGGACACGAGAGTCGCCTCCCCTGCATCTTGCAAGTTTCTGATGGTGCACCATCTTTGAAATTCACCAGATATGCTTGTTGATTTTGGTTTTATAGGGAAAGGTAGTTCCAGGGGTTTCCATGTGACCATTTCTACCAGAGGGACCCTAGCCCCACCCTCCACATTGATAAGGACATCAGTGTAGAGATTTGAGCAGTTGTCGAGTATTTCTATCTCAACTTTACATTCAGGAGCTAGAAAAATAACCACAAGATGGGCTCCCAGAGCCACTGGCCTACTGTGAAATAGACTTCGGCCAAAATTCTATTTCTCCCCTGACCATCTCACCTCCCACATCAATCTCCAATCTGGTTTGGATTCGTATCAGCCCAGAGCCTGTGCCTATGTATCCCTGAAAATCTGAGTTTCTCCCTTTCCCCTGTGCATGGCCACCCTAGTTAATGGCTTCAGGTAATTTCTTGGATGGTAGGAGGAAGATAGAGTATGCTCTTGTGGCAGTTTCTCTAGGGTCTGGGCTCAAGGGGAACAAACCACCTCTTCTCTCAGGGACTTTCCATAGTGTGTGCTCACTCAGATTCAGGAGTGTTAACTCAAGTGCTTTTCAGTTTATAGATCAGATAGGTTGTCTGTTGATTTCATGGACACCGTGACCCCACCCTGGAAACCTTTGGGCCCAACCATCCTGACCCACCACCATTGGCCCTGATGCTGGTCATGGTGGTCACTCTCATCTTGTCACTGACAGCAGAGTTAATTCTTCTGGAGTTAAGGCTTGTGAAGGAAAGTTAGAGGTCCAGGCCACCATCAGATGAATCCATCACTCAACTGACTATGACAGGAATATAAAGCTAGCTTTTACTTTTTTAATTTGTTAAATAAAAGAACTATGATTGTATTTAACACAGACTTCATGCTTGATTTCTTCTCCTATTTACATATGACTGATATCTATGAAAAACTGTGTTTTTGTTGTATTTCAGTGCTTATGGCAAACTCAAAATTTGGAATTTAAGTTGGCACTATTTGGGGTTTTGTCTCTTTGCTGGGACAGATGACAAAGCCAGCGGTAAATAGGCCTTATGAGGCATTTTCTGTCAACAGCCAGAACCAGAGTCCCTTGAAGAATCACAAATCTATTTAGCTGAAGATTTATGGTATCCTATCATGGAACCATTGTGATTTCCAACTCTGAGAAAGGCTGTAAGTCTCTGTGATTTGGAATGATTTATCTGCCACAGCCAGATTCCATAAGGCTCAATTCTGAAGAAGTGTGAAGCAGGGGAGGCGAGACCCGGGCCCAGAACCGGGTCTAGGGGAGACCCATGTCCGGGCGTGAGCCCCACTATGCCAGTGTCATTATTCCTCTGCAGAATGGGTTAGTACTGCCCGGGATGAGGATGGAGTTTGTCCCTGCAGGAAGGAATGCAGCTAACAGGAATGGCTTTGTGCTCCAGCACAAATGAGTTCAGCAAAAAAGCACAGACTCTGGAAACAAACTAGTTTGAATTCCCACCTCCAACATTTCCCAGAGAAATTACTTAATTTGTGTCTGAGTTTCCTCATCTCTAAAATAAGGATGAGGGAGTTCCTAACTTACAGGATTGCTTAGAGAATTAAGTAAGTTAACTCATGTGAAACACTGCAAGTGGTGGCCGGCACATGGCGAGTTCACTGAATCAGCTACGCCATCTATACGGGGCGACAGGGCAGGAACGGGGGCCCAGAAGACGAAGGCAGAGTAGTAGAGGGAGGACCTTACTCCCCCGAGCTCCACCTATCCCTGCAGGGGTGTTTGGATGGGATTGCCCCTGCTCTGCCAATCCTTCTGTCTTTAATAATTGAGCTTCTCTCCCACAGTAGAAAACATTGAGCTCTGCCACCCGCTCAGGTGATATGCTCCAGGCACAGGCATTACGGAGCTGTGGTTAGCTTTCAGGTGGCCTCTAGGTGTCTCTCGGGCCTGAATATAGGAGAACAGCCCATTCCACTGACATCTCTCTTCCTAGCCCTTCTCCTTTCTTTCCTTCTTCCCTTCCTCCCTTCCACTCTTCACATTTGTTAAACTAAACTGAATCCCAGCAGAAGTTCCATATTATCTTCTAGAAAGTCCAAAACACTCTAATTCAAGCCACACTCCCCAAAAGCATCCAAAGAGCTGCTGAAAGAAATGTGCTTGGTCCCAGGCACAGTGACCTGTAGTGAGTTATCCCCCTCATCTGTTTTCCTGGGATGTATTCGGTGTTCTCAGGCAGGCCACTCTCCTGCCACAGACATTTCCTTCGAGCTCAGGCAACCCCAGCACAGGCAACCATATAATATAATGTCTTAGCGCACCTCACTCAGGGATCCATGCTTATCAGGGACATAGGCTTGGTATGAAGAGACACAAACACTCTGGAGTTGTATGCAGAATGGACTACCCAGGGCTTTGTCAGTATCAACACACTCTAGAGTAGCACTCTGTTCATCAATGGAAGCAAAAGCCTCCCACCAGGCAGGAGAGATGGTCAGGATGACGGGAGGGGCCCATCAAAGGAGGAGGGACAAAGAGAGAAGATAGATGGCACATGGCAATGGAGGACTAACTTAGTCCATTCCTGCCACATGAGAATAACAAGAAAAGATGGTAATTGTTGTTCTTGTTGTTGTTGTTAGAAAGCCATCTACTTGAAGGCACCAGAGAACAAACAAGCCAATAAATTGTTACAGAACATGATTTGGGAGCAAAAGGAAGGACAGAGAGTGAGCCTAGCACCTGCGGCCAATCTTCCCAGAGACACCTGCTGCTTCCAGAAGCAGTCCAGAGGCAGGGATAGGGAGCAGAAGAGCGTCTGGCAGCCTTTCAGTGCAGCGAGCATAAGGTCTGGAGTTCAGGGCCCACCAAAGGGCAGGGAAGGCTCCTAAACCATCCATTCTCAGTCAGGACCATGAAAGGCTACATCCTATGAGCAAGGGTGATCCATTTGTGAATCAGCCCTTGTGGGCACTGAATCCCGGTGTCAAATCTCTTGTGAAATTGGATTATGGGGAACCTGAGTTGCTCAGACCCCAGCTGCCAACCAGGAGAAAATATAAATCTTGCCTGAGGGAGATAACATCAGACTAGGCCTCAAACTGTTTCTACTACTCTTAATAAACAATATTGCAATTCAGTCAGAAATAACCCAATATTCTCAAAACCAAAGCATGGGAATATAAAGCAAGAAAGGCAATTTAAAAAATAGAAGCAGTATCAAATCATCAAGTTGTATACCTTAAATATACACAAATTTAAGAAAAGAAAGACGATAGAAGCAAACTCTGGCATTGCCCCCATAATGGAATTATCAGAACTGACTTTTTAAAAACTTTTTTAAAGCCTACATCAAAGGAAGAATACCAGAATGAGCTCCCATGTACAAATTATGCATCCTCACCAGTTATATATACACACACACACTTTTTTGGAGTATTTAAAAATAAATCACAGACATAATATCATTTCCCCTCTAAGGACTTCACTATACAATTTTAATGACCTAACCATTATACCATTATCACACCTAAGAAAATAAACAAAAATTTTTCAATAGCATTTAAAATCCAGTTTGAGTCGCAGTCTATAAATTAACTACCTCAATATATTTAAGCAGATTATGAATAAGACTGAAAATTTCAACAGAAAACTGGAAACTTTTAAAGAAAAACAATGGACATTCTTCTGAAAAATAAAATTGTTGCTATTAAAGCTTATAATGGGCTAAATAGCAGAAGAGATACAGCTAAGGAGAAAATATGTAAATAGGAATATAAACTAGAAGAAAAGATTCCAAATAAAGCACAAAGAGACAAACAGATGTGAAACATAAAAGAAAGGGTGAAAAACAAGAGAATACAGTGTCCTGTTCAGAGGTAACAGCACAGACTGGAGCAGAAGCAACATTAAGAGATACTGGGTGAAGATTTCCCCAAACTAATGAAAGATATTTCATTGAACACAATTTATGCCCCTTATCAGATGCATTCAGCCTCTCCTGACTCCAGGGACCCGCACCCCTTGTTTGCAGAGGTCCCCAGCTGCTTCTGCCCCAGCTGCCACCACATCACCTCCAGGCCCATTGAGGTCTTGGCCATATTCCATGAGGTGAGCCCAGCTTCTCCTTGTCCCATGGAGCTGTTTGATCACTGCTCAGTTAATCTGGAAAATAATAATGAAACGCTAATTAGAAAATTCCCATATGTTTGGAAGGTAAGGGATAAATTTCTAAAGCACTCAAGGATCAATGAAGACATTACAATGGAAATTAGGAATTATTTTGAACTTGATAACAAAAATCTAAACACTTGTGAGATGCAGCTAACACGGTGCTTAGAGGGAAATTTTAAAACTTAAACAGATACATGAAGGAACATAAATAACTAAATACCAAGTGGTCTAAGTATCCATCTAAAGAAATTAGAATGAGATTACCAAATTAATTTTTTTTTAAAAAAAGGCAAAGTTGGAGAAAGAGAATAAAATGAGAGGACAGAAATTTATGTAATAGAAAATAGACATCTAATACAAAGGCTCAATAAAGCGAAAGTTCTTTCTTTGAAAGAAGCAACTTGTCAAACTCCTGCTAAGACTTATCAATGTAAAAAAGAGGACACAAATCCCAAGAATCAGAAATGGAGGTCAGGAGGGGGGCACATCACTATAGCTTCTGGAGATAGGAATGTGATAGTAAGATGATAATTACAATAAACCAATAAACTTAAATTTTTAAGAGAAAAGTAAACAAATTCCTAGGAAACTCCAACTCACCAAAGCTGACTCCAGAAGAAATAATAAACAAGGATAATCCTTTAATATTGAAGAAATTAACACCATAAATTAAAACCTTCTCTTAGAGAAAACTCCGGACCCAAATGGCTGCCCAGTGAAAAACTAATGCAAATCTTACACAAACTCCTCCAGAGAACAGAAATCAATGAAACCCCCAGGAACCTGTTTTCTGAAGCCTGCATGACCTTGACACCAAAACCAAGCAACATCATTGTAAGAAAGGAAAAGAACAGGCAAATTCCTCTCATATATATAGATGCAAAAATACTTTTTACAGGGAAGGGAAGGAAGGTGAAGGGATGAAGAAAAGTTGATTCATGTGTACAAGAATATCGTTAGAAGGAATAACTTCTAGTATTCTATAGAACAGCAGAGAAATTATAGTTAACAATAATTTATTGCATATTTCAAAATGGCTAGAAGAGAAGAATTGTAATGTTCCCAACACAAAGAAAATATAGTCTTGAGATGGTGGATATTGCAGTTACCGTGATTTGATCATTACATAATGGATACAGGTATCAAAATATCACATGTAGCCCCAAAATATGTATAGCCATGATATATCAACAAAAATACAAACAACATTTTTTTTAAATAAACGAGTGATGATTGAGAGAGACAGGAGACTTTCGAGAGCAAAGTGGCAGGGTCCTCTTCACTGTGGAGGTTTGTCAGGAGGTCAACTTTGGCTGGCTGGTGTGGAGCATTCATAGAGTGTCCTGTCCTCCCTCACCACCTCCTGCCCAGCAGCCTGTATCACATAGGCCTTGTTGCCATCTGTGGTCTGACTCCACCCGCTTTTATTTGTGGTTTGGGAGACACCTTATCAACTCATTTTGTTATGTTATTCATAGATAATGAGTTTTTATTATTTCAATTGCTCTGGTTGGATTTGTTGAGGGTTTCCAGAACATTCACAATTATGCCACCACTGCTGCCTTCTTATGCCTTCTTACTCAGGGTTTAACCCACGCCTTTAATATCAATGCTAGTGCACAGTATGTATGCTGCATTGTTTTTACAGCAATTCCACCATGGATAGATATTCAGATTGTGTTCTGTGTTTTTCTGTTACAATAAATGCACGAGAATATCTTTGGGCATATTTCTATTTTTTTAATTTTTGTAAAACATATTGCTAAAAGTGGGATTTCTCCATCATAGAGTTAACAGATACTGTCAGATTACTTCCTCTAACATTTGGGGCAATGCACACTCCCATCTGTAAAATCAGGGAGTACAGTTTCTCTAAATCCTTTCCAATATTGGATCCTATAAACTTTCTCTAATTTGTTAAAATTTGATAGTAAATTTGGCATTTTGTTGTTTTAATTTTAATTGTCCTCATACTAATGAGGTCGAGAGTTTTAATTTTCTCTTACTTTTTGCATTTTCTCTTGCCTGTTCATATCCTTTGATACTTTTCAACTGGACCTTTATTTTTCCTTTTCTGAAGAAGTTCTTTGTATATGAGAGATATTAAACCTTTCTCCACATATAGTTCAAATGTTTTACCCTGTCACTTGCTATTTGACTCTCTCTGTTTTTTTGCCATATAGAAATGATTAACTTCCATCGTGAAACCAGCCTCTGTCTGCCTGTATGTCCTTTGAGTTTTGTTTGTTGCTTGACAAGGCCTTTTTCACCCCAAGATTAGGCAACATTCTTCTATATTTTCTTCTAATACTTGTATGGGTTTGTTTTACACTTAGTTATTTGATATGGTTTGGATCTGTGTCCCCACCCAAATCTCATTTTCAATTGTAATACCCAATGTTTGGCAGTGGGGCCTGGTGGGAGGTAATTGGATCACAGGGATGGTTTCTCACGGTTAAGCATCATCCCCTTGGTGCTGTCTCATGATAGAGTTCTCATGAGATCTGGTTGTTTAAAAGTGTGTGGCACCTCCCTGCTCTCTCTCTTGCTCCTGCTCCTGTCGTGTAAGACATGCCTACTCTCCCTTTGCCTTCCGCCATGATTGTAAGTTTCCTGAGGCCTCCCCGACCATGCTTCTTGTGCAGCCTGCAGAACTGTGAGCCAATTAAATCTCTTTTCTTTATAAATTACCCAGTCTCGGGGTATTTCTTTACAGCCGTGCAAAAATGAACTAATACATTATTTAAACTTGGACTTTTTGTGCACGGAACAAGGTAGGAGTCTATCTTTGTTTTCTTTCAAGTGACTGATTGTTGTTTACTTAGAATTAATTCATTTCCACCTCCTCCTTACTAACGAAATCTCAAACTTGTTCAGAACATAAACTCTCTGCCATATTCTTCAGAGAAAGATAATCCTAATCCAGAGATTACATTAGGTTGTCTAAGCTCATAGCTCTTTCCAGAGACTGGCTCAAAAATTGGCACGTGAACCAATTCTGGTGGAAAAGATGTGAGGAGTGCTGTGCTGGGGGATTTGGGGAAGGTTCTCCCTTGCTCTTCTGGGTCCACGTGACATGCTATCATCTCTCTTCCTCAGAGAAGGGGCCCTGAGTGGGTGTGAGGCCTGGGGGTGCTATGGCATCTGCCCGCCTATGCAGAAGGGTCTGGCACAGAAGAGGCACCACTGAGAGACTCTCTGGGAGTGGAGGCAGAGCCATCAGAAACCCTGTTCTGAAGGCCTGCATCTCTACGGTTCCATCCTCCTTAAAACTGAGGAACAGCCTTCCTTTATGTCTAAATGTGTCTCGTTAAATTCATTTTCATTTACTTGATAGCTTTTATTGTTATTATACATTGGCAGTTTTTCATTTAATTTCTATCTATTGATGTTATCTTTAAAGGTATTAATTTTATGTTTTATTTTGTGTACAAAATATCTTTTGAATGCAACAGTTTTTAAAATCTGGCCTATTGTATTTTCCAAGCCTGTAATCCTATTGCCTACAAATAAAGTTAATTTTGATCTTTCTATCCTAACCTTGGTATGACTTACTTGTTTTATATTTTATTACATTAGCTAGACTCTCAAAAATAATGTTGTTTAATAATGGCGATTGGGGCATTGCAGTCATGTTCCACATTTCAGTTGTTTAATATTTCAAAATATGTAGTTTTTTACGAACCACCTTCATTATCTCTCAGTAGCTTCCTCCTAGTTCTATTTTATTTACAGCTTTTGCAATAAATAACTAAAAATTAGTCAAATGTGATTTTTAAATCTGTTGATTTAATTATATGTTTGTTTACTGTGTTCATATAATGAGTACGCTAAGCATGTTAAACCTCTTTTTCATTTCTGGAACAAGCCCTGCTTGGTCAAGCAGGATTCATTTTCTAATTTACTGCTGAATTTGATTCACTAATATTGTACAGTTTTTTGGTTTCGTGTCTATATTCCCAAAGGGAATTGATTCATTGTTTTTCCTTTTACTTTGTTATTTTTAAAATCAGATTTTATTCTATACAAAGTCAAGGCATAGTAAAAAATAATAATAATAAATAAAAAAGAAGGAAATAAAGATCAATAAAGTCAGATTTTTGTATTAAAATTATAATGAGCGAAATATAAAATAAATGAGAAATTTTCTTCTTTTCCTGTGATCTGCCACAGTTTGAGTAACATGAAAATTATATTTTATTAATTGAGACATGTTCTCAATGCGCTATCATGTTGTGCTTCCTAATGCACATAGTACCACAAAAGTGTTTTCTTGCCTGAATAAACAGCTTCTTTGAAGAAGCTTCTTCTGTAAAAAAGTAATAATAATAATAACACAGGCCCCAGAATTTTAACATTTGGGGAGAAAGTACAAATTTAGAGAAAGCATTCCAATTCTTGTAAACATCACATCATATTTCATGCTCAAATTATATTTTCAAATCAATATTATTCATAAAAAGGTATTATTAAATGGTTTCATTGAAACAAATAAATATGTACTTTTGAGGCAGTGGAAAATATACTTATCAAGGATCCACGAAGTTCATCATCACGACAAGAGCAGCAGTAAAATGGAAATTGTACCACTGAAATGCACAATAGCCCAATCCACTGAACTTAAGGAAATGGTCATTTGACACAAACAATTACTTGTCCATTTCCTACTTTACAAGGATACAGTGAAGATAAAAAGATTTCCGTGAGAATGCTTCAGGGTGTTTCAAAGGAAGCTACATTCTTTGTATGATCACCATTATTGTCAAGACTACCAATTTAAAAATGACCTATCTCTGGGGTGACCAAAGGGTATGGACATTTATGGTGTGGTTTGCAAAGCCTTCAACTATGAAACATGATTATTATTTTTGGCTTTGCTACAAAATGGAATTATTCAATAGGTACCATGTGCCAGAACAACAGTAGGCTTTTCCAGAGAGCTCTCAGGCTAAAATTAGATGATAGTTGCCCAGCTGTATACCAGTTATTAAAGGATCCATAAGCATATTGCTAGGCTATCTCAGTTGAGTAAAAAGTCATATAATTTTATGAGTAAAACTTGAAGCCTTACATATAATCATGTGATCTAGCTCTATTGTCTTATAGAATGTAAGTTGGTTATCGAGGTGAAGTGATTTGTACAAGGCACAATAAATGTACCTTCCATTTATTCTGCAAGTATATAAAAAACAGTACAAGAGGTTGAGGAAACAGTGGTGAGCAAATATAAATGGTCCTTGCTCTCAAAATATTTGCAGCTCAAGGAAGAACATAAAGATCAAAAGAGATGATCGTGTGATTCATGGTACTGAAATAGACCAAGTTTTCAAAGATTGCCACTTTTTTCGCACATCCTGTTTTCTTTTCTAATGTAAATTTTTCTTTTTCCATCAAGATATAGAATCTTCTTCCTTGTCCCTGTGATCTGTTTCAAGCAATAACAGATGTGGCAGATGCTGGGCAGTTGTGAGGCTGGGCCTCAGGAGTCAGGCAACCTCTGCCTCACTTCACGTAACATTCCTCCTCAGAATCCAGCTGCCATATTGTGAGGAAGCCCAAGTACCCAGAAAAGATCACAAGGGAAACTACTGAAGGCCCCAGCCAACAGCCCCAGCTGAGTCTTAGCCGCAGCTAACACCAACCACCAGCCATGAGACTCAGGCACTTTGAAATGGGGCATCCCAGTGCCCCAGCCAAGTAGATGAACCAGATGCTTCTCCTGGAAAGAATCATGAAAAATGATAAACTGTTGTTTTAAAACCACTACATGTGACGTGGTTTGTTATGCATCAACAGATGATTGAAACAGGTATGAAGACAGACAAAAAAAATGTTGCTATGAAATAGCAGAGCATGAAAACCTACTTAGGGAGGGGAGGAGGAGTTAGGAAACTGAATAATTGTTCACCTGGCCATGACTGGAGCAGGAGCACTTCAGTCAGAGGGCAAGGGAACCTGTGGAGGCCTTCAAGAAGGAAAGAAGGGGTTTGGCCTAGGAGCTGACATGGCCTGGAATGGCTAGACAGTTTTGATTCAAGGGGAAAGTGGGTAGATATGAATCTGGGGAGGGTGGCACAGCCTGGCAGGGATTACCTAAGGCCAGTGGGAAACTACACAGCTTCCCGTAGACAGAACCCTGATTAAGATCCAGAATTGCTGGCTCTCACTTTAGTGGTTTTTCATCTAAATGACATCATCCTCAACGGATGCCTCCAATTCAACAAAACAACACAAACAGCCACAGAGACAGTGCTACTGTGTCCCCCATGGGCTGCCATCAGCCATGCTGGGTCCATGTGCATTCAGCTGTGGTCCAGGAGATTGCCTGAGCCCCTCCTCTGCATGTTTGCTCTTACCCTGTCGCTCTCAGCTCTCAGGGGGCTGGCATCAGGAGTCTGGCTCCTTCACCTCTCTTCCCCAGAGGAAGAAGATGGGGCAGAACCTGTGGTCAAGGCACATGTCCCCTAAGGAAGCCCTGAATGGTCATCAACAACAGCCTGTGTGTATGTATCATGTCATGTATGGGATAGCTGGGTCTTACACACCTTATTGAAAGGAGGTTGTTTCACTGTACTTCACACAGGAACCAGGCAGGGTCATCTCCAGATACCACAGAGAAGCAGGAGAACCCTCATGGGAAACCAGAGACAGGTTGCCTCACACCTGGCTCTCCCTGTAGCGAGGCAGCTTGCGGGCGACCCAGGAGAGACCAGCCCTCAGTCATCAGATGCAGAGACAGGAAGGAGCGTGGAGGAATCAAAATTACGAGGAGGGAGGACATTCCCTCTCTGCCAATAGCTCTGGAAACGATATAATGTGCACTGCACTGGCTCCTGTCTCAGCCCTTGCTGTTGGCTGGTAGGCACCCTCCTTTTATATCTTCTGCTCAAGTTTCCTATCAAGTTGCATTTGATGAATTCAATATGCCTGTCCAAAGTGATGCCTAAAACCCCTGCATATTGGCCACTGAAAAGCAGCCATTGGCTGCCACCAGGACAAGAGGGTGACGGGAGGAACCGAGCAGTGGTGAAGGATTGTTCTGGTCACTATCCAACCTTGCACCATTTGGGGCAGGTCTCTTCAATGCGACCGTCATTTCTTCCTCTGTGAAGCAGGGGTAATAACAGAGTTCTCTCCACCTCCCAAGACTGTGAGGAGCAAACAGAAGAGTGGGGTAATATTCTCATAAACTGTACATCACAATTCAATGGTGAATTATATATTTGATTGAACCATACAAAGTAGCCAAGAGTCAACTAAAAAATTATCAATTTAGGTCAAAAATGACAACAGTAGGTAACTCTTGGCAATGTCACATGGTTCAAGCTAAGTTTTAGCCTGTTATATAGCAACTACCTTTTTCATTAAAAAGTAAAACACAATAGACTCTATGATAATTTAGTTTCATAAATTCTCACTGCACCCTGTCCCATGACTGATACTTTAATATTCTGATATGCACATTTGACAGAGCTAGGAGCAAGCAAAGAGGTTAAAATATGAACAGAGCATATTATCATAGAGAGGTCAAGAGCATGGCACCAGGATCCCATTGCTCCGGTTCCAATCCTGGATTTTCCAGTACTCCCTCTGTGACCTTGGACAAGTTGCTTAGTCTCCCTGTGGCTCAGTTTTCTCATCTGTAAAATGAAATTAATAGTAACACCGACTTCACAGGGATGAAGTAAGGAGGACATGAGTCAGTAAGTTGTGAAGCATATAAAAACAGACCTTGCCCATTTACTACCTCATCTGATGTTATTTTTACTGGATTTTGCATTTTGCCCTAGATAATTTTGAATTTAATTCTAAAAAAATAACATTTTAGAGCTGGAAGGAAACTTTTAAATATTCAGTGGGTTTTTATATGTCTGTAGGTCTACCTGCTTTAAGAGTGGTGAAAGGCAATTAATTTTATAGAGCCTCTCTGAATCGTTTCACTCTGAAAACTCCAAAACATTTGATTCCTGCATTACCCTTGAAGTTGGAACGTGGAGAGTCTCGTTCTCTGTTTCCACAGGAAGCCTTGGTATTTTAAGCCTACTAGCCACAAAATCGAACTTTTTGATCAACTTTAATAAGACATGACATGGGTTCTCATAAGTGATACCCTTAGGACTAAAAGAACCCTGGAATGCAAATTTTGCTAGCATGTTAAGAAGAAAAGTTTAGCATGTTCCCTAACATGAAAAGCCCTCTTTGATTCTTAAATTGTCTCAATATATAATTTGTTCTATTAAATTATAAAAAAATACAGGAATCCCCATTGCAGGCAATTGTGCTGTACAATGGACATTTTTACATTTTAGGAGTCATATCTGTATTTCTCCAAGTGTTTTCTGAGGAATAACTGCATTGTAATTAACTAGAATATTTATAAAAATGCAGATTCCTAGATACCACAGCATTATACATCTAGTAGCATTTTTGGCTTTTTAAAATTTGACAAATAAAAATTGTACCTATGTATAATGTACAATATGATGTTTTGAAATATGTAGACATTGAATGCCTACATCAAGCTAATTAACCTGTGTATTACCTCACACACTTACCTTTTTTTTGTGGCAAAAACACTTAAAATCTACTCTTAGCAATTTTTAAGTATACAATATATTGCTATCAACCATAGTCACCATGTTGTACAACAGATCTCTTGAATTTATTCCTTCTGTCTAATTGAAATGTTATATCCTTTGACCAAGATCTCCCCAGTCTCCCTGCCTCCAGTCTCTGGTAACCACCATTCTACTTTCTGCTTCTAGTGATTTCAACTTTTTTAGATTCCACATATAAGAGAGATCCTGTGGTATTCGTCTTTCTGCACTTGGGTTATTTCACTTAGTGTAACTTTCTCCAGGTTCACCCATGCTGTTGCAAATGACAGAATTTCCTTCTTCTTATGGTTGAGTACACAATATTTCATTGTGAGTGTATACCACATTTTCTTTATTATTTCATCCAGTGATGAACGTTTAGGTTAATTCACATCTTGACTATTGTGCATAATGCTGCACTGAGCATGGGAGTGCAGATATTTCTTCGACATACCAAGTTCATCTCCTTTGGATATGTACCCAGCAGTGGGATTGCTGGATCATGAGGTAGTTCTATTTTCAATTCTAATTTTTTATTTAGCAATAAGGTTTCTATTTACTGAGCACCTAATGTGTGCTTGACACTGTGCTAAGTACTGCATTATATTATCTCTTTGGACCTTATAAAACCCATATGCTGTAGAGCTTGCTATCATCCTTTCCATTTTACAAGTGCCATAAAGAGGTCTTCAGTCACTTAGTAGGATACAGTTAGCAAACGAGAGAGCTTGATTGTGCTGATGGTTTTATGGTTTATCTATGTCAAAATTTTTCAGATTGTACCCTTTAAGTATGTACATCATTATATATCAATTATATCTCAATAAAGCTATTTTTAAAAAATTAAAGCAAAAGTAGTAACTGACTAGCAAGTTAGATGAAGTCACAAGCCATAATCCTGCAGAGGACTCTGATGAAGTGAGCCAAATGAAGAGGCTGATTAATGGATCTAAAAGCACAGCTAGGGTGGAGGAACAAGTTCTAGGGTTCTACAGCACTGTGGGGTGACTACAATAAACAGCAGCTTATGCACATTTTCAAATAGCTAGGTGAGCAGATTTTGAATGTTTTCAACACACACTCAAAAAATAAATGTTTGATGGATATGCTAATTACCCCGATTTGATCATTGCACATTGTATACAAGTATCAAAATATCACACTGGAGTAGAAGAAAAATGGTGGATAGGAGGCAGGACTAACTTGCAGCTCCTACTTGGCTGGACAGGGCAGTGTGTGGAGACCCACATTGTAAACTTTTGCTCCAAGAACTACTGCAGAAACATACCAAAAAAGCCGAGAGAATCCACAGACCCTTTGAAGGAGGTGGATTGCTGCTTCGGGCTCCGCCGGACAGCCGAGGAAGTGTAAGTCTGCTTGCTTTCTCAGCTGGGAGGCTTGTAGCCTGGGGCAAGTTCTCAGCCCTGCTCACTGGGTGCCTGGAAATAAACTCAGTGTTGTTGGAGGGGCACAGTGAGAGTGAGACCAGCCTTTTGGGAGCTTGGCAAGGCCTGTGGCTGCCAGCTTTCCCCTATCTCCCTGGTAACATGTATAACACAGCAGAGGCAGCTGTAACCCCCCCTCGGATTTTTAGCTTTTTAAAACTTGACAAATAAAAATTGTGCCTATGTATAAAGTACAATATGATGGTTTGAAATATGTAGACATTGAATGCCTAGATCAAGCTAATTAACATACGTATTACCTCACACACTTATCTTTTGGGAACCACACTCCCATCCCCTACAGCAGCCTCAGCAAGCCCCACCCAAGGAGAGTCTGAGCTCAGACCCACCTAACCCTGCCTCCACCTGATAGTTCTACACCCACCCCGGTAGTCAAAGACAAAGGACATTAATCTCTTTGGAGCTCTATGGCCCTGCCCACCACCTGATCCTCCCTATATGACAGCAGCTGAGGTGCTCTTGAAAGCATCATCTCTTGGCTGAAGGCCAGCCAACACAAAACCAGCACACTTAACTAAAATACAACCAAGGACCCTTACACAGTCCACTTCACTCCCCTGCTGCCTCCACCAGAGCAGGTGCTGGTATCCATGACTGAGAGACCTGAAGATGGATCACATCACAGGACTCTTTGCAGACACTACCCAGTACCAGCCCAGAGCCCAGTAGCTCCAATGGGTAGCTAGATCCAGAAGAGAAATAACAATCACTGCAATTAGGCTCTCAGGAAGCCCCATCCCTAGGGGAAAGGGGAGTGCACCACATCAAAGGAGCACCCTGTGGGACAAAAGAATCTGAACAGCAGCCCTTGAGGCCCAGATATTCCCTCTGACACAATCTACCCAAATTAGAAGGAAACAGAAAAACAATTGTAGTAATATGACAAAACAAGGTTCTTTAACACCCCAAAAAGATCACACTAGCTCACCAGCAATGGATCCAAACCAAGATGAAATCTCAATTGCCAGAAAAAGAATTCAGAAGGCCAACTATTAAGCCAATCAAGGAGGTACCAGAAAAATGTAAAGTCCAAATTTGAGAAATCAAAAAAAAGAAATGATACAGGATATGAATGGAAAGATCTCTAGTGAAATAGCCTAAATAAAAAACAATCCCAACTTCTGGAAATGAAGGACACACTTAGAGAATTGCAAAATGCACTGGAAAGTCTTAGCAATAGAATCAAACAAGTAGAAGAAAGAATTTCAGAGTTTGAAAACAAGGATTTTGAATTAATTCAATCCAATAAAGACAAAGAAAAAATAATTTTAAAAAATGAACAAAGCCACCAAGAAGTTTGAGATTATGTTAAATGACCAAACCTAAGAATAATTGGTGTTCTTAAGCAAGAAGAGAAACCTAAAAGTTTGGAAAACACATTTTAGGGAAAAATCAAGGAAAACTTCCCTGGCCTTGCTAGAGATCCAGACATCCAAATAGAAGGAGCTGAAAGAACATCTGGGAAATTCATCACAAAAATATCATTGCCTAGGCACATAGTCATCAGGCTATCCAAAGTCAAGACAAAGGAAAGAATCTCAAGAGCTGTGAGGCAAAAACATCAGGTAACCTATAAAAGAAAACCTATCAGATTAACAGTAGATTTCTTGCAGAAATCCTATAAACTAGAAGGGATTGGGGTCCTATCTTTAGCCTCCTTAAACAAAACATTATCAGTCAAGAATTGTGTATCCAGCAAAACCAAGCTTCCTAAATGAAGGGAGGATACAGTCCTTTTCAGACAAATGGTGAAAGAATTTGCCACTACCTAGCCAGCACTACAAGAACTGCTAAAAAAAAAAGCCCTAAATCTTGAAACAAATCCTCCAAATACACCAAAATAGAATCTTCTGAAAGCATACATCTCACAGAACCTATAAAACAACAACACAATGAAAAAAAAAAAAACTAAGGTATTCAGGCGACAAATAACACAATGAATAGAACAGTACCTCACATCTCAATACTAACATTGGATGTAAATGGCCTAAATGCTCCATTTAAAAGATACAGAATGGCAGAATAGATAAGAATTCACCAACCAGGTATCTGCTGTCTTCAAGAGACTCACCTGACACATAAGGACTCACATAAACTTAAGGTAAAGGGGTGGAACAAGATATTCCATGATGGACACCAAAATAGAGCAGGAGTAACTATTCTTACATCAGGCAAAACGACCTTTAAAGCAACGGCAGTTAAAAAACACAAAGAGGGACATTATATAATGATAAAAGGACTAGTCCAACAGGAAAATATCACAATCCTAAATATATATGCAGCTAACACCGGAGCTCCCAAATTTATAAAACAATTACTTCTAGACCTGAGAAATGAGATAGACAGCAACACAGTAATAGTGGGGGATTTTAATACTGCACTGACAGCACTAAACAGGTCATCAAGACAGAAAGTTGACGAAGAAACAATGGACTTAAACTATACCCTAGAACAAATGGACTTAACAGGTATTTACAGAACATTCTACCCAGCAACTGCAGAATATACATTCCATTCATCAGGACATGGAACATTCTCCAAGATAGACCATAAGATAGGCCACAAAACAAGTCTCAACAAATTTAAGAAAACCAGAACTATAGCAAGTACTCTCCCAGACCACAGTGGAATAAAATTGAAAATCAACTCCAAAAGTAACTCTCAAAACCATGCAAATACATGGAAATTAAATAACCTGCTCCTGAATGATCATTGGGTCAACAATGACATCAAGATGGAAATTTAAAGATTCTTTGTGTAGAATGATGATAGTGATACAACCTATCAAAACCTCTGGGATACAGCAAATTCAGTGCTAAGAGGAAAGTTCATGGCATTAAATGCCTACATCAAAAAGTCTGAAAGAGGTTGGGCACGGTGGCTCACGCTTGTAATCCCAGCACTTTGGGAGGCCGAGGTGGGCAGATCACCTGAGGTCAGGAGTTCGAGACCAGCCTCAACATGAAGAAACCCCATCTCTACTAAAAATACAAAAAAAAATCAGCCAGGCATGGTGGTGCATGCCTGCAATCTCAGCTATTCAGGAGGCTGAGGCAGGAGAATTGCTTGAACCTGGGAGGCAGAGGTTGTAGTGAGCCAAGATCACACCATTGCACTCCAGCCTGGGCAACAAGAGTGAAACTCAGTCTCAAAAAAAAAAAGTCTGAAAGAGCACAAATAAAGAATCTAAAGTCACACCTCAAGGAACTAGAGAAACAAGAACAAACCAAATGCAAACCCAGCAGCAGAAAAACAATAATCAACGTCAGAGCAGAACTAAATGAAATTGAAACACACACACACACACACAATACAAAAGATAAATGAAACAAAAAGCTGGTTCTTTGAAAAGATAAACAAAATTGATAGACCATTAGTGAGATTAACCAAGAAGAGAGAAGATTGAAATAAGCTCAATAAGAAATGAAATGGAAGATATTACAATGAACATCACAGAAATACAAGATAATTCAAGGCTACAATGAACACCTTTATGCATGCAAACTAGAAAATCTAGAGGAGATGGATAAATTCCTGGAAATATACAAGCCTCCTAGACTAAATCAGGAAAAAATAAAAACTCTGAATAGACCAATAACAAGCAGTGAGATTGAAATGGTACATTTAAAAAGTGCCAACAAAAAAAAAGTCCAAGACCAGAAAGATTCACAGCTGAACTATATCAGATATTCAAAGAAGAATTGGCACCAATTCTATTGACATTATTTCACAAGATAGAGGAAGAAGGAATCCTTCCTAAATCATTCTATGAAGCCAGTATCACCCTAATACCAAAACCAAGGAAGGACATAACAAAAAAAGAAAACTATAGACCAATATCCCTGATGAACATAGATGCAAAAATCCTCAACAAAATACTACCTTACTGAACCCAACAGCATATCAAAAAGATAATCCACCATGATCAAATGGGTTTTACACCAGGGATGCAGGGATGATTTAACATACGTAAGTCAATAAATGTGATACACCACATAAACAGAATTAAGACCAAAAATTACATGATCATCTCAATAGACACAGAAAAAGCATTTGACAAAATCCAGCATTCCTTTATGATTAATACCATCAGCAAAATTGGTATAGAAGGGACATACCTTAAGGTAATAAAAGCCATCTATGACAAACCCACAGCCAATATTATACTGAATGAGGAAAAGTTGAAAGCACTCCCCCTGAGAACTGGAACAAGACAAGGATGCCCACTTTCACCACTTCTATTCAACATAGTACTGGAAGTCCTAGCCAGAGCAACCAATCAGACAAGAGAAAGAAATAAAGGGTATCCAAATTGGTAAAGAGGAAGTCAAACTGTCACTGTTTGCTGATGGCATGAGCATATACCTAGGAAACCCTAAAGACTCATCCAGAAAGTTCCTAGAACTGCTAAATAAATTCAGCAGTTTCAGGACACAAAATTAATGTACACAAATCAGTAGCCCTGCTGTACCCAACAGCAACCAAGCTGATAACCAAATCAAGAACTCAACCTCTTTTACAATAGCTGCAAAAAATAAAATAAAATAAAGTACTAAGAATATACTTGACCAAGGAGGTGATAGACTTCTACAAGGGAAACTACAAAACACTGCTGAAAGAAATTTTGGCTGACACAAACAAATGTAAACACATTCCATGCTCACAGATGGGTAGAATCAATATTGTAAAAATGACCATACTGCCAAAAGCAATCTACAAATTCCATGCAATTCCCATCAAAATGCCACCGTCATTCTTTACAGAACTAGAAAAAACACATCCTAAAATTCATATGGAACCAAAAAAGAGGCTGCATAGCCAAAGCAAGACTAAGCAAAAAGAACAAATCTAAGGGCATCACATTGTCTGACTTTAAAATCTATTATAAGGCCACAGTCACCAAACAGCATGGTACTGGTGTAAAAACTGGCATATAGACCAATGGAACAGAATAGAAGACCCAGAAATAAAGCCAAATACTTAACAGCCAATTGATCTTAAATAAAGCAAACAAAAACATAAAGTGGAAAAAGGACACCCTATTCACCAAATAGTGCTGGGATAATTGGCAAACCACATGTAGAAGAATAAAACTGGATCCTCATCTCTCACCTTATACAAAAATCAACTCAAGATGGATCAAAGACTTAAATCTAAGACCTGAAACCATAAAAATTATAGACGATAACAATGGAAAAACCCTTCTAGACATTGGCTTAGGCAAAGAATCCATGACCAAGAACCCAAAAGCAAATGCAACAAAAACAAAGATAAATTGATGGGACTTAATAAAACTAAAAAGCTTCTGCACAGCAAAAGAAATAATCAGCAGAGTAAACAGACAACTCACAGAGTGGGAGAAAATCTTCACAATCTATACATCTGACAAAGGACTAATATCCAGAATCTACAAGGAACTCAAACAAATCAGCAAGAAAAAACAAACAATTTCATCAAAAAGTGGGCTAAGGAAATGAATAGACAATTCTCAGAAGAAGATTTACAAATGGCCAGCAAACATATGAAAAAATGCTCAACATGACTAATGATCAGGGAAATGCAAATCAAAGCCACAATGCAATACCACCTTACTCCTGCAAGAATGGCCATAATAAAAAAAAATACTAGATGTTGGCATGGATGTGGTGAAAAGGGAACACTTTTACACTGTTGGTGGAAATGTAAACTAGTACAACCACTGTGGAAAACAGTGTGGAGACTCCTTGAAGAGCTAAAAGGTGATCTATCATTTGATCCAGCAATCCCACTCCTGGGTATCCACCCAGAGGAAAATAACTCATTATACAAAAAAGATACTTGCACACACATGTTTATAGCAGCACAATTCGCATTGCAAAAATATGGAACCAGCCCAAATGCCCATCAGTCAACCAGTGAATAAAGAAAATGTGGTATATACATACACCATGGAATACTACTCATCCATAAAAAGGAATCAAATCATGGCATTTGCAGCAACATGGGTAGGATTGGAGACCATTATTCTAAGTGAAGTAACTCAGGAATGGAAAACCAAACATCATCTATTCTCACTCATAACTGGGAGCTAAGCTACAAGGTCACAAAGGCATTAAGAATGACACAATGGACTTTGAGGACTCAGGGGAAAGGGTGGGGTGTGAGGGATCAAAGACCATGGTAAATAGATACTAAGTAAAACTAATGAAAAAATCATACTTTACTCCATAAATATGTACAATTATTATGTGTCAATTAAAAATAATTATTTTTTAAGGTGAGTCAAATGCACCACAAAATACCAGAAAGCTTCAGAAATTTGAAGCACAAAGGCTCTTGGAAGGCTTAGTGGAAGGGCGCTGGATCACAGTGTTAGACAAAGCACCAGGGCCCTTCTCCATCCTGGCAGCCTGACTCCCTGACCCCTCCCGGCCCTTTGCTGTAGGATCCGCCCCCCACCGCCCTCTACTCTGCTCCGTGACTGGGAACAGTAAGACTTGTCCCTGGCTAGCTATTGGCATATTCAGCTTTGTGGAACAAGAGTGGCATATGGGTTTCTACCTGCACATATGTACAGAAAACTAGCATGCCATGCCACCTCTGTGCAGTGCAGCCCCAGGTGGCATAACCTACCCCTTCTTGTTAACAACAGTTGCAAAAAGTCAGCTTTTTGGGCACTCTCTCTTTAACATGAATAGATAAGTATTTCCCAAACATTTAAGGAAGGCTTCCAATATGAAAGAGGAAAGAGAAAGTTGAAAGAAAGGCCAGGGAAGGGAAGGCAGGCAGAACAAACCAGAGAAAATAGAAACAAGACAAGAAGCAAAACACTACCTCAGAAAAATTGTCATTAACATCTTCAGAGAAATAGGAGATGCTACATCCGTAAGTCAAGAAAGAGTAGTATAAAAGAGAACAATTAGATATTGAAAAGAGCTTCTGAAAATTCAAATTATGACTGCTGAAAAAAAAAACATTTCAATAGAAACATTGAAAGATAAAAATCATGGACATCTACCAGAAAGTAAACCAAAGGATATGTCTACAGAACAGTAAATCAAATGTGTGCCAAGTAAGAGGGAAAAAATAAAATAAGAGAATCAGTTATGTGGGCCCAACATCTAATTAATAAGAGCTTCAGGAAGAAAGAACAGAGAAAAAAGAAGGGCTTGCGAACAGCTGAGGTTCGTGGAGGGTGGGGCATCCAGGCAGGGCATGGAAGCTCCGCGTCCCTTCCCCCATCCCTCGCCCTATTTATCTCTTCATCTGAGCTGAAAAGCACCAAGGCTTGGCCTTAGCAGAAGGTTCATGAAGGGCTGGGTCCCAACACTGGTGTGAAGAGAGCTACCTGGGAGGCTGAGAAAAATCACATGAAGGAGAACTCAGCCCATTCATCTTGCTTGGAACTAAGAATCTTGAGTGATCCATTTCCTTAAAATTCAGGCTTCCCTGGACCCCAAGAAAGAAAAGTGAGTTTTCCAGCACTTGTGTTTATAGGACTCTTGCTACGAAACTGTTTTCAGAATCAAAAATAAAGCAGATGGCCATCTGAGACTGGATACCAGATTGTTTATATCAATGAGTTGACCCGTGAAACAAAGAAGCAGAGGAACATAAGCAGATTACAATGGATGCTGGATTTGGACAAGGAATTTTTGACGTGAAAATCTCTTCGAATCAGCCCTTCCTCTGAGGTAATAATCAAGACATATATTGAGTTATAGCAGAAAGTTATATTTTAGGGACAGAGGGATCAGGGTTACAATTTAGACCTAGGGTTACAATTTAGACTGGTCACCTAGTCACCTAGTCCAAGGCCTGTGTGAAGCCTTGGACAAGACACATGTCTCAGCCTCCATGTCTTTATCTGTAAAATGTGGATGGTAATACTCTACCTTCAGGGTTATTGCAAAGATTGAAGGAAAAAGTGAATATGAAGGATCTGATGACCTTTCTAATTTATAATAGGTACTTAATAAGTGGCCATTCATATTAGATATCCTGTTGGGAAAATAAGGAGGTAGCATCATTCTTCAAGATGAACAAGACGAGACTGGAGCAGACACTCCCTGCTGTCTCCCCACTATTCATTCTCTCTTTCTTTCTTTCTTTTTTTTTTTTTTGAGATGGAGCCTCATTCTTTCGCCCAGGCTGAAATGCAGTGGCGTGATCTCGGCTCACTGCAACTTCTGCCTCCTGGGTTCAAGTGAGTCTCTGCCTCAGCCTCCTGAACAGCTGGGATTACAGGCGCCCGCCACCACATTCAGCTAATTTTTGTATTTTTAGTATAGACAGGGTTTCACCATCTTGGCCATGTTGGTCTCGAAATCCTGACCTCGTGATCCGCCCATCTCGGCCTCCCAAAGTGCTGGGATTACAGGCGTGAGCCTCCGCTCCTGGCCTCTTCTTCTTTATTAACAAGTAAGTCTCTTCTTTCTTAGAGGGCAGCGCTATTTGTAATTACAGAACTACATTTCCCAGCCTCTCTTGCAGCCCCCAGGTGGCCCTGCCCCACAGTGTTAGCCAATGGGACTTCTATCAAAGTCTACCAGAGGTTCTATTATATTTACTCCTTGCCCCTTCCTCCTGCTTCCCTGACACAGGGGTTGGGCTGGGATGCAGAGGTCATTTTTTGATCAGAAGAGACCATGAGGGGGAAGGCAGAAGAGAAGACAAAGGATAGAAGAGAGCTGAGACACTGGTGACACAATGGCCACTGCCCCTCAGGACCTCACATTGCAATCATCTGTGCGAGAAAAGTAAACCCTATGTGGTGCAAAAAAATAGAAAAGGAGGAAAGAACTGATGTAAGAACATTTCCTGTAATGAGAGATGAATCTCCAGATTGAAAGGGCCTGTAGAACACCCAGCACGATGGAGGAAAATCCCTGGACCGAGAAGCATCATCACGTTTCACAACCTGTGGAATCAGCGCCAGTGGAGCCCACTGTGTGGCTCAAAGACTTAGGAACATCAGGGCCTGGATACCTCGTGCGTGTGGACCACTTACCCAGCTGCTCCCACTGACTGATCCAAGCACGATGAGGTTGAGATGAGACAATTACACCCAGAAAAGTCAGAGGGGAAAACGCTGCATTAGCATTTGGTTCTAGTCAATATCTTTGGATTTCAAGAACCAGAAGAACTTAAGGGAGGTGGGGGCTAGGGAGTTGGAGGTACTGGTGCTCTAAGAATCAAAAATGCTGCAGGACTGAGCCAGAATATAACTATAAAGTCTTTGGTAATTGGGGTCATGCCTTCCATGTCTCAGGGGTTACATTTTCTCTCTCTCCCCTGCTTCTTTCCAAGCATCTACTCCCTCTGGCTATTCCACCTTGATGCATAAGCTTGCACAGGGTTCAAAGTGGCCATCGACCTGCCATGACTTTCTGTTCACCCACCTCCTTCTTTGGCTCCTCTCTGAGCTTGCCAGTTAGGTGTAATTGCAATTGCAGTTCAATGACTAAATGATAATTCATCCCCAAGCCTTGAGACTGGCAATCCTAAGGGAGAGAGTATAGTGGTTCTAATCAGCTATGACAGAAAAAGAAGAGAGGGAGTAGAAGGGTCAGGAGAGCAGGGGTAGCATGGAAAAGACCCTCTGACAATGCTCTGACAGTAGGCATGCTGATCACATGCAAACTTATAAGCTAGTCCAAAGTGATGACCACCGACGGGAAGAAGCATGGGGTCGGGCAAAACTTGCATGGGCTCATTTAGTGTTGCTGCTGCAGACATGTACTGAAGTATTGATCTTCAGACTTTCACAACTAGCCAGTCAGTTTGTGCACCATCCCTGAGTGGTCTAATTTTCCTCCCTGGCCCCTATGCTCCTTGAACCCAGCACTTGCATCTTTTTTGTGTTGCATGAAATGAAGAACTAAATGCACTATGTTTACATTGTGTATTTACACTTTGTACCAATAAGTGCATAATTGATTGTCTAGTCTGAGTGCTCATACACAGTTGTTTCAATAGAAACCTGATATTAATTGATCGATTAGCAAAGTATTTCACAGTCTATATGGATAGTATCTCTGATTTAATAAAACCCCAACTTTTTATGTAATGTTTTTTCATTTTTCTCATTAAAGGCATCAAGAAAAGGTTTGTGCATCCACTAATTGAAAATAGATGCACAGATAACAGGTTGTTTTTTAGTTATCTTTCTATGACTTTGTTGAGATAATGTAAGAGTATAAACTATAAGCACTCTAAAACACCAGACTTCACTTTGGGAGGCCGAGGCGGGCAGATTGCCTGAGCTCAGAAGTTTGCGACCAGCCTGGGCAACTCGGTGAAACCCCATCTCTACTAAAATACAAAAAAACTTAATCAGGCGTGGCAGCGTGTAGTCCCAGCTACTCGGGAGGCTGAGGCAGGAGAATTGCTTGAACCCGGGAGGCAGAGGTTGCAGTGAGCTGAGATCACACCACTGCACTCCAGCCTGGGCGACAGAGGGAGACTCTGCCAAAAAAAAAAAAAAATGTTTCAGGAAAACCCTCCATCATACAACGAGTGTGTTCCAGAAACCTCAGTGATGTAATATGGGCCAGTGTTGTAGCAAAGCGGATTAAATATTTGGGGTGAGCAGGGACAGTTAACACCTGGGGGTTCTGAAGATGCTTGAGCTGAATCTGACACAAGCCTGGAGGTGGTGCAGTGCCACTTGGAGGTAGTGGGGACAGTTCTGAGACATCAAAGATGGTGCCAAAATTCTGGAGACATATTGACTAGTTGATGCCTACTTTGTCAAACTGCTCTGGGGACATTAGGCCAAAATACCAAGAACACAGGGACTCCCCTTCCTCCCCACCTCTTGGGAAGGGCTGCCTGCTGTTTCCCCACTAAGGCAAATGGAATTTTCCCACCTGGCCACAACATCTCCCGCATGCTCTTTTGACAATGTGATTTTGATACTTCTGCCTTAAAGAGATGGCTGGTGGCTCTGGTGAAGACTGCTGTGGACTTCTGAGGCCAGTCATTGAGGACAACATGGCTTCTGCCTGGCTGTTAGTAGCTTTCTGGCTTCCCTGAAGCCGCCATGCTGAGAGGAAGCCCAAATGCGTCCATGTGGAAAGACCACACTGAGCGGCCTTGAGGCTATATGTAGAGATGCCTGGCTGGCCCCCAGCTGCTCCATCCCGCTCCCATACAGCTCCAGCTGGAACCACTTGGAAGGCCCTGAGTCAGACCGCCCAGCTGAGCCCTTCCCAAATTCCTGCCCAGCAGAGACCACGAGAGATAAGGCACTAAGATCCACAGTTCTCGCTGCACAGCAGCTCTAGGATCACTACAGCAGCCTCCTATTGCCCACCATCCCCATCATGAGAAGATGCTTCCTCTTCTCCCATTTGAGAATGGGCAGCTGGGCCCAGAAGAGAAGTCAACCACAAAGGGACTCCCGGCATTGTGGGGCATGATGCCGCATGGCTCTAACTGAATGTGTCTTATTTATTTTGAGACTGAGCCTCAACGTTTCTGAACATCGGAGGTTGACTCTAAGTCAAAATGGTCACTCTAAAATTACCAGAACTTTCCTTCCTGTGGTCCTGAGGGTAGATGTCGACATTGTCCTTCTGAGAGAGGCATTTGGAGACCCAGGGAGGATTCAATGTGACCATGTATCACCCACAGGGGGCTGCCCCACCATTGGAGGATCGACTCAAATTCAAGATGGAACACTGTAATTATTCTGTGGAAAAATACAAGGCTGTGTCCTTACAGGTGAGTCCAGCTCTGAGGGGCGAACTTTTTCATGTCAATGGATTTTCAATTCTCTCCACTGGAAGAAGCTGGAACTTGAGGAAAAGAGGGTTTGGAGGAAGGGTGTGTAAACATGCTGAGCTGGTCTGTGCTGGCCAGGTCTAGGAGGAGAGGAGAGGAGGCCCAGGCCCCTAAAGGCTCTGTGTGCTGGCACACGTCCAGTGGACCTTACTAGGATGGAGAGCTGGGCTCCGTTTTATATTTGCTTTTGTTGTTTGTTTGTTTACACTGAAATTTTCCTTGATACAAATGTTCAATAGCATCAGGTAAACAAACCCCCACTTCTTGAGTTTCAGGCTTTGGGGAATCAACAGACAGACCACACCATACCTGAAGGATCATTTCTCAGAGAGCTTGGCAGCCTGAAGTGCAGCTGCAGGAGAAAGAGGTGAACAGCCAGGATGTCGGCTGTGTCTCGGATGAGAGCAGGAAAACAGTGTCAGGGTATGCAGACTCTCCCCACATCCTCAGGCACCCTGGGGCAAGGGCAGGACTTTCCGTCTTATGCGTCTTATGCGATAGGACTGTCGCCTGGTCTGGAATACGCTCTAAATACTTCCAGCCCCGGGGGCCACCGCTGTCCTGTTGGGAGAGCAACAGCCTCTGCTCCCTCCAGAGGCAGCTTCCGTGAGGGCGTCAGCTCTCCCTGTGGCAGATCCACACTGGTGGCTTTGAGATTAGTAAAATAGATGTGAGCACATCATTTTCATGCATGAGGTCAGACATGCGAAATTGTATTTAAGAGATGTAAATTGGCTAGAAATGCGATGGCAGCAGTCTCTCATTTGCATGCGTAGAACATAAGAGTGCTGTGACTCCAGTGGCCTGAATGCCCATGAATGTTGTCCCGGGTGACTCCCAGGCCCTGGTCTGGAGCGTCCAGGGTTGTCTGACCCCATTAAATGATTCCAGTCCTGTTTGTCTTGGATGAACTTTCCATGCTCTGTAGATGGTGTGCTTGTGGGACAGAATCCGGTCTGAGACTTGCTTCACAACCGGTTGTGAGGATGTCAGGAGGTACTGTAAGCCTTACCAAGCTCCAGCTATTGATACTAACAATGAAAAAAAAACACAAATAACTTTGAAAGACTAAGCTGGCTTAGGTCATTTTTAAAACACACATTCAAGTTATTTTGTGTGGACATTAAAATAAAGAGGAACCTCAGGCAGCTAAAAACCCCAAGCACCATCTAGTCGCAGACCTCAGTGGAAAGCCACGTGTATGTGCTGCAGTTTGGGTATCCGTGCCCTCTAAAGCTCATGTTAGGCCAGGCGGGGTAGCTCTCGCCTGTAATCCCAGCACTTTGGGAGGCCAAAGCGGGCAGATAACTTGAGGTCAGGAGTTCGAGACCAGCCTGGCCAACATGGTGAAACCCCATCTCCACTAAGAATACAAAAAACATTAACTGGGCATAGTAGCAGGTGCCTATAGTCCCAGCTACTTGGGATGCTGAGGTAGGAGAATTGCTTGAACCCAGGAGACAGAGGTTGCAGTGAGCTGAGATCATGCCACTGCACTCCAGCCTGGCAATCGAGTGAGACTCTGTCTTAAATAGATAAATAAACAAATAAGATAAATAAAGCTCATGTTGAAATTTGATCCCCAATGTTAGGGTGGAGCCCAGTGGGAGGTGTTTGGGTCAGGGGGTCAGACTCCTCGTGAGTAGATTAATGCTCTCCATTGGAGGTGAGTGACTTCTTGCTGTATTAGTTCCAGAGAAAGGTGGGTGTTTTAAGAAAAAAAGCCTGGCACTACCTCCCCTTCTTTGGCTTCCTCCCTAGCCATGTGATCTCTGCACACACCAGCTCCCATTCCGCTTCCACCATGCATGGAAGCAGCCTGAGGTCCTCCTCTGAAGCAAATGTCAGCACCATACTTCTCGTACAGCTTGCAGAACTACAAGCCACACAAACCTCTTTTCTTTATCCATTGCTCAGCCTCAGGTATGCCTTTGTAGCAATACAAGTAGACTAAGACTGTGTGTGGAGTTTGCCTCTTTTCTTCATCAATTGCCCAGCCTCAGGTATGCCTTTGTAGCAACACAAGTGGACTAACACTGTGTGTGGACGTTTGTGTATTGGGTGAATGTGCAGAAGCACACACGCGCTCTCAGCAGACACACCCGTGGGCTGCTTCTCCACATGGGAATGTCACCCGGCACTGCCAGAGCTATAGAGATAGTGCACACATTCTCACTCTTCTTTGCCTCTGTGATGTCTCTTTGCCACATCACCCTGGGGGTACCGATGATGTGCAAGATGAGGATAAAGCCAATATTTGACAGATTCTCAAAAAGTACTATTAGGTTGGTACAAAAGTAATGCAGTTTTTGCCATTTTTTTAAAAAGTAATGGCCAACCGCGATTACTTTTACACCAACCTAAGACTTCCCTTTCCAGGAGTCCTTTGGCTCCCAGTTCACTGCTGGGTTTTCCCAGCTCCTCTTAACTTGCCTCAGTGCTTGAAGGATTCTGCCAGCCCGCAGCCTCCCACCCTACACCTGCAGGCCCCAGAGGCTCCCTGCGGCTCAGCCTGGTGTTGAGCAGTAGTGTTTGCTCCATCTACACCACAGGAACCAGACTCTTGACCAATTGCAGGTTTTGTATGCACACAGGACTGCATATCCTGGTGGTGGTCACCACCCAGGCCCCATGCTCAGCACTTTCATGCATTACCTACCCTCTAGACTAGGTTTTATTTACCCATGTTGCAGATGAGACACGCAATCCAAGAAGTTAAGTAAGCAACCCAGGTTCACACATTTTCTTTCCTTTCCTTCTCTATTTGCCCTGTAGCCAAGATGACTGAAGTACCAACTCCCTGTGGTCGCTTTCACCAAGCTGGTGAGACTCAGCCTGCATTACAGCCAGCGGTGGCTCGTGCCAGGACAGCAGCCTCTTCCCTTTAGAGAATCAGGACAGCCAACAAGCAGAGGAGGCTGCGTGGGGCAGCTCAGGCAAACACCTAGGAGTCCTTGATACCGACGACTGCAGCCCAGTCCTCAATCACATCACTAGAGGTACTTAAAAGATGTCAGCAGGTTGGGAGGGAAAGAGAAAGCTGTCCTTCTGCTGAAGGGAAGCACAGCCCGACACAGCTTCAGTGTTAGCATTGCATCTTGCTGGACAACCAGTGGCAGATTCTTCCTGGAGCAGTTCCAGGCTTGAGAATGTGCTGCAGTCTGTGGTTTTTCCAGGTCTATACTTTCCTGGAGCCTCATAACTGATGCAACCTCAAAGGGGATCCCTCTTCATGGAGCGGTGTTCAGGTTGTTCACTCTCATGCCTGCTCACCTGGGGCTGTGGTCACTTGCAGCCTGGGGTCATTAGCTGCCTTTTCTCAAGATGGTTTTTACTGCCTGGAGTATAGGAGCTCTAACATCTCTATATGGTGGGTTCCCCAACACCCACCCCAGGGCCAGCCTGGAGTGGATACACAGTACAATTTTGTTTTTTAATTGAGATGAGATTTCACTCTGTTGCCCAGGCTGGAGTGCAGTGGTGCGATCTTGGCTCACTGCAACCTCTACCTCCCAGGTTCAAGTCATTCTCCTGCCTCAGCCTCCCAAGTAGCTGGGACTACAGGCATGCACCACCACGTCCGGCTAATTTTTGTATTTTCAATAGAGACGGGGTTTCACCACATTGGCCAGTCTGGCCTCAAACTCTTGACCTCAAGTCATCTGCCCGCCTTGGCCTCCCAAAATGCTAGGCTTACAGGCATGAGCCACCATGTCCAGCCCTACGATACAATTATTGCATTACTAAGTCTCAAAAGGCTGGAAAACAGGGGGCCCCCTATGAGCTGACATTCTAATTATTCTTTTTATGATCCCTTCACAGATTGTCATAATAGACTCCAAATTCACTCTTGTTCACCCACAAGCATGCATTTACTTGCAATTTGAATGGACTTATGTGCAAAGATAAAAGGAAAATGACCTTCTTTTTTAGCAGCACTCACTTAGTTCCATCTCTAAAACTAATACTCACTTTTTAAGTTTTGACTATAAAAGTAGAAAAGACCATTGCCTGTCCATGGAGGAGACACTCAGGCAACTGAGTAGGGCATCTGGGTGCAGCTGTCACGGGAACACTGCACACTCCAGGAGGTGCGAAAGGTCATCCCTGGAGTTACCTGCACATCCCAGAGGCCCTGGCCTCAAGATGCCCACAAGAAGCTAGTGAGGAAAGACAAATGTGCATCCTCTCTGGCCTCGGCATGGCAGAGCAGAGGGAAGCAGATGGAAGGGCTCCCAGGCTGGCCCACCTGAACCACAACCAGGATAAAGGCCCGAATCAGGAGGCGGCAAACAATAGCCACTGGCTAAACCCAACCCTTGGCCTGAGTGTGTGTGGCCAGTCAGCTAAGAATGGTTGTTACAGCTTTGTTTATTTTTTTTTTTAAGGAATATGCGACAGGAACTATCTGGTCAGCTGGTTGGCCAAGACAACTATTTTCTATCTGGCCCTTTGTAAAAAAGATTTGCCGACCCCTGGTCTACAGCATGAATGTGTCCCTGGGAAGAGCAGATTGTCCTGACACCACTACAAAGGAGGCCCAGGGCAGCTGAACTGCTCCATCTCTGCCTCATCTGTTATAAACTGGGCATGGCCAACACCCTGCAGTGGCCCCACTGCCTGGCAAGCCAGACCTGCCTCTCCTGGCCCTCTTCATATGCGCCAAGCTAGTGCCCACCAACAGGAGGCGCTGCTGATCCAGCCTAAAGATGTGAGCAAAGAGAGGTTTGCTATTATTATCTGGAGGTGGTTTGCAGGCAGGTGTGAGCACATATGGGTCCAGGGCCTTCCAAGTGAGTTCCTCAGTAACCACCCCCTCAGTGCTGTCAGCTGAGAGGTAGCGGGGCCTCCAGAGGCTCTTGAGATTTACAAAGACTTTGACCAGGTGTGGTGGCTTACACCTGTAATCCCAACACTTTGGGAGGACAAGGTGGGTGGATCACTTGAGGTCAGGAATTCAGGACCAGCCTGGCCAACAGGGTGAAACCTCGTATCTACTAAAAATACAAAAATTAGCTGGTCTTGATGGTGCACACCTGTAGTCCCAGCTACTTGGGAAGCTGAGGCAGGAGAATGACTTGAACCTGGGTGGAGGAGGTTGCAGTGAGCCAAGCTCGTGCCACTGCACTCCAGCCTGGGTGACAGAGCGAGACTCCATCCCAAAAAAAAAAAAAAAAAAAAAGAGAGAGATTTACAGGGACTTTGCAGTGGGCCCTGGAGAACCATCTTTCCTTGCTGCAGACCCAGATGCTGGTGGGAGCATCTGGGGAAGCGCGCTGAGAACCTCCGTCGTTCCTCTTCCCCGGCCTCCACTCCCCAGCCTTGCCAGTGCTGGACAGACGCAGTTGCCTGGGGACACAGGAGCAGCTTCAGCTTTCCCACCAGCTTGGGTTAGCACCACAGACATGTAGGCCACTCGTTGTTCAGTCACAAGCAGGTGTCCTTCCTTCTTCCTCACTCACCAAGGACGCAGTGTTTATCACAGACTGCATGCACGTGATCATGTCCAGAAGCAAAATAAGCTACTGAAACATTAAACCAGCCTTCCTCTGATCCTGAATCTGATCCTCCTACCTGCCCAGGTGGTCAAGTGACTCAGGGAGCCTCCCACATTCTCAGTTTCCTCCTCTGCAAAAAGCAGCCTCTGACACTTTCTTTTTTATTATTATAAATTTTTTTTTGAGATGGAGTCTCACTCTGTCACCCAGACTGGAGTGCAGCGGCGTGATCTCAGCTCACTGCAACCTCCGCCTCCCAGGTTCAAGCAACGCTCGTGCCTCAGCCTCTCAAGTAGCTGGGTCTATGGGTGCACACTACCACACCTGGCTAATGTTTGTATTTTTAGTAGAGATGGGGTTTCGCCGTGTTGGCCACACTAGTCTTGAACTCCTGACCTCAGGTTATCTGCCTGCCTGGGGCTCCCAAAGTGCTAGGATTACAGGCATGAGCCACCGCACCCAGCCAGCCGCTGACACTTTCTTGCTGGGTGCTGTGAAAATAACAGCCCAGCACGTGGGAAACCCGGGCCTCTGTGACAGTTAACAGCCCTGTGCTGTCTTCCTGAGGGGCAGAAGCTCAAGGACAGGTGCCTCTCAGGCCCTCAAGCCTCCCATCTCCCAGGGCTGTCTTCTTCTGTCTTCAAATTGGCAACCCAAATATGGCATGCCGCTCACTAAACAAAACTCCTCCGGGCATCCTCCCACAAGGACAGTCATATGTCCCAGACTTTTGCAGAACATCTGGAAGCCACAGGACAGCACCCTGCATGTCCCAGCCACCCTAAGAGTTGGCCAGCAGGCACCTGTCCCTAAAAGCCCTCCGCCGCTGCCTGGCCACAGAAACATTCTGGGCCACCTCTTCAGCTCATGGGCCCCTCTTGCCTTTCTCATGCCTGACACAGGATGTTCCACAAGTGGAAGAAGTTAGCTTCTCGTCTCACAATTTTACTTTTGAAACCATCTTTCCTCAACCAAAATAGCGCCTGGGGTTGTTTTGCAAAACAAAACAGTTTTCGGCCTCTGCTGACTGTAAAAAATAACTTCCTCCTGCCTGCTGTATAATCTACTCCTAAACCCACCCCAACATCACAAACGCACAAGAAAAACCTGAAAGGTTTGGCCATCAAATACACACAAGGGCTCTCTGGCATGTAGAACCGTAGCTGCCCCGAAGCCACTTCCAGCTGGACCCGAGGGAGGCACGGCCATAGTCCAGCAGGTGTGGCCCCCAGGCCTGGAGGACGGAGTCTGTCCCACATGGCCAACAGCAGATGGGCCCAGGTCCCCCTGCCCATCACAAGAGACGAGGCATAAAACCGTAATGCTAATGTATTTGTTTACGGTGAGGTACAGGCTCCAAAATGACAGGTTCTACCTGTTTTCTGTCCTGAGCAAAGACAGGTGTGGACGGGAGAGAAAGAATACATATTCTATTTTTCTTTTTACTCAGAAACTAATTCCTCAGGATAGTCTCCTGATACTGTTGCCCCCACTATCCTCACTATCCCCTGAAACCCCTGTTTCAGAGCAGGGCTGCCTTCTGCCCTCCCCTCCTGGGGGCTGGGCGCGAGTTGTTAGAGCAATGCAGGAGGTGGGCAGTTCAGGGCAGCTTTGGATGCCTCAGGTCCCACAGGAGCAAATAAACCCTGGACTTCTTGATGCCGTCACAGCCTGGCAGCACCTGCTTGTCCAGCAGACCAGCCACCGCTCCCCGATTCACCATGCCTCAGCCACGTGGGCCAACATTCCCTTCCACTGAAGGCACCTGTGAGACTACAGGGACCACCAGCCACAATATCAAGCCCTCCTCCTCCTGCCCCATCACCCCTAGCCACCCAGGCTCAGGAAGATGCCCTTCAGAGCACCATGCTCAGCCGCCCGCTCATGAGAGTGCAGGCCAGCCCCCTCGCCCATCTCACTCACACCATTTCCAGAAATGCCAGCACGGCCTTCTGAATAAGAGTGAGGCAAAATTCAAACCACGTTTAAATTGTTTGAGGATCACATCCACCACCAGTTAGCATGGGTGAAGAGTCCGTGGAGAGGGTACTGCAGGGCTTCCGTGGAAGCAACTGTATTTTTACACAGCCGTAGTGCTCGGCTCACCAGGTTCGGCTCACAGCCCCCGATACCTGGCTGTGTCCAGCAGAGGGGAAGTCTCCTGGGAAGAGGCCTTTGAGAGGTTTATACACATGTGCGATGTGGGCCAGCGGGCGGCCCCGGGAGCCAGCAAAGGTCAGACATTTGTCCTTCCAGACACAGCTCCCGCGAGGTAGAACACGGCACCAAGATGCAGCGTGGACCCCACGACCACCATTGGGGTACCCAGGCGCCCAGAGAACACATGCCACGCGGCAGCGTTTGTACCACGGAGGGCAATGCAAACAGCTGACACCTGGCAGCGCTCCAGAACTGCCGCTGGGGCGTTTTGCTTCTGAAAAAACCACCCTCCTGTATCCTCTGTTCACACAATTCCCTCCGCCCCAGGGCTCCCCTCCCGCTGCAACGGCTGCATCCTGCACACCCCTTTGCACTCCTCTCTCATACCAGGACACTGGGGGGCAGTCATCCGACACACCACACAACTCCGTCCTCTGCTCCAGCTTCCGCTCAGCGGAGAATGGCTCCCTTATCTGATGGTTCCAGGATGCTCTGTGGCAACACTGAGTGTAAAGCAAACAAGGCCATCGGGTGCTGCAGCCTGCACACCAGCGTGGTCCTGGGCCACACACCGGGCAGCCGGAGAGAATCTCTGCAGCTCCCAGGCGGCAGGGTGCACAAATCACAGCCTTTCCTTGACCCCGCGAGCTGAGAGAGCAAAGTCACAGACAGACTGTTTTAAGTGGATTCAGGGAAACACCCCCCACTGCTGTCCCCCCTCCCGCCCCAACGCACACATACATGCACACACAGCTTTGTTTCCTTGTCATTCCTCTCATTCCCTCAATAACCCCTGATAGGCTTCTAGGAATACTTCCTCTCTCAGCAAAGGAAAAGTGTATGGTTCTGTGTTACAAGATGATTGGGCTTTAAGCAAATGAAATTGAAGGCCTACAGCACTGGGGTAAACCTCCTCCAGGCAGCAGCAGGCATTGAAACAGTGCTCATTAGAGCTTAGGATTCTTCCTCCTTCTCACTACAGCATTTTAATTAACTGGAAACAATACCTCAAGGCAGTATTGCAATACCTTTGGACTGAAACATTAATAAACAGAGAAAATTTGCTTACAAAATGGCAAGTTAGAGGAAATGGAGGCCGACTAATAAATAAATGAGCCAAAGTTCAAAGGCTGCAGGATGACTCACACGTGCCGTGCCTGCCTCGCAGCCAGGACTTTCAAAAACAAAGGGGTGGTGGACGGATTCCACAAGAACGGCTGTTAAAGTCCACGAGGCTGACCCAGGCTGGGACTTCCTGGAAACTCCAAGGAGAGGAACTGCCCACAGAGCCAGGGACTCAGGACTGGCACAAGAAATGGCACAGCGCCTGTGCTGCACGTTTGCAAGTGACCTGCTCTTCTGACCGCAGAAGCGCCACTGAAGGTGGTCGGCTCGAGTCACCAGGCAACCTGGTATGATTCTCAGTGCACGGTCCGCCTTCAGAAGGCAAAGCTGGTTGTGTGGAAGAGAAACCAGAGTCCTGCTGAGGCTGGACAGAGTTTCTTCATCAAGATCATGAACTATTTTCAGATTCGTGTCCAAATGAAAGACAGAAAGGATGTGTGAATGTTTTCATGTGCACGTGTATGGTGGATGCATATGTGGTATGTGCAAGTATGTGCATACACATGCATGTGTGGTGTGTGACTGTGTTCATGTGTGCTAGTGCGTATGAGTGTGCATGTGTGGTGTGTGTGCATGGTGTGTGAGTGGGTGTGAGTATGCTTGTGTGCCTGTGAGTGAGTGCATGCGCAGTGTTTGTGTGCATGGTGTGTGAGTGGCTGTGTATGTACGTGTGAGCCTGTGAGTGGTGGGTGTGTGTGCATGGGTGGTGTGTTTGGGGTATGTGCACACACACACATGTCTTTGTGCACATACACTTAGGACAACAGACCCGCACCCAGGGGCTCCTGAGGGTTAGGGTCACAAAAAGTCATCTTTAACTGAAGAAAGTATCATTTGAAGTGGATTTATTTATGAGGGGAATGTCGAAAGCACATAAGGAAAGGATGTGTGTACGTGCACATAAGGATGCACACAGAGACAGACACGCATTGCTGGAGCAAGGCTTGTGAAGCCCTGTCTCTGCCTGGGAAGTTCAGACTGGTTTCATGTTTTGTTGAAAAACAGATGCTGCAAGTCCAATCCTCATGCACAGTGTGAGCAGACGGACCGGTGGAGGAGAGGGGCTGCCTCTGCTGCTGAAGCCGGATGGCCTCACTTGTCGGAGAGGCTTTCTGCCTCCTTTGCTTCCAACCTTTGTCTGCCAGAGTCTCAGCACTCCTGGTCAGTGGGGGCCCCAGCTCTGAGCTGTGTAGGCCTTGTGGTGTCACTGTGCCCCTTTGGGCAGATGACCTCAGCTCCACTGGCCATGCTGGAGGGATGCGGTGAGCCTAAGAATTGGAGACAAGCTGTGGTAATAAAAGGATGGGGCCTTCCCAGTGCGGGGGCAGGGGCCACAGGCTACTCGCTTGTGTTGCAGGACCCAGCGCAGGCCAGGTGTTTCATGCCATTGCTCACACACACTCATGCACACACACATGCATACATACATCATGACACACACAAACATGCATGCATTCACAGCACACACATGGATGCATTCACAACATACACATTCCAGTCCTCAGCAAGACCATACCAGTCCCACACCTCCCAACTCCAAGGACTTCCACCTCATCCCATGCCTAGCCTTGCTGTCTGAGGAGGGGGCAGACCCCGGCCCCTCATCTTCTACTTGCTGACTTACAAGGTGCCTCCACCACTGTCTTCAGGGACTCCAGACTGGGCCACCCATTGGCATCCTGGTGCCTATAAGGACAGGCTGCCACTACTCAGGGCACCACCGCCCCCAAGAGAAGGGACAAGGCTGCTGGGGTCACACACCCCACCCTTCCCCATGGGGGCTTCCTGCCTGTGGTGTCAGCTTGCACACAGCCATTTCCTGGCCCCATTTCTTCTCCTCAGGACCAAAGAAGCATCCGCACTGCCCACTCCCCACGTGCTGTGGCAGTGCCTGCCCCATGCGGCCACGCTTGGGAAGTTGCTCCCGGTCAGAACAGATGGAGGTGGGGGTCCCTGCTCAGAAATAGCAGGGCTTCTTGAACATTCCACCTCATCCATGGCAAGCGTGCCTCAAAGCCGCCCCTCCCCTGTGATGAGCTCCTGCCTGAGGCTTGTCACAAAGCAAGATGCAGCGAGGACTGGGCTAAGCACCAGCCTGAAAATTTCACTCAGACCCCTCAAAATACCGGTAGGCCAGAGTTTGTGCTGCTATGAATGCACGATCACTTAAAATTAAACAGTTTTATCTCCATAATGAAAACAACATACTTGTAATGCCAACTGGAAGACCGAGAGGTCTTTTTTGCCGGCCTGGAGTTTCACCACAGAGCGATCCTACATATTCAAACATCATCATGTTGGCCTCCCACTGCCGCCTTCCGTAGACTGAATCGGCACTGAGTTACTCTAATCATGCCTCATTTTGCTTCTTCACCCAGAAGCAAGATCTAAGAGCCTGCCTTCTGAACGCTGCTGTTCAAGTTTCACCCGCTGACTTCCCTGTCTATATTTGCTCTCTGGTGCCCTCAGCCAGGCTCCCAGCTTGAAGGGGACTCCAGGCCAGCAATGGCCCACGGCGTAACTCTAGGCAGACCCTTCCCTTGAACCTCATACTCATGTGCCCAAGGATCTCCTCAAAGCCTCCTCTGGATATCAAACATGTCCTCACGCCACCCACACCCAAGGTCAAACTCATGATGTCCATGGGTACAAGAAGTCCCTTTCCTCCTCCTCCTTCTTTTTTGGCCAGGTCAGGTGATTTTGTTTGTTTGTTTGTTTGTTTGTTTTGAGACCAAGTCTCCCTCTGTCACCCAGGCTACAGTGCAGTGGTGTGATCTCAGCTCACTGCAACTTGGGCCTCCCAGGTTCAAGCGATTCTTCTTCCTCAGCCTCCCAAGTAGCTAAGACTACAGGCTTGCACCACCATGCCTGGCTAATTTCCTTTATGTGTGTATATTTTTTGGTAGAAACGGGGTTTCCCCACATTGGTCAGGCTGGTCTCAAACTTCTGAACTCAAGTGATCCGCCCACCTCGGCATCCCAAAGTGCTGGGATAACAAGTGTAAACCACTGCGCCCCGCCAGGTCAGGTGACTTATAGTAGTGCTCCCTTATCCAAAGTTTCATTTTCTGGTTTCAGTTATTCACATTCAACTGTGGTCTAGAAATAATAAATCTGGAGAATTCTAGAGATAAACAATCCATAAGTTTTAAATTGCGTGCCATTCTGAGTGGCCTGGTGAATTCTCAGGCAGTCCCTCTGTATCCCACCTCCCTTTGCCCAGTATCTACAGCTGGAGATGCCCCTGCCCTGCAACTAGTCACCTAGTTGCCATCTGGGTTATCAGATTGACTGTTGTGTCATCACAGCGCTTGTGTTAAGCAACTCTATGTTTTTTTCTTTTGAGACGGAGTTTTGCTCTTGTTGCCCAGGCTGGAGTACAATGGCAGGATCTTGGGTCACTGTAACCTCCACCTCCCAGGTTCAAGTGATTCTCCTGCCTCAGCCTCCCGAGTAGCTGGGATTACAGGCACCCACCACCACGCCTGGCTAATTTTTGTATTTTTTAGTAGAGACAAGATTTCACCATGTTGACAAGGCTGGTCTCCAACTCCTGACCTCAGGTGATCCGCCCGCCTCAGCCTCCCAAAGTGCTGGCATTATAGGCATGAGCCACCACGCCCGGCCCAAGTAACTCATACTTGACTAAATAATGGCCTCAAAGTGCAAAGTAGTGATACTAGCTTATTGTTATAATTGTTCTATCTTATTATTAGTTATTGTTGTTAATCTTTTACTGTACCTAATTTATAAATTAAACATCTCTGTAGGTGTGTATGTATAGGAAAAAAATGTAGTACAGACAGGGTTCAGTACTATCTGTAGTTTCAGGCATCCCCTTTGGGGTCTTAGAACCTATCCCCCACGGATAAGGGGGGACTACTGTGTCTGCGTTTACTTTTTTATTTTGAAACAGCTTTAGACTTACAGAAAGTTGCAAAAATAGTAGAGAGATTTCCTGCATAACCTATAGCCAACTTCCCTTACCATCGGCATCTTCCATAACATGGGGCAGTGATCAAAACCAAGAAACTAACTTTGGTAAAGTACTATGAGCCAAACTCCAGACCCTACCCAAACCTCAGGTTGTCACACCAGTGTCCCTTGCTGCTCTGGGACCAGAGGGCCTGCAGTCACCCTCTCCTTGGCCTCCTTCTCCTGAACTGTTCCTGAGCCTGTCCTTAGCTGCTGTACCCTTGACTCTGGAAGAGAACTGGGCAGGTATTTTGTAGCTTGTCCCTTCGTGTGTGTTTATCTGATGATTTTCCCGAGTAGATGAGATTGTGGAGCAGAGAGAGGGTCGGTTTTGCTCATTTTTCCTTTTGCTTCAGCCAATTTCCTTTTCCTCCATGGCCCCACCACTGAGTTTTTCTCTATTTAACCATCATGGAGTGTATTTGCATTAATTTTGATTTTTAAACGATTGCATTGAAATACTATTGACCTTGATGACTGAGTTTCTTGCACTCCCTCACCCCTCCATTAAACTTGACTCCCAAGGCAAGTGCCTCACTCATCTCACCCGAACCCCTGAGCTGATTGGTCAAGGCAAGGCCCCGGCCAGCCTGGATTTAAGGGGAGGGGGTGGGCTCCCTGTTGCCTACAGTGGTGGGAGGGGGTGTTGAAGGCCATGGCTGGAACAATCCCTCACTCATCCCTTCCAGTTCTGCTTTCTGTCATGTCCAAAGATGTGGCAGCTCCCCTGCGATTCTCTCCTGCCCACTTTCCTTTCTTGAAATGCAGAAACAATGCACTAGGTACAAATGAAAAAGAGAAGTCTCGCCAGTGAGGAGCTAGCTAGCCCTGAGGTTGCCTCCCCTCAGCAGGCTCGGGCTTCTGGGATCCAGCCATGGCCTTCAACACCCCCTCCCACCACTGTAGGCAACAGGGAGCCCACCCCCTCCCCTTAAATCCAGGCTGGCCGGGGCCTTGCCTTGACCAATCAGCTCAGGGTTTCGGGTGAGATGAGTGAGGCACTTGCCTTGGGAGTCAAGTTTAATGGAGGGGTGAGGGAGTGCAAGAAACTCAGTCATCAAGGTCAATAGTATTTCAATGCAATATGTACTCGGGTAGAAAGGAAGAAAACACGCCAGCAGGCGGCTGCTGGGACGTTTTGTCCTCCCATGGTTTCTCTGAGAACGTTCTGTTCTACATCCTCTCCATCCATGCTCTGGAGTTATGGGAACAATAAAAGAAGAATTAAAATCTGGAAGCCAAGTGTGCCTGACTGCCAAAGGGGCTCCATATGGGAGAGGGGGGTATGCGGCCAAACCACTCCCGACTCCCGTGGCAGGACCGCACAGCCATCTGCAAACACCTGGGAAAAGCACGTGGGTGTTTTCCAGAGCCCCCCATAAGCTGCAAGAGCTGCTGCCCCTGCAGAGACATGACGCCAGCCTTCCGCACCCTCCCACACCGAGTCCCACAGCCGCTGCTCAGAACCCCTCCTGCCTACCCTTCTCTCTGGCTCCACTCCCAGCGCACCTTCCTCCCTTCCAGCCATGCCCCTGGTGGTTCCTAATGCCAATCACTTTCACTGCTTCTATCCCGCCATTCTCCAATCGGGCTGCAGCAGCCCCTTACAGGGCCTGGGACCTAAGTAGGCAAACCCAAACTTTCCTTAGAAGGCCGGAGAGCAAGAGGAAGTCAAGTACTGTAATAACTCACACTCCCTGCACACAGGAAGGATCAGGCTGAGCTCAGGCCCTCATGTGCATGCACCCACCTAGTCCTCACCACCAGCCTCCTTTTTGCAGGAGAAGAAACAGGCTCAGTGACCAGTGAAAAGGGAAAGAAACTTTTAGTCTATGGAATGCAAGCCCCCTTTAATTATCAGGCCCAGAGAGGTGCTGAAATATGTCCGTGTGTGACTGCAGTCACGCCTCACTCACCCCTTGAGCTAAGTAATTACTTCTTGAAGGCTCTTGCAGTGTGCACTCCAGACTGACGCCAAGGAGCCATAAAATGCCTTACGTTGGACACAATAATTCATACCCTAGAGCTTAACCGTGTACAGCCAATCACCAATGTTACTTCTATAAACCTATGAGAATTCCTCAGGAACAACTTTGTAATGGTCCCCCTCCTGATTCACTGTCTTTTAAAACACACACACACATACACACACACACACACATGTACTCGAGCCTTTCCTTTGTTTTCTGGTGCACTCCCCAAGGCAACTTGGAAGTGTGTCCCAGGCTGCAGTCCTCAACCGTGGCCCAAATAAACTCTCTAAATTAATTTGGCTTGAGTCTCTTTCTTTAGATGGACACCAGCATAGCGCATGCTCATGTCCCATATACCATGTATCACAGCATGAGCTGCACCCCAGGACCAGTGAAGAGCACTCTGCCTCCAGGACTGTGCTCTTAACCACCATACATCCTCCCACTCTGTGCCACTCCAGTGACGTCAGCTGAGCCAGGGATGCCCAAGGTCCACAATGGAAATGCCAAACAAGGCTGTCAAAGTGAGCCACGGCATCACTCTGAAGGGGAGCCAGGGATGCTGGGCAGAGCCCCTGGGCCAGGCCAAAAAGGAGAAGGCAGCGACCTTTGTGGTGTGAGTGGGGAACCCCAATCCTGCCTCCTGCAAACCCACCCTCCTCAGTCTGCAACTTTAAGTTCTTTGTACAGCAAGTTCTTTTAACAGGAACAAAGCCTTTTCTTTCTCAGCCTACCTTAGGATGAAAATGCAAATCCCTTAGCAGAGCCCTCCCCAAACTCTCCCTAAGCCAGCAGCGTGCACCCCCTTCCCAGTTTCTCCCCTTGAGCTCCAGGGTTCTGCGTTGCAGTGCTTCCCACCTTAAATGTTTGGAAAGAATGATTTGCAGTGTTTGGGACACATGTCTACTAAAGGTGACTCCGTGCTCATCTGAAATTCCAATGTACTGGGCCACCTGTGTTTTCATCTGCTAAGTCTGGCAACGGTGATTGCAGCCGTGTCTTCATATGTGGGCTCCCCACTAGGTTATCGGCCCATTTTTGTTTGTTTCTGCTTTTTATTTTGAAAAACGTCATACAGCAAAATTTCAATAGCAACATGAACCCCTGTGTGCCCTTCACTAGATCCCAGAGTTGTAGTTGTTAATGCTTTGCCCTGTTCTCCTTCTCTCCTCCTCTTTCTCCCCCTCTCTCCCTCCCTCTAGGTCAATGACATTCCTGTGCTCACAGGAACCAGAGCTGGGAGTGGAACACTCCTCTCTCTGAATAGTATTCTTATGCATTCCTCTACACACTCTACGCCATCACTGAAGTCAGCAGGTTACTCTAAATGTTGTGTAGCTGATATGATATTCTTAAGTTGGATTGGTCTTCCTGGGAGCAGGGGACAATAATCAGAATGCATCAGCCCCCTCAGGTAGACCACAGCTGTTCAAGGATCACCCATGCCTGGAGCCTCCTACTCACAGAGGCTCCAACATGCCCTGCAGCTGCCAGGAATGCAGATTTGCTGGACCAGAATCCATGAGCACCTGAAAATTTAGCCCATTCGTGAGCTGAGGAGAGAATGAGAAGTCTAGAATTAGCTGTATGTGTCATCACAAGTTATCAATATATAGACTACAATTGTGGCCATCTCCGTGGTGGGAGGGCTGGCAAGAAAAATTAGGAAAGATTTGTATATTTTGTTTATTTTCATTTTCAGCCTATCTGCAAGGAGCTTCTACTGCTTGGGTAGGCTCTATGGGGCAGCTGACATTCTCTTTCTCCAAAAGCAAGAGAAAAACAAATAGAACATCAACAATAACAAGGAAACAAGATGTATTTGTTTCTTCTTCCCTGAAAGGACAAGATAATCTTTTGGAAGCGTGTTCTGCCCTAGACAAGGCATTTGGGCTGCCCAGCTATGGAGGAAGATTGTTGCAAGGATTTAGAGTCAGTCTCAAGGGTCTCCAAGGTGCCCTGGAGACTGAAACAGTCCCAACCCAGTCCTGGGGGTACTCCTGAGGTCTTCTATGGGGCTTCTAGGTTTCCTAGTGTGCTTCTCTCTGCAAACAACTTCCTTCTCTGACTGGTGGCTTCTCTGCTCCCCCTGACCTGCCCAGAACCCTACAGACCAGCCAAGAAGGCTCTGCGTGGCCCCTCCATTCAAATGCCCATGGTGCCCAACTGATTCTCCCTGTCCAAGTTTCTATTGCCATTTCCTGGCAGAGAGAATCTGATGATCTCTGCTTGGGTACAAATCCATCCCTAGGGCAAGTCATTGATGGCCAGGGGGCAGACCCCAGGTAAGAGGAGGAACTTATAGATGGGAAGAAGAGATAGGCATATAGACTTACCCAAAAGTTAATTAACTCCTTTGGACAAATATATTTAAAATCAGGGGCTGGGCACGGTTGCTCACGCCTGTAATCCCAGCACTTTGGGAGGCTGAAGCCAGCAGATCACGAGGTCAAGAGATCAAGACCATCCTGACCAACATGGTGAAACCCCGTCTCTACTAAAAATACAAAAATTTAACTGGGCATGGTGGTGCATGCCTGTAGTCCCAGCTACTCGGGAGGTTGAGGCAGGAGAATCGCTTGAACCCAGGAGGCAGAGGTTGCAGTGAGCCAAGATGGTGCCACTGCACTCCAGCCTGGCGACACAGCGAGACACCGTCTTAAAAAAAACAAAACAAAACAAAAAAACAGGTTTCTGACCTCCAGGATCCTTGAGTTACAAACATAATCACAAACATATTTTAAAATGTTAGGAGACTTCAGATGGTTTCTGGCACTTAGCACAGTGTCTGGAACATATTAGAAGTAGATGCTCAATTTTTTAATGAATAGCTCTGAGAAATTACAGAAATCCTAGGATTGGCCAGGCACAGTGGCTCACGCCTGTAGTCCCAGCACTTTGAGAGTCTAAAGTGAAAGGATTACTTGAGGTCAGGAGTTTGAGACCAGCCTGGCCAACATGGCGAAACCTTGTCTCTAGTAAAAATATAAAAATTAGCTGGGTGTGGTGGCACGTGCCTGTAATCTCAGTTACTCGAGAGGCTGAGGCAGGAGAATCACTTAAACCCGGGAAGTGGAGGTTGCAGTGAGCCAAGATTATGCCACTGCACTCCAGCCTGGGTGACAGAGTGAGACCTTCTCTGAAAGAAAGAAAAGAAAAGAAAAAAGAAATCCCAAGATTGCTATTTCAAATTATTCCCAGAGGCAGGTAAAAACTTATCTATCCTTGAGGATTCTTTTCCTCATGAACCTTAAGGTATTCCTCCAGGTCCAGGAGTGGAGAGACCACCTTTAGGTAAGGATAACCACCCCTCAGTGACACAGTCTTCGAGTTTTAAGGTGACAAGTATGGAAGGATCTCAGTATCCTGTTTCACCCAATTAAAGTGCCTCTTTTAAAAGATAATGTTATAAAATATCTCACCCACTCACAGTATCAGCAATAATACATTTGGAGTTTAAATCAGCCAGTGTCCTCCAACTGAGGATGAAATTACAATCACACACATTTATAAAGTGCTCCTCTATGATAGGCTCCGTTCTGAGCACTTTACATATTTTTCTTTATTTCACTTTTACAGTAACTCTGGGAGGGTTATTATCCTCTGTGATAGATGAGAACACTGAGGCACAAGTTGCTTAAGTAACGTCTCCAACGTCACTCAGCAGGTGAGTGGCAGAGATTCAAGTCCACGTGGCACAGCCCAGAGTTTTGCTTCAAACCACTGCACAATTGACTCCACCATTAGCCTGGGGCTTTCACTTTCTACACGATGAAGATTATATATGGATAAGAAAGACTTCAGAAGAAAGAAACCAGATTGGTTTCCTTTACTTTAAAGTTCAAATCTAATTCATCAAAAGAAGGAAATGATATGCTAGTTTTCCTTTTTTTTTTTTTTTTTGCAACCTACTGCCATACTTAAATTTCAGTTTTGAGTCTCTTTAAAAACTTCACAAAAATCCCTCCATGCTTGATCGGTAATTTCTAGTTGTCTAATTGAGTGGAATGAGTAGACATGTTGCCAAAGAACATCAGCAACTTGTCACAAATCAAACCCACATATCCAAAAATCTAGTACGTTTCTACACTTGAGTCATCAGAGAGACAGGATGATGGCAGGCTTCTCTCGGTGCCTGAGGTCTGCCTTACAGCAGGAGTTGTGTTTTGTTGTACTTTTTTTTCCACTTCAAGAGCATAAGCAAGTGTGAGTTGTCCCATTGGCATTTCCAGTCTGTCACTGTGTGAAAGGTTATCCAATGGAGTTTCTGATGGAAATGCCAAAAACTTTTTCTGGGTTCTAAAGTTTCTTACTAGCAGGGGACACGTGTTCTCTGTGACATCCCTTCCTGGCTGTATTTATAGGCAATTCATTTAACATCTCTAAGCCTCAGAATCCCCAACTCTATACTGCGGACAGTAATAACTACAGTGGTCTTCCCTTATCCACAGGGGACACGTTCCAAGAACTTCGGTAGGTGCCTGAAACCGCGGATAGTACCAACCCCTACATAAAGCGCTCATCTGCACTGTGGCCATAACTTTTGCAGTTGGAGATGCAACAGCAAGAGCAGCATGACTTTGTTTTTCCTTCTTCACAATTTCACAGGACGAAGATTTGTTCTTAAAAAGATCTTAGCAACTTCAGCATACAATACTTTACTTGGCTTACTATTGGAACTTTCATCTTTTCACTTAAAGGAAGCACTTTAAGGCTTTCTTTGGCATATATGAATTGCCATCATCACCACTCTTGCCGTTTGGGGCCATGATTAAATAAAATAAGGGTTTCTTGTGCACAAGCCCTGTAATACCATGACAACTGATCCAATTACCCAGCCAGCTGCTAAGCAACTAATGGGCAGGAGGCAGGGAGGTGCTGGACAAAGGGAGGATGCACATCCCTGCCCTCTGACTGTCAATCCCACGAGGGCAGGGGTCTTCTCTCTGCTGTCCTTCCAGCATCTAGCCCTTTGTGACCACTGAGTAAATATTTGACAAATAAAGGAATGAGTGAGTAAATGATTTCTAAGACTCCTTTCAATTCTGAGTCAATGAGGCACCAGGCTACCCTTGTTTTACCCTAGAGAATGTGTCTTTTAAAAAGACAAAGATGTTCTTTTGGCACAACTAGGCAAGAACAAGAAATAAAAGAAAAACAAGAAGTAAAACTATATTCACAGATGATATGACTTTGTATATAAAGGATTTTAAGTACTTCACAAAGTAATCTATTAGAGGCAATAAACAAAAGCTGAAGGAGCTCATCACTACAAGACCTGCCCCACAAGAAATGCTGAAGGCAATTCTTCAAGTTGAAATGCAAGGGTGCTAAACAATAACATGAAGGCATATGCAAATGTAAATTTGGTAAAGACAAATATGGAAACAAATACATAATACCGTAATACTGTAATAAAAGCTTGTAAATCTCTTTTAACTCTAGTATAGAAGTTAAAAGACAAAAGTATTAAGAATAGCTATAATTAGGCCAGACTCCGTGGCTCATGCCTGTAATCCCAGCACTTTGGGAGGCCAAGGCAGGCGAATCACCTGAGGTCGGGAGTTTGAGACCAGCCTGACCAACATGGAGAAACCTCATCTCTACTAAAAATACAAAATTAGCTGGGCGTGGTGGCGCATGCCTGTAATCTCAGCTACTTGGGAGGCTGAGGCAGGAGAATCGCTTGAACCCAGGAGGTGGAGGTTGCAGTGAGCCAAGATCGCGCCATTGCACCCCAGCCTGGGCAACAAGAGCAAAACTCCGTCTCAAAAAAAAAAAAAAAAAAAGAATAGCTATAATTACCAAAATGTGTTAATGGATATGCAATATATAAGATATAAATTGTGCTATCATTTACATAATGTGGAATGTGGGGAGACTAAGAGTATAGTTTTTGTATATGATTGAAAGCTTGAAATAAGATGATTTACATAAGTAAGCTTTATGATAACCACAAAGAAATTACCTATGGTAGATACACAAAATAAAAAGAGAAAGGAAGCAAAACATATCATTACAAAGAAATCATCAAATCACAAAAGAAGACAGTGAAAAAACAAAAAAGGGACAAAAGAACTACAAAACAAATAAAGCAAATAAAATGACAATAGTCCTTGATTATCAATAATTTCTTTAAATAAAAATGGATTAAACTTCTTAATCAAAAGATATAAAATAGCTGAATGGATTTTAAATAACAATGGATTAGAGATTTAACTGTGCTATCTAGGAGAGACTAACTTTAGATTTAAGGACATACATAGGCTGAAAGTAAAGGGATGGAAAAAAAATATTCCACGCACATGGAAACCAAAAGAGAGTGGGGGTGGCTGTATTTATAACAAACAAAATATGCTTTAAGGTAAAACTGTCCAAAGAGACAAAGAAGGTCAGTGTATAATAATTAAAAGGTCTATTCATTCGGAAGATGTAACAAGTGTAAATATACACTGTATGCACACAACATCAGAGCACCTAAATAGATAACGTTGACAGGTCTGAAGAGAGAAATTGACAGCAATATAATAATAGTAGGAGACTTCAATACCCCACTTTCTGTAATAAATAGAACATCCACACAGAAAATCAGTAAGAAAACAGCGGGCTTTAACAATACTACATGCCAAATGAACCTAATAAACATGTGCAGAATATTTCATCCAATAGCAGCAGAATACACATTCTTCTCAAGCTCAGATGGAACATTCTCCAGGATAGATCACATGTTAGGTCACAAAAATAAGCCTTAACAAATTTAAGAAGATTGAAATCATGTCAAGTATCTTTTTAAACCACAATGGGATAAAACTAGAAATCAATAACAGAAGGAAAACCGAAAAATTCACAAATATGTAGAAACTAAACAACACAATATTGAATAACCATTGAGTAAAAGAAGGAATCGAAAGGAAAATAAGAAAATATCTCAAGACAAATGAAAATGAAAACACAACAAACCAAAACTTACGGGATGCATCAAAAGCAGTTATAAGGGAAAGTTTACAGCAATAAATGCCTACATTAAAAAAGAAAGATCTCAAATCAACAACCTAACTTTAGAGCTCTAGGAACTAGAACAAACTGAGCCTAAGTGAGCAAAGCGAAGGAAATAATAATTATTACAGCAGAAGTAAACAAAACAGAGAACAGAAACACATTTTTAATATCAAGGAAACTAAGTGTTTGGTTTTGGGGAAGATAAATAAAATTGACAACCCCTTAGTTAGACTAAGAAAGAAAGAGAGAAGACTCAATTAAATAAAATCAGAAATAAAAAAGGAGACATTACAACCGATACCATGGAAATAAAAAGAATTATAAGACATTATTAGGAACAAATTTCTGCCAATAAATTGGATAACCCAGAAAAAATGGACAAATTCCTAGAAGCAGGCAACCTACTAATACTGAATCATGAAGAATTAGAAAATCTAAACAGACTAATAATAAGTTAAGAAGATTGAATCAGTAATCAAAAACCTTCCCAAAACAAAATCCCAGGACCACACGACTTCACTGGTGAATTCTACCAAATATTTAAATAATTAGGACCTGTTCTTCTTAAACTCTTCCCCAAAAAATGAAGAAAAGGAAATATTTTCAAACTTATTTTAAGAAGCTATAATTACCTCAATACCAAAGCCAGACAAAGATACTGCAAGAAAAGAAAACTACAGATCCTGTATTTTTACATTCATTCCTGATTAACATAGACGCAAAAACCCTCAATAAAATACTAGCAAATTGAATTCAGCAGCCCATTAAAAGGATCATACATTATGATCAAGTGGGATTTATCCCTGGAATTCAAGGATGATTCAACACATGCAAATCAATAAATGTGATACATCATACTAACAGAATAAAGGATAAAAATCACATGATTATCTCAACAGAAATAGAAAAGCCATTTGAAAAAATTAACACCTTTTCATGATAAAACTTCTCAAAAACCTAGGTATAGAAGAAATTTACCACAACATAATAAAGGCCACATATGAAAAGCCCATCACTAACATCTTACTCAATAGTGAAAACCTGAAAGCTTTTCCTCTAAGATTAGGAACAAGGCAAGGATGCCCACTCTTACCACTTCTATTCAACATAGTACCAGAAGTTCTAGTCAGAACAATTGCTAAAGAAGAAGAAAAAAATGTCCACATTGGAAAGGAAGAAGTAAAATTACATATTTACAGTTGACGTGATATATGTAGAGAAACCTAAAGACTACACACACACACACACACACACACACACAAACACACACACACACTGGTTAAAACTAATAAATGAATTCAGTAAAGTTGCAGGATATGAGATCTACCTACAAAAACTAGTTGTATTTTAATATACAACTAGTATCCCCTAACAACAACTATCCCCCAAACTATCCCCCAACAAACTATCCCCCAAAAATTAAGGAAAAAATATCCATTTACAACATCATAAAAAAGAATAACATACTTAGAAATAGATTTAAGCAATGAGGGGAAAGACTTATGCACTAAAAACTACAAAATGTTGATGAAAGAAATTAAAGAAGACACAAATAAATGGAAATACAACCTATGTTCATGGATAGGAAGGCTTACTATTGTTAAAATGTTCCCATTAATAGTATATGGCTCAAAGTGGTCTACAGATTTAATGCAATCTGTCAAAATCCCAACGGCATTTTCTATAGAAACAGAAAAAACATTCCTAAAATTCATGGGATCCATGAAAAATCCTGAGTAGTCAAAGCAATCTTAAGAAAGAAGAACAAAGCTGCCTTCATAATACTTCCTGATTTCAAAATATATTACAAAGCCATAGTATTAAAACATATGGTACTGGTATAAAAAAGACATACAGACCCATGGAACAGAATAGAGAGCTCACAAATAAACCCACACATACACACTCAACTGACCTGTGACAAGAGTGCAGAGGATACACAATGGGAAAAAGATAGTCTCCTCAACAAATGGTGTTGAGAAAATTGGATATCCACATGCAAAAGAAGAAAATCGAATCTTTATCTGACATAATACAAAAAATCAACTCAAAATGGATTAAAGAGATGGCATAAGACCTGAAACTGTAACACTCCTAGAAGACAATGTACAGGAAAAGCTCCATGGCATTGGTCTTGGCAGTGATTACTTTAATATGATACCAAAAGCACAAGCAACAAAAGCAAAAATAGACAAATGAGACTACACGAAACTAAAGATCTTCCACATGGCAAAGGAGACAAACAGCAGAGTGAAAAGGCAAACCATGGAATAGAATAAGATATTTCCAAGCCATATATCTATAAGGGGTTAAAATCCAAAATATGCAAGAAACTCCTACAATGCAATAACCCCCCAAAAAAATTTTAAAATGAGCAAAAAAATTAAATAGATATTTCTCCAAAGAAAATATACAAATAGTGAACTGGTATATGAAAAGATGCTCAACATTACTCATGAATAACTAGGGAAATGCCAATCATATCACCTCACACATTTTCTGATGACTTTAATCAAAAAAAAAAAAAACAGAAGATAAGTGTTGGTGGGGATGTGAAAAAATTGACATCCTTGTACATTGTTAGTGGGCATGTAAATTGGTGCAGCTGTGATGGAAAACAGCATGGAGGTTCCTCAAAAAACTAAAAGTGGAACTACTATATGATTCAGCAATCCCACTTCTGAGTATATATCCAAAGGAATTGAAATCAGGATTTCAAAGAGATATCCATACCATCAGTTTGTTGCGGCATTATTCACAACAGCCAGTTTGGAAACAACCTAAAGGTCCATCAACAAATGAATGGATAAAGAAAATGTGGTACACATATACACAAAGAAATATTATTCCGCCTTAATAAAGAAGATGCTGCCATTTGTGATGACATGGATGAACCTGGAGGATGTTATGCTAAATTAGATAAGCCAGGCACAAAAGGGCAAATACTGCATGATTCCACTTATATGAGTTAAACTCATAGAAACAGAGAGTGGAATGGTGGTTGCCAGGGGTAAGGGGAGCAGGATATGGAAAGTGTTGCTGTTCAAGAGGTACAAAGTTTCAGTTATAGAAAATGAGTAAGTTTTAGATACTTACTATATGGCATTGTACCCACACTTAACAAGAAAAAGAATATAACAAAATCCATAATCTACTAAACTTTGTAAGATCTGAAGATTTCATCATATTTGCTTCCGACAGATCTTTTATTGCATAAGAAATAAAGTTTTACATTGTAGTTGAAGACTCTTGAATACTCTTCACCAATCACATCCCCTCTACCCACACCCTAAAGTAACTGCCACCTTAATTATGGAGTTCATATATCCCACACATATTTTTTATGTTTACTCTTTATTATGTATCCATGAACGATATATAATATTTTACCTTATAAAATTATACATGTTGTCATGTTGTAAATATCCCTTTGTAAATTACACGTTTTCATCAACATTACGTTTCTGAGGCTTCTCAATGTTAATTCATTCATTTTACTAAATAGAAAAACAGATAGTTCCATAAAGACACATACACGTGTATGTTCACTGCAGCACTATTCACAATAGCAAAGACATGAAATCAACCTAAATGCCCAACAATGGTAGACTGGATAAAGAAAATGTGGTACATATTCACCATAGAATACTATGCAGCCATAAAAAGAATGAGATCATGTTCTTTGCAGGAACACGGATGGAGCTGGAGGCCATTATTCTTAGCAAACTAACACAGGAACAGAAAACCAAATATTGCATATTCTCACTTATAAGTGAGAGCTAAATCATGATAACACATGGACATGTAGAGGGGAACAACAGACATAGGGGCCTACTTGAGGGTGGAAGATGGGAGGAGGGACAGGAGCAGAAAAAATAAGTATAGGGTATTAGGCGTAGTACCGGGGTAATGAAATATTGTGTACAACAAACCCCCATGACACAAGTTTACTTATATAACAAACTACATATGTACCTCTGAACCTAAAATAAAAGTTTTTTTGAAAAAAAAAAAAAAGAAAACAGTTCACGTTACATAGACCTCACTACAATTTATTGACACATTCTCCTGTATATGTATGTTTAAATTGTTTATGCATTTTCTACTATTATAATCTACCTTGTTATGAACATTCTAGAGCATGACTCTCTGGGCATCTGTTTGAGTTTCTCTAGGTTTTCACCTGGCAGTGGAATTCTCAGTAAGGGATGCATGTCCAACCAGATATTGCCAAATTGCCTATCACCATGGTCTTCTAATTCACCCTCCTACTCTCAAAGTCAGATAGTTCCTGACTCCCTATGTCCCCACCCATATATATTACTGCCAACTTTTACTTTTTCCAATCTACTTGCTATTTCAAATTTTCATCTTCCTGATTACCAGTGACAGCGAGCAGATTTTCACGTTTATTGGTCTTTGGGGATATGTCTCCTGTGAATTGCCTATATTCTTTTGCCCATTCTTCAATTGAATTGTTGGTTTTTTCTTAGAAATTGAAAGAGTTCTTTATATATCTTAGATGCTAATTATTGGTCAGTTATATGTTTGCAAATATCTCCTGGACTAAAACTTGTATTTCCATTGAGGTTGTTTGTTTGTTTGTTTGTTTGTTTTTAGAGATGGGGTCTCACTTTGACATTCAAGCTGGAATACAGTGGCATGATCACAGCTCACTGCAGCCTTGAATGCCTGGGATCAAGTGGACCTCCCACCTCAGTCTCCTGACATGCTGAGATTACAGGTGTGAGCCATCCTGCCCAGCCCTCCACCTTTTTCATATTGTATTTTATGCCTGTTTTTACCTCTAATATAGCCAAATGAATAAAGTTTTTGTTTTATCATTTTGCCTTTTGAGTTTTGGGAAATACTTGTCAATTCTAGATTATAAATACCTTCTCCTATATATAGACTTCGAATTTTTTTCATTTCATTTTTCACTTTTAGTTCTTTAATCCACCTTATGTTTGGTGGTGGTGTAAGGGGAAAATCTAATTGTTTTTCCAACACTTCCCTCAGCAGTACTGACTAAGCTGTTCGTCATGTTCTCATTGATTCATAAGGACACCTCTGTCCTGTTAATTTTCCACGTATGTACTAGTCTATTTTTAAGTTTTCTATTGTGTTCCTCTGATCTATTTTTTAAAGAAGTCCAAACACATGGTAAGCAAATCTTCCCACCTTGATCAGTCCTGATTATTCTTTACCATTTCTTCTTCCATGTGAGTTTTTGATTAGCTTGTTACATTTCCAAAAGTTATTTGTTGGACATTGTTTGAAGTTTCAATGAATTCTTGGAAAAATTTGAGGAAATGGACGTCTTTGTGCTGTGAGTCTCTTCATCCATGAACATCTTCATTGCCTCATCTATTTTTTGTGTACTCCTCTTATGTAATCCAATAACATTTTGAAATTTTCTTCATAAATACCTTTCATGGCTTTTGTTAGCTATATTCCTAGTTACTATATTTTTTTGTTGCCACTATAAATGGTATGTTTCTTAAATTGCATTTTATGTTATCTGCTGCAATGGATAGCACATTGATTTTCATATATATTACACATATCCAGCGAGATAGCTAAACATCCTCACTGATTCTATACATTCGTCTGTAGATACCCTTGGATTTTCTATGTAAACAATCTTACCAACTACGGATCATTTCAGTTTTGCTTCCCCTTTGGAAATTCTTATACTTATTTCCTTTTAATATCTTATGACAGTAGCTCAGTAAAATATTGGATAAAAAGAATGATAGCAGACATTCATAGTTTTTTTGACTTTAAAGAGATTTGTGCAATGTTTCACCATTTACGCTGCTGGCTGTACATTTATTTGGTAGGTGCTTTCTACCAGGTTAAAACCCTTTGTTTCTCTTCCCCATTTTCTATAAGTTTGTATTATAAATAGATGTAGAATTTTAAACTGTTAATGTGGTGAATTACACTGATAAATTTTCAAATGTAAAGCCAGTAATACATTCCTTAAATAACTTAGATTTGTCATGATCTGTTTATGTTTACAAATTGCTGGACTCTGCTAGTATCTATTAGGATTTTCATGCCTGGGTTTCTAAGGAAGGTGACCTTCCCTTTCCTGTCTGCTTTGTATAAAAAATAAAGTAGCCTCAGAAAATGAGTCAGAGAGCAGGCCCTCCTTTCTATTCTCTGAAACATTCTGTATGATATTGGGATAACTGTTATTTGAATGTTTGGTAGAATTCTCTTATGAAAACATCTGGTCCTAGCATTTTGTGTATGATATTAACCAGAGCAGATTTTTAACCCATTTCTTTAATGGTTAAAATATATTCAGGTTAGTTTTTTTTTTAGTTTTGCTGAGTTACATTTTTGGAGGTGATTAGTCTTCTCTCTGTGTTTTTGTAGTTTTTGTTGCTGCTGTTGTTCTTATTGCTGTCTTACTTTTAGTCTCTGTCTCTCATGCTGTGCCTTTGGTTATTCCTAGAGTGGTTTATTTGTGCCTTCTCAATTTGGGTTCTTTTCCCCCCTTGCAATCTATGTTGACTAAATTTGTCTATTTTATTTGTTGTCTTAAAGAACCAGCTGTTGGATTTGTTGACTCTCTCTATTTCATACTTGTTTTCTATTTCATCCATTTTCCTCTTATTTCTTGTGCCTTCATCCTTCTATATTCTGTAGTTTTACTTGGTTTTTAAAATTTTATGTCTTCCTGAGTTTTCTGCTTTGCTATTAAGTTTGAACATTTCTTCTTCTCCGAAATAAATATGTATTTTCTTCCAAATACCAGTTTAGCTGCATTCCTGATATGGTTTGCATCTGTGTCCCCACCCAAATCTCATGTTCAGTTGTAATCCCCATTGCTGGAGGTGGGGCCTGGTGGGAGGTGATTTGATCATGGGAGTGGTCCTTCATGAATGGTTTAGTGCCATCCCCTCAGTGCTGTTCTCGTGATAGTGAGTAAGTTATTGTGAGGTCTGGTTGTTTAAAGGTGTGTAACACCTCTCCTGTCTCTCTCTTCCTCCTGCTCCAGCCACATGAAGTGCTGGATCCTCACCTCACCTTCTGCCATGTTTGTAAGTTTCCTGAGGTCTCCCCAGAAGCCTGGCAGATGCCAGCATCACGCTTTCTGTACAGGCCGTGGAACTGTGAGCCAATTAAACTCCTTTTCTTTATAAATTACCCAGTCTCAGGTATTTCTTTATAGCAATGCAGGAACAAACTAATTCCAAAGTTTTAAAATATAATGTTTTATCACTCCATTCTAAATATATGTATGCATATATATGCATATGTACATACTAAGTGATTTTTTAACTTAAGTTCATTATAATCAGAAAAATTGAGTCTGTGTAACTACTAACTTTTTGTTTAATAAATACTTGTTTTCTGGTTAGGACATGGTTAATTGCCACAAATATTCCATGTCTGCTGCTTGAACACAATGTACGTATTTTTTAGTTGGCCTTTAGATCAGTCTGTGTCTATTCCGTAGTTTCTCTCATCCACAGAGTTGTTCACTAGCAATTAACCTCTATCTGAGAGTTCTAGTTTCTGAAATTCTTGGCTATGCCTGCTCAATCCCGTAACTGAGAAGATGCTGAGTTCCACATATATCCACAAATGTTTCTTTGAGATTGTCTTCTAAAATTAAATTTTTCTGTGGGACTTTCATTGGGTATTAACAAAATTCCTCCTTTAAACCACCATTCCCTTTCCGTCCAACCCAGATTGTCTGCAGAAGTGTTCTGGACATTCTTGAACTTTCCATTCTTCTCACAGGACCCAAACAATAGGGAGTGGGTTTTTTGTCAGAAGTTTTTTTTTTTTAAAGCCTTGCTAAGGCGAGGGAACTGAGACCCAAGGTAAGTTACAAGACATAGGAAGATCCCAGAGACAGATCTGCACTCCAGAGCCAGTACTGCCATAGGGAGAGCAAGGGTGAGTGGTGCTAGGACCATTGCCAGGGTTTGTTAGTTTGTTTGTTTTGAGATGGGGTCTCCTTCTATTGCTCTGTCGTCCAGGCTGGAATGGAGTGGCACAATCTTGGCTCACTGCAGCCTCTGCCTCCTGGGTTCCAGCAATTCTCCTGCCTCAGCCTCCTGGGTAGCTGGTATTACAGGCATAAGCCATCACACCTAACTAATTTTTGAATTTTTAGTAGAGACGGGGTTTCACCATGTTGGCCAGGCTGGTCTCGAACTCCTGGCCTCAGGTAAGCCACCCACCTCAGCCTCTCAAAGTGCTAGGATTACAGGCATAAGCCACCGCACCGAGCTGCCAGGATTGTTTTAAAATATTTAAGGTCTAACAGTGACACGGGCATGAGATACTCGGAGAATTTTCAGGGTAATTGTTTTATAACTCTACTGAACACCTGTAAAATGCAAATGAATAACAGACATCTGAAAATAATCTTTCCTCTCAATAATAATGATAATGTAGCTACAAAATAATAATGTATCTACAAAACTTTAAATTAAGATTTAATTTGAACAATGAAAACAACAATGAGATAGCATTTTTTACCTCTTAGATCAGCAAAGAGTATAAAGTGGTAACATTTGTGGCTTTACAAGGGCAGAAAACAAGCTGGTGGAACTATAAAAATGGTGTGTCTTAGAAAAAAAAAGTTGGCAAAACTCAATAACTCCCATTCTAGGACATCTACCTTAAGTAAAAGCCATACCCTCATACAGGCAGAATGTTATCATTGCCCAGGCACATCCTGTTCTCTTCTGTGTTGGGTATATAGAAAAATACAAACCCCCCTCCTTCACAGGTAGATGGGGCCAGGTGACTGGCATGGGCCAATGGGCTGTGGGTGGAAAGGAAGCGTTTCCTACATGGTAAGCCTGGCACTTGTGAGTTCCCATTGACTCTGGGCTCTCTGTGCCAATTCTAGAGGGAGGATGGCAATGCTGGCACTTCTTCAGCCTGGTCACCGACTAACTATGCAAAATACAGCTAATAACAAACAGCCCCAAAGTCTCAGTGGCTTAACACAACAAAGCTTTATTTCTTGTTCTCTTACAAAGGATGTGAACAAGATGTCCAACAAAGGATGTTTATCAGCTTAAGCCTAGAAGATCCTAACAACTACACAGAGATTTATATCAAATGAGATTCATTGTAGCATTACTTATAACAGTATAATTTTAACAACACTCTAAATGTCAAAACATAAGAGATGACCAAATAAGTTATGACCCATGGTATAATACTATAATAAATATCTTACAAAAAATAGAAGTGATATGTTGAAGATATCTAGCAGCAATGGAGAAATTCTCACAATAAAATACTGAGGAAAAAAGGCAGAATATTAAACAATTCATACAGTAAAATCACATTATTTATTTATTTAAAACAATTGACTAAATGCAAAGGAAAAATAAAGCCCAAACACCTCAGCATTAGTAATGATCATGGTAGTGAAGCAACACAAGATTAGTGATCAAAAGGCTGAAGGTGGCTGTCAGGGAGTTTGTAAAATGAAGTATTGATGATGAGCTTGAATGATGCTATTTCATGTTAATATAGAAAAAAATAAGTAAAGACTATTTTCCCAAACCATGCAAGCAGCAAGTGGGAATGAGTCATGACTGGTTATGGGGAATTTTTTCATTGAGCAAGCATACCCACGACTTTCAAAATCGTAGCATGGGGCATTGGGCCAATGTGTTTGTTTATTTTCCTTTGTTTTCTCTGACAGCAACCCTAATCTCAGGTTACAGTTTGGCTGGCCATAGTTAAAGGGAAATAGAGATGAAGTGATGAAACATGCAGGGGGATTCAAAGAGCATTCTCGTGGCTTGCTAACCTTAAAATCAAGTGTTGAGGTGTGGATTATTAGATATGCCATATAACAGCACAGACAACTTGAACTTGCCATCCTCAGAGGTTTGAGAAATACGCCAAACCATCTGACTGCCCATAAACATTGTGTACTTAGGAAGGGTGTTGGCTTGCAGAAAAAAATAGGAATGTTTTGAAATTATCAGGGCCCATTCCAGGAAAAAACAGGGGAGTGGAGGATCACTGTGGTTTCAGAAATGGCCATCGGACTGATCAAAGAACTTTCACATCTCAGCAACAAATAGAGTTCCAACAAATCCAACTGTTTCTTCTCTGGGGAAGTCCTTCAGGCTAAGGACTTCCTTTCTCGTCTTTGTGGGTTTTTCCAGAGGCGATCACGTGAAAGTTCATGTCTCAGCACAGTTTGGGCTGGAATGACTCCCATATAGATGCTGATAAACCTTTTTCCAGAGGCTACAAATTCTGTTGTGTGACATCCACAGCTCCTGAATGTCACCAACTAGGAGGTTACTCAGATTCTCTTCCACTGCAGGAGTGACAATTGATAACTCACTGTGAGTGCAAAGTAATACTGCTAATTTTTAAGACAAGGATGACAATGTTTTATAGGATAACTCCCTGAGGATATTTGAGAGAGGAGTAAGCAAAAAGAATTGAGGAGTATAAGGAGCCAGTTGGAATCATTTTTTAGACTCAGGACATAGCAAATTAATCATTTGGAGCATCTGTCATTTGTTATTCATTTAGCAAATTTTTATGTAGCACCTACTGTGTGCATTGTTCTGGCCACTGGCAACAATGTGGATCCTACATCCATAAAAGCTACCATCTAACAGAGGATGTGGATATTTACAAACTAGAGTAATGAAAGAGGAAGTTATTGGGGGATCTGGGCAAGGAGGCAACCTTGAGCTGAACCCTTAAGGAGCAAGAGCAAAAAGCAACTCTAGAAGTCTGTGGACATGGGCTCAAACAGTCTGTCCCTGGTTCGTGGAAGAAGTTGATGGGTTGTGAACAGGTTACTTAGGAACTAGGAAGTCAATGTTAGAATATCGCTAAGATGGGCAATACTTCAGAGATTCCCCACAGAAGCTCAGAGGGAGTCTTAGGGGAAACCTCGCTCTGCCTCACGTTCATTAGCTAATTCTTCTAATCCACTCAGTTGAGTGGTGGTTTCTATCAAGTGTGTCAGTTTGGTCCTTTGGAAAGCAGACACCAAGACAGAGTTTGAAGTGCAAAAGATTTATTGGAAGTAACACCTAAGATATGCGGAGAGAAAGCAAGATATCCAGAGAAAGAAAACCTTCACACCATGGTGCAGGCTGACACCTCTAACAGGTGAGAGTGAAGGAAAAAAGATGGGGTAGGAGAGCCTCAGCTGGTGGTGCAGCCAAGAGAAAGTCTTCGCCAGGCCCACAGGAAGCTCCAGCACAGAGAGAACATAGAGAAGCCCTACAGTGGGCAGAGATGTCCAGGCCTTGTTGCCCTGTCATCTTCAGGCATTGGTTGAGGGCTGCCTAAGAAAAATACAGCCTCAGCTTAAATGCTGCAAGGGCTCCTGAAGGTGTCACAGCTGGAGGCTGTCAGCTACGTGTGCTCCTCACAGCCCAACAGCATGTCTTTCCTGAAGGAAGAGCCAAATGTCATTTATCCATGGCTGCAACACACAGCCACATGGCTTGGTAGCAGTAGAGGTGAGACTAGGCCATCACTTGCACAATTTCAGGGAGGAGCTAATTCAGGAAAACACATTGGAGATATTTTTACCTTTCGTCTATAGCTGTCTGCTTAGGAACAAAAGGAAAGGCAGTTTCTTGCATGACTCAGCTTTTAGCTTAATTTTTCCCTTTGACAGAGTAATTGGGGTCCCAAGTTTTTATTTTCCTTTCACACCTGCTTACAGAAACTTTGGGTTCCCTGAGTTCAGGCTTCCTCTCCTGCGGTCGATGCACATGCAGGCATCACCTGACCCTCTTCACATTGCCCTGGGGGATCTGGGGCTCAGGGAACCAGCACAAAAGTGCAGCTACCTTGGCTACTCTTACTGCTGTCAGTAAAAAACTGTCCTTTGTCTCTGACCCAGGAATCTCCTATCTTCTGCCAGCACCAGTGAAAATGATTGCTAGCTTGCAAGAAGGGTAAAATCTCAGAGCCTTCACGGTTCTTTCAAATTCAAACGTACTGGGAGAGAAAACATGCACGTATAAGAATACCAAGATGGAGAAGACGCAATAAGCTTCTCAGCAAGATAACCAGAGTATAAATGGGGTAGGAAAATTTCTGTCCCTAAGGAGACCAGGTTCCAAGAAGCGGGGGCCACCCCCACTGGACCTCTCTCCCTCTTCCAGGTTCAAGTCCCCACTTCCCAAGTCAGAGTGAGAGAAATAATAAGATGGGGGAAGCAATGACTGCCTTGACGACCTGGCTATAAATAGCCAATATTTATGTTAAATAATAAGAGTGAAAATAAATAGCTGTCACAGGATCTCATTTCTGGAGTTATTTATAGGCTTCATATGACAACCTAATGAGATGGATCACATTTTAATGCTGCGAAGCTTTTGGTCATAAGATAGTCTATCACAAAGGTCAACATTTCCCTGGAGGGAATCTGGCACCTCAGGAACCAGCAGAGCACGGGTGGTTCTTAATAAGCACTTCTGGGTGCTCTTACGGAGCCCAATTTCCAAAACATCAGTGGAAGATGAACCAAGGAACGCATCCGGCACCCCCACTTAGCAGCAGCCGCTACCCAGTGGCCCTGCCATGGGATATCAGTTCTCCATGCTGATACAGGGCAGTCCCTGTGGGCGGTGCAGCCCACAGATCCTCCACAGTATCACTCTAGCAGGTTCTAGGGTGATTTTTTTCACACTTGGTTTTTAGCATTGGTGTGCCAAGGATTCCATCATGAAGTTCCAATCGGGAAGTGCTGAAGCCAGCAGTCCTTCCTCGCAGACACGCTCCTCCCCGCAGCATCTCCCACAGCACTGACTGCTCTTCCGCTGGCCTATCTGCTGGAGGCACGGGTCCCTCAGTCTAATCCTTCCAAATTGCTTTTCTATTCCCTAAAATGGGCCCTGGGGTGGAGGGGTAAAGTAAGGGTCTACACTGAAAAGGCCTCTTCTTGCAGTTGTGTGGAGGAAGGACCGCCTTCGGAAGAGGCTAGGAATCTTAGTAACCAGTACTTGGCCCCCAAAAGCAGAAAAGCAAGTAACAACAACATTTGCCTAACTCTTAATAATGTATCATGTTTTTCATAGGCTTGCCTTTTAACAAATATCATGTATTTTAGACACTTGTTAATTAATTTTTTAAATTGTTAGATAATTGTAGATTCACATGCAGTTACTTTTACCCAGTTTTCCCAGTGGTAACATCTTGGCAAAACTAGAATACGATTTCACCGCCAGGTATTGACATTGATGCAACCCATGTGTCATGTTCAGATTGCCCAGTTATATATGCACAAGGACTCATCTGTGTGTATGTGTTTGTGTGTGTGTGTTCGTGTGTGTGTGTGTGTTTAGTTCTATACGATCTTCTCACATATACATTGGTGTATTCACCCCCACAGTCAAGATACCAAACATACTGAACATTTTCATCACCCAAAGGATCCCTCCTGCTGTCCTTTCATGGCCACATCCACCACTGCCCTCCCCGACAATTAACTTAGTAATATTTTATTTTAGGAATAATAAAGTATTGGTGAGCTGTAAACTGGTACAGCCACTCCGAAAAACAGTTTAGTCATTTCTCATAAAACTAAATATGCAACGCCCGTACAGTTGTGTTCTTGAGCATTTATCCCGGAGAAATGAAAACTTACATTCACACAAAAACTTGCACCATGAATGTTCATGGCAGCTTTATTTGTAGTAGTCAAAAATGTGTAATCGTCAACCCAGATGTCCTTCAGCTCACAGGTGAATGGTTAAACACTGTGTGCACACCCAGACTGTGGAACACCACTCAGCCATTAGACGGAATGGACTGTTGATACATAAAACTTGGATGAATCTCCAGAGAATTATGCTGAGTGAAAAAAGCCAATCCCAAAAGGTTCCACACTGTATGATGCCATTTACACATCATTCTTGAAGTGACAATATTTTGGAAATGGACAGACTGCTTTCAAGTGCTCCTTATCACGGCCTTGGGGCAGGAGGCAGCATTTGCTGGTATGGTGATCAGTAGTGAACCCATAATGAAGGCTGGGTCAACAAAAGCATTGCATTTGCCCCCTTAGCCTGTTTCCTCCCCATCACTCATTTGTATCTGCCCTGGGTAAAACACTCAATGGCACACAAAGAAATCTGAGATCCAGCCACGGCAGTTAGTATTACATGATGAACCTGGGTCACACATGATGTAACTGGGATTATCTTTCCAGAACCCTCTTCCATGTAGAGAGTTGGCCAAAAGAGGGGTTCTGCCTGAGATTTGCAAAATGGAAGTGAAGCAGCAGCTTGTACCCTGAAGGTTGTCATGGCCTCTACAGTGACAAGCAAACACAGAGCTGCCCTCCCTCCTCTGGGCCTGACCCTTCCCACTGACCACAAGAGGCCCCAGGCCCAGCAGCAGACATTGAGCCTGGACTTTATGCTAGAGGTGGTGGCAGTCCATAGACCCCACCTACTCCCCTTTGTGCCCCATGGCCCATGCTCTGACTTGCCTTTCTTGCCACAGGCCAGGGATTCAGGAAGGCTGGTTGATGCCTTTTCTCAGATTCTCCAACACCCCTTGTACTTTTCTGCCCAGCTCCCCCATGGTCCTGCAGGGTCTAACCACTGGAAAGAATCCCTCATCTGCACCATGCATCTTGCTTCTGCTCTCCTGCTGGGACCCTGCCCTGCAAAGCTCACCAGGAAGATAGCTCCCCACAACAGCCAGCAGTCCACAGAACCATGGCGGGACAGGAGGCATGAACTCCAGGAATCACCAGGGCTGACCTTCTGGCAGAGAGGAGACAAGTTCCGATTGGAAGTGAGGAGGAGTTCTGAGTAGGGGCAAGGAGGGAATAACATACAGGGTTTGAGACTATTTTATTCACCCGTTCACTCAGCAGACTTTCCTGGGACCTGCTGTGTCCCTGCTCACACCAAGTCCTCACCCTCTGGTGGGGTCAGGAGTCAAGAGATGGTGCTGGGCCAGGCTGGCACCAAAGGCTGGCTTCCCACCACCAGGAGCTCAGATCCGGACAATCCCCAGGGAATGTTTGAACCACGGCCCAAGTCATTGGAACCCAGAATGACTGCCAAGACACACTCATGGCATAATTTGCCCAGGGGCTTGGGCTTCCCACCTGCAGATGGAATATTTTCGGGAAACTGCACAGGAGGCTCGAAGGCCTGCCAACAAGTAATGCAAACCATCTAATCAGCCCACTGTGATGTCGGCACCCACTAGGAACCAAAATATATAACCAGAGTCATGGAGGTAAATTTCAGAAGACAATTCGGCCATCTCAGAAACAAGAAAGCCCCACAGGTAAGTAACTGTGAATGCAGGCTGCAGCTGGACCGTTGCGGCAGCCAGGGAAAGAGTTGTGGGAAGGAGTCATCAGGATGAGATAGAGAAGACAGCTGGAGACGGCAAGAAGTCAGCTGAACAGCTGAGATGGGCGAACAAGGAGCCACCGTTTACTGCAGCTCTGCTCCCACACGCTGCCGAACACGCCTCTGGGCTTTCCAGATGGTTTCTCCTGTTGATTCTGTGCTGAAAGCCCTGCCCCTTGGAGAAATACCTGGAGGATCCAAGTGGCTTCCATTCAGAGAAGGACAAATTCAAGAAGCTATGCTATGACCTCTGTGTGCAATGAAAAATCAAACTGGATTGATGTACCACAGTCAACAAGAAGGTTAAACGGAAGATATGAAAAATGCAATCATGCCTTGGACAACACATACTGGACACTTACCATGAGTGGGGCAGTGGAGTCAGGAAAGCATGCGATGTTAACTCACACGCCCAGCCGCTGCTCTCATCCAGTGTCTCATGGCTTCGAGGGAAATAATAGCAACAGCAAGCCACGTTAAGACAGAGTCTTGCTGCTTCTTTGAGTGACACTGGAAGAAAGCATCCCTGTTCAATAATGGGAGGGCATGTTGCTGTCTAAGTCTTGGCAGTATCAGAAATCCCCTCTGGCACAGCAAGTGGTCAGCACAAGGGTGTAGCCAACTGCACCCACACCAGGAGGACATGGTCTGGGGGGCCAAAGGTACAGGCTGATGCCTCATCCAGCTGGGAACCCATGCTCTGCACATGGCAGGCAGCACTTGAGCAAGGGAGGGCTACAGAGAACACCAGCTCTGGGGCAGATGGGACTCGGGGATCACCAGTGGTACCTTAAATAATTGGCTGCTCTGTTAAATGGAACCTCTCGCACCTGCCTTGCTGAGCTGCGGTGAGGATTAGAGACCACGTAAGTGAAGCACCCAGTGCCTAGCAGGCCTACAGTAGCAGCTGCCCGCAGGAGTAGCGGCAAAAGCAGTGGTAGAAGATGGAGTCTACAAATCTCTGCAACATGCAAGCTGGAGACACGCAAAGTTGAAACGTGGATGTGGATGTCCTCTCCAAGAATGCCCATGGGAATGCAGTCCAGACAGAAGAATGGAAGCAAAGCTTCTTCGGCCATCAGCTAGTTTTCTTGGGAGTGTTCAGGAAAGAAGGTTATCGAACTGCCTGGTCAAGGTCACTGCTGTGAGCAGACAGGCATGGCCCTGGAGGGCCTCCTGGGATTCCCACAGAAAGTCTCCCAGAGTTCTCCTAGAGGAGGCTGACCCTTCTCCACTGGCACCTGTCCCTTTGTTGGCAGGGGTTGCCCCAGGGACATAAACAACCTGCATCTTTCACTATGTTTGCAGACAAGCCATCTCTGCTGCTAAAAGACCACCAGTCACTCTCCTGGGTGGTGGGAGCCTCTCCAGCTTGCTACAGTGCATCCTTCCAGGGAAAGTGATCCAGCTGCCCTGAAACCCTGGCCTGGGGTTCAAAATTCTTGAAGCTTGGAATTGGGGGGCTGGCCTTTTAGCTCTCTCCTATGCATCTATGTGCATCATTAACTCCTTCTATGGGTTTTCTAAGCAAGATGTAAAGCTCCCTAAAGGGCAGAAATCTTGTCTCAGAGTTCCTGTTATTGTCCCAAGACCTGCACACATCTCTACCTATTTGAGGTGCTAAGTACAGTGAAGCACCATGCAACAACATTTCAGCGAAGGACAGGCTGCATATACAAAGGCGTTTTTAATGAGCTGCCCTATGGAGGGATACCATGTTTTATCTTTTATACCATATTTTTACTGTGCCTTATCTACGTTTAGATAGATTTAGATACACAAATACCACTGTGTCTGGTTGCCTGCAGTACTCAGTACAGTCCCATGCTGTACAGGTTTATGGCCTAAAAGCAATGGGCTGAACCCTATAGCCTGGGTTCATAGCAGGTTCTACCATCAAGGTTTGTGTGAGTGTATTACAGGATGCTTGCACTATGACAAAATTGCCTAACAATGCATTTCTCAGGACGTATATCTGTTGTGAAGCAATGCACAACTGTATTTTCTGACTACTGTTCTTGCCTGCTGATAAGTGAGAACCAAGTGCATAAACTCTAAGAGTCCCTTTGGCATTCTTGGTTTAACCTGTGTATTAGTCAGGGAAACAGAACCAATAGGGTGTGGGGGTAGGGGCAGTGGTGAGAGCGAAAAACAGAGAGAGTCAGGCAAGCCTCAAGATCGGTGGGGCTAACGGGCAAGCTGGACCCCGGGGCAGCCAATGGTGTCAGTTACTGTCTGAAGGCCACGGGCTTGAGACCCAGGGAGAGCTAGTTTTCCATTCATGTCCAAAAGCAACAAAAAAACCAGTGTCCCAGCCGGCTCGGTGGCTCATGCCTGTAATCCCAGCACTTTGGGAGGCCGAGGCAGGCAGATCACCTGAGGTCAGCAGTTTGAGACCAGCCCGACCAACATGGGGAAACCCCATCTCTACTTAAAAATACAACATTAGCCAGGTGTGGTGGTGCATGCCTGTAATCCCAGCTAGTCAGGAGGCTGAGACAGGAGAATTGCTTGAACCTGGGAGGCAGAGGTTGCAGTGAGCCGAGATTGTGCCATTGCATGAACCTGGGAGGCGGAGGTTGCAGTGAGCCGAAATTACGCCATTGCACTCCAGCCTGGGCAACAAGAGTGAAACTCCCTCTCAAAAAAAAACAAAAAAACAATGTCCCAAACCAAAGGCCATAAGATGGGAAGAATTTTCCTTTCATCAAGGGAAGGGCTGCCTTTTTATTTTATTCAGGCCTTGAATGGATTGGCTGAGGCCCACCCACATTAGGAAGAGCCTGCTTTCCTCAGTCCACTGATGCAAATGTTAATCTCATCCAAAATAATGTTTGACCACATATCTGGGCACCCCATTGCCAAGTCAAGTTGACACATAAAATTAACCATCACCTCTTGTAATTTAATAGAATTCATTTCCTTGATAATCCTGTGCTCTGGTTTTCTATTGCTGAGTGACACCAGCACCCCCTCCAAAAACAAACAAACAAACAAAAAGAAAACAAAATAAAAACAAATTTAATGGCCTAGAGCAACCACTTTCTTTTGCTGACAGTTTTGTGGATCAGGAGATTGAGGGAGACTCACCTGGGAAGCTTGATTCTGACTACACAGCATCCCCTGCATATTCCTCTCCACTCAGTCTGCTGCCTCCTTGGTGCTCCTTGGTCTTCCTCTGAACATGGTACCTCATTACACGGGCCTTGGCCTTCCCACAGTGTGGTGGTCTTAGGCGGTCATGCTTCTTACACAAGCCTGCTTCTCACAAAGAGGGAAGAGGTGCTGGGACGGTCAAGAGCTACATTCAGAGCTGCTACACCATCACTCCCTCCATATTCTATTGGTCCAGGGATTCTCAGGGCTTCCTGAATTCCAGGAGGTAGAGAAATGGACTTGGTGGGGGAGTGACAAGTTCAGATGAGAGAAAAGCATGTGGCCTGGGGGACACCATCACACTACCTTTAGAAAGTACAATACACCCATCCCATGTGTTTTATTGTATTAGTCTGTTCTCACGCTGCTATAAAGAAATACCTGAGATTGTAATTTACAAAGAAAAGAGGCTTAATAGGCTTACAGTTCTTTAGGCTGTACAGGCTTCTGCTTCTGGGGAGGCCTCAGGAAACTTATAACCATGGCAGAAGGCAAAGAAGAAGCAGGCATGTCACATGGCCAGAGCAGGAGGAAAAGAGAGAGAGAAGGAGATGCTATGCGCTTTTAAACAACCAGATCTCATGAGAACTCACTCACGATCATGAGAACAGCAAGAGGGAAATCCACCTCAATGATCCAATCACCTTCCACCAAGCCCCTCCTCCAACACTGGGGATGAAAATTCCACATGAGATTTGAGGGGTGGGTGGGGGCACACATCCAAACTATATCATTTATTTTATTTATTTCATATATTAGAAACATCATTCTGATCAGGCATCCATAAGGTTCACCACGCTGCCAGAGGGGTGCACGGCACAGGCAGTGAGAACCCAGCATCAAGTAATGGCTTTATTCCTCTGGAGGGTTGGAGAGAACCAGCTCAACTGTTTATTGCATGGAACTCAACAGTATTTGAACTGTAGCCTGGCAGATCTATCAACATGCTTACTGTCCTAAATTCATCACAAGGACTTCAAACACATTCTATCTATATTTATTTATTTATTTATTTATTTTTGAGACAGAGTCTCACTCTGTCGCCAGGCTGGAGTGCAGTGGCACCGTCTCAGCTCACTGCAACCTCCGCCTCCCAGGTTCAAGAAGTTCTCCTGTCTCAGCCCCCGGAGTAGCTGGGACTACAGGCACAGGCCATCATGCCCAGCTAATTATTATTATTATTTTTTTTTTTTTTTTAGTAGAGACGGAGTTTCACCATGTTGCCCAGGCTGGTCTCGAACTCCTGAGCTCAGGCAATCTGCCCACCTTGGCCTCCCAAAGTGCTAGGATTACAGGTGTGAGCCACCGCACCCGGCCTGCATTCTCTTTAAAAATCTCAGTAAAGGCTGGGTGCGGTGGCTCACGCCTATAATCCCGGCACTTTGAGAGGCCAAGGAGGGAGGATCATTTGATGTCAGGAGTTCAAGACCAACCTGGTCAATATGGCAAAACCCTTTTTCTACTAAAAATACAAAAATTAGCCGGGCATGGTGGTGGGTGCCTCTAATCCCAGCTACACGGGAGGCTGAGGCAGGGGAATGGCTAGAACCTGGGAGGCGGAGGTTGCAGTGAGCTGAGATTGTGCCAGTGCACTCCAGCCTGGGTAACAGAGCTAGGCATTATCTCAAGAAAAAAAAAAATCTCAGTCAAGGGTAAGCTGCAAATAGGGGCGGCCTACACCTCTGCGGTCACATTTCACCCTGACCTCTCCCATTTCCGAGTTGCCAACATGCTCTCTGCACTGCCACACCCATCTTGTGGTCAGGCCTGAGGCCCTCTTATGGGAATGAGGGTGACAAACTCTCCCTGACAGAGAGGCAGGGACCCCAACAGGGGCACCACCCCATGGCTTGCTCACAGAGTTATAAATTGTAAGTCACGGCCAGCACTGGGAAGCTGCCTCCCCTCTGGCCCTGGCCGGCACCCTTGAGCACACCGGAAGCTGCTGGCATCTGAGCTGTCCCTTGCTGCGGATGCGTCTGCAGACACATGACACTTGGCTCAGAGTTCCCTGGGCCTCTGCAGACAAGAGCGGCCTGAGATTACCATGAGATAGGAGGACACCTGCTCTACTCGCACTTCCAGGGAACGCAGCACGGCAAGCTCCTGTCATTTTCCAGACTTTGAGAAAAGGATGTTCACTTGCTTCCCAGCTTCTTGCTTCATCAGACAATTGACTCAGAAAGAAAAATGCTCATTGGATTTCTCACCTCCTCTGTCAGTGCTGCGTAAACAGATCAGAAAAGGCAGAGGGATGTGGGGTCCGGCCTCCTTGATGAGAGAGTGAGTCACCAGCTTGTGGGGGGTGATCGATAGTGCAGAAATTAGTCATGAAATCTGAATGAAAACAAAAGAGCTGATCCCATCCTGTGGCTCGTGGTACCACAGAGACAGTCAATGAAAACAGCCTTGAACACAGGCAGATGCAGAGATCAACTCCACAGAGCTCAGAGAGCGGCTCACCTCCCTATCCCAAGTTCAAAATCCCAGCATCCTTATCGAGGAAAAGTCCCTCGCAGCAGGGAGGAGAGAAGAGAAGCAGAGGGAGGGAGGGAGAGAGTGAGGGAGGAGAGGGGCCTGACACTCAGGCTGAGTCTGGGACACCTTGCAGCAGCGTGGCCAGCCTTCCCTTCCACTGGACCTCGGTGGCCAAGGGCTACTCCCAGTCCCTTCCACATGCCCCTGGCCGAGCACTCAGGTCACTTTTAGTTTGCCTGCAGAAAAAGGCAGTCAGAGGACAAACGGCCTTTGACCCCCCCACTCTCCTGGTGCTGGAAAGGAGGCAGCGCCCAGCAAATGGGACTCTCCCTGGAGCCATAAGGACTAGGAGGGCTGGCATTTGGCTGAGTAGCCAGGGTATTTTTATCCACTCTGTACAATCTGATTTTTTTAGTTGGCATACTTTCAGACAGAATTTTCCTATTAAAATGTGCTAAAATTATGCCTGAAGAGAAAGCCCATTGTATACAGATAACTCCCCACAAAAGGCCCTCTGATTGCACAGGCCCCACGTGACTCCAAAAAGCACTGGGGTCGGCCGGGCGTGGTGGCTCACGCCTGTAATCCCAGCACTTTGGGAGGCCAAGCAGGGTGGATCACCTGAGGTCGGGAGTTCAAGACCAGCCTGACCAACAGGGAGAAACCCCGTCTCTACTAAAAATACAAAATTAGCTGGGCATGGTGGCGCATGCCTGTAATCCCAGCTGCTTGGGAGGCTGAGGCAAGAGAATCACTTGAACTTGGGAGGCAGAGGTTGCAGTGAGCCGAGATTGCCTGATTGTACTCCGGCCTGGGCAACAAGAGCGAAACCCCGTCTCAAAAAAAAAAAAAAAATCAGAGGTCTAGCCCAGCAGGACATGTATGGCCAGCTCTCCCTGCAGGGTGAGAGGGACTTTGGAGAAAGGAGGACCAGAAGGAGAGCAGCCCTTCCCATCTTCTCTTCCCCTGGGCCAGGAGAGTGCTTTGGGATGAGGGACGTCCCACACCACAGACTGCAACCCAGCGCTTTGAAAGAAGTTTAAAGAAAATGTTAGGGTTTGGACAAGGCCCAGCTGGGCAAGAGATTCTTGTTTTCTAACCAGGAGAATACACTTGCTGCTAAAACATACAGAGGAAGAGATTAACATAGTAACGAAGCAAAGCAAGGAGGAGAAACAAAACCGTCTGTACTCAACAAGAGGGTGCCCCGCCCAGCCTCAGCTCCTCTAGCCAACAGGAGAGCTGCCACCCAGGTAACCCGGTTCTTGGGTTCACCCAGGTAACAGGCTGTTCTCGGGTTCGCCCAGGTAACAGGGTTCTCGGGTTCACCCAGGTAACAGGCTGTTCTCAGGTTCACCCAGGTAACAGGTTTCTCAGTTTCACTCAGGTAACAGGGCTGTTCTAAGGTTCACCCAGGTAACGGGCTGTTCACGGGTTCGCCCAGGTAACAGGGCTGTTCTAAGATTCACCCAGGTGACAGGCTGTTCTCAGGTTCACCTGTATAATAGGGCTGTTCCCAGCTTACCTTGGTAACAGAACTAACCTCAGGTTCATCCAAGTAACAGGCTGTTCTGGTGCTCACCCAGGTAATAGGGCTGTTCTTAGGTTCATCCAGGTAACAGCTGTTCTTGTGCTCACCTGGGTAACAGGGATGCCCTGCTAATGCCAGGGAGGAAAGCCAGACTCTTGGGTAGAAAGAATCTGATAGCAGCCTGGCTCTCTTTGCCTCTGTTAAGCATCACTGTGTTCAATCTCCATTTTTAGAACTCCACATTAAAAGGTCAAGTGCCTTCTAAAGTATTTATTTTCTCTCCAGTGTTTGTGCCCTGATTGAAATGACAGCACCATGCTGCTTCCCTCGCACCCACATCAAGCTTGATCCACTTGGCACAGGTTATTTTTTACCCGAATGGCCAAAGAAGCCTGAAATTCACAGCATTTGGGGTTCTGTTTTTTCTTAATCTGGCTGTAACCCTGACTCCTAGAGCCACAAAAACACGTGGCCACTCAGAAAAAGCACAGGTGTCCTTCCTCCCATGGCCAGATTGGTGGAATGCACCTGCCAAGTCTTCACCCCCATGGGCTTTACCTCTGAACATATGATCTTGCTAAAGTAAACCCAGCTCTGCCCACCTGTAGGACCCCACCATCCCAGAGGTGGCCTTCCGGAGCCCTGCCTGAGGGCTTGCAGAAAGCTCACGGCGTGGATGTCTGGATTGCTGGCAGGCCTTCTCCCTGATCTGGCTGTGTCTTGTCGCCTCTTGCTCTGGGCTTCCTGGCCAGTCACTGTGTCACAGAACTCCATGAACTTCTCTCCCGCTGTAGCTCTCCAGAACAGCCCAAGGCGTGGCCACACTTCACCTTGGATTCCCCACAACAGAGAATATCAGGCTCCAGTGTTCCAGGTCCAGCTTCCCAGGGGCTCCTGGGAACCAGGCAAGAAATCACAACTCTGAGGAGAAAGCCAAACCCTGTTTATCAAAGATCCCTGTGTCCTTGTCTATTGGCCAGGCCCCAGGACTGGTGTCCCCTCTCCAGAGTCCAGGCCTCCTTTCTCCAGGGGCCTCATTTCCAGAGCAGGCAGGGTACAGGCACTGTTGGATTCACCCGCACAGCTCTGAGAGTGGGCTTGGCCCATTTGCGGAACCCCGAACCAGGGATGCCAAGGTTCTGTGCACTCCAGGCTGCTCAACCCCAAACTCCAGAAGCAGGTGAAAAGAGAATGTGGCTGGAACGCTCTTCTAGCAAGGTCCTCGAGTTCTTGGACCAGAAAGACAAAACCCTTCTCCCATGGGAAAAACAGACTTCTAACCCTAGAGCACACAAAACCAACTCGCACCATTAAGCCCAGCCATTCACATTCTTTTTCGCAACTCTCCACCTTCCCAAGGGCAAAGCAAAGCCTTCTTTCCAAGACAAGTCCCATCTCTCACCCCAAAAGAAGAGCAGGGGTAGTTGACGGTGAAAACTCATAACAGATAAGTGAAGAACTTCGTCCTCACATCAGCCCTGGGGGCAGAATTCCCGGCCCAGCACAGAGCCCATCCGGGTAGGAGGGACAGCGGCCTGCGTGACGTGGTTGTCAGAGACAGCCTCGTGCTTCCATATCGCCACCCGCAGAGCACAACAGTTCAGTCTGCGATTTCAACTCCAGACCGTATTGACAGAAGCAAAGAAAACAACAGCTAAAACCAGAAGGTCTCACCAGGGAGCCTATGTTAAAAATAAAAATAAATAAAATACTTGGAACATTCTTTTCTGCAGGAACATCTACTCCCTTTTCTACTTAATCCTGGCCTCCTTTCTTCTCTCCCTCTTTTCCTAATGAGCCCCTCTGGCTGCTGCCCAGCGTGGTGGCTCCTCCTCCCCCCATGCCCACTGCTACTGTGTCCTGGGCCTGCCCTGGGACCGCCCAACCCTGTCGAGTGCACCCTGCCTGCAGTACCCTCTGGGCCCTACCCAGTGGCCACCACCGCTAAGATGATCAGGCAAGTTGGGAATGACAAGTATGCTGTGCCTGGTGTCTTACGGAAGACTGCAAAACCCAAAACAAGCGCTCTCCTTGCCCAGGAGGGTTACTCTCTTCTCCTAAAGAGTTTGCTCTCCCACTCTCCGGAGCAACCATTGCACAAAGCCTCTGTCCTCAGCCTCACAGCGCCCCCCCCACCACCACCCACAAGCTGCCCTTCAGGGAGAAAACCAAAGCCAGCAGGCAGTGGCTGTCTTGTCCATCATCGGCCCCCAACCCCTGACTTCTGGGCTTCCATGCACCAGGCACCTCTGGACACAGTGAAGCAGAGCAGCCCTTTCTCCAGGTGCTGAACTCTGCATCCCCCACCACCATCTTCTCAGAGATGCCTCTTTTCCTGCACCATTGTGTCCCCTCTCTACCAGACCATTCCAATAGCAAGAAAACATGCTTTATGTTGGTCTTTTAAATTTTCATTTTGTATTGACCCCGCATTTTCCCCCACCAATAGCCCTATTTTGCCATTACCTGTTATGCACCAAACAGTGCTGTCTGCAGATGCTATCTGTGCTATCTCTGCTTCCAGCTCCTGCACGGCCATCCCCCATCCCCATACTGCCCCCTCCACCCTCTGGAATGGCTGGTCAAGGTCATGAAGAACCTCCAGTGGCCTCTCACTGAGTTGGTGGATGGATGCAAAATGTATTTTGAAATGAGAAGGTGAAGACTGCAGGACAATGTGAGGGTTTATTGTATGTGGAAGGCAAGGAAAAGAGCAGAATCAAGGGCAAGGGCTGCCTGTTGGGCTTGAGTCATTTACTGAGATGGAAAAGTCTAGGAAGGAGCAAGTTTGGAAGCTTGGGGGTAAATTAAGTCTCTTTTTGGCCACATTAAATATGAGATCCTGATTGGATTTTCAAATAGCAGTGTCAAGATGGCAGTTGGGGCCAAGTGCAGGGTCTCATGCCTGTAATTTTAATGCATTGGTAGGCCAAGGCAGGAAGATCACTTAAGTCCAGCAGTTTGAGACCAGCCTGGGCAACATAGTGAGACTCCATCTCTACAAAAAATTTTAAAATTAGCCAGGCATGGTGGCGTAAGCCTGTGGTCACAGCTACTTGGGAGGATTCCTGGAGTCCACGAGGTCAAGGCTGCAGGGAGCTGTGATCATGCCACTACACTCCAGCCTGGGTAACAAAGTGAGACCCTGTCTCTAAAGAAAAAAAAAAAAAAAAAGGAAGGCAGTTAGTCATGTGCTTGGTGCTCAAGGAGAGGCCAGTATGCAGACACATACCTGGAGCTATTGGCACTAAGATGACATTTAAGGACAAGGAACTGGACAGGAGTCTCTGGAGAAGCCAAGACCTAAGCCCCTCAGGGCTCCACAGCCTGTAAGGATGAAACAGAGAGAAGGGGTTGTGGGGAGAGACCAAAGCAGGAGGAAAACAGGAGGGCGTGTTATCCAGGAGTCCACTAAAGAGTGGGCTCAGATGCTGCAAGAGATGAGTTAACTCAGAAGAGGGCCTTTGTGTTTGTCAGCAAAGCCACATCAGCTGCAACCTTTCAAAGCCAGGGACGATATAGTGTCTTAGTCTGCTTTGTGCTGCTCTAATAGAATATCACAGACTGAGTAATTTTATAATCAACAGGAATTTATTGGCTTGTGGTTCTGGAGACTGGAAAGTCCAAGATCGAGGGACCAGCATCTGGCGAGGCCTTCTTGCTGCATTACTCCATGGCAGAAGGTGGAAGGGCAAGAGAGGACAAGAAAGTGGGAAAAGGGGGCCAAACTTGTCCTTTTATAAGGAACTCACTCCCTTGGAATAGCAGCATTACTCCATTCATGAAAGCAGAGTCCTCATGGCCTGAGCACTTCCCATTAGGCCCCACCTCCCAACACTGTTGCATGGGGCCTAAGTTTCCCACACATGCTTTTTGGAGGACATATTCAAACCACAACATGTGGGTTGGAAGTGTGTTCTATGCCCAAGAAAAATAATGAACCTGACATAATTGCATGAAGAAACAAACCTCCAAACTGACACGGAAGGTGGAACAAAAGCTCAGCAAATGAGCCCTGGTGCGTTCAGACAGCCACACTCAGCACAGTTGCCATCAGAGCACCCAGAACCTTGATTTTCTGGACCTAAACACACATTGAGATCCCTGATGAGGGAGCTATTAACTTCCCTTTCATTTCTAGTAAGTTCCACTCCAGAACCAGAGGGGACCCTTTGGAGTTGCCACAAGCCTCCTTGTCTTATACCTAGGCTCTTCTCTCTAGCTCTTCTGGGCTAGGTAAGCACATACATTCCCATGCCCTGTGGGTAAGCACAAACATTCCCAGCCACTGGAGGTGACTGGTTCTTCCAGGCAGACAATGCTTCCCTTTCCACCGGAACATGCCCATTCTGGTTTGTGAGGACTTGCAGCCACGGGGACTGTCACTCCACACAACAAAGGCAAAGGCACGGCACTGCTCCCCGTGGCTTGCCCCAATCCATGGATTTCTAAGCAAATCTAGAAGACCAAATGCTAAAAAACAAACAAACAAAAACTATTAACACAATGACTTGCAGATGAACAGCCCAGGGCTATGGGGTGGGAGGAGTTGAAGACTCCTCATTGGGTTATTGGTGTTGTTGTTTTGTGTTTTAGTAAGGAAAAATGTGCTAAACCTTCTGTGCCTGGGGTGTGTTATTATACGACAACCAAAGGCCAAAGTTTCCAGCTTTGCTACTTGGCAGTTTTTTTAGTGGATTCATTAGCTATTTCATCTCCTTATCAGGCTGAAATGTAATAAAGATTCTAACAATATTCTAAATTCCTGGCAGAGTTACACAACCAACGAGAACCACCAGTGTTCTCTACTCAAAGCCTCCTAGAAATGTCAAGTGTTCTTGTTGGTTTTAAGGAAATAGCATAAAAGTAACTTTCAAGCTGCAGTGGCTGAGGCCCTTGGAGGACATAATTCACACCCAGGAGAGGGGATGCTGCCGGGCGATGGCTCTCACAGCACGACGCCTTCATCTCTGTCTCGCTGCCTCTTTGAGTGTCACTGTGCATCTCTGTGGTGCCTTTGTCTGTGCTTCTCTCTATAGCAAAAGGAATATATTCAGTTAGCTTCCAATTTTACTGGTGGGAGTGAATAACTTATAGCCATAGCCAGAGATGCTAGAGTTATTCACAATGTACCACAGGATGTTTCTGTGGTCCTACCAGATTTGGGGTGCAAGGTGCAAACCAAAAATAAAATTCTAAGGCCTCCCAACCATCTGAATGAACTTTCTTCTCAGCCAGTGCTCTTAAAATTTAACCTGAAAGACTGGGTCAGGGCCCAAAGGGAAATGGGAATCAGACATGCCTCATTACACCTCTCTACATTAACATCAACACCGACTTTAAGTCTGATAAGAAACATTTTACAGCCTATTCTCTCTGAAGCCTGCTACCTGGAAGTTTCATCTGCATGATAAAACTCTGCTCTCCACCACCTCTTATGGCAACCCAGACATTCCTTTCTATGGATCCCAGGTCTTTGAATAAACTCAACCAATTGTCAACCAGAAAATTTTAAAATCTATCTATAAGCTGGAAGCATCCCCAACCCCCTTGCTTCAAGGTGTCCCATCTTTCTGAACCAAACCAGTGTATTTTTTTTTTCCTTGAGGAGTCTTGCTCTGTTTCACTGCAACCTCCGCCTCCTGGGTTCCTGCCTCAGCCTCCTGAGTAGCTGGGATTACAGGCACACACCACCATGCCCGGCTAATTTGTGTATTTTCAGCAGAAATGGGGTTTCATCATGTTGGCCAGGCTGGTCTCAAACTCTTGACCTCAAATGATCCTCCCACCTCATCCTCCCAAAGTACTGGGATTACAGGCGTGAGCCACCATACCCAGCCAAACCAATGTATTTCTTAAATGTATTTGATTGAAGTCACATGCCTCCCTAAAATGTATAAAACCAAACTACATCCTGGTCACTTTGGACACATGTTCTCAGAACCTCCTGAGGGGCTGTGTCATGGGCCATGGTCACTCATATATGGCTCAGAATAAATCTCTTTAAATATTTTACAGAATTTGACTCTTTTCATTGACAAAGGTAAGAGACAAACACAGTACGGTATAAATGTCCCACACATCAGCATGCTGCAGCCCTAGAAGTGTGGTTCAAAATATCCAGTGTGCATGAGAACCACCTGGGTTCTTTGCTAAGTTGCGGGTACCCCCCTAGATCTGCTGAATCAGGGGTTCTAAAAGTGAGAACCAGAAATGTGCCAGTTGATTCCAACTGGATGGGCCTCCAACTACAGTTGGAGAAACACAACCCAACAGAGAGCTGGAATTGCCCTGCTCAGTAGGCTGTAAGGATCACTGGGTAATCAGGGATGAGAACTAGTGAACAGTTCCAGGCTCTTCCATTTCTGTTCCCTGAAGGCTCTGGAATCTGTGTGGCCCTTTGTAGCATTGGGACCCATTCCAGCCAGTTCTCTCCCTTTGTTCTAGATCCTACCAACAGATGACAAGGCGCAATACAGGAGCAATGTCAGGTGGGCCTTCCTGGGTTCTCCGTGAAATTATATGATTTATGAAATGGGTGATAAATTTAGAGACAGTGCAAGGGAGATCAAAGAGTTTCATAAAGGTCAGAATACAGGACCTTAGAGCATTTGTTGCAATCTTAGTAATAACTCAGATTAGAAATGGAAAGAGGATTGCGAGAGGAAGTGTGTCCTTCGTGCTCCCTGGCAAGTGAGCATGTGGGGCTTACGTGCTAGAACACTTCCAACCTCAACCATAGCTGGCACTGAGGTGAGCCACAGCCAACATCATTGGTGTTCTGCCCCGTATTCTTGGGCAACCAGAGCCTCCTGCTGCACACCGAAGCTTGCTCCGTCCACACGCTAGGATTGCTCAGACAGAGAGTGATGAGGGCCAAAGGATGAAGACCCAGCTTACCTGTCCTTCACTGGGGTAATCCTGAGGCACCATCAGCAGGGATCATCAGGGGGTGCCCAGCAGACAGAGCAGATGGAAAATAAGCATTTGAAAATTGGTGTTCAATATTATCAGCCTTCATGGGCATGCAAATTAAAACTGCAATCAGTACACACCTATCAGAAAGGCTAAAATTAAACATTGGCAATACCAAATTCTGGAGAGGATGCAGAGAAGCTGGGTCACTCCTACACTGCTGGTTGGAGTAGAAAATGGTACAGGCACCCTGGAAAACAGTTTGACAGTGGCTTGGGAAACTAAACATCCAATTACCCATACAAACCAGCCATTGCACTCTTGGGCATTTTCTCCAGAGATATGAAAACTGAGGTCCACACAAAACTTTGCACAGAAATGTTTATAGCAGTTTATTTATAGTAATTAAAACTAGAAAAACCCAAATATCCATCAACAGTGAATAGTTAAACAAACCATGGTATATTTATACAAAGTGTCAATGAAAAGAGTCAAACTGTAAAATATTTCAGAAGATTTATTCTGAGCTAAATATGAGTGACCAATGGCCCATGACACAGCCCCTGGAGATCCTGAGAATATGCCCAAGGTGGCTGGGCTACAGCTTGGTTTTATACATTTTAGGGAGACATAAGACATCGATTGATACATATAAGATGTACACTGGTTGGGTCCGGAAAGGCAGGAAAACTCGAAGTAAGGGGCTTCCGGGTGGATTCAAAGATTTTCTTACTGGCAATTGGTTGAGTTTATCTAAAGACTTGGAATCAATAGAAAGGAGGGTCTGAGTAAAGATTAGGGGTTGTGGAGGCCAAGGTTCTTATTACGCATAGGAAAGCTCCAGGTAGCAGGCTTCGGAGAAAATAGATTGTAAATGTTTCTAATCAGACTTTAAAAGTTGCCAAATTCTTAAATTCTCTCCTGGATCAGAAAAATGACCTGGGAAAGGGAAGGGGATTCTCTACAGAATGTAGATTTTCCCCACAAGAGACAGCTTTGCAGGACCATCTCAAAATATGTCAAAGAAATCTATTTTTGGGAAAAATACTTCAATTTCTTTCAAGGCCCACTGTCATGTTGGTACCTTGCCGCTATAAAGAGTCCGCTCTGTTAGTCTTAAGGTCTCTGTTTTAATGTTAATGCCAGTCAGCTATGCCTGAATTCCAAAGGGAGGAAGGTATAATGAGACATGTCCAACCACCTAGTTCCATCACGGCCGAACTAATGTTGCAGGTTTACTTTCAACTGCCCTTGGCCGAGACGAGGGGTCCATTCAGTTGGTAGGAGAGCTTAGAATTTTATTTTTGATTTACACAAGGTGTATCAATCAGCAATCTAAAGGAATAAACTACTGAACTTGGATGAATCTCCAGGAAATGGTGCTGGGTCTTCACCAGCAAACTGCAAAAGGTTACACACTACGTGATTTCTATATAGCATTCTTGAAACGACACAATCATAGAAATAGAGAATAGATTGGTTGTTGCCAGAGGTTAAGGACAGTGGAGTGGGGGACCATGTGTGGCTATTAAAGGGTGACTGGAGGGACCCTGTGGTATTGGAAATGTTCTGATCCTGACTATCAATGTGCATACACTGGTTGAGATACTTTATTTTAGCGTTGAAAAATCCTACCCATTGGAGGAAACTAGGGAAAAGGGTACAACAGGATCCCTGTGTATTATTTCTTACAACTGCATGTGAATCTACAATTATCTCAAAATAAAAACATCTAATTTTAAAAAATGGGACAAAGCAAACAGAAAAAACAATAAATTTGAAGGAATGCCAACATCATGTTCATGCATAAAGGCAAATCTTTTACTGAATAATAATGCACAGCAAGTCGCAGGAGAAAACTTGGGGAAATGATTTCAGAATCCAAAGATTTCATGAATAATGACTACTTCATAGTCACAAACATTGTTTTTAAGTGTCATAAAGGTTCTAATATTTACCCTGAAAACTTATAGCAATATTTTCTTTTTTTTTTTTTTTTTTTTTTTTGAGACGGAGTCTGGCTCTGTCTCCCAGGTTGGAGTGCAGTGGCGTGATCTCAGCTCACTGCAAGCTCCGCCTCCCCCGGTTCACTCCATTCTCCTGCCTCAGCCTCCCGAGTAGCTGGGACTACAGGCGCCCGCCACTACGCCCGACTAATTTTTTGTATTTTTAGTAGAGACGGGGTTTCACCGTGTTAGCCAGGATGGTCTCGATCTCCTAACCTCGTGATCCGCCCACCTCTGCCTCCCAAAGTGCTGGTATTACAGGCGTAAGCCACCGTGCCCTGCCAGAAATATTTTCAAAGCCTGAAACCATTGTTGTTAGTGGACTCTAGATGGATCTCTTAATTGTTAGCCTTCACTACAGGAGAACACAGGCCAAAACCATCTGCAGACAACAAATCATACTCAGGTTGCCAAGAGCATTACCAGTCCCACGTTATTTAAACCATTTCACCAAGAGCTCTTGTTTTACAGCCTTCCATGATGTGTTGACATATTCACACACTTGTGACGTGTGAGCCTCCTCCTTCTTCCTTTTGGAGTGTGAGGTCTGCATCTGCCTCTTTCCCTTCCCTTTTCCCTTGTAGATCTTTCCTTTTTTTTTTTTTTTTTTTTTGAGACACAGTCTCACTCTGTCGCCCAGGCTGGAGTGCAATGGCACAATCTCGGCTCACTGTAACCTCCACTCACTGCAACCTCCGCCTCCCAGATTCAAGCGATTTTCCTGCCTCAGCCTCCTGAGTAGCTGGGGTTATAGATGCCAGCCACCACGCCCAGCTAATTTTTTTGTATTTTTAGTAGAGACGGGGTTTCACCACTTTGGCCAGGTTGGTCTCAAACTCTTACCTCAGGTGATCTGCCCGCCGTGGCCTCCCAAAGTGCTGGGATTACAGGTGTGAGCCACTGTGCCCAGCCCCTTGCGGGTCCTTTCAATGGCTTCTTGACAGTGTATCTCAAAGTCGGGGCTGGCCGACTGAGTCTCCCAGGGATTACAACTGTCCTGTCTGACCAACGAAGGCTTGTCCCAGACTGACAGGGCAAGTTACTTTGGTCACCCGCTGGGACACAGTGTCCACAATGTAATTTCTTTCTTATTCATCCAACCTGTTACATGGACCTAAAAATAAATTGGGGATTCTGTCTTTTGATCTGGATACAGCTTTCTTTAAAAAATTAGAAAAAGGGACAAATTTCATCCCATTAACGAAACATGCTAATACAACTGGTAATATATTTCTCATGTCCCCAAGTTTTAATAGTGGACAATTTAACAAATTTTGCACCTTTGGAGTTGGACTTGATGGTACATTGAATATCAAAGGGACTTAGTTGCCTCACAGTATTCACATGCTCATATGTATTCGTTCTCTACATTAATGGAAAAAACAAATTCTGTCAAATATTTAAAGAGGTTTATTCTGAACCAATATGAATAACCATGGCCCAAGGGAATAGTCTCTAGAGGTCCTAAGAAAGTGTGTCCCAAGCAGTTGGGTTATAGTTTGGTTTTATACATTTTAGGCAGACAGAAGTTACAGGCATCAATACATGTAAGGTTTACATTGGCTCAGCCTGTAAAGTTGTGGAGAGGGTCAGGGCAGAGTAGGGGTGCTTACAGGTCATAGTTGGGTTCAAAGATTTTCTGATTTGCAATTGATTGAAAGAGTTCAGCTTTGTCTAAGAACTTGAACCCAGCAGCAAAAAAAAATGCCTGAGTTAAGATAAGGGGGTTTCAAGAGCCAAGGATAGAGGGTAAATGTCTCTTTTCAGACCTCAAAAGGTGTCAGACTCTTAATCTCTATTTTGATGTTAATGCTGATCAGTTCTGCCTGAACTCCAGAATAGAGGGTGTATAATGAGGCATGTCTGACCCCCCTTCCTGTCGGGAATTCTGTTTTATAGGTTTCTCTGGGGTCCCCTTGGCCTACAGCGAGTCCATTCAGACAGTCAGGGGAAGGCTTAGGATTTTATGTTTGGTTTACATCTATTGCTGTCTAAAAAATTATCCCACAATTTATTGGCTGAAAGCAACAGTAAATGTTTATTATCTCACAGCCTTTGTCAATAAGGAATGCAGGTATGGCTTACCTGGGGGGCTCTTGTCAGGTTCTTACATGTGCTTGCGGCCTAAATGTCAAGTGAATGCTAAAAAAAAAAGAAGCCAGGCTGGGCACGGTGGCTCACGCCTGTGATCCCAGCACTTTGAGAGGCCAAGGCGGGCAGATCACCTGAGGTCAGGAGTCCCAGCCAACCTGACCAACATGGAGAAACCCCATCTCTACTAACAATACAAAATTAACCAGGCATGGTGGCCCATGCCTGTAATCCCAGCTACTCGAGAGGCTAAGGAAGGAGAATCGCTTGAACCCGGGAGGCGGAGGTTGCGGTGAGCTGAGATTGCACCATTGCACTCCAGCCTGGGCAACAAGAGCGAAACTCCGTCTCAAAAAAAAAAAAAAAAAAAAAAGAAGCCAAACACAAAAACACACTGGGATAATGTGACTTATAATAAGCAATACATATATTTGGTTTTCAACTACCTCTCTTTCCTGACATATGGCTCCTAAAACACTTGGAACCTCCCAACTGATAAGTGCCTTTTGTATGCTAAGGAGATGACTGGTGACTGGAGGCTTCTGGACAGCCTCAGGTTAGGGGCTGGTTTCCAGGGGGAACCAACCTTGTGATTAGAGCATCTGGACTTTCAGCCCCATCCCCAGCCTCCAGGGAGGGGAGAGGGGTTGAAAGTTGAGTTGATCACAAATGGCCAATGATTGAGTCAATCATGCCTATGCAATGAGGACTCTATAAAGGACAGGTTTTGGAGAGCTTCTGTATAGATGAACCCATGAAGGTTCCTGAAGGATGGTGCAATCACCCAACCAGATTCTTCTTGCACACAGCCCAGAAAAGTCAGTGCACTGAAAACAGCAGGCGTTGCAGCAAAGAAAGAGTTTAATAATCACAGGGCCAGGCAAGTGAGGAGGACAGAAGATAATTCTCAAATCAGTCTCCCTAAGAATTCAGAGGCTACGGTTTTTAAGGGCACTTTGGTAGACAAGGGTCTAGAGAATGGGAAATACTGATTGGTTGCATTGAGGATGAAATCACAGGGCTGTCAGAACTGTCTTTGTGCAGCTGAGTTCCTGGGATAAGGTCACAGGTCCAGGTGGCGTCATTTGGTCTGCCAAAATACTGTCTGAAAAATATCTCAAAGACCAGTTCTTTAGGTTTCACAATTGTGATGTAATCTATAGGAGCAGTTGGGGAAGTTACAAATCTTGTAACCTCAAGTTACTCGACTCCCAGACAGTTGGCACTACAGAAGAGCACACTACAGGATGACAGGATATTGTTTAACTATGCCTATTCTTTAGCAAAGTTCAAGCCCCTATTGTAAGTCTTTTTTTGGAATGCAGCTTCAATCTCTGAATAAGGTGGGGTGGGGATCAGTTTTCCTTGACTCAAAGTTTAACTATAAACTAAATCCTTCTCATAGTTATCTTGGTCCCTGGGCTAGAAAAAGCAAAAAACAAAAACAAAACAAAACAATTTAGCCTGTGAGGTTAGAAGCAAGATGGAATTAGTCACATTCAATTTCTCACATTACTTATAATTCTGCAAAGACAGTTTCAGTGGCACACTCAGAGGGGGCATGGAAGCTATGCACCCCTTCCTATATACCTCATCCTCTTGTGATGGTTAATATTGAGTGTCAACTTGATTGGATTGAAGGATACAAAGTATTGATCCTGAGTGTGTCTGTGAGGGCATTGCCAAAGGAGGTTAACATTTGAGTTAGTGGGCTGGGAAAGGCAGACCCACCCTTAATCTGAGTGGGCACCATCTAATCAGCTGCCAGAGCAGCTTGAATATAAGTAGGCAGAACAGTGTGAAAAGAGAGACTGGCCTAGCCTCCCAGCCTACATCTTCCTCCCATGCTGGATGCTTCCTGCCCTCAAACATTGGACTCCAAGTTTCTCAGTTTTGGAACTCAGACTGGCTCTCCTTGCTCCTCAGCCTGCAGATGGCCTATACTTAATAAACTCATATATATATATATATATATATTCCATTATATATATATTCCATTAGTTCTGTCCCTCTAGAGAACCCTAACTAATATACCTGTGCATCTCTTTATCTAGCCGTTCATATATATTCTTTGTAATATTCTTTATAATAAATGAGTAAATTCTTTATAATAAATGAGTAAACACAAGTTAGTGTTTCTGTGACTCATCCTCACCAATTAATCAAACCCAAAGAGAGGGTCATGGGAACTCCAATTTATAGCCAATCAGCCATATATATAGGTGACAACCTACTACCTGTGATTGGTGTCTGAAGAGGGGCAGTCTTGTGGGTCTGAGCCACCAGATCTGTGGGATCTGATGCTATCTCCAGGCAGTTCATATCAGAATTGAATTATAGGATGCCCAGCTGTGTCTGCAGGAGAATTGCTAGCTCTGTGAGGAAAAACCTACCATACCTCTGGCCTTAGAAGAGTTCTGTGTTGTATTGAATGTATGAGAGTAGGAAAAACACTTTGGTTTATTTTTTCCTTTCTCAAATGCATACAGACTGTATGATTCCACTCATATTAAGTTTTCAGAAAAGACAATTCTGCCTTGCCTGATAAGGAAGGTAGGGAGAGAGAATGACTGCAATGAGTAGGGAGTTTCTTTAGGGCATGATGAAAATATTCTAAAATTAGATAGTGGTGATAGTTGTGCAACTCTGTAAATGTACTGGAAGTGTAAAATTATGCATTTGAAATCAGTGAATTTAATGATAAGTAAATTATATCTCAGTAAACTTGTTTAAGAGAGAAAAAGAGAGTTGAGTTAGTCAGGCTGCAGTTATCTGAAAGCTTGACTGGAAGTGAACAATCTGCTTCCAAGATGAAACAGTGTCATAGCTAACCAGTTGATGCTGGCTGTTGGCAAGAGGCCTCAGCTCCTCACCATGAGAACCTCTGCACAGGGCAGCTTGAGTGTCCTCACAACATGGCAGTGGCTTTGACAAGAGCAAGTGACCCAGGAGAGAGACCAGGCTGGAAACTGTAATGCCTTTTATAATTGCCACACTCTGTTACATACACAGTCCAGGCATGCTGCAGTGTGGGAGAACACTTCACAAGGGAGTGAATACCAGGAAGTTGTAATGATCTGGTGCCATCTTGGAGACTGGCTGCAATGCCATGGAACTGACAGGTTTTATCTTCAATATTAATAGGCATCATTTGGGCCATTCTTGTTTACTTACAGAGGTTACTGAAATTGCTACTCATAAATATGGACTAGCATAGTATCTCCGTGTTATCAGTTGTTTTGTTTTGTTTTGTTTTGTTCTGTTTTGTTTTAGTAGAGACAAGATCTTACTATGTTGCCCAGGCCAGTCTTGAACTCCTGGGCTCAAGCAATCCTCCCACTTCAGCCTCCTAAAACACTGGGATTATAGGTGCCAGCTAACATGTTCAGCCATGTATTGGGTCTTGATTGGTAAAATATGTAACATATAAATGTGTGTGTGTGTGTGTGTGTGTGTGTGTGTGTGTGTGAGAGAGAGAGAGAGAGAGAGAGAGAGAGAAATACTGAATTCCCATGATCCATTTGTTTGTTTGAAGGTCCAATATCCGTATTTTTAATATTTCTTCTATTTAGGGGTATCATACAGTTTTTAGTTTTCTTACCATATAATACATGTTGGACATGCATGTCTAAGATTTTAAGCTGCTTTCCTCTCCAGTTGGTGACAATAGAAGCCCTGAATCCCTATTGGGACATTTTGCAAACTAAGCCTGACATGAGGTAGGTAAAAAGTCAATCAATCTTATTTGTGGGTCTTCTGGACTTTCTGACTTCTGTTCCATTGGTATGTCTGCCCCTTTTCCAATGTTCCACTGTCTTAATTATTAGGGCTAAATAATATCTTAAAATTGAGTAGTGTGATTCCTCCATCTTTATTTGTTTTCAAAACAGTTTTAGCTATTCTGGTTCCTTTGTTTTTCCACATACGTTTTAGAAGAAGCTTGTTCATATCTACAAACAATCCTATCAGCATTTTGATTGGAATTACAATTCAATCTATAGATCAGTTTGGGGACAATCAACATTTTTTCATGTTGAGTCTTCTAGTCTCAGTGAGACTTCTCAGAGTGAGAAGTCAAGTCTTTCTCCCCCACGGGGTGGTCTTCTTGTGCTGGTGCCTTAATTATTGCTTGTCCATCTGTTCCCTTCTCCATACCAGATTCCTGATATCTTTGTCTGGCATTCTGGTCCTGGCATCTCTCATCTTCTTGCTCAGAATTTCCCACTGACTTGCTGTCTTGGCTCTGTTTTATGAGAGGCTTGTACTGTTCCATCTTTCAAACCAGAAATTCTAGTTTCAATAAAGGTGATTCTCTTTTTTATTTATCTGCCAATGTCTTGGAAATCAGAATTCATGCGTTCGTTCTCATCATGTCCTTTTGTGATGTAATCTCATCTCTTTACAGGGCCTCTTGCTCTTCTTACTGAAGCTCTCAGCCCATGAGCTCTGCCTCAAGAGAAGCCATATGTCTTCATCGCTCTCTCTGATCATCCTCCCTCAGTCCTGAATCCCCCTAAAGCCAGGACAATTCCCTTTGCCCTCTCAAAGTAGTCATGTGCCTACAGAGGAGACTCTTGGGAGACCCAGCTCACTCAGGTGGGTGAATGAAGGCACCATGCCTCTTTCATGGCATCTTCCTGCTGTTGCAGGAGGCAGACAGGGCTAGGCAGCGACTGAGAGTAGACAGGCCTTTGCAGATGCAAGGACAGTCCTCCCAGCAGCACACTTCAGCTCACACCTAAGTCCTTTTGCCAAAGTTCAGGACCACCCTATTCAAATGTCCCCCTGAAGGACCTCAGGGGTGCCACCTTCCTCTAAGTGGATGCCCTGCATCTACCAGGTCCCCTGTCACAGCAATGGACAGTGACATTTGGGGCCAGCTTTGCAGAGAGGCAAGATTTCTCCTCTTCAATGTATCAGTATTTGGAGGGATTTGATCAATTTAGCCCCTTGACAGCACAAGCCCACGAGCCTCACTTTGACACCTTTCCCCAGAATACTACAGCTTGGGAGCAAACGGCCTGCACAGCCCCCAGCTACAGAAACCATGCATGAACTACTGCTGTAAAGTGTAATTCTCTCTCCTTTGCATTAAGCTCCTGCAGGGCTCTGATTACACAGGAAAAGAAAATGTTGCTGAAGAAGATGGCTCTTCTGGGAAACCTGTCTCCAGCACTCTGCAGGAGGGAGAGGTCCTCCCAAGCTCACATTTAGTAAGAAGAGAAGGGGACTCTTCAAAGAGATGAGAGTGCATTTGGCTTCAGAGTGTGCCTTCGCCAAGAGAGGGTGCACTTCAGCAGGCAGTGGCATCAAGCTCTCACTCCACAGGATGACCAACGATGTTTCAGTCGCCCTTTTTCTGATGCTTCCTAAACAAATAAAGTGGCAGTAATTCTAGAGCTTAACCAGAAGAAAACTGCACATTCCCTCCTGAAGATATTGCCCTGACTATATCCATCCGGTTGTTACTCCTACATAAATGTTAGCCTGCTACATGAGTGTCCTGAGACTTTGATGACATTTAAATCAGCAGCTGCTCCAGCCTCCTACCTTCAAGCCAACTAGCAGTTCATTTCCCAAAAGAGGGCATGCTTTAAGGGCTAATGTCTCAGCCGACACTGGGCTGCTACTACAAAATGCAGAGCAGGGAGGCACGCGGGGCCAGGTGTCCACAACAAATAGAAGGTGTCCTGAGCCTCAAAAACCGGCCGTCTCCCCATGGAGGTCAGCACAGGCTTATTCATCAACTCTGCTCTTGTAAACACAGGCATCACTGGGTATAAAACATGCCATCAACTGAGTGGGGAGCATTTTTTCTATAACCCCTGTTGCCAGGTCATATAACCTATTGCCAGGTTAGATGACCATCACAAGGATGATCAGCCAGGACAGAGGGGTGACCTGGTGACCTGGGTCATGGTACTCTGCAGGGCTCCCTAGCTGTCTGGCCAGTCATTGGCAGCTCTGCAGAACATCAAGCAAGTTACAGGGTGGCACTGAAAGCTGATGGGTATCGAGAAGGTGGTGGCCACTTAGAAGCCCCACTGGGGCCTTCAAGAAGCTGATCACAAGGTGCATGTTCTTAGATGGACCTCTGGGCAGCTGCAGAGTGCAGGCTTACTACCCAGATCAGAAACCCCATGTAGGGTGAGGATTGTCACTGAGAGAGGAACTGGTGGAGGAAGTTCTGCTGAAAAAGTCCTGGTGACCCCATCCCCTGAGCAGAATGCCCAGGTAAGCCACCTCCTGTCTCTTCCTCCTTCCTTCTCTTTCATGCGAACACAGAAAAGGCAGCACAGCAGTGACACCAACCACACCGCAGTTCCCACCTGGAGAGGAGGTGAGGTCAAAAAACACATGCCCTGCCATGCCGGCTGGCCCTGAACACACCTTCCTCCATGCACACAGGTAGACAGGTGAATCCTGAGGTTACTGTTCCAAAACTCACCATGAGGGGCCAGTCACGGTGGCTCACTCCTGTAATCCCAGCACTTTAGGAGGCTGAGGCAGACAGAACACTTGAGGTCAGGAGTTCGAGACCACCCTGGCCAACATGGCGAAACCCCATCTCTACTAAAAATACAAAAAGTAGTCGGGCATGGTGGCAAACACCTGTAATTTTAGTTGCTCCGGAGCCTGACGAGGCATGAGAATCACTTGAGCCCAGGAGGCAAAGGTTGCAGTGAGCTGAGATCATGCCACTGCACTCCAGCCTGGATGACAGAGTGAGACTTCGTCTCAAAAACAAAACAAAACAAAACAAAAGGCCAGGAGCAGTGGCTCACATCTGTAATCCCAGCACTTTGGGAGGCCGAGGTGGGCAGATCACGAGGTCAGGAGTTCGAGACCAGCCTGGCCAAATGATGAAACTCCATCTCTGCTAAAAATACAAAAATTGGCCAGGCATGGTGGCACGTGCCTGTAGTCCCAGCTACTCGGCAGGCTGAGGCAGGAGAATCGCTTGAGATTCCATCTCAAAAGAAAAAAAAAAGAGAGAAACAGTCCTGGATCACAGACACCACCCCTCCCTTACTCTGGGCAGCAGTGGCCTGGTGCAGAGAGTGTCTCTAGATGCCGTGGGAGAGAGAACACAGCAATTGTGAGACATTGAACGCAGTGCAATCCTGTTAGAGGAGAAAGGAAAACCCAATCAAACTCAGCTGATGCCCACCCATTGAGGGAGTGTTTAAACCAGCCCTAGCCAGAGGGGAATGGTACCAACTTAAGTGCCTGCAAACCTCGCCACTGCCACCAAGGGCTACAGTGCTCTGTGTCTCCAAGTAAATTTGAAAGGAAGTCTAGGACATAAGGACTGCAACTCTTAGGTGGGTCCTAGTGTTGAACTAGACCCAGGGACAGTGGACAGGGATGTTGGGGACGAGACATACTGAGATACCAGCTGGGGCAGCCAAGGGAGTACTAGCATCACCCAACCCTTAGCCCCGGGATACACAGCTCATGGCTCCAAAAGAGACCCCTTCCTTCCACTTGAGGAGAGGAGAGGGAAAGTAGGGGGGACTTTGCCTTGCATCTTGGATACCATCCCAGCCACATCAAGATAGGGCACCAGTCAGAGTTGTGAGGCCCCTGTTCCGGGCCCTAGCTCCCAGACGACATTTCTAGACACACCCTGGGCCAGAAGGGAGCCCACTGCCTTGAAGAAGAAGAAAAAAAAAAGTCCTGGCAGCATTCATCACTTGCTAACTGAAGAGACCCTGGGCCCTGAATAACCAGCAATAATACCCAGGCACTACATTGAGCACCTTGGTGAGCCTCTGATATTTGCTGGCTTCAGGTGAGACTCAGCACATTACCAACTGTGGTGGCTACAGGGCAAAACTCCTGCTTGAAAAAAGCAGAAGAAAAAGTAAAGGGGACTTTGTCTTTCTTGCACCTTAGGTAACCGCACAGCCACAGGGGTGTAGAGCACCAATTAGGCTCTTAGAGTCCTTGATTCCAGGCCTTGACTCTTAGATGGCATTTCTGGACCTGCCCTGGGCCAGAAGGGAGCCCACTGCCCTAAAAGGTGAGTCCCAGGCCAGGCAACATTCACCACAAGCTGACTTAAGAGCCCTTGGACCTTAAGGGAACATTGGAGACAATCTGGCAGTATTTCTTGTGGCCTGGAGTGGCAGGGGCTGTAGGGCGAGGGGCTCCCTAGCTATCTGGCCAGTCATTGGCAGCTCTGTGGAACATTAAGCAAGCTACAGCTCCTCTGACTTTGTAAAGGGGAGGTGATATGGTTTGGCTGTGTCCCTATTCAAATCTCATCTTGAATTGTAGCTCCCATAATTCCCACATGTCGTGGGAGGGACCCGGTGGGAGATCATTGAATCATGGGGGCAGGTCTTTTCCCATGCTGTGCTGGTGATAGTGAATAAGTCTCATGAGATCTGATGGTTTTATAAAAAGGCCATTCCTCTGCACATGCTCTCTTGCCTCCCACCACATAAGACATATTTTTTTCTCCTTTGCCTTCCACCATGATTGTGAGGCCTACCCAGCCATGTGGAACTGTGAGTCCATTAAAACTCTTTCCTTTAACAATTACCCAGTCTCAGATATGTCTTTATTAGCAGTGGGAGAACAGACTAATACAAGAGGGAGGAGTGGGAAGGATTGCATCTGGTGGTTTGAGTGCCAGATCGGCCGCAATACAACAGAACACTAGATAGACTTCTAAGATTTTTGACTCTACTTCCTGACTCCCAGACAGCACCTCTGGACCCACTCAGGGCCTGAGGGACCTCGCTGCCCTACAGGGAAGGACACATGCCTAGCTGGCTTTGCCACCTGCTGATTTTAGAGCTACAGGGCCTTGAGCGAACATAGGCAGTAGCCAGGGAGTGGTTACAGCAGGCTTTGGGAGAGACTCAGTGCTTTCCTGGCCTCAGATCTGACCCAGCACAGTCATAGTAGTGGTGGCCACAGAGATGCTTGTGTCATTCCCTGCCCCAGCTTCAGGTGGCTCCCAACACAGAGAGAAATGGTGTGTTTGGAAGAAATTAAGGGAAGGATTACCTGGTAATCCAGAGAATTATCCTGGATATTGTCCAAAACCATAAAGGCAGTACCTCTACAGGTTTGGAAGAACCACAGTGCTACTGGGCTTGGAGCATCCGCCAAAACAGATACAGCTTAGATCACAATACCCAAGTCCTTTCAAGTATCTGGAAAGCCTTCCCAAGAAGGACAGCTACAAATAAACCCAGACAGTGAAGATTACAATAAATACCTAACTCTTCAATGCCCAGACACTGAAGAACCTCTGCTAGCATCAACACTATCCGGGAAAACATGCCCTCGCTAAATGAACTAAATAAAGCACCAAGGACCAATCCCGGAGAAACAGAGATATGTGATATTTCAGACAGAGAATTCAAAATAGCTGTGTTGAGGAAAACTCAAAGAAATTCAAGATAACAGAGGAGGAATTCAGAATCCTATCAGATAAATTTAACAAAGAGATTGAAACAATTAAAAAGAATCAAACAGAAATTTGGGAGCTGAAAAATGCAACTGGCATACTGAAGAATGCTTCAGAGTCCTTTAATAGCAGAACTGATCAAACAGAAGAAAGAACTAGAGAGCTTGAAGACAGGCCATTTGAAAATACACAGTCAGAGGAGACAAAACAAAAACAGAATAACAAACAATGAAGCGCACCTACAGGATCCAGAAAACAGCCTGAAAAGGGAAAATCTAAGGTTATTGGCCTTGCAGAGGAGAGAGAAAGAGATACGGATAGAAAGTTTATTCAAAGTGATAATAACTGAGAACTTCCCAAATCTAGAGAAAGATATCGATATCCAAGTACAAGAAGGCTGTAGAACAACACCAAGCAGATTTAACACCAAGCAGATTTCAAAGAAGACTATCTCAAGGCATTTAATAATCAAACTCCCAAAATTCAAGGATAAAGAAAGGACCCTAAAAGCAGCAAGAGGAAAGAAACAAATAACATACAATGGAGCTCCAATAGGCCTGGCAGCAGACTTTTCAGTGGAAAGCTTACAGGCCAGGAGATAGTGCCATGACATTATTTAAAGTGCAGAAGGAAAAAACTTTTACCCTATAATAGTATATCCAGCAAAAAGTATCCTTCAAACATGAAGGAAAAATAAAGACATTACTAGACAAACAAAAGCTGAGGGATTTCATCAACACCAGACCTGTCCTACAAGAAATGCTACAGGGAGTACTTCAATCAGAAAGAAAAGAACATTAATGAGCAATAAATAATCACCTGAAGGTACAAAACTCACTGGTCATAATAGATACACAGAAAAACACAAAATATTATACCACTGTAACTGTGGTGCATAAACTACTCATATCCTAAGTGGAACCACTAAAAGATGAACCAACCAAAAATAACTGCAACAGCTTTTCAAGACATAGTTAGTAAAATTGAAACAATAAAAATTTAAAAAGTGGGGGGATGGTGGAGAGAATGAAGTTAAGATGTAGAGTTTTTATTAGTTTTCTTTTTGATTGTTTGTTTGTTTATACAAATAGTGTTAAGTTGTTATCAGGTTAAAATAATGGATTATAAGATAGTATTTGCAAGCCTCATGGTAACCTCAAACCAAAAAACATACAGTGGATATCAATCCATCAAGAGAGCTCACCTGAATATGCCAGTCCCTGGTGGATGCTGCTGTCCCCAGTGGTGGGATCAGCAAGCTTATTGGTCTGTCTATCCCAACAAGTGAAATAAGCATGCCAAGGTTTGAAGAACTACACAGAACCAGCCAAATGGAAAAAAAAAAAAAAAAAGGAATTCTGAATAGTTGGGCCCATGTGAGGTGTCAGAGAAGCTATTATTTTTTGAGATGTAAGCCTTTCTAACCCAAACTGCCTTAAATGCTTGCTTCGTGAGCTTCAAGAGTGTCGCACAAGTGGGGAGCAGGTGGGGATAGGTCCCAGCTCACTGTGGAGGAAGTTCTGGGTTCCAGGCAGCAATGGCTGCCCGAAGAACTGACATGCTCAGGTAGCTGGGAACAGCCCTGAATCCAGAGGGCAGGGAGCCCTGTCTGGAGCCCCCCACTTCACACCTGGCTATGCCAGCTGCAGGGCTGAGACTCCTGCCAGTGAGATATGAGCCCCTGGGTCATGGCTGCAGCTTGCTGGCTGATACTCGGTGTCCCTCTCTCTGGAACTGTGGGCTCTCTGTCCCCGACTCAGAATGGCAATTCTGACCCCTCTACCACCCTCAGTCCCATGTGGAATGAGAGACAGAGAGGTGGAGTCTAGTCTCTATGACCACGTGCCCATGCATGCCTGCAGAGCCCAGGCCCCACAGCCCTGCCCCCGAGTCACATGCATGGCCCACAGGGACAAGATCAATGTCCAGTCGGAACGGGGAGCTCGGTTGCTCATGCTGGACCGGCATGGCCGTTTCCTGCTCCTTTTCAGCAGTGACCACAAACCTTCTCCTCCAACATTCAGAAACAGCCTGCATCCGGCTGAACCACACTCAGGCTTCCTTTACCCCTGGAAAAGCCCACTCTACCCAGATGCTACTGATGTTTCCCTCCTGGTATCCCAAAGGATGCCACACGCCCCTCGCCTCCTGTGCCAGTACTCCACCAGCACACACCTTTGAGTCGTAAGAACAGGGCTGGCAAGGGGCAGAAAATTGTGTGGACTGGGGTTGCCATTAGAGGAACTTGGTGAACAAGTGAACCAATGAACAAGCACTTTGAGATTGCAGTGTTTATGCATTTGAGTGGAAATGGGCCAAATGCCCCTCTTCTTAAAAGGCGATAGCAGTTTTCTAGGAGCACAGCTTACACCTGTGAGTCCTAAAGGCAGCTCCATAAGACACCAACTGGCCCTGGAGAGGTGAGAAGGGCGGTATATTCATCAGCTGGAGCTGCGTGGCTGTGGTGCCACAGACTGTGTGGCTTCAACAACAGAAATATAACGTTTCATAGTTCTGGAAGCTGGAAGTCTGAGATCAAGTTGTCATCAGGGTTGGTCTCTCCTTGCCTTGTAGATAGCATCTTCTCCCTATGTCCACACATGGCCTTTCTTCTGTGCCTGTGTCCTCATCTCCTCTTCTTAGAAGGAGACCAGTCAGATTGAGCTAGGGCCACCCTATGACCTCATTTCACTTTAATCACCTCTTTCAAGGCCCTATCTCCAAACACAGTCACATTCTGAGGTACTGGGAGTTGGGGGTCCACCATATGAATTTTAGGGGGGACACAGTTCAGTACATCACAGGCAGTTCCCTCCCTCTGCTCTCACCCCTTGACCTCTCTTCCAATTTGCATTCACCTGCTTTGGCTTCCTCTGAGATGTTCTCAATACTCCTTCCTTTTATAGGCTTCATTCCAGGCATTTGATCATTTTCCGTTCATGAACTCTTCGTCTCTGTTCTATGTTTTAGGATCTTTTAAGGGTCCTATTATCCTTTGCTAACCACCAAAAAGTGAAGTCTGCAACCTGGAGAGCCTTCCCCTGCCTTGGGCTGCTCTGTGAGCTGAGCTCTGTGGTGCTGGGGTCTGCCTATCCTGCTTTGGAGATGGATTACTCCAGTGTCTCCCACATGATTCCAGGCTGTGGTCCCTTCAACGTAGCAGAAAACCTCTCCCCCACTGGTGCCCTTTTCCCCCACAAATCCAAGCCAATCCTGAGGAATGTCACTGGGATGACCAACTTAAGCCAGATACAACAGTATTGTCAATATCAGTGCTGGCACTGCCCAGACACAGACTCTCAGCTCAAACCCATGGACTAAAACTACCTTCAGACTGAAACCTCTGATTCGTACCAGGGCCACGATTCAGCCTGGATTTCAACACATCTGGGGCCATCAGGCACCAGAGCACAATGCCACCCTCATAGCCAACAGCAACTACTGACCAGGGCTTTAACACAGAGCCTGCCATTGGCTGCTTTCACTGAGGTGTAGCAGGTCATTTTTGGAGGAGTCAAAAAACATTTGTTGGAGATTGCTAGTCAATTAGAGACCGTATAGCCTAGTGGTCCCAAAGCACAAATTCTGGACTTTGCCTAAGTTTGAATCCTGACTCTTCTAGTTCCTAGCTGTGTGACCTAGGGTACATTACCTGACCTCACTGGGCCTCCAATTACTCTTCTATAAAGTAGAAACAATAATACAGTTGGCCCTCCATATCTACAGGTTCCGCATCCATGAATTCAACCAACCTCAGATAGAAGATATTTGGGGGAAAAAAATAAATGATTGAGTCTGCACTGAACATGTACAGACTTTTTTTTTTGCCACTGTATGTAATGTATGTAAACAATACAGTACAACACACATTGCATTTACACTGTATTAGATGTCATAAGTAATCTAGAGATGATTTAACATATACAGGAGGCTATGCATAGGTCATATGCAAATATCACACCACTTTATATGAGATTTGAGCGTCCGTGGATTTTGGTATCTGCAGTGGGTACCAGAACCAGTCTCCCATGGATACTGAGAGATGACTGTACTTACCTTCTAAGGGAATTGGATTAAATGAGATTATCTATAGACAGCACTTAGAGAGCACCTGAGGGTACAGTAAGCATTCTATAAGTGTTTCTTTGAATTATTATGGTGCTTGCATCATTATTTCATACTCACTGTAGGGAGTTTCTCATCTGCCTCTCAAACTGTGTTCCACCTTATCTGTTCTGGTGGGTAGAAGGCAAAGCACCTGGCCCCGTTACAGTTATAGCTGAACCATGACCAATGAGTCTGAGCATTGGATGGCATGAACATCGGAGATCCTCTCCTGTGAATCTCAAGTGACCCTCCTTGCCCCTCCCCAACTCTCCCACTGCGGGATTTTCCCAGGACAGAATCTCAGAATGAGCTGGCTCTACAGGCACTCACAGATGCACCCTTACCTTGACCTGCAGGCCTGAAGCCGACCCAGCCCACAGGCAGCATTCCGAGCTGACACATCAAGAAGCTCCAGATGCCTCCCCGACCTTCACAAATGTGAAACAAGATGAAGGTGTTGACAGGGCTGGTCTGTAGAAATAGTATTTTGTTATTACTGAAATGTTAGAGTGTAAAATAGAATGTTCTGTTCCTCTCTAGCCACAATGTCCCATTGATTAGGGGTCCCCAGTCCCTGGACCATGAACCACTATCGGCCCATGGTTTGTTGGGGGCTGGGCCACACAGCAAGAGGTGAGTGGCGGGTGAGTGAGCATTACCGCATGAGCTCTGCCTCCTGTCAGATCAGTGGTGGCATTAGATTTTCATAGGAGCACAAACCCTACTGTGAACTGAGCATGAGCGGGATCTAGGTTGTGCACTCCTTATGAGAATCATCTAACTAATGCCTGATGATCTGAGGTGGAACAGTTTCATCCCAAAACCATTTCCCCTACCCCCATCCATGGAAAAACTGTTTTCCACAAAACCGGTCCCAGGCGCCAAAAAGGTTGGGGACCGCTGCTGTGGCACTGCCATTTCTCAAGCTACCTAGAAGCTAGTTTGAACAGTGTGTGTATTTAAAGTAAATTTCATTTGGGACATTTTATTACAGAAGCTTATTATCTCTTTTTAAAGGAATCTTTCTTCTCAGGATCTTAAGGCATCTTATATCCATTGAAAAGGCCTCCTGTACCATGACAGCTTCTTCAAAGGACACCCTAGATAATAGCACAGGAATCCCAGGGAGATGAAATACCCTGAGATCCACAGACTTCCCTGAGATGGGGAGTCCTGTTTCCTCCTCTACCAAGCTGCTAACCAGTGGCCAAGTCAGATTAAGCTGTATTTCCTCCCAACCCCCCCACCCCCAATCTGCAGTGGAGGAGGTTTTAAGCAGGCAGTGGTTAAATCCTGGAAGGAGAAATTAGAGGAAATGAAAAGACTCTCCCAACTTGGATGAGAAAGTGGTGGAGTGACAGGGTGGGCAAGACCCCAGCAAGCTGTCCGGGGCCAGGCCCATCCAGGAGTCCGGTGTGTTTCAGTGTCTGCCCAGGCCTCCTGTCTAGGAAGCTTTCCTGCCAGGTTCAGAAAATGAAGAACATAAACCACAGGACCCTATTTTATGGGTAGAAATAATGTCAATGAGGGCAAATGGAGAAGAGTGAGGCAACAGCCACATCCGTCCAGGAAGGATGCCTGGGACACAGGTGGTTCTGCCAAAGAGCCAGAAGGATGGAAGGAAATCTCAAAATTCAGATGAGAAGCCAGACAGTAGGAAAGCCAAAAAAGCACAATCTAATAATTTAGAAAATGAAAGAGGAGGAGGGCTGTTAAAGATATTCTCTGCTCCTTCGTAACATCTCAGCTCCTCTCTTCCTATGTAGAAATAAACGCTCACTGCAAAAGGCAATGATTTGCTTAGAAAAAATTCATTTAAAATGTCTTGCAATTATTGACACTGTCATCAGATCTTGGCAGTAGCAGCTTATTATTACCTCCTATGTATGTTTGCCGGGAGAAGAGTCTCATTGTTTAGGAGGGAGAAATAAAGCAAAAGTCCAAGGGTATTGTGCTTGAAATACATGCCTAGAGATATGGAGTTGATTGCCCCAGAAAAAAAAGGAAGCCTATGTGTATATTATTATTCACCTCGGTAGCCCGAATCCTCTATTTCTCTCTCTCTCTCTCTCTCTCTCTCTCTCTCTCTCTCTCTCATACAGTTGAGCTCAGCTGGGCAGCCATCCAAGTGATTCATATTAAATTCTAGCTATATTCAGCACAAAAGTCATCTAGCATCAGAGGATCAAAGTTACATCAACTAACAAGCACTGGGGGATTGATAAGCTGCTAAAATTAGGTCATTGCATAGCAGCAGCCTTTGATGGATGAAGTGAAATTTAGCCGCGGGTTTGCTATTTAAAGATCTGTTACAGCACCCTTTCCTGTAGCCACAATGAACACACAACAAAGTATCATGTGTCTGATTAAATGTTTAATCATCGCTGTTGAGCTTGCCGACTGTGGCAAAGATTCAGTTTCCTTAAGAGTGCATTCAGCTCTTGGGCCAAGCCAGTACCTGCATTTTAATTCCCACATCCAGAGCCTTACAACAGGGCCCATTTCTCCCTCCTCAGGATGAATTCTGTAAAGTTAGTTTAATCGTTTTTAAAAGCATTTGGTCACACAGTTCCACCTCTAAGTCCCTGTCAGTTCAGTGTTTCAAAACTCTTCGTCAGCGTCACACACACACACACACACACACACACACACACACACACACGGCTCCAGACTGCCCAGTGGATGCAGCAACTGGTCTGGTGAGCGCATTTCTGTTTCTTGCTCATTCCCTCAATTTCAGAATCACACACCTGTCCAAAATGGCTCACGTCTCTCTCTTCTTTGGGACTGTTTTTGTTTCCAGATGGGTTAAGGTGGGGATTTGACTTCATTTGGTTTAGGTTTTGGCTGTGGCTGAGGCCCCAGGCATGTGGCAGTCACCAGTTCTGATTTCATAACTCCCATGGCCAGGCCAGGAGCCACACAGGAAGCCGGAAGGGGCCTCGGGTCAGTGTGTCCTGTCCCAGCAGCACGGGGTGGGGGACTGTGTGCCCCCAGGTGTCCTATCCACCCCTCAGCTCCAAAGGGCATGTGGACATGCGTCAGGTCCCCTGAGGCCATCTACAAACACCAGATGGACTGTTGAGCTTCCCAGGCTCAGAACCTAAGAACCCGCAACTGGAAGGAAAAGGCAGCAGAAGATGAGAAAAACGGTCAGGGAGGAAAGAAAACACTTTAACCCAAACAAAGTTTAAAATAAAATAAAGAGTGGTGAACACTCAGCTGGGAGAGGAGAGGAGGCCTCTGTGGGCAAAGGGAAATGCTGCTGAGAGGCAGCTAAGCCTGAGTCTGGAAGACTGGAGGGAGGCAGCTCCAGGGTGAGCACCTGGAGTGCACAAGGCTCTGGAAGGGGAGGGCAAGGGGTATCACCCTCCCCAGAGCCCCAGGGAAGCCTGATTCATCAGTACACCCAGGAAGGGGCTGGCTGCAGCGATAGCCCCCTGCCCAGTTGTCCCAGATGAACCCTGGGCTTGGAAACAGTCCAGGGACACTGGCAGACTGAGAGCCACCGGAGAGGGTCACCCCGTCCCCCTCCTGCCTGTAGGGGCACACAGGTTTCCCACTAACCCTCAGTCCCAGTTGACCAATTACCAGATAAGAAGATTGGATCCTCCTATCCTTACAGACACAAGGACACAGGTGGGAATGGCTTTTCATATGCAAATTCCATGCCATTTGCTTCCTATTCCAGCCAAACAGTTGTGCAGAAGATAAAACGAATCAGGGAGTGCTCCAGGGAGTGCTCCCGGCTCTCAGGAGTACTGTAGGGAGTGGAGACAGGAAGGAAGCCATGACAGGGAAGGTGACAATATTGGCCCGGTGCTCTAGATGCAGTTCTGCAGGCGCTCACTGAAGAGACTGCTGGAGAAGGCAGGAGGATGTGCTCGCGGTTTCCTGTGATGTGGTGAGGGCAGGTGGAGCTTCAGCACCCAGAGGCTGGAGGGAGATCCTTAGGTGGCCCAGGTGACGCAGGAGCCTGGGCTTTCACTCAGATTCAGACCAGAGAGACAAAGTAGGAAACTTGATTTTAAACCTGGGAGTGGCTGAGTGCCTTGTTCTTGGCTATGTTTCAGTGTGATCTTACACATAGCTACCCAGCACATCTGTCTGTCTTCGTTTATGTTCCTTCAGAAGCCAACCCTAAAATAACATCCAAGGGCAGGCAGCAAATTTGGGAAGTTATCTCTGGGAGCACTGTAGGGAGTGGAGACAGGAAGAGAGACAGGACAGGGAAGGTGACAGTAAAACAGCTGCCCCATGGACAACTAGAGCCTAATCCCTCTTGGGAACTCCAGGTTCCAGTCCCATGAAGGAAGGTAGCTGGAGTGTGTGAGCCACTCCCATAGCCACTGGTGGAACACTGCTGGGTGCAGGTAGGGCATTACTTCTCTGGCATTCCAACCTGCTGAATCTTCAGGAAAATCAGGCTCTAATGGCCAGAAAAAGATGCTGGAGGGTGGCAGTTTACAGGCATGCACTTTCACAGTAGTAGGATGGGGCTAGGAGCTGAAGAGCATGTACACAGCACTTGCTACAACATCCAAGATTTTATTTTCAAGAGATGCTTTCTGAAAGCTTAGAGTTGAGCCCTATGTCATGGGAGATAGGAACAAAAAAACCTCATTAGAGTCACAAGTTGTTTTCAAGGTTAATTCAAAGGGTCACGTCTATTCATGTTCAAAATCCCAGCCATGTGTATCTTTACACACAGTAGATGCTCAGATCATCCACCTAGGTGATGAGATGTATCCCGGGCATGTGGGCACTTCAACCAGAGGCCTATCCTTGAGGCCAGTAAGTTACTGCACGTACATTACACCAGTATGATGCTGTCATTATTAATCACCTTCATCTATGTCATTTAAATTGTATCAGGATGGTGTTGTAGGTCATGTTGGCTGATTTTATTTTCCAAAGACAATGATGTTGGTATGAGCCATCCCACAAGCTCTCTGTATCGTGTGATGCTAACCTTCTCTCAAGAGGTGGGATCTATGTTCCCTCCTGTTATGAGCTGAATTGTATTCCCCCAAAATTCATATGTTGAAGCCCTAACCCCCAGTATCTCAGAATGTGACTGCCTTTGGAGACAGGGTCTCTAAAGAGATAAGTAAGGCTAAATATGGTCCTTAAGGTAGGCCCTAACCCAATATGACAGTGTCCTTATTACAAGAGGAGATTAGAACACAGACAGACACAGAGGGATGACCACATGAAGACACAGGGAGAAGACAGCATCCACAAGCCAAGGAGACAGGCTTCAGGAGAAACCAACCCTGTTGACACCTTTATCTCAGACTTCTACTCTCAAAACTGTAAGAAAATTAATTTCTGTTGTTTAAGCCATCCAGTCTATAGTACTTTGTCATGGCAGCCCTAGTACACTGCTGTACCTCTCCCTCGAGCCTGGGCAGAACTTTATAAGTATCTTAACTAACAGAATGCAGTGGGGATGATACTGTATAACTTCCAAAGCTAAATGGGGAGTTGTGGAAAAGCCATAGAGTTTACACCTGGTTTTCTGTCTCTCATGGATGCTTGCTGGAACCCCAGCTAGCTGACATCGAGTGACAGCACGGGGAAGAACTGAGGCCCCCAAGCCAACAGCCAGCTCCAATCACCAGACACATAACATGAGTAAGGCTAGAGGGTATGCAAGCCCCCAGCCTCAGTGTCTTTCAGTTGAATTCCCGTCTGAATTCCCAACCCACTGAATTCATGCACATAAAAAACAATTGTTGCATGCCACCATATTTTGGGGTAATTTATCATGGAGTCATGGTAACCAGAGTAGTCTTAGACAGCAAATAGTGCACACTTCAATTTTCCAATGAGAAAACTGAGATGAAGAAAAACTCAATGATCTTCCAAGGCCAAACAACTAGAAAGTGGCAAAATGAAAGGAATTTTGCTAGAATGAATAATTATGAAATGCAAATTACAAGGAAGGTAACACACTAAGCCACTGGGGGCACAAAGATGGCCTTGGGGAAAGCCCCCTTGCCTATGCAACTATGAGCCCACATGCCATGAGCCTTTTCTCCTAAGAACTATGTAAGTAGATCTGTTGGATAAGTTCCAGGAAGTGACATATTTCTTTTAAATTTTTTTTAGATAGTGTCTCATCTTCCCCCAAAGAGATGGCAATAATTTATACTCCACTCATAGCCTCTGTGAATGCCTGCTTCAGTAGAGAGTCGACAATATTATGGGTTGTAGGTGTCTTTCCTTTCTGATAATTGGAAAAGCTTTTCATTCTTTCACAAGTTTGTTTGTTTGTTTGTTTGTTTGTTTGTTTTGCGACGGAGTCTCTCTCTGTCGCCCAGGTTGGAGTGCAGTGGTGCAATCTCGGCTCACTGTAACCTCTACCTCCCAGGTTCAAGCGATTCCCCTGCCTCAGCCTCCCAGGTAGCTGGGATTACAGGCATGTGCCACCACACCTGGCTAATTTTTGTGTTTTTGGTAGAGATAGGGTTTCACCATGCTGGCCAGGCTGGTCATGAACTCCTGACCTCAAGTGATCCACCCGCCTCGGCCTCCCAAAGGGCTGGGATTACAGGTGTGAGTACAGATGGAAGGGGCCCTGGGATTGGAGGTGGGGAGGGAGGTTCATACTCACTGTAAACTCCATCCTACAGTTAGAACTTTTCATTTCCATGTTCAAGCATTTCTTCTCACACACAGAAAACCTACTTAATATAAAAGTGGGTTCTTATAAAAACAAAAGTTTGAGCATCCCTGCTGTACACCCTTAGGCTTTTGCACAAAAATGGGTTCAGGCTTCTTTCATCCAGATCTTGAACTAAGCAACCCATAAAAACACAGAGCTGTGCTCTGTGTCACCAGGTACATTAGAAACTTCAGTCCAACAACCAAAGATAAATGGAAGCAGTTTAGGTCTTTAATGCAGTCTAGGGATGACAGACAATGTTCCCATTCAGTACACCTAGAAAGAATACCTGAAAGAAATGTGACCTTACAGGTCCCTGACTGCTCAGCACCCCTCCCCTAAAACCTCTCTCCTCCTCCCTCCCCTCCAGCACCCTTCCCGGCCTGTCCAGGAAGAGCAACTCCCAACCCAGCTGAGCCAGCTTGTGCAGATCACATCTGCTTCTCTTGTCACCTGTCCTGGATTCTGGACAACAGAGGCGGGCCAAGAAGCAAGTGGAAATCCTGCCTTTTCTTGCAGCGGGGATCTCAGTAGACTGCAAACACTGACAAGTTATCTTTCACGCATGCCTCAGTTTCCTTCCAGCTTTTTGTGCTGTTCCTTCTACAGCAAGAATTGCTTTGCTGAATGCTCTCCTGGGGAAAATAATTTAATTGTTTCAATTGTGCCAATTATGTACTTAAGGGTCAATGTTTGTTTCCTATAACATAGCAGCTTAACTAATTAAAAAGATTAATCTTGGGTAGAAAAGAGCCTGTATTTACGCAAATTACATGAAGCAATGACTTGCACACAGGGACAAGAGTGTCCTGCCCTGCAAAGGCTTACTGAGGCTGCGTGGAGTCCAGGGTGCCCTAACTGTACATTACCACCCTCGGGGGCATCTAGAACCCAAGATGACCACAGCAGAGCCTTGAGGTGCGGCAGGATGCCAGAACTTTCCACAGCTCCCCAGAGGACCCCAGCAAGTGGTGGGGGCCGAGACTAGAATATATGGCCTTTGGTTGGTGATCAGAGCCTTTTTTCTTCCCAAAGGGAATTTTCTAGAGGGGAATTTAGGCCAAATCAAACCCTCACATCCCTTTCACTCACAGATGCTAACAAATAGTAACAAACCAGAGGAAAAAGGAATCTTATTTGGGAAGAGTCCTCAAAAAGTATGCTTTTTTTTCTCCCTCACCGAAGTGGTCCTCAACTTTAACTACTTCTGGACTTAGCCTGGGAGCATGAAGAAATCAGCAGGCCTGGGACTCCGCCCCAGAGGCCCTCAATTAAAGAGTTTAGGTGAGGCCCGGGCCTTCTTAAGTGATCTCCTCTGCAAAACCACAGCTTCCGCACCTTCACACTGACCCAGGGATGAAGGCATGCCTGGAGGCCGAGCTGATTCTAATGGCTCCACTGCCCCTTGGACTATTAGGATGGTCAAAGTGCCTGCATGTCACCCAGTATGATGTGACCTGATGGTAGGAACCATGCGTAGCCTGGGTTCATCTCAGGCAGGGTCATGGACTCACTCAGCATATTACAGTTGCTGTTCTCAATCCACCAGCCGCCCTCTCTGGTTAGCCGATTTGGGGTCTCCTGCCTTAGGTGGCTGGGCTCTGCCTCATTACTTCCCCCCATCTCCTCCCTCATGGATGTCAATTCCAGGGACTCTGTGGTTGTTGGTGCCCTATCACCACCGCGTGCATTTTAGGGTCTGGGGGTAACTTGTCACCTGATTTGGCTCTCCATTATTGGCCATGGGTTTTTGGTGTTGCTCTCTAGGTGCTCAGTTTTTCACTGTGTGTGTTGGAGGAGCATCCTGAGCAGAGCAGATCCCGACTTGGACAGAAACCTTCTTGGTTTCTCGGAGGAGTCTCCTCTGTGAGTCTTCCAGAGCCCGCCCTGAACCACATGACTGGGAGCTCATCGGGCACCTCTCCTGGGAAAAAAAAATGCTAAGTCACTAAGCAAAAGGTCAAGTTGTTTTCAGAAAATGTTTTTTAAAAAGAGAAGGAAAATTATGATATGGCTTATAAACATTTGTTTCAAAAATTCTTATTTCTAAATGAAATTTAATGCCACTTGGAACTTTATGCAGAATAACTCGGTCTTCGATAAATCTGAATAAATGTACATATGTAAGTATATATGTGTCTCTGGCTTTCTGTAACTCAAATTCAGGGTTTAAGGTTTGCATTTTTTGAGAATGTTGCAAACATACCTCAGAAATATTTCAGGTTTGGTTCTAGATAACCGCAATAAAGCAAATATCAGAATATGGCTAGTTACACTAATATTTTGGTTTTCCAATGCATACAAACATTATGTTTATAGTGTTCTATAGTCTATTAAGCATGCAATAGCATTATGTCTTAAAAAAATGTACATACCTTAATTTAAAAATACTTTATTTCTAAAAAATGCTAATGATCATCTGAGCCTTCAGCGAGCCATAATCTTGTTGCTAATGGAGGGTCTTGCTTTGATGTTGATGATTGCTGAAGGCTGGGGTGGCTGTGGCAATTTCTCAAAATAAGACAACAGTGAACTTTGTCATATTGATTGACTTTTCCTTTCACAAAAGACTTCTCCATAGAATGTGATGCTGTTTGACAGCATTATACCCACAGTAGAACTTCTTTCAAATTGGAGTCAGTCCTCTCAAACCCTGCTGCTGCTTTATCAACTACATTTATGTAATATTCTAAGTCCTTTGTTGTCACTTCAACAACGTTCACAGCATCTTCACCAGGAGTAGAATCCATTTCAAGAAGCCATTTTCTTTGCTCATCCATAAGAAGCAACTCCTCATCCATTCAAGTTTGATCATGAGATTGCGGCAATTCAGTCACATCTTGAGGCACCACTTCTAATTCTAGTTCTCTTGCTGTTTCCACCACATGTGCGGTGACTTCTTCCACTGAAGTGTTAAACCTTTCAAAGTCATTTGTGAGGGTTGGAACCAACTTCTTCCAAACTTCTGAGAATATCAATATCTTGACCACCTTTCATGAATCGCAAATGTTCTTAATGGCATCTAAAATGGTTAATCCCTTCCAGAAGGTTTTCAATTTACTTGGCCCAGATACATCAGAGGAATCACTATCTATGACAGCTGTGGCCTTACCTAATGCTTTTCTTTTTTTCTTTTTTTTTTTTTTTTTTTGAGACGGAGTCTCACTCTGTTGCCCAGGCTGGAGTGCAGTGGCACCATCTCGGCTCACTGAAAGCTCTGCCTCCCAGGTTCACGCCATTCTCTTGCCCCAGTCTCCCAAGTAGCTGGGACTACAGTCACCCGCCACCATGCCCGGCTAATTTTTTGTATATTTAGTAGAGACGGGGTTTCAGCATGTTGGCCAGGATGGTCTCGATCTCCTGACCTCGTGATCCACCCACCTGAGCCTCTCAAAGTGCTGGGATTACAGGCGAGAGCCACCACACCCGGCCAGCCTAATGCATTTCTTAAACAATAAGACTTGAAAGTTGAAATTATTTCTTGATCCGTGGGCTGCAGAATGGTGGTTTTGCAAACTAGGCATTGAAGGAACATACCTCAAAATAACATGGGCAAACATTATAAGAAAGAATGATGTTGTAGCAAAAGAAACTATCAACAGAGTAAACAGACGACATACAAAATGGAATAAAAAATAATAACAGCCAACATTGTACTGAATGGGCAAAAGCTGGAAACATTCTTATCAAGAATTGGAACAAGACAAAGATGTCCACTTTCACCACTCCTATTCAACATAGTGCTGGAACTTCTGGCCAGAGCAATCAGACAAGAGAAAGAAATAAAAGGCATCCAAATAGGAAGAGAGAAAGTCAAACTATCTCTCTTTGGAGACAATATAATTCTATACCCAGAAAACCCCATAGTCTCTGCCCAAAGGCTCCTAAATCTGATTTTAAAACTTCAGCAAAGTTTCAGGATACAAAAGCAATGTCCAAAAGCCAGTAGCATTTATATACGCCAATAACATCCAAGCTGAGAGCTAAATCGAGGACACAATCCCATTTACAATGGCCATAAAAAGAATAAAATACCTATGTATTTTATTTCTGATACCTAGCCAATCAGAGAGGTGAAAGATTTCTACAATGAGCATCACAAAACACTGCTGAAAGAAATCAAAGATGACACAAACAAATGGAAAAGCATTCCATGCTCATCGATAGAAACAATCAATATTGTTAAAACGGCCATTCTGCCTAAAGCAATTTACTGACTCAATTCTATTCCTATCACACTACCAACGATGCTTTTTTCACAGAATTAGGAAAAAACTATTCTAAAATTCATTTGGAACCAAAAAAGAGCCCAAATAGCCAGACCGATCCTAAGCAAAAAGAACAAAGCTGGAGGCATCACACTACTCAACTTCAAACTATACTACAAGGCTGCAGTAACTAAAGCAGCATGCTACTAGTAAAGAAACAGATACATAGACCAATGAAACAGGTTAGACCGCCCAGAAATAAAGCCCCACACTTATAACCATCTGATCTTCAACAAAGTTGATAACAACAAGCACTGGGGAAAGGACTCCTTATTCAATAAATGATGCTGGGATAACTGGTTAGTCATATGCAGAAGATTGAAACTAGAGTCCTACCTTTCACTATATATCAAAATCAACTCATGATGGATTAAAGACTTAAATGTAAAATTGAAAACTATAAAAACCCTACAAGAAAACCTATTAAATACAATTCTGGTCATCAACCCTGATAAAAACTTCATGATGAAGATTCTAAAAGCAATTGCAACAACAACAACAAAAAATTAACAAGTAGGACCTAATTAAACTAAAGAGTTTCTGCACAGCAAAGGAAACCATCAACAGGGAAAACAGGCAACCTACAGAATGGGGAAAAAATATTTGCAAACTATGCATCCAACAAATATCTAATAACCAGAATCTATAAGGTACTTAAACAAATTAATAAGCAAAAAAAGTGGGCAAAGGATATGAACAGACACTTCTCAAAAGAAGAATACACATGGCTAACAAGCATATGAAAAAAAATGCCCAATATCAATAATCATTAGGGAAATGCAAATCAAAACCACAATGAGATACCATCTCATAGCAGTCAGAATGGCTGTTCTTAAAAGTCAAACAATAACAGATACTGGCAAGGTTGTAGAAAAAAGGGAATACATACACTGTTGGTGGGAATGTAAATTAGTTCAGCCACTGTGGAAAGCAGTGTGGAGATTTCTCAAATAACTTAGAATTATCATTCAACCCAGCAATCCCATTACTGAGTATATACCCAAAGGAATATAAATCATTCTACCATAAAGACACATGCACACATACATTCATCATAGCACTGTTCACAATAGCAAAGACATGGCACTAACCCAGGTGCCCATCAGTGGTAGAATGGATAAACAAAATGTGGTACATTTACACCATGGAATACTATGCAGCCATAAAAAAGAATGAAATCATGTCTTTAGCAGCAACATGGATGTAGCTAGAGGCCATCATCCTAAGCAATTTAATTCAGGAACAGAAAACCAAATACTGCATGTTCTCACTTATAAGTGGGAGCTAAACATTGAGCACACATTGACACAAAGAAGGGAACAATAGATACCAGGGCCTACTTGAAGGAAGAGGGTGGGAGGAGGGTAAGGATTAAAAAACTACCTATTGGCTATTCTGATGATTACCTGGGTGACAAAATTATCTGTACACCAAACCCCTGTGACATGCAATTTACCCATGTAATAAACCTGCACATGTACCCCTTGAACCTAAAAGCTGGAAAGAAGAAAAAAGAATGATGGTTGTATTAGCAGGCATGAAAACATTAATCTCCTTGTTACTCCCTATGAGAGCTCTTGGGTGACTGGGTTCACTGTCAATGAGTGGTAATATTTTGAAAGAACTTTTTTTTTTTCTAAGCAGTAGGTCTCAACAGTGGGTTTAAAATATTCAGTTAACCATGGTGTAAACCAGATATGCAGCCGTCCAGGTGTCGTTGTTCCATTTACAGAGCACAGGCAGAGTTGATTTAGCAGAGTTCTTAACTGCCCTGGGACTTTGGAAATAGTAAATGAGTGTTGGCTTCAACTTAAAGTCACCACCTGCATTAGTTCCTAACAAGAGAGTCAGCCTGTCCTTTGAAGCTTTGAAGCCGGGCATTGACTTCTCCTCTCTAGCTAAGAAGGTCCTAGATGGCATCTTCTTACAATGGAAGGCTGTTTTGTCTACACTGAAAATCTGTTGTCTAGAACTGCCACCTTCATCAATAATCCTAGCTAGATCTTTTGGATAATTTGCTGCAGCTTCTACATCAGCACTTGCTACCTCACCTTGCACTTTTATGTTATGAAGATGGCTTCTTTCCTTAATCCTCAAGAACCAACATTTGCTAGCCTCCAACTTTTCTTCTGCAGCTTCCTTACCTCCTTCAGGCTTCTAACTCTAGAATTAAAGAGAATTGGGGCCTTCCTCTGGATTAGGCTTTGGCTTAAGGGAATATTTTGCCTTGTTTGATCTTCTATCCAGGTCACTAAACCTTTCTCCACATCAGCAATAAGGCTCTTTCATTTTCTTATCATTTATGTGTTCACTGAAGTAGCACTTTAAATTTCCTTCAACAACTTTTTTTTTGCATTTACAATTTAGCTAACCATTTGGTGCAAGAGGCCTCACTTTCAGCCTATCTCAGTTTTAGACATGCCTTACTCACTAAGCTTAATCATTTCTAGCTTTGATTTAAAGTGAGAAATGGGGGACTCTTCCTTTTATTTGAGCATTTAGAGACCATTGTAGGGTTATTAATTGGCCTAGTTTTACTATTCCTTTGTCTCAGGAAATAAGGAGGTCTGAGGAGAAGGAAAGAGATGGGGGAATGGCCAGTGTGTGGAACAATCAGAACACACACTACGTATATTAAGTTCGCCATCTTATACGGGTGCAGTTTGTGGTGCCTCCAAAACAATTATAACAGTGACTTCAAAGATCACTGATTACAGATCACCATAACAGATATAATAATGAAAAGGCTTGAAATACTGTGAGAATTACCAAGTGCCAAGTGTGGTGCAAAATGAGCATATGCTGTTGGAAAAATGGTGCTCATCAATAGACTTGCTTGATGCAGGGTTGCCACAAAACCAGCCTTCATAAAACATGCAATATCTACAAAGTGCAATAAAGCAGGGTATCCCTGTACTTATCGAGTATTAAATTATGTTGTGACTTCTTTCTTTCCTTGACTGTCCGTCGGGCCAGAGCCAGATTTTGGATTCATGCGTGTGCAGGCTGCTCAGTGTCCATGCTTGTCACGGGTGTTGGCATTGGAATCAGAGGCAGCATCTGCTCTGTCCTAGCTCACAGGCTTCCTCTGGCAGAGCACAGGGACCAGGGCTCCAGGTTAGGCTGCAGGTCAGGAACGAGTTAGTTCAGAATGAAGGCAGGTACTGTGTTTCATTTTGGTTTTATTCTGTTATGATTTCCTTGCTTCTCTTTCCTGGTGAGGCTTCATCTTACCTGTCCTTGGCCAGTCCTTCCCCAGATCTTTCTGGTAATGAGCTTTGTTAGCTCAATTAAATAATGCCACATTCCCACAAAAGCTCCGTGAGTGACAAAGGATTGGCTCCAAGCATCCAATTGCCAAGCCTCACATGGCTTCCTGAGTATCAGGTGACCTACATCCTTCCTGCATTTCTGAAAAGTCATCAGTTAAAATAACTCTGGAGCTCCAGGAAGACTGGGCAGCTGGTATAGCCCTTTGCAAAGGTGAAAGCCCTAAAATCACACATGACAGCTGGTCAAGGTGTCCCCAAGAGCTGGTCAAGGTGTCCCCAAGAGCTGGTCAAACACAAACTAGACCAAGGATGTCTGCACATCAGAAAAGCTCCACTTAGAAAACAAGGAATAAAAACAACACGGGAGAATAAGGTATATATGTGGCTCACGTTACATTTCCCTTGGATAGCGCCGCTCTTGCGGCAGACTTGCCAGGTGCCAAGCTCTCTCCCCTCCCCTCCCTGTGTGTTTCATGAGCTATTTCCCACTGGTACATCCTCCTCTTTACTCTCTGGCACAGCCAATCCTGCAGCTTCCCAAAAGTCCAGCCCAGTCTTCTCCATTCAAGCCAAATTGAGTCCTGCCAAGCTTTGTTCTCTGATAACTCACTCAAGTCTGGGGACCGACGTATATCTCCTAGATGTGACCCTGCCTCAGGTTTATAACATCATTGAATCGGCCAAAATGAAGTTAAGAACCTTGGCTTCCATTGGCCTCTTCCTCCAAAGAACCCAGATTCTGTGCAATGATAAACCAGGCAACTGATAGGTACACAGCTTGGTGGCTTCTGCAGAGCCTCCTGCACTTGTAAACATTCATCATTCAAACCCTGGGCAATGTTAAAACAGCATCACATCACACAGTGCATTTCCCATTTCAAAGCCTCTGAAAATGACAGGAAGATGGTTCCCAGAGCACCCTCAGAGCCCCCTCCCAGAGACCACAACAACTGGTTACCAGAAAGAACACAGGTTATGTCTCTCGTTCCCACAACTTATGATACCAGCGCACAGATATCAGATGTGTAAAAGCCTGACCCACAGCTTCCTTACAATATAAACACATCATTTCTACCCTATTTCTTTTCTTGGACTGGTGTCTGATGGGGAGAACCTACACTTCCACCACCAATAGGGAGGATTAGTTTTCTGTTTCTTTTTTTGGTCTGCGATGTTACTTATTTCTTAATTAGCATTTGTGCTGACATTTCTCCTGCTATCTTAGAGCCTAGAAATGACTTATTTGGGGAAAGCTTAAAAAGGTATTCATTCAGCCTTTCTTTCCCCAGTGGGAAATGCGATAGAGGAGAAAAACAATTGGATGCCCTTCACTCACTCAAAATCTTCAAGAATTTAAACCATCTCCACCAGCATGAAAAGTACTCAACAGTAAGGGGCATGGTAAGGAAGAAAACGGATCTAAATACATACGACTCCGTACAGAAGGGATGAGGGTTCTGTAGGGCAGATACACACAGATACTCAAATATAGACTTCAGCATAAATAGATACTTCATTTAAATACATTCGGCCAACAGACATATGTGGAATTATGGGGCACCACTATTTGAAACTCACAATGGCACCAAGGCTGGCTCTGACCACCATCTCTACCTTTCCCATCCAAGAGCTGCTTCAGGTGGAGAGAGGTGAGGCAGAGAAAACTGATCATGATGACACAGCTGCTGCTGGTAATGCTTGTTATGAACACACCAAGCCCTGTGCTGAGTGCCTGGCATTAATGGTTCATTTAACCCCACCATCCTTGTGAGTTGGGTGTGACGCCAGGTGGACAAATGAAGGTGGGAAGGTACAAAGGGGCCATGCAATATGCCCAAGGTCAATGATAGGGCTGAGATCTAGACCCAGCTTCATGCAGCTCTCTGCATATGTGCTAACCATGGAGTGCAGTTGGCCCTCCAAATCTGGAATCAGCATCCCTGGATTCAACCAACTGTGAATAAGAAATATTACAAAAAAAAAAAAAAGATGGTTGCATCTGTACTGAACATGTACAGGCTTTTTTCTCATCATTATTCCCTAAACAATGTAACACAACAACTATTTACATAGCGTTAGGTATTATACGTAGTCCAGAGATGATTTAAAGTATAACGGAGTATGTGCATAGGGTGTATGCAAACGGGGACTTGAACATCTGTGGATTTTGGTATCCATGGGGTTGAGAGTGGGAGGTCCTAGAAACAATCCTGTTTGGATACAGAGGGATGACTATATATTTCCTTTCAAGAGAAAACCAAGAAGGAAATTATTCATTTGTTCATTCTTTCATTCATCCATTTCCTTTGCAAGTGTTCACTGAATGTACAATGGAGGAGACTCCCTATTGATCTCTGATAAAACATTAACTGTAGAGCCCTTTGTGGGCCTTCTTGGAAAACAAAGTGGTCAATGATGATTCCTACACCCAGTCAACCCCGCACACCCCTGGAGAAACTCAGAACCCTCCAGCCTCCTTTTCTTCTCTCTAGAATTAAAGAGCTACCTGTTCCTGGGAAGACTATTTACCATCTGAACAGCATCAGGACATTGGGGTAACCAAGATAGGTTTTAATCAAGCACAAAGCCAATTTTCCTCTGCAGAGAATAACACAGAAGCTCCAAATCATTGAGCAAGGATGCGGTAAAAACCTTAATAATAAGAACTGACATTTGTTGAAGATTTACTTTTTGTCAGGCACTGAGCATATTTAATTTTCAGAACTCTATACAATAGGGACTGTCATTATTGCCTGGTTTACAGCTGAGGAAATTAGGGCTAAGAGCGTTAACCTGCCTGGGTCACACAAACAAACGCCAGTGTTTGAACATAGGTCTTTCTGATTGAATCCACGCTCAGCATCAATGCTAGACACACATTCCCAAAGTCTGAAGTGCTGCACAGAGAGGCCGAAGCGATGATGGCCCCATGCAACACGAGTCATGGAATGGTGCTATTATTTCTTTTTTTTTTTTAATTATACTTTAAGTTCTGGGATACATGTGCAGAACATGCAGGTTTGACAAATGGGATCTAATTAAACTAAAGAGCTTCTGCACAGCAAAAGAAACTATCATCAGAGTGAACAGGCAACCTACAGAATGGGAAAAAATGTTTTGCAATCTACCCATCTGACAAAGGGCTAATATCCAGAATCTACAAGGAACTTAAATTTACAAGAGAAAAATGAACAACCCCATCAAAAAGTGGGCAAAGGATATGAACAGACACATCTCAAAAGAAGACATTTATGCAGCCAACAAACATATGAAAAAAAGCTCATCATCACTGGTCATTAGAGAAATGCAAATCAAAACCACAATGAGATACCATCTCACACCAATTAGAATGGTGATCATTAGAAAGTCAGGAAACAACAGATGCTGGAGAGGATGTGGAGAAATAGGAACGCTTTTACACTGCTGGTAGGAGTACAAATTGGCTCTATTATTTCTAAGCCACAGGCTGTGACCTGCTTACTTCAATGCATATTAAATGCCTGGACTATTTAGAACTATCAAAAAATAGTGCAAAAATTTCAGCCTATTATCTTAACAATGCAAACCTAGAGTCCTCATCCAAGACTCATTTATGTTGTTTCCATAGTAAATATTATTTTCTGCTACAAAGGGCTCCACCAGAAAAGAGAAGGCACATAGTCATGTCAACACCCTCCCCTGATGCAGTGGCTCACCTCCCTGATCCATTCCAGAAAACTGAAAGTTCATCTCCTAGGTGATCCAGGTTTTGAAAGGAGACGATGGGGAGGGGGACTCAGGCTGGGGTTAAATCCTGAGGTGGCACCAAGAGAGACTGAATTTCAAATGTCACCTGTAGGAGATGTCCCCAGTTAGAGAAAGCAGGGAGTGTGAGGCTGGTGTCTGCATCTTTTCCCTTGTGCAATATCTAAATGCATTAGATGAGAGGAGCTTTTGAGAAAATGCTTCAGTTCATGATTTTGTACAACGTGCCCCTGACACTGTCTGTTAGGCTTTGAGGAGAGAGACAGACAAGAAGGAAATGCTCAAAAACATTAGCTGTGGCTGCTGCCTGCTGTTTTTCAGCTGGCAAAGAAACACACATTGGCTGTGTGCCTGGCAGACCAGGTCCTGGGATACTGGTTTGGAGTATCAATTCTTGGAAATCCTGCTCCAAGAAGCCACGAGTTCAACAGGAACTTTGCTCACCCTTCACCCTGAAGCCAGGCTCCTCTGGGCATGGAAGGAATCTGTCTCTCACTCAGTCCTGGGGCAGCCAGCATTAACCTCCTGTGTCATTGGAAACATATTTAGGAGAGGGGTCGAAGAGGGAGACAGTATGGAGGGAACCAAGGGGTGGAAGGACACCTTATGGCCAGGCCCCTTCTTCATCAGTAGGAGACTAGGGACTGCAGGTGAAACCACAAGGGAGAAGAAAAGTGTGATTTCTCTAGTGAGCTCATTCTGCGCACCTTGCCTTCCCATTCTGCGCTTCACACCCATTGAGGATTTACACACAGAAAACTGGAAGACGAGGGAAGAGAGGTGTCTTAGTCCGTCTGTGCTGCTGTAATAAAATACCTGAGATGGGTAATGTATGAAAAAGACAAGTCTCTTTCTTACAGTTCTGGAGGCTGGGAAGTCCAAGACCCAGGCGCTGCAGGCTCCCTGTCTGCAAGTCTGCTTCCAGGGGGCCTCCAACCTGTGTCCTTGCAGGCAATGGGGTGAACACCATGGGAAGCCTCTATGAAGCCCTTCCTCCCATTCACCAGGGCTTGCACTTAGGACTCAGTCAACCCCTAAGGACCCACTTTTTTTTTCTTTTTCTTTTTTTTTTTTTTTGAGACAGGGTTTCATTTTGTCCCCAGGCCGAAATGCAGTGGTGCCAACACAACTCACTGCAGCCTCGACCTCCTGGGCTCAAGTGATCCTCCCACCTCAGCCCCCCAAGTAGCTGGGACTATAGGTACCGACACCATGCCTGGCCAATTTTTGTATTTTTTTTAAGACGGGGTCTCACTATGTTGTCCAGGCTGGTCTCAAACTCCTGAGGTCAAGTGATCCTCCTGCCCTGGCCTCCCAAAGTGCTGGGTCTTAATACCATTCCATTTGCGAGTAAGTTTCAAGGTATGATTTGAGGGGACACTGAGACGGTAGCAAGCAGTGAAGCCCCATCCCGCTGGTCTGCACCGTGAGCTGGCCGCCCCTCCCCGTGTGTGCAGGGCAAACAGCTCCGGCCGTGGCCTGCGCTGGGAGTGTGAGCAGGAAGGAGGCGCGCTCATCCATCCAAGAGGCTTATCCCGCGAGCACAAGGGAGCCGGGGCCTGGGCCGCCGTGGGAAGGGGCTCCTGCCTTCCGGGGACGCGGTCAGGGAAGTCCAGCCGGGGTGCTCTCTGCACTGCGGGTGCCGGGCTCGGCAGAGGCCAACCCGGCAAAACGAGCAGGATCTCCCGGCCCCACCCTCGTGGGCTCCGCCTGCCCCAGCAGCCATCCTGCCATCCTCCCTGCGAGACAGGTGACTTTCCTCTCTGATGCGGTGCATCTGTCGTCTGTCTAACGGGCCCAGTCCCCAGTGAAACACCCCCAACCAAAGACACGAAGGGGAAGGCGCAAGCTTCTACCAAGCTCAGTTTGCCCATCTGGTGCCCACCTGCCTCGTATTTGGTGACTTGGAGGAGAGGAAGGTCGTTTAGCCATTTTATCGTAGCTCTCTGAGCTTCCCAAGGGCCCTCCACGCCTCTCAGAGGGCAAGGCGTTGCCCTGCTTAGCCCGACTTCATCGTCTTCCCTTTCCAACAGGCCGCTAAAAATGGCCTGCGAGTGTGGACGGCTCTGACGTTGCAAAACCGCGCAAGAAACAAGGGCCGCAGGTGCAGGCGGGGGCCGAGGCCCTCCCCAGCCAGAGCGGGCAGCCCTGTTGCTTCTTATTTAAATTCTTGTTTTCTATCCTATTTCGAGGTCCTCTCTGGGATTTGAGGAATGTGGAGACGTGCCAGAAGTGACACCGAGCACTGAGCGGTCAGGCTGGCCGGAGGCGGGGCGTTCAGGGACACGTGCCCCACGCGGGCGCGCCTGGGCCTTGGAACAGAGGCTGGGAGGGGTGAGGGCGAGGCTGGGGTGGCTGGAGAGGGCTGGCTGCGGGCTGGGCAGAGAAAGAGGCTTTGAGACTCCCGAGCAACTTTATAATGCAGGAGAAAAGTTAGCCTTTTAAATGAGGTTAAGTACCCCGAGAGTGATGGTAAATAGAACAGGCAGCTCTTTAAGTGGAAATAAAGTGCTTTCAGTACCGTCATAAAGCTGCAAAACGCAGCTTAGCTGGGAGAAGTGGATTTCACGTGGGAGAGAGAGCAAATTAGAATGCAGGCTCAAGAGCGATTTAAGAGGGGCCCTTCAACCACGGAAAGAAAGGGAGAGGGAGAAGGGAGGAGAAAGAGAGAGTCTGATTGATTGATTATGGCCAACTGTGAGAAGCAGAATTCCACACTGAGGTCTGGCAGCACCCTAACAGGCACTTCTGCTCTCCCCCCACGATGTGCCCACCCCACCTCTTGCAGCCGAGCAATGCAACCTCAATAGGAAAACAATCTGACTTCAGTGCAATTTCACTCCTAAGGATTTTCCACATATTTAAAGATGCTTTGCATATTTTTTTTCTAAAATCCCCCATGAGACTCTACAGTATGTTCCTGAATTCTTTTTAACCTCTTAACTTGTCAAAAGAGCATTTCAAACCCTAGATCTCAGGGGTCCCTGCCAGGCATTTTCAAGTTTGATTTTTGTGGGGAGGACATCAACAAGTTAAAACCTAAATGAGCAACAAAGTAAGTGTCATTTTGTGTTTTCTTGGGTTAAGACAAACAATAAAGGCTGGCTTGATATGTTAACAACATTCCCGATTTACTTGGTCAGAACCCAAACCCCAAAGAGGCTGAATTGAAGTTACATTCTGTCTCCCGCTGCAGCGAGGTGACGTGCGTTATCAGTTTTGTCTTCCATGTCTTCCTCATCCTGCTGTTTGCTCCACGGCTCTTGACAGGATGGAGACGAGGAAAGAACTTCCACATCCACATTCAAAACGTCTGCCAGAACTCCCTCAGGCAAGTAAGAGATGATTTCTCTTCGAGAGCTTTGCATGTTGATGAGACAGTGAGTCAGGAAGAGATTGGATTGAACTTGCTTGAATATAAAGCTGCTTGAGATTTTCAAATTGGAGTCTTGTACCCTTTCTATAGAAAAAGTCACTGGCTTGTCACTACTCGGAGCATGAATTTCCACGTTACTAGAGTTTCTTTGATCTTTAGAGAGAAAGTGTGAAATAGTTAAAGGCTTGAAAGTGGCCAGAAAATTCATAAACATGCATTCAAAAATAATTTCATTCCGTTCTAAAATTAGAAATGGAAAAAGTCAAGGGAATCAAAACAAGTTGTTAAAATCAGTATTCATGTTGGATCAAATCTTTGTTTGTTTCAAATTCATTTTATTGATTCTTGAAAAGCCCTGGGAGGAGGTGACTCATACTATTCCCTCTGAACATAGTTGCAAACCATGTTCCTGAGAAAGGATGACTCTCCCAAAATATATGGCATGCAGCGGGGCAGGGGCCTGGGCCTCAGAGCCTTTTCCCTTGTCGGAATGCAAACTTCCATTCTGGGAATGTAAATTGTGTAGATGATAATATCATGCTTTGGCTGTTGGAAGAAGAAGCATTCAGGAAACGTGCCTCAGGCATATTCAGTTTGTTGAAAAACTAAGAATGTCACATATACAGTTTGGCCACCTACTTCACAGTGGTAACTTAATATAGCATTGTTATTTTTCTATACAGCCAGAATGCTAAATTTGATAGTTGAATAGTTACTGGATTTGTTTCAGAAGGAAACGTCTAGATTCTATGCTGAACAGCTCTCTAAAGGAACAACAGAAGCAGAATATTTTTCTAGAAGACATAGAATTTGGCTAGGGCACTTAAAAAAATCTATTAATAGATCCTCATGCCAGAGATTCAATAACATACTAGTGTCCTGAGCAAATTGTACAAGGCACTGTGCCTGGCCCACCCTTCTGCCCCACTGGGCCTGGGTTAACAGCCCAGTGTGTCTAGGCTGGGCACTGGCATGTCTAGATGCACTGACTTTTTTCTTATGTACACACACTTAGAGTTTACAGGTACATGTTCTTCTTTGTGTGTTTGCTATATTTGATAGAGAGCTATCTTTTTTCTTAAATGGATGGAATACAATTATTTAACATATCTTTTTCCTTAAGTGGATGGAATATAATGTATTTAACAATTCTTCCTGTTGTTTCTAATCCAATGGCTAAACACCCAAACAAACGAGCCCTGATTTGAATTTGCAATTTCCTGAGACTGGACATTTTTATATATGTTTATTAGCTACCTGTATTTCGTTTTCTGTAAATAGCCTATTTATTTTGTCAATTTTTCTGTTTCGTTGTTTGCATTGTTCTTATGGTTTTGTGGATGCTCATTATACATTCCGGATACTATTTATTTGTTTGATAAAATCTCCCTGTCTGTTACTTGTCTTCTCCAAATGTTTCCGAACAGCTATTCTTGTGCATTTTCTTTTGCATATAAACTTGAGAATCAATTTGACAATTCCAACTAAAAAGAGAAATCTTTGAATTTTTATTGTGATTGAAATGAGTTTATATTATTTGGGAAGAATTGCAATCTTTATAATATTCAGGCATCCTTTCAGGAAAATGATAGGTCTTTCTATTTATTCAAAATGATTTGTGTTCTTTAAGGTTCAACTGTAGATTTCCAATAGATAGCCTCTATTAGGTTGAGGGAATATTTTCTTTTTTTTTTTTTTTTTTTTTTTTTTTGAGACAGAGTCTCGCTGTCGCCCAGGCTGGACTGCAGTGGCGCAATCTCGGCTCACTGCAGTCTCCGCCCCCTGGGGTTCACGCCATTCTCCTGCCTCAGCCTCCCAAGTAGCTGGGACTACAGGCGCCCGCCACCTCGCCCGGCTAATTTTTTTTTTGTATTTTTAGTAGAGACGGGGTTTCACCGTGTTAGCCAGGATGGTCTCGATCTCCTGACCTCGTGATCCGCCCGCCTCGGCCTCCCAAAGTGCTGGGATTACAGGCGTGAGCCACCGCGCCCGGCCGGAATATTTTCTATTAATAAGTGAGCAAGGATTTTTCCTTAATTAGGAAAAAATATTGAATATTTTAAAATAATTTTATATCCATTGAGAGAATACATAGTTTTTCTCCTTTGTCCATGAAGGGGATAAACTATGTCAGTAGATTTTCTGATATTGAACCATTCTTACATTCGAGATATTAGTCCTGATTCTTCATAATATTTTACTTCTTTATTATAAAATTAAAATCAGTGAGCTAAAATTTACTTGGAATTTTCATATTTATGTTCATAATTATATAAACCATAATTATATGATTTTTTTTTCTTGTACTCTTACCTAGTTTGGGATAAGGATTATATGAACTTTATACAATGAGTTGGGACATGTTGATATGGTTTGGCTGTGTCCCCAGCCCAATCTCATCTTAAATTGTAGCTCTCATAATTCCCAGGTGTCATGGAAGGGACACGGTGGGAGGTAATTGAATCATGGGGGGGGGGGGTCTTTCCCATGCTGTTCTCATGATAGTGAATAAGTCTCACAAGATCTGATAGTTGTATAAAGGGCAGTTCCCCTGCACACATCCTCTTGTCTGCTGCCATGTAAGAAGTTCCTTTGCTCTTCCTTTGTCTTCCACCCTGATTATGAGGCCTCTCCAGCCATGTGGAACTGTGAGTCAATTAAACCTCTTTCCTTTATAAATTACCCAGTCTTGGGTATGTCTTTATTAGCAGCATGAGAGCAGACTAATACACATGTCTTGTCCATTTCCTGTTGCTGTAACAGAATACCACAGACTGGATAATTTATAAAGAAAATAAGTTTTTTGGCTCATGGTTCTGAAGGCTGGTAAGTCCAATAGCATGTTGATGGCCTCTGGCAAGGGTCATTCCACTCCCGAGATAACAGCATTGACCCACTTATGGTGCCCCCATGACATAATTCTCAAAGGCCCCTCTTCTTAATACTATTACAGTGGCAATGAAATTTCAGCATGAGTTTCAAAGGGCTCAAGCATTCAAATCAAAGCAGAACATATGTCTCATTTTTTACTTACTGAAAAAAACATATGTAAGATAGGGAATACTTATTCCTTGCAAATTTGGTAAAACCTACCTATAACCTCTGGGTCTGGGACTTTTTCAGGGACAGGGTAAAGTGTTTTTGAAGGGAGGATTCTCACAACAAGCTGGATACTTTGGTAGGCCTATAGGTTACTTTCTGTTATAATTCTACCCTCTGCTTCCATGATTTAAGATGAATGCTTACAGCTTTCAGCTGTGTTTGCTCTCAAATTTATTTACAAGTATACCTGTATAATTATTTTATTTAATTTAACATTATATAGACCAATGGAATAGTTGCCAAAAAAAAGAGTTTTCATTTTCATGAAGACTAAGTTGAATACTTTAGGAGGACTAGATATAATTGAGTCACTTAGATAAATGATTGGTACTTAAATGTTCTAATACAACTGGAAACAATGGGTGGATGCAGGAATTTATATCCTTATTACTCAAAGTGTGGCCCATGCACCAGTATCACCTGGAAGCCTGTTAGAAATGCCAAATCTCAGAACCCCACCCACACCTACTGAGTCAGACTCTGCATTTTAACAAGATCCCCAAGACACTTGTTTGCACATTGAAGTTTGAGAAGCTCTGATTTACAAGAATTCCACAATTGGAGTACAATTGTGCCCCCTTTATCTGACGTTTCCCTTTCCTCAGTTTCCATTACCCAAAGTCAACCATGGTCCAAGAATATTAAGTGGAAAATTCCAGAAGTAAACAATTTATAAATTCTAAGTTGCAGACTGTTCTAAGTGGCATGATGAATTCTCTTGCTGTCCCACTCCATCCGGCCCAGGATTTAAATAATCTTTTATCCAGCTGTAGATACTCCCCACCTGTTGGTCACCTAGTAGCCATCTTGTTTAGCAGATTGACTGTCATGGTATCAGCATCACAGTGCCCTGTGTTCAAGTTACTCTTATTTTGGTTAATAGTGACCCCAGAGGGCAAGAGTAGTGATGCTGACAACTCAAATATGCCAAAGAGAAGCCATAAAGTGCTTCCTTTAAGTGAAAAGGTGAAAGTTCTCAACTTAATAAGGTTAACAAATACTATGCTTATGTTGCTAAGATCTGCGGTAAGAATGAACCTGCTATCTGTAAAATTGTAAAGAGGGAAAAAGAAATTTGTGCTACTTTTGCTGTCATACCTCCAGCTGCAAAAGTTATGGCCGCAGTGTTGATAAGTATTTAGTTAAGGTGGGAAAGGCATTACATCTGTGGATGGAAGACTTAAACAAAAATGTGTTCTGACTAGGCCAAGGTGGGCAGATCAGGAGGTCAGGAGATCGAGACCATCCTGGCTAACATGGTGAAACCCCGTCTCTACTAAAAATACAAAAAATTAGCTGGACTTGGTGGCGGGCGCCTGTAGTCCCAGCTTCTTGGGAGGCTGAGGCAGGAGAATGGCGTGAACCCAGGAGGCGGAGCTGGCAGTGAGCCGAGATGGCGCCACTGCACTCCAGCCTGGGCAACAGAGCAAGACTCTGTCTCCAAAAAAAAAAAAAATGTTCCGACTGACAGTAATCATGTTTGGTATCTGTGGTTTCAAGCATCCACTAGGGGTCCTGGGACATATCCCGCATGGATTAGGTGGCATTACTGAACAGTATATGTTTTAACATTTTCCCTTTGTTTCAAAAATCAAAACCCATAAATATCAAAAGTGAACTATAAGTGTTTACATAAGAAAAATGAGGTAGAAATCCAATCAGAAGTCCAATTTTAAAGAGAAGGCATTAACCCTGCATAAAACATTGGTGAGTGAATATATGTTTTTATGGTTTCAATTAAAGTAAAAGTTTGAGATCCATAATGACTTTCTTTATAATTCTTCACTTTAAACACTTTTTTCACTTAACCAACTGATTATTGGCCTGGACTGTGTTGGATAAGAGGGATTCTACTGTAATTTATATTTTCCTGGATTAGCATTACTTTCATCTAAAGTCTCAAAAATATTGACATAGAGCTGTATTCAGTTCTAATCTTTTTATAACTTCAATTTTGGACACCTTTTCACTTCAAATGCTTTCATTTATGCCTGGGTCTGCTTACTGTTTTTGTTTTTTACTTGTTCAGAATGGCCAGAAATTTATTTAAATTATTTTTTATTTTCAAAGCACTACCATTCTGCTTGTTTATACTCTCTTTCACTGATGTTTACTTTTATTTTTATTATTTTCTTACTTTTGCTATCTTTGCACTTATTTTATTATTTTTTTCTGCCTCTCTTGTTTTCTAGCACCAGGATTGAGAGCTACAAATTTTCCTCTGATGACTGCTTTGTCCATGTCTTTCATGACGTGGTACTCTCATGGACATTCATTTTTCAATCCATAACTAACTGCAGTTATTTAGTTTTTATTTTCTTTTTTATCTTAAGGGGTGTTTTAAAATATTGAAATAGAACCATTTTGCCAGCCTTTTGATATTAATGCTTACTTTTTCTGCAGTCTGTTCAGAAAAGGTGGCTTATCTGATTTTTTGATTTTGGAATTTCTTAAGATGTTCTCTGTGTTCTACCTTAGCAACAATTTTTGTGGATATTCTGTTTGTGTTTGAGAAGAGGGTATGGTCTTTGTTGGCATAAGAGAAATGTGTCTGTATGTATAGATTTATATACATTTATAGTTAAGCTTGTTAATTATGCTATTCTACTCTTCTACATCCTTTTTTTTTTTTTTTTGTCTCCCTTGTCAAACTGCCCACCCAGCAGTTATTCCACTCCACTTTATTTGCCCATACACCCTGATATTTTTTTCAGGGGTAGCAATATGCCCATGCTAGGAGACAAATGATGATTAAATCTAAGCCAGCATTTCTTAACAGAGGCCTTGCTGACATTTTGCTCCTGCATAGGACACTGATGTAAGAGCATAAGATCTAGAGCTATGGCAGCCATCTTGTGATCATTAGGCATGTTTACTCGTTTTCAAGTTTATTTGCTCACCGCTTCTGGTGTAGTCTTCATGTTTCCTTTGTATTTATTTTTGTTTTGCTCACGCACATTTCTTTAAAAAAAAATCCATCATAGACGGTCCATCAGTGGTACATTTTCTGAGTTCTTGGTGCCTAACAATGTCTGTTGTTTGTCTGCTATAGTTTTGCATTTCACTGACCTTGGGCCTGATCTCCCCAAACCCTCCTGCCTCACATTGTTTTCTCCAGTATTCATTTTGCTCTGGCTTTATTTTTCATGGGAGTTCATCCTGTTTGCGTTCTGTCTTTCAGAAACTGTTCAAGATCTCTCTTACCCCATGGCACTCTTTTATTTTCCTGCATCACTAAGGATTTTATTTTAAAATTTTCTTTTCTTGTCATTTTGTGGGAATTGGGGTTGAAATGATGGTAGATACATGAGTTCAGTCAGTCATCATAATTCCATATACAACTTTTTTAACAGAAAAATCAATAATTCACTCTTTAGAAATGTATAGAGCAGTAACAGTTTTCAAGTGATTCCATTTGGGCTTAGGAATAGGCTGATTCCTGTTCTGTGGGTTTTTTTCCTCCCCTGGCTATGTTTTATGTTCTCTGTTTCTGGTACCATTTAAAATATGCACTTTCTTCTAAGCAGATCCCCAGCCTAAACAGAGAGCAAAGCACAAATATACATCACACTGGAGACAGGCCAGGCTTGGCATCCAGTAGCTCTTCAATTTAGGTTTGCCCTGCCACCCAAAGAGGGCATACTTAAGGCTTGGCGCGGTGGCTCACGCCTGTAATTCCAACACTTTGGGAGGTGAGGTGGGCAGATCACTTGAGGCCAGGAGTTTGAGACAAGACTCGCCAACATGGTAAAACCCTGTCTCTACTAAAAATACAAAAAGAGGCAGGAGAATCACTTGAACTGGGAGGTGGAAGTTGCAATTAGCCTAGATGGTGCCACTGCACTACAGCCTGGGCGACAGAGTGAGACTCTGTCTCAAAAACAAAACAAAACAAAACACCACCACAAAACACACACAAAGTGGGCACCCTTTATTCCATTGAGCAACCTTGCCCCAATTTCCAGTAATATTTTCCTCAAATAAAAATGTGGTCTCCTAGGTACATACCAGGCAGCTCTTGTTTAAAGTGGAGAATTTACCAAAAGTAAGTGATAGAACCAGGGGCCCTTGTACCTGTGGCTCAGGCCCCATGGGAACTGCGATCTGTTTATGGGCTTTAAGCAGAAAGCCCCAGGTTCTAAGGGGTCAGGGTGCCAAGGTGGCCTGGATAAGTGGATTAGGGGTTTGGAGCCAATGTCCACTCTCCATGTGTGACCCAGGGCAAACTATTGAGACTCTGCAGACTGCATGTCCTTAACCATGAGATGGTGAAATAGCCATGTCTGCTTCATGGTTCCATTGTAACAAGTAAATCACATGCATGGTGCTCAAGGCCAGGGTTGGCACCCTATGAGCACTCTGTAGGCTGCAACCGCTGCTCTCACTGCAACCCCTGAGGTGCCTGTCCTCACCACCAGCTGCACATTCCAGGATGAAGTTTGGATGCTTGCATCATCAGGAGTCACCAGGAACAGCCTAAGTACTGATGTAAACATAAATCTTAAAATGCTGCTGTCTACAGATACAAAAAATACAGGCACCCAGGTCAAACTAGGCAATGCGATGTGTGTGTTCATGCTTTATGTGTGTGCAGTCAAGTGCCGCATAGTGACGTCTGGGTCAACACTGGACCACATAGGGTCCGGTGGTCCCTTAGGTTACAGTGCAGCTGAAAAATTCCTATCATCTAGTGACCAACGCATTGCTGACGCAAATCTGTGATGAAAAGAAGAAACAAACCAAGCAAACCATCATGATCGTGTTTCTGAAAAGAGTGACATCTCCTCAAGAAGAGCCTCAGGCAGGTCCTGCAGGAGGGACTCCAGAAAAAGGCATTGTTATCACAGATGACAGCTCCATGCGCACAGATGACAGCTCCATGCGTGTTACTGTCCCTGAAGACCTTCCAGTGGGACAAGAAGTGGAGGTGGAAGACAGTGATATGGATGATACTGACCCTGTGGAGGCCTCGGCTAATGTATGTGTTTGTGTCTTGGTTTTTTTTTTTTTTTTCACAAAACAATTCAAACGGTTTAAAAAATTAAACATTTTAAAATAGAAAAAAGCTTATAGAATAGGGATAGAAAGAAAATATTTTTGTCCAGCTATACAATGTGTTTGTGTCTTAAGCAAAGAATTATTATAAAAGAGTAAAAATGTTTTTTAAAAAAATTTAAGTTTAGACAGTAAAAATGTTATGGTAGGCTAAGGTTAATTAATTATTAAAGAAAGAAAATTTTTAATAAACTTAGTGTAGTCTAAGTGTACAGTATTTATAATGTCTGCTTGAGTATACAGTAATGTCCTAGGCCTTCACATTCACCCCCACTCACTGACTCACCCAGAGCAACTTGCAACCCTGCCAGCTCCATTCATGGTGAGTGTCCTATACAGGTGTACCATTTTTTATTTTTTAGACTGTATTTTTACTGTACCTTTTCTATGTTTATATTGTTTCAATATACAAATACTTGCTATTGTATTACAGTTGCCTACAATTTTCAATAAAGTAACATGCCGAACAGGTTTATAGTCTAGGAGCAATAGGCTATATTAGACAGCCTAAGTGTGTATGCAGCTAGGTTTGTGTGAGTACACTATGATGTTCGCACAAGGACACAATCACCTAATGATGCATTTCTTAGGCAGATCCACATCGTTAAGCAATGCATGACTATATATGCTTATATGAGTGTGTGCATGTACATGTTTGTGGGTATGTATGTGGATGTATATAAATGTGAATGTATATACATGTGTATGTTCGTGTTTTTCCATGTATACGTGCTTGTGTGTGTATGTATACATGAATGGTATATATCTTTGTGGATGTAAGTGTGTAAGGGTGTATGCAAATGTGCATAATTGTGTGTGTTTATATATGTTTTGGGGGATAACACATGATGTCAGAGTGTAAATCTATGCATCTCATTCCTTCAGCCCTACCTAGGTCTCACAGAGTTTCTCAGTTTACAAAAATCACTGTCAGGTACAGCTATGCTGATACTCATTCACACAGTGTCCAAAGGGATGTTCCAACTGTCTTTATAGCATTTGCATTAGCATAAATATTACATTAGTGGGACCATTTAGAATGGGCTTCTCTCTCAAGAGACTCCACAACACAATTCTTGAAACACTCAAGTCTGACAAATGGGGATCACATTTAAATAAAATATTGAGACAACTCAGTTAAGTGACTGACAACCAGAGGGGGAGCGAGGCATAGTTAATAATTTCTTCTTAAAGAAAAAATGTATTTCTAAAATACTTGTGGATCTGTTTCCTAAATTGCTTCATAATCTATAGAGGCAATTGCCCTTTAAACATCTTGCATAATATTAATGTCCTTTTAAAGTTATAATCAACTTTCTTTCCATCTATTTCATCCATTTTCCAAGTTGGCATGAGTTATGGGCTCTTCCCTGAGCTCTTCTTTCCTCCAAAATTATTGTAAAATCCAATTATTGTAAAATCCAATTATGGCCTAATATTCAGTACTCTCTGGAATTGGAGAAGCTGCCTATAGAAAGTTAGACAGAAATTTGAGTACTACATTTATTATCTGTTTATCAGCAAAGGAGGCATATTTTCTTTTTTCTTTTCTTTTCTTTTTTTTTGGAGACAGTGTCTCGCTCTGTTGCCCAGGCTGGAGTGCAATGGCACGATCTCGACTCACTGCAACCTCCACCTCCTGGGTTCAAGCGATTCTCCTGCCTCAGCCTCCCGAGTAGCTGGGACTACAGGCGCCCGCCACCACGCCCAGCTAATTTTTATATTTTTAATAGAGACGGGTTTCACCATGTTGGCCAGGATGGTCTTGATCTCTTGACCTCGTGATCTGCCTGCCTCAGCCTCCCAAAGTGCTGGGATTACAGAAGTGAGCCACCACACCCAGCCACAAAGGAGGCATATTTTCATTGTAAGTGGAACCAAGATCATCATACAAAATAAGCAGGTCTACATGCAATGCCATCGTCTTGTCAGTATTTTAATGAAACTGTACAGCTGGTATGCAGATATGTAGCTAATGCCAAGAGAAGTTTCCAAGTCTATCATGACCTGTCTGTGCTCACTTGCAAAGAACAGAACTCACTCAAGCCACTTCAAGTGAGCAAGGATGTATGGCAGGGTATTAAAAGGAGTTCGAGACCAGCCTGGCCAAATGGTGAAACCCCATCTCTACTAAAAATACAAAAATTTTAGTGGGGGTGGTTGTGCACACCTGTAATCCCAACTACTCAGGAGTCTGAGGCAGGAGAATCACTTGAACCCGGGAGGCGGAGGTTGAAGCGAGCCGAAATAGAGCCACTGCACTCCAGCCTGGGCAACAGAGTGAGACTCCATCTCAAAAAAAAAAAAAAAAACTAGCAGCTACTGGCACTGGGCACCGGCCATGTGCCAGGAGCTCTTGTAAGTACCTTGTAGGCAATAATTCCCATCCGGTCTCACAACACCCCATGCAGTAGATCATACTATGCTTGCCATCTTACAGAGGAGGAGGTTAAGGCACCAGAGGAGAGGCACTCACCAGCCTGACCCCAGAATTTACCCTGTGAACTAGGCCCCAGGACCATAGCACAGCACGGGGCTATGAGCAGGATCAAGCTCGCTCTTCACTTTTTCTATGTTCCTGGTTGTTTTCTGCTCAGGAAGTGCCTTCTAAACCAATTTGTTCCTTTCAGGGCTTTCCTAAGCCCTTCAGCATCGAGTCCAGTTACACATTTATTTTCCTGTAACCTCAGATCTCTTAGGTTAATGGGATATAATCATATATGTCAAAATACCCCCTATTATGATAGAGTTTTTCACAATTTTAAAGCTATTCTTTTGATTTTGAAAGCAAGTTCTGTATTTTCATCACAATGAGATGTGTCCCTATAAAACCTTGCATAAATGCCATTTACATATTCTCTCTCTTATACACACACTCATACACACACAGAGAGACAATTGAAGATAGTCCATAAGTCCCTTACTTAAACTGGTCATAAGATGTCTTTGTCACATAGAATAAAATAAATATCTTGAGTCCATACGAGTAGAATAAATAACAGAATAAAATGGGTAAGTAAATGGGGGAGGAGAGAGAGGTCATATGGAAGAATTCTACTAACAAATGCAGAAAGAATAAGGAAAATACAAAATCATCATTTGGTGAACACCACAGTAATGGTGGTTGCAGGCAAAGTCTGCCAAATGTTTGTGGATAAAAGGGATATTTGCCTAGTGCCAAAGTATCTCCCCACAAAATGTCTATTAATCAGAGTGAAAAATATAGATGTCTATTCATACAAAGGGAAAAATTAATAGAAAAGGAAAACTAGTTCTTATTTATGTTTACTTTATAATTTCTTATTGTATTTCTTATGTCTTACATTTTTTATTGATATTTACTACTTGTGCACTAAGCAATGAAGCAGACACTACCTTAACCCAATGATCAAGGCTAACAAAACCAACAATGACACATATTACATCACGTGCCCCTGCTGCACTGCACTGACAAAGGCACTTCTGAGGTCTTCTTGCCTAAAACTCATACTCTCCATCAAATCATAAGAAAACATCAGACAAACCCAAATTGAAAGACGTTCTTCAAAATAACTGACCAGTGCCCTTCAAAAGTGTCAAGATCAAGAGAAACAAGGAAAGACTGAGAAGCTATCCCAGATTGGAGTATATTAAGGAGCAAGAGCTCAGTGCACTGTGGGATCTGGATTGGATCCTGGGACAGCTAAATGATGTTACAGGAACATGGGAAAACCTAAATGAAGTCTGTAGTTAATAGCATTACACCAGTGTTGGCCCCTGATTTTTTATAGATGAAGGTTATATAGTCACTCTGATTTTTTTTTTTTTGCAACCTTTCTGTAAGTCTAAAAGTATATCAAAATTAAAAGTTACTACAGAAAAAGACATCTGGGTCAGGCAAGCTCAGGTATGCTCCCTTGTCACCAGGATAGAGCCTGAATCTTCCTTCTCCCCATTCCCCCGGTCAACCCCCAGGCTCCTGTCCAGTGCCAGCCAGAGTTGGGGAGCTTTAAACCACTTCAGTACCGCTCTTGGAAGGACACAGACTTTTTATTTATTTGGAGGGCTTTGCAGAGAAGCTGTTACTGGATTTTATGAAATGACGAAAGTAGTACGTGCTCATTGTAATAAGTCAAAGAAAGAACATGTATAAAGGAAACAGCAATAAATGACTCATCCTGCCACAGTTCATCCCCACCCCATTGACAGCATTGGCATGCAGCCTCCTGCACGCTCACCGTGCACATACGGACCACAGAGGCCTGTGGTTCTCTCTCCTACACGCACAGAGAAATGGACTCAGATCACAAATATTATCATATTCTGAAACTTGCTTTTTCATTTAACAATTCATCATGGGTATTTCTTGGATACAGAGATATAGAATTCTACCTAACGTTTAGAGAGCTGCATTCTATTCCGATATTCTATAGTATGATTGTATTCTGGTTTAGTCGACCAATCTTTTTTTGATGAATATTTGTATCATTTCCACTTTTTGCCATTATAAGCAATAAATATATCTTTATCTATTGGCATTTTTGTTCCTGAAGAACAGTCTCTAAAAGGAAGGATTGTTATGATGAAACATTCTTATTTTAATAAATACTCTTGTATTACTTTCCATAACTATTTTAACAATCGCATTCCCACTAGCAATGCATGGAGAGCCTTTTTCTTCCCTCAAACTCTCACAAGCCTTCATTCATTCGGCAAGGATTTTTTGCAGGGCCGACTGTGTCTCACTCAATTAAAATGTTGCTTTAACATATATTAAATTCCCAGCCGGGTAAGGTAACTCATGCTTGTAATCCCAGCACTTTGGGAAGCTGAGGCAGGTGGATCACTTGAGGCCAGGAGTTCAAGACCAGCCTGGCCAACATGGCGAAACCCCATCTCTACTGAAAATACAAAAATTAGGCAGGCGTGGTGGTGTGCACCTGTAATTCCAGCTACTCAGGAAGCTGAGGCACGAGAATCACTTGAACCCAAGAGGCGGAGGTTGCAGTGTGCCAGGATTATACCACTGCACTCCAGCTTAGGTGATAGAGCAAAACTGTGTAGAAGGAAGGGAAGGGAAAGGAAGGGGAAGGGAGGGGAGGGGAGGGGGGGAGGGGAGGGAAAGGGAGAAGGAAGGAAAGGGAGCGAAGGGAGAAGGAAGGGAAAGAAAGAGAAAGAAAAAGAAAGAAAAAGAAAGAAAAAGGAAGGAAGGAAGGATGCAAGGAAGGAACGAAGAAAGGAAGGAAGGAAAGAAAGGAAGAAAGAAAAGAAAAAGGAAAGAAAGAAAAAAGGAAGAAAGAGAAAGAAAAGAAAATATATTAAAATCCCATATATATTTGGACCTATTTCTGGTCTATGGGCCTCTTTCATTTTTTTCCTACCCATTCTACTCTGATTACAGTAGCTTTAGAGTATAATAAGTTTTACTATTAAGTAGAGCAGGCTGCCCAATACCATGTTTCTTTTCTAAAGTTTTCTTGGCAATTCTTACTCATTTATTTTTCTTTAGGAAATTTAAAATAATTTCCGCTCAACTCAAATACATTTTATTGGCATTATATTTCATATTGCATCACATGTGTAAAATAAAGATATACAATTTATTAATGTTTTCAGTATGTTAAATATCTTCAAAATGTATAAGCACAAACTTCAGTTTTGTATAATATATATATATTTTTTCAACTATTCACATTTTTAAGATTTAAATATTCCCCTCCAGAAGTATGGAATTGCTCTCTATTTACTCAAGAATTGATCTACATCCTACACAGAGATTTATACCTTTCTCTGAGTATGTCTTGAACTTTTTGGTAAAATTTATTTTCTAGGGATTTTAGGTTTGGGGAGATGTTTTAATCTCACTCCCATGAGAAAACTAGCTGCTACTAAAAAAGAGAAGATACTGTTGATTTTGTTTCCAGCTACCTCTTAAAATATTCTAATTCTATTATTTATTTTGGCAAAAGCCCTGAGGTTTTCTAAATATGTAATCACATCATCTGCAAATAGAAAATCAAATTTTCTGTTATTTCTGATGTTTAGTTCACTACACATAAGGCTCCATAAAGGCGAAAATTTTTGTTTGGTTTTTCAATATTGTATCCTAAGCTTGGCACATAGTGATATGGATTGGCTGTGTCCCCACCCAAATCTCATCTTGCATTGTAGCTCCCATAATTCCCATATAATGTGGGAGGGACCTGGTGGGAGATGATTGAATCATGGGGGCAGTTTTCCCTCATACTGTTCTCCTGGTAGTGAATAAGTCTCACAAGATCTGATGGTCTTATAAGGGGTTTCCTTTTTTCACTTGGCTCTCATTCCCTCTTGCCTGCCACCAGGTAAGGCGTGTCTTTTGCCTTCCGCCATGATTCTGAGGCCTCCCCAGCCACGTGGAACTGAGAGTCCATTAAACCTCTTTTTCTTTATAAATTACTCAGTCTCTGTTATGTCGTTATCAGCAGCATGAAGACAGACTAATACACATAGTAAACTTTCAGTAAGTATCTATAATAATAAGTATTATTCATAAAGGAGGAAGGAAGGAAGGAAGAGGGGGAAGGAGGATTTTGTTGCCAAATGTAATACTTGCTATTGGTTGTTTTTTTTTTTTTTTTTGGGACGGAGTCTCGCTCTGTCACCCAGGCTGGAGTGCAGTGGCGCAATCTCGGCTCACTGCAAGCTCCGCCTCCCAGGTTCACGCCATTCTCCTGCCTCAGCCTCTCCGAGTAGCTGGGACTACAGGCACCCGCCACCACACCCGGCTAATTTTTGTATTTTTAGTAGAGACTGGGTTTCACCGTGGTCTCGATCTCCTGACCTCATGATCCGCCTGCCTCGGCCTCCCAAAGTGCTGGGATTACAAGCGTGAGCCACCGCGCCCGGCCTGCTGTTGGGTTTTAAGGAGGGAAACAGTATTTTGTTGCCAAATGTAATCATTGCTATTGGGTTTTAACAAATTGTCTTACACATATAGGCAATTTATCATGGAACCGTCTCTGCTGCATGACCTTTGACATCTAACCTGGATTAAAGAGCCTCATGATTGCCTGTGGCATCTGGGCCTGTTTCCTTTAACAAAACAGGTTTCTACCTGCCAGTTCCCAGGCCTGCATCTCTTCTACTCCGGAATAAGATAGAAAAGGAGCTAGCGTTTGCAGAGTGCCTGCTCTGTGCCAAGTGCTGTGCTAGGTGAATTTTATGAACCTCTCATTCTAGTCTCCTAAAAGCCCCTGAGGGAGATATTATTCTGGTTCTTAAGTATTTCTTACTCTTGCCTCTGGTGAATATTTGTATTGGAATGATCAGTCCCTACAGAGTAAATATTGCTCACTTAACTAGAAGGCACTTCACAAAAAGTAAATCTCACATCTAAATGTTTGCCACAAATCAACTCTCAAAGTCACCCTCTACCTTATTCACCAGGTTTGCTTTTGAATGACAATTTTATTGTTTTAAAAAGAAAAAATGTCAATCTCTGGATGACAAAAATTTCCCCTCTTGTGCATAGTCAAAAGAAAATATTGCCTGCTCCGAACATGTTTCTTAAAGTAGCATTTTAAAGCTGTGTGAACATTTGTCAAAAAATTAAACATAGAATTCTCACATGATCCAGCAATTCGACTTCTGGGTATATTTCCCAAAAATTGAAAACAGGACTTGAACTGATATTTGTACACCCATGTTCGTAGCAGCATTATTTGCAAGAAGCAGAAGGTGGAAAGAACCCAAGAGTTCATCAGTGGACACGTGGACAAACAAAATGTGGTGTGTGTGTGTGTGTGTGTGTGTGTGTGTACATATATATATAGTGTATATATATTTATATTTATGTACTGTTGAATCGTACTCAGCCTTGGAAAGGAAAGAAGTGCTGACACATGCTATAACATGGATGAACCCTGAGGACATTATGCTAACTGAAATAAGCCAGTTGAAGGCTGGGCGCAGTGGCTCATGCCTGTAATCCCAGCATGTTGGAAGGCCGAGGCGGGCAGATCACCTGAAGTCAGGAGTTCAAGACAAGCCTGGCCAACATAGTGAAACCCGGTCTGTACTAAAAATACAAAAATTAGCCAGGCATGGTGGCGCACACCTGTAGTCCCAGCTACCTGGGAGGCTGAGGCAGGAGAATCGCTTGAACTCAGGAGGCAGAAGTTGTGGTGAGCTGAGATCGTGCCACTGCACTCCAGCCTGGGCAACAGAGCGAGACTCCATCTAAAAAACAAAGAAGAGAAAAGAAATAAGCCAGTCGCAATAGGACAAGTGCTGTATGATTCCACTTATATAAGGTCCCTAGAGTAGTCAGACTCACAGAGACAGAAAGTAGAGTGGGGGTTGCCAGGGGCTAGGGGAGAGTGAGGAGTTAGTGTTTAATGGGAACAGAGTTTCAGTTTGAGAAATGAAAAGTTGTAGAGATGGATGATGGTGGATAGTTACACAACAGTGTGAATGTACTTAATGCCACTGATTAGTACACTTAAAATGATTAAAATCATAGGTGTCCTGTTATGTATGTTTTACCACAAGAAAAAGTGTTTAACTGTTTGAGTGGGAGCAGTGTGCTTTTCCTCTCCCCATGCTGCCTGCAGGTGGGTATTAGTTTATTGGAAAATAAGTAATAACAGCATAGAGCATGGAGTCAGACAGACGGACTTCCACGTCTGGCTCTGCGGGGTCTCAGCTGTGGGACCTGAGGGCAGTCACCACACCCTGAGCCCTGGGTGATTATGTGGAATTTATACATCAGGTTTATCTCCAATGCCCAGCACAGAGCCTGCCCCATGGAGGCTGCTGGTGTGAAAACACAGACAGTAACCCACTTGTATTAGTCCATTTTCACACTCTTGATAAAGACATGCCCAAGACTGGGCAGTTTATGAAAGAAAGAGGTTTAATTGGACTTACAGTTCCACGTGGCTGGGGAAGCCTCACAAACATGGCGAAGGCAAGGAGGAGCAAGTCACATCTTACATGGATGGTGGCAGACAGAGAGAGAACTTATGCAGGGGAGCTCCTTTTTAAAAACCATCGGATCTCATGAGACATATTCTCTATCATGAGAACAGCATGGGAAAGACTTGCCCTCATGATTCAATTACCTCCCACCAGGTCCCTCCCACAACATGTGGGAATTCAAGATGAGAGTTGGATGGAGATACAGCCAAACCATATCACCTGAATCTCATATCCTTGGGAAATATTGCTGCTTAATTCTCTAATTGTGAGAAACATGCTCATTTGATTGTTCTATATCTGTTTCTTAAACTACAGCCAAAACTTCAATCACCAAAACAATCTTTAATATTTCATAACTTAGTAAAAAGCTATGGTAACCAAGAAAGCATGTACTGGCAGAAAGATAGTGATATTGTTTAACAGAACAGAATTAAGAGTCCAGAAATGAACCCTACATTTATGGTCAATTGGTTTTCAACAAGGGCATCAAGACAACTCAGTGGGGGAAAGCACAGTCTTTTCAACAAATGGTGCTGGCACAACTAGATAACCCCTCTGAAAAGAATGAAGTTGGACTTCCGACTTCACAACACTTACAAAAATTAACTCAAAATGGATCATGGGCACAAATGTAAGAGCTAAACCACAACACTGAAGAAAATATAGGAGTAAGTCTTCAGGACCTTGGGTTAGGCAGTATTTTCTTAGATGCAACACCACAAGTAAAAGATAAATTGGACTTGATCTATTAACAACTTTTGTGCTGCAAGCAATACCAACAAGGAAATAAAAAGACAACCCACAACCCACAGAATGGGACGTGATCCTGTATTTGAGAAACACATATGATGTGTATCTAGAATATATTTAAAGAAACCTATAACTCAACAATAAACAAAAAATCCAATTTAAAAATGAGCAAAGGATTTGGTAGGTTTTTGTCCAAAGAAGATATATAAACATCCAATATGCTCATGAAAAGATGTTTAACATCGTTAGACATTGGGGAAATGCAATTCAAAAACACAATGAAATACCACTTCACACCAACTGGGATGGCTGTAACAAAAATAACAAGTGTTGGCAAGGATGTGGAGAAGTTGGAATCTTCATATATTGCTTGGAGGAATGTAAAATGGTGCAGATATATTGGAAAACAATTTGGCAGTTCCTTCAAATGTTAAATGTAGAGTTGCTATATGACCTAGAAATTTTACTCCTAGGCATCTACTCAAGAGAAAAGAAAATATATATCCACACAGAAACTTATAAGCAAATGTCCATGGCAGTGTTATTCATAATAGCCAAAAAGTAGGAACAATTCAAATCTCCATCAACTGACAGATTTTTAAGATGTGATATATCCATTCAGTGGGCATTACTTGATAATGAAATGAAATGAAATATTGTCACATACTAAACATGAATATACCTGAAAACATACACTAAATGAAAAAGTCAGACCCAAAGGGCACACGCTGTATGGTTTATTTATATGAACTGTCCAGAATAGGCAAATCTATAAAGCCAAAACCACACTAGCAGTTGCAAAGGGCTTGGGGTGAGATGGAAAATGCTAATGCAACAGATACGAAGTTTCTTTTTGAAGGGACAAAAATCTAAGATTAGATTGCAGTAATGGTTGCACAAGCTTGTAAATATACTAAAAAAAAACAATGAATTGTACACTTTAAGCAGGTAAAAAGTTGTGTAGAATAAGACACATAATAGAAGAAAACAAATAAAATTTTGAGATGTAAATTCTTCAAAATGTTTCACATAGTTTCTACGCTTTTTTTCTTTTCTTTGAGACGGAATTTTGCTCTTGTTGCCCAGGCTGGAGTGCAGTGGCGCAATCTCGGCTCACCGCAACCTCCGCCTCCTGGGTTCAAGCGATTCTCCTGACTCAGCCTCCCGAGTAGCTGGGATTACAGGCATGCGCCACCACGCCCGGCTAATTTTGTATTTTTAGTAGAGATAGGATTTTTCCATGTTGGTCAGGCTAGTCTCAAACTCCTGACCTCAGATGATCTACCTGCCTCAACCTCCCAAAGTGCTGGGATTACAGGTGTGAGCCACTGCGCCCAACCGTTTCTACATTCTCAGAGAGGATACTCCCAACTGAATATCCCCCTCCTGCCTCCCCTTCCTTTCTCTTTTTGTGAAGAGGTGCTCAGGCCCTTGATGGGGTCTTCTCGCCCCTGCACCACCCTTTGTTATTCATCCTTGAGAGGTTTCCTTTTTTTTTTTTTGCCATCTTTATCTCTGTCCCCTACTGCCATGTTCTCAGTATGGCAAAGGGCAGAACATGGACTTTTAGTGACAATGACTCAGTGGCTCAAAAAGCCTTTTTGGATGCCTACTCACTTTGGTATAATTAATTTTTATTCCTGAGTCGATCCTGGGTAGGTGAATCATGCGTTTGCGTAAACAGTACTGGTGAATGGTCCCATTGTAGACATGAAGTTCTGCACTTGCTTTTAAGGCTAGCATTTACTCATTTGCCTTTTAAACCTGTCATCATGTGCCCTTCTAATAAACATCTTGAAACTGTCTGTCCATGTCATACATGCATGTGTGTGTGCGTGTGTGTGTGTGTGTGTGTGTGAGCATACTACTTCTGACCCCCGCCCCCCAGGCCCTCCAGCTGGAGCACTCTGTTGCTCTTGATTGTTAGCAGGTCCCAGATACTTTTTTCAAGGAGTTGTTTTTTTCCTACATATTTACATAGTTTTTACTTTAAAATTATCAAGCACTGGAAAAATCACCTGGGGGTAGAAAGAAAAAACATCAATATGTTGATCACATTGATGATTGATTTCTATTTTTATTTCTGGATCTTTCTAGAGTTTTAATTTTTTAATGAACAGTGGTTATCTATATTTTTTAAGTTATAAAAACTTGCTACATTCATAGCTCCCAAGGTCTGCCCTAATTTTGCTTTCTGCGGTGTGTAATATATGGCATTTGCTTTTGCAACACTCCTCTACAATGTTCATAGCTTCATTTATGTCAGGCTATTAGGGAATTTAATGAATAACTTTTCCCCAAAAGAAAAGATTCATAGCTGGGCACCGTGGCTCATGCCTGTAATCCCAGCACTCTGGGAAGCCGAGGCAGGTGAATCACCTGAGATCAGGAGTTTGAGACCAGCCTGGCCAGCATATTGAAATGTTCCTACTAAAAATACAAAAAAAAAAAAAAAGTTAGCTGGGCATGGTGATGCATGCCTGTGATCCCAGCTACTGGGGAGGCTAAGGCAGGAGAATCATTTGAACCCAAGAGGTGGAGGTTGCAGCAAGCCGAGATCTCACCACTGCACTCCAGCCTGGGCAACACAGCAAGACTCCATCTCAAAAAATAAATAAATGAATAAGATTCATATGGCACCTAGTTAATTTCATTTACTCAATACTTTTCAGAAATTGAAGAAGCTCTTTTTCACCAGCTACTAAACAAAAGCAATTTATTCAACTAGGTTTTCTTTGCATGAGTTGTTCTGTATGTAACAAGAAAGCAACAAAATAAATATTTTTAAATGTCACACTTCCCTGCAAAAATAATCACAATAATAATAATAATAATAATGAATAAGAGTTTATAGGCTAGGTATAGTGGCTCACACCTGTAATCCTAGCATTTTGAGAGGCTAAGGCAGGTGGATCACTTGAGGTCAGGAGCTCAAGACCAGCCTGGCCAACATGGTGAAACCCCATCTGTACAAATACAAAATATTACTCTAAAAATACAAAAATTACCCAGGCATGGTGGCGGGCACCTATAATTCCAGCTACTTGGGAGGCTGACGCAGAAGAATTGCTTCAACCCAGGAGGTGGAGGTTGCAGTGAGCCGAGACCACTGCACTCCCGCCTGGGCGACAGAGTGAGACTCAGTCTCAAAAAAGTAAATAAATAAATAAATAAATAAAAGAGCTTATAGACAGTAGGATGACTTCCTCAGCAATGTAGCCTAGATAGATCAGAAAACTTGCAAGCATTTCATTGAGCAGTTACTGTGTAACATCTTGCATGTCTACTCAGACGCAGATGGAAACACACATGCAAACACACACACACACACACACACACACACAGAGGACATGGACGGACAGTTTCAAGATGTTTATTAGGAGGGCACATGCTGACAGGTTTAAAACGCAAATGAGAAAATACATGCAATGCTCTTCTTGAACAATTCAATGCCCTGTTACGGTCACTTTTCCAGCCTCTGACCAGATGCCTAGCAAAGCTGTCTTGAAAGATGCTGAGAAAATATTTTGAGACACACGCACGCACACACACGTGAATATATCCTAGATATATATTAAAATACATACTTCATGGAATTGGCTCACATGATTATGAGAGCTGGCAAGTATAAAATCTGTAGGGCAGGTATAGGAGAGCAAAAAAAAAACTTTTCCTCTACGCACTTAGGGTCTGTGCTGAGAGCCTGTGAATTAAACTGACAAAAGACAGACTACCAGGAGAAAAGACACACAAATTTTATTTTCAATGTTATGTGCATGGGAGGGCTCCACAGAAAAGAAGTGAAACCCCAAAGAAGTGGTTTGTCTCAGGGTTTATATACCATTTAAACAAAATATGATAAATTGTGAAGTGACTAGCTAAAGGAAAAGGTGTTTAGGGCTTTGAGGGGCAGTAAATTATGGGAAGATAGATATATGGGGGAACCGGCCAGGCTCAGTGGCTCACGCCTGTAATCCCAGCACTTTGGGAGGCCAAGGCAGGTGGATCACGAGGTCAGGAGTTTGAGACCAGCCTGACCAATATGGTGAAACCCCTTCTCTACTAAAAATACAAAAATTAGCCAGGCGTGATGGCATGCGCCTGTAATCCCAGCTACTCAGGAGGCTGAGGCAGGAGAAATGCTTGAACCCGGGAGGCAGAGGTTGCAGTGAGCCCAGATCATGCCATTGCACTCCAGCCTGGGCGACAGAGTGAGACTTAGTCTCAAAAAAAAAAAAAGAGAGAGAGAGAGAGAAAATATATGCGGGAAACTAATGGTGCATAAGGATGATTTTGTAAGGTTTGCTTATGCTACCTCATGTCATCGCCTTCCCCATCTCTGCTGATAAGGGTTGTTCTCCTCTTTCTGATAGGGGACTGAAGACAGGAGGTCAGGGTAGGGCACTTTCACAAGGGAGATTTATCCCCTGCTTTTAGGCAGAAAGGAGGAAGGCAGAGAGCTCTTTCTGTGTCTGCTTTTTCTCAGCTGCATTCAGCTAAAAATAATTCCTATGCCAAATGTCATATTTTGGCATGGCATATTCTGATCTTCATTACAGGCCAGCAGGTTGGAGACTCAGGCAGGAGTTCATTCTGGTGTGTTGAGACAGAATTTCTCCATCTTCAGGAAACCTCAGATTTTGGCTCTTAAGGCCATTCTCCAGACTGGATGAGGCCTACCCATATTATTGCAGGCAAGCTCATTTACTTAAACTCAACCGATTATAGAGGTTAGCCATATCTATCATCTACAAAATGCCCAAATTCATGTTTGATTAAATGGCGGGTTACTATAGTCTAACCACCGCACTTTCCAGTATTTCTCCTTCTTCCTACCTAACCTGCCCCCACCAACCCGCCGTAGCTCCTTTGAAATCCCTGCCACCTGCTGGGAACCTCCCTCTGTCTCTCCTCCTTGCTGTCCACAGTAACAAGGAGAAAGATTTAAGCTCCTGACTCCTCACTTTCCTCTCTATCCCTACTCTTGTCATTATTCTGAGATGGGTCAAAGTGGTGCCGGTCAAGGGACCCCAGATGAAGACTTGTCTGGCCCATAGTTAGTTGCCTGTCTTATAGCTCCATCTACTACAACTAGGGAGACTGTGGAATCAGTGCTTCTTACATTGTTATTCCTGGGCTGATGGCTGGATGCTTTCCATCAGATATCTCTCAGTGCACATATATTCACTAAGCCTCAGATGGTTATCTAAGATATCCGAGAATCTCCAACTTCACTATCCCTACAAGTCTGACCATTCACACCTCAGAAGAAAGGATTCTGAACAAAAAGCAACAGTAAACACAGCCCCAAATACAATGACTTCATTCTTGAGCCACATAAATCCTAAACTCTTGGGAGATGCCCAAGCCTATGTCATGATGAAATGGTATCTGAGCAAAATAATTTTCTCTGGAAAACTTCGTTTGTGAGCTTGCCTCAAGATGAGACTCGCCCCGTTATGCCTGAACCCTGAATCCATCACAGGGTGGCTATTTCTGGCAAAGGAACTCAGAGTTAATTTTCAGGCATTTGGAGGGCTGGGACATAAATTAGTAAGTAAGACATTATTTCATTTTATAGGAAGCAAAATATCCAGCATTAATATACTCAGCAGCATGTCTATACCTGTATCCATCCATCCATCCATCCATCCATCCGTCTGTCCATCCATCCAGCATGCCAAATAAAAATTGTCTGCAGCCCAGGTGCAGTGGCTGATCCCTGTAATCCCAGCACTTTGGGAGGCCAAAGATGGCGGATCACTTGAGGTCAGGAGTTCAAGACCAGCCTGGTCAACATGGTGAAACCCCATCTCCACTAAAAATACAAAAACATTAGCCAGGTGTGGTGGCATGCTCCTGTAGTCCCAGCTACTCTGGAGGCTGAGGCAGGAGAATTGCTTGAACCCGGGAGGTGGAGGTTGCAGTGAGCCAAGATCATACCACTCCAGCCTGGGCAACAGAGTGAGACTCCATCTCAAAAAAAAAAAAAAATTGTCTGTAACTGTCTTCTACTCAGCAATACAAGTAACATCCCAGAGTTGCACTAAGCCTGGACGCGGGCCCCACCCTCAATCTCAGACGGGTCAGAGGCATCTGAAAGTATTCAGTCATCCTTCCCCATTCAGACTTGTTCTGTCTAAACCAAAGGAAGACCAGGAGCCTAAATAACTTCCAGAGGATGCCAGTTGCTCAGCTCTCCCGGCTCCAGAAGCTTTGGCAGCACCCAACTGATGTCATGGCCTGCTCAACTCTTTACAGTGTCCAGAAATATAGACTTTGAGTTCCATATTTTCCCAGACTACAGCAAAGTGCACAAAAGTGGCCCACTCTTGAGGTACATGCATTGACACCTACTATACACCAAATATGTATTAGGAACTGGGGACACAATATTTTCCCCTCAACAGTTTGCAGTCTACTGAATGAAATGCCTAATGGGTTGTGATGAGTACAAGCTGTGGGAGTATATACAAGGGGCTCCTCATTCAGGGCCGAAGTGTGAATGCAGGCTGGCCTTCCAAGCAGAGAAATGATGAAGGCAAAAGTCCAGAAGAGGTGGAGCACCCACCACACCCACGGCCCCAGGCAGAGGTGGCCATGGTGAGCCATGAGAGGCAGGAAGGGGCCAGGGAGAGCCAGGCAGCAGGGCCAGCCAGGCAGGCTGAGACTCTGGACTTACCCCGAGGCTTTTGAAGGTTTTCAGTCCCAGGAGTAGCAGGCTTAGTTTTGCATTTTATTTTTTCCCTATCATTTTGTCATTATAAAACTCCAAATATACAGAAAAAATTTGGAAAAATAATACAATCAATACCCAAAGACACTCCAACCTAGATTCTACAACTCTTTAATTGTGCTGCATTTGTTTCTGTGAGCATTTTCGTTTGTTTGTTTACTGAATCATTTGAAGTAAGGAGCAGGCATCATTATAATTTACTCCTACACACTCAACATGCATTGCTGAAGAGCACTCTCCCACACAGCCTATTACAACTAAAGAAACTGACGACAATTCCCTACTAACAACATTCAATACCCAGTCCATGTCCAAGTCTCCCCAGTTGTTCCCAGAATGTCCTTTAGAGTTGGGAGGTGTGTGTGTTGGTAGGATGCCATCTATGTTCACCCATTACATGTGGATATCAGGTCTCTTGAGTCCCTTGTAGTTTAGAACCAAGCTTTTTTCTCCACGACATTGGCTTTCTGAACAGTTTGGGTCAGTTGTCTTAAGAATGCCCCATATTCTGGATTTGTCTGACTGTTTCTTGCAGTGCCCTTTGGTTATTTTCTTTAGCCCCTGTATTGCTTGTAAACTGAAAGGAACCCTGGAGTCTTCATGCAATTCAGATTAAGCATTTTTGTCCAGACCACTTCATAGATGACGCTATAGCCTCTGTGTCTCTTCACCTCAGGGGGCACAGAATGTAGGCTGCTCCATTCTTAGTGATGCTAACTTGATCATGTGGACAATATGGGGACCCCAAGATCCATGCACCATGAAGGAACACCCCCTTTGCAAGTGCAATACTGAGGGTGTGATTCTTTGGCACCAAGGGACCGTCAGTTCTGCATCACTTACGCAAATGGTTCTAGCACCCACTTACAATCCTGATCAGAGTCACATTTGGTTAGAGCAGGAAAAAAAAGATTTATTTTCTACTCATCTTAGTTTCATTGGCTGGAGCCGTTGGATTAGCAAGGGAAAATAGTTTGTTAATGTGCATTTTGCTCACATGTGGGATCACTTAGCCATGAGTAACTCAAATGGGTGGTTACAATTCAGCATTACATAGCATCTTAACAAAGAATAATAAATTTGTAGAGAAGTGATAAGACCAAAGAAAAGGACTTTGAGCTTCTAAGGACAGCAAATTGTAGGAAGACAAACATAGGGGGAAGCTAGGGGATGATAAGGACTAGTTTGAAAGATTTGTGATATAGATTCCTTTGGTGTCATCCCAGCCTGATGAGTCTAGAGTTGTCTCCCATGATTAAGAATCTCCCTGCTCTTCTTGGTAGAGAAAAGGAGGAAAGAGGGTTTGTCCTGCGTTGTTGTTTTACATTGCTTTCAGCTCAAAATAATCCTTAAGCCAGAGTAGCATATTTTGGGGCAGCACACTCTGAACCTCTCAGCATTCCGCAGTGTGGTGGGGGGAAAAGAGGCTGGAGGACAGACATTAGTGTGGCCACCACTGGCATCTCTTAAGACATGATGTTGGCCCAAGCTGGGGTGGGGTTGGGGTTGACAAGAGAGGTGGTTGCTACCAAGGCAGTAGCAATGATGACATCTGGTGAATAGTTGGATGTGGCACATTAATGGAGATGGAAGAGCCTAGATTTAGGCTTAGGCAACTTGACGGAGAACCCAGGAGGGAAGCAGGATGGCAGAACGGAGATGGGGCCCAGGGTCAGCCCCGGGGGGCATCCAAGGGACACCATGTGGCTGCTGGACCTGCAGGTCTAGCCCTCCTGAGAAAGGCAGGCCTGGGGCAGGAGGAAGATGGAGATCATCAGCTCTCATCACCAGGATCACGAGGCAAAGCAAGGAGCCCTGAGAACCCAGCATTTCAGGAGTAAATGAGAAATAAAAACTTACTGATTGTATGAACTAGGAAGAAGAAACCCAAGAGATAGTGACATCGGAGAAAGTGAAAGAAAAGAGCATCTCAAGGTGCATGATGAAATATGCATTTGGATACAGTATGCACGCACTGCATAGTATGAACATTGATAAGTACAATGATGGAGAAAGCAGGAAAAAAAGCAAGGACAAAAAAACCTTAGCATTAGCCTGGCCAACATGGCGAAACCCTGTCTCTACTAAAAATACAAAACTTAGCTGGGCATGGTGGCACATGCCTGTAATCCCAGCTACTCAGGAGGCTGAGGCAGGAGAATCGCTTGAACCAGGAGGAGGTTGCAGTGAGCTGAGATAGCGCCACTGCACTCCAGCCTCAGGGACAGAGTGAGACTCCATCTCAAAAAAAACAAAAACAAAAAACAAAACAAACAAACAAAAAAACCTTAGCATTATGCACTCTTTCATTAAAATTTATTTTTATTTCATTTTTTAAAATGTCAGTCACATCTTATTAAATTAAGTCCATGACCATTAAGGGGTCCCAATCCACACTGTGGAAAATGCCCCGGCCTGTGCTCAAACCACCAGCTCAGCCTGCGCATACCAAGGGCCTCGCACCCTGGTGCACTGCCCTCACAGTGTGAAACAGCAGATGGGGCAGAGTTCTCTGGCTGGGCCCAATTGGGCAAAAGAAGGGAAGATGCAGAGATGAGAGGCAGAAAGAGGATGTGCCTGAAGCTGAGGGCTCACTTGATTAAGTTGCTTACTTTTCATCTCATACTTCTAGTTGATCTAAAAATCCGCATAGCTAAACGCCACGTAGCTGAGCAGTACTCACTAAACTCCCACTGACTTCCTTACACTGGCTCTGACTATAGGTCACTATAGTAACCAGCACTTAGAGTTGTTTTTCAGGAACTATGGGCAGTACTTGTCCAGTTCAAGCTCATTGAGTCCACCAGCCCTTCAGCTGAACCTGTGTGGGTGTCCAAAGAGTGACCTTTTGACGTCAGAGGGCTAAAATCTCCACCCTTAGATCAGGTTAGTGCCACCCTTTTCTGCATGTGTCCGGTGAAGAACCGTGCAGCCCCACCAGGCTTGCATGAACTCCCATTACCTCCCCCTTCACCTCAAGACCACTTGGGTTTCTAGCCCATAAGTACCCTCACGTCCTATTTTTAGAGAGGCAAATTTGAGACCTGTCCTCCCGCCTCCTCTCTTGACTGCCTCGTGAATAAACTCCTACTCTTTTGCAAAATCCATAAGTCACAGTGATCGGCTTACTGTGACATGCCCACAGGGGCAGCAGCCGTGTAGGAACAGTGACCTGCATGCAGGCTGTGCCCCTAAGTGCAGGGACAGCTCCGTGTTGTCCCTCCTGCTGAGATCCTCAGGTTGTTCTGTTTCACCTGCACCAGTGCCCCTCAAGTGTGCCTGAGCTCATAGCACTTTGCTGCCATGAGGCCCCCCAAATTCACCTGGAGAGCCTGTCCTAACTTCAAATCCTGGGGTGGGTGGTCCCTCTGTCCACAAGAGCCCCGACTTCTTTTACACCTCGGTAGCACCCACCTAGGCCCAGGCACCAGCTCAAGGCTGGGAGAGGAGGCAGCTTTGCCAACCTCACTACAGAAAAAACAAAAACTAACAAAAGAAGCCTGTGTACTCCCTAACCCCAGGCAAAGGCCCCTCCTGAGCATCCATTCATATAGCCACAGGGAAGGCTTAGCTGCTTCTTTGCATCTGCCTTTCTGGGCTGTTTGTTTGTTTGTTTGTTTGTTTGCTTGCTTGCTTGCTTGCTTGCTTGTTTTTAATCTCATTGAGATTTTATGAGGAATTAGCTACAGTCCTCTGCTCTACCAGCTGAGCTATTGAAGGGACATCATTGAGCTTTTAAATGATCCGTAAGAAAGTTTTGGAGAAATTGAAGAGCAGCATGTAAACTTATATACTGGCTAACTTGTTAATGCATTCACACACACACACACACACACACACACACACACACACACATTATGTGGAAATGAGAACAAGCAATTGGGGAACATATTTCAGCAACTCTTCTTCCAGGTACAGAATTGCTCATCATGCAAGAGATGAATCATCAAGAAGCAGAAACTATCACAGTTTTCAGTTAAACTTTCTTGCACTCTCTGCACTCTGCAAAGGTAAATGTGTTCTAAGTTTACATGTGAAAGTATTCATGGGGCTTCTAGGATATGTTTCAGTAAAATAGTAAAAATCTGCTTTCTCTCTCTCCCTCTCTCTCTCTCCTTCTCGGGTTCATTCAGGAAGGAACAACTGATCCAACTAAAAAGAAACTAAGGAGGGCTTCCTGGAGAAAGGGGCACTTAGGTTGAGATTTGGAGAATCATCTTCAAATGGGGGAAGCATTTCAGGCTTTGAGTAAACATGAGAAGATAGGAAGGTTCGGGACTCCTTTGGGAAGACTGAAGAGTCCAGGGGATTATAGAGTAGGGTCTTGCGCAGTGTGTGCTGGGTGGGCAGGAAGATGGTTCAGCTGGAATATAGATGATGCTTCCACTGCAGTCAGTCAGGAGGATCAGGAGGAGCAGTCGGGGGTTTTCCCAAAAGGCAGTAACATGATCCATTGTATTATAGAAACAGGTTCGTGGCTGGAACTAAGGTGGGAGAACCTGAGTTTGGGAAGTCAAGGTTTGTAAAACAGTGCAGACCAGAGTAAAGGGGCTCTGTCTCACCAGGGGATCACCCCAGCAGGAGGGCCCCTGCCTGTGCCTGAAGCCACTCAGCCCTTTAAAAGCTGCCCCTAGGGACACCCCTTTACCAGAGAGGAGAACCAGAACACACAGAAAATAAGGTCCCCATCTGACCCCAGCAAAACATGATGTCCGAAAGACCGTTGCATCTGAGAGTAATTGTCATGTAGCATTTCTGTTTCCTGTATCCGGATACAAAAATAATGAATGAGGGGAAGCAGGCAAAGGAGACAAGCGTTCCCACCACGAAATCCTTGCACTTCAGTCCTTTTGTTAACCTTGGTGGAGTAGCACTCAACAGAAAATAACTAAACTCACCTATTTTTACTTTAGTAGCTATAAAATTTTCATTTCAAATGATAAATTCTGCTCTTTGGTTTAAACACAAAGTTTGCATACACTAATGTTTCCTTAAAATCAAACACCAAAGAGTGACCTTACATCTCTCACTCCCCTGTGCCATGTGTCTCCAAAGATGGCCCCAAGAACCCCAAATCCTTGTAACTGCCCTTCTGCAGTCATCCCTGAAGGGAGTCAGAGCATGCCACCCCAGAATATACCACTTTGGCATAAGGATTATTTTGAGCTGAAGGCAAATGAGAAATAGCAGAAGCAGGAAAATCTCTCTATTATTTCCCACCTGTGTAAAGGAGGGCATAAATTTCCCTTTGTGAAGGGGTCCCCCTCTGCCAGGAAAAGGAGACAATGCTTATCCCTTGACATGATACTGGCTTCAATCTGCATAAACAAACTTACTAAATAAACCTTATCTTCCATTAGTTTTCCCCCACATATTTGACATTCCACGGTTTATCACCACTAGAATTTCAAATCCTTTGTCTTTGCCTTGTCATTTTGCCACAAGTTTACAGTCTTTGTTAAAATGGTATATGAGTTCTCAGTCATAACTCTTTCTTTGGGTTTTCACTTTCTGTAAGATACTTGTTTACATGTAAAAATTTTTTAAAAAATGTTTTTGAGACAGACTCTCACTCTTTGAGATGGAATCTCCCTCTATTGCCCAGGCTGGAGTGCAGTGGTGCAATCTTGGCTCAGTGCAACCTCCGCCTCCTGGGTTCAAGCGATTCACCTGCCTCAGCCTCCCAAGGAGTTGGGATTACAGGCATGTGCCACCACGCCTGGCTAATTTTGTATTATTATTATTATTTTTTTAAGTACAGACGAGGTTTCTCCATGTTGGTCAGGCTAGTCTCGAACTCCTGACCTCAGGTCATCTGCCCACCTTGGCCTCCCAAACTGCTGGGATTACAGGCATGAGCCACCATGCCTGGCTGACTCTCGCTCTTTTGCCCAGGCTTGGAGTGCAGTGGGTGCGATCTCAGCTCACTGCAACCTTCGCCTCCTGGCTTCAAGCGATTCTCCTACCTCAGGGCTTCAAGCGATTCTCCTGCCTCAGCCTGCTGAGTAGCTAGGATTACAGGTGTGCACCACCATGCCCAGCTAATTTTGTATTTTTAGTAGAGACGGGGTTTCGCCATGTTGGCCAGGTTGATCTCAAACTACTGGCCTCAAGTGATCTGCCTGCCTCAGTCTCCCAAAGTGCTGGGATTACAGGCATGAGCCACCATGCCCAGCCCAAAAATTAAGATATTAACATCAAATACAATTTGTATACTTTTTCTCCTGTTAATCTGTCCTTTGTTAGTTTAATTTGCAGGCCACAGTCACTAAACCTAAAAGGGCGGAAGAAACATTCTTTCTTCCCTGCTTTCCAACATTGTGTCTGGACTAAGCCTGAGACCCACTTTAGTCAACAGTGTATCAGGTGACTCTGTGCCTGTTCTGGGCCTAACTTGTAGAGCTTGGCAATGTTTGTTCTTGTGCTCTTGGGAGTCCTGAACCACCATGTAAGACAGGGGTTGGCAAACTATGGCCCATGGGCCAAATCCAGCCCACTGTCTATTTTTGTAAATAAAGCTTTATTGCAGCAGAGCAATGTCCATCTGTTTATGGGCATTTATGGCTACCTTTGCATTACAATGGTAGAGTTGAGTACTTGTGACATAGACTATATGGTCAAAGAGTCTAAAATATTTGGTCTTGTACTGAAAAGTTTGCTGACCCCTGATTTTAAAAGACCATCGACCTGCTGGAGAGACTACATGGAGAAGTCCTGAGGCCACAAGGAGAAAGAGAGAGGCTCAGCTGTCCATGTTCCATTTCCTAGTCCCAGGGCCAGGTGATTCAGCCCTATTACCAGTCATTGCCAATAGGAGAGACCCCAAAGGAGGTCAGCAGAAGAACCATCCTGCTGACCCCAGGCAATCTGAAGAACTGGAATAATAAAATGGTAGCTCTATGCTGCTGCATTTTGGATGGTTTATTACACAGCAGCAGATAATTGGAACCCACTCCCTCCCCACCTCCAAACAAAAATATTGGGCTGTGACTGTGAAGACGAACCAAAAACAAACAAACAAAAAAACAAGCACCATTGAAGATGAGTTACAAAACCATGACTGAATTAGTTCCCAAAGCTGTCTAATAGCACCACGTAACTGCTTGCAGAGTTTTTCTGAAGAAATACCATAACTCATCATGAAACCAGCTATTAAACCACAAAACTTCTGTTTCCTTCACCTTGTACGTCACCCCTACTCTCTGCAACAGTTTGACCGCATTTTAGTTTGTGGGTTTTTGCCTTTTAAATGAATCTTATCATTATGAACACTGAGTACCCAAATAGTCCCCCAGGGCAGGAACTTCTCGTCTCTCTGAACACAGAATGTCCACTTGTGTGTTCTTTCAGATGCAGGGTCTTCTTGCCCTGAATTTCTAGAATGTGTTCTTAAAGAAACATACCTATTATTTCAAAGTATCTCAATTTTTTGAGAGACAAGGAGCACTATGAATCCAGCTCATGGTGTTAATGGCTTTCTCATCATAAATCCATCAGCTATATTAGTTCTTTAGAGAAAGTAAAAATCAGAACAAGGTCTATTTGTCATATTTCCTTAACCACATCTGGAGAGAAGCTTCAAGTGAGTAAATCCAACATATGATTGTGATTCTGGGAGCATCGTTGTTTCTGTTTTCATGAAGTTTTCTCTAAGGAATGAGTTAAGGAATGAGTTAGTTCTTTTGGGGAAAAAAAAATAGTGTGCCTCCCCCCCACTGCCCACCATCTGCACACCCACTCTCGGAAATGTTGCCTGCCCATATTTACCTGCTCACCAAGCTGTTCCCTATTCTAGAAGTTTCCACTCTCCCTTGAGTATAAAAGCTTCAACCCTGGTTCAGTGGGTGGTAGCTGCACCATGGTCTGGGGAAATCAGCACTTTTTCGTGGGTGTTGCTGCCCAGGGACCAAAGGGGACTTGAGGATAATCAAGCCAGCTCTGCAAGTCTCCAACCACACAAGGGGACTGAGCTCCCACCACATCCCTCAACCTCCCGCCGCCATCTTGCTTTCCCACTCCCTGCCTCCCACACAGCTCAGCTGCCTTTTGCTGCCCTTTGCTGCCCTTTACTGCCCCTTGCACTCCCCAGCAAACCTCCTCCATCCTCTCCACTGCGTCTCCTCCCTCCCTTCCTCCCCTCTGTCACCCCAATGGCCCAGGGAGAGCACAGGACAACATGGAGTGAGGAAAGGGAGGAGCTCAGCCAGCTAACCATCCCTGCCCACCACATGTGAATTAGACAGGCTTCTCCAGAGACAGAGCCAACAGGGTATGTACACAGGAAGAAATTTATCTGAGGAATTGGCTCACACAGTTATGGAGGCTGACAAGCCCTGAGATCTGCCATCTGCAAACTGGAGACCCAAGAAAGCCAGTGTTACAATTCACTCCTGTTCCAACAGCCTGAGAACCAGGGGAACAGATGATGTAAATCCCAATCCCAGGGCAGAAGAAGAAGAAATGAGATGTCCCAGCTCAAGCATGGAGGAAAGGGGGGAAGAGAGCAAATTCCTCTGTTCTCTGTCTTTTGTTTTGTGCAGACCCTCAAGGGGTTGGATGAGGCCCACCTACATTGAGAAGGGCATCCGCTTCACTAAGTCTTCTGGTTCAAATGCTAATCCCATCAGAAAACTGTCACAGACACACCCAAATAATGTTTAATCTGAGCACCTACGGTCCACTCAAATTGACTCATAAAATAAGTCATCACATGGGTGAAAGCCTTCCCTGGATGGTGAGTTTTCTGTCTCCCCAACGTGCATGCATGAAGAGCTGTCTGGGTAGATCTGATTCCCATCTTTTACCTACAAACATTTACCCACAACCTTGCCCAAATAACACTGAGCTCCAGGCTGTATGTGTATTATTTCTCATCTTTACAATGGCCCAGAGAGGAGTTCCTGAGTCCTGGAGGGAACTGAGGTAAAAGTGTAACCACTTGATGGGTTCTTCCTGCCCACTGCACGAAATCCATCCACTGAGACCAGGGCATTGCAACAGAGAAAGAGTTTAACTGACGTAAGGCTGGCCCATGCAGGAGAAATGAAGTTATTACTCAAGTATTCGGTGGGCTGGGGGACTAGGGAATGGGTGCTGCTGATTAGCTGGGGAGGAAATCATAAAGGGGTGGAAAACAATCCTTGTGCACTGAGTCCACCTCTGGGTGGAACCACAGGACCAGCTGAGTTATGAGTCAGGGGTCCAGGTGAAGTCAGTCTGAAAAAAATCAGATAAAACCAATCTTAGGTTCTACAATAGTGATGTATCCACAGGAGCAATTGGGGAACGTCACAAATCTTGTGACCTCTGGCCACATGACCCCTGAGCAGTAAGGGATTATAGAAATTATGCCATCATTTAGGCAGAGTTCAGGCCTCTCCCACAATTCTAATCTTGTCATCCTTCATTAGTCTTACAAAGGCGGTTTTTGGTCCCTGAGCAAGGAGGGGGTTAGTTTTATGGAGGGATTTACTTTTACCCTTGCTTTTAAGTTAAACTATAAACTATATTCCTCCTAAAGTTACCTTGGCCCATGCTGCCTTGACCAAGGACAGCTTGGAGGTCAGAAGCAAGATGCAATCAACTAAGTCAGATTTCTCTCACTGTCATAAATTTTGCAAATGCAGTTTCAGAGGGAATGAGTAGGGAAAGGTGGAGGGCCCCTTGTAAGTTATTTGCTGAAGAGCACACAGCTAATGGGTGCAGTTAACACAGGCTTTTGTTGAGACGAAGTCTTGCTCTGTCACCCAGACTGGAGTGCAGTGGTGCGATCTCGGCTCACTGCAACCGCTGCCTCCCGGGTTCAAGCAATTCTCTGCCTCAGCCTCCTGAGTAGTGCCCACCACCACACACAGCTAATTTTTGTATTTTTAGTAAAGATGGGGTTTCATCATCTTGGCAGGCTGGTCTTGAACTCCTGACCTCATGATCCACCCGCCTGGGCCTCCCAAAGTGCTGGGATTACAGGCGTGCGCCAGTGCACCCAGCCTAGGCTTTCCTTTTTTAAAACTCTTTTATTTTATTTACCAATACATATTCATGAAAACAAATCAACCCACACAATAAAGCACCAACAAGAAAGACAAATTAATCACTAAAATTGTAGTACCTCGAAGTACAGTTGACCCTTGAACAATGCAGGGGTTAGGAGCACCAACTCTCATGCAGTCAAAAATCCTCGTATACATTTCGACTCCCCCCAAAACTTTACAGTAATAGCTTGCTGTTGACCAGAGGCCTTACTGATAACATAAATAGCCAATTAACACATATTTCATATGTTATATATGTCATATACTGTATTCTTAAAGTAAAGTAAGCTAGAAAGAAGAAAATATAATTAAGAAAATCATTAAAGAGAAAATATATTTACTATTCACCAAGTGGGGGCGGATCATCATAGAGGTCTTCATCCCTGTCTTCAAGTGGAGTAGGTCGAGGAGGAGGAAGAAGAGGGATTGGTCTCACTGTCCCAGGAATGGCAGAGGTGGAAGAAAATCTGCATATAAGTGGCCCACACAGTTCAAACCTATGTTGTTAAAGGGCCCATTGTGCATCCAGTCCTTGTCTCAAACTGAAGGCTCGGCCTTGTTCTAATGCTATTGTCTCTAAGATATTCCCTTATATATTTACATCACTGCTCCACTGCAACGCACTGCTAAGATGCTTACACCCTGTCTCCGGGGGCTATGGTTGCCCTAGTTGAGGAGGACTCAGTGGCAGAAGGGACAGGAGTTCACCGACAACTGAAGCCCTGTCCCCGGGGTGCTCTCTTGGGTGCTGGTGACTCCCGGCATCCCCTCTTGGGCATATTTTGAGGTCTAGAGAACCATTTTGCCCAATAGTGGCTGTCAGATAAGGTCTGTTTGGCAGATGCCTGCAGAGCTGTGTGCCTGCCAACAGACATCCCCTGGCTTCCATCCCACCCTTCCCACTATGAGGAGTCAGAGTTGGTGTTTGGCTGACCACAAGGAACCCAGGCAGAAAAGTCCCCTAAGCCTACTGCAGCTCTGTGGTGTGGCTGAGTGGGATGCTCAGCAGGTGTTTGGGGAGAAGGGAAGGTGGACACCCTGAAGGCCTCTGACCCTACCTGAGGCCAAGGATGGGTGAAAAAGTGTAGCATGAATGGCAGCTGGGAGAGCACAGAGCCCAGGGTCTACCCTGACTTCAGGGGGCCTCAGCCAGTCAGACTTTGAATAACACCAGCTACACTGGGGCCCCAATTTCTGTGGCCCCCTCCCATGACAAACAAGGCCCATTGGTCAGGACGAACCAGATCTGATGCAGGAACAAGTGGCCTGCCAATCTCAGGGGCTCTGCCCATCACAGTCACTTAGCACCTCAGTACCTCAGCACTTCTCCACTTGTGGGCTGGTTGGGCTTCCTTGCAGCATGGTGGCCATGCTCGATCAGGGCAGTCAGACTGCTTCCACGGTGGCCCAGGAGTATTCCAGAGAGCCAGCAGGAAGCTGTCACCTCTTCATGACCTGGCCTTGAAAGTTACGTAGCATCACTCCACCGTAACTTTGGTGGACAGGCCACTAAGTCAGGCCCAGAATCAAGGGGACCAACACTGACTCCACTTCTCGGTGGGTGGAGCTGTAAAGCCACCTCACAGGACTGTCATGTTATTTATGAGCTAATATCTGTAAAGTGCTGAGAACCATTCCTCACAGTAATGCAATTTATACAAGTGTTTCTTAAAGAAAGCATACTGCTCATGGATTTGAAAATCATGTCTCAGTAAGCTAACTCCCTGTTTGATATCCAGAACATTCCTGCATCACCCAGTGGGGGAAGCACCAAATCCTGTTGCTCTTTCACTGCCATGCAAGTGCCTGGCCATGGAAGTTGGAGTCAGAATCCTTGTCACACCTTCCAAAAGTTTCACCAGAGGTTCAGAGAATCCAGAGAGGGCTGGATCTCCACCCTTCCAGGGAGAGGGAACAAACAGTGGGCTTCAGCAGCCTGACTCAGGAGCAAATTCCTAGATGACTCTACCTGGAACATGGCACACTGGGGCTCAGGGCTGTGAAACTCAGAGCAAAAACAAGGCCAGTGTTGACTGAGGCTCTCACCCTCCACTGCACGTTCAAACCATCTGGAGACCCTCAGATGGCTCCACACCTGGCCTCTCCCCAGGCAGAGCTCTGAAGTGGGACCTGGGCTTCAGAATTCTGAAACCTCCCAAGCGATTTCAAGACACACCAAAGCCTAAAAGTAACTGAAATGATGGGTTTCCGACGCTCCTGTGCTTGCGAGTCACTTGGGGACCTTGTTAAGATACAGACTCTCACTCAGTGGGGCCGGCTGAAATTCTGCATTGCTAGCAATCTCCTGGCAATGTTCATGCCTCTGGTCTGTGGACCACGCTTTGAGTAGCAGAAAAATAGAGCAGCATTTCTTAGTCTTGTCTTGTCTTTTTAACTCTATGCTTCCCACTGATTAATGTACAAATCCCATGCCTTCTTTTAATATTATTTGAAAACTGCACAGTAAATTAAATATTGCAACTAAAACCAAGTGTTAATTTGAGGGGACAAAATTCTGCATTGTTTGCACAACTCACTTCTGGGCCTTCCCATCCCACCAACACCTACAATCTGGGAAAACACCCTGTTGCAAAAACAACTGGAGGTGGCACCCATCCGGCTTCACCCAGGTTTCCACCGGCTCCTTCACCCGGCACCTAAAGGACTCACCACCCACCCCCTATTGGGGTCTTGCTTCACCCATCAACAAGCAAGATAATGTCAGGTGGCCTCGAAGGGCCTTTCCAATATCACTAGGGACTTTTGATCTTAAATCATCTTTTAATCTTTTCCATCCCATGGATCCTCGGCCTCCTCTGTGACTTCCAGGAAAGAAGCAGGCCTCCAAAAGCATTTTCTACCACAGGCACTTGTGCCTAGGGACTTTCCTGACAAGGACATGAACAGGCACATCAGGGTTGGTGACCACACCATAAGATGCTGGCAGGAACAAGGCCTAGGCCAAGGGTTGAGGAAACTATCTATAAGGGCTAGATGGCCTCTCAGGCTCTGCTGTGAGCTCACCACTATTCGGCTCCACCCCTGAAGCACAAAGAGCCACAGATGGTGTGTGAACAAAGGGTGTGACTGCGTTCCAGTAATATTCACTTCACAAAAACAAGCGTTGGGCCGGATTTGGCCCACAGGCTGTAGTTACCGGAGAGCAGTGCTTCTCAAACTTTAATAGCACAGAGATCACTCAGGGATCTAGTTAAAATACAGATTCTGAGAACATGGATTTGAGTGCAGCACTGTCCAACAGAAATATGATGGGGCCAGGCAAGGTGGCTCATTCCTGTACTCCCAACACTTTGGGAAGCTGAGGCAGGAGGATCACTTGAGCCCAGGAGTTCAAGACCACTTGAAGCAATATAGTGAGACCCTGTCTCTATTAAAAAAATAAAAGTTAAAAAAATTGACCGATCAGGGCAGATCACCTGAAATCAGGAGTTCAAGACCAGACTGGCCAACATGGTGAAACCACGTCTCTACTAAAATAAAAAAATTTGCCAGGCATGATGATAGGTGCCTGTAATCCCAACTACATGGGAGGCTGAGGCAGGAGAATCGCTTGAACCTGGGAGACGGTGGTTGCAGTGAGCCAAGATCACACCACTGCACTCCAGCCTGGGCAGCTGAGCGAGACTCCATCGCAAAAAAAAAAAAATTAGCTGAGTGTGGTACCACACGCCTGAAGTCCCAGCTACTTGGGAGGGTGAGGTGGGAGGATCACTGGAGCCCAGGAGGTCAAGGCTGCAGTGAGCTAAGATTGCACCACTGCACTCCAGCCTGGGTGACAGAGCAAGACCCTGTCTCAAAAAATAAAGAAATATAATGGGAGTCACATATGAAGTTTAAAATTTCCTGGTAGAGACTTTAAGTTAAAAAAAAAGTGAAATTAATATTAATAAGATACTTTATTTAATCGAATATACCCAAAAGAGTATGCTTTCATCATGTGGCACTAACCACATTTCCAGTGGCCATAGTCATGGTTACACAGGATCAAGCCTGAAAGCCTGCATTTCAGACAAGCTCCCAGGTGACAAGAATGCTGCCAGTCCAGGGACCTCACTTTGTAGGAAGGGCCCAAAGAATGCTATCTTCTACCTGGGCTGGTGAGACAGCTGTGGAGCTTCCACACAATTTTCTACAGGACACTTGGCAAACTGAATATGTATCCTAAGATAGGAATGCTTGAAGTCACATCTTAGGGAACATCCAGCTCATTGATACCATCCTTGTGCGTGATTATCAAGTAATCTTTCTCAAACACTCTCACCAGGTATTTTACACAAAGCCCAGTAAATGGGGGCCCTGTCTCCTCCATATCACACAAAGGAAATGACATGTGTGGATAAGGAATGACAGGACAAGTGTGTGCTGGCGCCATCCACGGCCTTTACACTGGCCTCTCCAAGAAGTTCACAGTTCCATGAGCGAGGCTTAGGAATTCCCATTTTACGGAGGAGGAACCAATCTCCAAGCTTAAGAAGCTGCAGCTAGAAATGAGCAACCCTGTGCCTGAGGCCCAAGTCCATCCATTTCCAAAAGGCTAGGCTCATAATCCAAGGAGTGCAGCATACAAGATGCCGCCAGGCATGAGTCACAGACATTTCTATTTCAATATTTTTAATAGAACATCTCCAGTTTATCAAACTCGTGATATGTCACAGACAAAATTGCTTACCTTAAGCTGAGGATTATTTTAAGAATCTGTTTCAATTTTATTTATTTTTTAAGCCAAGAATTTCCAGTTTTTATTTCTATAACATGACTTAACAAGAAAAACATTCCCCCAATTTTTTAAAAATTAGGTTGGATTAATTTACAATATATGAATCAACTTAAAATATCAGCCCTTTTATTTAGAGCCAAGGATGCTATTTTAACAGCAGAATTGCACCATTGATACTTTTACCTATATTTGATGGCACAGATATGCAAAAGTCATACGACTTCCACTGACACCCTCTCCTCCCTCCAGAGTAGCATTCACGTAATTTATCTTAGGTCAGTTACAAGTTATATGTAAGAAATGGTTAAGTGGGCTGGGCATGGTTGGTGGCCCATGCTTGTAATCCCAGCACTTTGGGAGGCCTGGTGGGGGGTGTTAGGTGGGGGGAATCGCTTTGAGCCTAGGAGGTCAAGGCTGCAGTGAGCTATGATTGCCCCACTGCACTCCAGCCTGGGCACCAGCATGAGACCCTGTCTATAAAAGGGAAGGGGAAGGGGTGGGGCAGGGGAAGGGAGAGGAAGAAAGGAAGGAGAGAAAGAAAAGGGAGAAAGAGAGGGAAAGAAGAAGGGAGGGAGGGAGGAAAGAAGGAAAAAAGGAAGGAAGGAAAGAAAGAGAGGAGGGAAGGAGGGAGGGAGGGAGGAGAGAGGAAAGAGAGAAAGAGGAGCGAAGGAGGGAGGAAGGAAGGAAGGAGAGAGAGGAAAGAGAAAGAGGAGGGAAGGAGGGAGGAAGGGAGGGAAGGAAGGAAAGAGAGGAAAGAGGGGAGGAACGGAAGGAGGGAAAGAGGGAAGGAAGGAGGGAGGGAAGGAGGGAGGGAGGAAGGAAGGAAGGAAGGAAGCTAAGCAATATAACCCTGTGGCAACATTTGTAAAAGTGACTCTGAGAAGACAGAAAGATCCTCTATGAGAGACTGGTGTCCCCAGGAATTGGCGAGGCCTGCTGAGGATCATTTGGGTAAATGTCATGGTCACGCGGCCCCATTCTCTTCGCTGAGCTCCGGATTTCCGTAGCCAATTGTCTGCTGGACATTCCTCCCTGATACATCTCACAGGTAACCCGCTCCAAAGTCAATTTTAGGGCCCTCCTCCCCACTGCGTCCGTCCTCCTGCTCTCCTGGCCTCTGGAATGGTCCCCGCCCAGCCAGTTTCTGACACCAGACGCTGTCCTGGGCCTCGCCCCGCCTTCCCACCCCCACCCAAACGCGCGTACTCTCGGCCTGGCCTGCGTAAGCCCGGCCCGCACCCGCCCTGCCGGGCTCCTGCTCCATTGCTGCCCCAGCCCACGTCCCTCACGGCTAGACCCTGAGTCTGTCACCCGTTGGCAGCGCCCAGAATGGGCCAAGCACCCTCCCCGCCCCTCTCCAGGGTGCTGCTGGCCTCGCTTCCGCGGCCCCTCCCGCGAGGCCTACCCCCACCCCCACCCCGCGGCGCCCCTTGGTTCTCCTTCCTGGCCCCTGGCCCCCACTTTACATCCTGATTTGTAACCCCGCAGTGACTAACATAGCTCCCACCTCCTGGCCTGTTCACGGGGGTCCCCAGGGGTGCGCGGACCGTGCGGGGGTCCCCGCGGCCAACCCAGCGCCAGAAGCGCAGGGAGCACGTGGCAAACGGTGGGGGGAACAATCAAGACGGACCCAAAGCGGTTGCAGCAGAGAGGGAGGCATCCAATCCCGTCCACCAGCCCCCAAAGGCCGTCGTCCTGCCTGGAGAACCTAGCAGTGCTAGGCAAGGTTCACTAGTAAAGAAAAATATCTGACCGGCTCCAGCTCCAGCCCAAGCTGCTGGTCGGGGCGAGAGGCCTGGGGACCTGTCCAGGGCAGGAGCCCCCGCACTGCGGGGGAATCCTCCTACTACTGCACGGGGTGGAGGGGGCGGGCCGGGGGGGAACATGCAGGCCCTGGAGCCCCACTCAGAAGACGCCTGAGCAGAGGCGCCTCGGCTCTACCCAGCTCAGCCCCCGCCCCCGCACTGCACATCCCCTCTGTGGGCTTCCATCCTTCCTCCCCTTCCCCCCCACCACCCAAACTGCCCCCAGGGCTCTGCTGAGGCTTCCCTGCTGTCTGGGCAGGGGCTGTTGGTTCCTCAGGAGCACGCCGTGAGATGAGCACCCAGGGAGTGACGAAGGGGGCTCCAGGGGATACTGGGGAGGGCGAGTCAGAGCAGGGCCCAGAGGGGAGCAGCAGGCAGGGCACAATTTCGGGCCAGTTCCGGGGCAGGGTGGGTGGAGCCCAACCCCTAGGGGAACTCGGATCCTAATGACACCCTCAAGTCTGCCCGTCTGCCCGGGCTTCTTACTCCCACTCTGGTCCTCTTGGCCAAAGGCATGAGGCCGGGAGGACGGCGATGAGGATCAAAACCCCTGGGTCCTTCCTGCCTCTGCGCCTGCCAGCAAAACAGCTCCATGAGTCCAAGGGCAGCTCAAGGGCAGCTCAAGGGCAGGCCACGGGAGCCACAGGTCCTGGCCATACAGCAAAAACATACGGAAGCCAGGGCAGTGCAGACACAGCAACAGGACAGAGGGGCCTGGCTGGAGCGCCAATGCCAGGGGTCTCTCAAGGCCCGCAACACGGTGTCCTTCTTGGACTAGAGTCTCAGTTAAATAACAAAGAGGGGATCTGATGACGTCCACGTGGGCTTCTCCCTGCCTTTGGTGGCGCCCCGGCCCTCCTGTGCGTCCTCCTGGCCCTGCTCAGATCCTAGGAGCCATCACACACTCAACATCCCCAGGCAGCACCAGCACCAAAGCCCCTCATTCCATAGCCCTCTAACACCTGGCTCAGAGTGAGCTCAGCTTCTTTTCTTCACACATGTCTTCATGGCAGCAAGGGAATCAAAAACTCTCCTCCTGGCCACCCACGGAAATGCAGCTGTCACCAGATGGAAAAGGAGGAGAAGATGCAGTGGGCTTGGGTGGTCCCAGGTGGCCCCTGGCCGGACTCTTTCCCTCAGTTGGGGGACAGAGGCTGATTGGAAGAGCACCTCCTTCCCAACGCTTGAGGACAGGGCCTTCCCTGACACCTGTGCCTGGGCTGGTCTTCTGCACCCTTAGCCTCAAGTAGCCTCAGACCACTGCAGTGCTGTTGAGGGTTATCCATAGCGTTTTTTTCCTGTGCTTTGGGTCTCCTTTGCCATCTGCAGCTGGACTAGGGGTCTTGGATTGCCAGGGAGGCTTCTGTGAAGTGGGCTGAAGAGAGCCCTTCCTCACTCGGAAGGCACAGCACAGCCCCGCCGCATTTATAAGTGAAAAGGGAGACCCCACTGTGATGGGGATCCTTCTGCCATTCCCCCAAGACCCCGGGATTGATGAGAGGCATTCAGAACTGCAAGGGGCATGAGGGGGCTGTCATGTCCTTGTCTGGGCGGCCTCCCAGGCTCAAATTGCTGCCTGAGAACAGGTGGCAGAACATTCCTGAATATTTAACCCTTGGCTCGCAAGAGTGCAGGAATGACAGTTCTGTGCCTGAGGAAAAGATTCGTGTCACTCGCACCTCACTTAGGACAACTCGTGCTTTACAGAAATTTACTAATGTTAAAGAATGATTTGTGGTTTCTTTGCTCAAATACAGGAAACTGACTTTTCTCAAAAATGAACTCTCCCTACCAATCTGCACCATGAAATTATTTCAGCAAACAAAAAATAATGGTTGCCCATCACCGCACACTGCGTGTGACTCAGCCATCACTCACAGGCAAAGAAGGGTGTTCTCTCCTCTCCCTGTCAGTTACTAATTCTCTGTAAATGACCATTTGACATCCTGGCCGGGGAGGATTCAGATCAGAGATGACTTCCCCACTGCCACAAAGTATGGTTCTGGGAAGGACAACCAGCCCCAAGGCCACGAAGATTCTGAAAAAGTTTCTTCTCATTTGAAGTCCAGTATTTCCTCGGCCCCATTTTTCTGTTAAACAATCCTTTTCCCTTGGAGATTGCTAAAGCTTAGCTCCAGGGCCAGCCTAAGCTCCAGCAGAACTGGGAGCGTCTCCTGTGTCTACATAGCTCCCTTCCCTCCTGCCTTCCTACTATCAAAGGAGAAACAGCGTGTAATTTGATTTTTTCCCCTTCTCCTCACTTGCCATACTGTGTTCTTTGCCTGGGCCTGTGCCTCTCCTTGCAGAGGCTGTGGACAGGAGCACCGAGAGCCACTTCCTGGAGCATGCTCCCCACCCCCGCAGCCTGTGGCTTCAGCCTCTGCTTCTGCAGACAGCGGTGGAGGAAGTCAGGACTGTCCCTTCTGACCTGAACACCTACCTCCAAGTCCTCCCTGTCGCCACAGAGACCCGGCAATGCAAGTGAGTCCTGTTTGACCTCGTCAATCATCGCAGACTGTAAAGGTGACTCGGATGCTCAAGAAACGAGCATACCCAGCAGTGGGCCCCAGACTTCTCGCAGGCCCAGGTCCTCCTGGGTGCACAGAGACCTACCAGACAACGGTCCGGCTGCACTGGTGTTGTGAGATGCCTGTGTCAGAAGACACTGAGTTCCTCACTCGCCTCCTATCATGCCGATGATCACAGGAGAAAGAGCAGGGCACATGCATGCCAGCATGCTGAAGGGAGGCCAAAACCCATGCTTGAAAACCACAGGTCCTGTTCTAGGAGCAGGAGATATATTTAGCCAAGCAGGATGTTTGTGGGTAAACCAACATTTTGCTGTAAATAAAATTCTGCAAACTCGGGACTTTGAGAATTGCAGAAGCTTACTTTGCCTGCGTATTGGCAAGAGAGCTATTTTCCTAACACAAGCTCACCATGACCCTCATTCAGAGATGCGCTTGACGCCGAGGGTGGTGCCTTTTCGCTAAGGGGTGCTGTCAGGGGATTGAGTAGGAGCCTGAAGAGCTAGGAGTATCTTCTCCCTGGGCAGACCAGCAGGCAGACCCTGTCCCTTCACACTACAGTGGCACGTGATGGGCCCCACTGCCCACCTGGTTCTGGTGTCCAGGCTGAAGTCCTCGTGTGACACTCCAAACTGTTCTGGCAAGGAAGGCTCACGGGTTCTGACCTACACTCTGAAACTGACCAGTAGTGATAAACTCCGCATGGACTTCAGCCATCATTGCGTACGTAAGAAATACGTGTTGCACACAGAGTGCTTCTCTACATTCCCAGGTTTGCCACTCCCCGACTTTTGCTGAAGCAGGTTTCTACTCCATCAGTCCCACAGATGTGTTCACAGGGCCAGCACTGAGTGTGGTGCTGGGGAAGGCATGTGCTTGGAGGCAGCCCTGTGAGATGGCACAGCCTAGGGGAGGAGTCGTGGTGGGGAAGACCCTGGCCACGCATGATAGAGGAAGCGTGGCCACACAGTCTTTGCTGTCCCTGCCACAGCATGGTGCTGTAAGTCTCCTCCTTCCGAGTCTGTGCAGACTTATGTGACACATTTGACCCAACAGAAATGCAGCATTTGTGGTGTGTGAAAGTTCCAGACCAGGCCACAGCGAGCTCCGTGGCTTCGGCTGTGTCTCCTGGAGCACTTGCTCTCAGGACCCCCTCTCTCAGAGCCCAGGCACCACGCCGTGAGAGAGCCCCAGCCACAGAGACAGGCTACGTGTAGGTGCTTTCATCAAAGTGCCACCTGTGCCTCCCCGCAGCAGTGTCAGGCCACCAGCTTGGACAGGCAGCTCCAGCCTCCAGTGGAGGCTTCAGAGGACAGCATCAAACAGCATCCACAAAGGAGACCCACCTTGTGAAAAGCGCCTAGCCAAGCCCTGCCCAAATCCCTGGCCTGTGCAATTGTGAGCAAAGCAATTCAATTTGGAGTGGTTTTATGCTGCAGTAGGTGACCAAAGCACTATGGAAGTGAATATCAGGAGCCCCTCACTGGGATGTCAGAAGACATTCAAGGAAGGTTTCCTGGAAGATTTAGTACCTCAGGTGGTACAGGAGAAGGTGAGATGGAGAGAAAGCAACCCCAGTCTGAAGACGCAGTGGTAAGAAAGGGTCATTCCCCTGGGCATGTGTGGTCTGCTGGGGGATGACAGCCGAGGTGAACTTGAAGCAGAGGACACTCAGACAAGCTGCACTCTGAATCCCGCTACGCTGACCGCAGCACTTGCTGAAGAAGCCGCCTCGCCACGCCCAAGCCCTGCAGAGGGAAGGACTGAGGAAGGCAGCTCAGAGGCCTCAGGCAGCCACAGTGTGCATGCTTGTCTATGACTCACAGCTACGACGTGGCCTGTGCTGCTGCAGCTGCTGATAAGCCTCAAACCTCATATACCACTCTCTTCCGAGGATTTTTTAAATACACAAAACTGGGAGTGAGAGGGGTATTTAATTCCCCTACTAACACATGTTGGGCGCAGCTGGAGCAGCCAGGCCCACTGTAGCTGGGAAGATGCGGTGCCTTGAGGTGCAGGCACTGCTCACTGCCACATGTGAGCACAGGTTCTGAGGGTGAAAGGTCCCTGGTATCTGGCCAGAGTGTTAGACTCTGGAACATAAGAAGCCCCCGAGGTGGTGGAGAAGGTCTAGCCAGGCTCCAGACTGGCTTCACAGAGGTAATGCTTTTTGGTTTGAAATCCGTAAGAGCGCACTACAACTTCAGGGCAAGCTCCAACAGTGCTTCTCAAACTTTAATGAGCACCCAAATCATCAGGGGGCGCGGGGGCAGTGGGTCGCTTACTAAAATGAAGATTCTGCATCAGGAGGTCTGGGGCGGTGACACGATTCTGTGTTTCTAACACGTTCCTGGGTGAGGCTGAAGCCACTAGTCCATGAAGCACACTTTGAGTAGCAAGAATGTGGAGGAACTGTCCCAGGATGGGCCATGATTTACCTGAATTCTCACAGTGGCTTAGACAATGGAGACCTTGTCCACAACTAAAAAATAAAAATAAAATCGAACCACACTCATTGTTCCAGGAAACAGCAATAACATTGGAAATAAATCAAATGGTTTATTACTGAGATTGTATTATCAGAGCTATATATTAATTTTTTTTTCTTTCTTTCTTTTTTCCTTTTTTGAGACAGGGTCTCACTCTGTCACCCAGGCTGGAGTGCAGTGGCATGGTCACTGCTCACTGCAGCCTCGAGTTTTCGGGCTCAGGTGATCCTCCCACCTCAGCCTCCCGAGTAGCTGGGACTACAGGCATGCACCACCACATCCAGCTAATTTTTTGTACTTTTAGTAGAGATGAGGTCTTGCCATGTTGCCCAGGCTGGTCTCAAACTCCTGGGCTCAAGTGATTCGCCCACCTCAGGCTTTCAAAGTGCTGGGATTACAGGTGTGAGCTATACCCCCCCACCCCACCCACCTGTATATTCATTTTCTATAACTGTGTAACAAATAATAAATTCCTATTACTGTATAACAGACTTAATAGCTTAAAACAACACCCATTTATGGTCTCATAATTCTGCAGGTCAGAAGTCCAGGCGGGTTTAATGGGGTTTTCTGCTTGGAGTCTCACAAGGCCAATGTCAAGGTCTCCTATCTGGAGGTTTGGGGAAAAAAATCTACCTCCAAGTTTAATCTGGTTGTTGGGCAAATTCACTTCCTTGCAGTCCCCTGAAATCCTCATTTTCTTGCTGGCTGTCAGCCAGGGGTTGCTCTCGGTAACAGGGACCTCCCAGGGCCTCCTCCATCTCAAAGCCAGCAACAGAGACTCCACCCTGGTGTCAAATCTAACTCCGGCTCTGTTACCAGCCAGAGAAAACTCTGCTTTTAAAGAACTTGGCCGGGTGCCGTGGCTCACACCTGTAATCCCAGCACTTTGGGAGGCAGAGGCAGGCGGATCACCTGAGGTCAGCACTTTGAGACCAGCCCGGCCAACATGATGAAACCCCGTCTCTACTAAAAAATACAAAAATTAGCCAGGCACAGTGGCAGGTGCCTGTAATCCCAACTACTCAGGAAGCTGAGGCAGGAGAATAGCTTCAACCTGGAGGCAGAGGTTGCAGTGAGCCGAGATTGCCCCATTGCCCAGCCTGGGCGATAGAGCGAGACTCTGTCTCAAAAATAAATAAATAAATAAATAAGAACTCATATTAGGCCCCACCCCAGATAATCTTCCAATTTTTAGATCAGACAATTAGTGACCTTAATTATATCTGAAAGAGTCTTTTGCCATACAAGATAACATAATCATGCGAATAACGCCAGGGGGCTTGGTTCTGGTTCCAGGGCCACCTTAGATTTCTGCCCTCCATAAGTGGGAAATGGGTGCCTTAGGCAAAAACTGCCCGATAAGAATGCAACAACCATTACACAACTAAAGTGGGTGATCTTCAATGACATAATCAGAAAAGAACCTGAGATCAGTTTCTCACTCAACAGGATTTATGGAGAGAGGCCAACAAAAAGTAAGGCCTCGATTTAGCAAACTGAACTAAAAGCCAAGTCTAATTTGCATTCTTTAGAATGCTTGGGGTCAGCCGGGAGTCTCTCCCATTAGAATGCCTGGGGTGGCCCAGGTGTCTCTATCATTAGACTGCCCGGGCTCGGCCGGGAGATTCCTAGAACACACTGGGTCAAGCAAAATAACAACAAACAAACAAAAACCTTTAGAAACATTTATTTTATGTTCACTGAAAACACTTCATCGCGGCAGCAACTTCAATTATTTAGTATTTTGCACCTCCAAGGCAAAATTTCATAAACAAACAGGTGATGTTTCTTAGAAAACGAACTGTTTATATTTAGCATTATTTTCTTTCTCTCATGCCAGTTTCCTGGAGGGCATCTCTCACACCAATTTCCTAGAGGGAAAAGTTTACCTGCAAAGCTAGAAGGGGCTTAATGCCAACATTCCCTGATGCACCCAGTGAGAACATGAAGAGATGTGGATTTCCTCTCCTTCCCTTATTAATTGTTTTGTGCCATTTAGAGCAAATTTGATGCATAAAACTCTAATTCAAAAGAAAATGAGTTTTTACTTTACCAAAAGTGTAAACCTTTTTGGCTGGGAGCGGTGGCTCACGCCTGTAATCCCAGCACTTTGGGAGGCCGAGGCGGGTGGATCACGAGGTCAGGAGATCAAGACCGCCGTGGCTAACACGGTGAAACCCCGTCTCTACTAAAAATACTAAAAAAAATTAGCCAGGCATGGTGGTGGGTGCCTGTAGTCCCAGCTACTCGGGAGGCTGAGGCAGGAGAATGGCGTGAACCCGGGAGGTGGAGCTTGCAGTGAGCGGAGATCACGCCACTGCACTCCAGCCTGGGCAACAGAGCGAGACTCCGTCTCAAAAAAAAAAAGAGTAAATCGTTTTGTAAAATTTCTAGGAATTATTCTCAGCCTAAAACAGTGAGTTGTATACAGTTTCTATTAATTGAGGTTTGAAATGTACACGCATAGTAGCACAGTGGGTGAAATGACTGATCTGAAGTGTGCCACTCACTGAATCTGCTCATGTATACGTTCACGTGAGCACCACTCAGCTTCCCCAGATTTCCTTGCTATCCATCCCAGTCTATAATTACCCCCAACCAGAGGCAAGGCAGCGTTTTAGAAACTTTATTGAGGGTATGATTTCTGTCCAGTAAATTGTGTCCACTTCAAGCTTCCAGTCCAGTGAGTTTGACTATGTGCACACTCAGGTCACAAACCAAGGTCACAATCAGGAGGCAACACACCTTCATCACCCACAAGGGACACACCTTGGTCACCTTTGCCTCATCTCCCACCACCCTGGACACCAGGACACCACACATCTGTTTTTTAAATCACTATAGATTAGTTTGAGTTGTTTAATTTGTGTGTAAGAGAAATCATGAAGGATATACTCTTTTCTGGCTAGCCTCTCTCACCCGGCATAGTGATCTGGAGATTCCTTGATGCTGTGGGGAGTATAAAGAGTTCATTCTCTTTCATTGCTGAATAGTATTCCATTGTATGGATATACAACAGTGATTCTCCATTCACCTGTTAATAGACGTGTGGGGTTTTTCCAGTTTGGGGCTACTGTGAATAAAGCTGGTATGAGCATTCACCCACAGGTATTTGTGTGAACATATGTTTTATTTATTCTGGGAAAATACCCAAAAGTGGCAAAACTAGGTCATATGAAAAGTATATGCTTAACTTTAAGAAATTGCCCAATAGTTTGCTAAAGTGTTTGCATCATTTACACTCCCACCAAGACTGATTTGGTATTGTCGGTCTGTAATTTTAGCCATCCTAGTGGACGTGTAGTGATCTCTCATTGCAGTTTTGTTTGCAATTCACAGACAACTGATGATGTTGAACATCTTTTCATGGTTTTTTTGGCCATTTATATATGTTATATTTGTTGGTCATTTCTATATCTTCTTTGGTGAAGTGTCTGTTCAAATAATTTGCCCATGTATACATTGTATTCTTTGTCCTTTTACTATTTTTGTTGTTATTTAATATTTATTTTATAATCTTAAACTTAACTCTGCAATCCAGCTAGAACTGGAGGGGAATAAGGAAAATATGGAACCTAAAGAATGCATCAGCTGGGCGCGGTGGCTCAGGCCTGTAATCTCAGCACTTTGGGAGGCTGAGGCGGGCAAATCATGAGGTCAGGAGTTGGAGACCAGCCTGGCCAACATGATGAAACACTGTCTCTGCTAAAAATACAAATACTAGCTGGGCATGGTGGCGCTTGCCTGTAGTCCCAGCTACTCAGGAGGCTGAGGCAGGAGAATCGCTTGAACCCAGGAGGCAGAGGTTGCCGTGAGCTGAGATCGTGCCACTGCACTCCAGCCTGGGCAATAGAGGGGACTCCATCTCAAAAAAAAAAAAAAATGCATCGATAGCAAAAGATGATAGGCTACTGTGAGCAAATGGGGTGGAGGGGTGGTCTCCAGGTTACAGAAAAAGTAGTCTGGTGGTTAAGATAAAGGACGAGTCAAATGTATTAGACTGTCCAGAGTCAGCAATGGTGATCTTCTTGCTGGTCTTCTTATTCCTGAACCCAAAGTGCTCCATGGCCTCTGAGATATTCATGCCTTCTTTCACCTTCCCAAAGACCACATGTTTGCCTTCTAACCACTCAGTCTTGGCAGAGCAGATGAAAAACTGGAAACCGTTTGTGTTGGGTCTAGCATTTGCCATGGAAAGATGACAGGACCTGTATGCTTTGGGATGAAGTTTTCATCAAATTTCTCTCCATGAATGGACTTTCCACCAGTGCCATTATGGCCTGTGAAGTCGCCATCCTGACACATAAACCCTGGAATAATTCTGTGAAAGCAGGAATCCTTATAACCAAATATTTTCTCTCTAATGCTCAGAGTGCAAAAGTTTCTTGCTGTCTTTGGAACTTGGTCTGCAAACAGCTAGAAGGAGACACAACCCAAGGGCTCACCATTATCGGTGATGTCCATCATGGTTGGTGGCAGGGGGCCCTGGGTGGTGGCAGCATCTGCAAAAAAAGCCTGTCCTTTTACTATTTTGAGGTTTTTTTCTTTTTCTTTTCTGGAGACATGGTCTCACTCTGTTGCCCAAGCTGGAATACAATGGCATGATCATAGCTCACTGCAGCCTTGAGCTCCTGGGCTTCAGTGATCCTCCTACCTTAGCCTCCTGAGTAGCTGAGACTACAGGCATGCACCACCACTCCTGACTATATCTTTAATTTTTTTGTAGAGATGGGGTCTCACTATGTTGCCTGGGTTGGTCTCAAACCCCTGGGCTCAAGCTATTTTCCCACTCTGGCTTCCCAGAACACTGGGATTACAGATGTGAGCCACTATACCCAGCCATAATATTAAGATTTAAGCACAATTTATGTTTTGTGATTACAAGTTATCATCAGATATAGGTATTGCTAATATTTCCTCCTATTCTGTGACTTGCCTTCATTTCTTAGTAGTGCCTTTGAAAAGCAAAAGCTGTAAATTTTGATAAGTCCAGTTTATCAATTTTTTATGGATTGTGCTTTATGTATCCTATGTAAAAAACATATGCCACTCAAGGTTGCAAGGATTGTCTCCTATGTTTTCTTCTAGGATTTTTATGTGTATGGTCATTTCAAGTGAATTTTGTATACAGAGCAAGGTAAGAGTTGATGTTCATTTTTTCCTTATGCATATACTCAGTTGTTGAAAAAAACATTTCTTTCTTCATTAATTTGAGTGGGTATCTTTGTTAAAAATTGATTATCTATGGCTATCTTTGCCTGTCTATGACTATCCCTCTTATGTTCAAGGGCTCTATGTATCTAACATTTCAGTATTACCATACTACTTGGTTACTGTAGTTTTGTAGGAAGTCTTAAAATCAAGTGGTGTCAGCCCTCCAACTTCTTAAAAATGTCTTTGACTAATGTAGGTCCTTTATATTTTCAAGTAAATTTTAGAATCAGTTTCTCAACTTCTACAAAAAATTCTTTGCTAAAATTTTGATTAGGATTGCATTGAATCCATGGATCAATTTGAGAACTGATCAAGTGGATTTTACATGAGGAATGCAAGGATGGTTCAACATACATAAAGCAATAGATGTGAAACATCACTTAACAGAATTGAGAACAAAAACTATATGATCATCTCAACAGATGCAGAAAAAGCATTTTATAAAATTCAGCATCCCTTACATGATAAATTGATAACCTCAACAAACTAGGCACAGAAGGAAAATACCTCAAAATAATAAAGCCCATATACATCAAACCCACAGCCAGCACCATACTAAATGGGGAAAAGTCTAAAGCATTCCCTCCAAGAACTGGAACAAGGCAAGGATGCCCACTTTCACCACCCATATTCAACATAGTACTGGAAGTCCTAGCTAGAGCAATCAAGTGAAAGAAATAAAAGGCATCCAAACTGGAAAAAAGTAAGTCAAATTATCCCTGTTCACTGATGATGCATTCTTACATCTAGAAAACCCTAAACATTCCATCAAAAACTCTTCAATTCAATAAATAAATTCAGGAAAATTTTAGGATACAAAATCAATCTACTAAAATTAGTAGCATTTCTACATATCAATAATGATCTAGTTGAGAACCAAATCAAGAAGGCAATTCCATCTGCAATACCTACCAAAAAATTAAAACATCTAGGAATATTTTTAACCAGGAAGATGAAAGACCTCTACCAAGAAAGCTACAAAACACTGATGAAAGAAATTGTAGATAACCCAAATGGAAAAACATCCCATGCTAATTGATCAGAGTTAATATTATTAAAGTGTCCATACTGTCAAAAACAATCTACAAATTTAATGCAATCCCTACCAAAATACCAACATCATTTTTCACAGATTTAGAAAAAAATAGTCCTAAAATTCATATGGAACTGAAAAAGAGCCCAAATAGCCAAAGCAATCCCAAGCAAAAAGAACAAAGCTGGAGCCATCATATTATCTGATTTCAAATTATACCACCAGGCTACAGTAACCAAAACAGCATGGAACTGGTATAAACACACAAATCAATGGAGCAGAGTAGATAACACAGGAATAAAATCACATATTTATAGCCAACTGATCTTTGATAAAGTCAACAAGAACATATACTGGGGGAAGGACACTCTTTTTAGTAAATTGTGCTAGAAAAACTGGATTGTCATTTGCAGAAGAATGAAAGTGGATCGTATTCTCTCACCAGATAAAAAAAGTCAACTCAAGATGAATTAAATGTAAGATCTGAAACTATAAAAGTACTAAAAGAAAACCTAGGGAAAACTTCTCAACATTGGTCTAGGCAAAAAATTCATCACCAAGACCTCAAAAGCACAGGCAACAGAAACAAAAACAGACAAATGGGATTTAATTAAACTAAAAAGCTTCTGCACAGCAAAGGAAATAATCAGCTGAGTGAACAAACAACTAGTGAAATGGGAGAAAATATTTGCAAACTATGCATTTTGACAGGGACTGACAGTCAGAATTTATAAGAAACTCAAACAACTCAACAAAAAAACCTCAAATAATCCCATTAAAAAGTGGGCAAAGAACATGAATAGACATTTTTCAAAAGAAGACATACAAATGGCCAACAAACATAAGAAAGAATGCTCAAAATCATTAATCATCAGAGAAACGCAAATTAAAAACACAATGAAATATCATCTTACACCAGACAGAATGGCTATTATTAAAAAGACAAAAAATAACAGATGTTAGCAAGGATGCAGAGAAAAGGGAACTTATATACTATTGGTGGGAATGTAAATTAGTAAGTGCTCTATGGAAAACAGCATGGAGATTTCTCAAAGAACTGAAAATAGAACTACCATTCAATTCAGTAATCTCACTACTGGGATCTACTCAAAGGACAATAAATCATTGTATCAAAAAGACACCTGCACTCTTGTTTCTCTCAGCACTATTCACAATAGCAAAGATGTGGAATCAACCTAAGTATCCATCAGTAGATGACTGGATAAAGAAAATGTCATATATATATATATATATATATATATATATATATATATATGCACACACACACACACACACACACACACATATATATAATTGAATACTATTCAGCCATAAAATAATGAAATCATATCTTTTCCACCAACATGGATGGAGCTAGAGGCCATTACCTTAAATTAAATAAGTCAGACACAGACAAGTATCACATGTTCACACTTATAAGTGGAAGCTAAATAATGTGTACACATGGACACAGAATGTGGAATGATAGACAACAAACACTTGGAAGGGTGAGGATGTGTGAGGGGATGGATGCCAAAAAATTATTTAATGGGTATAATGTATGTTATTTAGGTGACAGATATCCTAGAAGCCTTGATTTCACCACTACACAATCTATGCCTGTAACAAAATTACACTTGCACCCCATAAATTTATACAAAAGGTAGTAATAAGGAGAACTGATAGCACTATTGAGTCTTCTTATCCAATTGAGATTTGGAACAATGCCTCTCCATGTATTCAGGTTTTTTTTTTGTTTTGGTTTTTTTTGACAAAGTTTTACTCTGTAACCTAGGCTGGAGTGCAGTGGTGCGATCTCAGTTCACTGCAACCTCTGTCTCGCAGGTTCAAGAGATTCTCCTGCCTCAGCCTCCCGAGTATTTGGCATTACAGGTGTGTGCCACCATGCCCCGCTAATTTTTGTATTTTTAGTAGAGATGGAGTTTCATCATGTTGGCCAAGCTGGTCTCGAACTCCTGACCTCAGGTGATCCGCCTGCCTTGGCCTCCCAAAGTGCTAGGATTACAGGCGTGAACCAGCATGCCCGGCCTGTACAGGTCTTTTAAAATGTCTCCCTTAATAATATTCTGCAGTTTTCTGTGAAAAGGACTTCTGCATCTTTTGTTAAATATTTAAAAATATTTTATTTGGTACTGTTGTAAATAAATTTTTTAAAATTTCATTTTCCAATTGTTTGCTGCTAGTATATATGTATGTATGCTATTGATTTTTGTATCCTGCAGACTTATACTAGTGGTTCTGTAGTTTCCTTGAGGTTTTCTATGTAAACAATCATGTTATGTTCAAATAGAGACAATTTTACTTCTTTCCCACCAATATTTATGCCTTTACATGTTTTTCTTGCTTCATTGCCATAGCTAGGTTCTCAGTACAATTAACCAGAAGAAGAGAGAGAGAGAGAGAGAGAGAGAGAGAGAGAGAATGCATGCACTTACTTCCTTATCCTTCTGATCCTAGAGAGAAAGTATTCAATATTTCAACAATAAGTATTGTATTGGGTTAGCTCCAGGTTTTTCACAGATGCCCTTTATCAGGTGGAAGAAGTCCCTTTCTCTGCTTAGTTTGTTGGAGAAAGAAACAATTCCACACTCATATTAAGAGATTTAACACTTCTCTTTCATCAGCTTATTGATCAGTTACAAAAATATCAGTAAACATTTGGAGGAAGTGAACATTATCATCAGTTACCTTTACCTAATTGCTATTTCTGTATCACTACACATTCTTTTCAAGTACACATAGAAAGTTCACTAAGACAAACTATATGCTGGGCCATAATACAAGTCCCCAAAATTTAAAAATATTTGAAATAGCACAAAGTAGGTTCACTGACTACAGCAGAATTAAATTAGAAATAATAACAGATCAAGGAAATACCCCAATATTTGGAAATTAACCTGCACACTTCTAAACAATGCACATTTCAAAAAAAAATCCCAAAGAATTTTAAAAATATTTCTAATTGACAGATATGTAAAAATACAATAAATATATCAAAATGTATGGGATGCGTTAAAGCAGTGTGAGGAGGAAAATTTACACTTTTAAAGGCTTATGTCAGAAAAGAGGAAACATGTGACCTCAGAGACGGAACAGTTCACCTCAAAAAGCTAAAAAAAGAAGAGCAAAGTAAACCCAAAGAAGACGGAAGGAGCAGAAGTCAACAAGAGAGAAAACAAATGTTAGAAAAAGATTACACAGCTTCCCTCGCTGTGATCTACTGAAAATCGCCCTCAACACAAGGGATTGTAAAGAAACAAAGTGAAAAAAAAAATCTTTTTTAAAAAAGAAAAAGATTACAAAGCTAAATCGTAGTTCTTTAAAAGCAACAAAATAAAGTCATAACTAGTTAATAAGAAAAAATTATTAATAGAGCACAAATGACAAATATCAGAAATGAAACACTGGTTACCACTTCAGATATTAAAAGAATAATAAGCTGATTTTGTGAACAACTTTATAGCAATCAATTTGGCAACTTAATGAACTGAACAAATTTCCTGAGAAGTACGATCTACCAAAATTTACACAAGATGAAAGGGAAAATATGAATAATCCTGTATCCATGAAAGAAATTGAATTTGTCATCATTAACCTTCCCACCAAGGAAACCAGCCCAGATTGTTTCACAAGTGAATTCCATCAAACGTTCAAAGACATAATAGCACCAAATGTACACAGACTCTTCCAGGAAATAGAGGAAGAGGGAACACATCCATGTTTCATGGGACCAGCATAACCTCGCATCAAAAGATAACAAAACATTAACCCCCTCCACTCCACTAAAAAGAACTTTTTTACAACACTAAAGTTAACAAATTAATACTTTTATGAGAGTTGCAAAGTGTATGCAGGCTCCATTGTGGAAGAAATGGCTCATTTAAGCCAATGAGAACCAAAATCAGCTCCCAACTTAATAATGTTAAACTCCATTCCACGATGTATTTTTAAGAGCTTGCCAAATTTGGTAATAAATTAATTTTTAAAAGGAAAGAAAAGCTAAATCTAGACAAAGAAACACAGAAAACCAAATTATCGGTTTGGAAGATATTCAAATATATTAACTAGGACCCTGGGAAAACCATGTATGTTGGGAAGGGATTTGTAGGTGAAGAAGGATGTAGAAAAATTCAAGAAGAGCCTGGTGATGTGGCTCACACCTGCAATTCCAGCACTTTGGGAGGCTAAAGCGGGAGGATCACTTGAGGTTGGGAGTTTGAGACCAGCCTGGCCAACATGGTGAAACTCTTGTCTCTACTAAAAATACAAAAATTAGCCAGGTGTGGTGACTCATGCCTGTAATCCCAGCTACTCGGGAGGCTGAGGCATAAGAATCGCTTGAATTCGGGAGGTGGAGGTTGCAGTGAGCCAGGAGGCAGAGGCTGCAGTGAGGCAAGATCGCACCACTGCACTCCAGCATGGGCAACAGACTGAGGCTTTGTCTCAAAAAAAGAAAAGAAAAATACAAGAAGGAAAATGGGCTTCTGCCATTTTCGGTGGCATGTTGTACAGAATTTGACAAGCATGTCCAGGTGAAATCTTTGAAGAAGGCACTGCAGTTTCTGTGTTGGCGGACGTCCTCATTTTTGTTTCCACCCTGTAGCTAAGTGGCCATCCTGCTCAGAATATCTGTGACAGTTGGATTAGGACATATTTAGTGATTAGGAATCAGCATGTTACATGGTGTATAAAAGTCAGGCCCAAGAAAGACTCTGACCACCTGAACATCGGCAAGCTCACGTGACGCCCAAGAGTCAAGACTGCGGAGCGGTGGACAGAAGAACTGCATCAGGAGCCCCTAAAAGGCTGGCTCACAGGGGCTGTAGAAGAGCCACCATGACAGTGTTCTGGCTGAAGATCAGGCTGCATGGTCTGACAAAGGACTTTCTGGCTGGCAGTTTGACAGCACCTGTGGTTTATTTAAAAAAATAATAATAATAACAGCCGGGTGTGGTGCCTCACACCTGTAATCCCAGCACTTTGGGAGGCCGAGGCAGATGGATCACCTGAGGTCAGGAGTTCGAGACCAGCCTGGCCAACATAGTGAAACCCCGTCTCTACAAAAATACAAAAATCAGCCAGGCGTGGTGGCGCACACCTGTAATCCCAGGTACTTGGGAGGCTGAGGCAGGAGAATTGCTTGAACCTGGGAGGTGGAGGTTGCAGTGAGCCAAGATTCCATCACTGCACTCCAGCCTGGGCGACAGAGGGGAGACTCTGTCTGTCAAACAAAAAGAACAATAAGAAGGTTGTTTATGGCTGAAATAGGAACACACAGAGAATCTAGGGTATGGGGCTGCCAGCTCTCTCCCAGTAGAGTCCGTGGACCAGGTCACTTGTGAGCTGCTGGTTTCTGCCCCATGATGAGATAACAGAGTGCAAGGAAGTGTACGTGTTCAGAACTCTCACGGCAATTTGACAGGACTGTGGCATCAAAGTGTGTGCCTGTGTTTCAGTAATCCATGTCCTCTGTGTTTTACAAAAGCACTGGCCCAAGACAGATTGGGGAAAAACTACAAAAAATTGCTCCTTCCCTACAGGCTGTTCCAGGACAGCAGCTCTGGAGTGTGGCTTGGCGGTCATTTCTGGGGGAAGCTGCAGACAATTAGCCACAGATGATACTTAGGGTCTCAGACCCCACAGTTGATGCTTAAAATAGATGTTAATGACTTCAGAGATGTCCCTAAGCTTATCTGATTCATACCCTCTCATTTCCAATGTGTTTTCTGAGGGAAAAAGAAGGGTTTTCGGTCAGTGTGCCAGGAGATCCAAAATCCAGGGCATCCCTGGGTAGCCTGACCTGCTGGGACAATGAAAAGGTGGAGAGAGGACTCCCAGGGACGGCAATGAGGAAACAGGGCTGCCACGGCCCACAGGCCTGGGTGTGATCTTGCTGCAGAGCCAGGAAGCTCCTTGCAGCGGTGAATGTGGTGGCGGTGCTGGCCGGGCACCGTGGCTGTGCCTGGCAGGCCTGCTGAGGGCACAGGGATTCATCGCGCTTGGCTCAGAAGCTTCGTTTTTCTGAGACAGCTCCCAGCTTCACTCAAACGTGGTTACCTACAGATGCAAACTGGAAACGATGCACTGTTTGTTCCCTTGCAATCTCTACGGTGAGCAGGCAGGAGCCCCAGCCAGAGTCCTGTGGTCACACACCCACTGGTGGTCAGGTAAATTTTCTGTTTCCCAGAAGGTTTTATTTTACAGAGTTAACAGACTGTGGCCTGCTTCCATTGCTCTGAAACACGCCAACTCCAGTTTCCCCACCTTTGTGAGGACGATCAAAAACCCAGAGAACGGCAGTGTTAAGATTTGATTTCATGATAAGCCCATCTTGTGGCAAGTTGAGTCTGGCTCTGGAAGGTGTGTTTGCCAGGAAACAAGCTGTGTATTATTTCTGTGGTTTGGCAAGGGAAACTCTGAGCTGGATGGATTTGGGAACCAGGGGAAACATAGCTCAGGCCATGAGAAGTCTGGATGAACAGGAAAACAGAGGAGGGGTCCCAGGTATTGCACAGCTCAGAGAGACAACGCCCCAGCGCCAGAACTCAGCAGCCAGCAGGGGTGTGGGCAGCACTGGGGTGTGGCTGGAAACTTCGGACACCACCCACACGGCCCACAGTGCCAAGCCCTGCTGCCTGGCCCTGCCCACAGAACCCCCCCATCCTTCTCAGCTGTGGGCTAAACACCCCCAGGATGGAAATGGCTGGGCTGTCCAGGGTGTGGAGTGAGCAGAGGCGCACAGGCAGCCTGCCTATGTGGGCCTGTGTTGGTGGGGCCCCACGTGTGGACATGCCCCGCCTGACACCAGGACTTGCCCGTGAGCCTCCCTCATCCCCAGCAGGCCTTGCTGGGACTCCTGTCTGGGGCTCAGTCCCGCTCTGGGGACATTTTAGGAGAGGCAGGTGAGTTCCTGCTGCTCCCAGGGGCCAGTCCCAGGGGACCTCATCTGTGACAGAGGATACCTCATTTATGACAGAAGACGAATTGTTGGGCACAGCCCAAGGCCTACGGAGAGCAAGGTAGGGTTGTGTCAGAGTTGCCCTGAAACCAACATCTTGTAGGTAAAGTTACTGAGGTTTGTCAAGTTGCACAGCATGGAGTAAGCCGCAGAGTGGAGGACAGGAGGTCACTCTGTGGTTCCCGGGCATCTCATACCACCTGGTGCCATCTGGAAACAAGTGTATTCACCTGCAGTGGGGAGACCCCGCCTCCCCTGCCTCAGAGCAGCCAGCCCCTTTGTCTGCCACCTGGAGGTGTCACAGGCCTTCAGAGGAGAGGGCTGTGGGGCTGCAGGGAGTCATCAGGGTGGACAAAGAGGTGCACTTGTGCAGATGTGGGCCTCATGGAGCCGAGAAGGGAAAGACTTCCCTGCAGATGACCATACAATGAGCAGGCAAGAAAGAGGACCGGAAGGCGTGAGCTGAACCCGCAGCTGGCTGAGGAGCCAACACACACGTTTCCGAGGGATCCAGGCTTAGGCTGGTGGCTCTTACGATCCCAACATCGGCTCCATTCGCCCCGGTCTGTTCATTCTACTTCCACCGAGATCATGTGCATCCCATCAGGGCATCCTCCCTTACCTTCTATGCCGCCAGTGCCCCACAGCACCCCCATGCTGTGTGCCCAAGCTCTGCACGGTTAGGTGGGGACACCCTTGCAACGCACAAGGTCGGCCTTCCCATCCCACCATTGCTGCCTGCCCTGTGTCCCTGGCTCCTGCCAACCTGGTGGGTTTGCAATTCCCCACAGGGACCCACACTTCCTGGAGAGAGTAGCCACACTCGGACCTGCCCAGTGCAGAGCCGGGCCAGGCTGGAAACAGGTCGGGGCTGACTCACTGGCCCAGAGTGGGCCACAGGTGCTGGGCACTGCTCTCTCTGCCTGCAAATCCTATCTTTTACACCCCTGCCCAGAGAAACATTCTGTGTCTCTCCACGTACCAGGATGACAGCGGCCCCCAAATATGTTCATATCCTAATCCCCAGAACCCGTGGGTGTGACCTTACATGGCAAACAGGACTCTGCAGATGTGATGAAGACCAGAATTATTTGGGGGAGGAGGGCAATGTAGTCACAAGGGTCCTCCTGAGACAGTCCGAGCAGAAGAGAGCAGGAGGTGACTCACTGATGAACACAGACTGCAGCGATGCGCTTTGAAGACAGAGGAAGGAGACAAGAGCCAAGGAATGCAGGTGGCCCCCAGAAGCAGAAAGACAGCAAAGAAATGGATTCTCCCCTAGAGCCTCCAGAAAGAACCAGCCCTGCCCACCTTTGACTTTAACCCAGTCAGATTGGTTTTAGACTTCTAGCATCCAGAACAGTAAGAGAACAAAGCTGTGCTGTTCTAAGCCACCGAGTCAGTGGTCACTTGTTACTCAAACATCACCCATCAGCACCCTGGGGAAGTGCGCCTGGCTGTCCGAATGAGCAGCCCTCTCTCCAGGACAGCCCTGCACCCGTGTTGGGCCTGTGTCTGAAACTCCCTAGCTGCACAGGCCTGGTGCCAGCTCCATGAGGCTGGGGTGCCACTGTGAGTGGCTCCATCACTCAGTCAGCCCTCGCCACAGGCCTGCAAATGGCCACTGCATGCTGGTGCTGTGGACATCCATGGCTTGGTTCCATTTCAGGGAAAAGCCCCTGAGGACTTGGGGAATGCTTTCCTCCCTCAGCCACGCTATTCAGCGACCCCACTGGTGACCTGTCCAGGCTGAGCCCCCCCAAACACGCTGGCCCAGTGACTGCTGCCACCCCCCTTGGCCGGCTGCTTGGTCCAGAGGCAAGAGTCTCGGCCAAGGACAAGGCATCACAGTCCTTTCCTGGTATATTTCAAATAGGAACTGGGAACCAAGGGCCAGTCCCATTAACTTGAGTAAGAGGCAGACACCAGCCGGCACAGAGTGGGTCCCACTGCCTGGGCCCTTCCTGCACCTCTGCTCGCTGCTCTGCCCCAGCCCGGGCTCAGCAGGGACCGGCCTGGAGACCAGCCCCAGAGCGGGACCTCAGTGCATGGGTGCCGGGGAACAGTGGGGGCCTGACAGGGCTCCTCAGACCTTCCCGTGGAGGAAGGCAGGAAGGTGGGCTTCCCAGGAGCCGTGGGCAGGCAGGCACCCTTGGGCTTCCTTTTTCCCATCTGTGTAAGGAACTGCTCTAGGGCCATGAGACACTCTCTGCTGATCCTGTCCCATGGTCCTAGGGGCACTGTCTGCCCACCCACCCTGAGTGGCCTTGGTCACAGCTGCAGTGGGACACCAAGTGGGTCCATAGCCATTATGGACTCCCACACGCAGCGGCCACCATATGCTGTGGGGTCCTCATCTCAGGTGCCCACATTCAGATAAGATTTGGGATAGACCATAAATTCCACAAGGACAGGGATTTTTAAAAATTTGTGTTTACTGATGCCACTCAAAAGCCTATAATCAGTATAAGCCTGACACAGACAGGTGCTCAGGAAACAATTTTTGAATGAATGACTAGATGCTGAATTATTTGCTTGGTAGGATGAGGATGGGCATTTCCAACATATTGCAACTGGAAACAGTGTTCCACGTTTAGAACTCCTCTTCGCCTCATGAGCTAATTTGGCACATTACTGGTCTGAGTGAGCTGTGGGTTGTCTGTACAGTTTTTGTTTGTAGCAAAGCTATAAAACAAACTGTGCAGGCCAAGAATAGATTGACATTGTTCACGATGGTGCTTACAGGCTGCGCAAGATGTATTAGAAGTCTTTGCATAAATAATAATTACAGAAATCCAAATTAATGAGAGAGCATTTCTCAATGATCCGATTGGTAGAGTCCAGCATCCACGTGCACTCCTGACCAGGACGTAGAGAGAGGCCCTCCAGGAGGTGTGCAAAGTGGCGTGGATTTGGGACAGCGATTTGACAGTATCTGAGAAAGTTAAAACTCTGCATCCCCAACACACAGCAAGCCCTGCAGCGGTAAGTCTGGGTCACAGTGAAGGCTCAGGACAACCCCAACCATCCAGGGAGGAACAGCTAATAAGAATGGCACCCTTGCTGGAAAGTGTATGGTTGCTGACTGGAAGAAATATCCATGACATGTTGTGATGTGTGTGCAGCTGCAGACCTCTACGTAGAGTAAGTACGTTATTGTTTGTGGAAAAAAGTATGTGTGTGTTCACAGGTATGTACATGTTTGTGTGTGTGTGCAAATGAGCACAAGCATTGACTTGTTGGAATGTGGGTGCATGGTGCGTGTGTTCCTGTTTGTGTCTATGCATGTGTGTGTGTGCATGTGTCTTTTGTAAGTACAGGAAGAAGTCAGGAGTCGTCATGGTAGTGAGGATAGCAGTACTGTGTCCTATCAGGGCCAGACACGGCACCTTTCAGATACTGTAGTCATGCACTTAATCCTCAACTGGGTTACCACTGTTATCTCCAATTCACAGATCAGGAAACTGAGGCAAGCGACCAACCTAAGTTGAATTCTGAAGTCAGGCAACTTGTGTCCAAAGTCCATGACCAGAATCTTTCTGTTTTGCCGCCATGCTCAAAATAGGAAAGGCAAGGTGAAGCGTGCTGTTAAACATTGTTAACTGGTGGGCACTATGGGTGTTTTTTACTTTTTTCTTTTTGTATTTTTATCTTTCAGGCGATTACTTTAAAACATGAAAGAAATTGCACCTTTTCCTTAAGGGCAAGATGGTGCTGTGGGCTTTCCTCTCTCCTGATGAGATGATGCAAATGGACTCCATAGAGAAACGCTGCCCGTGTAACAATGCAGTTACGCAACCCGGTGCATGACACATGAATTGCAGCGCACCTGAGATCCTGATGAAATCCTGGGAGCCTGGAGCTGTCAAACATGGTTTTAAAAAATAAAGGGAATACACCCAGCCCACACCCTGACTTTACAACCTTTAATTAATTAGAGGAAAGAAAGAGAGATTTGTCTGGTTTCATGACTTCAACTTTCCACCTGGAATATGAAGCTCCTGCTCTTCCCACCTCCTTTTCTTCTCTCTCTCTCTCTCAGGTTTTTAAATTTCTATTTCCAGTTCTGCCACCAAAAATAGATTGCAAATATATTCTGCATAATTCCGAGGCTACACTATAAATGTTGGAGTGCTACTACTTGTATAATAGTCACAAATGAACGCACGAGTGGGCACAGACCGCCACTCTGCCTCCCTCCTGCTCCTGCACCAGCCAATAGTGTCTGAAGTCAGACCCATCCCATCTTCCTGTCCAGCTGTTTAGTCTCAAATTGTACATTTATTTCATTAATAGATCAGTCTAAGATGTTCATCTCATGTAACAAAGGGGCATCTTTTTTTCTTGGGAGCCTGGCTGGTTTGTTGGTGGAAAGGCAGGGCTCAGGGGCCGTCGATGTTTAACTTAAGCCTCCTGTACTTTCACATTCTGGGACCCAGCACCTTCTTGTCTATAGTTAGCTTTTTGAAAAGTGCTATTTGATTACAATTTAAGGCTGGGCGCCGTGGCTCACGCCTGTAATCCCAGCACTTTGGGAGGCCAAGGCAGGCGGATCACCTGAGGTAGGGAATTCGAGACCAACCTGACCAATATGGAGAAACCCCCATCTCTACTAAAAGTACAAAATTAACCGGGCATAGTGGTGCATGCCTGTGATTCCAGCTACTTGGGAGGCTGAGGCACAAGAATCGCTTGAACTCGGGAGGCGGAGATTGCGGTGAGCCGAGATCACACCATTGCACTCCAGCCTGGGCAACAAGAGCAAAACTCCGTCTCAGAAAAAAAAAAAAATTAAACACACTTTCATTCACTGAATCAACAACTCTTACCAGTCATGGTCAATAGCTGTATCATGACAATAACTTAACTTGGGGAGTTTAAAAAATACCCACACCTGGATCCTACCCCAGGACTGGTTGAAGTCACCTGGGTGGGGCTCTGGCCGGGCGATTTTCAGGTGATTGTAATATGCAATCAGGGTTGAGTCCTTCTGCACATGGAGTTCCTTGAGCAAACCTCCTGACCCTCGAAACTGCCTCTGACAGGCTGTTTCCTCCACCCCTGCACCATGAGTATTATCTAATGACTTAATGACTAAAGGGGCATAACAATGCAAACAGCTATGGTGTACAGGATATTTACTAATGCCAGACACATCCACACAACAACTCATTTAATCCCTATTCTGGTCTGTGAGGCCGAGACTCTCCTTCCTTTCCTCTTTGGCCAATAGAATGTGAACTTCTGGGCCTTTCAAGTCCAATTCTTCAGATGCTTTGAGCTCTATGTTCTCCCGATTAGAGCCTGACCACCATGCTGCAAGGAAGCCAAGCTAGATCCATGGACAAGCCAAGGCCATCTGGAGGAGGCCCTGGAGGATGGAGGCCAGCTTGGATGTCCCAGCCAGTTCAAGCTCCCAGCTGAATGCAGCCATAGGATCAGCCACAGCCCACACCAAGTAGGGTGGAAGAGTTGCCCAGCTAAGCCCTGTCCAAATTCCCATCCACAGAATTACGAGAAAGAAAAAGCTGTGGGCTGGGTGCGGTGGCTCATGCCCGTAATCCCAGCACTTTGGGAGGCCAAGATGGGTGAATCACCTGAGGTCAGGAGTTCGAGACCAGCCTGGCCAACATGGCAAAACCCCATCTCTACCAAAAATACAAAAATTAGCTGGGCATGGTGGTGTGCGCCTGTAGTCCCAGCTACTCGGGAGGCTGAGGCAGGAGAATCGCTTGAACCCAGGAGGTGGGGATGCAGCGAGCCCAGATCGCACCACTGCACCCCAGCCTGGGTAAGACTCCATCTCAAAAAAAAAAAAAAGAAAAGGTTGTATTGCTTGACACATGATATTTGGGGATGTTGTGTTACACAGCAGTAACTGAAATGCCATAAGGTTCCTCTGTTTCCCCTGTGCCTATAGGTGCTCTGCTGACCCCGGGCACCCAGAGAAACAGACACACATTTCCCTAACGGAGTGTTTCCAGGGGCTTCCACTCTGATAACAACAGCACACTCACATCACCAATGAGGTGCTCCTGGTGATACCCCAGAGAGCTCGGGATGAGGGCATGAAGATGGCAGTTGAGGGACAACTTCCAGAGGGGCCGGCTGCTTATCTTCAAGACTAAATTACAGAAAACAAATCCTACCTCTTAATAGGACATTGAAGCTCAAAAACAATTCTGTTCAACTCAAACTCAGTAGAAAGAGAAAAATCCAGAGATATTTAGATAATCCAGAATGTTAGAGATACCATTTCAAAAGTTCCTCAACAAAAAGCAAACCCCAAAAAACGATTCACAAAGCCACTTTAAAAACACAAACACTGGCCGAGTGTGGTGGCTCACACCTGTAATCCCAGCATTTTGGGAGGCCGAGGTGGGCGGATCACAAGGTCAGGAGTTCAAGACCAGTCTGGCCAACATAGTGAAACTCCATCTCTACTAAAAATACAAAAAATTAGCCAGGTGTGGTGGTGTGCACCTGTAATCCCAGCTACTTCAGAGGCTGAGGCAGGAGAATCGCGTGAACCCGGGAGGCAAAGGTTACAGTGAGCCAAGATTGCGCCACTCTAGCCCGGGCGACAGTGCAAGACTTTGTCTCAAAAAAAAAAAAAAAATCACCTGCTCTCTTCACTGCTACACAGAGCAGCCTTGGTTATATGCAAGCCCCTGTGCCTGACGAGTGGCTGGTTCCTCAGTCTCAGGAGTCCTCACACTTGCCAAAGCCCACAGCTCCCTAGCTCTTCTGCCAGACATCATAGATGCCCTAGAAGCCACTTTGCTTATTACCTGCATCATGCAAGTGCTGAAGGTTCAGGTCACAGATGCCGGCAAAAGCCTTCTACCAAGAACAAAGTGATGGCCCAGAGATGAGGCCCCTCAGGCCCCTCACAGAGCAAACACAGGTTTGGGCTTCTCCACAACTGAGAGAAATGGCCACATGCCCAGCAAGCCAGATAGAAAAAGCCTTCCTGCTTCTTTGCCTAAAGCCCTCATCTGGTCCAGCAACTTCATTTTATGTATGTATGTATGTATGTATGTATGTATGTATGTATGTACGTATTTATTGAGACAGAGTCTTACTCTGTCACCCAGGCTGGAGCGCAGTGGCGTGATCTCAGCTCACTGCAACCTCCACCTGCCAGGTTCATGCCATTCTTCTGCCTCAGCCTCCCAAGTAGCTGGGACTACAGGTGCATGCCACAATGCCCGGCTAATTTTTTGTATTTTAGTGGAGACGGGGTTTCACCGTGTACCCTAGGCTGGTCGCGAACTCCTGAGCTCAGGCAATCCACCAGCCTCGGCCTCCCAAAGTCCTGGGATTTCAGGCGTGAGCCACCGAAGGCCAACTTCATATTTATTAATAGTTGTTTAATGTTTGCAAAGCCCAGAGTATCTCCAAGAAAAGTCATTTCTTCCCTGTAGAGAGATGGCTTTCTATTATTAAGAGTTGGAAATGAGTTTAGGAGCAGTCTTGCAACCCTGCTCCCGGGGAAATCAAACATTTGGGAATAGTGTTCTGCTAATGAAGTGAGAAATGGGAGGACATGGCTTTGGCTGCAAAGATGACCCGGGCACACTGTCAATGTCCCAGCTCCCACAGAGGCACTCGGTAGAGCCAAACTCTGAGCTTCATTTCATGAAGCCCTTTAGATGACAAGCCCTTCGGCTGCCTCCAGTGATGTGTCCACGAGGGAGGCAGCAGTATCTGCTCCAGGTGAGCAGCCTGAAGACCAGGCACGGGCCCGGGGGAGAAGCCAGGTGGCCCTCAATGCTGGGTGTGCTGTTTTCTGCCTGCCCTGAGCCCAGACCCATTTTCTGTCCTGCCACCATAAGCTGATCACCTGGAGTCCCGTGCCCTCTGGCTCCAGCCAGGTCACTGAGGGGATCAGCAGAAGACTTGGGGTAGCAGGGGAGTTCTCAGAAGGAATAACAGCTTCCTACTTACTCATGGGCACTGGGAGCCACCCAGGTTCTCCATTGGGGACAAAGAATTTCTTCCCCAGGGTGGGGAGGTTGTTGGCCTCCACTGAGAGAGGCAACTGTCCCATGACTCAGCCCTTCCTGGGGGCCCTTTGCCTCCAGCGACTAGTTCATGTGGACCTAAAGCCCCTTGACCAAGCTCAGGAACCCTCTGCAGGGCCATCCAGCTTGGTGTTCCCTGTGGGGTCAGCTAAGGCCACTGTTGTGACTGCACCTCAGCTTCCTCTCCTGCTCCCCACCCTGCCAGGAGGATGTGAGGCAGTTCCCATGCACTGCAGCCATGAGTCATTCTATTACCACCTTTTTAAATTTTTAACAAAGAAATCAAAATCCAGAGAGGCAAGAGACTAAGTTATCAACTGGCAAATGGGAGAGGCAGGTTGAATTCCCACCTGCCCGACTGCACAGTCCATGTTATATGGTGCTTATTTGATTGTAAAGAGATTATGTGCTCTTCTTAGCTGTCAACTGGGGAATAGAGTTGTAGATATTTGAGGTAAAGTTCATTTCTAAAAGTTAGAGGAGTCAGAAAATAGTTGTAAAATCTTCCTTTCAATGGATTAGAAATGCATGTCGTCTCTCACTAGGTGAAATGGGAGGGATAAAAAGTGAACACAGCCTCTCGGGGGGGCTGGAGAGATGGAGTCCCTAGGAAGGTGCAGGAAGGGAGGAATGAAGCCCCCGGGGGAGGTGCAGGGCACTGAGCTTTCCAGATCTTCCAAACTCAGGTCGTCCTCCAGGAAAGATGGGCGCTGACGAAACCTTCCGCCCCAAACCTTACAAAGTACATATCCACAGAAGAGCAACAACAGAAAAATAAAATGCCAGCTGCACTCACAGTGAGAAAGAGGATCAGCCCCACACCATAAAGTTAGAGACAGCTGGTGAGAAGATCCCAGGGCTCCTCCCTGAAGGCCACGCACCTCAGGGAGGTGGACACACCCTGCCCACCAGGAACAGAGGCCACGTAGGGAGAGACTCCAACTCCCACTGAGAGTGGAAGGCCCCTTCTCCCCAGGGGCAGAACAACCGTCAGGACCCCCGCTTGACTGTCTTTGGTGGCAAGCATGGCTGGAGTTGGCCACCCTGAGCTCATTATGTTGAGCACAGAGAAATTTACCACAGGGGAAAGAAAGCAATGCCAGAACCCTGGGCAGCCCAGGAAGAAGGCCACACTAAGCGTCTTGTGTTAAGGGTCCCTTCTCCCACAGATGAGCCATTTCTGGGCTAAAATCCATATAGTTTTGTCCTTTCCCTCCCTAAGCTGTGAAGGAAGTGGGAGCAGTAGACAAAGCTGGGCATCCACCCAGGGCTGGGCAGGTCTGGGGCAGAGGCCTGCATCTCACGCTGAGACAGCATGACTGGACAACCTCAACCCAGTCTGGAATATGGTTGGGCTTAAGGAATCCCAGAAAGGGTCCTCAGCAGCATGACCATATTAGTTTTCTACTGCAACAGTCTTAGTGGCTTCAAATGAACAATTCTTCACAGAACTGTTGTGGGGAGAGGGCTCAATTATCCCTAGACTTCTTACCAGCAATATTTAATGCCAGGAGAAAAGATCCTCAGGATCATCAGAGAGGAAAAAATCGTGCCCAAGAATCTGACACCCAGGTAAGTCATTAATTACTCTAGTCAAAGGCAATAGACACGTATTTTCAAAATTGCCAGGATTCAAGAAATACAGAACATTTTAGGAAAACAAAAGTAAAATAAAATTGCCTAATTAATCAAGAACATAGAAATGGAAAAGCTATGATATGAAGTGAATGAGATTGGATTAATGTAAATTTAGAACACTGAGAATTATGGGAATTACGGTTACAGAAATGAAGGGGAATGTTAATGCTGAAATGAAAATTGATACAAAATGACAAGAGCTTTCTGGCTTTCCTAGCTCTTCTTGTCTAATTAAAATGAATACATGTATATTGTTGTGGTAAGCAGAACACTGGCCCCCAAATATATCCATGCTTGTATTAGTCTGTTTTGCTTGCTATAAAGAAATACCTGAGGCTGGGTAATTTATAAAGAAAACAGGGTTATTTGGCTCATAGTTCTGCAGGCTGTACCGGAAGCATGGCACCAGCATCTGCTCAACTTCTGGTGAGGCCTCAGGAAGCTTACAATCATGGTGGAAGGCAAAGGGGAGGCGGGTGTGTCATATGGCAAGAGAGAGAACAAGAGAGAGAGCAGGGATGTCCCAGACTCTTTCAAACAACTCCATCTCACCTGAACTAACAGAGCGAGAACTCACTTCTTACTGTGGGGAGGGCACCAAGTCCCTTGAGAGGAGTCTGCCCCCATGACCCAAACACCTCCCACGAGGCCCTACCTCCAACCTTGGGAATCACATTTCAACATGGATGTGGAGGGGACACACATCAGCACCATAGCAATGCCCTAATCCCTGGACCCTGTGAATGTTAGGTTGCGTGGCACGGGGGAGTCAAGGTGGCCGATGGAATTCTGGTTGCTAATCAGCTGACCCTGAAGTGGGGAGAGAATCCTGGATCACCCAGGTGTGTTCAGTGTAACCACAGGGTCCTCAGCTGTGGATGAGGAGGCAGGGGTGTCTGGTGTGGTGTGGGAAGAACTCGACCTCCTGCTGCTACTTTGAGCTGGAGGTGAGGACCACGAGACAGGGTGGCCGAAGGCAGCCAGAGAGATGAGGGGAGAATTCTCCTACAGCCTCTGCAAGGAACACAGCCCTGCCAACACCGTCACATTCATCAGTGAGAACCACTTACTTCTAAACTACAGAACTCTCAATGATACATGCATCTGTGTTGTTTGAAATCACTAAGTTTGTAGTAATTTGTTACAGCAGCAATAGAAAATGAATACAATTGTAGAAAAATTAGAATAGGTGCATGTACTATATTTATTACATGAAAATATGATTATATTGTGCTTACTGAACTGTAACCTGCTTTTTCAATATAACAGCACATAGTAAACTTTTTCCTATGATAATTATATGGACACCCCTACAACATGATTCTCAATTGCTGCATAGAGTGCATGAACTTTAATGCATTTATCCCATCTTTCCCATTGACGAAGGCTTCCCCTAACTCCAAGATTAACATTCTCTGTGTACATACTGGGTTATGGCAAATTCCTAGAATTTAAATTGTTTTGTCAAAACCTAGATACTTTCTTGTAATGTATGGCGCTTGACATATAGCAGAATTGACACATAACCCTTCCTGCATAGGACCAGGGGCTGCAGCCTGGGATCCTCCCTGACGCACCATCATTATCATCCCCATTCATTTCTTTGTACGGATCTCAGCATGATTGTATCTTCTGAGGCAGGTTCTTTTCCCACGCCTCTCTCCATTGCCAGGCACTTTCTCTCCAGAACCACATCACTGAGGCAGGTAGCAGTCCCCAGTCCCAGCACAGGTGGTAAGCTCTCTGGACCACAGCAAGCAGCCCAAGGATCAGCCTGCCCCGTCCATGCCAAGACAGTCATTATTTTAAGAGTTCAAAGACCATCAAAGCTTCATTGGCCTGTTCCATTTAATTTGTGAAGCATTATGTCCCTTTTTCCCCCTTTTTTCTTTTTTGAGACAAGGTCTCGCTGTGTCACCCAGACTGGAAGGCAATGGTGCCATCATATCTCACTGAAGTCTCAACCTCCTGGGTTCAAATGATCCTCCCGCCTCAACCTCCCAAGTAGCTAGGACTGCAGGCATGAGCCACCATGCCCAGTCACTGTGTATGTGCTTTTTATTCCTTTTAAAAATTTCATTTTCTCTAAAGATGATGCATTTAGGAACTGGACTTATTGATGGCATCTTTTAAAATTATTTTGAAATATTCAAAAATCTTTGATTCACTGATGTGCTTTTGGTCTGAAGAAGGGGCTGTGAGATTCATCCTGCTAGGTCAGAAAGACACATGGCATTTCCCCACTGTCTTCCTCAGTGTCACCCGCTGGAAGCAAGGGTGTCCAGACCACACTGCAGCTTCCTCGGGAACCTGGGGCTTTTCTTGGCAATATCTAGTGATGTCTGCCTTTAAAAAGAATATGCATGGGCATAGGTTGCGGGGCAGGGGTGGGGGCTTCAGTCCCAACTCAGCCCTTGAGAAACGTAATGAACATAATTCCCCCCACCCCCCAGCCCCTTTTACAAACAGGTCACATTAAGTTAATTTACCAGCTAACACAAGACCATTTGATGGCCGGGCAGTTTCCCATGGGACTGAAAAGGCAGGAGCTGCCAACACTTTCTCTAGGCCCCTCAGTGCCCCAGTGACATCTGCCCAGACCTCGCAGGCACCTCGGCCTTGTCCTTTTTGATGACTGCAGAGAGTTGGTGGTTCCTAGAGCCCAAGGTGGAGGTAACCCTCTGAGACACTGCCTGGCTCTGGAGCCCCTCCCAGCCCCTGGGCAGCTCTCTTCCTCCTTTCTGTCCTCAGATATGTCACCATCCCCAACCCAGGAGAAATCACTCTTCTCCACATTGTGTGTGTGTGTGTGTGTGTGTGTGTGTGTGTGTGTGTGTGTACGCGCGCATGCGTGCACATCTGTGCTTCCTGGGAGCATAGGAAGTAGGAACCAGGATTTGTTTCCATTCTTTTGAGACAGCATTCCCATGGAGGTTAAAATACAGTAAATGCTGAATGGAGAAAGTTTCTAATCCCCAGAATCGCAAATCCTATTGGTGGGCAAATTGTTTTAAAAGAGCTGTTTGGAGTTGAGGCGCACCTGCAAAATTAAACACACCAGGGTGAGAAAGGCTTTCTGGGGGCGGATCTGCAGGACTTGATTTTGCTGAGTTTAATGCCACTCATTTCACTTTCTGTTGGCCAGAGCCCGTTTCCCCTGCTTGAAGGCACAGAACCTTGCTGGGAGCCAGGCAAGCTCTCTGGACGGGATGGGCAGCCCCAGGGCCAGCCATCCCAAGTCTAGGGCTTGCTGGGGCCTAGACTTTTGACCTCCAAAGGGTACGGAGTCTGGGGACCACTCTGCACACCATCCTCCATCCAGAGAGAGGGGCCATTTCCATCCTCATTCGGTTTCCCATATTCAGGGGAACTCCTCTCCAAGAAGAAACAAGGGCTCAGTTCCATTTCTGACTTCTCTCTAGGTCAGCACGTGCGGTCACTTCACAGAAAAATGGTGTGGATGTGCCAGACTGGGGACAAAGGCCCTCTGTTGTCCCCATTACCTGTGGTTTCCTGCCACAAAGGCTACACCAAGTACCTTATAAAGAAGGGCTGAGCGCTTCATGGATTTACTCAAAACCCAGCGCTCTGGGCTACTATGACCCCAGCCACCAACAGGTGTTGAGACTCCCCTGAGGCCCCGCCAAAACTGGCTGGGGTTTCCTCTCCACCTCAGTGCCACCCCTGTCTCCAAGCCCATACTCCCAGGCATCTCTCAATCACTACCTCTACAAGACCCCAGGGTCTGGGTAATGGGGGCTGGCAGAGCCTGGACTCATTCCTGCAATGACGTCGGATACCAGCGGCACCCATTCCCTCTCCAAAGCTCATGTCCACAAGGGCAAACGATAGCATCCCCCTCCACCCCGGCAGTAAGCAGCAGCGAGTCTCACCAATTTGAGAGTCTCTAGAACAACAGATGGTAATTTGTTGACACAAAGATTTAAGGGGACTCAATTACAGTCCCACTGAAAAAGCTCTCTCTAAAATAAGAAAGTATACAGATTCCTCAGCTCGCAGAAATTGCTGACAGCTTTGTTTTCAACCCTCCAGGAGTAAAAAGAAGCTGACAACTTATTTTTGCAGGTTATGCTCATTCAAGTCTATTTTTAGATCTTGTTCCTAAATAAGTACACCAGAATAGCATTCAGTTTGAAAATCACCATCTGTTCAGAGCAATGAGCTTGGCCTCGCTGGGCTGGGTATACCTGGCCCATGGCAAGGTGGCAGTCCCCTTGTGGACTGAACCGAGGGGGCAGTTTCAGGTCTCCAAGTGGTGTTTGAAGAATGCACTAAAAACAGTCACAGGCAGTTGGCATTTTAAATGCCCATTAAACAACTATTAATATATTTTATTTATAAGCTGAGAACCACACAAAAAATGCCCTTGGCTTTTTAAAAAGAAGTTCAAATAATCCCTTGTATTTAAATAGATTTCTTATAAAAAGGCGATCCAGCCTAAGTTTGGTAGTTAAGATAAAAATTAACCTATGGAAAAGAAAGCCAGCTCAGAACGCTATAAAAAGGCCCCTTCCCCCCCCCCCTTTCTTCCGGTGTATGGTGGCCCTCCCCTCCCTCTGCAGCCACTTGGTAGTGACTCACGCTTTTCTTTGGAAATGCAGTTGCTGCGTGAAACACAACGTGAGAATGGGAATCTGACATATGAGTAACCCGGCCGAGAGGCACCTCTTGGAAATGACACTGGGCCTTGGCTAGAATTACGCACAGGCCCTGGGAGGGCTGCGGCTCGTAGGCCCGTAGGGGGCAGGGTGAGGGCGGAGGTCCTGGCGCCCCCAGGCCTGACCCGCCCGCACCGCTGGGCTATTTTTAGCGTCCACTAAACTTAGCCGACTCCACCCTCTTGAATAACCCACATCTTAAAATGCTATTTTTCTCCAACAGGTCAAAAGAATTCTGCGAGTTAGAGCGCAGATTAAGTTGCTAGCGACGGGCATTGAAGGTTTTAGAACCGAGAAAATGAGCCGGTGGCGGGGAGCGCGTCCTCAGCGGCCAGGCCCGGCACGGGGCTCGGGCACTCGGGGACACACGGTGGTCGTCGCTGTGTCTCAGCAGGACCCTGTGCGCTGGAGAGCTTGGGGCCGCGAGTCGCGCAGCAAGGAGGCTTCTGGCTTCTCTATTTTTAGCCTCTGAACGTTTTCCAAAATAATTACCAAAAGGAAATACACACGCACACATGGACCTAACACACAAAACGTCCTTCTGCGGGAAGCCAGCACTAGGAAAGAAAAAAAAAAAAATCCGAAGTGAAATTATGACACAGGGTTTTGTAACCCGCGGTGGCGCGCTTCTGAAACCCGAGCCCGGCAGCGGCTTCTTATCTGCACCGCGTTCCAGGAAGCAGCCGGCGTTTCGGCCGCGCAAGGGCAGCCGCCGCACGTAGGCAGCGTCCCCCAGCCCGGGACCCGCAGGAATGCGAGGGGCAAGACAGATCGCCGGAGGAGCAGGGGTCAGAAGTCAGTGTTTAACCACTCACTGGCTTTCGGTGAAGCCAGAATGTTAGCAGCGAGTCGCGGTCGGGGGCCTTGGGGTTGCACACGCTTGCTCCAAGCACCGAGGCTCAGCTGAGCACATGCACAACCCTCTCGATGCAGCGGAAAGTCGTGTGGCTTAGGGCCGCACCCCGAATTTCGCCGCACCCGCCGCTGTGCCATTTACAACCCCCCACCCCGCCACTGCTGTCACGTAGCAATCAAGAGTAAAGGTTATCACAAAGTCTGTTCTTCGAAGGAAAGAGTTGGAATCAAGGACTTCGGACGGGAGGAAGTTGGTAAGTTACCGCTTCCTCCCTCCTGTTTTCCTCTCCTTGTTTAACTTCTCACAAGAACATGTGGCAGCGCTGCAGGTTAACTCATCTTACATAACTTCGGGGCCGTGTCAACTGTTCAGAAGAAAGAAAAACAAGTATTCTCTTCTGTAGAAGTTGTATTTAGAAACAGGCTCTGTTGTTTAGGACAAGTTCACTTGTGTTGCCTGATCACTTGCAGCAGAAAATCTTAGAACTGCTCCTCAAGCAACAAAAAGTAGGGGCTCCCATTTCCATCTTTCTTTCTTTTCTTTTTCTTTCTCTCTCTCTCCTTCCCTCCCTCCCTCCTTCCTCTCTCTCTCTTTCTTTCTTTCTGATGGAGGCTTGCTCTGTCGCCCAGCTGCAGTGCAGTAGCACGATCTCAGCTCACTGCAACCTCCGCCTCCCGGGTTCAAGCGATTCCCCTGCCTTAGCCTCCCGAGTAGCTGGGACTACAGGTGCGCACCACCACGCCCAGCTAATTTTTTGTATGTTAGTAGAGATGGGGTTTCACTATGTTGGCCAGGATGGTCTCGATCTCCTAACTGCGTGATCCGCCTGCCTCGGCCTCCCAAAGTGCTGGGATTACAGGTGTGAGCCACTGTGCCCAGCCGGGCTCCCATTTTTCTGAATATGAACTTCAAAATAGTTTGAGGAGCCCAACATGAGAGTAACTGGACAATTGTCTTCCTCTGAGAAAACAAAATGACAAACAACCAACATGAATCAAATGATGACTTGGTATTTCATTAAACACAACTCTTACAGCACCAGGAAGACAGTAGCCCATTTTGTGCCAAGCGTATTTACTCAGTTGGTGGCAATAGGGGTTTGGAGAATCTTGCATTGTGGTTTGCTGGGGTCCACAAGCCACACATCGGGTGTCTGGCCATCCTGCATGTCCAAAGGTGAACAAAGAAATGCACTAATAACCTAGAGACACAGGGACAAGAACAAGCCCAGTAATACCCATGTAGCCGTCTGCTAGAATTGAAAGCCAGGTATGGTGGGCTTCTACCCCACCCCAATCACGACGTCCTAATGAGGGCTACCAACTACCAATTACCACACCTCCCCCCTGGCCTAGGGCCCTCATCCTCCCCAAACATCTCTGAGCAGAGTGGCAATTAAGAGCACCCTGCTCTGTGGCTGGGAGCCTGGGAGCTGCCAGGGGCCATATCCTCCTACCACAGGGGAAGCTGGATAGCAGAGGAGATGGGGAGATGGGAGAAGAAAGACTGAGTTCCCAGAGTCCTGAGACAGCAGTCCAGTGGCTCCCTGGCTGGGCACAGGGAGTCCCTTTTCCTGACTCGTTCAGTTCAAGCTGGGTCTGTTACTTGCCTCCAGAAGAGTTTTGATACAGGTGTTGGCACCTTCTCAATGCCCTGTCTCCATGGTTGACCCACTTCCCTGACAGTGCCTTGAGCTCCTCCCCTGATCTGGGCTGGTCCAGGCCCTTGCTGGGGGACGCCACGTGCTAGGGTAGACCAGAAGTCCCTTCTTGGAAGCCCTACTTCCTGTGGTTCTTAGATGCCATGTGGCTGACATCTGGAGAGAGGGTGGACTATGGACTCCCTCCCCACATGAAATCTATGAAAGGCCAAATAAGGTTTAAGAGGTCTGTTCTCAGCCCCTGACAACCTCCAGGACTCTCTAAGACTGCACGAACAAAAATGAAGTAGTGCATGGACCAATGAGGTGATAAGACCCCAGCGGAAAAATTTTCTCCAATATTCCTCTAGGAAAGAGTCCTAGCAGCAAGAACATTGGTCACGAGATTGGCCAAGGGATCAATCAACTCTCTAGTCCCTTCCCGTGATGTGAAATGCGGTGTGGGCTGGAGCCCTTGTATGCTTTGCCCCCAGTAGGCGGTTGCCTCCCTCACTGGGCACTGAGGCCATAGGCCGCTTTGTTCTGCAGAGCCACGCCTGGCCTCTAGAGGAATGGATGTGACCTAGAGATCTGGACTCAGAGCTGGGCAGAACCCTGGGGTGATGCTTACTGAGCAGGATGCCCAGGTTTGTGACTGTGTCTATGAGAGGCCTTAAGGCATGTAGGGGTCATCTGGGGGAAAGGACGGCTGACTGAGTCAAGGTTGGCCTGGGTGGCTGCTTTGTTTTTGGGTCCATGACAGCAGCCCTCTCTTCTCCTGAAGAGATCTCCCTCCTCCAATCATAGTACCCCACCACCCTGGCCACAGGGAGGCCATATGATCTGAGCTAGGCCTATCAGAGGCCTTTCCTGGGAGTTTCTGAGTTCAAAGTGAGTGAAGAGCATGACCCCTCTTTCCTGCTGGGGGGCCATGCAGTTGGGAGCTGTCATCAGGTGGAGCTGGTCTACAGGGACAGGCCCAAAGGATGGAGCCACATACCAGAGACTACAAACACATGGTGGGGAGTGGAGTGTCCTGGCAGCCCTGTGACTCCGGCTCCCCTGTCTTTCCACAGTTTGGGGCTGAGAGCCAATGAAGTTTCCTTTCGTCTAAGCTACTTTGGTTGACTTTCTGCCATCACAATACAGTCTTCGTGCACCCAGTATTTCAGACTGCACTCAACTGCTAAGATTCAAACTTCAACAAAATGCAGAATTTTAGTTGTTTACCTTTTTAGTTACATGGACTCAAAAACAAGCATCACCATAACTTTCCACTGTGTGTGACAATATAAGAGTCATATCTTTGTGGCTCCAAAAATGTTTAAAAAAGCAACTAGTATATTCAATATTTAGCTCATAAGAGCTAAGCACTGTAAAATACGTCTGACATCTTCAACATCAAACTAGAATAAAGGTAAAATTAAAATAGGGTAGAAGAGTGTTCATGCATGATCCAATCTCACATGAAACCCTAGTCCTAAAAAAAAGGCAACTCCCAAATAGGTGTCTTGATTTCACCCAGTGGCTTTAAAATAGTTCTTAATCATGTATGCATTAAGAAGCCAAAACTCATTGTTATTTCTGAAGCACATTATTTTGAAATTCTGTTTAAATCTTCCATATTTGTATGATGAAAGTTATGTCACAAAGTTAATCATTCCCAGGATGCTTGCAGTAGGGGTAATGAAAAACTTCTTGTGCAAGCGGCCATTAATCAGCAGTGTAACATTGCATAACGTGCTCCAAAGCACGTGTCATGGGATCAGAGTACACAGCTGCATAATGCAGGCCAGTGTCTGTGCCTCCTGCTGACCTTTTCCAATGCAGAACTCGAACCATGTGATGCATGCTTCTTGCCAAGTCACTTATTGCCAATGATTAAGTTGGATGATATGGAGAAACATAAATTTCTTTCTTTCTTTTTTTTTTTTGGAGTTCTAAAAGGAAGACTCTTTGAAGTCCCTGGCTTCTGGCACAGTGTTGTTGCTGGCTTGGTTATATTACTCTTGATCATTATAAAAACTCTCCATTAAAACTGATATCAAATATTTTGCTCAAGTGGTTCCTGGCATTTGCATTAGAAACAATAGACATACCCCCACAAGAAGAGTATTTTATATGTAAGCAACGCAAAAAGTCAAAGACGCTAGAAGCCAAAGACATACATATATCAAATCCCAATCCATCACGTTTGATGTTCTTGAGCAATACTGTTAGCGAGAAACTATTACTTAATCTTGCTAGTATTATCCAAAGAGAACACTTGCGAAATACTTAAGACAAACATGCTGTAATTATTACATGAATAAAGAGCTTGTGTAGCATAAACTGTTTTTGTAACATCAACACAAATTCTGTTGGAGCAGGCTAATAATTAGCCGTGGTAACAACAATGGCCACTGTGTTTGAGAAGCTCTGAGAGGTAACAGTGCTGCCGGAGGTGAGATGACTCACGCGTTATCTTCTACCCTCAAAGTAGCCTTGGTGTAGAGGGACTGTTTTCAATAATATCTTAACCTAGAAAGTCTTCTGAAATTTCACCAAGGGCTAATTATACATTCTAGTACCAACTAGAATATATCTGGTTCCCTAACATATATTGGAAATTAAATTTCATCTTCATTTTACTTTTTTTTTTTAAGGAAAGGACTCTTCGATTTGATTACTAGCAAACTCTTACTGTACATGAAATCCTGTTCAAGGTCTGAAAGCTCAAATTAATAAATGATTTTGTCATCATAATCTAAATGTCTAACAGTGGAACATGAATTTAACAGTGTGGAAGAAAAGTTGTCCTAAAACATAAGACATCTATATGTGCTGGGATTTCAATACTTTTTATTTTTACTACTTGAATGCTGCATTTATGCATTGCTTTGCTTTGGTTTATGGCTGTTAGTTTAGCAACTAAGGGCTGAATGAACAGATCCCTCACAGATCATCCAACCTCATGACCAGGCAAGGGGAGCCTCAGCTGGAGCAGCCTATTTCTGTTTCCTGGGTCTAGACTCAGAGCAGACATTTAAAAGACAATACAGCAGTAAATCCTCTCCTACCTTGACTACAACTAAACCTGACATTTGGGAAGTGAGGTATAGTCAATAGTTTGGGCTGTAATAATAATTCAATAAATATCAGTTTTGATGTACCAGAAGTCAGAAAGCTACCTTGTACACCTTGCCAGTAACAGCCCATGGTATACCTGGTTGCATTAGAATCAGCTGGGGAGGGGGAAGGGATGTCAGTGGGAATAGTGCAGTGAGAACCTCCAGAAAATCTGCTCCTCCATATAAACAATGAGAACATCGCCAAAGATTGTAAAAAAAAAATTGTCAAAACTTTTTCAGAACCCCAGAAATTAGCCAAAAGCTTGCAACAACCTGAGAAGCATTCATTCACGAAAAGTGGCTGAATCTCAGTAAGAACAAGCTTTGTGGCATTTTATTTGTTTTGTTATTGTTGTTGTTTTTTGAGGTGGAGTTTCATTTTTGTTGCCCAGGCTGGAGTGCAATGGCATGATCTCGGCTCACTGCAACCTCCGCCTCCTGGGTTCAAGCAATTCTCCTGTCTCAGCCTCCTGAGTAGCTGTGATTACAGGCGCCCACCACTACACCCAGCTAATTTCTGGTATTTTTAGTAGAAATGGGGTTTCACCATGTTGGCCAGGCTGGTCTCAAACTCCTGACCTCAGGTGATCCGCCTGCCTCGGCATCCCAAAGTACTGGGATTATAGGCCTAAGCCACCACACCGAGCCACTTTGTGGAATTTTAACTTGCCCTATTCCACTCCCTCTTCCCAGAGCCACACACACCTTGAAAACTAATAGTCTCACACTTACGGCAGCCATGAAAACCAGCAGCCACCATAGGAGAATGAATGTCTTTGTGGCATCCCCAAAGCCCTATTCCCAGAAACTTGTCATTATCTGATATGTCCAGCAGTTCTCTGGTGTTTTAATAATGGGGAAAACCCCCATTCACACGGCTTGTCTTTATTTGACCTAACTTAGGACCTCATTCATTGTAGAGAGCTTTTTCCTGCAGGGTGTTTAAGGAAAAAAATCAGTGATGATTGTTTAGCATCAAAGCTGCCTGAGTTGGGGCAAATAAGAAGCTGACCAAAAAACATAAAAACAGAAACTGGGGAATGAGATGTCCATAGAGGGCTATGAAAAGCTCTGACATATTCCTAGAAATCTAGAAGGCCATGTGCATGTGAGGGCTGTATGCAAGCTCAGGGAAGACTTGAGAAGGCCCTAGCTCTCACCTCTGGCTGACCTTAAGGCTCTGCACAAGGAGGAAGTGAAGGCTAAGGCCGAGTTGCCAATTGCCTGTCAGTGTATTGAAGGCATGCCCCAACATAGAGAGCCCTTCAGCAAGAGCTGGAGATTTACTGGTTCAAGGCATTTAAGGAAATCTGAGTCCAGTCAAGAGCTGAACACTAAAATAACCAAGCAGAGACTTCAGGAACCACACACAACAAAACACACAGAATTAGTTCAGGAAAGTCCATACACAAATAGCAACAATAACAAACAACTGTGAACCTAGGATGGGACAGAGGATCATCTGATTTCTAGAGTTGCCATGTTATATTATTTAAAATGTTCATTACTCAATAAAACATTGTAAGAAATCTAAAGAAATAAAGTATGACTCATACAAGGAACTGAAACATTCAATGGAAACTGTTCCTGAGAAAGCTCAGATGTTAAATGTATTAGAAAATATTTTAAATCAGCTATTTTAAATATATTCAAAGAACTAATGAAAAGTATGAGAATGATGCCTCACCAACTTGGAATATCAATAAAGACAAAACATTTTAAAGAGGACCAAAGAATAATTCTAAAATTGAAATGACAATAACTGTAATGCAAAACCCACTAGATGGTCTCAAAAGCAGATTTGAGATGGCAGAGGAAAGAAGGAGTAAACCCAAAGGCTTATCAATAGAAATTACTAAATCTGAAGAGTAGAGAGAAATAAGATTAAAGGAAAATAATCAAAGGTCTTGTTCAAAGGTCAAGAGACCTATGGGATGCCATCAAGTATACCAACATATGCATAATGGGAGTTCCAGAGAGAAAGGAAAGAGAGAAAGGGGTAGAAAAAGTATTTGAGAAGATAATGGCCAAAAGGTTCCCAAATGTGACAAAGACATGAGTCTACACAACCAAGAGCCCAACAAAACAGAGTCAACTCAAAGAGATCCGCACTGAGACATATTATGCTCAAATTGTCAAAAGACAAAGACAAAAAGAGAATCTTGAAAGCATCAAGAGAGGTGACCCATCATGCACAAGAGATTCACAATAAAATTAAGATAGCTTTTCATCAGAAACCATGCAGGCCAAAAGGCAGTGGGATGACATATTGAAAGTGCTGAAGGAAAAAGGCTTCAATCAAGAACCCTATGACTAACAAAATCATCCTTCAAAAATGAAAGAAAAATTGAGACATTCCAAGATAAATAAAAATTGAGAATTTGTCCCTAGCGGACCTGCCCAACAGGAAATACTAAAGGGAGTGCTTCAGATTGAAATGAAAAGATACTAGAAAGTTACTCAAATCCACAGTTTTTAAAAAAAAGAGTGTTGGTAAAGGTAACTATGTATATAAGAGACAGTGTAAGTATATTTTTCATTTGTAACTTTCATTTCATTTGTAACTTCTTTTTCTCCAATTAAAAGACAACTTCATAAAGCAATAATTATAAACTGTTCTGATGAACTTACAGTGCATAAAGATTTAATGTGTATGACAATAAAAGCACAGAGGATGGGGGAAGATACAATGCTACATAGGAGCAAAGAATTTGTATACTGTTGAAATTAAGTTGGTATTACTCCATAAGATTGTGTAAGTCAAGATGGTAATTGTAATTTCCAGAAAAGCTATTAACAAGTCAAAAACATATAGCAAAAGAAATGACAAAGGAATTAAAATGGTAGTTGAGTACACAGGAAAATATCCATTAAGCACAAAGAAGGTAGTAATGGAGAAAGAAACAAAAAGGCATGGCATGTAGAAAACAAATAGCAAAATGCCAGATATAAACCCTACCTCATCAATAATTATATTAAATGTAAATGGTTAAACACTATAATTAAAAGGCAGAATGAGCCTTTACATTTAAAAACATGACTTGACATTATGCTGTCTACAGGAGATCACTTTAGATTCCAAGACTCAAATAGGCTGAAAGTAAAAACGGGGTAAAATATACTATGCAAAAAGTGACCAAAAGAGAGCTGAAGTGTCTATACTAATATTAGACAAAATAGACTTAAGGATAAAATGGTTAAAATGGATAAAATGGTTACTAGAGAAAAAGCATATTTTATCATGATAAAAGGGTTAATCCATCAAGAAGACATAATTATAATCATATATGCATCTAACAGCAAAGCCCCAAAATACATGAAGTAAATACTAATAGAATTACAGGAATAATAATAAACTATTATGGTTGAATAATAAACAAGTCAACAATAATATGCCTACTTCAGTATCTCACTTTAAAAAATGGATAGAACAACTAGACAAAAGATCAACAAGGAATAAAAGAATGAAACAACAAAACCAAGAAGACCTAACAGACATCTATTGAACACTCCAACAATAGCAGAATATGCATTCTTCCCAAGTGCACATGGAACCTTCTCCAGGATAGACCATATGGTATGCCATAAAACAAGTCTCAATAAAATGAAAAAGACTGAAGTTTATACAAAGTATGTTTGCCAACTATAATGGAATGAAATTTGAAATCAGTAAAAAAAGGAAATTTGGAAATTCACCAGTATGTGGATTAAAGAACACAATCCTAAAAAAAGGGGAGTCAAAGAAAAAATATCACAAGAGAAATTTAAAAATACTTTGAGATGAATGAAAACAAAACCACGTGTCAGAAGTTCAGTAAATCACTAGTTAGACTTAAAGGACTCAGTCATACTCATAGCTATTATTTATTATAGCAAAAGGATACAAAGTAAAAACAGCAAAGGGAAAAAATGCAGGGTAGAGATGGGGGAGACCAGTTGCAAGCTTCCACGGGTCCTCTCCTAGTGGAGTCCCTAGGATGTATTTAATTCCCCAGCAACAAATTATTAATGTAACAACACATGAAATGTTGTGAAATGTTGCCAACATCTCATTAGAGACTGAAAGCCCAGAGTTTTTGCTGGGGGCTAGCCATGTAGGCATATTCCACCTGGCAAATACCCAAATTCCATCTTCCTAAAAAGAAAGCATGTGTTTAGTATAAACCATATGGTTTGTACAGTTTAGATATAACTCTTATAAGGTCTGGGAATGCTGATAAGCTCCCAAAAGCCAGCCAAGGACCAGCCCTGCAATCAATCCTTCCCAGTGATAGCCATTCAGGTCTGCTATGTTAACTCTTTTCTACAAACAACATACCAAAACTTACAGGATGCTGCTAAAGCAGTGCTTAGAGGGAAATGCATAGCTGCAAATGTCTATATTAAAAGGAATAAAGATCTCAAATCAATAACTTAATGTCCTATGTTAAGAAATTAGAAAAATAAAAGCAAACTAAACCTAAAGCAAGCAGAAGGAAGGATATAATAAAGTTTAGAATGGAAATAAATGAATTATGGAATAAGAAAAACCATCAAGAAAAATCAATGACATGAAAAGTTGGTTTTTTGAAAAGATCAGTAAAACTGATAAACCTAGCTAGACTGACCAAGAAACAAAGATAGAAATATTAAAACCAGGAATGAAAAGTTGGGAGTGGGAGTGGGGGGGATTATTATTGACTTTATAGAAATAAAAAAGAATTATAACGGAATACTACAAACAAGTATATGTGAACAAATTAGATAACCTAGATCAAATAGAAAAATTCTTAAAAAGGTACAAACTAGTGAAAGTTCTTCAAAAAGAAATAAAAAATAAGTAGAAAGCTGTAACAAATAAAGAGACTGAGTTAGCAATCAAAGCACTTCCAACAAAGAAAAGATATGATCCACATGATTTTGCTGGTGAATTCTACCAATATATATTTTTTTGTTTTTTTGAGACGGAGTCTTACTCTGTCACCAGGCTGGAGTGCAGTGGTGCAATCTCAGCTCATTGCAACCTCTGCCTCCCTGGTTCAAGCGATTCTCCTGACTCAGCCTCCCAAGTAGCTGGGACTACAGGTGCCTGCCACCATGCCCAGCTAAGTTTTGTATTTTTAGTAGAGGCGGGGTTTCACCATGTTGGCCAGGATGAGCTTGATCTCCTGACCTCGTGATCCGCCCACCTCGGCCTCCCAAAGTACTAGGATTACAGGCGTGAGCCATTGTACCCGGCCTCTATCAACTGTTTACATTAGAATTAGCACCAATCCTACACAAACGCTTCTAAAAATAGAGAAGGAAATGCTTCCTAAATCATTCTATGAAATCAGTATTACCCAGAGACCCAAACCAGTGAAAGACATCACAAGGGAACTGCAGACTAATATTTTTATGAAGACAGACCCCAAAATTCTGAACCAAATGCCAGCAAGCCACATCCAGCAACATAAAAAAAAGAGTATACACCATGACCAAGAGATTTATCCAAGAAATGCAAGTTGGTGCAATATCTGAAAGTTAATCAGTGTGGTAACAATTATCAATAGAAGACAAATCCACCACAACATGCTCCTTTCAATAGATGCAGAAAAGGCATTTTTACAAAATCCAACACCCATAACACCCATTCTTGATTTAAAAAAAAAAACAAACACTCAAGAAAGTACAAATAGAAAGGAATTTTCTCAACCTGATGAAGGGCCTCCATAAAAAAAAAATCCACTGTTCACATTATAAGTAATAGTCAGGAATAAGGTCAGGGATAAGACAAGATGTCTGCTCTTGCCATTTCTATTCAACATTACACTGGAGGTTTTAGCCAGGGAAATAACACAAGAAAAAAATATAAAGGCGTCCAGATTGGAAAGGAACAAGTAAAACTATCTCTTTGCAAATGACAGGATCCTATAGAAACTCCTAAGGAAACCACTAAAAGAAGATTAGAACTAAAAAATCAGTTCAGAGTAAATAACTGTGCTTCTGCCAGACATCAAGATATAAAAATCTGTTGTAATTCTATGAACTAGCAATGAACAATCCAAAAATAAAATCAAGAAAACAATCCCATAGGGACATGGATGAAGCTGGAAACCATCATTCTCAGCAAACTATCGCAAGGACAAAAAACCAAACACCGCATGTTCTCACTCATAGGTGGGAATTGAACAATGAGAACACAGGGACACAGGAAGGGGAACATCACACACTGGGGCCTGTTGCAGGGTGGGGGGAGGGGGGAGGGATAGCATTAGGAGATATACCTAATGTTAAATGACGAGTTAATGGGTGCAGCACACCAACATGGCACATGTATACATATGTAACAAACCTGCACGTTGTGCACATGTACCCTAAAACTTAAAGTATAAAAAAAAAAAGAAAAAACAATCCCATTTACAGTAGCATCAAAAAGAATAAAATACTCTAGCTGGGCATGGTGGCTCATGCCTGTAATCCCAGCACTTTGGGAGGCTGAGGCGGGAGGATCACTTGAGATCAGGAGTTTGAGACCAGTCTGGCCAACATGGTGAAACCCCGTTTCTACTAAAAATACAAAAATTAGCTGGGTGTGGTGGCAAGTGCCTGTAGTCCCAGCTGCTTGGGAGGCTGAGGAAGGAGAATTGCTTGAACCCAGGAGGCAGATGTTGCAGTAAACAGAGATCACATCACTGTACTCCAGCCTGGGTGACAGAGTGAGACTCCATCTCAAAAAAAAAAAAAAAAAAAAAAAGAATAAAATATTCAGGAATAAATCTAACAAAAGAAGTTGAAGACATACAAGACATACAGAGGCAACTACAAAACAGATGAAAGAAATCAATGAACTAAATAGAAAAAAACATTTTATGTTCATAGATAAGACAATATTGTTGAGGGTACATCTGTCCCCAAACTGATCTACAGATTTAACATAATGCCTTTCAAAATCCTAGATGCGTTTTTCGGGGTAGAAATCAACAAGCTAATCCTATAATTCATATGAAAACACAAGGGAACCAGAATAGCCAAAATACTCTTGAAAAAGTTGACAGACTCTCACTTTCTAACTTCAAAACTTACTACAAAGCTCTAGTAATCAAGATAGTGTGGTACTGGCATAGGACAGACAGAAGATCAATGGGGTAAAATTGAGAGTTTGGAAATAAACTCTTACATTTATAGTTAACTTTTTTTTTTTGACAAGGGTACCAAGACAATAAATGGGGGAAAACAGTCTTTTCAACAAATGGTGCTGGAATAGCTGGATATCAATGTGCAAAAGAGTGAAGCTGGATGCTTACCTCACACCATATATAAAAAATTTATCAAAAACATAAATATAAAAGTTAAAACTATAAAACTCTTTGATGAAAACTTTTTATCACCTTGGATCAGGCAGTGGTTTCTTAGATACGACACCAAAAGTACAAGCAATAAAGGAAACAATAAACTGGACTCCACCAGAATAAAAACTTTTATGCTTCCAAGCATACCAACAAGAACATGGAGAAACAACCTACAGAACAGAAAAGATTTGCAAATCATATATCTGTTAAGGGGCTTGTATACAGTATACATAAAGAACATTCACAACTCAATTTTTGTCTGTTTTGCTCAGTTAGAAATGGGCAAAACAGATATATCTCTAAAGACTATATAAATGGCCAACAATTATATGAACATCTGTTCAACATCATTAGGGAATTGCAAATCAAAATCACAATTACAATAAGATACCAGTTCACACTCACTAGATTGGCTATAATCAAAAAGATCAATAACAAATATTGATGAAGATGTGGAAAAATTAGAACCCTATTCATTGCTGGTGGGATTACAAAATGGTACAGCTTGTTGGTTTTGTAGTTTTTCAAAAAGTTAAACATAAAGTTGTCATATGATCCAGTAATTCCATCTGTAGGTATGCCCAAGAGAAATAACATGTACCCACACAAATACTTGTACACACATGTTCATAACAGCATTATTTGTAACAGCCAAAGTGGAAACAATACAAGTATTCATCAATTGATGAGTAGATAACAAAATATGACATATACATACAATGAAGTATTTTCAGTGATAAAAAGGAAAGAAGTACTGAGACACACTACACTGTGGACAAATCTTGAAAATTTTTATGCTAAATGAAAAAAAAACAGATACAAAAGTCTACATATTATATAATTCCATTCATATGAATGTCTCAAATAGGCAAATCCATAGAGACAGAAAGTAGATTAGTGGTTGCCAGGGGCTTGGGGGTGGAGGGAATGGGCAAGGGAGTGACTACTCATGAGTACTAGGCTTGTTGGGAGGCAATGAAAATATTCTGAATTAGCTAGTGGTCATGGCTGTACAACTCTGAATATACTAAAAAACCACTGAATTGTACAATTTAAAGAGTGGCTTTTATGGTATGTGAATTATATCTAGAAAAATAAAATCGCCAAGTTCTATTTTTCCTCAACATTGATTCTAGAGTTCCAAACCCAGAATCCTGATGAGAGGTTATGGAATGGAGTCCAAGAATACAATACCTCTTACAGGTACCAGCAGTTTTGGGAATCCCTGCCCTTGGGTGGGTCTGAGGAATAGACAAGATGAGGTCCCGCTCACAGACATGGCCCCCACTCCACCTCTGCTGCAGGTGACAGAGCACGAGAGGTAGGGCTGGACCAGGGCCGAGATTCGGCTCTTTTCTCTGGTACCATAGCCCCTACGCTGCTCATCACGTTTACATTTGAAGACTAGTTTATCCCCGGGGGAAACTCAAAACAATTTTAAATGTTAGGTATGTCAAGTTTTTCAGGACAGTCAACATATATCTTCCTATCTACACATGCAAGCATTTTTAATACGCATGAAGCACATGTGGGCGTACATAAGCTGCAAGTCTAGGGAAGCAAAGCAAGCACCGAGGGCTTGGAGTTTTGAGGTTACCGAGCCATTCTGAGCCTGGACTAATGAGATCACACCACAACTGAACTCAGAAGTACCAGGGCCATGGATAGTCTAGGATAAACACTCTCTCTGAGTCCTCTCAGAAGAGTGGTTTAGCAATCTCGACTCATACCATGCCTTCCCACAAAGACCAGAGGAAAAGAAAGGAGCTTTTCAGTGTTATTTGCAAGCCAATACTGGTGTTAGGCAAGCATATAACAGAGCCACCGTAGGTATTAAGAACAAATACTCCAATCACATCTTCCAATAATTAGAGTTTCCTTCCACCAAGATGAATGTGAGCTGTCATTTCCTAGCTCTTATGGCGTGTGACACATTTCTTGTACTTACATTTTTAAATAACTCAAATTACAGTCACTCTTACACAAGTTCTAGGCGTCATAAAAAGCATGTTTCAGGAAAGTGTTAATAGACAACTCAAAAGAAATGTTACTCAATGCAGCCGAGGCTATTAGGAGCTCGAACTTCTCTCTCTTGCCAAACAGTTCTTCACTTTCTGTAAACTGCACAAAGGTTTCATTCAACACAGTTTGAAGGCTGAAAGTGAAAGTGACTCAGACTATTTTTGGAAAGGTCAAGAAAGTGCACCTGCCAATTTTCAAATTTCTCTGAAACCTTTTCCTGCAAACATCACCACTAAAGCTACGTAGTCCCTGAGCTGCAACTTGATGATGTGGTGATTTTACTATTTCTCTTGGGAGGTTCAGGTACACACTGTGCCGTGGGTTCATGGGAGACTTTGTTCAGACAGCATTTTACACGACAGTCTGTTTAAATGCTTTAGGGGACCAAAACATCTAAAGGTACCTTGGCAGCAAGATGGGGGAATGAACTGAAGCCTAGGAAGGAAGCCTGGCCTGCCCTTGGCCTGACCACAGCCACCGCAGGGCTAGAGTCCTCCAGTATCTCCTGAGGTGGGGAGCAGGTGGGCCGCTCCATGAAAACCAACTAGATGATGGGAAAATGGACAGCTTTGCTCAGGGCAATCTTCCCACCCTGGCCCCCAAAATTGGTACTATAAACATGGCACTCAAACATGAGAATGATTTCTTAAAATGTTAGAGGAACTAAAACTCCTTAAATTGTAGATTACCTCAAGGGCCAATATAGTTAACCAGACACACCTTAGGCAGATACCTGTTTTCTCTGTCTCTCAAGGCCCAACTCACTAGTGACCAGTATTTGTAAGGAGACCCATCTTTCTCATCTGCTAAATCCATGCCAGTGTTAGAGGCCTGCACCAGTCAGAGTCTGCGCCAGTGCTGGAGGCCTGCAGTCTGCTTTCACTTCACAAAAACCGTCTAAGTTGGAAGAACTGTCCTCTGGTGCCTCTTAACTTCCCGCAGCAATGGCCCTGCCCATGCCTGCCCACTTTCTGCTCTAACACTCCAGAGGCAGTGGGCAGCTTTTGGACCTAGGAGGGTGTAAGTAACTTCCCTGCATAGACTTTAGTCAACATCTCTTGTCTCTGGACAAGCGCAGAGCAACAAGCAGAAGTGGGGAGGTGGGGAGGAGCCCTGCATGGTTTCCCCTCGCCCTGGAAGCCTCTGAAGACCTGTTTCATATTGCAGTTCTACTGGAGGCAGCTACCATGTTTCCCTAGACTTCTCTTTTCCTGAGTGAAGAGCCCAGGTTCTTGTACATGCCTCCAAACCAGCCATGGTTGCGAGACCCACCTTCCCGTCTTCTGAAATATGAAACAAATAAAACACGACCACCACATAAAGCACTTTTATACAGATCACATCCAATGTGACTGGGTCTTCAAAACCATCCTGAACTACTGGATTCTTCTACAAATGAAGAAATGGGCTCAGGGACATGAGGCACTTTGTCCACGGTCTCATCGCTGACTTCGGTGGAGCTGAAACTTGGCCAAAGAGCTCCTGTGTGCTTTACAGAAAACTACAGAGTGAATCTATGACCACCTGAAATTGCAATGCTGAGTACTGAATACAACAATCCAGATGAGTCTGACCAGGGCCAAATAGAGCAACACACCTGTCACCCTTCCCAAAAGCTGTCTGGGACACTCTTGACCCACAGGGAGCACATCTTGCCCCCTTTTTGTTTTTTATTTTATTTTAGAGATGGAGTCTTGCTCTGTCGCCCAGGCTGGAATGCGGTGGCGCGATCTCGGCTCACTGCAAGCTCCACCTCCTGGGTTCACGCCATTCTCCTGCCTCAGCCTCCCGAGTAGCTGGGACTACAGGGGCCCGCCACCATGCCCGGCTAATTTTTGTATTTTTAGTAGAGGCGGGGTTTCACCATGTTAGCCAGGATGGTCTCGATCTCCTGACCTCGTGATCTGCCCACCTCGGCCTCCCAAAGTGCTGGGATTACAGGCCATCTTGCCCCCTTTTTGACAAGCATTGCTATCAAACCATGAGTCTTCACACTTATACTCCAGTTGCTGGTTTTAGGGGGAACTGAGTTGTGAGGACATACACCAATCACTACTAGCATCTTGACAGATCCAAGCATCATTCACATCTACCAAGACTGGCTCCGTGCCCTTGATGGTATAGCCGTTAAACATTGGAACCCAGAACACAGAATGCCCAGCATGAATCCTGCTGCCTCAGTTTCTTAAACTATAAATCAGCAAACCCATTTCATAAGATTTTGGTATTAGGTGTGAAAACGCACAGTGTCTGATAGAGGAGGCGCTGAGTGGGCATTAGCTCTAATTGTTACATTACTTGCCTGTGTCATCAGATCTGCTGATAAGCACACTTTTGGTATCTTTCCAAGTAATGAGAAAATTGTTGACCAAATCAGAGCAAAGGACACTACTCCCTCTTGGTTGACGAAAACACACGTATCAGCAGCCTTCTGTTATGCTGTTTGGCTGTTTTCAAGCTCAACAGTGACAAAAGGGCCAGTAGCCCTGGGTGTAATTCCTGACTCCAGCATGTACATGCCGTGGGGCTGTGGGTAAGTGATCCCTCTATGGTTTTCTCTTCCTCTGTGCCACAGAATAACCAAAGTGCCTATCCTTTCGGGGATGTAGTGTCTGTAAAGCATCTGGTAGGTATGAATGGCTTCATAAATGTTACTCAGTATTACCATAATACCCAGCTCTTATTCACTCATCTTATTTAGAGGGTATTTTCAGTGATCTTGTCAAAATGTTTCCTTAAATCAAAACACCACACAGTACTGTTTCTATATTAGGCCTTTAAAAAGGACCTTACATGTTGGTTCCTAGGAGCTCACTTTGGGGCCCCTGAGGGAACTGCCAGCTCCCGGAAAAGGGGCCATCTCATGTCTTGCCACACAGGCGCGTCTCCTGGGCTGCTCCTGAGCCACATGGGTGCATGTCTTGGTCTGTCCTTGACATCCTTTATTTTCCCCACCAGGTCCCCAGATCTCTCATGCTGCCCTGAGAATTATTTTGGGTTGCTTATTAGGTGCTAACCCTCTAAGGGGTAGCTGAATTTCTGGAGGTCCCAAAGAAGACTGTGAAAATCCAAAGGCAAGCATTTGAAACAGTGATATTTTTGGAGCCTGAGACACAAATACAATTGAACAGAGGATTCAGCCACCTTCCACCTCCCAAAATACCCCAAATCACAATCTGTATCCTGCTTCATTTATGCAGAAAAGTACCTCTTATGTTGTGTTACCAGAATATTAGCAACTAACTTTAAAATGTTTTATTTTTTGTGAAACATGTATAGTTATTAATATACTATGAGAAAATAACTTCTATTGCTATTCTGATAAAGTTCAATACGTACTGATGTAAGTATTAGTTAATATTTTACTAGATCGGTAGACAAATAATGGCATGATTAACTATTTCTGAATGTGTGTGCCAGGATCCTTGGAGCCCGAATAAGAGCAAATGTAGGGCATATCACCAGAGGTAGAAGTTCAGGTCAAGTGAGGAAAAGGGCCGATGGCGGGCCAGCAACACACCCATGTGCAGGTACACACTTTTTCTAAGTGCTGATCCATGAATCGACACTCCACTACTTTGGCCTATTCACACTTAGAAAAGTGCTATCAGAAAAGTAACACTTTGTGACAAGCCAATTTTTGATTGCTAGAAAAACAACAAAAAAAATGATTAACAGGAAAACCAGATCCATCATTATTAAGAACAAAGCAAACGTGAAATGATCCTTTACATTACAGAAATCAGTCTCAGAAAATCTGACTCTTATTTTGGCCATTACTAGAACTTTTCTCTTGCCTCAGAACTTCAGAAACTTGGAGACCTCTTTTCCTTTCCTTTCATAGACAAGTTAGAAATTAACCAGCACTAAATTACTTCAAAACCAGTAGGCCTCATGCTCTGAGATAACGGAAAATTTTTTCTTTATTTTGCTTTCATCTTCTGAATTCTATCTGTGCTTGATCACTCATCCTCCTTGAGAGCCTTCTCTAACCTAGTCTGAACACATGGATACGTCTACTGCATTTCCAACTCTGTGCACCAACAGGCGGTGTGCTGGAGAAAAGAGGAGCAGCCCATGCAGGGGACCCTCCCTAGGTAGCACGGCCCTATCCAGAGCCCTGTGAGCTTGACTTGGGGGAGGATCAGGACTGCTTAGCAGCAAGACCGATACTGAAAGGAAAATCAAGAGAAAGGCAAACATTTATTCAGAGAATTGGACAGGCACTTTTCTCTGCCATAATACATGAAGTCTGCAATACCTTAAGTCACTACAGGACTTTACTTTCAGATACATTCCAGTGACTTCATCAGAACTTGTTAGGAAATTAAATGGTGCTCGATCAGTGACAGTAGACTAGAGTATGAATCCAAGAGAAACGACTCACACAGCACACTCTTAATATTTTTCCCTAACGACATAATTATTTCCTGCTCAGTTCAAGAGAAAGTGGTATTTAGCATGTCATGGATAGGACAAACTGGCCCTGCAACCTTTAAAAGGCTATGAAAACCACCACCAGCATTTTAGGTGCAAATTATCACGCACAAAACGAATAGCCCAGCAAGTTTAGTATGCATGCCACCCGATACGACCACCACAGAGAGTGCCAAATGTGAATTTTAGTAAGCCCTCTTTATAGTATGATGATCAGCTGAGCAATCATCATAAATCCGCAGAGCCTCAGCACCAAAGGTCATAAAGAAAATAGCGCTCACCTTAGTGTCCAAACATGAGTGAAGACACCGCCTACCTTTGTCAGGACAGACATCAGCAGCCAGCCAGTCCACATTTGCCTCTTATAAGAATTTTAGAATTGAGGTTGAGTTCAAATTCCTAAGTTAAAAAATGTAAGTTTCAGAATTAAAAAAATGAAGCCTACATGCCTTCAAATAGCAATGAAGTCGCCACAATGAGGATGTAAATCCACAGTAAAATGGGTGTTTATCTGATACATGGAAATGTGAAAGGAGGACACCTTAGGGACACAGCTGGGCTGTACCACAGTGAAGCTTGCTGCAGGGGCACTCCCGGGGACGTTGTCTCTGGCATGACCAGACTCAGACCTGACACAAACTAGGAAGGCAGGGTGGTTTGGTAAAATGAATGTAAAGTAGAGCTATCTCAAATTACTTAAAGGCATCAGAATGTTCTCCTTTTTTCCACAGCGAATTCTCCAGTTCCCAATGTCCCACACAACTCCCACCAGTGCCTACTCCCCAGGTGTGGCTACTCAGGCATGCAACCTGGAGGCCGTTTACAGCTTCTTGACCTGGCCTGGGTAGGAAGGCAGGTGTTTGTTAGGACAAAGGGTTGTTAAGTTCACCTCTTTCCCTTACAGAAATTGGAGGCAAATAGCAGAGGGTAGGGAAGCAGAGAACAGTCTCCACTTTAATCCATGACCCCAAGCCATTTCCATGCTCCAATCCTGGCTGCCCCATTTTCTTTCCTCCTTTGTGTGCAAACATCGCCTTTCCTAGGCCAGTCGGCGACCACACCACTTGCTGGGAGGAGGTCCCAGCAAGTCCCACTGCACTAGGTCTCCTGTCCGCTTTGGTTCTTTGGCTTCAGTCTTTGGATTCATTCTTCACCTTCAATACTGTATTACAGGACTGACCATGTAAAGAGGTTGCCTGATAGAAGCAGCAATGAAAGGGTTGTTTCTTCTAAAGTCCAGCATGCAATGATTTAGTCAATTCAAAAAGAATGGGGTAAGAGAAAAATTCCCATGTTTTCTTTTCACTAATTTTATTTATATTAGGTAGTTTTCACTCAGAATATCAATTCATTTTTCAGGTTTAGATATATGTATATGTAGCTGTTCGTATGCATTAATCACTTAGAAACTTTATTTGGTATAACTTCACATTTTTGGTATATAGAAATTTTATTTTCTTAATGCAGCACAGTAGACATACAATCAATATTATTCCCTAGAATGTGCAATATATAAATTATTCACATTAAAAAATTAACAGAAAGCCTCATATGCAGTAAATATTTAAAAATGTATATCTAACTTTGATTCTGTTTCTGACTATACACTACTAGCTTTATAAATCTGAATGAATATGACATTTACACATTTGAATGAAGTACACGGATGGGTCCATTCCAGATGCTTATTACACCGTATGAATAATCTGCTCTTCACTTTGGTCATTAAGGTTCCATGTGCTGAGGCATATAGTGGATCCGAAAGACACTTCCAGGAAGTACATTTATTACATTGGCATCTTAAGAATTTCTGTTCCTTTTATTCTCCTTTATAGCGAGGGGGCCTTTTCTCTTTAAAAGCAAGAAGACCTTCAAGTCTGTCTTTTGTTGGAATGGTCTAAGAAAAACAAAATATTAAATATGTCAAAAATGTTAAAACAACTGTAAAAGTTTATCAAGCACTATCTAAGAAAACTACTTAGAACCACATTCTAAAATTTTGAAATCAGTCACCTGAACAATTCTCCTAATTATGTAACCAAACTCATCCTTCTTACTCCAAGTGGTCCTCTACCCCATTTTGCTCTTCTTTTTCTAGTTTCCTAATAAGGTGGAAGGTTATTATCGATTTAGATATTTTCTCTTTTCTATTATATACATCCAATGCTATTTCTATCTAAGCACTGCTTTCAGTATATCCCACAAACTTTGAGAAGTTGTATTTTCATTTTAATTCAAAATACTTTATAATTCCTCAAGACATCTCTGACATATAACATTATTTAGAAGGATGTTGTTTAATCACCCAATATTTTGGGTTTTTCCAGCAGTCTTTCTTTTATTGATTTCTAGTTTAATTCCATTGTGGTCTGAAGAATACCTTGAATAATTTCTGGTGTTTACATTTAGTAAGTTGTAATTTATGGCCAAATGTGCTTTTAAAATTTTTCTTTGGGCTCTGAGGCTATTTCTAAGACGTTTGTAATTCACTTTCCTCATGGCACGTACTCATCAATGACAGGTGGTGATTTATATATACAAGCTGGGCACAGAGTCACACTCTAGATACTGCTCCTTTAAACGAGTGCTCATGCAGTTTCCAACTCCCAGGAAAGGTAGAACAAAACTTTTTTGCTATTTCAGATGCCCTAAAACAAAGTTCTATCTTTCAGAGAAAGACAAAAAAGGGAAAACATTTTTTTTTTCCTCTCCAGGAAGACCTAATAATTTGTATGCAGTCATCCCTCAGTTATCTGCAGGGGATTGGTTACAGGACCTCCTGCAGATGCCAAAATCTGCAGATGCTCAAGTCCCTTATATATTAATAAAATTGCATATCATATTACCTACGCACATCCTCCTGTATACTTTAAATCATCTCTAGATTATTTATAATACCTAATATAATGTAAATGGCATGTACACAGTTCTTATACTATATTGTTCAGGGAATAATAAGGAAAAAAGTCAGTACATGTTCAGTACAGATGCAACCATCTTTTTTTTTCCTGAATATTTTCAATTTACACTTGGTTGAATCCACAAATGCAAAACTTACAGATGAAAAGGGCCGACTGTGTAAAAAATAAAACTATAATTTCATTAGTGAACTTTCAGTGGTCAGGAGAGACAGATCAGAGGTTCAGGAAAAGCCAAGCAGTCTCACCCCAGGTTGCATGGCAGGCACACGCTCATCACCACTCTCCTCTACCTCTCTACATTGCAGTGGGAGGCCAGGACCAATCCCACAAAAGAAAGCATAAGCCTAGAGAGACAGCTCCTGCACACCCAGGACTGACTCAGTTACTCTAAGAGTTTTCTAGATTATATAGACAAGAGGCATTCCTGTGGAACAGAATCAGTCATAAGAGCTGGTAACAAATAGCAGAAACAACTAATTTCAACCCATTTGTATGATTTTGGAATGGGCGCAAGGGTAATCTTGCTCAGTGAAATTCATTTGAATTATACAGAAGGTAAATATAATTTGTAAGGGTCATCCTCATTGAATTTGTGATTGCATTACATACCTGAGCATAACAAGCTTCTTCTATGGCTAACCCTGTTACTAAATCGACCTGAGAATAAAAACATAATCCATTTCAGCAGAAATAACTTTGCGAAATGTGGTATATTCAACAGAAATTCAAATTGAATAACCTTATCCCCAAAGCACCCAATCCTTTGATATAGTACAGCAGATCAGAGTGTGACCAACATGAGACACAGAACCAGGCTTCCTGGGTTCGTCCTGACTCCCTCACTTGGGAGCTGAGTTACCTTGGGGAAGTTATTTAACCTCTCTGTGCTTCAAAGAGGCATGTCTGAACAAGGGGCTAATTATAATGCTCACCAAATGGGAGTATTGTGAGGATTAAATGAGTTAATCTAGGTGAGGCCTTTATGTCGCGACACACACACACACACACACACACGATGCTTAATACATAGTAAGGGCTATATAAGGTATTTGCTATTGGTATTGTTACCATTATGTAAATATTTAAATAAACCAATCAAATACTTTTGCAAATTTATGAAACTGTATTTACTGTTATACAGTATTGACTGTATAAAGTCAATCTCTTTTTACTGCTATACAGCCCAGGAAGATGCGGAGGTTCCTTAGTCTACCAAGAAGGAAGCACTTTTCTTCAAAATACCCATAAGTTACCCAAAATATAATAACTGCCATGAAAAGTCCAATAAATGGGTATGTGCACCACCCCCTCCTCCCAGGCCTGGGGCCTTCACTCTTTTGGAGTCATCTCCCTGGGGTACCCCCAGGACACACAATGGATTCACCTTATACCTGCATTGCGTGTGCCTCCTTGTAGAAGGCACACTGAGAAGCTAAAGGTGGAAAGAGCTAGCTGTTCTTGGAATGTTTTGTATAATATAATACTGATGCTAAAAATGCACAGAATGCCCTGTTATTTTGGTTTTCTATGAACTACTAGCCAATAAATCTGTCTGTTAACTGGATGGCAAGAATAATGAGCATGTCATAAGCTTCAGGGCACTGGTAAAATTACTGAATTCTGTGCTTGTGATACTGAATTAGCAATAACTGTAAGAATGAAATAAATGACGTACTTGCAAGGAACTTCAGTAGCTTTCAGTAATAGTAGCATTTAAACAACCATATTTTAGAACTTTAAAAAAAATGTAGAAGTCTAAACATGGTTCATTTAAATTAAATCTCCACTCTCCATTCCCAAAACAAACTCAAGCATTAAGGAACCTACCTCCATCCCTTGATTAATTGCTAATTTTGCCACTCTCATTGCAACAGGTCCCTAAAATTCAAATTAAAGAAACAGACTTCAATTATTTTTTATGCAAATTATGTCGTATATCTCAGTAAAATTCAGAATTCCCACCACTGGATCCATTGCACAGCCAGCAATGGCTGTCAGATACTAGATGGAAAATTTTCTGAGCCTTGCAAGGCTGTAATTAAAGAGCAACTGCAACAACCACATCAGCACATTATTTAGATTCCACATGTTTTGTTATGCTGCAAACTCCGGATCCTTAAAGGTGAGCAGGTAGTGCATGTCCAGCTGTGAGCTTGCTGTTCTTCAGCAACACTTCCTAGAAGTTAAGTAGAGGAAGGAAAAGGAGGTAGTCTTTGCCTCAGTACCACACCAATTAGGGGTTTTGAAAGAAGCTTGGGCTGGGGATGAGGCTGTTGCTATTGATTAAGGTAGGGTTCTGATATCATCTCCTTCAGACACTGGCTATATTTCCTCCATTCGCCTTGACAACTAACAGCAATGATGGTGGATTAATCAACAGTGTCCTCTAAGCAGTGCTCCCACAGCACACATAAATATGAAGTCTACATAAGTCTTTCAGGATGCAGAAGAGTCACAAGGAATGAACTGGATATCTGTTGTGAGAAGGAGAATGTTACCTGTGTCTTGCAGAAGCCAAACTCTTACCAAGCAGAAAAACCAGAATCCCTCAGATGGAATTTCATTATTGGATCACATTTTAAAGTCCTAAAATACCATTTATGGGTAATAAATGTGAATTCAATGCTATATTTTGAACTGAATGCTCTTTTGAATTAAAACACAAGGTAGGCTCTAAACAACAGGCACAGCAAAGGACTCTTGGATGGTGACATGGATAAATGCATGAAAAGACATGTTTTCCTATCAAGGAGTTTCTATTATTAAATTTGACCTATCTAAATTTTCTTCCAAATCATGTTTACAAATCTTTTTCAAAGGCCACAATTTCCAAGGCTATAGTTGTTAGACAAATATCTTATTGATAATTCTTCCCACTGTGATTTGTATATATCATAGACACCACCACCATTTTTTTCATGATAATCAATCCATTTTATTAAATGGTGTGCTCCTCTAATTTTTCCATTTTCATTGTCAACTGACCAAGAAAAGGTGCTTGTCAAACTCCTAGATGCACACAAATCCCCATCCTCCTTGTTAAAATGCAGATGTGGACTCAGTGGGTCTGAGATGGGCCTGAGATTCTGCACGTCTAACAAGCTGCCAGGAGATGCCCAGGCTGCTGGTCCACAGACCACACTTTGGGAAGTAAAGTTTAGAAAGCCATGAGAAAAACAGGAAAATTCAAAATGCTATTAGAAATAGTGCTTGATTTAATTTGTTTCCTCCTTAAAACATTTCCAGTGCCTTTTCTTCTTTACAAGCCTTTTTTTCTCAGATAAATGGAAGTAATATATAATACAGATATCACCTAGAAATACTGATTTTACAAAAGCTTTCAGTTATCTGGAGGACTAATCATTTGGCAACAAAGTAACAAACATAAAAATAAAGGTGATTCCACTCAAACTTCATTTGGTGACTCGTGCATGTAATTTTGCAGTCACATATTTTCTGAAGTAACTCAACATCTTCTTATACATCAACATCTTCTTATTTGTTTGACCTGGAGGAAAATTAATTTTAACAATCAACATTCTGAAGGAGTGTCCTTCCAATGAAAGGTGACAAAGGCACATGCACAGGGACTGTGATGACGGCTGGGTAACCACACAATGGGATGCGGCTCGACACACTGGCAGTGGAAGGAGGGAGCAGAGGAGAGGACAGTGCTCACGTTCTCAGGCGGGGCGGTGTGTGGACGGTGGTGGCATTTGCTGCATGGTGGCCACAGAAGCATCATGGGAGAGAGAGCAAGTCAGGCCCTAAGGGGCTAATAAGCTGCCTATAGGGAGCTCTGAAGTAGAGAGCTGAACATCCATGTCAGGAGGCCAGGAGCGGGCTCTGCAGATCATCAGAATTGGAACTGTGTCATAACCTTTCTTAAACACACCCCTTTCTTTCAACTGAGGTATGTTCTGGTCATAAAGTTTTAAGCCAAGGTAAGTTATAACACCAATATTCAGTCAGATTATACTCTCCTGATACTTGTACCTTTAATTTGTCTTTAGGTAGAGACTTCTCTCATATTTGGGAAGAATAAATAAGTTTGTAGTGAGAATCTTATCTTTTTAAGGCAAAAATCTTTTTTTATTTGCTCTGTTTCCATCAATCCAACAAATACTTATTGAGCATCTACTGAATGTATGGCTCTGCACTACCTTATGTGGGGAATAAATTATATAATGGTCCTTCCCTAAAAGAGCTAACAGCTCCTAAGTTAATTAAGAAGGACCAGAAGCATCAATGCCAGGCAGTGTGGTTTTAAAAACCGATTCAGCAGGTGCATACCAGCAGAGTGGGGACTGGTTTGTCAGCAAAGGCTCCTGTGCTGAGTGCCAAGAACACTTTCTGAAACTGGATGCAAGACTCTGAACAAATGTGAGCATTCATGCATTTTTAAAAAGAATCAAATGCATGAATTTGGAATCTCATGGCATTCCCAAAAAGATCCACAGCCCACAAAAAAGGTTATGAAACCTGTTTGAGTTAAGCAACCCTGAGTTAGAGAGAAAAATTATTTTGACTCTAGAAATGGTTAGGGGGTTATAAAACTTCAAACTCCACTAGGAATAAAGAAGATCACTACTGCTTACACAGCAAAAGAAGACTCTTTCTCTCAATTTAAAGCCCTTTAATCTTGTGATTTCAGACCAAAGGCATATTTGAAAAATATATCTGAACGGGTGACAAAAAGAATTGCTTAAAGCAGGACTGTCAGTGCACGGCCACTGATATCACTCCTGAGTCAGCCATACGCATCATGTTCTAGATTTGAAAGTGTAGTTGTGAGGAAGCACAATGGAGTCAAAACAACGCCTACACCACCATAGGCAAACACACAGAAAGACAAACAACTGCTGCTTTTCAAGCAGGCTTTTCACTTTTCAAGTGAAGCCACTGCAATGGAAGTCCACTCTGGCACAACAGACTACAGTCCCTTACTAGAAAACAGCATATTTCAATGTATTTTGACTTGGGGTGGCCCAGTGTGACAGCCAGCCCTATCACTCTTTCTTTCCATGGCTATGGCTTCCATTAGAGTGCTCAGCTGGTGAGCAAATTAAAACACCTTGCTAGGAAGTTGTGCACATGTGACAAGCATTGTCAAGGGATATTTTATCAAAGTGTGGCTACAATAAGACCCTTGGAGCATCTTCAAAGCGTCATCAGAATTCCACAGGATCATAGTGTTTATCTTGTGTAACTGCTCTAGTTTTACAGAGCCCACGCATCCCTTTACTTGGAAGCAAGCCAGGGACTTCTTCCATAGGCAAGATGACTGCTGTTTTAGTCAAAGTGTTATAATGTTTCCTAAAATGAGAAAAAATAAACTCATTTAATGAGAAATACCTGAGGTAAAAACTCTCTCGCCAGGTCCAAGGCCTTCCTGTAGGCCGCGTCTCCCTCCTGGTTCTGTTCCAGAACGTGGCTGATTAAGCCCACTGCTTTGGCTTCTTTGCCATCGAGGACTCGCGCAGAGAATATGAGCTCCTTGGCCAGGGACATTCCAATGGCGCGTGGCAATCGCTGTGTCCCCCCTGAGGGGTGAAAGAGAGAGAAAAGGCAATGATTTGACACCTGTTAGTTTTAACACTTCAGTGTTTCATATCTTCATTTATAAAAATAAACCAGGGCCAGAAGTTTATATGTTAAAATTAGTAGCTGGAAAACTACTTCAGAACAGAATCTAATTTCTTAATTCCCCTATAAAACTAATAACACCAAAAAAGGACTTGAGAACCTTACATCCTTATTAAGTGATTTTGGCACTGAGTATCACCTGCAACCTCTCTGGTATACACTGAGTCCAATCCACAGTCATCACCCCATCAGTAACCATCAGGTGAACAGCAGTGGATAGGCAGTACCAGCCAGTAAGTCCACTGACTAGAAAGGCAGAGTTCCACCAAGCTTGGCATTCTTCTTTCAGCTTAAATAAATCTTAACACATTGTGAGACATTCAACTCCTGTTCTTTTAAAGAATCCTTTATGGCGAATACATTGTAAACACATTTTAATCTAGAAATAAAACCAGACAATGACTCATGAAAACAGGCTTTGTCCTGGTGGTATTTTCTCAGTGCAAGTCCTGGTCATCTCCGTTAGCTCTTCTCTCGGAGACGCTCTCTCACACAAACACACCCCTTTTCCAGCTGGTGAGGAAAATCCACTGTGTGTGGAGTCAGAAGCCATGCATTTGGTTTTGACGTTGTCACTTACTACTTTAGGGACTTCGGGAGTTCATTAACTCTTCAACTCCAAGGGAAAACAGTGGGTATATTAGCATGATTTAGGGTAAATGTAGGTCAGAATAGTTCTACAGCAAAAGATGCTTATTTTGTTGAAGATAGCCTAACTCACTAGATCCATCTATGTATTCACTTCAGTATCTTCCAGTGATGAGGACGGGATCTCATTAAATACAAAGTTGGGCAAAAGCAGGTAACACAGGTCTAGCCTCAATGTCTACCAAGAAGAAATGAAAACAGCTTCAACATCAGCATTCACCTAAATCTCACCCTATCAATGGCTGTGCCAAGAGGCAGAGGAGCAGCAGACTGCCCCCTTGCAGAGCAGGAAAAGCAAACTGACGCCCACCATCTACACAAGTTCACTGGGTTTTACTTGACCTACAAAATTTAAAACTTTTCTTTCTGCATTAGTTAGCAACATTTAAAACTAGATGAGTGATTTTATCTTAAAAAAAAAACCAATTTACCTCCAGTATTTTTCCTTTAAAGGAAAGCAAAATCATTTTTTGTTCACACCTCTATGAAAAGTGGAAAAAAATTAAAGACCACAAGAAGGCACATGTTTAACAAAGTATGCCTCAGTTGGAAGAACAGAGCTTAAGATGCCATTATTAAGCAAACCATGTTAAGAACCGTAATTAATATTTAGAACACAGGTAACACTTAGAAAAAGAAACCCTGAATGAATTGTAAAAGGACTAATATTTTCAATACAGACTGTTTTCAAACAAATACAATAATGCTACCGCAAAATGCAGTTATTACGTGTTTAAGCTGCCCAAGCCGTTAGAGATGGTGAGTTTATATAAGTGTTTACTCGATACGGCAGAAAATATGTGTCTGAAGACAATGAATTATTGACAAATTTAAATTTAACTTTCGACAATGATGTTGCTCAGTGTAGTAAAGATAGGTCTGAGAACTTACGGGATAAGCTGCATGGAAAAGACAAGCTATTTATGGTGCTTCCAATGGCAGCTGATTAGAACACAGATATAAATATAACTCAGATAACTATATTTACTCATGGAGCTGATGAGAATTTTGATGAGACTGAAGAACTTAATGAATATATATTATTCATGATAAGCATATTAGGAAATGGTTCTTTCTCATGTTCTATGAAAAGTTTAATGTAGACTGGTCACAATTAACAAATGTGACCCACATTGTTAATGTCACACTTTTTATTCAACAGAAACAACATTTTCCAAGTCCCGGAAGCTCAAACTCGTTCATCATATTGTTCCACTTATAGCATGATCCTGAGGTATGAGGATTTTTGCAGAAACTTAACAAAGTAATGGTCATGTAGGTGGTAACTAACACTAGGAAAAAGACCCAGTCCCTTAAGCTGAGGGGTAGACAGCTGGATGCTTTGTTTCTTAAGCTGGATGCATAACACAACAGATGGCTGGCGGGCCTGCGGTGGAGGCTAGAGGTATGGTGCAGAAGAGAGCTAACTTTCTGACCCATTGAAAACAATGCATCACAGGAACCAGGGGAAAACCCTTGGCGTGGCTCACCCACTAACACTGCATCCAGGACTTGATCTTTTTGGATGACATCACAAGCCATCTACTTTATTGCCTCATATAAATGGAATCGTTCAGTATTTGTCTTTCTGTGATTCACCTGTTTCACTTAGCGTAATGTCCTCAAGATTCACCTCTGTTGTAGCATGTGTCAGAAATCCATTCCTTTTTAAGGCTGAATAACATTCCATTGTACGTATATACCACATTTTGCTTATCCATTCACCCCTGGAAGGATACCTGGGTTGCTCTACCTTTTGGCTATTGTGAATAATGCTGCTATGAACATGGATATACAAATATCTCTTCAAGACCCTGCTTTCAATTCTGCTTTCAATATATACAGCGTGGGACTGCTGGATCATACAGTAATTCCAGTTTAATTTTTTGAGAAATCACCATAATGTTTTCCATAGTCACCAAACCATTTTACATTCCTACCAACAGAGAACAAGAATTCCAATTTCTCTACACCCTCACCAACACTTACTATTTTTTTTTATAGTAGCCATCCTAATGGGTGTGCAGTAGCATTTTGAAACCCACCCAATAGTCCCATAGACAGTTCTTTTTGGATAAACAAAGAAATTGACCCTTCTGCTGTTAAAGTTTGAAACTTGCATCTGTTTTGAGTTTCTTCCCCAGAAAAGGACCTTCAGGCCTTTCAAAAAAAGTATCAAAGAACCAAAACTCAGCTGATCACCAGACCAGATGACTCCTTGCCCCTCCCTAGTTCTTGTTTTCTTACACATTGTTACATTTCTTCCCTGCTATATAAACCCCTAGTTTTAGTGGGTTAGGGAGATGAATTTGAGGCTGAGCTCCCATCTCAGCAGCAGCAGCCGATTAAAGCCTTCTTCCTTGGCAATACTTGTCGTGACAGTGATGGGCTTTCTGTGCAGTGAACAGGAGGACCTAGACAAAACCCCTGGTGTTTTGGTAGCAATTTCATTGTGAGTAGTCATGCTGAGCGCCTAAGTTTTCATGTGCTTATTGGCCATCCATATATTGTCTTTGGAGAAATGTCTATTTAAAGTTATTTGCCTATTTTTAATTTGCGTCTTGAGTTGTTTCATTTGTTGAGTTACAGGAGTTCTTTATATATTCTGGATATTAATCCTTTATCAGATATAGACTTGCAAATATTTTCTCCCATCCCATGGGTTGCCTTTTCACTCTGTTGATAGTGCCTGATGCATAAAAGTCTTTAATTTTGGTCCAATTTACCTCTTTTTTCTCTTGTTGCCTGTGTTACTGGTGTCATATCCAAGAAATTATTGCCAAATCCAATGTTATAAAGCTTTTTCTTTATGCTTTCTTCTAAGAGTTGTATACTTTTAGTTCTTATGCTATGGTCTTTGATCAGTTTTGTGTTAATTTTTGCATAGGGTATAAAGTATTCCTAACACTATTTCCTGAAAGGGACATTCTTAAATGATTACACAAATACATGATTTCATTCACTCATTCCCACTGAAATTTTAACTTTTAGAACATTTGTTTGGCAAGAAATTATCCCAGTTTGCAGAAATCTAAGACTGATGGCCTGAATTATATATATTTTTACATGTGTGAAACTGAAAGTAAACTGTCCCCTCCACCCCTCAGGCATACAAAATTCATGATTTCAAGGTTTATAAAAATGATATAATCTGTTCAGTCTGCCTTTCTCAATTACTAATGATACTATGAGCAAAGAACTTTACAAATGGAAGTTACAATGCAATATTGGACAACTAAACATGATTGATATGGAATCTAAGATTTTTACAAATATCTCCGGAATAGTTACCCCAAATGGCAAAACTTTTTATGCCAACATTCTTTTCCAGCTTGAAAGTACTTAAATTTATGAACACGCATTTTCTATAATTAAACTAAATGAAACTCAGTATTCTTGCTGGTTAAGGAAGTCAAATAGTGCAGAAAAACATCCCAATCCAAAAGATGAGATGTGCCAAAATCTTGGTGCAATCATAGCTCACTGTAGCATCCACCTCCTAGGCTCAAATGATCCTTCTGCCTCAGCCTCCCTAGTTAGCATGCCATGCCTGGCATCAGACTGTAAGCTCCAAATGTAAAGAGGAGAACTAGAAAAAAATTACTTCAGTTCACCTTTTCTTAATTCTGAATATCAAACTCCAATATTAACTTAGAGTTAGGGGTAAAAGTGAAGATAGCGTATCCTATTTCTGTCAGTTGACTATTTTACACCAGGCTTGCTTCATTAGATTAGATGATATAATCTGCTAGTTCCCTTAGGCATCTGAATTCAGGATTCCTAAAGTGCCAGTTCTTTTTTTTTATTATTATTATTATTATACTTTAAGTTTTAGGGTACATGTGCACATTGTGCAGGTTAGTTACATATGTATGTATACATGTGCCATGCTGGTGTGCTGCACCCACTAACTCGTCATCTAGCATTAGGTATATCTCCCACTGCTATCCCTCCCCCCTCCCCCCACCACACCACAGTCCCCAGAGTGTGATTGTTCCCCTTCCTGTGTCCACGTGGTCTCATTGTTCAATTCCCACCTATGAGTGAGAATATGCGGTGTTTGGTTTTTTGTTCTTGGGATAGTTTACTGAGAATGACGATTTCCAATTTCATCCATGTCCCTAAAGGACATGAACTCATCATTTTTTATGGCTGCATAGTATTCCATGGTGTATATGTGCCACATTTTCTTAATCCAGTCTATCATTGTTGGACATTTGGGTTGGTTCCAAGTCTTTGCTATTGTGAATAATGCCGCAATAAACATACGTGTGCATGTGTCTTTATAGCAGCATGATTTATAGTCCTTTGGGTATATACCCAGTAATGGGATGGCTGGGTCAAATGGTATTTCTAGTTCTAGATCCCTGAGGAATCACCACACTGACTTCCACAATGGTTGAACTAGTTTACAGTCCCACCAACAGTGTAAAAGTGTTCCCATTTCTCCACATCCTCTCCAGCACCTGTTGTTTCCTGACTTTTTAATGATCGCCATTCTAACTGGTGTAAGATGGTATCTCATTGTGGTTCTGATTTGCATTTCTCTGACGGCCAGTGATGGTGAGCATTTTTTCATGTGTTTTTTGGCTGCATAAATGTCTTCTTTTGAGAAGTGTCTGTTCATGTCCTTTGCCCACTTTTTGATGGGGTTGTTTGTTTTTTTCTTGTAAATTTGTTTGAGTTCATTGTAGATTCTGGATATTAGCCCTTTGTCAGATGAGTAGGTTGCAAACATTTTCTCCCATTCTGTAGGTTGCCTGTTCACTCTGATGGTAGTTTCTTTTGCTGTGCAGAAGCTCTTTAGTTTAATTAGATCCCATTTGTCAATTTTGGCTTTTGTTGCCATTGCTTTTGGTGTTTTAGACATGAAGTCCTTGCCCATGCCTATGTCCTGAATGGTAATGCCTAGGTTTTCTTCTAGGGTTTTTATGGTTTTAGGTCTAACGTTTAAGTCTTTAATCCATCTTGAATTGATTTTTGTATAAGGTGTAAGGAAGGGATCCAGTTTCAGCTTTCTACATATGGCTAGCCAGTTTTCCCAGCACCATTTATTAAATAGGGAATCCTTTCCCCATTGCTTGTTTTTCTCAGGTTTGTCAAAGATCAGATAGTTGTAGATATGCGGCGTTATTTCTGAGGGCTCTGTTCTGTTCCATTGATCTATATCTCTGTTTTGGTACCAGTACCATGCTGTTTTGGTTACTGTAGCCTTGTAGTATAGTTTGAAGTCAGGTAGTGTGATGCCTCCAGCTTTGTTCTTTTGGCTTAGGAATGACTTGGCAATGCGGGCTCTTTTTTGGTTCCATATGAACTTTAAAGTAGTTTCTCCCAATTCTGTAAAGAAAGGCATTGGTAGCTTGATGGGGATGGCATTGAATCTGTAAATTACCTTGGGCAGTATGGCCATTTTCACGATATTGATTCTTCCTACCCATGAGCATGGAATGTTCTTCCATTTGTTTGTGTCCTCGTTTATTTCCTTGAGCAGCGGTTTGTAGTTCTCCTTGAAGAGGTCGTTCACATCCCTTGTAAGTTGGATTCCTAGGTATTTTATTCTCTTTGAAGCAATTGTGAATGGGAGTTCACTCATGATTTGGCTCTCTGTTTGTCTGTTGTTGGTGTATAGGAATGCTTGTGATTTTTGCACATTGATTTTGTATCCTGAGACTTTGCTGAAGTTGCTTATCAGCTTAAGGAGATTTTGGGCTGAGACAATGGGGTTTTCTAGATATACAATCATGTCATCTGCAAACAGGGACAATTTGACTTCCTCTTTTCCTAATTGAATACCCTTTATTTCCTTCTCCTGCCTAATTGCCCTGGCCAGAACTTCCAACACTATGTTGAATAGGAGTGGTGAGAGAGGGCATCCCTGTCTTGTGCCAGTTTTCAAAGGGAATGCTTCCAGTTTTTGCCCATTCAGTATGATATTGGCTGTGGGTTTGTCATAGATAGCTCTTATTATTTTGAAATATGTCCCATCAATACCTAATTTATTGAGAGCTTTTAGCATGAAGCATTGTTGAATTTTGTCAAAGGCCTTTTCTGCATCTATTGAGATAATCATGTGGTTTTTGTCTTTGGCTCTGTTTATGTGCTGGATTACATTTATTGATTTGCGTATATTGAACCAGCCTTGCATCCCAGGGATGAAGCCCACTTGATCATGGTGGATAAGCTTTTTGATGTGCTGCTGGATTTGGTTTGCCAGTATTTTATTGAGGATTTTTGCATCCATGTTCATCAAGGATATTGGTCTAAAATTCTCTTTTTTGGTTGTGTGTCTGCCCGGCTTTGGTATCAGAATGATGCTGGCCTCAGAAAATGAGTTAGGGAGGATTCCCTCTTTTTCTATTGATTGGCATAGTTTCAGAAGGAATGGTACCAGTTCCTCCTTGTACCTCTGGTAGAATTCGGCTGTGAATCCATCTGGTCCTGGACTCTTTTTGGTTGGTAAGCTATTGATTATTGCCACAATTTCACATCCTGTTATTGGTCTATTCAGAGATTCAACTTCTTCGTGGTTTAGTCTTGGAAGAGTGTATGTGTCAAGGAATTTATCCATTTCTTCTAGATTTTCTAGTTTATTTGCATAGAGGTGTTTGTAGTATTCTCTGATGGTAGTTTGTATTTCTGTGGGATCGGTGGTGATATCCCCTTTATCATTTTTTATTGCGTCTATTTGATTCTTCTCTCTTTTTTTCTTTATTAGTCTTGCTAGCGGTCTATCAATTTTGTTGATCCTTTCAAAAAACCAGCTCCTGGATTCATTAATTTTTTCAAGGGTTTTTTGTGTCTCTATTTCCTTCAGTTCTGCTCTGATTTTAGTTATTTCTTGCCTTCTGCTAGCTTTTGAATGTGTTTGCTCTTGCTTTTCTAGTTCTTTTAATTGTGATGTTAGGGTGTCAATTTTGGATCTTTCCTGCTTTCTCTTGTGGGCATTTAGTGCTATAAATTTCCCTCTACACACTGCTTTGAATGTGTCCCAGAGATTCTGGTATGTTGTGTCTTTGTTCTCATTGGTTTCAAAGAACATCTTTATATCTGCCTTCATTTCGTTATGTACCCAGTAGTCATTTAGGAGCAGGTTGTTCAGTTTCCATGTAGTTGAGCAGTTTTGAGTGAGATTCTTAATCCTGAGTTCTAGTTTGATTGCACTGTGGTCTGAGAGACAGTTTGTTTTAATTTCTGTTATTTTACATTTGCTGAGGAGAGCTTTACTTCCAAGAATGTGGTCAATTTTGGAATAGGTGTGGTGTGGTGCTGAAAAAAATGTATATTCTGTTGATTTGGGGTGGAGAGTTCTGTAGATGTCTATTAGGTCCTCTTGGTGCAGAGCTGAGTTCAATTCCTGGGTATCCTTGTTGACTTTCTGTCTCGTTGATCTGTCTAATGTTGACAGTGGGGTGTTAAAGTCTCCCATTATTAATGTGTGGGAGTCTAAGTCTCTTTGTAGGTCACTCAGGACTTGCTTTATGAATCTGGGTGCTCCTGTATTGGGTGCATATATATTTAGGATAGTTAGCTCTTCTTATTGAATTGATCCCTTTACCATTATGTAATGGCCTTCTTTGTCTCTTTTGATCTTTGTTGGTTTAAAGTCTGTTTTATCAGAGACTAGGATTGCAACCCCTGCCTTTTTTTGTTTTCCATTTGCTTGGTAGATCTTCCTCCATCCTTTTATTTTGAGCCTATGTGTGTCTCTGCACGTGAGATGGGCTTCCTGAATACAGCACACTGATGGGTCTTGACTCTTTATCCAATTTGCCAGTCTGTGTCTTTTAATTGGAGCATTTAGTCCATTTACATTTAAAGTTAATAGTGTTATGTGTGAATTTGATCCTGTCATTATGATGTTAGCTGGTTATTTTGCTCGTTGGTTGATGCAGTTTCTTCCTAGTCTCGATGGTCTTTACATTTTGGCATGATTTTGCAAGCGGCTGGTACCAGTTGTTCCTTTCCATGTTTAGCACTTCCTTCAGGAGCTCTTTTAGGGCAGGCCTGGTGGTGACAAAATCTCTCAGCATTTGCTTGTCTGTAAAGTATTTTATTTCTCCTTCACTTATGAAGCTTAGTTTGGCTGGATATGAAATTCTGGGTTGAAAATTCTTTTCTTTAAGAATGTTGAATATTGGCCCCCACTCTCTTCTGGCTTGTAGGGTTTCTGCCAAGAGATTCGCTGTTAAGTCTGATGGGCTTCCCTTTGAGGGTAACCCGACCTTTCTCTCTGGCTGCCCTTAACATTTTTTCCTTCATTTCAACTTTGGTGAATCTGACAATTATGTGTCTTGGAGTTGCTCTTCTCGAGGAGTATCTTTGTGGCGTTCTCTGTATTTCCTGAATCTGAATGTTGGCCTGCCTTGCTAGATTGGGGAAATTCTCCTGGATAATATCCTGCAGAGTGTTTTCCAACTTGGTTCCATTCTCCCCATCACTTTCAGGTACACCAATCAGACGTAGATTTGGTCTTTTCACATAGTCCCATATTTCTTGGAGGCTTTGCTCGTTTCTTTTTCTTTTTTCTCTAAACTTTCCTTCTCGCTTCATTTCATTCATTTCATCTTCCATTGCTGATACCTTTTCTTCCAGTTGATCGCAGCGGCTCCTGAGGCTTCTGCATTCTTCACGTAGTTCTCGAGCCTTGGTTTTCAGCTCCATCAGCTCCTTTAAGCACTTCTCTGTATTGGTTATTCTAGTTATACATTCTTCTAAATTTTTTTCAAAGTTTTCAACTTCTTTGCCTTTGGTTTGAATGTCCTCCCATAGCTCAGAGTAATCTGATCGTCTGAAGCCTTCTTCTCTCAGCTCGTCAAAGTCATTCTCCGTCCAGCTTTGTTCCGTTGCTGGTGAGGAGCTGCGTTCCTTTGGAGGAGGAGAGGCACTCTGATTTTTAGAGTTTCCAGTTTTTCTGTTCAGTTTTTTCCCCATCTTTGTGGTTTTATCTACTTTTGGTCTTTGATGATGGTGATGTACAGATGGGTTTTTGGTGTGGATGTCCTTTCTGTTTGTTAGTTTTCCTTCTAACAGACAGGACCCTCAGCTGCAGGTCTGTTGGAGAACCCTGCAGTGTGAGGTATCAGTGTGCCCCTGCTGGAGGGTGCCTCCCAGTTAGGCTGCTCGGGGCTCAGGGGTCACGGACCCACTTGAGGAGGCAGTCTGCCCGTTCTCCGATCTCCAGCTGCCTACTGGGAGAACCACTGCTCTCTTCAAAGCTGTCAGACAGGGACATTTAAGTCTGCAGAGGTTACTGCTGTCTTTTTGTCTGTGCCCTGCCCCCAGAGGTGGAGCCTACAGAGGCACGCAGGCCTCCTTGAGCTGTGGTGGGCTCTACCCAGTTCAAGCTTCCCGGCTGCTTTGTTTACCTAAGCAAGCCTGGGCAATGGTGGGTGCCCCTCCCCCAGCCTCGGTGCTGCCTTGCAGTTTGATCTCAGACTGCTGTGCTAGCAATCAGCGAGACTCCATGGGGTAGGACCCTCCGAGCCAGGTGCGGGATATAATCTCGTGGTGCGCCGTTTTTTAAGCCCGTCGGAAAAGCGCAGTATTCGGGTCGGGTGGGAGTGACCCGATTTTCCAGGTGCCGTCGGTCACCCCTTTCTTTGATTAGGAAAGGCAACTCCCTGACCTCTTGCACTTCCCAAGTGAGGCAATGCCTCGCCCTGCTTCGGCTCACACACGGTGCGCGCACCCACTGACCTGCGCCCACTGTCTGGCACTCCCTAGTGAGATGAACCTGGTACCACAGATGGAAATGCAGAAATCACCCGTCTTCTGCGTAGCTCAGGCTGGGAGCTGTAGACCGGAGCTGTTCCTATTCGGTCATCTAAAGTGCCACTTCTAAACAGTCTTGGTGACTGATGACATTAAGCAGTGGAATTAAAAAAATAGGATTGTCCTTGGTGAAATTATAATTGTTTCAGTCTCACAAGCAGCCCTAATGCATTCAAGGTGACAGAGGTCTACAAAACTATTCAAACTCACACTGTCCATCCCAACAGCTTCCAATGCAGAGCCTGACTCCTGGTCAGGATCTGCTCTGAGGCTCCCTGGGCTGGAGCTATATACTCAGGGATTACGACATCAGCAAGTAACACATTCCCAGGACACTCCTGCAGATACTCCATAGTACTACAGAGTATGAGGAGAAATGTGAAGATAAGCTGAAAATTACAGGATAGCTCACAAGGCTTCCACTAAAAAACAAAGATCTCACAGCGACCACAGTTAATAATAGTATGTACTTATATGATTTTGAATGTTCTTACCACACAAAAAAAGATAAGTTGGTGAAGTCGTGGATATGTTAATTAGCTTGATTGACTCTTTCTACAATGTTTACATAGATCAATACACTATGGCCAGGCATGGTGGTGGCTCACACCTGTAATCCCAGCACTTTAGGAGGCTGGGGCAGGGGGATAGCTTGAGCCCAGGAGTTTGAGACCAGCCTGGCCAACGTAACAAGACTCTGTCTCTACCACACATAGAGATACAAAATCAGCCAGGCATCGCATGCTGACTACGGAGGCTGAGGCAGGAGGATTATTTGAGCCTAGGAAGTGGATGCTACAGTGAGCTATGATTATGCCACTGCAGTCCAGCCTGGGTGACAGAGCGAGATCTGTCTCTAAAAATATAAAAATGAAAACAAAATTATCACATTGTGCCCCATAAATATACAATTATTTGTCAGTTAAAAATAAATTTTAAAAAACAAGTGCCTCAAACCTTCCTAGGGGTAGTAAATTTATAGCACTTTTCCTTCCACAGAAAAGCAACTATAATATTTCTGCCATTTCAACACCCCACCAGCCAAAGGTACTATGTGAAGTTTCGTGTACCTACATGACGCTATGTCCAGATCAGCAAGCAGAAACTGAGTTCCAAAGCTGCATTACTATGCTATGAAGAAAGAAAGCGCCTTGGCCACTGCCCTTCCCTTTCTAATGTGTGAATGCTTAGAATATACAAGGGGATTTCTAAGGCTTTTTGCCTTGGCTGTGTCAACTTGGAGGTTCTGATTCAGTGAGTATGAGGTGAACCTAAGGTTCTGCATTTCTAATAGGCTCCAACATTCAGCTGAAGAGGCAGCAGAATCTACTAACCCACTGCTCTAAAACAGGAGGTGGAGAGATAATTCTCTTAAATTAAAGCAACAGAATTTACATAACCAAGTAAGTAATTGCAATCATCACCTCACATGCTGTCTACTTGTTGTTTAGGACCATTTTGGAATTCCTCCTTTAAAACTAATTTCACAGATGACAACCCATTTTTTCACTCATTGAAGCATCACTATGGAGGGACCCTGTTTTGGTACATGGATACATCCATGAACAAAACAAAGCCCCTGGCCCCTGGCGTTCAACACTGTCATGGGAAGCCTCGCAATAAAGAAAGAAATACACACAGAGAGTAAGAAAGCGGGGGGAGATGGAGTGGGGATGGGCACAGTTAAGACAGGATGGCCAGGGAAGGGCTCTGAGCAGGTGACACTGGAGCTGAGGCAGGAGGTAGCAAGGATTCCCACACAGGTCTGGGGAATGCATCTCCAGGAGGAACACGAAGGGCACAGGTTTTGTGGGAATTGCAACTGATTCACTTGTGGAGCACAAGGAGGTCCAGTGTGGCTGAAGTGCACAGCAGGGGCAGATCCTGTGGGTCCCATGGGCCCAAAAGGACCTGGGGTTTACTCTGAGGGGGACAAGAAGCCACTGAACATCTGAGAGCATCTTCTGAGAAACAGTGGTATGGGACTGTCATTCTCTAATGAAGATTTGAGCTTGTCAACCTAAATAAAAAACAGGGAGAGGGCCTCTAAAAGGAATCTGGGAATAAAGCATTGCAACAGGAATGCGTATGCCATAAACAATGTGTATATTCAGGGAGATAAAGGAAGACAAAGGTTTTTAGAGGAAAAAATGAAGATTACGTAACTGTTTCAAAATAATTATCCTTGGCTACAAAGATCAATAACAAGTAACGCCAGCCTGAGGCTGGACAGGCAGTTGAACAGACATCCTTGCAGAAGTGTCTTCTGTATAAGGTTACAATGGCCTTCATGTAAGGTTGTGGTTTTTGCAGAGTGTTTTGTGATGGTTTTAGTTATCAGGCATACAAGCATAAGAACCCTCTTTTCATGGGCTTCTCAATTCTATTTGTCAGGGTTATTTTTAACACCAGTGATTCCATTTTGATTCCTCAGAGATTTGAGGGAGAATTATGGTCATGAACTAAGAAGACGGGGGTAGGCAGATGTTTGTACTATTTGTGGTGGAGCTCCAACAAGCTCAGAGAGAGACTTCTAAACAAGTTCCCCAAATGATTTGAATGTTGGCCATGTTTTGGCTGCTCAACATCCACTGCCCCCATTAAAATCCCGGTCTTGCTTTTGGAGACCCCTTTGGCCACCCCTCTCTCCACTGTATCAGCCTTGGACAGTAGAGGATCCCTGCAACTGAAGCCCAAGAGCCAGAGCTGCCTCCTCTGCCCTGACACAGCTGGACAGGCGTCTACATCAGGTCTGGCCTGCTGGATGCTGCTTCCAGGACTGACAGTCTGAATGGGCAACCTCATGGCATGGAGATTTGCCAAGCTCACAAAGAGCACAGGGCAGTGACGTGCAGACCTGCCATGGTATAGACTGTCTAGTTCTGGGGCTCCTGGGTTCCAGTTTGTGCTCTAAGCTTCAATCTCTATCCATCTATTGATTTCAGGAGACTTACAATAAATTTCCTTTTCATTTAGGGTAGCCAGAGTCAATTTCTATTGCTTACTCTCCAAAAAGACGAATCATACAATAATAGAGCTATTAGTTTTCTTTCTCTTTAAAAAAGTCAGATGAAACTGAATGGGAGTTTATCCGTTTTACTTTTTCCAAATAAAGCTTATTTAAGTTCAATAAATAATTTATTGATTAACCTAACAAGTGCCAGGCACTGTCCTAGGTGCTGAACCCACAGTGCTGAGTAAGATAGACCATTCCTTACCATTCTGCAGAAGGAGAGCAAAGACAAATGGCAAGAAGCAATGGGCCAGAGAGAAGAGACTGTGAGGAGTGTTACACAGAGAATTTCAGGCAGGGAAGAGAGTTCTGAGACAGCACACTAGATGACTAATTTAGATTGGGTGGTTGGAGAAGGCCTGCTTGATAAAGGTGAGGCCAATGTCTGAAATATAACCAGACATCCAAATGAAGATCAGGAAGAACACCCAGTGATGAGCTCAGCTGGTACAAAGATGTAAAGATGAGGCAGAGTATGGCCCATTGAAGGAGACCACTGTGGCTCATAGGAAAGGATGTGAGGAGGAGCAGGACAGGAGCTTGGGTAAGCGGAGTAGAAGTTTACATTTTACCCTAGGCAAAGTGACACAAAGGCACTGGAGGATTTTGAGCAGCAAGTGACATAATTTGATCTGCACTTTAAAAAGATCATTTGTAAGATTGGGGGAGAAGAGATGATAGGGGCAAAATCAGAACAGGGTGCCCAGTAGGCAGCTACTGCTGTCACCCAAGTACAACAGGATGGCAGCTTGGACCGAGACAGCGCAAGGTAGGGAGAGAGATGTGGAGGACTTGGAATAAGTGTTGTCTGAAATGCTAGTTAAATGGATGCTGGGAGAAAGGAAAATCAATCTAATGGCTAGATTTTTAGCCTGAGTGTGTGAGTGTCCGATATTATGAACACTGACAAGAATGGAGGAGGGGGAAGCTGTGCTCTGGCCAAGGTAAGTATAATGTATCTTTTACACATAAGAGTGGAGCAGTCATGTGTGAGACTGGACACAGAGAATAAGGTTTACCAATGATTAGTATCATACAGGTAGCATTCAAAACCAAGGTCCTGAATAAGATCACTTAGGGAGACTGTTTAGACAAATGTCAGCAAGACCTGGACAGGTGCTCACTGAGGCTGTTCAGCTGCTCAGGTGCAGCCAACCACATTTTATAAGTCACCTGTTCCTGTTCTACCACTATTCACCCTACCCTTCCTTCAATAAAGCTATGTCTGCAGGGGTCTTCTAGGAAAGATATTCTTCACTGAAATAAAGACATTCAGGAATACACAGGTCTTCTTCCAGGATGCTGTCACCTCTAAATGTGATACTTAGAGCTATGGCAGCCACCTTGTGACCATGATGGAAGGTGGCAAGGGCAAAGTCTCCAAACTGAAGATGGCACAGCAGAAAGACAGCACTAGGCTGCTGACCTTATCAATCCTGAAGACGCCTTACTCTGTGACTGCTTGTGATGCTACAGAGTATTTTCTTATTGTTTAAGCCAGCTGAAATAGGGTTTCCTGTAATTTGTACCAAGAACATCAGGAAGTACAGATGGATGGAGGAAAGAGATTTGAACATGCATTTCAGAAAGTGGAAAAGCAAACATACTAGGGAAGTATGGCAGTGTTGCTGGGCAAAATTAACTACACACTTGAGATGTGTGATCAGGAGATGAGTTAGCATGATTATTTTTTCCATCCCTAGCAATTTCTAGCTAACTGGTGGCAGGGGTTGGGGGGATCGGGGTGGGGGTCTGGAACTTTGCCAGACAAGTACAAGAAGAGAGGAGAGAGCTCAGTAATACCAACCGTTGACATTACTGAGCAGATACTACATAACACTACGTAAATCCTCCCAAGTACTCCAAGAGTATTCACTCATTTAATCCTTACAATTCCCCTATGAGGTTAGTGGGAAGGTAGCTAAGGTCATTTGTAAGAAAGTGATTATCACAAAGAACCATGAAATCTAGGCTGTGTGAGGAGAGAAGAGAGGAAAAGAGGGAAATGATTGAGAGTGAGTGGCCCCAGACCTGAGGACTTAGTGAGGTCTGAACAGAACTGGAAGGTTAGGATGCTGCAGAGTGAGAGGCAGGAAATCGAGATTCAGAACAGAGCAGGTGTGCATAACTGGAGGTTGTGGGGTGACTGGGCTGAATGGGAAGGAGGAAGAGATCCCTGCAGGTGCAGTCACAGACTGCTAAAATTCAGCTCATGGACAGTATGAGACAATGTATAGATAATGCTCATCATGGTTTCTGGAATAAATTTTCTGTGTTTTAAAAGCCACTGAAAAGCAAATATTTGAATACTGAGAACCCATCATTTTTAAATAGGAAAAATAGTAATTTATTCTTAGCCCACCCAAAAGCTCCAATCAATTTCCCCACAAATCGATAAAATGGCAGGAAAAAAAACCCCATAAACTGCTATGTAACAGTCTACCACAATTTCTACATAATATTTAGCATTTTAAACACCAATTACCTACTTATTGAATTCTTAATGAATTATTTAGGGGATACGTGTATGTGCAGAAAATGAATCTATCAGCTACAGATTATGTTTCCTCCTATGTGGCATTAAACAGATAATGTGATGAAAATAAACAATAAGCTATGTTATAGGTAAAAGATGAATGCCAATAATGCTTAGCAAAATTAACAAAGAATTTCAAAACTGTTTACTTATCAAATGAAAAGTCTGGTGGTACAGGAGGGAGAGAGAGAGGCAAGAGTCACTGCTGCTCCCTGGTGATGCGGTAAAGCTGTGTGCCGGGGCAGGAGTGAGAACTGTTCACACTCAAATGAATTTCTTTCGTTGGTACTCAAGATCCTGGGAGTGAATGGCTTTGACTCACTGTCTGAAGCCACAGACAAAGTAAGAGGATAAAAACACTCAAAATGGATATCTTTGTTTCTTTTGCTTGTGATCTGTAAATAATATTAAAATGAGTTTCTAGTTTATAAGCGGTTGACTCTTTTCATTTATTCACTAGTTTTCAAAATTACAAGGTGGTTCCCTAGTATCCTCTAACGCTGAACAGTTAAGTTTTTAATCTTTGGAAATCATAATTAACTTATAGATTTTAGCCTATTTGATGTATGACAACCCACTGCAGTTAAAATCTTTATTGATGCTCAAACTACCCCATCTTTGACCAGTGAGGACTTAGTTAGATTGGCTGTGAAGTCCTTTTGACATGACCAAAATAGTCATCAATAACTTCCTGTTACCTGGTATCACAAAATGTTCCAAGCTCATCTTGTACCTTTCCTCCTCAGACCTTGATTCCTTTTAGTGGAGCTACATTTTTAAATGTAACGCTTTTGCTCACATCATGATCAAGTTTATTTACAATAGCAATGATTTCATATGGTATGTTCTGAATTCTTTTAAAGATTTTGCATTGAGATTCAAAGCTTCTCTTTTCTAACAAATGACGAGCACTGAGGATGAGCATTACCAAGGGAGTATGGGGAATGAGTTTTTTGCTAGTCAGTACTTCACTACATGGGCTACTGGATTGCCAACATTTTCAGTGTCCGTTTTATACTAATTTTATTGCTTTGATTTAACCACTTTCTTGAAAGCTTAAAAGTCAGAAACAAAATTTTGGGACCAGTTTTTTCAGGGTTGCATAAATATCACAAATGACCACTGTTAGAAACCAGGTTCCCTCAATGTTTCTCATTTGTCATTCTCAGGCTGCATCTTCTGTCCTTTCAGATTATCTCATGGTCCAAAAAGGCTGCTGAAGCCTTGCAATCAGGTCTGCAAACCAAATAGCAGGAAGGGAAAAGGGGGAATGGGAAGGGAGTGCTCCATTTTCAAAGCCACTGACTAAGTACTGGACAACAGTATCTGTTTGCATCTCACTGCCTAGAACTTGGCCATGTGTAGCTGGAGGAGGCTGGGAAATGTAGTTTCCTTGCTGAGTGTTTTGCCATAGCATAGAGAATAAAACTGGGACTCTCTCACTAAGGGAAAATGAAAATGGGTAGGCAATTAGCAGACACTACCACAAGTGGCAAAACTGTTTTCATCATGCAACAAAATGTCTTCATGTTCATGTATCACTTGGATAGAATAAAGATATACTTGAAATGTAATATTACTGTTTATTATTTTTCCTTCATTTAATCTTTTTGAGAAGACATCAAGAATTTTTCTCCCTAGGTAATAATCTCCTGCGATTATACTACTTAAAACACAACTTACTTTGAGGTAGCAACCTGTCTTAGCAGAGGCTTAAAGCACAGCAAGCTTTTGCCAGAGAAGGCAAGAAGTAAAATGTTTAAAATATCTGGTTATCTCCTGTATTCCCTGCTGCCTCTTGGGAGCCATGAGAACCTTCAATGCCATGGGGAGATGTTGGCAGCAATCTGAGACTACTCTCCCCTTTCCTCCAAGACCAAAAGACCTAAATTCAAAGTACAGAATAATGTGAAATATAGATGTTACTTCCCCCTTTTTATATTTACATGTATTAAAATAATCTAAAGCAAGCTTTGACATTTCACATTCAATTACAATGTAATGTGTAAAGAACTGACCATACCTTATGACTTTGGATTATAAAGTATGTTTTAGTAACATTTAACGGTGGAAAACCCAAGCTTTTTGTTCTGTTTTTTTTTTTTATCCTTCATCTTTTCCCTTCTCAAGAGAGCACAAAGAAAGAAGTCATACTGATAAAGGGGGATGCTCATAACAAATCTTCCAAGTTAAAAGTATGTGGATACCAAATTGAGGGCATTTACTGATATGCTTAGAAGTGATCTCTGACTTCTGATAGTAAATACCACTTTTGAATTACTTATAAATCTTCTCTCATAAATAGAAAAGCCCCACTTCAGGTTGTTTTTTCCTTGAACCATGGGAGGAAACACTGCAGTATAATGCTAACTTTGGATTATAAAGCCCACTGCAAGCTGATTCCTGTGGGACTCTGTGTCAGATGGCCTAGGCAAGAGCTTTCTTCATGCATCAGGGCTTGATGCTTACAAAACTAACTTCCTCTCACTTTACAATGAAAGCATCAGGGTTAAAGAGGAGTGAGCTATGTGAACAAACATGGCATGTTTACTAGTCTTAAATTGTGTCACAATCATACAAAAACCATAAAAATATTTATCCTTCCATTTGTGACCAATGTTTAAAGTGTTGTAATGCTTCCTATTCACTGAGGCCTGTTGTAAAGCAATGAAAACACACACGCACACACACACATGCACACACGCACGCACAAGACAGAGGGCTATGTAAGGAGAAAAACCTAACTGGCTCAACCCCAGCAGAACCTGCCTGAAGCATATTAGTTTGAGCTCTTTGTGGATTATGGTAGAGAAGCCTTTAGCAATCAGGACTGGAATGGGGAAGGAAGGCTGGACAGCAAAAACGTTTTTCCAGAGCAAATTAAGCAAACTGGCCACAATTAAACACTTTTGTGATACAGCTTTCATTAATATTTATTATAGAAAGCTTTTTCAACTATTATGCCACACACTGTTAGAGAAACATACACACCCAAGTCTTAATCATTAAAAACAAAATTACGCTTATTTTTCAATGTTTACATGCACCTTTAAAAACAAATATTTGCTGATACATTGTGATATCTTTTTAAAAAAAATTTTGAAGATGTATTGTTACCTACCAGAGGAACACAAAATCTTCCTTTCAAAATCTTTTATTTAAAGACTGCCATGGTGTGCATCTGTCCATTCTTGGCCAGCTCCCACCAATAGCACTGTGCACCCCTCCGCCTTTGAGTGCTGTCTTGAGGCTGTGAACTCAGATGCTTGCCCTGGTGGCTCTGAGAGGTCTCTGGAGGCTTCTCCTGCCCAACCCTCACTCACACCCATATGACCAAGACGTGAGCACATGACTCAAGTCAGACCAATCAACTCTCTCTCCTTCAGCGTGGATCTTGAACAGAGCAATGGAAGGAATGGCTGGGCTAGTAAATTGGAGTGAAGGCCTCCAGGTAAGGCTATCTGGAGCTGTACTTCCAGGGAGAAGTTTCTGTGATGGTGGAAAGGGTTTGTGTTTGCACTATGTAATACAGAAGTCACTAGCCACATGTGGCTACTGAACACTTGAAATGTGACTAGTATGGCTCAAGTTTTAATTTTTAGTTCATTCTGATCAATTTAAATTTAAATCATTGCATGTGGTTAGTGGCTACAATACTAGATGGCACAGGTCTAGAGTCTCCTGCCACTGAGAGAGTCTCTGGGGGCCCTTTAGCCTCCCATGAGCTCCCTTTTGGTGGTAACACTGGTTTCTGTTCAAAACCAAAGAAACTTGACATGACCTACAGTTCATTTCAACATGCCCAATGTCTTAGTCAATGATGCAGCTGAGGGAGAAGGTCTACACAACATCTCTACAGTTCATGGCCAGGGTAGGAGGATGCTGCACAGCACAAAGTGGGAAAACAGCCAGCTGATGCCTAGCGATAAGTGCGTTCTGTGGTCTAGACAACCTGGGTCACACAAAAGTGACCTAAGAAGGAAGACATTCAGAATCTAAATGATAATCTTACAATACAGTTGCTCAACATACACAAGAGAAGTGGTATCGGCCAGCCTGATCTAAACTGAGATCTTCCCAACAGACTTCTGAACATAACACCTATCCCAGGTACATGGAAACTGTCCAGAGAAACAAAACTAATAGAAAGAGGGGATCCAATGGACTCTTCTGTAGCAGCATACATGTATCAGATCAATTACTAGGGCTGCAGTAAGACATCTACCTACCTACAGTAAAAATATCATGCCATAACATGCCTAACCAACTATGTCTTACATGTGTTGCACTTTTTCATTCTAATCCCTAGTTATTTATATAGACAATATGTTATATATTATATATAAGTATATGTGATTGATTTAAAGTCATATTAGTATCTACAAATGTATTATAAGGATTATGGCTAGGCTGGATATTTTTTCCTTTTTGAGATTTTGTGTTAGGTTTTCCTTTATTAGGTTTTGTGGTAAGTACATAATATGTATTATGTATGTGTAATACATATATACTTGTGTCAAATGAACATGAATACATAAGCCAGCCCTAAAGAAAAGTCTTGATTACATTATTTTAATGCAGTAACATTTGCCAGAGATATAATGTTTCATGTTTACCTTACTAGACAAATCATGTAACTACTAAAGCAAAATGTCAAACTTAATACCTTGATATCTACAGATTCCACCCCTTAAGAGTTGTATTTAACATTTTATACTTTAAAAAAAAATCAAACTCTCTTAAATGGTGAAAACAAATCAACTATGTAATATTTCCTAGCCCAACTGGACACTGAATATGGTAAAGCATAAACCATGTAGTCTGTTTAAGAAAGAAACTATGTCATCATGTCTAATGATTTAAATAATAGTTATTTATTGTGCACTACAAGTTACTCTAAAACTCAGTGGTTTAAAACAAACACTTACTCTTTGATAGATTCTAAGGGGTCAGGAATCCAGGAAGAGCTTGGCTGGCTCTCCTGCTTCCAGGCTCCCTTCCCCACGGCTGGCAGGCCTTCTCGGTCCTGCACACATAAGCTACATTGCAGGGCTGCCTCTTGACAAGGCATTGCCAGGGCGAGTGAGTCAAGGAAGCCATAGTCTTTTTACAACCTATCTGAGAGGTGACGTCCCATTGCTTCTAAGTCAACATGGCCAGCCTCACTCCACAGGCAGCATTACACTGTGTGAACACCAGGCAGTCAGGTTAGAGGCTGCCTACCATGAGGACAAAGATTGATCAAGCAGCACACACTGTAAGGAGCATCTTTTCTTCCACTCATCTTTCTTTTACCAAAAAACCCCAGTATTTTTCAAGACAACATTCAGAGAGTATTTCCCAAAGTTCAAAATCATCCCTCATTCTTTCCAAATCAAGGAGGAAGTAAAAAAGAATATGTGAACCACTTATCTTGAAAAAATAATAGAGGAGGAAAAGTGTGGAGAGAATACTATGGAAAACAATCCTTTTGGAAAGCTCAACACATGAAAAACACACCGTACTTGCCAACCACAGTCAGAAGTGAAGGAAGTGACACCCTCACATCAACCGTTTTTCTTGTGTTTCTGAATTAACTGTAATAACTGTAACAATAAAGAGTGAACACTCCATTTCATAAAAACTGAACTTTCATGTTTTCATTAAATGAGGGTTCTAATAAAAGACTTAAGATGTAAGTGAGAAATCCTTACTAACTGCATGTTAGAAACACAAAACATCTGGCTAAGTTTACCAGGTGTTATCAGATAGTAAAATATCAGGAATAAAAGAAATAATATGTGAAAATATTTCATGTTACCTAGAAATGACCAAAGAATGGAGTGGACATGAAGACAAGAATGTTTCTGATATTCTTTATCAAAAGTAGGGCACATGATGAAAATTTAAAGATTCTGGGCATAGCAACACCATTATTAACAGGTAAATAACTACCACGTATTGAGAACTTACTAGGTACTATGTAATGGAATACATTACTCTTATAATGTTTCAAAGAATCCTATGAGGTCACTATCATAATTATCTTCATTTGACAAATCTGAAAACTGAAGGCTCAGAGCAGTAAGGTGGCCACCAGATCCATATGCACTAGTAAATCAGTGGTGGATTAGCTATGTCTCATTCTGCAAGTCACCTGCTTTTCCTAACAGTCAGCTACCTACCACTAACAGAGACCAGAAACCTGAGACCCATAGCTCCTTAGCTATCTTTGCCAGGGCTAAGCCTCAGCGAGACTTAATAAGCATACGAATATAACTGGGTAATCAGAACAAAAGGAAAAATGAATTATTACCTATCTCATCTGTTATCAGAGGCAGTGACAATGGCAGAAAGCTTCAAAACAAAATCACACAGCAGTCAGCTCCGGTTGGGCAGGTGTTGCTGGAGAGAAATGAATTACACGGCAAGGCCCGTGTGATGGAAGGGTGCACAACACTCTGCCTCCTCACTTCGCTGCAGATCTTCCTCCTCGCTTTCTATTCTCTGTGCTGGCCCACCTCAATCTTATCTTGCAGTTTTTAGGGCTAGTGCTACAAGAAAAGGCCTGAGACGTGAAAGATGTGGAACTGACCACAAAGCACAGAACCTGTGCAGAGGGGCCTGAGCCGATGTGTCATGTGTCCCACCCTGCACCTTCTGGGGTCTCCTGCTGGAGATCAGCCCGGGTGGAGCAGCCCACTTTTTTTTTTCTTTGTAACCTTTAACAGAAAACGAGCAGCAAAATGAGCAAATTAAAACAAGCAGGATATTTGACTATAACTAAAGCTATAAAGGTGAACTAGATAGCTTTACTCTTCATCGGGAAAATCATCAAACACTCTGTAAAAGGACAGCATTAGAAGATTTTGTTATTTAACGAACTAGTCAACAACTGTTTCATATTAAGAAAGTGGAATGAGCCATTCTTCTTAGCATAGCAAAGAAACTCTAACTTACTGGAAACAAATTATATTATAAAACATATCCAACATCCAGTCAGTTTTTCAAAACTCTAAGACATATCTCAAGAAAAACAAAACAAAACCAAACGATCTTTCCCTCCCATCCCAAACAAAAGTAAAATCAAGGCATACCATAAAACAACTAAAATCTCTATCTAAACCAGCAAGAAAAACTACCCACAACATATAAAATGAATGTATTCACCAACAACTATTGCTTCTTTAGGTTCAGTTGGGTAATTTATAAAAATCATCCAATATTTGTAAAAGGTTCACTGTATAGTATTAATAGAATATCAGTTAAAATAACATTGGCCAAAGCTGTCATAATAAAATGTTGGGGGATAACTTCACAAAATTGGCCACCTGTAGACTTCCTAGTTACTGAATTTGCACATAAACTTAATGTAGTCAGTTATATTAAACTGAATATAAACTTAAGCTGCAAGTTTAATAAACATGTTTTAACAAATTTTTTAGTTTTCATATTTCAAAACATTTTAAGGCACAGCTAGAGGTAAGATACATTTGAAATTCATATAAATGTTGACACTTTTTCCTTCCCATCCACATCTCCCAACTAGCTTCCTACAGGCACTGTTAAGTATGTTGGTAAGGAAGGTCAGTGACTTCCTTTCACTCCGCTTACCAGTGTCCTGAGGGTTCTAAACCCACAATGGCAGGTTCCAGAGGGGGCAATCCCTGTCCTGTATCCTGTTCCAGGAGAATGTGTGAAGGGAAGTTCTAGACATGACGAGTATTAATTACTGCTCTCCTAGCAAGAACCATCAAAGTATTGTCACTGTACAAAATATGGTTTATGGCAACAATGGATTTACCAAGGTGCACCTCTGAAAAATTATTTGAGATGCAGAGGTTAAAGGTTAAAAGTAAGCCATACTGTCAGTATTTTAAATGAAAAATTCTTTAAACACTGAAAACAAAATATGCATTGATTACAAATTTAAAATGTATATTGCAGATTTCTCTATTTAGCTAGCTCACAACTAATTCCTAGACACCCTCTTTGAACTCAATCAGAGCAACAACAATTAGTTGAATAACCAGAGAGGGAAGGGATGAGAGGTGGGGAGGAAAAAAGCAACGAGAGAGGAAGTGACACAGTTGCATGGCACAAGCATGAAGAGCAGGGCTGGGAGCACACACAAGAGATTTCAAGTGTGGGCCCAGCAGGTGGGAACTGGAACCACGGCCCACCCCAGGAGCCCCGTGGGGAAGCATGGCCTACCCCAGGCACAGAGTTGGCAAATGGGCAGAACTGTGAAAAGTATGAGACTATTACACCCTCTTCCCATGAGAAGACAAAGGGGTGCAATGGCAGCCAATGAAAAGTTTTAAAATCAGAACGCTTTTTGAGAAACAAGGCCCCACTTCTCAGCAGGGAGTCCCACAGAAGACAGCCATTTTGGTTTTTATCTGATAAGAGGAAAGCTGGAGAAAGAAGAAAAATATCAAAATCACCTAATCACTAATCACCCCCAACAATTAAGCAAGGGTTGAGTAAAAAGTAAAGCAAAAGTGAAAATAAATGAAACAAGATCAGTGGGACCAAGATGACTGAGTAGGAAGTGCCTGAGTGAGAAGTCTATGAAGCATCAATGACTGGAGCTGACATCTGCTGATAGAAGCAAACGGGTGCCAAGTGACTTATGGGCATTATCTCATTCAATCCTTCCACCTACCCCAGGATGTAGGGACTATCATCTTCCTCCACACAGATGAGAAAACGGAGGCCTAAGGTAGGGCCTGGAGCCAGGATGCAAGCCTGGGGAGCCTGCTCTGGCCCTCTCCTCCCCTGTGTTCTAGAGGGAGTGCACCTTTGACCCCTGCGCTGTCCCTAAAAACACTCATGGACTGTGCCCATCCTTCTTGTCTAAAGCTGGCAAGATGTGACGGGGATGGGGACAGGAGCAGGGCCCATAAACACCAGAGACCTACTGTCCTAAAATGCCAGACCCCTGTCCTGAGCTGGGAAACCATATTAAGCAAAGGGTGTGTCTCACAGGAAACAGATATGAGCAGATTCGGTGGAGGCAGCCTGGGAAAAGATATTTACAAAGCTGAATCATGGCCTCCCGCCCTGCTGGGTGATTCCTGCCTCCTCTCCTCCCATTCTCTCAGACAAAGAGGAAAAGCAAAAGAAACACCACAACAATTCTGAGCCCTCAACCAGAATCAACCCAAAGCTCACTCGCTGTGTAAAAGAAGAAGAATACTGACAGAGGTTCATGCTAAAAAAACAAACAAACAAAAAACCACGTGGAAGATTAACAAAAGACATGGCATAGTTACTGGACAAGACAGGCCAGCCTCCCCACTCCTCAAAGCAAACCAAACCAAACAAGCCCCCTACTGAGGACAGCAAAGGCACACACATGGCATCCTAAAGACACCGTCTTTTATTTAAGAAAGCCTAACTAATAACTGAAGAAAAGTTCCCAGAAGTGCTTACTATGAAATAATTTAGAGATGACATAAAATCAATATATGAGACTCAAAGAGGCGATGGCAAATGAACACGCTGAAATGAAAAACAAGATTGCAGAGCAACTGAAACACTGAGGACCAAAATAACATAAATACAGAACTAATAAATGAATTAGAAATAGCATGCTAGAAGGAATAAGGCTAAAGTCAGAAATCACGCCAAAGGCAAAACACTTGTTTAAAGGTGGTATATGCACACAATGAAGTTAGAAGCTAAGCAAATAAACGTTAAGAGAATAGGCATAAAGGATAAATGACTATTTAACAAGGAAAACTGCTGTTTCTAAAGCACAAAATCCAAGAGTTAGGAATAGAAGACAAGTCTATGGCTGAAAAGCCACATGATGAGGATGGCAAAACAGCAGGCTGGAAAGTCTGGTAGTCCCCATCATGCCTAAGCAGCGGAGCCATGCCAGCAGCGGAGCCATGCCAGCAATGCCTTCCCAGACTTCTTATAAAAAGATACCCAAGGCCTTGTTAAGCCACAGTCAGCTGAGTCTTCTGTTACCTGCCTCCTTTCCCCGACAATCCTTCAGCCTACTCACACTCAATTCCCTTCCATACAGCCTCCTCCCACTGCTGCAACAGCTCAGCCACATTCTTTGCAGTGAAGCCTTCTTTCCTCTCTCACTGCACATGGCTGGCAAACTCTCCTCCGTACACTGCATCACCCTTTTAACCTTTTCTGAGTCTACATCCGGACAGAGAAACACTGCTGCAGAGACCCATCAACTTCAACCGATAGTGCTACTCTGCAAGAGGGTAAGGGGGGCAGCTAACTCTCACTCCCCATAAAGGTGGTTGCCACAGCACCATTCCCCTTCCCTGCCTCGCCCCTCAGTCAGTCACACTCTTATGCAGATCATCTCTCCTGTCTCTCCCACTCCCACTGGTCCATTTTTCTCACTCTCACAGCTGCACGCCTACAGTACCTCAATTCCCAGCCTCTCCATCTCCTTGGATCACATCTTGTCCTGCCCCCTCCCTCCTCCCTGACACATGGGGCTCTGGCACAAGGAATCTATTCTCCAATTTAAAACAAATCCCATTGTGTCCTCCAGGGCCAAAATCCTTCAGCCACCAAACTGTTAGTATTCTCTCTGAATTAGTGACCAATAATGCTAGCATTGGTGAAAGTTCCCAGTGTTCTACATCCTTGCCAACATTTACTAGTCTTTAATTTTAGTCATTCTATAGGTGTTCAGTATTGTCTCATCGTGGTTTTAATTTGTATTTCCCTAAAGACTACTGATGTAGAGCATCTTTTTATGTGCATATTTGCCATACTTACATTTTCTTTAGTGAAGTGTCTGCTTAAATATCTTGACCATGTTTTAACTAAGTTGCTTTGTTTTCTTACTATTGAGTTTAGAGAATTCTCTACAAATTTTGGATACAAGTCCTTTATCAAAAATATGATTTACACATATCTTCTTCTATTCTGGAGCTCGTACTTCCATTCTCTTAACAGTGTCCTGACAAAAGACATTCTTAACTTCAGTAAGTCCAGTATTTCTATTTTTTTCTCATGTGGATCATGTTCTTGGTGTCTCATCTAAGAAACCTTAGATTTCTAACCCAAAATGAGAAAGATATTTTTCCCTGAACTTTGTTCTAAGCACTTCTGTTTTTAGGTTTTACATTTTAAGTCTGTGATCCATTTTTATCAATTTTTACATATTGTGAGAACTATGGATTGAAGTTCATTCTTTTGCATACGGACAACCAATAGTTGAAAAGCCTGTTCTTTCCTTGATTAACTGCCTTTGCATGAGGCTTTATTTTTCAATGTTCAACTCTGTATTATGTGTTATTTTTGTCTCTAAGGAGTCTACCAAAAACATCTCAAGATAAAGGACATAACTTTTTCCTAAAAATGCCTACAACTATTAGAAATATAAGGAAGAAAAATATGGGCATAAGTTCCTAACAATATTGGATTTTAGACAAAGAAAGCACAACCTAAAAGGAGTGATACAAAGGAAGCCTGTGGGAAGCGGGAGTGCCCCCAGGGGTAGTGGGAATATGGTCTAGATTACATATATGAGCTCTGGGGTGGGACACGGAAATTTAAATAACTAGTACGTAAATCTTAAGCTTATAATACCAGTTTTTGTCCTCACTGTTTCATATCAAAATGCACTTATATATGTACAGTAAGTCCTCACATAACATTGTTGGTTCCTGGAAACTGGGACTTCAAGCGAAACAACATGTAACAAAACCATTTCCCCTCACAACAACATTATAAAGGAACAAGGATGAACAAAAGGATGTGATTTCAGGAGCCGCTGTACATCATTTTGTTTAAAGTTGCAGTTTCCAAGAACCAATGATGATGTTAAGCGAGGACTTACTGTTATTATTAGCAGGCTAGCACAATGGCATTTTTGGCTCACGGTCAACACTGTGATACTGTGACTAGGCTTCTATGTTTGCAGTGGATACCTCCATGTAAATTATGAAAAACAGAAATGAGTAAAGAATACAACATTTCTGGGCCAGGCACGGTGGCTTACACCTGTAATGCCAGCACTCTGGGAGGCCAAGGTGGGCAGATCACTTGAGCCCAGGAGTTCGAGACAAGCCTAGGAAACATGGCACAACCCTGTCTCCACAAAAAATACAAAAATTAGCCAGGCCTGGTGATGCACACTTGTAGTCCCAGCTACTTGGGGGGCTAAGGTGGGGGGATCACCTGAGCCTGGGAGATTGAGGCTGCAGTGAGCCATGATTGCACCACTGCACTCTTGCCTGGGCGACAGAGAACCTGTCTCAAAAAAAAAAAAAAAAAAAAAAAAAAAAAAAGAACACAATATTTCTGAACACTGACCTGGAGTTCTGTAAGAGGGGGTTTGGGGAACACTGGACCCACATGGCTCTGTGACATACCAAAGAAACAATATCTCACACATCATCTTATAAAGCCCTCTTTTCCTGTAACCTCACCCTTGTGGCTATTCTTTGAGCTAATTACACAAAAGTTGTTTGTTCGGTAGTTTTTTTTTGGTAACACCGACATAAGATCAGCAATATAAGAGATACTTTCAAAGCATACTTAATACTCAAATATCTTCTGTACCTTTGCTCATGACTATGAATACAGCAGGTAAAAGTACACTTAAAGACCATGTTCAAAAAGGTATTCATCAACTACTGTTTGTGTTCATTTTAAACAAAAAGGCTTTGCAATTGTTTTTAAATCAGGGGTTCTGGCCGGGTGCAGTGGCTCACACCTATAATCCCAGTACTTGCAGAAGCTGAGGCAGGCAGATCACAAGGTCAAGAGATCAAGACCATCCTTGCCAACATGGTGAAACCCCATCTCTACTACAAATACAAAAAAATTAGCTGGGCACGGTGGTGCGTGCCTGTAGTCCCAGCTATTCAGGAGGCTGAGGCAGGAGAATTGCTTGAACCTGGGAGGTGGAGGCTGCAGTGAGCTGAGATAGTGCCCCTGCACTCCAGCCTGGAGACAGAGTGAGACTCCGTCTCAAGAAAAAAAAAAAAAATCAGGGGTTCCAGTTGTATTCTCCACTAAATTCTTCTTTTAGAAAGAAGGAAAAAAAATGAAAAACTTAAAAAATTGTCTCCAGGCAGAAGGACAGAGGAGCTGTCAAGAACCTGGCCTCCACCTGCCAGGGCGAGCCTGGAGTCCCGGAGGTCTGAGACCGCACCTGCTGCCCAGCACATGGCAGCCCTCCCAGTGCACACCCACCTCACCCACTCCTCACGACTCACCCATCCCAGCTTGCCATGGTGTGCAAGTTTTTCTCACTCCTCTGAAAAATTCTCTTGATACCACACTCATACCAAAGCATTCTGTAAAGGGCCCTAAAGGCCACTGTATCACTCAGCAAACACAGTGTCTATTTATTACATTTTCTTGTTCACTGCATGTCCTGACTGAGGATCAGTTACAGCAGGAGAACTTGCCCCTTGCCTTTTCCACACACGGAGACAGGTGAGTCTCTTATATTCCCAGGGAGCTGCCAGATGTGTGACCTATTAGCTTAAGCAGTATTTTTGCTAGTATGTGATTCTAAATCACTACAGAGTATTTTTTGCCACTGCTACATATTTGCAGCAACTATGTAATCTGCATACCCGTATTTTATTGCTCAGGCAACTAAAACCCTAAGAAAATGTTGAGGACATACTCATTATGTTTTCTTCTCTCTGGAGTACAGCACCCATCATTTAAAGCTCAGTAAACAGAAACTTCTAGTTTCCAATATTTAATGAATCACTGATGTCCTCCGTCTTTTGACGGCAGAGAGTCGCCCTCAAGACAAGCCTCTGTCAGACTGCGGATGACCAAGTGTGAGCTCCCTGTTTCCTTCAACTTAGAGAGGGATACAGATTTCTGCTCTAGAGGACTTCTAATATTACACATCAGCACATCCCCTGGGTGTTGTAAAGGCAAGTAAGTATTTGATAAAGAGAAGAAACCACTCGTGGGTGGAGTGGCAGCTTCCTTCAGCACATGGGTGAGCTGTGAGCCCACCACACACGGCTGCAGCAGAAGAGATAGGGCACCAGCCTAGGGTCCAGACCAGGGGTTACCGACGTACCACAAAGATGCATTTTACCTTTGGGAATCTTATTTCTATCACCTCCTAGGTAAGGTAGACAGGATGGGCTTGCCATTATGAACATTCCGGGAGGTCGCCATGTCCTCTCCTTGCCAGTCCCCTCTAGGTGCAGCAGCAGTGCTCCAACATTTGGAGTGCAATGACATGGTTGAGGTGCTGAGCTCTTATCAAGACATGAAAATGAGCTCTTCTCTCCTAAGCTGAAACTAATCTTTCTCCAGTAAAGAAGTTTCACCTCCTCTCACAGGTCTTTCTATAATGCAGAGGCTGCCAAGGTGAAATTTATGCCTTTGCTGTGTGTTTTCAGAGTGTGAATACTCATAGGAGATTTACTCATGATGGGTCTTTACTATTTACAAAGTAGCTGGATTTCTGAGAGGAGTCACTGGAGAATGGTAAATACAAGTCAATCACTGGCTGATCATGTATTCATTATAAAAGCCAGAAGCTGTGGTTTCCATTGATATAAGCTCCCAAAGAGCCTGTAAAAGAAAAAGGGAAAGGGAGCCAAATGTCGAGTGAATGCCAGGATAGAGTAAACTTTCCATTTACTCCTGCTGCTCCTGAGCATTCTCTTTCATTCCCTCATAACCCAACAGCCCTCATCTATTCTAGCAACTCTTCGGATAAATTCTTATACTGATCAAGCAAAGAATAATTCACGCTGCCCCTTTAAGTGCTGTGATTATGTAATTATAATGTGGTAAGGGGTTGATAAATATTTCCTGCATTCCAGTACCTTCAAAGGCCTCCTTACTGTTAAACGGTTCAAGTCTAACTGAGCTCCAGATGCTGTTGACAAAATCTATCAATCTTCGGTCAACCTTTTTATTTTTTTTAATCTCTTTTTACTTTTCAGGATTTTCTTTTTTTTGAGACGGAGTCTTGCTCTGTTGCCCAGGCTGGAGTGCAGTGGCACGATCTCGGCTCACTGCAACCTCCACCTCCCCGGTTCAAGTGATTCTTCTGCCTCCGCCTCCTCAGTAGCTGGGACTACAGGAGCCCGCCACCATGCCCAGCTAATTTTCGTATTTTTTGTAGAGACAGGGTTTCACCATCTTGGCCAGGATGGTCTAGATCTCCTGACCTCGTGATCTGCCTGCCTCGGCCTCCCAAAGTGCTGGGAATACGGACTTGAGCCACCGCAGCCGGCCGAATTTTTTTTTTTAGGAAAAAAGTAGTAGGCATTTAAAAACAAAACTTGTACATATGGTCAAGGAAGAGCTACACGTTAGTATGATGCCTTGGAAAAAAAGCATAAAACAGCAGCAGGTGACACATATCTAGTTCTTATTATGTGCCAGGCCCTGTCCTAAGAACTTTATCAACTTTTAATTTTCACATAAATTCTCTGAGGTGGTGCCATCACCCTCATTTTGCAGAACCCCCAAGAGGCTGTCATTGGCAGTGTGACCACATCCATCACTACGCTACCTCTCTCTCATGACAACAAAGACTGTGTGTGGCCATCTTCACTGACTCCCAACCCCACCCAGCTAGAGTAGCATAAAGGGCAGGATGGCACCTGGATTACCAAAGAGGCAAGATATTAGAAATAGACAGCAAAAGAATACTTGAAGTGCAACACTACTAAGGTATCAGTGGATGTGGATATAATACATATTTTGACTACATTAGAATAAAAGCTATCATAAAAGCCTTAAGGCAAAGAAACAAAGCCAGTAGCATTGACCTTTTGACATGGAGGTACCAAAACAATCTTTTAATTTTTACATTTTTACTACTGGACCATAATCACATATGATATAGCTGTATATGTAATGAGAATACGCAAACTTTTTGCTTCTGTAGTAGTTGTTAATACCAGTGATTTTTTTGGTTGTCTTTTTCTATACATCCAACATATGGTTTAAAATTTTTGAAAGTATGCTAGGGTCCATTACTCTTCAGAGAATAATTCATCATACAATTTCTTAAACAAAGCCCTTTCACTATTTGAAATGATTAAGTTTACCAAGATTCTACAATAATCTTTCATAAATACAGAATGAAAAGTAAGCTCGTACCTAATAAACATTGCAACCTCGGACTACATGACAAATTACTTCTTTCTCAAGGGAAATTTGAAAAAATTAATTTACTAGTTACCATTCTAATGTTTAATAGATGCACAGATTAGGGCTTTCTACATGGTATAATGTAAAGTGAGCAACTAACTAGAACTCTGGAAATTTATCAGATACTCTGATTTGAGAGATTCATATTTATCAGAAAATCATGACTTACAGCCTAAAAACTAAACTTGTAAATAATATTTTTGTTATGATGTTAAATTTATAAACACATCCCACCAAACTCTGTGAAAGCAGAAAATAAATTATGGGGTATAATAAAACACCCAAGAAGAGGTAAACCTACAGTATTATTTCATGGGCCTAAGGCTGTATGTACTGCATGCTCATCACAGTAAACCTCCTAGCCCAGAACAAACACCTTTCTATTTACATTGAACCAAATTTTTTGTCAAGTGTAATGAGGAGCTGACTTTCACGGGTTTGTGGCTCTTCTCTGATCCCTTATCTTGGTATCTAGAGAGCTAAGGACTGCAGTCATCAGGAGCCTTGCAAGCTGCTCACTGAAGCAGTTTCTGTACCCCCTTGTGGGGCTCCATGTGAATTAACACTCAGCACCTCCTTTCAGATTAGTCTATCAAGGTTATCTAAATATATCACTATGTGGTGGATAATCTTTGTATACTTTAAAGTGTTAATACAAGTAATTCTTCTGCATACAAAATTGTATTTTAATGGTATGAAATAAAGCACAATTTAAGGAGACAAGCTATAAATATGTTGTGAAAAAATTAACGTTAAGTCAAATAAATAAGCTAAGTACAGAGTGAAAATAATTACATTTCCAACTAATTACATTTCCAACTAATTACGATGGAAATAAAACTAATGTCCTTTCTGGCATACTTAAAGATTGATCCATAAACAAATTCACAGAAAGAACGTTAATAAAGTAAATCTGAATTGTCTTCAGTGCACAGGCCTCTCCCGGAAAGCAGACACAGGAAGACTGCACATCTGTGAAGAATATCTCTGGATGGTGTGCACAAACTTACTGGTTGACTTGAATTTCCCAGATTTTATAACTTGGGGCTAAAATAAAGGTAATGTAAGAGGATTAAACAAAGCACTATGGGAGGAAGCTGCGGAAAGTCTTCCCTGAGCAGGGGCACTGGGAACAAGAAGGCCTCTCCCAACAACAGCAGGGGCCTCAAATGGCTGAGACGGGGTGCAGACAGGATGGGAAGGGCAAAACTGAGCAATGAAAATAAAGTGTTCAATGCCAGGATGAGCTTATGCTTTCTTTAGTAAGCAATGTGAACCACTGGTTTTGATGTAAAGTTCATTTAGCAATCATGGATATAAATGTATGGAGGATAGAATTCCAGAGTTTAACTGTAAGATGCTGGATTAGCTCTGAGGGCAGGTAACAGAAGACTAAATTAAAAGTGTGATAGTAGAAACAAAAACGAATTCTAAACATAAGAGATGGGTAATCTAAAATAGCAAGCTGTCCATATCTCTTCAGTTAATAAAACATGTCAAGAACTGCCTATATTGGCAACCATTCGTATGACATCAATGCAACAATATGTTTACACTGAACATCATTTTCCTAATATCACAGCACATCTCTTAACTAACAAAAATCCTAAATGGCAGAATGGGACAATCAATATATCCTTAATTACCTATGTGACCTTGGAAAAGGTTCTAAGACTCAGTTTCCATATTTTTGATATGGGAGTAACCTACCTTTTAGACTTGACATAAAACTAAGAGACAATGGAATAATTCCTACCCCAGGACCTGGTATACAGCATAAACTCAAAGGAAAACTGAATCTGGAATTTATAGCCTGGAATTGAAAACATTTCAAACTGTCATACCAAAGTTGGAATAAAGTGTAAGGTTAGATTTATAAAAGGGTTTATATATTTAAAAAGTTCTCATCTCGGCCAGAGGTTTGGAATTGTAGACTTCTAATAATCTTATAAAGTCACTAAACACTAGTATGTATATATTAGTATCAGAGCAAACTAGTTAAATGTTGGCATGATATTAACCCTCAGATGAGTAAATATAGTCACAGTTAAACCCAGCATAAGAAAAGAAGTTTCATGTTCAAAAACTCTAAGAGCGATCATCCATACACTGACTGTATCTTTTGTTAAGATTTTTAAAAATTGTAATGCTTTCATGTTATATCGTCCCGAAGGAGTGGTTTCTGTTACAGTATCATGAAATATAGTGACATCAAGTATTTCATCTAGTTCTACTGTTTACGTGCTTTTGCTGTCCAAGTGTGTAATGTGAGTGATGGCAGCACTACAAAAGAATGTAGTTTTTAAAAGAAAAAGCTTTGCCCAGCTGCTTGTAATAAAATAACCAAACCTCACAGCAAGGGCTGATTAAGATAAAGATAAATATAGTAACAGATGCATAAGTCTGAAATAGATCTGAGAGAAACTGTTACAGAAGGATATTTCCATGACTGTCCTGATAAGCAATTTTTAGTGATTAAATATGCCTGGGCATATATATCTATTTTTTCATATAAAAGCTATTTATACTGCCTCCTTACAAGTTAGTAGTCATAAAATAATTTTTATTTTCAACTATCAAGTGCTAACTTGGTACACAGCAAAGTGATCATTTAGAAATGACATTTATTATTTATAATCAAAAGTATAATGTGAATTAACTTGGAAACTGTCATCTTTTTTCTCTTTTTCATTTTCAAAAAGCAAGCTAGTTGCTCATGAATTGAGGCTCTATAAGTTACGCAGCTCTATTTTAAAAATACATAAGCTCTAAGTTCTGGCATTTTATCTTCCATTTTATAGGAATTAAATATAATTAAATTTAAATAATGTCATGTAAACATTTTATTTCAGTTATATCTTATCTTAGAAACAACAAAGATTGATCATTTGTAATATATGGAAGTACTTGAAATTGCTTTTGGCTACTCCATTAAATCAGTTAGTGAGGCTTATACTGTAAAACAAATATGCTTCTACCCAGACTGTAGCAATTAAGCTTATGATTTATTTAGTGGCATAAAATAACACTTCATGAAATCTGTCCTAAAATAACATTTGTTAATAAAACCATTAACAAGATTATTCTGAAATATGACATCTTGTAATGAGACAGGAAGTGGGACTGACCTGCTACCCACAATCTGGAGACTGAGATCCAACCTGAGGGCAAAGACTATCGAGAACCCCAGATTCTAAAGACAGCAACAAACCTGAGCCTGCCCTCCTTTGGTGCTCATGAAGAGCACCTGGCATGGCACCAGCACAGCTACTGGCATCACCACCCAGACACTTCCTTCCAGCTATGCATTACGGACACGGAGAAGGGAGAGGAGGAAAGTCACTGTAGTCTTAACAAGGAGGGCTGGGATTTTGCCTCTGCTTGCTCCTTCCCCACCTTGGGGGTAGGAGGGTGTCTAAGAGGTCAAGGAGACTGAGGTGCCTCCAAGAACAGGAGACCAGCACTGCAGTGACAGCTGTCCCTGTGCTCAAGCGGCAGACTTACTGCACAGCCCCTCCTTCTACTGAACCAATGAAAAGAAAAGTGAGGGAGTGGGTAGGGAGGAGAACACTGGTGGCAACCTGCATACCTACTCTCTGGTGTGGTGAGGATAGGAGAGTCTCTCCTCAACATCATGGAAGGTACCTGGGCTGCAGCTACCTTGCCAGACCCTTACACAGAGAGACAGCCTATGAGGCAAAGACATGAGTTACGATTATTCAGCGGACAAAAATAACATAGGCTTAAAAAACATCAAAGCTTCTCTCTCCTTTTAAAATATCCCAAACTTGTAGGTATTCTTGGGTTATCTCTCGTGTTGTTCTGCCACCCGCTGGGTGTTGCTCTTGTCTCTGAGGTTGATGAGAATGTTCTCCAGTTCACATTGCAGCCATCTATGTGGGCAGAAACTTTGCCATAAGGCCATCTCCAAGCTATATGGGAGGCTAAAATGGTTATGTAGAGCTAAAATGGTTACGTTGATCTAGCTGGATCTGAACCAGGGTAGCAGTATTATTACTAAAAGGAAGAAAGATCCAGCCATTATTTGGAAACAGCTAGTAGTCTCTGCCACAGAGACTACTAGAGACTCTGCCACAGAGACTACTGGGCACTGCCAGAGACGAGTGGCAGTGCAAGATGGGGATCTGTAGTCAGACCTCCTACCTCAGGGAGCGGTGGCACCAACAGAAACCATAGGAGAGCCAGCAATGGACACATGCCACCCAGAGAACAGGAGCAGCAGCAGTGCGAGGAGCCTCTTGATCCAGCCTCCTCCCACCCCAACAGAGAGAAGGAATCAAGATCTAGAATGGGGTGAAGGGGGTCCTGGAGAGGACTGCCACTCCCTTGAAAGTGGAGGAGAATAACAAACAGATCACAGCCCCTTGCCACCAATGGGTCCCTCATCATATATGTATGTGCAGGTCTATTTCTGGAATTTCTATTTTGTTCCATGGCTCTGTTATGTCTGTTCTCACACTAGTATCCTGGTGTCTTGATTTCTGTACCTTTATAGTAAGTCTTGAAATCAGGTAGTGTTTAATCTACCAACTTTGCTCTTTGCATTTCCATCAAAATTTTAGAACCACCTTGCCATTGTACACAAAAATCGCTGTAAGTATATTATCCAGGATTGCACTGCATCTACAGATTAGTTCAAAGAGAAAGGACATCTTCAAAATACTTCATCTTCTGATCCACGAACACATTATGTCTCCATTTAAGTCTTCTTTCATTTTTGCTCAGTCATGTTTGGTAGTTTTGAGTCTACAGATCTTGCAAATATTGTGTTAAATTTAAAGTATTTCATGGTTTTTAATGCTATTGTAAATTTTAGTGATTTTTAAAAATTTACTTTGCAATGGTCATTGCTAGTACATAGAACCACAATTCATTTTATATTTTGAACTTGTATCCAATGACCCTGCTTAATTCACTTATTAGTTCCAAAAGTGTTTTGGTAGACTCTTTAAAATTTTATCTGAACATATCATGACATGTGTGAAGACAGTGTTTAAATTCTTCTTTCCATTCTGTATTTTTCTTTTTTCTTTTTGAGATGGAGTTTCACTCTTATACTCTTGTAGCCCAGGATGGAGTGCAATCGTGTGATCTCGGCTCACTGCAAACCTCCACCTCCTGGGTTAAGGGATTCTCCTGCCCCAACCTCCCAAGTAGCTGGGACTACAGGCATGCACCACCACACCTGGCTAATTTTTGTATTTTGTTAGAGATGGGGTTTCACCATGTTGGTCAGGCTGGTCTCAAACTCCTGACTTCAGGTGATCCACCCGCCATGGCCTCCCAAAGTGCTGAGATTACAGGTGTGGGCCACCGTGCCCAGCCTCTGTATGTCTTTTATTTCTTTTGCTCACTTATTGCACTGGCAAAAACCTATGGGACAATGTTGGATAAGAGTGACGAGAGTGGACAGGCTTGTTTACTTCCCCTTTTAGCAGAAAAGCATATAGTTTTTCATCACTAAATATGCTAACTGTAAATGTTTTGTAAAGGCCTTCTGTCAGTTTGAGGAAGTATCCTTTTGTTTCTATTTTATGAAATTTTTAAGAAATCATGAGTCAATATTAAATTCTGTCCAATGCTTTTTCTGTGAACATTGAGATGACCACACAATTCTTGTTTCTGTTAAAATTGTGAATTGTATTGATTTATAAATGAGATAAATCCTGCTTGGTTATGATGTATTATCTTTTTATGAATTATTGGATTTGATATGCTAAAATTTTGTTAGGACTTTTACACCTGTTTTCATGAGGGATGCTTGTCTGTATATATCTTTCATTAACTATTTTTGTATTTGGTAGGAAGGTAATGCTGGCCTGGCCTCAAACCATGAGTCTGGAAGTATGCTCTCTATTTTCTGAAACAGTTGGAGTAGAAATGATAATATTTCTTCCTTAAATGGCTGACTGAACTCACTAGTGAAGCTATCTGCTCAGAGCTTTCTTTGTGGAAAAATTCTTAATTACAAATTCAATTTCTTAAAAAAGTACAGAAGTATTCAGATTCCCTATTCTCATGTCATGTTTTGGTAATTGTGTCTTGCAAGTTGGTGAATTTGCTCCTATAATGTTTCTCATAATATTCTCTTTCTACTGTTTAAATGTCGTAGGATTTGTAGTGGTGAATGATCTTTCAATCCTGATTTTGGTCATTTGTGTCCTGTCTCCCTCTGACCTCACCTCTGACCTACCACCTTTCATTTCCTTGATCAGGTTGGCTTTTTTTTTTTAAACATTTTCAAAGAATCAGCTTTGGTTTTACTGATTGTTCTCTATTTGTGCATAACCTATTTCACTAGTTTCCTCTTTTAAGGTAAAAGTTTAGATCACTGATTCTAGACCTTTTTTCCTAAGATTTTAAAGTTATAATTTCCTTCAAGCATTGTTTTATCTACATCCCACAAAATTTAATGTTTTCATTTTCACTAAATTCAAAAATACATTCAAATTGCTCTTGTGATTTCTTACTTGACCCACAGACTACTTAGAAGTATATTCTTTTATTTTCCAATTATCTGGAGATTTTAAATATGTCTTTCGGTTTTTTATTTCTAATTTAATTCCACTGGTGTCAGAGAATATATTCTTATGTCAGTTTTTTAAATTTGAGGTTTCATGGTCCATCATTTTATTCTGATAAATATTCCACGTGCATTTTGAACGTGAATTCTGTTCTTCTGTTGAGTTCTCCGAAAATGTTAGGTCAAATTGTTTCCTAATACACCTAAAGTTTTCTATATTCTCACTGATTTTCTTTTTACTTGCTCTATCAATTATGTAATCTCCAACCAAAACAGTTGATTTATTTATTTTTCCTTTTATTTCTGGAAATTTTCATTCTATGTATATTGAAGTTCTATTGTTATGAAACATCCCTTCTTTATCTTAGGTAATATTTCTTGTCTTGAAGCCTAGTTTGTCTGGTGTTAACATAGCTGCTCCAGCTTTCTTTTCTATTGTTAGCATGGCATATCTCCTTCTATCCTTTTAGTTTTAAACCTATACTGTATGTTTATGGTTAAAGTGTGTCTTTTATAAACAGCATGCCATTGAATCTACTGGTTTAATCTGACAATCTCTTCCTTCTAACTGTATTGTATACAAAATTTACATTTAATGTAACTATCCACATGAGTTTAAACTTACCATCTTGTTGTTTTCCATTTTTATCACCTGTTGTTACTTGCTCTTCTTTCTTTTCCTGTCTTCTTTGGAATGAGTGTTTTTAGTATTCCATTCTATCCTCACTACTGGCTTACTAGCTGTATTTCTCTCCATTTTTAGTGGTTGATCAACAGTGGCCTTTCTCAGCTAGGGCTTTATGAGAGAATACAGCTAACAGGAAATAATATGAATACTTTAAAATATCCCAATGATGGTACATATACCTCTTAGATGCACAGGACAGAAGTTAATTCATTATGTACAATAGAAGTCTTGCAGAAGTAAAAATTAATTTTCACTCAATTTGGGGAAGTTTTGGCCATTACTTTTTAAAATATTCTTTCTTTCCCCACTTCTACTGTTATATCCACTGGACCACTTGATAATATGTATATACAATAGACCCAGGTCACTGAGGCTCTGTTCGTTATAGTTTTTAGGTCTTTTTTCTTTGTGTACTCTGGTTTCCACGGTGTCTATTTCTGTGTCTTCAGATTCACTAAACTTTTCTTCTACAGTACCTAATCTGCTGTTACTTCCAAAATTTACAATTTCTGAAGTAAATAAATGCAGCAAAATTTTCACTTCAGAGATTGTACATTTTACCCCTAGACATCTCAAATAGTTGTTTTATATCTTCCATTTCTCTTATTAGTTTTTTTCTTTTAAATCCTTGAGTATAAACGTAGTCGTGGCTTTGAGATCCTTTTCTGCCAATTCCATCATCTCTGTTTCTACTGACTGCTTCTGCTCCTGGGTCGTATTTTCCTGCTTCATCATCTCTACTACTTTTTTATTGGTTGCTAGATATTATGTAATTTTGTTCTGTGCTGGATTATGCTGTATTTCTTCAAAGCATATTGAATGATGTACCAAAGGCAGTTAAATTCTTTGCCAAGCAGGTGGATCCTTTTGGGACTTGTTTCTAAGCTTTGTTAAGACAGGCCTAGAGAATTCTTTATTTTAAGGATAGTATGGCCCTACCAAAGCATAATCCTTCTGGGTTTCTACTTTCTTCAGGGTGTCCTACAAAGCCTCTTTAATCTGCTATTCAGAATTTTAAATGTTCCCAGTTCACTTCTGTGTGAACTCTGGGAATTAGTCTGCTTACAGTTCTCTTTCTCTGGTAGTTCCTTTGTGGCTTTGTTGAGTTTTATCAAATGAAAGCACATCTTGGCAATCACCAACCAACTCAAGGTCACCCTCGTGCAAATTTCTGTTCTTCTGTGTAGCTACTTCCTATCCTGTGTTGTATCTCACATATTAATCCACTTCAGCCTCCTCAGAATTCCTAGGTTCCTCTTTCTTTCACTGTAGTCTGGAAAATGCCTCTAGGCAGAAAGCAGCAGTGATTTTAGGACTTCCCTTAGTAGATTATTTTCTCTCAGGATCACAGAACTGTGCTACCTGTAATCCAGTGTATGAAAACAGCTGTTCCATATATTTGCCCAATTCTCTAGTAATTTAAAGTAGAAAGACACATTTGGTCTCTGTTACTCTGTTACTTTCTATTTCTCTGGAAATAGAAAAAGGGTACTTTTGAATTAGACTTGAGAATGAAGTTTTGAACTGAGCCAAATTAAGCAGGCACCTTTCTCTTGAATAACCAAAAATGACTAGAAAGTTACTGAGTCAGTCAACAACACATAAACCAATGGGAAAAAAAGATTTTTAAAAGTTCAGTTGAAGGCAATAACTAGAGAAAAATAAAAGCATTTCATGTTTATACTCCACTTAGTTCATACTGTTCAACAAACTGCTTTGTTCTTTAAATATTATTTTTGCAAAATGTCATCAAGATAAATTCGAGTTAACTAACATCATTAAAGAGTAGTTTATACATCCATTACTCGCCAACCTTAAATTTACATCAGTTATGTTTCTGTAAAACCCAGTGTACCTGAGATAATTTTGAATTAAATCTGCTTTCTAATAGAAATATTTTAATGTAGTATTGCATTCCTAATCATGAAGAGGTTATCTGAGGATGACAGGATCATCTGCAAGAGGTACCAAAGACCTAGACCAGCTATTACGGTCTTCCCTCGCCCCTCCAACACAGCTAATCAGACAGCATTATTTCCACTGAACATGAACATGGCCCCAAACACTGTGACCAGGCTGAGCCAGCATATGAGAGTAAACTTAGCCACTTGTACCCTATTTCAATAACAGCTATTATAAAACTTAAAAAGCAGTTGCTATGAGCCAGGCACCATTCTCAAGCACTTTATACACTCCATTTAATCCTCACAAAACTCTATGGCACTGACACATCCATTACGGTAACACTAAAGATTAGAAAACGAAGTCCCACAATTGGAGTGGGGTGGGGGCGTGGGGTGGGGACAACATTCATGCCTAGGTGATCTAGTTCAAAACTCCGTAACTACTCCATCAAGGGCTGGCAAACTATGGTCAGTGAACCAGCTGCCTGTTTTGTGAATAAGTTGTTTCTGCCAGGATGAAAAAATCACAGAACTTTCAGATATAGTCATATAGTAGAAATTTGCTTGGGGAGGGATAAATAGGAATTATCGATCTCACTTACAGGCCACAAAAGTTGCAAGTGGCCATGGCAACAGGTATGTTTCTTGAGTGTTGCAGGCACTTTTGTTCTGCTGCAGTTACTGCAGTGTTGCTGTGTTTTAAGATGGTACTCCACATGTTCTCCCCAGGTCACTCTACTATGGGTTATCTTTAGAGTAGAAGCAGAACAGTGCCAAGAACGCAAACTAGGTCTTTGCTTTTGAGTCAACTGCAAATGACCAAATGTCTATTTGATGCTTGGAATACACTGTTGGAAAGGATTCTGAAGCCCCATCCTCACTTCTATACCATGGTTTACCACAGGATATGATTTGTGTCATCAATGACTTAGTCTACCAGATTCAGGGCTGAATTTCACACTTATTAAAAGTGAGCTGTATTCACTTGTTTCTATATCTATACAACTAATAGTAAAAAAGCACAAATGTTTTCAGGAAAAAGTGTTAGGTTTAATAATGGGAAAAATAATTGTTCATGTGACTTTTTGTTGTCGTTATCCAAAATAACTCAGTTTTAAAAGCCAAGTGTGAAGAAAAAGTTTTCATATTATTTTATTTAAGGCTAGTATCAAAGAGTTCAGACAATTATTTAAACTAACTCTTTAACAAAACTTCATTATAGGTCTAGATTAGTGAAACGCCAAATTAGGAAATATTTTAAGTGTTTTGTTTTCTCAAAATATGTAAATGTAGAATAAATCCAATAACACTAGAGAATTTCTGTTTCCACATTCCCTCCCTATACCATGACCCATTCCTCAGAATAAATTTTCTGACTATTCTTGTATTTCATTCTTCTGGTAGTCATCTCTATATCCCTAAATAGTAAACTTGTATCTAGGTTTCTGGATTTAATAATTTTACATAATGTCTACTGATTCTCCTAAATTTAAAAATTAGAATTTAGCTCATCTACACTAATCTTCAACTGCCTCTCCCAATTTTTAGCTCTTCTACTAGTTGTGATTGTAAGTATACAGAATATGATTACATTCTCTGTTTCACCAAGTCCACCATGTATATCAATTTCTCACTGATACTGGAGCCACAACACACTTTTCCTCTGAGCTTCCACAACCCACCTTAGGTAAGCTTCACTTTTCCTATAACATCAAGATTATAACCACTATCAAGACTTTATCACAGACTAGCTGTGTTGAAAATCAGTAATCAGTATCTGCAATATTATATATACACACACATATATGTGTTATATGTGTGTGTGTATATACACAATTTAATACCAGGCCAAGAGGTATACTAAAATTACATTTCATTCTTTACAAATCTAATGTCATAATCTGACCACTACAATAAATTTTAAAAATCTAGTTTTAAGATTAAATGGACCCACTTTTCTTGCTGATTGCTTAAAAGCCTGACCTTCCCCTACAAACTGAGGCATGAGTGGAGGTTCTCCTAGGATTTCTAATTGCTTTTTTTCTGGGAGCATAAGGTTGAAGTGGAGATAGATGTTATCCCCAAGTTGTCAACCATTGTTTTGCTTCAAGAGTCTTTTGTACTCCTGTTCCAATTTGGAATGGCTGTTTTCTGGACTATTGTATAGCCATTATTACCTCAAAGACCTGCTTTGACTGTGCAATTAGGTTGGTTCCTCTAATTCCTGAAGGCCAAGTCTCTCTTTCTTGGTTATTACTTTGTTTTCCTGGAGTACATACTCAACTATCTTTCTGATAAATGTATTTGGGAGGCTGGGCATGGTGGCTCACAACTATAATCCCAGCACTTTGGGAGCCCACGGCAGGAAGACTGCTTGAGCCCAGGAGTTTGAGACTGAGAACAGCTTGGACAAAATAGTGGGATCCTATCTCTAAAAAGCAAAAAGAGGTATTTGGGAAGCTAACTTTTCTAGGCCTTGCACATCTGAAAATGTCTTAACTTTGCTATCTTATATCTAGACATATCTTTGCTATCTCATATATATCTATATACACCTCAGGTACAGAATTCTAGGTTTAAAAGTGTATTTACCTTTGGGTTTTGTAGGCAATGCTTATAGCATCCATGTTGCTGATGAAACAACTGATGCCAGCTTAATACTTCTTCACACACAGGCAACTTGTTTTTCTTCCTCTCTGAAATCTTTTATGATCTTCTCTTAATCCTCCGAGCACTGAAATTTCACAAATACACACCCACAGTGACTCTTTTTCATTAACTGTTCTGGCTTTCAGTGGGTCTTTTTAATATAAAGATGTGTGTCTTTTCCATCTCTGGGAATTATCTTCCTCCACTATTTTGATAATTTCCTCTCCTCTCTTTCCTTTTCTCTAGCTTCATTAAGTCAAATGTCAAACCTCAGAGGTTAATTCCCCACATATTTGCTCTTGCATTTTTTTTTTTTTTTGGTCTTTGCTCTACATTTTAGAAGGTTACTTCAACTTCATTTTCTCACATTTCTACTTAAATTTTCATTTCAGCAATCCTTTAAAAAAAACCTAATAGCTCTTTTTTGTAATATCATTGTTTCTGTATTAGCTGTTTCCTTAAGGCTCAGTTGTTTTTCTTTCACACTGTCAATTCTCCTCATGTACTCCATGACCTCTTGGTTATGTGTTCTTTAAGATAGTAACACCAGGAGAGTGGGAACTGTTCTCCTCCACTCGTGTCAGTTGGCATATTTTGGGGGAGGGCCTCCTCCCTTAAGGGGGAATTCTGAACTCTATTTGCCCCAATAGGCAGGCTTTACTTGATATGAACAGAAAACAGTCTGACTATCGAGCAGTAGACTCCACAGAATGAGAAGGATTTTATTGTGCAACATCAAAATCCATATCATCAGGAGTCTTAGTTTTCTGAATTTCGTCTCATGTCTAAAGAAGTCAGTTTTTCTGAAAACTTGCATATCTTCAGAAACCTCTTTGCAGTACATTTAGGCTAGGGCTTTTCAACCCGTCTCATCTGTAAAATCAATCCCCTCTTCCTAAAGAGTTATATATCTCATTTGTTGATGCCTCCTTTCCCGTTTTCTTTGGTATTCATGTTTGTAATTATACCTTTTTTTTTCTCTTTTATAGTTTATGTTTTCATTTTGGTGAAGCCTTAAAATGAGAAGGCAGATGACAATGCTCAGTAACTAGTCTGCTTTCTTGACCCAGAGCCTTAATGATTTTTAAGCTTATAAAGGAAAGTTACGGCCGGGCACGGTGGCTCATGCGTGTAATCCCAGCACTTTGGGAGGCTGAGGCGGGTGAATCACAAGGTCAGAAGTTTGAGACCAGCCTGGCCAACATGGTGAAAAGCCGCCTCTACTAAAAATACAAAAAATTAGCTGGGCGTGGTGGCAGACGCCTGTAATCCCAGCTACTTGGGAGGCTGAGGCAGGAGAATCGCTTGAACCTGGGAGGCAGAGGTTGCAGTGAGCCAAGATCACGCCACTGCACTCCAGCCTGGGTAACAGTGTGAGACTCCATCTCAAAATAAATAAATAAATAAATAAATAAATAAAAATAAAAAATAAAGGAAAGTTACAATCACACACAAAAGTAGGGTAAAGACCACAATGAAAGGTCATGTACTTGATGGCCAACCTTCAAAAATATCTGTAAGCCAATAACATTGGTTAATTTGTGGCCTCTACAATAATAAACCCTGAGCAAAGCCCTCTATAACTGGCTCATATGGGTAAGGATTACACAATATCTAGAAACCAGTTGATAAAAATGAGTGTCATATAATTTGATTTTGTAACCAGGTCAAGAGTTCTTTGCAATATCTGCTACACAGGTTCACAGAATAATGGTCCAGAAAGGTACACCAGGCCTCACAGAGTCCAGTACTCTTCTTTAACAAGTAATAAAAATTCAAGAGTTGGGTGTGTATGCCCCTATGACTGGGGCACATAAAGGAACAGGCTCAGGCAATCTTAATCACAGGTAACTTAGAGGTATGTATAGTTGAACATAAACATATATTTTAAGGGTTAGATAGCAAACTTTATAAAAAATTATTAAACTGACATTTTAGACAAAGTATGCCCATGTGACAGACTGCTAGTGCACTCCGTGTGTGTATGTTATATTTTGGTGAGAAGTCTGAGAAGCACAAAGCTACTCAGGAGCAAAACCAGATCTCCAGTACTATAATCCAGGTCTCTTGATTATCAGTCCAGATGGCAGAAAGGGAAGTGTCAGCTTAGCCTACAGATGCATCATTGAAACTTAGAACTAGCAATGCATGCCCTAGAAAGGTGCCCCAGCTACTAATGTAAAAAGCCATGGGATAACTAACATGTGTATGGCACTTTCCAGTTTACAAAGCAGTCTTTAAAAGGTAACAAATATAATGTCTTTAAAAAAAAACTTTGCAATACAGATACTATCATCACCTTCATTTTACAGAGAAAGAAAAGATCAGAGACCCAAGTACCTTGCCATAATTAGCAGCCTGTCACACAATTAGTTAATGGTTTAAACCCTGTCTCCTTAACTCTAAACCTTTACAATGTAGGATGAGGCCCATGTTTTTCATTTTCACCATTCACCTGCTCCCTTCTTACGGTGTCTTGCTCTTGTTTAATGGCTCTAACAGCCGAGTAGGTTAACTCAAGGTTTTCCAATGTATGTCTTCAGTTGCCTGCACTTTTATTCCTTTGGGCCGCATCTGCTTGCCCCTCAGAGTCTTCCGCAAGTGGAAAGCAAGTATGAAGCTACCACAGGGAGTACACAGCATTCTCCCTTGGTAGTGGTTGCAACTGAAGAGGTAAAAGCATTCCACTGAAATGCTGCATCCTTGCTGTTAGTGGTTTAAGGGAGCCTCGGTCTATGATTCAGAAACATTTGGTTGCTTCTTCTCTCAGGTACTGAGTACTCCAGGCAGGCAGGGCAGAAAGGTGATGTAGGGAGCTCATTTCCCCTTTCCTAGCCCCTTTTCTCTACTCTGTAAATGCATTCCTTCACCTAACACTACTACCACCTTTTCCATATGAGTTGTTGGAAGATGACAACGCGGATTTGCTGGTTCCAGCCCCTCCACCCACAGATATTGCACTTTTGCCCAGAGCCCCTAATTCTGGACTCACAGATCTATCCTCCTAACTTCCAGTTTCAGCTACGGGCTGCTCTGGTCTTCATACATTAACTCCAGATGACCAGGAGGATGTTCTCAAGCAGAAAAAATGAAGACCAGACTAAAACCCCACAGAGTCAACCTCCACTCAAGGACCAACAATCGTAATAAACATCATCATTCCAAATTCAGTAGCTTTTTACCATTAAAACTTTATTCACGCAGAAACAGTTTTCTTTTATACATGAAAGCACAAAGTGCTCCACCTAAACTTTGGGTTAAATTAGGCTTCAGCAGTATTCCATAGGTCTTCTCATCCTATGTAACATTTCTATAATGAGAACATACTCTGGTTTAAAATAAACTCATTCCAACATAACTCATATCTATGTTGGGAGGGCACAAAATTTAAAGTGTTTGCAGCCATATGAAAGTGCAAGGACCACACACACACTGAGAAAAACATAACACTTCCTAGACATTTTTTTTTTTTTAAGAGACGGAGTCTCACTCTGCTGCCCAGGCTGAAGTGCAGTGGCGCCATCTCGGCTCACTGCAACCTCGGCCTTCCAGGTTCAAGCGATTCTCCTGCCTCAGCCTCCTGAGTAGCTGGGACTACAGGCGCACGCTGCCACATCCAGCTAATTTTTGTATTTTAGTACAGATGGGGTTTCACCGTGTTGCCCAGGCTGGTCTCAAACTCCTGAGCTCAGGCAATCTACCTCCCTCAGCCTCCGAAAGTGCTAAGATTACAGGCGTGAGCCACCACGCCCGGCCCATAGACCTATTTTTTAAAACCCATAATACTTCTAGTTTTTATGACAATATGCCAGTTGTAACTATTTCCCAGTCTTCTTTGAGGTAAATCCATACATATTCAATTGTGATGCTTCTAAATATATTCAAGGATATGCATAATACAATATCTAAGCATGTATTTAATAGACAAGAATATAAAACAAGATGCTGGCATGACTACTATTATATCAAGGTTTATCCTACTGAGGTGGTATGATTCAGATAATTAACACTTTCTTTTTTTTTTTGAGATGGAGTCTCGCTCTGTCACCCAGGCTGGAGCACAGTGGTGCGATCTTGGCTAACTGCAACCTTCACCTCCTGGGTTCAAACGATTCTTCTGCCTCAGCCTCCTGAGGAGCTCGGACTACAGGCGTGCGCCACCATGCCCAGCTAATTTTTGTATTTTTAGTAGAGATGGGGTTTCACCATATTGGCCAGGCTGGTCTCGAACTCCTGACCTCGTGATCCGCCTGCCTCAGCCTCCCAAAGTGCTGGCATTATAGGCGTGAGCCACCACGCCAAGCCAGATAATTAATATTTTCTAAGCATCTAAGAAACCAGTCTTCATGAACTCCCTCATAAAACATAGATTAATTCACAGAAACACTTACGTGTCTGGAAGGCCTACAGTGAAAATATGATAGAGACAGACAGTAGTCTAATACAAAAACTATGTAGTGACAGATCTAAATATAAACGTTTAAATTTTCCATTTCATTAGTTCATACTTAGATTGAAAGATAAACATTTAAATTATTTTCAATATATGATTCTGCTAGTAATATTCTAATTTCAATAGAAACCAAGTGCCTTTAATGAGAAAAGTACATTTTATTCTGTATTAATGAATTTCCAAATGTAATGTTTCAAGTTTAGTCATGTTATACTTCTAACCGTGTCACTTTAAAATTACGAGAAGGAAAAGAGGGATATATTTTGTTCATTTTAATAAAACTACATGATACAAAATGCAGTTGAAGAAATGTTTGAGTTCAGCTACCCCTTTATGACACACAGCATCCAGTCACCAATGATGGCTTTAAACACTCGTGCTCTGGGAAACGTTCCTAAAATTTTAAATACTATTCCACAAAACAAAAAAACATTGCCAAATCCCTTTATGACATGATACCCAGATCTGTACAAACCTTATCTTCAAAACCTAACTACAAAGAGAAACAAAGTGTTTACCTGGCTGGGTCTACAGAGCTAGTGTAAGAACTGTCTCCCAGCAATGGAGTTTAAACTGGCATCAAACTCTATCAAGTGAGCCAGAAGAACACTTTTACTAAAATTAAAATTCCATTTTAGATTTTAAAAGGATATGCTTCTTAAGCCAATTAAAGTTCCTGTGAAGGTTGTAAGCAACTAAAATTGACTCTGGTTAGCATAAGGAAAGGGGATTTTTGGAAGACTCTCAGAGACCATCAAAGGGAGGCTCCAAAAGATAACATACAGAGACCAGAGAGACCAACTGGCAACATGCAGGGAAAGGGTCAGCACATCTCCATGGAGACTTCCAGGGCTGCTGGGCTCCACCTCCCACTGTAAAGCCCTGTGGAAGAGCCCCAGGCTGCAGAAACTCAAAGTTCCACACCCAAAGAGAAAGGAGGTGGAGGGGGCCCTGGTTCGCTTCCCTAGTGGGAACAGCCCTGTGCTTTCCTCATAGAAACTGGGGTGTTCTCAGGAAGGAGAATAGATCCTGGACAGCTAAAAAGCAACAAACGTCTACTGTAGATTCTCAATAAGCCAATGATACCAATATACTTCTCAGTATAAGTCTTCAGATGAATTTAGGTTATATTCACACTGTTTTGGCTTCTGTAAGACTCAAAGTAGACACCCCTTGTAGAGCAAAAAGGGAATAAACACCTTCTGCTTGTGCTGCACCTAGAATCTTTGTTCAATTCTGACTGTGATCAAAATGAATAAAGAATCAGTATTTGACCTACCCGGTGCCATATGTGGTACCTATCAAACCAAACAAGGTAGCAATGCACCCACCAAAATACACTTGTACACAATCCAAATAAGTTTGCACACCTGTATTTATCACTTTGATATAAAGAATAAGTTTGTTTCAATGCTTTTAAAAATATATTTTATGAATAGTATGCATAGAAAAATTTCAGTTGGAGGTTGCTACTGCCCAATTAAAAAGGATGAAAAAATAACTGTCCTAATATGATCAAACTACCTTATAAAAATACTAATGCATGAATTGAATTTCATGTAGAATGAGTCAAATATTAATAGTCCAAATAGGGAAGATATATAAATTTTTATTAGAAACATGTTTCAAAACACTTCTTTAAAATAATAATTTTTAAGTTTCCCTTCTCCAAATGGTCAGTGTTACAAATTTGGAAATATCCCTCATATAGATGTACTCAGGAGTTAGCTAAAAGGACATTTGTTTGTTTGCTAGAAACGAAGCAAAAGATAAATCTGAACTTAGAGCAGCATTCATCAAAACACAATCAAAAAATGCTTTACAACAAATTCAATAGAAAAGAGCATGCTTCCAAATGGTAATGGTGGTATGTGCATTTGCTTGCAGAGACAATTAATACATGCAGCTGGTGTCAACCTTCCGTAAATTTCAATCAAAGCTTGACAGCTACCAGTTATATTTCACACAGAGTAATTATAGCAAATGGCATTCAGGCTTAATGTTCTGCCATTTCTTTTTTTTCTGAAATGTAATCAACAAGATATTAAGACTGCTTCTGCTTAGTTTTCTTTAATATTCACAGTGACAAAAATAAATATTCAGTCTAAGGCATTTAGTAAAAAATGTAAGTGAGGAAAGAAGACTACGTTTAGTAGGGCTTGTCCTATGACAATTACTTCAAATATATGTAGCCTTTCTGCATAATAAGATATTATATTAGTCCTTCTATAATGCAATACAAAATCTTCAATATGCTTTGTTGTTGTTGTTTTTGAGAAGTTTCGCTTTTGTTGCCCAGGCTGGAGTGCAATGGCGCAATCTCAGCTCACTGCAGCCTCCGCCTCCCAGGTTCAAGCGATTCTCCTGCCTCAGCCTCCTGAGCAGCTGGTATTACAGGCGCCCGCCACCACGCCCGGCTAATTCTTTGTATTTTTAGTATAGACGGAGTTTCAACATGTTGGCCAGACTGGTCTGGAACTCTTGACCTCAGGTGATCCACCCGCCTCGGCCTCCCAAAGTGCTGGGATTACAGGCATGAGCTACCGTACCCGGCCTAAATATGCTTCTAATTTTCTATAATTCCAAGACTTTTCTATATATATTGCACAAGCATGTGAGTATCAGGCATCAAATGCTTTTGTATGTTAAATAAGGAAACACAACAGCAGCTCCCCCTGGAAATTGTGTTATTCTAAAAGCTGGTGCTCCTACACATTCTTTATGTGGTGTCACAACTAAAATAGACATTAGGATAACGAACATATGGTCCAGATTTAATAGGCCATGTGCTTCAATTTTTATAGTAAAGTATTTAAAATGTCAATTCTTGTATCCAAATGTACTTTTAAACTTCATCCCACAATAATTGCCTATTTAATCCCACTACACCTGTGCCTGCTGAAGTACACTTAAGGTGCTCTCATGCTCCCCCAGCTTGCTACTCTTTTAAAATGTTGCTTTCTACACATCCCGTCAGTGTCCTGGGCCAATCAGCACATCTTAGGAGTCAAGGGAAATCCTGAAGCCGAGAGCACTGTGCGTTTGCCTTGCTCCTCCCTGGGCCTCCATTCGGCCCAGCAGAAATGGGAGCAGTGCCCAGCACCCTCCCACCTCTGTCTTAAGACCATCAGGATTCATCTGAAAACACCCGATACCCATTCTAATAACCTTCTCATTCACATTCTTTCTCCCATCTTCTGCTTAATTTTTCCATCACCACATTTACTATGGTCTAACATAGTATATATTTTATGTATCCGTCTGCCTCCTCGAATGTAAGCTCTATGAAGGCTGGGGGTTTGTCTCTGTTTACTACTGTATTTCCAGCCATTACTAACAAGTATCTGGTGCATAAGCAGTACTCAATAAAATAATTATAGCTGAATATATTTCACAAACTTACAAACCAAAAAAAACTTCACTGTAAAATCAAGTAAGACCTAGTAGGCATAGAACATACTCTAAAGAAATAGGAGAGCAAAATACTGACTACATAACATTTGTACTTTAGCATCAATATACATCACTGACTGGGATTTAGGAGAACAGAACAATACACAGCTGTATCAGTCAAGTTTCTTGGCAGCTAGCAATGGATACCAACTTTAGCTGAAGAAGAATTTGCTGAAAGGTTTTTGGGTGGCCCCCGAAACTACCAGGAATGCTGAAGAATTATGTTCAAAAAGGGCAAAAACCAGTAAGACACCATGAAGCAGGACTGAAGCCCCAAGCCACACCCGAGAGGCCCACTTCTGATAAGGACCCTGCTGCCCTGGGCAGAGACAAAGCTGCTGAAACTCAGCAGGGACCCAGAGATTTGGAAAGGGGGATTAAGATGCCGGCAAGGTTAAAAACACACACATGCACACAAAAAGGTTCACTATAGTCATGGTGTACAACACCCTTCACTTGAGTACTTAGTATAAACATCAAAGAGAAAACTCTTCCAGGTATTCCTTGTAACACAGTTATCTCCTAATAGCTGCTATAGGAGCTATTGGTGATGACAGGATTCCACTATAACTGACTAGTATGAAAGTGTTAAGGTTCAGTGGCTATTAATTAGCACTGTAAGTGAAAATAGTTGAAAAACTATGATAAATTTCACATATTTGAACAGCAATTTAGATTTCTGCAATATCAACTGGCATTGAAAATGTTACATTTATTTAAGGTCGCTCAAAATAAAGGTACCAAATTGAAGTATTTAAAACCCTCTGTCTTTATAACAGATGTTTTTAAGGCATCAAAAATAACATGCATATGTGTACATTCATGAGGCAAATCAGTAAAAAATAATTACACAGTGGCCCCCAAACCAGGCATTGGCAGGGGGATACCTCCAGTTCCAGAGCAATCACTGACAAACAAATTCAGTGGTTTGCATCTTAAAAGGATCTGAGCTCTTTGACGAACAATTTTTGCCACTTTAATTCTGCACAGCCATAAAACACAAATAATTCCAGAATCTTAATATACTTTCTTTTCTCTCTTCTCAGAGGTGGAAAAGGGCTGACCAGGTATATTTGAATTTAAGAAAGACAATCTGTTCTTTTGAGTCTAAGGATTAAAAATAACGGGCACACAAGAGAAGGTCTCTCTCAAGGTGTTATGTAGGGCAGGGAAACAGGTACTGAAACTGTGCCTATTGAAAAGCAAACTACAGCAACAAAAGAAATGGAAACAGAATACAAACGTGCAAAGCATACTGATTATTAGCAGAAACAAATCCAAAAAAAATATATAAGCCTATTTTCTGGGTATGCCTCCTAAAAATCCTAGAAAATACAAAATATAGAGAAAATCATTTTATTTCATTTAACAAATATTTACTAAGCACCTATCATGTAATGAGCAATGGGCTAGATACTGTTAATACAGTAGTCAATCAAATGAAACAGTTCCTTCCCTACTGGCACTCAGAGTGTTATGATGACACATCAATGACCTCATCAGCACTAGCAAAGAGGTGAAACTGCAAACTGGAAGATGACAGGATGTTATAAGGTTCTTATTTCAATACCTAAGGATGTGTTCTTAATATACTTGAATTAAAAACTCAAATCCTTTAGGATTTTACAATACAGTACTTATTTTCTGTTGAATTACTAGTAGTAGTTGTAAGCCTTATGAATAATTAGCAAAAAATGTATAACTGCAAAGTCAAGTGTATAAAAATTGAGAAAGTAAATATCAGATTGGCAACTCAATTTATATTTCTAAATAACAGAGGACTTAATCCACATTAAATAAATCTTTATGTAGGTTAACAACAACAAGATGAAAGTGAACTTCAGATAAGGAAGATAAACATCTACTAAACAGTCAAATATATAAAATTAAAGCATAGAAAAGGCCCCAGATCCATAAACCTGGCTAACCAAGCTTCACCTAAGGTTCCTGTTCAATTTTGCTAAAGAAGGCTATATGACCAATCCTAGGAGAATTAAACTTCCTTAGTAGTTCAAAATGATGCTATATCTGAAACTTGCTCTCTAAGGGAAATTAAACTGAACTAGTTGCTCCTAACCACACAGAAGAGAGTAACAATTAGGCAAGGAAGGGGCTGGGATAGCAAAAGAGAAAAAAGGACATCCATTAACACTAAAACACATTAAGTTACAGTAACAATGATGACTAGTACAACACACACTGGGTGGTGATCTACCAGAACCCTTTCAAAGCCTTCTACATGTATTCATTCCTGTCATCCTCCCAATGCCACTATAAAATATGCATGACCACTCTTGCACTTAAGGATTAGGACAGAAACACAGAGAGGCAAGTCACTTTCCCAAAAGGCCACAGAGCAAAGTTTCAGATCCAGGCAGCCCTGCTCCAGGGCTCCAAATCACCACGGAGCAACAGGTGAGGTTAGTGGTTTTGTAACAGCCCATATTTTCTCAATCTCTTTTTGAAACACTGATGTGATACATGACTGATTTCAAAGTAGCTCATTTTAAATATTAGGCATTCTTGGACCTGTGAAAAATTAATCTTAGAGGAGCTCTATGGTGATTTCTCATTTTTCAAACACTTGCTTCTGGCTGGGAATAGAACGGGAACTTCCCTAGGCATGTTTAAAGTTGGCCATAAAAAAAGGTAATGCAAAAGTACAGTTAGATAATTAAATAAGTGTTCTCAACCACTTGACAGAGTGAATCTTAACACGGCATCAGGTAAAAGTTTGCTCCTTTGTTTTCATAAAATGTCAACCACTTCAACAGGCCAAATCTCCAAGCCGAACAGAAATCCCATAACTTATCACCCAAAAGGATGACTATGGCCATTTCCAGAGGCTTTCTCTGCCACTGAAATGCTAGTGATCAAGTGTAATTATTAACAGGTCAAGGAATAAATTGATTCCAGGGCAGTGGAAATTATGTTGATGAAATGAAAAGTGGTCTTGCTGACAATGCATTATCATTTCTAGACAGCACATCTGAACATCAAATCTCACATCATGGAGATGTGCCAAATGCCAGTGACCTAGTTTCATTAGGGTGGGAAAGATAGAGCAATCTATCCTTTGAGACTAGTACCAAAATAGCTTTCTAAAATACAGCTTCATGCATTAAAGGTTTTAAGTGATTGTCCATGGAAGGACAAAAGTAATAACCAGAGCCAATATCAAATACAAATTTCCTTTACGTACCCCATAAGCTAATGGGGTACATAATATTATCTGCATTTCAAAATTTGAAAAAAAAATTAGGAACAGGTCGAGCGCGGTGGCTCATGCCTATAATCTCAGCATTTTGGAAGGCCAAGGCAGGCGGATCACTTGAGACCAGGAGTTTGAAACCAGCCTGGCCAACATGGTGAAACCCTATCTCTACTAAAATTGCAAAAACATTAGCCGGGTGTGGTGGCGGACGCCTGTAATCCCAGCTACTTGAGAAAGCGAAGCACAAGAATCCACTGAACCCCAGAGGCAGAGGTTGCAGTGAGCTGAGACTGCAGATGACAGAGTAAGACCCTGTCTCCCAAAAAAAAAAAAAAAAGAGTATTGCATATACAAAATTGTTATTAATGTGAATTCTCAAAAATATGGCCTATGTCTATCTACAGAGTAATGTGACTTTAATAAAATTATTTTGGACTCTTTTTCCAAACAATAACAAACGAGAACAAAACACTGTAACAGGTCATTATTTTTTCGAAACTCAACAAAGGTTACTGACTCACTTTGCAGCGCCACATCTAAAGAAAAATGCAAGTAATGAAACACTAAACTTTTTTTAAAAAAGGATCTTTATGTGATATGCACAGAAAAACATAAACACTGAACTTACAACATAGCACCATGGAAACAAAACCTGTCACCTTATACACTGGCAAGACTCAAGAACAATAGCTTATAGAACATAGAGGACAAGAAACAAGTCTGGAAGACAATGGGTTTATAAAATATGTTTGCCATGTGGTTTTCTTCCCCAAGTAAAGAATGTGAAAATGGGATAAAATCACCTCTTAAAAGAAATGTATTATACAACACCTGTAATGCCAGCACTTTGGGAAGCTGAGGTGGGAAAATCGTTTGAGCCCAGGAGCTCAAGACCAGCCTGGGCAATATAGCAAGACACTCATCTCCACAAAAATTTTTTTAAAAAACCAGCCAGGTGTGGTAGGGCATACCTGTAATCCCAGCTACTTGGAATGCCGAGATGGGAAGATCAGTTGAGCCCAGGAGTTCCAGGTTACAGGGTAAGACCCTATCTCTAAAAATTAATACTAAGATTTCCACATACCTTTTAAAATGTTAAGGGCTAATAATCTCATCTATAAAAATGGATGCATAAAATACCATTCCAATTTAAGCATATACAGAATCCAGAATTACAATTTAGCATGAAAGAATAATATACCACTACCATGTACAGTTCATTCCAGAAAAGCTAGACTCTGTCAACAATGGAAAATCTATCTAAATAATTCCAGTATCAAAAAATGTAGTATTATCAACATTTCAAGAGAGTTCCTTAACATGATTAAGGAAGTATATCTCAAACTAAAAGCCAGGAGAAGGTTTTATGGTAAAACAGAAGTTTTTTGTAAGAGTTGTAAGTGAAAAGGAAAGGTATCTAAAACCTAACATTAAATCAAAATAGCAAGCTGCAGAAGAGAATGTATAATATAATAATTTTAGGGAAAAAATCTATGTATGTATGTATGTATGAATATATCAGTGTATGCATTTAAAAATTTCTAAATGGCAGGCATCAAATCATTAACAATAATTACTTATTGGGGCTGTTTTCCCTATTGTTTGAATCAAAATCAAGTGACATGAGACAACTACTTTTAAGAAATCCTCAATTACTAAAAGATGAAATTTTGAAATTCCTCAAAATTATTTCCAACTATGATTCTGATTTCCTAATCAGACATTATTAGTGTTTATATATTTTCCTTTTTTTAAAAAAGGTAGCAATATTACTTTTGTCTTTGAATGCTCTGGGAGTTAAATTTGGAAGTAATGCTATTCCTTTCTTATTAACTGAGATTAAAACAGTTTGGTATGCAAGATTCCCCACCAAGGGGACACAGGCTCTGAGGGTAGGGTGCTCAAGGTTTCCCCACTGGAGGAGGCATCGTAGAGGCAGCAGGTGAGTTTTAATGATGAGGTGTCAGGAAAGAAACAGCAGAAGGTAGAAGACCAAGGGGAAGAAATTGTAGGAAAAGAAAACAACGGAGGGCTGGCAACATGCTGCATGAAGTAAGATCACACAATAGCACTGCCACACAAGGGTGCCATGCCTAGCGACCACAGGATCCAGCAATATAGTCACAAAGTCCTACTTTAAAATGAAAAAATAACGGGGAAAGCAAGACACACAAATATAAAAACATTCTAGTTTCACAGTGTAATCTTACGCGTAGCAAAAAGATTATTTTATAAAAGTCAATTTTACATACGTAGTAAAGAAAAGAAACCTGAACACTGAGGATTTTTTTTCCATCTCTTCCACAATCTTGACAGATGGTGCTCACTCTGAGTGACAAGTAACTATAAAAACCAGTAAGTCTATTTCAAAGGAAAAGTGGTCCTTTAAACTACTCATACCAAATGCCTTTTAAGATCGTCACTGTTAAGTCTGATTTCACCTTTGTGGGTAACAAATCTTGGAAGTAGTTTGGCGCGATTTCAACGAATGGAAAAATAGAAAGTCTGGATATACAGTAAGATAACTTTTCTGATTAAGTGGTTGGTCATTTCACAAAAATAATGCAACTGAAGAATAGTGCATTTATTAATTTAATGAATCATAGCCCTTCCTCTTCCAGCCAAGATAGGGTAGCAAAGACTGGATTTACCTTCCTACCTGAAAAACTCAAAAAACAGTTTTCAAGACACTGGATAAGGCAACAAAGGACAGTAACTGTTGAAACAAGCGACATGAGCCCTTAGACTGCCCAACCTAACTTGGATGAATATCAAAATAATTATGCTCAGGAAAAGAACCCAGGCAAAGAAAAGATTCCGTAAGGGATAATAACATTTATGTCAAATTCTGGAAACAAAAGCTAATCTTCAGTGACAGAAAGCAGTTCAGTGGTGGCATGAAAAAACTTTTAAGAGTTTTTTCTCTTCTTCATTATCTTGGTTATGATTTCATGGGTGTATATATGCCAAAACTTATCAAATTATATGCTAAAATATGTGTAGTTTATTGTACATCAATTATAACTTAATAAAGCTGTTAAAGATATTAAAAATGAAGAAAAATTATCGCAAACAACCATTAAGTAACAACAAAAATAAAGTGTTAGTCCTTACAACGTGCCAGGTAATGACATAGGCACTTTACATGTATTATCCTAGTCAATTCTCACAACAACCTATGATATAGGCATTATTATTATCTTTATTGTACAAAAGAAACTGAGATAAATAATACAGAGAAATAACTTGTCTAAAGAAATACAGTTCAGTGATAGAGATGGGATTTCCAACAGTATTAGGCTATTTGTGTTGCTATAAAGAGATACCTGAGAGTAATTTATAAAGAAAAGAGGTTTAATTGCCTCCCAGTTCTGCAGGCTGTACAGGAAGTGCTGTATCAGCATCTGCTTCTGGTGAGGGCCTCAAGAAGCTTACAATCATGGCAGAAGGCAAAGGGGGAGCAGACATCTCATATGGTGAGAGCAGGAGCAAGAGAGCAAGGAGGGGGAAGTGCCACACAGTTTTAAACAACCAGATCACCTGTGAACTCGCTCATCACCAAGGGGACGGTGCAAAGCTGTTCATGGGAAATCTGCCCCAACGATCCAGTCACTTCCCACCAGGCCCCTCCTCCAACACTGCGGGTCACAATTAACATGACATTTGGTGGAAACAAATATCTAAACTCTATCACAAGCCAAGAGGGACCTCACTCCAAAGCACATGCCATGAGCTACTTATTCGACTCCACAGGTAGACATGGCTAGTCATCAGATGTTTAACCATAAATGTTACTGCTGAGCTAGTGTGTTCAGTTTTCTTAAAGGAATGTAAGCTTAACTCTATTATTCCAAATCAGAGTTCTTGTTATCATTAGACTTGACATTTACGTCTGTCGGATGGCATGCTGACAGGTACACACTGAAATATCTCTCTGATGGTAAGTCCAAACAATTCACACCCTGTTTTTCACATTACAGGCACTAGAGGTTCAAAAAAGCAGTCACCAAACTGGAAGGTTTGTAAAAAGTGAATTCAGTTTTATTTTTAAAAGATAAGGGAAATGAACTGCCGCTCTTCTTAATTTATAGGCAGAACTAATTTAACTTCCTTGATTAACTTTCTACATATTCTATTTAATGACTCTGAGAAAAAGGTAGGTCTTTCAACATCTGCTTTCTAGACTGCTTAAAGTGATTCTTGAGACCATTTATTTAACTTGATACAAAAATAAACACTATAGAATATTAAAATGTAAATAAGACCACCTTGATTACTGCTGGATAATAAGAAAGTAACCTGCCACTCATAAAATGAATAACCTGTTTTTTCTAAGAGAGCAAGTTACTAGCAATTTTTAAAAATGAGAGCAATAAACACTGACATAAATTTGAGGTTATAAGGAGGAAATTAAAATACTCATAACCAAAATCACCAATTAATTAGATTCCATTACTTACATAATTTGAACACATAAATAAAGCTAATTTTAATGAAAAAAGGGCAGTTAAAGTAAATAACATACTCATATTATTAATTCTCCAATCTTTTCTGTATAACTATCCTTTGAAGTTAATCTCATTCTCTTTTCTCCAGGAGCAGTAATTTACGCATTCAAATATACACACTGAGGACTTACCAGTGGGCTAGGCCCCTTGGTCTTACACTCGAGAGAACAAGAGATGAGCTTCAAAAACTTAGTTTTACATTTATGATCTATTTTGAGCTAATTTTGGCACAAATTATGAGGTTTACATCAAGGTTCTTTTTTATTATTTTCTGCACATGGAAGTCCAATTTTTCCTACAACACACTTTCTCCATTGAATTGCCTGTGCATTTTCCTCTTTCAGGATTTTTTTAAAAGTCTTGAATTTTAGGGAGTTTATTTATGATGTGTCTGATCGCGGATTTCTCTGGGCTTGTTTAGGTTTACTCAGCTTCTTAAATCCTTATATCTTTCACCAAATTAGGAAAGTTTTCAACCATTATTTCTTTGATTTTTTCCCCCCTGAAATACACTTTCTCCTCTCCTTCTGGAACACTTGAGACACAAATGTTTAACCTTTCAGTATTATCCCACAGGTTCCTACGGTTCAGTTCATTTATTTTACACAATGATTTTTTCTCTGTTGTTCAGACTGAATAATAATTTCTATTGCTCTATCTTCAGATTCACTCACTCTCTCTTTTGTTCATCTTCATTCTGCAATTCAGTCCATCCAGTTTGTTTTTTATTTTGGCAATTTTATTTTTTAATCCTAAGATTTTTATTTGTTGGAGTTACTCTCCTGGAGTTCTCTCTGTCTGTACCAATGTCCATTTCTGTGTTTCAGGATGCCTTTAGAACAGGCCTCTGGAAGGCAGGAAAAAAATGAATCCCACGGTTTTTTATTTTCCACCCAGGCTGCTCTCGAAAACTCCACATCTGTGTAACAGTCTACTTAAAAGTGTACTTGATATTTAATGACCATTTTGAAGCCAACACGTCCAAAACAATATTCTTGATTGTCACTTCCCAACTTGCTTTTTGAATAGCTTTCCACATCTCAGTACAAGGCAACCTCTCTTTTCAGTTACTGCAGCCAGAATCCTTGGAGTCATTCTTTACATCGGTTTCTTTTATGTTACCCATCTAGTCTATCAAGAGATTCTTTTGGCTCCATCTTCAAAAGATACCGAGAATCTAAACCATACCCCACTACTTTCACCATTCCCATCCCAGTAGAGGCCCCTATCACATTCCACTTCAACTACAGCAACAGGCTCGTGGCAGGAATAGGCTTCTTCCTTCTAACCTGGCCCTACTATTGTCTGCTCCTAACACAGTGATGACAATGAACCTTCAAATATCTAAGAGCATGTCACAGCACGTCACACCTCTGCTGAAAAACCTACGGTGAGCCCCCTTCTCACTCAGGGTAAAAGTTAAAAGTCCTGACAGTGGCTATAAGACCTCTAGATCTGACTCCCCTATTGCTTCTCTGACAGTATCTCCTATTGCTCTCCTCCTCCTCCTCTCTGCTCTGGTTGTGGTGATGTGGTGAATGTTCCAAGCACACTCCCATCTAAGGCCTCTTTACTAGTTGATACTTTTGACTGACATGCTTTTCCTCAGATCTGTATGATTAATTTCCTCAACTCCCTTAAGTCTTTATTTCAATGTTACCTTTTAAATGGGGTTTGCTCTGACCTCTTGGTTTTAAACTACAAACCCACACTCTCCTTGGACCCCTTCCCCTATTTTTTTTTTCTATAGCACCTTCCACTTCTGCCATAATACACAATTTATCATGTGCTAGGTCTACTGTTCCTGTGCTAGAAGGTAACTGCTTGGTGGCAGGATCTTCCTCTGCTTGTTCACGGCTGTATCCCCAGTGTCCACATCAGCACATGACTCAACAAATGTCTGCTAAGGCAAGTGAGTAAACATGCCTGGAAAACAGTATGTGAGCAGGAGGAGCAGTGGTAGGAGCTGAGGTCAGAGAAGTAGCCAGGGACCCACCTTGCAGGACATGTCATCTATTAAATCTTGGTGATGGCTCCGATCCCACGGAAATACAAACTACCATCAGAGAATACTATAAACACCTCTATGCAAATAAACTAGAAAATCTAGAAGAAATGGATAAATTCCTGGACACATACACCCTCCCAAGACGAAACCAGGAAGAAGCTGAATCCCTGAATAGACCAATAACAGGCTCTGAAATTGAGGCAATAATTAATAGCCTACCAACCAAAAAAAGTCCAGGACCAGACGGATTCACAGCCAAATTCTACCAAAGGTACAAGGAGGAGCGGGTACCATTCCTTCTGAAACTATTCCAATCAACAGAAAAAGAGGGAATCTTCCCTAACTCATTTTATGAGGCCAGCATCATCCTGATACCAAAGCCTGGCAGAGACACCACAAAGAAAGAGAATTTTACACCAATATCCCTGATGAACATCGGTGCAAAAATCCTCAATAAAATACTGGCAAAACGAATCCAGCAGCACATCAAAAAGCTTATCCACCATGATCAAGTGGGCTTCATCCCTGGGATGCAAGGCTGGTTCAACATATGCAAATCAATAAACGTAATCCAGCATATAAACAGAACCAAAGACAAAAACCACATGATTATCTCAATAGATGCAGAAAAGGCCTTTGACTAAATTCAACAACCTTCATGCTAAAAACTCTCAATAAATTAGGTATTGATGGGACGTATCTCAAAATAATAAGAGCTATTTATGACAAACCCACAGCCAATATCATACTGAATAGGCAAAAACTGGAAGCATTCCCTTTGAAAACTGGCACAAGACAGGGATGCCCTCTCTCACCACTCCTATTCAACATAGTGTTGGAAGTTCTGGCCAGGGCAATCAGGCAGGAGAAAGAAATAAACGGTATTCAATTAGGAAAAGAGGAAGTCAAATTGTCCCTGTTTGCAGATGATATGATTGCATATTTAGAAAACCCCATTGTCTCAGCCCAAAATCTCCTTAAGCTGATAAGCAACTTCAGCAAAGTCTCAGGATACAAAATCAATGTGCAAAAATCACAAGCATTCCTATACACCAATAACAGACAAACAGAGAGCCAAATCATGAGTGAACTCCCATTCACAATTCCTTCAAAGAGAATAAAATACCTAGGAATCCAACTTACAAGGGATGTGAACGACCTCTTCAAGGAGAACTACAAACCACTGCTCAATGAATAAAAGAGGACACAAACAAATGGAAGAACATTCCATGCTCATAGATAGGAAGAATCAATATTGTGAAAATGGCCATACTGCCCAAGGTAATTTATAGATTCAATGCCATCCCCATCAAGCTACCAATGACTTTCTCCACAGAATTAGAAAAAACTACTTTAAAGTTCATATGGAAAAAAAAAAAGGGCCCGCATTGCCAAGACAATCCTAAGCCAAAAGAACAAAGCTGGAGGCATCATGCTACCTGACTTCAAACTATACTATGAGGCCACAGTAACCAAAACAGCATGGTACTGGTACCAAAACAGAGATACAGACCAATGGAATCGAACAGAGCCCTCAGAAATAATACCACACATCTACAACCATCTGATCTTTGACAAACCTGACAAAAACAAGAAATAGGGAAAGAATTCCCTATTTAATAAATGGTGCTGGGAAAACTGGCTAGCCATATGTAGAAGGCTGAAACTGGATCCCTTCCTTATAACTTATACAAAAATTAATTCAAGACGGATTAAAGACTTAAATGTTAGACCCAAAACCATAAAAACCCTAGAAGAAAACCTAGGCAATACCATTCAGGATACAGGCATGGGAAAGGATGTCATGTCTAAAACACCAAAAGCAATGGCGACAAAAGCCAAAATAGACAAATGGGATCTAATTAAACTAAAGAGCTTCTGCACAGCAAAAGAAACTGCCATCAGCGTGAACAGGCAACCTACAGAATGGGAGAAAATTTTTGCAATCTACTCATCTGACAAAGGGCTAATATCCAGAATCTACAATGAACTCAAATAAACTTACGAGAAAAAAAACAAACAACCTCATCACAAAGTAGGCGAAGGATATGAACAGACACTTCTCAAAAGACATTCATGCAGCCAACAGACACATGAAAAAATGCTGTATCACTGGCTATCAGAGAAATGCAAATCAAAACCACAATGAGATACCATCTCACACCAGTTAACATGGTGATTATTAAAAAGTCGGGAAACAACAGGTGCTGGAGAGGATGTGGAGAAATAGGAACACTTTTACACTGTTGGTGGGACTCTAAACTAGTTCAACCACTGTGGAAGACAGTGTGGCAATTCCTCAGGGATCTAGAACTAGAAACACCATTTGACCCAGCCATCCCGTTACTGGGTATACACCCAAAGGATTATAAATCATGCTGCTATGAAGACACATGCACACGTATGTTTATTGCGGCACTATTCACAATAGCAAAGACTTGGAACCAACCCAAATGTCCATCAATGATAGACTGGATTAAGAAAATGTGGCATATACACACCATGGAATACTATGCAGCCATAAGAAATGATGAGTTCATGTCCTTTGTAGGGACATGGATGAAGCTGGAAATCATCATTCTCAGCAAACTATTGCAAGGACAAAAAACCAAACACCACATGTTCTCACTCATAGGTGGGAACTGAACAATGAGAACACTTGGACATAGGAAGGGGAACATCACACACTGGGGCCTGTCATGGGGTGGGGGAAGGGGGGAGGGATAGCATTAGGAGACACACCTAATGTAAATGACAAGTTAATGGGTGCAGCACACCAACATGGCACATGTATACATATGTAACAAATCTGCACATTGTGCACATGTACCCTAGAACTTAAAGTATTAAAAAAAAAAAATCTTGGTGATGGCTGACAGAAGCCACACTGTTTTTCTGAACTCATTGACTCCCAGCTTTATATTGCCTTATCCCTGTTTGACTACAACAACAGTATTATAAAGGGCAGTTATGATGTTTGCTCACGTTTCATCTCTCCTAACAGATTTTAGGTGATCAATTCCAAGGGAGCATTACTAAGTCCTACATAAACCTGTTTATTCCACAGCTACTAACAAAATGGTCTGTACACAGTACAAAGTCAGCAAATAACTCCCAAACCACCCTAATTACACAAAAAGAACTAGTCACTGAATTACACTTTAATGTATAAAAAGATGAGACTTCATAGTGTGTGCTCGTGTATACGCAAGGTATGTTAATAATGTTAATATGTTAATAAATACACTGGACTTCAGAAGGCTGAATCAGTGCCAGCTTTAAGGAAGTCACCTGGGGAAGTGCTACACTAAACCCAACTACTCTGTTCTTTCTTCACATCGGTAAAATGTCAACATTATGTAAGCCTCTTTTTTAAAAAAAATCGTTTTGTTATGCTTTTTTTTCTTCCTGGAATAGTATGACCTTATTAATCATATTTGGCACAGAATGATCTTTTGATATTTATGAAAATCAAATTTACCCTCACAGGATAAAAATGAGTCACTGCTGAGGATATTTAAAAGAATAAGCTCAGATTCTGACGGAACTTCTAAAAGGATCTCAACAAAGGTTATAAACAAAGCCTTTCAAAATGACTACTGTGTTCAGGACTACACACACTCACAGGATTTAAAATCGAGTTCCAGGAAAACATGCCAAAAGACTGCCCTACTGCTGAACACAGCCAACAATGATGTACAGTAATGCCCCCAGATCCCTCACCCAGGGAGGGGAAAAAAAGACAAAACTGGAGTTGGTCTCTTTTTCTGGTTCCATGAAACCTCTGTGCTCTAATTTTCCTTCTTCCTTTCTTTTTAAATTTGGAAATAGTCAGCCAATGGTAATTACTATAGCTTCTTTTCCTGAAAAGTTTCTAAGATAATCCTAAAAATATGCCCACATTTGTCACTACCCCAACCAAATGATCAAAGATATTATCACCCAAAGTGGGATGACCTAACATTAGGAATCACATAATAAACACAAAATGAAACATGCAGCATTGACATTTTAATGTTGTTGGCAAAATGTCTTACCCTAAACCTAACCATGAGGAAATATTAAGTTAAATCTAGAATGAGCAAGACTCAGACAATCGCCTGAATTCTCTAAAAAAAAAAAAAAAAAATCTATCTATCTACCTATCTACCTACCTACCTAACTACCTATCGTGTTTGTATGGGGACACTGAGGAGATGTTAGCCAAAGTACACAAACTTTAGACATGAGGAATAAGTTCAAAAGATCTACTGTATGTCATGGTGACCACAGGTAATGATAACATATTATATACCTGAAAATTGCTAAGAGTAGATCTTATATGTTCTCACCCCATATATACACACACACTAATGAGTATATGAGGCAATACATGCTAATTAGCTTAATTTAATCACTTCACAATGTGTGTGTGTAGATATATATAAAAACACTCTACATAGAATTTTTACTTGTCAATTAGAAAAATAAAATACTTAATCCTTTAAAAAAAATGGGTAAGTATCATGTTTCAGGTTAAAAGAAAAGTTACCATCACCAAACATGAGACACAGGGACATCATGCAACCCCAATAGGATGCCCTGAGAAGAACACAAATTCTTGCCAAAAATGAATAATCTTAATTTATTCATGAGGAAACATTAGGCAAACTCAAAAATAAAAGACATTCCACATAATTACAGACTGGCACTCTTCTAAATTGTCAAGATGATTAAATACAAATTTATACACTGATTAAATACAAGAGACAAAGGAGACACACCAACTAAATGCAACGTGGAGGCCTCAACTGTCTTGAACCAGAAAAAGGACACTTGTGAGAAAAGTGACAGCATTTGAGTAAGGTCTACAGATTAGTTAGTAATAACATACCAGTATTAACTGTCTACTTTTGTTAACTGTGGTACAGTTCTATAACATGTTAATATTTGAGGAAGCTGGGTAAAGCGTACATAAGAGTGATTTATACTATCTTTGTAACTATTCTGTAAATCTGAAATTACTGCAACATGAAAAGTTAAATTAGTGTTATAGAAAACAAAAAACATGAATGAGGTACTCTTTCAAATTTGAAAAAACTACAGATTTAACCAAATGAAAAATTAATCCTGAACTGGAAAAACAAAATACAAAAAGACGGCTACAGACAACTGGAGAAATCCAATTATGAATCATATATTAAATAATATTACTAAATTCCTGTTAATATTCTTGGGTGTGATAATAGTGTTGATTATGTAAGAGACCATTCTTGATTCTTAGAAAACGTATGCTGAAATATTGAAAGACTCATCTATATTTTGAAATGTTTCTATGAGAAAGAAGGATTTGGGGAATGGAAGGAGAAAGAAAATGGAAGGAATAGATCTTTGTAAAGGGTATAAAAATGTGTGTTTTACTGCTATTCAAACTTCCTAGTTTGAATATGCCTCCCCCCAGAAGCTGGGGGGAATAAAAAAGGAATTCACAGAGCAGTGGAAATACAAAGCATCTCAATCCCAGTGGTGTACACCCAAGCAAAAAGCCTTAACAAATTACCTTAGTAATAATAAGGTTTCCTGACACAGACCCCAAAACCTCCAGTAGAAGAGGTAAGAACAAAGAGCGGGAATTAGAAAATCTGCCACTATTTTCTCTGTAAATTTAAAGAGATACTGTCAAATAAAAGGATCTTAATCCTCTGAACTTGTATTTCATCCTTGCAAATGTATTAAAGGAAAGTACTGTTTTAGGAACTATTTCTAAAAGAGAATTTTATTTTATAATATTTGCATATTCTCCCAGTTGGGAGAGGATAGGAAATGTAAATGCTTTCTTAAAGGTGAGAACGTTGGAGACGAAACTAGGGCTATATATTGTACAAAAATCCCCAATAAAATTACGACAAGGTTCTGGGGTAACCATTTAAATTATTTTTAAATGGGCCAGTGCTTCAAATCAATAGTGTTTCACTTTGTGTTTAATATTGGTAATCAAAAACATATATACACATATATATATTACAAATAAAAGCATTGGTTCAAGTATTTGATAGTCAAATTACATCCCATCTTTTAATTACATCTGATATAACTACTACTTAAGGAGGTTCGATTTTGTTTTAATGTTTCCACATTCCTTCACGTCTTTCTTTTTATTGCACTATATACTTTTAATAGTCATTTGATACTAAACAATATTCTTTCTAATAAAAACTAAAATTGAGCCTTCTAAATTAAAAACTACATGATAGCAGTGGTCCATTAATATGTTCAATAGAAATATTACCATCTCTTCAAAGTCATTATTTTATAATAGCATTTTTTTAATTTACAAAACATACCTTAAAAATCAACATATTGCTACGCAGGTCAAAGCTCAGGTAAAGAAAACAAAACAAAACAAAACACTATTTTTTGACAAATTGTTTTGCTGTGAACTGCTATCAGAAAAGGCCAGAAGTGATGATATGACAATCAATAGCATCACATTAATTCTCTTGTCTTTATCAAATGTACAGTAAATTCAAATAAGGAGATACAATTTCATTTGGATTAACTTACAAATGCTGGCCAGTATGAAATCATGGACCTGTAATAACTTAGCAGAAGATTATTTGCCAGATTTTAAACATCTGTTTTCTAGAGTGGCTACAATTCATGTATTTTACCCAAAGATATTTACTTTCTACATAATATTAAGAAGAAAAATTAAGCATCTATTTTTTCCACAATATTTTCCCCATATTTGAATTCTCCCCACTTATTTTCTATTTTTTTGGCTGTCAGCACCTGCTCATCTGGAAAAGAGGAAGAGCTAAGGCAGCTACAGTGGAGCAAGGCTCACTGGCAATGGCCAAGCCTTCCCTGCAGAGTGCACCCCTGGCTGCTCATACAAGCTTCTATAATAGGAGGCAAGTGACGCATTTTCTTTTAACCAAAAGAGATCTACCAAGAAGGGAGAAAAAAATTAAATACAGTCTACTGTGTCTATTATAGAAAGCTCTTTACAACATTTAACAGAAATGTTTATACCCAAAAGGAGGATATCTCAGAGATCACTTTAGGCATGGCAAAATTCACCAATTTAAAAACACAATTTTTGAAAAAAGCAGTCTTTTCATATCATCTACAACAAAGGAAAGAGGAGAAAGGAGATGGCAAAAATATCTATGGATAAAAAATCTTCTGTGGATGGAGCAGAAGAAGATTTTTCTACATAAAAATTTCAGAATAGCTCCTTTAGGTAATAAACACAAAAACGTATTTTTAAAATAAAATCTCTGCTGTTTCAAAAGAACAGGCATCACCTAGGGTACTTTAAGAACTGTAATATTAATTTAAAAGTAGACCAAAAATTCTGTGCATCTCTTATCTAAATGTGAATACTATTGAAATTTTTATTAATAACGAAAATGAATCTGATTTTCATTTACATTAAAAAATTCAAAGCTACATAACATTTTATGAGCTATGAACTTGAAAGCTTCATGGTATTAAAAGAGGAACTAAAATACATTCCTCAAACTCACTTAGGACAAAAGAGGTCAGAGGCAGTGGCTCATGCCTGTAATCCCAGCACTTTGGGAAGCCAAGGCAGGAGGATTGCTTGAGGCCAGAAGTTCAAGACCAGCTTGGGCAACATAGTGAGACCCTGCCTCTACAAAAAGAGAAGAAAATTAGCCGAGTGCAGTGCTGTGTGCCTATAGTCCCAGCTACTCCAGAGGCCGAGGTGGGAAGATCTCGAACCCAAGAGTTTGAGGCTGCAGTGAGCTATCATTACATCGCTGTCCTTTAGCCTGGGTGACCAAGCAAGACCCTGTCTCCAAACAAAAAAAAGAAAGAAAAGAAAAAGACAACCATCCTTTGTAAGTACATGGGAATATGTCAAAGCATTCTGACTTTTATGACAAATTTATTTAATAGAAACTAGAAAAATAATTCTATTTGTCAGAATATGTAGTCCAAATTCAATCAAACCTACAAAAAGTAGGTTCTAATTAATGCAGCCACTATTGCAGAGGACTCTAAAGAACTTAAGTATATTGGGAAAAAATTCTAGTTTCTAGACCTCATATGGTATGGCACAGTGAGTTCACAAGACAAGACAGAAGAGGTTGTTATAGCATAATCTATCTTTTCTCATCTAATCAAACCAAACACTGCTCTCTATCTTCTGGTAGTTGTAACACAAAACTTTTCATAATCAAGTCACAGTAAATATCCAAATTACCAAGTTCATCTTGCTCCCTCCCCAAATTTCTGCCACCTACTAACCCCCATCTGTCCCCAAAAATCATGTAAACATCACCAAAAAGTCGCTGTATTCATTGCTATAACAAATTGCCATAAACCTGGTACCTCTGAACAACTGAAATTTATTCTCTCTCAGTTTTGGAGGCCAGAAATCCAAAATCAAGGTGTTTGTAGTGTGGTTCCTTCGAGAGGCTCTGTGAGAAAATCTGTTCCATGCCTCTCACCCATGGCTTCCCGTGGCTGCCGACAACCCTTGGCATTCCTTGGCATGTAGATGTATTACTGCACTCTGTTTCTGTCTTCGCATCACCTTCTCTTCTTCTGTGCCTTCCTCTTTCTTATAAGGACCCCTTGTCTTTGGATTTAAGCCTCTCTCAGATAATTCAGGATGATCTCATCTTGAGATCCTTAATTACACGTGCAAGATGCTTTTCCTTCCAGGCTGACATCTCTTGGTGTCTGTTGGGGGGGTGGGGGTGGAGGCGGCATGCCATCCAACCCACTACAGCCACTATCTTTCTATCTTCTAGGATTAATCACATCCTCATTACCAACAAATGCTTACTTCTCAAAAGAATTTCAGAAATATGTCACATCACCCTTTTGCTAAATTTTGCTTTATTTCACATATTAGTTATCTGGGAATTCTTTTTAAATTGATCCACTGTCTTATAAATCCTTCTGGTGTTTTTTATTAGTCACAGTGAAAAAGGCAGGCATAATAGAGTAAGTATATATTAAATGTTTTGGCCTACAAGAATAACATTTTCATCAATTACCAAAGTAGAAAACATGGGGAGTCTTACACATTCATCTGGGCAGTCTTCAATTTCACTGTAACCTATGTTTTAAATTTCTACCTATCAGAATAAATACTCTTTTAATGATAAGGTTAACCACACAATTTTAACCAATTCATATGCAAGTATGTCTTCCATGTTCAACACTGAGTTTAATATTTACATTGTTACTGTTGTTTCATTCATACTCTAAGCATCATTTAGCATACATAAAAGGTACCATGAGCCAAGATTGTGCCATTGCACTCCAGTCTGGCGACAGAGTGAGACTCCGTGTCAAAAAAAAAAAAAAAAAAAAAAAAGTTCCAAGGAAGGTTACTATAACATGCATATCCTTAAATGAAGTCTACTTTTTGAAAGAATGACTTCACAAAATGGGAATGCCTCCAAATTCTCTGAATCAAAAGACCAAAAATTTCAGATTTATTGGGTGATGCAAGATTTCATTATCAATTTTGGAAAGATGTTTTCTTAAACGGCTCTTTCAAGAACAGAAGCTCATCTATTTTTTTCATAGGAATAGAAGAAACAACACCTCTTCAGCTCTAAGTTCAGGCTACCCACTAACCGCAACTTTTGTCCCACTGCAGAGAAACACAAGAAAGGTGGTACAAAGCCTGGGAACCCTCTTTTTTTTTTTTTTTTTTTTGAGACGGAGTCTCGCTCTGTCACCCAGGCTGCTGGAGTGCGGTGGTGTGATCTCGGCTCACTGCAATTTCCACCATCTGGGTTCAAGCAATTCTCCTGCCTCAGCCTCCCAGGTAGCTGTGATTACAAGCACGCACCACCATGACTGGCTAATTCTTCTATTTTTAGTAGAGACGGGGTTTCACCAGGTTGGCCAGGCTGGTCTCAAACTCCTGACCTCAAGTGATCCACCCGCCTCGGCCTCCCAAAGTGCTAGGATTACAGGCATAAGACACCGCACCCAGGCACCTCTCTTCTTCTTCCACTTGGGGTTTCACTGTCTGCATGAAGCTGTTGGTGAGGACACACACATTTAAATGCACGCATAAAAGCTTTAAAATATTTGTGTAATCCTTTAGGAAAATAGATCCAAACAGTGACAAAAATGTAATTAGCACAGTAACTTAAAACTTAAGAACTACCATCTTCACTGTCTACGTAAGCTAAAAATAGGGCATACAGGCATACCTCATTTTGTCGTGCTTCCCTTTATTGTACTTCACAGATACTACATTTTTACAAATTAATGGTAACCCTGCATCAAGCAAGTCTATTGGCACCATTTTTCCAACAGTATGTGCTTACTTCATGTCTCTGTGCCATATTTTGGTAATTTTCACAATATTTCAAACCTTTTCATTATTGTATCTCTTATGGTAACCTGTGATCATTAATCTTTGTTGTTACTACTGTAATTATTTTGGGGCACCATGAACCACGCCCACATAGGATGGCAAACTTAACCAATAAATGCATGTATTCTGACGGCTCAACCAACGGGCTGTTCCCCCATCTCTCTCCCTTTCCTTGGGTCTCTCTATTCCCTGAGACAAAACAGTATTGAAATTAGGCCAATGAATAACCTTCCAGTGACTTCTGCAGTGTTCAAGTAGAGCAAAGATCCACACGTCTCTCACTGGAAATCAAAAACTAGAAATGATTAAGCTTAGTGAGGAAGGCATGTCAAAAGCTGAGATCAGCCAAAAGCTAGGCCTCTTGCACCACTTAGGCTTAGTTGCCAATGCAAAGCAACGTTTCTTGAAGGTAATTAGAAGTGCTACTCCAGTGAACACAGGAATAAGAAGAAAGCAGAATAGCCTTATTGCTGATATGCAGAAAGTTTTAGTGGTCCGTAAAGAAGATCAAACTAGCCACAACATTCCCCTAAGCCAAAGCCTAATCCAGAGCAAAGCCCTAACTCTCTTTAACTATAACTCTTAACTCTCTTTAATTCTAGAGTTAAGTCTGAGACAAGTGAAGAAGCTGCAGAAGAAAAGTTGGAAGCTAGCAGAGGCTACTTCATGGTTAAGGAAAGAAGCCATCTACCGTAACACAGAAGTACAAGGTGAAGCAGCACGTGCTGATGTAGAAGCTGCAGCAAATTATCCAGAAGATCTAGCTAAGATCACTGATGAAGGTGCCTACACTGAATAACACATCTTCAGTGTAGACAAAACAGCCTACTATTAGAAGAAGATGTTATCCAGGACTTTCATAGCTACAGAAGAGAAGTCAATGCCTGGCTTCAAAGCTTCAAAGGACAGACTGACTCCCTTGTTAGGGACTAATGCAGCTGGTGGCTTTTAGTTAAAGCCACTGCTCACTTATCATTCCCAAACTTCTAGAGCCCTTAAGAACTATGCTAAGTTAACTCTGCTTATGCTTTATAAATGGAACAAATAAAACCTGGATGACAGTGCATCTGGTTTCCAGCATAGTTTACTGAATACTAAAGCCCACTGCTGAGACCTACTGCTCAAAAAAAAGAGTTCTTTCAAAATATTACTGTTCAGTGACAATGTCCTGGTTACCCAAGAGCTCTGACAGAGACAGACAAGGAGATGAATGTTGTTTTCATGCCTGATAACATAACAGCCATTCCACAGCCCATGGATCAGTCTACTTTCAAGTCTTATTATTTAAGACACACATTTCAGGCTGGGCGTGGTGGCTCACGCCTGTAATCCCAGCACTTTGGGAGCTTGAGGCAGGCAGATCATGAGGTCAAGAGATCAAGACCATCCTGGCCAACATGGTGAAACTCCGTCTCTACAAAAAATACAAAAATTAGCTGGGCACGGTGGTGTGCACCTGTAGTCCCAGCTACTCAGGAGGCTGAGGCAGGAGAATCCCTTGAACCGGGGAGGCAGGGGTTGCAGTGAGCCGAGATCACACCACTGCACTCCAACCTGGCAACAGAGCGAGACTCCGTCTCAAAAAAACAAAACAAAACAAAAACCACATTTCATAAGGCTATAGCTGCCATAGACAGTGATTCCTCTTATGGATCTGGGCAAATTAAATTGAAAACCTTCTGGAAAGGATCTGCCATTCTAGATCCCTTTAAGAACATTCATGATTCATGGGAAGAGGCCAGAATATCAATATTAACAGGAGTTTGGAAGATGATGATTCCAATCTTCATGGATGACTTGGAGGGATTCAAGACTTCAGTGGAGGAAGTCACTACAGATGTGGTGGAAAGAGCAAGAGAAATAGAATTAGAAGAGTAACCTGAAGACGTGACTGAATTTCTGAAGTCTCATTATAAAACTGGAATGGATGGGGAGTTGCTTCTTGTGGATTGATCTGGTTTGGCTGTGTCCCCACCCAAATCTCATCCTGAATTGTAGCTCCCATAATTCCCACATGTTGTGGGAGGGATATGGTGAGAGATCACTGAACCATGGAGGCGGGTTTCCCCCATACTATTCTCGTCGTGGTGAATAAGTCTCAGGAAATCTCATGCTTTTTTTAATAAGGGGTTTCCCTTTTCCCTTGGCTTTCATTCTCTCTGGACTGCCTCTACGTAAGACATGCCTTTGCTCTTCCTTTGCCTTCTGTCATGACTGTGAGGACTCCCCAGCCATGTAGAACTGTGAGTCCATTAAACCTCTTTCCTTTATAAATTACCCAGTCTCGCATATGTCTTTATTAGCTGCATGAGAACAGACTAATACATGGACAAATAAAGAAAACAGTTTCTTGAGATGGAATCTACTCCTGATAAAGATGCTGTGAACACTGCAGAAATGACAACAAAGGATTTAGAGTATTACATAAACTTAGTTGATAAAGCAGTGGCAGGGTTTGAGGATTGATTCCAATTTTGAAAGAATTATGAGTAAAATGCTATCAAACAGCAGCGCATGCTACAGAGAAATCTCTTGTGAAAGGAAGAGTCAACTGATGTGGCAAACTGCACTGCTGTCCTTGGAAATTGGCACAGCACCTCCACACTCCAGCAACCGCCACTCTAATCAGTCAGCAGCCTCAACATCAAGGCAAAACCCTCTACCAGCAAAAAGATTATGATTCTTTGAAGGCTCAGGTGACCATTAGAAAATTTAGCAATAAAGTATTTTTAAATTAAGATATGTACATTGTGTTTTTAGACATAATGGTACTGCATGCTTAACAGACTGCAGATAGTGTAAACATAACTTTTATATGCACTGGGAAACCAAAAAATTTGTGTGGCTTGCTCTATCGCAGTATTTGTTTCATTGCGGTGGGGAAAATCTGTTAGGTATGCCTGTAACTTGAATGGGGACTTTGCTAGGGATGCAAACAATATGCCATTGTCTCTTTACGCAAAATGTTGCCTTTCCAATTAACATGATTTTGCCTTATGCCCTGTTTCTAGGACCAAATCAAGGATTTGAGGAATGGGCGTGAACTACTCATACCTCCACCAGGAATAATCGCCAATTTTGTTTCAACCAGGCCCATTTTTGCAGAGGAAGCTAAAACGAAAGAAAGAAAATTAAGTATCATCCATATCATCACATTCAAATATGACAACTTGAAAAAGTTATGAGATATACTAAAATATTGTTTACTAATTAAATTGATATCACAAATTCTTAAAAAAAATCACTTAAAAGGCATTGTTATGGAAATAAGTAAGCACTCTAAATGACATGTATTAGGAGAGTCCCACAACATTTTCTGTTAAAAACTGCTTGGCAGTGAATTAATTTTTGATTCACAAGACCAGGACTGTAACTCCATTATTAGACCCAATATTGCCAAGACATATTTGGAGGCATAGATCTATTAATTATTCAGGATCAGCAGACTTGTCAGTATCTGACAAGCCCAAATTCTTCAGTTGCCTGAATATAGTCCCCCAGACCAAAGAGCTTAATAGGTCATATCAGATATGGCAACTTTTCAAGACCAAGTCTTTAGTTACCTTCTGACAAATAGTTTTACTATTCTGACAGGTGGACAGGGTTCCTCTTTTCATGTCTGTTTTCATGGCTACTTTAAAACATCTTAATAACTTCTTTATTTGCATATCCAAATATACTTAGACTACTTCCCATATTCTAATTTCCAAAACCTGTATTCTTTCAGAAATGGATTACATGTACCTTAGCTTTTCAATTTAAAATCCAATGATTTCATTACAAGAAAATAGGTTCCTAAAATGAAGTGAAAAGGAGGAAAAAGGACACATGGACTAGCAACCAGAAATCCCAAGAAACTGAATCATGTTGACGCTACATTGTTCTAAAAATTTAAAAAATCTTTTATAAAGATGAGGTCTCCTTATGCTGCCCAGGCTAGTCTTGAACTCCTGGCCTCAATCAATCCTTCTGCCTTGGCAGCTCTGCTTTTAACATGCAGCCACATCAGAAACGATAATGGAAAGCAAGAGAAGAACAGTGACAACTCTGTGCCGTCTGCTGTGCCCAGTTCTCAGTCTCAGAGCCCGAGGACACAGGCAGAGCTGAGTCTCTATGGATATAGTGTCCACAACGATGAATATGGGAGATCAGTCTACGTTGCTCTCATGAGGTAACAGGTGTGTGGGCTGTGGCCAAACAGTCTGGGTTCAAATCTCAGTTCAGTCACTTCTTTGGGGCTTCTCTCCCTTCTCCAGTTTCCTCCAGTGCCCCAAAGTACCTGCTCTGAGGGTTGTTATGCAGATGGAGTGAGTGAATACATGTCAAGTGCTAGAATAACACTGGGTGCCTGGACTGCACACAGTAAGCAGTGGGCACTAATTCTTTTCACTCTTTTTCTATTCACCTCATAAGATCCTCAGAAAACCATTCAGGAAGAAAGTGGACTTCAAGGAGATTCAGTTATCATTACTGTAGCAAATGGTGATTTAGTACTTAGATTAACATCCACAGATTAATTGCTTAATCTTCACAACAGCAACAGTCATTTCCCCCATTTCCTCTAAAGAGGAAGATATTGGCCTAAAAAAGGGAGGACCTCAGATTCTTTTCCTTTTTTTCTTTCCTTTTTAATTTTTTTTTTTTTAAACAGGGTCTCCCTCTGTCACCTGAGCTGGAGTGTAATGGCACGATCATGGCTCACTGCAGCCTCAAACTCCCAGGCTCAAGTGATCCTCCCACCTCAGCCTCCCAAAGTGCTGGGATTAGAGGTGCAAGCCACGCGCCTGGTCCAGGACCTAAGATTCAAACTCAGTTCTACCTGACCCAAATCCTGGCAAGAAACAACACAAGACTTTTTTCAGGTGGGAATTTCGAAAACACCATTAGGACCAACAAGTGACTTTTTGAAAATATTCTACTCAACAACAGGAAGCAGAATAAAATATTTAAAATTACCTGAAGAGTAAACACAACCTTCACTTTTTTAAATTATGTTTTTAACAGGATTAATTCTTACCTGCTACTCGTATATCACAGGCTAAAGCCAGTTCAAGACCACCACCTAAAGCGAGTCCATCTATTGCTGCAATTGTTGGTACTGGAAGATTAGCTGAAATGGAAAGAAAATTTTATGCTTCCTTAATAAGATTATTATCTCACTGTGTAATTCATTTTTAATTTTTTTCTGTGAATTTATGCTTTAAATGGGAGATCATATACAGACTTTTGTATCCCTTTTACCTTTAACAAAATATAAGCATTTCCATCATTATTCTTCAAAACATTATATAATTACTGTATAGTGTTCCATCACATGTATGTGCAATATCTTTAAATCTTCCCATATTATTGAATTACTTTCATAAACATTTTTTGTTGAATTAACAGAATCACAGTTCTACGATTTCTTAATCTTAGAGCCAGAAGTCTTTCACAAGATGTTTGGTTCATACAAAGTTCAAATTGAAATGACTTATACATAATTGTGAAATTTATGATCCTTTATGGGCTACTTCAGTGCTTGGAATGACAGAGTCTCATTCAAAGAAAGACATCTGCTCAAACAAGAAAGAAACTGTCCAAGTAGTTGCTGTGGCATTGGCCCGTGAGCTGTCATTTAGTGAGGAGCCCTAACATTATGAATGGGAGCTGGAAAACAATCAGGCTCTTCCACTTCAGAGGCAAGATGCCCTGAGAACCTGCTCACAAGCATGCCTGGAAAGGGGTCAGCCAGTCACAGAACTAAAAGCTCAACTTGCTTGAATCCAGAAATTGAGTATTATTTTAATACAACTTTTGTAAATTATGACATACAGATTTCATTTTCATAACCAGTTCAAAAAGTGACTGGTTTTATTAGTTATTCTGAAAAGCAGAACTCTATTAATTTTATTTCTGACTATGGGAATGTGAAGCAAGGCTGGCCAATGTTAATATATAACAGAAAGTGGATTTTAAAAAGGTAATATCGGCCGGGCGCTGTGGCTCACGCCTGTAATCCCAGCACTTTGGGAGGCCGAGGTGGGAGGATCACCTGAGGTCAGGAGTTCAAGACCAGCCTGGCCAACATGGTGAAACCTCATCTCTACAAAAATACAAAAATTAGCCAGGCATGATGGCGGGTGCCTGTAATCCAAGCTACTCAAAGAGGCTGAGGCAGGAGAATCGCGTAAACCCAGGAGGCAGAGATTGCAGTGAGCCAAGATCGTGCCATTGCACTCCAGCCTGGGTGACAGAGTGAGACTGTCTCAAAAAACAAACAAACAAACAAAAACAATAAAAAGGTACTATCCCCCAAAATCTCTCTCTTCCATTCTGATATGTAAAATCCCCCAGAGGCTCACTCCTTGACTCCTTTTAAAATATACAAATTTGCTGAAGTACACTGAGTTTTATTCATAAATAAAGGAATTCATCACTTATTGAAGATCAAGTCTGAAAAGGCCAGGAAGGAGCACATATACACAGCTGCCGCCTGAAGCACTCCCAGAAGAGCAGGCGTGGAAGGGGCTTTTGCACAGGCAGTATTTCACTATCTGTACCTGTCTGAACATTTAGGGGTTGGGGGTGGGGAGGGACTTGAAAGGACAGGACAAATTCAAAATGTGCTTTCCAGAACACTTAGTGAAAAAAATAACAGCTATGTCAGGGTTTGCAGTCTGGAAATGAGTTTAATGTGCAAACAATATCTAGTGAATTTTATCTGGAAAAAAGAAAAGAAAAATCAATAAAAATATAAAACAGCAAGTTAAACTGAGTCCTTCCCAAGGTCATCCTGAGCTACTACAAGTAGAATGTAATGACTTTGGTTACCGACTCTCAACTCCTCTTCCTTCCTAAAAACCTGTCTAGAGATCATTTATTTCTAGACCTCCTCAACCTACTATCTCTCCAACCTCAAGTCTCACCCGTCAGAAGCCTTCCTTAGGCCTTGCTAAGGCCCTCCAGCTCACCTCCTTTACAGACCAGCTTCTAAGAGGAGTAGAGTAAACCCATGCCACCATACCCATTCACCTCCAAACAAGCAAGACCATTCTTGTTCCAGTTACCAATGACATTATAAGATTGTCCTATAGCCAGTGGACAATATTCAGTACCTATTAAATGTACTGCCTCAAAAGATCAGAGACATCCATCCTGGACACTCCCTCCTTGTATTCCTCCCTTCACTGCCTGCTGGGTCCCTCATTTTTCCTGCCTTTCCATCTACCTCTGGTAATTTCTCAGCCTTCTTCCCCTCTCAATAAAAGCTCTTCCCAGGAGATCTCATTCTCATCCACAACTTTTACCACCTATACTACCACCAATGATTTCCAGATCTCTACCTCAAACCCAAACAGCCCCCTGCCTGTTGGACATACCCACTTAAATACTTCATGTGTCCAAACCATTTCTTCTCAATCCTTCTTCTAGGCTGTATTTCAGTTAGTAGCACCTCCATTCATCAAGTTACTCAAGACACTCAGAAGTCATCCCAGATGTCCTCCTTGCCAATGCCCTTTTCTACCACCCAAGTTCTGGGTCCCATCATTTCTCACCAGCAGGAAGTACCTAATTAATCTCCTTCACCTGCAATCTGCCACCCTTCTATGCATCTTCTACCTTTCCTGTAGGGTAATCTTTCTAAAATGTAAACACAGTCATGCTATTCCCCTATTTAAAACTGTTCAATGATTTATTCTACCTTCAGGATAGAAATGGTGTAAACATTTAGCATGGCACAGGAAGGCACCTGGAACTAAGTTCTGCACACCTGCCTAATCTCTTCCAAAACCTCAGATATTCTGTTCCAGCCCCAAACTACTTAAAACAGCTCCAAAAGTCTCCATTCAAGACTCAATATCTGTATACAAGGTGCAGCTCTGCCTAGAATGCCTAGCTAGCCCCTACTTGTCTGTCGAGGCTCAAATGTCCCTTCCTCTATGCTTACATGGCACTCTGTGCATAACCTTTTCTATCAGAACATTCATTACCATACAGCCCATATGAAACAAAAATTAACATCACATCAATGCTACTCAATAACGTTCTTACTAATCTGGGACAAACCTCACGGTTTTTCACTGCCTCTTCCTCCTTTATTATATTAATCCTGGTATTTTGCCTACTTTTCTTTTTTTTATTAACTTCTTTTGTTTAATAAAGAAATAAACATATGCAGTCCTATGGAGCTAAAGAAAAGAAAAATTGCCAAGAGTTCTAAGATGGAGAGAGCAGAAGCAGAGAAAGAGTGGGTGCTCCCTCCCTGCTACGTAAGTGCTGAAGTCACTCAGCAAGTAGCTGCTGGAGGCCGTGATATTATGAAATACATATTTGGTCTTCATCCCTGTTTCCAGACACACAGCTCTTAAAACCCTTGGAATCTCTGGAGTGATAAATGCATCTTTCTTATTTCTCCAATAAGTTTATACTTTTTGGAATTAATAAAAACTATTTTTAAGTCTAATAGGAATTTGAGCCAGGTACAGTGACTCATGCCTGTAATCCCAGCATTCTGGGAGGCCAAGGACGAACGATTGCCTGTGCCCAGGAATTCAAGACCAGCCTGGGAAACATGGTGAGACCTCGTCTTGATTTTTTAAGAAAGAATTTGAGAAATTATGTTTCTAAAGAGGATGAAAATTGTGTGCCCTTGAGAAGCTTAACAATTCCAGGGCTTGTTTCCTTTTGTGCAGGCCCACACCAGGGTCACTGCAAAAAGAGCCAGCCTAGGTGCCAAGAGACATACCAGAGGTGAGGACCAGGGCCTGCAGATGGAAGACAGGAGCTCCAAGAGCAAGTCTCAGGCACCATATGCCTTACAATTTGTAAGAAATACGTAACACAAAATGATGAGAAATTTGGGTTCCACATACAAAAAGAACAAGAAAAATGGGATACTAATTCTCATATTATTAAATAGGTTAAGCACTGGAACTTTAAATTATTAATTAACATAAATTAGCCTTGTAGAAAGCTGTCTATAAAATGTTTCTAACTAAAGAATTAAGTAAAACAGCTTAATTCGTATTCAATGGGTAATTAAATATTAGTCATTTTACAATATTATAAATTCTAAGGCTATACATCATCCTAATTATTCCCTAAAAGATGTCTGTCGTAGTAAATTTTATCCAGGAAAGTATGCATCATCTCAAAGCACATGCCAGTCTGATATATGTGGTTTCTTTACATCTAGTATTTCTTCTACTTGGGAGCACTTAATAATCAAAGAGGGGGCCGGGTGCAGTGTGGCTCATGCCTGTAATCCCAGCACTTTGGGAGTCCAAGGCAGGTGGATCATTTAAGGTCAGGAGTTGGCGACCAGCCTGGCCAACATGGTGAAACCCCATCTCTACTAAAAATACAAAAATTGGCTCACGCCTGTAATCCCAGCACTTTGGGAGGCTGAGGCAGACAGATCACCTGAGGCCAGGAGTTTGAGACCAGCCTGACCAACATAGAGAAACCCCATCTCTACTAAAAATACAAAATTAGCTGGGCGTGGTGGTACATGACTGTAATCCCAGCTACTCAAGAGGCTGAGGCAGGAGAATCGCTTGAACCCAGGAAGTGGAAGTTGCAGTGAGCTGAGATCGCGCCATTGCACTCCAGCCTGGGCAACAAGAGTGAAACTCCATCTCAAAAAAACAAACGAACAAACAAACAAAAAAATTAGCCAGACATGGTGGTGCGTGCCTGTAATCCCAGCTACTGGGAAGGTGAGGCAGGGGAATTGCTTGAACCCTGGAGGCAGAGGTTGCAGTGAGCTGAGATCGTGCCACTGCATTCCAGCCTGGGCAACAAAGTGAGACTCTGTCTCAAAAAAAAGGAAAAAAAATGTTAATAATCATAGCAGGAACTCAATAAAATACACCTTTAGAAAGGTAGATTATGAATTTCAAAGATCTAAAGGAATAGCAAAATGACAGTTGTATATAAGCACAAATAAATGAAACAGGAACTGCGAATCCAACGAGCAATGGCTATTCCCAACAGCAAGAGGAAGAAATTATGACTCAGTATGTTATGCAACCAATAGGATCAGATACTATTTTCAGTTTCGTACCAGGAAATGAGCCAGGTATGACAAAGAAGATAATAATCCTTTGAAATGCTCCTAAAAATATAATTAAAGCAAACAATTAAACAGTTTGCTATTTTAAGAGGGAAAAAAGCAACTGTAAGGCAGGCCCCTGGTTCACTTCAGTAGTCTGTAGGACCTGCAGCCTACGATAATTAGACTCAAGGGACTATGAAAGTGGGGAAAATTAAAGTATCTACTTTCGATTCTCAGATAAATACAACACATAATGTAGGTTATTTGATGCTTCTAGAAAAATATGAACAATTTGATTATTAAAGGAAAATGTTAGTGTCAGACGCATGATTTTTTTTTTTGAAACGGAGTCTCTTGCTCTGTCGCCCAGGCTAGAGTGCAGTGGCGCAATCTCGGCTCACTGCAAGCTCCTCCTCCCGGGTTCACACCATTCTCCTGCCTCAGTCTCCCGAGTAGCTGGGACTACTGGTGCCCGCCACTACGCCCAGCTAATTTTTTGTGTTTTTAGTAGAGACAGGGTTTCACCGTGTTAGCCAGGATGGTCTCAATCTGACCTCGTGATCCACCCGCCTCGGCCTCCCAAAGTGCTGGGATTACAGGCGTAAGCCACTGCGCCCAGCCCCACAGGATTTTTAAATTTGGTTTTGCTTGAAGAATAGTGTTCCTACAGAAAGCAGTGAAATCAAGCATTTCAAGGGAAAGGCCCTATGTAGCATTATGCTGGAAGTCTGAATACTAAAATCTTTCAAGAAGAATAGAAATAAAATCTAAGTTAACTGAAAATTACAATAAATACCTAATTATCTTTCATTTTGGCTAAAACTTTACCTTCATCCTAATGTATATTCTCCCATTCCCATCACTGAGGTTTAAAAAAAATCACAATAACAAAACAAGCCCTGAGTGAGGCCTGCAGGCTGGCTGGGCTGTTGCTCCCTGGAGGCCCACACCAGGGTCATTGCTGCAAACATAATACCACAGGTGAGAGATGGGAGTTCAAAGTGAGAAGTCTCAGGCACCACAGACCTTAAAAGGAACACATATCCAAAAGCCAAAAGTAACAGTATTTAAATATGACACTTCGATTCTAGCACTAGGTTAAAATCTAAATGAAATGGAAAAATTCTACAAGTTGTTGTGAAGAAAAACTAACAGATGAAGAGCAGCAACATTCCTTACAGAAAGGGTCATTATACCAAGAACAAATTGCTGGAAGCTAGCATTCCCTCTCACATGCTTTTTTATACAAGCCTGTCATAGTAATTTCAGGCTGTATGGATTCACACAGAAAAGAGGACTAAATTTACTTTTTTACTAGGAAAAAAAGAGAAAAACTGCCTAGAAACAGCATAAAATAAGTAATCAATCCTCGATTTAGCTAAAACCAAAGGCATGTGGGCAACATGGAATAGGGTCCAACTCCTCCCTAATACTGCGAGTGATGCAGAGTAAGACCATGAGTGGCAACAGCATGAGGACAGCCTCACTGCAGTGCTGCAGATTTTATACTCAATGATGAAGGCAGAAAGTACCTTCCTTAACTCTTAACAGCACCTTGTACCTAAAGCTTATAGGAAATATATAACACAAAATGACAAGAAATTTGGGTTCCACATACAAAAAGAACAAGAAAAATGGGATACTAATATTCTCAAATCATTAAATAGGTTAAGCACTGGTACTTTAAATTATTAATTAACAAATTAGCATTGTAGAAAGCCGTCTACAAAATGTTTCTAACTAAAGAATTAAGTAAAACAGCTTAATGAAGTAAAAAAGCCAAAAAAACAAAGTACACTGGTTTCTTGAGCTTTCATAAGCAAGTACTGGTGGAGAGATATAATTTAAAACTTGTGCACCAAGTAACAGAGGTGTGAGTAAATCTAAAATTATAGTAGTCTCCACTTACGTGCAGTTTCACTTTTTGAGGTTTCAGTTACCCATGGTCAACTGCAGTTTGAAAATATTACATGGAAAAATTTGGAAAATTTCAGCAATACATTATTCATTTGGAAAAACTCAGCAATATATTATTTTAATACCATACTAGGATATTATTTCCTTTAGCATCTTTAAAACAACATGATAGAATGTTTATAAAACAATCTGATCTGATATAAATCAGATGACTTCCTTAGTCAATTAGAAGAGAACACCTATAATTTCTTTAAAAAGCAATTCATATATACCTATGTCCAGGAAAAGTTAAAAAAAAATTCAGTTATTAGAAAGGACGTATTCTTTAATATAACTAAGGGTCAACAATATAACTACACATGAGCTTATTCTCTACTTTATTACTAACACGACCCAAGCCAGAACATCACAGACATAGTCTAGTCTGAGTTCAGGGATGTTAAATTGGTATACTATGCTTATGCTGACACTTCACGTCTCAACAAATTAGTAAACTGGTGAAGTCCTAAATTCAGTCACTGCTTCCATCAAATATATGCCACATACCATGTTGAATGATTTAAGTGAAGCTACAGAATGCAACTGTGGGGAGTTCAAATGTCAAATCCTGGCTCAATGCCACCACTGTTACCACTGTGAGCCCTGAGAAAAGTTGCTTAATTTTTCTAAGCCTATCATTTCCCCACCTGCCTTCCTACCTTTCTATATATACGCTTATGTATCTAGCAAATACTTAAAAAGTTTTTACTATGTGTGGCCACTGTCCTAAGAACCTTACAAAGATTACTTAAACTTCTATCAGCCTTATGCTGTAAGAACTCATGACTTTCAATTTATAGATGACACACTGAGGCACAAAGGAGTTGCTGTTACTTGCCTGGTACAGTCTGAGCACAGGCTGTCTGGTTTCAGGGTTTTGCTCTTAACCATTACTGCCTATCACTAGTTCTCACACCCCAGATCCCCAACACCGTAAGCCATCCTTCCATCCTTCCCCTAAGGACTTGTGACCACGTACCCGAGAAAAGGGAAATGCTGAAACTCAATAGGAAGCCCGACAGCACACTGGCTCTGTGCGCCACTAATTCCTTGAGACCTACGGCAACACCACAGTTCACTGGGTTCAACTGGGGAAACCTTGGGAACTGGATGCAAAGCACCAGTCAGCTGACTGTAATCGAGTTCTGACTTGAGTTTTCTCTGGAAACCCCCAAAACCCACAGTGTGGCAGTGCCCCCCAGTACACGACTCTATAGGCTATTAAAATAAAAAGGGCCAACCCCAGAATATTTCCTTCCTACCAAAATTCCAAATCAAAAAACCCTCCCTAAGGGAAATGCACAGATGACAGGCTGGCAGGGAAGTCCATGCCCATTCAGCAATCTTATCTGGAAGGTTACACTTACTAGTAGAACTGAGTGATGACTTCTGTTGATTGCTGTTCCACATTTAACAAAACTCTTGGCATTTAAAATGCTGCTTAACATGGTAAATGCAGTCACTTCTATTTCTGATAAAAAGATAACATACCATAAGTAGTTTACTTTCACTTGGCAGGAAAAAACCTCACCATTATTGCCTTGCTTCATAAACTCTCAGGCTCTGTAACCTTGTTATTTAGAGTATGGTTTGTAGAACAGCAGGATTAGCATCACCTGTAAGCTTTTTATAAATGTAGACTCCCAGGTCCTATCGCAGACCCATCTGAAGCAGGATCTACATTTTTCACAATGCACATTTTTAACCCAGGTGATTTATACACACAATACAGTTTGAGGAGCTCTGGATACTTAAGCTAATCCACAGGGAACTTGACAGTCTCACCATCCATAGGATAATATGCTGATCCACTACATTGAAAATGCTACTGAGGAAGCAACGGCCATAACTTGATCCATAAACGTAAGGGTAGTGAAGGCTTTACACACAAATGTCTGTAGCAGCTTTATGTGTAACAGCCCAAAACTGAACACAACCCAAATGTCTTTCACGTAGTACATCTGGGCAATGGAATACTACTCATCAATAAAAAAGAACTATTGATCAAAAAAAAGCGAATACATACAAAAATTAATACATACTGTTGCATTTTCATGAAATTCAAAAATATGGAAATTATAGTGATACAAGTTCAGTAATTGCCTGAGGATAAGTTGAGGGTAGCAGGGAGGGGCAAAAGAAAGAGACAGCAAACGGCCATGAGGAAATTTCTGGAGGTGATGGACATATTCATTATCTTGATTGTGGTGCTGTTTTCACAAGTCAAAAGTTACCAAATTGTACACTTTAATATGGGCAATTTATTTTATGTCATTACACCTCAATAAAGCTATTTTAAAGAATTATATGATCTAATTGATCTGAAAATCATAAAGTCAACAAAAGAAAGTACACTGGTTTCTTGAGCTTTCATGAACAAGGGCTGATGCAGAGATATAATTTAAAATTTGTACACCAAGTAACAGAGGTGTAAGTAAATCTAAAATTATAGTAGTCTCCCCTTACGTGCGGTTTCACTTTTTGAGGTTTCAGTTACCCATGGTCAACCGCAGTTAAAAAATATTACACGGAAAAGTCCAAAAATAAACAACATATAAGTTTTAAATGACACACCATTCTGAGTAGCATGACAAAATCTCGCACCATCCTGCTCCATCCCTTCTTCAACACAATAAGGGTGAGTATAATGCAGTAAAATATTTTGAGAACAGACTATATTCATATGACTTTTATTACAGAATATTGTTGCAAATTGTTCCGTTTTATTCCTAGTTATTGTTGCTAATATCTTACTATGCCTAATTTACAAATTAAACTTCATCATAGGTGTGTATGTACAGGAAAAAACAGTATATACAGGGTTTGGTATCATCTGTGGTTTCAGACATCCACTAGGGGTCTTGGAGTGCATCCCCTAATAATAAGGGGTCAACTATTGCATAAAGAAAACACTAAGAAAAAAGGGTGGGAGAAGAGAAAGGTGGGAAGGAATAATTTAAAACAGGAAATACACAAATTCTGTCATTGTTCAATAGAACTTTCTAAAGAAACAGTGGATCAAATACACTACGTAAGTGTAATAATGATGATAAGGTAGTACCAAAATACAACGCTTAACATTATTAGAATAAACCCACACACAGAACAAACCAGAGAAGCACCTAACATAGTTAAGATTATTTTTAAAATGTAAAATTGCCAAAATCAGAAGACAAAGAAAAGCATAACGACAGGCCTAATACCAAACACATCAATATATTTAAAGAAGCTGTATCCATCCACTAAGAAAAAGATTAGCCAGGCATGGTGGACTGAGTAGTCCTAGCTACTCAGGAGACTGGGGCAGGAGGATCATTTGAGCCCAGGAGTTCAAGGCTACAGTGAGCTATGACTGTGCCACTGCACTTCAGCCTGGGCAAGAGAGCGAGACACTGTCTCTAAAAACAAGAAAACTACATACTGAACTATGATTCAAAAGGAGAGGGATGTTAATAACTCATAAAAGAACTGACTCCCAGATGTTTGTTTTCATTCTCCACCATTCTTGATGAGAGGATAAAGAAAACTAAAACTAAGATCTGTAAGTCACCATGCAGAAAACAAAGACAGTAAAGTGTTCTACCAATTAATCTTTCACACACCATAATTCGGCACTTCAAATTTCTAATAATTACATCAAATTAGGAAAATAAAAAGTAAAATATATGCTGGATTCAATCTAATAAGCTACATTACATATTTTTAGAAATCTCTTTGACCCTCAAGCAAACAAAAAAGACACAGTGAACATAAATAAACAATTCAGGTCAACTTGGTGGATTGACAAAAAAATTCTGCAAACTTTGAAAATGTTCCTTATTAAGCAATTCTTTTTTTTTTTTTTTTGAGACGCAGTTTCGCTATTGTTACCCAGGCTGAAGTGCAATGCCACAATCTTGGCTCACTGCAACCTCCGCCTCCCAGGTTCAAGCGATTCTCCTGCCTCAGCCTTCCAAATAGCTGGCATTACAGGTGCCTACCATCATGCCCGGCTAATTTTTTGTACTTTTAGCAGCGATGGGGTTTCACCCTGTTGGCCAGGCTGGTCTCGAACTCCTGACCTCAGGTGATCCACCAGCCTCGACCTCCCAAAGTGCTGGGATTACAGGCGTGAGCCACGGCGCCTGGTCTTAACTTTTATCTTAAATGTATTATGTTAAGAATTGCTGGCCAGGCGTGGTGGCTCATGCCTGTAATCCCAGCACTTTGGGAGGCAGAGGTGGGTGGATCACCTGAGGTCAGGAGCACCAACCCATGAGGGATCCACTCCCATGACTCCAACACCTCCCACCAGGCCCCACCTCCAACACTGGGGATTACAATTCAACATGAGATTTGGGTGGTGCCAAATACACAAACTGTCTCAAAGACCCAGTAGTCAGTTCTTACTGTTCATCTTACTTGGCCTGTCAACAGCATTTAATCACACTCTCCTTCTTGAAACATTTTCTTCACTTGGCTTTTGGAATACTGTTTTCTTCCTAATGTGGTATATATACACCATGGAATACTATGCAGCCATAATAAAAGAATGAAACCACGTCTTTTGCTGCCCCATGGAGCTGGAGGTCATTATCCTTAGTGAAATAACTCGGAAATAGAAAATCAAATACTGCCATGTTCTCACTTATAAGTGGAAGCAAAACAATGGGTATACATGAACATAAAGATGGAAATAACAGACACTGGGGACTCCACAGGGGAGGACAGTGGTGAAGAGGGTGAGAGGTGAAAAATTACTGATTGCATACAACATTCACTATTTGGGTGATGGGTTCACTAGGAGCCCAAACTCACCATTACACAATACATGCATGTAACAAACCTGCACATGTATCCCCGGATCTAACATAAAATAAGCACAAACAATTAAGAATATTGTTTTCTTCCCACCTTCCTACCCTGGGTGGCCTTTCTCAATCTACCGCTTTCATTCCAGCCTCTAAATATCATAATGCCTCACAGTCCTCAGACTTTTTTTTATCTCTACAGTAACCCCCTAGGTGTCTCATCCAGTGGTCATGGCTTCACATAGCATTAACATTCTGATGACTCCCAAGTTCACCTGGGTCAACCTGCCTCAACTCCGAATTCATCTGCACTTGGATGTCCACTAAGCATCACTACCTTCACATATCAAACTTGGGACTCCTGAGCGAGACCTTCCATCCCAATCTAGCAAAGGATCAGTCCTAATTTACCACAATAGACATTCCAACAACTGCTCCACTCATGTTCATTCTATCATTCTCAGTCATGTCCTAAGAGCAGCAGGAGCTTGGGTAGAAAAGACAGAGGATCAAACTCAGGCAAGTTGAGCAGCATTCTTGGAATTTTAGGTAGAGGCAGACAGGAAAGGGATTGCAAGAGAAGGTTCAGCCTGAAGATAAGATGAAATAATTACAGTATGGCTAACATGTTTACACCAATAAGATATAAGCCAATTTGCCCTCTCAATCAGGTACCTACCATGTGCTCATTACTAGACACTAGGTATAAGTGAAGAAAAAGCCAACTCATGGTTCTTGCAATGGGGAGATATGGAAAGTACCAGATGGTAGAGAGAATCCACATTTTCTGATTCCACATCAAGAGATCAAGATCAATAAACTTACACCAAAATAATTCAAGAGTTCATCACATTTTAACAATGTATAAAATCTAAACTGTCTATAACAAAATAAACCATCCTATGGCATTATCTTTGAGAAAATGTTAAACTGAGCAGATCTTGTGACCTCCTAAGAGTATCATTACATGCTGAAATATAATGGAACTTCAAGCTTAGGATAAAGATGACAGAAAGATAGATCATGTGGTTACCAAAACATTAAAGAACACTCATTTATACAAAGATAGTTAGGCTAGGACAGAAGAGTTTGATTCCAATATCAAACCTCTGCAGAAGAGAGGCCAAGATGAAAGTTTGATATGTATGTGCATCTATTATACTGTAGTGGGTCTGTTAATTATTAGTGACTTGTTTTGCATTACTTTGAGCCTTTCAATAATAAAATTCAAATGTATCCCAATTCTCAAACTGAAAGACATGCTAACAAAAATAAAATGAGAAGCACTGCTTGAAAAGAGGTTTATACCATAAAACTTACATCAGATTTTTCACACAGAATTTTTTCATTCAGTTATACAAAGATATTCTTTGTATTTCAAAGAGAGAGCTTTTTTCATAGAAAAATGAATATGGACAGTAGATTTTCAATCACATGAAGAACAGATCCAGAGACTGAAAATTTCCAAAATTAAATTATTTCTTTCTATAAAACCTTATAAATGTTAAGAAAAAAATTGTTAAATACATGAATTTTGTCAGCTGTCCCTTTTAACATAATTACCTGTATTTCAATTCAGCTTTGCATTTACACTGCTAAATTAAAGCTTTTGCAATTTTATTTCATCAGAGAAAGAAAAAGAAGTTATGAATGCTGGCATTTTAAAGGATTACTGTGGAAGATCATTTACAAAAACATGATTGCCTCACACTAAATTCTGTAATCTAAAATTCTAATGAAAACCTATTTTAAATATTTCTTTATCATTAGGTAACAATTCTTTGATGTCTCAACTTGAGAGAACTAGGTCTATCCCTTTAGAGTTTCCACTTAGAGAATTCTAAAAATGTTTTCTATCTCATCTTGAAATATCATCTAATTTAAATGTTACTAAGGGCAAGAATGGCCCTCAGTGAGGTAATTAACATGTCCACTCCCCATATTCTATACTGCTAATGTGCACAATATGGGTCCCAATAGTGATGTCAACACTGCCACCACGAACTACTGGAAGGAAGGTGCACACCAGGAAGCCCTAGAAGGAATGGTAAGAAACAACAGCTGTTAATAGATCCTGATAATTTCATTGCTGTGTAGCCTTGCTGATGCCTAATATTTCAAAATAATCAGTTTACTGCTTCTAATCCAGGCAACCTAAACTTCAAGAGGGAAGGGGACTTGTAACAATGATTAACATTTTAGAAATCTAAAAATTCACCATTTCCTTTGAATGAAACATCTCAAAAATAGTCACATGACTTTTTTTTTTTTTTAAAGAACAAAAGAACTCAATTTTATTCTAGGATTTTACTGTTTAAGAACAGACTTTCTAAGATACTAGGAACAATAAAGTAAATTTAGTGACTCTGAATGAAATACAGAACTGCTTTCTGATCTCTATTTTAATAAAACAGAAGAGCTTTCAAATAAGTCATGTCTGTAAGTTGCTTATAAACTCTCTTTCATTAAAAACACACAGAGTACAGGAAATCACGGTTGCCAAAGAGAAAATACATTTGCCTTTCAGATCCCATCAATTCTCCAGTTGTAGAAAATGTGAATATAACAGGAGGCAAGAGGGGAAAATGGTACCCAACAGACAAGGGTGAACCCTGATTTGTATCAGTACTAATACTGCCACAATTTAAAGATGCCTATGGTTCAACAGCCAGCTCACAAAATTTCTGAACATTAGGCTGGGAGTCATGGCTCATGCCTGTAATCCCAGCACTTTAGGAGGCCAAGGTGGGGGTATCACTTGAGGCCAGGAGTTCAAGACCAGCCTGGCCAACATGGCGAAACCCTGTCTCTACCAAAAAATACAAAATAGCCGGCGTGGTGGCTCACGCTTGTAGTTCTAACTACTCAAGAGGCTGTGGTGGAAGAATTACTTGAACGCAAGAGGTGGAGGCTGCAGTGAGCCGAGATCGTGCCACTGCACTCCAGCCTGAGCAACAGAGTGGGACCCTATCTTTTTTTTAAAACAAACAAAAAAAAATTCCTGAAAATTTAACAATCACCTGGAGTCAGTGTGAGCAGGCCCCAGTACACCACTGCCAAGGCATTTAATTACTGGAGGGTCTGTATAGGAAGCAGGCCCGTAAGTACTGTCAAAGACAAAAATCTAACAAATTGAGTTATAGATCCAATTGCCTTTTATTTGTGATTCATGAGGCAGGGCAGCCTCCATTCTACAAAATAGAATAAAAGTTCCCATGAGGCAATGGCAGAACAGTGGGTTTTAAAGTAAGGTAGAAACAAGAAAACAGGACAAGAGGAAAAAAAACTAATTGGTTAACAGGTTACATCAGGCTTTGCGGGGGGGGTTGTTTTTTTGGCAAGGGTTAAAGCAGAGTAGACTTACTGAGCTGATTCAGGTAGACTGGAATCTCCTGCTTTCAGGAAAAACCGGTCTGTTTTGGAATCCGTCTGCTTCCTTAATAAAGTTTCAATTTGATTATGTGGCATTTTGCAGGAGTGACTATATCAATTTAATCTGGTCTGCTGGGGATTTGAGCAGGAGCTCAGTCCAAAACAATGGCCTCCCATAATTTTAACAGTACAATGCAGGATCCTCCACCATCAGTATCCATGAACATCCACTGGCCAAGTCACTTCCTCCCAAGACAAAAATAAGCCTAGAAGCTCTTCTCTCAGAAAATGAACAAACTTGGCCGGGCGCGGTGGCTCACGCCTGTAATCCCAGCACTTTGGGAGGCCGAGGCGGGTGGATCATGAGGTCAGGAGATCGAGACCATCCTGGCTAACAAGGTGAAACCCCGTCTCTACTAAAAATACAAAAAATTAGCCGGGCGCGGTGGCGGGCGCCTGTAGTCCCAGCTACTTGGGAGGCTGAGGCAGGAGAATGGCGTGAACCCGGGAGGCGGAGCTTGCAGTGAGCCGAGATTGCGCCACTGCAGTCCGCAGTCCGGCCTGGGCGACAAAGCGAGACTCCGTCTCAAAAAAAAAAAAAAAAAAAAGAAAATGAACAAACTTTATGAGAAGAACTAGTGAAAAGAGAGCCAGAAAGAAAGATGGAGGCCTCTGTGCAGTATCTGGTCCATAAACGCTCTTTTTTTTTTTTTTTTGAGACCGAGTTTCACTCTTGTCGCCCAGGCTGGAGTGCAAATGGCACGATCTCGGCTCATTGCAACCTCCGCCTCCTAAGTTCAAGTGATGCTCGTGCCTCAGCCTCCTGAGTAGCTGGGATTACAGGCACGTGCCACCACGCCTGGCTAATTTCTGTACTTCGAGTAGAGATGGGGGTTCACCATGTTGGCAAGGCTGGTCTCAAACTTCTGACCTCAGGTGATCTGCCCGCCTCAGGCTCCCAAAGTGTTAGGACTGCAGGCATGAGCCACTGTGCCTGCCCATAAACGCATTTTGTTAGACATGCAAAAGGATTTTTCTCTCCCATCAAAGAGAAAAAGTTTCAAGAAAAGTTTTAATGTCAAAAACCTTAAAAGTAGGGGGCCAGGAACAGTGGCTCATGCCTGTAATCCCAGCACTTCAGGAGGCCAAGGCGGGAGGATCACTTGAGTCAAGGAGTTCGAAACCAGTCTGGGAAACATGACGAAACAACACAAAACTTAGCCGGGCATGGTAGAGCCCATCCCTGCTACTCGGGAGGCTGAGGTGGGAGGATCACTTGAGCCCCGGAGGTCGAGGCTACAGACAGCTGAGATCGCACCACTGCACTCCAGCCTGGGCGACACAGGGAGACCCTCTCTCAAAGAAGGAAAAAAAAAAAAAAAACACCTTAAAACCAAAAGCCCAAGAGCTATTTTTCTAGACATGTAAAATCTTGGCTTCCCTTGAAAATAATGAGAAATAAAAAAAAAAATTCTAAGCCCCTCAACCAACTGAACTGACCTTCTTTTGGCCAAGGGGACCACAGAGAAACCTCAGAGGCTGAATTCGTAGCTATGATGTGATGGGAGGTCAGACCATCTCCCTCAATAGCCGCCATTAGGCTTTCTTCTAACGGGCTAAAGAGAAACCAGCCCTTGAAAGATGCCACTGCTGATTTCAACCAACAGCCTGAATGCTGCCCCGCCCTTCTGCCGTTCTGTCAAAACAACCAACCAGCATTTCTTCCTGATAAAGAGACTACCAACCACAGGGTGGTTCTGGCCCATCTACAGAGGAGGCGCAATGAGAGTTTTTCGTGTCATCTGCTTCTTCTTTTTTGAGACGGAGTCTCACTCTGTCACCCAGACTGGAGTGCAGTGGCATGATCTCGGCTCACTGCAACTTCCGCCTCCCAGGTTCAAACGATTCTCGTGCCTCAGCCTCCCTAATAGCTGGCACTACAGGCTAGGATTACAGGCGTGCGCCACCACGTCCAGCTAATTTTTGTATTTTTTTAGTAGAGACAGGGTTTCACCACGTTGGCCAGGCTGGTCTCGAACTCCTGACCTCAGGTGATCTGCCCGCCTTGGCCTCGAAAAGTGGTGGGATTACAGGCATGAGCCACCGCGCCCAGCCCTCTGTTTCATCTTTTGACAGCAGAGGTCCCAAGACTCCACCCTCAGATCCTGCTCTGGCTGCCATTTGTTACACATGGGTCCCACGGAAAGGCCTGAAGCTCAAATGCGCATGTGCCTGTTTCTCCTTTCATAAATATTCATGACTCCTCCTGCAGCTTATTGACTATGTATACCTGGCCACCCTGCTCAGCATACATTCCTGTTCCCTTTACCCCACCTTCCAAGTGGCAGTTTCTGGATTCTGGCCAGAGGCTGTGCTTCCCAGAGTGTGGGAATAGCCACCTTGCAGGCTGTAACCCTTTATGAGACATAAAGCTCTCCTTTCTAAAGTTATGAACCTTGTCATTCTTCAGTTGACAGTAAGAAAGAAAAAAAAATACAGTAAATAAGAAATGTCCACAAGTTTCAAGATAGATGAATCTTCTAAAAATTGGTCTTATTTGGCACATATAAAGAATATATTCATATACATGTAATAAAGCATAATCATAATAAACTCCAACACAATCACCACTCAAAGCTAGATCTAGGTCAGAACTAACACCTGTCTGCCACCGAGCTCTTCAACTATCCTTCCACCTGAATTCCAAACCAAAGATAACCATCCTTGTAAAGTCTGTGTGTGTGTGTATATGTTGATTTTATTACACACTTACACATCCCTAAACACAAACTGTTTAGCTTTGAATGCTATTAGTTTTATAAAAAATAAGTCATACTTTCAAATCAACATTGTGTTTCAAAGATTTATCCATATTGGTACATGTGTGTATTATTCATTTATGTACACTGCTCTCTACTATCCAATTGTATAAATATACCAAAATATTTTTCCATTCTCCTGTCATAGAAATTTGGTTGTTTTTCAGCTTTTTGCTATTAACAATGTTAAGTGTCCCTAGGACACATGTGCAAAATGTCTGCAGAACAATGTGGTTTCAAATCCAAGTAGCAACCCATTCATGAGCTAGTCAAGATGAGGAATTTTTTTTAATGACACAGGGTAGTATCAAACTAGAGTGTACAGACAGAAGAACCATAACCTTTGATACTCTCCCACCCCTATGTGTTTACTGGGCCAGAGTGTAGATATATTTCTTACTACAGGTCCAATAAAAACAGTCTTTAAGTTATCCCTCTATGTAAATACCCCTTAAAAAGTGAACTACCGAGTCTTATGGAATGTGGATATTCAAATTTGAAAGACAATATCAAATACTTTTCCTAAGCAGTTACACCAGTTCAGCTCCCATTAGAAGTATAAATCTTCCTGCCTGGTAATCCACTTAACTCACTAACTCTTAGTAAGACCTGGCTTAAGAATTTTTGGCTAATCTGGTGGATGTAAAATGGCATCCCACTGTGGTCTTAATTGCAGGTCTATGACTACTACTGTGGCTGACCATCTTTTCCTATGTCTACCCTCACTCCTCTACCTCTGTGTGAAATGTTTTTCTGTCATGTCCTCTTGCTGACTTCAAGGCTGTACATATGTATGCATGTATTGATTCCTGTATGTACTTATCAATGCATACAAGAATCTTTGGCCACTATGTGTTTCAAATATTGTCTCCCAGTCTGTGTCTTTTCTTTCTACTTTATTTATAGTATGTTTTCATGAATTGATGTTCTTAAGTTTAATTTGGTAAAATTGATCACTGTTTTCTTTTATGTGTCATATTTTATGTTTTAAGAAACTCTTCTCTCTGTTAAGATCATTGAAGTTTTAGTTTCCACTTCTAAACATATTAAGTCTTTGCCATTCCCCAGCGATCTGCAATGCCACCTCTGTCACATATCAACTTCCCCACTTGGGTGGTCTTTTGGGGGTTCTATATTTCAACCCAATGGTATACTTATCTATCCGAAAGCGAATAATACACCGTCTTCATTTCTATGTCATTATAATAAATCTTGAGTGCTGAAATGGCAAGACGCTTCATTTTCTTCTTTATGAGTGTTTGGCTATTTGGGGGTCTCTTTTTGCTCATCAAGTCCCTCACAAAATCAATACTGAGAGTCTAGGTGTAATTACACTGAATTACACCATTTGTGAGAATCATCTTTTTAATACTCAATCTTCCTATTCAAGAGGATAATTTGTCTCCATTTATTTTTTTAAACATGTTACAATAAAGTTTTATAATTTCTCCAAATATGCTACATGTAGTCCTAGACTCATTTTTGTTCCTACTTTCCAGGGTATCCTTACTTGACATCTTTTGTCTGTTGTTGGTATAAAGAAAGGCAATTGATTATTCTGAATATGGATCTCATTTCCAGCCATCTTGCAACACTCTTATTTCTAATAATTTATTGTTTCTTTTAGCTTTTTGATGGAGACAGCCATACCACATGAGAAGGACTCTGTTATTTCTTTTTCGGTCCTTATTTATTGTTGTTTCCTGCCTACTACAGAAACCAGGATTTACAGAATAATATAGAACAGAGGTGGTGACAGTGGGTCCTCTTGCCTTGTTCCTGATTTTAGGAGATGACTTCTAATATTTTATTGTTAAGAAAGAGATACCTTTCGTCAGGCTAAGGAAGTTTCCTTCTATTCCTAGTTTGCTGAGAACATTTTCCATGAATACATGTTGATATTTCTCAAATGCTTTTTCCTCAATCTACTGAGATACACATATGACTTTATTTTCATTGGCTAACATCATGAGTTAAAATTTAATATTTTCCAGTGGAAACCACCATTGCCTTCCTGGGAAAGCCCAATTTGGTCTTTTGTTACAATCTGCTGGATTTCATGTATGCTCACAAGTGAGGCTGTCTCCTCCTATTCCTTTCTTCCATTGTTTCTCTCGGATTTAGGTATAAAGATTACACTAGTCTGAAATAATGAGTTAGGAGTAAACTCTCACTTTACTATCCTGTGGAACTGTCTGTATAAGATTGTAAGAATCTGTTCCTTATGCATTGGGTAAAACATCTTAAAAGTAAATCTCTATCATCAAAAAACTGGGTCTGGTGCTTTCTCTGTGAAAAAGTTTACTATAAGAATTGGTTGATCACTTCAGTGATTATATGACTGTAACCAAGCAGCTTAGCTTCAAACTGCTTTTAGAAATTTTTTTTCCTTTCCTCTTTTCATCCCAGTCTCAAGACACAGCTTTGAGACAAACTACAGATGTGTTTTCTTTTGTCTCTAAATACAGCCTTGGAATGTGCTTTAAAACTCCACTCCCCTCCCTTTCCCACCTTATGCTTTCATGCCTGATGCACATGTATTTACCTGGATGTTTGTTAAGCTCACACCATGCTCACTTATCTGGTCCTATGTTTCCTTAGAAGCTTCAGGGGCCAAATCCTGATGCAAACCAGGCACCTCCAGAATTCTCTCCCGAGCAGGATATTACTTCAAGGCCAGAGTTACTCCCGGCTAGAGACTGACAGCAAGACTGACTGCGACTGATTTGGCATGGTTGGGCCCAAGATGGTGCTGGCCCCTTCACCAGATGGAACAATAATTCAGGATAAGCCATAGGAGCAAGTCATGCCATTGGGCACCTCCCAGCCCCCTTGCCTCTCCTGCATTCCAAATCCCTCTTCTTAAACCCCTGCACTCTCCAGAAATTGGAAAGTGGCAGTTTTGGGAAAGGATTCTGTCCACTTTCCCCCTTGCTGGCAACAATTAATAAAATTCACACTCTTTATCATACCTCACTCTTGTTATTTTGGCTTCTTTCTACAAGCGGCGAGAAGTTGGACCCTCTTTTGGTTACATGACTATTCCAGCCCATGATTTCTTCTTGAGACAGAAGTTTCATATTTATTGGCATAAAGTTTTTTCCCAGTATTTTCTTATTATCTTTATAATCTCTCCTGTATCTATAATCACACCTTTTTTTCATTTGTAATACGTATTGTTAAAACACTTTTTACTCCACTGTAAAGAGCACGGCCTTGTGTTGACCCTAGGCACTGCATCTCTGTCTTCCATTTTACTCATTTCTGTTCCTTGTATTGTTGCTTTAGTTCAACATTCTTTGAACTTAAAACTTTTAAAAATCTTTTTAAGGTAATGCTTAGCTATTTATCATCAATGACATCTCCTTGCTAACTTATGGATTTAATGTTGTAAATTCCCCTCAAGTACTGTTACAGTAGGTAGCTAATCAGACACGAGCAGAGTTGGAAAGGGCTCCCCACAAAATACACACACCAGGAATGTCAGGTGACCATGTAATTGTCAGGCGGCTGTTAACTGTCTCTCTAAAATAATAATTGGTCACAGCCAACACCAGAGAAAGGCAGTCTCCTCGAAATATCAGGTATTTCCAGATAGAAATACCTGAAACTGGTGATCAGCAGCTTCCTGATAAGATCTCAGGAGCTGGGCAAGTGCAGTTGAGCATGAGCACTGAGGCAAAATGGCGGATGACGTCCCTCTAGGAACACGGGGCTGCAAAGTGGGAAGGTGCCTCAAGTAGGCAGGCCTGCAACTTAGTAAACACACTGCACGTGCAGCCCCTCCCAAGGGCTGGCAGGCCACTGCGCATGCAGACAGCCCACCCCAAGGGAAGAATCACAGGAGAAGCAACAGAAGACCCCAGAAGAATGCCAACATATAAAACCCCAATTCAAAAGGTCAAACGGTGCGCCTGATCTCTCAAGTCGTCTACTTGATCCTTGTGCAAGTTCCTCTCCTTCCTGCTCTAGAGCTCTTTAACAAACTTTCACTCCTGCTCTAAAACTTGCCCCAGTGTCTCCTCCAGCCTTATGCCCCTGGGTCGAATTCTTTCTTCTGAGGAGGCAAGAACTGAGATTGCTACAGACCTGTACAGATTCACTGATGCTAACATACTTGTGCTGCATGACATGGATACATCACAGCTAACAGTACCACTTTAATCAAATCTCATATATTTGGACATATGGTAATTGTATAATCATTCAGTTTTAGTATTCTTTTCCATTATAGTTTCTTCTTTGACCCATGAGCTGTTCAGTATTCTCAGTTTACAAATATACGGTTTTAGAATCTGTACGTATGCATATCTTGTTTCTAACTGTTAAAGCAAACTAAATACGGCCTTAGAAAGACTCTGTACTTCTATACTTGTGGATGAACTGCAACCTAACTTAATAGGTAGAAAAGACAGAAAACCTAACTTAGGAGTATGCCCTGTGACAGTACCTGAGGCTTGGCCAATCCCAGCAGCCATACTTCAACCACTCATACACTGCCCAGTGTTCAAACTGTGTTAAAATAAGACAAACGCTGAGCTGTAACCAATCCAGCTGTTTCTGCACCTCGCTTCTGATTTCTGTATGTCACTTCCTTCTTTTTTGTCTATAAATTTGTTCTGACCACAAGGCATCCCTGGAGTCTCTCTGAATGTACTGTGATTCTGGGGACTGCCCGATTCATAAATCGTTCACTGGTCTATTAAACTCCTTTAAACTTAATTTGGCTGAAGTTTTTCTTTTAACATAACTTAATTCCACCGTGGACAGAAAATATGGTCTCTATACACCAATTTTCTGAAATTTAACAGAGACCTTAGGGTCCTGCACGTGACCCATATCTTTAAACATTTCTTGTGTTCATGAGAATACATAAGTTGGGGTTGAGTCTATTAAACCAAACTTGATAATTATGTTGTTCAAATCACTAAAAAATTTTTATTAACTTTTGTCTTTTTGACCTCATGGTAAATTGAGGGAGATGGGTTGATAATTTTGTCAGTGATGACAAATTACCAATTTATCCATATCATTTTATGTGTGTATCTTGAGACTTTTGTTTTTAAGTGCATACAAGTTTAAGGGTATGTTTCTTGAAAAATTGAATCTTTTATCACATGCAGCAACTCTCTCTCTAGTAATGCTTTTTATTTTGAAATGTATTTTGACCAATATCAATACTGATATATCTTTTTTTGGCTAGTAATCTTCAGGTACAAAAAGAGGTATCCCAGATGTGGCTATTTTTAACAATATTCAGCTGATGTCAATTATTTAGTCAAATCTGAACATCTATGTCTTTAAACCGCAAGTTTAATCAACTAACATTAATAGTGAGTACTTGACTTATTTCAACATCTTACTATTCAAGATGTTCTAAGTTTATGCTATTTTTTCTCTTTACATTTTTTTAAGATTGGATGAACTTATCTTTGGTTTTTGTTTTGTTTTTTCTTGAACTGTTTTGTTTTGTTTTCTTTGAATTTTATCAAGAATACAAAACCCCCAGATGCAATATTTTAAACTCCCTATCAAAGCGAAGACCTTAAAATTAAAAGCTTTATGACTCCAAAAAGCAAAACCCAATGACAAAGGTATAAGCCAAGCATGCATCAAGTTGTTCAAATTAGAACTGAAGTGAGATTTCTTGAATAAATATAGAGGAATTAACTCCAAACAACAGGAAAAATGAAGATAGGAGACAAATGACATTCAAAGAAAAATCAGACCCACTGCCTGTTTTAGTACAAACCTGTGAGCTAAGAATGGTTTTTACATTTTTAAATGCCTGGGGAAAAAAATCAAAATAAAAAATTGTTTCAAAATGCATAAAAATCAAATGAAATTCAAATTTGGGTATGCATAAATAAAGCTGTATTGGAACAGAGCCACACACATTTGTTGATACATCATCTATGGTTGCTTTCATACTATAAAGTCAGAGTTGTATAGCTGCAACAGAGACCATATGGCACCATAAAACCTACAATATTTACTATATGACCCTTCAAGATAAAGCCTGCCTGCCTGTGATTTTTAACATATTAAATGAGTGGATTCTATTAAGATACTATTAAGATACTTAGTTTCCATATGTCCTTCAAAATGTCTGGAATCATCACAGTAAGTCTACTGTAATGTTATAATAAAAAGTATCATTAATAAATATGGAGGAACTCCCAAGAAAAAATGGAGATAAGAACTAGCCCAGAAAAGAAAAGCTATAGCTACAATCACAAAAAAGAAAATGACATTGCAAAGACAGAAAGAGTTCCAGAAAAATCCCAATTTCAGAATCCACAGAACAGAAAGACACTCTGGAACAAACATCAAGGTAATTTGAACAATGAAACCAATCTTAGCCACCCCCTTGCATATATATAAACTTACAGGTAGCATCAACTTTTACTTCTAAAATCAAGCTCTCTGACCAACTTCTAAACAAAGTTCATGCTCTGTGTCAGAAGGTACATAAACATGAGGCTGAAGCTGGGGAGAGAAGCAGGGCCTAAAACAATACCAGCACAGAATGAGAAGAGGCAGAATAGACAGCTAAGCCAAAGACATTATAGAAATCAAAACACGTATTTTTTAAATTTTAATTCTAAGAAAGTGAGAAAACAGTAACAAAACCACAGAAGATGCAAAAAGGTGTCAAATGGTCAAATTCTACAATTCTTTCAAGTAAAATGATTTGTTCTGTATATAGCATAGAAAAACATGGAAAGCTTTTCACCTCATTCTATGAAGACAAATAACCTTCACACCAAACCAAAAAAGAATAACACAAAACAAAATTAAAAGCTCAATCTCCTTTATGATTCTACCAAAAGCATTTTATTGAATCCAGCAATATATTTTAAAAACCAACACCACCCCTAACCACAATGACCAGACAGAGCTTATTCTAGTAATGTATGGCCACCGCAGCATTAGTAAATCTATTAACACAACTCAGTATAATAAAGGCTAAATAAGGCAAACGCTAACATACATCAATTATAATCCCGATGCATATTTTAAAAGCATTTGACAAACTTTAATACTTATTCTTGATTAAAAACAGAAATAATCTCCTAACAAGTTGAAATAGAAGAGAACTGCCTGAATATCATAATTACTGGCAAAATATTAAAGGCACCCACCAAAGTCAAAGAAAGATAAGGATGATCACGCTCACCTTAACAAATGAATACTCTATGAGGGCCTGAACCAATATGAAAAAATATGAATATGTAAGGTTAAAATGTTGGGGGAGGAGATAAAAACTGCATTACTTATAGGTAATTACCTATATTGTACTTTTCAACTGAAAACACAAGAAAATTAAAGAAGAATTAACACAAGTAATTATCCAGCTGACATGATATAAAATAAGCACATAAAAGTTATTAACTTTTGGCCAGGTGTGGTGGCTCCCACCTGTAATCCCAGCACTTTGGGAGGCTAAGGCAGGTGGATCACGAGGTCAAGAGATCAAGACCATCCTGGCCAACATGGTGAAACCCCATCTCTACTAAAAATACAAAAATTAGCTGGGCATGGTCATACGTGCCTGTAGTCTCAGCTACTTGAGAGGCTGAGGCAGGAGAATTGCTTGAACCTGGGATGCGGAGGTTGCAGTGAGCTGAGATCGTGCCACTGCACTCCAGCCTGGTGATAGAGCGAGACTCCGGCTCAAAAAAAAAAAAAAACTTAATAACTTTCCTACAGACTATAATAACAAGACTACAACGAAAACAAGGGGAGGGTCTCATTCAAAGGAATAAATGCTATAAAATAGCTAGGAATATATTTGAGGGGGAAAAAAAGATATAAGACCAAGAAAAGTATAAAACTTCCTTGAAAGACATTAAAAAAATGAATGACCCCAGAAAATACGAGCCATGCACACTATGGATAGAAAGATTTACTATCATAAAAATGTCAAAATTTTCTTAACAAAATTTATAAAATTCCAATCACAGTTGCAATACAGAAATTTTTCCTCTTTGCCTTAAAAAAATAATTCTAAATTCATTTGGAAAAACTGATGTGCGAGAATCAACAGAGAAAACCTTCAAGGAAAAAGAATAATAAAGAGAACCTAGCATCATCTAGATATTAAAAGTTTTAAATTTAAAGATACTGGAATCAAATTAAGCACATTAGAGGACAATATCTATAACACATTTAAACACAAAGAATATAAAAATGCCTTTTAAATAAACAAGTAGTTATTAAATAATCCTATAAAAGGAGGATGAAGATGTGAAAGGCAATTTACAAATGAAGAAAAGGCTGAGTAATGTGGCTCATGCATGTAATCCCAACACTGTGGGAAGACGAGGGAGGAGGATCGCTTGAGGCAGGAGTTCAAGATCAGCCAGGGCATCACAGTGAGACCCCCATCTCTACAAGAAAATTAAAAATCAGCCAGGCCTGATGGTTCACACCTGTAGTCCTAACCACTTAGGAGGCTGAGGCAGGAGGATCTCTTGAGCCCAGGAGTTGGAGGTTACAGTGAGCTATTATCATGCCACTGCATTCCAGCCTGGGTGATAAAGTGAGACCCTGTCTCTAGAAAAAATCAAAAATTAAAAAAAAAAAAAAACTAAAACCAAATAAAAAAAAAAAAAGAAAGCCAAATCTCATTTGAAAAGATAAAACATCACATAAGCATTTGGGGCAATACAAATTAAAATGTTGAGTTTTTTTTTTTTTAACCTAGGCAAACTTCAAAAATAGCAACATTATATGCTGGCAGGAATGTGAGGAAACATATACTGTCTTTAACCGATGGGAATATAATTTTGTAGAATTTATTAATACTAAAATATAAAATGAACAAATGATAACTGGAACAGCGATTCCCTGTTTAAGAATCTATGCTTATGTACAAGGGTATTCACTACCTTATTATAAATAACATAAACAGAGGAAAAAAATGTTCATTAATGAAGAAATAATATAAAATTTTGGATAAGACTGGATTAATATACAGCAGTAAATTAAAAATAAAATAAATTGATAGTTACTGTAAGTCTTAAAAAAGTATGATCCTGTATATTTAAAAAACAAAGGAATCCCAAACGTATGTTTGCATGTATATAGTTAAATATAGATATTGTAAGTCAAAGGCTTATGGCAAATTATTATTGTTGTCTAATAAATAAATACCTTCATATTTTATCATACATAAGACATCTGTAATTATTAAATATTTTACATAATTTTTCAAATTAAATATATTAAGTGTCACGTTAAACAGCTATAGGTCATGATTATCTAATTATATAAATATTTAACCAATGCTTATATATAATGTGTAACTTTTTAAATGTGACATTTAAGAACCCCTTCGGCATGCTGAAAGAAGAACTTAATAGTGCTTACCAATATCGTTAATCACTGCTCTTATTTTGGAGACAAAAGGACCAACTTCACTGGAACTCATTTTGGCTCTTTCCTTAAGGTCAGCACCTGCAAAGTATTTTATTTACAAATATAATCTAGTTGTAAACAAAATTTTAAGGCAAAGAATTGAAAATTTACTTAAGATTAGTATACAACTTCAAGATCAGCCTAATTCATCTTTTAATAGAATGACATTACCTCAGTTTTCCTTCCCAATGACCATGTTCAACAAGAATAAAGTATTTGTCTATTCATACGTCTACCATGTGCTTAAAGCGGTGCTTCTCCAGCTTTCCAGTCTCAGGCCCCTTCACGCTCTTAAAGGAAGACACTATAGTTGGCATCTACTGATCTATAGTTACTCTATTAGAAATCAAAACTAAGAAATTGTTTAAATGTTTATTCATTTAAAAATACAAATGAACCCATTAATGTTAACATAAATAATGACAAATTGGTGACACCACCTTGCTGCTTTGCAAGGTGCTGTCAGTTTATCCACCACTGCTTTTGCAGTGTATTAGCACAAATGCCAACCCAGTAAAAAGGGCAGATTACACTTTGGTCAGTCCTTTTGACTTCATGGATGCCTGCCTTGGGGACTGTCAACCACAAGGGAGAAGCATAGATTTAAAGTATGAACAAACTGATGATTTCATAATTATGACTTTAGCACAGAATCGTAACTTTGGAACAGAGAAAAATAAACACATGGAATTCCTTAAGGGATAATTAACTCTGAGAACAAAGAAGATCTTTAGCAAAATTAACAATCTGAAAAAAGATGGGTCCCCAATTAAACAAACAGACGAACAACAAAGTAAAATTACAGTATAGAAGGCATACACTCAGCTATTTACCCTTATTAGTCTATTACAAATCAATCATGCTGATACATAATATAAGTAAGGGCTAGGGCAGGGGCATTCTGATCTCACACACTTCCAGGGGAGTGAGAACCTCAGTTGACAAAGCACATATCCCAGCATCCATCAGATCTTAGATATGTATACCCTAGAAAATCTCTCAAATACCCAAGAAAATATGTACAATAAAATTCAAGGGAGCATACAAAGACTAGCAAAAAAATGGATATAACCTAAATATCCATCCATAGGAGAATTAATAAAACAAGGACATAATTATAAATAGAATGTTACCTGTATAAGCATGAAGGTGAAAGAATTAAGAGTAAATACAGATAAATCCAATGAATAATATTATTGAAAAAGTATTAATTACAGAAAGATACACAGGATAATGAACACAAATTTTAAAAACAATAATGCTATTCAGGGATATAAAACACACAGAAATGATAAATTCAATTGGTGGTTATGGGGGCTGGAGTATGACTGGCAATGGGTACACAGAGGACTTCAATTTTATTTGTAATATTGTATTGCTTAGGTTGGGTGGTGGGTGCTAAATATGCAAGTCTTTAAATGTTTTGGAATGCCTGATACATGTCTTTGTAATTAATTTTTCCATGAAGAATTAATATGTAACAAAGAAAAATGTTGGCAGAACCAAAAACAAATAACTGGCTTAACTTGGTGCCAAACTGTTCTTTGAGGCCCAGTATTTCTCAGTTCCATTACTTCATAAATTTAAATATTTTACATTTATGACCACTCATCTCAAGTGGGCCATTCTGCTGCCCAGCAATCCTACTGTATTTCCTGAGTTCATTCACTCTCCTACTCACATATAGACCACTTCACAACTTCCCTCTCCACGAATCTTAAAACCTCCTATCAATCCTACGAAAAGCCAGAAAAGACATTCTACCAGTACTTACCACCAAAGCTATCCATCCAGGACTTGAACCTATATACTCCGCCCTGCCTCCTGTTACCATGAATGAACTAACTCATTGAGAGTGACAGAAGACAGACAAATTCCCCAGCAGACAGGGATGTGTCCCCAGTGAAACCCAACCTTCAAGCCACTGACAGTTTAAAGTCTAAAAACCGAGCTGCTGGTTTGAGAGAGTCCATAAACAGAGAGAGAACTTCTATCCCCATATTACCCTCACTCTCTTGATTGGTTCCTTCTGGATGATGCCTTTTAACCAATCAAACAGTGATTTTTCCAAGCCCACCCAGGGATGAATCAGCACACACACCTCCATTCTAACCCATAAAAACCCCAGACTCACCCTCTCAGGTGGCTACCCACTTTGGGTCCCCTCTCACAGCTGAGAGCTTTCCTTATGTCACTCAATAAAATTCTTCTCTGCCTTACTCACTCTCTGGTGTCCACGCACCTCATTCCTCTTGGTCGCGGGACAAGGACCTGGAACTCGCTGAGCTGCAGGCGACAGGAATGAAAGGGCTGTGATGCCCCTGGCCGGCTCGCCAAGCTGCGTGCAACGGGAATAAAAGAGCTGTAACATGCTCCCGCTAGCCAAGCTATGGGAGTGAAGAGCTGCAACATTTCTGGGGTCCCAGACCTCAGGACTCCCCGAGCAAGAGTTGTAACACTGCTTGGGGCTCCATGAATGCTGGTTTTATCTCTGAGTTTTTGGGTGACACCACATTCCCCTTGTCTAGACACCGGTGCCTGACATGGAAGTCATTCATGGCATGCCCAGTCCAGCCTCAAGCTGAGTGTGGAGGTGCAGCAGGCACGGGATTCAAGTGGGCGCGAACCAAGCACAACCTGCCAGGCCAAGAGGGTGGAGTAAGGCCAGGGGGCCCAAGCAAGGCCCAGACAGAGGTGGCAGGGGCAGCAAAGATTTCTGGCTGGCAAAGTGGCACTGAAGGAATCCTGTAACATCATGAGGGAGGCCAATCCATCCCCTTGTGCACTGGATTCAACCCCTTCTAATCTCCTTGGGGACATCACTCACTCCAGCACTTACGCGCTCTCCTTGGCTGGCATCAATACTACCCCTCCTTAGAGGTTCGTTCCCATCAGCATATAGCAATGCTGTAATACTGACATCTTAAAAAAAACTCACATAGACTTCCACTGTTAGCTATGATGGAATAGGTCATCATCAGACCAATTCCTCCATGAAATACTGCAGAAAATATGTAAGACAGCTGCTTGAGCAACTAAGGCAGCCAGGATGTAAGAGGCTGGAAAGCCAGAGAAGGGAAACTATGGTAAGCCTCTGCTTTCCTCCCAAAACATACACTGAGTTATAAACTGGTCGGGTAAAGAGGGTATAAAAGCCGTAGCACGAAGCAGCAGCTCAGAAATCTCTGTAATCTCCTGGAAGTGGGGAGACAAACACTGGCAGTGAAGACTACAGGCTCAGCCAGAACTTTGAGGCCAAGATCTCGGAGAAAAAGGAACTACCAACAAGAGAGCCCACTAAAGGGACTCACCAAATTAATGAAATAAAGGTGAAAATCGTATACATTTTCATTAGTTACAGAAAAAGTATTTGATAAAATTCAATATTCATTCCTTAACATCTTCACTGAAGAATAATTTACATAAAATAGAGTTCAGCCACTTTAAGTATAGAATTCAAGGATTTTTACTAAATTTACAGAGTTGTACAACCATCACCTCAATCTGATCTTAGAACACCTCCATTATCACAAAAAGATCTCTCATGCCCATATGCAGTTGCTCCCTGTTTCCATCCCAGCACCATGTAATCACTAATCTATGTTCCTAAGAATTGGTCTTTTCTGGACATTTCCTATAAATAAATTCATACAATATGTGGTCTTTTTTTGTCTGTTTTCTTTCATATGGCTTGCTTTTCAGGTTCATGCATGTTATAAGCATGAAGTATTCCACTGTATGAACATATAAACGTTTTGCTTATCCCTTCATCGGATGACAGATATTCATATCATTCCTACTTTTTGGCTACTATGACTAATGCTGATATGGACATTCACTTACAAGTTTTTGGTGGACAAATGTTTTCATTTGTCTTGGATAAAGACAAAGTAGAATTGCTAGGTCATACTGTAAATTTTTGTTTAACTTGGAGAAAAGAAAAAAAAAAAACAAAAACCCTGCCAAGCTGTTTGCCTAGGTTGGCTGCACCATTTCACATTCCTACCAGCAATGCATGAGGGTCTCTGTTTTCCTAGTCACCAACAATTGTCTGTCTTTTTTATTATACCCATTCTAGTGAGTGTGAAGTGGTACCTATAAGGATTTTAATTTGCATTTCCCTAATGACTAATGAGGTTAAACACTTTTCATGTGCTTACTGGCCATTCAAACAGCTGCTCTAGTGAAATGTCCATTCAAATCTTGCTCATTTTTTTAAAATCAGGTAATTTGTTTTCTCCTTATTGAGTTGTAAGTTATAACTTAGATACAAGCCCTTTCTAAAATATATGATTTACAAATATTTTCTTCATTTTTGTGTCTTGCCTTTCACTTTCTTGGTGATTTTTGAAGCACAAATTTTAATTTTGATTAAAATTAATCAAAATTATAAATTTTTATCAGTTGTGCTTTTCTGGTAATATCTAAAAATCAACACTCATTCCTGATTAAATTATCTTAGCAAATTAGGAAGAAAAGGGAATCTTTATAATAAAAAGTAACTGTAAAGTACCTATAGCTAACATAATCTTTAACAGTCAATTACTAAAAGCTTCCTCCCAGGGACCAAGAAAAGAGACAAGGGTGTTCCCTAACACTTTTAAACACTGTAACAGATGTACTAGCGAGTGTGATAAGACCAAAATAAAACTTACAAGGATTGAAAGGTATAATAAAACAGTCATTATTAGCAGATAACTGTATATGAAGAATAGCCTAAAGAATTTTCAAACCATGAAAATAAGTAAATTTAGTAAGGTTGCTGGATATAAGCTCAATATACAAAAATCAACTGTATTTCTATATACTAGCAAAAGAAATTTGAATGTGAAATCTCGAAAAGATATCACTTTCAAAACATCCAAAAATCAAGGAGTGAAAGAATAAATCTAACAAAAGGAACATAAGACCTTGACACAAAAACTGAAAAATCTTACTGAAATAAAGAAGCCCCAAATAAAAGAACACATTACATTCATGTGTTAGAATAGTTCATACTAAAAGATGTAAATTCTCTCCAAATTAATAGATTAAATGTTGTTCCAATAAAAATCCCAATTTTTCTGAAAATTAATAAGATGAAAATGCAAAGTGCCAACAACAGTCAAGATACCGCATAAAGTATTGGTGAAGGTGTAAAGCAATGAGACCTCTGACTTAAGACTGCTAGGAGTAAAACCAGTACAATCATTTTGGAAAGCAATTCCACTCCAAATATACACACTCAACAAAAAATGCATGATGTGTACTAAAAGACATGTACAAGCATAGTCAGGGCAGCACTATTAGAAACAGCTAAAAGCTGGGAACACCTCAAACAACAAGCAAACAGTAGAAGACACAAATTATGAAATATTTCTACAAGGAACAGGACTGCACTACTCCTAGACGAATGGTACAGGCTGAATCCTGCAAATATGTTCAATGGAAGAGATCAGCCTGCAAAATTCCAACTACATAAAGTTTGAAAATAGGCAATATTAGTATTTGGCGATAAAAGTCATAATAATTGCCTATGTCTTTTGGGTGGGAGATGGGTAATGATAAGGAAGGGACATGTGGGACGACTGTGGTGTGCTGGGACTTCATTTTGTAGAAATTTACAGAATTATGTGCTTTTAATTTGTGCAATTTTCTGTATGTCCACATTATACTTCAGTTAAAATTTTTTTTAAGTTTCCTGATTCCATACGCCCTACCCCCTCCAGCTGCCAATTTTTTCCTCCTTTTTACGCCAAACTCTTCAGAAGACCTGCCTCCCATGCTCTCCTCCTATACTGTCTCCAAGCAAGGGAGACAAAAAGAGTAAAAAATAAACATAACAAATTAGTAATCTACATAGAAGGGGATAAATGTTTTGGAGAAAAAGGTGAAGAAAGTACAGACGGGTATTAAAGGTGGTGACCATGTCACAATATTCGATGTCATAAATACCATTCTATTTGAGAATGTATAATAAGCTTTGTGAATGGCAGTATCATAGCCAATGAGGTTTATCTGAGGAGAGATTATTCTAAGAGAAAGTATAATAAGATTCAATAAGATTTCATATGTTCCTTGTATTTCAAGTGTATCTAATAATTTAATACCTGGTTCTCAGACATTTTAAATGAACTTTATATCTCCTGTTACATATTTGTATGTAACTTGCCAGTAATAACTTGTATTGCTTTTGCATTATCTACTGCAAACTCTTTTCATTTAAATATATAGTTGGAAATGTATAATACACTAAGTAGACAACGCATGGAATTGATACATTATTTAACAATTTTGAGAAAACATATATTTTAAACACCACCCACTATAATGGCCCTCTCCTAAAATTTCAGTGTTTTAATAAATTCCTTCTTTTAAATATTCTTTAGGATTAGTATGTATTAAATTTCTATACTTATATTTGCAGTAAACTACTCCAATGAACTTTAGAGAAGTTATGGGAAAACACACTATTCTCTGTTATGCACTGCATGATGTCTAGCTTCCTTGGCCCCCACTAACCATATGTCAATAAAGCTCTTCAACAGCCAAAAACGTCCCTCAAATTCCAAAAGGCTCCACAGTGGGTGTTAACGTCCCCTTGAGATCTAATGCTTTAAGCCAGTGATCTTCAACCTTTTTGTTCCTATTATTGCTAAAAGAATTTTGAAGTATGTGCTCCTTTGAACATTTTTATGCTGACATTTGAAATTTTTCATCTAAGTTTAAGTAGTTTGAAAGATTTCAATGTACTATGAACACTCACATTTTTAAACAAAACTCATATGCCATTTTCAATGAATCCAGTGGAACCTACACTATCAGTGATTTGGTTCTCAAAATCATCCGCATTAAAACATACCGCATTTAAAACAAGCTGGGCGCGGTGGCTCACGCCTGGAATCACAGCACTGTAGGAGGCTGAGGCAGGCAGATCACTTGAGGTCAGGAATTCAAGACCAGCCTGGCCAAAATGGCGACACCCCGACTCTACTAAAAACACAAAAATTAGCCAGGAGTGGTGGCGGGTGCCTGTAATCTCGGCTACTTGGGAGGCTGAGGCAGGAAAATCACTTGAATCCAGGAGGTGGAAGTTGCAGTGAGCCAAAATCGCACCACTGCACTCCAGCCTGGGCAACAGAGCAAGACTGTCTCAAAAAAATAAATAAAACATACAAACAAACCTATCCTTAAAAAGTGTAAACTGAAGAATGAGGAGGTTCATAAACTTGGAAAGGAGAGTTTTATTTCTCATAAATGGTTGCGGCTTGTGCCATACTGACAGGCTGGGGAGCACAGCTTTTGGCCAGAAGCCAGAAACAGACACTTCAAGGGAAAGGCAAAGGGAAGTGGAATTTATGATGAACGAGGTGGCTGAATATACATATTTAACAAGTTCTAAGAGTCATGAATATTATAAAAGGAGAAATGCGTGCGCACAATTGAGCTTCATGCACTTTCATGGGTCATGTACAAAAAATGGGGGCGTGAGCATGGCCCGAGGGCAGAGTTTTCAGCCCTCTGCTGTCAAAGGTGAAGCAGAGGACACAAAAACCCTCACTGTGCATCCTTCGTAGACCTCCCAGAACCACTCTGCGGTTCTCGCTCTCTTATCAGGAAAGAACGCTGGTAAGCAGTTAAAACTACAAAAGGCAGGGGCAGCACCAGGCAGTAGATATCAGCAGTGGAGCAAGTCTTTCCAAAGGGCTGGTTTGTTTAACCTTCAGGAAAGAAAGCCTAATGGCAGTTCTCCAGGGAGGGGGTATTACAAGAGATGTCCGACCTCCCATCCTGTCATGGCTGAGATTTTCCTCGGCCAAAAGGAGGTCACAGTTGTCCAAGTCAGTTGGCTTAGCATTTCATTTTTATTTCTCAATATAAAAAATGTTACATTATCTCCTTTCTTCATTAACTGGTATTTTTGCTCTGCTTTCAATTTTTTTTTTCCTGATATAACTGGTATTTGTGCTTTAAAATATTTTATTTGTCATTCTGTCACATTTCTTTGCAACAAAATGTGTATGCAAATTAAATTAATTTTTATTAAATTCCCTATAAAGTGCCAAGTTTAAAAGTTTTCTTCTGGATTGAATTTTCATTACAAGTATTATTAGCACAGAACTGACAAAAGCAAAAATATATTTCAAATTTGATAACTATTAAATACTAAATATAAACTTTTATTAGACATGCATCACAATGAGATAGATGGGACTACCTTCCCTCCTCTCATTATTTCATATATTCATGAATGAGTATTATTTACTGCTAGAGTGAGGCAGGATTTACCATCAATTTTACTCATGCTGAGAAAACCTTTTCACATAAACAAGGAAGATGTTTACTACAGCAATGTCATTCCTTTAGCACTCTGGTGAAAAAATCACATCGTAATCAAGAAACATCTAACAAGTTCCCAACAATTCTAGTAAACTGTCTTCAAACTATGTTGAAAGCAAAGAACCAGAAACTGCCAGAATAAGAATCTCAGCTGAAATTCTCAACATTAATATTTTAAAGGCCTCTTTTTTGGCAATTCATAGGCTTTTTTCCCCTCCCTGTAGCAACAAAGCAAAGATCAGGAATAACTTTCCATTGTGGAAGAGGCAACTATGAAGAGAAAGAGAACTGGAACCTCCAGTTCAGCCTGAAGAGTTTTATGACAGGGTACACGTTATGTATTAGACAGACCCTTTATGTATTAGACAGATGTGTGCACCTCCTGAGGCCTAGAAACATCCCAGCCCCAGCCAGGGGATCTCTGTTTTTAAGTCACATCAGTCAGAAGTCAGTTGCCAGGTCATATGGAATGCAAAGTGGCTGCACATCCACACACTGCCTCCAGTACACGGCATTGTCATACTTGCTGTGATGACTCACTTTATGTGTCTACTTGTCTGGGCCACAGGGTGCCCAGATAAAATACAGTTTCTTGGTACGTCAGTAAGGGTCCTTCTGGATGACTAGCATTTGAATTCGTGAACTGCAAAGAAGCAGCCCTTCCCATGTGGGTAGCCATCATCCAATTCCCTGAGGGCCTCAATAGAACAAAAGGTGAAGGAGGAAGGAACTGGCCTCTATTTTCCGCCCCACTGCTAGAGTTGGGACATCTCATCTCATCTTCCCCTGCCCTTGGACTAGATTTACACTGGCTCCCATGAATCTCAGGCCTTTGGACGCAGACTGAATTACACCACCAGCTTTCCTGGGTCTCCAGCTTGCAGATGTAGACTGTGGGACATTTCAGTTCCATAATCCCGTGAGCCAATTCCTCACAATAAATCTTTTATATTTCTATTGATACTATTTATCTGGAGAACCCTAATACACTTATTAAATTGTGGCAATCTAGTGAATGAGAAATGGTAATTTTAAGTTGCATTTTTCTCAGAAGTAAAAGATGAAATGCTTCACAAAATTGTAGGGGGTTATTACGCAGTGATTAAAGTCATGATTTCAATCGTTCCAATTTTTGTACATGTGGTGCCAATTCGAACACCCTGGTCTCTTGATCCCACTCCAAACAGGCTTTTATTCTCTCCAATAAAGCCAAATAATCAGGTCAAGATAACCAATGATTTCCATGTGGCTAAATCCACATCTTAACCTGCAAGCAAATCTGGATAAAGCGGGGATTCTCCTGAGTCCTGGAATATCTCCAACTAGGACCAGGAAACTAGTCTGTTTTTCTTTCCCGCTGCTCTTACGTGGTGGTTGTCAGGGGTACCCTAGCTTCATAAAATGAGCTGGAAAAGACTCTCTTTTTCTATTTTCTCAAAGAGTATATAAAGACTGGAATTATCTGCTCCATGAATGCTTAGGTGTAAATGTAACATTCTTCTGAAGTCATTGTGGCCCGGTGCTTTCTGTGTGGAAAGATCTTTAACTGATGCTTCAATTTCCACATTGCTCTGGTATTACTAGTTTTCTATTTCTTAAGTCAGTTTTGGTTAATTTTTATTTTCTAGTAATTTATCTATTCCACCTAAAATCTTGACTTTATTGCACATTCTTAACATTATCTTACCAGTTTAATCTCTGTGGAATTTATATCTATGGCTCCCTTTTCCAATCTGAATATTGTGTATTTTTTCCCTCACTCACAATTAATCTTGCCAAAAGTCTGACTATTTGGCTTTTCAAAGAAGCAGCTCTAGGCTCTATTATCCTTACTACTTAATGTGTTTTCCATGTCATTAGTTTATGCTCACTTCATTTCCTTTCATCTACCCTATTTGGGTTATTCTGCAGTTATTTTTTCACTTAAGGTACATGCTTAGTTTATTCATTTTCAGCCTTTTTTCTTTCCTGAAGTCCAACCTTAGCTATCTTATACAATTTTTAAAGTATTTTTTGTTAGCATTTAGTTCTGAATGCTTTCTAATTTCCATTAAGATTCATTTGCTGAGCTGTAAGTTATTTAGAAGTTATCTTAAATTTCCCAATGTAGGGGACTTTTTCTAATTACGTTTTTTGTTAATGACTTCTAACAACTGCCTGTGGTGACAGAATGTGGTCTGATGATAGCTGTCCTCTGAAATCTGTGGAGGTTTTATGGCCTAGCAGATGGCTAATTTTCATAAATAGTCCATGTGTGCCTGAAACGAATGCCTAGCCATCAACCACTGTGGATGAATGTCCACAAAGGTATATTACATTAACCCTCAGTAGACCAGGAAAAGTAACCAACACTCTATCAGCTGGGGCCAATGGACTCCTTAGATCTTTATTTCATATTTAGGTCAATTTACAAACAATTTAAAGAAAAATAATAGTGAAAAAACAACTTTATTAGAAATTTTAGTAAAAATTTAAACATAAAAAACCCACGTTGCTATTTTATATTTTCCTGGCATATGCATATATATGTATATACACACACATACATACAAACACATACATATTATAAATATACAAATATATACTCACATACATACACAAACACATCTGAAAAAGGCTACATCATTTGAACGAAATTGTTAACAGACAGAAATAAACCTGGATTGGCCAGGCATGGTGGCTCATGCCTACTCCCAACACTTTGGGAGGCCAAGGCGGGTGAATCACTTGAGGCCACGAGTTTGAGACCAGTCTGGCTAACATGGCAAAACCCTGTCTCTACTAAAAACACAAAAATAAGCTGGGCGTGATGGTGCACACCTGTAAACCTAGCTACTCAGGAGGCTGAGGCACGAGAATCACTTGAACCTGGGATGCGGAGGTTGCAGTGAGCCGTGATTGCACCACTGTACTGCACTCCAGCCTGGGTGACAGAGCAAGACTCGGTCTCCAAAAAAAAAAAAGAAATGAACCTCCATCACACAGACTCGGTCTCCAGAAAAAGAAAAAAAAAAAAAGAAAGAAAAAAGAAATGAACCTGGATTGCACAGGTTTATAAAAGCTGAATCTAGGTTTCAAATACATCTCTAGCAGATCATCATTACTATCACTACTTCTGGTTCTTCTTGGACTTGCACTGTAGAAATGCAATGTTTTTGAAAACACTGATGGCTCTTAATTTAAAGAGGACAGCCATATTCTTTGCTCCCTAATTGCAATATACTTTCATTTTTAGATTTATAAACATCAGTCAGAATGATCAAGCCAATGACTTGTTTTCATTTCTATGCCATCTATTTCCTTCTTATCACCTTTGTATACACAAGGGCCTTCAACACATCATTTACAAGCTGTATCAAGTAAATGTTCACATATAAACATCATATGAGATCCAACAATACTATCGCACATCCTCTTGGCAAAATGGGATGGTCCCTCCCCACTGCCCACAGAGCAGAGATTATTTCTCTGTTATTTACTGCTATATCCTCAACAGTACCTGACACATGGCAGGCTCTCTCTAAAAAATATTAAATACATGAATTAATTAATGAAATTCATGTGTTTTCTTTGTAGTTGAGATCTGATGAAGAGTTACAGTAAAAATGCTTAAGAGGTATGAATACTAACCATTTACCTTAACATCCTCTCCAACTTACCTCCTCCTATTTCCTGATGGCAGCCTTTTGTTCTGGTGCCCTCCCAACTCCCCACAGTCCATATACTTTGGAAGAAGATGAATCTACCCCCACATCCAGGAGTGGACTATGGTTAGTTTGAGCTAACCAGCATGGTCCACTCCCCTAAGCAATCAAATCAAGCTCAATTGAAGGGCTCCAGCTTGGATTGCAGCAGAGTATTCTCTTTCTTTCAAGAAAGTCATGCATGGATATGGGGCCCAGAACTGAAGTTTTAGGCCACCAACCCATATATAAAGCTGGCAAACAGAGTAAACTACAGGAATTTCAGAAAAATTCAAAATGACTGGATTCAGGCAATCCTAACAGGCTTATAGTTTAAGTCAATTTGTGAAAATGCTTTGTTAGATGGAGGTGAGAGCTCATTATCTAACTAGATGACATATTAGAAATGATTACAAATTGGTTCTGCTTCAGTCCACATCTGTTCTCAAGGGAAGGAATTGATTGGTGGAGATATAAAATTAGCTCTAATGATTACAGAAAGTTTCTAGGTAATGTCTGGAGAGGATCAAGTGAGATTAAGGAGCATGACCTTCTTGGTATAACATGACTACTGTCAGAGCTTCTAGAGCACTAGATCCTCAATAAGAATACCAACTTGTAAGTGCTTTCACTTATATCCTCATCCAGAACCTGCACCCACCTTTTACTCCAATTAAATAAAAAATTTCTATCTTGGAAACTCAACCAGTAAAATTTTACCTGCCCATTTGATGAAAAGGACTATTCTGCCACAGGATTTCTATTAGAATTCAAGGCTCTAATAAATCAGATGTCACTTTTCCTCAAAGTGAAGTGTCCTTTCACTAACCAAAACCAAAACCCTCCATTTCTGTCCAGCGTCTCAGCCCCTCTTGAAGGCCTACTTCGAGGCTTCTTTCTGAAACGTGATGACACCTCTCCCTCTTCAATAGGATCAGATTAGTTTCATCAGCATGCAAACTATAGTAACACCTCCATCCTGAAAAAGTCTCATAGATCCCTCATACACTTCCAGCCATCACTACATTTTAATGAACTAACAGAGACTGATTTCTAGGAGGTACTTTTTTTTTGGCAGGGGGACAGAGTCTCGCTGTTGTTGGCCTAGGCTGGAGCGCAATGGCGCGATCTCGGCTCACTGCAACATCCACCTCCCAGGTTCCAGCAATTCTCCTGCCTCAGCCTCCCGAGTAGCTGAGATTACAGGTGCCCACCACCACGCCCTGCTAATTTTTGTATTTTTAGTAGAGATGAGGTTTCATCATGTTGGCCAGGCTGGTCTCGAACTCCTGACCTCAGGTGATCCACCCACCTGGGCCTCCCAAAGTGCTGGGAAGAGGTATTGTTAACTGCAAAAACTCAAGTGCAAGAATATATATAAAATGCTACTAGCATAAGAAAGATTGGAAATAGTTGAACAAATAGGTATAGCCTTAATTTTGCAGACAGAAACATGAAGGATAATCTAGAAACTAATGAGACTCACTAACACCCTCAAGGGTGGGAACTGGAGGGAAGAGATTAGAGGGAGGAAGTGGGTACTGACACTTCTATGATTATATCTCTTTGAATAGTTTAGACTTCTGAAACCATATTAATATTTCATATATCAAAATAAAATAAATAGGAGTGAGGAAACCTAACATTACCTCTAATGAATAAAACACAACCACAATAAAGAAATAACCTAAGTAACTCTTCACACAATATGTTTAGTATTGTATATTACAGTATTACATACCTTCAGTCCAAAGATATAAAGTACAGCTACTCCTTGACTTGCAATGGGGTTATATCCCAATAAACTCATGGGATGTTGAAAATATCACAACTGGAAAATGCATTTTACAGATGCTCCTCAACTTAAAATGGGGTTACAATTTCTACTGAATGCGTATCACTTTTGCACCATCGTAAATTGAAAAATCGCTAAGTCAAACCATCATTAAGTGAGGGACTGTACTGTCAATAGGTAATAAGCTCTGGATAAAAGGTATGTTTACCACAGTGGTATGGATCAGCAACTCTGAAATTACTTTCAGTAAGTTACAGGATTGAGCAAATGAGTCAATATACTGCAGGTACTACAAATATGGAAAGGGAGAAGGTAACAATGAACCCTGTGGTGATAAACTGGAAATGGAGGTAACAATATAAACTCATGGTTTTCAACATGTAAGTACAGAAATGGTTGTAAACATGTGTGTGTGAATATGTAATGTAATTTATCTACTTATTTCTTAGGTCTGTCTTGAGAAGCAAAGACACCCATGTAACAGTGAGCACATGTTGTACCCAGATCTTGGTTCTTCAATACCATTCCCCACTAATAGGAACTAAGAACTTGCACCTGTGGCTGCAATGGAGTAACTGGTACTGGATCCCCTCCCTCAAAATATATGAAATGGCTCAGCTATTGATCAACAGGCAGTAAAAGACTACCATCTGGGATCCTGTGACTGTCCCTGTTTTCTTCCTGAAGACACCTGACAGACTGGTAGAAGGCAGGGGTACCCCAACAAAGCACTGTGGTCTTGCTGATCGAGATCAGCGTGCAGGGAGGCTGAGGTGGCTGGAATTTACAGGGCAGATAAATGGAAAGGTGGGGTAACCTCTCAGAGGAAGAGCTCCAGTAAAATGCACTAGGGTTCCCTAATGCTTAGGCTGAACAGTAAACTCCCAATTCATAGAAAATTACTAGAGAAAGAAAAAACAACCAGGGAGCTATGAAATGAACAAATCCTAGAGATTACACTGAGCTGAAAGGCATTCACGCTATGACCAGCAGGAATAGAGAGAACTTGTCAACACCTATGTCCAGCTGGACTGATCCTCCAGGACAGTAACTACCTTCTGCAGCAAAACCACACTGAATAAGAAAGATACCTAATAGGCATGTGTCCTATCTGTCACAAAACAAAACCAATTGACAGTTATTTCACATAATTCTAAAGAAAAAAAATTACCAAATGTTTACAGTCACAAAAAGGTAACAAACATAATATCCATTAATATAAAATTTAATGAGTAAATAATACTGGTATTAATCATGTTGCCTTTTTCTTTAGAGAATGTAAAAATATTGACTACCTCCATCTCTTTCAACCTTATTTTACCCCGAAAAGCAATACATTATTCAAATGAAACTTCAACTCAGGGAGTTTTTAAGAACCATAAACCTCAAGATCATCCTAATTGGTGCTGGCCTTCAAATCTAGCATTCACCCAAATGACACTATCACTGAACAAAATACTTCTCAAACTATGAGTTGTACAACTGTTTCCAGATCACTCACCAAGCACACAAGAAAAAATGAACATTTTTATTTTTATGTCAAGAAAAACAGCCTCCATGGCCAAGCCTCTCCAGCTTCTTCCTGCAAAGCCCAGTGTAACTGACCCCTGCTCCTCCAGCTGGAACAAACAGAGAAAACTGGAGTGTGAACCAGAAGACAGCAAAAAACAGCCTGCAGGCCAGTCTGCACCCAGCTTTTACATCTTTTCTAAGGGTTGTAAAGATAAAACAAAGAATATGTGACAAAAATTGTTAAGAGGCACACAAAGCCTAAAATATCTGGCCTTTTACACACAAAATTTACTAACCTCAGTCTAGACTAATGCCAGTTCCCAGAGAAAGCCCTGAGAAGGCAAACTACTACTGAGTATCAATTTCCAGAAGCAGACTGACAAAAATCTAATTTTTTCTAACTTTTGAAGTCTCCCTTTCTAACTGCCGGAGCTCTACTCAAGCTGACCAAAGTTCTAGAGCTGAATTCCACTCCCCTGGCCTCATGCAAGAGGGGTCTCCTGCAGGAAGGACCCCTTCCAGCCTCCCACTGCCCACAATGCTCACCTCACCACATAACTGGGCAGCCTTGGAGAAAGGGGACTGAGAGAACCACCTAGGCTCTCTGACCAGCTGCCCACCCACTAGGGGGGGCCCATTCTCTGCTCACCCCAACAGAGGCAGCTGTGCTCCTCCAAGACATCCCTTGTGGTAGCAGGTGGGAGAGAGAACTTGAAGTCCATCTGGGAACACATCAAAGCCATATCTTTGAAACAGGTTTAACGGTAAGTCATAAAGCTAATGTTTTAATCTCCACTGGTTAAATTTACTGGTACCCTAGATACAACCTTCTATTTATAAGACTGACAATATCTCAAGAACAAATCACTCTTCTTAACCACACAAGCCACCTACGCATGCTCTGTATCAAAGCTTGTTTTATTTAACCATGACATTTTGCCAATGTTACTTCCTCAACAACCAAAATGGTTCACAGTCATCCCATGAACTATTTGCTAAGTGCCTTCTATGGGCCAGGCACTGTTCTGGCAATAGGCCTCTGTCCTAATGCCAACGAAAGGAGCTTATCTGCGGGGGAGGCTGACTGATAATCAATAAGTAAAAAATAAATTCAAGAACAGAAACGTTCAGAGATGAAGCTAAAATAGAAAAATGTGATGGAGGCTGGGGGAAGCAGGGAGACCTGCTTTGGTTTAAGTGATGAGGGAACAGCTATTTAAGATGACATTAGAGCAGAGGCCTTTCTGAACACAAAGAGAACACTGAGCACAACGAGTTGGAGAGAAGAATGAGCTTTGTCAAGCAGAGAGAGTAAGAAAGGCAGTGGGAAATTGGTGGGAAAAGGCAATGTGGCCAGAGTAGGCGAGACCTGACACACTTGGTATCAGTTTCCTGGTGCTGCTGGACAAATAACTACAAGCTTAAAGGGATTACCTGACAATTCTAGGTCAGAAGTCTAAAATGGGTTGGCAAGGCTGCATTCCTTCTGGAGGCACTAGGGAAGATGAGCTCCCTTGCCTTTCCCAGCTTCTAGGGGCTGTCCACATTCCTTGGCTCATGGCCCCTTCCTTGCTTCTCTCCAACTTCTGCTTCCTGTTGTCATTTCTCCTGCTCAGAGTCCTCCTGCCTCCCTCTTGTATGAACCCTTGTCTTTACATTGGGCCCAGTGGATACATCAGGAAAATCTCCCCATCGTAAGATCTTCACCTTCCTCACATCTGCGAAGTTCCTGTTTCCATGTAAGGTTCCAGCATTAGGACGTGGACAACTTTGGGGGTCATTTCTGCCTCCCACACACTTTATTTCTGAACAGTGTCTGAAATAGCAGAGTGATGTGATCCATTAACTTTTTTAAGATCACTTGGGCTGCTGTGTGGGGAAAGGGCAAGAGTGGAAGCAGATTAGTCAGCAGGTTATTACTAATATATATTTCCTATTCCTTAAAATCTCTACAGATCCTAAAATATTATACAGGTAGGCTTTTTAAAAAATGGAATTAGAGTCAGAAATGAATTAGCAACAACCAATCAATCATTACTTACACAGAAAGGGCACGAGTACTCTGAGTCATTTTTAACGGCATCTCTGACGTGCTCAAATGAAAACATTAAAATTTAAGTGCAGCTGACCTTTGAACAACATCAGGTCTATTTGTACACAGATTTTCTTCCACCTCTGCCACCCCTTTGAGACAGCAAGACAACCCCTCCTCTTTCTCCTTAACCTACTCAACATGAAGATGACAAGGATAACCTGTGTGATGACCCACTTCCACTTGATAGTAAATGTATTTTCTCTTCCTTATGGTTTTCTTAGTAACATTTTCTTTTCTTTAGCTTACTTTACTGTAAGAATAAAGCATATAATACATATAACATACAAAATGTTTGTTACTCAACCCTTTATGTTACCAGTGAGGCCTCCAGTCAACAGTAGACTATTAGTAGTTCAGTTTTTGAGAAGTCAAGTTATAGGAGGATTTTCAACTGTGAGGGGTGGGGGCAGGGGTGCAGGTGGAGGTGTCATCTCTCCTAACCTCTCATGTTGCTCAAGGGTCAACTATAAGAAAAGAAGGGCCTCAAATCAGTTATCTAAACTTCCACCTTAGGAAGCTAGAAATAAGAGTAAATTAAACCCGAGGCAAACAGAGAGAAGAAAATAATGAAGAAATCAATGAATAGAAAGAAAAGCAAAATAAAGGAAACCAAAAGCCACTTATTTGAAAAGATAAACAAAAGTGACTAATGTTTTGCTAGTATTTAAGAAAAAAGACACAATGTATCAATATCAAAAATAAATAATCAGACATCGGCCAGGCACAGTGGCTCACACCTATAATCCCAACACTTTGGGAGGCTGAGGCAGGCGGCCTTGAGGCCAGGAGTCCGAGACCAGCCTGGCCAACATGGTGAAACCCCATCTCTACTAAAAATACAAAAATTAGCCAGGTGTGGTGGTGCATGCCTGTAATCCCAGCTACTCGGGAGGCGGAGGTTGCAGTGAGCTGAGATTACACTGCTGCACTCCAGCCTGGGTGACAGAGCAAGACCCTGTCTCAAAATAAATAAATAAATAATCAATCAGATATCATTATAGATTCAATGTAGTAAAAGGATAAGGAATAATATGAACAATTTTATGGCAATTAACTTGAAAACTTAGATAAAACACAAATTACCAAAACTCACTCAACTTAAAAGACACAAATTACCAAAACTCACTCAAAAAGAAATGTAAACCAAAAATAAAATTCTGAGTTCGCCAACTGACTGATGGACCCTCCCCTCCACCAAGGGCAATCCAAAGCTAACCTGAGAAACTAGTTCAGGCCATGATGGAAAGTGGGAGTGGGAGTAGGACATTCTTCATTATACTCTCCTCCCGTTGGAATTCAGGCACAGATGACCAGCATTAACATCAACACAGGACCTGAAGACTGACAGAACAGGCCCTTTAAGTCTGACAAGAAACATTTACAATCTATTTTCTCTGAAGCTTCCCACCTGAAGGCTTCATTTGCATAATAAGAACCTTGGTCTCCACAACTAAGACACTGCCTTTCACTGATTCCAGGTCTTTAGATAAATTCTTTCAACCAATTGCCAATCAGAACATCACTGAATCTACCTATAACCTGGAAGGCCCCCTATCCCTCACTGCTTCCAGTTGTCCCACCTGTCCAGACTGAACCAACGTACATCTTACATGTATTGATTGATGTCTTATGTCTCCCTAAAATGTATAAAACCAAGCTGTAGACTGAACACCTTGGGCACACATTCTCATGATCTCCTGGGGCTGGTCACTCATATTTGGCTCAGAATAAATCTCTTCGAATATGTTACAGAATTTGACTTTTCAAACAGAAGAAACTCAAGTAGCCCTGTATTTATTAAAGATATCAAATTCATAGTTACAAATCTTCCCACAAAGAAACTTCCTAGACCAAATGACTTCGTTGGTGAATTTTACCAAACAATTAAGTAAGAAATAATAACAACTATGCAAACTTGTTCAGGGAAATAGAAGGAAGGAACATTTCCCAATTCATTTTATGAGACCAGCACTATCCTGATACCAGAACTACAGACCTTACAATAAAAGAAGGCAAACCAATTTCCCTTATGAAAAGTTATAAAATCCTAAAAAACTTAAGCAAATCAAATCCAGCAGTATATAAAAAGGATTAATGATCGAGAGGTCTGTTCCAGGAATACACAATTGTTAATAATTGATAATCAATCAATCATTCACCATATTGACAGGCTGAAAAATAATATGAGAATCTTAATAGATGCCAAAAAGAGATTTGACAAAATTCAATACATGTTCATGAAAAAAAAAAAATGCCTCAGCAAACTACAAATAAAAAGAAACTTTTCACCCTGATGAACTGCATCTGTGAAAAAACTACAGCTAACATCATACTTAGTAGTAAAAGACTGGATGCCTTCCCCATAAGATTGAGAAAAGACAAAGACGAACACTCACACTGCTTTTAGTCAACTCTATAATGAAAATGTAATGGATATATAAAAAAAAATAAAAGGTGAACAGATAGGAAAGGAAGAAGTAAAACTATCTTTATTCACAAATGACTTGACTACCTTTGTAGAAAACCCCAGAGTATCTACAAAAAAGAGTCCTAGAAGTAAAAAGTGCATTTAACAAGGTTGCAGGATACAAAGACAATATACAAAAATCAATATACTAGCAATATACTAGTAATAAAAAATTGGGAGTAAAATTAAGAAGAAATGCCACTTACAGTAACATCAAAATATATGAAAAACTTAGAAATAAATTTAACCAAACATGTCTAAGACCTGAACATGGTAACAGACAGTGCGGTATTGGCATTAAAAATACCCAGAGAAGGCCAGGCGTGGTGGCTCACGCCTGTAATCCCAGCACTTTGGGAGGCCGAGGCAGGTGGATCACGAGATCAGGAGATCGAGACCATCCTGGCTAATACGGTGAAACCCCGTCTCTACTAAAAATACAAAAAATTAGCCGGGCGTGGTGGCGAGCCCCTGTAGTCCCAGCTACTCGGGAGGCTGAGGCAGGAGAATGGTGTGAACCCAAGAGGTGGAGCTTGCAGTGAGCCAAGATCACGCCACTGCACTCCAGCCTGGGTGACAGAGTGAGACTCCATCGCAAAAAAAAAAAAAAAAAAGTACCCAGAGAACCCTGACATAACTCACACATATACTGTCAACTGATATTTTAGACAGGTCCCAAAATAATGTAATGGGGGAAAAGTTGGTCTGACAAATGGTGCTGGGAGAATTGAAAATGCAACAAAACAAAAACCCCAAAAAAAGCCACCTGTGTATAAAAAAAATACTTCGTCGTTTTTATTCCAGGTTCCTGGCCCAAAGCTCCTAAAACCCTCAGAATTTCCTGAGTGACAGAGTGTCTTTTGTTATTCCTAACATGCCCTTCTCAACCAAACCTGAGTTTATGCTAATGAACTGACTCTTAGAGGGCCCCTAGATAGCTCCAGGACAGGCGCTGGTCACCAGAAATATCAAGCCATGATCAGAGGGTTAGAACTTTCAGTGCCCTACCCACACCTTCAGGGAGTGAGAGGAGCTGGAGATTGAGCTCAGTCGCCAATGGCTAATGATGTAATCAATCATTATGTAAAGAGGCCTCCATAAAAAATCCCTGAAACAGGGCTTAGGGAGCTCCCAGGTTAGTGAACACATGGATGTGCTGGGTAAGTGGCACACCTGGAGAGGGTATGGAAGCTCTGCAACCCTCCACCCTAACTTTGCTCTAAGTACCTCCTCCACTTGACTGTTCCTCAGTTTTCTCTTTTATAATAAACTGGTAATAGTAAATAAAGCACTTTCCTGAGTTTCGTGAGATGCTCTAGCAAATCCCATTCCTGAGACCAATTATGACGTCTTTTTTTCTAACACCACTTCTGACACCAAATGTCTGAGGGTTTCCACACCAATTCTTCAACATCAAGCGGGTATCCAACAATTCAGTTAAATTCTGCCACCATCCAAAATTAGTGGGATCCCACAAGTTAAGGGGTCCCACAAGGCTGCCCTCACTTCAGATGCAACTCACAAGTCCCAGGGGCAACCCATATGTCTGAAACAACCAGCTATAGATTTGGGGATTCCCCTAAACTCCTCAGGTTACTTAATTCACTAGAATGACTCAGAATTTAAAAAAAAAAAAAAAACACTTTATTTACTATATGCAACTCAGGAACAGACCAATGGAACAGATGCATAGGGCAAGGTATGGGAAGAGGGAGTACAGAGCTTCCATGCCCTCTTTAGGAGTGCCAACCTCCTAGAAAATCAATGTGTTCACCAACCTAGAAGCTCCCTGAGCCCCATTTTTTGTTTTGTTTTTTTGAGACAGGGTCTCACTTTGTCACCCACGCTGGAGCACAGTGGCACAATCACAGCTCACTGCAGCCTCAATATCTCAGGCTCAAGCAATCCTTGCACCTCAGCCCCCTCAAGTAGCTGGGATTACAGGAATGTGCCACCACACCCAGTTAAGAGGGTTTTTTGTTTGTTTGTTTGTTTGTTTGTTTGTTTTGGTAGAGATGGGGTTTTGCCATGTTACCCAGGCTGGTCTCAAACTCAAGCCATCCACCTGCCTCAGCCTCCCAAAGTGGCAGAATTACAGGCATGAGCCACCGTGCCTGGCTCTGAACCCCGCTGTTTAAGGGTCTTTATGGAGGTTTCATTACCTCCATAGGGAGACATGAATGACTAAATCACTGGCCACTGGTAACTGAGCTGAATCTCTGGCCCCTTTCCCCTCTGGGGGGAGAGGGTGCTAAAAGTTCTAATCCTCTAACCCATGGCTGCTTTTTCTGACAAGCTGCCCCCCCATCCTGAAGCTATCTAGGGTCATCTCATTACACAACAAAAAGCACTTGGACCATTCAGGAAACTCCCAGGGTTTTAAGAGCTCTGTACCAAGAACAAGGGCAAAGACCAAATATATTTTTTATTCTCTTTCACAACATATATAAAAATTAACTCAGAATACTTCAGAGTCCTAAATATAAGATATAAAAACTACAAAAGTATTAGAAAACAGGAGAAAATCTTTCTGACTGTGGGGTAAAACAAAATTTCTAAAATTCACAAAAAGGTACAAACCATAAAAGGAAAAAAAAATGATAAATCAGTCTTCATACATGTATACATACGTAACAAACCTGCACATTGTGCACACGTACCCTAGAACTTAAAGTATAATAAAAAAAAGAAACAATATGTAAATTTTTAAAAAATCAGTCTTCACATAAAAAACTTTTGTTCTTCAAAACAAATTATAAGGCAGAAAAATGACAGGCCATTTAGTGGAAGAAAACTTACCAAGTATAACAGATAAAAGTCTTGTATCAAGAATATAAAAAAAAACAAAAAAAAAACCTTACAACTCAATGAGATGAGATTCTAAGAAAAACATTGGGAAAAAATTCAAATAAACAAGTCATCAAAACAGATATACAGGTGACACATATGAAATGTAAACTAAAACTACAATGAAATATGACTTTGTATCCATTAGGATGCCTACAATTTTTAAACCTCATATTATCAAGTGTTGGTAAGCATGTGGAACGCCTGAAACTCTCATCCGTTGCTAGTGGGAATGCAAAATGATACCGAAAACAGTTGGCAGTTTCTTACAAAACTAAACACACAGGATAAAACCAGTAATTCTACTTCTGACTATTTACCTGAGAGAAATAAAATTATGCATTGCCAAAAAGGTGTGTGTGAATGGTCACAGAAGTGATGCATAAAAGCCAAACGATGGAAAAACCCAAATGACCATCACCTAATGAATAAACAAACCGTGAAACAGTCATACAATAAATACTATTCTCAGCAATAAAATAAAATACATGCCAATAAAATGAAACTAGTGAAACATGAATATGGATGAAGCTCAAACCATTATGTTAAATGAAAGAGGTCAGACACAAAAGACTACCCATAGTATGAGTCAATTTATTTTAAAATTACAGAAGATGCTAAACTAGGAGCAGCAAGGAGATTAGTACTTTCAGAGATCAGGGCAAGGGAAGGGGCTTGACTGCAAATGGACACAAGAAAACTTTTTAAGTAACGAATATGTTCTGTATCATGATTCTGATCATGGTTTAAATACCTGTCAAAATTCATCAATTATACATTTTAAATTGGTAAACTTTATTCCAAGTAATTCATACCTAAATAAAACATTTTTTATTCCAACAAACAATATATGACAACAACAAAAAAACAAAACCCTATATAGCTAAACTAATACAAACTTGTTAAACTACTACAAATTTGTGGTATCTATCCCTTCACGTTACTTATCAAACTCTCTGAAGGACTAACAGTTAAATACATAAATATGACAATCTAAGATTCTGAAACAACAACGGCCAGGTTACTTCATAGTCCAACGTGCCCACACATCTATCCAGATCATGACATTTTTATCCATATGAACAGCACACAACATTCAATAATGCATGTTGACAATTTTAGTGACAAGTCACTCTTTAGTCATAACATAATTTACTAGAATTCAAAAGCAGAAGCAAAACTACCTTTACTTTTTTATAAAACCCACACTGGTGTAATTCAGTGAAACAATTTAGGGTTCTACATATAGCAATCAATTACCAAGAATTGTTTATCATATATCTTAGGAAATTTCAAAAGAAAAAATCCTCATTCTCAGTAATTTCTCACAAAATTTCATTTCAAAAATGTTCTGGTAAAAACAATGCATGTGCACTTTGTTACTTTGAATTAGAAAAGTAAAAGAACAAAAATAAACAGATGACGGTGATTTCACATTTACATCCAACGCAGCAGCCCAATCAGACTTCTTTAGAATTTTGTGATTGGCAAATATTAAAATTTTAACTACATAAACATTTTGAAATAGCAGAATTGTTTTGACTTGTGTGTGTGTGTATGTGTGTGTGGGTGTGTGTATGTAAGGCAGAGAGACAGACACACACACACACACACACACACAGAGAGAAGAGAGAGGGAGAGGGAGAGAGAGAGAAGGTAAACTAAAAGTGATTAAACAGTTTTTAGAATATGTAAGGAGGCAGCACACATTCAGTCCAATCTCACATAATCCATGTAGCCAATGCTTCACAAGAAGCTTTGACTAACAAAATTATTTTTCTTAGTATTCTAAGAGAAGTACAGGCAAGCCATGAACCCAGAAGTGGTGTTCTAATCTACAAGAAAGAATACACAACAGTGATTCCCAACCTGAAGGGTATGACTGTGATCACACATTTACATCCAATGTAGCCGGCCAACCAGAAAGACTTTTCCAGAATGTCACGATCAACAATATATTAAAATTTGGGGTATAGCACACCATGTGAAAACACATTATGTATGGGAAACACTGTCTGTATCTGTGACAACTATGACATATTTTTATCTGTATTTACATATTACTGTGGTTAATAGAAACATCCATTTTAATACATTACTGTAACAATGACATTTTGACATTACACACCTTCTCAATGTAGGGCCACTAAAATGTCTAAGTGTATAAAATTTTAAGAACTTTAAAGAGACACCTCATATTCCTTCTAGGTTCTAGATTAGAAACCACAGTCTAAGAGAAAACTCTGTCCTAACTGTCAAGAGAAGTAGTTTCAGCTAAGCCACCACCTTTAACCAGGTCTTTCACTTCACAGGGATTCTATAAAATTAAAGGGTCTGAATTATTCTATAGGAACTCTTTTAGTCTAAAATTTATCTTCTCAAATGTTGTAATGGGTCGGGCACAGTGGCTCGCGCCTGTAATCCCAGCACTTTGGGAGGCCGAGGCAGGTGGATCACTTGAGGTCAGGAGTTCAAAACCAGCCTGGCCAACATGGTGAAACCCCGTCTCTACTCAAAATACAAAAATTAGCTGGGCATTGCAGCAGGTGCCTGTAATCCCAGCTACTCGGGAGGCTGAGGCAGGAGAATCACCTGAACCTGAAAGTCAGAGGTTGCAGTAAGCAGAGATCATACCACTGCACTCCAACCTGGGTGACAGAACATGATTTCATCTCAAAAAAAAAAAACAAAAAGAAAGTTGTAACAACAATTTAGGAACTCAGTTAATATCCCAATTTTAGTTTCCAAAAAAAGAAAAATACACTAATATACTTTGTATTTTTCAAAATTATTTACTTTGCATATATTTGCTTAATATAATTTGTTAATATAACGAAGTTATTTCAGAAAGTTTGAAGACAGAAAAAATATCACCTTTAATCCATGATCTTTTTTTTTTCATTTTTTCAAACAGGGTCTCGCTCTGTCACCCAGGCTGAAATGCAGTGGCACAATCACGGCTCGCAGCTTTGATCTTCCAAGCTCATGCGACTCTCCCACCTAAGCCTCCTGAGTAGCTAGGACTACAGGCACGCACCACCATGCCTGGCTAATTTTAGTATATTTTTGGAGAGACAGGGTTTTGCCATGTTGCCCAGGCTGGTCTTGAACTCCTAGGCTCAAGCCAACTGCCTACCTCGGCCTCCCAAAGTGCTGGGACTACAGGTGTGAGCCACCTGGCCCATGAACTTATTGGCACAGACATAGTTTACACAGCTACAGTAATAATGGCCATAACATTTTATATACAACTCTCTCTATGCTTGTAACAGGTTATTTTCCACACTCCATGTATATCACTTTATAAGTATCGTATTTATATGTCTTTATATGTATGACTTTAAATATCTACTTAACATTCTAATGAGCGCATCGGTATATAATAAGTCACTTAAAGAGAACATCCTGGTAGAGTCCTTAGAAAATTTCATCCTTGTATAAACATCATTGAGTATATATACACAAACCTAGATGGTATAGGCCAGGGGTCCCCAACCCGAGTTGATGAATGGTACTGGTCTGTGGCCTGTTAGGAACCGGTGACACAGCAGGAGGTGAGCACAGGCAAGGGAGCATTACTGCTTGAGCTCTGCCTCCTGTCAGATCAGCAGCCGCATTAGATTCTCATAGGAGCACAAACCCTACCGTGAACTACGCATGCGAGGGATCTAGGTTGCACGCTCCTTATGAGAATCAGGCCAAGGTGGCCTGATGATCTGAGATGGAACAGTTTCACCCTGAAACCATCCCCTACATAAATAGGATATATGGTATAACATATTTCTCTTAGGCTACAAACCTGTACAGTGACTGTATTGAATGCTGTAGGTAACTGTAACACAATGCTAAGTATTTATATGTACCTAAACAGAAAACGTACAGTAAAAATACAGTATTATAATCTTATGAGGCTGGGCACAGTGGCTCACCCATGTAATCTCAGCACTTTGGGAGGCCTAGGCAGGTGGATCACCTGAGGTCAGGAGTTCAAGACCAGCCTGGGCAACATGGTAAAAACCCCATCTCTACTAAAATTACAAAATTTAGCTGGGCATGGTGGCACACACCTGTATCCCAGCTACTCAGGAGACTGAGGCACGAGAATCGCTTGAACACTGGAGGCGGAAGTTGCAGTGAGACAAGATCACACCATTGCACTCCTGCATGGGTGACAGGGAGACCCCGTCTCAAAAAAATAAAAACAAATAATCTTATGGGACCAGCATTGTATAATGCAGGCTACTGTTAACCAAAATGTTGTTATGGAGCACATGACTGTATTTGTGTATATATATACATATATATAAAATAAAGTAAAATACTAGGACAAAAATAATAATTATTTATATTAGGGGATGAATAAAGTAGAGGAAGTAGGGTTAGAGAGAGTTCTCTCTGTATACATTTTCATACATTTTGACCTACCATGCTACTTTTTTAAACTAAAAATTGATTAAAAAACTTAAAATGTAAGTGAAGTACTTAATAATGCTAAATAATAGATTTCTGAGAAGTCAGAAATCACTTGGCCCAACCTCCAATGCAATGTAGGAATCTCTTTAATGTTTATCTGTTTTCCTAGCATTTTAGAAAAAAGATGTAGCCAAATTTACTATCAGTAAATAGGAGAGTGGTATGAGACAATTCAGAGAAGCTGCTTATTATATCCCAACCATTCCTGAAAAAAATCAGTGAATTAAAGCACAGTTTAAAGGCTGATTAATTCCAGCAAATAAATGCTGAGTCCCTGTTGTTTGCTGTGTTCTGAGAATGTAAAAGATGATTCTCAAAGAATAAGAGGAGTTCCTATGCTCAAGAAATTTGAGGCAAGACCATTTGCTAAGCTTTAAATATTTAGAAATGAGCAAGGTATCACTGGAATACAGTATTAATATATACAGAGAAACCTTTGTGGGAGAAGAAAAAGAAGAGGGAAAATGATGACTTTCAAGGGATGGAGAAGAGGCTAAAAGGATAATCAATAAACGGTACACTGTGTTTTTGAGGTTTCTTTTTTTTTTGAGCCGGAGTCTCACACTGTCACCCGGGCTGGAATGAGGTGGCGTCATCTCGGCTCACTGCAACCTCTGCCTCCCAGGTTCAAGCAATTATCCTGCCTCGGCCTCCTGAGTAGCTGGGATTACAGGCACCTACTACCACGCCCAGAAAATTTTTTGTATTTTTAGTAGAGACAGGGTTTCACTATGTTGGCCAGGCTGGTCTCGAATTCTTGACCTTGTGATCCACCCACCTCGACTTCCAAAGTGCTGGAATTACAGGCATGAGCCACCGCGCCCAGCAGAGGTTTCTTTTAATATTACTACTTTGGAGTACAAATTAAAGCTTTAATTATGTGAAAGACCACATTCCTCAACAATAACTGATAAATGTGGCCTGATTAAGATGTTTATACTAATATAGGCTGTAAGTTTAAATATTCTTTAAATAATGTAAAGAGATTTTATTTACCTATAATTTTATTTCATATGTACATGTTAAAAGACAGACCTCTTTGGGAGGCCGAGGTGAGCGGATCACGAGGTCAGGAGATCGAGACCATCCTGGCTAATACAGTGAAACCCTGTCTCTACTAAAAATATAAAAATTAGCCGGGCTTGGTGGCGGGCGCCTGTAGTTCCAGCTACTCGGGAGGCTGAGGCAGGAGAATGGGGTGAACCCAGGAGCCGAGATCGTGCCACTGCACTCCAGCCTGGGTGACAGAGCAAGACTCCGTCTCAAAAAAAAAAAAAAAAAAAAAAAAAAGACAGACCTACTGGTCAGCTTATAAATGTAAATACATGTAAAAAAGAGGCCATGTGTGGCCTGTAATTCCAGCCCTTTGGGATGCCGAGGCAGGTGGATCACCTGAGGTCAGGAATTCAAGACCAGCCTGGCCAACATGTTGAAACCCCGTCTCTAGCAAAAATACAAAAATTTAGCCAGGCGTGGTGGCGGGCATCTGTAATCCCAGCTACACGGGAGGGTGAGGCAGGAGAATCACTTGAACCCAGGAGGCAGAGGCTGCAGTGAGCCAAGATCGTGGCACTGCACTCCAGCCTGGGCAACAAGCGTGAAAGTCCGTCTCAAAAAAAAAAACAAGAAAGGAAAACCTTTCGGAGAAATCTGAAAGAACAGTTCCATCATATACACTGAATTACTAAAAGAGAATGATATGCCCCAATTTTTCTATAATTAAGACACTGACTTTTGTTGACAAAATACAGTCACAAATCTTGAGTTAAAAGATTATCCTGATTGTACGAAAGTTTAAAAGCACATAAAGCAAAGTAAATAGATTAAATTAACTTGTTAAAAAGTACTCAAGGCTAACATGTTATTCTAATAAACAGCATGTGGTATATTATTTGAGGACATTTTGCATGTCCTCAAAAAGGCAATCTGTAACAGACATCCACAAACTGTGCTAAAGCATTAAAGCTTTTTTCAAAGTATATTCCTAATGCAGAAATCTAGAACAAATGGGCTGCAAAAGAATATGTAAAATAAAAAGAATTCCACCAGTAACTATAGTGCAATAATTATAAAACCTACTGCCAACAGAAAAACAATGCCGGGATGACCACTAACACTTATTTTTAAAATGTTAATCTGTCTTCACAACATTGATATCACTCCTCAAAAATTCATATAATTGGGCCTTCTTTAAAAACCCTAAAGCTACTCTGTATCTTCCCAATAAGCCATCCAATGACCTTTAGAGAACCTCTCAACCATCAGTCATGTGTTATACTCCTTTACCTCAAGATCATATTCACCTGGTGAATATGATCTAGACATAAGAATCCTAATTCTCTTGATATAAGTCTTTCACATTGTTTAAAAAAACAAAGAACTCAAAATATACATAAAACCCTTATAAGCACTCCTACTAAGCAGACAGTATTACTCACATTTGACAAATGTGAAAACAGAAATCTGTACTGCATAACACCATAACCCTAGCAGCTGGGAGTAATAAACCTACACTCTTTGGTTACTCAACTGGAATTAAAACTAATTCTTTTCGGTATCCTACATTTTAAGAAATGTATTAAGGAGGCAATAAAACCTTATCAAAAGCCAAAATACACTGCATATTTCTAAATATCACACTATTCTGCAATATTTTAAGGCAGAAGCCACAGAGATTGAAGCTTTAAAAAATTGAGAATCCTTAAGAATGAAACTAGGGGCCAGGCACAGTGGCTCACCCCTGTAATCCCAGCACTTTGGAAGGCCAAAGATGGTGGGTCACTTGAGGTCAGCAGTTCGAGACCAGCCTGGCCAACATGGTGAAATCCTGTCTCTACTCAAAATACAAAAATTAGCTAGGCGAGGTGGCAGGCGCCTGTAATCCCAGCTACTCGGGGGGCTGAGGCGGGAGAATCACTTGAACTGGGGAGACGAGGGTTGCAGTAAGCGAAGATCACGCCACTGCAGCCTGGGTGACAGAGCAAGACTCTATCTCAAAAAAAAAAAAAGAATGAAACTAAAGAATATTGGCCACAATTAAGACACAACAAACAACATTGTACTACATGTACTACAGGTACTACAAACAAGTATTTTAATGGCTCAAAGATTTTTTTTCAACTTCCAAAACAATCTAAATGTTGCAAAAGCTTCTTTCTAATGCTGACAGACTAAGCATGTTTTTTTCTTGTGAATCAGTAAAACACAGACAAAGAGGAGTTGTTGGTAATGGGGTTCAAACCAAAGAACATTCTAATGGAAAACAGATTACTATTGAGGAAAAATCAGACTACAGTTTAATTTCATAATACAACATATTTACATACCAGCACAGAATATCCCTGGGACTTCACTCCTGATTATTATGGTCCGTACTTTCTTATCAGATTTCAAAGCATCCACAGCTTTTGATAGCTAAACAGAAATAGGAAGCATAGGAGGAAAAAGAGAAAAAAAAAACAAAACATTTTTACATTGATGACAATAATATATCTTAATATTAGAAGCAAACAGTTTAATCTTTACACTCACCATTTTTATAAGATTTTTACTGAGTGAATTTTTGCCATAAGCTCTGTTTATTCCAAGCACCACAATTCCTAGTTAAAGGGGAAAAAAAGTACAAGCACTTGAGTGAGCAAGGCATTCAGAGAACAGACTCTACATCACACATCTAGCTAGCTTCGAACTTAACAAATCAAAGAAATTCATGACATCACGTTCCCTTCAATCGATCTCTTCTTAAGCACCAAGATAATTTGCAACATTTTGGTAAATTTTACATCACTAACTCAAACTAGAGGGAAGACTAGACTTATTAGTGAAAATTTTAAGTTAAAGGATACTATTTAAAATGTGGTTTCATCATCTTCAAGTAGATACCAAAGTAACCGCTAATAAACCTTGTCACATGCAGGTATTATAGCATCTGCTTTTTCTAGGACCAGTTGTTAATATCTCCATTTTTTTGTTGTTCATACTACACAGTTTTCAGTAATTCTATCCCAAGCTTCTCTCCTGATTTCTGTCTGATATACTTAACCTGAGGGCACTTCCATTTAGATGTCCAAGAAGTACTTCCAACTCAACCTATACAAAACAAAGTTCATTATCTCTCCCACAAACCCAGCTGTCACTCCTAACTGCCCCACTTTTTAATCAAAGACCATCACCTAAACCCAGCCTCCCATTCCTTCCAGTTACCAATTTTCTAAAAACAGTACTATGCATAGAATGCATCCCCTACTTAAAATCCTTTCATTATTTATTTCAAAATATCCAACTTCAAAGATCCTAATTTGATATTCAAAGTTCTACACAACCTCTACTAACCTTCTTGTTCTTGGAGTAGACAAATTTTCACAGTGTATCAGAAATACCTTCCACTGAGTCAGGGTGGGTATGTTTCTTATTTGCAACTGAGCTAAACTGAAGACAACAAAATGTACACATGCCTTCGCTGTGCAAGAAACTGTGCAGACCCATTCTTTAAAGTATAAAGATGAACTTCTGCTCACAAGAGTAAATTTGCAAGAATTCCAAATGCTCTCAGTACAGAGAAAAGCATAAAGGACTGCTATCTGACAGGATCTGTATTAAACAGCTGAATGACTTTGGGTAGGTCCCAATACTACTGACAACAGCTACCACCAGTAGGCCTCAGGCACTGCTCCAGGTGCTTTAAGCGAATTAACTCATGTAATCCCCACCACAACCCAAGAGGTGGGCACTACTTTTATCAATAGTTAACGGATAAAGAAATGGAGACTTGGAGAGGTGAAGTAACTTCCTTCAGCTATTAAGTGGTAATCTAACTCTATACTTGAATAAAACTGTGTTACACTGTTCAAGCTTCAGTTTCCTCAGGAAGAAAATCAAGCAGCTAAGACTAGATGTGTCCATTCATTCAAACATACTGAGTACGTACTATAGTGATCAGCAGCCATGGAACTAGAGTCTAGGAGGGAAATACAAACATTAATAATCATAGAAATCATTAATAATCATAAATATCATTAATAATCCATTCAAACTGCTTTACAAGCTGTAAGTGGTGCTACAGTAACTTGTAACCAGAATTGATAATGGTCTGGGGCAAAAGGAGATGGTTAGGGAAAGCTTACCCCAGACAGTGAAGGTTAGAAGGATAAGTAGGAGTCAAGGTGAGAGTGAAGGAGAGGGGCTGACTGCCAGGCAGAGGAAACAGGAAAAGCATAAACTAGTCATGGTCCCACTGAATGTCCTGTAACCTACGAGGGGGAGAAGAGAGTGACCAATGAAAGTAAAGAGGTCAGCACAAGCCAGAAATATCCTTACAGACCTTCTAAAAAGTCTGGTCTTCATCCTAATAACCATTGAAGGAGTTTACGTAGGTATAAACATATACACATGCACATATAAAACTGGCGGGGGAATAGTTTCTATACTTGGAGATCATACCAGAAGTAGACAGGGGTGGGAGCTTCAAGACACAATTCGAGTCCAATCAACAGATAACAGGTTTGGCTGAGATTGGTGGTGGTAAAAATAAAGGAAAGTGAAAGGATTCAAGAACTATTCAAAAATTTTAAATGAGTTAATGATGCCTAGACTGAGGACTGATTTAACTGGAAGAAAGTGTTAAGGAGTATTTACCAGGTTTCTGGCTTCACCAATTGGATGAAAGATGACATTTAATGAGACAAAATCATAAAACTACCAAGGTGAGGGTGGAGGGGAGTAAAGCTCATGAGTTTCTGTTTTTAATTAAAGTGAATCTGAAGTGCCTTTCAGACATCCAAGTTGATACAACGTCCAAGGGCTAAGAATGCAGGCTCTAAGGTGTGATTGCTGGGGATGAAATCCCAGTCTGCCGCTTACTAGCTATTCGGCAAGTTACTTAACCTCTGTGATCCTCAGTTTCTTACTCTATTAAGAATTCGGCAAGTTACTTAACCTCTCTGATCCTCAGTTTCTTACTCTATTAAGATACTAACAGTTCCACACTCCATGGGACTGTATTAGAATCGAATGATATGATACATGTAAAATTTACAACATGAGGACCCAATTAACCTCCCTTCTAGCATGAACACCTCTCATGCAGTAAGTATTAAAAGTTTCACCATAATTTCTGCTAGATATGATAATGCTGACATTATTACTGAAGGGTAAAGTGCCATCAAAATGTTTCTAACACAGTTAATTCCAGCAATTTTGGTCCCATATCTGAGACTTGATGTTTTGAGTACTTCCACTTCAAAAAGCTAGAAATTAGCTCTGCAATCTGAAATGAATTATCTAATATGTAACAACTGTACCATCAAATGTATCTGTAGGCTTTTGGTATTCTAAAATGGAATAAAACCTTAGCTTTATTCAGCAAAGTCTAAAAGTTTTTTTTTATAACTGTCTCACTTTAATTCACAATTCAATCACTTCTCAAGAACTCAATTATCATGCATCCTCCTCACATAACCTAGAAAGTTTACCAAACTCAGAAAAGCTTAGGCGTTCACATGCCAACCTTAATTTTCCTGACTTTTCACAAAACATACAAAAATCTTCAGTGAATCTGTAACAAGGTCACATCACAGCATGAATCCTGCTCTATAAAGCTCACACAACTGAAAGATGAATGTAACAACTTTGCTGAGACTTTAAAAACAAAACAAAATACGTTCTGCTTATACAAAATGAAAAAATACACTCAAAGTGAAAGTCCTCCTTCCCTAGAACCAGCTCATTCCCTTCCCCAGAAGAAGCCACAGTTATCACAGTTACATGTAATGTAACCTTCCAGAAAATGTTCAACGTATCTACATACAGAAATAGAGTTGTATATTACCATTTGGCTTGTTGTTGCTATTTTACATAAATGGATCATATGTTCTGTTGGAGCTATTCTACATAAATAGGTTCATACATTTTTTCTTTTTTTTTAAGAGACAAGGTCTTGTTGTGTCACCCAGACTGGAGTGCAGTGGCTCCATCATAGCTCACTGCAGCCTCAAAGTCCTGGGCAGTCTCCATCTCAAAAGAAAAAAAAAGAAAAGAAAAGGAAATTTGGTTATAGAGCTATGCCTCCTACAACAAATTACAAATATGGAGCCCAGATAACAGATGAGACCTGGTGTATTCTGCACTACTTACCCCCACCCACCTAAAGTGCTGCATGCTGTTTGAGGCTCCTGTGACTAGGAGAGTTATCCTATTCCTTAGAGGCTGCTGAGAGCACCAAATTTTGGACCCACCTCTAAGAGAAATAAAGGCACCCAGGAAACTCCTTCACCTGTAGTACCCTTGACCTCATGTTTTTCTTTGCACTGCTTATTGCTGGTTCAACAGTAAAGCAAAGCAAAGCCTAGGTAATGTTAGCCAAGCCTGAGTCGTCATTCTTGCCAATTCTCAAAGGAGGCGGGGTCAACTTTAAGAAACCATGATGTATGTCCTATCTCATCAGGAAATCAAGGCTAAAGAAAAAAAAAAAAAGAAACCATGATACCCAAAAAAATTTTCGTTTATTATCTTTTATTATCTGATATTCTCTCTTCTGTCCATTCAGATCCTAACTTAAAGTCTGTCCAGACATTCTGCACAAATATTCCTTTAATTGCATTCAAGTCATAACGACCAAAAAAATAGAATATGGTGCATATTAGTAGCTGTACTTGCAATCCCTTTATATCTAACATATTGTTGGTACACTTAACGGAAGTGAAGTCCCGGCATGACTAAGCTTACCCAAAAGATGATGGCATTCAGGCTCTAATCACTCCAGTGCTAGTCTATGCTTCCAGCTGAATTTCTTACTATTCTGCTTATGCCACACTTGCCTTATGTTACGTCCCAAATACACCACACATGTTCACATCTCCATGCCTTTGACCATGTTCTTGTCTCTGTCTGGAATAATAAGTAAGGAATAAAGTCATTCATCACACTCCTGAAGCACTGCTACGTGCTAGTGGCAATTTACATTAACAATCTCATCTCATCTTCATAACAAACCTATAAAGTTGGTATTGTTTTTCCTGTTTTACACGTGAGATAAGTCTGCCCAAGAACCCTCACAAATGGCAAAATCCACTGCCTATTAAAGAATGCCTTGGAACCCCTTTCAAATGGCGAAACCCTGCAGGTATTACAGCCCTTTCCTCTTACCATGCCTTGAAAGTTCACACAGCCTACTAATAACCAGGATCTGCTTCACTACACTAAAACCAATCACGACTTACACGCTTTTCACTTCTGCTTAACAGATTATAGGTGCTCAACAAATGCATGTCAAAATTAAAACACTGGTCCTCTGGCTTAACCCGGAGGTTAAGGGTGGAAACTGCTATTCCACCCTTCACGACCCTTTTAGCTTTTCCCTGCACTGCCAGTGAAAGGAACTGAGCTGTAACAGTATTCCCTAGGATTGTCAGCCTCCTTCAAAGCCTTCAAAGCTCTGTATTGTATTGCTAATGATGTCTCCTCCCGTAGAAGGTAGCTCAAGGGCAAGATCCATACCATCCACATTCTTATCGCCAGAGCTGAGGAAAATAAAAAGTGCTCAAAATTGTTTAAATGAAGTGGAACAGTCCCTCAAGACTAACTTTCTAAGAGAAAATGAACAAGAGGAAAAATTGTTCCAGCTGAGCAGCTTCAAATTTAAGATTCTCCGTAATAATAAAAGGCAGTTTCACCGCAGCTTTTACAACTCCACCACTAATAGCTGAGTTTACAGAAAGCCATTACACAGCAACAATAAAGCCTGGTAGCAAGGATTAAATCCCCAGGGTATATATTGACCTTGGCTTGTCTGGAGCGGAGGGCGTAAGCTGCACTTCTGTTTGCCGCGCTGAATGCGGTCACTTTACAGGTAAGCTGCTCGGGGGTACACGTTTAGGTTATTAAAAGCAAGAAATAGGTGCACAAGGAAGCGGCCACGCTGGGTGAGTAGGGAGGTGAGAAAGGGGAGGGACCCAGGTTCGGTGCGCCTGCCTGACCTCGACCCCGCGTCCTGCCGGCGGACGCTGCACCTTATGCCCGTCCTGAGAGCGAGCGGCCGCCCGCTGCCCCGCGCCTGCCCAGCGTTCGCACCTCACCTCGGTTCTCCTCCTCCAGGTGCCGCACCCGCAGCTCGTCCTCCGTCTTCATCTCAGAGCTGTAGCCCCTTTTCGGGGCGGGACCCCCGGCCGCAGGTACCCAGCCCTGGGCCCAGATCGCCGGGCCCGCTCGCCGGCCTGCCAACGAGCCGGGCAGCCTCAACCCCGGGCAGAGCCACGCACTGCAAGCGGCCACCAGGCGGGCGCCGCCAGCATGCAGGGATCCCAAGGCCCCAGGTGCCGCCGCCACCGCGGCCGCCATGTTGTCTGTTTACGGCGTGGACCTGCGACGGCCGCTCCGCCCCCGCCCGGCGCCGACCTGCCGCGCGCACGCGCACGGCGTCCGGACCCGCCGCCTCGCTCCGGCTTGGCCCCGCCCTCCGGAGCCGTGTTCCCGCCCCTCACTGCCCCGCCGAAGCCCGGTGACCCGAGGCCTTGCCCCATTCTCCAAGCGAGATTGGATGGTTTGTCCAATACAAAAGGAAAGAAAGTAGTTTTCCAAGGTTATGGAATAATTCAGGGAAGACTTTTCTATAAGAACCACCCGGAGGGAATTATCTCCCCGTACTCCCTGGACCATGCCCTGCGGTCCTGTGTTAAGTAAGCTGCAAAAGTGAACAAAAAAGTTTTGTCTCCTCAAGTTGGCTGAAAGTGTGGCAGCCCATCGTTGGTCACTGCCTTACTTATGGATCTCAGGTTGTTGGTTTAGCGTCCCTGATAAGCATAAATGATGTTTACTACGTGGCGTTCAGGAAAAGGATGAGAACAGCAAACAGGCAAAGGAGTTCTTTCTCCAGCCCACCCACTCGTACCGATGTCCCATGGCCCTTCCTGGACGGAAAGAGTCTTACAGGGGTTCAAACAAGCCATACGCTGAGATGGGATTTAGAGTATGTAGCTCTTCCAGAAACTCGGGATATCAATTTAGTGTGTAGGTACTCATCAAAGCACGTTGCAGTATAATTAATGCTACCTAGCTTTTATCAGATCTCTAATGGGAAAGCTTGCATTTAAGAATACTGGGCAGGGGGCGGTGGCTCACGCCTGTAATCCAAGCACTTTGGGAGGCCGAGGCAGGTGGATCACCTGAGGTCAGGAGTTTGAGACCAGCCGGGCCAACGTGGTGAAACCCTGTCTCTACTAAAAATACAAAATTAGCCAGGTGTGGCGGCACACGCCTGTAATCCCAGCTACTCGGGAGGCTGAGACAGGAGAATTGCTTGAACCCGGGAGGCGGAGGTTGCCCTGAGCTGAGACTGCACCATTGCACTCCAGTCCAGGCAACAAGAGTGAAACTCTGTCTCAAAAAAAAAAAAAAAAAAAAAAAAGAATACTGTTTGAAAAGTGTGCTGCTATGAGCATACGTCTAGTGCCACAGAAATTTCTTGTATTTTTTAGTCCTAAGCAAAACATCCTTCATTATGTCCTCAACTTTTATCCAATGTAGAAACAAAAAGTAGACTGAATTCCATTACTGCATCTGCTGTAAAATGATGTTGAAGGCACTTTTATTTTTATTTTTATTTTTTATTTTTTGACAGGTTCTGGCTCTGTCGGCCAGGCTGGAGTGCAGTGGTGTGATCGCCTCTCGCTGCAACCTCTGCATCTCAGGCTCAAATGATCCTCCCACCTCAGCCTCCTGAGTAGCTGGGATCACAGGCACACACCACCACACCTGGGTAATTTTTGTATTTTTAGTAGAGATGGGTGTTTCTATGTTGGCCAGGCTGGTCTTGAACACCTGACATCAAGTGATCCACCCAACTTGACCTCCCAGAATGCTGGGATTACAGGTGTGAGCCACCATGCACAGCCCACTTTTTATTCTATCTTTTGTAAAGTTCCATGCAGGAAAATTTTCCTGAAGTTTACTACAAGGAAAACTTTGCTTCCTTTGTATCTTTCCTCTTTTCTGATAATGATGTACATGTTGACTGCTGGGTGTTGTGATTTTTATTGTTATGGTTTCTTTCTAATTTGGTCTTGTGGTCACCAGAGGGAGGGTAAATCTGGAGGTGACAGGGAGTTCAGCCAGTGGAAGGGGGTCAAGGAAGGGGCACTTGTGGAGCTAAAGCCTCTGTTGGGGTCCAGCGTGTTACCCAAGCAGTTTCCCATGGAAGTTCTAATTGGTGAGTTTAGAACAAGCAGGCACAAGTTCCATGGAGTCACCCTGTCACTGTGAGGTGGTCACTGGAGCCCATCTACACAGTCCATGTGGGTTATGGAGGTCAACAGGTGAGTCAAGCAGGCTGCATTTACCTGTCCCATAGGGAGATGGTCACCAGGAAGCAGTTGCATTAAGCAGATATCTGGATGGATCACATTGAAGAACTGGGAGGAAGCAGAGAACTGGAAACTGTATCAAAGGTGATTGAGCCCTGCTTCTCATATGAGAAAGTTAAACATATTCAAAATGGATACCAAGGCAAAATAAAATTATGAGAATTACTGTACTAGAGATGGCAGCGGCTGCTCCAGACGGCCTACTGCTGCAGCAGGGAGGCATGGCCAGGGCTGCACGCTCTCTGGCGGGAGCCAGGGACAAGCGGGAGACCCACCCCTTCTGAGTTGGGGTGGGAACTCCCTGGTTGCCTCTGCAGCACAGCTGCAGACTGGGGCCTCCTGCTCCACAGAGCAGGCAGAAGCACCACCCAAGGTGTGGCTGCAGATCTGAGCCTCCCTGTGCTCTTAGGGGGCCAGGAGCAGGCAGGAGCCCTGCCCTCCCCGAGGGCAGCTGTAGCCACCCAAACCACGGCTGCAGCCCCAGGCATCCCTGCACTCTTGGGGGCCCAGGAAGGCCCTGCATGCCCTCACAGGCTCAGAAATGCCTGCTCCTGCTGCCTGGCTTCTCCCTGCTGTTGGCACCTGCTCCATTCTTGGAGCAAAGTTGAGGCTGAACCCAGGCACCATGAATGGCAGTGGGAGGCAGACAGACTCCTGGGCAGAAGGGGGTGGGTCCCCAGTGAGGCCCCAGCTTCTGGCCAAGGAGGGCCTGAAGGCTGGGGGTTGGGCTGCCAGCCCCATGAACCAGAGTGGGAACTTGTGGTGCCTTTTCCGAGCCTGCCCATGGCTGCCCATGGACCAATCAGCGGCAGGCACTTGCTCCCCTCTGAGGCCCATAAAATCCCCAACTCAGCCAGAGCTGAGCAGATGATGGGACAACCAGCTGCAGAGAGGAGCTACCCTCTCAGCTGAGAGCTTCAGAGACTTGCAGAGATGTCAGAACTACCAGCTTCAGAGAGGAGTGACCCTCTCCAGGGCCTCCTCTCTGCTAGGAGCTGGGCAGATGTTAGGACAACCAGCTGCAGAGAGGAGCTACCCTCTCCAGGGCCTCCTCTCTCCTAGGAGCTGGGCAGACTTCAGGACACCCTGCCTACAGAGAGGAGCTACCCACTGCGGGTCTCCTCCGAGCTGTTTTAATGCTCAATAAAGCTTCTCTTTGTCTTGTTCACCCTCCACTTGTCTGCATACCTCATTCTTCCTGGACCCAGGACAAGAACTCTGGCAAAGGTGCCACCAGCCACAGAGGTTTCTGGCCAGGAAATCGACACCTCAAAGGTTCCGTAACACTAGGAAACTCACAATTGTATTTACAGATCAACCATTGCAATTATTGCAATTATATAATTACTGTTTATTAATATTGGTCTCCAGTTGTTTTGATATCTTTATGTCGGTTCATCAATAGATGGTAAATTTAGAGAAAGCAGTTATACAGAGCTCCTGACAGTGCTATTTAAAATAATATAACTTCAGATAATACTGATAATTGACTAGGACAGCTGCAGAAAGATAATCATAGATTGTTTGGGTTATAGAAGAAAACAAAGGACCACCCATTGTTTCTAAAGGCATAGAGCCTGATGGAAAAAATGCAACATAGAGGACTATCCCCTTCCCTAACATTTGGGACTCTCGTCCTTATTTGCAATAGTCATGCACGTATCTCAGGTCTGTGACCAAAGTTGATTCTTAAAAATTAATGCAACTAATAAACATCACCATGACTATCACAACCTGTCAAGCATGACAACTAACAGCAAATTGCCAAATATCAGGAATTTAACAAATTCCAAACCAAATAGACATGGCTTTGGATCCCTGCTCTATAATTGCTCCACTTTGAGACATCAGTGAGTTATTTAAATACTTCATGCTTCCTCTTCTTCATCTGCAGTATAGCTAATATATCTATTTCACTTTATGAATTCTTTTTTTTTCTTTTTTCAGACAGAGTCTCACTCTGTCACCCAGGCTGGAGGGCAGTGGCGTGGTCTCACCTTCTGGGTTCAAGTGATTCTCCTGCCTCAGCCTCCCGAGTAGCTGGGACTATGGGCAGGCACCATCATGCCCAGCTAATTTTGTTTTTTCTTTTTGTAGAAACAAGGTTTTGTCACGTTGGCCAGGCTTATCTCGAACTCCTGACGTCAGGTGATCCATCTGCCTCAGCCTCCCAAAGTGCTGAGATTACAGTCATGAGCCACCATGCCCCACTGAATTATCTTCAATTCCTTCACCTATAAAATGAGAATAATTATGCCCATTTATTGGGTTGATAAGTATGTAAAACACTTGGCACCAAGAAAGAAATAGAGCAGCGTGGAAATATTAGCTACCATTTACCAACTTCCTTCTTAGTCTATTTAAGAAGGCATTTCGCTGTCTTATTTAATGTTCAGGAAACTTTCAAGTTGGTATTACTACCCCCATTTTTATAGATGAGGAAACTGAGATTAAGTTACTTACCAAAGACTGCATCTGGGAAGCCATGGAGCTGGAATTCAAATACTGATACATCTGACTCCAAAGCTCATGTTCTTTTTCTTTTTTAAAAATCTTTTAATTTTTTTTTTTTTTTACTAGAAACAAGGGTGTCACTATGTTACCCAAGCTGGTTTTGAACTTAGGCTCAAGCCGTCCTTCTGCCTCAGCCTCCCAAAGCGCTGGATTATATGTGTGAGCCAGTGGGCCCAGCCAAAGCCCATATTCTTAATCACTAGTTAGAACAGCCTTTCAATAAATGTTAAGGTACTCAATAAAATGTCATGACCTCTGGAATTTCTACTTTTCAATGAAAGATTGTCAAGTATGAAACAGGAATAATGAGTATCAGTTTGGGAAAAGGCGGGTAGGGCTTGTTGTTTGAAATGAGAAGAGTATAGCCAGGTGTGGTGGTGTGCATTGGGAGGTTGAAGCAGGAGGATTGCTTGAGCCCAGGAGTTCAAGGTCAATCTGGGCAACATAGCAAGACTCTGCCACTGAAAAAAATAATAATTAAAAAAAAAAGGAAGAAATGGCAAGAGTGAAAGAGTGGAAAAGCTGGAGTATTCAGAGTACTACACCCACTAATCTCCTGACCTGCTTCTACTTCTTCTACATCCAGCAGAACTGTGAGGCAAACAAACCTCCTTTCTTTAGAAACTACCCAGCCTCAGGTATTCTTTTATAGCAATGCAAAATGGACTAAGGCAAGGACCAAATATCTTTTTCTTAGTATATCACGATATCATAAGCCCCATGGTGGCCTTTCACTCCAGAAGGTCTTTTCCCATCTAGTCTGAGTACTTACCTCCAAAAGGAGGGATTGGATGTCAAATCCAGAAAATCCAATCTCTAGAGCCTTGAAGGGATCCAGTAAGCCTTACCCAAGGACACTACCCCCAGAGAAAAGGTATGTTTGAAGACACCCTCTCTCACTCTGCCCTGCAGAGACTCCTTGACCAGACACTGCAATCCACCCCCACCAAGGTATTGTAGGTCTCATTTTAGGTAGCAACCATGTGTGCCTATGAGCTCCATGACCTCTGGAGAAGAGTAGACATTATACAGACAAGTAAAGAGAGGCATAAATTACTGAAAGTTACATAGCTAATAAATAACAAAGCTGGAACTGGAACTCAAACACTCCACTCCAAAAACCTGAGTTCTTAATCATGACTTTCTTTTGTTTGCTTTTCCTAATTGATTGTAAGGGCTTCATCTTCTCCACCACTACTCTGACCCCAATCAGTAGGGAGTTTTATCAAGCCCTTCTATTATCATTTCATTTGGAAATTTCACCCACTGCGTTGGATCCTGCATGGTCACGATTTCCCAGATACTGCTTCTTCCCCCTGACAATTCCATAGTTGCTGATTGTGTATACGTGCATACATGCAAATATGCAAACACATGTGCCATGTCCTGAAAATACAAACCTTCGTCATCTCAGGATGAGAGGGATGGGGAGACTAGGGGATGAGATCAAAAAGGTACATGGCATCTTTTGGGGATGATAAGGATGTCCTAAGTTTATTGTATGATGGTTGCACAAACTCTGAGAATATACCAAAAACCATTTAATTGTATATGTTAAATCGGGGGATTGCTTGGCATGTGAATAATACTTCAATAAAGCTGCTGCAAAAGTCAGGAGACAGGATTTGGGATCCTTGAAGAGATGACTGATTGAGTGTCTGAGACAGAGAAAAACTAGGTGAGATCAGAATATCTCCTTGTGCCAGAAAACACTGAAGTGCTCCACAATTGACAGAAATGTGAAAGACCACAGCTCGGAAGGGTTTCTACTGGCCTTGCCTGGGACAATTAGAATGTTGAAGAGAACCATGCTAGTAATTGATAGAAACATTTAGCATTTTTTAAAGATATCAGTGAACAATTAAGTAAATGGATGGCAGATGGTAGAAGCCAGTTTCTCCCTGTTGGTATGGGAGACTACAGATAAGCAAGGGAAGGAGGCCAGGATGATTTGTTTGATAAGGGTTTAGCACTGGAAACATCAGTATGAACTCATGTTTAGCTTAATATAGATATAGATGGATACACATAGAAACATCTACAGATAAGTACATATGCACACATGAGTATACACACACTCCTGCTCTGTCAGCTAAGATGAACTAGAAGCAATAACACACCATCGACAATGAGCACACCTAGTGTCAGATCTTGGTTTCTAATACCATCCTCCAGTAAAAAAGAATTCCCCATTGATCCTTGGAGAAATGGGTGATTCTAGGACTGGGGCAGGAAATATACAAGATGAGCCTGAAGGATGTTGTGGTGCCAGAAAATAAGAAAGTGTTCAAAATAACCCCAAAATGATGGGCAGATGTCAAAGAGATGCAGGAACCAACTGAGAGAGTTCCCAGTGGCCACAGCTGGAACAAGATGAACAATAGAATAAAGTGGCATAGCATGATATCCGAAAGCATAAAATAAATATCCATGTATACATACTGATACAGATAAATGATTGAATAGTTAAATGAGAAGAGACCAAACTCCCAAGCAGAAGAATTTCCAATAATTCATGTAGATACTCTGCCCTACCTGAGGAAGGTGTCAAAGATAAAGCCAACAGTAGTTAAAGTAGTAAAGACAGATATTAATCAGTGATATACTATTGTAATAACATAATATGATATTCTTGTCTGCTTTCAGCAGGTCTAGGATAGAAATTGTTCATAAAATTTTAAGTCTAAGATCAGGAGGCCCACCCTATTGCTTTTAACCCTCTTAGTTGTAAGATAGGTGGTATCTCCCTCATACCCCTCCAAATAGGTAAAAGGAATACCTGCTCTATCAGGGTATAACTAGACATCTATGGTCTTAGCCCCCTCTTGTTTATAGTCTTTGGGTTCATTGTGCCTTGTCGCTTAAGCGCTTGTCTAGTGGATGAGAATGTTATTCTCTCCTCTAAATCAACCAACCTTCTATGGAGTAAAGGGTACTGAAGAGGATATGTCAGTCAGTTCGGGCTGCCATAACAAATACCACACACTGGGCAGTTTAAACAATAGACATTTATTTCCTCAAAGTTCTGGAAGCTGTAAGTTCGAGATCAAGGTGTCAGCAGGACTGGTTCCTTCTGAGGTCTCTCTCTTTGGCTCGCAGATGGTGTCTCCTTCCTGTGTTCTTACACGGCCTTTCCTCTGTGCGTGCACATCCCTGGTATGTCTTCTCCTTATAAGACCATCTTTCCAACTCTCTTTTCAGTAAATGGTGCTGGGGAAACTGTCTAACCATATGTAGAAGAATGAAACTGGACCCCTATCTATCACCATATACAAGGGAAATAACTCAAGATGAAATAAAGACTTAAATTTAAGACCTCAAACTGTAACAATCAGAGAAGAAAACCTAGGAAATACTCTTGTGAACATCCATCTAGACAAAGAATTTACGGCTTAGTCCTCAAAAGCAATTGCAAGAAAAGCAAAAATTGATAAGTGGGACCTTATTAAATTACAGAGCTTCTGCACAGCAAAAGAAACCATTAACAGAGTATACAGACACCCTACAGAACAGGAGAAATATTTACAAACTATGCATCCAGCACACCCTAATATCCAGAATCTATAAAGACCTTAAACAAATCAACAAGAATGAAACAAATAACCTCATTTAAAAATGGGCAAAGCTGCCAGGCATGGTGGCTCACACTTATAATTCCAGCACTTTGGGAGGCCGAGGCAGGCAGACCACTTGGGCTCAGGAGTTGGAGACCAGCCTGGACAACATGGCAAAACTCCATCTCTACTAAAAATATAAAAATTAGCCAGGCGTGGTGACACACATCTGTAGTCCCAGCTACTGGGGTGGGGAGCTGAAGTAGGAGGATTGTTTGAGCCTGGGAGTCAGAGGTTGCAGTGAGCTGAGATCGGGCCACTGCATTCCAGCCTGACTGAGAGTGAGATCCTGTCTCAAAAAATAAAAATAAAAAATAAACAATGGGCAAAGGACATTAACAGACACTTCTCAAAAGAAGACATACAGTCAGCTAACATGAAAAAATGCTCAATATCACTAATTATCAAATAAATGCAAATAAAAACCACAATGACAGTGGTCCCCAACTTTTTTGGATCAGTGACCGGTTTCATGGAAGACAATTTTTCCATGGACTGGGCCAGGGGTGGGGGCGGGAGGGAATGGGGATGAAACTGTTCCACCTCTGATCATTGGGCATTAGGGTTTTATACATAAGGAACACTCAACCTAGATCCCTTGTATGCACAGTTCACAATAGAGTTTGGCTCCTCTGAGAATCTCATGCCCCCCCTGATGTGACAGGAGGCGGGGGCTTGGGTGGTAATGCTCACTGGCCCACCTCTCACCTCCTGCTGTATGGCCCGGTTCCTAACAGGCCGTGGACCAGTACCAGTCCATGGCCTGGGAGGTGGGGACCCCTGCACAATGAGATACCATCTCATACCAGTCAGAATGGCTATTATTAAAAAGTCAAAAAATAACAGATGTTGGCAAGGCTGCAGACAAAAGGGAATGCTTATACATTGCTGGTGAGAATGTAAATTAGTTCAGCCATGGTGGAAAGCAGTTTGGAGATTTCGTTGTTTTTGTTTTGTTTTGTTTTTTCGCTCTGTCGCCCAGGCTGGAGTGGTGCAGTGGCGTGATCTAGGCTCACTGCAAGCTCCGCCTCCTGGGTTCACGCCATTCTCCTGCCTCAGCCTCCCGAGTAGCTGGGACTACAGGCACCCACCACCACGCCCAGCAAATTTTTTGTATTTTTTAGTAGAGAGGAGATTTCTTAAAGAACTAAAAATAGAACTACCATTCGACCCAGTAATGAGATTACTGGGTACATACCCAAAGGAAAATAAATACTTCTACCAAAAATGCACTCATGTGTTTATCACAGCACTATTCAGAATAGAAAAATATGACACATATACACCACGGAATACTATGCAGCCATAAAAAGAATGAAATCGTGTCCTTTGCAGCATCATGGATGCAGCTGGAGGCCATTATCCTAAGCAAACTAACTCAGAAACAGAAAACCAAATACTGCATGCCGCCACTTGTAAGTGAGAGCTAAATCTTGGGTACACACGAACATAAAGATGGAAACAGTGGACACTGAGGACTCCAAAAGGAGAGATGGAGGGAGGGAGGCAAGGGCTGAAAAACTTCCTATTGGAAGTACCATGTTCACTATCTGGGTGATGGGATCAATAGAAGCCAAAACCTCAACATCATGCAATATACTCTTGTAACAAACCTGCACATGTACCCCCTGAAACTAAATTTTAAATTTTAATTTTAAATAAAGGACACCTTTCCTGTCAGATGAGGGCCCCACCCTTATGATCTCAATTAACCTTAATCACATCTTTAAAGGCCCTATATCCAAATGCACTTACTGTGGGGTTTATGGCTTCCACATATGAATTGGAGGGGTACAACTCAGTCTATAACAAAGGGATTCTTCTTCCTCAGTTTCCCGTAGCCGGTTCTGTAGACCTATCCCCATATCCCTGAGCCTCCCCAAATCTGTGGCAGCCTCCCTGGATGATAATAGTGTCAACAGCCCACACCTCCTCCTGTGCTCATAAGCACTCTGTCTCCCCCTGTTAAGGAAGGCAATTTGCCAAAGGTCACATAGCTAGTAAGCTGCAGAACCTTATGCAAATCCATGCAAGGTATTTTGTCATAACCTCCTGCCTCCCTGTTCATGTTCTCTTTTTTCTCCAGGACATCCAGTTATTCTCATTAAAGTCTTTGTCATAGTTAGGCACGAGGCACTGACAGTAGAGGCACTGATAGAATAATGCTTCCTTTTGCTCAAAGAATAGGCATTAGCTAATCTCCTGATCATTAGTGCTTTCAGCAGCTTCAGAAAAAAAGCAACAGATGACAGTGCAGTTGGTTTGTCTCTTTGATTCGTGACTATCCAGAAATTAATTTACAAAAAAAAAAAAAAGCAGCAAAATAGATTCTACTTCTCAAGACTTTTCCAGTGTTGTTCTTTTTGTACTGCTCTATCAGGGTCATAATTGTTTCTTTGAGTAAAGTAGTTTTCCATTTGTATCACAAAGAGAAAAATCACTTGGACATTTGGGGGACTAGCCACCAAGCTTTGCAAAGGCCAGGTCTGCAGTATGTTAGACACTAACTCTCCCAGGCCAGGCACGGTGGCTCACGCCTGTAATCCTAGCACGTTGGGAGGCCGAGAACAGTGGATCTTCTGAGCTCAGGAGTTCAACACCAGCCTGGGCAACATAATGAGACCTCATCTCCCAAAAAAAAAAAAAAAAAAAAAAAATTAGCCAGACATGGTGGCATGCACCTGTAGTCCCAGCTACTCAGGAGATAGAGGCAGGACAATCATGTGAGCTAGAAAGGTCCAGGCTGCACTGAGCTCTGATCGGGTCACTGAACTCCAGCCAGGATGACAGAGGGAGACCCTGTCTCAAAAAAAAAAAAAAAAAAAAATGAAACCAACTCTCGCACTATCAGGAAATGTTCTCTCTCTTTTCTTTTTTTTTTTTTTTTTTTTTTTTTTTGAGATAGAATCTCACTCTGTTGCCCGGGCTGGAGTGCAATGGCAAAATCTTTGCCTCCCAGGCTCAAGCAATTCTTTTGCCTCAGCCTCCAGAGTAGCTGGGATCACAGGCACATGCTATCATGCCCAGCTAATTTTTGTATTTTTAGTAGAGATGGGGTTTCACCGTGTTGGCCAGGCTGGTCTTCAACTCCTGACCTCAAGTGATCTGCCCTCCTCGGCCTCCCAAAGTGCTGGGATTACAGGCGTGAGCCACCGTGCCTGGCCGGTATACAGTTCCTTTTAGGAGAGAATTTTCTCTCTGTAGAATCTCTGAATACAGGGAAACCAGACATGAATTTGAATTCTCATAAGCCTCTGTGGTTCAAGGATTAGAGCAACTTGACTCTTTTCTACATAGCAAAAAGATAAAATTCAGCCCGTCCTAAACCAACAATCTCGGCTCACTGCAACCTCTGCCTCCTAGGTTCAAGCCATTCTCTTGCCTCAGCCTCCCCAGTAGCTGGGATTACAGGCATGCACCACCACGCCCAGCTAATTTTTGTATTTTTAGTAGAGACGGGGTTTCAGCATGTCTAACAAAATGCCATAGACTGGTGGCTTATAAACAACAGAAATTTATTTCTCAATGTTCTGGAGACTGGCAAGTGCAACATCTAGGTGCCAGCAGATTGGTTGCCTGTTGAGGGCCCACTTTGGGTCCATACATGGCTCCTCCCAGCTGTGTCCTCACATGATAGAAGGGGCAGGGCATCTCTCTGGAGTCTCCTTTATGTTTTTCTTTTTTTGTTGTTTTTTTGAGACAGGGTCTCTCTCTGTTGCCCAGGCTGGAGTGCAGTGGCGTGATCTTGGCTCACTGCAGCCTCAACTTCCTGAGCTCAAGCAATCTTCCTGCCTAAGCCTCCCAGGGAGCTGGGACTACAGTTATGCACCACCATGCCCAGCTAATTTTGGTATTTTGGTAGCAATGGGGTTTCACCATGTTACCCAGGCTGGTCTTGAACTCCTGAGCTCAAGTAATCGGCCCACCTTGGCCTTCCAAAGTGTTGAGATTATAGGCATCAGCCGCTACGTCTGCCCTGAGATCAGTTTTATAAGGGCACTAATCCCAATTCGTGAGGGCTTCACTTTCCTGACCTATAACTTCCCAAAGGCCCCATATCCAAAAACCATCACAGTAGTGATTACATTTCAACATAGGAATTTTGGGGGGACATAAGCATTCAGACCATAGCAATTCGTTTGAGGGTTTAATGAAATAATATATGTAAAGTACTTAGTATAGTACAGCATATTATATGCATTCAATAAATATCAGTTGTTATTTTTATTACCTTTAAGATACAATAACTTTGGCATGATTAGTTATTCTGAGACAATATACATTAGGATAGGGAAAAAAAAAAACCCTAGGACTTCTGCTTGTATTTTTACTTCTCCCTATAACTTTTGTGTGTGTACATACATACATATACATATGTGTGTATATATACATATATGTGTGAACGTGTATATATAGGAATTATGTACCTAAAAATGTTTTCACTGGTAGAAGATGTGATTTTTAAAAATTGGAGACAATTGGCTCAGAGATTTAATAAAAGTTCAGAAACATGTATTTGTATAGCATTTTCTTTTTTCTTTTTTTTTTTTTTTTGAGACGGAGTCTTGCTCTGTCACCCAGGCTGGAGTGCAGTGGCGCGATCTCGGCTCACTGCAAACTCCGCCTCCCAGGTTCACACCATTCTCCTGCCTCAGCCTCCCAAGTAGCTGGGACTACAGGCGCCCGCCACCATGCCCAGCTAATTTTTTGTATTTTTAGTAGAGACCGGGTTTCACTGTGTTAGCCAAGATGGTCTCGATCTCCTGACCTCATGATCCACCCGCCTTGGCCTCCCAAAATGCTGGGATTACAGGTGTGAGCCACAGTGCCTGGCCAGTGTATAGCATTTTCACCTGATCTTAGCCAAAAGGCCAAGAACTGTTATAGAATTTTCATTCTCAAGATTAAGTCTCTTTCATACAAACCACAACATATTTTCAAATCATTGCTTATTTAAAGCTTGCCAACCTGTAGCGTAGCATGTGAATATTCACATTTTGAACTAGGGCCAAGAAAGCCAGGATGATGCGTTTCTTTCCAACCCCAGCAATTCATTAAAATTCCTTTGTCAAATCAACAGATCAAGAGCAGTGTATTGCCTAGGATGGTCGGTTTATTTTCAGGAACTGAATTTATAAATAATTCAGGAAATGAATCAGACCTTATTTTATCAGCAACATTACTATAGATGTCCAGTAGAAACTCTCCATGTGTGTCATCTTATATGAAGTCACTTGATAATTATCTATCTCCAAATTAGAAAACCTAGTTAAATGAAGCTGGGGCTTGGGAGATGTGGAAGGAAGAACTCCTGATTTTCAACCCCTGTTAATCAGCAGCAGTGCGGGCGCCCTGTGCTTCTTGCACAGTTGTCCTGTGCCACCTTCCTGAGTGGCTACCACCCAGGAAGTTGATGCAGAGGACCTGCCATGTGGGAGCCTGACTTTCTTTTTTTTCGAGATGGAGTTTCACTCTTGTTGCCCAGGCTGGGGTGCAATGCCGTTATCTCGGCTCACTGCAGCCTCTGCCTCCCAGGTTCAAGCAATTCTTCTGCCTCAGCCTCCCAAGTAGCTAGGATTACAGGCACGCGCCACCATGCCCAGCTAATATTTTGTATTTTTAATAGAGACGGGGTTTCACCATGTTGGCCAGGCTGGTCTCAAACTCCTGACCTTCAAGTGATCCACCCACCTTGGCCTCCCAAAGTGCTGGGATCACAGACTTGAGCCACTTTGCCCGGCCCTGACTTTTATTTTTCTAAGAAAAAGGTATTCTACAGTTGCATTTCAAGACAAAAGGGAGACTGTCAAAATTTTGCTTGAAATAATAACCACTTTGAAAGAGAAACAGAAGAGAAAGGGGAGAAAAACCTAAGAATATCAAACCTATCAAACAAATTATTTTTTGAAACAATAGAGAAGTCCCCTCCAAGTATTAGGTGTTTTGGGGTGCAGAGCCCCAGGGAGAGGGGGCACAGCTCAGAAATCCCTGTGGCTTGTTTCAACTCAGTCACAATCTGTTGTAACCCAGCAAACGCCCAGGAATATGTTGGCCTTTAGAGCCAAAAGGCATATTTAGCCCTAAAGACGACTTGTTTTCCTATTAAATATAAAAGAAATAGCATATATTTTTAGCAAGCACATCACTGACGTGCTACTAGCGAAAATTATGCCTAAATGGGGGCATTTGGTATAATCTGAATCTTGCTTGGGAAAATGCTTGTTGCTTTTTATAATTATTTATCAATGGTATTGGTTTCTGGGAAGTACATATGTGATCTACTGTAAGGGAAAGTATAATCTAGAGCCACGTGTTAAGTTTTGACATCTGGGGCTAAGTGCTCTTCTTTTTCAAGTCCGTAGGCCAGGATGGATTTCTCAATTATGTTGAAGAATGTCTGTGGTTTTTATGTGTGTTCTCAGAATTCACACTTCATTACTGCTAAATGATCAGAATCATGAGAACAGTGGCTTTGTGCATCTTACATGCCATTGTGTCCCCGGGGTCTGCCACAATGCCTGGCACAAATTAGATGGTCTAAAACACTGCATTTTTTAAATGTTTATTTTAGGTTTAGAGGTACATGTGCAGGTGCGTTACATAGGTCATTTGCATGTCACATGAGTTGGCTGTACAGATTATTTCTTTTTTTTTTTTTTTTTTTTGAGACAGAGTCTTGCTCTGTTGCCCAGGCTGAAGTGCAGTGGCACGATCTCTGCTCACTGCAACCTCTGCCTCCTGGGTTCAAGTGATTCTCCTGCCTCAGCCTCCTAAGTAGCTGGGATTACAGGCACCTCTCACCATGCCTGGCTAATTTTTTAAAATTTTTAGTAGAGAGGGGGTTTCACCATGTTGGCCAGGCTGGTTTTGAACTCCTGACCTCAAGTGATCCACCCACCATGGCCTCCCAAAGTGCTGAGATTACAGGCGTGAGCTACCACGCCTGGCTCAGATTATTTCATCATCCAAGTAATAAGCACAGTACTCAATAGGTAGTTTTTCTATCCTCTCTCTCCACCCACAACAGGCCCAGGTGCCTGTTGTTCCCTTCTTTGTGTCCATGTAAAACACTGCATTTGTTCATTCTGTTAAAATAAAACTAAGATCTGTGGTTTTCCATGAGGTCAGTCAGAACTAGGACCAAACCCTCCAAAAGTTACGATTTAATTTTGAAGACTTAGCATTTGGCTTTTAAATTAGAATTGTAGAGCAGGTAGTATTAATCCGTCACTGTTGTACCAATTCTGGTAGATTAGTTAAAACATCATTTCTTTAGTTGTATTTTTTTAAACACGTCACTCTTCAATGGATTCCATGAGTCAAATGACAACACTTAAAGTTAAAACATTCCTCTGAATTTCATTTAAGGCAAACGAAAACATGGACAGCTGGATGAAGACCTCAGCCTCACTAGGGTAGAGCCCAGGTAGGTATTGGCCATATTGGTGCTATGGCACCTTTCTACAGGCTCTCACAAAATAGGGAATGAAGAAGTGACAAAATAAAATGTGTGTTCTTAGAGTGGCCACTCTTGGGTATACATTGGAATGTCCTAGGACGGCCAAACTCTTAAAATTGCTGATACCACCCTCAGGGATTCTGATTTAATTGGTCTAGGCTGCGGCCTGGACATTGGTGTTTTTGTGTTTTTTGTTTGTTTGTTTGTTTTTCTTAGAGATAGGGTTTTTCTCTGTCACTCAGGCTGGTGGTAGGATCATAGCTCACTGCAGCCTCAAACTCCTAGACTCAAGTGATCCTCCTGCCCTGGCCTATAGGCGCACACCACCATGCCAGCTAATTTTTCTTTTAATTTTATGGAGATGGGGGTCTCACTATGTTGTCCAGGTTGGTTTTAAACTCTGGGCCTCAGGTGATTCTCCCACCTCGGCCTCCCAAAGTGCTAGGATTACAAGCATGAGCCACTTCACCTACCTATACATTGGGGTTTTTAAAAGCTCCCCAGATGATTCCAATGTACAGCCAAGGCTGAGAACGACTGTGATATGGTTTGGTTTTGTCCCCACCCAAATCTCATCTTGAATTGTAACTCCAACAATTCCCATGTGTCATGGGAGGGACCCATTGGAAGGTAATTGAATCATGGGGTTGGGTCTTTCCTGTGCTGTTCTTGTGATAGTGAATTAGTCTCACGAGATCTGATGGTTTTAAAAAATGGGAGTTTCCCTACACCAGCTCTCTCTCTCTTTGCCTGCAGCCATCCATGTAAGATGTGACTTGCTCCTCCTTGCCTTTCACCTTCCACCATGACTGTGAGGCCTCCTAAGCCATGTGGAACTGTGAGTCCAATAAGCCTCTTTCTTTTGTAAATTGCCCAGTCTTGGGTATGTCTTATCGGCAGTGTGAAAACGGACTAATACACATTGTATTAAAGTGTTGTTAGGAGAGGCAGATTCTTCAGGCCTTTTATTTTATATACAGTACATATAGGCATTTAAAAGCAATTGTAACTAAATTGCATTCTTCTAAGCTATATTCTCTTTCTGAAGTACCTAAAAATTATTTGAAATTTTACAGCTGAAAAATGCTGTTTGCCCATCAATGCATATAGACAGTAAGTGACTTTTGCCTTATGAACAAACTTCTGGTCATTTTCATGTTATGGTGCCCACAGAAATTGATATTTGTACAGCATACTTAAGGTCCCTTGAAGGGCAGAAATGACTAATCCAATAGTTCCTGCAGCTCCAAGCACACAAGGTATCAGTGTCTCAGCAGAACAAGAAGAAAGGCTGCCTGAGAGGCTGTTTCCGACAACTAGGGCTCTTTTGGCCAAGAAATGCATAAAATTGCTGTTCTGGGTAATCTTCTCTGAATTATTGAGCAAGAACAGCACTCTGGAACTTCATTTATCTGTAGCCAGGATAATGAAACACAAGCAACATTCCAATGATAACATTTATCTTGATTTCTATCTCCACACTTAATAAAAGGAACCAGATGTTTCTCTTAAATCACTATCAGGCTCTTGGTCATTTCCTGGAGTTGATAAGAGCCCAGCCCATTTCACAGTAGATACTACTGAGGAAATACAGAAAATGAGAGGAGACAGTAGTGCATTGACTGCGTATTAGTTTAAATATTATGTAACTCTGTTTATGAAGTTCTCCTCCCTACTGCCCAGGGGAGAAAGATTACAGCAAAAATAATTGAGTATTATTTATTTAAGAACAGGTGAGATTTCTTTTTAAAATTTAACCCAAGGTCAGATTATGAGTTCTTATACAAAGAAACAAGAATGTAGAGTATAATTTTAAAAATTCTATGGTGTAGCAGTTCTTATAGGTAATAATCTTCTGTTTTGTTTTATAGGAACACATTATTTGGCTGAGAAATTGAGACTTTCTTAGCATCATTTAATTTATATTTTTAGTTTTGCGAACTATTACAGCTGGGCCAAGCACAAATGTATAGTGTAGTCAAGTTTTGAGTCCCATTCGAGTTTGGAAATCCCGACTATAGTAAAAAGGAGAAGAGGGTGATAGCAGATAGATGTGTATTTTTCTCTTGCTTCCTCTCTTGTCTCTAAAGGAGATTTAAATGGAATTGAGACAGAAGCTATGAAATGCAGGCTTCCAAACCAGTGCTGGTATTTTGACTATGGTGTTGGCACACTCCCAGAGCCCTGGGTGACATTTTAAGTAAATGAAGCAGCCTTTTTCTCTATATCCTTAGAAAACTTGTCTCCTGCCTTTCTCCTCTCTCTGTTCTTAATTCATCAGGTCTTGTCATAATGTTCAAGAACTCTATGGTCAGAAGAGTGCTATGCAATTGTAAAATGAGTGAAGAATCTTGCTCTAGACAGATTGAATTATATCTGAGATATACAATTAAGTGAAAAAAAAGCAAAGTAAACATATATATATATATATATTTTGGTTGAGGGAACAGAGTCTCGCTCGGTCACCCAGGCTGGAGTGCAGTGGTACACAATCTTGGCTCACTGCAACCTCCACCTCCCACCCCTACCCCGCCCCTGGTTCAAGTGATTCTCGTGCTTCAGTCTCCTGAGTAGCTAGGATTACAGGCATGTGCCACCACGCCCAGCTAATTTTTGTATTTTTAGTAGAGACAAGTTTTCACCATGTTGGCCAGGCTGGTCTCAAACTCCTGGCCTCAAGTGATCTACCCACCTTGGCTTCCCAAAGTGCTGGAATTACAGGCACGGGCCACTGTGCCAGACCAACATGAGCATATATGGTATGCTACTTTTTATGTAAGAAAGAAGAGAAAGAAAGAAGACATACACATATCTGCTTATGTTTACAAGAACAAAGAAAAATGCAAAAAGGATAAGTCAAAAAAACGAGAATAGTTACCTATAAGTGAGGGGATGTTGGGATGAAAGGGATACAGAAGATAATGACACTATTCCTTTTTATATCAGTTTGATTTTTAGAAGCATGTTAATGTTCTACATCTTCAAAAAATAATATTAATTTATGAGAATGGGAAAGAAGAAAAAAACTGAAAGCAAACCTTAAACTATCTGTATTTCAAATGAATATCGTAATCACACTGAAAGGGAAAATGAGGAACTTATCCCAATAAATTATAAACGTAGTCCTTGGAGAGAATTTCCAGGGATCACGCAAAGATGGCAGAAGATAATCCTGGAATATGCTGTTATTCAAAAAAGAAGGAAATGCTAAAAAAATAAAATAAAATAAGGGGCACATGTTGCATGAGCAGGCTTTAAGGGGATGCCAGTGGCCAAATCTTAGATAATTTGAACACCAAAATAACTAAGATGGTAATAAATTATAAACCATTAAGAAAAAAGGGGGAAATCAATGAGTCCATACTGAAGATAGTTGACAATAGATAGACAGATACGGATGGATGGATGGGTGGGTGGATGGATGGTTGATTGCAGTGCGAAAGCATTTGCTTACAGTAGAATGTCAAGGGCCAAGTGGTAAACATGGAGGAAATACTGGAGTTGGAAATTCATATTACAACATCCTTCATAAATACTGATTCCATCAAGAAGCAGTGATGAAGGATAAACCAAGTTGGTGAGCCATTATGATAAGCAGCGGATCCTAGTCTTTCCCCACAGATTGCTTATTGTAATGTAAGAGGGAAAATACTGTACAATGGAGAAGCTGGACACTAGCATGACTAGATGATCAAAATTAGCAACACCAATGAGTGATATCACTTACCACCAGATGTGAATCCTGAGAAAGACCCATCATCTGCACAGTATCCAAGTGACTTGACTCTAGTGGTGGGGAGGCATTAGACAAACCCCAAATGAAGAACATTCTTATACATATGTATATTCTTATATTCTTAAACGCCACAAAAGACAAAGCCTGAGGAACTATCCCAGATTTCATTTGTTAAATTATAGCAACTGACGGAAGTTATTGAGACAACTAAAATTCTTTATTACATTTTTGTGATTAAATACTTCAAACATGGAAAATCACACAAAGAGTAACAAAATGGCACCTATATTCCCACAACCCAGTCCTTTCAAAGTCTAGTATTTTGTCTTAGTTTAAATTATTTTAAGGGTATTAGATATAATGGGAACATTAAAGCTATTTCTGAAATCCTCTCATTGCCTCTTCTTTCCCAGAGATGATCACTTTTCTAAAATATTGTGCTTAGTTTCTTGCAAGTTGTTACACTGTTAACTCTTCAAACTCAGTATGTGTATTTTTTAACTCAGTTTGATTTTGAAATGTATCTTTTTTGATACATGCAGCTCTGGCTCACTCTTTTGATTATTTGTATTCAATTAAAGGACTAAATCATTATTTTATTCTCTGTTGATGGCATTTACATTGCTTTCAAATTTTTTTCAGTATTATAGGCAATACTGCAGTGAACATTCTGTTATCTGTCTTCTTATACACACTTGCCAGAAAATTACAAATATTGTCCAAATCATGAAACTGGTCAAAAGATATGAGCAGTTTTAGCTTCATAAAATATTGAGAAATTATCCTCCAAAGTAGTTGTGTGAGCTTATATTTCCATTATCAATGCATAAGAATTTCTGTTTCGGCCGGGCGTGGTGGCTCACACCTGTAATCCCAGCACTTTGGGAGGCTGAGGTGGGAGGATCACGAGGTCAGGAGATCGAGACCATCCTGGCTAACACAGTGAAACCCTGTCTCTACTAAAAATACAAAAAAAAAAACTGGCCGGGCCTAGTGGCGGTCGCCTATAGTCCCAGCTACTTGGGAGGCTGATGCAGGAGAATGGTGTGAACCCGGGAGGTAGAGCTTGCAGTGAGTCGAGATCACACCACTGTACTGCAGCCTGGACAACAGAGCGAGACTCCGTCTGGAAAAAAAAAAAAAAAGGATTTCTGTTTCTACAAAGATAATGACAACAAATTATTTTTCCCATCTGATGGTCATGAAATGGTTGATCTTTGTGTTTTAAATTTGCTCTTCTCAGATTACTAGGGAGACTGAGTGGTTTTACAAATGATTATGCAATATTTTAATTTCTTCTCCTGTAGATTCTTTACTCATATCCTTTAGGTTTTTTTCTGAGTGGTATATCCTGTTTTCATTGGTTTGTAGAAGTTTTTAATACATTCTTTATATCCTCTTATGTGCATTTGAGTATCTTTTCTCACTCTTTGAGCTCTATTTTCATTTTATTTCTGTTGTCGTTGGTTGAATGGGGGTTTTACTTTAATGATGTCAGGTTTACTGGTTGTTTCTTATCAGATGTGCCTTTTCTATATATTTTAAGATGTAAGAGTCTTAAAACATATTTTCCTATATTTTCTTTTAAAATATTAAATATTTTATTTTTCACATTTATGTGCTTAATCTATCAGGAATTATTTCTGTGTATGGTGTGACACAGTACTCTGATTTTAATTTTTCAATACATGGATATCCAGTTGGCATAGTCTCAAAAGTCAAATATACCGATAAACTTGGGTCGAGCAGTCTACTTCAATGAGGTCATCTCTCTCTAGATAGAAAGAGTCCTGGAAATCCTAATGTTATCCCTTGGGAAAAGTCTGTTCCTATCTGGTACCATCTTTTATTAGGGCTTTCTGGGGAGGAGGCACTTCTAAAAAACTCAATTTCTGATTTATAGTTTATAAAACCACCTGCAGGAGACAAGACTGAATAGCTGTGATTAGTCAATATTATTTAATCAGAAGAGAGGAGAATGGAATCCCCTATTTGGGTATTTAGCCAATGATCATACAGAGAGAAGGAACTATCAGGGAAGATATTGACAAATGTCCAGGGTCTTTGATTTTGTTCCTATATTAGAGTTGTACCAAATTACAAGGAGTTTTGTATCCAGGAATAAACTAATTTGTTGACAGCTTTGCCTCAATCATTATACATAACCTAAGTATGTTCTATCCAACCTGAAAAGCAAATGATTATTGAAATTTATATTAGTTATATTTTATCACTACGTAATTAATTTCTTTTTTTTGCCGGGTTTAATCTGTGTACCTAGATTAGGAAAAGGAAAAGAAAAAAGAATTGTCAAACATTTAATCAATCAGGATATAAACATGGGATAGTTTTCTGAAAACAGGAAATTATTAAAGCCAGAAAAATAATATTTAAATTAGGCATACTACTACCTAAATTTGACTTTTTCAGAATTAGAGACTTATTTAAAATGACTCAAGAAATCAGGGCAAAGCTACAAAATAGAGAATGACCTCTCAGAGGTTGACTCTTGTGAGAAGAGTTAACAGTGGGGTTCTGTTTTCAAGACAGAGAACAAAATTGTTTTCTCTTTTTAAAGAGCAGATTGTATATTCAAGGGTCAAAATAATATTCATCTGAACTATTCACTCTCTGTCTTCATTATTCATAAGCTTTTTTCATTTAACATCTTTAATATACTTTATATGCATTTTTATTAAATATACATATGTAGTTAGTTTTAACTTCAGCTTTTTAAAATAAATATTGATAAATTAAATATCATTGTATTATCTAAAGCAATATACATCATATAAATTTACCGTCTTAATTTGAGCTTTGCAAAGAGCAAATATGCTATTATAGAGTGGTCTATCACTTCTATAATCTCTGTTCTTATTTATGCATTTTAGTTACCAAAGATTTCATGTGACAACATTATTTACTACCTTAATTGAATATTAGTCATAGGTCTTGAAGACAATCACGGATCTCAAAAATTATATTTAAAGTGTGATATAATCATTGTTGATTTTAAAAATCGAAGGTACAATATTTAAAAATCACATGCAGGGCTGGGCATGTTGGCTCACGCCTGTAATCCCAGCACTTTGGGAGGCTGAGGCAGGTGGATCACCCAAAGTCAGGAATTTGAGACCAGCCTGGCTAACATGGCAAAACCCTCTCTCTACTAAAAATACAAAAATTAGCTAGGGGTGGTGGTGCATACCTGTAATCTCAGCTACTCGGGAGGCTGGGGTAGAAGAATCGCTTAAACCCAAGAGGGCAAGGTTGCAGTGAGCCAAGATCGCACTATGGCACTCCAGCCTGGGAGACAGAGCCAGACTCCATCTCAAAAAAAAAAAAAAAAATTCACATGGAAGGGCTGGGTGTGGTGGCTCATGCCTGTAATCCCAGCACTTTGGGAGGCCGAGGAAGGTGGATCGCTTGAGCTCAGAAGTTCTAGACTGGGCCAAGGCAGCACAGTGAGACCCTGTCTCTCAAAAAAAAAAAAAAAAAAAATCACATGCGGATAGCAAGAGTGAACTGTTTTACACTATTATTTCAGGTTTACAGGAACAAATCTTTTTAGAAAACAGCAGTTGCTATTTAATTTAGTTAAATACATATATTTATATTTTTATGCCTTTACATATTTTGTGTAAAGAGTGATAATTTATCTGACCCATGAAATCAACAGAGGAAATTTAGAAAGTATAAAATAATGAGATCAGAGAGAAGACAAATAGATGTTTTTGAATATACTGTGTTTTGAATATATTGTGTGTACTAACATACTGTGTTCAAGTATTCATATTAAATGGGAATATAACACTTGAAGTTCTTTTTTCTTTTCAGAGTTGGGGTCTCACTGTCACCCAGGCTGAAGTGAGCAATCATGACTCACTGCAGCCTCAAACTCCTGGTCTCCAGTGATCCTCCAACTTCAGTCTCCTGAGTAACTGGGACTACAGGCATGCACCACCATGCCCAGCTAGTTTATTCTTTTTTTTTTTTTTTTTTGTAGACACGGGAGCTCTCTATGTTGCCCAGACTGGTTTCAAACTCCTGGCCTCAAGCAATCCTCCCACCTCTGCTTCCCATCACAGGCTTGAGCCACTGAGCCTGGCCACCCATGATGTTCTCCATACAATTTGTATACCTCTGCATTTACCAACCAAATGTTACAGTTCATTTAAATTGTACTGCTGGGCGTGGTGGCTCATGCCTGTAATCCCAGCACTTTAGAAGGCCGAAGAGGGCAGATCATGAGGTCAGGAGTTCAAGACCAGCCTGGCCAACACAGTGAAACCCCCGTCTCTACTGAAAACACAAAAATTAGCCAGGCCTGGTGGCGTGCGCCTGTAGTCTCAGCTACTAAGGAGGCTGAGGCAGGAGAATCGCTTCAACCTGGGAGGCAGAGGTTGCAGTGAGCCGAGATTGCGCCACTGCACTCCAGCCTGGGTGACAGAGCGAGACTCCATCTCAAAAAATATATATAAAATAAATTGTACTTAATAGTACTGACGTTTTCTTTCTTTTTTTTTTTTTTTTTTTTTTGGCGTTTTGGTTTATCTAGTTATCTAGCTGTTTAGTCATTGTTATTTATGGACTCTCTTGGCCACTTCTGTAAGACAAGGACTTATACTGAAAGACTAACACCCTTAAAACATTAGAAGTTTGGCCGGGCGCGGTGGCTCACGCCTGTAATCCCAGCACTTTGGGAGGCAGAGGCAGGAGGATCATGAGGTCAGGAGATCGAGACCATCCTGGCTAACGCGGTGAAACCCCGCCTCTACTAAAAATACAAAAAATTAGCCGGGCGTGGTGGCGGGCGCCTGTGGTCCCGGCTACTCGGGAGGCTGAGGCAGGAGAATGGCGTGAACCCGGGAGGCGGAGCTTGCAGTGAGCCGAGGTCGCGCCACTGCACTCCAGCCTGGGCGACAGAGCGAGACTCCGTCTCAAAAAAAAAAAAAAAACAAAAAAAAAAAACATTAGAAGTTTATTTTGTCACCCATCCCAATTTTGTTTTGCTTTTTGTTTTTGCCCTCTGTCCTATTTTAAATTGGTGCTTCTTAAAGTTCTGTAGGCCAAATTAATAAGAGGAACTTCATCTAATTCCGAACTCAGAGTTCAAGGGGAGGTAAAAGACCAATTTAAATGGATAAGCCTATGTACCTCTGCCCCTACCTGGACCACCTGAGTTGTGAAGTATGCTGGTCACTTTCTCTGATCATTTTCTGCTTGTGAGCAGGAGTCATTTTTGGAGAGATGGCAGGACCCTGTAGTAGTGGTCAGGAATTACGGATCTGCCCGGATAGCAAATGCCAGTGCTGAGTTTGTATCTTAGGTGGTGAGACAGTATTTCTCTGCTCCATGACAGGGGTCTGGGTAATACCTGCCCATAACCCATCTGCCATCTTTGGCTCAGTTTATTTCCTCTGATCTGTCAATCTCTCCATTGACAGGTGAAAGGCTGACTTCATCAGCATGACATGGATCACATTTTTGAAGAGCTGGTAAAATAGCCTCATTGTTTAAACGAATGTGTTTTTGTTCAATTCTTGTTGTCAGAGAATTTGTTCCTGAGTGTCCTGCCTGAGTCTTCAGAAACACAATTTACTGTATTCTATGGGATAATTTATGGGGGTTTTTGGTGGGGTTTTTTTTTTTTTTTTCAAAAGTGTCACTTGCCAAGCTTTGTTTTTGTTTGATTAGTGTACAGTAGTCTCCCTTAGCCAGGGTTTCACTTTCCATGGTTTCAGTTACCCACAGTCAAGTGCCTTCCACTAATAGGTGAGTACAGTACAATAAGATATTTTGAGACACAGACTACATTCACATAACTTTTATTTCAGTATATTCTTATAATTGTTCATTTTATTATGAGTTATTGTTGTTAATATCTTACTATGCTTAATTTATGTTGATTTTTTACTGTTCCTTGTGTAATACAGTCTTGTATATACTTTCTGAGTTACTTTGTCCATTGACTCCTGTTATATGGCCTCAGATATTTATTTAAGGTGAGGGTTGGGCTACGTGGCAATGTTCTTTTTGCTTGTGTGTTTGTTTTGTTGGTTGGGTTTTTTGTTTTTTTAATCTTTAAACATTTTTTAGAGATAGGGTCTCACCGTGTTGCCCAGGCTGGAGCACAGTGGCCATTCACAGGCGCAATCACAGTACACTGCAGCCTTGAATGCTTGAGCTCAAACGACCTCCCACTTCAGTCTACTGAGTAACTGAGACTACAGGCACGAAGCATGCCTGGACTTTTCTTTCTTTTTTTTTAATTTTTATTATTTTTTGCTAGATTTTGCCACCCTTTTGCCATCAGCTTCCCAGTTTGTAGTCTGTCAATGTGCAGACCAGGTAGTTAACACCATTTGGTATTGTTCAGGAATCAGTGTAAAATATGTCGCCAGTTATGTCTTTGAGCATAGCTTGTAATTCAGCCAACTTGACACATTTCTCCACCTTTGGCTAAGCCTGGCCAGGCTCAGTCCCTGGGAGTTTCAGCAGAGCATACCCAGGGCCTCAGGCACTGCCTGTCTGAGAGCTTTGAACAGGGAGGGCCCAAATCCGCAGGGCCTTCCCCTCAAGGATCTTCCCACCCCCTAACCCCTCCAAGCTTTGTTAGACCCCAGCAGGCCCACAGCAAATGGCACACCACAGGTTCTCAGCCCCTTCTGTGATGTCATTCTTCATTTTACCTGAGTAGAGAGGCTGTTATCCCCACTGTGTCTGGCTGGGGGTAAATCCAACCCATTGCCCTTGTAGTGTTCAGTGTTGCTGGCTAGTTTCCAGTTTGTTGTAATGCCCAGTATACTATTGTAGCATGTGTGTGGTGTGGGGTGTGTGTGTGTATGTTTGTGTATCTGTGTAAATCAATGTATCAATGTATTTGATTCAGACTGTCCAACCACCTACTTGTTGATGTCAGAGGCAAGAAAGCACAGTTATCCAAAATAGTGATTTCCAGGTAAAGGGATGGGGAGAATAGGAGGGAGGTGAGACCAGCTTGCTCAGGTGGGTCAAGGGTGAGCTGTTGTGAGAGTCTTCTCCCAATGTCCCAGGTCTTCCAGTAATTGCATAAAGAGGTTACCCGAGGTTAAAATATATGTCTCCAGTACTTAAATGTCTCTCTGGGCCTCTGTGTAGTTGTTGTTTTTTTTTTTTTTTTTTTTTTTGGCCAGAGAGGAAGAGCTGTTATTTTTATTTTTCCTTTATAACATCTAGTACTAAAGGCCTTCTTTGGGTAATGCCTAAATAGTTTATTGCTATTTTGGCCTAATTGATTCTTTTCCTCAGCTACATTCTATTATTTTTCTTTCAGGTATTTAACAAGTGACATGTTTTGTTTTTTCTTTTATGATGAGTTAATCTTCAAAGTTTCTTATAAAGAGACAGAGAAAAAAATAAGGAGGAACCACTAGGCACCTATTAGAACGAGTACCATAAAAAATACTGGGTGCTGGGAAGGATAGGAAGCAGCCGGAAGCCTCACGTGTTGCCAGGGGAATGCAAAACGGTGCCATCACTTTGAAAACGGTTTGACGGTTTCTCAGAGTTAAGCACACACTTACATATGACCCAGCAACCCCACACCTGGGTTTTGACCCTAGAGAAATGAAAAGTTCTTTTCTTTTAAGATGGAGTTTCACTCTTGTTGCCCAGGCTTGAGTTCAGTGGCACAATCTCGGCTCACCAAAACCTCCGCCTCCCAGATTCAAGTGATTCTCCTGCCTCGGCCTCTCAAGTAGCTGGGATTACAGGTGTGTGCCACCATGCCCAGCTACTTTTGCATTTTTAGTAGAGACGGGGTTTCACTATGTTGGTCAGGCTGGTCTCGAACTCCTGACCTCAAGTGATCCACTAGCCTCGGCCTCCCAAAGTGCTGGGATTACGGGCATAAGCCATTGCATCTGGGCTGAAAAGTTCTTTTCACACAAAACTTTGCACAAGCTTTACTTGTAATAGCCCTAAACTGGAAACAACCCAAATGTCTTTCAAAGAGTGAATGGCTAACATATGGTGGTCCAGCCGTAGCATCATGGTATTCTACTCTGCAATAAAAAGGAGCCAACCGTTGATACACAAAACAGCTTGGATCATCTCAAAGGTACTGTGCTAAGTGAAGGAAGCCTGACTCAAAATGTTAAATGCCATGTGATTCCATTTATAAGACATTCTTGAAAAGACAAAGACAAAAACTATAATGATAGAGTGGTTCTGAACAGAATTTTTCTTTGGAGTAACGATCTCACTCTGTCACCCAGGCTGGAGTGTAGTCGTGTGATCACAGCACACTGTAACCTTGAACTCCTCAAGCTATCCTGCCACCTTAGCCTACAAAGTAACTGGGACCCATAGGTGCATGCCACCACACTGGGTTATTTTATTTTTTTTAAATATTTTTGTGGAGACATGCTTTGTTGATCAGGCTGCTCTCAAACTCCTGGCTTCAAGCGACCCTTCTGCCTTGGCCTCCCAAAGTGCTGGGATTATAAGTGTGACCACCATGCCTGGCCCAGAATTTTTTTAATCCATTCTGCGAATTCATTGTGTTTCTTGAGACTTAGTTACTTTCTTCTGTCATTTGTTTTTATTTATTTTTGAGACAGAGTCTCACTCTGTCATCACTCAGGCTGGAGTGCAGTAGTGCAATCTTGGCTCACTGCAACCTCCACCTCCCTGGTTCAAGCAATTCTCATGCCTTGGCCACCCAAGTAGCTGGGATTACAGATGCGCACCACTATGCCCAGCTCATTTTTGTGTTTTTAGTAAAGACGAGTTTTCACCTTGTTGGCCAGGCTGGTCTCAAACTCCGGGCCTCAAGTGATCTGCCCACCTTGGCCTCCCAAAGTGCTGAGATTACAGGTGTGAGCCACCACCACTCCCGGTGTGGTTTTTTTTTTTTGTAACACTCTCACTCTGTTGCTCAGGCTGGAGTGCAGTGGTGCGATTACAGCACACTGTAATCTCGAACTCCTCAAGCAATTCTCCCACCTTAGCCTACCAAGTAACTGGGACCATAGGTGCACACCACCACACTGGGTTATTTTATCTTTATTTTTTATTTTTGTTGAGACGTGCTTTGTTGTCCAGGCTGGTCTCCAACTCCTGGCTTCAAGTGACTCTTCTGCCTTGGCCTCCCAAAGTGCTGGGATTACAAATGTGACCACCACACCCAGCCCAGAATTTTTTTAATTCATTATGTTTCTTGAGATTTAAATTCTTCTATCATTATTTATTTATTTATTTATTTTTGAGACAGAGTCTCACTCTGTCATCACCCAGGCTGAAATGCAATGGCGCAATCTTGGCTCTCTGCAACCTCTGCCTCCCCAGTTCAAGCAATTCTTGAGCCTCAGCCACCCAAGTAGCTGAGATTACAGGTGCGTATAGCCATGCCCAGCTGATTTTTGTATTTTTAGTAGAGACGGGGTTTCACCATGTTGGCCAGGCTGGTCTTGAACTCCTGGCCTCAAGAGATCCATCCGCCTTGGCCTTCCAAAGTGTTAGGGTTACAGACGTGAGCCACTGAGCCCTGCTTTTTTTTTTTTTTTTTTTTTTTTTTTGAGTAAGACTCTCACTCTGTCACTCAGGTTGGAGTGCAGTGGTGTGATTACAGCACACTGTAACCTCAAACTCAAGCGATTCTTCCACCTTAGCCTACCAAGTAACTGGGAACATAAGTGCACGCCACCACATTGGGTTATTTTATCTTTATTTTTTATTTTTGTAGAGACATGCTTTGTTGCCCAGGCTGGTTTCAAACCCCTGGCTTCAAGTGACTCTTCCACCTTGGCCTCCCAAAGTGCTGGGATTTTTTAAATCCAGCCTAGAATTTTTTTTAATTCAGTCTGCTAATTCATTATGTTTCTTGAGATTTAATTAAATTCTCCTATCATTTGTTTTAAGTCTGACCTAGTATAAGCCCCCCATTTCCTTGATTTGAGCAACAGGACCACAAGAATTACTTCCTGGTTTTGAAGCATACGATCGCTCTGTTGGTTGATCATAGTGATCCTCTTTGTATCCTCCAGGCAGAGGTGGGGGTGCTGTCAAAGACTCCCCAGGGTCAGCTCCCAGAGGTGGGCAGTTGCTACTATAGTCTGATTTCTGCCATAACGTCTGCCTATGCACATTATCAAAGCCCCCACTAACACTGAAGCCATTGCCTTTGGCTCTAGGTTTTTGCTTCTTGTTTTCACTCCTATGGATTTGGTTAGGCCTGCGTTGAGTTTTAACCTGGATTTATTTCCTAAATTCTTGTTTAATGCCTTTTCTACACTAGACTGTGAGTCAGTTTTTCATAGTCTTCCTAGGCTGGAGGTTTTCCTTTAAGTATGGCTTTGATTTCAGAGAGTCTTTCTGCAGTGTGACCTCGTTTTCCTGTTAATTTAGTTGGGATTCATCCCATACTCATCACCAACTTGACATTACCAGCCAAGTAGTTGCAGAGGTCACAGAACAGAAAGTCTCACCGGACAAGTTAAACTCTTCCAGGCACTTAATGTATTAAGTCAATTTAAAACACACACGGAGATGCAAGGGAAAAGAAATACGGTTAGTTAGCAGACTTAGTGTAGGGTGTGAGCAGGATGAAGGGCCAGGCTCTCTGAATCCTGGTACATGACAGTGTTCATGTGGTGTGTCTGTCATTTGTCTCTGTCTCATCAGCTGTCCCTATAGATGATGTTATAAGGACTAGTGTTGAGGTTTGAGCCAGGGTGCCCAACCATAGGAGGTGCCTGGCACCAAGGCGGCAAGGATGCCTGGCCACTTGACAGCTTGTCAATTAGCCTGCTGAGCAGATAAGGGTTTTATTTGCTTTTCTTAGACAGAGAACAGGTAGGGCCAGAAAGGGTGTCACTGATGGGTGGTTGAATTCAAACCTCATGAATATGTATTGCCTCAAGTGCCTCCTGTATATTTAGAGTAATATATGTTGGGTATCTCTCAGTCCATTCTCTCACGCTTTGCTTGCTAACAACTTTTCTTTATCTAACGTATCTTGAGAATTTTGTGGATGTCTTCCAAGCTACATACTTACTACTCATCTATACTTCTATCTTAAGTTTCTTCCTTTCCATTTTTTTCCTTCCATAGCAGAATTGAATATTAACAAACACCACCAAAACATGCACGTAATGCTATGCATTTTATACTCTACTACCCCAACCTGTTGAGCAACGGGACTAGGGAGGGAGACAAAGCCAACATTCATTTATGTGTTATCTCAGGTTCTCTTCTATTACTTTTATTACTAACACCACTATTAGCAAACATGGCTTTCCATCTGCAGGCCAAATGAGCCTGCCAATACCAGGTTCTAGAATAAGATCTACTTGCTTGATCACTGGTAGAACTGGACAACTGCTGTAGCTGATAAACTGTTTGCTTCCTCATCTTTGTGGGGAGCTGGTGCCCTAAGACTCAAGGCACAGAGGAGCAGAGAATGCATGCTTCCCCAGATAGGTAGACCCCAGAGGGAGATGGAAAGGAAAGGGGCTAGGCCACAAGGCCTAGAAAAGGAAACAAAAAAATAGTTGCAAGCATTTGATCACATCGGAATATGAACATATGTGATAATTTTCTGAAGACAAGAAATTATTAAAGCCAGAAAAACAACATTTAAATTAAGCATAGTAGTAAGTAAATTTAGCTTCTTAAAAATGAGAGACTTGTGCTTCAAGTGACTCAAGAAATCAGTATACTCATGCCTGTAATTGCAGCACTTTGCTGCAGGCCGAGGCGAGTGGATCACCTGAGATCAGGAGTTCAAGACCAGCCTAGCCAACATGGTGAAACCCGTCTCTGCTAAAAATACAAAAATTAGCTGGGTGTGGTGGTGGGCTCCTGTAATCCAAGCTACTCAGGAGGCTGAGGTAGGAGAATCACTTGAACCCGGGAGGCAGAGGTTGCAGTGAGCTGAGATTGCGCCACTGCACTCCAGCCTAGCAACAGAATAAGGCTCCTTCTCAAAAAAAAAAAAAAGAAAATAAATCAGTATAAAGCTACAAACAGAGGACAGCATCTTAGAGGTTGACTCTTGTGAGTTAAGAGTTCACTGTGCGGTTGTATAGATTTATACACACACACACACACACACACACACACACACACAAGACAGAGGAATTGATTTAGCATAGGAATTGGCTCACGTAATTATGGAGGCCCAAGGAGTCCCACAATTTGTTGTCTGCAAGCTGGAGACTCGGGAAAGCCAGTGATGTAAATCAGTTTGAGTTTGAAGGCCTGAGAATCAGGAACAGTGAAGTGACGGTGTCAGTCTCGGAGTCCAAATGCCGGAGAACCCAGAGTGCTGATGTCTGAGGCCAGGAGAAGATGGATGTCCTAGCTCAAATGGAAGAGATCAAATTCGCCCCTCCTCTGCCCTTTTGCTCTGTGTGGGCCCTTAACAAATTGGATGATGCCCACTCACACTGGGAAGAGCTACCCTCTTTACTCAGTCTACCAATTCAAATGGTAATCTTTTCCAGAAACACTCTTACAAATACACCCGGAAATAATGCTTTACCAGCATCTGGGTGTCCTTTAAGTCCAGTCAAGTCGATACCTAAAATTAACCATCATGGCGGCCAACCGACTAAGTCTGCATGAGGAGGTAGTAGAGCCCTGGGGCTCACCGGCAAGTAAGAGGCACATTGCTTGCCTCCTCCACCGCCATCGAAATGTGTTGATTATATGTAACTTTGAGCTGTTAAATGTAATTCCACTGCAATTACATCATGAAACTGAGACAGTATGATGGGTTACTGACAAAAGTAAAATGGGTGTGAAAATGCCTCCATATGGAGACTCCATATGTGCATATGTTTTTTGTGTAGGTTTGCATATATAAGCACTTTTAATATGGAAAAATACACATTAAACCACTTCACATTGGTCATCTTGGGGGGATCAGATTGGGGAAGGGGAAGTTTTAAATTTTTCTTTCTATACTTCTATATTATATTTCTTTTATATTTTTATAACGTTAAAAATATCGTAAAAACCTCCTTCTCCACTTGAGTCATGTTCGAATGAAATCCCACTTACCAAGTCTGAACCGTCTTGGCGCACCATTATTAACTGAATGGTGCTTTGCATTTCTGAATGGCCTACTGTTGGAAAAAAAATCGGGAACCCTAACAACCGGCTGGATTTGAGGAATGGATAGAGCAGGTAGGAGGTACCTTACCTTTATTAAAATGCCACAAACACTTATTGTGTAAAGTTAAATAAGTCACTATTAAGAGCTGAATTGTCTTCCTCAAAATTTGTAAGTGGAAGTCCTAACACCTGGTACTTCAGAATGCGACTATATTTGGAGACAGGGTCTTTAAAGAGGCAATTGAGTTAAAATGAGGTCAGTAGGGTGGGCCTTCACCCAATCTGACAGGTGTCTTTATAAAAAGAGAGAGTTAGAGGACACAGACACACACAGAAGACCATGTGAAGATGCAGGGAGAAGACGTCATCTATCTGCAAGCCAAGGAGAGAGGCTTCAGAAGGAGCCAACCCTGCCAACACCTTATCTTAAACTTCTAGCCTCCAGAACTACAAGAAAATAGATTTTTTGTTGTTTAAGCCTCCAGACTGTGGGACTTTGTTACAGCAGCTCTAGAAAACCAAAAGAGCCACAAATACTCATATATAGTATGTCTTCATTCTAATGGTACATTAAAAAAAAGATTACTGCCTCATATTGATGTTTAACCATGTGTTTGATGTTCCTGCTTTTTAACTTTTAAAGATTCTTTTATAATTCCTTGCATTTTACCCTCAGAATAATCCAATGCATTCAGAGAAATCAGGTATTCTTATTTTACAAGTGAAGAAACTGAGGCACAGAAGGATTAAGTGACTTGACCAAAGTCTTCTAGCAAGTGGTCTCCTGAACCGACAGCCTTTCTATGTACCACATTCAACCTATCAAATGGAGTATTTCACAATAACTGTCTCTGCTGGTGCTTATTTCCACATAGGTCACATTCATTCAGCAAACATATTGAGCAACTAGTTTGTGTCTGTCTTTCTTAGGAGTTGAGGAGACAATGACGGAGAGGACACAGTCCTGCTTTTGAGGAGCACATGGTCTAGGTGTGTTGACAGACACATGAACAACATTTTATATAATGTGAGAAACACTATAATCACAGCATGAGTACGGCATTGTAGGGACACCACTGAGAATGTCTTTACAGATGTGGTAGAAACTGAGTGGGTCTTGAAGAATTCAAAGGAGTTTGTCAGACAGGGATGGGGATTCCCAATGGAAGAAGCTTCATGTGCAGAGGCCCAGAGTTGTGCAAGGTGGGAACAAGGACGCTGAGGATGGAAAAGAGATTGGAGTGTGGCAGTGCAGGGAGGGGGAGATTTCATACTTGTCTACTAAAAACGTTAGATACCTTTAGCTTTATGACAAACTCACTGTTTTGTGGTTCTTCATTTTTCACTAGTTTCACCAAGACAGACTTTTTTGGGGGCCGTTCCTATAGATCTTACTTCTCACATTTTAATGAGTATGATGTATCACCTGGGGATTTTGTTAGAGTGCAGATTCTGATTCTGAGAGGGGCCTGCTAGTCTGCATTTCTAGAAGATTCCATGTCAGATTCTCGCTGCTGGAGCCTGGACCACACTTTGAATAGCAAAGCTTAGTCTGTAAAGTAAGAAATCAGAAGATTGGGTTGACCACATTTGTATTTTAGGAAGTTAAACCAGACAAACATGTGTAAAACTGGTTGTAAGCGACTTGCTGCTGCAAGTCACAAAACAAAAGTTCTGCGGATATGTATCCTGTGGGTTATGACTCATTTCAGGAATTCCTCAAATGGCAAGAATACCTCAAAGATTCATGAAATATGCATTATTTGAATGTACTATGTATGTTTCTTCCTAATTTAATACTTTAGTCCTAGTATAGAAGTGGAATTTTAGTAGAATTCTTATAAGTAAGTAGTATGTTTCAATTACAGGATATCTACAGCAAAAAATAAAATGACTTAAAAATAATACAAATAAAACCAGCAGTAGTTGACTTGGTGCCATCTTTTCTCAGGAACGTGAGTAATGACTGGGTCCCATACATGGAGAACAGATTGCTCCACGCAAGGCCTATTAGAAGTTAACACCAAAGCAGATGTTCTTGAAGCTACTGTTACCATTATAGATGCAAATCCAGACAAGCTGTTCCCATTTTATAGGAAAAAAAATGTAATAATAAATTACCATACTTACCTTAATGGCTTAATAAGAATTCATTAGTGAGCATTCATAAAAGAGGATAAGAAGTTTAAAAATGTACTGCTTAAAATAATTAATACTTTTATCACATCAGAAGCCTAAGACATAGTAAGCAATAGCAGATGGTAATTTTAATATCTTACAAATATCATGAAGGCTGCTGGAACCCAAGGTAGAAAACTGCAAAATACAATGACTTTGGGGTCAGTTGTAATTATAAAGAAGCTCAAAGGTCAGAGACCAGATGGAATCCCTCTCAAGTTTAATCCAGAGATGTTTCTCACAAAGAATTTAATAGGTGATTGCTTTCCCTCAAAGCCTATTTGAATGCTAGCCCTGAAAGAATTTACAAATTTTAAAGGGGGAACTTGGCCGGGCACGGTAGCTCACACCTGTAATCCCAGCACTTTGGGAGGCCTAGGAGAGTGGGTCGCCTGAGGTCAGGAGTTCGGGACCAGCCTGGTCAACATAGTGAAACCCCGTCTCTACTAAAAATACAAAAAAAAAAAAAATTAGCCTGGTGTAGTGGCACATGCTTGTAATCCCAGCTACTCAGGATGCTGAGGCAGGAGAATTCGCTTGAACCTGAGAGGCGGCGGTTGCAGTGAGCCAAGATCACACCATTGCACTCCAGTCTGGGCAACACAAGCGAAACTCCGTCTCAAAAAATTATAAAATAAAATAAAATACAGGGGGATCTTATATTCTTTGGCCTTATATTCTATAAGGAGCTTTCTGGTGCCTTGAATCAACACAATTCCTGATGGATTCAAAGCCAAACTTTATGTAGTTTCCCATTGCCTCATTAAACTGCTCAGTGGTAGAAGCTTTTTCCTGTCCACTGGAAGAACACTAAGGCAGGCTATGACTTTCCTTGTTCATTTTTAGGTAATAAACAAGTCTTAGGCATGTTATAAGACAAACATAGCCTCAATTTTAAAATATAGTGCAGGTGTCAAAAATAGTTCAAAACTGGAAACCATCTATAAGGCTATCTTAGCCATTAAAATCCAAGCTGGTGAGAAGAAATAGGGAGAAGAAGAAATAGAGATGTGTGTATATTTTTAACATTTGGAAACATCTAAAAGCTTTAAACTGGGATGTCAAAATGTGCCTTACCTTTTTTTTTTTTTGTAAAAACCCAATTAGCTGATCAAGTATATGAAAAGCTGCCATTCCTCTACCTCCAATCCCTCCTCATACAAAGCAGTGGTCTTTACTGGGGTCCAAGGATGATGCCCAGTATGTTTACAAAATTATCCTTTGTGATGCAGGGAGAATATTGGAATTATTTTTCATATTTATTTGTCTGAAAATGAGATACATTAAGCTTTAATAATATTTATTTTATTTATTCCTGTTTTTGAGACAGTTCTCGCTCTGTCACCCAGGCTGGAGTGCAGCGGCTCACTGCAACCTCCGCCTCCTGGGTTCAAGCAATTCTCGTGCTTCAGCCACCTAAGTAGCTGGGATTATAGGTGTGTACCACCACACCCAGCTAATTTTTGTATTTTTAGTAGAGATAGGGTTTCAAACTTCTGGCCTCAAGTGATCTGCCCACCTTGGCCTCCCAAAGTGCTAGGATTATAGGCATGAGCCACCCCACTCAGCAAGGTTTATTAATATTTAATATTCTAACTGACTTTAGTACCTGCACTTTCTCATCGAATAGAAGGATGGGTGGATGGATGGATAAAAAGATAGGTAGATAGATAGATAGATGTATGATGTATGTATGGGTAGATAAGTAAATAGATAACAGCTAGATGGATGAGTTAATGGGTGGATAGACAGATGATAGATGGATGATAGATGGTTGATAGATAGGGAGGAAAGTAGATAATAGATACATAGATAGATGTACTTTTTTCTTTTCTTTTCTTTTCTTCCTTTTTTCTTTTTTTTTTTTAATAGCTAGGACTGTGGGATAAACAAAAGTTGGAAACCACTGGTCTAAAATACTAGGACATTTTTGTTTTGCATTTCCAGAATCTGGCAAGGTACTACTTAATTTATTCAAGTTGTTTTCAAGGGGTACCATTTAAGAGGGCTGATTTTTAGATGGAAAGAACAGTAATGCCAGTAGTACACAGATATTATCTAACCTAGAAAATGATTGTCTTGAAAAGGTAGTCCTAATTTTCTTGTATCAGAATTTACTTTGAATAATGCTACAGGAAAAGAGCTGTATGATGGATGCCAGGGCAGGCGCGTGCTGTAGACGTGGAAGCAGAAGAGCACCCAGGATATGGGGTGATGAAGAATGTTGTCACAGAGTAGGGAAGAGCAGAACTCTTTTACCAGGTAGAAGCCCAATACCACACACACACACACACACACACACACACACACACACGAAAAAGAGGAGCACTAATGAGAGGAGAACTGGGCCTTGAGACCTAGGCTTTCATGCCCCCTTCTTTTGCCTCCCAGAGGCCAGTAAAGCCTCTCTGTGGGCTTCCTGGGTTCCAGGGAGAACAGTTCACATCAGTGGTATGAAATCACGGCTTTCAAGACTTTGCTTCAGCAGAGACCTATCATAAGAGATGCATTTTACATTGGAAATGCAAACATGTCAGGATGTGTGTTTCTTGAAACTGCAGCTTGACTTGCTACCTTGAATGCACTGCCATGTCATCTGTTCCTGCATCTGAAATGCTGGCTAGTGTCCCTGGCATTCATGGCACAAGCCAGTGCAGTTGCAACCCACAGTCTGGAATTCACAGAGAATGGGAGATACGCTAGGAAAGGTTAGTATCAGCTGAAATGTTAAGGGTCTTAAGTTTCAGACAAGGAGGTTTAGGCGTTGTTATTTGTAACCAAGAGGGTCTCCTGAGGTTTTTAGAAGGGGGGCAATGTGGCCAGACACAGTGGCTCATGCCTATAATCCCAGCATTTTGGAAAGCCAAGGCGGAAGGATTGCTTGAGCCCGGGAGTTCTAGACCAGTCAGAGCAACATCATGAAACCCTGTCTCTATTAAAAAAAAATTTAAAAATTATGGTGGCGCGAACTTTAAATGTAAAATTTAAAAACTTCAAATTTAGCATTAAAAAAAAAATGGTGCCACGAACCTGTAATCCCAGCTACTTGGAAGGCTGAGGCGGGATGACTGCTTGAGCCATGCAAGCAATCATCAAGGTCAAGGCTGCAGTGAGCCATGATTGCACCACTGTATTCCAGCCTGGGCGACAGAGTGAGATCCTGTTCCCCCCAAAAAAGAAGGTGGGCAGTGTGTCTCAATGTGGGCTTTGGGGAGGTGGTCGGCCTGTAGCAGTAGGCACAGTGTGGTAGATGGTGCAGGGCTCACTGGCACTGGGGACAGTAGTGATAGCCCACAGACTAGTTTAGGCTCTTGCAGCCTAAACTGGGGGAGTAAAATAGTTATTATGCTTCTCACCCTCTCCCCCATGATTTTTTTGCCCTTAAAAATGCTACCAGCTCAGACCTAAGGAAGTGTCGCATAGCGATTAGGAGTGTGGCTCTCAAAGTCACCTCCTTGCTCCTCACCTACCCACTCTGTGCACGTGGCCAGGTGACTTAAATTTCCCTGCCGACCTCTGCGAAAGGCTATTTCTGGGACACAGGAAGAGCTCTCAAAGTACAGTGAATGTTAGTGGCATTGTGCAGAAGCCCAATGTTAGTGGCATCGCGCAGAAGCCCAGAGGACCACACTTCCTCGGGAGTTGGCGCTCACGGAGTCCAGCTGTGCCAGCCATGTCCCCAGGGAAACAATTCCCCTCTGCAAAGGCAGAACATTCCTCTGAAGCAGCTTCCAAATCTGCTGTCACTTGCGGCCTGGTCACCTAGTTCTTCAATCACAATTGTGGGAAGAGGGGGCAAAGGAAATGCCAGCAGGGCTCTTGCCTTAGCACTCACTGTGACTGTGTATGTTTAAAATACATAAAAGGCATACTCAAAAATGACCTGTTGTTCATTCTTTCTTACGCTTTCATCATAAATATGCGTTACTGCACGTTTAAGGCACCATTTAATTTTTGGTACGCTATTCATAATACTGAGGTGTAAGAGAACTTGCAAGAACATTAGGCAGGGACAAATAAAAGTAGCAGGCTCTAGCCATCGCTTGTATTTTCTTCTGCTTAGCCATTTTTGATTGCTTTCTCCAGTTATTTATTTATTACCCAATATGAAGCACAGAGAGGAAAAAAGATGTTTTGTTTTTGTTTTTTAAGAGACAAGGTCTCGCCATCACCCAGGCTGGAGTGCAATGGAGCTATCATAGCTCACTGCAGTCTCAAACTCCTGGGCTCAAGCAATCTTTCCACCTCACCCTCCCAAGTAGCTGGGACTGCAGGTGCCCACCACCACCTCAGCTAATTTTTAAAAATTTTTTATAGAGACGGGGTCTTGCTGTGTTGCCCAGGCTGGTCTTAAACTCCTGCCTAAAGGGGTCCTTCTGCCTTGTCCTTTCAAAGTGCTGGGATTACAGGTGAGAGCCACCCCACGTTGGTGCTTTCACCAGTTATTACAGCATACGTTTATTTCTTTCTTTTTTCTTTTTTTTGAGACAAGGGTCTCGCTCTGTTGCCCAGGCTGGAGTGTAGTGGCATGATCTCAGCTCACTGCAACCTCCACCTCCCGGGTTCAAGTGATTCTCTTGCCTCAGCCTTTTGAGTAGCTGGGACTACAGGTGTGCACCACCACACCTGTATTCTTTGTATTTTTAATAGAGACAGGATTTCACCATGTTGGCCAGGCTGGTCTTGAACTCGTGCCCTCAGGTGATCCGCCTGCCTCAGCCTCCCAAAGTGCTGGAATTTCAGGTGTGAGCCACCATGCTTGGCCTATAGTACACTTTGCTCTATCCTAGAACTTTCTGGCCTGAGGCTAATTTACTCTCAAACTTAATGAATGGGAAGAGTGACACTTCCCTCATTTCTGCCTTATTCCATGACTCTGAGGAGGTGCTAAGATGCTTCCTTCTACCTGGAAAAAGTGAGTTTTTAAGTGTGTTTTGCAAGCTTTAGGCCTAATTTGCATGTTCACAGCAAGTGAAGTGGAAAATATAGACAATTATCTTGATTTTTCTAGAAACACACTCATTTAAAATATCAAAAAATTCAGAATATTTTCCCTTGAATTATTTCAGTAATTATCCCAATTTTGTTCTGTATTGATGTTGGTATGATATTAGGTGCCACTTGGGGCATACAATACAAAAGCAACTACAAACTGAAGAAGCAAAAAATAACATCATGATACTTATCATACTTTGCGGAAAATGAAGAACAGGTTCATTACAATGCACCATCTTCAGTGACCCTGGCTCTGCTGGGGTTTCACTGTTGTTGAAGTGTTCAGAACACACTAATGTACCCAGGGAAGGAAGAGCTCTTTGGCTTCTCCAGATCTTTTTCTTGACTCCTGCTCACCTGCTCTCCTGACTCTCCCACCTGGATTCACCTTGAGCTGACACCCCTGATAAGTCTTTCAGCAGCATTTACAAGGTTACATTTCCTCCAGCCATTCCTAAGTGAATCAAAGGCATTTTCTTAAGCCTGGAATTCAAGGTCCTTTGGCAACTGGTTCTATGTTCATCTTTGAATTCTGTTACTAATCCTCTGAATAAATTCCCTTCTGCAATGATGCAGAGTACTTCATCACTTTACCGCCCCCTGCCCCCAACAGTAGTATTCATGCCCAACACGTCTTCCCTGCTCATCCAAGTTCTAAATTTTCCTTCTCATCTAGGTTCTTTCTTTTTTGCTTTCTTTTTATGTCTTTTTTTTTTTTTCCTGAGACAGGGTCTTGCTGTGTCACCCAGGCTGGAGTGCAGTGGTACAATAACGGCTCACTGCAGCCTTGACCTCCTGGGCTCAAGTGATTGTCCTACTTCAGCTTCTTGACCAGCTGGGACTACAGGCACACACCACCACACTCGGCTAATTTTTAAATTTTTTGCAGAGATGGGGTTTCCCCATGTTGCCCAGGCTGGTCTCGAACTCCTGAGCTCAAGCAATCCTCCTTCCTGGCCTCCCAAAGTGATGGGATTACAGGTGTGACTACCACACCTGACTAATCCAGGTTCTTTAATTGCCAAAATGTCCTTTAGTTTCTTCCCAGTTCTGTTTCCTGAGTTTCTTTGGTAGATATATTTCTTTTTTTTTTTTTTGAGATGGAGTCTCGCCTTGTCGCCCTCGCTGGAATGCAGTGGCACAATCTTGGCTCACTGCAACCTCCGCCTCTTGGGTTCAAGTAATTCTCTGCCTCAGCCTCCCGAGTAGCTGGGATCACAAGCATGCGCCACCATGCCCAGCTAATTTTTGTACTTTTAGTAGAGACAGGGTTTCACCATCTTGGCCAGGCTGGTCTTGAACTCCTGACCTTGTGATCTGCCCGCCTTGGCCTCCCAAAGTGCTAGAATTATAGGCGTGAGCCACTGCACCCAGCCAGATAGATTTCTTTCTACCTATTCTACCTCTTGATAATGTACTCTATTGGCTCTTACTACTTTTAGCATTTTGGTCTTTCCTTTACAGGTAGATTTAAAACTCTTCACAAGGAGATAGTTTCTTTTTGTTATGTTTCCTTTACAGCATGTTGCACAGAACTGGGTATCCATTAGGCGATTCATGGTCATTGAAAATTAGCAGGTAGGGGTGTTCCCTAACCCCTGAGATCTAGATAAGATGACCTCCAGGTCTTAGTTGCATGGGTCGTCACAGTCCAAGTCTCCTTCCAGATTCTGCAGGTTCCTCGGGTCAGCCTTCATGGCCATGGCCTTGGACTCCTGCTTTCAGACAAGCTGCTCTGCAGAATGCTCACTCAGATATAAAGTCCAGCAAACAAAAACTCACAAAAAGCATTTCTGAGTCTAGTAGGACCTACTGAAAATCTAAGGAGGAAATATTCTGGACTGTTTCCATTCGGCAATGGAAACTATTTCAAATCAGACAGTGGCCTTCTGGGTCCTGTGGCTGCCCACCCACAGGGAGTCTGCATTGGCTCTTTAGCCAGGCAGGGTTCCCTCCCTTCTCTTTTCTCCTCCATCCTCTTTCTTTCAAAAGCAATCCTCCCCGCTGCCCTAAAAAAGCACAAATCACCACCATCATCTGACTCACTTTCTCTGCAAAGCAACTTACCTATGTTTGTGCCAGGCATCTACAAACATCACGGTTTTTAGCATTTCTGCTGGGATCCCAGTATCATATCAAAGTTCTTTTCTCAGAAAGAAAGTTCCCTCTCTCACTAGAAATCTGACATAGCTGTTAGAACAACTTTGTTTTTTAACCCTGTTATACTGAAATATGTTTACTTCAGGGGTTATTAATTTTGAGGTTCCTTCCTGTTCTTCATCTCCCTTTTGTTAGATTGCTATGTTATTCTTGAACAACTTCCTTTTTCTCCCTCCTTTCCTACCATGATTTCTTCCATGTACTCTTTCAAAAGTTTCTTGACCTCCAGAACTTTGGACTTTATTAAGGTTTTTTCCCCAAAGTAACCTTTTCCTTCTCAAGTGGATCAGATTGACAAAAGTGAGGTATAAAAAATGGCCGTCATACCTGTCTGGGCTACTTAGCTGAAATAGTTTACTTTAGAAGGCTCTACACAAGTACTTCTGTTTGCCTCTCTGTAGACTTATCGATACTCAGCAGACAGTAACCACTCTTTGCCGGTCTCCAGCATGACTTAGCAGTGACAGCTTCTCTCTCCCAACTTTCTAAGTAGCGCCTCTTCGTCAGGAAGTGTCGTCTATTTTCTGGTGCTCATACTACCCCGGGTCTTATTTTCACTAATTCTTGAATTAATTTTTTCCTTACATCCACTAGAATCAAAATAAGCAACCTCTGGGAATTACTGCCAAACTCTCTCTCTCTTTTTTTTCCCTCGAGATGGAGTCTTGCCCTGTCACTCAGGCTGGAGTTCAGTGGCATGATCTCAGTTCACTGCAACCTCCGCCTCCCGGGTTCAAGCAATTCTCTTGTCTCAGCCTCCCAAGTAGCTGGGATTACAGATGCGCGCACCACGCCCGGCCAATTTTTATATTTTTAGTACAGACAGGCTTTCACCATGTTGGCCAGGCTGATCTTGAACTACTGACCTCAGGTGATCCGCCTGCCTCAGCCTCCCAAAGTGCTGGGATTACAGGTGTGAGCCACCGTGCATGGCTGACTCTTTAAACCAGTTGTATTTTTTATTACCTTTCCAGAGATATCCTTGTGTACCTTTTTCTGGGAAGACTATATGGTTCATAATTCTGCATGTTCTCTTACTTCTGTATCCTCACTGGTATTTTGAGTATGCCACAATTTCACATCCTTGGCAAGATTTTTTTTTTCTTTTTTTTCTTTTTTTTTGAGATGGAGTCTCGCTCTTGTCACCCAGGCTGGAGTGCAGTGGCACAATCTCAGCTCACTGCAACCTCTGTCTTCTGGGTTCAAGTGATTCTACTCTCTCAGCCTCCTGAGTAGCTGGGAATACGGGTGCCCGCCACCACACCTGGCTAATTTTTGTATTTTTAGTAGAGACAGGGTTTCACCATGTTGGCCAGGCTGGTCTCGAACCCTTGACCTGAGGTGATCCGCCCGCCTTGTCATCCCAAAGTGCTGGGATTACAGGCGTGAGCCACCACACCCAACCACAAGTTTTTCTTATTTAAATTTTTTTGGTGCAAGTAGCTGGTGGCCCAGCACAAGACATCCCAGTGGTAATTAATACTACACTTCAACAACTCCCCATCTCTGCCCCACAGAACACAAAGCAACAAAAACCAGGTGGGTGCTGCCAATAATTTTCATTTCTGAGAAATAATTCATAGTTTTCAAAAAATGAGCTTAACAGCTACTAGTTTTTTAAAAAATGTAACATGATTTCTTTTAAGGTTTTAATTAACAACGGCTGTGTGTCAAAAAGGTGCCCATTTGTGAGGAATCTGACTTCAGGAGAGGAAACACGTGTGCATATCCATGAGCAATGGAAGACCTACGCTGATGGGGGCTGTTTTAATTTGGGAATGTTTGCTGGTTGAGGACAAAAAAGAATAAAGTTATTACACAGTTATTATATATCTATACAAGTAGATGCTTAGACAGCAGTTTTACTGATTGACAGAGCAAAGTCACTTTGGATACTCCCTTGGACTCCTTCCTTTTCTCATGCAGGTTGGAGAGACGCCTTAGTCTCATTTCCCGGGTATATCGGGGGAAGAACAAAGTGCCTGACCTGACCGCTGCTTTTCATGGCCAGCTGGGAGAGTTTCGACAAGTCAACCTCTCAGAGTCTCAGCATTCCTCTTTATAAAAATGGGCACAACAATGAAAAACCGAAAATCAAAAAAGGCCAAACAATGGGCACAAGATGGCTATGCAGCTGTGCAGCCTTCCCGCGGGGCGCATGCGCATGCGTGCACTGCACAGGGGCGCTGTGGGCTACCAGGGCGCAGGCCACCCCAACCACCCCCGCCCCCGGCCGCCGACTCTGCCCTGCGCTGCTCCCCACTGCGATTGGCCTGGCTGGTGGCTGTGGCTGCTGTGTCCTCGCCCAGCCAATGCCCCTGAGGATCACTCAGGTTCCCCACAGGGCTCTCCTGTTCAGTCACTGGGGCGGAACCCAGTGGGAGCTTTCTCGGGTTGTGACTGACCGCAGCTTCCTCTCACTATCTAGGCCTGCCGGATAGCCACCTTGCTGGGAATTCTTAAACCTTCTGGAGCTCTGAGGTTTGTGTTTCTTATTTTTGAATATAGTTATACATTTATTTGGTTTTAAACACATTTTCTCTCATTCTTGGGGGCTCTGTGAGTGGGAAGGAGAGGCGGTGGTGTTTGGTTGGTTGACATCATGAAACCAAAGTATCACGGTGTAATTTTACTTTGCGTTTCTTTGGTCTCTAGTGGGATTGGAATTGCTTGTTTATGATATTCCTTTTATTCCTAAGGAGTTACATTTTTTTTGGGGGGGGGGGGCGATAAGTAAGGTCTTGCTCTGTTGCCCAGTCTGGGGTGCAGTTGTGCCATTGCAGCTCACTACAGCCTAGAACTCCTGGGCTTGAGCGATCCTCCCTCCTCAGCCTCCTGCAGAGTTAGGACTACAGGCATGTGCCACCATACCCAGCTAATTTTGGGGAGGTTTTGGGGGTGGGGGTAGTGACAGGATCTCACTATGTTGCCCATTCTTGGCTCAAACTCCTGGACTCAAGCAATTCTCCCACCTAGGCCTCCCAAAGTGCTGGGATTATAGGCGTGAGCCACCACCCCCGGCCACGAGGGGTCACATTTAAAAATGATCCCAATGATAACTTAGATCCTTGAAATGAAAAGGCAAAAGAAGGCTAAGGAAAAGAGTTCAAATGGTGATATCTGAGTGTGCTACACACCATGAGCGCCAATATTCACAGATTACTGGGGAAGGTGCTGTTTGCTTCTTCACTGCTCTGAGAGATCAAAGTTCTTCCTAAAAAAAAACTACTCGAGATTTACCTTTCTTGCTATTATCTACTTATTCTCCCTTTCAGTAGCCCAGAGTGTAAGGTTCATCCCTTTTTGGACAATTTACCAATAGTTTTCTTAGTACTTTGTCTTTTGGAATGTCTGCTGTTGCACCTCTTATCAAGCGTGCACCCCAGGTACGGAGGACAGCCACCCGTGCTTGGAATGCTATTTGCATTGACACAACCCAACATTCCACTGTTGTTGACTCTTAGTAAGCTTGAGGGAACTAAAACTCATTTTTAAAAATGTAGTTATTTTAGGCCGGGCGTGGTGGCTCACGCCTGTAATCCCAGCACTTTGGGAGGCTGAGGCAGGCGGATCACGACGTCAGGAGATCGAGACCATCCTGGCTAACATGGTGAAACCCCATCTCTATTAAAAATACAAAAAATTAGCCGGGCGTGGTGGTGGGCGCCTGTAGTCACAGCTACTCGGGAGGCTGAGGCAGGAGAATGGTGTGAACCCAGGAGGCGGAGCTTGCAGTGAGCAGAGATGGAGCCACTGCACTCCAGCCTGGGTGACAGAGCGAGACTCCATCTCAGAAAAAAAAAAAAAATGTAGTTATTTTATTATTTTTCTCCCGGTTGTGAATTTGGATAGTTGCTTTTTTTTTTTTTTTAATGTAAGAACCTGGCTTTACATTGTATCCCTATTATATTTCGTGTTGTTAGATTCATCCTACCCATCTAGGCCGTCAAAGGCTTTTGGATCCTGACTCCCATCGGATATTTTAGCTCTCCTTCCCTGCTTTATAACTTTCACTTATAAATGAGAAGAGTCTGCCTCTGGGCTTCACCCAGCCACTAGTAAAATACTGGAGAGAGAAGGCCAAGAGCAGAGCCAGGCAGCACATTTCCCTAAGAGCCAGGAGATTTCAGAGAGGAAAGTGACCCCTGTGGCAAAAAGGACAAAGTGGATGGCCTGTGTGTGTGTGTTACTGGCAGTGCCTTTAATACAAGGCACCATACTTTTTAAAAATATGAAAGTGCAGGAAACTTAGCATATCAAAAATCAGGCTTGTGCTCAAAGCGGAGAGTCACAGACTACAGGCACCTAAAACGGGATGCTACCCTTGGGCTCTTCCTGCCTGCATTTTGCCTCCCTGCCAACGTGAGATGCGGGTGAGAAGTGAGGGCTGAGTCACTGTCACTCTGCACCAGTTCCAGGACTGCTCAAGTCTTTTACCCACTTCTAGAATAGAAAAGAGGTCAGTGTGGAAAGAGACGATTCTGAAGAGGGCTTCGGTGAGCAGTTATCTCTGGAGAAAGCTGTGCCTGACTAACACCCAGCCCACCTACCAACCCCCGCAACTTTCCCCCAACCCCACCCCATCCCAGACGCAGAGGCAGATGCCAGTCACAGGCATTGCAACAGAAGCACTTGGTCCACGTTTGACCACGCTTACTTCTATAATTATGGCAACTGAGCGTCTTGGACAAATAACCAATAATGGTCTTATCCTCAATTTACTTAGGAAGTTTTTTTTTTTTGGACTTCTATAATTTTTAAGCAAACATCTGAAGATATAGAGCCATTCTTCCTATTCATCATTAATAAATCTTCTAAAATGTCATTATATATACTCAGATTATATATTTTGGCATGTGGTAATTGACGTGTTCTTTGAAATTTTAGAAACTAAACAGTGTTTAGCTTAGTTCCCTAGATTGTTATACTCTAGAACTGTTAAGACTTATAATAACATAAAAATGCCTCATCCTCAGTCTTTATCTGCTCTTTTAAAACAGACTTTAATAAAATGCATCAGTGACTCAACTATCCACATCCATGTGTCATACTTAAAGGGTAGATAACTAAGAAGAGGCTGTTACCAAACAACTTGTATTTTTATACTTAAGAAAATTATAGAGAAAACATAATCTTACAGAAAAATATATAATATAAAGTAATTTAGTGAATTAGTCTCAAATGCAAGAAAATTCACTGTTATTTTTCTTTCTTTAGAAGCCTGGAAAAACAAATTATTTGCTGAACTTAGCACTTCAGTTTTCTCTTATTCAGGGGAGAAAACTCTCTCATATAAAATGTAAAATATCTTAATATTTATTTTTATAACTTAAATTGACTTTTCTTCTCCATCAAATCAAATGCAATGGAGCAGGAGTTCTGTGTTTGTCACCAATCCTTTATTGAAACTGGTAACTTACACACTTTATAATAGAACAACAAAAATAATGTTCAATATATACAGCCTTCGCATGGACTATCTGACTATACACAGGCAGAGTGATAACACAATCTAATCTTCATCATAATCTGTGCACAAAAAGACACCAAACAGACAACATGTGCACATCACAGTGAAATGACATCACAGGTCCAGTGAAAATTCAGCATAATACAAAATGGACTGCTCTATTGCAAATGACATCTTTCTAAATGCCCAGCTCTTACTCAGTAGTAATTTACCCAGAGTCTGAAGCAGAGATTGGTTGTGTGGCTATAAGTCTCTTGAGTGAGACAACCTCTGCAGATAAGTTTGCTATCCCCTGCTTCAAATACAAGTTCTCTGGGTCAGAAACTTTGTAGCCACTGTCTTTCATTTCAACAACTCCAGTTTTGAAACTATTCTGAGTTTTGCCACTCAGTTCTTTTTGATGCCAGTGCTCCGATTTGAGAGACCAATCTTGAATGTTAGTCACTTGCACTGAGAAAGGAGTAAGAGAAGAATGTACCATACTTGGGGCACTATGCTTTTCGAGTTCGAAATGTCTTTTAGATGTCATGTCAATAGGTGAGGAAAGTTTTTGCGTGGCCTCAAATTCATTATCAAAGGCTTCTACTTTGATCTGCATGGCTTTGGCTTTGATCCGGAGCTTGTGTGGCAAGGCAGAGGAATTCACTTCTGGAACTTTAACCACAGTTGCATGCACATGCTTGAGTTCAACTGGAGAATGGATGGGGCCCTTGGGGACCTGTTGCTCGTCTTCTCCATCAGATGACTTTCCTACCACACCATCATCAGTTTCCGACGTTCTCGGGGAGTTGCTGGAGGATCGGTTGACTTGCAGTAGTGGGGGAGAGTGTGAGTACCCAGAGAAAGAATTCCCCATATAGTTTTGATAGATGGACGCTGTGTAAGAGCCTCGGTCATCTCTTGGCTCCCTTGTGTAGCTCTCTAATTCCATCGGCTCTTGCTTGATAATCTGGAACTTGTTTTCAGGACTTCTGCAGCTTCCCTGCACAGAGCTCTCCTGCGTGTGTTCTACTGAGGACACTTCTGAAACATCGGACAGCGAGCTTTGTGGAGAGTGTTTAATGACAGAAATACAACTACTTGACACCATCGAGGGTTCGTGCTCGTCCACAAATGAACTCACATTGGATTTGGAAGTCTGGTAATCTTGAAAGTACACAGCTGTAGAATTACTGAGTTTCTGAATCTCTTGAGCATATGCTGTGGAGCTAATTAAACCAAACTTTAATTTTAGTGAAAGCAGCTCAGCTTTTAAAGTGGCGTTTTCTTCTCCCAGTGCAATTAGTTTGTTCTCTAAAACCAGGTCATTCAGTCGACGCTTCTCACGAGATCTTTTGGCAGCTTCATTATTTTTCCGCCTTTTTTCCCAATACATAGCATCTTTCTTTTCATCAGGAATGAATTCCCGTTTCCTCCGACATGCAGAAGATTTGTTCTTCCCCACACTTCCTTCACTGAGAAGCAGCTCCTCACCTGTTGTGGAGTCTTCTGACACTTCCGTTAAAGCAGAATTAAGGACCATCATCTTGTCCACATTGCTACTGGCATCAAGAGACGCCTGCTCCTTTTTGACGGTCTGCATTTTTCTCAGCTGCATCAGAAACAACCTTACCCTATCTATGTGTGTAGGAGAACAAATTAATTTCCCCGTATTCTCAAGCTCTTTAAAAACTCTGGTTTAAAATCCATCAATATTCTTCCTTTTGTTCTACCGTCTGGGATAAATCCGTCAGGCTCCTTATTGAATGAAGTTGGGCCTCCTTCGTTATCTGCAATACATGAATAAAAAAAAAACCAGTTATTCACTGGATAAATGTTTATTACAAATTATGTACAAGGAAATATGCTAAGCATTTAGGGCATACAAGCACAGATGAGGCATGGCCACAGTTCTTTCTTTCAACAAGTTAGCATTTTCAAAAAGGAAATAAGTTCCCAAATACCTAAACTATAAAGCTGTAAAGGACAAATCCCTAATGAGGCCTATCAGTAAGAGAATATGTGATCCAGGAAAGTGAGGGAAAAATAAAATAACCTCTGCCCAGAGAGAAGTAGAGGAAGGCTGTATTTAATGAGGCGAAATGGAGAAATAGTTGGGTGTGGGCAATTACAGGAAGGAAATGACAGATAGCCTCTGGTTGGTAAGTTTCTAAACAGTACATGCATACCGTGGTGCTTCTAAATAATGTTACCTAATATTTACATCACTGCCAAGCAGATATGCTCACCTCTTAAAAGGGACTTTACCAAGTAAACTTTAACGTGAGTAAAAAAAAAGTTCTGCACTCCTATATGGAATAAAATACAAATGGAGACAAACTTCTTCTACAAAAACTAAAGTAAAAGCCACATTAACAACGGAGCTGTTGGTTTTAATCTACACCTTAACGTGGACATAAACCTGCCCATCACATCCTTGACTGCCTGGTAGGCTTATATCCCAGCAAATTCCACCAGGTGACTCACTGCAACTAAATGAAAAGGATTCTTCTCCATCAAGCCATCTCTTTACAAGCATCTGAGTTTAAGAGATTAGAATTTTTTTTTCTGATTCCTTTGAATTTGTTCTATCAAACATTCAAGATTGAAGTATCCAAAATGCTTTTTGTGATCTTGAAAATTCTGTCAAAATAGATTTCAGGTTTCAGTTACATAGTAGCTTTGAACTAAAAAACAGTTACTAGGCGGGGCACGGTGGCTCACACTTGTAATCCCAGCACTTTGGTAGGCCGAAGCGGGCAGATCACAAGGTCAGGAGATCGAGACCATCCTGGCCAACATGGTGAAACCCCATCTCTACTAAAAAATACAAAAATTAGCTGGGTGTGGTGGTGTGTGCCTGTAATCCCAGCTACTCGGGAGGCTGAGGCAGGAGAATTGCTTGAACCTGGGAGGCAGAGATTGCAGTGAGCTGAGATCACGCCACTGCACTCCAGCCTGGTGACAGAGCAAGACTCTGTCAAAAAAAAAAAAAAAAAAAAAAAAACCCCACACAAAACAAAAAAACACTTACTATTCAAAGGGGGTTTTTAAAAGTATAGTGCATTCTTGAAATGAAATTCTTTTAAACCAAGAGAATATAGTTACAGAAAAAAATTTCTTTCATTTATATGAATTAGTTTCAAGTAAAATATAACAACTCAAAAATAGAATCATTCATTAGTTTCCTCTTCCATTGATGAAATACTTACACTACAAATTTGGCCTGACAGTTGCCTTAGCTCGAGATAATAAAATCCATGTTATGTTCCAGTAGCAATCATTGCATGGGGGCTTTTGAATTTAACTGTGTTTCTAGACACTGATTCTCTGCCTAATGTTCCAGTCAGTAATATTTTTCGTTAAATAGACATGGTACAACAGTTCCATCAGCACGATCTGCACACAGTGGCACTTTATTCTACCCTACTAAAAAGATGTAATGAGCCAGGTGTGGTGGCTCATGCCTGTAATCCCAGCACTTTGGGAGGCCGAGGTGGGCGGATCACCTGAGGTCAGGAGTTCGAGACCAGCCTGGCTAACATGGTGAAACCCCGTCTCTACTAAAAATACAAAAATTAGTCGGGTGTGGTGACAGGCGCCTGTAATCCCAGCTACTCGGGAGGCTGAGGCAGGAGAATCGCTTGAACCCAGGAACCCAGGAGGCGGAGGTTGCAGTGAGCCAAGATCGCGCCATTGCACTCCAGCCTGGGGGACAAGAGCGAGACTTCGTCTCAAAAAAAAAAAAAAAAAAAGATGTAATGTTCTTACATGATGCCACTATCTCCTTCTTACGCCTAGTTTCATAATGACTAATAAAATGAAGTTTACTTTTATCAATTGGAAAAGCCTGCCAGCTTCTTTTGTCTTTTCCAGGGAATGAAAGGAATTATGTAATAATTTCAGGATCATAAAGAATAATGTTTCATGCCAGGTTTTTGCCCATTAAACTGAGCCAACATAGTTAAGGGAACAGCTAGTCGTAACTCAGAGAAATTTGTGATTATTAATATCAAGTTTCTGTTTGTTTTTTGGTAATGAAACTTTAATAGGAAATGAAGGCAAGGAGTGTGTCACAGTCAGCAGTGATGTTGCAGAGAAGGAATCTTCCTATTTATCATTTAAACAATATTATTTCCTTTTTTTTTTTTGATAAGAGTCTCGCTCTGCTGCCCAGGCTAGAGTGCAGTGGTGCAATCTTGGTGCACTGCAGCCTCTGCTTCCCAGGCTCAAGCGACTCTCCTGCCTCAGCCTCCTGAGTAGCTGGGGTTACAGTTACGCGCCACCACGCCCAGCTAATTTTTTTGTATTTTTAGTAGAGACGGGATTTTACCATGTTGGTCAGGCTGGTCTTGAACTCCTGATCTCAGGTGATTTGCCTGCCTCGGACTCCCAAAGTGCTGGGATTACAGGCATGAGCCACCACGCCCGGCCAACAATACTATTTCCTCTAATTTGCATTTAGGTTTTGTCCTCTAATATGAAAACCCAGTTTCCTTTACATATTGAATGGATTCTTTCCTCTGTTGAAGTCTGCACTCTGCCATTCAGCAAAGTCCTCCTGCTAAAGTAAAATGAGTGGAGAAGTAAAGAGGAAGATATCCCAGTTAAAGAAGACAATTGCACTGACCTTTCCCAAGGCACCTTTCAAATCTCCACTATACTCTTGGCCACTACTTTTTTCCACTTTTAGTTTTTAAACATCATATGATCCCTTGCAGACTATTATTCTGGTTATTTTCTCCACCTGAGAATCTTTCTCTTCCATGTGTTATCTTATTTGTTCCTTCTTAAAAAAAAAAATCAGATTCCTTTATTTTGCCTCACTTACTAGATTTACAGTAATGCTTTTGAAATGCCCCGCCATTCTGTCTGCCTTAGTTACTCTTCCTAAACTTCTAGGACCTTTTCAAGGTTGGGGCCCAATTGGGAAGGAGCCTTCACAATAGGTCCTATTTCTATTTAACTGAAATAGCCCCATTTGTCTTAAAATTTCCTTAACTCATGTCTTCTAGGTGTCTAAGTACTATATGACTACTTTATCATCTCTACAACTTTGTTGGTACATTAACCTACAGAAAACTTCATTTGCTTTTTTGTTTTTGAGACAGAGTTTCACTCTTGTTGCCCAGGCTGGAGTGCAATGGTACGATCTTGGCTCACCGCAACCTCTGCCTACAGGGTCCAAGCAATTCTCCTGCCTCAGCCTCCCAAGTAGCTGGGATTACAGGCATGTGCCACTAAGCCCAGCTACTTTTGTATTTTTAGTAGAGATGGGGTTTCTCCATGTTAGTAGAGATGGGGTTTAGTAGAGATGGGGAAACTCCATGGGGTTTCTCCATGGGGAGTTCAGGCTGGTCTTGAACTCCCGACCTCAGGTGATCTGCCTACCTTGGCCTCCCAAAGTGCTGGGATTACAGGCGTGAGCCACCTCGCCAGGCCACCTCATTTGTTTTTAATCATCTTCTTCCTATTTGAATTTCATGGCATGTCACTATAAATCTGTGATTCTGCTCTCATCTGTATGTATTACATTCATGGTCTCTACAACTCAATGGCAAATCACCACACTATCTTAGGATATTTTCTGTAATATTATCTATCAAATAATCTTGCAGTGTTGAAAAGAGTTTATCAGCATTATGGGATGATACGGAGACAGGCACAATCATATACACTGTGTGTGTTTCCACGTGTTTGTCTTTTGTGCCCAACTACACTGCGAATTACTTCAGGGCGGAAATTAAAATATACTTGTCTTCTAGCAAAAACCTGAAGATATTAGGTGCTCAACATTTCATTGACAGTCACCCATATACCTTATATAAGAGAGTTTTGTAAACAGAAAACTTTTTTGATGCTTTCTTTTTAATGTTATGTGAATTGTAAAGAAGATATTTTACTTATTAACAGAGAGATTCTCTTATTCATTAATTTGTTTATTCAACACATATGGAGCACCTACTGTGTACTGGGCACAAGGGGAGACTAGGGGCACATAAAGAGGGAGAGAAAAACCAAACTCCCGAGACCAGGCGCTCAGTCGTGGGTGGGTGGGAGACAAACAGGTGAGCAGAGGGGAACCAGGTGTGAGTGCAGAGTTGCACAAACATGGGCCTGGGGTGCAGGCTTTCTTCTTGTCATGGAGATAATAACAAAAACAATCATAATTGGTGCCATTTATTGAACACTTACCACAGAATGGGCACTGGGAGCCTGACCTGCTTTCTTTCATTCACTTTTGGTGACAATTTTCAGATAAGAAAACTAAGGCTCAGAGAAGTCAAGTGACTTGCCCAGTGTCACATAGCTAAATGGCAGAGCGTACATTCAGGCCCAGTTCCTTTACTCTCTCCTACACTTTCACAGGTGGTTCTGCATCTTTGCAATGCAGTCTCATTTACACACAGTTCTCTTTTGTGTCACTTTCATTTCTGAGTAATACATACCCTTTTACTAAGTTACTTTGGGCGCAGTAAGGCACTATGCTAACTTAACTACTTCTTCTTTTTTTTTTTTTTTCTTTTTGAGAAGGAGTTTTGCTCTTGTTGCCCAGGCTGGAGTGCAATGGCGCGATCTTGGCTCACCACAACTTCCACCTCCTGGGTTCAAGCGATTCTCCTGCCTCAGCCTCCCAAGTAGCTGGGATTACAGGCATGCGCCACCATGCCCAACTAATTTTGTATTTTTAGTAGAGACGGGGTTTCTCCATGTTGGTCAGGCTGGTCTTGAACTCCCGATCTCAGGTGATCCGCCTGCCACAGCCTCCCAAAGTGCTGGGATTACAGGCGTGAGCCGTCACGCCTGGCTCCTTAACTTCTCTTAGATGCTGTCTTAACTTCTTTAGCCAGCAAAGATACTATCTAGAACTTTTCTCCATCCTCCTTAGATGTTTCAGATCTGGCACTATTTATGAATTGAGAAAACATTTTATTAATTTTCATATCTTTACTAAAATTTTAACCTCCTGGCTATTCTAATTATGTTAAATAGAGAAAAAGAAATATGATAGCTGTGGACATTGTCACCTATGATCTTCTTCTTTTTTTTTTTTTTTTAACAAATCCAAGAGTGTAATCTGTTTTCAACATGAGGCGGGGGACAGTGTCTCTCTGACCCTCTCATTTTGCAGATTAATCAGCTAGAAGACAGGCTGACCTTCCCAAGACCACACAGCAGTTGGGCACAGATGGGCTCTGAGCTCTCCTTATGCCCCTCAACAATGAACTTAAAGCAAATGCAAAAGTAGTTTACGATGCCTTCAAAAAGCCTCAGGATTTATGCTAACCTAACAAATTTATTTCAAGCCTCAATATTTTCCCTTATGATTAATTTAACAATTACTTCATCTATGCATCATCTTTTCAAATCAACATCTAATGTTGTGGTATATTAGTCATTGCTTAAGTTTCTTTTTTGGTGAATAATTGACACTACATGCCAATTCTATGATGTTAGTGTATTCAGCACGATTAACTTCATTACACACATTAGATGATATGACTCTCCTTGAAAACACAAATAAAAAAGAGAAATTTAAGAGCAGGTATTATTACCTACCAGTTGACATATTTTTCCATACATACTCCGAAGGTGCCATCACTAATTAATGCTTTTGTATAGTCCATCACACTACTTCTCTAAGCAAGAATTATATAGCAAGAATTATATTTCATAAGCCCAGATTTTTAAAGTTTAAGTCAGATTACCCTATTGTTTTTAATTAAGTACAAGATTTGATTTAGAAAATTCTATAAAAGAATATAACCTCATAACAATAATTCTAGACCAAATTTATCCTTGAGGAGTTATCTCATTAGTTATGTTTATGATAGACCTTTATCTTCCCTGGTCTCTCCCAGAACTAATGTTTAACAATCCAAGCTCCACAAAAGAAAAGAATAAACATGCTTTGTTTCAATCATCTGAAATCTTACTAATAGTCTAAACATTAAAATCTACTCTGAGAACATTTTGTTATTAATTATCTATAAAGGGTAAGTTTTATTGCAAATTGCAATATATATTTTGTTTTTAAAATTCTGTCAATAGAAGATGAAATACTATTTGATATGCCCAATGATTTGGAAACATTATAGAATTATCTTATTTTCCCTCTACTCTCTGAATGTATTGTTTTCTCCCTGTTATATAATACAGATAACAGTAAAGGAAAAAAAAATGTCTTCAAGGTAAACCTAAGTTATGTTAAACTGTAAGCCACCTCTCCAGTAAGACAGCAGATGCTTATTTTTTAGATAAATGTCATTTTCATGAAAAAATCAAATCAATTAATCAATTCACATCTCTTTATACTTTTAAAGTATGAATACTAGCAATATGTTAACCCTACATTTTCTTCCTGTGGGTAAAATTCACAGTATCTGCGTCAATGAAATGCTTTACTTCTTTTCATGGATGAGAAAACAATCTAGTATTTAAAAGCAGAGATGAAATAAGAAAAGAATTCACTATACATGTACAACCCAGAGGAAATGGGGAGTGAAAAAACTCAGTCAGAAAACACCGAAGTTGCAAGAGAATTTTCTAATCCCGTTGAAAAAGAGAAGGATTTTTAAGCTGAGAAAACTATGTTAAACCTCTCTAAGGGCCATTCTGTCCCCAAGAAGCAGCTTACCCCAAAGTTAGAGAGAAATGTGCACTTGATCAAGACAGGCAAGACGCACACACACACATACACACACACTCTCGCACACTGCCAGAATCTATTCTATCATAGCAACAAATTGACCTACTTTTTCTATTTGGGTGCCTCTGTAAATAAATGTGTCAAAGCCTGATCCAGTTTATGATAAATGAAAATATTTCAAGTTCGACAAAGGACTAGCTGAAAATTAAATTTAAATTTAATAAATACGATGACAACATTGCATTTTATTACATCACTGATGTAATTTAAGTAATTGAAATATGAAATAGTATAACTTAACATTCTTCTTTAAGAGGTCGTCAGTGTTTGAAACTTAATACACAATTAAATTATTCTGAAGCCTGCACAGAGTAAGCACATACACGCTAGCACGACCAATTAACTGCACAGCTTGAGAAATAAGAACAGCTCTCACTAAAGATGGGTAGTAACATGGGGGAAAAACAGAACAGTAATAATTTTTTAAAAATCTATAGAAACTTAAATGTGGGGACTATTAATATCTTGAAACTTCTGAAAAGATAACTGATCAGTGTAGCAACTAATCTGAAATCTTAAAAGGACACCAACAATCACAAAGTAACCCAGTTGTAGAAAATTCCCCAATGAATAAGTAATACATGCAACATGGTGTAATGATGGCAAAAATGGTGGGCTAAGGGGACAGTCAGGCTGAGAAAATTCTTGAAAGTTTCTAATGATAATGTAGAATCATCCCAACTTGCTTCACTTGGCTTTTTAATTTCTTTTTCCACTTTTCCAGTCAGTGGATGATTATAAATGTCATTTTCTACCTTATGAATAGAGTGGATTTTCAAATGCTTATTTGTAGTGTTTATTTGAAGGCCAGTTAATTACAGTTTAAGACCCCTAAAAAGCTAATTAATAAAAGACATCATGTTCTGATAACTAAAAGGCTTATAAACATCATTCTGAGTCCTATGAAACTGAGTCCTCAAAGCACAGATTAATAACAAATGGCATCTAGCAAATCTCTAGTAAACTTTCTTATCATAAAAACAAGTTTATGCTCTATTATTAAAGCCATATGAGAAACAGTTTTGGGTGTTTTTTTTTTTTTTAACTACAGTAAAGTTACTTACAAAGAAATGTGAAAGATAACTGGGGTAGTAGTAATAAAAATTCATTTTGAAACTGAAAAATTCATATTGTAATGTCTGTGATCAAAGGTCAACGTCTTTCAACATTCTCATACAAGTCCAACCTGGATAGAAATCAACTCAAATATAATTTAGAAAAATAACAGGATATCAAACAATGTATTAAACCCCGTGAAATACAGGCATACCTTACAAAAACAAGAAATGAATATTAAAGGCAATTTCAATTACATTGTTTCTGTTATATTTTGAATTGAATCCCAAGTGTGCTCTCATTCCTCAATACAAATTAAAAATAAACAACTTTAACAGCATCAATGGCATCTGGATTACAATGGAAATCATGAAGTATATGAGTTTAACCTGGGTAAAAATAAAGCCCAGGCAATATGACTGCACCTTTTCCATTCCATGCTGCAATCGCATTTACATCTCGAAATTGACTCTAATGACCAAGGCAAGGTCAACTAGAAAAATCCACTCAGCTGGTGAGTCAGGCACATTGCTCAACGTCCGAAAGGCCTCTCACAAAGGGTTTTAATTTTCAGGCTGTTGCATCACAGTGATGTTATAACTGCACTGCACAAAAATAAGTCTTTAACCCAGAAAAGGAAATTGTTTCAAAAACTACAGTGAGTGTGAGAATACACTTTGTTGAGGTGCAAATTTCCCCATCTGGTTTTCAGGCTCTGCGACCTGGGCTGCAAATTCATTTCTCTGAGTTTCCATTTCCTCATCTATGAAATGTGGATGATAACAGAGCCCCTCAACACTGTGCCTGGCACATGCAGAGTATGTGTTTAGTAAATACTAACTCTTTATCTCTTTTCTGAAGAATGATCAGTATCAAAAGGCAACGATGCCTATCAGTTCCAGGCTGTTTTTGCTGCTCGTGACTCTTACTGAAGCCCTGACCTATGTCGCAAGTGTAAGGGTAAACCAAATGAAAATTTGGTCAAAAGGGTCAAATATCAACAGTTTCACAGGACTGGCCTTAGTTTTCAGGCTACATATACCCCCTACAAGAGAGCTTATCTGTGGGGTCTCACCATCCACTGCTGATCTCAGACCACAAAGTTTTAGATAGAGAAATCATCCAAGCTACAGAAAATGAGTCACAGAATGTGTAAGGGAATTGGAAAAAGCTGAGCTATTAATATGGCAATTGTCACGTCATTCCTGCTACTATAATCGACTCATCTCTCTATTCCTTCAAGCAGCTCCCCAAAACATTAACCCAATGACTTGGGAAGTTTGAGGTTCTGCAATCCTGTCAGGAATTCCCCTCAAACTGAAATTAACATTGAACACGATGGCAAATTAAAAAATATATATATTATTAGAACAAAAAAAGTATCTCAAGAAAGATCTTACAGACTTAATTCCAACACGAATCCTTACTGTTACTGCGAAGAGATTTACAAAGAGAAAAATGAAGGTAAATACACACACACACACACACACACACACACACACACACACAGATTCTGGTTCCTGATCAATAACACAGGAAACATTTATTGAACTCCTCACAACCAACTAAGTCAACAGGTTTTATTCCCTCAGTTTACCCTGGAGAGTGATGGAAATCAGGACAGTGTTGGAAGATAACAAGCTGGGGCCTGGGACCCAGGGTTCTTGTGAGCCCAGGGCCTGCGCTCTTAGGATCTGTACCTCACCGAAACCTGTTCTCTAACTACTGCCTGTAACAGGAGGGAAACTGATTAGGGATAGCGGTGTAGGGTATGATGCCAAAGAAAGCAAGTTTTCGGTCAGTTTTCAACAAAGAGCAGATTGCGTTGATATGCTTCAGGAGAACATCTGTGATGTCTCCATGAATTACTGCATGGGTACAATCTTGGAAGTCTTTATGCGAGGATGAAAGTACTGTAGTTTTACAGTAGGACAGCAGCGTCTATGTGGGCGTTTAGATTTTATTTTGAACTCTGGAGATCAGTGTTCTCTCTCCTCTAGCCTTTGACCACATAAATTAAAGGTTAAAAAAAATCGGCTCAACTCAACTGGCCAAAGTCAAGCTGAGGCCTTCCTTTTAATCACTATCAATACTGGAGCGCCTCCACCCCCAATTTCTGTGGCCGGTGGACGTTTGGAGGTTTTTCTTAAGGTCTTTTTCACTTCAAGAATGGAGACGCGCTTGGTTCCGAAATACAATGAAGACTCTTGGAACAAAGGTGTCTGCAGGTTTCTGAACCTCACCGCAGAACAGGCGCGGAGTCAGGCCCCTGGATTTGCCCTGTTGGAAGGAGGGCCGCGGAGACGCAGGCGCTCCGGGTCGCCCGCGCTGCCCCTGTCTGCCCCGTGCGGGAGCCGGGGTCCCTGGCTCCCTGGCTCCCTGGCTCCCGCGGCCCGGGCGAACCCAGAGCGCACCCGTACGCCGGCCCCGGCCGGTCCCTAGCGCCCGGGCTCCACGGGCCGCGCCCCCACGCGGCGCCTCCCAGAGACCCTCCTCCCTCCGGGTGGGCGGCGCAGCGGGGCCTCGGCGCCGCGAGGACCCCCCGCGCCAGAACAAAGGAATGTGGGGAGGGGGCAGGGAGGAGCTCAGGCCACTGAGCAGCCCCAGTATAACTGCCGTTCGGAGGCGCTTCTCGGTCCCGACCCGAGGTCCCCGCCCGCCACTACCAGACCCGCCCCCAGCCCCGGATTCTCGCAGACCCCACCGGCCCGCAGGAGGGAGCGGCGCACTGGGGGCCGCACGGACTCGCCATTGGAGATCGCGATCGGAAGGTGGCGCCACGCGGCCCCTACAGGCCTGGGACTCCCACCCGAGCTCGCAAAGTAGGTCGGGGTCTGAAGCTGGGGGCCTAGAGCAACTAGCTTCTTGGAAAGCGACTGCAATTATTTGGGGTAATATACTCTGTTCCAGAGACGTCCACCCCCCACCTCCCACAAAAAAAAACCCTGCACTTAATTTAAATGTTACGTTATATATACATCCCATCATATACATATATTCACACATAATCACTATGTAACAGTCCAGGAAGAAATTTAATATTTGGGTAAATTACATATTCACACATCTTCACATAAGTAAAACCAGGGTATCCAGACAAAAAAACAATCTACTAACCTATATCTGTTTCCCATAGGTCATATCTGGTCTGGGGGTAAATAAATACTTCTGACCTCACTTACTGTTGTTATTTACAAAAGCCAAGAACAGAAGATGACACTTGGCCATTCCCTGCTGTTCTCAGAGAACAGCAGTTTCCTAAAGTGTCCTTTAAAAACATAAATGGGAGCCAGCATCCAGCAAATCACCGGGCGCTGCGAAATGCCTTCCTAAAAATACAATCTTATCAAAGGTCTCCGAAGGCGTGGAGTTAAAACTACAGCAAATGGCCTTGAACTTGTATTTGCACACAGCCCTGGAGAAAACACCAGAAATAGCACTGCGAGGCCACAATTGTTAAAATGTGATAGGGCTAAATTTAGAAGAACGTGCGTTTCATTTAGGGCAAAAGACACACATTCGGCAGCATGAGCAAACTCCATGCTTACCCGGTTGTCTACTTTCCTGTTTAAAATATCCTTAAGGAAAAAAAAAAAACTGTTATAGTGACATTCTTAAAGGCTGAGACTGTCCTACTTTCTTTGTAGCAAGATTATAAAATCACGTAATTAGCTCCCTCTCTCTATGCTCACTGCCAGCAAATTCGGCAGTTACATAATGCAACATTTCCAGGAAACTATTATGTGATTTGTCTTGTCGTGTCTGAAAAAGCAATGACAATAAGGTGAGAAAAAGGGCTGATCGAATGGAATGCATTAAAATTAGGAAGGTGGGGAGGTAAACGTCACAATGGTTCGTCCCAGATTTAAAAATAACAGCTGAGAACATTGAAAGGGCGAACCCCAGTAGTACCCAAGATCAGAATTCAATGCGAGCAATTCTTGCTTTTAGGTTTTGTAGTATCGTTTTAAAACCTGTTTATTTGGGACGTAATATAGACGTAAATAACGATCTAATATCCAACGCTGCGCCTCAATTACCAAATCATTGCACACATACGCGCATATTCCCACATCAGCCCGCAATTCTTGCCAACATTTCACCGTGGGCAGATTATGCAATGTATGAAAGGACAAATCCCACAACCTTCCCGAGGGCTTGTAAAACACGCTGACGACAAACAGGGTGGAAAACGTCTGTGCAGACACAGCCCCTGACACAAACAAACGCCGCGCAGGCATTCTCCGAATGCCGTCACCGTTCACGCTACCAACCCTTTTTCTCACCAAGCAAATTAAGACTATTCCCCATTCCTCAACCCCCCATTCCTCTCCCCCCTACGCCGCCAGCCCCAGAGAAGGAACGAGAAAGAAAGACACTAGAGAGGAAAGAGCATCTTCCCGCTCGGAGAGGGCTCAGCCTGCCTGGCGCTCTTCTTTACCAAAACATCAATTTTCCTGAAATCAGGAGACATTATGCAACAGCAGCGGGGGGAGAGCGCAAACCAGCCAGGACTACGTGCCGGCGCGAAGGCGCTGCAATCAAAGCAGCCACCTTAAGGTGGCGAGTCCCATCCTGACAAGGCAGCAAAAGTTTATGTAATGAATGCCCCGCGCGCACTCGCCGCCGCTGGCGAGCCCAGCTTACAGCCCGACCCCGCACACAGCGCGGCCCGCACCCCGCGCCCGCCCGCCCGCCCGCAGCGCGCCCTGGGAGCGGTCGCCGGGCCCCCGGCCGGCGGTGGGCGGAGCGCTTACCGTGTTCCTGCTCTCGGGCCGGCGAGGAGAAAGAAAGGGGCGGCCGGGAGTCGGGCCGCCGGCGCTCGGGGCTCGGGCCGGGCCGGGCCTCCGGGGCCGCGGCGGGAGGCGGGCGGCGGCGAGGGCGCGGCGCGGGAGGCGGGCGGGCGCGCCGGGTCCGCGGGCGCCGTGGCCGCGCGGAGAGATGTGTGTTAGTAGGTCAGTTCCGAGCGCCGCGCTACGTCGCCGCCCGCCAGCCCCGCGTGACTGGCGGCCGCGGCCCCAATCGCCGCGCCCGCACCCGCCCCCGGCCCGCCGCCAATGGCCGCGGCCGGCAGGGGCGGGCCGGGGCGGGCACTCCGCGGCCCCGCCCCGCCTCCCCGCCCTCAGCTCCCCCTCCGCGGCGGCGCCACTACCAGCTCGCGTCCCTCCCCGGCCAGGGCCACCGCCGTCCGAGCGCCCGCGAGGGCTGGCGCCCCATTCCCGGCGCAACGAGTGTTGCGCAACGGCCCACGCGGCCGACACGACCGGAGCGAGCCTGCGGAGGAGCCCGGGAGCCCCCCGTCCCACCGCCCCGTCCGCTCTTGGCTCCCTTCACCCTCCCGGTCGCCGCGGTGGCTCTGCGCTCCCCGCGACCCTCACTTGCTCGCAGAGGCGCTTTTTGTCTTCCTGAGAGCCGCAGCCTGCTGGGCTACCTGTTGCCGACTGAGCACTGCGGGTTGCGGCTACCCGGGCGTGGCCCGGACCTCGGCCTCCCCTTCCCCGCACACTCCCGAGAGGAGCCCTCTACCTTGGGGTGGGCAGGAGGGAAGGCGGGGGGTGGCGGCTGGCAAGCTGCCAACACTCGGGGCGCGCTGCGGCGGGGAAGGGGTTGGCGCGGCCGGGCAGCTGCGCAGGGCTGCGCGGCGGAGGCAGCGATTAAAATGTCCCGGCGCCTCTCCCGAGAGCCGCGACGGCCCGGAGCCGGGAGGGAAAGCTCCACGCACAAACACCGCCCCCTGCACAATTAGGGCGAAGATGACGGCTGCAAAGTTGTTGCGTAACACGACTGGGAAACGAGGCTCGCTGAGGTCCATCTACCCACCCCCGCCACGCGGGTGCGGCGTTCCTCGGAGGATGTGAAGGTCCGCGCTCGGGTGCCCCCGCTGGGACGCCCACTGTCGTTTGGTGCTGGGGCTTGAGACGACCGCGCGGGATCTCTTCCTGTGATTTTGAGCTGATAGCTGCTTAGTGTTATTTCTGCGTCTAACTGGATACGGTAGTCTTCTCTCCCAAATTCCCGGGCTACGGAAGAGACGTAAAAAAATGGAAAAAAGAGCACCTAGCCGCGACTTCTTAAGTCGTCGCGCTAGACTGTCAAGGCACGTGGCACACTCCCTGCGTTTACCGATACACGGATAGTGGTCAGTGCTGGCCTTGGCGAAGGGAGCCATGTTCCCGACAGTGACTCACAGGCTTGCCCAAATACGGAGTGTGGCAGGTGGGCAGGACCTCCACCAGCCAGCTCCCTCCTGGTCTCCTTGAACTACGTGGGGGCTGGGCCGAGTGCCTCCACGACTTTCCACTTCTTTTTGCTCCTTTCGTTTTTAAAAAGCAAAAACCAAAGTAAAGAGAAGAGCAGAGTGAACACCCAGGTACCATCCCTAGTGTCTGCCATGAGCAGCAGATCTATCTACTCGCCAAGATTGTCTTTTCTACCTTTCCCCTTCTTGCACAGTTAATATCATAATAACGCAAGTCATATTTAAAAAATTTTTATCACCTATCAGTTGAGTTTTTGGAAAGCCTTCCAGGGCAGCGTTGTGGTTTTGAACGCACTCTTGTTCGTGATTTATCTGGTAGTACAGCTCTGCTGACAAGGCTCTGAAAACTCAGACGTACAATATGGGCTTAGCGTGTTCCCCGACACCATCTTCCCGGTGCTGACTAATGCAAGAACCACATCCCCTCCACTACACATTTTCCAAACTTGACTACCTTCATGAGAACAAATCCTGATTTTAGTTTATAATTTCCACTTTTCTCATACATATATAATAATTCAAGATGTGGTCTTACTATGTTGTCCAGGTTGGCCTGGAACTCCTGGGCTCAAAGGATCCTCCGGCCACAGCCTCCCTGGTAGTGGAATTACAGGCGCATGCCACTGTGCCTGGCCACTTTTCTCAAATTTACTGATAGTTTCCTTTTTGCCCAAACCTTACAATGCTTATTTGTAGCTTTGAGAACCTCTCTTAGATGAAATCAAAATCATATCCATATTAGTTGCCTTTTTGGGGTCAGAAATGCAGCTATTGTCTAGAAATCCAGGGCTGTCCTGCATAATCTACCCTCCCCTTCACGTGTTCTGACCTTGTTCTGCATTTTGAATAATTTCATGGAATTTCAAAGCCGTTGTAGTAAATGTCTTTCTTTAAAGACAACTCGACCTTCAAGACAGGTAAAGAACGTGCCTGGAGCCACCCCAGGCAGTGATGCTGGAGGAGTTCTCTCAACCTGGAAACTTATTCTTTATGCTGAATTTTGAAATCGAATGCTCCTATATTTACTTGGAGTATTTTAGATTGTGTATGTATTATATCTGTGCATCATTCATTGTTACCATCTAACTTGGAAATCAGAGGAAGTGTGAAAGGTATCTGAGATACCAGCTTAGAAAACAACTCTTTAGCTCCTCCTGGTGATTAGGACACCACTAAACAACAGGATGAAGGATCTGTCCCCAGGGCCGAAGTGATGATGTATCTAATATTATATCCTAGAACATTCACAGAGTAGGTAAGTATTTGCAGATTAACTCGAGTAAATGGAGCATAAAAACCTAAGATATTTGAAACAAATTAACCAGGGTGGGGAGGCTTCTAGGAAGACATCAGCATGTGCCTGATGGTGGAGCTGGGCTGTAAGGTTCTCAGGAGGAGGAGGAAGGGGTTCTTGCTCTCAGCAACCTCTCAGTGCTAGGGGTGGATTGAGGGCAGGGGCAAGGGAGGAGGTGCCTGGACAGGGATGAGAACTACCAGCAGAAGACAATCAACCACATTCTAATTCATTTTATTATACTGCCAACATGGTTTCTGACTAAGCAAATATAAGAGCTATAGCTTGAGAACAGAATGACTAAAACAGTGACTTCTCCTTACTAAAATGGGAATTAATAGGAATTTGTAATTTAGTAACAACTTAATTTAATATAGTAATAATTTTTCTACAGCTGCAGAATGTCTTGAGCTGGAACATCCCCAAGAGGCCATATATATATCCCAGGGATTTTACAGTGGACCTCACTAGGCCGGAGTAACTGTAAAGTCAGATGGATAATGAGAATTCAGGACGTTAGCCACACGTGGACTGTGGCAAAAAGAAAGTGACCCACTGAAGAAGACTGTTTTTCAGCTCTCTCATCAATTGCTGTTTCCAGGAGCCCACAGCTCCAATTACTCAAAAGAACGTTGACTTTTTTTTTTTTGGTAAAATATCCTGATTTTCAGGTTAGGCAAGCAATTCATTAAAAAATAAAAGACTGCACAGCCCACAGCTCCAATTATTCAAAAGAAAGTTGACTTTCTTTTTTTTGGTAAAATATCCTGATTTTCAGTTTAGGCAAGCAATTCATTAAAAAATAAAAGACTGCAGGACTTACCTACCCAGAGGCTGGACAGTCTGAGTCCTCTGAGTTCTACAGAGATGTCCTGGGAACAGGGGGTGGAGACGGGGGACTCAGTGGCTAAAAAGCAGGCTGCCTACCTGGCAACCAAATTGGGCAGCTCTACCCTATCTGTTTTGTGCATTGGACTTATGGATTTCTTTGTAGAAAAAACTTCGATAACTAAAAGCCCTTTGGTGACCTCCTGTCTGGTCTGGTGGCCGGCAGCCTGCATCAGGGCTCCTGTGTGCCAGGACCATTTTCTTTCCACTGTAGTATGTTTATGGACCACCTTGTGTCTTTTTATTAAACTCCAGGAACAGAAGTTCAGTTTCTGGGAATCCATAGCATACCGTTTTTGTTGTTGTTGTTGTTGTTGTTGTTGTTTTTGTTTTTGAGACAGGGTCTTGCTCTCTTGCCCACACTGGAGGGCAGTGGAGTGATCACGGCTCACTGCAGCCTTGACCCCCCCAGGCTCAAGCAAACCTCCAACCTCAGCCTTCCAAGTAGCTGGGATTACAGGTGCACACTACCATGCCTGGCTAATTTTTTAATTTTTTTTTTGTTAGAGTCAGTGTCTCTCTATGTTGCCCAGGCTGGTCTCAAACTCCTGGGCTCAAGCAATCCTCCCACCTTGGCCTCCCAAAGTGCTGGAATTACAGGTGTGAGTCACAGCACCAGACCTGTTTTGTTTTCAAGTGGAGGCTTTAAGATGTGAGCTAGCATGGTAGCCTTAGTGAGGTTCTCCTCCCCACGCCCATCAGTGTGTGCTTTTTGCTGGGATTTTGGCTTTGATGCAATGAGTCATTGACTGTTGAGGCAGAAACTTCCTGGAATGATATTTCTTTCCACCACTCATGCACTTTTATTTCTGCTATTCATGCCATTTTTAATCTTTCACCTCTGTCTTCCTCTTCCGCTTTGCCTTTTCTTGTAGTTTTTCTACCTTTGTTGACCTTTTTTCTTTTTAAATTTAGTTATCTTGATTTACTCTATTATTCTTAGTTTTTTCCTTTGGCCTTTCTCCAGTCATTCAGATCATTACTTCCTGGGATTCCTTCATTCCCCCAAACATCCACTTTTCTCTTTGCTCTTGCCACCTACCTATCCCAGCCACAACCTAGACGTTATAGTTTTTAAGATTTCAACTGTCTTCCAGCCTCTGCCTCTCGGTCCCCTAACTTTGCCATGTGGCTCCATTAGCAGGAGTTCTATTAGCATGCTTGGCCTTCTTTTTCAAAAACTAGCTTTTGTGGGAAATTGGGTAATAGAAGATGGTCACATAACATTCCCTGTAGAAGCGATGGCTTTAAAGTATGGGAAGCCAAAATGTTTCCTATTAAGCAGCTCTTGCTCAAGCTAAGAAAGAAATTAGATCTCTACACCAACGACATGATTTCCCCAGACAAAATCAGCTGATGGTCTGAATACATTTGAAAGCATTTCCAAAGGACCCAGGAAAAGACCAGAAAGAGGTGATTTTGCAAAGAAGAGAAAATGTTGCAAGTACACTATTACAAAAACTGAAACATGTCTTTAAATTCAGCCACCACAGATGGCACACATTTCAGTAAGCATTTTTATTCATTCAGATTAAATGGTATATGTGAGTAAGAGTGCCAAAATAAGGGACATTAACAAAAAAAGGTGGGTAGGAAAAAGGAGAATACACTAAAAATGGTCAAGACTGTGGGAGCAGCTAATCGTGTTCATTGCAAAATCTTGGCGATGGAGCAAGCATTGTGGCAGCACTCAGCCAGCAACTGGAACACAGCTAGCAGGGCTATGAGTATATGAAATAGAAAATTGTGAAATATGTTCTAACAAAAATCATTTCATGAAGAATAAGACAAGACAGGTCCACATTGCAATCCAGTTCAAATCAACGAAGTAAAGCTTATCTAAACATTTCTGTGAAGTCATGCACAGGATAGTTTACTGGAAAGAGCTACACAGCTGCAACTCAGAAGCTGAAATTCTGGTGCATTCTGTACCCCATACTCACCAAGGGGATCATTTCACCTCTCTGAATGTCCATTCCTTCATCTGAAACCCGAGGGAGCCAACCAGATGGTTGGCCACGTTCCTTCTCTCATTAGCATGGGTTGACTAACATGCCACCAGCATATATTGCAGAAAAGAAAAACTGCAAATGTGGCATTTGCAGCAAAGCAGCTATGGCAAGCACTGGCTCATTCATAACCTTCCCTTGGCCTAATTGTAACATGGACAAGAGAAAATTACCTTGTTGAGTTGCCCACCAACTTTTGTCACTCCAGAGACAAAAGTTGTCTTCTGGAGTCGTTTGTTTCAGCAAGAGATTAAAGTGAATGCTCTCCGTTTGGTAAATGCACTTAAGAAGTCCGGAAATTGGGTGCTTGACCGCATTTCTGGTCTTCTGAGAAACTTTCAGAAGTGCTCAAGATTCAGGTGCCATTGTGTTTTCAGCTGCTGCTGTGTGATGCTGCTCTCAGGCGGTGCATGTAGGTCTGTGGAGGATTTTGTGAGTCCGCATACTGGCAGGATGATAAAAGAGCCAGCTCTCGGGCAGTCACCAGGAATTGCAGGCAGTAGAGCCCAGTGCTGAAGACCCAGATACAGAGGCCCGTGTCCACATCCCAGCTTGCCCACAGCCACTCAGGAACTCTGTGGCTGTGGGCAACTTACTTTTCTCGTCTGCTGTGTGCCTCACTTTCACCTTTTGACAACCATTTATAATTATAGTATCAATCTCAACTTGTTCTGAGGATAAAATTAGTACCTATTAACTGATTAGGAAAGTGCCTGATATATTAGCAAGTGTTAGCTATTATTATTAACCCAAAAAAGAATCAACATACATCAGAAAAATAGTATCATCAACCAAATACTTGTGCCTGTGCATGCGTATGTGTGTGCGTGTCCATATTAATTACATATACATAATAAATCTTGTTACGCTGCCAGGATCCTATTCAATTCAGATGAACAAGTGAGCATGTACATCTACAAGAAAGAATAACAGAGGTGGATGGGGATTAGAATTCATTCATTCTTCCATTTATGGAGCACCTGCTGGGTGCCAGGCATCCCTTGAACAGTTGAGTGATGTCCCATGCCTGCTGTAGACTTGGCGCTCATTCACTCACTCCCTCACTTAAGGTACATGTTTACTGACTACTTAGCAGGGGCCAGAAACTAAGCCAGGCCCTTAGAGGTTAATGGGAAGATGAGGATGGTGGGTTAAAAGCATAACTCGAATACTGTCGCGGTGTGGTAACTGTCACTGGAAAGACCAGACTGTGTACCAAGAGGGGCTTGAAGGAGAGGAGACCCACATTCCATTGAAGCAGAGGCAGAAGTACTTCCTGAAAGAGGGTATAATTTAATCAAAGTTTTTCTTTTTTATTAAAAAAAATGTTTGGTACAGGGTCTTGCTCTGTTGCCCAGGCTGGAGTGCAGTGGCATGATCATAGCTCACTGCAGCCTTGACCTCCTGAGCTCAAGCAATCCTCCTGCCTCAGCCTCCCAAGCAGCTAGCACTACAGGTGCATGCCAACACACCAGGCTAATTAAAAAACATTTTGTAGAGGCAGGATCTCACTATGTTGCTCAGGCTAGTCTCAAACTCCTGGCCTCAAGTGATCCTCCTACCTCAGCCTCCCAAGTGCTGGGATTATGACCAAAGTCTTAAAGATGTATGGGTATTCTACAGGCAGGAATCATGCCTCAAAAGAGTACCACATAAAGCCAGGCCTAGCAAAGCCAGTGTGGTTGGTGACCAAGGGAACCTTGGGGAGTGACAAGTCCTGGCAGAGAGCTTGATGGAAACCCAGGTTTTGCAAAGTCGGCATGGGAGAGCAGTGTGGAAATGTAGACCAGGCCCAGGCCTAGGGGACCTGGAGTAGCAAAACCAACCAGTACGTTATTCAGGCAGTACGTTATTCAAGCATTTAAAACACATTGTTTTAAATGCTTTTTTTCCCCCAAATGTCACACATTAAGAATTAGTGTAGGGAAATGGTTCAAAGCCTGGACTCTAGAGCTGGGTGGCCATGGGTAAGTCACGTGAAACCTTGATGCCTCAGTTTCTTCATCTGAGAAACAGCACAATAGTACTTTACATATGCTATATATGCTTCAGTTCCTCTACACAGTAAGAATAATAACAAATACTGCTCAAACACCACAGCATGCACACACCGTCTTGGGCGCATCACATATATTAAGATGTTTCATCCTTCTACCATTCCGTGGAGAGGGGAAAGGTGTCACGGGAACAGAGCCTGAGCTTAGGGATGCACTGGCACATGCTCTCCTGTGCTATTACAAAGGGTGTGTATTCATCCCACGAGAGAAAGCCAGCTGGAGACTAGAAGCAAGTGGAATTTGACTTGAACAGTTTAACCACAGTGGAAGCCGACGTGACTTTGGCCTTCAGGGAGTGTCTGTACTTGGGCTATGCTGCTCCAGAGTTCCTTTTGCTTCTGTTCCTGCTCCTGGCTGTCTGGGATGGTTCCCAGTGCAGGACTTGTGCTGCTCAATGACCCAGGCCACACAAGACTTTCCCCCTAATGCATAAGTAAAACACCACTTTCCTTTGTAAAAATGACCTCTCTGCAAGTCCCAGTGTGTCTCCTTCCTGGATCCCCTTTGCCTCACCTGTCCCAAGCCTCTCTTGCTTGCTACTGGACAGGCTTTGTCTTGGACGCCTTTCCCTCTTCTACCACCAGCAGCTAACTTGGGTCTTCCTGGGTTCCCAATGCTTTCCTGCTGCTGCAAGTAAGATGGACAGAACTTACAGATGGGCACCTCCCATCACTTAGGAACTCACACAAGCACAGAGGGCCAGGAACCTGTCTTTCCCAGGGGCTACCGGGGCAGGTGACACAACCCCATGATGTAGGGTAGTTGGCACACTGTCAGGTTAGTTCTGAGCCATGAGTGACAGGAGATGGGATGGAACCAGTAGATAAATACCTCCTCTCTACAATGTTTAGTGGCATGATGTCCCAAATCCCAGCCACAGTCTGTGCTGTCTTGGGGCACTGTAGTCAACCTGGTAGTGTACCTTGTCCTTATAAATGTACTTCCCCTATTTCTCTGTCTCCTCTTCTTTTCCTCCTACTCTTGCAGTTCTAGAATTGTACCTCCCAAGAAAGGCTTAGCACAGGAGATTTGATTCAGGCTCCGGTTTCTGGGAAACTCAGGCCCAGCCAATTTCTTTCGGAACCTGTCAAAGATTCAAAGTGCAGCAATAGTCCCAAAAATAGGTTTCCTGAAAACATGTCCCTCACGAAAAGTAGCAGAGAAAGATGACTCTCAGTCTTGCAGAGAAATTGTCCATTTTCTTATCTTTTGCAGTATTATGAAAACTGTTGCTGACACATAAGAACCTATATATTCCAGTGAAGTTGTTTAGGTTTTTTTTTGCCAGATCTTAATTCTGCTGTGCAAAGGCAGAGCTGAAAAGAAATGGGAGGTTGATTTGTAAAGCATTAGTGTGAGAAGGTCTTAGGGAGGTCTTTTCTAGTACTCTTTTGGAGTATGATATATATTGCTAAAGTAGCTGGAGAGTAGTCAGAAGTATAGCTATTTTGATGTGATAAAAGGAAAACATTTTGAACTGCAGACTAGGAAAGAAAACTTTCTTGTTACTGAAAAATATTTATCTTTACTACTGAATATCTGAAAAGCATTCTTTTTCAGTGTAAATTTAATCATTTAATGGTGAAACAATAAAGTCCTTCCTATTTAAGTAGGAAAATAAACAGGAAACTCATTATTATTTGACATCATTTTGAAGGTCTTAGCCATTGCAATGAGACAGGAAAAAAAAGAATTATCAGTATTACAAGGAAGTTATAATTCCATATGTTCATTTACTTATGTAGCAAAACTAAAGCTTATGCAAAAATAGAAGAATTCAGTAATGTAGCTGGACAAGATGTTAATATTTAAAAACAAAATTTTCCTGCATATGGGAATCATTTGTAATAGAATGGCTAAAAGCACACATTCTACATTTATTGCTGTGACTATCGGCAAATTGCTGAGACTCATTATGTTTCAGTTTCCTCCTCTGCACACTTGGGATTGTAGTCATGCTGCCCTCTGAAGGTTATGGTGAGGATATTATGAATGAGCATTGCTGCAGTTTGACTCACACAAGATCTACTTACAAGCTTATTCATCCAGTCTTTATTTACTCTGGGATTTGCAAGTATCAAATACTTTCAGACTTCCTTGATGGCAGGGGTGGCTAACTGACATCATTCTGGCCAAACGGGCATAATAAGAAGTTGCAGGTGCCCCTATTTTCCTTTTCTCCTGCCTTAAAAATGGACATGATGCTAGAACTATAGCACCCATTTGACCATGAGGGAAGCGTCAATATCAGCACCTGTTTACCTACTCCTGGGCTTCTTGAACATGAGAAACACAAACCTCGATTTGTTTAAGTCATTGTTAGATGAGTATTTTGTGAACAATATTTTCATTTGTGACTGAATAACATGTGAAGCATAACATAAATAACATATCTGGTGCCTAGGCAGTGTTTAATAAATGTTAGCTCTTAGTATTTTAGTTGAAAAATATTATATTTAAATATATTTAAAATATACTTGGGAAAAGTGTCTTATTCACAATAAGAAAAACTATCAAATAATTAATACTACATCTAACAAAAAGGTACAAGCTAGTCTACATAAAGAAAACTATTAAACATTGAATAATGACTAACAGAAGCCAAACAAGTAAAAAAATTGAATATATTTCTGATTAAGAGTATTATAAAGATGATGATTACCCCCAAATTAACCAATGAGTATAATCTCTCTTAATCAAAATTCTAATGGATATTTTGAGAAACTTAAAAAGTTGATTCTCAGGCCAGACACAGTGACTCATGCGTATAATAGAAGCACTTTGGGAGGCTGAGGCATGAGGATCACTGGAGACCAGGAGATTGAGACCAGTCTGCACAACACAGGCTCTCATGAGTGCTTCTAAACAATGGAACATAATATGCTTCCAGAACCTCAGCTTCATGAAGTCTAAGACATGTTTCTTCAGCTTTCAAGCCTCCCCAAGTAGATATCAGATTGCATGGGAGTAGAAAAAAATGGATGCTAAGTGTCTACTAACCAAGGGAAAATACATCATGTTGGAATCATTGGCTAGACCTTCATCTCATTCCAAGCATAAAAATATTCCCGTAATATTAAAGATTTAAGTGTTAAATTACACATAAAAGTACAAAACCAAAATATGGGAGAACAGGTCTACATGAAACCCAGAAGTTACAAAAGAAAAGATAAATATATTTAATTAACCGTGAAGCAGCTTTTGTTTGATAAAAGACACCTTAAAATTAAAAGACAAAAAATTTGAGAAAATAGTTCACATTTTTATTCTAGAAAAAGGTTTAACATTCTTAATATGTTAAGCACTCTTATAAATTTACAAGAAAATCAACATCCAATAGGAAAATAGTAAAAGGATACGAATAATTTTCGAAAAAAATCAAGTGCACCTAGACTTCACCACTATACAATTCATCCATGTACAACCAAAAATCGCTTGTACTCTTAAAGCTATCGCAATTAAAAAAAAAATTAAGAATAGGTGGCAGTTTAGATTTGGGCCATAGGCCTGTAGTTTGCCAAACACTTCTCTAAAGGGTTTCCTAGGGAATGTGGAGGTCAGCATGAACATGCCCAAGGACCATGGCAAGGCTGCCTGTAGGTGACATAACAGTATCCGTATGAGCCGTCTTCTATGATTCCAGGCACCCCTGTGCTTTCCCTGGTTTTCTTTTGCATTCCCCCAAAGTACCTAATAACTGAATTGTGTGTTTTCTCTTTCTTTCTCTCTCTCTCCACTGCCCCCACTAGGCATAGCAAGTATTTGCTATGTCAAGTAGTGGAAGCATCACCCTCCTTGGATATTCAGTCCTCTAAATGATCAGAACCCAGAGTTGTGAGAATTGTGATAAAAACGCTTGCTGCAACTGACTTATACAATAATACAATCATCAGGCCCCTGGAGCTGCTGGTCAGAAAACTCCAACATCTCTATGACCTTGCCTGCCTGCAGCAATTGCTAACTCAACAGGAAGTGTGCCTCACCTCTCTTTCACCATCAAATTTTATCTTAATTTGCATCCAGAATACCAGTTGCAAGAGAGACTAGTAAATGTGGAATTCAAATTCTATGGTACATAAAAGGCCACTCAAAGGAGGTTGAAATGGAACTTGAGTGCCATTTCATCATGGTCCTCATGAAGCCTGACCGAGTCCACCTGCCTCTAGAGGCTGGATGATGGCTCCGTTTGGCACTGAATCAGTTTTAGAGACATCTGCCTGCGCCTGAAACTGAGGAGTGTAGGAAGAAAGGTCTGCCTTGGTGAAGTGAGGACTATGATTTTGCCACATGGTCTTCATGACTACCATTCTATTCTGTGACAGTGGTCAACCAGGGTCCCTTACTGAGACTTTCAGTGAACAGTTTATTCCATGTGCCTACAGCTTATAATCTAATTAACATTTCATCTATGCATGCCAGGTACTATCAGAACTCTTCCCTTTAATACTAGCTGGATTTTTACTTCCTTCAGTTACATCTTGTACATCCCATAGTTCACTCAACTTGCTGAGAATCTGGGAGCAATTTTTTACAGCATTCAGGGTACTTTGTTGCAAGCAACACAGACCGATTTTGGCTAATATGAGCAGAACAGTAATTTACTAAACAAAAAAACCCAAAAAACTCCAGGCAACTCACAGAATCTGTGGCAAGTCAGGTTTGAAGGCTAAAAAGCCGGAAGCTATGCCCCAAATCAAACTGCAGAATTGATCTCCCGCAGGCACTGCTGTCTCTGCTGTAGGACAGAGAAACTGCATCTGCATGGCACACTCCTCCAATGCTGCTACCAGAAAGAAAGCTCCTGCAAACAGGATACAGCCACCTTCACAGGCACTGCCCCAGGGAAAGAGCCTGCATGATCTCCATTTCTTCACATTACCATTTTCTGATTAAGATTTGAAGGTGGGGCCGGGCGCGGTGGCTCACGCCTGTAATCCCAGCACTTTGGGAGGCCGAAGGCGGGCGGATCGCGAGGTCAGGTGATAGAGACCATCCCGGCTAACACGGTGAAACCTCGTCTCTACTAAAAATACAAAAAATTAGCCGGGCGTGGTGGCGGGCACCTTTAGTTTCAGCTACTCCGGAGGCTGAGGCAGGAGAATGGCGTGAATCCGGGTGGCGGAGCTTGCAGTGAGTCGAGATGGCGCCACTGCACTCCAGCCTGGGCGACAGAGCAAGACTCTGCCTCAACAACAACAACAACAACAACAACAACAACAACAACAACAACAAAGAGTTGAAGGTGGGGAGCTAAGGAGGAGTTAAGTATGTCTGATTGGCAGGACCTACGTCATATGCCAGGACCCTGGCTACCAAGAGTCTGGGAAAATTAATAGAAGATCTTCAACTTCTCTGATTGGAGACAGGCTCTATAACCCAAAATAGGAAGAGGTTCCTCTGCCAAGTAGCCATAAAGTGACAAATGTTCACTACATCCTTCATATATAGTCAGTTACAATTTCCTACTGACACTATCCCCTAAATCAGCAGTCCCCAACCTTTTTTGGCAGCAGGGACCGGTTTCGTGGAAGACAATTTTTCCACGTGCAAGGGTTTTGGGGGATGGTTTCAGGATAAAACTGTTCCGTGTCGAATCATCAGGAGTTACATTCTCATAAGGAGTGCGCAACCTAGATCCCTCGCATGCGCAGTTCCCAGTAGAGTTCACACTCCTATGAGAATCTAATGCTTCCGCTGCTCTGACAGGAGGCTGAGCTCAGGCAGTAATGCTTGCTCGCCCACCGCTCATCTCCTGCTGTGCGGGCCAGTTCCTAACAGGCCAGGGATCAGTACCGGTCTGTGGCCTGGGGATTAAAGAACACTGTCCTAAATCTCTTTTTTAAAACAGCTTTATTGAGTTATAATTCACATCCATACAATTTACCCATGTAAAGTGCACGATTCAATGGTATTTGATGTATTACATGTTATATTTTTTGGATCAGGAATACATATATAACAAAATTTGCCTGTTGACCATTTTTAAGAAAATAAATTTAATCATTTATACTTAAGATGTAAATATATTGTGGGATACATGTAGATAGTAAAATGGTCACTATAAAGAAGCAGATTAACATATTCGTCATCTCACACAGTTACACTTTTGTTAGTTTTTGTGGCAAGAATAGCTAAAGTCTACTCATTTAGCAGGAATCACAAATACAGTACAATTTTATTATCTGTAATCTTCACGTACATTTGATCTCTAGACTTGTTCATCCTACATGTCTGTTACTTTGTGTCCTCTGACCTACATCTCCCCATTTCCTTTCTACCTCCCTAGCCCCACCCCTGGTAAGCAGTGTCTTATTCCCTATCTCTGTATATATGACTCTTTAAAAAATTCCACATGTAAATGAGATCATGTATTTTTGTGTGTGTGTCTAGCTTATTTCACTTAGCACAAACTTCCAGGTTTCTGCATGTTGTGACAAATGGCAGGATCTCCTTTTTTAAAGGCAAAATAATATGTCTTTATCTATATGTATGTAGCACAGTTTCTTAACTATTTGTATCTCTACAGACACACAGGTTGTTTCCATATCTTGGCTATTGTGGGTAGTGCTGCAGTAAACACGGGCGTGCACATACCTTTATGAAATGGTGACTTTATTTCCTTTGGGTATATGCCCAGAAAGGGGGTTGCTGGGCCACATGGTAGTCCTATTTTTAATTTTTTTGGAAACTTTCATATTGGTTTTTATAATGGCTGCACCAAACTACATTTCCACCAGCACTATGCAAGCCTTCCCTTTTTCTTCACATACTTCCTAACATTCGTTATCTTTTGACTTTTAAATAATAGCCATCATAATGGGTGTGAGGTCGTATCTCATTGTGATTTTGACTCGTGTTTCCTGATGATTAACTGCGTTTAACACCTTCTTACAAATTTGTTGGCCGTTTTTCATATCTTCTTTGGAGAAATGTCTATTCAGGTTCTTTGTTCATTTTTTATTGAGTTATTTGTTTTTCTGCTATTGAATTGTAGGGGTTCTTATAAGTTGTGGATGATAACCCCTTATCAGATACAGGGTATACAATTTTTTTTCCCAATTCATAGGCTATTTCATTTTGTTGATAATTTCCTTTGCTTTGCAGAAGATTTTTATTTTGATGTAGCTCCATTTACTTATCTTTACATTTGTAGCTTGAGCTTTTGGTGTAATTAGGGGAAAAAAATCATTGTCAAGGCTAATGTTCAGGCACTTTTCCCCTCTAGTGTCTTCTAGGAGTTCTATAGTTTCAGGTCTTAAATTTAGGTATCTTATCCATTTTGAGTTGCTTTTTGTGCATGATGTAAGATAACAGTCCAATTTCATTCTTTTATATGTAGAAATTCAGTTTTCCTAGCCCCATTTATTAGAGAGACTATCCTTTCTCCATTGTGTCCTCTTGGTGCCTTGGTCAAAACTTAATTGACCATACATGTTTGGATTTACTTCTGTGCACCCTATTCTGTTTCACTGGTCTATGGCCTGTTATTCCAATATGGTATGGGTTTATTCCAATACAGTATGAGTTTGATTATTATAGCTTTGCAATATAATTTAAGATCAGAAAGTGTGATACCTTCAACTATTTGTCAGAATTGTTTTGATTATTCAGGATGCTTTGTCGTTCCATATGAATTTCTGAACTTTAAAAAAAATTTCTGTGACAAATGTTATTGGGATTTTGATAGGGATTGCATTGAATCTGTATATTGCTTTGGTTAACAGACAATTTAAAAACATTAATTATTGTATTCATGGGCATGGGATATCTTTGTATTTATTCTTCCTCAACTTCTTTCATCAATGTTTTACAGTTTTTAGTGTCTAGATCTTTTACCTCCTTGGTTAAATTTCTAAGTGCTTTATTTTCTTTTGATGCTACTGTAAATGGGACTGTTTTCTTGATTTTTCTTTCAGCTAGGTTATTATTCTGTGAGTAAAAACACTACTGATTTTTGTATGTTGATTTTGAATCCTGCAACTTTACTGAATTCACTTATTAGTTCTAACTGTTTTTTTTCCCTGTGGAATCTTTGGGATTTTATACATATAGGATTGTACAATCTGCAAAATAGAGATACTTTTTCTTTCCTTTCTAATTGCCTTTTATTTCTTTTGTGTGTGCGTGTTTGATTGCTCTTGCTAACTTCCAGTACTATGCTGACTAGAAGTGGAGAGTTGTCATCCTTGCCTTGTACTGGACCTTGGTGGAAAAGCTTTCAGTTTTTCTCTGTTGATTATGTTGTTAGCTGTGGGGTTTGCATACAAAATCTTTATTATGTGTGAGAAACTTTCCTTCTAAATCTAAGCTGTTGAGAGTTTTTTATCAACAAAGGATGTTGGACTTCGTTAAATGCTTTTTCCTTGTCAATTCAGAGGATCAGATGGTTTTTACTATTTCATTCTGTTAATGTAGTATATTATATTGATTGATTTGCATATGTTAAATCAGTGTTATATGCCAGAAATAAATCTCACTTGGTCATGATGTACAGTCTTTTTGGTGTGTTGTTGAATTCGGTTTGATAATATTTAATTGAGAATTTTTTGCATTAATTCTCATCAGAGAAATTGACCTATAGTTTTCTTTTCTTGTGATGTCTTTGTCTGGATTAGGTATCAAGATGATGCTTGCCTCATAAAGTATGTTTGGGAGTATTTCCTGTAGCCCTATTTTTTGGAAGAGTTTAGGAAGTATTGGTATTAGTTCCTCTTTGAATGTTTGGTAGAATTCAGCTGCGAAGGCATCTGGTCTTGGGCTCTTAATTTGGGGGAGGGTTTTGATTATTTCTTCAATCTCTTTGTTATTATTCTGTTCAAGCTTTCTATTTCTTTCTGATTTAACTGTGGTAGGCTTTACTTTTCTAGGAGTTAATCCAACTCTTAAGTCATCCAATTTGTTTGGCATATAATTGTTCATAATAGTCCTGTGTGATTCTTTTAATTTTTGAGGCATCCGTGTAATATCTTCAATATCATTTTTTATTTTATTTGAGTCTTTTCTCTCTTTTTTGCTAGCTAGACTAGTAAGTGTTTTTAAATTTTGTTTACTTTTTAAAAAACCAACTCAGTTTTACCAATTTTTTTCTATGGTTTTTCTGTTCTCCATTTCATTTATTTCTATTCTGATCTTTATTGTTTCCTTCCTTCTGCTAACTTTGGGCTTAGTTTGTTCTTCTTTTTCTAGTTCTTGAAGAATATTTTTAGACTATTTATTTGGGATCTTTTTTCCTTTTTAATGTAGGTACTTATTGCTGTACACTTTCCTCTCAGAACTGCTGCTGCTGCATCCCATAGGTTTTAGTATGTTTCATTTCCATTGTCATTGGTCTCAAGGTATTTACAGTTTCCCTTTTAATTTCTCCTTTTACTCATTGATTGCTTAGGAGCATGTTGTTTAATTTCCACATATGTGTGAGTTTTTCAAGATATCTTCTGTTATTGATTCCTGGTTTCACACCATTTTGGTCTGAAACAATCTTCGATATGATTTTAGTTTTTTAAAATTTGTTAAGGGTTGTTTTGTGGCCTAACATACAGTGTATCCTGGAGAATATTCCATGTGTACTTGAGAAAAATGTGTATTCTGCTGCTGTTGCATGGAATGTTCTGTATATGTCTGTTAGGGCTGTATGGTCTAAAGTGAAATTCAAGTCCAGTATTTCCCTATTAATTTTCTGTGTAGTTGATCTATTCATGGTTGAAAATGAGGTATCAAAATGGTCTACTATTATTGTATTGCTGTGTATTTCTTTCTTCATGTCCATTAATATTTGCTTTATGTGTTTAGGTACTCTGATGTTGGGTGCATATATATTGATAATTGTTATGTCCTCTTGATGAATTGATCCCCTTATCATTAAATAATGACTTTTTTTGTCTCTTGTGACAGATTTTGATTTGAAGTATATTTAATTAGATATAAGTTTCAGCCACCCCTGCTCTCTTTTGGTTACCATTTGCATGGAATATCTTCTTCTATCCTCTTACTTTCAGTCTATGTTTGTCCTTAAACCTAAACTGGGTCTGTCGTAGGAAGCATATAGTTGGATCTTATTTTTTTAATTCACAAAGCCACTCTATGTCTTTTGGTTGGAGTATTTAATCAACTTACATTTAAGGTTATTATTTACAAGTAAAACCTTACTACTGCCATTTTGTTATTTGATTTCTGGTTGTCCTGTGGATCCTTTGCTTTTTTTGTCTATCTTTGTGATTTGAGGATTTTCTGTAATGCTAAGCTTTGATTCTTTCTCTTTATTGTTTGTATACCAGTTATAGGTTTTGGCTTTGTGGTTACCATGAGGCTTGCATAAAACTTCTTATAGTTAGAATTGACTATTTTAAACAGACAACAACTTAAATTCTGTCACATATAAAAACTCTAGACTTTTACCCTACCCCACACAATTTATGTTTTTGATTTCACAACTTACATATTTTTATATTTTGTATTCCTTAACCACTTATGGTAGCTTTCGTTATTTTTGACTGTTTTGACTTTTAACCTTCATACTAGAGATATGAATGATTCACATAGCACCATTATAGTGTTGGAGTATTCTGAATTTGAGTATGTGTTTGCCTGTACTCATACATATGAAAGAATAAAAGTACTAGTGAGTTTTATACTACTACTCCTCACTAGTTTTATACTTTTCTAGGTATTCATTATAGCAATTATTGTCCTTTTTTTTCTGCTTGAAGAACTCCTTTAAGCATTTGTCATAAGGCAGGGATAGTGGTGATGAGTTCCCTCAGCTTTTCATTGTCTGTGAAAGACTTTATTTCTCCTTCATTTCTTAAGGACAGCTTTGCTAGATTTAGTATTTATGGCTAGCTTGGTTTTTTCTTTTGGTACTTTAAATATATTACCCCTTTCTTTCTTGGCTTACAAGGTTTTTGCTGAGAAATCCACTAATAGTCTAATGAGAATGCTGTTATACATGGCACGATGCTTTTCTCTTGCTACCTTTTAAATTCTCTATGTCCTTGGGGTGTCACTTCACCAGCCAGAAACCTCTGTGGTCAGCAGTGTCCTCTGCCTGAGTATTGCTTGTGTCTGCTGGGCTCGTTCTGCCCACTCAGCCCAGCAGGCTGTGCTCAGCTTATGCTACCAGCCTGTAACCTATACCTGCCAAGGGCGAGCCAGGCGCAGAGTGGTGAGGGGTGTGTGGGTGAGCAAGTGCAGGATCTGGTCATTGTGCACAGCCAGGCATGCTGGCTGCTTTGGCAGCACAGGCAGCTCCAGGTGCCAGCACAGGTGCTGGCTCCCTGCAAGGCTGCAGCTGGACCAGATGTACCACATGTGGCTTCTGCTGTGGGTGCCCACATCTGGACGAGAGGGACATGGTGGTGCCCAGAAGCTTGGAGATGCCAGGAACCACACAGACCCAAAGAGGGTGCCACAGCCCTGGCTCTGGGAGCCCCTAGGTCTGAGCTCCCCGAAGGGCCACAGCTCTTCTCTCCTTCTTGTCATCCGGAATGTGGCAAGCAGAGGGGCATGTTTCAGCCCTGTTTGTGTTACAGCACTTTCAGTCCTGCCATTCAGTGGGTCCAAGTTCTTGTCCCACATCCAGGAAAAATGAGGTATGTGGACAACTGGCAGGTAAGCAAGGTGAAGACTAGCTTCACTGAATGACAGAACAGCTCTCAAGAGACCTAAAGTGGGTAGCTCCTTTCTGCAGGCAGGTCATGCACATGAATATCTAGCTCTCAGTAGAGAGGAGACCCACAGTGGGTAGCTACTTTCCATAGGCAGGTCATCCTGATGTCTGTTCAAGTTTGAGTGTGTCTGGGGTTTTTATGGGCTCAGAAGGGAAGAAATGCCTGCTGACTGGTCCATGGGCAGCCACGGGCAGGCCTGGAAAAAGCGCCGTAAGTTCTCATTCCAGTCCACAGACTCTACCTGGAACTGATAGCCTGGCCCCCATGCTTCAGGCCATCTGGGATTTGAAGGAGGGGCTTCACCAGGGAACAGCCCCTTTCTGCCCAGAAGCCTGTATGCCTCCTGCCACCAATCATGTTGTCCATGGTGCCCATGCTGTTTGTGCTGAAGGGCACCTGCAGGCCCATGCCTGAGCTGCCGTCAGCACCTCCTTGGCCTCCCACTTGTGCTGGTCAGGGCCCAAAGTTTGGAGGAGGCCAAGGCGGCAGGGGGCTAACATGTCAGCACCACCCCAAGCACATGCACACCTGAACAGGTCACAACAGCCCTGGGCTCGACCACGACTTTGCTCCACCCCAGAGTGGGCACTGGGAGCAGGCACTTCCAAGCCTGCAGGGACAGAGGGGCTTCCTAGGCTGGGTTGGTAGCTGTGGTTGGGTGGCTGCAGGACTCTTGCCCCAACAACTCAGAAGGGGGCAGGGCTCCCACCTGTTACCAGCCCCCACCAGCTCCATGAGCATGCAGCCCGAGCCGCACCTCCCCCACTGCAGCTGGTCTCTTAGCGGCCCTGGCTCAAGACACGCTGCAGCTGCCATCATTTACTTTTGACAGCTTGATTATAATGTACCCCAGAGAGGACCTCTTTGGTTCTGTTTGGATAACTTTAAGCTTCATGAATCTAGACATTAATATCTTTCTCAAGACATGGGTAATTTTCAGCAATTATTTCATTAAATAAGCTTTCTGTCCCTGTTTTGTCTCTTTTCTTGAAAATTCCATGTTGCAAGCATTTGTTTGCTTAGTAGTGTTACATAAGTCCAACAGGCTTTCTTCATTCTTTTTCACTTTCATTTTTTTCCTCTGATTGATTCATTTCAAACAGCCTATCTTCAAGTTCACAGAATCTTTCTTCTGCTTGATCTAGTCTGCTGTTGAAGCTCTTGATTGTATTTTTCATTTCATTGATCAAATTCTTTAATTCTAAGATTTATGTGTGGTTTTAAAAAAAATGATATCTATCTCTTTATTGAATTTCTCATTCAGATCATAAACTGTTTTCCTGATTTCATTGAATTATCTATCTGTATTCTTTTGTATCTTCCTGGATTTCCTTTAAATCATTATTTTGAATTCTTTTTTAGGCAGTTGGTAAATTTTCATTTTCTTGGAGTCAGTTACTGAAGAATTGTTGTGTTCCTTTGATGGTATCATATTTCCTTCGTTTTTTGTGTTTCTTGTATCCTGCATTGACGTTTGTGCATCTGGTGGAGCAGTCACCTCTCTCAAACTTTACACAGTGGCTTTTGTTGGGAAAGATTTTCACCCACAGATGGGCTTGAGGGAGACAATTGGGCAGGGCGTGATGGGTCTGGTCCCAGGTGGGTGTAGTTATGTAATTCTCCATGTAGCTTCTTTACCTGTGATGAACATCAGCAATGACTGTGGGTGCCTCAGTGGTCTAGGCTGCAAGATTTTGTGGCAACAGTGGTGGCAGCATATGTTATTAGGATTCTTGGTGGCAAGAGCTTTAGAGATTCTCCTGTACTTTTCTTCTCCACCACTTAGCTGAAGTGTCTTAGCTGAAGGAATCTCTCTTCGTTTCAAGCCTGACATGGCCCACAGGTAATGGTGCTGGGATCCAGGGCCCAGGTGCTCTGAGTGTCTGTAGAGCCAGAGTCCTGGGCTGGGCTCAGGGTCTTGCAAAACTACTATAGGACCTGGGACTTGAGGTTCAGTTCACTCTCTGAGGCACAAGTGGCTTTAGTTCTCTAATAAAGCTGGGGTCTGTTGCTCTGAGGCATATCCTAGCAGCTGAGGCCCATGGAGCTAGGTTGTAGCTATGACTGTGGTCCTGGTGGTCAGGGCATAGTACTGACTTGGCTCTGGGAAGAAGGGGTACTCTGAGGGTTTGGCCCTGGGGAGCAAGGCACAACTGCAGTTCAGGTCCCAGAACCAATAGGAAACAGTGACAACTTGGGCCCTGAGGGATGAGATACCACACAGTAGTGACTCTGGATTCTGAGAATGTGAGGCATGACAGTAACCCAGGCTCTGTGAGGCCAGTTGTTGCAGCAGCAATGACCCAGGAATGGCCCAGCTGTGGCTTAGGCCCTGAGGACCGGGGAGTAGACAGTGATGACTCTATTCCCCATGGAGTGGGCATGCCTCAGCAGCTTGGACTCTGGGGGACTACTCCAGTTTTAGGGAGGCAGGGCCTTTAGCTGTGGAGCCTAAAAGGTGGGGTAGAACAGCTCAGCCAAGGGTAAGTTTCCCTGGAATATGAGGTGCCACATCAGCTCAGCTCCAGAGTATGGCTACACACATTGCCAGGGGCTCTAGTTCTCTGAGGGGTGGGGTGCAGCATTGGCTTGGGCACTGGGGGCGCAAGACTGCTCTGTAGGGCTGAAGCTTAGGGTCCATAGAAAGCAGGGCACTACCTCAGCTATGGTACTTGGAGATGCAACTGCCAGAGGTTTGAGATCCCAGAGCAGTGAGGAAGAGTGTTAGCTCAGACCCTGAGGGCAGGGTGCTCCAGTGACTGAAATCGGGGGGATGGAGTGTCTCCACAGTAGCTTAGCTCAGGGGTAGGTTGTAGTAACAGCTTGACTTAGAGATGGTAATGCTATCATGTGGGCATGGTACAGTGGCAGCAAAGACTCAGGGATGGAGAGGTGCAATGGCTACTCATCCCTGGAGCAGAACACAGTCTGGCAGTGGCCCTAATTCCAAGACGGTGTAGAACAGCAGCAGCTCAGACCACAAGGAGAGAGATACAACATCAGCTCTTTCTCTGGGGTAGTGCAGTGTGTAGACACTGGGGAGCTCCCTTAACTAGGATCAGAATCTGTGAGGACTGTGGGAGTCTCCAATAATGAAGAATGCAGATGTCCACAGTGGTGATGGGGGTTTCAGGAGTCCTCTTGCTTACCTTTCCCTGCAGAGAGAAAGTCTCTCCTGGTTATGAGCTGATCCTTACTGGGCGACCAGTTGGTGGAGGCAAACTGTTTCCTTCCCTTCTCTACGTAGCCATACTGGATTTCTGTGCTTCACAGGATTTCTGTTGCTCCTTTTCTCTTCTCTAGTGTTCTCCTTTAGTTATTTTGGTTGAAATGTAGTTGTATATTCATTGTTTTGTTTTTGTGTGTGTTGCAAGGCAACGAGTTCTACGAACTTCTAGTTGACCATCTTGCTGAAATCACCCCTAATTTTACCCATTTTAAAAGTGCAATTCAATAGCATTAATTACATTTGCAATATGGTACAACCATCATCACTATTTCCAAAACCATTTTCATCCTTCCAAATGGAAACTCTGTAACCATAAACAATAACTCCTTCTTCCTTCACCCCTCAGCCTCTAGTAATCTCTAATATACTTTCTGTCTCCATACATTTGACCATTTTAGGTATTTCATATTAGTGGAATCATACAATATACGTGCTCTTGTGTCTAGCTTATTTTACTAAGTATGATGTTTTCTCTCCCTCCCTCCCTTCCTTCCTCCCTCCCTCCCTTTCTCTCTCTCTCTCTCTCTCTCTTTCTTTCTTTCTCTCTTTCAATGGAGTTTTGCTCTTGTTGCCCAGGCTGGAATGCAATGGCATGGTCTTGGCTCACAGCAACCTCTACCTCCTGAGTTCAAGTGATTCTCCTGCCTCAGCCTCCCAAGTAGCTTGGATTACAGGTCCGCACCACCATGCCTGGCTAATTTTTGTAGTTTTAGTAGAGGCGGGGTTTCACCATGTTGGCCAAGCTGGTCTTAAACTCCCGACCTCAGGTTATCTGCTTGCCTCGGCCTCCCAAAATGCTGGGATTACAGATGTGAGCCACTGCGCCCGGCCCTGATGTTTTCAAGTCTTAACCATGTATAGCATATATAAGAACTTCATTCATTTTAAAGCTGAATAGTATTCCATTTGTATGTATATATCACATTTTGTTTACCCATTCATCTGTTGATGGATACATGGGTAGTCTCTGACTTTGAGCTATTATGAACTATGCTGTGATGAACACTGGCATTCCAGTATCTGTTTGAGTCCTGCTTTCAATTCCTTTGGGTATTGAGATTGCTAGTAGTGGAATTGCTGGTTCATATAGTAATCCTATGTTTAGCTTCTTGAGGAACTGGCAAATTGTTTTTCACAGGAGCTGCACCATTTTATATTTATGCCAATGACACACAAGAGTTCCAATTTCTCCATATCCTTGCTAACATATGTTATTTTCCATTTTTAAAATTATAGCCATCCTAGTATCTGTGAAGTGATATCTCATTGTGCCTCTTTAATTTTCATTTCCCTAGTGGTTAGTGATGTTGAGTATCTTATCGCATCCTTATTGACTATGAGTATATCTTCTTTGGAGAAATATTTATTCAAGTCCTTTAACTACTTTTTAGTTGTGTTGTCTTTCTATTGTTGAGTTCTAAGAATTCTTTTTCTATTCTTGATATTGAACCCTTATGAGTTATATGACTTGCAAATATTCTTTTTACCATCCTGTAAGTTGCCTTTTTACTCTGTTGACAGTGTTCTTTGATGCACAAAAGTTTTTAATTTTGAAGAAGCCCAATTTGTCTATTTTTCCCTTTTGTTAATTGTGCTTTTGGTGTAATATCTAGAAATTTATTGCCAAATCCAAGGTGTTGAAGATCATGTCTATTCTTTCCTGTAAGAGTTTTATGGTTTAGCTCTCATAATTAGGCCATTGATCCCTTATGAGTTAATTTTTGTATACTTTTGTATGTAATATGAACTAGGGATTCAACTTTATTCTTTTGAACCACCTATTAAAGAGAATATTCTTTCCACATTACATAGACTTTGCACCCTTGTCAAATGTCTTTTTTTTCAAACTCTCAATTTTATTCTAGTGCTCTTATGTCTATCCTCATGCTAGCACCACACTATTTTGCTTACTTTCTTGTTCATTTTGGGTTGCTATAACAGAATACCTGAGGCTGGGTAACTTACTTTAAAAAAAGGTGTATTTGGCTCATGATTCTGGTGGCTGAAAAGGCCAACATTAAACAGTTACATTTGATGAGGACTTCATACTGCTTCCATCCATGACAGAAAGCAGAAGCGGAGTACGTGCAAAAAGAACATGGCAAGAGAGGAATCAAGAAAGGGAAACCAAGGAAGCCAGGCTCTTTTTAACAGCATGCTCTAGCAGGAACTAATCCAATCCTGTGACAGCAAGAACTCACCTCTGATGGAAGACATTAATCTATTTATGAGGGATCTGCTCCCTATGACTCAAATACCTCCCACTAGGCCCCACCTCCCAACACTGCCACACTGGGGATCAAATTTCAACATGAGTTTTGGTGGGAACAGACCCCTTTCAAACCAATTACTAAGGCTTGGTAGTAAGTTTTAAAACTGGGAAGTGTGAGTCTTCTAACTTCATTATATTTCTCAGTGTGCCTTTGGCTATTCAGGGTCCCTTGAAATTCCATATGAAGTAAAGATTGGCTTGTCCCTTTCTAGAAAAAAAGGTCATCAGAATCTTGATGGGGATTGCATTCAATTTGTAGATCTTTTTGGGTAGTATTGACAGCTTGATACTATTAAGTCTTCTTTTTAATGGGATGTCTTTCCATTAATTTTGGTCCTAATTTCTTTCAGCAACGTTTTATAATTTTCAGTATACAAGTCTTTCACCTTCTTAGTTAATTTATTCCTAGGTATGTTATTACCTTAGATGCTATTGTAAATGAAATTGCTTTCTTAATTTCCTTTTCTAGTTATTCATTGCTGGTATATAGAAACACAACTGATTTTTGGTATTGACATTGCACCTTGAAACTTTGTGGAATTAATTTATTAGCTTTCTTGTGTATTCTTTGGAATTTTCTATAAGTAAGACAATGCCATTTGCAAATAAATATATTTTACCTGCTCCTTTTCGTTATTTTTTTTTATTGTCTAATTGCTCTGGCTAAAACTTAACTATACAATGTTGCACAGCAGGGTGAAAGTGAACTTCCTTGTCTCATTCCTGATCTTAGAATGAAGAATTTTAGTTTTTTGCCATAGAGTATAATGTTAGCTGCGGGTTTTTCGTAAATGCTCTTTAGCATATGAGAAATTTCCCTCCTCTACCTAGTTTTCTGAGAGTTATTTTTATCATAAAAAAGATATTGGATTGTCAAATGCCTTTTCTGCATTACATTTTGGTAATTATGTGGGTTTCCCCCTTCTTTCTATTAATGTGATGTATTACATTTACTGCTTTTCTTATGTTGAGCCACCCTTGTATTCCTGATATAAATCCCACTTGGTTGTGGAGTATAATTTTTTTAATGTGCCATTCAATTTAGTTTGCTAGGATTTTGTTGAGGATTTTTGCATTTCTATTCATAAGGGACGTTGGTCTGAAGTTTCTTTTTTCTTGTGATGTTTTTATCTGACTTTGATATCAGGGTAATGCTGACCTTATAGAATTAGTTACAAAGTTTCCTCTCCTCTTCTATTTTTTAAAAACAGTTCAAGGTTTGGTATTAGTTCTTTGAATGTTTGGTAGAATTTATCAGTAAAGCCGTCTGGTCCTGGATTTTTCTTTGTTGAGACATTTTTGATTATTGAATTAATCTCTTCACTTGTTATATAGGTCTGTTGAGATTTTCTGTTTATTTTTAAGTCAGTTTAGGTAATTTGTGTATTTCTAAAAGTTTGTCCATTTCACCTAGATTATCTAATTTTCTGCATACAATTGTTCATACTATTCTCCTAAAATCCTTTTTATTTCTGTATAGTCAATAGTAATGTCTTCACTTTTATTTATGGCTTTAGTCATTTGTATCTTTTCTCTTTTGTTCTTTATTAGTCTAGCTAAATTTTGTTAATTTTGTTGATCATTTCAAAGAACAAACTTTTGGGTTAATTCACTTTCTTTATTGTTTTTGTATTCTCTATTTTATTTATCTGCTATCTAACCTTTATTCTTTTCTTCCTTATCTTACCTTTGAATTTAATTTGCTCTTTTTCTCCCATTTCCTCAAGATATAAAGTTAGGCTACTGATGTGAGATCTTCCTTCTTTTTAATGTTGGCATTTACAGCTACAAATTTCCCTCTGAACTCTGTCTTTCATGCATCCCATAAGTTTTGGTATACTAGTTTGGTTTTCATTTTCATTAGTCTCCAATCATCTAATATCTTTTGTGATTTCTTTTTGACCCATTGGTTATATAAGAATGCATTGCTTAATTTCCATATATTTGTGAATTTTCCAATTTTCACAGGCATTGATTTCTGGCTTCATTCTATTATAGTTGGAGAAGATGCTTTGTATAATTTCAATTTTAAAATTCATTGATATTTGCTTTGTGGCCTACCTAACACATGATTTATCTTGGAGAATATTCCATGTGCACTTAAGAAGAATGTGTATCCTTCTATTGTTGGGTGGAGGGTTTTGTGTATGTATGTTAGGTCTAGTTAGTTTATAGTGTTGTTCAAGCCCTCTGTGCCCTTATAGATCTTATGGTTAAATGTTCTGTTCATTATTGAAAGTGGAGTATTGAAGTCTTCAATTATTATTGTAGAACTGTATATTTCTCCCTTCAATTTTGTAAATCCTAAAGATCTCTTGACTCTGGCTTCCTGGCTACCAAATTTTTTTCTGTTCTACTTTAATGGTACCTAACCAGCTTCAGCTTTGTTCTGATTAAATCTGTTCCCCAAACAGTAACCAAGGTAACTTTTTCTGAAAACCAAATTTCATCCCAACACTTCTCACTCTAAAACCATTTTCCTAGCTCTCCATTAGCCTCAAGAAAACGTTCTTTTTTCTTAGCATGATTTCAAAGCCCACCATGACCTGGCTTTGGTTCCTACCTTTAATTTTACCTTCTTTCCACTCTTCCTTCTTACTCCTGATTCCAAATATATTGAGTATTGCATGTTTCCAATTGCACCCAATCCTTTCACCCCCTGGCCTTTGTTTTACTTTGTATGCTGCTAGAACTGCCTCTAGTTCTGCTCCTCTATCTCTTCATATACAGAATTTCTATTGATCTATAAGTGTCAGTTAAATCATCAGTTCCTCTGAGAAACATACTCTGACTTCCTTATACAAAATCACATATCCTTTTAAAGAATTATACCCTTCCATGTGTTTTGATTCTTATCATAACTCTTAACATACCACATTTTGGCTTGTTAATCACCACTAGGGCCTCTAGCATTGTGCCTGGCAGATAATAGCTTCACTGGGAAAGGCAAGCCACAATTGGCCCTCAATATCTCTTCATGATCTTGCTGAGTATGCCAAGAATACAAGATCCTGATCACTCTTTATCTGGACCCATTCCTCAGGATTGTATTTGCAGAGAGCACACCTGAGAGATAATGAAGTAATGTCTCTCAGACAAAAAGCAGGACTCTTTCTACTTAGCATATTAGTGATGACTCATCTAAGATGTGTGGGTTCTTGTCTTGTAACACAACCACTGTACACATGGGCATTCATCATGGACTGTTTAAATTGGCCCTGCGGGATTCAGGGAAAACAGGATATCCACGCACATGACCTGCTGTTGCCATGAGTAAGGAAGTCCTTTGTCTCTGACCCAGGAATCTCATGTCTTCTGCTAGCATCTGAGAAACAGTAATAGTCTAAATTGTTAGCTTGCAAGTAGAGTAAAATCCTAGACCCCTCACAATTCTTGAAAGTTCAAGAAGTATTTTTTAGCTATGTAAACCAAAAATAAAATTTGAAGCCCCTCAACCATCTGAATGGAAGCCTCCTCTTGACTAAGGGCATTCCAAAGTTAACCTGGAAAACTAGTTTAGGCTGTGATGGGAAGGGTTGTTTGGGCATACCTCATTACACCCTCCTCCCTTTTGGAATTCAGGAAAAGCTGACCAGCATTAACATCAACACAGATCTTAAGTCTGATAAAAACACCAAAACAATATTTAAAATCTATTCTCTCAGAAGCCTGCTACCAGGAAGCTTCATCTGCATAATAAAACTTTAGTCTCCACAACACCTGTCATCATAGCCCAGACCTTTCTTTCTATTGATTCCAGACCTTTTGATAATAACTTAACTCTTTCAACCAATTGCCAATCAGAAAAATTTTAAATCTATCTATAACCTGGAAGCCCCCATTTTCAGTTGTCCTACATTTCCAGATCAAATCAATGCACCTCTTACAGGTATTGAATGATGTATTATGTCTCCTAAAAGGTACAAAAGCAAGCTAGGCCAGGTGCGGTGGCTCACGCCTGTAATCCCTGCACTTTGGGAGGCTGAGGTGGGCAGATCACCTGAGGTCAGGAGTTCGAGACCAGCCTGGCTAACATGGTGAAACCCCGTTTTTACTAAAAATACAAAATAAAAACTAAAAATTAGCCAGGTGTGGTGGCGTACACCTGTAATCCCAGCTACTCAGGAGGCTGAGGCAGGAGAATCACTTGAACTCGGGAGGCGGAGGTTGCAGTGAGCCGAGATCACACCACTGCACTCCAGCCTGGGCAACAAGAGTGAAACTCTGTCTCAAAAAAAAAAAAAAAAAAAAAGCAAGCTGTACCTCAACCACCTTGGGCACATGTTGTCAGGACCTCCTGAGGCTGTGTCATAGATATATTCTTAACATTGGCAAAATAAACTTTCTAAATTAATTGAGGCCTGTCTCAGAGACTTTTGGGTTCACGGCTGTAAGAACAAAAGCTGGAATTGTCACCTGCACTAATTTTCTAGGGCTGTGATAACACAGTATCACAGACTGGGTGGCTTGTACAACAGAAATTTACTTTCTCACAATTCTGAGGGCTACACATCTGAGGTCAATGTGTCAGCAGGTTTGGTTCTTTCTGAGAGCTGTGAAGGAAAGATCTGTTTCAGGCTTCTCTCTTTGGCTTGTTGATGGTCATCTTCTTCCTGTGGCTTCACATGGTTTTTCCTCTGTACATGTTTGTATCTGAATATCCTCTTCTTATAGGAAGCTAGACATATTAGATTAGGGCCCACACTAATGACCTCATTATAACTTAATTACCTCTGAAAAGACTCTATCCCCAAGTCTGGTCACATTCTGAGGTACTGGCGTTTAGGACTCCAACATAGAAATTTTTGGAGGGACACAATTCAGCCCATAATAGCATCATAAATAAAAGCAGAATACAAACATTTGGTAGGTTTTACCTCATAAGCCTTTGTCTTATTAAATGTAATGAATTATTAACAAAAATATTTAAAAACTAACTTTATTTCGGAGAGACATAAACTTGATTTTTTCCCAACATATTTCAAAAATTCTTCTTAAATCCTTGCTATTTAGCATTTTTCTCCTGTGGGTATACTAATAAAACTATTTGACCATTCGAGACTGTATTTTAAAGCAGAGACATTTCCAACATTACACTAAGGCAATCATTTATTATACAGATTAGTCTAAAATTTTCTCTGAAATTAAAACATGGGAATAGGGTGCATTTGTATTGGTAGGTGTTATCTAATTATGAAAACTGATAGAATTAAAACATTAAAAATAGCCACAAAATGAGGGCAAGTCTTACTGACTTGAGATTTATCTTTTTAGCTTATAGTATCTCATTTCTGGTTTTGTGTGTCATGTGGAATTAAACATTAGTTTTTGACATGGAAAAGAAATTTCAAGAGATTAAGGCTTGAGAAATACAATTAAAGAACATCACAACTAAGGTCAGGCACAGTGGCTCATGCCTGTAGTCCCAGCACTTTGGGAGGCTGAGGCGGGGGATCACTTGAGGTCAGGAGTTTGAGACCAGTCTGGCCAACAGGGTGAAACATCATCTCTACTAAAAATACAAAAATTAGCTGGGCATGGGTGGCGCATGCCTGTAGTCCCAGCTACTCAGGTGGCTGAGGCAGGAGAATCGCTTGAACCCGGGAAGTGGAGGTTGCAGCGAGCCAAGATGGCACCACTACACTCCAGTCTGGGAGACAGAGTGAGACTCTGTCTCAAAAAAAAAAAAAAAAAGAATATCACAAGTAAAATTACCCATGATTTGTGTTCCCTAAGCACAAGCAAACAAGGCAATTGGAATAGAAAAATTATTTCTATTCCATGGAAATCAACTTTCTGGGAGGCTTTTTATCCCAACAATATTTGCCTTTTTGTATTTACAAAACACCGAATTTTTGACTCTGAAAAAAAAAATGCTACAGTAAAACCACAAAGTCTTGATTACCTATGAAATTCATACATTTCCTTAGAAATTGGGCCATAATTCAATTACCCCAAAGTGATTGTCAATTTTTACTTTTTAAAAAACTGTCAGCTGGGCACAGTGGCTCATGCCTGTAATCCCAGCACTTTGGGAGGCTGAGGCAGGTGGATTGCCTGAGGTCAGGAGTTTGAGCCCAGCCTGGCCAACATGGTGAAACCCCGTCTCCACTAAAAATAAAAAAATTAGCAGCTTGTGGTGGCACGTGCCTGTAATCCCAGCTACTGGGGAGGCTGAGGTAGGAGAATGGCTTAAACCCAGGAGACAGAGGTTGCAGTGAGCCGAGATTGTGCCACTGCACTCCAGCCTGGGAGACAGAGTAAGACTCCATCTCAAAACAAAACGAAACAAAACAAAACCTCTCATAAGAAACTTTAGAAGTTTTCTCAATAACTGGAACTCATTTTTCTAATGAATTCCATCATTTAAAAATATTTATTAAATGTCTACTATGTGTTAAATGTTACAGTAATTGCTAGGGACATCATGGTGAACACAGTCTGCATGCTCTTTGCCTCCAGTTATTTTGTACAGTATTTTGGCTTTATCTAATGTTTTCTTATGAAATGAGGGGTTTGTGATAGGACTATGAGTTATACGAATATGAGGGTGATGTTCCCTTTGATCATTTGGGTAAGGTAGTATCTGTTGAGTTTCTCCACTGTTTAGGTCTTTTTGTAAGTAATAAACATCTTGAGGGAGATATTTGAGACTATGTGAATATATTGCTTTTCCTCAAACTTTTGCTCACCAATTTTAGCACCCATCCATGGATCTTTCTATGGCAAGTTTTGCTGTGGTGTTTGACTGATGTTGAGTTTCTATTTCCCTCTTTCCTTCTGCATTTATTACTTGTAGTTATTCTGTAAGGAAATGCTGTCCCATCTCCCCATTTTATTTGTTTATTTATTTATTTATTTACATCACTTGTGGCTTAATGATGTTTATTTTATTCTATTTAATACTATCATTCTGTATTTTGTGGCCTAAATTGTTCCAGCTTTGATGTCCTTTTGATAAGCTCTAACTTAAAAATTCTTTTTAAATCTTTTTTTGGATTTATTCCAAACCCTTCATCTACCCAGGGCTGTTTTATTTTACAAGCATTCTTTGGCCTTATTAAAACATTGATAGTTGACAAAAAGGTTTATTGATGTGTAATTGAATAATTGGTACATGATAAACTTCGCATATTTGAAGGGTACAATCCGGCACATTTTGACATACTTATAGACCTGTGACACCATCACCACATTCAAGTTAACCCATTTATGCCTAATATCCCATTATTGGAACGCTATGCACGTGGGAGTTATTTATATCCTACTGCTCAAGGTCATAGCCAAGGTCTGATTGCAAAAATTTTAAAAATTGCAACCTCCAGCATAAGTGGGTTAATGAACATGTATATCACCCCTAAAACTCTCCTCATGCCTCCCCCTTACCCTCACCCAATATTCTGAGGCAACTGCTGATTTGTTTTCTGTCATTGGAGATTAATTCACACTGTCTAAAATTTCATGTAAGGGAAACCACACAACTTTCCTACTTGTTTCTTTCATTAGTATAATTATTTTGAGATCCATTCATGGTGTTGTATATATCAATCGTTTATTCCTTTTTATTGTTGAATATTATTCCACTGTATGGATATACATGTATCCATTGATGGACATAGGGTTCATTCCCTGCTTTGGGCTATTACAAATTGTTCCAGCACTTTCAACATGTGTTTGCGTGTCTTAGGAGTCGAATGATTGGATCAGTCACATTGTAGGTTAATGGTTAATTTTTTTAGAAACTTGCCAAACAGCTTTCCAGGGTGGTTATACCATTTTCTATTCCTATCAGAAGAATAGGAAAGTTCCAGTTCTTTCCTATCCTTTCCAACACTTGGTATGGTCAGTCTTTCGAATTTTATCTACTTTAATAGCTATATTATGGTATCTTATTGAAGTCTTTATTTGATAAATATTTTAAACACCTTTCCCATGCTCTTAGTAGCCATTCTTATCTCATCTTTCCTGAAGTGTTGACACAATTTTTTTATTGGATTGCTTGTTTTCTCAATATTACATTTTTAGAGTTTTTCATTCTGGATGACTTTATCAGATTGACGGTTTGCAATATTTTTTCTCAGTGTATGGCTAGCTTTTCATTTTCTTGGCAATGCTTTTAAAGGGAAGAAAGTCTGAATTTTGATAAAGTCTAATTCATTAACTTTTTCTGAATTAATTTTACTTTTTGCATTATATCTAAAAAATCTTTGCCTATCACATGATGACAAGGTTTTCTCCTCTACTTTCTTATAGGTATTTTATAGTTTAGGTTTTACATTTAGGTCTGTGATCCATTTTGAATTAACATTTTATATGGTGTGAGGAATGCATTAAATTCCTTTTTGGTTCACTTTTTTGGGTTTTTGTATTGTTTTGTTTTGTTTGCATATGGATATCCAAGTGTCCCAGCACTGTTTGTTGAAAAAACTATATTTTAATCTACTGAATTACCTTTGCACTTTTATTAAAAGATATGTGTGTGGTTCTATTTCTGGACTCTTTATTCTCTTTTATTGATTTATGTGTCTATCTTGACACTAATGTCTCACTATCTTGATCACTGTACCTTTACAATAATGCTTAAAATAAGATAGTGCTACTATCCAAATTTATCATTCTTTTTAAAAGTTCTCTTGGTGTTCCAATCTTTTGAATTTTAACATTTTTTAAGGATCAGTTTGTCAGTTTTTGTCAAAAAAAAACTTTCTGGAATTTTTATTGTGATCTCATTGAATTTATAGATCAATTAGGAGAGATTTGCCATTTTAATAATATTGATTCTTCCAAGCTGTAAACACTTGTTATCTCTGCATTTAACACTGTTATCGCTGTTATTTATTTATTTCTTCTGCACTTTCTCTCAGCAATATCTTATAGTTTTCAGTGTAGAGGTCACATCTTTGTCAGATTCATTCCCAAGTGTTTTTTATGCTATTATAAACAGTGTTTAAAGTTCAATTTCTCATTGTTCATTGTTACCATATAGAAATATAATGTATTATATTATATTAGTTCTGGTAGCTGTGTAGCACATTTCATTGGATTTTCTTCATAGATAGCTTTCTGTTTGCAAATAGAGACAGTTTTACTTCTTCCTTTCCAATTTGAATGTCTTTTATGTCTTTCATCACCTTATTACACTGCTCAGAACCTCTAGTACAATGTTGAAAACAGGTGGAGTGAAATCTTTGTGTTGTTAATTTGGGGGAAAATATTTAATCTTTTACTGCTAAGTATGTTAGCTATAGGTTTATTGTAGGTACTCTTTTTAAGTTTGAGCAACTTTTATTCCAAGTTTTTTGCAAGATTTTAAGATGAAAAATGTAAATATGATTTTGTGAAATGTTTTTTTCTCTGTCTTGAGATGATCATACAGTTTTTTTCTTTTCATTTGTTCATGTGGTAGATTGCATTGATTTTCAAATGCAAGCCAACCTTGTATTCATGGGATAAACCCCACTTTGCCATGTTATATTGTTCTTTTTATATATCAGTGACTTAGATTTATTTAGAATTTTTACATATATTTTTATGTGGAATTTTAATCTGTAATTAAAAAAATACATTTGTTAGTTTTTTTGAATCAATAATGCTGTCCTTGTAGAGAGAATTTGGAACTGTTCTCTCTAATTTTCTGGAAGAGTTTTTATAGAATTAGTATTATTATTTTCTTAAATATTTGGTAGAACTCACCAGTGAAGTTATTTTATCCTGGAGTTTTCTTTGCTGGGAGGATTTTAACTAAAAATTCAATTTCATTATGAGATTCAGGGCTATTTAGGTTATTTATCTTCTTCAGTGAGCTTTGGTAGTTTATGTCTTTAAAGGAGTTTGTCCATTTTTGTCTAAATTGTCAGATTTATTGGCATAATATTATTCATAGTATTCTCCTGTTTTGCTTTTAACATTTGTAGCATTTGTAGTAATGTCACCTCTCTCCTTCTTGATATTGGGCCTTCATTTCTTCTATCTTTTTTTTCTGATAAGCTTTTCTAGAAGTTATCCATTTTTTTTATCATCTCAAAGAACCAGCTTTTGGTTTTATTGATTCTATTTTTTCTGTTTTCTATTTCACTGACTTTAATGTTAAAAATTCTTATATATTTACCTACCTAGTTACCATTTCTGGTGATACTTAATATTTTAGTTAACTTTTTCTTAATTTAATGTTGTTCTATCAAAGTCATTAGAAAGTATTTGCTTATTTGGGAGTCCAAGGCAGGAGGACTGCTTGAGGCCTGGAATTTTGAAGTGATCTCATTGCTGGAGGTATCACCTGAAGTTCTTGGTGTCAAGAAAATTAAGGAGCATGGACACCAAGGATGAGGTTGGGGCAAAGTTTAATAAGTGAAAGAAGAAAGCTCTCTGCTGTGGAGAGGGATGCCATTTTGCAGTTGAATACAATAATTTTTAGAAACAGGCTGGTGGGACAGGATGCCTTATTTGCATAAGGTGCGAAAAACTGGTCAGGACTAAGTGTTTCGTTTGCATAAGGTGTGAATTCCTGACAGTTCCACCCTGTCCCTCTAGTGCCCATGTGGGCTGTTAGTCTGAGTTACTCCATGTTATTTAACTTCCCTACTGCCCATGTGTCAGGGGATGGAATTTTCCATTGTGGACCTGCCTGGTTCTGTGTATCTTATCTGTGCAGCTATAGGCATGTTTTAGGCAAGACTCCCTATGCAAGCTCCCTTAATTGAGTATGCCCAAAAAAGGAAAGGGATGTGCTCAGTGAAGCCCATCATGTATATGTGAATCTTGCTGGCTACACAAAAGGCAGTTTTTATGTTGGATCTTGCTTCCTTATCTGTGCTTGTAGCTTGATCTTTCAGGCTGCTCTTTTAGAAAAGAACTCTTCCAAGGACATGTCCTAAGTCTCTGCTTAACTTGTTCCTTCCTCTCTCCTCTCTCAGTTTGAGATCAGCCTGGGCAACATAGTGAGACCCTGTCTCAACAACAATAACAAAATTAAATAAAAAATTAGCTGAGCATGGTGGTGTGCACCATAGTCCTAGCTACTCAGGAAGCTGAGGCAGGAGGATTGCTTGAGCCCAGGAGTTCAAGGCTGCAGTGAACTATAATCATACCTCTGCACTCTAGCCTGGGTGACAGAGAGAGACTCTGTCTTAAAACAAAAAACAAACAAATAAATAAAAAAGAAAATATTTGTTTATGTATTTACTTTCTCCACTAGACTATAAAATCCTTGATGCGGGTACTGATTTTTATTAATATTTGCATTTCAAATGCTATAGCTCGAATACAGTGCTCAATGAATGTATGTATAATGAATGAAGGAATGGATGGATGGATGAATGGGGGTAATGAGACATACCGTAGAGTCTTTTCCTTAGGCAAAGGCACACTGACAAAGAGCCCTTTTTATATACCCTCTTCATCCAGAATCTGGGGAAGATATTGATGAGGATGGTGGAGAAGGTAGAGAGATTGGGGTTTTATACGTTCCTTTGTTCATAAAACATGTTAGAAAAATAATGTCTGAGTTGAGCTCCCTTCTCCCCAGCAACCTCTCTCCCCAGCCACCCCCACCATCCACTGCTCCTTCTGCCTTGAGTAGAGTCAGAGGAGAAGGCTGTGCAGGTAGTTTGAGAAGCAATCCTCGGAGGAAGAGTGAGGGACCAGGGGAGTGAGACAGGGAAAAAAGAAGAAAGAAAAGTGTACAGATTGCTGCCATGGGCAAGGAGGGCTTGGTTCTTTTTTTTTTTTTTTTTTTTTGAGATGGAGTCTCACTCTGTCACCCAGGCTGTAGTGCAGTGGTGCAATCTTGGCTCACTGCAACCTCCATCTCCCAGGTTCAAATGATTCTCCTGCCTCAGCCTCCCAAGTAGCTGGGACTATAGGTGTGCACCATCATGCCTGGCTAATTTTTCTATTGTTTTAGTAGAGATGGGGTTTCACAATGTTGGCCAGGCTGGTCTTGAACTCCTGACCTCAAGTGATCTGCCCACCTCAGCCTCCCAAAGTGCTGGGATTACGGGTGTGAGCCACCACGCCCAGCTTGGGGTTTGTTCTTAATAGACAACTTGTGAAACCAGAATTGTCCACCTGAAAGACAGGAGATGGAATGTTTATCCACCAAATCACATTCTTTATTTTTCAAGGGTTTTCCCTGGGGGAGTTCTGCAAAGTTCCTGAGTTATGCACATTTAGAGCCTAGCAAGCATACACCTGAGTCTTTAGTTATTAAATAGAGAAGTCAAAAATGAACATCTGGCTCATAATGCATGGCATATGGGGTAAGTGCATTGGGCACCCTCTGAAAGGCATTACAACTCAAAAGTACTATTTTACTTATGTCTTGAAAACTGCAAAAATGCCTAATATATCCTAAGCATATAGGCAATATAGAAAGGTTTAGAATAGAAATTAAATGCTACATTGCCATCTAGTTCCTTCTGTGTAACTTCATAAGCAATGAGTAAGACGCTTTTGTCATTTTCATTGGGAACATCTGAATTCCATGCTGTCTATGCCATGTTTGGAGTTTCTCATCTATCTTGGGTGGAAACTTGTTCCTGGTCATTGATTTTGGAAAGATTTACTCAGTCAGGGACGATTATGGTGAAGAACTTGTTAAGCTACCTTGTTTGTAGAGCCAACCAACCCCATCTTATTTATCTTGTCAATTCCACAGTTTCACATTTTCCAATTTATACACAGAAGAAAATACATCCCTTAGGAAAATGCCCTTAGGAAAACTTAACCTAGTTTGACTTCTTAAAATTTTTTTAACTAAAAAATAAATTCAGGTAAAAATTTGAAAAGTTACAAATAAAAAGCAAAAATAACAAGTTGTGTGTGTATGTGGGGTAAGGATTGAGTTGATAACTAAAAACCAAAAGGGACCTATGTTAGTTTTCTGAGGGTGCCATGACAAATTGCCACAAACTTCGTGGCTTAAAACAACAGAAATGTATTCACTCCTAGATCTGGAGGTCAGAAGTCTGAAAGCCAGGTGTTGCCCACACTCCCTCCGGAGGCTCTTGGGAAGACCTTGCCTTGCCTCTTCCAGCTTCTGATGGCTTCAGGTGTTTCTTGGCTTTCTTGGCTTATGGCCGCGTCTCTCCAATCTCTGCCTCCAGCTTCACATTGTCTTCTCCTCTGTGTCTGAGTCCTCTCTGCTCCTGTCTCAAATCAGCTCTGCTTTTCTGTTATTATTAGGACACTTGCATTGGATTTAGGGCCCACACAGATAACCTAGGATGATTTCCTCATCGCAATGTCCTTAATAACTCTTAAGGATGAACCTCAGGTAAGGAGAGGAAAAGGAACCTAGAGGAAAGGCATCTTATTTAGGAAACAAAGTGACACACATCTATAAAATATATTGGCAAGACTATAGTCTTGCCAATATAGGTAGGTAATCACGGTCATTGTTCTATATGCTTAATAACGTGGATTTGGAATCTAGTCAACATTAACAAAATGGGGGGAGGTTATTCAATGGGTACTTAAAACCTACTAAGGTATTTGTCTTGCTGAGAAGGACCAGGTGTGAAATAACTTTAGACTTTGTTAGTTGATAGTTGAGTATATATGTTACTACAAACTACAAAATAAGAAGTAAATCCAAATATACTAGCAATCAATACATTTCTTTATTTCTTTCCAATCTATTATCTTTTATTTTTTTTGGTCTTAATGCACCTGCTATGACTGTCAATACAATGTTAAATAGAAGTGGTGAGAGTGGACATCCTTGCCTTATTCCTGATCTTAGGAGGATCTGTGTTATCCTATTAAGTATAATGTTAGCGATAGTTTTTTTGTAAGCGTTCTTTATTGAGAAAGTTCCCTCTATTTCTTGTTTGCTGAGAGTTTCTATCATAAATGGTGTTAGATTTTGTCAAATGCTTTTTCTGCATCTATTAATATGATCATGTGCTTTTTGTTAGACCGTTGATATGATGTATTACATTGACTGATTTTCAGATTTTGAACCATCTTTGCATACGTGGAATAAATTCCACTTGATTGTAATGCATAATCCTTTTTATGCTTTGTTGAACTCAATTTGTTAATGCTTTATTAAGAAGTTTTATATCTACATTCATGAGAGATATTGGTCTGTAGTTTTCTTTTCTTATAATATCTTTCTCTGGTTTAGGTATTAAGATAATGCTGGCCTCATTGTATAAGTTAGAAAGTGCCCTCTGTGCTTCTATTTTCTGGAAGAGATTGTATTATTTTTTCTTTAAATGTTTGATAGAATTTACCATTGATTCCATCAAGGCCCAATGTTTTTTTTGGGGGTGGGGGGAGGGAAGGAAATAGTTATTATTATTCAATTTGCTTAATGGACATAAAATATTCAGTTTATCTATTTTTTTGTATAAGTTTTGGTAGTTTATGTCTTTCAAGGAATTGATCCATTTCATCTCAGTTATTAAATCTGTGGCCACAGAATTGTTTGAAATATTCTTTATTATCCTTTTAATATCTATAGAATTAGTATAATGACATCTTATTTATAATATTGGTAATTTATGTCTTCTACATTTTTATCTTGGTTAACCTGTGTAATGGTTTATCGATCTTATTGATATTTTCAAAGAACCAGCTTTTGGTTTTGTTGATATCCTACATAGTTTCTTATTTTCAATTTCATTGATTTCTTTTCTGATTTTTATTATTTCTTTTATTCAGTTTGCTCTAGGCTTAAATTGTTCTTCTTTCCGTAGTTTCATAAGGTGGAAGCTTAGGTTATTGATTTTAGATATTTCTTCTTTGCCAACATGCACATTTCATGCTATAAACTTCCTTCTAACTTCTACTTTTGCTGCATTCCACAACTGTTGATAGGTTGTAATTTTATTTATTTCATTATTTATTATTTTATTAAATAAGATATTTATTTATTAAATATTTTATCTTGAGACTTCTTTGACAAATGTAATATATAGAAGAATGTTGTTTAATTTCCAAATATCCAGGGATTATCCAGCTATCTTTATGTTATGGTTTACTAGTTTAGTTCCATTGCAGTCTAAGAATGGCCCGGCACATGACCTGTCTTGGTGAATGTTCCATGTGAGTTTGAAAAGAATGTGCATTCTGCTGCTGTTGGGCGAAGACTTTTATAAAGATAAATTAGAGCTAGTTGATTGGTAGTGACACTCAGGTTGTCTATATCCTTTCTGATTTTCTGTCAGCTCCATCTATCAACTACCAACAGAGTGTTGAAGTCTGCAGCGATAATAGTGGATATGTCCATTTCTTCTTTTAATTCTATCAAGTTTTGCCTCATGCATTTTGATGCTCTATTGTTAGATACATATACATTTAAAATTGTTCTGTTGTTTTGGAGAATCGACTCCTTTATAATTATGTAATGTCCCTCTTTATCCCTGATAATTCTGTCTGCTTTGTTGAAAAATAGAACTGTTCCAGCTTTCTTTTGATTAGTGTTAATATGGTATATCATTCCCCATCCTTTACTTTTAACATATTTGCATCTTTATATTTTATGTGGGTTTCTTGTAGACAACATATAGTTTTCTTTTTATTAACCCTCACCAAAAATTTCTGTCTTTTTATTGGTGTACTTAGACCATGCATGTTTAAAGTCATTATTGGTATAGTTGGTTAATACCTACCATATTTATTTTATATTTGCTGTATTTTTTTCTTTGTTTCTCACCTCCCTCACATGTTTCTGCCCTCTCAGGTTTTAACTGAGCATTTTATATTATTCCATTTTCTCTCCTATCTTGGCATATCAAATATACCTCTGAAAAAAATTTTTTTAGTGGTTGTCCTAGAGTTAACACAATATATTTTAAACTAACTTAACTCTACCTTCAAATAACACTATACTACTTCATGGGTAGTGCAGGTGCCTTATAATGGAGTATTCCTATTTGCTTCCTCCCTTCCCTTGTGACATTGCTGTCATTCATTTCATTTATACATATGCCATAATAGCCCCATACAATGTTATTATTGTTACTTTAAACAGTTATCTTTTGTATCAATTAAGAATAATAAATATAAAATGTTTTATTTTGCCTTCATTCATTCCCTCTCTGATGCAGCTCCACTCTTTATGCAGACCCAAGATTTTGACCTATGTTATTTCCTTCTGCCTGAAGAGCTTATAAAATTTTTGGCAGGGCCAATTTGCTGGTGATAAATTTTCTGTTTGTGTTTGTCTTAGGGAGTCTTTATCTCTGTTTCAACTTTGAAGGGTAATTTTTCTGCATATAAAAGTCTAGGTTGGTGTGAACTTTTTTTCTTTTGACACTTTGAGTAATTTACTACTCCAATTCTGGCTTGCATGGATTCTGATGAGAAGATTCTTCTCTTCCAAAAACTAATCTCTATCTTTGCTCTCTTAGCGTTAAGCTGTATTTTTCCTCTGTCTTCTTTAATGATTTTCTTTTTGTTTTGGTTTTCTTAGTTGCAATAGGCTATTCCTAGATATATTGGTATTTATTGGTATTACTCCTATTTGTCTTTGGTTTTCTAAGTTGCAATAGGATGTTACTAAATGTTATTCTATTGGTATTTATCATGTTTGGTGTTCTCTGAGCTCTGCATCTATAGTTTGGTGTCTGTCATTACTTTTGGAAAGTTCTTAACCATTATTACTTCAAATATTTCTTCTTCTCTGTACCTTTTCTTCTCTTTTGATATTTCAAATACGTATACACTGCCCATTTTGATATTGTCCCAAAGTTCTTGGAGATTCAGTTCTGTTTTTTAAAAAAAATATTTCTTCTCTTCACATTTCAGTTTGTGAAGTTTTAACTGACCTGTGTTAAACCTCAATGATTCTGTCTTTGTTGTATTGTGTATACTGGTGAGCCCTTCAAAGGGATTCTTCATTTCTGCCACAGTGTTTTTTACTTCTAGAAATTTATTTAGATTCTTTATTCCAGTTTCATCTCCCTGCTTGTATTATCCATGTTTTTTTTTGCATCTTGTCTACCTTTACTCTATTTTTCCCATTAGAGCTCTTAACATATTAATCATAGTCTTTTAAATTCTTTGCCTGACAATTTCACCATTTGTGTCATAGCTGAGTCAGATTCCAGCGTTTGCTTTGTCTCCTTGTAGTGTGTGCATTTTTTTTTCCTTTTAGCATGCCTTTAAATTTTTTGTGGAATGCTTGACGTGCTATATTGGTTAATAGGAACTGAGGTAAATAGGCCATTTATGTTAGGATTTATGTGAGAATTTATGTTAATCTGTTCAGGAGTTGGGCTGTTTAATGTTTGCTGTGCTATAGGTGCCAGAGGATTAAAATTCTTCTAATGTCCTTGTTTTCTAATCTTTCCTCTTCACTTTAACCTTTCATAAGTACTTTTCTTTAGAGAGAGTCTGAGTCTTGTGGTTCTTTTAGCTGGAACCCACTGTTATTATACTACAGCCCTGTAGGCATGGTAGTAAAGGGTGTGGTGTGTGTGTGTGTGTATGTGTGGGGTGTGTGTGATGTACAGTAGATCTGTGTGTGTGTGTAAGCATTCTAAAGTCACATGTTTAGATCTCAGTCTTTTAGTTAGCCTGTGTCTTTGTGTTGGCTGGTGTGATTGATCCTGATTACCAAAGGGAAATTGAACCACTAATCCACAATAGAGGTAAGGAAGAGTGTGTTTGGAATACAGGAGATATGTTAGGACATCTCTTAATATTACCATGCCCTGCAATTAAAGTCAATGGACTTTACAATGACAACAACCCAACTCCAGCCAGAGTACTAACAACACAGACCCTTCTGAATGAAGGTTAGAGTCACTCTACCAGGTGAAAAACCATGACCAGCTGAGATGCTTCCTGAGAACACAAGAAATACAGAATGGTAGTGGATGAAAGTAGTTATAAAAAGCAGCTAAGACTGTATGACCTGTTATGTAAAAAGAGAACTGCAATTGTTATGAGCATGAGTTTGTTTTGTTATGGATATGTATGTTTGTATAATGTCTTTGTTTTCTTCCCTCTCTTATCCCCTTATCATATAACATGTAAAGTATTGGCTCTGTATCATAGTATTTAAGCATTGTTAATTTTATTTCATAATACTTAAGTTGTAAGACATCAAGGAAAAGAGTAAACATCACCCAAGAACGTTGCATCCTTTTTGAGGAAAGGGTTAATGCACTTTTGGCCATACGCAGGATAGTTCTATCACATTAGGCAGAAGTATGACATTGTTATTGTATTTATTCTGAGAATAAACATGGTTTAAAGAGGTATATACGGGTGTCAAGTTGACAAAGAGTGGACTTGTGATGGTTAATGTTATGCGTCAACTTGGGCAGGCCATGATACTCGGATATTTAGTCAAATACTCTCCTAGATATTTCTCTGAAGGCATTTTTTAGGCGAGATTCATACTTAAATTAGCAGACTTTGAGTACAGTAGAATACCTTCCACAAGTCAGTTGAAGACTTTAAAAGAAAAAAGAATGATTCCCCCAATGAAGAGGGAATTCTGCAAAGCAGACTGCATTGAGAGTCAAGCTACCTTCAACAACAACTGTTACCTTAGTCTCCAGCCTGCCAATTCTGCAGATTCTGGACTTGCCAGCACCCCAAATTGCATGATCCAAGTTCTTAAACTAAATATCTCTCTCTGTCTTTATACACATATTATATATTATATTATATCATATTATATGTATATACAACTTAAATGTGTGTGTGTAAATGCATATGTGTGTGTATATATAGCATATGTGTGTATGTATACATGTGTATATGATGTATGTGTGCATGTGTGTATATATACACAAACATACATCTTTTCAGTTTTGTTTCTCTGGAATACTCTAATAGAGCATTTCTTTTAGAGGGGTGCTAATATAAATGATATCACATTTTTGATGTCAAAATCTAATTGTTCATTGTTGGTATATAAGAAAGCAATTGACTTTTGTATATTAACCATGTATACTGCAGCCTTGCTATAATCACTTATTAGTTACAACAGGGTTTTGTGTTGATTCTCTGGGATTTTTTTTAATTATTACTATTATACTTTGAGTTCTAGGGTACATGTACATAACGTGCAGGTTTATTACATACGTATACATGTGCCATGTTGGTGTGCTGCACCCATTAACTCGTCATCTACATTAGGTATTTCTCTTAATGCTATCCCTCCCCCCAACCCCCACCCCACAACAGGCCCTGGTATGTGATGTTCCCCGCCTTGCGCCCAAGTGTTCTCATTGTTCAATTCCCACCTATGAGTGAGAACATGCGGTGTTTGGTTTTCTGTCCTTGCGATAGTTTGCTGAGAATGATGGTTTCCAGCTTCATCCATGTCCCTATAAAAGACATGAACTCATCCTTTTTTATGGCTGCATAGTATTCCATGGTGTTTATGTGCCACATTTTTTTAATCCAGTCTATCACTGATGGACATTTGGGTTGGTTCCAAGTCTTTGCTATTGTGAATAGTGCTGCAATAAACATATGTGTGCATGTGTCTTTATAGCAGCATGATTTATAATCCTTTGGGTATATACCCAGTAATGGGATGGCTGGGTCAAATGGTATTTCCAGTTCTAGATCCTTGAGGAATCACCACACTGTCTTCCACAATGCTTGAACTAGTTTACAGTCCCACCAACAGTGTAAAAGAGTTCCTATTTCTCCACATCCTCTCCAGCACCTGTTGTTTCCTGACTTTCTAATGATCGCCATTCTAACTGGCGTGAGATGGTATCTCATTGTGGTTTTGATTTGCATTTCTCTGATGGCCAGTGATGATGAGCATTTTTTCATGCGTCTTTTGGCTGCATAAATGTCTTCTTTTGAGAAATGTCTGTTCACATCCTTCGCCCACTTTTTGATGGGGTTGTTTGTTTTTTTCTTGTAAATTTGTTTGAGTTCTTTGTCAATTCTGGATGTTAGCCCTTTGTCCGATGAGTAGATTGCAAAAATTTTCTCCCATTCTGTAGGTTGCCTGTTCACTCTGATGGTAGTTTCTCTTGCTGTGTAGAAGCTCTTTACTTTAATTAGATCCCATTTATCTATTTTGGCTTTTGTTGCCATTGCTCTTGGTGTTTTAGTCATGAAGTCCTTGCCCATGCCTATGTCCTGAATGGTATTGCCTAGGTTTTCTTCTAGGGTTTTTATGGTTTTGGGTCTAACATTTAAGTCTTTAATCCATCTTGAATTAATTTTTGTATAAGGTGTAAGGAAGGAATGCAGTCTCAGCTTTCTACATATACCAAGCCAGTTTTCCCAGCACCATTTATTAAATAGGGAATCCTTTCCCCATTTCTTGTTTTTGTCAGATTTGCCAAAGATCAGATGGTTGTAGATGTGTGATGTTGTTTCTGAGGCCTCTGTTCTGTTCCATTGGTCTTTATCTCTGTTTTGGTACCAGTACCATGCTGTTTTGGTTACTGTAGCCTTGTGTAGTTTGAAGTCAGCCAGTGATGTCTCCAGCTTTGTTCTTTTTGCTTAGGATTGTCTTGGCAATGTGGGCTCTTTTTTGGTTCCATATGAACTTTAAAGTAGTTTTTTCCAAGTCTGTGAAGAAAGTCATTGGTAGCTTGATGGGGATGGCACTGAATCTATAAATTACCTTGGGCAGTATGGCCATTTTCACGATATTGAGTCTTCCTATCTGTGAGCATGGAATGTTCTATTTGTTTGTGTCCTCTTTTATTTCATTGAGCAGTGGTTCGTGGTTCTTCTTGAAGAGGTCCTTCATGTCCCTTGTAAGTTGGATTCCTAGGTATTTTATTCTCTTTGAAGCAATTGTGAATGGGAGTTCACTCATGATTTGGCTCTCTGTTTGTCTGTTATTGGTGTATAGGAATGCTTGTGATTTTTGCACATTGATTTTGTATCCTGAGACTTTGCTGAAGTTGCTTATCAGCTTAAGGAGGTTTTGGGCTGAGACGATGGGGCTTTCTAAATATACAATCATGTCATCTGCAAACAAGGACAATTTGACTTCCTCTTTTCCTAATTGAATACCCTTTATTTCTTTCTCCTGCCTGATTGCCCTGGCCAGAACTTCCAACACTATGTTGAATAGGAGTGGGGAGAGAGAGCATCCCTGTCTTGTGCCAGTTTTCAAAGGGAATGCTTCCAGTTTTTGCGCATTCAGTATGCTATTGGCTTTGGGTTTGTCATAAATAGCTCTTATTATTTTGAGATACATCCCATCAATACCTAATTTATTGAGAGTTTTTAGCATGAAGGGCTGTTGAATTTAGTCAAAGGCCTTTTCTGCATCTATTGAGATAATCATGTGGTTTTTGTCTTTGGTTCTGTTTATATGCTGGATTACATTTATTGATTTGCGTATGTTGAACCAGCCTTGCATCCCAGGGATGAAGCCCACTTGATCATGGTGGATAAGCTTTTTGATGTGCTGCTGGATTCGGTTTGCCAGTATTTTATTGAGGATTTTCACATTGATGTTCATCAGGGATATTGGTGTAAAATTCTCTTTTTTTGTGGTGTCTCTGCCAGGCTTTGGTATCAGGATGATGCTGGCCTCATAAAATGAGTTAGGGAGGATTCCCTCTTTTTCTGTTGATTGGAATAGTTTCAGAAGGAATAGTACCAGCTCCTTTTTGTACCTCTGGCAGAATTTGGCTGTGAATCCTTCTGGTCCTGGACTTTTTTTGGTTGGTAGGCTATTAATTATTGCCTCAATTTCAGAGCCTGTTATTGGTCTATTCAGGGATTCAACTTCTTCCTGGTTTAGTCTTGGGAGGGTGTATGTGTCCAGGAATTTATCCATTTCTTCTAGATTTTCTAGTTTATTTGCATAGAGGTGTTTATAGTATTCTCTGATGGTAGTTTGTATTTCTGTGGGATAGGTGGTGATATCCCCTTTATCATTTTTTATTGTGTCTATTTGATTCTTCTCTATTAGTCTTGCTAGTGGTGTATCAATTTTGTTGATCTTTTAAAAAAAACCAGCTCCTGGATTCATTGATTTTTTGAAGGGTTTTTTATGTCTCTATCTTCTTCAGTTCTGCTCTGATCTTAGTTATTTCTTGCCTTCTGCTAGCTTTTGAATTTGTTTGCCCTTGCTTCTCTAGTTTTTTAATTGTGATGTTAGGGTGTCAATTTTAGATCTTTCCTGCTTTCTCTTGTGGACATTTAGTGCTATAAATTTCCCTCTACACACTGCTTTAAATGTGTCCCAGAAATTCTGGTATGTTGTGTCTTTGTTCTCATTGGTTTCAAAGAACATCTTTATATCTGTCTTCATTTCGTTATTTACCCAGTAGTCATTAAGGAGCAGGTTGTTCAGTTTCCATGTAGTTGTGTGGTTTTGAGTGAGTTTCTCAATCCTGAGTTCTAGTTTGATTGCACTGTGGTCTGAGAGAAAGTTTGTTGTGATTTCTGTTCTTTTACATTTGCTGAGGAGTGCTTTACTTCCAACTAAGTGGTCAATTTTGGAGTAAGTGTGATGTGGTGCTGAGAAGAATGTATATACTGTTGATTTGGGGTGGAGGGTTATGTAGATGTCTGTTAGGTCTGCTTGGTACAGAGCTGAGTTGAAGTCCTGGATATCCTTGTTAGCCTTCTGTCTCGTTGATCTGTCTAATACTGACAGTGGGGTGTTAAAGTCTCCCATTATTATTGTGTGGAAGTCTAAGTCTCTTTGTCGGTCTCTAAGGACTTGCCTTATGAATCTGGGTGCTCCTGTGTTGGGTGCATATATATTTAGGATAGTTAGCTCTTCTCGTTGAATTGATCCCTTTACCATTATGTAATGGCCTTCTTTTGATGTTTGTTGGTTTAAAGTCTGTTTTATCAGAGACTAGGATTGCAACCCCTGCTTTTTTTTTTTGTTTTCCATTTGTTTGGTGTATCTTCCTCCATCCCTTTATTTTGAGCCTATGTGTGTCTCTGCACATGAGATGGGTCTCCTGAATACAGCACACTGATGGGTCTTGACTCTTTATCCAATTTGCCAGTCTGTGTCTTTTTTTTTTTTTTTTACTTTTTTTAAAATTTTATTATTATTATACTTTAAGTTTTAGGGTACCTGTGCACAACGAGCAGGTTTGTTACATATGTATACATGTGCCATGTTGGTGTGCTGCACCCATTAACTCGTCATTTAGCATTAGGTATATCTCCTAATGCTATCCCTCCCCCCAAGTCTGTGTCTTTTAATTGGAGCATTTAACCCATTTACATTTAAGGTTAATATTGTTATGAGTGAATTTGATCCTGTCATTACAATGTTAGCTTGTTATTTTGCGCATTAGTTGATGCAGTTTCTTCCTAGCATCAATGGTCTTTACAATTTGGCATGTTTTTGCAGTGGCTGGTACCAGTTGTTCCTTTCCATGTTTAGTGCTTCCTTCAGGAGCTCTTGTAAGACAGGCCTGGTGGTGACAAAATCTCTCAGCATTTGCTTGTCTGTAACAGATTTTATTTCTCCTTCACTTATGAAGCTTAGTTTGGCTGGATATGAAATTCTGGGTTGAAAATTCTTTTCTTTAAGAATGTTGAATATTGGCCCCCACTCTCTTCTGACTTGGAGGGTTTCTGCCGAGAGATCAGCTGTTAGTCTGATGGGCTTCCCTTTGTGGGTAACCCAACCTTTCTCTCTGGCTGCCCTTAACATTTTTTCCTTCATTTCAACCTTGGTGAATCTGACGATTATGTGTCTTGGGGTTGCTCTTCTCAAGGAGTATCTTTGTGGTGTTCTCTGTATTTCTTGAATTTGAATGTTGGCCTGCCTAGCTAGGTTGGGGAAGTTCTCCTGGATAATATCCTGCAGAGTGTTTTCCAACTTGGTTCCATTCTCCCCATCACTTTCAGGTACACCAATCAGATGTAGATTTGGTCTTTTCACATAGTCCCATATTTCTTGGAGGCTTTGTTAATTTCTTTTTACTCTTTTTTCTCTAAACTTCTCTTCTCGCTTCATTTCATTCATTTGATCTGCTATCACTGCTACCCTTTCTTCCACTTGATTGAATCAGCTACTGAAGCTTGTGCATGTGTCACGTAGTTCTCATGCCATGGTTTTCAGCTCCATCAGGTCATTTAAGGTCTTCTCTATGCTGTTTATTCTAGTTAGCCATTAGTCTAATCTTTTTTCAAGGTTTCTAGCTTCCTTGTGATGGGTTCAAACATCCTCCTTTAGCTCAGAGAAGTTTATTACTGACCTTCTGAAGCCTACTTTTGTCAGCTCATCAAAGTCATTCTCCGTCCAGCTTTGTTCCATTGCTGATGAGGAGCTATGATCCTTTGGAGGAGAAGAGGTGCTCTGGTTTTTAGAATTTTCAGCTTTTCTGCTCTGGTTTCTCCCCAGCTTTGTGGTTTTATCTACCTTTGGTCTTTGATGATGGTGACGTACAGATGGGATTTTGGTGTGAATGTCCTTTATGTTGATGTTGATGCTATTCCTTTCTATTTGCTAGTTTTCTTTCTAACAGTCAGGACCCTCAGCTGCAGGTCTGTTGGAGTTCGCTGGAGGTCCACTCCAGACCCTGTTTGCCTGTGTATCACCAGCAGAGGCTGCAGAACAGTAAATATTGCCACCTGATCCTTCCCATGGAAGCTGCATCTCAGAGAGTCACCCAGCTATATGAGGTGTCAGTCAGCCCCTACTGGCAGGCGTCTCCCAGTTAGGCTACACGGGGGTCAGGCTACTTGAGGAGGCAGTCTGTCTGTTCTCAGAGCTCAAACTCTGTGCTGGGAGAACACTGATCTCTTCAGAGATGTCAGACACAGCCATTTAAGTCTGCAGAAGTTTCTGCTGCCTTTTGTTCAGCTATGCCCTGCCCCCAGAGGTGAAGTCTACAAAGGCAGGCAGTCCTCGTTGAGCTGTGGTGGGCTCCACCCACTTTGAGCTTCCTAGTGCCTTTGTTTACCTACTCAAGCCTCAGCAATGGCAGACGCCCCTCCCCCAGCCTAGGCTGCCACCTGGCAGTTCAATCTCAGACTGCCGCACTAGCAGTGAGCAAGGCTCCGTGGGCGTGGGACCCGCCGAGCCAGGCATGGGATGTAATCTCCTGTTGTGCCATTTGCTAAGACAGTTGGAAAAGCACACTATTAGGGCGGGAGTGTCCCAGTTTTCCAGGTACTGTCTGTCACAGCTTCCCTTGGCTAGGAAAGGGAATTCCCCCTGACTCCTTGTGCTTCCTGGGTAAGGCAACGCCCTGCCCTGTGTTGGCTCACCCTCCGTGGGCTGCACCTACTGTCCAACCAGTCCCAGTGAGATGAACCAGGTACCTCAGTTAGAAATGTAGAAATCACCTGTCTTCTGCATCGATTACGCTGGGAGCTGCAGACCAGAGCTGTTCCTATTTGGCCATCTTGGAACAATCTCCAATTCTCTGAGATTTTCTAAATAGACAATCATGTCATCTGTGAACAAAGACAGTCTATTTCTTCCCTTCCAATCTGTACTTTTATTTCCTTTTCTTATCTTATTGCATTAGTGAGTACTTCCAGAACAATGTTGAATAGGAGTGGTGAGAGGGATAGCTTTGCCTTGTTTCTGACCTTAGAGGGAAAGCATCCAGTTTCTCACCCTTATGTATCATGTTAGTTGTAGGGTTTTTGTTTTTTTTTTTTAATCAAGTTGACAAAGGTCCCCTTTGTCCCTAGTTTGCTAGGAGTTTTCATCATGAATGGGTGTTGGATTTTGTCAATTGCTCTTTTTGTACCTATTAATATGATCTTATGGTTTTTCTTCTTTAATGTGTTGATATGAGGGATTATGTTACTTGATTTTTGAATATTGACCTGTCTTGCACACCTGTAATGAATTCCAGTTGTTCATAGTATGTAATTCTTTTTATATATTATTTGATTTGATTTTCTAATATTTTATTGAAGGCTTTTTCATCTAGGCTAACGAGAGATATTGGTGTATAATTTAGGTTTTTCTACCCTGGCACTAGTTCCCATGAAGGCTGCTGCTCCTTGGCTTCTGTTCCAGTATGTGGTGATTCTCTATATGCACCTTTCTGTCTCTTCCTATTTTGGGGCAATGGTTTGGCCTGTAAACTCAATTCTATGATCTAATAAGAGTTGTTTATTTTCCATTTATGTCTTTCTCTTGTGAGGGCAGGAGTGATGGCTTCTTAGTGCCTTATGTGCTGGGCTAGACTGGAAATGGTTTTTTATTCTACCTAAATTGTGGATTTTCATCCTGGGAATCCTAACACTCTGAAGGGGTTAGGTGAGGTGGAAGAAAGATGAGATAAACGACTTGAGCTTTGCTAGCCAAAAGGTCTCTTTCCTGAGTACTTTAATCTGTCCTTGTCATTCAAAAGCAGCCATGGGCAATAGGGAAACAAACCAGTGTGGCTGTTTCCCAATACAACTTCATTTACAAAATGGGCAGTGGGCCAGATTAGTCAGCCCCTCATGTAGACAAAGTCCTGCCTATATATTAAATGGCAGAACAAAAAAGTAAGAAAGAACCTGGATGGCCTTGTGGAGCCACTGTACCATCCCTGCAAGTTTGTGTGGACTTCTTGCCCTGTGAGACCTACTAGCCCTAAGCTAAAGCTGCTGTTAGTCAGGGGTTCTGTGACTGATAGTTGAATGCATTCTCAATTGGCATGACAAACCCATATCTCATTTTCTTGAGCATTCATTGTTATCATTTCTCAAGGCTTTCTTTTCTACCCACTCATTACTTTGTTCCAACCATTTCATGTACTCATAACTCCACTTATAATCTATCCATAGATTGATCACAAAATTATCCATTCCAGTACAGACCTTGACCCTGACTTCTAGACCTATAATATACTTATGTATAGATATGTGCAGCATATGTTTTATGTATGTATTCAAAACTTCCAACTACATGGATAGATGTAAACATAAATATATATGTATGGGTATTCATATAGAAACATTTTAAATTCCTCTAAATACATCTTGGGCTAACATGACAGTCAATTTTAGCTGAAGGTACAGAATTCTAACAAAAGTACCTAATATTATAACCTACAAGATGTGGCCAAAATGTCACTCAGAGGAAAAATTCTAACCTTAAGTGAAATTATTGGAACACAAAGAAAGACTACAAAATAAAAATAGCAAGAAGATGCTAAAAAAAGATTAATACAAAAAATCAGAAATTAATAAAATATTGCAAAATGAATATATTTGAAACCAACAGACCAGATATGCCAGGGCATGGTGGGTTAAGAAACAGTGAGAGAATTCACAAATGAACAATGTTGGAAATGAGAAAGGCCATATACTCAAGATACGAGGAAGTTTTAAAAATTATTAAGGACTACTTATAACCATAAATACGATAATATAGATTAAATGAATTTTCCAGTAAAATATATGTGAATGACATTTACTTGATAATAGCTTGCAAATGCAAAAATACTAACTGGAGCAAAATCAAAGGTAGTGAATGATAGTTAACTGATTGTAAGCTCTTTGAAAGAAGCTGCCTTGTTCACTGTGGGGTCCCTGACACCAGACCTATGCCTGGTGCTCAGTGGTTATTGGCTAAGTGAATGAATGAATGAATGACTGCTCCATAAGGAAAGAGGCTAGGAGACTTGCACAAGTAAATTCTACTAACCTTTAAAGCACAGTTAATTTCCATGTTTGAGCATGGAAGATAATGTAAGGCTTTCTACCTCATTCTACAAGACTAGGACTTTCCTGATACTAAAAAACCAGATACCACACAAAGAAACCCATACCTCAATTCAGTGCATAGATGTAAACATCCTATGTAAAATGATGCAAAACCAAATCTAGCTGTGTATAAAAGAATCACGACTGACCGGGCACAGTGGCTCATGCCTGTAATCCCAGCACTTTGGGAGGCTGAGGCAGGTGGATCACCTGAGGTCAGGTGTTTGAGACCAGCCTGACCAACATGGCAAAACCCCGTCTCTACAAAAAATACAAAAATTAGCTGGGTGTGGTGGCACGCACCTGTAATCCCAGCTATTCTGGAGGCTGAGACAGGAGACTTGCTTGAACCTGGGAGGCGGAGGTTGCCGTGAGCCAAGATTGCGCCACTGCACTCCAGCCTGGGTGACAGAGCAAGAATCCGTCTAAAAAAAAAAAAAACAATGTCCAATTGTCTATTTATGGAAATGCAAAGTGTTTCAACCTTTGGTAGTCTATGAACGCAATTCACTACATTCACAAATTAAAGAAGAAAAACAAAAAATCTCTGTGATGGTAGCTGAAAAGGCATTCAATACAATTCAACATTTCTTACTGAATATCACATTTTGTAAATTAGGATAAAAGAAACTTTTTACTGTGATAAAGGAAATCTATTGCACGTAAAGCAGCTAATGGTGAACACTAAACATTCCTATCAAAATCAGGAACAAACAAGAATTCCACTACTGCTGCCGAAGTTTGCCTTTTTCTGGAGGTTCTAGACGCTAACAGAATAATAAAAATATATTAGAGGTGTAAATATTAGAAAGGGAAGAGCAAAACTCTAATTCCTGTTAAATGATCTGACTTTTCTGTTTGTTTTCTGTTGCTGCATAACACATTACCAGAAACTTAGTGCCTTAAGACAATTCCCATTTGTTTTCTCACAGTTCTGTTGTCCAGAGTCTGGCCGGGCTGCACTGGGTTCCCTGATTGTGGCCTCGAGAGCCTGAAATCAAGGTGCTGGCTGGGCTGAATTCCTGTCTGGAGAGTCAGGGAAAACCCACTTCTAAGCTCTTGGGTGTTGTGGTCACAGTTCAGTTCCTGGGGTTGCCCAGCTGAGCTCCCTGTTTCCTTGACACATGTCACTCTCCATCTCAGCGACAGGGAGTCCCTCACATAGAACCCCCTCGTGCTTCACATCTCTGAATTCCTCTTCTCTCTGCAGCTGCAGAAAATGCTCTGCTTTTAAAGGGCTCATGTGATGAGGTTAGGTCAGCCCAGATAATCTCTCTGTCTTAAGGTCAACTGATTGGCGACCTTAATTATCTCTGCAAAATCCCTTCTGCAGTGTAACCTAGAGGGAGGCCAGGGACAGGTCATAAGCCCCATCTTAGAATTCCACTCACCACAACTTCTAAGAAAATCCCAAAGAAGCAACTGATAGCATGATAACCAGATACAAGATCAAAATGGAAAAATCAATCGCTTTCCAATAATTCACTATAAAAAGTACTGGGGAAAAAATTTCAAGCACGTAAAGAAACAGAAACTAAAAACAGCCAGAGATAAAACTAATAAAAATGTGCAAGACCTAGACAAAGAAAATTATAAATGCTTATGAATGAACACAACAAAGAGACCCCAAAAGTGGGGAGATTGAGCACATTCCTAGGTCTCCTTTTTATTTTCTTTATTCTTTTTCTTTTTTTTTAATTACACTCTGAGTTCTGGGACACATGTGCTGAATGTAAAGGATTTTATTTCTGCTTTGCTTATGAAGCTTGGTTTGGCTGGATATGAAATTCTGGGTTGAAAATTCTTTTCTTTAAGAATGTTGAATATTGGCCCCCACTCTCTTCTGGCTTGTAGGGTTTCTGCAGAGAGATTTGCTGTTAGTCTGATGGGCTTCCCTTTGTGGGTAACACAACCTTTCTCTCTGGCTGCCCTTAACATTTTTTCCTTCATTTCAACCTTGGTGAATCTGATGATTATGTGTCTTGGGGTTGCTCTTCTCGAGGAGTATCTTTGTGGTGTTCTCTGTATTTCCTGAATCTGAATGTTGGCCTATCTTGCTAGGTTGGGGAAGTTCTCCTGGATAATATCCTGAAGAGTGTTTTCCAGCTTGGTTCCATTCTCCCCGTCACTTTTAGGTACACCAATCAGACACAGGTTTGGCCTTTTCACATAGTCCCATATTTCTTGGAGGCTTTGTTCATTCCTTTTCACTCTTTTTTCTCTAATCTTGTCTTCTCGCTTTATTTCATTAAGTTGATCTTTAATCTCTGATATCCTTTCTTCTGCTTGATTGATTTGGCTATTGGTACTTGTGTATGCTTCATGAAGTTCTCGTGCTATGTTTATCAGGTCATTTATGTTCTTCTCTAAGCCGGTTATTCTAGTTAGCAGTTCCTCTAACCTTTTTTCAAGGTTCTTAGCTTCCTTGCATTGGGTTAGAACATGCTCCTTTAGCTCGGAGGAGTTTGTTATTACCCACCTTCTGAAGCCTACTTCTGTCAATTCGTCAAAGTCACTTTCCGTCCAGTTTTGTTCCCTTGCTGGCGAGGAGTTGTGATCCTTTGGAGGAGAAAAGATGTTCTGTTTTTTGGAATTTTCAGCCTTTTTGCACTGTTTTTTCCTGATCTTCATGGATTTACCTACCTTTGGTCTTTGATGTTGGTGACCTTCGGATGGGGTTTCTGTTTGGACATCCTTTTTGTTGATGTTGATGCTATTCCTTTCTGTTTGTTAGTTTTCCTTCTAACAATCAGGAGCCTCTGCTGCAGGTCTGCTGGAGTTTGCTGGAGGTCCACTCCAGACCCTGTTTGCCTGGGTATCAGCAGCAGAGGCTGCAGAACACAAAGATTGCTGCATGTTCCTTCCTCTGGAAGCTTTGTCCCAGAGGGGCATCTGCCAGATGCCAGCCGGAGCTCTCCTGTATGAGGTGTCCGTCAACCCCTGCTGGGACGTGTCTCCCAGTTAGGAGGCACAGGGGTCAGGGGCCCACTTGAGGAGGCAGTCTGTCCCTTAGCAGAGCTTGAGCACTGTGCTGGGGGATCCACCACTCTCTTCAGAGCCAGCAGGCAAGAACGTTTAAGTCTGCTGAAGCTGTGCCCACAGCCACCCTTTCCCCCAGGTGCTCTGTCCCAGGGAGATGGGAGTTTTATCTGTAAGCCCCTGATTGGGGCTGCTGCCTTTCTTTCAGAGATGCCCTGCCCAGAGAGGAGGAATCTAGAGAGGCAGTCTTGCTACAGAGGCTTTGCCGAGCTGCGGTGGGCTCCAACCAGTCCGAACTTCTTGGTGACTTTGTTTACACTGTGAGGAGAAAACCGCCTACTCAAGCCTCAGTAATGGCAGATGCCCCTCCCGCCACCAAGCTCGAGCATCCCAGATCAACTTCAGACTGCTGTCCTGGTAGCGAGAATTTCAAGCCAGTGGATCTTAGCTTGCTGGGCTCTGTGGGGGTGGGATCCACTGAGCAAGACCCCTTGGCTCCCTGGCTTCAGCCCCCTTTCCAGGGGAGTGAACAGTTCTGTCTTGCTGGCGTTCCAGGCACCACTGAGGTATGAAAAGAAAAGAAAAAATCCTGCAGCTAGCTTAATGTCTGCCCAAATGGCCACCCAGTTTTGTGCTTGAAACCCAGGGCCCTAGTGGCGTAGGCACCCAAGGGAATCTCCTGGTCTGCGGGTTGCAAAGACCATGGGAAAAGCGTAGTATCTGGGCCAGAGTACACTGTCCCTCATGGCACAGTCCCTCACGGCTTCCCTTGGTTAGGGGAGGGAGTTCCCTGACCCCTTGCACTTCTCGGGTGAGGTGATGTCCCACCCTGCTTCGGCTCACCCTCTGTGAGCTGCACCCACTGTCTAACCAGTCCCAAAGAGATGAGCCGAGTACCTCAGTTGGAAATGCAGAAATCACCCACTCTCTGTGTTGATCTCGCTGGGAGCTGCAGACTGGAGCTGTTCCTATTTGGCCATCTTGCCAGCCACCTCCTGTATTTTGTTCTCATAATCTAATATTTTTTTTTTTTTTTTGAGACAGAGTTTCTCTCTGTCTCCCAGGCTGGAGTGCAGTGGTTTGATCTTGGCTCACTGCCTCTTCATTCTTTTTAAACAGTAAATGAATAGCCAGGAAAAAGTTCAGGAAGCACAAGAAGGAGAACATGGTCTACCAGATATTAAGTTATACTCTAAATTATAGTAGTTAAACCCGTGTGTGAGCTTACAGAACGAATCAAAGAGAGTAATGAAACCCAAGAGAGCATAAACATGAAACATAGAATATTCTACTAGTAGCATTCAAGTGCAGGGAAAGTTTGAACTGGTCAACTAAGGGTATTGAAACAACTGATTCTCTATTTAGAAAAAAATGTTAAATTCCTACCTCACAACATGCAGAATAATATATTCTAGATGAATTACGGAGCTAAATATAAAAAACAACAACAACAAAGACCTTAGAAAACACTAAAAAAAAGGAGAATAGATTGTATTTTAAAATTTGGCGATGGACTACGGGTTTTGAAGCAATAAAAGATACAGCAAGGAAATTTCAGGAGGTCTGACTACACAAAAATTGAAATCTATGGACCAAGAAGACCTCATAAATTAAGTCAAAATGCAGGCAACAAAATGGCTTGAGCTCCTAAAAAATTACTTCTCAATTAATTGTCCTGTGACATTAGCCTTCTTGAAAAGGTAGAGATTTGTAAATATGCATATCCATACATAATGCACCTTTAGAGGATCTGATAGGACTCAGAGTAAATAATACCCACAGTTACCCACAGGAAAGGATGGGACAGCTGACAGCGGAGCAGGGAAGGGCGCGCAGAGGGTGACCTTAAAAGATTTATTCTATGTCAACTTCATGTTATTGGAGTACTTCCTGACATCCACATTTCATTTCCTTTTTATTTGGTTAGTTTAAAATATTTCAGAAATAACGTGTTTTTAAAAGTTAAATAACACATAGGTGTGTAGAGTTAACATTGAAAGACTCCTTCAGCTAACAACGATTCTTAGCCCAATTCTACTCCCAAGGGATAATACATTTTGTGTGTAAATCCTTATAGACCTTATTCTTTCATTACAGAATTAATTTGAGATAATTTTTAAAAAGTATGTATACACATAGATAAAAAAATGGGAAAACACACGTAATTTCACTAGCATAAAACGTAGTTGGTTTTATTCATATCCCAAGTATTTTCTATGCACTTATAAAAATATAAATAGTTGGTGTCATAAGATACATATTGCCGTGTAACCTTATTTTTCACATCAAAATATGTATTTTGAGTCTCATTTCATGTAAATAGTTATAATTCTAGTATTGTATACAATCATAGTCATCTGCTTTTTGATGGCTGTGATTGTATACAATACTATAATTAAATTACACCCTTAATATTTCAATATTCGGGTTATTTCTATTTTAATGATAAACAGTGCTTGTAATTGATACTTTCTTGTATATATCACCATACTCTTTTCTAATTACTTTGCTTTTGATTTTGCGGTTAACGTTTTTTGTAAACAACACAAGAAATACCAATGATATTTGTATTTTAAAATATTATGGCAAAAACTATCATAAAAAAAGTCAAAGGACAAATGATCAACAGAGAAATATATGTGACAAATAAAGAGTTAACATCTATAACACAATAAAATGCTTGAAAAATAAAAAGATTTTAAAATCTCAGTGCGAAATAGTCATAAAATATTAATAGATAGTTTTGAAGAAAATAATTACTAACGATCAATAAACATATGAAAATATAATTAATTTGACTATTTGCCAGAAAAATGAAATTTTAAGAAATAGTAAGATAATTTCATGCAATCTATTTGCTTAAAAGTGAGAAAAAATGACACCTTGGTGCCGGAAAGGATTGGGGGAAAAGGCACTTGCATACTTTGCCCGTGGGAACAGGAATAACCGCAACTGTTTTGGAAAGTGATCCGGCAATATCCATTAAAAAGTTAAAATGCGCATACCCTTTGGCCCTACAATCTCATTTCTCAGAATCTACTCTATAAAAATAAAAGTATCTGTACTTGAGGATGTCTATTGCAACACTTTTTGGCCTGGCAAAAAACTACAAGAAGTGTGAAAGGCAATCTTCACAGAAATGTACACAGCATGAATCCAGTTTTATAAAACAGGAAATGGTTTTATAAAATATTATCAAAAACAGTGTTTGCCTCTGGTTATATGAATGTGGTGAAAGTTATGGCAAAGAGTACATCTGGCCTTTATCTTTGGGAGGCAGTAGTTTAATATAAAGAAGCCAGGGCTGGGTGATGATGATGATGATGATGATGATGATGATGGTGATTTTACTAGGAGTATAGATTACTGTCTAACCAAAAAAAATTTTTTTTTGGGACAGAGTTTTGCTCTTGTCGCCCAGGCTGGAGTGCAGTAGTGCGATCTTGGCTCACTATAATCTCTGCCTCCCGGGTTCAAGTGATTCTCTTGCCTCAGCCTCCCTAGTAGCTGGGATTACAGGCGCCCCCACCAACACGCCCGACTAATTTTTGTATTTTTAGTGCAGACGAGATTTTGCCATGTTGTTCAGGCTAGTCTTGAACTCTGTGACCTCAGGTGATCTGCCCATCTCAGCCTCCAAAGTGCTGGGATTACAGGTGTGAGCCACCATGCCCAGCCTCCTAACTGAACGTTTTAAAAAGAGACAAATAAGTTGGACTCTAGAGTATGGTGAAGAACTTCTGCACATGTATATAGGTAATGGGGCAGAAAGGACTGCGTCATCACCCGAAAGGCGCACATGTCAGCAGCAGAGTATGGGTCTATGCAGATAAGACCATCGACTGCCTATCCACATAAGGTTATGAAGCATGGGCTTCCACAACATCCCTGGCTAGAAGACTTGTTGCCCAACTTCCAGTTCCTGGTCTCTTCCCTTATCATCTCCCTCAACAGTCTGCTCAACAGTCTGCACCTGTTGAGTTCTCTCCCTGGTGGTGGGTTCCAAAGGCCATATAAGTCACCTTCAGAGCCCTTTCCATTGGCTGTGGGTGGAGAAGCTAGGAAGCTGCAGTCTTCCCTTCTCACCCCCTCCTTCTGTCCCTCCCGTCCTATGTTTCCTGGCCAGCCTGTGACAGCTTTGCTGGGATATGCTGTAATGTCCAGAGTTGGATCCAGCACCAGCAGGATGAAAATAGAATCTGGGAAACTAGCATAGTACTCACCCTGCTCAAAATCAGAAAGCCTGGAGAGGACAAGAGGACCGGGAAATACCCACATTTCTTCTGTCCCCAGCAGGAGTCTGGAGTTGCAGGAACCAGGAAAAGTCAGGGTACCAGGAACACACAGTCAGTTGAAATGAGGACACGAGGAACTGGCTTCTCTCTCTTTCCTGCCCCTCCTTGGAGCCCTGGTGCTGGCTGCTGCATTACTCAGCCATCTGCATGAGGGTTGCCTGGGTGGCGATCTCTGGAATCACAACATTCTGGGGTGACGTTCCCAACTAAAAATAATTCCTAAGCCTGGGCATTTGGCACTCTAGTGCAGATCCAAAGAGGCAACTCCTTCAGTCTCTGACCTTGAAATGAGATTCCCCCCAACCCACCCCCCACCCCCCCGCAAGAGCAAGAATGAGCAGCTCTTCGGCTCCTTCAGCCAGGGAGCAAACAAGAAGTGGCCTCTGAAAGATCCTAAAACCATCCTAACATAAAAATGCCCCCATTCTCTTTATGTGAACTGCGTGGCTAAAACTATCCTAACATAAAAATGCCCCCATTCTCTTTATGTGAGCTGCGTGGCCGGTCAGCCACTTTTCCTGGACTGTGTGGAGCAGGAAGCAGCTGCCCTTCTCACCAACCTCCCGCTTCTCACCTCATTCAATGCTTACAAGGAGGGACTCACTGGATTTGAATGAATGACAGGAGGGACTTTCATTCCAGTTGCCTTGCTGTTCAGTCTGGCACGTCACATGCCAGGTGGTACAGCAGAGTGACTTGGCAGGCTCTGGAAACACACTGCAGGAGGTTCGTGAGTTCATGTCCCGCTACAGACGTTGGGATTCAGGACACTTCTCTAGGCCTCAGTTTTCCCAACTGAAAATGAGGATAATGACCACTCATGAATGAGTTACCGCAGATGAAGCACTCAGCACTGAGATTTTCCAGAGGTATCAAGGGCCCTTCTTTTTTATTCCCTAGTGAAACACGTTGCCTGCTCCCTTATAAGAAAGTATCATTGAAAAGGGTTTTAAGATGCCTGACTTGAATCACATTCGTGAGATTCTACATGTGCACGGGGCTATCCTCTGCTGCTGGCATCACGATAGGTTGTTCACATTTATTATTTCTACTTTTCATAACAACCCAGCTGGCCAAAAGTACCACTATTTTTATGAGTGGTAAGCTGGAACTTAGCCCTGTTTAGGGCCCCCTGTTTTCCTCTACCCTGCTGCCTCCCGTGTTCCCCACCATGCTGAGGGTGTATGGGCATCCTGGATGTGCGTGATATGTAAGGCACGTGGTGCTGGTGAGACGTAGGCATTCCCGGGCGATGGTCTACAGCGCCTGCTTCACTCCCAAGTGTTTACTGATGCAGCTGGAAACAAGACAGAGGAAACTCCTCTCAGAGAGGCTACATCACAGTGGACATAGATGGACAGTAAACAATTAAATAAGTTAGATACACAGCATGCCAAGCCATGGTAAATGCATGGAGAAAATCAATCAGGGAGGCAAACGGGGAGTTCTGCATGGGCTGGGCTGGAAGAGGGATGATTTGTGAATTTTAAACAAGATGACCACTTCTGAATTCTTCTCTGAGGTAACCATAACCTACTGGTGAACTCTAAACAGTGTATGGGCTGTGAGAGGTGCTGGCCAGCGAATCTGAACTGGGGGCTCTGAGGGGAAAAGCAGTTTTGCAGCCATGACCTAGAGCCACACTCTTTCATATGGTTGCCACCAGCCATCTGTGGCTATTTAAAGTATTTAAAGTTACATAAAATTAAAATTTCAGTACTTTAGTCATACCCCTCAGTGGCCACATGTACTGGATGGTGCATGTCTGGAACATTCCATCCTTGTAGAACATTCTGCGGGACAGCGCCATTCTCAAGTAAAGACGTGGCATATGGCAGTCCGTGAGTGGGAGGCATGGCACTGTAGTTTTGGGATGTGGTGTAGGTTTGGTGATAATGGGGTCAAGGCAGTGATCTTGAAGGAAGCGGTTATAGCTCCAGGAGGTATGTGAAGCAGCTACCTTTGGCAAAACACTCATAATACAAAAGAGCACACAGATATACATCTTCAGGCAAAACTTTAATTCAGTCAACCTGACTTAAAATCACCATACTCCTTCCTTCTCCTCAGCTTCATCATCCCCATCACTACATTATCAATATCATCATACATCTGCCACCAACCTCCTTTGATTACTTTTTTTCCTGTGATAATGTATAATGCAACAGGATGGGTTTTGCTTGTAAGTATAAAATCAACAGGTTCTCTTAGGTTTAAAAAATTACACAAATGCCCAAACCCTTGTGGGCTTTAGGTAATTCTTTAGGTACTTCTCTCAATAATTAATCAGTAGAACTAATAGAAACTGATAGAAAATAAGCAACTCATGGAACAATTATCAGTTTCATAATAACCCAAGATAGTTCATTAAGAACTAGAAAAAAGGCTGTAGCATAATGTTCAAAAGTAAAATATTAGTAAATGTGATGCATGATACTTGGGTGGATCTTGTGTCAAAAGAAAAAAGTCAACTGTGAAAGATATTCTTAGGACAAAGAAAAAAATTTGAATATGGACCAAAGACGTAGACAATAGTATTGTGAGCTGGGCATGGTGGCGTATACCTGTAATCCCAGCACTTTGGGAGGTCAAAGTGGGATTGTTTGAGCCCAGGAGTTTGAAACCAGCCTGGGCAACATGGTGAAACCCCATCTCTACAAAAAATACAAAAATTAGCTGGGTGTGGTGGCATGTGCCTGTAATTCCAGCTACTTGGGAGGCTGTGTTGAGAGTCCAGGAGTTCAAGGCTACATAAGCCATGATCTCACCACTGCACTCCAGTCTGGATGACAGAGTGATACCTGTGTAAAAAAATAATAATAATTAGTATTCTATCAATGTTAATTTCCTGAGTGTGATAATTATATAATTATCTCATTTAATAGGAGAGAAATGCTAAAGCATTCAAGGGTTCAGTGTCATGATGCTTGTAATTAACTCTCAGATGCTTCCTCAAAAAAAAAATCACATATATGTATATATAATACAAATATGGCAAAACAGTAACAATTGGTAAATCTAGGTAAGGATATGTAGACGTCCACTTGATTATTTTTTGCAAGTTTTCTGTATGTTGAGTATTTAATAAGTTGGAGAGAAACTAAAGGATTTTTTAAAAATGAAGTAATATGAGAAACTCTCTACTACAGTTACCATGTTTATAAGCCTTTCAGAAGAACTAGTAGATAAATAGTTTATTTTACATATTTGAATTACCACTGAAAATTTTTTTCTCCCTTTCAAAACATTGGTCCCAGCTTATTAAAAGGATTACGCTTTGCACTTGAATTTAAAGCCAAATTTCTCCAAGCGCTTTTGCATAAAGATTTGTTAATGAAATCTTAACTTTTGGGATAAAACCTTAGCATGTCAGAATCAGACTCTTGGGCATCTCAAGTGCAAATTCCTTACACTCCTTATGAGTTTGGTCATCCCTCTTTGGCGGAGTCAGTTACATTTCTACAGAGGATTTCAAGGAGAAATGTTAAGATACTCACGCACGCTGAGGGGCCTCCAGCAGCCACGTGCCCTGCCTCTTAGGGCCACTCTGGGTCACAGAGGACAGGAGAAAGAAACTTGGGTCATGGTGCAAAGGAGAATGAAGAAAACTTACCAGTCATTTTGGATCAGAGAGAGAGAAAAAAAGGAAACCTCTCCCTTCTGTTCACATCAATTAGGACTCTTTGCAATAAGTGACAGAAAAACTCAACACCAGATGAAGCAAGAAAGGGAACTGAATGACTAAACTACTGAAATGTCCAGAGGAGGACAGGCAGATTCCACTGCTCAGTGTCACAAGACTTGGTGTTTTTTTCCCTCTCAGCTCTGCCTCTTCCTGTGGGCTCTAACTTCAGGCCCTTCTCTCAGGGGAGCAAAATGGCTGCCAAGGCCCCAGCCCTTATCCTTTTACTGTAAACCAGTGAGGAGAAGCAAAGGGCTGTTTCCCAGAAGTCCCAGGAGATACTTCATTGGGTCTCAAGGTGTCACATGTCCACCCCTGAGCCAATTAGAGTGAGGGAGGAAATGAGTGTGTGCCTGGATGCCGAGACACACCCTCACCTACTCCATGACCTGGTGCCCTGAGGACGGGATCACAGTGGGGCCCCGAATGACTGCTAGCAGAAGTGGGGTGCATGACTCTGGGTTTCCATTACTTCCTGGAAACCATTAGATAACTTAATGGAGCGTGCAACTTAGGGTAGAAAAGAGGGTTTTAAGGTGGAAGGAGAAGAAGAAACATCTTACTCTTTTGAAACACTGTGAATCTGCAAAAGACAAAACATTCCTTTCTTTTGCATAGAAATATTTTTTGTTTCTGAGCTTAATGGCACTCGGAATTGGATTGAGAATGTTGTATCTTTCCCTATACGCCATTGGAACAGAAAATTCTCTCACATTTCTGGAGTGGCTCCCCACCCTGAGCCCTGCCCTCCTGTACCCGCCAGGAACTCCTGAGGGTGCCTTCTGGCTGGAACAGCAGCTTCCTGGAATGGAAAAGTCTAAGTGTGGAACTCTGGGCTGTCTGCCCTCACCACTGTCAGCACCATTGCACGGAGGGCTAAGCAGCGGACCACTGCACTAGGGATGTACAAGAAGAGTCCGGGGGTGCCTGAGGCTGGTTTTCCCAGAAGCAGACACTGAGATTAAGATCTGAGTGCAAGGGATGTTTTAGGCACTGATGCTGGGAAGCACTGGGAGGGGCGTGGATGTGAAACAGAGAAGAGAAGGAAGTCGATGCACAGGGTGCTTTACAGACGTTATCGCTGTGGGCAGTAGTGGCTCAACCCCACTGGAAGCCTCTAGAGGAAAGTTAGGACACACGTCAGACTCAGGTCCCGCGTGTGAGTCAGGCTCCCTGGGCCCTTCAATGGAGAAGTGCCGCTGCATCTGTGAGAAGCCACTACTGTGCAAGCTTCCAGTGGGTGCCACGGCGGGCGATGGGTGCAACTCAGCCATGTCCAGGAGAGGAGCATCCCAGGCACTTGTTGGAAGCATCATTCTAGGGATGCTGTTGCCTGAGGAGCCAAACAAAGAGGTGATTGTATCCAGGGAAACAGGACAGACTCTCAGGTCCCCTGGGAGGTGAGAACATCTTCTTTCTCAGGCCCAGATGTCACATAACTCACAAAAAGCCAAATGATGGATTACAAACTGTAGGAGGGCTGGACACACAGGATTAGCTACTGGGGCTCCCCTCACTAGCCGGGGCAGAAGATGGCAGCACTGCCCAGCTTTGCATTTTGAGGAACCCCTGCTCACACATCGTGGAGGAATCTGAATGACAATCTGAGCAAAAGCCTGAATATATTCACTTTCTTGCTGAACAGGGTTACAGAGGAGACTTGTAGCAATGAAATAAAAGGGCAACTACAGGTGGAAAGTGAGCTAAGGGTCATGAGTCCTCATGCACTCCAGGCACCAAAGCCGATTTGGTAAAAGAACACTGGGCCCTCAACAGGCAAATGAAGAAGCTGGTCATCTTCAGAGTGGAAATGCTAAGGCTCTCGCACCAAGACAAATAGACTGAGTCTGAATCTCACCTGTACTAGCCATGCATCTTTGGGCATGTGATTCAACCTCTTTAAGCTTTTAGTTTCTCATCAGCAAAGTTGGGATGTAAAATGTAAGTCTGTCTTGAGGGTTAGATGGGATGGTAGATGGCATGTGTAAAGTGCCCTCGTTATGGGAACTCAGTGACTGAGAGGCATCTGTGGGGCCAGCCCTGCTGTCATTAGGTATGAATATCATTACAAAGGCTACAACTGGTTACCTTACATGCTATTTCTATAAGAAGGCCAGGGAAAAGAAAGAACAAACACACAAAAAATAGACACAAGAGGAGAAACTAAGATCCCCTAGGGAGATAGTTGACTTTGGCAAGCTATTAATATAGTGAAGTTATTAATGCATGTGGAGTGTGTCCATTTTCTTGGCATCTATTCAGTTTCCTATTTTCTCTAGAGGGATGCTAAGTGGACAGGGTGGGAAAGGAATAGGAAGGCCAAGAAAAAGCTATTATGGGTGACCCTTTCCCACTCACCCAGAAGAACTTCAGGAATGGTCCAGGCTTGAATCAGCAACTAGCTCAGCAGGTCTTCCATGTGAGCCTCTTTGGCTGAAGCCACAGACATCCTGACTTTGTGCTCAAAATAGAGCACTGATTCAGAAGGCGTCTTCATAAGAGACTGAAATGAAACAGCAAATTGTGCTGTCACAAATGACGAAGGAGGGTTTTAAAGGACTGTTTTAGGGGGCGCTTCTTTCTCCCCTTTGAAGGCTGAGGTCATTATCTGCACTGTGGGCATGTGGGCTCAGAGCCTGTGTTTCCGTGGCACTGTGGGTTGGCAGCTTATTCATGTGGTGGTGAAGACTCATGACTTGCTGTTCTTGCCCTTCATTGCAGGGCTCAGTGGCTAAAGGGCTTTATTGTTGCTGCCATGTAAAGCCTTCTGTCCTATGGAAGCTCCGTGCTCTGGCATCATCTATTTCAGGAGCCTGTGACAGTGGCAGCGTCATACCCTAAAGCTGGAACTTACAGACAAAAGCGATGGGCCAGTATCGGTCAGTGTTCTAAAAGATGAGCTTTGATTTGACTTAAGTGTTTCCCCTCCACAACAGCATGATAGACCAAGATACTTCTGACTACATCTCTCTGTGGATCTGCATCTGTCAGAGGGGAACAGAGTAGATTGTCTACCCACCTCAGAATGCTCCCAGAGACAAGACAGCCCCAGTCCCTTCCCTGTAGGAGTGGGGAGTCCAACCATTCATTGGCAGAAAGAGCCAAGTACACATATTCAGTTCAAACTCATAGCACATTTAAAAACGTTCGCTCATTTTGAAATCATTTCAGATGTACAAGAGTTGCAAGAATATTACAAACAACCCCCATAGACCCTTCACTCAGATTCCTCAGATGTTAGCATTTTACCATGTTTGTCTTATCATTCTCTATACATACATACTAGTTTTCTGAACCTTTTGAAAGAAAGTGGCAGCCAAAACCTCCTCTGCTCCTAAACAGTTCAATATGTAATTCCCAAAAAACAAGGACATTCTTTACATAATACAAGTATCAACATCAGAAAATCCACATTCAAATAATATTATCTAATCTCCAGGACTTGTTCAGATTTCACCAATTGTCCCAGTAATGTCTTTTATTTTATTTTATTTTATTTTTTTTTTTAGACAGAGTCTCGCTCTGTCACCCAGGCTGGAGTGCAGTGGCGCTATCTTGGCTCACTGCAGCCTCCGCCTCCCAGGTTCAAGTGATTCTCCTGCCTCAGCCTCCCAAGTAGCTGGGATTAAAGGTGCCCACCACCACACCCGGCTAACTTTTTGTATTTTCAGTAGAGACAGGGTTTCACCATGTTGGCCAGACTGGTCTTGAACTCCTGATCTCAGGTGATCCACCTGCCTCGGCCTCCCAAAGTGCTGGGATTAAAGGCGTGAGCCATGGCATGCAGCTCCCGTAATGTCTTTAAGAGCAAAAGAAAAATAAATTCTTGTCTGGGATCCATACATTGCATTTAGTTGTCATAGCTCCTTAGTCTCTTTTGATGTGGAGCAGTTCCTCAGTTTTAATGAGATTGGTATTTTTGAGGCATACAAGCTATCCACTTCATAAAATGTCCATAAGTTTTCATCCTAAAGAATGAATTAATGAGAAAATCACCTTTTGGTAACAGTCATAGTTATATTGACTCAGACAGCTGTCAGCGGAAGACAGAACTAGCTGGTGAGGAGGAATAGGATGTTTTCATGATCTCAGTGCAGCTCCTCGCGGAATACTGATGGATTACGAAGGGAAAAATAGTCACTTTACACTGGTGCAGGCTGGCAGGCCTCACCTTAACCAGCGGATCACAGCTGGCATCAGAGATGGTGGACTTCACGTACTTCCTGATATGATGTGCTGAGAAAAACATAGCTTTTTGCACTTCTCTTGCTTCCCACCAAAATTGCGTATCCTGAATCTATTCATGAAGAAACCTCAAACCTAACACATTAGAATGTTATCACAACATGGGAAAAATCTGGACTACAAACTTTTTACAGGCAGGAGACCTCCGCAACACTAGCAGCCTTCTCTAAGATGAGTTCACTAGACCTTTGCTTTCAGAGCCTCAGCGAGGCCTTTTCAGGCTCTCCCTGCTGGGTCAAGTCTCCTACTCTAAACACAAGAGGGACTTGCTAGCCCGCCCCAATTCCCAGTGGTCCTCGGCCTTAGTTCCTTGTTTTGGAACCTCTTTTTCCTACAGAGACTTGAAGATCATTCAACACTTCCAGTTTTGAGACAAAGCTGTGTCCAAGCAAGGTTGTCCATGAGCCTCGACTGGGCTTCCCTCCTGGTCCTGCACAGCCCAGGAGCTGCTGCCTCAAGGTCATCTTCACTGAACCCTGCACGGTGCTGGACAGCCCCAGCTCTGAAGTGTGGGTCAGGCCTGAACACTAGCCCTGCAGCCTGGTCGAGTGCCCATGGCTCTGTCTCCATTTTCTCATCGGATTCATGGGACCAAGGACGCCGATACAGTAGGGCTGTGGACAGCATAGGTCGATGTCACTGTAGAATGGTTATCACGGAGCTCAGCATATAGGCAACGTGCAGTCAGCGTTAGCTTTTGGTATTACAGTCGTCAGCGGGCTTTTAAGCCTATACATTCTGAAGCCAAAGATTTGCCTGGTGAAAGTATTTACAAGTGAGTGACTTGCCTGGGTTCAAATCCTCTCTCCACTATGTCCTACCTCTATGCTCTTTGGCAAATGACTTAGCTTCCTTTATGAGATAATTGCAAGGATCAATTAAATGGTGCCTGGCACAGAGTATGAGCTAGGTGAGCTTCAGCTATTCTTCTTCTTAGCTCCTTTTTTTTCCCCAAAAAAAGCTTACATTTGGGTGAAACTTCTGGGTTTATGTGCACACTCCCCTTGTGATGCTGATCCTCACTAGAAGAAGAAAGGGATCATCTTCCATTTTACAGACAAGAGGACTCAGGGAAATCAGGGAAATTACACTACCTCAGCAAAACTACACATTTGAAATAGCAAAGTGGGGCATTAATCCTGGGTCTTGAACACAAGCATACTGTTCTTTACAGCTGTCATTCTTCCCCCAAATATTTGTGAAATGCTATGTGCCAAGTGCTGGGCCAGGCGCTGCAAACACAAAGCCCCTGAGTGGGAGGAATCAAGTGAGAAGAGGAGATGGGCGGGGTTCCAGGGAGGTGAGGGTGTGGCACCTGCTCTAACATAATGTGCCTCTAACTCAGGCGAGGGCTCAGGGACAGTGATGCTTGAGACAGGTACTAGAGGGATTTAGAATAAGCAGATGGAGTAGCTGAAAGATGAAGGAAATCCAGGAAAAATAGCAATGTGAAGGCAAGGAGGGTGAAACAGGCAGAGATATTTGGAGGCACAAGTAACTGAGAATGGCTGGAGCCACAGGTGCTGGAGGGGGTGCTGGGTATGGGTGAAAGCAATCTGAGTGGGCTTCCTGGCAGGCTGGAGATTCACACTGTTGCAGCTCTGGGCGATTGCCCACAAGGCATCTTCAGGGAGGAGGTTTTTTTTGTTTGTTTGTTTGTTTTTAATGCTTTTCTCCTAGAGTCTCAGGATAGTCATTTTAGCACTCAGTTTTAAATGCTTCCACCAAGCATGCTGTAATTCTATTTAATTACTCTCCTTCCTTCCCCATCGGAGGGTCCCATCCCTTGATCAGCCTCCATGTGGTGTTTGGAGCATGTGATGGGAGACTGGCGGCCCCCACAGCCACCCCAGGGCCTGTGCTAAGGGAACAGCTGGTACTGTTCTCAGCAGATCTCAGTGGTGACCTGCAGGAATACACCAGCAAACCAGGGTTGACCCAGAGCCACAGGGGACAAGCTCATGTCACAGAGCAGCCAACCAGGTGAGTGACAAACCTACCTCTTCTTGAATACACTAAGGGATGGAGGTATTAGGCAGGCAGAGAAGTTGCATTTGGATGTGTCACTGTGAGGTACCCATGGAAGGCCCCTAAGGAGATGCCCCATACGCAGCTAGCAGTTTGCATCTGGAGCTCAGAAGAGAAGCCAGGCTGGGGATGGAGGTTTTGGTCATCAGCACACCTGTGGAAGTTCAAGTCTTGGGTGAGGTCACTCACGGAATGAGAAGAGCCTGCAATGAAAGGTGAGGTCTTAGAGAAAGCCAAAACTTCAGGATATACAACACCTGATTTCCTTTTTATACTGTTTTTTACAGGCCTCCTCCCAGCCATAACCAAAAATTACTTTTTCAGAGAGCTGCATAAGTCCAATATGCTAATATGCTAAGGAGACATGTCTTGATTTAGAGCTCATAACATTATCTTCCTGACCAGTTACTGCGTTCGAGGGCTCACAATTTTTTCCCTTTAAATGATAGATAATAATTTACATATTTATGGGGCACACGTGAGTTGGTTACATGCATAGAATATGCACAAGGATGAAGTCAGGGTATTTTGGGTGCCCATCACTTTGAGTGTTTATCATTTTTGTGTGTTGGGAGCATTTTTAGAGCATTCAAGTCCTCTCTTCTAGTAACTTTAAAATGTACACAATATTGTTGCTTAAGTATACTTTCCTAGTCTGCTATTGTATTAGTCTGTTCTCATGCTGCTAATAAAGACATACCCAAGACTGGGTAATTTATAAAGGAAAGAGGTTTAATGGACTCACAGTTCCACATGGCTGGGGAGGCCTCACAATCATGGGGGAAGGCGAATGAGAAGCAAAGTCACGTCTTACATAGCGGCAGGCAAGAGAGCATGTGCCAGGGAACTCCCCTTTATAAAACCATCAGATTTCATGAGGTTTATTCACTATTGCGAGAACAGCACGGGAAAGACCTGTCCCCATGATTCAATTACCTCCCACCAGGTCCCTCTCATGACACGTGGGAATTATGGGAACCACAATTCAAGATGAGATTTGGGTGGGGACACAGTGAAACCCTATCAGCTATCAAAGGATAGCTTATTTTTTCTAACTGTATGTTTGTACCCATAACCAACCTCTTTTTATCCCTCTCCTTTTGACTTTTCCATTTCTGATATCTATCATTTTATTCTCCATCTCCATGAAATCAACTTTGTTAGCTCCCACATGAGTGAGACCATGGAGTATTTGTATTTCCGAGCCTGGCTTATTCCTCTTAACATAATGGCCTCTAGTTCCATTCATGTTTCTGTAAATGACAGGACTTCATTCTTTTTTATGGCTGAATAATATTCCACCATGTATGTATACCACATTTTCTTTATCCATTCATCCAATGATGCACACTTAGGTTGATTCCGTATCTTGGCTATTGTCAATAGTGCTGTGATAAACATGTGAGTGTAGGTATCCCTTTAATATACTGATTTCTTTTCCTTTGGATAAATACCCAGTAGTGGGATTGCTGGATGATACAGTAGTTCTATTTTTACTTTTTTGCGAAACATCCATGTTGTTTTCCATCGTAGCTATACTAATTTACATTCCCACCAACAGAGTATAAGAGTTCCTTTTTCTCTGAATTGTTGCCAGTATCTGTTGTTTTTTGTCTTTTTAATAATAGCCATTCTGACTGGGGTGAGATAATATCTCACTGTGGTTTTGATTTGCATTTCCCTGATGATTAGTGATGTTGAGGAGCTCACATTTTAATTTTGTAAGGTCCTCCTCATTCTCTCTGAGTTCCCTGTCATTCTCGGTCAATTTCAGAGTATCAGGGGCAGGCATTTTTGCCCGATGGTGTTTTGGAAAGAGGAATAGTCTCTCTAAATAACTATCCTGCTTCCTCTTCATTTCCATACCAAAGTCCCTTCACTTCACCCACCACAACAATAAATAAATTCACAGAAACAATGGGGCTAACGAAATGCTTCCTCTCACAGGTTCTAGGGGCAGCATGATCTTTGGACAGTTTTGCTTGGTGGCTATATATTCCACCCCAGCATAATTTCTTGAGAGCATATATATTACTTTTCCCTTAGTATTCCACATTAGCTAACTGGCCGTTTTAGTATGGTCCTGTAGGAACATAAACATTTAGAGAATTTCTTGTAATGACAAGTAGAGATAATCGGTTTGAGGCCAGTGAGCTAGTTATGTTTAGGAAAATCACCATGGGATTTAAGATGATGCATTGATGTAATGCAATTGGTGGTTTATGAAAATTCTTTTAGACTAACCTCGGCCGTATAAGCACAACCACATTCCTTGCTAGTGAATAGGAGGCAGGGCCCAGTGGAATCATTTTTAAAGTGTTCCATTACAAACCTTTCACTTCTACCTCTCAAGGGAGAAGGGGACTGGAGGGGGAGCAGGGAGGACTTCACAGCGAAATTTTCTGTGGAAGCCTGTTTGAAGCTATAAGTAGTCAAAGGAAAAATCCAGAAATAGTTTAGGAAATTAGTCATCTGTCTCCAAACTGTGTTCAGTTACAGTTTTGGGTTCCACTTTATGAAATGTAAAAAAAAAAAAAAAAAAAACAGAAATCTGGAAAGATTAATAATCATTTGTGTAAGGGTCAAAAAGGTCCAGTTTTTGCCCAGAAAGAGGAAAAAAAGTTCCCATTTGCTAAAATATTGTCAAAATAATTCCCAGGATGGAAAATTACATTCTGGGAACTGGGAAACATGTTGACTTTCTCTACTTTTACTAGTTTTGCAATACTAAAATGTTGATAATTAGGTTATACTAGATGTCTAATGTTGCTTATTTTAAAGCACGAGTACATAAATTATTAAGTGCATTTTTCAGTGCACACACACACAGACACGAGGAAGCTACCCATTAATATGTGCCTATCCTCTATTTTTTTTTTTAAGTGAGCTAAAGGAGAACTAAAATGGGTCGGGTGCGGGGGAAGTAGTATTCCACTATTTCTATACCTATTAGTTCACCAACTTACTATCATGATCATTTTAAGGCAGTTATTTTGCTCTTCACTGTTCTGTTAAAACCTGTGTTTTAAAGAATAAGGGAGTCTAGGGAAATGGAATGGAAGAATTCATACAGAGCTTATTTTTAAAAGAAAAGAAAAAGTCTTTGCAGCCATAACGAATCAGCACTGCCAGCCTTGGTAGGGAGAGGCTGGGGAGAAACCTGACTCTTTACTAGAGGCCATGCCAGGCTTTCCCGGAGAGTGTTTGGCTTGGGTATTTCTCAGGCATTGATAAAAAGCTTCTTGCCATCGGAGTGAACAGGCCAGAGAGCGTCTTGTACTTAGACTGAAGACACTTGTAAGAAGTTAGAGAGCGGAGACTCTACTGAGCTGACGCAGGGCTGCACGGTGTTTACTACAACCCCTGCCTCAGTTGGGCATGTTTGGTTGCAGGTCACAGAATATGCAAAAGTGGTTCCACTTTTTGGAAAAGCGGTTGAAGATGCTCACACATGCCTCAGTGCATGCATCACCAGGGCATCTGGTTAAAATGCAAATTCTGGCCCAGCAGGTCTGGGTGGGACCCTGGATCCTGAATTTTAGCCATCTCCAGGTGCTATTGATTCTGTTGGCCCAAGGACCACGCTGGGTAGCAACAGTTTAAAAATCCAGCGCTGATTGCCTTCTACAGCAACATGTCTGGAGACTGGACAGTGCCCAGGTTGGTGCAGTGGCTGGAGCCACTGGCCTTCCATTCTATTCCCCTAGACGCTGTTATTCTTTAAGACATACATTTTAACAGAACATCGAAGAACAAAATGACTGCCTTAAAATTATCATGATAGTAAGTTGGTGTACTAATAGGCATAGTAACATGAACGACAAAAGTCAGCCCATCCTCCCTCCTGTCAGCCGCAGGCTTCTGTCTTCACAGCGGCAAGGGCCACATCCTCACACACACACTTTTCCCTTCTTCTGTCCCCCCAACCCCCAAGACAGTCTGGTGGCCAGGATGGCTTCAGGCCCACACCTGGCTTCACAAGAAGCGGGAAAAGCAGCCATCTGGAATTTCCAGCTCCTGTGGGAAGGGGCGCCCTGTCAGCGAAGCAGTGGGCATAGGGACGGACCGTAGCAGGGTGGACACCAACAGTCTCTCACCACCATCCCCCACTCTGTCCTCCCCAGGCCCCAGCAACAAGGGGGAGGTGCCTCCATTGTGCACAAACGGAAAAGCAGGTTTTACTACATTGAATGCAATAAGGAAAATCAGCAAGTAAAGTGTATTTGAGATTTTTTGTTTTTTTTTTTTTTTTTTTTTTTGAGACGGAGTCTCTCTCTGTCGCCCAGACTGGAGTGCAGTGGCGCGATCTCGGCTCACTGCAAGCTCCGCCTCCCAGGTTCACGCCATTCTCCTGCCTCAGCCTCCCAAGTAGCTGAGACTACAGGCGCCCACCACTAGTGTAGTCCTTTAAAATTTGAGATTTTAAAGGAAAGTTCTGCTTTTACCTAGGCGACTGTATTACATCTAACACTACCTAGCAATTGGAGATGCGTTGCTGATGTGTTCTCTCTGATGATCATCAGCATGTTATTTAATCTCTTGAGATTCACCAGTCTCCTCTCTATCAGGGAGTGACCATATCCTCCCCTCTGAATTAGATTACACTACATAGATTGCATGTGAAATTATCTCGCTAGAATTTTATGTAAAAGAATCAAGCTCAGTGCATGGCACGTGACGGGTACTCAACAAAAACAAAGCTGTATAATATAGTACATAGGGTTATTCTTGTGTCTGTGTGTGTATGTGTGCTTATGCACAGTATGAGAAGATTGATTATATATTACATTTCTACTTTCAGTTTTTCTATGCCAATTGAAATAAATCCGTGACAATATTACCTAGGTCATCTTAATTAGTCATGCAGTTAGAGATGGGAGGTCTCAGTCACTCCCTGGCAGCTATCTGAATTGCTGGTAGACTCCAAGAAGAAATGCACCACTTTTTAACGTACTGGCCTCACAAATCCAAACTGAAAAAGTGACTGCAAATATGCCAGTCACCACCAATAATAACATAGTTTTACTAGTTGCAGGGATGGAAACATCACTGTCTAGGATGTCTGCATCCATTAGTTAACTGAACCAGCTTCTAATAGTTTTATGCCTACTCAAGGTAATGTGACTTGGCTTAAACAAACATGAATGTTAAGAGTTCACAATTAAATCATTTATTCATCTATCACTAATTTGAAAAATACTGAAAATATTTGTTAACCATGGTATAAAAATATATCTAACCAACTTTAATAGTTGAGTAAGCATTTGACACCACCATTCCATACTTAAATACCTATTTAACGTGAAGTTTGTTTCTTTTTGTCTTGCACAGAACTCAAGGAAGAAACATTTTTGCCAGTGAGCATATTTTTAGTTAGTGTGCAACTAAATTTGTTTCTTTTAAATAGAATATTTGATCTTATTTGTTCTTATGCTAGACTTGTATAATTATACTTGTCAGGGGCAAACAAATAATGTAATGATTCTGAAATATTATTTCTTAAGGAAAATAATTATACAATGATATTTATGTACTTGAAAGCATGTTATCTTTTAAAGTTTTACTGTGGGAGGCCATAAACTTATTCAAATGATGCTGAAATTGCTCAAAATAGTTTTAGAGTCTCTCTCTTTGGATATGGGCTCAAAAGCCAATGCATAAATTATATAAAATTTATATCATTTTGTGACCAATCTGAAGAACTGTAGTAACAAAACCAAAATAATTTAATTTGGTTTGCAAATGCTCTACAAAGTACAATTATATTTGCTCTGACTTGTGAGGTTTTCTAAAAAAATCAAATAACTGAGCATGTATTATTTTTACAGTAAATTAAATAAAAGTTGGGATAAAAATTCTCGAATATTATCATATATGACAAAAATTGCTAAGTGAAATAATTTAAGATTGTAATGAAGGGACATAAAGTAATTGTAAAAATAGAGTTTCAAAAAATAGTGACTTCTCTGAGAGGAACTTACTCTGAAGTGTGAATATAAAAAAAATCAAGCTGGCACTTTGGCTAATAAGAGTGCAAAATGCTACAACTCTTTGGGAGGGGCATTTGGCAATTTCTAGCAAAATCACATAGACATTTATCTTTCAATCTTGCAAACTTACTTCTTGGAATTTTTCTTTGAGATACCACATGGCAGCTGCAAATCAATTCATGTGTAGTTATTCACTGTGCCATAATTTGAGATAGCTAATGGTGGAAGCAATGTAAATGCCTAACCACAGGAAACAAACACAAGGCAAGCTGGGGATGCTTTGCTGTGCCAGAAAGCAAGAAAAATGCTAAAACAAAGCAAAAATCTCAGAGGGATATGTGAGAAGAACACAGGTGCTCACTGAAAGGGACTCCCACCAGCCATAGTTGGGACAATTTGAACATTTAAAAAGGGCGTAATGGGTTATATTACATTAACTAAAATAAACAAAGAAATCTTCAAGTCCTTAGTAATACATTTAAAATAGGGGCAAGGCAGCTCTTCTTTATAAAGTAATACTTTTTAATAAATATCGGAGGAATGAAGGAATTTAACAATAAAATTTTGCAGTCACCACGGTAATGACTGATTTAGGCAAGAATCAGCAGTGCACCTAAAATCATTGGCTGAAGAGTTAGGCACACAATCTCAAAGCATCACCCACAGGTTATTTTTAAGTATAAAGAGGAAAAGGATACACCTTGAAGAATAAATGGAAGTCAGAATTGCCCAATCATGGGACACACTAATGATGTAAAGGAAGCAGACTACAGTGCCAGGTAGTTTTCTTGTCAAAGCTGTTTAAACTTCATCTTGCTAACTTAAGATATATAAATTTAGGAAAGAAGACTTTATTTCTTGTAAAGGGTTACAGCCTGCAAGGTGGCCATCCTGCAGGCTGGGAAGTGGGCCTCCAGCAAAGACCAGAGACAGGCACTTTGAAGGAGGAGAAGTTGGATTTGGAGCTCATAGTGAATGGGTTGGCTAAACCTACTATTTGACAGTTTACAGGGAAGCTATGAATATTCCCAAACATAGACCCATGTTCATCTTGGGATAGAGACTTAACATTTAAATGTATTACTGTTAGGTTCTATGTGATCAGAGGTGCAGCAGAGACACGATGGCACTAGTCTTCAGCCTTTGCGAACCGACCAGAGCCAGTCTATGGTTGGTGATTTTCTTATCAGGAGGAGGTTACTGATTCACTGCCTTGTCCAGTCAAAACTGTAGTCATGGCTGGTGCAGCAGGGGTTCAGTTAGTCAGCATCTGTGAGCCCATGAGTCATAATTGTTTTAATATTGCTTATCTCAAGTCTAGCCCTTGTTTAGCTGCTAGAGAAAAAGAAAAAGAGAAACCTTGTGGCAGTTAGAACATAGTTTACTCTTTAAGTGTAGGAGTGGGTGACTTCACTGGCATGACCTTAGGTCCTGTTTATAATTTGGTATCTTATTGCCCCAAAGAGCCTGTTCTGTCAGTCTTCTGATCTCCATTTTAACGTGAATGCTGGTCAGTTGTTTTGTCTAAACCCCAGACGGGGGTGGGGCGGGGCAGCGGGGAGTATAACGAGGCGTGTCTGACCTTCTGTTTCATCATGAGTTTCTCTGGGGTTCCCTTGGCCAAGAGGAGGTTGGTTTGGTCAGTCGAAGAGGGGGGCTTAGATTTATTTTTTGTTTGCAATCTAATCAAGATAAAAAATTAAGCAAATCCAGAGAGTGGATGATTCTACAAGTCGACTTCAAAAAGCTAAGGTCTTGATCAGCAAATCACTGTGAGGGGACTGAAGAAGTGTGGTAGCCAGCTGTCATGTGAGGTCTTTGATTGTATCCTGAATTTATAAAACAGAAAACAGCAATGAAGATCATTTTGGTGACAACTGAAGAAATTTTAATACCATCATATTAAATATTGAATTTTTGGAGTTGTTAATGATTTTGTGGTTAATTGGAAAGTATCTTTGTTCTTGAGAGGTGCACACTGAAGCGGAAGTGATGACTGCAGCTTATTTCCCAATGTGTGTCTGCATTTATAGAGAGAAAAAAGGAGCAACAAAGTAATGTGGCAAAACATTAACAATCGGTGAATTTGGAGGGAGAGTTTATGGGTGTTCATCGTACTATTATTTCTATTTTCCTGCAAGTTTTAGATGTTTTGAAAGAAATTGGGGAATATTCAGCTGATGATTTTACAGCTACACTTGATATATTAATCTATGGAATGTGGTAAGATTGGTATAAATTACATTATTTTTATCATTTAAAGTAGACCCTAATATCACTGGCAGGAACCAAGAGTAGGTATTGATAAAACCTGTATACATTAGAACTAGTTGGAAAGTTACTAATCGGGCTGTAGCCTCCTAATGCAGAGTTTGCACACGATACACACTACAATCTTTTGTTAATCAGCGAGGTCTATGTTTTCACCAGTATTGTTCACTCAATACTAAGTAATTTCAATTCACTTAGTATCGTTTACATTTACAATTAAGTTGTTAGTATCACTTAAATTTACAATTATAATTTACACTTACAATTTACAATAATACAATTACTTAGTATTGAGTAAATACTAAGGCTGAAAGAGTTCCACCTACAAATGCCTCCTCTATGCGGATGCCAAATGTGGAGCCTATAGTTGGAGAGGTGTCAGCACCTTTCAGGAGCACTAATTCAGACCATGGCCACAGTGACTAAATTATCCAAACCTAAATGGAGCACACATCTGGCTACATGACCCAAATTTTCATCTCTTATTTATTTTTAATGGGCCAATTTTCATATTGAAGGAGAAATAAGGAGAGGTCTGAAAATTGGCTTCATTAAACAATTAAGCTCTTAAATCCTGACAGTGATGGAATATTTGGTGTAGAGAATAACAATTTTCATAGATGATGATTCCATCATAATAGAGGGCTGAAATTCCCAAAGAATTCCAAGTGAGGCCTCCAATACAGCATGCGATTGCCCATGGAGAATGTTATTCTCATCTGCAATTTGTTAGTGCTTTTCATCAACACATAATTATTTCAGCTAATAAACCAGCTAAGTATGCTCTAATGAAAAGTATCCCAAAGAGAGAGAAAGGGAATTACTAAGGTAAAGAAAGCCCTCAAGCTTCTAAGTATACAAAATTACACCTAGTTGTTTATTGAGAATGTCAATAAAACCCGCTCCTAAGCATGTGGTGCACTATTCCTAGGTGTACATCACTCAAACTATGTTCGAGAACTGATCTTTCCTCTTTCAGGTTATCGTGGAAAAGAGCCAGGGTGCAGGTGTTTCATGTTTATCCACAACTCTACTGTTTCCTAGGAGCCCTGACATCTTTATGAGTCTTTAAAAAAAGTTCTCCTCCTCACTCCAGTCCCCTGTGCTTTATCAACAACAAATGACTCTCTCCCGTTTTTACAAGGGGCCATCCACTCTCCTGCGTTCTTCTCATACTTCTTCGTTCCCTCTACCATACCTAATTATCAGTGCTTTTGAAGACCCAAAGCCCCTTTTTATAGTAGAGTGCCTTCACATCAGGGAGGAATATCAGCTGACTTTTTAATAGTGCAAAATGCAAATCATAAGCCCTCCTTACACTCTCATATGGCGCTCCGGCTTGCTTGCGAAGATTGGCACAATCCCATCACTGATCAATACTGATGTTCCCGGTGAGTCATCTTTCTGTATAAGAAACCACACTGAGACTTGGTGGCTTCAACATCAACAACCATCGATTTGTTCATGATTGCGCAATTTGGGCAGGGCTTGCGGGGACAGCTTGTCTCTTTTCTGTGTGCCATTAGTGGGGCAGCTCAAATGTGGCTGCATCATCCATGTCCACATGGCCTCCTCATGAGGCTGGCCTTCTGGTGCTGGCAGTTGGTGAGGGACTCTGCCAGGGGTATTGACAAGGGGGCTTCAGCTTTCCTCTGTGTGGCCTCCCCATGTGGCTAGGGTGGGCTTCTCACAGCATGGCAGTCTCAGAATAATGAGGCTTTTTATATGGCTGCTGGCTTCCCCCCAGAACCGAAAAAGTGGAAGCCTCCAGCCTTCTTAAGGTTTAGGCCTGGACCTGGCAAAGCGTCACTTCCACCACGTTCTTCTGGTTAAGGTGAATCACAAGAGACCAGATTCAAGGGGAGGAATGACACGAGGATGTGAATACCAGCAGGTGACATTTATTGGGGGCCATCAATGTGTCAAATTACCACATCATTCGACTCATCAAGAAAAGATTGAATTCAGACCAACACATTGTGTGAGAAATGTGTATGATCACTACAAAGTTTTGCATTTAAAATGCTAACATTTAAAAAATAACATGTACTGTTTCAGGGGTAGTGTTTTCAGGTCCCGTATGGAGACATGAAGTAACTGCTTCCTCATTGATTCTGGATGCTGAGTCATGGCTGTCCATGCCTCATGCTGCAGACGCAGTTTCAGGCTTGTCACTTTGGGTCTGACTAGTCAACAAGTACAGTGGGCAGGTGTGGGGGTCCCTACTCTCCACCCAGGCTGAGGGTCAGGGTCAGACAAGCTTTGATGATAGAGAACAGATGAGGGCAGTGAGACCAATGTGCTGGAAGAAGGGAGGCCCCAGTGACGCACACCAGTAATGGCTGGAGAAAACCAAAAAGACCAGTCTGCAAGGGAATGAAAGGGGAAGGAGGTCACGTCAGCAGCAGAGTAGAAGCAGCTGTTTCTGTTTCTTGCCTTCCACCAACAAAGAGAGAGCTATGGATCTTCCTTTCAAATCACCGCAGCTCCGTTCCTTCTTCTGTTTGAAGGGAGGATTTAGGCTCATGTAAGAAGGCTGGGAGAATTCTGGTGTCCAGGATGTTGAACTGGCATGTTGAAGGGAAGAGTTGGGGTTATTGGCCAATGTGCCCAAAGGGATGGCTCCACCCCCTCGCCAAAGCCACACTAGGAATAAGATGGCCATGCATTTTACTCCTGGATGTCTTAGGCCCCTGAGTACTGCATGAAGGAATATGCACTCCAATTTGATTTTGAGTCCTGTAGGGCCCTCTTTTCTAGGATTCCCAATGAATGTAACAATGTAGCACTGGCACCTTTACCTCCTCCCCTCGATGAGTCAGCAGGTGAAGCTGGTAAACACTATCTGCCAAAGGATTTCATGTTGCTTCCAGGTTTGAAATCTTGTCTCACTGATACAGTTCTATTGTATGTATGCTAAAATGTTAGACTAGCCAGGATGGTTCAATAACTTATGGGGAGAGTGAGCTGAAATATTTGATTTTATTTTTATTTTATTTTTCTGAGGCAGGTTCTCACTCTGTTGCCCAGGCTGGAGTGCAGTGATGTGATCATAGCTCACTGCAGCCTCAGTCTCCCTGGCTCAAGTGATCCTCCTGCCTCAGCCTCCCAAGTAGATGTGACTACAGGTGTGTACCACCACACCTGGCTAATTTTTAAAATTTATTTTTCATAGAGATGGGGCTGCGCTGTGTTGCGCAGGCTAGTCTCAAACTCCTGGGCTCAAGTGATCCTCCCACCTTGGCCTCCCAAAGTGCCAGGATTACGGGAGAGAGCCATGAGTCCCAGCCTGGACTATTTTAAATAAAGGCAATATTTAGGAAGTCCGGCCTAGGGGATTGGACCCAGGGGCTAGCCCAGGAGTGTAGAATGACTTAAACAATAGTGAATATGAAGGAACGTATTATCAGTCCTGGAGAAAACAGTGATGGGAATGAATTTCTGTGGGTGTAGGAAGCTGGGTGACTGAGTGCTGTCATCTGTAGGCAGGCATGTCCTGCTCTGTAGGTGAGTCCCCTCTTCTGATATACAGGTGCTTCATACCAACCACAGCTACCGTCTCCTGCTGATGAGGACAGACAGGAAGGGAAGCATCTGGAGGGACTGATCCTGCTTCTTTGGTTAAACTCTGACAGATACATTCAAAAATAAAAAAGACATTGCAGAAAATTTATCTCCAGCAGAACTGTGCTACAAGAAATACCAGAAGTCCTTTTTTTTTTTTTTTTTTTGAGACAGAGTCTTGCTCTGTCGCCCAGGCTGGAGTGCAGTGGCTCGATCTCGGCTCACTGCAAGCTCCGCCTCCCGGGTTCACGCCATTCTTCTGCCTCAGCTTCCCGAGTAGCTGGGACTACAGGCGCCCGCCACCATGCCTGGCTAATTTTTTGTATTTTTAGTAGAGACGGGGTTTCACCATGTTAGCCAGGATGGTCTCGATCTCCTGACCGCGTGATCCGCCCGCCTTGGCCTCCCAAAGTGCTGGGATTACAGGCGTGAGCCACCGTGCCCGGCCTAGAAGTTCTTCTTTAACCTGAAGGGAAATGACACAGCTGGAATCCAGAAATTATTTCCTCTAGAAAACGGAGGAAGAGGGAATACTTCAGGAGCAAGAGGGAATTACTTCATTTATGAGATCAACATAACCTTGATACAAAAATGAAACCAAGACATTGCAATAAAAGAAAATCGCAGACATTAGTATCCCTCATGAACATAGACATGAAAATCCTTGACAAAAATCTTAGCAAACCAAAATGCACACATTTATAAAAGGGTGACATATCCTGATTTAATAGGGGTTATCCCAGGAATTCATGGATGGTATTGAATGAATTTAACATTCAAAAACTCAATCAATATAATTTACCAGATTTTCAACAGTTAAATATATTTTAGAAGTTAAATATAATCATCCCAGTAGATGCAGTGAAAGTATTTGGCAAAATTCAACATATATTCATGATAAAAACTCTCCACAAACTAGGAATGTATTGTAGATTAGTTGCAGAATTAGGAAAAGTAAACTTACACACAGACCAGATGCAACATTTCAAGTATCTAAAAATTGAGGGGGGTGGGAAGGAAGCTTAAAAGTCACATAGTCTTTATCCTTGCGTTTGAGAGCCTCCCAGCAACCTTGAGGCAAACTATCATATTCATATAAAAGTTCAAGGACCCACAACTCTAAAGAGAGATTTCAAATCCTCAAAGCATGCTCAGCTAATAGCTGTTGAGTTAATTAGGAGGACTAAGATTAGAATATTAAATCTTTGAAGAAAATGTAATGGTATGGTTTAATTCAGAGAAGAGGTTGAGGAGTAAGCTTATAACACTTTTCAAAGCTGAAATGAGCTAAGCACTTGGATCAGTGTTCCCCAAATGAAAGGATGAAAGGATTCACCTGGAACCCTTGTTTAAGGATCACACGCCCAGGTCTCTACTCTGCAGACTGGGATTTTGAGGTGGGGCAACTGTTCCTGTTGAATTGTCATTATCGGCTAAGTCTGAGAAACTCTAGATTTAGATGCACCAAAAAATGCCTATGGCAGTAATGTCCCTGTGAAAGTGTTTAAGATAGGTATGTTTGTTTTATCATTAAGTACAATATTTGGGTTTAGTTTTGATAGATACTCTTTATTGGCCGGACACGGTGGCTCATGCCTTTAAATCCCAGCAGTTTGGGAGGCCAAAGTAGGTGGATTGCTTGAGCTCAGGACCTCAAGGCCAGCCTGGGCAACATGGTGAAACCCCGTCTCTAAAAAGAAAAGAAAAGAAAAGAAAAAATGTAGCTGGGTATGTGAGTAAGATATGTGAGTCTTAGTAGTTGTCTGAAAATGTTCCATTGCCACCTTTCAGGTAGGATCAAGCATCAGAGTCTCAAAGGCAGTATTACCAGTATGGAAAAAAAATCCCATAGACAGTAACAGAGCTCTTTCTTAGCAATGCCGTGTTTCCAACCCTCCTGATGTCACAGAAGATGAGAATGTTTGGAAAAACATGAACATTGATGGCTCTGAGTCTTGAAGAAATCCCAAAGCATGCACCTATAATCCCAGCTACTTGGGGGCTGAGGTGAGAGGATCACTTGAGCCCGGGAGGTCGAGGCTGCAGTGAGCCGTGTTTGCACCACTGCGCTCTAGCCTGGGCAACGAAGTGAGACTTTGTCTCAAAAAAAAAAAAAAAAAAAAAAAAAAAAAAAAAAAACCAACAACAAAGAAAACCTATTTATTAAGGGAATTTCCATGCATTCCTGTTGTACTAAAATATTGCTTTCGAAAAAGAAAATCAAGACGTTGAATTATGTATAATGCCTCTTAGTTTCCATAGATATGTTTTTTCTAATTTTATAATAAAGGAATACAATAAATTATATTTTAGAAATTTTCAAGGTTGAGCCATCCTAGAATAAATTGACTTGATCTTGATTTATTCTACTTTTAGTAAACATGTAAGATTTGATAATATATATGTAAGATCTTTGCAATACTAGCCATAAAGTGGGATCATTTGATCATTTTCCTCCAGAAAATGGAGGAAGAGGGAATACTTCAAGAGGAAGAGGGAATGACTTCATCTGTGAGATCAACATAACCTTGATATAAAAATGAAACCAAGACATTGCAAGAAAAGAAAATCACAGACATCAGTATCCCTCATGAACATAGACATGAAAATCCTTGACAAAAATCTTAGCAAACCATCTGTGCCATCTTCCTCAGGTTCAGTAATCAGAGCTATGGAGGCTACCATAAAAAAGAAAAATTCCCAATTTTTTTCCTATGCACAATCATAAGAAAAGATCCTTTAAGTTTACTAGAACACAAATTTTAGGGGCTAGGGTTATGGTTAGAACACGTTGCTTAGGATGTTTAGAAGCAGACATGTGATGCCTCTCCATGTTTTCTGTGCTGCTCTATCTGGTCAGGTTTTTTTCTAAGTTTAGTAACTATGATGACCAAAAGAGGAGTAGTGGCTGTGACCCTTCTTAACATCGAGGAGACCTATGGTAATATTTCTACCCACAAATGACATTGTGCATTAAAAGATTTCATCTACCAAACCGATTGCTTTCATTAAGGAAAAACAAATAAATTCCTCCACTTTATTAATGATATCTGAGTACACAAAACTCAGTAGCAACAGAAATGATAACCCACAGCAGTAAGCAAGTATAAAAATAGGCAGTAAACTGGCTAAACCCCAGGCTCATGAAAAGAAACAGACCATTCTAGTTAGCCTCTGCAGACTTATTATTTATAAATGTTTTGTTTCCATTAAGCTTTAGGAAAGATTGAAAATAACTCCCAGGCTGCTAAAATTACTATTGTTGCACTTTCAAGGATCAAAAGACTCCATGTTGAGGAAATTTCACAATTCTATTCTGATAAAAACAGAGGCGAAATGTAAAGTAGCAACGGGCTTCCTGGGAGAACTCTCTCCCACGGTTTTAATAGGCTGGTTAGGATGTGCTCGACAGCTACCTGGCTGGCTGGAGACATGCTTCCCACAGGCTAACCAAGTGCATACAGTGAAGGTGGATGGTGGTGTCTGTTCATCTCGGAAGAGCCCAGGATCAAACTATCACTCCCTAGTCACCCTGTGGTCTCTGCCATGTTTCCACAGATCTCTAAAGTTGCTTAACCCTGATTTATGCAGTGCTGAACATCTCTTTCAGCGTTAGAACTGAATATTACCACCTCTGATGATTTCTCAAGGAAGCAGTAGATATGACAGTAACTGTCATTGAGATGGTGAGGCAAAGGTGGGGGTGAGGAGTGTGGGAAGAAAATTCCATGGTCCTCACTGGCTGGGGAATAGTGGCTGCAGTGACCACCTGTCTGTGGCTACCCAAAAGCACAAGTGAGATTTGAGCATCCTCTCTCAGTGGTTTTTCATGGCCAGTATTTCTCCAACCTTAATGCCCATAGAAACCATCTGAGGGTCTTGTGAAAAGACAGTTCTGATTCAGTAGGCCTGGAGCAGGACCCGAGACTGCATTTCTAATAAGCTGCTGAAGCTGCTGGTCTGTAGTCCACTGTGTGAGAAGCAAGGCTCTAGTCCGCATAGGGCTCCAACCAGCCCGATTCCTGAAATTTGGAGGAGCCCAATGGGAGGCAGAAGCAAGCCTTAGGAAAAGCAAAGTCCCTCCACTGAATTTCAAAAGCCAACATGAAAGAGACAAAATGGACTGGCCTCTTCCTGTCAAGGCAGAAATCTCAGCAATGAATTCTCAGATGCAGGCCTCAAGAGGCCTTCTTCAGCTGGATGAGTTGACTCATTCCTGTATCTCAGCACTTTGGGAGGCCAAGGCAGGAGGATCACTTGAGCCCAAGAGTTTGAGACCAGGCTGAGCAACACAGGGAGACCCCATTTTTCTACCAAAAAAAATTTTTTTTAATTAGTTGGGCATAGTGGCATGTGCCTGTGGTCCCAGCTAGTCAGGAGGCTGAGGCAGGAGGATCCCTTGAGCTTAGGAGGTCAAGGCTGCAATGAACTATGATTGTGCCACTGCACCCTAGCCTGGGCAATAGGGCAAGACTCTGGAAGCAAAAAAAAAAAAGGCCTTCATTGATCATTGCCACCAGAAGTTTACCTGCCCTGAGGAGTCAACTTTGAATCCCTCACTGATTTTGCATATTTGTTTTTTATTTTATTAATATCTGTTCTCACCTTCACTGTTTCCTTCTTTTTATGTTCTTTGGGTTGATTTTTATTTTATTAATTTCGTTTTTTCTTCTATCCTACCTAGTACAGCGCTTTCATTTAAGACTAAAATTTTTTCTCTTAAGTTCATTTAAAAATACTTTCCAACTGCCATTATGATTTCTTATTTGACTTGTTGGTTATTTAGAATCATAATTCTCATGTTAAAATATTAAGGGTTTTCCAGTTATCTTTTTGTTATAGACTTCTATCATAGATTATGATCAGACAGCACACTCTGGAATTATACGGTCCTTTCAAATGTGTTGAGACTTACTCTCAGGTGCACAAGGTGGGAAATTTCTGTCAATGTTCCATGTGTGCATGAAAATATTTTATATTCTGGAGTATTTTACTCTATTTCAATGATTTTAAGACACATGCAAAATTTGGGACACATTTTATAATCACAGAGGAACAAACGACCACCTGTGACGTTGTCATTGCCTGTGCACATATGAATGTCTACATGTATGGTGTATGACACAGCAACTGCAACCTCTTCACCTTCTAGTTGTCAGATCGTTTAAGGACCATTTGAGGAAGATATGTGAGTCTTAGTAGTTGTCTGAAAATGTTCCATTGCCACTTTTCAGGTAGGATCAAGCATCAGAGTCTTAAAGTCAGTATTACCGGTTTGGGAAAAAAACCCCATAGACAGTAACAGAGCTCTTTCTTAGCAATGCCGTGTTTCCAACCCTCCTGATGTCAAAGAGGATGAGAATGTTTGGAAAAACATGAACATTGATGGCTCTGAGTCTTGAAGAAATCCCAAAGCAAATAATTCTCAAAGACATTTCAGAAATAGCTAATACAATTTATTTCTCTTATATTCCCCTTTAAAAATATGCACAAGAACAACATAATTAAATATAAAGGAGCTTCCTCAATCAGTGTGGTCTAACAATGTCAAGTGATGAGAAATCATTGTGTCTCAGTTAACATGGTTCTCTTTTTTCTTAGTGCCTCATAAAATAATAGTGTGTCTTCCAGTCAAGGACTTCTTAGATTCAAGGAACTATGTCATATCTGTCTGTAGGTCAAGTTTGTGGATCATGTTGATTAAATATTCTTTCCTCTGGATTTTTTGGTTGTCATTATTCTGTCAATTACCGCAAAATATATAGTAAAATCTCCTACTGTGGTTGTGAATTACTGTGGCTCTATGAGGTTATGTGGTTCTATCAATTTTTGCTTTAAGTATTTTGAGGCTGCGGGTCCAGTTACGTAGTGATTCTCATTGTCTCTAATTGTGTGTTTTTCCCTCAAAGTATACATTGTATTTGCCTGGTATTAGTACAGCTATACCAATTTTATTTTGTTTAATGATAACTGGATTTCTTTTTTCATCCTTTATTTCAACCCTTCTGTCTCCTTAGATTTACAATATATCTGTCATTTTGTTCCACCTGTTCTGGGTTCTTTTCCATTGTTTTCTTATCTCATTCATATTGAAAGAGTCTTTTGTTAGGCTGGGCATGGTGGCTCACGCCTGTAATCCCAGCACTTTTGGAGACCAAGGCGGGAGGATCACCTGAGGTCAGGAGTTCAATACCAGCCTGGCCAACATGGCGAAAACCTGTCTCTACTAAAAATACAAAAATTACCTGGGCGTGGTGGCACCTGTAATCTCAGCTACTCAGGAGGCTGAGGCAGGGAGAATTGCTTGAACCCGGGAGGCTGAGGTTGCAGTGAGCGAAGATCGCTCCACTGCACTCCAGCCTGGGTGACAGAGCAAGACTCTGTCTAAAAAACGAAAAGAATCTTTTGTTTTATTTTGCCATCACGTAATACATCTATGTAAAACAATCTTTTTATTTCGTTTTTCTCTGTTTTAGTTTGAAAGTTATACACTCTTTTTCTCTTCTATTAATGGTTATTTTGGAAATGACAGAATACATCTTGGACTTACCTAGATCTAATATCAACTGTTACTCTTTCCCTTCTCCCAGCCAGTGCAAGAAGCCCAGGACATTTATCTCCATTTATCCCCTCCATTCTTTTTTTTAAAGTTCTGGGGTACATGTGCAGGATGTATAGGTTTGTTATATAGGTAAATGTGTGCCATGGTGGTTTGCTGCACCTATCAACCCATCACCTAGGTATTAAACCTGTCATGCATTAGCTATTTTTCCTGATGCTCTGCCCCCCAACAGGCCCTGTGTGTGTTGTTCCGCTCAACATCACTGATCATTAGAGGATTGCAAGTCAAAACCACAATGAGATACCTTCTCACACCAGTCAGAATGGCGATCATTAGAAAGTCAAGAAACAACAGATGCTGGTGAAGTTGCAGAGAAATAGGAACACTTTTACAATGTTGTTAGGAGTGTAAATTAGTTCAACCATTGTGGAAGGCAGTGTGGCGATTCCTCAAAGATTTAGAACCAGAAATACCATTTGACCCAACAATCCCATTACTGGGTATCTACCCAAAGGAATATACATCATTCTATTATAAAGATACATGCACATGTATGTTCACTGCAACACTGTTCACAATAGCAAAGACATAGAATCAACCCAAATGCCCATCAGTGATAGACTGGATAAAGAAAATGTGGTACATATGCACAATGGAATACTATGCAGCCATAAAAAAGGAACAAGATCATGTTCAAAAATATAGGCACTGCGGTGAGACCCACATAGGCTGGGGTGGATCAGCCCCTGCCTACCTGGCAATGAAGACCCAATGACTCGTGGTAGGTAGAGCACAGACAGCGCTGCATAGGAAATGGTGCAGGCATTAAAGCTTCCATTGGTGGTGTCCTGGAGAGAGGAAGTGCATTAACTCGTGTGATATGCCAAGGGTTTGGGAAAAGTGGGGGAAATACTAACCATAACGAAAAGGGGATTGGTTGGCTATTGCTAAACTTGATTGACCTTTGGGAAAGAAAATAAAAAAGCTGGGATAATCAATTAGCAACTAACAGCTAAGAATGAATGCAGAAGCCTTCTTTGGTCATGAATAGAGAAATTCTCACCTCCTGCACTGAAAAGGAAGGGAGGGTTGAGTGCCAGGGTCAGACCTCCCTTGAGAGTGGCAGAGCTCCAAATGAGGTGGATTCCCACCAAGGTGACACTGTTATGTCAAGGTGAGGCCATGGCTGGGAAAGAACGGGACCCAGCATAGAGGATGGGGACATCTGGATTAATGCTTCCTAAAATATCAAATCTCCAGATTCCCCTGAACCTCTGAGCTTGCACACAGGAACCTCGGTCCTGCCTACCCTTTGTTGAAGATGACTTAGGGTCCTCTCCTCCCGATACCTGTGCCTTCCTCAGGATCTGCCTCTACCTCCCTTCCTGGATACCAGACCAGTAAGTAGGTTAAATCACAACACAAACCAGCCTGGAACTGTTGGGCCTGAAAGGGGAGGAAGGCAACTGTACCCTAAAGAAACCAGAGGATCTAGCAGCAGATGCTGCCTGGAGCTATAAGAATGCACCTATATAAGGAATTGGAGGGTGCTTGGTCAAGGGAGCCAGAGCAGAAGGTTGAATAAGAGACGGTTATTTGAGTTAGTTATTTCCCCAATAACTCTCTTTTTATGTCTAATCTCTTGGCATCTGCTTCTTAGAAGACCCAAACTCAACACAGAACTGCGTCAAAGTTCCACTTCTTCCTCTGCCACCCATGCTGGTCCCCTCCCCTTCCATGGTTGTTAATCCCAAGAGCACTCCTCCTAAGTCTTGAAGCTCATCTCCATCCTGGGTCTATTTCCTGGGGAGCCAGCATCGGACGGCTGCACTGCAAAGGCCTTTGTTTCTGTACTGTCTGGACTGTCTCCATCCTGCTTTCTCATTCTTTCCTAAGCTTTCACAGCTTACTTTAAATCTTCTTCTGTTATATTATTGTCTCTTCTTTGATGTCTTACAGATCTCCTCTGAGTTCTTACTTCACTGTGATTATGCTTCCTTTGATTTCCGTGAGTTCATGGAGAAATGTTAATTCACATTTTCTTTTACTTCTGATGTATATTATTCCTCTGTCTTTGTTTGTTGTCATTGTTCTCTTTTTGGGGAATTATTGTTCATGTTAATGAGGATTTGCTAAGAGCTGTGTGGGGAAGGGACAGATTGAGGTGGGGCGGTCTCCTGAACTCAGGGGTTCTGGAAGGACTTTCTCATGGATGCAGTGTCCTCTGTGCAAGGACCCAGTGTCTGCTCACTAATCTCAATGGGCCATTCCAAGGAAAGCAGGCCCATGTGGTTTGTAGCAAAGCCTGGATGTTCGAGTATATTTGGGGTAATAGAGCAGCTCATACTAAGCTGACTGCCACATGCTTTGCAGAAATTCTAGGCATCTTGATGATCTCCCCCCCGCCTGGCTCATCCAAAATGCCAGGTGTGGACACCCTAGCCAGGACCCTTGATTGCACCCCTTAGGGCTGTGCTACCCTTTTATGGGAAACTGTCAGCTGGAAATGACCTGTGGGGTTGCATATGCTTCTTGGTGTTATGTCCCAGTGTGATCCAAAATGTATTGTCTTTTGCAGTTATTATTTTTAACCTATGGTTTTGCATGTATTTTCAAGGAAATTGGTTTCTTCTCTATTGCTCATTCTTTTTGTCATTTTCAGTTGGCCATTGGGGAAGGAAGTGAATCTGGATTAGAATTCTAAAATAATTTTTTTTTTCTTTGAGACAGGATCTCACTCTGTCACCCAGGCTAGAGTGCAGTGGTGCATTCTTGGCTCACTGCAACCTCTGCATCCAGGGCTCAAGCAATCCTCCAACCTCAGTCTCCAAAGTAGCTGGAACCAAAAGTGTGCACCACCATGCTGGGCTAATTTTTTTTTTTTTTTTGTATTTTTGGTAGAGACAAGTTTTCGCCACATTGTCCAAGCTGGTCTTGAACTCCTGAGCTCAAGTGATCCACTCGCCTCGGCCTCCCAAAGTGCTGGAATTACAGGTATGAGCCACCGTGCCCAGCCTACATCTTATTCTTTTAAAAAAATCCAATTTAACACCTTAACCACATAGCTGTATATTTAAAATATGTTAATTAGTAAGATATTAGCAACCCAAATCACAAGAGATACAGAATAAAGAGAAAGGTACTGAAAGCATGAAAAAAAGGTACTTAAAGCATTTAAACACAGACATCATTTTTTAAATCATGAGTTAGAAAATTAGATATGAAAAAGAAAAAAAGGTTAGTTTGGGATTGCTTCAGAGACACAAAACTAGTTAAAAACACACTGGTCCCAGCTATGTTCATAGTGTTCTCCATTGCTCATAAAAACTGCCTTCAAGAAGTGGTGATGATGTAGTTCTGGGGGAGAAGCAGCCGATGCAATGGTAAGCAGACTCCCCCACGTATGAAGTCATCTGCATTGCGTGGCTGGATGAACATCTGCCACATAAACTCTGCGTTGGTTGCAGTGTGCCACAAAAACATTCTTTGTTTCTCTCTGACCCCAGCTCTCATTTTGTGAGGTGAAGATTGGTTGACATAATGAGAACTTTCTGAAGTCATTTCACTGAGGACATTTAATACAACTTCTTTGCAAGCGATGTCATAGACTTCAGTGTCTTTGTCTGGCATGTGCTGTTGCTGCAACATGATTCACAGTGGATGGCGGGGGAGGAGCTGCAGGCGGCAGAGAGTAATCAAGCACTCATTTACGCGCCTCCTTCCTTTCGTCTTATCAAGCAGCTAAATGCCAGCTCAGAATCAGCCCACGCCACAGTCGTTTTCTGGACTTTCACTATTAAAATGTCCACTTACATAGGAAGAAAAAAGACAGTGACTCAAATCAGACTCAATGCCTGGTTTATAAATTAAGAAACAGCTATTTTGGCCCCCCAAAAGAAAACTACTTCTCTTTTCTCTTTTTTCAGAAATGCAAACTATGAGTTTTATGAAAACTACAATTTCATTTTATGAAAGGGTAGTCAATTCCATTACGTCTTTCAAACCCATTGGCAAAACGTGTAAAAAGAATTGGGGTTAAAGTGGGAAAAATCTTACCCAGTTCTGGATTTTAAAGCAATCACAAATTAGTACAATGTGAACTAAAGAAGAGCCCAAAGCTTTTGGTTCTAAGGAATTAGAGAATCTTTCTGTTTCCACTAAAGTGAAAGCATGTTCCAATGATGAACCTCCAGCTGCATAGGTGACAGTCTTTCCTTATTCAATCCCTGAATTTACCTTACATAGTAGGTGGACGGCCACCCAAAGATATCAGGTCCTAGTCCCTGGAACCAGTAAATGTTACCTTATAAAGAAAAAGGGTCTTGGCAGATGTGGTTAAGAATCTTGACATGAGGAGGTTATCCTGGATTATCTGGATGGGCTGTAAATGCCATCACAAGTGTCGGTAAAAGACGGGGAGATGACACACGCAGAAGAGAAGGCCATGTGAAGACAGAGGTGGAGACTGCAGTGATCTGGCCACAAGCAAAGGAATGCAAGCAGCACTGCAAATTGGCAGGGAAACCTTGATTTCAGCCTACTGAAACTGATACTGAACTTCTGACCTCCTGAACTGTGAGAGAATACATTTCTGTTTTTTTTTGTTTTTTTTTTTTGAAATGGAGCTTCACTCTGTCACCCAGGCTGGAGTGCAGTGGCGCAATCTCAGCTCACTGCAACCTCTGCCTCCCCAGTTCAAGTGATTCTCCTGCCTCAGCCTCCTGAGTAGCTGGGATTACAGATGCCCGCCACCATGCTGGGCTAATTTTTGTATTTTTAGTAGAGACCGATTTCACCATGTTGGCCAGGCTGGTCTTGAACTCCTGACCTCAAGTGATCAGCCAGCCTCAGCCTCCCGAAGTGCTGGGATTACAGGCATGAGCCACCGTGCCCAGCCCATTTCTGTTGCCTTAAGCCACCAGGTTTGTGGTAATTTGCCATGGTAACAGCAGGACATTAATACACCTATTTCTATGGAAATATGGCATGGCTTTATTCAATCCTCTCTTATCACTTAATTAAATCATGGATATCCCAAAAATTGAAGTATAAAACTTAAATCAAGTATTTCCTAGAATTTGCCGATTTAACGTTGAAAATTTTCTTTTGCCAAGTGCATGTAAAAACCAGCCTGGGATGATATTGTGCCAGTGTCAGTTTCCTGGTTTGATCATGTACTCGAGTTATGCAAGTTGCCGCCATTGGAGGACGCTGGGAAAGTGTACCCAGGCCTTTTCTGTTCTGCTTTTTGATCTTCTTATGAGTCTATACTCATTTCAAAATAAGAAGTTAAAATAAAACCCTTTTCTTTGGCCTGTCTTTTGTTTCTTCACCTTTTATATTGGACAATGATTGATTGCTGGTAGCTTCAGAGTTGAGCTGTGAAAAATGAAACAGTTCATTTGCTTTTCAAGAAAAAATTATTCACACCAGTGGTTTATAAAGTGCTAGAAGATTTCATATTCAAGTTTCCCAGAAACAAAAGTAGAGAGTGAACAGATAGAGGATGCTGGCTGCTGTGCAAGCACGTGCCAGGCATGGGGCACAATGTGCCCACTCTGCGCTCTTACCAGCTCTGATAGTGTGGTGGTTAATCAGGCTGTTGTTCAAAGCTGGAAGCTGGTGAGGAAGAAGGAAGCAAGTCCCACTGAGAGGTGAAGCCAGCTGGACTTCCTGGGTGGAGTGGGGACTTGGAGATCTTTTCTGTCTTACAAGAGGATTGTAAAATGCACCAATCTGCACTCTGTAAAAATGCACCAATCAGCGCTCTGTAGCTAGCTAGAGGTTTGTAAAATGCACCAATCAGCGTTCTGTAAAATGGACCAATCAGCACTCTGTAAAATGGACCAATCAGCACTGTGTAAAATGGACAAGTCAGCAGGACATGGGCAGGGACAAATAAGGGAATAAAAGCTGGCCACCCCAGCCAGCAGCAACCAGCTGCGGGACCGTTCAGTTCCTCTTCCACTGGTTGTGGAAGCTTTGTTCTTTTGCTCTTCACAATAAATCTTGCTGCTGCTCACTCTTTGGGTCTGTGCCATCTTTAAAAGCTGTAACACTTACTATGAAGGTCCACGGCTGAGACCATGAACCCACCAGGAAGGAACCAACTCCGGACCACCACTTCAAGGTGTCCAGGCCTTCCTGTCTAGGATGACAAGCGCCCTTCCTGGGAGTGACAGTGAAAAGGCCTAGGGAGATGATCATCAGAGCCTTCAGGGGGAGAGGTGTTTCTTTCCTACACCAGATACTAGCTAGATAACAAAAGAAATTCTAGTACTGCCAGTTCCCAAGAGCACAATAAATCAAACAGTGGTATTCCTGAACTTTACAGGGGTCAGGTATACATGAAAATAATTTATTGTCCCTTTTCTTTTTGCCTTCCAACTTTGCCTGTGTTCATCCAAGAAGCCCAGTGTCTGTGTGACCCCTTAGAATTTAGACAGACAGACGTATTTGGAGAGATCCTTGCATCCTAGGCACCAGGTGCCATTAAGTAACTCAATGTTTCTTTTCATGGTACATTTTCAGTTACTATGTTCATTCATTCAACAAGTATTTGCCATATTCCAGGCACAGTTTTGGGTTTTCAGCACCTGGGATACATCAGTGAACAAAACTGACAAAGAATCCTGCCCTTTGGAGCATATATTCAAGTAGAGAGAAACAAACAAAAATAGTAAGCTTAAGAAATAAGAATTACAGTTTAATACAAGATAGAAAGAGAAGGGAATATTGAAAAGACAAGATTTGAACAGACTTTAAAGATGGTGAATGAGTGAATGTGAGTATCTAGGAGGCACAGGGCAAATAGAAAAGCCAGCGGAATGGCCTGCAGAAGGGAGCGTGTTCAAGAAAGAGCAGAGACTCAGGATCTGAAGCCTGCGAGAGGGGATGGGATCCTTTGCGTAAGTGGAAAAACTGGTTCTAGGTAGAAGCACTAGTTCTCAAGCTTTAAGGCACATCAGAAAAACATGGGGGGCTTGTTAAAGTACAGATTCCTGGGGGCAGCGCTTCCACAGTGCTGGGGTCAGGAGCTTAGCAAGTCCTTTCTCTGAGAAGAAACAATGCAACTGAAAAAAAATTATTTAAAAAAACCCACCATTTCAAGACTCTAAGAATCAACCAAAGGCATTCCACAAATTAAGAAAGGTTGAGTGAGAAAACTGCGGGATCTCAGGTAGTTGTGGCTCTTTTTTGGGGGCTGGTTCCACCCCCACTGCCTGCTCTGTCAGTGAAGTATTTCATCAGGGAATGAAAACCATAAGCTTTGCTACCAGAGGGTGATAACTTGATTTGGAGTGGAGAGTAGGAAGAACTCCATTCTCCTGGATGTTATTGGAAACAATAGTAAGCCCAGTGGCAAAGGAACAGGGAAGAAGAACACTGCAGTCAGCCCGAGGCTTGATTCCGGTAGAGACCAGCTGACCTGCAGGCTAGCCAGAAATTTAACCAGGAAATCAAGGGAATGAGACAGCCATAGTGGACCTTGGTAAGCTCCCACATTTCTGTCGGTTTAAGGCTGTGCATACGTGCAAGGCTGTGTGCACATTCAGAAGAGACCAGAGAGGACCCCAGCAATCCACACATCTCTGGCTTAACCTGAGGCTATACATACCCAGAAAGAGGTACAACAGGGCTGGGTGAAAAGTAAGAGCCGGGACAAATTGATAAATGAGCTGAACTTTAAATGAGTTTCCCAGCCACAAACAGAGCTATTGGCACAGAAAAGAAGCCTTAGTCGTTTAAGGTGTTTGATCATAATCCCTGACCATCACTGGCTAACTTGTCAGGCATACTGATACAAAGTGACCCATGGATGCCAGCCATATAAGTGAAAAGAATAAAAATAGAAGGAAAGAAGGAAGGGAGGAAGGAAGGAAGGAAAAAAACAGGAGGGAGGGAGGAAGGACAGAAGGAAGGATGGAAGGAAGAAAGGAAAGAAGGAGAAAGGAAAGGAAGAAAAGAAAGGAAGAAAGGAAAGAAGAAAGAAAGGGAAGGAAGGAGAGGAAGGAAGGGAGAAAAGAAAGAAAGAGAAAGAAAGGAAAGAAAGAGAAACAAAAGAAATAGGGACATCAACAAAGATACACCACAGAATTAGTTTAGGCAAATTATCAAAACAGACAAGCAAAAAAAGAGTAACAACAACAACCCTTGAGGTGGCGTGGGGGAGAATCAAAATTTCTATAATATATTATCTAAGATGTTTAGTTTTCAATAAAAACTTAGGAGACATACTTTAAAAAGCAGGAAAGTGTGACTTCCATGCAGGAAAATGAGCAATTCATAGAAACTGCCTCTAATGAGGCCCAGATGCTGAACTTCACAGACAAGGAATGTGAGAAGCTATAAACAGAAAAAATGGGATCAGAGACCCATAAACAGAAAAAATGAAGAGAGCTTCAGAGACCCTTGGGACACAAGAAATGCATGCACTTGTGCGCTCTCTCTCTTTTTCATTTTTATTCTTCTAATTTATATGGCTGGCTTTCTATGGGTCACTTTGTATCAGTATACCTTAGTTGTTAGCCAGTGATGGTCAGGGGTTATGATCAAACACCTTAAATGAGTAAGGCTTCCTTTCTTTGCCAATAGGTCTGTCTGTGGGCTAGGGAACTCATTTCAAGTTCTGCTCATTTACAAATTTGTCCTGGCTCTTACTTTCCACCCAACCCTCTCATGTCCCTTCTTGAGTGTAATGGAACTCCCTAGAAAGAGAGGAGAGAGAGAAAGGGGAAGAAAAAATATTTGAAGAAAGACCAAAAAAATTCCAAAATTGGAATTTAAAAAGTATAATCTACAGATTCAAGAAGCTCAACTCCAAGTAGAATGAACACAAAGAGACTCATACCTAAATATTTCATGGTCAGACTATTGAAAGACCCAAAAATGTCTTGAAAGCAACAAGAGAAAAATGATTAATCATAAAAAGCTGACTCAAATAATAAAGGTCACAAGGCAGTGGAACAGTATACTTAAAATGCTGAAAGAAAGAAGGAAAAAAACCCCACCTATTAAGAAGTCAATATCCAGAAAAATTGTCCTTAAAAATTAAGGCAAAATAAAGTCACTCCCAAATGATCAAAGGCTAAGAGAATTCATCACTAGCAATCGTGTCTTACAAGAAATATTAAAGAATCCTTCAGGCTGAAAGGGAATAACACTAGACAATAACTAAAATCCACAAACACAAAAAAAAAGCATGGGGAAAGGTAAATATATTGGAGGTGTGACAGGCAATAAATATTTTTCTCTTTTCTCTTGTGTAATTTAAAATGTGTAAGATTGTATAAAACTATAATTATAAAACCATATTGTCGAGCTTATAGAAAAATGTCATTTGTATGACAATACCACAAAGAAATTATATTGGAGCAAAGTTTATTTTATGAATGGATATGACTCTGGAGTAGATTGTAATTAGTTAAGATACATGTTGCAAAATTGAGAACATCCTCAAAGAAAATAATTTAACAAAAAAGAAAAATAAATGATACACTAGAAAATATCAATCTAACAAAAAAGAAGACAGTAAAAGAGGAAGCAAAAAAGAGAAATGACCTGAGCCATATAGAAAACAAATGGAAAAAATTGAAGACATAATTTTAATTACACTAAAAATTACATTAAATGTGAATGATTTAAATAGTCCAATCAAAAGACAGAGATTATCAGACTACATTTAAAAAAATACAAAGTCCAACTCTATATTGTTTACAAGAGATATACCATAGATTCAAAAATACAGTTTCAGAGTAAAACAGTGGAAAAGACACATCATGCAAACAGTAAAATATAAGAGAGCCAGAGTAGCTATACTAAGACAAGATTGATTTTAAGAAAAAAGCGTTATTCGAGACAACAAGGAAAATTTCATAATAATAAAAAGGTCAAGGTACCAGAAAGAGACACTTTTAACAAGAGTTACAAAATATGTGATGTAAAACCTGACAAAATTTAAAGAAAAAAATTAATGTTTCAACATAGTCCAAGATTTTAATAATCCTATCTCAGTAATTGACTTAAAACTATATATGAAATCAGCAATGATATAGAAGACTTCAATAGTACTATCAACCAACTTGTCATAACTGGCATGTATAGAACACTTCATCCAACAACATCAGAATACACATTTTTTCAAGTGTGTATGGACCTTCTCCAAGACACACTATGCTAGGCCATAAAATGAATGTCAATAAATTTAAAAGACTTGAAATAATGTACAGTATGTTCTCCAGCCACAAGACATTAAATTAGAAATCAAGAACGAAAAGAAATTTGGAAAATCCCCCAATATTTGGATTAAATAGTGCATTTCTAAAATAACTGTGGGTCAAAAAAGAAATCACAGGGGATATTAGAAAATATTTTCAATGAAAATGGAAACACATAAATATGTGAAGATCTATGGGATTCAAATAAAGCAGAGATTAGAGTGTAATTCATTGTTTTAAGAACCTATATAACAAAAGAAGAAATATCTTAATAACCTAAGCTACCACCTTAAGAAACTAAAAAAAGAGCAAATTAAATGCAAAGCTAGCAGAAAAACAAATAATAAAGATAACAGTGAAATATTGTATGATTTTATGTTTGTGAAATGTCAAGACAAGAGAGGTAGGAAGTCGATTAGTGATTACCTAGGGTGGAAGGGAGGGGGTTTGTGGGCGTTAACAGTAAAAGTACATGAGGGATCTTTTTAGAGTGATGAAAATGTCTAAAACAGATTTTTAATAATGATTTACTGTATTAGAGCTTTCCAGAGAAACAGAACCCCAGGGAAAATACAGAGACAGAAATGCAAAGTGGGGAAGAGATTATTATAAGAAGTTGACTCATGTGATTATGGAGACAGAGAAGTTCCAAGATCTGCCGTTGGCAAGCTAGAGAGTTAATGATGTAGTTCTGGTCCAAGTCTGAGGGCTTGAGAACCAGGAAGACTACTGGTATACATTATAGCCTGAAAGCATGCAGGCTCAAGACACAAGAAGAGATAATGTTTCAGTTTGAGCCCAAAGGCAGGAAAAGATGAATGTTACAGCTCAGTCAGACAGGCAGCAGTTCTCTTTTACTCAGCCTTTTTATTCTGCTCAGGTCTTCAATTGATTGGATGGGGCCCACACACATTAGGGTTGCAATCCACTTTACTCAGCCTACTGCCTAAAATGTTAATTAAAAAAAAATCCCACTCTCTTGGACACATCCAGAATAATGTTTGACAAAATGACTTGGCACCTCATAGTCCAGTCAAGTTGACACATAAAATTAACCAAAATAAGGATGCCTGCTTCTCCCACTTCTATTCAACATAAATATTAAAGTTCTAGTTAAACCATTTAGGCAAGAAAAAGGAATCACAATTGCACAACTCAGTAAAAGTACTAAAACCCATTGAATTGTACACCTGAAATTTGTGATTTATATAATGTGCCTCAACAAAGTTATTAGTACAGTAAAGAGTTAGTTCTTTGGAAAAATCAAATAAATTTACAAATTTGCAAGATTGACAAGGGAAAAAGAGAGAAGACACAAATTACCAAAATCAGGAATGAAAGATGGGGCACTTTTTTCTACTGTGATAGGCTGAATAATGCCCCACCATCAAGATATCTACATCCCCTGTAATCTCAGCACTTTTGGAGGCCAAGGCTGGCAGATCACTTGAGGTCAGGAGTTTGAGACCAACCTGTCCAAAATGGTGAAACCCTGTCTCTACTAAAAATGCAAAAATTAGCTGGGCATGGTGGTGGGTGCCTGTAATCCCAGCTACTTGGGAGGCTGAGGCAGGAGAATCGCTTGAACCTGGGAGGCAGAGGTTGCAGTGAGCCAAGATTGCACCACTGCACTCCAGCCTGGGTGACAGAGTGAGACTCCATCTCAAAAAAAAAAAAAAATCTACATCCTAATCACTAAAATCTGTGAACATTATCTTTATGGCAAAAGAGGATATGTAGATATAATTAAATTAAGAATCTTGAGATTAGAAAATTATCTTGAATTATATAGGTGGGCCCTAAATGTAGTCACAAGTGACCTTATCATGAAGGAGGCAAGAAGGTCAAAGATGGAAGAAGGAAATTGAAGCAAAAGATTGAAGTGACACCCTTTGATTATGGAGGAAGGGATTACAAACCAAGAGATACAAGTAGCTTCTAGAAATTAGAAAAGGAAAGGTAATGGATTCTCCCTTGGAGCCGCCACAAGAAATACTGGCCTTCTGACACCTTCATTTTATATTTCTGACCTTTAGAACTGTAAGAAAATAAATTTGTGTTGTTGTAAGCCACCAAGTTTATAGTAATTTGTTATAGCAACAGTAGGAGACTAAAATACTCATCCTAGAAAAATCGGGATCATAAGGTAATAGTATATGCTATTTTTTGCTAAAATTTGGACAACTTAGATGAAAGCCACAAATGACCAAGACTGACTCAAGAAAAGATAGTAAACGTAAATAATTTATAGAAGTAAAAACTTGTGCTAGCAACTGTGATATTATGATACATATATGTTGGTTTGCATTCGTGGTTCCTAGTGCGTAACTCTCATAACCCTTGTTATAATGTCAGGGTGCTTTTGGCCTCATAAGCAGCCTCAGAAAACAGAATCGCTCTCTCTGACTTTCTCTTGCCCACCTTTCACCTGCCCCTTTTTCTCTTCAAGGCAGAAACCTTCCCCCACCTTTCTGTCTTGGAGCTGGCCATAAATTCTCTGACCTGCCTTCTGATTGTGGGTCCTAAGACCCCCATCTTAAAAGGATACTGCCCCATACCCAGAAGGAGGGAATGTTACACAGCAAGGTCAAGAAGAATCTGAACAGATAGGCTTTGTCAGGTTTTCTAATTCAGTCCGTTAGTATTATATCATACCCTTTTTGTCCAATCACATTTCTACACAGAAGCAGAGAACTTATTTGCAATTTTCTAATCTATCTGCAAGCTGTTCAAGGGACTGGTTTCAGTCTCACCTGACTCAGAGTTCAGATAGGAAAAAGCAGCATAGCTCAGATCTCATGCTTGCAAAGGCCACACAAAACAGTGGCAGGTGTCATGGCATGTGAAAGTTGTAGGGGAATTTGCAGACCTATGGATGCCTAATTTCTAAGAAATTAGAAGCAGAAGAATACAATGGAATATCTAACGGACATTGAAAAAAAGGCACACACACACACCAGCCCAGATAGGACACATGCCCAGAAAAGAATTTAAGCCTTTACTCCAGGCAGATACCAAGGCTCAGAATGTGCCCTGCTAATGAATGAAGGTCTTCTCTGCCAGTTTGCAAATATTGGGAGAAGTGGTTGGGTTTTCAATTCTCAAAAAAAGATCACAAGGCATACAAAAAAAAAAGAAAACCATAACTTATTCAAAGAACCAAAATAAATCTCCAAGAATGATCCCTGATGAAACACATATTGGATTTACTAGACAAAGACTTTAAAACATCTGTCTTAAATATGGCCATAAAGCTAAATGAAAGTATGGATAAAGAACTAAAAGAACTCAGGAAAATGATATATAAACAAAATAAGAATATCAATAAAGAGATAGAAATTATTTTAAAAACCAACAGAAATTTTAGAGCTAAAAATACAGCATAACACTGGCACCAAAGGCAAAGATGTTACAGAAAAAGAGAAGAATATAGATTTATATCCTTTATGAATATTGATGCAAAGACGTTCAACAAATACTCACAAATTGAATTTAACAATATATCAAAAGATTATACATGATGATCAAATGAGATTTATTCCTGGAATGCATGGCTAATTCAACATACAAAAAAACAATAAATGTAATACACCACATTAACAAAATAAAGGATTAAAAAAAGACCATTTCAAATACTGCAGAAAAAGCATTTGACAAAATTCAACACTCTTGCATGGTAAAAACAGTCAACAAACTAGGAATACAAATAATGTACAACAAAATATAGGTGATATATGAAAATTCTATAGATAACATCATATGTAGATGAAAGAATTAAATTTTTTCATTTAAGACAATGAACAAAATAAGGATGCCTGCTTCTTCCACCTCTACTCAACATGAAGTTCTAGTTAGACCATTTAGGAAAGAAAAAGGAATAGAAGATATTCAAATTGGAAGGAAAGAAATAAAATTATCCCTGTTCACAGACAATATGAACTTATATGTAGAAAACCCTAAAGATTTTATACACACAGACAAAAATGCTATAATAGAATTAATAAATTCAGCAAAGCTGCAAGACACAAAACCAACATGCAAAAATCATTTGTGTTTCTGTACACTAACATTGATCAATCTGACAGGGAAATTTAAAAAAAAGAACTCCATTTAAAATAGCATCAAAAAGAAAAACAACACTTAGAGGAATAGACTTAACCAAAGATGTGAAAGGCTTGTACATTGAAAACTACAAAATGTTGCTGAAAGGAATAAAAGAAAACACAAAAAATGAAAAGACATCCTGTATTCATGGATGGAAAGGCTTAATATCGTTAAGATGTCAATGCTACCCAAAGTGATCTACAGATTCAATTCAATTCCTATCAAAATCCCAACAAAATTTTTTGCATACATAGAATAGTCCATTCTAAAATTTACATGTAATCTTTATTAGCCAAATAGCTACAATAATATTGAAAAGGGAGAAAAAATGTTGAAAGTCTCATACTTTTTTATTTCAAAACTTACCACAAAGCTATAGTAATCAATGTGATACTGTCAAAACCCAGTCACATAAACCAATGGAATCAAATAGAGGGTCCAGAAATAAACCCTCATGTGTATACTTTGGCAAGGATGCTAAGACCATGCAATAGGGAAAAGATAGGATTTTCAACAAATGGTCCTGGGAAACTGGATATTCACATGCAAGGAATTAAGTTGAACCCTTACCTTACGCCATCTACAGAAATTAACCCAAAATGGAATAGAGACCTAAACATAAAACTAAACTAGAAAACTTACTGGGAAAAAACCTGCATGACATTGCATTTGGAAATAATTTCTTGGATATGACATCAAAGCAAAGCAATAAAAAACAGATTAATTGCATTTCATCAAAATTAAAAACTTTTGTGCATCAAAGAACACATCAACAAAGTGTAAAGACAACCGACAGAATGGGGAAAAATATTTGCAAATCATTTATCTGATAAGGAATTGATATGCAGAATATATAAAGAACTCCTACAATGCAACAACAAAAAGACAAACAAGTCAGGAATGGTGGCACATGTCTGTAGTCCTAGCTACTTGGGAGGCTGAGATGAGAGGATTGTTTGATCCCAGGAGTTCAAGACCAGGCTGGGCAACACAGTGAAATCCTATCCTTAAAAAAAGACAAATTACCCAATATGGAAAAGAGCTTGAATAAACATTTTTCCCAAAAAGATATTCTAATGGCCAATAAGCATATGAAAAGAAAACCACAATGAGATGCCATTTGTCACCTATTAGGATGGCCACTATAAAAAACAAGAGAAAATATCAAGTGTTGGTAAGGATGTGGGGAAATTGAAACCCTGTGGAGAAAGCGTGGCAGTTCCTCAAAAATTAAACACAGTATCAACACATGATCCAGTAATTCCACTTCTAGGTGCGTACTTAAAGAAACTAAAAGTGAGGACTCAAGCAGATATTTGTACGCACATGTTTATAGCAGCATTGTCCACAATAGCCAAGGGTGGAAGTGACCCAGGTGTTTATTGACAGATGAATGGATAGACCAAAAGTAGTCTATCCATACAGGGAATGTTATTCAGCCTTATAAAGGAAGGAAATCCTGACACATGCTACAACACAGATGAAACTTGAGGACATTGAGCTAAGTGAATAAGCCAGTCACGAAAGGACAAATAGTGTGATTCTGTATATACATGGTACCTCGATTAGTCTGATTCATTGAGACAGAAAGTAGAATGGTGGTTGCTGGGGCTCGGGGAGAAGGGAAATGTGGTTTAATGGGTATGAAATTTCATTTTGGGAAGACGAAATGTTTTGGGAATGGATGGTGGTAGTGGTTGGACAACCACGTGAATGTACTTAATGCCACAGGAATGTACACATAAAATTGGCTAAAACGGTAAATTTTATGTTATCTATATTTTACCACGATTTTTTTAAAAAAGAGAAAAAAAGCTTTCCACAAAAACATACTCCAGAATCAGATGACTTTGCAGGTGAATTCTATCAAATCATATCAGTCCTTCACAAACTCTGAGAAAAGAGAAGAGAAATTTATTGTAGGAGGCCAGCATTATCCCAGTGACAGAGCTAGACAAACACATCACAAGAAAAGAAACGTACAGAACAAAACCCCCAGTAAAGAGAGACAGCAAACTTCACAGCGAAATATTAGCAACCTAGCTGCACATAAAAAGTATTATTTACCATGACCAGATAAGATTATCCCATAAGTTCTTTACCCTGGAATCAGGAACAGGATAAGGATGTCCACTTTACCAGTGCTATTCAACTTAGTACTGGAAGTTCCAGCCAGGATAATAAGGCTAAAACAAAACAAAAACAGAAGATGGAAGTTAAAGATATCCAGATTGGCCGGGCGCAGTGGCTCGTGCCTGTAATCCCAACACTTTGGGAGGCCGAGGCGGGTGGATCATTTGAGGTCAGGAGTTTGAGACCAGCCTGACCAACATAGTGAAACCCTGTCTCTACTGAAAATACAAAAATTAGCCGCTCATGGTGGCGCATGCCTGTGATCCCAGCTACTCAGGAGGCTGAGGCATAGAATCTCTTGAACCCGGGAGGCGGAAGTTGCAGTGAGCCGAGATCACGCCATTGCACTCCCATGTGGGTGGATGACAGAAGAGGTCTCCGTCTCAAAAATAAAAATAAAAAGAGTTCTTGCTCTATTCATGAGGGATAGTGGTAAGGAAGATTACTTGAATATGTAGACTTTGATTCTGGGGGTCCTGAACCAAAGATCACAACTGGTGAAAAAAAAAAAAAAACACCCAAGACTTCTAAATCTGAGGATGTCACTGTGATTGAACATATTGTTTGGTATGATGTATAACAGTGCATCAAAGCCAGTGAAGAAAGGAGCAAATAGAATTGGTAAAAGTTCATAATACAGCAAGCCTAACAAGAAACAGTTAATTTGGGAATCTCAGCTTAAACTTTTGACCTTTTGAAGAGAAGAAATGTTCGTGCCATATCACTCACTGTCTGGTAGCCCCTGTGCCATTGACCCTACCTTGGAGAGTTTGTGTGAAATAAAATGAGATTCCCTTTGCTCTGCCCCACTGTGAGTCACCAGGGTGCCTTGGAAGTGGCAGAGTCTGGTTGGAGCAGGTGAAGTGAGAGTGAGTCTGGAACACACTGCTGTTGTCGGAAAGCAAAGATGCCACCACAGCCAGACCTAGGGGGTGTGAAAATGGAAAAATAGTGACCATCCTGACAACAGGGTCCCAGTAGTAATGACTTGAACATTAACAAGGAAGCAAAGATTTTGGCCCATTGGAATCAGTTGAGTGTGTGGAAGGCCACAGTTCTTGCTATGGTGGGAAAAGGGCAAATCACATCCACTGTGCCGGAGCAGAGGCTCTCCTGCTAGTGTGTTCGTGCATCAATGCCTGGGTTTCTTCCCCAGTGTCAAAAAGGGACAAATCTTACCACTGCTTTTCGCCTTTTTAAGAAAAGTGAAACGATTTGTTGAATTCAGTGCTTCTCAAAGTGTGGTTCATTGATCCCTGGGGTTCCACAAGGTCAAATATTTTTATAATAATAATAAGATGTGATTTGTTTTTCTCAGTCTCATCCTTTGGTGAGTGTACAGTAAAGATTTCCAGAGGCCACATGACCTGTGATATCACAACAGATTAAATGCAGGAGTAGATACGAAAATTCCACTCTGTGTGTACTATGCAGACATTTAAAAGTTTCACAAAACTGTAAACTAATGCCACTCTGTCTGGAATTTTTTTTTTTTTTTTTTTTTTGACGGAGTCTCACTCTGTCACCCAGGCTGGAGTGCAGTGGTGTGATCTTGGCTCACTGCAACTTCTGCCTCCTGGGTTCAAGTGATTCTCCTGCCTTAGTCTCCTGAGTAGCTGGGATTACAGGCACCCACCACCACACCTGGCTGATTTTTTTTTTTTTTTTTTTTTGTATTTTTAGTAGAGACGGTGTTTTGCCATGTTGGCCAGGCTGGTCTTGAACCCCTGACCTCAGGTGATCCATCCGCCTTGGCCTCCCAAAGTGTTACAGGAGTGAGCCACAGCACCCAGCCTGGAATTTTTTTTAACTTAAAATATGTTATTTTTTAACTTAAAATATGTTATTTGTGTTAGCAAACAATGGGTTTATATATTATTATTAAATAAATCAAGTGCATATCTTTTATTGTCTCCGTTTTAATTTCTAGTACAGTAACTATCAGTAAACAAACAATAAACAAAGGTTTTTGGAGGCCCTCAATAGTTCTTAAGATCATAAAGGGATCCTGAGACCAAAAACTGTGAGAAACACTGGTTTGCTCCACTTTCTTCTTCTTGCCTTTCAAGTTCACATATTTATTGCAGTGGGAGGCACGGGCATTTGTTGTTTCTGTCTTCTATGCAAGAAATGCCTTAAAAGAAAGAAAGGAAAATCAGCCCCACTTTAGAATGGCCTGCAGCCCCTTTGGAGGGCTGGGGAGGGGTGTTCCATGCATCTGGAAAATGCAAGGACCTGTAAGAACTAAGGAATGCTCTACAGTCATTGGGCACACTCACAGCTCATCTCCAGAAAAGCATGGGGGTCTAGGGGGACATGACTGCCCCCAGAACACCAAGGGTGGGTGAGGGGCTTCACAAAGCACTGATGGAATCCTTCCTCCAACCAGATGACCACATCATCTATCTGGGAGCCTTCATGGGGACTTGGGGTCAGGCTGCAGGGCTCTCTGCTCTAAATGGACACTACACGTACATTTTGCTTACATTTAAGGGAGCTCGCATGCCTCCCCAGTGTCTGTTCAACTCTTCTCGTCCATCATAACACCTTTCAATAACCACAGAGATTGACAAGCTCTATCACAGAGCAATTACAAACCACAACAGAACGTTGTCAGAAATGGACATGACTTTTATCAGCAGGCAGTCTTCTGACAGAACTTACTTAACCCTCTCCTTTAAAGGGTCTCTTGAAATCTCTGGGTTCCTCCCTCCCGAAAGTGAGAAAAGCCTGTCAGATAAGGAAATTTTCAGGAATGCCTTATTTAAACAACAGCGCCACTGACAGAAGTGTTACACAACAACTAACAATAGATGGTATTTGAAAAGAAAAAGTGCTCCAGAGAAGATCAGGCAAACTAGTAAACATCTGCAGGAAGTGAATTCTCCTCCCCAGTTGTAGAGACTCATCTTGCTGTCAGAGAAGAGAGAGGTAAGATTTAGCAGTGTTAGATAAGGGAAGGTATAGGAAGTCCAAAATTGTAACCTTCAAACTATTTTGGATTCTGAGAACAAGATAGTACTCAACATAATTAAAATTTTCGGAAACTTAAAGTGGGCCAAGGAAAAGCAATTGATTGCTTACAGTGCACACCATGAATCCACAAAACTGAAATTTACCCCCAGAAATAGATACCAATAAGAGCCATTGGCTAACAGTCCTGCTCAATGGCATAGATCTTCTAAGAGTGACAGCATATGGGGAGGTCACTTTTAATGTTTCCCAAGTCTTTCGAAATCTGTGGCAAGATGTTTTATTAGGAATTGGGTGTAGCCTAACCAGACATTCGGGAGAGCCCTCATCAGGCAGAGAGAAAGCATATATAGGGTGGGGTCTGTAAGGTGGGGGGGTCTGGGAGGGTGGGAGTGTGGGAGCCTCTTGTGCTCATGTGCTTTCTTTGCTGCTTAGTGTGCAATATTTATTTACTTATTTTTATTTTTATCTTTTTTGAGACAAAGTCTGGCTCTCTTGCCCAGGCTTGAGCACAGTGATATGATGTCCACTCACTGCAACCTCCATCTCCCAGGCTCAAGTGATCATCCTGCCTCAGCCTCTTGAGTAGCTGGGACTACAGGTGTGCACCACCATGCCTAGCTAATTTTTGTATTTTTGGTAAAGACAGGGTTTTGCCATGTTGTTCCTGGGCTCAAGCGATGCACCTGCCCTGTTCTTGGGCTTAAACAATGCACCTGCCCCTGCCTCCCAAAGAGCTAGGATTACACACGTGAGCCACCGCACCTGGCTGCTGATACCCAATATTAGCATGGTGTTTGGCATGCAACAGGTGCTCAGTAGACACTTCATGAATGAGTGAGGATGGTGTTATTGCATTGGATCTTACCCTAAAAAGAAAGAAATGGAAATCAGGGAACAGCTATGAGAAGGAGATTGGGGAGGAAGAAGGATACATTTAGCAACATTTTATTACTTTTCCAGGATCAACACACCCTGGAGGTGCTCTCTCACTGTCTGGGATGTTCTACGCCCTTGGGGTTTAGGCCCTGTGGCTACTTTCTCAGTCTTCTTTGGTGCTCTGGGAAAGTTTTGTAAAGGACTTACTTTTATCTCTCTCTTTTAAATTGTTCTCTTTAAATGTTTTGAAAAGCAAAAAGTACTAGAAGTGGGCTTGAAAGGAACTTAATGCCAGCTAATGGACAACTCAGTCAAATTAGATGAAGATTGTGTTACAGAGCTGAGAAGAGGTAGTCAGATGGCGGAAACAATCTCCTCCTGATTGGGGAAAAGAAATCAGGGCATGTGCATGCAGTGTGTCCGTCTTCCGGTTTCTATTTATGAATCATACCTACTTCATCATCTCTGTGGGGAATAAATGAGATAAATAAAAAGTGCTTAGTGTGCAATATATTCTTAGTGAATATTAGTGCCTCTCCTTCCTTCCTTGATTTGAAGAAGGGAGTGGAGTCCTCATATGCTTTTCACATTTTATTTTAATAGACTTTATTTTGTAGCACAGTGTTAGGTTGAAGGAAAAATTGCACAGAAAAGTACAAAGAGTTCCTATATACCTCCTCTCCCACATCCACACTCCCTGTTATTAACATAGTGCCTTAGTGTGGTACATTTATTACAACTGATGAACCGATATTGATACATTATGGTTAAGTAAAGTCCACAGACTACATTAGCATTCACTCTTCCTGTTGTACATTCTACAGGTTTTGCCAAGTGCATAATGTCATGTATCCATCATTACAGTATCAGAAGGAATAGCTTCACTGCCCTAAAGACCCCCTGCACTCCGCCTAGTCATCCCTCCCTCCCCTTGAACCTCTGGCAACCTCTGACCTTTTAACTGTCTATAATTTTGCCATTTCCAGAATGTCATGTAGTTGGAATTATACCGAATGCAGCCTTTTTAGACTGGTTTCTTTTACTTAGCAATATGTATTTACAGTTCCTCCATGAATATTTGTGACTTGATAGCTCATTTCTCTTTATACCTGAGTAATAATCTATGAGTCCATTATATGGACTTATATGCATTTTTAATACCAATTATCTACTGTCATCTTAAGCACTGGAGTTGAGGTAGAATGCATAGCTTTAAGCACTATGGCTAGGGAAAATCTGACCTCTCCAAGAGGCAATATACATGTAGTTGTTAAAAACATTGCTTTTGCTGTTAAACATACCTGAGTGTAGCAATATTCAACATCCGAAAAGTATGTATTGAACATGGTGTATAACCAGTGTTGCGTCTGACACTCCCGGCCCTGCAGATAGAGTGGGAGCAACACAGACACAGTCCCTGTGTTGCTGTCCCGCTGGCCCTGCCTCCCACCCCACAGATGTTCTGTCTGTTTCACACCCGCCTGTACTTACTCTGCACCAGGAACTGTCTGACATGCCTCATAAATACTGACTCATTTAATCCTCAAAACGACCTTATGAGTCAGTCCCATTATTAGTGCCATTTTACAGATACGGAAACTGAGGCACAGAATATTAAGTTACTTGCTCTCCATTCCCCTACTACTAAGCAGCAGGGGTGGGATTCAGACTCAGGCAGTGTGGCTTTAGAGTCTCCTTCCTAACAATGGAACTATGCTGCCTTGAGCGGAAGGCCAACACGAGGGTGGAGAATTAGGTAGGCGATAGCAACACAGCGTGTTTGGCCCACGCTTCACCTGGTTGTCATTGCAGAGGGGCGAGGGGAGTGGTCAGGAAAAACTAGCTGGGCGAAGCAGCACTGTCGTGTGCTCTGAAATACATTAAAGCCTGATGGGCATTTCCTAAAGTGTGAATGAGACTCAATTCTTGACTTCTCCGTGCCTCGTGTCCCCCCGGTAATGAGAGCAGCCGCCTTACAGGTTGTGAGGTCTGAGTGAGAAATAAACGGTGCCATGGGAAGACAGCCACACTCGCTAGCTGTGATGAGGAGCGTAAGGACCAGGTCCTGACTTCCTGCAGGCTCTCACTTGGCCCTTGTCTGAGTCCTTGGGCTGGTGTCCACTGCTGGGGAAGAAGGCAGAGTAGGGGAAAGAAGGAAGCTCAGAAACAAGGTACAGGGGGCTGCCTGCAGACTACTTAAGAGCATCAGTTTGCTTCTTAAACTGATACACTGGCTCTGAAGTCAGTGCCAGAAGAGCTCCAGAATGGTTTCTAGTGGTGGTATCCTAAACACACACACTTCCAGGGGGCAGTTTTGATGCAGAACCCTCATTTGGACTTTTTCTTTTTTTTTTTTTTTTTTTTTTAAGCAAACCTCTCTTTGCTTTATACCAGATTGCATAGACAGCCTTTTAGAAATCACTCAGAAAATGTGTCTTCCTCCAGTCACTGTAGTTCACCATAATAATGTGAAATGTAGGACCTGTGGATTGACTTTATGAGTCCAGGACCTATGTTAGCACTGCATTCCTTTGAGTCTGGTCATCTTCAAGCCAAAGCCAGTAACAGTGCAGGCTTGCTCACCCACCTGAGCCTGCAGCTGGTCCTGAGCTTTCTCCCAACAATCCCCTCAGATCTGTGTCTGAAAATGCATCTGTAACAGTGATGGCATTCCCTCATCATATGACACTTTGTATTTTATTTGTATAAAATAAAGCCAGAGTTACTGTATTAGGCAGGGTTCTCCAAAGAACTAGAACCAATGGAGATATATAAATATATGTATGTGTGTATATATGTGAATTTATATCTGTGTGTGTATATATATATTATATTATATACAATACCTGATGTCACACCATTCAGAATTCAGTAAATGTGTTAACTTTTGTCACTCCTATAAAGTCAGGCATTGGGTCCTAAACATGTATTAGAACATGTCAATTACCTTTTTGTGTTATGCTCTGTATTAACAGCCTGAACCAAGGAGCGCTATAAAGGCTTTGCTTTCCCCTCATTAGTGGCTGACTTTGCACGTTATTTCTCATCTGGACATTGGATTCTGCAAGTCCTCCATTTATGGTAAGGAATGGTAGTTTCGTTTGTCTGGTTTAGGTAGATTTTATTGTTGTTTACTTTCAGATTTCATAAAAATATGTTACTTTCAGATTTCATAAAATATAAAAATTTCAGATTTCATAAAAGTATGTTAAAAATATACTAAAAAATATTTTTGGACATATGGGCAAAGGGGCAGACAAGGATACTTTAACATTAAAGACTTTCTTGGGCCTGATGTCTTAACCGTCCCAGAGGGATCTGTACTGACCCACCTCCACTCTCCCAAACAGTAATTATTCAGAAAATATAATCAATGCAGATTGTAAAGATTAAAAAACATGAATGATTTAAACTAAGTATTATTTCCCTTTGGAGGACACACATGCACACCTGCACAAGTGCATATGTGCACACACTTCATCCTATTTAACAGGAAAATTGTTGGAAGCCTACTTCTTTATGGAAGAGCTCCATTTTGTATTCCTTGTTACCTGTGGAGACAAACTTAATACATGATTTCTAAGATGGTATATTCAAGAGCCATTCTCTGTGACTTTTCAGGCTCAGATTTAATGGCTAGTGATGTAGTGAAAGCCTGGGGCAGCTCATGATGAGGACCCTCAGTTTCTCAGCATGAGGCTCTATCTCACTGGCCACTCCACTGTCAGTAATAACCACCATCGAAAATTGAAGTCCCCTAGCAAAACACGCCCATTGCTGTTACTTCATTTTGTCTCTGAGACAAAGGTCTTTAATTGGAGGACACCCTCAGAAGTGTTGGGCAGTCACCTGGCCTTGATGCCTTTATCATCATGGGGAAGCCTGCACTGACCACCTCCAATCTCCTGCTAACTCCACTCCAGCCTAACAAAGCAGAAGCCGAGAGAAGCCCTCTGCGCAGACACGCAGCATCTGGGGTGCCAACTTCACACTCTTTCTTGTCAAGGCCCTGGCACTATTCTTACTCTTCCTAAAGAAAGACTTAGTGTTTCAGAAGGATGTACAGCATGGGTTCAGCCCAAGAAACACAGTGAGTGGCCATTTAATCAAAAACTAATATAAATAGCTTAAAGAGTGAAAGGATTATTCCAATAAGGGCTGAGTCTATTTTTCTATAAGGAGTGAAGCCAGGGAGCTGAAGCAGCCCAGTTACTCACAACCACAGAAATGACCTATACTGAAGACACTCCACTGAGTCACTGTTTAACCACCTAGGCCCCTCGGCAGGAGGGGACTCTGCTGACAAGCCTTTGGGGTCAGTCCTGAGACAACACCTTGATATGTGGCCCAGTGGGTAGCAAAGAATTCTGAGGTGTTCAACATTCCCCAGTTGAAAATGCATTGAGGGGTAGAAGCACTATGGAAGGCCAGGGTCACAAAGTGTGAGTGCTGAAGGCCGACTTGTTTATGGTGTCTGAGTCTCACATTGCTGCTGTCCTATGTAAACAAATGTTAGCAGGGCCCCATGGAAGTGAGCAGGCTTACACGCCTTTGGGAGGGGCATGCACCAGCATGACTCTTCAGGAGGCCAGCTTGGCAGTGTGTCTTAGAAGCCCTTTGACACAGCGATTTACGTGGAAGAGTTTATGAGACACAAATTGCTGCATGATTTATACAATAGAGTTTGAAAAGATGTGAAACACAGGCATGATACAAATAAATTATGTACCTCTATCCAGTAAAACACTCTATAGTCCTAAAACATTACATGCTAGAAGAACATTTAAGGACAGAAAAAAAATTCACCATGTATAGTTAAGTAAAAAGTGTATGAAACAGTATCACCCTGATTCCATTTTAAATTATTTAAAATGCCAAATTAAAGTTTAAAAATTAAAATTAAAAAGTGTCTAGATACATGATTAACAAGATTTTAAACAAGTCCCTTGAGATTTCATTCCCTTACCCCCAGAACTTGTGAACAGGGTGAGGTATCACTCCATGATTATGTTATGCTATATAGCACAGTTGCTCTTAATACAGAAAGATTCTCCTCGTGGGCCTGACATAATCACATGAGACCCTTTAAAAGCAGAGAATCTTTCAGGCTGTTTGAGGAAAGGAAGCCAGAGAGATTTGAAGCATGAGAAGTGGTCAATGCACCGCTGTTGGTGTGAACCTGGAGGAAGCAGGTGAGGAGGGAATCAGACAACCTTAAAGAGCTGAGAGATGGGGAGCTGACAGTTCGCCAGGATACGAGGATCTCTGTCCTGCAGATGCAAGGACTTGAACTTGGTCAAGAACCCAGTGATATTGGAAGCAGATTCTTCCCCAGAGCCTCCATGGAAGAGCCTAGCCTGGCCAACGCCTCAATATCATCTTGGGAGACACTGCACAGAGAACCCAGTCAAGCCATGCAGAACTTCGGATCTACAGAACTGTGAGCTAATAAATCTGTATTGCTTAAAGCTACATATGTGTGGTAATTTGTTACACAGAAATGGGATACTAATGCAAAAAAAAAAAAGCACAGAAAAGACTAAAAGATGAGAATCTAAAACAATAATAGCAGCCAGTCTCAGTAATAGAATGCTTCCATTATTGTGGATCTTATGTGATGGGTATGGGCTCTCTTTGAATTCAGGAAAAAGACATATTTTAATAAGCAGAAAAATGCATAATTATATCTTTACAAAAGAAAAAGATAAAATAATGTGTATGGTATTCATTCAGAAAGGGTAGATTTAAAAGGAGAAAAAACTTCTTTCTCTAACTTACCAATTATATCCAGGGATTCTTTGTGTTAAAAGATTTTCTTAATTCAGGAAGTTCACTTAGGAAAAGTGAGACAGTTTATAAGTGTGTCACTTTATATATGGTCATTTCTTTGTCCCATACAGGCACTCAAAAATTATTTGCATAATCCTCCTAGGTGTACAACTCCAGTTACCTGGGAATCTCATCCCCATCCCCCACAGCAGCCGCAGCAAGACCGGCCCAAGGAGACTCTGAGCTCAGACACGCCTAGCCCTGCCCCCATCTGATGGTCCTTCTCTACCCACCCTGGTAGCAGAAAACAAAGGACATATAATCTTGGGATTTCTAGGGCCCTGCCCACTGCCAGTCCCTCTCCACACTACCACAGCTGATGCTTTCTGGCAAGTGCCACCTCCTGGCAGGAGGCCAACCAACGCAAAAATAGAGCATTAAACCACCAAATCTAAGGACCCTCACAGAGTCCATTGCACCCTCCGTCACCTCCACTGGAATAGGCACTAGTATATACGGCTGAGAGACCCATAAATGGTTCACATCACAGACAACCCCCAGAACCAGCTTGGAGCCAGGTAGACTCACTGGGTGGCTAGACCCAGAAGAGAGACAATAAACACTATAGTTTGGCTCACAAGAAGCCACATCCATAGGAAAAGTGGGAGAGTACTACATCAAGGGAACACCTTGTGGAACAAAAATATCTGAACAACAGCCTTCAGCCCTAGACCTTCCCTCTGGTAGAGCCTACCCAAATGAGAAAGAACTAGAAAACCAACCCTGGTAATACGACAAAACAAGGCTCATCAACAGCCTCGAAAAATCATGCTAGTTCACCAGCAATGGATCCAAACCAAGAAGAAATCCCTGAATTACCTGAAAAAGAATTCAGGGGGTTAGTTATTAACCCAATTAGGGAGGAACCAGAGAAACGTGAAGCCCAGTGTAAGGAAATCCAAAAAAATGATACAAGAAGCGATGGGAGAAATATTCAATGAAATAGACAGTTTAAAGGAAAAAAAATAAAATGTCAGGAAACTTTGGACACACTTTTAGAAATGCAAAATGCTCTAGAAAGTCTCAGCAATAGAATTAAACAAGTAGAAGAAAGAAATTCAGAGCTTGAAGAATTAACCCAATCCAACAAAGACAAAGAAAAAAGAATAAGAAAATATGAATAAAGCCTCCAAGAAGTCTGGGATGATGTTAAACAACAAAACCTAAGGATAATCAGGTTCATGAGGAAGAAGACAATTCTAAAATCTTGGAAAACATATTGTGGGGAATAATAAAGGAAAACTTCCCCAGCCTTGCTAGAGACCTAGACATGCAAATACAAGAAGCACAAAGAAAACGTGGGAAATTCGTTGCAAAAAGATCTTCACCTAGGCACATTGTCATCAGGTTTTCCAAAGTTAAGATGAAGGAAAGCATCTTAAGAGCTGTGAGACAGAAGCACCAGGTAACCTATAAAGGAAAACCTATCAGATTAACAGCAGATTTCTCAACAGAAATGCTAACAGCTAGAAGGGATTGGGGGCCTATCTTCAGTCTCCTCAAACAAAACAATTATCAGCCAAGAATTCTGTATCCGGTGAAACTAAGCATCATATATGAAGGAAAGATACAGTCATTTTCTTTCCTTCAACAAATGCTGAGAGAATTCACTATTACCAAGCCACCACTACAAGAACTGCTAAAAGAGCTCTAAATCTTGAAACAAACCCTGGAAACACATCAAAACAGAATCTCTTTAAAGTACAAATCACACAGGACCTATAAAACAAAAATGCAAGTTAAAAAAACAAAAACAAAAAACAAAAAATAAAGAGCATGATGAATGCAACAGTACCTCACGTTTCAATACTAACATTGAATGTAAATGGCCTAAATGTTCCTTTTAAAAGGTACAGAACTGCAGAATGGAAAAGAACTCACCAACCAACTACCTGCTGTCTTCAGGAGACTCACCTAACACATAAGGATTCGCATAAACTTAAAGTAAAGGGGTGGAAAAAGACATTTCATGCAAATGGACACCGAAAGCAAGCAGGGGTAGCTATTCTTATATCAGACAAAACAAGCTTTATAGCAACAGTGGTTAAAAGAGACAAAAAGGAGCATTATATAATGGTAAAAGGCCTTGTCCAACAGGAAAATATCACAATCCTAAGCATATATGCAGCTAACACAGGAGCTCCCAAATTTATAAAACCATTACTAATAGACCTAAGAAATGAGATAGCACACCATAATAGTGCAGGACTTCAATACTCCACTGACAGCACTAGACAGATTATCAAGACAGAAAGTCAACAAAGAAACAACGGATTTAAACTATACCTGGGAACAAATGGACTTAACAGATATATACAGAACATTTCATCCAACAACTGCAGAATACACATTCTATTCAAGAGCGCATGGAACTTTCTCCAAGATAGACCATGTGATAGGCCATAAAACGAGCCTCAATAAATTTAAGAAAATTGAAATTATATCAAGCACTCTCTCAGACCACAGTGGAATAAAACTGGAAATCAACTCCATAATGAACTTTCAAAACCACACAAACACATGGAAATTAAATAAACTGCTCCTGAATGAGCACCGGGTTAAAAACGAAATCAAGATGGAAACTAAAAAATTCTTTGAACTGAATGACAATAATGACACAATTTATCATAACCTCTGGGATACAGCTAAGGCGGTGCTAAGCGGAAAGCTCACAGCCCTAAATGCCTACATCGAAAAGTCTGAAAGAGCACAAACAATCTAAGGTCACCCCTCAAGGAACTAGAGAAACAAGAACAAACCAAACCCAAACCAGCAGAAAAAAGGAAATAACCAAGATCAGAGCAGAACTAAATGAAACTGAAACAAACAAAGAAAAATATATAAAAGATAAATGAAACCAAAAGCTGGTTCTTTGACAAGATAAATAAAATTGATACACCATCAGCAAAATTAACCAAGAAAAGAAGAGAGAAAATCCAGATAACCTCACTAAGAAACGAAACAGGAAATATTACAACTGACACCACTGAAATACAAAAGATCACTCAAGCCTACTATGAACACCTTTACACGCATAAAATAGAAAACCTAGAGAGGGATACATTCCTGGAGAAATACAACCCTCCTTGATTAAATCAGGAAGAATTAGATACCCTGAACAGACCAACAACAAACAGAGAGACTGAAACAGTAATTTTAAAATTCCCTGCACGTTCTGCACATGTATCCCAGAACTTAAAGTATAATTAAAAAAACAAAGCAACCTATTTTGCAAAGCTGTAGGATATACTATCAGTATATAAAAATCACTTGTGTTTCTATACAGTAGCAATGAGCAAACTGCAAATAAAATTAGAAAAGCAATTTCATTTACAATAGCATCAAAAAGAATAAAGTACCCAGGAATACATTTAACAGAAGTTGAAACTTTATTTAAAAAAAAAATTCCAACAAAAAAAGTCCCAGACCAGATGGATTCACAGCAGAATTCTACCAGATGTTCAAAGAAGAATTGGTACCAATCCTTTTGACACTATTCCACAAGATAGAGAAAGAAGGAACCTTCCCTAATTAATTCTATGAAGCCAGCATCACCCTAATACCAAAACCAGGAAAGGACACAACCAAAAGAGAAAACTACAGACTGATATTTTTGATGAACATGGATGCTAAAATCCTTAACAAAATACTAGCTAACCGAATCCAACAACACATCAAAAAGATAATCCATCATGATCAAATGGATTTCATACCAGGAATACAGGGATGGTTTAACATACACAAGGCAATAAATGTGATACACCACATAAACAGAACTAAAAACAAAAATCATACGATTATCTCAATAAATGCAGAAAAAAAATCGACAAAATCCAGCATCCCTTTGTGATTAAGACCCTCAGCAAAGTCAGCATACAAGGGACATACCTTAATGTAATAAAAGCCATCTGTGACAAAGCCACAGCCAACATAATACTGAATGGGGAAAAGTTGAAGGTATTTCCTCTGAGAACAGGAACGAGACAAGAATTCCCACTCTCACCACTCCTCTTCAACATAGTACTGGAGGATATTACACTAAGTGAAATAAGCCAAGCACAGCAAGACAAATACCACATGACTCACTTATATGTGGAGCATAAAAAAAGTCAAACTCATAGAAACAGAGAGTAAAATGGTGGTTACCAGAGGCTGGAAGGTGGCAGAATTGGGGAGATGTTGGTTAAAGGACACAAAATTAGACAGGAGGAATATTGTACAACGTGGTGACTCGGATTAGTAACAATATATAGTATATTTTAAAATTACTCAAAGAGTAGATTATAAGTGTTCTCTCCACAAAAAAAAGTATGTAAGGTAATGCATATGATAAATAGCTTGATTTAGCCATTCCACAATGTATACACATATCAAAACATATATAGGTATAGGAGGCATGTATAGATGGTATATATAGGTATAGAGGGCATTGTACAGTGTAAATTGTACCTTTTATCATTATCAAACGACCCTGCTCACTGAATGCTCTTTGCCCCACATTAAATCTTTCCTGATATTTTTATTGCCACCTTGCTTTCTTCTGATTTTGTTTCCCTAGTTGTTTGCCCATCTTCTGTCATCTCAAATGTCCTGTGCCATTTTGTCATCTGTTATTTGTTTTTATATGCAGCTTTTACATGGGTTATGAGTCAATCTGAAAATCATTTTTTCCTTTTAATAAAGCAGTTCATCCCTTATTTGATGTTACGGATGTGTTTGCCTTTCTCTCTTCACCTCTTATTTTCTTATGTCTTCTGTGCCGCTGCTTCATTTTAAAAATCTTTTGCTGTTTGGCTTCTCTTTTTGAGTGTGTCAATATTTTCCTTTTTATAAAGAAGTAGCTTTACAACTCTTCATAATTTACTTAAACCTTTTTTCTTTACTGACAAACTTTAATAATATCTATTGATTCCCTGCAATGAAACAAGCACTTCCTTTGCCTAATTTTTGTTTTAATATTAATACTATAATTCTACAAGTGGCTGTTATTATATCTTTTAACATGCCTTCCCAATTCAAGATCACTTCCATGAGCCCTAGATTTGGCCAGCCAACTGTCTACCTAACATCACTGCTGGGTGGCTAAGTGCCTCCAACTTGATGTGTCAAAACCAAATCATGATTCCAGCCTCCCAGACGCTTTCCTTTCACACTTTCCCACATTTCAGTAAAGAGATGACTCTTTTACCTCCTTACCAGGTCAAAAACTGAGGTGTCATCCTCAATTCCTTCTTTGTCTTTATCCAGCAAAGTTCAATCCAACAAGTCATGTCATTTCTTCTCCACAGCACAATTGATTCCATTCACTTCTCACCCTCATCACTCCAGCCCCCTCAGTGTGACACCAGCACGTCTTCCTGGAGGAGGCAGGAGCCTCATTACTACCCCCTAGCCCTGCACACACACTCTACCCTCAACATTCATTCATTCTACACATGGAGATAACACTACTGTCCTGCTTTACATCCTTCACAGACTCCATTGTTCTTAAACTAACACTCCATTTCTTCCTCAATGCCTGCAAGGCAGGGTTCTGCAATGGGCCAGACATTCTAGGGCAGCCTCTCTGTATCTCTATTGCCCTAGCAGGGCTTGGTCATCCTGTCCAGCTCTGAAGCCCTTTCCACTCAGGGCTCATACACTTGCCCTAAAAGGTTCCTTCCCAGGTCCACACACGACTGCCACAGCTACTCCTTCAGGTCAAGCTCAGACATCACCTCCCCAGAGAGGCCATTCTTGACCTGGCATCCACTTTCTCCACCACATCTCTACCCTTACTATCATTATAACAAAGACCACCAAGTTACCGATCTTACTGTTGGCCAATTTTTGGTTGTCTTCTCCCCTCACTAGAGTGCAAGTTCCATGGGGACAACTGCATGACTGTCTATCCCAGGCTGGAAGCTGTGACAGACTCAGAAAAGATTTTCAAATGAAGGAATATACTTAAACATATTTATTTATTTATTTATTTATTTATTTATTTTTGAGACAGAGTTTTGCTCTTGTCCAGGCTGGGGTGCAATGGCGTGATCTGGGCTCACCACAACCTCTGCCTCCTGGATTCAAACGATTCTCCTGCCTCAGCCTCCTGAGTAGCTGGGATTACAGGCATGTGCCACCATGGCCAGCTAATTTTGTATTTTTAGTAGAGATGGGGTTTCTCCATGTTGGTCACGCTGGTCTTGAACTCCCGACCTCAGATGATCAGCCCACCTCAGCCTCCCAAAGTGCTGGGATTACAGGTGTGAGCCACTGTGCCCGGCCTAAACACCTTTTTTGTTTATCAAATTTGGGAAGTATATAGCAATTCCATATGATGGCAGTGGAGAAATTTACTCACTTTACACCTTCTCCATCTTCTCATTTTCTTAGTCCCTTCTCATTTGTGTCTCCTTGTTGCTTATAATACAGTACTTACCTTCCATTCGATACACACAATCCCCGTGCTCTGTGAATTTTATTTATTTGTTTTTTAAATTGAAAAGTAGGCCAGGCATGGTGGCTCATGCCTGTAATCCCAGCACTTTGGGAGGCTGAGGTGGGTGGATCATTTGAGGTCAGGAGTTTGAGACCAGCCTGACGGACATGGTGAACCCCGTCTCTATTAAAAATACAAAAAAAAAAAAAAATAGCCAGGCATGGTGGCGCATGCCTGTAATCCCAGCTACTCAGGAGGCTGAGGCAGGAGAATGGCTTGAGCCCAGGAGACAGAGGTTGAAGTGAGCTGAGATTGCGCCACTGCACTCCAACCTCGGCAACAGAGCGAGACTTCATCTAAAAAAAAAAAAGTAAACACTATGTATATTTAGGGTATACAAAATGATCATGAATCTCCACATTCCAAATAATCTATTATCAAAATTTATAAAGCAAAAACTGAAGGAAACACAGGGAGACATGGAAATACAACAGCCGTAGGAGACATTAACTCACTTGTCAGCTACTGACAGATCAAGTAGAGAAAAATTCAGTAAGAACATAGACAGTGGCCTTGAAAATGCACCGTGCACCGGAATTGTCTGTGATGTGCCTAAAACTGCCATCCAGAAGCTTCTATGTTAGCAAGTCCGGAGCAACACCCAGGAATCTGAGCTTTCACATGCTCCTCAGGTAATTCTAATGAACAGAAAACATTTCAAAATAAAAACCATGAGGAGATTCTAAATGATGCACAGAATAAGGTAAATCTAATAAATATATAGTGAATGCTATGCCTGGAATAAAACAGAATACAGCTTATTTTGAACTGTTCATGAAATACTTACTGATTATAGATAAAGCCCCAAATGAAACTTCAAAAAAAATTCTATAAAGTAGAAATAGTTCAGGTAACATTTTCAGATTACACTGTATTAATGAGAAATAAAGGAAAATTAACAAACAGAAAAACGCAAACATCAAAAGACATTTAACTTTCTCTTGTACAATAAGCAGATCTGGCCCCAAAGAGGGACTCAAAATCAAATTTGTGCAATACTTACAAAGTAGTACTTTAAAAAAAAGTATGTATCATAATCCATAACACTTGGTTAGCTTACACTCAGGGAAAAATTCTAGGCCTTAAACAGTTCCACTACAAAACAAGAAAGAATACAAATAAATGAAAGGGAAGAGATGACATCTTAGTTTTGCACCATCTCAGAGCTATGAGATTGGCTGATAATCTGTTCATATGCCTGCTGACCACTGCTTTTCCCCTTTCACTTTCTTCTGTTTGTATCTTTTCTTAAAGGTTGGTAGAAAATATTTACGCAGTTTTCTCCACCTCAAGTTCATGAACATTTTTTCTTATACTTTAAATAAGTTTTATCATAAAAGACTTTAAAATTCAGAGAAGATTAGAGAATAAAACAATCCAAATCCCATACATCCACCACTCAGTTACAACACATTTTCATATTTTGCCATGTTGCTCGTTTTTGCCATTTTAATCAAGTTTTACTATAAAATACTTTAAAATTCGATAAATTTAAGGAATAATATAATAAATACCCACATACCCACCACCCAGTTTTTACACACCCTAATATTTTGCCTTTTTTTGCCTATTTTTTTTTTTAAGTATTAAAGTATCACCTGTGGGCATTCAGAGGGCTTATGGTGGCAGTAGGAATTTTGTTTTGTTTTGTTTTGTGACGGAGTCTCGCTCTATCGCCCAGGCTGGAGTGCATGGCGATACCTCAGCTCACTGCAACCTCCACCTCTCGGGTTCAAGCAATTCTCCTGCCCCAGCCTCCCAAGTAGCTGGGACTACAGGTGTGTGCCAGCTACTGCACTACAGGTTGACCCACTGCAACCTCTGCCTCCCAGGGTCAAGTGACCCTCCTGTCTCATCCTCCCAAGTAGCTGGGACTACAGGCACATGCCACCATTTCTGGTGCATTTTTGTATTTTTAGTAGAGATGGGGTTTCACCATGTTGGTCAGGCTGGTCTCAGACTCCTAACCTCAGGTGATCCACCCACCTCAGCCTCCCAAAGTGCTGGGATTACAGGCATGAGCCACCGCATCTGGTCTATTCTCTCTACTTTAGAAATGTCTTCAAATTTCCATGATAAAAAGTTTAAAAATTATAATTCATGTAAATTTTTTATGAGAGGCTTTCAGTTTCACCTCTGACATGTCAGAGCTTGGAAGTCAACGTTCCCATCCTAGTAACAAGAAAAAGCTGTATAAACTGAAACGTAATGACTTTTCCGGGGCCCATCAGAGAACTGAGGATTCAGGGCAAGTTGCCATCCCAAAATCTTGAAAGAGGCAAGTCCAGAGACTCACGGTTGACATCTACTTACCTGGAACAGAAGCCACTGGAGTCATAAGCTAGTAGCAAAACTTCAATGGTAATTTTGGCAAATGACTCAGGGCTGAGTGTAGACTAGTGTGGGAGTGAGGAATGTCTGGGTCTGCAGGCTCTGGCGGGCACACTCTGCTGGGCTTTCCCTCCAGGAACCCCAGCAGGTTCCCATAATGAAACACTAAGAAAAAGCTCTAGGACTAGAGTAAAAGGAAAGAAATTGTAAAATTCACCCAGAACCATTCCCAGGGAAAAGACTGCTAGAGCTGTATGCCAGCTGTTCCAGCCCCCTCTAGCCTTCCTCTAAGGGTGAACCCAGAATCAAGAGGAGTGGGGGTTTCAAGGAAACAGACTGGGAACATGGCAGCCAGGAAAAGGAGTCAGGGGCAGGGAAAGACAAAAAAAAAAGAAAGAAAAAAAGCTATGCTAGGGGAGAACTACTTGTGAAGATCATCTTCTTGGCCTGCTGTCCAGAGGAGCCCAAAGTGGCTGGGAGGCAGTCTTAACTTCCAGTTCAATGGACTCATTGCTGTGCCTCCCGATGGAAGCATTTCTCCCTCTGGAACTAAAACCACAAGGCCAGCAGAACCTGAGGTTGTGGAGACAGGAAACAAAAATTTTGCTAATAAATCACTAGGGGTGATGGTAAGTGATGCCACTCCCATTTCTACCCCTTGATTTCTGGACCAGTGAACTCTGGCTATGGGAGAAACAGCACCATAGATTAGTTGCTGATTTGCAGCATAGGCCGCCTCCTGGAGAATGTTGCCCCAGCCCTGCAAGGTATTGCCACTTACCTGGCACTGGCACTGAGACTTTGAAAGGCCATTCCACTGTTCTGTGAAGTCGGCTGCACCATGTTGATGGGGAACATGATAAGACTAATGGATTCCATGAGCATGAGCCCATTGCTGTATGTCTTTGGCTGTGAAGTGAGTTCCTTGATCAGAAGCAATGCTGTGTGGAATACTATGATGGCAAATGGCATTCTATAAGTCCATAGGTGGCAGTTTTGGCAATAGCACTGCATGCAGAAAAGGCATATATGTATCTGGAGTATCTATTCCAGTAAGGACAAAACAATGCCTCCTCCATGATGGAAGGTGTTCAATGTAAGCAATCTGCCACCAGGTAGCTGGCGGATCACCGTGGGGACTGGTGCCATATCTGAGGCTTAGTGTTGGTCACTGCTGCTGACAGTTTGGGCATGCAGTCGTGTCTGTGGCCAGGTAGTCCTTGGTGAGTGGAAGTCCATGTTGCTGAGCCCATGCATAACTTCCATCCCTGCCACCATGACACTTTGTTCATGAGCCCATTGGGAAATGACAGGGGTGGCTGGGGAAAGAGGCTGACTGGTATCCACAGAATGGGTCCTCCTATCCACTTGATTATTAAAATCCTCCTCTGCTAAGGTCACCCTTTGGTGAGCATCCACATGGGACACAAATGTCTTCATTCTTTCTTTCTTTCCTTTCTTTCCTTTCTTTTCTTCCTTCCTTTCTCTCTCTCTCTCTTTCTTTCTTTTTCTCATTCAAAGAGTTTTATCCACACACCTCTTCCTCAGATCTCCTTCTCAGTAATTTTCCACTCATGTTTCTTCTAAGTCCATGACCATCCAGCAAAATCATTGGCTACAGCCCATGAATTTGCATATAATCACACATCTGGCCCTGTCTCCTTTCAAGCAAAATGAATAAGTTTCAAGTAGCACTGCTTGAAGTTCTGCCCACAGAGAAGATTTCCTAGAAAGGGGTTCTTGTGCTGCAGCTATCCACTTTTGGGTAGTGAGTGCGTATTGTGCAGAATTGTCTATAAATAAGGCCTAAGCCTTCTCCTCCTCTGTCAGCTGGTTGTAGGGAACTCCCCATTAGGTCATAGGTGCAGTCTGGGAGAGAGGAGGCAGTGTAGCTGGAGTGGGAACCATGGGCATTTGGGCCACTTCTTCGTGTACCTTACTTGTACCTTGAGTGCTCTGTCCTATTTGATGACAGTGCTACCGTTCGTGTCTCACTTTATGGCTTGGAGGGTCAAATAACACCCAGTTCATGATGTGCCGCTCAGGTCCCATAGTTACTTGGTGGCCCATAGTTAAGTGTTCCGTGTTACTAAGGCCCAGTGTCACTAAGGCTAAAAGGTGTTTCCCAAAAGGAAAATAATTATCTGCAGAGGATGAGAGGGTTTTGCTCCAAAATCCTAAGGTCTTGCACTACAATTCACTTATAGGGCCCTGCCTAAGACTGCAAACAGCATCTCTATCTGCTACTAGCACTTCAAGCACCACTTCATCTGCTGGGTCATATGGCCCAAGGGGTAAAGCAGCTTGTGCAGCAGCCTCAGCCTGTTGCAGGCCTTCCTCCTGCTCTTGGCTCCATTCAAAACTAGCAGGTTTTCAGGTTACTTGGTAGATGGACAAAAAAGCACAACCAACCAAATGAGAAATAAGTCCGCTTCAAAATCTAAAGAGGCCCAGTAGGTGTTGTGCCTCTTTCTTGGTTGCGGAGCCAGATGCAACAACTCCTCCTTCCCCCTAGAAAGGATAGCTCCACGTGCCCCACACCACTGGATCTTTAGAAATTTCGATGACATAGAAGGCCCCTGAATTTTTGTCAGATTTATTTCCCACCTACTGGCACACAAAAGTCTTACCGAGAACCTTAGATTAGTCACTACTTCCTGCTCAGCAGATGCAATCAGCATAAGGACATCCATGTAAGGACTAATGTGATGTTTTGTGGAAGGGAAAAGTGATGAAAAACCCTGGAAGCTAAACTATGACAGAGCTGGAGAGTTGATATACCCCTGAAATCGGGCAGTGAAGGTATATTGCTGGCCTAGCCAACTGAAATCAAGTAGCTTCTGATGGTCTTTACTAATAGGAATAGAGAAAAAAGCATGTGCCAGATTAATAGCTGTATACCAGGTATTAGGGATGTGTTAATTTACCCAAGCACTGAAACCACATCTGCCACAGCAGCTGCAATTTGAGTCACCAGGTTAAGCCATGATTCTATGTTTTTATGATTTAAGTTAATTTTTTATTCACTTGATGTAGAATTCTTCTGCAGATCAAGTAAGGATTTAGTAAGCATCTTACCTATTTCACTTCTAGAAGTACCATGATCACCAGCCAGTGCCACAGTTGTCTGCAGGTCAGACTATTACGATGGCTGCTTTGACTCCATTGTTCATTACAGCAGCCCCACCTGCCTTGTCTTTAGTGACTGAGTGCCAACACATGGTCCCTGCCACCCAGATTCAACTACCCTCCTTTGCATTCAGGTTTTCCAATTCAGTGGCAGCAGTTCCCACTCTAGTTTCTGATCTACAGAGAGAAGAGTAATCAAGGGGCTCCTCAAGGATGCTGGAGATCCCCTTGCAAATTTGTTTCTCACAGTTGTAGTGAAAGGTGTATCCTCTAGACTCTCCAGAGTGAGTGAGCAGGTCTGAGGTGACAAATCTACTCTGCCGTTCTAATTTCACAAGCCTTTGACTCTCTTTCTCTACAAAATGCCAAGGCAGGTGTGGCATTTCACATTTATTTCCTGTGGGCCACGTTTTGCTCCTTGTTTCATTTAACCAACCGAGCAACTTGTAGAGCCTTTCTAACTCCCCAAGCTGCAACATTAAATTTAGAATATCCACTTAGTAGTCGATGTTAACAGTTCCAGCTGGATCCAACTTTATATCCAACTCTATGTTCTTTCTCTCTTTATTCCACACCCTTACTATCCCTGGATTTCTGTCTGCGTACACTGGAAAAATCATGTAGTTTTTTGGAGTGTAGTGCACTCTTCGTGGATCCCACTATATGCCTTACCTTTAGGGGTCTTCTGGGATGTGAGTCTAGTTATAGGCCTAGAAGCAGAGCAGTGCTGGGGGTGGATCCTGAGGGGAATCAGCATTGTCTTGTAAGACAACTACCACGGAGGATACCATTACAGTTTCCTCAGACGGGGATAGAATAATAGCTTCTACTGGTAAAGAAACTCAGCAGAATCTAGGGGTTCAATGTCCCCAGCCTCACTGGGGTCTTCCTATATATCCCCATTCCATTGTTTGGAATCTCATTCCTTATCAATCCCTCACTTTAACAGTAGACACCTTACAAGGCTGGGAATTCTATTTGTATTGTAATTCAGTAACTTGTAGGATGAGATTCTGGATTTGGTTTTCCGCAATCTCAGCTTTGCAGGTACAAGAGTTAAGTGTCTCTTTCAGGGCACAGAAAGCTTTCAGATCATTCATGTGGATTTGAATCAAATCTCTGAACTCCTTTTCTTCTTCAATTTGTCCATTGAAAGCAGGAGCTACCGGCCAATCTTGTCTTACTCATTAGCTTGACAAAAATGTTTGAAGGGTATCACCCAGATCCTTGCTTCTTGATGAGTGTTTGATTAGGAGTATCTAATGACGGTCTTTTGCAGACCTGTATTACCACACAGCACCATGGACTATCAGTGCTCCTTTTACTACTGGAAATAGTCATTCATGTCTTTAAATCTAATCAGATTAGAGACAAAATTACAGAAACCCCAACCCAGAAAACTCATTCTTAAAATTCTGTTCCTTTAGAACCACTTTCAGTACCAAATTCTGTGTTAGGGTTCTCCAGAGAAACAGAACCTATATCTGAATCCATATTGGTACATATATGGTGTATTGATGCTATATTTTGGTTTGTTTGATATTTTCAAGCCTCATGTTGAGATTTCATCCCCAGCGTTGGAGGTGGGGCTTAATGAGAGATATTTGGTCATGGGGGCAGATCCCTCATAAGTAGATTAATGTTCTCCGTGGTTGGCGTGAGTGAGTTCTCACTTTATTAGTTTCTGTGAGGGGTGGATTTTAAAAAGAGCCTGACACTTCCCCTCTCCCTTGCTTCCTCTCTCACCATGTAATCTCTGCACACACTAGTTCCCATTCCCTTCCCACCATGAGTGGAAGCAGCCTGAGGCCCTCACCAGATGCAGATGACAGTGCCATGCTTCTTGAACAGCCTGCAGAACTGTGAGCCAAATAAAATTCTTTTCTTTATAAATTGCTCGGCCTCAGGTATTACTTTATAGCAACTAAGACATTTGACATGTACAGTTAGCCTTCTATATCCAAGGTTTCTGCAGAAGGGGGTTCAACCAGTTGTGGATCAAAAATGCTCAGAGAAAAAACAATAAAAGGTATCAATACAATAAAAATAAAACCCAATACAGTATAATAATTATTAACATAGCATTTACACTGTAATAGGTATTGTAAGTGATCTAGAGGTGATTTAAAGTATACCAGATGATGTATGTAAGTTATATGCAGATACTATGCTATTTTGTGTAAGGAACTTGAGCATCCACCAATTTTGATATCTGCAAGGGGTCCTGGAAACAATCCTTCTCAATTACTGAGGGACAACTGTATATAGTTTGTGCACACACACACACACAGACACATAACACACACACACACACACACACAGAGGGCAGGGAGGGGGAAAGAGAAAATTTTCTCACACATCTGTATAGGTTGACAAGTCCAAAATCTACGATAGGCTAGCAGGCTGGAGACCTAGGGAGGAGCGAATGTTACAGCATGAATCCAAAGGCAGTCTTTTGGCAGAAATCCCTCTTTCTGAGGGAGGTCATTCTTTTTTCTTTAAGGCCTTCAACTGCTTGATGAGGCCCACCCACATTGAAAGGTAATCTTCTATACTCAAAATCAACTAATTTAAATATTAGTCATTGCTTAAAAAAAAGCATCAGAGAAACATCTAGAATAGTGTTTGACCAAATACAGTAGTCCTCCCTCATCCTCAGGAGACGCGTTCTGAGACATCCAGTGGATGCCAGAAGCTATGGATGTTACCAAACCCTATATGCACTATGTTTTCTCCTATACATACATGCTTATGATAAAGTTTAATTGATAAATTAGGCACAATAAAAATTAGCAACAATAACTAATAAATAATAAAGTAGAACAATTAAAATAATATTCTGTTCAAATTTCAAGAATAGATTTTTATCTTACTGTAGATATTAGCAACCTCGGCTTATGATTTTTTTCTTATTAAGTTGAGAACTTTCACCTTTTCACTTAAAGTAAGCACTTTACAGCTTCTCTTTGGCATATTTAAATTGCTGGCATTACTACTTATGTGCTTTAGGGCCATTATGAAGTAAAATGAGGGTTACTTGAACACAGGCACTGTGATACCCTTATAGTTGACCTGACAAACGAGGTGGCTACTAAGTGACTAATGGGCAGGTGGTGTAGACAGGATAGAAATGCTGTACAAAGGCCAGGCGCAGTGGCTCATGCCTGTAATCCCAGCACTTTGGGAGGCCGAGGCAGGAGGACACCTGAGGTCAGGAGTTCAAGACCAGCCTGACCAACATGGTGAAACCTCTCTACAAAAATTAGCTAGGCGTGGTGGCAGGCGCCTATAATCCCAGCTACTCGGGAGGCTGAGGCAGGAGAATCACTTGAACCCACAAGGCAGAGGTCGCAGTGAGCTGAGATCTCACCATTGCACTCCAGCCTCGGCAACAGAGCAAGACTCTGTCTCAAAAAAAAATTAAATAAATAAGTAAAACTTTCATTTAAAAAAAAAAAAAAGAAATGCTGGACAAAGGGATGATTCATATCCCAGCTGGGACAGGGCAAGGTGGTATGAAATTTCACCGTGCTACTCAGAAGGAGGCACAATTTAAAACTTATGGATTTTTTATTTCTGGAATTTTCCATTTAATATCTTCAGACCACAGTTGACTGCATGTCACTAAAACTGTGAAAAGAGAAACTGCAGATAAAGAGGAACCACTGTATCTGGGTACTGTGGCCTAGCCAAATCAACATGTGAAATTAGCAACTAACCATCAACAAATATTTAGGTGTAAAGCTAACAAAATATGTTTAAGATCTAGATAAGAAAAACTACAAAAATCTGATGGGAGATATTACAGAAAATCTCAATAAATGGAGAGACTCCATATACATGGATAGGAAGATTCAATATTATCAAGGTGACCTTCTAACTTAATCTAGAGATTCAACAGACTCCCAGTCAAAATCCCAACAAATTATTTTATTGGATATCAACACACTGATTCTAAAGTTAATACAGCAGGCCAGGCGCAGTGGCTCATGTCTGTAATCCCAGGACTTTGGGAGGCTGAGGTGGGTTGATCACTTGAGGTCAGGAGTTTGAGACCAGTCTGGACAGTATGGTGAAACCCCATCTCTACTAAAAATACAAAAATCAGCTGAGTGTGGTGGCATGCACCTGTAATTCCAGCTACTCGGGAGGCTGAGGCAGGAGAATTGCTTGAACCCAGGAGGCAGAGGTTGCAGTGAGCCGAGATCACACCACTGCACTCCAGTCTGGGTGACAAAGTAAGTGAGACTCTGTCTCAAAAAATAAAAAATAAATACATATATAAAGTTTATACAACAAACAGCCCAAAATAGACAAAAAAAAAATATTGAAAGAGAAGAAGAAAGTAGGGAGACTGACAGTACCTCACTTCAAGACTTGTCATAAGACTACAGTAATCAAGTGTGAATAGACAAGAATAGACAAATAGACTAATGGAACAGAGTAGCCCAGAAAGAGTCCCACACAAATACAGTCAACTGATTTTTGACAAAGAAGCAAAGGCAAATTAATGGAGGATAGTCTTTTCAACAATTGGTACTGGAGCAACTGGGCATCCACATGCAAAAAAAGGATAGACCTTACACCTTCACAAAAATTAACTCAAAATGGACCAGGAAACGAAATGTGAAAATTCAAGTCTATAAAATGTCTGGAAGATAATATAGGAAAAAATTTAGGTGAACTTCGATTTGACAATGACTTTTTAGACACATTCCAAAAGCACAATACATAAATGAAAAAACTGACGTTGAATTTTATCGAAATTGAAAAACTTGCATTCTGTGGAAAACACTGTTAAGAGAATAAGAAGACAGGCCACAGACTGGGAGAAAATATTTGGGAAAGACATAGTTGATAAAGGACTGATATCCAAAATATACAAAGAATTCTTAAGACTCAAAGTAAGCAAATGAAAAAGTTAATTAAAAAATTAATTTTTAAAATTAACTTGCAAAAGACCTCAACAGATACCTCACTAAAGAAGACATATAGGCCAGGCACAGTGGCTAATGCCTGTAAGCCTAGCACTTTGGGAGGCCGAGGCAGGTGATCACTTGAGCTCAGGTGTTCAAGACCAGCCTGGCCAAGATGGAGAAACCTGGTCTCTACTAAAAATACAAAAATTAGCTGACTGTGGTGGCGCATGCTTGTAAGTCCCAGTTACTCAGGAGGCTGAAGTGGGAGGATCACTTGAGCCCGGAAATCAGAGGTTGCAGTGACCTGAGTTGAGGAGTGTCACTGCACTCCAGCATGGGCAACAGAGCGAGATCCTGTCCAAAAAAAAAAAAAAAAAGACATATAGATGGCAACGAGTACATAAAAAGATACTCAACATCACATGTCATCAGAGAATTTCAAATTCAAGCAACAATAATAAGCTACACACTTATTTAATAAGCTATGCACTTATTAAAGTAGCTGAAATCCAGATCAAATGCTGGTGAGGTTTGGAGCAACAGGAACTCTCTCTCATTGTTCATGTTAGTGTAAAATGACTCAGCCACTTTGGCAGAAAATTTGGCAGTTTCTTACAAAACAAAACATACTCATACCACACAATCCAGCAATCGTGTTCCTTGGTATTTACCCAAATGAGTTGAAAACTTATTTATACACAAAAACTTGCACATGAATGTTTATAGATGCTTTATTCATAATTGCCCAAACTGAGAAGCAACCAAGATGTCCTTTAATATGTCCTATTAAAGGTGGTACATCTCGGTCCTATTAAAGGTGGTACATCCATACAATGGTCTATTATCCAAAAATAAAAAGAAATGAGCTGTCAAGTCAAGAAAAACATGGAGGGAACTGAAATGCATATTGCTAAGTGAAAAAATTTAATGTGAAGAGGGTACACACTGCATGATTCCCACTGCGTGGTAGTCTGGTAAAAGCAAAACCATGGAGACAGTAAAAATTCTGGTAGGAAAAGGAGGGAGGGATGAATAAGTGAAGCACAGAGGACTTTTAGGGCAATGAAACTCCTCTGAATGATACTATCATGGTAGATACATGTCATTATACATTTGTCAAAATCCAAACCAAGAATGAAAGTTAATGCCACTATGGACTTTAGTTAATAATAATATATCAATGTCGGTTCATCAATAGCAAAAAACACACCACACTAATGCAAGATGTTTATAATAAGAAAAATTATGGGGGGTGGGGATGCTGGGGGTTTAGAGGAACTCTGTACTTTCTGCTGAATTTTTCTTTAAACCTAAAACTGCTCTATAAAATAAAGCCTATTAATTTAGCATTTTTTGGGTGTTTTAAGGTCTGCTGTCAGTGCTGAGACAATGCCAGTGACCACCTGCAGATGGTTCATGCTGGTGGCATCCTTGCATCTTGGAGCTTTCTCCAGCTGCCAGAAAATGCTCAATCTGTGGGCAGGGCAGGCTGAAAATACCATACAGTTAACACTCACAGGAGTGTCTCCACCAATAAGAAAAGAAAATCAGGAATCAATATCCCAGTTTCCTCATCCCCGGTTGTCACTCTGCTGAAGTGTTTTCTGCACAGTTGCTCAAAGGGTCCCAGTGGGATTGAGCTCTATTACCCACAACAGTAACCCACTCAACAATGAGTCCTTCGATAACTTTCCTGTGTCCCCATCTCGCTTTCCTATGTCCTCGCTGGGCTTCCTGCCATTACCGCTCAAATTCGTCTCAGGGTTGGCTGTGGGGGAAACCCAAACCAAGACAGGACCAGAACCAAGAAAAAAAGGCTCGCAGCTTCGCCTCAGGCTATCCACAACATTTCCAAATGCCCTTTCATTTTCTTTCTTTCTTTCTTTCTTTCTTAGTTTCTCGCTTTCTTGCTTTCCTTTTTCTTTTTTTTTTTTTTTTTTTTGACAGAGTCTTGCTCTGTCACCCAGGCTGGAGTGCAGTGGTGTGATCTCAGCTCACTGCAGCCTCTGCTTCCTGGGTTCCAGTGATCTTCCTGCCTCAGCCTCGTGGGTAGCTGGAATTGCAGACACTCACCACCATGCTTGGCTAATTTTTGTATTTTTAATAGAGATGGGGTTTCACCATGTTGCCCAGGCTGGTCTCGAACTCCTGACCTCACGTGACCCATCCACCTTGGCCTCCCAAAATGCTAGGAATACAGGCATGAGCCACCGTCCCTGGCCTCATTTCTTTTCTAATTGCATGTGATTTTCACAAGAACCAACCTCAGAAATAAGATAATTTTTTAAATTTTTTTTACTGTTTTCCTATTTGAATGATTGATATTGTTGCAGTTTTGTTTTCCACACTTTTCATTGCAGATGCAGAGTGTTTTAATTATACTATGTATTGAAAAGTTTCTCATGGGCTGGCCTGAGACACAACCAACTTTAACACTGTTTCTATAGGAAAGGGAATTCCAAATGAAAAGGAACAAACTTGGAAACCAAGTTTCAGAATGTGTAAATTGAGTGCCAAAAAGTTTAGGTGGAAGATACCAAGCAAACTGGCCCACCACTACGTGTGACCATGTCTACCAACTTTATCTTAAGGTTTTGTTTAGTTTTTTTGTTTGTTTTTGTTTTTTGGTTTTTACTTCTTTTAAATTTATTTTGATTGCTTGATAATAGACACATTTAGAAGCTTCTATCAGTTTCCCTACATCTGCCAGCGACTGGCATCATTCCATTTTGCTTGGATAATTCAGTAGCATAGCCTCCTGTGGAAATAGCTGCTTCTGGCAAAACTGTTTAGTTTATCATTTAATCAAAACATTTGCATAGTTCCACTCAGTTAGAACACAAAAATGAGGCTGATCGTTTTTGCATAAAGACAAGTCATAAAGTCATAAAGCAAAGGAATGCTTTAAACCATGAAATGAAATTTAATTAAATATTGGAAAGACAAACATTTCACCATGAGCAGACATTCTTAAATAATGGTTAAATAATACACAAAAGAAATTACAGTTTTACATGAAAAGGGTATTTAGTGGTGACTTTATAAATGTTTCCAAAAAACCATTTATAAACGCTGGGCTGATGTGTCTTGCTGCACCCAAGGCATTGCTCTCCTACCTTTCAGCACGCAGTTGGCTGTACCTCATATGTATTTGGCCTGGACGTGTTCTCATGTGACAGTAGCAGTGTCCCCTGAAAAACACCTTGCAAACATTCATACGCTGCCTAGTCTGTGCGATCAGCAACTCACAGGGTCACCTAAAAACATACTGCCCCTCTCCAGGTTGAGGAGAAAGGCTTGGGGAAAATTGGAGAATCCAAGTGTCACCCAACACGGCGGGGCTCAGAGGCACTGAAAGTCACTTGAGATGCGGAGGGCACTTGGAAGGCTGACTGGGTCCTGTGGACCAACAAGTTTAAGAAAGGATCTATCCTAAGGGAAAAGGCAGTGTTTCTAAAGTCAGCATCCATCCCATCCTTTTCAAGTGGGAAAGAGCTGCATAGGAGGCCCTTTGGGATTCAGGAAACATCCAGCAAGGAAGCCAAACCGCTTTAGACAAAATCCACAAACTTGAGAATCTGATCAGGACTCTGGGACCTCTATAGTTTTCTTCTCAGCAGCCTCATTAAGATATAATTCAATATTATGTAGTTCATTCAATTAAAGCATACAACTCCATAATTTTTAATATGTTGTCAAGGTTGTGCAACCATCATCACAATCTAACCTAATTAGAATATTTTCAGTTTCCACCCTCAAAGACCAGGCACCCATTAGCACTCACTCCTCATAACCCTCCTAACCAGCCCTGCCCTAATCAACGCCTAAACTACTTTCTGTCTCTGTAAACTTGCTTATCCTGGACATCTCATATATACAGAATCACAAAATATGCAGGCTTGTGTGACTGGCTTCTTTCACTTAGCATAATGTTTCAAGTTCATCATATCGTAGCATGCGTAAGTATTTCATTTCTTTTCATGCCAATAATGTTCCCTTATAAGAATATACTACATGTTATGTATCCATTTGTCAGTTGATGGAGAATTGGATTGTTTCCACTTTTTCACTGTTATAAATAATGCTGCTGTGAACATTCGTGTCAAGTTCTTGTATATGTGTATGTTTTTAATTCCCTTGGGTATAAATACCTGAAAGTAGAATTACTGGAACATGTAGTTTAACATTTTGAGTATCTACTAAACTGTTTTCTACAGCATTCCCATCAGAAACAGAGGAGGATTCCAATTCACCGATCTTGTTAACACTGTTATTGTCTGTCTTTTTTATTGTAGCCATCTAGTGGGTAAGAAATGGTATCTCATTGTTATTTTGATTTGCGTTTCCCTAAGGACTAAAAATGTTGAGCAACTTTTCATGTGTTTATCAGTCATTTGCATATTTCTTTGGAGAAATATCTGCTGAAGTCATTTGTACTTTTGAACATTGGGTTGTCTTTTTATTATTGAGTTGTAAGAGTTCTTCATATATTCTGGATACAAGTCCCTTATTAGATGTATGGTTTGCAGATGTCTTTTCCCGTTCTGTGGGTTCTATTTTTGCTTTCTCAATAGCATCATTTGCAGTGCAAAAGTTTTTGGTTTTGATATAGAGCAATAATCTTTTATTTTCTTTCATTGCTTGTGCTTTTGGTGTCGTATGTAAGATGTCCTTGCTTAATCTAAAGTCATGAAGATTTACTCCTATATTTTCTGCCAGGAGTTTTATAGTTTTAACGTTTCCATTTGGGTCTATGATCCATTTTTAGTTAATGTGTGTGTATGATGTAACATAGGGGTCCTTGTCATTCTTTTGTGTGTGGCCATCCAGTTGTTCCTGTATCTTTTGTTGAAAAGAATATTCTTTCTTTATTGAATTGTCTTGGCACCCTTGTTGAAAAACAGTTGACTATAAATCTAAGAGTTTATTACTGGACACTCAATTCTATTCCCTTGACCTATATGTTTATCCTTATGCCGGTACAACACTATCTGTTGTAGTGTATGCAACTACAAACACTACCTTTACGGTAAGTTTCACAGTCAAGAACAATGACTCCTCCAACTTTTTTTTTCAAGATTATTTTTACTATTCTAGGTCCTTTGCATTTCCATATAAATTTTAAGACTAGTTTGTCAATTTCTGGAAAAAGCTACCTGGGATTTTGCTAGGAATTATGTTGACTCTATAGATCAATCTGGAGAGTATTGCCATTTTAACAGCAACAAATCCAAAACAATGGGATGTCTTTCCATTTATTTAGATTGCCTTTAATTTCTTTTAACAATATTTTATAGTTTTCATTATACAAATTTTTGTACTTCTTTTGATAAATTTATATCTAAATATTTTATTCTTTTTGATGCTACTTTAAATGGAACTGTTTTCTTAATTTTATTTTTAGAATCCTTGTTCATTGCAAAAGAATAAAAATAGAATTGACTTTTGTACATTGATCTTTCATCCTGCAATCTTACTCAACTCATCTCTTATTTCTAATAGTTTTTAGTAGATTTTATTAGGATTTTGTGTCTATAAAGTCATATCATCTGATAATTTACTTCTTCCTTTTTAATCTGGATTTTTTTCTCTCTACTTGTTTCTTTCTTTTGTTCTTTTTTCCCCTGACTGCCTCCAGTCCATTGTTACATAGAAGTGGTGAGAGCAGACATCCTTATCTTGTTTCTGATCTTAGAAGGAAAGCATTCCTTCCTTCACCCTTAAATATGATGTTAGCTGCAGGCTTTTTGTAACATTCCTGTCTAGAACACTGAATAAGTTTGCCCCTATTGCTCACCAGCATTCTTCTGTTTTCTGAAGCTGGATGTGCTCGTAGCGTGTTAGTAAATGTATAACAACTGGTTCTTCAAAACATTTTTTGTTGCATTTGGGGATTTCTGTGGTGTAAATACTCCCACCATGGTTTAATCAAGCTACAAACCTGACATCACTGAATACAGAGTTGGGAAGAGATACTCAGTATCACATCAGTATATAGTATTTCCACTACACAGATACAATAAACATATATAATTTTAAGAACATAAATGGACTGGGTTCCCCTCTATTTCTAGTTTGTTGAAAAGTTTTTGTCATGAAAGGGTGTTGGATTTCTGTGAAACCCTTTTTATATCTATTAGGCTTTATTCTACCAATATAGTTCATTGTATTAATTGAGCCCTCACAATGGCTTTCTGCTTCTACATTTGCTACTACATGAGTTGCTTATTTGTAGAAAACCCTGTATAATAGCATATTTTGCTAAGGAATCGAAGAGGGAAGTTAGAGGCTGAACTTTAGTTGAAAAGTGTGTTCCAGCCGGGTGCCGTGGCTCACGCTTGTAATCCTAGCACTTTGGGAAACTGTGGTGGGCGGATCATCTGACGTCAGGAGTTCGAGACCATCCTGGCCAACATGGTGAAACCCCATCTCTACTAAAAATACAAAAATTAGCCAGGCGTGGTGATACACGTCTGTAGTCCCAGCTACTCGGGAGGCTGAGGCCAAGAAGAGTGGCTTGAACCTGGGAGATGGAGGTTGCAGTGAGCCAAGATTGTGCCACTGCACTCCAGCCTGGGCAACAGAGTGAGGCTATGCCTCAAAAAATAAAATAAAATAAATGTGTTTTGGGGGGAAAGAGAGAAAGCAGAAACAGGAAACTGATGATGTCCACTTCAATGATGAAGGGAAAGTAATTGGAATCTGTACAGAAAAGAGCCAGAGGGACGGTCAAGTGGGTACATAGACTTTAAGAGGCATTTTTCACAAAGTCATCATTGTTATAGTCATTAAAAATAAACTCTGAAATTACAATCAACTATTTTATCAATAATGATAATAAGTACTCAAAACTCATCACTGCCTAATTAGTTTGCTACATTTTACTGCTACTTATGCTCTTAAAAATATGTATGCTCATTGTATCTGTGTAGTGGAAATACTGTATACTGATGTGATATTTAATATCTCTTCCCAACTCTGTACTCAGTGATGTCAGGTTTGTATCTTGATTAAGTTATTGTGGGAGTATTTACATCATAGAAATCAGCAACTGTAACAAAAAAATTTTCTGAAGAGCCAACTGTTACACATTTACTAGTGCACCACCACTAGCACACTCAGATTAAGAAAACAGAAGTGGGATGGGTGCTGTGGCTCACCCCTGTAATCCCATCACTTTGGGAGGCTGACGTAGGTGGATCGCCTGATGTCAGGAGTTCCAGACCAGCCTGGCCAGCAGGGTGTAACCTTGTCTCTACTAAAAATACAAAAATTAGTCAATCATGGTGGTACGCACCTGTAATCCCAGCTACTTGGGAGGCTGAGGCAGGAGAATTGCCTGAACCCAGGAGGTGGAGGTTACAGTGAGCCAAGATTGCGTCATTGCACTCCAGCCTGGGCAATAGAGGGAGACTCAGTGTCAAAAAAGGAAGGAAGGAAGGAAGGAAGGAAGGAAGGAAGGAAGGAAGGAAGGAAGGAAGGAAGGAAGGAAGGAAGGAAAGAAAAAGAAAGAAAGAAAGAAAGAAAGAAAGAAAGAAAGAAAGAAAGAAAGAAAGAAAGAAAGAAAGAAAGAAAATAAAAGAGGGATGCAGGTGAGCAATAGGAAAACATTATATAATTTTCTAGACAGGCATGTTAAAGAGAAATATATAGCTCTTTCCTACTGTTTTTCCCTGGGAAGGATTAAGAATAAGATAAATTCAATTCACGAAAGGTTTACTGAAGGCAACTTCCTGTGTGTTCAGCACTGTGGTAGAAATCCAGCATAAATGCTTAGAATGATTTATGCAAAGGGTGCCTCTTTGTGGAGATGGAATTAAATGATCCACAGAAGTTTCTTTTATTTCAAAGAATCTATTCATCTATAAAGAAATGCATAATACAAGGCCTAGTAGCCAAGATAATTGTTTTTCTCCAGACTGTTGAATTGCAACATCATTTTCTTCTATTTACATTTAAAGCATTCGGGTCATTCAACGTTTGAGCTCCTTCTAAGATTTATATAAACAGATTTTTGAAATGCAGATAATTGTTATTTGATGTAGCTCTTCCTTATTGCTTTAAAAATGACTTAGAGAACTCAAATAAATTAATCTGGAGTAATCTTCTTTTTAGTGATCCAAAGCAATTGTCTTTCAATAAACCCTGTGCTTATAAGAGCTGCATAATCCAGTCGGTGTCCCTGTCTCCTCTTGCTTTTGCCTGAGCTACTGATGTGTATAGCAGGACACAGGAAGAGAATCACAGTCATCTTAAAAAAAATTATTCCCTTCATTTTAATCTGTCATCTTTGCTGAACAATATCATTTTAAGAGCTTAATCTTGAAAACAGAGCCACATTTAATTTTTATTTTATTAGAAAAATTCTTTCTGTCTACACAACCACAAATAGTGTTTAGAGATCCCAAATTAAATCTGCTGTTGATGTGAAGTGGCCAAGCTCGTGGTGGTGTTGATAGGCACTCAACAGCACTGGGGCATCCATAAAAATATTCATGGGGCTTCCTCTTCCAACCACATGAAGCCAGAATGGACATGAAACTTCTTCCCATTTCAAATATGGGAATGCTGAATCTAGTAGAGAAAAAAATAAATTTTAAAAAATAAGCATGGATGGGTGCAGTCATTCACATCTGTAATCCTAGCACTTTGGGAGACCTAGGCAGGTGGATTGCTTGAGGTTAGGAGTTCAAGACCAGCCTGGGCAACATAGCAAGATCCTGTCTCTACAAAAAATTTTAAAATGTGCCTGTGGTTCCAAGTACCTGGGAGGCTGAGATGGGAGGATTGCTGGAGCCCAGTAATTTGAGGCTGCAGTGAGCTATAATCGCACCAGTGCACTTCCAGCTGGGTAACAGAGTGAGAGAAGAAAGAAAAGAAAAGAAAAGAAAAGAAAGAGAGAAAGAAGAAGGGAGGGAGGGAAGGAAGGAAGGATGGAAGGAAGGAAGGGAGAGAAGAAAGAAGGAAGGAAGGCAGGAAGGGAAGGAAGGAAGGAAGGGAAAGAGGGAGGGAGGGAGGAAGGAAGGAAGGAAAAGAAAGAAGAAGAGAAAGAAAGGAAGGGAGAAAAGTTCGACTATGCAGTTTATCTCACAAGAAAGAAAATGCCAGACACAAGGAACAATCGGAGAGTGGGAGTGTCAACCTTGCACGATCTTGCTATAGCATCCTGGGGAATGAGAATGGTATTAGATGAAGTTATAGGTCAAACAGCCAGACTTGGATGTTAACACCCACAGAAAGACAAGATATGAGGCTGTGGGTCCAAGTGTTAAGACCTTGGTATAAATTGGGGGTTTCTAAAGGTTATAATGTCGGTTAAGAGGTGATAAAAAGTTCCTCCCACCAGCCAGGGTAACGACAAAGAGGCTTCTTCCATCAAAGGATCTGGAAAGAAAACAAAATATCTTTCATTAGGAATAAAAATGCCAAGCCAGAGCCACATGTGAGTCTAGAATTTATACTGTCCTCGTGCTGTAAGACGCTTCAAGGCAAGAAACTCACAAAACTGTAATGGATTAAGAACTACCCCAGAAGAAATAAGCACACAGCTCTTTTGGAGAAACAGCTTCACAATGCATGAAATGTGGGGTTGCCACAGAAAAAACAATCTCCAACAAAGGAAGGATTTTTTTAAGCAAACAAACAAAAAAAAGCACAGACCATGAATTGAAATACTTTTTAAAATCCACTACATAAAAATTAACATGTGAAAGACATTATGGAGTAAAAGGAAAAGGGAGATCTTTCACTGAGAGAAGATATTTTCATGTGCTTAGCTTGTAGTATATTAAAATCTGAATATGTAAAGAAACACCACAGATAAAGAAGAAAAATACAAAAACCCAATTAGAAAGACAAAGGTTATTGTAGGGGCCATGGTAAGTTGCATACCTAATGTCCTTTCTCTCATCTTCCCTGCAACTTTGAATCAGATTTGATTATGGTAACAGTGAACATACTCCTGGATAAGAGTCTTGCTTTTCCAGTCTTTCTTAGGTCCAAGGGTAGCCATGTGGCATGGCATAGGTCTGGCTAATGAGACACAAAGAAAGAATCTGCTGAGGGGGCTTATAGGAAAATCATTTCTCTCCGGATAGAAAGGGGGGGGGTGGATCTTACTAGAGCCATGCCTCCCTCTGCCTTGAAGGCTAATGTGATATCTAAAATGATCATGTAGACACAGGCAAGAGAGAAAGGCCCAGAGATGGCCAGAGGCAGAGGGTCTGCCATCAATGAGCCATTGACACAGAAGTGCTAAGTGGATTTAACATTTGAAAATCAATCAGTGTAATCCACCATATTAACATATTGAAAAAGAAAAACAATACAAACATGTCAACAAATGCAGAAAAACCATTTGATGATAAAAAAAGAATTAATAAACAGATTTATTAACTGGTCAGTCAGACTCATTGAAGGTGGAAAAACTCAGACTGTTTTTCCTCTGCTCACACCACAACAATCAACCAGAAGACTTCCGTGACTGAAGGGCCATGGAGTTTCCTACACACACAAAGCAAGCAATCAGTTCTGCAGCAGACACCAACTGGGTGTCCTCCAATTCAATTCTGACTCTATCTACCTGGAGATAGCATCAAATCCTGCAGGCTGAGGGCTCAGTCTCTCACACTACCCCCTCTTCAGACACCAATCACAAGTCTGGGCCTCCAGAACTTCTAACTGGTTAGCTTCAAGTTGGGCTTCCTACAACCCTTTCTTCAGGTTTGATAATTTACCAGAGTGGCTCACAGAACTCAGGGAAACACTTATGTTTACTGGTTTATTATAAATGATATTAAGGCCGGTCGCATGCCTATAATCCCAGCACTTTGGGAGGCCAAGGCAGGCAGATCACATGACGTCAGGAGCTCAAGACCAGCCTGGACAATGTGGTGAAACCCCATCTCTACTAAAAATACAAAATTAACCGGATGTGGTGGCGCACGGCTGTTATCCCAGCTACTTGGGAGGCTGAGACAGGAGAATTGCTTGAACCTGGGAGGCAGAGGTTGCAGTGAGCCGAGATCACGCCATTGCACTCCAGCCTGGGGCATAAGAGTGAAACTCCATCTCTAAATAAACAATATTACAAGGTAACAGATAAAGAGACACATACGGTGAGGTATGTGGGATAGGTGCAGAGCTCCCATCCCCTCCCCAAGCATGGCACCCTCCAGGAACGTCCACGTGTTCAGCTATCCAGAAGTTCTTCAAATCCTATTCTCTTGGGTTTTTATGGATGCTTCATTTTGTAGGCATGATTGATTACATCACTGGCCATGCTTCTCTGCCTTACCCGGAGTTTGAGGAGTAGGGCTGGAAGTCCCAACCCTGTAATCCTGCCTTAGAGGTCATAGGCCCAATTGTTTCTCATATATATGTCTTTGCAGTGACCAGGCCCCATTTTGAAGCTGCCTAAGGGCTGCCAACCATCAGTCAACTCATTGGGATACAAACAGACGTCACTTAAGCGAGTCTAAGGATTTTAGGAGTTCTATGCCAGGAAACGGGGATTGAAGACTAAATATATATTTTATCTGGCCTGTTGCTCAGGCTGGTCTCAAACTCCTGGCCTCCAGGGGTCCTCCTGTCTCAGTCTCCCAAAGTGCTGAGACTACAGGTGTGAGCCACCACTCCCACTCACCCTGTATCTTTTAATATGGTATTTTACATTAATTGATTTTCAGATGTTAAACAACGTTGCATTGCTGGTAGATACTCCCACTTGATCGTAGTGTAATGCTTATTATTATTATTTGTTGCTGGATTAAGTGCGTTAATATTTTTAAAGACTTTTTATGTGTATGTTCACAAGTGATATTGATCTGTGGCTTTCTGTACTTGCAATATTTTTCTTTTGGCTTTGTTATTACGGTAATACTGGCCTCATGAAATGAGTTGGGATGTGTTCCTTGCTCCTTGACTGTGGCAGAAGAACAGGCAAGTTTCTAAACTGTTTGGATGCAGAGCCTTTGACTCTGAAGGTAGGAGGTAGAATTTTATCACAATGCACGCGCTACCTTCCCAACTGAGCCTGGCCTCAGGACTTGGACCTTAGGTTAGGGGTTCTATGCTTGACACATACTAGTAGTGATTGATAGGGACAGGATGTTTATGTTCTGAAGTTTTTGTATAATCCTTTTTATTTTTCCTCCTTAAATATTTGAAGATCTTCACTAGTAAATCCATCTGAGCCTGGGTTTTTCTTTTCTTTCTTTTTTTTTTTTTTTTTTTTTTTTGAGGTTGAGTTTTGCTCTTGTTGCCTAGGCTGGAGTGCAATGATGCAATCTCAGCTCACTGCAACCTCCGCCTCCTGGGTTCAAGCAATTCTCCTGTCTCAGCCTCCTGAGTAGCTGGGATTACAGGTGCTTGCCACCAGGCCCAGCTAATTTTTGTATTTTTAGTAGAGATGGGGTTTCACCATGTTGGCCAGGCTGGTCTCGAACTCCTGACCTTAGGTGATCCTCCCACCTTGGCCTCCCAAAGTGCTGGAATTACAGGCATGAGCCACTGTGCTCGGCCAGGTTTTTATTTATGGGGCAATTTAATCACCAATTAAAACTCCTTACTTGATTTTCTATTTCTTCTTGAAACAGTTTCAGTTATGTCTTTCTAGGAATTTGTCCATTCCATTATGGTTCTTGGGTTTGTTTGCATGCAATTGTTTATAATATCTTTCTAATCCATTCAATTTCTTTAGTCTGAGTGATGTTCCCTATTCTGTTTCTAATTTTGGAATTGGTGTCTTCTCTCTTTTCTTCTTAATCAGTCTACCTAGTGGTTTATCAATTCTGTTGATCTTTCCAAAGAATGAATTTTTTATTTCATTGATGTTTCTGTATTGGTCTTTTTAAAAATTGACTTTTTTCTGGTCTGATTTTCATTATTGCCTTTTTTCTTTTTCTACTTACTCTTGCTTTAATTCACTCCTTTTTCTAGGGTTTTGGTTTTTTATGTTTTGTTTTAGTCTGGACACTACAATGAAGCAGGATATTTCCCTGACCTCTCTGTGGGTGGGAACTGGAGTGCACGGGCACTGGAACTAGCCACTACTTCAGCACCGACAGGGCAAACTCCACTTGCTTGAACCTGCTGCGTTCCACCCCTCGTGGGAGGGGGACTTCAGGTGAGCAGGTGCTGGAGCCAGGACGAGCACTTGTGGGCTCTGGCAGGAGCAAAACTCTATGCGGGCCTGCCTCAACATCTGCAAGGGGTACCCATGACCCCTGAAGCCCCAGAGGGAGTGTTACAGTACTCCTTTAGCTCTGCTGTCCACGGGCAGCCTAAGTGTTAACAGCTCAGTCAACCTTCTGCCTTTTCGCCTGAGGCAGCTGCCTCCTGCCAGCGAGGGCAAAGGGTCAGTGTGACAGCCTTTTACATCCACACTCGTGACACCCAAGCTCTTGTCCAGCGTCCAGGAAAAATAAGGTCACATGAACAAATTGAAGGATGGTAAATGTCAGGGATTTATTGCCGATGGAAGTGGCTCTCAGCAGGAAGGGGATCTGAAAAAGGGACAGAGTGGGAAGGTAATCTCCTGATGTCCAGCCTTCTCCGGCCAGATTCTTCCCTAAAGTTACACTATCAAGCTGTCCCTCTGAAGTCAAGCTGCTTCTCTCTGATGTTCAGCCATAGTCTCTGATATCCAGTGGCTTCTCCTCTCTCTGCTGGCTGAGCCTGGGGTTTTTATAGACACAGGATGGGATGGGGTAGGGGTATGGGTGGTTTTGGAAAAGGCAACATTTGATGGGGAAAACAGGGATGTAAGTTCTCACTTTGGGCAGTGGTTTCAGGCTTTTTGGCTTGAAGGTGGGACCCTTGCTGAGCACTCACCATCTTCTGTCCAGAATTTCCCTGCATCCTGTCCCTATCAATCACTACTAGTATGTGTCAAGCATAGAACCCCTAACTTAAGGTCCAAGTCCTGAGGCCAGGCTCAGTTGCGAGGGTAGCATGTGCATTGTGATAAAATCCTACCTCCTGCCTTCAGAGTCAAAGGCTCTGCATCCAAACAGTTTAGAATCTTTCCTATTCTTCTGCCACAGTCAAAAGAGGATCCACAGCCCCGTGTGGCCCTCTCCCTTCTGTGCTCACAACCCTTCAAGGCACCCTGCTGCGGAGTTAAGCACAACTTTTTTTCCTGACCTTGGGCAGCTGGCAGCTCCCCACCCCATGCCCTCACAGAAGCCTAGGGCTTCCCTCTCCAGGATCAGGCATTCCTTCCATCCCCCACCCTCCTAAATTTAGGACAGGGATGCTTTAGTGCCACTGTCTCTCTTCCGGGACTGACCACACTTCATTCCAAATAGGAAAAGATAGAGGGGAAAAAAGGGAGGGGCGGGAGACCTGGATGCTGGAGAGTTACCCCCTACAAGCTGCCCTCAGGGACCAGGTGCCCAATGCCCCACGGACTGCAGTGAACCCAGAGGGAGCCCTCAGTGCCCAGAGGGAGCCCTCAGACCCCTGCTTTGCTTGCCCCCTGGGCTCCATGCCCTTGATTCTCAGGCCAGAGAGGAAAGGGTCCCTTCCCTCTCACTCTGGCAGCTGGTGGAGGGTAGGATGCAGCACTGAGCCCTTTTTCTAGCTTCTTGATGAGGAAGCTTGTTATTCTTTTTTAAAACTTTCTTTTTTCAAATATAGGAGTTTAAACCTATAAATTTCCCCCTAAGCACTGATGGCATCCTATAAATTTTGAAATGTGGTACTTTCATTTTCATTCAATTTGAGATATTTTTAATTTTGTTTGTGATTCCTTCTTTGATCCATGAATACTTGGAAACTGGTAGTTTAGTTTCCAAATGTGTAACCGTTTTCCATATTTATTTCTCTTGTTGATTGCTAATTTAATTTTTAGTCACAGAACATTTGCATTATTGTAAGCCCTTTACATTTTTTGAAACTTGCTTGATAAGCTAAAAAAAAAAGATCTCCCCAAAGGTATTCATTTCCTAATCCCTGAAACCTGTGAATGTGACACTATATGGAAATAGGGTCTTTGTAGGTGTGATTAAATTAAGGATCTCAAGATTTAAGTCATGCAGCCACAAGCCAAGGAATGCTGCCAGCCTCCAGAAGCCAGAATTTGCCAGGAAGGGATCATCCTCTAGAGCCTCTGCAGGAAGTGCAGCCCTGCTGACTTCTGGATTTCAGCCCAGTAATACTGATTTCAGACTGGAAGTTTGGAATTCTGGAGTCCAGACTTGGGAGAGGATACATTTCTGTTGTTTTAGGCCACCACATTTGTGGCAACTGGTTACAACAGCCACAGGAAACTAATGCAACTCGTTTCATGGCTTAGAATAGGGTCTAGGGTCTATTCTGTAGCACAGCGGTCCCCAACTTTTTTGGCACCGGGGACCAGTTTCATGGAAGACAATTTTCCCACAAACGGGTGGAGTGGGTGTTGTGGGATAGAGGTGGTGGATGGTTTCAGGATGAAACTATTCCACCTCAGATCATCACATATTAGGTTCTCATAAGGAACACACAACCTAGATCCCTCACATATGCCGTTCACAATAGGGTTCGTGCTCCCACGAGAATCTAATGCCACCACTCATCTGACAGGAGGTGGAGCTCAGGCAGTAATGCACACCCGCCGCTTACCTCCTGCGGTGCAGCCTGGTTCCTAACAGGCCACAGACTGGGACTGGTTCCTGCCAGGGGTTGGAAATCACTGCTGTAGGATGTTCCTTGAAGTCCAGGAAAGAATGTGCATTCTGTTTTGGGGTAGCGTGTTCCATATATGTCCCTTAGGTCAAGTTGGTTGATAGTGTTGTTCAAGTCTTCTATACCCTTCTTGACTTTATGAATTGCTGTTCTATCAATATTTGAAAGACTATAATTAAAATCTCCGACTTTATTTCTGCTCTCAATTCTATCAGTCCTTGCTTCATGTATTTTGAGACCCAGTGTTAGGTGCATTTACATTTATAATTGCTATATCTTTCTGATATGTTTACCCTCTTATAATTGTGAAATGCCTTCTCTTCTCTTGTGATTTTTCTTCTTTCAAAATCAGTTTCATCTGATATTAGTATAGCTAATCCAGCTCTCTTTGCCTACTGTCTGCCTAGTGTACATTGTGTCATCCTTTTATTATCTACCTACTTGTTTCTATGAATCTAAAATGTGTCTCTTATAGATAGCCTATAGTTGCATGGTTTCAGGGTGAAACTATTCCACCTCAGATGGAAGTCTGTGACATCTGCAAAAGATGTCCTAGGAGAGAAAGTGGGAGAGAGAGAGAGGGCATAGATTCAATTGTTTCTCATACAGACATGTCTGTAATTTCCACAATTACTGCCCTACCCTGCAATTCAGTTGGTTTCCCAACATCCAGCAGTTCTCCTGCTTAGCTTCTCCAGTGAATAATACTCATCTCATCTATAGGGGCAGTGGTTGGAGGACCTGGAGGAGTGACTTGCCTGAGTGTGGAGGGTGAAGGTGTTCTAGAGTCTGACTGTTCCACAGTCTCCAGCCAGCCCTCATTAATCCAGCTGACCACTGTATGTACTGCCTCAAATTCCTGAGCATTTCACAAGTTCTGCAAGGCAGAACACTCTCTTCCCATTAGCCTCAATCTCTACAGGCACCATGGATTGTAAATTTCTTCCCCCTTCTAAACCAGTTGTATCATCTGATTTTTCTCTCCCAAAAATCTGTTGAAATTCCTTTTTTTCCCCATCATCTTCTGCACATTGCTTCCACCTCATGATCAAAACGACTGCTCAAATTCTGGCTACTACATCTGCATTTCATTCAGCAGGAAAGAGAGGGAAATAAGAAGGACATTCCATCCTCTTAAAGACTCTTCCTGGAAGTTACTTGCAACATTCTGCTACCTTCTCCTTGACCAAGTCCTACCCACATGGCCACACTAAACGCAGTGGAGGCTGAGAAATGTGGTCTTCATTCAAGACAGCATGTGTCTAACTAAAAGTTGTGAGTCTATAGCCAAAGGAAAAGGGAAGACAGAGATTGGTGGACGTTTCTGTCACACTCAAGACAATACAATGTTTCAAAAAAAAAAAAATTAAACAAGCTCATAAAAAGAATGGCTGTTCATTGAAATTACCCACATTAGGCCATCTCAGGTGAGTAGCAACTAATAGTGCCTATTAAGTATCTAATAAATATTTGTCAGGTATTTATTTGTCTGAATGGATGAACCTGAATCAACCATCAGCCTGAGAGAGGGGTGGCTTTCTGTTTACTATGACCCACGACAGGTGACAACATCCATTTTTTTCTTTTACTGAGTTTATCAACAAACAGAAAACCTCAACCTGCTTCTGACATCATATGCCAGCTTTGCATCTTGCTACTATATTATACCTGGTCTTAAACCTCCAGGCACACTAACCGGTGCCAAGTAGAAAGACTGGAGAGAACAAAGAGAAAAATCAGGAAACAGCAAGAAGTCTTTGACTCACATGTACCAACAAAGCCTCTCCCAACACAGAGAAATGGTGATAACGTAATCACAGGCATGCTAGCCATTGTTCCAGTGGACTTGAAGCCAAAGCCGGGATTAAATAAATGGCTGGCATTTTTCAAAGAACCAGAGGCAGCACTGTTTAAAAGAGCTGACAGCTGTGAGATAGAGTATTCTTATTACAGAGGCTTAGCGGGGAGACTTAAAGTAAACCTTTCCACCAGCAGAGCACTCTCAAATGGGAGAAAAAGTAGAAAAGCTCCCTCTATGAGAGCAGAAAAATGCACGAGGATATAGGCATGGTTCTGGGGCTGTCATAAAGATGTGAGAAGACCTTAGTAAAATATCTTCAATGTTATTAAAACCTTACTCTTTAGAGGTAAGAAGAAATATGGGGGGCAAAAATAAAGAGGGAACAAAAAGGAACAGTGTTTTGTTTAACCCATGGAGATGCAAGTTAAAATTTGGATGAGTCTACGTAGCTTTTCTTTGTACTTCCCATAAAGATCAAAATAAAGGTTCTTTGTTCATCCTGAAAATATGCATTGAACGGAAATATTGATAGGACCCTACATTCTAGTGATGGCAAGAAAGGTAACTAGGAAGTGAGCACACAGACTGTTTCAGTAGTAATGGCGGCTAGAAAAAGGCACCAATTGGGCAGTAGGAGACAGAGGGGTGATTAGTGGGGTAAGCTGCTTTAGACAGTGGGGCCAAGACAAGAATCTCTGGGGAAATGCCTTTCAAGTAGACACTTGAAGTGTAAGAAGAAGCTAGTCTCATGGCCAGGAAGTATGAATGGGGTGGAGTGAGGACGGAGTGAATTTCAGGCCGCAGGGTGAGCAAGGCATGGGGGGTGGGGCTGGGAACGCTCGCTGTTGTTTGTTGGTGAGCTGAGGCCCCAGTGCTGTGGCATGTGTGTGGCCCATGTGAGACAGGAGAAGGAGGAAGGAGGCACATCCAGGAAAGATGTGCTGGCCATGGGAAGGGATCCCATGCTGGGAGCATTGGAAGCCATCAGAGGGAATGAGGTCAGGTAGTGTCATTAACATTTACATTGCACACAGGTCACTGTGGCTACTGGGTGGAGGATGAGCAGAGGAGACAGATTAGGGAAATGAGCTCGAGGGCTGTTGCAGTAGCTGAGGTCAGAGGGAGTATGGCTTTGCTGAGTAGTTGTAAAATGGAAAGATGGAGAAAGAAATGAGAGATACTAGTGGAAGTACAAAAGGACTTGGAGGTTGATATGGTTTGGCTCTGTGTCCCCACCGAAATCTCATCTTGTAGCTCCCATAATTCCCACATGTTGTGGGACGGACCCAGTGGGAGATAACTGAACCATGGGGGCAGGTCTTTCCTGTGCTGTACCCATGATAGTGAATAAGTATCATGAGATCTGATGGTTTTAAAAACGGAAGTTTCCCTACACAAGCTCTCTCTCTTTGCCTGCCACCATCTAAGTAAGATGTGACTTGCTCCTCCTTGCCTTCTGCCACTGTGAGGCCTCCCCGGCCATGCGGAACTGTGAGTCCATTAAACCTCTTTCTTGTGTAAATTGCCCAGTCTCCAGTATGTCTTTATCAGCAGCATGAAAACAGACTAATGCAATGGTGGAGATGAAAACTTTGTTATACAGCTGCCATTGAAAATACTAGATTTAAGGCCAGGCACGGTGGCTCATGCCTGTAATCCCAGCACTTTGGGAAGCCAAGACACATGGATTGCTTGAGCTCAGGAGTTTGAGACCAGCCTGGGCAACACGGTGAAATCCCATCTTTACTTTAAAAAAATACAAAAATTAGCCAACATGTTGGTGCATGCCTGTAGTCCCAGTTACTCAGTGGGGCTGAGGCAGGAGGATCACCTGAGCCTTGGGAGGTCGAGGCTGCAGTGAGCCATGATTGTGCCACTGTACTCCAGCCTGGGCAACAGAGTGAGACCCTGTCTCAAAAAACAAAACAAAACAAATAAAACCTAGATTTATTATCCTGTTTGATACCTGAAAACACCTGTGTGAAGCCACAATATAAAAAAAAAGAAGTCCCACAGGCAATAACCTCCTATGTTAGTAGGGAACTGGCATCAGCATTTTAGAGTCACGTCTCATACTTAACCAAATGAGGAAAAATTAAAATTTAGTAAGTATGATTTATCATGATATGGTAGACCTGTTACAGAAAATAACAACCATAAGTGAGAAGTGTTATTACCAGGCACAGGAGCCCAGGTGTTCTTGTGTGTGTGTGTCTGTGTCTGTCTGAGTGTGTGTCTGAGAGACTTAGGATTCTCTAGAATATGAGGCCTATAGCAGGGGTCCTTCCTGTCTGGATCTAAAGGCAATACTATTTATAGATGCCCCCCAAAAGGAGATGGGAGGCAGATAGAGCTTCCTGGTTTTCTGATGTTTTTGCCCCTCAAGTGGCAAAAAGAAAAGTATAACAAAGATTATCTTCCTTGACCAAATTTGTCAGTTTCGTCAAGCCTGACCAGGCCCTGTTCTTGGCCATGTATGCCCAATTTTAGCAAGAATCTTTCTAAATTAGTTTAACCAGAACCTCCCAACTTCAAGAACTGATGGCCATCAGTTCTCATCCTCTACCACCCCAGGTGATGTCTGGTCATCCTGAGTTGCCTTTAGCAAGAATCATGTTTGGCTGGTTTAGCCAGAATCCCCATCACCCCTGATGTTTCTTCTTAGGAACTTTTCACTCACTGACCCCCATCTTTTTTCTCGGCTATAAATTCTCACTTTTCCTTATTTATGTTCTGAATTAAGGTCTCTTTTCCCCTATTGCAATAGTTCCTGATTAAAATCTGTTTTCACTCTTTTAACTACTGTCGGGCTCTGGGTTTTGGGTTTGTTTGTTTTCTGGTTTGGGGGTTGGTTTGTTTGTTTGCTTGTTTGTTTGTTTGTTTTGACACGGGGTCTCACTATATTGCCCAGGCTGGCCTCGAATTCCTGGGCTCAAGTGATCCTACCAGCTTGGCCTCCCAAGAAACTGAGAGTACAGGCAAGTGCCACCACACTGAACAGGCTCTGGGTGATTTTGTTTTTTGTTTTTTTGGACAAATGCGTACAATGGGTCCTGCAAAAAAATGAGAACAACAAATCACAAACATGCATTGAACACCTACTATTTATTTACCACTGTCCTTGGATGAGGAGAACATAATACAAGCAGTTTTGTGATGTAACTGGAGACAAAGGATGAGTCTTTTTTTTTTTTTGAGACCAAGTTTCACTCTTGTTGCCCAGGCTGGAGTACAATGGTGTGCAATCTCGGCTCACCGTAAGCTCCGCTTCCCGGGTTCAAGCGATTCTCCTGCCTCAGCCTCCCGAGTAGCTGGGATTACAGGCATGTGCAACACACGCGGCTAATTTTGTATTTTTAGTAGAGACGGGGTTTCTCCATGTTGGTCAGGCTGGTCTCGAACTCCTGACCTCAGGTGATCCGTCTGCCTCGGCCTCCCAAACTGCTGGGATTACAGGCGTAAGCCACAATGCCCAGCAAGGATAAGTCTTAAAGTGAGGGACTACTTCCTAGCTCCATGTCACCATCAGATTCTATGCAATAATTGCACCTACTCTGTACCCAAAAGAAAATTGGCAACCAAGAAAGTGCTAAGTTGTGCGGAATAGAGAAAAAGCCAATTATGTGATTCAAACGCTGCATGCAAAGGCTTAAAGAAAGGAAGAATTCCACAGGCTGTAGGAGTTCCTTGGCTGCCTTCAAGGAAAAAGATGTAGAAAAGGATGCTGAGTTGGATGAGATGCGGCTAACCGTGAAAGGACATGGGAAGGGGTCATTTTTTCAAAGAAAAAATGTTATTAATAGAAATGTATGAAAATAAACACTAAGGAGACTGCTTAGCCATGTTATCCTTACAACCATAAATTTCCACCCGGGTACTTCCCATTTAAATCCATATCTCCCCACGGAAGGTGGAATTCTGATTCCTTTGTTATTCCAACAGCTGTGTTTATCAAGCACGGACTGCAGGGATTCTCATCCTGCAGACTGACTTTGCATCCCGTAAGGTAACTGCTATGTGTACCCCCCAAATTAATATGCTGTGGCCCCCTACAAATTTATATGTTGAAGTCCTACCCTCCAGTACCTAAGAATGAGACCTTACTTGGAAAGAGGTCTTTACAAAGTTATTTATAAGGTTAACTGGAGTTATTAGGTTGGCCCTAATCCAGTGTGACTGGTGTCCTTGTAAGAGGAGGAAATCAGGACACACACACGCAGAAGGACAATCATGTGAGGATGGAGAAGGCGGCTGTTTACAAGACAAGGAAAGAGGCCTGGAACAGATTCTCCCTCACGGCCTCGGCAGGAACCAACTGGGATGACAGCTTGACCCCCAACTTCAGGCCTCCAGAAGTGTGACACATAATCCATTTCTGTCATTTAAGATGCCTGCCTAGTCTGTGGTACTTTGTTATAGAAGCCCTAGGAGACCAACATAGAAACCAACACTTCCAATCTGATTTTATTTATTTTATTTATTTATGTTAGAGACAGAGTCTTGCTCTGTTGCCCAGGCTGGGGTGCAGTGGTGTGATCACAGCTCACTGCAGCTTCCAACTCCTGGGCTCAAGTGATCTTCCCACCTCAGCCCCCTGAGTAGTTGGGACTAGAGGCACATGACATCACCTCTATAATTTTTGCATTTTTTTTTTTTTTTTGAGGAGACAGGGTCTCACTTTGTTGCCCAGATTGGTCTTAAACTCCTAGCCTCAAGTGATCCTTCCACCTTGGCCTCCAAAATGCTGGGATTACAGGCGTGAGCCATCTTGCCCAGCCCAGTCCTGAAGACCATTCTGTCTGCAGTGGAAAAGGGTCAGGACTAGTAGAACTTTGCTATCTATTATTTCTCATATTTATCAAAACTGCCCTCCAACTATAGAATTAAGAATTGGTTTTCTCCAGAGGACCACTGGAAATGTTTCAGAAACCCATAGTTTACTCTTCTTTTGTGAAATACATTGCAAGATAATGAAATCCTTTCCTGGACACCCAGCTGGCTTGTGCGTGAAGTGATTATGTGTGCCCTTCACCTCATCTTTTCCTCACCAAAGGCGAGAAAAAGGGTAGATGGGGAAGAGAGAAACAACGAAGTCACTTTTAATGAAATGCTTGAAATAGGCCTATTCTGAATAAGGCTGTTCAAATGTAGACACTATATTCTGTAGTTATATTTCACATTGTCCTGAGTTCCCTGATGGCACTTCTTGCTCAAAGTCCAAGACTTGGCCCTCAGATGTGACCCTGTTGAGCCTGGGCTTCACAAACAGTCAAATTTGAGCAGAGTGTTAAAATATTGTAATTATCCGGAAAATAATTCTTGGTGGAAAACATTCTGTCTTTTAAAATGGGAGGGCTCTGGACTGCTGAATAGGACATTCTGCATCTCAGTGGTGTGAAACTAACTGGCTTGGGGCTGCCCCTTACCTTGAATCCCTGCAGAATGAACGCACGCTGGCTGAGGAGTGCTATCTCTGTAACATCCAGCCAGTCTCAGCCAGTCTCCGGCAGCTGACTAATTAAACTACACCCAAATAAGGCAAACGCTGAACATAGCCAATCCAGCTACTTCTGTGCCTCACTTTTCTTTCTCTGAACTTCTGCTGGTTCTGAGGGCTGCCCAATTTGCCAGTCTTCTTTGCTCAAATAAACTCTGTTAAATTGAATTTGTCTAAAGTATTTATTTTAACAATGGTGAAGGAGGGCTAGATGTTAGCTCCCTGTCTTCCCTGTAGATAACAAGCAGATGGCTTCCCAATTTGGGATGCGTGCCTAATGAGAGACAATAGGGCCTGGGAAGACAGTTTGGTCCCACGAGGAATCTTTTCACCAAAATTGCAGGAGTTCATGCCAGGCACCCGGGAGTTCATGCCAGTTATTAGGGTGGCCCTAATCCAGTGTGACTGGTGTCCTTATAAGAAGAGGAAATTAGGACACACACAGGAATAACGACATGAAATACACGACTTGAATGCTATTACTGTGTTTATTCTCATAAAGAAAAAAAGTAAGTTCTATTCCTTGCTGCCACCAGAACTTAAGCATTATACCTTTCAGGGAGAAAGGGATCGGGGAAAATCTGGAGCTAGGATGCAAGACAGTTAAAGAACTGCCTGTGGCAACCTTTTCCCCAAGCAAGAAGACCCACTGTGCCTCTGCAGGCCAGAACAAAGCTCTGCAAAGCACAAAAGCAATGGAGTCAGGGGTGGATGCAAACACCCTCCTTGGCAGTGTCGCTGGAAAATTCACCACCATCATCCCCTTGACTAGCTGCACGAGAGCTCCAAATCTTGGGGGCAAGTTCCAACACTCACTTGCCATCTAGGAGACATCAGAGACCTACTTTGCCTGAAATCGCTCATTGGGCAATTAATGGTGCTCCTAAGGATTCATTTATGAACTCACGATTCCTGGCAGTGCTTGTTTGGCAAAAGCTGTTTGTTCCCAGGAGCCAGAGACAGCTCTCAGTAGCCAGGGCTGATTCAAAATTGCATCCTGGGAAGTTCCCGTTCATAAATGGGGTTCCCCAGAGAACAGACCAAAGGAATCCTGGAACTCCCACAGGGTGGAGAGTTCTCTGGAATCCTCAGGTTGCCTTTATATGTCTTTCTGGCTTTGCTCCATACGGGTAAGGAAAAGCTGATGGGCTACTCCCAGCAAGCAAGGGGCTGGGAGACAAAGTGTGGCAGAGCCCTGGGTGTCCTCCTCCTGTACAGACCTTGGGCAGTCTGCTCAGAAGGGGCCAGGACATCAGGAAAGCTGAATTGATTTTATTCTAATCTGTATGATACTACATGGTGATTGCATCAATATACATTTGTCAAAACCCATAGAATCTACAACACCAAGGGTGAACTCTCATGTAAACTATGGACTTTGGGTGATAATAATGTGTCAGTGTAGGTTCAGCAATTTTACAAGTGTGCCGCTCTGCTGTGGGAAGTCCGTAGTCAGGGAGGTTGTGCATCTGTGAGAATAGCAGGATATATGGGAACTCTCTGGACTTTCCACTCAGGATTCCTGTGAACCTAAATCTACTCTAGAAATAAAGTTTATTGATTTAAAAAGCTCATATGCTGATTTCCACTCTGGGCTTTATACGACTTTTCTGTCTAATTTCTTTACAATGCTTTATTCTTTTTTTACAAACCTTAATTTGAACTAATATATATTTTCAATCTTAGTTTAGTAGTGCATTTCAAGTTTATAAATATTCTCTTCATGTAACACTTTAGCTGCAAGGCACACATTTTTATTTTTGGTATCTTCTTGTTGTTATAAATACTTAAGAATCTCTATTGTTATTTTCTCTTTAGTATGTGACTTATATTTAGGTTTACATTTTTAATTCTTATTATTTTCCCTTTAGTTATATTGAAGTTGGAGCACATGGTTTCTATGACATATACTCTGAATTCAGTTTTTTGGGGGGAAATAGCATATGATTGGTTTTTATAAGTATTCTACATAACCTTAAAAGGAATATAGATTCTCTAGCTACTGAGTGCAACAGTCTATCCTGAGTCTAGCTACTCAGGTGGCTGATGCAGGAGGATCACTTGAGCCAGGAGTTGGAAGCTGCAGTGAGCTGGGATCACACACACTGCTTGGGTGTTTGTATCGAATCAAGCTTATTAATTTTATAGCCCAAATCTTCTACTGCCTGACTAATCATGTAACTGATATGGCAGTTTGTGATATAATTTTACCAAAATATCCCACTTTTCTCTTTCTTCTTGTAATTATGTCAATTTTTTACTTCATATATTTCAAAGCTATGTTGATGAGTGCATATAAATTCATGGCTGTTATTACTTCTTGGTATATTATTCCTTTTTTCATAATGTATTATCTATTTTAATCCCTATTTATGCTCTCTGCCAAATTCTATTTTGCCTGTTAGAAATATTGCTGCATAAGCTTTCTTTTAATTGCGACTTGTCTGGTATATCTGGAAACCTGAATTTAAATCCTGGCTCTGATTTTAACTCGTTATGCATTAGGTGGAAGGCTGAGACAAGCCACTCAACCACAATTTCCTTACTGGTGAGATTAAAATGCTGGGCTGGACAGATCCCAACACCTCCAGCTCTGACATCCTGTTAGCAGCCTGTTCAGCAGTCACCACAGGGGCTGGTTAGCACCTCCTCCCTGGCCCTTCTCAGCCCTGCAGCACCAACCTCCTACCAGAGATGTCTGCATGGGGTGGTGTAGTCATATATTCTTTTCTTTGTAAGGTTAAACTCCTCTGAAATGGAACTTGGGGAAACTGTCTTCTACAGCAGGCTCAGGGATCTCCTCCTTGACATTATCTAGTCCTCAGTTTCAACATATTTTATTTTCTGACTAATCTTGTCTTGATATGGGGGGAAATCAAATTTACCATGAAGCTCCCCAGTTTCTGTTAGCTCAGTTTGAACCTCTCCTTTAGGTTTTACCAGGCTCTTTAAGGCACAGACTGAGTCTTCTGCAGACACTCTAGCTATCAGAGACGCTCCTGTCTTCCGAGCAGCCGGCTCACCCATTTCTCTGTCCCAAATGGCATCTAGGTGCAGGGAGGCACATCCCAGCCTCGAGGCATTGGAGGAGCCTGCTGCTCCAGATTAGCTGCCCACTGCCTAGCTGTCTCACCCTGGTCTCTGGCTCCACTTGCTCTGCAGCTACCTGTACTCCCCCATGCTGCACAAATGGGGCTCAGACGATGCTCCTGGGAGGTCCCCATCTCAGCCCCTGGGGGCACAAATCCTTCAGGGTCTGTGTGCAACTCCCACTGGGTCCCACCCTCAGCTCCTACTCTGGGGTCCCTGTGCACCTTGTTCTGGTGCCCTTGAAAGCTCCAACCAGCAATCTCAGGCACAGTCCCTGTCCTGTGGCTTCCACAGAGAAAAGGCCCCAGGCTAGGCCATCATCTGAAGCTTCACTCTTAGCCATTGCTGCTTGGCCATGGCTGTCTTGGGAAGTTCCAAATAGGAGCAGGGATAAGCCCACACTACATTGCACTCCACCTCACTCCATTTGGGGTCTATACCTTCTCACGGAGGGCTGATAACATCCTCACCTTGGCCCTGTCCTTCCCTACAAACCTCCCTCTCCAATCCATCCCCCTGCCCACCTGGAGGCATGAGACCCCCTCCTCGGCCTCCCTGTTGAGGGATTCCCCTGTGCAGAGCCTCAGATCTCTCTGCCTGGGCTAAGAGGGCATGTATGGTCAGAACTGCTCATCTTCACTCTTTATATATGATGGCAAGTTTGGGAATTCCAAACTCTGTCTCTCTCTCCACAAAGCTGGGCTTGCTTTCTCACCAAGTGCTTCAAGAGTTTATCTTAGAAGTTAAAAGCTAGACATTGCCTCTTTCTCTTTGTTTTCATCCATAAAATGTCTAATCTTCCCCAGATAACATAAGGCCCTGGCTGAAGAAGAAGATCACATTGAAGAAGGTAGAAAGAACAGGTGCATCAATATTTTTTCAAACATTTGCTATCCTGCCATCTAGAAAAGGGAGATTTACTTCTTTTTTTTTTTTTTTTTTGACGGAGTCTCATACTGTCACCAGGCTGGAGTGCAGTGGCACAATCTCGGCTCACCACAACCTCCGCCTCTCTGGTTCAAGCAATTCTCCTGCCTCAGCCTCCCAAGTAGCTGGGACTACAGGTGCGTGCCACCACACCTGGCTAATTTTTGTATTCTTAGTAGAGATGGGGTTTCACCATGTTGGCCAGGATGGTCTTGATCTCTCGACCTCATAATCCACCCACCTCGGCCTTCCACAGTGCTGAGATTACAGGCGTGAGCCACCACGCTAGGCTGCTTTTACTTCTTTAAGGGGTTCAAAAGCCTCATTCTGTTGATTGGCAGAGAGGGACATTGAGGTGTTCTGGGAAAAACCCCTTCCCTCATGCCTTATTTCATGGGTTTAGACACATGGAGAAGAGACTATATTATAGGACATCATCTGTGGTCCCTAAATAGGTGTGTTCTTTCAGGGAAGAACACCTTTGTGGAAATATTTTTACCATTTTGGCACTTTATGTCATGCTATATTGCCACATACTTTCTACTCCTACAGTAATTATGATTATCCACACACTAAGGGGAACCAGAGCTAGTTTTTAATAGCCAATAAAGGATAATGTTAGCATTAACGGCGCTGGCTTGGAAAAAAGCCTGGCTGTGCTTGGATCCTAAGGGTCCCAGCGAGACCTTCTTCTCCCCTTTATTTCAGACAGCTGGGGCTCCCCCACTCTTATGCCCCTGAAGCTGGGCTTGTGGGTTACCCAACTGGCTTGCTTTTCAAGACTGTGCACTAGGAAATCGGTAGAATTTCTCTGTGCCCTGGTCTCAGTCCAATAAGAGATGATGAGTGTAAAATATCCGGCACTTATTAGAGGTGGGTAAATAGGAAAACACTGACATTTGCCCTGTGAATTTGGCAAAGCAGGAAAGTTTATTCTCCTCACCCGTGGAAACTGTACAATAACAAATGCTTATTGTTTTAAGCTGCTGTTTGTGGTCGTTTTTTCAGCAACAGAAAACGAATCCACTGGAAATTGGAATTCTAGTGCTTTTTGAACTCTTTATCGCCCCGCCTCCCATTTTTTAATGGATAGGAAAGGTGGAAACACTCATCACGTGTATCTTGTGTACGCACTAGGGAAAGTTTAACAGTTGCTATGAGAACTTGCTTGGACCCCTGCCTTTCCAGCCTTCCTCTATGTAGTTATCAGAGTATAATAGACAGGACCTGGACAGACCCAGTAAGACAGACCTTTACTGCTTTCATGGAGAGGCAAGAGATGGGAGTCACCCGAGGCATGGGGAATATTTCCTTGGCTTGAATGACTCAGCATTGTCCTCCCATTTGAGGTCCAAGAAGAGGAATTATATATTTTTTAATATTTTTCTTTCATCACTAGTACTATACTGAATGATAAAAAGAATGAGATGGATGAATAGATGGATGGATGGAAGGATGACTGGGTGAATAGATGGGTGGATGACTGGATGGATGGATGGAGGATGGAAGGATGAGTGGATGAGTGGGTGGAGGTTGGATGGATGGATGGATGGGTGGGTGGAGGATGGATGGATGAGTGGATGAGTGGGTGGAGGATGGATGGATAGATGGGTGGATGGGTGGAGGATGGATGGATGAGTGGATGAGTGGGTGGAGGTTGGATGGATGGATGGATGGATGGGTGGATGGGTGGGTGGATGGATAGGTAGGTGGATGCATGGGTGGATGAGTGGATGAATGGGTGAATGGATGGAGGATGAATGCTGGGTGGATGAGTGAATTGAGTAGATGGGTGGATGGTTGAATAGATAGATGGGTGGGTGAATGGATAGATGGATGGATAATGAATGATGAATGGATTTATGGAGGTCAAGCATGCTGTTAGTCTCTTGTGAGCTTGGGCCCATTCTAGGACCTGGACTTACATTTTGTTTCTGTAATGGAAATGTGTCCCTGCCCTTGCCCTTGCCAGCCTCCTCACCTATACCCCTAAAGGTGCAAGGCTGCCAGAGAGCCTGTCTTGATTACTGCATCTTCCCTATTCCTGGATCCTGGATCCCAACCTGAGCTGAACAGCCATGTCTTGGAGCCTTGGCTGCCATTAACTGTGGTCTTACAAATTTCCTCCATGGATGACCTTGGGGTTAAACCTAGTTTCTGCTTCCCCTCCATCCTCATGGGTCTGCAGTTCTCAGGAATCCCTCTCCCCTGACCTGGCTTGTCTAACTGTTGCCCACCCACTCCCCTCCCTGACAGGTGCTGTAAAACGTAGTCTCAGCAGGCATGCACCACGCCATATGGGATATTGTAGAATAGTGTGGTTACTATTTTGGGGAATACGCTCACATACTATTTTGGGGAATACACTTGCAGAAACACGATGATGGCAGCCACCTCCGGGTGGCTTGCATGGAAGCAGGAAAAAGTGTTTCCAGCTCCTACGCTTGGCTCCTACGTGCTCCATTGCATAGGCAAGGTCGGGGGACTGTGAGCTCACCAGGGAAACTGCTGTAGAATGGGATTAGCCCCTCAGGTTTTATTGAGGTGGGTATGCTGAGCTACCTGACTTGCTCTTTTGGCAAAGTTGAGGTCTCGTGGGGCCATCTTGGACAGCTGTCTGGGCAGCTGTGGAAGTGGACAGTGCCCTGGTCTCAGGGGAGGAGGGTGTCGTGAGCTGCTTCAGCCCAGGGCTCCCCGTCACTGCCACCTGGCAAGGTGGGAGAGCTAAGCAGGCCCTCAGGAGCACACACTAAAGCCAAGCAAAAGCACATGGGTTCATCAAAGCCACATGAAAATCGAAGAGGCTGGAGTTGGGTTTCCTCCCCAATCCCACATGAAGCACAATGCTGGAAAAGTCATTGTGAGGAGCTTTATAGTCTTTTTTAAAAAATTCATGAAGATTACATAATTTTCAGTTAAAATATCATTTTCAGCCCGAGATTAATGTGCTTCTCAGGACAGGGCCACTTCTTAAAGGCCTAGCACTAAAAATTGCATCCATTTTTGTCTATCAGATTCTGCTTTAGATGCATTTTTTCAACTGTCCCTAATAACAGTTCTGTGGGTGGGTTATTAATATTACTCCCATTTACCAGTGAAAACAAATGAGCGGGGCCACACAGCTAGTTAACAGCAGAACCAGGGTTCAAAGTGTGCCCGGACAGCTCCACAGGGCAAGATGCTGGTGGTGCGACACCCTGCAGGTCGAACTAAGGAGGCAAGAGGCTCATCGGGACCTGGTGACTTCACATGGATGTTGCTGCTGGGAAGAGCTTTCTTGCTTGTTTCAGTTCAATTCTCAGCCCCATATCCTGGCTGGGGTGGTGCCAGAGGCCCCCAGGTTTGGGTGTTCTCAGAGCTAGCACCCCATGCCATCTGGCATTTGGCTCTGTGAATGTGTGGGTGCTATTTAACCTAACCTCTGCTTCTCACATGTAACATGGGAAAGCTAGCAGTACCTACATCTCATACCGTGGCTGTGAAGAAGGCACGTTTATAAAGTACCTAAGCCAGTGCCTGACACAAAATAAGCACTAAATAATTGTTAGCTGTGGTTATTAATCATGCAACAGATGTTGGTTTTGTTGAAGAAAAGGTGTCCTTAATGGTTAGTCCCTACAGGAAAAAGCCCTGGACACCTGATCTGAACAGCAACTTGTTATGATTGATGTTCCACGGCTGAGCACAGGGTTGGAGACAGATCACGTGGGTGCTGTGGATGCCGTGGATGATGGTGATGATGCAGGAAATGCTGTGTTGCCTCGACAGACTTGGGGCTTGAGATACTACTCAGCAGCCCTGTCAGAGACGTCAGTGAGCACATCAGTCTTCTTTTTTTTCCTTTTTTTTTTTTTTTAAAGACAGGATCTCATTGTTGCCCAGGCTGGGGTGTAATGGTGAGGTCATAACTCACTGCAGCCTTGAACTTCTGGGCTCAAGCGATCCTCCCACCTCAGCCTCTCAAGTAGCTGGCATTACAGGTATGTGCCACTACACCTGACTTATTTATTTATTTATTTATTTATTTATTTATTTATTTATTTATTTATTTATTTATTTTGAGATGGAGTCTCCCTCTGTCGCCCAGGCTGGAGTGCAGTGGTGCGATCTTGGCTCACTGCAACCTCTGCTTCCCGGGTTCAAGCAATTCTCCTGCCTCAGCCTCCCGAGTAGCTGAAATTACAGGTGTCTGCCACCACAGCCGGATACTTTTTCTATTTTTAGTAGTGACGGGGTTTCACCATATTGGCCAGGCTGGCCTCAAACTCCCGACCTCAAGTGATCCGCCTGCCTCGGCCTCCCAAAGTGCTGGGATTACAGGTGTGAGCCACCATGCTCAGCCCAATTTTTAAAAATTTTTGTAGAGATGGGGTCTCATTATGTTGCCCAGGCTGATCTTGAACTCCTGGCCTCAAATAATCCTCCCACCTCACCTCTCAAAGTGCTGGGATTATAGGCGTGAGCCACCATGTCTGACCCAAATAAGTCTTCATGATGACAAACCTTGAATGTATCAGCCCAAAACAACTTTCTGCTAGATGGGGGCACTCTTTACTACAATATCTGTCAGGATGAAATGTACATGGCCATTTCCCCAGCCAATGCAGAAGCGCTCACAGCTTGTTTTCTGTATGTGAATGTTAATGGTGTCTCTGCTGGATGAAACACGGGTTGCAGAGTGTGTAAAGCAAGCCCCTGCAGAACCTGGAGGGACTACTCAACACGGGGTGGTGCTTTACAAAGAGCGCTTTGATGTGGTCGGCCACAGTCAGAGCTGCCCAGCAGCCTCTCCTGTGGCGTCTCCAGTGGCATCGCACACACCCAAGCCTGATGTGCTGTTCTCATCTTTGGAGCGAATCCTAGCTTATAGAATGCTCTGGAAATGTTGCCAGAGAATGATGAAAGGTGTTAATTTGACTATTAAAACTCAACAAAAGGGCCTCCTTGTTAATAAAGGACAATTTCAGACAGGAAAGAAACTAAAACAACATCGAAACTGCTACTGAAGTCATCCAACTTTACAGAGTGTCTTAGAGGGAGTCGCATTTCTTATACAGAATCAATACTAAAAATAGCAATGAAAACAAGTTGGTGCCTTCTTCAAACTACACACAGTAACTTGAGGATATCGGTTCTTTGGGTCTGAGAGTCCCAACCAAACACTAGGGCAAGGCTATAAGTCAGTGCCTTGTTCACTCAGTATCCCATAAAATGCTCCTTCATCCACACTTTTGGTTTTTCTCCCCTCATGCTCCCACTTAGACTAGTGGTGGACATTGGGCAGAGGAGGGCTCTGGCCAAATCCCCCCTCTACTCTACCCCAGCTTGTGGGGCTGAGCAATTTGTCCATGCCCCTGAGTCCCAGCTCCCTGTGTAACAGGGAACAATAGTACTAGAGTTGCTGGGATGACTCAGTAAGACGAAGGGGAGAACTAGCATCTATGTAAAATGCTTAGTACAGTGCTTGGCAAGTTCTGTCTTTGACAAACGTTAGTTGCTGTTATATTGTTGTTGTTATTGCTGTCATTGTTATTATTATTATTGTTAGTAGTAGTAGTAGTCAATTCTTCCAGACAATCATCCCACCTTTCTGGCCAGCTTGACTCTGGTGAGGCACTTTGTGAACATTCAGAGGTGACTGCTCTATGCTGCACTCAGGTCAGGCCCAGTAGGATTCTAACCATTTCCATCCGTTCATTGAGATGTTTATCAAGAGTCGAACGTGGCATGGAATTGACACACGAGTGTTTTAGAAGCGACTCTCTAATAGTATAAATTGAATATTCAAAAAAACGACAGTATGTTTTCTCACTGGAGACCTTAATTAAAGAAGTGTCTTACTGACTGTTTCGTAAATGAATCTCGCTTCTTACGTGAAAGCCCTGGATAATAGGTGCGTAGCACCGGGATGGAGAAATCTCTCTTAGGCCTCATCAACCAAGTGTTCCTGGAATAACTGATGGGCTCCAAAGTGCAGTACTGACAACACAGGGAAATTTGGGGCTGTGACTTCTTAGTCGGGTGGAAAGGAGAAAGAAAAAAGCATTCCTCTTCATTTCTGAATGCCTCAACCTAAACCAAACAGTTCAGTTTTAGAAGGCTGTAGAGTCAGGCTTAATGAAGTCTACAAATGACCAATGTGTAGAATGCTGAGAAAAATTCTCCAAGAGTTTTTTAAAATGCAGTTATGATATTATTTAAGTATTTGAGTTTTAAAACAAGCAATAAAATATCCATTTTTGGCCAGGTACAGTGGCTCACACCTGTAATCCTAGCACTCTGGGAGGCCAAGGCAGGTGGACCACCTGAGGTCAGGAGTTCAAGACCAGCCTGGCCAACATGATGAAACCCTGTCTCCACTAAAAATACAAAAATTAGCCGGGTATGGTGGCGCATGCCTGTAATCCCGACTACTTGGGAGGCTGAGGCAGGAGAATCGCTTGAACCTGGGAGGTGGAGGTTGCAGTGAGCTGAGATTGCACCACTGCACTCCAGCCTGGGTGACAGAGCCAGACTCTGTCTCCAAAATATATATATGTATATATATATGTATATTTTGGATATATATAATATATATCCCAGATGTCTCCTGGCTCCTGCCTGCCCATGTCGACATGAGACTCCACAGGGATAAAATGCAACAGAGGTCTCTGCATTTTCTGTAATTTAATCCTCTGCGGATCTATTGTATATAATATATATATAATATATATATTTTTTTTTCATTTTTGACCTGGCCTTCCTTTCTTCTTATTTTCCTTCATTCGTTATATCGTTTTTCCCTCCCACAGGTTTTTCATTAACTAGCCCAGGAGTTCTTAACTTTTGTTTTTAACTCTCTTTAGGCCACAGACTAATATTTTGAATTCCATGAAAGGAATGGAGTTTCTCCCCAGAAAAGTGAACAAACGCACAATGCGGACCTCCTGGAACCTCTGAGCACTCAGCTAGATAGACAGATGGTAGGTAGGTAGGTATATAGATAGGAAGAGGGCAGGTAAGTAAGTGGAGAGACAGATAGTGGGTAGGTAGATAGAAGACAGGTAGAGGACAGGTAGATAGGTAGGTAGATGATAGATAGATATGCATATGATAGGTAGGTAGACAGATACACTGGTAGATAGATGATAGGTAGACAAAGAGATAGACAGATGATAGGTAGATAGGTAGATTTATTTCAAGGAATGGCTCATGCAGTTACGGAAGCTGACAACCCCAAAATCTGGGAGTGGGCCAGCAGGCAAGAGACTCAGGGAAGAGTCGATGGTGCAGTTTACGTCCAAAGGCTCTTACAGAGACACCGTGAATAATATGTGACCACTCATTCGGGCACTGTGGTTCAGATATGTCCACACATAACGTGAACCATCATAAGGGGCCAGGGCCTGGGATCAGAGAACCAGGAATCAGTCCAGCCAGGGCCAGCATCCTTGATACTTCTTTTCTTCCCCTGGGCTCCTCAGCCCTTGCTCACTGTATTAACTGGCTTCCCCTTGACGTTCTCTCCCCCATGTGAGTGGGAGGCTTGCCAAGAGAAAGTCCCTGACGCAGGGGTTTCCCAACACATGATGAAGCCATCTTCAGGAAAGCAGGTCAGGCACTAGCGTGAGTTTTATTTGTTATTTGTGTATTGCTTTTGGCAAACGACAGAGCAGGCCAATCCTGGGTGTAGAATTGGCACAACTCCACATCCCCCACCCTCACCATCATGGCAGTAGCCCAGGTTCCCACACCAGAGGGAGCACAGAGTTCTGACGGGGCTCCCTGCAGCCTGCTTTGGAGGAGGCGGCTTCCCCGGGGCTGGTTTCTAAGCAGCACATCGCCCATTCCAGCAAGAACTGGGAGTGCTGGGGGGACACTGGACCTCAAATGATGTATGTGTGAGTGGCAAGAGGGTGTTGTCGTGGCCTCGAGGAGATGACAGATTCCGGGAGGGGACAGCCATTCCTGCGGCTGCCAGGTCAGGAGGCGACCCTCACAACTGCTTGGCGCTGTGGAGGGAGCAGGGGGCAGTGCCAGCTCGTTCCACCCATGTAGTTCTGGGGACTTGTCCCTAATGGATGTTTGAGTGGGGAGGGGTCTTCCTGCCTCCACCCATCAGTGTCTGTGACCACAGGCCCTTTCTGTGGCCAGACACTCATTGCAGCCCTGGCAAAGGACAGCTGAGTCAGGGCATTGGTTCATATCGAACAGATGCCATCACGGACTCCGTTCACTCTCAGTATTTTCAGGTGTCCCCAAGGGCCCACCCCAGCCTCTTGGTGAAGAGGGACCCAACCTGAGCCCAGCCCCCAGAGCTCCTGGACATCTCCTGGCTCCTGCCTGCCCATGTCAACATGAGACTCCACAGGGATAAAATGCAACAGAGGTCTCATTGCATTTTCTGTAATTTAATCCTCTGCAGCTCTTTGGGGGCAGTTGTTAAATGGAAATGGAAATCAAAACAAAATAAAACAAAAAGTGCCCCACATTTCCTAACAGACAACGTTGCCAGGGTACACCTACTTGGGAAATAAGATTTTTTTTTTTAATCCTTCTTTTTCACCTGGACACTGTGTCCCTCAAGCCTATGGGAGATTACTCAACTTCCTGAAAGAAAATGTTGAGCCAGAATTATGCAGAGATTCAGAAGTATAAGGGAAAGAAACGCAACGCACTCAGGTATCTCAGTGAAAGCTACAAGGGTTAGGAACTCCGTCCCCTCCACATCAGAATGCTCTGAGGTGTCAGCCCAGAGCATCATCGCATAGCCACAGAAGGGAACGTTAGGCAGAGGCCCCTCCCTAGCCATGTTGGCCTCACAATCCCCACCAGCCCATGCCTGTGAAGGAGACAGACACTGTCCAATATATACGTGCCCAGTACCACCAGGCCCTGTCCTTTTTCTTACTCTCTCCTGATCCTGCAAAAATGATGAAGGAGAGGCATAGGTGTGTCTTGACTGTCAGTGATGATGGGACATTCTACAGTCTCATCAATTCCTAAGCCTCAGGGGACCGTGGACACAGCCTGATCCTGCCTGCGTCCTCCCACAGCTCCATGCCTGCTCCCAGTGTGCTTCCAGAACAGCAGTTTTTTGTTTTTTGTTTTTTTGACAGGATCTTGCTCTATCACCCAGGCTGGAGTGCAATGACACAATCATAGCTCACTGCAGCCTCGACCTCCTGGGCTCAAGTGATCCTCCCACCTCAGCCTCCCAAGTAGCTGGGAATACAGGTGCGCACCACCATGCCCAGCTAATATATATGGAGATGGGGCTTTGCCATGTTGCCCAGTCTGGTCTCAAACTCCTGGACTCAAGTGATCCACCAGCCTCAGCCTCAGAACAGCAGCTTTGACACTCGGAGAGCCAGGGCTCTCAAGATGTATATGTCCTGGCCCAGCAGCTTCGACATCCCAGGGGGCACGGGTTAGAAAAGCATGCTGTGGGGCCCTCCCCAGGCTCGCTAAGTCAGGACCTCCAGGTGGACCAGCCTCTGTGCTCTCACAGCCCCCTCACCTGCTACCCCCACTCGCAGAGCATTCTGCTGCTTCTCAAGCCAGAGCCTGCCTTGGGGGTGAGCTTCAGGGATTGCTGACAGGGAGCTTTGGCTCTGGGAACCTCCCCTCAGGATGACCTTAGAAAGGGCTGCCCACAACAGCCAACTATTGGTTTAATTTTTTTCTTAAGGAGAAAGACGACCGCACAAGGCCTAGGTCTCCCCAACAGGCCTGCTTGAATCTGAGGGCTCATCCTCGTTCCCTAGATGGCAAGTTGAACCCTGGCCCAGGCAGCCCCTGTGAGCACCACCTGGGTCTATACCTGAGCCAGCTCCACTCCGTCTCACTCAGCCTGCTCTTGAGGGTTGTCGGCTTTAGGATGCAAGGAGTTTGCAGAGCACACCCACTGACTTGGGGGTTCCCAAAGGGAACACTTTGGCAGAAGAGGCACAGAAACCCGATCCCCACACCACGAGGATTCCTCCCTCCTTCCCTTTTTATTCTTCCCTTCTCCCTTTCTTCCTTCCTTCCCTCTCTCCTTTCTTCCTTCCTTCCCTCTCTCCTTCCTTCCTTCCTTCTCTCCTTCCTTCGTTCTCTCCTTCCTTCCTTCTTTCCTTCCTTCCTTCTCTCCTTTCTTCCTTCCCTCTTTCCTTCATTTCTTCCTTCCTTCTTTCCCTCTCTCCTTCCTTCCTTCTTTCCTCCCTTCCTCTCTTCCTTCCTTTCTTTCTTCCTTCCTTCCTTTTTTTGACAGAGAATAAATCAAGCAAAAAATACAGTGACACAGCTCCTGCACACTGCTGAGAGCACATTAACCTTCTGCGGTTGCTTCCGCTTCTTACGTAGAGCTTCATAAGCAGGGCTGAAAATCCCACACCACATGCCCGGCCTCCATGGAACCCTTCTCCTTAAGTTTGTGTGGCTTTACAGATCCACGTTTTTATACCTTTCCCTCACTATTATGCATCCAAAGCCAAGGTATAGCATTCTGTTGTGTGTTTTACATTTTTACACAGGTGTGCATTGCCTTGCAATGATTTACTTTTCTTTCTTTTCTTTTCTTTTCTTTTTTTTTTGAGACAGAGTCTTGCTCTTTTGCCCAGGCTGGAGTGCAGTGGTGAAATCTTGGCTCACTACAACCTCTGCCCCCGGGGTTCAAGCAATTCTTGTGCCTCAGCCTCCCAAGTAACTGGGAGGACTGTCATTCTGTTGAGTCATTTTGCAATGTTTAGGGAGAGACTCAGCAGCAAATTCGGTACAGGAGTACTGAATTTTCTGTGCCAACTGGGACACACACCACCACACCCGGCTAATCTTTGTATTTTTAGTAGGGACGAGGCTTCGCCATATTGCCCAGGCTGGTCTCGAATTCCTGGCCTCAAGTGATCTGCCTGCCTCGGTCTCCCAAAGTGCTGGGATTACAGGTGTGAGCCACCTCAGCCAGCCTACCTTTTTTATTTAACAACTTTTTTTCAAGATTAGTTTATGTTGTTACATTCATTTTCACTGATTAACATTATTTTATTGTATGAATATACAACAATTTATCTGTCCAAGTCCCTATAGATGGACAACAAATCGGCTTCCAGATTTTTGCTGTTACAAATACAATCATTCACCACATAACGTTTTGGTCAACGATGGACTGCACGTATGACAGTGGTCCTATAAGATTATAATACCTTTTCTATGTTTAGATACACAAATACTTACCATTGTGTTACAGCTGCTTACAGTGTTTAGTACAGGAACATGCTATATAGGTCTGTATCCCAGGAGCAATAGGCTCTACCACATAGCCTAGGTATGCAGTAGGTTCTACTAGTTAGGTTTGTGTTAATGTGCTCTGTGATGGTTGCACAATGATGAAATTACCTAACAAGGCTGGGCACGGTGGCTCACGCCTATAAGCCCAGCACTTTGGGAGGCCGAGGCAAGCCGATCATGAGGTCAAGAGATCGAGACCATCCTGGCCATTATGGTGAAACCCCATCTCTACTAAAAATACATGCCGGGCATGGTGGCATGCACCTGTGGTCCCAGCTACTTGGGAGGCTGAGTCAGGAGAATCGCTTGAACCAGGGAGGCAGAGGTTGCAGTGAGTTGAGATCGTGCCACTGCACTCCAGCCTGGTGACAGAGAGACTCAGTCTCAAAAAAAAAAAAAAAAACTTACCTAACAACACATTTCTCTTAATGTATCCTTGTCCTTAAGTAATGTCTGTTATTTTCCATTTTCCGTCACATATTGTCATTAAGTCTCTGACAATTACCGAACACAATTAACATTGTCGTGTTTAAGAGAAATCATTTACCGATTTCTCTAAAATACTCCTTCCTAGTACTGAATTTGCTGAGTCTCTCCCTAAACATTGCAAAATGACTCTGCAGAGTGACAGTCCTCACTATCCCATATCTTACCAGCTCTGAGAATTATCACACCTAATGATTTTTTTCAATCAGATGGGTGCGAACTGTTTCATTTATTATTTGCATTTCCTGATTTTTGTGAAGCTAAACCTCTCACTCACATTTATTAGCCAATCAGATTTTTTGGTGAATTATCCCTTCTTTTGCCCATATTGCACTTTTTCTTTTTGATTTGCCCAAATGTTCTTATATTATGAAAACACCAATCTTCTGTTAGTCTGTGTCTGTCTCTATTTTATCTTCCATTTCCTGTATTGGCAATGCTATCATCTGCAAATGATAATTTTGTCTTGTTCTTTTCTGCAACGATTACTTCTATCTTTTCCATCTCATCTCATTGTCCTGGTTGGGACCTTCACGACAATGCCGACTGGACACTGTGGTAGTCCCAGTCTCACTGCATATCTGCTTTTAAAGGGACTATTTCTAATCTTTGCCTGTTAAATGTTAATATTTGCTGTAGGTTTCCAGCAGATAGTATTTACCTGGCATAGGAGTCCCATTCTAATATTATATTAGTTTGCTAATGTCTTTCTTTCTTTCTTTCTTCTTTCTTTCCTTCTTTTACTTTATTTTTTTGTTGTTGTTGTTGTTGTAGTTTTTAGACAGTCTTATTCTGTCACCCAGGCTGGAGTGCAGTGGTGCGATCTCAGCTCACTGCAACTTCCGCCCCCTGGGTTCAAGTGATTCTTGTGCCTCAACCTCCCAAGGAGCTGGGATTACAGGTGTGCATCGCCGTGCATAGCTAATTTTTGTATTTTTAGTAGAGACAGGGTTTTGCCATGTTGGCCAGGCTGGTCTCTAACTCCTGACCTCAGGTGATCCACCAGCCTCGGACTCCCAAAGTTCTGGGATTACAGGTGTGAGCCACCACACTCAGCCTGCTAATGTATTTCTTAATGAGTAAATGTAGAATGTCATCAAATGCTTTTTTCCCTGCGCCTTTTGAGGATAGCATGCTTTTTCTTCTTTAACCTGTAACTCAATGAATTATATTAATATATTTCCTAAGGTTAATAATCTTGCAATCCTCAGGTGAGGTGTGCTGATGTGTGATATACACCGAAGCATTTCATTTGTAAATTTTTAAAGGATGTTTGTGTTTATGTTCACAAGTGAGATTTTCTTCTCTCCCCTTGTTTTGTCTGGTTCTCTCATGCCATTCTGTGGAACAGTCTTAAGATAAGAAGTTATCTTTTCTTGGGAAATTTGATAAATTTCACTTATAAAATCATCTAAGCTTGGCCAGGCGCGGTGGCTCATGCCTGTAATCCCAGCACTTAGGGAGGCCGAGGCAGGCGGATCACGAGGTCAGGAGATCAAGACCATCCTGTCTAACACGGTGAAACTCCGTCTCTACTAAAAATACAAACAATTAGCCTGGTGTGGTGGCGGGCGCCTGTAGTCCCAGCTACTGGAGAGGCTGAGGCAGGAGAATGGCGTGAACCCGGGAGGCAGAGCTGGCAATGAGCCGAGATCACACCACTGCACTCTAGCCTGGGCAACAGAGCGAGACTCCATCTCAAAAAAAAAAAAAAAAATCCTCTAAGCTTGGTGCTTTTTGGTTTATTGATTTTTGACTACTGATTTAATTTCTCTTATGGTCATTTTTAAACCTATAAGTTCTATGGCTATGGTTATATGGTTAAAGGTCTATTCAGGTTTTAAATCTGTACTTGAATCAGTTTTGACAGGACACCCTTTTCTAGAAAAATAACCATTTTGTCTAGGTTTTCAGATTTATTGGAGTAAAGTTGTCCATTGTATTTGGTTATAAGTTTTAATCTTTGGGACAGCTGCATTGAAGTCTCTTTTTTCTTCCTTCTTTGTTTTCTTTCCTTCTTTAACGTTTTCTCTTTTTTCCCTAATCAAACCTTCCAGAGATTGTAGACTTTACTTTTTTCCCCAAAATTAGCTTCTGCTTTTGTTAATTCTCACAGATATTTTTGGTTGTCTAATTTGCCAATATCTCCTCGTTTCTTTCTTATTTCCTTACTTGATTTTGGTTTAACTCTTTTTTCCAAAAGTAACCTCTTGAGTTGAACGCTTATGAGCTTTTAATCTTTTTTCTTTTCTAATATATTTATCTAATGCTATAATTTTCTGTACGCTGTGTTTTCATATGTTTTTATATGCAGTGTTCTTGTCATTCAATTCTATATATTTTATGATTTTTATAAAGGCAATTTTTTTTCTTTTTCAAGTTCAGGGGTACATGTGCAGGATGTGCAGGTTTGTTACACAGGTAAACGTGTGCCATGATGGTTTGCTGCACAGATCAGCCCATCCCCCCAGTATTAAGCCCAGCATCCACTAGCTATTCTTCCTGATTCTCTCCATCTCCCCACCCCCTGTCCTCCAACAGGACCCAGGGTGTTTTGTTCCGCACCATGTGTCCATGTGTTCTCAGCATTTAGCTTCCCCACTTATAAGTGAGAACACGCGGTATTTGGTTTTCTGTTCCTGTGTTAGTTTGCTAGGGATAAAGGCTTCCAACTTTAACCATGTCCCTGCAAGGGACATGATCTCATTCTAAAGGTTATTTTTTGAACCCAAAGTATCTAGGATTGTTTTTGAAGGCAAAACATTATTACTAATTATAACTATTTTACATTTTGATCAGAGGATATCATCTATAGCACAAGCCAGTAAATATTTTTCTGTAAAGGGCCATTATTGTAAATATTTTAGGCTTTGCAGGTTTCATTGAATCTCTGCTACAACTACAGCAAAGCTGAAAAGTGATAGAAACGTTTGACTGACATACTCAGGGGTGCGACCTGATCATTAAGCCAGGTGAAAAAGCGCCTGCTAGAAGATTCTTGAGGCAGAGCTAGAAATTACACCAAGAGTAGACGTGTTTTCTTTTTGATTTGTACCTAGCAGAATGGTGTGGCAATAATTTCTCAAGCATTCCATTCATTTCATGTCCTAGGTAGAAATAACCTAGAAAGAGAAAAAAGGCAAAGAAAATCAGGTGTCCATGCCTACGTGAAACAGAAAAAGAAAATTGTTCAGGTATCTGTAACCAGGCCTAGGCAAATAAAGGCAACTTACAAAAATACAAACACTATTAAGGTGTTTTATTTTGTTTTTTAAGGAAAACTGGGAAGGGAGAATAAATAACAGGGACATCAGGGGCAAGATCAGTTGCACCTGCAGAGTTCTGCAGCTTGTTAGAAGGCAGGCAGCTTGAGTTAGCTTTCAGCAGCCAACCCCCAGAGCTACATGCAATCATCAACCAGTGTCCACAAGGAACAAACAAGCAAGGGGCTCCAGTAGAAGAAAGGGAAGGTGCTGGTTGGTGTTGCAGGTCCTCTTAGGAGGACCAAGTTCATATCCACGAAACTCGTGGGCTGCTCCTGCACCCCCAGAGTCCAGTTGCAAGGCCATGGGCACCGAGACATGCTCTTCGTCTTTTCCAGCTCTAACCTAGACAGTCTTCTCTTTTTATGGAATACTCTTCTGAGAAATATCCCAAGTGAATTACTGAATGATGCTTTGATGAGATCCTTGAGGACCATCAAAAGAAACAGCCCTCTGAAGACAACCAGATCCAGTGGTGTGCACCTGAGTCTCAGCAGTTCCTCATCCTTTTCTAAAGGAGGTGCAGAACCTGAGACCGAGCGTGAGGTCTGAGTTCCAGTTCCATTACCTAACTCGCTGCGGGACTCTGGGCAAGTCACTGACCCTCCCTGGGCTTGCTTTCCTCATCTGTGAAATGGGATGCTACTTGAACTTCCCTCATACGGTTCTTGTAAGGATGAGTGAGCTCCTTTATAAAACTATCGGACAGTGCTCAGAGCACAGTAACTACTGCACCCTATCTTCTCAAATAGACTTTTTTTTTTACAGCAGTTTTAGGTTCACAGAAAAATTGGTCAGAAGGCACAGAGGTTTCCTTTATGCTCCCTGCTCCCTCACAAGCACAGCCTCCCCAACTATCGATATCCACCCCCCTCACAGTGGTGCATCTGTTCCAATCGATAAACCTACACTGATACCTTATTACCACCCAAAGTCTACATCCAATTTTTATTAGAATGATTTTTTTTCCATGGGGCAGTACAAACATATCTTGGCACAAACTTATTCTCAAGCTTGTACACTCTATTTTCTTGGGATAAAGGTGGTTCAAGGTGTAGAATTTTGGTTTTTAATAAGACCCATTGAGGAATGTTATTATCTGAATGTGTGTGTTTCCTCAAAATTTATGTTGAAATCCTAGCCTCCAAGGTGATGGTATAAGAAGTGCAGCCTTCGGGAGGTCATGAGGCCATGATAGTAGAGCCCTCATGAGTGGGATTGAGAGGCAACAGAGAGACCCTTGCCCCTTCCCCTATGTGAGGTCACAGCAAGAACTGCGCAGTCTGCAACCGTCCCCAGGTGGCCCTCACCAAAACCCAACCATGCTGGCACCCTCATCTTGGACTCCCAGCCACCAGAACAGGGAGAAATAAATTTCTATTTTTTACCAGCCACCTGGCCTACGATATTTTTTATAGCGGCCTTAATGGACTAAGACAGTAAGGGAGTCAATTAGCAGAGGAAATAGTAGACATTGGAGATAGAGGACCTGGGTTTGGCTCCAAATTCTGCTGCTAGTAGCTCTGAGACCCCAGTTCTCTGAAGCTCAAGGGTAAATAAATGCAGTCATAGTCCCCAAGGATGGTGGCCAGGCTAAAGTGGAGTTCACAACTTATTATTATTATTATTATTTTTATTTTTGACAGTTTCACTCTGTCACCCAGGCTAGATTGCAGTGGCACAATCTCGGCTCACTGCAAGTTCTGCCTCCTAGGTTCATGCCATTCTCCTGCCTTAGCCTCCCGAGTAGCAGGCGCCTGCCACCACGCCCGGGATTACAGGCGCCTGCCACCACGCCCGGCTAATTTTTTGTATTTTTAGTAGAGATGGGTTTCACCGTGTTAGCCAGGATGGTCTCGATCTCCTGACCTCGTGATCCGCCTGCCTCGGCCTCCCAAAGTGCTGGGATTACAGGCGTGAGCCACCGCGCCTGGCCACAACAACTATTAATATCCTGATGGTGCATGGCTGGGTGGAGCATACATAGTAACCTCACATTTATCCTTTTCCATGTCTTCCCCCAGCATCTCTGTCCCGTCTTAAAAGAAAAGGTGCATCATTTATAATTTTGGATGGTTTGGTGCAGGGAATATTATCAGGGTAGGTGGCAATTTACTTGAGGAGTATTGACACGTTAGCAAATACTCTTTCCTTTGCTGCAATACTGGGAAAGTCCATAATACAATGGGATTTTTTTCTTGTAGTCAAAAGCAGTTGTACATTATTTTTGCTTGTCTCTGATGGTGTCAAGTCTAAATCACAGCCATCAGCTGACTCCTGATGCATGGGTAGAAAAGGTCCTGACAAGCCCCATCTTTTCCTGCCCAAGAATGGTAAACAAGTTGCTCCCTCTAGCATCAATACACTCTCTGAAGGTGGCTTCCTAAGACTGTGTGTACCACAACAGGCTATTTCTTTGTGCAAATGACTGCACTTTAACTTTTTTATTATTAAAAATGAGAATGAGTGGGCCGGGCACGGTGGCTCACACCTGTAATCCCACCACTTTGGGAGGCCAAAGCAGGTGGATCACGAGGTCAGGAGATCGAGACCATCCTGGCTAACACGGTGAAACCTCATCTCTACTAAAAATACAAAAAAAATTAGCCAGGCATGGTGGCGGGCGCCTGTAGTCCCAGCTACTCTGGAGGCTGAGGCAGAAGAATGGCGTGAACCTGGGAGGTGGAGCTTGCAGTGAGCTGAGATCACACCACTGCACTCCAGCCTGGGCGACAGAGCGAGACTCCATCTCAAAAAAAAAAAAAAAAAGAGAGAATGAGTGGTAGGAAAACAAGTCCTTTGTGTGTGTCCCAGATAATTTCATCTGATTGTAAAGTTGAGATACATTGGGTTATGTCATTAACCTTTGGTAGCTTCTTAAGAAAATAGTTTCTCTAGAGTATCTATACTGTGAAATGTATTTTTATTTTCCAAGTAGAACATGCCTCTGGGATTTTGAGAAAAAATAAAAACATACATAAGTTCAGTAACATGAATATTGACATTTGTTTTTGAAGAAAATAAAGCTGAGCTTTCAAAAATGATGTCAGCTTTTTGGAACTCACAATCTATAGACGATTCCATCTAATCTTTATTGAATGCCTGCTGTATACAGGCACCAGTATGTGAAACCTTTTTATGGGGTAGGCTTTACTTTATTTATTCTTTTATTTATTTATTTTTTTGAGACAGAGTCTCACTCTGTCACTCAGGCTGGAGTGCGGTGGCGCCATCTTGGCTCACTGCAACCTCTGCCTCCCAGATTCAAGCGATTCTCCTGCCTCAACCTCTCGAGTAGCTGGGATTACAGGCGCATGCCACTACACCTTGCTAATTTTTGTGTTTTTAGTAGAGACGGGGTTTCACCATGTTGGTCAGGCTGGTCTCGAACTCCTGACCTCATGATCTGCCTGCCTTGGCCTCCCAAAGTGCTAGGATTACAGGTGTGAGCCACCGCACCTGGCCCTATTTATTCTCCTTTTATAGATGAAGAAACTGAACACAGAGGGGGGAATTATTCACCAAGTTTGCATGGTTACTATGGGGCAAGGCAAGATTCAAACTGAGCATTGGTCATCTACCAAGCCCACACACTTCCCAGGTGGCTGCACTGCCCTTCTCAGGACCTAAGGGAGGCTCCAGACCTGTGCTAAGCAGTAGCCTCATGAGGCTATTGAGACTAACTATAGAGTAATTACAATTAAATCAAATCAAAATTTTAATCCCTCAATTGCACCAGCCCCAGTTCAAGTGCTCAAAGTCTTATGGTGGCCAGTGCTTTCCCCTGTACAGCATGTCCTGTAGAACCCTTTACAGCAGAAGGCTGTCTTAGACATGGCCATTTGGTTGCTCTCCACCTCTCAGCCCCTCGGCTTCTGCTGGAAAATCATCAGGTGCCTCTGTGGAAAAACGACACCCAAAGCTGAGTTTCCTGGTCCTGGCTTACCTTCTCTCTGGGCTCTGTAACCCCAAGTCCTTGCTCTTTTGCTAGCTTTCTGGTTCCTTCCTACAGTTTTGTCCATGTTTTCTAGCTCTCGGTAGGAGTACTGGCCTGAAACAAGTCAGGTCACTTTCTCCAGCATTTCATTTTCCCTATGCATCTGTCCACATGCCTTTCCTTTGCTCTAATCCACAGAGTCTTCTGTTGCCTGGTGGAGAGTACACCTAACCATGCCTAAAATTTAAAATGTATTGTTTATAAACCTCATCTAGTGATTGTCTCAATGGAAGATAGCCCCATGTCATGCATCCAGAAAACCCCATTATATCCAAATGCCACCAGCCTCATGGGCATCTACACACACATGAACCCACATGGACAGCACCAAGGCCAGGTCCTCTCTTGGCACTCACATATAATCCCCCCTTAGCCAACTCTTTCAGGGCTTCCCCAAAACGTGCCTTGCTTGCCCATCCAGGGCATCAACAACCGTCCCCACTCAGCTTCACCTGCTCGCCCCTGCAGCTTCAATCTACCTATCAATCAATACACCCACAGTCCTGAAGACCACTGCCTACAGGACTTGCCGTGAGGATACTGTTATTTATGCCTCTTGAGGCTGGCTGAGTTTCCAGATTCCAAGAAGCCAGAGCAAACATGTATTCTAATGTAATTACATTTATTTTGTTTTTATTTTATTTTTGTTTATTACAATGTAATAAGCATGTAATACAATGTGGGAAGAACAGCTTCCCAACTCTTTGCTGCAGCTTGTTACCTGGTTCCCAAGTGCCACTGCTTGTTCCCAGAGCATTCCAGGAAAGCGGCCTCTCTCTCTCTTTTCTTTTCTCCTTCCTTCCTTCCTTCTTTCCTTCCTTCCTTCTTTCCTTCCTTCTTGTCTTTCGTTTCTCTCTCTCTCCCTATCTCCTTTCTTCCTTCCTTCCCTCCCTCCCTCCCTCCTTCCTTCCTTCCTCTCTCTCTCTTCTTTCCTTTCTTTCTTTTTCTTTCTTTCTTTTTTTCTTGCTTGTTTGCTTGCTTGCTTGCTTGCTTGCTTGCTTGCTTGCTTTCAACAGAGTCTCACTCTGTTGCCCAGGCTGAAGTGCAGTGGCATGATCACAGCTCACTACAGCCTCAACCTCATGGGCTCAAACAATTCTCCCACCACAGCCTCCCAAGTAGCTGGGATCACAGGTGTGCGCCACCATGCTCAGCTAATTTTTGTATTTTTTGTAGAAATGAGTTTTACCATATTGCCCAAGCTGGTTGCAAACTCTTGGGCTCAAGCAATCTGTCTGTCTCAGCTTCCCAAAGTGCTGGGATTACAGGCCTCAGCCACCGCATCTGGCCACAACTTTATTTTTTAAAGCATGTTTAGGTTCACAGCAAAATTCAGAGGCTGGCATAAGGTTTCCCATATACCTCCTACCTCTACATATGCATAACCTCCCACATTATTAACATCCCCCACCAGAGTGATACCCTGGTTACAACTGATAAACTTACACCGACACATCATTGTCACCCGAAATTCATAGTTTACACTGGGGTTCACTCTTAGTGTTGTAAATCCTGAGTTTAAACAAATGTATAATGACACATATCCATCATTATAGTATCACACAGAGTATCTTCACTGCCTTAAAACTCCTCTGTGCTCTGTTTCTCTCCCTATCCCCAACCCCTTGCAACCACAGATTTTGCAACCACTATAAGAATGTCTTATAGTTAGAATCATACAGTATGCAGGCTTTTCAGATTGGCTCCTTTTATTTAGTAATATGCCTTTAAAGTTCCTCCACATCTTTTCACAGATTGCTAGCTCATTTCTTTTTAGTGCTGAATAATATTCCATTGTCTGGATGTACCATGGTTTATCCATCCATTTACCCTACTGAAGGACATCTTTGTTGCTTCCAAGTTTTGGCAAGTATGAACAAAGCTGCTATAAAGCTGCTATCTCTGCGTAGATTTTTGTGTGTATGTGTATGAACATGTTTTCAGCTCCTTTGGGTAGATAGTAAGGAGCATGATTGCCAGATCCTATGGTAGACTGTGCTTAGTTTTGTAAGAAACCACCAAACTGTCCTTCAAAGTGGCTATACCATCTTGCATACCCACTGGCAATGTTCCTGTTGTCCCATATCCTCACCAGCATTTGGTGTTGTCAGTGTTACAGATTTGGTGATTCTAAAAGATGCGTAGTAGTATCTCATTGCTGTTTTAATTTGCACTCCCTGATGATATGTGATACAGAACATTTTTTTCTCATTTTTTTTTGCCATCCATATATCATCTTTGATGTGTTTGTTAAGGTCTTTGGGCCACTTTTTAATCAGATTGTTTTCTTACTGCTGAGTTTTAAGAGTTCTTTGTGTGTGCGTGTGTGTGTGTGTGTATGCCCTTACTGTGAAAAAAATATATATATATATTCCCTTTCTGTGTATGTATATATATATATATATATATATATATATATATATATATGCCCTTTCTCTGAATATATATATATGTTTCTTTCTTTTTCAAATTTTATATTAGATTCAGAAGGTACCTGTGCAGGTTCGTTACCTGGGTATATTATGCGATGCTGAGGTTTGGGGTATGAATGATCCCGTCGCTCAGGTTCTAAGCACAGTACCCAACAGTTTTTCAAGAAGGTGTTTTTTCTATGCTCAGTAGGTAAACCTAAAGAAACTGTGTTCAGCCTGGCCAGTCACCTTTTTTCACTCAGAAGGACTTTCCATGCTTTACCCAGATATATAGAGGAAACTGTCTTTTAGCCAGTTTCAAAGATTTTTATTTTATCTGTAATTCTGACAGCAACTGGTATATTGCAGTTCAATTCTGCCACTAACCACCTGGAGTTAGCACGGACCTCACAGGTGAAGAGCACAGTCAGTCCCGAGTGTATGTGTATGAATATTCACATAGACAGCCCCCTCCAGACAGCAGCCACAAGTTCAGTGGGTCCCAGGCCACTCACACTTTTGACCAACTGGCTAGTAATTCAAGGGTTTCCACAATCCTGTCATGTTTGATCATTGGCTATAACAATGCATAGAACTCAAGGAAGTGCTACACTTTTGATTATAGCTTTACGATAAAGAGAACAGCTCAGGGCCACCCAGATGAAGAGATACAGAGGGAAGGCCTGGGAGGATCCCCAACACAGAGCTTCCTTGCCCTCTCTGTGAAAATAGGGTGTACCTCCCTTCTGGCACACCCACGTGTTCATCAACAAAATCATCCCTGATGCTCAGTGTGTGGAGTTTTGACGGGTTCATTACGTAGGTATGATTGGCCACCAGGCTGAACTCAGTCTCCAGCTTCCCCTACCTTCTCTGGAGCTTGGGCTGGGTCAAAGTCCCAACCCTAGTATCTCATGGATGGTCTTTCTTCTGTCCAGCCCCTATTCCTGAAGCTGTCTAAGGGCTCACTGGGAGTCACCTCATTAGCATAAACTCAAGAGTGAGCCAAGAGGCTCATGAATAACAAACGCAGTTCTACCACTCAGAAAAATCCAAGAGCTTTAGAAGCCCTGTGCCAGGAAGTCAGAACAAACACCAGACAAATCCCTTATTATAGAAAACCTTTACAGCTTATTCACAGGTATATGATGAGACTCATATTCACAAACAGAAGGATGTCAGAATCTTATTTTCCTACTCAAGAATAAATCAAATACCATCTACTCCTTTGTATGACTTCCTCAAAATCTGTCCAAGAGAACAATTAAAATTGCAAGATGGCAACGGATCATATTTTTTCACTTGGAAAAGATAATATTGCTACTGCTACCTCTCCTACCATAATGACTAATAACAATTGCTGATCTTGCTTTTGGAGCCTATACTGTACACTACTTAAAAGGCAATGAGTCAGGTAAAGGCAACAAATATAAGAGAATTAGGCTTCAGAAAATCATTGTAAAAGTTTGCCTCTTGAAGCTGATTTCCACCAAAAGCAAACAACTTATAAACGCTATACATGTACGTCAGCTTGAATCATGTGCACAGAGACATGAGGAAGTTTGGAACGCCAGGTTTGCAAAACCCTTAGGGTCAGGCTTGAGTGAAAATGCAAGCCTCAGAGTCAAAACCAATTTACAATATAAGATGCAGTTGGTTGGCATAAAGAATTCAGTAAGGCTTGAAAAAAAAATTTAATTAAGAAAAGTTTGGGGGAAAAAAAAGATAAATGTTGCCTGGAGCTTTCATTTAAATTGGAAACATCCTAAAAAGCCCCTGGCCAGTTCTGGCCCCATACAGCTAAAGGACCTGGCAAAACCCCAGCCTTCAGTAATAATTAACACTCATAAAGTCACAATGAAGTTATCAAGGGGCCATTTTGGCCATGCTTAAAAGACTAACCACATCTGCCAAAACAATGACATTTCCAAACTCTTAATTTTTGCAACATGTATATATGTGTTCTCAGTTTTCAGTGTATGCATTACTGAGAGGAAAACAGCTAGAGAGAAAGAAAAGTGCTTTTTCATTAATCAAAAGGAGACTAGACTGCTGTTTCTGCATACTATGCACAGCAAGATTCAGAGTTAAACATCATCATTCAAAGAGTTGATGTTGAACAAAAAATAACAGTTGAACTTATTCCTGCTTTACACCAAAAAGTGTTATTAATTTTTAATTTCCTGGGCATGCAGTAGTATTTTCTGAATTAGATTCTGAGAGAGTGATTTTGACCATGGGATCACTAGTAAAATATCAGCTCACAATCTACAGTTATCAACATCCAGACAAACAAGCTAGTGTTAGGGAATGCCAGCAGAAACTAAAACAAAACACTCAAGAAATTTTGATTCTGAAATAGAATATAAAGTAACAATGTGTGAAATAAGAAATAAAAGGCAGAGGTAGTAAAAACGTTTATGAAAGATCAATGAGACAGATTATTTTTGAAGTTTTTTTTAAAAAAAACTTTGTATGTGTATGTGTGTGTGTGTTTGTCCAAAGTCTTGCAAGTTTCATGAGAAAAAAGAGGTAGAATGGGAGCACATTCAACTTCGTTCAGTGGATAAATGGATAAACTCTGGGTTGAGAGACAAAGTCAAAAGTTGACCTTGCCCGGATGTTTTGAATCCAGGGCTGCTGAGTTAAGGAACAAGATAATGGGGTTCCACTACTAATTAAAAACCCCTGATGCAAAGGCCCAGGCCTTCCCCACACCCTGGTTTTCCTCATCCATCTCTCTTCTTGTATCTCATATATTTTCCTAGGAGAAACCACGTACTTTGCAAGGATTCTAATACAGTACTTCTGAGTTGTAACTTTCTTTTATTTACTCAGTAAATATCTAATGAGTGACTACTAGGTGCCATAACTTCTTAGCACTGGGATTCAGCAGAATTTGTGCTCCTGGAATTATATCCTAGAAAAGAGGCAAAAATAAACAGAGGAAGTGTAAAAACAATTACGATCATTTTAAATGGTGATAAATGCTTTGAACAAAACAGGTAATCCAGTGTGACTGGTGATGAGGGTGGCTGCATTAGGTGGAATGGCACTGAGAAGCCAGACTGAAGCATGATTACTGCTGAGATCCTACTGATGAGGATCCTGGCATGCCAAGACTGGCCAAAGAGAGGATGGATGCTTCAGGGAAACAGGCAGAATTTCAAACAGAGGGTCTATAACTGTGCGATGGGAACTGCTGTCTGTGGAAAGAATCTAGAAAATGTCCCTCTGGACCATGCATGCAGCAGTAGGAAACAGAGTCCAAGAAACAGGCACCAACCAGATTCCGCAGGCCTGAGGTGCCAAGATAAGGTATTTGGGTTTTGTTCTCAGTGTGCTGAGAGGTGCATTTGAGAGTTTGCAACCAGGGAGGAGTGTAATGTGATTTATGTTTTCTTAAAAAGTCTCTTTGGCTGTTGTGTATCTACATGTATCTACAACCACATGTAGATACTTATGAGAGGTATCAAGGGCTTCTGACATTACAGGGTTTGAGGTACCCTGAAGGGCTCTCTCACTACAATATACATGGTAGGATCCCAGGAAAGCAATGGGAAATTTTCAAGAAGGAGTGAGGAGAAAGCCTGAGGTGAAACCTGAACAGAGCAGGTGTGCAAACACAAACTCTGAAGGCAAATTCTTAGAATTGCACTGCAAAGAAGTCAAACTTTGGACCCACTGCAGGATTGGAGATCTGAACTCAAGCTCTTAAAGAAGCAGTGTGGTTGTAGTCTGGTAGTATCCTTGAGCTCCCAGCAGAAGCAACAAAAATGCTCTATATTGCAAAGTAACCTATTTTAATCCCAAGGATTTTCTCAGATTAAGTTCAAAAAAATATGAGCTCACAATCTACAGTTATCAACATCCAGACAAACAAGCTAACATTAGGGAATGCCAGCAGAAACTAAAACAAAACATTCAAGAAATTGTAATTATAAAATAGTATATAAAGTAACAATGTGTGAAATGTTTGAAGAAATAAAAGGCGGATCTTAAAAATCATTATGGAGGCTGGGTCTAGTGGCTCACGCCTTTAATCCCAGCACTTTGGGAGGCCAAGGCGGGTGGATCACCTGAGGTCAGGAGGTCGAGACCAGCCTGGCCAACATGGCGAAACCTCGTCTCTACTAAAAATACAAAAATTAGCTGGGCGTAGTGGTGAACACCTGTAATCCCAGCTACTTGGGAGGCTGAGGCAGGAGAATCACTCGAACCCGGGAGGCAGAGGTTGCAGTGAGCTGAGATCAAGACACTGCACTCCAGCCTGAGTGACAGAGCGAGATTCCATCTCAAAAAAAAAAATAATAATAATTATGGAGTAAAATACTGTAAAAAATTACAAGACATATTTGAAAATGATCAAATGACACATTAAGGAATAAAAATGTAATTATTAAAATTAAAATGTTAATGATAAGCTAACTCGTGGATTAAGCAGAGATTGAGGAATTGGTGAACTGAAAGATGGGCCTAAAGAAATTGAACAAAGCCTAATACAGGGATAAGGAGATAGGAAATATAAAAGAGAATAAAGACACAGAGGATAGAATAAAATATTTAAGTTACATCTATCAAAGTCCCAGAAGGAGAGAACAGAGAGACAAGAAAAGAGGTGATTTTTAGGAATTTCCAGAGTTAGTTGATTTCATGGTGCACAGATGCAGGAAACATAACAAATACCCAACGAAATAAATAAAAAGCAGTATATATGCAGACAGATTTTGCAATATGGTTGTAGAATCTCAAGTCAAAGAGAAGATCTTGAAAGCAACCAAAGAGAAAAATAGAGCAACTACAAACAAGCAATCATTATCCTGACAGAGGCTTCTCAACAGTGAGCATGGAAACCAGAAGACAATGAAGTCACATCTGACCACAAAATTATTGCCAACTTAGAATCGTAAAACTATCAAAAGTATCTTTCAAAAAAGGTATCTTTCAAAAAGAAAGGCAGCATAAACACATTTTCATTTGAATAAAAACGTAGTTGCTTTTAGACATCTTCTGATCTAAAATATTCTAAAAGATGCATTTCATTAAGGAAATTCTAAAATATGTATTTGTTTCAGTAGGAAGTTCAGAAAAAGTATCTAGAATAAAAGCCTGGGATACTTAAAGGAATTATGACCAAAAGAACATTGAAGTAAATAAAAACAAATATTAGCAGTGTTAAATAAAAATGTCTCACGTGGGGGTTAAAAAAAGAAAGAAGAGAGCTAGAGTACTAGACATCAATGGCATGTGAACGAGGGGGGAGGAGATGATAGGAATTTTTTTGTTTGTTCTGTTTTGTTTTGCTTTGTTTTGAGACAGAGACTCACTTTGGAGTGCAGTGCCACGATCTCAGCTCACTGCAACCTCCGCCTCTCAGGATCAAGGGATTCTTCTGCCTCAGCCTCCGGAGTAGCTGGGATTACAGGCACGTGCCACCATGCCTGGCTAATTTTTGTATTTTTAGTAGACACAGGGTTTCACCATGTTGGCCAGGCTGGTCTCAAACTCCTGACCTCAAGTAATCCACCTGCCTCGGCCTCCCAAAGTGCTGGGATTACAGGCATGAGCCACCATGCCTGGCCTATAGATAGGAGCTTTATGCTCTAAGGTTCATATACAGATAAAGAGATAATTAAGATATTAATCAACTTTAGATTCTGTTAAATCGTCACAGTGACATTTCAAAGGTAGTTGCTCAAAGAGGAAAATAGATCAATAACTTCCAAACTATTATACACGGAAAGTATGGAATAAGACAAAATTAAAAATATACCAAACTCAATCTACTCCCCTTTCAAAGAAAGCAAGACAAAAGAAGGATAAAAGGAGCAAGAAAAAAATTAAGTTAGATAATTGAAGTAAATCTAAAAACATCAGTAATAACAATTACTATAAAGTGACTCACCTTGCTCTTCAAAAAAACCAGACTGAATATTTTTAAAAGTAATAAAATACTTTTTATAAGCAACATGCCTAAAACAAAAGAATGGCTGGAAGATTAAGAAGAAATGGTTGAAAAAATATAAACCAGGCAAATAATCAATAAAAGGCTGGTTATTACATCAAACAGAAGAGTCAAGTCTTGAAGCATTATTAGAGTAAACCCAGTAATCAAAAAAGAATAAAAGAATCAATTCACCAGAAAGCAAAATAATGTATAACTTATATGCGTCTAATGAAATAAGCTAAAAACATATAAAGCAAAACTTGATAGAACTATAGGAAGAAACAGCACGTCTATAATTGCAGTGGGAAACGTTAACACACTTCTCTCAATTATCAATGCATGAAACGATCTGAACAACTGTAAAATGGTAAATACAAGCAGTTATTCAAATAGCTACTAACAAGTTTGAACTCATAAAAATATATAGAATCCAGCCAGGTACAGTGGGTCTCGCCTGTAATCCCAGCACTTTGGAAGGCCAAGGAGGGAGGATCGCTTGACCCCAGGAATTCGAGACCAGCCTCAGCATGGTGAAACCCGGTGTTACTAAAAAATACAAAAATTAGCTGAGCAAGGTGGCATGTATCTGTAGTCCCAGCTACTTAGGAAGCTGAGGTGGGAGAATAGATTGAGCCCAGGAGGTCAAGACTGCAGTGAGCTATAACTGTACCACTGCACTTCAGCCTGGGCAACAGAACGAGACCCTGTCTCAAAAAAATACACACACACGTATGTGTGTGTGTGTATATATACATAAATACACACACACATATATATATACACATATATACACACACACATATACACACGTGTGTGTGTGTATATATACACATATATATAAATATACATAGTTGTGTGTACATATGTGTGTACATATATAAGCATATAGAATCCTGTACATCTCAAAGAATATACATTATTAGAATAAACAGAAGATTTGATAACCACATACTATAAAATAATGCTCCATAAATTTTTTTAAAATGTAGGGGGTTATAACCAAAATTTTTCTCTAAAATAAACCAGATTGGAAAAGAATAGAAAATATCAGAGCACATCATACTGAAGAAGAAAAGTATCATTTCGAGAAAATTGCTTTACATATAAACATCCTAATATATGTATATTTGTGTGTGTGATGAGTCTCAATATAAATGTATTTCTTATATAGTCACAGTAAAAAATGTTTCAAAACCACTACCTAAGAAACTTTTGTACATAGGCCTCTGGAGAAATGTACAAATATATTCACAGCAAGATTATTCATATCGGAAACCAATAAGTTGTTCTCTCTTCCTGGGATGGAGCATGGACAACACTGCAGAGCAGTAAGAATGAACCATAGATCTACGCCCAGCAACATGGATGAGCCATAAAACTAATGTTGAATTTTTAAAAAGCAAGACAGTATATATGAACCTCAAAAACAAAGTTAAATAACATTTTTTAGTGATATACAACATATAAATATGTGTTAAAAATATTTAAGTATCAGGAAAATGATAAGTTAATTTCAGGTTGGAAGAGAGCTATTGCTGGGGAAAAGGCAGGATAACAGGATTGGGGAAAACACACAAGTATGAGATGAAATCATATGAAATTGCCTCTATTCAAAAATTGTTTAATCTTCAAAAATGTCATTTCACATGGTTCAACCTAATAGCTCCAAGTGTACTGGTAACATCCTGTCACTTAAGATGAGTTGTGAGTTTACAAATATTAGGTTTACAATTATGATGCCTAATTTGAATTTGTTTATGTATTACATTACATGTATAAAGTATTACAACATTAAAAAAAAAAAACTTTTCTTAAAAGAGTGCAACAAGGTCCCTGGGGTCCATGTGAGAGAGGGTTGGACAAGGTTGGAAACCAGAAAAAGGAGAGACGTTAAAGGGTGGAGGATTTATTATAGTTAGTTGAAGGCAAACTCAGTAAGGCTCTCTGATGTGCTGGTTACTGGGAATGAGGGAAAGGACAGCAAATCTATGTCAATTTCCTCTGAGCTAAATGAAACAATATAAGATGATGCTTTCATTTGGGGATGAGGAGTTAGGGTTTGATATGGGTTTGTTTTATGGTATAAAATATACCACCATGAAAGTGATAGATGTTTAGGACAGAAATTTTAGGAAATGTAAAAAAAAATAAAAAATAAAATAGGTTACCATCCCCAACCCACTCAGGCTAATGGCAGCAGCTAAGGTACTGAACACTGGTTAAAAAAAGAAAAAGTGCATGAGAAAAAAAAAGTCTATGAATTGTTAGGTAGTTCACGGAAAGCCCTCTTGTAGTCCAAGGACCATATTATAGCAGGAAATGCAGCTAGAATCGCTTGGAAGGAAAAGCTGCAATCACAAATAAAATCATCAGTTGTATAATATTTTTCAGTCATTACAGGAAGCAAGTATCAAAGCTGCTTTCACCAAAAAATGTGGGGATATGGCTTTCATTGTGCCCCAGTGTGAAATTATTCCAGTTAAAGGGGTTTGCAGAATAGCAACTTGTTGTTTTCTTAAAAGAAATCCTGGTGTCATCGACAGATGTGAGTTTTACTCACCTAACGTGGAGATGTTTTCAAGGGTGCTGCCAGTAATGAGAAACAGTGAATTGCTGTGAAATTTTGCTGTGCTGGACTTGGTAAAGGCCAAAGTGAAGTAGCTAGCGTGAGTCATGCTGCACAGGTTATTTTTAAAATACTGGAGAAATCCTGGTTGCCACAGAACTGTGTACAAGTTGACACGAAGATTGAATTTGGTGTTGATGTAACCACCAGAGAAGTTGTTGTTGCTGCTGATGTTACTGATAATGATACCCAGAGACTCTGGCCATCGAGAGATCAAAGCAAACAGAAAGACAAACAGTCTTGTTGTGACCTCAAAGAAGCAACTCTGGAAGGGCTCCAGATGGTAAAGAAAAACTTTGAGTGGGTTGCAGAGATTGTAGAATTGCTTTGGAAATCAGAAAGTCAGTGCAGGGGTGTAATATGCATAGGCTCAATGTCTGATCTAGAACACTGTGAAAAAATCAAGAGGGCCTGTGGAAATTTTGGGTTTGGGTAACATCTGCCCATAAAGGACTAGATGAAACTCTGAGGATTAAAGCTGAGTCTGAAGGGGATGGCATTCCTTCTGTATCTGTGGCAGTGGTAGGCAGAGGCCATGGCTAGGGACCAGTGATGCCTGGGAACACTGCATAACCACGTAGTTATCAGCTGTCCTCCCCTCACACCAGACAGTGACCTCAGGATGTGTGAGCTTCCCTTTGACAGGGGTCTCAGGTAGTGGACCATACTTTCTGCAGAAGACTCAGCTCAGTATGATGCCCAGATATTTGGATTAAGCGATCATTTGGCAGGAGGCAAACTGTGAACAAGCATATTGAACACATGGATTTCATTGAAAAGAAAATCAGAGATATAATTTATAAGAAAAAATGCCATTCACAAGGCAGGGATGCCCTCTCTCACCACTCCTATTCAACATAGTGTTGGAAGTTCTGGCCAGGGCAATCACGCAAGAGAAGAAATAAAGGGTATTCAATTAGGAAAACAGGAAGTCAAATAGTCCCTGTTTGCAGATGGCATGATTGTGTATTTAGAAAACCCCATTGTCTCAGCCCAAAATCTCATTAAGCTAATAAGCAACTTCAGCAAAGTCTCAGGATACAAAATCAATGTGCAAAAATCACAAGCATTCCTACACACCAATAACAGAAAAACACAGAGCCAAATCATGAGTAAACTCCCATTCACAATTGCTTCAAAGAGAATATAATACCTAGGAATCCAACTTACAAGGGATGCGAAGGACCTCTTCAAGGAGAACTACAAACCACTGCTCAATGAAATAAAAGAGGACACAAACAAATGGAAGAACATTCCATGCTCATGGATAGGAAGAATCAATATCGTGAAAAGGGCCATACTGCCCAAGGTAATTTATAGATTCAATGCCATCGCCATCAAGCTACCAATGACTTTCTTCACAGAATTGGAAAACACTACTTTAAAGTTCATATGGAACCAAAAAAGAGCCCGCATTGTCCAGACAATCCTAAGCCAAAAGAACAAAACTGGAGGCATCACATTACCTGACTTCAAACTATACTACGAGCCTACAGTAACCAAAACAGCATGGTACTGGTACCAAAACAGAGATATAGACCAATGGAACAGAATAGAGCCCCCGGAAATAATACCACACATCTACAACCATCTGATCTTTGACAAACCTGACAAAAACAAGAAATGGGGAAAGGATTCCCTATTTAATAAATGGTGCTGGGAAAACTGGCTAGCCATATGTAGAAAGCTGAAACTGGATCCCTTCCTTACACCTTATACCAAAATTAATTCAAGATGGATTAAAGACTTAAATGTTAGACCTAAAACCATAAAAACCCTAGAAGAAAACCTAGGCAATACCATTCAGGCCATAGGAATGGGCAAGGACTTCATGACTAAAACACCAAAAGCAACAGCAAAAAAAGCCAAAATTGACAAATGGGATCTAATTAAGCTAAAGAGCTTCTGCACAGAAAAAGAAATTACCATCAGAGTGAACAGGCAACCTACAGAATGGGAGAAAATTTTTACAATCTACCCATCTGATAAAGGGCTAATATCCAGAATCTACAAAGAACTTAAAAAAAATTTACAAGAAAAAATCAAACAACCCCATCAGAAAGTGGGCGAAGGATATGAACAGACACTTCTCAAAAGAAGACATTTATGCAGCCAACAGACACATGAAAAAATGCTCATCATCACTGGCCATCAGAGAAATGCAAATCAAAACCACAATGAGATACCATCTCACACCAGTTAGAATGGTGATCATTAAAAAGTCAGGAAACAACAGGTGCTGGAGGGGATGTGGATAAATACGAACACTTTCACACTGTTGGTGGGACTGTAAACTAGTTCAACCATTGTGGAAGACAGTGTGGCGATTCCTCAAGGATCTAGAACTGGAAATACCATTTGACCCAGCCATCCCATTACTGGGCATATACCCAGAGGATTATAAATCATGCTGCTATAAAGACATATGTCCATGTTTGTTTATTGCAGCACTATTCACAATAGCAAAGATGTGGAACCAACCCAAATGTCCATCAATGATAGACTAGATTAAGCAAATGTGGCACATATACACCATGGAATACTATGCAGCCATAAAAAAGGATGAGTTCATGTCCTTTGTAGGAACATGGATGAAACTGGAAACCATCATTCTCAGCAAACTATCGCAAGGACAGAAAACACCACATGTTCTCACTCATAGGTGGGAATTGAAAAATGAGAATACTTGGACGCAGGGTGGGGAACATCACACACTGGGGCCTGTCATGGGGTGGGGGGAGTGGGGAGGGATAGCATGAGGAGATATACCTAATGCAAATGACGAGTTAACGGGTGCAGCACACTAACATGGCACATGTATAATATGTAACAAACCTGCATGTTGTGCACATGTACCACAGAACTTCAAGTATAATTAAAGAAAAAAAAAAAACCTCAAGCTTCTACCAGGCTCTCAAAAAAAAAGAAAAAAAGAAAAAGGAAAAAAGAATGCCATTGCATTTTTTAAGGAAAACACTTCAAATTTCTAATTTAGCTGCAGGAACAAAAGCAAGATAAAAAGATGATTTTATTTATTTATTTATTGAAATGGAGTCTCACTTTGTCACCCAGGCTGGAGTACAGGGGCGCAATCTTGGCTCACTGCAACCTCCACCCACTGGGTTCAAGCGATTCTCCTGGCTCAGCCTCCAGAGTAGCTGGGACTACAGGTGTGCACCACCATGTCTGGTTAATTTTTGTATTTTTAGTAGAGACGGGCTTTCACCATGTTGGCCAGGCTGGTCTCAAACTACTGACCTCAAGTGATCTGCTCTCCTCAGCCTTCCAAAGTGCTAGGATTACAGGTGTAAGCCACCACACCCAGCCAAAAAGATGATTTTAAATCAGAGAAGACAAATTAAAGGTACTGGTAAAAAAAAAAAAAAAAAAACAGAAACCAAAAATAAAATAAATTGAAAATCACTTATAATTTTACCATTCAGAAACTGTCTTTTAAATGACATTCCAATAGCAATGAGCACATCTAGCAACCCATCTTGGTTTCTAAATACCTTTCTCCACTAAAAAGAACCAGAGGCCAGGCGCAATGGCTCACGCCTGTAATCCCAGCACTTTGTGAGGCCAAGGCGGGCAGATCACCTGCAGTCAGGAGTTCGAGACCAGCCTGGCCAACATGGTGAAACCCCGTCTCTACAAAAATACAAAAATTAGCCCGGCATGATGGCACGTGCCCATAATCCCAGCTACTCAGGAGGCTGAGACAGGAGAATCACTTGAACCCGGGAGGCAGAGGTTGCAGTGAGTTGAGACTGCACCACTGCACTCCAGCCTGGATGACAGAGTGAGACTCCATCTCAAAAAAAAGAAAAAGAACTAGGGCTTTTGGGAGAAATAGTTGATTCTATGGCTAGGGCAGAAAAAAGAAGATGAAGCTGGAACATTTAGTTACAGAGTGTAAGAAAATGCTCAAGAGTGATGGAGACTTGACAAAGGGCATGAAAAAGAGATTTGAAAAGGCTTTTGCCAGCTAAATCTGGAATAACTTGAATATCAAAGTAAATAATGACGGTAAAGGATTATAAACCTTTTAATAAAACAGGGAACCATCAGTTCATACAGATATAAACACAAAAACAAATACAAGTAGAGAGAAAAGGAAGTTTTCCTTATAATATAACGCTAATAATAAATGTATAAGTGAAAATGCCAAACAACATGGTAACAATAAATTCAGCCAAGAAACATCAATAGGCGCTAAATCTGGTAGGTTAATGAGTACAAGTTTGAGGAGAAACTGGATAATCATACAATTTCCACATAACTTTCCACAAAATACCACTTAGAAAGAGAACAAGAATAGCATGACCGTGAAGAAGCTGGATGACCTTAACCCAGTGACCCAACTTAACATCACCTGTAATGGGACAAGCTGACATCACAGGCCACCTCACAGAAGGCAATGAGACCTCAGCATTATTTCTGTAATTGCCTGCCAAAAATGCATCACCTCTGCCCATTATGAGGAATTATCAGAAAGAAACAAACAAATGAGCATGCTTCAAAATGTGTGACAAAAAGTCAGGGTCTTAACTCTTCTAGAATGAAGGAGATTAAAGAAACATAACAACTAAATGCAAAGTGGGGTCCTAGGTTGGATTTTTTGGCTATAAAGGACATTACTGGTGAAACTCAAAGGGGGTCTGAGGATCGGATGGTAGTATTACGTCAGTGTTAATGGTTATTCTGAGATAACACAGAAGAAGGTCCTTCAGTATTTATACAACTATAAATACTGAAGTATTTGGGGGTGATGGGAATCCCAGCAACAACTTGCCCTCAAATAATTCCGTTAAAAAAAAAAAGCTCTTTGTACAGTACTTGCAACTTTTCTGGATGCTTGGATTTCATAATAAAATTACTTTGAAAAAAATATCTACTTGAGATAGTGCCATAAAGAAGCAAGAACAGAGAAATCTCTACTATTCTGTTATACAGCTTGGTGCCCTACCATTAATGATCCTTAACTTTAGATCTTCAAGCATATTTAAGTCTCTAGGCCTTGGATGACCATGCAGGGGGTTGTGCAGCAATAAGGTCAACCTTAGTAGCTAAGAGAGAGAGAGAAAGGCAGATCATACTAATCAAGTTAAGCAGTTTACACAAAACTACAATGTGAGTTGTCACTATTTCCATTTTTCAGGTGCAAAAATTGAAGCTCAGAAAGGGGAAGGAAGTTGGCCAAGATCACACAGTAAACATTCCAGCTGGAATTAAAGACCCCAAGGTCTGTGCGCTCGACAGCCCTTTAGCAGGGTTTATCTTTCTCGTGGTAAATTAAAAGCCAAAGGGCTACTTACGGGTAGTTGTCTGGTGAGGAAAGCCAAGGGAGTATATGCCCAGGATAAATACCATCACCAATTGCCCTGTTCTGCAGCGGTAATCGAAGATCCACACCCCTTGCTGCCATCCAGTGCTTCCTGAAGACCCCAGGGAAGTCCTCAGTTGACAGAATCTTCCTTATCCTGCTCTCCACCCTTCACTTCTGATGTTGGCTCTTCCAAGGCCTTCCTTTGGCACAGCCAAAGCAATACTCAGTGACAGATCAACACAAAATGATGTCCTCAGAATGCTCTGGGCCTCTCTGGGAATGTCATCTTAATTAGAAAACCTTTCATGACTTTTAATTTGTATTGGTCATTTAAGAAGGCATTGAATTAGCTGAGGATTCAGCAACATTGAATACTGACTCTTAAGAACCTCATTTAATTTACTTTGTTATTTACCAAGTACAGGTATTGGAATGTGAATGATGAGAGTTTATCTTTGCAAATGCATACAAGAGTTTTTAAACTTACAGTTTAAAAGAGTGTCTGAGGATGTACCGCCCAGACCAAAAAATATATATATCAAATGCTGTAAGATCTAATATTTGTTTCCTCCAAAGAAAAAGCAATCACTGCTTTTGAAATGGACATTAGCTCTTTTTTTAAGTACTTAGTTCAGTGCTTGTCACAAAGCAGATATGCAATAACAATTTATTGTATGGATAAATGAGTGCTGATACCAAGAGCCGAGAAAATTGCCATCATCTCTCAAATGGTCATGTACCAGCTTCGTCAAAATGAAAGTTCTTTATAATTAAATTTAAAACACACTATTTTATTTAGGAAAGTTCCTAAATTATGAGTGCCAATTTGCTAATCTTATTCAACAGTGATATTTAAATATTTTATTGATATTAAAAGCACTTTTCACTAAGAAAGGTATTTTGAAGTTGAAAGTGTAAAACTTTCTTCAACAACAAAGGAAAAGAATGCATAGAAAATGTTAGATCAAATTATAGCTTTCAATGTTATATTTCTATTTCAAAATTTTTAATTGTCTTTTTTAGAAATTTTTCTGGGTTCATAGTAGGTGAACATATTTATGGGGTACATGAGATGTCTTGATACAGGCATGCAATGTGAAATAAGCACATCATGAAGAATGAGGTATCCATCCCAAGGGTAGATTTATCCATTGAGTTTCAAACAATCCAATTACAGTCTTTAAGTTATTTTAAAATGTACAGTTATTACTGACTATCGTCACCCTGTTGTGCTATCAAATAGTAGATCTTATTCATTATTTCTATTTTTTAATACTCATCCCCACCTCCCTCTCAGCCTCTCACTACATTTCCCAGCCTCTGGTAACCATTCTTCTACTCTCTATGCCCATGAGTTCAATCATTTTGATTTTTAGCTCCCACAAATAAATGAGGACATGCGATGTTTGTCTTTCTGTGCCTGTCTTATTTCACTTAACATAATGATCTCCAGTTCCATCCATGTTGTTACAAATGACTGGATCTCATTCTTTTTTATGGCTGAGTAGTACTCCATTGTGTATATGTACCACATTTTCTTTATGCATTCATCTGTTAATGGGCACTTAGCCTGCTTCCAAATCATAGCTATTATAAACATAGGAGTTTATAAACAAACATAGGAGTGCAGATATCTCTTCAATATACTGATTTCCTTTCTTGGGGGTATATACCTAGTGGGTGAGATTGCTGAATCATATTGTAGCTCAATGTTTCGTTTTCTGAGGAACCTCCAAACTGTTCTCCGTGGTGGTTGTACTAATTGACATTCCTCCAACAGTGTACAAGTGTTCCCTTTACTCCATATTCCCACCAGCATTTGTTATTGCCTATCTTTTGGATAAAAGCCATTTAAACTGGGGTGAGATGATATTTCATTGTAGTTTTGATTTGCATTTCTTTGTTTATTTGTTTTTGTTTGTTTGTTTGAGACAAGGTCTCACTCAGTTGCCCAGGCTGGAGTGCAGTGGCGCCATCTTGGCTAACTGCAACCTCCGCCTCCTAGGTTCAAGAGATTCTCCTGCCTCAGCCTCTCAAGTAGCTGGGATTACAGGCACATGCCACCACGCCTGGCTAATTTTTGTATTTTAAGTAGAGATGAGGTTTTGCCATGTTGCCCAGGCTGGTCTTGAACTCCTGACCTCAAGCGATCCACCCGCTTCAGCCTCCCAAAGTGCTGGGATTACAGGTGTGAGCCTCCGCGCCCAGCCTGATTTGCATTTCTCTAATGATCAGCAATGTCGAGCACCTTTTTTATATGCCTGTTTGCCATTTGTATGTCTTTTGAGAGATGTCTATTCAGATCTTTTGCCCATCTTTTGATTGGATTATTAGATTTTTTTTCCTATAGGGTTATTTGAGCTCCTTGTATATTCTGGTTATTCATCCCTTGTCAGATGGGTTAAATTGTCTTTTGAACTTTTAAAGTTTAAATTAAAATTATTTTTGCCCTGTACACTTTGGCATTAGAGGCCATGGGCTCCAGGGCTTTGCTGGTGAGCAGGGGACGCAGCAGGCACATGCTCTGCATCTGCGCCGACTGTTCGGCATTTGACTCCCAACCCCTAAGTCCACTTTCCCCGCTTTTCTGCCCTGCCCAGGCCTGGGAGGTTCACCTCTGTTTTGCACCATCCATGCTCCATTGCCTTCTAGCTTCCAGGTGAATCCTGTGCACTAGCAGCAAAGTAGCTACAGGAGGGAGAAGTTGGATTATTTATTTTTCCTTCTCATTCCTCACCTCTCCAACTGTGTCAGGAATCCCCAAAACCCCCAGGCTTGATGATTTGCTAGGACGACTCACAGGACTCAGTGTATAGTCTTGTTTGTGATTATAATTTATTCCAATGAAAAGATACAAACCAAAATCAGAAAAGGAAAACGTTTGGAGGAAACCAGGCACAATCCATGTCCTGTCCTGGTAGAGTCACACAAGATGTGTTTAATTCCCTCAACAAGGAACTGTGGCAACACTTGTAAAATGTTGCAACCCCGGGAAACACAGTAGAAACTCAGTGCCCAGGATTTTTACTGGGGGCTGGTCATGTGACACCCTATTTTTCTATATCAAAATTTCAAACTCCCAGGCTGGGCATGGCAGCTCATGCCTGTAATCCCAGCACTTTGGGAGGCAGAGGCGGGCAAGTTGCTTGAAGTCAGGAGTTTGAGACCAGCCTGGCCAACTGGTGAATCCCTGTCTCCACTAAAAATACAAAATCTAGCCAGGTGTGGTGGCACGTGCCTGTAATCCCAGCTACTCGGGAGGCTGAGGCACAAGAATTGCTTGAACCCAGGAGGTGGAGGTTGCAGTGAGCTTAGATCATGTCACTACACTCTAACCTGGGCAACAGAGAGAGACAATGTCTCAAAAAAAAAATCCAAACTCCGAGAAGGAAAGCAAGTGTTAGTTAAACCATATTATTTGTACCATTCAGTCACAGTGTAGCCACTCTTATCAGTAAAGGTAGTAGGAACCCTCCAGAAATCTTAAGTTCACAGACTCCAGCAAAGGGCCACCCTTGTAAGCTGGCCTTTCAAAGGACAGCGGCCAGGTCTTCTATGCTAACACTTTTCTGCACCAAGGTTCTGGCAGCGGCTATTTTCCCGGCAGTCCCAGCTCTTCTTAAGTGTCCTCTTCTGCAGTTACGTGCTGCCAGATTCCAGGAACTTCTCCCTCCTCCTTATTCCTTCAGGTTCAGATTGGGGTGAATCTCTGAGAGCATTTCTTGTTGATTGCCTTAACTCAAGCCACCCAACTCTGCACAGAGTCTCATCATTACTATCTGAAATGTTTCCAGTGAAGAAGGAGGAAAAGGAACCAGATTTACCCTCCAGACTGAAATCACCCTAGAAAACAGACAAAATACAGGCATACCTCATTTTATTGTGCTTCACAGATACTGCATGTTGTAAACTGAAGGTCTGTGGCAACCCCATGTCCAGTAAGTATATCAGTGCTATTTTTCCAACTCCACCTGTTTACTTCGTATCTCTGTGTCACAGTTTGATAATTCTTGCAATACTTCAAACCTTTTCATTATTTTTATATCTGTTATAAAGATCAGTGATCTTTGATATTCTTATTGTAATTGTGGACTAATATGAGTGTAAGTGGATTTTACTAAGAAGAGAGAATAGGGATCACAAATATATCTTTGAAAAAAATTAAAATTTTCCAAATTTGGTATGAACTGTAAACCCACAGATTTAAAAAGTCATGAAAGCCCAAGCAAAAGAAACATAAAGAAAAACCATACAGAAGTATGTCATAATTAAAATGCTCAAGACCGGTGACAGACAGAAAATCTCAGAAGCCAGTGGAGAACAAAAGACACACAATAAACAAACAAAGATAAGCCAGTGTCTCATGAGAAGCTACGCAAGCATGAGGACAGCTTTAAAGTAGTGAAAGAATAAATCCTTTAGTTTATCTAGAACTCTATACTCACTAAAAATATCTTTCAAATATGAAGATGCTTTCAGACACAGAAAATCCGAAAGAATTTATCACAAGCAGGCCTGCATAACAGGAAATATTTAACATTCAAAATTCAATGTAAAATTCACCATATTAACACACTAAAAGAAGAAATAAAAACATATGATGATCTCAATAGATACAGAAAAGGCATTTGAAAATATCCGACAACTATTCCTGATAAAAACTCACAGAAAACTAAGAATAGAGGTAAATTTCGTCAACCTGTTACAGGGAATCTCTGAAAAGCCTGCAGCTTACACATACTTAATGATGAATGATTGATTCTTTTTCCCCAAACATAAGAAACAAGATTAAATGTTTGCTCCACCAATCCCATTCAACTTTTACTGGAGATTTGAGCTCTCAGATTTGAGCCAGTGTTATAAGGAACAAAAGAAATTTTAAAAAAGAGGCTGGGCGCAGTGCCTTACGCCTGTAATCCCAGCACTTTGGGAGGCTGAGGTGGGTGGATCATGAGGTCAGGAATTCAAGACCAGCCTGGCCAACATAGGGAAACCCTGTCTCTGCTAAAAATACAAAAATTAGCCAGGCATGGTGGCACACACCTGTAGTCCCAGCTACTCAGGAGACTGAGGCAGGAGAATTGCTTGAACCCTGGAGGCGGAGGTTGCAGTGAGTCAAGATCATGTCACTGCACTCCAGCTTGGGCAACAGAGTGAGACTTCATCTCAAAAAAAAGAGAAAGAAAGAAAGAAAGAAAGAGAGAAAGAAAGAGAGAAAGAAAGAGAGAGAGAAAGAGAGAGAGAAAGAGAGAGAGAAAGAGAGAGAGAAAGAGAGAGAGAAAGAAAGAGAGAAAGAAAGAGAGAAAGAAAGAGAGAGAGAAAGGAAAGAAAGAAAAAGAGGAAGGAAGGAAGGAAGGAAGAAAGAAAGAAAGGGAAAGAAAGGGAAAGAAAGTTATTACCAGCGAACAACTGGATATTTGAATTTTTAACAACTTTATTAAGCCGCATTTCAAAAACCATACAATTCACCTATTTAAAGTGTACAATTCAACAATATTTAGTATATTCACAGATACACACAACCATCACCATAGAACATTTTTATCATCTGAAAACAAAACCCTGTCTCCCTTAGCAATCAACCCACCCTCCCATCCGCCACCCCAAACCCCTAAGTAACCATTAATCTACTGTCTGTCTCAGTCAATTTTCTTGTTCTGGACATTTTATATGAATGGAATCATATAATATGTGATCTTTTGTGACTGACTTCTTTCACTTAGTATAATGTTTTCAAGGTTCATCTATGTTGTAACATACATCATTCCTTTTTCTGGCTGAATAACATTTCATTGTATGGATTTAATACATTTTGTTTACCCAATCATCAGTTTATGTACATTTGCATTGTTTCCATCTTTGGCTTATTGTGAACAATGCTGCTATAAACATTAGTGTATGAATTTTTATATGGATATATGCCATTTTTTCTCCTGGGTTTATACCTAGGAATAGAATTGCTGGTTACCATATGACACAACTATTTACCATATGAAAACTATGCTTAATAGAGTTATTATGTAAAGAATTGCCAGACTGTTTTCCAAAACAGCATCATCTTACATTCCTATCAGCAGTTTATGAAGGCTCAGTTTCTCCACATCCCTGCTATCTGATTTTTTTATTCTAGCCATCTTAGTGGGTATGAAGTCATATCACATTGTGGTTTTGGTTTGGTTTGGTTTGGTTTCCCTGATTACTAATTATGGTGAGCATCTTTTAATGTTCTTATTATCTATTTGCATACCTTCCTTGAAAAAATGCCTACTCAGATCCTTTGCCCATTTAAAATTGGTTTATCTCTTTATGATTGAGTAGTAAGAGCTCATTATGTATTCTAGATATAAGTAATTAGATATATAATTTGCAAACATTTTCTATTATTATGTATATATCATATTATCTATCTTTTTACTTTTGTGCTGATGTACTTTGAAGCACAAAATTTTTTAATATTTTTTCTTTTGTTGCTTATGTTTGGTATTGCACCTAAGAATCCTTTGTTAAATCAAAAGTCATGAAGATCAATCCTTGTGTTTCCTTCTAAGAGTTTTATAGTTTTAGCTTTTACATTTCAGTTTTTTATTCATTTTGAGTTAGTGTTTTGTAACTTATGCCAGTACCACAGTCTTGATTATTATTGCTTTGTAGTAAGTTTTAAAGTTGAGAAGTACAAGTTCTCCTGCTTTGTTCTTTTTCATGATTGTTTTGTTTTGCTTTGTTTTGCTTTGCTTTCAGATTTTTTGCATATCCACATGCATTTTAGAATCAACTTGTCAACCTCTACAAATAAATCTGCTTAGGATTCTGATAAGGATTGTGTTAAATTTATAGATCAGTATGAAGAGTATTGCCATATTAACAATGTTAAGTATTCCAATCCATGAACATAGGATGTTTTTCTAATTATTTAGATCATCTTAATTTTTTTCAACAATATTTTATAGTTTGTAGAGTATAAGTTTTATGCTTCATTATTGATTTAATGCTTGTGTCCCTACTACCCTCAAATTCATATGTTTGAAGTCCGAATCACTAACATGATGGTATTTGAAGGTAGTGCCTTTGAAAGTTAATTATGGCCAGGTGCGGTGGCTCACGCCTATAATCCCAGCACTTTGGGAGGCCAAGGCGGGAGGATCACGAGGTCAGGAGTTCAAGATCAGCCTGGCCAACATGGTGAAACCCATCTCTACTGAAAATACAAAAATTAGCTGGGCATGGTGGCACCACCTGTAATCCCAGCTACTCAGAAGGCTGAGGCAGGAGAATTGCTTGAACCTGGGAGGCAGAAGTTGCAGTGAGCTGAGATCACACACTGCACTCTAGCCTGGGTGACAGAGCAAGACTCTGTCTCAAAAAAAAAAAAAAAGTTAATTACATTTACATGAGGTCATGAGGGTGAGGCCCCCACGATGGATATGCTCTTACAAAAAGAGAAACAGACACTGGAACTTTCTCTCTCTCTCTCCATGCACACACTCCAAGGAAAGACCATGTGAAGATACAGCAAGAAGACAGCCTTCTGCAAACTAGGAAGAAGGCCCTCACCAGAACCTGAACATGCTGACATCCTGATCTTGGACTTCACAGCCTCCATAACTGTGAGAAATATATGTCTATTGTCCAAACCACCCAGTCAATGATGCTAATCTTAAATACTTAAGATTAAATATAACAAAAAAGTGCTAAGACACACTTTTGTTAAATTTAATCTTATGTATTTTATGCTTATCTTAATTTCATTTTCATATTGTTCATTGCCACAATATAGAAATACAATTGATTTTTGTACATAGATCTTGTACCCCACAACCTTGCTTACCTCATTTATTAGTTGTAATAACTTTTTAGTGGGTTTCTTAGAACTTTCTAGATACAAGATCATGTCATCTACAAATACAGATAGTTTTACATCTTCCTTCCCAGTTGGGATGCCTTTTACTTCTTTCCCTTGCCTAATTGCCCTGACTAGACTCTCCAGAACAGCGTTGAATAGAAGTTGCTGGAACAGACTTATCTTCATGATCTTAGGAGAAAAGCATTAAGTTTTTCACTATTAAGTATGATATTGTCAGTGGATTTTTTGTTGATGCATTTTATCAAGTTAAGGAAGTTCATTTGTATTCATAATTTGTTGAGAGTTTTTTTTTTCTCATGGATGGGTGTTGGATTTTATCAAATGCTTTCCCTGTGTCTATTGAGATGGGCATATGAGTTTTGTTTTTTATTCCATTGATAAAATGTATTATGTTAATTGATTTTCAGATGTTAAGCCAACCTTGCTTTATAAATCACACTTAGTGTGATGTATAATTATTTTTATGTGTTGCTGGATTTGGTTTACTACAATTTTGTTGAGGATTTTTGCATTTGTATTAATAAAAGATACTGGTTTATAGTTTTCCTGAGATGTTTGGGCTCACAAAATGAGTTTGGAACTTTTCCCAACTCTTCTATTTTTTGGAAGAGTTTGTGGGAAAATCGTATTAATTCTTCACTGAATGTTTGGTAGAGTTAGCAGTGAAGCCATCTGGGCCTGGATTTTCCTTTGTGAATAGATTTTTTTATGATTATTAATTCAATCTCCTCCCTTGCTATAGTTCTATTCAGATTGCCATTTCTTTTTTAGTCAGTTTTAGTAGCTTGTGTTTTTCTAACCATTTGTTCACTTTATCTAAGTTATCTAATTTGTTGGTATACAATTGTTCATAGCTTTCCTTTATAATCCTTTTTGTTTATGTTAGACTAGTAATAATGTCTCCTTTTTTGTTTCAGTAAGTTTTTGCTCCTTTTTTTTCTTGGCCAATCTAGCTAAAGATTTATCAAACCTGTTGATTTTTCCAAAGAACAAACTCTATTGCTTTTTTATTTATGCTTTCACTAATTTCCTCTGTAATATTTTTTATTTCCTCTCTTTTTTTGCTTTGGATTTATTTTGCTTTTTTTCCCAGTGTCTTAGGTGGAAGTTTAGGTAATTCATTTGAGCTCTTTCTTCTTTCTTAATATAGGCATTTATAGCTATAAATTTCTCTCTAAACACTACTTTAGGTGCATCTCATACATTTTTGTATGTTATGTCTTTATATTCATTCATCTCTTAGTATTTTCCAATTTCCCTTTTGATTTATTGTTTGACCCATTGGCTATTTAGAAGTGTGTTGTTTATGTTATATTTATTTTTGAGTTTCCAAATTTTTTTCTGTTATTTATTTCAAATTGCATTTTACTGCAGTCAGAAACCATACTTTGTATTCTTTATATATTTTCAAATTTATTGAGGTTTGTTTTACAGGTTAGTATATTGTCTATTATGGAGAATATTCAATGTGCCCCTGAGAGGAATATATATTCTGTGTTGTTGGGTGGAGTTCTATAGGTGTCTGTTAGTTCTAGTTGGTTTATAGTGTCATTCAAGTCTTCTATTTCCTTGTTGATCTGTCTAGTTATTCTTTTCAGTATTGAAAGTAGGGTACTGAAGTCTTCAGCTGCTTTTCTTGATTTGTCTTTTTTTTTTTCATTTCTGTCAGTTTTGCTTCATGTATTTTAGTGCTCTGTTACTAGTGCTTATGTTGGCATAATTGTTATAACTTATTGATGTGTTGACCCATTTATCTTTATAAAATATCCCTTTTTATCTCTAGTAACTTCTTTTGTTACAAAGTCTACTTTGATATAACTATAAGATTCTCTAGCTTTCTTGGGGTTTCTGTTTGCATAATGTATCTTTTTTATCTTTGACTTTCAACATATTTGTATATTTGAATCTAAAATGTGTCTCCTTTAGAAATCGTGCCATTGCACTCCAGCCTGGGCAACAGAGCAAGACTCCATCTCAAATAAATAAATAAATAAATAAATAAAATGTGTCTCCTTTAGGTAGCATATACTTGGATAATTTTCAGTCCCAATCTGACAATCTCCACCTTTGATGTGGATTGTTTGTGTGTTTAGTCATGTTTAAACTTATTATTGATATAGTTGAATTTATGTCTGCCATTTTATTTTTTATTTTTTATATGTCATGTTATTTTTATTCAATTTCTTGTTTATTGCTTTATTTGAATTTGGCAAATATTTTTAATGCTGCATATTAATTTATTTAATGCATTTTTCACTATATTTTGAGGGACTTTTTAGTGGTTACTCTAGGGATTGCTATATACATCTCAAAATATACAAATCAGCTTCAGATTGATACCAGCTTATTTCCAGTGATACAGAGAAATGTTAGTCTATACAGCTTTATTCCTTTTCCTTATTTTTGTGGTATTATTATGGCTATGCATATTATTTATCTTAATGTTATAAGCCCAACAATAAGTTATTATAATTAGTGCTTTAACATCTGTGTTGCGGGAAGTCAGGGACCCCAAACGGAGGAACCGGCTGAAGCCATGACAGAAGAACGTGGATTGTGAAGATTTTATGGACATTTATTAGTTCCCCAAATTAATACTTTTGTAATTTCTTATGCCTGTCTTTACTGCAATCTCTAAACATAAATTGTAAAGATTTCATGGACACTTATCACTTCCCCAGTCAATACCCTTGTGATTTCCTATGCCTGTCTTTACTTTAATCTCTTAATCCTGTCAGCCTAGAAGGATGTATATCGTCTCAGGACCCTGTAATAATTGCGTTAACTACACAAATTGTACAGCATGTGTGTTTGAGCAATATGAAATGTGGGCACCCTGAAAAAAGAACAGGATAACAGCAATTGTTCAGGGAATAAGAGAGATAACCTTAAACTCTGACCGCCGGTGAGCCGGGCAGAACAGAGCCATATTTCTCTTCTCTCAAAAGCAAATGGGAGAAATATCGCTGAATTCCTTTTCTCAGCATGGAACGTCCCTGAGAAAGAGAATGCGCACCTAGGGGTAGGTCTCTGAACTGCCCCCCCCACCCCGGGCATACCTGTCTCTTATGGTCGAGATTGCAGAGGTGAAATAAACTCCAGTCTCCCACAGCGCTCCCAGGCTTATTAGGAAGAGGAAATTCCCGCCTAATAAACTTTGGTCAGACCGGTTGATCTCAAAATCCTGTCTCCTGATAAGATATTATCAATGACAATGGTGCCAAAACTTCATTAGCAATTTTAATTTCACTTCGGTCCTGTGGTCCTGTGATCTCGCCCTGCCTCCACTTACCTTGTGATATTCCATTACCCTGTTAAGTACTTGATGTCTGTCACCCACACGTATTCGCACACTCCCTCCCCTTTTGAAACTCCCTAATAAAAACTTGCTGGTTTTTGTGGCTTGTAGGGCATCACGGATCCTACCAATGTGTGATGTCTCCCCCGGACGCCCAGCTTTAAAATTTCTCTCTTTTGTACTCTGTCCTTTTATTTCTCAAGCCAGTCGACGCTTAGGAAAATAGAAAAGAACCTACGTGAGTATCGGGGCAGGTCCCCCGATACATCTGTAGTTATGTTTTTAGTTCAATCAACTTTGCTCCCAAACACCTCCTTTGTGCTGCTATTGGCAAGCATATGATGCATATGCTGTATTTCTATATGGTCCAGGCCCAACAATACATCATATAAATATTATTTACACCATTGTTATTTAAATCAGTTAAGAGATGAAAGGACAAAAATTTGCATCTATGCTATTTTTTTTTTTAAATCAATGTTGACCAGGTTGGCCTCGAACATGCAACCTCGCCTCCCCGAGTGCCAGAGCAACCGGCCTGAGCCACAGCGGCTCCCTATGCTATTTTTTATAATTACGTAATTACCTTTACTAGTGTTCTTTGTTTGCTCACGTGGGCTTGAATGACAGTCCTGAGGCACTTGATTTCAATCTGAAAAATTTTGCTTTAGAATTTCTTGTAAAGTGTAATCTGCTAGCAATAAATTCTTTTTGTTTATCTTGAAGAGTCTTCAATTTTCCCTGATTTCTGAAAGATGCATTTCTGAATATAAGATTCTTGTTTGACAATTTTTTTTCCTTTAAGAACTTTGAATATGTTATCCCACTGTCTTCTGACCTCTGTTGCTTCTGCTGAGAAGTAAGCTGTTAGTCTTACTGGGGTTTCCTTCTAAGTGACCCGTTATTTCTCTCTCACTGCTTTCCAGATTTTCTTCTTGCCTTTGACTTTCAGCACTTTTACTATGATGTGTCTGTGGAACTGTTTGTAGATTTAACCTGTTGGAGTTCATTGAGTTTCCTGGATGTGTGGGTTATTGTTTTTCAGTAAATATGGAAAGTCTTCAGGGATTATTTCCTTAAATATATGTTCTGTTCTTTCTCTCTCTTTTCACTTTCAGGTAGTCCTATTATGCCTATCTTGCTGCATTTACTGGTGTCCCACAATTTTCTTAGGCTCTGTTCATTTTTCTTTATTCTTTGTTCTTTTGGCTGGCATAATTTTTATCAATCCGTCTTTAAGCTTGCTTATTCTTTCCTATGCTAGCTCAAATCTACTACTGAACCTGTCCAGTGAGTTTTTTATTTTGGTTATTGTACTTTTCAATTCCAAAATTTTTATTTTTTTATAATACCTATATCTTTACTGATATTTTCTATTTAATGCAAAATTGTCATCATACCTTCCTTTACTCCTTTAATTATGGTTTCATTTAGTTTTGTAAATATGTTTATAATGTCTACCTTGAAGTCTTTGTCTGATAAATATAATATCTGATTACTGTCATGGGTAATTTCTGCTGCCTGCTTTTGTTTCAATATATGACTCACACAGTCTTGGATTTGAACACCTTGTAATTTTTTATTGGATATGGGATATTTTGTATAATATATTGTAGCAACTTTGAATACTAGTGCCCTCCCCCAACCCCCAGGCTTATTCTAATTTCCTGGTTTATTTGTTTAGTGATTGACTGTATTATTTTAATGAAGTCTATGCCACCACACACACCCACTTCTGATGTTGCTCCTCTGGGAGGTTCAGCTTTAGCTTTACAAACCTGGAATGACAGTGGTTTTGGTAGGGCTGTCTTCCTCTGACCACACCCAGTTGTTAAACCCCACTAATTTCCAGCTGATTAATCCATTATTAACAATTCCCTTAGGCATAAATTGTTCTACAAACTAACCCAATCAAATTCTGGCTCCTTTGAAGAAACAGTTTCTGAAGTCACTGTTTGATATGTGTTCTGACACTATGAGGGCCCTTCCCAGATGTCTTCTTCCCCAGTTCTCTCCTGCAAACTAGAAGGCCTACAGTTTAGCCTAGATCTTGACCTGCCTCCCAATCATCTTTCACCACAATTTTCACTGTTCTTGAGAGAATCCTTGAGCTTGAACTCTTTTATCCTCTTTTGCAAATGAAGTAAGTTCCTTTAGGAAGAGATTAGGAGCTGTCTGTTTTATGGCCTGCTTCTGCCTTCCAGCCAGAGCTTTGACTCTGGGGGCTAGGACAATGGCAAGCTTCTCTCCCAGGGACACTTTCATTTCAGGTTCTGAATGCCCAGTGGAGGCAGGGCAGAAGCCTGGGGTCCTCTTGGTCCTTACATCTCCTGATGTGGAACAACTTCCAGTCAGCTGGAGCAAGGGTGATTATGGCACCACCCTTCTCAGCATGCCATGCCAAGGTAGAGTCTCCATTCCAAAAGTAGGGGCTGGGTGAAAGAATGGAGCCCCCATTACCTCATGGCACTTGCTCAGAACTTGGAAAGGGGTAACAGGAGAAGATTGCAAGGGGACAAAAGAAAACCTTTGGGTGATTATGTCAATTGTGGTGATGGTTTAATAGAGGTATACTAAAACTTAACAAAAATCCTATACATCAATAAAACTGCCAAAATTGCAGAACATAACTTAGGGGGAGATATTTCTAATATAATAAAGAGTTAGTATAAGAAAAGTTCATACCAAAGGAAGGGAGAAACAAGATACTAAAATAGGAATAAATTCAGTCATGAACTCAGGTATCTTCCATCTGTATCTCTAGATAGAAATCTTGGTTGCAGAGGAGGTAGAATAATGGCAGAATGCCTGGCAGAGAGCTTAGCATTCACCATGTACTTGTTAATGTTTATTGAGTAAATGTTTGTTGAGTTTGTTGCCCTTGGGAAGTTACTTTCACACCCATCACTCCCCTAGGGTCAGTTTCCCTCTAACACCACCATGATAAACAGCCTTTGATCACAACAGGAAGTCATATTGCATTAGACTCAAGAGTCATTCAGCACATCTTCCTTACATTGCCTTCGTCATAATAACGAAGAATGCCGACCCATTACATAGACACAATATAGCAATAATATTTAGCGCCTTATCTTTTTTTAAATCTGACCATCTCAAAATGGAGATGATAGGTTCCATATACCTTCCATGTATTTCCAGTTTTAAGAAGCTTTAAGAAGTCGAGAATAATTTTTAAAGAAATTACATTAGTTAATAATTTTCCATGACTTGGCTCCTACTGGAGCCTTTCAATTCTACATGCGTCTTTTTTCTCAGCCAGGCTGGTCTCTGTGTTGCTCTAACCATGCCTCATTATAGTAATAGCCGTCATTTCACATAATCTAATGAACACCATGCACATCATACACACTTCACATATGTCAGCAAAAATCCTCACATCCACCCTCAAAGGCATTAATTATTCCCCATTTTACAAATGTGAAAATTGGTGATCAGAGAAATTAACTAACTTGCCCAAACTCTCTCAGCAAGTAAAAAGTTTCTGTCTGACCCTCCAAACGTATACCATTGGGCTCTCTCTCTGTCTGATGTTCAGATTTTTGTCTCTGCCTTTTTCCTCCTGCCATTTCCTTAGTTTGGATCTTCCTTTCTCTCTTTCTTTCAAGGTCCTGCCTTCAGCACAAACCCTTCTCCAACAGTCCAGGCCCCAGGCTCCTCCAAGTACAGCTTGCCAATTCCTTGTCTGGCAAGGGAAAAGGAGGGAGAGAGAGAGAGAAATGGGGGTCAGAAGTGAAGCCATTAGATGCCAGGCATAGTGGCTCACACCTATAATCCCAGCACTTTGGGAGGCTGAGGTGGGCAGAAAATCACCTGAGATAAGGAGTTCGAGACCAACCTGGGCAACATGGCAAAACCCCGTCTCTACTAAAAATACAAAAATTAGCCAGTCATGGTGGTACATGCCGGTAATCCCAGCTACTAGGGTGGCTGAGGCAGGAAAATTGCTTGAACCCAGGAAGTGGAGGTTGCAATGATCTGAGATCATGCCACTGCACCCCAGCCTGAGTGACAGAGTGAGACTCCAAAAAAAAAAAAAAAAAAAGAAGAAGTAAGGCCATTAAGAAAGCCAGGAGGTGAGGAGTAGGGGATGAAGAGCCAATCTCAAGAAAAGGAGATGAAACTTTGTCTCCTCTGCCTTTCAAAATGCTGTAGCCTGATCTTGCTTTTGAGAGCAGGTAAGGAAGATGGGCAAGCAGAGGAAGGAAACGTGTTGGGTGGAAGATTCTTCTTCACCCAGAAATGGCTTCAGCACTCACCAGGACCAGAACCCAGGCTTTGTAGGGCAGGAATGAAGGGCGCTAGCCAATTTCCTTAGCCTCTGCTTCACACAGCTGTGGGATTACTGATTTCTTTGTCCATTTTGTTAATTAAACTAAAAATAATTTGCCATCATCCATCATGCTTTCAAGAGATAGTCTTTAGCTATGAGCATCTGATTTGGAGTAGCAGAGGAAATGCACACTCTGTTAATCAAATTTCAAAAACCAGAATCCAGTGGGACCTTTGGGCCAGCAAAGTGGGGCTAAAGCATATATGCCCTGTTGCTGCACTTAGGTAGTGAACCACTTGAGGAAAAGAACTGCTTTGAAAATCTTTATTTCCTGAATCTGCAGAGGAGGCCAGGAGAACTTTCTAGGGATGAGGGTGATGTTCTATATCTTGATAGAGGTGGTGTTTACACAGATATATAGCTGTCAAGTCATCAAATTGTACACTTAAGATCTGTACTTTTTACTGCAGGTAAATTCTACCTTATTATGGCTAATGGAAAGAAAGAAGGAAAGTAGAAGGGAAGGAAGAGGGAGGGAGGGAAGGAAGGAAGGAAGGAAGAAAGGAAGGAAGGAAGAGGAGGGAGGGAAAAGAAAGGAACAGAAAGGAAGAGGAGGGGAAGGGAAGGGAGAGGGGAAGGGAGGGGAGGGGAAGAAAGGGGAGGGGAGAGAAAAAGAATCCTCCCACTTCTGTAAACGTAGGTTTGCTGTATTAGAAATCCTGGTTCCCATTGGGCAGTGCTTCTGTCCAGGAGCCAAGTAAGGATTCTGCTGCACCTGCAGCTGCAAATGCCACATGGGCACTTTGGGCTGCTCTTACCTGTGAGCCCACACGTGGTGAAAAGACTAACTGCATGATGGACTAATTGACCCTGACTGTCATGAGAAGATGGTGCTGCCACAAGTGTGAATGGGAGGAGAAGATCTGGAATGCAGGGAGTCAGTGGACCTCTCTTGAGGCTTCTGTGTGGCAAACAAGAAATTGCAGCCATTCTGAGCTTCAATGAGAGTAGGTAGAAAGGGGTTGCTGTGCTGGATAGTGAAAAGCCAAGATGACCATCTGAAGGTCAGTCAAAGGCTTCTTGTCAAGAAGCTTCCAGGTTTCCTGATGAGATGTAGCTTGAGAGTCACTTCCTTTCCAATGGACAAAGTGATGGAACAAGTGACCTATTGTAGAATTAGTCTGAGGGTTTCACCTACATTTGCCATTATCCTGGCACACCCTCTCCATCTCAGGGCTGCGCCACCTTTTTGTGTCTGTCTGATACAGGCTAATTGCTCTCTGTGTACATAGGCAGAACAGGTTACTGTAACAAGTAGAGACTGCTATGGAGATTTCATTAAGGTTGACACATTCATTTCAACTGGCCAGGAGCGTCAGACCATATCCCAGAACACTCAGGCATTCTCAAGTACTAACAAATAATCCCTGTAAATCACTCACTTCCACAAAAGTTTAAAATAAAAATAGAGGTAGAGGAATCTTTCTCCAACTTTTTCCTGATGCTCTTTTCTATTCTAGTGTGATCCTGCTCTATGTTTTCCAATCTCATCATTCTTGTTCATTGCTGGTCCACTCAGTCCTTTTAAGTCAACAGTTATAAGTGTGCTTACATTCTATTAGAATGAGATCTGATGACAGGGCTTATCTAAGGCTGAAGTCCCTCAAGGACTTCCCTTCCCCAATCTCTCTCACACATCAATAAGAGCCGCAGGAGTGGCTTTATTATGTGAATTTATTGTGCCTTCTCTTGAAGAATATCATCCAATGCTGTTTTAAAATTGTATCTTTCAAATGCCATTTGAAATGGTTATAAGGCATAGAACAATATAAGCTATGGCATTTGCTAATAAGCATTAGCATGGAGCCATATGCTCCCAAAATATATTACACTTTCCACAAAGAAGTCAGAGACAGAGTTTATCAAGGATAGATACCATACTTCTTTATTCCCTAATAGCTATAGCTATATCCTTAGGGTTCTATGCTATTTTTATTTTGAAACTCTTAAATATGCAGTCTATTTCATCCCATAAACATATTAAAGACTAAATTTACCACAGGTTGTCAGACTAGAAAAAGATGAATGAGACTCTCTAAAGGCAGGCAAGCTCACTAAAAAAATATTACCCAAATGAAAACTCTGGGCAACAGAATAGTAAAGCAACACTCTTTAATGTTACTTGATCATTTGGTCACTAATTCCAGAGGATATTTGGTAAAATGTTCAACAGATAATCTGTTAAATGAGATGAAAGCCTGGGTTTGAGAAATAAAAGTGCTCTCTAAAGTTGTTTGAGTGGAAACTGTAGGGAAATAATGAGAGAGAGAGAGAGAAGAAGAAGAAGAAAAGAAGAAGAAGAAGGAGAAGGAGAAGGAGAAGAAGAAGAAGAAGAAGAAGAAGAAGAAGAAGAAGAAGAAGAAGAAGAAGAAGAAGAAGAAGAAGAAGGAGAAAAAGAAGAAAAAGAGGAGAAGAAGAAGAAGTAGCAGAGGAGGGGAGGAGGAGAAGGAAGAGGCAGAGGAGGAAGAGGCGGAGGAGGAGGAAGAGGAGGGGGAGGAAGAAGAGGAGGGGGAGGAAGAGGAGGAGGAGGAGGAGAAAGAGATTACATGCCTGTAATCCTAGCACTTTGGGAGGCCGAGGCGGGTGGACTGCCTGAGCTCAGGAGTTTGAGACCAGCCTAGGCAACACGGTGAAACCCCGTCTCTACTAAAATACAAAAAAATTAGCCGGGCATGGCGGTGTGCACCTGTAATCCCAGTTACTTGGGAGGCTGAGGCAGGAGAATTGCTTGAACCCAGGAAGCGGAGGTTGCAGTAAGCCAAGATTGCGCCATTGCACTTCAGCCTGGGCAACAGAGCAAGACTCCGTCTCAAAAAAAAAAAAAAATTGAATATTTTACCTCGTCTTAAGAGTTTCATGTCAATCTGGCCTTTATCCCTTTAAAAAGGGTCTTTCTTTTTTTTTTTTTAACTTCTCTCTGGGAGTTTCCAGAAACCTCTTTTTTCCTTTGGTGCTCATAAATTTAATGAGCATGTATATCAGTTGGGGCCATTTCTCATTCACTGCACTCAGGAATCAGCATGCCCTTTCAATAGGGGATTCATATCATTCAGCCCTGGGAATTTCCTTTAATTTTTTAAGAAATATAATTTTGGGCCAGGAGTAGCGGCTTATGCCTGTAATCCCAACACTTTGGGAGGTCGAGATAGGTGGATCACTTGAGGGCAGGAGTTCGAGACCAGCCTGGCCAACATGGCAAAACCTGTCTCTACTAAAAATACAAAAATTAGCTGGGCATGGTGGCAGGTGCCTGTGATCCCAGCTACTCAGGAGGCTGAGACAGGAGAATCCCTTGAACCCAGGAGGCGGAGGTTGCAGTGAGCCAATATCACGCCATTGCACTCCAGCCTGGGTGACAGGAGCAAAACTCCATCTCAACAAAAAATAAATAAATAAATATAATTTTGTTCTCTTAATTTTCTCTGTTCACTCTTTCTGAAAAGCCTGATGAATTGGTTTTCTATACTTCCTTTGCTTCTCTAATATTTTCCTTCTTTTTGCTCTGACTCTAAGGAGCTCATTGGATTTTCCAGGCCTTCTATTGAAATTTTTTTTAAATCCTAATTTTTCTTTATTAAAGATCTCAGTTTTTTTGTCACATTTTTGTAACATCTTGCTCTTGTTATCTAGATATGTTTCCAAAATCTCTTTTAATTCATCAATTAAGGGGATTTTTAATGTCTTCGGATTCTCTTCTTCTTTTGCTGTCAGTTTTTCTGTTGCTTGTCTTGGTTTTATGCCTTTTATATCAAGGCACATAAAAGGCATAAAACCAAGACAAGCAACAAAAAAAGGATTGATCACAGAAGTTTCTCCTTATGTGCCAATTGGTCTTCAGTTGCTCAGTTCTAGTTAAATCAAAAGACCAGGGTGGCTGGTGTGGTTTCCTCTGCTGTTGAGAACATTAGTCTGTTTTCCATCAGTCTCACCACTGAATGGGAATTCTTGCTGGATGCTCTGGGCAGGGCAGGGCATGACAGGGCAAATAGACTGGTGGGCTTTCTTTGGGTAAGCAGAAAAGGAACTGGCATTGACACTGGGCTCTCCAAGAGTCAAAATGAGAAAGACATGGTACACAGACTCCCAGACTAGAATACATATTATTTTCCAATTATGTTTTAGCATAATTTCTTTAAAACAGAGCCCTCTGTTCTTTGGTGGGAGTAGCATCCTATCCAATTTTATTATTGCCATTGAAAAGAAATATAATTTTAAATAAGTAGTTATCATTGCTATTCTAATTTGTAGGTAACACAGTATAATAGAATTAGCTATCTAATTTACAAGTTACTGAATAATATGATTTTTAAAAGGAAACATATCAAAAGATGTGAAAGAAAAGAAAGAAAATTTTAAAATAAAGCAACATAAACAGAAAACATAAAATAAGACTGAATAAATAGATAACACATATGAGTTATCATAATAATTATAAATGGGTTAAATTCATCTAACATGATTCAAAACAATTTTAGAATTATCCATCTTGGGTTCAAAACCAAAGTTTGTCGACAAGTATTTTACTTAAATTTACTATACTATCTGTTAGGCTACTGTCTCCCAGCTTCAAGCCCATCCTTCTACCTTCAGTATATGAGGCTGGGGCAGGAGCTCTGCAAACACATTTATGCTCTATCAATAGAAGGCACTAAAGGGATGACTGAAGCCTGGAGTAGAAAGAAAAAAATGTTTTACTTTTTCATTCTGAGAGTGTAATTTGTTCCACCATAAGTAGTTTGTTCCTGAATGTTCTCCCAACATTCCCCAAACCAGTCTCACTCCCCTGTAAAACACAGACACAGACACACACACACACACACACACACACACACACACACACTTTGAAATGCCAGCATTTGTTCTTTTGTTTTCTGCATCAGGTCCCTAAAATGGCATTTAAAAGATAAGCTGGGCAGACACCTCTCCTCAGAGGTCTAGGCCCCAGACTCAAGGGGTCCCCTCCTCTGAGATTTTAAGTTTTAAGAAGTGCAGCTTCTTTCCTTTGTTTTCCAGGTTCTATGGGTGGTAGCTGCTTCCAGCACTTGTTACTTCCATGATACTTAGAGTTCTCTTTGTTTCCTTTCAATTACCTGATAAACTTTATTCCTACTTAACAAGACAGTGCTGTCTTATCTTCTAAATGTCATTGTAGGGACCTGATGCAGAAAACCAAAGAACAAAGACTCAAGTAACTTCCAGCTTCCTATGTGTAGAAGTGAAAGAGGTGAATAAGTAGACTAATCCAGAGATATGAATTTGCAGGCTGGGAGCAGGGATTGATCCCAGAAGTTTAACATGATAGAGAGTATTGATATGATACATTATGTGGCTTGAACAGGATAGAAAAGAAGTAAATCAAAGCCAAGAATCAGCTGACAGACTGGAGAAAACTTCAGGAGTTTAGGGTGATGAGGTTTGCTGAATATTAAATTCTGGCATGGTGAAGTAAGTAAGAGGAAGAACAGATAGAAAGGTGTTTGCAGCCTATGGACAGTTCAGTGTTGAAGCGGTCCAGGAAATGACAGGATCAAAGCTGTGGAATTAGAGTTGAGATGGAGGCGAAGGCCAGTAAAGACAAGGAGATTGTTCTACTTAAAAATTTAGCGGCTTAAAATGACAGTGATATTTTGCAATTTTGTGAGTGAAGAATTCAAGGATTAAACTGGGCAATTCCTCTGGTCTATGTGTCAGTCACTTGTTTATATTCAATTAGTGGCTAGTCTGGCTTAGGGAGCTCAAGACTGCTTCTCTCACACACCTGGTGCCTTGTTTGAGACAACTAGGCTCAGCTGAGCTCCTTTTCCATGCCATATATTATCAGAATCTCCATGTATACACTCTTGTAAACTAGTCAGACATGGTAGCTCAGCACTTGCAGAGACCAAAACAAAAGCTTTAAAGACTAAACCTATAATTGCATAACATCATTTCCTCCATACTTGATTAGTCAAAACAGTTATGGGACAGTCCAGATTCAAGGAGAGGAGAAAAGGATCCCACTCTTATATGGAAAGGATGTCAAAGAATTTGTAGTCAACTTTAACCTGCCACAGAATTCCTACTAAGATAGGAGTTAGCTCATCTAGATAAAAGATAACATGAGTTGGACTTATGAGGGAGACAAAGGAAATGTTCCCAATAAATGTAGGAGAGTAGCCCAAAGGTGAGTGACAGCTACGAGATGGGGCAGAGAACAGTGTACTGGGATGATATTGCCTCTGTAGTTAGCTAACACAGTTACTTTCACCTGTGAGAGAGGGTGGGTGTTATGGGCTGAATTTTGTCCTCCCAAATTCCTATGTTGAAATCATAACCCCTGATACTTTTGAATGGGACTATATTTGAAAATAGGGTCTTTAAAGAGGTAATTAAATTAAAATAATGTCACTGGGATGGCCCTAATCTTTACAAGAAGAGGACCTTAGTACCCATACACACACAGGAAGAAGACCATGTGTCTTAGTTCAATTGGTGTTGCTATAACAGAATACCACCAACTGGGTAATTTATAAAGAACGGAAATTTATTTTGTCACAGTTCTGGAGGCTGGGAAGTCCAAGGTCACAGTGCTAGCAGATTTGGTGTCTGGAGAGGGTCCAGTCTCTGCTTTCAAGGTGGCACCTTGAACACTACATCCTCCAGAAGGGAGGAACATTTGTCCTCATGTGGCTGAAGGCAGAAGAGCAAGCAAGCTTAGCCCTGCTTGAAGCCTCTTTTATGAGGGCCATTAAGCTGAATCACAAGGGAGGAGACTTCATGGACTAATCACTTCTTAAAGGCCCCATCTCTCAATACTTTCACTTTGGAATTCACACCTGAATTTTGAAGGGTTACATTTAAATCATAGTATTATGAGAAGACATAGAGAAAAGATGCCATCTACATGACAAGGAGAAAGGCCTCAGAAAAAAAAACCAATCCTGCCAACATCTTGATCTCAGACTTCTGGCCTCCAGAACAGTGACAAAATCAATTTCTGCCTAGAAAACTAATGTGATAGGTGATTTTTGTGGGGTGGGGAGAGTGTCCACAGCACAAGAGGTTGCAGTGGCAATGGGAGATTGGTTACGTATGGTGGAATTGACCAAGCAAATGTATTCAAGACACTGAAAGCCAAGTTTCCCGCTGTCAGAGAAGGAAATTAATACACAGAAAAAGAAAATTAGAATGAACCTTCCAGTTTTGCATTGGAAATTGAGATATTAGGACAAATCTATGATTTTCAATATATAAGTAGGTTGATAGATAGATACATACATACACAGAGTAGGATACAGGCATGTAAATGCTTATATACAAATATTCCTTAGCTCTCTCTTCACTGAAAGAGTCTGGAAGGGGCAATACCTTAAAAGCGATGAGCACATCTAGAAGCCAGATCTTGGTATTTAAATACCATTCTCTACTAAAAGAAGACTTGGCTTCTTTGAGAGATGGCCGATTCTAGTACTAGGGCAGGGAAAGAATAAGAAGAGCCTGGAATGTCTTGTGCCATCAGGAAAGAATAAAGCAATCACAGCACACTGAAAGCTTAACAAAAGGCCACAGAAGCCAGCTTGAAGGGGCTCCCATTGATCAAATCTAAAACAATTTGGTTGTCAAAATACATGCTGAAAATAACAGATTATACCCCATTGAGTAAAAGAGGAAAGCACAAGTCCATAGTGATAGAAATAAATAAGTAAATAAATTAAAAATTGAGGACATTTCCATAGTTCCAAAGTAGATTCCCCCAAAATACTTATTAATTACAAAATAAAAAAGAGTACCTTGATAGTGAAGGAGGCTGGCAGACACCAGCTTAATCAAGAGATCAAAGTGAACATTGTAAGGAATGGGGCAAATCAAGATCAGGTGCTACCTGCTAGTGTATTATGAGGACATGACATAATTTCTGTGGGATTCTTGCCCAAAATGCAGAACCTGAATCAGATTACAAAAAAAAAAAAAAAAAATTCAGGCAAATCCAAACTGAAGGACATTCTGTAAAATAACTTGTGTGTAATCTTCAGAAGTGTCAAGGTCATGAAAATCAAAGAAATACAAGGAAAAGGGAGTTGTTCCAGATTAACCAAGACTACGAGTCACGTGACACATGCCCTGGCCTGGATCCTTTTGCTATAAGAGACATTATTTGCACAACTGATGAAATGTGAATGGGTCTGTGGATTACAAGCTTGTAGGAAATCAATATTAATTTCCTGCTTCTGATGGATGTATTGTGATTATGCAGGAGAATGTCCTTGTTTGTAGGAAATACACACTGAAGGATTCAGGTGTCCTGGGGGCATCAAATGAGCAAAACACGCTCAGATGGTTTAGGAAAATAAAATAGTGTATTTGCATTGCATTTACAACTTCTTTAATGTCTGAGATTTTTTTACTTAATGAAATTAATAACATTGATATTCTTTACCCAGAATAATAAATGGTATCTATTTTTAGTATCAGTCAAAGTCAAGTCAGGGGACAGAAACTAACATCTACTTAAATAGAGATAATCGAATACAAACAACTGGCAAATAAGTAAAAAGTTATTAACTAGGTAACTGAAATGGCAATAAAAGAACTCTGAGGTACCACAAATGTTGCATTTGCAAAATGCAGCTACCATTCCTAGGGCTAGGGAAATAAAAGAAAAAGTTTGGAATTATTAAAACTTAGAAACCTTGAGGTTGATCCCCATGGGCCTAGGCCCCAGACCTCTGAGGAATCTGAGCTCAAAAGGGAGAGTCAGGGACATTGCCATATAGATGATAAGCATGTCAATTCTCTATATCTGTGTAAAAAAGTCCAACAAAACTTAGGCTCTTAGAAATTTATTTTTATTATACTCATTGATTCTGTGGGCACTTTAGAAAGAACACGATAAGGTGGCTCTGTCAATCATTTTGGGGGCCTCAATTGGAAGGACCAGAAAGCTGGGGGTGACTTCGTGGGTAGGGTCAGGAATCTCAAGCACATGTGGTTTCTCCATGTGGCTTGGGCTTCCTCACAACATGGCAGCCTTGGATTTCTTACATGTCAGTCAGAGCTTCAAGAGAACCTGGAGGTGGAGGCTGTATCACCTTTCATGACCTAACCTCAGAACTCACATGGATTCTCTTGCCTGCCTGGATTTGAGCACAGGAAATACAGGTACTGCTCAGCATTTAGGGAACGGCAAGGTCACCTTGCAGAAGAGCAGGTGTGATGAGGATGTAGCTGTCTTTGGAAAATATAGCCTGCACATAGGTAAACTTACAGGTGTCATCATGGAAAAAGCAGTCTGCAAATCTCAGACTGCTATGACAGGAGGTTAAAACCGAAGCACTAAGACATAATAGAAACAAAATTACAAATTCAGATCTTCAAAAGAGATGGCTCAGAGCCAGTTTGACAAGTCTTGAGCCCCTCTACCTCAGCAAGGGAGGAGCGCTGGAGAAAAGAAGATTTTAGGGGAAGGGTTTTGAAGAGAGCTTGGGGAAGAAGTGGGCCCTGTCTCTTTCACTCCTGTCTCCTGAGGGGCTTCAGCCAGGGGAAGCATGAGCATGAGAGTCTTGGGGAACACCCTGGAGGGGAGTCTGATTCCTACCCAGGGAAGCCTGGATGACAGGAGAGAGCAGTGTTGAAGCAGTAGCAGAGTTGGGGGAAAGGCAATCTCCTGCCACGCTTGGGAGGAAATGCCCCACATTCAACCAGGAGAGGGGATGCTGGGTCCTGGGGGCATGATTCTCAAGACCTGGAGCAGAATTCAAAGTTAAAGTAGTGGTTGGGCACTTTGTCAGTTCTGCCTAGAAGAACCTACCGGAATAGGTCATGGGCCCTAAAAATTCCAGGCTACGAGAGGGGAACAGCAGGAGAACGAGGCCTGGGTGCGTGGTGGCCTCCAAGGGACTCCAAGCAGGGGCCTCTGAGCCCCCCTCCCAGAAGTTTCCATGGAGTTCACTCACAGAAGAAAGGACCTAAGAGTTAAGTAACTCACCCAGGGTCGCAAGTAGTTAGTGGCAGCACTTTAAGCACCTGCCAGGCCTGGAGGATGCAAAGACAGATTAAGATCCCTCTATCTCAAGTATAACTCCCTGGTAGCCCCCTGCTCTGCCTGCCTGCAGGAGGCAGCCTTGGCCACTGGTGAAGCATGGGTTGTACAATAAAGAGAGGCCGATGGTGCCTTGTCCACTCCCATTGCTTCCCCTCAGTGTGCCCGGCTGCAGTGGGCAGAGGGTCTGATCCCATATCCAGGTCCTGGACTTTATTCTTGTCTCAGAAAGGACATCCCAATTGCCAAGCCAAGGCAAGAGTGGGTGGAAAGGTCACAGGGCCTGCCCATGTTCTCCGGGGCAGGGCAAGTTTGCCCCTATGAAATAAATCACAAAGCAGCAGTGGAACATAAAAGTCAAACTGGGACATTCTTGTGGAACAGGCTGGGCGCAGCCTCAGGGAATTCCATGTATGGGTCACAGGACAGGCCGCCCAGAGGTGCTAGAGGGCTGAAACAGCTGGCTAGATGAAACGAAAGAAAGAAAGAAGTAAGCAGAGAAGAAGTGACATCCACTAAGAGGAAGGTGCTCCCAGGGCCAGCCCCTCTCAGACCCGAGCAAGTATCACAACCCTGTCTGGGAGGAGGAGGCAGAAGAAGGAGCCCAGAGAGGCTTGCAGGCCTTTGCAATTGTGCATCTTAGACCAGAGTTCCTCAGGCTCCCCATCCAGGTTCAGAGCCAACACGGTGGCAGCTGCTCAGGGCCGCCTGTTCAAACACAGATCACTGAGTCCCAAAATCATTAAGTCTGGGCTTGACCTGAAAATTTGCATGTCATCCCCAGATGAAGCTGAAGCAGTTGGACCAGGGACCAGAGTTTGAGAAGGAACACTGATTATGGTGTGGTGTAGCAGCAAGGGGCTCACCTCGTGCCTAGGAATCACACTAGTTTATTTTAAACACTGGCATGGACAGTGTTAAGTAGTGTACAGCTTTAGTAGAAATTGAAGATTAATGAAAATACTGCAGAAAACACACAAATAGATCATGTGCTATATATGCAATCATCGGCCTGTAGGCCCTAAGCAAACACTGCTCCTCCTGGGGGCAGCGCCTGGGAGGGAAGTAACATGGCCCCAAGAAGTTCGACAGGCCTTTGATGCTATGCAGGACAGCACAAAGCTCGCCAGTTTCCTCCATCTAGGTAGAGAGCCAAGACGGGAGTGGCTGAAGTAATGACTGCCTGCTGAAATGAGAATTCTTTCATTTGGTAAATCAATAATTACAAGCACACTGGGGAAATTAAGCAAAGAAAATTACATCACTCTAGTGTTGCACTAGAATCATACATGCCTACAAATAACAAATCGGGAATTCCCCCAGCAGTTATAAATAAACCACACACATTGCACACTTGCAAAGGGATGTGAGTAAGCAGAGTGTTTGCTCCTCATCAATGATAACACACATGTGAGCTGGTTGTAAATATGAAGGTTGTAGCAGCTACAGGAATCATTGCTTTAAATTTTCTGTAGTGTGCGTATGTGTTTGTGTGCATGTGTGTGAACGTATGTGTGAACGTGTGTGTGTGTTTTCCTGTATGTGTGTGCATCAGGCATTTCCCAGAGAGAAAGCACTATCTTTCTCTCCAGGGAAAAAAAAATCATTGAATGGAAAGAAATGGCAACAAACCACTTGGAAATCTAAACATCCACCTTAAGGATCAGTTCAGAGAGCTGAACAGAAACGCTCCAGCCCACAGACCCCATCAGTCCACGTGTCCACTTCCTTCCCTCGTGGTTACTCTGGTCCTTCATTACTTTCTGCTGTGTAAACTCTAGCCCTTCAGACTCACTCACCTATAGCCACGAGCCTTAGCAATAAATTGGGTGGGGTGGGGGGGTCTCTTTCATTTTAGGGACATTTCAGGTACAAGGGAATATAATTATTACATACTCATGCCAAAATTTGTATATTTTTAAGCCATCTGCATCTTAATTTCTAAAGTTAATATCCTAATTTTATAGGAAAGAAAAAGAGGCAAAGTTGGAGAGGTGAGTGTTGTCCAGAAGTTGACCCAGTGGAGGCTGGGGGACTGTGGTGGACTCCTGGGCTCCAGACGCCAGATGCACACTGGTCCTGCTGCCTGTGCTGCCCATCTCAGGCAGACTCACCTCTTCTTCCTCCATGCTGGTGCACCGGATCTGCCCCTCAACACCACCTTCAAGGCCATCACTGATGGCATGAAGGTTTGCTTAGCATTTCTCCAGCCACATCTCCATAAGCTTCTAAAGTGTTTGTGCACGTGTACACTCATGTGAAAGCACATTGAGTCCTGAGAGTGGGACTTACATACATGGCACTTTCCAGAGTGGAGGGACACAGAGGGCTAAAGGCCTGGGGAGGAGAGGTAGGCCTCAGCATGCTCAGCCCAGGGCCATTTGCCTGGAGCGTTCACCCTATCCAATGCTATCTCCCCTCTTCACCTGCCATCACCTGCCATCTGATGGACTCTAACCGCCATGCCGGCAGAGCCAGGTCAAGGGATGGGCCAGCCAGGGATGTGGACAGGACCCTGATCTAACCCAGACATAAACACCACTCTGGGAAGCGAGGCACCTCCAGAAGAGTAAGGGGTGGAAGAGATGGCATTGGCCAGAACTTTCCCCAGATATGTGGCTTAAGAGGAAAACACTGGGAAGCCATCCGGGCAGCAAAGAAGACCCCAAAGAACAGAGCTTGAGGAACGAAGAGAAATGAACTCCTTTGAAAGACATTTCTTCTGAGCTGGGGCCAGAAATGAACTGCTCAGGGAAATAGAGATGGGTGAGGCAGAGGTGCCATCCGGGACCTCTTTTCTCATGCTCCAAGGAGTACTCTGCCTCTCCGGATCCACATCAAGTGTTACTCAAAGACTCCCAGCTGGAAAGGTACCATGTTTGTTCTGGCCTTGCCTTCCACAAGTTTTAGGCTGGTACCAAATGAAAGCCTACGGCTTCCTCCCTAATGGCGGAAGATGGCGCACCTGCTGGCCTTGTCTGCATCAGCAGAGGGCACCGACTCTCCTTCTAAGAGGCACTCACGGAGTCTTGACTCTGCCAATCCAGGCTCACTTTCCATTTTACGCCTGCAGGTTTACCTGATTATTAACTGCACCCTCACTCTGCCTCCCCCACCACCATGCGAGTATTAGCATCACCTCCCAAAGACCCCTCTCTGGATATTCTCAACAAAATTCATCAACCAGTTATATTAAATGTCCTCCCTTGGCAAGTTTTCTTTTCCTCCTTTTGTGTCCCCCTGCCTCAAGCATTTCTCGGGTGAACTGAAGTCACAGTATTCCTCTTAGACCCTGTCACCCTCTCCCTTTCCCCACACAGTTTCACCAGCATAAAAACGCCATGTCCTCTGGGAACACAGGCTGCTTGGAGGGTGATGGAGTCACATTTACCAAATGCTAGTCCCCAGGAGAAACACATAGGGATCCCAAGATGACCAGGCAGCAAATTTCAGCAGCTTGCACCGTTCACAGTCCTGGACTTTTTTTTTTTTTTTTTTTTTCCAATTTCTGCCTTATCCTCAGAATCTGGCTACTTTCATTTTTGGAGCCTCTTCAGCTTACAAAATCAGCCAGGATCGTTGTTGTAGAGTCCTTGAGGGAGAGACAGCCTGAGTGTTCTAAAAGGTAGGTGCCTTGAGCTGCTATGTATGAGCCAGCTGCTGCATGGAGCCATCTTCTGAAGGCTCAAATGTTGGCACTTCAGTACTGAAAGAGGTTCAAGGAGGAGCAAAGAGAAAAGAGTTCATTCTTGCTGTGGCTAAGGAGTGTGCAATTTTCTGGACCCAAATCAGCCCAACAAAAGTAGGGAAAAAAGGCATCTTTGGAATCTGCCACAACTTCCCTTTTTGTCCTTTAACTCCTATTATTCTTATGAAGTGAAGATGGGTTCTCACAAAGCTCATGATGAAGGAAGAAAAAGGAAACAACGTTGAGCATCTGTTTCACTGCAGCGTATGCTTAAGGCATATTTTGACTTATAATTCTCAAAACAGTACCTTCTGTGATAGAGGTATTATGAAAACCATTTTACAAATGAGGAATCCAGAGCTCAAAGAGATTAAGTAACTTATTTAAGATATACAACTAGTATTATGTAGAGACAGGGTTTGAAAGCAGGTCAATCTGGCTTCAGCAGCATATTGGTACTAGAGTTCTAATTAATTCAGCCAGGAAATAGTTAAGTGCCAACCTTGAACCCAGAACTGTGACAAGCACTATAGGGCTAGAGAAGACATCTCATGTATTTCCACATGAGGCTTAAGATTTAGTTAAAGAGATAAGAATAATAAACATGAATGAATCAGCAAGAATTACAAGTTGGTATATAATTATGGTATATAATTATGTCCTAAATTACATGACACATAGTAAAAGACTATAAGAGTTAAAGAGAGAGGAACATCAGTGAAAAGTGGTATAGTCTTGGGCTCAAGGTGGCAGTCTAAATGAGATAACATTTTATCAATAAAACCAAAAGGGGAGAGTTTTTGGTTCCAGGCAAGGGGGAATAAGCACATTCCGCCCTATCCCTCCTACTAATTATAACTGAAGACCCAGATGAAATGCATAAAGCAACTATTAGAAGTCCCTGAAAAATGGAGAAAAGAGACTGATTGGGGACTTCAGGACTCCGCATAGAACCTGGTGGTAGCTCTTTGGAGATTTCTGGCTTCCTATATATCTTGCCCTGGTTCCTACATCTGCCTGCAACCCAGAATCACCAATAGGCACAGTCAAATAGGAAAAGAAAACCCAAGGAAACCCCACTATCTCTAGCCAAGACTGGAAAGAGAACAGCCCCACAGGATGAAACCACACAGACTCTGCCTGCCTTACTCAAGGCAAAACCGTGAAAGAAGTTGTGTCCTTCCCCACCTAGATCTGTGGAGACTCTGGGTTGCCAACCGTCCCCCCGCCCCAGCCCCTGCACAAACACAAGCAATAGTAGCCTCCCTCCTCTTCACCACTAGGTGCAGTAGAGACAGTGGAAGAGAGTTCTGTTGACCATTCCCACCCTACACTGAGTGAACATCAGCAAAGGCAGGTTGTGTCCCCCTATACACACTTGAGGCATCAGCCACAAAGACAGTGAAGCAGAGCTGTGCGGACCACCCCCTTCCTACCCAAGGGAGCACCCCAAGGCAGTGCCTCTCAACCCCTCCCACCAGACACAGTGGCCACAAAGACTGTTAGGGGGAACACTGTCCATTATCCCTGCCCTGCAGTAGGTGAACAACAGCAAAGGTGTGGGACAGTGGGAAGGGGAAGTTACAGAGAAGAAGAGGCTACAGAAAGATTTGTGGTTTTTTTTGTTTGTTGGTTGGTTTTGTTTTTTTTTTGTTTTTTTGTTTTTTGTTTTTTTGAGACAGTCTCACTCTGTAGCTCAGGCCAGAGTGCAGTGGTGCGATCTCAGCTCACTGCAACCTTCACCTCCTGGGTTCAAGAGATTCTCCTGCCTCAGCGTCCCGAGTAGCTGGGACTACCGGTGCGTGCCACCACGCCCGGCTAATTTTTTTGTATTTTTAGTAGAGACGGGGTTTCACCGTTTTAGCCAGGGTGGTCAGGATCCCCTGACCTCGTGATCCACCCGCCTCAGCCTCCCACAGTGCTGGGATTACAGACGTGAGCCACTGCACCCAGCCAAGAAAGGTATCTTTTAGTCTGGGTATAAAGCTCTGGGAATACCCCCAAAGTAGACTGTGTGTGAAATGACTCTGAGAACTGAACTGTGGTGTGGAATGCTGCCCAGGTTCCAGATTAACTCTGGGTCATCCACAACACTGCTGTGAACACTTGAAACTATTGACATTTGAGCCACAGTTCACAGAATTGAGCCAGGATATGCATTCTAAAGTTAAATGGGTTGACTACCTGGTAAAATGGAAAACTTAAATAGGAACCACAGTTGCATGGCATAATATTCAAAATATCCAGGATACAACCCAAATGTACCCGTCATATCAAAAACCTCAACTTGAATAAGAAAAAACAATCAATAGACACAAACAGCAAGATAGCACACACGTTGAAATTATCTGGCAAGTATTTTATTTATTTATTTATTTATTTATTTATTTATTTATTTATTTATTTATTTTGAGACGGAGTCTCGCTCTGTCGCCCAGTCTGGAGTGCAGTGACGCGATCTCGGCTCACTGCAAGCTCCACCTCCCAGGTTCATGCCATTCTCCGGCCTCAGCCTCCCGAGTAGCTGGGACTATGGGCGCCCGCCACCATGCCTTGCTAATTTTTTGTATTTTTAGGAGAGACAGGGTTTCACTGTGGTCTCGATCTCCTGACCTTGTGATCCTCCCGCCTCGGCCTCCCAAAGTGCTGGGATTACAGGCATGAGCCACCTAGCCCAGCCTGACAAGTATTTTAAAGTAGTGATTATAAAAATGCTCCAACTAGGAATTTCACCTTTCAAGCAAATGGAAAAATAGAAAATCTCAGCAAATACAAGATATAAGGAAGAACCAAATGGAAATTGTAAAACTGAAAACAAAATAACCAAAATTTTCAAACTCACTGGATGGGCTCATTAGTAAAATGAAGATGACAGACGGAAGAATTAGTAAAGTAGAAAAGATATACAGAAGTGAACCAACCTGAACAAAAGAGAGAAAATAGATTGAAAACCTGAACCGAGCCTCAGAGAGTTGTGCAGCAATAACAAAAGATCTAACATTCATGTTGTAGGAGTCTCAGAAGAAGAGAAAGAATGTGACAGTGAAAACATATTTGAAAAAGTAGTGCCTGAGGAAACTTCCAAAACTTGGTTACAAGTTATACTTAACCTACAAATTCGAGAAGTTTAGAGAGTTCCAACTAGAATAAATCCAAAGAAATCCACATCCAAATACTTAATAATAAATTTTTGAAAACATAAGACAAAGAAACAATTTTTAAAGCAACCAGAGATAAATAAAACATTATTTTCAAGAGAACATGATTCAAGTGTGTCTGGATTTAAAGAATAAAAGAAGAGGGAGCACTTGCAAACTCATTTTATGAGGCCGGTATTACCCTGATATCAAAGCCAGGTAAAGACACAACAAGAAAAGAAAGCTACAGGGCAATTTCCTTGGTGAACATGGCTATAAAAAATCTTGTTAAAATACCAACAAACCAAATTCAGCAGCACATTAGAAAGTCCCTATACCATGACCAAGTGGGATTTATGTCAGAAAGGCAAGGATTGTTCAATAAACACAAATTAATCAATGTGATATATTAACAGCATGAAAGAAAAAAACTACATGAACATTTCAAACAATGCAGAAAAAACATTTGATCAAAGTTTAACCTCAACTTATAATTAAAACTCTCGGCCAGGCACAGTGGCTCACACCTGTAATCCCAGCACTTTGGAGGCCGAGGCAGGCAGATCACAAGGTCAAGAGATTGAGACCAGCCTGGCCAACATGGTGAAACCCCGTCTCTACTAAAAATACAAAAATTAGCTGGGCGTGGTGGTGTGTGACTGTAGTCCCAGCTACTCGGGAGGCTGAGGCAGGAGAATCGCTTGAACCCAGGAGGCAGAGGTTGCAGTGAGCCAAGACTGCACCACTGCACTCCAGACTGGGCAACAGAACAAGACTCTGTCTCAAAAAAAAAAAAAAAATCTCAACAAAATAGGCACAAAAGGATCTTTCCTCAACACAATAAGGATTGTATATAAAAAGTCCACCACCAACATCATAATCAATGGGGAAAAGTTGAAAGCTTCTTTTCTAAGATCTGGTGCAAGGCAAGGATGCCCACTCTTGACACTTCTTTTCAACGTAGTATTGGAAGTCCTAGCCACAGAACTTTGGCAATAAAAAGAAATAAAAAGCATCTTAATCAGAAAGGAAGACGTTGAATTGTCTCTGCTTACAGATGGCATGATCATATATGTACAAAACCTTAAAGACTCAACAACCAACAACAAAAATGTGAGAACCAATACATAATTCATTAAAGTTGCAGGATACAAAATCAACATGAAAAAAATTAATGTTTCTATTCACAAATAACAAGCTATCCAGAAAGAAAATCAAGAAAACCACTTCATTCACAATAGCAACAAAGAGAATAAAATATTTAGGAATAACTTTTCACCAAAGAGGTGAAAGACTTGTACACTAAAACCTATAAAACATTGATAAAGGAAATTAAGGAAGATACAGATAACTGAAAAGACATCCTATGTTCTTGGATTGGAATAATTAATATGGTTAAAATGTCCATACATCCAAAATGACCTACAGGTTTACCATGATCTCTATCAAAATCCCAGTGACATTCTTAGGTAGAAACAGAAAAAACAGTTCTAAAACTTATATGATACCACAATAGCCATTATGGAAAACAGCAGACAGGTTCCTCAAAAAATTAAAAATAAAACTATCACCTGATCCAGCAGTCCCACTTCTAGATATATATCCAAAGGAAATAAAATCAGGATCTCAAAGAGATAACTGCATTCCCATGTTCCTTTTAGCATTATTTACAATAGCCAAGATATAGAAACATAAGTGTCCATCAATACAAGAATGGAAAAAGAATATGTGATATACACACATAATGAAATATTATTTCACCTTAAAAATAAGAAAATCCTACCATTTGCAACAACACGGATGAACCTAGAGGACATTATGTTAGGTTTGAAAAGCCGATACAAAAAGACAAATACTGTATGATCTCACTTATATCTGATACTCACAAAGAACTCATAAAGAGTAGAAATGATGGTTACCAGAGGCTTGGGGGAAAGGGAAATGAGGAGATATTGGTCCAAGGGTACAAAGTTTTAGTTACACAAGATGAATAAGTTCTGGAGATCTAATACACAGCAATGAAACTATAATTAACAAGAGCTTATTGTATACCTGAAATTTGCTAAGAAAGTACATCTTTAGTGCTCTCAACACCAGAAAAAGCAGTAACTATCTGAGGTGATTGATATGTTGATTAGTTTGAGATGCTTAATTTCACAATATACATGTATCAAATCATCAAATTATGCACCTTAAATATATATAATCTTTAATGGTCAAATATACATTAATTTAAGATATTAGTAAAAAATAAAGACAAAAATCGTGTTATTTGAAGGCAATTAAAAGAGAAAACTATTTTTAAAAACCGAAATGAGTCTAGATTGATGACGAGAATTCATGAACATGAAAAAAAAGTGGCACAATATATTTCAAGTACTGAAAAAAAAGAATAGTTTTTTTCCTAATAGATTTTTTTCTATAAGATTCTAATAACTTATATCCAGCAAAATATCCTTCAGGAAAGAAAGTGAAATAAAGATAGTCTCAGATGAAAGAAAACTTTTTAAAATATTCAGCCAACAGACTTGCTATAAAACAATAATTGCTAAAGACAGTTCTACAGAGAGAAAATAAATAATAGTCCGGGTGCAGTGGTTCATGCCTATAATCCCAGCACTTTGGGAGACCAAGGCAAGAGTATCACCTGAGGTCAGGAGTTCGAGACCAGCCTGACCAACATGGAGAAACCCCGTCTCTACTAAAAATACAAAATTAGCTGGGCATGGTGGCGCATGCCTGTAATCCCAGCCACTCAGGAGGCTGAAGCAGAAGAATCACTTGAACCTGGGAGGCAGAGGTTGCAGTGAGCTGAGATCTGCCATTGCACTCCAGCCTGAGCAACAGGAGTGAAACTCTGTCTCAAAAAATAAATAAATAAATAATAAAAGAAAACTTGGAAAATCAGAAATAAAAAACAATGAAAAGGTAAGCATTTTGTTTTAAAAAAATAGATTGTTTTTATTCTCTTAAAATTTCAAACACATGTTTGAAGGTAGAAAGCAAAAAATATAATACTGTCTGATATGGGACTTAATGTATATAGAGGTAATATTTAGACATGTCATAAGAAGGGAGGTGGATAAAGGGACCCAAATGGTGGTAAGGTTCTACATTTCAACAGCTATTCAACAGCCTATACAGGATAAAAGTAAAAGGGTAGAAAATATACAACTTGCAAATACTGATAGAAAGAAAGCAGGAGTGTCTGTATTAATGTCTGACCAAGTAGCCTTCAGACCAATAAAAGTTACCAAGGATAAAGAGGGGCATTACATAATGATAAAAGGGTTACTTCACCAAAAAAATATGACAATCTAAATGTGTCTGCACCAAACAACATGAAGCCAAAACTGAACGATCTGAAAAGAGAAATGGAAAAATCCTCAGTTGTTATCAGGGACTTCAGTGTCTCCTAATAGATACAAGATCTAGGCAGAAAAGAATCAAGGCTATCGAAGAACTGAATAACCATCAACCAATGAAATCCAATTAACATTTATAAAACACTTCACCCAACATAAGCAGGATACACACGATTTTCACATACCAATATTATAGATAACATCCTGATCCATAAAATAAAATTTAACTAACTTAAAAGCATCTAAACAATACAAAGTATGTTCTCTGAACATAATGGAATTGAGCTAGAAATGAGTAACATAAAGATAACAGGAAAATCTCTGAGCACTTGGAAATTAAATGACACATTTCTGAATAATCCATGGTTCTGAGAGAAAGTTGCAAGGGAAATTGAAAAATACATTGAACTGAATGAAGATAAAATAACAACATAAAATAAAATCTGTAGGATACAGCTAAAGCAATGCCTAGAAGGAAGTTTATAATACTAAATGCTTATATTAGAAAAGAACAAAGTTCTCAATTAGCAATCTAAGCTTTCACCTCAAGAAACCAGAAAAAGATGAGCAAAATAAATCCTAAGCAAGTAGAAGAAAGTAAATAATGCAGATAGAACAGAAATGAATAAAATTGAAAACAAAAAAATAATGGAGAACATTGAGCTAAAAGCACCTATTCATGATAAACTCTCAGCAAACTAGGAATGGAAGGGAATTTCCTTAATATGATGAAGTGCACACATACACACACACATGAAACCTACAGCTAACATAATACTTAATGGTAAAAGATTGAATACTCACCTCCTAAGATTAGGAATTAGGCAAGGTGTGCACTCCTGCCACTCTGTGACAGTTAATACTAAGTGTCAACTTGATTGGATTGAAGAATACAAAGTGTTGATCCTGGGTGTGTCTGTGAGGGTGTTGCCAAAAGAGATTAACATTTGAGTCAGTGGGCTGGGGAAGGCAGATCCACCCTTAATCTGGTGGGCACAATCTAATCAGCTACCAGTGAATATAAAGCAGGTAGAAACACGTGAAAAGTAAAGACTGGCCTAGCCTCCCAGCCTACATCTTTCTCCCATGCTGGGTGCTTCCTGCCCTCAAACTTCAGACTCTGAGTTCTTCAGTTTTGGGACTCGGACTGGCTCTCCTAGCTCCTAAGCTTGCAGACAGCCTGTTGTGGGACCTTGTGATCGTGTAAGTTAATACTTAATAAACTCTCTCTCTCTCTTTCTCTCTCTACACACACACACACACACACACACACACACACACACACACACACACATATATATATATCCTATTAGTTCTGTCCCTCTAAAGAACCCTAATACACACTCCTATATTCGACACAATACTGGAAGTCCTAGCTAGTGAAATAAGTCAAGAAAATGAAATAGGCTGGGCATGGTGGCTCATGCCTGTAATCCCAGCACTTTGGGAGGCCAAGGCAGGTGGATCACTTTAGGTCAGGAGTTCAAGATCAGTCTGGACAACATGGCAAAATCATGTTTCTACTAAAAATACAAAAAAAAACATTTGCTGGGCATGGTGGCAGGCACCTGTAATCCTCGGGAGGTCGAGGCAGGAGAATCGCTTGAACCCGGGAGGCAGAGGTTGGAGTGAGCCAAAATCACACCACTGTACTCCAGCCTGGGCAACAAGAGCAAAACTCCATCTCATAATAAATAAATAAATAACCCAGTCTCAGGTATTTCTTTACAGCAATGCAAGAACAGAATAATATAGAAATTCTCCCAGCAACAATGTATTTCAACATGCAGGCAGTATCGCCTTCCACAGATGCTCACACCAGCCTGAGTGGCCAGGATTCTTACAGGGGATCAGTCCTGTAGACATGCATGGCCCAAGTGACTGGCCTTAGTTAGTCTCCAGCTCCTCCAGGGGTCAAGTTGATACTGCATGGCCCAAGGCCCCCACCATAAATCACATTGTTAGCATAAGTTATCTGGAGTGGCCCAAGATGGGCAGGTATACAAGCACATTCTTATCAGGAAGGTTATTCTAAGGGTTTAGAGCTTTTCTCCCAGGAGCCAGCCAAGGGCCAGCCCTTCCTCTGGAATGTGCAAGGTTTAAAAATCCCAAGACTGTGGAGTTAACCCTTTACTGCATGACATGTGATAAAATCTTACAGAAATATATACCAATAATGTTAATAATAATAATTTTAAAAAGAGTGCATGTAATATCTTATGAAGTCCAAATAAAGTCTGCAGTTTAGTTAACAGTGCCATACCAATGTAATTTTCCTGTTTTTGGTGATGGAGGATTGTTCCGTGGTTATTATGTAAGATATTACTAAAGAAAGCTATAAATGCACTCTGTAGTATTTTTGCAACTTCTTGTGAATATAAAATTATTTCAAAATAAAAACGTTTTTAAAAAAGTAAATGACAGGCAAGCCAGATGAGGCAAGGGAGGAGAATGAAGATGTGAAGGACTCTGATCACCAAATACTCTGTGAATTGCAGGCACTGCTCCAGGTACAAGAGGTAGAGCAGCACACTGAGCTCATTCTAGTGGATAAGGCAGACCAATGAATAAGAAAGCAGTAAGCACTGGAACAGAGGAAACAAGCAGAAACAGTGATTCATGTGACAAAAAGGCCAGGAGAGCTGGAGGCGCTGCTCCGGGTAGGTCTGCGGGAGCCCCTTAGGGACTCCAAAGTGAGAGGGAGGCACTTGTTAGAAGAGCAGGGGAGGCCAGGTGCGGTGGCGCCTGTAATCCCAGCACTCTGGGAGGCTGAGGCGGGTGGATCACCTAAGGTCAGGAGTTTAAGACCAGCCTGGCTGACATGGTGAAACCCCATCTCTACTAAAAATACAAAAAGTAGCTGGGCATAGTGGTACAGTCCTGTAATCCCGGCTACTCTAGAGGGCTGAGGCAGGAGAATCACTTGAATCTGGGAGGCGGAGGGAGGTTGCAGTGAGCCAAGATCGCAACATTGCAGTCCAGCCTGGGTGCCAGAGCAAGACTCTGTCTCAAAAAAAAAAAAAAAAGAGCAGGGGAAACAGCAAGAGATAAAGGCCCAGAGATGGAAAAGGGCTTTTCACACATGGGGAAGAGAACATCAGCTGTGACAGAGCTTGGAAGAGGAACACGGGCTGAGACTAGGTCAGGGAGTTGGCCAACCTCAGACTTCCCAGGGCTTTTCAGGCCTTGGAAAAGGATTCGGATTTTCATGTGAATTTGAGTGACTGCAAAAAATGGAAGAGTTTTCCACCAGAGCATGATGTAGTCTGATTTCTATTTTTAAAAAATAATAATTCCTTTAAGAAGAACAGGTTGGAGAAGGAATGGAATGGAAGTAGGTCAATCCATCAGGAGGCTCTTAGCCAGGCTGATGAGAGGTGTCAGAGGCTTGAGCAGGCTGGTAATAATGGGGAGAAGTGAAGGATTCACACTAAATTATAGGGGCAAAATACACTTTTAAGGAGATGGTGCCTGAGGATGAACTTGTGGCAAGCTCTGGGCAGGGGAGGAGGGAGTGAGGACATCAGAGGCTCCGTGTCCAAAGTCTTTTGTCGGAGATGGGAGATAGAGAATGGGGTGGTGGGCTGATGGGAAAAATCAAAAAAGAGGGAGGACGGATGATCCAGGAAACAGAAGGAGACATAAGGGAGAGAAGATGGGAGCTGGGGCTCAGAAGACAGAGACTGAGGCAGAGTGAGGATTTGACTCCAGAAGACAACGGGGTTTTTCCTAGGGCACGTTTATTTCTCAGTGAAAGGTGAGGTCAGTTGACTCCGGTGGGGTGGTGAGGGGGTGGAGCTAGACAGGAATTTTAAGCTAGAACAAAATATAAACTCCAATGCTCTCAGAGTCTGAGATGAGAAAGCAAAGTTCCTGGAGGAGACGCTGCTGGCCAGTGGTGAGTGCAGATATGCAGAAGGAAGGTGAGGGGCCTTGCCAGAAGCAGGGCCAGCTATTCCCACTAGACGATGCCTTGCTTTCTTGAATTGCAGGGAAGCAGAAATGCATCACACCATGAAGCAAAGGCTAATCAAGGAGGTTTGCTGTACTTTTTCAGCTACTCCTCACAGCGCTAAGGGCTGTGGAGACACTGCCCTCTGTGTGCCTCCGTGCCTGAGCATGAGCTTTATCACTAGCCGAAGCCTTCCCGACAGGCTGGCATCACTCACCTGGATGCAGGGCAGATGCTGAGGGGTCTGTTTTCCCTTCATCAGTTTTTCCCTCCCAGCATCAATTTCTCCTTTTCTAGTATCAATTTCCCCTTCCCATTATCAATTTCCCTTTCCCATTGTCAATTTTCCCTTCCTAACATCAGTAACCCTTTTCCAATGTCAATCTTTCCTCTTTCCTTTCTTTCTTTCTTTTTTTCTTTATTTTTTTCTTTTTTTTTATTTTTTTCTAGATGGAGTCTCGCTCTGTCACCCGGGATGCAGTGCAGTGGCGCGATCTCAGCTCACTGCAAGCTCCGCCTCCCAGGTTCATGCCATTCTCCTGCCTCGGCCTCCCGAGCAGCTGGGACTACAGGCACCCGCCACCACATCTGGCTAATTTTTTGTATTTTTAGTACAGATGGGGTTTCACCGTGTTAGCCGGGATGGTCTCGATCTCCTGACCTCGTGATCCGCCCACCTTGGCCTCCCAGTGTGCTGGGATTACAGGCATGAGCCACTGCACCCAGCCTCCTCCTTCCTTTCTAACAGAGCCTCGGTTTGGTGCAGGAGTACTTTTCTTTCTTATGTCCATCCTCTGCAAGAGAGCATGGTCTTGTCCCCAACTCAGGCTGTTTGGTCCTGGAGCTCGGGAACCTACCCCACTGTTGGTACCCAGGGTCACTTCACCCCTGTGGCAGTGACATCCCCTCTACAAGGTCCCCAGTCAGACACCAAAACCACAGCCACGTCCCACCCAGCAGCACAGGGGCCCCCATCCCCTCTGCTGGGACTGCCCCCCGGCCACCCAACTTGTTCATCTCTGTTTTCCATCTAGGTCAGTGCAGAGAGTGGAGTGTGGGGTCAGGGCACAGCCCAAGAGGCCACTTCTCACTCATGTCTTAGCCTCTTCCACTGCCTTTCTTCTCTGAGATGTTGGTCCCTGGGTTCTTCCCTCCTCCATCTCCTTGTTTTCCTGCAATACTTGGACACTGGAAGAAGTGGTTTTTCCTTCCCCAGCAAAGATCCTCTAAGGTTTGGCTGAGGTTGGCCTACTCATGGGGAGTGTGGCACCGTGGACAGGACTGTTCAGATCCCAGCCTTGCACTTACTTTGTACCATTGGGAAAACCTCCTCACAGCTCGTCTCAATGGTAAACTGGGAAAGAAAATATCCCCAGTATTCCTTTGAGAACTAAACAAATTCATGTCCAATATAGTCAGCTAGACATCAGCAGTCCAAGAATTTAGCTTCTTCATCTACCTGTTTCAACAGACGCTCTTCAAAACCTGAAGTTTCCCCATCCCAGGAGTGAACTGAGTGCTGGAATGTCAGGGAAGATCTCATACTCATGGATGGGTGAGGTCTTTTGTTTTCCCTTCATGTCTCACTTACTCAAACCCATTCAGATGACTGCCTGTTAGCAGGACAACCATAGAATGTGGTGTTCAAACCCAGCCCCCTTGAGCAGGGCCTAACAAAATCTAGGGACTGTCAATCCCATCATCCCTCTAATCTTGGCAAAAACTCCATTGTGTTCCAGCATCAGGAGATGAGAACTAAGTTCTCTGCACACAAGGCACTCATGTCCATGCAAGCTGGGACTCTCAGTATTTGTGGAAAGAAAAGTCATTTCCAAACCCTCCCAATCAATAAACAAATAGCATATACTGGATATGAAAACCAGGTGAGATGAGGAAGCCAATAGGTTGGATGGCACCGGACTCCACACAGCTGCTGGGGGCGGCCCCTCCCTCTCCACATCACAGAGGGCCAGGCAAATGAGCTCAGGGAATAGTGAGCAGATGACACACTGCCCCTGAGTGACGGCGGGATAACAGCAGAGCAACAAAGTCCCAGAGGATTTCAAAATGTCAGTGGCTTTCTAAGCCTCACAAGATACACACGCTGTGCCAAAATCACTCGGCAAGGCTGAGGCCTCTGCTTATGCAGCTGATGAGGCAGTGTGAGGGTGCCCAGCTTCATGAGTGCAGATGCTATCTCTCCCGACAAGAGCAGGGCTGCTGCATCCAAAGCAGAATTAATTAGTCATAGAGAGAAAAGCCCACTGGTAATTAGAGAACCCTTCTCCCCACTAACCAGACAGCACCCATTCTACCCACAGTCATACCACAAGTACCTCTTCATCTCACGACCGCTCCTTCTCAGTCTTGAACTTGTTAGGACCCAGGGGCCCATTTCACAGAGGGCATCCAATGGCAGCAATTCCCAATCCAGGATCCTACTGCCATTGGTAGGAGATAAGGCCGCATTAGAAATATATAGCTAGGCCGGGCATGGTGGCTTATGCCTGTAATCCCAGCACTTTGAGGGCCAAGGCGGGCGGATCACCTGAGGTCAGGAGTTGGAGACCAGTCTGGCCAACATGGCACAACCCTGTCTCCACTAAAAATATACAAAAATTAGCTGGCCGTGGTGGCATGCGCCTGTAACCCCAGCTACTCAGAAGGGTGAGGCAGGAGAATCGCTTAAACCTAGGAGGCAGAGGTTACAGTGAGCCGAGATGGCACCATTGCACTCCAGCCTGGGTGACAAGAGCAAAACTCTGTCTAAAAATAATAATAATAATCATAGAAATATATAACTAGCTCCTCGCGCCCACCAGTTCACAGCATCTTGCTTAGGATGGGTCTAAAGTGTGCTGGACCATGGAAATAGTAACTAGCTCCTCATGCCCACCAGTTCACAGCGCATAGCTTAGGACAGGGCTGAAGTGTGCTGGACCACAGAGACCCCTCTTTTTAGACTTTACTGCTAAAGTCCTGAGAGAGGCATTTTGGAAAAGCAGTCTATGGCCTATGGAGGCAGAGTGACATGGTTCTTCCTGCAGGTGGTGTTCTGTCAAGAAAAGCTGAGCTGCTCAGAGAAACTTTCCCAGTTGAAGCTTTCTAAAGCTTTGCCCCTCTGTTAATAGGCAAATCCCCCACATGACAAATCCACTGTTGCTCTTGGCTAACCCTCTGTGAATTCATGCCCTAAAAGAAGCAGGTTATAAAAGGGAGGGAGACAGAACAAGGGAGGGATGCCACTGAGGTGGGGAGGTAGTAACCAGAGACTGCAGGAAACACCACCAGTGCCATACTCCTGATCCGACTCCAGAGGGAGTGTGCGGACCACTGGCCACACCAGCTGCCACATCATACACATACTTAATAGTTTGTCTGAGTTTAGCAGAGGGACACTAAAAAGTTTATTGTCTCATTCAGATGAAATGTTCTTAGTTGACATTCCAAATAAACAAGAAGTGCCCAGCTTAGCGGTAAGTCCCTCATGGTGTAACAGATGCCTTTATAATTTAATTCCTGTGCATTCAGTGACTATTCATATGCATTAGATGAGAATTGTTTGGCTCCAGTAACACTATGCAATGTCTCTTTGTCAACAAACAGAAAGAGGTGTGCAAGTCTGCCAAAAGTTTATGTACTCTTCATTAATGCCTGTGAACCAAAGTCCTACTGAATCTGCGTAGGTTAGAATGAGACAGCTTTGTTATTAGTTACAAAGCAACCGAGGCCTACCTGTCTGTTGCAATCAGAGGGCAGAAAATAAAGGCTCAAGTACACATTGCAGGCCCTCCATGAAATAAATGGTCTGATTTCTCATGTCATCTTGTGGGATAAAGCCTGCATAATATCACAGAACAGTTCTACCCTGGTACTTTGCAGTGAAGACTTAGCCAAAGAGCAAAGCATAGCAAATTGAATGGGTCAGAGAAACACACAGTGAAAAATCTCCATACATCTGTTCAACACATTTGGATTTTTATACCATTTCCTCCCAAATTAGCTTTTGAATGCTCTAGACCCCAAAGCTGTTTCTCTGCCTGGGCCACAAAATTCAAATCTACTGACTTTGCGCCAATGTGTGTGTTCTCTAAATGGCTGAGAGAATCAATCACTCAACCCCAATTTGAACCACAGTCCTTGATGTGAACCAGCCTTAAAAGTTACTCCATCTGTTAACCATTTATTTGGAAAACATAACTAGAATTGTGTTTTTTAATTGCTGTATCAATCACTATTTTTGCAGAACAGTTTCCATATATTCTAACCAAACCCACAATTTTTAGATGTTCTAACACAACAATTTCTCTAAACTAGGGAAATGCTCTAATGGTTCGATTGTGCAAACCACCAAATACCTTATCCCCAAACTTTAGACAAGTATAAGAATTATAGATGAGTTATGATCTAATATGATATATTATCATATATTTCATATTATACACAATTTAGTATATTATTATTTTTATAAATATAGCATGTGTGATATATTACATGTTAGATGTCATATGTTATATTATGTATGACAGGTTGGGCAAACTTTATCTTAAAGGGGGAGATAGTAAATATTTCAGCCTTGCAGGACATATGGCCTATGTTGCAACTACTGAACTCTGCCATCGTAGCAAAAGCAGCCATAAACAATATGTAAATGAATGAGTATAGCTGTGTGGCAATAAAAGTTTATTTACAAAAACATGTAGTGGGCCCATGAGTCATAGTTTGTCAATCTCTGATATATTTTATATATTATATATTTCTAAATATGGTTGTATACTAAATACTAGAAATGTTTCATATATGTGGACTGGATGTCCCAGTAACAGAGCTTAGATTCACTCTATGGGCAGCAGGAACTTCCAGGAGGCATTTGACATGGTGAAGAAAACACTACAGTGATACGATGCATCACTGAAATGTTCCAACATTAACACTGAATTTAAATGCATTTAAAATGAGTGTTGAAATGCTGGATAAACCTGTTTCACTCATGTTAGAAACTAGCAGGCACTTTGTCCTGAGTTTTGGAGTGCGCCACATTCCTCTCCTGTCTCCTGCCGCTGTCTTGGTCCCAGGTCCCAAACACACTTCAAGCAGAATTTGTGCATACATTGCCTCCTTTGATGGATTCCTCAGGAACTCAAATGGTAAATGCTTTCTTAGTCCCCTGTGTAATATCCTTGACATTTAGTGGAAACTTTTTACTTCTACTTCTTCTCCATCATGTATTTTTGACGAATTGACTTGAAGCGGCATTCCTTGATTTTGAGTTGCATTTTCTCACAGTGGAGTTCCCAGGGCCTTCCTACTCCTCCAAGATTTCTCACATGGACCACGCCTTGGAGATTTGCAAGCCTCTGGTAGTTCTCCTGTGGAGCTTTATGGTCCTTACCTAATTGCCAAATTTCTTGGTGAGGTTACTCCTGGTTTAACATTGACTCTTATATCCCAAGTGAAGAAAATGTATGTGTGTGTGTGTGTGTGTGTGTGTGTGTGTGTGTGTGTGTAAAAGAGAAGTGAAATGTCACTTCTCTATTAGGTGGGAAAGAAGGGGGAAGTGAGGAAAGATTGCAAAAGTGGAAAAGAAGAAAAGATTCTGGGAAACCTTTTGAAATGACCGATCGGGTACGCTGTACACTATTTGGGGGATGAGTACGCTAGAAGCCCAGACTCCACTACTATACAATTCACCCATGTAACCAAAAACCTCTTGCACAACTAAAGCTATTGAAATAAAAAGGAATTGAAAGCAAAATGTTAAAATAAATTAATTAAATTTAACTAAGCTTAATGAATGATTGGAAGCTTTGAAGAATGGTGAGTACTCACGATGACAGGTTGGAGTCCGAGAATACCTTGAACTGCAGGATGAACAGTAGATATTACAAAGGAAAGTATAAGAGGAATAAACATGAAGTCCTCTACTTGAATCCAAGAAATGAACAGCATGTACAAAACAAGACACATGAAGACTAGGAGGTGGGGCTTAGTGAACCGTAAACTCATTCAATAGCTTCTCACAAAGCTAATGTGGCCATAGGTGTATTAAAAAGTTGCCATATATAGAACAAAGGTGGTCATAGTTCTTCCACGTGTGTATTCTCCAGCTCTCATTGCCTGGGATGAACCTGTCCGTAGGGTTCCAGGTATCCAGGGGTTTCTCATCCAAGGAGATGATGGCGATGCCCAAACTCACTACCAAGCAGAGGGAAGACAGAAGTCCACATGTAAGAGAGTAAGTGCAGGATCCAGTGGTGCCCAAACCCGTGGCCAAAATACAGTGAAGCACTGAAGGTAGAACAAAAGCCAAGGAGCAAGTGGAGGTTAGGATGCCGTGACTGCCTGCTCTCTGTTTGGGTATTTCAGTCTGCCAGGGTCTGGGGCTGGAGACCCAAGGATGAACACATGCTCTACTTTGAAGGTTTAGACCATACTGGAGCACCATGGCTGTGGGCAGGAAGCATGTTGTAAAGGACGGACTGGGATGTCTCTCAAGCAAAGCAACTAGAATGGGAGGGGTCTAAAACCCTCGTCACTGTGTGGGGGACACACAGGCTGGGGGTCATGGCCTGAAAAGAGGAGCACAAAGGAAGGCATGGGGGGTGCGTGAGGGTTGTCGCTAAATTTGTGAAGAGATATCTCTAGAGGAGGGATTTGGCTCTGTTTCATAAGTTACCAACAGAAGCTACACAAACACATATTTGAAATAAAGAATGCATAGTTGATGGATGAGAATCAAGCAGAAGCAATTTCAATGCAAGGAGGTGTCTTTTATCATGGGCTGCAATGTGTGGACCACAGACGTTTCCCATCTCCAGATGGCTTGAGCAGAGATGAGAAAGACATTTGAGCCCTGTCCTAACTCTGCTATAAGTAGCTGCAAGACTGTGGCCACAACACTCAAAAACCCCTGTCCTAATGAACGTTCTGCTCACTGTGAATGACATATCCGAGAGCACTGCATGAACTTCAAAATGCTATCAGGTCAGGCATTACCACGTGGCTATGGAATAACAGAAAAGGGTTAAACTGTACTAGCTTTCGGGATTCTATGATGCACAAGACAGAGCAAAGTTAAACTGCAGTCCCACACAGGTAGAATTACCACGAATTTTAAGACATGGAATCTAAATAATCCCTGTTTCTTTTCTACTTCCCAAAAATGAATCCCCTGGGTGCAATCACTCCTGTTATGAAGAGGATTTACCATGCTGGGGAGTCAACGCTAAGACTCACAAAAAGACAAACAGTAAAGAGTTCCTGGGCTGCCCCATCGACTATGCCAAAAGGTAGTCCCAAAGGTTTCAGCAGGTCCCAGAGTCATCCTCCACACTCTCACCTCACCCTCACGCTCAGTCTTTGTGTTCGCGTCTCTGATCCCTCTCCACCCCATCCCAAAGGCACCAAAGGGTGGTTTGGTCTGGAAAGCCCTGGCCAAGTTGTGCAATTGACTAATGCCTCATATTCCTCCTCTCGAAGAGGATGTAAACACCTCTGCCCCACCCACCTCCCTGGCTTGCTGGAGGGATTACAAGATTCAATATAAGTAAAGCTGTTTCAAAAAGTGTAAAAGCCTTTTGCATTTTAGCAACTACTAAGGACTTCTAAGTCCCATATATCCATGTCCCTGGACTAATGAGCACTTCCCAAACATTGCCTTCTAATTCCCAAGTCTCCTATTAAAATGTTCTTACTCCATTAGACACAAGAGGAAATAGATTCTGTCCCAAAACTTGTAAATGGCACCAGGATTTAAATATGGTTCTGTTTCACTCCAAAAACCTATGCTCTTCCCCTCTTCCCCACCTCTTGGACTGCCTTCCTGATTATCAGCATCACCTTTGGAGAAAGCAGAGAAGGATCTTTGGGGAAAGATGGAAGAACAGATGAAGCTGCAACCCTCGGATATTTCTGTATCCCTCCTGTATCTTCAACCTCATGTATCTTCAACCCTCTTGCGTCTTCAAGGAATCCAGGAAAGAAACTGAGGGGTAGGCAGTGTGAACTAGCACATGAACTGCGGTGAAAGACACACACACACTCCCCTTCAAGCTGAAGCCAGGCTGGGTGTCAGAATGGTAAAACATCATCCTGACAGTTGTAAAATGCTGGAAGCGTTTAATTACACTGATGTGTATCTGCTGGAAGTCTTCCCAGAGATTCACGCACTCCATCAGCATTCTACCGCCAAATTAATCAACAGATTGTTATCAAGACACAAATCTGCTTGCAAAGATATTTTTGTGGAGTTTAATTCCACAAAGAAAACACTGCTGCTTGTTAACGTAAAAAAGAAAGACATAAAATACTAAGAAAAAATCGCATGCTTGGCGGTCCCCAGAACCATTTGAAAAGAAGATTAATAATTTGAATGATGTGTGAAATCTGAAATTTAGAGACTAGGGTCTCTCAAGAATGAGCATATTTTAGATTCTTTTTATGGCTTGCCATGGAAAGTCTGAAGCTGATGCAACACAGACCCTTGAAGACCTTTACTAGGTCCATCGTGTCGCTTTATTTTATTTTTTTATTTTTTTTAATTTTTTTTTGAGACAGAGTCTCGCTCTGTCACCCAGGCTGGAGTGCAGTGGCACGATCTCAGCTCACTGAAAGCTCCATCTCCCGGGTTCACACCATTCTCCTGCCTCAGCCTCCCGAGTAGCTGGGACTACAGACACCCACCACCACGCCCGGCTAATTTTTTGAATTTTTAGTAGAGATGGGGTTTCACTGTGTTAGCCACGATGGTCTTGATCTCCTGACCTCATGATCCACCCGCCTCGGCCCCCCAAAGTGCTGAGATTACAGGCATGAGCCACCGCGCTCGGCCTCGTGTTGCTTTAGGGACAAAGCATTCCAAGTGCCACCATTTTGTATGGCATCTTTGTGAAACAGTGGAAACAAGGCGGAAGTTCTAGCAGGCTGTTGGTGTCTTGGAGAAATTGTTGTTACATTATACTCTGGGCACCTCCTTCTTTCCTCCTTCTTTCCTTGTCCCCAACCAAGGAAGACACAAGCAGTTACTCCCATTGACTACAACAGCTGAACAAGCACACTCTCCCATTGATGGTGTCTGTCTGATCACTGCCCTTCATACACCAGGGAGATGATCACGCCCTGCTGCCAGGTCCTGCGGTCCCACTTCCTGGCCATGTTGTCTCTTAAACCACCTGAAGAGGTTTAGTTCCTTTGGAAATATCAGTAACCGCTCAACAGTGCTGTGTCATAGAGTCACAAAACAGGAAGGTAAGTCTAGGTCTATGCTGATGTGTAGATCCCTGTGTTGGCCTAATTCATATTTTCTTCTTTTTTATTTCCAGTGTTACTTACTTTATTTCAATAGTGGTTTTTCCCTTGTCAAATTATCTTTAACTGGAGACCTTTATTTTTTTTTTACATGGAGTCTCGCTCTTGTCACCCCAGGCTGGAGTGCAATGGCATGATCTCGGCTCACTGCAACCTCCGCCTCCCAGGTTCAAGCGATTCTCCTGCCTCAGCCTCCCAAGTAGCTGGGATTACAGGCGTCCACCACCATGTCTGGCTAATTTTTGTATTTTTTTAGTAGAGATGGAGTTTTACTGTTCTGGCCAGGCTGGTCTTGAACCCCTGACCTCAGGTGATCCACCCATCTCGGCCTCCCAAAGTGCTGGGATTACAGGCCAGAGCCACCACCTGGAGACTTTTAACCCACATCTAACATCTAAGGCCAGTTTTCACTTTAAACTTTGTATACCATTCCCTTTTTTTTTTTTAGATGGAGTCTGGCTCTGTCACCCAGGCTAGAGTGCAGTGGCATGATCTCGACTCACTGCAACCTCCACCTCCCAGGTTCAAGCAATTCTCTGCCTCAGCCTTCTGAGTAGCTGGGATTACAGGCACCCACCACCACGCCCAGCTAATTTTTTTGTTTTTTTAGTAGAGACACAGTTTCACCATCTTGGCCAGACTGGTCTTGAACTCCTGACCTCGTGATCCACCTGCCTCAGCCTCCCAAAGTGCTGGGATTATAGGCGTGAGCCACTGCGCCCGGTCTCATTTCACATTTTAAGCAATATTTTTACATCACTTTAATAAAGTTTAAAAGTATATTAAAGAAAATAAATAATCTTTCCCAAATTCCCCATCCCACAGTTCTCTCTAGAAAGATTTATTATTTATTCTGGATCCTTTTGTAAAGGGATTCTATGATTACATAAGTATGCGTAAATATGTGTGTGTGTGTGTGTGTGTGTGTGTGTGTACATAGGTGTATCTATATATATAGACACACACCCATGTACAATTGCTAATATATGATAGAAGCTTAAATTGCATCCTCATGCTTTAAAATTCAAGTTTCACTTAAACTGATACCCCCTGCATTTGCAAGTATTTATGGTATATGTAGTTTTGTTCCACAATTCTTAAAATCTGCACAATAATTCTAATAAATGGAGACAACACATTGTATGTACCAATTAACTGTTGAGTGAAAGAGTCTATAGTGGTTTTAACTTTGGAAAATTAGAAACAGTGCTGCAAATAACTTCCTCTTCCAGATATGCTGACACCCTTGCCCAAATAATTTTATGAGATAAATTTCTAAAATTTAAACTACTGGATCCAAGGGTCATGATGTTTAAATTTTTCTAGCTATTGCCAAATTGTCATCCAAATAGCGACGCTACCCACGAACTTTCTATGAGTGCCCATTTCCTCACATCCTCAGAACACTAGGTATAGTGAGTTATTTTAAATCATTGCCACTGTGATAAATGTTTTATGATGTCTTAGTATATTCATTTGGATTTCATTAATTATTGGTAACATTGAGCTTCTTTGGCATTTTAATTTTTTTCTCTGTTCATTCCTTTGGTCTGTTTTTCTATTATCTATTTTCTTTCTCATTAGGTATTTTATGTATTATTCATTACTGTGTCCCAAATATATCCTCAAAATTTGTCATAGGTCTTGCTTTATTTATAGTATAGCTTCCAGAATCACAAAGTATTATTTCTAAATATCAGCTCTGTTATCCTTCTCCTTCAGGCTTCCGAATTCTATATCATGCTTAGAAAGACTCCTTCCACCTGGATATTATGAAAATAATATATGTTTTCTGCCACTGATAATTAGGATTTTAGTTATTGAAACCTTCTGGAATTTATGTGAGTGACTTGACATATTTATGAATTTATACATGTGACTAACTTGTTTTGTTTTGGCTTGCCTATTTTCTCAATTAAATAATCCATACTTTTAGATTTGAAATGCCACTACTATTATATGTGAAATTTCCATATTTAATTGTTTGAACTTTGGACTCTGTTCCACTGATACACTGGTCTCTGCTATTACCACATTGCTTTAATTTTTGTAACTTTATATTATGTTAGGGTTGGTGCTCTTAAAAATATAATTATAGATGATAAGAAGTTGCAAAAATAATACATAGAAGTCCCAGGTACCCTTCCCCAGTTTCCCCCAATGGTTACTTATATCTTACATAACTATAGTACAATAGCAAAACAAGGACCTTGACATTGTACAGTGTGCTTATAGCTCTATGTCATTTTATCACATGTGCAAATTTGTGTAAGTACCACTGCAATCAAGATACAAAAGTATTCCATCACTACAAAGATCTCCCTGTTCACACCCACCTCCATTCCCACCCCATCATTCCTAATCCCTGGCAATCACTAATCTGCTTCCTATCTCTACAATTTTGTTAATTCTTGAATTAATAAGAAGGTGTGTGTATCTATCTATAGAATTTTGTTAATTCTTGAATTTTTAACAAAATTGTATATATATACACACACAGCATTCTTGAATTAACAAAATATGTATTTTTATATATATACGAAATCATGCAGTGTTGGCCCTTTTGATATTGACATTTTTGCTCAGCATGTTTTTGAGACCCATTCAAGTATTGTATGTTTCAATAACTTGTTTTCTTTTTTATTTCTGAGTAGTATTCCATGTATGATATATCCTAGTTTGCTTAACCATTCATCCATTGAGGAATCCTGTCATTGTTTCCACTTTTTGGTAATACAAATAAGGCTGCTATAAACAATTATTTATAGGTTTTGTGCAAATATAAGTTTTCATTGAGCTGATTGAAATAAAAGCCCAGGAAATCAGTGGCTAGATTTTATGGTTAGTGTAAGCTTAGTTTTCTAAGAAATTGCCAAATGACTTTTAAGAATGCCTGTATTGGCTGGCACGGTGGCTCACGCCTGTAATCCCAGCACTTTGGGAGGCCGAGGCGGGCAGATCACGAGGTCAGGAGTTTGAGACCAGCCTGACCAACATGGTGAAACCTCGTCTCTACTAAAAATATAAAAATTAGCTGGGCATGGTGGTGCACACCTGTAATCCCAGCTACTCATGAGGCTGAGGCAGGAAATCACTTGAACTCAGGAGGCGGAGGTTGCAGTGAGCTGAGATCACACCACTGCACTCCAGCCTGGGTGACAGAGTGAGACTCCATATCAAAAAACAAAACAAAACAAAAAATAGAATGCTTGTATCATTTTACATCCTCACCAGCAATGTATGAAAGATACCGTTTTTCTGCTTCTCCACCAGCATTTAGAGTTACCATTATTTTTAAAGTTTAGTTGGCCTAATAAATGTATAGTGATATCCCAATATGGTTTGACGTTGAATACCTTTTCAAGCACTCATTTTCTATCTGCATATCCTCTTCTTGCCTTTTGTCCATTTTCCAGTTGGATTGTTGTCTTTTAATGCTGATTTCTGAGAGTTCTTTGTTATTCTAGATATGAGTCCTGCGCCAGATGTGGCTTGCAAATATTTTATCCCAGTAGCTTGTCTTTCCACGTTCCTATCAGGGTCTTTTGCAAAACAAAAGTTTTAACTTTTGATAAAGTCCAATGTATTAACTTTTTGCTTTTATAGAATGTGTTTGTTTGTTTGTTTGTTTTAAAGTTCCAGGATACATGTGCAGAACGTGCAGGTTTGTTATATAGGTATATGTGTGCCATGGTGGTTTGCTGCACCCATCAACCCGTCATCTAGGTTTTAAGCCCCACATGCATTAGTTATTTGTCCCTCCCCTCACCCCCCATCCCCTGACAGACCCCGGTGTGTGTTGTTCCCCTCCCTGTGTCCATGTGTTCTCATTGTTCAACTCCCACTTATGAGTGAGAACATGCCGTGTTTGGTTTTCTGTTCCTGTGTTAGTTTGCTAAGGATGATGGCCTCCAGCTTCATCCATGTCCCTGCAAAGGACACGATCTCATTCCTTTCTATGGCTTCATAGTATTCCATGGCATATATGTGCCACATTTTCTTTATCCAGTCTATCACTAATGGGCATTTGGGTTGGTTCCATGTCTTTGCTATTGTAAATAGTGCTGCAGTAAACATACGTGTGCATGTGTCTTTATACTAGAATGATCTCTATTCCTTTGGGTATATATCCAGTAATGGGATTGCTGGGTCAAATGCTATTTCTGGTTCTAGATCCTTGAGGAATTGCCACAGTGTCTTCTACAATGGTTGAACTAATTTACACTCCTACCAGCAGTGTAAAAGCACTATTTCCCCACAGCCTCGTCAGCATCTATTGTTTCTTGACTTTTTAATAATCGCCGTTCTGACTGGCATGAGATGGTATCTCATTGTGATTTTGATTTGTATTTCTCTAATGATCAGCGATGTTGAGCTTTTTTTCATATGTTTGTTGGCTGCATAAATGTCTTCCTTTGAGAAGTATCTGTTCATATCCTTTGCCCACTTTTCGATGGGGTTGTTTTTTTCTTGTAAATTTGTTTAAGTTCCTTGTAGATTCTGGATATTAGGTCTTTGTCAGATGGGTCGATTGCAGAAATTTTCTCCCATTCTGTAGGTTGCCTGTTCACTCTGATGATAGTTTCTTTTTCTGTGCAGAAGGTTTGCAAAGGAAATGCTTCGCTTTTGCCTATTCAGTATAATATTGGCTGTGGGTTTGTCATAAATAGTTCTTATTATTTTGAGATAATGTTCAATATCTAGTTTATTGAGAGTTTTTAATATGAAGGGATGTTGAATTTTATTGAAGGCCTTTTCTGCATTGCATCTATTGAGATAATCATGTGGTTTTTGTCATTGGTTCTTTTTATGTGATGGATTACGTTTATTGATTTGCATATTTTGAACCAGCCTTGCATCCCAGAGATGAAGCCTACTTGATTGTGGTGGGTAAGCTTTTGACGTGCTGCTGGATTTGGTTTCCCAGTATTTTTATTGAGGATTTTTGCATTGATGTTCATCAGGGATATTGGTCTGAAGTTTATTTGTTGTTGTTGTTGTTGTGTCTCTGCCAGGTTTTGGTATCAGGATGATGCTGGCCTCATAAAATGAGTTAGGGAAGATTCCCTCCTTTTCAATTGTTTGGAATAGTTTCAGAGGGAATGGTACCAGCTCCTCTCTGTACCTCTGGTAGAATTCAGCTGTGAATCCATCTGGCCCTGGGTTTTTTTTTATTGGTAAGCTATTAATTACTGCCTCAATTTCAGAACTTGTTATTGGTCTATTCAGGGATTCGACTTCTTCCTGGTTTAGTCTTTGGAGGGTGTATGTGTTCTGGAATTTACCAATTTCTTCTAGATTTTCTAGTTTATTGCGTAGAGGTGTTTATAGTATTCTCTGATGGTAGTTGGTACTTAGCGGGGTCAGTGGTGATATCCTCTTTATCATTTTTTATTGTGTCTATTTGATTCTTCTCTCTTTTCTTCTTTATTAGTCTAGCTAGAGGTCGTCTATTTTGTTAATTTTTTTTTAAAAAACCAGCTCCTGGATTCATACATTTTTTGAAGGCTTTTTCATGTCTCTAATCTCCTTCAGTTCTGCTCTGATCTTAGTTATTTCTTGTCTTCTGCTAGCTTTTGAATGTGTTTTCTCTTGCTTCTCTAGTTCTTTTAATTGTGATGTTAGGGCATCGATTTGAGATCTTTCTAGCTCTCTGACATGGGGATTCTGTGCTATAAATTTCCCTCTTAACACTGCTTTAGCTGTGTCCCAGAGATTCTGATACATTTTCTCTTTGTTCTCATTGGTTTCAAAGAACTTCTTGATTTCTGCCTTAATTTCTTTATTTACCAGGAGTCATTCAGGAGCAGGTTGTTCAATTTCCAGGTAGTTGTGTGGTTATGAGTGAGTTTCTTAATCCTGAGTTCCAATTTGATTGCACTGTGATCTGAGAGACTGTTTGTTATGATTTCAGTTATTTTACATTTGCTGAGGAGTGTTTTACTTCCAATTATGTGGTCAATTTTAGAGTAAGTGACATGTGGCACTGAGAAGAATGTATATTCTGTTGATTTGGGGTGGAGAGTTCTGTAGACGTCTATTAGGTCCAACTTGATCCAGAGCTGAGTTCAAGTTCTGAATATCCTTATTAATTTTCTGTCTCGTTGGTCTGTCTGATATTGACAGTGGGTGTTAAAGTTTCCCACTATTATTGTGTGGGAGTCTAAGTCTCTTTGTAGGTCTCTGAGAACTTGTTTTATGAATCTGGGTGCTCCTGTAGTGGGTGCATATATATTTAGCATAGTTAGCTCTTCTTGTTGAATTGATCCCTTTACCATTATGCAATACCCTTCTTTGTCTTTTTTGATCTTTGTTGGTTTAAAGTCTGTTTTGTCAGAGACTAAAATTGCAACCCCTGCCTTTTTTTTTCTTTCTTTTTATTTTTTTGCTTTCCATTTGCTTGGTAAATTTTCCTCCATCTCTTTATTTTGAGCCTATGTGTGTCTTTGCATGTGAGATGTGTCTCCTGAATACAGCACACCAGTGGGTCTTGACTGTATCCAATTTGCCAGTCTGTGTCTTTTAATTGGGGCTTTTAGCCTATTTACATTTAAGGTTAGTATTGTTACGTGTGAGTTTGATCCTGTCGTCATGATGCTAGCTGGTTATTTTGCCCACTAGTTGGTGCAGTTTCTTCATAGTGTCATTGGTCTTTATATTTTGGTGTTTTTGCAGTGGCTGGTACTGGTTTTACCTTTCCATATTTAGTGCTTCCTTCAGGAGCTCTTGCAAGGCAGGCCTGGGGTGATGAAATCCCTCAGCATTTGCTTTTCTGAAAATGATTTTATTTCTCCTTCGCTTATGAAGCTTAGTTTGGTTGGATATGAAGTTCTAGGTTGAAAATTTTTTTCTTTCAGAATGTTGAATATTGGCCCCCACTCTCTTCTGGCTTGTAGGGTTTCTATTGAGCGATCCACTGTTAATCTGATGGGCTTCCCTTTGTAGGTGGCCTGCCTTTCTTTCTGGCTGCCCTTAAGATTTTTTCCTTGATTTTGACTTTGGAGAATCTGACAATTATGTGTCTTGGGGTTGATCTTCTCGTGGAGTATCTTAATGATGTTCTCTGTATTTCCTGAATTTCAATGTTGGCCTATCTTGCTAGGTTGGGAGGTTCTCCTGGGTAATATCCTGAAGTGTGTTTTCCAACTTGGTTCCATTCTCCCTGTTTCTTTTTCAGGTATTCCGATTAATAATAGCTTCAGTCTTTTTACATTGTCCCATAATTCTCGGAGGTTTCATTCATTCCTTTTCATTCCTTTTTCTCTAATCTTGTCTGCCTGCCTTATTTCAGCAAGATGGTCTTCAAACTCTGATATTCTTTCTTCCACTTGGTTGATTCAGCTATTGATACTTGTGTGTGCTTCATGAAGTTCTCGTGCTGTGATTTTCAGCTCATTTAGGTTCCTCGCTAAGCTGGTTATATGGAATGTGTTTTGATGGCATGACTGAAAACTCTTTACCAAGCCCTAGGACCCAAATATTTTCTTCCTTTTTTTTTTTCTAAAAGCTTTATGGTTTATTTTTAAATCTATGATCCATTTTGAGTAAACCTCTGCATTAGGTGTGAGGTTTATGTCTATTCTACTTCTATTCTATTCTATTCTATTCTATTCTATTCTATTCTATTCTATTCCATTCCATTCTTGTCTGTGGATATCCAATGGCTCCAGCAGTATCTGTTGAAAAGCCTATCCTTTCTCCATCAAATTATTTTTGCAACTCTGTCAAAAATCAATTGGCCGTACTTGTGAAACTACCTGCGAGTCCACTATTCTGTTCCGGTGACCTATATGTCTATCCCTCTGCCAGCACCACAGTACCAATTATTGTAACCACATAGTAAGTCTTGAAATTGGGTAAAGTGATTGCTTCCACTTTTTTCTTTTATTCCCGAATTATTTTAGTTATTCTAGTTCCTTTGTTTTTCATATAGATTTTTAGAATGGTCTTGTCTATATCTATTTAAAAAATCTTCCTAGGATTTGATAGGAATGGTGCTAACCCTGTCTGCTAATTTGGAAAGAATAGACATTCTCACTATGTTGAGTCTTCCAATCCATGAACCCAAATTCGGTCTCCATTAATTTAGATTTTCAACCAGTACTTTGTAGTTTTTAGCATACATGTCCCATACATGTTTTCTTCAATTTATGCCCAAGTATTTCATTATTCTCTGAGTGATTGTAACTGGCATTGTATTTTAAATTTTGTTTTACACATGTTCCTTGCTAACATATAGAAATAAAACTGACTTTTTTTTACAGTTGCCCTTATATCCTGCTTATAAATGAGTTGTTAAACTCATTTATTAGTTCCAAGAGTTTGGGTTTTTTGGTTTTGTATTTTCCTTGGGACTTTCTACATAGATCATCATGTCATCTGCAAGTAGAAGCAGTTTTATATCTTTCTTTAGTGTCTACGTGACTTGTGTTTCCTTTTCTTGCTTCTTACAGTGCCTAGAACTTCCAGCACTTTGCTGAATAGAGCAATGACAGTGTGGATATTCTTGCCTTGTTCCCAGTCATAGTAGAAAACCATTCCAATTTTCTCCATTATGTATGATTTTAGCTGTACAGTTTTTTGTACATATTCTCTATCAAGTTGAAGTTCCCCTCTACTCTTAGTTTTCTGAGAATTTTGTATCATAAACAAGTGTTAAACTATTCAAATGCTTTTCTTCATGAATTGATATGATCGTGTGATTTTTCTTCTTTAGCCTATAAATATAGTGGATTACATTGATTGATTTTTAAAATATTGAACCAGCCTTGCATACCTTGAATATGGTATATAATTATTCTTATACAGCAGTGAATTGTATTTGCTAATTTTTTGTTAAGAATTTTTGCATCTTCATGAGGATATTGGTCTATGTTTGTTTGTTTGTTTGTTTACTGTCTTTGTCTGATTTTGGTATTAGGGTAATACTGGCTTCATAAAATGAGTTGAACGTATTTCCTTCCTTTTTATTTTCTTGAAGATTTTTGTAGAATTGGTGATAATTCTTTTTTAAACAGTTGGTAAAATTCTCCAGTGAAATCATCTGGGCCTAGAGATTACTTTTGGAGGAGTTTTAAATTACAAATTCAACTGTCTTAATTTCAAACGGATATTTAAATTATCTATTTCATGTTAGGTTAATTGTGGCAGTGTACTTTTTGAGAAATTGGTTCATTTCACCTAAGTTGTCAAATTTATGTATGTACAGTTGTTCATAGTATTCATTTATTGTCCTTCTGATGTTTACAGGATCTATCATCATATCTTCTGTTTCATTTCTGATATCAACTTTTGAGTCTTCTCTCTTTTTTATTAGTCTTACTAGAGATTTGTCAATTCTATTGATCTTTCCTGAGAACCAGACTTTTTGTTTCATTGGTTTTCTCTACTGTTTTTCTGCTCATGATTTCACTGATTCCTGCTCTTATCTTTTATTATTTTTTTCCTTCTGCTTGCTATAGATTTATTTTGCTCTTCTTTCTCTAGTTTCTTGTAGTGAGAGCTTAAATTACTCATTTGAGAATTTTACTTTTTTCTTTTTTTTTTTTTTTTTCCGAGACAGAGTCTCGCTCTGTCACCCAGGCTGGAGTGCAGTGGCATGATCTCGGCTCACTGCAACCCCCACCTCCTGGATTCTAGTAATTCTCCTGCCTCAGCCTCCCAAGTAGCTGGGATTACAGGCTCATGCCAACATGCCTGGCTAATTTTTGTATTTTTAGTAGAGACGGGGTTTCACCGTATTGGCCAGACTTGTCTCAACCTCCTGACATTGTGATCCCCCTGCCTCAGCCTCCCAAAGTGCTGGGATTACAGGCGTGAGCCACCGCGCCTGGCTGAGAATTTTACTTTTTTCTTATGTAAACATTTATTGCTATAAATTTCTCTCTCAGCATTATTTTAGCTGTGTCCCACACATTTTGATAAGATGTGTTTTCCTTTTCATTTAGGTCAGTATTTTTTTATTTCTCTTGAGACTCTCTCTTTGACCTATGGATTATTTGGGAGCATATTCTTTAGGCTTCAGGTGTTTCTGAACTTGGAATTTAGCCATTCTTTCAGGCAGCTGGGGGTGGGGCCTTTCTCCTACTGATGGATAGAGAAGGTCTTGACTTTCTACTAAGCCTCTTGGGACACCACCTTTGAAAGAAGGAGGAACCTTGTTATATGTGAGTCAGGTTGGAAGCACAGGCTCCCCATGTGATATCCACTGATGCCACCAGACACAAGGTGGCTTGCTGCCACCCAGCGGGGAGCTGGGGCTCCCTGTTGGCCTGTCAGGAGTGAAAATCAAGGGTCCCCACTCAGCCACATGTAAGTGCTGGAGTCCTGCCATAGTTTTTTCTGTGTCATTTGGTTTGAATGCAGTAGTTATTGTCTGAAAGTTTTCTGTCTTGCTAGGCTGCCCCTTTGCTGATCCTCTGTCTAGGGGAAGCAGATCTTTTTTTGGAACTTTTTTTGTCCAGGGCACATTGGTGTTTACAGACTGCTGGCTTCTCCAGTATCCAGTCTAAGACATAAGAGGCAAAAGAAAGCCCAGAGAACTCATCACCAAGTCTTCCTTGGGTCCCAAAGCCCCTAAACAGTCTGCTTTCTTCTGTCTGCCAATCGAAGTATTCTGATGTTTATCTTATATACAATCTCCAGGGTTTTTAGTTATACCTATTGGTGGGACTAAGTAAATGTGCATCTACTTCATTTCCCCAGAAGTAGAAGTCTCTAGAGTATGTTTTGCTTCTGGTAAGGAAAAGAAATCTCCATTTTTCTTTATTTTTCTAAACCATTATATATTAGCTATTTTTTTTGTTCTTCCAGAAAATGTCTAGAATAAAATTGCTGATCTCTCTCAAAATTCCCATTGGGGTTACAGTAAATGTAAAGTGACTCTATGACCCAGTAATTTAGAATATTCAATAACTAAATTGCAAATAATCTCTGGTCTCATATCAGAGAGATTGAAAATCTCAGGGAAACATCAGCCCTGGATACTTAATGAAGATTTCAAGACATAGGCCTTCCACTTCGTACATAACAAGTTCATTATAAAGTTCTGCTTCAAAATGTCATTCTTTGTCAGCGATTTTTTTTTTCCTGTCACACCACGCTACTCTAGCTATAACACTAAATTCTGTCATTCCCACTTTTGCACTATAGGATAGGGCTATGAACTCCTGAAAATATGGACTATGCTAACTTGGGCATATGGTCTAGTTTTTGTCCCCTAACTTTTTGAATGGGAGGACTTTAGGCTGATCATTGTAGGGGATGGCCTTGCTGATAAGGAATCTATAAACTCTGACTTCAGCTGACTCTCTTTCTGAAGAAAGCAGACCAAGGTTTTTAAAAATAGAGCAAACTGGAGCTTCCTGATTGTAGTACATGTCTGTGTTTGTTTTCTACTGGTTACATAAATATGGCAAATCACTCGACAGAGATTTATACTGCATTTCCTGGGATCCCAGGAGGAATGTTTTCTTTTCACTTGCCTTTTCTGCAAGAACGTGACAGCAGGAAGAAGGAGGTGGTGGTATTAAAACAAGTAGTTACGACTGCAAGTTGCAGAAGAAACATTTTTGGACAGATGTCAGAATGAAGAATTTCAGTCTGGAGAGTAATTTTTATGTAAGAGAATATGATGTAAGTTACAGTGAAATTGGGAAAAAGAAGTATTTAAGGAAAACTGTGACTTTTAAAGTCAATAAAAGGCACTAAAGGTTTTTTAAGAAACATCTTCTTGCACAAATATTGCAGTGGTGCTGACTGAGTCCCTCCCTTTCCTCTCTGGGCCCCACATTCTATTCAGGTGCGTGGAGAATCCTGGGAACCTGCACACAGGTGCTGGGCAACACCTGGCCCGAGAAACGTTTCATTTCACATTGATATGTAACATGGCCTGGCTTTACCATGTCAAATTCCATTTAGTTTTGTTTAAAGATAAAATGTAAACATGCCCAGAAGAGTTCTCTTTTTTCCCTTATTGGAAACAGATGAAAGGACTTGATGGCGTGGGGGGAGGCAAGGGAGGCATCTTTTGTGATTCAATTATATAGATGCAGTGACAATAGGCTTTTCTCTAGAGGAGTACATTGTGTGCACAGGCATTTACTTAGTAGTAAATGAATTTAATTAAATTGGACTGCTTGAGCTCCCAGAGTTTCAAGAGAAAATTTGTTGGCTCCTTTGCTTCAAAATTCTTCTGCAGCAACATTTTGGAAAAAGCATTTTACTTAAGTAGAGTGTTATGGGATAAACTGCATCTCCCCACAACACCCCAAAATTCATATGTTGAAGTCCTAATCTCCAATACCCCAGACTGTGACTGTATGAGGAGGGAGGGTCCGCAGAGAGGTAATTAAGCTTCAATGAGGCCATTTGGGTGGGCCCTAATCCCATATGACTGATGTCCTTATAAGAAGAAATTAGGACACAAATTGGTAAAGAGGGACTGCAATATGAAGACACGGAGAAGACAGCCATCTAGAACCCAAGGAGAGAGACCCCAGAAGAAACCAACCCTGCCAATAGCTTGATCTCAGACTTCCAGCCCCCAGGACTGTGAGAAACTAGATTTCTGCTGTTTAAGGTACTCGGCCTGTGGGCCTCTGTTACTGTGGCCCTGACATGATACTGCATGTGGTTATACCACCTAGTGATGCAGCGGCTGCAACTGTTTTAATGGATTTAAGTTACAAACAAAGACAAGACAAAGCAAAAATATAAAGCAAGTCATTTGGGTAACCTAAGATAAGACAGACCTGAGACATGACAGTGGCATTTTCCTGGATGTTTTCACAGAGAATATATTCTCCATACCCCACCTGATTCATCCTGACACAGGTGTGGCCGTGTCATTCTTGTGCTTCAACCCCTTTGATGACTCTTCCCTTGGCTGAGGGTAAATTATGTCCACCTCCTGGCTCTGGTTCTCATCAAGGCCTTCTCAGTCTCCCTGCCTCTTTCCCCAGGCTACCCTTTCTGGGTACTGCATTCCAGACATACTCATTTTCTTTCAGGTCTTCCAATGCCTTTCCTGCTTGCACCGAGGAGGAACCTTTGCCTGGGACAGCCCCAGTCCTGCAGCAGGCACTTCCCACTTTCTGTCTAGATAACTTCTGCTCCTTTTCAGGAAACGTGGTTCTAACTCCAGACTACTGGTCTACCTCCTGTGCTTCCCTAGACCCCAAAAAGTTTCTTGGTCCAGGTGTTGCCCAGCACCTGTGTGCAGATTCCCAGGATTCTCCACGCACCTGAATAGAATGTAGGGCTGAGAGAAGAAAGGGAGGGACTCCGTCAACACCACTGCAATATTTGTGCAATAAGGATGTTGTTCCTCAAAAAACCTCTGTCTAGGGAAGGCACTCTGTGTCACTAAATTTCCCCCTCTCTGTGCTCGTTTGATTGACTGTCCTCCTGTGAGGCTGGAAGCTCCAGAAGATACCGTCCCTGCATTTGATTGCTGTATCCTCAGCATCTCGCACAGTTGCCTGACTCATTATTAATTTCACACCTACAAAATATTTGACAAACAGCAAAACAATAGCCTATAAGTCTCTGTTTGCTTCCAGAAAAGCAAAGGAATAAAAGGTTTTAAACACTCTACTCTCTTTTTACTGTCCCACTCTTGAATTTTAATAAGTAAGTAATTTCTTCTCATACCCTAATAAGCATGCAGGAAGGATCTCTTGAGGCATAGGAGTAGAATGAAATGAGGTCGATTGATCCTTCGGGCTACCTTATGAAACTCATCTCCAATTTTAATCCACCCACACAGACTGAGCACTTTCTTTTCTTTTCTTCTTTTTTTTTTTTTTTTTTTTTTTTTTTTGTAGACGGAGTCTCGCTCTGTCGCCAGGCTAGAGTGCAGTGGCACAATCTTGACTCACTGCAACCTCCACCTCCCAGGTTCAAGCAATTCTCCTGCTTCAGCCTCCCAAGTAGCTCGGACTACAGGCACACACCACCACACCCAGCTAATTTTTTTGTATTTTTAGTAAGACAGGGTTTCATCATGTTAGCCAGGATGGTCTCGATCTCTTGACCTTGTGATCTGCCCGCCTCAGCCTCCCAAAGTGCTGGGATTACAGGCATGTGCCACCGTGCCCGGCCAGACTGAGCACTTTCTAAGTCTGAACTGAATCCTGGTAACACAGTCCTTACCTTCAGCATGCTGGATAAATGCGTGCTGGTTTCTGCGTCGTCGTGTGTTAACATCTGGATAGGCTCTGGGAGAAGGGAATGGTAAGCCACCGGTTCTAGAGAAGTGGTTGGAAGTCTGTTAGAGGCAGAATCTTCCAGATTCAAAGCTTCCTGGGTGAGTCATTCAGCAAAAAATGTTTTAAAGTTACCTCAACCATATCAGTTAGACTATTTAAGTGAGTCGATTATAAATAATCTGTGGTCTCATATAAAAGTGATTAAAAATCTTATCAGCCCCAGATACTAAAGGACGATTTCATGCTCCCAGGCCTTTAATTTCATACCTAACATGCCAATCGTAGAGTTCTGCCTCAATATGTATTTTTTCATCATGCAAATGAAAGTTTGTGATTTTACTACAACAAAAATTAGTGTAATTCTTTTCATAGTGTTTGTCTCATTCAATATATTGTATTATGACCCCCGTTAGCTTCCAGTAAGCATATGGATTTAATGAAAAGGGGACTCCAGCTCTTGGTAAATTTCTAAATTTACTAGAACTGACTAGTTTTGGTTATTTGATGCCAAAAGAGGGCGTGTCAGACATTAGCCTTCCTGGCAGCCAAACGGCAGTGAACTGGAAGCACTGGGAAAGGCAGGCCGGCGCCCTCAGCCTTGCAGGAAATGTCTGTCTTTGGTGCCCCACCAGCCCCCTTGCCATGGAGCCCTACAGAAACCAGACTTAAAATCTGTTCACGCTGGCCTCGACGTAAAATACAACACCTCACATTTCACACCTTGTTGGCCTATCATGTTTAGTTGGATCCCGTTTCGACTAATATTTTTCCACAGTTGGCTCTTTAAGATGGCATAGAAATTATTTACAACATCAAAGACCTCTGTGACACCATTTCCCCCACCTTCCCCCCGACACCCACTCAACATATCACGTGGCCCCCTCCAAGGCACCAGCACTCACTGGGAGGCTGCGGATGGGCCGCCCCCACTGCTTGCCGCCCCACCCCACCCCAGCAGGAGGGGACCTGGCCGGGGCTGGGGACTGGGGACGTCTGTGCCACGGCCACAGCACGCAGTTCCTTGGGTCACACCCTGCAAAACGAGATGCCAGCATGTCGCCATGGCTTTGCTGGTCCTTCTTGTTGACGATAAAAAGGAACAAGCACTAACTGCTGAAGAAACGCAGGGGATCTCTGCTCTCTTCGCTCCTTTAGTGCCCGAGGTGGAGATGGGCTAGCCTCGGACTCTGGCGGGAGCAGCCTCACGCCATTCCCTTTCTTTAGAATAGTTTTATTCCAGTTCAATTCTTTAGAATAGTTTTTCTAGGCCATTTCCTCTTTTCGAAGGGTCTAATAACCGTGCCTCCTTCATAAGGATATTGTGAGATTACCGAGATGACATGAGTCCTTTAGAGGCTCAGAGGAGGCTTCCGCACACGCGCTCCTTCCCCGGCGCCCGGCTCTCCAGGCACGAGCAGGATCCCTAGAAGCCCCCCAGCTTTTCCCACTTCCCTCCCGGGGGCTGGCACAGAGGCCCCGAATCGCGGTTAGAAATTAAGCATGCGCAAGCACTTCTCTTCACACGAAATAATTCACAGATGAAGAAGCGCCCATAATGGGGCCACCCATCTGTATTAATTGTGAGAAAATACGCTCTCCCACCAGCCAAGGGCGCCGGGAGTCAACACAGGCGCTGCCAAGGCGCAGAGGAGCGGGCGCTGCCAGGACTCGAGCGCCATCTACAGCCCGCGGAGGCGCCGCACGGACCCCACAGGCAGGAAACAGCCTCGGGCAGCCGGGCTGCCAAACTGCACTCCCTCGAGAGAGATCAGTGTAGACGGAGAATTTCAGTCCTTTTGCTAAATTTATATATAATTTTATTTACCAAAATAAAATTTTATTTATAAATGTATAGTACAAATATATGTATTTATACAGAAATATATGCTGTATATATTGCGTGCATGTATATGTGTGTATATATATATTTATGTGTGTGTGTGTTCTTAAATATACTTAAATAGACAAGTGTTTTAAATAGAATCGGTCCGATCTCCAGTGCTGCCACTGAATCTCCGTTTGATCTCTGATGATCGCTAAACTCTGGGAACCCGAGGTCTCCACTTGTCCGCGGAGACTGGTCCCACTTATCCAGCACGGCTGTTGTAGTGATTGAGAGAGATAATGTACATAAAACGCTTACCCCAGAGTCTGAGACAGAGAATTATAACACTATTAAGAATGTGATGACAACCATTTGTTCATGTACCTAGTTATTTAACCAATATCTCTTGAACCTGCTGTGTACCCAGCCCTCGCTGGTTATTGGGGGATACAGCAGTGACCTGGAAAGACAAGGACCCTTCCCTGCTGGAGCTGCAAGCTCAAGTCATCTGACTTTGAGAACAAATAAAACAGGCAGGGGAAAGTAGGAACTAGCGCATGTTTTAGAACCGCGGGTGAGCATTCAACTACAAGTTAATGTAATAGGCCCTGGGAAAGAGTTAATATAAACATTATCTATTTCTTATCTGGATAAAACAAACCCGGTGGAATTGGTTGGAACATTCCAACCATCGTATGCATTAGCCAGGAAAATGACTTTCAGAAATCATCTGTAAGTCAATGTATTAGTTTTCTATTGCTACATAACAATTACTTCAAACATTATTGCTGCTTCAAACAACACGCATGTATCATCTCTCAGGTTCTGGGGGTCGGAGTACAGGCATTGCTCAACCAGGCCTCTGCTCTGGGTCTCTCAGGCTGAAATCATGATGTCCCCAGGGCTTGGTTGTGAAAGCTCCCTGGGGTGGTGTGTTAGACAAAGTTTGTGTCATTGCGTGTCTGGGACTGACTCATGGCAACTTGCTTTTTCAAAGCCAGCCAGGGAGAGAGGGACCAGAGTGAGTGAGCTGGCAACAGAGTCTAATCTAACATACCCTCACCACCGGAGTGACAGCCCATCACCTTTGCCGTATTGTGTCTGCCTAAGCAAGCCACAGGTCTCACGCACAGTCAAGGCAGGGGTCACACAAAGGTGTGAACATCCGGATGTGGGGACCCTGGAGGAGGTCACCTAAGGTTCTGCCCACCACAGACACTGTCACAACTAATTCCCAAAACATATAAAATAGAAAAAGGAAAAAATATAGTGATTATTTCTCAAGTACATCTTATTTCACAAAATAGAGCTAATCCAAGATGTGCCCTGCACCTCACCACAATGATTCCCCCATGTAAATTCTGAAGACTGGGTTCATTACCCAACAATTCAGAATTTTTGCAATGCTAAATTTCATGATGGGTTGCCTGGTCAAGAAAAGCTAGGGCGTTCCAAAAGAAAAATAAACAACAGAATGCATGATGAACTCTCTTAGGACTTGCAGAACCATGTCTCACATATGAAGAGTAATCTCATTTTGTAGATAAATGGAAACTACCTATCAATCAAATATTTACTGACTGGTTTCCTAGGAGGGTGACCCTCAAGTATCCCAGTTCCTCCCCATTATCAGAAGTGAGAGAAAACAGCACTGGTCATGTGGCCTTACAAGCAATTCAGAGGCACAACAAAAAGATGGCATTCTTCTGCATACAGCTCTACTGCCCAGATGATAAGGTTAGTAGATTAGGACTCATTTATTGCGATATAAGAATGTAATTTCTCAACCTGACTTAATGTATCTGCAAACATGACAGCATAAAGAATAAAATATTAAAAATAGAATATATTTGTTTTAAAGAAGCATTTGTGGGTTTTTTTGTGGTTTTTGGTGGTTTTTTGTTTGTTTGTTTGTTTGTTTGTTTTGAGACAGGGTCTCACTCTGCCACCTGGGCTGGAATGCAGTGGCGTGATCTCAGCTCACTGCAACCTCCGCCTCCCAGGTTCAAGTGATTCTCCTGCCTCAACCTCCTGAGTAGCTGGGATTACAGGCGTGTGTCACCACGCCAGGCTAATTTTTGTATGTTTAGTAGACACAGGGTTTCACCATGTTGGCCAGGCTGGTCTCCAACCCCTGGCTTCAAGTGATCCACCTGTCTTGGCCTCCCAAAGTGGTGGGACTACAGGCATGAGCCACCGCGCCCAGCCAAGAAGCATTTGTTTTTAAAATGTGTTTAGAAGAATCAACGAGTGGAGAAAACAGTCTGCAAATAGACTTCTTCCTGTGTTATGCATACTGTGACGGTGTGTCACGGAAGTGCGTTACACTCATAGAGAAACATCAACTTTTAATAAATGGTGCTGGACAATTGCCTATCCTGCAGAAAAATAGGTACGTTTTATTTTCCTACCTCATATCACACACTAAAATAATATATTCTAGATTAAATACCTAAATGTGAAAAGCAAACTTTAAATTTTTTGTAAGAAAATATTGTCTGGTATTTATGAGACATCTGGATGTGGAAAGAATTGTTGAATAAGACACAAGTCATCATGTAAAATCTGGTTAACTCCATTATGTTAAATGTAAAAGATTTCGTGGGCGAGGTATGGTGGCTCATGCCTGTAATCCCAGCACTTTGGGAGGCTGAGGTGGGCAGATCACGAGGTCAGGAGATGGAGACCATCCTGGCTAACATGGTGAAACCCCTTCTCTACTAAAAATACAAAAAATTAGCCAGGTGTGGTGGTACGTGCCTGTAGTCCCAGCTACTCAGGAGGCTGAGGCAGGAGAATCGCTTGAACCTGGGAGGCGGAGGTTGCAGTGAGCCGAGATCGCACCACTGCACTCCAGCCTGAGTGACAGAGAAAAGAAAAAAAGATTTTGTGAGACAGATATTATAAAGAAAGATAAAATTTGAGCAATATACTAGAAAAGATATTTTCAATTCATCTAGCCAGCTAATGATTAGTATCCAGAAGATGTAAAGAGTTCATGTGGGACAATAAGAAAATGACAAACTACTCAGCAGAAATGGCCAGAAAACATGAAGACTCAATTGATGGGAAAACACCCAAATGACCAGAAACTGTGAAAAGGTGTTTGACCTCTCCAGTAATCAGGAAAAAAAAAATGAACACCAAATTAAAAATGTCCATTTAAAAATCTAAATGAGGTGCCATTTCATACATATCCAGTCAGCAAAAGTAGCAGAACAAAAGGACAATACCAGTCACAACAGTTAATATTAGCCGTCAGCTTGACTGGATTAAGAATATCTAGAAGCCTAGTGGCACATTGTTTTTGGGTGTGTCTGTGTGTCTGTGAGGGTGTTTCCAGAGGAGGTTAGAGTGTGTCTCTGTGTGGACTAGGTGGGCAAACTCTGCCTTCAGTGTGGAAGGTACACCGTGCAATCTGCCGGGGCCTCAGAAAGAAGAAAAACAGAGAAAGGGGTCATGTGTCCACCTAGCTGCTGGCATCGGGACACACTCCTCCTCTCCTGTCCTTGGACAACAACTCCAGGATCCCCAGCCTTTGGACTCCAGGACTTAACAGTAATGGCCCCCTGGGTTCCGAGGCTTTTGGCCTCGGATTGAGAGTTACACCCCCGGCTTCCCTCATTCTTAGGCCTCGGGACTTGGGCTGAGCCACGCTACCAGGATCCCAGGGTCTTGACCTTGCAGACAGCCTGTGGTGGGACTTCTTAGCCTCCATAATCACGTGAGCCAATTTCCTGAATAAACCCCCCTCTCATCTGTCTATCTATCTATCTATCTATCTATCTATCTATCTATCTATCTATCTATCTATATTCCGTTGGTTCTGTCTCTCTGGAGAGCCTTGACTAATACACCAGTGTTACAGAATTTATTTCACTTGATGCTGAAATAGTACAGTAAAGAACTTCTGGGGCCAAGTGCGGTGGCTCACGCCTGTAATCCCAGCACTTTGGGAGGCCAAGGCAGGTGGATCACAAGGTCAGAAGGTCGAGACCAGCCTGGCCAATATAGTGAAACCCCATCTCTACTAAAAATACAAAAATTAGCCAGGTGTGGTGGCAGGCACCTGTAGTCCCAGCTACTCAGGAGGCTGAGGCAGGAGAATCACTTGAACCTGGGAGGCGGAGGTTGCAGTGAGCAGAGATCACACCACTGCACTCCAGCCTGGGCTGTCTCAAAAAAAAGGCTCTGTCTCAAAAAAAAAAAAAAAAAAAAAAAAAAAAAAGAACTTCTATAAAGCACAACTTGTGGTTACCACCGTGGAACCACAGATCTCAAAGAAGACCCATGCCCAAGACTGATGTCCCTCTGCATTTTGTCCTTAAGTTTCACCGGGGACGGTAACTGCAAAAGAACATCTTGGGGGAAAAGATAGCCTAGGGGAACAGAAGCAGGCTCTAGGAGACTGTATTGGAAAGAAAGAATGGATGAAATAGGACGTGGTCAGCTCCAAGGAGGAAGCTTCCCTGTCTTGCTCCCCTCCTCTTGTTCCCCACCACCTGCTTCTGTTTGCCTTCATGCCCTCCTACTCTCCACCTACCCCCATCAGTGACCATAGATGTTTCAAACAAGTCTAGTCACGCATTACTTAGCAATGGAAACACATTCTGAGAAATGTGTTGTTAGGTGATTTTGTCATGGTGTGAACATCATAAAGACTTAGCTGGTACAGTCTGCTGCACACTTAGGCTGTATGGCGTGGCCTATTACTCCCAGTCTACAAACCTGCACAGCATGTGACTGTCCTGAATGCTGTAGGCAATTGGAACACAATGGCAAGTACTTGTGTATCTAAACCTGTCTAAACATAGAAAAGGTACAGTAAAAATACAGTGTAAAAGATGAAAAACTGTACAGCTGTATAGGGAACTTAGAATGAACGGAGCTTGCAGGACTGGAAGTTGCTCTGGGTGAGTCAGTGAGCAAATGTGAAGGTGTAGGACATTACTGTACACTACTGTAGATGTTATAAACACTATAAACATAGGCAATGCTAAATTTATGAAGATACTTTTCTTTCTTCAATAATAAAAAATTAGGCCTGGTGTGGTGGCTCATGCCTGTAATCCCAGCACTTTGGAAGGCTGAGGCAGGTGGATCACCTGAGGTCAGGAGTTCAAGACCAGCCTGGCCAACATGGTGAAACCCCGTTTATACTAAAAATACAAAAAATTAGCCAGGCATGGTGGTGTACACCTGTAATCCCAGCTACTCGGGAGGCTGAAGCAGGAGAATCGCTTGAACCAGGAGGCAGAGGTTGAAGAAAGCTGAGATCATACCACTACACTTCAGCCTGGGCAACAGAGTGAGACTCCATCTCAAAAATTAATTAATTAATGAAACTTCGCTTACTGTCACTTATTTACCTTATATGCTTTAATTTTTTAAACTTTTTGACTCTTTTGTAATAACACAGCTTAAAACAAAACACATGGTACACCTGCACAAAAACATTTTGTTTATATCCTTTTTCTATAAGCTTTTGTCTATTTATAAATTTTTTTTTTTTTTTTTTTTTACTTTTTAAACTTTTTGTTAAAAGCTAAGACACACACACACTAGCGTAGGCCTTCACAGGGTCAGGATCATCAATATCACTGTCTTCAACCTCCACATCTTGTCCCTCTGGAAGATCTTCAGGGGCAGTAACACTCTTGGAACTGCCATCATCTGTGATGACAATGCCTTCTGAAATGCCTCCTGAAGCACCTGCCTGAAGCTGTTCTATAGTTAACATTTTTTTAAGATGTAGAAGGAGTACAATCTAAAATAACAATAAAAATCAGAGTAGGCCGGGCGCAGTGGCTCATGCCTGTAATCCCAGCACTTTGGGAGGCCAAGGTGGGTGGATCACAAGGTCAGGAGATCAAGACCATCCTGGCTAACATGGTGAAACCTCGTCTCTACTAAAAATACAAAAAATTAGCAGGGCATGGTGGCAGGCGCCTGTAGTCCCAGCTACTTGGGAGGCTGAGGCAGGAGAATGGCGTGAACCAGGGAGGCGAAGCTTGCAGTGAGCCAAGATCGTGCCACTGCACTCCAGCCTGGGCGACAGAGCAAGACTCCGTCCCCCCAGAAAAAAAAAAAATCAGAGTAGAGTAAGTATAGAAATCAGTAACAAAGCCGTTTATTATCATTATCAAGTATTATGTATTGTACATAATTGTGTATGCTAGACTTTTACACAACTGCCAGGCAACACCTTTCTTTACAGCATCACCACAAACGCGTAACATTTTGCGCTCAGACATTACGATGACCACGACGTCACTAGGAAATAGGAATTTTTCAGCTCCATTACAATCTTATGGGACCACTGTAGTACAGCGCTCCACCATTGGCTCCAACATCATTATGTACGCAGCACGTGACTGTAATAAACATAGGCAAAAATGCTCATGCCCACTAGAAACCCTGGAAATGGAAATGCACAAAAAGATAACTGGGTGGGTTTCACAGGAGAGCACAGAGTGCACCTTTTCACTATTAGAAAAATTGGTTTGTTTAAATGAGACTTATTGAGGGATAATTTGCATATCACACAATTCACTCCTTGCAGGTGTACAGTTGGATGAGTCTTCAGGAAATGCGTCCGATCATGTAGCTACCACCACAGTATGCAGAGATCTAGAAACATTTCTATCACCTCAGAAAGTTCCTTCGTGTCCACCCCTACCCACAAAGCCAAGCCCTCCCGCAACCCAGCCCTCAGCAACCTCTCATCTGTTCTGGGACCTTACAGTTCCACCTCTTCCAGAATGGCATAAGTGGAATCACGTGGTGTATGTGTGAGTACGCACATATGAGTGGACATGTTTACTGCAGCAAATGTGCACTCATGTATGTGTGCAAGAGTGTTTGTGCGTGTGAGCATGTTCCACAACACGCTTCAGTCCTGTGGGCTGGTTTGGGCCTCTTGAGTCACTGGGCACGTGCCCATCAATCTCCCCAAGGCCGAGATCAGACCTGAGTCCAGGCCAGGCCTGCACGGGGTGGAAAATGCCTCCTGGAGGCCCCAACCAGCCAGGCCCACCTCCAGCCCCATGAAGTCTCGCTCTTCTCTGAGCTCTTTCCAGGTTTTCACACTCTCTGCAAGGGCCAAGGACCTGGTTAGGAAGGTGGCCGCAGTGGAAAGAGAAGGAATTGCTTGGGAATTCTGCCAACAAAACCATTCAGAGTGGTTTTGTCAGAGACAAATTTGAGTCACTGGGGCTAGAGGTGGGGAGGTGAGGAGGAGGCAGACATGGGGATATTAATGGGGCACCCTCTCAGCCCTGCAGCATCATCCCTGACACCACCATCCCCTTGCCATTACTACATGGCATCCATATTTTAATCTGAATTTTGAATCATTACTTCATTATTATGTTATTTTTTAATTACAAAATATGTCAAATATACTGAAAAGTACAATAAATATCATCATAGGTACTCATCACCAGATTTAACAAATCTTAATAATTTGTTGTTACTTTTTATTTTTTGAGACGGACGGAGTCTTGCTCTGTCACCCAGGCTGGAGTACACTGTCACAGTCTCAGCTCACTGTAACCTCTGCCTCCTAGGTTCAAGTGATTCTCCTGCCTCAGCCTCCTGAGTAGCTGGGATTATGGGCACCAGCCACTACGTCCAGCTGATTTTTGTATTTTTAGTAGAGATGGGTTTTCGCCATGTTGGCCAGGCTGGTCTCAAACTCCTGACCTCAGGTGATCTGCCGGCCTCAGCCTCCCAAAGTGCTGGGATTACAGGCATGAGCCACCATGGCCAGCCTATTTTATTTCTTATAAAGAAAAATATATATGTAGATATAAAGTTCCTTCTCCAGCTGCCCCACCCCTGACATTTCCTTCCTCAGCCTCTAAGAGCAACCATCCCGACAAAGTTGGTGGGGGTCAGTCATGGGCATGTATTTCACTTTCACTGTATATGTAGGTTTCCATGACACGTTGGGATTTTAACATCTGTATAAATGGTATTATATTGCATGTGTCCTCTATAAATTGCTTAAATTTTTAAATGATTAACTAATTAATTTAGACTTTGTTACTGATTTATATACTTACTCTACTCTGATTTTTATTGTTATTTTAGATTGTACTCCTTCTACGTCTTAAAAAAAATGTTAACTGTAAAACAGCTTCAGGCAGGTGCTTCAGGAGGCATTCCAGAAGGCACTGTCATCACAGGAGATGATGGCAGTTCCAAGCGTATTATTGCCCCTGAAGATCTTCCAGAGGGACAAGATGTGGAGGTTGAAGACAGTGATATTGATGATCCCGACCCTGTGGAGGCCTAGGCTAATGTTTGCCAACATTACAGTTTTGAGATTCATTCATTTTAATATTTTGAGATCTAGTTCATTCATTTTAATGGCTGTAGTATGTAGCAATTTCCATAGAATGAATAAACCATAAATTATCCATCCATCCATTCTCCTAAAGTTAGACATTGAAATTCTGTTTTTTTTTGTTAGTCATTCATTCATCATCGCTGAGCTCCTATTAGGTACTGGGCAATGTTCTAGGGATTATGTCAGTGGGGAAAAAAAATTAGATAGAAACCTCTCCCCTTGTGTAGTGTAGAAATAAACCAAGGACAACCAAGTGAGAGCAGGCAAAGGCTGTTTATACAGAGCTTGCTCTAGCAAGGATGTTAACACCATCACTGGCATTTGGCAGAGATCAAAGGCAGGCAGAGGCCCAGGACAGCTTCACAGTGGAGGAACGGGAAGGTTACAGTGGGCCCTGGTGGAGGCTGTGGGCCTCGGGAAGCTGGAGGTGGCTAACTAGAAGCAGGGATCCAATGACATTGGTTAGGGGGACACATTTGGCTTTCTCTGCTTGGTCCTAAGTTGGAAATGGGGACAAAAATTAGAGAAGCTGTCAGTTATTAATCATGTCCTGGCCATTTGGGCCTGATTATTACAGAGGTAATTGTTTAGCTTCCTGGATTGTCGCCAGAAAGGGCAGTGTGACTTCCTACCAGGCTGACTGACAGCAGGGCTGCCTTCCTGGGTTGTTTACTGTGGGTAAGAGTTTGGTTTTCTGGACAGGTTGCTGCAGGCTGTGAGTCAGAGTGCTATTTTTAGTTTTTAAAAATTAATTAATTAATTTAGACTCAGGGTCTTGCTGTGTTGCCCAGGCTGGAGTGCAGTGGCGCTTCACAGTCATGGTCATAGCTCACTACAGCCTCAAACTCCTGGGTTCAAGTTATCCTCCCTGCCTCAGCCTCCTGAGTAGCTGGGTGCACACCACCACACCCAGCTCAGAATTTTATTTTCATACATGGTCTGACCATAATCCATTTGTATATTTATAGTTTATGTTCTACTTTGGGTGGGGGATGATACGGTTTGGATCTGTGTCCCCACCCAAATCTCACCTTGAATTGTAATCCCCACATGTCGTGGGAGGGAACTGGTGGGAGGTGATTGGATCATGGGGGCAGTTTCCCCCATGCTTTTCTCATGATAGTGAGTTCTCACGAGATCTAATGGTTGAAAAGTGGCAATTTTCCCCACATGCTCTCTCTCCTGCCACCATGTAAGATGTGTTTTGCTTCCTCTCCACCTTCCATCATGACTGTAAGTTTCCTGAAGCCTCCCAAGCCATGGAGAGTTGTGAGTCAATTAAACCTTTTTTCTGTATAAATTACCCAGACTCAGGCAGTTCTTCATAGCAGTGTGAAAATGGACTAATACAGAGGTTGAGGAGGACACACATAATAAACATAAGTGAATACATTTCTAGTGTGTTGGAAGCTGCTAAGTCTTACAGGCAAAAAAAAAAAAAAAAAAACCCAGCAGAAAAAGAGGGGTCTGGATGGTGTGGGTATATGCAGAGGGAAACAGGCTCCCATTTCAGTGGGGATAGGGGTCAGGGCAGACACCACTGAGAAGGCATCTTTGAGCAAAGGCTTCAAGGAGATAAAGAATCAGCTCAATGTACATGTGAGGAAGAGCCCCAGGCAGAGGCCAACATCAACGCTGCTGTTCAAACTTCTCTATGCCTGTTTCCTTGTCCACGGGTGGAAAATTTTCTCAGTGTTATACCGAAAAAGGGAATTGTAGAACATGGAGTATGCAATTCTTAAACTTGTTGATGCTGTCCAATTGCTCTCCAAAGAGGTTGTACCAATGTACCGCTCCACGTTCTGGAAATGAAAGTCTCCATTTCCTCACAGGCCCCCCCAGAGTTGGGGTTTGTCGGACACAGACACTTTGCCTGTGGCAACACCACTTCTCAGAGTCCTGTGGGAAGTCTTATGCTTCAGTTCTTAAGAACCTTCAAAGACAACAATTTGGACTGAAAGAAAACAGTAATATCCATATAACTAAGCTAGCAACCCAAAGTGAAAACCTAAAACATAACATTCTGCTCTTAAAGTCTTCTTCCTGTCAGGGTCATCATGGGGTATGAGTTAAGAAATAGGGCCAGGCACAGTGGCTCACACCTGTAATCCCAGCACTTTGGGAGGCCGAGGTGGATGGATCACCTCAGGTCAGGAGTTGGAGACCAGCCTAGCCAACATGCTGAAACCCCTTCTCTACTAAAAATACAAAAATTAGCTGGGCATGGTGGTGCACACCTGTAATCCCAGCTACTCAGAGGCTGAAGCAGGGGAATCACTTGAACCCGGGAGATGGAAGTTGCAGTGAGCCAAGATCGCACCACTGCACACCTGCCTGGGCAACAGAGTGAGACTCAATCTCAAAAAAAAAAGAAAAAGAAAGAAAGAAAAAGAAATAGGTTTCGTTGTGGGAGTCCACAAACGAAGGATCAGAAAGAGATGAGGTGAGAAGCTGGTTTCTCATCCTCGCACTGCCTTGTGGAGAGGCACTGCCCAAGGAGGCCACTCTGTGAGACATGGGATGGGTTGCTGTCCTGGGGAGGAAACTTGCTCCCTGAACCTTCAAACTTCCAGCCTTTAGAACTGAGAGAATAGACGTCCATTGGTTAAGCCACCCAGTCTGTGGCATTTTGTTACAACAGCCTGAACAAACCGACACTTCGCTACAGGCTGATGAAATTCCTCAATTGGAGGAGTAAAGAGAAAAACCTTAGAAACATACAGACTGGAAAAATGGATTATTTAAAGAAAAAAGAGAGTAAGAGTGGCACAGATTTTCTTGTCTCCCCATGAAGCAAAACTTTTTAAAGAAAATCCCATCCTCATTGTTTTTCTTTGCTCTCTTCCAATTTGCTCGTGACCCCTTGGCCTCTCCACCCAAACTGTCGAAACCTGCGAGGCTGCCACTTGGCTATGTCCACACAGTGAAAGGTCAGGTGTCATCCACGGCGTGGGCACAGCCAATTACTGCCTCCTCCCCATGACACCTTTTCACTTAAGTAATGCTCTCAGTTCTCCTCCTATCTCCCTGGGCACGCCTCCTTACCTCCAGGGCCCTTAAACAATAGAGTGCTAATGACTCAGTTCTCAGGCCTCTTCTATTTTTAAATCTACACTCAGACCCTCAGTGGCATCTCTTCCAGTGTTGCGGCTGGAATACCATCCATATGCCAAAGGCTCCCAAGTGGGTACTTCTAGCCCAAACTTCTACTATGAATTCCAAGCCGTGGAATTGACATTTCCAGTTAAATATCCAACAGGAAACTCTCTAAGCCTGGGTTCCCAGGAATACAGTGCGGGAGGCAATTGGAGAGTTGAGGGAACCAGGAGTGAGGCAGGGACGGAGGGAGAGCAAGCCTGAGGGAAGGAGTTACTGAGCTGCACCGTGTGGAACCATGCACATTCGGTTGGGACCATTGTCAGAGATGTGTGCACAGCAGTACCTCAGGAGAGTCTGTCTACAGGGGAGAATAAAGATTCAGTTCCAGTCTCTTGCAGGTCACACCAAGTGTTAGCACCCCTGCACATGGGGCTGCACCTGTGCATTCACTAGCAAGTCCGAGAGCCTTTCTACCTACAGCAACAGGGAGGCTCCTTGAATGGGCTCCTGGACCCTGGTCTGGCCACGAAATGACAGACTCTTAGCTGGACCTGGTTCTGCAGCTGGGCAGACCTCACCCAGAGAGTCCTCTGATCACAGCTGAGGAAGTGGTCCAGGGCCCTGGACACACCCAGAGAAAAGAATGGGTGCAGAAGGTGTAACAGAGACTCAAGCCTGAGGCTTTTGATCCTCCCTATCTCCATCAACAGGAACCCGTCCTTGCTGAAACCAAACATCTCATCTGATTGTCTCAGTTATCTCATGTTGTCCCATAACCCACTCCAAAACAGTGGTTTGAAACAACCACACTCACCTATTTTGTTCATGAGTCTGAGTGCTCTGGGCCCAGGGTCTGTCATGCGGTTGAAGTCACATGGCAGTGCAGGCTGGGGTCCCGTGGCATAACTGCATAGATTTAAAAAAATCTTTCATTTGAATGCAAACACTGTCCACTCACCATCTGCACTTTTGTGATGGGCAAGTATTAGCATCCACATTTAAGAACATTAGAAGGGTTCTTTGTATTTTTTTTAAAACCACTACTTTATTTTTTTTCAACTTTTAAGATCTGGGGTAAATGTGCAGGATGTGCAGGTTTGTTACACAAGCAAATATTGAGGTATACTTTAAAGCAGGGGTCCCCCACCCCCAGCCTGTTAGGAACTGGGTCACACAGCAGGAGGTGAGAGCCACTGAAGCTCCATCTGTATTTACAGTCACTCCCATTACCTGCATTACTTCCTGAGCTCCGCCTCCTGTCAGATCAGTAGCAGCATTAGATTCTCATAGGAGTGTGAACCCTATTGTGAACTGCGCACGTGAGAGATCTAGGTTGCACACTCTTTATGAGAATCTAATGCCTGATGATTTGTCACCGTCTTCCATCACCCCCAGATAGGACCATCTAGTTGCATGAAAACAAGCCCACGGCTCCCACTGATTCTACATTATGGTGAGTTGTGTAATGATTTCATTATATATTACAATGGAATAATAATAGAAAGAAAGTGCACAATAAATGCAATGTGCTTGAATCGTCGTGAAAAAAATCCCCCGTCCCTTGTCCATGGAAAAATTGTCTTCCACAAAACTGGTCCCTGGTGCCAAAAAGGTTGAGGACCGCTGCTTTAAAGTGTATATAATCTGTATCAATTTAAGGTTATCATTTAGTAAATTTTGACACGTATATACCTGTGTAGCCAACACCACATTCAAGCTACAGACACTTCCATTATGCCTAAAATTCCCACCTACGCTTGTACCCCTGGCTCCAGATACCCCCCAAAAAGCTGCCTAATCACTATAGACCAGTATTTCCTCTTCTAGAACTCCACATGGAATCATACCATATGCACTTTCTGTTTTTGAGACCCATGTGATGTGATGTGTGTGTGTGGTGTGAGATGTGTGTGTGCGTTGTGTGTATGTGTGTGTGATGTGTGGTGTGTGTGTTATGTGTGTGTGTGGTGTGTGTGATGGGTGTGTGGTGTGTGTGTGTGGTGTGTGTGTGGTGTGTGATGTGTGTGTGGTGTGTATGTGTGGTGTGTGTGATGTGTGTGGTGTGTGTGGTGTGTGTGTGATGTGCTTGTGTGTGTGGTGTGTGTGTGGTGTGTGTGTGGTGTGAGTGTGTGTGTGTGTGTGTGTGTGTGTGTGTGTGTTTCATTCCGACTGCTGAGGAGTATTCCATTCCATTGACTGGATATACATTCACCTGTTGATGGACATTTCGTTTGTTTCTCATGTTTGGACACTAGGAATGAGCCTGCTATGAACATTCATGTACAACTCTTTGTGTAGATGTTTTCATTTCTGTTGGGCAAACACCTAGTAGTGGAACTTTCAGGTCATAAAATACTTTAAATTTTCTAAGAAACTGCCAAACAGTGATTGCAGCACCAGCAGGATGTGAATGTCCCATCTTTCATTTGCCTGCACAAAGTCCTGTCCTAACTGTCCTTTAAGGGGGTTGGTGTGATTCTCTCCCCTCCTTCTGAATTGGCTAGGACAGGACTGTCTCTATGTCTGTGTCCCCAGGTCCCTCTGCCCACCAGCCCAGCCTCCAGCATCAAGAACCCTCAGCAATGTTCCTAAAATCCCACGATTCCTCCAGCCCAGCTCTGGTACCCAAGGTGCACAGCGAGTGCCTACTGACTTATTCAATTGCTTCAACTCCTTTTGGAAAATAGAACGTGCAGATATTAACTGATTCTTCAGCAAGGGAGGCTACTGCTGACCTCTTCCTTTATTACTTTCATTTTATACACTTCTCCGGTTTCCCTGCTCTGGCAATACTAACTTTTGAAGAATTTCTCCCCAAAGATAACTTTTAAAAACTGAAGAAGTTAAACTTTAAAAACTAGATTTCAAAAACCTGAGCATTAAAAAAACAAATCTTTGTGCATGGGGGCAGAGGCATTTGTTCTTAGTGCCTAATGTTTATGATATTTGGGAGAATTTTGTCTAAGATTTTCAATAAGCTTCTAGTGAGCAATCTGATTCTTTCTTATATTCTTTTGCCTCTCTATTTATTGTGCTTTGACAGTTCTTTCTTCTAAAACTAACTTTCTTTTTTTTTTTTTTCCTTTTTTTTTTTTTTTTTGAGAAGGAGTCTCGCTCTGTTGCCCAGGCTGGAGTGCAGTGGCAGGATCTCGGCTCACTGCAGCCTCCGCCTCCCGGGTTCAAGCGATTCTCCTGCCTCAGCCTCCTGAGTAGCTGGGATTACAGGTGCGTGCCACCACACCCAGCTAATTTTTTGTATTTTTAGTAGATACCGGGTTTCGCCATTTTAGCCAGGATGGTCTTGAACTCCTGATGTCGTGATCCACCTGCCTCAGCCTCCCAGTGTTGGGATTACAGGCGTGAGCCACCGCGCCTGGCCTCTAAAACTAACTTTCTAAAAGATCCTCCCACTCCAGAATGTTCTGCCTAATGGGATCTCTATTACTTGGGGCTATGAATATAAAATTACAAAGAATAATAATAAATTACATAATAAAACAAATGATGTGTAATATATGCCATTTTAATAACATAAGCTTTCCATCTTGGCATTTAAAAAGCGATTTCACAGCGTTTTAAGAAGTAGAAAACAAGCTTCCCCACTTTGAGGGTAACAAAATTATAAAATTCCATTTTTGGCTGGTGTGTGGTTTTACAGTTAAATTAACATTAAGTAATTGATGATAAAAGAATAAATGGGCCCACATCTCCATAAAGACAAAACCAGCTGGGTTCATCCGCCACGGTTACTCCGGGCTGAGGCTCATTCTTGGGGACCCCCCCACTGTACAGATCCCTGCCAGCCCTTCAGGTCACAGGGATCTTTCTGGGAGCCCCAGAGGACCTGCAGCCCAGGGCCCCTTTGGCCCAGCGGCATCACATCCATCGTGCCAGGACCTGTCCTGGAGGGCACTGTGGCTGGGGGCCCACAGGCAGCTCAAAGGTGCCGCAGCAGGAAGGGCTGGGGAAGGTGGGTGGAGAGGGGGAGCAACCTGCCGGAGGAGCCTCCTCTTCCCCCACACCCTCCCTCAGGACTCACACCCACCTCACTCTACTGCAAGGAGGAGTCCCTATGCTCCCCAGAACCTCTGCACTGCACTCCACACTACAGGGCTGAGACCCTCCTAGCACCTCCAAGTGCAAAGGTCCAGTGGGATTGCAGACAGGGGGGCTGACTGTCACCCCAGGTGTGGCACCTCCAGTCTGCCACCTGGCACTCGTGTTCCCACACCCAGACACTGTCACGGCCCTGGTCTAAATGCCTGCTTTTTCCTAAAGGATGCTTTGGGTTGCTTGATTCCCCTGAGCCTGTTTCCCCAAGTGAAAAGTAGGAACAGTACCTCTTCCCTGTCAGGATTTTGGGGAGGTTGAGGTCGGATTATGTAATTCTAGAATGTCCTGTGTTTATCTCCACAAATTCATCCCGTGTTTACTGCATAATTCCCGGCTCATAACTCCCCTAGCTCTTGCTGTAGTGTTAAAGCACTTTAGGCCTCAAAAGTAAGCCTCAGCAAACAGAATCTCTCTCTCTCTCTCTCTGACCTCCTGCTCTCCTTTCGCCCGATTAGGACCCTACTCTTTCCCTGCCTTTCCGTAAAGAAATTACCTGCCCTACCTTGTCTGACTGTGGCTCACACAGCCCCCATTTCAGAAGGGTCCTGCCCCCTACCCTGGGGGAAGGAGTGCCGCAGAGAGAGGCCAAGAAGAATCTGAACACACAGGCCTTGCCTGGGTTTCCCTCCCAGTCTGTCGTTATTAGATCATGGTCTTTTTTCCAATCACAGTTGTCAATCATGCCTCTTATTAAGCCGCTGAGTTTATGGTAATCTGTCGGTAGTAATTTGTCAGTAGTTAGTCTTAGACCTTAGAAAAATCAGGAGTAAAGGCTACTTTGTACTACAAATTACACAACTTACATGAAAGCCACAAATGACCAAAACTGACTCAAAAAGAGATAGTAAATTTGAATAACCTATAAAAGTAAAAAATGGAGTTAGCAATTGTGACATTATGCTATATATATGTTGGTTTTCAAGCACAGTTCACTCCTGACTCATAACTCTCATAACCCTTATTATAATGTCGGGGTGCTTTAGCCCTCACAAAACAGTCTCTCTCTTGAACTTCTCCCACCCTCCTTCCACCTGCTCCTTTTTCTCTTCCAGGCAGGATTCTTCTCCCACTTGTCTGTCTTGGAGTTGGCCATAAAGAAATTTTTTTTTTTTTTTTTTTGAGGCGGAGCCTCGCTCTGTCGCCCAGGCTGGAGTGCAGTGGCATGATCTCGGCTCACTGCAAGCTCCGCCTCCCAGGTTCACGCCATTCTCCTGCCTCAGCCTCCCGAGTAGCTGGGACTACAGGCGCCCGCCACTACGCCCGGCTAATTTTTTGTGTTTTTAGTAGAGACGGGGTGGCCACAAATAAATTATTTAACCTGCCTTTCTAATTGTGGGTCATAAGACCCCCATTTTGGAAGAGTCCTATCTGATATCCTGGGGGAAGGAGGGATGCTCAGAGAGGCCAAGAAGGATCTGAACACGCAGGCCTTATGGGGTTTCCTGCTCAGTCGGTCAGTATTAGATCATAGGCTTTTTGTCCAATCACATTTCTACATGGTTGTCAATCAGGCCTATCCGATAAAGTCCCCATAAAAAGGCCAGAGAGGACAGGATTTGGAAGCTTCTGGAGAGCTGAACATATGGAGGCCCCCAGAGGGTGGCACACCCGGGGAGGGCATGGAATCTCCGCACCTCGCCCTCCGCATCCCCAATACCTCGCCCCACGCATCTCTTCATCTGTATCCTTTGTAATACCCTTTACGGCAAGCCAGTAAACGAATAAGTGTTTTCCTGAATTCTGTGAGCTACTCCAGCAAATTAATCAAACCCAAAGAGGGGGTTGTGGGACCCTCAACTTGAAGCCAGTCAGTCAGTTCTGGAGACCGGACTTGGGACTGGCATCTGAAGGAGGTGCAGTCTTGCAGGACTGAGCCCTGTGGGATCTGACACTATCTCCAGGTAGACAGTGTCAGAACTGAATTGGAGGATACCTAACTGCTGTCCCCTGCAGAATCCATTGCTTTCTTGGTATGTGGGGAAAAAAAATCCCCACACATTTGGTCATGGAAGTCTTCTGTGTTGATTATTATTGAGTGATATAATTAAAAACAAACAAACAAAAAAAAACCTTTGAGTGTGTTTTTTTCCACTCTCAGAACTTTCAAGAGTCATCCTGGCCAGGCACGGTGGTTCACGCCTGTGATCCCAGCATTTTGGGAGGCTGCGGCAGGCAGATAACTTGAGGACAGGAGTTCGAGACCAGCCTGGCCAACATGGCAAAACCCCGTCTCTACTAAAAATACAAAAATTAGCTGAGAGTGGTGGTGAGCACCTGTAGTCCCAGCTACTCGGGAGGCTGAGGCAGGAGAATCGCTTGAACCCAGGAGGCAGAGGTTGCAGTGAGCCAAGATCGTGCCATTGCACTCCAGCCTGGTGACAGAGCAAGACTCCATCTGAAAAAAAAAAAAAAGGAGTAATTCCAATTTAGAATTCTGAGTTTGTGCAAGGAAGGAAAGGGAGGACAACATTTAGCTCAGAGGCTCCAATTTTCTTAGACCCCAGACTTGTGTTTAAGGCTCTGAGGGTTATTCCTCTAAGCATTACTTAATTGATTATTTCAGCAATAGAGGCCCAGAAAAGTTAAGAGTTTTCTCTAGGGTCATACACTGGGTCAAAAAGAGAAAGAACCAATATGATGTTAGCAAGAGCTGCACACACTCCTATTGTCAAGTTAGAGAATCTTAGAATCACTAAAAAGAAAAAAGAATCATTGAGAATCAATCACTACAGACTTACCTCAGCCAAAAAAGGGGGAGAAAAAAAAAACAGACTTGCCTGGGCATTGCTGTTTTAAAATTCCCTTCCTTCTTTGCTGTGGAAGTGCCAATAAACAAGGAGGGTGATGCCAGAGAGGGGTGGCAGATGAGCCAGTCCCAGGCAATGCATACCCGAAATAGAACGTTGTTGAATAATTGCCCATGGACAGTGGGAGTTAAGTCTGATTTTCTCACTAGGGAAGAAATTAAATAAGTCGGCTATTTTTCTTATTTTTCACCAGCTTTATTGAGGTATAATTGAATAACGAAAATTGTGCATATACAAGGTGTACAATGTGATGACTTGGCAAATGCATGCATTGTGAAATGATTACCACAAACCAGCTAATTAGCTCACCCATCTCCTCACATAGTTGCCTTTTTGTGAGTGGCTAGAATCTTCAAGATCGATACTCTTAGCACATTTCAAGTGTACAACATAGTATTATTAACTATAGTCACCATGCTGTAACTTAGATCTCCAGAACTTACTCATTTTATAACAGTAAGTGTGTACTCTTTGACCAACATCTCCCCATTCCATCACACCTGTCACACCCCATCCCTGTTCAACATAGCACCACCTAGTCTCTACTTCTATGAGTTCAACTTTTTAAGATTCCACATATAAGTGAGATCCTGTGTTATTTCTCTTTCTGCATCTGGCTTATTTCACTTATCATGTCCTATAGATTCATCTATGTTGTCATAAATGGCAGTACCTCCTTATTTGTTTGTTTGTTTATTTTGAGACAGGGTCTCACTCTGTCGCCCAGGCTAAAATACAGTGGCACAATCGTGGCTCACTGTAGTCTTGACCTCTCTGGGCTCAGGTGAAACCTCCCACCTCAGCCTCCTGAGTAGCTGGGATTACAGGTGCATGCCACCACACCTGGCTAATTTTTATACTTTTGCAGAGATGGGGTTTCACCATGCTCTCCAGGTTGGTCTAGAACTTCTGGTCTCAAGCAATCCACCTGCTTAGGCCTCCCAAAATGCTGGGATTATAGGCATGAGCCACCACACCCAACTAGTTCCTTATTTTTATTTTTATTTATTTATATTTTTTGAGACGGAGTCTCACTCTGTCGCCAAGGCTGGAGTGCAGTGGCGTAATCTCGGCTCATTGCAAGCTCCACCTCCCAGGTTCACACCATTCTCCTGCCTCAGCCTCCCGACTAGCTGGGACTACAGGCGCCCGCTACTACGCCCAGCTAATTTTTTGTATTTTTAGTAGAGACGGGGTTTCACCATGTTAGCCAAGATGGTCTCGATCTCCTGACCTCGTGATCCGCCCGCCTCGGCCTCCCAAAGTGCTGGAATTACAGGCATGAGCCACCGTGCCCAGCCTAGTTCCTTATTTTTATGGCTGAATAATATGCCCTTGTATATATATACTACATGTTTTTAATCCATTTATCCATCACAGACACTTAGGTGGTTCATAATGCTGCAATGAATATGGAAGTGTAGCTACCTCTTTGAGGTATTGATTTCAATTCCTTTGGATATACACCCGGAAATAGGGGTCCTGGATCATATGATAGTTCTATTTTTAATTGTTGAGGGACCTCCACACTCTTCCAAAATGGCTATACCAATTTATATTCCCACCAACAGTGTACAAGGGCACCCTCTTCTCTACACCCTCACAAACACTTGTTATCATTTGACTCTGAAAAAAACTTGTTATAAATTTGACTTTTTGAAAACTAGACTTGTTATCAACATGTTATCATATTGTTGATATCATCTTATCAACTTGTTATCATGTTGACAACAAGTCGAACAGATATGAGCTGGTATCTCATTATGGTTTGGATTTACATTTCACTGATGTTTAGTGAATCTTAGTATATTTTCACATACCTGTTGGCCATTGTATGGCTTTTTTGGAGAAATGTCTGTTAGGCGCTTTGCCCATTTTTCAATTACATTGCTTTGTTCTTTGTTTTGTTATTGAGATGTGTGAGGTCCCTATATGTTCTGAATATTAACCCCTTAACAGATATGTGGTTTGCAAATATTTTCTCTGTAGGTTGCCTTTTCATTTTATTGTTTCCTTTGCTGTGCAGAAGCTTTTTAGTGTGATCTAGTCCCACTTATTTATTTTTTATTTTGTTGCCTATTATTTTGGTGTCATATTCAAATAATCATTGACAACACCAATGTCAAGAAGATTGTTTCTATGTTTTCTTCTAGGAGTGTTACGATTCTGGGTTTTACATTTAAATCATTTTGAGTTAATATTTGTGTGTGATGTAAGATAGGGGTCCATGTGGATATCCATTTTCTCAATACCATTCATTGAAGAGACTGTCGTTTCTCCCATTGTGTATTCTTGGCATTCTTGTCAAAGATTAGTTGACCATATATGCTGGAGTTTATTTATGGGATCTGTATTCTGTTCCATTTATCTATGTGTCTGTTTTTATGCCAGTATTATACTGTTTTGATTACTATAGCTTTATAATATAGTTTCAAATAAGGAAATTTGGTGTCTCCAGCTTTGTTATTCTTACTCAAGACCTCTTTGGCTATTTGGAGTCTTGTGGTTCCATATGAATTTTTTCTATATCTGTGGAAAATGCCATTGAAACTTTGATAGTGATTGCATTTAATTCATAGATCACTTTGGATAGTGTGGATATTTTAACAATATTAATCACTCCAACCCCATGAACATGGGATATGTTTTCTTTGTCTCTAAAATTTCTTTCATCATTGTCTTATAGTTTTCAGTGTACAGATCTCTTACCTACTTGGTTAAACTTCTTCCTACATATTTTGGATTTTTTATGAAATTGTAAATGGGATTATTTTCTTAATTTCTTTTTGGATAGTTGGTTGTTTGTGTATAGAAATGCAACAGATTTTTGTACGTTAATTTTGTATCCTACAATTTTACTGAATTAATTTATTAGTTCTAGCCATTTTCTGGTGGAGTCTTAGGGTTTTCCATATATAAGATCATGTCATCTGCAAACATAGGCAGTTAACCTCTTCCTTTCTGATTTGGGTGCCTTTTATTTCCTTTTCCTAGCTCTGGCTAAAACTTCCAGAACTGTGTTAAATAGTAATGAAAATTATCCTTTCTTGTTCCTAACCTGAGAGGAAAAAGCTTTCAACTTTTCATTATTGAATATGATGTTAGTTATGAGCTTGTGGCATATGGCTTTTATTGTGTTGAGGCACATTTCTTCTGTTCCTCATTTCTGAGAGTTTTTTAAAATCATGAAATGATGTTGAATTTTGCTGAATGTCTTTTCTGCATCTATTGAGATGATCATATGGTTTTTGTCCTTCATTCTCTTAATGTGGTGTATCACATTTGTTGTTGGTCTGCATATGTTGAACTATCCTTATATCCCAGGGAAAAATTCCACTTGATCATTATGTATAATCTTTTTTTTTTTTTTTTTTTTTTTGAGACAGAGTCTCGCTGTGTCATCTAGGCTGGAGTGCAGTGGCATGATCTCGGCTCACTGCAACCTCTGCCTCCAGGGTTCAAGCAGTTCTTTGCCTCAGCCTCCCGAGTAGCTGGGACTATAGGCGCCCACTCCTACACCTGGCTAATTTCTGTATTTTTAGTAGAGATGGGGTTTCACCATCTTGGTCAGACTAGTCTTGAACTCCTGACCTCGTGATCCACCTGCCTCAGCCTCCCAAAGTGCTGGGATTATAGGCGTGAGCCACCATGCTCGCCCTGTATTATCCTTTTAATGTGCTTTGAAGGTGGTTTGTTAGTATTTTCTTGAAGACTTAAAAAATCTACACTCATCAAAAATAGTGACCTGTAATTATCTTTTCTTGTAATGTCCTTATCTGGCTTTGGTATGAGGATAAAGCTGGCAATGTAAAATCAGTTTAGAAGTGTTCTCACCTCTTCAATTTTTGGAAGAATTTGAGAAGAACTGGCAATAATCCTTCTTCAAATGTTTGGTAGAATTCATCTGTGAAACCATTTGGTCCTAGGCTTTTCTTTTCTTCTTCTTTTTTTTTTTTTTTTTTTTTTTTTTTGAGACAGAGTCTCGCTTTGTCGCCCAGGCTGGAGTGCAGTGGCATGATCTCGGCTCACTGCAAGCTCCATCTCCCAGGTTCACGCCATTCTCCCGCCTCAGCCTCCCGAGTAGCTGGGACTACAGGCACCCATCACCACGCTGGGCTAATTTTTTTTTTTTTGTATTTTTAGTAGAGAGGGGGTTTCACCATGTTAGTCAGGATGGTCTCCATCTCCTGACCTTGTGATCCGCCCACCTGGGCCTCCCAAAGTGCTGGGATTACAGGCATGAGCCACTGTGCCCAGCCAGTCTTAGGCTTTTCTTTAATGTGAAACATTTTATTACTGCTTCAGTAATTAAATTTAGTAATAAAATTCTTGTTACTCATTATTGATCTGTTCAGATTTTCTACTGCTATATGCTTCAGCCTTGGTAGGTTGTTTGTGTCTAGAAATTTATCAATTTCTTCTGATTATTCAATTTGTTGATATATACATATTCATTATAATCTCTTATGATCCTTTGTATTTCTGTGGTATCAGTTGTGGTGTCTCCTCTTTTACTTATAATTTCATTTATTTCAGTCCTCTCTTTTTTTCTTGGTGAGTTTAACGAAAGTTTGTTTATTTTGTTTATTTATTTATTTAAGATGGAGTCTCACTCTGTCACCCACCCTGGAGGGCACTGGCATAATCTCAGCTCACTGCAACCTCTGTCTTCTGGGTTCAAGCAATTCTCCCACCTCACCCTCCAAGGAGCTGGAATTACAGGCATGAGCCACCACACCTGGCTAATTTTTGCATTTTTTAGTAGAGACAGGGTTTCACCATGTTGGCCAGGCTGGTCTTGAACTCCTGACCTCAAGTGATCCACCCACCTCAGCCTCCCAAACATTTTGTTTATTTTTAAACATGAATCCAGATGTCCATATTCCTCCCAAGATTTGAGAAGTCTTCAGCCATTATTTCTTTAAATAGGCTTTAATTTCCTTTGTTTCCTCCTCCTAGAAATCCTCAAATGAATATATTCATTTGTTTGATGGTGTCTTGTAGGGCTTGTATACTTTCTTAACTCTTTTTCATTATTTTTTTCTTTCTATTCCTCTAACTGGCTAATTTCAAATGACCTGTGTTTGAGTTCACTGACTCTTCTGCATAATTAAAAAAAAAAAAAAATCTGCTGCTGAAGCTCTCTATTGAATTGCTTAGTTCTGCCGTTGTATTCTTCAGCTCCAGAATTTCTGTTTGATTCTTTTTTCTCCATTAATCTTCTTATTTTATTCATGCATTGTTTTTCTGATTTCATTTAGCTGTCTGTCTGTGTTCTCTTGCATCTCATCAAGCTTCTTTAAAATGAGTGTAGTTGTCCCTCAGTATCCATGGAGGACTAGTTCCAGGACCTCCCATGGATATGAAAATCTGTGGGTGCTGAAGTTTCTGATATAAAATGGCATAGTATTTGTATATAACCTATGCACATCCTCCTGTATACTTTAAATCATCTTAGATTACTTATAATACCTAACACAGTGTAATTCTATGTAAATAGTTGTTATACTGTATTGTTTAGGGAATAATGACAACAAAAAGCCTATCTGTGTGCAGTTGGAGACACGAAAATAGTTTTGATCCATGGTTGACTGAATCCATGGATGCAGAACCCACAGGTACAGAGGCCTGACTTCATTTTGAGTTCTTCATCAGGCAATTTGTAGACCTCCATTTCTTGGGGTCTGCTACTGGAGCTTTATTAGTTTCTTTTGGTAGTGTCGTGTCTGCCTGATTCTTTGTGCTCCATGTAGGCTTGCATTGGTGTTTGCACATTTGAAGGAGCAAACCCTTCTTCTAGTCTTTACAGGCTGGTTTTGGCAGGCAAAGACCTTCTGCTGCCATCCAGACCAATGGGATTGTTTCTGGGATCACAGCTGAGTGGGTTTGGGGCCAGGTTATGTGGCTGTTGCTGGGTCTGCATGGGGTCCATCATTGGTAGGCCTGTTACCAGACATTCAGGTGGGTGATAATTCAGCCTTTGTCCCTGGGCAGATGGAACTGCCTCCAGAAAATTGGGCAGTAGGTCTGGCACTAGGACAGTAATCCACTTCAGAGTGCTCAGTTGGGTCTGCAAACAGTGGGCCTGTTACCATGTGTGTGGATGAGTGTGGCTTCTGCCAGGTCCCTGAGACGTCTCCTATTGGGTCACTGGGAAAGTCTCTGGGTGGGGAGGACTGACTTTAGGCTATGGCTGAGTGGGGCTAGAACTAAGTCACAAGGCTGCTTCAGAGTCTACAGCACAGACTGAGGTCTGCAAGTCTGCCTCCAGGGGTATGGATGGGTATGCCTCTTGCTGGATTCCTTGGTGGGCAGGACTGCCCCAAATCATGGCTTAGCAGAATTGGGGCTGGGTCACAGGTCACTTCATTATCTCCAGTTGGACTGAGGTCCAGGGTCTCAGTTGGGTGTGTCTCCATCTGATGCCCTTGGTGAGCAGAACCATTCTCAAGCCATGGTTGAAAGGAGCTGGAGCTTGTTACGGGGCTATTTCAGGATCAGCAGTCAACCTTCAGTCAGTGGGCATGTTACATGAGGCATGGGTGAGCATGACTCCTCCTAGGGCCTTTGGTGGATCATGTTGGTGGCAGGACCAAGGCCAAATGGGGCTGTAGCTGAGTCCACAGGGGAATAGGCTGTTTCCAGGTGTGTAGCTGGGACCACAGTCAGTGAGCCTGGCCACCTGGGACTGCCATAGTCAGTGAGCCTGCTTTCTCAAAATGGCCCTCCTTGGTCATGGCCTCCACCAGAGTTTTGCAACCTCCTACCTGGATCCCAGAGCTTGCACACAGGCATTTTGTCTGTGGATGGCTGTAAAACTGTTGTTGCTGTAGGGGATACAAGAAAGGGAACTCCTTTTCCACCATCTTGCTAAAGTTACCAGAAAATCAGTTATCACTTTTTTTTTTTTTTGAGACAGAGTCTCGCTCTGTCGCCCAGGCTGGAGTGCAGTGGTGCAATCTCAGCTCACTGCAAGCTCCACCTCCCGGGTTCACGCCATTGTCCTGCCTCAGCCTCCCAAGTAGCTGGGACTACAGGCGCCCGCCACCATGCCCAGCTAATTTTTTTGTATTTTTAGTAGAGGCGGGGTTTGACCGTGTTAGCCAGGATGGTCGCAATCCCCTGACCTCATGATCCACCTGCCTTGGCCTCCCAAAGTGCTGGGATTACAGGCGTGAGCCACTGCGCCCAGCCTCTTTATCACTTTTAATGTCAGAAAATAATGAAAAAATAAATAAATTCAGTTTACTATTCATTTAACAAGTTACTAGCAGAAGTAGAACACTCAGAAAGGAAAGGGTCGAAGACGAGGCCTGAGTGAGGATGTCAGAGGGAGGAAAGAATGGGGGTGGATTGCAGAGGAGAACAGAGTTAAGAGTTGAGGAAGCTCTAAGGGCTCTGAAAGCCAGTGTCACAGCAGTGTGGACAGGAGGATGGGGGTTGGGGATCTTTCCTGTTTGTGAATATAAATTGTGCTTGCTTTTTATTGTTTTTAAATAAGATAGTAGTTAAGCTCTAACTTTTCCTTAGAATGCAGCTTTAGCTGTATTCCATAATTGTATTCTTCTTTCATTAATTTCTAGATACCTTGACATTTGATTTTGATTTTTTCTTTGATCCAGGGTTTACCTAGAAAAGTGTTCAAGTAGTTATTATTATATATTTTTTTTGAGATAACGTCTTGCTCTGTCGCCCATGCTGGAGTGCAGTGGTGCGATCTCAGTTCACTGCAACTTCCACCTCCCTGGTTCAAGCAATTCTCCTGCCTCAGCCTCCCGAGTAGCTGGAATTACAGGTGTGTGCCACCACACCTGGCTAATTTTTGTATATTTAGGAGAGATAGGGTTTTGCCACGTTGACTAGGCTGGTCTTGAACTCCTGGCCTCAGGTGATCCACCTGCTTCAACCTCCCAAAGTGCTGGGATTGCAGGCGTGAGCCACCGCACCTGACTGGAAGTAGTTATTTTTCTGGTCATATTAAGATTTACGGGCCAGGCATTGTGGCTTGTGCCTGTAATCCCAGCACTTTGGGAGGCCAAGGTGGGAGGATCACCTGAGGCCAGGAGTTCAAGACCAGCCTGGCCAACATGGTGAAACCCTGTCTCTAATAAAAATACAAAAAAAATTAGCCAGAGGTGGTGGTGGTGCATGCCTGTAATCCCAGCTACTGGGGAGGCTGAGGCATGAGAATTCCTTGAACCCGGGAGGCAGAGGTTGCAGTGAGCAGAGATCATGCCACTGCACTCCAGCCTGGGTGACAGGGCAAGACCCTGTCTCAACAACAACAACAAAAAGATTTATGGAATTATGGTCAGCAAAAACAGTTTGTAAAGTTTCTACTTTGGGGATTTTAATAAGGCTTACTTCGTTGTTAAGTACATGATTGATTATTAAAAATGTGCTATAAGAAAAACTTGATACTATGTGTATGAACCAAGGTTATCAGTCTGCCTAATTAGACCAAGCTGAGGGATTGTGTCCTTCAGAACGAAATGTTTGCAGATATTTTTTCTGACTTGCTCTTTCAATTTCTGAAAGCTGCATTTAATGTTCCCACAGTGGCTATTCATCCTGGGAGCTGCTGCTCTACACATCTATCTGCCAAGCTTGGTGTGGACTAGTTGTGGCTTCCATGACTTTTCATGGCCTTTTATCAAAACATGGACCCCTTCATTATCTCTGAATATTTCTGACCTTACTATTTCTGATTAACTAACAGTAACCCACCTCTTGTTGTTGTTGTTTGTTGTTGTTGTTGTTGTTGTATTTTTAATCAATCTTTTTGGCCTCAGGCAAGTGACAAAAATTCTTCCTTGGCCAAACTCTAAACAGTCTCTTTTGAGCCCCTTCTCAACCAGGCCCCAATAAACTCTAACATAGTTTCTAATAGCTCACAGCTATATCCCTAGCACCCATAATGTGCCTGCCTAGGAAAACTCAAGGCTGCCAAAAGAATTTAGTTTATTCCAGCCAACACCTGAAGGTAGGGCCTTCAAGCAGGGTCTCCCAGCCTCTGTGGGCAGACAGGAGCCTAATCTTGATATGTGTCAGTTAGTTAGCAAATCCACATGGGTTTCACATGGACCAGAGCCGCCTTCCCAGCTCTCTGTAATTTTTTACTTCCCTGGCTCCACTGAGCCCCTACTCACCCACTCCCTAGTCCCTCATCCTCCCTTTAAAATGCCTGGTCACTTCTGTTCAGATTGATGCGTTCATGCTGGATTTTCTCCTATTACCAATAGTTACTAATTGAGGCCGGGTGCGGTGGCTCATGCCTGTAATCCCAGCACTCTGGGAGGCCGAGGCAGGTGGATCACCTGAGGTCAGGTGTTTGAGACCAGCCTGGCCAACATGGTGAAACCCCGTCTCTACTAAAAATTCAAAAATTAGCTGGGTGTGGTGGCGTACACCTGTAATCCCAGCTACTTGGGAGGCTGAGGCTGGAGAATCCCTTGAACCTAGGAGGCGGAGGTTGCAGTGAGCCAAGATTGTGTCACTGCATTCCAGCCTGGCCTGGGCGACAGAGTAAGACTCTGTCTCGAAAAAAAAAAAAAAAAAAGTTACTGATTCTGATTGAAACGTGTCCTCACCACTCTAGTGTCTGGCTTTGGCAGATGGTCACCTGGCATTTGGCAGTGGAACTCACGGAAGGATTAACTTCTGACAGAGCACCAGCACCCAACATGCACCCCATTTCATCCCGTATCAGTATTGGTGTCCTACTTTTTAATCCAAATGAAAACTAATGCAGACATTTTTACTTGGTGTAAGAGAAGTCGCCTTCAAAAGTTCAATAATTTAACTTCATGGTAGGAGGGAAGTGCAGGAAAAGTGTTTTACTTTTCTTCTGCACATGTGAATTCATGCGCACGGTCACCAAGACCTGTGACCACAAAGCCTTGTGTGAGGGCTTTATTACTTGGCTGCACTTGAAGCCAAGTTAGGGGGAGAAAGGAGGGGCTTCCGGTGAAACACGAAACTTTGTTCCCCTGACTTCCATCTGTGGACATAGATTGTGAGAAGAAAATCAACTTGAGTTCGAGAAAAGCAAAACAGTATCAAAAAACAAATCAAAACAAAGGTAAATAAAGGTAAGACGCAGAGAACAAGAAAAGCAGATAGGATCACGCTGGCACCGCAAGAACACACAAAGATGGTAACTGCAACCATCGAGCCCACACTCGGCTAAGTCAGGTAAGGTGGCAGGTTAATGTTTGGTGCACAAGAATGTTCACTATGACATTAGAAGAGCAACAGTTTAGAAACAGCCTAAATGCTAAAAAATTTAGAGGTGGAGAATTTTATTTACCAGAAATTCACAATGAGGATTTTTAGAAAGAAAACCAGTGAACAAATAATTGCACTCCTTGGGGTAGAAGAGAAACTTGTGTGCGTGTGTCTGTGTGTGTGTGGTGTGTGGTGTGTGATGTGTGGGTGGTGTGTGTAGGGTTTGTCTGGTGTGTGTGTGTTGTGTGGTTTGTGTGTGTGTGGTATATGTGCTGTGTATGTGCATTTGTGTATATGATGTGTTTGGTTTGTGTGTGGAATGTATGTATATATGTATGTTTGTGTGATGTGTGTTTTTGTGTGAGGTGTGTATGGTGTGTATGTGTTTGTGTGTGGTGTGTGTGTGTGAGGTGTGTGTTTGGTGTTTGTGGAGTGTATGTATGTGATATGTGTGTGGAGTGTATGTGTATGGTGTGTGTGATGTGTGTAGTATGTGAGGTGTGTGTGTGGTGCATGTTTGCGGTGTGTGGTGTGTGATGTGTGTGGTGTATGTGTGTGGTATGTGAGGTGTGTGTGTGGTGTTTGTGGTATGTGTGAGGTTGTGTGAGGTGTGTGGTGTATGTGTGGATGGTGTGTGAGTTGTGTATGTGATGTGTGGTGTTTCTGGAGTGTTTGTGTGTGTGCACATGTGTGTGCTGTATGTGTGGTGTGTGTGTGTAATTTGTGTGCGAGGTGTGCAAGGTGTGTGTGTTATCTGTGATGTGTATGTGGCGTGTGTGATATGTGAGCGGTGTGTATGGTATGTGTGAAATGTGTGGTGTGTATATGTTATGTATGTGTCTCTGGTATATGAGGTGTGTGTGTGTAGTGTGTGTGTGGTGTGGGTTGATGTGGTGTGTATGTGTGTGGTGTGTGCAAGATGTGTGTGGTGTGTGTGGTGTGTGTGTATAAGTGTGCATGTGAATGTGTATATGGTGTGTGTGTGAATGTGTGTGGTGTTTGCAGAATACGTGTCTGTGTGTGGTGTATGTGTGTATGAGTCTGTATGGTGCTGAAGGTGTGTGTGGTGTGTAAGTGTGTGTGGTGTGTGTGGAATGTGTGTGGGGGTGTGGGTGTGTGCAGTGTGTATGAGTGTGTGGTGTGTGTGGTGTATGTGTGGTGTGTGTGTATGAGTGTGTGTGGTGTGTGTGGAACGTGTGTGTGGGTGTGGGTGTGTGTGGTGTATGTGTATGTGTGGTGTGTATGTGTATGGGTATGTGTGGAATATGTGTGGGTTGTGTGTGTGGTGTATGTGTATGGGTGTGTGTGTGGTATGTGTGGTGTCTGTGTGGAATGTGTGTGGTGTGTATGTGTATGGGTATGTGTGGAATGTGTGTGGGGTGTGTGTGTGGTGTATGTGTATGGGTGTGTGTGTGGTATGTGTGGTGTGTGTGAAATTGTGTGTGTGGTGTATGTGTATGAGTATCTGTGTATGTGTGTGGGGACAATTATTTATGGAGCACCTACGCTCTTCACCAGCAGTGAACACAAGAGAGGGGGAAACCCTGCTCTGGGGACGTCACCTCCCATGATGCCATTCGCAGTTGGGGACCAACTTCCTCCATTTGTGGCTTTCACTCTGAGAATGCCTCAACACGCAGGTTTCTCCACCGATTGGTATTTACACCCCCCACTTTAAACTGCTTTCCTGCCCTTTTTTCTGGCTGTGACTAGAATTATTTTTAGGGAAAAGAGAGAAGGATCTGGATGAATGAATTAATTAGAATTCATTTTCTAGTGGCATTTCTCCCAGTTCCTTCATTTCTGCTTGAAGGACAATTAAGGGTTCCGGTGTGGCTAATCATGTGGATTAAGAGTGGCTTCTTGTCTCCCATACAAATCCAAATGACTCACCACCAGTCATTTTTCCCGCTTTCTATGATCCTGAGATCCTAACTTCACTAACTGGGAAGTTACAGTTTTCAGAGATGCATTTTTTTTTTAAATAATGAGAGTGACTTTCTCAGTTTTATGTTACACTCTCTTGGCAAATAAGCTGCCTGTGCTGCTGTAGCCTGCACATTTTTGTTTGCAGTTAAAGAGGATGAAGAAGCCATCACCGGGTTCAGGTGCAGACACCTTTTTAGATGATTCTTAGTTACAGTGATTTTTAGAGGCACAGTTGATGACTAGTGGAAAGGCTTTCCGACCAGACTCTTTAAACTACCCACTCAGGCCAAGGAATCCCCCTCACCAGCTGCGTTTTCCTCAGGGAACTGAGCTTCCCAACCCTGTAGAATGTACTTCCCTTCCCTTCATGTGTCTGTTTGGTTCTCTGCCCCATCCCTGTGCCCAGAATAGCACCAGGCCTCCAGCAGACTGAGATCTCCATCTGTGGTCCAGGTTAATCTAATAATCTCACATCGGATCAGTTTGACCATCGGGATTTCTGTGGTCTAGTCTCTAATACCGCATGTCTGCATTTGGGATAGAGCATTTCACCCACAATTTAACCAAAAAATGCTGTTCCAAATAATCGTGTTGGCCACAGTATATTAAACACGCAGCTTTCCTAATAAGCACTTTAGTTTTCTTGCACATACAAGGAAGAGATTGGGTTTTTATATAGACTAGGTTATTTCAGCAAAAAAAAAAAAAAAAAATCCCGAAGGGATAATCAAGTTAATACAATTTGTTAAAAGGGAACACTACATGTGCAATGAGTTTGCATATTTATAGAACCCACATAATAAAGCCAGCTTTTACCAGATCACTTTCCCTTGTAAACATGGTCAATTGTATCTTGTAGGAAAGAAATGTAACAGTTATGTTAAACTAATGAAGTTCACATTGAAAACTATTTTAGGTAACTAGAAGTTTACTCTTACTGCATAATAACTAAAACTCGAAGAAAATTTACCTGAAATTAAAAAAGAAAAGCGTTGCTCGCTTTTATGGGACCACTTGCCTTAGAGAGGGAGCCCCCACAACACGTGAGTCTCCTCCCACCCCGTCCATGGACCTCCGTGCCAGCAGAGAGCAGCTCTTATATATGAATATGTGTAGTGTGTATGGAACGTGGTGTGTGTATAGTATATGTGTATATGAGTGTGTATCTGTGTGTGGGAACAATTATTTATGGAGCGCCTCTCTGTGCTGGGGACCAGCAGTGAACACAAGAGGGAGAAACCCTGCCTTAGGGACCTCACCTCCCACGATGCCACCTTCGCAGGTGGGGACTGACTTTCTCCATCTGTGGCTTTCACGTACCTCGACACACACATTTGTCCAGGGACTGGTATTTATGCTACCCCCCCCCCCCCTTCTTAAACTGAAGGACCTTTTTCTGGCTGTGAACTAAAATTACTTTTAGGGAAAAAAGAAAGAGAACCCTTGTGAACATGGTCAATTGTATTTTGTAGGAGAGAAACGTAACATTTATGTTAAGCGAATGAAGTTCACATTGAAAACTATTTTAGGTAACTAGAAGTTTACTCTTACTGCGTTATTAAAACTTGAAGAAAATTTACCTGAAATTATAAAAAAATTAAATTTTTGAAATTAAAAAATATTTTTTAAAAAATTAAACTTCAATTTTAAAGTTAAATTAAAATTTAAATATTTTTAATTTTAAAATTAAAAATTCAGAGCCCGCGAGCACAGCAGACAGGCACCAGCTCCCAAGCAAGAACAGCAGCGAATCAACATTTACTCCGAAAAAAAAAAAAAAAAAAACCCTTTCAGAACAGTTTGTGCTCCTGTTCAGCCCAGGAGACGTCGTTCCTGCTTTTACGCGGCGCCATGTCCTTCTTGGCGTACACTTGGCAAAACAGAATGAGAACTGTAGGTCGATAGAGAGACCTCCCTCCCTCTCGCCGGACCCCTCCCTCTCGCCGGACCCCTCCCTCTCGCCGGACCCCTCCCTCTCGCCGGACCCCTCCCTCTCGCCGGACCCAACTGGGTAGGGCGAGGAGCCAGGGGTGGGCGGGGAGGCGCCTGCGGGGAGGTCTGGAGCACGCCCGAGGCCAGGAGGAGGCGGAGCCGTAGCGAGCGTATGAAGGGAGGACCTGAGCTAAGGACCCGCGCCCGCCCGGGGGTTCCAGCATGCGGGGGAGTGGTCCCAGAGGAAGACAGGTCATTCCAGGGCCCCTAACCTTTTCTGCACCTTGGACCCATTTGGACTTGGGTCTCTTCTCAGGGTATAATTTCATAACACAAAAAATAAAACACAAACTTCAAAGATAACATCTAATATTAAAATTATCAAAATATTTAAAAAATAACATTGGGATGTGTTATCATTTGTGTGCTTCTGTATTAACTCAATAACAAGATTTTGCAGCGGGCCCAATAATGTGTGTTATTGTCAAGCAGTGATGAGCGAAATAGAATTTCTAGTATCGGCCACAACTGCAAAGTGACATGAAAATAACCAGTGTTTAGTGGCGACCAGCCACCCATAATAGCAATACGTCTCTGGGTTTTTTCCCTATGTGTATAATAAGGGAAATGCTACATCGCAGTTCTGAATGAAATGTAGGTTAGTGATTTTTTTTTTCCCAACCCAAGTTCCCAGGCAGAACTATGAGGGTCTTGGCAGAACCGTGGGGGTCTTGGGCTCTGCGACTGAGGAAAGATAGAGTCTTCAGGTGAAGGAAGAGCTCTGCCTCCAAAGAAAGAGTGCAGCCACTGGGAATCACAAGCTGCAGAGGAACGCAGGTACCAGATGTCCTGGTGTGCCCACGATGGAGGCGGCAGGCTTTCGCCCTTTATCTAATGCTATGAGCGTGGGCCTCATCAGCTGCCACAGCTGCGCTCTGGCTGAGGCATCACTCAGCAAATACTGCTTTCTCAGGAAGACCTATTCTGTTTTTTGTTTTTGTTTTTTGTTTTGTTTTGTTTTGTTTTTTACAGTATTTCCTGTTTAATAACCTGCCTCCAGAGAGTAGGGATGGTGTTCCCCAGCTTGTTCACCACTGAACCCAGCCTGTGCCCAAGAAGCATTTGTTGAATGGCTGTGTGGACAAATAAATAAATGAAGGGCATTTGATGAGAATTCATAAACTATTCATAGAACTTTCTCTGTGACTGCAATCCTTTCATCTAAGTAATGTTTTCCTCAGATATTCTTAAAAGTACATGGCTCTCATTCCACACCCACTGAGATGGCTATATATACAGTACATAAGGCAGATAATAACCAGTGCTGGTGAGGATGTGAAGAAACTGGAGGCCTCATTCATTGCTGGTGGGAAGGTGAAATGGTGCAGCCACTATGGAAAATAGTTTGGAAGTTTCTTAAAAAGATAACAAATGCCGGGTGTGGTGGCCCATGCCTGTAATCCCAGCACTTTGGGAGGCAGAGGTGGGAGAATTCCTTGAGCTTAGCAATTTGAGATGAGCCTGGGCAACATGGTGAAATCCCATCTCCACAAAAAAAAAAAAAAAAAAAAAATTAGCCAGGCATGGTGGCATGGGCCCGTAGTGCCAGCTACTCAGGAGGCTGAAGCAGGAAGATCCCTTGAGCACAGGAGATTGAGGGTACAGAGAGCTGTGTTTGCACCACTGCACTCCAGCCTGGGTGAGAGAGTGAGACCCTGTTTCAAAAACAAAAATCAACGATTTACTATACGACTCAGTGATTTCACTCCTAGGAATCGACCCAAGAGAAGTGAAAACATATGTCCACACATGAATGTATGCAAATGTTCACAGTAACATTATTCACAATAGCCCCAAACTAGAAAAATTCAAATGTCCATGGATGGATGAATGGATGAACAGTGTGGTATATCTTTACAATGGAATACTATGCAGCAAAAAAAAAGGACTTTTTTTTTTGAGATGGAGTCTCGCTCTGTACACCATGGATGAAACTTGAAAACTTTCTGCTCAGTGAAAGAAGCCAGAGGCAAATACTACATATTCTATGGTTCCATTAATATGAAATGTCCAGAAAAGGCAAATCCATAGAGACAGGAAGCAGAACAGGTTGCCTGGGGCTGACAAGCATGAGGGACCCTTGCAGGATAATGGAAATGCTCTGAAATTAGACTGGGGAGAAGGCTGCACACTCTGCAAATGGACTAAAAAATCACTGAATTGACACCTAGAATGAGTGAATTTTACGCAAGTAAATTATTGAGAGGCGAAGCCAGCTGGACTTGAGTTGAGTGGAGACTTGGAGAACTTTTCTTACAAGAGAATTGTAACATGCACCAATCAGCGCTCTGTAAAAATGCACCAATCAGTGCTCTGTACCTAGCAAGGGGATTGTAAAATGATGCACCAATCAGCACTCTGTAAAAACGCACCAATCAGTGCTCTAGCTAGCAAGAAGATTGTAAAATGCACCAATCAGCACTCTGTAAAACACACCAATCAGCGCTCTGTAAAATGCACCAATCACTGCTCTGTAAAATGCACCAATCAGCAGGATTCTAAAAGTAGCCAATCGTGCAGAAGACTGAAAAAAAGGCACTCTGATAGGACAGAAAGGGAACATGAGAGGGGGGCAAATATGGGAATAAAAGCTGGCCATCTCCTAGCCAGCAGCGGCAACCGCTCGGGTCCCCTTCCACACTATGGAAGCTTTGTTCTTTCGTTGTTCACAATAAACCTTGCCGCTTCTCACTGTCTGGGCCCGTACCATCTTTAAGAGCTGGAAAAACTCACCGCGAAAGTCGGTGGCTTCATCCTTGAAGTCAGCGAGACCACGAACCCACCGGCAGGAACCAACTCCAGACACATTATGCCACAACAAAGCTGTTAAAATATGAAGTGGGGACTCAGTCTTCTGTAACACAACCAGGGGACACTAACTGAGCCCCAAGATTTCTACCTGAAGGGACCAGAAGAGCCTGCCGTGGGGCCTGGAACTCATTGCTAAAAAATGTTGTGGGTCTCCCAGGGTAAGAAGTGTGAGGTCGCAGCACATAAGAAAAGTCAAACGAGGCAACAGCCAGATTTCAAGAGCACCGCAGGTCCGTGCACCCATCTGTTCCCACCCTGTCGGTCCATCTGACACTGGCCCGTGTTAGTTCCGTGCTGTGGCTGCAGTATCCCTTTGCATTATTTATGGGAAAAGCTTTGCCAAGCAAGTTGAGAATAGAAATAATAGAAGCAGGAGGATGCTTCGGGAACACTAATAATATTCCAGGCAATCCGCATGTTAGTCTTTGGCTCCTGTAGCCTAATTTGAATTATTTTGTGTATCTGAAAGTAATGGTGAATTTTCTGAACAAAATGCTATGGTTCCACATTCTTATTAGTTTACACTGGCTTTCCCCCAAAACAGGTGGCTTTAGTGCAGTTTTCCTGTAAAGACACCACCGTGGTGAGGAGACAATCAAAATGCAGTTAAAAAAAAAAAAAAAGAGAGACAAAAAGATGATTTTTCAAAACTAGGAAAAGAAAAGCCATATTAGACAGCTAGTGGAATGTAGAAAAATGCTTGTGCGGATAAGGCAATAAGGATGGAAAGGCGGCCTTGTCAGATACCGTACAGGAGCAGGCAGTGCCATGGAGAGAACACAGAGCTGGCACCAATGGGCAGGAGGAGCTGGAGAAGCCACTGCCTCCCTGCCTCCTGGATTCCCTCCACCTGTCTGGACCCCTCTCCCTTCCCAGACACCGCCTCCACTTTGACTCATCAAGTATCGTTCACGTAGGCACCCCAGTCCATCTGGAGTTAGCCCCTGGTGGACTGCAGCAATGAAAGGGCAGGGCTGGGACATCTTGGGGGGAGTGATAGTTGCCCTGTGGGCGGAGGTTGTTGCTGCCGTCCTGCGGGGGTTGTAGCTGCCATCCTGGGAGGGGAAGTAGCTGCCATCCTGGGGGAGTTATAGCTGCCACCCTGGGGGGGAAGTTGTAGTTGCCATCCTGGTGGGGGTTGTAGCTACCATCCTGGGGGGTTACAGCTGCCATCCTGGGGGAGTTGTAGCTGCCATCCTGGGGCGGGGGGGGGGGGTTGTAGCTGCTGTCCTGTGGAAGTTGTAGCTGCCCTACCAGGGGACTTGTAGCTGCCATCCTCGAGGTGGTTGTAGCTGCCATCCTGGGCGAGGAGGTTGTAGCTGCCATTTTGGGGGGATTGTTGCTGCCATCTTGGGGGCGGTGGTAGCTGCCATCCTGGGGGTGGTTTATAGCTGCCATCCTGGGAGGGTTGTAGCTGCCATCCTGGGAGAAGTTGTAGCTGCCATCCTGGGAGAGGTTATAGCTGCCATCCTGGGGAGGTTGTAGCTGCCATCTTGGGGAGGTTGTAGCTGCCATTCTGGCGGGGGGGGGGGGTTGTAGCTGCCTGGGAGGGGTTAAAGTTGCCATCCTGTGGGGTGCTGTAGCTGCCATCCTGGGTGTGGGGCGCGGCTTGTAGCTGCCATCCTAGAGGGGTGTGACAGTTGGCTTCTGAAGTTCCAGAGATATAGTCACTTTCTTCTGGTGCCTCCCCTGGGTACTTGCAGATGCCCAAGGGCCTTCCAATGCCCAGTGGATGGTTTGATACACCTCTCTGCCTCTGGGCAACATTTTCACTGAAAAGCTGACTGAGAAGGAGCATGAACAGGACAAATTAGTGTAAAAAACAATGAGCTTAAGATGCCAACTTGCCCTGTCTTTCTAAAAGCCTGCATGAGAGTTGAGCTATGTGTCCCCAGGCCCTTCATGGGCAGCTGCCCTGGGCAGAGATGTGAACAGCATTCCAGGGCTGGGGGAGCCAGCACTCTCAGGTGTCTTGGTGGCTGGGTGCACTGGCCGAGCCCCACGGAGGGCACTGTGGCACTGATGATTGGCAGCTCATTCCCCAGCAAAGCCACTCTGGGGATGTCTCCAGCAGTCACACTTGCAGACTCCGCAGCGGCAGTGAGCAATGGGTTCAACCAAGTTCCCTCCACCCCTAGCACAGAATACTAATGAACCAGAGCTCCCTACCACTAACAAGCTGAGGTCACCAAAACACACTGTCCAGTGAAAAGAGCAAGGCAGAAAACAAGTTGTAGAGAAAGTTACCACTTGTGTAAAAAAGTCAAAGGAAGAACTAGAAGAACATACGTGTATATTGACTTACGTATGTATAAAGGAACTCTGGGAAGATCCCTCAGAAACAGTTAACAGCAGTTACTTGTAGGGGGAGGGTGGAGGGAAATCTGGGCAAATGAGGGATGGAACTTCCCTTGGTATCTTTAAACTATGGGACTACATCAGCTACTCAATAATTAATAAGTTAAATGAAAAAGGAACGCGACACTGTAAAGACAACGAGGCTATGTCCTTCTTTGCAGCTGGTATCAGGTAAACCTACACCCAGGCCTTCTCTCCCTAAATAGAGCATTACTCTTTTATTTCAAGAGCCAATTATTGGGCACCCACTAAGAGCCAGGCCAAGAAATACTTGCAATCTCTACTACTTTGGGGAATGATGAGGGAGGAAAGTGTGTGGGGTGGGAGGAGAATTGATCTTGGGAAGTTCGTGTGGACTGACTGTGGCGAGGAGAGGGTCAGAGATCTCACTTTGAAGCACACTGACTTTGACACAACCCCCTTTTCAAAGTTCATCTCAAAAAGGATTTTAGATATTCCCGTAGGAAACACATAAAACCAATGCCTGTGCAAGATTTATTTTAAACATCAGATCACAAACTGTCCAAAAATAGTGATCAGTGTGCAATTGTGAGGTCAAACTAAACCTGAATTGAGTTTTTAAACAGTGTTTCCATGTTGGGAGAACCAAGGGATTTTCCTGAGTCAGTTGGAAGCTCTTATATACTGGAGTAGTCACGCACCCTACATCAGTAGAGAAAAATGTATCCAGTGCTCTGACAGACTGTTGCAACAATGATGATCAAAAAATATAAGGAGTGCAAAGGCATTTGTGAGTTCATATGGCTGGATTAAAAATCATGTTTAAGTGACTTAATAGCTGTGAAAACTTCCCTGTTGTGTGGGTATGAACAAGGACAGGCACGTTACTAGTATCTGAATCATGCATCTCAGCTCTAGAATCAATTGTTCTGGAACATCCCAACCAAGTCGCTATTATTCAACTGCAGGAACTTTAAACACTCAGTAATCTTATGATGCATCAAGATTTTACAATTAAAATGATGGTAACACACAGAGATGTTCAAAATCCCCAAACCAAAATCTCCCCCACTCTGTAAAAATAAACCTCCGAACGTTTTTCAGCAGAATCTCTGCAGCTGTAGTTCTGCGGCACTGTCAGTTGCCTGGGGGTTAATTCTGGCAGGGCAGGGTGATGGTCAACTGCTTGTGGAGAAAGCAGCCACAGGGGGGTTATTTCCCATTTTTCACTCTCAGGTCTCAATAGAACAGTTAAGCCATCAGGTGTACCAAATTCGAGATAAAAGTAAGTTCCTCTTTCAGCTCAGTGGAAATGAGAAGTAACTCCATTTCACCGCGAGCTTTTTTACTATTCAATCCAGACCGCACTGGCCGGGAGAGGTGCTCTGAATCCTTAGTCTAATCACATTTCTTCCTTCTGCTGAGAAGGGAGGGTCCATCCTGACTTTTTAGGATGCACATTAGAACTCTGTGTTTATTTGTGTGTGGGTGAATCTTCTGTGAGCAGCGCTATGCGCAAACCAGGGGAGGACAGTGATGGGGTCAGGACATGATCCCCCAAAACGTGGCACCTGGCATTTGAGGAAGCCACAGAATCAGGAAGGTCTCTCTGACCTTCTCCCGCCCTTCTCCTCCCAGACAGGCCATAAAACCCTCATTCCAGAGGTGCCCTCCCTCTACCCAGAGGAAGGGAAGCTCCTTATCTCTGAAGATACAGGGACAAAGAAAAGAATCTGAACAAACAAGCCTGCAAACAAGCCCCTACCCGGCCCCACCCCGGTCTATTGCCATTGGTCACATCCCTTTGTCCAACCACACTTCTGCCTGCCTGTCCACTCCACCAAACTTAGTATGGAAATACACAGGCTTCCCTGCTTCTTTGGGTTGCTTGAGGCTTTTCTCGTTAAGCTGTCTTTTGTTACAGGGGCCTCAGCCATGAGCCTTGCAGTGGGTTAGAAAAAGATGTTACCACAGTGGCTCACGCCTGTAATCCCAGCACTTTGGGAGGCCGAGGCAGGTGGATCACGAGGTCAGGAGATCGAGACCATCCTGGCTAACACAGTGAAACCCCGTCTCTACTAAAAATACAAAAATTAGCTGGGCGTGGTGGCACGTGCAAGTAGTCCCAGCTACTGGGGAGGCTGAGGCAGGAGAATCACTTCAACCCGGGAGGTGGAGGTTGCAGTGAGCTAAGATCATGCCACTGCATTCCAGCCTGGCAACAGAGCAAGACTCTGTCTTAAAAAAAAAAAAAAAAAGGAAAAAGAAAAGAAAAAGATTTCTCCCCTATGACAAGATAAGGTTCAGGTCGACATGGTCAGTTTGATGATCTACTCCAAGTGAGGGGACTTGCTACACCTGAGTCTCTGCATACTCTCTCCCCACACCAGTTAATACTGGAAGCTCTGAAGCCACTGCTCCCCAGGTCACCCTATAACAGCTGTGCTCAGACCCAGGTGTACCTTGGACTAGCCAACTGCACCACAGATAGAGCAGGGGATGCAGGCAGCCCATGAAGGAGGCCCATTCTCTTTCACCCCCTCCCTTGAACTCAGCCCTGCTGCTCCAGGGCCCCCAGAAGTGCCAGGCTCCAGGTTTAACAATGTCAGGGGCTCTGGGACCTCAGGAGGGGATGAGATTAAAACCAAAGACCATCTTCACACCATCTGCAATTAACTAACCTGCATTGGAGACCTTAACAGAGAGAAGCCACGGAGCTAGTTCCATCATTTATCTGCCAAGGGATATCCCCATTAGCATGGGGCTCCTGGCTCAGGGCAAACCTCCCAAACCCACAGAAAGGGCTCAGCTCAAATCATCACCGTTTGGCGTCTCCGTCATCCAGCACTGCCTCCCGCTGCCTCGCATCCTTACAACCTGCAAGAGAGCCAATCACATGCTTTGTTTCACTTTATTGGATACACCGGGTGTGGGATTTACAAATAGGACCAACAATGTGTGCGGGGCACAGACGGCTGCCTGTGGGTCTGTGTGTAACAGGGGCTGTAAAATGAATGGACCTCATGTGCACGTGGTACAGAGAGAAGCAAACCAAGACCAACTGGATCCCAACGTGGGTAACATAAACAGTTAAATTACTAAAGTCATCTTAAGACCAAAATACTTCAATGAAAATGGCATATTAAAAACATATAAATTACATTTAAGCTCTGTACATGATTCTTAACAAAAATAACAATACCGTGTTCTGTACAATACTGCTTCCTCTGAACATTCCAAACCCAAGAAACACTTTCCCTTGAATTCCCAAAAAAAGTGGGCAAAATACACATGGAGTATAATTAAAACCATTTCACCAAATACAAAGCTGTCAGTTTCTTTGAAGGCACACATTTTGTTGTATCTCAGGAACTCCCATTTCAGAAGCCCCTTGTCTTCCGACCCCAACAGGCAGCAGAGGGCAGCCTCCGTTCCAGCGAATCTTTGGCTGCTAAAGGGAGAATATTCTCAGCAGGGAGGCAGCAGAAATGGAGCCCCTTCATCCTCAAACCAACAGACCAGATCGGTTGTCAGGAACCTCAAGACCCGAGGTGCCTCCTCGCTGCCTTTTGCAGGCCCTTATTCCCAACGTTTTGAAATATTCACTCCATATATGACATGGAGTGAAGCTGCCACCTATTTTCTTGAAAGGCATTTGCTGCTCACTACCAGTCTACCACCAGAATCAATGTATACAGCCCTGGGGATGACCATGTGTCCTGCTCCCCAGGACGCCGTGCTGCCAGACCCCCTGCCTGGCTTGGGTGCTCCTAGGCAGGGCAGCTCTCTGTGTCAGAGGACAGAGAGGAGCAGGGCTCCACCTCACCCAGTCTGCAAACAAGCCCACTGGCCGGCGGGCTCTTGTGATTGCTGAGTATGGTGTCTTCTCAAAGGTGACTGAGGTCCCTGTGGGGTCTCGGCGGGGCTTCTATCCCCGAACCCCGGGCCCTGGTGCCACTCAAGCTTCCAGCTGGACTTGGGCCTCGTCCACCTGCAGAGTGTCACAGTCCCCCAGCAGCTCAGTCTCTGGGACAGAGCCTTCCTCCTCCTCCTCTGCTTCCTGCACGGTGCTCTGGGCCCCATCTTCTGGGGCGTTCTGTGTGTCATCAGCGCCCTCTGAGAGCAGGGCTGCCCTGTCTGCCATGGATGTGTTGGAGGGGGCCGTGGTGACGTAGCCTGTGCTGGTGGAGCCACTGCCACTGTGGTGTGAGCTGGGCTTGGGGACCATCTGAGGAGGCACCTGCTGCGGGGCCATCTGCATTGGGATCTGCACCGGGTAGAAGTTGGGCAGGTAGGCCCCATAGGCCGGCACCGGCTGGTAGCCGTTGACGGGGACGTAGAGCTGCGGCGGGGGCACCATGGGTCTGATCTGGCCCTTCATGGGGATGAACTGGGGCTGTGGGAAGGGCGGGGCCTTCTGCTTGGGCCCCACGTAGCGGGCGTTGCTCACATTGCTCACTGGGCTGGTGCTCAGGGAGCTGGTCTGCGTGGTGTTGCTGGCCCCCGAGGTCTGCGCCGAGCTGTTGTAGTTGGAAAGGTTGCCCCAGGCTCGGAGCCGGCTGTGGATGTCCTTGAAGCGGGGCCGCCGGCTGGGGAACTCGTTCCAGCACTCGATCATGAGGGCATACACCCAGGCGGGACAGTCATCGGGGCAAGGCAGCACCTGCCGGTTCCGGATCATCTCCACCACATCCTGGTTGGAGTACCCGCAGTAGGGCTGCAGGCCGTAGCTGAAGACCTCCCACAGGACCACACCGTAGGACCAGATGTCTGAGTCGATGGAGAACTTGCCGTACATGATGGCCTCTGGGGCCATCCAGCGGATAGGCAGCAGCGAGTTCCCCAGCAGCTTGTAGTAATCGGCGGCATACACCTCTCGGAAGAGGCCCAAGTCTGAGATCTTCACGTTCAGCTTGTCGTACACTAGCACATTGCGGGTGGCCAGGTCCTTGTGAACCACGTGGTGGCTGGATAGGTACTCCATCCCCGCCGCGATCTGTGCCACAAGGTGCACGAAGTCGGGGGGCTCCAGGGCGGACTTCACCGTGCGGTCATCATCGGTGCTGCCCACGTCCGAGTGCGGCGAGCGCATGACCAGGAATTCGTGGAGGTCGCCGTGCGAACAGTAGCTGAAGATCATGCTCAGGGGCTGGTCCTTGGTCACCACGCCCAGCAGGCAGACGACGTTGGGGTGTTGCAGCCGTGCTCGCAGCATAGCCTCATGCCGGAACTCCTCCCGCAGGGGCCCCTCCGCTTTGTCCTTCAGCGTTTTGATGGCCACAGCCTGGGTCTGCTCCCCCGGGGCAGGGCCGAACAGGTGACCTTTGTAGACTTTCCCAAACCGGTCCTCTCCCAGCTCCTCCATGAACCTCACCGCAGACAGGCTGATCTCTTTGAGTTTGGCCTGTCAAGAAGAAAAGCCCCACGTGAAACATCACTGTCACCGCAGCCCTGGAGGAAGCTGCAGAGCAGCCGGGAGGAGTGGAGTCCCTGTGCGGCCACGACTAGGGGGGCCTTGCAGAAGACCCGCTGGTTTTGCCCACCCAGCCTTGGCCTGCCCACCCACAGCTCTCTAGTTAACCTTAAATACGGCTCTGATGCCAAGGTTGCTTCCCATCTGCAATCTTCCACAGATCCCAACCAGGCTACAAATAAGGTCCCTCCAAAATCCAGCTGGGACACACTGACTTCCTTCCCACTTGTGCATGTGTGGACACACACACACACCCTACAGCCAGGCCCAGGCACCAGCTGCCCTGGGGCTGCCCCGGACATACCCTGCCAGGTTCCCTCCAACCCCCATGTGTGCCGACACATCACGTGAGATGTGATGTCTTTTTCTCATGGACCCCACAGAGGCTTTCCCACGACATTTTTGTCTTGGCAATTTTGTCACTTATAAGAGTCCAAGCCAGTTGTTCTACAGAGGTTCCCTCAATGGGCCTGTCCATGGGCCTCTTGACTAGGGTCTCTGTTAAACATGTTCCTGGAAAGAGTACCCCACAGGTGATAGGAGCCCTGAGAACCCTGCATCTCTCTCGGCCTCTATGACACCAGCTCCTCCCGTGTGGCCAGCCCTCATCCTCCCCAGAGGTTCCTGGGCCTCCGTGCAAGCCCCGGGGCTCTGTGCCCTCCTCGCTGGCCAGCCCCTGCCCATAGCAAACTCTCACCGACTCTGGGACTGAAGAGCCAAGTGCATCAGCTCCCTCCTGGCCACCTTGAAGAGCCCCTGCAAAGCTGGCTGAGAATGATGTTACCTACGGCTTGCAATGAGTGTAAATGCCCTTTTACAACACAACCTGGAGAGGCTGCAGCACATGTTCTCATCTGTTGTATTTCAGTGCCCCACCCCCATCTAAGGCTGCTCTGGGATGAGGGGTGGCCTTTTAGTGGTAGCCTGTCCACCTACTCCCATTTAAGAGCTATTCTCCTATCCTTCCCTGTAAACAAAACAAAGCAAAACCAACCCAACCCAAAAGTGTCAAGAAAAATTATGGGGAGCATTGGAGCCCTGTTGTTCTTGTGTGTCTTCTGGGCAGAGCTGAGGCACCTGGACAGTGAGGACACTCGCTGGGGCCCACAGGGGCAGCATGGTCCAGGCAGAAGGAGGCCCATGGACTCTGGGGCAGTGAATTCCCAACACGCCTGCCATTTATTTTCTAAAGCACACATGTCCTGATCTAGTTTACAGAAAAAAAAAATGGCAAAATGAAGCGGAGTTTAAAATAATTATGTGCTATGTATCAAGTAAATTAAGACATTTAATGTTGGGGGAAACAACCCCTGAGGATTAAACCTGGAAGAGCCACCCGGGTAGAAAATGTAAGGCATGGAGACCTGTTTGTGCTGGTTAATGAGGGGCATTTCCATGTCTTGGCTGGGCGAGGCCATCAGCTGTCGCCGCTGCGGTGTGGACGCAGATGCCTTCTGCTTATTCCGGCACATGCAAACCAAGAAGAAAAGGCAAGCGATGACCAGTGGAATTGCGATGCTGGGGACCAAGATGTACAGAATCCCCATCTTGCTGCTGTCTCGGGGACCTGTGAACAATAAGGCTTTCGTGATTTTTCAGAAAACATCCCTTTTCTACTCTAAGTTCTCTACCAACCCACTCTCCACCTCCAGCCAAAATCTTCACGTGCACGTGTGTCATCACCTAAGTTACACAATGGGGTAAAAGGGCACACCACACCTTAAAAAACATGATGCACCAAAAAATGCACACCCGGCTGCATCCTGGGGAAACAAAACCCAAAACTGCCCAACCTGGAAACAAGCGGGAATATGCAGTATAAAAAGTAAATGAATTCTAATGATCTTAATAACGACCACATCCGCTTTCTGTTCCTGATGTTTGAATACCATCGGAGATAGGTGCTCTGCCCAATTTCACTTTTATCAAGGTCTCCCCAGCTACTGACAAGTTCATGAAATTCACTGGAGACCCTTGTCCAAGGTGAGTGAAACTTGGTACTGGGATTAGACACGATCCTTTTCCTCATTCAACATTTTAATGTTTTCTTCACATTTTTATCTAATGATGACAGATTCTTTTAGGGTAATAATTAAACATGCACTAGATTTAAAAGAGCACCAGTAGTCCATGCTCTTGACCCAATACAATATGCAACAGGGGCACAAGAATTCTTGGAAAGCACTGGGTACCAAGATTCAAGGCCACCAGCTACCTTCCCTGCATTTTTTTTTTTTTTAAATCACAGGGAAAAGTAACTCTTTGTCTCCCTCTACAGGATTTACAGAAAGGTACAGGGGGCACACCAGGCAGGCTGAGGTGACCTCAGATTCTGAGCAGGACTCCAGGCAGGGCTGGCTCCTCCCAGGCTGCGTGGCCCCAAGCACCCCACACGTCAAAGCAATTGAATGTAAGACAAAGTGGTGCCGTTTCAGGACGCTGACCCTAAGCCTGGTGGAAGGTGAGTTCTCTAGAGAGCCACTTTCCCACATCCCCAGAAAACCACGGTGTTCTGTTTTCTCCTTAACCTTGCAAATAACTATATCAGACTTAGAGGGCCCCATGGCCAGGGGGCAAAGCGCTTCTCATCTGGAAGCAAACAAGTGATTTCTGGTCAGTGTGAGGCCTAAAAGAGCTAACTCGGTTCTAAAAGTGAACATGCTACTGCCACCTTAGGAAAAAAGCACCTTGTCCCAAAACCCAGCCTTGCCCCACCCCTGCTCCCCCAAATAAGAAGAAATCAAGTAAAACCACAAACAAAACTTTCTTCTGGCCCCACCTAGCAGCTTCCCCTCTGAAAGGGTTCTGAGGCAGGTGTTCCAGAAATCTTCGGGGCACTGGGGATGCCGATTCATTCTTTTTTACTAGGGTTTGGTTCATTTTTCATTATTAAGGTTAGCAGGAGAGTCCAGGCCACTCTCACGCCAAGACCAGAGGTGTGAGCTCACACTGACACCATCACCTGCTTTTATTATCTACTTAACATTACCAACATGACTCATGCTTACTGGGAAAAACTGTAGTATTACAGAAATGTGGCCTTTCAAAAGATAGTATTTCTAACAGTCCTCTTTCCCAAAGGCTATAAATGGTTAAGTTTCGTGTTCTCCTAACTTTATGTATATTTTAGGTTGAACCACATGGAACAACCGATATTCAACTATTCTGACATATAGACACAGTAGTTTTATATGGTTTTCTTAATTCGAATGTTGAATGAACTTTATTTTATTTATTTTTGAGACAGAGTGTTTGTTTATTTATTTATTTTTGAGATGGAGTCTCGCTCTATCTCCTAGGCTGGAGGGCAGTGGTGGGATCTCAGTTCACTGCAACCTCTGCCCCCTGGGTTCAAGTGATTCTCCTGCCTTAGCCTCCCGACTAGCTGGGATTACAGGCGCCCGCCACCATGCCTGGCTAATTTTTATATGTTTAGTAGAGACAGGGTTTTGCACTGTTGGCCAGCCTGGTCTTGAACTCCTGACCTCAGGTGATCCGCCTGCCTTGGCCTCCCAAAGTGCTGGGATTACAGGCGTGAGCCACCACACCCGGCCTAAATGAACTTGATTTTAAATAGAATCGTGTCATCCATATTTTCCTGCTCCTGTTTTTTTGGCAGAATAAAATCTCTTGGACAGCAGCTCATGTTGGAGCAGATAGATATGTGTGTTCTCCCACAGCTGCATGCCACTCCACAGCACAGGCGTCTCCAACTGCCCCATCCAGCCCTACTGATAAACAGTCTGTTTTATGTTTAGCTCTCACAAGTGATTCTGCAATAAATATCCTTCCATTTATGCCCTGTAAGTACAAACCTGCGATACAAGATTCTAAGAATTGACTGGTCCAAAATCATACATTTTTTTCATGCTTTGATTTATTTTTAATTACAAAAGTAATTCCTACTCACTGTAAAAAAAAAAAAAAAAGTCTTGTATTTGAACACTTTTGTAGGTCTGGGGAAATCACTGCTAAAAGTTTGATATCCATCTTTCCAAAACCTCGTAAAAGTCAGGAGCCTGTGTGTGCTCACACACAAACTCCCACTCATTTTCCTTTTGCCAGAAACAAAACAATAAGCAAAAAAGCACCTCTAACACAGTTCTGTCCTACAACCTGCTTTTGTTCCTTACAGGGCACAGGGCCATCCTTCATTGCAGGACAGCTTTAAGGTCTGGAGTGCTCCAGAGTGCCTAGACCGCAATTTGAATGACTGATAATTTCATTCTTAAAATTTGTTCTCCCATAATGAACACATTCTTGAAGATTTGTGTCTGATCTGCTGAGCCAGAGGCAATGCCAAATCTGGAGCTGCTGAATCACACATCAGGAAGGTCATTAGTGCCAGTGTTTATTTCCTGCACTTCGGAGTAGAGACACGCGGGCCTGCACCCCAGGAGGAGATCTCCAGGTGCATGGTGAGCCCAGCCTCGCTTCACCGGCTGCTCTCTCTTTATCCGCGGGTGCCCACTCATTCACCAATTGCTGCTTCCAGCTCCCAGCCCAGCCTTGGTTACCCTGCTGCCTGGACTGGTGAACCGGGCATGACTAAGACAGAGGTGAGAACTGTCGAAGCTGTCAACCATCAGCCACGTGAGCTTCCATATTCATGACATTACAGACACACTTGCAAGGAATGAGGACAAGCAATGAATTCTATTTTCGCCTCACTCCACCAAACCTAAGTGTAAAATCTGAGAAGCAGTGAAAAGCTCAAAAGCTGGTGGGTGGAAGGGAAATATTTTTACGAATATTAGGAACTACTGAGCAATAATGGTGTTTTTTGTTTTTTGTTTTTGAGAAAAGGTCTTGTTTTGTTGCCTAGACTGGAGCGTAGTGGCACCATGATGGCTCACTGCAGCCTTGAACTACTGGGCTCAAGCAATCCTCCCACCTCCACCACCCAAGTAGGTGTGCCACCACGCCTGGACAATTTTTGTATTTTTTGTAGAGACGGGTTTTTGCCATGTTGCTCAGACTGGTTTCAAGCTCCTGGGTTCAAGAGATCCACCCGTCTTGGCCTCCCAAAGTACTGGGATTACAGGTTGTGAGCCACCGCACTGGGAGATAATGTTAATGGAGAAACAAAATGTCAAAGTGAATATCCCAGGACCATCCATACATGGGAAAAGGGCTGATGGAAGGGGGTGGGCCAAAACGCAAACAAGTCACTACTGGGTGGTAACATTAGGGGTGATCTGACATTACTCTTCAGACTTTTCTATATTTTAAAATGTCTTGTAATGGTCAGATGTTACTTTCATAACAACCAATAACTTGCGTTATTTATTTATTTATTTTTGAGACAGGGTCTCACTCTGCTGTCCATGCTGGAGTGCAGTGTCACAATCTTGGCTCACTGCAACCTCCGCTTCCCAGGCTCAAGTGATTCTCCTGCCTCAGTCTCTTGAGTAGCTGGGATTACAGGCATGTGCCACCGCACCTGGCTAATTTTTGTATTTTTATGGGGTTTCACCATGTTGACCAGGCTGGTCTTGAACTCCTGACCTCAAGTGATCTGCCCACCTCGGCCTCCCAAAGTGCTGGGATTATAGGCATCAGCCACTACGCGTGGCCCAACAGCTTTATTTAAAATGGTCACTGTGGTAAGATCAGGGGTCTCTGGTCGCCACCGTACAGAGGCACACCCCAACCCAGGTCAGGACAGAACGCCCTCATCACAAGGTTCACTCAACAATCAACACATTAAAAAAAGAGAGAGAGAATACATACTACACGAGGGTACGTCACACAGTTCCATGCGTACGTTTTTATTCTGCGTAAAGCACCAGGGGCCCTCCATCTGGCCTCCGGGGTTCCGGCAGTAGGCGTGCCCCCCTCCAAGCTCAGGGAAGTCTGTGCTGGACAGGTGGTGGCTGTGGGGGTGCTGCAGGGCCCACGGCTGGCACTGGTGGCCTGACTTGGTGGTGCTTGCCGTTCCTCTGTAATCCATGCCTGAGCCGTTATAGCACTGATGGTCTGAACAAGGAAAACACGTTAGGAAAACCTCCGGGGTACAACAAAACCATTCTGCCTACACATGCCCAAACTAGAATTTCCAAAAGATCCAAGGATTTTACATAACTTACCAGAAAAGAGGCATTAAAAGTAATGGCTTAATGAAGTCCCAAGCCCACAAATTAAATGCAGGGCACATCAGGGATAGGCATGGGGAAGGAAACTTGTCTAAAGTTATTCCACAGCCCCAGAACCATCTCTTGGGACCCACGAGGCACCTGCACACCACCACCCCACCAGAATGGGGATGTCTCCCCAGCCTCAGGATCAACTTGCTCTAGGAAGAAAGCCAACTGTGCAAGCAAGAAGGGCCTGGCCCCTCCATCTCAGGACACCCTGCTCAGCCATGGGTGAGAACAGTGCAGGCCACGCCACCTCCATGGAGGAACCCTGGGGTTGGGGTGTGCATTTGGTGAACATTTCTGTAGTGTTTACCATGTGTGGGGCGCTGCTCTAAACCCTCCTGGCTGGGGCACCGTGGCTAACAAGGCGGGTGGATCACTTGAGGTCAGGAGTTCAAGACCAGCCTGGCCAACATGGTGAAACTCCGTCCCTGCTAAAAATACAAAAATTAGCCAGATGTGGTAACGCACGCCTGTAGTCCCAGCTACTCAGGAGGCTGAGGCAGGGGAATCGCTCGAACCTGAGAGGTGGAGGTTGCAGTGAGCCAAGATTATGCCACTGCACTCCAGCCTCAGTGACAGAGTGAGACTCTGTCTCAAAAAAACAAAACAAACAAAAAAACCACCTTCCTAAATATTGCCTCATTTGACCTTCATTTCAGCCCCACGGGTTAGTACTGGTGTCATCCCCACGGAATATAAGGATATGAGAGCTTAGCAACTTGTCCAGGGTCACAATGAGGGTCTGAATGCAGGCAACGGGCCCAAGGACCAGGCCCTGGCTGGTCCTGGTAAGGAGTCCTGGCCATTCCTGGACCCCCAGATTAGCCAACGATGCTAAATACAGCCCCGGAGCTGTGGCGGAGGTGGCCCGTTCCCTAGGTCTCACTCCTCAGGGAGGCAACAACCCGTATGGATGCAGTGATGTCAGCCAATGGTTTTCCTCGGAGACATAAGCAGCGCTCCCTGTCCTGTGTCTGCCATCCTGACTGGCCATGGCCACCCTGCTGGGGCTCACAACTTGGGGTTTACTAAGCCTCCAGAGGGCAGGGGCTGCTGCCAGCAAGAGGGGCAGTGGGGAGCATGCTCTTCGTCCTGTGCAGACCCCAAACAGGCCACACCCAGGCCCCGGGCTCAGAACTGTCCCCCTCCCCCACGCTCATCCCTTAGGCCCCACGATTCAGGGACCTGTAGAAAGGTGCACGGTGCTTCCCTGTATTTCCTTCCCTAGTGATGCCTGATTGTTACAGGTTCTTCTCAGGTGCCCTCCCAGGCCAGTCCTGCAGCATCTCCGTGGGCCTCACATTCATCCAAGGCTAAGGATCCTACAGGTTTCTGGGGACTGATCCTCCAGGTTTCAGGAGGTTGGGGCAGGAGTTGAGAGTCTGCATTTTCGCCTGGCGGCCCGAGTGCGTGCTGACCGTCGGGCAAGTTAGGAAGCTGGCCCTGTCTCCTCTCATGCCCGCAACAGCCATTTCCACAGGAAGTGAGATCACTCCCATTTCAGAGAAGGGAAATCCCAGGCTCAAGCAGGTGGAGGGACTTCACCTGAGTCCCACAGCTGGACACAGTGCAAGCCCACATGCGAGCCTGGGGCTGAATGGCTCCAAAGCCCCTGATCCGAGGCCCCGCCTGCTGCCCTGCTGGAATGGAGGCCTAGGCTGTGGGGCCCTCGGCTGCTAAGGGGGTTCTGTGGGGCCTGGACAGATGGGGCTCCCTGGGCTTCACCGACACCCCCATACACATTTCAAGGGCCCTACACTCCCTGCGCCCCCCGGTCCCGCCCCGGGCCCTCGGGCACTCACAGCGGCCCAGCCTCTCGGCTGGGATGCCAATGCGCATGCAGTTGGCAGCGTCGGGGCTCTCAGGCATGGGCAGCGCCTCACACTTGGGCAGCTGAAGCCGCATGAGGATGAGCGGGTTGGAGCGGGCGATGGTGTACTCCTGGCGGCACAGGTCGCTCTCCAGCACCTCGCACTCGTCGCGGCACAGCTCACGCGGCTTGGGTGTCCGGGAGCGCGCGTCGCACAGAGGAAACACGAAGTGGCAGAAGGATGGGATGGCGAACTGTGAGCACTGGTCCGACAGGTGCGTAGACGTGCCGATCATGGTGAAGGCCGCTGCAGAGCCCGCGAGACTCGCGTTAGCGGGGGACCCACCTTGCGCCCTTGACATTCATCCAGTCCCCACCCCCAGCCTGGCATCCCAGACTGCCCACTCAGCCCCCTGATGCCCCGCCCCGCCCCAGACTCCCCAACCCCGAGCCCCGCACACCACCCTGGAGAGGCTCCCCACCAGCAGGCCAGCCTGCCCATCACCTGCTCTGATTTGCAGCAGTCACAGAAAAGTCCCTGGTCCCAGGGCCTCACTTAGAAACATCAGAAGCAGAACAAGAAAGAAGGAAAACTCGGCCCCCTAGCTCACTCCGCTAGGTGCTTCTTCCAGGACAAGAGGGTTCAGACTTCAGATGCAAAAGCAGATCCTAAGGACCCGCCATGTGTGGAGAGCGCAGGCCAAGAAGTGCAGTACCGAGCCCCAGGCTTCCCAATGTCCCAGATCTGTCTGGGGAGAAGGCTGTCCCGGAAGAGGGAGTCAGCTCAGCTCTGTGAACTGCAGCTGGAGGAGACAGTTGGTAAAATGCGGAAAGCCAAGAGGGTGAGAGCAGCAAAGTGGGAGGAGAGCCGCGTTACAACTCTGGAAGGTTCTGTGATAAGGGGGAGCAGAAAAACCCGAAGATCCAGAGCCCCCTTTGGTAGGGCGGTTTGTTTTTTAAGGGCAAGATGTCAGAGGATGCAGTTTGGTGGTTAGAAGATGGGGTGAGTTCGGGAACAAAGTGGGGGTGTTGGGGAGAGATCTGCTGCACCTGGGGTGCATGGCTGGACACTGGTAAGGGTGAAGAAGCTGGCCAAGGCAGGGCTCTAAGGAATGCATCAGCCTGCCCTGGGCTCACTACCCCATTTTCACCTGTGAAAGGCTGGCTTACAACAATTGAGCTTGGGGACAGTGGAGGCAGACAGGCCCCTTTGCCTGCACACCCAGCAGAGGCTGTGTCCTCCAGCGTGGCAGAAAACCCAGAAGCTGGCATTTAGTCCCTGAGGAGCCCTAACTCCACCCACGAATGCAGTTCAATCCCATCATTACAGATTTGGCGATTATTTGGTGATTATACAGAGGGCTGTCAAGAATGCTGGCCTTGACCTCCAGGCAAGGAAAGCGTGTAAGTGCTGTGCCAGGTTTGGCCAGCAGGTGGCAGTGCCGCTGTCAGTCATTCCCTGGGAACCCACCCAGGAACGGGATGGGCAGCTGTGTGGGAACAGCCTTGTGCGTGATCACTTTGTGGTATCACTCATGCCTTTCCGGGCCTGTTTCTGTACCTGAAGAGTGATTTGAGACCCCACACTGGGGAATGAGAGTGCACACAGAGCCTATAAAGTGGCCCTCAGCGTGAATGGGCCCAGGGGTCTGGTAAAAGGCGGCGTCAGTGGGCGGGAGCAGCCACGCTGTCCTGATTGTGTGCAGGCACTACTGTGCTCATCACATCACCTCCCCTCCTCTGGGTTCCTGTGGCCGATATTTAAATGGAGGAACAGAGAGGGCAAGCAGTTACAGTACAGGATGTCTTGGATTTGGAGGAAGAACTGAGGCTTCAACCCTGTTCAATCCCATCATTACAGATTTGGGATTATATGGATGGCTGTCAAAAATGTAGGTAGGCCTTGACCTCCAGGCAGGGAAAGATTGTCTAAGAATGCCAAAGCTGTCACTTCTCTTGGGCTAATCCACTGATAGGATGTCTCTGCTGATCTTTATAGGATTTCTCTTTCTCCTTCTCCTCACCCTGAGAATGTACTGCTTATTTCTGAAAGTGCAATTCTAGGCACAAAGAGATCCAACAACTCACATCCTGTTATCTGTCCACACCCTGAATGTCACACAACACTTTCCAACACAACACTGCACACAACGCAGTCATTACTATGCTTATTTCAAAACCACAAGTCTGTTGAGAGCAACTTCAAATTTACTGTTTTCAAAAAGCCACCCACCTAGAAAATCTTCATTCTAAACTCTTCTCTAAAAGATGCTATAAAACCAGGCTGCTTGGATGCAAGCTGATTCCTTAAACAACTCCTGAAGAGATAACTGAGGGACAATCTTGTGCCCTGGATCAGTGCTTGCCAATTAGTAGGGTGTCTAATTAATTCTGAGAGTCTGCAGCTAGCATTTTAAAAGATGGTAAGAACAGACTAGAGGATGTCAGAATGCACGGTTCCTACTAAGGGCTCTAACTTTTTTTTTTTTTTTTTTTTTTTTTTTTTTTTTTTTTGAGACAGAGTCTTGCTCTGTCTCTGGGGCTGGAGTGCAGTGGCGCGATCTGCAACTTCCACCTCTCGGGTTTAAGTGATTCTTCTGCCTCAGCCTCCCAAGTAGCTGGGATTACAGGCACCCGCCACCATGCCCAGCTAATTTTTTGTGTTTTTAGTAGAGATGGGGTTTCACCATGTTGGTCAGGCTGGTCTTGAACTCCTGACCTCGTGATTTGCCCGCCTCAGCCTCCGAAAGTGCTAGGATTACAGGCGTGAGCCACCGTGCCCGGCCACTTTTTTATTTAATGAAATAAAACTGAAAAGAAAAATCCAAGTGCACCGCTTTTACGAAGGGTGAAAGTTATTCCCTGTAACCTATGTCAGTTGTGTGAAATACATGTATGTGTACACTAAGTCATGGCGTAAAGTATATTCTCTATTTTCCACTGTGTGTTTCGGTAAAAACCTTTGAGAAGTCCTACTTTAATGGCAAAGAAAGCTTTTGCAGTGAGAGGTAGCCATATTTTCAAAACCATCTCCCGCTGGAACAGGATGGCATCTCCAGGTTCCTCTCTGTCTCATGATGGCTCTTTCAGTTTGCACAGGACCCCCTGGCCCTGTCCTCAGAGGTCTCTGTACCAGCACATGGGCCAGGCAGTCTCTTCTGTGACCGTGAATGTGATGTTCGACTCTCTAGTCCGAGGGTGACCTGAACTTAGAAGGGCTTGTCAGTGACATGAGGTGACTTTCTGCCTTGGATCCTCATTGTCACCCCTTAACAGGTCAGTGCCCTGTATCCCCTTTGCCCCACCACACTCTCCCAGGAGCGCAGGCATCAGAGATCACCCACTGACTCTAATCTGCAGCAGAGCCTCCCGCTCCCATGGAGAGGATCCAACTAAACTGAGGTGCTGGGGCACCGGCCATCTGCACAGGATGTGTCTTGCTCCTTATGGGATCTGGAGAGAAAATGTGTATGTGTTTGTGGAGAGAGTAGAGACAGCAGGAGGAGGGCTCTGTAGGACTATTGTCTAATTAATTTTCTTCCTTTCCAAGGCCTTTCCCCTAAGAAGGACCCCGGACCCCATCAATGTGTTCGAGTTGTATGCTGGGAACTGGGACAGCCAATCAGAGAAGTTAAGTCCTAATGAGACCAAGGATGAGCAGCTGCAGTTCCTAATTGACTTGCCACTTTCTCAGACCCTGAACCAGGTACCCAAAGACGTGGCTTTGTTCTCTGGAAACCCAGGACTGACAAAGTGTGTGTTCACTGCAGCATCCCTACCACTGATGACCCGCGACTCTTTCCCCAAAACAGCTGCAATCAGGCCTGGGTGCCTTTGGACCAAACGTGGCTCAGAGAGGATAGAAGAGTCAGGAAGTACAGAATGAGAAGTCAAGCAGAGTGAGTGTGGGGGCGCTGAGGCTATCTGCGCCAGTGTGGCAGGCCCGGGGCAGGAGGCCCTGGCGTTGCAGTGAGGACAGTGCTTTGGACCCACACGGTTTGGCTGAGTTAAAAGTGCAGAAGTATATTCCAAGCAACCCACACTTGCTAATTTAAACATACAGGCCAGGAACATTTTTAGGGCAAATCATGTTAGCAATTGCCACTACTTCTAAAAAAGATCTCTGGTTTCTACCACAAATGAAATGGAAGAGGCACCCACTGACCATGCCATTAACTGATGAAACACAGTGGCCACCATCTGTGCGACAGATGGCTGTGTGCATGCTTATCATCCTGGGAGAAAGGTCTGCAGCTCCTACCTGTGATTCGGTTTTCAATCTCCCCCTGCATCTGAAGCGAGTCCACATAAATGGTCCGGTTGCCAATGAAGCGTGCACAGGCAATTCCCCGGTAAGGCTGGCAGAACCCATCCTCGTGGTAATCATCCCTGGTAAGAAACACACAAAGTCTGTTAGAGCTCTGGGAGGTGCCAGGTCCCGCCAATGACTTCTTTTATGATCCAGCATCTTGCGATCCAGCAATTTTGTTACTTGGTATTTATATAAGTAAATTTAAATAAGTAGAACACATAAGTCACACAAAAACCTGTATGTAAATGTTTATGGCAGCTTTATTCATAATTGTCAAAACTTGGAAGCAATAAGATGTCTTTCTGTAGGTGAATGGATAAACAAACTGTGGTACATCCAGACACTGGTATTATTTAGTGCTAAAAAAAAATGAGCTATCAAGCCACAAAAAGAGAGGAAACTTACATGCATATTACTAGGTGAAAAGAGCCAATCTGAAGGCTACATACATACTGTATGATTCCAATCATATGACATTCTAGAAAGTGCAAAACCATGGACAGCAAAACTATAGAGACTGGTTATAGAGAAATGTCAGTGGATGCCAGGGGTTATGAGGGAGGGAGGGATGGATTCCAAGAGACACACTGGGGTTTTAGGGCAGTGAAATATTCTGTATGATACTGTAATGGTGAGCACACGTCACTATACATTGGGCAAAACCCATAGAAGGTAAAACATAAAGAATAAGCCCTAATGTAAACTACTGATTTTAGTTAATAATAATGTTATCAATATTGGCTCAGCAGCAATAAATGTCTCACATGAATGCAAGACATTAAAATAAGGGAAACTATGAGAAGGAGGGCGGGAAGACTCTGGATTTTCTGTTCAATTTTTCTATAAACCTACAACTGTTCTAAAAAATGCCTATTAATTTCAAAAAATTCCACATCTTTAAGGGAGTATGGAAAAAGAATGGGAGGACTGGTTAAGGGTGAGGATGATTCTTGAGGTGAAGGGTACACGGGGATGGGTATGTGTTTGTGTATACATGCACATACCCAGAACATCAGGCACGTGTTTCACCTTACCCTTGAACTATTTAATACATCAGGGACATTATGGCAATGCCCCTGCAAACTTCCCTTGTTTGCAAACAAGGCTTTTATGATAACGATGACAATCCACAAGGTAAACAGCAGAAATATTTGAAAAGGAGAAAAGCAATACACAAATGTATTCTCTACTATGTTCAAAGGTGATGGTAGGGACTCCAAGAAGTCCAAGCCTCAAAGAACTCACAGAATGGCATACATGCATGCCTACTCTACGCAGAAGTGCGACCTGGCCACCGCTGCATGGACGGCACAGACTGCATGTCACAGGCGTAGGAGGTCAGAAGAGGGAGAGACACGGACAGGCTGTTCTCCCTCCTGCTCCTCCCGGTCAGCCTGCATGGATGGGAAGATGGGGTAATCCTTTCCCAGGTCCCCAGGTTGGAGTTTGTGCTGAATTATTTTCTGCAGAAACTGTTGGTCTGGCTTCAGCCAATGAAAGCCATCATGATAAGTATCCTGGAGGATTTTAAAGTGGTGCTCAGGACCCTCCAAAGGTCCATTGACGCCAATGAGCCACAGCAGACACATCGGGGGCTGCCACTGCTGGCAGAAGAGGGGACTGAAGATGCTCGGACAAGCCTTGCATGAGCACCTCAAGCCTGTAGCTTGTTTTCCAGAAAATCTGGAACCTACCCCATAAGCCTGAGAGCACTCGGCTTTCCATTCTACATCCATTTAGAGTAGACCATCCCCAAATGAAATCTGAATTCTGTTCAATTTAAGGCTAGGCACAGTGGCTCGTGCCTGTAATCCCAGCACTTTGGGAGGCCAAGGCTGGTGAATCACTTGAGCCCAGGAGATCGAGACCAGTCTGGGCAACATGGTGAAACCCCACCTCTATAAAAAATACAAAAACTAGCTGGGCGTGGTGGCGTGTGCCTGTAGTCTCAGCTACTCAGGAGGCTGAAGTGGGAGGATCACTTGAACTGGGAGACAGAGGCTGCAGTGAGCCGAGATCAAACTACTGGGCTCCAGCCTGGGTGACAAGAGCAAGACCCTGTCTTTAAATTTAAAAAAAAAAAAAAAAAAAAAAAAGAATGTGTTCAGTTTAACCACATGGATTTAAAATCCCTATCTGAACTCTCTTGCTAAGGCAGAGGCTGAACACTTGCAATAGTGAAGACCTTCTCAAGCTTCTGCAGAAAACCCTTTTCTCAAAGAACAGAACCTGGAGCTATAAATACTTCAAGAAAGAGATTTTGGTGTTAACTCCAGCTCACCAGCCATTGTTTCCTTGGGTTAAGGGTTCCTTAAAGGTAGTTTAAATAGGCAGCACATGTGTTAACAATGCGAGCCTGCCTGCCCAGCTTTCACTCTTTTTGCACTGGAGTTAACTGCTGATTAGACACTGGCCACACTACCAACATAAATGGAAGTCACCTCTGCCTGGGTATGTGCTGGACATGTCCCTGTCTGGAGGCGGGCTCAGGGTGCTTTGTCCACTCTGCTAGAAAAATCATTAAGACATGCCTGATCAGATTAATGTCAGCTATGCCTAAGCTATGAGATTCAGATCAGTCCCTTGGGATGCCCCCACAAGTGTAAGCCATTTCTTTTCTACCTTGCAAGAGTCAAGGAAGAGAAGGTTGTTCCCCCTGTTGCAGGCTTCTCCCTGGCCGCTGGTCAGGTGCCCACAGGACAGAGAGAGCAAGGGATGTAAGGAAGATGACAAGGGGGTGCTGGGGTGGAGGGTGCTCCTGCCATCATACCCCGCTCACACTTCCCTCACCGAAGCGGGCTTTCAATCTGAATAGACAATATCCAGGCTGGGCGCGGTGGCTCAAACCTGTAATCCCAGCACTTTGGGAGGCCAAGGTGGGAGGATCACAAGGTCAGAAGATCGAGACCATCCTGGCTAACACGGTGAAACCCCATCTCTACTAAAAATACAAAAACAAAATTAGCCAGGCGTAGTGGTGGGTACCTGTAGTCCCAGCTACTCGGGAGGCTGGGGCAGGAGAATGGCGTGAACCCAGGAGGCGGAGCTTGCAGTGAGCCGAGAATACGCCACTGCACTCCAGCCTGGGTGACAAAGCAAGACTCTGTTTCGGGCGGGGGGGGGAATATATATATGTATATATATATATACATATATATATCCCCAAAAAGCCAGATAGAAGTGCTTGGAAAATGGCATCTTTGCTTTTGAATTGTCTGAGAAAACTATGGGAGTTGCTTTCTATTTTCCAACAATTATATTTTATCTTTATCTGGCACATTTGGGGCCTTGGAAGAGGAACAGAGCTGGAGAGAGTCTGTTAAGTGGATCCCTGGGAAAGCAAGGAAAGGACTGAAACGGAATTTGGCAGCTATAAAATTCCTTCAGCAACGTAAGTGCAGTAGACATGCTCACCAGCTGGTGGAGCATCCACGTTTCAGAAATGAAGTGTGGAAATCCCCTGCCCCTCATGCTGCCAGGCACTGATCCAAGGCCTGACGGGACATGGATGAAGAAGAAACTTCTACACCAAGAAGTGATTGTCAGGGAGGAGAGAGGGTGCTAAATAAAGACAACTCGGCCGGGTGCGGTGGCTCACGCCTGTAATCCCAGAACTTTGGGAGGCCAAGGTGGGTGGATCATGAGGTCAGGCGATCGAGACCATCCTGGCCAACATGATGAAACTCCGTCTCTATTAAAATACAAACAATTAGCCGGGTGTGGTGGTGCACACCTGTAGTCCCAGCTACTCGGGAGGCTGAGGCAGGGGAATCGCTTGAACCCGGGAGGCAGAGGTTGCAGTGAGCAGAGATTGTGCCACTGCACTCCAGCCTGGTGACAGAGCAAGACTCTGTCTCAAGTAGTAATAATAATAATAATAATAATAATAATAATAATAATAAAATAATGACAACCCTGGGTAAGAAAAGCAACAGGAGAGGGGTAGGAGATCAGGGAGAAACAGAGGCAGGGGCCAGCAGACTGTGATGGCAGGTGCTCCTCCACCAAGACTGGCAAGATGGTGGGGATCCACAGCCTTCCCCTAGATGACACATGCTGAGAATAAAAATTCATGGGTATTAATAATGAAGGAGGTTTAAAGGAAACTAAGGCTTTTTTAAGGTTGAAAAGGAATCCATGTCAAAATTCAAATGTAGCTACATATTGCATAGGAAGTTAACATTTTCCCCTAATTGTTTTGTTACAAAGTAGTAACCCATTCTCATAATTGTTTATCTTATTATGAGAGAGGCTGACTGTCTAAATGGGCTGCCTGCCTAGGTGAAGCAGAGGAAGCTCAATCTGTGACTCACCAGGAGACAGAGCAGACCAGCCACATTCACAAAGCAAAAACTCCCTAAGCATTGGGTGCTCTGACAGTAAGCTAATATGCAGCTGTATCAAAACTCAATACTCTTTACTTTGAATGCAAAACCTAGCATACAAACCATGATGTCCACTATACAATAAAATTACCAGACATGCAAAGAAACAGGAAAATATAACCCGTGGTCAAGAGAAACAAACACAAAGATAACCTAGATGTAAGAATCAGCAGAGCAGGTTGGATTAGGCCATTTTCATACCACTGATAAAAGACATACCTGAGACTGTGAGCAAAAAGGAGTTTAATTGGACTTACAGTTCCACATGGCTGTGGAGGCCTCAGAATCATGGTGGGAGGCACAAGGCACTTCTTACATTGGCAGCGGCAAGAGAAAAATGAGGAAGAAGCAAAAGTGGAAACCCCTGATAAACCCATCAGACCTCGTGAGACTTACTGTGACAAGAACAGCACAGGAAAGACCGACCCCCATGATTCAATTACCTCCCCCTGGGTCCCTCCCGCTACATGTGGGTGATTCAATTACCTCCCCCTGGATCCCTCCTGCAACATGTGGGAATTCTGGGAGATACAATTCAAGTTGAGATTTGGGTGGGGACACAGCCAAACCGTATCACAGGGCTTTAAAGTAATAGATGTGGAAAACACAGAAGAAGGTGTAGTGAAGATGTGGGGTATTTCAGGAGGGATGGAAACTATAAAAGAACTAAACAGGAAGCCTAGAACTGAAACATAAGAGTCTACAATAAAAGATTCATTGGATGGTGCAGCCATGCACCACATAACGATGTTTTTGGTTAACAGCAGACCACATACACAATGGTGGCCCCCTAAGATTACAATGGAGCTGAAAAATCCTCATCGCCTAGTGACATCGGAGCTGTCATAACACTGTAGTGCAATTACTCAATTTTTAATAAACTCACTGTAGCCTAAATGTATAGCGTTTACACAGTCTACAGTAGTGTACAGTAATGTGTAATGTCCTGGGCCTTCACATTCACTCGCGACTTACTCACTGACTCACCAGCAACAGCTTCCAGTCCTGCAAGCTCCATTCATGGTAAGTGCCCTATGTAAGTGTACCATTTCTTAATTTTTATACCATATTTTTACTGTACCTTTGCTGTGTTTAGATATACAAATACCATTACGTTACTGTTGCCTACAGTATTCAGTATAGTCATATGCTGTACAAGTCTGTAGCCTAGGAGCAACAGGCTGTACCATATAGCCTAGGTGTGCAGTAGGGGAAATCATCTAGGTTTGTGTGAGTACACTCTATGATGTCCCTACAAGGAGAAAATCACTAATGCATTTCTCACAACGTATCTCCACTGTTACATGATGCATGACTGTATAACAGAGTGGATACAGCAGAAGAAAAAAATCTATGAACTTGAAGACAGATCAACAGGAGATTTCCAAACTGAAGCAAAGAGACAAAAAGACTGACAACTCTGATACAAATATCTAACAAGGACATCAGAAAAATATGATAAGGGCCGGGTGCAGTGGCTCACATCTGTAATCCCAGCATTTTGGGAGGCCGAGGCAGGTGAATCACTTGAGGTCAGGAGTTCAAGACCAGCCTGGCCAACATTGTGAAACGCCATCTCTACTAAAAATACAAAATTAGCCAGGCGTGGTGATGCGTGCCTGTAATCCCAGTTACTCAGAAGGCTGAGGCAGGACAATCGCTTGAACCTGGAAGGTGGAAGTTGCCATGAGCCAAGATCATGCCATTGCACTACAGCCTGGGTGACAGAGTAGGACTCCATCTCAAAAAAAAAGAAAAAAGAAAAGAAAAATACGATAAGGACATCACAAGAGTATCTAACAAGGACACCACAAGAGCGTTACAGACCAAAATGCCTACCATCAAAAGGGGCAACGTCCTCCTCAAAACATTAGCAAACTGAATCCAGCAAAATAAACACAGACAATACTAAAGAGGCCCATGGACCAACTGGGGTTAATTTAATGCCACTGCACTCTATATTTGAAAATGGTTAAAATACCTGGGAATAAACCTAACAAAAGATGTCCAAGGCCTCCACACTTGAAACTTCAAAAATCACAATATTGAAATGAAAACATGTTCACAAAAATATGTGAAAACAAATGTTCATGGCTTTATTTATAATTGCCCCCAAATGCTCATCAATAGGTGAATAAACATATTGTAGTACATTCATACAACAGAATACTTCTCAATAAACAGGAATGAAGTGCTGTATAGTTAACCAGAATAAATCTTTCAGACATTACATTTAATGAAAGAGGCCAGACATAAGAGTCTCCAAACAAAATGTCAACAGCACAAGGCAGGAATTTTTAGTTTTTATCTGTTGCATTCATTGTTGTATCCTCAATGTCTTGAATGGGACCTGGCGCACAGTTGACCCTCCACAGAAATTTGTTAACTTTTTTTTTTTTTTTTTTTTTTTTGAGAGACAGAGTATTGCTCTGTCGCTCGCCCAGGCTGGAGTGCAGTATCACGATCTTGGCTCACTGCCACCTCCACCTCCTGGAGGTTGATTCTTCTGCCCAGCTTCCCAAGTAGCTGGGACTACAGGCAGTCACCACCACACCCAGCTAATTTTTGTATTTTTTAGTAGAGATAGAGTTTCATCATATGTTGGCCAGGCTGGTCTCAAACTCCGGACCTCAGGTGATAAGCCCACCTCAGCCTCCCAAAGTGCTGGGATTACACGCGTGAGCCACCACGCCCAGCTGAAGCTGAAATGTGTTAACTGAATGAATGATTTCCTTGAGAATTAGACGCTGTATATTACTCTCTGCTTCCAAAATGAAATACTCTGAATATCTGACTGTACTGATAACAGATGTGGCAAAAACATCCACTTGATCCAACTAAACATGCCCAACACCAATGTTTGATATCATAAAAATCCAAGTCAGCAGAACCTTGGAAATACTGGCTTTTGCAATGGCCACCTCTAAGGCCAGGATCACATAAGGTGGCCAGAGGCAGAGAAGACAATGGCTCTGAGGGTGCCAGTTCCCTGGGAAGTAAATTTTATTTTCCCCTACGCTGTTCAGGTGGCTAGTCCCTCCCAGGTAAGCCAAACACTTTCCCCCTTGGAAGGTTGCTGTATCCTTGAAAAACCCTGAAGTCAGTTGGTAAAAGGCTCTCACTGTGCATAATATGGTGTAAGAGCTAGCCCCTGGAATCCACGGGCTCGGGTGGAAACAAAACAACCTAAAGCGGCATTCCATGTGTGAGTGCACATCAAGTGTGCACATTTTCATTATTGTTGAAATGCAAATATCCTGTGTCACCATATGGTCTCATTTATTATTTATTAATTATATTATATATATATATTTTTGAGACGAAGTCTCGCTCTTTTTGCCCAGGGTAGAATGCAGTGGCGCGATCTCGGCTCACTGCAACCTCCACCTCCTGGGTTCAAGCAATTCTCCTGCCTCAGTCTCCCAAGTAGCTGGGATCACAGGCATCTGCCACCATACCGGACTAATTTTGTATTTTTAGTAGAGACGGGGTTTCTCCATGTTGGTCAGGCTGGTCTCAAACTCCCGACCTCAGATGATCCACCCACCTTGGCTTCCCAAAGTGCTAGGATTACAGGCATGAGCCACCATGCCCAGCCTATTTTTTTTTTTTTTTTTTTTTGAGATGGAGTTTTGCTCGTTGCCTAGGCTGGAGTGCAATGGCGCGCTCTCAGCTCACTGCAACCTCCACCTCCCTGGTTCAAGCAGTTCTGCCTCAGACTCCCAAGCAGCTGGGATTACAGGTGTGTGCCACCACACCTGGCTAATTTTTCTATTTTTAGTAGGGATGGGGTTTCACCATGTTGGCCAGACTGGTATTGAACTCCTGACCTCAGGTGATCCGCCCACCTCGGCCTCCCAAAGTGTTGGGATTACAGGCATTGAGCCACCGCGCCCAGCCTATAGTCTGCATTTAGAAATGTGTATCTATTCTCGAATTATCTTACTGATGATTGTCTATTTAGTCACCTACTGCTTGTATCACATAACCTTAAATTCAGTTTCTAGCTTTTATTCCGGTTCTGTACTATGGGATTTAAGGAAAGTTGTATTTTCTAGAAAACAGAACTTACCATAAAAAGATGTCACTGAGAAAAAAATTAGACTGGCTTCCCTCCTTCAAGTTCTGTCTGAATTAAGTTGAACTTGATTAGGTTGGTGGTCTGAGGGCTTTAATATCAAATGCCAAATGTCAGCCTTTTGCCTGAGTTTGTCAGCAATAAGGTGGCTTGGTTTTTTTGTTTGTTTATTTATTTATTTATTTTTTAAAACATGGAGTCTCGCTCTGTTGGCCAGGCTGGAGTGCAGTGGTGTGATCTCGGCTCACTGCAACCTCCACCTCCCAGGTTCAAGCAATTCTCAGGCATCAGCCTCCCTAGTACCTGGGATTACAGGCACGCACCACCACGCCTGGCTAATGTTTGTATTTTTAGTAGAAAGAGGGTTTCACCAAGTTGGCCCGGCTGGTTTCCATCTCCTGACTTCAAGTGATCAGCCCGCCCTGGCCTCCCAAAGTGCTGGGATTACAGGCCTGAGCCACCATGCCTGGCCTGGCCTGGTTTCTGCTCACGTCATTTCTAATTACCAGCTTCTTACTTGGCACTTTCAATTTTATAGTGCTGTTTTCCTGTAATTAGGATAAACTCTGAACTAGACTTATGAAAACTCCCCGAAAATAGCAATGGAAGGAGTTTGGGCTGGCAGCTGGCCGAATTCCGTGTAGACACACTTGGCGAGCGGTGCCTTCGAATCATCCACTTGGCGAGAGGTGCCTTCAAATCATCCACCTGGAGAGGCTCATTATGTGGGTGAAACATATGGGGCTGGAGCTGGGGAGATAAGTCAGACTTGAAAACAAGGAGTCCCGGGTCACAAACATCTGGATGGAGAACGGCTGAAGTCTTGGAATTAACTGATTCTTGTTCCCATAAGAAAATAACAGGGCCATGGCCCCAGGAAGGTGATTTCCCAGAGGCCAATAATTAACATAACTTTTCATTATTCAAAAGAATAACACACTTTCCTTGAGCAGGTGTGTGTGTGTGTGTGTGTGTGTGTGTGTGTAGCACAATATGCATGCACACACCTGTGGGCCATGGGGTGGGTCCAGGACAGCAACACACGCCAGCCAAGGGCTCTGGTGCTCTGACTTCGGGAAGGCAGCACGCCCCACCCCACCACTTCCCTCCCACTAGAAGCAGGACCTGTGTATGGGCCTATACTCATCTAAATGTGCCACGTTTCAGCAGAGCAGGAAAAACAAAACCCACATATGAAATATGAGACAGGCAGCCTAGCATTAATCTCCAAGCACGACCAACACTGCCGCTGAGTCAGCTTGGATAACCCGGGCCTCGGAAGGTCCATCTGTGGAGGCACCGCCTTTTCTTCAAGCTTTGTTCTCCATATACACACCCTCCTCACCCCCAATTAAACAGGGATAGAAGGGAAAGCAATGTCTTATGGTGGTAAATCCTTTAACCTTCAAGGATATCCACCTCCCTCAACATGCACAAGCTTTAGTCCCACACATCACAGCGCTCACGCGTGTGGACAGGCCAGGGCAGCACCCAAGGAAGAGCCACGAGTGGAAGGCCTGAGTTAGCAACCATCAGAGTTCATGGCTAAGAATCCATGGTACCATGTCTTGCTGTCACGCTGCACACAGGGCTAAGCCAAGGCGATACTACTATTCGCTGTTCAACTCTCCATTTATACAGACAGGACACACCTCTTGACCAACAATGAAAGAATGCGAACTGTTGTGCATTTTCTATAGAAGTGGCCCAAAAGAGGTGTCACTGATTGATAAACTGGTCGAGTAAAAGAATCAGAGAAACTGTGGATTATTGTTTTAAGCTCACTGATTCTCTCCTATCTTTGGTTAAGGTCCAGAGATATCGTAAGCATATCATCACGGTGGGGCGGGGGAGGAGTCAGTCTACTGAAACAGAATCAGGGTCACTGGGGAAAAGAAACTCATGGCTGCAGAAAGATGACAGCCAGTGGGCTGCTACTACACACTACAAAGTCAAAGGATGTCCTCGTGTGGAAAAGCCCTCTGCCAGAAAGCACAGTGGTGGTTACCAGAGGCTGGGACTGTGGAACTGGGGAGATGTTGGTCAAAGGATACAAAATTTCAGTTAGAAGGAGGACTAAGGTCAAGAGATCGGTTTTACAACATGACTATAGTGAATAACAATGTATTGGCAGATCACCTGGGGTCAGGAGTTCGAGATCAGCCTGGCCAATATGATGAAACCCTGTCTCTACTAAAAAACCAACCAACAAACAAAAAAATTAGCCAGGCATGGTGGTGCACGCCTGTAATCCCAGCTCCTCGGGAGACTGAGGCAGAAGAATTGCTTGAACCTGGGAGGCGGAGGTTTCAGTGAGCCAAGACTGTGCACTGCTGCACTCCAGCCTGGGCGAAAAAGCGAGACGCTGTCTCAAAAAAAAAAAAATGCCAAAGAGAATAGACTTTAAGTGTTTTCACTACAAGAAAATGATGAGTTGTCAAGTGAGACATATGTCCATTAACTTGATTTAGCCATTTCACAATGTACACATATATCAAAACATCGTGTTGTACACTGGAATATAGATAATTTTTATTGAATACATAAAGGTGGGAATAGAAAAAAGTATTTGTAGAAAACTTTAATTCCCCCATGGAAAAAAAATCCAAAAGATACTTCAGGAAAAAATAATGAAAAAGTTCAACAAAGTTGTGGGTGTAAGATTTGTATTTAAAATTTAATGCCTTTCTCAACCACCACTAGCACACAATTTAAAAATAAAATTTGGGAGAGAAAGATTATCAGTATCATTAGCAGAATCAATGAACCACCTGGAAACATACTTAAGAAAGATATGCCGGGTCGTCATGGAGAAAATTATAAAACTATATTGCAAAGGGCACAGAGGCCGGGCCTGGTGGCTCACGCCTGCAATCCCAGCATTTTGGGAGGCTGAGGCGTGTGGATCACCTGAGGTCAGGAGACCAGCCTGACCAACATGGTGGAACCCTGTCTCTACTAAAAATACAAAAATTAGCCGGGCGTGGTGGCAGGCGCCTGTAATCCCAGCTACTCAGGAGGCTGAGGCAGAGAATCACTTGAACCTGGGAGGCGGAGGCTGCAGTGAGCCGATACCGTGCCACTGCACTGCAGCCTGGGCAACAAGAGCGAAACTCCGTCTCCAAAGAAAGGAAAGAAAAAAAATAAAAGCACACAGACAACTTAAAGAAATATCAAACTACAAACTAGAAACAGCAGCATTAGTTCTCCCCTAATCAATCAAACTTCTATTCAATTCTAATACAAAGATATAAAATTCACAAGGAAAAGAACAAGGCAAATAACAGGAAAGATAATTTAGAAAAATGGTATGGTAATAAGGTGGGTCAATCATCAGTTTAGGCTGCCATAACTAATATCATAGACGGTGGCTTAAGCAACAGAATGTATTTTCTCACACTCTGGAGGCTGGAAGTCCAACATCAAGGTGCCAGCCACTTTGGCTCCTGGTGGGGGTTCTCCTCCTGCCTTCCAGATGGCACCTGAGATCTCTGTATCTCTTCCTCTTGTATAAAGACACCAGTACTCTTGGATCAGGGCTCCACCCTTATGACCTTATTTAACCTTAACCACCTTTCTAAAGGTCCTGTCTCCAGTACAGGCTCTGTCACCACATGAATTTGGTGGGAAACACATTTCAGTCCATAGCAGTAGAGGAGGGTATGTTTCCCTATATATGGCAAGATATATTACAAAGCTGTACTGTTAGCATACTGTGGAATTCGTCCAGGAACAGAAGCTATAGGGACAAAACAGCCTATAAGCAGACCCCCATCTATAGAAATTTCACACAGGACAGGGGTGATATTAAATTTAATGATTACAGATTAGGTAATTCATTAGATGATGCCAAGACTCCAGGCCATCTGTAGAGAAAAATGTTATAGGAGAATACTAGCTTATACCAGCATAAAAATAAATTCTAGATGGAGTAATAACTATGTAAAGGCATATACCTAGAAATTATTTTGAAACTCTTATAAAGCAAGAAAAACACATATTCTTTCTTTTTTTTGAGACTAAGTATTGTTCTGTCGCCCAGGCTGGAGTGAAGTGGCGTGATCTTGGCTCACTGCAACCTCCGCCTCCCAGGTTCAAGCAATTCTCCTGTCTCCGCCTCCCAAGTAGCTGGAATTACAGGCATGTGCCACCATGCCCAGCTAATTTTTATATTTTTAGTAGAGATGGGGTTTCACGATGTTGGCCAGGCTGGTCTTGAACTCGTGACCTCAGGTGATCCACCCGCCTTGGCCTCCCAAAGTGTTGGTATTACAGGCATGAGCCGCTGCACCCGGCCGAAAAACACATATCCTAACAGAAACATGGACAAAGTGCAGGCTATTTTAGTTATCTACCATAGTTATTTTCTATAATGTCACGACAAACACTGAATTAGTGAATATTGAGCCACTGTTCCCAGGGAAAATACAGTTAGTTTTCTGAGAGCCTCTGGTTAAAACATTTGCTTCAACCAATCAATACACATCTTGTTTTATGTACATTTTTGGTTAAAGACATCTTATTTGATGTATATTATTGATTCGTGGAAAACGCACAGCCTCTAACAACACATCTTCTCCGTAAGGCACATCACAGCTCCCTGCACTTGGGACACCAGATGGCACTTCAGCGCCACGCCTGGGAGCCATTTACAACAGCAGAATCACCAACAGAAAGCACACAAATAGGAAAAACGTGACACTAAGTAGACAGAAAGGATATGTGCTCACAGTATGAGGACTAGAACAAGAAGGCAGTGTAGTTTGGTTCAGTCTCAGCTGGAAACATGTGTCAGGGAGCTCAGGTTTTTCTCCACTCTGTGCATGTCCAAGAATGACCATGAAAATACCACGAGTGTTGATTTGGGGGACACGAAGTTTAGTGAATAAGCAAATTTGCAAATATGGAATCTGAAAATAATGAGGATAGGCTGGATACACACAGGCAATGCAATGGCTTTTAGAACGACAAAATGATGTTCAACCTCACTATTTACTGGTGAAATGTAATGTAAAATTACTATTTGACACCTAAGATGCTGGCAACATTTTAAGTTCTGATAATACCATGTGCTAGAAAACATGAGGAAATAATAACTCATGTGTTGCAGGTGAGGCTATGAATGACTTGGCCATCATAGAGGGCAATCTGGCCATTCCTGGGAGAGGTGGGAGATGCACACCCGTAATCCTGCTTCCTGATCTCTGTCCCTGGAGGACTTTCACCCATAGGGACAAAGAGACTTGGGATGCACAGTCACTATAAGAGGGTCCCTATCAGTGAAAAGAACTAACCTTCACTCGGCAGTCAATGCATGATTCAAGTGGAAACTGACTCACAGAATGGAATACTGTATATTAGTTAAAATGAATTTAACTATGTATTAACATGGACTTTCAGACTGGAAAGGTCTCCACATCAACCTCCCAAAAAAAGTCTAGTTATGCATCATTTACAAGAGACCTACATAAAACAGAACACAAAAAGGTGAAAGACTAAAGAGTGGGACAGGAATCATAAAAACGGTTCCTGGCAAATGCAAATTTAAAAAGCATGTGGAACTCTATTATTGTTAGGCAAAACTGAATTCAAGGCAAAAAGCACTAAAAGGGACTGTAAAAAGAAACCAAAAAACCCCACAAAAACCTATATAACCTTAAAATACACACAAAATATTAAAAATAGAGAACTAATAGAAACTAGCAAATCCAGATTGAGTGTGGGTGACTTTCACAAATCTTCAGGTATCTGGTACTCATGTGGATAAAAAATATATAGATATTTTTAATAACATACTTAATACTCAATCTCACAGATGAGTCAAGAAATGTGCAGATACATCAAAGCACACGTATTTTTGAAACAACAGGCAAGATTCACAAAAATGGACCGTATCTAACTGGTTACAAAGAAAAATCTCAATAAATTATCAAGAATAAAACATAAACAGCCCATATTCACTAATAATAATGCAACAAAAATCAGAAAACAGTATCAAACAACAGAAGCCTAAATGCGTGGTGGAAGCAGGGAGATGGTATTCAGAGGAAACTTTACAGCTTTAAATACATTTATTTGAAAATTTAAAAATGACTAGTAAAAATTGCTTTTTCAAGAGGCTGGAATGATATAAAAAATCACTTGAATCACTGCATACACCGGAATAGCTACACTTAAAAAGGCTGACCACACCAATGTTGGGAAATATGTGGAGTCATCACAAGTCTCCCACACTGTGGGTGGAGGTAAAAAGAGTTCAGGAGAAGGCCCAGGAATGTCTTATAAAATTAAGCACACACATGCCCTATAATGCAGCAATTCTACGCCTAGTTAACACTAACAGAAATGAAAATGCATGTCCACAAAAAGTATAGAGTATTCCTATACAAGGAACTTTATTCATAGTAGTCAAGCCTGGAATCTGCTTAGGTGTCCTTCAACAGGAGAATGGATAAATCAACGCGTATGTTCATACCATAAAATGCTATTCAGCAATAAACAGCTGTAACCTACTGATACATGTACAACACAGATGAATCTCAAAAGCACTATGCTAAAAGGACGCCAGGCTTAAGTGGCTACATCCTGAAGGATTTCATTTCTGTGATGTTTAATAACAGGAAAAACTAGTCCATTACTTAAAAAATCAGAATAGTGGGTGCCTGGGGTAGAAGGGAGTTGACTAGGAAGTTGCACGACAGAGCCTGCAAGCGTGACAGAGATTCTGTATCTGGATAGGGTGTTTCGATTGCAGAGATTTATGCATTTGTCAGACCTTATAGTGCTATACTTAAGATGTGTGCATTTCACTGGTATGCAAATTTTAACTGAAGAAGGAGGAGCAAGAATCATAAACAGATACTGAACTCTCATTAATGATATATATGCTGAAGTATTTCAGGGTAAATGTACAAGTATCTGCAACTCAGTGAAATGAATGAAAAATCAGATGGATTGATGGACAGATGGAGGCTGGATGGAACGATAAGTGATAAAGTTAGCACAGTAAAATGTAAATGCTAGCATCTAGCTGGTGAGTATACAGGAGCCCACTATAAAATTCTTTCAACCGTATGTTTGAAATTTTTCATTATAAAATGTTAAGAAAAAGAAAACACCTCAAAACACAAAGGAAAGTAGTCCTTGATAAGAAAATTCAATTTAGATATTAATTCTCACCAAACTGACCTAAAAATTCATTGTAATTCCAATCAAACTACCATCAGAATCTTTCAAGGAAATCATGACATTCTTTAACAAGACATAACATGAAAAACAAATTATTAATTTGTAAAAGTTTTAATTTCTATATGATCAAGAAATAAGACATAAAGAATTATCAAAATTCATTAAGAAACAATGTAAAGGAAAAATGAGCGAAGAATATGAAGTGGCAATTGACAAAGAGGAGACATGAGTGCCAAGCAATGTGTGTCCACATGCTCAGCCTCACTAGTAACCAGGGAAATGGAGAACAAAGCAGGTCATTTATTCATTTTTCATCCTTCAGAGTGGCAGAAGTTAACAAGTTTGGAAGTCATCTTATGGAAGATAAGGAGAAATGGGTCCTTTGACGTTGTCGGGAAAGTAACCTACGAATGACCATTTGGCAGTATCAGTTTTAAAAAGGGGATGCCTGTGCCCCTTTAGTTTTTCCTCTTCAGAATCTCTCCTAGAGAAACCCAGCCACAGGTCTCAGGGCCAGGGAAGGGAGACGCGGTGGCACGAGTGGCTGGGATGAGGCTTCCCTGATGGGAATGCCTGTCACAATGGAACAGTCACATGCTCTGCACATGAGTCCAGAAACAGGGAAAGAGAGCATCTGGAAACCTCAAATACACTGAGATGGAAAGATTTCTGTGAATACTGTTAACTAAACATGTCAAGTATAGCATCATTTATGTAAAAAAGTATATAAAACTGATAAGAGGTATTTCTTTTTAAAAATATTTTTGTGTTTATTGTCAAATAGCACTCCAGAAATTTCTCATCAATAGTGTATAGGTAAGCATATTTCTTCATTGCCTCAATAATACTGAGTAATTTATGTGCTTTTAGACCTTTTTTCAAGTTGATTGTTTTGTATTTCCTTAGGTAGATGTATGTATGTACTGAGTGCCTACAAACTCCCTGGATGATTTACCTTTATGACAAGGGAGGCAGGAGGCCTGGAAGGATGGGAGGTCAGGCGGGACTTTCCGAAACTGCCCCAGTCATTTACATCAATGTGTGGATTAAATCCATAACTTAAAGTGAGAAGAAAGTCAATGTAAAAATATTGTGAAATAATTTATATAAATATATATATTTACAATTTGTATATAAATATATGAATGTTTAATATTTGTATAATTATAGCTCTGTAATTATATGTTATGTATTTACAATATATTATATAGTTACATAATATATTTATGTAACTATATATAAATGAACTATAAAAGTTTTATTTATAAAATACATAAATATAGGCCGGGTGCAGTGGCTCATGCCTGTAATCTCAGCACTTTGGGAGGCCAAGGTGGACGGATCACTTGAGGTCAGGAGTTCGAGACCAGTCTGGCCAACATGGTGAAACCCCGTCTCTACTAAAAATACAAACATTAGCCGGGCATGGTGGTGCGCATCTGTAATTTCAGCTACTCGAGGCTCAGACAGGAGAATTGCCTGAACTTGGCAGGCAGAGGTTGCAGTGAGCGGAGACTGCACCACTGCACTCCAGCCTGGGTGACAGGGCGAGACTCTGTCTCAAAAAATAAAATAACTAAAATAAAAGACATAAATATAAAATAAGAGAGAACAATAGTTCAACTTTTGAAATGACTTATATGCCTTTTTCCAAAGCCCCATAATTGTGCTCATGATGCAATTTCTTCTTTCCTTACTCTGTGTCTGAAGGACTATTAAGGAAAAATGCTCCATCACTATTGCTCAGCACAGAATCTTCCCAAATATCTTCCCTCTAGGTCAGGTGTGGTGGCACACACCTACAATCCCAGTGATTTGGGAGGGCGAGACAGGAGGATTGCTCGAGGCAAGAGTTTGTCACCAGTCTGGACAGCATAGTGAGACCCCATCTCTACAAAAAATAAGAAAAAATTATCCGGGTGTGTGGTGGCACGCACCTGCAGTCCCAGCTACTTGGGAGGCTGAAGGGGGAGGATGGCCTGAGCCCAGGAGTACAAGACTACAGTAAGCTGTGATCGTGCCACTGCACTCCAGTCTGGGTGAAAAGCCAGGCCTGTCTATTTGGGGGGGGAAAAAAATCTGCCCTCTGCAAGCAAGCTGCTGATGTCTGCTGAGACAGGTCGCTGCCCTGCCCAGCCTCCCAACGTGGTGTTGCAGCACATCATGGGTGGGTAATGGGTACAAGGCCCAGGGAAACAGAAATCAGCCAACACTGCACACTTTACCAACCATATAGTGTTCATGCTATTGTTCAGAACATCTCAAAGTGAAGCACTGCTCTCCAATATGTCTGAGGAGGAAATGCAGGAAACCCGGACAGTCACTGCTCATCTCAAACACCGGCAATGGAATGAGCACTCCTCTGGGTACACGATGGGAGAGTGTGGGCAGTTCAGAGGGGACTCTCCCAAGACAGCCTGGCCACAGTGGAATAACCTCGTACTGGGAAACCAGAGGCCTGAGTTCAAAGCCACTGCTGTCAGCAGCTCGTGAAGGAGTGTGAGCCTGGCTGTGAGCCTCGGTCTCCTCATCTGCAAGGTGGGGTTGAGACTCCCACCCACTGCCACGGGGTGGCCCAAGGCTCAGGGGCACACATTTATTAACTGCAGCTGGTAGTGCTGGGATTTCAGAGTGAATTACGTCCCTGTTTCCCAATGTCCTAATGAGCCGGTATCCTTCCTGGTGCCCAGGCAACCTGGCCTGTATATTTATACTCCTCTCAGTAGCCCTGTGTAAGGTCACAATCACAGAAAGAAATTAACCATTTTTGTTTTTCTGACTTTTTTTCTGTACAAGAAACATGAAAAATGTAAATGTTTCCCAACCCTAAGCAAGCACGTGGCCACCCCTGTGTGAAGCCCAGCCAACTTCTAGCAAATTCGGCAAAGACATGAGCTGGCAGGATTTAAACCCCGGATTCCTACATAACAAAAACCCTCAGAGCAGCAGAACACGGCTTGGGGAAAACAGATACTTACTGAAAGTTATGATTTGGGCTGTGCGTTGGACCTAAAAAGAGGAAACAAAAAGACAAGTTATTAATACTCCATGATTTGGAATACAACCTTCTTCAAATCAGGCCAGTGGCAAACAGGCTGAAGCCAGCGGGCTCACTGGTGGGCAGCTGTCCTCGGGCCTCAGGCTCCACTCGTGATTACGTCAGCAAGGCTGGAAACCACACACAAGGGAAGGGGTGCTTTGTCACTGAGGATATCTTTGTTTTTGGAGTTTTTGCTGTCCTTACTCTCTCTCTTCTCATCTAGTCTTTACACACAAAATCTGTTTTACTACTTATGATCGGATGGCGTGGGCTTCGGTGGCAGGGCCGGGGCGTTTGCTGCCTGGGAGTTTTTCACAGGTGGGATGAAGGGGGACACAGTCCTTCCTGCCACTTAATTCCTTCACCAGGTGTGACGAGCACAGAGACTCAGAATCTCTGGTCATCGCACTCAGCTCTCTCCCCACCCCAGCCAGGTCAGCCTCGGGCCCTACCTAGCCGTCCTGCAGTGTGGCCACTCTCCCACTGACACCTGACCTCCTAACAAACAGCCTTCCTGCTAAACACCTCAGCTCCTCGTGTGTGCCTGGGATTGTCTTCTGGGCTCCAGGTCCATAAACCTCTCCATCTGCACCTATTTTCTTTTTGTTCTCTTTTTTTTTTTTTTTTTTTTTTTTGAGACAGAGTTTCACTCTTGTCACCCATGCTGGAATGCAATGGCGTGATCTCGGCTCACTGCAACCTCCACCTCCCAGGTTCAAGCGATTCTCCTGCCTCAGCCTCCTGAGTAGCTGGGATTACAGGCGCCCGCCACCATGCCAGGCTAATTTTGTATTTTTAGTAGAGATGGAGTTTCTACTAAACTGGCCAACTACTACCATGTTGGCTAGGCTGATCTCAAACTCCTGACCTCAGGTGATCCGCCCACCTCGGCCTCCCAAAGTGCTGGAATTACAGGCGTGAGCCACCGTGCCTCGCCCTATTTTCTCTTATTACTAGTAAATGGGTAACAGGTCAAGCTGGGCCCTGGGGCACATGGGGAAGGCCCTAGGGAACGGTTTCATTGCTCTCCCCTCGTGCTGACTGGTGTGTGTTCAGTTTCAAATAGCAACTGGACCTCTTGCTCGGTGGCTGGGAACCTTCATATCTGCTAACCCACACAATTTCACTGTCCAACTCACCCAGCCGCACAAACAGGACGCCAGTGGCGGTAATGGTCTTCATCCCGTTGGTGGCCACGCACTGGTAGTAGCCAGTGTCTGTCGTGTCCAGGTCCTGGATTCGCAGTCGTGAACCATATTCTGTCTTCCGGATGATGATCCGCCGCGGCTCCTGCACCACCGGGGCATCATTCTTTAGCCACCGCACGTTAGGGGGTGGGTTTCCTGCCACCTTGCAGTGCAGAATTGCCGTCTGGCCTTGGACAATGGTGATATTGTTTACTGGCTCCAGAAAATTCAGAAAGTAACCTGCCAAGGAGAGCGGTCACAAAAGAGCAAGCGTCAGTGAGGGCTGGAAGGAAGGGCTACCTGGGGGCTCTGCTATGAACTCTTCCAAGGGAAGGTTTCGATTTTTGTCACCTACTAAAATAGGTTGTTATCTGCGGTAATTATCTTCTAGAAAGCTACAGGGAACACTGAATTAGTGAATACTGAACCACTGCTCCTATGGGAAATACAGAGTCAAATTCCTGTGAGCCTCTCGTCATAATACTTTCACCAACCAACCAATACATAACCTTGGTTTATGTGTGTTTCTGTTTAAAGACACCATATTCAATGTGTACTGTTGATTCCTTCACATTGAACCCATGGCCAACAGCCTCATAACTCATGCCTGAACGAAGCTTCTCTCACACACATTTTTTTCTCCATAAGGCATGTCGCAGCTTTCTTGCACTTAGGAACACCAGACCACTTCAGTGCTGTGCCTGGGGGCCATCATAAACAATAAAATCACCAACAAAAAGCCCAAATATGCAAGAAACTTGGCACTAAATAGACCAAGAAAAGGCCACATGTTCACAATATGAGGGCAGAAACCAGGGAGCAGACCATCGCCTTGTTTAGCCCCAGCTGGGACACAAATTTTTCACTGCCGTGGGCGTGTGTCTGTGAAAGGCCACAAAAGCACCGTAAGTATTGATTTGGAGGTTACAAATAGACTTTAGGTATTAGGTGAACTCACAATTACGGAATCTGCAAATGATGAGGATCAACTGTGCTTCTCTTTCCAAACACTACATCTAACCCAGGCTGGTCAAAATGATGTAAATTCACGCTCAGAAAGTCCCTCCTCCTTGCCTACCATATCATTAAGCACAAAGCCACAGAAGTAAAATATTAAAAAAAGATGTGTGACAAAACATGGACATCCCCAAACCAAGCTAATCACAGTCCTGTAAATAGAACAGAAGTTACAATGCTGATGAGGGGGAGCTGAAGGCTTTGTCCTGCTGCACCCAGGTCCAGAGCAGACAGAAGCAGTCCCGCGCACACACACTAGGGGGCACACAGGGTCTTAAAGCACCCAGAATGGGGAGTGAGTGGGCTGCTCCTAAAATAGGAGCTGGAAACACTGCCCTGATAAGTGGGGAGCCCAGTACAGCCACAGGCAGGAGCTCTAGGGGGCAACGCAAGGCTACAGGGAACAAGGGGAAGTGAAAGGGACAAAGGAGGAGGGATGTGTGTGAGTATGCATGTGTGGTGTTTGTGTGGTGCACATGTATGTGTGTGCCTGCACACGCAGGTGTGTGGTGTGGTCAAGAGGCTGGAGAACTACTCCGTCTCTTAAGAGGAACATGCAAATACAATTCTGTTAATGTAACATGTAGGGAAAACTAATGTTGGACAAGAAAGTTAATCATCAACATGAACTTACATCAGACAAAGCTAAAACAACACAGCAATCTGAAAATGACTTCAAAACAGATACATCCATGTTCTGAATCTTTTGGCTCATTTCTGGTTGGCCTTGATCCTTTCTTTTCAAGTGAAGTTGAAAGATGGCAGGCATCTGTTGTTACAGATTTAATCGGAAAATTATAGTATTTCTAGTGAACCCTAAGGGTAAGAAGTGTTGTAGGATCCTCCAGCATCTGTGGAGGTGGAGGTGATGGAGAGGTGGGGGAAGCCAGGCGGTGGATTTAAGATGAGGAGACGGTCTTCATTCACGGGACAGTGGAAACGCACCTGTCTGCAGAGTAGTCATTAATGAGCAGAGACCACTACTTATAATTATTATTAACATCATTAGGTTCTACCTGGATACTCTCCTAGCCAACCCTTTTCCATTCACTGAATTAAGTTATAGAAGGTACTTCTTATTGACAACATAAAGCTGGAAGGTCACTAAAATGCTGATGACAATTCTTTAAAAAGATAGGCTGAATCAGGCAGGGTAAAGTTCTGTATGTATGATCTTCATTAACTCAACCATACAGGCACAGCATGGGGAATCTGCATTCCCCATGCTCCCGTCTACTGGATCCCATGTCTTTGTTTCTCTGTTGAATGCAGTATCTAATCTGCTGTGACGATGTGAAGTGGTGGTTTTGATATAATCTGGGCTGCCCATCCCAGCATATCATTTCACTGTGTTCTGGCCAGACTAGCATTGAAAAGAATATTGCTAAATGGCCAGCAGCTATACCTGGGAAGGTGCTGAGGCAGTGGCATATAAAGGCCTGCCCAGGTGGGAAGGGACCAGGATAGAGTCTCACGGACAGCACCACGTTCCAGCCAGGCCTTGAGGCAGCCATCTTCACATTATATTGGAAGCTCAGTGGGACCAGTACTCAGATGGGGCCATCATTAGGTAACCTGATAATTTACAGCTGTCTCCCCAAGTAGGTGAGTAAAATTGAGCCTTCAGAAAGAAATCAGAAAGACAGATAATGGAGAATAACTAGATTATATCCACAGTATCAACGCTCCCAAATTTTTCTCTAACCTCCCCACACTTCTTCCCCACTGGACAGGGAGTCCCTTGCTCTCTCCAAAGCACAGCAAGCTGGTTCCTTGTTGTTCAGTTGGCCAAGGCCACTCCTCAGTGTTCTTTGCTGTCTCTCATGTATCACACCTGCTGAAATGTCCCCTCCATGGAAGGTGTTTTCTGGCTGCCCATCTAAAACAAGCTCTATTCACTTCTAACCTTGCCTTTCCCCTCCCCACTAAATCACTTGGCTTGTTGCTGTGGCAACATCACATTTGTTAAATTATGATGACTGAAGTACGTTTGGACATTAAGAAAAACAACTGTGGGCTAGGTGCGGTGGCTCACGCCTGTAATCCCAGCACTCTGGGAGGCCGAAGCGAGTGGATCATGAGGTCAGGAGATGGAGACAATCCTGGCTAACACAGTGAAACCCTGTCTCCACTAAAAATAAAAAAAAATTAGCCAGGCGAGGTGGCGGGCGCCTGTACTCCTTGCTACTCGGGAGGCTGAGGCAGGAGAATGGCGTGAACCCGGGAGGCGGAGCTTGCAGTGAGCCGAGATCGCGCCACTGCACTCCGGCCTGGGTGACAGAGCGAGACTCTGTCTCAAAAAAAAAAAAAAAGAAAAGAAAAACAACTGTTACTTTTTGAGGGCAATATTCTCAATTTCATTGCTACTTTTCTCTTCTAAATTTTAAAATCATCCCAGCAAGTTCCATTTTAAAAGTAGGACTTTAATGGATAATTTGCATAAAACTACCCACTTCATGATATTGAGAAAGCATGGTCTATGTATCTATTTCAGACCTTCTGAAGTATTCAGAAAAGCTTTGTAATTTTCTTAATATAGATCTTCACATATATTTTTAGGTAGATTTCTAGCTGTTCTCTAATTTTTCTTACTATTGTAAATACTTTTTCTATTATTTCTGTCTAAATGACTTTAGGTTTATAGGGAAACTATTAGATAGCAATCATCTACATAGTGTACTAATTTCCTGTGGCTGCTGTGACAAGTTACCACAAACAGGGGTGTAAAGCAACACATATCTTTCATCTTACAGTTATGGGGGTCAAAGTCCTCATATCCATGTGACACGGGCTGCCTTCCTTCTAGAGGCTCTGTGTGAGAACTGCTTTCCTCAAACCTTGCCAGGTTTCCAATGAAACCAACCCAACAGTCCCATAGACCAGTGGTCCCCAGTCTTTTTAGCACCAGGGACCAGTCTCATGGAAGATAATCTTTCCATGGCCTGAGGTAGGGGCCTTGGTTTGGGGATAATTCAAGAGCATTACATTTATTGTGCACTTTATTTCTATTTATTTATACAACTCACCATAATGTGTAGAATCAGTGGGAGCCCTGAGCTTGTTCTCCTGCAACTAGTAGTCCCGTCTGGGAGTGACAGGAGACAGTGACAGATAATCAGGCATTAGACTCTCATAAGCGCACACCCTAGATCCCTCAGATGCACAGTTCACAATAGGGTTTGAGCTCCTATGAGAAGCTAATGCCACTGTTGATCTGACAGGAGGTGGCGCTCAGGTGGTAATGTAATTGATAGGGAGTGGCTGTAAATACAGATGAAGCTTCACTTTCTCACCTACTGCTCACCTCCTGCTGTGTAGCCCAGTTCCTAACAGGCCACGCACCAGTACCAGTCCATGGCTGGGAGGTTGAGGACCACTGCCATAGACAGTTCTTTTGGATAAACATAGAAATTGACCCTTCCTCAGGAAAGGACCTCTCAAAAAAGTATCAAAGAATTGAAACTCACCAGATCATCACATCACATCCAGACAATAAGACACTAGGCCCCTCCATCATCAGGATGGCTTCCTTACCCCTTCCATGTTCCTGTTTTCCCACACATAGCTACCTTTCTTCCCTGCTATATAAAGCCCTCATTTTAATCAGACAGGGAGATGGATTTGAAGCTGAGCTCCCATCTCCTCAGCTGCATCACCGGATTAAAGCCTTCTTTCTTGGCAATAATTGTTGTCTCAGTGATTGGCTTTCCGTGTGGTGAGCAGCAGGACCTAGACCAAACCCCGGTGTTTCAGTAACATTAGGGACCCCCTCTTTCCTTGGCCAGTGATTCCTCATTGCATCACTCCACCCTCTGCTTCCATTGTCACATCTACTGCTGAATCCAGTCTTCCAGCCCCGGTTTCCTAAGGACCTCTGTGGTTACACTGGGCCTACCCGGATAAGAGAGAATGATCCTCTTTTCTCAAAATAATTAACTTAATCCCATTTGCAAGTTTTTAAAGATCTTGCCACTTTACTCAGCTATCTTAGTTATAACAGTTTCTGAGTTGATTGCCTTGGATTTTCCACATAGATACCATCTTCCTCAAATAACAATAACATAACCTTTTTGCTTTCAAAATTCATATCTCCCATATCTTTTTGCCTAATTGTTTTTTCAACATTCTTTTTTGATTTAAAAATGTTAAATGCTAAAATGCTGCAAACATACAGAAAAAACACAGCTATCAAACAATAACCATGAACAAAACGTATAAAGATTTGACATTAATTTTCCCATATTTCACTTTGAACACTTAAAAAAAATTCTAGAATGCAACCAAAACCTACTCTTGCTTATTTTTCTCCAGAGAACTTGTATGCATCATTCCAATGCATATTTATATTATTTTATGCTTTTAGAAATTTTCCCTGAAAGGTCATATTTGCTAGTTGATTTCACCCATCTATGTTGGTTGATGTGCTCCATTTATTTTAATTACTGTGTAATAGAATAGCCCATTATACAAACAAGCCACAATTTCCTTATCCATTTCCCAGTTGAAGGACTGTAAGCTATTTCCACATTATTGCTATTGTAACATTTAATGACCACCTATATAGATGTCTTGTCCTGTGCATATACAAGAGTCTCTCAAAAGTACATACATGACTGGATAAAGAAAATGTGGTACTTATACACCATGGAATACAATGCAGCCATAAAAAAAATCATATCCTTTGCGCAACATGGATGCAGCTGGAGGCCATTACCCTAAGCAAATTAACACAGGAACAAAACCCCAAATACCTCATGTTCTCACTTATAAGTGGGAATAAAACACTGAGTACACATGGACATAAAGAAGGGAACAACAGACACCAGGGCCTACGGGAGGACTGAAGGTAGGAGGAGGGTGAGGATTAAAAAACTACCTATTGGGTACTATGCTCATTACCTAGGTGACAAAGTAATCTGTACACCAAACCCCCACGGCACACAATTTACCCATGTCACAAACCTGTACATGTACCTCCGAACCTAAAATGAAAGTTGGAAGGGGAAAAAAGTATCCACTTGGATGTGGTGTCATAGAGTCTTGAAATCTTTCATTGATCTGAGTCTCAAAAGTGCTTGAAACAATTTGTACTTCACTAACAATATCTGAGTTAAAGTGCTTCCCTACAGCTGTGCCAGAATTTGGTGTTTGGGTGCTTTAAAATATTTGCCAATCTGATAGGTGCTGCGCTACAGTTTTAGTTCGCATCTTATGAATTCCTCGTGAGCTTCCACATCCTTTGGAATATTTCTCGTCATTGGGGCTCCCCTTGTGTAACTGCCTGTTCATCTCTCTATTCTGATGCTTTTTCCAACTTCTGTAGTTAATTCATTTTATATCTTTTTCCTTTTCTATGTATGCATTAAGTGTAAAATTTTCCTTCCACTCTTCTTTAGCCATCCAATTAATTAATCTTCACATCATTAGTCAGACCCAAATATTGTGTAATATATCTTATGACATTTTTCTTTTAGCTATGAGTTATTTAAAGTGTGCTTTAATTGCACTGTTGTCACAGAACATGGTCTGTGTGATCACAATTCTTTGAAGCCACTGAGATATGCTCCGCAGAGTCGGCTTCCTGAAGATGGTCCACATATGCGTAGTAAGAATGTGCTTATTCTACATTCATGGCAGAGTTTTAAGTGCCCATTTGATCAAGCTTGTTGATTTTGTTTTTCATATTTTTAATATGTTTATCTACTAGATTCAAAGACTTTGCATTTGTCAAATAGCTTTTAGTAATTCTGTCAAGTTGAGTTGATATATGGGAAATGATGGGGCTGGATGCATTCCCAACTTCAGTTTTATTACATCATTTGGTCCATACATCACTAAGCAACAATTCTGCCTAGAAAATCATTTTATCTGATATTATTATAGCCATCCTCAGGGAACCTTTGGTTAACATAGCCCTACTTTTATCTTTTTAATATCTTTATCATTTTTATGATTCTGTATTAGATATAACTCTTATAAGTGGCATATAATTTTACATTTTGAGTCTACATTTTTAACTGATGAGTTTTATTTTTAATATTTCCATTGCCTTTTATTTTTTCTTTCCTATCTTCTATTGGATTTTTAAATGCTCCATTTTTCCCCTCTGCTTATTTGAAAGTTATACATAAGTGGCTAGCTTAACTACTTTTTATAGGCTTACCTAATTTAGCAAAGTCCCCCAATTACAAAAGACTTTAAATGCTATGAGCTATAATCACTTACACACACACACACACACACACACACACCACACACATTGAACTGCTTCCTACTGCTTAGATACACTCTGATTTTAAGCCTCCAATTATTGTTATTTTTACTGTCAGAGTATTTTGAGATCTACCAACTTCTTTCCTCACCAACACATCCTGCATCTCACTCCTTCCTCTTAGGTTCAATTGAGCTCATCCTGAATAACATTCATTCTTTGGGTAAAGGACTAAGGCTGCAAACACTCTTAGTCTTGGTCTGAAAACATCCATGACTTTCACACGTGAATGATAGTTTCGTTGGGTATAGAATTTGAGGCAATACTGTCCTCTGGCTTCTATGGTGACTGTTGGAAGTCCTGCAGTTCTTGTTCCCTTTGCAAGTATTCTGAACTTTCCCCTTCTTAGGCTATTTTCAATATTTTTCCTTTGTCTTTGCCATTCCAAATTGTCTATCATTAATAGTAAATTTATTTTTATTTTAGCCTCCTCAGGTCTCAGTGCTCTTCCTCAAATCTGAAGATTTGTGCTTTCTGTCAATTCTATAAAACCTCTATCAGTATTTCATAAAATATTAAATATCCTTCTAGGTATATGCTGGTTTTCCTCATATGATAATTCCACTGTGCTCTCTCCCTATTTTTAATACTCCTTACCCTTTTTGTCTTTAGCTGTGTGCATCTACCCTGTAACATACCCATCAAGTTTCTCATTTCATGGACTATATCTTTCTTTTCTAGAAGGTCTGTTTGGTTCCTTTTCAAATCCACCACTGCTTTTTCTTCTATGTGGTTTCTGTTTCCTCCTTTCATCTTTAATCCTTCTGGCTTCATTGTTTACTAGCTTGCCACTCATCCTGGGCCTCGACAAGTGTGCTGTGTAATTTTTTTATTGTAAGGCTGGTTTTTCTGAGGGAATCCCTTGAGGACTGGGTTCCCTTGACAGGCAGTGCCAAGTTTTATCTTAACTTTTTGGCTTGGAATTTCCTATAGCATGCTGGTAATGTAAATCTGGCTTCCAGAGATGCCAGTCCCAACTGATTTCTCATGGGAGAGCCTTCTGTGTTTCCCATCTGGAGCCAGGGTGGAGGAAATCTCTCATCTGACCTCCAGGGGCTGACCCTGTGGCAATGTGCTCATCCCTCTTCTCCAGGACTGCAGCTCGCAGGTCTCCTAGCTTCACAGGTAAGCTTGTCAACAAAGCTTTGGTTCTGTAGAGCCCATGGGTTCCCTCGTGGCTTGGTGTGGAAACCCAAGGCTCTTGATGAAACTGGACCTAGCAGAATCGTTTCTATATTAGAGATGATATTTCATAGGCCTTATATCAGGGTGCAAAAAATGCACATTCCTTTATTTTCCTAAAACCAAGCTAGATTTTTCTCCTAGTCCCTCATTTCTCCTGATTAGAAGAAACTTAGTACATCCAATTCCAAGTGAAATCAGTAACTTTAGGTTTCTTATTTCATTTACTCTCCATCAGGATTTCCCTATCCCTGCATATTCTCAAGTGTAGCATTTATGTTCCCGAGCCTATTCTGACATTAAAGCCCTGCAGGATTTGCTGTGTCCACGTCTTGGTGCCCTCTCTGCTCTGTGGCCCACAGACACGTCCACATGTGTGCCACGGCCATGTGGTGACACCACTTTTCACTGTTGGTGAGCTCATGTTACAACTCCATGACGCCTTCAGAATTCGGCCCTTGGTCTCAGATAAACTCTTTTTGAGGACCTAGGAAAATTGGGCTGTTCTCCAAAGCTGCAAACGTAGTGGGCTACCTCAAGTGGCTTCTGCTGCGGCAGCCCAGGGCTGTCACTTATAATTCTGCTTCCTTTCCATTCCTGGCTCCTGGGCATTTCTCCACCTCCCTTGCACATTCATATAAGCATTTGCATCTTTTACTAGTATTTTATTGAGCACTCATATGTAATTTATGTGGGAGGGCTGCCAAATGAGTCTGGTCCACCATTTTCAACGTCATCGATTCTCTAGGGGCCAAACATGAAAGCGGGAAAGAAAGCTCTCTAGAGATTAAGCACAATATTTCTTTCTCCATTGGTGTTTAATTTATAGCCAGTCATTTAGCCTCTCTTGGCTTCATTTCCTTTATGTGCAAAATACGGGGTTTGTATTAACCATTTTCTAAGCTCTCCTCCAACTCACAAAAACATTCCTTTGTAGCTGCCCTAAACCTCTCCAGAAACAATTTGCCAGGCCAAAAGGAGCCAGGCATGGCTGACTGAGGTTTCGGCTCACTTGGATTTGGGCAGCACTCACACTCCATAGCGTTACACAGAACAGAAGTCTTCCCTTTTAATTGAACCAAAAAACTTCCCCTTTCTAACTTAACAGTGGCACAACTTTAGCAACTGATGGTACAGGCTCATCTCCCCAGTGCCCACGTCAGCTCTCTGTGCACTGCAAATCTCTGGACAGGGAGCTGAGTCCAAGCATCAAAACAACCCAAAGGCAAAGTAACAGAGGAATCCCCTCACTGCTCTGTCTCACAGTCAGAGTCAGATCAATGACTTACGGTTTTTTTTTTTTTGAGGCGGAGGCTCGCTCTGTCGCCAGACTGGAGTGCAGTGGCGTGATCTCGGCTCACCACAACCTTCAACTCCCTGGTTCAAACAATTCTCCTGCCTCAGCCTCCCGAGTAGCTGGGATTATAGGCATGCACCACCACGCCCAGCTAATTTTTGTGTTTTTAATAGAGACGGGGTTTCACTATGTTGGCCATGATGGTCTTGATCTCCTGACCTCGTGATCCACCCGCCTCAGCCTCCCAAAGTGCTGGGATTACAGGTGTGAGCCACCATGTCCAGCCGACTTACGATTTTTAAATCCAGCCAATCATCCAAGTATTCACCAACTTGGTCAAATTACTTAGGCATTGAGGATCTGCTTTTACCAGGTCACACTGATCAGTCCAGGAAGATCAAGAAAACTTTACATATTAGAGATCATGAGGTCATGGCGCTTTGATTAGCGGGAAATAAAACAAATTTCCTGGAAGGGCACATGGAATGGAAATCCTGAGAGCTGCAGGAAGGACATAAAGCTGCTCCTCCCAAGGGAAGATACTTCCAGGTTAATAAATCCGTTGCGGGTGTGGAACAGTGGCCACTCCACTCGGGCTTTCCCACTGAGCTGTTGAGTGGTGCATGCAGCCAGCTGCAGAAAACCAGGGGCAGTGTCAGGAAGGATGGGAGTCAGATAAAACGGGGAAAACTAGAAGCATGGGGACTTGCGAGATGAAGAAAACCACCTAAGAGTGTTTGTACCTTTGAAGAAACTGAGAGTATGGTGGGGTGACCCGTGTCCCCCAGCCACTCATGCTGAAGTCCTCATCCCCGCAACCCGTGAGTGTAACTTTATTTGGAAACAGGGTCACTGCAGATGTAACGAAGTTAAGAGGAGTCCTACTTGATTAGAGAGGGCCCTAATCCAACAACACTGTCCTTACAGGAAGAGGGAATTTCAGACACGGACCTAGAGGGAAGAAAGAGCAGAGATGGAGTGATGCCGCCACAGCCACAGAGCACCATGGGCACCAAGGGTTGCCAGCAATGCCTGGAGCTCAGACCGAAGCATGGCACAGACTGTCCCCAGAGCCTTCAGAAGGAACCGACTCTGCCAACAAACCTTGATTTCAGACTTCCGGTCTCCAGAGCTGAGAGAAAACATTCTGATGTCTTAAGGCACCTCGTCTTGAAGTCCTTTGCTATGACAAAGGTCCTCATCCTTTGCTAGGGTAGAGGAATTGAAGAAGAAAGAAGAACGGCTGTAGAAGGAAGGAGACAGCCCAAGAAACTAAAGTTAAGACCTACACACAGGTGACATCCACACCCACCCAAAGAGACAGAGACATGGGTGTGTGCACACCCTGGGGACAGACAGAGACAGACAGGTGGTGGCACAGCCCTTTGCAGTATGGTCTCAAATCCAGCAAGCTCAGGAAGAATCACTGCTGTCCGTGTGTGTCACCCGCAGGAGGAAGAACAATAGCCACTGACAATACCAGTCAGATGAGGGAAACGGCCGCCCACCATAGGGACGCCACCCCGCTGGGCGCAGGTTGTCAGAACGCTACCCCTGGGAGAAAGACAGGGGCTGATCGAGGACTGCAGGGAAGGTTCGGAGGCAGAAATCAGCCTCATCGATGGCAGGAAGCCGCTGTGGGTCTCCAGACAGTCCAGACAGTCTCAGGTGCCCGGCCCAAACTCTGCCCCGAATAACCAACGGTGCACACTTTGAAACCTCCTATTTGTGGGGTAGAGTTTTCTTCCAAGACCATTCAGTGGCTCCAGATCCAGACAACCCAATAGGCATTGCAGACTCACAGCCAATAGGAGGATAAAGGGTCCCCTACTTGGATCAAAGGTGCCTCGAACATGGCCTTCAGCCTCCAGAGTGGTGCAACGCTCACAACCTGGACATCTCATGTTTGTTTTGTCCAATGGATGTTAGAAAACGTCTTAGGGAAAGGTTTGCTTGGGATTGCGTGGCTGTGGGCCGGGCGGAGGCAGACAAGACTGGCAGGGGCTGAACTGGCTGCTGACTTGGAACCTAAGAATGACCTGCCTGGAAGCTTCCCTCCACCAAGTCCTAGTGCTCGACAGCTGCTCCCTCCCCATGTCATCCTGGAGCTTCTCTTTGCGCCCACAAAATGTACCCCTAGCAATCCCCAGCCCAGGGTGGATGTGGATGTGGACACTGGACACTGGGCTCAGTGCAAGCCTCCCGTGTCCTCGTAAAAGGAGTTTCTAGCTCCAGCCGACACCCGCAGGGCTGAGATGCCCCACAATGAGCATGGAGCCCACCCTGGCCTCCTTGGTGGCAGCCTGGTCCTCTCCCTACCTGTGCCCCTTAAGCATATCAGCACCTTCAGAGCTGTCCTGGGGGTTCCCTGAGCACGCAGGGCATGTGGGACACCACCCCCCACTCCTGCCCTTGGCTACATAACAGCTGAAGTGGCCAGAATGAAACCCGAGTCTGACCCTGCGTGCCCACCGTGAGACTGGGTGTCATAGCCTTGCTGCTCTGAGCGGGACTCTACGTTCCCTTCCTCTCCCACGCCCGCCTCCTGCCTGGAGCATCCTGAGCTGTGGGGCCTTTGCCAGCCATTGCCCCTACGTCCTCTCTCAGTGGGGCTCAGCCTCTCGACCACCCCAACTGTGACAGCCAGCACCGCTCACTCCCGTCCCGGCCCCGCCTCCCTCCAGTACCTTCATGATCTGAGGTCCTCCTGTGGTTCCCACACTTGCTTCTCCCATTTAGAAAGACACTCAGAGAGCCCGGAGGGGCAGAGACCACGCCGCCTCATACTGGGACGTTTTCAGAGACTCTGAGCGCCCAGCATGCTGTGGGCTTCGGTAAATACTTGCTGAATGCAAGAAGCCTCAGTTCAGGGGCCACATCCTCCCAGAAACCCCCCGTGCCCATCCGAGTACCGCCTTGGACATCCAGACCACCAGCAGTTCCATGTGCATTTCTGCTGCACCGTACTCTTCACGTTATTTTCTCTTTATTGTTCTATGTGTCTAGACCCTGTACTTTCTCTCTTTGCAGGGAAATTATTAAGGAATAACAGAGCAGTCTGCTGCAGGGGGATGCCCTCATGGTGGCCCTGGGGACTGCACCACGCTCCCCTGTGCATCCTTATTTGTGCCTGAGTACCCCTTGTGGGTATCTGGTAAACCTAAGCGTCACCTCTGTGTTCAATCTTTATGTTCTCAAGATGAAAAGAATTCTGAGGACAGGCTACAATCACCTGGCAGGAGGACATTCCTCATAATCTTTACCCTGGCTCGCCTGCTGGCGGTCAGCACGGGGGCCCACCCCAGCCTCACTCGGTATGGGCGGGGGCAGGGTGCCTCTCACATTCTGGTCTGGGCACCTGGAGCACACCCACTCCAGGGAGTGTCTTCCGTATTCTAAGGAAACAACAAGCCCAGGCACAACAACGTTATTGCCTCCTGGAACCAGGCGTGCACCCAGCAGCTGACACACAACTGCCATCTCTGTGCACGCTCAGAACAACTAACATTCATCATGCCCAGTCTGTAGATTCAGAAACTGGAGCCTGAAAAGTAACTTTCTGTGGGGTCCCTGGCCAGAGGAGACACACCTAGCAGAGTTGCATGGCACATCCTGATGCTGAGCCCAAGTTGTGAATAACAAGCCTGACAGACTTTATGCTGACTATGTTTGCAGGGATGATCCCATTTTCATTTGTACCCTTTTAGCCTTGGAGACCCTCACTCTATGTTAAACCTAACAAACTATCATACGTACACACAGGCACGCATGCCAGGAGTTCCAGAATAAACCAGAAGCACACACAATAATTCGGCCGATATGACCTACATGAACTGGGAAACTGATGCTTGGTAAACAGAGACCAATAGGCATGGTCTCCATGTCAGCTCAGGGAGCTCTGCTGACTGCTTTGTTTTCTCTTTCCAAGGAAATTTTAGTTCAGCACCACAGCCTGACATGGCACAAATAGCAGGGAACAGCCTAGTAACCCAGGCACTGGTTTCACTACCCTGTTATTTAGAATCCACTTGAGATCACCTATAATTGCAACACAACCTCATATGGGCAAAGTCAGGAATCCCCCTGCTGGCTGCAGTGTGGACGAGGAGCAGCTCTTCTCTGAAGTCGAGAGACACAGCTCGCCGGGTCTATTTTGGCTGAGCCAGAACAGGAGGCCAGCAGACGGGCGAGCCCACATCACCCCGCCCCAGCCTTCAGAAATTATCCACTTCCCACAAACATTCCAAAGTACTGATCTTTCAAAACACAAGCTGTATTCCATGTGCATTTAAAACACAGTCTTGGAACGAAAGAGCATGTGGTTTCTAGGTCAGATATAAGCCTCTGTAAGTAACAGAATGATAATTCTAAAGCATGTATGTGTGTATGTCTCCTGGACGTCTAATGTAACAACGAAGACAAAGCTCTGTTAAATATTCACTCACATGTTAACCCGGTTATAACCAAGTCCTACAGTCGCCTGCAGTCTTAAACAATGACAGTACTTTGGCATATGAAAACTGAAGGCAAACTTTTCATCTGTAAATCACAACATCCTTAGTGCTCATTTTCTCTATATAGGCTTTTTGCTCTGAGAATCTCTCTCTCTGTCTCTCTCTCTCTCTCCTCTCTCTCTTCTCTCTCTCTCTCTCGATACCATCTACCAAATATAAGCTTCATGCCAAATACTGACCCAGGACATCTGAACAAAAACACATTTTCCAGCTAATTCTTAGATTCGCTTTTGCTTGGCCAAAGGTAAAGCTGTCATATCACTGATGAACTGGTCCACAGGCCAATGTCACCTGCCAGTGATTTTGCAGATGTTTATACATCATGACTGATGATTGGGTTAAATAAATAGCTAATATAGTACATTCAGCTATGATTATACATGTGATTAGGCCAAATGTGGCCAAGCGTGACATTCCCAGAAGCTCTATGAGCAAAAACGTGCAGGAAGAATGAGTCTGGCTTTGCCAGGCCGACTCCTTCTATTACTAATCATATAAGGAAGGGGCCAGGAGTAGAAGGACGGGTGGAGTGAGTCTCCATTTGTGCAGGAGCAAGAACTCAAAAGGAAGTAAAATCACACTACAGGACCAGATAATTCATGAGCAAGGGAAAGATTGGGGCCCCTACCCTGAGACTTCTGGGGGGCAGTTCACTACAGATCCTGTCCCGCTAAGAGTGCTGATGATCCACCAATCATCACGATGGTGATGCTAACAAATGGCGCCAGCATCAGCTACTGTTTCTAGGTGCTTGCAGTGAACTGAGCAAGCCCTTTCATCCCGCCTATGCTGGGGGTGCTCCCATCTTGAAACTGTGCTGAGAGCAGTGCCATGCCCAAGGCCCTGACCCCAGGGGGAAGGGTGAAGCCACCATTTATCCAGGCCCATCCTCTTGCAAACCCAGGCTCAGAACTGTGATACTATACTACTCTATCCTGCTACTGCAAAGAAAGGCAGCCCGGCCTTCTGTGGTTCTTTGCTTTCTTTTTGTACTACCCTTTCATAAACATGCATGTATGTACAGATGTGCCCACTTGACGGGCCACCTTTAGCGTCCGTGTTTCTGTGCTCTGGACAGGTCCGAGGCAAACTTCCAAACTCTGTAATCAATCAACTCCTTTCGGTCATGGGAACGCACTGAACACACATGGTTTTTAAACCATTCACTTGTGGGTTAACAACAACAACAAAAAAGTCAAGAGATTATCAAATCCCAACAAACAAAAAGCACGGTAGAAAGCATTCTATTCTACGCTTGAGAAGTTGCTCCACTCCCAGAAATGGAACTGAGAGAATCCTACCTTAGAGCACTGAATTTGACTTATAAATGCCAGGAGCTTGCAGCATCCAGGGAATAAAATTTTCTGTCAAATTTCATCTGATGGTCATTTTTTCACCTTGATAAGCAAATGCATCTTCCTAAGTGCATCATGAATATGCAGCTGTTTCTGCCTCGCAGGGTTATTTGTGATCACTCCACTTAAAGAACAGCTCCCATCCCACATGCAGTCCCAGGGCCCCTGCAGCCCTCTGCTCCAGAAGCCTTGGCACAGCCCCGCCCCAGGCCCACAAGGAAGCCCCCGGGTGAGAGGTTTGCAGCGCATCTGAAACAAAGGACTGCAATACATTTTCCCAAGGAAATATCAGAGTCTATGGAATGACTCAAGTTGGATTCTCGGCCGTTAATATGGCCTGTCTGCTTCTCATCACTCGCCCCCTCCCCCTCAACTGCATCCTCTGCTTCTCCTCAAACCGTGCTTCACAGCTGCCGTGTGATTTTTTCACAGAGTAAATCAAACTGCACCACCCCCGACACCAGACGCCCTCAACAACCGACAATCAAACACAAATTCCAGGACCTAAAGTGCTGTGCAGGGCGTAGCCCAGGGCTGCCCCATGAACTTTCCGTGATACTGGAACGTTTTAGATTTGTGCTACCCATTGTGGGAGCCTCTTGCCAAACTGAAATGTAGCTAGTACAACCAAGGAACTGAAATCGTAATTTTATTTATTCTAACTGACTTGAATTTCAAGAGCCTTCCAGCTGCCCTATTGAGATTCATGGGTTCAACCCCGGCTGACTCTGACCTCCACCTTGCCCCAGCCCATAAGCCAGGCATCTCCCCTGCGGTACCACCATGACACCAAGTCCCGCTTGACCCAGGGCCCCCACTGGGCTTCGCACACACTTCCCTCTCGTTTTCACTTGGCCAGTGTCCACTCTTCAGATCTCAGCACAACCATCTGTGCCCAGATCAAGAGATGTGTTCCTCTTCTACCCTCCCAAAACCTGATCTCTTCCTTTAGGCCACTTGGCCACAACTCAGAATTTTATCATGACCTGACAGCTTGCCTTTCCCCAGACCTGTAAAATCCACACAGCAGAGAGCACAGTTCAGCCAACACGTCCTAGGATCTTGCGCAGAGCCAGCTATGGGGACAATCAGTAAGTATCTGTGGTCTGTCTGCACTGTGGGTTAAGTCAGGCTTTTGAGAAAGAAGTTGAGAATCTAACCAACAAAAACTATTTTTCTTCCTAAGGAAATGTGGTCCCCAAGGCCAGTGTACTAAACAAGCTTTCAGAGCATGCGTTTACTACATTTAACATCCTACAGAGGATGGAATCCTCTTAAGCCTCCAAGCACCAGGCACCAGCCTCACTGCCACCCTGCATGCTGGGCAGAGCTCCACCTGCTCTTGGTTTTAAACAACTGACCTCCATGAGGAAGCTGTGCAGAGCCACTCTGTAGATTGGACAGAAATAAAGTGGCTGTTCTGGCAGTTGATTGTTATGGACTGAGCAGTGGTGCCCCCCAAACCCATAAGTTGAAGCTCTATCCCTCAATGTGATGATATTTGCAGGTGAGGCCTTTGGAAGGTAATTAGGATTAGATGAGGTCATGATGGGGGTGTTATGAAAACACCGGGATTCGGTCTAGGTCCTCCTGCTCCCCAAACAGAAAGCCAATCACTGAAACAACAAGCAGTGCCAAGGAAAAGGATTTTAATCGGCTTTAATCAGGTGCTGCAGCCAAGGAGATGAGAACTCAGTCTCAAATCCATCTCCCCAATGGACTAAAATTTGGGGTTTATACATCAGAGAAGAAATGTAACTATGTGTGAGAAAACAGGAACTAGGGAGGGGTAAGGAAGCAGACATGATGAAGGAGGGCCTGGAGAAGCATGATTCGATACTTTTTTGAGGGGTCTGGGCATCCTTTTCCTGAAGAAGGAAGTCAAGATAAAACAAATGTAAGTTTCAAACTTTAAGACCAGAAGGGTCAATTTCTCTGTTTATCCCAAAGAACCGCCTATAGGACTATTGGGTCGGTTTCAGCGGGGCCTCCATGACAGGAATAGTGTCCTTATGAGAAGAGAATCAAACAGACCTCTGTCTCTCCACCGTAAGAGGACACAGCAAGGCGGCAGCTGCCTGCAAGCCAGGAGGAGGGTCCTCTCCAGAACCCAACTGTGCTGGCACCTTGATCTTGGACCTCCAGCCTCCAGAACTAGGAAGTGTGTGTGTTGTTTCAGCTTCCTGGTCTGTGGTGCTTGCTAAGGCAGCCTGAGCTGACTGAGACAGGCTATCTGTGGCTATGGGGTAACACTATATGCATTAGCAAACACGTCAGTTCCTCAAGCCACAGGTCTGCATCCGGGGGAAACTTGTTCTATTGACCCTACAAATCTATGGTGCATTCCTGCAAGGTGTGCCAAGTGAGCATGGCTCTGACCACAGGCCCAGGGGAAGAACTGAAGCCACAAGACAGAATTCCAGGTGGCTGGGAGGAGGAGGGCCGTCCATCTGCCCACTGAGACGTACACACACCTCTGGAGTCACATGCAACAGGAATCCAGCTCCTAAGGCTCCGCTCAGGCCCTTTCCCCATCTGCCAGGCCGCCATCTGTCCACCCATGCCTCCCTGCGTGTCACCTCCCACCTGTGGCCCCAACAGGCCCTCAATGCCCTCCAAGTCAAGAAACACAGGAATCAAGGTGGCATTCCACCATACCCACCACCAGGGGGCACCAAGGGGCCAGAGGACCCCCAGCGCCTTCCTTCAGGCAATGGCAGTGCAAGATGAGCCTCAGCACAGGGCATTTGGAGGACATGGAGAGCACCTGCATGTCCCAGCTCACCTTTCAGAGTTGGAATCGGGCCGTCCTGCCCATCAAGGGGTCCTAAAGGGTCGTTCGGATCCAGAACCTCCACTTCACCTGGGAAAAAGAAACCAGGATAGGTATTAAACAAGTTTTCCTTTCAGGAGCCTTTAATTTGCTTCTTATGCAAAGACAACAGCATTCTAGCAAAACTACCCAGTATTTGTAGAAAACACAGAGGGATAAGACATTATGGTAACCTCTAGAGGGATTTTATAGTGATATAAAGATATGATGTAACAGTAAAAGTGATTTTGAAGCTTATCACAAGAATAGCAAATGCGGGGGCTTTGCAACACAGGTATGGAAATAAGTCAGTGGAGCCTGGGCTTCATTCAGAGAGGGACAGAGAGCGGGAAGGAGAGGGAGAGAAAGAAACCAAAGCACTGGCTGGCAAAATCAAACACTTCTGTAGCCAGATGCCGCAGACTGCCCTCCAGATGGAGGTCCTGGTAACTGGGTAATAAATTCAGAGTTGGAGAATTTCTTAAGCAACTCATTCCCCTCCCCATCCCCAGACCCACTGGCAGCAGCCAAGTACCCACCCCACAATGTAAAGGACATAAATGGGCGCTGTGGCTTTTCACTTCCATTCTTCCTATCATTTCTAGTCCAAATTTACCCGTCCCCAAAAGCCAAGCCCTGAGCCATCTTTCATAAAATGTCCATGACCAGCCATTTAGAAGAAAAGTTTCTATTCTCTAAGTCTCCCTGCAAACCATACACCTCTCCCGGGGCAATCCTACCATTCTTCCTCAGGTTAACAGTTGCATGCATTTTACTCTTCCTCAACAATAGGTAAACCACATGGGGACAGCTGGTGCTGCACCCCTGGGGGAGGACGAGTGGTCCCATCATGGAAACCCAGACAGAAGCACCTCCTGCTACATAACAGAGGCTGACATCAGCTATGCAAGGCAGTCCATGGACTTCTGCTGAAGTATTAAAGACTTCAGTTTGGATTTGAAATTTTACATCAGCACATTACACACACCATCACTCAGCACTGTTTAAATGTAGAGAGACCACATGAAATCAAACATACTTGCACTATATACACACATCGAAAAGAGACAAAAATTATTAACTGCTTAGAAATTGACAAATGGTCTGAAACACTCAAATAAATACATACCCCAAAGAAAAATAAGCTTCACTAGCCCAATTTCCCTGTGGAAAAGAGTCCTAGCTCTTCCCAAGTCAGCTTCTAATTCAGAAATGGAGGCATTTTCACGTGTGGAAATTTCACTTCCTCTGCCAGTCAAATGTGGTTAATAAACTCAGCATGTCCAATCACGAGATCTTTAGAACTGACACTTTAAGTTTCAACAAAACTAGGTTGTTATTGCTAATCTGAGAAACTAAGACACCACTTATATTTCGAAATTTTAAAGTGTTATCTTCCTATACTACATAGTTTGGGCTCACTCCAGATACTGCAGCCTTCTAAAGTCAATAAGCAAAATGTGACAGGAAGTATGTGAACTAGTAGAATGGGTACAAGTGAAAACAGGGCTCAGTGTTTTCAGCAGAACCCAATAGGGTTTCTCCTAACCCGTAAAAAGAGCTAAGAATACCACCTTTCCTCCAAAATAAACAAAACATGGAAATAATAACAACAAAACTGCCACACACACACACACACACCCCATCATCATCATCATCATCATCAAAATGTTATTATTAGTTATCTGGAATTATAGGTAATTTAAATTTCTTTTATTTCCATTTAAATGGCTCTACTGTGAACAAGTATCAATTTTTTAATGGTGTGTGAGACATAATTCACACACTATAAAATTCACCATTTTAAAGTGTGCAATTGAGTGGTTTTCAGTACATTCTCAAGGTTGTGCAACGATCACCACTATGAAATTCCAGAACATTTCATCATCTCCCCAAAAAACCTCATTCCCATTAGCAGTCATCCCCCCGCCAACTCTATCCTGTCTCCTTCAGCCCCTGGTAACCACGAATCTGCTGTCTCTATGGATTTACCTATTCTGGACATTTTCTATAAATGAAATCATATAATATGCAGTATTCTAAACAAGCATCAATTTTATAATTATACTTTTCAAAATGCATGCCCTGTAGTAGCAAAAAGAAAAAAAAAGAAGAAAGCATGCTGTACCACGGGATTAGTAAACAAGGCCATTAATTTGGCTCACTCAGACCACTTCCCAGACTCGGGGGGTCTGTCTCCACAAGGAGAAGGGGATGTGGAAAACATACATGAGGCCGCAGAGATGACTGAAGTATGAAAGGGAGGAACTACCCCAAAATGCCAGAGCTACTAGGATTGCTGCTCCCAAGGTGGGGCAATTTAGGAGCAGCCAGGCTGGCCTGGTAAGGAGACCTGCACATGCCCTCACTCCTGCTGCACACAAGCTGGGAGGAATGGCTGGTGACTCGCAGGATCAGGGAACACTTTCAACTTGGCCAGTTTAGGGGCCACCACAACGGATGTTGCAATGGGTACACATACTGAGCACGTGCTTCTGCACCTAATGGGCTATCATCGTTCCTGACCGAATGACTTTGTGACAACCTCACAACACCACAACTTGCCTTGGTGGTGACTGCCAACCCGATATGGCTGGTGAATGATCACGGTCGTGCGCCCTGCAACATCTCCTCGGTGCCTGTCCTGAGTCATTCTTTACATAAAGGCCTTTTCGGTTTTCACCTGGTGCAGGCACCCTTGCACCCCAGCTAGATGATGAGCTCACCAGGCAAGGTCCCTGTCCTCGTTAGTTGCCTGGATTTAGCTGGAGGAGCAAGAGAAGAGGCCACGTGGCCTTCTGGACCATCAGAAAAGAGATTCTGAGAGGAGATTCATCTGTCCTGACTCTTCAGGACTTCAATATATTTTTCTCCTGAATATGAGGACACTACTCTAGCCAAACCCACACGTCCTCCGTTTGGGTAAAATGCTCTTAAGTGTGCCCTACATGACCATCAAGAATGTCATCCGTATGACAGGCACAGTGCCCTGACTTTTCTCCGCTGGACCTGGGTCATTTTCACTGTAAAAACATCACAGAGTGGCGAGGTGAAGCCAGAGGGAAACTCAACCCTTGGGTAGATGAGTAGGGGAGTAGTGATTTATAAGCTTCTTTTAGTTTTTTGATACTTTTTAAAGAGAGGAAAACATTTAATATGAAACAAAAATTTAAGTGTGGCTGGTATAATGAAATGACACATTCAATATCTAGTTTTATCCATGTCAAAAACACACATGACACTCTAGAAGCAAAGACTAAATATAATGTGGTATCCTGGTCAGGACCCTGGAACAGAAAAGGGATATTAGGTAAAAACTAAGGGAAAATGAATAGTGTGAACGTTAGTCAAGAATAATGCACCCGTATTATGGGGCAAATGTACCATGCCAAGGTAAGGTGTTAACAATAGGGGAAACTGGGTGTGGGGTGTGTGGGGGCTCTATGTACTGTCATCACAACTTTTCTATAAATCTAAAACTAAAGTAAAAAGCTTACTGAAGAACAATTACACATTTCCATCACCTTGTTCAATCCCTTAAAACCAAGGCTCACAAGTAGAACTGCATAAAACATTCTACCTCCAAACACTTATACTTTTCTTTTTTTTTTTTTTTTTTCGAGACAGAGTTTCGCTCTTGTTGCCCAGGCTGGAGTGCAGTGGTGGGATCTCAGCTCACTGCAACCTCTGCCTCCCGGGTCCAAGCGATTCTCCTGCCTCCGCCTCCCAAGTAGCTAGGACTGCAGGTGCCCACCACCACGCCCGGCTAATTTTTGTATTTTTAGTAGAGGTAGTGTTTCACCATGTTGGCCAGGCTGGTCTCGAACTCCTGACCTTAAATGATCCACCCACCTCAGCCTCCCAAAGTGCTAGGATTACAGGCATGAGCCACCGTGCCACCGTGCCTGGCCAATACTTTACATTCTTAATGATGCAATCCCTGGTAAATGGCCTCAAAGCCAAGTATGCACCCTAACCCTATGAACAGAATCTGACACAGATTCACTGGATTTAATATGTTATTCAATGATTTATACAGCATGCTGGCAAATATTTAGAAATTAAAACATTTTGGAAAATGTTGGATTTTTCAGCTGAGTCCTACAGGAATTGTCATTGGCATGGAGACATCAGCTCTTAAGCAGGAATTTGTAGCATATTCTTGGAAGCACTTTATGAATGTCTTGTATATTCCAGGCTGAACCAATTGGTGTCTACAGAATGGCCAAAGTGAAAGGGTTCACTGTTGATAGGGATGATGCCCGGTTGCTGTTAAGAGAGTCACATCAGGCCTGCAATAGCTGGAGGTGCAGATTCTGAAGAATTAGAAATTATATAACCAGGCCAGGCACAGTGGCTCACGCCTGTAATCCCATCACTTTGGGAGGCCAAGGCGGGTGGATCACGAGACCATCCTGGCTAACACAGTGAAACCCCGTCTCTACTAAAAATACAAAAAATTAGCCGGGCATGGTGGCAGGAGCCTGTAGTCCCAGCTACTCGGGAGGCTGAGGCAGGAGAATGGCGTGAAGCTGGGAGGCGGAGCTTGCAGTGAGCCGAGATCACGCCACACTACTCCAGCCTAGGCGACAGAGCAAGACTCCGTCTAAAAAAAAAATGAAAGAAAGAAAGAAAGAAATTATATAACCATCAAACAAAACTCTTCTGAAAACCTTCTTTCAACACAGACCTCTGATGTGACATCTTGATTTATGGCATCAACAAGATAAGATTAATTGGGCTGGCGTGGTGGCTCATGCCTGTAATCCCAGCACTTTGGGAGGTCGAGGCCTCGGGTGGATCACCTGAGGTCAGGAGTTTGAGACCAGCCTGGCCAACGTGGTGAAATCCCATCTGTACTAAAAATACAAAAATTAGCCAGGCGTGGTGGCAGGTGCCTGTAATCCCAGCTACTTGGGAGGCTGAGGCAGGAGAATCACTTGAATCTGGGAGGTGGAGGTTGCAGTGAGACAAGATGGTGCCATTGCACTCCAGCCTGGGTGACAGAGCAAGACTCCATCTCAAAAAAAAGATAAATTTATATCTGCAAAGTAGCAAGCACGTCTGTTCTGATTCCAAGGCTCTACCTCTAGTATCACAATCATTCTCTCATTAACAGCAGTCACACCATTAAGCAAGCATTTATTAATGAAGTTTCACCTATGCCCTTGGATTTGAGTCCATGGTGCTATTCTGGTTTTGATTTGCGTTTCTTTTAAACATGCTTTGTTATTCAGACTGTTCATCCATTCATCTCTTCACCTGTTGATCTGAATCGGTATGCTTACTGTGATGCAATTAGATGCAGTCTTCAGGATGTTCAGACAACTTCAAAGCAGCCTCTTTTTAATTAGTAAGGGTATTTTATTCACCAGAGCTTGGCATTCTTGGATTTGGTTGTCCTCATGTGAAGGTATAATTTGCAGGATGTGTTTAAGAACAGAAGTCACGGCAGGGAAAAAGCACAGCCTGAGAAAGTGACGGTGCTGCAAACCAGACACCCCCTGAATGAATGGCAAGGACAGATTTCACAATGAGCTACGCTGCGAGCAAGCTCTGTGCACCCACTGTCCCACTTGCACGTGCAAATGTCACTCATGTGTTCCACAACAACTACTCAGCTCGGCAACACGTCAGATCGAAAACACCCATGATGCTAGAAAGGCAACAGTTAAGGAAGAAAAGTTAAAAATTGGGAAGGAGCAGCGTATAAAGTCCCGAAAGGGTAAGGCCATTATTAGTCTGGGACCTGGGTCAGGAGAAGTATGTCAATAGCAAAGAGCCTTGAGACTGTTTCGGGGAATGCTCTTACTAAGACACTGCACCCTGTGTTTCAATTGCAGCTAGAAAACCAAACAGCATTCCAGGTGGGCTGCCAGTACCTAATTGGTAGTGGTCTTAACAGTCTGTAATTTTTTATTTTCATTATTTCTAACTTTGAGTTGAGTAAATACTAGCCTCTGTTCTTATATTCCTTCAAGGGCTGGCTTAACTCTACTTTGGAAATAGGGAGTTAAAACTCATCAACTTGAAAATGGAGTAACCGTTTCACCAATTTGAACTTTGCTGTGATTCCACTTCTAAAGCAAACGTATTAAACCTCCAAGTGAGTCAATGTACCAGCCCAACTCCCTTCAATATTGCCTTCATAAAGCTCTTTCTACTTTCTGTCTCTGACAGCCCCCAGAGCCCCCAACAAAAGCCCACTGTCAGGGGCCAAAGGAATATTTAGGTGAAGGGGGAGAGAGGCCACTCAGGCAGCTGAATTGAGGCCTTTCACAGACCTTCTCTCTTCCCAGCATCCACAGCCCTGGCAGCGGTGAGCCTGGCCGGGCTGGGAGGCCAAATGCCGCACCTCCACCCCCACCAGATACAGTGAGAAGGTGAGGTCCCCTCCCTGTGACAGGGAGCTGAGGCTTGCTTTCTCTTAAGTGGCTGCTTGTTTCTGCACCAAAACCAGCAGAAAAGGAGCAAACAGAAATGCTAAGTAAAGGCTCCAGGTTTATTGTATCTTTTCATCTAGTTTCAAGGAAGTAGCTCTTGAATATTAGTTACTCCCATGCATACAAAAGGTTACTTTGTCACCTTGAATCTCTGGAAAGTTTTTAATTAAAGGGAGGGATGTAAAAAAGAAAAAAAAAACACCCTGATTAGAAAAGAAACTGCATTATCCTTTGGCAGCAAAAGCAGATGTCTTCCATTTGCTTAAGGCTTTTCAGGGGTGTCCAATCTTTTGGCTTCCCTGGGCCACACTGGAAGAAGAATAATTGTCTTGGGCCACACGTAAAATATACTAACACTAACGATAGCTGATAGCAAAAAAAAAAAAAAAAAAAAAACCCTCATAATGTTTTAAGAAAGAAGTTGTGTTGGGCTGCATTCAAAGCCGTCCTGGGCTGCATGTGCCACGGGTTAGACAAGCTTGCTTTAAGTTAAGGCCAGGTCTGGAGCAGGCTCCACCTCCATCAACCAGGAATCCAGGTCCCAGGCCATGTAGCCAGAGGCTAACCCAGAGGGGGTTCAAAAGCAGAAGATTCTCTGGTAGCCAGAATTTGCTTCAGAGTCTTGGAATCAAACAGGGGTAAATGTCTGCTATGATCACAGGAAGTAGCAGTGATTCTTTTTAAGGCAGCTTCTGTGTTGGTTTCCTAAGGCAGCCACAACAAAGCCGCACAGATGGGGCAGCCTAAACAATGGAAACGCCTTGTCTCAGTTCAGGAGGCTGGAAGGCCAGGATCAAGGTGTCAGTAGGGCAGGTTCCTTCTGCGGCTGGGAGAGAGGATCTGCTGCAGGTCACTCCTTGCTGGCAGACCATGGCTTCTCCTTCCATCTCCTCATTGTCCCTCCATGCACACCGTCTTTCCGTCCAAATCTCTCTTCCTACAGGTCACCAGTCCCATAGGATGAGAGCCCTGATGACCTCCTTTTACCTTAATTACCTGTGTAAAAACCCGATCTCCAAATAAGGGCACATTCTGAGACACAGAGGACTAGGACTCCTGTGTTTCTATTTTCAGGGACACAATTCAACCCATAAGGGAAAGCATTATTTGTCTTCAAAACTTAGTGCTGACTTGAGAATGACACACACAATGGCAAGGCTCAGCCTCACAGTGAGTGCCTCGCTGAGAAGGGATGGATAGGCTCTCTGGGCTAAGTACAGGTGTGCTGGGACTGCTCGCATGCCCAGGAACTGCCAACTTGTTAGTGACTCTAGTGCCCCAAACCCCTCCCTTCTGAGGCCAACTCTCACTTATATGGAAGCCACCTCCAACCCTCACAGCCATCTGCTGAGACCGGCAGTCCTCCCACTTCACCCCTCCAGGGTTTCAGCTGCAGCTGCAGCCCCGCCCTAGGCCTAGTCTTGTGCCCAAATGAGCTTTTCAGCTCTTACCTCCTTGGCTGACATTTCTTTTTCTCATAATATTTACACCAATGCCACTCCACGGCTCTGCGAGCCTGGAGGGCACACCAGGGATGGAGGTGGAGTTGGCCTTCTGCAGCCTGACTGCTGTGGGTAACGACCCTATTCAGCATTCACACAGCCCCCATTCCACGCACATCGTGCTCACAACCTCCCCACTCCACTGCCCACGTCTGGATCTTTTCCTGCCTCCACCCGCTTGTAAGTCTGTCCTCCTCCCCAGTCCTCTGAATGGAAAAGCTTTCCCTCTCTTTCCATCCTGACTCCTTGAGGGCTTGCTTTAAATAACACCAGAACACCTACAACTCCCAAACCACCTGTCCAGGCCAGACCGCTCCCCTGAAAGCCAACTCAGAAATCCCGCCACCTGCTCACACCTCCACTTGCATGTCCAGGAGACACCATGCTTGACCTGTCCACACCACAGCCCGGCCTCCCGTTACACACCTGTGCCCTGCGGAGCTGCCCAGCTGCAACAGTGCTGATTCCACCCTGCTCCCAGCTAAGGCCACAAGGCTGGAGTTCGTCTTGACTCCTTTCCTCTCAAATCCCACACCCAATCCATCACGAAATGCTGTTTGCTCTATCTGCAGAATGTATCAGGACCTGCCCTGCTAACATGCTGTGGGCGACTGCAGCACCCCCTGGCCCCCACCTGCTCTCCATGCAGCAGCCACAGGAAGCCTCTCAAAGGGGCTTCAAATCCTGTCACCTACAAAACATGGGTGAAGTTCAGATGCATCAGGTGGGGTGCAGGAAGCCAGATACAAAGATGCGTGCTGTGCAGTTCCACTCACACTAAGTTCAAAGGCAGGCAGACGTCATCCGTGGTGATGGCAGTCAGAACACAGTTGGCTTCAATGCCTGGGTGGGAGCAGGTTGCTGGGAGTTGCTGGTGTGGCTGCTGTTAGTGGGTGTATATACCACGTTAACATTCATCAAACTATACACTGGCAATTTATGTACTTTTGTAGACGTAAATTACATTTACAAAGTTTACCGAATTTTTAAAAATCTTTCTCATACAACACTACATCCTTGAGCAAGGCCCTCCCTGGCCCTACTCAAAATGTCAAATACTTCCCTCCACATGTACACACAAAGTCCTAACCTAACCACTCCCAACTTGCTTTTCTGTTTAACTTTTCCCTTAATGTCTTCCATGAGGTAACTGGCTGTTTATTTTTCTGTCTCGCCTTCATGGGGCCAGGAGATTCTATCTGTGTGCTCACTGCCAGCCCCAGCACCTGAAGAGCAGCATGCAAGTTGCTCATTAGGTGGATGAATGAATGAATGAATGAATGCTCCTGTACTCAGTACTTTCCAGCATCTTCCCACTTGCTCAGAGGAAAAGCTAGCTCCCTTCACTAGCCCTACACACATGGACATGGGTACACACACGTATACACACACACACACAGAGTTTGCTCCTGGGGTGGCCTCCACTCCTCATCTCTCCCTCCCTTAGCTCCAATTCCAGCTGCTCCCCTGCAGTTTGCATTTATTCTTTCCTCTGCCTGGAAAATGCTTCCCCATATGTGCATGTGGTTCGACGCCTCACTTGTTTCAGGGTCCCTGTGCATATGGTTCACCCCTCACGTTGTTTCAGGCCCCTGTTTCAATGTGAGTTCCTACACAAGGCCTCCCCTGGACAACCTGAAGCCTACTTAGCCCTACTCTCAGACTGCTGTCTTCCTTGCTGTATTTCTTTCCAGAGCACTGTGTGTGCACACATGCATCTGGTTCACCATCTGTCTTTGCATCAGAATGAAACTCCAGAGTCTAGGTGATGGTGGTCTGTCCCACCCCTGGAATAGAGCCCAAGATGCACTAGGCACTCGAAAAATATCTGATGAGTAAACAAATACTTTGGTGACCACCATCATGTTCATTTTGCACGAGGAGTCTCTGAGTTTTGGCTCACTGTCTGAAGGCTGGGGCCAGGACTCATATCTGCTCCAGATGTGGGGTGGTGCCTGCTACACCAGAGGCCAATGACAGTGTCACAGTTCAGAGCCCCTGCGACACGGCTCTGTGGCCCTTGAGATCTGCTGCAGGGCATGGGCTCCTGTTCCTCCACAACACTGGAGAGCACTGACCTGCTCCACTGGCTTTGAACCTGAAATGCCCCGAAATTCTCCAGGAACTGTGGCAGGCCCAAGGTTCCACAATCTCTCTGACAACATCCCCTTTTACATGTGCATATATATCTTTACAACTCCAAAGAAACTCCCATAACTTTAAAACTCTACCATACACTACTCAACCATAGAAAGAGCCAACTGATACAACATACACACGACAGAAGTGTCTCCAATACATTTCACTAAGTGAAAGAAGCCAGACTCAAAAGGCAATATAGCTGGCACCCGTGGCTCATGCCTATAACCCCAGCACTTAGGGAGGACCACTTGAGCCTAGGAGTTCAAGACTAGCCTGGGTAACATACGGAAACCCTGTTTCTACCAAAAAAAAAAAAAAAAAAAAAAGCCAGGTATGGTGGTGTGCATTTGTGAACCCTGACACTCCACAGACTGAGGTGAGAAGATCGCTTGAGCCTGGGAGGTTGAGGCAGCAGTGAGCCATGATCATGCCACTGCACTCCAGTCTGGGCAACAGAGCAAGACTCTGTCAATCAATCAATCAATCAATCAATCAATAAGTAAATAAATAAATAAATAAATAAATAAATGGGCAATATACTAGAGAATCCACTTCCAGAGTGGCAGAGTGATATCTAGGATGAACTTGCTCTCTGCTGACACCAACAAAAATATGAGGTGAAAATTGTCTGTTCAAGGGAACCTGCTGAACCTTGATAAGAAGGTGGGTCTGTGACCAGTTAACCTGGGCTACTCCCACTGCCCCTCCCTCCCCAGCTCAATGGTGAAGTAGCCAAGGCCACCAACCTCGCAAACAGTGAGAGACTCCACTTGTGGAGCTCTGTGAAAAGTACTGGCCCCATAACAGAGTCAACATTTTGTCTGGACTTGCAGCACTCTGGGAAATCTCTAGATTCGCCTCAGAACTCAGCTGGGGGCGGAGGGGTAGGGAAGGTGGCAGATGGCAGATACCCCTGGGGCATTATGAAAACAACAGCAAACTGCTGGCAACCTCAGCTGCCTAGAGCTGACTATAACTGCAGTCAACATGAGCCTGACCCTGAATTTAAAATGAAATCCTAAAGAATTAGAGGAGCTACGGAACTTCAAAAGCTCTGACACACTCCCGGGGAAGGGAAGAGGTTGTATGCATGCTCAGAAAAGACCTGGGACAGGAGAGGACACCACAGTCACTCCTCTCTGGGTGACAATGAGACCCTGTGCAATCCGGAAATGAAAGCTGAAGCCGTCTTTACAAACTCCCTGAAGCTGGACAGCATGTCATCTCCGTCTCATACAGATCTTTGATGAAAGGTGTCAGAAACACAGGCAAGGCATGTATGGAAAGGAAATGTGAACAGTGACTGGCTAATTATATACAATTATACTGGCTCAGATGTGACCCCACAGAATCCAGGGTTTAAAAATAAAAAGAGGCTGGGTGTGGTGGCTCACGCCTGTAATCCCAGCACTTTGGGAGGCTGAGGTGGGTGGATCACTTGAGGTCAGGAGTTCAAGACCAGCCTGCATAATATGCTGAAACCCCATCTCTACCAAAAATACAAAAATTAGCCATGAGTGGTGGTGGGTGCCTGTAATCCCAGCTACTCAGGAGGCTGAGGCAGGAGAATCACTTGAACCCTGGAGGCTGCAGTGAGCAGAGATCAGGCCACTGCACTTCAGCCTGGGAGACGGAACAAGACTCTGTCTCAAAATAAATAAATAAATAAAATCTTTCTTTTTATTTATTTATTTAAAAATTAGCAGATAACTCAGTGGTCACACATTACAGGAAATACATAAACCAGAGAACTAGTCAAGGAAAGCTGCTAAACTAACAGTAACGAGGCAAACACCATCAACCATCAAATAAAAAACAAAAAGAAAAAACACAGCATCAACAACAAACTTTGAAGGGTATGGTGATTTGCTACCTGAATTGTCCAATTTTTAACAGAGAATCACAAGACATGCCAGGAAACAAGAAAGTATGTCACATGCACAGAATGGGGGGGAGAAAGTGGCCAACAGAAAATGTCCCTAAGAGGCCAAGATTTGGGACTTAACAGACAAACACTTTATCAGCACCACATGCTAACCAACTGAGCTAACCAGCCATACAACAAAGACTTTAAATAGGATGTTATAAATATGTTCAAAAAAATAAAGAAAAGGATATGTGAAGAATTTTAAATTACAATAACTTTATCTTCCTGAATAGAGAATAGTAATAAGGTGATTAAAAGCATCAAACAGAAATTCTGGAGTTGAAAGTGCCATAAGTGAAATTCACTAGACAGACTCAACAACAGATTTGAGCAGGCAGAAGAAAGAATCAGTGAACTGGAAGGCAGGTCAATAGAGATTATCTAGTCTGCAAAGAAAACAGAATGAAGAAAAATGAACAGAGCCTAAGAGACCCATAGGGCACTATCAAGAATACCAACACATACATAATAGGAGTCCAGTAAGAGAAGAGAAAGAAGGAGAAAAAAATACTTGAAGAAAACATAACTGAAAACTCACCAAGTTTGATAAAAGTATTAATTTACACATTTGAGAAACTCAAAGAACTCCAAGTTGGATAAACTCTAAGATATCCACGACCAGGCACATCATAGACTGTTGAAAGACAGAATCTTGAAAGCAGCAGGAGAAGCGGTTTATCTCATAAAAGGGATCTTCAATAATGTTAAAAGCTGGCTTCTCATCAGAACCCAGGGGGACAACACAATCATAGTGTTGGGGAAAAAAAAAAAAAGATTTTTCAATCAAGAATTCAATATGCAGGCCAGGCGTGGTGGCTCACTCCTGTAATCCCAGCACTTCGGGAGGCCGAGGTGGGCAGATCACCTGAGATCAGGAGTTCAAGACCAGCCTGGCCAACATGGTGAAACCCCCTCTCTACTAAAAATACAAAAATTAGTCAAGCGTGGTGGCGGGCACCTGTAATCCCAGCTACTCAGGAGGCTGAGGTGGAGAATCGCTTGAACCTGGGAGGCGGAGGTTGCAGTGAGCTGAGATGGTGCCGCACTCCAGCCTGGGTGACAGAGCGAGACTCTGTCTCAAAAAAAAAAAAAAAAAAATCAATATCCAGCCAAACTCTTCTTCAGAAATGAAGGACAATTTAAAAAGGTTGATCATAGAAGTAGAGAGTAGAATAGTGGCCACTAAAGGGTGGGTAGGGGAAGGAGAAGAAAGGATTGGGGGAGGTCGGTCAATGGGTTCAAAGTTACAGTTACAAAGAGTGAGTTCTGGTGAGTAACAATGTAATGTATACTTCACGATAGCTAGAAGAGAAGTTTTTTAATGTTGTTACCACAATGAAATAATAAATGTTTAAAGTGATGGACATGGTACTTACCCCAATTTGATTATTATACAATGCATACATGCACTGAAATATCAGACTGTGCCTCATAAAAATACAGAATTATTGCATCAATTTTACATAAAAATTAAATTTAAAAAATGAGAAAATCTATCATTAGCAGACTACCCTATAAGAAATAGTCAAGAGTCCTTCAAGATGAAATAAAAGAACACTGGATAGGAATTTTATTCACATGAAGAGATAAATAAAAGAGTACTAGTAAAGGTAACTAAGTAGGTACTGTGAAAGACAGTATAAACATGTTTTTTTGTAATTCTTTTATTCATTTACTTGTTTTAAAAGACTACTGCATTAAGCCCCAATTGTAAGACCGTGCTGATGGACTAATAGCACATCAGATATAAAGTCTATGACACTAATAGTTCAAAAGAGAGGGAAGGGAAGCAAGATATTTTGCAGGAAAATTTTTGTATGCTACCAAAATTAAGTTAGTACTAATCCAAACTAGATTTTAAAAAATTTAAGATGAAGTCACTAAGAAAATAACCCCATCAAATATATATAAACAAATAATAAGGGAATTTTAAAAGTATATTAAGAACTATCTAATGCAAACAAGGGCAGAAATAGAGAAATAAAAAAGACACAATTATGACATGCAGAAAACAAGTAGCAAAATGGTAGAAGTAAAGCGTACCATATTGGTAAGTAAGTTAAATGTAAGTGGGTAAAAAAGGCAAATCAAAACACCAAGACTGGCAGAATGGATTTAAAAAAAACACTACCCAAACATAGGCTGCCTACAAGCAACACACTTCGAATTCAAAAACACAAATAGGTTTAAAAGATGTATCATAAAACAACCACCATGAGAAATCTGGAGTGGCTACACTAGTATCAGACAAAATAATCTACAGTCATGTGCTCCATAACTAAGAACCACATATAAAACAGTGGTCCCATAAGATTACAATGGAGCTGGAAAATTCTTATCACCTAGTTACATTGTAGTGTGATGCATTACTCACAGGCTTATAGTGATGCTGTCTAAGCAAACCCACTGCTCTACCAGTCATATAAAAGTACAGCACAGGCCGGGCACAGTGGCTCATGTCTGTAATCCCAGCACTTTGGGAGGCCGAGGAGGGCAGATCACAAGGTCAGGAGATCAAGACCATCCTGGCCAACATGATGAAACCCCCATCTCTACTGAAAAAAAAAAAAATACAAAAATTAGCTGGGTGTGGTGGCGAAAGCCTGTAATCCCAGCTACTCGGGAGGCTGAGGCAGAATAATCGCTTGAACCTGGGAGAAGGAGACTGCAGTGAGCCAAGATCGCGCCACTGCACTCCAGCCTGGTGACAGAGCGAGACTCCGTCTCAATTAAAAAAAAAAAAAAAAGTACAGCACATAAAATTATGTCCAGTACATAATACTTGATAATGACAATAAAGGACTATGTTGTTGGTTTATGTACTTACTATACTATACTTTCTATCATCATTTTACAGTGTACTCCTACTTTCAACTGTTAAACAGCCCCAGGCAGGTCCCTCAGGAGGTATCCAGGAGAAGGCATTATTATCACAGGAGTTGACAGCTCCATGTGTGCTACTGTCCTTGAGACCCTGCAGTGGGACAAGATGTGGAGGTGGACGACAGTGATATGGATGGTATGGACCTTGTGTTGGCCTAGGCTAATGTGTGTGTTTGTGCCTTCGTTTTTAGTTTTAAAAAACTGAAAATAAGAAAGCTTCTAGAATAAAAACATAAAGAAGAAATATCTTTATACAGCTGTGCATGTGTTAGTGCTTTAAGTGTTTTTACAACAGAAAGTTTAAAAAATTTATATAGTAAAAAGGTTACCTTAAGCTAAGGTTAATTTATTATTGAAGAAATAAATATTTTTATAAACAGTCTAGCCTAAGTGTCCAGTGTTTATAAAATCGACAGCAGTGTACAGTAATGCCCTAAGCCTTCACATTCACTCACGACTCACTCACTGATTCACCCAGAGCAACTTCCAGTCCTGCAAGCTCCATTCGTGGTAAGTGCCCTATGCAGATGGTGCATTGAAATCTTTTATACTATATTTTTACTGTACTTTTTCTATATTTAGATACACGAATACCACTGTGTTATAATTGCCTATAATATTCAGTCCAGTAACATGCTGTACAGGTTAATAGCCTTGAAGCAATAAGCTCTACCATATAGCTGAGGGGTATAGTAGGCTAAACCTTCTAGGTTTGTGTAAATACACTCTATGATGCTCACACAATGACAAAATAGCCTGGTGACATATTTTTTCAGAATGTTTCCTACCACTAAGAGATGCATGATCGTATAAGGCAAAAATCATTACTAGAAACAAAGAAGGACATTTTATACTGCTAAGAGGGTCAACCCATCAATCTATTATAAATGTATATGAACTTAACAACAGAGACCCACAATATGTGAAGCAGAAACTTACAGAAATAAAAGGAGACATAGATAATTCAACAATAACTGGAGATGTCAACACTCCACTTTCGATAACAGAAGAACTAGACAATATATCAGTAAGAAAATAGAAGACTTGAACAACATTATAAACCAACTAGATACAACACGAACAGAACACTCGACCCAAGTGCAGAATGTATGTTTTTCCTAAGTGCACATAAAACATTCTCCAAGATACTAGGCCTTTAATACATTTAATACATAACCTTTAATACATTTAATACATAACCTTTAATACATTTAAAAAGATTAAAAATCAAAAAGTATGTTTAACCACAATGGAATGAAATTAGAAATCAGCAGAAGAAAATTTAGGAAATTCACAAATATACGAAAACTAAACAAAACATTCTTAAATAACCAACAAGGCACAGAAGAAATCACACACAAAAATTAGAAAATACTTTGGGATGAACAGAAATGAAACACAACATAAAATTTAAGGGGCACAGCTAAAGCAGAGAAAAATTTACAGCTCTAAATTTTCAGTCTACTTTTTAGAAGATTTTAAATCAACAGCCTAACTTTACACCTTAAGGAATTAGAGAAGGAAGAACAAACTAAACCTAAAGCTAGCAGAAGGAAGGAAATAACAAAGATTTGAAGGGAGATAAATAAAATAGAAATCAGCAAAACAACAGAGAAAAATCGAGACCAAAAGTTGGTTCTATTTTTTTTTTTTTTTTTTTTGAGACGGAGTCTCGCTCTGTCGCCCAGGTTGGAGTGCAGTAGTGCAATCTCAGCTCACTGCAAGCTCCCGCCTCCCGGGTTCACACCATTCTCCTGCCTCAGCCTCCTGAGTAGCTGGGACTACAGGCGCCCGCCACCACGCCCAGCTAATTTTTTGTACTTTTAGTAGACACTGGGTTTCACCGTGTTAGCCAAGATGGTCTCGATCTCCTGACCTTGTGATCCGCCCACCTTGGCCTCCCAAAGTGCTGGGATTACAGGCATGAGCCATGCGCCCAGCCAAGGCCTGGTTCTTTGAAAAGATACTGGCAAACTTTAGCTAGACTGACCAAGAGAAGACTCAAATTATTAATATTAAGAATATTAAGAATGAAAGGCAGGGATTACGTTGACCTTCAGAAATAAAAAGGACTATAAAGGAATATTAAGAACAATTGTGTCCCAACAAATTAGATAACCTAGAGGAAATGGACAAATTCCTACAGAAATGAAAACCACTAAACTGACTCATGAAGACACAGAAAATCTATATAGATCTCTATTAAGTAAAGAGGTTGAATTTATTAAAAACAAAAACAAAACAAAATGAAACAAAACCAAAAAACCCTTCCCAGAAAGGAACACAAAGGACTAAAAGGCTTTCCTCGTGAATTCTATCAAATGTTTAGAGAAGAGTTAAGGTCAATCCTTCATAGTCTCTTCCTAGAAGAAGAGGGGATACTTTCCAACTTATTCTATGAGGTCAGTATTACCCTAATACCAAACCAGACAAAAACATCGAAGGAAACAAAACTATACATCAGTATCTCTAATGAATATAGACACGAAAGTCCAAGAAAATGCAAACAGACAAGCACATCTTCCTTGGAGTAATGTCTATTACTCCATGAAGTCTAACACATGGATTGACAGATCAATAGGATGGAATTTGAGAATAGAGAAATGATCCAAATATGTATGAAAACAAAGATTATTAATAAGGCAATTTTTCAACTAAATGGGAAGATGAAGGATGAATCCATAAATCACTGGAACAGGACAGTTATTTGAGAAAAAAAAAAGCTGAAGTCCTATCTCCTTCTTCATAAAAAGTAAATTCCAAATGATCACAGACTTAAGCATATAATACAAAACCATGAGTGAACAGCTCTGTTCATTAATGAGAAAAAAGACTATAGAAAACCAAAAGCACTTTGGGAGGCTGGTGCGGGTGGATCATGAGGTCAGGAGTCCAAGGCCAGCCTGGCCAACATAGTGAAACTCTGTCTCTACTAAAAATACAAAAAATTAGCCGGGCATGGTGGCAGGTGCCTGTAATCCCAGCTACTCAGGAGGCTGAGGCAGGAGAATTGCCTGAACCTGGGAGGGGGAGGTTGCAGTAAGCCATGATCATGCCATTGCACTCCAGCCCGGGCGACAGTGTGAGACTCCGTTTCAAAAAAAAAAAAAAAGACACAAAGAGTTTACATAAAAATAAAATTGCAATAGCTAATAAATATGAAAAGATTCAAAACTACAGTGCTAATTAAACAGAGGTAAACTGGGATAGGAAAGAGAGTTCATGCATGACAATGGAAGGGCTGGGAGTCGGATACCTATAGCCTGGTCCATGGTGTGAACGATGCCTCAAAATCTCTGCTGCACCATAAGGACTTCTACCAAAACCAGCCATGTGCCTATGCACAGTTCCACAGCCAGGAATTTATCTTCCAGGCTATCTGGAGGTGCAACTATAAGGATGCTTGTTCCAGCTCTGGTTGTCACAGCAAAAGATGGGAGACTATCCAAATACCAATCAAGCCCAAATTCATTAACGAATTACAGTATAGACACACAATTGTTAAATGAAATAGATAACAGTGGATATAATAAAAATACAATAAGGACAGCAATATTCACAAGTTTTGAGTGCTGGGCACTGGCTAAACCACTTCTCCTTAGTTATTTTGTTTAACTCTCAAAACAACACTAAGTTTCTACTGTCACCCCATCACCACTGAATTAATTGTCACACTTCACTGGGCTTGCAGCTTGAAGTAAATCTGTGCATGAGATGCAGAAAGTCGGCAGACTCACCAGTAAGTAAAGCAAGGTGAGAACCACAGTGTGTCCCTTTCCTGCCATTCCTGGACACACACAGCTTGACCTGTTACAGTCACCAGAAATCCCAGAAGAAACAAATCCACATAGAGGCTTTAGGGAGGGAAACCCAGTGAGCTGCTGTCTTAAGTATTTTAGCACATTTAGGCATTTCTTTTTGTCTTTCTCTTTTTTCTTGAGGCAGAGTCTCTGTCACCCAGGCCCAGGCTGGAGTGCAGTGGCGTGATCTTGGCTCACTGCAACCTCTGCCTCCCAGGTTCAAGCGATTCTCCTTAGGCATTTCTTTTTCAATTAAAAAAAAAACTAGTTTAATTTTTCTAATAAAAAAGTAAAACAAAATAATTCACCTTGGAAATTCTGATTTTAATGAGATTCTCTAGTTCTCTAAAAATTTTTAAATATTAATGTATTATAGGCCAGGCGCAGTGGCTCATACCTGTAATCCCAGCACTTTCGGAGGCCAAGGCAGGCAGATGACTTGAGGTCAAGACTTCGAGACCAGCCTGGGCAACATAGTGAAACCCAGTCTCTACTAAAAATACAAAGATTAGCTGGGTGTGGTGGCAGGCGCCTGTAATCCCAGCTACTCCGGAGGTTGAGGAGGCTTGCTTAAACTCAGGAGGTGGAGGTTGCAGTGAGCCAAGACTGTGCCACTGCACTCCAGCCTGGGCAACATAGCAAGACTCCATCTCAATAGAAAAAAAAAAAAGTAATGCATTATATAACAAAATATCAACTGCATGAAACTATATGTAGCTGCATTTAGATTTCTCTGCCTCTAATCGCCCCATGCATTTCTAATATGAGACAGAGTCTTTACATTCTGTTTTCTGAATATCTTCCATCCACCGTCTTTACATATTCAGTGCCATTAGCTGATGTCTGATTTCTACAATAAGAAGAACGAGAATTTTGGAATGAGGACAGAAATGTATATTTTATGGTGACTGTATTGTGGCACTGATGTTGAATATACTTAAGCAGTTTAAACTACTGTTTGTGATTATCATAAAAATACATGTAATTGCCAACTATGAATTTTTTCTTTAAACTAATGGATTAGTCACTTCTAAGCTTTCTCCTTTTAAAAGAATTTATTGAATGAATTAAGTTAGCAATCATATCACCAGACACTGCTTACTTCCCACGCCCCTATAAAAAAGAACATTTTTCAATACATTGTTTTCCCTAATTGAGACTCATAAACTCATAAATCATGGTTGTTTCCGAGCTTTTCCTTGAGGCCTTTTTATTTTCACAGCCAGAAGCCCTAAACTAATCAATCATGGCATCATGTCATGGGTAATTACCACTGGGTGATGTGCCTCCTGTTTCTCCAGGCTAAAGGGAAACTCTCAGCTTGGTATTTTAAAGCACTTTTGTCTGAACAACCAAATAGCACACAGGAACCTCTGTTATGGCAAAAATAAGCATGAATGTACATACAGGTGGGACAGCCTAGGAAACACGTGCACACTCACACCCATGACCCCTGACTCAGAGGCTCCCGGTGATGCCATCCTCACAGTGTTAAGTGACTTGGAAGATGAGACCATGAAAAGAACAAGTGCTGGTGGCACTCCCAGGCAAAGATCCCCAGGCTGGAGGAGTTGGCGCCTGAAGAAAACCAGAGCAAAACCTCAAGGGTCAGAGGGCCTGGGCATCGGTGCAGGGCTCACTTGAGACTGAACACGTTCCCCAGGGAAGATCTGTATGCTTCTAAAGAACACTTTTGGCCAGGCACAGTGAATCATGCCTGTAATCCCAGCACTTTGAGAGGCTGAGGCAGGTGGAATGCTTGAGCTCAGGAGTTTGAGACCAGCTTGGGCAACATGGCAAAACCTCATCTCTACAAAAATTAGCTGGGCATGGTGACGCACGCCAGTAATCTCAGCTACTCTGGAGGCTGAAGTGGGAGGACTGCTTGAGTCTGGGAGGTCAAGGCTGCAGTGAGCCGAGATGGCAATACTGCACTGCAGCCTGGGCAACAGAGTGAGACCTTGTCCCAAGGAAAAAAAAAAAAAAAAAAACATTTTCACATGTTTTACCTTTTCTTTCCAAATTCTCATGGCACATCTTCACTCTACAATTTTTGTGTCTTCCCAGATCTGTCTTCTGGAGTAGTTGTGATAATGTCTATTTGAGGTTCCAGTGTGACTAAGCTATGCCTGGGTACCTGGGTGGGACGCTGACGCCCTGGGCTCAGTGGGAGGGGTTGACATCCTGGATTCAGTAGGTGGGCCTGACAGTCTGGGCTAGTAGATGGGGCTGATACACTGGGACTAGTAGGTGGGGCTGACACCCTGGGCTCTGTGGGCGGGGCTGACACCCTGCATTCTGTGGGCAGGGCTGACACCCTGGGCTCTGTGGGTGGGGAATGACACCCTGGGATCTGTGGGTGGGGCTGACACCCTGGGCTCTGTGGGTGGGGCTGACACCCTGGCTCTGTGGGCGGGGCTGACACCCTGGGATCTGTGGATGGGGCTGACACCCTGGCTCTGTGGGCGGGGCTGACACCCTGGGATCTGTGGATAGGGCTGACACCCTGGGCTCTGTGGGTGGGGCTGACACCCTGGGCTCTGTGGGCGGGGCTGACACCCTGGGATCTGTGGATGGGGCTGACACCCTGGCTCTGTGGGCGGGGCTGACACCCTGGGATCTGTGGATAGGGCTGACACCCTGGGCTCTGTGGGTGGGGCTGACACCCTGGGCTCTGTGGGTGGGGAATGACACACTGGGCTTTGTGGGAGAGGCTGACACCCTGGGCTAGTGGGTAGAGTTGACACCATGGGGTCTGTTAGTGGGGAATGACACCCTGGGCTCTGTGGGTGGGGCTGACACCCTGCATTCTGTGGGCAGGGCTGACACCCTGGGCTCTGTGGGTGGGGAATGACACCCTGGGATCTGTGGGTGGGGCTGACACCCTGGGCTCTGTGGGTGGGGCTGACACCCTGGGATCTGTGGATAGGGCTGACACCCTGGGCTCTGTGGGTGGGGCTGACACCCTGGGCTCTGTGGGTGGGGAATGACACACTGGGCTCTGTGGGCGAGGCTGACACCCTGGGCTAGTGGGTGGAGTTGACACCATGGGGTCTGTTAGTGGGGAATGACACCCTGGGCTCTGTGGGTGGGGCTGACACCCTGCATTCTGTGGGCGGGGCTGACACCCTAGGCTCTGTGGGTGGGGAATGACACCCTGGGATCTGTGGGTGGGGCTGACACCCTGGGCTCTGTGGGTGGGGCTGACACCCTGGGATCTGTGGATAGGGCTGACACCCTGGGCTCTGTGGGTGGGGCTGACACCCTGGGCTCTGTGGGCGGGGCTGACACCCTGGGATCTGTGGATAGGGCTGACACCCTGGGCTCTGTGGGTGGGGCTGACACCCTGGGCTCTGTGGGTGGGGAATGACACACTGGGCTTTGTGGGAGAGGCTGACACCCTGGGCTAGTGGGTAGAGTTGACACCATGGGGTCTGTTAGTGGGGAATGACACCCTGGGCTCTGTGGGTGGGGCTGACACCCTGCATTCTGTGGGCAGGGCTGACACCCTGGGCTCTGTGGGTGGGGAATGACACCCTGGGATCTGTGGGTGGGGCTGACACCCTGGGCTCTGTGGGTGGGGCTGACACCCTGGGATCTGTGGATAGGGCTGACACCCTGGGCTCTGTGGGTGGGGCTGACACCCTGGGCTCTGTGGGTGGGGAATGACACACTGGGCTCTGTGGGCGAGGCTGACACCCTGGGCTAGTGGGTGGAGTTGACACCATGGGGTCTGTTAGTGGGGAATGACACCCTGGGCTCTGTGGGTGGGGCTGACACCCTGCATTCTGTGGGCGGGGCTGACACCCTAGGCTCTGTGGGTGGGGAATGACACCCTGGGATCTGTGGGTGCGGCTGACGCCCTGGGCTAGTGAGTGGAGCTGACACCCTGGGCTCTGTGGGTGGGGAATGACACCCTGGGCTAGTGGGCGGGGCTGACACCCTGGGCTCTGTGGGTGGGGCTGACACCCTGGGCTCTGTGGGCGGGGCTGACACCCTGGGCTCTGTAGGTGGGGAATGACACCCTGGGATCTGTGGGTGGGGCTGACACCCTGGGCTCTGTGGGTGGGGAATGACACCCTGGGATCTGTGGGTGCAGCTGACGCCCTGGGCTAGTGAGTGGAGCTGACACCCTGGGCTCTGTGGGTGGGGAATGACACCCTGGGCTCTGTGGGCGAGCTGACACCCTGGGCTCTGTGGGTGGGGCTGACACCCTGGGCTCTGTGGGCGGGGCTGACACCCTGGGCCCTGCTATCTTGTCCATGAATTTTTCAGTGTGAGATGCCCCCTCTCATCCTCCAGCTCTGTGCTCTACTTTTGTCTACTTTCGTTTTGCCAGAACACAGTGTGGAGGAAATCCTGTGCTTTCTATTGTGACTCAGTTCTGTATCTGTGAAGTGGGTGACCCTTGGGATTGGAGAAGCAGGCGGGAGAGATACACCACGCAGCAGAGACGCTCTGACCCTGTGCACCTGCAAGTGCCTTCACAGAGAAAGAGCAACCTCTTGGAGACTTGCGATTAAGAATTTCCACACAGAAACACCAAGCTGAAGAGAGATCCATTCCCCACCCACTCTGTCTCACACATGCCCCTCGCGCCCTGTCACTCTGATTTGGCATTGTTCCTTTTCTTGTTCTGAATCCACCTGTGTGTGGTGGAGCCAAGTTGTGATGGAGTGGTTTCCTTTTCTGTTGCAGTTCTCTCCCCACCCTCTGGAAGGTATCTTTCCTCTACTCCAGTGGTTTTCAATGACACTGCCCCAGGGGACACTGCCAAAGCCGAAGACATTTTTGATGATCAGACTTGGGAGGTGCCCCTTGGCCTCTCATGAGTGGAATCCAGGGACGCTGCTCACTCCCCCCAACACACAGGACAGCCCAGCATGGAGTATGACCGTCCCAAGTGTGGACAGTGCCGAGACGGGGGCACGCATTCCCCTCCAGCCCACCTTACATTCTCCCTGCGGGCTCTCAGCACGGAGGTGGCCAGCCTTAGAGTTGAAATAAAATGCAGCTATAACGGAGTCCAGCCATCAACTCTGTGCTGCACCCTCTCCCCATGTGCACTCAGAAACGGAGCCCTTAGGAGGTTCTGGCCAGATGGGGGCCATGCAGAGCCTGCCTCTGCCACCTACCAGCCCTGAGCCAAGGCAGGAAACACAGCTTCTCTGCCTCCATCTCCTTAAATACCAAGTAGGGACAAGGAAAGCTCTCTCCAGCTTACTGAACTGTGTCTCACATTCCTGACACACAAGTCCATAAATGCCAGTTGTTTTTCTCCATCTCTCCCCTTTTCTAATTTTTCCACCTCTCACCACTCATTTGGGAAAAATCCCTGATGCCAGCAATGCTCCTGGCCCACTGTACCCCTCAGCAGGGGCCATGGCTCCCTTCTCAAGGAACCCCCACACAGTGGCACCCAGCTCTAGCCCCAGGTGTGCGTGGCCAGGGTCCACCAAACAGCAAGGCCACAGCTGAGGAGTGAAGGGAGACACATGGGGCAGCACAAGCCGTTCAGGCCTTACTTTCCTTTTTTGTGACTTTTGGACATTTGTTCATTCATAACTCATCAGCCTCTTAGAGAATAACATCACTGGCCCGGTGCAGTGGCTCATGCCTGTAATCCCAGCACTTTGGGAGGCTGAAGTGGGTGGATCACCTGAGGTCAGGAGTTCGAGACCAGTCCGGCCAACATGGTGAAACCCTGTCTCTACTAAAAGTACAAAAATTAGCCGGGGGCGGTGGCACACGCCTATAATCCCAGCTACTCAGGAGGCTGAGGCAGGAGAATCGCTTGAACCCGGGAGGCGGAGGTTGCAATGAGCCGAAATCGCACCACTGCCCTCTAGCCTGGGTGACAAGAGCAAGACTCCGTCTCAAAAAAAAAAAAAGAGAGAGAGAGAATAATACCAGTGCAGATATTTCTGTCATCTGTGGTGTACTGCAAAGCACTGTTGGCCAGCACCTCTCTTAGCCAACGATGGGAACATGACAGTTGCTGACTGGAGAGAGACCTGAGATGTCCAGAAACGTCAACTCCTTGAGGACACACGTGGCCTCAAGGAAAGGAGCAATTTCTTTGTGGCCCCTCTTTCTCTGTGGTCTCTAATTTGAGTTACTGAGCTTACTGTATTAAAAATGTTAACACAAAACTGAGGCCATCGAGGCAGATCAGCTTCCTGATCAAGATGGAAAACAGGAAGGGGCGAGGGACCAGAGCACAGCACGTGGGCATCACGCCCACGCACTGCTGTTGTCCTCCCAAGCCATTCCCAGCGGGCTTCACGTGTAGTTACGAGGCCACAGTAAAGTTCACAGCCACGCTTCCAAAGAGACTCGTTATTTGTGCAAACACACACTGGCTTGCAGACAGCAAGGAGCCCTTCATGGGCTTCAGCCCTATTTAAAATATTTACCAAAACAGATGCCAAGTCTGACACCATGTAAAAAGTGGATGAGGAGAAAAGGCCTGGAACACTCTCCTCTTGGAGGGGAAAGTTTTGCAGAAATGAGGATATGAGACCAATGCAGCCAGGAAGGGCCCCTGGGAACTCTGCTACCTATGGGCATGCATGAAACCTACAGAGGGAACAGAATCTCACCCCCTCCCACCCCCACTTACATTTTTGCTCCCACCATCATTTTCATATGTAAAGAATTCAAAGCATGGAGGAGTTTAATTGGACACTTCTCCATAATTAACCACCCTAGCCCAAACCCCTCTGTCTTGCCATGTTTCCATAGTTTACTGCTCTTTGTTCAATCTGGGATAGAAGCGTTCAGCTCCAAATGTTGCTTTGAGTCTTCATTCTTCATGTGAAGGCTCTCGTGTCCATGAAAAGCTTACTAAATAAAATTTGCACGCTTTTTTATTTTATTTTATTTTTGAGATGGAGTCTCACTCTGTCATCAGGCTGGAGTGCAGTGGCGCAATCTCAGCTCACTGCCACCTCCACCTCACGGGTTCAAGCAATTCTCCTGCCTCAGCCTACCGAACAGCTGGGACTACAGGCGCCCGCCACCACACCCAGCTAATTTTTGTATTTTTTGTAGAGACGGGATTTCGCCATGTTGGCCACGATGGTCTTGATCTCTTGACCTCGTGATCACCCCCCTTGGCCTCCCAAAGTGCTAGGATTACCGGCGTGAGCCACAGCTCCTGGCCTGCATGCTTTTCTCCTTGTCCATCTATCTCATGCCGGAATCCCCAGGAGGGGAGAGGAGGAATTCTACCTCCCTACACTAGAAACTGCTATATTCCACAAGTTCACTCAACACAGACAGACCCCACAGGAGGACGCTAAGGAGTCAAAGGATTTTCCAGCAGCTTTGACCTCTGAAAAGGGTTCCTTGACTGGATATGCTGAACATGAACGGGCGGGCTCATGCCAAAGCATGAGCTTGGCAAGGCAGGGTAAAGGACCTGGACTGAAATGTTTGGGGACCATCGCGCACAGCAGGTTCTCAGCGTCTGGGCAGATGGGGCCATGCCCCAGTGCATCCTTGCAGGTTTGCGTGACTGGGCTTAGGACTGACAGCCGAGCCCAAGCCATTTGCTTGACGAAGCCCATCATAAACAAACCTTTTCTTAATTTGGAAGGTGTTTTTTTTTTTTTTTTTTTTTTTGGAGATGGAGTCTCGCTCTGTTGCCCAGGCTGGAGTGCAGTGGCGTGATCTCCACTTACTGCAAGCTCTGCCTCCCAGGTTCACGCCATTCTCCTGCCTCAGTCTTCCAGGTAGCTGGGACTACAGGCGCCCGCCACCAGGCCCGGCTAACTTTTTTTTGTATTTTTAGTAGAGATGGGGTTTCACCATGTTAGCCAGGATGGTCTCGATCTGCTGACCTCATGATCCGCCTGCCTCGGCCTCTCAAAGTGCTGAGATTACAGGCGTGAGCCACCGCGCCTGGCCAATTTGGCTCACTTGGCCCAACCTGTCCTTTTGTATCACCCAGCAGAACTTGGAGGCATTTGGGTTTGAGACCCCTGCCCAGTCTCAACTGCAGGGAAAAGGAGCGACTTCCAGAGGCATCACTGCTTACACCCAAAAGACATAAGGGCAGCATTGTCTCTGGGCAGCAGTTTCTGTAAACACCATTTAAACACAGGCAACTTCAACCACAGGGCTTGGCAAAGAGAAGGAAATGGAGAGAGCTGGGGAGAGAGAGGGCAAGGCTTACAAAACTCCAGTTTCAACAGCACCAGCAATGCCTCCCCTTCTGCCCAAGGGAAACGGACTGAATCCAGCCTGCAGTGGCACGAGGTGCGCAGAAAGCCAAGGTGGAAAGAACGTGAGAGGTTTTCCTGGTCTCCCAATCACTGTGGAAGTGGAGGAACCACCACACTATGACTCCAAGAGGAAGGCGAAAGGCATTCAGGGGCCACACAAGAACAAACCAACCACAAAATGGGCAACAAACTTCAGCAGACATTTCTCCAAAGAAGACATGTATATGGCCACCGAGCACACCGAAAGATGCTCAACATCGTTAGCCGTTAAGGAAACGCAAATCACAACCACGACAACAGGTTATCAGCTCACACCCACTAAGGCAGCCGTAAAAACAGAAAATAACAAGTTTTGGTGAGGAGGTGGAGAAACTGGAACCCTGTGCACTGCTGGTGGGGGTGCAAAATGGTGCAGCCTCTGTAGAAAATGGTACAGAAAAAAATTACAAAGACGGGGAGGCAACCCAAGTGCCCTCAGGTCGGATGAAGAGATAAACAAATGTGGTATATTCCACAACAGAATATGATTCAGCCTTGAAAAGAAAGAAAATTCTGTCATTTGCTACATCAGGGATGAACCTTGAGGACATTATGCTAAATATGCCAGCCACAAAACGACAAAGGCTATGTGAATCACTTCTGTGAAATATCCAGAGCAATCAAATCCACAGAAACAGAAAACAGAATGGAGGCTGCCAGAGGCTGGAGGAGGGGACAGGGAGTTGTTTAATGTTTCTGCTATGCAGGATGAAAACAGTTTTGGAGACTGGTCACACAACAACGTGAATGTATCAGAACTGTACACTCAGAAATGGTTAAGATGCTAAATTTTCTGTTATGTATTTTTTAACACAATTTTTTAAAAACCATGCAAACTATGAGAATTTCACAGAAGGAGACAACAACAAAAAAACCCACATAGAACATTCCAAGAAGAGAAGCATGCCCTGGGTGGAACCACAGCCAGGCATGGACATACACGGATGTGTTTCCCTTCATGACTGCATGTGGCCTTGCGTATGGGTCCTTGGGGGGCCCACAGCCCTACGTGGGCGTACACACAGATGTGCCTCCCTCATGACAGCATGTGGCCTTGTGCATAAAACCGACAGCTTATACTTTCCAGGGACCTTCAGTCATTTTCAAGAATTGCTTTGACTGTGCAAGTCCTGCTTCATGGTAGACCTTACAATCTCTGCTGAATGTGCAACTCCATGGCATAAAACACCTTATTAGGGAGTTGACTTTGAGGACACACCACATATTTTCTGGGATGATCTCTTCTCTGGATGAAAAGATTTGAGATTTCGTTATTAATTTGCTATGACCCTAAAATCACCAGAAACACACTCATTTCTGACCTTTTGACATTAGGAGAGTGGCTTGTGGCTGAGTCTACTCATCTGAAAATAGGAACCATCATGGTATCATCCACCCTTCAAAGCTGCTCAGCACAGAGCCAGGCCTGCCACACGGCTCCGTCAGGGTCCCATTGCAAGCATTGCCACTATCAAGGCTAGCAGCAGGAATGGCAGGCTCAGGAACTGGCAGGAGGGAAGAGTTTACCACCACCTTTGCCTCTCTCTCTCCTGTGTTCCAGCAACCCTCTGATTTGAAACGTTGAGGCAATTAACACAGCCCTAATTCCCAGAAGCTATTGTAGCAGTGCGTGTGCCAGCCCCACAGCTGCCAAGGCCACAAAGCCACCCTTGGGGGACCTTTGCTCGACAGCCTCTTATTAAACTCCAGCCTCATGGAACTGCCAGGCCAGGGAGCCTCCAAGTGTCAAGGGCTTAGCACCCCTGCGGCCGTCCTTGGAGACTGCATGCTCATCTCCTGAGGAGAGAGAAAGGCGGCTCACATGGGCCACGCTTTAGCCAGGGTGGCAGAGCGTCATGCGGCCTGTACTTCAGTTCCAGGCATGCCTTCACTGTGCAGCTGCCTTGGGCTCCTGCCGGCTCCTGCCCAGGGCTAATTCCTAAATTCCCAATTCACCAACTAGGGCCAATCTTTAGAGATGAAACTACAGCAATGGATTCAGAGTGGGGGGGTGGTCACAGAACTGCACTCTGAGATGAGAAGCATGAATGAGAACGGGCTGTCAGGCTCCTCTGTCAGTTGACTGAGTTATTTTTACTTAAGTTAGCTAGATCATTCAAACGCTTCATTCTACTATCTAGCCCTCTCTATGACTGCACACCCACCCCCTAGGAAATTCCTTTTTCTTTCCTTTGTGATTTAAAAGCTAAAACCAAAATGCTTCATAGGAATAAGGTATGTACCCTTAGCCCTCCTTTCTCACAGAAAAAAGCATTTATTCAAAGTACTTCACATGGTAGGACGAAAGTAGTATTTAATGATGACACCCAATTAAATGGCTTCTGGCCTTCCAAAGCCACATGACTATCCTCGAGTTCCCTGAGGGTGAGGCCCCTCAGAAGCCCTGTCTGCCTCAGTGACCACTGCACATAAGGTCATGCAGAAGCCTCTGGTGCCAGCACCACCTGCAGGCCTCTGGACACCTTTGCTCGGCCTGGGACAGTCACATGGCCATGCAGTTCTGTCCATCCACTCCAAGACACGGAGTTAGGGGCAGGGGAGAACAGATTTGAGAGACCATCATCCAGCATTCCTTCTCCCAGCCTGGGGCCCAGGTACACAGGTGAGGACCCCAAGACACAGCCTCATGGCAGTCAGCGGCTGCTCCTGGGATTCCAAGTTCTCCTATCAGCCCCTCTCCTTCCATTAGTTTCAGCTTCCCTCCTTCTCTTCTCCTGTTCCTGAATAAGTCTCTACTTCTCAGCTAGAGCAGGAAGCCTAAACAGGCTGCTCCCCCTAGCCGGAGAGGCACACACTCTCCACATGAAAGCTGGAAATCTAAATCACACTCACCAACCTAAGGAGTGGCAGAGGAAGAAATGCCAGCGTGGCCTGGGCATGTCTTCATAGGATGGCAGCAGAAGTACATGTACACACCCATGCACATGCTCACACACAAGTATGAACATACGTACACACACCCACACACACACATATGCACACCTTTCAACCCAACGCCGAGGGGTGAATACAGAAAGAAGAAAGATGGGAAGATGAAATTCCACTCAAAAATGTCCAGCGAGATTGCATTCCTTCACCAACACTGCCCTCCCCATGAGGGTGCAGGTACAGACTATGCCCAGATGACATCCTCACAGGGACAAAACTGATGGAATCGCACAAACTATCACCACTCCAGAGAAGTCCAAAGCCTCAGTAAGTATATTCGGGCAGTTGAGGGGCACTTGAGGATTCAGTGCAATTCAACAAGCCTGATTTTAATTTGATGATGAAAAAGTACAACTGCATACAATGTGCCTTTTCAAGGTAGAACCGGCTGCTTTGTGTGACTGTTCGGGTGTGGAGGGCTGAAGAAAGGACCCAGCATGGCTTATTAGCAGAAATAGGGACAGGGGGTTCTCTCAGTGCACCTGAGCCACTCTAACAGCATACCATAGACCAGGCAGCTTATAGGCAACAGAGATCCGTTTTCAGTGCTGGAGGCTGGAAAGCCCAACATCAAGGCACTGGTGAATTCATGTCTGATGAGGGTCCACTTCTTGGTTCATAGACAGTACCTCCTGGCTGTGTCCTCACATGGCAGAAGGAGAAAGGGGTCTCTCTGAGGCCTCTTTGTTAAGGGTGCTAATCTCACGTATGAGGGTTCCACCCTCCTGATCTCATCATCTCCCAAGGTCCCTACACCTCCTAATACCATCACCTTGGGGGTGAGGATTTCAATATAGGCATTTTACGGAGACACAAACATTCAGACCATGGCAGGGGGCAACAGTGGTTTGGAGAGAGGAAAACAGCAAGTTCTATTTTGGACCTTGTGATATTATGATCATATTAGTTTTGTTTGTTTGTTTGTTTGTGACAGAGTCTCGCTCTGTCGCCCAGGCTGGAGTGCAGTGGCACGATCTCAGCTTACTACAAGCTCTGCCTCCCGGGTTCACGCCATTCTCCTGCCTCAGCCTCCCAAGTAGCTGGGACTACAGGCACCCACCACCACACCCGGCTAATTTTTTGTATTTTTAGTAGAGACGGGGTTTCACCGTGTTAGCCAGGATGGTCTCGATCTCCTGACCTTGTGATCCGCCCGCCTCGGCCACCCAAAGTGCTGGGATTACAGGCATAAGCCATCGCGCCTGGCCGATCATATTGAGTTTTGTCCACAGCTCCTTGCTCATAATTTTTTGTTATAATGTTGGGGTGCTTTAGGCTTCAGAAGCAGACTTGGGAAACAGAATCTCTGACCTTCTCCTGCCCTCCTTTCACCTGCCCAAAGCAGGACTTAATCAGACTTAGGGTCATAAAACTCTCATTCCAGAAGGGGTCCTGCCCCCTACCCTGGAAGGCTATGTAGAGAAGGAAGGCTACATAGAGAGGCCAGGAAGAATTTGAACAGACGGTCCTTGCTGGAGTTAGATCATATCCTTTTTATCCAATCACATTTTGACATGGTTGTCCACGCTGCAGCCTGGACAACCAATGAAGCCTCCATGAAAGGCCCAAAAGACAGGGTTTGGAGAGCTTCCTGAGAGATGAACACGTGGAGGCCAACAGGAAGGTGAAGAACTCATCCACGTGCTGGGAGGGTGGGGCACCCCAACTCCACAGGAACAGAAGCTCCTACACTGGGGACCCTTCCAGACCTCGCCCTGTGTATCCCTTCACCTGGCTGTTCATCTGGATCCTTTGTAATACCCTTCAAATAAACCAGTAAGTGTGTTTTCCCCAAGTTCTGTGAGACACTCCAGCAAATTAAACAAACTCAAAGAGAGAGCTGTGAAAACCCCAACCTGAAGCCAGTAGGTCAGTTGGAAGTTCTGGAGACCTAGACTTGCAACTGGTGGGAAGAAGAGGCAGTCTTGCAGAACTGAATCCTCAATGAGGGGGGATCAGACGCTACCTCCAGGTAGACAGTGTCTAAAGTGGACTGGAGGACACCCAGCTGGCGTCCACTGCTTGTATGTGCACAAAAATCTCCACATTTGGTCACAGAAGTCTTCGTCTATGTTGGTGATTGTTGCTGTGGTGTGAGAGCAGAGGAAAAATACTTGAGAGTTTTTCCAGAACAGGCCTGTTGGGGAAGTCAGTGAGATCACTGTACACTATGACACGGCGACCCTCTCCAAGCTGATCTGACAGATGACACTGTCCATTTCTTCTGTGAAAGGTGCTGATGGATGAATGCCTCTTGCACCAGCTAAGACTTGTGCTCACCCAGGGCTAGCTCGGTCGCAAGCCTGTCTATACCAGTTGTATTTGTTACTATAATTATGTTGTTTAGGTACCTATTGCAAAATGTGACGTCACCTGACAGCTAACAAGAAGAAAATTATTTCTATAAACACTAAGCGGAATGCTTTAGGAAAAAAAAAAGTGGGTTGCTTAAAACAGCTACTTGTGCATATGATGACAGTAAAACACTGAAGTGAGGGGGTGAAAATCTATTAGGATCCTGCATTTTCCAAGTGTCTTAAGAGTTTTTGCCCATTTTAAAGGAACTGAAACCTGAGAATCACTAAATATGCACTTTGAATGTGGTTGATGTGAGAAACATAAGGTGGCATTCCAATCAGTAAGCCTCTCCTCAATTAAAATCTTCATAAATTGGCCAGGCGAGGTGGCTGACACCTGCAATCCTAGCATTTTGGGAGGCCGAGGCGGGCGGAAGAGGTCAGGAGATCAAGACCATCCTGGCCAACATGGTGAAAGCCCGTCTGTACTAAAAATACAAAATTAGCTGGGTGTGGTGGCACATGCCACCCAGCTACTGGGGAGGCTGAGGCAGGAGAATCACTTGAACCCGGAAGGTGGAGCTTGCAGTGAGCCGAGATCGTGCCACTGCACTCCAGCCTGGTGACAGAGCAAGACTCCATCTCAAAAAAAAATCATAAATTATCATGCATTGTAAGTAAGGTAAAATGTGTGAAGTAGGCTGGGCACGGTGGCTCACGTCTGTAATCCCAGCACTTTCGGAGGCCGAGGAGGGCGGATCACGAGGTCAGGAGATCGAGACCATCCTGGCTAACACGGTGAAACTAAAAATATAAAAAATATACATATTTTTTTTTACTAAAAATATAAAAAATATATACTAAAAATATAAAAAATTAGCCGGGCGTGGTGGCACGTGCCTGTAGTCCCAGCTACTCAGGAGGCTGAGGCAGGAGAATGGCATGAACCCGGGAGGCGGAGCTTGCAGTGAGCTGAGATCGCGCCACTGCACTCCAGCCTGGGCAACAGAGTGAGACTCCATCTCAAAAAAAAAAAAGTGTGAAGTATTAAACTGTTTTGGGCTGTCATTTGGAAATGGACATGCCCTAGGGGATGAAAGGTTTCCTCTCCCCTAAGAATATTAAATCAAATCCTCTTGCCTCCATGTTGCACATCCCTGTAGCTGACTTCCTTCAGGGGTCCCCAAATAGTCTACAATGTCACTCCTCCCTTCCATCTCTCCCCACCAGGTGTTCTTTTATGCCAATATTCCCTGGAAAAACCAAAAGGATACATGCAGATAATTTGCTCAATGGGAGTGTCAGTGTGAAGTCTAACATTTTGCTCCTGAGTCAGTACACAGTTGAGACTCCTTTTCAGCTGACCCCAACCCTCTGCCATTGTGAACCCACCAGGAACAGTGGGCACCAGGCACACAGCTTTTCTCTGCCTTCTGTTATTTCAGCTTCTTTGCAAATGGCCACATTCATTTTCACAGCCACTGTTAGGGCAAAAGCAACAATTCTGCTTCACAGTTCTCTCCGCACAGCTCTTAATAAGCCACTGACCCCTCAGCCCCACAGAGAGCTGGGGGTGCAGCAGTGCAGCCCACGCAGTTAGCACCAACCGGGCAGGTCCAGGGCCAAAGCCAAATCCTGCTCAGTGGCCAGCGGCACTCGCCAGTGTGACTCATTTTTAGCAATTCACAGACATGCAGCAACATCTTGGCTTGAGGCGTCTGGGGTACAGCCGGCAGCAAGAGTGGGCAGGCGCCGTGGGCGTCCTCACCACTGCATGTTCAGAGCCCACATGCCCACAGACCAGGCTGGTGAGGCTCCCGGCTCCACTGCCACCTTCAAGGGTCACTGCTAACCTTGCTGGGAATGGGAAGGGCATCACCACAAACTGCCCTCCGCACATCTTGACTCAGCAACAGTGTCCAGTGTCCAAGGGCAGCTGGAATTGAAACGAGTGCCTCTCTCACACGTCATTTGTGGCAACTTGGTAAAGCTGATCTTGCAATGCACCGAGGAGCAAGTGAGACCCCACACAGGCTGCTCAGCGACTAAATCGGCCACGCCACACATGACCCCCAGTCCCGCCCTTCAGATGCCCCAGGGCAAGACAGCAGGCACAGGGCCTCCAGCCCCCATGTCGGCGGAGCCAGCACCAGCAACCCTGGGCTGAGACATTTCCCACCATGCCCGAGGCTACGGTGGCGACAGAATCAGAATGGGGTCTATGGTTTCCTGAAGTTCACCAGGGCTTGGCATCGGTACTGGGCTGGCGTCTTTGGGAAGAGTTTGAACAGCTACACTATCTAGTGTATGCAGCAAGCCAGACATGTTCTCAAGCACTCAGGTGAGAGAGTTCACGTGGCAAACATGAGAAGCCATCAGCAAATGCCTTCCCAGAGGCGAGTTTCAGGCCCGAAGCACCTGCGGGATTGACGGGTGCGGTTTTGCCTTCTGCTTGAACAGATGTTCTCCCGGGCTTTACCTCCTTGTAAGACACGATCATCTACTTCCGCAGACAGTGCCTAAACATGCCAACCCAGCTGGGACCCTCTGCTCTGCACTTCAGCTGCAAGCAGGGCCCGGCCCAGGCCCTTGTGTTCTTTACCGTTAGCGGCAGCAACACCTCAGTAAATTCCACCTCAGACAGGGCATTCACACAGGACGCCTGTCCGGTCACTCTCGGCAGAGGCTGCATGCTCAGCAATAAAGGCTGCCACAAGGACAACCGCAGGCAGCACCGGGAGCCCTGCGGTCTGTGTCACCAGGTGTGGCCGGAACAGGAGGGACGACGCTGGCCTCTGCATCCCAGTGGAGTCTACGTTTGCGGGTCACACACAGGGAATGCGGCCCTAATTAGGACCCCACTTCGCTGTGAGGAAGACAGACCCAGAGGGGAGACATCGGCACTCTCATGCTGCACAGAGGCTAGGACCTAAGCCCCACCTGGCATAGGAAGGTACAAGGACAAGTGGTATCGATTCTGGTGTCACACGTCACGTGGTTCTTTTTCTCAGCAGAAACTATAAGATGCAGTTTCTCATCAACAGAGCAAGTGGCAAACTCATGGGAATTCCCCCTCTCTTCGGCCTGAGGAGGCTGGCTAGGAGGAAAAGGGACACTGGCTCTGGCAGCTGGGGGACAGGAAGCAAATGCCCATACGAATCTTTCCTTCCCACACCTCCCCTAGGCCGGGACAGCGGCGCTGGTGGGGGAAAAGCTGTCAGGGCCTCTGCCAGCCCTCCGTGCAGTAGTGACAGGCAAAGGTGGGAAAAGCTGTCCCTCCAGGGGAACCCAGGCCCAGACTGCACGGGAACCACGGGGGAGCGCAGGGCCCACATGGGGACATCCTTTTGTGTGGCCGGGGGTGCTCATTCGGCCCGTGTGGAAAGCTGGCCACTGCCCCAGGTCCGCCCCAGCGCTTCTCCAGTGAGGGGGAGGGTCTCTCTGAGGAAGGGGCTGTGTTAATCATGCCTTTATATTTGCTGTATTTCTGGATATTTTGACATCTGGGGCCTTGCTGATCCTAGAGATATGGCCCCTCTCAATTGCTAGAAGGGCTGGCCAATTCCTAGAGGGAAGCACTCATCACCTGCTAGTGGGCCTTCATAGGCAAACCAACCACACGGAAGCCACCCAACTACCTCCTCATGCAGCTCTCACCCTGGGCCACCATTTCCTGGCCACAGACACCCAGGGCCGGGGATCCGACAGCCAGGGGCAGCCCCACACCTGGAACATGCTGACATGCCTGCCCTGTTTCCCTGCACTCCCTCAGCCTCCTGCTGATCTCAGAGTGGTCCCTCACAGCAAGCCTCCTCTTCTAGGGTTTGTGACACAAGCCATTTCCGTATCTGTGTGTCTTTCTATTCCTGGTTAAAACAGATCCCGGCACACTTTAAAATGGGGCCTTGCTCCCAGGGGAGCTCCCCACACACTCCAAGTGCCTGCCTCCTTTTTACTCTGGTTTGGTCTTAGTCAGGGATATCCAATCTTTTGGCTTCCTTGGGCCACACTGGAAGAAGAATTGTCTTGGGCCACACATAAAATACACTAACACTAATGACAGCTGATGAGCTTAAAAAAATGCAAAAAAAAAAAAAAAATCTTATACTGTTTTAAGAAAGTGTAAGAATTTGTGTTGGGCCACATTCAAAGCTATCCTTGGCCACAAGTGGCCCACAGGCTGGACAAACTTGGTCTCGGTGTTCCATTCACTTGACTCCTCGTCTCTGCTGAAATCTACACAATCCCTTCGGCTCCTTGTGTGTGTTTGTGTGAAATCCCTACATCACATCTCTTGGAAGTAGAGATGCAGAAGAAAACGGGCGGATTTAGCAAACAGGTCGTTGAGATTACCCGATCCTTCTATTTTTCCCAAGTAGGTAATCTTAAAACAAATACATCCTCAGGCTCCTGCGCGGGGGCCGGGCATGTGGGGAGGGGGGATGTCAGGGGAGGCCTCAGAAGCTAATCCACGGATTGATGGTGACTGTGAAAACCAACACTGAATGTTATTTCCAACATAAGGCGGGATCAGCACCTCTGAGGGTCAGGCACACACGTGTGTGTGGCCTGTCCTCCCCGCCCCACCCCCCCCACACACACGTGTGTGTGGCCTGTCGCACACACTGGGGCCCACTGAAATAGGCCTTGGATTGGAGCTGGGTGTGTGTGAACTGTGCTATTGGTGGAGAGAAACCCAGTAATCCCTCACACCCGTGGGACTTTCTGCCTTGTCCCTTTCTCCTTGTAAAGAAAAATAGTTAATTTTACAGGTCTTCAGATAATTCCCACTTTGGCCAAAAAATAAAAAGAGGGAGGCTTCATTCTACCCCTTCACCAAAGAGAGACCCAGCCAAAGACTGTGTTGACTTACAGAGCTCAATTTATTATGCTCTGAAAGCCATAGCATTAGGCTCTCTACCTGGAGCCAATGTTTGTGGTTCTTTTTCACATGTACATCTGTCTCCTTACCGTAGAATTCACCTCAATCATATGCCTCTGTGGTTTGCCCTTAATTATTTTTTCAATACTAGGAGAGGCTAACCAAATGCAATCCTCCATACAAAGTTCATCATCATTGCCCACAACAGCCCTGCCAGGGTGCCCATCAACACTGGCCACCTAGGTGACATTTACTTTTAGAAAAAAAAAATAAAAATTCTGGCAGGTGCTGCCCCCTCAAGATTAATTCTCAGCAAAGGAAATATAACAAAGATCTCCTCCTGGCACAATGACAAAAAAACACATAAACGAAATGTCGACCTTCTACAGTTGACATCACTCACACCCCTCGCTCTACAAAGGCCTACAAATTACAGCTGTTGATGTTTTCCCATAACCTAAACTTTCACTCTACAAAACTCTGACTTGTCTAAATGTATTTATACTCTTGGTAATGGAGGGCTCATTATTTACACTGGTTGTTTAAACAGTAACCAGATTGTTTGGGGCTGGCGCGTCTGGGTCAGGATGGGTTTGCCGTCTGTGGAACAGCACTCAGGGCCCACTGGGTGGAAGGAGCCACAGAAACTGGCGAGGGCAAAGTGGGAGTCAAGAAAGGGGCTTTGTGAAAACTGAAACTAGGCCTACACTGTGGATCCTTGAGGAACCAAACTGCAACGCAATGTCAGAAAACACCCAACCCCAGAAACCCAATGGGCCCCGCCTTGAACCCAGAGCAGCTTCTGGAAGATTCCAGCGTGTCCCATTTCCTCAGCTGCGCTTTGCCACTCCATATGAATTCAGGGCCCCCTCTAGAAACCTCTCTGAGAGCCCTTTCTGACTCCCTTCACCAAAACACTCCATCCTAAACTCTAAGTCCTCAGAGAGCGTGTTTACCGCCTGGGAAAAATGAGGCTTCCCCATGCCAGAGTTCAGAAGGCCCTTGGACACTGGAAATGAGCAAAACTCACTCAGAAAACTTAAAGGGGGCAGCAAGAATGAGAGCTGAGGGCCTATGGGACATGGTGGCACTGAAGTATAATCCTGAGCTGTACTGCATTTTCCCTCCTAAAGGAGAAGATATTGCAAAATAAGATGCTCTGTCAAGAAGAAAAATGTTCCAGCCGGGTATGGTGGCACACACCTGTAGTCCCAGTTACTTAGGAGGCTAAGGCAAGAGGATCGCTTGAGGCTGGGAGGTCGAGGTTGCAGTGAGCAGAGATCATACCTCTGCACTCCAGCCTGGGTAACAGAGGGACACCCTGCCTCTGAACATAAGAATAAAAGAAGGAAGAAGAAAGGAGAATGTTTGAGGAAAAAAATCAAAGTGAAAGAAACCTTGATCTATTTTTGATCGTGGAAGGCATCCCTCTGCCTCTAGAAGGCAACAGCCTGGCTCTGTCACTTCCCCAGAGAACAGAAACCACTCCTGTCCGTTCGTCAGAGGCCACGCACTCTAGCCTCCCCTTACCCCACGCACACTCCAGGGAGAAGAGCGGCCATCCATCATTCAGGTGAGACAGGCTCCGGAGGGCCCTGGCATGACAGCATCATCCTAGAATCTGGCCCCCTCCATGACTGCCAGCCGCTGACAAGCCATGACTTCTGAACACAAAAATAACATCACTATAAGCGATACCATTAAAGCAGACCAGCTGTTACATACCACTCTTTGGAAGAAATCCACAAATTAAAGACAAAAAGTTAACCTGAGATCCCCCACGTTTACAGGCTCCCTCATTAAGTCAAATGGTAGGGCATTACCACCATGTGCTCCTAATTTCTTCTCTGTAAGATAAAAATGACAGGGTTCTGCCTTTCAAGGATCTGGGTGATGCTGTGAAGAAGGAAAACTCCCAGGAAGGGAGCCAGTGTGGCCATGAAGTAACACACACCTCCGGCATGGCTGGACGATGGGCCCATGGGCCGTGGAACGTAAAACACAAAACAAAGACAACCCAGCTGAAACCCAGGCCCGGCTGGTTTCCACGGGCTTAGAGAAGCACTCTGGGCCCCCTCCTCACCCCACAAGGGCTGACACAGTCGGTGACAATGCCTCGAAGCACCTGCAAGTGATTGTCCCCAGCAATGACTCAGAGGTGTGCCCTCTCACTGCCTGTTCAGAAAACAGGACACAGAAAAATATTAACAGCTATAAGGCAGAACCAGGTAATACAAGTAATTTAATTCTTGTAGGGAATTGAGGAGTCCTGCTTACTGAATGGGTTTAAGAAAAAGTTCATGGTTATATAGATTATGTTTCAAGAAGGAAATCCAGTAACATTAAAAAATACCTTTTTCCATAATAAATGATATGCATTACATTTTAAAATGATCTATGGTTTCCAACATGCCATGTTACAGATTCATGGTGTGTATAAAATGATTTTTCTCTTATGATCAGTTATTACAGAGCGGTATAGCTTCCTCTCAGGAGCAAAGAAACCACAGGCATTTTCATTCATAATAAAAGTTGTCACATGGTTTGAAAAATAAACTTTAAAGGCAATTACAATACATGGGTCAAAAAAAAAGGTGCTTAAAAGAGAACATTAAATGTTCACACGTAGAATGAATACAACCAGACTGAGGCATTCAATCAAGCTCCTCTTGCCTTTGACAGGCATATAGTGAGTTACAGGATTTTCACTAATCCTCAAATAAACAGTGTAAATACTGTTCTTAACTCAGAAATTACCTGCTGGCTATCGAGAGGTATTCTTGACGAACAGTGTGATGGCACTGTGACCGTCAGCCTCTGAAACCCATGGTCTTTGGATAAATTCCCTGCAAAGGAAAACCATTTCACAGGATGCCAAACCACCCTGCAATGCAGGGTACGGTCCCAAGGCCCTTCTCAGTTGATCGGAAGGATATCATCACATCCCTAGGCAACACAGATGTATGGAGATAGGCATGTCTCAAAAACCCAACAGCAACACAAAACCATCAGCGCCCGTGGAAGGGGTTGCCCTGAGACTGGCTCTCACGGCACAAACTCGGCCTGCCCCATGGGACCCTACTGGCCACTCTCTACCTGCTCACGGTCACCCCCAAAGCCTGTGCATCTCCTCTCTCAGAAAACCCTTCTCCATAAACGGTAAGCAGCCTCACCTTCTACCCAGTGGCTCAAGGCAAACACCCGATGCCATCTGGCTCCCTCTTCCCTGGATTCCTCAAGCCGGTCCATCGGTCATCAGTTCTATCCCAATACAGGTCTCGGAGCCAGTGTCCCCTGTCTTTCTCCCTGGGCCTGCCCTCACGGTAGCCACCAGCAACCTTGCTCGGGCTCACTGCTGTGGCCTGGCCCCACCTCCATGCTCTACCACATTACCCAAATGTTCACAGCCACAGGAGACCCTTCAAGAGATCAATCAGATCACATCTCCTCCTTGCTGAAACCCTCCAAGGCGTTTCCACCTACCTCAACTAAGCTCCAAATCTTCACCAACCCCAGCCGAGGACCTGCCCAGGCTCTTTGGGCAGCCTCACCTCCCACAAGAGTAGCCCCCTTTCCCCTCTGGCTGGTCTCAGATCACCCACGCTCTTTCTTGTCTTGAGACGTGGACACTTGTGCTTCCTCGGCCTTGCCCCGAATGCCAGCTCTGTCCCCCAGCCTGGACCTGATCTCCTTGCAGAAGCCACCTCCCCCCGCCAGGCTTCCTGCCCACCTGCCAAGGCTCCCACACCACCCCACAGCTCCCCGCTGTGGTATGCAGGGCCCTCCCTGGCATCCGCGATCCCCTCCTTCAGTGGGTCCTTGTTTACCACCCCCCCACCCCCCCAACACACACACTCTAGAATTGCCTGGTTCTACATATTTCCAGAGATATGACATGTCAGTCCATGGAGGATTTAAACATGAGATAAAGGAGTGAGGGTATGGGAGAAGGGGGAAGAGACCAGCATTTACCACTCACCATTGGTTTTCAGCCCCACTTCACAGAGACAAGACACTTGGAGAGAAAGATAACCATCCCACAGCAAAGCTGCCCTACCTTAAGTTGACATGATCTTAAATCTCCTAAAAATGTGACAAAGCATTTGAAGAGGTGTCTTTAACTGACCATCTGTACTTCTAAATCACTTTGAACATCTCAGAAGGAGAGATATAGACTGCCTGTGGGGAGACCCATGGGCTGTGGCTCTGCCTGCCTTCCAGAAGCTTCACTCGGGGCCTCTGAGCAGGCAGAGGGCAGAGCTGACATCTGCCGTTTCAAACACAACCCCAGGGGCTCAGTGCTGGTGAGGCGGTTGGCTTGGCATTTCTCTCAGCCAACCTGACTTTACTGAAATAGAGTCGAGAAGGAAGGCCGGGACCCAGCAGGGAGGGGCAGAACTGGACTGTCCCCACCCTGAGTTCATGCCAGGACCCTGGCGTGCCTCCACCAAGGAAGGCAGGAGACCTTCGTGGGGTCCAGGGCTCCTGGTAAATCCCAGACCAATGCAGCTATAGGACCACTGCAGGTGGCCGTGCAAGATAGAGACAGTGACCTGCAAGACAGAGATGGTCTCTACCTCAAGGCACCAGGGAAGGGGTTCGGCTTGGACAGATCCTGATGGCTGCCACCTGCTACATCTGACCCCTGCAACTTGCAGGCTCCTCCAGCTTGGCCACCTGTGCACGTCTCCTCCGGGGAGTGAAGGGGGTCTCTCAAGCTGTACTGGGCCAGGCACTGATGCTCAGGATCATCCTACCCGGCCACCAGCGCCAGGAGCAGCACCCCCTTCGCCTGCCAGGCACCCGTCGGGGCCTCCTGGGTCCTGCAGTCCTATGGCCACCTCGCCAATATGAGGCCCCATCTGGTATCCATGGGAACGGAAAGAAAGTCAAGGCTGGGTTTAACGACAGTGATTAAGATTTACTTAGGGAGTAAAAGCAAAAAGAAAACAAAGGCCCAGCTAGTTGTTAAGGGGAGGGAGGAGGAGGGGAAAGAGGGAGGAGAGGGAGGGGAAGGGGCTATGGGCTGTTTTAGCGTCTCCAGCTTTTGTTTATAGCTGTTCCAGACGATCTGAAAATTATCAGGTGGGGGAAAGGGAGCCTCAACACGCTCTGGTCCGCAATGCAACTTACGAAGCATTTCCTTTTCTCTGGGGCCAGAGCGGTGATCACATGAGCCTTTGCTTTTTCTAAACTCCGTGTTTGTTTTTGTAGTTTCTGCCAAACTAAATCAATTCAGCTTGTGGCAACTTTAAAGAATCATGACTCGCTCAAACAGCCTCAAAGTTTGACTTCTTTCCAAGAACATGGACCAACATTTGTATAGGTTTCACATGCCTGGCGATCAAATCCTCTAATTACGCAAATCTGTGTCACAGAACTGCAAATTAGTAACTTCTAAGATGACAGATTCCTATTCTTTGATATGCAAGGCTAAATGTCTTTCATTCAGGGAGGACAGAAATACTAAACTTTTTTTTGCAACAGCACAACCACGTATCTTTTGCAATATCTTTAACTGGAACAAAATGCCACACCCCCCCACAGGCTATCTCCCTGTACTCCACCACAACCACCAACTCCCGCCCACCACGCCCCCCCACCCCACCAGTAGCCAGCCCTCTCCAAAAGGGCCCCTCATGCCACCTGGACCCCAGGGGAGCTGGAGACCCCTCAGGTGACATGGCAATGTCTGCAATGACTGAACCATTCCTAACAGAGCCTTCTGAGGTGGCCGAGAGGAAGCATATGCCACAAAGGAAGTCCCTGGGACTCTCTAGAAGAAAAGAGACCATGGCCCACGCTGGCATAGTAAGCCTAACACTGTATCCATGAGAAAACAGAAAGAACAGAGTGGGCTCAGGGGGTCTTAGCGACTGCCCCAGCAGTCCTGGAGATGGAAATACCAATGGCGTGGAGAACAGCCCACACACAGCCTTGGGCAGCCTCACCTCTGGCCTCTCTTAGTTGCACAGGAAGCCACCAACTCAACTCCCTCCCACCCTGAGCCCTACCCATGAGCAGCTTGGGGGACCAGGGCCTCCCCAGCCTGCAGAGTCCTGCCCCCTCCCTCTTCTGCAGGTCATGCTATTCTGTCTCTGTTCTTGAAGGATGACTCCTTCTTCCATCCCAAGAAGAACCCACGGTCCCCACAGCTCTGTCCGGTCAGTCCCAAAGAGGTGGTCCGCCTCTTCCTCTCTTCCCAGCCAGAAGCCTGGTGGGTCTAGGGGAGGGAAATGGCCACAGTGGCGTGAATGGACTCGGCCCAAAGATGAGCCCTGGTGAATGATCTCTGCAGCCCCCGCAGCCACAGGGAGCTGGCGGGCAATGAGGTGTCAGCCCAAGGCCAGGACTGACACAGCATGGGAACACCACAGAAGCACCAACCTTGTCACTGAGCTGCTGACCCCCACCCCCAGGCTCCTAGCAGAGCTGTCGCTGCACAGAGAGGGTCCTGCTTCCCAGATGCCAACCTTCGGGGCTACAGGCAAGGCTGTTCATCTGTATGTGTGTCTATGTCTGTGACGATGCACGTGTCTACGTGTGTGTCTTTGAGTGTGTCTGTTAGTCTCTGTGTGTGTTCTGTGTGTGTCTGTGTATGTGTCTGTGTGTCTCTTTGTGTATCTTTGTGTCTCTGCGTGTCTTGGCGTGTGTTCTGTGTCTGTCTTTGTGTGTCTGTCTTTGAGTGTGTATCTTTGTGTGTGTCTGAATATTCTGTGTGTCTCTGAGTGTTCTGTGTGTCTGTGTTTGTCTGTCTTTGAGTGAGTGTGTGTTGGTGTGTTTCTGTGTTCTCTGTGTCTGTGTCTTTCAGTGTCTGTGTATCTGTCTTTGTGTGTTTTTCAGTGTGTTCTGTGTGTGTCTTTTGAGTATGTATCTGTGTGTCATTCAATATTCTGTGTGTGTGTCTCAGTGTTCTGTGTGTATGTCTGTGTCTTTGTTCTGTGTGTGCCTGTGTTTGTCTGTCTTTGAATGTCATTGTGTCTCTAAGTGTGTTCTCTGTGTATGTCTGTATTTGTGTGTGTGTGTCTGTTTAGTGTTCTGTATGTGTGTCTGTCTTGGAGTATGTGTCTGTGTGTGTGCCTCTGAGTGTGTATGTGTCTGTCTTTGACAGTGTCTGTACCTGTGTGTCTGTACCCGTGTGTGTCTGTGTGTGCACACCTGTCATATGAAGAAGAAGGGGCAGTAAGAAGGTCGGGATGGTGATGAGTCTCTCACAATGCTGCCTTCAACACTACAGCTATCTTTGTAATCTTTTTCCTTTCTACTTAAAAATTAACGTACATTTTGCATTCTTTATTACATGTCCATGTTTGTTTTGGTTTTTAAAATGCACTGCCCCCACCTCAAATTTTAATTTAATAAACAAAACAATGTCTGGGAAGATGGACGTGTTTCTCCTGAGGCTCCAAGTCTCATCCTCAAGACCCGAGCAAAGCCACGCTCCCACGGCAGGATGCCCTCTACAAGTCAGCCGGGAATCTGAGCAAGATGGACACCAGGGCCCCAGCAGAGACCAATGGAAGCAGAATTCAATGCCCTGAACACATTCATCTGGGGTGTCCTGGGGAACTCACAAAGAGCCAGGCAGTCACCTCCCCAGCCCTGAGCAGAGAAAATGCACAGTGGCTTCAGTGTGGTCCCCAGATCTACAGTCAGGAGCCACGGCAGGCAATCTACCAGGAGAGTCCACCACTACGCTGGCTCCCTCCCTCCCCTCCCCTCCACACCCACGTGCGCAATGCTGTTTCACAGTCAGTGGGTTATTACATAGCCAAGTGCTTCCTATCGATGGGTGTGTTATGGGTTGACTTGTGTCCCCCAAAATCACATATTGAAGTTAAAACCTCCAGTCCCTCAGAATGTGACCTTATTCTTTAGGGTCTTTGCAAAGTTAAACTGAAGTTCTATACATGGGCCCTAATCCACTATGACCCATGGCTTTATAAGAAGGGGAGGTCAGGCCAGGTGTGGTGGCTCACTCACTGTAATCCCAGCGCTTTGGGAGGCCAAGGCGGGTGGATCACCTGAGGTCAGGAGTTCAAGACCAGCCTGGACAACATGGTGAAACCCCGTCTCTACTAAAAATAAAAAATTAGCCAGGCATGGTGGCACATGCCTGCAGTCCCAGCTACTCAGGAAGCTGAGGCAGGAGAATTGCTTGAACCCAGGAGGCAGAGGTTGCAGTGAGCTGAGATCATGCCACTGCATTCCCGCCTGGGCAACAGAATGAGACTTCGTCTCAAAAAAAAAAAAAAAGAAGGGGAAGTGAGGACACAGACACGCACAAAGGGACAGCCATGTGAGGACACAGGGAGAAGACAGCATCTGCAATCCATGGAGAGGCTCAGGAGAACCAACCCTGCCCACACCTTGATCTTGGACTTCTGGCCCCCAGAATTAGGAGAAAGCAAATTTCGGTTGTTTAAGCCACCCAGTCTGTGGCATTTTATTACAGCAGCCTGTGCAAATAAATACAGTATGTGATAGGCATGCATTGCTTCGTTATTATTGCCCAACTCCTTTAGTTAAAAAGCACCTCCCCTCCACCATGGAACCACCATTCTGCTGTCTGTACCCTTCCTGGTGGTCTCCTTTCCACATTGGCTGCCTGGTCTTCCCAGCAGCCTGCTCCCTCAGCAACACCTGCAGATCAGACTGCCCCATACAGTAGTACCCCCTGCCCCACAGCTCCCCTCCACAGCCATGCACCCCTGAAAGGCCCACATGCTCACCTGTGAGTCACTTACTCCCCCTGTCCTCGTTCTCCAGCCCTTCCAAATGTGAGTCAACCATTGTCAGTGCCAACCCTTAGTCTTTCTGCTATCCTCAAACATCATCTTGGCTCAGACATTCACCCCAGGACACAAATATTACTGCCCTGGCGAAGATCCTCACGTCTCTGCCTTAGACAAGGACTCCAGCCCCGGCGTCATTACACAGCACTCATCATGCCCACTATACTATCTACTCAGCAGGTCCAAGGCATCTACTCAGCAGTTCCCAGGCACTGGGACCGAGGGTCCTTGTCTTTCAAGGCTTCCTATTTCTTGGATAAAACTGATGCTGAATGTATGTTTAGTGAAAGGTGGACACAAGCAAAGGAAAGATGGAAGGAAGACAGCTAAAATATATATATACAAAAAAGCCTCACAGTTAAACAAAAACCAAGAAAAGGCTAGAAAAAAAGGCGCTTCAAAACAAATTGTAAACACGGCAGTTGACCCAAATCGGGATGAGAGAAATCCATGAAGTGATGGAAATGTAAAGAGGCCAACATTTGAATATGAAATTTGAACTGGAACCAGCTATACAAAGTCAAGATTTTTAAAACATGTTTTCTCCTGGAGCTGGTTACTGAAGGGCCTGGAGGCAGTGGCCACTCAGGGTCCCTGAGCACACCAGCATCCATGCATTGGTGTTTACACACCACCACCAAGGATCAGAGTTCCTTGGAAAAACAGTTCATCTTCACTCTGGACGATGTGGATGTATAATACAAGGTGAGCTGGGGTACCTCACTGTGCCAGATTGGAAGAAAGACTCAAAAACTAAAAGAACAAAGGCACCTGCTTCCAGGGCTCCCATAGACTGAATTTGAGCATCAGGAAGAACAAAAATGATTCTGTAATACACTGAGTTTTTAAAAATATCATCAGCCATCAATGATTCTCAAAAGCAGAGGAGGCTTTTCTTTTCAGTAGAAATGGCAAAATTAGAAAATTGTCATTTTGCAACCTGCCATAAAATTCCTGATTCAGGCAAGACTCACTGGATGCGAAAACCACTGAGCAGAAGGCTGTTTGGGGAACAAGATAGATACAGAATGTCCAAGTATCGTCCTACAGATTTCATACTCAGGACAGGCAGAAATACAACATGGCTTTTCAGAGGAGTGGGAGAAGGGGGCAGCCACCACTTTCACCAGGTGGTCGGATTTAGCATCTCTGACACAGTGGGACCACTGACCCCTACGTGTGATGCAGCCAGACGTGCACAGCTTCTCCAATAAGTCTTCTGGCCACAGACGCAGAGACATCCAGTCTGACAGCAAACACAAGGGCAGAGAAAGACAGTAAGGGAGACAGTAAGAAACATCACCGGAGGGAACAGTCACACTAATTCAAAGGTGCGACATTCTGGAAGATAACTAGCTTTTCCTCTTCTAACAGTTAATGTCACAAAGGTAAGAACAAAAAGGAAGGGCTATTTTAGATTAAAGAGTCTAAGCAGTTATAACAAGCAGATCCAGGTTTGCAGAGAGAGAAGCTATTAAACACATTCTGAAGAGAACTGGAGAAAGGTGAATATCAAGTAACCATTAGACGATATCATGGGACTGCTGTTAATTTTGTTCCATGTAAGAATGGTGCTGCCATTATGGAGAATGACAGTTTTTCTTAGAGGAGATGGATGCTCACATATTTGGGGCAGGGGCATGTCATGATGTCAACAACTTATTTTCAAACTGTTCAGCAACACTTTTTTTTTTTTTCAAGACGGAATCTTGCTCTCTCGCCCAGGCTGGAGTGACATGATCTCGGCCCACTGCAACCTCCACCTCCTAGGTTCAAGCAATTCTCCTGCCTCAGCCTCCCAAGTAGCTGGGATTGCCGGCGCATGCCACCACGCCAGCTGATTTTTTTTTTTCAAACTCCTGACCTCATGATCCACCTGCCTCAGCCTCCCCAAGTGCTGGGATTACAGGCATGAGCCACCGTGCCCAGCCTCAGCAACAAATTTTTATAAAATATGGATTTAAGGAGCAGAGAGGAAGTGGGGGCAAGAAACAGCATACTATCAACAACCGCTGAATCTGGGTGGAGAGTTTATGTGTGTGTTTGCAGTATTATCTTTCAACTTTTGTGCATATTTGAAAACTCTCATAATGAAAAGACGGGAAGGAATAAGGAGGCCCACATTCCCAAGGTGACAATGAATAAACAGGATTACATTTAGTTAGGCTGGGGCGTCAGGGAAGGTGCCCCCAGAGCTCCAAATGCCCAAGGCATCTCAATCTCCTAAATTTCTCTGAAATACACAATCTCTGCCGGATTCACCAGCGGTTCCTCTAAGATCCTTGCAGTTTGTTGCTGTTCTTCCATGCCTGTGCTCAGAGTCAGCCTGCTTCTACCTCCACTAGCAGAGCTCAGAGAAAACAGGCTTTTCACAATGAGCTGGTGCTTCACAGCAGTGTGTCTAAGTCGATGGGCAGAGAAAATAAGAATTTCATGTGCCGACGATAGAATCTGCCAGACTTTCTCTACTTCACAGTTCCCAGGTAATCATCACGACCAGGCCACCTTCCCAGAGAGACACCATTACCGGCATCTTACAGATAAAGGATGGGCCTCAGGCAGGTAAACAAATGCTCAGAGCCACAAGGAAATGATGAAGCTGGGCATTACATCCAAGCCCCTTGGATTACATGCCTGTGGGGTTCCCCCAGCCAAACTCACTGTGCTTCCTGCTAGAGGGGCCTCTCCACTCAGGGTGTGGCCTTTTGGGACTGCAGCATCAGCATCCCCTGGCACTTCATGTTCCCAGTGAAGTGGGCACTAAACCTCACTAACAGGTAGGAATGTGCACACGCCGGGGGCAGGGCATCCCCTCTGCAGGACACAGTGCATTCAACAGGTCTACTTCATAGTGGCAAACACAGGAAGAAAAGCGAAAGGGAGAAAAATTTCAAAAGCACTCACCAAAAATGTAGTAGGAAACAGAGGACGATGAAATGCAACCAAATCCCAATGTTTCAACGCACACCAAAAATGTTCCCAGCAGGCACATCTGGGAGTGCCCGGGAACTCCCCCACCCGAGGCAGCTGTCCTCTGGCCCTGGTATGCAACACCCCCATTTCCTTGATGAGAAACAGGGCATCGGGGTGGGACACACACAGCTCTCCCAGGCGGGACATGGAATCCGTCCCCACGCTCTGGAACCAGCCCATGTGTTTGCAATTAGGAAACAGCCTGCCCTGGCAGGAGGGGGTGACGGGCAAGGCCTCTTGCCAGCTGTATTTTCTTCTCTGACAAAACAGGGCCCCCTTAACCTAGTGAACAGCGCTGCCCACAGGGCACCCCCGGCCCGCTGGCCCCAAGGAAATGAAAAGGAAGGGGGGCGATCTGGGCTTGGGTCCTGTTCCCAAGTCAGACAGGCCACAGGGCTGGGCTGTCAATGTTTCTTTGTGGCCTTAAGTAAGCCAATGACAAATAACATGTGTCTTTCAGACATGGGGGCCAACAAGAAAAACACATCTGTTTCCACCGCTGGCAGCATGTCTGTAACACACAGAAGCCCTTAAAGCAAGGCGCCCCTCCCAGGATACGTAAGAAAGCCTTCGGTAATCAGGGAAGGCTGAGGACACGCAATAAAGTTAAAGCTTGCTCGAGCCACACCCCACTTGGGAGCAGATGCTCCCAGGTGCTAGGAGAGACTCTCCCTGGAAGTGCGGGGCATGTGATGGGCTATTCACCCACCTGGACACCTGGGGCGAAGGTGTCAAACTTGTGGGGCACCCGGTGGGCTCCACTCACCTGTAATTCACCTCTAATTCCCCTGTGGTGAGAACATAAAACAGAGTGCAATGTACTTGTGAAACCATCCTGAGATCTTGCACTTGGAAGACCTGGACAGCTGCCATTGCCCAGACGATGCAGAAAGACTTGGACAGGAACATCTGCCTGAGACCCAGGCAGGGGGAGAAGGTGGGTGTCAGGAAACATCCCAACGCCAGTATTCGGGATGCCGGGAGAGAACAGGGGGCACACATCCAATGTTGTATTTCAACAAGTCACAGGACTTTTGAGTCAGCTCTGAACTGGTTTGACCACAGAGAAAGGATGACTCTTATGCCTAGAAGGTGAGTGAACTATCACTTATTTTGCTGGAAAAAAAGTGGGGGAGGGTAGGATGGACTGTGGAGGACAAGCCTCAATTTAGCAAAGCCACAGAAGAATTCTCAGATTTTCTCCATTTCCACAAATTGCTGTCTTGGGCAAACACTGATTCTGAGGCAAGAGAAAGAAAGAGAAGGTCCTTCCATCGGCGAATAAACCAATGAAAAGCTTTAATGCTGACTTACATCAGCTTTGATCCAGCAGGAGTGTGGGTCTCCTCCTTTCTGGCTCTTAGGAACTCTCACTGGGTGGCTTCGCCCCCCTGCCTGCTGGCGATTTGGACAAGGAATGTCGATGTCTTATGTTGTACGTATCCTGTGGTTTTGTAGTTAACAGCCCAGGCTCCCTGGGTTCAAAGCCCACCTTGGCCAGGGCTACCCAGGATACTCCCAAGAAGCGTGACTACCAGGCTTCAGTTTTCTCATCTACAGAATGGGGGAAATGAGCCCTTCCCATTCATAGGACTGAATGTATGGAGCATAGAACATGGTGCGGCATAGTGAACATTCTACCAGCAATCACGCCATTTCATTGTTATACCCAGGTATATCTCCACACATACTCCAGACCCCCTTTCTTATTTCATCGTGTTTTTAACCTTGACGTAAACCTTACATTTTTATTTGTGTTCCTTAAAAAACAACAACAACAAAAAGAAATATACTGGTTAATTACATGATCCTGCCATTGTACCAGCATAACTATGCAGAAATCAGTGGTTAGTTACTGGGTTAAATAAATGTGGCTGGGCGTGGTGCCTCACACCCGTAATCCCACCACTTTGGGAGGCTGAGGCGGGCGGATCACAAGGTCAGGAGATCGAGACCATCCTGGCTAACACAGTGAAACCCCGTCTCTACTAAAAATACAAAAAGAAATTAGCCGGGCGTGGTGGTGGGAGCCTGTAGTCCCAGCTACTCGGGAGGCTGAGGCACGAGAATGGCGTGAACCCGGGAGGCGGAGCTTGCAGTGAGCTGAGATCGCGCCACTGCACTCCAGCCTGGGCAACAGAGAGAGACTCCGTCTCAAAAAAAAAAAGAAAAAAGAAAAAAGAAAAAAGAATGTGATCTTTTGTAAATGTGTATGTACTGCATCCAGTAACATTTTGAGAAGGGGAGACTCTGAAGGTTCTTTTATAACTTTGCTCTGATTATTAAAATGCAAGTCAGCTTTTACAGAAAATTGGGAAAGTGCTAGAAAGAATAATGAAGGAACAAAAATCATCTGCCATATGTTTACCAGACAAGACCATTATTAAAGCATTGACGCATGGCCTTCTGACTTCCCTAACTATATACGCACTCTATAGTTCACTTTTTGTTACACGATTAGACTCATTTCATAAATTGAACTTCCTGCTACATTAACTTTTAATATAATATTAATAATATTTTGTTATATTGCCCCCTAACTATATGCTCCATAAGGAACCCAATTCTTCTATGTAGTCAAGTATCTCCTGTGAGCTTAGCTTAGTTGACTAAATCAACATTATATTATAAAAATTTTCCCATATCATTATAGATGAATATTACATTTTGAAGGTTTTGCTATATCATTTTTTTTTAATGTGACTTTTAAAAGGCGGAGGTTGCAGTGAGCAGAGATCACACCATTGCACTCCAGCCTGGGCAACAAGAGTAAAACCCCAACTCGTAAATAAATAAATAAACATTTCTCTATGTAGCTTATGAAATCTACTTAAGTATTTTCCTGCTTCTGAACACTAGGTTCATTTCTAATTGTCAACTGCACCAAATAAAGCTATGATACACTTCCATCTGTAAATCTTTATTTCTCTTCCCATCTACTCAGGACGGATTCCTAGAAGTGAAAGTACTGGGTCCAAGGAGCAGGGGGTGGGTTCAGGATGCATGGCCCAAAACGTTCCCTCAAGAGACTGGTCCAATGTACAGATCAGTCCAATGTACAGATCGGTCCAATGTACAGATCGATCAGCAGTGTCTAAGAATATAATTTTGTTCAATTTGATAACCAAAACGTGTTCCATCGGTAGGCTTAATTTCTAGTTCTGGAATCAATGATTCTCAGGACTTTTAAAATTGTTATAACAACCATAGTAGTTTTCTTCTGAAGAAATGTATTTGTCTCCTTTGCCTGTTCTCCTATCAGTATCCATCATTTTGGGCAGTGCCATGTTGTTGTAGTTTTTGCAGCTTTTTTATGTATTTGAAAACACAGTAAAGATCTCCTTTCACCATTTATCAGACTCAAAATTTTCTTTGGCATTTGCCATTTCTTTATTCCTCCAAATGAGTCATAGGATCCTTTTGTCCAGCATCCCTGAAAAGTCCCACTGGGGTTATTTTAAATGTTTGCTACCTTCAGAAGAACTGACATCTTTAAAACATTCAGTCTTCCAGAGCATAAATAAATTATTGTACTTTTGAAAATTTCATTATTCTTACATACTTTCTTATTGTTTGGTGAAGTTTTTAGGTAACTTCAACAGCACCTGCATATTTTTGATGGTACAGTGGTGTGGCTTATCTATTTTGCTTTTGCAATGGAATGTTTCCCCTGTACATCTTCTGATTATTGATGATACATAGGAAATCTTCTCCAATATATTGTATGTAAATTCATTAGTAAGTTCACAAATTAATTCTAAAAGTTTTTAGTCTATTTACTTGGGCTTTAATGTACATATTCTCGGCAGGGTGCGGTGGCTCACACCTGTAATCCCAGCACTTTGTGATGCCGAAGTGGGTGGATTACTCGAGTTCAGGAGTTCGAGACCAGCCTGGCCAACATGGCAAAACCCGATCTCCACTAAAAATACAAAAATTAGCTTGGCGTGGTAGTGCACGCCTGTAATCCCAGGTACTCGGGAGGCTGAGGAGGGAGAATCACTTGAACCCGGGAGGAAGAGGCTGCCCTGAGCCAAGATTGTACCACTGCACTCCAGCCTGAGTAACAGAGCAAGACCCTGTCTCAAATAAATAAATAAATAAAGCACATATTCTCTTAAAAATAGTAATTGCATCTTCTACAATCCATTAGCTCGCCCCTTGTTTCTGTTTCCTGTCTTAATACACTGACAAGACTTGCTGAGCAACCTCATACAAGGCTTTTTGAATTAGCCTTGATATTAAAGAGACTACTTAGATTATTACATCATTAATGTTTGCTTTGAGTTTGGTATAGACATTAATTAACATTATAAAAAGCTAAGTGGGAGATTAATTTCTTAAAAGCCTTCCAAGTGTCTCATCATCTCCCTATTTTAAATGGCTAAATGATTAGAAACATCAGAGGATAAACACTAGCTGGGCACTAGGGAGAATTCCATTTTCAAATGACCTCAAGGTATAACTTAAATATATGTTAACTAGACATCATGGCACTGTCCCACCTCCAAGCCAATTAAACTTCACAGGCAGTCGCTTCCGCGGAGTGCAGCCAGAGTGAGACATACAGATTAACATGCTCTACCCTTCTCAGAAGTGTATGGGCACATTTGTAATAAAATGCAGACATGTTGGCTGGGCACGGTGGCTCACGCCTATAATCCTTGCACTTTGGGAGACTGAGGCAGATGAATTGCCTGAGCTCAGGAGTTCGAGACCAGCCTGGGCAACACGGTGAAACCCCGTCTCTACTAAAACACACACACACAAAAATTAGCTGGGCATGGTGGCATGCAACTGTAATCCCAGCTGCTCGGGAGGCTGAAGCAGGAGAATCACTTGAACCCAGAAGGCGGAGGTTGCAGTGAGCCAAAATCACGCCATTGCACTCCAGCCTGGGTGACACAGCGAGACTCCGTCTCAAAAAAAAAAAAAAAAAAAAAAAAGCACACATCTCAAAGAAGGCTGTGAGCTCAGGTGTAATCTGTGAATATTTCCAGGTTACCTGAAACCAAGGGAAAGAAAGTTGTAAATAACTAGAGCAGGGAGCAATGAAATGAAGGCACAGTCATATTCTGGAACTGGACCAGCTGACGCCTTCCTACGGATATAACCAAGATCCATACGAATCTTCATTCATATGAATGTTCATTAATGGAAACATTAAAAATGATAGTTAGGTACTATAAATAATGATCCACACCCACAATAAATATTTTTAACGTAATACAAATAAATGAACCATCATTAATCAATCAACAGATGTGCAGCCCAGCCCTTTCTTTGAGTAAAAAATCTACTCATTGCCGTTCACATTAATTTCTTCACAAATCACATATTTCATCTGTTTCCTGGTTTGGTTTTCTTAAAGTGTCTAAATGCACCTATGCATCTGAATACAAAACCCTAATCAATTTTCATTATGACTCATATCTAATTCAACAAAAATTATCTTTAAAAGTTTTCCTCATCCTGTATTTTCAAATCAGTCAACTTGAGTTTTTCCTTTCTTTACACCCATTGAATTTATAGATTATGTCATTTATACTATTTCTGATTGGGTGTGGTGGCTCTTGCCTGTAATTCCAGCAATTTGGCTGTGCAAGGCAGGTGGATCGCCTGAGCCCAGGAGTTCGAGACCAGCCTGGGCAACACAGTGACACCCTGTCTCTACAAACGATAAAAATTTAAAAATTAGCCAGATATGGTGGTATGAACCTGTTAGTCCAAGCTACCCTAGAGGCTGAAGTGGGAGGATCACTTGAGTCCAGGAGTTCAATGCTGCAGTGAGGTATGACCACACCACTGCACTCCAGTCTGGGCAACAGAGTGAGACTCTGTCTCTAAAACAAGAAAAGAAAAGAAAGCTATGTCTGTACAATAACAAACACAACTCCCATAAGCAGGTTTCAGAGCACACAGCACTAACAACACAAAACCCAACTGCAGAAGCAGGAAAGTAGACTGGAGCCCACCAGCCTCCCCAAACTGGGTATAGTGGGCAATGGTCTTGTTTATTTGCAGAGGAAATGGAGCTTCGAGTTTATTTTGCAGCCATTAAAAAGATAAGAAAGAATTATGCATCCATCGTTCATGGAAGTTTATGTTATTATATTGAGGGAACAAATTTTGAAAAAAAAGTTAGTATGAATACATTTTACCAAAACTAAATAACTGTGTCCGTGTGTGTGTGTGTGTGTGTGTGTGTGTGTGTGTGTGTGTGTGTGTAGAGAAACTCAAGTTTGAAAAGGTAGACATCAAACTGTTACCAGGAGCTACATTTGGCCTTTGAGACCTGGGAAGGGATTGACAGTACACACTTTCTATGATTTCAATTTCTTAAAAAATTTGTGGCTGGGTATGGTGGCTCACGCCTGTAACCCCAGCACTTTGGGAGGCTGAGACAGGCGGATCACCTGAGGTCAGGAGTTCAAGACCAGCCTGACCAACATGGAGAAACCCCATCTCTACTAAAAATACAAAATTAGCCTGGTGTGGTGGTGCATGCCTGTAATCCCACCTACTCGGGAGGCTGAGGCAGGCGAATTGCTTGAACCAGGGAGGCGGAGGCTGTGGTGAGCCGAGATTGCACCACTGCACTCCAAGCCTAGGCAACAAGAGCGAAACTCCATCTCAAAAAAACAAAAAAAAAAAATTGTATTAATACTTTTGTAACGTAAGTTTGTTATTATTTTTAAGAAAAAGAACACAAGCATGAAGTCATGTTTTGGGCTGAGAGGAATCAAATATCTTCTTGGAAGGGACCAGCCGCGTTTGGTGGAAATGAGGTGAGGATTCTGTGCTGCTTTTCCTTAGAGGCACCTGGGGGGACAACATCCATTCCCCTGCAAAAAAGCAAGTGAACAGGCCAGGTGTGGTGGCTCTCAACTGTAATCCCAGCATTTTGGGAGGCCGAGGTGGGTGGATCACATAAGGTCAGGAGTTTGAGACCAATCTCACCAACGTGGTGAAACTCTATCTCTACTAAAAATACAAAATTAGCCTGGCATGGTGGCGCATGCCTGTAATCTCAGCTACTTGGGAGGCTGAGGCAGGAGAATCCTATAATCTCAGCTACTTGGGAGGCTGAGGCAGGAGAATCGCTTGAACCCAGGAGGCGGAGCTTGCAGTGAGCTGAGATCACACCATTGCACTCCAGCCTGGGCAACAAGAGCAAAACTGTCTCAAAAAAATAAAAAAGCAAGGGAAGGACTGCAGACTTCAGCTTGCCCTGCCAGAGGAGATGGTGCCATCTCCCTTCCCTGTAAAAAGATGCTGTGTGTGCGGTCAAATGCAAGCCAATCATGTCCCTGACCTAAGAAAGAAGTCCAAGTCAGAGAGCCCCAGACCAACGGGTGCCTCCTTCAGGCTGGGCCACACATGTTCTGTCCTGTTTGGACTTGCAAGCTGACCACTGGTGGGCTTGACCATAAAGTCACCACAAGGCTGACCCTGTAGAGCAGGATGAGGAATGGAGATCCCCTAATGAATCTCTCATAGAGCCCAAGGCACTCACAGCCAATCAACTCCAGCCATGTTCACTGCCATTCCAGGTGTGAGGGAAAAATAATTCTTAATTCTTCTTTGGATTAACACTGGTACAATTCACTACTTTAAAATTTAAACACAGTGACTAGCGACAGAAGAAATATCACAGATTATGTTATGTTTTCAAACATCCATGAGATGTTAAATGAGAAGTTTGGAGGAGTCTTTGTCAACTTCTGGGGTCACAATGGCAAAAAAAAAAAAAAAAAAAAAAAAAAAGGCTGTGTCCCCTACCCATGACGGCCAGGGTCCACGGTCCAGCCATCAGTCAAATGCAACTCTAGGTGCTGCTCTCCAGGTATGCTGTCACATGACTGAGGTCGGCTGTCATGTGACTGACTTTAAGTAAGGGAGATAATCTTTGATGACCCAGGTGGGCCTGGCTCAGTGAGTAGAAGGCCTCAAAAGCAAAGCAGCGGCTTTTCTGAGAAAGAGGAAACTCCCACCAGGGACAGTAGCCTCAGCGGTGCCCACAGTTCCAGCCACCCTTCCCTGTGGTCGGCCCCATGGATTTCAAATGCGCCTGGTCAGACCCAACAACCAAGTAAGTCGATTCCCTGTGACAAATCTTTTCATATATATCTCCTACGAGTTTTGTTTCTCTAGTTGGACCCTGACAGGTACACTCCTCAAATCACCCCAAAACAATGGAGAGAAACAGCAACTAGAAATACAACGTCCATCTTGGCAGAAATCGGGGCCTCCTATAGCCCCAAACCTCAGTGGAGGGGAAAGGAGGAAGAGAGATGCCAAGAGAAGACGCTGCAGTGCCAGACCTGAGCCCTGCCCAGGTCAGCACAGCCCTCCTGGGTAGGAGCCCACCAGCAAGTCAGGATGTGGTACACAAAAGCAGGTGAGGGGCTCAGAGTGGGCTCCCCTAAGCCCTGCAACACCCCCAAAGAGGGACAGGGAAGGTGGGCTGAGAGACAAAACACCCAGGTGTTCTCTGCCGAGTGGGCAAGAGGCATGGCATCAGGGTGGCTGCAGATGCGTCACCACGACACCAACCCACAGACATAAATGCTTGGGAGGGAGGAAGGACCCCCAAGGCTGCTCAGCTGCTTGTCCATCCAGCCTGCCGGATGCTCCCGACGCATCCACGCTGGGCTCCAGCGTCCTGCTCTGCACTTCTGCAACAGGTCCTCATCCTGCCACCCCCAGCTGGGTGTCCAAATGGCATGCCGAGTGCACTGTGCCTGTATCGTGACTCCCAGCTTTGCCCCAACCGCTACTGTCCCTTTCCCAGCAAATGGCGGCCATGTCCTTTCAGGCGCTCAAGTCAAATCTCTTGAGGTCACCCTCAACTGATTCCAAGACAAAGACAACTCCCAGTCCCACCACCAGCACCGCCACACGCCAGAGCCGTGCCCCCCAGGCCCCTGGAGTAGCTGAGCACTCCTTTCCATGCACATCCCTCAATGACCCCCTATCGAAGAGAAGCAGCCCATGGCCAGCGCACCCTGCAGACCTGCATGCCCGCCTCGAGCTGCCTGCACTCCTGCCAGCCTCCAACTGATCAGCTCTGCTCAGCCCCCGAGAGCTCCCTGGGGCCTCAACACGCAGAAGGAGCTGTCCTGGACATCTGCTGGAGCATCCCCTCTGCCCCACGCAGCCAAGAGCAGACCCGAGTCCTGCTGCAAGACTCAGCTTGAAGGGATATGGAGGGAGGGACGTCCCCTCACTGTGTCTGAAAACAGCTTTCCCCAGCCCAGTGTTCAGGGAAATCTGAGGCATATTCGAGCCATGGGATTTCTCTTTGTGTTCTCTCCCCCAGCCTCAAGCACCCACAGGCTGAGGTCAGGGATGGTTCCAGGGAGGACACTGCGTGGAGAGTGGGTAGGCCGTCCCCCTGGGCCTGCAGACTGTAAAGCTCATTCCGGCTTTTGTTCCAGCTGACAAATGGAAAGTAAAAACAGGTCTCGGGTTCCAAAGTACATGATCTCCATGGCAAAGGTCAGTAAATCTATCTTGTTACCCAGAGAAAAAGGCACAGCCTGGCTCAGGAAACAAGACCAGAAACTGTGGGCTACGGGAGCCCACTCAGGTCCTGGCTTTCCTGAGCATCGCTGGGTGGACTTGCCCAGAGCCCCAGCTGTGTTTCATCTCCTCCCTTCCCTGTGCCACAGATGCCCAGGACCACGTCCCCGCGTGCAAACCCACCATCCACAAGTCATTTGGCAGCTGCTAACTCAACACCAGCCCTGCTGGAGGACAACCATGTTTGTGGTTTATTTTTTAATGCAGACACAGAGCAAACATCAATCCTGAACTCAGCCTGGCATGAATTTTCCTTTATTTAACTCTAGCCATGGCAGAAGACATATTCTCTACACCTTATGCATGGAATAGCTGGGACAAAATACCCCACCAGTCCCGTCGTCAGCAGGGCTGCTCTGTGACAGCCATGAGAAGCAAAGGTCAGCGAGATTCATGCAGACACACAGCACTGAGAAAGGGACCCATCTATCAAAACACTTAAGATTCCAACATGAAAAACCTAAGTGGAGTCAAATTGTCAGGACCTTCTCCAAAGGTATGGATCCCAAATGAGAGCTCTTGCGATTTTAAAGCCGAGCAAAACTGTTGTCCTGAAACCAAGGAAGGTGTGGCCCATCTGCACACACACAGGTTTTACCTAAAAGTTCCAGTGAGCTTTTGACTCCTGCAGAGCTCAAGATAAACACAGCTCCAATAAAACCCGATAGCATGGGCTCTGTTCAAGTGAGACCACTTTACAACTTGACCAAGCACTCTGCCAGGAAATGATTGCTTTTCCAGTCCAGCACAGGAATGCACCCTGCCTTATGTCTCTGGGCACAAACGTCACTGTGGGTGGGTGGGCCAGGGATGAGGAGCCTGAGGCCAGGCATGTCTTACAACACATGGTGATGGAGCTGAAGATGCCTAAAGAGACCCCTGCAGACACAGCCCCTGCAGACACAGCCCCTGCAGTCTTCATGTGCTGCCCCCTTGTTGGAAGCCTCTCTCCACAACCTGCTGCCCCCTCACCTCCAAGGGTCCTGCACCAATCCAGCCAGTTCACAGCAGTGCCATTTGCTAATGGAAGCAAAGATGTGCCTCATGAAACAAACATGCTAGGCCACCCCAAAATAGCCTTGGCTCCTCTGTCTTAAAACACTTCCATTTCCGTGGCTTCTTTAAGGAGACATGTACAATTTCACCATGACGGTTGCACTGATTTATGGGCTCCATTGCTCTCTTCTCTGCACACACACTGCCCCCAGCCCTCATTCCATATACTGGAAAAGCAGAAGGAGCAAAAACAGCCTGTCAGAGCCACTGGGGGCTGCCCTGACATGCTCAGAGTTAAATGTAGATTGGAACTCTCTCCACGGCCCTGCTGCCCCATCCCTGATCCCCATCTCCTATGAGTGAAAATGTTCCCAGTAAGGCTACCGACTCATCGCAGTAAACTCAGGAGCCTGCAGCAACAGCAGTGAGCATCTTTCCATAAGACCTGTAAAATCATTAAAATGAACTAAATCTCTCCAGGAAGACCAGCAGGGGTGGGAGGGAAAAGCTACCACTACTTGCAGCTGCAGGAGGCGGAAGGGTGCACCTGTGGAGCTCAGGGGCTGACTGGTGGAGGCCAAGCCACCTGCCAGCCTGGGAAGGTCTCCCACAAAACCTTTCTCAAGAAGACACCACAAAAACACTCTCACGAGATGTCTCCTCCACATGTCCGCCTTTCACTTCTATAGTAATTGCTTAATTTCTGGGCGCTAGGACAACGCTTTTGTGATCGTCACTTCCCTACCTTTCTGTATAGCTTGAAAACAGCTTTCCCCAGCCGTGTTTGGTAAAATCCAAGGCACATGCAAGCAATGAGGTTTTACTTCCTGCATTCCCCCGCTAAACAACAGAGTTTGGTTTCACCTATTTTAAAAACACACAAAACTTTGCACATGGAATCCCACCATGCTTCTCTGTGGCCTCCTTCTTTCCTTTGTCATCTGGTGGTGGGATTCACCCACAGTGTAGCTTGTGGGTGAAGTTCATTTGTTTTTATTGTCGTATGGCACTTTGTCCTGGGAAGAGGTACCAATTATTAATCCAGTCTGGACCAGGCATCATGGTTCACGCCTGTAATCCCAGCACTTTGGGAGGCTGAGGCGGGCAGATCACTTGAGGTCAGGAGTTCGAAGCCAGCCTGGCCAACATGGTGAAACCCCCTTTCTACTAAAAATACAAAAATTAGCCAGTCGTAGTGGTGCGTGCCTGTAGTCCCAGCTACTTGGGAGGCTGAGGCAGGAGAATCGCTTGAACCCAGGAGGCAGAGACTGCAGTAAGCCAAGATCGCACCACTGCACTCCAGCCTGGAAGACAGAGTGAGATTCCATCTCAAAAAAAAAAAAAAACAGTCTGCAGCTGATGGATGTTCAGGAGCAGCAATGCTAAGAAAGCCCAGGTCTCCTCTGTCCTCTGGTGCGACAACGCAGCTAACTGCCTGCCCCTGCCCCACCCCCGGTCTGGGGGCTGTGCCAGCTGATGTCAGCTCTGAGGGTGGCAGGAGGAGCTGCGGCTCACAGGATCCTGCATTGGGGCGAGTTCTGGAACTTCTTGAAGCCTTGGTTTTTCCAGGCTGCCCAGTTATGAATGGCAGCTCGCTCCTCCACCTCTGCCGCCTGGGCAGTGGCCTCAGCCAGGTGCCAGGCAGGAACCCCTCAAATCACACAAGCCCTGTCCATTCAGTCTGTCTGCTATATTCCACTTACTAGCTGCAGATTTTTGTTTGCAGCTTTGGTCAATGGTATATACCATGTTTTTCTAGAGGAAAGAAATTACAGTAATTTAAGATTATTAGATTGGAAAATCATCACAAGAAAATAAAATAATTTTTCTTTAAAAAAACTGTATTCAAGGAAAACAACTTTAAAAGTTCACTCGAGATGTGTACATGGTAATAAATGGTTCCTTAGGAATTTCTGTTCTGCATTGCTTACTGTTTTTTTTTTTGTTGTTGTTGTTGTTTTTTGAGATGGAGTCTCACTCTGTCGCCCAAGCGAGTGCAGTGGCGCGATCTCAGCCACCACGCCCAGCTAGTTTTTTGTATTTTTAGTACAGACGGGGTTTCACCATGTTAGCCAGGATGGTCTTGATCTCCTGACCTCATGATCGGCCCGCCTCAGCCTCCCAAAGTGCTGGGATTACAGGCGTGAGCCACTGTGCCCAGCCTGCTTACTGGTCTTAAAACAAACAGCCATGTCATGAGATCACATCACATCCACTATAAAAAACCAAAACTTGTAACAATAAAAAAATCACCAAATATGACTGGCTGAAACTTAGCTGTTTAAGAAGGGAGGCGGGGAGAAGCCTTGCCATATTAAAACAATCCCCCTGCTCTTTGCACTTTATGAACACTACCCAAAGGTAAGCGATCTTAAGGGGCTTGGGGAAGAAGGCCAATCAATTAAAGGATCAGCAGTTATTCTCAAAGCCATCTCATAAATTTTTCATGTCCCAGTTGTCTCATTTTCAAGATGTTTAACGTGTTTTAAAAGGAGAAGACAAATTCCACTTGTGCATAAGAAAATTTCTTAATGTCCAGTGTTCTTAGATTGATCTACACACATTTGGCAAGTAGAAAAAAATATATAGTTTTAATCACTGTTGTAGGTTTTTTAATTTTAAGCTATAAGGTAGAAGTAAAAGAATAAGGAATGTAGGCTACAGCGCCACGTGTTCACACATTCTAAGTGGAACACATAAAAGAAAAAAAATCACCGAACCATACTTTTCTTTTCATTGTCGAACTGCCACTTTAAATATGTATTTTAGGAAAAACAGAAATTACCCATACTCCCCCTACCCTCACAAAACTAGTTTCATTTTTGCATGTTGACGTCTAGCTTTTACTGCCTTGTCTGGGAGTTTATTTAGGGATTTACAGTTTATTAGGCAGTTAAAATCTTTACCGTGTTCCTTAACCTGGGCATACCTTATGTGTGTAATTCTCCCTCTGGATCCTGAAAGATGTGTTCACTGCAACTTTAAGAAGGAAAAATCGCCCCTTTGAAATGCTCAACTTAGCCTATTAGCTTATAAAAGCAAATTAAACCAGGCACCACCAGGCCATTTCTGAACCAAGTGAGCCACTCAGACTATGGATTAACCTGAAGGCCCCGAGAGCTGGGACCAGGGCCAAGTGCGCACACAGTGTTGAGTGAAGGGCTGAGACGCCCTTCTGCATCTCCTGCAGCCCCTCCCCTCCTGGCACCTGAAACATTCCTGACTCACCAGTCATGCCACGCCTGGTCACAGCCGCTATCTTTTCTCTCCTTGGCATAAGCTATCTTTTGTATAGACAAGACACGAAAACACCCTGAGATCGGACTGCGGGGTTTCATTCCGAGTTAAGATCTCATCTTCAGAACCCTCTGCTTCTGATGTTACCACTGGGGAATGGGTCCCTCACCAGGCTCGCAGGCAGCCACCCCAGCATGGCTGTCTCGGCCCCTTGGGAATAGAGACCCCGAGCACCACGGCCGGCGCAGGAGACCCCGCTGCAGTCGGAAAATAGGATCTCTCCCGTTAGACCCTTTTTAAAAGAGTAAAGGCATTGTGTGTCCAAGCATTAACCATGACAGATGTTATGAGTTATCGTGAAACCCAGCATTCATAAAAGCAGTGCTCCATTCTGGAGTTTTAAATAAACGGGCACAAAGAACAAGAAAATCGTCTTTCGGCACACAGTAGAAGTCTGCTTCAGCAGAAACTAGAGAGAAGTTCCCGGTGGACTCTAAGGGAGAATTAGATAAATTTCAGTTTGGGAGAGAGGGAAATCTAACAACGGAATCCTGGGCAACGAGTCAAAAATGGCATTAAAATAAAGACACAAAAAGCACACACTACACAACATGCAAGGCCCTCCGCACTGGCTACGCGCAGGCACATAGCAACACAAGCGTGGGATGACAGCAGCTTAGGAAAGAATTCACCAATTAACAAGATGAAGGGGTTCTGGGGGGCAGCAGGAGGCTGGGTGTATTTCGTGTTTACCAAAACACCTCCTCCAATATCCTGGCCTGATTCCTGGTGCTGTCAGATCGGGGGTGTGTGTGTGTGTGTGTGTGTGTGTGTGTGTGTGTGTGTGTGTAAGTACAGGCATGTGTGCCTGTGTGTATATGTGTGGTGTATGAATGTGGGAGGGGTGTGTCTGTGTGTATATGGTGTATGTGTGTATGTATGTGGTGTGTGTTGTGAGTGTGGGTCTGTGGGGTGTGTGTGTATGTGTGGTGTGGGGTGTCTATGTGTGTGTGTATATGTGAGGTGTATACGCGTGAGGATATGTGTGCACATGCTGTGGGTATGTGTGGTGCGTGTATGTTGTGGGGAGGTATATGAGTGTGGTGTGTCTGGTATATGAATGTGAGGGAGTGTGTTTGTGTGTTTCTTTGAGTTTGTCTATGGAAGTATGTGGTATATATTGTGTGTGTGGTGTGAGAGGTATATATGTGGGGATACATGTTTGTGCATATGGTGTGGGTGTGTGTGTGTTGTATGTGGTGTGTGTGTGCTGTATGTGTGGTGTGTGTGGTATGTGAGTGTGGCGTGCATACATGTGTGTCTGCCTCTCTACTGGGTGATGTGTCCCGGGGGAGCCTCGGGAGCCAGAAGTCGGTTTTCTCCACCGACACTCCTGAGGGTGATCTGTTTAATACAATTCCCCTTCTCAACCACCTTTTACTTGGGGACACCCCACCAAAAGTGCACCCCTTTCTTTTCATAAATGTGTTTCTTTCCATCACTCACAAAAGGCTCTGGTGATGAAACATCCCCACCTGCGTTGCCCACAGCGCTGTATCACCCCACACTGTACTGGCCCCCGTTCCCTGGACTGCCCAGCATTTCTCAGGGAGAGCCTCACCCTGCCCGGGAAATGCCCACTTCATCTGGCAGAGCAGAGAGTACCTGGCTGCTTAAGGGGCACTCCCGAGGCCCCGCTGTCCTGGGAGGCACATTGGGAGTGGGTAGTAGAGGAATCAGAGCGGAGGGACCCGGGAGAGCAAGGACCAGCAGCTGCACAGGAACACACGTGTGACATTAAAATGCCACAACGGCCCGGGATAACGTTACCCGTTTCTCTTTCTCTTTCTAACCTTCTCTTCTTATGAATGAGGAAACCTGTAGTTCTGCAGTGCACTGAAAACCCAGAGCCTTCCAGTGACAGACCCCAGACAAGAACAAACACTTCCAAAGGCACCCTCCAGACGGGCCCACCATACCCAATTGCTTCAAGGAGGCCTCTGTTCATTAAAATAAACCCACATCACTGAGACAGGAGAGATGTCTGACGTTTTCTTTCCAGTTTTGATGCCAGCTCCCCTCTTTCAGGCCTGGGGCCACATGCAGCGAGGCTGGATCCCCAGCTGGGGGCCTTCCTCCTGAGCTGGCCATGCTCCCTGGCCCTACAACAGCACCGCCCATACTTTCTCAGTCAGTATCTGCCCAGCGCACAGGGAATGAGGAGAGACAAACACACCAACAACCAAGACAGGTGAGGCGGTGATGGCCAGAACCAAATGCCAGCCTGGGTGACTCTCTCAACTGTCTCCCAGGCAGGCCTGGAGCATCCAAATCCCCTCTGCGTGTCCAAATGAGATAGCGGCAGCCCCTTGTTCCTACGCAAGGACCTGAGATCCACACCCCATGCTCCAGCTCTGTTTCATTCTCTAGCCATTTCATTGCATGCATTTGTTGTATCCTATACATGTGAGACCATTATAGATGTGTGGTCATGGGCTGTATGCATTAATGGCATGATTTGCAAGACTGTGTCCAACTACCAAAGACAAGCTGAAACAGCTCCTTATATGTAATACAGCAGAGCTTGTGCACCCACAGCCAAATCATAGACTGAAACAGGCATCACGTGGGTCCAGTCTCATTCCCCGGCCATTGGCCCATCAGTTGACCGCCCTTGAGCTCACGTATGCTCCTTTTATCCTCATTTTACAAAGCAAAACAAAGCACAGAATACAGAGGGATCTGCACGGATGACCTGGAACTTTGTGGGTGTTCACTCCCAGAGTGATGGAAGTGATTAACACATTAATAAATACATGAGTCCACGGAAAACTCAACATTTTCTAGAGTTTGACCAGGAGCTTTTTAAAACTCACAGCAGTCCCTCTTCTAAGCTGCCACACCAACACTTTAAATGCTCCTCTACCAATTCATAAATTCTCTTAGGTCTCGGAATGTGGCTTCTGCCTGAATGCCCATGAGACTGCCCCTAAAGTCACAGCCAAAGCTGCAGTCCCTGACACAGACTGGCAAAGGCCGGAAGCTCTTCAAAGTATTAATTTTAAAAGATTATTTTTATTGGTTTAAGGTGATAATGTTTTAAATCTAACCATCAGGTGGTTTGCAAATGGGTGAGGTCTGTGAAAAAGTCTGTAAATGTGTATTTCCATGCAAAAGCTGGTGCTCAGCAGTACAGCCCGGTGGGCTCCTGAGCAGCCTCCCTCGTCCCTCTGCCCTCCACACGTCTGCATGACCTCTCCTGGGAGCAAGCTTTGGCAGGGGACTCCTTCAATCTTCAGTGCCCTCGGATGCCAGCCTGGTGGGGTTTGCACCAGACCTCCCTGCCATCCCCACTGGGTTTCCTCTTCTTAGACTGTTTCTTATATTAATGGCACCTCAACTGCCAGCAGCCTATGCATTTCCTCCACATTCTGTGCATGGCCCTGGCAGCCACCATGAGAGTCATCTCTGTCTGCATTTTCCAAAGAAAAGACAGAATGCCTTACCCAAGGCCAAGCAATGAAGTCAGGGCGGGGAAGGATGTGGACCTCTGATGGACTCACCCTGCCAGCCCCACCCACCAGCCTCACCAGGCCAGGCTTCCAGTAACAGGACTTGGATCCATACTGCCCCTGTGCAGACCCATGCCTGCAAAGCAAGTGCAGAATAAAGAAGAGAGAGAAAGAGAAGTAAGGAAAGAAAGGAGAGAAAAAGCATAAAGAGGAGAGATGGTCAAAAGCAAGTATCTTCAAGAAATGGACAGCAGGTGAAGGAAGGAGTTATTTTCCTCATCCCCTAATTACTCGAGCATACTCCTGATCCCCAAGTGTCACAAACATCTACTGTCCTGATTACTATTACTGCTGTCAAGATTAGGAACAGCCAACACATGTATGCCAGGTGCCATGCATGTGTTATCTCCTTTAATCCTCACAATGACCCCATCATTATCCCGATTATCAGCTGAGGAAACTGAGGCACCAAGAATGCAAGTCAATAGCACAGGCACAAGAACCCAAATGCTGGCCCTTGGGGGCCGTGTCCTCACCCCGTGCGTTAGTGTCTCATGCCAGAGGCCAATCGGACGCCACAGGCATGGGCACTCTCCACCAACTGTGACCTAAAGAACAGCACAGCCAGCCCACTTCCAATTGTCCACAGCTTCTCTGCCTCTGAGGCAATGAGGAGAAATGGGCTGGGTTTGCCCAGACAGGCACTTTGAATATTCCAGTATCTTAATTCCACCTCTGGAATCAGAGGGCAGCAGGCAGGAGGTGCCAGGGCTCCTGCCACCCCCCTCCTCCTTTCCCGAGAGCCCAGAGGCCACCTCCAGCCACCTGTCACTGATGTGCTGCTCTGCATCCAGCTGGCACACAGGTGCCACCTAATTCTCTGCAGCTCTTTGCTTTCCTGCAGCAGTGGTGAGGGGGGCATCCCCTCAAGAGGTGTCTTCCCCCTCTCTCGAGCAGAGGTGAAAACACAGATGCTCCCAATTGAGAGCTGCCTAAACACCCTTGCACGTGAGCCCCTCAGATGGGGCACTCTGGGGTTTCTTTTCCTCTTTACATTTACAAACTATTTGCTAAAAGGATATGAATTTAAAAGAGAACAACTAGAAGCAAAAATGAGAGAAAAAAAACCCACAGAGAATGTGTTTACATGCGCAGGAGGGAAAGAGCATGTTGGAGCTGGAGGGAGCAGCCAGTTATCCAGGGAATACAGAAAAAACACAGTGGCCTGCGGCCCTGCAAAGACCCTGAAGACACGTACAGGAACTAGAGGATGTCCTCAACCTCTCATGGCTCCCCTGGAATGAGGGCCTCAGAACACAAGCAGGTGCTGTCCAGGAGCCCTAAAGTCAGTGGGGTCTGAGCCAGAGGGCCCTCCACGCTCCCCCGTGGGGCAGGTCAGGTGCATGACCAGGTTAAAGACTCAGATGGCCCCATCAAGACAGTCTGTTGTATCCTAGACTTATTTTTCCAGAAATGTTCTTATTTCCGACATAATACGTCCTTCCTGACAGCCCTCAGTGCCTTTAAGAAATGCTGATCTAGATGAGAGGCGCAGGTGGGGAGTAGGGGCTGCTGACTTCAATTCTCTGCTTTGTAAGGAGAAAATGGACTTCTCCTAAAGGGCTGTGACCCCCAATCCCACTAGCTTGCTCGCACTTAGAAATTACTATATGTCTAGAGACTCCACACAACTACAGTTCCTCCGCATGCATGTCGATGTCTGCAGGTGATAAATCACAGGGAACACAGGGGCAGCAGGAGGAGCCCCAGTAGAGACAAGCCCCGTGGCACCACCCCCGGCTCCAGAGTCTGCACATGCCCCGCCTGGCTGGACCATGTCTGCTTCTCATTGAGGAATGAGTGACCTCGTTTAGTTAGAAGGGCTTGGCAGAGTTTTTCTAAAAATCTCAATTCAAAACACAACCAACCCCCACATTGGTTCCAGCTGCTCCCAACCCTGGGATGCCGGCCCTGCTGTCTGCACCTCTGGCCTCTGAAGGCCACTTTCCTGCAGAGCGGGGCCTTTCAACAGCCACTCTGGCACTAACGGCCGTCCCCACACTCTCCTTCTAAATGCTTTTTCATCCCTGCAGCGGGGCGGATGAAGGGAGGGGGCCATCAAACGCGGAGCTGCACACGTTTCAGCAAGCTGCCCTGAGCCAGCAGCATAAATCAGAATGTGTTTTCCTATTTCAGGGTGGAGGAAATGGTTCTCCAGCAAAGTTCCCTACCGTTTCTTAAAGTGATTATTTTGATTTAAACTGCTGCCTGGTGGCTAGACTTCTAGCTACCAGTTTCAGGTCGTCTGTCCTGGGATCCGAGAGCACAAAGAAACACTGTTTGCAGGTTCCTGGGGGCCTCCTCTGGGCCGGCACACAAGATGGGCTCTCGGCCTCCACGCTCCTGCACCTTCCACAGACCAGCGCTTGTTCCTCGCCCAGGGAGCTGCCAGCCCCAAAGACACCGCCTCCTTCGTGCCACTTGCTGTCACGCAGGCTGTGGTTTTACTTCCTCCTGCCGTCCTCCAAATATCAGGCTCTCTCTGTGTCTGAAGAGAACATATGAATTTTGGGAAGGACGCAATTCAGTCCACAGCAAATCTGAAATCCACTGTACGATATTCTTAGTTTTAGGAGGCAGCGGCTGGGGCTGAACTTGCTCAAAGTTGTCCTAAAGAACTGCAGCCCCGGATGGGCCCCATGTCCAGCCCCCATACTGGCGGGATGTTGTCTTAATAGGTGTAATAGGTTCGTGGCTACCAGAACCTACACTGTTAGGAAGGTTGAAAAGAAAACCAGAAGCTGAATAAGTTCACGGGTCAAAAAGGCTGTGTTTAGTAATGATTTTCTATACTCCCCCACGGTATACAGAATAGCAAGCCTCGCCCCAGGTCCTTGCATGCTCCCATGGGACAGGGAAGGCGGGGCGGGGGGAAGGGGGTGCGGGAAGGGGAAATGTCATTCCTGCATTTTCTACACACGCATCCTAATGTAAAGCAACTATTTCATGGTTTGCAAAAGATTGCCAGACAAAGCAAAATGCATTCATGACACAGTTCAAAATTATGAATCCAATCCAGCAGAGAAAGTTACGGTGGCCTGTAAGGGGAGGGGCAGTTTTGTATTTTCTGCCCTCCCCACCCTACGCCCAAGGTGTAATGAGGAAACTTTCTCAGAAAAGGGCCCTCTGTCCAGCGACTCAAGAGCACAGTGAAAGCCTCTGCACGCACCCCTCCCCACCACCCAGCACCCTCACTCCCAGTGTAGGGCCTGGGCTGCCCAGGGTGAGAGCCTGTCCTGGGGAAGCCAGGCCCTGACCACCTGGTAAGTCTCTTCTAGGGATGCTGCAACCAGCCAGAGCCACAAGGCCATGCCTGCCCCCAAATCCAAGTCTTTCAGGTGATCTCACTGTGTGGATCCCAGGCAAGAGGATGTTCAGAGAGACATCCATACCAGCGCACCATCCCATCTAATTCTTACCCAAAACTCACCACAGGACAAGCATATGCACTAGGGGAGTTCCCAGTCAGCACCTTTCAGAAGCCAACCCCCACCCTCATGCACACCCAAAGCATGCTCACACCAAAGCATGGTTTTAATCAGCTTTGCTGGGGTATAATCTACATATAATAACACACACCCAGGCTGGGCGCGGTTGCTCGCATCTGTAATCCCAGCACTGTGGGAGGCTGAGGCGGGCGGATCACCTGAGGTCAGGCGTTTGAGAAGAGCCTGGCCAACATGGCGAAACCCCATCTCTACTAAAAATACAAAAATTAGCCGGGCATGGTGGCAGGTGTCTATCATCCCAGCTACTCAGCCGACACAGGAGAATTGCTTGAACCCAGGAGGTGGAGGTTGCAGTGAGCTGAGATCATGCCACTGCACTCCAGCCTGGGCAACAGAGCAAGAATCCATCTCAAAAAAAAAAAAAAAAAAAAAAAAAAAAAAATAGGTGTACCTTATGAAGAGCTCTGACAAATGTCTACACGGATGCAACCACCACCACAGTCCCCACTGAGAAGCAGCTGGCAGAAGAAGCAATCCCATGGTGGTTGCAGCCAGAGGTGACTAACACTCACACAGGGAGCCACTGGGTGATACCAACCCCAGGATGCCTCCCGGCTGGGCTTCTACAACAATGGGGCCCAGGCAAGGCCTGCTGTTCTCTCTCTGGACGACCTTGAGAAGTTAAGCCTGTCTCTTCATCTTAAAGCTTGGAATACTGTAGAGTGGATTACAGGCTTTGCCATGGACTGAGGCGTGTCCCCACAAAATATGTCAAAGCCTGAACCTCAGTAAGACGGTGTTTGGAGTCGGGGCCTGTAGGGAGGCAGTCAAGGTTAAAAGGGACAAAAGGGAGCTTCCAATTCAATATAGTTGGCATCCTACAAGAAGGGGAAGAGACACTGGCACTCACTCTTTCCACCCCATGAGGATGCAGTGAGAAGGCGGCCATCTACAAGCCAAGAAGAGAGCCCTCACCAGAAACCAAATCTGCTAACACCTTCACTATGGACCTCCAGCCTCCAAACTGTAGGAAATCAATGTCTGCTGTTTAAGCCGCCCAGTCTCGGTGCTTTGTCAGGGCATCTGGAGCCTACAGAGCAGACTTTCTGCAGAGAATTGAAGGTTCTCAAGGAAATCTCAGGAGAAACCTCAGTAACCACAATGCAATGGAGCTGCTCCATTCAAGCAGGCCAGAGGTTTCGGATTTCAAGTTTCGAGTCTTGCCTGTACCCTCAGCCCCCTGATAAGCACCCTCTGCGGTGGTCCCTGAACCTCATTTGCGGTGGTCCCTGAACCTTGTTTGAACTCCAGAGCTCTGGAGAAGACCCTTGGAAAGCCACTGGGCTGGAGTCTGTCTTTTCAGGTACCACTCCGTTGCCTTCTAGGGCAGATGGGGCTCAAATATCAATGACTTCAGGAACAGAACTGTGCCTCCAGAAATTATCTGTCAAAGCGGCTATAGACATGTTTAAGAAGAGGTGCCCTTCTGGTACCCAGATAACCACAGGGTACCGCATGGATTCACCATGGGGCAGAGCTGCAGACATCACAAGCTGAGGGAACAGCACATGCAAAGGCTCACAGACACAAATGGCATGGATTGGGCCGGGGGGAAATGGGGGAAGATGGAGGATGACTACAAGGAGGGAATGTGGGCTCAAGGTGGGTGTGGCCCCATCCTTCTTAAAGCAAGATTCAACAGAGAAATGAAATGAGAGCTTTAAGGCATCAGTATGTGCAGGTCTGCAGACAGCACAGACAGACTTAGAACCAGAAAGACGGGAGAAGTGCCTGTCCCACTGGACAGAAAGCCTGACCCCTCTGGGAGGCCACTTTCCCTCCCTCCTGGACCCCTCATTAGGCCTCGCTACCATCTCCCCAAATTCCAGAGGTAGTCCTTTGCAGACAAGATCTACTGCCAGGTCCCTCGACGCCCCCTTGCTCCTCTGTACAAGGCACCAAAACATGGGAAGCAGGCTTCATTTGCATACCACACATATACTCCCCCAGAAAGGGCTCCCTAATGCAGTCCCCCCACTTCCCACATAAAGAGACTTGAGGGCGCCAGAGGAGGCCCTGCAGGAGCCAGCTCATACAGCAACAGTTCCAGTCTTTCAAAGTAAGCCCAGGCAGGCGGGACCCAACTGCACCCCAGCTCTCCTCCAGAGCCGCTTTTCTCATTTCCGTGTGCAGCCTGCCAGGGCTGAGGGTCGAGAGCAGGCCTGAGAATGAACCCCACTCCCAGCACATGATGGATCCTGCCCTTGCCGGCCAGGAGATGCTGGTCGCAGGAAGACATCCTTCACGTCTTCGCTGCCACCAAGAATCACACTCCCCAGAACTCAAGTTCCGCTCGACCAAGCTCAAGTCAGGCTTTGATCTTGCAGGAAACACCCACGCAGACTCACTCTCCAGGACGGGAAGGATGCAGGAGCCAGCTTCAGCAGAACTCCTGGCTAGCAGCTCTGCCTGGCAGTACAGAAACTGTCTCAAAATGTGAAACAGATGAGCCTTTTAAAGAAAGTTATTTATATTGTGGAATCTTTCAGAGCAAGCAGAAACTTGAAGAGCCTTATCACCTGGGGCACAAAACCAAGGATACTCGAGTCTTCTCTCACCATGGAAATGGATGTGATTTTACCAAAACATAACAAGGAAATATGTTGGTTTGATGCTATTTCTTGATTTCTACTTCTGATAACGTATGCATGCCAGTCCTAATCAAGACAGAATGCCATTCAATAAGCTGACAAAGAACTCTTTTCCTGCGAATCCCCTACCTTGAAGGTCAGTATTAACAGTGAAGCATGGAAATTAAATTAAATTAAACCAGGGGAGCGGAGCTGTATGTAAACTCTGCTGGTTTTTCAGAAAAGGAGTGGACCTCTGTCTGTCCACCCATCTGGAGGCAGGGCATCAGATGATGGACGTAGATATATGGGGGCTCTGCTCAGTGCCATCTGTGTTTTAATCAATCTGGCTAACGCTTAATTTTTTAAAAATAACATTTGGGGCCAGGCAAGGTGGCTCATGCCTGTAATCCCAGAACTTTAGGAGGCCGAGTTGGGTGGATCACCTGAGGTCGGAAGTTCAAGACCAGCCTGGCCAACATGGCGAAACACTACTAAAAATACAAAATTAGCCAGGTGTGGTGGTGCATGCCCATAATCCCAGATACTCGGGAGACTGAGGCAGGGAGAATCGCTTGAACCTGGGAGGCAGAGGTTGCAGTGAGCTGAGATCGCTCCATTGCACTCCAGGCTGGGCGACAGAGTGAGACTCCGTCTCAGGGGGGAAGAAAAAAAAAAAAAAAAAAAAAACAGTTGGACCTAAGGCTGTAGTTGAAATACTGTACTAGACTCATGCTGGCTGAGAGTTGGGAACATGTTTATACTATTATCCAGGTAGCATACAAAGGGGAGATACACATTCTAGTGTTTGGAGATTTTTAAAGCAATTACAATTCCTTAAAAGGTATTATTGTCTAGGAACATCAGGACTCTTACAATGGACTGCAGTGAGTCTACAGGGAAACATTCCCCAGCCCTAAGTGCAGTTCCACAGCGACCACCCTCCATCATCCCATCCGAACAGATATCTAGCAGGCATGTCTAGCAGGTGCCCACACTTCGGAAGTGACTCTAGGGCTTGCTTGAGATCACCTTGGCCAACCTTACCATGGGACCAAACCCTTTCTTGAGTGGTTTTGTAATTTCAAGAGAATCACAGGAAATGTTCCCACAAGCTCTTCTTTACCTCCCAACTACGGTCAGATGAGATTCCCAGGCTTTTCTTGATTTCAACATGGAGAATCAATCCAGGGGTGAGGAAAGAGAACAAGAGATCAAATAAAGGGGCCCTGTAGGTAGAAATAAACTGCCACATGGAAAATATCTTGACTGGCGAAAACGCAATCTCTTCACTTTCAAAGATGTGCTTCCAAGCTCCCCTCTTCTCTTCAACTTTCCTGTTAAAACTAACACTTCCAAGGAAGCCGGCTAGAAAGAACCCTGGGCTCTGACCCTGATTCCCACCCTAGGCCACATGGCCATGTTCATATGTAATCCACAGCCCTAGAATCAAATTTGATTTCCTAAAGAATGTGGACTTCTGGAGATTACTACAGAATATCTGACCTTTTGTTTCATTATGCCCTTTATTGTGTTTCATTATACCCTTACATTTGAAACTTTCTTTTATACTATGCAAGTATTACGTGAATACACTCCTCTCTTTGAGTCACACTTGTAGATAAAGCTGAAGTCTCTTGGACATGACTTCAACCTCCCCAGATAGAACCAGTTAGTACTGTGTCATTTACGCTTTCAAATCTTCCTCTGCCTGTAGGAATATCGTGTTTTGAACATGTTGTTTGGCCTAAATAGCATCACTATCTGCATGCTACTTGGAGATCTTTGAGGTTTGAGTCACCTCATTTTCTTCATTGCTGTGTAATATTCCCTAGCACTAATATTCCATATTTATGAGTTGGTTTTCTGGTCATTTCCAAAGCAATAAACACTTAAGTTATTTCTTTTTCTCCCACAAACAGCATTGCTATGAATATCCTCATATCGACTTCTCTGTGCCCTGAGCTCAGTATGTCTGGAAGGCAAATCCCAAGACACAGAATTACTGGGTTTGTGGGTGCACCTGTTATTGATTTTAAGGACAGCTGACTGTCCTCCAAAGTGGATGTGGTAATCTATACTCCACAGTTTATTAAAATGCCCATTTCCCCATACCCTCACCTTAAACCCTGCTAATATAGTTAGAAATCATAACTTATGTTATTTTATGTTTCCTAATATAGTGTGGAAGACAGAGTAAGGATCCACCCAAGATGGCCACATTGTAATCCCCAGAACCTGTGACCATGTGGCCTTACATGGCTAAGGGGACTTTGTGGGTGTGATTAAATTAAGAATCCTGAGATGAAGAGACGACCCTGGACAATCAGGTGGGCCCAAAGTACCCACAAAGGTCCTTCAGGACCACAAGAAAAGACTGTGACGCTGAAGCAAAGGGAAGGAGACAGGGAAACCATGCTGCTGGCTCTGAAGATGGACAAGGGGCCATGAACCCAGGTGGGTCTGGAAGCCAGAGAAGGCCAGGAAATGGGAAGAGGCTGTGGGGCTGTGAGGCCACACCCACCCAGGCTAGACTTCTGGCCTGCAGAACTGTAAGGGGATAAATTTGTCTTGTTTTAAGCAACTAAGTGTGTATTGGTCACAGCAGCCAGAGGAAATTAACGTAACTCGCAAAGATGAGTCTCTTCTCTAATTTTACTATTTATATATTATTTTTTGAGAATCCCTTTAAAAATTGTCCTTTGCCCCTTCAATAGGGCTTCTATTAAGATTTACCAATTATTTCTATTACAGTTCTTGTTGACTTATTAAGAACGATTTTCCTACCTCAATGTCATAAACAAATTCTCATCTATTTTTTTCAGGGGGTGACTGGTATTAAAACAGATGTCTAATATGATCTTCTCCCAAAGGCACACTCAATTGTTCTAACATCATTTATTTAAAACTTCACTATTTCCCCACTCATTGGAAAAGTGAGTGAATTTATCACTTAATAAATTCCATAGATTCCGGCCGGGCGCGGTGGCTCATGCCTGTAATCCCAGCACTTTGGGAGGCCGAGGCAGATGGATCAAGAGGTCAGGAGATCGAGACCATCCAGGCTAACACGTTGAAACTCCATCTCTACTAAAAATACAAAAAATTAGCCAGGTATGGTAGCACATGCCTGTAGTCCCAGCTACTCAGGAGGCTGAGGCAGGAGAATCGCTTGAACCCGGGAGGTGGAGCTAGCAGTGAGCTGAAATCACGCCACTGCACACTCCACCCTGGGCGACAGAGCAAGACTCCGTCTCAAAAAAAAAAAAAAGAAAAGAAAAGAAAAAGAAAAAAAATTCCATATATTCCATAGGTCTGTGTGTGGATTATCTATTCTCTTCTTTTGATCTATTTGTCTATTTAATTATGACAATACATTTTGACACTGGGTAGAGCAAGGTTCTCACGATAATTTCACTTTTTCTGTCTTGGTTCTTCTTGCTCATTTTCAGTTCTACGTGGACTTCAGAAACAGCAAGCCAAATTCTATAAAATAACTTACTGGGGTGCTAGTTGGAACTGTATTAAATTTGTATTTTAATTTTGGGAGAACAGATATCGTTACAATATTACTTTCCCGTTAACAATAGGGTTTTCTGGCCGGGCATGGTGGTTCATGCCTGTAATCCCAGCACTTTGGGAGGCCGAAGCGGGCAGATCATGAGGTCAGTAGTTCCAGACCAGTGTGGCCAACAGAGCGAAACCCTGTCTCTACTAAAAGTACAAAGAATTAGCCGGATGTGGTAGTGCGCGCCTGTAATCACAGCTACTCGGGAGGCTGAGACAGGAGAATCGCGTGAACCTGGGAGACGGAAGTTGCAGTGAGCCGAGATGGCACCATTGCACGCCAGCCTGGGTGACGGTGCAAGACTCTGTTAAAAAAAAAAAAAAAAGACAATAGGGTTTTCTTCTCCAGTTAGTCTAATCTTCTTTCAAATTTTTCAGTGAAGTCTCAGGAGTGTTGTGCCTTTCTCACTAAGGTTATTCCTGGGTATCTGAATGGCTTTGCTGCTACTGGTTTTTTTTCTATTACTTATTTTTATGGTTACAGATATATAAAAATGCCACTGATGTTTCTAAGTTGGTCCTGAATCCTCCAGCCAACATACTACATCTCTGTATTGGTGCTAACATTTTCAGTTGAGTCCCTTGCATTTTCTAAATAGACAACTGAACCAACCACAACTAATGAGAGTTTTATCATTTTACAAAATGTATACTTACCATTTGCTTAATTTAGCTTCCCCACTTGGAGAAATTCTGTCATATCCAATAAACTCATGTGGCTCTTTGCAACCTCCTAGTGTCCTGGAGACCAGCTTCATCTTTCATGACAGCAGCTATGACTGCTGTAAAGCAATGACTCCATCCCAGATGGTGGAGGGAGCTGCATTCAAAATATAATACAGGAGGATTTCCTGAAAGAGGTGCGGAGGGCAGCATTTTGTCTTCTCTTCACACCAGGGAACTTGAGCCCATCTGGATTCAGTTGAAAGGGCAGAGTTACAAATAAATGGAAAACACACAAACACACACACACACACACACACACACCCACACACACAATGTAAGTCCATAAGAAGTCGGTAAAAAATAGGGTCCGTGTAACAGGCCAAGGCACTGTCTTCAAAAAGTTAAAGAAATCATTCCTATCCTAACAGGAAAGAAGAGGACAAGGATGCCTATAGGAAAATGGACCAAGAACTTGGGGGATTCCCCTTCTGAAGACTTCTTTCTCCTCTGAAGAGAGTGAAGAGAAGGGAGATTTCTGACCTTCCCACTGGCACAGGCCTCTGCCACCGGACACAGTGCAGCACTGGACACGGCTGCCCCTCCTGCGTTCGCCACCTTCCTTGCTCCCTCTTCAGCGCATGCTCTGTGAGCACACTCCAGAAAGGCTGGCGGAGCGCGAGGTTGTGGGCGGGGGTGAGGGTAAAAATAACCACCATGGAGCGTGGAGGACCAGCCCCAGAGCAAGGCGATGAGGCAGCCAGGCTGTGGGAGACTGGCTGGGGACTGGGGCTGAGGCATGAGGGGTCTGATCTATGCCTGGGGTTGGGCCTTTGCCCCTGGGATTGCCAGGCCTGAGTCCGGAGACCAAAACAGCAGGGCTCCTCCGGGATGGGCCTGATCAGAGGGCACCAGGACTCAACGGCCAGAGGGCGGGCGAGTTTAACGACCCAACCAGAGTTACTGGGAAAGGTGACCGTGCTGTGAATAGGTAAGGTGGCCCCAACAGGTGAGGTGGAAGAAGGAGGGGAGGTGGCACCAGAGGACACAGCCTGGGGTCAAAAAGGTGGCACCGGGGCAGAGTGAAGCAGAAGGTCCCGGGAGGTGTGGCTCCACATAGATGGCCTTTGCAGACACAGTACTGTGACAAGTCAAGTTGGGAGGGCAGGTGCTGTCCAGCCTCCAGCCCTCCACTACACCCTGATCAACACAAGAGACTCAGGTGGGTGCAGGACCCGCTCTGAAGCCCCGAGGAGTAGTATCCACCCCTATGACAGGCAGTGCTCCTGAGACCAAGGGCTACCTCACCCCCTTGGTCCTCACTCTGGGTACTGGCTGCTAATTCAAGACAACAGGACACGTCCCACTCGACATCCCACTCTGAGAATCTACAGTGCCCGGGCTGATGCTGTGACAGTAGCGCATGAAGAGCCGAGTTGGTCAAATTTTCATGCATGAATATTCAACTCGGCCTGATGGGGCTGTGGGCAGCAAGGACTGTGGGAAATGGCAGAGAGACATGAAATCTAAAAGGAAGCAGCAAGCTGTGAGCAGAGTGAGGGTGCATGAGACGCTGAGGAACAAAGTGTTCCTTGGCCAATATCTGTAATATTTCCATCATAGATTGGGCTCCCCAAGAAGTCAATCCAGAGTGCATTTGGGAGATGAAGCCAGGGGGCCCTGAAGTGGAGTAGGAAGGAGAGGAGAAGGGGAAGAGGCCCAGAGGTAGTGCATGAGTAGGTTCCTGCTATGGGCAACACCACGCAAGACACTGGGCCCCTGTGGGAGGCCACACAGACCCTACGTCTCAGAGCTGCCCACCCCCATAGGCAAGGCAGCTGGAGCATTCACTACCCAATGAGGGCTTATTGTTGGAGGATTGCTGATAGCAGGGGGATGCACTGGCTCCCAGCACCCGACTGTACCTTGCCTGTAGACCAAGTACCCTGGCCAGGAAAGTCCTGTGACCAAGTCACAAGGGCGTGGAGTCAGCAGCCTGCAGGAGGTGGTGAGGCGTAGGATAGGGGCCAATGGCAACACTCTCCACTACATAACGACCAAGACTTGACTGGCATGGTCTTTTCTTGTCACAGACAAGCACAGACAGCACACTCTGCTGCTGCTGACCTTCTGTTCAAAGACAGTACTCCATTTGCAGAGTTGTCACTGCAAGGTAATGAGGCAGTCATTTCATTTTACCCGGAATCCCTCAGTGAAGGAGACTGGCCTTCCTATTGCTGCCCCAGTTTTGTAGACAAGAAAATTAAGAGCAAGTGTCCTCTTTTAAGGAGCCGAGGTCACGTGATAGGAGGAGTGCAGGATCAGAATCTCAGGGCCCTGGAGTCTCCGCTGCCTCTGAGAGGGCTGCAAAGTGGAAGGCGGTTGGTAAGCTGGAGGTCTCAGACCTAAACGCTGGATCAAGCAAAACCACTTACACATGCACTTTTAGAATAAGACCTCACTGCTTTGCCTCTCGTTAGAGGTAAGGTTTGAATGGTAGAGTGCTGTTTAAATAGCATTGCCACCGGCCATTTGGCTTGGATGAGCCAGCAGGGAATTAGCAAAGCCTTTTATTTTAAAAACTACTTTAATCCATCAATTAGAATAATTAGTAACTAGAAGATATGCCTCCAATATTTTAGTAAAGGCAAATGAAAAGACACATCAATAGCTTATATTACAACTGATATTAAAATGCTTCAAACAACATTTTCAGGAGAATGGAACTGTTCTGTAGGCCTCGTGAACATAAAATTTAACTTAATTACTCTTAAAAATATCTTAACTTTAAGTCAAATTATCACCCCACACCCCATCCCAACAAGTGCCTCCCCTTATCCCACAGGACCCACGTTCACATTAGACTCAATGCTCGCAGGCTGGAGGAAGCTCCTGCTGGATTGCTAATAGTTGCTCCTAGAGTCCATCCATCCTCACTCCTAGCAAGAGAGCAGCACGTGCCCAGAAAGCCCAGGCCCTGCAACTTTCCTCCCACAGGAGTGTCTGAGCGTGCATGACAAGTGCTCCTGAGACAGGACTCAGCCCAGAGAGATCAGGGCACGGCGTTCGGCCCTCCCGCCAGGGCAGCCTGGCCCTAGGCGAGGTCGGGAGATCATGCAGGCTGAAAAGTCCTGATCCCAGGCCGAGAAGGGAGGGGTGAAGGTTCATCTCCCACAGCACTGGAACAGCCCTTTCCATGGAACAGTGACCTCCACCCCCAGTTTCCTGCCCCCAGTGGCAGGGTAAGCATCTTAGAGAAGGAAGGGACACCCAGGGGCAATCAGCCTGCCTTTGCTGGAGGAATGCTTCTCCCCAGCGGGGAGCAGTGTGAACAGGCTTCCTCCTCTGGCTGCTGGTTTACGGACATCATGACATGGTGGCATGGATGAGGGGAATGGGGGTGGTATGGGGGAGAAGCATCTGGAAGCAGAGGACCAGCGTAACTACACAACTCTGGGATGCTACCTCAGAGAGGAGGGACCAGGGCGGCCTTGGGGTCAGCACCCCCAAGAGACACTGCTGCACAGAAGTCTGATACACCTGCCGGCCGGGTGAGGCACCGGGGCCGCACCACCAGAATGATCCTGGGGCTCTGGGTTCCAGGAGCCCCCAGTGAGCCAGAGAGGCAGAAATAAACAGGTTCCAGAGGTTACCCATAAAATCTTGGAATGCTAGGTCTTCCTAGCATTTGTTGGGACTTCCCAACAAAAAGTAAATTTAAAAGAAAAACGAATTGTCCTTGTAACCCATAAATAAGCTGGGTGCAGTGGCTCAAGCCTGTAATCCCAGCAACTCAGGAGGCTGAGGTGGGCTTGAGGCCAGGAGTTTGAGACCAGCCTGGGCAACATGGCAAGACCCTGTCTCCACGAACAAAGTAAAATTAGCCAGGCATGGTGGTGTGTGCCTGTAGTCCCAGCTACTTGTGCAGCTGAGGCAGGAGGATCACCTAGCCCAGCAGGTGGAGGCTTCAGTGAGCTGTGGTTGCACCACTGCACTCTAGCCTGGGCAACAAAACGAGACCTTAATATGCTCAAAATGCTGTAAGTTAAATTGCATGTCTGGGCTAAATTGTGTTCCTCCAAAATTCACAGGCTGAAGCCCTAACTCCTAGTACCTTAGAATGCATTTGGAGACAGACTTTTAAAGAGGAGATTAAGGTAAAAACAAGGTCATATGAGTGGGCCCTACCCCAACCTGACTGGTGTCCTATAAGGAGAAGAGATGACACAGACACACACAGAGGGACGACCACGTGATGAGTCAGGGAGAGGACAGCCAACTGCAAGCCAAGGAGCAAGGCCTCAGGAGAAACCAACCCTGCTGACACCTTGATCTCACACTTCCACCTCCAGGGCTGTGAGAGAATGAACGTTGTTTAAGCTGCCCAGTCTGGGGTACTTACGGCAGACTGAGCTGACAAATACGATGTCCTTGTCTGAGGCTCTACCTCCTAAACAGATGGCCCATAACAATGGCAATTCCCAACATGCACTGGGATGCTTGCTGTGCTGGCTGCCTCACTGCTCAAGCTCATAGAGTCCCCACAACAGTCCCATGCCAGGGGTATTATTTTAACCATCCACAATGGACGAGGAACAAATTCCACCATTCTCTACTAAGGTACTCACTTGAGGTCACCCTACTACTGGTAAGTGGCAGGGCCCCTGTCTTGAGTCTCCAGAATCCGTGTTCACTCCCAGAGCCTGTGTTCACTCCCATCCCCTAAAACAACCCCTTCACCAGGTGCCCATGCACACTTATGTGCAGTGTGGCAGAGAGGAGACTAGACCATGGCTCCTGAACCTGCCATCTTGTTTCACGAGTGACCATCGGGGAGGCCACCCAGCCTGCAGTCATCACCTCCTCCCCTCCCATCCAACTACACAGGTCTAACCATTTTTAGAATCCTACACATATTACAGAAACAATTTCCTAAGCAACATGAAGGCAGCCTTCCCTTTTGCACAGGAACCACCCGCAGCCAGGCTTGACCTCACTGGGCAGGCGGTGGGGCCTCGCCGCCCCGCCACTCCAGGTCCCAGCTTGGAGCAAGGGCTTTGTGACTGCCAGGGCTTCGGCAGGATTTTTACACAGCCTTGCCTTTATGAGCAACTGCGACCAGCATGAGGAACTGAGTCAACTAAAAACACACTTTTTAAAAACATTCCAGTAGGTCGTGTTCTACAGCAGGAGACTCGCAGGCACCATGAGAAAAAGGCCTTTATAAATCCAGGGCCTGTGTGCAGAGCAGTGCCTGACTGCGTCAGGAGTGAGATGTTACACACCGGCTGCTAGGCAGGACCCAGGACGAGGGGGTGGCAAGCCCGGAGGCAGGCCCCTGTCTTCTGGGCCGGCAGGAGCAGGCAACTTCCTCCCTGAGGAGCTTAAATCCCCTCCCCTCCGCCCCCTCCCCACAGCTCCCAGCGATCAATCTCCCTGGGAGGGGCCTGGAGCCACAGGGCAGCCCTTGTTTCCCTGCAGGTTCAACAATCTGGTTTTCATTGAACGGAGTATTTAGCGCTCTCCCACCACATTTTTCTTTAATTATGATAAAAGAGAGTAACTTAATCAAGCATAAATCCTGTTGAAATGAACAGGAGAAAATAAAGGGGTTAACTTGGAGAAGGAGGGGGAGAGGGTGGAAACGACGACCACAGGTCCTCCGGATATAGGCCGCCAAGCCCAGCAAATAAAAACCAAGGCTGCTTCCCACCCAGAATCCGGTCCTAATCCTCCCGCTGGAAGAAGAAACAAAGGTTGGCCATGGCCTGCTCCACTGAAGCACCTGGGGAACAAAGACCACGGTTCACCAGGCTGTGCCCAAAGACAGGACCCCGAGTTCCTACAGCTTCCAACCTGGGCTCCTGTGCCCCACACCGAGGGCTAACTGAGGTGGGGGTGCGGGTAACTGCTGGCAGCTCACCTGGGCCATGAGAAGGCACAGGCACACCTGCACACACGCATGCATCCACACGGGCATACACATCTAAGCACAGGCACACACATGCAGGCACCTGCGTGCACACAGGCACACACACGAACGCACAAACACACACACATTCACACAGGCATACATTCACACAGGCACACACAGGCGCGCACAGGGCACACACCCCACAGAGCAGTGGTTCTCAAAGTGCCCAATGAGGAGCAGCGGCTGCAGCCCCAAGGAAGTCCTTAGAAAGGCAGAATCTCAGACTCACCCAGATCTGTGGGTGGGGCCAGGCATTGTGTACTTAACAAGCCTTCTGGGCTACAATTTGAGAACTGCTAGGGCGGCTCATTAACGTGGAGGCAAAGTAATGAGTTGAAAAACAAGATCACAATATTGTCACTTCGCTTAAGGACACATTTTGTGTGTGCACTACAGCTCACAGGCAGTAATAATAACAATAGCACTTAGCCATCCCTCAGGGCCTCTGCATGCCACAGGGAGTTCTAAGTCCCGACAAGAACCAAGTCATGTAATCTCCACAAGGACCCGTGAGGCCAGTGCCAGCAACTCCAGCTTACTGATGAGGTTTACAGAAAGGTTAAGCAGCTCGCCCAAGATCATGCAGCTATGGGGGACAGAAGAGGAATCAGAGCCAGGCATCGGGCTCTATTGCCCACCTCCTGAACACACACAGTGCCAGGTGTCACCGGGGACACCAGGCAAACAGGGTTGCCACCAAGGAGGGATGAAGAACAAATGCTGGGAAGGCCTAATGCAAAGGGCTCGGGAGCCAGGCAGCATGGGTCCAGCCAAGTACAAGGCCCAGCCTGGTCAGTCCATAAGTTTGGTGACCCACAAAGAGATTCAGGGCAAGGTAAAGACCCTAGGCCAGGATGGAACTCATTCCTGCCAAGAAGGACCATCTGAAAGTATTCCTTTTTTTTTTTTTTTTTTTTTTGAGACAGAGTCTCACTCTGTTGCCCAGGCTGGAGTGCAGTGGTGCCATCTTGGCTCACTGCAACCACAGCCTCCCGGGTTCAAGCAATTCTCCTGCCTCAGCCTCCCGGGTAGCTGGGACTTCAGGCACGCCACCATGCTTTGCTAATTTTGTATTTTTAGTAGAGATGGTGTTTCACCATGTTGGCCAGGATGGTCTCGAAAGTATTTCTCTTGTAGCCTAAGAAAGATCTGAAGGCGGCAAGGGTATTTTTTGGAGTGTTCCAGACTGTGGTCCTGGGAACAATTAACAACAGTCTCTTTTGGAAAAAAACATGTTTCAGGCCAGGCAGGGTGGCTCACGCCTGTAATCCCAGCACTTTGGGAGGCAGAGGCAGGCGGATCACCAGAAGTCAGGAGTTCAAGACCAGCCTGGACAACATGGCGAAATCCCATCTCTACTGAAAAGACGAAAAAATTAGCCGGTCGTGGTGGTGCACACCTGTAATCCCAGCTACTTGAGAGGCTGAGGCAGGAGAATTGCTTGAACCTGGGAGGCAGAGCTTGCAGTGAGCTGAGATCTTGCCACTGTACTTCAGCCAGGGCAACAGAGTGAGGCTCCGTCTCAAACAAACAAACAAACAAACAAAACCATGTGTTTCAGCCACAATAAGTACATGCAGCTCCACCTGGCGGGACCATCACAAAGAAAAGCACAACTAGAAGACCCAGCCCCGTTGAGCCCACACTGGAGATGCCAGGGTGTGCTCAGTCCTGCGGGCCTGGACGCTGCTCCGGATGAGTAAGGGAGCTCGTCCTGAAAACAAGCACAGGCAGGGGCCTCTCTTGGGGAGGCGAGTGGGGACCCCAGTTGGCATGGTCTGAGGAAGGCACAGGGAGAAACAGGAGCCCTCTCAGGAAAGGCTCGGTTCCAGGCCCTTCCCATCAGGCACTGACCAGGTTAGACCTTCGCCATCTGGGAGAGGGAAGGGTGAGAGAGAAGCTGTGGGGTTCCCTTGAGAGCAGGCCGGGAGACAACGGGCATCCTTAGCAGAGAAGCCCTCGGCAGCGCTTGGTGACTCCCTGATTGTGAAAGAAACTGAAGCACCCCAAGGCTCCCTGGATGAATGGGGGATCTCATGAGAAACAGGGGAGTTTCCCATGAGAAACGGTGGCTTGAGGGGGAAGATAGTCCATCTTTGAGCAAGCACATGCCAACGGACAAAATGTATTAGTCAGAGTTGGCCAGAGAGACAGAGCCAATAGGATGTACATATGGAAATGCATGAGAGGGGATTCATTTGGGGAACTGGCTCACAGCGATCATGGAGGCTGAAAGACCCACAATACGCAGTCGGCAGTCTGCAAGCTGGAGACCCGGGGATGCCGGGGCACAGCTCAATTCAAGGCCAAAGGCCTAAGAACCCAGGGAGCCATGTGTGAGTCCTAGAGTCCAAAGGCTGGAAGGCCTGGAGTACTAACGTGTGAAGGCAAGAGGAGGGTGTCTCAGCTCCGGGAGAGAGACACCTTTTTTGTTCTATCCAGGCCCATTGGATGGTGCCACTCACATTGAGGGCAGATCTTCCCTACTCAGTCCACCAACTCCCACGCCAGTCTCCTCTGGAAACACCCTCACAGACACACCCAAAGGTAATGCTCTACCATTCTCTAGGTACTCCTTAGTCTAGCGGACACCTAAAATTAACCATCACTTGTATATACAAAACGAATATACAAAAATCATTTGTATTTCTATATGCTAGCAATAAACGATGTGAAAATGAAACCAAGTTAACTCCATTTACAATAGCATTAAAAAATAATATATTACTTAGGAAGAAATTTAATCCTCCCAAAAAAGTACAAGGCTTACACTCTGAAAACTACGAACATTGTTGAAAGAAATTTTTTAAAGATCTAAATAAATGGAAAAATATCCTGTGTTTATGGATCAGAATACTTAATACTGTTAAAGATGGAAATACTCCTCAAATTTTTCTATAGATTGAACACAACCCCAACCAAAATCCTCACCTATTTTTTGAGGTTTTGTTTTGTTTTGCAGAGATTGACCTGCTGCTTCTAATTCATATGGAAATGTGAGGAACACAGAATAGCCAAAACAATGTTGAAAAAAATAAAAGGAACTAAGTTGGAGGACTCATAGACTTCTCAGTAACTGAAGTAGTATGGTACTAGTATAAAATTAACATACAGATCTACAGATGAGTGGAATGGAGGTCCAGAAATAAACCCTCACATTTATGGCCAGCTGATTTTTGACAAAGTTGCCAAAACAATGCCAGAGAAAGAATAGTCTCTTCAACAATTGGTATTGGAATAAATGAACATCTGCACACAAAGGAATGAAGTTGGAGCCCTTCCTCACTAAGTACACAAAAATTTACTCAAAATGCATCACAGGCCATGTAAGCACTAAAACTATAAAACTGTTAAAAGAATACAGTGTACCTTTTCATAACCTTGAGTTAAACAGTTTCTAAGAAATAATACCAAAAGACAAAGCAACAACAAAATACATAAATTAGGTTTCATCAATATTAAAAACTTGTGTGCTTCAACAGATAACATTAAATAAGTAAAAAGACACAAAATGGGAGAAAGTACTTTCAAAGTATATATTTGTTAAGGGATTTGTATTTAGATTATATAAAGAACGCTGTTATGGACTGAATGTATCCCCCCCACCCCAAATTCTTATCCCTAATGCCCAATGTGATGGCATTTGGAGATGGGGCTTTGTGGAAGTCATTAGGTTTTAGATGAGGCCCTAAGGGTGGGGCCCCCATGATGAGATTGGTGCCCTTATAAGAAGAAGAAGAAGGCCGGGCATGGTGGCTCATGCCTGTAATCCCAGCACTTTGGGAGGCTGAGGAGGGCAGATCACGAGGTCAGGAGATCAAGACCATCCTGGCTAACATTGTGAAACCCCATCTCTACTAAAAATACAAAGAAAAAAAAATTAGCCGGGTGTGGTGGTGGGCGCCTGTAGTCCCAGCCACTCAGGAGGCTGAGGCAAGAGAATGGTGTGAACCCAGGAAGCGGAGCTTGCAGTGAGCTGACATCACGCCACTGCACTCCAGCCTGGGTGACAGAGCGAGACTCCATCACCAAAAAAAAAAGGAGGAGGAGGAGGAGCAGGAGCAGCAGGAGCAGCAGCCAGGAGTGGTGGCTCATACCTGCAATCCTAGCACTTTGAGGGACCAAGGCAGGAGGATCAGTTGAGGCCAAGAGTTCAGAAACAGCCTCGTCAACACACTGAGGCCCTGTCTCTACAGAAGACACATGTAAAAATTAGCTTGGCATGGTGGCACATGCCAGTAGTCCCAGCTACTCAGGAGGTTGAGGCAGGAGAATCGCTTGAGCCCAGGAGTTCAAGGATGCAGTGAGCCATGAACACACCACCGCACTGCAGCCTGGGCAACAGAGTGAGTCCCTGTCTCAAAAAACAAAAAAAAAGAAGAGAAAGAGAAACCAGAGCTTGCTCACCCTCCACCATGTGAGGACACAGCAAGAAGGCAGCCCTGAAATCTTCCAGCACCTTGATCTTGGATTCCCAGCATCCAGAACTGTGAGAAATACATTTCTGTTGTTTAAGCCCCCCAGTCTACGGTATTTTGTTATGGCAGCCCAAGCTGACTAATCCAAACACAACTAAATAGTAAAAAAGGCAACTCTGTCAAAATATGGACCTGAATAGTCATTTCTCCAAAGAAAACACATAAATGGCAAATAAGCACATGAAGAAATGTTCAACATCATTAGCCATCCGTGAAATGCCAATCAAAACCACAATGAGATACCATACTTCACACCTACTAGTTCGCTTATAATAAAAAAGACACACAATAACAAGTGTTAGTGAGGATGTGCAGAAAGTGCAAGCTTATATGCTGCTGGTGGGAATGTAAAATGGTACAGCGCTGGGGCAAACAATCTGGCAGTTCTTTGGGCCAACAAGCCCAGCTAATTTTTACATTTTTCTTCTGTGGAGACAGGGTCTCAGTATGTTGACAAGGCTGGTTCTGAACTCCTGGCCTCAAGTGATCCTCCCGCCTTGGTCCCCCGAAGTGCTAGGATTGCAGGCATGAAGGTTAAGCACAGAGTTACCAGAGGACTCTGCCTATTCCACTCATAGGTATACAACCAAGAGAAATGAAAACATAAAAATGTAGATAGGAACATTCACAGGAGCATTATTCATAATAGCCAAAAAGTAAAAACATCCCCACTGTCTATAGATAGATAGATAGATAGATAGAAATGTGGTAATATATCCCAGAACTTAAAGTAAAAGAAAAGAAAACAAAAACAAAAACAAAAAACAAAAGAAACGTGGTGTATCTGTACAGTGAAAGATGATTTAGCCATTAAAACAGGCTACAACATGGATGAAGCTTGGGAACCTTATGCTCAGTGAAAGAAGCTAGAGACAACAGACCACATATTGCACGACTCCGTTTATATGAAATGTCCAGAATAGGCAAATCCATAGAGATGGAAAGGAGATTCGCAGATGGCTGGGCCTGGGGGGAGATAGGAGAAAGGGGGCTATGACTGATGGGCATGGTTTTCAGGTGATTATAATGTGCTAAAATTGATTGTGGTAATGGTTGCAAAACTCTGTGAATATACTAAAAACCACTGGGTTATAGACTTTAAATGGTGAACTGCATGATACATGAGTTGTATCTCAAAGTGTAAATATAAAAATGACTAATTTGGAGATGCTGGAAATGGGAAGGGAAGGGGAACAGATTCCGGCAACATAAAAACTAGAAAGACACACAAGGAAGCAGACGCAGAAACAAAGTGGAAAATAAGGTGGGTTCAGGAAAAGATGCAGGCGGGCTTAGTTTGGGAGATAAACTCCTGGACCCCCTTAAATATGCAAGGGTCCCATCCTTAACCTCATGTGCAGACTAATTTCCTTTTCCACTGCACACCTCTGTGTTCCCCGAATTCAAATTCGACAGGAAAGGCCCCAGGATTCCTGTTAGATTATGTGAATTACTGGACACTGCACCCAGGGAAAGAGATCCACCTGTTTCCATCCACCTATCAGTGATTCTGGCCAGAACAAGGCTTGGTTCTTGCAATGAAGAGAATCCTAAGTCCTGCCACAAGTCCACAAGCCCACGCTGGGCCCCAAGTCCACCTGTCCCTCAGGAGGCCAGGAACACGAGCCATGGACAGAGACAGGGGAGGGGATAAGGAGCACTGTCAACACACATGGAGAAGGAATGAACAATCCAGCCCTGCTACACAATCTTAATTATGACTTAAACACATTAGGATTTTCTTGCCAAATTTTGCAGAGACGCTGCCATAGATCAAAGCATGTGGAAGGCTTCTGGCCAGGACTGCAACACAAATCAAGACAATCAGCAACCCTGCCAGAGCGATCACTCACACCCACTCTCTCCTTCCATATGTGAGTCTCAAGAATCAACTGCTTCCCACGTCCATGCTGGCATGTCAGAAGGGACCAGGGGGCCAGGATATTTTCAGGATGTGCTCATTTTAGACAATAACTTATTAAAGATAGGTAACTTTCACCATAACTTGAGCACAGAAAAAAAGTAACAAGATAAATTACATCTTGGTCGGTCCAACTGTAGCATATGTTTTATTTAAGCAGATGTTGCACACCCCTTTACATCTTCCTTCTCTCTGAAGGGAAAGGGGGATGATCAGAAGATAAAGTGCTGTCACATCACTTTAGCGGACGGGCTTCTTCAAGTGGCAAGTTTAAATGGACACAGTACTCCCCTTAGCCAGGAAGTTTTATACTTTGCAAAATGCTCACCTCAACAGCAAAGTCTTCAATAGAGTTCTCTGTAATCTACAAAATCCTCAATGTGAAAGCTAAGGCTAAAAGTTTTTTTTTTGCAGTATACTTTTCAAATACAGTAATTCTACACAGCAATAAAGAGCTTAAGAGATCTCCACGAGTTCTTTCACAGGACAACAAAGAAAGAAACCACATGAAGGCACTTGCTGCTCTTAAGCCCATCAGCTGGCAGGTTACACACTTCCAGCCAGCGCTCTTCACTCGGTTACAGTGACGCCTCTCCTACTCTGGGACTCTGCTTAAGAAAACAGTCTCCAGATTAGAGACACTCAAGGAATCAAATGACCCAACTGTGAAACCACGTTTTGGCTTTCTTTAATGTATCTGAAAAATAACATGACTGTAGTATCATTAGTTTTCCTCCTCTACAGAAATTAGAATACCAAAACATTGGCTTTGTAGGAGTCAACATAGGGAAGGGAGACAAGTCATTTCATTTTTAAAAGCACACCAAGTAATCAAAAGCAGTTAGGTAAATACCTTATTCTAAGCAAGGAAGAGATACAAATTTGCAGATCAGTCCTTTGTCATTCCTTTAAAAAGGGCCATGACAATATTTCATTTTCAAAATATGGGCCCAAGGCCATTTATTTTAAATGAAATACTACAAAACTATGGATTAAGTCCTACTTTAATTTTTGGTTGGAGGCATGGGGGTGAGGAAGTGAAGTGAAAACAAGGTGGCTTATTTGGGGGCCACATCAACCTGCCTAAGGTGACTTCTGAAAGAAGGGAAGAGCTCAGTCAGCATTGCCAGTGATGTTCAACAGGGCCCCACCTCCAAAAAATAGAATACAAAAGGTATTTTCTTTAAACTGCTCCAGAGGATATATGACTCTAACATGGGATGTTATCCAAATTTAGCTACACATATTGAATAAATGACACTTTCTGAATTACCTAAATCAAATTACTCCAGCCAGGTGCGTGGTACAATATTGGCATCACAGTGAAAATGATTTACAGTGAAACAGTCAAAGAAGAAATAGTGATATTCTTCCCTCTGCCCAAATCCAACCCTGCCAGCTGCATGTTTTTTGGGTTTTGTTTTTTTGTTTATTTTTTAAGATGGAGTCTCGCTCTGTCACCCAGGCTGGAGTGCAGTGGCGCAATCTCAGCTCACTTCAACCTTTGCCTACTGGGTTCAAGTGATTCTCCTGCCTCAGTCTCCTGAGTAGCTGGAATTACAGGCGTGCACCACCACACCCAGCTAATTTTTATATTTTTAGTAGAGACAAGGTTTCACCATGTTGGTTAGGCTGGTGTCAAACTTCTGATCTCATTATCTGCCCGCCTCGGCCTCCCAAAGGGCTAGGATTACAGGCATAAGCCACCACGCCCAGTCTTTTTTTTTTTTTTTTTTTTTTGAGACTGAGTCTCTATCACCCAGGCTGGAGTGCAGTGGCATGATCTTGGCTCACTGCAACCTCCACCTGCCAGGTTTGAGTGATTCTCCTGCCTCAGCCTCCTGTGTAGCTGGGATTACAGCTGCGCCACCACGCTTAGCTAATTTTTGTACCAGCTGCATGTTTTAAAGCGTGCTTTCCACAGCAGAATAAACTTGCTGCACTGAACAGTAAGGGAGCCACCAGACATATGGGGCTACTAAAATTTAAATTTTAAAATTTAAATTAATTAAAATTAAAGAAGATTTAGAATTCCATTAGCCCATCCCACATTTCAAGAGCTTAATATTGCCACATAAGGCTAACAGCTACCATACGCAGATACAGAATATTTCCATTTTCCCCAAAAGTTCTATGGGGCAGAACTGACAACGGAATCTAGTAATTTAATAACCCAATTTTGGGGAGAAAATGGAAAGGATTTTGAAACCATCTGAAATCTGCACATCCTCCTCAAAATAGGGTTGGTGCTACTTGCTTGAAAACCACATAGAAAATAAAATTTGTAAATTACTCTGATCAAAATATCTTGAGGGTTCTGGTTCTGGACAAGATACATACAGTCGGCATATTCTGCCCACATCTCCCATGAATGGAGCTATAAAACCTGGAACGAATAGGGGAGCACTTCTTTAGGGACTCCTTAGCATCTCCAGGTTTGAACTTAACATAGTCCCAAACTCATACAAGGGCATCAGCACAGAAGAGAGCTTCCAGAGGAGGCTTCCAGCTCTGCTGGAGCAGGGTGAAGATAAGTATATCTTTCCCCACTAAAAGAGCACAGAAAGCATGGTTCTTTTTTCATTTTCTTTCTTTTCTTCATTCTCTTGCACTCCAGTCCCCATCCAGTGATGGTGGAGGTGGCAACAAGTAACTGCAGTAGCTTAAAACCCTGAGAGATAACTTAATTCTGCAATTGGAGGAGCTGGGGTCTCAAGAGGTGGTCAAACTCCATTGCTGTTTTTTCTCTCTGTGTCCTCAACTGTTTTTCTGAGACGTGGACATAGTCAAGGTGAGTATGCAGCCAAACAAGGGAACTAAAACCCAAGATGTTGGGCTAGAGGACTGAAATGGGTGTTTTAAGGAACTTGAAAATACCAGGGAGATGATGGAGAAGGGAAAACTCAGAAAAGTGACCCTTTAAAGTTGTTTACAAGTTCCTGAGACCACCCATGAGCTGTGTGTGTGTGTGTGTGTGTGTGTGTGTGTGTGTGTGTGTGTGTATCTGACCCTAAGCAGATGTTGAGAACAGAACTGCACAGCAGAACACCACCCCCGTCCCAGTCTGGCCACAGTGTGGCACACATGTGGGACAGATCCAAGAGCACTATAGAGGCTTTGAAAGTAGAACCGGCATTGGGACTGCAAACACGGAAGGCTGTTCGGAACTTGCAGCCTGAACCCAAACAGACTGACTGCCCGTAAAACAGTATCAACATTCCCCACAACGGCTGAACAACACCCAGAGTCTCACCACCAAAATCTAATATTCAAAATCTCCATGATGCAATCCAACATTACTCAACATACAAAGAACCAGGAAAATCTCAATCAATGGACATTAGCAATAAGATGTCACAGATGTTGGAATTATCTGACAAAGACTTCAATACAACTATTATAAAAATTGCCAACAAGTAAAGCACTTTGGAAACAAACAGAAAGATAAAATGTCTCAACAAAAAACCCCCAGAAAATATAAAAAAGAGAAAACTGAAAATTTTAGAAGGAAAACATATAATAACTAGAAGAAAAACCTCAATGAAAGGGATCAATGGGAATAAGGACAGAGAAGTGTCAATAAAAATTATACAAGGTGAACAAAAGAGAAAAAAATTGAAAAGAAATAAACAGATCACTTCTGTGGGACAAAATGAAATGGTCCAACATTTATATCCCCAGATTCCCAGAAGAAGAAGAAAAAAAGAGTGACGAAGTGACTAAGAACTTTATAAATGTGGCAAAAAAATGTAAACCCACAAAATAAATTTGGTGAATCCCCAAAAAGATAAGCCCAAATAAATCTACATCCAAACACAGAATAATCAAACTGATGAAAATTAAAGACAAACGGAAAAAATCTTAAAAGCAATCAGAGAAAAACACGTTATTTATAGAGGTAAAACTATTTTAAAGTCTGCAGATTTCTCGTTAAAAACAATGAAGGCCAGAAGGATGTGGCACAGACTATTTAAAGTGCTCAAAGACACAGACAATCAACCCAGAATTCTATACCCAGTGAAAACATCACTAAGGGATGAAGGTGACATTCTCAAATGAAGGAAAGCTAATAGAACTCACTGTCAGCAGACTTGCAGTGGAATAAGCGCTGAAGGAAGTGCTTCATGCAGAAGGGAATTAATACCAGAAAGAGAACTTGGACCACCAGGAATGAAGGAAGAACAAAAATGATGAAGTGGCAGTCTCACACATCAATGTTGGGAATGCAGTCTGGAAAACAGTTTGGCTGTTTCTTATAAAGTTAATCATACACTTATGTCACCAGTAATCCCACTCCTAGGTATTCACCATAGAGAGAGGAAAACATATGCTCTCACAAAAACCTACACGTGAATATATTTTTTTTTTCCTTTTTAGAGACAGAGTCTCGCCCTATCACCCAGGCTGGAGTGCAGTGACACAACCATAGCTCACTGCAGCCTGGAACTACTGAGCTCAAGTGATCCTTTGGCCTCAAACTCCTGAGCACCTGGGACTGCAGGCACGTGCCACCACACCCAGTGAATTTATTATACATTGTTCTGGAAACAGAGTCTCAATAAATTCCAGGCTGGTCTCAACTCTTGGCCTCAAGCAATCCTCCCACCTCAGCCTCTCAAGTCACCAGGATTACAGGCATGAGCCACCACGGCTAGTTGTGTACAGGCATATTAAAGCACCTCTATCTATAACTGGCAAAAACTAGAAATAACCCAAATGCCCTTGAACAGGTGAATGGATAAGCGAACCGTGAACCCCTATACAATGAAATACTGCTCGGCAATAGAAAGGAATGAACTATGGGTAACTGCAACAACTTGGGTGAATGGCAAAGGTATTATGCTGAGTGAATAAACAAGTCTAGCTCAGAAAGTTAAATAATGTATGATTCCACTATTGACATTCTTAAAAAGACAAAGCTACTATAGGGACAGAAAAAAAGACAAGTGGTTGCCAAGGCTCGTGGGTGGAGGTAAAGGCAACTCTAAAGAGGTACCACAAGGCAGCTGCAATTGCTCCATATCCCGATTTTAGCAGTGGCTATACAAAGCTACCCATACTTGTGTTAAAATTCATAGAACTACATATCACAAAAATCTATTTCGGTGTACTAACTTAACTAAAATTTTAAAAAATCTTCCTCAGGAACTTTTTTAAGAAGAAAAAAAAATAAGCATTCATAAAAGTTATCTAAGTCAAGTATCCTGTTAAAATGTGTGTCTATTCCTGCAAGATATTGGGAAGTAGTCAGTAACCTACAATCCGTGGGCCAAAGGCAGCCCACCATCTGTTCCGAGAGCCAAGAATAGTTTTTACACTTTAAAATTGTTGAAAACAACATCAAATGAAGAAGATTTTGAGGCATGCATAAAATTATATGTCCACAAGTTTTAATAAGACATATTGTTTACATATGATCTCTGCCTGCTTTGACACAGGAGCAGAGCTGAAGACCCAAAAAGCCTAAAATATTTACTATCTGATTATTTTTTGGAAAAGGTTTGCTGACCCCCAATCTAAGTCAATACCTGGATCATTTAGTCATGAAATATGAAATGTTGTGTTTTTCTTGACTGATCCCAACTGTCCAAAGACTAGAACACCATCATGTGCCTACAGCCTGTATTTTAGAACCAAGGAAACTCCTTCGTACGGAGCAACAGCAGGGTACACACCGGGATCAGGGAACCAGTTGGCTGGGCAAGGATAGCCAGACCGGGTCTTGATGGCAACTTCCCCTGCAACTGCCCAAAAAGCCAGGGCTCCCAACATCTATCACTTAACAAAGAAAAATGAATGTCTAATTCACCATTCACTTATTTTCAGGGCTCTATCTATTTACAAACACTGTTATCCTTTCAATTCCCTAGCACGTGTCCCATATAACTTTTACAAAAGAAGGAAACATTTCTAGGATGTTGAAAACAACTCAAGATCAAAAGGAGATTTTTAACATCAAATAAAGTACTAAATGTTGGAAGTGCAGGTGTCAAAAAGAAAAAACCTCATATTTCAACAAATCTGGACTGCATTATTTCACATAGCCTGCAAATGGCCTCAAGCCACAGCTATGGCACTGATTTTTGCAGGACAGCTTGAGCTAGTGTGTAGAATATTTTTATACACCTGGCAAAAATATTTTAGAATAAGTCTTTTCTAGTGACACTCACAGAGTCAAGAAAACTCAACACATGATCTTCCTTTAGTTTCTGGAATGCTATCAACAGAGTTCACATTAAGTAAAAACATAAACGCAAAGAACTGCTAATACCAGCATTAAAAATAGTATTGTTCTACAGATCAAATTACTCTTTAAAGCAATGCCTTCCAGGAAGAGGCAGAAATGTCCAGGTTTAGGGACTCTCCTGACCAAAGAAACCCTCGGTTATTTTAACATGGTCTTCTCTAGAGCTGAGGACAGCTTGGGATGTTCTGTCCCATCCTGTTCCTCAAAACTCTAACATGCAGCTTCCTCTGCTGTCTCTCCTCTGAAGAGTCTCACTTTCTCTGTTTCCATGTTGGTCTCCTTCCATGTGTAGAGCAGCTGTCTGCCATATATATCACTGTGTGTGTTTGTCTTCCTCTATCTAAACCACTATCTGTGTTTCTTACTATCTCATTCTATCATTCTCCCTCATCTTGCCATGGATTGGCATGATATATCACACAGCATGTGCTAGATAAAAGTTGGCTGAATTAATTAATTAATCACCCTACAGTGGAAGAATGTGTTCATGTCCTATAATAATACAAACATACATATGCCTGTGACAAAGGGATGGTATATTCAATTTCCATTTTAAATTCTTGCGACAGGTTGTATTTTCCAAAGAAGGCTACAACAATATCTTCCATCTCACATGCTCTCCATATGGTGTCCCCGACACTCCCCCAACAAGAGCTGGAGTCTGTTTCCCCACTCTCCTGAATCAGAGTGGGCCCTGTGATTGCTTTGACCCCCAGAATGCAAAGAAAGTGGCCTTGAGTGCTGGTTCTGAATGAAGCCTGTAAGTGGCCAAATTCCACTTTCTGCCCTTAACACACTCCCTCTTGAGAGAGTCCTTTTTGGAACCCAGCCACCATGCTGTGAGAAGGCCAAGCCACCTGGAGAGGCCACGTATGGGTTCTTGGGTCGAGAGACCCCCCCAGCACCCAACAGCACCACCAACCAGCCATGTCAGTGCGCCATCTTCATGTCTGGCCCAGTTGAGCCTTCAGATGACTGCAGCCCCCACCAGCATCTTACCGCAGCCAGCATCTGACGACAGCCACGCAAGAGACCCCAGGAAAGACCCTGTCAACCCACAGAACTGTGTGCTGTAACAACACATTATCCATTTAAGCCTCTAAATTGTGCAGTAGTGTTTTGTTACACAGCAACAGATAACAAAAACAGATCTGTGGAGGAATTTCATTTTCTCCACAAATAATTATAATAAAAAAATTTACATTACTTATTCACCCTCATTTGTTTTTTCTCCCTTTTCCTGGAAAACAGCATAAAAGAGACTCCTCACTCTTGGTATGATATAACCTGAGTTTATGTCAAAAGGAAAGTTTTCAGATTGTGGCCACTCATGTAAACACACTCGGAGTTACACTCTCAGGCTGGCACCGTTCGTCCTGGGGTGCATCTCGTCGTTTTAACTGTGAATGATGCACCACCACCCAAGGGAAGCCTGACAAATGTCCATGAACCCCAAGATTTCCAATACATCCAATGACTATTCCTCACTTTACTGCCAAACCTTGACGAGGAATCAGGCAGTGTTTACACCACACAGCCAGAATTTGTTCTATTTTTTTCCTGTACAGATTTTTATGAGGCTACTAGTAAGTTACCTCTTCTTTCACCCTAGTATTTCCCAAGTCCTACCTTGGGGCTGGTGTGTTTATAGGCCATTTTATTAAGTGTTCCTTATACTACACATTGCTTATGAAGCAGCACTGTCGACTGCTGAAACACAGGGCGTGCGTTTTATTATATTACAGAGGCTGGGCTGGAAATACAGAAATATGCAGAGTAAGAACTCCCTTAGCAGCTCTTCAGTAGAAATGAGGAAGGCATGGCTCATGGCCGAAGTACCAACATCCTCTGGGGGATGGAGAGGGACCTGGATGCTGTGGTCCCTTACACACTGGGGAAAAGTAAAGGCACCCTGGTGTGTTTTGCATCAATCTATGGAACCAGGAACCAGGCCCATGCAGGTCCACAGGCCAAGTGTCCCCTCGACCATGGCATGACTCAAACATTTTTAACTCTGTAAAAGAACCTAAGTACAGTTTCTCTGAAATTCTTAAACTTCTTGGAGACATGACTATTTAATGTCAACATTTTTGTCATCATCATACTTTCGATTCCAACAGATATTGGATAAGGCTTGCTCCATCAACAGTCTCTGGTCCTGTGGGTCCGGCTTGCTTTTCCGGATACACAGTGTCAACATTGGTTTTCACCCTCCCCTGTCATTCTTGAACTTAACATAAAACTGTACATCGACTCATCTACCACTACCACTGCCTGTGTGCATCGGGCCCATGTCCCACTAGACTACTACTGGAAGCTCTCTCTAGCAAGAGCATTAAAAAGCCACCAGTGGGGCTGGGCATGGTGGCTCACGCCTGTAATCCCAGCACCAGCACTTTGGGAGGCTGAGGCGGGTGGATCACCTGAGGTCAGGAGTTCGACATCAGCCTGGCCAACAGGGTAAAAACCCCATCTGTACTAAAAATAGAAAAATTAGCCAGGCATATGGTGGGCGCCTACATTCCCAGCTACTCGTTAGGCTGAGACAGGAGAATTGCTTGAACCCGGGAGGCGGAGGTTGCAGTGAGCCAAGATCGTGCCACTGCACTCCAGCCAAGGTGACAAAGCAAGAATCCATCTCAAAAAAGAAAGAAAAGAAAAAGCCACCAATGGGAACAAAAAGTGTCACAGGGCCTTCTTTGTTGCAATCCCACAGACATCTGAAGTGCATTTGAGCCACGGCAGATGTACACACCACCTCCACTGGAACACACTGTACCCAGCCCAGCAATATATATAGCTGTGTTGACAGCACTGTAATTTATCCAGCGCCGAGCAGCTGAATCTCAGAGTCCGAAGCCGTGTTCTACATCCAGATTCTTCCATCAAGAGATGCCTTCAGGGGAACCTTTTCCTCCCCTGAATATTCAGGCTGTAAATTACCTTTGACAAATTAACTTTCGCTTCTCCTCAGAGATAAATTTTAAAAGGAGGGCACTAAGAGAGCAGATTAAAGGCTTTCTGTCTGGGGTCCTATTGAATTGGTTGGGGGAGTTGGGCTTCTTTTGCTCTGATGAACACTTACAGCCTGTAATTTGGTCTCTGCCCATAGAAAATCAAGTCAGGGCATGAGAAAGTGATCGCATCCACCTGGAAGGGGGCTGACGAAGCCTCCCTCCCAGACAGGGCCTCAAGGAATCACCCCACTTAGGGGAAGAGAAAAGACCCTTCATTTTCACTCCACTGACATGAAACCCAATCTGCTTCAGAGCAGGATTACCCCAGTAAAAGGTGCTCTGTGGCGGCCACTTGGCCACCTGCACCGGTTCAGGAGGCTCTGCACACTCGCTCCTCATTTCTGCCTCGTGAAAGTGGCACACGTGTCCCAGGACTCAACCACAGCTGCTCACAAACCTGCTTAGGCCAGCTGCACTTATTCTACTCATTAAATTATGTAATTAAGTATTTAATTGATGAACTATAAACATTAAAAGTTTTATCTAGAAAAACTAAGTTGGCTTTGAAAAGCCTCCATACAATGAAAAAAAATCCGTGTTCGAAAGAAGCCTAGGCGATAAAACAGAAAATGACTAGGAAAATACTGTAAACATCTGACCTCAGCCTGCTTCACAGATTTCTTCCCGTTGTCATATGACTTCTAAAGAAACCAAAACTGAAAACTCTGTACTATAAGCAAGAAAGACAACTGGGCCGGGCGTGGTGGCTCACACCTGCAATCCCAGCACAGAAAGGCCGAGGTGGGTGGATCACCTGAGGTCCCGAGTTTGAGACGAGCCTGACCAACATGGACAAACCCTGTCTCCACTAAAAATACAAAATTAGCCAGGCATGGTGGCGAATGCCTGTAATCCCAGCTACTCGGGAGGCTGAGGCAGGAGAATCACTTGAACCCCAGAGGTGGAGGTTGCAGTGAGCTGAGATCGCCATTGCACTCCAGCCTGGGCAACAAGAGCGAAACTCCGTCTCAAAAAAAAAAAAAAGGAAAGACAACTGAGAACTCCTCTATCAGCTGATTCTCACCAAAAAGCCTTGGCCTACCTCAAAAAATTGGTAAATTAACGGACACTTACATGATCTAAATGGAACAGAATGTTTAACATATGGGTGGATCATTTTATTACATTTTCTCCAACTTTAGAAGACATTTTGAGTTATGCCAACCAATTAACGGTCCCAGGATCAGAGAGTGAGCAGACTTCTACTCTAACTTCAACATGTAATTCCGTAAATGAAATGCCTAGAGATATCCTGCAAGTGCTTTCACATTTTTGTGAAGAAGAATTGTTTAAATGAACAAGAATTTGACTAAATCAAAAGTAACAAACATCTGGTAATAGGGAGTATTGTAGAAATGCCAGTATTTCTCTGATTCCACTCAACAAAGTTGTGGAAATGTAGATGCTTTGAAAAGAATGTCCCAGTGCCCTAAAGGAACTAATTGTTTAATTTTCTCATTTTAAGAGCCAGCAGAAAATAGCAAAAGGTCTATTGCAGTACTTCTCAAATTATGATACCCACCAGTGAACAATGCTGGATTGACCATGCTTTCTTTATTTTCCTTCCTAAAAGTCCTACAAAATGATAAGAATGAAACAAAGTAAGAAAGCCATAGCCATACAGAGAACATGAGAAAGGTCACAAGACGTGCCAAGATAAGAAAACAAATCACTCCAGGGGAAACAAAGATGATTCAAGAGCCAAAAGAAAGAAAATGAAGTTTTCAGAGACATTCTCTGGAGGTGAGAGAGCTCCAGAAATGTACAGAAGAAAGCAAGTCAACAGACACATAGCACAGCAAGCCAGGGAAGCTAGCACACGGACGATCTTTGCATGGGGAGTGCCACTAAAAGATAAAGCAGCTTTATAAGGGGGGTCCAAGTGGCTCCCTCAGCCACAGGAAGACTCAGAACCTGGAAACACCAGGTTCATCAGAAAGCAAGGTGGGGTAACAAACAATGAGATTGAGTGTGAATGTATAGATGGACACATGGAAACCCAAATGGCCAACTGCTATCTCAACTGAGCTCGGAGCAGACCTGGCACTCAGGCATTTCTACCTTTCTCCTAATCCCTGCAGGGGGCAAAAAAAAAAAAAAGTGTGTTTGTCATTAAAATTAAAATAAGGCCAGATGCAGTGGCTCCCACCTGGAATCCCAGCACTTTGGGAGGCCAAGGCAGGTAGATCACTTGAGGTCAGGAATTCAAGGCCAGCTTGGCCAACATGGTAAAACCCCATCTCTACTAAAAATGCAAAAATTAGCCAGGTGTGCAGGCGCCTGTAATCCCAGCTACTCGAGAGACTGAGGCAGGAGAATCACTTGAACCTAGCAGGCGGAGGTTGCAGCGAGCCAAGATAGCACCACTGCACTCCAGCACGGGCGGCAGAGCCAGACTCTGTCTCCAAAAAAAAAAAGTGAAATGAAAGTGAAGGCCTCAGGAAGGGACTTGTATATCTTGGTACCCAGGGTCCCTGGTAAAATAGCCAGTCCCCGACACCAAATGTGAAGTGAAGTTCACCATCCACGCATGCAAACTCTCCAATTGTGAGCTATTGCTTGAACCAAGAATTAACCAAGAATAACCAGACATCTGCAGAAAGCTCCCAATATGAAACAGAGGTGCCAAGATAAGAAAACAAATCACTCCAGAGGAAACAAAGATGACTCAAGAGCCAAAAGAAAGAAAATGAAGTTCCAGAGACATTAGAGAAGGCATTGCCTTCTTAAAATATCATCAGAATGCAATAAAAAATAGAAAAGAAGGTATTGAAATCAAAATAGGATTCCAACATTAAAAGGAAAATTCAACTGTAGGATTGAAAGATAAAGCTGAAATTCCACAGTGAGGAGAAGAAAGAAGTAAAGAGGAGCTTCAGAAAGAACAGAAAAAAAGTGGGAGAGAGGAATATTTTCTAAAAGGACACGAAGAGCATCACCAAGCTGAACGACTCAAGTGTCCATATGAAAAGGGCCAAGCCACAACTGAGAACGAACAAAAGACATGCACATTTAACACATCATAATGAACTCCAGGGTACACAGAAGATCCCAAAACCCCTCCAAGCAAAAACAAGTCACCAGAAAAGGAATGAGGCTTCAAGTGGCAGTGAACCGCTCAGAAGGCAGCACAGGGTGCTGGGAAGACTGTGGGGTGACATTCCAAAGAACATGACGTGCAACTGAGAATGATACCCAAACTATCAAGCACGTGCAGGTGGAAATTACAAGGACTCAGAAAACTTACCCTTTAAATGCAGCTTCCTACATTTGTGTCTCCTCTTCCCATCCCTCTCTATTCTCTTTCCAACCTCACTCACCACCATACACACAAGGTTTCATCCATACTTCCTGAAAGAAGGTGATCAAGAAGTTCCAGGAATGCTTCAGATCAGCCTGTCAGGGGGTACATGGCTATCCATAAGTCATGTGCCCAATCTAAGTGGACGGGGACAGAAAGACACAGGATGACCTCCCCAGTAAGGGGTCTTGCGACCAGAAGAGGATGAAGAAGATCAGATAACTACTATGGTGTTCAGGAAAAGAAGATAGATACCTATACAGGGGAAATGAGTGATCTAAATGTACCCAAAATACTGAATATTTAGGAGACATATTAGGTGTTGCCAGACAACAATTACAATCACTCCTAAGAGTCAATTCTCACTCAGCCTCTAATGAAGAACCATCACCAATGACTTTATCAAACCATTTTATAACTGGAGTTCATTATATAGCAGCTATTCCTGCTATGCCTATTGACAGACTAAATTACACTTATGCAAGCCACTTCATCTCCCAGGTTTAGATTTATGCTAAAACAGGAGAAGGAAGTACCACGGTGTAATAATACCTGCCCCAACCTGGGTGGGAGAGTGTCAGGCTTATAATTAGATTACATTTGCAAACAGTTCCAGAGTTCCCCAGGGAGAAGGGTTATAAATAACTCAAGGTATTCTTTTCCCCAAAGATAATCAATTATTTTCTCATCAAAAGGAGGCTAACAAAGAAAGGGTTTAAGGATGAGGACCCCATAATTTATGTAAGCCTCCAGCTTTAACAAGATTTCCAGAGTGTTCAGAACTTCACAGGGACCCAGTACTGGCTCTGGCTTCCTCCAGCAAATGGAATATTTATAGCAGCTGAGAAATCCTTTCATTGCTAGGAAAAAAAACACCCTAGAGTAGCCCTTAGATGGGATACATTCATTAAATTCATTTAATCTGCACACTGATGTGGGGCAAGGGAAATGGCAGGAAGCAGGTAAGAATGAAAGAATTTTGCCTCAACAGATCAAAATTGCGCCCTCCCTTTCCTGGGCTTCAGGGTCCTGGGCTCCTTCGCACCTCCATGGCCCTTCTTCTCCACCTGGTGAGGATGATTCACCCCTCATGGTCAGCTCCTGAGGCCAGACTCTTCTTCTGCAAAGCCTTCCCAGCCTTGCCTGGCAGAAGTGGGTTTTTTCTTTAGGTCCTCATGGTGTTTCATGCAAACCCACCTGAGAGCATCTCCCAAGTTATTCATTTCTTGGACTCTTATTATAAAATGTAGTTTCCTAAGGACAGAGTCTGGGTTTATTCATTGTCAGTAATCCCAGAAGCTCCCCCCTTGCACATCCAGTGCCTGGCTGGGCTCAAATTGGTCCAGTTCACCTCTTTGGAAAGCCACTTGGAGGCTGAAGCCAAACCATAGCCCATCATTCTCTGAGAAGCACACTCAGCGGAAAGAGCCCTTACTCCTTACAGACCAAAATTAAAACCCAACTACACTTCCAGAATCCCCCAACAAGAAACTCATTACAGAAAAGCTGCACTTTAAGAAACAAAGACGGGGGCCGGGCGCAGTGGCTCACGCCTGTAATCCCAGCACTTTGGGAGGCCGAGACGGGCAGATCACGAGGTCAGGAGATTGAGACCATCCTGGCTAACACGGTGAAACCATGGTGGCAGGCGCCTGTAGTCCCGGCTACTCAGGAGGCTGAGGCAGGAGAATGGCGTGAACCCGGGAGGCGGAGCTTGCAGTGAGCCGAGATCGCGCCACTGCACTCCAGCCTGGGCGACAGAGCGAGACTCCATCTCAAAAAAAGAAAAAACAAAACAAAACAAACAATAAAAAAAAAAAAGACAAATCCAAACAACATTGTTCCCAAAAGCCACAGAAATTGGTCAAACATGGGAAAAGGATCTCTTAATGGGTGCATCACCAAACGGACATAGGGCTCCATTTCCAGGAAGGGAGATGAGTAATCGGAACAGACTGGGCCACTGCACCACACCAAGGGCCTGGCCCAGGAAGACCTCCACCTTGGTAGGGCCTTGGAGGTTCAGGGAAAGTGATGATGTCCTTATAATGTTAAAGACAGAGGACAAGCAGTAAGAGAGAATGCTGATCCCTTTTTCTTCTCTACTTCCTTTTTCCAAAGTTATCTTTTATTTATTTTCTGAGTGGGAGTGGGTGTGGGTGTGTGGGTGTGGGGGGGTGTGTGTGTGTGTGGACACATGAAACAAAATTCAAAAGTCACAAGAGTGAAAGACTTTCTTCTACTCTTTTTCCCCAGCCACCCATGTCCCCCACTGCAGAGGCAATAACTTCAGCTTTCTTTAAATAATTCATAAACCCTTCAACACTTTTGATATACACTCACGCACTTATGCAGGTACCTGAGCAGGAGGTCAGCTGGGCCTTGGAAGAGCCCACTCTCTTCCTTCTATATATTAAGTAATGCAACATCAAGGTATGCCCACCAAGAAACAAATCCCAGGAAAAGCCCAGGGTCTAACCAAAGTCTGGGTGCAGCAGACTAAGTGAACACCTCATCGTGTATCTAGACAGTCCTATTAACTTAGACAAGAACTGCAGAAAGTCTAGTTCCAACTCCTTCCACGTGTCCATCTTTGCTTAAAATCAGAGCTTTTTGCCTCTGCTTGCACTCATTTTTTCTGAGAAGATTCTCAGAAATGTTAAGGAGGTCAATACTAAGTTTTTCATCACAGTAGAAGTCAACAGATGTTACTACAATACAAAGCATAGCTCCTAATTATTATCGGCTGAATTGTGACCTCCAAAATTCGTATGTTGAAGCTGTAACCTCCCATAGCTCAGAATGTGACTGCATTTGGAGACAGAACCTTTGAAGAAGTAATTAAGCTAAAATAAAGTCATCAGGGTGGGCCCCAATGCAGTATGACTTGTGTCCTTATAAGAAAAAAAAAGGACACACACACAGTAGGATGACCATGTGAAGACACAGGGTGAAGACACCATCTGCAAGCCAAGGAGAGAGGCCACAGGAGAAACCAGCCCTGCTGAAACCTGGACCTCAGACTTCTGGCCTCCAGAACTAGGATGAAATAAATTTCCATTGTATAAGCCCTTAAGTCTGTGGTGCATTGTTACAGCAGTCCTAGCAAACTAATGCCGTAATAAAATATATTTAAAGCATTTGTAGGTGCATCAGCTATAGATATTCCAAAGCAGGATTATAACCCACTGGATAAAACAGTAGTGCTGTGAGCACACTAATACAAGTAAATCCATGAATATAGTGAGAGCCTGATGAGGTTGACGGTTTCCAAGAACCTCCCCACCAAATACCAAATGCTGATTCATTTGAAAGGGAAGGCCTAACAGATGCCACCTCAGCCAGTCAATCTCATCAGTTAGGGGACAAAGTGACCCTGTGCACCATTCAAAAACAGCACTGAAAACGATTTCTACAACATTGTTTCTGCAATGGGCCTGCCCATATACAAAGCCTGATAAACAGAAGTTGTGGGATTTCCTACAAAATAACCTGCCTGCACTCTTCAGAAATGTCAAGGTCATGAAGGTCAAGGGCAGGCTGGGAAATGTTCCAGACTGGAGGAGACTCCAGAAGCACAGAGCCAAATGACCCTGCAGTGAATCCTGCTGCTCAAAGGGACATTACTGGGACTGCTGTTGCAACTGTCCAGATTGGGGTCTGATGGTGGTCATGCATCTGTTCTAATTTTGTGATTTTCATGATGGTTGTATTAGGATTATGTACAAGAATGTTCTTGTTTGTAGAAAATACATACTAAAGCATTTTGGGGGTAATGGGACATCTTGCCAGCCGCTTACTTTCAGATGGCTAGAGGGGGGAGAAGGAACTTCCATATACTCTACTTGCAACTTTCCAGTAAGTTCTGAACTTCACAAATATAACTTGGAAAAACTGAAAAAATCCTACATATTGAAAACGAGTGGAGTGTTTGATCTGTTACAGGAAATGGCACTTGACTAGATAATATGCAACCATTAAAATTGATTATTATAAAAACACCAAGTAGGTAACAAGAAAAACATGTTTATGAAATAAAACCATGTCAGTATGATCACAAATGTGTTAAAATGCTAGTACAATGAGTCCTATGTCCTCACTTGACATCATTGATAAGGTTCTTAGAAACTCCAACTTTAAATGAAATGACATACTGTATGCTGCAAGAACTTAACTCTTGTTTATATCTGTTAGTGTATGGTAAAATCAGTTTTGTTATACAGTATGTCATTTCACTCGAAGTCGCAGTTTCCAAGAGTCTATCAATGCTGTTAAGTGAAGACTTACTGTTAGTACTCCTTTTTTGATGGTGAGTTATCTCCAGCAGCATAGTTACAAATAATTTTTGTTTCCTTATTTATACTATTTTTCTTCTAAATACTGACATACATGTATTAATTTTATCATGAGGTGAAAAAATTAGGGAGGACGAGCACTCCTGAGCTATCAGGCCTCATTAGCGAAGGTGATTAGCAAAGACAAAACAAGACCAGGGGAATTATCACACGGAGAGAGGGTTTGTAGAGAAAAGCCCGACAGGGGCAAAGAACCTCCTGAGATGAAGAAGGATGAGGGGAGAAATTCGAGGAAAAGCACTGAGGCATCTGAATTTTGAGGGCTTGAAAGAAAGTTCTACTAAAGGAGTAGGAGGGCAGGCGAGGCCCTCAGGCTGGGCAGCAGTATGTGTCGGGCATCTATCTAGCTGGGCAAATGGAGTGTAGGGTTCCACACAGGAGCCACCTCTCCTTGTCATGTACAGGGAGAAGCCTGAGGAGCCTACAATTAGGACAGTTTGGTTCCTGTCCTTTCGACCTTGAATGAGAACCCAGAGCTCACAGCTCAGTCTATAGAACTAGCCTATGACCAGCCAGGCACGGTGGATCATGCCTGTAATTCTAACACTTTGGGAGGCTGAGGCGGGTGGATCTTGAGGTCAGGAGTTTGAGACAAGCCTGGCCAACATAGTGAAACCCTATCTCTACTAAAAATACAAAAAATTACCCAGGCATGGTGGCGGGTGCCTGTAATCCCAGCTACTAGGGAGGCTGAGGCAGGAGAATCACTTGAACCCAGGAGGCGGAGGTTGCAGTGAACCTAGATCATGCCATTGCACTCCAGCCCAGGCGACAATGTGAGACTCTGTCTCAAAAAAAAAAAAAAAACTAGCCCATGACCAAGACAATCCACTCCCCATGAGAGCTGGAAGGTGGTCTCCAATTGACCATGAAGAGGCAGTGAAAATGCTGAACGAAAAAATATATACAACAAGCCTCCACTTATCAAAAGGTCAAAAACAGGCAAAACTAAGCAATCTGCTGTTTATGGATTGTTATGAACTGAATTGTGTCTCTCCAAAATTGTACCTTAAAATCCTAACCCCAGGACCTCAAAATATGACTGTGTTTGGGGATAAGGTTTTTAAAAGAGTAATTCAGTTAAAATGAAGTCATTAGGGTGGACCCTAATCCACGAAGACAGATGTCATAAGAAGAGCAGATGAGGACTCAGACACAGAGAGGTGCCCACGTGAAAACAGAGGGAGAAAGGCGCCATCTGCCAGCCAAGGAGAAAGGCAGGAGAAGTCACCCCTGCTGACACCTGATCTGGGACTTCCAGCCTTCAGAACTGGGAGAAAGTAAATGCCTGTTGTTTCAGCAGCCCAGCCTGTGGGACTTCGTTATGGCAGTCCCAGAAAACTAATAGAGATATATACTACAGGTTGAATATTTCTAATCTGAAACAAGAACTCAAAGTGTTTCAGACTTTGGAACATTTCAGAGTGCCAACATGATGCTCCAAGGAAATGCTCACTGGAGTACTTCAGATTTCGGATTTTTGGATTAGAGATGCATAACCTGTATGTATGGTACAAAACCCAAATCTGAAACACTTCTGTTTCCAAGCATTTCAGACTAAAGGATAGTTGGCCTGTCCTATATGGCAAAACTACAAAGTACAGGAATTATTAACACAAAACAGAGGACCATCACTACCTTGGAAGACGAGATCCAGAAAGCTTCACAGGAACTGGGGATGAAGTTCAATCTCTTCAACAGGGTGGGAGTCACTCAACTTGTTCATTTCATCACTCTTCATGTTTCCCACTCACATTTTCTTCACTGTTTTGTACGGATGATATAAAATTATTAAGGTGATAGATGGAGCTCTGTAACAGCACTGTCCAATATAGTAGCCACTAGCCACATGGGGCCCTTTACATTTAAATTAATTAAAATCAAGTAGTAAGATCAGAAATGCAGTTCTTCATTCACACTAATCATATTTCCAGTGCTCAATAGGGACATGTGGCTGCAGGCTACTGATTTGGACATGACAAATATAGAACATTTCTATCATTGTAGAAAATTCTATTGGACAGTGCTGCCCAACAGAATTTGATGGACAAGAGGCCTTGGAATGAGACTCCTACGCACCAGAACCCTCTCTCACTCCAAACAAGAAACACACCCCACCCACTGTACTACTGCCCATCACACCTCTGAAGTGTCCTTGCAGGAAGTTAGTGAATCATTTCCAACAGAGCCCTTGCTAGCGCTTAAATCACCACCAAAATCCCTTCCCCTTCCAAGGTCCTGGTGGCCTCGGAACCCCCTTCTCAGCCCCCTACCCAGGGCCCCTATCTAGCATGAGTTGCATCTGGAGGTAAAATCTCAGGGGATTTCACACCAATGCAGTGCCATGTTATGGCCATTGAGACAAGTACACAAAAGAAACCCAGAGAGAAAGCACACTCACCATCCTACCACGGAGCTAGAACCAAAGCTCACTCAACAAAAATGGAGCTGAAGGAGTCACCAAAGGGAAGCTCTGTACTTCTGAAGTCAAGGTACTTGAGTACTAATCCCTTTCTTTTCTCTCTGGTTTCACCAATCTGATCATCTGTCAATTAGGTTTCAGTTTGACCTGTCCCTCATTCAACACCATCTCATAAAACCCACCTCTCCTGTCTGTGTGATGGCTTCTGCTGAAATACATCCAAATAAACACAGGCAGCAACAGACCAGCCAAGGCTGTTCAGATAAGCATTTTAGATCTCAACCAGCAGGGATGTGTGTTGGTGGGTACCCCTGTGACAGGGAGTCTCAGTCTCCTCCAGGAGTCATGGGGGGTGGGGGGAGGCTTCAGGCATGACTTGTCTAATTGGCCTACAAAAAGAATTACTTACTCTCCACTTACCTTTGATTACCTTTAAAAAAAAAAAAAAAGGCTTGCGGGGGGCCTTCTAGGTACAGAAATTCTGTATTCTCCATTCCCCAATCCCCAGGCCTGGTTTTCTAAGATAATTTTTAATATTGCCAGAATATTAATGCTGAAGGGTTTTATCTAAATCTTCTCCCTGATCTGACGATATCTGACAAACTCATTACTCTCTTGGATTTTTGGCTGGAACTGGAGCTAACACATCCTGCGGGCTGTCATACACATTCAAGACTCTTCCCATCCACAGACCATAACATGTCTCCATTTCCAGTTTGGCAAAATTTTTTAGTCTTTTTTTTTTCTAAATGAATGTCAGGATATAATCTGGATACATATTAACATGCACAGAACTGAGTCCAAAAACGCTTTGAGGCCAATTTTTAAAATCATATTTTCTAAATTAAGTCATCAACTTCCTGTGCTGGGAAGTGATCAGTTGGTTGGGGAGACCATTTTATTGCCTTAACTTGGTATTTTCTGTGTTATCACTGCAAGCTTACAAAGCCTTAAGAACTTAAAGCCTCGCGAACTTAAAGAGCTAACAAGCCTGTGTGTGGCTCACGAACCCCACCCCTGGTAGTTCTCAGAACCCAACATTGCAAAGCCAGCAGCTCTCTCTAGTTCCCACCTTTCTCCAAAATATTCTCTGGAAGGCATGAGCCTCTGCATCCCAATTCTCTCCCATTTGTCAATCAAACCCAAGGAAACTCCTTTCCAAATGGCAGTGTGGCCTGCAGCTGGCCAGAGAACAAAGCGGGAAGGCAAACAAAGAGCAAAGGGCACCGGAAAACTTTAAAAAGGAGCCTTTGTTGAAGCTTTGGGGGTTGGGGGGCGGTAGGGCAGGGTGTGGAGGGAGATGGGGATGTCTATCACTCCAAAGGCCCTACTGTGGGATCTCCAGGCGGGAATAACCATCCTTCAAGGGCTTTGCTTTTAATAAAACCTAATTCTCAGCCCATTATCTCCATTCCTTGCACAGAGTGGAGGGGCTTGGGATTCCCCAGGACTGAGCAGCGTGTGGCTCCCGCCTGGGCCTGCACCAGGGTGGCTATGACATGGGACCTAAGGGAAGGAGAGGCCAAATGCCTGGGTGAGACCGAGATCTGGAAACATGCTGGTCCCCGCCAAAATGTAATTCCAAATAGAAATAACAGGGAACCCTAAAAGTGATCTACAAAAGCCCTGCCCCAAGGTTCTGATTTTTCTCCCACATGACCACTGTGATGCGTTTAAATCAAATCAACGAATCAAAATACCTAGGTCTTATCTAAATCCTGTTGAATAACACACAAAATAAAACAAAACTCATGAAATAAACAGGAAAATGTGAACTGTGAATATTTTATATTAGGAAGTGCCTTTTTAAGTAGCAGTATGGTTTCCTTTTTTTTTTTTTTTTTTTTTTGAGACAGAATTTCACTCTTCTTGCCCAGGCTGGAGAACAATGTCGCAATCTCAGCTCACTGCAACCTCCGCTTCCGGGGTTCAAGCGATTTTCCTGCCTCAGCCTCTCCCGAGTAGCTGGGATTACAGGTGTGCACCACTACGTCCGGCTAATTTTGTATTTTTAGTAGAGACGGGATTTCACCATGTTGGTCAGGCTCGTCTCGAACTCCTGACCTCAACTGATCCACCCGCCTCAGCCTCCCCAAAGTGCTGGGATTACAGGCATGAGCTACCGCCCCCGGCCATGGTTACTTTTTAAAAGGCGCATTTATCTTCTGGAGACATAAAGATGCCATCTTAAAGGGGTTTCACATTTAGAGGAGCAGGAGAGGAGGCCATGTGAACAGCCCAGATTGTTGGAGCCAGCGGGGACCCACCAGGGCCATCATTCTCCCCCTCCCCTCGCCATTTCCAGGGTGCAGAGCTAGACAGAACTGGACCGACAGCGTGGGCCGGTAGACGTCGGCGTGTGTCTACACCACGGCCTCTGCACACCCACTTGCTTCCTCCCCACACCGCGATCTGTCTACACCAGGGTCTCTGCTTACACCACCGACTGTGCACCCACGCACGGCGCGGCAGCCCCTCCGCCCGAGTCACAGCCTCTTCCTGCCCTCACGAGGGGACCCGCGACCACCACTCCCCCGCCCCGCCCTTCCCGGCAACCCCCGGCCCGGGCTGCTCCGGAGGGTTAAGCTATCCCTGACCACACCGCCTCTACTCGGGAAATACAAACCAAATTCCGCTCCCGGGATGAGGTTTCTCTTCTCCTGAAGAAAATCAGGTTTTTCAGCTTGGGGGTGGGAAGGCCGTAATTGCAGGACTCAGGGGTGCTTTGCCTGCAGCAGGGAGATTCACAGATGAAAGGAAAAGATAACGTTACCTGCTGGGGCATCTTTCTTCTCACCACAGGTCACGAACCCACTACTTACCATTTAAGAGCCCGCAGGAGAGGATTCCTAGGGATATATAAATACAGACCCAGAAGGGACTCCCCTGACAGTCAGACTGCCTGCCGTGTCTTTTATCCAGGACTGTCGGGAAATACAACCTCTTCAAAAATCCCGAGTGAGGCCGCTTTCAACTTCTCTGGCTCCCAGAGCAGATGCACAAAGGCAAGGCTTGCTAGGACCCCTGCGGTCGAGGGCCTTGGGTTGCTACTCCAGGTGACAGCCTCCCATCCTAGGCAAAGGGTACATTCGTGGGGAGGAGGAAATCTTTTGAGAGTTCCATTTCTAACATCCAATTATTTGAAAGTTGCCATCGGTTTTATAGGTTTGGAAACACAGTATTTTAATTTGGTATGTAATATTTCAGATGCATTCCAAAAAAGTGAATGAACACACCAGGCCAAATGAAAGGCTTATTCTTTTCTCGAGCCCCCCTCCAATGGCACCCACAATCCTGAGTTTATATTAATATAGTACTTCCCTACAGTATGTATCCCAGAGCAGTACGCAAGATTTCCTTGCATAGGTTTAACCTTTACATAAATATCAAGCCTCCTACAACTTGTATTTCCTGCTCAATGCTAAGCTGTGAGATCTATGTTTGAACATGTGGCTCCAGTCAATAAATATATCACAAGTTTTTTCCCACTGTTCTGTGGGTGAACATTTGGGTTACTTGCAGTTTTTGCAAATTCCAAAGCTGTTATGAACATTCCCCTTATGGTTTCCTTGCGCCCTTATCTGAGGGGTTCTCTGACCTATGCCTGGGAATGCAATTGCACTGAGTAGGAGAAGCATGATTCAGCTTTTCCAGTAATTGCTAAATTGCCCAATAATGTAGGTATAACGGGGCGTACAAATTCAACGCCCTCCAGCAGCTTCTTCTCTCCATAACACTTTTTTTCTCTTTTTTTTTTTTTTTTTTTTTGAGATGGAGTCTCACTCTGTCGCCCAGGCTGGAGTGCAGTGGTGCCATCACAACTCACTGCAACCTCTGCCTCCCGGGTTGAAGCAATTCTCCTGCCTCAGCCTCCTGCGTAGCTGGGATTACAGGCACGAGCCACCACTCCCAGCTAATTTTTGTATTTTTAGTAGAGACGGGGTTTTGCCATGTTGGTCAGGCTGGTCTCAAACTCCTGACCTCGTGATCTGCCCGCCTCGGCCTCCCAAAGTGCTGGGATTACAAGCGTGAGCCACCATGCCCAGCCTCCATAACACATTTTTGCCAACACTTCGTATTGTCAGACTTCTATATTTTTGTAAATTTGATGGCATCAATGCTTTTTCTAGACTTTTGTGAATTTGATGTTACTTCCTTGTGATTTTAACTGTGTTTCCCAGGTTCATGAGTGTTTGGAAGGTCTCCTCCTAGTGAACTGCCTGTTTATATTTTTGAGATCCATTTATTTAGAGCATAGCTGAACATGGATTTAAAGACTTAAAGGTACAAACAATGGACTACAAACACCACTGCTCAATGGGAAGCAAATAGTGCCAGATTAGAGGACGCAGATGCAGGAACACACCTGGGTAAGAATCACAACCTCCTCTTCCACTGGACGCTGATACCCTCCTGCAAGACTCAATGAAGACACCATTTCATCCTAGATCTCTAGCCACTACTGCAAGACACTCCTAAAACTCCTTCCTGGCTTAATGTCTCTGTCCTACCCAGGAACAAGTGAAGCCAGGCTGGGATGCGATTGAAGCTGTAATCAACACTTCTGCCTCCCTGCCCATGCGTCCTCTTCCACTCTGCTCTCAGAGGGTGATCGAGGCCACACCACTTGCTCAGAAATGGCAGAATAAAACATGTGTCCATGTGCATTAATAAGAAACAAGGGGCAACTGGACAAAACGAGCAGGAGGAAATCACTGGCAAGACTGGAAAGGGGCTGGCAATGCTCAGAGACCTCTGGCTGGCTGTGTCCTGCACGGGAAGCAATGTCCTTTCTTTATTCACTCCTCTCTGCTGCCAAAGCCCACTCTAGTGTGACAGGCTGTCCACGAAGCAGGTTGGTGAGGTTCTTCCTTTTTTTTTTCATGTTTATGGCTCTTCCATTTTTTTCATGTTTATGGCTCTCCCATTTTTTCTTTGCTTTCTAACTGACTCTGAACAACTTCTTGGAAAAACAAATGATCACAGAATAACCTCATTTGGAAGAGAGACCGTGTAATAAAATAGAGAGCTGGAGCTTCATTCCCCCATGCCTAGCCAATAAAATACTAAATCTTACTTTCCAGTGAGACCAGTAAGAGGATTCCACAGTCCTGGGACACTTCCTGAGAGTGGGAACACCTGGTACCAAGGAAGGAGCAACCGCTGCCTGCAAAGCTGAAGCTGCCGAGTGTGGGACCCACTCCCAAGCCCTGAGTGAGGACAGGGACAAGGACAGAGGAGCCAGGAGTCCCAGGGCCCCAGGCACACAACGCTGGGCCACTGGGCAGATCACACCCTCAGGTGGACACACTGTGAAGGTGCCTGTCTCAAATCTATACCATGAAGGCGCCCCAATAGGACAGAGAAGGTATGTCCACACACACTAGACATACTGCATGCTAGACGTGGTTGGGGGGTGCCTCGGCGTCTCTGTTTCTGTTGCCAGGCGACTCCAGACCTAGAGCTGCTGACCCTCTCTGTGTGGACCCGGACAGACCCCCTCACTCTGTACAGGCTGCATAGCTGCCCACACCTACAGGGCGGGCCAGAAGACCACTACGGTCCCTTCCATCTGAAGCAGTCAGTGGGCTCATGACAAATGCCAAAGCCAACATCAGACGCCAAAACTCTCTGCACACAACACACTAACTCCCTAAAACTGGGCCAAGGACCTGGCTTTGGAAAGGCTAACTCAGGAATTTCTTGAAGTCCAAAAACTTAGCGCTAAGCTTTATAATCTACATTTGTGCACCCCGCCTCCTTGAGGAGCCTTCAGAGGGAGAAATGATATTGTTTTATGGCTGACCCACACGGAAGACACACTCTGCACAGCAAAAGGCTCCAGAATAATCCTGGCTTCGGCCCATAAGAACAGTGGGTATAATATTAGCGGGGAGGGGGTTACCATTCCTGTAGCCAAAGCTCCTGGCTGAGCCAACCAGAACAGGCAAAAAGTCTCCAGGGCTTTTTCTCCCACACTGACTGGACCCCAGGGCAGGGGAGTTAGTGGCTTCAGCCAAGTGAGTAGTAAGAGCCCAGTGAGGGTCAGAGGTGTTCTTAGGATGGATTGCTCTTTTCTTAGAAAATGGCAACTTCTTTCCCTCTTTCTGGAAGAAAGTCAGAAGAGAAAATCCAGAACCAGAGAGCAGCCCAAAGGGCCACCGATGGAGACACCAGCAGGACCAGCAAGGACCCACCTTGGGTACGGACCCAGGCACAGGGGCCAGGGAGCCACTGTCGGCCTCAAGCAGGGAAACGCTAACTGTGGAATGAACGAGTTCCACATAAGGAGGCAGGAATCTTCTCCTGTAAAGCTTTTTCTTCATTTCTTTTTCTTTGATATTCACTAAGAAGACTTCTCATACCTTTTGGGATTTTGATTAACAACAAACATAAGTAAGTGTTATGGTTTTCTTCTCGTAGACGCTGCACTCCTTATTAAACTTATAGATGCTGTACTCCTTATTAAACTTATTCCTAAGTGTTTTATAGTTTTTGGTTCAAAGAGGCCCCTAGCAATGCATCCGGAAGCTAATGGGTTTCCTATGTTAATTAACATGTGGCCACCTTGCTCTCCTTAAGTTTCAATAGTTGTCAGTTGATTCCCTTGAATTTTCCAGTTTATTACCTACAAATAGTGAGAGCTTGCTCTTATCTTTTCTAATTATCGTATTGGCTGGGACGACCAGAGCAGCACTGGACAGTAACGGTGACAACAGAAATCTGTATCTTCTCCTGTGTTTTACCTTGAAATGGAATATTCACTGAAGATCTTTGAAAGAATCCTTTTATGGAGTTAACTAGGCCTATTTTGCTAATGTCAGCAAAGAATGCTGACATTTAGCACAAGCATTTATAGCATCCACTGAGATGATTTTTCCCTCTAAAATTAAAATGCCCTCATGTGGATTTTTTTAATGCTGAACCATCCCAGAATTGCTGTTGTTCTTTTAACATAGTACCAGGGCTTATTTGCTAAATTCTATGCAGGACTTTTCCATCTCTATTTTCAAGTGTTCAGAGGGCATCTGTAGTTTGATATTTTAGTTTTCTACTGTTACATAACAAATTGCCTCAAACTTAGCAGCTTTTCTAAACACCAACTATGTATTAAGTTACGGTTCTGTACATCAGAAGTCTAAGAAGAGCATGGCTGGGTTCCCACCTCTTACACAGCTAAAAATCAAGTTGTCAGCAGGGCTGTTCCTTTCTTTTTTTTTTTTTTTTTCTTCTTTTGAGATGGAGTCTCACTTGTCACCCAGGCTGGAGTGCAGTGGCACGATCTCACTGCAACCTCTGCTCCTGCAACCTCCGCCTCCCAGGTTCAAGCAATTATGCTGCCTCAGCCTCCTGAGTAGCTGGGATTACAGGCACCCAACACCACTCCCGGCTAATTTTTGTATTTTTAGTAGAGACGGGGTTTCACCATGTTGGCCAGGGTGGTCTCAAACTCCTGACCTCTGGTGATCCACCTGCCTCGGCCTCCCAAAGTGCGGGGATTACAGGCGTGAGCTACCGCACCCGGCCCTAGCTGTGTTCCTTTCTAGAGGCCCAGGGAAAGAATCTTTTGCAGGTTCATTCAGGTTGTTGTCCATATTCCGTTCCTTTTGGTTGCAGGACTGCATCCCTGTTTCCTTGCTGGGTGTGGGCTGCAGCCCCTCTCGGCTCCTGGAGGCTGCCCACATTCCCGGCCCTGGGCCCCTCACCTTTAAAGCCAGCACAGGGGCTGGGCATGGTGGCTCACACCCGTAATCCCAGCACTTTAGGAGGCCAAGACGGGAGAATCACTTGAGGTCAGGAGTTCAAGACCAGCCTGGCCAATATGGTGAAAACCTATCTCTACTAAAAATACAAAAATTAGCCAGGCGTGGTGGTGGACACCTGTAGTCCCAGCTACTTAGGAGAATGAGGCAGAAGAACTGCTTGAACCCAGGAGGCAGAGGTTGCAGTGAACCGAGATCGCGCCACTGCACTCCAGGCTGGGCAACAGAACAAGAATCTGTCTAAGAAGAAAAAAAAAAAAAAAAAAAGCCAGCACAGGCACATCAAATCCTTCTCACAGTTTCAATCTTTGACTTCCTGTCCCAACCTCTAGGCCCAGATTTTAAGGGCTCCTGTGATGAAGCCAAACTGGCCAGATAATCTCCCTTTCTAAACTCACCGTGCCACACAACACAACCTAGTGATGAAAGGGAAACCCGCCATCAGCACATCCTTGGGTAGGGCCCTAGGTAAGTGCACCGGCAGGTGGGAAACTTGGGGCATCTTCAAATTCTGCCATCGTCTGCAGAAGGGCAGAGCAGCCTGGGACAGAACCCCAGTTCCTGGCACCCTGGCTCCCACCTTGGGCAAGTCCCTTACCCCGCCCATGCCTCAGTTTTCTCATTTGTTAAGTGGGGTAACTCTATACCTATCTCAATGGGTTCTTGAGGGGATGAAACAGATTAAACTATATAAAGAGCTTACACCAGCACCTGACCTAAGTGTTGGATTTTTTTTTTTTATTTTACCTCAGAATGGCAGATTCTTTTTCTTTTTCTTTTCTTTTCTTTTTTTTTTTTTTTTTTCAGATGGAGTCTTGCTCTGTTGCCAGGCTGGAGTGCAGTGGTGTGATCTCAGCTCACTGCAACCTCCACCTCCCGGGTTCAAGCAATTCTCCTGCCTCAGCCCCCTGAGTAGCTGGGACTACAGGTGCCCACCACCACACCCGGCTAATTTTTGTATTTTTTTAGTAGAGACGGGGTTTCACCATGTTGGCCAGGATGGTCTCAATCTCTTGACCTCGTGATCCACCCGCCTCAGCCTCCCAAAGTGCTGGGAATACAGGCGTGAGCCACCATGCCTGGCCACAGATACTTTCTCTTTTGTACTATCCTTGTGAGGGCCTGGGGTCTATACTATAAAGTACATTGATGAATTTACAATCATTTTTAAACGTCTGCTCAACAAAAGAAACCAAGGGTGAAGTGAAAAGTCCACCTGTGGTAACCATGGGAGCAAGCTTCTCAGACCTCTCACTGCAAGGGGACACTGAGTCAGGACCCCAAGGCCACTCTTCCCACAGACAAGGACATTCCAGCATGCCTGGCACTGGAAGATACAGGACACCTCTGATGGCTAGCTTTGGCTAGGAGACACCCCTGCCGACTTGGCCAGACAGAACCCCAGGCTGAAGCTGGGCATGGTGGCTCATGTCTGTAATCCTAGCACTTTGGGAGGCCAAGACAGGAGAATCTAAAAATACAAAAATTAGCTGGGTGTGGTGGTACACGCCTGTAGTCCCAGCTACTCAGGGGGCCGAGGCAGGAGAATTGCTTGAACCAGGAAGGCGGCGGTTGCAGTGAGCCAAGATCATGCCACTGCACTCCAGCCTGGGTGGCAGAGTAAGTGTGACTCTGTCTTAAAAAAAAAAAAATTTGCAGGCTGAGGTCCTTGCACCAACCCTTCTTCCCCACACCCCTCCACTGGGGGACACGCCTCACGGCAGGCTGGTGACTCTCCCAACAACCCCTGCCTATTCTTCCCATTTTACTCATTTTAGTCATTTCCCTAATAAATGTTTTGCACCTCTAATCCCCTTTGGGAGTTTGCATCTCAGAGGGCCCAGACTAATACACCACATATGTAACAGAAGATATTCACATCCAAGACTCCTTCAACGGCCAGTGCCTCTCCCTCTACCTTCAAACTGTATCCCGCCACTGATCAATACTCCATACCACCCATCCAATCCGAGCCACCATCCTCTCCCCTGCCACACTCTCCTGCCATTTCGGAGAGACTTTTTACCCAAAATAGCATAAAATTTACCATCTTAACCATCTCTAAATGGACAGTTCTGGGGCTTTAAGTACATTCACACTGTTGGCAACCACCATCACCATCTATCTCCAGAATTCTTTTCACTTTGCACAACTGAAACTCTGTACCCATCAGAGGGTGTTTTTTTTAGCATAAAACTAAGTCACAACATTCCCCTGCTGAAAGCCTTCCAAAAGCTTCCCAATGCACACAGGATGAAATCCAAGTTCTCACTGTGGCCTACACAGCCCTTGTGACTGGTCCCTGCTCCCCAACTCCAGCCCCGTCACTCTCCCAGCACCCACCTCTAGGTTCACTGGCCCCTGCTCTTCCTTGAACACACCAAGCTTGCTCCAGCCACGGGGCCTTTGCACTGGCCACTCCCTCTACCAAGAAGTCTCTTCTCTCAGACATGCCAATGCTTGGGTCCCTTGTTCCCCACCTTCGTTTGCACAAGGGGCCTCAGCCTCATCTGATCTCCCCTGGCATCATAACATGTGTGTCTGCTAACTGATTAACACGGATTTTAGATTACCATTGAGGAGAAAAACATAATGAGCTTAAACTTTAAGGGGAAGGGAGCATATAAATTCCTATTTCTTGGTGTCCAGTGAGGCAATTTCTCTAATGGGAACCAGAAGCAGAGAGAGTAAGAAACATGCTGATGTGAGCAGGCACATTCGAGGTATAAGAAACTGTCAAGTGATTATTCACTTCTGTTGGCTGTGCAAAAACACAATGAGTTTAAACTGAACATTCTCACAGAGAACTTGTGAGTGCCCAAAATATGCCCAGAACTATAGTTTTAAACATCAGATGCCCTGGGCATTTCCATTGTTATTCTTGAGAGTGGAGGGGAATTCTGTCCTTTCCAGTTCCTTCAGTATGCTTAATTATTTCTCCCCTGAAAGTTCCTCCTATCCAAAACACTGATGACACCAAATGCTGGGAGGATGTGGAGCAACAGGAGGTCCCATTCACTGCTCATGAGAATGCAAAATGGTACGGCCACTGAGGAAGACAGTTTGATGGTTTCTTACAAAGCTAAACACACTCTTACCCTATGTTCTAGCAATCACACTCCTTGGTATAAGGAGATGAAAACTTATGTCCACACAAAAACCTGCACAAGGATATTTACAGCAGCTTCATTCATAATTGCCAAAACTTGGAAGCAGATGTCCTTCAGCAGGTAAGAGGGTACACAAATTGTGGTACATCTAGTGGATGAAATATTCAGCACTAAAAAGAAATGAGCTATCAAACCATGAAAAGAGATAGAGCAAACTTAAATGCCAATTGCTAAATGAAAGAATCCAATCTGAAAGAACTACATACTATATGATTCCAACTATAAGACATCTAGAAAAGGTAAAACTATGGAGTCATGTGATTGCCAGGGATTGGGGAGGAAGGGATGAATAAGTGGAGTACAGAAAATTTTTACGGCATTGAAAAATATCTGTATGATACTATCATGGTAGACACATATCATTTTACATTTGTTCAAACCCACAGAACATACAGCACCAAAAGTGAACCCTAAGGTAAACTATGGACTCTGGGTGATAATGATATATCAATATAGGTTCATCAACTGTAGAAAACACACCACTCTGGTAGGGGATGTTGGGCAGGTTACAGGGAATATGGGAATTCTCTGTTCCTTCATCTCTATTTTGTTGTGAACCTAAAATGTTCTAAAAAATAAATCTATTTAGGCCAGGCACGGTGGCTCACGCCTGTAATCCTAGCACTTTGGAGGCTGAGGCGGGCGGATCACTTGAGGTCAGGAGTTCAAGACCAGCCTGGCCAACATGGTGAAACCCCATCTCTACTAAAATACAAAATTTAGGCGGGCATGATGGCAGATGCCTGTAATCCCAGCTACTCGGGAGGCTGACACGGGAGAATTCGCTTGAACATGAAAGACGGCGGTTGCAGTGAGCCGAGATCGCGCCACTGCACTCCAGCCTGGGCGGCTGAGCGAGACTCTGTCTCAAAAAAGAAAAAAGAAATACATAAATCTATTTAAAAAAATGACTCTACTCTTAATTGGTAATTCAGGCATTTGGTGATACAGGGAAGCCAAGGTCCCTCCATGTCACCCGCGTGCCAGTACCTCCCACCAGACACCTGTGGCAGCTGAGACTGCTTGTGTATCAAGAAAACTTGAGCCCATGTCACAATCTTTCAAAAATATTCAAACAGCCTCCATCTTTGACAAATGCCCAAGGTTAATGTTGCAAAAAAGGATGAAATCCATAGAACACATTACTGGAAAAGTTTTCCAAAATCTGTCTTCCTTCCTCTAGAAGAGAAATTCACGCAGTGCATACAATATTGTGAAGATGAAAAAGCAGCATCACCCTAGACCATCTCTCCTTAGACTGCGTGTCCTTCCTTGCCAGTGCCGCTCCACTGGGTATATTTGTAGCCCTGACTCTGTCTTGGCTGAACATCAAAGATGCAATCTTGGTTCCCCCGCTTCCCCACAATGCTGTCCTCATCCAGTTTATCTTCAGAAACACCACTTTAAAAACAACAGAATTAATTCTCCTCAGATCCCTATTTCTCCTCACAAGGTGATCAGATTCCAGGTTTTTCCTTCGGCTTCTGGAAAGATCTCACCATATCCGGATTTTGCGCAGCCAACAGAAGTGTGAATAATCACTTGACAGTTTCTTATACCTCAAAAGTGCCTGCTCACATCAGCATGTTTCTTACTCTCTCTGCTTCTGGTTCCCATTAGAGAAATTGCCTCACTGGACACCAAGAAATAAGAGACTTATCTGCCCCCTTCCCCTTAAAGTTTAAACTCATAAACTAGATGGGAGAAATGTTCACATGTATGTTGTAATCCCTTTTAAACTTACTTCTAAGGGCACTTTTTTTTTCATTTGGGCTTAGAACTGATTAAACAAAACAATGTTCTGTCCAAACCTGCATTTTTCTTATTACTTTCTAATCATTTTACCACCAACATAAAGGCCTGTTCTTTTCCAACACTGGGCTCTTTAATCATTCCTGACAGGCCTCTGCTTTCTGCTTGGCCAGGCCCCAGCAAACACCGTTGGGCTCCACCGCCCTCGGCTGCTCTCCCTAAGTCCTCTCTGCCCGGTAACACAGCTCATTTAAAGAGCGAGTGGGAGCAAAGGGAAGGAAGGGGAAGGCCCATGCTCCTCGTGAAAGCTCCTCTTCCGTGTTCGGTGCAATGCAGCACTGGCAGCTGGATGCACACGTAGACCCCGTAAGTGCATAGGAAGCACGGGTGGGTTGTGGAGCCCCACCCTTCCCCACACAGCACTGTGATCAGAATAACTGCTCCCAAATTAAGGGAAAGGCTGGGAGTTTTCGAGTCCCATTAAACTTGATAGTCAAGCTACTTATTAAAATTAGCAATTAAACTTATACAATTTAATTTTCAAAGTGAAATCAAACATGGTCTCTTGTTTTAGGCCAAAATAATCCCAAAGGGGAAGCAGGGAAGACATGCCTATCCCACTTGTACAGAGGAAAGAAGGTGATCCAGGTCTTCTGGCATGTTCTCCTCTAAGGCATTGCCAAAAGTTATGTGGTTAGTAAACGTTATAATAATAGTCTCATGGGGTTGGTGATAATGTCAATAGTTAGTACAACCTTCCATGGCTTTAGGAAAATTTTGTCATAAGAACAAAGTGATACTGGGTGATGCTCTGACCAAAGAACAGGATTTGGAAGTGGGTGGGGGGGTATTCCAGGTGGGGGGAACCACCTGGCCAAAGGTGTGAAGGCGAGCCTAAGATGTGGGGTGAGCTTGTGGAGCAGAAGACAGGTGGGCTGAGGACAGGCTTCCAGGCCCAGGGGCATCTCACAAAGGGGCCTGGGGAGGCTGCCTCACTCCAAGCCTCACCCTTCTTTCTAAATAAAAACACTCAAGAGAAATAAGTGGGATGTCCACACCAAAGTTCCAAAGGCAGCCCAGGCCCGGTCACCAAGACTTCCCTCCCTGAGGACGGGTCTGCTTCTGAGGGAGTCCCTGTGTGTATCATTGCATCCACCTGAGGATGTGTGGTGAGGAAGGTGGACATGTGGACAGAGAGTGCAGTCCCCCTGCCTGGAGCCACAGAAGGTGAGACTGAAGAGGAAGGGAGAAGGAGCACCAGACGGGCCACCCACAGGCTCCATCCTGACCTTGCCACGGCGGGGTCCACACACCCCGAGAACCCCTCGGGCCACACCCCTGGGCCTCTCTGACTCCCACAAGCCTGTCTACAATCACTGATCCCCTCATGGTCACCGGTTCTGGAAAGAAAGTCTCAAGTGGCTTTGCCAATTTAGTGAAGCATCCGTTATCTGGTTCCTTCTCTGCAAATGAGTCTTGTGTCCAGAGCCTTTCTAACCACTTCCATCCCAAACTTCCCTCGGAGGAAAGGTGACCTGTGGCCAACTAAGAGCCCAGAGTGACGACAGCTGTCATCTGGATAACACCATGTGGCTGGCACTGTGCTTAGTGCTGGGTGCATATCCCATGCCCCAAACCTCACAAAACCCTGTGGGGAGAGAAGTGGTGTCCCCGTTTCAGAGATGGACATTTGAGACCCAAGATACTAAATGATCTGCCCAAAAAACACACTGGAGAGCCAGGATTACAACCCCAAGACGTCCTACAGAACCCCACCCCTTTATTCATGACAACTTTATGGAGGTGTGATTTATACATGACAAAGTGTTCCCATTCAAGGGCAAGACAAACGTACAGCCAGGTGGCCAGCACAACACAGAGCCCCACTTCCCCAGGGAATGAGAACAATGAGGAAATGCTAGCAAGGAGGGCATCTGCCCAGAGATGCCCGTAAATCACCAACTCTCACAGGACTTTAAAAGGACAATCTTGTTTGCAAAGCTGAATTTAGATTACCCTTCTCCTGACTATTAGTCACAAGGCTGACTCCAGCCCCAGTGCAGAAGGAGACGCAGCACAGAGCAACACATGATGGCAGGCAGGCCCGGCTGCCTCCAGAACGGGCATGACCAGGTGCTTTCCACGCTTGGCACACAGCTGAGCAAGGCCACAGTAACTCCAGGAAACTGGAAGAAGCCTCAGACACCCGATGCCACGTGGCCTGAGCATCTTCTTGGTCTTCACTCTGATACTGTTCTGATGAAGCAACAGCAGAGGCTGCTTTCCAAACAGAGAGGGCAGCGGAAATGGCAGCCCGCTTCAGCACGTGTGTCAGGACAAACAGCCGCCAAGAGCTGCCTGAGCCCACCAGGTGGCCTCTTCCTGTTCCGCTGACTCCGGCCTGACCTCTGTCCTCCAGAAACACATGGACCGGAAAGGGCCCCCAGGGGGTGCGGGGGATGGCAGAGCAGGAGTGTATCTTGGAGAAAATGCACAGGAACTCATGAGGCAAATAGGTGGCATTATCTGCTGGGAGCCTCTGCAAAGGGCGACTGCAGACACCAGGCCACAGCTGAGGCTGGGCAGTTGTGCAAATATTTGGGGAGCAGCAGACAGAGCAGGACCCAGCACTTATACCATGTGTGGGGCCCCAGGTCAATGTCCCCTGCTTGGCCTCTTTCCTCTTCTGTCAAAGGAGACTATGGAACCCTGTGTCCCTCCTGTGTGCTGCATGTGAACACCACCCTACCAGTCCCGGTGCCTTCAGGTGCACACATGGGGTAAAGAGGTATAGGCAGATACACCTGGGGAAAAAGGTCTGCTTAAGAGCTGAGCAGCAGGAGAGCTGGGAACTGGCACTGAGCAGGTGGGCAGGAGAGAACAGAGCCTCCTCCGTCCCCAAGGAGAAAGATGGGGAGGAGGGGGCAGCTGGGACCAAGTTCCTCAGAGTTCCCCACGCTCTGCCTGACACCTCAACCCTTAGACACACACACCAGGAATCTACACACAAGCACACACATATACACTCACACACAAACGTGTGCACACAACACATGCGCCACAATCCCCACATGCACTCACACGTACGCACACGTACACATACACCAGGAAACTGGTCGCAAACACACACACACAGGTGCACTGTGCATACACACACATACACATTACATATGCAACACATCTGCACACTCGAACACATACATCCACCAGGAAACTAGGAATATGAGACCCAAGTTTATTAAAGTATAAAATCTACATTTGACCTGTGAATGCAGGCTTGATAATTTAGTAAAACATTAATCGATAAGTACCTAGAGACCAAAAGAATGCCAGCCTGGAACCCACTAGATGCACTCACCAGTAAGATAAGTTTTAAAGCCTGCAAACTGACAGACAGCAAGTCAGCAGGGCTCCAGATAAGCCTCCCTCCAGTGCTGGGCAGGCCCCCAGATAAGCTCAGGATGCAGCGGGTCCCCCAGGGCCGCCAGGGGGTGGGGGGCAGGGCCCCAGCAGCCTCGCATCCAGAGGCCCAAGCGCAGAAGCAGAAGCAAACTGGACGCCGCAAGGGGCTGCAGGAAGGGCAGACGGCAGACGCAAGTCCTCCAGCTGCCTCCCGCACAAGATGGTCAATGACAGCGGCTGAGAGGCACAGCAGGCAGCCGACCCTGGCGCAGGCCCCCCCACGCAGGGAACGGTGGCGGCGCGGGGCAATCCTCCGGCTGCCTGGAGCAAGAGAGGCTGGCAGGGACACGAGGGCGCCGGGCCTGCACGTGGGACCCGCAGGAAACAAGAAATGAGGAAGGCACCGCGTGGCATCCAGAACATTCAAAAGCAGCCAAGGAGGCGGGAAAACGACAAGCTTCTGGAAGAGAGTGCTGACAGTGAACCAGGACAGGCCCCAGGAGAGGACTCCTCGCGGGGCACGTCGGTTCCATGGACTGGGGGCAGCTGGGCCGCCAAGGCCACTCCCACCTAGAGTCAGCACTTGTCACAAAACCACAGGCTTAAAAGTCCTTCAAATTGTCAGGACCATTAGACCCACTTCACACCTCAATTCTGTGCAAACAGAGGCATAGGTTCCAGCTTGAAGGGAAAAAAATAATAAGCCAAGAATGCACATCTGTTTTTAAGAAGGAAATCCATTATTAATTAAAAAGAGCAACTAGGAAGCAAAGTTCTGGGAACTGAAACACACATCGTTTAATCAGATACTGGACTATAAATCCCTTTTCTGGGCAGATTGTTTTTTAAGCTGAAGGGTTTTTAATGTGTACTACGAGGAAGCTGCACAAGGGGCCCCTCAGCTCAGCCAGACTGAATCCAGAGCCAGGAAGGTCGGGCAGAATCCCCCTCCACTCCACCATCCTTCAACTAGAGAAAAGAACTGTCTTGTAAAACTGTGTTACTTGACAGCCCAACTATATTCTTCTGAAATGCAAACTATACTATAAATAGGTATACTATGTTACATGGTATGTATAACACATAAATTATACAGCATATTTAGTATAAGTTAGACTATCTCCAACTGTACCCATGGGAAATGCAAATCTGCATGTCAGTAGTTTGTGAATGTTTCTGATACCTGTGGGATATCATGAAACACCAATAACTAGGAGGTAGTGATAGTTTACTAGTTGCCTCAAGTATAATCAAACCAACAGTGTCCTTCCTCACTGGCTTATCTTCCCACCCACTTAGAACTAAGATCTTTGTTTTCCAACAGGAGAAAAGGCTCACGTCATTTCAAATGTGGGCTCAGTACATTATCTGCCTTCTACAGGGGGTTAAAAATAAAAGTGCTCTGGGATGGGTGTGGTGGCTCATACCTGTAATCCCAGCACTTCGGGAGGCTAAGGCAGGCGGATCATCTGAGGTGAGGAGTTTGAGACCAGCCTGACCAACATGATGAAACCCCATCTCTACTAAAAATACAAAAATTAGCCAGGCATGGTGGCATGCGCTTGTAATCCCAGCTACTCAGGAAGCTGAGGCGGGAGAACTGCTTGAACCCAGGAGGTGGAGGTTGCAGCGAGCCATGATCTCACGAATGCACTCCAGCCTGGGACTCCATCTCAAAAAAAAAAAAGAGTGCTCTGAAAAAAAAAAAAGCAAAAAATAAAAAGGAGCTTTGTTTATTTTTCCATAGCTACTGTGTGAGGAAAAGTCAGTTGTACCTTTGCCAGGTGTAGGTGGGGGGGCCTACCCTCAATTCTGGAGCAGCAGGCCAACAGAGCCAGAGGCACTTGAAAAGAGGCCATTCGCACAGAATACCTCCCTCAATTCATTCAACCAGTCCCAACATTTAATCCACACAACGGTTAACATTCCTATTTTTCAGATGCAGAAACTGGGGCTCATGGAGATGAAATATTTAGTAACTCACAAGGGCTCCCCACCACAGATGACGGCCTGATTCATCTAAGTAGTCAACAAGTAAGAGATGCATACTCACACAACAAAGAAGAGGAAGGAGAAACAATTATTTTTAAAGGTTTTCTCAATTTTCCTTTAATTCTTTCTTCATAGTAGAAATATCTCATTTCTAAACCAAAGCTCAATTTCTATCCTCAGGTATCACAAAATGAAGTAAACTTCCCCTTCGCTGTCAGGGTCTTTTCCCTTCTTTCCCTCCAGGAAACCCAAATCCCAGGCCCTCCATCACCTCTCCACCAAGCCCACCCTGCTTGTACCTCTCACAGCCAGGGCCTTCCCACGCCTCAGGCCCCTACTGAAAACAGATCTCAAAAGCAGTTCCCGATGGGGAGCTGGGTGGTCGTGGCTGTGAGCCGCCTGAGACCTCCTGAACTGCCAAGGATCTCCGTTAACACCAAGGGCCCTCCTTGGGCGACCCTGCCCCCACCCCCAACAGACACCATGGGGCCCTCCCTGAGACATCCAGCATCAGTTGGAGAGCTCAGTCTCAACTGAAGCAACAAGAAAGGGACACTGTTAAGCTCACTGTAAGAAGAAACCGCTTCATCAGCATGGAGTTAATATGTAAACATTTTATCTGCACTGGCAAAACAAATGACTATTTAAAAACCATATCCTTAGGAATGGAAATCTGACACATGCTGCAACATGGATAAGCCTCGAAGGCATGCTAAGGGAACCGGGCCAGTCACAGAAGGACATAGACTGCATGTTCCACTTCTACAAGGTCCCTAGGGTGGTCAAATGCATAGAAACAGAAGGTAGAATCGGTGGCTGCCAGGGTCTGGGGGAGGAGATGGGGGAGGCATTATTTAATGGGTGCAGAGTTTCTGTCGGGGATGATGAAATGAGTTCTGTGGATGGCGGTGATGGTTGCAAAACAATATGAATGCATTTAATGCCACCAAACAATACTTATGATGGTAAATTCCATGATATGCATATTTTACTATGATAAAGAAAAAAATACATATACTTAAACAAAAGCAAATAAAAAAAATACATGTTCTCCCCTAAAGTATGAGTGCATGGAAAATTAAAACTGCCACATCCAGAGAGCAACAGGATTTTTTTTCTGTGCCCCTGACTGCAGTCGGCCCAGGAGGAACCCAGATAGATGCTGCATGGAGGGGTCTCAGATGCCCACACCCCAACCCGCTGGCTTCCCCTGCCCAAGAAAGTCTGGGAAGGGTGATCTGCTCCAGTTCTTCCCATCGGGCATCAACTCACTTCTACAACACAAGCCCCCAAAATAAATGGAAATGAGGCTGCTGGAGTGGTCTGTGGCCCCAAGAAGTCGATTCGTTGTGTCTTTTTTTTTTCTCCTCAAGTCAAAACTTAAGCCATTCCTACATCTCCAAATTCTTCCATGGAGTATTTTCAAGGCAGACACTTCTGGAACAAACAACCCCAACCTAAATATTTTCTGTAAAGGGAAGAACAAAGATTTTCTCCTAAACCAGCCCCTAAGTCAGCAAATGGGAAGTGGTTTCCCCACATTCTCAACATCCCCAAAGGGACAACTGCCCACCCCTTCCCGGTGAGCATTCGACAACTCTGTAGACAAAGAGGAACAAAAACAAACGCAATTGGCTTGAGACGGGGTTTACTAGGAGCTCATAAAAATACCTCAGACTGGGGTCGTGGAGAGAGTCCACGGCAATAAAATGCCCATACTTATTTTACGTATTTAAAGGGATATTGCTGCATTCTCAAAACAATATCCATTTAATTTCCAAAAATACAGTCAGTGAACAGCTGAAATATTTTTAAAGGAGAGTGGTTTTAGATATTCAAAGAAACATGTGAACCATCCCACAAGGTAGGAATCACTGCCCTGACAGGTCATCCTTTTTTTTGATTTTTTGTTTTTGTTTTTGTTTTTTTTTGGGGGGGGGGACAGAGTCTCGCTCTGCCGCATAGGCTGGAGTACAGTGGTAGGATCTCGGCTCACTGCAACCTCCACCTCCCAGGTTCAGGCAATTCTCCTGCCTCAGCCTCCCGAGTAGCTGGGATTACAGGCATGCACCACCACACCCGGGCCCAGGTCATCCTTTTTTAACCACAAAGCCAGATTTGGCACCAGGGATCATGGAAGGATCCCGGGGTGAGGAGGTTCCTCAGATCAGAAACTCAGAGCTCCCTGCCTCCATTGTGCCTTGTTCACCTGACCTGAGGATGCCACAAGTTTAGCGGGTGGAGCCCACTGCCCTCCTAGCACCAAGAGCCCAAGAATGTTCCAGTCAGGCGGGCTCAGTCCATAAAGGGCTGGAAGGCCCAAGGGCTGGGGTAGGGAGCGGTAGGACCTGCGCCACGACCAACAGGCCATCGCCCTGGAGAAAAGCCATCCAGTCACAGCCTGGAGAGACCAGGCAGAGGGTGGCCCAGCCTTGTGGAGCAAGGAAGTGGAATCAGGCTTCAGGCCCATGGTGGGGGTGCCTTGGCGCTTGGAGCAGCCACCAACACTATAGGAGGGCACCCAGTGGCAGGCAGCAAGACACACAGGATGTCCCTTCCAGGCTGTAAAGATCCCATCTCCACCCCAGCGCCCTGGCTCCTACGCTCCACTGCTGGCTTTGGAGGCCTCCTCGACTCTGCCACCCGTGGCCTCAGGAACCTCTGGTTCCAAGTTAATGAGGCAAAGCCTCCAAAAAGGGAAAAAACAAACTGCTCATCACTCATTATTGCCTCCATTCTGGCTTACTACCTGGGACGGCTCCAAGGTGCACAGCTGCAGAACACACGTGTGCGCACACACACCACACACACAGCACATACACCACACACAAGACATACACAAATGTCACATGCCACACAACATACAATACACACAACACATACCACACAACATATACCACACACAAAAACGTAACATATACGCAAACATCACACCACACAGACATACAACATATACCACACACAGCACATACACAAAACTCATACACCACAAACCACATATCACACACACACCCCCCACACAAATATCACACATGCAAGACACACCACACAACACATACCATACACAACACATACACAAACACCACATATACACCAAACACCACTCAACACAAACACCACATACAACACATACACAAACATCACACACCACACAAATTCAGCACACACAATACCACACACCAGACACACCACACACATACAATCATACCACACAACACATACACAACCATCACACACCATACACACAAGACACACAACACATACCACACACACAGAGAGACAAAAACTATACAAATGTCACATCACACAAAGATGACAACACAACCCAACACACAACACATACCACACACAACAAAGACACAACACATACCACATACACGACATACACAGACATCACACACTACACACAACCCAACATACACAGACACAATACAACACATACACAAACATACAACACATACACAAACATCACACATGCCACACACAACACATATACAGATGCCCCCAACACACATAAACACACATAACACACACGTACACCACACATACACTCCAAAATCTGTTTTTCTTTTTAGAAGACCACAAACCCCACTACATGGTAGATAAATGGGGGTGGGGGGAGGGGCCATCACACTCTTTAGGGAGAGAAAATAGAAATTAAAGCAAATTTGAAAGCCCAAGAACTAAGAGAGGGAGCCAATCAACTTTTTTTTTTTAAGAGCTAAGAGCAGAGCCTCTCCTGGGGAATTCTTGATCCCAGTGGAAGATTACATATTAAAGAAAATGCAGAAAATTACAGACTACATTTATGTGCAACCCTGAATTGGTGGTTTTAAGAAACTATTATTAATGAAGAAGCAAAAACACCCCTTAAAGAGAATTCTTTGAAAAAAAAAAACCACACACACACACAGAGTAATAATTGCTGAGCAGGCATAATAAAGTTAAACTCAGAGGGTTTTTAAACCACACCAAAACCCTGAGAGGCGTCAGCGTCCCTGAAGCTCCCGTGGCCAGGCTGTGACCACAACTCCGCCTGCAGAAGGAGGTGGCAGGGCTGAGGGGGAGAGCAGCGTGCACTCGCAGCAGCCATGCAGGTCACCCAGAGGGGCTGCACGACAGAGCAGGACTGGACAATTCTGTGCCCAGTAGGATACCTGGAATGACAAACTGCCCGTTCATAAGGAAAATTCTACCCTGACCCACAGAACAAGATCTCTGCATGGCAGCCTCTGAGGAAAGTCTGCGCATTTGAGGAAAACGAAACCTTAAAGGGTGGCTCTGCCGTCTCAGCTCCCAGGAAACCCACAGCACCCTTCTTAGTGGCACATGGTCACAGGCTGCCACAAGTCCACTGCAGGTAGAGTCTTAGCTCCCGCCAAGGGTCTTCTGCAAGCAGAGAATGCCCCTCAATTCTCTGACCTTCCAAGAGCCACCTCCACCATTCATTTCCCCTTCATTCATGGAATTCAAGAAAATCCCCTCGGTTTTGTTCTTTCGTTGTTGTTATTTTCTTAAGTCATGGTCAATGACCGTTGCATTATTAAGGGGATTTCATCTATCCTTTTTGGTCTTTATTTTCTATTAATCTTTTTCATTATATTTTAGAAACGTTTTGGTTTGCAGTAGCTGGAGGGAGAACCTGCTACATAGTTCTGCACCACGGACAGTCTGAGAAGCACCAAGGACTTCCAAGGTCCAGGCTCCAGCTTTAGAGCGCCTAGAACTCAGTGGATTCAGGTTTTCAGGCTTTTATATTTTTCTAATTGTGGTAAACAGTATACCATAAAAGTTGCCATCTTCGCCACTTTTAAGTGGACGGTTTGGTGGCGGTGGGAACATTCACTGTGTTGTGCAGGATCACCACTCTCCACCCCCAGCACACTTTACATCTTGCAAAATTGAAACTCTGTCCCCATTAAGCACTAACTCCCCATTGGATTTCATCTATCTTTTTTTTTAATTGAGGGAGACAAATTGGCAGGGGGCTGTCTCACAGCAGCGTATGAAATCCGTTAAAATAAGAAATCTGCATAATTGTCTTAAGTGATAAACAGGAAGCCATTTGTTCCAGGTGAAAAGCCCCTTCTTTACATTCTCAATGGCTCTGCATATAATTTTTCCCCCTGTACAATGGCATGCAGCCCCCAGACTCCTCCTCACATTAACAGGCAGGACAGTGCTGATGACCTGGGAGGCAACACACATGGGAATGTCCTTCCCAAACCAAATGGACACAGCTGTGTCCAAAATCCACCAGCAAAAGGAAATGAAGCACTGCCTCTCCTGAGTTCCTGGGGCAAGGGGATCTGGGTGACTGCCTTGCCCAATTTCTTTTTAGGATATCAGCACGTTAAACCCTAAGTTTCTTTCGTTATCACTGAAGTGGGATTCTGCACAGTGAAAAAAGGTGATATTTTTAAAAGGGGGATCAAAATTGAGTCAATTAAGTCATCTTTCTGAGAAAGCCACACCCTGAGCAGCTACAGGAAGGGCCTCCTCTGCTGGGAAACCTGGCGCTTCCCACTCACTGCAATGTCTACAAAGGGGGCTGGCTTCCCAAATTCCTGAGATCTATCCTCCAAAATCCATTCCTTAAACAGAAGGCATATTATCAGGATACCTCATACTTAACAGGAGCATTTCTCTTCCCAGTGGACCCAAGAATGCAGTAAATTGAGTCATGAGCTTCCTGCCTCACAAGGTCTTCAGGTTACCCAGCTGCAGCGTGGATCGGATGCTGCCCCACCCCAGGTCAGCTTGGCCACCCCACACCCAGGGCCACCCTACATGACTGCCTCCAGGTGGGCACAGGGCAAGGGGCCAGAATAAAGGGAAAGGTGACTATCTGGTCTTCAGGGAAACATCCAGGACTTGTGATGACACTAATTGTTGTGGGAAAGAACTTCCTTTGGGAACTGCAAATGCCGCAAAACCCTATGACAAAAAGTTGGATAAGATAGAGAGTGGAATCCAAACTGAGTCTGGAGGCACAGGTGACACAGCTGTATTATCAATGGGGGGAGGGAGGAGTTGAAAGCAACTCCCTGGTTTCCATCTTGGTCACATGGTGAGTGGTGGGGACGCTATCTATGCCAGGAAGGGCTCCAAGGGAGACAATGGGACACGTTTGTATTTAAAGCTGTGCCTGGGGCACCCGCAGCACATCCAGCTTGAGATGTTTTAGTAGCAACTGACAGAAAACATCAATCAGAACATCTCCTGACCATGCAACTCAGAAGGCCTTTTAAAATGTAATAGTAAAAACATAACGTTTTAATGACTTTTTAACAAGCAGGCTTAGTATCAGTTATCTTAACAAACACCCATCTAGCACTTTCTGCAAGTCAAGTGCTGGCTCTAAGGACCTTATAACCATTAACTCATTTAATCCCCAAAACAACAACCCCAGGAGGTAGATAGGGACCAGGTACTTACACTATAGGAGGGGATGTTTACATAAAATCAAGGAATACGCCATTACCAGTGGGAAATAAACAATATCAGTCTCAAAGAAATAAGTTTAAAATAAATTCAGCATCCCTCTACTGGTAATTCAAAATTGATACTAATAACAAATAAAATTAATAACATATTTAAAAGATTACCCAAAATGAGCTCCACTGAGATTTTAAACATTCAGTAGAGCCAAAGGAAACAGCACTAAGATTTCAAGCGGAGGGTGCCAATTAAGAAAAGTGACTCAAATTCCTTAAAATGTAAACACCTTATATTTTCATTATGAAAACCCATAAAACTGACACTTTGAACAGTTAAAAACTCCACTGACCATGAGGGAGTTTCCCTTCCATCACCCCAAATTAGTACATCCTGGAAGATCCAGCTGTTGTCAGTATCGAGCCAACAGAGGAATTTAAGAAGAAACCACAATGACCCCAAACCTCTTTAATTTGCAAAGCACCGGAGTCCACAGGGCCTAACGCAACATGCTGCTTTGCCAGAAACAACCTATATAATTTCTTTCTGATGAGAAAATGAAAATTGCTTGCTAATTGCTTCTCCTTTTCCATTTCCATTGCTCTGTCTGGGATCTCATAGCATGGGTGCATTTCCTCACCCAGGGTAACAAGAGTCAAATGTGTGCATCTCAGGAGTGGGGTGCATGATGCACACCCCCTCTGCATCCTCTTCTTATTGGAAAGAGGAGCTTTTTTATCTGTCATCACTGATTGGAAAACCAGGAATGAAGACCAAACCTGCCTCTCCTCTCAGGCTCCCATGGTTTGGTTTGATTTTGGAGTCAGGGTCTCACTGTGTTGCCAAGGCTGGAGTGTAGTGGCCTACAGCCTCAACCTCCTGGGCTCAAGCAATCCTCCTGACTCATCCTCCCGAGTAGCTGGCACCACAGGCATGCATCACCACATCCAACTAATTTTTTTTTTTTTTTTTTGGTAGAGACGGGGTCTCACCATGTTGCCCAGGCTGCTCTCAAACTCCTGGCCTCAAGTAATCCTCCCACCTCAGCCTCCCACAGTGCTGGGATTACAGGCATGAGCCACCACACTCGGCCCCAGGCTCCTATGTTTAACTGTATGAAGGATCTGGTTTTTCCTCCTGTTCCATCTATGGGTTTTAATATCTTGGAAAGCTTTATGTCTTTCTAAAGTAAAGACATACTGGACATACTGTGCTTTTTCTTCAAATCATTAGCTATTTTATAAGCATTCTGATAATCTTTATTCTTTTTTTTTTTTAGGTTTGTTTTGTTTTTTTTTTTTTTTTTTTTTTTTAGTTTTTTTCAATCAGAGTCTTGCTCTGTGGCCCAGGCTGAAGTGCAGTGGCGCAATCCAGCTCACTATAACCTCCGCCTCCCGGGTTCAAGTGATTCTCCTGCCTCAGCCTCCCAAGTAGCTGGGACTACAGGCGCCCACCACCACACTGAGCTAATTTTTGTATTTTTAGTAGAGATGGGGTTTTGCCATATTGGCCAGGCTGGTCTCAAACTCCTGACCTTGTGATCCGCCCACCTCAGCCTCCCAAAGTGCTGGGATTACAGGCGTGAGCAACCATGCCCAGCCAATCTTTACTTTTAACCTGTCAATTTAGCAGAAAAGAAACTTAAATGTCAGTGCCCAGTGCTGGCACTGGTGATGTGAAATAGGCAATTCCAGACATTTCAGACTGGAGATTGAATTGATGACTGTGTGCTGAAGGCAATCTGGCCAGACTTATCAAACAACTCCAAAATATCTGGGCTTATTACTACTATTACTAGTATCTCCACCCCCAAATATCTTTGAGACTTACTAATTTTACATATGGGAATCTATGCTTAAATAATGACTTTGAGATATGACATCAAAAACATAGGCAACAGAAACAAAAACAGACAAACTGGACTACATCAAACTTAAAAACATCTATCCATCAAAGCAAACAACCAACAGAGTGAAAACACAACCAAGGCAATGAAAGAAAATATTTGCAAATCATACATCTAATAACAGGTTAATATCCAAACTACATAAAGAGAAGCATCATATTCAAAGAAAATTGGTTTTCATTAAATACATAAAATATGTAATACTTTTTTTTTTTTGGAGACAGTGTCTCACTCTGTTGCCCAGGCTAGAGTACAGTGGCCTGATTTCAGCTCACTGCAACCTCCACCTTCCAGGTTCAAGAGATTCTCCTGCCTCAGCCTCCTAAGTAGCTGAGATTAGAGGCGTGTACCACCATGCCCAGCTAATTTTTGTATTTTTAGTAGAGACGGGGTTTCACCTTGTTGGCCAAGCTGGTCTCTAACTCCTGACCTCATATGATCTGCCCTCCTCAGCCTCCCAAAGTGCTGGGATTACAGGCGTTAGCCACCGCGCCCAGCCAACTATGTAATACTTTTAATAATATAGAATGATGGAAACAACTTAGAACAATAGAAAATGCTTCAGAACACTATTAGTCATTCACTACAAATGATGCTTCCAAACAATACCTGGGACAAAGGAAGGGATCTGGCCGTTGCCAGGCCCATTTCCACATCTGCACACTACCCCACCACCTGTTCCTTTGAAAATATACAAAATGCAGTGTTCTACACACAGGCTCTTTTTGAAAACAATGCACCAGAACAAACTATAGTCATGTGTCCCCTAAGGACAGGGATACATTCTGAGAAATGCGTCTTCAGGCCATTCTGTTGCCATGCGTGCATCAGAGTATACAATACTCACACAGACCTGGATGGTACAGCTTACTACACACCTGCACTAACCCTGTACAGCATGTGACTGTACTGAATACTGTAGGCATTGCAACACTGTGTATCTGTGTATCTAAACATCTAACACAGAAAAGTGCAGTTAAAATATGATATAATCGTATGAGACCACCATTGTATATGTGGTCTGCTGTTGACCGAAACATTACGTGGCGCATTACCATACTTTTAAAATAAGCTTCAATAAATAATTCAATAAATAGATAGGGAAGTAGGGACCAAAGAATTCCAATTAGTAAATGCAGAAGAGATGGTGAAATACAAAGCCACACTAGACAAAAGCTGAAATCATTATTACTGCAAGCAAAAACTACAGATGGAGGCTAGAATTAGTGGAGGAGAACATGATGAGAAACAGTATACTCACACTCAAAGTATCTTCTGGCAAGATACATACTAGTTAAGACAGGAAAAACAGCAGCTTTAAGGTGGAGAAATCTGGCAGATAGCTCCTTAACCCAGTGATCAAAGTAAACATCCCCAGAAAAGGAACAGAGAAATTCACGTGCTTCCTGCTACAACACAACATTGTATCTGCTGTCTTCCTGCCCAGTGTCCATTACCTGAGTCTAAGCAAAAAAAAAAAAAAAAAAAAACCACAAACCCAAATTAAAGGACATTCAACAAAATTTATCGGAGGTACTCCTCCAAAGTGTCAAGGTCAGGAAAACAAGGCAATACTGAGGAACTGTCACAAACTAGAAACAAATTAGAAAAACAGGTGAACTAAATGCAATGTGGGATCCTGGATCACACAAAACAGACATTAGTGAGAAAACTGCTAATTAGAGATTCAAACAAGGTCTGTGGCTTCCTTAATAGTATCACTAGTATACCAATATTAACTTTCTAGTTTTCATAAAATGTATCAATTGACTTAAGAGATTAACATTAAGGGAAGCCGAGTTAAAGGGAATATGGAACAGTTTTTGCAACCTTTCTGTACGCCTAAAATTTCCTACTTATTAGTACAGTAGCAAAATTACAGTTAATTTATTATGAATTCCAAAATGGCTAGAATTGTAATGTTTCCCACAAAAAGAAGTGTTTGAGGTAATGGATATTGCAATTACCTTGACTTGATCATCGCACATTGTGTATACAGATATCAAAATACCGTATGTGCTCCCAAAATATATACTACTATGTATCAATAAAAATATATTAAAAATAAAATTATTTCAAAATTAAAAGTATGCTTCTGTGTATTCTTCTGCCAGGATGTGCTTTCTTCCAAAGTCAAAGCAAAAATCTCCATATTTAAAAGAATGTGAAGCTTAAGTGTTTTGGGAAAAAAATTAACAAACATGTAACAGGAAAAATCTGGAATATTTCTGATTTATCAGCTATAACTATTCCTTAAATAATTTTTAAATGTAATATTTTAATATTGTTTCCCTTAAGTATTCAAGTTAATAGAATAATTTCATTTTTAGCTAATCTTAAGACCATAAAAATGGATAGGAATACTTACAAAATAGGCCAGCAGGCCAGGCGTGTTGGCTCACGCCTGTAATCCCAGCACTTTGGGAGGCCGAGGCGGGAGGATTACCTGGGGTCAGGAGTTCAAGACCAGCCTGCCCAACATGGCGAAACCCTGTCTCTACTAAAAATACAAAAAGTAGCTGGGCGTGGTGGCACATACCTGTAATCCCAGCTACTTGGGAGGCTGAGGCAGGAGAATCGCTTGAACCCGGGAAGCAGAGGTTGCAGTGAGTCGAGATCACGCCACTGCACTCCAGCCTGAGCAACAGAGTGAGAGACTCCATCTAAACAAGAAACAAACAAACAAAAAACAAAACAAAAAAAGGCCAGCAGAGAGTATACAATGGTACTCTTTTTAAAAGAAAAATCGACTATAGTTACTAAAATTGAAAATAACTACAAAAACAGGTCAGACAGCAGTATCTGATACAAAGCCTTCAAATGCACCACTAACAGTGATTCACAGTAGATACCGGTTGAGCAGATTTTTATTCTTTGGAATGAATCACACTTTCAGTCTTTCCAAAATTTGATTTTTTTTCTCTCTTTGTTCCAGAGAAGAGACAAAAAGATTCTTGCTTTGCTAATAAATGAAAACAACAAAAAATTCTATGTTGTATCAGCTGAGATAAGAACTTGCCAATTTTTCTGGAGACTCAAACCCAAAACTGCCCAGGTAGAAGACAGAATTACCAACAGCTGCCCCTGGATCCACCGTTAATAAAAACTTTGACATCAACTGGGACAAACCCAGGTACCCATAGTTGGCATGGGAAGGGACTACTTCAACCTCTAATGGATTTACTCTCTAAACTACTCCCCAAATCCTCCTCTGTTCCGGCCAGTCTGTACTTTCACCAATCTTGACAGTTTAAAAAATCTGATTTTCAAAAAGCTTTCACATACGAGGTATCTACAGCAATCAAATGCATACAGAAAGTAGAGGGGTGGTTTCCAGGGCCTGGGGGAAGGGAAAAGTGGGGAGTTGTGTTTAATGGGGACAGAGTCTCAGTTTCCCAACATGAAAAGTTCGGGAGATGGATGGTTGTGATGGCTGTCCAACACTGTACTTAATGCCACCCAGTGTACACACTGAAAAATGGCCCCTTGGTCAATTGCATGAATATTAACTTTTTTAATGTTAAAAAAGACTTTTACAAAATAAGATGGTAAAGTCTCTCTGGAGAGTTTCCAGCCAGAAACTCTTGCCAACCAAAAAAAAATCTCATGCTGTTATTCCCCAAGTCTGACCACCGCTGCCAAGTGCCAATGCCCCCGTGTGCTTGCTGGGCCACGCTCCACTGTCTGGCCACCTTATACTGTGTGTAAGCTAAGAACTCAAGTACAAAGGCGCTTCCCTTCGAGCCACGGGGCCATCCTATCACTTGGTTGATAGCTTATTCCCAGCCAAGCATAACGTGGCCATATTTCAAATGTGCAGAGTTTAAACCTCCAGGAGGCCTCAATTTAGTTCAGAAAATCGAACACTAGAATGAAACTAAATTCCCAAGAGATACCCTGTACTACAACTTCCTTCATTTCTAGCAGTGAGGATATTTTGGGCTGTATTATGAAAGAAAACTCTTGACCATAAAGGAATCTTCCCTTAACAAGAGAGCTGCGGGGAGGTGGTTCATGACGTCACCGAGGTCCAGGTTCTCTTTCCCTCCCATTGGGGTTGTGAATGAGCTTTCCATCCTCCTGCCGGTCACCTTGTGGGCACAGTGGCCGCTCCAGGGATCACACCAGCTACTGACTAAACAGTACGGCGGGGCAGGGGAGAGGCTTTTCCCCAAAACTCCTCTGCCTGGAAAGGAAGCCCCGCCCCCCTTACATCTCATTGGTCAGAACCAGGACCTGCAGTCACAGACAACCAATCACTGACAAAGGCAACCGTGATTGCCACGGCAGGTGTAGATCTGTCATGACTAGGGGTCACCTGGCCCCTTCCTGCTCCTGAGCACCTGAACAGGAGCACAAAGGAGGTCCACAGGGCAAACTTACACAGGGCCTGGCCTTCCAGCTGCTTTCCTAAATTCTGGATTAAACGTCACCAGTCCACTCAGCATCACCATTGAAGAGTACATTTATCATCTTTCATATGGGTAGGTGGGTCCATCACCCCTGTCAGAATATTTCCATCCCTCTGATGTAGTATCTGGAATCATCACTGCTTCTAGGATCAGGAACTAGCCATTTGAACAAAGGGATCATCATCCCGAGAACAGCAGGGGCGGCTCCGTACCTCACCCTGCTACCTGGCGTTTATGGTTGCTGAAGTCTCAACCCAAGCTCAGCAGCTGGTCGGAGTTGTCATCCCCAACATGAGGACTCTTAGGTGCAGCGGCCTCCACCTGGCACAGGACCGTGAAGGGAACTGAGGACTGTGACTACCACACGCGGCTCCCATAGACACCAACAGCAGCCCCCTTTTAACTGGAATCATCTTCTCTGGCACCCCTGGGGAAGAGGTTGGTGCATTTCCATCTCCCAATGGGGAAAGTGTGTCCGGAGTTTTGTTCCTTCCGGTAGGTTCACAGTCTCCCTGACTTCAAGAATGAAGCTGCGGACCTTCACAGTGAGTGTTAACAGCTCTTAAAGGTGGTGTGTCTGGAGTTTTTCTTCCGGTGGGTTCGTGGTCTTCCTGACTTTAAGAATGAAGCAGTGAGTGTTACAGCTTTCAAAGGTGGCACTGGACCCAAAGAGTGAGCAGCAGCAAGATTTATTGTGAAGAGCGAAAGAACAAAGATTCCACAGCCATGGAAGGGAACCTGAGCAGGTTGCTGCTGCTGTCTTGGGGGAGGTGGGGGGCGGGGGGAGGTGGCCAGCTTTTATTCCCTTATTTGTCCCCTCCCACATCCTGCTGATTGGTCCATTTTACAAACCTCTAGCTAACCACAGAGTGCTGATTGGTATGTTTTTACTGAGCAGTCATTGGCACATTTTACAAACCTCTAGCTAGACGCAGAGCGCTAATTGGTGCTTTTTACAATCCTAGATACAGAATGCTGATTAGTGCATTTTACAATCCTCCTATAAAACGAAAAAGTTCTCCAAGTCCTCACCCCGCCCAGAAATCCAGCTGGCTTCACCTCTCAAAATGAGGGGCAGGCGAGGCAAAGACCAAGTTCCTGGCTTAGGCTCTGGCAGGATCTAGAATTGAGTGTTGCACAATTCTAACACCTCCATCCTAATTGTGTTATAGCATCTGTCAGCAGAGGCCCTGGGATGTATGTGAAGTCACATCTTGGCTGTAACTCATTCCACGCAGGAAAGCAACAAGGAAGAAGGGAGGGAAGGGTGATTCTGCTCCTAGCAGCCAAAGTTGTCTTGATCTAATCACGGAAATTTGTTTCCCCCGCAACTAATCTTTTTGGCACCTTTTGTGTTCTTGCTAGGAGCCAAAATCCCTGGAATGGAATTAGAAATTCTAAGTCATGGATAATCTTACGTGGATTCCAAATCCTGTTAGCTTATTTTGTTCAGGTGATGCTCCCCTGACTTTATATTGGTTAATTCTTTAATCTCGCCAAGCATTTTGCCTATGCAATGCCCCACCTGTCGCAGCCAGGCCAGCCCTGATGCACTCCCTGCAGGGAGTCCTGAGGGAAACCCTGGGCTCCCACCCTGCCCCTCACCTTTACCCACAGAACTCCCTCTTCCCCACCTGGCAACTTCCCCTGGACTTCAAAGATCCTCCTCAAATTAAGATAATTCTTAAGTGGAAAGAATTCCAAATATTAGCCAGCCACTCCCATCTGGTTCCATTATGTACGGTTTTTTCCTTATGGTAATTCAGACTGCTAGCAAAGCATCTAAGTGGATGCCAATGTGTTTGGGACCCTTTTCCAGGTCCTGACACTGGGATTTCATATATGGACTTTTTTCCTGGTAATTTAAGAAAAAAATCTTGGAATCGCTCTTAGAATCTGAAGCCTTATCATACAAAAATACTTAACTACCATTTTCTCCCAAGAAACTGGCAAAGGAGGAAGAAAGGTGAAGTCGGCCACCAACATGGTAGAAAGATTCTCTCAAGAGCTTTCAAAGAAGAGGCTTCACTAGATGGTCGAGGTTGTCCCATGCTGGAGTGGAAAATGTTCCCTGCCCCCACAGACGCTCTGCTTTTCCTTGCTTATTCTTTAGTTTTACTCCTTCCCAGCAGCTCCAAAATTAATTCCCCGTGTTTATTCACGTGTTGCTTATATGTTTTCCATCACCAACCATTTCGTTGAAGTTCATTAATTTCCTCCTGACCCCACTGCACTCTTCCCACTCCCTTAAACAATTTAAGAGCAATGCTTCAGCTCAACCATTTTTGGTCTGGCATGAATTTCAAATTCCCTCTTCAAACAGACTCTCTGTTCTATTTTTTGTGCTGTCATTTACCCCCTTACGCTGGGTCTGTAGGTTTCTTAGTTCTAAACACTTTGGCCAATACCATCTAAAAATCAACATAGGAAAAATAATCTCAAACCCAGACACGTGCGAGAAGAAGATACGTGCAGAGAAACAACGCCAAGAAAGAGACTGGAGTTCATGGGGAAGTACGATCCATGTCACAAAAAAGGACCCAGACTGGAGGTGTGGACGCTGACACATTATGCAGAGGGCAGGGAAGCTCGTGTGTCCTCACTGAGAGGGCACCCCTGGGCCACACCCCGAATCTTTAAGAGCATCATCTGTGCTGAAAAGGAAATGTGCTAGAAACCCTGGAAAGCATGCCCAGGAAGACCTGGGCACCCAACGTTGGCCAACCCTCCCCACAGCGGGCACAGATCCCACTTCTGCAGGCTGAGCACAGCAACGGTGCTCCCCACATTGGGCAAAACCAGCGTACCTGGTGTAGAGCTGCATAGGGGAGAGAGATGCGTGGGTGCACACTGGGGTTGGGGTGCTCAGGAGAGCATCTGGACAAGTGAGCAAAGCCAGACAGGCCAGCAGGGCACTCCTACTGGAGGCCACAGTGCAGGGCATCCTTCTGCCTCCATCCAAGCTCACCCAATGACACCTGGACACTGCACAGAGCTGGATAGTGAGGCAGCTTTATAAGTAGAAAGCTCATTCTTGTATCAAACTGAAATTGGTGTCCCAGTAACCTCCACCCAGTGATCCTAACTGTTCCCATTAGAAGCTGAAGGGCACAGGCCGGGCGCGGTGGCTCACACCTGTAATCCCAGCACTTTGGGAGGCCGAGACAGGCGGATCACGAGGTCAGGAGATCGAGACCATCCTGGCTAACAAGGTGAAACCCCGTCTCTACTAAATATAAAAATCAGCTGTGCGTGGTGGCAGGCGCCTGTAGTCCCAGCTACTTGGGAGGCTGAGGCAGGAGAATGGTGTGAATCCGGGAGGCGGAGCTTGCAGTGAGCTGAGATTGCGCCACCGCACTCCAGCCTGGGCGACAGGAGACTCGTCTCAAAAAAAAAAAAAAAAGAAGTTGTTGAAGGGCACAGGGCCAGAGGTCAAGTTCTCCCACTTAACAGACTTGCAAAGATCTGAAGCCACCCCAACCCTAGGCTCCCTATAAAGTCCCTTAACTGTTCTCAGCACATGTGGTTCCCTAACCCTAAATACTTTCCGACAGTTTAAAAGAAGGTGGAGGAAAAATCTCATGCTAGCTTTCAGAGGAGGGCTTTTAAGACAAGTGTTTGACAGTAGGTAAATTAGGTTTGAACATAGGAAACTGCCATTTTTGTAGGTTGAAACGGGCTTAAAGAGAGGCAGTCTCCTATGACACAATGTAATATGTTGTCAAAACAGAAGCAAGTGATAAAAATTTTCTGCAATTCCATAGTAGTGATGGTTATACGATTCTGTGAATATCTTAAAAACTGGTGAATTGTACGCTCCGAAAAGCTGAATTGTATTGGCTTGTGGATTCTATCTCTTAATTTTAAGAATTCTGTTGTTAAAATAAAAGGGACAGGAAGAGCCTACAAATGTCCTGTGCACATAACTGGTGGTCAACTCTAAAAGGCTGGCTTACATGTAGCAAAAGCTCCTTTCATTACAGATGACTGAAGTTGAAAAAGCAAAATAAGGCAAAATTCAGCAATAAGCCCACACGTACACAGCCCCCCAACCCCTGTCCTTGTCATGCCCACAGACTGAGTGTCCCTCTCTGAGGTCTTCCCCGCCCCTCTCTGCAGTCCGCACCCCTGTGACCTCATTTCCAGACCACTCCACTCAACACAGCCAGACTGCCTAGGATTTTATTTGCATCATGTTTTAACACATATAGTCCAGCTTCCCAGGTAGATTAGAAATCTTTAAGGACAAATACTACATGATAAATATACTACTTCCTCATACTGCCAGGATAACAATATTGGCTTTTAAATGGGCACTTAATAAACATTCGTAATTGCTACTGACAATAATTAGGGCTTTTAGGCACGATCCCCTTGCTTTTAAACAGTTGATGCTCAGGCAACCAGAATTCCTGAGCTCAAACGTAAAATATGGTATGCCTTGGATCTCTACAAGACTCTGCTTTCTTGACTGTTCTTTCTTTAAATACCAAATTCATTCAGGATAAATTCACATCAAAGCAAAGGCCAACTCGTGTAATAACAACGGTTCAGGAGAACCCACAAATTCCTCGCTGTCTCCGAGCACTGGACCATCTGAATCCAACGGAAACACCAGGTTTACAACCTGCCCACCATGAATCCTACACCTCAACCTCACTTTCAGTATTAACATTCTTCAAAATTCTCAGAGGATCATTCAGCCTCATTTAGGTTTTTTTTTCTTTCTTACCAAATGTGTACCAGGGTTCCTATGACACCCATTCAGCTCTAAGTCTCCTGGAAAACCTGCCCTTCTGGTGGTTGATGATATAAAGTCTACTGGCAGCTGCTTCCCCCAGCCCACTCTGCTCCTTCATCCTGCAGGGTGGGGGCCGGAGTGGGGAGGGTTTCACCCAGCCTGGCCGATCTCACACTTTTCCTCCTGTACCCTTCCTGGGAAGGTTTCCCAGCCCACCTTCATGGAGGTGTCAACCACTGGGGTGGACTCGGAGGAGAGTAGAACCAACAACCGGTACCAGCATTTACTGAACCTGAACTTTCAGAAATATTTTGAACAGTTTAGAAGGGAATATTTGGAGCAGCACCCACCGCCATCCCACACCTGCCCCACCAGGCTCCCTTGACCCCCTCAGAAGCCAGCACATAAATCCCACTCAACTCCCAATATCAACAGGCCATTTGTGAAACAAAGTTTGAGGAGATATTATTCCTTCTCTTTTGAGTAACATAAAAAATTATAAAAGAATCAAAACCTCAATGAATTCCATGTTCATTAAAGGAAAAAATTTAAAAAGCATTTTTACTTTAACTTTAAGCCCTTACTTGTGCTTAAGAATAAACACGATGGCCGGGCGTAGTGGCTCATGCCTATAATCCCAGCACTTTGAGAGGTCGAAGTGGGAGGTCACTAGAGCCCAGGAGTTAATGATCAGCCCTGGCAACATAGCGAGACACTATCTCTACAAAATATTTAAAAGTTAGCTGGGCATGATGGCACATGCCTGTAGTCTCAGCTACTCGGGAGGCTGAGGTGAGAAGATCACTTGTGCCCAAGAGTTTGAGGCTGCAGTGAGCTATGATTGCACCCCTGCACTCCAGCCTGGGTAACAGAACCAGACCCTGTCTGGAAAAGAAAAAGAACAAGTACACAATGCTTTACCCTGCCCACAGGAGACATTCAGAAAGAGGCAAGGGAACAGAGATCAGGTGAGGAAGCCTAGCATTTCACTCCTTCAGCAGGTACTTCCTAAACACCTGGTCTGTCTCAGGTGCTTCCAGGCACTTGGGAGCATATCGACAAAGCAAATGAAGATGTCTGCTCTGGGGTGTGAAGCAGATAAAAACAAATACACATGACAGATAGGTCAAGCAGACGATATGTTCAGAGGTGACAGAGCTACAGGCAGAAGAGGCGGAGACCCCACTATGGGGCACAAAGAAAGATCTGAAGTGAACATAATTTAATTAATGTGGCCCCAGGCACTCAGGCACGGACCAAGGGTGTGCTTCACTGATCTGCATCAAAATGTAAATTGGAGGTTTTATACACTAAAATATGAAAATAACTCATATTGAAACCAGCCAGAGACTGTTTAGGATAGCCAAGCCTCAGACAGCTTGTGTGCAGTATCATTGCCAACAAACTGGACCTCCACCCGAGGGGGTGAACACAGCACTGTGGAGTGGACACTCATGTCCCATCCTCAACCAGGTGCCAAATGGCAGGTGGCCAGCCACAAGAAGTAGCGGACAGGAGAAGCACTGTCCCTTCCCCACAAAGGGTCCCACAAACTGGCCCTGGGCATGTCCTAGTGCTCTCTGACCTGCAGGAAAAAATGAATCAAGACCTCAACCCCATATCAACAAAGAAGTGGCTACTTCAGCCTAAGTACATGCAAAATCAGTCCTTCTTTAATATAGGGGAAAGTTAAAACAGGAATTCCAAATTAAAAGTAATTATATTTTTTCCTCCGTTCTTAAATATATACACGTATACACACACTTACATATATGGCAAAAGTAAAGCAGAATCAGGAATAGAATGCAGAGGCTGTGGAAATCCCAAACCACACTGGCAAAAGAGGACACTTTTCAAGAGCCTGTGCTTAATTGCAGACCAAGCCGCAGGCCTCTTTGTGTCACCAAGTTCTTCCCTTCTAACTTCAAGGGGATGGTAATGTTTAGTCTTTTAAAAGTAAATGAAGCCGGGTGTGGTAGCTCACGCCTGTAATCCCAGCACTTTGGGAGGCCCAGGCGGGTGGATTACTTGAGGTCAGAAGTAGGAGACCAGCCTGGCCAACATGGTGAAAGCCTGTCTCTACTAAAAACACAAAAGTAGCCAGGCGTGGCGGCGCACGCCTGTAGTCGCAGCTACTCAGGAGGCTGAGGCAGGAGAATCGCTTGAACCCGGGAGACAGGTTGCAGTGAGCCAAGATCGCGCCACTGCACTCCAGCCTGGGCAACAGAGACTCCGTCTCAAAAAAAAAAAAAAAAAAGTAAATGAAACTCTAACAACAATAATAAAAAGACAACCCAAGGTGAGATTGGGCAAAGGATCTGAATAGACATTTCTCCAAAAAAAAAAAATACACAACTGGCCAAAAAGAGCATGAAAAGATGTCATCATTAGTCACTGGGAAAATGCAAATCAAAATCACAATGAGAGACCACTCCACAGCCATTAGGACTAGGACGACTATTACCAAAAAACCAAACAACAGCAACAACAACAACAACAACAACAACAAACAACAACAACAAAAACAGAAAACAAGTACTGTTGAGAACGTAGAGAAATTAAAACCCTGGAATACTGCTGGTGAGAATACAAAATGGTGCAGCCACTGTGGAAAAGTCTGGCAGTTCCCCAAAAAAAAAAACATGGAATGACCATGTGATCCGAAATTCTACTGCTAGGTATGTACCCAAAAGAAATTGAAGACTTGTGAATGAAATGTTACTTGGAAATCAACAGCGTCTTCTCTGAGTCCCATCTTCCTTGCAATCAAATAAGAAACAGGTTAAATATCAACAGTTTGATGTCCATACTGAATGTTGTTCTACTTAAATAATTTTTTTATTTTTTATTTTTTGAGATGGAGTCTCACTCTGCTGCCCAGGCTGGAGTGCAGTGGCATGATCTCAGCTCACTGCAACCTCTACCACCCAGGTTCAAGCGATTCTCCGGCCTCAGCCTCCGAAGTAGCTGGGACTACAGGCGCGTACCACCATGCCCGGCTAATTTTTTGTATTTTTAGTAGAGACAGGATTTCACCATGTTAGTCAGGATGGTCTCGATCTCCTGACCTCGTGATCCACCTGCCTTGGCCTCTTGAAGTGCTGTGATTACAGGCAGGAGCCACCGCGCCCGACCAAGAATATTTTTTAAAACTATTAGATGGGAATCTTCTCCAAAACCTGTCGACTCCTCAGTGTCCTCTCATGTCAGGCTCTCCAAATCAGCTGCATAGCTGCTGCATCCAACCCCAGTCCAGCTGCTCAGCCTTTTGCCCTCCTTTCTGGGTGCACACTGGGGCAGCCTGCCTCTCAAAGCCCTGTCCTCCAACAGACTCACTCTGCCTCACTTCTGCTGGGCATGACCTCCCCACTCCCCACTGCCCAATACAGCTCCATTCCATCTTCACATACATAAAGCCTCTCCCTCATGCCAAAGAATAGATGTCTGTTACCTAAGTAGCTATGCCAAGGAATTCAGTGATCACCTGGACAGAGAAGATGCCCAATGTATTTTATTCAATAAGCTAACAAGTTAGCAGCCTCTAGGCACAGAGCAGGTGCTCAGAAAGTACTTATGACTGGCCAAAATGCTGGGGATGAGGCAGTATAAAGCAGCACTGCCCAACTTGCTGTGAAGAGGGAGAGTGTCTCTATCTCCACTGTCCAGTGTGGCCTCCAGCCACATGTGGTATGTGGCAACTGAGCACTTAAGTTTGGCTAGTGCAGCCAAGGGTCTGTTTGTAATTTTATTCAGTCTGAGTTAACTTCAATTAAATAGCCACATGTGATTAATGGCTATCAATTGGACGGTACAGCTACAGAACAATGCACACCCTGGGCATCCTCCTATATCCAGAAATACCCAAGGTAAGGAAATTTGCAGATGGCTAATTTAAGACTTGGCAAGCAAAACAAAGCTCTGGAGACCCAGGGTTGAGGAAATGTGCAAAACTCTGAACAAAGGCTTTCTTTTTAAAATTCACATCTAAACCATAACAGGACCACAAATATTACATTTTTTCTTTAGCAGTAATCAATAACTCATCATTTATTTCAAGTTGACGCACTGACTTTAATATTTTAACCCTCACATGCAATTTTACCAAAGTGCTTATAAACTTGTTGCTTGTTGCAAATAATGTACACACAAGGAAGGCCGTTTTCAGGATGGCATGGCTATCCGATGAGTCAGTATCTTTTTGATCTGAGAGATTCCAAGCTCCCTGAGTTCCTTGGTGGTCCCAGAGATGGAGGAATGCAGGTGTCGTTCTTCAGGTGGCAGAAGTGTTGGGTCAACTGTCCTGTGTGGCTCCTGGAATGAGAGCCGAGGAGAAATCAGGGCACATGGGTGCCTTCCTATTCCAGGGTTTGAGGATGTTCTCATGCATCCCAATTGCAGTCCATACTTGGACCCTCATCAGGCCCTGAAATCCGTCTCCACTACAACATTGGCAGCTGATTCTTTCCTGCTCTCCCCAAGCTGCTGTTCTGCTGCCTGTCTGCACTGAGTAGAACTGAGCTGGTACTCCATGAATGGGAGGGACACTTGAGGGCAAGGTCTTTGTCCTCCATGGTAGGTGATCCCTCCTGCTGCCCAGCCCTTTTCCTATCCTTTGTCCCCACTCCCAACATCAGGCATCCTGTGGTCACGCTGGGGACTGCCCGGCCATCCCTCCTAGTCCCTGCGGTGGAGAGAGGCAAGGGGAGGACTGGAGGAAGGTGTCCATCGGGTCTCAGTCCCTTGTGGTGGAGTGACAGGCAGCTTCAAGGCCAGTGGCTTCTGCCTGCGTCCTCCTGTCCCAGGCCCTCTATGGGAATCACAGCCAGTGGATCTCAACTTTTACGTGCATTAGAGAGGCACAGATTGCTGAGTTCACCTCAAAATTTCTGATTCAGGCCGGGCACGATGGCTTACGCCTGTAATCCCAGCACTTTGGGAGGCAGAGGCGGGCGGATCACGAGGTCAGGAGATCGAGACCATCCTGGCTAACACGGTGAAACCCCATCTCTACTAAAAATACAAAAAACTAGCCAGGCGTGGTAGCGGGCGCCTGTAGTCCCAGCTACTTGGGAGGCTGAGGCAGGAGAATGGCGGGAACCCAGGAGGCGGAGCTTGCAGTGAGACAAGATCACGCCAGCCTGGGCGACAGAGCGAGACTCCATCTAAAAAAAAAAAAAATTCTGATTCAACAGACGCGGGGCAGGCCCAAGAGTTTGCTTTTTTTGTTTTGTTTGTGTGTTTGTTTGAGACAGGGTCTAGCTCTGTCATACATGCTGGAGTGCAGTGGCACAATCATACCTCACTGCAGCCTCAACCTCCCAGGCTCAAGCAATCCTCTCACTTTAGCCTCCCAAGTAGCTGGGATCACAGGCACGAGCCACCACACCTGGCTATTTTTTATTATTATTATTATTTGTAGAGATAGGATCCCACTATGTTGCCCAGGCTGGTCTCAAACTCTTGGGCTCAGTAATCCTCCCATCTTGGCCTCCCCCAAAGTGCTGAGATTACAGGTGTGAACCACTGCACCTGACCATGTTTGCATTTTTAACAAGCTCCCAGGTGATGCTGATGCCAGTGGTCCAGAGACACCACTGAGAGAACCATCGCTGTAGGGCCCTAGTCTTCTAGAAGAGGACACCCTCATGACACCAACCATCTGCTCATCTCATAGACATTAACTTACACAGCTCTCAAGAACGCACTTCCCCCAAGATACAGCCTTCAGCCATCCCAACAGCTCAGCCCAAGCCCACGAGACCCAGCCCCCAGCTCGGCAAGCTCTGTCCTTGCTCAGCACAAGTGAGCTCACAGGTACACACCCCTGACAATGCTGTCAGCTGCCTGTATGTGTGTGTGTGTGTGTGTGTGTGTGTGTGTGCAGCATGCATATGCACTTGTTTTGGTGCCTGGCACATGCACCCATTTCTTCTCAAACTTATGACTTACCTCCACACAAGCCCCAATTCCCAATGCCCTCGCCATCCTTATCCTCCAACCCCAAATACATGCACACACCTAAGTTTCTTGGATGGCAGAAAACCAACAGATGGATAATCCATAGGAACTCAAATACAGAGTAACAGCAATCCTATGTCAAGAGTGCTTGCCAGAGAGCCAGAGAGAAGAAAACTCGCTCACTCTACCCTTTCATTGCACAGAATTTGGGGGACCGATCCTGAGGTGTGACACCACTCTGGGTTCAACAGACACCTGGGTAGAGAAGCCACCAACTGACCTCAGAGATGGGGTTTCCTCCTGGTGAGAAACAAGTCACTTGGCTTCCACGCACTCTGCCTAATTTCTCCTGCATGATTTGCGTGCACACTTAAGAAGACATCCTAGGCCTGGCGCGGTTGCTCACGCCTGTAATCCCAGCACTCTGGGAGGCCGAGGCAGGCGGATCACCTGAGGTCAAGAGTTCAAGACCAGCCTGGCCAACATGGCAAAACCCCATCTCTACTAAAAAAATACAAACATTAGGCCAGGCGCGGTGGCTCACGCCTGTAATCCCAGCACTTTGGGAGGCCGAGGCGGGAGGATCATGAGGTCAGGAGATCGAGACCATCCTGGCTAACATGGTGAAACCCCATCTCTACTTTAAAAAAAAAAAAAAATTAGCAGGGCATGTGGCGGGCGCCTGTAGTCCCAGCTACTTGGGAGGCTGAGGCAGGAGAATGGTGTGAACCCGGGAGTCAGAGCTTGCAGTGAGCCAAGATCATGCCACTGCACTCTAGCCTGGGCGACAGAGCAAGACTCCGTCTCAAAAAAAAAAAAAATTAGCTGGGCGTGGTGGCACATGCCTATAACGCCAGCTACTCAGGAGGCTGAAGCTGGAGAATTGCTTGAACCCGGGAGGTGGAGGTAGCAGTGAGCCAAGATCACACCACTGCACTCCAGCCTGGGCGACAGAATGACTCCATCTCAAAAAAAAAAAAAAAAAGAAGACATCCTATATTTATCCTTGCAACAGGATTTGAAACACATAAACATGGGATACATTTTTTTAAACTCCAATCACTGTAGCCAGATGTAGAAATCCATCTACCTTCTTTAAAAGATTAAGAGTATTACGTCCGGGTGAACCCTGATGAAATCACGCTCAGTGAAACAGGCCAGGCACAAAGGACAAACACTATACGAGTCCACTCACACGAGGTCCCCAGCGTAGTCAAATACATAGAGACAGAAAGGAGAATTGGGGTTGCCAGGAACTCAGGAGCGGGGAATAAAGAGGTAGTGTTTCATGGGGAGAGAGCTTCTGTTTGGGAAGGGGAAACAGTTTTGGAGATGGATGGTAGTGAGGTGGTGATGGCTGCACAGCAACGTGAATGTTCTTGATGCTGCTGAACTGTATGCTCAAAACCAATTAAGATGGCACATTCTATGTTTTGTGTATTTTAATACCAAAATTTTAAAAAGAAAAAAATAACACGTTTTTTATAAGAAGTGTTATATCATTAAATTTGGTAGAACGGTGCTCTTTTGCCCCATTTCATGGGCCATACTCAGCCCACCAGAGCAAAGTGATCTTTTTCAGACCGTAAGTCTTTCAAGACCCAAACTGCGTCCTGGACACAGCTGGGTTAGAGGTCATACTCTCCAGGTCAGAGACCCACAGCTCCCCCAAAAACCAGGATCTTAAGGTCACTTGGTGGTCACCGCCCTCAGCGGCTTTTGGAAGCTCATCCAAATCCCCAAACCATTACACAGGTAAGTGTAACTTCACAGCCTGCCTGCAAGAAAAGTCCTTGCTGACCCACTCACTGCAGGAAGAACTAAACACCGTACACAAACTCCAAAGCCAGAGGACCCTGAAGGGGGACCAGGGGAGAAAAAAGTCCGAGGGCCACCTCCATGCCCCACCTCCATTCACCACCTCCATTTGCTACCTCCGTACCCTATCTCTGTGCCCTCTGTGGCTGGCTCTGTGTTTTCTAGATTCTTTTTTTTTTTTTTTTTTTTTGAGACGGAGTCTCTCTGTCACCCATGTTGGAGTGCAGTGGTGCGATGTCAGCTCACTGCAACCTCCACCTCCCAGGTTCAAGCAATTCTCCTGCCTCAGCCTCCCAAGTAGCTAGGATTACAGGTGCATGCCACCACACTTGGCTAATTTTTTGTATTTTAGTAGAGACGGGGTTTCACCATGTTGCCCAGGCTGGTCTTGAACTCCTGAGCTCAGGCAATCCACCCTCCTCGGCCTCCCAAAGTGCTAGGATTACAGGCGTGAGCCACCGCGCCCAGCCTCTAGATTCTATAACTGTCTACTTGGCATCCATTCATCACAGGGTCAATTGTATCAACTATATTTTATTTTCTGTATCCTTGATGCTCCTGCATTTGTGGCCCCACTAGCTAGAGACTGCCCTTCCCAGGCCTGGCAAATCCTAGAGACAGCAAAGGGCCCACTGGGAGCTCGCCTTTCTTATGCAAACCAACCACCCTAGAGCCCCACTTCCCGCCACCTCCTGCATCACACTCACCTGCCACCACCTTCTGCATTACATTCACACGCCAAGCCAACTTCTTGGCCCTATGTGACCCCAGGGCAGGCACCAGGCACCAGACACCCAGGAACAGCCCCCACCCCCAGGCCCCAAAGCCTGCCAACAAGAGTCACATCAGCCCATCTGGAACCGTCCCCCACTGCCTTGTATTTCCCAATCCCCTCACTGCCCCTCTGCCTCCCAACCCAACCTGCTGCTGCCCTTGAGGCCCTGCGTGGCATGGCAGGTACCCTTCTCTTAGGAAATGTAAATAACAAAATCTTTCCATGTAAAATCCCTCTGGCACCATCACTGGGATGCCACCCACCACGGTGTGGGACTGTGCCCTGGTGGCCACATAAAGAAAGGAAGGTACACCACTCTGACGTGGGCTCACCGCTGACCCTGGGCAAGGAAAGAGGCAGACTGTGGGCTTCTCATGGGAGAGCAGAGTCTTGGAAAGCCAAACTGCCCCAGATGAATCCAGATTCACCATTCTGGGGACATAATGCTGGGCAAGGCATGCTGCTTCTCTCTACCTCAGTTTCCCCATCTGTAAAAGGGACAAACAGCATCTCCCCTCACAGACTGTTTCAAAGACTAAATGACATAATTCATCTAAAAAGCAGGGCAGATCCTGGCATGAATCACATGCTGAGGAGTGCTTCTGAAGAACCCCATGATAGTAAGTGGAGGACCCCCGTTCAGTGGTGTCAATCATGCAAGCTCCACAGGAGAAAATGTGCACCCTGCACTTTCCTCATCTACATCACTAGTTCAATAAATATCAGGACTGAATGTTGAAAAGCCGTCATGTCAATTATCCTGCTTATTTTGCTACAGGTGTTGAATAGAAAGACTGGCAAGAAAACCAGCCATGCCTGCACAGTATCACTGCTTTTCTCTGCAGAAGGCTGGGTTCATGCTGTCGAGCAAGGAAGCATGGGCACTGTGGCTTTGTGCCTGCATGGGAACACGATTTGACTTTTTGTGGCTCCACAGAATCAGAAACAGTAAACCTCCACACCCGTATTTCCCCTAACACAGTCCCCAAAATAAAAGAGCGCTATGATCAAATATGTTTGAGAAACACTATGTTAGAAAATACAAAGCAGGTTTTTGTAAAACAGGCTGCACCAGTTTCCAAATGTGCCCACCCTGGAGGCTTTGTCATTCTGTGAAGGAACGCAAGGGAGGGGGGCACAGTGAAATCCACTTTGCAAAACGTTACCGCAGCCACAGAGGAAAATTTAAAAGCTCCGCAAAGGCATGGCATCTTCGAGATGACGCCAGTGGTCAGCATGGACGCCCTTGCAGCTTCTCAGAGGATAAGACAAGTGCATCAAGGTGTAACCCGTGGAGAGGGGGTTCCATCCCACACAGCCAATGTTCTATCCCATCAAGAGACTGAGGCAACACCTCCAGAACAAGTCATGTTTAGAGACACAAAAGAACCAGCACCAGAATTTGCCTCTGGTCCCCACGGGCATTCTTTTCAATTCAACTTATGACCCAAAGACATTCCAACACCCATGCAGGTGGCTCCCAATGACAGAGGACAGAGCAAAGTTGCTTCACACTGCTCCAAGTCCAAGAAAACCCAAAGGAGCCTCAACTCTAAACCACCCAGAAAGGTCAAACAAATCAAGAGTGGGCACCAAAAGCCAAAACACACCTCCATAAACCCCAGGAAGAGGACGGCCACTACCTCAAGTGGCTTCCTGGGTGCTAAGGCCAGGGGCGTGCAAGATCCTGAGTACCACAGAGTTTTCCCCGGGACCTGACTCCCACATCATTGAACACAGAGAGCAAAGATGAAGGAAAGGCCAAGAAAATGTGCTGTCTTTGTTTTCATTCCCAGATCTGTGTCCTACTGCAGTGGCTGCTCAACCCCTACTGCACACTAGTTTTAACTGCAAGCTTTAAAAAAAAAAATCTGGGCACCCAAGCTGCACCCCAGACAATTGAAATCATAAGCAGGAGGAAACCAACCCAGCCACCATATTTTTTAAAGCTCCCCTGAAAAGCAGAGATTCTCAACTCTAGCCACACATTAGAGTCACCTGGAAGCTTTTATACAGACCTAGGTCCCACATGCTGGAAACAATCAGTTCCTCTTCAAACGTTCTTGCTCTTTCCTGTTCTGTTAATAACGCTTCCCACCTTTGCTGTGCAAACTGCTAGAAACAAAGACTCAACTTTTTAGTCACAAATTGTAAACTACTCCTACTTTCCCCTTCTTTCCACGCATTTACCCTGTTTGGAAAAGTTTAAGTCTCAGCCAGTCGGGATCAGCTTAGACTGTGTGGTCCGACTGCAGCCAATAGGAGAAGGAAACAGAAACAGAAGCTGCATTAGGGATAAAAACCCCTTCTCTCCTTTGTTCAGTGTGCTCTTGCAAGCGTGACAAACACAAGCAGCACTCTTCTGCAGAAGTAAATGTGCCTTGCTGAGAAACTTCCTATTTAAGTGCTGGTTTTTCTTTGCAGCACTGGGCACTTGTTTCTAACACACACCAGAGGAATGTAAAGCTGCAAAAGTGAGTTCATCATGGGGGCAAGATTGACAAATCACTGTGTCAGGGGAAGTCAAAGAGAAAGGACAGAAATGCTGGCTACAGACAGCTGAGATACAACACACCTATAAGCGGTGTTCCTGAAAAACAGAATACAGCAAACAGAAACACATGGATTCAAACGTTTAATGGATGAAAATGAAGCCAAAATAAAGCAAGACTTAATTTGCAGACTGAAGACCTAATTCCCAAGAAGAATGGATATGGCTGGTCATTATCAGAGCATGAACTGGTGAAGTTGCTGAATCTCAAAAATTCATAGTATTTGTCTGGTACATCATTGCCTTTCTTTTCACTTTTTTACCTTCTAATCACTTGGATTTGGACAGATATTTTACATAAAAGTCAAAGAAAACAAACAAAAGGGAGAAAAAAGGAGGCACTAAAAATAGAAACTATGCTCCCCCAAATGTGACAAAAATGAGATCAAATATGTTATCTCAGTAAGTGTAACTGAGGGAAAATAAATATCAAGAAGAAAAAAACAATAGGATTAAACTCCAAATAAAACTATTTGTTATATTTAAAATCTGTCTGAATCCAAACAACTAGAAGATAGAAAATTTTTAAATGGCAACGATGTACCAGGCAAGTCACAAATAAGGAAGAACTGTAATATTAATGTCATACTCTCCTTAATTAGAAGTAAAAGGGACACTTTAAAATGATTAAGAGTAGAATTCTCAGTAAGGCTCTGTCATGAATATATGTAAAAGACATCCCAGTGTCCAAAAGCACAACACAAAATCTGAAGCAAAATCAGAGAAACAGACCAAAATAATGGCTTAGGATACCTTCAACTTTTCTCTCTACTTAGGGCAGATAAAGAAGACAAAAGTGTAAGTGAAGATACAGAAAAACTAAACTATATAACCAATGAAGTTGCTCTTAACTGAGATTATATCTAAGGTCCCACTTAATAACCAAATTTTAAGCCATTTAAAAAAAAATCAAATTCCCTAAAACCAAAACATAGCAGATCACACTATCTACACAAAATGCAATAAAACCACAAAATAACTCCCTACAAGTATTAAAATTTCTTCTTGTCTTGCAGAAGAAATAAAATTGAGATGACAAGCTATTTGGAAAAGAACAATACTAAAAACATCATGCAACATGAACACAACATAAAAGCTGTAGCTAAAGCTACACTCATGGGACAATTTATAGCCTTAAGAACTTGCCTTACTTATAATAAAATTGTTCTAAAGTTTATCTAGAAAAATAAGTGACACTAGCCAATAAAGTTCTGGGAACAATGAGTAAAGAGTTAGTCCTACCAAATACCAAAATTTAGAAAGCTATGGTAATTAAAAGTGAGATAAAAACTGAATTTTCCAGAAATAACACCAATCTATCATGGAATTTTAATACCCAAAAAAAGAGGGAGCTGCTTTTCAAATCTTTGATAAGGAATTAATTACACAATGAAGAATTTCAGGACAATTCATTTTTCTGAGGAAAATAAAGCTGGATCTAAGTTGCATGTGAACCGAAGATTTAACCATACACACACAAAAAAAGATCATTAAGAACCTACCCAAAACAGCATAATTTTTTAAAAACAAGCTTAGAATGGCAAAGGGATTCTAATATATGTCTCAAAACTCAAAATATATAAAACAAAAGCTGGCTTAATTTGACTCCATAAAACTTAAGACTTACCGCATGAAAACAAATATCATAAAAAAAATCAAAGGAGAACGTGAGGAAAAAAACACGTTCACAGAATCTGGTACATGGCTAAATATTCTTAGAAATAGTCTTAGATTCATGACCAGGCTGGCCAACATGGCAAAACTCCGTCTCTACTAAAAATACAAAAAAAAAAAATTAGCTGGGTGTGGTGGCGCATGCCTCTAATCCCAGCTACTTGGGAGGCTGAGGCAGGAGAATCACTTGAACCAGGGAGGCGGAGGTTGCAGTGAGCCAAGATTGCGCCATTGCACTCCAGCCTGGGCAACTGAGCGAGACTGTCTCAAAAAAAAAAAAGAAAGAAAGAAAAGAAAACAGAAATAGTTGTAGAAACCAGTGAGGCAACTGAGAATAACTGCTAGAAAATTAGTAGAGAAAGTGAACGCTTATTTGCCAGAAAAAAGAAACACAAATTACTTATAAGGACAGTTGGCCTGGTGGACAATTGTTAAAATGTCAACATACAGAATTAAGATGCCATTTCTATTTTTCATACTTCTTAAGATGAAAATGCCAGATGATTTCCAATGTTGCTGGGCCTAGAAAAACCCAAAAAGTTCATGCATCATTACTGGGAGAATAAATTGCTGCCACCTTCTGGGAAAACAACTTTGTAGACAGTATCAAAAGTTTAAACATAGGCCAAGCACAGTGGCCTATGATTACAGGCGTTAGCCTGTAATCTCAGCACTTTGGAAGGCCAAGGCAGGCGGATCATGAGGTCAGAACATCGAGACTATCCTGACTAACACGGTCAAACTCCGTCTCTACCAAAAATACAAAAAAAAAATTAGCCGGGCATGGTGGCACGCGCCTGTGGTCCCAGCTACTCAGGATGCTGAGGCAGAAGAATCGCTTGAACCCAGGAGGTGGAGGTTGCAGTGAGCCGAGATTGCGCCACTGCACTCCAGCCTGGGCGACAGGGCCAGACTGTCTCAAAAAATATAATACTTTGCACAAAGTACTGGACTGGAAATTGGCTCTACAGATACTCACAGAGTTAAAAAAAAAAATATGTTTACAGATGTTCACTACAGACCTGTTTCAAGTAATAGCTAAAAATCAGAAGTATACATCCACAGGAGACCAGGGAAATAAATTCCAAATGAGAGCTATCAGCAAATTGTTTTAATGACAGATACTACCAATGTATACATAAATGACAGATATTAGCAATGGTTTTTAAAAATGAGGTAGCCTGGCATGTACTAATACAGAAAGACTTATGAGAACTATCGTTAGGTGAAAACAGCAAACCTCAGTATGTATGGTATGATCTCACTGTGTATAAAAACAAAGAAAGAATGGAGCAATGTGGATGAACCTTGAAAACATTATGCTAAGTGAAAGAAGCCAGACACAAAAGGCCACATACTGCATGACATTTTCTACATAAAATTTCCAGAATAGGCAAATCCACAGGGAGAGAAAGTAGATTAGCGGTTGCCAGAGGCTAGGAAAAAGGCGGGGACGGGGAAATGGGGAGTGATGGTTAATGGGTAGAGGACTTCCTTTGGGGGTGATGAAAATGAACTGGATGGTAGTAATGGTCAAGTAACAATAAAAGTGGATTAAAAGACATTGAATTGTTCACTTTAACATGATTCATTTTATGTTATGCGAATTTTACCAGAATTTTTAAAAATAAATAAAGGAGAAGCACAAACAAGCACATGTGCGCAGAAAACATCAGGAATGAAGCATCAAGTCTGTTCAGTGTGTTTATGGATGCGGGGGGGCGAGTGAAAAGGGAGAAGTGGGAGGTGCTCTTCAATCACACCCTTCTCAGTTTTGGTTTCTTTTTCAAATCATCAACATGTGTTACTAGATTTTTAGTTTTGGTTTTTTCTTGTTTTTTACTTAATCAAGTACTAAATACACTGTTCTGATAGAAAATTAAAGCAGTCCAGTGAAAACTTACAGAAGTCCCTTTTGATCATACCCCAGCACCAGGAGGGGCCACTTAGAGATATCTGCCTCCATAAAAGACAGAAAATACGTAGCATTGTTTAAATACTTAGAATTATGAACAAATAATTGGCCCCAGCCAAAACTCCCCGAATATTACAAGGACCCTTCCCCCAGCAACCCACCCACCCACACACCCAAAGCACACAGCAGGCCTTAGTTTCTGGCTGGGGAAGACAGCAATTATGAAAAGCATTTGTTTAAACTTAATCCTGAGTAGTTCAACGTATACCCTCATTTGGCTGTTGTTCTTTCTTTTTCATTTTGCTTTATTTTTAAACAGCTGAGTTTTTAGGGCCCCATAGAAATGTGTGGTTGGTCAACTATGAGAAACTTGACTTAGTTCTTTTAAAATTATTATTTTCTTAAAAAGAAAGAAAAGAAATGAGCTCAGAGTTTAGAAAACAGCAACAACAACAAAAAGAGAGTACGTGAACCTTATTTGAACTCTGAAAACATATACAACACTTCACTAATTAGACGTAATTGTGTCAGAGCTCTGCCTTGCAAAACAATGGAGTTTCCTTCTTTCAAAAGAAAATAATAATGACATTTTATTTCCAAAATAAAATTTCCAAACTAAAATGATGACACACTAAATTTTGCAAATGGTGAAGGAAAACTGAGATGTCAAGAAAGCTGGTTGAATCTTACATAATTACGTTCTTGACAGCACTGTTAATACAATCAGAAGACAGAATTCTGCATCTCATTTCAATCTAAAGCATCCACTAGGATCCATCTGTGAAAAGTCACCTTCCAGTCCCAAGTCCCCGGCGGCCACCTGGGTCCACACTGACACCCCCAAATATGCTCATTGCAAATCTCCTCCTTGCACCGCTCCATGGATACCCCACCTCCGGCACTCAACATGACTTGGCTGCCACACACCAGGAAACCTCAGAGGAGCAGCCAGCTGGCCAAGCACCCCTGCCCCTGCCCTGCGGGCTCCACAAAAGCTGGAGGAGCAAACGCAGCTCACCTCTTTTTCTGTCCACTGCTTCAGGGCCTACCCCTGTGCTTTGGAGATGGAACAAAAGTGAGAGAGCTCCCTGACACACCCTCCCAGGGCGAGGATGGCAGCTCCTTCCTCCATTTGGTCCTAACACAGCCTCCCCAGGAGACCAGGGGCATCCACTTTGCCTCCTACTTCAAAGGGCTTCCAGGTCCCGCATAAATCACACTTGCTGACAGCCCCACAATTCCAGCCGCCATGAGGATGTTTGCTTTTGTTGGCTTTTTTGTTTTTGCCCAGGTCCCTGTAAGAGAAACAAAGGCCCTAGGACGGGCAGCACTAGGCGCCTGGCATCAGGGGGCTTGGCCCTGGGGGCAGACTGTCTTTCTACCAGCACCCACCCCCGGAGAGCTGCCTCATCTGCTCTGACATCTGGGATGCCCCGCTGCAGAAATCATGTACCCCAAGCACAGCCCACAAGTGACAAGGCTCAGGACTCTTCTCCAGGCCAATAGCTGGAGGGAGGTGATGGAGACAGATGGGCAGCCTAGCAATGACCCCCAGAGAGAAGGCCTTGGACACAGGACAGGATGCACAGAGGTGCCCCATATGCCCAAGGGGCTGGCCAAGTGCAGGGATGACAAGCGGTGAACACACAGACCGCAGCCCCAGCTACTCCACAAAGCACCCACCGCCTCCAGCCAGGACTGGCCTCATGAGTCTGTGCCCCCAACTCCTGACCGCAGCACTGACCAGCGCTGAGGGCCGGGGCCAGACAGCTCACCACCACTACCCCACTTCCCGAGGCTCAGCAATAGTTTAGCAGTAGAACCTTTTTTTCAAGTTAATTCTTAGGCAGAAACCCAAAAAGTAAAATCAATAGTGAGCTGCACTTGATCCACAGGCACTTATGGGTGGATGCGTGTGTTAGCCTCCTAGGGCTGCCGTAACTAAGCACCACAAACTGGGCAGCTTAAACAACAAGAATTTGTTGTCTCACAGCTCTGGAGGCCAGGAGTTGGCAGGGTTGGCTCCTTCTGAGGGTCCTCGGCTGTCCATAAGCCGAGTGTCGTCTGCCTGTGGTCTCTTACCTTCAGCCACCTTTCATGTCATCTGCCCCTGTGTGAGCTGGCCTGTGGCCAAACTGACCCTTAAGGACACCAGTCACATTGGATTATAGCCCACCGTAAAGACCTCATTTTAAATTATCACCTCTGTAAAGACTCTTTCTCCAAATAAGGTTACATTCTGAGGTACTGGAAGTTAGGACTTCAACATATCTTCTTTTGAGCAATTCAACCAATAACAGTGTGATATTCTCTGTTAAAAAGTCAGTAAGTGGGAACCCTGAGCCTCCATTATAATGGCCATAAAAACTTGAAACTCCAAGTTTAGGAAGCAGCTCTAATCTTATTTCCACCTCAACAATCTTTTAGATTTCCCATCTTCGGCCGGGCGCGGTGGCTCACGCCTGTAATCCCAGCACTTTGGGAGGCCGAGGCGGGCGGATCACGAGGTCAGGAGATCGAGACCATCCCGGCTAAAACGGTGAAACCCCGTCTCTACTAAAAATACAAAAAATTAGCCGGGCGTAGTGGCGGGCGCCTGTAGTCCCAGCTACTTGGGAGGCTGAGGCAGGGGAATGGCGTGAACCCGGGAGGCGGAGCTTGCAGTGAGCCGAGATCCCGCCACTGCACTCCAGCCTGGGCGACAGAGCGAGACTCCGTCTCAAAAAAAAAAAAAAAAAAGATTTCCCATCTTCTACTTTAGTTTCAGAATATCAAGAAAATTATGATTTTCTGCAGCCAGTAACACAAGCTAAAGTATTTTTTCAAGAGCTCACAGTGCAAACTCGGGATTATAGAATTAAACAGAGACGGCTGCTTCAGTCTGTGCTAAAACAAGCTGACCCAGAGGCGCCTGTGGACCCACTGTTGGTCTGGCAGGAAGCAAACTTGAGTGGAGGCTTTCATGATCATTTTAAAAATGTTAAATATGCTCAAAATGGAATGTGGATCAAATATTTGTAAAGCGCAGAGACTCCCCTCGTGGGGAGTCTGCAAACCCAGAGGATGAGGCGAGTTTCTGACAACTCCGAACTCCCATTTCTCTAACAGCTCACAGGACGCCCCCCAGACCCAGAGATCCAGACGCCCCAGGGGTCTAGATGCACCCCAACTCACATATGAACTGCCACAGCCTACTCAATAAGCTGACTTCCCACCTTCTCCTCTGGTCAGAGCCAGACAAAGGATTCTTACAAAGCAAGGAGGGAGATGAAGGGAAAGAGGCCCTCACTGCAGCAGCCCGACTCACTTGTTCCAATTTGTAGAGATAAATGTCTTCCCCAGGAGCTTCAAGAAAGGATTCAACAAAGTGATCACCAGCACAGGAGAGACAGGCAAAAAAGACCCTGAGTCTTTTTATCTTCTTTTGAGACTGAGTTTTGCTCTGTCACCCAGGCTGGAGTGCAGTGATCACAGCACTCACTACAGCCTTGAACTCCTGGGCTCAAGTGATCCTCCTGTCTTAACCTCCCGAGTAGTTGGGACTACAGGCATGCACCACCACGCCCGGCTAATTTTTCATTTTTATTTTTGTAGAAACAGGGTCTTGCTATGTTGCCCAGGCTGGTCTCCAACTCCTGACTGCAAGTGACCCTCCCACCTCAGCCTCCCGAAGTGCTGGGATTACAGGCAAGGGCCATCGTGCCCAGCCTGAATTCTATTAATGACACTTGAGAGCAGCTTCCTTGTTAGAGTAAATAAGTAAATAAACAACTTCAGCTAAAATAAGACAACACCTTTGACCAACCCCCTCATCTCCTCCAGGCTGACCCGAGTTAGTCTAATATTTGGGTATTTTAAGATCTTATTCCAGGCCAATCACAGTGGCACACCTCTAATCCCAACACTTTGGGAGGCCAAAGTGGAGGGATCTCTTGAGTCCGGGAGTTGGAGACCAGTCTGAACAACATAGTGAGACTCTTTCTCTTACAAAAATTTTTTTTTTAGTTAGCCAGATGTTGGTAGCTAATCCCAGCTACTCGGGAGGCTGAGGCAGAAGAATCAGCTTGAACCTAGGAGGTGGAGGTTACAGTAAACCCTGAGATTGCACCACCACACTCCAGCCTGGGTGACAGAGTGACACTCCATCTCAAAAAGAAAACAAATGTGAGCCAGATGTGATGTGCACACCTGTAATCTTAGCTATGTGGGAGAGTGAGGCAGGAGGATCACTTGAGCCCAGGAGGTGGAGGCTACAGTGAGCTATGATTGTGCCACTGCACTCCAGCCTGGGCAACAGAGCAAGACTTCATCTCAAAAAGGAAGAAGGGGATCTTATTCTAGAGATTGGTATCTCCACAGAAATGAGAGCAGGAAGGCGAGAGTTTTTAAATAGGTAAGTACACATCTCTCCTTCTGTATCATTCTCCCCACTCAGAATCTCTTCTTTGAAATCTTCCTCTATTTGCATCAGTAGATCCCCATATTGACTTGCATTTGTAGAATAACCCACAGTTGAGAATTAGCACCACTTATTTGGCTCCCATTAAAAGACACATAGATGTTTCCATGTTTCACTCCTGCAAATGGTGTTGCCAAGGAAGAGCATGAGTATTTCCTTAGAGTGGGCCATGGAGTATGTGCATTTTAAATGTTAACAAGTGGCCAGGCGCAGTGGCTCATGTCTGTAATTCCAGCACTGTGGGAGGCCAAGGCGGGTGGATCACAAGATCAGGAGATCTGGAGCATCCTGGCCAACATGGTGAAACCCTGTCTCTACTAAAAATACAAAAAATTAGCCAGGGGTGGTGGCACGTGCCTGTAGTCCCAGCTACTCAGGAGGCTGAGGCAGGGGAATTGCCTGAACCCGGAAGGCAGAGGTTGCAGTGAGCCAAGATTGCGCCACTGCACTCCAGCCTGGCGACAAAGCGAGACTCCATCTCAAAAAAAAAAAATTAAATTAAATTAAATGTTAACAAGTAATGCCAAATGGCCCTACCTGTGGCCAGTCCTGCACCATTAATGCCATGCTCCCGCATCATGGTTTTCGTGCTCCTTATTACCCACTTCTGATTTCAGTGATCCAATGAGTCAAAGAGCTTGGGATAACTGTTTTATAATCTGCATTTTCTTGAATCCTAATAAGGCCACACTTTTCACAAGTTTGTGGCCTTTTGTATTTGTTCTTCTGCAAACTGCCTGACTGTACCTTTTGTCCCTCGTTTAACTGGGGCGTTCATCTTTTTCTCACTGATCTTGTGAATTCTTTTACATACTCTGGATGTTGATCCCTCATCTGTTCTCTCTGTGGTAAAGGCCATCTCTCCATCCCACAGTGGGATGTCAAAGCCTCCACACCAAGAAGGAGAAAATTGAGTATTTTGTGTTTGTTACTGGAAAAAAGAAGAAGAGGGGCAGTAAACACACGGAAGTGAAAGTGCCTCCTCCCTCCTTTCTACGCATTAATACTGCATTTGTTTTCATAAAGCCAGTGTTCTGAGTACAGTGGAGACTGGTCCATGCCACAGGCTGTGCTGAAGGAGGTGGTAACAAGAGCACCCACCAAAAGAGGGCTCCAGAATAAACGGGACTGGGAAGGGCTGGATTAAACAAGGCTCAGCAGATGCCTCGTGGCCTGAATCTCCGGGCCCCACCCCACATTCACCTGCACAAAGATGTCCAAGAGAGACTCAGTGCCACTCCAAGCCCAGGTTCCTGGGCTCTGCACCCAGAGGGCCACAGCCTATGTGATGCAGGGAAGCAACACCTTCCAGAATTCGGAGCTTCCAAGCCCACGGGAACCCCAGAGCACAGCTGCATTCATGGCAACTCAGCCCCGCTGTGCGCAAATCAAGTGTGAAAGGCCATTTCCAGCAGGGCTGGGTATCAGACAACACCAGGGCTCCTTGTTGATAACAGTATTGAGATGGTGTGAAAAAAACAGTTCTTACCATTCATGCTGAAGTATTTTCAGGTAAACAATTAAGGCTGTCTGGGGACTGTTAAGTAGGCCGGGGGAAATGAAACGAAATGAACGTGGCAACTGTTGAAGCTGAGTGAAAAATATACAGCGGTTCACTGCAGTCGTCTAATTTTATGTGTGTTGGAATTTCTATAATAAAAATCTTAAGAAAGAAAAATCAGAAAACTTGGGGCAATCCAGAAACTAGACAAAGACAGAGATTTTCAGTCCCTTCAATGAAATGCTGTCTGGCCTCAAAAGCACCTGGATCGCATCCATCCTCAGTCCCTGTGACACCATTTCCAATAAAATCATAACGTGCAATTCTTTTTTTTTTTTTTTCTTGAGACAGAGTCTTGCTCTGTCACCCAGGCTAGAGTGCAGTGGCTCGATCTCCGCTCACTGTGACCTCTGCCTCCTGGGTCCAAGTGATCCTCCTGTCTCTGTCTCGGCCTCCCGAGTAGTTGGGATTACAGGCACCCAGCCCCCACCCCCGGCTAATTTTTGTATTTTTAGTAGAGATGGGGTTTCACCATTTTGGACAGGCTGGTCTTGAACCCCTGACCTCAGGTGATTCACCTTCCTCAGCCTCCCAAAGTGCTGGGATTACAGGCGTGAGCCACCACCTCGCCGGGCCTTGAGTCTTTCTTTTAACAGCATGTGCTAAACTCCATTGTTCATTGCACTGGCTTCAGCCATCCATTGTTAGAATTTAACATTTTTAATTCTTTTTTTTTTTTTTTTTTTTGAGATGGAGTCTCGCTCTTTCACCCAGGCCAGACTGCCATGGCGCTATCTCGGCTCACTGCAAGCTCCGCCTCCTGGGTTCACACCATTCTCCTGCCTCAGCCTCCCAAGTAGCTGGGACTACAGGCGCCCACCACCGTGCCCAGCTAATTTTTTGTATTTTTAGTAGAGACGGGGTTTCACCGTGTTAGCCAAGATGGTCTCGATCTGCTGACCTCGTGATCCCCCCGCCTCAGCCTCCAGAAGTGCTGGGATTACAGGCGTGAGCCACCGTGCCCGGCCTTAATTCTTTACTTTGAAACCATTTCGCCTTTACAGAGAAGTTACAAGAATGGTGCATGAAACTTCCCTCTACTCTTTGCCCAGGTTCACTAATGTGTCACTCTTGCCCCATGGGCTTTATCATGGTCTGAGATGACAATAGTAGGCTGGAGACATCAAGCCCCTTTATCCTTTAACATGGCAGCGTGTATGTCCTATGAGTACAGACATCCTCTTACACCACCTCTGCACAATTAACAAACTCAGGAAAGACAAGTCTGACAACACGTTTAAATAACTTACGCTCACCTTCCAATTTCCTCAGTGGTTCCGTTAGTATCCACGACAGCATGTTTTTCCCTCCAGCACAGGGTCAGGGCCAGCACATGCACTGGACTGCCTTGTCCCTGTGGTGTATTGTATTGTACTGTCTTCTCTACCTACCCTGTGGTGTACTGTATTGTACTGTCTCCCCACCCCGCCCAGCCCCGCCCTGCCCTCCTTTCTCTTCTCTTCTCTTCTCTTTCATTTTTGAGACAGGGTGTTGCTCTGCTGCCCAGACTGGAGTGTAGTGGCACGATCTCGGCTCACTGCAGCCTCCACCTCCCGGGTTCAAGTGATTCTCCTGCTTCAGCCTCCCTAGTAGCTGGAATTACAGGCACATGTCACCACGCCCGGCTAACTTTTGTATTTTTAGTGAGGACGAGGTTTCACCATGTTGGCCAGGCTGGTCTTGAATTCCTGACCTTGTGATCCGCTGGCCTCAGCCTCCCAAAGTGCTAGGATTACAGGCGTGAGCCACCACACCAGGCCCCTGTGGTCTTCTTCAAGCTGGACCTGGCCTGCCCTGTTTCATCGCTCATGTCCTCGACAATTTTTGCTACAGACCATTGTTTCATAGAATGTCCCTCCATTTCGTTTGCTGATTTTTGCTCATAATCAGACTCTCTTCCCCAGATAGAAAGCAACCTAAATGATGTATGCTCTTGGGAAGGACGGCATCCATCTGCCCAAATCTGTGGCATTAACCTGGACCACCCAGGTATTGGGATGCAAATCTCGCCAGTCTACAGTTAGCAACTGTCCCTTGCCAACAAGGAATCTGTGGGGAAATCCTTTGAGACCACAGACATTTCCTGCTCCTCATCAAACATGTCTTCTTTAATGAGTTTAGCACTCATTCATGACGCCTGCCCAAATCAATCCGTACAGTTATTGCTGTAAAATGTGATTATTCCCAACTCGCCTCCCATTTATCAGTTGGCACTTTGCTCTAGGAAGTGCCCTCTCTTCCCCACCCCTCCCACTTAGGTTTTGTAGTAAATTAGTGTTTCCCTATCCACCCAGAAGCTCAGAAAGTGACCTTATTTGGAAATAGTCTTTCCAGTAGTAATAAGGAACATGAGATTAAATCATCCTGTATTTACAGTGGTCCCTAAATCCAATCACTGGTGTCCTTACAATAAAAGGTCATGTGAAAATGGCGATAGAAGTCAAAGTGATATAGCTCCAAACCAAGGGCACCATGAGCCACCAGGAACTAAAAGAGGCAAAAAAGTTTTCTCCCCTAGAGCCCTGGGAGGGATCGTGGCCCTGCCGCCACCTTGATTTTGGACTTCTAGCCTCTAAAACTGTGGGAGAATACATTTCTGGTTTTTAGGTCACCCCGTTTATGGCATTTTGCTACAGCAGGCCTAAGAAACTCATACATATAGTTATGTACTTATTATCAATGGTGAGTCCTGGATGCCTATTTTGTTCCTTGTATAATCCATGCTTGTCTTTATTTATTCTGATGCCTAAATGGTCCCAGACTTGGCTGCAACTCCTTCAAGTTGGCCCCTGAGTACATCTGCCATGCCCCCACCACTTTTCACCACTCACTTGCGTTCTAACACAAGAACACGTTTCAGGCTTATTGTGTATTTTTCCCTGTCCCCATCCCATATTCAGTCATTTCTCCAAGGTTCTCTAGCTCCTTTAAGATGCAACAGTATTGAGAAACCAACATCTGGGCACTAAGAAAGCTCACTGCTAATGAGGTGCTAAGAAATAACTGTTATGTGTAGAGTATGTTTTACAAATTACGGTGCATAATTTAACATAATATATACCAAATATATATATAAATGAAAGCATGAGTTACACTGATACCTCCAATTCCAATTCAACCCCTCCAGATTCTTCCTTGCCTTCCCCTATTCCATCCTTATATCTCCCTCCTTCCTCAGTGAGCACCCTGGCTACAACACTATTAACACACTTCTTATCTGTCTAATCTCACAATTCACACAAAGTCATTTCAGAATGGATATACCCACACCACTATGAAAATCAAACCTACTAAGAAGGGTGCCAGTTTTGCTTTCAGGTTGTTGTTTCTCCTGTAGGCTGAGGATACACCGTCAAAGCACTGAGTCCAACATTACGGTTTCTTTTCCCCCATCTGTGTAGTCATGTTACTCATTTGCAACACATTTGCATTTATGTGCTTCTTTGTATTCAATTCTAGTTTCCTGCTATTCTTAGTGATTTATTTTTTGAACTTGTAGAATGTTAGCATGTTCTAAAAGTCAAAAATATACCAAAAAATGAGAATAAACTAATAGAAAGGAAACCACCTCAACATAGTAAAAGCCATATACGACAAGCCCAGCAAACATCACACTCAATGTTAAAAGACTGAAAGCTTTTCCTCCAAGATCAGGAACAAGACAAGAATGCCCATTTTCACCTCTTCTATTCAACACAGTACAGTCATGCGTTGCTCAACGATGACGATACATTCTGGGAAATGTGTCCCTGGGCAATTTCATCATCATATGAACATCATAGAGTGTCCCTCACACAAACTGCACACCTAGGCTATGTGGTGTAGCCTACTTCTCCTAGGCTACAACAAACCTATACAGCATGTGGCTGTACTGAATACTGTAGGCAACTGTAACAGGATGGGAAGCATTTGTGTATCTAACCATATAAAAGGCACAGTCATATACAGTAGTGTTATCTTATGGGACCACTGTCATATAGGTGGTCCATCGTCTGAAAACATCATTATTTGGCCCATGACTGTATTGGAAGTTCCAGGCTGAGCAATTAGGCAAGACCAAAAATAATAAAAGGCATCCAAATTGTAAAGGAAGAAGTAAAATTATGCCTATTTGTAGATGATACGACTTTACATACAGAATAAGAGCTACAAAAATGCTATTTGAGCTAATAAGCAAATTCCACAAGCTTGCAGGTTAGAAAATCAACACACAAAAATGTTACATTTCTGTGCACTAACAGTGGGCAATGTGAAAAGGAAATTTAAAAAACACAATTCCAATTACAACAGCTCGAAAAGAATAAAATACTCAGGAATAGATTTAACTTAAGAGGCAAAAGACTCATACACTAAAAACTAAAAAACATTGCTGAAAGAAATGAAAGGTCTAAATAAATGTTAAGACATCCTGTGTTTATGGACAGGAAGACAATACTGTTAAGATGATGGCCAGTGAGGTGGCTCATGCCTACGATCCCAGGACTGGGGTGGGGGTGGGGAATCCCTTCAGCCCAGGAGTTCAAGACCAGCCTGGGCAACACAAGTGGACCTCCATCTCTACGAAAAAAAATCAAAGAATTAGCCAGGCACGGTAGCGCGTGCCTGTGGTTCCAGCTACTTCAGAGGCTAAGATGGGAGGATAACTTGAGCCCAGGAGGTAGAGGCTTAGCCCAGGAGGTTAAGGCCAGAGGTAGTGAGCCGTGTTTGCACCACTGCACTCCAGCCTGGGTGACAGAGCAAGACCTTAACTCAAAAAAAAAAAAAAAAGTTAATACTACTCAGATCCATCTACCAATTCAATGCAACCTCTACTAAAATCCCAGTGACATTTTTGCATAGCAATTTGTGGCTACTGACACCTGAAATGAAGCCAGTGAAGGGGAGGAAGTGAATCTTTAATTTCTTTTAATTTTAATTAATTTTAACTTATATAGCTGTGTGTGCCTGGTGGCTACTATATTCCACAGCACAAGCCTACAATGAGGAGTTCAGGCCTAAACATTTCCTTATTTTAACTGCCCATTGTGTTAACTATCCCTCCAGGAGGGTGTGGAAACCATTAGGCTAGGAGTATTTGGGATTTAGGGGAACCCTCCCCCACTCCAGGAGGACTTGAAGCAGCCGCCACATTCTCCTCTGATAACATCTAGAAAGTGACAGAGTGCTTACTGAAGCTCATTCCAGCGACAATTAAAGACATACACACCACTTCCCACTAGAACTTAAGGATTTCTAGAGGACCAAGCTACTTAGTCGAATTAAGCTACATTTTTCTGTAATTATTTCCTTCCCTTTAGCTTTTGAGTTTTTTGCTTTTTTCAGAGATAGGACTTAAAAAGAAAACACCCACAGAAATCCCAAAAACAGTGCCAACCACACCAATAAAATTCCCTATTTTGTAAAAGCTTTATGAAAATTCCCAACACTGTTCAACAATTCTTTGGCCACTCTACGAATATGATTTTAAACAGATTACACCCCAGACATATTTTATGACAACTGCACACGCAAGCAAAGCTGTCCCGCCCTCGTTTCCAACTTGGCAAGCTCTTCAACAAAACCAAATAAATACATGCTAGAAAAAGGCGGCTGCTACAAAACCCCGGCCAGTTGCAGCTATAATTAATGGGCTGGAGCGCCTCTTGTTGCTTGGATTTTTACTTTCAAAACTCAAGAAGCCCACACTACCCACTGAAAGCCTCAACAGTGTTATGGTGGTGTTGTGGGGCAAAGCAGAACCTAAGAGCCCAAAGGGTCACTGAGAAGTAATGTTTTCAAAGCCAGTCCCTTCAACCCAACAGTCCCTTCATGAAATTGCTATTGGCCATGCAGCTGGGGTGCAACCAATAAAAATCCAGACCTAGCTAGCAATGCTTCCACTGCAAAACAAAGCCCCCTGGTTTCTTTACTTTGAAACCTTACATGCTTGGTATTCTCCACTTGGTGGTCACCACGGGGCTCCCAAAAAGGAAATATCCTAATGACAATGTATGGAGTCACAACCAATGGGCAAGAGCAAGGAAGAGCCCGCCCCGAGGAGCCCCCAAGGAGGCACCTCAAGGTAAACCCAAAATTGGGCTGCCCAGCCCTTCACCACGTGGAAACCACAAGACGCTGATGGGGTGTGGAAGAGGAGGAGGAGGGAGTCCTTCACAGTGTCCCCTCCAGGTTCCCAGGGAATGAACCAGATAAACACCAAAAGGAAAGGCCTGTCATCAAGGAACCATTTTAGAAGATGGTTATAAACCCTGGGAAGGAGTAACAGTTTGTAGCGTTAACTTTCTTTTCCCTGACTACAATGTGGAATTATATAATTAGAACTCTCCAAGGGAAAGGATTACAAAGAGTACACAAATTTCCAGCACTACAACAGACTAGCCAGGTCCTGCAGATTAGGGAGCTCAAGTCCTTCACATCCAGTTCCCATTTCACTAATAACTTTTCCCATCCTGGCCTCTCAGGGAATGCATTTTAAAGGAGTGCCAGTCCACCAGCTGAAACCTTTCTAAAGGGGATTAATCTTCCCTACCTGTCAGATGAGCTGTTCGTACCCCTGTATTTCTATTCCACTGATTTCAGAAGAGCTTCCAAAGAAAAGAGCAGTGTAAAATTCAGACTCTGCCAGACTTAATCTCTTGGAGGTTAAATCCAGGCTAACTGTTTAAGGGGCAACAAGTGATTCACTGCAAACCACACTTAAGAGAGAGACATACAAACACCAATTACAGCAGCACTTTGAATAAACAATAAAAAAAAGGTTTCACAATAAAAATAAAAATGTTGTTTAACATTGCCTTAAAAATCTGCAGAGCAGTCACCAAAAACTACCCCTGGAAAACGCACATTTTAAAAAACCCATGTTGCTTTTTTACATATAAAATATAAAGCAGACTTGTCAGTTTTCCATGATTTGCTTTACTAATTAAAAGTTCAGCTTGGCTTTCCAGAGCCCTCTCAGTTACACTGAGTGTCACATAGGGTCCACGGCGATCAGATTTTCAGGGTGACATGCTTTATGAAGTGGACATGAGAGTTAAGCAGGATCTCACAATTATACTGAAAAATTTCAAATGTGTAGCTCTGTGCTTGGTACACAGCCGTAATAAGAAAAATATGTTGCCTTACTATATACATAAAAACTTTTCTTTTTCCACAAAGTCTTCTTATTCAAGATGTTTCCATTTATTTTCTTCTAGATGGATTTCTTCTAGACGGATCACTATCATTATTTATTACCACCATCACTCCAGGGATCTGGGCCAAAAGTAAACACTACACTGCCAAAAATGGGGGCTGGGGGGACCCTAATGCTCCATCGTTCCCCACCTACCCTACCTAGGATTGGTATATAGTCCCAAATCAGTATTTGTCATCAGAGGAAACAGAGTCTTGCTATTAAAATGTGGAATAAGAACTTACAAATCCTTTTAGAAAAACCCCTAAATAGTTTTACATAATAAATTATTTCGTGGATAAAACACACTCAAATAACAGGGACTCCTCTTTTCACAGCAGAAAAGATCCCAAACACTCAAATCTCCTGTAATCATATAATTTTATTATTATTTTGAATAAAAATTATCATACTCTTTGGATTTTGTTAACCTAGCCATACAGAACGAAGAGAATTATATCCTATGCCCTCTCCTATAAAGATTATGAGTATTTCACTAGAAAAAGAACAGGGTTCAAAAATTAAAGAAAACGACTCCAATTGCTTTGTTCATATAAGACATTTGTACATTCACTGGAAACTATGAGTGTTTAAATTCCTTCACCCAAAACTCAAGGAACTTTCCTGTTACAACCACCTTGGCTTAAGCAATGGACCCATCATGCTTTCCTCATCACCCATCTAAAAACCCCCACCACAGCACCGCCCCTCAAAGGCTGCGCTCAACCCTCATGGTCTGCAAGGCAGAGTTTTTGTAGGACAATTAACCGCAGGGTGAACAGCAAAAGCCGCCCAACAGCACGTCCAGCAACGTGTTTAAGCCGCCTCCCCGCCACCCCTCTCCCCCAGCAAAGGGATCTCCTGGGAGATTCTTGGGGGAGGGGTTGCAGAAATCGACAGAGGTCTTGAGTGATGGATACCAACTTAGAATGTGGTCTACTTATTTTATTGTGCACTCTGAGCGGTTTATGCTTTAATGCACAGTGAGATAAACGCAAGCTCCCTTCCCAAATCAAGTAATTAGGAATGTCTGACGTAATCAACATCTGCTTAAACTAAAACCCCCCCCCAGGAAAGACTGTGCAGCCTTTCTGACTCGCGTACCTTGGGCCGGCTAGGGCGGCAGGCCAGGATACCTGGAGCGCGCAGCTCCCAGCAGGACGCAGGAAAAGCAGAGCGTCTCCCAGCCTGCGACTGTCCCGATTCTCACCTTCCTGCAGGAGTGCAGGGATGGGGGATACTGAAGCCCATTTACTAGTAAGAAGTGTCTCACACATTCCGGGGGCTTCAGGCGAACCCCATAGGTCTCTGGCGCTCCTGGGCCTGAAGGCCCCGCCCGCCCTCCTCCACCCCCGCAGGGTGCCGAGAATCCGGCCCGAGGCGCGCGGGCGGGAGGTGCTCCCGGAGTCTGCACCGCCAGAGCTAACGCCGCCTCCTCCAGGCAACCTAGGCAGGTCCCAAGCTGCACTTCCGAACCTCCCCGCCGTTCCTCTGCGCCCCGGATCCAAGCAGCCGAAACCGCGCAGGGACTCGGGGGAAGTGGGGCCCCGGGAGGAAACCCACCTAGGAGCCGGGCCCCGCCCCTCCCGCCGCCAGCCTCCTACAGGTCCCGGGGGTCCCCCCGGCGCGGCCAGAAGGCGGCCGCGCCCCAGCCGCTCAGGGACCCGCGATCCCAGTCACAAACCATTTCAATCCAGATCACACACCACTTCGGCCACCCCAGAGCGGTGGGGGAGAGGAGGTTTCAGGGACCAACAAAAGGGATGCCAAAGAGCCCGTTTCCATCAAGCGGCCCGCGGGCTGGGAAAGTCAGGACCCGGGAGCCGCCGGCGCCCCCACCCCCGCCGCAAGAGCCGCTTCTCCGGGGCCACGTCCACCCCAGGATTCTGCCAGGCATCAGGCCGCCCTGGGGGTGGGGGGACGCTCCGAGACAGACGGGGGACACTCGGGGCCGTGTGCCCTTGAAGGAGGAAGACCTCGGGGAGGAAGCCCGGGTCCTGGGACCCTCGGGGCACATCTGCGGACTCGGGTCCCGGGCCCAGGGCGGGTACTCACATTCACACTCGCACTCCCACTCGCGACCCTCGGGAAGCGCCACCGAGAGGCTCCCAGCCGCCGCCGCCCGCCCCCAGACTCTGGAAACACTTAGGCGTCCCCAGAGCGCGGCTTATTGTAACCAGCCCGAGGGGGTCCGGGGTGCGGGCCGGGAGCGGCGTCGGGCGAGATGCGAATGGCCCTGCCTGGCGCCCCTCGTTCAGGAGCATGGGCGCCGGCGCAGCGGCCGGGAGCATAGTGGCGGCGGAAGGGCTGGCCAAGCGAGCCGTGAGCTACCGTCTGCGCACAAGCCGGAACGCCAGATCCTACCTGAAGTCCGGGACACTGAGAGCAGAAGCGCGGCGGCCGCCCAGACGGCCGGGATGCACAGCAGCGGCCGCCGCGGGAGCGCCGAGCCCCGGGCCATGCCGCAGGCAGTGGGGGCCGGGAAGCCCTCAGAGCTTCGGGCCGGGGCGCGGGGTCGGGCGCCACCACCCCTTTCTACGATGCGTCCGCTCCTCCTTCTCCCTGGCGCTTCGCAAACGGGTCCACTTCGAGGACCTCGTCGTCGTCCTCTTCTCCGGCCCGGATGCGCCGCTCGGCTCCGGCCACGGCAAGGGCTGGCTGGGGAGGTTCCTTGGCGCGGGCTGGGGCGTCCCGCCGGCCGCCAGGACGAGCGCGGGGGGCGGACCGCGGGCGAGCGCGCAGGAGGCAGGGTCCCCGCTCGCCCGCCCCGATGGGCAGAGCGAGGCTTGCGCCGGCGCCCCCTGCCGGGGGAACGCGCGGGCGGCGGGCGGGACCCAAGGAGCTGGGGCTGCAGCTGGGGCCCCGGACCTGCCTCCTGCGCCCGCCCTCGGGCCTGCGCCTCGGAACGCTTGAACACAAAGGTGGCGCCTTGGGGGCGTCAGCCGGAGTTCGGCGGGTCTGCCCACGCAGGAGAGGCGCCCAGAGCGGGTGCCCCCGACTTTCGGGGGCGACACACCCGGGGATCTAGGTCACAAATCAGTAACTCCAGGCTGCACTGCGCACCGGGACAAATCTGAGAGCCACCCAGCCCCAGACACCAGCGGTGAGGCAGGAAGAGGAGAAGCGAAAGTTGCAAAAGGAAATGTTCAGGAAAACAAACAGGCCGCCTTGGCACCGGCGCCCTCCCAGGTCGGTGGGGACAAGCGCGTCCCCCGAAATGCTCAAAACTGCCAGGGGTCGAGCTGCGTGGAGGGAGCCCTCGGGAGCGCGATGCTATCCGAAGCCACCGCGGCTTTTGGTTTACTGTTAAAAGCAAATTGTATAATTTTACCCATTAAAGGCAGAACACTATTTGTTCTCTGCAGAGGCCCAGAATGTGCAGAATTTGCTTCACTTATTAGAGACATTTTGAACGGAATTCAAATAGCATGTTTTCTTGCTTATTCTTGGTTTTGCTCAGCACATGCAAATGTCTTTGTTTTTCCTCTTAGAGGAAGGAATTGGATTCTCCAGCATCTCAGTTGCTTGTTCCATGAGATTGATCTTTTAACTGATTATCCAGCAGTTTGTTTGGTGTTTTTGCTGGAGTACCAAGCTCTGTTAATTGGAGGGCATTAGGGAGAGCCCTGGCCTTGGGTGCCAGACGTGAGGCCTCAGACGTGGCCAGAAATAAAAACTCTCTTGCTATGGTCTGCGGACAAAATGACTAAGCCAGCTCTAGCTTGTTACCTCTGTTAAAAGTATTTAGGCGTCCGGCTATCTCTACCCAATTTGTGTAGGGAAATATCTCACGCAGTTCTCATTCCCAGGAGCTGCTGTAAATCCAGTAGGAGAATGGGAGAAGATCCTAGCCCCTCCTCAACTGGATGGCAAAATTATTACCAAACTTCTTAGACGGGCTCAGGCTGTTCCTCTGCCCAGGCTGGTGCGGGTCTGAACGGGGGGGCTGCTCTCCCCAGTGGTTAGAGGACTGCCAGGGGTTTATCTTTGGGGTTTTCCTCCCTTTAGCTTCCCTTAGAATCCTTAAGGATGCTTTTAGAGTAATGTTTTAAGAGTAGGTGCTGAAGCACTTAGTTCCACACCCCTCTCTTCTGGATCTAGGGAAAACCCAACAGGGGCTGCAGAGAAGGGTCTTGAACCTGCCCTGGAAAACCCCTCCCTCAGCAATGCTGTGTCCTTTCCGTGGTGCTGTGCAGCTCGGAGAAGGTGGTCCCAGCACCTTTGCTTTCCACTTCACACAGCGTGAGCATGTGGCTCCAGAACCATTTCATCAGCAGCCCTGCCATTTATTTTTGTGTGACCTTCAGGAAAATGACCTCATCATGCCCCCATCTGTGTGTTATTTTCACATGACTGAGGCCCCACAAACCCAACTCAAAGGTTTAAACAGCAACATATATTTTGCTGACAGTTTCTTGGGTGGAGTCAGAAATGTGGGTTATATTGCATATGATTTCTTAAAAGCCTTTTAAAGCTTTCTTTTTTGGCATTTCTCTCTCACTCTCTCCTTCCCTTTCTGTAGGTTCTGAACTGAAGGATAAACAAAAAAAGCAAAGTTGGAAGGATGAAAATACAAGCTTTCTCAGTGGTTAAGAGAATATGGCTTACGTCCAAGGCCAAATTGGAGCAACATATTCCTTTCCATCTGTATTAGTCATCAATTGCCACATAACAAATTGCCCCACGATTTAACAGCTAAAAACAGTAAACATTCGTTATTTCACACCATTTCTCTGGGTCGAGAAGGCAGGAGAGACTTAGCTAGATGGTGCTGGCTCAGGGTCTCTCAGGAGGTTGCAGTCAGATGTCAGCCAGTGCTGCCATTATCTGAAGGCTCGCTGGGGCTAGAGGAGTCTCACAAGGTGGATTACTCACATGCTCAGCAAGTTAGTGCTAGGTGTGGATGGGAAGACTCAGTTTGTAGCCACGTGGGCTTCTTGGGCATCCTCACAAGATGGCTTCTAGCTTCTCCCAAAGTGAGCAATCCAAAAGAGAGCCAGATAGAAGCCACAGTGTCTTTTATAGCCTAGCCTTGGAAGTCACATGCCATAATTTCTGCAGTATCTATTGGCTCCATGGGTGGGCCCTTTGTCATAGAAGGAAACTAAACAGGTTTATATATACCAAGAGATAGGAATCACTGGAGGCTGACACCACACCAGCTGTATGGGGACAGCCATTTTCATCCTTGTGATGAACAGCAAGCAAGAGGGAGAGAAAATGAGCAGGGTCTATACTAGCAAGACCGGCGGGAACAAGCCCTTGCAGGCCTTAAGAAAGGAGGGAGCCATGCACATATCTGGGAAGAGTATTTGAGCTGGAGTGAAGAGCCAGTGTGAAGATTTCAAGGCCAGGGGTATCCTGGGATATCTGAGACCTGGGTGGTTAAATTATGTGGTTTAATTCACATTTTCCTGATGAGGAGTCATATTCTATATTTTTTCTTATGCTTATTGGCCGTTAGCCTACCTTCTTTTGTCAGATGTCTAGTCAAATTTTTGCTGATTTATTTTTATTTTTATTCTTTGTCTCCCTCAAATCATGGAATTTCTTTTCTTCTCTGATTTTTTCATAAGGTTGGATGCCTTCTTCTTTTCAAGTGTTGCCCAGGCATGGTGGCTTTTGCCTCTAATCCCTATACTTTGGGAGGCCGAGGTGGGAGGATCACTTGAGCCTAAGGGTTCGAGACCAGCCTGGGCAACATAGTGAGAGCTTGTCTCTACAAACAATAATTTAAAATTAGCCAGGAATGGTGGTGAGCGTCTGTAGTCCCAGCTACTCGGGAGGCTGAGATGGGAGGATCACCTGGGCCCAAGGAGTACGAGGCTGCAGTGAGCTATGATTGCACAACTGCACTCCAGCCTGGGCTGCAGAGTGAGATCCTGTCTCCAAAACAAAACAAAAAAAAGTTTTTAGAGCTCTTTTTTGTATGTTCTGAGTGAAAACTCAAAGAGACAGATATATTTTCTTCCAGTTTCTGGCTAGTTTTCATTTTTTTAATGATGTCTTTTCATAAGTTGCGGTTTTTCATTCTGCTGAAGTCCAGTTTATCCATTCTTTCATTTGTAGGTAGTGCTTTTTGAGTTTCAATAAATACCAAATCAGACCCCTCCCCCGCTACAAAAAAAAAAAAAAAAACGATATGGAGTATCTGGGCATACCAAACTTCACTGCGTGGACGTGGAAAGTAGGTGACTACAGTCCAAGGCCTTGGGCCCACCGCGCTTTTGTGAGGAATACATGCAGACCAGTGTGGTAGAGTTTTTCACTTGCTTATTACTTTTTCAGTTAGGAAATCCTCAGCTGAATTGTACCCTTCTGCTCCACTAGCAGGGAGCTCTACAAATATCCCACTGCAAACAAGATAAATCGCCAGACGTGTCAAACACAATGGCTTCATTTCCTCACTCCACACTCCTTGCCAGTCTGCCACCCTGAATCCACACAAGCAGCTGGGTGTGGTCATCCATGTACTGAACCAACATACATTTTTGTTCTTCTCTCACGCAGTCTCTCTGCAGCATTTTACCCTAGACCATTCCCTCTTCAAAACATGTTTTCCCTCGGCTTGTATGATATCAAGAGCTCCTGGTTTTGCTTCTACTTATTTAGCCATTTCTCCTTGTTCTTCTTTGCACCTTAACCTCTTCCACTTGGTGATTATGCTGGTCTTGGTCCTCTGCCATCCTCTCATCTTGCTCCACACTCTCCCGGTGGGAAATCTCTTCCAAGCTCATGGCTTCCAATGTCACCTATGTGCCCAGCACCTCCTAAATCTGTAACTCCAGCCTGGCATGCTCCCCTGACCTCCAAACTTACATTTGCAGCTGCCTGCCTGGCGTTTCCACATGACTGTCCCAATGGCACCTCAAACTCAAGTTATTTAAATCATGGACTCAAGCTCTACATCGCCCTACCCCAAACCCTGCCCCAAACCTCATCTTTTTCCCACGTTCCCTCCTGCACTTGATGGCACCATCATCCGTGTAGTTCCACAAGATCAGAAGCCCAACCCCCTCCTTGCCCTCTCTCCTATGTGCACTTAGCATCACGGCCTTTGGTCTCCACCCAATGCCCTCTGCCTCCCGTCCTCTCTCTCTATCACCATCACCCTAGCCGGAGATGCTTGTCTCGTTTGCCTGGAGAAGAGCCTCCTAACTAGTCTTTCCATCTCTAGCTTCCACCTGCTCCAGTCTCCTCTCCACCCATATATGGGAAGATCTCTTCAAACTAAAGCTAACGATGCTTCTGCCAAATGCCTTGCTCCTGTTCCTAAGTGAAAGCCTGAAATCTTTCATAGCCCTGGGGATCTGACACCTCCTTACCTGTTCAGGCCCATTCTGTGCTATGTTCTTGCTCTCTACTTTCCAGCTATTCTGATCTTTCATTTTCTCAAAAACATAGAAAGCATGAACTCCCTTTCACCAGGGGGCGCTTTAGCAAGCAGTTCTTTCTGCCTACAGCATGCTCTCGCTCACTCCCTTCACTCAAACGACTTTGTCTCATCCCTGTGGATGCCACTTCCTTGGAAATGCCTTCTCTGTTGTCCTCACCCCACAGTGGGGCAGGGCTCCACGGAAACCCACCTGAGCACAGACCACTGTGCTCTGCATGCTCACTGAACTGAAGTCTGTGTTCCCTGCCGACCTGAAACTCCACAAGGAAGAGACTGGCATGTCCCCAGCAATGCCTGTAATGTGCCAGCAGTGTATTTGTGGATAAAAGGAAGAGAGGAAGGCAGAAAAATGCTGACATGTTGAGCTCTGATTTAGGGCAAATAGAATAAATTCTTTTATTTCCCAGTCTGCTGTCTTTCCCTCTAATGTACAGCAGATTCTTTCTTAATGATGCTGGCGGTCTCTCCATTTCCCACTTACATGACTGAAGTGTAGACTCATCCTGAAATTATTCATTATCCAGAAACATGGGGCTTTTGTAAAGTAAATTTTACCTCAAACCATATATTTGTGTGTACAGCTGTTTAAGCTATTCAGGCTTTCTTGTTTCCAAAAATTCAGATTCAGGAATAATAAAACAAGGATTCTTGTTTTCACCAATAGCTACAAACTTTAGAAGTTCACAAGGCTTGAGTGCAGTAGTCATTATAATAAAGAAATTTTGGCCGGGCGCAGTGGCTCATGCCTGTGATCCCAGCACTTTGGGAGGCCAAGGCGGGCAGATCACCTAAGGTCAGGAGTTCAAAACCAGCTTGCCCAACATAGCAAAACCCCGCCTGTACTAAAAATACAAAAATTAGCTGGACATGCTGGTGCACACCTATGAACCCAGCTACTGGGAGGCTGAGGCAGGAGAATTGCTTGAACCCGGGAGGCGGAGGTTGCAGTGAGCTGAGATGGTGCCACTGGAGTCCAGCCTGGGTGACAGAGCAAGACTCCGTCTCAAAAAAGAAAAAAAAAAAAAAGAAACTTTATCTTAAATTTCCAATCTTTTTTTTTTTTAGATGGAGTATTCACTCTTTGTTGCCCAAGCTGGAGTGCAGTGGCACCATCTTGGCTCACTGCAACCTCTGCCTCCCGGGTTCAAGCAATTTTCCTGCCTCAGCCTCCTGAGTACCTGGGATTACAGGTGCCCGCCACCACACCCGACTAGTTTTTATATTTTTAGTAGAGACGGGGTTTCACCATGTTGGCCAGGCTGGTCTCGAACTCCTGACCTCAGGTGATCCACCTGTCTCGGCCTCCCAAAGTGCTGGGATTACAGGCATGAGCCACTGCGCTCGGCTGACTTAATCTCCTTAATTGTGTTGAGAATTCTCTTGAAATCAAGTATGTGGTATCTTTGCCAACACCAATTCTCTGATTCACCCAAAATCAGCTGGGTGCCCAGCAGTTTCATTTTATTATGACACTAGCTATCCAGATTTAGGAGCAGACTCGACAAGTTTAAAGGCTCAGTTCCACAAGACTGACCCCCACGTCAGATGCCAACCCCAAGTACTGAGTTCCCAGGTTACCTACACCTCTGTCTGACTTGCTACAAATTCGTGGGTTCCCACAACCTCATCCTCAGTGGGATAATTTGCTAGAACAGCTCACAGAACTCAGGAGCACACCTTACTTACTATTGCCCGTGTATTATAGGGACACGGTCAGGAAGAGCCATATGGAAGAGATGCACAGGCTGAGGTTTGGTGTTAGGAGGCATGGAGCTGCCGTGCATCTCCAGGCACACCACCCTCCCTGTATCCCAGTGCACTCACCAATCCAGAGCTCCCCCAGCCCCATAGGTGAGGGGTGTTTATGAAGATTCCATTACATAGGCACGATTGATTATATCATTGGCCATGGTGATTTGACTCAGTCTGCAGCTTCTCTCCCTTCCCCAGATGTTGGGGAGGTGTGCTGAAAGTTCCAACCCTCTGATAAAGATTTGCTGTTTCTGGTGACCAGCCCCTAATACGAAGTTATTTAAGGCCCCGAGCCCAAAACCATCTTATTAAGATAAACCCAGGTATGGTCTAAATGAGTTCTTATCAACGACAAAAGACACGATCATTCAGGAAACTCCAAGAGTTTTGGGGCTATGTGCTATGAACTGAGAACCAAGACCAAATATATACTTCCCATATACCCCATATGTGGTCAGGTTTTTCCTGATGGAACAGCTAAAAATAATAGATGTATTTATATCATCATGGTTACTACTATAGGATTGTTAGATTAAAATACTAATGCCGCTAAGATTTTTGTTCAGCAAGATTTCATGCCAATAATATCTTCCAAAATCCCCTTTAAAAATAATGTGTAGGCTGGGCGCAGTGGCTCACGCCTGTAATCCCAGCACTTTGGGAGATCGAGGCAGATGGATCACCTGGGGTCAGGAGTTCGAGACCAGGCTGGCCACCATGGTGAAACCCCGTCTCTACTAAAAATACAAAAATTAGCCGCACATGGTAGCGTGTGCCTATAATCCCAGCTACTAGGGGGGCTAAGGCAGGAGGATCACTTGAACCTGGGAGGCGGGAGTTGCAGTGAGCTGAGATCGTGCCACTGCACTCCAGCCTGGGCAACAAAGAAGACTCTGTCTCAAATAATAATAATAATAATAATAATAATAATGCATAGGCCAGGTGTGACCACCTGTAATCCCAGTGCTTTGGGAAGCAAGGCAGGAGGATCATTTGAGCCCAAGAGTTCGAGACCAGCCTGGGCAACATAGCAGAACCCTGTCTCTACTAAAAATTAAAAAATATTAGCCAGGTGTAGTAGCACACGCTTGTGGTCTCAGCTATTTGGGATGCTGAGGCAGGAGGATCGCTTGAGTCCAAGAGTTTGAGGTTGTATGAGTCATTATCACACCACTGCACTCCAGTCTGGGTGACAGAGTGAGACCCAGTCTCAAAAATATAATAATAATAATAATAATAATAATTGGCTTCTGGTCTCAAAAGCACAGTTACAATCTCTATTTCCTATGGATTGGCAATCACCAGTTTTGTTGGACAATGCTTAGACATACAGCTACTCTCTTGATTAACACAATCTCTAAAATATATAGAAAATGATGGCTCCACCTGCCACTGGAACCTGCAGTGAGCTGCCTTACATCCACCCCACTGGTTTTAATGTATGTTGTGGGTTGAATTGTGTTTCCCAGGAAGCTATTGAAGTCCTAATCCCAGTATCTATGAATGTGACGTTATTTGCAAATAGTCTTTGCAAACATAATCAAGTTAAGGTGAGGTCACTAGGGTGAGCCCTAATCCAACTGGGTTTCTTTAGGAAATGGGGAAATTTGGGCCAAGAGACAGACACAAAGCAAGCGCACAGATAGGGAGAACACCACGTGAAGAGTAAAGTTGTGCTGCCATAAGCCAAGGAATGTCCAAAAGCTGGAGAGAGGCCTGGAACACATCCCTCCCTAGAGCCTTCAGAGGGAGCATGGCCTGGCCAACACTCGGATCTCAGACTGCTGGCCTCCAGCACTGTAAGACAATAGGTTTCTTTTGTTTAAACCACTTAGTTTTGTGGTCTTTTGTTACGGTCGCCCCAGAAAACTAATAGAAAGTAATATATGGCCACAGACCAGAGGTAGTAGCCCTTTCAAATTACCACTCATTATAAAATTACTAAACATAAAAAATTGTCTAACATAAAATTATCTCAGCTAGACCAAACACACACACACACACACACACACACACTCACACACCTTGTGTTAGGGAAGAAGGCCACAGTTCCTTCCCCTCCAGGAGGGTACAAGTGATGTCCATGGGCTGCCTTGTATACATGGATGCTCTTGCTCTCTGGGAAGTGGCCTAGGCCATCCCTAAACTGGATCCACTCTGAGGGTTCCATCAGAAGGAGATCTAGCCTGTAATCCCAGCACTTTGGGACGCTAAGTCAGGTGGATCACCTGAGGTCAGGAGTTCAAGACCAACCTGGCCAATACGACGAAATCCCATCTCTACTAAAACATGCAAAATTTAGCCGGGTGTGGTGGCCTGTAGTCCCAGCTACTCAGGAGGCTGAGGCAGGAGAATCGCTTGAACTCAGGAGGCAGAGGTTATAGTGAGTCGAGATCGCGCCACTGCATCCCAGGCTGGGCAACAGAGTGAGACTCCATCTCAAAATAAATAAATAAATAAATAAATAAATAAATAAATAAATAAATAAATAAATCAAATAGATAAATAAGTAATTAAAAAAAAAAGAAGAAGATCCAGAGCATCCAGAAAAACCTGGATCTTCAAGCTTTAGGTAAGTGGAGCCTAAAGTCTTCACAAGCAGCAAACCCTCATGTGCTGATGGAAATTGTGATTAGCACATGTGCTGGCTCTGAGACCACCCCCCGCCGCCCCCAAGGTTTCTTGGGTCTTACAGATATGCAAATGAGGCCATCCTACTGCACTGTTGTTAGTAAGATGTAGTGGTCCTCTCTGGGACTTAGGCAGTCCTCAAATGGAAGGTGACAGGGAGTTATGACAAGACAGAGACTTCGGGTTATAATTCCCATCACAGTTCAGCAGGATGATCACATGATGTTGCCGCTCTCATCACCCCATGAAGAGGCGTGCTCAGGCTGCATGCAGCTTCTCTTTGTTTTTTGTTTTTTTTTGTTGTTGTTGTTGGAGTGTCGCTCTTGTTGCCTAGGCTGGAACACAATGGTGTGATCCTGGCTCACTGCAACCTCCACCTCCCGGGTTTAAGTGATTCTCCTGCTTCAGCCTCCCAAGTAGCTGGGATTACAGGCATGCACCACCACGCCCAGCTAATTTTGTATTTTTAGTAGAGATGGGGTTTCTCCATGTTGGTCGGGCTGGTCTCAAACTCCTGACCTCAGGTGATCCACCCGCGTAGGCCTCCCAAAGTGCTGGGATTACAGGCGTGGGCCACCGTGCCCAGCCTGCTTCTCTCTGTTCTTAATAGGATTTTGGGAGGGTATAGGTGACATCCACCTAAGTGTATGACAGTAGGGTTGTTGTGGACATGGGCATGGCCTGGCCAGGGCAGGTATATAAATACCTTGCAGTTGTCAGCTGCAGGGAGAAGACAATCCTGTTTGTCTCTTCTCCAACAGGCAGTTAACAGAAAAGTCAACACAAATATCTAGTAAATATATGAAAAACAAATAATTTGATTAGTAATCAGAGAAAAGCAAAATGAAATGAAATGTCTTTTTTTTTCTCGATATGTCACCCAGGCTGGTTTTGAATTCCTGGGCTCGAATGATCTTCTGGCCTCAACCTCCAGCATAGCTGGGATGACAGGCATGGGCCACTGTGCCCAGCTTGAAATCCCACTTTTTAACTGGCAAACATTTTAAGGGAAATTGGTACCCCTCATCATTGTGGGTGGGGATATAAAGTGATATACAGCCATTTTGGAGTGTAACTCAACAGAATTTATTAAGACTTGATTTGCATGCCCAATGGCCTAGTCATTTAGTTCTCTGTATACTTAGAGGATAAGGAGGGAAGTTCTGTTGATGTTTATTGCAGTATTTCGCTTATCTATGGCCATGCAGTAAATCTCAACACTTGAAAGCTTAAAACAATTCATGATTGCCTCAACACTCTGTGGGTTGACTGGGCTCAGCTGGGTGGTTCTTTTGCTAACTTATGGTACTTTGGAGGCTCAAGTGGATGAAAACATCCAAGATGGCTTCTTCAGTCACATATCTGGCACCTTGGTGCTCTTCCATGGGACCTGTGTTTCCAGAGGAAGTATGGGACATCTCCTTCTTCTAAGGCCTCTGTATGTGGCCTCTTTCTTCAGAAGAGTATTGGACTTCTGACATAGTGCAAGCTCCCAAGACCACAAAAGTGGAAGCTGCCAGTTTTGTTTTGTTTCATTTTGTTTTGAGACTGAGTCTTGTTCTGTTGCCCAGGTTGGAGTGCAGTGGCACGATCTCGGCTCACTGCAACCTCTGCCTCCCGGGTTCAAGCGATTCTCCTGCCTCACCCTCCCGAGTAGCTGGGATTACAGGCACGTGCCACCATGCTGGGCTAATTTTTTGTATTTTTAGTAGAGAAGGGGTTTCACTGTGTTCGCCAGGCTGGTCTCTAACTCCTGACCTCATGATCCACCCACCTCGGCCTCCCAAAGTGCTGGGATTACAGGCGTGAGCCACCGCGTCCACCAGAAAGCTGCCAATATTTTTAAAGGCCTTTTTAAGGCTTAGGCCTGGACCTGTTATAGCACCAATTCATTTTGACTGGGTTAGTTAAAGTGAGCCACAGCAGCATCAGCCCAGATGCAGTGTGGGAAGGACATGAAAGCTTGGAGGTGTATTTTATTGGGAGCCACCTTTGAAGACTACCTACTACATACAATACTGTTTTTCATAGCAAAAAAAAATTAGAAATCACCTAAATATCTATCAGTAGGGAATGTCTAGATGAACCGTGTGTGTGTATGAGTGTATATATGCACACACACTTATATACACACACATATATACTATGTAATATACAGTTGTATGGCAGTATAAAAGGATGAGGTAGATCTGTACATACTGACACAGATAGATTCAGGGCTGGAGTTTTTGGACAAGGAATGACCTGGAAGCAGCAATGAAAGTGAAGGAGAGGGGCCGGGTGTGGTGGCTCACACCTATAATCAATCCCAGCACTTTGGGAGGCCAAGGCAGGCGGATCACGAGGTCAGAAGATCGAGGCCATCCTGGCCAACATGGTGAAACCCCGTCTCTACTAAAAATACAAAAATTAGCTGGGCGTGGTGGCGGGCGCCTGTAGTCCCAGCTACTCAGGAGGCTGAGGCAGGAGAATCGCTTGAACCCGGGAGGCAGAAGTTACAGTGAGCCGAGATCGCACCACTGCACTCCAGCCTGGCGACAGAGCAAGACTGTCTCAAAAAAAAAAAAAAAAAAGGAAGTGAAGGAGGATGACTACCTACCTCCCAGCCCAGGGTTAAATCCACCTGCTGGCCTGCACCATCATACCAGAGAATCACCCAGCCTTGCTGATGAGTCTCATTTTAAGTAACTAATGGCTTACTCAACTGGGCCCATAGTCCTAGCCAGAAATCCCATAGTGTTTCCCTGGTTGGTTTGCTCTCCCACCCTTTCTCTTTCCATAAACCCACAACATGGATTCTGCCTCCTCATTCTTAGCTGCAACCTTGCCTCTTACTTCATTGAGAAAAACATACAGTGCAGCTGTTTGTGAACACTCTCTTTCTTCCTGTTAAGATGAGGCATCTTATCTAACCTTCGCACCTAACAAAGGCAGGAGTCACTGAAGCTTATCTGTTGTCATCTGCTCAAGATCAACAGGGTTCTTCCCCTGCCATCTCCTGCAGCTTCTTGTTGCTGCTGTACTGGATTAATCTCATCATCAAATCAAACGTGCTATTATTTCTTCCTTATTAAAGAAAAAAGTCCCCTTTGATTCCACATCCCACTTCAGCTACTGCCCCATTTTTCTGTTCCATTTTAGAGCAAACAACTTGAAAGAGTTGCAAACAACTTGAAAGATACATTGAAGAGTCTGTTCCAATGTATCTCTTGATGTACTCTTTTGAATCTATTTTCTTTTTTATAATTTGTATGTCTTTATTGGTATTCTCTATTTAGTAAGACATTGTTCTCATACTCTATTTCTTTCTTTTTTTTTTTTTTTTTTTTTGAAACAGAGTCTTGCTCTGTCACCCAGGCTGGAGTGCAGTGGCACGATCTCAGCTCACTGCAACCTCCACTTCCCGGGTTCAAGCAATTCTCCTGCCTCAGACTCCCAAGTAGCTGGGACTACAGGTGCGCACCACCACGCCCAGCTAATTTTTGTATTTTTAGTAGAGATGGGGGTTTCACCATGTTAGCCAGGCTGGTCTCGAACTCTTGACCTTGTGATCACCCACCCCCGCCTCCCAAAGTGCTGGGATTACAGGCATGAGCCACCGTACCTGGCCATACTCTATTTCTTTAGACATGGTTTCCTATAGTTCTTTGGACATACCTAAGGCAGCCAATTGCAAGTCTTTGGTTTAGTAGGTCTAATGTCTGGGCTTCCTCAGGGACATTTTCTACTGACTGCTTTTTTTCTACATGTATGGGCCATACACTCTTGTTTCTTTACATGTTCCATAATTTTTTGTTAAAAATTATACATTTGGCTGGGTGCAGTAGCTCATGCCTATAATCCTAGCACTTTGGGAGGCCAAGGTGGGCAGATTGCTTAAGCCCAGAAGTTTGAGACCAGCCTGGGCAACATGGCAAAACTCCATTTCTACAAAAAATACAAAAATTATCTGGATGTGGTGACACATGCCTGTAGTCCCAGCTACTCAGGAGGCTGAGGTGGGAGGATCATCTGAGCCCAGGAGGTTGAGGCTGCAGTGAGCCATGATCATACCACTCCACTCCAGCCTGGACAACAGAGTGAGACCTCATCTTAAAAAAGAAAACAAAAAACATGGACATTTAAATAACATAATGTGACATTTCTGGAAATCAGAATCTCCTCCCCTTTCCAGAACTTCTCCTTGTTGCTTCTTGTTTTAGCTGTTGTTTGTGTGTTTAAAAATTCTTCTGAAATTAATTCTGTCTATAATTGCTTTAGACTGAATGTTTATGTCCTCCCAAAATTCATGGGTTGAAACCTAATGTGATAGTGTTAGGAAGTGGGGCCTTTGGAAGGTGATTAGGCCATGAGGGTGGAGCCCTCCTGAATGGGATTAGTTCCCTTATAAAACGAGGCCCCAGAGAGCTGCCTTGCCCCCCTCCACCATGTGAGGATACAGCAAGAAGGTGCCAACTATGAACCAGGAAGAGGCCCTCACCAGATACTGAATCTGCTAGTGCCTTGATCTTGGACTTCCCAGTCTCCAGAACTGTATGCAATAAATTTCTGTTGTTTATAAGCCACTCAGGATATAGTATTCTGTTACAGCAGCCCAAGTGGACTGAGACAGTACTCTTTGTCATGTGTGGCCACTGAAGTCTCTGCTTGATTAGCTTATTGGCCTGCTATTGATTGAACAGATTTCCTTAAACACCTGGAATCAGTCAGTCTCCCAATCCTTGCCAAGGGCCTGTGTGTGCATGCTGGGACATGCCTTCCACATTCAGCCAGGCAGCTGACAACTCTGCCTTCGCCTTCACTTCCTGCTGACACAGAAGCTCAGGGTCCATCAGAAGTGGCAGCTTAGGGGCTTCTCGGGTTTTTTCTGAGTTTGCACAGAGCAGAGCCTTCCAGATTCTCTGGAATGTGTTGGAGCATTTCAAAGCCCCATGGACATCTCATTTTTCAGCTTTTCCTTTTAAGCTTCCTTGTTAGCCTGTTGTTTTTCCCAACTATGTAGCAGTCAGGTTAAACAGTTGCCTGTAAATATTTTCAACAAACATCTCTGGGAAAAGGTTTTTCTCTCTAGGCAAGCTCTGAATCTGGTCAAATAGAGACAGCCTTTCAAGTGGAACCTTCCAGGGAACCACCAGACAAACCAAAGAATTACAGTTCTTTGGGAAGGAGGCTTTGAAGAAGCTCCACCTCCATTCTGCTTTTTCTGGTGGCTAACAGGCTGCTGGTTATCAAGGCTTCTGTGAAGCTGAAGAAGAAATTGGGAATAGGGCAAGTTAAAGCACCATAATTTTACTGTTTTTACTGAGACTTGGCCTCTTTTTTTGCATAAATACTCCCTGGATTGCTACAAACCTTAGGTTAATTTCCGGAGTTCTTAGAAAGTTGATTCTGACAGTTCTCTCAGTTTTCCCATTGCTTTTGTGGAGCAGAAAATTTTTAGAGGTTCTTACTTCACCATTTCCACTGACCTTGAACCCACTTCTACCAGGATTTTACCTCTATCTCTTTACAAAAGCTACTCTTGACAAGGTGTGGGTTTTTTTGTTTTGTTTTGTTTTGTTTTGTTTTTGAGACACAGTCTCGCTCTATTGCCCAGGCTGGAGTACAATGGCTCTATCTCGGCTCACTGCAACCTCCACCTCCCAGGTTCAAGCGATTCTCCTGCCTCAGCCTCCTGAGTAGCTGGGATTACAGGCATCTGCCACTATGCCCGGCTAATTTTTGTATTTTTAGTAGAGATGGGGTTTCACTATGTTAGTCAGGCTGGTCTTGAACTCCCGATCTCAGGTGATCTGCCTGCCTCGGCCTCCCAAAGTGCTGGGATTACAGTTGTGAGACACCATGCCCGGCCGACAAGGTTTTTGGTGACTTTCATGTTTCTAAATCTAAGGAATCAATTTGAGTCCTCATCTTATTTGACTTATTAGTAGCATTTGACCTTCACCTTGAAACAGTTCCTTTGTTTGGCTTCCTAAACATTTTACTCCTCTGGTTTCCTTCTGACCATACTGGTCATTTTCTATAATCTCCTTTTCTGCTTCCTCTCAGCAATCTAACTTCTAAATATTAGGATGTCTTGTTCCTTTAGTGATAGTTTCCAGTCTCATGTCTAAATGCCAACTCGATGCTGATATTCCCAAATGACCATCTCCAGTCTGAATCCCTGAACTTGAAGGTCAGATGTTCAACGACATACTCAACATTTCCACTTGAGTTTTCAAAGGCATATCAAATTTTGAAATGTCCAAAAAATAGCATACTCCTCCTGCAATCTTTCTCATCTCAGTGAATATCACTTAGGCCAGAGACTTTGAAGTCACCCTTGACTCTTCCCTTTCTCTTACATGCCAAATCAAATCCATTAGCAAACATGCTGGCTTTATCGTCAGAAAATATTCCTATAACGACCAATTTTTAGGGGCTTGACCATGGTCCAGGCCTCCATTGTCTCTTAGATGAATTAGTGGAACAGCCTCTAACTTGCCCTCTCTGCTTCCATCCTTGCTATGCTAAGCCTGGTCTCAACGTGGCAGCCGGGATGCTGCATTTAAAATCCAACTCACACCGTTTCCTTCTCTCCCACTGACTTTTTCCACAACTGTCACCATCTGTAGAAAAGGCAAACACCCAGCCCGGTGCAGTGGCTCACACCTGTAATCCCAGAACTTTGGGAGGCTGAGGCGGGTGGATCATGAGGTCAGGAGTTCGAGACCAGCCTGGCCAACATGGTGAAACCGCCGTCTCTACTAAAAATAAGAAAATTAGCTGGGCGTGGTGGCGGGTGCCTGTAATCCCAGCTACTCGGGAGGCTGAGGCAGGAGAATGGTTTGAACCTGGGAGCCGGAGGTTGCAGTGAGCTGAGATCACACCATTGCACTCCAACATGGGTGACAGGGCAAGACTCCATGTCAAAGAAAAAAAGAAAAGGCAAACATCCTTCCAGTGACCTGCAGACTCCATGTGACCTGGCCATCTGTTCCCCTGTGCCCTCTGCTCCTAGGACCTTCCCTGTCTATCACTCACTCATTCCTGCTGCACTGGTTTGCTTAATCTCCCTCAACAGGTTGGGTACAGCTCCCCTGCTTCCTGGAATGCTCTTTCCTAAGAGCCTACATGGAAGATTTCTCCACCTCCTTCAGCAGTGTCACCTTCTCAGTGGAGCATTTTCTGACCACCCTAGTCCCAAACTTAACTGTTCCCATCTCCCTTTGCTGCTGTATTTTCTCCTTGGCACATATCACTATTTATAAAACTACAACTTTACTTATTTTTATTGAGGGTTTATTCAATATTTAACTCTCCACATGTGCTGGTCCAAATGGCCTCTTTTTAGATTTCACTTTCCTCCTGCTTCTCTTCTTTAAGACATTGTCTGGGAGACTGATGTGATTCATCCTAATAGCAAGGAGAGAGAAGAGTCATCAGATCCACACAGACGCCCGTCAGCTTCACTGGCAGGATGGCTGAACTGCTTCCCTCACTGGTTCTAACAGGCCTTTTGGAGTGATGTGCCACTACCTTTTCTGGGGAGTCTGTGCTGCCAGCCAAGGGACCACCACCTCACATGGTCTTTTCCACCTGAACCAGGGCACTGACATTCCACAGATGTGCTCAGAGTTCCTTCACTGGAGCACATGGGAACTCCTTCTATCCTACTGCACAAAAATGTATGATTTATGCATCTCTTAGGGGGTGTAGATTATACGAACGACACATTATGCCATGAGTTCCAACCCTGCTCCTGTCAGGGTTTATTTGAGAAACTGATGCCATATCATAAAAATGATATGAACAGTAACAACTAAAATTTATTGGGTCAATTTGAAACAATAAGATTGAGAACTTGTTGAAATAATAAAACACAAAGTATTTTTCTTCTTAAGGATAGAAAGAAATTTAGTATTCACATGGGATGGAAACTAAATCCGTCTTGGTAACTCCTGATCTAACCAATGTAGCAAAAATAATATAACAGAATGCATACCATCCTCAAAATTGATTATACTCTCAAGTTAAACATTTTCTGAATTGTCATCTATAGCAATGGTCACTGGCTTGTTGTAAATAGACTACGATGAAGTAATAGTAAATAAATTAATATATGTACAGCATTTAGAATGGTACCTGGCATACTGTAAGCACCATATGTGTAATTAAATATACTAATTACGCAACACAAAACTGTGTATTACAATATGTATACTTTCCAAGTGAAAAAAATAGATTAGAGTAACATTACTCTGGAAATCTATCAATTGCATCCTAGTAGCATTTGATAATACATCAAGAATTTTATAACCATCAAGAATCCATACAGATGTGATGTTGAATTTCCTGATTGTGTTGCATTTTAGCCAGGATCCCGCCTTATGTTTAGCCAGCATGTCTTTCATAGCTGAGGCTCCTCAGAGCCCAAATTTGAGCGCAGGGTTTTTGCTTATTCATTTGTTTTTGTTTGTTTTCTTGAAGCAGTTTAGCACATATATTAAGAGGATGGATTTTGGCTCAGACAATTCAGGCTCTGAGACCATGTGGCCTGAAACAGTGTGTGGGGTTTCTAACATATGTAAAACTAAAATATATGACAACTACTATAGCAGAAAGAGCAGGAAAGGAAAAATGAGAGTATAGTTTTATAAGGTTTTCACTGTACTTAAAATTGTGTAATATCCCTTGAAACTAGACTGCAAAAAGTTAAGGATATAAGCTACAAATCCTAAAGCAACCACTAAAATAACAAACCAAAGAGTTATAGTTCATTAGCCAATGAAATTGATCAAACAGAATCATAAAAAACATACAGTTAATCTAAAGGAAAGCAGAAAAAGAGAAAAAAGAACAGATGGGACAAACTGAAAACAAAAAGCAAGATGATTGACTTAAATGTATTTGAATTAATAGTCACATTAGTATATTTGGCAAAGCACTATAATTAAAAGTCAGAAATTATCAGATTAAATACAGAAGCAAGACCCAAGTATATGTTGCTTACAATAAATGCAATTTAAATAAAAAGATGCAAATAGGTAAAAAGTAAAAAGATAAAGAAAGATATACCATGCTAACACTAGTCAAAAGAATGCATAATGGTTATATTAATATCAGATAAAGTAGACTTTATAGTTAAAAATGGTATCAGTGATGAAGACCATTTCATAATAACAAAGGTATCAGTTCATCAAGAGGACACAATTTTAACATTTCCAAATTATAAACAATTACGCATCTAATAAAGGAGCTCTGAAATAGATAATACAAAAGTGAAAAGATAAAAAAACCAACTGTATAATTATAGTGAGAGATTTCAGCACTCCTCATTCAATAATTGATAGAAAATGGAAAATCAGTACGGATGTAGAAGACCTAACAATGCTATCCTTCAGCTTGATCTGACTGATATTTTTAAAACACTCCATGCAATGCTCTTTTAAGGATATAAGAAAATTAGGAAGATAGTATATATTCTGTACCATAAAACAAGTCTCAATGAATTTAAAAGGATTCAGTCATAAAAGTATATTCTCTGACCACAATGTAATTAAATTACAAATCAACAACAGTAAGATCTCTGGGAAATCCCCCAAATATTTGAAAGCTAAATAACACACAGCTAAATGATCAAAGGAATACAAAAGAAGTAAAAAGAGAACTTACAAACTATTTTGAATTGGATGCAAAGGAAAACACTACATAACAAAATTTATGGAGATGCTACAGAAATAGTATTTAAAGGGAAATTAATAGCACAGAAATCAATGACCTCTGTTTCTACCTTATGAAATTATAAATAAGAAAGCAAATTAAATGGAAGGAAAGCAGGGGAAAAACAGTAAAGATCAGAGGGGAATTCAATGAAGCAGAAACCAGAAAATCAACAAAACCAAATCTTTCAGAAGATCAATAAAACTGATGAATCTGTAGCCAGAGTGACACATTATAGGAATGACATCAGTGATGTCCATACAGAGCATATGACATTAAAAGGGTAAGAAGGAGATATTTTAAATTATTTTATTCTAATAATTTGAACAACTTAGATGTATCTGCTCAGCTCCTTCAAAGACACAAACTAAAGCTCATTCTGGAAGAAATAGCTAACCTGAATAATTCTGTATCTATTAAATACAATTAAAGAAATTGCAAATGTTGTTAAAAATTTCCTCCCAAAGACAATAGCAGACCCAGAGGGCATCCTTGGTGAATTCTACAAAATGTTTGAGGAAGAAATAACAACAATTCTATGTATAGTCTTCCATAAAATTGAAAAAGAGGAAATATTTCTTAACTCAATTTATGAGGCCAGGATTACCCTGATACCAAAACAAGGTAGACATTACAAGTAAACAAAACTGGCCAGCACAGTGGCTCACGCCTGTAATCCCAGCACTTTGGGAAGCCAAGGTGGGTGGATCATGAGGTCAGGAGATCGAGACCATCCTGACCAACATGGTGAAACTCTGTCTCTACCAAAAATACAAAAATTAGCTGGGCGTGATGGTGTGCACCTGTAGTCCCAGCTACTCAGGAGGTTGAGGCAGGAGAATCACTTGAACCTGGGAGGCGGAGGTTGCAGTGAGCCGAGATCACACCATTGCACTCCAGCCTGGATGACAGAGCTACACTCTGTCTCAAAAAGAAAAGAAAGAAAAAGAAAACAAAACAAAACTGTAGATCAACATCCGCAATGAACTAAATGCAAAATACCCTAAGCAATATTTTAGCAGACTAAATTCTACAAATATAAAAAGGATAATACACTATGACCAAGTGAGGTTTATCCTAGGAATGCGGATTTTGTCACAGAATGACATCAGCTATTTTGTTCCCACACCCATGTATGGGTGAGAGTGTCATGGTCTTCATTTTTTTTTTTTAGATGGAGTCTCACTCTCTCGCCAGGCTGGAGTGCAATGGCAGGATCTTGGCTCACTGCAACTCTGCCTCCCGGGTTCAAGCAATTCTCCCACCTCAGCCTCCCGAGTAGCTGGGACCACAGGTGTGCACCACCATGCCTGGCTAATTTTTTGTACTTTAGTAGACACGGGGTTTCACCATGTTGGCCAGGATGGTCTTGATTTCCTGACCTCGTGATCCACCTGCCTCGGCCTCCCAAAGTACTGGGATTACAGGTGTTAGCCACCGCGCCTGGCCGAGAGTGTCATGGTTTTCTGTATCATCCCATACTTGTATTTCCTGAGGATATGTTTATTTCTTCTGGTTAACTATTGCTATGTAACTACCTACCTCAAAACAGGGGATTTAAAACAATCATTTGATTTTGCTTATGAGTTTGTAGGTCAGGAATTTGGGAAGAGCTCAGCTGGGTGGTTTGTCTCTGAGCCACGTAGGGTCAACAAGGATAGCTGGGGCTGGTGCATTTCCTTTCCAGATGGCTTCTTTATTCACATGTCTTGGGGCTCATTGGCCTTTCTCTCTCTTCACATAGTGTCTTTCTCTTCTTGGAGTTTTCCACATAGCTTGGGCTTATCACAGCATGATCACCTTGGGGTGGTCAATCTCATTACATGGCTGCTCAGGGCTCCAAAAGCAAGCTAATAGCCATTGGTATGAAAGGCTAAGCCTGAAACTAACAGAGCTTCACATATGTTACATTCTAACGGGCAAAGCAGTTACAGGCTGTCCCACGTCTAAGGGGAAGGAAAGAGACCCCTCATCCATGGGAGAAGCAATGAAGAATTTGTGGCCAGCTTTAACCTGCCACATGCATTTACCCTTCTAATGGCACTAATTTATGTTTTATTTAGGGCTTATTTTTTGGAAGGAACAGAAACTCAGGTTTCCTTAAGTAAAAAGGAATTTGTATGGGGGAATACCAAGGAATGGACAGGAATTGGAAATCACTGGAAACCAGTGGACTTCAGTACGGCCTGTAATAGGAATCACTGCATGAGTTCTAGATAGGGTCAGTCTGATGAGTACGAGCCTGCTACAATGAATAACCTCCAATCCATGTTCCTGCCATCATGTTTCAAGCTCCAGGAGAGAGCATTCATTTGGATGAACTTGGTGCACAGGTGTCTCTCTCCCCGCAGCTGTGCTGATACTGGCCATGGGGAGAATCATCTGCTATGACCTTAAAAGTAGCAGATGGTGTATTTGAATGAGCCTATGCCAGCACAAAATAGGAAAGTGATTCTCCAAAAGGATACTAGCAACCATTAGGAATGAGGAGAGGTTATTGAGCAAACAAATTCCAAATGTCCACTATAGGTAGGAAGGATGAATAAAATTATAGAAAGTTAAAATTTGTGGGAGGAAAGTTGAAATGATTCATACATGATGGCCAAGTGTTATAGGTTGAATTGTGTCCCCTCAAAAAATTCATATATTGAAGTCCTAACTCCCAGTACCTCAGAATGTGACCTTGTTTAGAGACAAGATCTTCATAGGGGCAATCAAGTTAAGATGAGGTGATTAGAGTGGGCCGTAGTTCACTACAGTTGTGTGTTTATGAAAAGGTGAAATCTGCAGACAGACATAGACACAAGAGAATGCCATGTGTCTTAGCTTGGGCTTCTATAACAGAATACTATAGACTGGGTGGCTTAAACATCAGACAATTATTTCTCAAGTTCTGGAAACTGAGAAGTTCAAGATCAAGGTGATGACAGAATTGGTTCCTCATCATGGCCTGTTTTTTGGCTTGGAGACCATGGACTTCTCACTTATGTGGCTTTTCCTCTGTTTGTGTGTGTGGAGACAGTGTCATAGAAAAGGCCACAAGAGAGAGGGTCCAAGATGGTCGATTAGAAGCAGCTGCGGTCTGTGGCACTCACAGAAAGGAATGAAAGCAGCAAGTGAATTCAGCACCTTCAACTTGAATATCCAGGTTCTAGTGTTGGGACTGACTAGGCAAACAACTCAACCCTTGGAGAATGAAAAAAAGCAGGGCGGGTGACAGACCACCCAGGAGTGGCACGGAGCCAAAGAAACCCCCAATCCCAGCCAGGGGAAGCAGTGAGTGATTGTGTGACACCACCTGAAAAACACCACCTCTCCCACAGATCTTTGCAACTCATGAATCAGAAGATCCCCTTGGGAGCCCATGCCACCAGAGCCTTAGGTCCAATACACAGAGTTGTGTGTAGTCTTGGCAGCAGCAGCTCAGGCACTCACAGAGTCCCAGGAGTCTGACATACTCCAGACCCAGGATCCCCGGTAAGGCAGGAGATCTGTCCGTATATATCCCTAGGAAGGGGGCTGAATGGAGGGAGCCAGGCAGTGTCATTCTGCAGGCCCCACTTCCATGGCACCTTAGAAGTTAAGACCCACTGGCTTAGAATTCCAGCCACATCCAACAGCAACAGGCTGGAGTCAGCCTGAGATAGGAGTGAGTTCCCAGAGGAAAGGGTGGCTGCCGTTTCTGTGGTTCGGTACACTCAGCAATTCCAGCCTGTCGGCTTTGGAGAATACAAATGGTCCAGATAAGGAAGGGTCCCCAACAATGCAGCACAGCTGCCTTGCCAGATTGTGGCCAGACAGCTTCTTTAAGTGGGACCCCGGTTCATTCCTCCTCACTGGGCAGGACCTCCCTGTGGGGGCTTTAGCAACTCTAGCTTGGGTCCTGCGGCAGAGCTCTGATCTCTCCCTGGGATAGAGCTCCTGGGGGGAGGGATGGCTGCCATCTCTGTGATTTGGTTGACTCAGCCATACCAGCCTGGCTGCTTTGAAGAATACAACAGAATAAATAACTCAGAAATAAGACCACACACCTACAACCATCTGATCTTCAACAAACCTGACAAAAAAAAAGCAATGGGAAAGGATTCCCTGTTTAATAAATGGTGCTGGGAGAACTGGCTGGCCATAGACAGAAAATTGAAACTGGATCCCTTCCTTACAGCATATACAAAAGTTAATTCAAGATGGATTCAAGACTTAAATGTAAAACCCCAAAGTATAACAACCCTAGAAGAATATCTAGTTAATACCATTCAGGACATAGGCACAGGCAAAGATTTCATGATGAAAACACCAAAAGCAATTGCAACAAAAGCAAAAATTGACAAATGGGATCTAATTAAACTAAAGAGTTTCTGCACTGCAAAGGAAACTATCATCAGAATCAACAGACAACCTACAGAATGGGAGAAAAATTTTGCAATGTATCCATCTGACAAAGGTCTAATATCCAGAAACTGCAAGGACTTAAACAAATTTACAAGAAAAAAACAATTAACCACATTAAAAAGTGGGCAAAGAATATGAACAGACACTTCTCAAAAGAAGGCATACATGTGGCCAACAAACATAGGTAAAAAACCTCAACATCACTGATTATTAGAGAAATGCAAATCAAAACCACAATGAGATACAATCTCACACCAGTCAGAATGGCAAGTATTAAAAAGTAAAAAAACAGCAGATGCTGGTGAGGTTGTGGAGAATAAGGAATGCTTTCACACTGTTGGTGGAGTGTAAATTAGTACAACCACTGTGGAAGACAGTGTGGTGTTTCCTCAAAGACCTAAAAACAGAACTACCATTTGACCCAGTAATCCCATTACTGGGTATATACCCAAAGGACTATAAATCATTCCATTATAAAGATACATGCACATGTATGCTCATTGCAGCACTATTCACAATAGCAAAGACATGGAATCAACCTAAATGCCCATCAGTGATAGACTGGATACAGAAAATGTGGTATATATATATATGTATATATATATATATAAAATGGAATACCATGCAGCCATAAAAAGGAATGAGATCATGTCCCTTGCAGGTACATGGGTGTGGTTGGAAGCCATTATCCTCAGCAAACTAACACAGGAACAGAAAACTCCTCATATTCTCACTTATAAGTGGGAGCTGAATGATGAGAACACAAGGACGCAGGGAGGGGAACAACACACACTGGGGCCTGTTGGAAGCTGGGGAGGGAGGAGGGACAGCATCAGGAAGAATAGCTGGGCTGAATACCAAGGTGATGGGATGATCTGTGCAGGAAACCTCCATGGCACATGTTTACCTATGTAACAAACCTGCACATCCTGCACATGTACCCCTGAACTTGAAATAAAAGTTGGAAAAAAGAAAAAAGGGCATGAATCCCATCATGGGGCACCCCCCCTCCATGACCTCATCTATCTGATTACCTCCCAGAGGCCCCACCTCCAAATACCATCACACTGGGGGTTAGGGCTTCAACATATGAATTTTGGGGGGACAAAAACATTCAGTTCCTAATACCATATAAAGATGAAGATGGATATCCGGGTGGTTCTTTTACAAGCCAAGGATATAAAACTGCCAGCAAACCACTAGAAGCTGGGAGAGCAGCCTGTAACAGATTCTCTTTCACAGCCCTCAGAAGGAACCTACCCTGCCAACACCTTTATCTTGGACTTCTGGCCTCCACAACTGCAAGACAATCACTTACCTTGTTTAAACCACCCAGTGTGTGGCAGTCTGTTGGAGTAGCTGTATCAGTCAGGGTTCTCCAGAGAAGCACAACAGGGTGTGTGTGTGTGTGTGTGTGTGTGTGTGTGTGTGTGTCTGTCTGTGTGTGTGTGTATACAGAGAGAGACAGAGATAAATATCCATTTTTGAAAAAATTGGACAGGATTGTGGGAACTAGTAGGTTCAAATTCTGTAGATCAGGTTGGCAGGCAGGAGCCCCAAGGAAGAGTCAGAGTTGCAGAGCAAGTCCAAAGGGAGTCTGGAGGCAGAACTCCTTTCTTCTCAGGGTATTTCAGTCTTTCTTAAGACCTTCCACACAGGCACTCATTTATTTAATAATTCTTTATTATCGTCTAGATACTTGAGAATACAGTAACAAAAATATTATCCCCGGCCGGGCGTGGTGGCTCATGCCTGTAATCCCAGCACTTTAGGAGGCCAAGATGGGCAGATCACCTGAGGTCAGGAGTTCAAGACCAGCCTGACCAACAAGGTGAAACCCCGTCTCTACTAAAAATACAAAATTAACCAGGCGTGGTGGTGCATACCTGTAATCCCAGCTACTTGGGAGGTTGAGGCAGGAGAATCGCTTGAACCTGGGAAGTGGAGGTTGCAGTGAGCCGAGATCATGCCATTGCACTCCAGCCTGGGCAACAAGAGTGAAACTCCTTCTCAGACCAAAACAAAACAAAACAAAACAAAACAAAACAAAACAAAAAAAGACCTTCAACTGATTAGATGAGGCCCACCCCCATTATGAAGGGAAATGGGCTTTATGATGAAGGGAAATTCTGCTTTACTTGAAGTCTACTGATTTAAATGTTAATCACATCTAAAAAAATAGCTTCATAGCAACACCTAGGCTGGTGTTTAACAAAAAATTGGTACTATGTCCTAGCCAAGTCTACACAGAAAATTAACCACTGCAGCTGCCCTACCAAACAATACACATAGTATGATAGTTCTTCCTTTATCCCCTAAGGGGGGATACTTTCCAAGACAGGGGATACTTTCCAAGACCCCCAGCAGCTGCCAGAAAGTGCAAATACTACCAAATCCTATATATACTGTTTTTTTGATCTGATAATGGAGATGTCTACTGAGTGACTACTGGGCATGTAGCATCTGCAACATGGATATACTGGACAAAGAGATAAGTCATATCCCAGGTAGGACAAAGAAGGACAGTGTGGCCAGGCGCGGTGGCTCATGCCTGTAATCCCAGTATTTGGGAGGTTGAGGCAGGTGGATCATCTCAGGTCAGGAGTTCAAGCCCACCCTGGCCAACATGGTGAAACCCCATCTCTACTAAAAATACAAAAATTAGCTGGGCATGGTGGCACACATCTGTAATCCCAGATACTTGGGAGGCTGAGGCAGGAGAATCACTTGAACCGAAGAGACAGACGTTGCAGTGAGCTGAGATCACATCATTGCACTCCAGCCTGGGCAACAAGTGTGAAACTCCATCTCAAAAAAATAAAAAGTCGGGTGTGGTGGCTCACACCTGTAATCCCAGCACTTTGGGAGGCTGAGGCAGGCAGATCACGAGGTCAGGAGTTTGAGACCAGCCTGGCCAACACAGTGAAACCTCATCTCTACTAAAAATACAAAAATTAGCAGGGCATGGTGGTGTGCAGCTGTAGTCCCAAGTACTTGGGAGGCTGAGGCAGGAGAATCACTTGAACCTGGGAGGTGGAGGTTGTGGTGAGCTGAGATCATGCCATTGCACTCCGGCCTGGGCAACAGAGTGAGACTCTGTCTGAAAAAAAAGAAAAAAAAAAGTAGCGTGTGATAAACTTTCACACTACTCAGAATGGCATGCAGCTTAAAAGTATGAATTTTTAGTGCTGGACTTCTCTATTTAATAATATTTTCAGATGGTGGTTGACCAGGAGTAACTGAAACTGTGGGATGCAAAACTGGATAACGTGGGACTACTATAAAGTAGGTGGAGTGACAGTTAAACTGAGCTCTAGGTCATAGTAGATAAGGTAGGCAGTGGAGAAACTGTAAATGTGCATTCCATCTATAATAGAATGAAGTTGGGTTTTAAGAGGGGTGTTTACTACCTGCCATGGTCTAAATGTGTCACCTTCAAATTCATATGTTGAAAATTAATCATCAGTGTGAAAGTATTAAGAGGTGGGGTCTTTAGGAAGTGATTAAGTCATGGCTAGCCATGGTGGCTCACACCTGTAATCCCAGCACTTTGGGAGGCCAAGGTGGGTGGATCACTTGAGTTATAGATCAGCTTGGCCAACATGATGAAACCCCAGCTCCACTAAAAATACAAGAATTAGCCTGGTGTGGTGGCACGTGCCCGTAGTCCCAGCTATTCAGAAGGCTGAGGCAGGGGAATCACTTCAACCCAGGAGGCAGAGGTTGCAGTGAGCTGAGATCGCGCCAATGTACTCCAACCTGGGCAACAGAGCAAGACTCTGTCTCAAAAAATAAATACATGCATACATACATACATACATACATACATACATACATACATACGGAATTGATTAAGTCAGGAGGGTGGAGCTCTTATGAATGGGATTAGCCACCTATCAAAAGGCTGCAGGGAACTACATAGGCCCTTTTTGCCCTTCTGTCCCTTCCACTAAGTGAGAACACAGTGCTCCTCCCCTCTGGGGACACAGCGTTTAAGCTGCCGTCTGGAAAGGAGAGGCCTGGCCTTCACAGAAACCAAACTTTCTGGCACCTTGATCTTGGACTTCCCAGGCTCCAGAATTGTGAGAAATAAATTTCTGTTCTTTATAAATTACACTACTGGTTCTCTACCCTGAGGACTCCAATGGGCTCCAGACCATGCATGCAAAGGTGGCCCTTGAGCTCCCCAGCTCCTGGCTGGTGACTGCACAATATCAAGATTAGTGCCCCCACCCATTAGAAGTCCTAGGACCCTCCAGGGCAAGTCCAGCATTGTTCCCTGCCATGTCCAAGGATGTTGCTGGTTTGCTAAAATTTTAGTGACTTGATGGGAAGTTCCAGGTGGCATGTCCATAGTACAACTGCTTGAGTCCAACATGTTCAATTAACGAAGGAGGAGTAGGTGGGGGCTGTGTAGGGGCTGCAGTGCTGGGATGGTCCCCTAGTCCTTTTTTTTTTGAGATGGAGTCTCGCTCTGTCGCCCAGGCTGGAGTGCAGTGGTACAATCTCGGCTCACTGAAAGCTCTGCCTCCTGGGTTTATGCCATTCTCCTGCCTCAGCCTCCTGAATAGCTGGGACTACAGGTGCCCGCCACCACGCCCGGCTAATTTTTTTTGTATTTTTAGTAGAGATGGGGTTTCACCGTGTTAGCCAGGATGGTCTTGATCTCCTGACCTCGTGATCCTCCTGCCTCAGCCTCCCAAAGTGCTGGGATTACAGGCTTGAGCCACCGTGCCTGGCCTGTTTTGTTTTTGAGACAAAGTCTCATTTTATTGCCCAGGCTGGAGTGCAATGGCGCGATCTCGGTTCACTGCAAACTCCACCTCCTGGGTTCAAGCTATTCGCCCCCTCAGCCTCCCGAGTAGCTGGGACTACATGTGCCCGCTACCAGGCCCAGCTAATTTTTTTGTATTTTTCAGCAGAGACAGGGTTTCACCATGTTGGCCAGGCTCGTCTTGAACTCCTGACCTCAGGTGATGCTCCCGCCTCAGCCTCCCACAGTGCTGGGATTACAGGCATGAGCCACCCCACCTGCCGGTCCCCTAGTCTTAGACCCTTGTGTGATGCCAGCCAGCAGCGTCGTCTTGCCATGCACAATCTTGCACCTCCCAGGACTGGTACCCATGCTGGGATCGGAGGTCCACCACCTCTCAGACACAAAGCCTGGCAGCGCTGGGACTGCTGTTATCCGCATCCTCCCTCAGAGCCAGAAACTCATTTATGTTCTCAAATACTGGATCAGTTATCTATTTCTATTAAACAAAGCATCCCAAAATGGAGTGGCCTATAATAGCAATGATTATTTATTTTTCATCATTCTGTGGGTTGGCTGGGTGGGTCCTCTGCCGGTTTCTCCTGGCTCACCCACAAGATCACATTTAGCTAGAGGGGCAGCTGGGCAAGTACGTACCCAACAGACTCACTCGCAGCTTCTAGCTCTGGGGTGGGACATCTGAGTCCTTCTCCATCCAACACAGGCTAGATATGGTGGTTTCTTGGTTCCACCAGGGAGAGAGCAAGAACTGCAAAGCCTCTTAACCCTGGAGCCAGCACTCTGTCCCTTCTGCCACCTTCTGTTGGCAAAAGCAAATTGCATGGCCAGCCCAAATTCATGGGATGGAGAAATAGACTCCGTATCTCAAAAGGGAGAGCCCACTGCCACTTGTCAGAGGAGCCTAGACTCAAGGAGATATGATTCCTCGTGGACCATGGCTGACAGTCTCCATAAATACCAAGAGCAGATCCCATCCTCTCTAGCAAAAAATGAGACTTTATTGCCTTGACCGAGTCCTGACCCTCAAAGCTCACTTGAAGGTAGCTGCTAAGTCACAGTGTCAGGATCCCTCACTGGAAGACTAAATGCATGCTTTCACTGCCTGTGCGTCTTTGCTCCATCCAGAAATGTGATGACTCATTCTTGGAGCATGAAGGTTTGTTGTGGGAAGTGTGCAGAAATGTTTTTCTTTACTTCCAGAATGACAAGCCAGGGGGAAAAAATGGAACAAATTTTTTTTTTAAAAAGTAATTTATTTGGAAACTGTGTTAAATTCAAAACAAGCTACCATTGGAAAGTCTGAGACCTACCTTTTTGGTAGTCTTTAAATGTAACACAGCAGTCTGGGCGCAGTGGCTCATGCCTATAATCCCAGCACTTTGGGAGGCCAAGGCAGGCAGATCACCTGAGGTCAGGAGTTTGAGACCAGCCTGGCCAACATAGTGAAACTCTGTCTCTACTAAAAATACAAAAATGAGCCGGTTGTGGTGGTAGGTACCTGTAATCCCAGCTACTCGGGCAGCTGAGGCAGGAGAATCGCTTCAACCCAGGAGACGAAGGTTGCAGTGAGCTGAGATTACGCCATTGCACTCCAGCCTGGGGACAAGAGCAAGACTTCATCTCAAAAAAAAAAAAAAAAAAAAAAAAAAAGTAACACAGCTAACCATCGGTCTTTATAGAGAATTTGGAGCATGGATCCTCAGGGCCAATCGGCTGGTTAAAGACTCACACACTGGAAGCAACCCAAGTATCTATCAGTGAATGAAGGGATAAGCAACATGTGATCTATCCATGCCCTGGAACATTGTTCAGCCTTAAAAGAAGAGAACTCTGACACACGCTACAACACGGAGGAACCTTGAGGACATCATGCTGAGTGAAGTAAGACAGTCATGAAAGGACAAATACTGTATGATTTTACTCATATGAGGTACTCAGACAAAATCATAGAGACAGAAAGTAGACTGATGGTTTCCAGAGGCTGGAGGAAGGGGACTGGGAGTTGGTGATTAATGGGAATGGAGTTTCCATTTTACAAGACAAAGAGTCTGGAGATCAATGGTGGTGATGGTTGCACAACAATGTGAATATTCGTCTTTTTTGGGGGTGGGGGCGGGCAGAGTCTCGCTCTGTCACCCAGGCTAGAGTGCAGTGGCATGATCTCGGCTCACTGCAAGCTCTGCCTTCTGGGTTCATGCCATTCTCCTGCCTCAGCCTCCCCAGTAGCTGGGACTACAGGCGCCCGCCACCACGCCCGGCTAATTTTTTGCATTATTTTTTTGGTAGAGATGGGGTTTCACTGTGCTAGCCAGGATGGACTCGATCCCCTGACCTCGTGATCTGCCTGCCTCGGCCTACAATGCGAATATTCTTAATACTACTGAGCTGTTCATTTAAAAATGGTTAAGATGTTTTGAAGATCCTTTTAAACCAATGTCTCAACTCACCTGGGCTGTTTTACCCCAAGGGTTCAGGGATAGCCCCCATCTATTTGGCCAGGCATTAGCCCAAGACTTGAGCCAGTTCTCATACATGGACACTCTTGTCCTTTGATACGTGGATGATTTACTTTTAGCCGCCTGTTCAGAAACCTGTACCATCAAGTCACCCAAGCGCTCTTAAATTTCCTTGCTGCCTGTGGCTACAAGATTTCCAAACGGAAGGCTCAGCTCTGCTCACAGCAGGTTAAATACTTAGGGCTAAAATTATCCAAAGGCACCAGGGCCCTCAGTGAGGAATGTATCCAGCCTATCATTGTTTGAATGGCTCTTCGGAATCTATGTGCTTCCTCTCATTCTTAGTGCCCCCTATGACCATCTACACTGAACAAGATTTATACAAGTATGTCATACCTAAGCCCCACAACAAAAGAGTACCCATTCTTCCTTTTGTTATCGGAGCAGGAGTACTAGGTGGACTAGGTACTGGCATTGGCAGTATTACAACCTCTACTCAGTTCTACTACAAACTATCTCAAGAACTAAATGGTGACATGGAACCGGTTGCCGACTCCCTGGTCACCTTGCAAGATCACCTTAACTCCCTAGCAGCAGTAGACCTTCAAAATCGAAGAGCTTTAGACTTGCTAACCGCTGAAAGAGGGGGATCCTATTTGTTTTTAGGGGAAGAATGCTGTTATTATGTTAGTCAATCCAGAATCATCACTGAGAAAGTTAAAGAAATTCGAGATTGAATACAACGTAGAGCAGAGGAGCTTCAAAACACTGGACCCTGCGGCCTCCTCAGCCAATGGATGCCCTGGATTCTCCCCTTCTTAGGACCTCTAGAAGCTATAATATTGTTACTCCTCTTTGGAACCTGTATGTTTAACCTCCTTGTTAAGTTTGTCTCTTCCAGAATTGAAGCTGTAAAGCTACGAATAGTTCTTCAAATGGAGCCCCAGATGAGGTCTATGACTAAGATCTACCATGGACCCCTGGACCAGGCTGCTAGCCCATGCTCTGATGTTGATGACATTGAAGCCACCCCTCCTGAGGAAATCTCAACTGCACAACCCCTACTACACCCCAATTCAGCAGGAAGCAGTTAGAATGGTCGTCGGCCAACCTCCCCAACAGTACTTGGGTTTTCCTGTTGAGAGGGGTACTGAGAGACAGGACTACCTGGATTTCCTAGGCCAACTAAGAATCTCTAAGCCTAGCTGGGAAGGTGACCGCATCCACTTTTAAACACAGGGCTTGCAACTTAGCCCACACCTGATTAATCAGGTAGTAAAGAGAGCTCACTAAAATGCTAATTAGGCAAAAACAGGAGGTAAAGAAATAGCCAATCATCTATCGCCTGAGAGCACAGCAGGAGAGACAATGATCAGGATATAAACCCAGGCATCCTAGCCAGCAATGGCTACCTTCTTTTGGTCCCCTCCCTTTGTATGGGAGCTCTGTTTTCACTCTATTAAATCTTGCAACTGTGGGAAAAAAAATGGTTAAGATGGTAAGGTTTTGTTTGTTTATTGTTTGTTTATTTTTATTTTTTTTGAGACAGGGTCTCACTCTGTCCCCCAGACTGGAGTGCAGTGGTGCAATCTCAGCTCACTGCAGCCTCATCCTCCCAGGTTCAAGCGATTCTCCTGCCTCAGCCTTCCGAGTAGCTGGGATTACAGGCATGTGCCACCACACCAGGCTAATTTTTGTATTTTTAGTAGAGATGGGGTTTCACCATGTTGGCCAAGCTAGTCTGAAACTCCTGACCTCAAGTGATCCACCCACCTGAGCCTCCCAAAGTGCTGGGATTACAGGTGTGAGCCACTGTGCCCAGCCAAGATGGTAAGTTTTATGTTATGTATATTTTACCACAATTTAAAAATTAAAAAAAAACAGATCTATGCAACCTATCATGTCATGCCTGATAGTTGCCCTGATAGTCACAGATCACAGACTGCTTTAAGACACACACTCACCTGGGCTTACTCTGTGTCTAGCCACAGTGCAATGTCTCTGTTTTTTGTTTTGTTTTGTTTTGTTTTGTTTTGTTTGTTTGTTTGTTTGTTTGAGATGGAGTTTCCTTCTTGTTGCCCAGGTTGGAGTGCAATGGTGTGAGCTTGGCTCACTGCAACCTCTGCCTCTTGGGTTCAAGTGATTCTCCTGCCTCAGTCTCCCAAGTACATGGGATTACAGGTGTGCACCACCACACCCAACTAATTTTGTATTTTTAGTAGAGACAGGGTTTCACCATGTTGGCCAGGCTGGTCTTGAACTCTTGGCCTCAGGTGATCCACCCGCCTCAGCCTCCCAAAGTGTTGGGATTACAGGCGTGAGCTACTGCACCCGGCCGCAAATGTCTCTTTTATCTTGAAAGCTCAGAAGTGTGATGGGTTACATCAGTCAATCAGCTCCAGCAAGTGCCCCCTGGAATACAGAACTACATGAATGTGTGTGTGTACAAGAGGGGGCCTCGGGAGGCAGAGAGAAGGTGGAAAGCTCACTGCCTGCTGGACCCAAGTCCTGGCAGCCATGCTAGGGCAACTCTGCTGGGCTGATTGTCCACCCAGCATCCATCTGACCTTCTGTCTTCCTTCCAGTACCTTGGTTTGTTTCTGTGTTTGCTCTTCAGGTCTTCTTTCCTACAGACTGAAGCCAGGAAGAACTGACCCACCCCCATTTCCATGCTCCCCCCACCCTGTCCCTCAGTGGAACTCCATTCCCTTAACTGGTGAAGGAAGAGTCTGCTGGGAAGTGAGGAATTCTGGAATATGTCCTTCTAGATGTTGTCATGGCTGAATGTGAGGTCTTCCCCTGCTGCCCCACTGTGCTTGCCAGAGAAAAGCCAGCACCCAAACTGCCAGAGGACAAGGAGAGAAAGCTCCCCAGTCACTGATGGCATAGCTGAGCCTCTCATCAACCACACCTGGAACCTAACCCACCTTCCACTTATAGTTACCTTCATCGCTTAGATGAGCCAAGAGTATTCTAATGGATATGTTATCATCTATCCGATATTTCCAGAAAAGAAAACTCATGCCTCAGTCACAAAGAAAATCAAGAAAATTCCATACAGGTAAGTGCCACCAAGTCCACGATGAGGAACAGCTCAGCCACTATGAGGATGTGGGGATTCTGGGTGAAGGGGTGCAAAACTGGCCACCCCAATATATATGTCTTTGGCATATTGATTTCGTTGAACTGAAAGCACATCAGAAACAGATGCAGACAGGGTTCTCTGCCCTGCCGCTTCTCTACCTAAAACCAGGTCATAAAATTCCCCATGAGAAAGGTGCCCTCCCTGTACCAGGAAGAGAACATTCATGTCACCGGAGACTGGGAGTCGATGCAGAATGGACCTGCGCAAACAAGCCCTACAAAAATAATGTTTATCCCCTACTGGTTTTCCCCACATATTTCCTAGTCACCATCCCACAATTTACTGTCCCTAACCCAAGCCCTTTATCTTGTCACATGCCCATAATTTACCATTCTGTGTGTAAAATGGTGTCTATACTTTTGAGCCTAATGGCTTCTTCAAGTCTTTGTTTTCCTTCTGAAGACTCCTGTGCACATGTTAAAATATTAAACCAATGTGTATGCTTGTCTCCTGTTAATCTATCTCAGCTGAATTCTTGGGCCAGCCACAAAACCTGAGAGGGTAGAAATAAGTGTTTCCTCCCCTATATGGGTAAGCAAAGCAGAAATAGTAAGAAAGCTGAAAAGTAAAAGTGATGCTGGAAGGCTATTTTATAATAGAAAAAATCAGTATGGGCAGGCACGGGGCTCATGCCTGTAATTCCAGCACTTTGGGAGGCTGAGGTGGGTGGATCACCTGAGGTTAGGAGTTTAAGACCAGCCTGGCCAACATGGTGAAACCCCGTCTCTACTAAAAATACAAAAAAAAAAAAAAAATTAGCCAGGCGTGGTGGTGCACACCTGTAATCTCAGCTACTTGGGAGGCTGAGGCAGGAGAATTGCTTGAACACAGGAGGCAGAGGTTGCAGTGAGCCGAGATTGCACCACTGCACTCCAGACTGGGTGACAGAGCAAGACTCCATCTCAAAAAAAAAAAAAATCAGTATTTTTATAGTAAAAAAGAAAAAACTAATTATAGAAAATTTGTATAACCCCCAAATAAAAATCACCCTTAACATCATCATTATGCAAAGTTAACAATTCTTTCTTTTTAGCCCATGACTTTGCAAATCTTTTAAATGCCCCCTCTTGATTAGGTGAGTAAAAAGGAAAATAAAATCAGAGAAAAAAAAAACAGAGGTCTCTAAGGGAAAAGTACATATGGAGTTAAGTTTGAATTGGAGGAAAACAACTCACTGAAATTAAAAAAAAAAAAACAGCTTGATGATATAATTAACATATACAAAACTCTCTTAAAGTATACAATGTAATGTTTTTCAATATATTCACCAGGTTATGAATATACCATCATCACAATCTAATTTTAAAACGTTTGTGGCTGGTTGCAGTGGCTCACCCCTGTAATCCCAGCACTTTGGGAGGCCAAGGCAGGTGTATCATTTGAAGTCAGGAGTTCAAGACCAGCCTGGCAACATGATGAAACCCCGTCTCTACTAGAAATACGAAAATTAGCCGGGCATGGTGTCGTGCACCTGTAATCCCAGCTACTAGAGCGGCTGAGGCAGGAGAATCACTTGCACCTGGGAGGAAGAGGTTGTAGTGAGCCGAGATTATGCCACTGCACTCCAGTCTGGGCAACAGAATGAGACCCTGTCTCAATAAAACAAAAACAAAAACAAAATTTGTGTCCCTTAAAAGAAAATCTCCCGATAATCATTCACTCCCCATGCCCAGCAGGTCCCTGAATTCACCCCGTTGTGATTTCCTAGTTTGAGGACGCACGATTGGAATGAATGTACTCAGCAGCTCGTTGGATCCCCACATTTGTTCCCTGACCAGTAGAGTGGAGTAAGGGCTATTATGATGGGAATGGCCAAGTGGAAGCCACTAGAACTACTTTGACTAGGAAAATAGTAAACCAAAAGTAGCACCACATTTCTGGAGAGGTTGCAGAGATTAGTGTCACCATCAAGGACTTAAGGATGCACCATAAACCTATTCAGCTCACCTATTGGACTGTGCAGAAGACAGATGGATTTTGGAGGACGACAGTGGATGGATTATCGTGAACTTAATCAGGTGTTGACTTCAATTGTAGCAGATGTAGTTTCATTGCTTGAGGAAATTAGCACAAACCCTGGTACATGGTGTGCAGCTATTGGTCCAGCAAATGCTTTTTTCTCCATCTCTGTTAGTGAAGACTTCCAGAAGCAGTTTACTTTAGCTGGCAAGGCAAGCAATATACCTACACTGATAGGAGTGTGTCAGCTCTCCAGCTCTATGTCACAATCAGTTCACAGAGATTTTGATTGCCTTCCCCTTCCAGAAGACATAAACATTCATCCATTACATTGATGACATTATGCTGACAGGACCTAAGAACAAGAAGTAGTAAATATGCTAGATTTATTGGTAAGACATTTGCATGTCAGAGAATGGGAAATAATATTTTTTTTTAATTTCAGTGGCTTTCTATGTCTGTGAAATTTCTAGGGCATCTAGTGATGTGGAGGCACATTAAGGTGTTCATATGAAAGGTAAGCTATTGCATCTGGCCTCTCCTGTAACTAAGAAAGACGCACAGTGCCTAATGGGCCTCTGAATTTTGGAGGCAACATATTCCTCATTTGGGTGTGTTACTCCAGTCCATTTCCCAAGTGACCAGAGAAGCTGCTAGTTTTGCTTAAAGCCCACAACAGGAGAAGGCTCTGCAACAGATCTAGGCTGCTGGTCAAGTTGCTTTGCTGCTTGGCATATGACTCAGCAGATCCAATGGTGTTTGAAATGCCAGTGGCAGATAGGGATGCTGTTGGAACCCTCGGCAGGCCTGTATGGGTGAATGGCAGTACAGGCCTTTACATTTTAGAGCAAAGCCCTGCCTCCTCAACAGATAACCACTCTCCTTTTGAAAAACAGCTCTTGGCCTGCTACTGGGTCTTAGAGGCTGAACACTCAAGCATGGGCCATCAAGTTACCAGGCCACCTGCACTGCCCTTCATAAACTGGGTGGTATTTGACCCACCAACCCATGAAGTTGGGTGTGCACAGCAGCACTCCATCATCAGATAGAAGTGGTATATACATGATCAGACCCAAGTAGGCCCTGAAGGCACAAGTACATTACGTGAAGTGGCCTTGCTACACTGCCTCCTCTCTCCTAGCCTGCACTGATGGTCTTACAAGTAAGTTCCTGACAATCATTGTCAGAGGAAGAAAACAGTCAGTCCTGGACTACAGAGGGTTCTGCGGGATATGCAGCCCCCACTCTGAAGTGGACAGCTGCAGCACTGCAGCCCCTTTCCAGGACAGCCCTGAAGGACAGTGGTGAAGAGAAATCCTCCTAGTGAGCCAAACTTTGAGCAGTTTACCTGGTTGTCCACTTTGCCTGGAAGAAGAAATGGCATGATATGCAATTACAAACTGATTCATGGGCTGTAGCCAATGGTTTGGCTGGATGATCAGATACCTGGAAGGCACATGACTGGAAAATTGATGACATGAAAATTTGGGGAAGCTCTATGTGCATAGACCTCTCTGGGAAAAGAACACAAAGATATTGTGTTTCATGTGAATGCTTATCAAAGGGTGACCTCAGCAAAAAGGACTTTAATAATTGGGTGAATAGGACAATCCATTCTGTGGATATCAGTCAGTCTCTTCCCCCAGCCACTCTGTCATGGCCCAGTGGGCTTGTGAACAAAGTGGCCATGGTGGCAGGGATGGAGATTGTGCACAGGCTCAGCAGCACAGAGTGGAAGTCCTGAGTACAGCCTCCACTGACTGCTCAATCTACCAGGAGCAGAGAGCAACACTGAGCCCCCAGTATGATCACCCAGGGGGATCAGCAAGCTATCTGGTGGCAGATTGATTACACTGGACCACTTCCATCATGGAAGGGACAGAGTTTTGTCCTTACTGGAATAGACACTTATTCTGAATACAAATTTGCCTGTCCTGCTCACAATGCTTCTGCCAAAACTACCATTTGTGGAGTCACAGAATGCCTTATTCACCATCAGCCGCACTGCCTTGCTTCTGATCAAGAAACTCACTTTACAGTGAAAGAAGTGTGGCAATAGGTCTGTGCTCATAGAATTCACTGGTTTTACCATATTCTATATCATCCTAAAGCAGCAATTTTGCTGGGAGAGTGAAATGGCCTTTTGAAGACTCAGTTACAGTGCCAGTTAGGTAGCAGTACCTTGCAGGGCTGGGGCAAGGTTTCACAGGAGGTTGGATACGCTCCAAATCAGCATCTAATCTATGGTGCTGTTTCTCCCACAGCCAGGATTCACAGGTCCAGACATAAAGGGGTGGAAATGGGAGAGGCACCACTCACCATCACCCCTAGTGACCCACTAGCAAAAGTTTTGCTTCCTGGTCCTGTGACTTTATGCTCCACTGGCCTAGAAGTCTAGTTTCAGTGGGAGGACAAAAACAATGGTTCAATTGAACTGGAAGTTGACTGCAACCTGGCCACCTTGGGTTCCTCATGCCTCTGAATCAATATGCTGCAAAAAGAGCTAGTGTTGGCTGGGGTGACTGATCTTCATTACCAAGGAGAAATTGGACAACTATTCCACAATGGAGGTAAGGAAGTGAATGTCCAGCATACAGTAGATCCCTTAGGGCATCTCTTTTTATTATCTTTTATTATCACAATGCCTTGTCTACTGTTTCTATGACTGTAGACCACGCTTACAGGAGGAAAATTACTTCTGTACAAGGCACAGCACAAAAAATGGAGGTGTGGGACCATGACTGGTCATATCATACCAGGCACAGGGACAGTGTGCTAGGGAGTCATGAGCATTTGTGGATAGAAAGCAGAGGCAAAAGATCAGTGACCAAGAAGCTCAACTCCGCTTATATGTGTGAAGCTCCACACAACTCCACGTGATGAGCAGACACCATAAGAAATACACACATGGGGCCGCGCACGGTGGCTCACGCCTGTAATCCCAACACTTTGGGAGGCCGAGGAGGGCGGATCACGAGGTCAGGAGATGGAGAGCATCCTGGCTAACATGGTGAAACCCATCTCTACTAAAAAATACAAAAAATTAGCTGGGCATGGTGGCGGGCAACTGTAGTCCCAGCTACTTGGGAGGCTGAGGCAGGAGAATGGCATGAACCTGGGAGGAGGAGCTTGCAGTGAGCCAAGATCACGCCACTGCACTCCAGCCCGGGCGACAGAGCGAGACTCCGTCTCAAAGAAAGAAAGAAAGAAAGAAAAGAAAGAAAGAAAGAAAGAGAGAGAAGAGAGAGAGAAAGAAAGAAAGAAAGAAACAAAGAAACAAAGAAAAGAGAGAGAGAGAAAGAAAGAAAGAAAGAAAAGAGAGAGAGAAAGAAAGAAAGAAAGAAAGAAAGAAAGAAAGAAAGAAAGAAAGAAAGAAAGAAAGAAAGACAGACACACATGGATCTCCACCACGTTCTTGCCAAATTTTTTTTTTTTTAGATGGAGTCTCGCTCTGTCGCCAGGCTGGAGTGAAGTGGCGTGATCTCTGCTCACTGCAACCTCCGCCTCCTGACGGAGGTTCAACCCAGGAATCTCCTGGGTTCAAGAGATTCTTCAGCTCCCAGTAGCTGGGATTACAGGTGCGCGCCAAGAGACCCAGCTATTTTTTGTATTTTTTTGGTAGAGGCAGGGTTTCATTACGTTGGCCAGGATGGTCTCCATCTCTTGACCTCGTGATCCGCCTGCCTCGGCCTCCCAAAGTGCTGGGAGTACAGGCGTGAGTCACCGCGCCTGGTCACCAAAAATATTTTTAAGTTAAATCTCTCCAAACCTTTAGACCTAACTTCCAGTTGACAGACAATACAGGAACAGAGGAACAGGTAAAAGAACATAAGAAGGAAACAATTTGACAAAATCCTTAAAGTCACACACTTTTCATGCTAACTAGCCTGGTCTCTTTGACAAGCCAAAATCATGAAGAAATAAGGGGGTGGGGGGCCTAATGTAGATTAAAGCATAATGCAGTGATTGGATCCTGGTTTTTAAAAAAGCAAATAGAAATTTGGAGTTGGATTATTGGGAAAATTTGAATATGGATTGAGCACTAGATGATCTTTGGGAATTATCAACTTTCTCAAGTATGATATTGGTTGTAGAAGTTCCTCATTTTTTGGAAGTGTAGGAGGAAGTACTCAGGGATAAAGTGTCATGAAAGCTGTAATCTTTTAAAAATCATTGTTCAGAAAAATACATACAGTTGACCCTTGAACAATGTGGGAGTTAGGGGTGCTGACACCCACTCCTTTGTACAGTCGAAAATCCAAAATAACATTTGACTTCCCCCAGACTTAGCCATGAATAGCAGACATTTTGACTGGAAGGCTTACTGATAACATAAGCAGCAATTAACACCTATTCTGTATATTATATGTATGATACACTGTGTTCTCATAATAGAGTAAGCCAGAGAAAAGAAATGTTATGAAGAAAATCATGAGGAAGAGAAAATATATTTACTGCTCATCAAGTGAAAGTGGACCATCGTAAAGTTCTTCCTCCTCATTGTCTTCACATTGAATAGGCTGAGGAGGAGGAAGAAGAGGAAGGGTTGGTCTTGCTGTCTCAGGGGTGGCAGAGATGGAAGAAAATCCTTGTACAAGTGAACCCATGCAGTTCAAACCCATGTTGTTCAAGGGTCCACTTTATATAGTTTTATGTTGGGAGATCATACCAGAAAAAAATATATATATATACATATATAAGACTTGGGAACGTGATAATACCCTCAAGCAGGTTTTCCTCTAAATTCTAAAAGGCATCTTCATTCTTGCTTAGTCTTAGTCAAGCTGTGTATTTCCCTTCTAACTAGCACAGTGCTTGCTCAGAGCAATTGCTCCAAAATTTTTTTGAACTGGAAGGATTCAAAGATGTTAGGCCTCCTCCTGCCTAAAAGTGGTTTACATAATGAAGGGCATATTTTTCTTAAATAACAAGAAGTCTGGAGGCAGCAGTTGTTACCAGAGGTTCAGCTGCTCCATAATGCCTTCAGGAATCCTAATCCTTTCTATCTTCTTGCTCCTCTGTCCTTGGTGGGAATGGATTTCAGATTCATATTTGCTGCCTTGTGGCTGCTGGTGGCTGCAGCAACCTTCAGTGGAAGAGAAGGGCCACAGGGCCCTTTCTTTAGCAATGCCCACAGGCCCCTTTCTTTATCAAGAAGCCTCCCAAGGGACTCTCACTGATTTATCTTTGGCCATGCCTGAATCACATGGCAAACTGAGCTGCAAGGGAGCCTGGGAAGCCAGGATTTCACTATCCTAACTCTTCTAAGTGCAAGAAAGGGATTTGAGGGTTATGAATTGGGTTCTGGGGGAGCTAACAAGTTTTGCCTCCAACCATTTCCTAGAAAACCTAAATGTATTTGAAGTAGATTTCCTTGGCAGTTATCTCTGGAAAAACTAAAGTAAAATAAAAAGTTGAAAAAAATTTTGATTTGAAAAGTCACTGAATTTAGTATGGATAGAGCGTCAGTTCATTCCAAAAAACATCTAACAAGCCACTGACTACACACCAAGCATTGAGCAAAAATCCAGGAGGCAAAGATGAATAAGGACTAGCTCACATCCTTAGAAAGCTGACAACCGGGCAGTAGAAGCATGCCTGCCGATAAGTAGTTATATTATGAGAAAGAGCCAGCAAAAGAAATGCTAAGTGGCCGGGCGCGGTGGCTTACGTCTGTCATCCCAGCACTTTGGGAGGCCGAGGTGGGTGGATCACCTGAGGTCAGGAGTTCAAGACCAGCCTGGCCAATCTGGTGAAACTCCGCCTGCATTAAAAATACCAAAACTAGCTGGGCATGGTGGCGGACGCCTGTAATCCCGCTACTCGGGAGGCTGAGGCAGGAGAATCACTTGAACCCAGGAGGCGGAGGTTGCAGTGAGCCGAGATCTGCCACTGGACTCCAGCCTGGGCAACAAGAGCGAAACTCCGCCGCAAAAAAAGAAAAAGAAAAAAGAAAGAAAGAAACACTAAGTGGGCAAAGAGAAGCTGGCCTGGGGACTCAGAGCTGTTTTAGAGAAGCTCTGATTTCATCAGTTGGAAGAGAAGAAAACAGCGCAAGCACAGACCGAGGGATGAGGCCAGCCTGCCCCCCACCCGCCTCTTCCGCAGAGCTGCTAGCGTTTCCCGTGGCCGCCGGGATGAGGGGTTTGTACTTGTTACCAGAAGAATTTCCATTTTTCAGCCTTGTAGAAAATGCCTAAGACTTGGAATGACACATCTTCTTCTAGTTCTGCTGCTAATTAACTGTGTGAGATCAAGTTTGAAATTTAAGTCAGGGAGCCCCTTTATTTATCATTGCGACTCTGCAGCGTTTCTAATCACGTAAGCACGTGCTCTGCACACTGTTTCTTAACCATGTCACTGACATAGTGGCTGCAATTGAATCCATCTACTAGCACTTGGTGTTTTTTTTGCAGAACAAGCCAGACATAACTTACTACGGCAAATTTGTACCTGGAAATCACGGAGATGTGATGGCAGACAAGCTCTGCGGTCATCTGGGAATGTCTCGCCAAACCGAAGGAAACCCGTGTGTCGTGTGCAGGGATTTCCATGACAGCACTGGCTTCCCAGTGACTGGCAGGATCCAAACAACCGTCAAGAGAAGGAAAGTATTTTAAATCAGGAAATATGGAAATAACCTTGTATCTGCCAGATTAGGAGGGAGAGATCAGACGACATCATCAGCTCTTTAATAATTTTTTTAAATAGAAAGTCTTCATCTCTCCTTTTTTGGTCACTTAAGTGTTTGCTGGCGGTTTCTAAAATGTCTTTTACTCCATGACATTATAGGAAAGGCGCTTTTGGAGCCGTAGTTTGGTTATAAACGACTCTCCCACAACTGTTTTCTATTTCCATTTTGTTTCACTGACTGAGAATGTAAATTGAACTTTAGTGCTATTGTGCTTTGTTCTGCCTCTCTTTGTGGAAATGTGTTTTGAATTAAAGTCCACAAATAAACCAGAGCGGTCCCAAATATTGCCCTTCAGCTTTTGAACAGCTTGAGAGCCAGGAAAAGACAGAGCATGTGGTTTTATGAGCCCCAGATGGTGTAATGGGTGTCACGCATGTCTTTACGTGGGGAGGTCAGGGGTTCAGGTTCCATCTGGAGCCATCTCAGAGACACTTCATATCCGAGGAATAAAGATGAGATCTGGGGCAGAAAACATGGCCACCTGCGGGGAGGAGACATGGTGCCTTCTCACCCTAACCACCGCCATCTCAGCCAATACCCATTCACTTATCTGAGTCTAGCGATGTTGCCTTTGACTCAGAACAAAACAATGTCATGGATTGTTTCCCTGGAATCTTCTGTCTCCACCGACTTCTTCTTTGCTAAGATCCATGAATGAGCTTCTTCCCTTGTTCATGATTGAGAAATCCAAACCATCCTCTCATTTACTGCTGAAGCAAGTAGGAATGTTTGTAGGAATATTTTCTTATCATCCCTATGCTGTAGTCCTCGGAGAGAGATTAACTAAAAGAAAGTTTCTGAGACCATTTTCTACTTCTTCACCAGAGTGGACATAAATCTAGAATTAGTGATGCTATTTGATTTGGCTTCCAAATAGTATTGATACAGTATAGCCATAATGGATTTGCAGCCATGCTATTAATTCATGTACTATTTCCTTTCATTTCTTAAAAACTTAAATTGTGTAGAGCGCGATAGCTCACACCTGTAATCTCAGCACTTTGGGAAGCAGAGGCAGGTGGATCACCTGAGGTCAGAAGTTGGAGATGAGCCTGGCCAACGTGGTGAAACCCCATCTCTACTAAAAATACAAAAATTAGCCAGGCATGGTGGTGGGCGCCTGTAATCCCAGCTACTCAGGAGGCTGAGGCAGGAGAATCACTTGAACCTGGGAGGCGGAGGTTGCCGTGAGCCAAGATTGTGCCACTGCACTCCAGCCTGGGAGACAGAGCAACACTCTGTCTCAAAAAAAAAAAAAAATTAAACTTAAATTGTGATAAACTATATATTATATGGATTTACCATCGTAACCATTTTCAAGCATACAGTTCAGTGGCATTAAGTACATTCATATTGTTGTGCATATTACAGTGGCTCACACCTATAATCCGAGCACTTTGGGAGGCCAAGACGGGAGGATTATTTGAGCCCAGGAGTTTGAGACTAGCCTGGGCAAGATGGAAAGACCCTGTCTCTACAAAAAAGTACAAAAAAAAAAAAATTAGCCTGGCATGGTGACACACGCATGTAGTCCCCAGCTTGGAGAGGCTGAAGCAGGAGGATCTCTTGAGCCCAGGGGTTCGAGGTTACAGTGAGCTGTGATTACACCACTGCACTCTAGCCTAGGTGACAGAACAAGACCTCGTCTCTAAAAATAAAAAATAAAAAAAAGAAAAAAGAAACATATGGTTGTGCTACCATCACCACCATCCATCCCAAAACACCATACCCCCCACCTGACTTTTGTATTTTATAGAGATGGGGTTTCACCATGTTGCCCAGGCTAGTCTCGAACTCCTGGAATTATAGGCACGAACCACTGTGCCTGGCTCCAAGACCTCTTACAATCTTGCAAAATGGAATCTCTGTCCCCATCAAACATTAACACCCCATTCACTACCACACCCAGCTCCCAGGCGCTGGAAATCTTAATTCATGTACTTTTACTAGACTTTTAGGTAGGGGCTATAGGAAATGTATTTTCCTTCTTTTCCCAGCATTCTGAGTTTAGCCCATGTAAGAGAGGAAAATTTTCTCTTCTCTCCACTTATCCTGGGTTCATTGGCGGAGGCCCTGTAAATTGAACTGACAGAAGACAGATTAACAAGAGAAAAACAAACAAGTTTATTAGCACTTGCACCGTGCACACACGAGAGCACTCAGAGATGAGTAACTCAAAGGGGTGGTGAAAACGTGGGCTTGTATCCTTATCAAAGAACAATACATTTGTAGAGAAGAGATGAGATAAAGGAAAAGGACTTTGAGCTTTTAGTTACAGCAAACTGTGGGAAGGCAAATCATCTATGGGTAGAGTGGAAGATAAGGGTGGTTAGTAGGATCCTCTAGTGTTTTCTCCAGCTGATAAGCATCTAGAATTGTCTCTGGTGATTAGCTTCTGTCCTTCCTAGCAGAGAGAAGGGGGATATCTTTGCCAATTTCTGTCCTGATTTAAGCAAATAGGGGGAGGGCAGAGAGCTTTTCTTGTATCTCCATCTTCTCAGTTGCTGTCAACTCCAATTAATCCTGATGTCAAAGTGCACATTTCGGAGCAGCACATTCTGAACCCCTTCACCTATGAATAAGGAATTTCTACTCTCTTCCCCTTCACTCCAGTCCGTGGAAGGGAAGACAGGAACTTTTTGGTGGGTGTCTAGAGAGGAGAAGCAGAGGGTTTCTGGCTCTTTCACGATTTGGGGAAGTAACGGGCTATCTAAGACATAGTCATCGTATTCTGTCATTTCAGGGGCTGTGGTTACTCACGTGTGCCTGTGATTGGGTGAAGCTGGATAAGATTAGGAAAAAACCTATTGGAAAGCAGAGGAAAAACCCTGTTCCCCAGTGAGGTTAAACACTAGTAAACTGCCATTTTGCTCCCTAGCTGACGGTACTGTGAATTGGTTCAGAACTCAGGAGGAGAAGAGTGTTGTTTATTCCCTGCTGCCCCCCACAACCTCTCCACGAGTCCGAGAGCCCTGTGATGCCATGCATTTTCAGTGCTTAGCACATTTTGGTCAGTTTGCCTATGTGTCTTTGAAGATCCCTGAATTCAAGCTTCTGCTTATCATATGCCAGCTGTTGGTAAGCAAGAGCCAGTTCTTTTATCATTAATAACCAGCACTTTGCTATTTTGCCCAGAACTTAATTTACAAATCAATCAATCAGTCCCTACCATGGTTCTCCTGGGGGCTGTGACAGTTTCTCCTGTGAGAAGCAGCCAGATCACAAATTGGTGGCAATAACTGGAGAACAACTGTCTGGGGAACATGTGATTGATTTGAGGCTCAAGTGGGAAAGAACCATCCTGCTTGTAGCCATTACTTCTTTTCTTTATATTTTTTTATTTTCAAATAATATTGGACTTACATAAAACTTTGCAGATAGAACAGCCAGTTCTTATATAACCTCACCCAGCATTCCCAATGTTCACATCTTTCATAGCCAGGGCAAAACGATCAAACAGGAAATTAGCAGTGACATGATGCAAAATAAACTACAGATCTAATTTGAATTTGGTCAGTTTCCCCACTCACACCCTTTTTCTCTTCCAGGTTCCCATCTAGGAGCCCCCTTGCATTTAGTTGTTGCAGCTTCTTAGTCTCCTTCAATCTGGGACTGTCTCTCAGTCTTGTCTTTCATGACCCAAACACACTTCTGCAGAATACTCGTCAGTTATTGCTGTGGAATGTCTGTTGGTCTGGGTCCGTCTGATGTTCTCTCATAATCTGATTGAGGCTATGCATTTTTAGCAAGAATACTGCATAAATAATGCTGTGCCCTCAGTGCAATGCATCCACACAGGGCTTCGTCATTCAATACGTCTTCTTCTTGGTGATGTGAACCCCCACCACCCAGTGAAAAGTGGTGCCCGCTGGCTTTCTCCACTGGTGCAGTGTGATTTATTAATGAGGGAGTTACTTCAAGACAATGCAAATATCCTGTTTCTCCTCAAACTTTTCCCCACCAATATTAGCATCCATCGGTGGGTCTTGCCTACAATAATACTTTATCTGGATTTAATGATTATATTGATTATTCATAAAAAGTTTTATATTCATTCAGGAATTTCTGCAGGCATTTTTATGAATTGTCCTATTTATAGCTATACTGCATATGAGTGATAAGAACAATGACAATAGGAATAATAATAATACTCATTTTTGAGTTGAATAAGTACCTGACAAATTGCTGGGCTCATTAAATGTTAATCATTATTATCGTGGGGTTTTTTGTTGTTGTTGCTGTTGTTGTTGTTTTATGAGATAGGGTCTCACTCTGTCACCCAGGCTGGAGTGCAGTGGTGCAATCTTGGTTCACTGCAACCTCCTCTTCCTGAGTTCAAGCAACTCTCCTACCTCAGCCTCTCGAGTAGCTGGGACTATGGGCATGCACTACCATGCCTGACAAATTTTTTGTGTCTTTTGTAGAAATGGGGTTTTGTCATGTTGGCCAGGCTGGTCTCGAACTCCTGGGCTCAAGTGATCCGCCTGCCTCGGCCTCCCAAAATGTTGGGATTACAGGTGTGAACCACTGCACCCGGCCTGTTATTGTTCTTATCCCTCACATGCAGTATAGCTATAAATAGGAGAATTAATAAAGATGCCTGCAGAAATTCATTCAGAAGAAATTCCTCATTGATGGAATGGGAATAATACCTATTTTACAGAATGAAATATATGTAAAAACATACGTATATATAATTTTTTGAAGTGTTAAGGGTACCTTCTTCAAACATTTGTTCTTAAACAATTCCTCTCCTACCTCCTGAACGAACTCTGTCACTAATTATACTACTTTTTTTTTTTTTAATTTGAGACGGAGTCTTGCTCTGTCACCCACGCTAAAGTGCAGTGGCGCCATCTCAGCTTACTGCATCCTCCTCGTCCCGGGTTCAAGCAATTCTTGTGCCTCAGCCTCCCAAGTAGCTGGGACTACAGGCACACACCACCACGCCCAGCTAATTTTTGTATTTTTAGTAGAGACGGGTTTCACCATTTTGGCCACGCTGGTCTTGAACTCCTGACTTCAGGTGATCCGCCCACCTCGGCCTCCCAAAGTGCCAGGATTACAGGCGTGAGCCACCACACTCGGCCTACCTTTTTCAAGTCTTAATAATAATTTGTTGGTTACCTCTGTGAAGTAGAATTAAGGATAATTTTTGTATGTGATACTTTCCTGAATTTATAAAGTTTTTATGTAATAAACATTATTTCTTACATATTTTATAATGTAACCCTTAAGTCCTGCTCAAAATGGAGTGAAAATCTTACTTTGTAGAGGAGACATGATACTTTTTTCCCATTCTTCATATCTAAATGCACAGTTGTTTCCTCTTGGGCACACATACTTGTTTGTTTATACATTAGAATGCTGTTAGGTAGATTATTTTGTTGGCATTTAAAATATACACAATTTTATTGTGTATATTTTCATGGTTGTCCTTTTGAAAATAGTACTACCAGGAAAATGTGATCAGTTAAAATTTTCCCAATACAGTAAAGAATTTTAATTTACGTATGTTTTGGCTTTGAGAGAAACAAGATTGCTTAAACAAACTCCCTCAAGACCTTCAAGTGCTGTAGGCCAGGTACTGGATTAAATTAAACAAGTCGCATTTCCTTACCTAAGCGTAACTGGGTAGAAAGGAGTATTATTGTTGCATTAAAACAGCATTTGTTCACCATACTTTGTTAAAACCTTGGATGGAGTTTTAACCTAAATTGGCTTAATTCAGAAAAGTCTTTCTACAGAAGTAAACCTTAAAAGCATTGTTATTCAAGGCTGGGCATGGTGGCTCATGCCTGTAATCCCAGCATTTTGGGAGGCTGAGGCGGGCAGATCACGAGATCAGGAGTTCGAGACCAGCCTGACCAACATGGTGAAAACCCATCTCTACTAAAAATACAGAAGACAGCCGGGCGTGGTGGTGGGCACCTGTAATCCCAGCTACTCAGGAGGCTGAGGCAGGAGAATTGCTTGAACCCAGGAGGCAGAGGTTGTAGTGAGCCGAGATCACGCCACTGCATTCCAGCCTGGGCAACAGAGCAAGATTCCATCTCAAAAAAAAGAAAAAAAAAAAAAGCCATCCAGCCTTAATTCTAGTTGAGATGAAGTGAACTGAGTGGCTGCAGGCTGTCTCTTCCTGAAGTTCTTCAGAAATCAGGGATGGCTTACATAAATCCATGCCCAGGGGCGGGGCAGGACTAACACCAAGAAGGTTCTTAACAAGGGCCCAGATTCGAGATCCTCACACAAAGCAATTATTTGCAGAGAATACCCATTCCAGTTAAAATCTCCAGGCTGTTAACTTACTTAATGAGTGCCCTGTTGGGATGTGGAAAGATGCAGAGACTCTCACCATCTATTGCCTCTCCTTTATCCACACAAGTAAGACCCATGCAGGGTGCTCCTGCAGTGCAGGGAACTCTCTTTATTGCAAAAGGGAAAAAGAAAAGTTGCATCTGTCAAGTTTTTGAAGGGCTAGGATTTAGACTGGCAGTTTGTTTGTTCCCTTTGAGAGCCTGAGGGAAGCTATGGGCCCTCTTCCCAGAAGCAGGTCCACAGATGTGTGATGTAGGGTGGGTGGTTCCTCCTTATTGTCTGCAAAATACTTTCTTTCCAATCTTTGGGAGATATGATGGTTAATTTTAGGTGTCAACTTGACTGGGATAAGGGATGCCCAGATAGCTGGTAAAGCATTATTTCTGGGTGTGTCTCTAAGGGTGTTTCTGGAAGAGATTGGCATTTGAATCAGCAACCTGAGTAAGGAAGATGCCCTCACCTAAAGTGGGTGGACGCTATCCAATTTGCTGAGGGTCTAGGTAGAAGAAGAAGGCAGAAGAAAGGTGAACTCATTCTCTCTTCTGAAGTTGGGACACCCTTCTTCTCCTGCCCTTGGACATCAGAGCTCCAGGTTTTCCTGCCTTTGGACTCTGGGACTTATACCAGCAGCCTCCTGATTTCTCAGGACAGCAGCCTCAGATGGAGGGTTACACCCTCAGGTCCCCTGGTCCTCAAGCCTGCGGACCTGGACTGAATTACACCATTGATTTCCCTGGCTCTCCAGCTTACAGACAGCAGACTGTGGGACTTCTCAGCTTCCATAATTACATTAGCCAATTCCCATAGTAAATTCCCTCTTCTATTACATAGCATTGCTGTGAGTACTGAGCTCACAACAATGGGTTAATATGAATAAAACTCCCAAAACAGCTCTGAGAACATGAGAACATGATAAATGCTGTCTCAATATCGTCATTCAATGATCAATACATTCAATGTTTTCTTAGATTCCTTCTTGCTCTAAGAACCTGTGAATTTTTTTTTTTTTTTTTTTTTTGAGATGGAGTCTCGCTCTTGTTGCCCAGGCTGGAGTGCAGTGGTGTGATCTCAGCTCACTGCAACCTCCACCTCCTGGGTTCAAGTGATTCTCCTGCCTCAGCCTCCCAAGTAGCTGGGATTACAGGCACCCGCCACCATGCCTGGCTAATTTTTGTATTTTTAGTAGAGATGGGGCTTCACCATGTTGGCCAGTCTGGTCTAGAACTCCTGGCCTCAGGTGATTCACCCGCTTTGGCCTCCCAAAGTGCTAGGATTACAGGCATGAGCCACCAAGCCTGGCCTATAAATCTTGATAACACTAAACCTATCTCTATACATTAATCAATTACCATGTCCCAGATACTAATGGGGAGTTGACACACTTTATTTCACTTAATGACCCAAACAATCCTGTGAGTTGGGTTATATCACTTGATTGTCCACAGTGGAGAACAAGGTTGAGTAGCTTGCCTAAGATTAGTGGTGTGTTCATTCTCAAAGATGGGATGTCTGGAATCCAAACCCTCATCTGTCCAAATCACAAACTGGGAGAAGTTATTTGCAGCATAGAAAACAAAGGAGTAGTATCAGAATACAAAAGAAGCTTTGCATATTAAGAAAAGAGACACGAAATTCAAATCAAATGAATGGACAGTTTCTAGAAGAAATCCACTAGGTCAATGTGTCTGTGATAAAATGCTCAGTCTCACTGGGTATAAGCAAATTCAAATAAAAGAATGAGCTGCCACTGATGAAGACAGAGGGAAATGAGGACTCTTACCCACAACTGGTGATTGGTAGTCTTTTTGAGCTTTGAAGATATATTTTGCTATATTCTAACTTTCCATATTGCTGTTGAGATGTCTTATGGTATTCTTATTTCTGATTCTTTGTATGCCTATTAAATAAGATGGCTTGGGCAGCAAGGAACTGTAGAAGAGGGAGAACTTTTCCTCTGGTGTCTTAGGTTCTGCCGTTGGGATCTGCTAATTAAACTGACAAAAGACAGACTAACAGTAGAAGAGGAATACGAATTTTATCTGATGTTAATTTTTACATGTATATGGAAGCTTCCATAGAAGTGAAGACCCAAAGAGAAGCTAGACCCGGGGGTCTATATGTTATTTTAACAGAGTGATAAATTGTGGAGACAGGACAAAGGAAAAGAATTTGTGCTTCTAGGAGCAGTAAATTGTGGGAAGGTAAATTTATGGGGGACACCAGTTGATGGTAAGGGTTATTTAATAGGTCTGTTTGTGCAGACTCATCTCCATGCTTTCCCCACTCCAGTAATAAAGGTTGTCTTTCCCTTCCTGATATGAGAGCAGGGGATGCCTTCACAACAGGAAATGTATGCCTTGTTTTGTCAGCAGACAGAGAAAGGTAGTGAGCGTTTCTTGAGTCTGCTGCTTTTCAATTGTCTTCAGCTCAAAATAATCCTTATGCTAAAGTGGCATAGTTTGGGTGACTCCCTTCAGAACATAATATCTGTCTAAGAATAGTATAGGTACATTGACTGCTTCCTTAGTAGGAGGACTGGAAGTAAGCTATCCCAAGGCTGAACTGGCACCTCACCATGCTCACCAGGGCCCCGGCTCCTTTCAGCTCTCTGCTCTTCCATCCTCAGCATGTTGATGATGTTATGCTTCAAGGAGACAAGATGACTGTGCCAGCTCCAAACATCACAGCCTGAGTCACAAGGAGAGAAGCAATAAAATTACCCCATTCCCAGCAGACGTCTCCCTGAATTTCCTTGGTCAGGACTGTGCCATACTACACAGTTTAATAGCCGGCCAAGGAGCCCCCTGTGCCTGGCGCAATCATGATTCCTCCCTCCGGAGGTCCGTGCTACAGGCCTCCAAACCTGGCTTCTATTAACAGGCAGGAAAGGGAAGATGGCTGTTTGGCAGACTATCTGCAGTGTCTGGTGCAGTAGAGGAAGTTTTTTTTCTCCTCTGGAAGTTTAGGATTATCAGTTCTCTCTGGTGTTTTGGGTGGAATTAAGCCTCATTTCCTTGCAGACAGACTTGGCTAGAAAATCTAGCCGAAGTGGAGGCATTTAATGAAAAACCTTGACAGAATGAGAATCTGTTAAAACAGGTACTTTTAAAAGAACAAACTTGAGCTAGTCATTAGATATTGTTTAGATAGATAAGAAACAGTTTAGTAACAAATCTGTTAAATCTACACATATTCTGTGCCTTATCATCATAAAATAATCTTCTGGCTACATCTTTTTGTTAAGAAGTATAAGGGCTAGTCTTGTGTTAATAGTTTCAAGAACCATTTTCTTGTAACCTTGAGACTTGCTTATGGTTGTCACAAAATAGTCCAAATTTTTAGACTATTTGACATAGACAAGTATAGACTGGGTTTGTTCTTACTAAAAGCTGACTTTTGGCCGGGCGCCATGGCTCACGCCTATAATCCCAGCACTTTGGGAGGCCAAGGTGGGTGGATCACCTGAGGTCGGGAGTTTGAGACCAGCCTGACCAACATGGAGAAACCCTGTCTCTACTAAAAATACAAAAAAAATTAGCCGGGCGTGGTGGTGCACGCCTGTAATCCCAGCTACTCTGGAGGCTGAGACAGGAGAATCGCTTGAATCCGGGAGGCAGAGGTTGCGGTGAGCTGAGATCACGCCATTGCACTCCAGCCTGGGCAACATCTCAACGAAAAAGAAAAAAAGAAAGAAAGAAGAAAAGGGCCGGGCACGTTGGCTCACGCCTGTAATCCCAGCACTTTGGGAAGCTGAGATGGGCAGATCACGAGGTCAATAGATCGAGACCATCCTGCCTAACATGGTGAAACTCCATCTCTACTAAAAATACAAAAATTAGCCAGGCGTGATGGTGGGCACCTGTAGTCCCAGCTACTTAGGAGGCTGAGGCAGGAGAATTGCTTGATAGATAATCGCGAGATTCCATCAAAAAAAAAAAAAGCTGACTTTTTTTTTTTTTTTTTTTTTTTTGAGACAGAATTTCACTCTGTCACCCAAGCCGGAGTGCAGTGGTGCAGTCTTGGCTCACTGCAAGCGGGTTCAAGCGATTCTAGTGTCTCAGTCTCCCAAGTAGCTCCAATTTATTAGATATTGTACTGCCAAGAATGAGTCTCTACATTTCTTATATTTTCTCTTCTAGTTTCCATCTCTCTATCCCTCTTACCCTGATATTTCCTTAATTTTGTCTCCCACCTACCTACTGAACTTTGTTTAAAAAAACAGCTGGGCGCAGTGGCTCACGCCTGTAATCCCAGCACTTTGGGAGGCTGAGGCAGGCAGATCATCTGAGGTCAGGAATTCGAGACCAGCCTGGCCAACATGGTGAAACCCCATCTCTACTAAAAATACAAAAATTAGCCGGGTGTGGTAGTGCATGCCTGTAGTCCCAGCTACTCAGGAGACTGATGTAGGAGAATGGCTTGAACCCAGGAGGTGGAGGTTGCAGTGAGCCAAGATTGCGCCACTGTACTCCAGCCTGGGCAACAGAGCTAGATTCCGTCTCAAAAAAATAAAAATAAATAAATAACAGGCTATTTTCAAGAGCTCTGTCCCTGATTATTCTCGATTCATGAGTGCAGATTTTCTCTTCCAGTTCTGATGGTATCTAACCACAGGAGGATGTGTGAATACTTTGCTACCTGAATTGTCTCTGTTCTGTTTGTTCTGCTGTGTCTGCCCCTCCCGCGCTGGTAATCCTTGCCTCTCTGCTCCTATTTAAGACTAAGGCGCTAGGACGCTGGTTGTGCTGCGTGTGTGTGAGGGAAGCTTGAGGCTTGGTGGCTCCCACCAGAGCGTGGTCGGCAGGAAGCCAAGTCTCCCCTCCACAGATCATACCTACAGGTCTTTTCTCCAGGAATGGTTCTCAGAGGGGTGGCACCGGGCAGTGAGACCCCGCCTGTCAGAGTTCTGGAAGAGGGCAAGTGTGCTGGACACAGACGCCATGCATAGACCGCTCCTGGGCAGACCCTGTTGCCCCAGCTGGCAGCAGGCCACCCTCGGCTGTCAGCTCCCCCCAGGCCCGCCTCCCTCGTAGGGAGCCCTCGACAGCCTTTCTGGGCACCCGCATGGGTGCCTGATGGAGGTGAGCCTGCTGTCTACTGGAGCAGCCCGGGTAGGTCTGCCACTGTGTAGAGAGAGACCAGGGAGAGGCCGCACAGCCGGGCAGGGAACTGGGCCCCTACGCATTACTGGGCGCAGTACCCCAGGGGCGCAGGCAGTTCTCCCTCGGGCTGCGGGCCCCTGGCGGGGGGCGCGGTCCTTCCTCAACCAGGGCAGGAGCCGTGGGTCGCCAGCCAGGCTTCCTTCTCACCAAGCAGTCGACGTGAAGGTCCCAACAGGCTTGAGCCCGGTTGTCCACAGCGGAAGCCTCAGTCATTTATTTCTCAGTGAAGTCCCTGCAGGGACTTGGGCGGCTCCATTTTCCTCTCCCCTACAGGCGTTTCCTGGGATCACCTCCCACATAGCTGCTTGCACTTCAGTCCTTCTCTCAGGATCTGCTTCTGAGAGAGCTGGAACCCACCCACATCGTAGTAGACATTCAATTAGATGCCAAGACGCGGACTCTCAGACCTCACTGTGCTACAGAGCGCCCTCTCTGCCGGGCCCTGGGCTGGAATCATCCGCGCTCCTGCCATAGCGTTAATGACGGCCCTAAATGTTACCTCTGCTCTTGCTGCGTGACGCCGTAAAGCCGATTGTAGTACCTTATTTCGCAGACGAGGAAACAGCCTCAACGAGCTCCCTGAGGTCACATGGCTAAGAAACTGAGAGACCATTACTGAAATTCCAATTCCCAATTCCCATCTTCTTGACTCCGAAGCTCTATGTTCTTTTTTTTTTTTTTTTTTTGAGACAGAATCTCGCTCTGTCGCCCAGGCTGGAGTGCAGCGGCGCAATCTCGGCTCACTACAGCCTCCGCCCCGGGTTCAAGTGATTCTTGGCGCCCCAGCTGCCCAAGCGTCAGCCTCCCAAGCTGCTGGGATTACGGGCGCGGCCACCAAGCCTGGCTTTTTTTTTTTTTTTTTTTTGTATTTTACTAGAGATGGGGTTTCGCCATGTTGGCTATGGCTGGTCTTGAACTCCTGGCCTCAAGTGATCCACGTTGGCCTCCCAAAGTGCTAAGATTACAGGCGTGAGCCACTGCACCCGGTGGAAAGCCCTATGTTCTTTTATTTTCTTTTTGAGACGGAGTCTCGCTCTGTTGCCCAGGATGGGGTGCAATGGCATGACCTTGGCTCACTGCAACCTCCGCTTCCTGGGTTCAAGGGGTTCTCCTGCCTCAGCCTCCCTAGGAGCTGGGATTACAGGCACCCACTGGCTAATTTTTAGTATTTTTAGCAGAGACGGGGTTTCGCCATGTTGGCCAGGCTGATTGGCTGATCTCGAACTCCTAACCTCAGGTGATCCACCCGCCTCGGCCTCCCAAAGTGCCGGGATTACAGGCCTGAGCCACCGCGCCCAGCTGGAAAGCCCTGTGTTCTTAACATTTAAGAGTCTATTCTGCCTGGAAAGAAATCAGATAAAGAGCAATTCAAAAACAACAAAAGTTGGGAGGCCGAGGCGCGCGGATCACGAGGTCAGGAGATCGAGACCATTCTGGCCAACATGGTGAAACCCCGTCTCTACTAAAAATACAAAAATTAGCTGGGAGTGGTGGCATGCACTTGTAGTCTCAGCTACTCTGGGAGGCTGATACAGGAGAATCGCTTGAACCCGGGAGGTGGAGGTTGCAGTGAGCCGAGACCCTGCCACTGCACTCCAGCCTAGTGACAGAGCGAGACGCTGTCTCAAAAACAACAACAACAACAACAACAAAAGAATATTCATCAACAAAGTACTCAAGACTATAATAGACACGTATTCTCTAAGAAATAAGGCCGGGCGCGATGGCTCACACCTGTAATTCCAGCACTTTGGGAGGCCGAGGCGGGCGGGTCACGAGGTCAGGAGATCGAGACCATCCTGGCTAACACGGTGAAACCCTGTCTCTACTAAAAAAAAAACAAAAAAATGAGCCGGGCATGGTGGCGCGTGCCTGTAGTCCCAGCTACTCCGGAGGCTGAGGCAGGAGAATGGCGTGAACCCGGGAGGCACAGCTTGCAGTAAGCTGAGATCGCGCCACTGCACTCCAGCCTGAACGACAAAGCGAGACTCCATCTCAAAAAAAAAAAAAAAATAATAATAATAAATAAATTAGTTTCTCTCACTTTCTTGTTTTAAAAGTAATTTTTGACATAAAAGAGAAAAAAGCAGACGCTGTAATTTGAAGGGGAAAAAACCTTACATTTAAAAGTAGAAGGTAGACTTTTCAGCCAGAACTGCCATCTTTCAGTAATTCGCCAAAATGACGAACACAAAGGGAAAGGGGAGAGGCACCCGATATGTGTTCTCTAGGCCTTTTGGAAAACATGGAGTTGTTCCTTTGGCCACGTATATGCACATCTATAAGGAAGGTGATAATGTAGACACCAAGGGAATGGGTACTGCTCAAAAAGGAATGGCCCACAAGTGTTACCTTGACAAAACTGGAAGAGTCTACAATATTACCCAGCATGCTCTTGGCACTGTCGTAAACAAACAAGTTAAGGGCAAGATTCTTGCCCAGAGAATTAATGTGTGTATTGAGTACATTAAGCACTCTAAGAGCCGAGATAGCTTCCTGAAACGTGTGAAAGAAAATGATCAGTAAAAGAAAGAAGCCAAAGAGAAAGGTGCCTGGGTTCAACTGAAGTGCCAGCCTGCTCCACCCAGAGAAGCACACTTTGTGAGAACCAATGGGAAGCAGCCTGAGCTGCTGGTACCTATTCCCTATGAATTCATGGCATAATAGGCGTTAAAAAAAATAAAAGACCTCTGGACTGTTCAATGAAAAAAAAGTAGAAGGTGGGACACAGAGAATCTTACAGCTTAGGGGAACAAAGGGGTTGTTAGAAGTTAGTGGAGATCCAAGAGCCCTTTGGAAATTATTGTTTGTCCAAGATTTTATATTCCAGGGCTATTTTTAACCCATTTTGGATTGCTGTGTGGTAAAGAGAAAAGTACTGTATGGTAATGAACAGGAGTTAAGAGTGGGTCTGGGTTGTGTCCTGGTTGTGAGATCACAGTCAAGTGAATTAGTTTTTCTGTCTCTGCTTTCTCACCTGTAAGTGGATTTTGTGGGGTTTAAAATGGGATGCAATTTATTAGAGAGCTTTGAGATATAATACAGCAGATACAAATATTCTACAACCTTGAGTAATTTTACGATAAGTCTTGGGGAGAAGAATGGGGAAGATCCAATTAGGTCCCCTGACCTGTATATAAATGAGAATCTGCATTCTAGATCTACAGAGCTGGCACAGATTTCTTTCTTATGCAGAATCTCTTCTCAAAATATTTTTTTACAAAGTCTTTTACGAATATGAAAGCTCATGGAAATATCCTGTTCAACTTTGAAACTTGGAATTTTGTTTCTATGAAATTGACAAGTGAATGTGTGACAGTATTTCAGAAACAATAGAAAAGAAGGAATAGAAACAGCTGGTAAATTCTTTAGATGTGAAAGTGGTTTTTCTTTTCTTCTTCTTTTTTTTTAACCAGACTCTGATCCTGAAAAATAAGCATCCCCAAAATCAGAAAACAGTACATATTAGCTGCTGAAAACTGAGGTTGAACCCAATTTTACCCTGTCTTGTTTAACTTCAGTTAGGAATGGAATTAAAGAGATAGTTTTGTTTTGAACTCTTGACCACTGGAAATAAAAGGGAGTGAAGTGTGCAGGTAGCCAAAAATCCACCTAATTCACCTCCCATAGCACACTCACATTTGTTTTGTTTTGTTTTGTTTTTTTGAGAGACAGAGTATTGCTCTGTCGCCCAGGCTGGAGTGCAATGGTGCGATCTTGGCTCACTGCAACCTCCGCTTCCTGAGCTCAAGCAATTCTTCTGCCTCAGCTTCCCGAGTAGCTGGGATTACAGGTGCCCACCACCATGCCCAGCTAATTTCTGTATTTTTAGTAGAGACCGGGTTTCACCATGTTGGCCAGGCTGGTCTCGAACTCCTGACCTCAAATGATCCACCCACCTTGGCCTCCCAAAGTGCTGGGATTACAGGTATGAGCCATCGTGCCTGGCCCACTCACATGTTTTTAATGATAGTTTATTTTGGAGTAATTTTCCATTCATTTAACAAACATTCATAAATAATCTATTCAGTGTTACTTATGCTTCTGAGGGAATAAATTAAATACTAATCAAATGACATAGATTTGATTTATCTGTGGCATGAAGGCCACCATTACAGATAAACCATAAAAGGTTGTTACCTTGGAATTCTAAAGATTTATAAAGTGAGGTACAAAACAACAAAATCAAGAATAAATATAAAATTTATTTATAAATATTTAGAACCCATATTAATTTCCCAAATAGTCTCAGGATGTAAGGCCTGCTGCAGTAGCAGTTTCAGAGAGGAGTGGATACCAGCACCCCACAACCTGATTTAAAATAATAAAGTCCAGATGCTCTTGCCAAAAAAGAGGTCAGCATCACTCACTGCCATGACCTGGATCGTATTTCAAAAGTGTCAAATCAAAGCTGTCCCACCAAAGCCTGATTTCTTAATGAATTCCTTATGCATTTCATCTCTTGAATACAAAAAGTTGGGTATCTGTTGTGGAGTAAAATTTAGATGTAAGAAACAAAACCCAGCGAGTGTGATCCTATGTGAAATGCATCCCCATGCAGTTGGTCTCTTACTGTACGAGTTATTTACTGCGTAATTAAGATGCTTTCATTTAAAAAGCCACATCTGAGAATCATCATCATATTTACAGGGAAAAGGGAGTGTGAGCTGAAGGAAATTTAGTAGAAATCTAGACATTTAAGTCTTTAAAAAATGCTGACATTCTGTCATGTTGATCCAGCACTATCAAGAGTAAAATCTAAAAATTTTGTCATTTCGGTATGTTAAATGCCGGCATCTTTTCTGAAGAAAGATTCCAGCTAAGGGGGTGGTTTCCAGTCCTAACTTATTATGCTCAGTATAACTGGATACTGAATAGCAAATATTCTTTTTTTTTTTTTTTTTTTTTTTTTTGAGACAGAGTCTCACTCTGTTGCCAGGCTGGAGTGCAGTGGCGTGATCTCAGCTCACTGTAACCTCCACCTCCTGGGTTCAAGCGATTCTCCTGCCTCAGCCTCCCAAGTAGCTGGGACTACAGGCGCATGCCACCACACCTGGCTAATTTTTATATTTTTAGTAGAGATGGGGTTTCACCATGTTGGCCAGGATGGTCTTGATCTCTTGACCTCGTGATCCACCCGCCTCGGCCTCCCAAAGTGCTGGGATTACAGGTGTGAGCCACCATGCCTGGCCCTGAATAGCAAATATTCTTTTTGAAGAAGAGAAAAGGAGACCTCAGGGTGATTAGATAGATAAATAGATACATCAGACCGACAGACAGATGGATGAACAGATGAATGGACAGATAGACTGATGGGTCAATGAATGAAAGGATGGATAGGTGAGTGGGTGGGTGGATGTATGTATGTATGTATGGATGGATGGATGGATGGATGGATGGATGGACAGGTATAAGTAGATAGCAGTATCATCAGCTTTTGGAAAATAGTAACGTCTTTACTTCAGATTAGCAATCAACATGATATTTTCTCAGAAAGATGCAGCCTTAAACCCTAATAGATACTTGCCCAAGAATTCAGAGGTATGAGGCTCTGTCTTTTATTTTATTTTATTTTATTTTTTGAGACGGAGTCTCGTTCTGTCACCCAGACTGGAGTGCAGTGGTGCGATCTCGGCTCACTGCAACCTCTGCCTCCCAGGTTCACACAATTCTCCTGCCTCAGCCTCCAAAAAGTAGCTGGGATTACAGGCACATACCACCACGCCTGGCTAATTTTTTTGATATTTTTAGTAGAGACGGGGTTTCACTATGTTGGCCAGACTGGTCTCGAACTCCTGACCTCGTGATCTGCCCGCCTCGGCCTCCCAAAGTGCTGGGATTACAGGCGTGAGCCACCGTGCCCGGCCGAGGCTCTATCTTACAAATGGCTTAAGTATACTGAAATTGAAGTATGAAAACTTTGTTCATTCATTCATTTATTCATTCATTCATTCAACAAATCATTATAGAATGTCCACTCTGTACCAACGCCCAGCAATGACGCCTGTCACTATGGAACTTAATGGTTCATTCCCATTTTTATTTGTAAAGTCATAAATGACACTTCTAGTTCAAGAACAAGAAAGTATAGATGGCTTGCTGTGGTGGCTCATGCCTATAATCCCAGCACTTTGGGAGGCTGAAGTGAGCAGATCGTTTGTGGTCAGGAGTTCCAGACCAGCCTGGCCAACATTATGAAACCCTGTTTCTACCAAAAATACAAAAATTGAGGCTGGGCACAAAGGCTCACGCCTGTAATCCCAGCACTTTGGGAGGCCGAGGTGGGTGGATCACGAGGTCAGGAGATTGAGACTATCCTGGCCAACATGGTGAAACCCCGTCTCCACCAAAATACAAAAAATTAGCCAGGCATGGTGGCAGGTGCCTGTAGTCCCAGCTCCTCGGGAGGCTGAGGCAGGGGAATTGCTTGAACCCAGGGGGTGGAGGTTGCAGTCAGCTGAGGTCACACCACTGCACTCCAGCCTGGCGACAGAGCAAGACTCCGTCTCAAAAAAAAGAAAAAAAAAAAATTGGCGGGGCATAGTGGTGCATGCCTGTAATCCCAGCTACTCGGGAGGCTGAGGCAATAAGAATTGCTTAAACCCGGGAGGCAGAGGTTGCAGTGAGCCAAAATTGCGCCACTGCACTCCAGTCTGGGCGACAGAGTGAGACTCCATCTGAAAAAAAAAGAAAAGAAAACAACAACAAAAAAAAGAGAAAGTATAGATTCACTTTTTTCTCCTCTTACCCTCTAACACCTCTGAAAATAACAAAATACCCTGGAAATCATTCAACAGACAATGATAAAAGAATTCTGAGTGCTTGAGAGAAGAAGGTAGATAGGTTAGAGACCTTAAAACTTCAGAAATGACAACCTGGTGAGTTCCCTGGTTTTTCTTTTTATCTCCCATATGACCCCAGACTGGATGCCAGAGAGGCCTGAAACCTCCAATAGGCATAGACAAACAATCAGACAGACAAACAAAAGTCTGGCTGGAGAACTGGGTAAAGGGGAAGCACAACAGAGACCAAATGGGGAGCTCTAACTCCTGTTTCACAACTGGCCACAAACAGGTGGCCTGATTTTCCTCCAAAACCCTGCTGGGTTGACCCAATCCTTACTCCACACTTGGGTAATTGGTGAGTGGGCTAATCCATCCACAGGGGCAGCATTAGCAAAGCCCAGCATCTCCCTACCCTTTATCACAAAGGGCATATAATGCACATGAAGTGACACACAAAGATAAGCCCAGTGGCTTCAGCCCCTTTTAACTCCTATGGCAGAGGTTGGCCTAGGAACATCAGGTGATCCAGGAAAGTAACTTCCACTCCTTAAGGGAGCCCCAGCAGGAATTAAGTGAGAATTTCAAAAATGTCAGAAGAATGAGGCAAACCAGAATAGAACTGCAAGGGCTCTGAAAACTAAACTGTTGTTTAGTACATTTTCTGCTGATATAACAGAATACTTGAGGTATAACAGAATACTTAAGGCTGGGTAATTTATAAAGAAAAGAAAGTTATTTGGCTCACAGTTGTGGAGGCTCGGAAGTCCAAGATTGAGGGGCCACATCTGGTAAGGGCTTTCTTGCATGTCATCCCACGTCAGAAGGTAGAAAAGCAAGAGAATGTGTGTGAGAAAGCAAGAGATTAAACTTGCAGCCTCAAGTCCTTTTATAATTGACATTAATCCATTCATGATGGGACAGCCCTCATGACCCAAATGCCTCCCATTAGGCTCCGCCTCCCGACACTGTTTCATTTGGGATTAAATTCTCAACACACACTTTTTGGGGAACAAATTCAAAGCATAGCAGCTGTCATTGGAACTACAGCTCACAAAAATGGGCCAGAAGCTAGACTAAATTGGAAAAGGTTAACTGTCTGCTAAAACAGAAGATTTAAGTGGCATCAGCAGCCTCCTAATGTAACAACCAAAGTGCTCAGGATACAATAAAAATTCACTCATCATACCAAAAATCAGGAAAATCACACTTTCAATAATAAAAAGTCAATTGATGCTAATACTAAAATAAATACAACATGGAAATTATTCGACAAAGATTTTAAAACTTTTGCAATAAGAATGCTTCAACGAACAATTGTGATTCTCTTGAAACAAAAAATTAAAAATCTCAGCAAAGAAATAGAAGTTATAAAAAAAAGAACCATATGGAAATTTTAGAACTGAAAAATACAGTTGAAATAAAAAAATTCATTGGATAGACTCAATACTAGAGTAGACATGACAGGGAAACTTGAAAATAGATCAACAGAATTTATTCAATCTGGAAAATAGAGGAAAAACAGGCTGAAAAAGGTGAACAGAGCCACAGGGATCTGTGAGACAGATATCCAACTCTCTAAAGTATCTAACATTCATACAGAGTTCCACAAGGAAAAGAGAATAAGGTGGGACTGGGGCTAAGAAGAACTCAAAAAACTAATGGCTGACAACTTCCCAAATTTAGAAAGAGACATAAAACTACAGAATCAAGAAGCTCAGTGAAATGGAACTGGATAAACCCCAAGAAATCCACACAGAGACACATCATAAACTTCTGAAAAACTGAAGACAAAAAAATTTTAAAAACAGCTAGAGATAAACGATGCATTACCTATAGTGGAAGACCAACTTGAATGATGGTAGATTTTTAATCTGAAACCATCAAGGCCATATTTTTCAAGTGATGAAAAAAAATAACAAAAATAAAAAAGTAAAAATCAGCCAAATCAAAACCCCAACTATCAACAATGAATACTACATCTAACAAGCCATCTTTCAAAAATGAGGAGGAAATAAGACATTTTTAGATGGAAAAAACTATGAATTTGTTGCTAGCAGATTTAGTCTTTAGCTAAAGGATGGTCCCCAAACATAAAGAAAATGTTAGGTACTAAATTGTGTCTCCTCCACCCTCACCTTTATATATTGAAGTCCTAACCTCCTCCAATGTGACTGTATTTGTAAACAAGGCCCTTAAAGAGGTAATTAAGGTTAAATGAGGTCATAAGGGTGGGTTGCTAATCCACTAGGACTGGTGTCCCTATAAAAAGAGGCAGGCACACCAGCTGTGTATATACAGAGCAAAGGCCATGTAAGGACCCAGAAAGAAGATGGCCATCTGCAAGCCAAGGAGAGAGGCCCCAGGAGAAACCAAACCTGCCAACATCTTGGACTTCCAGCTTCTAGAACTGTGAGAAATAAATTTCTGTTGTTTAAGACAGTTGGCCTATGGTATTTTGTTATGGTAGCACTAGCAGACTAAGACAGACAAGCGCAATAGATGAATGATTGGACCTTCAGAAAGGAAAGAATAATGGAATAGGAAAATAGAAAGGTAAGCATAATAGACTACACTTCACTTATGGAGTTTCTTTAACCATACTTTGTGTTTGAAGCCACAATTATAACACTGTTCAGTATGGCACTCGATGTATGTAAACACTTCATATAATTATATTTAAAATGTTGGAAAAGTAAAGAGATCTACATGGAAGCAAGGTTTCTTAACTTCACTCAAAGGGGTACTGACATCAGTAGGCTATAGTAAATTACATATATATGTGGTAATACCTAGAACAATCACTAACAAAACTGTAGAAAGTAGTACACTAAGAAATATTATAAATAAAAAGGAATCTAATTCCAATGAATGTTTAAGTAACTCACAAGAAAGCAAGGGAAAAATACCAGAGGAATAAGAAACAAAGGAGACAAACAGAAAACAAATAATAAAATGGCAGACTTAAGCCTTAGCATATGAATGATTAATTTAAATATAAGTGGTATACATATACCAATTCAAAGATTGTCACATTGGATACCACAGGACTTAATTATATGTGTCTATGAACCAAAGATGTAAAAAATAACAAAATAGGTAGGAAACAAAAAATGGAAAAAGATATACTATGCAAACATAAATGAGAAAAAAGCAGGAGTGACTATATTAATGTCACATAAACTTCAGAGCAAATAACATTATTAGAAACAAAAAGAGAATTACATAATAATTAAGAATTAATCCTCCAGGATAAAGCAATCCTAATTATGTATGCAACACACAACAGTGTTTCAAAATATATGGAGTAAAATCCAATAGAGATGAAAAGAGAAATAAATTCAAAATTATAGTTGGGGAATTCAAAACTCAGTTTGAAGCAATTGATAGCACTACTAGAGATAAAATTAGCAAGGATATGGAAGAATAGACAGCACCATTAACTGACTCACATTTATAGACTACTCCATCAAACAACAGCAGAATACATATTCTATTCAAATGCTCATGGAACATTCATCATAAAGACTCTATCCTAGGTCATACAATAAACCTTAACCAATTTAAAAAGACTGAAATCATGCAGAATATATTCTCTTAACCATAATTGAATTCAACTGGAAATCAATAACTTAAAGACAACAGAAAAAAATCTCCAAACACTTGGAAATTAAATAATACACTTCTAAGTAATCTATGGGTCAAAGCAGTCTCAAAGGATATTGAAAAATAAAAACAAAATGGACATAAATGAAACTAAAAACACAGCTTATCAAAATTTGTGGGTTTCAGCTAATGCAATGTTGAGAGGGATATTCATAGCACTTAAATGCTTACATTAGAAAAGAGAAAATATATCAATTGATAACCTAAGTTCTAGCTCAAGAGACTGGAAAAAGAAGAGAAAAAAATGAAATAAACAAAACAAAGCAAGCAGCAGAAGGAACAAAATAATAAAGCAGAAATCAATAAAACTGAATACATGAAGATAAAATTAATAAGGCAAAAAACCTCATTTGTCAAAAAAAAATAAAATTGATAAACCTCTAGTAATATTGACAAAGATAAAAAAGAAGATACAAATAATCCCCAATGTCAAAAGGAAAGTATATCAACATATCCTGCAGCCATTAAAATAACAAGTAAATAATATAAACAACTCTATGCTCATAAAATTGACAAAATTTGGGCTTCTGTTCAATGAGACAGGTAATAAATAAATGACAAATATCTGACAGTGCAATTGCCTAAAACCTATAAGGGGTTACTACCCAGCATAAACTAGGAACTCTTATAAGAATGAACGCACAAAAGGCAGTAATTTGGATAGCAAAATGGGGAAAGGAAATATATAAAATAGTTACAAAATAGGAGATCCTAATTACTGCTGAAGGTTGATAAATCAGAAAATAAGGGCATCATATCATTCAGGCAAATGTTTGGTTTTTCAGTAGAATTAAAGAGAACATGGTTTAAGTAGTTCCCTCTTGAGAGTGTGGCTGAAGGTGGTGACACTTGTGGTGGAAATCTTCCAATTCAATTTGATTTTTAAACCATATGCGTGTATTAGTTTGCTGGGTTTTTATGTTAAAAAAAAGGAATAAAGGTCAAATTGCTTCATCTACATCTTTCAAAAAATTAAAGGAAATATCTCACTTAAGAGTCGCCTAGACAATTATATTTATACTTAGCAAGTTATATAAAAATTAAAAATTTTAAATATAATTCCCAAAATGATGGCAACGTATTATTCACAAAATAGGGGTCAAATAGGTAAAGATAGATGTTTATTTGACAAATAAAACACAGGTATAAATAAAGTAAATCTTATATAGCAATTAAATATATCCCATTTTACTCTACAAAACATTTTTAGTAGGTTACAAGAATATAAAAATACATTAAATAAAAAAATAGATTGAGAATGAAGCAGTTAGGGAATGCAAAAATGAAGAAGAATGCATAAAAATATAAACTAATAAATATTTAATTTCTAAAGTACTTTATAGTACTTCCAAGCATTTTCCTTTTCTAATACAGATTCATTTTTTTTTCTAAAAATAAAATGAGTATATTATTGAATTTTCAAGTTAACACCAGAAAATTATAAAGAATCTAGCATTTCTCAACATTCTGGCATCTAGAAATAATTACTATTAACATTAGCTGAACATCACTCCAGACACATTATTTTGGGTATATGTATCTAACACAGATAGACAGCTAACATACATACACACTCAACAAACAGAAAGAGCACCATGAAAATGAGATCTTGCTTAAGAAAGCAGTGTGGGCCGGGCACGGTGGCTCACGCCTGTAATCCCAGCACTTTGGGAGGCCGAGGCGGGCAGATCATGAGGTCAGGAGATCGAGGCCATCCTGGCTAACACGGTGAAACCCCGTCTCTACTAAAAAAAAAAAAAAAAAAAAAATTAGCCAGACGTGGTGGCAGGCACCTGTAGTCCCAGCTACTTGGGAGGCTGAGGCAGGAGAATGGCTTGAACCTGGGAGGTGGAGCTTGCAGTGAGCCGAAATCGCGCCACTGCACTCCAGCCTGGGCGACAGAGCGAGACTCTGTCTCAAAAAAAAAAAAAAAAAAAAAGAGAGAAAGCAGTGTGATTTCGTGGTCAGGAGCACAAACACTGCAGCCAAACTGTCTGGGCTGTACCCAGAGTCTACCTCTTATGGGCTATGTGCCCATGGGCTAGTCCCCTCACCTCTCTGTGCCTCAACGTCCTCAGCCATAAAATGTGGATGCTAGTAGCATCCACCTCACAGGATTTTGGGGAAGATTAAATGAGTTAACACATAAAAAGTGCTTGGAATGGCATAGGGAACATTGCGAGCCTTCAGTCTAGGAATGTTGTTTTCCGGTGTGATTTCCAGTAGCCTGAAGGCACCAAGAGGAGCAGGAAGGAAAGGCTATCCTGGATCTAGGCTCTGTACACTGGAGATTTTGTCAGATGTTCTAAGCAGAATTTCATCCATCATCCGAGGAGGTGTTCTCCCCGGGGTCACAGGCTGCTTCCCATGACTTCTGGAGGTTTGAGAACAGCATGTCTCTTGCCTCCTCCAGAGGCTTCTGCAGGAGTGATGCATGGCAGATGGCTGGGGGAGAACATTTTCATTTCTTCACTGGCTTTTACCTCTATTTCCATCCACTCCCTTTCATTTCATTAGATGTGCAGCATCACTGCAGTGCATTTCTTTTTTTTCTTTCTTTTTTTTTTTTTGAGATGGAGTCTCACTCTGTCGCCAGGCTGGAGTGCAGTGGCGCGATCTCAGCTCACTGCAAACTCCACCTCCCAGGTTCAAGCGATTCTCCTGCCTCAGCCTCTTGAATAGCTGGGACTACAGGCGTGCACCACCATGCCCAGCTAATTTTTGTATTTTTAGTAGAGACAGGGTTTCACTACGTTGGTCCGGCTGGTCTCGAACTCCCGACCTCAGGTGATCCGCCCGCCTTGGCCTCCCAAAGTGCTGGGATTACAGGCGTGAGCCACCGTGCCGGGCCAGCAGTGCAATTCTTTAAAACTCTGCCAGCCCATCACACCCATGGCATCATTTGGTGTCAGAATCACCCTGTGAGGTAGGCAGAACCCGTACAACCGTTGTGTATTATTCATGAGAAATCCAGCTATCTAGAGGTAAAGCCAATTGCTCAAGCAAGAGTGGAAGTCTTATAAGCTCTCTGCTGTTGTAGACATCCATTGATGACATTTATGTTGAACAAGCATCGGATAGGGATGGGTCATATACTGATGTTGGGGGGCAAAGTGAACAAAGCATAGTCTCTGAGGACTTTCTAGCTGAGCAGATTTAAAAGCAGCTTCCAGCAACACAGCTGGCTGGAGCATTTCGATCTCATCAGGTGGTTTGTTAACAGAAAGGACCGACACCCATCAGCAGGTGTGAAGGAAAAATGGCTGCAGACACAGCCAGACCAATTTTATAACATAATAAGCTGATTCTAGAGTTCTGGAAGAGAAAAAGTGTGAATGTAAGAATGCCTGAGAATCTTTTGAAAAAGAGAACAATAGGAGACTTGCCCTACCAGATACAAAAACATATTAGAAACCTACAATAGCTGGAAAGTTTTAGTATTTATTGGTCAAGAGACAGACAAGCAGCTCACCAACCAGCTGTGAATACACGGGGAGCACTGGACATTGCTGGGAGAAAGGATGACTTCTTTATAATTCAGGAGTAGGGACAATTTTCTAAGCAAGGCACAACTTCCAGGCCATAGGCCGGGTGCAGTGGCTCATGCCTGTAATCCCTGCACTTTGGGAGGCTGAGGCAGGTGGATCACCTGAGGTCAGGAGTTTGAAACCAGCCTGGCCAACATGGTGAAACCCCATCTCTACTGAAAATACAAAAATTAGCCGAATATGGTGGTGGGTGCCTGTAGTCCCACCTACTTGGGAGGCTGAGGCAGAAGAATCACTTGAACCCTGGAGATGGAGGTTGTAGTGAGCAGAGATCACACCATTGCACTCCAGCCTGGGCGACAGAGAGAGATTCCATCTCAAAAACAAAAACAAAAACAAAAACAAAAACAAAAACAAAAAACCTTCCAGGCCACAATGAAAGAGATTGGCAGATTTGACAAGACAAATATTTGAAACAAGAGACAACAAATTCAATAACAGAAAGAAAAAATGTTTGGAATAAAGATGACTTACAAAATATTTGTTGGCCGGGCACGGTGGCTCCCAGCACTTTGGGAGGCCAAGGTAGGTGGATCACCTGAGGTTGGGAGTTCAAGACCAGCCTGGCCAACATGGAGAAACGTGGTCTCTACTACAAATACAAAAATTAGCCAGGCGTGGTGGCACATGCCTGTAATCCCAGCTACTTGGGAGGCTGAGGTAGGAGAATCGCTTGAAACCGGGAGGTGGAGGTTGCAGTGAGCTGAGATCATGCCACTGCACTCCAGCCTGGGCAACAAGAGAGAAACTCCTTCTGAAAAAAAAAAAATGTTGGTATCTATCAAAGGCTTTGGAAGCCCTTTGACTCAGCCATTCCAATTCTAGGAATCCATACCCCAGAAACACCTGCAGATCTACGTAACGTTACAGGATCAAGGATGTTCATTTCAGCATTGTTTGTAATAGGGAAAAAAAAGAAACTTAAATGTCTATGAAAAGAAAATGGGTCAAATAAATTGTACTACATCCAAACTACAGAATACTCTGCAAGAATAAAAGGGAATGGGCTGGGTGCGACGGCTCACGCTTGTAATCCCCACACTTTGGGAGGCCGAGGCAGGTGGATCACGAGATCAGGAGTTTGAGACCAGCCTGACCAACATGGTGAAACTCCATCTCTACTAAAAATATGAAAATTAGCCGGGCATGGTGGCGCACACCTGTAATCCAAGCTACTCAGGAGGCTGAGGCAGGAGAATCGCTTGAACCCAGGAGGCAGAGATTGCAGTGAGCCGAGATTGAGTCTCTGCATTCCAGCCTGGGTGACGTAGTGAATGAAGTAATGCTATGGAAATGTTCCTACATTAAATCAGAACAACAAAATTGCTCTATTTATGTTTTGTAAAAAGCAATTTGAATACAGGTACATATGTAAACGTTTAGAAACCATTCTCGGAGGATAGCCAACAAACTGTTAAGAGAGTTACCTCTGGAGAAGGGAGTAAAATTGGGTGAAAACAGGATTTTCAAGATTTATTCTTCAGGCCTCCTTACTGTTTGGATGTTTAATACGAATGTATACCACTTGTGTAATGTAAACAACGTACACAACAGAAGCAAGGCTTCTTGTCTCTAGAAACAACAAATAAGGAGCTCCCAGGCCCGTGTTAAGTGATAGAGTTAGATGAAACACACACCCTGAGCCAGGAGGGCCACACAGGCACCAGGTGAGGAGAAACAGACGAGGAACAATGGACAGCGCACAGTTACTGACCCCTGGTCGTGCTCAGCTCCAGGCAGAGATTGTGGGCATCCGCACCAGGGCAAAACAAGGGTTTTGTCTTCACTTGAACAAAAGAAATCAAGAGTTTTGAAAAGGTCAATGCGACAGCCATTAGGACTGTATCTTCCAAAGATCTGGAGGCTGTGGAAATGAGAGGCTGAGATGCACACTGCTGCTCAGTCCTGTTCCAACCCAGTGTCCACTCAGAAACCTTCCCAGGACTCTCCCACGAGGCCCTGCACTGAGGAGGGGGCAGGGGACTTCTTCCTGAGGAGGGCCCTCAGGCTTGTGTGTGTGGAGGGCAGCCTCACACTCAATTTATTCGCTCTGAGCTTGCGGGCTGAGGTAAGGCTAAGCTGCAGATAGGACTCTTTGTCACCTGGAAGGGTTGGGAAAGCCCACAGACAACACCAGCCTCCCAGACTCTCACTTCTGGAGGCATGGTCTCCGTGCTGGGATGCTTTTAGTGATCTGAACAGAGTTCTCTTTCACTTGTTAACTTTCTTAACAGGGTGGGAGGTGCAGAGGTCGATGAGGAATTTACTGCCAGGATATCTGGATTTCTGTGTAAGAGCCAGGAAGCTGGTTCTAAAGCTGTGCATGTGAATTAATAGGGACAGAAATATTCCTTTCTCTAAAGCAGGGGTATCCAACCCCCAGGACGTGGACTGGTTGGTACCAGTCCCTGGCCTGTTAGGATCTGTGCCGCACAGGAGGAGGTGAGTGAGAGCCAGCCAGCATTACCACCTGAGCTCTGCCTCCTGTTACATCAGTGGGGGCATCAGATTCTCATAGGAGCGCGAACTCTATTCTGAACTATGCATGTGAGGGCTCTAGGTTGCGCATTCCTTATGAGAATCTAATGCTTGATGACCTGGGGTGGAACAGTTTTATCCCAAAACCCTCAACTCCCCGCGTCCCCCACTCCCGGGCCAAAAAAGTTGGGGACCGCTGCGCTAGAGGATGAACAGCAGGAAACGCAGCTGCAAAGAAATCGCTTCAAAGCCATTAATTAGGGAAGGGATAATATTGAATTTTGGGGGACAGAGACACTCCAAGGATAAATAACAAGAGTTCCAGGAATGGAATGCAACGTTTGAAGCTTTTGGTTTGCACACCTTGGTCAAAAAGAACACTGGCACCATGGCTCACACCTGTAATCCCAGTGCTTTGGGAGGCCCAGGCAGGAGAATCACTTGAGGCTAGGAGTTCAAGACCAGCCTAGGCAACATACCAAGACCCCATTTCTCTAAAAAATGTTAAATGTTACCCAGATGTGGTGGTGCACGCCTACTCAGGAGGCTGAAGTGGGAGGATTGGGAGTTCGAGGCTGTGGTGAGCTATGATCGCACTATGCACTTCAGCCTGGGTGACAGCATTAGCCATCTCTAAAAACAAAAACTAACTGGTTAGTGTGGACAAGAACAAAAGGGATTTTGCACTTTTCTAGAGGGAGGTATGTGTAGTAATTTCTCAGTGACTGAGGTGTGTCTGGAGCCAAGTAGAGTTTCCCAATCTGGCCTGGGGAAAATGCTATGAGAAGAGGAGGATTTGACAGTCCTGAAAAATACAGTTCTCCAGTGCAACCCCCTATTTTGTAGGTGAGGATGTGTTCAGCGAAGATCATGTCCCCAGACTCGTGGCTAGGACTAGACTGGGATAGAGCTCTGTGTTGTAAAACTTGCCTCTTGCTGCCTCCTTGCTCTCAGTGTGGCATCTTGCCTCTGTGCGTAGACATGCCACCTGTCCCACATCACAGACTTCTTTCTAAATGTTTGTTATGGGCAGCCCAGATAAGAAACTCTTTGCTATAATGACAGAAAGAAAGTTGATTCATTAACACCTCTGTTTATTGTCCAAGGCTGGGCTTGCACTTGACTCAATGGGTTTTAGTATATTCACAGAGTTGGACAGCCATCACCATGACCATTTTTACAACATCTCCATTACCCCAGAAAGATCCCTCCAGCTGGTTTTGTCAATCCCATTTTCACTGCTAGCTGTGGCCAACTACAAAACCTATCTTCTGTCTCTTTCAATTTGAGTTTTTTTTTTTTTTTTTGAGACGGAGTTTTGCTCTTGTTGCCCAGGCTGGAGTTGCCCAGGCTGGAGTGCAATGGTGCAATCTCAGCTCACTGCAACCTCCACCTCCTGGGGTCAAGTGATTCTCCTGCCTCAGCCTCACAAGTAGCTGGGATTACAGGCACGCACCACCACGCCTAGCTAATTTTGTGTTTTTAGCAGAGACGGGGGTTTTCTTCATGTTGGTCAGGCTGGTCTCAAACTCCCAACCTCAGGTGATCCACCCACCTCGGCCTCCCAAAGTGCTGGGATTATCAGGCATGAGTCACTGCGGTCGGCCTCAATTTGCTTTTTCTGGACATTGAATATATATAGAATCATACACTATGTGGTCTGGTCTATTGCATCTGGTTTCTTTCAGTTAGAATGTTTTTGAGATTCATTCATGTTGAAACATTTTGTCCATAGTTCATTTCCTTTTTTGCTGAATTATATTCCATTGTGTGGACATACCACACTCTGTTTATTCATTCACAAGTTGATAGGTGGTGTGGTTTGGCTGTATCCCAACCCAAATCTCATCATGTAGTTTCTCTAATCCCCACGTGTTGTGGGAGGGACCCAGTGGGAGGTAACTGAATCATGCTGCTGTTCTCATGATAGTGAGTGAGTTCTCATGAGATCTGATGATTTCATAAGGGACTTTTTCCCTTTGCTTGGCACTTCTCCTTCCTGCCACCATGTGAAGAAGGACATGTTTGCTTCCCCTTCTACCATGATTGTAAGTTTCCTGAGGCCTGCCCAGCCATGTTGAAGTGTGAGTCAACTAAACCTGTTTTCTTTATAAGTTACCCAGTCTCAGGTATTTCTTCATAGCAGTGTGAGAACAAGCTAATACAGTAGGCATTTGGACAGATTCCAGTTTTTCACCATCATAAATAATGCTGCTGTTAGCATTTGTTTACAAGTTTTTGCATAAACATATGTTTTTGTTTCTCTTGGGAGCAGAATTGCTAGGCCATATTGCCTTAGTCTGTTTGGGCTGCTATAACAAATACTGTAGACTGGGTGGCTTATAAACAAGATCTTTATTTCTCACTGTTTTGAGGGCTGGAAAGATGAAGATCAAGGTGCCAGCAGGTTTGGTGTCTGATGAGGTCTTGCTTTCTCATAGATTATGCCTTGTTGCTCTGTCCTCACATAGTGGAAGAGGCCATTGGATTTCCTTGGGCTTTTTAGGGACATTAATTCCATTCATGAGGGCTCCACCCTTGTGATCTAATCACTTCCCAAAGGCCTTGACCTTTACTAGTATTATATTGGGGAATAGGTTTCAACATAGAAATTTCAGGGGAACACAAACATTTAGACTATAGCACATGACACATTTGTAAACTTTTTAAAGAAACTGCCACATTGTTTTCCAAAGTGATAACACCATTTTACATTTCTACCAGCCATATATCAAGTTTCTCTTTTTCCATATCTTGGCAATACTTGGTATTTTCTTTTCGACTATTCTAGTGGGTGTGTAATGATGTTGCTTCGTAGTTTTAACTTCCATTTTTTTGATGCCTAATAGTGTTAATAACTCTTTCATGTGCTTATTATCATTTCTATGGCTCTCATGTTGAAATACCAACTCTTTCACCCATTTGTAAATTGGGTTTTAAAATTTCTTATGACTGAGTAGTAAGTGTTCTTTATATATAGTTGGATACACATCCTTTATAAGTATATAATTTGCAAATATTTTCTCACAGTCTGTGGCTTGTTTTCATTTCCTTCATGGGGGTTTTGGAAGATCAAAAGTTTTTAATTTTAATGAAATCCAGTATATCAATTTTTTTCTTTTCTATCTCATGCTTTTGGTATTTCATATGTAAGCACTTTTTGCTTAACTCAAGATTTAAAAGATTTTCTCCTAGAAGTTTTGTAGTTTTAGTTCTTACATTGATGTCTATGGACAATTTGAATTAATTTAGATATACAAAGTAGGTCTAAGTTTTTTGTTTTCAAATAGATTCTGTTATTAGTTTCCGATGGCCTCTGTAACAAATTAGTGCCAACTGGTGGCTTACAACACTAAGACTTGATTTTCTCACTGTTTTGGAGGCCAGAGTCTGAAATCAAGGCATCAGAAAGAGATGCCCCCTTGAGGGCTCCAGGGAAGAATGGGTGCCTTGCCTCCTCTACCTTCTGGTGGCTGTTGGCATTCCTTGGCTTGAAGTTGGTATCTCCTATTTCTGCCTGTTTTCACACTGCCTTCTCCTCTCTGGGTGACCCCATCTATGTCTGTGTCACCTCTTTCTGCCTGTATCTTACAAGGACTCTTTGATGGTATTTAGGGCCTACCAATGTAATTCAGGGTAAGCTCATATCAAAATCCTTAACCATCACACCTACACAGATTCCCTTTTTTCCAGAGAAGGTAACATTTACAAGATCTGGGGATTAGGACTTGATTCTTCAGGTGGCCATCATTTAACCTACTACAATATCAAATTCTCCCAGTGACGTCTGTTAAGAAGACTATCATTTCCTTATTGAATTGTCTTGGCACTTTGTTGAAAGTCAACTGGCCCTAAATATAAGGGTTTATTGATTTCCAGACGCTCGATTCTGTTCCATGGATGTATCCTTGTATTAGTAAAACACACTGTCTTGCTATTGCAGTATTATGGTAAGTTCTGAAATCAGATAACGTAAATTCTCCAACTTTGTTCTTTTTAAAAATTGCCATTGACTACTGTAGGGCCTTGTATTATATTTTCACATACATTTTAGGTCCAGCTTATCAATTTCTGTGCAAAAATTTGCTGGCATCTTGATGGGAACTGAATTGAAACTATAAATTACTTTGGGATATGTTCTAGTCCATGGAATGGCTCTCCATTTATTTAAATCTTAATTCTTTTTCTTTTTTTTTTTTTTTTGAGATGGAGTCTTGCTTTGTTACCCAGGCTGGAGTGCAGTGGCGTGATCTCGGCTCACTGCAACCTCCGTCTCCCAGATTCAAGCAATTCTCCTGCCTCAGCCTCCCAAGTAGCTGTGATTACAGGTGCTTGCCACCATGCCCAATTAAATTTTTTTGCATTTTTAGTAGAGACAGGTTTTCACCATGTTGGCCGGGCTGGTTTCGAACTCCTGACCTCAAATGATTTGCCTGTCTTGGCCTCCCAAAGTGTTAGGATTACAGGCATGAGCCACCACGCCCAGCCAATCTTTTTTTTTTTTTTTTGAGACAGAGTCTTGCTCTGTCTCCCAGGCTGGAGTGCAGTGGCGCCGTCTCGGCTCACTGCAGCCTCTGCCACCCGGGTTCAAGCAATTCTCCTGCCTCAGCCTTCTGAGTAGCTGGGATTAGAGGCGTGCACCATCACACCTGGCTAATTTTTGTACTTTTAGTAGAGACGGGGTTTCATCATGTTGGCTTGGATGGTCTTGATCTCCTCACCTCATGATCTGCCCGCCTCGGCCTCCCAAAATGATGGGATTACAGGTGTAAGCCACCATGCCTGGCCTGCCAATCTTAATTCTTATAGCAATGTTTTGTAGTTTTCAGTGTATAAGCCTTATATATTTTTGTTAAATTAATTATTATTTTATTCTCTTTGACATTATACATAGAATTGTTTTTTAAACTGGATGCTTTCCAATCTGGATGCTTTTAATTTTCTTTTTTAGCTTTATTATATAGGCTAGATTCTTGAACACCGTTTTGAAAAGGAGTTAAAGATATTTGTGTCTATGTTCAGGAGGGAAATTCATATGCAGTTTTCTTGTAATTTGTCTGGCTTTGGAATCAACATAATAATAATCTCATACAATGAATTGTGAGATGTTGCCACCTTCTCAATTTTTCTGAAAGAAATTTGTGAGTGATTAGTACTACTTTTTCTTTAAATATTTGACAGAATTCCCTAGTGTCTACCTGTACATGGATATTTTTGTGAAAATATTTTAAATTATTAATTCAATTTCTTTAGTTGTGATAGTCTATTAGATTTTCTATTTATTTATTTATTTTGAGACAGGGTTTCAATCCTGTTGCCCAGGCTGGAGTGCAGTGGCGCCATCTCAGCTCACTACAAGCTCTGCCCCTCAGGCTCAAAAGTGATTCTCTCTGGAGTTGCTGGGACTACAGGCGCATGCCATGGAGCCCGGCTAATTTTTGTCTTTTTAGTAGAGACAGGGTTTCACCATGTTGGCCAGGCTGTCTTGAACTCCTGACCTCAAGTGATCCACCCACCTCAGCCTCCCAAAGTGCTGAGATTACAGGCGTGAGCCACCACCCTGGCAGATTTTCTTTTTATTCCAGAGTTTGATAATTTGCGTCTTTCTTGGAATACATTCGTGTCATTTAAGTTGTCTAGTTTCTGTGGGATTGGTAGTGATGTTACCTCTTCAGGTCCTAATTTTGGCAATTTATGTCTTCTCTGTTATTTTCTTGGTTAGTCCAGTTAAAGGTTTGTCAGTTTTGTTGATGTCTTTTAAAGAAAGTCTTTTGATTTCATTAATTTTCTTTATTTAAAAAAAGTCCTCTCTTTCTGCCCTCCCTCTCCCACATGCTGGTCTGCAGAGCCCTCCTCCCAAGGGGTAGGGCCCTGGGTGGAGCTCAGCAGAGTCAGCCCACTACCCACGCTGGCCCATACAGGCCTCCAGGAGCCCTGAGAGGGACCAAGACCCCTAGAGTGTGGTGGGTGCCGGCCCTGCCTGAGGACCAGTCGGGGATCTTTATGCAGATCTACCTCTGGTTCAGCGCACGCCCCCTGCCCTGAGAACAGGAAAGGGCCCGGAAGGACTGGCTCACACGGAAATAGGATGCACTTTATTTACTGGTGCAAAGGCAAGTGAGGGTGCCTCCTGTGTGACTGTTGGCCTTCCTGCCTGGTGGCGCTGAAGGGAAGGAGCCAGTGAGCCTGACCCCAGGAAGGGCCGTCCCCGTGTGCCCTGCTTGGCGGGCCCCAGGCGGCTCCCCCAGGCCCGGGTCAGGGGCCCCAGGCTCTCCCCTGCCTCGCGGCCGCGCGTCCTGTGCTTTGGGTTTCTTGGTTTGGGTTTTTTTAATGCTAGTTCTCAGTACATAAGCGCATTTTGAAAGAGGTTCCAGCCATCACTTGTAACCATGTATATATACATATATAGTCTATCTACAAAGTGTTTATTTGCAAGATGTTTCGACGGTGAACTCGGGCCCCGCCCGCCTTGTGACCATCTGTCCCCGGTCCTCGTCCCCGCCCCGTACCCTGGTCCCGAGTAGCCTGGGGACGAGCCATCACTGTATGTATTAAAATGACTGTATCAAATAAATGTTTATTGATATTTTTCCAAAAAAAAAAAAATCCTCTCTAGGCCAGGCACGGTGGCTCACCCCTGTAATCCCAGCACTTTGGGAGGCTGAGGCAGGAGGATCACAAGGTCAGGAGATCGAGACCATCCTGACTAACACGGTGAAACTCCGTCTCTACTAAAAACACAAAAAAATTAGCCGGGCGTGGCGGCGGGCGCCTGTGGTCCCAGCTACTCGGGAGGCTGAGGCAGGAGAATGGCGTGAACCCGGGAGGTGGAGCTTGCAGTGAGCCAAGATCGCGCCACTGCACTCCAGCCTGGGTGACAGAGCGAGACTCCGTCTCAAAAAAAAAAAAAAAAAAAAAAAAAGCCTCTCTAATCTTTATTTCCTTCCTTCTACTTGCTTTGGGGTTTTACTTTAAGGCAGAAGCTTAGGTTATTACTGGGATGTTCCTTTTCTGATACAGGCATTTAAAACCTGTATAAATTTCCTCTTAACCACTGCTTTAGCTGCCTCACATAAACTTTGATTTGTTGGCCTGTGATGGCAGCACGAGAGCAGAATATGAGCTGTGGCTGCTACAGGAGTCATGGCAGGACCAGCATTTGGAAAGTTTCTTCCACTCTTTGGAAGAAAGTATTGGTTGAAAGGCAAATATTGGTTGAAAGGAGTGCAGCAGAAACTGTAACCAAAGGAGACATTAGGCTTCCAGAAAAATCTAAAGGAAAAGTATTGCAAGCAATAGTAGTGGCTGCTGGATGAGGCTATAAGGGAAAAGGTGGAGAGATTCAACCAGTTAGCATGAAAGTCAAAAATAAATTTCCTCCAGAATATGGAGACACCAAAATAGTTCTAGATGACAAGGATTGTATCTTATTAAGAGATGGCAGACATTCTTGAAAAGTATGTAGACTGAAACAAATCACTATTGAAATGGCATCAACATGAAGCTGCCCACTGAAATTCTGTAATCTTTCATCATGCAAATAATGTTTTTTATAATAAAACTAGTAACTACATTTTTTTGATATATTGCATTTAATTCATTCAGTTCGTAACATTTAAAAACCTCCTTTGTGTATTTCTTTGATCTGTGGGTTATTTAGGAGCATACCAGTTAATTTGAGTGTTTTCCAGTTGCCTTTCTACTGTGGATGTCTGATTTAATCATATTGTGGACAGATAATATACTTTTTATGACTTCAATCTTTTTAGATTTACTGAGACTTGTTTTATGGCTCAGCATGTGGTCTATCCTGGAGAATATTTCATGTACACTTGAAAAGACTATGTATTTTGGAATCTCTGGGTGAAGAGTTCTTTCTTACCACACCCAGCTAATTTTTGTATTTTTGGTAGAGACAGGGTTTCTCCACGTTGGTCAGGCTGGTCTTGAACTCCTGACCTCAGGTGATCCACCTGCTTCGGCCTCCCAAAGTGCTGGGATTACAGGCGTGAGCCACTGTGCCCAGCCATGTTTAGCTTTTCTTGTCTCTTGTATATAGCAGAGTTTGTGTTTTGCTTTGTGAACCAATTTGAAAATTTTTTCTTGGAGTAGAAATAAAGTGCATGGGCCAGGTGCAGTGGCTCATGCATGTAATCCTAGCATTTTGGGAGACCGAGGTGGGCACACTGTTTGAGCCCAGCAGTTTGAGATCAGCCTGGGCAACAGAGTAAAACTCTGTCCCTACAAAAATATTTAAAAAATTAGCCAGGCATTGTGGCCCACACCTGTAGTCCGAGCTACTCAGGAGGCTGAGGCAGGAGGACAGCTTGAGCCCAGGAAGTTGAGGCTGCAATGAGCTGTGATTGCACCACTGCACTCCAGCCTAGGAAACAGAGTGAGACCCTGTGTCAAAAAAAAAAAAAAAAAAAAGTAAGTGGATGCCCATTCACTGTATGATTAATATGCTTAGTCTCACCTCATGCTATTTTGTTGTATTTTTAAAAATTTTTTATAGATTCAGGGGGTACAGTGCAGTTTTGATACTTGGGTGTATTTTCTGTGTGTATTGCATTATATTTATTATTTTTCCCCTGTATAGGGTCTAATTTTGCTTTTTTTTGAATTTAGGAAGTTTTATGTTTTTATTCTACTAGTTATCTTTATAATACAACTTCCTATAATGTACCTAATCCCGTTTTTGTACTTCTAGCATTCCATTTGTCTAAATATTTTTCTACTGTACCCCACCTATTTACATAATACACTATAAGTAAATTATTTTTTTTCAACTTTTAGATTTAGGGGTACATATGCAGGTTTCTTACCTGGGTATACTGCATGATGCTGAGGTTTGGGGTACAAATGATCTCATCATCAAGGTGTTGAGCATAGTACCCAATGGTTTTTCAACCCTTGCCCTGCCTCCTTCCTTTCCCACAGTCAGTATGTATTGTTCCCATCTTCACGTCCATGAGTATGCGGTGGTTAGCTCCTAAGTGAGAACATGCTTTATTTGGTTTTGAGTTAATTCGCAAGGTATAATTTACACACATTAAAGTATTTTACTTTTTAAAAACTCCAATCTCATGACAGATTATCATTCTGCTTTTTTTCTTTGAGACACGGTCTCACTCTGTTGCCCAGGCTGGAGTGCAGTGCTGGAATCACAGCTCATGACTGCCTTGACCTCCTAGGCTCACATCATCCTCCTGCCTCAGCCTCTCAAGTATCTAGGACTACGGGTGCACACCACCATGTCTGGCTTTTATTTTTGTAGACATCAGGTCTCGCTATGTTCCCCAAGCTGGTTTCAAACTCCTGATCTCAAGCAGTCCTCCTGCCTTGGCCTTCCAAAATGCTGGGATTACAGGTGTGAACCACCATGCCCGGCCTTGCATTTCTTAATCAGATGCTTTCCCCTAGTGGTTCCCTCAGGAAGGGCTCAAAAAGAAGTATTAAATTCTAATTTTAAATTGTTTTTCTATAACTTTGTTACTTGAAAGACTGCTTTGTGGAAATAAAATCCTTGAATCACATTTCCTTCTTCCTTCAAATCTCTAGAAAATGTTGCTGTCGAGATGAGTTATTTTATCTGTGTTCCATCATCCTTAAGCTTCCTACTCCTCTTCACCAGGAAATAAGTAAGGAAATGAAGTTTAAGCATCCTCCATAGCTTAACCCATACTGTTAGGTGTACGTTATGAATGTTTTTATTTGATGTCATCATAGGGACAGTGTTTTGGAAAGATGCATGGAGATATTCAGATTTACATGTTGGACATCTCTATCTTCTGGGACTAAGGTTTTATGCCCACAAGGAAAGATGGCATGAGGCCCACACATCAGATGATTATTATTTCATAGACTTAAAGATACATCTTCTCTACCCACATTGTAATATCTCTAATATTGGAAGACATCTTACAGCATAATACAGATAGAATTATTTTCTTCTAGTGGTACATAAAAAAAGTACACATGGTACAATTAGTGAAGTACTGAATTTGATGAAATAACTGGTGTATTTTCTGTCCCAACTTGCCCCAAAGCCCTACTTTTCCTGAAGTTAGAATTTAGTCACAGACAATAAAAAGGTGGTGTGGTTCTCTTCTTCCCTGCGGACAGTCCTGCTGAGTGGAAATGGGCTCCCAATGGTCTCTACACTGCTCACCCCAAGCCACTGCCTTTTAAAACACAGATCATTGGTAGAGCACTCTGGAAACTTCTCACTCTGTAAAAGAGGAATTTGTAACTTGGTCCAGATTTGAGATGACTGTACTTTCTCAGCATTTTGCTTCAGTTTGATCCAAATTTTACTGTTTCTAGTAGACATTTCATCGTGGTGTATATTACTGGATTGTGGTCACTCTATAATTTTAACACAAAAATTTTACTTTTGGTTCCTTTCGTTTACAATGTTGGTTTTAAGGACTGAAATAATGTGCCTGATCCGCCATCTTTCCCAGAAACTCCTGATCATATTTTCAAAAAGTTTATTACAAACATTATTTTGATGTTGCTATTTTCACTTAGAAAGTATTCTAAAAGAAGCTGAACAGTTATTTATGAAAATAATGGCCATGATATTTTTGTAGTCCTATGAGGTCAGCAAGAACCTAGGAAACTTCAGATACTATATATTCTTTGGTTGGATGTGAAAAAAGGAACTAAGAAATTTAATTGTTATTTTCTAAAATAAGACCAAACAACAAAGAATACTACCCCAGTGCAAAAAAGTTAAAATTAAGAGACTATTCTGTTGGATATATTACATATGCAAATAGACTAATAATCAGGAATATAGGTTTATTTCATTAAAAAATAAAACAAAACAAACCAGACTCATCCCCCAAAGAGTACTTTATCCTTTAAAGCAGCAGCAATCACAAGGCACATATGTACAAAATACCTCAAGCAAAATAGAAACTGAACATTCAAAAAGTATGTGTTGTTTAAAAAGATGTTGAAGACCATTTGAGTAATAAGCACAGGTTATAAAAATCACAATTTTATTCTTCTACCTTTAACAAGAGAAGGAATGATGGCATAATATTTATATGCTATATTGTGGCACGTATAACAAACCTTTACACCACATAACCTGGTTTGCTAAAGAAAAAACAGGTAAAGTACTGCTTAAAAATGGTATTTTTAGTGCTTTCACATCTTTTGTAGATATCTGGAATTTGTAAGATGAAAAGAAAAATTCTCTTTTTCCTTGGCTTAGTAAAAGCCTGTAGTTACACGTCCCTAGGCAAACCCACCATACAAAAAAGGAATACATTTGAGATATTCTAAAATATAAAGGATATGATTTATATTATGGGATCAACATAATAACCAACTCTCTTCCTAAAACAGATTAGAGGTGAACACATAAGAAATGTAAAGAAAGGTTAATTACATTAAAATAAAATAGCTTCTGATTTAAATTATTGCTCACTTAGGAAGTATAATGAATATTCTCTGGCTAAGGATGCTCAGATTAGAAATGGTGTGACATCAATATTTAGTGTGTACAAAAGTTCTAAGATTCAAATACAATGCAAAGTTTATAATAATCACACAAAAAGTGTTCCTTTTAGCCACCATTTAGCTTCACACAACGAAGACTGGAAAATACGTGGTTTATTTAGATCTTCAATATAAATTTGTACCACATATGTTGAAGTGTTCCTCTTAGCTTTAATGTTGCAGTCATTTTTCTATGAAATACTAAGGAGTTAAGGAGTGCTTACTGAACCATTACTATTAGAGGGAGGGAAGAGACACTGAAGCTCCAGTTTTAAACGACAACAAAAGAATATAAAATACTAGTATAAGAAAACATTTAAATAGTACTAAATGCACAATTTAAACATCAGTTATACACTGTCATTAGTTTTCCTCTTAAAAAAATCAGTTCCTGGGCTTTTAGATGTGTTTTCTTTTTAAAAAAAATAAGCATCCTTCTCATGGTCACACAATTGGTCCATACTGACACCATTTGGTAACAATCCTATCAAAGATCCACATGTTCTTGCTCTCTTTCAGGCCACTCCATGGCCAGCGGGAGTCTTGAGTCCTCTCTGCGTGTTGTGTGGCAGGAGGCCATGGTCCCGGGACTCTGCCTAGAGCAGGACGGCCTGGGCTACCTCCTTGATGGTGGACGCAGCTCTCTCCAGTTCTTCCTCTGTTTGTTCCACCGTGACCACAACCCGAATGCTGAGAACAGTAAAGGACACAAAGAATTATCTTTGTGGGCCAGGCGCAGTGGCTCACGCCTGTAATCCCAGCACTTTGGAGGCCAAGGCAGGTGGATCACGAGGTCAGGAGATCGAGACCATCCTGGCTAACACAGTGAAACCCCATCTCTGCTAAAAATACCAAAAAATTAGCCAGTGTGGTGGCGGGTGCCTGTAGTCCCAGCTACTTGGGAGGCTGAGGCAGGAGAATGGCGTGAACCTGGGAGGCGGAGCTAGCAGTGAGCCGAGATCGCGCCATTGCACTCCAGCCTGGGCAACAGAGTGAGACTCTGTCTCAAAAAAAAAAAAAAACCAAAAACAAACAAACAGAAAAAAGAATTATCTATGTGAGGTGAGGAACTGCACTCACAGTCAACCATATATGGCCTGAGAGCCAAATCCACTGCCTATTTTTGTAAACAAACCTCTCCTGGCAGTCCTCCCAATAGGCCTGTCTATTCATGTACCTGCTGCCCACAGTCACTTTCTCACTACTGTGGCAGGTGGGTTGCTGCGGCAGGGAATCTGCAGCCTGAAGGCCTCGGCCTACACCACACCAGTGCACACCCAGTCAGAGTGAGTTTCCGTGGGCTCTGCCTCAGAAGCTGGGAAATAGCATCCTGTCCATCATGTACTGCTTCAGGCAGTGCCAGGCACAAAGCAGGAATTCCATCCTTCTCAAATCAACGACAGTTTGATTGTTCGTATTTATGTCAATAGCAATGTGAAAGCTCTGTAATACTCTAAGGCATGGCAGAAATTTTCAAGTTTTCAGGAAATCAAAGAAATAATAGCTTGAAAGGACAATGCTACCTCTGTCCCCCAGAGTTCATCTGTAAACATCTGTTTCATGCATTTGACACATATTTATTGAGCTGTACTATGCTGTGCATGGAGTCCTGAGGGCACAAAACCAGCACGGCTCCCGTCCTCATGCACCTACGGTCTTACTAACAAGTAAACGTAGGATGTAGGATTACACCTTTGGATGAGTGCAATAAAAAATGAAGGGGGCAGCCCAGGCTGGAGTGCAATGGAGTGATCTCAGCTCACTGCAGCCTTGACCTCCTGGAACCAGGTGATTTTCCCACCTCAGCCTCCCAAGTAGCTGGGACCACAGGCGTGCACCACTATGCCTGGCTAATTTTTACAGAGATGGGGTTTCACCATGTTGCCCAGGCTGGTCTTGTACTCCTGGGCTCAAGTGATCTGCCCACCTCGGTCTCCCAGGTGTTGAGGTTACAGGTGTGGGCCACTGCACCTGGCTGAAAAGGGCAGGCTCCTTAAGGTGCTTTGAGCTGCTACCAGAGTGATCTTCCAAATCCTGGTCTGGCACTGTGGGCCGGCAGAGCATTCAAACTCCCCAGTGGGCTCTCCTGCAGCCTCCCTGACTTGGCACCTGGCCTCAGGACCCTTCTCTCCAGCTCTTCTGCGGCTTGCACTCTGTACTCCCAGATGAACCTGGAGGTCTCCAAGCCACTGAAAACCCTGAGCAAAGCACACACCACCTCATCTGATGGAAAGCCACGATGCCCACAGGATGCCCGACACACACACTTCTCTAGTTTTGGTGTAGACATCGCCTGCTCTCAAAAGCCTGAGCAATGCCCCAGGGCAGAACTGACCATGTCCATGCCCCCTGCTGTGACTGCCTGGCCCAGTGCTGTGGTGGGATGGCCAACTCCTTGGACTACCTCGTATATGCTTTGTGAACAGAATCCAGTCTCCTTAAAAGTAAGACATTAGTCTTTCACTTTTGGTGTTTTTTCTTGATGCTGTACATTTTCCCCACTGTTGCTTGTTTTTTCTCAAATGTTACTGAGTGTTGCTGACTGAAGGAGCAGCAGAGGCGCATGCCCACCCCCACCCCACACTGCCGATCTTCCCTGCAGGACGGTCCTTGTGGCAGGAACTCCTGGTGTGGCATGTGCCACCTTTCAGATGTGGCAGATATGAGCTGATGGAAACTCAGTTTGCCCAAGTTCATTGCTGGGCTCCCAGACATTTCTCTGAGTTAACTGAGAGGGTACTCAGTGAGTCCTTGGGAGCTTTTCAGTTAAAATTTTAGAAACTTCTAGTTTAAGAGCAGAAGACAGGTAATGTACTATATTTTAATGACAGATATTCTTCCATAGCCTATGATAGTCTTTCAAAATTTTTCAAAAGATAACGTATTTCATAGAGCTCAGAGTAGGGGAAAAAAATAAGGTCATATTTTAACGTCAACTGACCTGGGAGGAGGGAGACACTTCTCTTCTTTCTCCAAGTAGCGCGCCTGAGTTAATGCAATACTTCTGTTCATGCACTGTAGGAAGAAAAAGAAGACATCTGCAACCTGGACTTCAGACATGGTGGTAATTAAACTGGGGGAACGCTGAAATCCTGCAACGGTAGCTTTAATTCACTTTTCCAATTATAATTGCTAGAAGATATCACCAAAATACTACACCACCACCTTGGCAGCACTGTCCACAGAACTTTCTGCAATGACAAATACCTCTGTTGTGTAGTGCCCAGCAGTCGCCATGAGCCCTGTGTGCCTGCTGAGCACACGGAGATATGGCTGGTGCTACTGAGAGGTCACAGTTGCACCTTTTCTTATTTCCACTTAGTTTAAATTCAAACAGCCATAGCTAGCTAGTGACTACCATTTAGACAAAGCAGAGTTAGCACATGAGGAAGTGGTGCGAGCAAAGTCCTGCAGGCTGGACTTATGACCACCACCACCAGTAGAACTGCGTCAGAGAAAAACCACTGCACTTCAGATATTAGCAAAAACGATGTCCACATGTGGCATCTGGGCATGGTGCCACTGGGCACTGCAGAATCTGGCGTTAACAAAGTTTTACCCAGCTTTCCTATATATTAACCATCTGTCAACATTAAGAAAAAATGAAAACAATCTCTACTAAAATAAAGAAAGCACAAACACCAGAGCAAGGTAATAGGCTACAGGGGTTTCTTTCTGGAGTGATGAAAAAGTTTTGGAATGAGATAGTAATGGTTGCACAACCTGCTGAATGTATGATACTAAAAGCCACTTAACGATATACTTCAATAGGGTGAATTTTATGGTATGTGGTATGTGAGTTATATTAAAAAAAAATAGCAACAGAGCAAAGGGCAGTGTAAAGGAAAGAACAATTATTCCATGTCTCTGGCAGTAAAAGTATCTGCCTGAAGAGGGGTCACGTCGTAGGCTGCGAGGAAGAGATGGAAAAACCATACTAGGCAATGACAACAGCCTCCCGCTGACTCTAGGCTCTGGAAGTGTACTTGGAAAAGTGAACTCCTGCAAACATCTGGACTGGCTCTGTTTCTAGCCCTGGCTGGTTAAGAGACATTATAAACAATAGCTCAGTTTGTAAAAACAGTGTCCTGTTGAGCAACTCAACATAAACTTGGCAAAGCCTCTCAGATCTACAAAGCTTAAATAAGAGTTACAGCAGCATGGTTCTTTTCTTTCCTTCAAATATTGAAAAGATGAGGGGAGTGGAACAAAAGATTCGGAAGATTTTAAAAATGGAAGCTGTGATGATGCACAGAAGCGGGAAGATATATGTATTTTTTCTATCAATGAAGTTTCTAGATAGTATTCTGTTCCCTACCCCAGATTGTTCTCTTCTCACTCAACTCTCAAGAGGATTTCCTTAAGAGAGCCAGTATCAAACCAGGCCCACAGACAGGAGTTTGGGATCTGTGAGCTGTCCACAGACTTTTCGTTTCCTCTTTCATTACGTGGCTAATTCCTGTAAGCATGGTATTTTAACACCGAGTTGCTTCATTCGCACGTCCTCCTCTGCGTCTCTTTGGTACAAAGCAGTAGTAAGACTTTAGCTGTTGCTATCTAATGAAAAGAGAACAGAGGTGGATTTACTATGCAATGAATACACTGGCATCTGAAGGAGGCAACTGTCCCTCAACATGAAGCATGTGTGGACAACTGTCCTGATGCAGTTCGAGAAGAGACTCAGTGAGAACGGCGGAGCCATTACTCAGACCCAACACCAGCGCATGCAGCTCATGAGCCTGCTCTGTGAACACAGCTCTCAGCTGTCCCGCTGGGGCAAGTCCATTGAAAAAAACAAATTCACCTGCCTCATGAAGGTAATGAAATGAATGGGAATTTTACTGGCTTGTCCATTTAGTTTGTATTTAATGTATAAATGCGTTTTAGTTTTCCATTTGTATGAGAACTCTAATCACAAAGATGTCATACTTAGTTTTGTGTTTGTCTGTATTTAAGGAACGTTACAATACAAACAATGAGGCAGTAAAGCAGGCAGTGGGATGTTTTTCCCTGTCTAGAGAGTCTTCATGTCCACAGAGTTGTGCCTGAGGGGACATCAGCTGCATTTCCTCACCTCACAAGATAAGTAGCTCCAGCCTGATCATTCATAATCTGACATGTTTCCTTAGGAAGCTCAGATCCTGGGGCTTTTTATTTATTTTTTAATGTAATTGACTCTAGAAGACCACAAATTTTATGAAGTTCTCCACAAATCTGTTATTCCAGATTACGTGGCTCAAACATTTGGGACATAGGACAGCTGAAGCCAGCTAGGCAGCAGAGGCTGCCTGCACACCCGGTCTGTATACTGCACAGCCATGTGGCCTAGAAGAGCCTGCCTGAGAGGCTGTCTAGGCGGATGAGGCTCAGGACAGGGCCTGGCCTAGGAAAGGCACATGACAGGTGGTAGCTGCCATTATGACCCCAGAAACCTAGTAGCATTGCTCATAGCTACAGCCTCTGGACAAGGAAGCAGAATCATGCCCATTTTCATTCTCAAATACATACTAGGTATATGTCAGATTCTTCTCAAAGGAGCAGCAGCAGCCCACATAAAAGTCCAGATTCTTCTGAAAGCAGATGTCCAGCATCCCAGGACTTGGAAGAGGGGTGCAAGGTGGGTGGCATCCCACTGCCCGTCCTGAGTCCTTCCTGCCCAGGTTATTCCGCTGCTCTTCCTCCCCCTTTTAAAGAAACTTCTGTTGGCTCTGAACCACTGTAAACCCGCGTGCCCAGGGCAGGAAGCACTCTGGAGGGGTAGTGCTACTGGATGAAAAGGGGCAAGCAGTTTTCCCTGGTGATGTGTTTCTTAGACAATTAGTAGTAAAATAACTTTTGGAAGATAAAGAAATTTAAATAAATCTCCCCAAATTAGGTATGTTATAAAAAGCGGTCTTCCTTTCCGTTTACAAGAGCATCCTGACTTCAGGGTGACTGTGAGTGGACTGTCCCTGAGCTGTGCTGCGGGGACAGCCAGCCGTCCAGGAATGTGTGCTATGCCCACACACAATGCCTCCCCCAACTACACATAGGAAAGCCTGGCTTTGTAAAATGGTGAGCAAGTGAGTTTTCTGCAAGGCTAATTTTTCAGAGGAGAGGCCAAGTATATTTAAATGCAAAGTGGTACAAAACACAATATCTTTGGAGGGAGCCACACATTGACCCAATGGGAGGGCCTGCTGCCTGTTACCATGGCCAGAAGCTAGGAAGGACCTGGAGGATTAGGATTCCATGTCAAGAGCGGGTCACCAGCATCTTCCTTTCTACCCTCTTCTCTCTCAGGGCAAAGAGACTTTTCTTAAAAATTTAACATTAAAAAATTGCTTGGGGCAAGGGCAGAAGTGGTGTGGGGGGATGCCTCAAGTCAACGGATACTTACTTGATCTACAATTTCCTGAAGCAGTCTGACATCTTGCTCGCGAGACCCAGTGCTCTCTTCCAGTTGTAGGTGAAAGGCTGGAGAAAGGGACTCCCCCACCACTTTTAATCCAGAAATGCTGAAGAAGGGAAACACACACACAGCTGTAAGTCCCTTCCAGGCTTGAAGATCGCTCACGGAGAAATAATGTTAGAAGTCCACAATGTCAAGGCACAGTGAACGTACAGAAGCTTGCGACTGATGGGAAGCATCATTCCAATTCCAACAAAGAAAGGGAAACGAGGCACTCTGGGCAGTGCTTCCTCATCTAAAAAAGTCTGCCTGCAATGTGGCTTCCTGAGTGCAGGACCGGGTCTCATGGCCCCAGCCTCCCACCAGGGAGTCTGTGCCTCCTTACAGGCCCTCTGGGCCCCACCTTGGCCTGTCATTCCCTTGCCATGTGCTCCCTCGCCCCCAATGTTTGTTCTTCCCTGTGTTGGCTGCATGTGCCAGGGCCCAGCTCCAGCACTGCCTGCTGCTGGGGCCTTCTTCATCACCCACTTTAGGGAAGGCTCTGCTCCATCATTTGCTATTTTTCATCCTGTCTGGATCCTTCACAAGCTACTCACTACAGTTTATGTTATGCTTCCTTGCTTATTATCTATGTCTTCAGTTTTTGTCTCTCATAAATTACAGGGATGATTTCTAACATTAACAACATTATACCCCATCTCTACAAATAAAACAAAAACAAAAACAAAAAACAAAAAATTGGCCGAGTGTGGTGGCTTGCGCCTGTAGTCCCAGCTAGTTGGGAAGCTCAGGTGGGAGGATCGCTTGAACTCAGGAGGTCAAGGTTGCAGTGAGCTGAGATTGTGCCACTACACTCCAGCTTGGGTGACAGAGCAAAACTCTGTCTCAAAGAAAAACTCAACAAATACCAAACATACCTTATATTTTGACTAACAGCAATATGTTTAGATAGAAAAACGTCCTTATTTGCATGTTAAGTTTTAGATTTTACTTGGATTAAAATTATTTTCTTTTTACTTAGGATTAATAGCACAAAAATCTGTAGCTTCTCAAGGAGAAAGATAGATCTTTAGGGGCCAAATCCTGTATTTTTAAATTAAATTAAATTTAATCCTGTATTTTTACTACAGCTGCCATGAGATGCTATGTCATACTACTATTATTATTATTATTATTTTTGAGATGGCATCTCGCTCTGTCACTCAGGCTGGCTGCAGTGCAGTGGCACGATCTCGGCTACTATCTAGTCAGGTTCATTTAAAGTCTATTTTATCCTATAACAACAAATATTATTTGACTTTTGACCTACCTCCTAGGACACAAATGTGATATATGTCTATTTGAAACTGAGCTAAACATTTTAGATTCCTTTCATTTAGTTTGTTTCACCTAAAACGATTTGTTTTTCCCTCAGAATGAAATGACAATAAAAAGTACTAGGTAGCACAATGGCATCTTCCCAGTTTAGGACTCAACAAGCCTTTACAGAATGACTACTGTGTGTTACAATAATGTGAATTCTGGAAACTCATCTGACCTGGCCTTCCAATCACCCTTGGAACATTATTAATTAGCGTCTCCTTTCTTTAAATATAAATATATCATGCTAGATCTCTCAATAAAGCAGGCTACAGGTCTGAATCATGGAATCTTGAGCATGTGGAATGTGGGGGAACCTTCTAGATTAGTTCTTTACTAATGTAGAAACTAAGCAATACACTTTGAAAACCCATTTCCTGTGTAAATTCTGACCATGTTAAACGCATATATCAAGTATCTTTTTTTTTTTAAAGGTCATGTATTCTCACAGTATTAAAAAATTGCTTTCAGTCAGGTGTGGTGCCTCACGCCTGTAATCCCAGCACTTTGGGAGGCCAAGGCAGGTAGATCACCTGAGGTCAGGAGTTTGAGACCAGCCTGGCCAACATGGTGAAACCCTGTCTCTACTAAAAATATAAAAATTAGCCAGGTGTGGTGGTGGACACCTATAATCCCAGCTACTCGGGAGGCTGAGGTAGTACAATCGCTTGAACCTGGGAGGCAGAGGTTGCAATGAGCTGAGATCGTGCCACTGCACTCCAGCCTGGGCAACAAAAGCAAGACTCTGTCTCAAAACAAAAACAAAAACAAAAGCAAAAAACAAAAAAAACAACAAAAAAAACTGCTTTCCAAATAGCATTTCATATGAATCAAATGGCCTCAATTTTCCTCAAGAAATACAAGGCGCGATGGCTCACACCTATAATCCCAGCACTTTGGGATGCCAAGGTTGGGGGGATCACGAGGTCAGGAGTTCAAGACCAGCCTGACCAATGTGGTGAAACCCCGTCTCTACTAAAAATACAAAAATTAGCCAGGTGTGGTGGCACGTGCCTGTAATCCCAGCTACTCAGGAGGCTGAGACAGGAAAATCGCTTGAATCTGGGAAGTGGAGGTTGCAGTGAGCTGAGATCGCGCCACTGTGCTCCAGCCTGAGTGACAGAGCAAGACTCTGTCTCAAAAGAAAAAAAAAAAAAAAGAAAAGAAATACAAGGCACCTGAGGTCCAGATCTAACTTGTGCTTTTTGATCAAATGGTCTCATTTCACATGCTAGTGAGAGAAGGAATTAAACAAAATGCCCTGTCTCTGGTTGCCTAGATGCTGAATGTCAGATGAGTTTAATTAAAACCAAACGGACACAGTTATAGCTTGAGTTCAGCGAAGCCGTGTTTCAGAGTCTATTATACTATTCCTTAACAAAAGACTTTGCCAAACATATCATCTTATCCCAGTGGATAAACGAGCACTGGGCTAGCTCCCAGGGACAGAGCAATCACCAAGGTAGCCACGGTCTCCACTGTGTGCTTACAGTCTATAGGGAGAACCTGACACCAATAACTATCTCTATTACAATGAAAACAGAGGCAAACCAGCATAGGATGTTGACTTCCTTTCCCAAACTCAATCTCAGAGATGAGAGAAGTGAGAAATTAGAGAAAAATTGAACAAAAAAATTACTCAGAACTAAACATTGAAGATACTGCCTTTGAAAATATTTATCTTTAATATATTTATTGGAAAATACGAAATAAAACCAAAAGCTAAATGTAAGAAGCTGAAGAAGAGTAAGAACACAGTGCAATGAGACAGTGCATAAAAATAAGAAAACACACTATGATGAAAACACACAAAACCAAATTTACATAAATAAAAAGTTAAAATAATATAGATATATGAGAGATAATCAACAACTATTCCCAAACCAAAGGCCCCAAGCCTAGATGGCTGTAAAGTGGGAGACCTACTCTCAACTTCTGAAGAAACGATCAAGCCTTGTTTTACTCAGTGCTTCCATGAAGCAGAAAGAGTGGAAAATAGCCAAATCATCTACCGAAGCTACCCTAACACTGACTCCTATGTTACGTAAAGTTGGTACAAGGTTATAGATCCATTTAAATTATAAACAGATATAAAAAGTCAAATTAAAATATTAGCTAAATAAATCTAACAGTGTAGAAAAAGATATTATAATGAAGTAACGGTTTTCTCAAGAATGCAAGGATGGTTTAACATCAGAAAATATTTCAATGTAATTCAGCCATAAGACAAATTTATGATTTACCTTAATAGATGTAAAAAAAATGGATAAAGTTCAACGTCTATTTATGATTTTAAAAAAAGGCCTTCAAATTTAGGAATCATTTAGCCAGGTGCAGAGGTACATGCCTGTAGTCCCAACTAGTTGGAAGGTGAAGGCAGGAGGATTGGTTGAGTCCAGGAGTTTGAGGCTATAGTGTGTTGACTATATCTGTGAATAGCCACTGCACTCCAGCCTGGGCAACATAGCACAATCCTGTCTCTTAAAAAAACCACAAAACAAAACAAAACTAGGAATAATTCAATAAAAGCTACTCACCAAAAACCCATAGCATGATGTTTTATACTTAATGAAGAAGTGCTTCTATACTGGGAATAAGGAAGGAATGTTTGCTATTATTGCCACTGTTCAATACAAATTAGGGACTCAGACCAAAGCAATAAAATAAGAAAATGAACTAAGACGCAAAAGCATTAGGAAGGAAAGAGAGAACACCATTATTGCAGATAACAGGACTTCCATGCACATCATCATAACACAATGAAACAATTACTGGAAATACTAAGAGTTTAGAAAGACTCCTGGATATAAGGTCAGTTTAGAGAAAATAATAATATTCTTATGAATCAGCAATAATCAAGTAGAAAATATAACAGAAAAGACAACCCCATTCATAACAGCAACAAAATCTATAGGATGTCTGAAAATTCCCTTTAAAGGTTCCATAAAGGTACAAGGGCTTTATAGGAATTCCATTAAAGGACACAAAGGGAGATTTAAATAGAGAGCTCATGTTCATGGATGACATTTCCCTCCACATTCATCAGAAAATTTAATGCAGTTCCAATTAAGATTCTAGCAATAATTTTGGAGAAACCCATATTCCAAAACAGTGATAAAAACAGACACTAGTGATAAACCTGTATTCCAAAACAGTGATAAAAACAGACAAAATCAAAAGAGTCTGAGGAATGAGCAAATATACCAATGGAATGGAAGAGACAGTTTAAAAACAGATCTAGGTACAAATGGGAACCTGGTATATGATACAGTACTGTCAACCAGTAGGAGAAAGGATGTTTTATACTTAGCCAGATGTTATTCAGAAATTGATCTCAGTAATCTTAAACTGAAATATTCTTCTCTTGACCAATTTCTTTCTCCAGCCACCATCTTGTTTCTTAGTCCCTCTTCAGAGAAAAACTCCTCAAAACAGTCATCTAGGCCGTGTCCACCTGTCTGGAACCTCCTTCAAGCAGGCATTTTACCCCACACTCCCCTGAAACTACTCACCAAGTCATAATACCTCTACATAACGAAGTCAAAGGATCAGTGTTCTGTTATCTGGTCTGGCCTGTCAGCAGCGGCATGTCACAGGCTGACCTCCTACATAAGCAATTTCTTCCCTGGTTTCCAGGACTCTAGGCTCTTCCAGCCTGCCTCTTCCTCACTGGCCACTCTTTCTCAGACTAGTCTTTGCTAGTTTCTGACCTCTTCACACTGAAATGCTTCATATAATATCCATACCCCAAGACTCAAACATTTATCTCTAGCTCAGTACTCTCCCTCACACTTCAGACTTGTATATCCAGCTGCTGCTCTGCACTCCATGTCTGATGGGCACTTTGGGCTTAACATAACCACTGCTGACCTTCCCCAGAAGGTATTTCTCCACAGTTCTGTCCCTCTCACTCATTAGCAACTCTACCTATTTACTCTGACCAAACCCCCTGAGCTCTACCTGGAGTCTTCTCTTTCTCACTCACCCTGCATATGAACTTCTGCTAGATCCAGTGTGCTCTCCCTTCAGAAGATACCCAGAATCCAGACACTTCGCAGGTCATGGCTCCCAACATGGTCAGAGTCACTATCACCTTTCACCTGCGTCAATCTCCTAACTGGTCTCCCTGCTTCTGTTCTTACTGCTGTTCAATGTATTTTTTCACACCATGCAAAAGTAATTTTGCTAGGGTATCAGATAGGCTGTTTCACTTTTTTGCTCAAAACCATGCCAGGGCTTCCTCTGTGTGCCAATGTCCTCATCACGGCTCACAAGTCCCTGTGTGCGGATGGCCCATGACCCAGCCCTCATCTTCCACCAGATTTCCCACTCCTTTCCTCCTGTCACATTGGCCTCTTTGCTATTTTGTTTACTGTTCTCTGTAACCATCTAGATACCAGCACGGTTTGCCCCTGCGACCCTTATGAATGTGTGTTTACTGTGAGGTGCCATGGAGTCTTCCAACTGTGGATACTGAGTAGGCAACTGGGTGTGAGACCTGCAGCTGCAGTGGTCCAGGGTGGTGATACGAAGCTGGGAGCTGTCTCTATACAGGTGTCATGAAACGATGTGGAGCTCCAGGTGTGGGAGAAGGCAATTCTTCAAGAAGGTAATGAGAAGAAAAGAGAAGCACAGACAAAGCCTTGAAGAGCAAGGTGTTGAAAGAAAGCCTTCAGAGGAGACCGAGATGGAGCCATTCAAAGATGTAAAAGGAAATCCAGGCGTGCAGTGTAGCAGAGTCCAAAGAAGGAAAGAGTGGTCACCTGTGCTGAAAACTATGGGGACATCAAGAAGATGAGCTCTGAAGATGGTCCACTGGATTCAGCAGTCAGTGGAGACCTCCACAAAAACAGTCCAGGCGAAGGGCAGTAGCAGAAGCCAGGTCTCAGAGCTGCCAGTGTAAGTGAAGACGTGGAGATGATAGCTACTGAGAGGAGCAAAGACATGGGGAGTTGCAGAGGGAAACGTCAGGTGACAGGCAAGAGGAATTTAAAGTGGACATGACTGCTAATCAAATAACACAAGAAAGGGGACAGGCTGATGACAAAGTAGCAGGGACAAGCAAAGGCACTCAGTCCTTAAAAAAAGGGCCTGTGGTAGTTGGAGCAACATTTACTGGTCTACAGGAGGGAAGACTGGTTCAGATACCCACAGGTGTGTAGATTTGTCAGGAAATATGACAGAGTCCCAAGTGACAGCATAAGGCCAGGCTGTTAGCTAAAAGTGAGGGGAGTGAAGACAGAGGATTAGGAATTTTGGAAAGAAAAAGTGTGATACAGCTGGGGTAAGTGGAGATTAGACTTAGAAAAAGGCAGGTTAACACCATAGAGTGAAAGGCATGTAAGGCTAGCACTGATGCATTTCCAGTGACTCCAATATGCTAGGCTGTGTTGGCATATTAATATTTCACAAACCAATGGAACTGGAACCAATACAAATATATCTCTCTACCATAAATCATGCAAGAACTGCTGTTACTATCACACAGACACACCCAGAACTTTAATGTCTCTGCCCCTTCTTTATCTGGAACAGCTGTGATGTACTCATTTATCAATTGTCCTTTTCTTTCAGTTAAGTCTCCAGTTTCCATATCCGGAACACAGATAGGACTTTCATGACCAAGAAAGCATGTTTAACCTTAGGAAAGGCAAAAAGAAAGACCTCGGGCAATGTGAAATCACTTTATATAAGACCAGAAATGTGCCTGGAGATATCACCAACCTCCATTTTTTTTTTTTTTTAACTACAGAGGAATCTTAAAGAGTGACTCTTCTAGATGACAAGTTAGTGGGTGCAGCACACCAGCATGGCACATGTATACATATGTAACTAACCTCACAATGTGCATATGTACCCTAAAACTTAAAGTATAATAAAAAAAAAAAAAGTGACTCTTGTGTAGTAAAAAAAAAAAAAAAAAAAAAAAAAAAACACTGATAAAATTTCACTTGTTTCTTTTTCTTGTGTTAAAACTTAGTAATTTATTAAAAAGTAACACAGATGGTATGAACCCAGTCATCTAATTACATAATATATAATGGCATCCCTGTGTGTGCAGACATGGAGAGATGCTTCAGTGTTTACCCTGGTTATTTCTGGTGGTAAGATGTTGGGTTGTTATTTTCATCTTTCTATCTTCTGTACTGCTGTAATATTTTATTAATGAGTTTGTTTCATTTTCAGAAAAACAAAGTCACGATTCTTTAAAACAGATGATCTGGTTTTACACAAATAAACCAATGTGAGTGAACTAAGTTTTTGGTTTCTTAGCTGCAATCTGGTCAAACTGACCCAAGCCTAGAAATTTAAAACTTTCCATTAGTTGTTAAGTGTGGTGCAGATAAACTTTATGTTGGTTGAAAATATATAAAACTCACCCTTGTAAAGCTTTATGAATTTGTCCGCACTTTTCCTTCAACACTGCAAAAATACCTAGATGAAAAAAATACGTTTGAGAGTCTATTTGAAACTTATGATAGTACTAACCTAAAAATATTTTTGAAGACCCAGATCAAGTTCATCAATTTAAAATGCTACAAATCCTTCTACATACTAACAGAGCCAAGAACCCATACTCCCCTGAAGGCCCAAGCTTTGTCTCTGGTGCGTGCTAACTGGCCCCTTCTCACCTCAGTATCCCACTTTCAACAAACCTGGAATGATGCTTTCAAGAACAATCAATGCCTCTTGTTCTCATCAAGATCCTAATCTGGCTAAGAATCAAAGGGTACAAATTTATTGCTTATTTCTTTATCCTAAACAATTTGGTAAAAAATCAACTATAGTAAAGTAATTTTTACAATCTTTTCTTGATATTTTCCTTTTTTATTCAAGGAAAATCCCAAAACTAAAGTATCTGATCAGAAGGTAGGCGTGCCAGGCCATCTGAGAAGCAAGCATATGAATGAGCACAGAGACACACATTTTCTGGTTCTCTGAATTAGTATCAGTGATGAAGATTCAGAAATACTGTACCGGGTAGGGCCTGCTGCTCCCTTTCCGTTTTAAGCTTTGCAAAGGTGGCACTGTCATAGCCAAAGGCCACATTTTAAATTCTTAGTAGACTTTTTATTTTTCCCACTGAGTAAGTTCTTTGCTGGTAAACCCGGCTTGGCCTCAGTACCAACTGATGATTCAAAGGCTAAAGGTGAAAACTCACAATATTTATAAAATTGCACAGATAAAAAAGCAGCATGCTTCAGCTGATTTCTCAAAAAACTATTAACCAAATAAAGACTGGCTTATTTACACCAATGGAACGTTTAGGCCCAGAACTGGCTGAGAGCCCCTCGTCCTCCCAGCATCTCCACCCACTATCTGAGCTAGCCTTGCTTTGGCTCTGGCTCTGGCCCCAAGCACAGGAGAAAAGCTCTGACCCCAAGTCCTTGGGGCAGGAATAGCTTCTTCACTGCCATTCTTCCTATGAATGCCATATAATGTAACTGCAAACCAGTTTTGTCTGGCAAATAATTTCTCCAGTAAGTAAATCAGTAACACAACTAACGTAACCTGAAATCTCTTTGATTCCTTGGGTTTTTAAAGGGTTATACCTGGATTCTCTTCCATGATGTTGAGGGCCTCAATTGCTGCAGCAGCTAACAGGGGAGGTAACGAAGCTGAAAAGCAGTATCCCTGGCCGGAAAGTCGCTGAGAAGAAACAAATGAAGACATATACACATTCTCTGTCCTTTCTAGGTAAACATTTGAAAGGCACCAGTTCTCTAGAACAACTACTGAACAGTGTGTACATGTGGTGAGGGGGGTAAGATCCAGCCATAAATAAACATTATACGTGTAACAGCAACAAGACTTTTTGTTAAATGTGAGATCATTTCTAAATAGAAATATTTTGAGTGATTCTTTAAAAATTGACATTTAAATAAAAATTGTGTGATAAACTAAGTAAAATTTCGTATTTCAAAATTATATTTTGAGGTGACCAATGGAGAAATTAGTTTCAGTTTTAGCTCCTGTTTTTAAAAAGAACCCACCTGATGGTCAATTACAAAAGACCTGCCACAGCAGAAACCTCCAATAGAAGCAAGTGCATTCTCCATGTTGGCACTGATAAGATCAATATCATCAATCTGCCGGAAAAGGAGGAGTGACAGTTATTCCACAGTTTAAAGAAAAAAAAGGCCAACTTCAAGCCTAGAGACAAAATTTAACAGCATTAAACTGTCTGTTAATATCTGGATTCAAACTACCTATCTACATGAAAATAAAAAATAAACCATATAACATCTATCGCTGAATGAACTGTAGTCTCATGGCCCATCTGAAACTGTCTCATTTTATACATTTTTACCATTTCATTATACATGACAAATTAACTCACAGCAAAGACAAATAAATTATAAGAAAATAAAACCCAAAGCTGTTCGATATTAAAAGTAGTCACAGGTACAAAATAAGACTATTTCCTCGCTAAAACAGTGGTCTAGCTGGCCTTCCTCATGGGATGCACTGAGATAAATAAAAAGTCTATCGAAGTTTTGAGCACTTTATTCTTGTATTCAGTTTGCCTCTCAGCATTTCATAAGTCAATTTATCCAAACGTCATGGCGATGGAATCTTTGACCAACTGGACAGCAGAAGAACCTAATGTGCTCTAAAATGACCTAATGGGCTTTGAGTCCTACATCTTTCTGACCACTCAGAACTCCTTCGGTCCTCATCTTTGGGTCCAGCCCTCAGCACCAAGTTCCATTCTGGGCACACAGTAGGCATTCAATCATTACTTACTGATGGCCATGTTAATGGATTGTCAGAACACAGCTAGTGTTTTCCTTAGTGTTTCATAGATCCAGCAGAGTTTTGAGAAACTCTGCACTCCTGCCCTTTTTAAAAAGCATGTTTAAACCTTTCATTATGAAAAATTTCAAGCCTGAACAAAGTAGAACAGAACAAAGAATCCCCATCACCCAGATTCAAACATTATCAACTCAAGGACAACCTTGCTTCACCTATATCCCCTACCACCCTCATCATTTCTTTGTAGTGAGTCCCAGACTTCATGGGGTTTCATCTATAAACATTGCACTGTGTATTTCTAAAAGATAAAAACTCTCTCAAAACATAATCACAAAACTAGTATCATACTTAAGACATTAACAATTTTTAAATGTTAAGTTTAAATTTGATGTTAAATATATTCAAATATTCAGTGTTCAGATATCTCTGATTGTCTCACCAAATTTTCTTTTAACAGCATTTGTTTGAATCAGGATCCAAATAAAGCCCGTACATTCTGCTCTCTACTCTCAGGCGCTTGTGAGTATTTCCTCACAGTATTTCCCAAAGTGACAACTGCTGGAAGCATTCACAAAACTACAACAGTGAAGTTCAAGTTTTTTCCTCCATAAAAATTTTCATGCCTTAAAAAAGGCTGTAGTGTACTGCTAAATCTGCTTGAATTACACTTCCATTTATCTTTCCATTTATTCCATTTACCTCCTCGGTGCATGTAACTGCTGAATGTCAGTCTGCCTTGGAGGAGGTGCTTCCATCCAACCTCCCGGGATATTCACTCTGCTTTACATTTTTCTCTGGGACTATATGGTTAGCGGGATGTCGATAATGTAAGGCAATTTTACGTTTTATAGTTCAACTCTGTAACACAGGTTGCACAGCTCTTATGCGCATGTTTTGGAGAAAAAGCTTTCTGTAACTCTTCCCATGGTGGTTGGTAAGACAGCTGTTCAAGACTGGCTGACTTCCTCTGCCCTGAGGCTCCAGGAGCAAAACCCACTAGGCACTGCGGGCAGTCTGGGTCCATTTCCCTCAGAAAAGGAAACATGACACCTCATTCTGTTTGGGACTTTAAGAGGTTTTGCTGAATGCATGCCAGTGGTGTTTCTGACACACACACACATGCACACACACACGCACGCACGCGTAACTGTATCTACCTCCCACAAACACATTATATAGAATACAGATTTTTAAACACCAGAAACAGTATCCTTTCTCTGCCGTCATGAATACTTCTGAAAAGACCACTCAGGAAATTCCTAATGATTTTAAGAAATAATTGGAAGGCAAAATTTAACCATTTCTAGAGAAGAGACACTAAAAGTCTATTCGAATGAAACTTTGCAAACAGAGCACAAACCATGACTACCCACTCCGAGTTTATAAGTGCAGAAGGAAGATGGGGTTCCCTGGTCTGGCTGACTAGACTCATCCTGGGCTCACTGAGGTGACAGACACCAAAGTTTCGTGACCCTTCAAACTGATAAGGAACACTGTCTTGTGCCTATAAAAATATAGGCCTAGCAGAATGGAACTACATGTCTCCTATAAGAGGGGAAACGTTCTTAAAAAAGGGGAACTTACATTGATTCCATAGTGTTCAGTGACTCCTCGGCCATGCTCTCCTAGGACTCCAAATGAAAGGCTTTCCTCCAGGAAGATTCTTGCTTTGTATTTGTATTTTAACTTAACCTAAGTGTTATATAAACGTTAAAATACTAATGATTAGCACCATATAGAACATATTATGGAGAAAAAAATTAAGATTAAAAAGTATGTACAGCTGACTCTCAATACTTGTGAATTCTATATGTGCAAATTCATCTACTTATTAAAACTTATTTGCAACCTCCATATCAATACTTTTTTCCTGTCATCACGGATATGTGCATGTGCAGAGCAGTGAAGAATTTGAATTACCTGACACGTGTTTTCCCAGGTGAGGGTGAACAGGCGACTGTTTCAGCTCTGATCCTGTGAACAACTACCCTTTTCATGGCCTATTTACTGCCACTTTTTTGGACTTCTGTGCTTTTTGTTGGTGATTTTGCTATTTAGAGTCGCCCCCAAGTGTCATGCTAAAGTGCCGTCTATTACTCCTAGTGCTGTGATGTCCCTTATGGAGAAAATTTGTGTGTTAGAGAAGCTTTGTTCAGGCATGAGTGGTAGTGCAATGAATCAACAGACATTAAATAAGACACCTTTAAACAAAAATACACATAAAGCAAGTTTTGTGTCAACTGGTTGATGAAAATGTTGTAACCAGAGGCTCAGAGGAACCTAACCCTATTATTTGCCCTAGCAGCAATAGTTTAGTATTTCTTATTCCAGTGTTCATGGCAACTTTATAGAATATAAGTAGGGTGAATGATGAGAATCAATTGTCCTTTAGATGGTCTAAAATGATTCACTTAACAAAAGACAGCACAATACTGATTTTTTTTTTTTTTTTTTTGAGACAGAGTCTTGCTCTGCCACCCAGGCTAGAGTGCAGTGGTAGGATCATGGCTCACTGCAGCCTTGACCTCCTGGGCTCAAGTGATTCTCCTACCTCCGCCACCCAAAGTGTTGGGATTAAAGGTGTGAGCCACCATGCCCAGCTTCAGTGCTTATCTACACTTGAGCTGTTCCTACACTTCATCTTTAGTTTCGTATCTGTCCATTAGCACTGCTTCATTACTGTAGCCCTATAATATACGTCCTAGTATCTTCTGGTTCACTACCTCCCTCCCATTATTCTATCAACCATTGACACTCTTACAAAAACAAAAAGAAGAAAACAAATACATCTCTTCTATTGATACTTAAAATATATTTAGATTTCCTCAGAAATAGTGAAAACATTTAAAAACAACATATGGAACCCTTATTTTGAATCCTTATTCAATTAATAGACTCCTAGATTAAAATCTCAATGGCCGAATGCAATGGTGGTTCAACATGGAAAAATCAAATATGTATTACATACACATTAGAAGAATGTAGGGGGAAAAACCCCACATGATCATCCCAATAAATGCAGAAAAAAAATTTGACAAAATCCAACAACCTCTCATGATAAAACACTCAATAAATTAAAAATGGGAAGGAACTTCCTCAACCTGATAAAAGGTTATTATAAAAAACTCACAGCTACCATCATACTCAATGGTAGAAGACTGAAAGCTTTCCTTATAAGATCAGGAACAAGACAAAGATGCTCATTTTCGCCACCTGTAGTCAACACTGTAGTCGAGGTCCTAGCCAGGGCAATCAGGCAAGAAAGATAAAGGGCATCCAAATTGAAAAGAAACAAGTAAAATTATCTCTATTCACAGATGGTGTAATCTTATACATAGAATAAGATCCACAAAAGTATTATTTGAGCTAATAAATTCAGCAGAAGTTACATTATGCAAAAGCAATACACAAATATCTGTTGTATTTCTATAAATAGCAGTAAACAATCTAAAAAGGAAATTAAGGAAACAATTCCATTTATAGTAGAATAAAAAAATCAAATACTTAGTGATAAATTTAACCAAAGAGGTGCAGGACGTATATACTAAAAATCACAAAACATTGCTGAAGGAAATATCTAAATAGATGGAAAAATCCCAAGTTCATGGACTGGAAGACTTAATATCATTAAGATGGTAATACTTCCCAATGTGACTACATATTCAATGCAATCCCCACCAAAATCCCAACAATACTTTTTACAGAAATGGAAAAGCTAATCCTAAAATTCAAATGGAATTTCAAGAGACCCCAAATAGCTAAAATAATTTTGAAAAAGAACAAAGTTGAACTCACATGTCCTGATTTCAAAACTCACTACAAAGCTACAATAATTGACACAGTGTGGTACTGGCATAGGACAGATATATAGAAGAATGAAACAGAATAGAGTCTAGAAATAAACCCATACATCTATGGTCAATTAATTTCAACAAGGGTGCCAAGACCAGTCAATGGGGAAACATTAAACAAATGATGCAGGCAAAACTGGATAACCACTTGTGAAAGAATAAAATTGGACCTCTTCATCAACGCATACGCAAAAATGAACTCAAATGAACTACAGACCTAAATGTAAGACTGAAAACTATAAACTCTTAGGGGGAAACATAGCAATAAATCTTGATAATTTTGGATTAAACAAAGATTATTATTATTATTTTTTTTTTTTTGAGACAGAGTCTCGCTCTGTTGCCCAGGCTGGAGTGCACTGGCGTGATCTCGGCTCACTGCAACCTCCACATCCCAGGTTCAAGCAATTCTCCTGCCTCAGCCTCCCGAGTAGCTGGGATTACAGGCGTGTACCACCACACCCGGCTAATTTTTTTGTATTTTTAGTAGAGACGGGGTTTTACCATGTTGGCCAGGCTGGTCTCGAACTCCTGACCTCAAATGATTCACCTGCCTCGGCCTCCCAAAGTGCTGGGATTACAGGCGTGAGCCACCGTGCCCGGCCAGATTAAACAAAGATTTTAAAATAAAACACAAAAGCACAAGCAACAACAAAACACATAAACTGGACATCATCAAAATTTTTAAAAACTGTGTGTCAAAGGACAGTATCAAATAAATGAAACAAACCCCCACAAAATAGGAGAAAATATTTGCAAATCATGTATCTGATAAACATCTAGTATCCAGAATATACAAGGAATTCTTTTAAAAACAAAAAAACAACCCAATTTAAAAAATGGGCAAAGCACCTGAATAGATATGTCTCCAAAGGTATACGCATGGCCAAACAAACAAACAAACAAAAAAAAAAACAAGAAAAGAGGCTCAGCATCATTAGCCATTTGGGGGAAACAGGATCAAAACCACAGTGAGATACTACCTCATGCTCACTAGGGTGGCTAAAACAAACCAACAAAAAACCCTGGAAAATATAAGTGCTGACAAAGATGTAGAGAAACTGTAACCCTGGTATATAGCTGATAGGAATGTAAAATGGTGCAATCGCTGTTGAAAACAGTATGTCAGTTCCTTATTAAGTTAAACACAGAATTACCATATAATCCAGCAATTACCCTGCTAGATATATACATAAAAGAACTGAAAACAGGAATTCAAACAAATACCTGTACACAAATGTTCACAACAGCACTATTTGCAATAGCAAAAAGGTAGAAAGAACCCAAATATCCATCTGTGGATGAACATATAAAACAAAACGTGGTATTATCCATGCAATGGACTATAACTCAGCATTAAAAAGGTATGAAATACTGATACATGGTATACAATGTTAATGAACTTTAAAAACATCAAGTGAATGAAGCCAGAAAGAAAAGGTCATATATTATATGATGCCATTTATAGGAAATAACCAGAAAAGGTAAATCCATAGAGACAGAAAGCAGATTGGTAGTTGCTGGGAGCTAGAGGGAGAAGAAAATGGGGAGTGACTGTTTAATGGGTTTGAGGTCTTCTTCGTGAGTCATGAAAAGGTTTTTGACCTAAAGTTGATGGTTGCACACATGGTAAATGTAATAAATGTCACTGTCCTGTACAATTTAAATTGGTTAATTTTGTGTTATGTGAATTTCACCTCAATAAAGGAAATCTCAATGGTCATGGTTTCTAAAAACAGTTATGCTGCTTTCACTATTAAAAAGCTAAGTTTTGGCCATGCGTGGTGGCTCACGCCTGTAATCTCAGCACTTTGGGAGGCCAAGGAGGGTGGATCACCTGAGGTTGGGAGTTCAAGACCAGCCTGACCAACATGAAGAAACCTTGTCTCTACTAAAAATACAAAATTAGCCGGGCATGGTGGCACATGCTTGTAATCCCAGCTACCTGGGAGGCTGAGGCAGGAGAATCACTTGAACCCAGGAGCCAGAGGTTGCGGTGAGCCGAGATCGTGCCATTGCACTCCAGCCTGGGCAACATAAGTGAAACTCCATCTCAAACAAAAAACAAAACACAAAAAAACAAAAAAGCAAGCTATGCTTTCATTCATATGCAATTCTACAAAAGGTAAAACTAATCTACAGGAATAGAAAGTAGATTAATGGCTGTCTGGGGCCAACATGGGTACTCACTACCAAGAGGCATCAGGAAGCTTTCTGGATAAAGTTTTCTTTCTGGATAAACATTGTCTTACATAAAAATATTCCGTATCTTGACTGTGGTGGTGGATGGCTGCAGTGATACAGATGTATATACATCTGTCAAAACTTATCAAACTTTACCCTTAAAGTAGGTGTATTTTATACGTTGATTTCACCTAAATAAAGCTGGATCTTAAAAGCTACGTATGGCCGACTCAGTGGCTCATGCCTGTAATCCCAGCATTTTGGGAGGCCCAGGCGGGCAGATCATGAGGTCAAGAGATTGAGACCATCCTAGCCGACATGGTGAAACCCCGTCTCTACTAAAAATACAAAAATTAGCTGGGGGTGTCTGCGCACGCCTATAGTTCCAGCTACTCGGGAGGCTGAGGCAGGAGAACTGCTTGAACCTCGGGGAGGAGGTTGCAGTGAGCCAAGATGGCGCCACTGCACTCCAGCCTGACGACAGGGCAAGACTGTCTTGCGGGGGAGAAAAAAAAAGCTAAAGCTAAGTTTTGGCCAGGTGTGGTGGCTCATACCTGTAATACCAGCACTTTGGCAGGCTGAGGCAGGAGGATCGCTTGAGCCCAAGAGTTTGAGAACAGCCTGGGTAACGCAGTGAGACCCCTACTCCACAAAAAAGGGAAAAATCAGCCAGGTGTGGTGGCATGTGCCTGTAGTCCCAGCTAACTCAGAAAGCTAAGGTGGAAGGATCACTTGAGCCCAGGAGGGTAAGGCTGCAGTGAGCTGTGTTCACACCACTGCACTCCAGCCTGGGCAACAGAGCAGTCTTGATTACTCTTTGAAGGCCAGCACTGGCATTCAGTGTTGTTCTTCTTCCCTGATCTGAGCAAAATATGCTTATGAGGCCTAATGCGCAAAGCAACGCAGACGTTATACACTAAAAGCGGTCATAAACAAAAGGCACATCTGTCAAATAGTCCAAATATTAAAATTACAGCTGAACATGGTTGCTTACCAATTCTGGAAGAGGACAAATAGTTCCAGTATTCATATACAATCCTTCTACTACAATGAAACGCCGAGTTACACGAGCCTTGCGAGGATTCTTTAAAAGAGAAAAAGCAGACATCTTACATTTCAGTAACTCTGAAGACAAGATCTGTTACATATTCCCCAGCACTTTCACCTTACAAGATTTATTCCTAAAAAAATATTCTGAATGAATTGAAAGCTCAGTGTTTGTGATGGGTTATTTTGAGATGAACAACAGTACTATCTTCTCTCAGACGTTTTTCAGCTCACAGCATTAGCTAGGTGACCCGCCACACACACAAACTAATTAGGCCCTCTGAGAATATTAAAACACAAACAAAACCCTCCAAACCTCCAACTGGGAAGGGGCCTAAGGGACTTTCTAAAGAAATGGGAATGTTTTACATCATAATGGGGCTGACATTCCTGGGTTACATGGGTATAATCACTGGTCAAAATTGTATGGCTGCATTCATGTGATTCAATGTCTGTCAATTTTACCCAAAACAACTATAATGAAGGTCATCATCATGAAGATGGGGTGAGGAACAGATGGCACAAGAATGATGTAATGCTGATAACAAAGCTGGGAGAAGGGTACAGGGGGCTTCACTATACCACTGTGTTTCCTTCTTATATGTTGGCATTTTTCCATAACAAAAAGTTAAAAAACTCAAACCGTTTTCCTTCACCTCCCAAAAAAAGGGGCAACCCTGTTCCCTCCTCACTCCCCACTGATGTATTATCGGATCAAGTAAAATTTGACTATGAGCTTGTCCAATGATGTTCCCAGGTGGTGGGGTAGAGAGGTCTCCTTTTCTTTTTTTTGAGATGGAGTCTCACTGTCACCCAGGTGGGAGTGCAGTGGCGCCATCTCTGCTCGCTGCAACCTCCGCCTCCAGGGTTCAAGCAATTCTCTGCCTCAGCCTCCCGAGTAGCTGGGATTACAGGCACCCGCCACCACGCTCAGCTGATTTTTGTATTTTTAGTAGAGATGGGGTTTCACCATGTTGGCCAGGCTGGTCTTGAACTCCTGACCTCTTGATTACTGACCTCGGCCTCTCAAACTGCTGGGATTACAGCTTTGAGCCACCACGCCCGGCAGAGATCTTTTCAAAAAACACACACCTTCACACACTCTGCTCAGAGCAAGTCACTAATAAATCTCCCACATGTATGAAACTGTACATGGTTCAGGTGTGTGGGACTGCAAAAAATACTGAGATCCACAGATAGAGTTTGCCATTACCTTCTTACTCAGAGATCTCTTGCCTCTAAGTTTCTGCTCCAATGGACAATTAGAAATGATCAGAATTAGAAAGTATCAGAGCAATGCTTTAAGGGGTATTTTACAACCCACAGCAGTAGCACTAAAAAAAAAGTTTGTTGAGGAATAAAAAGTACATATCACTGATGTTGCTCAATCATCTTTACTCTGTCAACTCACAACTGAAAGCTGGGGAGCTAGCAATATGTTAGAAGTGATGGATGAAGAGATGCCACCCTAATTTCTACACAGGGCATGCTACCTCTGCCTGTCTTTAAGGAAAAACATTTTCTTAGATTTAAAAATATTCAATGTAGGATTCTTGGGAAATGGAAAAGTACAAAAAACAATTAAATAAATCAGCTAATCATACCACACGGTGATAATTTTTGTCTTTCTTGTATAAACATATAAATTACTTTGTTCAGAATCAGGATTTTACTGTAGTTTTAGGACCTGATTTTAAAAACATTATGCTGTGAGCATTTCTAAATTATTTCGGATTACATGATTTTAATGGAGACGTTCTGCCTGTGAGTATACCATAAACTACTTATTTCCCTAATGTTGGATTTAGTTGTTTCCTTCATTTGCTTTTTCATATCACAATATGAATATCCTTCAAAATGTGACATCATTTCTCGTAAGTTTTTAAAGACAGCACCACAGGAATGGGTCAAAGGGCATGGAATTACTTGGATCCTGGAATGTATCTGCCCATTTGCCTTCCAGAAAGGCAGTGCCAATTTAAACTCCTTCCAGTGTCATAGGAACACTCTTTGTCTCACCACATCTGTGTTAGCACTGACTATTACTATTAAAAACATGCCCTAATTTAACAGGCAAAACTCCTAGCCTAATCTCCTTAATTATTAGTGAGGCCAGGCTATTTTTCACTTGTTCATAGTTATGTGTATTCCTTTTATGAACTACTGTTCATATCCACTGACCATTATGGGAACCCTGTAGGAAAGGGGATAAAAAACAATTCATGAACCATGGCGCTTGGAAAATGGACAAAGAAAACATTCAAAGTGTTAACGACCAGATTATTTATGTGAAAATGAAACTGAAAATGAATATTTCTAAAAACCAAAATGTAGAGTTACTTAGAAAGCCTGCTCTCAGCAAGAAAAATATAAATTAGTAAAAAAGTAAAAATTATAAAGTAGAAATAAGTTTCAAGATATTTAATTTTACTTCTTGTTGCTCATTTAAAAAAAAGTTCTATGGCTTACAGATCTTGTAGAAAAAGAGCACATACAAAACTTGAATCTGATGTTTTCCAAATTTATACAATACTAGGCAAAACAAATGGCAGCAGACTGCAGTTCTAGTACTGAAAACAGACTAGCTTTCTATTACTGCATCATCATAAGAAACATCTTTTTATACTTTGTAAAAGAAATTAATCAGTGGAATGGGCTGTTTTCAGATTTTGCCTATAGATTTTTCTAAATTGTGTAAATGTGAAATGTTAGCCTAGAGCAGAGTTAGTATAAAATGGCAAGATCATGCATATTCATCATGAGAATGTGTATATTCATGAAGTGATGCACTTAGGCTGACACCTAAACAAAGATGACAGAATCCTAAATGAATAATGCAAATATTTGGAAAATTGAAAATTAACACAAAATACACAAAATTAAGAAATGTGATGAGCATTTTTATCATTTATTCTAGTTATGACTGAGTTGCACTGGCAAAGTCCACTTGAAACTGTGTCTGAGATGAAGACACACATCATGGTGTCCTGCTCAGAACCACAGACCTGAGCTACTTTACTTACCCATGTCATCAGGGGAAAATAAATTGTAATTTTAACAATGATGCTCTGAACACACTTCCTCTGTTTCACCCTAATCAGAACACCAAGGAGCTACTTCCAAACCACCATCACCTGGGTTATGTTAGGTTCTCGAGAGGAAACAGCTGAAAACAGGGCTGCAAGCTGGAAGGAGACCATGTTAGGGGCAGTCATTTCCCACAGGCAGTAGCTGCTCAGAGCAGGATACAGGTGGGGTGGGGAGAAAGGGCTTCACTTTGTTCATATATTAATATAATAAGCTTGCTGCCATTCTTTCCTCATGTAATTGATACATGATTTATTCTGGTATGAATAAGCCTATTCTGAATTCACTAGGTACATGTCATTAAAGGCCTAGTAAGTTTTGGTGTCATTATGCCCAGCTATGAGTAGACATCTCCCTGCCTCACTAAGCACATGCTGTTTTTCAGCCTCTCTTGATCTCTCAGAAAGCTGCTTGGATTACCTCCCTCCAATTTGCTATATGTAATTACGGCAATGACAAGGCAATTACAATCAGACTTGGCTCTCCAACACCAAGTACATTTAATAAGCAGGAACACCTTAATATCCAAATGTGATCCACAGGCAAGTTTTCATGACAAATTACCATTTCATATATAATTTAGCTGGTTAGAAAGTACAAAAGAACTGTATAATTTTCTTCAAAAGAATCATACCTTTTGATCTTCGATCTCTTGTTCTTTTAGTAGTCGCTCGAGGTCAGCCATGTCATTATGCTTAAATAACTTAATGTCACTACGGGATGCCTGTAATCCTTTCTGAATAGCAAAGCAGGCAGCTCTATCTCTGCAAGGAAAAGAGATCCACCAAATTGGGTTTAAAGGGTCTTGTCAACATTCTCAAAAAGGAATGCTTGTTTTTGTAAGCTGACCAATCACTGATTGTTAACATGAGCATAGCAAATAAATAAAACATGTTTGAATATTTATACATCATTGTTTGCTCTTCATCCATGAGTCCTTTTCACATAACTACCATATTTAATCTATTCCAAGAAGCACACTCTCACTATATATTAATCTCTCTGAAATTAGCATGCATCTTACTATGGATGACATATCAGTTTATTCACATACTTTTCTCTTTCTAAGAAACATAAAATACTGGTGTGCCTCACCATCAGTGGCATCTCTGATATGACTGACACATTACTCTGCCATTATTTTGCCCTGAGAAGTAATACTGGCAGCCCAGCTAGACAGAAAACTTTTAGACAATGACTATTCTACTGTAGCCAAACACCACAGAAAAAAATGAGGGGTACCCAGCCCCATCTATGTCAGCAAAGGCTGAGAAGGGAACTTAGACTTTGACCCTCGAGAGGCTGTAACAAGGCGACACACCTCCTAGGGTGTTGTCAGGGAAGGCCAAGTAGGAAGCTGAGCCTTTTATTCCTATCAGTTGGTAACAAGTGGACCCCCTCCACCCCCACTGTGGTGTCAGCAAAGAACACATGGAGAGCCCTAACTTCCACCTGCACTTGGGAGTAGTGGGCACCCTCCCCATCTCCTCCTGGGCAGTGTCACAGGAGGGCGAGTGGAGAGTCAGGACTATTAGCATCACCCAGCAGCAACAAAGAAACCCCCAACGATGTCAATGGAGGCCGAGTAGGGCCCCTGAATTGTTCCTCCTCCTGGCAGTATGAGGCAGCAGTCCCCTAGCCCCTTCCCCTGTTGGAATCATGTCAGAGAAAGCCAAATAAAAGAGATGGCTTAAACTAGACATGGACTACAGCGGCACAATATGAAAGTGTCTAGGTTTCCATCAAATATCCCTTATATCAAGAACCAGAAGATATCAAGTAGAATGAAACAACAAATGCCAATAGTGAGATGACAGAGATATCAAGATTATCTTACAACAATTTTAGAGCAGCCACGATAAAAATATTTTAATGAGCCACCATGAAGACACCTGAAGCAAATGAAATAATAAAAAGCCTCAGTGATGAAATGGAAGATACAAAGAAGAGTCCTACAGAGATATCAGAACTGAAAAACTAAATTACTAAAATAAGAAGCTTAGTGGATGGGCTCAGCAGCAGAATGGAGGCAGAGGAAGGATCAGTGAACTGAGACAAGCAATAGAAATTATTCACTGACAGCCGGGCGCAGTGGCCCATGCCTGTAATCCCAGCACTTTGGGAGGCCAAGGCGGGTGGATCACGAGGTCAGGAGATCGAGACCATCCTGGCTAACATGGTGAAACCCCATCTCTACTTAAAAAAAAAAAAAAAAAAAATTAGCTTGGCGTGGTGGTGGGTGCCTGTAGTCCGGGTTACTCGGGAGGCTGAGGCAGGAGAATGGTGTGAACCCGAGAGGCGGAGCTTGCAGTGAGTCAAGATGGCGCCACTGCATTCCAGCCTGGGTGACAGAGCGAGACTCTGTCTCAAAAAAAAAAAAAACAAAGAAAAAAGAAATCATTCACTGAGCACAACAGGAAGAAAATAGACTAGAAAGAAATGAACAGAGTCTCAGGGACCCATGGGATTATAATAAAAGACGTAACATTTGTGTCATTGGAATTCCAGAAGAAGAGAAAGAGGTGGGGAGCTAAAAAAGTATTCAAATAAATAATGGCTAAAAACTTCCCAAATTTGTCAAGTGGTTTAAATCTACAGATTAAAGAAGCTGAGCAAAATCCATACGGACTAATGCAAACAAATAGTTGCCAAGGCACATCATAGATGACTTCTGAAAACAAATGACAAAAAAAATCTTGAAAGCAGCCAGAGAAAAATGACACCTTATACATAGAGAAAAACAATTTGAATGACGGGAGATTTTTCATCAGAAACCAGACACCAGAAAAAAAGCATCACAATGTGTTTCTAATGCCGAAAGAAAATAACTGTCAACCCAGAATCCTATAACCAGCAAAAATATCCTTTAGGAATGAAGGTGAAATCAAGACATTCTCAGTTAAGAAAAATGAAGAATATTTGTCACTAGCAGACCTACCCTAAAGAAATGGCCAAAGGAAGCCTTCTAAATAGGAAAAAAGCCATAAAAGAATACTGTTAGATTATCAGGAAGGAGGAAGGAGCACAGTAAGTAAAAAATATGGGCAAATACACTAGGCTTTTTTTCTCCTCTGGAGTCTTCTAAATTATTTTGGACAGTTAAAGCAAAAATTAAAACACTGATGTGGTTCTCACTGTATGTACAGGAAATATTTAAAACAATTATAATGTAAATGAGGCAAATAAAGGAATGTAAAGGAAGGTAAAAGTTTCTACACTTGAATTGGTACAATGACACCAGTAGTCTATTATAATATATGTGTAATGTAACACTCAGAGTAATGACTAAAAAAAGCTATACAAAGAAAAAGTAAATTCTAAAAACATGTTCAATTAGCCCACAGAAAGGCAGAAAAGAGAAAATAGAGAAACACAAAGTAGAGTGAACAAACAAGAAACAAAAAGCAAAATGGCAGACTTTGTTTTAACAGACTTAAACTCTACTATGTCAATAATTACATTAAATGTAAATGTACAAATACATGATTTAAAGACAGGCAGGTAGAATAAATTAAATAACATGACCCAACTATATGCTGTCTGTAAGAAACTCACTACAAATATAATAATATAGGTAGTAAAAAATACAGATTTATACACACAACTATGTAATATAAAAAATAATAAAAAGGGTATCTGACAAAGTAAACTTTGGAAGAAAGAAAATTATCAGAGTGTTTGCTTTGGCAGCACATACACAAAAAGTGGAAAATTATCAGAGACAGAGAAGAACATTATGAAACGCTAAAAGGGTCAATTCATCAAGAAAACTTAGTAATCCTAAATATGAACTAAACAAAAAAGCTAAATTTGAGATGCAACCACTGATAAAACTGAAAGAAATAGACAAACCCACAATTACAGTTGGAAACTTCATTATCCTTCAACAACTGATAGAAGAACTAGACAGAAAATCACCAAGACAGAAGAACCCAAAAACACCATCAACCAAAAAGACTTGACATTTATAGAACACTCCACCAAACAGCAGCAGAATACACATTTTTTAAGTGCCCATATAAGATATTCCAAAATAGACTACCGTATTAGCCATAAACCAAACTACAACAAATTTAAAGTCCCCAAACACCTGAAAAGTAAACAATACACTTCTAAATAATCCATAGGTCAAAGGGAAAGTGTAAGCTGGGCATAGTGGTGTGTTTTTGTAGTCCCAACTACCCAGGAGGCTGAAGCAAAAGAATCCATTGAGCCCAGGAGTTCAAGGCCAACCAGAGCAAAATAATGACACCCTATTTCTTAAAACAAAACAAAAATGAACTAAATACAAATGAAAACACAACACATCAAAATTTGTGAGACACAACTAAAGTAGTGTTGAGAGGGCAATTCATTGCACTAAATGAACATTCAAGAAAAGAGAAAAAGTTTCAAATTAATAATTTAAGCTCTTACCTCCAAATCAAGAAAAAGAACAAAATAAACCAAACGTCAGCAGAAGGCAGGAAATAATAGGAGAAATCAATCAATGGAACTGACAATAAAAATACAATAGAGAAAAACAATGAAACAAAGAGCTGATTCTTTCAAAAGATCAATAAAATTGACAGACCTCTAACAAGACTGACAAAGAAAACAGGAGAAAAGGCACAAATTACCAATACCAGGAGTGAAACAAGGTATATAACTGTGGACTCTGCAGACATCAGAATAATACGGGAATACCATGAACAGCACCACACATGTACATCTGACAACTTTTAAGAAATGGACCAATTCCTTGAAAAACACAAACTACCTCAATTCACTCAATATGACAGATAATTTGAATAGCCTGATAACTACTAAGGAAACTGAATTCAGAATTAAGATACTTGCAAAAAAGAAATCTCTCCAGGCCCAGATGGTTTCATGGGAGAATTCTACCAAACAATTAAATAATTAAAAGTAATTCTATACAAATAGCTCCACAAAATAGAAGATAGAACGCTTCCCAATTGATTCTGTGAAGTGTTATTCTGCTACCAAAACCAAAGTAAGTATCAAAAAAAGTGTATTATAGGACAATCTCCCTCATGAACACAGATTCAAAATCCTTAACAAAAGACTGGCAAATCGAATTTAGCTTTTTATAAAAAAAAAATTATACCCCATAACCAAGTGGTATTTATTTCAGGTATGCAAGGCTGGTTCAATATTTGAAAATAAATCAATGTTATCCACCACATTAAGAGACTAAAAAAGAAAAATCACATGATCATATCAACCAATACAGAAAAAGTAGTTGACCAACCAAATTCACATTGATTTGCAATGAAAATGCTCAGAAAAAAAAGATGAGGTGCAGGAAAGTGAATGTAATAAAGAGCATCTGTAAGAAATCTGCACGTAACATTATACTTATTGGTGAAAGAGTAAACGCTTTCTAATATCAGGAATAGGGCAAGAATGTCTTCTCTTACTACTTTTAACACAGTCCTGGAAGTTCTTGCCAGTGCAATAAGGCAATAAAAGGGAATAAAAAGTAAGTAGATTAGAAAATAAATAAAACTATTTACAGATGACATGACGACTGTCTACATGGAAAATCCTAAGCAATCTAGAAAAACAGTTCCTAGAGCTAATTAAGTGAGTTTGGCAAGGTTGCAGGATACAAGCTCAGCACACAAAAAATCCACTTCATTTCTATATTTTAGCAATGAATACGTGGACATCAAAATTTGTATTTGCAAACCACATATCTGATAAAGAACTATGATCTAGAATGTATAAAGAACTCTCAAAACTCATTAGTATAAAAACAAATCATACAACTAGAAAATGGACATGAAAAGACATTTCACTGAAGAGATGGCAAATATGCACATGAATGGATGTTCAACATCATTAGCCATCAGAAAAATATAAATTTTTCTATACACCTATCAGACTGGCTAAAAAAGTAGTGATAACACCAAATGCTTCTGAAGATGTGGAGAACCTTGATCATTCATATCTTGCTGATGGGAACATAAAATGGTATAGACACTTTGGAAAATAGTTTAGGAGTTCCTTTAAAAACTATGCAATACTATAAACATAGCAACTGCATTCCTTGGCATGTATTCCACAGAAATAAAAACTTATGCTCACATAGCATGAATGTACATGAATGTTTAGAGCAGCTTTTTTTTTATAACAGCACAAAGCTGGCAACAACTCAGATGTCTTTAAAAGGTAACTTCAATAACAGTGGTACCTTCATGCCATGGAGTAATACTCATCAATCAAAAGGAACCAACTCTGGATACAAGCAACAACTTGGATGAACCATCAGAGAATTACGCTAAATGAAAAAAGCCAACCCCAAAGTGTTGCCTACTGGATGATTCCATTTGTATAAAATTCTTAAAATAACAAAATTAACAAACAGAACAGATTAGTGGTTGCCAGGAGTTAAGGAGTGGGCAGATGGGAGGAATGTGGATGTGGCAACATGAAGGATCCCTGTGGCGACAGAAATGTTCTGCATCTTGACAATGACAAAGTCAATATCCTGGCTGTGAAACTGTTCGTTTTGCAAGAGGTCCTCACTGGAAGAGACTTAGTAAAAAGTACAAAGGATTTCTATATTATTTCTTACAAGTGCTTTTGAATCTACAATTATCTGAATGTAAAAAGTTTAATTTTAAAAAGATCTGTGAAGCAGCATGAACACATACTTAGTGGAGTGATAGGACAGACTTAAGTCCATGAATGACCACTGTGCTGAGCCCCACTATTGGCAAAGCATTAACACTGTTTACTGAAAGGAAGGAAATGAAGCATCACACAGTGTCTATGCCTGACAAATTTATCAAAACCAATTTACCAAACACCATGTTTACCTCTAGCACTCCTACATTCAAACACATTTCAGGTAGAGTATTTAAAATTACGTAGCAGAATAAACAGGTTAGCAACTCACTGGAAATGGAAATTTTAAGACACTGGGCATAACACATGGAAGTGAATTTAGCCTATGTTTCCTAGCAGTTAAAAAAAAAAACACAATGTAGTATTTATCAAAGGAAGCATAGGAGTTCACCAGTAACCATCAACTTTTTCTGGACTTTAAAAGAATTTATAGTGGGGTGCTTGTGTATAAAGTGACACTGAATGACACTGCAGCTGTCTGTAACTCTGCTTTTACTAAAAACCTAGAAACACTGTTTAAGTCAATGGCGCTTCAGTTAGTGATGAGTCTTTCACATTATTTTTTAAACTATTTGCCAAAAATTAATAAAAATATTCATTTTTATGGTCACATTAGTATACTACTTAGACCCAGGACATTTGCTGTAGTGCTCCTAGACTGCTGTAGGGCTATAGTGAGGAATGGGTCACATGTACTGCAGAAGCCCCAGGTAGAGTCAGCTCTGTAGTAATTATGATAGAAGGTTCTGTCGCTGCACAAGCGTTCCAACGGTGAGTGGTAAGCAAGAGGCCAGTGCAGGGCTTGAGGGATGCCAGGCTCTGCAACACAGTTATCTGGCCCCTATTCTGAGCTCCAGCTTCCTTTCATTCATTTACTGAACTACTGTTTATTGACCATTACTAAATGATAAATACTATTCTAAGTAATGGGCTCCCAGCAAGAAACAGAAGCAAATAACCACACAGATATAAAATTATAAACTGTTACAAGCTCTACAAAAGAAAAGTACAGTAAGTATGAAGCAAATGAGCAGAGCAGGGTGCGTGTGAGAGAGTGTGTGTGTCTGTGTGTGGGAGGGAGGCTTGAGAAGCAGGGTGACCTTGACAGGCAGTTTGAGTGCTCGTGTGAGCATGGATAAACAAGAACAATAAATTCTCTCTGGCTGTAAGATTTTGTCCACATGCAGCAGGGGTCTTGACCTGCTCTGAGGTGTGGGACGGCCTCCCTGCAGAGGTGACGTATGTGAAGGATGAGAAGGTTAAGTAGGAGAAGGGAGGAGGAACAGTGTTCTAGTCAGAAAGAGCATGTGCGTGGGCCCCAAGGTGAGAGGACACTAGCATACAGGGCTGGCAAGGCTACAGCTTAAACACCTCAGGGAAAATGGTACAAAATCAGCCTGAAAAAGTGATGCAGAGCTCACAAGATCATACAAAGGACTTGGGTCTTTATTTTAGGAACAATAGAAGCTCTAAATTGTATTAAATAAAATGTGACAAAATAGGATTTACATTTTAAAAAGATTACTCTGGCTGTGATGTTAAAAAGGAAAAGAGGAGGCCAGGCACAGTGGCTCACGCCTGTAATCCCAGGAGTTCAAGACCAGCCTGGCCAACATGGTGAAACCCCATCTCTACTAAAAATACAAAAAATTAGCTAGGTTTGGTGGTGGGTGCCTGTGGTCCTAGCTACTTGAGAGGCTGAGGTAAGAGAATTGCTTGAACCCGGGAGGCGGAGCTTGCTGTGAGCCAAGATCACTCCACTGCACTTCAGCCTGGGCGACAAGAGTGAAACTCCATCTCAAAATAAAAAAAATTAAAAAATAAAAATAAAAAAAGGCCAGGTGCGGTGGCTCACGCCTGTAATCCTAGCACTTTGGGAGGCCGAGGCAGGTGGATCACCTGAGGTCAGGAGTTTGAGACCAGCCTGGCCAACACGGTAAAACCCTGTCTCTACTGAAAATACAAAAAATTAGCCAGGCATGGTGGCGCATGCCTGTAATCCCAGCTACTCAGGAGACTGAGGCAGGAGAATTGCTTGAACTTGGGAGGCGGAGGTTGCAGTGAGCCAAGATTGCGCCATTGCACTCCAGCCGTGGTGACAAAGTGAGACTCCATCTCACACACAAAAAAAAAAAAAACAGAGAAGAGGAAATTAAAGTCAATTTGAGACCAAATTTTAGTCCACTCATAGGACGACAGGGCTTGGCTTGGGGCAGCAGATGCTTCTGACTGGTTTAACCAGCTGCCTGGGGCCTGCCAGCCCTTGCTTGGCTGTACCCTGCCCTTCACAGTAAACCTCGGTAGCATGCATTCAGCACAGGCACGCGAGTGTGAAGATCCACTTGTGGGTAGTCAAAGAAGTGTCCAAGTCACGGCTCCTCTATCCTTAATAAGGTAGGAAGCAAGATCAGCTGAGACCAGGTGACGGGGTGAATGGGTGATGAGACATGGAGAGACTTTGCCGGGCAGTCTGACTGACAACGTGAGGTGGTGACCACAGACTAGGATACCACACAGCCACAGAGCTGCACAAAGAAGGCAGATAGCTGTCCTCATCTGGACATCAATAAATAATTACCATGGCAGATAAATGACTATAGACACCGTTAAGCATCTTTTAAGTGAAGGTTTCACAAATTTTGAAACCTTTGGTGAGGTGACTATTTCTTGAAAAACAAAAAGCAGCATTATTTTATGCAGATAACTTCTAATGAAGTATTTCTCTAAGACAGTCAGTATTATTTCAAAGGAACTGCTATTAGAAAACTACGTAAAGTTTACTTACACAAAAACAATGTCCCCTCTTTTAGAGTAAGCAGGAATAGCACTGGCTATGGTGGCAAATCCATATGAGTATATAATGGCTTCTTCTGTCTTCATAAATTTTGCCAGGCGGTCTTCCAAATCCAAATGAACATCTATTTCAGTTAAAAAAGTTAAATGGTTAAACTGCCTTATAATTCTTTTTCTCTACTAAAGAACAAATAAAAGAACACAAGCAGTATAATTATCAATACTTTCACCTTATGGCCAAAATGGAATTGTTTTTAAATGATAGATTATACAAGATCTATTAAAATAATTCTAGGCCCATACAACTTCTAAAATACATGAACTAAATCAGCTACGCATCTATCTGCAAAATGTGTTACTGGGGCAGTTCCAACTTCTGGTTATGCTTTGATATCACTCTACTGTAAGACTTCAAGGCCTACCAAGTTTCCCTGCATTAACTGTCCTTGACCAAAACCATTGAGGTCTCACCAATGTTTGATGTTAACTTATTAATGTCTGTTTGCATTTTAGCAAAAAGAACCCTGTATACTTTGCATCAAGAAGGTGACACTTACTAGAACTCCAGTAACCACTCCTCTAACAATCTGTGTCAGCATTTAGTAGTGGCACCTCCCATCACTTTCTGGGGCTGGGATTCTGTCTGAATTTCTTGTAAGTGTAATGAAGAATTCAAATTTATAGTACAAAAGGAAATATAGTCCTTTTATAGATGCACTGTAAGGAGGATGTTGACATAATAGTGAGGATAAATTATAATTATTAGACTGACATGTTTTATTTTCCTCTTAAATCATGGCTCCTTACAGCCTTTTACCTCTCAGACTGAACCATGAGGCTTCATGCCCTCGGACGGAGGACCAGTGATGCTTAGAATAAATAGGCCACTGGCCAGCTTAGAATCTTAAAACTTTAAAACAGCCTTAAAATGAGACATTATCAAGGAGGGAAAGGGATTTTAAAAAATTCCCTTAGCTCTTTTAACTATGGCAGGACCCAACCCTGGAGGACTAGATAACAGAGTTTCACCACAGGCCCTGTGTGGAGAGCGCTCGAAGAAGCCAGGCCCCTCCAGTCTTAGAGCGCTATGGGAGAAAGGAGGGAAATCAGAGGCCACAGAGTTGGATTTTGAGACCCAGGATGAGTGAGCCGTGATGTGTCTACTGATGAGAACCCAAGCACAGGCAATGGCAGGCGGTCTGGGCATTCCTGAGCTAGGGGCAGCAGAGAGGGCTGACGGCCTGGCAGGAGGCAGTATATTTACAGACTTCCTAAAGAACGTTACAAAACTGTTAAAATGAACTATTAATTCCATTCCTATCAAATAGTGATAAAATATGAGGCATGCTTCTTCCTATTTGTACGTTAACACAGTCAATATCATTTGATTTCCATTACCAATTGGTTATAGTTATTTTATAAAAAGGACACTTTTCATTACACCAACATTAAATAAACGTAGGACTTTACAACAACACACAGAGTTTAGAAGAACGTATCCCAGGTGATCTTCGAGTATAAGACCTCTGACACTACGATCACATGAAATCCAAGGCCGTGATTCCCTGTATCTGACAGCCGCCCTCTAGGAGAGATGCTATCAGAAAAGGTTTCAGGCAAAATCTAGCAAGAAAGAGGAAAACAGCCAAGTAGCTGAGCATGGGTTACTCTTGGGTATGTCTTCCTTCTCATCCTCATTACTGTTCTCTGAGCGCCATCACTTTGCCACCTCTCACGTTCCCAGGTAGGAGGCCTCCTTCAAAGTATAATGGTGCTTCTAATTGAAAGTATCTGCCACAAACCTTCACAGTTCAGCCAGAAGGACAACTCAGGCAACAGTGGTTTGCTTTCATTTGGTATCTCCATTTCAAAAAGAAAAACATGCTATGTATACAAATTATTTTTGCTAACCACAAAAGGGATTTTAAATCATTCTGTAGACTTCTTAGCTCTAAATGACTCCTTTCATCAATGAATGATGAGAATGTAAAACTGAGTATAACCCTGTTTCAGGACTTTAGAGTGAGTTACCCAGTTGATGAAAATCAGCATGTTACAAATCTTCCCATCATTAGGTATACTCGTAACTGTTTATATACAGTTGCCATAAGTGGGAAGAAGAATCTCTCAACAATAAATCAATGACTTACTGGTTCTAGCATAGTCCCAAAAGTTCAAAAAGACTAGTCTTTTCCTTCTATCAGAAGACACTGGGTTTTAGCTGATGTCAGCCTTGCAAAGCAGGTTTTGTGACAGGTAAATATGGGTAACTGAAGAACTTGTTTCTCTTGATGCTCCTTTGTGCAACGAAGAAACTCTCAACCTAAGGGAGGAGAAGGCAGCAAGCAGGAAAACTACAAGGGCACTCACTTTTCTTCAACTTTTGATGTCCATATCTTCTGTGTGTATGATCCATTTCACTAACTGGAGCTGTAGATTTGCATGGAATAAAACTAAAGTACTATATTCTACAATTCACTGTTAGTATTAAACACGGCAGAGAAGTGACCATAGAGGGAGGTGTCCTAGAATGCCTCCGCACACCTCACAGCCCTCAGCACTTTCTTGCACTTGCTTATCTGCCTGTCTGGCTCCCTCACCAGAACCTCAGGGACAGGAGGCCTCACTATCTCGGTCATCACAGAGCTCAGATTGTAGTTAGGTCTGGGGGTTCAGCCCTGGGCAGCCTTGGTGCCTTCCTCTGTCAAATAGGGGGGATAGTCCTACCTTCCTCAAGGGTTAGTAGGATGACTGCACAAGTTAATGCTGATAAAACACTTAGAACACTGCCTGGCATGGAACAAGCAATATGCTATTTAAGAGTTTGTTTAATTACATTAATACTTGTAGAATAAAAGAAAAGGTTTTATTTTAAAAGCAAAAACCTGGTCACACTTAGGCAATCTTCTAATAAAGCTATGTGAATTCTGAATTGTTAAGACTATCTTCCAATAAGAGCCACTTGTTCAGCTTCTCACTTACAAGGAGGAGAGATTACGGCCTTCCTGGTTGTTTTCCAGAGAGAACACCATAAAATAGCTGACTTTAGGACGTTTAGAAACAAACTACATTTTCTCTTAAGGCCTTCATATTTTTGCATACATACTGTCCTTAAAAAAAAAAAAATCCCTAGAGGCCAGGTGTGGCGGCTCACACCTGTAATCCCAGCACTTCGGGAGGCCGAGGCAGGAGGATCACCTGAGGTCAGGAGTTTGGGACCAGCCTGACCAAAACGGAGAAACCCTATCTCTACTAAAAAAAAAAAAAAAAAAAAAAATTAGTTGGGCATGGTGGCGCATGCCTGTAATCCCAGCTACCTGGGAGGCTGAGGCAGGAGAATCGCCTGAACCCAGGAGGCGGAGGTTGCAGTGAGCCAAGATCACGCCATCGCACTCCAGCTTGGGCAACAAGAGTGAAACTCCGTCTCAACCACAACAACACACACACAAAAATATCCCTAGAGACATGCACAATTTTTCTTCTTAAGAGTATAAGTGATAGCCCTTAGGTACTCACTGGAACATACAGAGCCAAATGTTTTTCATGTTTTCACATGCGGTATCTTATGTGATCCTTAGCAAAGTGTTCTAAAGCCATGCAAGCAATGATTGTTCCCACTTACACCTGAGAAAACCATGATCCCATGACTGGTAAGAGGAAGTGGCAGATCTAGGAATTTTATGACCAAATTGTAAGGTCCCCTGACCAAGCTGCGCCATGGTCAAGCCATCGTGACCCCTGTGACCCACACGTACACATCCAGAAGGTGTCCTGCAGCCAGAAAATCTGGGACAACAGGAAAACCACAAAAGAAGAAAAACGGCTAGTACCTGTCTTAGCTGATTAGCCAGCCTTGGGGCATTCTACCATTGTAACAGGCTCTACCCTAACTGATCAATCAACCTCATGACACATGACACTGTGCTCTGTAACCTTGTGATAATGTACCTTGTGACATTCTTCCCCTACCTGCAAAATCCAGCCCCTAACTGTAACTTTCCATTGCCTACCCCTAACCTATAAAACCATCTCCAATCCCACCACCCTCTGCTGACTCCCTTTTCATACTTAGCTCACTTGCACGCGAGTGAATAAACAGCCTTGTTGCTCACACTTAGCCTGTTCAGGTTGTCTCTTCAATTGGACGCATGCATAACATTCGGTGCCGAAAGCCCGGGATAGGGGAACTCTCTCTGGGAGACCTCTCCCCTATCCTCCCCACGCTCTTCCATCAAAGAGACTTCCCTCGACCTCAGGACCTCAGACCAGCCCCCGCGAACACTCCCACCTCTGTCTACGGATCGGGTAAGCTGCCTCGGTCTCTCCTCATCTCTCTCCCTCTTTTTCTCTCCTCAAAATTGAGACAAGGAACCTTCCTCTTATCCATGTTTCCAAAATCCAACGTTGGTCACGGACTCTTCTTGGGAAGACAGTCTTCCCTCAGTGTTTGGTGAATGCCAGGGATGCCAGCCTTGGCCATTCGCCAGCCACACAACCCGGGACCTCCATTGGGGATGCCCACTGAGGATGCTAGTGGTTGCTCTTTTCCTTGTCTCTTTCTTTCCCCTCAAACTTTCCCAGTTCTAACATGGGCAACCTCCCACCCTCCATCTTCCCCACTGGCTTCTGTCCTCAAAAACCTCAAACCTCTTAGCTTTCACCCAATCTAAAGCCTAAACGTCTAATTTTTTTTTTCTGTAACACGGCCTGGCCCCAATATAAATTAGACAATGGCTCTCAGCGGACAGAAAACAGCACTTTCAATTTCTCTATTTTGCGGGACTTAGACAACTTCGGTTGCAAAATGGGCAAATGGTCTGAGGTACCCTACATCCAGGCATTTTTTACTATGATCTCTCCCTAGTCTCTGCTCCCAATGTGGTCCATCCCAAATTTTCCTTATCTCCCTTCCATCTACCTCTCCTTCTTCCACTGGGGATGCTGACTCCTCTTTACCTGTTAACCCCTTCAATCTTTCTCCCCCCAACCCACCTATCCGAACCTGGCCCTAATTCCCCCTCAGAACCGAGTTCTACCCACAAGCCACCCCTTTACGTCCCTCCCATTACCATCCCTCCTCACACCTGCTCTGGCTTACAATTTGACCCTGAAGCCGACCCCCATGCCCCTGCCCAGCAATTTCCCCTTTGAGAGGTGGCAGGAGCCGAAGGAAAAGTCCAGGTTCACATCCCTTTCTCTATATCTGACCTTTCCCAAATCAGTCAGCATTCAGGCTCTTTTCCGTCAGACCCTACTCAAATATATACAAGAATTCCAATACTTAACACAGTCCTATAATCCCACTTGGAATGACTTAAATGTCATCTTCACTTTGGACCCTAGCTCAATCTTATGCTGATGACTGCTGGCGCCTTGAGCCTGGCCTCCAAGGCCAGGCACTAGGGCAGTACCCGTGAAGGCCCCAAAGGACCTACCAGGCAGGGGCCCAAGGCATAGCCAGGCAGGACTACATGATCTCTTGTTTAGTTCAAGGGCTTCAGAAAGCTGCATATAAAGCCGTGAATTATGACAAACTAAAGGAGACCACTGAGAACAAAGGTGAAAACCCAGCTCAGTTTATGGCCCATCTAGCTGCCACCCTCAGGCGATATACAGCACCAAACCCTGAAGGGACAGAAGGCCGCCTTATTCTTAACATGCATTTTATTACCCAGTCAGCTCCTAATATTAGAAAGAAACTTCAAAAATTAGAGTCTGGCCCTCAAACCCTATAACAGGAATTAATCAACCCTGCCTTCAAGGTGTTCAATAATAGGGAAGAGGCTGCCAGGCGGCAGCGCGCCTTTCAGAATGACAAATGCTTGCCTCCACCTTAAAACAAACCCCAGCAGCACCGCCTACCTGCAAAAACTTCAAGGCGTACAAACCGCAGCGTTTAACTGCCCCTCTGGGACCTTGCTTCAAATGTCAAAAACCTGGCCACTGGGCCAAGGAATGCCCACGGCCCGGGATTCCTTCTAAGCCATGCCCCTGTGTGGGCCCTCACTGGAAGTCAGACTGTCTGACTCTCATCACCAATCCTGGAGCTCCTGGAGTACAAACCCGAAATGACCGACTCCTTCCCAGATCTCCTCGGCTTGGCGGCTGAAGACTGACGTTGCCCGAATATCTCGGAGGCCCCCTGGACCATCACAGACGCCAAGCTTCGGGTAACTCTTACAGTGGAGGGTAAGTCCGTCCCCTTCTTAATCGATACGGGGGCTACCCACTCCACGTTACCTTCTTTTCAAGGGCCTGTTTCCCTTGCCCCCACAACTGTTGTGCATATTGACGGCCAAGCTTCTAAACCCCTTAAAACTCCCCAACTCTGGTACCAAATCAGGCAACACTCCTTTATGCGCTCCTTCCTAGTTATCCCCACCTGCCCAGTCCCCTTATTAGACCAAGATATTTTAACTAAATTATCCTCCTCCCTGACTATTCCTGGACTACAGCCACATCTCAGAGCTACCCTTTTATCCAATTCCAAACCTCCCTCGCAACCTCTCCTTTCATCTCCCCACCTTAACCCTAAAGTATGGGATACCTCCACTCCTTCGCCTGCAACTGATCATTCACCCCTTATCATCCCATTGAAACATGGCCACCCTTATCCTGCTCAATGCCAATACCCCATCCCACAACAGACTTTAAGGGGCCTAAAGCCTGTTATTACCTGTCTACTACAGCATGGCCTCTTAGTCCCTACCAACTCCCCTTACAACTCTCCCATCCTACCTATTCAAAAACCAGATAAATCCTACAGGCTAGTCCAAGACCTTCGTTTCATCAATCAGATTGTCCTCCCCATTCATCCTGTCATGCCTAACCCTTATACTCTCCTATCCTCAATACCGCCTTCCACAACTCATTATTCTGTTATTGACCTCAAAGATGCCTTCTTTACCATCCCCTTACATCCCTCTTCCCAGCCCCTTTTTGCCTTTACTTGGACTGACCCTGACACCCACCAGTCCCAACAACTCACCTGGACCGTCCTGCCCTAAGGTTTCAGAGACAGCCCACACTACTTTAGCCAGGCCCTCTCCCGTGACCTGCTTTCTTTTCGTCCATTTGTTTCCCATCTCATTCAATATGTGGATGACCTTCTTCTTTGCAGCCCCTCTTACCAATCCTCCCAGCAAGACACTATCCTGCTTCTTCAACACCTCTACTCCAAGGGGTACAGAGTATCCCCCTCCAAAGCTCAAATTTCTACTTATCTTGGTATAATCCTCCACCAACATAGGTGTGCACTTCCAGCAGACCGTATTCAGCTAATCTCCAAATTCCAATCCCCACCACCAAACAACTACTCCTCTCCTTCTTAGACGTTGTTGGATACTTCTGCCTTTGGATACCAGGTTTTGCCATCCTAACCAAACCACTCTATAAACTCACAAAAGGAAACTTAGCTGAACCCACAGATCCTAAATCCTTCCCTCGCCCCTCCTTTTACTCTAAAAAAGGCCCTAGAGGCAACCCCTACTCAAGCGCTTCCCGACTCCTCCCAACCCTCCTTCCTCTCCACACAGCAAAAACGCAGGGCTGCGCTGTAGGAATTCTTACTCAGGAACCAGGCCTGTGACCAGTAGCCTTTGTATTCAAACAGCTTAATCTTACAGTCCTGGGCTGGCCGTCATGCCTGCATGCCACAGCAGCCACAGCCCTTATACTCTTAGAGTCTCTCAAAATCACAGGCTATGCCCCACTCACCTTTTATAGCACTCACAACCTCCAAGACTTAGTTTCCTCTTCACATATAAAACATACTCTCGGCTCCCCACCTCCTCCAGCTCTATTCACTCTTTATTGAAAATCTCATGGGGACCATTGCCTTTGGACAGGACTTCAACCCGGCCTCTCACTTACTACCCACTACAAATCCTAATCCACACAACTGTATTTCCTTAATCCACATAGCCTCCTCTCCTTTTCCCCATATTTCCCTTTTTCCTGTCCCTGACCCAGACCACACTTGGTTTATTGATGGCAGTTCTTCAAAAACCAGTTGATTAACACCAGGAAAAGCTGGATAGGCCATTGTGTCTCACTCATCTATCACTGAAACTGCTGCACTCTCCCCATTTACAACCTCTCAACAAGCTGAATTAATAGCACTAACTCATGCCCTAACTCTTGGCAAAGGACTGCATGTTAATATCTAATTGACTCTAAATACGCCCTTCACATCCTCCACCGCCACCCTGTCAACTGGGCAGAAAGAGGTTTTCTCACTACACAAGGATCCTCTATTATCAATGCCCCCTTAATAAAGCCCTCCTTAAAGCTGCCCTCCTTCCAGCCAAAGCCAGAGTAATCCACTGCAAAGGACACCAAAAAACCTCTGATCCCATTGCCCAAGGAAACACCTATGCCAATAAAACAGCCAAAGAAACAGCAAACTCCCCAGTATCTGCTCCCAGTGGCCAATATTTCTCCTTCTCATCTATCACTCCTATTACTCTCCTTCTGAAACCTTAAACTACCAGTCACTTCCCACTCAAGGCAACTGGTTTTTAGATCATGGAAAGCTCCTTCTCCCTGCCTCTCAAGCTTACTCTATCCTCTCCTCCTTTGATGACCACTTCCATGTAGGATATAAATCTTTAACCCACCTTTTAGAACCTCTCATTTCTTTTCCAGCCTGGAAATCCATCCTCAAAACAATCACCTCTCAATGGGCTATAATGCCACTCTACTACCCCATCAAGGCTTTCTTAAACCTCCTCCTTTCCTTATGCATCAAGCACGACAATTTATCCCTGCTCAAGATTGGCAAATTGACTCTACTCTTATGCCCCGTGTCTGGAAACTCAAATACCTCCTGGTTTGGGTCGACACCTTCATCAGATGGGTTGAGGCTTTTCCCACGGGGTCTGAAGGCTGAAAAGGCCACTGCAGTTATTTCCTTCTTCTAACAGACATAATTCCCCGGTTTGGTCTCCCTACTTCCATACAGTCTGATAATGGGCTGGTCTTCATCAGCCAAATCACTCAAGCAGTTTCCCAAGCCCTCGGTATTCAATGGAATCTTCATGCCCCATATCACCCTCAGTTCTCTGGAAAAGTAGAAAAAGCCAAGGACCTTTTAAAAACACACCTTACTAAACTTACCCTCCAGCTTAAAAAAGACTGGACCACTCTCCTACCCCTTGCACTCCTCCGAATTCGAGCCACACCCTGGGAACCCACCGGGTACAGTCCATTTGAACTCTTACACGGCCGCACCTTTCTGCTGGGTCCCAACCTTATTTCAGACACCACCCCTCTTGGTGATTATCTTCCAGTCCTTCAACAGGCTAGACAGGAAATCCACTAAGCTGCCAATTTCCTTTTACCTACTCCAGATACCCAGCCATATAAAGACACCCTAGCCGGACGGTCAGTTCTTGTTAAGAACCTGACCCCTCAAACTCTAGAACCTCGGTGGACAGGACCTTACCTGGTCGTCTATAGTACCCCAACCACAGTCGTCTGCAGAATCCTCCCCACTGGGTTCATCGCTCCAGGATAAAACTGTGCCCATCAGACGACCAGCCTAGCTCCTCTGCCTCCTCCTGAAGTCGCAAGTACTCTCCCCCACTTCCCTTAAACTTACCCACATTCCTGAAAAAGAACAATAACCCTGTATACCTTTTATTTACAGTAGGCCTTTACACAGTCACCCCAGTATTTAAACTCTGTCTACTTATGTCCCTACTAACCATTCTCACGTACTTCTAAATGCCCTGCTTTTGTCTATACTACCAGTTCACGCTTTTACTCCAGACCATTGTAGCTGATATCTCGTGGTGTCACCCTCAAGCTGCCACCCTTAACTCTCTCAGAATGGACAGATGACCTTCTGTGGCAAGGTACTCTCCAATTCTTCCACCCTGATGAAGTTCTTTTCTTTTATACTTACTCTTTGTCTCACTCCCATTCCCTTGCCACCCTCTACCCCTCCATCTAATTATCTCCAGCAAACCATCAACCTCACCCACTCCCTCCTCACCATCTCCAATCCTTCCTTAGCCAGAGATTGTTGGCTATGTATTTCCTTCTCTTCCTCCTACTACACAGCTGTCCCTGCCCTGCCAGCTGACTCAGCAACCTCCCCCATCTCCCTACACCTCTGAACCTCTTTCAATGATCCCCACCTTTACCCTCCCAAACAACTTCTTTACTTCCTAGAAAAATACAGCAAAAACTCCCTGATATCTAATACCAACAAGCTGCTGCTCTCCTCCGTACCTACCTACAAAAACAATTCCTTTACCTCAGCAAGCAGTCACAGAAAGCTTTCATCAGATTACAATCAACAACCCCATAAAATGTGCCTTTTCTAGTTTTCTAATACCTGCCAAGAAAATAATTCCCTACCAATCAAAAACCAAGCAAACAACCCATTTGCATTAGACTAGAGGAAAGTGGGAGGCTCTGATATGAGCTTATTTCTTCAAACTTGCCATCAAGAATGGAAGTCAGGATACTTGGTTTATATTATTATTATTACTATTTTTGAGATGGTCTCACTCTGTCATCCAGGCTGAATTGCAGTGGTGTGAACACGGCTCATTACAGCCTCAACCTCCTAGGATCAAGGGATCCTCCTGCCTCCGCCACCTGTGTAGCTGGGACTACAGGTTCACGCTAGTGCCAGGTTTATTTTTATTTCTTGTAAACACGGGGTCTCACTACATTGCCCAGGCTAGTCTCATATGCCTAGGCTCAAGCAATCTTCCCTTCTTGGCCTCCCAAAGTGTTAGGATTACAGGCATGAGCCACTAAACCTGGCCAATTTCTAATTTTAGGGTTAGAACTAAAGATTTTAAAGATCACTTCCAGCTGTAGGATTCCTGGACACTACTTCTCCTTATCTGTTTCCAAGACAAATAATGTAATCACCAAACTAGCTTAGGGATAACATAAGGTGCTCCCTTACATTAAAAAATCACAAAAGTAAAAAACTTAACTGTTAAAGTAAAAAAACACAAAAAGATCCAGAAATGGAAACAAGGATGGAAGATGGAAGATATTTCCCTTGCTCTACTTTCCCCACACTGTGTCATTTTATAAGCCAAAATGCTATTTCCAGCAATAAATTCATTTAAACAATTTTATTTATTTATTTATTTTTGAGACAGTCTTGCTCTGTTGCCCAGGCTGGAGTGCAGTGGCATGATCTCGGCTCACTGCAACCTCTGCCTCCCAGGTTGAAGCAATTCTCCCACCTCAGCCTCCCACGTAGCTGGGATTACAGGTATCCACCACCACGCCCAGCTAATTTTTGTATTTTTAGTAGAGACGAGGTTTCAGCATGTTGGCCAGGCTGGTTTTGAACTCCTGACCTCAGGTGATCTGCCTGCCTCAGCCTTTGAAAGTGCTGGGATTACAGGCATGAGCCACCATGCCCGGCCTAAACAATTATTTAATAACATTTTCAGGAGCAAAGAATATACACTTAATAAAAACAACCATAAAATGCCGGTCTTCTTTGATGACTCCCAGGGAATTCACTGTATTTGAAATCATACATTCATCAAATATTTAGTTGGCCTGTTCCCGGATTATCCATACACAAGGAAATCAATGATCCTTCATCTTCATTCTAGAAAGATAAAAAACTACACTGTTTATCCCCCCTCCCTCCACCCCAGGCAATCTGCTCTCCACTTTCTTCCTAGAGCTGTTTCTCAGCCCCCTGCGTGGCTAGTCATGGCAGGGGTTCCGCTCTCATCAGTGGACTGTGGGCAGAAGTATGAGGCCATCTCCCCTGCATAAAGAGTACTGCTGCTCTGCACTCGTTCCTCACGCTGCAATCCCCACACATGCACACGAGGATGAGCCCACCATGCCCGGCTAATTTTATTATTTTTTGTAGAGACAGGGTCTCCCTATATTGCCCATGCTGGTATCAAATTCCTGGGCTCAAGGAATCCTCCCACCTCAGCCTCCCCAAAGTGCTGGGAGTACAGGTGTGAGCCACCATGCCCAGCCTAAAATTGAATCTTAACTATTGAAAGCAGTAGTCTCAAAGAGAACACAACAAAAACTTACCAAATGTGCCATAAAATCCTCTGGGTCCACAAGTCCCCACGCCATACTTCTTTAGAGATGCTAAAGCTGCTGCCTTTATTGAAGTACAAGAATTATACTTTAATAATTTATCTTTAAGAGTTCAAAACAAACATTTCCTATTCTTTAACCCACAGAGCTCCTTCCTTCCTCCTCCAACTCTAACAGAATATAAAGAAGAGACAGGTGTAAAGACTGAGTATATGACTTAAAATATGGAAAAGTTATACTAGCCTGATTCTCAAAACCTGGTTAACTTTTCTGCATTTGTGGGCCAAGTCTTTCCTGGAAAATGCCTGTTAGCCCACAATCCCAATAGGAGAGAGAGCAATTTCCTAGACCCTTCTCCAACTATTCTCTAGGTCTGGCCTGTTCAGTTCTGTGGTTGCTGCCTAACACTGAGCCACATAAGAGACTCTTGCCTCTCTCTGTCTAGGTCCCGCTCACAACTCTGTCAGACAAAAAGTAATGGGAAAAACTTGCATAGCGCTTTCCAATACTATGATTTTTTTTCTTTTTTTTGGAGATAGAGTCTCGCCCTGTTGCCCAGGCTGGAGTGCAGTGGCACCATCTTGGCTCACTGCAACCTCCACCTCCTGGGCCCAAGAAATTCTCCCACCTCAGCCTCCCAAGTAGCTGGGACTACAGGCATGTGCCACCATGCCCTGCTAATTTTTGTATTTTTTGGTAGAGATGGGGTTTCACCATGTTGGCCAGGCTGGTCTTAAACTCCTGACCTGAAGTGATCCACCACGCCCAGCCTGCCTTTGTCTTTTATGTCTAGTTTCTTAAATCAGTAATGTTATCTGTCCACTTCAGCAATATGTGCTACTCACCTTAACCCTAGGGTTATCCAACAATCCAAGAAAATTAAATGAGGCGAAGTTTATACATTCTTTTCCATTCACCACAGTTTTGTGGCTTGGAGGGCTAGGGAAGAGATAGAGTGGTACATGTCAATTACACATTCATGTTACATGCTATCATATTACCTTGGTGGTAGGCACAACAACATAGTGTTGTCATCCTACCCTATTTGCATACTGGTCTTTGATTTCTTGTTTTTAAGAAGTAATATTAGAGCATGGTACATTAAAAATAAGATATTTTTCCATTAATTTTATTTTTAATAAAATACCTGTACTATGAAAATAAAAAAGAAAAATAAGCTAGAATTCCAAGATGAATGAATGGCAAATCTTAAATGCTTTGGTTTTAAAACTCGCTTAAGAATGAAGCTGCTAAATAAAGTATCTCAGAAAAATCTGGAATAAGCCAAACAGGAAGAAAATATAAAATAAGATCAAAGGCAAGAATAGGCAGAGTGAGTTATGATCTTGCATAGTTAAACGGCTTAAAAAGAAATGTCATGTATAGGAAGCCACTAAAGAGTAAGTGGGATATGTTCCCAATGTCTAAAGTTAACGCTGGAATGCTGTTGAAGAGGAATCCTCACACTCCTGGGGAGCGGGGAGAATGTGGGTGGCAGCTACACTGGAGCCGGATATGAGCCCGGCTGGGACAGGAGAATGGGCTCCTGAAGGTACTTCCGTTAAGCCCTCTGCTGATCTATATTCGAGCCATGAGCCATGTTTCAAAATCATGGGCTCAAATTATGGGTTGCAAACTGTTAAAGGGCTGTGAGACCAAGTTAGTTGGTCACAATCAGCCTATTTTAACCAGAGGAAACAGTAAAACAAAATAGAACGGAAAAGAAAATATCAGAACCATGGCACAGGGTGAGTGATGGGACTATGTATCTGTACTGGTCCATGTACTGGGTTGCTCTATAAAATGCACTGTAGCCAGAAAAAATGGAGAAACACTATTCTCATTGATACCTTTTAACAGCATTGGTCATCCTTGAGAAAACACAGATGCTGGGAAACCAGGAAAAGAAAAGAATGACAACTTGAAGTAAATTCATGAAAGCGAACTAACTTATAAAAAAGGCAAGAAGACTCAGTGAAAAAACCATGGGTTATAGAGTCTGTCAGAGAGATCCCCTCTGTATTATGGCTATTGACGATTCAGAAGCTTAGGGACATCACTGACCTCTGTGATTCTCAGTTTCTTCATCATTAAAGTAGGGGAGAGTCTACCTCTCAGGGAAATTGCTATTATGAAAGTGCCTGGCTCATAAGAGGTGCTCTCCAAATATTTTCTTTCTTCTTCCCTAAGGCTTCAAGGGCTTCTCTATTTTATTTTATTTTATTATTATTATACTCTAAGTTTTAGGGTACATGTGCACAATGTGCAGGTTAGTTACATATCTATACATGTGACATGCTGGTGTGCTGCACCCATTAACTTGTCATTTAGCATTAGGTATATCTCCTAATGCTATCCCTCCCCCTCCCCCCACCCCACAACAGTCCCCAGAGTGTGATGTTCCCCTTCCTGTGTCCATGTGTTCTCAGTGTTCAATTCCCACCTATGAGTGAGAACATGCGGTGTTTGGTTTTTTGTCCTTGCGATAGTTTACTGAGAATGATGATTTCCAATTTCATCCATGTCCCTACAAAGGACATGAACTCATCATTTTTTATGGCTGCATAGTATTCCATGGTGTATATGTGCCACATTTTCTTAATCCAGTCTATCATTGTCGGACATTTGGGTTGGTTCCAAGTCTTTGCTATTGTGAATAGTGCCCCAATAAACATACGTGTGCATGTGTCTTTATAGCAGCATGATTTATACTCATTTGGGTATATACCCAGTAATGGGATGGCTGGGTCAAATGGTATTTCTAGTTCTAGATCCCTGAGGAATCGCCACACTGACTTCCACAATGGTTGAACTAGTTTACAGTCCCACCAACAGTGTAAAAGTGTTCCTATTTCTCCACATCCTCTCCAGCACCTGTTGTTTCCTGACTTTTGAATGACTGCCATTCTAACTGGTGTGAGATGGTATCTCATTATGGTTTTGATTTGCATTTCTCTCATGGCCAGTGATGGTGAGCATTTTTTCATGTGTTTTTTGGCTGCATACATGTCTTCTTTTGAGAAGTGTCTGTTCATGTCCTTTGCCCACTTTTTGATGGGATTGTTTGTTTTTTTCTTGTAAATTTGTTTGAGTTCATTGTAGATTCTGGATATTAGCCCTTTGTCAGATGAGTAGGTTGTGAAAATTTTCTCCCATTTTGTAGGTTGCCTCTTCACTCTGATGGTAGTTTCTTTTGCTGTGCAGAAGCTCTTTAGTTTAATTAGATCCCATTTGTCAATTTTGGCTTTTGTTGCCATTACTTTTGGTGTTTTAGACATGAAGTCCTTGCCCATGCCTATGTCCTGAATAGTAATGCCTAGGTTTTCTTCTAGGGTTTTTATGGTTTTAGGTCTAACGTTTAAGTCTTTAATCCATCTTGAATTAATTTTTGTATAAGGTGTAAGGAAGGGATCCAGTTTCAGCTTTCTACATATGGCTAGCCAGTTTTCCCAGCACCATTTATTAAATAGGGAATCCTTTCCCCAATGCTTGATTTTCTCAGGTTTGTCAAAGATCAGATAGTTGTAGATATGTGGCGTTATTTCTGAGGGCTCTGTTCTGTTCCATTGATCTATATCTCTGTTTTAGTACCAGTACCATGCTGTTTTGGTTACTGTAGCCTTGTAGTATAGTTTGAAGTCAGGTAGCATGATGCCTCCAGCTTTGTTCTTTTGGCTTAGGATTGACTTGGCGATGTGGGCTCTTTTTTGGTTCCATATGAACTTTAAAGTAGTTTTTTCCAATTCTGTGAAGAAAGTCATTGGTAGCTTGATGGGGATGGCATTGAATCTATAAATTACCTGGGGAAGTATGGCCATTTTCACAATATTGATTCTTCCTACCCATGAGCATGGAATGTTCTTCCATTTGTTTGTATCCTCTTTTATTTCCTTGAGCAGTGGTTTGTAGTTCTCCTTGAAGGGGTCCTTCATGTCCCTTGTAAGTTGGATTCCTAGGTATTTCATTCTCTTTGAAGGAATTGTGAATGGGAGTTCACTCATGATTTGGCTCTCTGTTTGTCTGTTATTGGTGTATAAGAATGCTTGTGATTTTTGTACATTGATTTTGTATCCTGAGACTTTGCTGAAGTTGCTTATCAGCTTAAGGAGATTTTGGGCTGAGACAATGGGGTTTTCTAGATATACAATCATGTCATCTGCAAACAGGGACAATTTGACTTCCTCTTTTCCTAATTGAATACCCTTTATTTCCTTCTCCTGCCTAATTGCCCTGGCCAGAACTTCCAACACTATGTTGAATAGGAGTGGTGAGAGAGGGCATCCCTGTCTTGTGCCAGTTTTCAAAGGGAATGCTTCCAGTTTTTGCCCATTCAGCATGATATTGGCTGTGGGTCTGTCATAGATAGCTCTTATTATTTTGAGATACGTCCCATCAATACCTAATTTATTGAGAGTTTTCAGCATGAAGGTTGTTGAATTTTGTCAAAGGCCTTTTCTGCATCTATTGAGATAATCATGTAGTTTTTGTCTTTGGTTCTGTTTATATGCTGGATTACATTTATTGATTTGCATATATTGAACCAGCCTTGCATCCCAGGGATGAAGCCCACTTGATCATGGTGGACAAGCTTTTTGATGTGCTGCTGGATTCGGTTTGCCAGTATTTTATTGAGGATTTTTGCATCAATGTTCATCAAGGATATTGGTCTAAAATTCTCTTTTTTGGTTGTGTCTCTGCCCAGCTTTGGTATCAGGATGATGCTGGCCTCATAAAATGAGTTAGGGAGGATTCTCTCTTTTTCTATTGATTGGAATAGTTTCAGAAGGAATGGTACCAGTTCTTCCTTGTACCTCTGGTAGAATTCGGCTGTGAATCCATCTGGTCCTGGACTCTTTTTGGTTGGTAAGCTATTGATTATTGCCACAATTTCAGAGCTTGTTATTGGTCTATTCAGAGATTCAACTTCTTCCTGGTTTAGTCTTGGAAGGGTGTATGTGTCGAGGAATTTATCCATTTCTTCTAGATTTTCTAGTTTATTTGCGTAGAGGTGTTTGTAGTATTCTCTGATGGTAGTTTGTATTTCTGTGGGATCAGTGGTGATATCCCCTTTATCATTTTTTATTGCATCTATTTGATTCTTCTCTCTTTTTTTCTTTATTAGTCTTGCTAGCGGTCTATCAATTTTGTTGATCCTTTCAAAAAACCAGCTCCTGGATTCATTAATTTTTTGAAGGGTTTTTTGTGTCTCTATTTCCTTCAGTTCTGCTCTGATCTTAGTTATTTCTTGCCTTCTGCTAGCTTTTGAATGTGTTTGCTCTTGCTTTTCTAGTTCTTTTAATTGTGATGTTAGGGTGTCAATTTTGGATCTTTCCTGCTTTCTCTTGTGGGCATTTAGTGCTATAAATTTCCCTCTACACACTGCTTTGAATGTGTCCCAGAGATCCTGGTATGTAGTGTCTTTGTTCTCGTTGGTTTCAAAGAACATCTTTATTTCTGCCTTCATTTCGTTATGTACCCAGTAGTCATTCAGGAGCAGGTTGTTCAGTTTCCATGTAGTTGAGCGGTTTTGAGTGAGTTTCTTAATCCTGAGTTCTAGTTTGATTGCACTGTGGTCTGAGAGACAGTTTGTTATAATTTCTGTTCTTTTACATTTGCTGAGGAGAGCTTTACTTCCAACTATGTGGTCAATTTTGGAATAGGTGTGGTGTGGTGCTGAAAAAAATGTATATTCTGTTGATTTGGGGTGGAGAGTTCTGTAGATGTCTGTTAGGTCCCCTTGGTGCAGAGCTCAGTTCAATTCCTGGGTATCCTTGTTGACTTTCTGTCTCGTTGATCTGTCTAATGTTGACAGTGGGGTGTTAAAGTCTCCCATTATTAATGTGTGGGAGTCTAAGTCTCTTTGTAGGTCACTCAGGACTTGCTTTATGATTCTGGGTGCTCCTGTATTGGGTGCATATATATTTAGGATAGTTAGCTCTTCTTGTTGAATTGATCCCTTTACCATTATGTAATGGCCTTCTTTGTCTCTTTTGGTCTTTGTTGGTTTAAAGTCTGTTTTATCAGAGACTAGGATTGCAACCCCTGCCTTTTTTTGTTTTCCATTTGCTTGGTAGATCTTCCTCCATCCTTTTATTTTGAGCCTATGTGTGTCTCTGCACGTGAGATGGGTTTCCTGAATGCAGCACACTGATGGGTCTTGACTCTTTATCCAATTTGCCAGTCTGTGTCTTTTAATTGGAGCATTTAGTCCATTTACATTTAAAGTTAATATTGTTATGTGTGAATTTGATCCTGTCATTATGATGTTAGCTGGTTATTTTGCTCGTTAGTTGATGCAGTTTCTTCCTAGTCTGGATGGTCTTTACATTTTGGCATGATTTTGCAGTGACTGGTACCGGTTGTTCCTTTCCATGTTTAATGCTTCCTTCAGGAGCTCTTTTAGGGCAGGCCTGGTGGTGACAAAATCTCTCAGCATTTGCTTGTCTGTAAAGTATTTTATTTCTCCTTCACTTACGAAGCTTAGTTTGGCTGGATATGAAATTCTGGGTTGAAAATTCTTTTCTTTAAGAATGTTGAATATTGGTCCCCACTCTCTTCTGGCTTGTAGAGTTTCTGCTGAGAGATCAGCTGTTAGTCTGATGGGCTTCCCTTTGTGGGTAACCCAACCTTTCTCTCTGGCTGCCCTTAACATTTTTTCCTTCATTTCAACTTTGGTGAATCTGACAATTATGTGTCTTGGAGTTGCTCTTCTCAAGGAGTATCTTTGTGGTGTTCTCTGTATTTCCTGAATCTGAATGTTGGCCTGCCTTGCTAGATTGGGGAAGTTCTCCTGGATAATATCCTGCAGAGTGTTTTCCAACTTGGTTCCATTCTCCCCGTCACTTTCAGGTGCACCAATCAGACGTAGATTTGGTCTTTTCACATAGTCCCATATTTCTTGGAGGCTTTGTTTGTTTCTTTTTATTCTTTTTTCTCTAAACTTCCCTTCTCACTTCATTTCATTCATTTCATCTTCCATCGCTGATACCCTTTCTTCCAGTTGATCGCATCAGCTCCTGAGGCTTCTGCATTCTTCACATAGTTCTCGAGCCTTGGCTTTCAGCTCCATCAGCTCCTTTAAGCACTTCTCTGTATTGGTTATTCTAGTTATACATTCGTCTAAATTTTTTTCAAAGTTTTTAACTTCTTTGCCTTTGGTTTGAATTTCCTCCTGTAGCTCAGAGTAGTTTGATCGTCTGAAGCCTTCTTCTCTCAACTCGTCAAAGTCATTCTCCATCCAGCTTTGTTCCATTGCTTGTGAGGAACTGCGTTCCTTTGGAGGAGGAGAGGCTCTCTGCTTTTTAGAGTTTCCAGTTTTTCTGCTCTGTTTTTTCCCCATCTTTGTGGTTTTATCTACTTTTGGTCTTTGATGATGGTGATGTACAGATGGGTTTTTGGTGTGCATGTCCTTTCTGTTTGTTAGTTTTCCTTCTAACAGACAGGACCCTCAGCTGCAGGTCTGTTGGAGTTTGCTAGAGGTCCACTCCAGACCCTATTTGCCTGGCTATCAGCAGCAGTGGCTGCAGAACAGCGGATTTTCGTGAACCGGGAATGCTGCTGTCTGATCGTTCCTCTGGAAGTTTTGTCTCAGAGGAGTACCCAGCCGTGTGAGGTGTCAGTCTGCCCCTACTGGGGGGTGCCTCCCAGTTAGGCTGCTCAGGGGTCAGGGGTCAGGGACCCACTTGAGGAGGCAGTCTGCCCGTTCTCAGATCTCCAGCTGCGTGCTGGGAGAACCACTGCTCTCTTCAAAGCTGTTAGACAGGGACATTTAAGTCTGCAGAGGTTACTGCTGTCTTTTTGTTTGTCTGTGCCCTGCCCCCAGAGGTGGAGCCTACAGAGGCAGGCAGACCTCCTTGAGCTGTGGTGGGCTCCACCCAGTTCGAGCTTCCCGGCTGCTTTGTTTACCTAAGCAAGCCTGGGCAATGGCGGGCGCCCCTCTCCCGGCCTCGCTGCCGCCTTGCAGTTTGATCTCAGATTGCTGTGCTAGCAATCAGCGAGACTGTGTGGGCGTAGGACCCTCCGAGCCAGGTGAGGGATATAATCTCCTGGTGGGCCGTTTTTTAAGCGTGTCGGAAAAGCGCAGTATTAGGGTGGGAGTGACCCAATTTTTCAGGTGCCGTCTGTCACCCCTTTCTTTGACTAGGAAAGGGAACTCCCTGACCCCTTGCGCTTCCCAAGTAAGGCAATGCCTCACCCTGCTTCAGCTCGCACATGGTGCGCTGCACCCACTGTCCTGCGCCCACTGTCTGGCACTCCCTAGTGAGATGAACCCAGTACCTCAGATGGAAATGCAGAAATCACCCGTCTTCTGCGTCGCTCACGCTGGGAGCTGTAGACCGGAGCTGTTCCTATTCGGCTATCTTGGCTGCCCTCCGGGCTTCTCTTTCAAATCCAGTGCCACTCACCTCCTCAACTGTGATTCTGATTTTATCATGTTATTCAGGTTCTTACTTCTCAAGGTTTCCTTAAGTTTCCTAAGTCCTCCCTGATTTCATAGTCAGGTATTGGCAGTCACAAAAAGATTAAAAACAAAAAACAAACAACAAACAAATACCGAGATAGACCACCCATGTACCAAAGGTGCCATAAACGTTGAGACCATTCTATAAAAACTGTAATACACAGAAAACAAATGATTAAGAACAAGTATATCCAAAACACTTAACCACAGCTCAAAAGCTATCAGAAGGCAGCATGATGTGATGTAGGGATACTATTTCTGTCCAGCACTTGGAGTAGCGAAGGAACAAAGTTTCCGGTGAGAAATGGAAGTCTCAGACCTGTGCCCCATGCAGGCTAGCAGGAATAGGTCATAATGGGCACTTGATACAGGAATCCTGGAACCTAAAATCTTATAGGGTATGCTGCAGAAGCAAGTAAAACCAACCAGAAAGACATCTCCACAATCGAGACCTGAGAGGACTCAAAAGAGAGAAAACAACTTTCCCAATCAAAAACCACAACCCCACCATGAGTGAGAGTCAGGATACAAGACATGCAGAAGGGCCACTGCCCAAGAACGCGAGACGCTGGACACTAGAAAGTGCTCCCAAGAGCATAAACATAAGGAAAGGTTAAAAAGTTACTAAGAAAAGGACAGGCTGGGCTGGGCGTGGTGGCTCACACCTGTAATCCCAGCACTTTGGGAGGCCGAGGCGAGCAGATTACCTGAGGTCAGGAGTTCAAGACCAGCCTGACCAACATGGTGAGACCCCATCTCTAGTAATAATACAAAAAAATAAGCTAGGCATGGTGGCGCATGCCTATAATACCAGCTACTGGGGAGGCTAAAGCAGGAGAATCGCTTGAACCCAGGAGGCAGAGGTTGCAGTGAGTCGAGATTGTGCCACTGCACTCCAGCCTGCTCAGGAAGAACAAAATTCTATCTCAAAAACAAAAACAAAAAAGGACAGGCTAACTTGCTAAATAGTCAAATATAACTTCCAGAAATAAAATCTAAGAGCCAATAAAATTAGAAATCTAAAAGATAGATTAAATACCCCATCAGACACTGCAGAAAAATGAAAGACAGAGCTGAGATTACCAAGAGATGCAAAAATATGAAAGAGTACATACTGAACGTAGAGGATATGAAGGTTAAAAGTACACTAAACATTAGCTCTACAGGGAAAAACTGGAGGAAAAAAGTGAGAGACAATGTTTGAACAGATAAAAGCTAAAAAATTCCCAGAATTCATGGGAGACAGAAATCCACAGACTGAAGTACAAAAATGAATCCCAAGTAGGATAAATATGAATAAATTACAAGAAGACACATGACAGTGAAACTGTAGAATTTTAGAGAAAAATAATTGTGAAAGCCACTAGAAAAAACAGAAGATGAACAATAATTAGACTGACACAGTCTCCCCATAACACAGGCCAGGCCATGATGAAGAAATTCTCCAAGGCTGCAGGGCAAATAATGATCCACTTAGAACCTGTTACCCACTAACTGTCATCCAAGGAGGTAAAATAAAAACATTTCTCATTAAGAGATACAGATTACCTTCTCTGAATCTCTACATAACAATCTAATAGAGAATATATTTTAGAAAAAGAAATTTTAAGCGCAAAGAAGCTGCACGGATAAAGAAAGAAATACCTAAAGACTGGCAATAAGAAAGTGGTAAATAGGTAAAGAAGGTGATTCTCAAATATAATAATCCTGGAGGATACAAAATAAGTGGAGGTCAAATATCAGACATCAAGAAAGGGGGAGTGGGGATGGGGAACAACTGAAGTAGGAGTCTAGTAAGTCCCTGTACTGCTCAGTAAGGAAGAGAGGAAGATTAATTAACATTTGGGGCAAGGTGGCTCATGCCCGCAATCCCAGCACTTTGGGACACCAAAGCAGGGGGATCACTTGAGGTCAGGAGTCCGAGACCAGCCTGGCCAACATGGTGAAACCCTGTCTCTACTAAAAATACAAAAAATATTAGCCGGGTGTGGTGGTGCATGCCTGTAATCCCAGCTACTCCAGAGGCGGAGGCAGGAGAATCCCTTGCACCTGGGAGAGAGACACTGCAGTGAGCTGAGACGGTGCCACTGCATTCCAGCCTGGGCAACAGAGTGAGACCCTGTCTCAAAAAACAAACAAAAAAAAATTGGACAGGAATTACTTATGTTAAGCATGAGGAGAAGAAAAGAATAAGGGAAGTCTAATCAAGAAAACCTGATCAAGCAGACTAAAGGCAAGGGAAAAAAAAAAGAAATGAAAAAATTAAGGCCACTGCCCTGGAACAAAAGACCACTTCTGTCAGCTGCTCCTGCAACTAGGTGTGGCCAGCATTGCCGTAACCAAGCTGACAGGCCCAGAAGGAGACTCTTTTCTGCCCATCTGCCTGACATCCTCCCTTAAGGTGACTTATGAATGGAAGTCACACACCTCAAGGACAGAACACAGGATGGTAACCTGGGTCCCTAATCATCTGTGGCGCTAGCTACCTTGCTCCCCACTTGTGAGGGCAAATAAACTTCTACTTTCCCTAAGCCATCTAAGTTTGGGTTTCCTATTATATGCAGCTGTACCCACTACTAATTAGTTACAACTTCAACCAGAATGATCTCTAACAATGCTACCTTTAGGTGTTTTGAAGAAATCAGTTTGTTTTTTATAAAGGGAGGTAAAATAATTTGACACAGATATTGTACTTATTTCCCACACATAATACATATTCCTGGGAGCGGGACTTCACAATGAAACAGTATACAACCAAGTAAGCAAACCTTTTAAAGACCACAACAAAAAGCAACCCTGTAAGGGGTCAAGTGTAGAACCACAAATACTGAATGAGACTTGGGTAAAATTTTGAGGGATAGCAACATACACAGATTCAAAAAGTTATGCATCCAAGTATTCAGACAGACGTGAAAATGACAGACTTTAAACATAAATTTTTCAATGCTTCTAATGATGAATATGGTATCCAAGATGCCTAGGAAGAATTAGAATAAAACTGCTGCATGGGGTAAAGGAAAGAGCAGTATTTTTGAATATATTATTTGCACAATGACATTTTAAATATATATGTGCAATTACATTAATAAATCAAATAACATTATTTTTGGCCATTTCTTATACATCCCTTTAAATTTACATATCAAATTGGCCAAGAAACTCTTTTAAATGCTACTGGGAAAATTGTGAATCACCTCATATTTCAGCAGATATTAGTGTTTACTATACAAATAAGTTAGTAATCAAAATAAATGTAAACAGATTAAACTCCTCAGTTAAAAAATGATACTAGGATTAAAATCCAATTATGTACAAAAGAACTACACACAATGATACAGTAAAATTGAAAACAGAGTCCTATTAATCACAGAATAACTAAATGATAGCTGGTGTAGCTACACTGCTATCAGACAAATGGACTTTAAGGTAAAACATAATTTTTGTTAGAGATAAGGGACATTCAAAACGATGTAAAAATGCTGAGCCCACATACATTTCACACCTTCAAACTAAACAATTTAAAAACGAAACAGAGACAGAGAATGAATCCATACGGTGGGTAATACTGATCTTTATACTGTCTCTTTCTTTCTCATTCATTTACATACCAGACAGAAAACGGCTAAGACTGTCAACTATTTGAATAATAATTAAAGTGCTTGATGTAATGGACACAAGACACCTTGAATAAAAGGAATATATAATATAAATTTTTGTGATAAAGCCGTGGAACATTTGCAAAATTTACAATAAAGTAAGACATAAAGCAAGTGTCAACAAGAGCAGCCAAATCATTCAGAAAAGCTATCATCCAGAACATGTTTTTTAATCACATAGCAATAAATTATAAATTACTGAGAAGACAAAAACTCAAGGAAAACATTATGCTTTAGTCAAAGAAAAAAAAGAAAATTAAAAAATATTTAGGTCTGAATAACACACATTAGAAGTATAGCCTACAGGCCGGGTGCAGTGACTCATGCCTGTAATACCAGCACTTTGGGAGGTTAAGGCGGGTGGATCACCCGAGGTCAAGAGATTGAGACCATCCTGGCCAACATGGTGAAACCCTGTCTCTATTAAAAAATAATAATAATAAATTAGCTGGGCGTGGTGGCACACACCTGTAGTTCCAGCTACTGGGGAGGCTGAGGCAGGAGAATGGCTTGAACCTGGGAGGCAAAGGTTGCAGTGAGCCGAGATTGCGCCACTGCACTCCAGCCTGACAACAGGGCAAGACTCCATCCTCCCTCCCCCCAAAAAAAGTATAGCCTACAGCTGGAATAGTACTTAGAAGGGAATTTATAGGCTTAAACACAGAAAAGTTCATTATGCCTCACACTCAATTTTGAAAGTTTGCAGCAAGTTCATTCAGTAGCAAAACCTGTCCTAAACATATATGAAACTCTTTACTGCTTTTATTTACTCAATGGAATGAAACTATTCTGGGGATGCTGCCCTAGACTGCATGAGAGTGGTTCTGTAATAAGGAATACGTACTTTATTATCTTTCAAAACCTTTTTTTAAGCCTGAATCCTGAATTACACTCAGGGTGTTTTGTAAAGAGAATGTCAATCAATACTAGAAAAGATTAAAAATGTAAATTAAGTGTTCAACTAAGTTAGAAAAAGAACAGAGTACACCTAAGAGATATATTAATAGAAGTTAAATAAGAAGTAAAAATTTCAGAAAATACAACATAATAAAGAAAAGTCATGCAATGATCTTAGATGCAGAAATAACATTTGATGAAGTTCAACATCTATTTATAAAACTCTTAGAAAACTAGATCGGAGGAAATGGTCTCGAATTGATAAGACTATAATACCTAAAACCTACAGATATTAACTGGGAAACAAGAGAGCCATTACTTTTATGAATATGAACAAAACAAGGATGCTTGGTATCTTTTTACTATTCAGCATATTACTAAAGGCCATACCAGTAAAACTGTAAGTCCAAAAATGTGAATAAACAAGTGTGCACACACACACACACGTCTGAGAAGAGTCACACTGTTATCAGCAGGTGATATGATCACCTTACATAAAAAACTCAACGAAATCAACAAACCATTGGAATTAATAGTAAATAAAGGTAACAAAATACAAAGTATTTACAGTATCAAGAAAAATATAAAGACAGTAATAAATGATAAGATATACGATGGTCAGCTGAAGGGATGGCTCAACATTTTAAAGATATTACATTTTGCCAAGATAAACTACAAACTCAATGCAATCACAACTAAAATTCCACCAGGATTTCTAATGGAGCTCTATAAACTTCAATAATTACACAGAAGGATACAAGTTCAGGAATGGCTAACTGAATTTAGAAACCGGGAGGTGCTTTACCAGAAGGAAGCAAATACTGTAATATTTGCAGGTAGGCAGAGACCAATGAAAGAATCTAGAATTCATGAGAACTGTGTACATACAAATACCTGGAAAATGACAGCAGTTACCCCACAAACCACTAGGTTTCACACAAATTTTTCTCTACGGATAAAGTTGAACAGCCAGGTATAAAGTGAATTCCAGCCATATTAAAAATCTAAAAGGTATTTTAGAAAAGATAACAAAATGTGGAAGAATGTCTTTGGGACCTCAGGGTAGGAAATGATTTCTTAACCAAGTCTTTAAGAATACAAACCGTAAGGCCAAGATGGATGCATCTGACCAAGTCAAAATTAAGAAATTTGGTTCAACGAAAGATACCAAAGACAAAGTTAACAGACGGGTGATAGAGAAGAGGTTTATTGTATTTCACTGAATCTAAGATGTCATCAATTGTATTTTATCCATCACTAAGGAAGAGAAACAGTGTCAATTAAAATACAATGATGTTTTCTTGTCATGTGCAGCTTTTTAGTTTATGCTTAATGCAAAGGTCTATTATACATTCTTAGACCCAGATTTTTGTTACACTACATTTGTACTTATGAAAAGGAAAATGTAAGTCAAGACATTCCTAAAACCTCTTTAACTGAGTTCTGTCCCTCTCCTCTAAGTCACTGATACCACAAGTTTTCATACCATGTTCTCCTTGCTCTTGGCAGTGTCTTGGCATTTCTTACCAGCATGCTCCACTATGATTTCTGAGATTATCTGACATGTTAACTGTCACCCATTCTCAAGTTCTGATGCTGCAACTTTCCTATTGAACTAACCTCATAGTTTTATCGTCCTTCCAATTAAATCACATGTTTCTAGAAAGTAAGCTGATACTACCCAAAGGCAACAGGAAGTCTGACAAAGAGATCTTCAAAGCCTTTTGTCATCCTCTGCCTCTGCTCTGCAGGTCTGGCCATTTCTCCGGCTATCAGTTGCCTCATTGACCAGCAGGGCATACACTTCAACTGGAGTGCTGACAGTAAGCCCGCCACCACGAAGTTCACTGGTACATAAGCAATGACAACCATGTCACAAACTACCTTCCTGGCTGACAATGACTCATCAGTGACTCTCAGCAGCTTTAAGATTCATCCCCACTTCAAAGATTTTAAACTAGGGAAAAACAGTATGTGTCTTAGAATCAATGTAACAGAGTACTAACTCAAAAATTGACTAAGGATTAAAATCTACAAGGTATACAGAACCTTCGCTAATCAAAAGAAAGACTGGGAATCCAGTAAAAAAACAGGTAAAAGATATGAAGAGGCATTCAAAGAAGCAGAAGACTCCAGTAGCTAAAAAGTAGATGAAGTGATGCTCAAAGGCTCAAACATTAAGAGAAATCCAAAGCAAACAGTATTGCTAAACAGAGATGTAGGGAAAACTTGAATTCCTATATACTATCTCAGGGGACCATAGATGACACAGAAAAGTCCTACAGGAAAATTAGGCAGGCATATATCAGTATCCTATTCCTGGTTCTATACCCCCAGAGAAATTCAAGGGAATATTAGGTTCATGAGGGAATATTAATCAGAGGATTCTTTGCAGCAGTGGGAAATGGGGGCGGTTTAGGTGTCTATCATGAGGAAAATGGAGAAGTAAAATTTGGTGGCTGTATACACAGAAGAATATGTAGCAGTCAAAAGAAATGAACAAGAAATATATGCAGCAACTCTACCTCTCTTTACTGACCCTGCTTTGATATTTCTTCATACCACTTAATATCAGCTAACATTAAAAAACACCTCAACCCTTGATCTCTTCTGAAAGCACACTCAGAAAGCAAATGCAAAATGCCTACAAAGTTTAAAGGTCTAAACCCACCCAGACCAGAACAAGGAGAAAGGTGACAAAATGTGGGAAACTGGAAAGCAAATGGATAAGTTGTATTTGATAAGTCAAAGAGATCAAAGAGAAAGGCAAGCCTAGGCCAGCAGTGAAAAGCCAAGCAGCAACGCCTGAAACATGCTCCCAAACTGGGGCACCAGCTTCCATTAAACACTGGAAAACGGGAAAGGCCGACAACAGGAGGACTGGCTGGGTGCCTAGACAACAGGCAGTCACTCCCCTCCTCCACCCTGAAGAAGTGCTCTCTGGAGAGGCTGTGTATAAACTGGAAGTCCTAAGAATGAGTGAAGGCAGGGGTGCCGTTCTGAAGACAAAAATTAGGTGTGAGTTACATAATGAATGGTAAGACCCTGGGCCTCTTGCCTTCAACTCAGCTCCCAAATGGTGGAAAGCAGCTTTTTACCTGCAAAGTAATAGACTAGAGGACTCCTCTCCTGGGAAACACAAAGCCAAGAGAATAAAAACTATAAATACTAAGTTTGGGGGTCCCCTCAAATAAACGAACAGGTCCCTGTCTGATTATCCTAGTGCAAGCCCCTCAGTCAAAAAGCCCACCCCATCCTCACCCCTCTAAAACACAAATGGTAACTAAATGTGGTGATGGATATGTTAATTTGATTGTGGTCATTATTTCACAATGTGTGTGTGTGTATATATATATAAATATAAAATCATCTTATTATACATCTTGAATATATACAATTTTTATTTAGCAATTATACCTCAGTAAAACTGAAGAAAAAGCCAAGCCCATTTTAACAGGGCTCTCAATGACCATTTTCATGTGTCATTCTTGAAAATAGACCATCCTTACATTTATGGTCAACTGATTTTCAACAAGACAACTCAGAAGGGAAATAGTCTTTTCAACAAACGGTGCTAGGACAACTTGACATCCACCTGGAAAAAGATAAAGATAGGCCTCTACCTCACACCATATACAAAAATTAACTTGAATTACACACTAAATGTAAGGGCAAAAACTATAAACTGTTAGAAGACAGGAAAGAGTAAATCTTCATAACCTTAGATTAAGCCAAAGTTTTTACAGATGACAAAAAAGTACAAGCAACAAAAGGAAAAACAGGGAAGTCAGACATCATTAAAATAAACTTTTGAATTTCAAAGATCACTATCAAAGAAGTAAAATAAAATCCCACAGAATGAAAAAAAAAATCTGCAAATCATATATCTGACAAGGGACTAGGATTCAAAATATATAAAGAACTTTTACAGTTTTAATGATAGAAAGAACCCCCAATTGAAAACAGCTAAGTGATTAAAGTAGACATTTCTCCAAAGAAAATATACAAATGGCCAATAAGCCGATGAAAAGGTGCTCAACATCATTAGTTATCTGGGAAATGCAAATTAAAACCATAAGATCCCACTTCCCACCTACTAGGATGGCTACAATAAAATAGAAAATAATAAGCATTGCTAAGGATGTGAAGAAATTGTAAACCTCATATGTAGCTAGTGGGAATATAAAATGATGCAACCACTTTGGAAAACAGTTTGGGGGTTCCTCAAAATGTTAAACACAGAGTTATCACATGACACAGCAATCCTACTCCTAGGTATATATCCAAGAAAAATTAAAACATTATGCCCATGCAAAAATGTGTACACATTATTTCATAGCAGTTTTATTATTTTTTATTTTTTCATATACTCTTACGAGGGAAAAAACCCAATTGTGCATCAACTGATTAATGTATAAACAAAATGTGTGTATCCATACACTGAAATATTATTTGGTGATAAAATGAAGTACGGATACATGCTACAATGTGGATGAGTCCTGAAAACATTATGTTAAGTGAAAGAACCCAGAAACAAAGGCTAAGTATTGTTTATTCCTTTTAATGTGAAATGTCCAGAATAGGCAAGTCCATAAAGTAGATAAATGGTTGCTAAGGCCTGGGCAGAGGAAGGAGTGGGAAGTAACTGCTAATGGCTTTGGGATTTCTTTTGGGGTGATAAAAATATTTTGGAATTAGATGGTGGTGATAGTTGTATAACTCTGGGAATATGCTAAAAACCACTTAATTATACACTTCAAAATGACAGATTTTATGGTATATAGATTACGTATCAATACAGCTGCTGTTTAAAGGAAAAAAACCTTACACTTCAAAATGGTAAATTTTATGGTAAATAGATTATATATCAATAAGGCTTCTGTCTAAAGGAAAAAAATCTAAGTTAATTCGCTTACTCTTGTGTCAACTCAGTATTGAATGTAAATAGGTATTGCATAAATTGAAGAAAAGTAACACTGAATGTAATCTGATTGGACTCCGGTGAAGACTCCAAGATGGCGATCGGTAACCATCTTGGCTACCCTGACTCAGCATTCCCGGATTCACCGGTTCCCGCCATCTCGGCAGCCATCTTGGCTACCCTGACTTGGCATTTTCGCTTATTCCCGCCATCCTGACAGCCACATCGGGTACCCTGACTCAGCATTTCCGGGTTCACCTTTCCTGTTCCCGCCACCCGGACCAACGCGCATGCCCACTAGGGCGTGTCACACTCAGAAGCACGAAACTCAACCTATCCCGCCCCTACCCCGCCCACTCCTCACCCAGCATCCATAAAAGCGCTCTGCACCTTTGGCACAGCGCGACTTCCCTGGCCCTCCCCCTGCGGACCAGTGAACCTCGCCCGAGAGCTCAGTAAAGATTTTTGCCCTCTTTGTCTCGCCCCTCAGCCTTATTGATCCACAGTGCCCTTCCATTGCCTTTCACTATCAACAAAACAACCTTCAATTTTCTTGTAGTTTCTGCAAACAATTTACATAATGTTCTTGATGACAATAAAAATATTGTGCATATTGAAAAAAAAGAAGGGATGTTAACAATCACCAGATATTGAGGAAGTGTCTAACAGATCAATAAAACTGATAAAACAATCAGTACAGTGCAAAAGGGTAAAAATAAAAAATTTTAAGATGTGTAGGTTTCAAAAAAAAAAATTCACCTTCCATGACCCTTCTCTGAAATCTATCTATAATCTACTGTAAACCAAGAGACAGGAAATAGCCAATGCAGAACAGAGAAAGGAAATTCTCAAGCTAATGGTGATGGGACACTCCAGGGCCACCCTGTGTAGCAGCTGCATATAACAACCAGTCAGGAGTGGAGCAGGAGAAAGAACAAAGAAAGTGAATCTAATAGATAACTAACGTGTGAACATTCTGAATGGAGTTTTATGCTCCTAGAGGCAAACAACATAAAGACCACTGTAGAACCAATCAAGTAACCAAACAAAAATGATTAACTCTGGGGAAAACAAAAGTATCCAATAAAGAAAATATAGCCTCATAACATTGGCCCAACTAATGAATAATACTAATGAAGTCATAAAAATATAACCACTAAATTATCTAAGGACACATTATCCTATATCTGAACTCTGCCAGAAGAAAGGGCAGAGCAAGGTTGCTGCATGAGCTGGGGTCCTGTTAGGGGCACCCAGGGATCGGCACCACAGCCCAAGGTCTGCACCAGGCTGCTGCACTTGCTGGAGGAAGAGTACCTTCCCCTAATCCACACAAAGGCATGACAGGAGCTATTCCAGGCCTGGGCACAGTGAGTGTAGATGTGTTTTCAGAGAGCCAGTCTCAAATCGCCTACAATTAATGGATATACAGTCGCGTGCCATTTAACATCTCAATTGACAAAATGGACCACATATACAACAGTGGTCCTATAAGAGTAAAATACTGTATTTTTACTGTACTTTTTTTTTTTTTTTTTAAGACAGGGTCTGGCTCTGTTGCCCAGGATGGAGCACAGTGGCACAATCTTGTTTCACTGCAACCTCCACCTCCCAGGCTCAAGCCATCTTCCCACCTCATCCTCCCAAGTAGCTGGGACTATAGGCCTATATTACCACACCCACCTAATTTTTTGGATTCTTTGGTAGAGAAGGGGTTTTGTCATGTTGCCCAGGCTGGTCTCAAATTCCTGGGCTCAAGTGACCTGCCCACCTCAGCCTCCCAAAGTGCTGAGATTGCAGGCATGAGCCATCATGCCTGGCCCTATTGTACCTTCTCTATACTTAAATATATTTAGATACACAAATACCATTTTACTACAACTGCCTAGAGTATTCAGTAGAGTAACATGCTGTATAGTTTGTGACCTAGGAGCAATAGGCTATACCATATAGTCTAGGTGCGTACCAGGTTATAGGTACACACTACACATCTAGGTCTGTGTAAGTCCACTCTATGATGTTTGCATGACAATGGAATTGCCTAACACATTTCTCAGAACGTATCTACGTCATTAAGTGACGCATGACTGTAAGGAAACCTGGGGAAAAAAAAGTCAAGAAGAAAATAAAGAACAACATAAGCAAGTTTCTTAACAAAAAAAAAAAAAAGGTAGGTCAGGTATGGGGGCTCACGCCTGTGATCCCAGCACTTTGGGAGGCCGAGGCGGGCAGATCACCAGAGGTCAGGAGTTTGAGACCAGCCTGACCAACATGGTGAAACCCCATCTCTAGCAGCCTAGTTTAGGAAGCTGCTTGATGCCCACAGGGCTATACTGCCCCAGAGAAGGAGCCCACATATAGCACCATCTAGAAAGCCAAGCCATAGCTGAGTATATTCTGTTCCATGAACTAGTGGTCACTGCCTCCTTCCATCCCAGGGGCTACCCTGTCATTACAACAGCCTTCTCCAGGAAAGCAGCTACTGCTGTCTATATCCTAGAAACAAACTCTCAAAGAGGTTTGCCTTCCACATCCTAGTGACTGCAACACTCTAACTGTGGACCGATTACTGATTTATTGTGCCATCAGTGCGCTCACCAACTGGCCCTGGTGTTTCTAGGTGATCCCCATCTCAAACCTGCAGACCAGCCCCAGTAATCCACAGCTAGGCGAGTGTTTCCAGGGGAGTCCCATCTCAAACTGGTGTACCAACCCCTGTGACTCAGTAACACAGTCACTAGATAGGCATGCAGCTTCCTGACACCGCCGCCTTCTCCCCCAGCCCCCAGTCCTGAGCAGAAAAACAAACTGCACATGCTCCTACAGCCTAGGTCACCAAGACACTCACAGGTATCACCAAAATGGATACTAGCAAAAGAAAAAAAAAAAAAACAGGCAAGAGAAAAGCACAGATATTACACTACTGTGTCCTCCTAGAACTAAAGCAGATGCAGCCCATCCAACTGACACCCTAAGACACATCTCCAGGTGAAAATCTTTCTCTACATAAGCCACTCTATACAATTAGAACAGGTGACCGTGTCAACAGTCTCATAAATATAAACATAGGAGATAAAAAGCATGAAAATGCAATGAAACTTGACACCACCAAAGTTGCACAATAATTCTTCACAAAGTTACCCTAAATAAATGGAAATTTTCAAATTGCCTTAAAAGGAATTTGAAATATTGATCTTAAGAAAATTCAATGAGATACAAAAGAATACAGAGAGAAAACTTAATCGAATAATAAAAAAAAACAAGCCATAGCCTGAATGAGAAATTCAACAAAGACATAGATACCATTAAAGAAAACAAACAGGCCAGGCGTGGTGGCTCACACCTGTAATCCCAGCACTTTGGAAGGCCGAGGTGGGCGGATCACGAGGTCAGGAGATCTAGACCATCCTGGCTAACAGGATGAAACCCTGTCTCTACTAAAAATACAAACAATTAGCCGGGCGTGGTGGCGGGTGCCTGTAGTCCCAGCTACTCCGGAGGCTGAGGCAGGAGAATGGCGTGAACCTGGGAGGCGGAGCTTGCAGTGAGCCGAGATCGTGCCACTGCACTCCAGCCTGGGCGACAGAGCAAGACTCCGTCTCAAAAAAAAAAAAAAAAAAAAAGAGAAAAGAAAAAAGAAAACAAACCAACAGAAACCTTAGGAATGAAGAATTGAATGAATTAAATTAAAAAGTACCACTGACAGCTTCAATGGCACACTAGATCAAACAAAAGAATTTCTGAACTTGCAGACAGGACTTCTGAAATAACCCAGACTGAGGGAAAAAAGGAGAAAAAAAGAGTAAAAAGAATCAAAGAAAGTCTATGAGACTTGTGCCATGATACTAAGATAACAGATTTTGAAAATATAGAAGAGAAACAGAGAAAAGAGACAAAGACACAGAAAACTTATTTAACAAAACAATAGCTGAAAATCTCCCAATTCTTGGGAGAGATACGGACATCCAGTTCCGTGAAGCTTAAAGGGACATATTCAACCCAAAAAGGCCTTTTCTAAGGCACATTATAATCAATTTGTCAAAAGTCAAACACAAAGAAAAACTTCTAAAATTAGCAAGAAAGAAGCATCAGATCACAAATAAGCAAGTCTCCATTAGACTATCAGTTTTCACAGCAGAAACCTTGAAGGCTAGGAAAGATGAGGATGATATATTCAAAGTGCTAATGAGAAATCAGTCAGCAAAGAGTACTGTACTGAGCACAGCTACCCATCAGAAATTAAAGAAATAAAGTCTTTCCCAGACAAGCAAATGCTTATGGAATTCATCACCATAAGACCAGCCTGACAAGAAATGCTTAACAAGTGCTTCAATCGCAAGTGAAAGAATACTAATGCAAAAACAGGACACTATCCACCTAACTGTTAAAAGTAAATTCATATTCAAACTGAGAATTCTACATTACTGAAATTAATGCTTTAGAATCTTTCAAATCACCCTTGAGAAAGCTGAACATCAAAATAGTCAAAAATATTTATATCTACAATGAGTTATTAATAAACACCCAATACAGAACAATATAAATTAAGGCAAAAAAGTACAAATTTTGTGCACTGACAAGGGATGTGGGGGTAGTATAGCAGGTTCGTGTGTGATCAAAATTTTTATCAGCTTTAAATAGTCTATCATAACTATACATTTTTAAATGTAAGCTCCAGAGTAACCAGAGAAAAAAATTACACCAGATATGTCAATGAAATAAAGGAATCAAAGCTTATCAGTACAGAAACTCACCAAACCATAAAGCAAACAATAAAAAAAGAAACAAAAGATCTACAAAACAACCAGAAAACAATTAACAAAATGACAGAAGTTAACTTCTTACCTTTTAATAATATCTTTGAATATAGATAGTTTTGATTCTCCAATAACAAGATGTAGAGTGGCCAAATGGTTTTTCATACATGTTTCCCTAGTCCAGACACCCAAGAGTATGTCCCTCTCTTGGGCATAAGAAAACCTAGAGTTATATTTAGGGCATCATGTGTGGTGAATAGTTGACCGAGCTGGCATGCTCACAATGACCAAATTATGTTTGTCATATTTTAATCCAATATATTGATCTACTATGAACTCGTAAATAATGTATTTGCTTTCTAGACACATTCCAGGAAGACCAGAGAAACTGACTTTTATCCATATGGAATAATCCACTGGCAAATTTCTTTTAGGACAGACCAAAGCTGATCTAGAACATAATCTTTACATACGTGGATCCTTCCCATCAGACGAGAAAGAACATCTGGGGTGAAAGGCTCCATTAGAAGAGCAATGTGGGATGGTGCTGTGCTGACAACTGGTAGTTCCTGCCCTACATCTTTGTAGAAGACTGGAGCCCAGAGCATGCCATGGTCAACTTCTATGCTGAAGTGAAGACCTCCTTCGAGGTGTGCACGTGCTTATTACAGATATGCCACGGTGCTAAGTACCCCAGAACTACAGGAAAAAATAAGAATAGATGCTGTATCCATGATCATGAGGCACACAGGCCAGAACGCCAGCTGTGGAATCGCACAGCCCAGGTTCAAAGCCTGGCTGGGCCATGACCACCTGAATGACCTGAGGAATGGTCTCAGGCAAATTTGTAAAAAGCGGAGACCCTGCCTGCCAGGGAGGCATGTGGTAAGAGGCGCATCCAGTCAGGTCAGGGCACCGCGTCCTCTCTTTGGAAACCTGCGAAGCAAGGCTGGTGGCCCTTGAGGCCACGGCAGCCATGGAGAAGGCGGGCCTTGCTCCAGGCGGCACAGAGGCACTGGAAAGGCCCCGGGGGAGCCTGGCAGGATCTGGCTGGTCCTGTGCTCTGCTTCCAGGTTCTGGCCCTGTAACCCGGGGGACAGGGCCGTCCAAGACAGGGCCACTGGGTGCCAGCCAGCACCTGGGCCAGGCGCCATGGCTCTGGCGGATCAGCCCCGCACCCCCAACAGCCCCACAGGGGGGCCCATCCAGGGCCACACACCTGCCCCCAGGAGCAGGACGTCCCTGAGGCTAGAGTCCAGGGGGACTGGTGGAAGGGTCTCACCCTTTGCCCTTTGACTCCTCTTGTAGGCACCCTCGCTGGGCTCCTAAGCACTCCTTCACACCCTGGCTCTGTCACCAGCCCCATAGTGATGTCATAAACTCCCAGATGCCCAGTGTGCACCCGGCCACAGAGAAGTGGGTGACTTCGGAGTATCCTCTCCGCTTCTGACCCTTAGTTTCGTCTGTGCACAACTCGCTCAAAATGGGCAACTCACTAAGCATATTTTGTTCCTGGTTCCACCGCAGGTCCTGGCCACGCCACCGGCAACCTGCTCGTCTTGTCCGTGAGGCCTTCCCAGCTGGCCGGGCTCACCCCGCGGCTCCTGCACCTGTGCCTGCCCCGGGAATCTGGGGCCGTTTCCCACTCCTCTTCAACCGTCAGCGACATCTTGGGCCTTCTTTTCCAGTCAGGTGGGATGGCGCCCCTGTGAGGCTGTGTCTTATCCCTCGGAACACGGGCACCCCACAGAGGGTCCTGCCTCCTGTGGTCTGGAGCCCCCCCCTCAAGGAAGAAACCCGTGCTGTCTGCTCGCAACTCCAGGATGTTTGGACACCTCAGCCCCGTGAGGATCTCTTGTCTCAGAGGCAAGTTTAACCTTCAACTTCCTTCATTAGATGAGCAGGTGATCCCAGCCAGGCTCCCGAAGATGGAGGTGAGGGCAGAAGAGCCCAAAGAAGCAACGGAGGTGAAAGACCAGGTAGAGACCCAGGGGCAGGAGGACAATAAAAGGGGCCCCTGTAGCAATGGGGAAGCAGCTTCCACCTCTAGGCCCCTGGAGACTCAGGGAAACCTCACTTCCTCCTGGTACAATCCCAGGCCCTTGGAGGGAAATGTCCACCTCAAGAGCTTGACAGAAAACAACCAGACTGACAAGGCCCAGGTGCATGCAGTGAGTTTCTACTCCAAGGGCCATGGAGTCGCCAGTTCACACAGCCCTGTTGGAGGCATCCTTCCCTTTGGGAAGCCTGACCCACTTCCAACAGTGCTCCCTGCCCCAGTTCCGGGCTGCTCCCTGTGGCCAGAGAAGGCGGCCTTGAAGGTGCTGGGTAAAGACCACCTGCCCAGCTCTCCAGGCTTGCTGATGGTGGGGGAGGACATGCAGCCCAAGGATCCTGCAGCTCTTGGATCAAGTAGGTCTTCTCCACCCAGAGCTGCCGGCCACAGGTCCCGCAAAAGAAAACTGTCGGGGCCACCGCTGCAGCTGCAACCGACCCCTCCCCTGCAACTGAGGTGGGAGAGAGATGAGGGGCCCCCACCGGCTAAGCTTCCATGTCTATCTCCTGAGGCACTGTTGGTGGGTCAGGCTTCCCAAAGAGAAGGACGCCTCCAGCAGGGCAACATGCGTAAGAACATGAGGTTGTTAAGTAGAACATCAAAATTCAGGAGACTAAGAGAGCTGCTTAGGAGGAGAAAGAAGAGACAGCAGGGCAGGCGTGGTGGCCCACGCCTGTAATCCAGCACTTTGGGAGGCCCAGGCGGGTGGATCAGGAGGTCAAGAGATTGAGACCTGAGGAGCATCTCTGCCTGTACCATCTGGGAAGTGAGGAGCGCCTCTGCCCGGCTGCTCCACCATCTGGGAAGTGAGGAGCGCCTCTGCCCAGCCGCCCCACCATCTGGGAAGTGAGGAGCGCCTCTGCCTGGCCACCGCACCGTCTGGGCAGTGAGGAGCGCCTCTGCCAGGCCCCCACCCTCTCTGGGAAGTGACGAGTGCCTCTGCCTGGCCGCCTCACAGCCCGGGAAGTGAGGAGTGCCTCTGCCCAGCCGCCGCCCTGTCTGGGAAGTAAGGAGCGCCTCTGCCTTGCCGCCGTCCTGTCTGCGAAGTGAGGAGTGCCTCTGCCCGGCCTCCTCACCGTCTGGGAAATGAGGAGCGCCTCTGCCTTGCCGCCGTCCTGTCTGCGAAGTGAGGAGTGCCTCTGCCCGGCCTCCTCACCATCTGGGAAATGAGAAGCACCTCTGCCTGGCCGCCGTCCCATCTGGGAAGTGAGGAGCACTTCTGCCCAGCCGCCACCCTGTCTGGCAAGTGAGGAGCACCTCTGCCCGGCCCCCTCACCGTTTGTAAGGGAGGAGCGCCTCTGCCCAGCCCCTGCACCGTCTGGGAAGTGAGGAGCGCCTCTGCCCGGCCCCCTCACCATCTGGGAAGTGAGGAGCGTCTCTGCCCGCTGCTGTGCAACCTTCCAAGTGTGAAGTGACAGCCTTGTGTGTGATCTTTCTGCCCTCCCCAAGTCTGCATTTTCGACATTAAAGTTTACTTTTTAATTAAAAAAAAGGAGATTGAGATCATTCTGGCCAACATGGTGAAACTCCGTCTCTACTGAAAATACAAAAATTAGGCAGGCATGGTGGCTTGTGCCTGTAGTCTCAGCTACTCGAGAGGCTGAGGCAGGAGAATGGCTTGAACCCAGGAAGTGGAGGTTGCAGTGAGCCGAGATCGCACCACTGCACTCCAGCCTGGTGACAAAGCAAGACTCCGTCTCAAAAAAAAAAAAAAAAAAAAGTAAGACATGGCAAACTGCAGTGGCACCCAGCCTGCCCCTGCTGTCTCCACACCTGCTGAGACTCCCTGCCCCTGGCCACCTACACTTCACGGATCCCAGCTCCTCGTCTTACTCTGACTCGGCCCACGTGCTGTTGGGCCCCTCATTTTGCCTGTCCCTCCACCTTCTCTCACACCAAGAATTGAGTAAAATTTGATATCCATAATTCCTAACTCTTCCCTGGCTCTTCCCACTGACCTTGCCCCCATTTTGGGGGTTCCACCTAATGAGAAAGGAGGCTGCTCTCATTCAGCTGCAGTTTCAGTGCCTCTGACCTCTGACCCATGCCCCACACATCCTAGCCCCACATCTTTCTCCTTCCAGCCTCCCTTCAGAAGGGAGCCTCCTACACCCATATGTGTGCATTCCTCTCCTCCTCTTTCCTCCCCTCCTCCTCTTCCAGCAACTTTACTATAGAAAACAAAAGACCCAAGTATGCAAGCAATATATACCATGTAAATGGGTAGTGAGATTAAGTATCAGCAAGATACCAAGCCTCCTAAATTAATCCATAAATTCAACACACTTCTAATAAAAAACCCAAATGCATTTTTTTGGTTAAATATGATCACCTAAACCTAAACTCACAGTGAAGAAGGGTCAAGAATAGTCTAGACAATTTTGAAGAACACGGAGATAGAAAAACATTCTAATCAACGTTTATTATAAAGCTGTGGTATACATGAATGAGTCTCTGGTATAAGGAGATACGAATATATCCAATGAATAAAAATAAAAGCCAGAAATAGACCCTTTAGAAGGGAATCTGGCTTACCAAAGAAGGGAAATTTCCAAGCAGTAGGTAAATACTGGATTATTCAACTAATAATGCTGAGACAACTGACCATCATATGGAAAACAATCAAATTAGATCTTTAGGGTAGGAAACGATTCCCTAAGACTTCAAAAGACCAAACTATAAAAGATTGGTAAATTTGGGCCAGGTGCGGCGGCTCACGCCTGTAATCCCAGCACTTTGGGAGGCCGAGGCCGGCGGATCACAAAGTCAGGAAATCGAGACCATCCTGGCTAACACAGTGAAACTCCATCTCTACTAAAAATACAAAAAATTAGCCGGGCATGGCAGCATGCGCCTGTAGTCCCAGCTCCTCGGGAGGCTGAGGCAGGATAATGGCGTGAACCCGGGAGGCGAAGCTTGCAGTGAGCCGAGATTGCGCCACTACACTCCAGACTGGGCGACAGAGCGAGACTCTGTCTCAAAAAAAAAAGATTGGTAGGTTTGATTTCAGAATATATAAAAGTTTTATAAGACTGAAGAGATCTACAGAAGTAAAGAATAGAAGCTCCTGTTTGATCAGATCAGAATCAGAACAATACTACTCAGGAAAATATCTTGTATCACATTTTAAAATAAACCAAGTATTTTTATGGCAACAGGCATATATGGTAAAATTATAAATATAGGCAAAGAAAACACAATCACCAACTTCAAGACAGTAGTTATCCGTATGAGAGGCAAGAGTAAGTGATGGATGTGAAGGAATTTCTTAAGATGCATTTGTAATATTGTATTTACCTGTAAAAGTAAGTTTGAATTAAAAATAGCAAAATGTTAACACCAATTAATTCTGGGTGGTAGGTATATAGGTGTCTGATATCTATATCTATATCTGATAACTTTCTATATTCTTACTGTATTTCTTAATTAATGAAAATACATACAATATAGCAAAGATAGCCAAGAGAATGAAAAGTAAAAAATAGATGAGACACTGGAAGCAAGGAGGAAAGAGGCATAAGTGAGCGGAAGCTCCATAATTCATATTGTGGGGATCAACAGGTGTTGTCTGTAGTTGATGAATCAACAAATGGTAGTTAAGCATACTATACAGTATCTAGAATTATGAGGGTAACGTGCGACAAATTTAAAATCAGAAAATAACCAGATGGGTAAAAAGCAGAAGTCTGTTGCTTTTCATTTTAAGTGTTCGACCATTGGAAATATTAACATGTGTGCATTCTTGGAAAAAAGGGCAAACATTAATGCTTAAATTGGAGATTTTAAAAAATGCCTGTATCATCCCTAGAATAAATTTTTTAAAATCAGGAGCTAAAGCTGTTACTCCTGGGAACTTCAAAATGTTTTGTTTCAGATAAAAAAAGGACTACTACATATAAAGCACTATAGACTGCAGGTTACTACAAGAAGCCAAATACAAGTACTTCAGGTAGCAAAATCAATTTACCCTGAAACGATGTTGTAGTTGAGAGCAGGATGGTCTTTTGGGACAGGAGGAACAAGAGGTTCTGGTTGCCACTCTTCAATCAGTTCTTCTTTTTCCTACAGGAGAAAAAGAATTAAAATACAGTGCAGTGCTAATATTATCAATTATTAGTGTCTCTGCAACTTCAGTATTTCTTATTATTCTAATTCTACTAACTATTCTCAAGTTCGCTGTCACTCTTATTCAAGCTTATGTCTTCACACTATTAGTACGTCTTTGTTCGCATAATACATAATGACCCACCAGACACATGCCTACCATAGAGTTGTACCTAGCCCTTGACCACTAACAGGAGCTCTCTCGGCTCTCCTAATAACATCTGGCCTAACCATAGGATTTCACTTTAATTCTACCACTCTTTTAACTTTAGGCCTACTAACCAACACACTGACTATATATCAATGATGACGTGATATTGTCCGAGAAAGTACATTCCAAGGCCACCACACAGCAATTGTCCAAAAAGGCCTCCGATACAGGATGCTCCTATTATCTCAGAAGTATCCTTCTTCGCCGGTTTTTTCTGGGCATGCTATCACTCCAGTTTAGCACCAACCCCAGAATTAGGAGGACATTGACCCCCAACAGCTATTCTTCCCCTGAACCCTTCAGAAGCACCTCTCCTAAATACGTCTATATTACTTGCATCAGGAGTTTCAGTGACTTGAGCCCATCACAGCCTAACAGAAGGTAACCAAAAACAAACAATTCAAGCACTACTTACCACAATCCTCTTAGGAGTCTATTTCACCCTTCCACAAATCTCAGAATATTTCGAGGCCCCCTTTATTATCTCTGATGGAATCTACAGCTCAACATTCTTTATAGTCACAGGCTTTCATGGACTTCATGTTACTATTGGATCAACAATTCTCACCATCTGCCTTCTCTGCCAATTAAAATTTCATTTTAGGCCGGGCATGGTGGCTCATCCCTGTAATCCCAGCACTTTGGGAGGCCGAGGTGGGCACATCACCTGAGGTCGGGAGTTCGAGACCAGCCTGACCAACATGGAGAAACCCCGTCTCTAATACAAATACAAAATTTGCTGGGCGTGGTGGCACATGCCTATAATCCCAGCTACTCGGGAAGGCTGAGGCAGGAGAATCGCTTGAACCTGGGAGGCGGAGGCTGCGGTGAGGCAAGATTGCGCCATTGCACTCCAGCCTGGGCAACAAGAGCGAAACTCTGTCTCAAAAAAAAAAAATTCATTTTACATCCAACCACCATTTTGGCTTTAAAGACGCCACTTGATATTGACACTTTGTAGATGTCGTATGACTATTCCCATGTGTCTCTATCTACTGGTGAGGGTCCTACTACTCTTTTAGTATAAGCAGTACCACTGACTTCCAATCAACTAGTTTCGACAAAGTCTGAAAAAGAGTAATTAACCTAGCACTAGCCCTAATAACTGACACTTTATTAACTCTATTATTAGTAGTAATTACATTTTGACTTGCATAACTTAATACTTACATAGAAAAATCCAGCCTTTATGAATGTAGATTTGATCCATTAACCTCTACCCACCTCCTCTTCTCCATAAAATTCTTTCTAGTAGCCATCACATTTCTCCTATTCGATTAGAAATCGTCCTATTCCTACCCCTGCCATGAGCCCTTCAAACAAATAACCTTATACTAATAATCAGTACAACCCTTCTACTAATTACCATTCTAATCCTAGGCCTAATTTATGAATGAACCCAAAAAGGATTAGATTGAGTTGAACTGGTAAATAGTTTAAATTAAATGATTTCGACTCATTAGATTATGATAGACCATATTTACCAAATGCCATTTATTTATATTAACATTATATTAGCATATACCATAGCACTGCTGGGAGTACTAATCTATCGATCCCACCTAATACCATCTCTATTATGCCTAGAAGGCATCATACTATCAATATTTATCATAAATACACTCATAATTTTAAACATGCATTTCACTCTAGGATTCATAATACCCATTATCCTCTTAGTATTTGCTGCCTGCAAAGCCGCAGTAGGCCTTGCTTTCCTAGTCTCAATCTCCAACGCATAAGGCCTAGACTATGTACAAAATCTAAATTTACTCCAATGCCAAAAATTATTATTCCAACAATTATACTGTTACAATATAACTCTCCAAAAACTCTATAGTCTGAATATAGCTACTCATAGCCTATTCATCAGCCTCATTACCCTATTATTTTTTAATCAACCAAACAATAATTCATCTAACTTCTCATTAACTTTTTCTTCTGACGCATTAACATCACCTCTTCTAATCCAAACAGCCTGACTACTACCTCTTATAATCCTAGCAGGCCAACATCACCTATCTAATGAATCACCCTTATGGAAAAAAACTCCGTATTTCCAAATTAATTTTCCTACAACTTTTTTAAATTACAGCATTTACAGCCACAGAACTAGTCATACTTTACATTCTTTTCGAAGCTACACTCATCCCTACCCTAATCATTATTACCTGCTGAGGTAACCAACCAGAATGCCTAATGCAAGCTCATACTTATTTTACACACTAGTAGGATCCCTTCCCTTACTTATTACACTCATCCACACCTGAAATAGCTCAGGTTCACTAAATATCCTAATAATAATGTTTACTAATCAAGAACTATTAAACTTCTGATCTAACAACCTTATATGACTAGCATGTATTATGGCTTTTATAGTAAAAATACCCCTATACGAACTTCACCTATGACTCCCTAAAGCCCACATAGAAGTCTCTATTGCCAGCTCAGTAGTTAGGAGGCTACGGTATCATATGACTTACCCTCATCCTCAGCCCCCTAATAGAATATATATCCTACCCCTTCCTCATACTATCCTTATGAGGAATAGTTATAACAAGCTCTATTTGTCTAAGACAAACTGATTTAAAATCACTTATCACTCATTCCTCCGTAAGCCACATAGCACTTGTTATTATAGCTATCCTTATTCAAACCCCCTGAAGCTTTTCAGGCGCAGTCACTTTACTTCAACTTCGGCAATATCAAAATTGTCTGCTGCAATGCAAAAGTCACAGTGAATACACTGCTAGAAATACCATGTCTCGTTGTGGCTAGAATAAAAACAATCACTTGTGAGTTTTGTGCACTAACCACCCTCGCCTCTTTCCTTATCACTAGAGCTAGAGGTTCTTTTCCATGTAGTTTTGTGGGTGACTTGACAATTTATGAAAATTTAACTTCTATGCTCAGAATTCTTTTTTGATTTACCATACACATAAAAATTCAATTTGAGATGGGTATGAGTAGGATTCTTTTCTACTCTGACTCTCCTTTAAGAAGACCACAGGGGAATCTTTATCCCATACTTCAGAAATAGTTGTGCTATTCTGCAGCAACTCACACAACACTTATGAATATTCAAACTCCAGTAGTTGCCCATGCTTCCCTCTAACCATCTATTTGCAAGACTGCTGTTTACTCCTAGCAAAGTATCCAAGACCATAATATGGTCTTCATTTGGGTACTGACTTTATTTCTAGATTTCCCCATATTTTGCCTACCCTAATAATTCATTCCCCTTGATTTCCTTACATTACAGAAAATGCTTTAACACACATGGTTGAGCCACCACAAATCCTTTCTGGAAAGACATAGCAACTATAATCACATACCCAATAATTAAAACAGAGATTTAATTTCGTACCTTGACTGTAAGATCAGATCGTTCTTGTAATTTGTAAGTCTTAGAGAAAAGAAGTCTGATTATCCAGAGGATCAGAATCCCTTCCAAAATAAGATGGTAAGCAGGAGCCTAAGAGTGAGTCAAAAACAAGTAAGATATGAAACATACACTTCTAACACCTGCACATAAAATTTACTACACCTGCATATACTGCCTCCTGTGACTTTTAGCCTATTCTTAACAATTTACTTTCGAAGCTCCCTTAATTTCTATTCATTCCTTTCCCCATTTCTAATAGCAGGCAATTTCTCCCTCACATGAAAAACCCCTAATATTTTTAGCTTTTAAAACTTCTTTGGGAATAAAAATTAAAATTAAAAAAATAAAATCTAGGCCAGGCGTGGTGGCTCATACTTGTAATCCCAGCACTTTGGGAGGCCAAGGTGGGCAGATCACCTGAGGGCGGGAGTTTGAGACCAGCCTGACCAACATGGAGAAACCCTGTCTCTATTAAAAATACAAAATTAGCTGGGTCTGGTGGCGCATACCTGTAATCCCAGCTACTTGGGAGGCTGAGGCAGGAGAATCGCTTGAACCCAGGAGGTGGAGGTTGTGGTGAGCCGAGATCACACCACTGCACTCCAGCCTGGGCAACAGGAGCAAAACTCCGTCTCAAATAAATAAATAAATAAAATCTAACACAGAATCCCAATATTAACCATCGGATTATTTAATTTCAGTGGTTCTTTTTTGGGTACACTATACAAGACTACTCAAATTCTACATTCAACACGCATAGGATTTGGGAGTAAGAAGTTTATGATGAATTTTAAAATTTGCTCATCCCCCTAAATACAATTCATTTATGAATAAGTCTAAATACCCTTTTAGTTTTCTCAATAGTTGGATTCTAGCAAGCAAACATCTGCCCCAGCCACTAGTTAAGAGCCCACTCCAAAAAGAAATCACCCTAAGAAAAGCTGAGAAACTCTCTCTCTAGTGAATTAATAAAAATCACAAACACCACTTCTTTTCCTTCCCAGGAAATGTTACATACAGGAGTTCTCCCAAGTCTCACTGTTGGACAGTTTCGGGGAATGAGAAGTTACACTACTGTCAGTCTTCAAAAAGGGAGCAAACAACATTTAACAGAAAATAATCCATTTCTTTAAAAAATCATTTATAAAAAAGATCATTCAATTTTAGTGGCTCATTTTAGGTCACTACAGTTAACCTAATACTGGGCATCACTTAATACATGAGCATAAGACAGAGCCACATCTGCTGTCTCTGCTGTTTCAAGATAAAATTCCCAGTATGTCCTGCAATGGAAGACACTGTCATTACCCCTACCAGTAGACGGTGATATTAAGTTTGGTGATATTAAATCATCAAAAGTAAAGTGAAATTCACTTGAAATGAATGTAAGCTCTTTAAGCACAGGGACTTCTGCCTATTTGTTCACCGCACTATCCCTAGCATCTAGATCTGTGTGGTCCAATGTGGACAGTCACTAAGTTACACGTGGCTATTTAAGTTAAATTAAAAATTCAGTTGCAGCTGGGTGTGGTAGCTCATGCCTGTAATCCCAGCACTTTGGGAGGCCAAAGCAGGAGGATTACTTGAGGCCAGGAGTTCGAGGCCAGGCTGGGCAACACAGCAAGCCCCCGTCTCTATTAAAAAAAAAAAAAGATTAGTTGGGCATGGTGGTATGTGGTCCCAGCTACTCGGGAGTCTGAGGTGGGAGGATCGCTTGAGTCTGGGAGGTCAACGCAGCAGTGAGCTGATCGCACCACTGCACTCTAGCCTGGGCGACAGAGTGAAACCCTGTCTTTAAAAAATAAAATAAAATAAAATAAGTTCTTCAGTGCCCAATGAATAGCTCTGCAAGACAGCACGGGGACTCTCAGTTATTAAATGAATGAACACTAAGATTGACATTCTGGTTTCTTATTATCTTATGTATCTGAAATAACTAGGCTTCAAAAAACTCTTAACTATTCTTCCTTTAAAAGTCTACGGCCAGGTGCAGTGGCTCAAGCCTATAATCCCAGCACTTTGGGAGGCCAAGGCGGGCGGATCACCTGAGGTCGGGAGTTCGAGACCAGCCTGACCAACATGCAGAAACCCCGTCTCTAATAAAAATACAAAATTGGCCGGGCATGGTGGCACATGCCTGTAATCTCAGCTACCTGGGAAGCTGAGGCAGGAGAATCGCTTAAACCCGGGAGGCGGAGGTTGTAGTGAGCCGAGATCACGCCCTTGCACTCCAGCTTGAGCAACAAGTGCGAAACACCGTCTCAAAAAAAAAAAACAAAAATAAATAAATAAAAATCGACTAAACTAGTTGTATCTTTATAAGACAGAAAACTGATGTACGCAGAAGAATGACAAACTATTTTTTATTCACAAATCCTAAGTCACTTGATTTCTTTTCGACAAAAACAAACTCCAATTTATTACAATTTTATTCCCCAACGAACTGTACCGTAGTTCCAAAGAGCTGACTTCCTTAGGACCTTCCCAGACGAAGGTGTTCCACTCATTTTCACCACTCCGTTTTATCGTCCGTCTAAACTCTGGTTTTTGCAGACCTGTCTCCTGCGTCCCCTTACACGTGTTCCTTTCCGGAGCTTCCAGGGGACCCGGAGCATAAGAATTCAAACCGAGACCCTCAGTCCCAGCCCCCGCCCCCGCCCGTTCCTCCCTACACTCAACCGCTGGGACTAGAAGCTCCCGGCAGTCCTTCCAGCAAGAGGCACCGAGTCTGGGCGTGACCGAGCCAGTCCCGCCGAGGTCTCAGGCCACAAATCCACACGCGTCCTCCCACCCTCCCCGGGCCCGGGTGTGGTCGCGGACCGCTAATGGCGCGGAGCCCACCTCGTAAAGCGCCTGTACCATCTCCACCAGAACCCACTGCTCCGTGGCGGTCGCCATAGTTAGCCGCTTCCTTCCGGAAGGCGGGTCACAAGCGCGTCCCAAAAGTGCGCGTCGCTGCTCAGTGTCGTTATCACCTCCGCAGAGGGCGGGGCGGCGGAGCGCTGGGCACCGCCTACTCGCACTTGCGCACTGGTTGACAGGAGGCTGGACGGGGTCAGGTGGGATGCCGCAGTTTTTCCAAGAATTGTTTACCTTGTGTCCTATTACCCTCCCTGCTGGATTCAGGATGGAGAAAGTAGTAATGAACGGGCCTTACACTTGGTCATCAGCTGGGCGCAGAGAGTTAAAATGATTGCAATACGTTTACTTTATTTTTTTTTTTTTGAGACGGAGTTTCGCTTTTGTTGCCCAGGCTGTAGTGCAATGGCGTGATCTCGGTTCACCGCAACCTCCGCCTCCCGGGTTCAAGCGATTCTCCTGCCCCAGCCTCCCGAGTAGCCGGGATTACAGGCGTGGGCTACCACGCCTGGCTAATTTTGTATTTTTAGTAGAGACGGGGTTTCTCCATGTTGGTCAGGCTGGTCTCAAACTCCTGACCTCAGGTGATCCGCCTGCCTCGGCCTCCCAAAGTGCTGGGATTAGAGGCGTGAGCCACCGCGCCTGGCCAATACGTTTACGTTTAGTAGCATAAGTAATCCAGCAATGCATTATCATTAAGAAATGCATAATTATACACAAAAATAGCCAACCCATATAGCACTTCCTGTTTTGTCAGACATAGGCCAAGGCTTTGCAGGTATTAAATCATATAGCAGTTTGGTAAAGAACCTTTTAGAGCCTTCCAATGCATATGCAAACAGTATGCACGCGCACATACTTAATTGGATTGGATTTCTTAAATATAATTGAGATCATAGGGACAAGACTTTTCTACAACTTTTTTTAAATTTTTTTTCTAGCATTTTTTTCCTAATATATCTCATATTTAATGGCTGAAGACTTCCATGGAATAATTTATGTATATTCATCGTTCCATTTTATGTAAACGTTTCCCTATTGGTGAATACTTATGTTGTTCCCACCTTTCCCCTATTACAAATAATGCTGCCATAACTGTCGATGTTCCTTGTGTGTATATCTTTCTGTGCATGTTGGAGTTTTTCTGACCAGTTTTTTCAACATGGGATATATCTGAAGACTATGCACGTTATTAATTTTGATAAGTACTGCCAAAATGGCTCAACCAATTAAAATAATTTGGAAGTTTTTCTATGCTCTAGTCCATGATGGATATTATCAATCTTTTAAAAAAATTTGCCAGTTTAATGGAGATAAAATGATACCTCACTATCCTTTATTATTGATGCTTCTGGTTACTCATGAGGTTGTGCAGCTTCTTATATGTTTATTGGCATTTATAGACTGTATGAATCGCCAATTCATATTCTTAATCCATTTTTCTATTGGTTATTTTTGCCTTCTTATGGATTTGTAGGAACTCTATACATTCTGAATATCTTATATTTTTCTGTTTCATATGTGAAAAATATTTTTGCTCAGTTGCCGCCTAGTTGTTTCTGCTCTTTCATCATACTTTAATTTTAAATTTTATGTAGTGCTTCAGTCTGTTTTTTGCCTCTGGATCTGCATATTGCTTAGAAAGGCCTTCTTCACCACATCTATGGTTTCCAACCATTCTTGCAGCAGTTTGTTGTTATTTGCAATTAGCTCTTTACTCTGGAAACTATATTTTTGGATAATGAGAGTTAAGGGACTTAATTATGTTTTTTTCTAAAGGAATAACAATTTTTTGAGTGCCATTTATTTGAGTAACCCTGACTTTCCCCAGAATTCTGAAATGGTACCAGTGCTATTGATACAGGAGCCAAAAAGAAATTATTTAGGCAGATAGTGAAGGTAAGAGAGTCCTCAGCAGAGCTTCTTTCTGAACAAAAAGCAACCCCAAAATTATTTCTTTTTTGCAAAGAGCAGCCTGAAAAATTGAGCTACAAACATAGATAAGCAAGCTGGCAGTGCACGGGAGAATGCTGGCAGTTGTGCCGATAGAAAAAGACTACCTGGAAGCCAGGTATGTTCAATATGGAGACTCCATCTTCCATTTTCTTTGTCACCACGTGTACAGTGAAGGAACAGGCAACATGGCATCAGTCAGGTAGAGAAGCCATCTGCAGAATAAAATATTAGGGTGGGAAGGCCAGCTTCTTCATGCACTATGCAAATGGCACACCTGGTCCAACCAGTCTTTCATTCCCTACGTAAATCAAACGCCACTTCCTCAAGCTCATCTATAAAACCCTGTGCGTTTCACCGCAGAACTGGCAACCCATTTTCTCTGGGACCCCTTTCTCTGCACAGATAGCTCTTCTCTTTCGTTTGCCTATTAAACTTCTGCTCTTAACCTCACTGTGGTGTGTCGCGTCCTAGTTTTCCATGGCTGTGGGACAATGAACCTCAGGTATTACCCCAGATAATGATGCCGCTACACTATGTGCTACATTTCCACATAAGCTGGCGATATGGAGTCCGTGTCAGTGCTCTGCTCACAGTCCTGTGCTTGCGTGCATTTCCTCCCCCGGGTGCTTTCCTTCCAGCAGCCACGCCTGCATTTCTCAGAGGACCCCCTTGAAGGCTGCCATTCCCACGTTTCCTGCTCTCCTGGAGAGTTGGAAGTATCTGAGAATGTATCTTCTCCTGGGCAGTACTTACCAGTGTGGATTACTGATGGTAGCTGGGATATAAATATTGCAGCTTCCTTGCCCTACTTAGCAAGACAACTCTGAGGGGTGAACTTCACCATACTCTCTGCAATTCTGAGTCAATGGTACTATCTGCAAATTCTTTTACACACTCATCAAAAGGCATATCTTTGTGGCAGCTTCTATAAGAGAATACAGCTGCCATGTAGAAAGATCATGTGAGAACCACATAGAAGGGGAAAGAGATGACTAAGGGGCCCCAGCTGCCCCAGTCCCTGGCTGTTTGAGTCTTACTAGTCCAGGTACCAGACGTGTGAGGGACGACACCTTCGAGGTGGCTCCAGTTCCAGCCACCATCTGGTTACCACCACTGAGAGACCCTGAGTGAGGTATGCCTAGCTAAGCCCAGATGACACCCAAATGTGTGGGCAAAAATAAACGATTGTTATTGTTCTAAGCCACTGTTTTGGGATTGTTATATTTTGGGATAACTGGAAGGAATACACCGTGGGACTTTGCTTGATTTGGAACTTTTGCTTGGCCTCTGTATCAGTTTCCTAGGGCTGCTGTAACACACGATCACAAACTGGGTGCCTTGAAACAGCAGAAATTTATTCTGTCACATTTCTGGAGGCCAGATGTACAAAATTAAGGTGTTGACAGGGCTATACTCCCTCCAAAGGCTCTGGGGGGAGAAGACTTTTTTTGCCTCTTCCAGCGAGAGCCTTAACTTAGTTACATCTGTAAAGAACCTTTTTCCAAATAGGCCATGTTCCCAGGTTCTATTCCCTGATTCGAATGTTAACATGTCTTTTTGGGCTCTACCATTTAACCTACTATAGTCCAACCTCTGGCCTTCCAAATTCACATCTGCCTCATGTGCAAAATACATTCATTCCGTCTCAACATCTCCAAAAGTCTTAACTCTCACCTAAATATCATAAAAATTAATTCAAAGAGTCTCAAATATTCACATATAAATAATCAGGTGTAGGTGAGTCTATGGGTATGAGCTATGCAAGGGCAAAATTCCTCTGCATCTATTGACTAGTGAGACTAGAAAAGAAGTTACCTGCTTCGAAAACACAAAGGTGGGCCACGTATATGATAGACAATCTCACTGCAAAGCAGAGAAATTAGAAGGAATAAAAGGGTCATCAATCCCAAGCAAGTTAGAAATCCAACAAGGCAAAGTCATTTGGTTTCAAGGTCTGGGAATAATCCTCTGTGGCTTGAAGCTGTGTCTTTTGGGCTCATGGCTTCATAGGCCTCTTTGCTCATGGCAACTTGGTAGGTCTCTGCTCTTGAACATTCAGCCTCTACCCCTGTGCCCATGACCCTGTCCTCATAGTGATTCTTCCTTTTTCTTGAAGGGCAGCACATGCTGATACCTGAGTAGTTCTATCAGTCCTCTTCTTGCCTGAAGAATTGTGCATATCTGACAGCCTCTCTTTCACTTTGTCCTGTCTCAGCCCCTTCAGGCCAAGCTGACAGTGTTTCTTCTGGTACAACCTTCTCAAGAACTTTTGAGGCTCCCATGTATGTCACAGGGATCCATGCCATTAGATAAAAGAACCCCCACAGATCTTTCCTGGATAACGCTGGATCTATCCTTGGATCCGTGAGATAATTGAGGGATCCATCAGTTGTATAGCAGATCTCTTCAGCACAATATTGTCTAGGCACACCCTCGGCCCTGTATCCAGAGTACACTTTCCCAACAGTGAGTTTCCCAATTTTAGCATCTTTTGCAATCTGAATAGGCCGAGAAGCTCCCAATCATCAAGTGTTGTTTCTTTTTGCTTAACAGCTCCTTCCTCAATTTGCTTATTTCCTTTTCTGTTTCATTACAAACAGCATGAAGAAACCAGGCTGCATCTTCAACACTTTGCTTAGAAATCTCCTCAGCTAAATATCCAAGTTCATTGCCTACAAATTCTGCTGTCCACCTAAGGACACAATTCATCCAAGTTATTTGCCACTGTGTCACAAGGATCACTTTGCCTTCAGTTTCCAGTAACATGTTCCTCATTTCCTTCTTAGCCTTCAACATAAACCACTTTTAACATCTGTATTTCTACTAACACTCTGCTCATGATGAGATATACATTTCTAAGATGATGGAAGAATTCTCTACCATGCTCTTCACTTCCTTCTGTTCCCTCACCAGAATTGCCTTTAAAATCCATAACTCCACTAACAGTCTCTTCAAGAAATTCTATGACTTTTCTCTCAAGTACCTCAAAAACCATCCAACCTCTATTTATTACTCAGTTCCAAAGTCACTTCCACAATTTGAGGTATTTATTAAAGTAGCACCCACTTCCTGGTACCAAAATCTGTATTAGTTTTCTAGGGCTCCCATAACAAATTGCCACAAACTATGTGGCTTAAAACAGACAAAATTTTTTTCTCCAAAGTCTGGAGATCAGAAGTCCAACATCATGGTATTGACAGAGCCACTCTCTTTCTGAAGGCTCTAGGAGAGAATCATTCTTTCCCCTTCCAGGTCCTGGTGGCTCCAGGAATTCTTGGCTTGTGGCAGCATCACTGTAATTTCTACCTTAATCTTTTCATGGCCATCTCTTCCTGTATGTGTCTCTCCTCTGTGTCTCTTATAAAGTCACTTCTCATTAGATTTAGGGCCCACCTGGATAATTCAGGATGATCTCATCTTGAGATCCTTCATTACATCTGTTAGGACCCTTCCACCAAATAAGGTCACATTGACATGCTCTGGGGTATAATAGGGCTCTCCAGGGAAACAGGATAAATAAAACATATATAGATCTCTACATAAGAGGAGATTTATTATAATGATTGGCTTGGCCAGGCGCAGTGGCTCATGCCTGTAATCCCAGCACTTTGGGAGGCTGAGGCGGGTGTATCACCTGAGGTCAGGAGTTCGAGACCAGCCTAGCCAACATAGTGAAACCCCGTCTCTACTTAAAATACAAAAAATTAGCTGGGCATGGTGGTACGCACCTGTAATCCCAGCTACTTGGGAGGCTAAGGCAGCAGAATCGCTTGAACCCGGGAGGCGGAAGTTGCAGTGCACCGAGATTATGCCACTGCACCCCAGACTGGGGGACAAGAGCGAGACTTTGTCTCAAAAAAAAAAAAAAAAGGCTCACATGATTATGGAAGTTGAGAAGTCACACAATCTGCCATCTGCAAATTGAAGAACCAGGAACATCAGTGGTGTAATTCAGTCCTCGCCCAAAGGTTTAAGAACCAGGAGGACCAAAGTCCAGGGGCAGGAGAACATGGATGTCCCAGCTTACACAGAATGAAATGTACCCTTCCTCTGCTTTTTTGTTCTACTCAAACTTTCCATGGATTGTATCATGCCCACCCACATTAGTGAAGGCAATCTGCTTTATTTAGTCTATGAATGCAAATGCTAATCTCTTCTGGAAACACCCTTACAGACGCACCCAGAAATAAATATTACCAGCTATGTGAGAATCCCTTAGCCCAGTCAAGTTGACACCTAAAACTAACCATCACATGGAGATTAGGACATAGGCATGCCTTTTTGAGATCCACCATTCAACTCACTCCAGTAGCCTTCCCTTCCTCATCCCAACTCCCCTCTCTTTTATCATTTTTTTCTTGAGAATGCTCACTAATAAATTACTTTTACACAAATCCTTGTTTTGTGGTCTGCTTCTGGGGAAACAAACCTAATAGGATTTATATCTGGAGTCTATATTTGATTCCATTAGTCTATTTGTTTGTACCATACCAATACAATATTGCTTTAAAAATTATTTATTCCGAGATATTTTTAGATTCATATGCAGTTGTAAGAAATAATTCAGAAATAGCACATGTACTCTTTACCTTCAATGTCATCAATATCCAGTTTTCCCCAGTGTTAACATCTTGCAAAACTATAGTACAATATCACAACCAGGATATTGACATTGACAGTCAAGATACAGAATCATTCATTTACCACAAGGATCTCTCGTGTTGTCTTTTTACCACTACACCAAGTTCCCTTCCTCTCCCTGCCTTTATTCGTTGGTCCATGTCATCCACTAACCTTCTCTTCATTTCTATAGTTCTGGGTTTCTAGAATGTTATGTAAATGGAATCATACAATAAGAGACCTTTCGGGATTAACTTTTTTCATTGAGCATAATTCCCTACAGATTCATCCAGGAAGCTGCATGGAATACTAGTTTGTTCCTTTTGATGGCCATGTGGCATTCCATAGTATGAGTGTACCACAGTTTGTTTAGCTATTCATGTGCTGAAGGACATTTGGGTAGTTTGCAGTTTTAGGCTGTCATGAATAAAAGATGCTATCAACATTTGTGTACAGATTTTTGTGTGAACATCAATTTTCATTTTTCTGGGATACTTGCCCAGGATTGCCATTGGTGGATCACAGGGTAGTTTTATAAAAAATGCCCAAACTATTTTCCAGAGTGGCTGCATCATTTTGCATTCCCACCAGCAACATATGAGATGTTGAGATGATGCCAGCCGGGGCCCCAGGTGGACTACAGCTCCTGTTACAGTGGTAACAGGACACACAGGCTTTATACTCAGCACTGCGCCAGCATGCCTCCCATTCCAAGGTGCTGCTTTGAATCCCCTCTTCCCAGCCTAAAGTTTGAAGCTGTTTCTGGAGGTGTAAACTGACTACTTTCCCACTGCTAGCTCGAATACAATCACTTTCCTATCCCTGTACTTCATCCTTGTTACTGGCTGTACAAGCTGCAAGCAGCCAGGCCTGTGCTAGGTTACGGTGAGAACTTAAAGACTCCAGATGAGATCACCTAAGGAAGGAATGGGGAGAGAAGAGGCTCAAGCCTGAGCACCCGGGCACGGCCAGCCAATGGGACTGAATGGGAACATTGGGAAGGTCTGAGGAAAACCAGGAGAGGTGACTGAGGGACAGAGAGCAGGAGAGCCCAACAGCCTGGACGCAGAAGAGGCCAACAGTCCGGACGTGACAGCAGGCTGTGACCCGGCAGGGGTCCACCCACCCCAGTGAGCAGGCCCAAGGCAGCGAGGGCCCACACCCCTCACATGCAAAACTGGCCTCTTCTGGTCACTGGTGTCTGAAACCAAATCCAGAACAGCCTGTGGCCTGTAAAGCATATATTTCTAACGACTGCAGACTGGTGGGATGATAGGAGCCTTCTGAATGACCAGGACTGCTTTCTTGTGGAGCTGATGAAAACGTATTCTTTTAGCATGTTAGAAATCACTCGTTTTACTTTGTTTATTTGGCCAAGCTGGGTCTGGTGTTTCTGTTGCTGGGAATAGACTTTGAAAAGTCATACTTCTATCAAGAAACAAAAGTGTCCTTGCAGAAATTTCAGGTCTCTTGTTAAGCATGTATTGGTCTTAAGGTTCACTGTTTTTTAAATTATTATTTATAGAAAGAATCTATAAATTCTTGGGGAAGTGTGTTATAAGCTTTAATAATTACACTGAGTTGCACCTTAGTGGTGTGACATTAGCATGGAATGGGGTTAATATCTGAGGCCGCAGATGATTTTGTACCTTTTGGAATAAAGGGCAAAATAAACTCTCCCAGAGTAAGAGCTGTATCGTGAATTGTCATACTAATTATTGAGGGGGACTTCTGTGCTTTTATTGAATGGAGTGCTTTACAATTTTTATTTTTGAATGGGGTTGGGATCTTTGGAATATTTAAATAAAGTTATTAATGATTAAAAAAAAGAAAAGAAAAGAAAACGAGGAGAGAGCTCTGGGACAATGGAGTGGCCATCTGGTTGAGCAGTGCTAAAAGGCCAAGAGGTAGACAAAGAACTGACCACGCCTTTAGCAATGCGGGCATCTCAGATGACCTCAGTGAGAGCAGTTTTGGTGGAGTGGTGGAGATGATGACCTGGTTGGGGGGGCAGTAGGAAAACCGGGGGGAGAAAAACTGAATGTAACGCATATAAAACAACATCACTTGCTCCTCTGAGGATGCAATTATACTTACCTCAGTGTTTCCAAGTATTTGATTTATTAACTGTCTTCAGGAGTATTAGTTCTCATTCAGGTATTGATTTTCTATAACTTCTTGGTAATATCTGGGTACACATATTTTTAATTTTTATTTGCATTTATTTTATGCTGAATTTCTTCCCTGGCCATAACCTTCTGTTTCTTTGGTCTCTTCTGAGATATCCTTTCATTCTTTGCAAACTCCTCTTCTGGTTTAGGAACAATTTTTTTTTCAGTAAGCGTCTGTTCAAAGGGACACTCGTGTGTGGGTAATCCCAGCACTTTGGGAGACCAAGGCAGGAGGATCACTTGAATCCAGGAGTTCAAGGCCAGCCTGGGCAACACAGAGAGACCTCATCTTTACAAATAATTTAAAAAATTAGCCAGCTGTGGTGGTGCATGCCTGTTATCCCAGCTACTGGGGAGGCTGAAGCAGGAGAATTGCCTGAGCCCAGGAGTTTGAGGCTGCAGTGAGCTGTGATGAAGCCACTGCACCCCAGCCCAGACCCTGTCTTTAAAAAAAAAAACAAAAAAAACAAAAAAAAAACGGCTGGGTGTGGTGGCTCATGCCTATAATCCCAACACTTTGGGAGGCCGAGGCGGGCAGATCACCTGAGGTCAGGAGTTCGAGACCAGCCTGGCCAACATGGTGAAACCCCGTCTGTACTAAAAATACAAAAATTAGCTGGATGTGGTGGAGGGCGCCTATAATCCCAGCTACTCGGGAGGCTGAGGCAAGAGAATCTCTTGAACCCAGGAGGCGGAGGTTGCAGTGAGCCAAGATTGCACCATTGCACCCCAGCCTTGGGGACAAGAGTGAAACTCTGTCTCAAAAAAAAAAAAAAAAAATCACAAGGCATACCATGAAACAGGGAAACATGGCCCTATCAAAGGAACAAATCTCTAGACATTAACCCTAAAGAAATGGAGATCACCAGGCAAAGTGGCTCAACACCTCTAATCCCAGTAGTTTGGGAGACTGAGGAGGGAGGATCACTTGAGCCTAGGAGTCAAAGACCAGCCTGGGCAACATAGACCCTGTCTCTAGAAAAAATAACAAAATAAATAATAAAATAATAAAATACAATTAGCTGGATGTGGTAGCATGTGCCTGTAGTCCCCACTACTTACTTGCAAGACCAAGGCATTTGGATAACATGAGCCTGGCAGGTCGAGCTGCAATGAGCCATGATTATGCCACTGTACTCCAGCCCGGGTGACACATTAAGACCATGTGTCAAAAAAAAAAAAAAAGGAAAAAAAAAAATGATGGAGATCTATGAGTTGTCTGACAAAGAATTCAAAGTAATCATCTTAAAGATGTTCAGTGAGCTACAAAGAACACACAAAATCAGGAAAACAATATATGCACTAACAAAATGAGATCAATAAACTATAATATGTAAGATGTTAGTGATCAGGTAAACTGCGTGTGAGTATATCAGCTGTATTTGCATTTTTTTTTATAAATCTAAAGATACAAAAGTTTATTTTTAATAAGTGTCAGAAACTGAAATTAAAAACCTATTGTAGGCTGGGCACAGTGGCTCACACCTATAATCCCAGCACTTTGGGAGGTCAAGGCTGGCAGATCATGAGGTCAAGAGATTGAAACCATCCTGGCCAACGTGGTGAAACCCTGTTTCTACTAAAAGTGGATTCTGTATTCCCTCAGCCAGAGACCTGTCAACTTAACCAGGACTCCATAGTGCCACTGGGAATTTTGGTTCATGAGAAGAGCTTATTTACTTCTAGCAGTGTCGCCATCAGCTAAAGATAAAACATGTTCTTGAAGGCAAAGCTCACACAATTTAATACTTTCCCACAACCCACTCCAATTGCCCATCAATTCTTTAGCCCCATAAAGCCCTTCCAGTTCTCCCTGAATGCTGCTCCAGGGTGGGTGCCGTCATAGGGGTCTTCTGGTCCCCTCTTAGATACTCATGTGCAGGTGGCCTGTCTGAGGAGGGCCTGAGTTGCTCAGTCTGTGCTGGAAGCTCCACCTCAGGCCTCTGCTTATGGTCTTAGTTATTTGCTCTCACAAGCCTGTTCTTCTTGCTCATCAGACCTCCCGTGAAAAGCTCTGCTGAATGAGGCAGCACTTTGCTCTATTAAATGAGAATGTAAATGACAGCTACCTCATTAGAAGAAGCGGGGCTGGGTGGCATGGTTTATGCCTGTAATCCCAGCGCTTTGAGAGGCCAAGGGGAGAGGATCACTTGAGCCCAGGAGTTCAAGACCAGCCTGGGCAACGTAGCAAGATCCCATCTCTACAGAAAATTTCAAAAATAAAAAAGACTGTCATGCAGCTCAAGGTCATGATCTGAAATGAAACAAACAAAAGTCTATCCACAAATCTAAAGCCATCTTTTAGAATTTAACACTTTACTATTGTTACACATTGTATATAATCCTTATGTATAAATGTTGGTTGCACTTTTTGCTGTTTTACTTTAGGTTTTTCTCTTGCTGGTTGTATTAGTCTGTTCTCACATTGCTGTAAAGAACTACCTGAGGCTGGGTGCAGTGGCTCACGCCTGTAATCCCACCATTTTGGGAGGCCGAGGCAGGCGGATTGTCTGAGTTCAGGAGTTCGAGACCAGCCTGGGCAGCATGGTGAAACCCTGTCTCTACTAAAATACAAAAAATTAGCTGGATGTGGTGGTGTGTGCCTGTAGTCCCAGCTACTCCGGAGGCTGAGGAATGAGAATCACTTGAACCTAGGAGGCGGAGGTTGCAGTGAGCCGAGATTGCACCACTGCATTCCATCCTGGGCAACAGAGAGAGACCCTGTCTCAAAACAAAAAAACAAAAAACAAAAAACTACCTGAGACTGGACAGTTTATTTAAAAATGTTTAATTGACTCATTTCCACAGGCTGTACAGGAGGCATGGCTGGGGAGGGCTCAGGAAATTTACAATCATGGCCGAAGGTGAAGGGGAAGCAAGCACATCTTCACATGGTGACGGGAGAGAGAAAGCGAAGAGGGAAGTGCTACACACTTTCAAACAACCAGATCTCGTGAGAACTCACTATCACGAGAACAGCAAGGGGGAAATCCACCCCCATGATCCGATGACCTCCCACCACATCCCTCTCCCAACATTAGGGGTTACAATTCAACAAGAGATTTGGATGGGGACACAGAGCCAAACCATATCACTGGTAAAAGGTCATCATATTAGGTCATTTTCTTCTATGTCAGTATTCCTTCTATGTCAGTGGGAGAATTGCAATGCCTTTTCTTATTGGCAATATGTTGTGAGTATTTATCTTGACTTGGGCCATATTATCAACCTCTTACTTCTTGGTATTTTCCTTCCCATTATCTCAACACTATGAACTCCTCCCGTATTCTGTATTGAAGGAAATTTATTTTTTTGTAGTCCAACTAACTTCCTTTATTTTTATTATGGTAAAATATACCTAAAATTTACCATTTTGATTTTTTTTTTTTTTGAGACGAGTCTTGCTTTGTCACCCAGGCTGGAGTACGGTGGCATGATCATAGCTCACTGTAACCTCAAAAATGTCAAACTTCTGGACATAAGCAGTTTTCCCTGTGTCAGACCCCTGAGTATCTCGAACTATAGACATATGTCACCACAGCCAGCTAAATTTTTTTTTTTTTTTTTTGTAGAGACAGGGTCTTGCTATGTTGCCTAGGCTGGTCTCAAACTCCTGACCAAAAGTAATCCTCCTGCCTAAGCCTCCCAAAGTGCTGGAATTACAAGTGCGAACCACTGGGTCAGCCTTTTTGTTGTGTCTTTTTCTGGTTTTGTTATCAGGGTAATATTGGCCTCTTAGAATGAATCTGAAAGCATTCCCTCCTCTTTGATTTTTTGGAATAGTTTGAATAGGACTGGTATTAGATCGTCTTTAAATGTTTGGTAGAATTCAGCAGTGAAGTTATCAGATCCTGGGCTTTCCTTTGATAGGAGACTTTTTTTATTATAGGCTTCAATCTTGTTACTTGTTACGGGTCTATTTGAGTTGTGGATTTCTTCATGGTTCAATCTTTGTAGGTTGTATGTGTCTAAGAATTTATCCATTTTTTATATGCTTCTCAATTTATTGGCATAGAGCTTATGCCTCTAGTGATCGTTGAATTTCTGGGGTTTATTTGTAATGTCTCCTGTTTCTCTCTGATTTTATTTATTTGGTTCTTCTCTCCTTTTTTTCTTAATCTGGCTAAAAGTTTGTAGATTTTGTTTTTCTTTTCAAAACTCCAACTTTTTTATCTTGTATATTATTTGTCTCAATTTTATTTATTTCTGCTTGATCTTTATTATTTCTTTTCTTCTAATTTTGGGTTTGGTTTGCTCTTACTTTTCTAGTTCTTTGACAGGGTTTCACTCTGTCACCCAGCCTGGAGTGCAGTGGCACAATCTCCGTTCACTGCAACCTCCGCCTCCCAGGCTCAAGCAATCCTCCCACCTCAGCCTCCCAAGTAGCTGAGACTACAGGTGTGCACCACCATGCTTGGCTATTTTTTGTAGAGATGGAGTTTCACCATGTTGCCCAGGCTGGTCTCAAACTCCTCAGCTCAAGCAATCCACCCGCCTTGGCCTCCCAAAGTTTTGGAATGACAGGCATGAGCCACCACACCCGGCCATGCTTTTCTAGCTTTTTAGATGCATTGTTAGGTTGTTTAATTGAAGTTTTCTACTTTTTTGATGTAAGCATTTATTCTAATAAACTTTTATCTTAGCACTGCTTTTGTTGTATACCATAGGTTTCGTTCTGTTGTGTTTTCATTTCCATTTCTTTCAAGAAATTTTTAAATTTTCTTCTTAATTTCTTCATTGACCCAGTGGTTGTTCAGAAGCATGTTGTCAAATTTCCATGTGATTCTATTTTTTTTTTTTGTTTTGAGATGGAGTCTCCCTCTGGTGCCCAGGCTGGAGTGCAGGGGGTCAATCTTGGGTCACTGCAACCTCTGCCTCCCAGGTTCAAGCGATTTTCCTGCCTCAGCCTCCTGAGTAGCTGGGATTACAGGCACATGTCACCATGTCCAGCTAATTTTTGTATTTTTAGTAGAGACGAGGTTTCACCATGTTGGCCAGGATGGTCTCAAACTCCTGACCTCAAGTGATGCACCCACCTCACACTCCCAAAGTGCTGGGATTATAGGTGTGAGTGCCCGGCCAATATCTCTACTTTCCAAAGTTCTGCTTGTTATTGATTTTTAGTTGTATTCCATTGTGATCAGAAAAATTACTTGCTATTATTTGAATTTTTAAAACTTTGTTAAGATTTGTGGCATAACATATGGTCTGTCTCTGAAAATATTTCATGTGCTGAGGAGAATAATGTGTATTCTGTGGCTGTTGAATTAACTATTCTGTAAATGTCTATTAGGTCCATTTGGTCTATCATGCAGATTAAGTCTGATAAGGGTTTTTGTTGTTGTTGTTGTTGATGATTGTCTGTCTAGATTTTCTATGCAATGCTGAAAGTGGAGTGTCAAAGTCCCCAGCTGTTATTGTATTGGGAACTCTCTCTCTTTAATCCTAATAGTATTTGCTTTATCTATCTGGGTGTTCCAGCACTGGGTACATTAATGTTTACAATTATTATAACCTCTTGTTGAATTGACCCCTTTATCATCATATAATGACCTTCCTTGTCTCTTTTCACAGGTTTTGACTTAAAAATCTATTTTATCTGAAATACATATAGCTATTCCTGCTCTTTTTGGGGGTGTTTCATTTGCATGGAATGTCTTTTTCCATCCCTGCATTTTCAGTCTATGTGTGTCTTTATAGGTGAAGAGAGTTTCTTGTAGGCAGCATATAATTGTGTCTTTTAAAAATTTATTCAGCCACTCTATGTCTTTTAATTTGTAGAACTTAGTACATTGACATTCAATGTAATTATTGATAGGTAAGAACTTACTGCTGCCATTCTGTTAATTTTTTCTGGTTGTTTTGTTGGTCCTCTTCCTTTCTTACTTCCTTTCTGTCTTCCTTTTAAGTGATTTTCCCTGGTAATATGTTTTAATTTCTTGTTTTTTATTTCTTGTGTATCTATTCTAGGTCTTTGCTTTGTGGTTATTATAAGGGTTGCTAGTAACAGCTTATAACTAGTTATTTTAAACTGATGAAAACTTAACACTGAGTAGAAAAAAGGAAAAAAAGCAAACAAGCAAAGAGAAAACTCAAAAAAAAAAAACTCTACAGTGTTACTCCATCTTCCCTTGCCTCAATGGCTGTTTTTTTGCCTTTTTTTGGGGGGAGGGTTTCTCTAATTATATCTTTTTATATCATCTATCTCTTAAGAAACTGTCGTTTTTATTATTATTAGTTTGAGGTCAAGTCTCACTCTGTCGCTCAGGCTGGAGTTCAGTGGTCTGATCTCAGCTCACCGCAACCTCCGCCTCCTGGGTTCCAGCGATTCTCATGCCTCAGCCTCCTGAGTAGTGGGGATTACAGGTGTGCAACACCATGCCTGGCTAATTTTTGTATTTTTAGTACAGATGGGGTTTTGCCATATTGGGCAGGCTCACCTCAAACTCCTGACCTCAAGTGACCCACCCACCTCGCCTCCCATGTTGTCATTATTATTATCATTTTTTTTTCTTTTTTGAGATGGAGTCTCACTCTGTCACCCAGGCTGGAGTGCAGTGGCATGATCTCGGCTCACTACAGGCTCCACCTCCTGGGTTAACGCCATTCTCCTGCCTCGGCCTCCCATATAGCTGGGACTACAGGCACCCACCACCATGCCCGCCTAATTTTTTGTATTTTTAGTAGAGATGGGGTTTCACCGTGTTAGCCAGGATGGTCTTGATCTCCTGACCTCGTGATCCACCCACCTCAGCCTCCCAGAGTGCTGGGATTACAGGTGTGAGCCACCACACCTGGCCGTCATTATTGTTTTTGATAGATTTGTCTTTTAGTCTTCCTACTAATGATATGAGTGGTTTAAATAATGCAATTACAGTATTAGGCTATTCTGTATTTGTCTGTGTACTTAAGTTTACCAGTGTGTTTTATATCTTCAGTTGCTTTCTTGTTACTCATTAATGCCCTTTTCTTTCATATTGAAGAACTTCTTGTAAAACAGGTCTGGTGTTGACAAAATCCCTTAGCTTTTGTTGTCTGAGAAAGTCTTTATTTCTTCTTATGTTGAAGGATAATTTTGCTGGGTATAATATTCTAGTCCAAAGTTTTTCTTCCTTTGATACTTTGAATGTCATTCTATTTCCTCAGGCTGGTAAGGTTACCACTGAGAAGTCTGCTGCCAAGTGTGTTGGAGCTCCTTTTTATGTTATTTGCTTCTTTTCTCTTGCTGCTTTTAGGATCCTTTCTTTATCTTTGACCTTTGAGAGTTTGCTTATTGTATACTTTGAGGTAATTTTATTTGGCTTGAATATTCTAAGTATTCTTGATCTTCATGTTCCTAGGTATTCATGTCTTTCTCTAAGTTTGGAAGGTTCTCTGTTATTGTTTATTTGAATAAACTTTCTACCCCAGTCTCTCCATCTACGTCCTATTTAAGACCAGTAGTTACTAGACTTGCCCTTTTGAGTTTATTTTCTAGATCTTGTAATAGTGCTTCCTTCTCTTTTATTTATTTTTGCTTTTTTCTCCTTGGACTGTGTGCTTTCATATAACCTGTCTTTTAATCTACTGATTCATTCTGCCACTTGATCAATTCTACTGTTGAGAGATTATGATTCATTTTTCAGATTGTCAATTGAGTTTCTAAGCCCCAGAATTTCTGCTAGATTCTCACTCTGTTGCCCAGGCTGGCGTGCAATGGTGCAATCTCAGCTCACTTCAACCTCTGCCTCCCAGGTTCAAGCAATTCTCCTGTCTCAGCATTCTGAGTAGCTGGGACTACAGGCATGCACCACCACACCCAGCTAATTTTTTGTATTTTTAGTAGAGATAGGGTTTCTACTAAACCCCATGTTGGCCAGGCTGGTGTGGAACTCCTGACCTCAAGTAATCCGCCCACCTTAGCCTCCCAAAGTGATGGGATTACAGGCGTGCACCACTGTGCCTGGCCTCTGCTTGATTTTTAAATGTTAATTCTTCATTAAATTAATCTGATAGAATTCTGAATTCCTAGTCTGTGTTATCTTGAAGTTGTTGGGCTTCCTCAAGATGGGTATTTTGAATTCTCTGTCTGAGTGGTCATATAATTTAATCACTCCAGAATTGGTCACTGGTGCCTTATTTAGTCCATTTGGTGAGATCATGTTTTCCTGGATGCTCTTGATTCTTGTGGATGTTCAATGATATCTGAGCATTGAAGAGTTAGGTATTTATTTCAATCTTTGTAGTCTGGAGTGTTTGTATCCATCCTTTTTGAGAAGGCTTTCAGTAATTGAAATGGGATTGAGTGTTGTTACATAAGCCTGTGGTCGTTGTGGCCTCAGGCAGAACTATGAGGCCAAGAGTGCTCATGCGCACCAGGCTTTCTTTTTGAAATTCGAGGTGAGGCCTTTACCACCCGTGAGCTCAGAGGAGGGAAGACTGGGACCTGTCTGAAGGTCTGGAGGGAACTCCCAGTTGCACACTTGCCCCCACTGCCCCTTTCCTGGCATGGGGTGAGATCGGTCTACTTCAGCAACCAGTGCCTGCCCTTGATCCCTGCAGGAGCTGAAGGAGGTGAGCAAGGAGCAGCCCAGACTGGAGGCTGAGTACCCTGCCAACACCACCAAGAACTGTTAACCACATGTGCTACCCTGTGAGTGCTGGGGGCAGGAAAGGAGGCATGGCAGAGGGCTAGGGCTTGGCATGGGAGCAGGGGGCTTCATGTGCCCAACCCTGAATGCACAGCTTTCACTCTCTGCAGATGACCACTCCAGGGTCAGGCTGACCCAGCTGGAGGGAGAGCCTCATTCTGACTACATCAATGCCAACTTGGTCCCAGTAAGGGCCACCGGTGAGGCTGTCCATGGGATCTGGGATCTGCTCGGGAGATGGGCTGGTTTGCAGGCCACACTTGCCTTCATTAGCTGTAACAGCTCTCTAGGAGATCACCAGCTTGGGCTTCATGAGCTCAATCCAGCAGGTGTCTAGCAAGGGTCTACTGTGTGCTGGGCTCTGTGCTGGGCCTGCAGGAGGCAGAGCTGTTAGCCACATTCCCCACCTTCAAAGGAGCATGTAGGCATGTGTGTGACATTCACCACACACTGTGACAAGGGCTGTAATAGAGGAAAAAACACTACTCAGGGCACATGGAGGAAGGGGAAATTTCATCCACCTGAGGAATCAAGAAAGGCTTCCCAGAGGAGGGGACATTTGATTTATTGAAGGATGAGTAACATTTTGATAAGTGATGAAAGAGGGAAGGACATTCTGTTGACTGGAAGAAGCAGCCAGAGAACAGCCAGGCAGTAACGTTCAGGCAGTGTGTGAGAGTGTGTGTGTGTGTGTGTGTGTGTGTGTGTGTGTGTGTGTGTGTGGTGGGGGGTGCGTAGGGGTGAGGGAGTGGGGAGGTGCTGGGTGGTGGGAGATGTAATGGGAAAGATAGCCTGGGGCTGAATGGGCTGAATGAAGGAGGGCTTGATTGTTAGGCTGAGGGCTTTGGACTCTATTTGGTGGGCAATTGGGAGCCATAGAAGATTTTTGAGCATGGAAGAAACGCAGTTTGGTTTTAGGAAGGTAACTCTGGGTGGGTGAAGAGGGTGGCCTAGATGGGCTATTTAACTCATGTCAGTATCTTGTTTTCATTGGGGTTTTTCTTGTCCCTTTGGGGTGGGACAGGGACGGGGGTGATGTCTCTGAAGTCAGCCCTTCTGGTTTGCATTCTGGGTGCACACGTGTTCTTGTGTGTGCACACATGTAGGTGTGTGCACAGCATCCTCACTCCTGGAGGTCAAATGTTGGAAATCTGCTGTGTGCTTGACACCAAGCATTGCCCGTTAACCATGTTCCTGATCTCTGCCTCCTACACCCCAGGGCTACACCCGCCCACAGGAGTTCATTGCCTCTCAGGGGCCTCTCAAGAAAACACTGGAGAACTTCTGGCGGCTGGTGCGGGAGCAGCAGGTCCGCATCATCATCATGCCGACCATCAGCATGGAGAACGGGAGGGTGAGTGCGCCTTGCAGGCTCCTAGAAAGGCCACCAGGTGGCGCACGTTCTCCTTGTGGGGATGGCCCCGTTGGCATCTTCCCGTGGGAAGGCGGGGCAGACTGGAGTGAGGCCAATCAGGCCTGGAGGGTAGTGGACCCACCTCCCACCCAGACCTGGGATGGGGAGGCAGTGGGAGGAAACAGGTATGTAAACTCCCAGCTTGGCTTTGTTTCTACGGGCTTCTTGCCCTGGGCAGAGAAGGCATCAAGGGGTAGGGACTGCCCAGGGCCGGTGTCAAAGGTACCATCAGGGATCCTTCCTTTCGATAAGCCTGGCAGATGCAGGGCCCTAGGACATGCAGAGAGGCTGCCGAGTCTGTCCTCTTGCTGGAGCAGTGAGCCCAGGGCCGCTGGCCGCGGAATAAGGGCTGTTCTGTTTGGCACAGGAACCTTGTGGCTGACTCAGAATCCTGAGAGTCATGAGAGGTCTGAGGGCAAGGGTGCCGGAGCCCAGGCAAGGGAGAGCAGCTCCTGGAGGAGGAAGCCTTGGAGCTGGGTCATTACAGAGAGCAGAATCCCAGCAGGGTGGCAGGGACCAGAAAGGTGGGCAGGGAGGGGTGGGACTGAGTAAAGCAGGGGGCGGCAGTGATAGGGCTGGGCCCACAGCCGCCCTTCCCCTCTCCAACCTTCTGGTCCCAGGTGCTGTGTGAGCATTACTGGCTGACCGACTCTACCCCGGACACCCATGGTCACATCACCATCCACCTCCTAGCTGAGGAGCCTGAGGATGAGTGGACCAAGCGGGAATTCCAGCTGCAGCACGTGCGTGCCCCAAGGATGAGGGGATGGGACAGGCATTAGAGCTGAGACCCCTGAGAAGGTTGCCTCACTTCCTGGGTCCCTGGAGCCCTCTCTTTCGGAGGACCACAAGTACTCAGTCACCACCCAGGGAAGAGTGTGTTAGGGAAGGGGTAGAGAGGCACAGAGAAGATTAAGGGTTTATCTGAGGCTGCACAGTGAGGGAAAGGAAGAACAGGAGAGACATGATGGTTCCTGACCTCCCCCATGCCAGCTCAGGGCTCTTGCCTCACCCCATGCCCCCTGTGCCCATCTTCCTTCCCAGATTGTGCACCCCTGGGGCAGGAAAGCCAGAGACCCGAATCACTTCTCTGCCCAGGCACCCTCTATATGCAGAGGTTACCCAGGAGGCTAGAGAAGGACCTGAGGGCTCAGGAAGCATCCTGATGGGGGAGACATAGCTGCCACCCTCAAGGAACAGTTGGTCTGCATCATCCCTGCCCTTAGGCAGCTGGGGAAGAAAGTGTGAGATCTGGGCCATGGGAACCTGGAGTTAGGAAGATAAGGAGCAGCAGCAGGGCCCCTCTGCCCCCTTGTCCCCTTCCCACCCCCTTCTTAGGTTGTCCAGCAACATCAACGGAGGGTGGAGCAACTGCAGTTCACCACCTGATCCGACCACAGCATCCTTGAGGCTCCCAGCTCCCTGCTCGCCTTTATGGAGCTGGTACAGTAGCAGGCAAGGGCCACCCAGGGCGTGGGACCCATCCTGGTGCACTGCAGGTGACAGCAGGTGAGTGCATAGGGTGGAGAGCCCCCTGCCTGGCCTGGGGGCATGGAGGGCTCTTGGACTGTGGGGAGAGCTGGGGACATGGGCAGCCTCTTCACCCATTCAGCTCCTCAGGGGCTGTCCCTGCGGTGTGGGCATGGGCCGGACAGGCACCTTCGTGGCCCTGTCGAGGCTGCTGCAGCAGCTGGAGGAGGAGCAGATGGTAGACGTGTTCCATGCTGTGTATGCACTCCGGATGCACCAGCCCCTCATGATCCAGACCCTGGTGAGGGCCCTGCAGGCTGGGCTGGGCAGCTGGGACCCTGAAGGAGTGGGAGGGAGGTGGGTGGCCACAGGGCTACAGGAGGGACCAGGAAAGAGAGCTCATGGGGCACACAGAAGACCTTGGGGAGAGGGTTTCAGACACATCACCATCCTACCTGGGCTGTGCTTTCTATTCTGTGAAAGGGGAGGTGGGACAGGATCCTGTCAGCTTTGACACCATGGGACGGTGGAGGGAAGGTTTCTCAGTGGCTCCCTCTGCCCTCCTACCTGATCCCTGCCTTGCTGGTCAGGGCCTGAAAAATCTCCCTGCAGGCCCCCCTCGCTCCTCGCTGAGCAGCCTGATGCCTTTTCCCCTGGCAGAGCCAGTACGTCTTCCTGCACAGCTGCCTACTGAACAAGATTCTGGAAGGACCCTTCAACATCTCTGAGTAAGTCCCAGCTTCCCTGTGCCTCCCACAGGCAGGCTCCCTGCTCCTGTTCGTGGGCAGAGCTGAGCGGACTAGAACGGGGAGCTGGGGAACCTTGAGTGCCTTCTCCCTCTCCAACCCCCCCACCAGGTCTTGGCCCATCTCTGTGACGGACCTCCCGCAGGCGTGTGCCAAGAGGGCAGCCAGTGCCAATGCTGGCTTCTTGAAGGAGTACGAGGTACACTTCAGGCCGGGAAGTGGGTGACAGCCAAGGGCAGCCTTCCGCTGCTGAGCCAACCCTGCAGTGAGACCTCCCAGCCTCAGGGCACCCATCTCCTTCCCAGCTCTTGCTGTAGGCCATCAAGGACGAGGCTGGCTTTTCCGCACCCCCGCCTGGCTATGAGCAGGACAGCCCCGTCTCCTGTGAGTCTCACTGTGGACCCTGTGGAGGGGCAGGGGGCCAGCGTGGGCTGGGGACCTCTGGCAGCTTCACCCTCACTGTCTTCCCTCAGATGACCGTTCTCAGGGGCAGTTTTCTCCGGTGGAGGAGAGCCCCCCTGACGACATGCCCGAAGCCTGGCTCTTCCCTGTGAGATGATGCTGGTTTTGCCACTGTTTCCTGCCCTCTCTGACCACCTGTACTTCCCGGGCTGGGGCTGCTGGGGGCTCCCAGAGTTGTGGACTGGGCAGGGGGCACCTTCAGTCTCTGGAAGCCAATGATCTGTGCTCTGCAGGGTGGGCCCTCTGGCCGTGATCATACGGTGCTGACTGGCCCCGCAGGGCCAAAGGAGCTCTGGGAGCTGGTGTGGCAGCACAGGGCTCATGTGCTTGTCTCTCTTTGCCCACCCAATGTCATGGAGAAGGTGACAGAGCAGAGGACAGAGGAAGGGAGGCTCAGGAGTTAGGGGTGAGGATGGAGGCGGGTAGTTTGTGGTGCTGTCTGTGACCAGGGCAGGGGCAGAGATCTCAGGAAGTTGCCTGAGCAGCCCTAACTTGGTCCCAGCCATAGGAATTCTGGCCAACGGAGATGCAGCCCGTAGTCACAGACATGGTGACGGTGCACTGGGTGGCTGAGAGCAGCACAGCAGGCTGGTTCTGTACCCTCCTCAGGGTCACACATGTAGGTGCTGGGGCCACAGGGCATGGGGTGGTGCATGGGGAAGAGTCCTGTGTGGGCTTCCTCTGCCCTCTCCAGCACCAATGCTGATCATGTCTTTGCCACAGGGGGAGAGCAGGAAGGAAAGGGAGGTGCAGAGACTGCAATTTCCATACCTGGAGCCTGGGCATGAGCTGCCCGCCACCACCCTGCTGCCCTTCCTGGCTGCTGTGGGCCAGTGCTGCTCTCGGGGCAACAACAAGAAGCCGGGCACACTGCTCAGCCACTCCAAGTGTTGTTGGACAATGGTCTTGGGGGAGTGGACAATGGTCTTGGGGGAGCGGACACTGGAAGCCCCTCCCTGCCCTTCTGGCATAGCCTCAGATCTCCCTGGGCTCTGCTTGGGTTATGGGTCAAAAGGACACAGTCTCACAATGCCCCTGTCTTCTCCACACCCTACCCTGTCCTCAGGAATATGGTGGGAATTTACCGCCTCCCTCCCTAGGTCCAGGCTGGCCGGCTGACCAAGTGTCCGGTGTCCCTTCTCAGTCCCTGCGCCCAGGTTGGGTTTTCCCACATCCGTGGACACCCCCGCCACACCCCCTTTAGGTACCTCATCCACCTCTAGGTCAGTTGCAGCAAGGGTGCAACCCAGCTGGGCACCTTCCTGGCCATGGAGCAGCTGCTGCAGCAGGCAGGGTCTGAGTGCACCGTGGATATCTTTAACGTGGCCCTGCAGCAGTCTCAGGCCTGTGGCCTTATGACCCCAACACTGGTGAGAGGCGACCAGGGGCGACCGGGCTGGCGTGGGGGCTCAGCTGTGGGAAGGGGCGGGGGGATGAGGGAGCTTCTGCCCAGGCCTCTAGGCAGCACCACCCGGGTAGCCACCAGGTGGCGCTGTGGACCGCTGTGCGTTCTCCCAGATGGAGCCCTAGGGGTTGGGGGACACAAGGGAGCCTTTTTCTGTTAGATTGGGGCAGGCGGGGCGAGCCTCCTAACCCTATGTCCATCTCCAGAAGCAGTATGTCTACCTCTACAACTGTCTGAACAGCGCGCTGGCAGACGGGCTGCCCTGAGTCAGCACTGGTCACGGTGCAGGAGAGGTTTGTGCCCTGTGGGATGGGGACAGCATTCCTGACACATCCACGTGGGCCTGGGCTCCCTGGAAGGGCGGCCTCCACTGGGCCCTGTGCTGGGAAGGTACAGGGTCTTGGAATAAAGACCTGTGGCCAAGCCTGAAGCTCAGTGTGTTCTGTCTGTCCATCCTCAGGCCTGGGCCCAGCGTGTGGGTCTCGTGGGCAAACATGGAGCCGGGATGGAAGCTAGGACCTGGAGTCTGGTTGAACTTGGTGACCTATGGCCCCTATGCTGTTGGTTTTTCCCCTGAAGCAATCCTCTCCCTGCTAATCCTCCAGTTTCTAAATTTCCTCAGACTTTGGTCTCTCCACGTCTAGTTTCCTGTGGTGCTAAGCCCTGGATTCAGAATCACAGCTCCAAATTGTTTGTCCTCTGCCTCATCACCCTGTACGCACCATGCTGTATGCAGTAGGGTTTATCCTGTTTCCCACTTCCCTTCTCCTGCCATCCCCAGCCTTCTCTACCTGCCAGAGCCCCCAGGGGCCACCCTCAGCCCCCACCAGGATGGAGGTGCCAGAGCTACCCTGTTACTCGGAAGGCAGGTGCTGGAGGCACCCCTCAGGCGGAGGTGCCAAGTTTTCCCTGCTCCTTCTCTGTCTCCTTCTTCCTCCCCTCTACATAAGAGGTGGGGGAGAAAGCAGGGAAGGCATATGGAGAAAGGAAAAACCAGGAGGAGCAGCAGAGACCAGAAAAGAGGGTGGGGAGGCAGCTGTCTGTCCCACACACTGTAGGACTGCACTGCATACCATGTGCATGATTGCTGGTGGCCACATGAGCTCCTGCCTGCTTCCCTGGTCAGGCTGGGAGTTTCCAGGTGCAGTGCCTGATGCTGGACACTAACTGCCCCTGGTGGAAGGCCCTGGGAGGACACAGAGAAAGCCTGGAAAGATCAGAGCAAGAGTCCCTGAAATGGAGTCGGGTCTCCCCAAGGGGAAGCGGGGAGAGCTCTTTGGCCAACCTGAGTTCCTACTAAGGTGCAACGGGTCAGAAGTCAGGAGGGTCCTTCTCAGGCCTGGTTGAAGAAGGGTACAGAGGTCGTGCTGGCTGCTCAGCCGGGAGCTTTCCCAGAACGAGACTAAAGCACTGGTGCCCTCCCAGGAGGACTAAATGCCGGTGTCCTCCATATGCCATGTTTATCAGGAGCTGAGGGTGGGCCCCCTAATGACCCTCACAAAAGCAGGCTGGAGGCTCTGCTCTGAGCTGCCCAAGTCTGTCTCAAGCAGCTGCTGCTGAGGTTGCAACAGGGCTCAACCATGGCTTTTCCACTCTGGGAAAATCTCACATTGGAGCAGCAGGAGCTGCAAATGAGATGGAGCCAAGGCTATGGTTGAGTGAAGGAAGTGCAGGCTGGCCTGTGGTAGCTTTCTGCCATAGGGCAAAGGTGGCTCTATCTGTGAGTCTTTCTGGTCATGTAGGCCCATCCTCTAGCCTTCTTAGGAGGCTCATCTTCTACTTTCAGCGCCATGGCACCAACGGGAGGCCTAGGGTCAGGGTCTGCTCATTTCTTGGTCCGGCTATGCAGCCCCTCTAGCCCTGGGAGGTTATCGGAGAGTGGAGAGGTGTTGATGAGAGGATTCTGGCATGTGGAAGGACAGGGTGGAAGAAATCCTGGATGCCTCTGAGGTCCCAGGTTTCTGGTATACCCTCTGGCTGGACCATGGGGAGACAGGGCAAAAAAGGAAGGAGGGGTGCCCACAGCCTGCTCTAGCTCTGCACTGGGGCTTGGCTCAGCATGGGAGAGACCAGAGACAGCAAGAGGCTGCGTGAAGGAAGCACAGCCAGCTCACTATGGTCTAAGGAGAGAACAGGGATTGGCCTCAGTTTTAACCACCGTGCCCTTTGCTCACCAGGGCTCTGGGGCCGGCCAGGTCAGCCAGTTGGTGGGATTCCAGCCTCAGGGTGGCCGAGCTGCAGGTGCAGCACCCGGCCTCCAGGTGGCGCCAATCTGCTTACTTTGAGGTGGCCTCTTGACAAGCAGCTGAGCTGCACGCAGTCCCTCAGCCTGCCGAGGTCCTGGGAGCAGGGATCAAGGTGGTCCCCGTAAACCTGACAGTAAACCTGACAGAGGCTGCAGGAGTGCATTTCCACCCAGGGTGCACTCAGCGAGTGGAACTCCACACCCGTTTCTTTGGAGTCAAGGCGCGACCTCTCAGGGAGGAGACTGCTCCTGGTTGCCCACTGCCGGGTCATCCCAGCTTGCAGTGGAACCCTCCGCAGCCTGGCCTCTTCCAGGGTAGCCCCTCACTCCCCTCTCTCTTGTCCTAGGATAAGGCCGAGGAGGGCTGACGAGTTCCAGCTCTGGGGATGCCCTATCAGCTGTGTCACCTTGAACAAATCATTTCTCCTCTTGGGTCTCTGTTTCCTCCAGTGTGAAACGTGGTGAAGGCATGAGGGGCTATGAGAGCCCCAAGGCCTCTTTCAGAGATCTCCTCTGGGTCCCATGTGACCCCGTGGCTATCCCCAAAGGCAAGAGGGTCCCCAGCCCTGCAGCCAAGGCCCTGGGACACCCTTTCTAAACAAGTGCAGGTCTCTGACGGGCTGAGCTTTGCTCGCTTGGGTTTCTTTGCTTTTTTCCTTTTTTTATCTTTCCTGAATGAAATTCCTGCCAGCTCCGAAGGAAGGAGGGAAGGGAGCTAGCCGCAGCGTAGAAAGTTTCCTTGACTCCTCCTCCGGCTGGGTCTCCCTCCCTTGCCAAGCCCAGCCTGTGAAACTGAATAACGAAGATCACTCAACAATGCCTGCTCCTCTCTGACTGCACCGCCCCGCCGCCGACGCCCAGTAGAGCCCCCGGGGCGGTCCCCACCGACGGCGCAGCCCGCCGGGACCGGGAGAAAGCAGCTGCGGACACCGCGCCCGTGCGTCTGCGCGCCTGGCCGCCAGGTGACCCAGCAGCCCGGCCGCCGAGATGCCCAACCCGCCCAGGCTCCGGGCGCTGTGACTTCGCGCCGCTGTGTGCGCCTCCCCGAGCGCCGGCTGCGCCCCCCAGCCCGGCCCGGGGCCTACCGCCTGCCCGGCCCCCTGCCACTGCCAGGAGGACGGCATCATGCTGTCTGCCGACTGCTCTTGAGCTTGGGCTGTCCGCCATACCGGGGGACCTGGATCCCCTGACGGCTTACCTGTGAGTACTGCCCGCCTGTCTCCACCTGGTACTGCGGGCTGCTGGCTTGCACCCAGTCCTGGCCTCAGCAGGACACCTGCTTGCTTGGTGCCCTGGGGCGTGGGCATCCCGGAGAGGGTTCACCCCCTTCCAAGTTGACCGTTGCGGGACTGGGGAGGGGAGAAGAGTCTGAGACTAAATATCAGGCGAGCAGGGAGACCAGGCTTCCCTGACTTGGCTTCCCCATTGGCCTCCGTGCTTGTGGGCTGACTGCGGGAGCCCAGGTTTGGCAAGGTGGGTTCTGGACCCTAAGCGGGAGGGCGCGGGGCTGGCTCCCCCATCTCCTGTTGCTGCATTCTCTTCCAGCAGAGCAGTGCCCAGGATGGTGGCTGAGGGTAAAGCTGACAGAACTGGAGGTGGAGGTGAGGGGAGCGTGCCCCAGTGGGGTGGAAATAATGTCTGTTCTTCTGCCATGGTGAGGACAACAGGGCTGTCACACTGAGGCTGGGTGGCCTTCTTTGGGGGGGGGGTCCCAGAAGCTGGGAGGGGGGCCTTATCCACTCTTGTCTCCTCAGAAAGGGACTCTGCCAGCACCATCTCCCTTTACTGGGGCCTCCCGGCTCCCCCAGGGGCCTCCCTAAAGTCATGTCCCAAGAGGCTGTGTTGGAGACACTAATTTGTGGGCAGGCGCGGAGGCTGAAAAGCGGAGAACCATTTTTAGCGTCTGAGTTGGGGTGAGATGGCCCGTGAAGGGGACCCTATTGGGGGCAGCTGTCCTGTCCGTCTGGCTCACAGGAGCTTCCCCTCAGAGCTGGAGGGCTGGGGGCTCTCGCTGCTTACCACATGGGCAGGAGGAGGGTGAGAGAGCACATTCCAGGCCACCTACCCGCACCCCCAGCCCCGCTCTGGGGAAAGGAGACCTCCTCCAGCCCAGCTCTGCAGGCTCCATCAACTTCCTCAGAGGAGCTGGGAGCAGGTGGGAAAGCCTGGGGCCTTCTGCTGAGGGCTAGGATCCCAGAGCTCCTTCTGGCCTGAGAGAGACCCCTCATGGCTTCTAGCATGTGGGAGTTCTAGCACGTGGGAGCTTAGAGGAAGAGGACGCTGGGCGAATCTTTATAGGGGCCTAGCAAGAATTTGTGGAACTAAAAGGATGCTCAGTGTTGGCAGTGTCCTGGTGGGAGGCAGAGGGTCCCAGATGGCAACTCTTCATGGGGCTCCTCTCCAAATGTCCCTGTCCCTAGGTTGGGATGTCCTCCTCCACTCCAAAAGGCACAGGCTGTGGGCCAGGTAAGGGAGTGAGAAGAGAAAAATAATGCCCATCTTCTAGAAGGACAAATGGAATCCTTCACAGTGCAGCAGGTGACGGCGGAGGCAGTCATGGGAATAAAGCTACCAACTGCACAGAGGCTGGGTGCTCAGCATCTGGCAAAGCAGGGCAGGCTCCGGCCCCAGCCCACACCCAGGCCAGCCCTGCTTTCAGCAGTTTTCTATCCTGGGAGTATGTGACATTGGTTCATTGGAAGACAGGGTCCTGTGGCTAAAGAGTTTAGATATGACTTCTGTGGAGCCTTTCTCTGGGTGAGCTGAAGGAAGGTCCCTTGCCTGGGTTGAAGGGGCAGGGGAGATAAGGCCTTCCAGAGCTTCCTTTCCCAGTGTTAAGTCTTCCTAGACTGATTAATGATCCTTTTTCTAGAAGGACCTGGGGTAGGAGGTACACTGTCACCTTTGGAATTCAAGCATCCTACCATCCATGCTGGCAGAAGATTTTCCCACTAACTTGTCACAATTCCCTGGGAGCTGTGAAGTCTGCATTTGGGTTCAGTGGAGGTGGGGTTTTCTGAGCTGGTCTGTGTCTTCCTGGGGATTGAGAAAGCCCCCCTCTCTCTCAAGACTCAGGGGATGCTTCTGAGAATGGCGGAGAGAAGAGAGGGAGTGGGAGCTAGAAAGAGTACGATGGGTCCTGAGGCAATGTGGGGAATTTAGCAGTGGGGTCTGGAATATTGGAAGGAGGTAGCAGAGGACCGTGTTCCCTGCCCTGGGCTGGGGAGGGGTCCCATCAGGATGGTGCATGAGGGATATCTACAGTTGTCCTGAGGGTGTCTCAGAGGAGGAATTTTCTTTCTTTGCCCTCTCTGGAGAACAGCTCTACCACAAAGGCACCTGAAGGTGGGGTTGAGGGCTGGCATGGAGAAGAGCCAGGGTGGGGAAGTCTTGGGGCTCCTTTCTCTTTTCAGCGATGTTAGGAGGTGCCCACCTTGGCCCTGCCCCATGTATCCCAGCCCTTGCTGAGGACAGCACAGATTCGCATCTGATGATATAACCAGCAGTGCCTCTCTCTGGGCCACTCAAACCTTGGTTCCTTCCTAGCTCTGCCACCTACTGAGAGTCACTCACTGAACACCTCTAAGCCTCAGGTTCTTGATGTGTACATGGAGAGGAGGAAGCATGTTGCTGAGAGGATTAAATGAGATAATATGTTCAGTGAAAGTCCCCACAGTGCCTGACACCCGAGGGTGACTCTGAAATGGTGGCTAGTATTATCATGCCTCCTGTGGGTGCTCCGTGGAGGTGGAGGTAAACTACCAGGCCTCTCCACACCAGAGGGAAATTGAGCCTAGTGGGTGAGTGTAGAATTCAAGGGAATTGTTTGTGGCTGGAGGAAGAGAGCTGTGTGCTTGGGGAGGTGACTGTCAGGGCAACTCTTGATCAATACTTGGCTGGTTCTGGGGACTTGGAGCCCAACCAGTTGGTGCAAATTGGGGGTTGGGGATCGGGAGGGAAGGTGGGGACTTAGATCCTCCTGACACAGAGTTGAGAATGAAAAATGTTAAAACACTTGGATATGCAGGAAGTAGCAGGCCAGAGAGGACTCGAAGATCCTTAGAAGGAGCCATAGACGGAACCATAGGAGGCGCCCAGGAGCTATGGGCTCCAGAAGGTACCCGCAAGTCCTCTTGCACATTCCTTGACCTGGTCTCAATAAAAATGACATCACATCTCTTCCCCCACTCCACGGCTGTGAGATTTTCTCTTTCTAGCCAATACCTTTCATGAAGTAGGTGCTTCCACCTCTCCATCTTTGTTCTAGGGAAGACCAGAAAGGCATCTTTATAGTCAACTGGTATTCTTTGCCTTGATACTCATGTCCAAAAACTATTACCACTTTTGGGCTCAATGCCAGGCCTGTTTGATCAAGGTTGGGAAGACACACTTCAGATACTCACAATCCTTCATATGTCTCTCTTTTTTCAACAGTTTCCTCCTAAACTGTGGTCTCAGCGAGGCTCATTGACACTCACCGGGGTTTCGACATTCTCCCTGGCTAGGGCCTGTTCTGGAAATAGACCAAGGGGGAGATGGAGCCCCTGGCCGTGGGACATCCAATCTGATGGTGATGAGAAGGCATGATGCCTCTTGTTCTATTCTTTTTTGTTTCTTCTTTTTTTTTAAATAAAAAAGACCAGTAATGTGCTGACTTCATAACAAGGTTTGAGGGAGGCACTTCTCACACGTGAGCATGAAAACCCAATCGTCACGCTTCTTAACTGCAAAAGGATCACCTCTTGTTCTATTGTATTGCATGTACACATGATGCACAGACAGGAATACACAGACAGCAAATAACTTGTTGGGCAGATAATCCCCGGAGTTGTTCCTGAGTAGAAAGATCTGGGTAGTTACTCTGGGCCCCCAAGGCTGAGCAGTGTCAGTAAACAGATGGTGCCAGAAAAGGTATCTCACGCAGCTAGTTGTGAAAGACGTCAGGCTCATGCACTTGCAGTCACACCTAAGCACCCATTTTCATAGCCCACTGCCACCAGGGCTGAGGGAGGGGCCGCTACACCATGCAACCCCCACTTCAGACTGCTGTTTGCTTTCTTGGGAATTATAACTTTAAGATTGCCTGTGATAACTGATAACCACTGGACTTGTTTGAAAGGTTAGATGGTGTGTGCATGTGTGTCTGTATGTGCGTGTGTGTCTGTGTGTGTCTGCGTGTTTCTCTGTGTGTGTGTAGATACAGGGTAATTTGCAGGGGATGTCTACAGCCAAAATGATGGAGGCAGGATGCTGGAGGCAGAGAGTAAGGGGTTGTGGCATTTGCCACAACAAAGCAGAGTTCAAACTATCACTTACTAGCTATGTAACCCCCAGCCAGTTGATTAGCCCTTCTGTGACTTAGTTTCCTCACCTGTAAACAGGGTTAAGATCTACCTCATAGGGTTGTTGTGTGGATTCACTTAGATGATGTTTGCAAAGGGTTTGGCATAATGTCTGGTACATGGGAAGAGCTCAATAAATGTTAGCCAGTGCTGTTATTAGGATAACCAGGGCGAAGAAATGTCAGTCATGGAAGTCTTCCTGGAGGAGGAAGTCCTGGAGCTAGCATGGGAGGGAGGGAAGCAGGCCTATTCTATGAAAGGTGTAGGATAGGTGTGTGTGTAGTTGCGGGCTGTGAGAGGTGCAAGAAGCTGCGAAGAAGATGGAATGAGCTCTGCTGGGAACCCAGAGTAATTTTAGGGTTTTTTTTTTTTGTTTTTTTTTTTTTTAGAATACAGTCTGAAAAACCAGGGAGGGGAGGGGAGCACCTGATGGAAGACGCCAGCGTGCTCCCTTACATGGTCTAGACGGGCCCCTGCAGGGGCTACAGATGAGGAGGCAGAGAAACAGGCGGCCTTAACAGGGGAGAGCCAGCCTTGGAGAGGATGTATTGTGAATTGGGGGTGGGGGTGCCAACGTGCCAGGTCTCATTTCTCACTTCCAAGGCCACCCTTCCCTGGCCCAGTCTTAGTCGCCCTTTCTAATAGATTCTAAGAGTTTGACTCCTCCTTCCGGAAACTTGGGGTTTGTGAGTTCTAATCTTCAGTCTCTCAGTTGCTATGAGACCCTGTGCAAGTCCCAAAACTTCCCTGGACCTCAATGTCCAGAGAAGCCATGTTTTGGATGAAAAACTAGAAAGTGGGAGAGGCAGGGCGCAATCCTCTTTGAGTCTCCTGCTCCTGGTGTGGGACAGAGAAAGCTCCCAGGGAGAGCTGCTCAGCTGCAGGCAGTGAGGGAAGGGAAGGAGGGAAGGGGAGGACCCAGGCAGCATCCAGACCAGGGTGGGGAAGAGAACTTATTCTTAAGCAACTTATTCTTAAGCAGCTTCCTGTTCTCTTAGCCTTGAACTTGAAGCCAGGAATAGGGACAGGGATAGAAGAGCCAAGGCTTGGAGCCGCTGGCCTATGCAGATGCACTTGCTTGTCCAGCAACAGTTGGACAGGGCCTGGCCTGGGCAATGTGCTCCGGGGTGCATGGAAAATGTGGTCATTCTTTGTCCGGGGGATTCTTCTTATTCCCTCCCATTTCTCTTTACAGAGAATTTTACACTTCCTTGCAGACACTGAATTATTGTGTTAAATTATTATAACTTAATAGCTTGTGAAATATACAAACAACAAGATTATGCCGACATGGCTGTTAGAAGACAAGACAAATTAGCAGACTCATGCTCATTTCTGTCATTGAACAATTCGTCTCATTCCTTCCTCAAGGCGCTGCCGTTTTCCTGCTCTCCGTCCGTGGGGGTGTTTGTTTACACATCTCTCGCAAGAAAAGCGCTTCTCTCTGGCTTCCCTCTGCCTCCCCCCCTCCTTCCTGCCCTCTCCCCTGCCTTCCCTTCCTCCTTCCTTCTCTCCCTCCCTCCTTTTCTCCCCGTTCCTTTCTTCCCTTCTCTCTGTCCTTCCCCCTTCCTTCCTTTACTGATGTAACAACCTTGGTGTGCCGTGGCTAAGCCACACTCCACCCCTGACCTGCGGGGGATGAGTCAAACGGTCAGACTTGCCTGGGCTTGTTCCACGCTCCCCTGGCTAGACAGGCGTCTACACATTCTCAGTTAGGGGCTGGACAGGGGCAGCTGCTAGACAGGTCCTATTCTGGGCCTCTCTGAGAAAAAGTGTCCCTGAAAAGAAAGGGAGCTCCCACTTCCATGGACCCTTAGCCATGCCAAGGGGCAGTACCGGCTTTCTGCTGGTGCTGATGAGCTGTGGTGTGAACTCACGAAGGTCAGCTGATTCACGGGCCCTGGATCTCTGCTCTCCTTCCGCTAAGTGGGACTCGGGCCAGCCTGCCATGAAGGAGGTAGCTGCTGCAGCTTTCAGGAAGGAACACCAGGTGTCAACCCCACCGGGTGGCCAACCCCACCTGGCTAGGACCCAGTCCCTGGTGGCTGCTCTCCCGAGAGGCGGGCAGGGCTGGGGCTAGGGGCTGTCCAGGAGTGTTCTGGACTGTCCCTTCGCCACAATTCCCACAGGCTGCTCAGGACCGAGGCTGAGACGGGCGACCAGGACGGGATTGTATGGCTGCAGGAGGCTACACAGTCCCAGGAGGCTGCTTCTAAGAGGCCCACGTGGCCTGCATGGGGATGCGCCTGGCTGTCCAGCATGTGGTCATTTGAATTGTACATGTTTCACTGGGATGCCTACAGAAAAGTAGACAGAAGATGTGGAAAAAGTTTTTGAAATGTTGCAAACTTAGCTACTTTTAAAATAAAAAAAATAGCTTTATAATTATAAAAGCAATATGTAAATCTTAAAATAATTTGCTACATTCTAGTAAGCATCTTATGATCTCTATGTGCCCTATAACATTATGTTGTATAGTTTAAATATATACAATAAAATCTATTTTAAAAAATAGCAGGCAATTAAATCTCATTTTAAAAAGAGTCAGTTTAACTCCCTTCTAATTTCTACCCCTCGTTTTCCCTCTGTGTGTGTGTATGTGTGTATGTCATCTTCGTTAAATGGCTCAATGCATTCCGAATATTTTTTCCGTTGTCTTCATGATATATTCATGGGAAGGGGAGTATGTGGCTTATTGCTGTTAGTTTATCAATAGAGAATGCTGGCCAAATGTCTTTAAGAGTAATGACGATCTCAATAGCGGTAATGACAGCTACCACTTTCGGAGCTCCTCCTGCCTACCAGGCACCACTGGGGTCCCTCTCTGCAGCCCCTCACGCCATCCTCCTAGTCACTTTCTGAGGTGTGTGTGGTCATCCTCCCATTTGCAGGAGGGCTCTGAAGCACAGGAAGGTTCGATACTTACCCCATGGCCGGGATAAGATGGGCCAGGGCCAGGCTGTGAACTAAGGCAGAGAAGGGGCTCTCCAGCACCTTTCCTGAGCCCTTGCCTCCTCTGCCTCTGCCCCATGGCCATCTGGTGGGTGGACACAGCTAAGCCATGGCTAGAACCCAGCATTCTCATGACTGCTTTAACCATAGAAAATCACAAGTTGCAAGCAACGGGACACACATTTACTTGTCTACATTAGCACTTGTGATGAAGATAATTCATGCTATTTTTTTCCCCATTCGGAACGTACCTGTCCTTAGAATAGTTAGAGAAGTTTTATGAGGATTGTGTAACTAGCATTAACTTAGGTCACCTAATTCTTGATCAACCAAATCGCAGGTCAAACAAAGGAGGCCTATGCCTTCATAGAAAGCATCAGTTAATGTCCATTTAAAAACTGATGCTGGCCGGGCCCGGTGGCTCATGCCTGTAATCCCAGCACTTTGGGAGGCCGAGGCGGGTGGATCACGAGCTCAGGAGATCGAGACCATCCTGGCTAACACGGTGAAAACCCATCTCTATTAAAAATACAAAAATTAGCTGGGCGTGGTGGCACATGCCTGTAATCCCAGCTACTTGGGAGGCTGAAGCAGGGAGAATTGCTTGAACTCTGGAGGTGAAGGTTACAGTGAACCAAGATCGTGTCATTTCACTACAGCCTGGGTGACAGAGCGAAAGTCTGTCTCAAAAAAAAAAAACAAACAAACTGATGTTGCATCTTCCAGTCTAAAATAAAAATACATTGTTAACCATTTTTATGTTTACAAAACCTACAGTTTTATAGTTCTAAAAGTAGTACATGTTCATTACTTTTTATTTATTTATTTATTTTTTGAGACAGAGTCTCACTCTGTGGCTGGAGTGCAGTGGCGCGATCAAGGCTCACTGCAAGCTCCGCCTCCCGGGTTTACGCCATTCTCCTGCCTCAGTCTCCCGAGTAGCTGAGATTACAGGCATGAGCCACCGCGCCCAGTCCATGTTCATTACTTTTTAAAGATCAGTCAATTAAAGCTAATTTTTAAGAAAGAATTAAGCTTATATATTCTTCCAATGTCTAACATCTATTTTCTTATAAGTGTGTCTTATTTCATGGAAATAATGCCTCATTTATTATTTTAGTAAGTTTTGGCAACCTAGTTAACTCAGTTCACTTGTCCAGTATGTCAAATCTTCATTTTACTCTGGGACCAACTGTGAAGACATCTGGAACCAAGGGGTGTGGTAGGGGTTATATGGCTCTGTTGTTTGTAGTTAGCTTTGCATTTTTGCTTCTTGATCATTAGATCAGAAACTAGACCTCATCTCATGAGTGCTTATGTATTGATTGATTATTTGGGTCAGTCAGGGTTGCTGACATTTGAAATGCATGCAGGGTAGGAATAAAATGGTTGTGATGCATTTGGTTAGCAAATAGCCCACTTTCCCAGGACTGATGAGAGGGACATTTGGAGGCTCATGACAGGCAGCATGATAGAGGGGAGTCAGCCTGGTCTCACCGGCAGGTCTTCAAAGCTCAGACTTTCGTGTCTGTGGAAGGCTGGGTTACACGATTTAACAAAAACAAACCTGAAGAGTCCTCTTGTCATTGGTAAGCTCCCATCCCCAGAAATCATCCAGTATATTTCTCTCTCCACACCTGGGAGACACTTTCGATTCATCTAGAAGTTTCTTGAATTGTTCTTTGGCTAGCAGCAATTTACTTTTCTTTTCCTTGTATTCTTCTTTTATTCTTGTCTTGACAAACTGTTCAAATATCTTAAAACACAGACACAGAAGAAAAACATCTGACATTTTGGTATCTTTCATCTGACCATCCATATCCAATGTTCTCATTTAAACATTACCCAGCATCATTGTTTATAATCAGAAACTCTGGTCCTCCTGTCTGGTGGCACTTAGAGTCTTTTGTGCCATAATGCAGCAGTATGGAGGGAGGATTTTATGGGGAAATGGGGATAGTCTTCATGACCACAAATAAATAAATAAAGGAAAACTAAGCTGCATTGTGGGTTTTGAAAAGGTTATTATACTTCTTAACAATTCTTTTTTTCAGGGACTTTTCTAGCAGTATGACTGTTACTTGACCTTCTTTTAAAAGCATTCCCAAAATGCTCTATTTTAGATAGATTAACATTAACCAACATAATTTTTTTTAGATCGAGTCAGCATAAATTTCTAAGTCAGCCTCTAGTCGTGTTTCATCTCTTTCACCTGCATTTTATTTGCTGTTTGTCTGAAGAAAGGAAAGAGGAAAGCAAATACGAATTGTACTATTTGTACCAAATCTTTGGGATTCATTGGCAAATAATTTCAGTGTGGTGTATTATTAAATAAAAAAAAAACTTTGTTTCCTAGGTTGAAGGTCTAATTGATACGTTTGACTTATGATGACCGTTTATGCACTTTCAAATGAATTTGCTTTCAAAATAAATGAAGAGCAGCTGTCCTTCTTTCCTCTTTTAAGTGTTCAGCTGTGGCATGCTCAGAGGTTCCTGCTGGATTCCAGCTGGAGCAGTGTGATACCCTTCTTTTTCAGCTGTTCGTGCCTTCCTTTCTTGTATCCACCAAAGTGGAGACAAAAACATGATCTCAAAGATACACAGTACCTACTTAATTCCAGCTGATGGGAGACCAAAGAATTTGCAAGTGGATGGTTTGGTATCACTGTAAATAAAAAGAGGGCCTGGGAATTCTTGCGATTCCAAAAAAAAAAAAAAAAGAAAAACATCATGAAATTGCATATTAGAAATGAAATCTTGTATTCCAAGCACAACATGAGAAAGCAGCAAGAATCTATGGCAAAAGCTGTTCTTGTTCACAGCTGCTGGAGTTATGAGCAATAGCCTTTCAGCATAGCTCTCAAGGATCCAAGCGGTCTGAATAATTAAACCTGGGTCCCCACACGGCCCGGCGTTTCTCTACATGCAGGTGCCATTTCTGGGTCAAATGTGAAACAGCCCTGCTGGAGAAACCCGGAGAATGACTTGGCTGCCCTCTCTGCAGGCGTCTGGAACCAAGTGGTGGTTTGGAACCTGTGCTGTAGGCTGCAGTGGTCCTCACTGTGGCCTCTGAGCAGCATCCGTCATGCGCGGCCTCCTCACTTTCTCATCACGGCCAGTGGCACCAGAACATAGTAGAGCACTTAGTTCATGCTAGTCACTTCCTAGGGTGACGTAATTGACATTCTCCCAAAATGAGTCTCCCAAAAATGACCTTAACTTGTGAAAAGAAAGTAAATTCTGCATCTCTGATCCCCACTTGTGAACCTGGGTGTCTGGCACCTTGGGGAGGACTCAGGGCGCATAAGCGGCCTCTTCTGAGGAGGTCACGGGATGCCAGGCTGCCTGGGTCATCAGTGTGGAAACAACTGGCCAGGAGGCCTGACCCTCAGGTACTGGGCACGCCCCTGTCTGACCAGAAATGCATCTCAAATGCTGCCCCAAACAGGAAAACCCTGTTCTTCAGTGGGAAGAACACGCACATCAGCCGGCAGGCAATTCTGGGCAAGTCTCCAGGGCACTTCTCCTGGAACCTGGCAGCCCACATAACGAGATGCAATCTCTTTGTGACAGGCCACAGAACCTCTTCTCTGTCAGAGTAAGATGGATCACTGTTCTAACAACTGAAAAACGGTCATTTATGGACTACAGAGTCAAAGAGGGACAAAGTTCTTTCATTCCTCATGCTACCCCAAACTCAAGAATGTTAAAAATAAACTGAAGATAAGTGCTTATGCAAACATAAATAAAAATATCAAGAGAAAGTCCACATAGGATCCTATAAGGCCAATAAATAGCAACTGTGCACCAATCCAACCAACTGCCAGGCCGATCCTAGAATGTGACCGAGGACCAAGCAGGCAGCTTCTTCTACACTCATGCCAAGTGAGTGGGGATGAGAAAGGAAGGGCAGGCAGGTGAAAGCCTCGACCCCAGCACTGCTCAGCCCCTTCTCCTGAGCAGCTCTCTTCCCACTTTTCTTATTGTTTCAGATTCCATGTCAGTAGTGGCAAACCTTTACAGGATTATGAATACAAAATGCCACTGGTCTCCTGAAGATACAGCAGCAAAATGAAACATCCACAAATATGACTTAAATTGAGAATATGTGCATGTCTATGTAAGTAAGAATATGATTGGCTTCTTTTTTTTTTCCTTTCTTTCTTTTTTTTTTTTTTTGAGGCAGAGTCTTGCTCTATTGCCCAGGCTGGAGTGCAATGGCATGATCTTGGCTTACTGCAACCTCTGCCTCCTGGGTTCAAGCAGTTCTCCTGCCTCAGCCTCCCAAGTTGCTGGGACTATAGGTGTGTGCCACCATGCCCAGCTAATTTTTTTTGTATTTTTAGTAGAGACAGGGTTTCACCATGTTGGCCAGCCTGGTTGCGAACTCCTGACCTCAGGTGATCCACCCGCCTCAGCCTTACAAAGTGCTGGGATTACAGGTGTAAGCCACCATGCCAGGCCATAATTGGCTTCTTATACCTTCAAGGCAAATAGCAATGTAAGTTCTTAGTTATCTTATATTTAACTAATAAAAAATGAATGCAGGGTTATTATCCAAATAAAAGCATGTGGCTCCATCATTAGCTAGAGTTTTGCTCTATTAATTTTAGACCTAGAGAGAAAGCCTGGCTGGCTGTGGGGTCAGGGCTCTTCAGAAATGCCTGCTTCTCTCTCTGCCTAGAACCGTTTCTCCATCTCATCAAATGCTTCTCTCTTTCCTCTCCCTTTGCTCTGTTACTTTATTTTATGCTGCTATAATTTAACATCGCAGGTTTTGTTTTTCATCCTTAACAAATTATACCAGCTTTATCCAAAGTGGAGCATGACTTTTTAAAAGAGATTCCATTGGCTATTATATCATTGCTGTATGTTCTACCGCAATAAAACAAAACACTATTTGTTGCCATAGAAACAGGCCTGATTCACACTGCCTTGACCCTGATTCTGTGTAGGATCACCCTCTTCTCCTGTGCAGCTCATCCAGCAGAGGAAGGGCTGTGATTTTCACACCAGGGGCCTTAGCTTTCCCCATGAAAACGCTGTATGACACTAGGTCCTGTACAGATTCTATGTCTGATACTTCTAACCCAATTTCTTCCTAAATAGGACTGTGGTCTTTGGATGGGGTCCAGCTATGATTTCTTTCCATCCCACTCCTCATACGAGCTGCCATGCTCCCCTTTGATGAGGTTGCAGGCACTTCTTCTGAGCACTCTCTGGACCCTCCAGTGCACTGGCTACGGCGTGGCCTGCTTCCTCCTCTTTCCCACTGGACCTTCTGGGACCAAGTTGCAGGACGTTAGGACAGGCCCACAGTTTCCTCTGGGTGATCTCACGGGGACCTTTAAAGGTTTTCCCCAGGCAATAGGTACTTAGCATGAGCTATATTCTCATCTCATCTATTTGCAGAGGACCCACCCAGGCAAGGCCAGGGCATCCCAGCCCAGGCAGGCCCAACCCCATCAGGGCTGGCATCTGTGGTCTCTGACGATGGCCTGAGGAAGGTCCAGCCTCACAGTGCTCCCTTTGATGAGCCCTGGGTGGGATGCCCACGTCCCCCAGACATCAGGGGACCAGCCCTGCCCTGCCCATGAACCACTTCCAACCAGCAAGCAGACTGGGCCCCTGTGTTCCCAGCTGTTCTAAGAGATGTGCCTTAGCATTTAAACTAGAATATTTGGAAGGGGCTTGATCATAAATTGTAATTTTCTTTTTGTGGTGAGGATGATCTTACTTATTCAATGTTTTTTAAAGGGACTAACAGCCTCAAAAGGTATCTATGGCACAGAGAGAGAACAACTGGCAACAGCAAACAAGTCGGTGGTGGCACACGTGGCACGTGCCACGCACACCACACACAACCCACACACCACACACAGCACACATGCCCCACACACCACACACACCCCAGATGTACTGATGATTTTAGACACTGCCCGGTTTATGGCTCCTGCCTCTGTCCTCCAGTGATTCTGTCACATAAAAACACAGGCTCCTTGTTATGCTTTTTCACAGCCGATTTTTTTTTTTTTTGAGATGGAGTTTTGCTCTTATTGCCCAGGCTGGAGTGCAGTGGCGTGATCTCAGCTCACTGCAACCTGTGCCTCCCGGGTTCAAGTGATTCTCCTGCCTCAGCCTCCTGAGTAACTGGGATTACAAGCAAGCACCACTACACTTGGCTAATTTTTGGCATTTTTAGTAAAGACAGCGTTTTGCCATGTTGTCCAGGCTGGTCTGGAACTCCTGACCTCAGGTGATCCGCCCACCTCGGCCTCCAAAAGGGCTGGGATTACAGGCATGAGCCATCGTGCCCAGCCCATAGCTGAAATTTTTGATTTTTAAAATTGCAAAAAAGGGCGAAATATGACCAGTTATTAATGTCTATGGTTTTCCTTTGCTATAGGAAAAATATATATAACACCCAAACTCAGCTAACTCTATTGTAGCATTATTTTGAGGCTGTGATAACACATTTTGCATATTTTAAAATATTTCTTTATAGAAAATGAAACTCAGCTAGAAGACAATAAAATATTATTAATTCCAAGTTCTTGCAAGGTTCAAGTTCTGTATTCCAAGGCAGTCAATCCTGGGAACACGTCACACTGCCCAGCCTACCCCTGAGCCTGCACCAGCGAGAGGGTACAGTTCCAACGAGCGGAGTGGTGGGTCGAGGGCTCGGAATGGGAGTGAGGACAGAGCGGGAGTTGGTTACAACGAGCAACGCGGGTCCATATGACTGAGACTCTGTGGGTTCGCGCTTCACTGACACCATCTCAGGCATTTGCTTAAAGGGACTTTATGAGCAGAGGACAGAATTGAAAATAAAATGGCAATTCCCATACCCTCCATCTGGGGCTTTATCAGACTCTGCTGGTGTGAGAAATCCAGTGGACACCAACATGGGGGCCCCTGGTCACAGAACCCCTCCTCCCCTAATTAACTCTGGCTCTTCTGTTTTCAGCGGCTCTTCTTGATAGCTCACCTTCCACGTGCATCATTTCTGAACTCAAAGGGCAAAGAGAGGGCAAGATGTGGCCGCACACATGGAGTCTAACTGGGGCAGGGAAGTCCGGACCTTCCAGAGTCTATCTCAGGGCCCTTCTCAGACACGCTCCACGGGCCACACAAACCCAGGCTGTGCCCGCTGATGCTGTCAGACCATCGGTCCCTCTCCCAGCAACAACAGGCCCCTCCTGTGAGCCAACACCATCTGTCCCTCTGTTTGATACGGAAAGCAGTGTTGGCTCAGGGACCTACTTTGTGAAAAGCTAGGGCAGACCCCTGGCAAGTCTCTCCTTAAAATAGCCCCCGGAGAACCCCCTCTAATCAATTCCGTGTTTTGTGGGCGGTGTTTTGTAGAACTCCACCCTTCACTGTGCTGCGGTTGTTCTCTGGACCACTCCTATTTCATCAGTGTTATTGTCAACCTGAAGAACAAGCAGAAAGAGGCTCTCTGAAATGAAATGGATGCTTATTTGGGAAGAGAGCATTGCAACGGGAATACACATGCCATCGTAAATGACAAGAATATTCAGGGAGGTAAAAAAAAAGACAATAATTTTTAAGGAAAAATAAATGAGAGGATTAAATCATTGTTTTGAAATAATTATCTTTGGCTACAGAGATCCATACCAGGACAAAGCCAGTCTGAGGTTGGACAGGCAGTTGTTGGGCAGGTGTCCTTGCAGAAGTGCTTTTTGTGTGTATAAGGTTGTGATGAGCCAGGTGCGGTGGCTCACGCCTATAATCCCAACACTTTCGGAGCCCAAGGTGGAAGGATTGCTTGAGCCCAGGAGTTCAAGATGAGCCTGGGGAATATACAGCAACCAAATCTCTACAAAAAGTACAAAAATTAGCCAGGCGTGGTGGCTGGTGCCTGTAGTCCCAGCTACTCAGGAGGCTGAGGTGGGAGGATGGCTTGAGCCCAGGAAGTGGAGGTTGCAGTGAGCCAAGATTGCACCACTGTACTCCAGCCTGGGCAACAGAGCCAGATCCTGTCTAAAATAAAATGAAATAAAATAAAATAAAATAAAAGGTTTTTACGGCCTTGTGTGCAAGACTGTGGTTCTCGTAGAGTCTTTTTAGTTATCAGGTATACAAGTATGAGAACCCTCTCTTCATGGCCTTCCTCCATTCTATTTGTTAGGGGTTTCTTAACATTAGTGACTTCATTTTGATTCTGACAACTTTCATATTACATAAGACTTTAAGCATATAAAACCTTAAGGTCTTATGTAAGACCACCTATTTCACTATCTTTATATAATACCTGAAGTATTTCGTATTTTTAACATATGATTTATAGTCATTTGGAATGAGGGTTAATGTTCCTAAAATTTACATGTTCATCTTTAAAAGTATTTGTCTTCCAGGGTCATAACCAAATACTGAGGTAAGAATAATGACCAGAATAACCTTCCTCAGTCCCTCTAACTCTGCTTACAAGCTCGCAAGCTACAGTACTGGAGCTGTAACTCCTCCCCACTGGCCAAATTTACAACATGGGTGTCTGTTATTCAGCAATGAAAAGCTCCCCAGATCCAGGATGCAACAGTCGCTTTCATGCTGCGTCTCTGCAGTCAAAGTGCCTTCCCACCCCGTTACCTGCTTTCGTTCCTCAGAGTTGAGCAGGAGATAGCGTGGGTCAAACACGATTTTGTGTAATTCTTTCTCCCAGGTAGAAAATGCTGATACCTAAAGAAAGATATTCAATAGAGTGGCTGTTAGCATCTAATGCTAAGCCTGAAGCTGCACTGAAATGATCCACAGTTAAAAACAAGTGAACAACAAAAACCATCATTAAAGTACAATAGATTCAGTGATGTGGTGCAGTATAAGTGTTAGACATGTCAGACGTTCCAAGAAAATCAATACCTAGAACATCAGAAAATTTAATTTCTAGACTTGTGACTATTTCTTTCTTGGGTATCTTTCAGGGCTGTCTCTCCCGATCTGAAACCCCAATTATACCTGTGAAGGCATGGCATTCTGGAACACCCCATTTCAAAAGGAGAAATTATATTTGTAAAAATTTTCAGAACCCCTACAGACCATAACAAAGAGTAATGTCTTGAAAACAGGCTGAGTTTAGTTGATTTGTAATCAAAGTTTAACCTCTTTTAGGTAGGTCATTTTTAAAATAAATTATTTTGTTTGCAATAGTTTTACATGTACTAAAAATTTGCAAGAATATTACAGAAAGTTATCATATACTCATACCCAATTTCTCACGTTGTTAACATATTAGTAGGCTAGATTCGTCACCACTAACACTGATACATTATTACTAACAATAGTCTGCATTTATTCAGATTTCTTTAGGTTTTACCCAATTTTCTGTTTTTGCCCAGGACCCCATCACATTTGGCTGCCATATCTCCTTGGACTCCTCTTGGCTGTGACAGGGTCTCAGACGGCCCTTGCCGTTGATGACCTTGATGGTTTGAAGAGCCCTAATCAGGTGCATTGCAGGACGCTCCTCAGTTGGGATTTGTCTGAGGCTTTCCTCGTAAATAGCCTGGGGTTATGGGTTTTGGGAGGAAGACCACACAGATAAATGCCATTCTCATCATGTCATAACAAGGGTACACACGCTGCTGACATGACTCTTCACTGACAGTGGTGGCTGTAGTCGGCTGGCTGAGGTCTCCCCACTGTGAAGTCCCCCTCTCCATGCTGTACTCTCTGGAAGGACGTCGCCATGCACAGCCGACACTTAGGGGTATGGGTTGTGCTCCACTTCCGAGGAGGAGAAGTAGCTACATGAGTGACTGGGAAATGTCCTGGGGGGGATACTCATCCATGCCTCCACATTACTTATGTACTCAATCTTTTATTTATATTGCTATGGACTCATGGATACTCAGCCCATGCTCGGGCTGGACTCCAGTGTGACTTTGCTTCTTTTCCTGCTCAGCTTCTTCGAGGTTGGCCTTGGTGAGCTCCCGTGGTGGGTTCCCAGCTCCTGTGTGCCTCTGACAGGTGCTCATCACTTGGCTTTTTGGGCATCTCCTTAATTTCTGCTACTAAAGATGCTCCTGGCTTATCTTCTGCATGTCCTGCCTTTGCCCTTGAATCAGTCAATTCTCCAAGAAGCTCTGGCTCCTTTCCTAGAACAGTGTTAGAAACCAAGATCTGGGCACTGGTGTGTTCATTGCTAGTGAGGTGTTGTTGCTTCTAGACTCTCTCAGCTGATAGAGCAAGGGAATGTTTAAGCCATTTAGAACATAAATGCATTCATTTAAAAACATGGACTATGTATTCACTGTGCCTTGGGCCCCAAGCTGGGTGTTGAGGATCTTGAGAAAATAAATCAAGGAAGCCCATGGTCTAGGGTAGTGCTGGTGAGGAGATAACAGACTCTTGAGATGGCACTAGGGCCATGGCGGAGACAGACCTGGACACTAGTGGGACCCAGCAAAGACCCACAGCAGCCTGGGGAGGCGGCTTCCAGAGTGCTGCGACTTTGGAACATGAATACTCCTGAGGGTTCACAAACGAGCCTGGGGGGTATTCCAGGACCAGCTGGTAGGGGGGCAAAGGTTGGGTCATGAACTATGGGGAATGCAAGAATTGCAAGAGGTTGAACATGCCTGGGGGTGCAGAGACAGAGGCTGAGGTGCAGGGCAGTCTGAGACATGGTTAGGAGCCTGGGCATTCTCTTGAGAGACAGGGGAGAAGAAAATTCAGATGGAGCGTTCATTTCAGGAAGGCCACCCTGGGATCTGGGCAGGAGATGAATACCTGGCAGGGTCAGGGAAGGGAAGGTAATTGAAAGTTTACAAAAACAAAACCCCATTCACATTCTTAAAGTATTCTTCATAGAGGTACTATTTCAATAAACACATGCTTTATTTGTATATTATAACAGATGAATTTTCTTCACTGGCAATTTCTATCTTTAACTGTCAAATTTAAGCCTTTTCTGTAATACCCATGAGCTCTTTTATTGGGTGGGATGACCCAGGGTCCAGCCAGGGATTCTCCTCCACAGAGTGAGAACACGGTGAAGCATAGCTGGGACTCAGGGCGAGGTGGCGATTCAGGGGGGTTTCCAGGCAGAATGGATCCGTTTAGCTTCGACTGAGTGCACCTGCCCCCAGGAGCGGGTCTCCAGGCAGAATGGATCCCTTTAGCTTTGACTAGTGCACCTGCCCCCGGGAGCATCTGGGGCTGTTAGAGAAGCTGTGGGCAGCCTCCACTCAGCCCAATCAGATGGCACACACCCACCTCATGGGGACCTGTGCACAGCTGGATGGTCCCAGCTCTGCAGGGAGAGAGGATTAGACCCTGTGTGGCATAACGACACCAGTTTCTGGAAAATGTTGGAGTTCTAGAAGTATAATAAAATAATTTTTCAATTAATGATGTGTAGTTTTTGCCCCCGAAGGGATTTATAATCTCTATAGAAGGTCAGATAAGCCATCTCTACAATGATTACAACTCATAATGATAAAACCAACTGTGTCATGTCAGGGACAGTTCAGGGAAGGGTGAGAGCACAGTGGCTGGGACCCAGGATGGAGGTGGGGGCTGAAGTGAAGGCTGCACAGCCATGTGTGAAACAGGGTCTTTCCCTGACCTCCAGGTGGGCGCAGGACTTCTCCCAAAGGGTCCTGACAGCTATGGGGACGAGGAGTCCTATGAACTGCTCCTGAGGGAAGCCCGTCGTTCCCGAGCCTGTGTGAAACACTTATGATGCCCAGAGAGTACATTCCATGGGGCCACGATTGCACACGTGTGTGTGACTATACACACACACATAAGCACACACACCACACATACAAACATTCACAGAGGCGCATGTACACATGCAAACACATGAACACACCCAGGACACGCTAAGATATGCATACACAGGCACACATGTACATAGTTGCACAAATGCATACATATGTACAAAGATGCACACATTGATACACACATGCACATGTGTGCCTACACACACACACACACACACACACACACACAGTACCACTACCACCACCAAGGAAGTCCAACATTGTAGAACAACCAGGGGAAGAAAGCCCGTCAACTGAGTAGACAGCAAGCTGCGTATCTCTTTTAAGTCCGTCTATGTCGTGGGACTGTTCTGTAAGTGGCCGTGGACAAACCCAGCTCTCCCTGTTTCTGGCTGGTACCTCTCCAGAATGACTGGAATGCACTGGGAATGCAACAGACTGAGAACAATCAGGCTTTGTTTGGGCCCCGCCCCAGAAACAAGACATCCTTCAAGCTTTAGCCCAGCATTCACAGGACCCCAGGGTATAAAACCCACTGCGGGCTGCTTTCTGGGATCCCTTGGTTACAGCAAAGGGTAGATGCGACTCCGTCCCCTCCTTGCAGCTTTCCTGGGCCTGGGGGACTGGCTTACAAGCACCTTCATCTTCTACCACCCTTGCTTCCTGTCTGCGGGGAATAAACGCACTTCAGATGATTTGCTGCTCATCTTCTACCACCCTTGCTTCCTGTCTGCAGGGAATAAACCCACATTCCCTGCCCTCCAGCACTGAATAGTATCCGTGGAGGACTAGTGGAGAATAAAGAATTTTGCTGTTGCCCAGAGATGACCAGGCCACCCCCACGTCCTGTATTGTCTGTGGAGGTCACATGCGGCCAGTAAGGAGGAATGTCTACCTCTCCCAGGCATCGGGGTATCAATGGGCACCCCAATGGGGAGCCAGGATTGCTATCCTCACCTATGCTGTAATAAAGGCCCCCCTGTGTGTATTGATGGAGCTCAAGTGGAAAGATGGATTATACCCTCACCGAACAGTACCAAAGTGTCTTCTCCTTCACCTGCTGGAGGGATGCCAGCTAAAACCAGCCAGAACAGAAGATTCAGATCATACACAGAATCTCATAATATCCCGAATGACCAGATTGCAATAGAAAAATCACTCATATGAAGAAAGCAGAATACTTCAAAGCAAATTAAAACACAAAATCAGTAGATGTTGAAATTGAGATGACAGTGATGCTAGAATTATCTGACAAAGATTTTAAGTCAGCCATCATCAAAAATGTGTTTCCATTTATGCAATTGTGGACAGATTTAAGCAAATGAAAAAAAAAAAAACCCAGAAAATTGCTGCAAATAAACAGCAGATTTATAAAAGAAACAAAAAGAAATGTTAGGGCTAAAACATACAATAACAAAATGAAACACTAAACCACAGAACAGGGGGGCAGAGGGAATAATCAGATGATACTGCACCTGGAAGACTGTTTGCCACTTGAATATAGAACAATAAAATTACCCAATCTAAATAATAGTCAGAAAATAGACCAAACAAATGAACAGAGCTTCAGGGATGTAGAACAATAAAATTACTCAACCTATAGTCAGAAAATACACACACACACACACACACACACACACACACACACACACACACACACAAAATGAACAGAGCTTCAGGGCCTGTAGGACAATAAGAAAAGTTCTAAAGTTTGTGTCAACAGTCCTGGAAGAGAAGAAGGGAGAGGGTGGGTGCGGAAAGTACACAAAGAAAGAGTGTCTGAACACTTCCCAAATTTGGCAAAGGACAAAACTATAGATTCAAGAAGCTGAGCAAATCTTAAATGGGATAAATGGAAAGAAATCCACATTAAGACACATTATAGTCAAACTTATGAAATGCACATATCATAGTAAAAGTATAAAGACTAGAGACAACAAAAATATTTTAAAAGCAGCGAGAGCCAGACATGGTGGCTCACACCTGTAATCCCAGCACTTTGAGAGGCACAGGCAGGTGGATCACCTGAGGTCAGGGGTTCAAGACCAGCCTGGCCAACATGGTGAAACCCCGTCTCTACTAAAAATACAAAAATTAGCAGATTCTTCATCAGAAGCCATAAGGCCCTAAGGAAATGGTTGGACAGTTTTCAAGTACTGAATGGAAAGAAACATCAACCCAGAATCCTATGCCCAGCAAAATATACCCTTCAGGAATGAAGAGAAAATTAGAACGTTCGAAGACAATAGAAAACTAAGAGAAAGTATTGCCAATAGATTCCTTCAAAAGAATGGTTAAAGGAAGTTCTCTAGACAAACAGTAAGCAATAAAAGAAGGAATCTTGGGACACTAGGAAAGAAGATAAAAACCTTGGTTTTTCCACAACCCTTTACTGTAACCCAGACATTCTTTTCTGTTGATTCCAGCTCTTTAGATAATAACCAATTGCTAATTAGAAAATCTTTGAATCTGCTATGACCAGGAAGCCTCTGCTTCCGGTTGTCCTGCCTTTCCAGACTGAACCAATGTATATCTTACATATATTGTTTGATGTCTTATTTCTTCCTAAAAGACATAGTTTATAAACCAATTTGTAGGCTGACTACCATGGGCACATGTCATCAGGGCCTCCTGAGGCTTGTCACAGGCATGTCCTTAGCTTTGGCAAAATAAACTCCCAAATTAATTGAGACTAGGCTCAGGTACTTTTGGTTTATAGTTTTCTCAGTAGAGGGTGCTTGGAGAACACTGCAAGGAGAAACGGGCTGTCCTGCTGCTTCTGGGGCCATAAAGTTGAGAAGTGGTATGAGGTGGGTGCTCTGCCCAGTCATGTGCCCAGAGGGGAGTCACTCAGTGACCTCAGAGCCTGGCCTGTCTCTTGCCCTCTGGACATAGACACAGCACTCACTATTCCTCCAGTCCCGCTAATGCATTCACTTCCTTTGCTCACCTGCACCCCACCTGCACTGCAGAGGGTTGCCATTGGCACCTTCCTCCCTCTGAAAACCTGCATGCCGGGTTTCCTGCACCCCGAAGTTGCTTCCTGCCTGCCCAACTAGCAACTGAGGGCCAACTCGCCTGGGAAAATCAGCAAATGTCTCTACCTCCCAGTGGGTTGCAACTGTACCTTCTCCAGTGAGGTCTGAACCTCAGACTTGGGGAGGGGTCCCCCTTTCAAGCTTGTCCTTCTTTGAGTACTCTACCTCAGTCCAAAAGTACTACAGAGTTTTATTATATATTATAGTTACTCTTTTCTTTTAAATAAATTTTTAATTTTAGAAAAGCTTTAGATTTACAGAAAAGTTGCAAAGACAGTACAGATTGTTCCAATATACTCTACATCCTATGTCTGCCATTGTTTACATCTTACATTACCAACGTACGTTAGTCATAGCTAATGAACCAACATTGGTATTATTATAGTTTACTATTAGCTAAACTCTGTATCTAATTAAAATTTCATTAGCTTTTCCCCAATGTTCTTTTTCTGTTCCAGGATCCCATTCAAGATACTACATTAAATTTACTCATGTCTGAAAAAAATGTCTGTGTCCTAACTCCCAGAACCTGTCAAAATGTTAGGTTACATGGCAAAAAGGAACTACAATTTCAGATGAAATTAAGGCTGCTAATGCACTGATCTTAAAATAGGAGGGTTAGAGGAGTAATGTCAGCAAGATGGAAGACTAGGAAGCTTCCAGAAATCCCCCATATAAATGTAGAATAAACATCTAAATACTGGCTAAAATAGCCTTATAGGAGCCCTTGAAATCAGTAAAGATTACAGCAACCAAGCAAAAGCCCAATCAAGAAAAAGTTATATTCAAAACAGTAAAAAAAGTTCATGGCATTTTAATTTGCCCTTGCCCTACTCCCTCCCTGGAACTGTACAGTATGATTTGGGGGAAGCAGCAACCCAGTCCCCAGTTACCCTATGGGGCAACTGAGCAGAGAGAGCAGGGTAGGCCAAATTTGCAACATTCTAATCTGTCCAGGGATTGCCTGATTAATCTCTGTGTCACCTAACTGAGAGCTCAGATGGCCAAATGAAGCACACCTCAGACTGGACAAAGCTGTGAAATGTAACTTATGAAAGCTTCAGGGGGATTACAGACCTGCAGATGCCTGGGGCAAGAGGTTAGTGATTGAGAAATACAGTAGAACTGCTAAGACCCTGGGAAGAGGCAGGGGTGACACTCACAGAAATGACGTCATGAAAAGCAGCTGTGTATAAGGTGGACTGGAGAAAGGCATGCACACAGGGAAGACATATGCCCAGAAAAGACCTGAGAAGACTTTAAGTGTTCATGATGAACTGATACTTGAAGATCTTCCCCTATACAGAGCCAGTCTATAAAGACAGAGGTGGCTGTTTTTTCAACTGCCAGTTTTCAACGAAAGGTCACAAGAAACGAGAAAACATGGCCCACTCACAGGCACAAAATAACCCTCTAAAAGTTGTTCCTGAAGATAAAAGGCATCAGGCTTACTAGCAAATACTTTAAAACTACTGTCTTAAATATGCTTAAAGAGCAAAAGAAAAACACAAAGAACCCCCCGCCCAAACCAGGAAAATGATATATGAGCAAAATGAAAATATCAACAAACAGAATTTATATAAAAATAACCAAACAAATTCTGGAGCTGAAAAATCTCACATCTGAATTGAAAAATTCATCAGAATTCATCAACAGATTCAAACAGGCAGAAGAAGGAATCAGTGAACCTGAAGACAGGCCCTACTGAATCTGAGGAGCAAAAAGAAAAAAGAATAAAGAAAAGTGAACAGAGCATAAGGAATTTATGGGGTGCCATCAGGTAGACCAATACATGCATTATGGGGCAGGTGGGTCTTAGTAGGATAAGACATAGAGAAAGGGGAAGGAGATAGGCAGATTATTTCAAGAAATAATGACCCAAAACTTCCCAAATTTGACGAAAGACATAGACACGTAAATCCAAGAAACTTAATAAAATCTGAAGAAATACACAATAAAATACATAAATTGTTGAAAGACAAAAAGAGACTCTTGAAAGCAATAAGGAAAAAGCAACTTATCACATACATGGTGCTACAGTTTGAATGTCTGTCCCCTCTAAAACTCATGTTGAAATTCAGTTGACACTGTAACACTAGTAAGATGTGAAACTTTTGAGATGACTAGGCCATGATGGCTCTACCCTCATTGGTGGGATGAATGTCACCAGAAAATGGGAAGTTCAGGTTCCCTTTGTCTCTCTCTCTCACCCCTGTTGCTCTTCTGCCACGTGATGCTTGTCACCATGGGATCACACAGTAAGAAGGTGACATGGAAGAAGACCCTCACAATATGCCAGCACCTCGATACTGGATTTCTTGGTCTCAACAACTGTTAGCCAGTAAATTTCTGCTCAGTATAAATTGCCCAGTCTCAGGCATTCTGTTAAAGCAGCACAAGATACTTCCTCAAGGAAATTATCAGCATATTTCTCAGCAGAAGTTGTACAGTCCAGAAGTTAGTGGGATGGTATAATTAAAATGCTGAGGAAAAAAAACAACCAAAAATTCTATATCTAACAAAACTGTCCTTCAAAAGTGAGGGAGAAATTAAGATATTCCAGATAAAAGCTGAAGGACCTGCCCTACAAGAAATGCTAAAGGGAATACTTCAAAAGGAATAAAGGATGCTAGACAGTAACTAGAAGCCATGTAAAAATACAGATTTTCCATAAAGGCAAATCTATGGATAAATATAAAAATCAGTTTTTGGCTTATAACTTCACTTTTTATTCTTCTACATAATTTAAAAGACAAAAGCATAAAAATAATTATATAGTAATGGGTACACAATATATAAAGATGTAACTGTAACATCAATAATATAAAATGGTGGGTGGTGTTGTAAAGGAGTAGAGTTTTTAAATTGTGATCGGAATTAGCCGGTACCAATTTAAAATACACTGTTACACATGTAGGATGCTATATGTAATCCCCATAGCAACCACAAATATCAATAGAATGTACACAAAAGGAAATGGGAAGGAAATCAAAATATTTCACTACAAAAATCAACTACACAAAAAGGCAATAATGGAGGAAATGAAGGACAAAAAAAGCAATAGGACTTAAAAGAAAATAAATGGCAATAGTCAGTTCTTCCCTATCAGTAATTACTTTAGTTGTAAATGTATTAAACTCTGCAATTAAAAAACATAAATTGGCAGAATTGATTTTTTAAAAATATGATTCAACTAGAGAATATCTACACAGACTCACTTTAGATCTAAAGACACAAATAGGACGCTGGCCACAGTGGCTCACACCTGTAATCCCAGCACTTTGGGAGGCAGAGAAGAGCAGATCACTTGAGGTCAGGAGTTCGAGACCAGCCTGGTCAACATGGTGAAACCCTGTCTCTGCTAAAAATATAAAAATTAACTGGGCATGGTGGCGTGCATCGGTAATCCCAACTACTTGGGAGGCTGAGGCACAAGAATTGCTTGCAGGAGGCAGAGGTTCCAAGGAGCCAAAATCATGCCACTGCACTCCAGCCTGGACAACAGAGCAAGGCTCCATCTCCAAAAAAAAAAAAAAAAAAAGACACAAACAGGGCCAGGTACAGTGGATCACACCTGTTAACCCAGCACTTTGGGAGGCCAAGGCAGGCAGATCACTTAAGGTCAGGAGTTTAAGACCAGCCTGGCCAACGTGGTGAAACCCCAACTCTACTAAAAATACAAAAATTAGCTGGGCATGGTGGTGCACACCTGTAGTTCCAGCTACATCTACTCAGGAGGATGAGGCAGGAGAATCACTCTAACTTGGGAGGCAGAGGTTGCAGTGAGCCGAGATTGCGCCACTGCACTCTAGCCTGGGTGACAGAACAAGACTCCATTTCAAAAAAAAAAAAAAGATAAAGACACAAATAGGTTGAAAGTAAAATAATATAAAAAGGTACCTCTGATTCTAATGTTGGGTGTGTTAGGCCTTAGGTGTAGGTCTCAGGAAACAGAATCTTTCTGACTCCTCTTGTCTTCCCTTCACCTGTCCCAAGGTAGGATCTAATCTTCCCTCACCTCTTCCATGAAACCAGTCCCTGGTGCCGAAAAGGTTGGGGATGGCTGCTTTAGAATAAACTGGCAAACATTAAGTGCTTTCCTGAGCTCTGTAAGCCACTCCAGCAAATTAATCCATCCCAAAGAGGGAACCCCAACTTGAAGCCTGTCAATCAGAAGTTCTGGAGGCCCAGAGTTGTAACTAGTGGTTGGTGGGGGAGCAGTCTTGGAAACTGAGCCTTCAACCTGTGGGGTCTGACATTATGCCCAGGTAGATAGTGACAGAATTTAATTGGAGGATACCCAGCTAGTGTCTACTGCTTGCTGGTGGGGAGAATCCCATACAGTTTGGTTACAGACATCTTCTATGTTGATGACTGTCTTGGTGGTTTGAAAGCAGAAGAAAAACATGGTTTGATGGCTCCACCCCCGCAAAACAGCACCCTATGCAAATAGTAATAAAAAGAGATTAAGACCAAGCGCGGTGGCTCACGCCTGTAATCCCAGCACTTTGGGAGACCAAGGTGGGCAGATCATGAGGTCAGGAGATCGAGATCATCCTGGCCAACATGGTGAAACCCCATCTCTATTAAAAAATACAAAAATTAGCTGGGCATGGTGGTGTGTGCCTGTAATCCCAGCTACTCGGGAGGCTGAGGCAGGAGAATCACTTGAACCAGGGAGTCAGAGGTTGCAGTGAGCCAAGATCGCGCCACTGCACTCCAGCCTGGTGACAGAGCGAGACTCCATCTCAAACAAAAAAAAAAAAAAAAAGAAAAAAGAGAGAGATTGGGGTGACTATAGCAACATTAGACAAAATAGACTTTAAGTCAAAAACTGGTATAAGGTACATGAACACTGTATAATGATAAAAGCATGAACTCACCAAGAAGATATACACATTTTTCTCAAGTGCACATGGAACATTTTCCAGGACAGACTATGGTAGGCCAAAAAATAGGTCTTAATAGTTTAAAAACATTTAAATCATAGAAAATACCTTTTCTGATAAAAATGTAATCAAACTAGAAATAAACAGCAGAAGAATCCACATATATGTGGAAATCAAACAACCTTTCTCTTTTTTTTTGAGACTGAGTTTTGCTCTTGTTGCCCAGGCTAGAGTGCAATGGCATGATCTCGGCTCACTGCAACCTCTGCCTCCTGTGTTCAAGTGATTCTCCTGTCTCAGCCTCGTGAGTAGCTGGGATTACAGGCCCCCGCCACCAGCCTGGCTAATTTTTGTATTTTTAGTAGAGACAGGGTTTCACCATGTTGGCCAGGCTGGTCTTGAACTCCTGACCTCAGGTGATCTGCCCAACTCAGCCTCACAAAGTGCTGGGATTACAGGCATGAGCCACCACACCTGGCCTCAAACAACATATTCTTAAACAAACAATGGATCGAAGAAGAAATTACAAGGTAAATTAGACAGTATCTTTGAATGAAAATACAATATACCAAAATTTATGGCAGCCAGCAAAAGCAGTTCTAGGGGAAATGTATAACTGTAAACACTTCGATTAGAAAAGAAGAAAGATCTCAAATTAATGATGAAACTTTACATCTTAATAAACTAAAAAAAAAAAACCAAAAAACAAAAAACTAACTAAACCCAAAGCTGGCAGAGAAAAGTAACAATAAAGGTTAGGGCACAGAAATAAAATAGAAAATTTTTTAAAAAATAGGAAATCAGGCCAGGCGCGGTGGCTCACGCCTGTAATCCCAGCACTTTGGGAGGCCAAGGCGGGCAGATCACAAGGTCAGGAGATCGAGACCATCTGGGATAACATGGTGAAACCCCATCTCTACTAAAAATACAAAAAAAAAAAAAATTAGCCAGGCATGGTTGCAGGCACCTGTAGTCCCAGCTACTCGGGAGGCTGAGGCAGGAGAATGCCTGAACCTAGGAGGCAGAGCTTGCAGTGAGCCAAGATCGCACCACTGCACTCCAGCCTGGGTGACTGAGCGAGGCTCCATCTCAAAAAAAAAAAAAAAGGAAATCAACAAAATCATGTGTTCTTTGAAAAAAAACAAAACAAAGAAAAAACAAAACAAAACCAACAAATGAAAAAACAAGGGCTGGGTGCAGTGGCTCATACCTGTAATCCCAGCACTTTGGGAGGCCAAGGTGGGTGGATCATCTAAGGTCAGGAGTTTGAGACCAGCCTGGCCAATATGGCCAATATGGTGAAACCCGTCTCTACTAAAAACACAAAAATTAGCCAGGCATCATGGCATGCACCTGTAGTCTCAGCTATTCAGGAGGCTGAATTGCTTGAACCTGGGAGGCAGAGCTTGCAGTGTGCTGAGATCACGCCACTGCACTCCAGCCTGGGCGGCAGAGCTAGACTCTGTCTCAAAAAAAAAAAAAAAAAAAGAAAACAAAAAAACTAACAAATCTTTAGCTAGGTTACCCAAGACAAAAGAGAGAAGACAACTAAAATTCAAAATGAAAGAGGGGATATTGCTGATTTCACAGAAATAAAAAAGATAAGAGAGAACTATGAATGATTGTATGTCAACAAATGGATGATCTACATGCAATAGACAAATACTACAAAAACACAATCTACCAAGGTTGAATCATGAAGAAATGGAAAATCTGAAGCCTATAACTCATCAGGTGATTGAATCAGTAATCAAAAACTTCCCAACCAAGAAAAGCCCAGGACTAGGTGAATTTACTGGTATATTCTACCAACATTTAGGGAAGAATTAACATCAATCCTTCTCAAACTGTTCCAATAAATTGAAGAGGAGGTAACACTTCCAAACTCACTCTACAAGGCCAGCATTGTCTGATACCAAAGCCAAAGACACTGCAATAAAAGAACACTAGCAAACAATATCCCTTATAATATTGATTCAAAAATTCTCAACAAAATACTAGCAAACCAAACACAACAGTGCATTAAAAGATTATCCACCAGGAATAGGTGGGATATATTCCTGGAGAGCAAAGATGGTTCAACATCAATGGTACTGATAGTTCAACACCATTCAACAAAGATGGTTTCAATGCACAAAATCAATCAGTGCAGTACACCACATTGATAGAATAAAGGAAAAATATCAATTATTTCAGAAAATACATTTGACAAAATTCATAAAACACTTCCCTTAATCAATACCTCTAAACTCTATCACATCATAAACTATGCATATACTTTCAACCCCAAAGCATCCTAAAACAACTCCTATTTAAAAATACACTTATATCCATGCTACTCACAAATATACATCCCAAGTATATGCAAGAACCCTAGAAATAAAGAATTAAAATTTCTGAAACCCACATATACATGATATTATTCTATTCTGCTGAGCAGTCTAGGAAGAAAAGAATAAAAAATAAATAAATAAGAAGGAAATAGCCCTCGTGTGCCCCACTGAGGGGGAGGGGTGGGCCGGAGGTGTGGGTGGAGGGTTTGCAGTTCCATTGCAGCAAGGGCTCCTGTGTCCCTGTGCAGAAATGTCACATGGAGTCCTGTCATGTCACATGAGAGCGCAGCACACAGACACTCACAAAGAGAGGGGAAATACACGGTGCCTGGCTGTCTGCCGCCCCCGGCGCCTCCCCCAGCCGCCCTGGCCAGGCCCTTTGTGCACTGCTCCCACTCCCTGGCCCCATACCCTCCCCACCACTGGGTGCCTAAACTTGGCTCAGGCTGCTCAGTAAAGTACAGAACTCGAGTCCCACTGGAACAGAAGATGAACTCAACTGAATTCAGTGAAGATGTAGAAGAACTTCTAAGAAGTGAGAGTGGAGACAGGCCAAAGTTGCTGCTCTAGGCAGCTCCATGAATTCCAGGACTTCTGAGAAACACCCTCTGGAAAGCATCTTCACTGCCCTCCAGGACTTGACTGGTCAGCAATGGCCAGCCAGAGTCCGTCCCCAGCATAGAGAGGAGGCAGCTGATCCCAGAGGTGCTCCTAGCACGAATGTGGAACCTGAGAAAATCTAGCCCTGCCAAGGCAATGGAGAGCAGGCCAGCAGGGCAGGAGCTCAGGCTCTGTGTGGCCAGGCAAGGAGGAGCTCTGCAACCATGCCACCACCCCTTACTACAAAAAGCCTATGTATGGCACCTCACACAAGTTCATGGAGAAGAAGAACCGTCCCTCAGGGGACCTGCTAAACATATATGAGCTCTTCCAGAAGGTAAATGCCAGCAACAGACCCTCGTCACTTAGGCTCCTGAATGAGCCACAGAAGTGGGACTATGGCAGCACTGGGGTGGCCACCAACAGTGACCCTAACATCTACTTCCTGATCCAGAAGATATTCTACATGTTCAACACCCTCAAGTCTAACAGGTCCCAGCTGCACAGCACAATGGACATACTCTCCCTGAAGGTGAACCCCACTGAGATGGTGGCCAAATTCCAGCTGCCCCCACCACCGCATAGCAGCTCATGGGCCGCAGAGCTCAAGCAGATGGTGGACCAGAGCCTGTCGGGTGGGGTCTTGGCAGGCTGCCCACTGGTGCAGCTCTTCCCCAAGCTCTTCAGCTGCAGTTGACTTCTCCCGAGGCTGCAGTGCCTGTAGCTTTGAGGCCAAGCGTAAGTTGGAGTCACTGCACCTGCAGCTCATCCACAACTACGTGGAGGTCTACTACCCCTCGGTGAAGGACATGGCCGTGTGACAGGCCGAGTGCTTGCCCCAGCTGAATAACTTCTTCAGCCACTTCTGGGCCCAGAGGGAGATGGAGAACAGCCAGCCCGGTGGCCAGGCTGCCAGCTTCTTTGAGGCCGAGCAGTGGACCCCGGCCACTTCCTGGACCACAAAGACGAGGAGGACGGCCTGTCTCTGGACCGGAGCAGCACCATGGCCTCAGACCACGTGGTGGACATGCAGGACCTCACCGAGTTCCTGGATGAAGCCTCTTCGCCCAGCGAATATGCTGTCTTCCTCCTCCACTGGCTCTTCCCTGAGCTCTTTGACCACTGCAAGCTGGGCGAGTACTACAGCTGCTATGGGGATGGCAGCAAGCAGGAGCTGGAGCCGCAGAGGCTGCAGATCATCTGCAACTACACAGAGGTCTACTTCTCCCATATGCAGGAGGAGGAGGCCTGGCTGCAGCAGTGTGCCCAGCGCATCAACGACAAGCTCCAGGGCCTGAGGCTGGATGCGGGCAGTGAAGACGAGCCCCCCACGTGATGACTGCTACAACTCCTCCAGCCTCCCGATGACATCTCAGTAATCAGGGTGGAGGATAGCTCCAAGGGCGAGCAGCGCCGCTCCAAGAAGATCTGGCTGGTACTCATCAACCTGGACAAATTGGAGATCCCCCAGCCCAATTTGGAGGTGCCTGGCACCGACTGCCTGCTCAGCAAGGAGCATCTGCACAGCATCTATGAGAGCAGCCTGTCCATTGGCAACTTCGCCTTGCACCTGCTGGTGCCCCTGTTCCCCAAGCTCTTCACCCATGAGAACCTGCACAAGCAGTACAGCTCCAGCGGTTCCCTGGGCAAGAAGCAGCTGGACCTGTCCTGCATCAAGCTCATTCGCCAGTATGTGTGTCTGCTCTACCTCCATGCCAAAAACGACCGCTTCTGGACCCTGGAGTTCATGGGCAACCTGCGCCGGGACACGAGCAGAGGCGCTCCTACCAGCAGCAGTGCAAGGTCCACGTGCTGGCCCCCAGTGCAGAGACATGAGGAGCTATGCAATCAACCCTGAGAGGTTTGAGGAGGAGTTTGAGGGTCCCCCGCTGCCCCCAAGAGGAGCAGGAAGGACTTTTGCAAGATCCCCTTGGACAAGGTGGTGGTCCCTCGCCCAGCTTCCCGGTGCCCTCTCCCTACCTGCTGTCCGACAAGGAGGTGCGCGAGATCATGCAGCAGAGCCTCTCCGTGGGCAACTTGGCTGCAGGGCTCCTCCACTGCCAAGAACCTCCCGCTGCAGTACAATCATTCCCGGGCTTGCAACAAGAAGCAGCTGGACCCTACGCAGCTGTGGCTCATCTGCAGACTTTTTAGTACACTTTTAGTGTGCTCACTTTTAGTACCTTTTAGTTCCCTTTTTTTGGTTGAAAGTGAGACATGATACACTGGGCAAAAGGAACAGAGGTAAAGAGGTCTTTTGTGTAAGGCTCTTGTGTTTATCTGGCTGGTAGTTAGACTGTCTTCACTGTTTGGTGTTGCTGTAGGTGTCAGAGGCAAAATGTACTCAGGTGTCCTTGTTAGTATCTCCCCGCTTGTCTTTGAGTTTCCCTAGAGACTCCTTCTTAAATAAGTGCTGAGACAGTCAATTCCTTCCATTATAATTCCCTTATTATACAAAAGTCCTACTGATGTGGTGAGGAGGCACTTATGTGGGAGAGGAAATGTTCGATAATCCTGTAATTAGGTTCCAGGCACAGTGCACAGTGAGCCTATGCTCCTAGGCTGTGACCTGCACATGTGCTTCTCAGTAGCCCGTGTCCCTGGTGGGACAGGAAGGCACAGGGAACTGGAGTTTGACACTTCTCTTTCCGCAACTCAGTTAGACTCTGATAAAACCCCAATACATTAGGCTCTGGTAAAAATATTTTCTGTTAAGGATAGGTTTTTGCAAAGTAGAACTAATGTTCTGCTTTTATTTCAAAATGGTTACTTTTCCCATCGTCCTGCCAAAATCAGGAGGGGGTTTTTCTCTGATCTACACCCTGAGAATCTGGTAAGGCTACTGAAGGTAAAACTCCTGAAAGTTGGGGCTCTCCTAAGACTGGACATGGAGTTTTTAACTGTCAAGCTCATCCACATTGAACCCTCAGCACTTTGTCAATTACAGTTTAGGTTTTTCTACCCTGGGATTGGCTCCAATAGCCAGCTTTTACATCTGAGCTTCCCTTCAGATTAACCGTGATTCTCTGTATCTGCCTGTCTCCAGTTTTGAGGGTAGTAATCTGCCCTGTGACCTCAATTCTCTGACAGATCTAAGAAGAGTTGTTGACTTTCAGTTTGTTCAGCTTTTTTTTTTCTTGTTTTGAGAATGGGAGTGATGACTTCCAAGCTTCTTATACTCCAGACTGGAAACTGGAAGTCTTTAATTGATCTTGGTTCATTTCATTTCACTCCCATAGCTTGTCTGGGGATGACTTTGGCAACAAAAGCAGCAGCCCATGCCCGTGCACCATCTGGGAGAACAGGGGGGCCCTGATGATGACTCTAGGGCCCTCCATGCCCTACTCGTCTCTCTCTTCAGGAGTGGATATCTGAGGCTCACTTTGGGGACAGGTCAGAGTAAGCCTCCCTCAGGTGTCTGAGGCTTGGATAAAAGGCATCTTGGGTGCAGTCTGTGGGTGTGGAAAGAACAGTGATTGAGCTCTCTCAAGAGAGATCTCAGTTTGAATTTCTGTTCCACTACATACTACCTATGATATCTTTAAAAAGCCACTCAACCCTGGCCGGGTGTGGTGGCTCACGCCTGTATTCCCAGCACTTTGGGAGGCTGAGGCGGGTGGATCACGAGGTCAGGAGAGTGAGACCATCCTGGCTAACATGGTGAAACCCCGTCTCTACTAAAAATTTAAAAAATTAGCTGGGCATGGTGGCGGGTGCCTGTAGTCCCAGCTACTCGGGAGAATGAGGCGGGAGAATGAGGCAGTAGAACGGTGTGAATCCGGGAGGTGGAGTTTGCGATGAGCGGAGATTGCGCCACTGCACTCCAGCCTGGGCGACAGAGCGAGACTCCATCTAAAAAAAAAAAAAACCTACTCAACCCTAATAGGCTGCAGTTTATCTTTAAAAATAAACTAAACCAGGATAAGGATACTGAGCACTTACATTGGTTTCAAGAAACAGGGAAACTAACTGTGCAGGAACTGAGATTTGTTTGATCTGTCGCGTGGACTAGGTATGTATCCCCACCCTTTGGTTTAGAGGCCTGAGAGCATCCAGGAGGACAGGAAATCACCTAACCCCTGGCATAAGGTGTATAACAGGCAGGCCCTCAGGACACAGCCAGCCTGTGGCTGCCACAAAGGAGAATAGTGGCTCTGGGGACAGTGGAGTGGCTAATACTCTAAACAGAACTGCCCAAGCTCCCCTGACCTTCTGGAGAACATGCGTGGAGCACATGCTGTCTTGGTAACTCACTGACCTCTCAGAGTCCTGAGCAGCCCTGCTCTGAGACCCCATAACTGAGCTTACCACCAGGGGAGGGAACACTTTCTGTGGAGACCGCTGAGCTCTAAGGCTGGACACTAGTAGTGGACATATTACTAGGCATGGCAGTACCTCAGTGGTGGAGCTCTGGTCAGAGGCAGGGACTGCTGGAAATACCCCTACAGGAGTGGATACTGGGAAGACACTTTCTTCAGGCCTCACAATATTATTTTGGGGTGAGAATTCCTGCATGAGTAGTAGAGGGTTTAAGCCAGTGAGGTCCTAGTGTTGACATGCATGTGAGTCTATCTGTGCCCCTTGCCTGTGAGGGTACAGGAAATGTGGCCAATACCAAGACTGGGGACAATGTGCACTGAAACTTTTGGATGGCGCCTTGTCCATACAGACATGTGCTAAATGGGAGCTCTCCCGTTTTCCCGTGGTCTCTGAAGGCTGGGGGTAGGCTGTGCTGAGAGGCCTCTAGGAGTCCTGCTGGCTGCACAGGGCTGTGTCCAGCAGGCTTGCAGGAAGGATGGCCCAGAACACTATTTTGAGGCTTATTGCTGGGGCACTAAATCCTGCATCAGCTAAGTAGATAAGGTAATACCAGGCTCTACCAGCTGGAGGAGTACAGACTTCTTGGGGCAGGGTTGGCCAAGGGCCTTAGACAGGAGGGAGCATGTTTATGCAGGATTGGGGGCTTTGGAGATGGGCAGTGGGTCAAGTGCCTGCAGACTTGGGGAAAGCAGGGCCTACGGGGACAGGTGAGGAGGGGCAGGAATTGTCCCTAGGCGCAGAGCTCTGAGCATGGCTGACCTAAACCTCGGCTTTTGGCTTGGCATCAGGACCCTCCTCCATCTGCTTCTGTCAGTCTTTCCCAGACCCTCATGTTTTGAAAGCACTCTAGCTGCAGGCTGGAACCCTCTTCTCATGGCTGGGATCCTGTTCCCCAGTCCTGCTCAATTACTTTGTGCACCAGCCACTTCCCTTTTTCCGTCTCCACTGGGAGTCGAACCTCCCTCCTCCACGCCCCAGGAGCGCTGTTCCTGTACTTCAGAGAAGCCCTTGCTCCCTGACACTGTGGACACCAGGTGTAGTTTCAGCTCCTCTGAAGGCCTGGGTGCTTCCTGTGGCAGGAGCAACGTTGAGTGCAGACTGACCCCACTCCCTCCCAGCTGGCGGCCTCAGCTCCCTCAGCACCCCTAGTGTCCCCCCTACCCCTGCTTTCCTCCTAGGAGCCCACAGTTGAGATTCTTTGTGTGAGGTCCCAGGTTCCTGCCCTGGGAGTCAGACAATGAATCCTATGGAAAGGGCAAGCACTAAGGAGCAGGAGGGGCCTTGGAGGGCCGTGCGGGGTGGAGGAGGAGCAGATGACTCTTTTGTTGGGTTTGGTTTTGTGTTGCCAAGCTTGGTTTGGGGAATGGCAGTTGATAGGCAGAAAAGCCAGGATTAGGAACCATTTAGAGGGACAGTGGGCTAGGGAGAGGGAGGGTCAAGCATGGACACCTAGGCCGAGCAGAGAGAAGGGGTCGAGGGGCTCTGCGGTCATCACAGGGTCTGCCATGGGGCCCTGAGGGTAAGTGGCAGCAGGAGCCAGGTCTGTGGCAGCACAAGGGCTGCGCAGGGCCCAGGCAGGCCAGCAGCCCTCAGAGGCTTGGGTGGAGAGCAGGTGTGAGGAGCCAGCGCGGGGTCAGAAAGAGGAGTGAGCCTCATGATTTTGTCAATCCAGTTGATGAAGTAGGTGACCCTGGTGAAGATGCTGGGGTAGGCAGGATGCCGGCAGTCCAGGCCCCAGCTGGCCAGCCCCACCAGGACCCAGGCACTGGGGAGGTAGCAGACTAGAGGCCCCCCAGAATCGCCCTGAGAACAAAGAAAGAGGAGTTAGCTTTGGGGGATGAGTGTGTCTGAGACACCAGGTGGCAAGGTCGGACGTTCTGCGCCTCTGCTCTCTGAGTCAGGGTCCCGCTGCAGACCCACCAGATGGAAATCTCCAGGCATCAAGCTCCTGAGCTGACCCTCAGAGTGGACAATCATAGATCTGAATCTACCAACACGTGAACCCACCCTCTGCCCTCTACACCCAGGACAACACACTGCTTGAAGCCTAGAGGGGACAGCTGTATGTACAGGGCCTGAGAGGCGCTGGGCCTGCTAGCAAAGCACAGCCAGCTGAAACCTCTGTGCAGAGCGCAGCTCTTGTGAACCCTAAGCTGCAGCAGAACATCCCCTCTGGGCGCCCCGTCCTTTTTTGTTCATTTAGGCCTTTGGTTTTCTCTCAACTTTTTGGTAAAGTATCTTTAGAAAGTGCCCATGCCCAGGCCCTGTGGAGACAGCCCACATCACTAGGGAAGCAGGCAGGGGTCTCCAGAAAGTTGCTTGGAGTTACTGGAGTCCTGAAATGCTGTCAGGGTGGGATCATGCAGTTGAAAGCCCCCTATATCATGGGCCAAAAAGTGAGACCCAAAGAAAGGGTCTCAGCTGGGCACGGTAACTCACACCTGTAATCACAGCACTTTGGGAGGCTGAGGCAGGCGGATCACGAGGTCAAGAGATTGAGACCATCCTGGCCAACATGGTGAAGCCCTGTCTCTACTAAAAATACAAAAATTAGCTGGGCATGGTGGCGTGTACCTGTACTCCCAGCTACTCGGGAGGCCGAGGCAGGAGAATCGCTTGAACCCAGGAGGCGGAGGTTCCAGTGAGCCAAGATCATGCCACTACACTCCAGCCTGGCAACAGAGCGAGACTCCTTCAAAAAAAAGGAAAGAAGGAAGGAAGGAAGGAAGGGAGGGAAAAAAGAAAGGGTCTCATCTTCAGGGTGGTGGGAGGCAGGGCCCACAGCCGGCTCTTCCGCCCACTAGTCCAGGGTGCACCTGGGGCATCCAGTGCAGGCACTGCTCTTGGGAAACACGGGGAAAAGACAAACCCTGTCCCCCATGGTGCATAGATAAATAAGCCAACTGACCCTATGGAAGCGGGAGGACATTTCGTATCCATGGATCACAACAAGCTTTCCTGACCTTACACTCAAATAGGAAACAGAACCTACTTCTGCGAGGTCCAGAAGAGAGGGCCCAGTTGGCGCAAACCAGGAGAGGATGGGGCAAACCTTGTGGGAGGGAGTGAGGGGGCAGAGGGAGGTCTCAGAGCTGCAGAGGGGCAACTTGGAGAACTGTATGCTGGAGGGTGGGGGACACGTGACCTGTTTAAACCATCAGTCTGGTGCCATGTAGAGAAAGAAGTTGCTGAGCACCAGGTAGAGAGGAGGGACCAGGGAGGAAACTACAGGAGGGAAGAAATGGTCAGATTTGGGATGGTATTTTGAAGGAGGAGCCAAAGGACTTGTGGACTCTGGCCTTTTCTTACCAACCAGGGAAAAGGAGTGGAGACAAAAGGAAGAAGGCTAAGAACTCGGCTCTGGGGTCTCCAGCACTGAGAGGCCGGAAGGGCCCAGCCCCTCTCAGGCCCTGTACATACAGCTGTTCCTTCTAGGCTTCAAGCAGTGTGTTGTCCTGGGTGTGGAAGGCAGAGGGTGGGTCCACGTGTGATAGATTCAGATCCATAATTGTCCACTCTGAGGGTCAGCTCAGGAGCTTTGATACCTGGAGATTTCTATCTGGTGGGTCTGCAGTGGGACCCTGACTCAGAAAGAGGAGGCACAGAGCATCCGACCTTGCCACCTGGTGTCTCAGACATGATCATCGCCCAAAGCTAACTCCTCTTTCTTTGTCCTCAGGGTGATTCTGGGGGGCCTCTAGTCTGCTATCTCCTCAGAGGCAGCTGGTAGCAAAAAGTGGGAGTGGAGTGGCTGGCGACTGGCACCAGCAGCTGAGCGTGAGATGCTGCTGATGTGTCAAGGGAGCAGTGACTCTGGCAAGGCAGAGGCTGTGGACAAAGTGGCTTTGGTGGCATGAGAGGGACAAGGCTGGTTTGGGTGATTCAGTGCAGTCAGGCCTGGGAGGAGTCTTCAGGGAAGAAAGGTGGAGAAATGGGGCAGTAGCTGGAGGAGATTGTTGCCATGCCTTGACGTGGGAGGCATGAGAGGGAGGGCAGGGGACACAGGAGTAGGGGAAAGGCCCTAGCGACCCGGTGCTCAAGGATGGGTTGGCCCAGGGTGAGCCATCGGGGCAAGGGGGAGAGACTAGGCAGATCAGGGTGGGCAGATGTGGGGCCAAGAAGAGCGAGCTTCTCATTGCTTCATCTTCTCAGTTTGATGAGAAGCAAGAGAGCACACTGAGAGGGAGGGGCCTGGGCTGGGGGAGTGGAGGCCAGAGGAGAGAGAAGGGGTGACGTGGTGCGGTCACTAAAGAATACTCCCAAAGACATCCATATCCTCATCCCTGGAACCTGTGAATGTGTTATCTTACATGGCGTAGGGGACTTTGCAACTGGAGTTGAGTGGAGACTCTTGAGATGGGAGATTATTCTGGAGTATCTCAAAAGGCCCAGTGTCATCACAAAGTTTTTTATAAGGGAAGGCAGGAGGCAGAAGGGTCAGAGTCAGAGGAGGAGATATGACAACAGACACAGAGGTCACACTGATAGCTTTGAAGATGGAGAAAGAGACCATGAGCCCAGGAGTGTGGGCGGCCTCTAGAAGTTGGAAAAGGAAATTGAATCTCCTCTAGAGCCTCCAGAAAAAAACCCAGCTCTGATGACACCTTGATTTTAGACTTTTGCCCTCTAGAACTGCAAGATAATAGACATCTGTGGTCTCAGCCGCCCAGTTTGTGGGGATTTGCTCCTGCAGCCCTGGCAAATTCATGCCCGGGGTCTTCTTGGGAGTGGAAAGTGCCTTCGCTGTCTCAGATCCACCCCTCAGTGCTTCCCTACTCGGAGTGCCCACCCAGCTTGTTTGAGGGCAAGAGGAGGCCTGGTCCTCCGGGCAATGGTCCCTGACTACTCCAGGCCTCAGTGATCCATGCAGATGAACCACCTGCTTGCCAACATCACGCTTGATTCTGGGCCAGTCTGGGAGAGACGGGAAGGACTCCAAGGGTCTCCTGGCCCTGACCCTTGGGAGCTCCGAGTACGCAGAGGAAGTCCCAACATTAATGTACCCCATGCAAACTAGGCTGTGGTTTGCACTACTGTGGAGACAGAGGAAGCCACGTGTAACTGGTGGGCCTGGTGGTGAATTCCACATTGGGTGAAAGGGCAGGTCCGAGATAGGCCCAGAAGAATGAGTACAACTCAGATAGAGGAAAACAGACAAGGCCAGGAACATGGAAGCCAACACTTATTAAGCACCTGCTAAATGCCAGGCATGGTGCTACATTTCTACAGGAACCTTATGAAGTGGAGGCTGTTAGCAAGCCCACTGCACGGGTGAGAAAACTTAGCTAAGGTCACAGCACATGCAAGTGACAGAGTGAAGACTGCAACCAGCTGTGTCCTGCTCGCAGTCTGAGCGCTGAGTCACCCTGCAGCTCTCTCTCTCCTCAAAGCTGTTTTTGCGTGCTCCATGCAGGGAAGAGAAGAGAGCCACAGGGTGGAGGCGGGGACCACAGCAGATGGCTCAGCAGGAGATGAATCCAGATGGAATCTCACAGACAGGCAGTGGTGGCTGAAAGGCTCAGGAGATGTCCACCTCAGTGGTGTCCTTGGCCTGGGCAAGGAACTAGAGGAGGGGCAGGGCTGAGGGCACTGTGGAATGTCCAGCAGGTAGGCAAAGTGTGCTGGCCCTGAGGCTCCAGGGGCATGACCTTTGCAAGAGAGGCTGGTGGGGAACAAGGCTGGAAGGGAGCTGGACTAAGGACTTGTTGGCTGAGCCCCACCAGGGCTGGGCATTGGGCAGGCTCCCTGCTCCCCCTGGGGTACAGATGACTCTGTGAGGAGAAGGGGCCAGGCCACAGCCAGAAAGGAGGAACAATGAAGTATGTGGACGTGGACAGGAAACCAAGAAGCCTGGGGCTGGCTCCCGCTGGGCAGGCAGGTGGGCTGAGCTCCCTCCCACTACTCAGTTAGCTTGCCGGGCAATATTGAAAACAGTGCTGCCAATGAGCCCTTCCCACGGGCCAGGGGGACTCAGGGCTCAGACTAGGGGGAAGGAAAGACCTGGTTCTAGTTTTCAATCTATCATTTTGCTAGCATTGTGGTCTTTGCCAAACATATCCATTTCCAAGGGCTTGCCATAACACACTGCCACCACCTTGGTGGCTTAGAAGCAACAGAAATGTATTCTCTCACAGTTCTAGAGGCCACAAAACTGAAATCAGTGTGCTTCCAGGGACACACTACCTCCAAAGGCTCTAGGGGAAGACCCTCCCTTGGCTGTTCCAGCTTCTGGCGGCACAGGCATTCCTTGGCTTGTGGCGGCATCCCTCTCCTCTCCATGTCTTTCTGCACATGGCCATCTTCTCCATGTGTGTCTCTATGGCCTCTCCCCCTCTTTTAAGGACACCAGTCATTGAATTTAGGGCCCACCCTAAATCTAGGATGGGTTCATCTTGAGATTCTTAACTAATTACATCTGTAAAGATCCTACTTCCGAATAAGGTCACACTCTGAGGTTCCAAGTGGACGCCATCCTTCCAACCACCTCATGGAGGAGGCCTTGGAATCCTCACGCAGCTGATGAGGACCCAGGCTCAGGAGGTGAAGAGAACATCCCAGGTCACAGGGCAGGCACATGTGGTGGAGCAATGTCTCTCATTCCAGGGTCCCAGCACTTTCCTCTCTGCCCTACAGTGGTGTCTATGCAAAAGCTCGGCCCACAGATGTCAGCTTAAGAGGCTACCACCTGTGGGAGAGGTTGTGGAGGCAGGGTTGGCCTTGGAGTCGCAACACCTGGGCCCAGGTTGTACTGCCTCACTTAGGCTAGCCACTTTTCCTCTCTGGGCCTCAATTTCCCCACCTATAAGATGGAACATTACAGAAGGTTGAAAAGGATTTTCACACCATGTATCTTACTGTGAACTTATGTCCGGAATACATAAAGAGCTCCTAGAAGAAAAAGACAGACAACCCAACAGAAAAATGAGAGGAGAAAAAGAACTTGAAGGGAAACTTCATAAAGATATCCAATAATAATAAACATACAAAAAATTTTAAGCCAAAAACTACACACTCACCAAAATGGCCAAAATCAGAAAAGATGGAAAGGAATAAAAGTTGGTGAGAAAAGAAGCTCTCATCCTCTGCTAGAGGGAAGGCGGTTTGCTATCCTCTGCCAAAGCTGAACACACAGACACATCTTTTTATCTAGCAATTCTACTCATAGGATTCTATGCAATAAAATATATTCATCTGTGTCCCAAAGACAAATACAAACATGTACATAGCACAGCTACTTATAATACCTCCAACTTGGAACCTACTCAAATACTTATCCAATGTAGAATTCAACTCACACAATAGCGCGCTGTCGAGCAGTGAGAAGAACACACCATAACAACGTGTAATAGTATGGACAAATCTCAGAAATACACTGTTAGGACACAAGAGAGTGCTGACTGTAAATTCCACTTACAGGAATTTCAGAATCTACGGTGTTAAAAGTGAAGGTGTTTGTTACCCTTGGGCGTTAGTGATAAGAAGGAGGCACATGGGTGCTTCTCGGGTGCTGGTAACATGTTGTATCAGTGTGGGAAAGTTCACCAAACTATATACTTATTAATTATGTACTCTTGTGTATATATATTATGCTTTAATAAAAAGTTTAAAATATATTAAAAAATGCTGTTTGAAGATCCTTCCAGCAGATGTTCCTGCTGAGATGCGCTGGGGAAGGGGCTAGTCTAGGGGAGACTTCTGAGGGATGGAGCCCAGGGAGGACACTCAGAGGAGAGGAAACAGGAATTCCAAGGGACACCACAAAGAAAGCAGAGGCAACACAGAGACCCGTCCCAAGGGAAACTGAGGCCAAGAGAATATGCAAAGGAAGAGAGGAAATGACCGTACTCACTTTGCAGATGGACTTTCCTGTCGAGAAGTCCCCCCCCACACAGCATCTCCTCGTGCAAAGCTTAGGTCTCGCCTTTGCCAGTTCTTTGCCCATATAAGGTATTACAGAGTGTGTTCTCAATGAGGCCCACCTTGCCCTCCTGGAGATAGAAGGGTGGTGACAGTTGCACTGAATAGATAAGGGGGAGATCAATGACATGTCCTGTAGGTTAACTAAGAAAGTTCAGGCTACTCTGAGCCCCTACTCTGTCTGACTGCTAACCACAACCCCCCAAACATAGGTTTTCTCAGAACTGCTGAGCTTTAACTGCTGCTTCACTCTACTACCCATCCTTGATAAGCTTCTCTTCTTTTTCTCAAACCTTTGCACATAGTCATCCTATTCCCTCTACCTCTCTCATAGCAATAGATCACACCTCTCTTATTCTACAAGAGGCAAATCCCACCAACACATGACTCATTTATTGGAACTTAGCAACTATTCACTGACCAACTTACTCTTTCATGAACCATCCCATCCATTCTCCCTCCATCTATCACTAACCTTTCTTCTCCACCCATCATCCCATCCACTCACTCACCCATTCCTCCATCTACCTATCTTCCCACACCTACCCATTCATCCACTCACTTTCCAGATATTTGCCCATCCATCCATCCTTGCAGCCATCTCTCCATCGAGCCCTCCATCTCTCACCCACCTATCCTCCTCTCCACCTACTGACACATCCACCCACTGACACATCCACCCACTCCATCTGTCCACCCCTCACCAATCCTTCTATCTACACATCTATCCAAACATCCATCTACCAACTCAAATATCATCCATCAATCCATCCATCCATCCACTCATCCCTCCACTTATCCTTCCATCCATGCAGTCACCCATCATTCTAGCCATCCATTATCCATCCATTTATCCATTCATCCATCCATCCATCCATCCATCCATCCATCCATCCATCCATTCACTAACACAATCACTGATCTATTCACTCATCTATTCAGCTATCCTGGTGCTGTCTTTTACATGCTAATGATATAGATAATTTTTAGTAGAAAGTGACAGATTATATGAAATAATAAATTAAAAAATATTTTAGATTAAGTGATATGAAGAAAATAAAACAGGAAGATGTGATAGAGGGGGTTGCCTATTTTAGCTCACATGATTAAGTAAAACCAAGAAAAAAAACTGAATAGTAAATGTAAAGAAGTGACTCCTGCAAAGATGAGAATGACAAGCAAGCTAAGAAAAAAAAAAAACAGCAGCTAAAGGCCCCGAGATAGAAATAGCCTTGAGATGTTCAAAGAGTACCCAGGAGGCCCAAGAGGATGGGGTGGGGTATGTGAAGGCTGCAGTAAAAGATGGGGTATGTAATGGCTGCAGTGAAATATGAAGAATGGAAAGGGTGCATTGGAAGGTGGGATGTGTCATGACTGGAGCAGGAGATGGGGGATGTGAAGGGTGCGGTGGGAGGTGGGGGATGTGAAGGGTGTGGTGGGAGGTGGGGGATGTGAAGGGTGCGGTGGGAGGTGGGGGATGTGAAGGGTGCGGTGGGAGGTGGGGGATGTGAAGGGTGCGGTGGGAGGTGGGGGATGTGAAGGGTGCTGTGGGAGATGGGGGATGTGAAGGGTGTGGTGGGAGGTGGGGGATGGGAAGGGCGCGGTGGGAGGTGGGGGATGGGAAGGGTGCTGGAATTGCAGGCATGAGCCACCACGCCTGGCCATGTGTCTGGATTTCATTTTGCACAAATGAGAAGTTACTGTAGAATACTGAACCGGGAAGTGACATGACTAATATTTAAAGTAACACTCCGACACCCACATGGAGCCTACAGTGGGGGCACAGAAGAATGGAAGCTGGGTGACCAGTTCCGAAGCTACAGGCAAGAAATGGTGGTCTATCAGTGTCATGCAGCACGGTGGTACCAGCCCAGGAGCACCGTTTGGGATATTAAAACAAGTATATGTTGCCTCTACCCTCAAGGTATAACCAGATGTATGTGTGAATGCTGGGGACCAGCCAGCAGATGATCAGGGAGAATCCCCTCCATCTGGCAGTCAAAGGCCATGGATGCTAGCAGAGCCCCACTCAGTGAAGACATATTCTATCAAAAATACGTACAGCACCTCTGTTGAGAAATGCTAACCCTACACATAATTAAATATATGTTCTTCCTTTTTCCCTTAACATCATACCATAAGCATTTCCCTAAACTGTAAACACTCCTTTCTTCAATAAACACTCTTGTGTATAAATCTTTGCTTACATTTCTTTCCTACTCATCTAACGATGAAAACACACACAACTCTCTCCTCTGTTATTCAGTCACGTAACAAGACTGTGAAGTAGATGAATGACCCAGGTTAGGATAAGAGCAACATGAGGTTCAGAGAAGGTCAAGAGTTCTACGTCGCAATCATTCTAACTGGATCATGCAGCCTCAGACTGCAGAGCCACCATGTGTTTTCTCTCCACTCTTCCCAAGCACCTTCCCAAGCAAGGGACGATCCAAGTGTTTGGTGGTGACCTAGAATGGGCCAGCCCCCAAGCATGTCTTTGGAGTTCAATCGAGTCATCTTAGTCCCATGGCTGACTAAAACCTTAAAATAGTGGCTCACGCCTGTCATCCCAGCACTTTGGGAAGCCAAGGCAGGCAGATCACCTGAGGTCAGGAGTTCAAGACCAGCCTGACCTACATGGAGAAACCCTGTCTCTACTAAAGATACAAAATTAGCCGGGCATGGTGGTGCATGCCTGTAATGCCAGCTACTTGAGAGGCTAAGGCAGGAGAATTGCTTGAACCTGGGAGGCGGAGGTTGCAGTGAGCCGAGATCATGCCACTGTACTCTAGCCTAGGTGACAGAGTGAGACTCCGTCTCAAAAAATAAATAAGTAAATAAATAAATGAATAAATAAATAAAACATTAAAAAGAAGAACCATGAAGACTCAAAGAACCCAGATTCTGGATTCTCAAAAGTTAAAGATTCCCAGACTTTCAGAGCCTGGGACTCAGGGAACTCTAAAGCTATGGGATCACAAACTTTCAGAAGTAGAAAGGCCCCAGCGTGGTGGTCCTCACCTTACCGGTCATGGAAATGAGGCACAGAGGGCCAAGTCCAGTGGCTTCCTCTTTGCCTGGCTAAGCCATCCTTCCTTCTTCCCCTCTGCCTCCCTCTCCTTCCCCTCCCTCATCCTCCCGCCTCTCCCACACCCCTCTTATGGTCTTCGGTGAGCATTCCCCAGCCGGTTATCCAACAGGACACGTTACTGGGCAGCTGCATGTCCCGGGATGGGAGGCAGACAGGGACAATGTAGGAAGTGAAGTTCATAGGCAGGTGCAGCTGCAACATGGCAATGTCACTCCCAAAGGGGTGGAGCTTCTCAAAGTCTGGATGGGTGATGATCCGGTGCACAGACATCTTCTGGGTGTGCTGGGTTTGATGATACAGTTGGATGTTTCCCAACAGAACCTGATAGTTCTTCGGGGCCTGGGATTTGCTGGAGGAGGAAGGGCCCATTTTTACCATTCTCTGAGAGTGCGGGGCAGCACTCTCTTTTTACATCCACTTGTAACTGCCCACACACCTCTGGGTCCTTCTCCCCTGACATGATTCTAGGCAGCTTTGTATCCCCCTTTCTGACAGTCAGGAGCTCTTTTTTTTTTTTTGAGGCTAATGGCTATTCTACTCACAACCTCAGGACATATGGCTTCCCCAGCACACCCTTGAATCAGAGGAGCAGAGAATCCTAGTGCCAGGAAAGTCCTTGACAGAGTCATCAAATCCAGCCCTTTTATTTTACACAAGAGGAGCTCTGGCTTAATTCTGGCTCCAGCCTGATCCTTCCGAAGGCTACCTATGACCTGCTTCCTGGCCTAACCACCTTTCCTGCTCTCCCCAAGGGTGTCTTCCCCACTGTTGTAAGCACTCATAAAGGATTTGTTCAATGCCCAGATGAGTGCATGAAACTGATGCTCTTCTTGTTCCTGAACACAAGTAATGAAACTTCTGACCTTTGTGACTTTGTTCACATGGGTCAGCTGCCAGGAAACCCCTCGCCACACTCCCCATACCAAAGCCTCCCCTCTGGCAATCCCCTGCAGCTCCTCATCCTCCCTCAAGACTACAGCATCTCTCTGGATGACCCTGCCTCGGGTCAGCTCTTCTCACTCACTCTGGGCTTTCTCTCCTGCATCCTGCTTGTTGGAGCTTGTGCCTCGCCTTCCCATAGAGACACCTTCACTTGGGGTCTTGCCACACTCTGTGCCATAGAGGGTCTTGGGTGGTGTGACACCCAGGAGATGCTCACGGTGCCCAATAGTTGGAGTCTCAAAGCCACTAGGTGCCCAAGCTGACTCCATACCTGGACTGTGATGCCTTCCTCTCCCTCTGGGTCCCTCCATGACTGTTCAGAAGCTGGGCACTGAGTCAGGCTCAGGAGGGCCAGAGGAGTAGCACCCCTGACTGTCCATGTCATTCTCCAGGGTCAGGGGGCCCCACTCTTCCCACCAATACATGCAGCCTGGCACAGCTCCTTCCAGGCATACAGTTTTACAGAAAAAAAGCATCGCCTGGCTGCTGGCTACCTGCAGAGTCCCCAGTCCCTGCCTGGAGTCTGACTCACAGGAGCATGGTGCACACTGAAGAGAAGCCCTGCAGGTGGCCAGCACAGACACTGCCAATGCTCTCACGCATGTCTGGGTTGAGCAGACAGACACAGGGGCCAGGGAACTCCCTGCCAGAGCTGAGGATGAAGGATGAGGAGGTTCTGGGCAGATGGAGGGACAGTGGGTGGAGAGTGGGGAGGACAGTCCTGGTGGAGGGGACTACGGGTCAACGGCAGGCACTGCATCAGTTTGGTGGCAGCAGACTTCCCCAGAGCAAAGCCCAGAGGAGAAAGACATAACCCCCCCAGCCCCCTAACCCTCGTCCCTTGCATCTTCCTCCCCATCAGCCCCTCTGCTGGGGCCCAGGGAGGGAGGACTCACTTGAGAAAGCAGTGGGTAGTTGATACCAGCCAGCAGGAGTCGATGAGGACAGCTCCACAGAGGTGCGAGCCCCAGTAGAGCAGGCTGGCCTGCCATGGCCACTGGCCAGCTGCTGCGTCCCGGCCACCATAGATCTTCCCCACCACCTTAGGCTTCCCACACACTGTGGAGACACCCCGGTCCACCTGTTAGAGACACTAGTGGTGCCCATGAATGCCACCCCAGTGAGGCCTCTGCTCTCTTCACAGATGGGAAAACCAAGGCCAAAGAATAGGTGACCTGGCCAAAATGACTGAGGGCTACTCCAGCATCTGCCTTCTATGGCCACTAGCAGGACCAGATGACAGAGTACAATTGAGCAGGCTCTGTGGGAATGAGGGACCAGGGGTCTGGCAGGCAGGGCAAGGCTGACCCAGGGTGGCCACAGCAGCTCATCCGGACCTGCCAAGGACTGGTGGACTGGAATCCAGCCCTGGGACTTTACTTCCCTCCATCAGAACACCTGCATGCCTACTTTGCAGATCAAAGAACTGAAGGTCTCGGGGGTGTCCAAGTGGCTGTGCCCACCCCCGCACCTCACTCCAGTATCCCAGGGAGAGAGATTCTCAGGCAGGAGTCTGTTGTGCTGTGTGACTTGGGGAAACTTGCTCCCTCTCTCTGATTCTTGATCTTCTATTTTTAGAAGGTGAGAGGGGGTGGGGCTGATGTGGACAGCCTTGGTTCTGAGACTCACAGCTGGGAGGGGGAGCTGCGGGCCTGGACCCCTGAGGGGCAGTGTCCTGATCCCTGGCCTACGCTTCCAGGCCTCAACAAGGGGACATGAGACCCCAGGGCCCACCCCACTCCCGGGGCCCAGCAGCAGTCCCGGTGCTGTCTCCCTCCACCCAGCCCCGGCACCAGGCACCAGGCCCTGGCACCCCGTCCAGTTTCGTGGGCCCCACACCCAGTCCTGGGACCAAGAGCGGGAAGCCTGACCCACCTTGCTTGATGTCGTCTCTGGAGCCACCTGGCTGGGAGGGAAGGAGAGAGAGACAACGGATTCGGGTGACTTCCGGCCCTGGCACCAGGCCCAGAGCCCCGGCCTTCTCCCCACCGCCTCTAGCCTGCAGTTCCCCCATCTCTCCGCAGACGCCTGCCTCTCCCGGACACTCCTTACCTCATCTGGTCTTGCCGAGCCCTCGACCCCCTGCCCCCGTGGCCCAGTGGCCCCCTCAAATGCCCCCTGCCCCCTGCCCTCTGCCTCCGAGGCCGGCTCGGCCCCACACCCTCTGCTTCAAACGGACCTTGGGCTCTGGCTGCGGGCTCCCGGCCCTGCTGCGCCCCCAAGCTCTCTCTGGCCTCCCCCGGAGCCTGCGAGGGGCTGGCGGCGCGGGACTGTGGGGCAGGGGCGGCCTCTGGGCTCAGGAGCAGCAGCGGCAGCAGAGACCAGAGCAGGGGCCCCGGCTGGGCTCTGGTCCGCGTTGACCCCACACCCATCATCGCCTGACACGAGGACAGAAGGAAGGGGAACTGGAGCTGACCCTGACCCCCGAAACAGGCGGTGACTCCTGGCCCTGACTCCTGGGAAACAGGTCCTGACCTCGCCCTGACCCCAGCCCCAGACAGGCGCTGAACCCGTCCCTAACCCCCTCCCAAGACAGCCCCTGACCCCGCCCTGACCCTCCCCATGTCCGACCCCTGAGACCCAGGAAGCAGTCTTTTGCCAAAGAATTCCTTAGGCAGCGGCAGGTTCCAGAACAAAGGAGAGGGTGAAAGCTGCGGGGAGCCTGTCAATCCTTCTTTCCACTACAGAGCCAGGTGTCTGGGAGGACCTATGGTGCGCTGCCTAGCCCACCGAATGAGGCAGGGACAGAAGGCGCTATGGCTGTAGGTTGCCGTCACTGGGCCAGTGTAGCCATCACCTGGCCCGGCTGTGAGGCCCCATAGGCAGCTGTCCATCTACAGTGTCTGGCAGGTTTTTGCTGGTCAGCAGCTGAGCTAGTGCCAAGAAGGCCTCTTTCTCCTTGGGGAACATCAGCAGGACAACAGCGACCTGGCTCACACCCTGGCAGTAGCCCATGTCCTGCAAGAGTCAAAGTCACTGCGCTAGAACCTCACCTGGCAGGGCAGAGGTCACCTGGGAGGATAGACCTCACCTGAGAGATCTGAGGTCACCTGGGAGGCCTAAGGTCACCTGAGAGGCCCCCATCTCAGGCCTTGCAGGATTTGACACTAGGCACCCTTCTCCTGACAGAATAAGCCCAAAGCACACAAAATAAAGCCTGCTGCCTAGAAAAGAGACAAAAGAATGTTGTGTTTGTTTTGTGCTAATGCTGTTTAATTTTGTAGCAAACCCTGACAATGCAACTGAGGCCCTTTTAAGATTGTCTGCCAAGTAAGTAGTGAGATCTTCAGGGCACCTCAGTTTCTACATTATTAGGGTAAAATCTACATACAATGAAATGTAAGTATCCCATGTATACGTTTGATGAGTTTTTATTTCCATCCTGGTTGATTTTTTTAGTTTGCACACACGAAAGTTCAGTCTCAGGGCTGTGCAGTTCCATGGATCTGAGCCAATGTGTAGAGTCTCCCATCCACCACTCCAGCAACAAAAGGAGCAGTTCCTACATCCGCAAGGTCTCCCATGCATCCCCTTTGGAGCCAACCTCTCCCCACTCCATCAGCTCCTGGCAACCACGGATCTGTTCTCCATCCCTATGGTTCAGCATTGTCCAAAATGTTCTATGAATGGAATCATATCACGTGTGCCTTTTGCGTCTGGCTTCTTTCACTTAGCAAAATGCATCTAAAATTCATCCATGTGGCTGGGTGCAGTGGCTCACGCCTGTAATCCCAGCACTTTGGGAGGTCGAGGTGGGTGTATCACCTGAGGTCAGGAGTTCAAGACCAGCCTGACCAACACAGGGAAACCCCGTCTCGACTAAAAATACAAAAATTAGCTGGGCTTGGTGGCACATGCCTGTCATCCCAGCTACTCAGGAGGCTGAGGCAGGAGAATCAACTGAACCCGGGAGGAAGAGGTTGCAGTGAGCTGAGATCGCACCATTGCACTCCAGCATGGGCAACAGAGCAAGACTCCATCTCAAAAAGAAGATTCATTCATGTTACTGCATGATCAATAGCTTGTTCCTTTTATCACTAAATTGAATTCTGTTTTATGGATATACCACAGTTTGTCCATTCCCCTGTTGATCATTTTGGCTGCTTCCCGTTTTTAATGACTAGGAACAAAGCAGTGAATGTTGCATGCAGGTTTTATGTGGACATACTTTTCAAATCAGTTGGGTAAATATCTATGAGTGCTTTCGGGTTCCATGGTAGGCGTATACTTAGCTTTGTAAGAAACTGCCAAACTTTCTTCCAGATGCTGTATCATTTTGCATTCCCCCAGCAGTGGATGAGAGTCATTGTTGCTCCACATTCCCCCAGGCCCCGCCTTTTCCCTCCAGGCATCTGTGAAACGCACAGTGCACACCCAGCTGCTCTGGCCTGGCCCCCAGCCTCACCTCAGCACCATTTCCTGCTGCATCACTCTGGCTGCAGCTCAGCGGCTCTTTCCCCCTGGCCCTCTGTCCCCACCCCGCTCACTGTTCACTGGGTGATATGGTTTGGCTGAGACTGGATAATTTAATTCCATCTCAAATTGTAATCCCCATAGTCCCCATGTGTTGAGGGAGGGCCTGGTGAGAGGTGATTGGATTGTGGGAGTGGTGTCCCCCAGGCCTGTTGCCATGTAAGATGTGCCTGCTTCCCCTTCCGCCATGATAGTAAGTTTCCTAAGGCCTCCCCAGCCATGCAGAACTGAGTCAATTAAACCTCTTTCCTTTATAAATTACTCAGTCTCGTGTGGCGACTTTATAGCAGAGTGAAAACTGACTAATACACTGGGCCAGTTCCTTGTCTCTCTGTAGATCTGGGCTTGCATATGCGTACCTAGGAGTCCCTTCTCCTCACACTCTCTGTTTTTTGTGGGTTGTTGTGGCTTTTGTTGTTTTTGAGACAGGGTCTCATTTCGTCGCCCAGGCTGGAGTCCAGAAATGTGATCACCGCTCACTGCAGCCTCAACCTTCCAGGCTCAGGCAATCCTCCTGCCTCAGCCTCCCAAGTAGCTGAGATTCTACAAGTGCATGCCACCATGCCCAGCTAATTTTGTGTGTGTGCGTATTTTTGTAGAGATGGGTTTTACCATGTTACCCAGGCTGGTCTCCAACTCCTGGGCTCAAGCGATCCTCTTATCTTGGCCTCCCAAATGTGGAGTCTTAATTAGGGAAAAGGAGTCAGGCTGGTGGGACCAAATCAAAGCAAAGAGATAAAGCAGATAAGCTGTAAATATGCTTTTCTTCACGGTTCAGGACATATAAACAAAAAGAGAAAGCAGAAGAATTATAGGTCTGTTTTTCCTTATTGCCCAGGACATACAGACCTCCTGAACAAACAACATACATAACTCTCAAATTTCTGCTTAGCATCAAATGCCTCAATTTATCAAACATCCTGGCTGACAGAAGAGTGCAAGTTTGCAAGTTAGTTCCCAAGTTCCATTCTATAAAATCCTCAGCAAGCATTTGTTTCCTGGCAGTTAGCTTCTCTCTTGCAGGCTGCCCATTGCCTTATCACAATGTATTTTCCTACTTTCTTTAATACATCTGCCTTTCTCTACCTACAGCTGTCTTGGTAGTTTCTTTTACCTCCACGCCACCAGCCCAGATAGTCGTTGCTCCCCGGTGACACTTGGGTGGCCCATACGGGGACTCTCTCTCCTATTGGGAAACTCTCTCCCCTCTCTCTTTTCATTTCCCAACTCAGGACCCTTAGCGGACAAAGTCTAAGCACAGAGGCAATTGCAGGTCTCTGGTCGGAGTGACACGCTGGTGAGACTGAAAGGTGTCTGTGTGGAAGCATCTAACCACCACTGCCCATTCAGGTGAGAGACCTAAGGGTTTTTTTGTTGTTGTTGTTTGCTTTTTTTCGGTCTTTCAGAGGCTGGCTTCTAGTATCTCTCTGGCAACTGACAGTAACTGGCTGGAGCTACTCCCCAGTGTTCCCTGAAAGCCAAAGAGTGAACAGGGCTAGCTATACCACCTATAAGGGTGAAAGGCTCTCTCCTATATGTTCTGGCTAGAAGTCCCTAACCCCTATGTGTAACATGACTGACAGCAGAATAGATTTTTAAATCAACTTTATTAAAGCATACTTTATATACTATGAAATCCACTTATTATATTTTAGAGTTTAATGAGATTTGACATAAGTATGTGCCAATGTAACCATCACTACAATCCAGGTATGTCATATTTCTACCACTTGAGAAGGTTCCCTGTGCTTTCTCCAGTCCATCATGGCCCACTTCAACCTCACCACCCACTGGGAAAAAAAAGAAAAAGAAAGGAAGGAAAGAAAAAAAAAGAAATATGGTCCCAGACAAGCATTGATCTGCTTTAGATGTCTTTTTTTTTTTTTTTTTTTGGGATGGAATCTCACTCTGTCGCCCTGGCTGGAGTGCAGTGGTGCGATCTCAGCTCACTGCAACCTCTGCCACCCGGGTTCAAGCGATTCTCCTGCCTCGGCCTCCCAAGTAGCTGAGATTACAGGCGCCTGCCACTGTGCCCAGCTAATTTTTGTATTTTTAGTAGAGACAGGGTCTCACCATCTTGGCCAAGCTGGTCTTGAACTCCTGACCTCGTAATCCACCTGCCTCGGCCTCCCAAAGTGCTGGGATTACAGTCATGAGCCACCATGCCCGGCCTAGATGTCTTTTTCATACAAGTTGAATAGTAACACAGGTATATTTAGGGATCTGGCTTCTCTCAGCATAATGTTTTGGAGATTCATCCATGTTGATGAGCAATAATAATTATTCTTTTTTCCCTCTGAGAAGTAGTACATTGTAAAGATATAACTCAATTTATTAACCTTTTCACAGACATTTGGATAGCTTTAAATTTTTTATTGTTATAAATAAAGCTGCTAGGGGCATTCCTACATAAGCTTTTATATGGACATATGCTTTCATTTTTTTTCCCGGTAACAACCTAGGAGTGCAATTTCTAGGCTGTTTGGTAAATATATATTTGATTTATAAGAAATTGCCAGCTGGGCATGGTGGCTCACACCAGTAATCCCAGTACTTTTGGGAAGGCAAGTTGAGAGGATTGCTTGAGGCCAGGAGTTTGAAACCAGCCTGGGCAACATAGTGAGACCCTGTCTCTACAAAAAATAAATAAATAAATAAATAGTTTTAATTAGCTGGGCATGATGGTGCATACCTCTAGTCCTAGCTACTTAGGACGCTGAGGCAGGGCGATCACTTGAGCCCAAGAGTTTGAGGTTATAGTGAGCTATGATTGCACTACTGCACTCTAGCCTGGGTGACAAAGTGAGACTCTGTCTCTATTTAAAAAAAAAAGAACTTGCCAACCTGTTTTGGAAAAAGATTTTATCCCTTTGCATTCCCACCAGCAGAGTTTTTGTATGCTCTGAATTCTGTCCAACACGCTGTAGTATCAGTCTCTGAAATTTTAGCCATTTGAATGATAGTATAGTAGTATTTGATTGTGGTTTTAATTTGCATTTTCCTGATGACTAATGATGTTGAGCACGTTTTCACATGGTTTTTTTGGCCTATTTCTCTATCTCCTTTTCTGAAGTATCTATTAAAGACATTTACCTTTTTTAATTGGGTTGTTTTTTATTATTGAGTGATAGAAGTTCTTTATATATTCTGGATACAAGTCCTTAGTCAGAAATAAGTTGAATGTTTAGAAATAAAAAATGCATGGCCTGAAATTAATATTTATTATGGGCAATAAATGGCAGAATAAAAGATTAGTGAGCTTGAAGACACAGGATTAGAAATTACCTAAAATGAGAAATGACACAGAGGGAAGAAAAGAGTAGAAAACAGAGAATCAGTGATGTGCATGGGACAATTTAAAGGGGCTTAATATAAATTTAATTGAAAACTCCAAAGGAGGCAGGGGCATACAAAAATATTTGAAGAAATTAAGGCAAAACATCCCCAAATAATGAAATCCATGAACATACATATCCAAAAATCGCAAGAAATGCAAAGAAAACTACACCATGCACATCATAATCAAATTACTTAGGCTGGGATCTGTGGCTTATGCCTATAGTCTCAGCACTTTGGAAGGCCAAGGCAGGAGGATCACTTGAGGCCAGGAGTTGAAGACCAGCGTGGGCAGGTGGTGAGACCCCATCTCTACAATGCAAAATAAAAAAAAAAAAATTACTTAACCAGCTATAAAGAGACAAAAGGAACTAGGAAAAAAAAGGAAAATTTACAGGGAATAAAAAATAAGAATAAGGGCTGGGCATGGTGGCTCACGCCTGTAATCCCAGCACTTTGGGAGGCCAAGGCAGGCAGATCACCTGAGGTCAGGAGTTTCAGACGAGCCTGGCCAACATGGTGAAACCCCATCTCTACTAAAACACATACACACATACACACATACACACACACACACATACACACATGCGCACACACACACACACACACACACACACACACAGAAATTGGCTGGGACCTATAGTCCCAGCTACTCAGGAGGCTGAGGCAGGAGAATCGCTTGAATCCGGGAGGCTGAGGTTGCAGTGAGCCAAGATTGCACCATTGCACTACAGCTTGGGCAACAGAGACAGACTCCGTCTCAGAAAAAAAAAAAAAAAAAAAAAAAAAGAATGAAACAAACTTCTTATCATAAACAATGGAAGACAGAGGGCAATGGAACACTGACCTTTAAACTACTAAAAGTTTCTAAAAAGCTGTCAGCTCTAAAGTAAGGGGGTAGGGAGACAATAAACATAAAAGCAGAAGCCAATGATATATAACACAGAAAAAGAGAGAAAATTGATTTTTTAGGACATTAATGAAATCAATAGAAGAGAGGAGGTGGAGCAAGATGGCCAAATAGAACCTTCCAGTGATGGTCCCCCTACAGGAACATCAAAATGAACAATGATCCACTCAAGAAAGTACCTTCATAAGAATGAAAAAATCAGATGAGTAATTACAGTACCTGGTTTTAACATAATAATGACAGAGGCCTGGAAGAGGGTAGGAAGGACAGTTTCACATTGCCTACAGCATCCTTTTCCTAACCCCAGGCAGTGCAATACAAAGAGAGAATCTATGTTCTTGGGGGAAGGAAAGTGAAGTGAGTGTAGGACTTTGCATTGGAAATCAGTGCTGCCCTGTCACAGTGGCCCATAACACAGGGCAAAATTCTGCTGGTGCCCAAGGAGGGAGTATTTGGACCAGCCCTAGGTCAGAGAGGAATCCCTCATACCAGCGGGAGGAAACTGAGTCCCAGCTGGCTTAACCACCAGCTGACTAAAGTAGCCTTCATCTTGAATAAACATCAGTGGCAGCCAGGTTGTAGTGGCCATGGGCTTTGGATGAGCCTCAGTACTGTGCTGTTCTGGAAAGCTGTGGGCTTCAAGTGCCATTCAACATGGAGCCAGCTATGGTGGCCATGGGAGTGCCTACATCACCCCTCCTTCAACTCCAGGTAGCTCAGTGTAGTGAGAGACTCCTGATTAGGGGAAAGAGAGGGAAGAGAGTGACGAATTTTGCCTGGTAACCCAGGAAATTCTCTCTTATCTTTCCCAAAGCCACCAAGGTCACATGTCTATGAGTCTACAAGAGTTGCAGCATTCCTGGACTTAGGGCACTCACAGTGCTAAAACAGCTAACAATGACCACAGGCTTATGTAACAACACTCAATCCCATTTCAATTACTGAAAGCCTTCTCAAAAAGGATGGATACAAACAAGTCCAGACTACAAAGACTGAAATAAATACCTAACTCTTGAATGCTCAGATATCATTGAACATCCACAAGAATCAAGAGCATCCAGGAAAACATGATCTCACCAAATGGACTAAATAAGGCACCAGTGACCAATTCTGGAGTGATTAAAGATATGATCTCTCAGACAGAGAATTCAAAATACCCATCTTGAGGAAGCCCAACAACTTCAAGATAACACAGAGTAGGAATTCAGAATTCTATCAGATTAATTTAATGAAGAATTAACATTTAAAAATCAAGCAGAGGCCAGGCACAGTGGTGCACGCCTGTAATCCCATCACTTTGGGAGGCTAAGGTGGGTGGATTACTTGAGGTCAGGAGTTCCACACCAGCCTGGCCAACATGGGGTTTAGTAGAAACCCTATCTCTACTAAAAATACAAAAAATTAGCTGGGTGTGGTGGTGCATGCCTGTAGTCCCAGCTACTCAGAATGCTGAGACAGGGGAATCACCTGAACCTGGGAGGCAGAGGTTGAAGTGAGCTGAGATTGCACCATTGCACGCCAGCCTGGGCAATAGAGTGAGAATCTAGCAGAAATTCTGGGGCTTAGAAACTCAATTGACAATCTGAAAAATGAATCATAATCTCTCAACAGTAGAATTGATCAAGTGGCAGAATGAATCAGTAGATTCAAAGACAGGTTATATGAAAGCACACAGTCCAAGGAGAAAAAAGCAAAAATACGTAAAAGAGAAGGAAGCAATATTACAAGATCTAGAAAATAATCTCAAAAGGGCAAGTCTAGTAACTATTGGTCTTAAATAGGAGGTAGATGGAGAGACTGGGGTAGAAAGTTTATTCAAATAAATAATAACAGAGAACCTTCCAAACTTAGAGACATGAATACCTAGGAACATGAAGATCAAGAACACTTAGAATATTCAAGCCAAATAAAATTACCTCAAAGTATACAATAAGCAAACTCTCAAAGGTCAAAGATAAAGAAAGGATCCTAAAAGCAGCAAGAGAAAAGAAGCAAATAACATAAAAAGGAGCTCCAATACACTTGGCAGCAGACTTCTCAGTGGAAACCTTACCAGCCTGAGGAAATAGAATGACATTCAAAGTATTAAAGGAATAAAAACTTTGGACTAGAATATTATACCCAGCAAAATTATCCTTCAACATAAGAAGAAATAAAGACTTTCTCAGACAACAAAAGCTAAGGGATTTTGTCAATACCAGACCTGTTTTACAAGAAGTTCTTCAATATGAAAGAAAAGGACATTAATGAGTAACAAGAAAGCAACTGAAGATATAAAACACACTGGTAAACTTAAGTACACAGACAAATACAGAATAGCCTAATACTGTAATTGCATTATTTAAACCACTCATATCGTTAGTAGGACTAAAAGACAAATCTATCAAAAATAATAATGACGGCCAGGTGTGGTGGCTCACACCTGTAATCCCAGCACTTTGGGGGGCTGAGGTGGGCGGATCACAAGGTCAGGAGATCGAGACCATCCTGGCTAATACGGTGAAAACCATATCTACTAAAAATACAAAAAATTAGCCAGGCGTGGTGGTGGGCACCTGTAGTCCCAGCTACTTGGGAGGCTGAGGCAGGAGAATGGTGTGAACCCAGGAGGCGGAGCCTAGAGTGAGCTGAGATCGTGCCACTGCCCTCCAGCCTGGGCGACAGCAAGACTCCATCTCAAAAAAGAAAATAATAATAATAATAATGATAATAATAATGACAACATAGGAGGCTGAGGTGGGCGGGTCACTTGAGGTCAGGAGTTTGAGGTGAGCCTGGCCAACATGGCAAAACTCTGTCTCTACTAAAAATACAAAAATTAGCCACGCACGGTGTTGCACACCTGTAATCCCCACTACTCACAAGGCTGAGGCATTAGAATCACTGGAACCCAGGAGACGGAGGTTGCGGTGAGCTGAGATCATACCACTGAACTCCAGCCTGGGCGACAGAGTAAGACTTGACCTCAAAATAATTATAATAATAACGACAATTTCTTAAGAGATAGATGATATAAAAAGATATAATTAGAGAAACCCTCCCCCCAAAAAAAGGCAAAAAACAGCCATTGAGGCAAGGGAAGATGGAGTAACATTGTAGAGTTTTTTTTTTTTGAGTTTTCTCTTTGCTTGTTTGCTTTTTTTCCTTTTTTCTACTCAGTGTTAAGTTTTCATCAGTTTAAAATAACTAGTTATAAGCTGTTACTAGCAACCCTTATAATAACCACAAAGCAAAGACCTATCATAGATACACAAGAAATAAAAAAACAAGAAATTAAAACATATTACCAGGGAAAATCACTTACAAAGGAAGACAGAAAGGAAGTAAGAAAGGAAGAGAGGACCAACAAAACAACCAGAAAAAATGAACAGAATGGCAGCAGTAAGTTCTTACCTATCAATAATAACATTGAATGTCAATGTACTAAGTTCTACAAATCAAAAGACATAGAGTGGCTGAACAAATTTTTAAAAGACGCAACTATATGCTGCCTACAAGAAACTCTCTTCACCTATAAAGACACACATAGACTGAAAATGCAGGGATGGAAAAAGACATTCCATGCAAATGAAACACCCCCAAAAAGAGCAGGAATAGCTATATGTATTTCAGATAAAATAGATTTTTAAGTCAAAACCTGTGAAAAGAGACAAAGACGGTCATTATATGATGATAAAGGGGTCAATTCAACAAGAGGTTATAATAATTGTAAACATTAATGTACCCAGTGCTGGAACACCCAGATAGATAAAGCAAATACTATTAGGATTAAAGAGAGAGAGAGAGAGAGTTCCCAATACAATAACAGCTGGGGACTTTGACACTCCACTTTCAGCATTGCATAGAAAATCTAGACAGACAATCATCAACAACAACAACAAAAACCCTTATCAGACTTAATCTGCATGATAGACCAAATGGACCTAATAGACATTTACAGAACAGTTAATTCAACAGCTGCAGAATACACATTATTCTCCTCAGCACATGAAATATTTTCAGAGACAGACCATATGTTATGCCACAAATCTTAACAAAGTTTTAAAAATTCAAATAATAGCAAGTAATTTTTCTGATCACAATGGAATACAACTAAAAATCAATAACAAGTAGAACTTTGGAAACTGGAGATACTGGCTGGGCACTCACACCTATAATCCCAGCACTTTGGGAGTGTGAGGTGGGTGCATCACTTGAGGTCAGGAGTTTGAGACCATCCTGGCCAACATGGTGAAACCTCGTCTCTACTAAAAATACAAAAATTAGCTGGACATGGTGACATGTGCCTGTAATCCCAGCTACTCAGGAGGCTGAGGCAGGAAAATCGCTTGAACCTGGGAGGCAGAGGTTGCAGTGACCCAAGATTGACCCACTGCACTCCAGCCTGGGCACCAGAGGGAGACTCCATCTCAAAAAAAAAAAAAAAAAAAAAAAAGAAAGAAAGAAAGAAAGAAAAGAAAGTATAGAAACACATGAAAATTTGACAACATGCCTCTGAACAACCACTGGGTCAATGAAGAAATTAAGAAGAAAATTTAAAAATTTATTGAAAGAAATGGAAATGAAAACACAACAGAATGAAACCTATGGTATACAACAAAAGCAGTGCTAAGATAAAAGTTTACTAGAATAAATGCTTACATCAAAAAAGTAGAAAAACTTCAATTAAACAACCTAACAATGCATCTTAAAAAGCTAGAAAAGCATGGCCGGGTGTGGTGGCTCATGCCTGTCATTCCAAAACTTTGGGAGGCCAAGGCGGGTGGATTACTTGAGCTGAGGAGTTTGAGACCAGCCTGGGCAACATGGTGAAACTCCATCTCTACAAAAAATAGCCAAGCATGGTGGTGCACACCTGTAGTCTCAGCTACTTGGGAGGCTGAGGTGGGAGGATTGCTGGAGCCTGGGAGGCGGAGGTTGCAGTGAGCGGAGATTGTGCCACTGCACTCCAGGCTGGGTGACAGAGTGAAACCCTGTCAAAGAACTAGAAAAGTAAGAGCAAACCAAACCCAAAATTAGAAGAAAAGAAATAATAAAGATCAAGCAGAAATAAATAAAATTGAGACAAATAATATACAAGATAAAAAAGTTGGAGTTTTGAAAAGAAAAACAAAATCTACAAACTTTTAGCCAGATTAAGAAAAAAAGGAGAGAAGAACCAAATAAATAAAATCAGAGAGAAACAGGAGACATTACAAATAAACCGCAGAAATTCAACGATCACTAGAGGCATAAGCTCTATGCCAATAAATTGAGAAGCATATAAAAAATGGATAAATTCTTAGACACATACAACCTACAAAGATTGAACCATGAAGAAATCCACAACTCAAATAGACCCGTAACAAGTAACAAGATTGAAGCCTATAATAAAAAAAGTCTCCTGTCAAAGGAAAGCCCAGGATCTGATAACTTCACTGCTGAATTCTACCAAACATTTAAAGACAATCTAATACCAGTCCTATTCAAACTATTCCAAAAAATCAAAGAGGAGGGAATGCTTTCAGATTCATTCTAAGAGGCCAATATTACCCTGATAACAAAACCAGAAAAAGACACAACAAAAAGGCTGACCCAGTGGTTCGCACTTGTAATTCCAGCACTTTGGGAGGCTTAGGCAGGAGGATTACTTTTGGTCAGGAGTTTGAGACCAGCCTAGGCAACATAGCAAGACCCTGTCTCTACAAAAAAAAAAAAAAAATTTAGCTGGCTGTGGTGACATATGTCTATAGTTCGAGATACTCAGGGGTCTGAGACAGGGAAAACTGCTTATGTCCAGAAGTTTGATATTTTTGAGGTTACAGTGAGCTATGATCATGCCACTGTACTCTAGCCTGGGTGACAAAGCAAGACTCTTGTCTTAAAGAAAATCAAAATGGTAAATTTTAGGTATATTTTACCATAATAAAAATAAAGGAAGTTAGTTGGACTACAAAAAAATAAATTTCCTTCAATACAGAATATGGGAGGAGTTCACAGTGTTGAGATAATGGGAAGCAAAATACCATGAAGTAAGAGGTTGATAATAGTGCCCAAGTCAAGATAAATACTCACAACATATTGCCAATAAGAAAAGGCATTGCAAATCTCCCACTGACATAGAAGGAAATGACCTAATATGATGACCTTTTACCAGTGATATGGTTTGGCCCTGTGTCCCCATCCAAATCTCTTGTTGAATTGTAACCCCTAATGTTGGAAGAGGGATGTGGTGGGAGGTCATCGGATCATGGGGGTGGATTTCCCCCTTGCTGTTCTCGTGATAGTGAGTTCTCACGAGATCTGGTTGTTTGAAAGTGTGTAGCACTTCCCTCTTCGCTTTCTCTCTCCCGTCACCATGTGAAGATGTGCTTGCTTCCCCTTCACCTTCGGCCATGATTGTAAATTTCCTGAGCCCTCCCCAGCCATGCCTCCTGTACAGCCTGTGGAACTGAGTCAATTAAACATTTTTAAATAAACTGTCCAGTCTCAGGTAGTTTTTTTTGTTTTTTGTTTTGTTTTGTTTTTTTTGAGACAGGGTCTCTCTCTGTTGCCCAGGCTGGAGTGCAGTGGCGCAATCTCGGCTCACTGCAACCTCCGCCTCCTAGGTTCAAGTGATTCTCATTCCTCAGCCTCCGGAGTAGCTAGGACTACAGGCACATACCACCACATCCAGCTAATTTTTTGTATTTTAGTAGAGACAGGGTTTCACCATGCTGCCCAGGCTGGTCTCGAACTCCTGAACTCAGACAATCCGCCTGCCTTGGCCTCCCAAAATGGTAGGATTACAGGCGTGAGCCACTGCACCCAGCCTCAGGTAGTTCTTTACAGCAATGTGAGAACAGACTAATACAACCAGCAAGAGAAAAACCTAAAGTAAAACAGCAAAAAGTGCAACCAACATTTATACATAAGGATTATATACAATGTGTAACAATAGTAAAGTGTTAAATTCTAAAAGATGGCTTTAGAATTGCGGATAGACTTTTGTTTGTTTCATTTCAGATCATGACCTTGAGCTGCATGACAGTCTTTTTTATTTTTGAAATTTTCTGTAGAGATGGGATCTTGCTACGTTGCCCAGGCTGGTCTTGAACTCCTGGGCTCAAGTGATCCTCTCCCCTTGGCCTCTCAAAGTGCTGGGATTACAGGCATAAACCATGCCACCCAGCCCCACTTCTTCTAATGAGGTAGCTGTCATTTACATTCTCATTTAATAGAGCAATGTGCTGTCTCATTCAGCAGAGCTTTTCACGGGAGGTCTGATGAGCAAGAAGAACAGGCTTGTGAGAGCAAATAACTAAGACCATAAGCAGAGGCCTGAGGTGGAGCTTTCAGCACAGACTGAACAACTCAGGCCCTCTCAGACAGGCCACCTGCACATGAGTATCTAAGAGGGGACCAGAAGACCCCTGTGAGGGCACCCACCCTGGAGCAGCATTCAGGGAGAGCTGGAAGGGCTTTATGGGGCTAAAGAATTGATGGGCAATTGGAGTGGGTTGTGGGAAAGTATTAAATTATGTTTGCGTGAGCCTTGCCATCAGGAACATGTTTTATCTTTAGCTGATGGCGACACTGCTAGAAGTAAATAAGCTCTTCTCATGAACCAAAATTCCCAGTGGCACTATGGAGTCCTGGTTAAGTTGACAGGTCTCTGGCTGAGGGAACACAGAATCCACTTTCAGCAGCTGTGTTAAGAGACAGTTAACCATGAGTCCATTATAGCATTACTTTGCTCAGGAACCAATCACAGAAAAGGCCATATGTGGACATAGTGAGAAGATGGCCAGCAGATAATGTCAAGGAGAGAGGCCTCAGGAGAAACCAAACCTGCTGACACCTTGATCTTGGACTTCCAACCTCTAGAAATGTAAAGAAATAAATTTCTGTTGTTTAAGCCACCCAGTCTGTGGTATTTTGTTATGGCAATCTTAGCTAACTAATATAAACATTATTTCTCTCTTCCATTTATATAGGCTTTGTTTTTTTTCTTTTCTTTTTTTTTTTTTTTTGAGACGGAATCTTGCCCTGTCACACAGGCTGGAGTGCAGTGATGCAATCTCGGCTCACTGCAACCTCCGCCTCCTGGGATCAAGCAATTCTCTGCCTCAGCCTCCCGAGTAGCTGGGATTACAGGCACTCGCCACCACGCCTGGCTAATTTTTTTGTATTTTTAGTGGAGACGGGGTTTCACCATGTTGGCCAGGCTGGTCTTGAACTCCTGATCTTGTGATCCACCTGCCTAGGCCTCCCAAAGTGCTGGGATTACAGGTGTGAGCCACTGTGCCCGGCCTACAGGTTTTCTTTATTATCTCTAAGGAATGTTTTGTAGTTTTCAGTATACAAGCACTATACATCTTTGGTCAAATTTATCTCTGAGTATTCCATATTTTAGGATACTATTGCAATAGGGTTTTTGTTTGTTTGTTTGTTTGTTTTTGAGATGGAGTCTCGCTCTGTTGTCAGGCTGGAGTGCAGTGGTGCGATCCTGGCTCAGTGCAACCTCCACCTCCCGGGTTCAAGCAATTCCTGCCTTAGCCTCCCGAGTAGCTGGGACTACAGGCGTGCGCCACCATGCCTGGCTAATTTTTGTATTTTTAGTAGAGACAGGATTTCACCATGTTGGCCAGGATGGTTTTGATCTCTTGACCTCATGATCTGCCCGCCTCGGCCTCCCAAAGTGCTGGAATTATAGACGTGAGCCACTGTGCCCAGCCTACAATAGGTTTTTAATTTCAGTTTCTGACACTTATTAAAAATGAACTTCTATATCTTCAGATTTATAAAAAAGATGCAAATACAGCTGATATACTCACACGCAGTTTACCTGATCACTAACATCTTACATTATTATAGTTTATTGATCTCATTTTGTTTGTGCAGATATTGTTTACCTGATTTTGTGTGTTCTTTGTAGCTCACTGAACATCTTTAAGATGATTACTTTGAATTCTGTCAGACAACTAATAGATCTCCATCGTTTCTGTTTTTTTCTTTTTTCTTTTTTTTGACACATGGTCTTAATGTGTCACCCAGGCTGGAGTGCAGCGGCATAATCATGGCTCATTGCAGCTCGACCTGCCAGGCTCAGGTTATCCACCTGCCTCGGTCTCCCAAGTAAGTAGCGGGGACTACAGGCACATGCTACCACATCTAGCTAATTGTATTTTATTATTTATTATTTATTTTATTATTTTTTCTAGAGACAGGGTCTCTCTATGTTGCCCAGGCTGGTCTTGAACTCCTGGGCTCAAGTGATCCTCCCTCCTCAGTCTCCCAAAGTGCTGGGATTAGAGGTGTTGAGCCACTTTGCCTGGTGATCTCCATTTCTTTAGGGTTAGTTTCTAGAGATTTATTTGTTCCTTTGATAGGGCCATGTTTCCCTGTTTCATGGTATGCCTTGTGATTTTTTTTTTTTTTTGAGACAGAGTTTTGCTCTTGTCCCCAAAGCTGGAGTGCAATGGTGCGATCTTGGCTCACTGCACCCTTCGCCTCCTGGGTTCAAGAGATTCTCTTGCCTCAGTCTCCCGAGTAGCTGGGATTATGGCGCCCTCCACCACGTCCAGCTAATTTTTGTATTTTTAGTACAGATGGGGTTTCACCATGTTGGCCAGGCTGGTCTCGAACTCCTGACCTCAGGTGATCTGCCCGCCTCGGCCTCCCAAAGTGTTGGGATTATAGGCATGAACCACCACACCCAGCCGTTTTTTTTTTTTAAAGACAGGGTCTGGGCTGGGGTACAGTGGCTTGATCACGGCTCACTGCAGCCTCAAACTCCTGGGCGCAGGCAATTCTCCTGCTTCAGCCTCCCCAGTAGCTGGGATAACAGGCATGCACCACCACAGCTGGCTAATTTTTTAAATTATTTGTAAAGATGAGGTCTCTCTGTGTTGCCCAGGCTGGTCTTGAACTCCTGGATTCAAGTGATCCTCCTGCCTTGGTCTCCCAAAGTGCTGGGATTACAGGCATGAGCCATTGTGTCCGGCCACCTGCTAATCTTTTGTTGAGATTTGGGCATCTGAAAAAACAGCCATCTCTCTTAGCCTTTATAGACTGGCTTTGTAAAAAGGAACAGCATTACAAATTAGTTTAGCTGGAGATCTTGGGGACCTCTTGAATCTTTTCTAGCGATGTATCTTCTCTGGGTTTGTCTGTGCAATTTCCTGAAGAGGTTTGCCCCTGTGTCTTTTTAAGGAACTCATAATTTCTTGCTCCCCTTGGTATCTGTTTATGATACTAGTTCCTGCAGTGCTGTAACAAGGCTATAGGTCTCACATTTGTTCTCAGCAGCCCCTAGTCATCCAAAGTATGACACTGTTCCTGTCAGTGCTCTGAGTCACATGAACAGAAATCAGTCCTTTGGTCAGCCCCACTATAAGCCAGAACATGGGACATACATTCCACTCTACTCTTTCCCTCTTGAGAAGGAAGGTGCAAGTGGGAGGTATCTCCAGATTGTGCTGCACTGTGCTTGGTACTGGGAGAACCTATGGTATGCAAATGTAATGGACTTTCTCACCTGCTTCAAATCAGCTCTTCTTGCTTCTACGTTCACCTGGGGTACTGCAACTTTTAAACTGATTTCTGAAAAATTCTCACAAAGGCAGTTTGGTCCGTATATTGTTAAGTCAGTGTCTCTATGGGAGAATGAGGGCCTGGGGCTTATTTATTTTTTTATTTTTTGAGATGGAATCTTGCTCTGTCGCCCAGGCTGGAGTGCAGTGGTGCGACCTTGACTCACTGCAACCTCTGCCTGCCGGGTTCAAGCAATTCTCCTGCCTCAGCCTCCTGAGTAGCTGGGATTACAGGCATGTGCCACCACGCCCGGCTAATTTTTGTATTTTTAGTAGAGATGGGGTTTCACCATGTTGGCCAGGCTAGTCTCAAACTTCTGACCTCATGATCCACCACCTCAGCCTCTCAAAGTGCTGGGATTACAGGTGTGAGCCACCACGCCCAGCAGGGCTTACTATTAATATTTTGCCATCTTGCTGATGTCACTCACCACTGTTTTTTGATCACTTTACTTTCTGTTACTACAAGATGTTTCAGATTCATATCGTACATTCCCAGCTCCAGCTCTAGAAGCAGCCATTTTTTTCCCAGGGAAACCTAGTTCCCTTCATGGGAGAATGGTTTTAGGAACCACGACCTCAGTGGGGTTGCTGCAGCTTGGTAGAGTACACTACCAATAACTCCCTGAGAAAGAGTACATGGGAGATAATTTTTTTTTGAGACCTAACTCATGTCTGAAAATGTCTTTATTCTACCTTCATACTTGTTTGATAATTTGGTTGGGTACAATATAGTTAGAAAACTTTCCCCAAAGAATTGGGGAGATTCTCTTCTTACTGTGTTGCTGAGAAATCAAATCCTTACTAAATTGTTCTGTGCTCCCAGAGGTTGAAAAGAAAAATCCTTACTAACTGCTAATCTTTTGTATATCCCTTTTGCTTTTTTCTTTCTAGAAACTTAGTCTTTTCTTTATGTTCTGAAATTTCTGTTATGTGCCTTGGAAGTGAGTCTATTTTCATGCATTGTGCTAGACATTTGAAGATATCTTTTTTTTTTTTGAGGCGGAGTCACGCTCTGTCACCCAGGCTGGAGTGCAGTGGCACGACCTCAGCTCACTGCAAGCTCCGCCTCCCAGGTTCACGCCAGTCTCCTGCCCCAGCCTCCCGAGTAGCTGGGACTACGGGCGCCTGCCACCACGCCCGGCTAAATGTTTTGTATTTTTAGTAGAGACAAGGTTTCACCATGTTAGCCAGGATGGTCTTGATCTCCTGTCCTCGTGATCCGTCCACCTCGGCCTCCCAAAGTGCTGGGATTACAGGCATGAGCCACCGTGTTCGGCCAAAGATATCTTTCAATCTGGCTGTAGGTTCTGCAAAATTTGTTTACATTAATTATAATTTTCTGACCTTATTTTTCTTCTTTCTGGAATTCCTACAATTTGGATACTGGAACTCCTGGACTCTAACTTATGTATAATATCTCTTTTCTCCCACCTTAAATATTTATTGTTAATCTATCTAGTGTCTGGAAAATTTCACACTATTTTCCAATGATTTTTTTTCTTTTCTATTAAGTCTTATATTAACAGGAACATTTTTTTCTCCTCTTGAGATTTTCATGTTTTGTAGCATCGTTATTTTACAGATGTAGTATCTTATAACTCTAAGGATATTAACACATTTGGCAGGGGGAATTTTCTTCTCACTGCATTGCTTGATTCCTCAAAGTTGTTTTGGTACTCTCTTTTGGTTTTGGATTAGAGGCTTTCACTAGATCTCTCGTAATTCTAGATGGAAGTCTCATGAATAAGAGTTGGGGGCTAAAACACTGACCTGAGTATGGACTTCTCAACTTCAAAGTTAATTGTTCAGAGTGAGCCTTTTTCCCAGCCAATACTTGGTGTCAATCTTTTATATTCTTCTTTGGTATAGTGGACAGTATACATAAAGCCACTTAATCTTGTTTCCAGTACAGTACTCTGTATAAAGGAATTTGGCCTTGCCCTTGGATGTTATGCTACATAGGAATGCCTCTGTTTACCTGGGGATCTTGAATCATACTGAATAGCCTTGACAGTATGATTTATGGCTGGGGTGGGACAAATCTATACAGTCTTATGGTGGGGGGGGTGTACAACACATCAGAAATACCAACAATGTGATTTAGGGTGGAGGTTTTGGGTCATGCACGAGCAGCTGACCTAGAGACTGCGATTAACCACATGGACAATCAATCATGGATATGTAAAGCAGCCTCAGTAAACACTCTGGGTTCCAAGGCTTGGGTGAGCTTCCCTGGCTGGCAATACTCTGTGCATACTGTCACACACTGATGCCAGTAGAGTAATGCTTGCTGACTTCAGAGAGACAGGACAAGAGCTGTGTTTGGTACTTCTCCCGGGCTCTGCCCTCTCCTCTTCCTTTGGCTGATTTTGATCTTTAACATTTCCCTGTCATTAACTGTAACCACGAATACAATAGCTTTCATTGAGTTCTGAGTCTTTCTAGCAAATTATCTAAGCTGAGGGTTGGTTTTAGGAATCCTCCAGGCTTACAAGTACTCTTGTCTTCCATTCACTCCGACTTCTACCAACCAGTCACTTTTTACCTTCCAGATGCCAACTGTGGGGGGAATAAAGTTGCTTAGCAACGTGGAAATGGGAGAAGCTATAAGGCTTCCCAGTGTTCACGCAATCGTCCCTATTTCTGTGCCTCTTCTACCTTTCATCCCAGAGGTTAACTGGTGCTGTGAATTCTGAAATGTAAGTAAGTTTATCAGTTCCTCCATTGATTTAGAATTGGGGTTTCCTGGGTCTACCAAGTTAGTTAACACCGTCTATCTGCTTTCCAATTCCCCAAGTTCTGGTTGTTTCCTCTATTTTCTCCAACTTGTGGGTTTTTGTGTGAATGCATCTGTTGTAGTAGCCATAGGGATGTATCATTCAGATCTCCCTTCAAAAGAATCTGACATGAGGAGTGTAGTTGGTACTTTCAGATCCATCAAGGCATTTGTGCGAAGGCCACGCTCCCCTTGGTCTCCTCCCAGAAACTGACTTGAGGAAGTCAGAGAAACAAAGCCAGGCTATTTCTGCCCAATTCTGAACTCTACTAAAAGGAATCCTTGCTTGGGAACTCTCCATTGGCCTGACCAAGACTTCATCTTAGAGTTGCACTGCAGTCTAAGTTTTTGCTAATCAATCTTCATTTTCTCTTTTTACAGGTGTCAGACCCACACTGCAGTCTGAAGGCTCTCTCGACCTACGCTTGCTCCATCTCCCGTTTATCCTCCATTTATGTTTCCTCTAATAAATTCTTGCACATCTAACTTTGTCATGTCATCTGCTTCTCTGAGGACTCAAATTATCACCTGGGATTTTGGAAAGAAGTTTTATTAGATGTCTAGTCCACTGTCTTAATAAGAAACCACCATGAAGTTTTTATGTTCTTCAAAGTTTACACATTTCAAGTTTCATTTATCTATGGGAGAATGAATTACTTTCAACACATTTATATCTGAGTTTGTTTATTGTTCTGATTTACTGAAACTTAAAATATTCCATCAAATTATCCAGGAAAATCCAGGTGGCAGAAATATATAATATGTCCATTTCATCAAGAGGTCTCAAATAAATTTTAAAAGGCCAGAAAATGATATATATACTATGCCATTTAAATCACTTCTATCTTCTGTACTTAAGAACTCAAGTATAGAAATAAACTGTGGGCTGAAGTAACATTGTAACCTGCTCCCAACATGACTGCATAGGTGTCTAAGGTTAAGTGTGAAGATTACTGTGAGGTCTCAAGTTACTTGACTAATCAATCCCATTTGAATTTCAATCCAAGCAGCATATTTTACACACACCTGAAGGAAATATCTTCAGTGTGTTCATGTGTGTGTCTATGTGCATGTATGTGTAGGGGATAGGTGTAATTAGGGAAGGGCTGACCGAACAACATTGATAAGTACATGCTAGAAGTCTGCTGTTGTTGGTAACACAGAAACATACACAGTCTTCATATTCAAAGTCTTCACGGGGATGTCTTCTGTAATTTCTAGAATGGAAAGAAAAAGTTGAAAAAAAATCAGTATTTTACCTATTGGGGGTGAATATTTAAAAAAATGTTAACTGCTTGTGTAGTAAGGAATTTGGCCTTATCCTAAGAGTTCTGCCTTTTGTCCCAGCTCCTGAGGTGAACCTCTAAATCCTTGGAATTTCCTGGTAGGAATCTTTGTTTCTCATGGTGGGTATGTTCACCAAACCTGACAGTTGTTGCTAATGAGACAATTCAGGGTAGTGCTGGCCAGGACAGAAAGACCAAGTATATGATTTAGGATGGGGACTTTGGGTCACATGGTATATCAGTTGAGAAAGACAGCAATCATGCCTACAGAATGAAACCTCAACAGAAACTGGACACCAAGGCTCGAGTGAGCTTCCCTGGTTGGTAATATAGTCTCTGTGTTGTCAGATGTAAGGGATGAGAGGAAGAAACATTATCCATGACTCCAGGGTCTCTCTCTCTCTCTCACTCTCGCTGGTTCTAACGTGTATCCTTTCCCTACCCTAATTCAAACCATGAGTGTAATACCTTTTAGTGAGTCTGAGTCCTCCTAGCAGGTTACTGAACCTGAGGGTGGTTTAGGAAAATCCCTGGAACTTGCAGTTGGTGCCAGCAGTGATGGGGGTCTTGTGTGGATCTTTCCCTGAGTAGAATCCTCACTCCTTGCAGGTGGAGTTAGATATCGGGCAGACTCCTGGAGCCTTCTGGAGGACTATGCCATCACTTCACAGTTTGGCTAACTCTGGGTACTGCCAAGATGGTTATTTTTCCTCATACACAGATACTTCCTATGTCTACAAAAAAAGCCTAGAGGCTGTGCCAACTCAGTATCCCAGATATGTGGTTTCAAAATATGATTCTCTATAATTTGAAGAACAGCTATTTTCTACGTCTGGAGAAGTAAAAGTACATAATAAGCCTAGGACATGTTGCTACGTGAGAAAGCAAGAATTTACCAAAGACAAAGGATCATGTTAAAGAATACAGGATCCAATATGGCCAATGACGAAAACTCTGAGCATCCAAAAATATAACCCAAATGCAATTGATTGAAATATACTGAATATACAACTCAAAAACAAAAAAAAAGAAAATTTAAAGTTATCTGCCTACTGTGGAGCATTTTGCTTCTAGTCAGATCTGAATTTAAAGCAAACAGATGAGCTTCCTTTAAAAATAGCTCTTGTCCTACCTAGCAGCAATCCTAGATGTGAGAATACTCTCAAAGCTACTTCCTTAATAGATAATTACAGGACCTGGAGATGATGTTTAGAGTTTAGTGGAGCAAGCAAGAAGACATCTAAGGGTTTCTAAAATGGTCAACATTTTGTGGCTCTTCTAATTTACCAAGTTATTGATACTTTATGAAAGACAATTCTGAGAGAAAAGGCATAATGAAAACGAAGCTATAGATACTAGATTGGAAAGATACTGAATTAGAAAAAGTTCCAACTTTGTGGTAATCTTAGATAAATCACTAAACATTTAAAAGTTCTCACCCACTAAACTTTTGCCTAACTAACGTCACAGAGTAAAGAGAATACAGAAAGGCAGCACAGGTTAAGAATGGTTCTGTGAATTGCAGGTAGTATTATAAATACATAATTCATACAGACATGGTTCTACCCCTGACCAGGTTCAATCATGCCACTGCATTTGCTTGCAAGAACAAGTGAGAGATAAATGTCATCTTCAGCTCCACTGCACAACAGTACTTGGTGACCAAAGGATTTGAGGGACAAGAAGAGTTAAGAATTATCTCTAAAGTTTTATATAAGCTTATCAAAATAGAAAGCTACATTATTAGATGATCTTTACTACCATACCACAATGAAAGAGCCAAGTGTGTTCGAGGGAGAGTGAAAAAAGCCTTTGATAGAGTGAAAGACTCATGGACAGAATTAGCAAGACAGGGAAGGCCCAGAGCAGGAAGGATCTTGTGTGGAAGGGAAGATTCTGAGGCATAAGAGAATAAGGAGCTTTGGGGGCTCTAAGCAAGGGAACAAAATCAAGGCAGGAATGTTCATGAAGATAGCTCTGGTGAAGAGTACAGACTGCAGACTGGTGACTTAGATGGATGATGAGGCCCAATGATGAGATGAGAGGGAAAACGACAAAGGAGAGTCACTGAAAATAAACCCAGGGAGGGAAGGAGGAACCCAAGAAGAAATAGAGCTTTAGTATTTAACATCATGACAGAAAATTTAAAAGTACGATATGCAACTAAATTTAAAAAAAAAAGCTGCACAGGAAGAAAACGGGAGAATTACACAGAGGCCAAAAATAATGACTCCCATGGGGTCTGGTGGCTTAATGCTTTTGGCACTAAAGAGCTAGGAAAGCAGGGAAAGAAAAGCCTCCGGTATATACAAACCGGGAAGTCCAACAAATCTCTGCTGAAGAAACTGGAACTTCAAATAAGAAACCCATAGCAAAAGGGTTAATTTGAGTAAGTTCCTTCACCACAAGAGAAAAAGTGAAGAGAATGTAATCGGTTAATAATGGCCTTCCAAAGATATGCCCAGGTTCTAAATTCCCAGGAGCTGTGAATGTTCACTTTATTTGGAAAAAGAGGAAACAGAAGAGAAGGAGGCAATGTGACCACGGAGTCAGAGACTGAAGTGATGTGGCCACAAGTCAAGGGATGCCTGGCGCCACCATAAGCTAGAAGAAGTATATAAGGAATTCTCCCACAGAGCCTTCAGAGAGACTGTGGCCTTTCTGACACCCTAATTTCAGTGTCTGGCCTCCAGAGCTGTGAGATGACTTGAGCCATCCCATTTGTGGAAATTTGTTGCAGCAGCCACAGAAACCAATACAGAGAAAATCACCTCACTTAGCTTTGTTTTGGAGTAGGGATAGACAGATCCTGTCTCCATCACAACTCCTGGCCTTTGTGTATGACTGGGAATGCCATAGATTTTTTTTCTGAGATGGAGTTTAACTCTTGTCGCCCAGGCTGGAGTGCAGTGATGCAATCTCAGCACACTGCAACCTCTGCCTCCCAGGTTCAAGAGATTCTCCTGCCTCAGCCTCCCAAGTAGCTGGGATTACAGGCATGTGCCACCATGTCCAGCTAATTTTAGTAGAGATGGGGTTTCACCATATTGGCCATGCTGGTCTTGAACTCTGCCCACCTCAGCCTCCCAAAGTGCTGGGATTACACGAGTGAGCCACCACGCAGACCCAGTCACAGCTTTCTTAACATTCTCCCTATGGTCCAAAATGATTGAGTTTAAAGTGTGTCTGGGTTGTCAGTGTCTCCAAGGAACTAGACGTATGCTTCTTAAAACTGGGCTTCAACAGAAACATAACAGAACAAGCAGAGCAGACGGGCAATGTAAACAGAAAGACGGAAACTCAAAGAATAGAATGGTCTGGGTGTGGTGGCTCACCCCCGTAATCCCAGCACTTTGGGAGGCCCAAGTGGGTGGATCACCTGAGGTCAGGAGTTTGAGACCAGCCTGGCCAACATGGTGAAACCCTGTCTCTACTAAAATTACAAAAATTGGGGGAGGAGCCAAGATGGCCAAATAGGAACAGCTCCGGTCTACAACTCCCAGGGTGAGCGATGCAGAAGACAGTGATTTCTGAATTTCCATCTGAGGTACCGGGTTCATCTCACTAGGGAGTGCCAGACAGTGGGCGCAGGTCAGTGGGTGCACGCACCGTGCGCGAGCCGAAGCAGGGCGAGGCATTGCCTCACTTGGGAAGTGCAAGGGGTCAGGGAGTTCCCTTTCCGAGTCAAAGAAAGGGGTGACGGACGGCACCTGGAAAATTGGGTCACTCCCACCCGAATACTGCGCTTTTCCGATGGGCTTAAAAAACGGCGCACCACGAGATTATACCCCGCACCTAGCTCGGAGGGTCCTACGCCCACGGAGTCTCGCTGATTGCTAGCATAGCAGTCTGAGATCAAACTGCAAGGCGGCAGCAAGGCTGGGGGAGGGGCGCCCGCCATTGCCCAGGCTTGCTTAGGTAAACAAAGCAGCCGGGAAGCTCGAATTGGGTGGAGCCCACCACAGCTCAAGGAGGCCTGCATGCCTCTGTAGGCTCCACCTCTGGGGGCAGGGCACAGACAAACAAAAAGACAGCAGTAACCTCTGCAGACTTAAATGTCCCTGTCTGACAGCTTTGAAGAGAGCAGTGGTTCTCCCAGCATGCAGCTGGAGATCTGAGAACGGGCAGACTGCCTCCTCAAGTGGGTCCCTGACCCCTGACCCCCGAGCAGCCTATCTGGGAGGCACCCCCCAGCAGGGGCACACTGATACCTCACACGGCAGGGTATTCCAACAGACTTGCAGTTGAGGGTCCTGTCTGTCAGAAGGAAAACTAACAAACAGAAAGGACATCCACACCAAAAACCCATCTGTACGTCACCATCATCAAAGACCAAAAGTAGATAAAACCACAAAGATGGGGAAAAAACAGAACAGAAAAACTGGAAACTCTAAAAAGCAGAGTGCCTCTCCTCCTCCAAAGGAACACAGTTCCTCACCAGCAACGGAACAAAGCTGGATGGAGAATGACTTTGACGAGCTGAGAGAAGAGGGCTTCAGACGATCAAATTACTCTGAGCTATGGGAGGACATACAAACCAAAGGCAAAGAAGTTGAAAACTTTGAAAAAAATTTAGAAGAATGTATAACTAGAATAACCAATACAGAGAAGTGCTTAAAGGAGCTGATGGAGCTGAAAACCAAGGCTCGAGAACTACGTGAAGAATGCAGAAGCCTCAGGAGCCGATGCGATCAACTGGAAGAAAGAATATCAGCGATGGAAGATGAAATGAATGAAATGAAGCGAGAAGGGAAGTTTAGAGAAAAAAGAATAAAACGAAATGAGTAAAGCCTCCAAGAAATATGGGACTATGTGAAAAGACCAAATCTACGTCTGACTGGTGTACCTGAAAGTGATGGGGAGAATGGAACCAAGTTGGAAAACACTCTGCAGGATATTATCCAGGAGAACTTCCCCTATCTAGCGAGGCAGGCCAACGTTCAGATTCAGGAAATACAGAGAACGCCACAAAGATACTCCTCGAGAAGAGCAACTCCAAGACACATAATTGTCAGATTCACCAAAGTTGAAATGAAGGAAAAAATGTTAAGGGCAGCCAGAGAGAAAGGTCGGGTTACCCACAAAGGGAAGCCCATCAGACTAACAGCAGATCTCTCGGCAGAAACCCTACAAGCCAGAAGAGAGTGGGGGCCAATATTCAACATTCTTAAAGAAAAGAATTTTCAACCCAGAATTTCATATCCAGCCAAACTAAGCTTCATAAGAGAAGGAGAAATAAAATACTTTACAGACAAGCAAATGCTGAGAGATTTTGTCACCACCAGGCCTGCCCTAAAAGAGCTCCTGAAGGAAGCGCTAAACATGGAAAGGAACAACCGGTACCAGCTGCTGCAAAATCATGCCAAAATGTAAAGACCATCGAGACTAGGAAGAAACTACATCAACTAACGAGCAAAATAAACAGCTAACATCATAATGACAGGATCAAATTCACACATAACAATATTAACTTTAAATGTAAATGGACTAAATGCTCCAATTAAAAGACACAGACTGGCAAATTGGATAAAGAGTCAAGACCCATCAGTGTGCTGTATTCAGGAAACCCATCTCATGTGCAGAGACACACATAGGCTCAAAATAAAAGGATGGAGGAAGATCTACCAAGCAAATGGAAAACAAAAAAAGGCAGGGGTTGCAATCCTAGTCTCGGATAAAACAGACTTTAAACCAACAAAGATCAAAAGAGACAAAGAAGGCCATTACATAATGGTAAAGGGATCAATTCAACAAGAAGAGCTAACTATCCTAAATATATATGCACCCAATACAGGAGCACCCAGATTCATAAAGCAAGTCCTGAGTGACCTACAAAGAGACTTAGACTCCCACACATTAATAATGGGAGACTTTAACACCCCACTGTCAACATTAGACAGATCAACGAGACAGAAAGTCAACAAGGATACCCAGGAATTGAACTCAGCTCTGCACCAAGCGGACCTAGTAGACATCTACAGAACTCTCCACCCCAAATTAACAGAATATACATTTTTTTCAGCACCACACCACACCTATTCCAAAATTGACCACATACTTGGAAGTAAAGCTCTCCTCAGCAAATGTAAAAGAACAGAAATTATAACAAACTGTCTCTCAGACCACAGTGCAATCAAACTAGAACTCAGGATTAAGAATCTCACTCAAAACCGCTCAACTACATGGAAACTGAACAACCTGCTCCTGAATGACTAATGGGTACATAACAAAATGAAGGCAGAAATAAAGATGTTCTTTGAAACCAATGAGAACAAAGACACAACATACCAGAATCTCTGAGACGCATTCAAAGCAGTGTGTAGAGGGAAATTTATAGCACTAAATGCCCACAAGAGAAAGCAGGAAAGATCCAAAATTGACACCCTAACATCACAATTAAAAGAACTAGAAAAGCAAGAGCAAACACATTCAAAAGCTAGCAGAAGGCAAGAAATAACTAAAATCAGAGCAGAACTGAAGGAAATAGAGACACAAAAAACCCTTCAAAAAATTAATGAATCCAGGAGCTGGTTTTTTGAAAGGATCAACAAAATTGACAGACCACTAGCAAGACTAATAAAGAAAAAAAGAGAGCAGAATCAAATAGACGCAATACAAAATGATAAAGGGGATATCACCACCGATCCCACAGAAATACAAACTACCATCAGAGAATACTACAAACACCTCTACGCAAATAAACTAGAAAATCTAGAAGAAATGGATAAATTCCTCGACACATACATTCTCCCAAGACTAAACCAGGAAGAAGTTGAATCTCTGAATAGACCAATAACAGACTCTGAAATTGTGGCAATAATCAATAGCTTACCAACCAAAAAGAGTCCAGGACCAGATGGATTCACAGCCGAATTCTACCAGAGGTACAAGGAGGAACTGGTACCATTCCTTCTGAAACTATTCCAATCAACAGAAAAAGAGGGAATCCTCCCTAACTCCTTTTATGAGGCCAGCATCATTCTGATACCAAAGCCAGGCAGAGACACAACCAAAAAAGAGAATTTTAGACCAATATCCTTGATGAACATTGATGCAAAAATCCTCAATAAAATACTGGCAAAACGAATCCAGCAGCACATTAAAAAGCTTATCCACCATGATCAAGTGGGCTTCATCCCTGGGATGCAAGGCTGGTTCAATATACGCAAATCAGTAAATGTAATCCAGCATATAAACAGAGCCAAAGACAAAAACCACATGATTATCTCAATAGATGCAGAAAAAGCCTTTGACAAAATTCAACAACCCTTCATGCTAAAAACTCTCAATAAATTAGGTATTGATGGGACATATTTCAAAATAATAAGAGCTATCTATGACAAACCCACAGCCAATATCATACTGAATGGGCAAAAACTGGAAGCATTCCCTTGGAAAACTGGCACAAGACAGGGATGCCCTCTCTCACCACTCCTATTCAACATAGTGTTGGAAGTTCTGGCCAGGGCAATTAGGCAGGAGAAGGAAATAAAGGGTATTCAATTAGGAAAAGAGGAAGTCAAATTGTCCCTGTTTGCAGATGACATGATTGTATATCTAGAAAACCCCATTGTCTCAGCCCAAAATCTCCTTAAGCTGATAAGCAACTTCAGCAAAGTCTCAGGATACAAAATCAATGTACAAAAATCACAAGCATTCTTATACACCAATAACAGACAAACAGCCAAATCATGAGTGAACTCCCATTCACAATTGCTTCAAAGAGAATAAAATACCTAGGAATCCAACTTACAAGGGATGTGAAGGACCTCTTCAAGGAGAACTACAAACCACTGCTCAAGGAAATAAAAGAGGATACAAACAAATGGAAGAACATTCCATGCTCATGGGTAGGAAGAATCAATATCGTGAAAATGGTCATACTGCCCAAGGTAATTTATAGATTCAATGCCATCCCCATCAAGCTACCAATGCCTTTCTTCACAGAATTGGAAAAAACTACTTTAAAGTTCATATGGAACCAAAAAGGAGCCCGCAACGCCAAGTCAATCCTAAGCCAAAAGAACAAGGCTGGAGGCATCACACTACCTGACTTCAAACTATACTACAAGGCTACAGTAACCAAAACAGCATGGTACTGGTACCAAAATAGAGATATAGATCAATGGAACAGAACAGAGCCCCTCAGAAATAACGCCACGTATCTACAACTATCTGATCTTTGACAAACCTGAGAAAAACAAGCAATGGGGAAAGGATTCCCTATTTAATAAATGGTGCTGGGAAAACTGGCTAGCCGTATGTAGAAAGCTGAAACTGGATCCCTTCCTTACACCTTATACAAAAATCAAGATGGATTAAAGACTTAAACATTAGACCTAAAACCATAAAAACCCTAGAAGAAAACCTAGGCATTACCATTCAGGACATAGGCATGGGCAAGGACTTCATGTCTAAAACACCAAAAGCAATGGCAACAAAAGACAAAATTGACAAATGGGATCTAATTAAACTAAAGAGCTTCTGCACAGCAAAAGAAACTACCATCAGAGTGAACAGGCAACCTACAGAATGGGAGAAAATTTTCGCAACCTACTCATCTGACAAAGGGCTAATATCCAGAATCTACAATGAACTCAAACAAATTTACAAGAAAAAACAAACAACCCCATCAAAAAGTGGGCAAAGGACATGAACAGACACTTCTCAAAAGAAGACATGTATGCAGCCAAAAAACACATGAAAAAATGCTCATCATCACTGGCCATCAGAGAAATGCAAATCAAAACCACAATGAGATACCATCTCACACCAGTTAGAATGGCAATCATTCAAAAGTCAGGAAACAACAGGTGCTGGAGAGGATGTGGAGAAATAGGAACACTTTTACACTGTTGGTGGGACTGTAAACTAGTTCAACCATTGTGGAAGTCAGTGTGGCGATTCCTCAGGGATCTAGAACTGGAAATACCATTTGACCTAGCCATCCCATTACTGGGTACATACCCAAAGGACTATAAATCATGCTGCTATAAAGACACATGCACACGTATGTTTATTGCGGCATTATTCACAATAGCAAAGACTTGGAACCAACCCAAATGTCCAACAATGATAGACTGGATTAAGAAAATGTGGCACATATACAACATGGAATACTATGCAGCCATAAAAAATGATGAGTTCATGTCCTTTGTAGGGACATGGATGAAATTGGAAATCATCATTCTCAGTAAACTATCGCAAGAACAAAAAACCAAACACTGCATATTCTCACTCATAGGTGGGAAATGAACAATGAGATCACATGGACACAGGAAGGGGAATATCACACTCTGGGGACTGTTGTGGGGTGGGGGGAGGGGGAGGGATAGCATTGGGAGATATACCTAATGCTAGATGACGAGTTAGTGGGTGCAGCGCACCAGCATGGCACATGTATACATATGTAACTAACCTGCACAATGTGCACATGTACCCTAAAACTTAAAGTATAATAATAATAAAAATAATAATCATAAAAAAATAATAAAATAAAATTACAAAAATTATCTGCACATGGTGGCACATGCCTGTAATTCCAGCTACTCGGGAGGCTGAGGCAGGAGAATCGCTTGAACCCAGGAGGTGGAGGTTGCAACGAGCTGGGATATCGTGCCACTGCACTCCAGCCTGGGCAACAAGAGTGAAACTCTGTCTCAAAACAAACAAACAAACAAACAAACAAACAAAAAACACGAATAGAATGAAAATGGTAGAAATTAGGCAGGGTGTGGTGGTTCTTGCTTGTAATCCCAATGCTTTGGGAGGCCAAGGTGGGAGGATCACTTGAAGGCAGGAGTTCAAGACCAGCCTTGACCTTATAGCAAGACCCTGTCCCTACAAAAAAATTTTAAAATTAGCTGGGCATGGTGGCGCGTGCCTGTAGTCCTAGCTAGGGAGGCTGAGGTGGGAGGATCGCTGGATCCCAGGAGTTTGAGGCTGCAGTGAGCTGTGATTGAGCCACTGCACTGCAGCCTGCGTGACAGAACAAGACCAAGTCTCAAAAACAAAACAAAACAAAACAAAAAAACCAAAACACTGTAACAGAAATAAACACTGCCTTATACCAAAAAATGTACACCTAGGGAAATCATAAACTGCAGAAAGTAAAAGACAAAGGGAAAATCTTCAAGGAAGCAGAGAAAAGCAGCACCTTACCTGCAGAGGAACAAGGGTAAGATAAAAAAGCCAAAATTATCCAGAATGTAGTATATAAGGACAAAAGGAGGGAAAATAGGAAAAGAGAATAAGAGGTAGGATAGAGTGAGAAAGTCCATCTAAAATATGTCTAAACAAGGTGTCAGAAGGAGAGAATACCAGAGAGAATGAATAAGAGGTAAGTTGGACAAGATAATGTCTGGCAATTTTCCACAAGTGCCGAAAGACACAAATACTGACACAGAAAGCCCAATAAATCCCAGGCTATCAGGTGTTACAAATAAAAGGATGGGATGGTAAAAGTCTTGAATTGAGATGTCAAGAATGGGTATAAATAGAAAAAAACAGATCCCACAAAGGGAAGCTGTCTGGGGAAGTGATTGCAGTGGCAGCAATATTAAAGTGAACATGTCTGATGTGTAGCAGGATTACAGAACGAAACTCAGAGGGTAGGGTGAGGATGTCAACAGAGAAGTTGACAGAGCAGCCACAGAAGCTGAAATCTCAGAAGTGAATAGTGCTAAGTGGGAGAACGGGAGGAGGAGAAAATAAGCTGCCTGACACCAGCAAGTAAGTGCAGGTCGCCATCCTTAATTTCTATTTTCTAGATAATAGAATGTGGAATATGTCAACTGATGATCTAGCTCTTCACAGTGTTACGTGTCTCAAGGAAAAAATGCAGGTAAGCATGTTTTATAAACTGTAAAGGGAGGTATAATGTCAGCTGTAAGGCTGTAATGTCAGGCTATTTTACAACCCTGTGATAATTTTGACTTTTGGGGGAAAGAACAATTTTAGGGTCAGCAAATATGCTGATTTACCTAGAAGCATGTATTTTTAATAACATACCAATGTAGTTTTTAGATTTAGCAAAAAGTAATTATACTTTTAATTGCTATTAAAAAATTATATTATTGACCGGGCATCACGGCTCACGCCTGTAATCCCAGCACTTTGGGAGGCCGAGGTGGGCGGATCACCTGAGGTCAGGAGTTTGAGACCAGCCTGGCCAACATGGTGAAACCCCGTCTCTACTAAAATCCAAAAATGAGCCAGCCATGGTGGCAGGCGCCCGTAGTCCCAGCTACTCGGAAGTCTGAGGCAGGAGAATCCTTGTTCCTGGGTTGAAGCCCCAGGCCTGAACCCAGGAGGCGGAGGTTGCAGTAAGCCAAGATCGTGCCACTGCACTCCAGCCTGGGAGACAAAGTGAGACTCAGTCTCAAAAAAAAAAAAAAAAAAAAAAAAAGAAAAGAAAATTATATTATGGTAAATTTCTGGGGAAAGAATAACAAAACAGGATAACAATAGTACTATCTTACATGTATATGCTACAAATGGTTAATGGCATCAAAATCTACTTTCAACAAAAATAAAAAACTTACGGTCCACAATCTCCTTACCCTGCGTTTGGGTCTCATTCAGAAACAGCTTTAGCTTCCTGCTCCGAAGGCCAAACACCTTGGCTGCTTCATACAGAAGACCTTGGTGGGTGAGTCCATTCTGCCCAAGTGGGTTTTCAAGCAGGAGAGTGCCCACTGTCCCCATTAAACACTCTGTGGAAGACAGAACAAACTGGATTAAATCTCGAGAGTTCACCCTCTAGCTCCAAAAGAGGTGGCCACTGCGGACAGCTCTAACAGGCAGTGCTGAGGCCAGCAGTGCGTCCAGGAGCGTGAGTGTGACCGCTGAAGATGCAGTCCATGCAGAAACAGCTCTCAACATTTCATAGAGGTGAAGGGGAAGGGGAAAAAGAAAAAAAAAAAACTTATATAAAAGCCCAGCAGCTTGGGGAGCAGATACTCAGTACACAGTGAAGTGAGGAGCCCGAAGACTTCAGTACAAATGTGCACAATGAGGATCCTAAAATATCAGGAAAAAAATCACTATCAATCTAGTCTGTTGATTAAGGCATGGAGGTATAGAAGTTTTCAGAACATTTTTCCTCAGAAAAGAAAGTAAAATTTGAGATTAAAATGTTTTGGCACTCAAACAATTTAGTTGTAATTTTTACCTAACCAATTTTTTCATTTCCTAACCATGCCAGATGGATGAGGGTCTCTATAACACACCAAAAGAAAAGCCTGTGGTTGCTCCCCAAAGTTGCGTGAGAGCCCACACTTTAAAGCAATACTTTGAAGCCGACTAGAAATACACACATATTTGAATATTAAAGACAACTTCAATGCCCAGCACCCCACAGTCTGCCTGCTGTGGGGAGGCACATACCTTGTGGCTTTGCATTCAGGAGCTGTAGGTTGATATACTGACAAAGAAGAGTACTAGAACTGTTGATCAGAGAGGGAGCCGATCCTGCAGTCACACAAAGTGTTTTTCCACTAAGACTCAGTAAGTCAGTTTGGTTTTGTATTTCTAAAAATAACAACAACAATTCTTTCAGGGTTAACGAACAAATTCAAAACTGAAGTCATTCAATTTTTCCTATTTAACTATCATGTATCTTTTTACGATAATGCTTTCCACTTAATTTCTGTTTATCAAGAGACATTGCCTTTTCTATAAAACCAGCCTTTAATGACATGTAATGGTAGGAAATCTCAATGTTGCAAAACAAACATCATAATATTCATAATCTGAAATATAGGGCTAATTGTTTTCTCTATTTTAGTATTTTCTCTGTATAATACAGCTCCTCTTAAAATTTCCTCCTATATCAGAATCTCAAGCTTCACCATGAAAAACTTACATTAAAAAGTGCTAATTACAGTCAGAAGATGTTATTTGACTCAGGAGCAGATGTGAAAAAAAGCATGATACACAGAACATATGCAGTGTAATTTCATTTAGAGAACATTAAACGTTGCTTGGGGATGCATGCGCAGGCAGATGACTGGTAATGGTTGTGATATAGGACAGGCCCACAGGGCAGCCTCCAAATATTGAGTGGAAATGGTAGGTATGAGACTAGGCTGGGGCACTGGCTCAGGGAACAAGGAAACTGCTGCACCAGTGGCTAGATGCTCATGCTCAGCCTAGGCCCACATGGTCTCTTCTCTCAACCACAGGTGTGGCCTTGTAGGAAGTCTTCCAGGACTGGCTGGCAGAGAAAGAAAACATTTTAGGGCTTGCTGTGTAGGGCTTTACTGCACAATACGCTGTATCATCCAAAGTAGACAATTACAGTCTTAACGGCCCTGTTCTGACTCTGGGTAGCCCTGAAGAATAGTGATGGGTGGAAATCCTCCCAATGGGCACAGCTTCTTTCAGTGCAGCCGGCTGGTCATTTTGCTCAGCAGAAATAGCTAGGAGTAGATCTACACTGATTCATGGACACTGGCCAATAGCTGGACTAAACGAGAACAGCCAGGGACTCAAAGAACAGAATTAGAAAACTGGTGACAAGGAAGTTAGGGCAAGAGGTATGTGGACAGATCTCTACAAATGGGCAGACTATGAATGAGGATCTAAAAATGGGTGAGGCTGGGCACAGTGGCTCACACCTGTAATCCTATCACTCTGGGAGGCAGAAAGGGGAGGACTGCTTGAGGCCAGGAGACTGAGCCTGGGCAATACAGCAAGACCTCCTCTCTACAAAAAAGAAAAGAATTAGCCAGGCATGGTGGCATGTGTCTGTACTCCTAGTTACTTTGGAGGCTGAGGTGGGAGGATTGCTTGAGCCCAGAAGTTTGAGGTTACACTGAACTATGATTGAGCCACTGCACTCCAGCCTGAGTGATCGAGTGAGACCCTGTCTCAAAAAATAAAAAATAAAAAATAAATAATAATAATCAGTGGACATGTTCTATTCTGCCGCCAGCCACTCCTGCCCTTGCCCAATGGATTGATGAACAAAGGGGCCACCCAGACTGGGAGGAAGAATAACCACGGGCTCCACAACATTACTTCCACTCCCTAAGGCTGATTTTGCTACAGCTGCTACTGCGTATCCCACCTACCAACAGCGGGAACCATTACTTGAGCTTTCGATACAGTGTTATTGCCAGGAAAGACAAGCCAGACTCCTGATGGCAGCTTGGTTGTACTGCACTGTTTCCATTATGGGAAAAGGCAGTGCTTTGGTCTTACTGGAACACACACTCCTTTTGGACAAGGATTTGCCACTGTCACCTATAATGCTTCTGGCAAACCCACCATCCATGGAGGTAGAGAATGTCTTATTTACCAACACAGCATTCCACATAGCATCGCTTGACCAGAGAACTCATTTTTCAGCAAATGAAGTGTGGCATTATGTATTAATATATATTAGCCAATTCTTATTTTTCCACTCTCTTATTTCCTTACCATATAACATGAAATATTTTAACGGGTTAACCTTATACCTCAGTGAAGTTAAAGAACAGCAAAAGAGGGATGTATGGCTCAGCTAGAAGAGAAATCAACATCACCCAAAGAAGGATAAGGTAACTTTCTATCTCGTTTTGGGTAATGAAGTTAGCATCTTTGAAGCAGTACAAGAAAGAGTTAAAAGTGTGATTTTTTTTTTTTTTTTAATCTACTAGGGTCTTTATTTGGAAGTTACATATGATTTAAAGAGCCATGTATAGATGTCAAGATCACAATGGGGTGAACTATGGTGGTTTCATCCTGTGTCAATGCAGCTAAGCTAAAACTATTTCCCAGGTTCTCTGTCTGACCTGGTTCTGGGTAATGGCTTGATCACAGACAAATCTACACAGGATTTAGAAGGTAGAAGTTTAGTAACAGTCATTATGCTAAACAGGCTAACATGGGGCCCGTGCCCTTGGCTTTCTCAGGTTGCTGTGAATCTGCCAACTTGTTGGGTTAAGTGGGACAGTGAGCAGCCCACGCTCCTGCCTCTGCTCTTCCAACTTCCAGGCCAGGAATGTGTGCAACTCTCTGGAAAAGTGTACCAGCAGTTTCTTCTGCAAGGCACCTGTCAGTGTGGGATGAGGTCAGATAGATGTGCACTCTAGCCTGTTTTTGCTCGTTTCTACTTCTCATCCTACCGTGACTTTAGGCAGAGATCCAGCTTTCCACTGACTTATCCACCACCTTGGTGGAACCTGGTTAGAGATTTTTCTCAGACCTCTAACTTGCTACCTTCTTGTAGAATTTTACTTGGTTTCTCCCACATTGCTTTTGCTTCTCCTATCCAACCTTTAATGGATACAATAGCAAACAGTTTTCCAGTGGTTCCAACAATTCATAATCCAGCAGTGAATGAGAGTTCCCATTATGCAATATCCCTGACAACATTTGAGTCTGCCAGATTCTTCTAGTTTTTGCCAATCTGGTGGCAGTTAATAGTACCTCACTGTGGTACTATCTTGCAAGTTCCTGATTACCATTAAGATGCACCAGTTGTTCCTTAGTTGGCCATTTGCATTTCTTCTTTTAAGTTATTTAAAAGTTTCTGAAAATGAGCATTCAGATTCATAAAATGAGTATTAGTTTTCTGAGGCTGCCATAGTAAAGTCCCATAAACTGCAGGGGGCTAGGGAATAAAAATAAAAGAAATGTACTGTCTCAAAGTTCTGGAGGTCAGAAGTCCAAAATTAAAGTGTTGGCAGATGTGCTCCCTCTGAAACCTGTAGGCGAATTCTTTTTTGCCTCTTCCTAGCTTCTGGAGGCTCCCGGCAATCTTGGTTGTTTCTTGGCTTGCAGCTGTGTGTAACTCCAATCTCTGCCTTTGTCACCACATGGCATTTTCTCCGTGTGTTTCTATGTCTTCACATGGCCACCTTCTTTTTTTTTTTTTTTTTATTGATCATTCTTGGGTGTTTCTCGCAGAGGGGGATTTGGCAGGGTCACAGGACAATAGTGGAGGGAAGGTCAGCAGATAAACAAGTGAACAAAGGTCTCTGGTTTTCCTAGGCAGAGGACCCTGCGGCCTTCCGCAGTGTTTGTGTCCCTGGGTACTTGAGATTAGGGAGTGGTGATGACTCTTAACGAGCATGCTGCCTTCAAGCATCTGTTTAACAAAGCACATCTTGCACCGCCCTTAATCCATTCAACCCTGAGTGGACACAGCACATGTTTCAGAGAGCACAGGGTTGGGGGTAAGGTCACAGATCAACAGGATCCCAAGGCAGAAGAATTTTTCTTAGTACAGAACAAAATGAAAAGTCTCCCATGTCTACCTCTTTCTACACAGACACGGCAACCATCCGATTTCTCAATCTTTTCCCCACCTTTCCCCCCTTTCTATTCCACAAAACCGCCATTGTCATCATGGCCCGTTCTCAATGAGCTGTTGGGTACACCTCCCAGACGGGGTGGTGGCCGGGCAGAGGTGCTCCTCACTTCCCAGTAGGGGCGGCCGGGCAGAGGCGCCCCTCACCTCCCGGACAGGGCGGCTGGCCGGGCGGGGGGCTGACCCCCCCACCTCCCTCCCGGACGGGGCGGCTGGCCAGGCAGAGAGGCTCCTCACTTCCCAGTAGGGGCAGCCGGGCAGAGGCGCCCCTCACCTCCCGGACGGGGCGGCTGGCCAGGCGGAGGGGCTCCTCACTTCTCAGACGGGGCGGCTGCCGGGCGGAGGGGCTCCTCACTTCTCAGACGGGGCGGTTGCCAGGCAGAGGGTCTCCTCACTTCTCAGACGGGGCGGCCGGGCAGAGACGCTCCTCACATCCTGGACGAGGCAGCAGGGCAGAGGCGCTCCCCACATCTCAGACGATGGGCGGCCGGGCAGAGACGCTCCTCACTTCCTAGATGGGATGGCGGCCGGGAAGAGGCGCTCCTCACTTCCTAGATGGGATGGCGGCCGGGCAGAGACGCTCCTCACTTTCCAGACTGGGCAGCCAGGCAGAGGGGCTCCTCACATCCCAGACGATTGGCAGCCAGGCAGAGATGCTCCTCACTTCCCAGACGGGGTGGCGGCCGGGCAGAGGCTGCAATCTCGGCACTTTGGGAGGCCAAGGCAGGCGGCTGGGAGATGGAGGTTGTAGCGAGCTGAGATCACGCCACTGCACTCCAGCCTGGGCACCATTGAGCACTGAGTGAACGAGACTCCGTCTGCAATCCCGGCACCTCAGGAGGCCAAGGCTGGCGGATCACTGGCGGTTAGGAGCTGGAGACCAGCCCGATGGCCACCTTCTTATAATGACAACAGTCATACTGGATTAGGGGCCCACGCTACTCCAGTATGACCTCATCCTAACTAGTTACATCTGCGATAATCCTATTTCCACAGGTCACATTTAGAGATACAAGGGGTTAGGACATAATCTTTTTTTTTTCAGAGGTCACAATTCAATACGTAACAGCGGGAGAATGCATCTATAATTCTTTAAAAATTTTTCAGGTTTGCTTTATTGAGAATCCAGACTTAGTGAGATCCAGGCATTGTGTTTAATAAAGTTAAAACTCACGGTTGGGTGTGGTAGCTCACACCTGGAATCTCGGCACTTTGGGAGGCCAAGGCAGGGGGACTGCTTAAGGCCCTGGGTTCAAGACCAGACTGGGCAATATACTGACTTGGTCTCTCCAAAAAAATTAAATAAAATTAGCCAAGCATGGTGGTGGCATGCCTGTAGTCCCAGTTACTTGGGAGGTCAAGGCAGGAGGATTACTTGAGCCCAGGAGGCCGAGGGTGCAGTGAGCCATGACTGCATCACTGTACTCCAGCATGGGTGACAGAGTGAGACCCTGTCTCAAAAACAAAAACAACCTCACAACAGAGGACTCTGAAGCCTGAAGTCCACCAGCTAGCTAACAGGTGAGAGGGAAAGATTAGATCCATTAAGCCCAGGGTTTTCAGTCACATGACACAATGAGGAGGCATGAATAGACACTGCAGGCAGGCACTGCTGAAGAGTTGGGCCCTGACTCAAGAGAGTTAGGAAAAATGCAAAAGTTGTATAGTACAACTGACAGCAAATTAAGACCTTCACCAATCCATCTTGAGTCAAAGGACGTAGGCTCCTCTCACTTTCCACATACCTGTTTCATCATGGAAGACAGCCAGCTCTGTATTTTTCACACCAAAAATGCTAGTGACAACACTCTTCAGCTTTAAAAGGTCCAACCTATTGTCACCTTTTGGATTTTCCAGGAGCAATACTCCACCTAAAAAGCCACAAAAATAACACCTCAATCAGACAAATAAAACTAAAAAGAAAATGTTACATTTGGAGGAAAAGGGATACAAAGGGGTTCAAGCCCTAATATTTTTCCTTTTCCCCCAACTATACACTATATATATGTGTATATATAGCTTATTATATACATATAAAAGCATACCAAGGATGGATATATATACATATATATACATATATAGTGTATATGCAATATATACACTACACACACACACACACACACACACACACACATCTCCATCCTTGGCATGTGTTTTGGCAATCCTTGGTAGCTATGGTCCAGGCATAGAACTCTACCAGGCAATCTGTTCTTGTCTTTTTCTAGATTTAAACCTTTGTATTCATGATTCTTATTTATGATTGTCATTTTTCATTTTGTGCCATATGTATATTCCCACAGGTCACGATGGTTAAAAATACTATCTGACCCCTGATGTTGATTTATTCTGCACCTTAGATTCATGTACGGATATTTACTTTATTAATATATTTGAACATTTTGAGTTAATTGTAGAGCCAAATGCACGTAGTGAGATACCACAGGCCCCTTACCCAGTTTCCCCTAATGGTGACATTTTACAAAACTACAGTGTATACCACAACCAGCATATTGACACTGATGCAATCCACTGATCCTATTCAGATTGCCTCAGTTTTACTTTTACTCACTGGGGCATGTGTACACGTGGGTATGTTTAGTTCTATGCAATTTTATCACTCGTGTAAAATCCTGTACCCATCACCATCATTAAGATACAGAGTAGTTCTGCCACCATGAGAATCCTCGTGTTGCCTTTTAATATCCATACCCAATTCCCTCCCAGGCCCATTCCCTCCTTAATCCCTGGCAAACAGTCTCCATTTCTATAATCTTATCATTTAAAACATGTTATGTGAATGCAATCATACAGTATGGAACCTTTTGGGACTTTTTTTATTTGGCAACAATTTCTTTTCTTTTCTTTTTTTTTTTGAGATGGAGTTTAGCTTTGTCGCTCAGGCTAGAATGCAGTAGTGCGATTTCGGCTCACCGCAACCTCTGCCTCCTGGATTCAAGAGATTCTCCTGTTTCAACCTCCCAAGTAGCTGGGATTACAAGCACCCACAACCACGCCTGGCTAATTTTTGTATTTTTTCAGTAGAGACGGGGTTTCACCATGTTGGCCAGGCTGGTCTCAAACTCCTGACCTCAGGTGATCTGCCTGCCTCGGCTTCCCAAAGTGCTGGGATTACAGGCATGAGCAACTGTGCCTGGCCTCAGTTGGCATCAATTTCTAAGGATTAAAATAAGTTACTGTGCTGATAGTTGTTCCTTTTTATTACTGTGTAATGTTCTATGATATGTACCCCAGTTTGCTTAGCCATTTATCTGCTGAAGAATATCTGGGTCATCTATAGTTTGGTGCTATTATGAATATAAGTACTATATACATTCATGTGGTGGTGAACATAGTTTTCAGTTCTCTGGGATAAACACCTAGGAGTGCAACTGCGAGTCATTATAGAAAGCACATATTTAGTTTTCTGATACTGCCGAACTATTTTCCAGAGTGATCATACCATTCTATATTCTCACCAGCAATGTATGAGATACAGCATTTGGTGCTGTCACTACTTGCAATTTTAGTCATTGTGATAGCTGTGTATTAAGACCTCAATGTGATTTCAACTTGAATTTTCCTAACGGCTAATGACGTTAAATGTTGTCATGGACATTTCTGTCATTTGTATATTCCCTTTGGTAAATGTCTGTTCATATCTCTACCCCATTTTCTAACTGGATTTTTCTTTACTGTTGAGATTTAAAAGATCTTTACGTATTCTAGATATGTCTTTTGTCAAATATGTTGTTTTATAAAGATTTTCTCCCAGTCTGTAGCTTGTCTTTCATCCTTTTATAGGATGTTCAAAGCAAAACCTAAATTTTCATTTAGTTCAATATATCACTTTTCCCTTTTAAGGACAGTGTTTTGTGTCAAGGCTTTAAAACTCTTTGTTTAATGTTTAAATGAAAAATCTTAAGACTTTTCCAAAAATACTAGTAGAGCACTTTGGCCACCTAAGTAAGTAACCTTAATTTATTCCATCTGCTGGGAATATACTTTTGATCCAGCTATTGTTTCATAAACTAGTGTGTTTTATATTATAGTACCTAGCACATGGCTACAGTTTTCAAATGAAAGCTAAGAAATCTGCTTATCTGTATGCTTATACATGCCTGTGCATGTAGGTATGTTACGTATATGTGTTATTTTTTTCTTTTTTTTTTTTTTTTGAGACGGAGTTTTGCTCTTGTTGCCCAGGCTGGAGTGCAATGGCATGATCTTGGCTCACAGCAACCTCCACTTCCCGGGTTCAAGTGATTCTCCTACTTCAGCCTCTCGAGTAGCTGGGATTACAGACATGTGCCACCATGCCCAGCTAATTTTGTATTTGTTTTTTTTTTTTTTTTAGTAGAGATGGAGTTTCTCCATGTTAGTCAGGCTGGTCTTGAACTCCTGACCTCAGGTGATCTGCCTGCATCGGCCTCCAAAAGGGCTAGGATTACAGGCGTGAGCCACCGCACCCAGCCATGAGATGTTTTTCTACCTCCAGATGGTATGGTCAAAAATTAATTCATAAAAGATTTCTATTTAATTGATTTAAAGAAAAATAAGCATTTCACATAAATTAAGTATTCTCTCAGCAATATAGAAACCAACACACATGCTTTTCAAGTTCATGTGACTTGGGTAAGAATATATAATGCAGATATACAACTTTTAAATCCTACCAGGATTTATTATCAAATAAGTTTATGTTACCTCCACTACATATTTATAATTATACAACTATGAGTTCAACCTATGAACAATGTGCAAGTGGGTGCCAGTATCCATTACTTCACGTTTTTCGAGTGCAGCAAAAAAACAAAAAATCTCATCTATTAAACTTTTTAGGATTCTTGTTTTTGTGAAGACTGCCGAACATGCACATGCTGTAAAAGTAGCTAACAGAGAAATAACTTAATGATAGCTAGCTTTGTTTGTGTTATGTCTACTCAAAAATAGCTCCCCACTGGTAATTTACAGCCTAGGGGTTTTGTTAATTTAAATGATGAATATTCATTGGATATGTAGATATTTTCCAAATAAAATACTGAAGCATTAATAGTGGAACATAAATTATACTACAAGGAAGCATATGTTTCTACAAATTTGATTCATAGATTTGCCAATCTATAGAATGCTGATGTGACAGTTATAACTAGAATAAGAGAAATGATTCTGTATGTGAGGAAAAGACATGGTTTTGGTAAGGTGAAGCTATGAAGTATGAAGGATGTGTGTTCGTTAAGAGAAAAAGACTAACTTTTGCCTTATAGTAGAATGACTTGTTTCACAGTAAGAGGAAGAATTTAATCCAAAACAGAAGGGTATGAGAAAGTTGTAGTAGGTTTGTGGAAGAGGAATCTTGGAAAAGGAATTTTATGTGTGGTCAACCTGGGTAAGTTCTGAATGAATTTATTTATAAATTATCAAATTAATAAGCCTTAATAATACCAGCACTTTGGGAGGCTGAGGTAGGAGGATTGCTTGAGTCCAGGAGTTCAAGACCAGACTGGGCAGTGTAGTGAGACACTGTCTCTACAGAAAAGAAAACAGAGAAACAGAGTCCTCTCTATTAAAACTGCTCAGGTCTTTTTATAACTTTGTGACTTTCTATATTTGCCTTTGATATTTTTAATTATCACTCTGGTTAAATGAGTGACTGTAGCTTCAGTGACCTGCAATCCTATTAATCAAGTGTTTTAAGCCTTTGATATTTTTTACTAGCTTCCCAAAATCAAACTCTAAACTTAAGTCTTTCTGACCTCAAGCTAACTTTGGGAGCTTTCAGAGGCCCCCTGAAATATCTCAAGAGAATTTTCTTTCATTATGAAGAGAAACAGTAAACAAGTTAGACTTATTTGACTACGTTAGATCTGCATGGGAAGCGCTGTCAAATAAGAAATGTTGTTTAACCTTCTTTAACTTGTACAAATAATGTGTTCCAGAAATTGTGTGAAATTCTTAGAAATCTGATAGCCTGGTCTAATGTTATCAGTCATAATTCTAGTTACCTTAAAATGCTGTATACCACAGAAATAACTAAACTTCCTTGTCAATTGCAACATTAGTATAATGAACTCTCATTAGATATTTAACCATGGCCATTTAAAGTCTTGTCATCCAACGATAGTTAATTGTTTTACTCTGGCACTTTCCTGAAAACTATTGTAAGCAACAGTGAATCTAAAGTGTTTCATCTTTGAGGAGATGCAATGGAAAGGACTCTGACAAGTACAGGTTTCTGATGTTAAGATCACACCATTGGACTGGGTAAGAATTATCATAACTCTTGTGAAGTAATTAACTAATTCATGATGCTGTCACAATGGCAATGACATTTTAACCTGAGTTTTGGAGGACACACTCAAACCACAGCAGGATAGAAGATACATTTTTACTATATTGAATCTTCTAATCCATACACGTCTCTCCACTTACTTAGATTTTGTCTGATTTTTTTCATCACTATTTTGAAGTTTTCAGTATACAAGTCCCAACATGTTTTATTAGGTTTACATCTGAATATTTTTTTGGAGACAAGGTCTCACTGTGTGGCCCAGGCTGGAGTATAGTGGCATGATCATGGCTCACTGCAGCCTCCATCTCCCAGGCTCAAGCAATCCTCCAACCTCAGCCTCCCAAGTAGCTGGGACTAAAGGCGAACACCACCACACTTGCCTAGTTTTTTATTTCTTGTAGAGACGGGGTCTCACTTTGTTGCCGAGGCTGGTCTCGAACTCCCAGGCTAAAGTAATCCTCCTGCCTAAGCCTCCCAAAATGCTGGGAATACATGCGTGAACCACCACGCCTGACCTAGCATCTTTTTTTAAGTGACTGTAAATGATACCACATTTTTAATTTCATTGCCCACTTGTTCATTGCTAGTATAGATTGCTATTATGAAATAAAATTCATTTTTGTATGTTTATCTTACATCCTGTGACTCAAAAGTTTTTTTCTTTTTTATAAGCAATATGATTTCTATTCAATTACTTTGGAAACCCAATTAATGCTTGAATCCAAAGGGTATAGAAAAAGGCCAAACATTTAAAAATAACAGATTTAGCGATGATTTGTATGGTTTTTTCCCTCATAATATGAATGCTTTCAGCAGGACAGTAAATTGCAAAACATATCAAATCATATTAAGGCAGACGACCAAGCTGTGGCTGCATTTAAAGCTATTACTAAGAAAATAATCTTGGAGTTGAGAGCTCTTCTTTCCAGGTGTCTGGTCAACTGACCCAGGAATGGCCAGTCCTGGAGTTGGTAGATGGGAAAATAGGCCCTACCTGTCTTATCACTGCTCATGCTGCTGGCCCTCTGTACAAGAACACTGTTCTTGTTTACATTACTGATGCACACCACTGACCATCCGATTCCTTCTACAGGGTAACCTGAGACAGCCAGGATGTTGGCAGTGATGGACCAGCTCAATGCCATACAACATCACTGAAGTTGCAAAGCAGTTCAGGGAACCATGTACTGTCTGAGACATCATCACAGGTCTAAATAAACACACAACCATCATGGGAGCAGCTGGCATGGGAAGATCAATATGGTGATCCCAGGCCACATCTTAAAACCAGGCAATATGAGCTTTTTTTTTTTTTTTGAGATGGAGTTCGTTCTTGTTGCCCAAACTACAGTACAATGGCGCGATCTCGGCTCACTGCAACCTCCGCTTCCCAGGTTCAAGTGATTCTCCTGCCTCAGCCTCCTGAGTAGCTGGGAGTACAGGTGACCGCCATCACACCTAATTCTTTATATTTTTTCGACAGGGTTTCACCATGTTGGCCGGGCTGGTCTTGAACTCCTGACCTCAGGTGATCTGCCTGCCTTAGCTCCCAAAGTGGGATTACAGGCGTGAGCCACCAAGCCTGGCTTATTTTTTCAGGTGTTTGTATGTATGTTCCTTATGATTTTCTATAGAGTCAGCTTTATTCCTTTCTTTATCTGCATGACTTTTATTTCCTCGTCATGCCGTGGTCCACTGGCTAGAACTTCCAGTACAATGTCGAATATGAGTTGTGATTGCCTTGTTCCTGATTTTAGGTAGAAAGAATTCAGGCTTTCCCCATTAGGTATAATGGTAGCTGTAGGATTTTTGCAAAATGCTCATTATCCAGTCCACAAAGGTCTCATCTCTTCCTATTTTTGTGAGGATTTTCATCATGAATGGGTGTTGAATTTGATCAAATGCTTTTTATGAATCAACTGCTATACTCATGTAATCTTTTAGTCTGACAATACGATAATTACATTGATTTTTTTTTTTTTTTTTTTTTTGAGATGGAGTCTCCCTCTGTCGCCCAGGCTGGAGCACAGTGGTGCGATCTTGGCTCACTGCAACCTCTGCCTCCCAGGTTCAAGCAATTCTCCTGCCTCAATAATCCTACTCTCCTGAGTAGCTGGGATTACAGGCACGCGCCACCATGCCCGGCTAATTTTTGTATTTTTAGTAGAGACAGGGTTTCACCATGTTGGTCAGGCTGGTCTTGAACTCCTGACCTTGTGATCCACCCGCCTCAGCCTCCCAAAGTGCTGGGATTACAGGCGTGACCCACCTCGCCTGGACTAGATTGATTTTTAAATATTGAATCAGCCTTGCATCCCTGGAATAAATCCCACTTGGTGATGGTGCATAATTCTTTGTATACATAGCTGAATTCTATTTAATAATTTATTGGGAAGAATTTTACATTTATATTCATGTGGAATATCTGTTTTCTATCTTTTTTTTTTCTTTTTTGAGACAGAGTCTCGCTGTTGTCGGCCTGGGCTGGAGTGCAATGGCACGATCTCAGCTCACTGCAACCTCTGCCTCCCAGGTTACAGCAATTCTCCTGCCTCAGCCTCCCGAGTAGGCTGAGATTACAGGCGCCCGCCACCAGGCTTGGCTAATTTTTGTATTTTTAGTAGAGATGGTGTTTCACCATGTTGGCCAGGCTGGTCTCCAACTCCTGACCTCAGGTGACCCACCCGCCTTGGCCTCCCAAAGTGCTGAGATTACAGGCATAAGCCACCGTGCCCAGCCTATCTTTTTTGTTAATACTGTCTTTATCTGGTTTTGGTAGCAGGTTAATAACCACATAAAATGAGTGAAATGTTCCTTCCTCTTCTATTTTCTGGAAGAGTCTGTGTACAACTGGTGTTAATTCTGGTAAGAATTCTCCAGTGAAACTGGGCCTGGAGATTAGTTCAGAGATTTTAAATTACAAATTCATCTCCTTAATAATTATAGGGCCATTAAAATTATCTGTTTGATATTGTGTGAGTTGTAGTAGTTTGTGTTTTTTAGAAACAGGGTTCACTTCAGGCCAGGAACAGTGGCTCAAACCTGTAATCCCAGCATTTTGGGAGGCCAAAGAAGGCCAGACCACTTGAGGCCAGGAGTTTGAGACCAGACTGGCCAACAGGGTGAAACCCCGTCTCTACAAAAAAATACAAAAATTCATCAGGCGTGGTGTGGCACACCTGGAATCCCAGCTACTCGGGAGGCTGAGGCATGAGAATCACTTGAACCCAGGAGGTGGAGGTTGCAGTGAGCTGAGTTGGCATCACTGCACTGTCCAGCCTGGGCGACAAGCATCCAAGTTGTCAAACTTACATATGGAGATTTATTCATAGTATTTGCGTTTTTGATTTTGGCAATCTGTATCAATAATTCTTTTTATTCCTGATATGCAACTGTGTCTTCTTTTTCTTTATTAGTCTCACTAGAGGTTTATTAATTTTGCTGAATTTTTGGGTAAGAACCAGATTTCTGTATCATTAATTTTCTCTATCGTTTTTGTTTTCAATTGCACTGATCTCTTATTTTTATGTTTTTCCTTCTTCTTACTTTGCATTTATTCTGCCTTTTTTTCCTATCTAGTTTCTTGAGTTTAGACCTTAGGTTATGACTTGAAACCATCTTTCTTTCAGTTTTTAGTGCAACAGATTTCCGTCTCAGGACTGCTTTAGCCACATTCCACATATTTTGATGTCGTATTTTCCTTTACACTCAGTTCTATGTTTCTTTCCCTCTTGAGACTTCTTCCCTAATCATGGATAATTTAAAAGCATGTTGTTTATTTTTAAGAGTGTGGAGATTTTCATTATTATATTACTAATTAATAGTTTGATTCTACTGTGGTCAGAGAGCACACTCTGGTTTCAACTGTATTAATTGGTTGAGGTTTGTTTTATGGCCCAGGTTATAATGTATCTCAGCAAAGTTCTGTGAGAGCTCAAAAATAATTTATATTCTGCTATTTTTGGCTGAGGTGTTCTAACTGGTCTATTGATTACTGAAAAAGGTACTTTGAAGTCTCCAACTATAGTTGTAGATTTGTCTATTTCTCCTTTAATGTCTGTATCTTTTTATTTCATGTATTTTGTAACTCTTTTGTTAGACGCATATAAATTTAGGATCACTGTTTTCTTTGTGTACTGACACTTCTATCATTATTTAATGCCCCTGGTAATTTTCTTTGCTCTGAAGTCTGTTTCATCTAATACAAACATGACCATTCCTGCTTCTTTTGATTAATGTTTGCATAGTATATATTTTTCTACCCTTTTACTTTCAACTCACCTGTATCATTATATTAGAAGTTTGTTATAGACAGCATATACTTGGCTAATGTGTTTTTAACAATATGCCAATCTTTCATTTGTTCTGCTTGTTTTTTTGAGACAGAGTCTCGCTCTGTCACCCAGTATAGAGTATAGGAGCGTGATCTTGGCTCACTGCAACCTCCGCCTCCCGGGTTCAAGCGATTCTCCTGTCTCAGCCTCCTGAGTAGCTGGGACTATAGGCGCCCGCCACCAAGCCTGGCTAATTTTTGTATTTTTAGTAGAGGTGGGGTTTCATTATGTTGGCCAGGCTGGTCTTGAACTCTTGACCTCAGGTGATCCGCCTGCCTTGGCCTTCCAGTGTTGGGATTACAGGCGTGAGCCACTGTGCCTGGCATATTTGTTCTGATTTTCTCTCCTAGCTTCTTGTGGGTTACTGATATAGTTTGGATATTTGTCTCCTCCAACTCTCATGTTGAAATGTGATCCTCAATGTGGGAAAGTGGGGCTTAGTGGGAGGTGTTTGGGTCACTGGTGCCGATCCCTCATGAATGGCTTGGTACCCTTGTTGCAGTAATGAGTGAGTTCTCACTCTGTTCGTTCATGCGATAGCTGGTTATTTAAAAGAGCCTGGCTTCTATCTTGCTCCCTCTCTTCATCATGTGATACACTTGCTCCCACTTCATCTTCTGTAAAGCAGAGTAAAAGCTTCTTGAGGCCCTCAACAGAAGCAGATGCTTGTGCCGTGCTTCTCATACAGCCTGCAGAGCTGTGAGCCAAATAAACCTTCTTTATAAACTAGCCAGCCTCAGGTATTCCTTTATAGCAATGAAAAATGGACTAATACAGTTACTTAAAACATATTTTAGAGTTCCATTTTTTATTTTTCTAGGGTTTTATATGTATCCTGTGGTATAGTCTTTTCTTAGTGGTAACTCCAAGTAGTACCTAACATAAACATAACTTCCTAAGGTCCACTGGTGTCAATATTTTACCGGTTTGTGACAAATGTAGAAACCTCGCTCCTTTGTAATTGTCTTAACTATTATTTCTTGTTCAGTAAATCCTTAATGTTGCTGGTAGGTTCTTGGAAACTGTGACTTCAAGCAGAATGATGTACTATATAATAAACCAACTTTACCACAGGAGTTAAGTTCCCATGGCACACAGTACATCACTTCACTTAAAGTTGCAGGACCCAAGAACTCACTGATGATGTTGAGGCCTTAGTGTATATACACAGAGAACCACATCGAACAATGATATAGTGCTTGCTGGACCCATGAGAGTAATGAAAGTCTATTGAATTACCCTCCATTTTGATTTTCCATTTTTCTTTTTTCCTTCCTGATGTTTCTGGATTCCCTCTTTCATTATTTCCTTTCTGTGGTAAGAACATCCTTTAGCTACTCTTTTAGGACTGGTCTGCTGGGAACGGATTCTTTTAGTTTTCTTTCACTTGAGAATGTCTTTATTTTCCCATCATCCTGAAGGGTATTTCTGATTGATATGGAATTCTTGGTAGACAATACTTATCTTTCAGCACTTGAAAAATGCTGCCTTTTCATTTTCTGGCCTCTGTAGTTCCTGATGAAAAATCCAATATCATTTGTTCTTCCCCTGTAAGTTAGGTGTTATATCTTTTTCACTGCACACAAGACTTTTTTTGTCTTTGGTTTTCAAAAGTTTGATTATGATATATGTAGATGTGGATTCTTTTGGGTTTATCCTGTTTGGGTTTCACGCATACCTTAACTGACACTACAGAGGAGTTGCTCGTGGTGTGTGGCCTCACTGCTGCCATGCATTTGTAAATGGGAGGGATGCCTTGTTACTGCCCAGAAGGGATGGAAATCTAGGCTTTCCATGTGGCCTCCACTGATGCCACCGGGCAGAGGGGCTCATTACTGCCCCCCACTAGGATGAAAGTCCCAGCTTCCTACTTTGTCTTCTCTGATACCCCTGTGACAGGGGAGGGGTCTTCAGCTTGGCAAGGGTGAAGTCCAGGCTCCCCACTTGGCCTTTGCTAATGTGGGTGGTGGTGGGGCCATAGTTTTTTCTATGGTGTCTGGCTAGAGTAGAGCAGTTACTGTTTCAAAATTTTCTGTCTTGCTAGGCTGCCCATCTCTTGATCCTTTGTCAAGGGAGCAGAATTTTTGTTGAGGCTTTCTTTGGTCTGTACTTGACATTTCCAGGTTGCCAGCTTCTTCAGTTCCAACTTTGGGTATACGAGGCAGAAAAGAAAACCCTGAACTTACTACTTTTAGGTCACTTGGTTACAAGGTCCTTAGGTGGTCTGCTTTCTTCCTTACATCTTTGAGAGTCTTCTTATGCTTGTTTTTACATGTAATATCCAGGGTGTTTAGATGTATTTAGCAGGAGGAATAGGGAAAACTGTATCTGCTTCATGCTTCCACAAGCATAAGTCCAATCATTTACTTTAGTGGATTCATTTTTCTTTTCTTTTTTTTTTTGGTGAGACAGTCTTGCTTTGTCACCCAGGCTGGAGTGCAATGGTGCAATCTCAGCTCACTGCAACCTCCACCTCCCGGGTTCAAGAAATTCTCATGCCTCAGCCTCCTGAGTAGCTGGGATTATAGGTACCTGCCACCATGCCTGGCTAATTTTGGTATTTTTAGTAGAGACAGGGTTTCACCATGTTTATCAGGTCTTGAACTCCTGACCTCAAGTAATCCACCAGCCTCCGCCTTCCAAAGTGCTGGGATTACAGGTGTGAGCTACCATGCCTGGCCCTTTTTTTTTTTTTAATTGAGGCAGGATCTTATTATGTTGGCAAGGTTAGTCTTGAACTCTTGGCCTCAAGCAATCCTCTCACCTTGGCTTCCAAAAGTGGTAGATTTCAGGAATGATCCACTGCATCTCGCCTAGTGAATTCATTTTGATGACAAGAAGAAAAAGTTATCTATTAAACATGATTAAATAATTATTCCAATTCTCTTAAAAACATCCATAAGTTTTTTTGGTTGTTTTTTCACATCCATAAGTATAACTAAAAAAAAGTCACACAAATCATGGAATTTACTCTTACCTTGTTCACTGCCATTTGCACAAATGTTAAGATTGACATATGCACAAGCAGGACCAGGAAGGGAAGATCCTCTGGTGAGTGTAATTTCCAGTTCAGATCCCTTCAACTGAGCACATGAGAACGTATGACTGAGTAACTGTGGCACCTGACTGCAATGTGCCACACCATCGTGTAACACAGTGACTTCTCAGTAACAACAAGAGCTGTACACAATTGATAACATATTCAATCTCATTACTCAAAGTATCAAAAGCTACAATTTATATCCCATTTTTCTTCTCTTCTTATCCTGGTTTCTTAAAAATATATGCTCACTTAAAAAAAGTCAAATAATTACACAATATGCAAAATACAAAATGAAACTACACTGCAACTCGCCTCACTGAAAAAATAAACAGCCATCATCAGCCCCTCCTTGTCTTGTCCTACTTGTCTCATAGAATGAGACCGGAGCAAATGATTAAGCAAGTGACTGAGGTATATTTTAAATGATCAACTTTTTTTTTTTGAGACAGGGTCTTGCTCTGTCGCCCAGGATCGAGTGCAGTGATGCAATCTCGGCTCACTGCAACCTCCACCTCCTGTGTTCAAGCGATTCTTCTGCCTCAGCCTCCCGAGTAGCTGGGATTACAGGCGTGTACCACCATGCCCAGCTAATTTTCGTATTTTTAGTAGAGATGGGGTTTCACCAGCCCAGGCTGGTCTCGCACTCTTGACCTCAAGCGATCTGCTCGCCTTGGCCTCCCAAAGTGCTGGGATTACAGGTGTGAGCCACTGTGCCCAGTCTAAATGATCTACTTCTAAGTTATAAGCCAATATCTTCCCTACCTTAATATCATACTTTCATAAGTATATCTAAAATTCCTAGATGTAACAACAGAAATGCTATTGTAATCTTTCTTTTTTTGTACTGTACTTTTATGGAGAACCCACTACCAGAAGAGTTAAATGTTTTTCAAGCCAATTGCTATTTACTTTTAATGATAATTACCAGAATCCACACACTGCCTTTTCTAGTTTTAGAAAAAACAGGCCATTTTATTTCCGGGCAAAGCTCATGTACCCTCCTGGCTACCTTCCTCAAGAGAACTGTTGTGAAAACAGTTCCATCTTCCCTCCCTGCTCCATCTTTTCTGAGCTTCCACTCTCTGACTCTACCCACTACTGTCCAGAGCAATACTTCAAGACAGAGTGCTGTGCCGATCTCTACTGTGGGACAGAATATCAACACGTGAGTACACAAAGTCAAACCTAATCTGAAACCCTTTAGTAGTAGTTCAGTGGAACTCAGGACTCACCTGTGTTTTTTCTTGAATAAGGACTTTATCCGATGGAGAAACTGGATATGGTTTCAAGGGAGCCTTTATGGTGGTAAATATGAACTCTGTGTGGCTTTCAATAACACTATTCAGATATGTTCCTTCAGACTTTGCTTTATAGTACACTGTGATTTCATCAGTTGGAACCAGATTGCACTGAAAACACACACAGAAAAATTTAAAAGGGAAGTACATTCTATTAATCAGAACTGAAGGAAGGTACTGTTGAACAAGGGCTACAGATCCCATGCTGAATCATCACAGAAGGGCAGTCACCCTTCCCTCCCTGCTGGGTGATCCGTAAGACTAACTGCACTCAGTACATGATTAACTTTGTGTCTTTTTCACCACTCTTTGGGGGATAGGGCATGTTTCTTTTCCTAGAACAATCAGTACCTCATGAATGTTGAAACCAAGAAATTACTTAGAACCCACTTACAAAGCTCTGAACTGATTCAGAGGTCACAAGCACCCACTCATCTGCTGGAACAGCCTCCTCAGACCTTGAACCGTCTGGGAAGAAAGATGTATGTTAGCTGTCACTGCCCTCTACAGGGCAAGAAATTCCTGATTCTCTCACTAGCAGGGGCTTTGCAGCCCCTCTGCGCTCCAGGATGAGCTCCCTGCATATTCCTCAGCTCTCTAATAAGGAAAAACTACCCAACTCTGTCCAAATCCGGGAATCTCCCCTAAGCTAGAAGCCTGTCTATGCTGACTGCACCTCTGCCCTTCTGCAAAGACACTATCAGCTCTGATTACCTTCTGCTCCAGTCACAGGGGATATTCTGTAGAAGCCCAACGGAGCTAAAAAAAAGGATGGGAAAAGGCACAGGCTGGCTGAAAGCTACGACTTGGGAGTGAACACGTGGGGAGAGGAAGAGGAGTGACTTTTCTGCAGAATACATTCCAAATGGACTATGGATTAGTGATTGTTATGCATTGATCACTATGGTTTATATTACCTGCCTCTCCTATCTTCTCCAAACAACCAAAACAAACAAAAAGCCAAAACAGTAGCTTATTCTTAACTGACAAACTAACCTTTTTGCGAAGTTTCTGTATGCGATTGATGACTTCCCGAGCCATTCCTTCATCTACCATTGACTGGTCAGGAGTGACATCTAAGAGGACCAAAGCCTGTGGGAATGAACAGTGCACACCATGACAATCAAATAAGGAGAAACACTTCTTCCCAACTCAGCAAAATGTTATTTAAATCTGGAGAGTCTATAATGCAGCACTATTTTTTCACACAAATGAGCAAAAGCAATAAAATTAATCTAGTTTATCATTCAGGTACTTCTTCATAATCAGCTAGTCCTCTGTCTCTGGAGAAAGGTGTGCAGGTTTTTGTTTCTTGTTTTTTTGTAGGGTGCTGCTCACAGGAGATGCCCTGGGACCACCTCTTATCAGAGTCCCTCACATGACTCTGCTTTTTGGCCATCTAAGAAGTAATATCAACTCTTCTAATAAGTAAGATCAATAATCATGAAGCCCTTGGAGCAGCACAGCTTTTCAGGCCACAACAAGTGGATCAACGGCCTCAGCGCAGTCAACTCCAAGTGACTTTCCTATACCATGACCCCTGTGATCTTCAGGTTTGTCAGAACGACTCAAGACAAATTCTACAATGGACCACAAAACTTTCTGTGACTTAAACTGCCATATTTTTGCTAAGGTTAATGTTTCTATCTCATCTATTCTGAAGGTTGCTGATTATGATGTAGCAATAATGACACTATCGCTTCTGTTACACAGCATGTTGCAGAGTAAAATATACTCTACAAAAGACTTGTACATTAGGCATCATCTCATTTACCTTTGAGTAAACAGAGAAGTTAAGAAATGACTCACTTCATAAAGGCATCAGAGGTAGTGAAATGCATGATAAACTCAAAATTCCAGTCAGTGCAGGGCCACTACAACATGTAAGCCATGTCAAGAAACTCAGAAGCATCACATGACACTTTTGTAAGGTGGACAACTTTTCAGGCCCCTAACATCTGCTGTAATGAGGAAGAACTGCCCACTGTCAGTGTTTAGAAACCTCCTCCCTGCCTTCTTTCCCAGCTACGATACCTCCGACTCCTTGCCACTGTCTTCCCACGTAGAGTTCTGTACACATCTAACTTAAGCGCCTGGGTAAAGGACTGAGGAGGTCGACCTTCCTTTCATGGAGGTGCTGCTCTACCTTCCCCTGCACATGGTATGCTAAGCACAGAGGGACCCCTGCAATATCCCCAAACCCACATGCGAGATCTTACAACTATGCTGACTGGGGATGTCTGGTCAGGACTGCAAAGAGATAGTCTCTTCTCCAATATGGCAAAAAATATTGATCCTGGAATCTAAAACAGTTTGTATATTCTCTTGAAAAGAGTGTTCCCTGACCACTTTTCACCCTACACCTATTTTTGGATAGGAGCCCTCTGTGTACTTATTTCTACCAGATAACTTATCAGGTAGAATACTAAGAACTGGCTTAATTTCAGGTGTCCTTGACTGACTCATTCCTTGAAGGGTTCATTTTTGTGCAACCCCACACTTGGGACAATGACTGACATGTAGAAATCACAAAATGCTTACTTATGTATTCACTAAACAAATGCATATGTTAAGGGCATAATAATATATTAGTTTAATAAAGCCAATCTAAACCAAGTAACTGGTTTATTTTACCCTGAGACAAGCTGTCAACATTATCAGGAAAGGCACAGGCAAATACTTTCTCCTCTTATGCTCTCATCTCTTGGTAAAGAAATGTTCTAGGAAACAGAAAAATACCTGAGCATCTGAGTGTGCTTCAAATTGCGCAGTCCCACCTGTGGCCTGATCAAAGGTGTACATGAGGCGGATGTCTTCATCGTGCAATTCATGGCCTTCCACAACAATGGTCCCTATGGAGAAGCAGCTACACTGTTAATCAGCTTCCCCTCCTCTTCAAGCTGCCCCACTACCCGTGTATTATGCCCCTTCTTGATTAAAATTTCACAATAACAAAGCCACAGAGGCTTCAAGAGATCATTTCCCTCTGACTCATGTCATGGTTGTAGCCAAGACATGACAAACTTTCTTTAGATTACACTATGCTACCTTGAAGACAGTTAAGTCATCACCAGTATCTACTGTTTTATATAAACTCTCAGGTCCAAAGACATGACAAAGCTAAGGGAAGGCACCAAGAGGCAACAAATGCTCACCATAAACACAGAGCAGCAGGATGTCATGAAGAAAATACAGTCTTTAAAGAGAAAGTGAACTTAGGTCCACTATTTGCTGGTTGTATGACATGGTGTTCTGCTACCTGCTGAGCAAGGTGTGGTGAGGCTAAAATGAGACGGGCAGTGTGTAGTACTGAGCATCATGCCTGTTCAGGGGAGGCAGAAATGTGAACAGCTGCTGATGTTAACACCCCCGCTGATAGGGAGGCCCACTGTTGTCACTGATGATGACCTTCTTGGGCTCTGAGCACCCGGGTGTCATTTTTATGTTTACTTTGTCTCTGTGTTCTGAAGATGATCTTGTTTTCCATCAGTGCAGAACAGTACGCTCAGAAACTAGGCTTTCAATTTCAAATAAGGTTTAGCCCAGGAATTTTTTTTTTTTTTTTGAGACAGAGTCTTGCTTTGTCACCCAGGCTGCAGTGCAGTGGCAGGATCTCGGCTCACTGCAAGCTCTGCCTCCTGGGTTCACGCCATTCCCCGGCCTCAGTCTCCTGAGTAGCTGGAACTACAGGCGCCTGCCACCACACCTGGCTAATTTTGTGTGTGTGTGTGTGTTTTTAGCAGAGACGGGGTTTCACCGTGTTAGCCAGGACAGTCTCAATCTCCTGATTTCGTGATCTGCCCGCCTCGGCCTCCCAAAGTGCTGGGATTACAGGCATGAGTCACCACCCCCAGCCATCTCAGGAATTTTTGATGCTTTGGCTATCTGGCGAACAATTTAGATTTGTGGCTTGAAGGCTCGTAACACTTTGTTATTTTAATATTTTGAGTTGATTAGTAATTAGTAATAACTTGAGGTTTAGCTGCTGATGTCTTATGTTTTATTAATTCTATCTAAATATTTGGAGAATCTTAGGGACAGTTCCCCCATCTGATTTATGAATCCTCAAATCTCTCTTCTCAAGACATCTCCTAGCTTATGATTTTCAACTTCAGAGGAAGCCGTAACAATAAACAGCTTGTGCCCCAGGATAGTTACAGGATGTCAGACAGCCACACTCAGACCATGTATGATTCTAATCATGGCAGAGCTGCAAATTTCTGGGCACCCTGAAATGCTCTGTATAGGGGTAGCAAGATGGGGCTGATTTCCCTTTCCTAATCCCATCATTTGGTTAGGTACCCCCACATGTTTTTATGTTACCCTACACCTTCCCTTTATAACACTTATCAAAACCATAATTATTTTCCCAAATCTTCAATGTCAGCAAGCACCATGAAAGTAAGGACAAAATCACCCTAGGCTCCAGGGATCCTCCCACCTCAGCCTCCAGAGTAACTGGGATGGCAGGCACATACCACCACATCTGGCTAAGTGTGGTAGTATGTGCCTGTAGTGATCTCAAGTGATCTATCCAACTGGGCCTCCCAAAATGCTGGGATTACAGATGTGAGCCGCTGGGATTACAGATGTGAGCCTCTGTGCCCAGCTATTTTCTTTCTAAACTGTAAGAATTATTTATAATAAACATTTTTATCAACAGGAAAAAAAGTTTTACTTAAGAAAAGGATGGACCGGTGCAGTGGCACACACCTGTAATCCCAGCAATTTGGGGGACCGAAGGCGGGTGGATCACCTGAGGTCAGGAGTTAGAGACCAGCCTGGCCAACATGGTGAAACCCTGTTTCTACCAAAAATACAAAAATTAGCCAGGCATGGTACTACGTGCCTGTAATCCCAGCTACTTGGGAGGCTGAGGCAGGAGAATCACTTGAACCTGGGAGGCAGAGGTTGCAGTGAGCCAAGATCGCGCCACTGTGCTCCAGGATGGATGACAGAGCGAGATTCTGTCAAGAAAAGAGAAGAGAGAAGAGAGAAAAGAGAAGAGAGTAAGGAAAGGAAAGGAAAGGACAGGACACGACGGGACACGACAGGACAGGAAAGGAAAGGATGTGATATTAAAAGTCAAACAGTAGCCTAAAAAGTATCCCTCAGACTCAGGACATAAATGGTGCCCTTGTCTGTGTAGACACCTACCAGTCTTCTGGAACTGCTCCAGCTCCTCACTGCTCAACTGCTTGATGGACGTCATCACTGCCTTAAAGGCTCCCTTCAGACGCTTCCCCAGGACCATGTGATCTGGTTCTGCCCTTAGCCGAATGCCATACTTGTTTTTATCTGTAGACAGTGTAACTTTTCGAACATTGAGTTCCTACAGTTAATGCACAAGAGGAAACAAAAATGAGAAATGAAAACATATGTTCACACAAAAATGTAGGTCCACAGCAGCATTATTCCTAACTGCCAGAAAGCAAGAACACTTCAAGTGTCCATCAACTGTGAATGGATAAACAAAATGCAGCATACACATGCAATAGAGTATTTGGCAATATGAAGGACTGAAGCACTCATATGTGCTACAACATAAATTAATGTGAAACATTATGCTAGGTGAAACACGCCAGACATAAAGATTACAAATTGTATGATTCCACTTATATGAAATGTCCAGAGAAGGCAAATCCAGAGATAGCAAATAGGTTCGTGGATGCCAGGAAATGGTCAGATATTGAGGGGAAAATGGTTTGTGAATGTTAATGAATACTGGCTTTCTTTCTGGGACGAGGAAAATGTTCTAAAACTATGGTGATAGTTGTACCATTCTATAAATATGCTTAAAAACCAGTGATTTGTATGGTAAGAAGAAAATGCTTGTTATGAAGATCTATCAAGACAGTTGAGCATAACAGAAAAAGGACTCCAGACCCAGAAATATAAACCTCATCCCTCAGAGGTAACCTTTGTGCAAGCAATTGCAGAGTACCACAAGGTTAACTATTAACTAAGCAGAAGATCAGTTAAACAGAACACTTCATGCTTCAGTCATGCTACTGAGGATTACTGATGCGGCAGGGATGGTGATGGCACAGTAGCGGATGGGAAAATGAGAACAGCTTGAAGCAAATAATACGGAATGTTTAGTTTTGCCATTATATTTAGCTACATTAATTAATCTCATTTTAAGTGAAGTAGTTAATTTCAAAATTTTTCAGCTGGGTGTGGTGGCGCAAACTTGTAATCTTAGCACTTCGGGAGATCGAGGTGGGAGGATCACTTGAGCTCAGGAGTTAGAGACCAGCCCGGGCAACATGGCAAAACCCCATCTCTACAAAAGCCTGTACTACTATGCCTAATCTCCGCCACTTGGGAGGCTGAGGTGGGAGGATTGCCCGAGCCCAGGAGATGGAGGCTGTAGTGAGCCAAGATCACATCACTGCACTCCAGCCTGGGTGACAGAGCGAGACCCTGTCACAAAAAAAAAAAAAAAAAAAAAAAAAATTTCTATTTTATGCATAGCCACAGGTACTAATGTCAGAATTTAAAATCTAACTTTTGGTTTCTAATATTTCTCTGCAACTTTCAAGCAACTGAAAACCAAATATAGAAATTAACATTTTCTATAATAATGATTTTAAATATCACCTGTGAAAAGAATAAACAATGAAATTTTAAAAAATATTTGTTTTCTATCATCACAAAGAAGATGAGGTAAAACATATGCGTTTTTAAAACATCATGGAATAAAGATGTTTTAAAATATCATGGAATAAAAATGTTTAGGAAGACAACTGACACTATAAACTTTGACCCCAAAACTCCACTTCTGGAATCTATCCAATATCCATACACTGATATATGCATATATGTACACACAAAGCTTTTGTTTGTAATCAGAAACCTAAATGTCAAACAACGGGACAGTAATTAAATAAATTATGAAGCAGCCAGGAAGTGAGACTCCAGGGAGAAATGGGGTGGAGAGAGGCTCCCTATGCTATTGCTTCGACTTTTTACATGCGAGGGTACTTGTCACTTGCATAATTTGGAGGAACAAAGTTTCTTTGGTAGTTATCAAAAAGTACTTCAGAAGGCCAGGCACAGTGGCTCATGCCTGTAATCCCAGCACTTTGGGAGGCCAAGGCGGGCAGATCACTTGAGGTCAGGAGTTTGAGACCAACCTGGCCAACATGATGAAACCCCATTCTCTACTAAAAATACAAAAGTTAGCTGGGCATGGTGGCGGGTGCCTGTAATCCCAGCTACTCGGGAGGCTGAGACAGGAGAATCGCTTGAACCCAGGAGGTGGAGGTTGTGGTAAGGCACTACTGCACTCTAGCCTGGATGACAGAGTGAGAGACTCTGTCGAAAGAAAAGAAAGAAAAGTAAAGTAAGGGAAAAGGAAAAGGAAAGGACAGGACAGAAAAGAACAGAACTTCAGGGAAGTGAATGAAGATGATAGATGATAGGTAAAGAAATTCATTGATCTTGAAATATTTTTAAAAGAATTACAACAAATTTATGTTGATTCCAAGCACAGTGTAAAATATGGATTATTACATTTGTTATGACTATACTAATAAAAATAAATTATAGAGTCAATATGTACTTTGAGGATTATTCATCAAAATAATGTTCTAAGTCTATCTGTACCAAAAACAGACAAATCATCTACCTTACCTCAATGATATACTTCTCCAAAGACTTGATATCTTTAAGAGCTTCTGGATCTTGATGGATAACCACAATTTCTTTCAAAGGATACTAGGAGGAAAAGGGAGGGGAAAGTTCACTCAGCAGCCAGTCCTCTAAAACTGCAGAAAAATGGAATATTAAATGTTTATTTGAATCTCAAGCTCTAGTCAGGCTGGACTAGTACTAAGTCATTCACACCCTCACTGCAGAAAAGGAAAAAGGCCATTGGTGGAAGCTCTCTATATTAAAAAAGCATTCCAAACACTTAATTAATTTAGGTCTGTGCCATGTAAAATAGAAGTAAAATTTCAAACCTTTATGGGAATAGTTTTTCGGTCTCTGATCACTCTTCCAAGTTCAATCACAGACTGCATCTGAGATACTGCACTCTCTGTTTTCTTGTCAATCAATTCTTCTCTGAGTGGTAGAGGTAGGAATATGAAAGAGTTTAGATTTAAGAGGAGAAAATTGAAGGCACTAGGCATGCATAAGCGAGGAAGAGGGTCAGGCTAGAGAAGTGTGGCTAGGCCCTCCTGGTGAAGCACTGGGGAAGGGCAGCGCAGTGCCTACCACTCAGCACCCGGCATCTCCCCAAGGAGCCCCCATGGGGCATGCCCACACCCCACCTGCCACAGCTCTACAAAGGGGTTCCACACCAAGCATCCTTGCTACCGTGTACCAAAGTGGGCCCCATCCTGCAGCCTGAGGAGTTCATGTCAGCTGGGGCGGGAGGCAAGGCACAGATGGAGCTGGAGCAGGGAAATCCCTCCTCTTCCCCACATGCTTGAGCAACTCTCCCCTCCTTGGCACAGGTGAGGCTTATTTCTATTTGAGTCCTACCGAACACGGGGCAGCATGAGGTAGTGAATGCTGAGTGTGTCCTTGTCCTGAACAGAAACAGGGTCAATCAGCACCTTTAGATTCTGGTACATCAATTCAGTGAGAAAAGGTGTGTAGGGAGCCTGTATGAAGACACAGGACATCATGTCAGTTATATGCAGTCATCAACAACTGATCTCATTTATACTGAGAAACAACTAAACATGTTAGAGAATGACACAGTAATAGGCACCAAAATGAGCATGAGGTTACAAAACATGCCCTGTGAATGAGAAATGGCCTCATATCCCTGAAGCATAGCTGCAGGACTGTAGATAGAAAAACCCAAAGCACCTCTAGAATTCTGAAGGATGTCTAAAATAGAAACAGGAGCACCTAATGATGTATCAGCCAAGTCAATATGCACAGAAGACTGACTGTCCCACACCTCAGAAACCTCATCTGTAAACTGGGGAAAATACCCCCTGCTTCACAGGATGGAGGTGATGAGATCAGGCATGGAGAGCACCAGGCACAGCACCTTGTACAAAGCAGATTTTCCTTCGGTTAAGGAATAAATAGGAGCCTTATAACATATGGAGTAAAGGAAACAGGATAAAAAGAATTAAAGTTGGAGCCGTTCCACTTTTATATTATTTAACTAATATCTGAACTGATAAGAACATATATCAAACAATTACTTGCACGTTTTCCTCTCAATGCTAAGTTAAAGTATTTTTTGTGATATATATATATTTACTCAGACAGGTATTAGCTGAAGAACCTCCCCCATTACTCACAATTATGGCAATCCACATTAAGATGAGGTATGTCTTACTTTGAACTGTAGATCCTCATTCTAGAGCCAAGGGCCCTGACATATATTGTACTGCCAGAGACTGTAAGAAAGAATCTAGTATTTCTTAGTCCTTACTTAACATGTATAAGCTAACAAGATTTCTGATAAGGAACTAGAGCTATAAGGTGTTATAAAACTTCTATATCTATTTTTGGCAGAATAATACAGAATGGATATAAATGGAGGATGCTGCAGCAAGTAGGTGCTGAAGGCAGCCCATAGGCCAAAGGGTACTAGAAAGAAGCCAATCATCTTACCATAAGTCTGCAAAGAGAAAGCAGAACACTAAACAAGGTTTCTAGGGCCATGACACAATCCTCCATCCCATTTTCACCCTAATGAGTAAAAAGGAAACATAAACATTAAACTGTTAAATAAGTGTTTATCATTAAAAAAATAAGTTTATTAAAAAGAGGCAATCTTCAAAGAACATGCAGCATACAGACAAGACATGAGACAGAGAAAGGAGAAAGGGCCACGACCACAGGCCATCCACGGTCAGTGCCACCAGGGTGGCCCTTCAGGGCAGTGCAGGAGGCCTGGCCAGGATGTGCACCTGCTGTCCCACTGACTATCCCCACCTGAGGCGAGCTGACAGGGAAGTAGAGCCTAACTGTAGGACCCGAAGGCTGAAGGTAGAATGGATCTACCCACAACAGACAAAAACAGTTGCTAACCAAAAACTTTAAAGTACCTTTAAATAAGATTTATGTTAAAAAAGTATATAATGTGTATTAAAAAAAATACCAATTCATTGAAATTTTTTCATTATCTTTGTTTTTCCTACAATCATAATTAATTTATCCAGAGACAACTACTGTAAGCATCTTAGCATATGTCCTTCTAGATACGTGTGTGTGAGATACATCTGCACAAAAATGAAATTACAGTTGTGTTGCAGGCTTTTATTATTAATGCCTTTTAAGACATGACTGGCCAGGCACGGTGGTTCACACCTGTAACACCACTGCTTTGAGAGGCTGAGGCCAGTGGATCACCTGAGGTCAGGAGTTTGAGACCAGCCTGGCCAACGTGGTGAAACCCTGTCTCTGCCAAAAATACAAAAATTGGCCAGGCGTGGTGGTGCACACTTGTAATCCCAGCTACTGGGGAGGTTGAGGGAGAACTGCTTGAACCTGGGAGGCAAAGGTTGTAGTGAGCCAAGATCATGCCACTGCACTCCAGCCTGGGTGACAAGAGTGAAACTCCTTCTCAAAAAAAAAAAAAAAAAAAAAAAAAAAAAAAAAGACATGACTAATGGGTAGTGGGAGCCTTCATTGGGCCTGCAGTAAAGAGACCTCGCTCTCTCTATTAAGCATCATTGTTATTTATGTACCTGGCTTAAGTCCTGAGACCAGGACCTATGCTCTGCTCATCCTAAACCCCCAACAGCTACAGAGGAGTTCTGTCCACAGTAAATAATATCTGACTCCCTTGTGGTAGAAGGAAGTACCCCTCTCAATATTAATGCCATATCTACCAGTATTTTTATAAAATATTTGCATGATTTTATTTTGAATTTTAAGAGGTCTGCTCAGTGTAGTCCTGTTTGTGCCTTGACATTCTCCCTCCAATATGACATGTACATAATTGTGTTGTGAAAATAATGCAAAATGACTTTTAGAACTTATAGATCCCTATCCCTCAAATGACAAATATAGTTAAAATGCAATGTAAAAGGAAAAGAAAAACAAAGCTTCAAAAACGGAGAGCAACTGAAAATGTTCCTCTCCCTTCTGGCTATTCTCATATTTCTTCTACTTTCAAACTTCATACACTTTTTGCTTTTCCCAACAGCAGTCTGCACTTACCTTTAATCTTCTGCGGTTCATTCTAACATACCAATTGGTCAGAATATCTACAAACTTGACCAGGCGAGGCACCACAGTATAAAGCCTATAAGCTAAAAGTAAGACAAGTCAATCAGGCAGCAAGTGGGTTACCAGGCATCTGGGGTGGGGAGAGGGTTGGATACAACAAAGAAGGGGCAGCTCCTTCCATCCAAGTGCCTCCACTTACTAAGGAGAAAAGAACCAAAATGAATCAATCACATAATGACTGTTTGTTGAGGATGTGCTACATGGCAGTCAGAGTGTTTAGGGGTGCACACAAAAAAATCACCATGTGAGCCACATGCGAATTCCCATTGGTCAGTGAGAAAAGCCAAAAACTCCAGTATGTGTGGATCAAAGTCCAAGACTGCCCACTACACAACTGTAGGAAGTGCCATTTACACGGAGCTGTGCAATTTGACAGCATCAACAATGCCCAACTTCTTTCCATTGTATTACACTGTACTTCAACTAAAAGACAAAAAGCACAATTCAGATGCTAAGAGGCACAGCATAGGCCAGTGATTCTCAAACAAAAGCAATTTTATCCCATGGGAAACATTTGTCAACGTTTGGAGAAACATTTTGCTTGTCACAACTTGGAGGGTAGCACGGTGCTACTGGAATCTAATGGGTAGACCCAGAGATGCTGCTCAGTTATAAAGCACAGCACAGCCCCACCACAGAGGATGACCTGGCCCAAACTGCCCATAGTGCTGCAGTTAAGAAACTCTGGCACAGGCTATGAATAAAATAGAACTGGCCTTCTAAACATTAAAACAGTCGAGTAAAAACAGCATCAGAGGTAGTGAAGGTCTTGAGGAATTAGGAGGATTTGAAGAGTTCCCTGAGAAACTCAGAGATCAAGTAGGAAAGAAAGGGTGTTTAGCCAATTGTCTGAGGCAAGGCTTATTTTAAGGATTCTCATTCACCTCCCATTTAATTAATACTCTTTGTTACATAAAAACAAACACAAAAAACAAAAAGAATAAGACCGATACTTAGAAACAAATACAATTTATAATAATGAAAAGAGTCCAGGGACTGTTAATGAGGCTTCTGGTCTAAGCTAAGAGACGAGAAGTTGCAACCGGCAGAGCTGCTCTCTGCTGCTTTTCACAAAGACCAGAACTCAGATGTCAGTGGGCTGAGCCCCAGGCCAGAGTCGTTAGCTGGTCACACTTTCTTAGACATGTGATTTCAGTAACTGAGACCTGTCTAAATGATTTCTAGGGTTCACGGCACTTTTTACCTTCCAGGAAGCTCAGGTTTTCTATGTTCTGGTTTCAACTCTGAGGGAGTAAATGAACCCAAATAGAACTCCACATACAATGGATAAACATACAACACACAGGGGCAGCAGCAGCAGCCACTACCCAGGCCACCACCACCCTGTGAGGCAGGTCCTCTCATACCCACAGTGCTCCTGAGGGAGTGGAGGACATGAAGCTGACAGGCCGGCAGAACCGGGACTTAAACACGGCCCACAAAACGTGGCTGCCGATCTCCAGTTTCCAGGCAGACCAGGCTCCAGCCAGAATGCGCATCTCCAGACCCAGCTTCACAGGAGGTCATGGCAGCTGGTGCCCAAATATTGAAGGGGGTCCGGGCAACAATCCCCACGTTTCCCACCCACTTGTATCACTCAGGAGGGAAAAGCAGACACAGGTGTGAGCATGTCTGGGGAGTGTGCTGGGCTCCCAGTGCTGCCCTCGCCAGGGCAGCACTCAGCCTCACACTCACTTCCATCTTCATCTGTGTCTATCTGAGCAACAGCTGGACTGTCGTGATCCTTCTACATGTTTAACAAGGTGGACAAATCCTGTAGCAGTCCTTCTGTGCTAAATGGGGCAGCAGCGCCTACTCCAGGGAGCAGCATGTGCCCGTATCTAGGCTAATGGTGAATCCCAGGTCTGTGGCGGCCGCTGCTCCTGCCCAACAGCAGCAGGAACCGCAGAGCCCTGTGAGGGTGGATTTGCCTTGCCCTCTTTTGCCCTCACTGTGACCCAGGGCCTCTGTCCACCCACTTTAACTGACTGTCTGAGGTGTCCCAGATTTCTCACCTGGACCTACAGTTGTGATTATCTCAAACCTTAAGGAAGCCAACATAATGTACTTTTTGAATCTCTGTAAAATTACCCAACGAACTCACTGTTGTTAGTTAATAGAAATAACAGCAAAATGTCCATTTCATTATTGCTCTTCTGACTTTTCTAATTTTTCTGGAAAAGAAGGGGACTATTTAGTAATGAAAATAGAACTAAAAATAAGTTATAAATGCATTAATAACAAGTATTATTTATTGAGTACCTATCATCTGCCAGCTACTTTATGTAAATCGTCTCTACTTAAGCCTTACAAACACTACTGGGCATTCTGCAGATAAAGAAACTGAAGGTCAAGATAGGCTGAATAAGAGTGGCATCTGATGGCACAATGGGGTGATTTCAGTCAACAATAATTTCTTGTACATTTAAAAACAAGAAAAAGGGTATAACCGAGATGTTTGCAACACAAAGATATGATAAATGCTTGAGGTGATGGATATCCCATTTACCCTGATATGACTATTACACACTGTATGCCTATATAAAAATATCTCCTGTACCCCATAAATATATACATCTACTATGTACCCATAAAAAAAAAAAAGGAAATTGACGGTCAGACTTCAGGCAACTCTCTGGATTGGGAACAAGTGGTAGAGTTGGGCTCTGAACCCATGGCTATCCAGCTCTAAAGCTCTTCTGTGGAGCATTGAGACCACGAGGACACCCCCTAAAGACAGAATTCCCCAGGGCTTTTTTTTTTTTTTTAAGATGGAGTTTCGCTCTTATTGCCCAGGCAGTGGTGCAATCTCAACTTACTGCAGCCTCCGCCTCCCAGGTTCAAGCAATTCTCCTGCCTCAGTCTCCTGAATAGCTGGGATTACAGGCGCCCGCCTCCATGGCCAGCTAACTTTTTTTTTTTTTTTAAATATATTTTTAGTAGAGACAGGGTTTCGCCATGTTGGCCAGGCTGGTCTCGAACTCCTGACCTAAGGTGACCTGCCTGCCTTGGTCTCCCAAAATGCTGGGGATTACAGGCGTGAGCCACCACACCAGGCCAGAAGTCCCCAGGGTCTTGAAACAAAGATATCACGACAATTAACAAGCCTTAACAAAACTATATGAGAGGTAAAAGGAAACAATTATTTAATTTTCTGTATCTCTCAATATTTCCACTATTAAATATCAAAAGGGCAGTTACAAAGAGAATAGTCCTTATTCCTGGGAGGACAGACCAAGAGAGACTCACCTGCCATTTCAGTCTCAAAGAAGCCAATGAGAGACTGCATGAAGGACAGGATCCACCGGTCTGTAATGTTGGGGCTTTCTCTAACCGTGTTCTCATTGTAGAGAAATTCTATTTCTTCCTCCTAGGAAGGAACAATTAATGAAACACTGGCACACTTGGGAAGAAAGTTACTATGAGGAAATAAACTTCTTAAATCACTTAAACAAAAACAAAAAGAAAAAATCCCAGACCCTACTGGCAATGTGAATTTCTGATTTTCAGCAATATTTTCAAGATAAGCACCAACGTGGCACATTAAGTCCTCAATTAATTTATTATGTTTTTGAGTAAACTGAAGAGAGTTTAGGAAAACATTACTTCTCTGCACCAAAGAGTAATTATGAATTGAAAGATATTCTAAAATCTTGTCAGAAAAGTGTAGGGTTTAGTTACTTTAAACCTCAGGAAGGAAGGACAGTAGAACTGTCTAGGATTGAATGATTGTCCACAAACTGAAAATGAGTACTGGGAAATAATTTCCATGCTAAGGCTGTTCATTTTACCCAGAAAGTTCTATCCCACTCTTTTTGCTTTGCAAAATCCTCCTTGATCTTAAGTCCTTGCTCTACAAACAGAACTCATGTCCTGCTTTGTTTCTCTGGCAGCACCACAACCAGGCTAGCGGGGCAGTGATAATGTGACTCTTCCTCTGTGTTTAAGGCCCTGATCATGGAGTCTGTGTCTTGCTGGTATATTCAGATGGGCCCTGGCTGTGGGGAGCTTTGACCCCGCCTGTATTCCTGAGTCCCACACCAGTGGAGACCTGCAGAGTGCACCTGCCCAAGGACTGTTTGCCCTACTTGGCAGAGAACCACATGCAGGACAGGTGGCAGGCTGCAGAGAGGAGGAATGCTGGGAGCCTGGGGAAGATGACTGCCCTTCTCAATTCCTGGGGAAAGGCTACTCTGAGAGCCTCAGGTGAACATGATGTGTCCTCATTAGCAGAACAACCAGAGCCCAAGGGGAGCAGAAGTAATTGACCTGCCTGCTGGAGTGGGATAACAAGAGTTCATTTTTCCAACCAGCTTTTTCATCTGCTCAAGCAGGAATAATATCTCATTTTCATTCAACAGTTATTTACTTACAAGCAATTTTACTTGTAAGGTGCTGGAGATCAGATGTGCAGTATCGGAACTCTGACCCCAAATCAGGTCTTGAAAGCCCATACAGGAACATGTTCAATGAAGGTGATGGACGCTGACAATGGTCAGTTGTGGGGCATGGAAGGTGGCTCTAGAGCAAGGGCTTCTCAGGTGAGAAAGTAACTCCTGGGCGTGGAGGTAACTGCCATTGAAGTACACTTCCACATACATCACAACTATTATATGTGACCCTAACAACCCACTGAAAACTCCATCGAGAACTGCTGTCACTCTCAGATTAGCCCAAATGCCACCCCACTGAGGGGCCTTCTCTGACCACCCATCTCAAGTGGCCAGCCCTAGCTTGCCTGTGACTCCGCCTTCACTGGGTGCTCTCTCTAAAAGTTGCTGACTCTTTACTGTATCTCCCAATTCCCACTCCATTGGTTCCATAAGGGGAGGGGTGTCTCACTCAACATGGTGTTCCTGGTACCAAGAACTGGCTGACGAAGCTGGGTGCCGTGGCTCATGCCTGTAATCCCAGCACTTTTGGGAGGCCAAGAAGGGCGGATCACCTGAGGTCTGGAGTTCAAGATCAGCCTGACCAACATGATGAAACCAAGTCTCCACTAAAAATATAAAACAATTAGCCAGGCATGGTGGTGGGTGCCTGTAATCCCAGCTACTGGGGAGGCTGAGGCAGTGCCTCAACCCAGGAGGCAGAGGTTACAGTGAGCCGAGATCGTGCTATTGCAATCCAGTCTGGGTGACAAGACTGAGACTCCACCTCAAAAACAAAAACAACAACTGGCGACTAAACAACTATATGACATAACTCTTTTGCAGGCTAGGGCCCATGGTCTTGGCATAGCCCGGACCCTAGATACCTTCCGCACCTGCATGTATGGCCTCCCCATGGCTCTAAGTTACCCCAGCATCAGGCAGCAGAGAACAGCAGCCCTAAAGTCTCACACAGAGCTCCACCTCACAGCTTGGTGAAGGGAGCGCTGTGGAGACACGGCAGGTACATGTGCAGCCCCCTACAGCCCATACCTTCTGGAGCCTCAGAACGTTCTGGATTAAGAAGCGATAGGCATTGTACCATGGGAGCAGTACATCCTTAAGGACGTCCCGCACACCCTCTTCTTTAAAGCGGAGGTTTTCTGCTCTCACCACAGGGGAGTTAATCAGATATAATCTGGAAGAGGGAGAAAAATTAGACAGAAAAGGTACTTAGACAGTAAACCAATTATTACTACTCGACATATTGAGAGAGCAAGATGAAAATCAGTCCTATTTTCTACAAAAGGGGGTAATTATGAATACTCTTTGAGTGGTCAATTTAAAACTCACAAAACTCACTCTCACTTTCTATAAGAGACTTAGCAAATTATAAAAGACGTATATAATCTGACACCAAAATATGGCACTGTATAGCACAGAAATGCATCTTATGCCACTCTCACTGCAGGACCAATGGGGTACACCAGCACTAAGAGAAAGGCTGGCCTGGTCCTCGTCAAGAGCCACTGTGTCCTTCCCACGGACACGACCTGCATCTGCTGCTTGCAGAGAGAGGGACTCACAAGGAAGAGCCTTCACAGAGCAGAGTCTTGACATCTGGTGGGCAGAGGTTAGGGATGCTGCTAAACATCCTACAAAGAACTACCACCACAAAGAATTACACAGCCCAAATGGGCAGCAGTGCCAAGGGTGAGTCTAAGAGACAGTGGAGAATTGGGGGAGAGCCCCACTAATGGCTCCTGGTCAACAGAGGTACTGTGTGAAGGTGCTGAGTCACAGGCCTGGGCACTGGTCTCATGCCTAGGACACAGGGATGCTGAACAAGATCTCTAGGTCCCTTTCAACTTGAACACTGTGTGGTTTCATGATTACAGCTACCTCAAGCAGTGGCTCAAATTTCTCCAAAAGCTTTTCAATATGAGTTTTTTTATCACCTCTAGCATAGATATATCTCACATGGCTCTGTAAGTACAAAATTAAAACAAATGATGAAAGAGAATTCTAATACCAACAAGACAGGGAACCTAGAAAGGAAGTAAGGCAGAGGCAATCAGCATCTAGCCTGGGGAGGACTTGGACAGCTCAACAACACCCAACACAGGTCCTCTTCCTCAAACAGACCTCTAGGTTTAAAAATGCCTTTATTATTTAGAAAACTATTTTGGGGGTTTAAAATCAACAACCATACCAACATAACATCCAAATAACAGAGATATGTTGCTAAAAACCTAACTATAAACCAAATCTAAGAATACTGATTAATAGTATAGGAGATGCTTACATAAAAAAACAATAGATACACACAAGGCAAAGCACTGGTTTGTACCTGAGGGCATCAGCACCATACTTCTGGATGATGGAAACTGGATCTGGATAATTCTTTTTCCGTTTGCTCATTTTTTGGCCATCACTTGTAAAACAAAAGGGAGATGCCAATTAAGTAAGTCAATATCACAGATGATCTTGTTTTAAGGATACAAATCATTTGCAAACAGGAATATACAAAATGAAATGGGAAGGAGTAACTTAGATAGAAGTTAGTGCTAATAGGCCGGGCGCGGTGGCTCACTCCTGTAATCCCAGCACTTTGGGAGGCTGAGGCAGGCAGATCACCTGAGGTCAGGAGTTCAAGACCAGCCTGGCCAAAATGGTGAAACCTGTTTCTACTAAAAATACAAAAATTAGCTGGGCGTGGGGGCGCACACTTGTAATCCCCACTACTGGGGAGGCTGAGGCAGGAGAATTGCCTGAACCTGAGAGGCAGAGATTGAAGTGAGCCAAGATCGCGCCACTACACTCTAGCCTGGGCAGCAGAGCAAGACTCTGTCTCAAAAAAGAAACAAACAGTGTTAAGGTACAATGGTAAGATATTTTGTTAATATTTGCAAACTTCTTTTTGAATATCATACTAAGTCCATGAGGAAGCTTCAGGGTAGACTGAAGAAGAAAGATGTGTCAGAATATATCCCAAAGAAATGAAAACTTACATTATCATAAAAACCTATTATCAATTGTTCACAACAGCTTTATTCACAATTGCCAAATGTTAGAAGCAACCCAGATGTCCTTCAAGAGGTGGATGATCAAACAAACCATGGCATACCCATAATACAGAATGCTATTTATCCATGGAAAGGAAGGAACTATTGGTAGGTGCAGTCATCTAAAATCTCAATGGAATTATGTGGATTTAAAAAAAGCCAGCTGGGTGCGGTGGCTCATGCCTGTAATACTAGCACTTTGGGAGGCCGAGGCAGGTGGATCGCCTGAGCTCAGGAGCTCGAGACCAGCCTGTCAACATGGTGAAACCCTGTCTCTACCAAAAATACAAAATATTAGCTGGGTGTGGTGGTTCATGCCTGTGGTCCCAGCTACTCGGGAGGCTGAGATGGGAGAATCGCTTGAGCCCAGGAGGTGGAGGCTGCAGTGAGCCGAGATCACGCCACTACACTCCAGCCTGGGTGATAGAGTGAGACTCTGTCTCAAAAAAAAGAAAAAAAAAGCCAATTCCCCCAAGTTAGTTACTGTATAATTCTATTTATATAACATTCTGGAAACGACAAAATTACAGAGATGGAGAAAAAACCAGTGGTTGCCAGGGATTGGGGATGACAGTGGGAAGGCAGGAGGGGAAGGCAATGCAGGAAGGGAGCCTTTGATGTTGAATTCATTCAGTAACCTGACTGTGCTGCTGGATACAGGATCCTACACACGATAGCCGTATACAGGTAAATGCGTATAAGCAAATAAGTATATGTAAAACTAGAGAAATCTGAATACGATTAGTGGGCTATATCAATATCCTGGTTGTGATATATACTGTAGTTTTGCAAAATGTGACCACTGGGGGAAACTGGGCAAAGAATTTAAGGGATCTCTATTATTTTTCACAATTGCATGCAAATCTACAATGATCTCAATACAATTTCCCCCTTTTTTTTTTTGAGATGGAGCCTCACTCTATTACCCAGGCTGGAGTGCAGTGGCATGATCTTGGCTCACTCCAACCTCTGCCTCCCAGGTTCAAGCGATTCTTGTGCCTCAGCCTCCCAGGTAGCTGGGGTTACAGGTGTGTGCCACTGCACCCACTAATTTTGTATTTTTAGTAGAGACGGGGGTTTTATCAAGTTGGCCAGGCTGGTCTCCAACTCCTGACCTCAGGAGATCCGCCCACCATGGCCTCCCAAATGGCTGGGATTACAAGCATGAGCCATAGCACCCAGCCCTCAATAAAATTTTCAATTAAAAAAAAAAAAAAAGTAGTACACATACTACAGAGGCAGACTGCCTGGGTTCAAAATTTGCATTTACCACTCATTTGCTGTGTGTCCTTTGGCAAGTCACTTTTTCCTGTCCCTCAGATTCCTCAAAGGTCACAAAGGGATTATAGGACCCATCTCAAATGGTTCTGGGGATTAAATGAGTTAAAATGTGAAAATGCACACAGTGGGGCCTGGCAAAAAATAAGGATGCACAAAATGTTAGGTGACATCCTCTTCCTCCTCACACAGCATATAAAGTAGGATTTCTGTGTGGGTACTCAGCACAAATTCTATTTTAAAATATTTCATTTTAAAATTTTCATTTATGTTTATTTTTATTCTTAATGACTAGAGGTAATAAAGTAAAGGAAAAATGAGACTTCCTTATAATAGCAAAATGTGGGAAATAATGCCCATTGGGAGGAAGTTTCAGATGAGGGGAAGAATGGGATCTGGTGGCAGAGTACCTCGGTCAAGCCCAGTGTGGCTGTCACTAGCTTTGATCCTGGGCACCTGTGGTCTCTAGAACCCACAGCTTCCTCGTGTGTTAAAAAAAGGACAACAAAATCTACATGAAAGGACTGATGTACAGATTAAATAAGATCTATAAGCAAAAGTATTTCATAAAGTGCTAAGTTTAGTAAATGCTATTTTATTACTAGTAATATCACTAGTAGCATTATGTTACTAGCAGTAGCACAATCTGAAAGTCCTCCCCTTCCTCCTCCTCCATCAGGCTTAGCTGTCACACACTCCTTCTTGAGAAACAGTGGAGACAAAGCTCCACCTGTCACTACAACAAAGTTGACCGCTCTCACGCACTCCTTCTTAAGAAACAGTGGAGACAAAGTTCCACCCGTCACTACAACAAAGTTGACCTACCTTGCCAGGACAAGCCCATTCACAATTACGTTCTTGAAAGGCGGTTGTCCAAAGAGGGCCGTGGCCAGCACCAGCAGGGTATAAAACCTGAAAAAAAACCCCAAACAGTTCAATAAAAATAGAAATGAAGTCCAAGCATAAGAAAGAAACTGTATTTATTCATTGAATTTCTATTTTTGATAAGTCACACTTCTTGAGAATCACTTAAAGCAATGATTCTTAATCCTGGTTACTGGAGACCAATCAAATTACTGTCTAAGATTTGAAAGAAGCATTGAAATAAACGTCTGGAATGATTTACTGACCATTTCTCTGTTACCAGAGCTCCCAGGAAGTCTGTGTGGAGAGCCACATGGCAGCACTGGGTGGCCTCTCAGGACCACCCAGAAGCACCTAGCTGAAGATGAAGGATGGGTTTTGAATTTGGCACAAGATCATATGGAAAAGACAATTTGATGACAAAAGATGCAAAATGCACTCTCACCCAAAAGTGATAAGGCAGACTAGAAAATGCTTTTATTCTGTAAAATGTTATGTACCTCATTTATGTGCTACCTAGCTTGTTTCCCAAATGAACTCATATCCCTGACCACTGTCCTGGGGGTGATGCTTTCCTGCCTCTCTTACCTAGTCCTGCACTCTGAGAACATCAAGGGACATGAGCTGAGGAGACCAGACCCCATAGTTAACATAAACACTGATCCAGATATCCCTCCCACTTCTAAAGGAGAGTTGGGAGGAGCCCTGGTGCCCAGGAGAGGTAGCCCAGGCCTCAGGAATGGAGAAGGAGGCAGGCACCAAGGACACGGGATCCACATGAGGACTGTTACCAGCTAACAGACTTTGCTACTCCTCAAAGGAACAAGCTCATTGGTAAGGCATCTACCCCTTTCTAAAAACAGAATTTGTGCTGGGTAGCTGTTCCTATAGACAAAAAGGACTGGAATCTGAAGACAGCACATTCCAGAACATGAAGACTTGAATTCAATGATTACCCAAAGCTGTCAAAGAGAGAAAATGACACCAACAATTCCTTTAACACACCCCTGCAGAAACATTACTGTGAATGTATAATTAAAACCTGGGCTGGGCGCAATGGCTCACGCCTGTAATCCCAGCACTTTGGGAGGCTGAGACGGGTGGGTCACTTGAGGTCAGGAGTTCGAGACCAGCCTGGCCAACATGGTGAAACCCAGTCTCTACTAAAACTACAAAAATTAGCTGGGCATGGTGGTGCATGCCTGTAGACCCAGCTACTTAGGAGGGTGAGGCAGAAGAATTGCTTGAACCCAGGAGGCGAAGGGTGCAGTGAGCCGAGATCACACCCCTGCACTCCAGCCTGGGCAGCAGAGTGCAAGATTCTGTCTCAAAAAAAAAAAAAAAAGTAAATAAAGCCTGGGCCAGCAAAGCCAATCCATGGAAAGAAAGTAATTCACCTTCTTCCAATTAAGGAACTGTTTTACATAAGGCACCAGATAAAAATCAATGCCCAAATCCTCTCTCATATGTATATTTTTTAAAAATCTGGATTTTTTTAGAATGTTGATTTATAAGGCTAGCCTCAATATCTGAGCACATTACCAACTATCCCTCAAATTTCTAGCACCCAAACTACTGTCTTTTATGCAAATACTCAAACATTTGAGTAAATGATCTGACGTAAGCTAAGAACACATAACTTTTTTTATCATTTTAACATCCAGTGTAACACATATATTCCAAAATGCCAGTGAGATCATTGAAATTGTAAAACTACAGCCCTATTGTAGTGGGAGAGTCCTACTCAAAAGGCACTTTAATGTCCGTGCTTGGTGGTGGAGGGGAGAGGGCAGGAATGTAGCCTGTCTTATTTGCCACAATCTCTCCATCACCCAGTAGATAAATGGCAGTGACTTAGTAAAATACTCCCTAAATAAAATAAAATCAATAAAACACGTGATGAAAGAACAAGGAGGCATACCATCCTCTGGTTTGGTCGATGCCCTCGGCAATGAAATCTGCAGGAAAAGCATCCTCAAACTCCCTCTTGTTTTCAAACGGGTAATGAACCTGAGCATAGGGCATGCTGCCACTCTCAAACCAACAGTCAAACACTTCAGAGATGCGGTGCAAGGATCCCTTCCCACAGCGTGAAGGAATGGTCAGGTGGTCAACACTAACAAACAGAAAAGTAGTCATTTCTATTAACTGTAAGCATAACAGAACTTGCAGTTTAATTGCTAATAGGAAACACAAAACCCTGACAAGATATTATACACATTTGCAAACAGAAATATCAGCAATTCTCAAAGGCTTTCAGAGAGCACCATGAATCCTCCATCTGAAAGGTTATGCACCATTCACCTCACATTTCACAAGGACAGAGGCCACAATACTGCAATATGACATGAGTCATCAGCAAAGTAATTCAGCAAGCTAGTCACTTCCATGTGTGGCTCTGTAATCTGCTAGAGACCAGGTCTTAATAGGAGAATCGTAAAACTGAAGTGAATCGAACATTTAGAAACTGACCTCTCTCTGTGGAGATCTGAGATCTTTGCTCCTGACAGTTCTTCAAGTTCCGCCACTGACCCAATGCATACCACCTGTCAAAAACAAAGTTCAATAGCAGGAGCTCCTTAGAGCCAAACAGAGCATACTGAGTTAATTTATATAGCATGCATGTTTACTTTGAGAGACTGATGATTTTCTTTTTCCTTTTTTTTTGAGATAGGGTCTCACTACCATTGCCCAGGCTGGAGTGCAGTGGCACAATCACAGCTCACTGCAGCCTCAGCTTCCTGGGCTCAGGTGATCCTCTCACCTAAGCCTCCCAAGTACCTGGGGCTACAGGCAGGCACCACCTCACCCAGCTAATTTTTTGTATTTTTAGTAAAGACAGGGTTTCGCCATGCTGCCCAGGCTGGTCTCAAACTCTTGGACTCGAGCTATCAGCCACCCTCAGCCTCCCAAAGTGCTGCGATTACAGGCGTGAGCCACCCAGCCTGAGACTGATGATTTAAAGGCACATTAACACACCAATCTGGGCCGAAGGATAGTATTTGCTAATGTGGCTTCTCTCTCATGAAAGACACAGCCTACTCTTAGTCTCTGAAGAGGCCAGGGTTGCCACTGCTCCTCTGTTTCCACCCCAGTATCAGAGGGAGTCCCTACCTAGAGAGAATCTTAAACATTCATAGCCATACTCTCAATGGATATTAAGGGTTTATTATGTGCAAATTGTCAAAGTAACTGGCATAAGTGAAACATCTTAGATTATTTCTCTAAGGCATTTTAGTTTCCTCCTGGCACCTGAATCTGGCTCATTAATCTAGAATCTTCCCAAGAAAAAGCTAGAGCTAAATTATAGTCATACAGTGCTTAATGGTGGGAATACATTCTGAGAAATGCATTGTTAGGGTGATTTCCTTAGGCAAACATCACAGACCTAGATGGGATGGCCTAAAACACAGCTAGGCTATATGGTGGAGCCTATTACTTCTAAGCTACAAACCTGTACAGCATGTGGCTGTACTGAATTCTGCAGGCAACTGTAACACAATGGTAAATGCTCTAGTTTTCATATGGTTTGTCCCCAGCAAATCTCAAGTTGAAATTTAATCCCCAGTGTGGCAGTATTGACAGATGGAGCCCGATGGGAGGCATCTGGGTCACAGGGTGGATCCCTCGTGAAGAGACCAATGCTCTCCTTCTGCAGTGAGTTAGTTCTCTCTCTATTAGCTCCTGTGAGAGCTGACTGTTGAAAAGAGCCTGCCCCCACCCCACCGCCCGTTTCTTCTCTTGCCATGTGATTTCTGCATACTCTGGCTCCTGTCCAGCCTTCCATCATAAGTGGATGTAGCCTGAGGTCCTCCCCACATGCAGATGTCTAGTCTTCAACTTTCCAGTCATGCAGAATCATAAGCCAAATAAACTACTTTTCTTTATAAATTATCCAGCCTCAGGTATTCCTTTGTAGCTACACTAAACAGACTAAAACAGGAAGTATTTGAGTTTCTAAACATTACAAAACACAGAAAAGGCACAGTAACCATATGGTATCATAATCTTGTGGGACCACTGTCGTATATGCGGTCTGTCATTGACTGAATGACATTATGTGGTGCATGACTATATTATGCTTGGACCCGATTAAAGCAATCAGACAAAGCCACAGGATGCTAGGATTATATCCAGGTAAAGAGCTGAGAGATGGGGCTAGCTGGGGCACTCAGAATGGAGGGATCATCTGACAAGGGCCACACCAGTAGGAACTGCTGTGCGTTCTCACCCAGGGAGCTTCTGATCCTAGTGAACACTGGTGGCCTCTTTCTCTGCCCTTCCTGTTCAGTCCTGAAAAGTCTTCTGATTCAGCTACTTCACTGTTGCCTTTCAGGTCCCTATGGGAGATTCACCAAGGTCCCCAGGGTGCTGCCGCTCATCACTGCAACAATGCTGTCAGCTTTGGACAGAAGGCCAAACACACAGATCTATCTGTATAGTAAGTCCTCGCCTGATGTCATTGAGAGGTCCCAGTAGCTGGAACTAAGTGGCGTGCACCACCATGCCTGTCTAATTTAACAAACATTTTTGTAGAGATGGAACCTCATTATGTTGCCTAGGCTGGTCTCAAATATCTGGTCTCAAGCGATCCTCCTGCCTTGGCCTCCCTAAGTGCTGCGATTACATGTGGGAGCCATCACACCCGGCCTAAAGTCAGTTATCAAGAACCTCTGTATGACATTAAGTGAGGACATAGTATATCCACATACATCTATATATCTACACACATCCTCTTATTCATTTGATTTTAGAAGTTAAAGGTCTGTAATGCTTTGGTAAATTTCTTTTCAAGTTTTCTTTTTTCATCATCTATAAAGTCAGTTTAACCATAAGCTAATAGTATACCTTAATGTAGGGGGAAGAAAAGACATCGGGGAAACACACAAAAAAAACATTTAAAGTGTGTATTTCCCTGAGAAAACTGTATCCTTTTATTTTTACAGAGGAAAGTTTTATAAATTGTATTTAATTCAAGGAAAAAAAGTTAAAAACCCCAGAAACAGATTATCTTATGTCATGATTCTAGAAAGGAATAAAGAGGAAAAAAGATGAAATAAGAAAGGGGCAAAGAAAAAAACACCCTATTCTTTTAAACCACATTCAGATTTCATGAACAAAATGCTTTAGCAAAAATCAACACAAGGAAATACTGCCATGCCTCACCTCCTCAAAGTCATCGCTGACCCACAGTGGGATGGGGGTGCCCCAGTATCTGTTTCTGGAAATTGTCCAGTCACGTGCATCTTTCAGCCAATTTCCAAATCGTTTTTCTCGTACCAACTCTGGGACCCTGCAATAAACAGATCACATAACCAATCACATAAAAATATGGAAAAATTCAACATGTAAATAATACCCACAGGAGCCTTTGTATAACGCTTTGTGGACCAAACACTCTGGAAACGTGGCGCTCACTGCAAAGAGAATGTCTTCTAAATGGACAGCATAGCACACACAACAGTTTGTGCTGCCATCAATGACCTACATCCAATAGATTACCCCACAGCACACAGGCCTCCCATGTCCTCCTCTTCAACTGGAGTACAGCTGCCACATACCTCTAACCAGTCACCTTAGCTTTAGCCAGCCTCATCCCATACAACTCTAGTCTTCACATTATCCTCACCATAGCAGTTTTTCTGAACTCATTAAGCAAAGGCCAACAGGCCAGGGGATTGGTAGCTGCTCTAGCAGCCCTCTCTATAGTCACCTCTCTGGTCATCCTTGGTCTTGAATTTCAGGCTCTGGCAATGAGGCAAGTTCCCTAGAATCCTTCTCACTTAACTGGCTTTGCCCATGCCTGCCCTCTGACACGCAGCCTGCCTGCCCTCTGACACGCAGCTTCCCTCCCTTCTGCATCCATCCTCTTGCATCCCTCCCACTCCCAGTACTCTTTATTCCTTGAGGTTCAGCTTTGCAGAAATCCTTTTCAAGCACAAGGCTGAGTCAGGGTAGGCTACCAGACCTCCCCTTCTTCTCTTGGGCACTGCAGTTACTGCCCTGTACTTCAAAGATCAGTTTATATGCCTGCACCCCCTCGAGGCTATCTTACTAATATTCTATATCTAGTATCTTACACATTAGGGGAACTAATTAGCTTACTAGCTCTAAAAATGAAAAGCTGTCTTTTGAGAAATCAGGACCACTCTGCTAAGAAATATTAGAAAGCTACAGTTTATAACTATTTCCTTTGCTGCCCTGAGATTCTCCCCATTCTCCTAAACTCAGATACAGTTTTCTAGAGTCTAGTTGGGTCCTTGTGAGAAGTTAAGAGTGGTGATTACTTTTCAAACTTGTAGTGAAAAACATTCATCTGAAATACACAGGTTCAAGCCTTGTTTCATTTTGTACCCAGAGGCTGAAATGATACTTCTTGGGCTATCACCTGCAGGACACATATCAGCTATGGAAAGCAAAGGCTTCTGTGCTTGGAGCTTATCCATACAGCCAAGCACAGGGTACATCATCCACTGCAGGACCAACAAGAGTAAGTACAAATGGCTTTTGCAGGTATATCTGAAAATAATGTTTACTCTGAAAATGACTATTATTGAAGGCTAGCAAACTCTGGCAGTACAGCCATATTTTTCCAAGGTCATTTCATTCCCTAAATCGAATAAATGGTGGTTTATCATTTCCAATGAGTTTAAAAAGAAAAATACTCCCTTACATACTTTATCACAAGAAGGATGTTACTTCTGTTCTGTAACATTATTTGAATTATTTTGTGCTCCTAAACACACAGAAGAAAAGATAGCTATTACAATACCCAATAAAAGATGGGTTATTAAAATTATAACTTGGGGGAAGTGTAAACCATACTTACTAACCACATGACAAAAGACACTATGAAGAAACACATCTTACTGCTCACCAGTAGCACAGGTCATTGTTCCTTAGGAGCTGGTCCACCATGTTCTCCACTCGCACAAACCAGCTGGGCACTGCTTTGTAAATTAGAGGAGTGTCTGATCTGGGGAAGCAGAAACACACACATAGCTGCTCAGGCTGAGACTAGTAGGCACTACGGTAAGACTGACTTTTCATGTCTTATTGACAGCATCATCACTTACTTGGCCTTCTGCTAATATTCATTTTTATTATAGATAAAAACATCTAAGACTTCAAAATTGGTCATATCTTTCCACAATAGTAAGAAAGGCAAAAACTAATACAAGAACAAGAGTAGAAAAAAATAGTTCTGCTAGTGACAATTATCTAAGAAACAATGTCAACTTCAACTTCAACACAGAAGAGGCAATGTGGAAACCAAACACGATGCAACTGAACATTTCATTTTCACCCATACTTTTACAGCATGGTCTTATATTAAAGGTTAAAATCATATTAAATTTTTCAATAAACTCTATTACAAAATTTTAGAGATGCTTCTCATCCTAAAAAAAATGTGGCCACAATACAAAACAGATTTGTACAGGTCTATTTTTCTCTCACAGTTCCTTAGGAAAGCAACATTTTTAGCCATTCATAAAACTCTCCTAGACCAGGCGCTGTGGCTCATGCCTGTAATCTCAGCACTTTGGGAGGACAAGGTGGGAGGATTATTTGAGCCCAGTAGTTTGAGACCAGCCTGGACAACATGGCGAAACCTCATTTCTATAAGAAATGCAAAAATCAGCCGGGTGTGATGGCACCACCTACATAGTTCCAGCTACTCCAGAAGCTGAGGTGGGAGGATTGCTTAAGCCGGGGAGGTGGAGGGTGCAGTGAGCTGTGATTGCACCACTGCATTCCAGCCTGGGCGTCAGAGTGAGACCCTATCTCAAAACAACAACAAAAAAACAAACAAAAAACCCAACTCTCCTAAAAATGAAGTAAGAAGGTGGCTTCCCAAACCAACTCTAAAGGATACAAGTGAGATGAACACCACAAATAAGATGGAATGGGCACATATAGTAAGTGTAAGCACAGACTGGAAGCTCTAGCTACAACACAGTCTTTGTTTCTTCTGACCTCCAGCAAAAAGGGTAGCTGTGAGTGAAGGTGGTGGCAACCAGAAGTCGGCCTTGTTCCTTCAAAGTCCTGATGATACTTTTGTCAGCATCCTATTAAAAAAAATTAAAATTTAGCCATTAAAACATACTATAATACTTAGGAACAATATATTACTAGAATCTGATACCTTGTTATGAATAAAAGGCACAAATAACAAATATTATTTATTATTTTTAGTCACTAACTTTAAGTAATTTTCAAGTACATTCCACAACATTTAAGGTCATAAAGTTTTTCGATCTGAAATGACAACCCCAAGGTCACAAAGGTGCTTCATGAGGCATGAACTGGAGTTTTTCTGATCTTTCCCCATGAAATTTCAGCATGCATCCTCTAAAGATATGAGACCCTCTGAACGTAACTGATAACATCTGTCTTTACGGATTTCATGCGATGACAAAACCAAATAAAAACAACTTCCTAGAAGAATTACAATACAATTATAAATGATGGTAGAGACTAATCAGAAGTAACAGTCACCCTTCTATGCTATATGGATTACAGACCTTCACATACTGTCCTGCGAAATCTGTCACCTCCGTTGTGAAGCAGCCTGAAGCATCCACAGGGCAAACAGGGAGTGAGTCTTTCCGAATAATGTTAAAGTCCATACAGACCCGATAGTCCTCCTGAGAAAAGGCAAAAGAGAGGGAAGAATAAAACAGTCTATGTATGGGTGTGAGCATGAGGTAATAGATTCCCAAGATAATTGTTCTATATTGTAACATATACATTTCATCAACTTTGTCCTGTAAACTGAAGGTAACTCAAGACCATTCGGAGAATCAGACCCTCACAGTTGGACAGGGGTTAGGTCACCCAGTCTAGTCTTCTCAAATATTATTTCCCAGACCTCCATATGTAGCAGAGTATCCACTAAATGAGAAGATAGATGACATACATCAATTTTTTAAGTGAAAGGAATTAAGAAAGTAAAGCAATAAAGAATGGCTACTCCATAAGCAGAGCAGCCACACAGGAATGTTTTAAAACTAAATCAAATTTGATTTATAACAGCAGCACACACATCTGAAAAACCAAAAATTTCCTATTTTACAGATAGGAAAGTCGAGGTACCAAGAAGTAACTCAGCTATGAAGCAGCAATGCTAGGATTCAAAACCAAACAGCCTGGCTCCAGAGTCTATAGTCTTCATCACTGTGTTATGATGCCTAAATATAAAATTAAAGAGATTGCCTTATGTTGGTGAAACCACACTCTGGGTTGACTCCAAGACAAGCTGGAAAGCTGACATGCTTCCACCTGGATCTGTGTTCACCTCTCCCTGTGCTGAGGCTGACTGGTGTGGTGTCATGTGGGTAGACAGGAAAAGCCCCTAAGTGCAGCAATTTGAACCACTGAGTGTGGAGCAAGTAACTTTACCCAGTGCATTAAGCTAAGAGCAGCATTCCTGAATGCATCCAGAACCAGTGATGTTCAACAGGATGACGCACAAGTGCACAGACTCTGCGAAGATCAAACACTACCCTTGCCTGGTGAAGACAAGTGCAACGGAAGGCCTCTCAGAAAATGTTTACCAAGGCCGGGTGCAGTGGCTCACGCCTGTAACCCCAGCACTTTGGGAGGCCAAGGCGGTCAGATCACCTGAGGTCAGAAGTTTGAGACCAGCCTGGCCAACATGGTGAAACCCTGTCTCTACTAAATTTACAAAAAATAAGCCAGGCATGGTGGCAGGTGCCTATAATCCCAGCTACTTGGCAGGCTGAGGCAGGAGAATCGCTTGAACCTGGGAGGCAGAGGTTGCCGTGAGCCAAGATTGCACCATTGCACTACAGCCTGGGCAACAGAGGGAGACTCTGTCTCAAACAAAACAAAACAAAAAAAAAAAAAAAAAAAAAAATTTACCAAATGGTGTTAAAAGCTATAGTTTAAAGAATGAATCTTCTATAACATTAACATGCACAGCATTGAGAATAGATATATGAGATATAACTCTAGAGTTAATGACAAACACCCACATTTAAAAAAGAAAACCTCAGGAGGCTGAGGCAGGAGAATCGCTTGAACCCAGGAGACGGAGATTGCAGTGAGCCGAGATCCTGCCACTGCACTCCAGCCTGGGTGACAGAGCGAGACTCCCATCTCAAAAAAAAAAAAAAAAACCCCTACACTACAATTCAAAACCAAGAAGTTACCTTTTTATTATCTACTAAGAGTGGGGTAACCATACCAGTTAATTGACCCTAAAATGATTATGAACAATATTTGACTAGTTCCTAAAACTCTTAAGTAGTATTATCAAGAATGCTTCCTTCCATCAAAATGGACCAGGTATTAGGTGATTATTAAGGAATTGCTGACTTTATTGGATATTTATACTGAAAATAAAAGTCCTTATCAGTCAGAGATGCAGCTAGAATTACTTAGACACGAAAGACATGAGGATGAGGATTTGCTTTTAAATCCTCCAGCCAAAATAAAAAAGTGTGCTACTGTACAGAGGAAGAAAACGAGAGATTGCCAAAACATTGAGAGTTAATGCAGCTGGATGATGTGAAAAAAAGAATCTATTATCATATTTTCTTCTGTGTATGTTTCAAGATTTCCATAATAAAAATTCAAGTGATGGTTACACTAAAAGCCCAGATTTTACTACTATACAACATATCAATGTAAAAAAATTGCACCCGTACCCTCTACATCTATAAAAGTAAAAAATCCCAGAGATTAAGCATGAAAGCAAAATGGCAGATGAGGGCAGACTACTGCCACTGCCTTTTAGAACAAAGTCACATTTCCAATCCCTCTCACTGACAAAACGATCAAGCCTAGAGGAATGTGTATGTAGGTGCTACACCATGCTACACCATGCTACAGAGGAGGCAAAAGAAGTCCAGATAGGCCAGGCAACTTACCCAGGAACTGCCCGTTAGTGGCAGTGCCATGATTTAAGGTGAGAGGTGGTTTACTGTAAAGCATGTGCCTTTATGTTATTCTGTTTTTATTCATACACAAATTACATAAAAAGGAATGTGTTTTTAGAAAAATTATTCTAGTCAAAATATAAAATTAACTGTAGAGTACTGTTTTGAGGGGAGAGGTCAGATTCCCCCTTCTGAACATTTAATTAAGAACACAGCAGAGGTGATGGGAATGGTCTGTATCTTGGTGGCTGAGGCACCTGCACGTCTCTAGATGCCTGTCAAAACTCACGGAACTGCACACCAAAAAGAGTTTACTGGATTTGGCCCACTCTTTCCAGAAATCAGCTTAGGATGAAAGGGAATTGCAGATGCAAATTTTACAAGCCATCTTGCAGGCAGTGAGCCAGAAAAGAGGCCAACCTGGTAACCCAACATGATGAGACACAGGACTCCGCATCTATGAAAAGTGGCTACCGACATACTCAAATACATTTGCCAGACTTATGCTACTCACAGCACCGAAGTAAGGAGCTTGGTGGACAACCCCTGTGCCTTCTTCTTCCTTCACATAGTTGTCAACAAGCACAGTGAAAGCGCCATTCTCTTTACACTGGAAAGAAAGGACAGCAGGCTTCAGGGATGAAACATTACTGTGTTACAACGTTAACTTTGTAACAGTTTTTCCTAAGAACCTGAAAATGCTTTTAACCGGTAAAATTATTTTCAGAAATAGAAAAGAAAGAATAATGCAGGCTGGGAAGAAACATGCTAATTCAATACATTTTTCCCATAAATAAAAAGTTACCACTTATAAACGAAATAATTATCTGGAGAATGGCAGATAAAAATTTCTAATTTCCTTGGTTACAAACGTGTTTTTCATTAGTTCTCCCTCCCCCAACTTTTTGTCCCTATGCAGTTTAGGATACAGTCTCAGAAAGCATGCTCCCTAAATTGTTCACTTCCTGGTACATTTTCAATCACTGCATATGTTTTGCTTCTCTTTCTCCTTTCAACTCAGCTCAAGTTATTCAGTCATAAAGGCAAATCTTGAAAGGAACAGGTGGGAGCCACGAGTAGTAAGTTCTACTTACAGGTACTCCACCACCTTAATACTCAGGGGAAATGTGTTCAATTTCATTTTCTTTGCAACAGCAATATCATCATGTTAATACATATAATGCTAACAGACCTACTCTACTTTCATCTTTTTACATTTCTTTCCACAAACCCTTGTTTCTGCCAAACTGGCCCTTTGATGTCCTTCCTTTTTGCATTGGTAAAAAGTACTTTCACAAGTGATTTTCACATTTAACTCCTATAATTCTGTGAACAAGCTATTAGTAGTCCCATGTCTTAAAAATATTCTGGCTGTATTTGCATTTCACAGATGAGCAAGCTCAGAACAAAGATTAAACTTAGTCTTATCCAAATCACACAACCAGCAATGATGAAGCCAGGACATGGAACAGGTCTTCTGGTTGCAAATACAATGTTATTTTCAATTACATCACAGCACTCGGTTTCTTTGGAACTTAAAACTAAACTTGAAAAATAACCATAAAATTTTAATTGTTGTAACCTAAATCACCTTGAAACATTTTAGAAGTTATAGTATGATAGGTGCTAAAACTTCGATAGTTTAAACAGAAAGACAGAATACATGGGTCCTTAGAATTACATGTATACTTAGTTACATGTTCTATACTTAGAAGCAGTATAGACAAAGTCACTGCATCTTGTCTCTCAGGGTCTACTTTGGGCCTACCCAGGCCATGGCTGGGCTGCTTCCACCCAGGTCAGTAGATACCAACCACCAGGAGCAGCAGTGCTGCTCCATAGGCAGTGTCCGCTGACTCAGCTTCCCTCGATATTTCACAACAGGTATATTTCAGTGAACATCAGATGATTCCGTCCTGGGTCAAACGATTTATAGTACTTGCCTAAAGTCACCGAAGGTTTCAGGTAGTTTAAGAAGCTTATTTAATGAGTAGGTGTTATTCAACTTAATACCTACCAAGTGCATATTCCAGACAGACCTCTACTTAACCTAAAGTTCCTGTCTAGTGTATCCATGTGCATTCTTTCAGGGGGTTGAGTTTTTGGGTTCTCAATAGGTTTTGTGATTCAGAAAGGTGAGAGTCACTGATCCAGTGGAAGAGATTTCAGATAATAAAAAAAATACAACATAAAACAAAGTATGTTAAGCTATATGATAGGAGAATGGAATGAAGTAATGACATTTTTCCAAGGGAGAAACCAAAGATGCATTTCAGAAAACTTTCAGAGGACATCTGAGTTCAGACCTGAAGGGTGAGTTAACTCAGCAGATATCAACATAAGAAAAAAATAAAGACTTTTAAGACAGTAGGAAAACTTAATTAAAGAAAGGCAGGGAAGCAGGAAAGGGAAGAGCCAGTTTGACTGAATAAAGGATATGTCTAAAGTAATGTGGGAGGATGTGGTCAGGAAGCAGCTCTGCCACATACCGACTGGGGAGGGCACGTCCTAATTGCTGGTAAATAACTAACGCCTGTAGGGAGGAATGGGATGAGGGCAGAACATATGGAAATCCACTGGGCAGCAACGTGGGAGGAGGAAGAAGGCTATCAAGTAGGCAACGAGAAATGTGGGAAAACACTCAAGAGGCACAAAAGTGAAAAGGCAGGTAACAGACACACCATGGATAGGGCCCAAACCACAGAGGTCTCCTTAATCAACCAGACTCTCCCCACACGGAACAGAAACAACTGAGGGTTCAGCGAACATTTTTTTCTGGGATGGGACGTAAGTGATATGTCCAGTTGATTATTATTTCCACATAAGGCCAGGTCTGCTCATTATCTCATTTCAAGACCTTTAAATAAGGACGGAGAAATTCCTCTTTGACACTATTCTTTCGGTGAGAGAGTGTGGGAGTGGGGACAGCAGGGTTTGCAACTGTAGCTGTGGATTCTCCACTGTCAGAAAATAAAACCACATAAAACAACTTTATGACTCTGAAGAAACTAAGGTGCTAAATGTATGAGCTCTGTCGTGGTGCCTAGATTTAAAACACCTGCCTCATTAACCTCCTTGAAATAAAATTGTGTTTACCTTTCCACATGATGTTTTACTGTGATTACTATCTTAACTTTGTCAAAACAAACAAACAAACAAAAACCTCAATAAATACCCTGGGTGATATGTAGACTACATGCAATAAAAATATACACCTAAAAATCCAATCAAATGTAAAATGATTCCTCATACAATTTGAGAAAAATATTCAAATAAAAAATCCCAGCTTGGCCAGGCACGGTGGCTCACAAGGTCAGGAGTTCAAAACCAGCCTGGCCAAGATGGTGAAACCCCATCTCTACTAAAAAGTACAAAAATTACAGCATGCCTGTAATCCCAGCTGCTCGGGAGGCTGAGGCAGGAGAATTGCTTGAACCTGGGGGGCAGAGGTTGCAGTCAGCCAAGATCGCGCTATTGCACGATATTTGCACTCCATCTCAAAAACAACAACAACAAAAAATCCCAGCCAGGTGCAGTGGCTCATGCTTGCAATTCCAGGAGTTCAAGACCAGCCTGGGCAGCATAGCGAGATTCTGTCTCTACAAAAAACTAAAAACTTAGCCCGGTGTGGTGCTGTGTGCCAGTAGTCCCAGCTACTCGGGATGGGGCAGGGGAATCACTTGAGCCCAAGAGGTCGAGGTTGCAGTGAGCTGTGATTGTGCCACTGCACTCCAGCCTGGGGGACAGAGGAAACCCTGTTTTTAAAAAAAAAAAAAAAAATCCTCTAAGACAAGAAAGCTACACAAACAATTTAATTTTGTTGGTACTAAAGCAGACTTTCTGGATTCAGGTACACTCATAAAAGTAATGTCAATTCCACTTCTCACAACACCCCAGCTATCAAATAATCAGATTGTGGAGAGCGCCCACAGTAGCGGTCCCTAAGCTTACCTTCAGGAAATAGTCAAACAGGGGCCTGTACTTCTTGCCTTTAAGATAGGCACCAGGAAATCTAGAAAAGGAGAAAGGCAAACTCACAATTAGATTAAAATCAAATATGAGGCTGCAGCCACATCAAGCTACCACTCCCCTCTGGTTTACTGGCTTCTTAGCCCTAGCCATTCATGCTGTAATGTGTGACTGCAAAGTACTTAGTATAGTATTAGTACTTAAAACTAAATTTGAATAATGCAAGCTTTTGGATAACAAAGTTTATTTCTTTTTAAAACTAAAGACACACATACAGACACATGCACACAAACACAGAGCAACTATTTGAATATTCACCTTTCAAGGATCTCATAGTCACTCTCCAATTTATAGAGGGCTGACAATCTGGCTTCCATTAAAATGAGTAATCGTCCTCTGGCAACATCTACGAGAAAAAGGAAAAACATGGACTTGGGTTATATTCTGAACTTGGCTGATTCCAAAGACATGCATCAAGCATACTTTTGTCCTGAGGAGCTCCTGTACCATGTGCCTCTACTGTACCCAGTACTCACAGAGAAATACTGCAAAGAACACTATGGTATACTGCTTCCCAAACATGAAAATGACAAAAACATCAAATGCACTTAGGCAGTTGGTAGTTATTATTTATCGCTCAGATATCCATTTTAAGTAAATCTTTATTTTTTCCTTCATAAGGTAAACATGTCAATGTTTAAAAATAACATTGACAAAGTAGCTCACAAATTAAGTGCCACATATCACCCCCTCTCAGACATTCTCATTTGGGTGTCTATGGATCCGGATATTTTTCTATGTATATACAAACAAACATATAGGTAAATGTGTAAGTTCTTTTTATTTTTCTAATTGAGGTAATATTCTATCTGATTTTGTAGCTTTTCACTTAATATACTGTCAACATACTTCCATGTATTAGCACATACAGACTTTTCTCATCCTTTTAAAGAGCTCTATGGGACGCTATTTTATAGAGGTACGAATTATTTCTAACAAGTTGACAGACACTTAAATTGCTTTCAAATTTTCACTACTATGAACACTGGCATGATGAATGTCCTTGATGCATCTGTGTACCCTTATTGTAAGTGTTTCTGGAGGATACCTGGGGCATCCTAGGAAAAGAAAAGCTGGAGCAAATGTATGAACAGTTAAAACTTTGATACTGAAAATCTAGGCCAATTTAAACTCTCATCATAAGCTATGATATTACACATCTGAGATTTACTAGAGCCTATGTCATATATTTAGTTCACTATAAGAAAAATGAGTATCTATGGGTCATTGTAAAAGCCTTTCCAATTTATTGAAAAACTGCTATGAATAAGGCTGCCACTCCCTAGCTCTGACCTCACAGGAACTTCATTGTAAGTGGGGACCACAGTTTCTGATAAAGCTCAGATACAAAGTCTGCCAAGCACAAGAGTTATACACAGGTAGATGGGTGATGTGTTTTGAGATCTCAGTCAGGTGGCTGCTGAGATTGTCAAGCTCACCACAGAATGGCTAGTGACCCACCAGTGACATAGGGAAATTGTGCAGATGGGACTGTCCTTGCTCCAGAGAAGCAGCTGCAGACACCTGAGCCAGGCCTCTTTGTGGCCAACAGCTTTCCAGTAGGTCAACTCTTAGTCCTATTTGCTCCCAGGAAAGAACAAATAAAAAACTCCCTCCGTACCTTTTTTCTGGCACCCAATCTTTCCCCATTCCTTTCTCAATATTTTTCCCTTGCCAACACAAGCTATTGTTCAATCAAGTTGACTGTTTTAATACAACTATTTTTAAAAATCATGGTAACCATTCTTACACAGAATTAAATACATCTACAATGTTGTGTAATCATTACCATTATCAATACCCTAAACCTTTTCATTTTCCTATACTGAAACTCTGTACTCATTAAACAATAACTCCCCCTTCCCTCCCAGCCTCTGTCAACCACCATTCTACTAGTCTTTGCTCTCTGAAGTTCACTTCTCGATACCTCATATAAATAGAATCATGTAGTATCTGTCTTTTGGTGACTGGCTCATTTTAATTAGCATAATGTCCTCCAGGTTCATTCAAGGCATAGCCTGTATCAGAATTTCCTTTCTTTTTTAGGCTGAATAATATTCCACTGTACGTAAATACCCTATTTGGTTTATTCATTTATCCAATGATAGACACTTGGGTTGCTTCTATCTTTTGACTACTGTGAATAATGCTCCTATGAACACGGGTGTACAAGTAACTGTTCAAGACTGCTTTCAATTCTTTGGGGAAAACACTCAGAAGTGAAATTGCTGGGCCATAGTGTCATCTCATTCAGCTTTTTGAAGAAATGTCACTGCCTTCCACAGCAGCTGTGCCATAGCTTTTTTCATGGCAATGAGTTTTTCTCTTTTTCTTTTACCGCCACAAAACTACCAAACCTGAAGGTATATTTGTTCACAAAGTACCAATCTTCTTTTTAAATCTCGGAAAGGCCCTCGTTGAGACTGGTAACTCTCTACCAGGGGACATTTGAAAGGCAAAAAGTTCTCAAGTTCTGGTATCAATTGCTAGTAACGACGTGATGCCACATCGCTGAATCTTAGATTCTTCATCTGTCACAGGGGCATGGTGTGGAAAAATGTACTATAAACTGGAAATTATAAGAAAATTTTATGTTCTACTTTTTATATCTCTGTACTATTTTAATTGTTTTGTTAGTTTTCAATTAGAAATGAAAACAAATGTTTAAAGTTATTTTTCTAATTAAGTCAGATTGTTTTCAAATAATTCTATTCTTCATGCAAAAAGAAAGGTAAGCTTTCATATTTTCCAAAATATAAAATTATCTTATCCATATTAATCATAAGTAACCAGCCTCCCACTTACCTTTAATTTTCACATATTGCATTTCTGGATTAACACACACAGCAAGGTTACTAGGTAGAGTCCAGGGAGTGGTTGTCCAAGCAACTAAAGATACAGTTTCATCTTCTTCCAAAGGGAAAGTTACAAATACTGAAGGATCTTGAACATCCTGAAATAAATTGAGGTAAAGTATTGTTTTAGAAATCCACAATAACAGACACCTAAGAAAAAGGAACTACTCCTAAAGAGGAATAAAATAAATCTTCAGGGTAAACCGAAGAAACCACTTACCAGACTTACAAACAGAAAATAGCAAGAAATTCCAAGTAAAAAAATTTTTAAATACTTTAAAAAATGTTTTAATCATCACCTTAGTAGTCTCAAAAATAATGTCTTTTGACACCTGGTGACTTTTTTTTTTTTTTTTTTAGATGGAGTCTCACTGTGTCACTAGGCTGGAGTGCTGTGGTACAATCTTGGCTCACTGCAGCCCCTGCCTCCTGGGTTCAAGTGATTCTTGTGCCTCAGCCTCCCGAGTAGCTGGGATTATAGGTGCGTGTCACCACACGTGGCTAATTTTTGTATTTTTAGTAGAGATGGGGTTATTCCATGTTGGTTAGGCTGGTCTCAAACTCCTGACCGCAGGTGATCCTCCCACCTCAGCCTCCCAAAGTGCTGGGATTACAGGCGTGAGTCACCATGCCTGGCCTCTGGTAACTTTTTAAAGTAATGTCTAAGTAGGAACATATGATGGAGGTTTCAGTATTATGATTATCTATTTTGTAAGTCCATCAAGAGTTAGATCAAAAAGATAACTGTTCTGGAATATGGTTATCTTTTTGCCCAAAATACCAAAAAGATCCTACTGAAGCAACACATACTTGAAATTGTAACAGACCCATATAAATTCAGCTCATTAAATAAGAACAAGATTGTCTCCAACTTTACGGAAATGTTTCAACACAAAAATATCAAGGATTTAAAAATAAATAGCTCTAAGGTAGGAAAAAAAAAATCAATCCCCAACAAAAACCAACTGCAATTTAAATAAAGTGACACGAGAGCCATTAGTCACATGTAAAACATCAGACAAACTTGAAATAAGAGACACTACTATTGGCCTGTACCTCCTCAAATATGTCAGTATTATGAGGCATAAAGAGACTAAAGAGCTCTTTAAGATTAAAGAAGGCTGGAGACATACCACTGCATGAAGCACACAATGTAGGTCTTTTTTGTTTTTCTTTCCTTCTTTTTTTCTTGTTAACTATAAAGGACACTGCTGGGACAAGCAGAACCCAATAAGATCTACACATGAGGTAATACAGCATCAATGTTAATTTTCTAACTCCAGTTATTTCAAACAATGTTACTGATTTTAGGAAATATATAGTTTTTAGAGGAAAAGGGCCATAATTCCTGCAACTTACTCTCAAAGGGTACTGTGCCCCACTCCCATAAAAAGAGAGAAGGATAAAGCAAATGTGGTAAAAGGTTAACATTTAGGGAATCTAGTTGAAGGATATAAAGAACTCTCCGCTTTTCTGTGAGTTTGAAACTACATCAAAATTAATTTTTTTCTTTTCTTTTTTTTTTGAGATGGAATCTCACTCTGTCACCCAAGCTGGAGTGCAGTGACGTGATCTCAGCTCACTGCAACCCCCACCTCCCAGGTTCAAGCATTCTCCTGCCTCGGTTTCCTGAATAGCTGGGACTACAGGTGTGCACCACCATGCCCAGCTAATTTTTGTAAAAAATTAAAATTTTTTAGCACGGTGGCTCATGCCTATAATCCTGGCACTTTGGGAGGCCAAGGCAGGAGGATCGCACAAGCTCTGGAGTTTGAGACCAGCTGGGGCAATATGGTGAGATCCCATCTCTACAAAGATAAAAAAATTTTCTGGGCATGGTGATGCACATCTGTGGTCTCAGCTGCTCAGGAGGGTGAGGCTGGAGGATCACTTGAACCCAGGAGGTCAAGGCTGCAGTGAGCTGTGTTTGCACCATTGCATTCCAGCCTAGGTGACAGACTGAAATCCCTTCTCTAAAAATAAATAAATAAAAGTTTTAAGCCAATACATATATATGTATACTTACATATATACATACACACACATATATATATATATATATATATTTTTTTTTTTTGAGACAGAGTCTAACTCTGTCACCCAGGCTGGAGTGCAGTAGCACACTTTCGGCTCACTGCAACCTCAACTTCCTGGGCTCATGTCATTCTCTTACTTCAGCCTGTGGAGTAGTTGGAACTAAAGGTTCACGCCACCACGCCCAGCTAATTTTTGTAATTTTAGTAGAGATGGGGTTTTGTCATGTTGCCCAGGTCGGCCTCCAAAAGTGCGAGGATTTCAGGTGTGAGCCACTGTGCTTGGTCAAGTCAAAAAAATTTTAAAAACCCTTGGTTAACAATCAATATACAGACCGCGTAGAATAGAGGTCAGCAAACCATGGCCCCTGGGCCAAATCTGGCTCATCACTTGTTTCATACAGTGGGTGAGTTAAGAATGGTGACAAAATTGAGAACACTTTGCCTGAAAAGCCTAAAATATTTAATTTGCAGAGGAAAGTTTCCCAACCTCAGTATTAGAACTAAAAATTAAGTATACTCTGTGACTCACCTGGGCGTGGTGGCTCACGCCTGTAAAAATACCCGCACTTTGGGAGGCTGAGGCAGGTGGATCAACTGAGGTAAGGAGTTCAAGACCAGCCTGGCCAACATGGCGAAACCCTGTCTCTACTAAAAATACAAAACTTAGCTGGGCATGCTGGCGGGCACCCGTAATCCCAGCTACTCGGGAGGCTGAGGCAGGAGAATTGCTTGAACCTGGGAGGAGGGTGCAATGAGCCAAGATCACACCACTGTACTTCAGCCTGGGCATCAGAGTGAGACTCCGTCTCAAAAAAATAAAAATTAAAACAAAGTATACTCTGACTCGATAATTCCACTACTTGTTATATAACCAACTGAAACGTGTACAAGACCTAAAAGACAACAGTCACCATGTGTTTAAGTCTTGGTAGATCCTGATTTAAAAAAATAAATAAATAAAAATAAAATATAACCCCTTGGGAAATGATTAAACCATTAGAAATATGAACTGATGATGTTCAGGAATTACATAATTTGAGAATATTAAAATAAAAACTATTAAAGGTGGCTAGGTGCAGTGGCTGACACCTGTAATCCCAGCACTTTGGGAGGCCAAGGCGGGTGGACTGCTTGAGCCCAAGAGTTCAAGACCAGCCCAGGCAACATGGTGAAACCACTCCTATAGAAACACATAAATTAGCCAGGTATGGTGGTATGTTCCTGTAGTCCCAGCTACTCAGGGGGCTGAAAGGGGAGATCACTTGAGCCCGGGAGGTCAAGGCTGTGGTTAGCCGAGATCGTGCCACTGCACTCTAGCCTGGGTGACATAGCGAGATCCTATCTCAAAAACAACAACAACAACAAAAAGGTAACTGCTGATGACTTTTTAAGGTGTGACAACGAATGCTAACATGGCAATGTTTAAAGAAGATAAAGATTATTTATGAAAGATCTATACTGGATTATTTCTTGATGAAATAATATGATATCTGGAATTTGTTTCAGAATTGGAAGGAAAGTGGGAAAGAATATGTGTATGAATGAGGCAAGATTAGCCAGTCATTGGTGCTGGGGGCCTTAATGGGCCTACAGAAATTAATTATACCATTCTGTTTACTTTTGCATGTCCCTGAAACTGTCCACATTCAAGTGTTTTAAAAAACAACCAAACAGGCCGGGCGCAATGGCTCACAACTGTAATTCCAACACTTTGGGAGGCCAAGGTGGGTGGATCGCAAGGTCAGGAGTTCAAGACCAGCCTGGCCAAAATGGTGAAACCCTGTCTCTACTAAAAATGCGTGGTGGTGGGCACCTGTAAACCCAGCTACTCCAGAGGCTGAGGCAAAGAACTGCTTGAATCGGGTAGGTGGAGGTTGCAGGGAGCCAAGATCGCGCCACTGCACTCTAGCCTGGGCGACAGAGCAAGACTCTGACTCAAACAAACAAACAAACAAAAACCAAATATAGCAATATATTAAGATTTGACAAAGGTAAGCCTTGGAAACCTTGTGTTTACCATATCATTCTCTACATTGTTAAGTGCTTAAAATATTTTACTAAAAAAATACAAACATGAGCACAGAGAGGTGGTAAGGAGATAATAGAAATCATCATACCTGCCTTACAAGGATTTACAAAGATCAATCAAACAGGATATGTGAAAGCATTCTATAAATAAAACGTGCTTTGAAAGGCAAATTTTACTAATGTAATTTTCAAACCTAGGCCATGAAACAAGAATTCCAAACAAGTCAACATCCTTTAAAAACAGAGGGTCAGATAAACTCTCAAAACTGAAAACAACTCAGTATACACACGAGAAGAGATGGTTCACATTTCAGAAGACTTACTAGTATATAATATCTGTCTAGATATGGTATAACAATACACTCTGTAAACATCAAACATGTCTAAACACCTCAATCATAGCAACAACAACAACTGATTCTATCTCATCAGAGGAAAAATAATACCATTTGGCATCTCAAATTAATTTTTTTCCAAATACCGTTAACAAATAAATGATATCATGAGGTCCCAGATAAGGCATAAAATTACTCAACCCTTAAGAAACGATGACTACAGGAAGTATGTCAAAGCTGGACTTGTTAACCCAACAGAGAGGCACAAAAATATGGTCAAAACAAGCAAAACCTATCACATTAAGACACATCATAAATCCAATGTGGAAAAAAAATCCCTCATCTTAACAGAGCCTTAGTATACTAACTGGCAATATTTCCAGCACTCAGTAAGAAGTGGTCAAAGTGGTGGATGTCGTGGGCAACATTCCACACTGGGTCTACTTGGGAATACCTACTGTGATCATAACTACTCAGCTTCCACCTACAAAACTCAATGCTGAATAATGTCTCTACATTTCACGTACCTTATAATTCTGGTGTGACTCGAAGTTGGAAAGTGGAGTGTTACATGCCGTAGAGAAGGGCATGACTTTCACACCTCTATAAACAAGGCCTTTATCATAGAGTTGTTTGAAGACCCACCTGGTAAGAGATGGAGTTTCACAATTACAGAACAAAATTCTATTTCTGAAAATGCAAACATTTATGCCATTTTCTTTTTAGAGTTTCTGTCTGCCAAATAAGTGAAAAAACAATGTCTTTCATTGGGAGACTGGCTGGTAAATTATAACAGATCAATATAGTAAGACATCAGGCAGACATTAAAATGCTAATATCTACTGATATCGAATGATATTTAACACATAATGTTAAGAAAAGCAACTGGCAGGCTGGGCGCAGTGGCTCACGTCTGTAATCGTAGCACTTTGAGAGATCAAGGTGGATGGATCACCTAGGTCAGAAGTTCGAGACCACCCTGGCCAACAAGGTGAAACCCCATCTCTACTAAAAAGACAAAAATTAGCCAAGCATGGTGGCGGGCGCCTGTAATCCCAGCTACTTGGGAGGCTGAAGCAAGAGAATCGCTTGAACCTGAGAGGCGGAGGTTGCAGTGGGCCAAGACTGTGCCACTGCCCTCCAGCCTGGGCAACTGAGCGAGACTCAGTCTCAAAAAAATAAAAATAAAAGTTCTACATTCAAAAACAAACCTGTTCCCAAAGATTTTCAGAGAAATAACGATGGACTCAAAAATAAACTGATTCATGCTAGTGCATTTTTCCAATTATCAATACAACAGAATAGAATATTTACCATATTTACAATTTTAAATAAACCTACCAGACTGATTCCATGAATTGTGGATACAGAGTTTTATAGTCATTGTCAAAGTCAATCCATCGGCCAAGTCTGCTAACAGTAGACTTTAAAATATTAATATTAGAACAGTATTAGACAATGATATTTATAATTGTACATCAATGTGTGTTTATTTCTGTTGTCATCACAAATGAAAATTTTGGGAAAACAGAATAATCAATGGTACAAGTAAATCTATACTGCCAACAACATATTATGTAAGGTTAAGAACCAGTTTTCTCGGCATTCATCCTACATGCACAAAATGTTATTTACAAGTATAAATATTCACTTATAAAAGTCTACCAAAACCACCACTTGGCAAATATCACAGGCATAATTATTACTGGCAAAAACCATCCATGGATGTTAAAATTAATAAGTGAATGTATGACAAAAAAAAGAATATTTGGAAAGAATCTCCCCACAAGATACTTATTAATTACAAAGGAAAAACTACAACTTTACAAAGCAGAAAGCTGACAGCACTTTAACCAAGTGAACAAAGTTATCACCATCAATGTGACATAGCCGCAACACATGCCACCTGATATAATGCATTGAGAAGGGCATAGCATCACTTCTGTGGCATTGTCACCAAAAATGCATAACCTAAATTAAATCAGGAAACCTCACACATTGAGAGACATTATAGAAAATAGCTGTTCTGCAATCTTCAAAAGTGAGAAGGCCATGAAATACAAAGGACTAAATAAATGTTCCATACTTAAGAAGACTAAAAAGACATGACAACCAAATGCAATATGTGATTGGTCAGAAATAAAAATTAATGGGGCAACTGCTTTTGAAAATTCTATTAATATTATGGTTACCGAAGATGTTAGCAGCTGGGAAAGATGGATGAAGGATATAGGGGAACCCATCATACTACTTTTTCAATTGTTTAATAAGTCAAATTATTTCAAAATGAAAAGTTAAAAAAATTGAAAAAAGTATTTGAGAAAAAAAGAAAAGGCCTATATATCATGTTATACTTATTAGAATTTTTCCCTATTGGTGATCATGCAAGAAAGTTAGACCAATTAAGCACACAGAAGTCAGAAGAGAGATGGTTCAGTTTAAGCTAACCGTTTAAGTAATAGGGTTGAAGGTGGAAGCTAACACTTTTTCTACAAAAAATAAATTAATAAAAAAAGCACAAGGGACCATAAACCATTTCAATGCCCATTTAGTAACTACATTTGCTGTTCATTCTACTGAAAAAAACCCAACATACCTTCCACTCAGCAGAATATCTCATCACAATTGCTCGGCACTGATTGTTATACTCTGTAATCCCCATTTTGGCCACATCCTCTGGTCCTCTGATTCCCAGTGTCTTATCAATTTCATATTCCTGAAAATTTGTGATAAGACTGTTACCACGCTGCCCTATGAAAACAACTGCAACTATGCAACTCTAGAAAACAAAACAAATCAAACTACAAATATTATAGAAATGAACTAGAAGGTCTGACAGTCAACGTTCATCATACTTGAACATATTATATGACAAAATCTAATGCTTATAAAAAAAATCAGAAAATTATAAAGCTGGATACTCAAACATACCACAGGTAAGCCATGGCAATCCCATCCAAATCTTCTGTCAACATGAAACCCACTCTGGTGAGCATATCTTGTAACTATATCTTTAATTGTACCCGCAAGTATATGTCCATAGTGAGGCAGTCCAGTTGCAAAAGGAGGACCATCATAGAAGGTAAATCTAACAGGTAATAAAAATATATCAAGCCATTTAAAAACAGCCAAAATTTAAGGCATTTTTCTATAGATAGCTCTTGTCATAGTGGAGTCTTCAAGGAGAAAAGCAGCAAGATCAGGAAACCGACAGACATAATTGATTTGATATTTACTGGTGGTCCTGCCTTCAGAAAGGCTACAATTGTGGTAGAGCTACAGAGACCTCCATTTGATTATCCATTTTTCATTTATTAGTTCCATGACATAAGGCAAATTATTTATCCTGATCTTGAGTTATCTCATCAGTAAAATAGGGCAATAAACCCCTATCTCATAGTTTTTGACCAGAGGAGACATATAATGAAAACACTGATTAAAGGACTAGTCTTTTAGGTGAATGAGGACTAAAGGCAGGTAGTACTATAGTAGCCTTCTATGGGGTACTTAGGTATAAGTGCCTAAACGAGGGTGGTGATGAAAATAAAGGTGGAAAGAGGGTGACACGGAGGATGACACATAAATTTTACTCAGATGACCTTTTAAAGAAACAAAATTTACCCCAATAATTGAGAACTCATTCATTCAATGTATATCTACTACTGAGTACCCACTACATAGGGAGCTGGGGGATTCTGGGAATAGAAAGATTAATAAAGAGTATCTGCTTTAGGCCGCGCGTGATGGCTCACACTTGTAATCCCAGCACTTTGAGAGGCCGAGGTGGGTGGATCACTTGAGGTCAGGAGTCCGAGACCAGCCTGGGCAACATGGTGAAACCCCGTCTCTACTAAAACACAAGAATTAGCTGGTGTGATGGCGGGCACCTGTAATCCCAGCTACTCGGGAGGCTGAGGCAGGAGAATCACTTGCATCCGGGAGGCAGAGGTAGCAGTGAGCAGAGATTGCACCACTGCCCTCCAGCCTGGATGACAGTGCGAGACTCCATCTCAAAAAAAAAAAAAAAAAAAAAGTATCTGCTTTAATGGAATTCAGTCTAAGAAATGACTATTCTTAAGGGAACTTAACCTAAAAAATTCACATACTTTGGTTTATGTTTTGATTGCTTTAAGCATTCCTGAAAACAATTAAATTCAGTCCAAAACTCCAAGATTTTCTCTTCTTCAGCAGGAAAATTTATGTTTTCTGGAACTTGTTGAAGCATTTTGTTGCTGCAAAAGAAATCAAATTTATTACTGTCAAAAGAGAAATCTAGGAATAACAGAGTACCATATTATTAACATGGGTGTACATGACACTATCCATACTTTTAAAAAATTACAGCTTTATTGATGTACAATTTACATAGTGTAATGTAAAAAGTGTACAATTCAGTGGCTTTTTAGTATATTTACAAGGTAGTATAACTAGTAATACCTAATTTCAAAACGTTTTCAACCTCCCCTCCCCACCAAAACACCCCAAAACCATTAGCAGTCACTCCCCATTCTTTCTTCTCCATAGCCAGTGGCAACGATTTATCTTCTTTCTGTCCCTGCAGATTTACCTATTCTGGACATTTCATATAAATGGGAAAATTTATAGGAATCATCTATATGTGGCCTATTGCATCTGGTTTCCTTTCTCTAGCATGTTTTCAAGGCTCATCCATGATGTAATATGTATTCATACTTCATTACTTTTGATAGCTGAATAGTATTCCATTTCATGAATATGCCACATTTTGTTTATCCATTCATCATTTCTTGGATACCTGTATTGTTTCCACTTTTTGGTTATTACGAATAACGCTGCTATGAACATTCACATACAAAATTTTGTGTGGATCTATGTTTTCATTTCTCTTGGGTTTGTAGCTAGAAGTAGAATTTCTGGGTCACATGATAATTCTGTATTTAACTTTTTGAGAAAATGCCAAAATTTTTCCAAAGTGACTGTACTATTTTACATTCCCTCAGCAGTGAATGAGGATTCTAATTTCTTCAGATCTTACCCAACACATCTTATTGTCCATCTTTGAATTACAGTCATTCTAGGAGATGTTAAGTAGTATCTTGTGGTTTTGATTTGCATTTCCCTAAGGACTAATGATGCTGAGCATCTTTCCACATGCTTATTGGCCATTTGCGTATCCACGTTGGATAGATATTTATCCTTTGCCTATTTTCTAATTGGGCTCTTTTTGTGGTTGGGTTTTAAGGGTTATGTATACATCCTGGATACAAATCCTTTATCAGATATATGATTTATAAAAAATTTCTCCTGTTCTGTGGGCCGTCTTTTTATTTTCTTGATGGCATTTTTTGAAGCACAAAGATTTTTCATTTTAATGATGCCCAATTTGTCAATTTTTGGTTTTGCTGCTTGAGCTTTTGGTGTCATCAATAAACCATTACCTAAACAAGGTTATAGATTTTTCGCTTACATTTAGGCCACAAATAATTTTATTTTCGTATATGGTGTGAGGGAGGGGTACATGGCTATTATTTAATATTCAGTAATGGTAGAGACAATGTTTCCAAAAGTAAGCAGGAAAATCTTGGAAATTCTATCTAGTGGTGCAAAAAACTCATTAATAATCTGAAGAAAAATATCTCAAAGTAGTTAAGAATTTTCTTACCTACACTCACATGACAGAAATCAGTTCTCTTGAAGTAACTTCATCTTCTCTTTGAGGAAAACTGGTAAAACTTAAAAAATCTTAAAGCTAAAAAGATGAGAATCTCACATTCAAATATAGATTCCAGTTTTCCATTTTACCCTTTTTATTGCTTATTCATGATTTTTATGAAGGATGAGCCCTATACCTTTCTGGTTTAGTCCCTAATGAGAGAAGTCTTAAAGTGTCTTTTTAAATGTTTTGCTAATAACCTCATGCAGAGATACTTGATCAATCTATGACTTAAGTATCTAGTGAGCCACCCTTGAGACCTTTCCTTCTCAAAGTCTATTTATATTTACTTAACAATTCTAACAAGGTGGGTGACGAGCTTTCCAAGTCAGTATCAGATCAGAAGGGGATAAAATTGCTAATAAGGGAACAACAGAGAAGATAAAAAATCTTAAGTACTCAAGAACCACAACAGACCAGGGTAATCAACTCTACAGGAAAAGACACCTACATACCTCAAACAGTTTTGAAAGCATCAAAAGCATCATAGTCTAATCAAGTTATTGATTCAAGTTATCATTTAAAAAAAAGTCTGTGACAAGTAGTATCTTTCATTTTCTTTTACCCTCATTAATTTTTCAGATGTGTGAGTGCCTCTGAGTTTAATTTAAGAAAAAACAGGACAAGAACAGTTGGGCTGTTTAACTAACTGAAATAGCTATTTCTGATCACAGTATGCCATTAAAAGGTATTAAACAGAAGGTTTAAGGCATTTTAGATCTTCAACTCTTATTATAACCTCTAGCCTTTCAAGGACCAAAATAAGTGTTTGTGCATTTACTGATTTATTTAGGTTCATTGTGTACCTTATCAGAGGCCAACTGAAACTTATGGGATTGTTATCTGAAGACTAACAGACCTTTAGATACCAACACATTCTAATCTCTTCAAGGCTGGTCCTACTATGGCCCACATCTATGGGAGCTTATTAGAGATGCAGACTTACCAGCCTCACCTCGCACCTACGAGTCAGAACCTGCATTTTAACAAGATCCCTAGGGGATGAGCATTCACATCAAAGTCTGAACATCACCACTCTTGCACTGTTCTAACAATTATTCAGGAATATCTATCTGAATTTTTATTTTTGAGAAAATAAGATTTAAGCTTTCTGAGAAGAGGATCATTCCTTTTTTTTTTTTTTTTTTGAGACAGTGGCTCACTCTGTCACCTAGGCTGGAGTGCAGTGGCACAATCATGGCTCACTGCAGCCTTGACCTCCCTGGGTTCAGGTGTTCCTCCCAGTTTAGCCCGCCAAGTAGCTAGGACTACAGGTGTGCACCACCACACTCAGCTTTTTTTTTTTTTTTTTTTGGTGGGGAGGGGGTGGTTTGTAGAGACAGGGTTTTGCCATGTTGCCCTGGCTGGTCTTCAACTCCTAGGCTAAAGCGATCCTCTTGCCCTGGGCTCCCAAAGGGCTGGGATTACAGGCATGAGCCACTATGCCTGGCCAGCTCATTCAGCTTTTACTGTGTTTTTTAGGGAGTCTCTACTTTCCCCAAAGATTAAGAATCACTGCATTATTACGTCAAGCATAAACACTCAGTATAACAGCATTGACTATTCAGGAAGAATCATGTACCAGCGACCGGGCTATGGCAGCTGCTGAGGAGAAGCAGCCTCCATGCATAAATCACAGGATTGCTATGGCCCATCGAATCCACTGGAGAGCTGTCCATGCACAACAGCATCCAGCAACCACAGGGCAGGGACAGAGCAGGTTAACCTTGCACAACAACCTTGTTGTGCAGAGGGATGCCATCCCCTTTGCTTCCCTCTTATTATAATCCAGGCCCTTGACTCTTCGCTGCTCCACAACTCCTTCAGGTCACCTTAACCTCAACTTCCCGTTCAGCAATTTCGAGACCACCCTCCCTGATATTAACTACATATTATTCACATTACTTCATATTATTTTGCCTCAATATATTTTAGAAACGCACACTAAAACCATGTTTTGTTTAAAATTTCATAATTCCTTCCAGAATTGCTTCCCTTTTAAACTACTGTATTAGTGGTTCCAATATTCTTCCCATTACTTAGGCATGACATTTTTGAGTCACCCCTGACACTACTCAGAAGATACACACAACCAATTAATCATCAAGTCATGTGGATCCTACCTATAAGCCTATTTCTGTTCCCCCTTTTCATTCTCCTCTAAATCCATTTCTGTTTCTCCTTTTATTCTCAGGTCTTCATAATCTATTAAGTCAAATGTAACCTGAAAGTGGGACCGTCTCAAACGTTTCCTCAATTTAGTTATATCCTATTAACATAGACTCCACAGGTATACTCATGCAAATGTACAAAATGTGTATACAATGACATTCACCGAATAATTGTTTCTCCAGGCAAATAACTGAAAACAATCTAAATATTCATGGTGACTGAAGTAAATTACGGTACATCAATAAAATAAGTATCTCGCAGCCATTGAAGGTAATAAATTAAGACATATAAAAATACGTATTGCCTATACATAAAGTCACAGCTATATCAATTTATACTATGTATATCATTTTAAAAAGATTTTACTCATTTCAAACACTACCTCATTCAAAAAGGCGACCATAAATTCCTGAGGCTGGAAACGAACGAACGGCAAGCCCCGAAGAAACACGCTCTTTTAAAAATTAAATCTTGTGCTACTGTTTCGGGGTTGTAACGCGTGCGTGACCCTCGTCTTTGAGGGCCGGATCCTGCAGGGAAGAGAGGGCGTACCTGAGGGGCCTCGCGTGCCTGGACAGCCCCGCGGGCCAGCAAGCCTAAAAGCAACTCATCCGGCGTCCACGCTGCAACCGGGCGCACGGAGGTGATGCAACGCGCTGAAAATGCGGGATCCAGTGAAGGAGACAGGCTCCGCACCGGCCAATCAGTGCGCGCTGCCTGACACCTGCCAACAAGCCAGGCGCCGATTGGTCGCGCCGGACATGATTGCGCCCACTGGCTCGGATGGTGCGACAGTGGTGCTTGCTGGTTTTGCGCCTCCACGTGGAAAACGAACCAGCGCTGAGGGCGGCGCTGTGCGTGCTGCTTGTATCCGTTGCAGTAGTGTAGACCGAGGTCTCACTCGGGTTGTGGGCACCTCCGGGTAGGTGACGGCCCACTGGGAAGGGGCGCCGAGGTCGGGGCTCATGTTCTTCATCTTGTTTGCTTTTGTCAGTATTTATCTGACTGGACACTTCGTACCTAAATTGATAACGACAAACAGCAACTTCCGGAGAGGTGGCTTTAATAATTATACTTTTGGGCCCTGAGCCGCCGACCCCAAAGCCGCTTCTCCTATCATAAATGGCTACGTGAAACGATAATAACAAAAGGGAAGGAAGGGTCTGACAACCAGATTTAAAAGTTTTATTGTATTTTACTTAAAATGTTTCCGGTAATGAAAACATTGCACAAACGATTTTTTTTTCTTTTTTTGAGAAGCGGTCTCATTCTGTCGCCCAGGCTGGAGTGCAGTGGCACGGTCATGGCTCACTGCAGCCTCAACCTCCCCGGATCAGATGATCCTCGCACCTCATCCCTGGCCAAGTAGCTGGGACTACAGGCTAGCGCCACCACGCCCGGCTAATTTTTGTATTTTCTGTAGCAACGGGGTCTTGCTATGTTGCCTAGGCTGCTGTCAAACTCGTGGGCTCAAGCGATCTGCTTGCCTTAGCCTCCTTAACTGTTGGGATTACAGGCATGAGCCACTGCACCCGGCCTGCATACTTATTATCATTGCTATGAGTCGGCTTGGTACCTTACTGATCTGCTGGTTAAAATCTGGAGCCTTGCAAAGGGCAGTAGGCCTCGGGCTTTGGCCCCAGAGCCTCTAAAGGAAATTCTGGATCTTGCCAAATTGGGAGTAGTTCCGTAGCTGCCTATTGTATCCGTTAGAGGGATATAAAAAATTTATCTGGCCTAGAATAGGTAGAATGCAGTTTCTTATTAAGTTTAGGAACATTTTGATAGTCTGTTCAGCATATATTTAACTTTACTTACCGTCTTGGCCCTGTGTGAAGGATTAAAGTGGTTTCATGTCCTCCATCATGGGTAACTCAGTGTTCTGACTATACTCACATAACGTACATAATTTAATAGCTGCAAATCTTGTTAATTAACTGAAAGTATTTGGAATGTGTTTGAAGTTTTCACATTCCTCACGTTGCCACCTTGTTCAGTTCATTTTTGTCACCTATCCAGAGAGCCCAGATAGAGCCAGACAGAGGGCTCCTGGACAAAGGTGAGGTAGGCCAAGTCTAATTATTTAAAAATTTGATTGAGAAACATTTATATTAATAGTACTGTTGTGTTGGAAATAATGCTCAAAATCCTAAGGAAATTGAACATTCAAACAAAGGATTTTCAGCAAAGCAATTTTACTTCTGCGCAGAGGGGTGCTTCTCCTTGGCCAGTCACCATGAGAGCACACCAGAACAAAGGGGCACGAGAACCTTTATCCCTGACACAAACCCTGCCCCTGTACCCTTTCTCCATTGGCCGGAGTTGGGCCTCACAATCTAAAATAACCACAGTTGGCTAAACATTTTAACTTTCTTTAGATAAGGTGGGCACGTAAGAGAGAGGGGAAAGGGGGAAGGGCTGTCTGTAATGAGCTAGAGAGCTAGTCTTCTCTTCGGATAAGGAATACGAGCTGGTACTGATAACGCCTGGTACTGTGGCCTGTCTAGGCATGTAACAAAGGCAGAAAGGAAAGAGGAGAAAAAGGGAAGAGGGGGGCACTGTGAATTAAAGAATAAAGGATTGATCAGGCTATTTGAAGAGAAACCTCATCATGTCCCACAGTTGGAAGGTATGGGAAGACTAAGTCTAGAAAAAGTTAAGCAAATGAAAAAATTCCAGCAAAAAAGTTAACTGTAGTCAAAATATATTACTTGGACTGAAGAGGTGAATAATTTTTTCACCTTTTCAGAATATGTAGTGTCTGGAAGTGAAAAACCAAGAAATCAGAGCATAAGCATGTTAGGTAGAAACATGGAGGTAAATACTAGAGAAATTAAATTGCTGAAGGTGGTTTCATCTGGGGAGCAGGAACTGGGGGGTGGGCAAGGCTACTTGATGTTACTTATTTGTCTGCTTGTGAAACATGTGCCGGATTTAAATTACGGCCACACATTCTGACACTCCTCCCACTAAGAAGTGAGGATCTGTGTCCCCTCCCTTTCAGTCTGGTTGGGCTGTGTGTCAGTTTAAACCTGTAGAATACAGTGAAGTGACTGAGCCGGTTTCTGGGCCAGGCCTTAAGAGACAGGCAGCATCTGCTTCCTGCCTCTGAGAACACTTGCTCCTAGAGCTTTTTTGCTATGCTGTAAGGAAGCCCATGAACAGGCACTGAGTGGGCCATCTTAGAAACAGATCCCGTAGCCCTAGCTGAACCACCCCAGTGAAAGCACACAGCACAGATCAGCAGTCCCTAGTGAGTGTTGACCAAATTGCAGTATTTGTGCATAAAATAAATGATTGTTACTGAGATGATTTGCTATGCAGCAATAGAAAATAAGGTACAAATGTGATCTACATCAAGAGAAGGTAGAAAGTGTGAATTATTTATCCTGCTGCTTAGTTGTCCACACTCTCCTTGAAGTCTGAAGTTTTGGAAACCTAGGAATCCAGAATTACTCTTCAAGTTATTTAGTTCCTTGGACCCTTACTAAAAAAACATAGAGCATAAGCCCTAGGGTCATAATGGTTAACACACCAGATGAAATCCCAACAGTTAAGAGTTTATATTCAGCATAGGTAAATCAATAAATACTAATTTTAGGTACACACATCATGGCTTAATGATAGTCCCTTGGAACTATATAATACTATTTCTTTTTTTTTTTTTTTTTAAGATGGAGTCTCACTCTGTTACCCAGGCTGGAGTGCAGCAACATGATCTCAGCACTGCAACCTCTGCCTCCTGGGTTCAAGTGATTCTCCTGTATCAGCCTCCCTAGCAGCTGGGATTACAGGTGTGAGCCACCACACCCAGCTAATTTTTGCATTTTTAGTAGAGATGGGGTTTCACCATGTTGGCCAGGCTGGTCTTGAAATCCTGACCTCCTCATGATCCGCCCGCCTTGGCCTCCCAAAGTACTGAGATTACAGGTGTGCGCCATCACGCCCGGCCTATGTAATACTATTTCATACAGAGCCCATTTTGATAGGAGACGTATGTCTTGAAATCTAGGCAGGTTGGTTTATTTAATGTAATGTTAAATCTGTTTCCCTATTTGGGCTCAGGGTCCTGACTCCTAATTGTGACTACCTATCTTTCAGGCACTTGGTATTTTTCATAAGCTTTTAGTCTAACTAGAATTTTGGGATTGGTGTACATCTAGATGTTGTTCCTTAATTCCTAGAGGCAATGACAAGATAACTGTATTTGGCTTCCTCTCCTGGTCCTCACAGAACTCTTATATGATGTTGGTCTGAAATGTCCTATATTTCAGTTAACCATTCACCAAAACACAAGTATAAAACTCAATGTTGACTTGTAATTTATCAGTTTAAACAAAAATGACAAAATGGAAGGTGTATTTGACATAATCAGAAATAAAATTTCAAATAGCCTATAATTCACACAAAGCCTAGGCTGGAAAATACAAGTGCTTTGACTCATTTATTTAAAAAGGCTTCATATAAACCTTGCATGAGAAGATGTCCATTAGTTACTCAGGATAGAGGGCAAAGAGATTATATACAAAAAGTATTTTCAAGGACTATCTTGTTCTTCCTTTATAAGAAGTTGAATTTAATTTTTGAAGTAATTACTTAGGAAGAAATGCAGAGGAGTTCCACAGAAAAAGATGGCAACCAGAATGATATTCCGTCAGCCAGATTTTTAAAATTCCTTCACTCTGAAATTTCTTCTTTGTCAGCTAAAACTGTTTTCTGGGTCAGTTTCCTTAGGTGAGCCTTGTTCACATTCAGTATCAAAACCAGCTGACATTTATTATTTTGGTTTCATTTTCCTTTTTGCGTCTTTATGTTTCTTTCGACAATCCTAGGAAAAAAAAAAGACTTGGTTAGCAATAAACAAATTGTTTTTAAGATGTTCAGTAGATAGAAGTAAAACAGGTTATTCTCACTGTCAGGGCTGTGGAAACCTATTTTGAAAGTGCTCTTTTGAAATGAAGAGGGGATATTGGCATTTTTGGCATTAACTGTTTATAATGGGAACTATAATTCAGTCTTTAAAAATCTGATGCTTTCGTGTTACTTAATAGGCTTGGCTGGATTCTGAGACCAGTCACTCAATTGAGCCAGTCTGCAGTCTCCTCACCTATACCATTCATGAGTTCCCTTCCAGGACTGTAATTCTAGATAGGTAACATGTCTATTTTAGGAAATAATATGGAGAAACAATTACTCACCATACGCAGGTTGGTTGTTCTGGCCTCCCAAGAGTTCCTGCTCATATTACTTCCTACTCCTCTCCAGAATAAGTCAGAACCTATTAGGGGAAAAAGAAGAAAGATGAGGCAGCAAACTACTACTAAAATTGGTAATATTCTAAGTGTTGGCATTATCAAGGTCTCGAATACCAGTTAAGATCATTCTTTTCCCTCAGTTTCTACCTATTTTCAAAAATTAGTATTTTTTCTTTCCAAATGAAAAATATAATATTGCTTTTACTGTTTATATATATCATTTACTATTATGTAACTTTGTTTATGCTAGGCTTTAAGAAATGAGCTCCCCAACAGCCTGAGTTTTCACATGGAATTTATGGCACTAAAACTTAGGGGTTTTATATGTCTAACATCTAAGGAAGCCCTTGGAACAAAACAACCCTTTGTTGATGAGAATGAGCGGGCAAAGAAAGTGGTGAGTGGGGAGCTCTCAGACCTTGACAGCTTTACAAGTTAACATTCATCAGTGTGAACAAATGGGGTTAAACCACATGACATTACCAACGGTCAAAATTCCTGGATGTGAATTACTGTAGCTGTATTATTACCTGTTCTATGTATGTAATTTGATGAAAAAAATGGACTGACCTTGAAGTCGTTCATCATTCTTAGAGAAAAAGAAAAATCTAGTGGTCTCTTTCTCAAGTAATGATGCTTCTCTGAAAAGAAAGGGACAAAGGAGAGAGAAAAATAGGTATTGGTTGGTTTAATTTCAATATTTAAGAAGAAATATTTACATTCAAAACATAAATACACTATTTCTTAAATATATCTTTTTTCATTTCCCCCTAGAATCCAGGTGAGCGAGACTCTTAAATATATCTGCTTTGTATTTTGTGCATTTTGCCCTGAGTTAAAACAACCCTCCCTCTAACATTCTTCTATCTGAAGCTTTGATAATGAAGACTTGTTTAAGTAGAACCTCTATCTTTCCTGTGTTGGTTGCTGATACTCTCACTCCCACCATTGCTACCCCATTTGCCAGTGCCTCCCATGGGTAGGCACCCAGTCAACTGCAACATCCTGTTTCCAGACCAGTGACTTCACTGTCAGGCCACCTTCCCTTTTCTATGCACAAACTATCTTCCCCTTAGTGCTATCCAAATCTCATGGAAAAGGAAACACACTCTCCATTATAAAAAGGCTAGAGAACACTCTAAAGAAACTGAGATGTCCAGGCTCAGTGGCAGGGCGCCTGTAATCCTAGCACTTTGGGAGGCCAAGGTGGGCAGATTACTTGAGGTCAGGAGTTCGAAACCAGCCTGGCCAACATGGTGAAACCTCGCCTCTACTAAAAATACAAAAATTAGCCAGGTGTGGTTGGCACGTGCCTGTAATCCCAGCTACTTGGGAGGCTGGGACAGGAGAATTGCTTGAATCTGGGAGGCGGAGGTTGCAGTGAGCTGAGATCATGCCATTGCACTACAGCCTGGGCGACAGAGCAACACTCCGTCTCAAAAAAAAAAAATAAAATAAAAAAAGAAGCTAAGACAATTTAGTTGTCATGTGAAGAGAAGCTAAAATATTTCTAAAGTATGTCTAATTCAGATTTTACAAATTATGAACTATGCCTGCAAAGAAACAAATTGTTTACCCAGGACTGGAGTTTCTGTGATCTGTTTCTTCAGTAACATCTTCCTCTTCTGAACTGCTGTCTTGTAAACGAGGGTCTTCCTGCCAGACAATCTTTCCAGGTTTCACTGTTTCAACTCTGTAGGTCTCTATATCGTTATGACAACAAAAGATGATGGGATTGTAACTCCACAGCCAAGTATTTCTGAACACATTCATTTGATTACTTTTACCACGTAGACATATCTAAAGTTCCAATATGTTAATCATTAATTTAAAATAGTATCAAAAAAATAGGTAGTATCATCTTTTTAGATTTTTCAAATATTTTCAGAAGCCACTATCATAATTTTGGCATTGCTAGAATGATCTGATAAGGACAGCAGTAATATAAAAAAGGTTTAAAAAATAAAGGTTTATAAATGAGCTATATAATTTTTAAAAATGACACCTAAAATAACCATGGCATCTGTGCTTGCATGAGAAGCCTAAAATATAATAGGATACAGGGAAATCAGGTTTCCCTCTTGTCTATTTATAAATGAGAAAAGGAATATATCTTTACATTTTCAATACCCAAAACTTTTTGCTAGAACTGCTGGAAAAACTACTGCTATAAGATCAGGACAATCACCTCACAAGTCTTCAAAATTTCCCAAGTACTTAAAAAACATCTTTCAAGTTGCTGATGTCTTTAGGACTCGTTTCAAGGTCAATTTCTCACGTTTTGCTCTCAAAGTTAGAAAAACTATCGTTACTATTTACATCATGCCAACTCTACTCAACAGTTTATATAGACAAGAAAATGAAGTCTTATTTGCAATACTTTTTGAACAACTACTAGATTGTTATACTTCCTTTTAAAGTACCACGGAGTTGGTATTATCTGCTAGTGAACCGAGATTGCACCACTGCACTCCAGCCTGGGTGACAGAGACTCTGTCTCCAAAAAAAAAAAAAAAATTATTTTAATCTACCAAACACATGTATGCTATTTTAACTGCTGATCTTTAAAGTAGAATCATTGTAGTTAGGTATGTGTGTATTCTTCTGTATAGGTATTACCTGCTTTTACAGTGGGAACTTCCAGAAAGCTGGAACCCTGGGTGAGGAACAGGTCAGGTGTTTTTTAACCTGTGGCCCATGTTGGCCTTTAGAGGTAAGCCTCTTGAAATGAAATGCAAAACTGTATGTACTAGTGTTTATACTTCTCTCTAGGTTCTGGCAAATCTTCAAGGATAAACTGTGCAATAACTGGCATATTGATGACATGGCATATTTGTGTAAAACCAAGGTTACCTATATCTTCTTTTATCTTATATATAGCACTAGTTTTCCATAAGTCATAGCATCTTCAGCTTCATTTAAGATACAAAGCTCTTTATGTGATTTACTATACTTCTTCATGACGTTTTACTTAACAGAAAAGATGCTGTACATTATTCTCTGGCTTCCCTTCATATGGCAGCTAGTAGAGATTTGCTTCCTTAAATGCAAAAATAGTTTCTTTCACAGCTTCAGGAACATCGTGTTTATGCTCCTGTGACACTAAATCTCAAATCTTCTAGGTAGAAGAAAGAGTCCTTTCTTCAGCTAACATGAAATCTGTTACACTTAATGCAGATTCAATCAATTAAGTTCAAACTGAATAAAATAAAAAAGTATGGGAAAAAAGAAAAGTACCTTCCTTTATGTCTTTAGTGTCTGAATCAAAAAAAGAGAACGTGAACCCGCTGGGCTGCTCAGCGTCACTGGTCAGAGCTGCAGGGTCCTGGATTTCCTCAGGTTTCTCTTTACCACAGTCCTCATTCCAGGGTGTGCCCTCTTCCTTTTCACTGGTATATTTTGTAGTTTGGAATATTTCTTTCAGATCCATAGCAATATTATAATACATTTCTTTAGACACCTCAGGTAGTTTCTCAGCTTCCTCCCTTTTCTTTTTTCGTTTTGCTTTACTGAAATGACATATGTAGACATGTGCATCACAAAGAAACAAGTTTTGGGAAATTTCCAGAAATCAAGAAAAGAAAAAATCTTGGACAACTTTAATTCTATCCTATCAACAACCAGAATATAAAACTCTACTTATAAATAGAGAAATAAAATAAGTAAAACTCTACATATAGAACTCTACTAATAGAAGCAAAATCTTGATCAATAAGCTTTTTTTACACAAATCTCAAACAGCTGCATGAATCATATTCTATCATTCTCTGAACTACATTTCAGAAATTATGCCTAAACTATACACCTAGGTATAAGTAAGGAAATCACTTAGCTTCACTAGGCCTCAGTTTTCTCATAGGCAAAATGAAAACTGTAAGCCACATGACTTCTAAGATACTGGGAATTTTACCAGTAACTGGTAAAATTGTAAATCAGTTGTAGAAATTAATTATAAATATGTATAGTGTCTTTTGAAATGAAATTTTTATATTACCATAAATCTGCTCTGTATTTAGGAATGAATATGCTTTTCTCTTTGATCTGGGACAAAAAGTTACTTGGCAGTTTCCAATACTGAATTTTGAGCTAAGAAAATATTAAAATCCTTTTTCCTCGAAGACCAGGCCAAAGTTTGTAATGTACTACGTAAAATAATAAGTGAACAGGATATCCTAAATAACCATTCTTAGTGGTAGAGACCATATCAAAGAGAGAAACTTTTAGTATTTCGGTAAATAAACCAACCTCGTTAGGTTTTAAGACAGATATGCCTCTTAGGAAACCAAGCTCTATAAAAAATGGTAGGCAGTTCCAAGTGATTATCATTTAACCACCATGTGGTGGCTTTAAAATTTGTCCAAAAACTCTTTGTTACTTCTTCCTTCAAGGGGTGGAAGTTAATTCCCTCATCCCTTGAGTGTGAGCTGGACTTAGTGACTCTTTTAATGGACAGAGTAAGCCAAATGGGATGACATATAACTTCTGAGACTAAGATCACAGCAAAAGCTAGAAGGACCTTGAAAAAACTGTTAGTAGAAACCATATGGTCTTTGAGAAGGTTGCAGGTAAGGGCTTAAGAGAAAAATAAGGTAAATCCTATTGGAAACTGGAGAAGAGGGAATCCTTGTTACATGGTGGTAGAAAGTTTAGCAACACTGTCAACTGCATTGTGTGTACTGTGGAAAATGGAAAATGTACCTAATTAGCTGGGTGATCTAGCTAAGGAGATGTCCAGCGAAGTGTTAAAGGTATATTCTGGTTTCATCCTACTGATTACAGTGAAATAAGAGAGGAGAGAATGAAACTAAAGGGAGGAATTTTTTTTTTTAAAGGGAGCCAGGAATTCATGGTTTTGAAGACTCCTAATCTCCAGAAGGCAAATGACATGAAATTTAAGAAAGGGCTTCTAAGCAAAGATCAACTCTATGACAGCCTCAGAAAAACATGGTCTAAAGAAGGGGTTGGCAAACTATAGTCCATGGGCCAAGTCCAGGCTACTGCCTACTTATGTCTGAACTGCAAGTTAAGGAATTTTTTTTATCATTTGAAATGATAGGGGGAAAAACAAACATCATTTCATGAAAAAATTATATGAAATGAAAATTTCAGTGTCCTTTAATAGTTTTATCGGCACACAGCCTTGCTCATTTGTTTACATATTGTCTATGGCTGCTTTTCTTTTACAAAGGTAGAGTGGAGTCATCACAGCAGAGATGGTCTGGCCTGCAAAGTCTTATCTATTTACTATCTTGCCTGTCACAGAAAAAGTTATAGACCTCGGTCTAAAAATAAAACAAAATTCTTTGTTAAGACCCTAAAAAGAGATAAGAAGCTTCCAACTGTTACCCAGGAACAGTGGTGCACACCTGTATTTCCAGCTATGTGGGAGGCTGAGGTGGGAGGACCACTTGAGCCCAGGAGTTCAAGGCTACAGTGAGCTATGATTGTGCCACTGCAGTCCAGCCAGGTGACAGAGCAAGACCCTGTCTCTAAGATTATACAAAAAAGAAAATAAACTTCAATTGTTCAAACAATAGGGCTTCTATGGAGGTTAGAGGCATTATCTCTCAGCAGTTTCAGTAGAAGCCCAGGGTTAAAAAAACAACAAAAAAGGCTTATCTCAAAATGATTTGTGTGACTTTCATCTAACAGAGTGAATTCCAAGAAGATTCACAGATAACTTATGAAGATTTTAAGAGAATTATATTATCAGAAATACCACTAGACTGGACTGGTAGGTACAGGAACATTTCAAAATGAACAGGCTTTTGGACTCCCAAATTTCTATAAGCAAAAAGCAGGTTGAAAAAACTACTCAGCTGTAAACCTGTGCCAGCACTTATGAAAAGAGAAGGATGATCCAGAAAGCCAAGTCAACGGTCAGGAAGAATTATTCCTAGGCCCTCAGTCCTAATCAAAGACCTTCCAACATTTGTCTGTCTAGATTTCAGAGTTACTATGGACATGTGACTCCTTTGTGCCTGTTTTCTTTCATTGAACAGTACCTATAGTGGTTATCCAATGCCTGTTCCACCGCTCTATATTGGAGGAAGGGTAGATAACTTGCTTTTTTAGTTCATAGGTCTTATCAAACAGAACTGCACTCAAGGTACTGTACTCAAGGAATAACAGAGAAGCCTCATCTGTACTTAGATCTGATCTGAATGATGACATCCTGGATTTTGAGCTGATGTAAAGGGATGAGACTTCTTAGGGGTATAGGGAGGGGGTAAACATATCCTATTTGTTCAATACGGATTATCTGAAATAACACACATATATCCTACATTGGAGGGAATATTAATATTCTACTTTAGTCTAAAATGTGATTCTTTTTAAAAGAATAATTTTGGAACAATTTTAGGTTTACAGAAAGTAACGAAAATAGTAGAGTTCCTAAATAGCCTTCACTTTGTTTTCCCTAATGTAATTATGTGTGTATGTAACTAGGATATAATTGTCAAAATTAGAAGATTAACATTGGTAGATTACCACTAACTAAACTCAGACATTGTTTTGATTTCACTAGTTTCTCCACAAATTGTCCTGTTGTTTCAAGATTCAATTCAGGATACCACACTGCCTTTTGTGATTTTCGTGGCTATTAGCAGTTGGAAAATGAAGGATTTAAACCAAGCTGCTACTGGTTGCTCCATATATTTGCCATGTTTATCCAACTGACTGCACATCTATAGGAAACAGAAGCTCCTACCACACTAGATGGTTGAATGGTTGCCCCCCAAAAGCTATGTCCATGTCCTAATTCCTGAAACCTGTGAATGTTAACATTATTTAGATAAGGGGTCTTGCAGAGATATTAAGTTAAGGGTCCTAGGATGAGGAGCCCATCCAGGATTATCCAAGTGGGCCCTGAATGCTATCACAAGTGTCCTTATAAGAGGCACAAAGAGGAGAGACAGAAAAGAAGAGGCCATGTGAAGATAGAGGCAGAAATGGGAGTAATGTAGTCTCAAGCCAAGGAACACCAAAGGATTGGTGGCAGTCACTAGAAACTAGGAGAGGCATAAAACAGCTTTGTTTCCCTGAACCTCTAGAAGGAACATAACCTGTTCACTATCTTAATTTGGGACTTCTAGGTTCCAGAACTGTAAAGAAATAATTTTTGTGATTTTAAGTAACTAAGTTTGTGGTAGCTACAGAAGACACAAGAAACTAGTACAAATAAAAGGCATCATTTATACAAATAAAAGGTATAAATGATAGGAGTACATATCATTTATAGATTCCTCTGTTAAAAGGTAAGACCTCCTCCACCACATCAATAATTCCTTTCTAACTCTACCTGCACTACCCCTACCCCACCAATCTTAATACAGTGGGACCAATGAGTAGGATATTGGTTCCTACCTACATTTTTAATTGTCTGAAATGAGATTAATTTACATGATCCTATTGCTAAAAGAAGTAGCTCTACTTACCTTTCTTTTGGCTTATCATCTCTTTTTCTTTCGTAAGTGGCATGGTCTTGCTTCGTTGGATCATAATGTATGATGTCCCTATGTAAAAAAAGGAAGGGAGGTTGGAAGAGATAAAAACAGAACACTAATACAAAAAGTAAGTAGCAAATTATAATTCAGCACTAGGAAGATTCTAATTTTGCAGCAAGAAGAAGCCATATAACATCAGATAAGATAACTAGGATCTTACTAGAAATAACATATACATAGATTTTTCTTGGAGACAGAGTCTCGCTGTGTTGCCCAGGCTGGAGTGCAATGGCGTGATCTTGGCTCACTGCAACCTCCGCCTCCCAAGTTCAAGCGATTCTCCTGCCTCAGCCTCCCAAGTAGCTGGGATTACAGGCATGTGCCACCATGCCCGGCTAATTTTTATATTTTTAGTAGAGACGGGGTTTCACCATGTTGGCCAGGCTGCTCTCCAACTCCTGATCTCAGGTGATCCGCCCACCTTAGCCTCCCAAAGTGCTAGGATCACAGGTGTGAGCCACCATGCCCAGCCGAAAAAATATTTTAAACTACCTACTTTTGAGATTTCCTGGATTTTTTTAGCTTTTAAAATGATTTTAAACATACTAAAATACATACAGATAAAATGATATACTATCTGGGATTTGCATAAAACATTTCATTGTGTAAAGTAGGGGTTGGATAAAGGTATAGAAGAGAACACTGGTCACATGTTGGTGACTGTAAAAGCTAGGTGATGGTGTACAGGGCTTTCATTACCTGGTGTACAGGTAATGATGGTATACAGGGCTTTCATTAGTCTCTCTAAATTTCATGCCTGAAAATTTCCATAACAGTTACGTTTATATAAATACTTTTACAGTTACTATTTAAACTGTTTCCCATTTGTTTCACTAATGAAAGCGATGCTGCTATGACATCTAAGTGTATAAATACAGAAATAATTTAAGATTAGTTCCTTGAAGTGAATCACTGGGTCAAAGGCAAGTATATTTTTAAGGGTCTGATACATATTGCCAGCTGCCTCCCCAGGCCATTAAAAGAGACCTAGTTTTAAATTGAGTTCAAGAAGACATTTATGGCAAAGGATGATATGGTAGAATGGGATGGAACATAAAACATACTTAAATTTCTTAGCAGCTACTGATCCTCTGTTTGTAGAATTGCTTAAGTTGATTTGCAAAACACTTTGTACAACATTCAGGGCTTTCTTTTTTTCTTCAGCAAGCTCTTCTTCCTCAGCAGTTTTCTTTTCATTTACCTCTTTGAGGAAAAGGGATAATTAATACTCTCTTGGAAAACACAGCCTGAGAAGTCTCAATCATCAAATATTTACCAAGTACCTAAACATGTTCAAAATCCATTAAGACAGGAAGAAGAAACTTTAACCTCATTTCACTAACCTCCATAACCAAAGACCCTCAGTCATAGCAAACTCAGAAAGTCTGCGTGACCAGACAATGAAAAGTCCTACTTCTGTTCCTAATTATGAAAGTCTGAATTTAATGGCTTTCAGTAGCAAGTCTAAAACTTTTAAGGTAAAGATCGACAAATGTAATAGAGCAAGATACTAATAACTACAGTGATTATAGACTCTTTGATTTTTTTAACATTCTAAACATAATCTAAATTACGTAAATCTAAAAATGATAAAGAGTGAAAAATGGTAATGGTATATCTGACAATATAAGATATTAGTGGATAGTTGTTTCAGTCTTTGATTCAATAACAAGTATTATGGGAAAAAAACCATATGCCCTACACATACTAAGGCATCATGGACTTTTACAAGCTACTATCCTCAACTACTACAAACAGACAAAATATCACAGAATAAAGTTAAACAGCTAGTTTGGATTACAGAAATACAAAAGTAGTCTAAGCCTGTATGACTCTTTCAACTTACTGCAGGATATAAATAACCAACTAACAGAAACTAGAATAAAATGCTAATTTAAGTACTCTACAGGGATGCCCCCAAAGTTTCTAAGGGTTCAAAGGAAGTTGAGATAGTGTTTAACTGAATCAAAAGATGCTTTATAAACTAGGTAAAGTTATGAGGTAGGAAAGATAGAGTTGAATCCCTAGAGGTGGTAGGAAAGCATGCTAGGTGTTGGAAACAAAACGAACACATATATTGAAATAATAAAGTACAAAAAGTTTACACTGCATTAGGTTGAAACTGCTAATTTCAACAACTTTTGACTATCAAAAACATCAATTTAAATTTTAATCTAATAAGCATTAGGGAAGTAGATTATAATGCTGAAAAAGGCTCAAGGTGATATAGGCTGGCTGTGCTGCTTACTTGAGACAAAACGTTGTGCCTCAAAATTTGGGAAGGGGTCTGGTGCAGTGGTTCCATGCCTATAATCTCAGCACTTTGGGAAGCTGAGGCAGGAGGATCACTTGAGGCCAGGAGTTTGAGACCCGCCTAGGCAACACAGCGAGACCCTGTCTCTATGAAAATACAAAAATTAGCTGGACATGGTGGCACATGCCTGTAGTCCTAGCTACTAGAGAGACTGAGTTTGAGGTTACAGTAAGCTATGACTGTGCCACTGCACTCCAGCCTGAGGAACACAGTGAGATCCTGTCTCCAAAAAAATAAAAATAAAATGTTGAGAAGGAAAGAAAAAAACAACAACAGAGATTCTAAGAATGGACACGCCATCAACGCAGAAAGGTTAAGAAGAGCTGGTTTGGACTTGCTGAGTTTTAACACAAACTCAGGAAAGCCTGTGGAAAATATCCAACAGGCGTTTAAGACCAGTTGGGAGCTCAGCAGAACAGCAAGGAAGAAAGAAGATCCAAATTTGAAAAATACTCATGTGCAAGTGAAGGCTAAAGCTATAGGGACTTACAGAACCCTGGGAAGAACCCATATTTGGAGGCAAAAGAAAAATTAGGAATAAAGAGTTAAGAAAACCAGGAAGTTATGATGCAATTGGAAGCAAAGTGAACATTTCAAGAAGGGATGATCAACAGTGACATATGCTCTAGGTTAGCTGAAGAGGATGTCATTGGAGACAATGCCACTGCACTTGGAGGACAAGTTGTTTACGGCTTTGAGGGAACACACACCCAAAGAGTTGTAAAGAAACAGACAAAATTGGCAGAAGTTAAGAAAATAACCTATGTACCTTCTAAATGAAGGTTAGTCTCCAGGTTCTGTTCATTCTTGTGTTTTCAACATGGAGTTTTGAGTGAGAAAGTCAAGTAGAATACAATGCTGGAAAGGGCTCAAGGTGATGGAGGCTGGCTGTGCTGCTGCTTGCAGGATAGACAAACATTGTGCTTTCAAAAGTTGGAAAAGGGCCAGCTACAGTGGCTCATGCCTGTAATCTCAGCACTGAAACAGAATTTGGGAGGACCCTAGAGAATTCATTTTAAAACTCTCTGAACCTTGGTTTCCTGAAACAGTCCAACACTGTTAATAATCACCTCAAAGAATTGAGAAGATCAAATCACAGATTGTTTTCAGTAAAAAGCCAACTGCTACTGAATTAGATGTAATTTACTTTTTCACTTCAAATTTAGAACTGAAAGAGAGATGGAGTACAAACTTGAAAACTGGCATGGTTAGAGGAATGGCTTTTTTGGGACCACAAGACCTAACTATGTCTGTAGAAAAAGGAAGAAGCTAGAAGGAGAAGAATGAAAATGCAAGTGATGAAAGGAGTAATAGGAAGTAGGAATGGTGAGGATTAAAATGCAGATTAGATTAATTCAGGAAGGAGAAAAAAAAAGAAGGGCAGAGAAGTTCTGAGATTAGGAGAGGGAATTAGGGAGCTCATTCAAGCCAGCGACGTAAGAGGTAAGGTGTTTTTAAAAGGGTAAGAGGAGAAGGTCCTGTAGAAAAAGATTGGAAGTACTGCTGTGAAAAATGCTATAGTAAGTGAAAAGAAGTAGAATTAGGATGCTTCTGATAGCATCATTACTCTTAGATACATTCAAACAGGGATAAATTCAAGTAGAATGGCATTCAGTGATACACAGCTTTAAAAAATAATCTGCACCAGGTATGCACACTGGAGGACGATGAACACTGTTCCTTTTAGAAAGCCAAGAGTGACTTAACTGTCTTCCATGGCTTCACCCAGAACCTGCTGATCCACTGCCAGGTAGGAAACTCAACTTCTTCTCATGCCAAGGATGGGATAGAGGAAAATGGTACCTTTGGTGGATGTTATTTTTTCCTTTCCTTTCTGGCAGCTCTAAGTAATTAAATTTTCCTAAATTACTATGTACAAACAAACTTAGTATTAACTGTACATTTGATTATAAACTCCTCAATCCAATGTCTTGGGATGGAGAGTTTCTTCATGTGTTAAACAAAGGAGGTATACTAGGTGATTTCTCAGTGTCCCCAGATATGACATCAGGACTCTGGACAATGAAGCATTTACCTTCCTGTTCCTCTTCACTGTCAGTTTCTAGAAATCGAGAGTCCATGCGGAATCTGTCATCGGTGCCAAAGTGCGACTGTAAATCCATGAGCTACACAGACAGAAAACATACATAATTGATAGCCACATTCCCAAGAAATTGCTTCTGACGAAGACTGTCAATGTACACCTCCCCACACACTGAAATTCACTACATTAAGATGTTTGCCTACCTCCATCTACTTATGAACCAATCAGAGAGGATCACAGAAGACTCACTCTCCAAATAAACACCCCGATGCTATAATGTAGGTTAAGGTCTGCCTGCATTTACCCAGATTTAAGGACTATGTCAAAAAATAAGGACATGCTGCAAGTCTAATTATTTTCAGTCTTCACTAACCTTCTGTCCAGCTCTGCCCTCAAACTGAGGTTTAATTTTGAACCTATTACTGTCATCTTCAGAATCAGATTCGTCATCATCACTGCTATCAAACAGCTTCCCTGATGTTTTACCCATAGACTCCTGTGAAGAAACACAACATTTATTAATAGCAGAGGCAAACAAGCAGTATTTCCCTTCATAACGTAATCTTCTCCCTCACATTGAAAGCCAGTAACCCAGACTCATCTACCAGGAATGAGTAAATGGCAGGTCAGGTGGAAATTCCTGACTCAGTGAAATCTAACTGGCCTCTGGGATCACTAATCCAGAGGCTCTCCAGTGAAGCCTGGATTTGGGGAGGTAGTTATTACATGCAAGAACAGTTTTTGTAGCGTTTCACTAATATTGATGTCATGCTGCAGATGTTGTGGAGAATATAGGTTCATATATAAAAATCTCCAAGACCCCTGTAGTCTCAATATGAGGTGACCTGGCAAGCCCTGGGTCTCATTGGGGCTCTCAGGAGGGTTTTATGTTGAGATTGCCAGTTGTTTGTGGTGTGGATCTGCAGAAGTAGATGAATGTCCACAGAGACATCCTGAACTTCTTACTTTCACCCATTCCTCTCCTGGATGGCTCTGCTCCTGAGTCGATGTCTCCTCTGTTTCACATTCACTGTCAGAACCGAAGATGATGTGCGTTGGCTTATCCTCTGGATGACCATCCTAGGGAGGCCATCGAAAGCATTGCATCTTAAAAAGATTTATGATGAAGACTCCAAAAGCAATTGCAACAAAATCCAAAATTGACAAGTGGGATCTAATTAAACTAAAGAGCTTCTGCACAGCAAAAGAAAAACTTATCAACAAAGTAAACAGACAACGTACAGAATCGGAGAAAATATTTGCAAACTATGCATCTGACAAAGGTCTAATACCCAGAATCTATAAGGAACTTAAACAAATCAACAAGCAAAAAACAAACAACCCTAGTGAAAAATGGGCAAAGGACACAGCAGACACTTCTCAAAAGACAAACACATGGCCAACAAGCATACAAAAAAAATGCTCAACATCACTGATCATTAGAGGAATGCAAATCAAAACCACAATGAGATACCATCTCACACCAGTCAAAATGGCTATTACTAAAAAGTCAAAATATAACAGATGCTGGCAAGGTTGCAGAGAAAGGGAAATGCTTATATACTGCTGGTGGGAATGTAAATGCATTCACCCACAGTGGAAAGCAGTTTGGCGATTTCTCAAAGAACTTAAAACAAAACTATCATTTGACCTACAACCCCATTAGTGGATATTTGCCCAAAGGAATATAAATCATTCTACCATAAAGACACATGCACACATATGTTTATTGGAGTACTATTCATAATAGCAAAGACACGAAATCAACCTAGATGCCCATCAATGGTGGACTGGATAAAGAAAATGTGGTACACATGCCCCATGAAATATTATGCAGTCATAAAAAAAGAATGCAATCATGTCCCTTACAGCCACATTGATGGTGCTGGAGGCTACTATCCTAAACAAATTAATACAGGAACAGAAAACCAAATACTGCATGCTCTCACTTATAAGTGGGAGCTAAATGTTGAGTACACATGGGGGAGCAATAGGCCAGGTACAGTGGTTGACACCTGAAATCCCAGCACTTTGGGAGGCCAAGGCAGGCTGATTGCTTGAGCTTAGGAGTTCAAGACCAGCCTAGGTGACATGGTGAAACCCCATCTCTACAAAAACACAAAAATTAGCTGGGCATGGTGGCACGTGACTGTAGTCCCAGCTACTCAGCAGGCTGAGGTGGGAGAATTGCTTGAGCCTGGGAGATGGAGGTTGCAGTGAGCTGAGATCATACCACTGCACCCCAGGGTGACAGAGTGAGACCCTGTAAAAAAAAAAAAAAAAAAAAAAAAAAGAACAATCAACACTGGGGTCTACTTGAGGGTGGAGGGTGGAAAGAGAGTAAGGATTGAAAAGCCACCTATTGGGCCGGGCACAGTAGCTCACGCCTGTAATCCCAACACTTTGGGAGGCCAAGACAGGCGGATCACGTGAGGTCAGGAATTTGAGACCAGCCTGGCCAACATGGTGAAACCCCATCTCTACCACAAATATAAAAATTAGCTGGGCGTGGTGGCAGGTGCCTGTAATCCCAGCTACTCAGGAGGCTGAGGCAGGAGAATTGCTTGAACCCAGGAGGCGGAGATTGCAGTGAGCCGAGATCACACCATTGTACTCCAGCCTGGGCAACAAGAGCAAAACTCCATCTCAAAAAAAAAAAAAAAAAAAAAGAAAAGAAAAACCACCTATTGGGTACTATGCTGATTATCTGGGTGACAAAATAATCTGTACACCGAACCTCCAAGACACACAGCTTACCCATGTAACAAACCTGCACATATACCCCCAGAACCTAAAATAAAGGAAGAAAAAAAAAAGCATTGTCTTAAAACAACCCAATCTCAAACTGAACATGTCTAAACCTATCACTCCCTTCCCCTGCCAAGTCTACTTCCTGCCCTTTTTCCTTATCTAGTGAATGCCATCACCATCTGTTTATTTGCCTAAGACAGAAACTTACAATTCCTCTTTCTATCCCTATCCAGTTATCACCAAGTCCTATCAATTAAACTTTTTGGTATCAATTCAGTCAATCTATTCCCATTGCTGTTGTTACGGTTTTGACTTTCCACCTCCCCAAAGGCTCTCCTTGGTTACAGACGGAGCCGTTCGATTTGTTTTCATCATGGTCTGAAGGATCTCTCCCAAACAGAGGTTGACAAACTTTTTCTGTAAAAGGCCAGAGTAAATATGTTAGGCTTTGCAGGCCACATATCGTCTTTGTTCTGTACTCAAAAACTATTTTTAGCTTGAAGGCTGTACATAAATAGGTCATGGGCTGGATGGCCTTTGAGGTGTAGTTTGTCAACTCCTGTTCCAAAATAGACACAATTAATCTTCTCTCCTTTGCTTAAAATTCTTCACTCTCTTTTCATTTTATGAACAAAATGAAACCACTAGCCTCATTTCTTGCCATCTCATGCTGTATAAGTTTTAATTACACTGATTGAAAACATTCACCCTTGTATAAACGGTTCCTTTTTCCTAGAATGAAAGCCTTTCCACTCCCTTTCCACCCTTTCACCTGGGCCTGACCAATTCCCACAAATCTTTTCCTACCACTCAGCTCAGACTACAGAAGCTCCCAACTGACTTAGTGTGTCTCCTGCGTGCTGCCAAGGCACAGGGGCACAACCCCCTCCTGGCCCTGTGTAACTGAACTGTGACTGTCAGCATGCCACACCATGAGCCAAAAACTGTATGAAAGGCAAGATCACCATCCTCATACTATAAATCTGGCACTTACTATAAAGGTGTACTTAACAATTGTTAGAAGAATGAACAAAAGCCCATTACAGTAAATCTTGGCAAGACTTGGCAAGGTATAAATCACTTGACAAGTGATTTTTATGTAAATTCAGACACATTTGAATACATTACTTAACTATACCAGGTATAGCTTCTAAATGAAAGAAAATTATAAAGAAATTTTCAGATAAACCAGATGAAAAAGCTAACTCAAGAACCAAAACATGAAACTGGTGAACACCAAGACAATCAGCTCTATGGGGGCACACCTAACTTCATGGGAAAGAAAAGCTGAACTTTCTGAGTTCTTGTTAAATCCATACATTGAAAATATACTCACCAAATTTGCCAGAGCATTATGCACCAGCTTCTTCTGCACTTCTTTTGCTTTTTGCCTCGCTTCCAAGGCTGCCAAACGCTTCTCATTGTCTTCAGCATGCTTATCTTTAGCACTCACATCTGACGAATTACTAATAGAAAGTGAGAAATCAGTTTTGATTTCCCGAGTGTCCTTGGATGAGACCTTTGGTGATTTCTTGAGAGATGTGAGGCCGCTTGAATCAGACCGCTCTTCCTGTGAAGCTTCTGTCTTTGTGGTACTATGGCAGCTGTCTTTGTCAAAGCCTATGTTGTGAGTCTTTGCACTAAGACTTAAGGACTTCTTACCTTCTAATGGCCTAGAAATAGGATTCTTACTTCTCTTTTCAGAACTGCTAGGGGACACTGCCTTGCGATCCTGGCTTTCAAAAGTGGTCTGTCTTTTTTGAGGCTGAATATAGTTTGGGCCATTCGCCTTCTTTGCATGTTGGCATGGAGTCACTTCACCTAATGAGCCATTAACATATGGGGACCCATCTTCCATGGATATGATACTGGGATCCTCATGTTTCATGGAATTCTGATCTTTATTGTTAGAGGCAACACTGTCTTTCAAGGATTTTTTCATTGACTCCTTTTCATATAGACAGCCTACTCCCTTGAAAGCCTGAAATTTTGGCTTTAAATTGTTTTCCTTTGGTTTCTGTTTGCCACAGGTGTTCTCCTCTCCTTCTAACAGGGAAGCCACAATCTCCGCAGGACGAATACACTGTCGGCCTCTGCGGAGGCCAGTGGGAGTCTTGGGGCTCTTGGAGCCTCTGTCAAACTTGCATTGGGTGGTGGTTTCTGGTCCATCACTCTTAGTATCTTCATTTGGAACCTTCAGATCACTGCCAGCCAATTGTTCCAAATCAGCTAAAGTGAGATTCACACGAAGGCAGTTTTTCATCATGGCATTATACTCCTCACCTCCTTCAGAGTCAGCTAATTCTGATGCAGAATCAGCATCTTCACTGCTACTGGAGTGAGAGGGAGATTTACGATTAAGAGACTTTAATCCATGACTGAGGGCTGACTCTACATTGCTTTTTCTTTTTTGTAGTTTAATACAGTGATCAGAAAGCTCACAGTTTTCTCTATTTTTGAAAGAAGTTTTCTTCGTAGATTTTTCCATTTGTGAAAATTCTGTACTGTTTTTGACCTTAGCAACATTTTTTTTCATCGCAATAATTTCATCTGTATCTCCTGAGTCATACTCACGATCATTTCTCATAATATCATCATCACTATCATGGCAAGAGACACGATTTTTGATACCTAAACCTATTAAAGAATGCAGTTTGTGAACGCCTGATTTGAAATCATCCCTTACAACTTCAAAAGGATCACTTTCAGATTCATTTATTGAGGGTTGTGTAGTTCTCTGTAAGTTTTCCTCTTTCGCAATCATCATTCTCAATTCATCTTCAGAATCAGTATCATCATCAGAAATGCTGTTTCTCTTCTTGGCAGTTTCCAAGCCAGAAGTCTTAAAAGGTAGATTTTTAAGTTTCTGAGTATCAGAAACAGGTACAGGAGATGATTTAGAAGGAGTAATGGAATCACAAGTTCTTTTTTGTGCAGCCTGTTGCTGTGTTAAGGGTGGTCTCTCTATTACCCTCCTGGGCCTTGTACTCATGGCCAGAGACCCAGTGGAACTCTCATCCTTCTGCACTTTTATTATCTTCTTGGGAGGGCCATGAAAGTCAGAGAACTCTCCTCGCCGTTTCTTACTCATAGGGTCATTCCCTCCTTCTAATTCCCAAGTCAGGCTGGATATAGGAATGGTGTTTGAGAAATCCTCCCCTATCTTCTTCAGGTTGTGGCAGTATTTTGAGGGATCATATTTGATGATGTTACGCAAGTCAAGAAACAAAACTAAAGCACTTGGTTTTAGGAAAACTCATCAATCTTTGATACAAAAAATATTGCTTAATCTCAAATAAGTCATTTCCCCCCCCTTTCAGTTTCCTGTAAAAGAAAATGAGGACTTAACTAGGTTACCTTTCAGGGTCTAAGAAACTGAGCTTTCTATGACATTTGCTGAGTTAAAGTCTAGTACCACCACTATTAGTTGGCAGAAATTACTTGGAGTGTATGTGGATATTATAGCAAACCTATTCAGATTATATTATAGGTACACAGGTCTCAGGGCTATTTTCTGTAAATCACAGAAATCCAACCATCGAACTGATACAGTAAAGCAAAGTTCTGGGTTCAGGAGAACCCAGAGGACATGGCCACATGTGTGTCCTTTACTCTCAAATTCTTTTGGCTATTTCTGTTCTCTCAGTTCTTACTCATCCTAACTCTGATTCTCCTAGCTGAATAACATCCACTTCACATGAACTCACTCTCTGCAACATTTTTAGGTCTTTATTAGAAAGCTGGCCTGGGCACGGTGGCTCATGCCTGTAATCCCAGCACTTTGGGAGGCCGAGGTGGGCCGATTACATGAGCCCAGGAGTTCGAGACCAGCCTGGGCAACATGGTGAGAACCTGTCTTAAAAATAAAAATTAAAAATTAAAAAAAATCTAATAAATCTTTACCAGGCCTATGTCGACACTATCCGGGAAAGATTCTAGTTAACATCGATGTGTTGTAATGATGGCTGTCATTTGCTGATTCCCTAAAGCATATGAATAGGCAAGTATTAAGGTGCTTTAAGCTATCACTCTTTTTTGTTTTGAGACAGGGTTTCACTGCTACCCAGGCTGGAGTGCCACGGCATGATCGTGGCTCAATACAGCTTCAACCTTCCAGGCTCAAGTGATCCTCCCAACTCAGCCTCCCCAGTGGCAGGGACCACAGGCATGTGCCACCGGGCCCAGCCTGATTTTTCTTTTATTAATATTTTTTGTAGAGTTACAGTCTCACTATGTTGCCTAGACTGGTCGCAAACACCTGGGCTCAAGTGATCCCCCAGTGGCCTCCCAAAGTGCTGGGATTACAGGTGTGAGCCACTGCACCCCACCTTAAGCGATTACTCTTGAAAGTCCCTTTTTTCAATAACTACTTATATGTGCCAGTTATATGTGAGGTGTGCCAAAAAGTGTCTATTGTCTCTACTGTCCTTCAATATCTTCCTCTTTGCCATCAGCAGCTGCCATTGGTGGAAAGCTGGAAAGTGGAAAAGAAGAAATCAGTACTTTCCTGACTTTGAGCCACTTGTAGGGAGGGCAGAGGTCACAGCTATGTCCGGTGCAACTAGGGCCTGGATTCAGGTAGTAGTGGTTTCAGTGGCACAGTAGCTGTGAGCTCAGAGGACACACGTTTTTGCTTCTCTAGTCCCAGTGGGGTAGTGGTTTACTGCAGTTGTCAATCAGTGGGGAATCTGACCTTTGGCTTTTGCTCCTCCAGCACTTGTTTAACTAACTGCATATATTATAATCCCTCTGTTTCAAATACCTGCTACTGTTCCCCTTACTGACTGACACCAGGGTTACAAGCTAAAGAATACATCAAGACGGTCAGGTGCGGTGGCTCATGCCTGTAATCCCAGCTCTTTGGGAGGCCAAGGTGGGCAGATCACAAGGTTAGGAGATCAAGACCATCCTGGCCAACATGGTGAAACCCCGTCTCTAGTAAAAATACAAAAAAATTAGCCAGGTGTGGTGGCACACACCTGTAGTCCCAGCTACTTGGGAGGCTGAGGCAGGGGAATTGCTTGAACCCAGGAGGCAGAGGCTGCAGTGAGCCAAGATTGTGCCACTGCACTCCAGCCTGGGGACAGAGCAAGACTCCATCTCAAAAAAAAAAAAAAAAAAAAAAAAAGATTAAAAAAAAAGAATACATTAAGACACACTGCTCAGAATTCCATGATACCAGGTCTTCAAGGTCTTAGACAATGTGACCTCACTGAATAGGCATTAGAATTTGCTCACACTCTGCTCCAAACTATTTCTCAACCCACCATCCTCGTGCTTGCCCACATATTTTTATCTACTATTCCTACTCCCAAGACTACTTCCCATCACTTCTTATTAATTCAAAACCTACCTCAATTCTAAAGCCTTCTTTAATGATGGTCTCTGGGTCTCTCACCCCTCTTTAGCTCCTTCAGCAATGGCTTTGAATCCATGTATGACAATATGAATAAATTAATAAACCAACCTGCTTCTTTGGCACTCATCATTTGAATTACTTATTGTATAAAACCTCAATCCATTTTCTCATGCTCTAATTGTTTCATACATGTAGGTGAGTACCAAGAAACTGGGAACACGCAAACAAACACCTAAAGATTCACTGATAAGAGACAGTGAAATGCTAAAGGTATTTTACAAGTATCCGTCACTGTGGTAAATAATTATGTTGAGAGGCCAAAGGATATTTTACGTTTATGTTGATTTTTAAGGTGAAGAACAGGTAAGACTCTTCCAAATTTGCTCACAACCCAATTCTAAAAGAAAAAAAAAGAATTTATTTACTATATGTGACACAAATGGAAAAGATTTAATAACAATATTAGGTAAATACAACAAAAAAATCAGTGGGCTATGATTACTGTTGGGTTTAGTTTTCTGACAATGAAATAAGAGTTACCAAAGAGAAAAATTGTGAGAGGAAAGAAAAAAAAAGGAAGATTTGGAGCAGCTATCAATCCCAAGTAAACCGTGTAAGATGGTTTACAAAAAACACTGGCTGCTAATTTGAACAGGCAAACTTGGGACCTGCCTGTATTCCTTGCTACCTATGTCCCTTGAAAGTCCACCTCTGCTTGAGTTTTGATTTCTTTCTCTGTAAAATGATGGAGAACTATGCTTACCTAAGAGTTGTAAATGCACCTTGAAAATCATAAAGTCCTATCTATGTTAATTGCCTCCAAGAAAGGGGAAAAGAGTAACTGGTTTTAGACATGACACCCACAATCACGTGATCTCAGGCATCAGTTTCCAAGACCATGTAATTGGCTCAGGCTACAGAGGAGACTCACCTTATGCCCTGGCACTTCTGTCCCTGGCACAGCTTTCATATGGAAATCCACTCCTCCTGTCTTTTCTAACAAGTTGGCGTTACCTGTTGTTGATTCTTCTTTCTTAGCTTTTGCTGCTTCTCTCTCTTGGGCCAATCTGAATCAAAAAGAAAATACAAATAAAAGAGTCAAAATAATCAGCCACGTAAAATGGTTATTTCACTTTAGGTGTGCCTAAATGAGCACTATAAACAGCTTTGTAGTATTAAAAACCAAAATAAAACAAAAATGCTTTCTTAGTAGCATAATAGCTTACCTACTTATCTGAACATACAATGTTTTTATTATAGAATACTGGAAGACAGAACCGTTAAGAAAACAAAACATATTCCTTATCCCTCATCTTGTTAATATTTTGTTTACTTAACTTCATCTTTGTTCTGTATGTAAATATACATATTTTATAATGTAATCCAAATATCATAAGCACAGTTGGGTACACTTCATTTATCAACTTATACGTTCTTTGAAAACATCACTATGATTGCTGTACAACATGCCTTTCCATCAATCTACTGTAGTTTATTGACCAGTCCCTTACCACCAGCAACTGAGCTATACGGTTGGACAGCAGTGACAAGCTGTGCTGTCAGGGCTGTCCCACCAGAGCATGAGGGTTCTTTTCTTAGCCCATCCACTACACTACAGTCAGTCTCCCAAATCCCTGACATGCACGCTTATACCTGTGCTCTGCTCCAGTGGATGTCCCAGTTCCCCTTTATGGAAGACCAAGACCATGGATCGCAAGTTCTCTCAATTTTCCCCTTTCAATTTATATACGTTTGGCATTTTATATTATCTTCTCTCCATTCACTCTTCCCCATGACGAAGGTATCTTTCGGAGCCCAATTTGTTAGGTCTTGATTATCCATATCCTCCTAATGAAGAGAATGCCACCTCTTCTGATTCAAATCACCGCCACCTTCTTCAGGCCTGGACAACTGCACAGAGCAGTCCTCACTGGCCTCTTTGCCTCTGGTCTGTCTCCTTTATGTCCCAGAATAACCATCAGACCCATGCTTCTCAGGCATATCCACGCAGATACTCCAAGCAGCAGCACTGTGTGCTCAACCTGCTCAGCATGGGGCTCTAGTGCCTGTACACAGTAGGCTGGCAACTGCTGCTGGAATGAAAGGTATATAACCACCCTGTTCACAGTCCTAGGCTTCAGCTGAAGAACAAAATCAAATTCTCACCTTTTTCATAAGGCCAGTCCCCCAAAACATGCCTCAAAGTAGGTTGCTTGCCACTCGTTTTAGAATATATCTGTTCTTGTTACATTTCATTGGTCTGGAACAAGCTTATCAACTCTCCTGGTCATTCTACCTGTATATTCTTTTTTTTTTTTCCTTTTTTTTTGTTTGAGACAAGAGTTTCACTCCTGTTGCCCAGGCTGGAGTGCAATGGCACAATGTAGGCTCACTGCAACCTCCGCCTCCCAGGTTCAAGTGATTCTCCTGCCTCAGCCTCCCAAGTAGCTGGGATTACAGGAGCCCATGACCACAACCAGCTAATTTTTGTATTTTTAGTAGAGACGGGGTTTCACCACTTTAGCCAGGCTGGTCTTGAACTCCTGACCTCAGGTGATCCACCCGCCTCGGCCTCCCAAAGTGCTGGGATTACAGGCGTGAGCCACCGTGCCCGGCCTCTATCTGTATATTCTTAAATTGTTTCCTATTTTGAAAACTCCCCAACAATACCTTTTCTTCCTGAAAATACCTTTAGGATTTTAAAAGCTCTAATGGTTTTTATAATACATTGTCTTGCTCTTAAATCACTTGCATAATCACTCTTATGCCTGTCATACAGTGATCTCCTATTTCCTTTATATTTTGGTATGACACTAGCATTAACAGTCAAAATCAACATATGCAATTTAGTAGTCTACTAAAATTTAAATGCAGACAATGCTAAGATTCAGCAACTCCATTTTCTGATATAAACTGAGAGAAACACCTGCATATACATAGGATATGTGCTCCAGGATCATCTATGACCATGAAAAAGTAGAAACAGTCATCAGTGGGAAGGGACCACTACATTGTGGTATAACCATTTTCTGAAATACTACTAACAATTGTTATAAAGGGAGAAGATCTACATTGCCACAAAAGGGTGTGTTAACAAAGAGAAAATAAGTACATATATGCTTTTATAGCTCATTAACAGAGAAAATAAGTACATATATACTTTTATAGCTTATTACATACATACGTAAATGCATGAAATTATCCTTTTTGTTCGTCTGGGGTGAAGGGGATTCAGAGTTGAAAGGGATTTCAGCTCTACTTATATGTTTGAATTTGTTAAGAATATAATACTATATTACTTGATAATTTGAAATAATATATAAAACCACTTACAATATAAAAAAAATAGGGCTTAAATCCATGTGGAGCAAAACTTACCTGTGCAGAAAGCTTTCTTTTGCTAGTTGAATTTGTAATGTTCCACCTTTCCATTTTGTTTTATTTAAAACAGACATACCTATAAAGTAAAGAATTATTACAAGTACATGGCAATGTAAAAATATATTTCAGCTTGTGCTTTTTCTAATTATTTAGTATCAAGAAAAGCAGGCTTGTTTATCACAAAGAGATCCAGGGGAAGTGGAAGAAAAGAAATGAGACCTGGAGAGAGGGAGCCTAGGCTCTTGTTTCATCTTGACAACTTACCAAAAGAGTCTTTACACTCCCTATCTCACAGTGTTACTAGATTGGAATGAGGCAAAATGTGTAAAAAGTAAAGCAAAATTTATTTGCAATTTGTTTGTAAACAAATGTCAGGAACCTCTGAATAACTGATATTTAATGTATATTTTATTGTTATTTCCTGTAACTATAAAACATATATTTCCTGTAACTATAAAACAATCATCTTTTCAGGTGAATCAGAGGACACTCTGGAATCCTACAGCACCTTAATTTTATTTATCACCTCATACTAATTATCACTGTAGAACTTGCAGATGAATTAACTATGAGTGACTGAACTGTTTGAATTACTATGCCGTAGTAATTGATTTCTCTGAGCATCTGCCGTCAGCTTCCTTAATAATACCATTAACAGAATTTTGTAGGTGGTAGATACTGTACTAAGTACAAATTTATCTTTTCTTTTTGAGACAGAGTGTCCTTCTGTCGCCCAGGCTGGAGTGCAGTGGCACTATCTTGGCTCACTGCAACCTCTGCCTCCCTGGTGATTCTCCTGTCTCAGCCTCCCAAGTAGCTGGGATTACAGGTGTCTGCCACCACACCCAGCTAATTGTGGTATTTTTAGTAAAGATGGGGTTTCACCATGTTGGCCAGGCTGGTCTCAAACTCCTGACCTCAAGTGATCCACCTGCCTTAGCCTCCCAAAGTATTGCAAATGTATCATTTAATTTAATTCTCACAGAAATATTATGAGGCAAGCACTATCTTTTGTCATTCATCACATAAGCAAACTTGGGCTGAGAAGTTTAAGTAACTTGCCACAGGTCACAAAGCCTAGTTGATGTATTCTTAACCACAACTTCACATTTATCACATATATTCCTCAATGTAAAATAGAATAAAGCAATCTTTTCGCAAATGAAATTACAAAAGACTGATTGCCCTCTTCCTCTATTAGCGTGTTCCCTTTACTTATTTTCCGTGTCTTTTTTCACTTTTTGGCCTCCAAATAACTAGAATATGTTACTGTGTCAGCGGCAGTATGGATTATCTCCCATTCTTCATTGAAGGCCACTGTTTGCCCTTGACTTTACTAAACTTATCAACAAGAGATTTCACAATTTCAAGGATACGGTCTTACAAGGGTGTATTTTAAAGCCCCCTCAAGAGTGTTTAGTGACAAGGATTAGCTGTCAAAGAAATGATCAGACTGAGGGGGAATGTGGCATGATATTCAGTGGGATATATGTAACAGGCAGTTTCTATGAAAGTTTGGTCCCTTGTCCAAAATATTTGAGAATAGCAGTTTTAAGTAAACCCACCAGTAAAGTGCTACCATGTCTGCTGATGCCAAATGGAATGGACCTAAACCTGCTGAGTTATACGATACTGGAATTCTCTTCATCACTGCTGTCCCTCTGGATAACGTGAAAAATGGCTGTGGAGGTTTAGATTTAGAACCAGTTATTCCAAGTTACAGAGTCATACAAACTGGCAAACAGTATAGAAAATATATGATGATCTTACATTTTTTCAGGTCCGCTTCTGCTACACTGATGTTGATATATGCAAAAACTTTCTGTGGGTTTCCTAAAAAACAAACAAACAAACAAACAAAACAATTTATTTAAATTCTTATCCAGAGAGCAATGTAAAAACGGTTGTTTCTAAATTAAAAAAAAAAATAGCTCTTGAAAACTTATTATTTCAAAGATAAACCTTGTTTTTTATTGGCTATAAAAATAAGCATAATTATCAAAATATTCCAAAAAAAAAAAGAAGAAAATGTCCAGTAGTCAGATAAGGAAACATTTTGATTGTATGCTAGTGATAGTCTACTTAACGGGACACTTAATCCATGTTAGAAAATTCTAGTTCTCAAAACTGGAAGTTAATATGTTTCTGAAATCAGATGTTTTAGAATTTGGAATTTTTTCTTATTTCAGAAACAAATTCTGGTCAAGTTCCACATCACACATTATACCTCCACAACATCACTTAAAACTTTTGGTGTTCAGAGCTAACATTTATCTTGGGGTTGTTTTATTTTCTAGCACTTAACCTGAGTTATGTCTGCCTATAACTGCCCAGTGAAGGACCATAAATTACCTTGGTCATCTTTCCGTGTGATGATCTCCACATCCGAAACTTCTCCAAATCTGCTGAACTGATTTTGTAGGTCTGCCTCAGAAATGTCCTGGCTAAGGCCACCCACATAAAGGCGCTTCGTTTCTCTGTTCACTTTCATGAAGGCTGGGCATATACTTGGGTGTGTTTCAGTGGGAAAAGTAATTTTCTGTATACAGAGAAGAGTTCTTTCCCTTAGTTCTTCTAAAATCTAACAAAACAACTACTTCCTCTGAACCTTCTGTATCAAATCCGTCTCCTGGATCTGTATTTCACTTCCTATTGTATTACTTCCAAATTTTAGTCTTCGAGGTTTTGCCCAAGCCCTACATCCACATCTTTCATGAATGCACTTTGGAACAGCAACCCCATACCCATATAGACACAGGTACAGACAGAGTTTTTTTCCTCCAAATGGCCATAATATTACACTCTATCCCTCTTAATTTTATGTATTCATGTTTTTAGATGTTTTTCCTTGACTCACTCATACATTCATTTACTGTCTTTAACAAAGTCTGACAGAAACAGGATGTAACGCACTAAAAGATAAAAAGAGCTAGCCTACCTCTTCCTAATTGTCTCCACCCCCAACCTACCCACCCCAGCCTTCTTCCTCCTAGAAGACCCAAAGAAGTGAATAGAGAGGCTAGGAGCTCCTTATAGTCACAAAAGAATAAAACAAATGGCACAATATTATGTCACAATAAAAGTGCTGCAAAGTGGGGTTCAGACACAAAGATCAAGGGATATAGCGAATACAGACTTGTGTTTTTGCTATGTGCCTGCATTGTACAAAGTAGTTTGCATGTTTCCCATTTTTCAGGAGAGCAGAAGAGGTTAAGTCACTTCCTCAATGCCATACCGAAAATTAGTGAATCCAGGATTATAATGCAGGTCTACCTTCAGAACTTGGAATTCTTAACACTATACTATGAAGGTTGCTGTATCACAGGGGACTCAGGAAAACTTTTCCAGAGGTACTAGGGCCCATCATAGTATCTCTCATTTCGTTTAGCACCCGGCAGGCGCTCAGCTCTCGCCCTTCCCTTCCCCAAGAGCTGACAGACTCTTTCCAGAAGAGACTCCCAACCAGCGTCCACCACATGGCGTGTATTCTGGGCAGAACTTCGGCCTACCTCTTCCCGATAGTCTCCGCCCCCAGCCTACCCACGGCAGCCTTCTTTCTCTGAGAAGACCCAAAGAAGTGAAGAGAGACTAGGAAACGGCCCTGTGACTTCTCATGCCCGAAACCCACTCCTCACCACGTCGTTCACCTAAAGCCAGCGCCGCTGCAGCCCCTAACTTCTGGTCACGTGTCCCAACGGAGCATCCTCTCTTCCTTCCTACTCGATTTCCAACCCAGCCTCCTAAGGTTCCGTTACCACAATTCAGTTCCCAAGAGCTTTTAATTTCCTTTTCCGTCCTCCCACCTTCCCTGACGCCTCCGTCACCTCCCCCTCAACGACTGCAAAAGAGCCTAAACCAAAATCCCCTAGTTTCTATTGAACACTATCGCTGTGTGTACCAATTCCTGGACTAGGTCGGCGTAAGAGAGGAAGTAGGTGAAAAAAATAAAGAGGCGCTCCCCTCCACGTGATCCCAGCCCTGCCTCTTTAGTGAGGCACGCGGCCGGGCGGCTCCAAGGCTGCCGGCTAGGGTGAGCAGCGGAGCGCTTGGGCTTGGAGTAGCAAAGAACGCGCTCTCCAGAGAAAGTATAGCCACTGCTTAGACAGCCAGGGAAACGTGTGCGGGGAAGTGGAGGACTCAGGCTCTCGTGCGAGAGCGGAGTTGGACGTGCAGGGCCGCTGGGGTCACGCGGAGCTCTCCCGCCTCCCCTCCGCGTGAGCTCTGGGATGGTCCGCGCCGGGAGCGCGCGCGAGGCTTGAAGCGCGGGTGAAGCGCGCAGGTCGGAGTGACAGCTGCGCTGCCGGCCCGGCTGCGGTCAGCAACGCGCCATGGACGCAGAGCTGGCAGAGGTGCGCGCCTTGCAAGCTGAGATCGCGGCCCTGCGGCGAGCGTGTGAGGACCCACCGGCGCCCTGGGAAGAGAAGTCCCGAGTCCAGTACGTGACCACCCCAAGTCCCCCAGGGCCCGCTGGCCAGGGTTCCCGGGCCAGGCGGGTGAATCTCCACAGACATCCTCGGTCTCCTACTCCCAGCCCTAGAAAGTGGGCATGAACTGGCATTGATCCTGTCATGACGATGGCCTAGAGTTGGGAGCAGCGCGTACGGCGCCCAGCTGTAAACGCATTGCAGGGTATTAACTCGTTTAATCGCAGTCGTCTGTGTGGATGACTGACAAGGAGGAAGTCTTGACTATATCCCTAGCTAGATAATTCCGCCTCCAGTATGCAGAAGTATCTCTAGTTGGGATTTAATAACTCCGTTTGGTTTCATGGCATTTGTTTTGGTAGGTCAGCTAACCATCTCAACTGATAATGACTTTGTGTTTACGATGACATAAAAATTCCTTTGAAAAATAACTTCGGTAAAAAACTAAGTTGATAAAAGAAAAGTAGTTAATATAGACTGCAGGAGAATTTGACATTCCTCTGAGGTAGGTGCTACTGTTAGCCCTGTTTTATAGTTGAAGAAACTGAGGCTCAGAGAAGTTAGGTAGCTTGTCCAAGGTTCCAGAGAAAGGAATTGTCAGAGATGGATTGGGACCCAAAAATTTTACTCCAAAGTCTGGGCACTTTTGGTTTATTGAAGGAGAGGGAGAGAAAAGCTCTGCAACCGTAATTATGTATTATCATCTCAAACATAGAAGCCTCTCGAAAACATAAACTGTCTTCAATTTTTGAGTCAAGAGTAATTTGACATAGGTGCAGAAAGAATGGGATTTTTCCTGAGCTAACTGGAGAAGAATTGGTAGAAAATGGGAAGGAGGAGATCTACAGAAAATGTCTGCGTGCGGTCATGAAAGTAGAGGAAGCTGTGACTGGTTAAAGGGAGAGGAAAAAGGTGTGCTCCTCCACAAATGAGAGTAAATGTATTAAAGACCCTTGCTATTTGAGGTGTGCTCCACAGATGGGACGCTTTAGCATTACCTGGCGGTTTGTTAGAGCGACATCCTGACCTACTGAATCAGAATCTGCATTTTAAAAAAATACACTGCCCTAACAGAGGATTTGTGTGCACACTTGGAAGTTTAAGAACCAGGGAAAAATAGTTTCTTTACTGGCCACAAGATTTCATTAGTCCCCATAGTAGTGTCAACTGAAAAATCATGAGATCTGCAAATTTAGAGAGACTATTTCTTAAAAAGGGTTACAGTCTGCAAAGTGGCCATCCTGACAGGCTAGGAAGCATAGTCTCAGGCAAAGCAGAAAGGCCCACACTTTGGAGGAGGAGGGGTTGGGGCAGGGATTTATGCTGTATGAGTGGGCTAGGTATACATATTCAACAGGTTATAGGAGGGGCTATGAATATTCACGAAGGGAGATGTGCTCACCTGTACTGAATAAAAATGCATATTACATGCACTCCATATTCATTTTGGGAAGCTGACTTAATATTTAAATGCATTACAATTAGGCCCTGTACGTCAAAAGTTGAAGGAGGGAAGCAAAGGTACTTAAGTACACAGGCCTTGTAAACCTGTTAGAACAAGTCCATGGTTGGTGATCTTATCAAAAGAAAATTTTTGAAATCATTCTCTTGTCCTATCAAAGCCTGTGGAACAGGGGAATCAGTTAGCATCTGGTGGTGGATGAACTGCAATTATTTCAATATTGCTTATCTGGAGGCCAGTGCTAGTGAAAAAAATATTGTGGCAGTTAGAACATAGTTCATTCTTTTAAAGGTAGGGGGTATGTGACTTAACCCTTGCCTGGCATGGCCTTAGGTCTTGTTTATAATTTGGTATCTTATTGCCACAGAGTCCGTTCTGCAACTCTTACGATCTCTATTTTAACATTAATGCTGGTCAGTTGTTGTGTCTACATCCCAAATAGGAAGGGGTATAACGAGGTGTGTCTGACCTCCCATCCTGTCATGGTTAAGAACTGAGTTTTTAAGGTTTCTTTGGGGTCCCCTTGACCAAGAGGGAGTCGGTTCAGGTGATTGTGGGGGTGGGGTAGGATTTTATTTTTAGTTCTTAGTAGATTATTTATATAATCTGGGACTTCTCAGTGGTTAAATTGGAAAGTCAGAAGAGTCCAGATTGTGGGAGACATTAAATGTCAGTCCAGGGTGTTTGGATTTAACCGTGAGGTTTCTTTTCACTATAGTGGAGGAGGAGGATTGGAACCTATGTACCAAGCTATTTTTTTAAGTGATTATAAGTGGTTGGATGGATTGGAGGTAGGAAAATTGGAGCTAAATTATTCAGCTATATCCATATGTCCACACTGTGGAGCCAAATTGCCTGCTTTCAAATCCTGTCTCTGCTATTGGCTGAGTGATCTTGGTTAAGTGAGCTCCCCCTTTCTGTGCTTCAGTTTCCTCCGTGGTAAAATTATACCCAAGTTTTTGGGTTGCTGTGAGGACTAATTGAGTTAATATATGTAGTTCATTTAGAAGAGTACTTGCCTCATAATAGTAACTAACACTCATTAGTAGACCATTGACCTTTAAACTCGTGTACAGATTGATTTTAAAGGAAAAAAAATTCTTGCAAGCTCCTAATTCTGACAAAAAATTTTTATGTTATGAGGACAAACTTACAAATAATAAAACCACAAAGTGAATAAAATTCAAACAAATCCAAAATAGCTCAAACTAACATCATTAGTTGAAATACACAAATATTTTGCTCAAACTAAATAACTGCTATGAATAAGAATATGCAGATTTTCTTTTTGTGGCAAAATATACATAAGATTTACTATTTTAACCATTTTTGAGCGTTCAGCTCAATGGCATTAAACACATGCACATTGTTGTACAGCCATCACCACTGTCCATCTTCAGAACTTTTTCATCACCCCTAAACTGAAACACCATACCTATTAAACACGAACTCCCTACTAGCCACTCTGACAACTGCAGGTTCTTTTTTGAGTTCTGCATATCCAGCCTTTAATGATGACTTGGTTCTCTTACCACTTTGCTCTATCGGAAATACCTTGAAATTTTCCTTCATAGTTTGCTGTGACATTTGGTGTTCACTTGTCAGAAGCTCATTTATATTTATGGCTTTTTTTTTTTTTTTTTTTGAGACGGAGTTTCGCTCTTGTCGCCCAGGCTGGAGTGTGGTGGCGCAACCTCAGCTCACTGCAACCTCCGCCCCCTGGGTTCAAGGGAGTCTCCTGCCTCAGCCTCCCGAGTAACTGGGATTACAGGCACCCGCCACCATGCCCAGCTAATTTTTTGTATTTTTACTAGAGATGGGGTTTCGCCATGTTGGGCAGTCTGGTCTCGAACTCTTGACCTCAGGTGATCTGCCCACCTCGGCATCCCAAACTTCTGGGATTACGTGAGCCACCGTGCCCGGCCGCACATCATTTATATATGAAGATTGTCTCTGTTCTTTTTTCTTTTTCTTTTTCTTTTTTGTTTTGTTTTTTGAGAGAGGGTCTCACTCTGTTGCCCATGCTGAAGTGCAGTGGCATGATTATGACTCACTGCAACCTTCACCCACCTCCCATGCTCAAGCAATCGTCCTGCCTCAGCGACCCTCCACCAGCCAAGTAGTTGGGACTGAAGGCATGGCACCTGCCACTATGCCCAGATAATTTTGTGTGTGTGTGTGTGTGTGTATTTTTTGGTAGACATGGGGTTTTACCATGTTGGCCCGACTGGTCTTGAACTCCTGGGCTGCCTCAGGATTACAGGAGTGAGTCGCTGTGCCCAATCTGTTCTTTTTTCCTTGACTTCTATATTTAATGTAATTTGTAGGGGCATCAGTCTATGATGGCAAATGCAAAAGAAGCTGTGGTAGTTTCATGATACAGAATATACTTATATTAACATTTTAAATTAGCATTAAAACAAAATTTGAGACAAATTTTACAGACTTTATTAAGTCTTGGATTCTCAGTGTGAAGAATATAGAGTTAGATTATTCTGTGTAGAGATGGTATAAGGTCATAAGAGCATTGGTTAATGTAGTAGAATTAGAAATACAAAAGGAAGAATAGTTATGTGAGGGAGCAGAACGGATGGCAGTAAGTCCAGATGTCAGGCAAGTGAAGGAGTCAAGGATAACTTCCAAGGTATAGAGCCTGACATACCAAGGGAAATATTTTATTATTAACAAATGTAGGGTAATTTAGAGGAAAAGCAGATTCCAAGAGAAACGATTTGGTGAGCTATCAAGCTAGATCTACCTTGCAGGAAGAAGAGATACATGGTTAGAGGTATATTTTAAGAGTTACTGGCATAGAGGAGCTAAGGCTAATCATTTAGTGTTCCTGCAGAATGAAAGAATACATATTTAGGATAGCAGAAGTAAGAGTGTTAGGGTTTTCCTCTAATGTTGGAGACAAGAAGCTGACCCTAGATAGCAAATGAGAATTGGGATAATTATGCCCAAGAATCCAAGGAAGAGATGTTTTAAGCTGGCCGGAAAAGTCAACAGTATAGAATGTAGCAGAGTGTTTAAAGGAAATAATGGATGACAAAAAAAAAATACCATCTAATACAATTATTAGCTAAAATTTCTTTTTTTAAAAAAGTTTAAGTTTTTTTTTTCTTTTCTTTGTTTTTTTTTTTTTTTGTTGAGACAGAGTCTTACTTTGTTGCCCAGGCTGGAATACAGTGGCGTGATCTTGGCTCACTGCAACCTCTGCCTCCCATACTCAAGCAATTCTCCTGCCTCAGCCTCCTGGGTAGCCAGGATTACAGGCACCCGCCACCACTCGAGGCTAATTTTTTGTATTTTTAGTAGAGAAGGGGTTTCACCATATTGGCCAGGCTGGTCTCGAACTCCTGACCTCAAGTGATCCACCTGCCTTGGCCTCCCAAAGTGCTGGGATTGCAGGCGTGAGCCACTGCGCCAGGCCAACTAAAATTTCATTCTTTTTCTCAAGGAAAATATATTTATATGTTCTCAATGAAGAATGTCTGGCCATAGTGATGTTTAAAGAGATTTGCTATTTCTTTTTCCGATAAATCTCTTTCTTACTATAAAACGTTCTGTGGTGTTTACTTTTAGAAATTAAAGTTAGCTAATTGATTTTATTTTTTAATTTCTTTCTTTTTTTATTTTTTTGAGAGGGAGTCTCGCTCTGTCGCCCAGGTTGGAGTGCAGTGGCACAATCTCTGCTCACTGCAAGCTCCGCCTCCCAGGTTCACACCATTCTCCTGCCTCAGCCTCCCGAGTAGCTGGGACTACAGGCGCCTGCCACCACGCCTGGCAAATTTTTTGTATATTTAGTAGACATGGGGTTTCACTGTGTTAGCCAGGATGGTCTTGATCTCCTGACCGCGTGATCCACCCGCCTTGGCTTCCCAAAGTGCTGGGATTACAGGCGTGAGCCACGGCGCCTGGCCTATTTTTTAATTTCAAGACATCTTTTAAAATAATTTGAGAGATATATCAGACATTTAGGCTGGAATTTCATGGGTCAGAACACACATTGTAATTTTGCAAAGTAGTCCTGTTATAATTTATTTGAAAGGTGTTTCTAATATGTGGAAATTTGGAAGTATAATTTGGTTACATATGTTTTTTGTTGAAATTAAAGATTGTGGGCTGGGCATGGTGGATCACGCCTGTAATCCAGCACGCTGGGAGACTGAGGCGGGAGGATTGCTTGAAGTCAGGAGTTTAAGACCAGCCTAGGTAATAAAGCCAGACCTTGTCTCTATGAGAAGGAAAAAAAAATTAGCTAGGCACAGTGGCATACCTGTGGTCCCAGCTACTCAGGAGGATCCTTTGAGCCTGGGAGTTCAAGGCTGCAGTGCACTATGATTACACCACTGCACTCCAGGCTGGGTGACAGCGTAAGACCCTCATCTCTTAAAAAGGAAGAAAGAAAAAAAAAGTGGTGGTGTTAGTAACCACACTGGTTTTGAGAAAATTCTTTTTAATTTTTTAATTTTTTTTATTTTAATGGGGGAAGGTGACTTAATTGGAAGAGAGTAAGAGGGACAAAATGGGAATGCTTTGAGGAAAATGGGGTTATTAGATGAAACACGTGTTAGTAATTGGAGTGATTATTTTTGATATTTGCCTTTTAGAAAATCTTTTCAAGCCATACACCAATTCAATTTGGAAGGATGGAAGTCTTCAAAAGATCTGAAAAATCAGCTTGGACATTTAGAATCAGAACTTTCATTTCTAAGTACGCTTACTGGCATCAATATAAGAAATCACTCCAAGCAGACAGAAGACCTAACAAGCACTGAGATGACAGAAAAGAGTAAGCATTTTTTTTAAATCTAGACATAGTATGGAAGCTTACCTTATTATGCATAAGAAATTGGTTGTCATAATATTGAATTAAAATTCTACAAGGTAAGTATTTGAAAGTATGGTTGTGGTAAACTTGTTTACTCACATATCTTTTGAACATCACGGTGTTCAAAAAGCTGCCTGGGCCAGGCCCCGTGATCATGCCTATAATCCCAGCTTTTGGGAGGCCAAGGCATGCAGATCACCTGAGGTCAGGAGTTTGAGACAAGCCTGGCCAACATGGTGCAACTCTGTCTCTACTGAAAATACAAAAATTAGCCGGATGTGTTGGTGGGCACCTGTAATCTAAGCTACTTGGGAAGCTGAGCCAGGAGAATCATTTGAACCCGGGAGGTGGAAGTTGCAGTGAGCTGAGATTGTGCCATTGCACTCCACCCTGGGGGACAGAGCAAGACTCCATTTAAAACAAAAAAAAAAAGGGCTGCCTGAGATAAATATTAAAGAACAGACACAGTTTCTTTTCTTTCTTTCTTTTTTTTTTTTACCTTCTCCTTCCTGATGGAAAAGAACAGACACAGTTTTTATCATTAAGTACCTTAATAGTCAAGTAAATAGTAATAAGCGAATAATGATTATAAGAACAACAGCACCATTAATTTATACATCTTAGGAGTTGTTCAGCACTGACATGAAAGCTGCCAAGATAAATATTTTAGCAGCTGGACCTTTTGCTGGAAGGAAGGTTTCTGGTCCCAATGACTAGATTTTATTGCCAAAGATCTGTGATGCACTAAGAGATAAAGGGAAGCTACTGCAGCTGTGCAACTGGATGTCAAGAACTTTGGTTGGTCAAGAATAACATTCCCAAAAGCAGAAATCATTTTTGGTGTGCTTTCTGACTTTTCCACTGAAAATTACCCTCATGACAGGGGAGAGGGTCTTGGGCAGCCACTGCAGGGAGACTGAATTACATGTAGAAACAGAGTGATGGAATTTGGAGACTTAAATTACTTGAAAGGAAGAGATGGAATGCAGAGAGAATAGAGAATGAGGATAGGCCAGTTATAAGACTTTTACTAGCTTAAAAGCCGCAGCATGAAGATTAGGCGTAGAGTCTTGACAAAGCTAATGTGGTTTGAATGGGAGATTTCAGACAGGGACATCACAAGAGTTGAAATGCTTTTTTCCTGTGAGTAATATGTGCTCATTTTAGCAAACTTGGAAAAATATAGAAATTATGAAGAAGAAATATCATTTTAAAGCCAGAAATCTAAGTAGTTATAGGAGTTTCTTGAAATTAATTGCAAGTAATTCAGCAAGAGTAATGGTACCGGAAGAGAAATATCTTGTTTTTTATTTTTTTGTTCTTTTTCCTTTGTTTTTTGTTTGTTTTATTTTTTCGAGATGGAGTTTTGCACTGTCACCCGGGCTGGAGTGCAGTGGCGTAATCAAAGAGCTTTTTGAAGTCATTATTGTTTTCCATAGCTATTAGTTGGGCAGACACAGTTTCTGTGGTGTGTTAATGAATGTAGCTGAAGCTAGGTAATCAAATGATCTTGATTTCCTTCAAAATAATCATGTGAAGAATGTAGACTTTATTGCAGCTATGCTTTTATTTCTCCAAACATTTTTTAGAACTTTCTTTTGGAATTTCCTTCAGTGCCTATGATGATTCTTTTAAATTCTCCATTTTGATTCTGTAAGAGTCGGTTTACAAACTAAGTAATGGAATTTGGAGTCGAAAATTAAGTGTTACTGCAAAGTAATGAGAGTAGGGTTTTTTTTTTTTTTTTTGAGACAGAGTCTTCCTCTGTCGCCCAGGCTGGAGTGCAGTGGTACAATCTCAGCTTACTGCAGCCTCTGCCTCCTGGGTTCAAGCAATTCTCCTGCCTCAGCCTCCCGCGTAGCTGGGACTACAGGCACGCAGTGCCATGCCCAGCTAATTTTTGTATTTTTAGTAGTGACGGGGTTTCCCTACATTGGCTAGGATGATCTTGATCTCCTGACCTCGTGATACGCCTGCCTCGGTCTCCCAAAGTGCTGGGATTACAGGTGTGAGCCCCTGCGCCTGGCCGAGAGTAGTATTTTAATTTATAATTTTTATTCTTGTCTTTTGATTAGCTTTAAATGTATGTTGTTAAAAATATGTAGATGGGCTTGATGTATGGATGGTTTTGAAGGACTAATCCTCTTCTGCTGTCTGTGAACTTTGTTAAAAATGCACCCTTACTCATTATTTAAAAATAAAAATCAGGCCAGGTGCAGTGGCTCACGCCTGTAATGCTAGCACTTTGGGAGGCCTATGTGGGCAGGTCACTTGAGGTCAGGAGTTTAAGACCAGCCTGGCTAACATGGTAAAACCCCATCTCTACTAAAAATACAACAATTAGCTAGGCATGGTGGAGTGTTCCTGTAGTCCCAGCTGCTCGGGAGGCTGAGGCAGGAGAATGGCTTGAAGCTGGGAGGCGGAGGTTGCAGTGAGCTGAGATTGCACCACTGCGCTTCAGCCTTGGTGACAGTGAGACCCTGTCTCAAAAAAAACCAAAAAAACAAAAAAAAAGGCCGGTTGTGGTGGCTCATACCTGTAGTCCCAGCACTTTGGGAAGCCGAGGCGGGCGAATCACTTGAGGTCAGGAGTTCGAGACCAGCCTGGCCAACATGGTGAAGCCTGTCTCTACCAAAAACACAAAAATTAGCAGGGCGTGGTGGGGCATGCCTGTAGTACCAGCTGCTCGGGAGGCAGAGGTTGCAGTGAGTGGAGATGGTGCCACCGCACTCCAGCCTGGGCGACAGAACGAGACTCCATCTCAAAAATAACATAAAATAAAATAAAACAAAATAAAAATCAGTGTGTTCAAGTTAAAAAGTACTGAACTGAAAATTTATCATGCTATATATTTATATGCAATTTATGTATGCATAGTGTTCATCTATAAAGAAAAAATAAAGCCTGGACATAAAGAAAAAATAAAGCCTAGAGATTGGACAGATTAGTAAGTCTCTCTCTGTCTGATTTCTTATATGCAAAATAAAGTGGTTGCTGTAGATTATTTCCAGGATTCCATCTGCATTTTTTCTTTACCGCATTTTTGGCACATTTATTTTTATGGACAAAGCCCAAGGTCATCTAGATTTTCTCCTATATTCTAGGAGTTTTATAGTTTTGTATTTTATATTTAGATCTGTGATAAATTTTCAGTTAATTTTTGTGAAAGGTATAGTCAGTGTCTAGATTCTTTTTTTTTTTTGTTTTGCATATGGATGTTCAGTTGATCCAGCACCTTTTGTTAAAAAGACTATTCTTTCTCCATTGAACTGCCTTTGCTCCTTTGTCAAAGATCAGTTGACTGTATCTGCGTGAGTCTATTTCTAGACTTTCTCTTCTGTTCTATTGACCTATTTGTATACTCTTTCACTAATACCATACTGTCTTGATTACTGTAGCTTTATAGTAAGTCTCTAAATCAGGTCATTTAAGTTCTTAAACTTTATTTTTCTTGAAGTTTATTCTGGCTCTCCTGAGTTTTTGCCTTTGCGTATAAACTTGATAATCATTTTGTTGATATCCAGAAAGTAACTTGCTGGAATTTTGATTGGATTGCATTGAATGTACTGATCAAAGTTGGGAAGAACTGACATCTTAACCATAGTGAGTCTTCCATAGCTATTTGTTTAAACAATTCCACATCTAATCCACGATTAAGCATTGCATCTATCTGTTATGTCTCTTTAGTCTCCTTAATCTGGTCATTCTTCTCTGTCTCTTACGACATAGACATATTTGAAGACCACTTGTATTATAGATTGTTCTTCAATCTCTTTTTTTTCTGATAGTTTCCTCTTGATGACATTCCTGTGCAATTTTGGCAGGAAAACTATGAAAGTGATGTTTTGTTCTTACCAGTACATCTAATTAGGAAGCAAATTATGTCAATTTGTACCATTCTGTCTTTTTTTCCTAACTACTTATTGAACAAATCTTTAACCAGTCTTCCTATTTTGAGCCCCAGGTTCACCTCCCATAAAGGTACTTGGTGCTGCTGACTCATAATACCCGTCTCGTATTCTGCTATGTAAATGAACTTACTTCTGGGTTTTCCTCATTTGCTGGCTTAGGTTTCAGTTTTCCTGGCTCTACCAGGTCACTTTCATTTGTCCATGTGCTATCTAGTGCATCCATCTGATTTCCAGCTTCCCAAATCTGATTGCTCTTATCTTCCCTGTTCCCTTTATCCTTGTAGAATCTTGCCCTTCTAAAAGTAACGTCATTAGCAAAACTAGATGACTACGTAAAGTCAGGATAGTGCTTACTTACCTCTTGGGGGTAGGGAATAGCCTGGGAAAGGATATGAGGGAACCTTATAGGTTCTGTAAAATTCCTGTAGTATGATCTCAGTGGTAGTTACCTGAACAACCACATGTATAAAAGAAATATTGAGCTGTATACTTAAGAATAGGGCATTTTATGCATTCAAATGTATGCATGTTATATCTCAAAAATATCACTGACATTTTAGTGAAGTTTTGAGAGATGGCAGAGGTGAACGCATGGATTCAATTTACTGCCTTTAAGTACTAGATAGTGTTGAAAAAATAAAAAGCATTGAACAGTTAACATGACTCAAATTTGTCTAGGGTTATACTAGTACATTTCTACTACTTACCATAACTTTTGGTATAGTTGAAAACTTGGCCGGGCGCAGTGGCTCATGCCAGTAATCCCGGCACTTTGGGAGGCCGAGGTGGGTGGATCACCTGAGGTCAGGAGTTTGAGACCAGCCTGACCAGTATGGTGAAACCCTGTCTCTACTAAAAATACAAAAATTAGCCAGGCATGGTGGTGCACACCTGTAATCCCAGCTACTCGGGAGGCTGAGGCAGGAGAATTGCTTGAACCCAGGAGGTAGAGGTTGCAGCGAGTCGAGATCGCACCATTGCACTCCAGCTTGGGCAACAAGAGCGAAACTCCTTCTGGAAAAAAAAAAAAGAAAACTAGAAACACAAGTTATCATTAATTTTATTTTGCAAAGATAATCAATTTGGTTTACGTTCTTCCAGAGTTTTTCAATGTAATTGCTAATGCACACTTTCACACATATACCCACATGTATTGTAGATATTCACACAAAATTAAATAATACACATTTGAAGAAAATGGCTATTTGCAAACAAAATATTTGTTTTTCTGCTTTACAGGTATTAGAAAAGTTCTACAGAGACACAGATTATCAGGAAATTGCCACATGGTTACATTTCAACTTGAATTTCAGATTCTGGAAATTCAGGTAAATTAAGAAGCATGTTGTGATAACAGAGATACTTCTGCTATGAGATAAACAATTCCCACACCCCAGCCTTCAACAGTGATGGAGCTGAAGAGGAGTTCATGAGCCAGGGCCCCCCCATTCATAGCACATTTGTGCAAAGTGGTACATTTTCAAAATTTCAGGTATTAATAGCCCAGCAACTGCATATGGTAGGGTTGTTGTGAAAGCCAAAGGTGCTTTATTGAAGGACAGGTAGCAAGATGCTCCTGGGCTTCCAGTGCAATTCCATGAGGTTGTGGGAATAGTCCTGGGTGTCATCAGTAGTTAGGTGATATGCCAGCCATCTAATATCTATTAGTTATCTATTGCTGCTTAACCAGTCTCCATAATATTTAGCATCTTAAAACAACCCAAAATAGGCCAAACATGGTGGCTCACACCTGTAGTCTCAGCATTTTGCGGGGCCAAGGCAGGAGGATTGCTTGAGCCCAGGAGTTTGAGACCAGCGTGGGCAATGTAGTGAGACCCTGTCTCTACAAAAAAATAAAAAATTAGCCAGGCGTGGTGGTGCGCACCTGTGCTCCCAGCTACTCCGGAGGCTGAGGTAGAAGGATTGCTTGAGCCTAGGAGGTCAAGGCTACCGTGAGCTGTGATTGTGCCACTGTACTCGAGCCTGGGTAGCAGAGTGAGACTCTGTCACACACAAAAAAAAAACCACCAAAAATACAATTATCCCTCAGTATCTGTGAGGGATTGGTTCCAGGACTCCCTGTAGTACCAAAATCCACGGATGCTCAAGTCCCTTCTATAAAATCGTGTAGTGTTTACCTATAATGTACACACATCCTCGTTTATACTTTAAATCATTTCTAGATTACTTCCAATACCCAATACAATGTAAACGCTATGAAATAGTTACTATAGTATATTGTTTAGGGAATCATTATGAGAAAAACAACTTGTACGTGTTCAGTACAGATCCAACCATCTGCATCTGTAGATTTTTTTTTTTCAAATATTTTTGGTCTGCAGTTGGTCAATCTATGGATGTGGAACCACAGATAGGGAGGGCTGACTATATTTATTAATTATCTCACCTATTTTGTGTGGGTCAGGAATTTTGGAGCCACTCAGTTGGGTGTCCTTGCTCAGGGCCTCTCATGAGGTTGTGGTCATCTGGGACCACAGCCATTTGAATGCTCCTTGGGGCTGGATGATCTTGTACCTCGTATTGAACTGCTGAGACACAACAGAGGGAGGAAGACCCCTTTGGCTAAGACCTTCACATAATATCAGGAAGCAGGAAAGCGAAAGCAGACAGAATGATAACAAGTAACCCCACTGGCCAGGGTGCAGCAGAACAGGGCTCAGCCACCTTCAAAGGCTGACTCCAAGAAAAGTTGAAAGCCAGAGAAAGCAGTTGAAAGAGGAGAAAGCAGTTTCAACCAGTTGGTTTTGCCAGTTGGGCCAACAGGGAATGTGTGCAAAGAGGAGGAACAGAACAGGGAAGGGCTGTCAGGCTGCATTGGCCTCAGCTCATCAGATATCTAAAGTGGTGTAGAGTAGTTGTTGTAACTGAGTCCTATGGACAAGCTGCCTGCTTATATTCAGGGTCATGTGCCAGGATTCCTTATCCTTTTCATCAGTGTCCTTAGCCACAAAAACAGTCCCAAGTTTCCCATTTTGTATGAGACAGGACTTGGTTATGGAGTCAGGACTTTTCCTTATTCTTTGTCAGATAGCCACTCCCTAACTAGTCCCAAGGATTTGGTACAGTTACCTGGGTTTGGAAGTTTTGCTTCTCTTTGCAATCCAAGTCTCCATTTGCTATTACTGGCTCTGGCAGGCTGAGGATGGGCTAGGGGTTGTCTAGACCCCCTCATTTGATGGCAAAGCTCCCAGCCTGTACTCGTCTTAGAGTATCACTCTCACACTGCCAAAGTGACCAAGAAAAGGTGTAGTATAGCATTGCCTAGGCCATTTGAGCAGGATACAAAACACATTTCAGCATGTTCAATGTGTCAGGGGCATGGGTGGTAAGTGGCTCTAGGGGACTGACATTGTTCCCATATGGGCAGCAGGCCTTGGGGATGTACAAGGTCACCAAGGAGATATCACATGACCACAAAGATCATTTGCTGAAGACTCAAGCAGAGAATGGACCCAAATGGATTGGTATCATTTAGGCTGGACAACCTGTGCCACCACCCCAGGCTTTTCCTTTAGGTGGCTCAGGGACTCCTGGATGTTGTCCCTTTGTAAAAGGTTTCATAGTCTGACTGACTATATTTTCTTTCTTTGTGGCTGATGTGAACTTGACCTGAGAGTGGTAATCTACTGAATGCTCTTCTGTATGCTGGCATCCATTAATGGGCCAGGCCTGCAACCCATGGCAGGTTGGTGGAATCATAATCCTATGGTCCACTACCATCTCCGAAAACATCTGCACTCTAGTATATATGTCCAGGAAACTGCTCAGGGGAATCCTAGCAGCCTTGCGGTCTTGCAGGCTTTTTCTACTGTAAGAGTTCATCTCTTTCACAGTTGCCTCATAGGTTATGCGGAGAGAAGCTCCGTTGTGGGCAGAATTAGTCTTGTCCTTGAGAGGCTTGTCCACAAATCCAAGTGAAAAGGGAAAGATTATCCTCTGACATTGAGGTGAATGAGCTTCTTAGTGGAGTTATACCTTCCAGGATGGGTTGTACCCTAAGATTGATTGGTATGCTCCTTAGTGGGGCTATGGCCTGAGACATAACATAGGCTATAATATCCAACATAGACTACAATATCTTCACTTTATTTAAGTTGCATACTTCAGTCACCTTAAACCTCTGATGGAAAGTATCAAATAGTAATTTGATGCCTTCCTGAGTCAGATAAGGATGAGGTCACCATGTAAAATGTTGCGGGAAGTCAGGGACCCCAAATGGAGGGACTGGCTGAAGCCATGGCAGAAGAACATGGATTGTGAAGATTTCATGGACATTTATTAGTTCCCCAAATTAATACTTTTATAATTTCTTATGCCTTTCTTTACTGCAGTCTCTAAACATAAATTGTGAAGATTTCATGGACCCTTATCACTTCCCCAATCAATACCCTTGTGATTTCCTATGCCTGTCTTTACTTTAATCTCTTAATCCTGTCAGCTGAGGGGATGTATATCACCTCAGGACCCTGTAATAATTGCATTAACTGCACAAATTGTACAGCATGTGTGTTTGAGCAATATGAAATATGGGAATCTTGGAAAAAGAACAGGATAACAGCAATTGTTCAGGGAATAAGAGAGATAACCTTAAACTCTGACTGCTGGTGAGCCGGGCGGAACAGAGCCATATTTCTCTTCTTTCAAAAGCAAATGGCAGAAATATGGCTGAATTCTTTTTCTCAGCATGGGACATCCTGAGAAAGAGAATACGTGCCTGGAGGTATAGGATTATAAACAGCCCCCCCAGGGGCGCCTGTCTCTTATGGTTGAGACTGCAGAGATGAAATATACTCCAGTCTCCCATAGCGCTCCCAGGCTTATTAGGAAGAGGAAATTCCCACCTAATAAATTTTGTTCAGACCAGTTGATCTCAAAACCCTGTCTCCTGATAAGATGTTATCAATGACAATGGTACCTGAAACTTCATTAGCAATTTTAATTTCGCCTTGGTCCTGTGGTCCTGTGATCTTGCCCTGCCTCCACTTGCCTTGTGATATTCTATTACCCTGTTAAGTACTTGATGTCTGTCACCCACACATATTCGCACACTCCCTCCCCTTTTGAAACTCCCTAATAAAAACTTGCTGGTTTTTGTGGCTCGTGGGGCATCACGGATCCTACCAACGTGTGATGTCTCCCCTGGACGCCCAGCTTTAAAATTTCTCTCTTTTGTACTCTGTCCCTTTATTTCTCAAGCCGGCCGACGCTTAGGAAAAATAGAAATGAACCTATGTGATTATTGGGGTAGGTCCCCCGATAGTAGAAGACATTTCTGATAATGTGATATGCTCCTAAAGAATGACAGCTGCCTGACCAGAGTCATTCCTAGCATGAACTACCACATGGTTTGGCCTGCTGGGCCTGGGCAGCCGCCCCAGGGCAGCACAGACAGGACAGAAGCCAGACAGTGGATGTCCTGCCACTTAGGTCCTGCAACCCCTGCTGCTGTGGCCACACTCTGCCTCCTAACAGACAGTGTTGGCACTGACCCAGACCTCAACAGTATTTTAAGCCAATATTCTCATCCTCATGTCATGAAAGCATGATTGAAAATTTTGTGACCATTTGATAATGGCCTGAGATTATACTGTTAGCTCACATGCTGAATGAATTAGAGTCAGTTGAGCTGTGCCAGACAGAAAACTTAAAAATAAAGGTACTAGAAGTGTATTTCTCTATTACTTAAGTAAACTTGTAAGTTTTCAAGGGCTAATATGGTGGTTTTATGATAATCAGGTTCTACCATCAGCCAACATGGCTTCAAGTCATGGCACAATGATCACATTAGCATTTCAGGTATCAGGAAGAAGTTGGGCAAAGAAAGCCTCGCCTGTTCTTTTAAAGGACACTTTCTGGAAGTTGTACATTCATCATTTTCACTTATATTCTATTGGCCAACAAGTTCATGCAAAGGATGCTGGGAATTTAGTCTTTGTTATGCTTGGCCATATGGCCAGTGAAAAACTGGGGCAAGAAAAAAGTATAAATAGAGGGGACTACTAGCAGTTTCTGTCCTATATGCTTTAGCGGATGCAGGGGGAAAAAAATCTAAGGAGAGGAACTGTAGATATCTTCTTTGAAGGACATAGAACCTAGTAATTGCTGAGTCTCTAAAGAGACATGAGTTGTCATTGTTTAAGTTTTAAAGTATGTATGTGTTTTGGGACTGATTGGTTTTACTAACAAAGTGCTACAGAAAGAGTGTGTTCTCCCTGGCTGTGTTAAGAACTCTCACTTTCTCTCTGAGCCTTTTAGATTTTATGATTCTTCTTGAAGACCAGGACTGGTAAACAAGGTGTTGGAAGAAATTACAGAGAGCTGTGGAATCAACAGGGTTTTTGGAATCAGTTGTGTGAGAGGCACCAAGAGTTCTTACTTGGGGAGGGAAAAACAAAGGACTATCTCGTTTCTCTTTATTGCTTACAATTCTGATATAATAACTTGATGAAAAGTTTTTGAAATGTTTATTACTTAATGGTAAATTCTAGCATATTCTATACCAACTTGTGTATGTATGCCTTTAGAAACATATCTAGTAGAATTGCTGGGTCAAAGGAAACTTACAAATTCTGATTGATAGTGGCAAATTGCCTTCTAAAATAGTTTTACCATTTTACATACTGAGCACATTTTTACATTTTTACTGTGAAGACTGATAGAAAAAGAAATGACACAGCAACCTTGTGTGTTCTAAAACATTTTTTAAAAATAAAATTTCCACTAGAGGGAGAGGTTTAGCTATCTGAAAATTAAAAAGTAATCTAAATAGTAAAACCCTCAATTTACAGAATATTGTTGTAATAAAGTTATATTAATATAATATTTGAACTAAACATGACCTCAAATCATGTTAATAGAATGTTAGAACAAAGTGATGACTTATAGTTTGTCTAGGTCAACCCTATTATTTTATAAGTAAATGGATCCAGAGAGTTTGAATGATTACTCATGTTGGTGCAGCTATTGTTGTCCAAGGTGGTTGGGACATAGAGCTCTGTTGGCCAGATTTACTTTCTGGTGTTCTTAGTACTACATTTGTGAAGAGTTGTAAGGCCATCAGAATTAACGTTTATCAGCCTTCCATAATCCAAGCAATATAGTCAATTAGATTGGTAGGAGTTTGTGGGGAAAGTGGCAGGTTAAGTATGTTTCCATAACTTCTGTCCCAATGAAATGAACAAAATTATTCAAAAAATAAGCAATTTTTTTAAATGGAAGAGAATACAATTCCATTATCACAGGCTCCAAAGAAAATCTGTTTGATATTAATGACATTTGAGTCTAAACACTGAAATCCAATACAGGGTGCTTCATGAGAGATTTGTAAGTTTTACAAAGTTAAGCTGGCCACATTGGCTCACGCCTATAATCTCAGCACTGAGGGAAGCCAAGGCAGGAGGATAGCTTGAGCCCAGGAATTAAAGGCCAGCCTGGGCAACATAGCGAGACCCTGTCTCTAAAAAATATATATTTTTTTAAATAAAAAAGAAATTAGCCAGGCTTGGTTACTTACATATATAGTCCTAGCCACTTGGGAGGCTGAGACAGGAGGATTGCTTGAGCCCACAAATTCAAGGTCACAAAGAACTGTGATTGAACGACTGCATTCCAGCCTGGGCAATAGAGCAAAACCCTGTCTCAAAAAAAAAAAAAAAAAAAAAAAAGGACCAACTTAATGGCACCCTTTTCCTAAAGATCTCTACCCATAATCCTTCAGTTGTAGAGGAGAATGAGAACTGTGGGCTTAAGTGGACCATAGTAGAAAGGAATGTGGTACTGAGACACATGTAGGGGCTTTGAGGTCAGATTGTTTATAAGGTCTCTTCCCTTATTTACCAACTGGGGAGAATTGACCTAGTTAGCAGTACCACAAGCAGGGGAGAGATGGAAAGATGGAAAAACAATATTTTGAAGTCAGCTTTTGAGTTGTTAAACAGGATTCTATAACCCAACAAAAAATTTGTTTTTGCCTATCCTAATGGGTGAAAAGCTGAAATCTAACATGTATCTACACATACTTGACCAAGAGACCAGATGTGCTCCTGAGATTTTTGCTTTCCTTTTCCTTTCTTTGCTTTTTTTTCTGGTAACAGTTCTATTGAGATATAATTCACATACCATATAACTTACCAGTTTAAAGTGTACAGTTCAATACTTTTTTTAAAGATGTAATTTATTTGGAATCCAAGCTTTGTTTCACAAGTTTATTATTTATTTTTATTATTATTATTGTTATTCTTTTTGAGACTGAGTCTCGCTCTGTTGCGCAGGCTGTAGTGCAGTGGCACGATCTTGGCTCGCTGCAACCTCTGCCTCCTGTGCTCAAGCGATTCTCCTGCCTCAGCCTCCCGAGTAGCTGGGATTACAGGCGCCTGCCACGACGCCTAGCTAATTTTTTGTATTTTTAGTAGAGACGGGGTTTCACCGTGTTGGTCAGGATGGTCTCCAACTCCTAACCTCAGGTGATTCACCCGCCTCTGCCTCCCAAAGTGCTGGATTACAGGCGTGAGCCACCGCGCCCGGCCAGTCTTTGCTCATCTTATAGGTAAAAATGGCATCTTATCGGCCAGGCGCGGTGGCTCCCGCCTGTAATCCCAGCACTTCAGGAGGCAGAGACGGGGGGATCAGGAGGTCAAGAGATTGAGACCGCCTGGCACGGTGGCTCACGCCTGTAATCCCAGCACTTTGGGAGGCTGAGGCAGGTGGATCACGAGGTCAGGAGATCGAGACCATTCTGGCTAACACGGTGAAACCCCGTCTCTACTAAAAAATACAAAAAAATTAGCCAGGCATGGTGGCGGGCACCTGTAGTCCCAGCTACTCGGGAGACTGAGGCGGGAGAATGGCGTGAACCCGGGAGGCGGAGTTTGCAGTGAGCCGAGATCGCGCCACCACACTCCAGCCTGGGCGACAGAGCGAGACTGTCTCAAAACAAAAACAAAAACAAAACAAACGAGATTGAGACCATCCTGGCCGACATGGTGAAACCCCATCTCTACTAAAAATACAAAAATTAGCCGGGCGTGGTGGTGGGCACCTGTTGTCCCAGCTCCCCAGCTTTGGGGAGAATGAGGCAGAAGAATCGCTTGAATCCAGGAGGCGGAGGTTGCGGTGAGCCGAGATCGCGCCACTGCACTCCAGCCTGGTGACAGAGCAAGACTCCGTCTCCAAAAAAAAAAAAAAAAGGCATCTTACCTTATTGTTTTAATTTACAATTATTATTAGTGAGATTGAACTTTTTTTGTTTTTGTTTTGTTTCTGTCATGATTACTCTTTCCTTTTATTTGGTGGCATTTCATTTTGCATATTTCAAAAGTATTTTTGTCTTTTTGAAGTTTACTGTGCTTTGATACAGAAATTTTTATCTTTATTTTAGAATAAGGAGAGATTATCTTCTGCTGTTACTGACCTCAACATAATAATGGAGCCCACAGAATGCTCAGAATTAAGTGAATTTGTGTCTAGGTAAGCTATTTTACAAACTTACTTTTTTAGAGAAAAAAAGTAAATTTACACTTTACAGTTTTAAGTTTACCTTTTCCTCTTCTTAGTAAGTAAATAGGTCTTCTCTGAAAGTATAACACCACTGTTGTGCTTATATTTGAGCCCATATTCTCTATATCTATCATTCTTTCATTTAGTTTATATTTATTGCACATTCACTATGTGCTGGGTATTAAAATTAAAATGTGAGCAAAAAAAGACACAATCCTCAGTCCTCATGGAATTGACAGTCTAGTGGAGAAGTTAGATATTGATCAAATAATGGCAGAAGTAAATATAAAATTATGGCTATGTTAAATGCTACAAAGGAGAGTTACATAATGCTGTTGAAGTATATATCAGGAATTTTTGTTTTTTATTATTTTTGTATTTTTTTTTAAATTAGAGATGGGGTCTCACTATATTGCCCAGGCTGTTCTCAAACTCCTAGGCTCAAGCAGTCCTCCTGCCTTAGCCTCCCAAAGTGTTTATCAGGAATTTGACTAGCAGAGAGAACATGAAATCATTTGCTGAAGCTTGAACTGACATCTGAAAAATGAGTAGGTGTGAACTAACAAAGAGGGAATAACTTTGCTGAGCACTGTGCCAGCAGGGAGCATGGTGTCTGTGAGCAATTGACACAGGGCCACAGTGACAGGTGGAGGCAAGAGCCTAGGAGAATGGTGTAAGATGAGGTTAGGAAATTAGGTAAGGTCCATACTACTGGGAATTGGGTATAAAGAGTGTTATCACAGTCCCAGGACCAAGTGAAACTATTGAAAAGTTTTGAGCAGGGCCTGAGGAAAGCAAAAGTGTGGCATCCTAGAAAGAATTATTCTGGATACTATGGGGAAATGGAATGAAGGGGTGCAATCATTGATACAAGTGAGTCAATGACTAGTCTTTTAAAACAGTTCAGGCAAGAGAAGTTTGTAGTTTGGACTGAAATGATGATACTTAGCTAGATGGATTTGGGGGATAATTAGGAAGCAAAAATGAGTGGGCATGGGATTGCTTGAGTAAAAGGGATTAGAGGTCATTCACAGGGGATAACTCTTTGATTATGGTGGTCCCGTCTGCTGTTAAGGGAAGGTTGGAAGAGGACCATTGTCAGGTGACATTATGACTTTATTTTGGACATATGGGACTTGAGTGCCTTTGAAAACACTGAAATAAAAATGAGAAAGAGGCAGCACAGTAGAGGTGGGGGTGGGAGATATAGAACACTGGAATTATCTTCTATTGGGTAGGAATTAAAGCCTTGAGCAGGAATGAGTTTGCCTATGAAGGAATATAGAGTAGAACTAGAAAAGGCCCTAGAACTGAGCCTTGAGGAATTCTAAAATATACTGGCTGAATAGAAGGGAAGGATCCTGCAAAGGAATTAGAAAAGGAACTGTTTGAGAGGTAGGGAGAATACCAAGAATGTGTTGTGTCATGGCAGAGATCACATATTTCCTTTTGTTCAGACCATAGTTTGGAAGTAGCATCTGCTATTTGGAAATTACAAAAGGAAGAGTAGTGAGATATCTCTCTTCCTGTAATAATGAGCATATTATAGTTACTTAATAAATATTTAATCCCAGCTTTTTGGGCAATTTTTTAGACTGGGTTCCCATTTTGTGGAGAGTGACTGGTATTTTAGAAAGGGTGCTGAACATAGGTCAGAAGACCTGGATTTTATTCCAGATTCAACTACGTGTAAGTTACCTCTCCTTTTGGAGTTTCTTTCTTCTTTATCTCTGCTGTTATGCAATTTAAATGTTATATGCCTAATTATGAATTTATTTTTAGTTTTTCATTATAGATCTGTAGTTTTTCAGACAGGATTGGTATCTTTAGGTTTTGAAAAATTTTTAGTCATTATTTTATTGACTCTTGCTTCTACCTTGATCTTCCCTTATCACAGTCTACTTTCACTTTAAATAGTAAGCATTTCACATGTACTATAAGAACAACAGTATACTTTCCATTTATTTTCCCTCAACCATTGTATTATTATTTTCATATAATTGTCATACACTTTTACATGTTCCAAATGTCTCAGGGCATTGTTACTATGTTTGCCTTAGACTGTCAATTATTTTTTAAAGCAATTAAAAATAAGACAAAACTTGTTTTGTTTTGTTTTGTTTTGAGATGGAGTCTTACTCGGTCACCCAGGCTAGAGTGGAATGGCATGATCTTGGCTCACTGCAACCTCTGCCTCCCAAGTTCAGGCAATTCTCCTGCCTCAGCCTCCTGAGTAGCTGGGATTGCAGGCATCCAGCCACCATGCCCAGCTAATTTTCTTTCTTTCTTTCTTTCTTTTTTTTTTTTTTTTGTGCATTTTTGGTAGAGACAGGGTTTTACTACATTGGCCAGGCTGGTCTTGAACTCCCGACCTCAAATGATCCACCCACCACGGCCTCCCAAAGTGCCAGGATTACAGGCATGAGCCACCGTGCCTGGCTGACAAAACGTGTTTTTGTATATTTATCTTCATTTTTTCATTTCCAACATTCTTCATTTCTTTATTTCATTCTTCATTTCATTTGATTCAGATTTCTAACTGCTATGCTCCTTCTTCCTTAAGAACTTCCTATAACTTTTTTTTTTTTTTTTGAGATGGAATTTCGCTCTTTTTGCCCAGGCTGGAGTGCGATGGCACAATCTCAGCTCACTGCAACCTCTGCCTCCCGGGTTCAAGTAAATTTCCTGCCTCAGCCTCCCAAGTAGCTGGGACTACAGGTGTGTACCACCACACCCGGCTAATTTTGTATTTTTAGTAGAGACGGGGTTTCACCATGTTGGTCAGGCTGGTCTCAAACTCCTGATCTCAGGTGATCCACCCGCCTTGGCCTCCCAAAGTGCTGGGAATACAGGCGTGAGCCACCGCACCTGACCCTTTAACATTTCTTACTGTGCTTGTCTGTTGGCCGTAATATCTATCAGCTTTTGTTTCTCTGGAAAGGTCTTAATTTTGCCTTCATTTTTTGAAAGATATTTTTGCTGGCCATAGAATTCTGAGTAGACAGGTTTAAAGATAAAAAACATATATCTTTAAACATACTCTTTCATAATCTGGATTGCATAGGTTGTGACAAAAAGACTGCGATGATTGTTATCTTTATTTTTCTGTATTAGTGTGTCATGTGTGTGTGCTTGGGGCAGCCTTAAATCTTTCTCTTAATTTTGTGTTTCTGTAGTTTGTGCTATGTTTAGGGTATATTTGTGTGAAAATTATCAACCATGTCTTTTAAAGTATTTATTTTGCCCTGTGTCACTCTAATGACACATATGTTAGACTATTTGACATATTGTCCCAGCATTTGGATGCTCTGTTCTATTTCTTTCATGCCTTTTTTCCTTTGTGTTTCAGTTTGGATAATTTCTATTAACCTATCTGCAACTTCGCAGAGTCTTTCCTCTGTTGCAGTACTGTCTGCCAGTGGGCCCATTTAAGGAGTTCTTTATGTCGCTTGTAATGCTTTTTATTTCTTGTGTTTTCATATTCCCTTGTATGAATGTACCATAGTTTGTTTATTCATTTACCCATTGAAGGATATCTGGGTTATTTTCAGTTTTTGGTGAATATAGCATATTATATATACTTTTTTTTTTATTTTTTTTTTTTTGAGACGGAGTCTCGCCCTGTCACCAGGCTGGAGTGCTGTAGTATGATATCAGCTCGCTGCAACCTCTGACTCCCTGGTTCAAGTGATTCTCCTGCCTCAGCCTCCCGAGTAGCTGGGATTATAGGCACGCACCACCACACCCAGCTAGTTTTTGTATTTTTAGGAGAGATGTGGTTTCACCATGTTGGCCAGGATGGTCTCGATCTCCTGACCTAGTGATCCGCCCACCTCAGCCTCCCAAAGTGCTGGGATTACAGGCGTGAGCCACCACGCCTGGCCTATGTATACATTTATGTAGCATATTATAGTGTATAATATAGCATATTATCTTTATATATGTTTGTATGTATACACACACATACACATGCATTCATGCTGCTACAAACATTCATATGCTATAAATATGTATATTACACACACAAACATACATGTATATGCTGCTGTGAACATTCACTAGAGGTTTTTGTGTGAATGTAAGTTTTCTTTTCTCTAGGGTACATAACCAGAAGTGGAATTGCTGAGTCGTATAAGAGTATGTTTAAATTTATAATAAACTGCCAAACCGTTTTCCAGAATGACCATACTGTTTTGTATTCCCACCAGTAATGTGTGAGAATGTCTGTTAATATTTTTGTGAATTAATTTCTGATGGTCACCTAATTTTAGATGTAATAGTCCCAGGAATTTATTGTTAGAATAAAATTTTGGAATCTTTATCCTAAATTTCTCTTTGTGTTCGCTTTATACTTGAGAAGGAGACATTTGGAGTTATTTTTGTTTCCTGACTACTTTAGCTGAAATTGAAATGGGTTACTGCCAACATTTTATGAAAGAAATCCATGACATCTGTTTTACGTTTAGTGAAGTTTGGACTTTGCTTAGGAAAAATAGATAAATTACAGTCATTCTTACAGCTGTGAGAGCCAACACCCACACCCACACACAAAATTTCTTTCTATATGGAAAACTCTTATGTGCTGTAGTACAGTATCCTTTATGAAGATGCAAATGGAAGAATAAAGGAATTGTGAATTTTTTAAAGTTCATTGTAAAAGAACAGTCTTTTCTTCTGTGTGTATGTGTTTAAACTTGAGTCATCATAGCTTTTAAGATTATTTTCATGGCTTACTCCCTCATCACATGATTAAGAGTTTATTTTTTTGCTCACTTGTTTGATGGAGAACGAAATATCGTGTCACTGTGGCCTTTAAGCGTGAATGAACTAATTTCTCCTCTTTGTAGGCCCATACTTTTTGGAAAACAATTTTTTTCAGATGTTTAAATAATTTTTAAAATAGTTATTAGACTGACTTTTAACACATAATCTCCAGTGTTCCCTATAAACTACATGCTTATGCAGCTTTGTGTTAATTCAGCTATTATTTTATGTTCTTTGTTTTCAGTGAATCTACTTGGTTTTTTTGTTCACTATTGCCCAGGCTGGTCTCAAACTCCTAGGCTCAAGCAGTCCTCTTGCCTTAGCCTCCCAAAGTGTTTATCAGGAATTAGACTAGCACAGAGAACATGAAATCATTTCCTGAAGCTTGAGCTGACATCTGAAAAATGAGTAGGTGTGAACTAACACCTACTAACACCCTTTCTTGCCTTCTTTTAGATTATTTAACTTGTTTTCCTATTTTTTTACTGTGGCAAAATACTTACAAAATCTACCAACTCAACCATGTTAAAGAGTACACTTCAATAATAGTAAATACATTCATTATGTTGTACAACCATCACCACTATCTGTCAACATAACTCTTTCCTCTTTTAAAACAGAAACTTTGGCCAGGTGTGGTGGCTCACGCCTATAATCCCAGCACTTTGGGAGGCTGAGGCGGGTGGATCATGAGGTCAGGAGTTCAAATCCAGCATGGTGAAACCCTGTCTCTACTAAAAATACAAAAACTAGCTGGGCATGGTGGCACGTGACTGTAGTCCCAGCTACTTGGGAGGCTGAGGCAGGAGAATCGCTTGAACCTGGGAGGCGGAGGTTGTGGTGAGCCGAGAGCACCACTACACTCCAGCCTGGGTGACAGAGTGAGACTATCTCAAAAAAAAAAAAAAAAAACCAGAAACTTTGTACCCATAAACAATAACTCCCACTTCCTCCCTCTCCTCATCCACCATTCTACTTTTTGTCTGTGTGATTTTGATTAATACTATCTAAGTATTAATCTAAGTACCTCATATAAGTAGAATCATACAGTATTTGCCTTTTTTCTTTAGATGGAGTCTCGCTCTGTCGCCCAGGCAGGCGTGCAGTGGTGTGATCTCTGCTCACTGTAACCTCTACCTCACCAGGGATTCTCCTGCCTCAGCCTCCCAAGTAGCTGGGATTACAGGCACCCGCTACCATGCCCAGCTAATTTTTATATTTTTAGTAGAGAAGGGGTTTTGCCATATTGGCCAGGCTGGTCTTGAATTCCTGACCTCAGGTGATCTAGCCATCTCGGCCTCCCAAAGTGCTGGGATTACAGGCGTGAGCCACTGTGCCTGGCCAGTATTTGCCTTTTTTGACTGGTTTATTTCGCTGAGTGTAATGTTGTCAAGGTTCATCCATGTGGCATAAGTCAGAATTTCTTTTTCTTTTTCTTTTCCTTTTTTTTTTTTTTTTTTAAGCACCACACAAGCTTTATTTGCACCATCTATATAAGATAGTCCTGGCCATGCACAGTGGCTCATACCTGCAATCCCAGCATGTTGGGAGGCCAAGGTGGGCACATCACCTGAGGTCAGGAGTTAGAGACAAGCCTGGCAAACATGGAGAAACCCTGTCTATACTAAAAATACAAAAATTAGCTGAGTGTGGTGGTGGGCGCCTGTATCCCCAGCCACTCGGGAGGCTGAGGCACGAAAATCGCTTGAACCGGGGAGGCGGAGGTTGCAGTGAACCAAGATTGTGCCACTGCACTCCTCTGGGTGACAGAGCAAGACATCATCTGAAAAAACAAAACCAAAACCAAAAAAAACTAAGATAGTTCTGTGAATCTGTCCCATTGAGAGAAGACAGGGCCTTTTCTCTCAAGCCTGTTGCTTAAAGCCTGTGTGTGTGTGTGTGTGTGTGTGTGTGTGTGTGTGTGTATACATATATATATATATATATATATATATATAATATAACGGGGAGTTTATTAAATATTAACTCACATGATCACAAGGTCCCGTAATAGGCCGTCTGCAGGCTGAGGAGCAAGGAGAGCCAGCCTGAGTTCCAAAACTGAAAAACTTGGAATTCAGTGTTCAAGGACAGGAAGCATCCACCACAGGAGAAAAATGTAGGCTGGGAGGCTAGGCCAGTCTAACCTTTTCATGTGTTTCTGCCTGCTCTATATTCACTGGCAGCTGATTAGATAGTGCCCATCCAGATTAAGGGTGAGTCTGCCTTCTCCAGCCCACTGTCTCAAATGTTAATCTCCTTTGGCAATACCCTCACAGACGCACCCAGGATTAATACTTTGTATCCTTCAATCCAATCTAGTTGACACTTAGTATTAACCATGACAAGTCCACCCCTTGTCAACTTGAACCCATACACATCTCCTAAGATCATACATAATCTTCAAATAAAGACAATAATAGTCATAATTGTGCCTAACATACAACTATCCTTCATAAAACCAGAAACTCACCAATCCCCAACCCAAATACTATTACATAAAGTTGATAATACTTAAATGCTGATATGAAGTCAATAAATCATATGTCACATGATAAAGGAAAAAGGAAATAAAATGAAAGTACTTTCTTAGTGCAAGTGTATACATGCACAAACATATTTTTAACGAAAGAAGAAGGAAGTACTCATGACAATTACAGTCCCCGTTTCTGCAGCTGGTCATGTGGTCATAGCTGGTACTGATGACTCCCTTCTTTTACTACCCATTATGTATTCCCTTTGCGTTCAGCAAGCACCTCAGGGGGTCGTGTTTTTTTCCTGATGGAGCGACCCAAACCTTCATTCCTGAAGGATCTGGGCCATTTGTAGTCCTGTTTGGATTGGGCTGTCGTAGTTTCCCATTAACCTTACTTACAGGGCTTGGTAATACTAAGAGAAGCCGTAATGAATCTCTGCTATTCCATGCATATTCTTCCTTACCTCCATTGTGAAGTAGTAGAATGATTTCATCTTGATAGTCTGGGTCAGTCATCCCAGCCAACACTGTAACTCCCTTCTTAGCCTGTTGACTTAAATGTAGGAGGAGCCCAAAGTGTCCAGGTGGCAATCTTAACTTCCAGTTTAATGAGATCTTTGTTGTGTCTCCTGGAGGCAGCGTTCCTCCCTCTGGAACTAAGACCTCTAGGCCAGCAGAATGTAATGTCGCAGGAACAGGAAGCAAAAATTTTGCCAGTAGATCACTAGGGGTGTTGGTGAGTGGTGCCACTTCAACTTCCACCCCTTGATTCCTGGACCCATGAATCTTGGCTATGGAAGAAACAGTACCATATATTGGATGCTGATTCAGAGCATACATGGCCTTCTGGAGAGATTTGCCCCAGCTTTGCAAAGTATTGTCACCTAGTTAGCATTGTAATTGTGACTTCAAAAGGCCATTCTACTGTTCTGTCAATCCAGCTGCTTCAGGATGATTGGGAACATGGTAAGACCAGTGAATTCCATGAGCATGAGCCCACTGCTGCACTTCTTTAGCCGTAAAGTGAGTGCCTTCATCAGAGGCAATGCTGTATGGCATACTGTGATGGTGGATAAGGCATTCTGTGAGTCCACGATGGTAGTCTTGGCAGAAGCATTGCATGCAGTATAGGCAAACCCATATCCGGAGTAAGTGTCTATTCCAGTGAGGACAAACCTCTGCCCTTTCCATTATGGAATAGGCCCAATATAATCAACCTGCCACCAGGTAGCTAGCTGATCACCCCAAGAAATGGTGCCATATCGGGGGTCAGTGTTGATCCCTGCTGCTGGCAAATTGGCCTTGTCAGACGTGGTGAGTGGAAGTCCTTGTTGCTGAGCCATGCGTAACCTCCATCCCTGCCACCATGGCCACTTTACTTTGTTCATGGGCCCATTGAGCAATGATAGGGGTGGCTGGGGAAAGAGGCTGAGTGATGGATTATCCTATCCCTTGATTATCCATCCTATCCACTTAAAAATGCTAAAGGAAGGGGTCTCACTCTGTTGCCCAGGCTGGTCTTGAACTCCTGGACTCTTGCTATCCTCCTGCCTTGTCCTCCCAAAGTTCTGGGATTATAGGCATGAGCCACCACACATGTCCTTGCAATTTCATTTTATGCCACTTTAACTTAAAAAAAGTTTAAAAGACCTGTGTTTCTTTAGAGCTCTGTCCCCTATTGGGGGAACCCACCCCCAATATTTCAGCATAGGTTCTTTCTATTTTCCATAAGTGTCGGCTGGCTGAGAAATAAAGAGAAAGAGTAAAAAGAGAGGAATTTTACAGCTGGGCCGCTGGGGGTGACGTCACATATCAGTAGGACCGTGATGCCTGCCTGAGTCTCAGACCAGCAAGTTTTTATTAAGGGTTTCAAAAGGGGAGGGGGTATAAGAACAGGGAGTAGGTACAAAGATCACATGCTTCCAAGGGCAAAAAGCAGAACTACTAATAAGGGTCCAACAAAGATCACAAGGCAAAGGGCAAAAGCAGAACTACTGATAAGGGTCCATGTTCAGCGGTGCACATATTGTCTTGATAAACATCTTAAACAACAGAAAACAGGGTTTGAGAGCAGAGAACCGGTCTGGCCACAAATTTACCAGGGCGGAGTTTTTCCCCACCCTAGTAAGCCTGTGAGGGTACTGCAGGAGACCAGGGCGTATCTCAGTCCTTATCTCAACTGCATAAGACAGACATTCCCAGAGTGGCTGTTTATAGACCTCCCCCCAGGAATGCATTCCTTTCCCAGGGTATTAACATTAATATTCCTTGCTAGGAAAAGAATTTAGCGATATCTCTCCTACTTGCATGTCTGTTTTTTTTTTTCTTCAAGTAATTCAGCCACTACTTTAATACCACACTCTACATAAAACAAACACATTAAATGCCAAGCTGGCAGAGCCTCCCAGTATGCACTACAGCTGCAAAAATAATGACATGGAAGGTTTCTTTTTGAAGGCTGAATTATTTGAGAGAAAATCAAACCATTTCTTTTAGACCAATCTAGCTGAACAAATAAGACTTCTGTAAAGATTAAGGAGTCTATAGCACAAGAAATGCAGCATATTCATTTGCTATAGCTTCTACTCTTCGAATTTTACACTGGAGACCTAAAAAAAGAATAGCTTAAGTCTAAAATAGCCCATTATGAGACATTTCATATGCATAAATTCTCAATATTTCATAAATACTGTAACTACCAAAAAATCATTCATGCCTTAGATTTAGCAAATGGACCCTTGTGGAACATTGCATTTCTCAACCTGAGCAAACATAAGTTAAATATTTATAAAACAAAATATACTGAAACTATTTCAATTCTTGTAGGGGTAGAATAGACACTTTAAAGGAATCAGCCTGAACTTAGGAGTCTTCTGTGTATTAATAGTGAATATGCATATGCAAAAACTCTACAGAAATATTAAAATTGATAGAGTTTCTAAATTTTCATATCATATCAGAATATATAAACACAGGGGTTAGTCAACTATTTTACTAACTGATTGATATTGTCAGTCAGTATTGATTAGTTTGGTATTTAAAAATATATGGAAGTAAACTAAAAATAACTACTGCTTAGAAAACCTCAGCTGATATGTGGAAGGATTAGATAATTGGAACACTACAGAAAGGAGCAAAATGAAGAGTAGAATTCTCTGTCACTCAACTAACCCCATCTCTTTCTCCAAAGGCAGCCACTATTCAATTTTACTTCTGTTTCCTTCTGGAAAGGGTGAGAAAAAGATTTATTAATGTAGCAACAACTTGCACATCTGTTTATAGGCTCTCTGCAAGAAGAAAAATATGGCTCTTTTTGCCCGACCCCACAGGCAGTCAGACCTTATGGTTGTCTTCCCCTGTTCCCTGAAAATCGCTGCTATTCTGTTCTTTTTCAAGGTGCACTGATTTCATATTGTTCAAACACACATGTTTTACAATCAATTAGTACAGTTAACACAGTTGTCACAGTGGTCCTGAGGTGTCGTACATCCTCAGCTTATGAAGATAACAGGATTAAGAGATTGAAGTAAAGACAGGCATAAGAAATTATAAAAGTATTATTTGGGAACTGATAAATGTCCATATCAAAATGAAATCTTCACAATTTATGTTCAGAGATTAAAGACAGGTGTAAGAAATTATAAAAGTATTGTTTGGGAACTGATAAATGTCCATATTAAAATGAAATCTTCACAATTTATGTTCAGAGATTAAAGACAGGTGTAAGAAATTATAAAAGTATTATTTGGGAACTGATAAATGTCCATTTTAAAATGAAATCTTCACAATTTATGTTCCTCTGCCGCAGCTCCAGCTGGTCCCTCCGTTCGGGGTCCCTGACTTCCTACAACAGTCCCCAGCCTTTTGAATTATTGATGTTATGAACTTGTATATTTATATGTTGTGCACCCCAAAATGTAAACTAATAATTCTTTAAAATGCATTAGTTTTTTAAATTACATAGAAAATAATGTGGAGTCACAAATGAAAATTACATTAATACTAGCTTTTAGTCTAATTTTTAAAAAATGTATTAGTCTGTAAAATCATGTAGGAAACAAAAAGTAGAGTAACAAACTATTGTTGCAAAAATACTAGCTTTTATAATTTCACATGTATTTACCTTTATTGAGTCTTTTTTTTTGTTTTTTTAAACTTTTTACTTCTTTTGCCTTTTTCCATATGTTCTAAGAGTCTATTTCTTAATATGTCTTCAGGTTACTGTCTAGTGTCCTTTCTTTCACTCTACAGAATTCTCTTGACCATTTCTTACAGAGAAAGTTTAATGATAACCAACTCCCTCAACTTTTGTTTGCCTGAGAATGTCTTAATTTCTCCTGCACTTTTTTTATTTTTTGTTTTATTTTTCTTTTCTCCAGCCACATCCCTTTGATCATCTCCCTCATTATTATTATTATTATTATTATTATTATTATTATTATTATTATTATTTTGAGATGGAATTTCACTCTTGTTGCCCAGGCTGGAGTTCAATGGCGCGATCTCAGCTCACCGCAACCTCTGCCTCCCGGGTTCAGGTGATTCTCCTGCCACGGCCTCCCAAGTAGCTGGGATTACAGGCATGCGCCACCACTCCTGGCTCATTTTTTTTGTATTTTTATTAGAGATGGTGTTTCTCCATGTTGGTTAGGCTTATCTCCGATTCCCGACCTCAGGTGATCCTGCCTTGGCCTCTGAAAGTAGTGGGATTACAGGTGTGAGCCACCGCACCCGGCCACTATCTCCCTCACTTTTTAAGGACAGTTTTGCAGAATAGAAAATTCTTGGTTGACAGATTTTTTTTTTTCTTTTAGCACTTTGAATATATGACCTCACTGACTTCTGGCCTCCATACTTTCTGATGAAAAATCTGCTGATCATTTTATTGAACATCCCTTGTATGTGACCAGTCTCTTTTCTCTTGCTGCTTTCAAGATATTCTCTCTTTGTCTTTGTCTTTTGACAGCTTGATTATAATGTTTCTCTATGTGGATCTCTTAGTTCATCTTGGAGTTCTTTGAGTCTCTTGGATGTTTTATATTCATATCTTTCATCAAATTTGGGATGTTTTAACACTTTATTCTGTCTGCTTCTTCCTCTCTTTTTTTTTTTTTCTGAGACTCCTACAGTGCAGAAGTTGGTAGTTTGTTCTCTTGACATGTCCCCATGTCCCACAGTTTCCTTACATTCTTTTTTTTTCTTTTTAATGGAGTTTCCCTCTGTCACCCAGGCTAGAGTACAGTGGCGCAATCTCAGCTCACTGCAACCTCCACCTCATAGGTTCAAGCAATTCTCCTGCCTCAGCCTCCCGAGTAGCTGGGATTACAGGTGCCTGCTGCCACATTCAGCTAATTTTTTGTATTTTTAGTAGAGATGGGGTTTCACCATGTTGGTGTGGCTGGTCTTGAACTCCTGACCTCAAGTGATCCACCCACCTTGGCCTCCCAAAGTGCTAGGATTACAGGCATGAGCCACCACGCTCAGCTAGTTTCCTTACATTCTGTTCACTTTTCCTCATTCTTTTTTCTTTTTATTTCTCAGACTTGACAATTTCTATTGTCCTATCTCCAGGTTTGGTGATTTTTCTTTCTGCCTACTCAAATCTGCCTTTGAATTCCTGTAGTGAATTTTTCATTTTAATTATTGTACTTTTCACTTCCAGAATTTCTTTTGGTTTTCTTTTAGGTTTCTTTCTTTGTATTGATATTTCTATTGTGTTCCTGTATCATTTTCTTAACTTTCTCCAGATCTTTCTTTAGCATTTTTAAGATGGTGGTTGTAAAGTCTGTATGGTAGATCTACCATCAGATTTTTTTTCAGGGATGCTGTCTATTCATTTATTTTTTTTCATTTCACGAGGCCATTCTTTTGTATCTCTTTTTTTTTCTTTCTTTCTTTTTTTTTTTTTTGAGATGGAGTTTCGCTCTTGTTGCCCAGGCTGGAGTGTAATGGCATGATCTGGGTGCACTGCAACCTCTGCCTCCCAGGTTCAAGCGATTCTCCTGCCTCAGCCTCCCAAGTAGCTAGGATTAAAGGCATGTGCCACCACACCCAGCTAATTTTGTATTTTTAGTAGAGAGGGGGTTTTGCCATGTTGGTCAGGCTGGTCTTGAACTCCCGGCCTCAGGTGATCCGCCTGCCTTGGCCTTTCAAAGTGTTGGGATTACAGGCATGAGCCACCGTGCCCAGCCTTCTTTTATATTTCTTTGTATCCCTTGTGTTTTGTTGTTATTGTTGTTGAAAAGGGCTCATTTGAACCTAATAATGTGGTAACCCCCAAAGTCAGATTCTCCCTCTTCCCCAGGGTTTACAGGCTTGTTATTGTTATTATTTATTTTATTTATTTATTTATTCATATTTTTGTAGGCCATCTCTGTGCCAGGGATTAACCTGAGGTATAAACTTAAGGTCTTCTCAGTTTGTTTCTGGGCTTGAAGCTTTCCATGGGTATGTGCAATCTCTTACAGAATCTCCCCTTATATGCAGTTATTTGTCAATGTCCTAGTCTTGATTGTTCGGCTCTTAGAAAGGGGAAATGAAGAAAATGAAGGTGGGAAAAAAGGAGCTCTGGCCTTTTAAGTCCCCTGGAAATCACTTCAACTGGAGGAAGCAGGGTTTTCAAAAGTGTGGGGATGTGTAACTACAATGGCTGCCTGACTCTTTGTCTACACTTCTGTGATAAGAAGCCGCAGTGAACAAAACACAGATCCTTTATGGCTGGAGGACAGGGTCCTTTTTTTTTTTTTGCTTGCTCTGGCTTCTATAAGCTGTGTGTAAGCTGCTCTGGTTATACTCACATGACTGCCTGCCAGGGGGGTGGGGGTGAAGAAATGGGTAGCTGCTGCTATACTAAGAGCTGAAATTTGCTAAAATTAATCACAATTTACCATCCAAGCCCTTCTCCAAGCCTTTGCCTGGATGTTGCCAGCCTTCATTAGACTCAGAGTTTCCAAATGGTTATATCAAACAGATTCTGCCAGTGAAATTGTTATATAAGTGGAGAGATGGAATTCTGGTACTTCCTATTCTGTCATCTTCTCAAAACCCTCTCCTTTAAATATATTTTAATATTCTCTTTTAATTTATTTCATTCACGTTTTGGCTATATTTGTATTATTTTTTATTGGCTGCTGTGGGGATTATAACATACGTAACCTAACTTTTAACAGTCTATTTAGATTTGATACTTTACCACTGCAGTTATAGTCTTGTGGTCCTATAACCACATGGATCACTTCCCCTTCCTGCTTCATGTGGTAGTTTTCATGTGAATTATATTCACATGTATGTGCTGAAAAACTCCATTAGTCCAGTCTGAGCAACAAAGGAAGACCCTATCTCTACAAAAACAACAACAAAATTAGCTTATTGTAGTGGGGTGCACTCGTAGTCCCAGCTACTTGGTAGGCTGAGGTAGGAGAATTACTTGAGCCCAGGAGTTCGACAGTGCAGTGAGCTGTGATTATGCTATTGCACTTTAGCCTGGGAGACTGAGACCCTGTCTCAAAATATAATAATGATAATAATAAAACTCCATTAGATAACATTATAATGTTTTACTTCAACTGTCATACATACTTTAAATAACTTAAGAAAAGGCTAATAGTTTGTCATATTTCTCCAGATTTTTATTTTTTATTTTTATTTATTTATTATTATTATTTTTTGAGATGGAGTCTTGCTGTCGCCCAGGCTGGAGTGCAATGGCGTAATCTCAGCTCACTGCAAGCTCTGCCTCCTGGGTTCACACCATTCTTCTGCCTCAGCCTCCCGAGTAGCTGGGACTACAGGCGCCCACCACCACACCCGGCTAATTATTTTTGTATTTTTTAGTAGAGACAGGGTTTCACTGTGTTAGCCAGGATAGTCTCGATCTCCTGACCTCGTGATCCGCCCGCCTCGGCCTCCCAAAGTGCTGGGATTACAGGCGTGAGCCCCCGCCCCCGGCCATATTTATCTAGATTTTTAATGTTTCTGCTGCTGTTCTTGATATGGAGCCTTTTTAGGACATGTTGCATGTATCATGGCTCATTTCCCATAAATACTTAAGTGTGTATTTTTATTATTTTACTTTATTTATTTATTTATTTATTTATTTATTGAGATGGAGTCACACTCTGTTGCCCAGGCTGGAGTGCAGTGGCAAGATCTTGGTTCACTGCAACCTCTGCCTCCCAGGCTCAAGTGATTCTCCAGCCTCAGCCTCCCTAGTAGCTGGGACTACAGGCACATGCCACCACATCTGGCTAATTTTTGTATTGTTAGCAGAGACGGGGTTTCGCCGTATTGGCCAGGCTGGTCTCGAACCCCTGACCTCAAGTGATCCATGCACCTCAGCCTCCCAAAGTGTTGGGATTACAGGCATGAGCCACCGTACCTGGCCTTATTTTATTTTATTTTATTTTATTTTATTTTATTTTATTTTATTTTATTTTATTTTGAGATGGAGTCTTGCTCTGTCACCCAGGCTGGAGTGCAGTGGCACAATCTTGGCTCACTGCAACCTCCGCTCCCCAGGTTCAAGTGATTCTCCTGCCTCAGCCTCCTGAGTAGCTAGGATTGCAGGCATGCACCACCACGCACAGCTAATTTTTTTGTATTTTTAGTAGAGATGGGGTTTCACCATGCTGGCCAGGCTGGTCTCGAACTCCTGACCTCAAGTGATCCGCCCACCTTGGTCTCCCAAAGTGCTGGGATTACAGGCATGAGCCACTGCACCCGGCTCAAATGTGCAGTTTTAAGTTTAGAGATATTCCCTTATATAATTACAGTGCAGTGATCAACTTCATAAATTGACATTGATATGATACTTTTATCTAATATGCTTTCCATATGCCAGTTTTCTTAGTTGATCTCATAATATCTTACATTGCATTTTCTTTCTCCTTGAACCTGGGGAGTGGAGGTTGCAGTGAGCTGACATTGTGCCACTGCACTCCAGCCTGGGTGACAGAGCAAGACTCCATCATAAAATAAAATAAGATAAGATAAGATAAAATAAATTCAAGTATTGCATTTAGTTGTCATGTCTCTTTAGTTTCCTTTAATCTGGAGTTATTCCCTAGCCTTTCTTTGCCATGTTTCACTTTGTCATCTTTTTAAAAAGCTCTTCCTGCAACCATCCTGAGCAACAGAGCAAGGCTCTATCTCTTCAAAAAGTTAAAAAAAAAAAATTAGCCTGGCATAGTGGTGCATGCCTATAGTTCTAGCTACCTGAGGGGCTGAGGCAAGAGTATCATTTGAGACTGCAGTGAGCTATGATCAAGCTACTGCATTCCAGCCTGGGCCACAGGGCAAGATTTGTCTCTAAAAAAAAAGTTCTTTCCACTTTTTTGTTTGTTTCTTTTTCTTTCTACTTTTTTCCCCCAATAGAATGTTTCTTATTTTGTCTTTGATCATCTATTGTGATCAGTTGATGCTATGCCTTCTTAGGCAAATTCTGCATAGATGATATTTTGTCCTTCTCAGCATAGCTGTCCCTCATAGGTGATATTAAGTTTTTCACTCAATGAAACTGTTGTATTTCTCCACTATATGATAACTAATTTTTTCTCCTTTGGCTCCAATATGCAATCTGTGGGGACAGACTTGATGACCACACAATTACTACTCTTTATTAATATTTCTTCCTCAATTTAGCATCTATGATTATTCCTACCTTATCTACTCTCTACTATGATGTTTGCAAAATGATGATTTTTCAACTCTAGCACTTCCTCCACATTTCTCAGTAGGCATTTGGCATTATGCTTAAGAAATAGATCACCATTCTCTATGTATGTATATGTATCCATATTTATAATATGTATGGATTCATTCATTTCTTTTTTTTCCAACGATTTATAATTTCTTAATCTTATTTTGGTGCTCAAAGTGTCCCGGATTTGATCAGAGGGAATCTCTTTAAGCCGGCTCCTGAATCCATGTGTTAATTCCTTATTATATTTTTGAGCACTTCCTCATATTCTGTCATTAAAAGATTTTCCAGGCTCACAATATACCTGTCCTGCCCTAGGTGTAGATTCAGCAATTTATCTGAGGAACCAGAGTTTCTTTTTGTGGGAAATGGCATTAGAGACTGAGATCTGACACTAGGTCTGTTCATTGCTATTGGAGTGTCTTTGCTTCTTGGTTCTTTCAACAAACAGTACTAGGAAATATGTATTTATACATATATACACACACACACACACACACAAACCTGTATGTAAGAAATCATGATTCATATAATATTCATGTGCACAAATAGTCATGTGCCGCATAACTACTTTTTGATCAGTGACAGACTGCATATACAAAGGTAGTCTCATGATTACATTACTGTATTTTACTGTACCTTTCCTATGTTTAGATATGTTAAATGCACAAATACTTAACATTGTTTTACAATTGCCTACAGTATTTAGTATAGTAATGCTGTATAGGTTTATAGCCTAGGAGCAATAGGCCATACCATATAGCCTCGGTTTGCAGTAGGCTGTACCATTTAGGTTTAAGTACACTGTATGATGTTCCTATAGTGAATAAATCATCTGACAATGCATTTATCAGAATGTATCCCTGTTGTTAAGCTACACATGACTATAAATATTTACAAAATTATGAGTGTACACCAAGGCCTCCAGTTCTACTCTAGCTTATCCCCAGTTTATAGTATGTATGTGTTTATGTGTCTATATACATACTATCATTTCACATTTCTATGTCCTTTCTTCCATATTGAGAAACTTGGCTCCTAGAAATATCAACAAAGTTATTCATTTGCTCAATCCTATTGGGTTTTTTTTTTGTTTTGTTTTTGTTTTTTTTGAGATGAGGTGTCACTCTGTTGCCCAGGCTGGAGTGCAGTGGTGCAAACCCGGCTCACTGCAACCTCCACCTCTCAGGCTCAAGTGGTCCTCCCACCTCAGCCTCCTGAATAGCTGGAACCACAGGCATGCACCACCATGCCCAGCTAATTTTTTGTATTTTTGGTAGAGATGGGTTTTTGCCATGTTGCCCAGGCTGGTCTTGAACTCCTGGGTTCAGGTGATCCATCCACTTTGGCATCCCAAAGTGCTGGGATTATAGGCATGAGCCACTGTACTCAGCCAATCCTGTTGTTTCTTGTAGTGAAGGCCTGCTTTTTTTTTTTCAATTAGAAAAAAAAATTTTTTTAGAAATGGGGGTCTCACTATGTGACCCAGGCTGGTCTCACACTCCTGGGCTCAAGCAGTCATCCTGCCTTGGCCTCCCAAAGTGCTGGGATTACAGATGTGAGCCACTGTGCCTGGCCTAATATTCTGCTTTTAATGGAATTTTTAGCTTTTTCTATGATTTTGGTCTTAAAAGTCTTTATTTCATTTTTGGTTTTGAAAGATATCATTCTGGGTATAGAATCCTTGGTTGACTGTTTTGGTTCTTTGGGTTTTTTCTCCTGAGTACTTTGGAGGCATTTGTCTGTTGTCTTATGGCTTAACAGTAAATTTGCTGTGATTCTTCTTTATGTTCCCCTGTGTGTATGGAACTGGTTGTTGTGTTGGATACACAACTCTATTCATTTGGCCAAAATCATAAAATTAAGAAAAAGAGTGAATTTTACTGTATGTAAATTCTTAAATAAATAAATACATATATGTTAAAAGCATATTATGTACTTTGCATTGTATTAGTCTCTAAGAATACAATGATGAACAAGATAATTTTCAGTTTTATGAAGCTTACAACCTAGTGTATGCACAAAACCAATGATACATGGTAATTGATGGTAGAGTACATGCTATAGGAATATAAATGCATACAATGTCTACTCTAGGGGAGAGGGAGGGATAGTATTAGCCCCAGGTAACCTAGGAGAGTGCCTTGTACATGGTTGGTGTTCAAACAGTTCTTGAGTGAATTGTCTAACAAACCACTTGAAAATATAAGACCTGAAGTTAAGCAGAGATTAGACAGACAAGTCGCTAGTGTTCCTTCATTTATCCAGCAGTTACGTGTTGCCTGTTCTGCAGCCAAGCATTGTCGTTGTGCTTAATATGTAGCAGTGAACAAAAGAAAAGCCCGTCTTCATAAACTCAAGAGATTTATTTTCTAGTAGGGGAAACAGGCAATAAACAAAACAGATATGTAAAATAAATAATATATTAGATATCGATAAGTGGTGGGGAGAAAATAAACAAGGATGGGCTGCACAGGAGGAGGGAAGGTATGCATTTTTAAATAGCTTGACTGGGGAAGGCCTCATTGAGAATGTGACCTAGGAGTACATGGAGGAGGTTGCCTGGCCTAATCATATCAGTTTGTTATCAACCCTAGGTACTCTCTAAAAATGTATCAATGTATCAAATTATGCCTTGTATTATAACTACTCTTTTTTTTTTTTTTTTTTTTTTGAGACAGAGTCTCGTGCTCTCACTCACGCTGGAGTTCAGGGGCATGATCTTGGCTCACTACAACCTCCACCTCCTGGGTTCAAGCGATTCTCCTGCCTCAGCCTCCTGAGCAGCTGGGATTACAGGCATCCACCACCACGCCCTGCTAATTTTTGTATTCTTAGTAGAGATGGGGTTTCACCACGTTGGCCAGGTTGGTCTCGAATTCATGACCTTAGGTGATCCACCCGTCTGGGCCTCACAAAGTGCTGGGATTATAGGCGTGAGCCACTGTGCCCAGCCTATAACTATTCTTATCCTCATGTAAATTATAAATTTGTGATAATAAGGACAATGTACCTTTATGTATTTCATTTCTTTCTTTTTTTTTTCTTAAACTAATGACTAACAGCATTGAATTAGAAAAGGTGTTTAATCTCTGTGGAGTTATCTGCAAAATGAAAGAACTGGAAATAATTATTTCCAGGGTTCGCTGGGCATGGTGGCTCACGCCTGTAATCCCAGCACTTTGGGAGGCCAAGGCGGGCGGATCACGAGGTCAGGAGATCGAGACCATCCTGGCTAACATGGTGAAACCCCGTCTCTACTAAAAATTCAAAAAATTAGCCAGGCGCGGTGGCGGGCACCTGTAGTCCCAGCTACTCAGTAGGCTGAGGCAGGAGAATGGTGTGAACCTGGGAGGCGGAGCTGGCAGTGAGCCAAGACGGCGCCACTGCACTCCAGCCTGGGTGACAGTAAGACTCCGTCTCAAAAAAAAAAAAAAAAAAAAAGAATTATTTCCAGGGTTCTGTCCCATTCTAAAAACTTATATATTTATGAATTGAAGAATAAAATATATCTGAGAAATGATGGAATTTACTGGAATTGGAATGATAGAGCTGTAGAAGAACATCCACAACTTAGATCTCTTCTTTATAACATGAGATGATTACCAATACTTGGGGAATCCTTCTCAGTGAAACCAGATATACAAAACACTGTTTCTTTGGGCCACCCTCTAGACATAAAATTACTTCATTTTACAGATTGTTTATTGTTTGGTATTACTTGTGGCACAGATTCCTAAACTCCTTTAGTAAGTATATGTGCCCACCACTATTTACAGATCACTCAACTGATCTAGTTAAAGTCCTCAGTAATGAATTTTATGTGCCAGATGCTTTCTTCAGTATTTGTGGTCTTTTTCTTTTTAAAAAGGCATTATTTTTAAAATAAAACACAGAAAAGTATAAAAAGTTATACCTGGAAGGGATTTGGGAAGAAATTATTCCTCTGATTAATCATTGTACAGGTAAGCTGAATGATTATTACACACACATGCTCATTTTTTCAAACATCTGAGGCTGTTTTGAGGATATTGTTTGAGAGGATCACGATTCAGTTAGTTCAGTACTGACTTCCCCAAGAGCTCTCATGGAGTTACTGCAGGTTGAACATCCATAATCTGAAATCCAAACTGCTCTAAAATCTGAAATTTTTTGATTGCCGACATGATTCCTTAAGTGGAAAATTCCACACCTGACTTGCGTTTGCAGTCAAAACGCAGGTGTACAACACAGTTCATTCAACATCCTCAAGGGAAAAAGACCCTCCCTGCTCCCTTCAGCTGCGGTAGCAGCACACATTCATAACAGAACAAGAAATCATATCAGATTCTAAAATCAAAGCTAGATTAATAAGACAAAAGTTGTTGTTAATGAGGCAGATAACTGTGGAGGAAACGTTTATTTTATTTTTATGTATTCATTTATTTTTTGAGACAGAGTCTCACTCTGTCTCCCAGGCTGGAGTGCAGTGGCACAATCTCGGCTCACTACAACCTCCACCTCTCGGGTTCAAGCAATTCTCCTGCCTCAGCCTCCCGAGTAGCTGGAATTACAGGGGCACGCCACCACACCCAGCTAATTTTTGTATTTTTAGTAGAGACAGGGTTTTGCCATGTTGGGCAGGCTGGTCTCGAACTCTTGGTCTTAGGTGATCTGTCCACCTCAGCCTCGCAGAGTTCTGGGATTACAGGCGTGAGCCACCATGCCTGGCCTTTGGAGGAAACATTTAAAAATGGTTCTACAGGAGCCATCCAGCAGAATGCCTCCTTATCCCTAGAGAACCCATTTCTTGGTCCCACAACTGTTTCTTATGTTTCTTCTCACCTAAAAAAATAAAATACAGTATACAGTAACATTTTATTTTATTTTATTTATTTTTTGAGATGGAGTTTCACTCTTGTTGCTCAGGCTGTAGTGCAATGGTGCGATCTCGGCTCACTGCAACCTCCGCCTCCTGGGTTCAAGCGATTCTTCTGCCTCAGCCTCCAGAGTAGCTGGGATTACAGGTGCCCGCCATCACGCCCAGCTAGTTTTTGTATTTTTAGTAGAGATGGGGTTTCACCACATTGGACAGTCTGTTCAAACTCCTGACCTCAGGCGATTCACCCGCCTTAGCCGCCCAAAGCACTGGGATTGCAGGCGTGAGACAGCGCACCTGGCCTATAGTAACATTTTAATCAAAACACAGCATCATAGGTGGAGACTGAAAGCCTACCATTGTTAGTTGTTGCTTTTTTTAAAAAGCTGGTAACTGGTATTTTGGTGATACTACACTGCATACATTATTTTTTCACTATTTAATGGCATGTCATGTTTTTTACTGTTAAGTTCTTATGTGTGAATAAGTTAAGAAAATTATTGCTTATTGGTATCATAAATTCAGAATCAGGAATGATGATGATGCTATATAGCCATAGATCATCTACATGGGTGGCTGAGATAGTGACATCTTTGTTTTCTCATGGATCATTGTGCACAAACTTTGTTTCACACACAAAATTATTTAAAATATTGTATAAAATTACCTTCAAGACCTGGACACTGTCCCCAAGATATCTCATTATATACATGCAAATATTCCAAAATCTGAAAAAAATTCAAAATCTGAAACGCTTCTGGTACCAATCATTTTTGGATAAGGGATACTCAGCCTGTATTCTAGCTTCCAATAATTTTATCAAAGTTAGCTTCAAAGCAGCTTCATGGGGCCGTTTATTCAATGATCAAGAGCTACACCAAATTAATCACCTTCATAAAAATATAACTATAGCTGCTGTGAAGAACAATTTCATGAGGTCTCTCTGGGAAGCAGTCCCAATGAGTTCATCGTCTGTTACAGAACCTTTTGAGTGACCAAATATGGAGAAACTAAATCTCACCTCTGGTATTTATATATTGTGGATAGTTTTTTTGGCTACTGACGGGAATCAGCAGCTTATATTTGACATATATCTGTGTTCATATGCACTGCATGATTAATATTTAAAAGTTAAGAATAAATGGCTCAGATGCAGTGGTTCATGCCTGTAATCCTAATGGTTTGGGAGACTGAGATGGGAGGATCGCTTGAGCCCAGGAGTTCATGACCAGTGTTGGCAACATAGTGAGACCCTGTCTCTACAAAAAAAGAAATTGAAAAACATTTTCCAGGTCTGCCTGCCTGCCTGTAGTTATAGCTGCTCAGGAGACTGACATGGGAGGGTCTCTTGAGCTCAGGAGCTCCAGGTTACAGTGAGTTACGATCATGCCACTGCACTCCAGGCTAGGTGACAGAGCAACACACTATCTCTAAAAATAAATAAATGGGAGCCTATTGTAATAGCTTTTATTATTACTAACAACTAATAATATAGTGAGGCTAACAGATGAAGAGACAATTGCCATTAAAAATGTAGTTACAGTTCACAAGAGGGAGAGGCACACCACACCATAGGGGCCACATGAGGAGCACTGGGGTCAGTCAAGAGACAAATAGGAGAGGGGAAATCTATGGGCAAGAGCTTTTATTGTGGTCTCCGTGGGAAGGAATGGTTGAGGCAGTGTAAGCCGGCTTAAGCTTGGCTTGTTTGAATAATTTCAGTGAGCTCTGGGTCAGAGGACCTGTCCCTAGTTAACTCTCTTGTATCTGGCCCTGGGGTGATTACAGCAGGTGGATAGTGGAGAGAACTGGTAAAGAGAGAACCTGGTAAAGGAGGTGGTTGGAGGTGTGGATTCTGGGTTGGTTGTTTTGCATTTGAAAAACTCACTCAAGGGCAAATTGTTGATTATCTCTAGAGATTGGCTAGGATTGCACTGAATTGGTAGATTGCTTTAGACAATATGGTCATTTTAACAGTATTAATTCTTCAAAGCAATGAGCATGGGATGTGCATGAGATGGCACATTTGTTATTGGTGTATAAAAACACTACTGATTTTTGTACATTGATTTTGTCCCGCAACTTAACTAAATTCATTTATCAAATCTAAGAGTTTCTTGGTAGAGTCTGGGTTTTTCTAGATATAAGATCATTTAAGCAAAAAGATACAATTTCACCTTGCTCTTTTCCAATTGGGATGCCTTTTATTTCTTTCCTTTGCCTGATTGCTCTGGCTAGGACTTCTGGTCATATGTTGAATAGGAGTGATAGAAGTCTTATTCTAGTTTCTAGAGGAAAGGCTTTCAACTTTCCCCTGTTCAGTATGATGTTACCTTGGGTTTTTTATATGTAGCCTGTATTATTTTGAGGTATGTGCCCTCCATGCTTAGTTTGTTGAGTGTTTGAATCCTGGGAGGATGTTGAATTTTATCAAATGCTTTTTCTGCATCAATTGAGATTATATGTTTTTTTCCCTATATCTTGTAGATATGATATATTACATTTATTGATTTGTATATGTTGAATCATCCTTGCATCCTTGGTATAAATTACATCTGATCATGGTATATTATCTTTCTCATGTGCTTAAAAGGGTTTGGTTTGCTAGTTACTTTGTTGAAGATTTTGCATCTGTGTTCATCAGGAATATGGGCCTCTAGTTTTCTTATGTATGTGTGTGTCCTTAACTTGTTTTAGTATCAGGGTAATGCTGGCCTCTTGTAGTGAGTTAGGGAGAATTCCCTCCTCTTTGATGATTTAGGAATAGTTTCAGGAGGATAAATATTAGTTCTTCTATGTATGTTTGATAGAATACGGCTGTTACTCCTTCTGGTCCTGGTCTTTTCTATGTTAGACTTTTTATTGTTTTTTTGTTGTTTTTTTGAGATGGAGTCTCAGTCTGTCTCCCAGGCTGGAGTGCAGTAGTGGCATGATCTTGGCTCACTGCAACCTCCGCTTTCCGGGTTCAAGCGATTCTCCTGCCTCAGCCTCCCAAGTAGCTGGGAACACAGTGGCGCATCACCATTCCCGGCTAATTTTTGTATTTTTTTGTAGAGATGTGCTTTCACCATGTTGGCCAAGCTGGTCTTGAACTCCTGTCCTCAGGTGATCCACCTGCCTCAGCCTGCCAAAGTGCTGGGATCACAGGCGTGAGCCACCACACCCAACCTAGACTTCTTGTTGATTCAATCTCACTACTCATTATGTTCAAGTTTTCTATTTATTTCTGATTCAATCTTGGTATGTTGTATGTTTCCATTTCCTCTAGGTTTTACAGCTTGTCCTTATAAGTTGTTGATAATAGTCTCTCATCTTTTTTATTTCTGTGGTCTCATTTGTATTGTCTCCATTTTCATTTAAATTGTTTGGGTCTTCTCTTTTCTTGGTTAGTCTAGCTAGTGGTTTGTCAATTTTGTTTATCTTTTCAAATAACCAACGTTTTGTTTTGTTGGTCCTTTGCATTATTTATTTGCTTATTTATTTTTTGACTATCTATTTCATTTAGTTCTGCTTTGATCTTTTGAAATTCTTTTCTTCTGCTAATTTTCTGTTTGGTTTGTTGTTGCTTTGTTCCTTGAGGTACATTGTTAGATTTATAGTTTATAACTTTTTACCTTCTGGATGTCAGCATTTATTGCTATAAATTTCCCTCCTAGCACCATTTTTGCTGTATCTCACTGATTTTGCTATGGTGTGTTTCCATTTTTACTTATTTCAAGGAATTTTTTTATTTCTATCTTAATTGTTTTGTTGACCCAGTGATCATTCAGGAACATGTTGTTTAATTTCCATGTATGTGTATAGCTTCCAGGGTTCCTTTTGGTGTTGATTTCTAGTTGTATTCCAGTGTGTTCTGAGAAGACACATGCTATGATTTTGATTTTTAAAAATGTTGAGACTTGTTTTGTGTCCTAACATGTGGTCTGTCCTGTAGAACGTTCTACGTTCTGATGAAAAGAATGTACATTCTGCAGTTGTTGGATAGCATGTTCTGTAAATGTCTGTTAGGTCCATTTGGTCTAAAGTCCAATTTAAATCCAATGTTTTTTGTTTGTTTATTATCTGTCTAATGCTGTGAACGGAGTGTTGATGTCCCCCATTATTATTGTATTGCAATCTAGTTCTCTCTTTATATTTGGTAATATTTGCTTTATGAATCTGGATGCTTCTATATTGGGTGTATATATATATTTAGAATTGTTACATGTTTTTTCTGAAATGACTCCTTTATCATTATATAATGACCTATTTGTTGTTGTTTTTTTTTTTTTGAGACGGAGTCTCTCTCTGTTGCCCAGGCTGGAGTGCAGTAGCTCAATCCTGGCTCACTGCAAGCTTCACCTCCCGGGGTCAAGTGATTCTCCTGCCTCAGCTTCCCGAGACTCGTGCCACTGTACTCCAGCCTGGGCAACAGAGTGAGACTCCATCTAAAAAAAAAAAAAAAAAAAGTGCTGGGATTACAGGTGTAAGCCACCATGCCAGCCATCTTTTTTTTTTTTTTTTTTTTTTTTTTTTTTTTAACTGTTCTTGACTTAAAGTTCATTTTAGCTGATATAAGTATAGCCACCACTTGCTTTTGGATTTTGTTTGCATGGGATATCTTTTTCCATCCCTTTAATTGCAGTCTATATTTGTCTTTAGTGTTAAAGTGAGTTTCTTGTAAGCAGTGTCTAGGTGGATAATATGTTTGAATCCATTCAACCTTTCTATATCTTTTAAGAAGAGAATTTAATCTGTTTATGTTCCAGTTTATTATTGATATATGAGGCTTTGTTCCTGTCATACTGTTGTTTTCTGTTGTTTTATATATTCTTTGTTCCTGTCTTTTTCTCTTACAGTTTGTCATTGTGATTTGGTAGATTTTTGTAGTGGTACTGTTTGAATTATTTTCTTGCTTTGTATGTTTTCTTTACCAGTGAGTTTTACACTTTCATGTGATTTCATGATGGTAAATGTCATCCTTTCGCCTCCAAGTTTAGGACTTCCTTGAGCATTTCTTCTAGGGATGGTCTTGTGGTAATGAATTCTTTTAGCATTTGTGTTGGGATGACTTTATTTCTCTTTCATTTATGAATGAGAATTTAGTTGACTACATTTGGTTGCCAGTTATTTTCTTCACACACTGAATATATCATTCCATTCTCTTCTGGCCTGTGAGTTTTCTCCTGAGAAATCCACTGTTAGTCTGATTGAGGTTTTTTCTTTTTCTTTTTTTTTTTGATAGGTGACTAGACTCCTTTCTCTTGCTGTTTATAGGATTTGCTCTTTAAATATGACTTTAGACAGTCTGATTGTAATGTGCTGTGAGGAAGATCTTTTTGCATTGCATTTGCTTTGAGGTCGTTGAACATTTTGTTTCTGAATGTCTAAATCTCTTGATAGACTTGGGAAGTTTTCATCTGTTATTTTATTAAATAAGTTTCCTAATCCTTTCTTTGTTTATTTGCCCTTGAGTATACTGCTAATTTGTAAATTTGGTCACTTCATGTTGTCCCAAATGTCACAAAGCCTTTTTTGTTTTTTAATTTGGCCATGCACAGTAGCTCATGCCTGTAATCCTAACACTTTGGGAGGCTGAGATGGGAGGATGGCTTGAGGCTAGGAGTTTGAAACCAGCCTCTTTAACATAGTGAGACCCCATGTCTTTTTATTTAAAAATATATATATATATTAACGACTGGGCTATACCAACATACCTGTTTTCAGGTTTTGAGATTCTTTCTTCTGCCTGATCTGGTTTATTGTTGAAGCTTTCAAATGTATTTTATATTTCCTTCAGTGATTTCTTCAGTTCCAGAATTTGTTTTGTTCTTTTAAAAATACCAATCTCTTTGATAAATTTATCATTCATATCCTGAATTATTTTCCTGATTGTATTGTTTTTCTGAATTCTCTTGTATCTCACTGAGCTTCTTTAAAAATTAATGTTTTGAGGCCAGGCATGGTGGCTCACGCCTGTAACCCCAGCACTTTGGGAGCCCGAGGTGGGCGGATCATGAGGTCAAGAGATCAAGACCATCCTGGCCAACATGATGAAACACCGTCTCTACTAAAAATACAAAATTTAGCTGGGCGTGGTGGTGCGTGCCTGTACTCCCAGCTACTCGGGAGGCTGAGGCAAGAGAATCACTTGAACCCAGGAGGCGGAGGTTGCAGTGAGCCGAGATCATTCCACTGCACTCCAGCCTGGTGACAGAGTAAGACTCCATCTCAAAAAAGAAAAAAATCAATGTTTTGAATTCTTTATCTGAGATTTCTGAAATTTCTTTTTGACTGTCTATTGCTAAATAATTATTGGGTTTCTTTGTAGGTGTCCTGTTTTCTTGCTTTTCATGTACCTGTTCCCTTATGTTGATATCTGCACATACACTGTAGCAGGCACTTCTTTTTTGGCATTTGCTTTTGTAAGGGAGGACTTTTTTCCTGAAAATGTATCTATGGTGCTGGCTTGGTCTACCCCCAGTTGCTGGATTGCTACTGGCTTGCTTTCCTGTTCCAGCAGTGACCAAAAAAAAAAAAAAAAAAAAATTATTCTGCCAATCTCTGCCATTTGATGGTGAGTTTAATCCATTTACATTTAAACCAATTCCTGATAAGGAAATATTTACTTCTGCTGTTTTGCTGTTTGCTGTGTGTGTGTGTGTGTGTGTGTGTGTGTGTGTGTGTGTGTATGTGAACCCCTCCTGGGTTCAAGTGATTCTCCTGTCTCAGCCTCCCAAGCAGCTGGGATTACAGGCATGTGCCACCACACCCAGCTAATTTTTGTATTTCTAGTAGAGACGGAGGTTTCTCCATGTTGGTCAGGCTGGTCTCGAACTCCCAAACTCAGGTGATCCGCCCACCTCGGCCTCCCAATCTTTAGTTATTTTCTTACTGGTTACCTTGAGAATTACAGGTAATATCTTAAACTTATAACAACCTAGGTTAAATTAATACTAAACTAGATTGGCATTAATAATACCTTTAATAATTTGCAAAAACTCTGCTTCTTATATCTATGTTTCTCCCCCTTATATTGTGATTGTCACAGATTGCATCTTTCTACATTGTTTGGCCATTAACATAGATTAGTAATTTTTGTTTTATGCATTTGTCTTTAAATCATATGGGAAAAAGAGGGCTTATTAATAAAAATACAGTGATACTTTCTTCATTATTTACCTATGTAACCATTGTTCATTATTTCTATATATGGTTTTCAGTTACTGTCCAGTGTTTTTTCCTTTTAGCCTGAAGAATTCCCATGAGCATTTTTTTGTAGGTCAAGTCTACAAGTAACAGACCTCAGCTTTCTTGAATCAGGGAATGTCTTAATTTCTATTGCATTTGTGAGAGAGAGTTTTGCTGGATATCAGTCTCAGGATTCTCTCTCTTTGGAGCTCAACAGATTTACTATAATGTGTCTTGATGTGGATCTCTTTGAGTTTATCCTATTTGCAGTTTATGCACTTCTTGGATGTGTATATTAACTTTTTCATCCAGAGGGATTTGACTGTTATTTCTCAAGATATAATTTCAGCTCCCTTTTTTTTCAACTTTCCTTCTTTGACTTTCATTATGTATATGTTAGTACTTTTTTGGGTGTCCCACAAGTCTCTTAGGCTCCGTTTATTTTTCTTCATTCTTTTTTCTTTCTCTTTCTTAGACTGGATAATTTCACTTGACCTATATTCATTTTTACTGATTCTTTTTTTTTTGGAGAGGGAGACTCACTCTATTGCCCAGGCTGGAGCGCAGTGCCGCAATCTCAGTTCGCTGCAACCTCTGCCTCCTGGGTTCAAGGGATTCTCCTGCCTCAGCCTCCTGAGTAGCTGGGATTACAGGCACACACCACCACGCCCGGCTAATTTTTGTGGTTTTTTTTTAATAGAGATGGGGTTTCACCACATTAGCTAGGCTGGTCTCAAACTCCTGACCTTGAGATCCGCCCACCTCGGCCTCCCAAAGTGCTGGGATTACAGGCGTGAGCCACCGCGCCCGGCCATTTTTACTGATTCTTATGCCCACTCAAATCTGCTGTTGAGCCCCTTTAGTGAATTTTTAATTTCATTTGTTGTACTTTTCAGTTCTAAAATTTCTATTTCTTTTAAAAAAATTTCTCTCTTTATTGCCATTTCCTGTTTGTTGCATACTTTGTTCTCTTGATTTTCTTGAGTTCTCTAAACATATTTAAGACAGTTGATTTAAAATCATAGCCTAGTAATTCCCCTAGTCATTCAACAGGAGAAGTTTCTGTTAATTTCTTTTTTTTTTTTTCCTATGACTGGGCCATATTTTCTTGTTTCTTTGCATGCTTAGTTTTTTGTTATTGTCATTAAATACTGTACATTTTGAATATTATGATGGGCAAAAAGGAAAAAAATAAGAAAAAAAGATATCTTCTCCAGGTCTGTGCATTTTGGTTCTGTATGGGGACACTACTTCAGTGCTTAGCCAGGTCTTTCACAACCCTGCCTTAGTCCTGTCCTTAGCCTAGAGATTAGCCAGAGGTTGAAGTTATGCTCCCCTCAGATCTCTTCTAAGCATGCATTCTGCCCTGAGCATTCAAGTGGCTTTCTAGTTCCCTGGTATACTTGAGCACTTTTTCCAAGACTTTATTCCCCAAAGATTCTCATTCCCTACCTTTTCTTTCCTTGGCTTTCAGCATATCTGTTGTTTGTCTCAACTGTGCTTTTGCCCTACACAGCAGCAACTTGTTAATTTGCCTTTTAGTATTTTTGAAAAACATCCCCTGTGTAGCTATGTCTTCATGGTGAAGCAGCATTGTTGTCTGGGGTAATACCCAAGGTTCATTGTCCCACAGCCACGGAAAACCAGGACATGAACACACCACTGTGAGGTTAAGAGTGGATATTTAATAGGTGAAAGAAGGAGAGGAGCTGTCTGCACAGAGAGGGGTCCCAGAGAAAATGGGTTGCCGCTTCCACAGTCAAATGCAGGTTTTACAGATGAGCTTGAGGAGGCAGTGTCTGATTTACATAGGGCACAAAAAATTGGTCAGACCAGGTGTACCGCTTGCATAGGATGTGAAGAAGCTGGCCGCCCCACCCTAATCTTTTATTATGCAGATGGGTTCTCTACTGGGCCAGCGCCATGTTGCCTGCTTTTTTACTGTACACGTGGTGACAAAGAAAAGGGAAGATGGAGACCAGGTGCAGTGGCTCACGCCTGTAATCCCAGCACTTTGGGAGGCCAAGGTGGGCAGATCACCTGAGGTCAGGAGTTCGAGACCAGCCTGGCCAATATGGTGAAACCCTGTCTGTACTAAAAATACACAAAAAAATTAGCCAGGCATCATGGCGCACGCCTGTAATCCCAGCTGCTTGGGAGGCTGAGGCGGGAGAATCACTTGAACCCAGGAAGCGGAGGTTTTGGTGAGCCGAGATTGCACCACTGCACTCCAGAGTGAGACTTAGTCTCAAAAAAAAAAAAAGAAAGAAAAGGGAAGATGGAGCCTCCATGTTTAACATACTTGGCTTCCAGGTATCCCTTTTCTATTGCAGAGCATTTACCTGTGCAAACTTCTAGCTTGCTTATCTATGTTTGCAGCTCTATTTTTCAGGCTGCTCTTTGTTAGAAAAGAAATGATTTGGGGGCTGCTTTTTATTAAAAGGGAAGCCTTTCTGAGGGCTCCTTAACCCTCACTATCTACCTAAATAATTTCTTTCTAGCTCCTGTATCAATTGCAAGAAAGTTCTGACTTAGCTGAAATGCAGTCAGACCCCTTGAATCAAAACGATTCCTTGGGAATGAGGTCTCTTTTACTTGGGAACCAAGTCAAGACAAACAATTCCTTGAGAATAAGATCCCTTTGACTGTTGTCAGGATTAGGTTCTCAGGCTAGTAAAGTAGCATGCTATCTTTAAGACTGCTACTGTGGCCAGGTAGGGAGTGTGGCAAGGGTATCTTACAGTACTACAAAACGCTCTTAGCCTTTTTCAGTTGCCCTTTTTCTGATTAAGTGTTTTCTCAGTTGTAAGCTTTTTACTCTCTTCCCAAATTCCAGTAAAAGTGATTCTGACAGCTATGCAGTAGTTTTCAGTGTTTCTGAGACAGGATGACCCCAGCACTTCCTATTTTGCCAAAATTTTTTTGTTCTTATTGTTGAATTTCTAATTCAAAAGCACACCCTAGCCCACTTTAGTCTGTAGTTCAATATCCTATTGTGGTCTGCCCTACTTATGTACTATCCTGAGGCCAATGTGAATTCTGGAAATTATTCTATACTATAATTCAGTTCTCAGTATTTTTTTTCTGTGTAGATTCTGGTTCGTTTTATGTAGGGGTTATTTAGGATTTCATAAACAGATGTAAAAGATTCTTGTCTGAAGGCTCCTCTTCTCTGATTCTCCCTTATCTCTTCTTGGGATGACTTAAGTGCAGGGTGTGGAAAGTTAACAGAGCAACCCACTGTGTGTGCAGCTGCCATGCTGGTTGAGATCAGAAATGACATCCTTTCTTTGCTTATGTTTGCTTGGTGTCAGTTGGGGCTAGCTGACAAAGCTTCCTCTCTCAGTCTTTCCAATAGCAGTACCCGATTGGGAGGTGAGGACTCTGCTTTGCCTGCTTTTCTTATTGTTGGCAGTGATGGTTGACAGGCTTCACACCTCAGCCTCTGTGGCTAAAGTGCCTGATTAGGAGTGAAAGGGGCACAGCTCCTTTTTGGCATTGGGGTTCCCTTCTGCCAGGCCTGTTTCTTCTCATTTTGCATGATCTCCGTTGGTTAGAGGGAATGGTCTTTCCTGGGGCCTTTTGGGTTATTGTTGTTGTTAATGTACCCTTTGGTAATTCTGGGTTGCAGTTTGCTCCTGTGTACAGACTGGGATATACAGGAGGCAAAAATAAATCCTAAGGAATTCTTTTCCAGGTCCTCCCTTGATTCCTGAAGACTCTACCTGTCCTGCTTTCTTCATTCCACATTTCAGAGTTTCTGATGTTTGCTTTATGTGCTGTGTTCATGGTTTTAAATTATAGTTAACGGAAGCATTGGGGTGGAATATGCTTACTCTATCATTACTGGTACAGGAACTCAACTCCCGCAATCATTTATCAAATGAGTGATTAAATGATACATGGTTCTTGCCTTCAAGTTACTTGTGGTGTATGTGGCTTACATTATTAACATAGATGTACTATTAAGAGAATTAAGACTCATTCCTGTGAGAGTTCTCCTAGGCAAAGGAGTGAGATTATTTCTAGCTGTTAGGGAATAGGATACGTGGTGTGGTGGTGTGGTAATTGTTCTGACAATGGTTCTCTGTCACCAACTGGATGTCCTGCAGCTCAGTTCAGTTCTCACACTAACAGACCCCACAAGTTATAGGCAGAGGTCTCCACCAGGAGTGCCTCCACTTCACACTCCAGCTGCAAGTATCAAGGTCCACCTGCAGTTAGGACCAACTGGCCATAAATTCTGGAGTTCCCACATATCTCTCAGGTTTAATAATTTGCTAGAACCGCTCACAGAACGTACTGAAAACACTATACTTACAATTAGCATTTTATTATGAAGGATACAACCCAGACACAGCCAAATGGAAGTAATGCATAGACGAAGGTCTGGGGGTTGGGGAGACAGAGATTCCTTGTGGAATCCAGACACATTATCCTCCCAGTACATCAGTGTATTCATCAACCAGGAAGTTCTGCTGTGCTCCTGGTTAGCCCTCAAATGATGTGTTTGGTGATGTGTTTGATGTGTTTTCCTGGTGAACAGCCTCCAGTCTGCAATACGTAGAAGCCACTATGAGACAACTCATTAGCATAACAAAGACACATCTATCACTCAGGAAGTTCCAAGGGTTTTAAAGCGCTGTGCCAGAAACTGGCACTTACATACTGTCTGTTCTTCATTATTCTTTATTATACTACAGTCATCAAATAAAATTTCAGGGAATGTGGCATTTGAGTGATTTAAATAATACGTAGACTTAAACGTTTGAAAATGGGGAAAGGGGTATTCTAGGCTGAGAAAGTAGCATTAGCAGTCATACCAGAGGAACACACACACACAAGTGCAAGAATTGATATGTAGAACTACTTCAAGTTTTTGGTTTTAGTGTAGGATACATGAAAAGGAAAAGAAATAAAGCTAGATTGGGTCTATCATTTAATGATATTTATTAATCAGAGAATCATTTATTCCTACAGAGCAGAAGAGAGAAAAGATCTGTTCATGTTTTTCCGAAGCCTGCATTTTTTTGTGGAGTGGTTTGAATATCGTAAGCGCACGTTTAAACATCTCAAGGTAAAGTCTGAAGTCTTTGAATTTAAACATATATGGAAAACAAAGCTGATATTAATTGAGAATTCATCCCTAACATCCTTTTCTTAAAAGCTTTCAAACAGTAGAAAATATTCTCATTGACTTTTGGAATTTGCAATTATTTGGAATAACTGGAGGAGGATTACTTCTGTACAAATCAGTGAACAATTTATGTTGTGGAATGTCTTGAAAGAAGTGTGGTTATATTCAAATTTATTTAAAATCCGCATTTTGGAAAAACATTCTTTCAAGAGTATTTGAAGTAAAACAACAAATGTTAATAAAGAATATCATCACAGCAGGCTTATCATGTAGTGGTATACTGCTAACTTCCTGAGCCAGACTCTGTGTTTTCAGCTTCTCAATTGTGCATTTCGAGTTTAAATACCAAAGCCTGATTCTTGCGAAGTAATGCTTCCTAAAGCCTGATATGGGTACTTTAAAGTACTTCCTTTTATTCCCTTTCTTTGTTTTCGGGCATAACTGAAATTAAGTTTGGTTGCATCGTAATACCTCAGGTTCTACTCATTTGGATAGCATCAAATTATTGACAGCATTAATCCACACAGCAACCAGTTCTGAAAGTCAACTTAAATAATATTTCAGGGTTCAGATTCTCTCAAAAGCCTAACCAGATCATGAATATTGTTTTTAGGACTTGTACTAACTCTCCTTTATTTGGGGTTCTATTGTTTCTTATTATTATTTATTCTATTTGGTTGAGCTAATAAAATCTGTCAGGCCTAGGATTTTTTTCCACAAAGAAACATGGGCAGTTCTGTACTATAGTACCTTGAGGTGTTCTCATGATTTTGTTATATTCGATCATAGGTAGTCTTAAAATGCCAGAAAAATTAAATATTTCTGCTTCACAAGTGTTATAATACAGTAATGACCAGGGAGTGTGCTGGCAGTTATGGTAATAGATGAATCACCTAATGTTGCTGTTTCCTTATGCATTTGAATGGGTGATGGAAAATGGGAGCACTAGTCTCCATTTCCAAAGCTGATTTGACTCTACGTGCTTTCCAGTCAGGTATGAAGTATAATTGGTGTATTTTTCTTATGGAGGGTAAAGAGCTTCTAGGAGCTGGTCTTTGCTAGTTATAAAATTACTAGGGTGGAAAAAACCTATCACATTGTCCTGTAACCGTCACCAATATCCACATTGTTTTGTAACCATCACCACTGTCCTTCTCCAGAAGTTTTTCATCATCCCAAACTGAAACATACCCATTAAACATTAACTCCTCATTCCTGCCTTCTCTTAGCACTTGCTACCACTGTTGTGTTTTCTGTTTCTATGAATTTGACTATTCTAGGTACCTCATATATGTGGAGTGTCTTTTCACTTAGCATAATGTCCTCAAAGTTTCTCCATGTCATAGCATGTGTCAGATTTCTTTTCTTTTTTTTTTTTTTTTGAGACAGGGTCTCACTCTGTCACCCAGGCTGGAGTCCAGTGGTGCAGTCACGGCTCATGGCAGCTTTGACTGTCCCTGGCTCAGGTGATCCTCCCACCTCAGCCTCCCAAGTAGCTGGGACTACAGGCACACGCCACCATGTCAGCTAATTTATGTATTTTTCGTAGAGATGCAGTTTCGCCGTGTTGCCCATGCTGGTCTTGAACTACTGGGCTCAAGCAATTGACCTATCTTGGCCTCCCAAGCCCAGTGCCCTCCCCCTGCCTTTTTATTAAGGCTGGATCATATTCCATTAAATGTATGTACATTTTGCTTATCCATTCATTTGCTGATGGTCACTGGTTGTTTTTACTTTTGGGCTATTGTGAATAATCCTGCTGTGAACATTAGTGTACTGATATCTGTTTGCACCTCTTTCAATTCTTTTAAGTGTAATGATATACCTGGAAATATAATTGCTGGATCATATGGTAATTCTATGTTTAATTATTTGAAGAACCGCATACTCTTTTCCACAGTGCTTGTACCATTTTACACCAGCAAAGCACGAGTACTTCAATTTCTCTACAACTACTTTAATACTTGTTATTTTCTGCTTTTTTTTTTTTTTTTGGCTATAGCCAACCTAATGGGTAGGAAGTGATATCTCACTGTGGTTTTGATTTACATCCTCCTAATGGTTAGTGATGTTAAATGTATTTTTATATGCTGGTTGGCCATTTGTATATCTTTGAGGAAATGTCTGTGCAAGTCCTTAGCCCATTTTTGAATTGGGTTGTTTTTTGTTGTTGAATTGTAGAGTTCTTTATATATTCTAGATATTAATTTCCTCTTAAATATATGATTTCAAAATACTTTCTCTGGGTTGTCTTTTGACTCTTGATAGTGTCCTTTGATGAGCAGAAATTTTTAATTTTTAAAATTTATTTTTATTTAATTTTTAATCGACTAATAGTAATTTTACATATTCATGGGGTACATAGTGGTGTTTCAATACATATAATGTATAGTGATCAGATCAGGGTAATTAGCATTTCCATCAGCTTAAACATTTATCATTTCTTTGTGTTGGGAACCGTCAGTATCTTCTAGCTATTTGAAACTATATATTATCGTTAATTATAGTCATCTTACAATGGTATAGAACTTATTCCTCCTATCTAGCTGTAATTTTGTATCCTTTAACAAATCTCTCCCAAAAGTTTTAAATTTTGATGGAGACCAGTTTATCTATTTTTTCTTTTTTACCTGTGTTTTTGGTGACAAATCCAAGTAATTCCGTGCCAAATTCAATGTCATAAAGGTTTTCCTCTATATTTTCTCTAAGAATTTTATAATTTAACCCTTAAGTTTAGGTCTTTTAGTTTGTTTTTAAATATTACATAAGGTAGGTGTCCAACTTCATTCTTTTGTATATGGATATCCAGTTTTCCCAGCACCATTGTTGAAGAGACTGGCGTTCTCCACTGAATGGTCTTTGTACTTTTGTTGAAAAGTATCTGACCCTATTTGGAAGGGTTTATTTCTGGGCTGTTTAATTTATTCTGTTGGTCTATATGTCTGTACTTACGCTAGTACCACACTGTTTTCCTTTTTTTTTTTTTTTTTTTTTTTTTAGACAGAGTCTTGCTCTGTCGCCTAGGCTAGAGTGCAGTGATGCGATCTTGGCTCACTGCAACCTCCGCCTCCTGGTCAAGCGATTCTCCTGCCTCAGCCTCCCAGTAGCTGGGATTACAGGCACCCGCCACCACACCCGGCTAATTTTTTGGAATTTTTAATAGAGACAGAGTTTAACCATGTTGGCCAGGCTGGTCTCGAACTCCTGACCTCAAGTAATCCACCCGCCTCAGCCTCACAAAGTGCTGGGATTACAGGTGTGAGCCATTGCGCCCAGCCACACACTGTTTTCATTACTGTATCTTTGTTGTAAATGTTGAAGTTAGGAAATGTGAGTCTTCTATCTTTATTCTTATTTTCAAGATTCTTCTCTTTATTTGGGGGTCTCTTGAAGTTCCATTTTATTTGTGTGAAAGCATCATTGAGATTTTGATGGCAACTGTGTTCAGTCTGCATATCATATTGGATAGTATTGTTGTCTTAACAACATTAAATCTTACCATCCATAAACACAAGACATCTTTCCATTTATGTATGTCTTTAGTTTTTTTCAGCAATGTTAGTAAAAAGTAAATCATTTAAAAATTTAAAGCCTCTAATTATTAGTGTCAAGAATGAAACATTATGAATATAATGGAGACAGCATATTTTTACTTTCTCTAATTATTTCGTCTGATATCTTCTGAATCTTGGTGGTATAATTTGTATTGTTTATTTTGTTTTATTTGTGATTTAAGGTTGTGTATATGAAGGTGTAAGGTATGCATGTTCATATATATCCTCTTATCTAGAAATCCCCAAATTATTTCTTTAATTCTGGAATTCATACCTTTTACCAATGTTCTTTCTCCCTTATCATTATCTTATCTAAAACTACTGACTTTTGAATTTTTTCTTAATTTGAGAGTTATTTGATGGTGTTTTGCTCCATAAGTTTTATCATAAAAATAATATAGGAATACATTATTTTTCTGAAAACTAGAAAGATGACAGTCATTCAAGATTATGATAGTTTAAAGATTCAATTTTTCCAAATAAAACAGAACCCTTCTATTTAGATGGATTTTATTTTGCAATATTTATTATATATTCAATTCAAATGTACTCACTATTGTGCTAGGCAATTGAAAGTAAAAAGTATAAAGCTGCATTTTGCGCTCTCAGTGAGGTTTAAGTCAGGGAAATGAGGCATGCACACAAAATAACGAGAAAGTAGTATAATAGCTGTGATCATTAGTTATCAAAATAAGTGAATGAGCTAATAATCATTGTTAGAATAATAATTGTGTTCTTAGATCTCAGATGCTTTAATGAAAAATGTTATCTTGAGGTCAACTTTGACAAATGGGGAGATAACTGAAAAACATCTGACATTCTAGGTAGGGAAAACAGAAGCAAATGCTTAAAAATGGGAATAAGTATGTATTCTGTACACAGAGACAACTTGATTTCAATACATACTTTATGGTGGAAATAATGTTTGTACTTTTACTTACACAGTCCGGACTCATGTTTCTAAAACACTGATAATTTTGTGTTTAACTTCAATGTAATGTGTAGTCTAATACTTTTAGTGGGGTACAAGTGAGAGGAATGTTATTTTAGAAACTTTACTCTGGCACCACTGAGTCATCATAAATTATTACTCTCAGATAGAAGATTTAATTCTTGCAGTTAGCCATGTCAGTTTATCATGAGTAATCAGAAAGTGTTACTCAGAAGCTTTATTGTGAATATTCAGTTTGTTACAGTGAACATGGATGTGTATGGGTGGGAAGGTAGTGTGCACTGGCACCACAGAATATTCTGTTTTCATCTTATGCTTGAACTAATTTATTGATGAGATTCTCATTTCTGTAGTATAAAAGGAAAATATTTTGCAGTTATCTCGTATTTGAAAGACTTTGCCATAGAGAACTTTATCAGAAATGGATGAACTTTTCATTATTTCTTATAAGCATATTGGTTTTGGCCTGCTTGAGTTTAAAACTTTTTTTGGTAGACTTAGAATGTTAATATTTAGATAAAGAAAATATTTTACTGAAGACATTACCAGAAAGTAAAATAACTTGAACATTTCTGTATTAGCTCTTTATCAGAGAATAACATTTATTTTATTTGGAAAGTTTTCCTAAATATGAGACTATCTGCTATTTCTCAGACTAAGTGAAAAATTTAATAAAATAGCTGCCTTGATAGGAGGAAAACAAAGTTCTTACTTTATAAGGAATAACGTATGAATCATAAAAGAAGAATGAGCGATCATGGGAAACATTTAGCTTTTCAAAGTTTTTGGAACATGTACCTTAAATGCTTTTGGGATCCAGTAAAGGCCAGGAAAGGCAAAGAGTTGAAAGTTTCTTGGATTTATCCTCGTACTTACATCATTAGTAATAGGAATAATGCATCTCAAATTTGGGCATTTATATAAAAACATGATTTTTAAATGGTAGTCTAGTATAAACTAGGATTTTGTAATGCTGTTTAAATATTTTCATATTACTTTGTTTCGAACGTAGACATTCAGTCTTACTTTTTACTTATTATATGTAAGATTTTGAACATCCTTGCTTAAAATATTAAATTCCTTCAAAATGAGATACAAGGTTAATATTAAACCAATACTTAAGTTCCTTTACTCATTGTTGAGACAGACTATTAGTGTAGGTGTACTTTCATTTATATGTTGTACCAATAGAGGTTAAAAGTATGACCCTATCGGTAATCTTTTTAAGCAAATAAAACTGTTTGGATGCTTTCCCAGGACGATTGGATTGCCCTCCAGGCGTATCTCTTCAATGCGGTCCCGGATGTAACTGGTGTCATTAGCCTTGCAGAATGTGTCATCTGTAATTGAAGCTATGTTGTTGAACTGAAAAAAAACGAGGAAAACATTGTTCAGAAATCTGAAATCAACCTTTCATATGCTATATAATGGGTAAAGGAAACCTAAGTCAGAGGTCTGAGTGCCCCCTCACTTCAAATCCTTGTGTCAAATTAATTAGGAAATACTCAAATGTACACCTGGAGACAAATACAATCAAGAGCAGACTTCACACGTACTGTGCTGGTCTACTTGTTATGCTCTGGATGGAATCTGGACTTCTGGGAAGAAAGTTCATGAGCCTAGTATTAATCTTTTTGATAGGCAGACATTTAGCTATCACGCTACTACAGTGATCTAACCAAAATTTGTATGTGAATAAGTGAGGTTCCCAATGAGTCACAAGATTTTGACTCATAGGTAATTAGAGTCAGATATTGTGAAAGGAACTATCATACCTGAAGATGAATTACACGTAGACTTTCTGGTAAATTAAGAGGCACGGATTCCAGGGCATTATGGTCCAAGTAGAGGAAGGTGAGGTTATTCAGTTTCTGTAAGGAAAATTTCATGTGAGTGTTATTGAGGTTCTGTACATTCTTTCACAGGATTCAAGCAATATATATGTGCATATGAGTATATGTCTATATATACAGACTTGCATATTGATATGAATACATCAATTATATCAATTGTTCGTATGGTAGTTTCTTGTTTGGGTTTTTTTTCTGACTTCACGTGTAGTGTATTTTGATCCTTTATGATGGCCAGTGGAGCTCTGCCGCATACCCCACACTTCTGTCCATTCATCTGATCTCTGAATATCCGGCTCTAATGCCAACTTCTGGTACTCTTTGTGTTTGTCTTGATAGGAACTAATGAGGTGAGTCCCTATGTGGGATTGAATTTTGACCCTGGTGCTGCCATAACCTCTCCTGTACCTCTGGAGTTTCCCATCTCAGTTCCACCAATTTCTAGCTAAGTGGTTACTTCTTAGAAATGTGTGTGCTTGTATGTTTTTAGTAGAGACGAGGTTTCACCATGTTGGCTGGTATGGTATCGATTTCCTGACCTCGTGATCTGCCCGCCTCAGCCTCCCAAAGTGCTGGGATTACAGGTGTGAGCCACCATGCCCGGCCTAAAAAAATACAAAAAATTAGACAGGCGTGGTGGTGGGCGCCTGTAGTCCCAGCTACTCGGGAGGCTGAGGCAGGAGAATGCTGTGAACCCAGGAGGCAGAGCTTGCAGTGAGCTGAGATCGCACCACTGTACTACAGCCTGGGCAACAGAGCGAGACTCTGTCTCAAAAAGAAAAAAAAAAAAAAAAAAAAAAGAAATGTGTGTGCTTAGCCGGGCATGGTGGCTCACGCCTGTAATCCCAGTACTTTGAGAGGTCAATGTGGGTGGATCACTTGAGGTCAGGAGTTCGAGACCAGCCTGGCCAACATGGTGAAACCCCATTTCTACTAAAAATACAAAAATTAACTGGTGTGGTAGCACATGCCTGTAATCCCAGCTACTAGGGAGCCTGAGTGAGGCAGGAGAATTGCTTGAACCCAGGGGGTGGAGGTTGCAGTGAGCCGAGATTGTGCCACTGCACTCCAGCCTGGGCCACAGAACGAGACTCCATCTCAAGAAAAAAAAAAAAAAATGTGTTCTTAGCAAGATGTTTCCCAAAGCAGTTTAGCAAACAGTTAGCTTGATGCAGGTTTTTTCCCTAAGGGCTTAATGTTGGATTATTCTTCATGATCAGTAACCCATTATTGTGTATAATTGTAATTTCCCCTGACATTACTCTTTTACCTTATCTTCAATATGTATCCTGTGGTAGATTTTGCTAATTCTTTTCTGTGTTGCTATTTTAATACTTTCTTAAGCACCCTACCCTTCCACCATGTGGGCATCAAGCTCTTGTCTTCCCAGTGAGTCTCATTTACATGAGGTAGAATAACCTAATTCTACTAGTGACTGTAGCAGCTTAGGACATTAAACAAAACTATAGGGCAGCTGAATTTATTATTTTCTTTTCTTTTTTTTTAGAGATGGAGTCTCACTCTGTTGCCCAGGCTGTAGTGCAGTGTCATGATCTGAGCTCACTGCAACCTCCGCCTCCCAGGTTAAAGCAATTCTCCTGCCTCAGCCTCCTGAGTAGCTGGGACGACAGGTGCCCACCACCACGCCCAGCTAATTTTTTGTATTTCAGTAGAGACAGGGTTTCACCATGTTGCCCAGGCTGGTCTCGAACTCTTGAGCTCAGGCAATCTGCCCGCCTTGGCCTCCCAAAGTGCTAGGATTACAGGCATGAGCCACCGTGCCTGGCCAAGTTTATTATTTTCATACCAACTTGTCATAAATCCCTTCTGTAATTCCTGTCTAAACCCCAGAATATTCAAATGTTCTTTTTGTGAAATGTTGATCAGCTCCTTTTTTTTTGGAGACTGAATCTTGCTCTGTGGCCCAGGCTGGAGTGCAGTGGTACAATCTCAGCAGTTCACTGCAACTTCTGCCTCCCAGGTTCAAGCAATTCTTGTGCCTCAGCCTCCTGAGTAGCTGGGACTACAGGCGCCCACCACCACGCCTAGCTAATTTTTGTATTTTTAGTGGAGACAGAGTTTCACCATGTTGGCCAGGCTGGTCCTGACCTCCTGACCTCAAGTGATCCGCCTGCCTCATCCTCCTAAAGTGCTGGGATTATAGGCGTGAGCCACTGAACCTGTCCTGATCAACTTTTATAGGTCTTTAACATGTCTGTTATTCAAAGAGTGACCAACTCAAATTAATATTTTCAAATTACAACTTTAAAACAAAAAAAAAAAGGCCAGGCACGGTGGCTTACGCCTGTAATCCTAGCACTTTGGGAGGCCAAAGTGGGCGGATCACCTGAGGTCAGGAGTTCAAGACCAGCCTGGCCAACACCCATCTCTACTAAAAGTGTAGAAATTAGCCGGGCGTGGTGGTGTGTGCCTGTAGTCCCAGCCACTTGGGAGGCTGAGGCAGGAGAATTGCTCAAACCTGGGAGGCGGAGGTTGCAGTAAGCCAAGATCACGCCACTGCACTCCAGCCTGGGTGACAGAGCAAGACTCCATCTCAAAAAAAAAAAAAAAAAAGGTGTATCTGCTTTTAAAAAGTCCTCTAAGAGTCCCTTAACTTCTGAGTTCCTTATAAGAAACATCAGATGAGCTCTGATGTAACTTTAAAATGTCCCTTAAAGTTGAATAAAGATACCTTAATTGTAATGAAAAATGAAAAAATGGACTATTTGTACACTTTCTAACAGATTGTACATTTTTTGACAGAATTTACCTGTGTGTGATTATCATAAACTTTATGATAATGAATATTTGATAGTTTCTGAAGTTACCTTTAGAAGCAAGAAACCTTGCCTTTTGAATGAGATTATGTCTGTTACCAGCAATGGCATGGTCATCATTTTATCTGGGGAATGATTACATCAGAGCTATGGAAATCCTGGACTAAAGTGATTACTCCTGTAGGTCATGCATTTTGAGACAAATTGTCTACCTAAACCGAAGTAGATTACTTTCCCTTTTTCCTACATAATATTTGCTTGAATTGTTAAGAAATGTATTTAATTCTTACTACATATAAAATTTTATATTACATGCTCTCATGAAATTCAAAGGAAAATCTCCCTATAGAATTTCACAGTCTAATATCTTTAAATATTAAAAGTTAAATTCAGTATTTACTTTTGGATCTTTATTTTTTTCTGGTGTTTATAATTTGCTAACATTGTAAGGAAAAAGAAACACAGGAAATATCCCATTTTGAGCTTTCGTAGACTGTAAGTGTCATGAGAGGGCCAACCATGTCTGTCTAAATAAATATTTGCTGTATGAACAAGTGAAAAAATGAGAAACAAAATAGTCCCATGAAATAAAATAAAGGTTATGTATTTTAACTGAGATATGGGTATAAGCTAGGCTGAATGAGCCTAATAGGATGGTTATTTATTATGTAAATAATGTCTTCATTTATTAAATCAAAATAGTTTTTAAGTGTAATCAAAATACAATTCTAGACCAAAGTTTCTCTTTTATCTATCATATCATCACTCATACTATGCTTAGTTTTACTATAAAATACTTACTTTGAATGCATTTGCTTTGATTCCCCTACTCTTGATTTTGTTGTATTTTGCATTAAATAAAGTGAGCTTGGGAGGAAGAACTGGAAGTTTTAGTAGTTGATTTTCAGCAAGTGAAAGTTCTTCTAACAGAGAAAGTTTTGAAAAAGTACCATCTTCTATATCTTCTATCAAATTTCCTGTAAAATCGAGTCTTCTTAAGTTAGCTAGAGGGAAAAAAATATAAAAAACAACTACGTAAGTAAAATTCTTATTGTATGGACTGAAGAAAAGCATTTGTTTAACAGATCACTCAAGCATCTTTCATTTTTAGTGCCTGGTAGACTGTTTACAATTCATAGCCCAGTAAAGTTTTGTGGAATGATCACTGAACACCTCTTTGTGCCTGAAATTGATTCCCTTTCTGACTGGAGTCCTAGAATCTCAGGTTTGAAAGTGATCTTAAAGTTAATCGAGTCTTTTCATCTTTCTCTGTTCAAATTCCTTGGGATGGTCAGGCAGTTTGAAAGAAATTCTTGTTGCAAATCATGGAAAGGAAGCATTACATTTGATTGGAATCATGTAATTTTTTTTATTTTTTTGCTGGCATGTTGCGTTGTGATTCTGAGTATGTTATCTTAATCTTAATCTCTCTATGCCTTATCGCTTAACAACAACAAAGACAAAGATGTTCCCTGATTTGTTAAAGTGACACAGATTGAGAGAGAAATTCAGTGTGTGTGTGTGTGTGTGTGTGTGCGCGCGCGCGTACTTGCGTGTGCATCACGTATATCTGGGATAATTAGGAAATCAATTGTTTCTTATTCACAGGAATCATGTTCTATAAAATTACCACAAGTGTTGAATTTGTAAATACTGAACCATTATTCCTAGGAGAAATACAGGGTTATGTTCCTGTGAGCCTCTGGCCACACATTTCCATCAACTATTAGTATATAACTTTATGTGTTTTTGCTTAAGGACACTTGGCTGAGTATATATTGTTGAATCATTAATATTGCACTATAACTCATGCCTGAACAAACCTTATCTAACATATTTTCCCTGTAGGCATATCACAGCCTTTTTGTGCTTGGGGATGTTAGACGTCACTTCAGCACCATGTGTTGGGTCATGTTAAACAGCAAAATCAGGCCAGGTGTGGTGGCTTATGCCTGTAATCCTAGCACTTTGGGAGGCCAAGGTGGGCAGATCACTTGAGGTCAGGAGTTCGAGACCAGCCTGGCCAACACAGCGCAACCTCATCTCTATTAAAATTATAATAGGCCAGGCGCGGTGGCTCACACCTGTAATCCCAGCACTTTGGGAGGCCAAGGTGGGCGGATCATGAGGTCAGGAGATCGAGACCATCCTGGCTAACACGGTGAAACCCCATCTCTACTAAAAATACCAAAAAAAAAAAAAAAATTAGCCAGGCGTGGTGGCGAGCACTTGTAGTCCCAGCTACTCGGGAAGCTGAGGCAGGAGAATGGCATGAACCTGGGAGGCGGAGCTAGCAGTGAGCCGAGATGGTGCCACTGCACTCCAGCCTGGGCAACAGAGTAAGACTCCATCTCAAAAAATAAATAAATTAAATTAAATTAAATTACAATAAAACAAGTAACCAGGTGTGGTGGCACATGCCTGTAGTCTCAGCTACTTGCGAGACTGAGGGACAAGAATCCCTTGAACCCAGGAGGCAGAGGCTGCAGTGAGCTGAGATCACACCACTGCACTTCAGCCTGGGCAACAGAGCGAGACCCTGTCTCAAACAAAAAAACCCCCCAAAAAACAAAAATCAATAAACAGCAAAATCATAAACACAAAGCACAAAAATGTGAAAAACATGTCGTTAAATAGACTGTGAACAGGGCATTTATTTACAGTATGAGAACTGGAACCAGAAGACAGTGTTACCTTGTTCAACCTCAGATGGGAATGTGCATGTCAAGTAATTCAAATTTTTTGCCACTCTGAGCATGTCTGAGAAAGCCCATGAAAGCACAATGTGTATTAATTTTGGGGTTATAAATAAATTTTAGCAAGTGGGTATTCACAAATATGGAATCCACAAATAACAAGGATCAACTATACTTCAATCCACATTTGGGAGCTATCAGTGGCAGCATGAACCTGGTTATGGTTAGTCTCATAAATGTGTAGCGGGGCTAGTATGCATTTCTCGGTGTGATTTTTTTCAGAACTCTTGACAATATTAGGAGTCTAGAAAACTGACAAGAAATTAGTGATCTAGGACTGGGATTTGGTACTGCAGAAATGGAGGATTCTGGTGTGCTTATGGCAACACTAACTGAGTTAAGGTTTGCTAGAAGTTCAAGATTGATAATGACCTGGTAAGGAATTAAATACCACTGTTCTCAACAGTATTTCCATATTAGAATCATCCAAGGAGTTTGTTTGTTTTTAATGATGTTGCTTGGGCCCTACCCCAGATCTGAATTACAACCCCTGGGAAGTAGGACCTAGTATCAGTATTTAAAAAATACTTCCCTGCCGGGCATGGTGGCTCACGCCTGTATTCCCAGCACTTTGGGAGGCCGAGGCGGGCGGATCACAAGGTCAGGAGTTCCAGACCAGCCTGGCCAACATGGTGAAACCCCATCTCTACTAAAAATACAAATATTAGCCAGGTGTGGTGGCACACACCTCAGCTACGTGAGAGGCTGAGACAGGAGAGCCACTTAAACCTGGGAGACAGAGGTTGCAGTGAGCCAAGATCACGCCACTCTACTCCAGCCTGGGCAACAGAGCAAGACTCCATGTCGGGTTGGGGGGAGGGGGGAGAAAAAAAAAACACTTCCCAAGATATTTTTAATATGCAGCCAGGTTTAAGAGCCATTAGTTAAAGTAAGAAAAAGCACTTTCTGTGTTTTTATAGTCCAGGTAGAAAATAAAACATTGTGGTTGGAGAAGCATCCCAGTTATATTGGTGTTGCTCAGTGTCTGAAGCAAGGGATCTTGAAGTATTGGAGTTGAGAAGATATAGTTGCCCATATGTTAGATGGGCTGTCATCATAGACAGTGAAGTCACCAGTAAAGAAAGATCACAGGATCTGTCTAAGTGGAAAGATGATTCACCAACAAATGAATGGACTTTTGTGAAACATGTTAGATATTTATGTACTTCAAGTGACAAACCTGAATGTGATAGGCAGCAACTATATAGAAACTTGTGTTTATATGAGTTAAATACTAATACGAGTTAATACTAATATCATATTTCAGCTTAACTTACGTATGTCTGCAAAATCTTTGGCAGTCAGCTTTTTAATTTTGTTGAATCGTGCGTAAAGATAGGCTGATTCCTTTGGTAAGGGTGGTACAGCATCAATGTCAACTTCTTCACAGTATACAGAGCCACTTAAACAAACACACAGCAGACACGTGGGCATTTCTAAATTGGGAATAAAATCATAAAAATATGAACAATCGTTTGAAAATATTTCTCCTCTAGTAGTAAAATTATTGCTATTATGAATGCTATTACTAATTTGAAGAGATGTTTTACAGAATCATAAGAAAGATAGTCATGGTAACTCGTTACCTATATTGTGCTTGATAATTCACCAGAATATTGTTTGAGAATCTCTTTTTATTTTGTTTTACTGGTGATTGCTTAAATGCTGAATTGATTGACAGTTACATTTCCTTATTTGAAAACCAAAAAAATTTACAAAGCAGGAGTTAAGGTAAACATGAGCTTGACTTATTAAGTTTAATGTGTGAGAAACATATTTCAGATTGGTGACAGTAGCTAGACTTTAGTAACCACTAGTTAAGTAAGGAAGCCATTAACTTGAAAATTAGAGTAATCGTAGGCACTGTTTGGATCCTTTAGCACCCCAAGTCATTTATTACATTTACTTGTCATACCTCTTGGAACATTCCTTAGTCTTTGTTTTTTATACCTTTTCCTGTTTTTGAAAAGTGTAGAGCTTTTTTTTTTGTTTAGTTTTCTTTTTCAGGGCATTTATTCTGCAGAATGCCTTTCAGTTGGCAGAGGTTTCTCATTTTTGGCAGGAGTACCATGGATCGTCAGTGCTGTGTGTCCAAAAGCACATGATATCTGTTTATCCCATTCCTGATAATATCTTTGGTCACTTGGTTCAACTAGTATTTGCCATGTTTCTCACTGAGTAAAGTTAATATTTTTCACTTCATAACAAGTAATTCTGGAGAAGTACTTTGAGAATCTAAATGTCTGGTGTGACATTGTACTTTCATATACTAGTTTTAGCATCCATTGATGATTCTTACCCGAATCATTTGTGACTAACCAAATAGTGATTTTCTAATTCCATCATTCCTTCTACATTTGTTAGTTGGCACTCTCTTCTTATTTTTATATCAATATGAACTTGTTTTATATATTTTGATATATTTTATTATTTTATTTACTTACTTATTTTTGAGACAGAGTCTTGCCCTGTTGCTCATGCTGGAGTGTGGTGGTGTGATCTTGGCTCATTGCAACCTCCACCTCCCCATTTCAAGCGATTCTTCTGCCTCAGCCTCCTGAGTAGCTGGGATTACTGGCGTATGCCACCACACATGGCTATTTTTTTTTTTTTTTTGAATTTTTAGTATAGACAAGGTTTCACCATGTTGGCCAGGCTGGTCTCGAACATGACCTCAAGTGATCTGCCTGCCTCGGTCTCCCAAAGTGCCGGGATTACAGACGTGAGCCATCACACCTGACCTATTTTGATATATTTTAAATATATCAAATAAACATGTCAAATTTTATTTTTTGAATTTTTTTTCTTTTTTTTGAGATGAAGTCTCGCTTCGTCACCCAGGTTGGAGTGCAGTGGTGTGATCTCGGCTCACTGCAGTCTCCGCCTCCCGGGTTCAAGCAATTCTCCTGCCTCAGCCTCCCAAGTATCCGGGATTACAGGCATGTGCCACCATGTCCGGCTAATTTTTTTGTATTTTTAGTAGAGACTGGGTTTCACCATGTTGGCCAGGCTGCTTTCGAACTCCTGACCTCAGGTGATCTGCCCGCCTCAGCCTCCCAAAGTGCTAGGATTACAGGTGTGAGCCACCACGCCCGGCCTATTTTTTGAAATTTTAATTGATATTTTCATATCAATATGAATTGTGTCCCATAAGTCATAATCTGTGTTTATTTTAATAGTCAAATTGTCACAGATTAGGCCCTTTCAAGCTTTTTTTTCCTGCTACAGCTTTTTGTGGTTAGCTGACTTACAATTAATTGCGTGTATTTAAATCGTACAACATATACGATTTTTACATATGTACACCCCCATGAAACGTTCACTACAAGTGAGTTAATTAACATACCTGTCACTCCAAAAAGTTTTCTCCTGCCCTTTGGTAATCTCTCCCTCCCACTCTTGTCCTCGAGCAATGACTGACCTGCTTTTGGTCAGTATACATTAGTTTGCATTTAGGAGAATTTTATATTAAAAGAATCATGGAGTATCTACTTCCTTTTCTGGCTTCTTTTACTCAGCATTATTATTTTGATTTTCAATCTTTATCAGTAGTTCATTCTTCTTTATTACTCAGTAGTATTCAATTGTCTCAATATATACAATTTACATGGTCATTTCATATGGACATTGGGTTGTTTCCAGGTTTTCACTATTTCAAAGAAATTTATGTGTAAGTTTGTGTGGACTTAATGCTTTCATTTCTCTTGGGTAAGTACCTAAGGAGTGGAATGGCTGGGTCTTTTTATAAATGTATGTTTTATCTTTTGAAGAAAGTGTCAAACTATTTTCCAAAGGACTGTGCCATTTTACATTCCTACCAGCAGCATATGAGAGTTCCAGCTGCTCCACATCCTTGCCAACATTTGGTATGGTCAGTCTTTTTAATTTTAGCAATTGAAATGTAGGGCATGTTATAGTATCTCATTGTGTTTTAATTTGTATTCTCTGATAACTAATGATGTTAGCATCTTTTCATGTGCTTGTTTGGCATCCATATATTTGATGACTTGTCTTTTTTTTTTTCCCTCTTACTAGTTTTCCTTTTGGAAATGAAACATTTTAAATTTTAATGAAGAACAGTTGGTTCCTTGATAATTCATGGTTTCTGTGTTGTATTTAAGTAATGTTTGCCGACCACCAAGATTTGACACTTTGTTTTCTTCTAGAAGTTGTATAGTTTAAGATCTTTACCTTTAGGTGTGGGGTATACTTTGGGCTAATTTTTATATATGGTGCCAGGAAGGGTTAATTCTTTTTTGAAAAATTTTCCTACAGTTGTCTGGTTCTTTCAGCACCGTTTTTTAAAAGGATTATTCTTTCCCCATTGAATTGTATTGTCACATTGTCAAGAACTAGTTGGTTACTTCATGTTAGCCTGTTTCTGGATTTTATTTTGTTCTGGTGACCCACTTTAACATTTTTATGCCAATACTGCAGTGTCTTGATTCCTGTACCTTTGTAACAGTCTTGTTAGTATAAATCCTGCAACTTTGTTCTTCTTCAATGTTGTTAGACTATTCTAGGTCCTTTATATTTTTATATATATTTTAGAATCAGCTTGTTAATTAAACAAAAAAAAAACCTATTAGGATTTTGATTGGGATTGTGTTGAATCTCTAAATTTGGGGAAAACTGACATCTTAATGATATTGAATCTTCTAGACCTCGAACATAATACATTTCTCCTTATATATAGGTCTTCTTTATTTTCTCTTAGCAGCGTTATTTAGATTTCAGTGTACAGGCCTTACATACCTTTATTTTTTTTTTTTTGAGACAAGATCTCATGCTGTCACTCAGGGTGGGGTACAGTCGCATGATCATGGTTCACTGCAAACCTCGACCTCCTGGGCTCAAGCGATCCTCCTGCCTCAGCCTCTCAAGTAACTGGGACTACAGGTTTGTGCCACCACACCTGGCTTTTTCTTGGTTAAATTTTTTGTAGAGACATGGTGTCACTATGTTGCCCAAGCTGGTCTCAAACTCCTGAGGTCAAGCAGTCCTCTTGCCTCGGCCTTCCCATAAACATCTTTTATATCTATTTCTTTTATATATTTTGATGGATTTAAAAACATTTTGTCAGGAGACTGGGTGCAATGGCTCATATATGTAATCTTGGCACTTTTAGAGGCTGAGGCAGGTGGATCATTTGAGTCTAGGAGTTTGAGACCAACCTGGGCAACATGATGAAACCTCATCTCTACAAAAAAATACAAAAATTAGCCAGGTGTGGTGGCACGTTCCTGTAGTCCCAGCTACTTGGGAGGCTGAGGCAGGAGGATTGCTGGAGCCCAGGAGGTCAAGACTGCAGTGAGCCATGATCATGCCACTATACTCCAGCATGGGTAATAGAGCGAGACCCTGTCTAAAAAAACAAACAAACAAACAAAAAAACACCATTATTCTTTGAGAACTTCCTTATTTCCTAACATAGCAAGATGTCCCAAACTAACCTTGCATTTTTCCTGCCCCAACCCTGAAATCAGCTATCTCTTCAGAAAGCACTGGGGGTTTTTTTGGTTTGTTCATTTGTTTTTAAGACAGAGTCTCGCCCTGTCACCCAGGCTGGAGTGCAGTGGTGCCATCTCGTCTCACTGCAGCTCTGCCTCCTGAGTCCAAGTGATGCTCCCACCTCAGCCTCCCGAGTAGCTGGGATTACAGACATGTGCCACCATGCCCAGCTAATTTTTTTTGTATTTTTAGTAGAGACGGGGTTTCACCATGTTGGCCAGGCTTGTCTCAAATTCCTAACTTCAGGTGGTCCACCCGCCTTGGCCTCCCAGAGTGCTGATATTACAGGCATGAGCCACCACACCCGGCCAGCATTGGTTTCTTTTAGTGGAGAATGGTATTAGAAACCAAGATGCAGGTGCTGGGTGTGCTCATTGCCATTGAGATCACGTTGCTTCTAGGCTCTTTCAGCAGAGAGAGCTAGGAAATAAATGTGTGTGTTTATTTGTCTCTTTCTCCACAGATAATACACATACATGCAACATATACGGATATAAACATATACAATATACATGCATATGTATACCATATACTCATGTATACATACACACACATAGAGATAAACAGAGAGAAACATTTCTATATTTCTGTATCTCTGTATATACAAACCCTGAGTTAATAGTAGTATCTTCTATTCCAAACCAACTCCACAGTGTTCTTTCTAGCCTTCCACCTTTCCGTATTTGTAATGTTTCTCTGACAGTGCGGAACCTGGCTCTCATTATTTACGTATATTTACTTAGTTCTGGCACACATATTAAGTAGTTCCAGTATTGCTAACTCATAACACTGTGCATAACAAACCTACTCACTGGAACTTCATATTTGTTTATAGTTCTTTTTTGTCCTTAGCCTGAAGGTATATAGGAAAATGCTGTGTTTAACAGTTACTTAGAGTTTTTTCTTCCTTTGCTGAGTTATTAATTTGAAGCACAATCAAGTTTATGTTTTTATGTTTGTATTCCAATTTGGGTTCTTTTTACCTTATTCTTGTTGATTTCATTTATATACGTATTTGGTTTTTTGACTATACGAAACAGCATTGTTCTAAAAATTAAATCTACATTAAAAAGTATATACGCAGAGAACTGCCATCCCCTCTCCCCCAATTTCTTTTTAGCCTGTATTTATTTTCACAGAAACAAGCAGATACATATATATTTTCTTATATCCTTTTCTTTCTTACATGAAAGACAGCATATTATAGATATTCTTTTGCACTTTGTTTTTTTTTTCCACATAGTGTATCCTGGAAATCACTCCATGTTAGTTCTTAGAGATCTTCCTCATTCATTTTTACAACTGCATAGTATTCTCTTCTGTTGGATTTACCATTGTTTATTCAACTACTCTTCAGTGTTTGGGCAGTTAAATTATTTCTGATATTTTGCAATTGCATGCAATGCTTTAGTGATTTTGCATTTGTATTTTATTTTGGAGTATATCATCAAGGTAAATTTCTCAAAGTTGGCCGGGAGTGGTGGCTCACGCCTGTAATACCAGCACTTTGGGAGGCTGAGGCACTTGAGGTCAGGAGTTCAAGACCAGCCTGACCAACATGGTGAAACCTGTCTCTACTAAAAATACAATAAATTAGCCTGGCGTGGTGGCGCGTGCCTGTAATCCCAGCTACTCGGAGGCTGAAGCAGGAGAATTGCTTGAGCCCAAATGGCGGAGGTTGCAGTGAGCCAAGATTGTACTGCTGCACACCAGTCTGAGAGCGAGACTCTGTCTCAAAAAAAAAAAAAAATCCTCAAAGTTGGTTCTTATGTCAAAAAGTAAATGCATTTTTTATTTTGTTAGATATTGCCAAGTTCCTGTCCAAAAGCATTGTGTTGATTTGCCTTCCTGCTGCCGTGTATGAGTGTCTTACCCCATAGCCCTTGCTCATGGAATATATTAATGTGTTGTCATACTTCAATTTTTTTCAATCAGATAGGTTAAAAATGGTATCTCAATGTAATTTTAATTTATATGTCTCTGTGTGAGATTGAACACTTATTTGGGTTAAATCATTTAAATCATCTTGTGAACTGTCATTTTTCCAGTGGATTTTTGGTTAATCTCTTTTCCTCGATTTTTAAGAGTGCTTTATAAATTAGAGTTACTAGATCTTTATTTTTAGTTATATTATCTGTGAGCTCTTTATCTAGTGATATTATTTATCTGTAGTATATGTTACAAATATTTTTCCCAGTTTTTAGTTGCCTTCGACTTTACCACAGGTATTTTTAGGGTCAAATTTATTGTTCTGTTCTATTGTTGTCTCTGGATTTTGAGGCACCCTGCACCCAGATTCTTTTCTAGTACTTGTACGATTTCATTTTATACATTCAGATTGCTAATCTATTTGGAGTTTATTTTTTGTGTAAGGTATGGACCTAAATGTACACCTCTTCAAATGGCTGTTTCTCCCAGCACCATTTTTTAAAAAGACCATTTTTGCTTCAGTGATTTAGGTTGGTACCTTTAGTATGTACTGAATTTTCATGTGTATTTTTGTCTGTTTCTGGATTTTCTATTCTATTTCATTGATCTTTTTGTCTATTCATATACCAGTATCGCACTTTTTAAAGTATAGAGTTTTATAATATATTTTAATGTGTAGTACATCTGATTCCTACATATACTTGTTACTGTTTACTGTTTCCCTTGTTATTTGTTACATGTTGTTCCATATGAATTCTAGAATCTGGTTTTCCAGCTTTATAAAAAAATTTATTGGTAATTTTAGTTGGATTGTTTTAAATTTATAAATTTAGAAAGAACTGACATCTTTATGATTTTGAGTCATTCCATCCAAGAACAAGGGATGTCTTTTGTTTTTTGTTTTTGTTTTTGTTTTTTTTGAGACAGAGTCTTGCTCTGCCGCCTAGGCTGGAGTACAATGGCACGACCTCGGCTCACCGCAACCTCCACCTCCCAGGTTCAAGCAATTCTCTGCCTCAGCTTCCCGAGTAGCTGGGATTACAGGCACCTGCCACCACGCCTGGCTAATTTTTTGTATTTTTAGTAGAGACAGGGTTTCACCATCTTGACCAGGCTGGTCTTGAACTCCTGACCTCGTGATCCACCCGCCTCAGCCTCCCAAAGTACTGGGATTACAGGCGTGAGCCACCACGCCCAGCCTGGGATGTCTTTAAATTTATTCAAATCTATTTTTACTATCATACTTCTCGCTTTTTAAGCTTTATTTTCTGTTATGGTTCATTTTCATTTTATTTTAGAAATATAGAAATTAATATGTGGTTTTTGTCATGTTTTCATGTGAAATAATGTTCTGTGATAGAGTAAGAGTAAGCCAAGTACACAGGAATTATTAAGTAGGACTTGTAATTTGTTATTTCATGACAAGTTTTCTATTTTAATTGAAATGTATGTGTAATTATTGATGTATATGTGTGTTTCTGTTCTGTAAGTTTCTTAAAGGCAATAATTATATTTACCGTATACTGAGGCTGCACATTGTATTTTGCAAATAATCCGTGTTTAAGTATTTCTCGAATAGATTTTATATGGATGGAAACCACACTTTGTGGAGGCTAAGCTTGCCTAAGCTTTGGTTGTTCTCACAAGTTCTTGCTCCACATTTCTCACTCATAATGTGGGATGGCAAATGGTGTGCACTCCCAGTTTGAGTTTATCATTGGAAATAAAATTCCACTGTTTGTATTTACTGTATCTTGAGTCAGTTTTTGATTACCACAAGGAATAAAGTCCATTATAGCTATTTTTAAAAGATCCATTTGAAAAATATTTAGATGATACTTACCATCATTTTCTTTCTTGGGAGGTAATGGTGTTATTGCCTCATCTTTTTGTAATTGAAGACTTTTCTCATTGGGTATTATCACAGTTTCTTTTTCCTATTGGAAAAATAAAAGTTTGTTACCTAGCTTCATTAAGTCTGTGTTTCTCTGTAAAATGAAGGGATCACAGACACCTTCTCGTAGTTACAATTAGTGGCATTTCCTTTGTGCTCCATTAGGCTTTCATACATATTTCCATTTTATCATCTATTAAATTACAATAAGTATTTTTTAGCTTGTTTTTATTCTAGACTATGAGCTCCTTGAGTAAAAGAACTGGGTGTTTTTATTTTTATATCGCCAGTAGCTACACTCAGTGCTTAATAAATGTTGAACATCCTGAAATTCCAAATGAAAGCTAGGTGAGAATTCCCTGAATTGGAATGAAAGTTTTTCTGAGGTGAAACTGTTCCTCAGGGGTCTTGTCTGAACTGAGTTTCTCATTCAGATTCTACCATTTTGAGTAAGACTAGAGCTCCAGCCATGTCACAAGTATAAACTACCAATTAAGGTCTTTAGGTCTCTTCTTGGGGTGACCCTTTAATTACCTATATCCCTCCATTAAGCCCTGGCTCTTGGATCCCTTTTATTCCAGCTTACCTTACCTACCCTGCTTGGGCCACTGGGGTAGGCCATTAATTCTGGGGAAATTGGAGTAGATACAATTTAGATCCTGTCTTTCCTGTTCTTGGAGAGTACGTTTTCTGCCATTAGATTACAGTGTATTATGTGGTGTCCTATTCTTTCTGTCCTTTGTAAGCATGTTCCATTTTAGTCTCGGTCTTGACTCCTGACTCTGCCCTTCACCTTCATTCTCCCATCTGTGTGGTGGTTGAACTTCCTCCCTCTACTCTGTGTTTGCACATCAAGTCCTGTTGAATTCTACTCCACTCCACAAATATCTTAGACCCTGCATTTATATTAAGATAGAGAAACTTCTAAAGCCCTGTAAAGAGAAGAAGCAGAGAGAAAAATAATCTCTAAACTCTTTAGGGATCAGGGAATCTTAATAGATTCAAATCATCCAAGTGAGCCAATAGCCTATGTTATGATGGGACTTTTTTTTCTTTAACTTGAAGCTATAATTAGTAATACCTATCCTTTGTGTCTTAGTGATGGGCAAAAATAATGCTATCATATTAAAAGCATTAACTGAAAGAAAGAAACTGTGGTGTTAACATTTGCTCATTGTGTACCCCTGCAAAAAAGAAAAGAGAAAGTAGCAATTATAACTGGTCAATCTTATAAGTCTTTATCCTCCAATTTATAGTGGAGAAGAACTTCTGAAACAATCAGTATTGTTATATATTTGGCTGAATTTCTCATTTTCCAGTGTGTATGTGTATGTGTCATACATAGTGGGCAACAGATACTTAAGTGCTGTATTAACTTTTTCCTTACCCAGCATTCATTTCTGTGTGCCAAGAAAACCACAAGTAATTAGTTTGCCCATAAAGGTGGGGAATGAATGATGTGGTATAACGTCACCCTTGCAGTGTTAACTCAAAGACAGTTACAGTTACTTGGTACCAATTGATAGAGGGTCTAAACTGTTAAAATTGATTTAAAAAGAAAGTCCTATATTGACTAGGTTTTCAGTTTTTGGTACTGTATGTAGATGGCATATATAAATTATTGTGGAATGCTATTGATATCAAAATAACCAGTACTCTTCTATGTATTTTCTTCAAATTGTTTTCTATAATAATAACCTTAAGCTGATAATTCATCTTTATTTCTCCAAATACACATTTCCGCTAATTTATTTTTGAGGCAACACAACATTGCAAGTATAGGGCATTGTGTAACATTACTTAATATATAAATTGCAACTGGTGAGGGATCATCTTAAAGTCTAGTTTTCTTTAAGTTTTATTTTTTGGTTACTATAGATACTGTTTGGTTACCATAGATACCATTTATTAATTTGGAAAGCATACATACTCTAAAAATACAATCTTAGGGACAATTATTATGAATTCGTTTGAATCATTTAAAGTGATTTTCCCTTCCCCTTACCTTATCAGACACATTCAGGAAAAGCAAAAACATGCATTTAAATGGGCAGTATTTTAGAAGCTAAATTTAGAATAGAAATAAAGTACCTTAATATTTTTTCCATCCAGGTATTTATCCTCATAATCTTGGCTAAATATGGATTCTTCAAAATTATCTGTTCCATAATCATAGATAATGCGTGAGTCCTGCTGGGTTGGTGGTGCTGGCTTTATCAGAGGCACAAGCAGTAACAGGAGAAGTGTAGACTGCAGAGTCTTCATTTTAGCAAAAATCAAGGTGACTGGAAGTTAATAAACTAGTGGCCTGCTGACTGTGGGACAAAACTCTCTTTTTCCCTGGAAATAAAAATTCAGACCATCGAAGCAATATTTAAAAGCTTAGAGGATGTTTTGGCAGGGTGTGCGCAGTAAGGGCCAGAGAACAGTATTTAACCCTTAGTGATCTTTAATTAGATGCTAGCAGTTTTTATGTATCAGTGAACATTCTGAAAAATAGTTTTGGAAAATAGTTTTACTTCTCTATCAGAAATTCAAGAAAGATTGATAATTTTAAGTTTCTTAATAATTAAGTGCCTTCAGCAGACATACTAATATTTAATTGAAATATTCTTAGGATACCTGTAGTATAAATAGTTAAAATAAAGTCCCAAGATCCTGTCTCATGTGAGTTAAAAATATCATATTTCCACTTAGCTACTTTATAAGAACTCTTGATTTATATTGGTATGAACAGAAACAAGTTCCAAGAAAAGTTTTAAAACTTAAATTTAACATTATGAAAAGTAGTCATTAACACCTTTAGGTGGTACAGAATATAGGAAAAGCCATACGTTTTTAATTTTCTTAGTTTTGTAATTTTAATAGGTGATCATAATTTTTAGTTAATAGTATTGTATTTTTAATTTAAGCTAAGAAAACTGAAAGAATAGTATTGCAGGCTAGAGGAAATACCGAACTTTAATCAAAGAACTTTGAGGAATGTAATAGAAAGGATTCCTTTAGGCTCATCAATGGATTTTCTCTGGTGGGTACACATTTCAGACTTTTTCTTAAGTAACTTCAAACAGAATCACTCAAGAGTTGCTGATGCTGCATTATAGATGCCAGTTTGTCAAAAATCCAGAGGTTGAAAATGAAGAAGATAATGGATTTGTGACTTCTGCAGCACCCTATTCTTGCCTGCGTGGATGTTAAATTTATGCGATGATATACATAAGTACTTCTTAAAAATTAATTGAGGTAACTGAAACTTAAACCAGAGATGGCCTTTACATTTATTAAGACTATTAGATGAGTCAGTCGCACTTTAACAAACAATATTTAAAATAATATATGAAAAGTAAGCCTACCGTTGTAGCTGTTTTGAAGTTTTTTGTGGTTTTCCTCAATAGATGTTCATGTCTGTGCATTAGCCCCAAGTGGGAGGGTGAATGAGAAAAGCTATGTCTTGATTTCAAACTGCTGAGTAAAATTTCAGGGCCCAGCAGCTTTAAGAACAGTTTCCATGTGGTAGAGATCTTTGCCAGCATTCTTTCTCTAGGGTGAAATGCAGTGTGTTGTACTAGAGAACTGTGCTTAAGTTATTTGTTGTAACTGCTGCACTCAGTCTGCTTCAACTAATTTGACTATAAACTTGTGTGATTTTATTATTGTGTAATAAACATTCATGTTTTGGTGAATATTAGTTTATGAAAAATGATATAGTTTTAAAGTCATCCTTTTCATTTTGGTGATTTCCCAGGAGATCAAACAATCTGCTTTTTGAATGAAATAGGACACCAAATGACAACATAGTCCATGTTGTTAATTTTATGAGGATTAAAAATATTGCCCTAATACCATAATTAATATATAGCCAGTGTAATATATTTTTCCAGTGTAAAAATTAGTTTTAGCACAAATTATTTGATAGTTTTGTCATTTGGATTTTTTCTCCCCTTTATTTTAGTTACATATAAGAAAAACTGATGCATAAAAATTAGCTTTTTAAAAGTAAATTTGATTTATAGTTTTTGAGGTTGATAGTAAAAGATACTTTTGTTTGCTGAATGAAGGAAACTTTATAAAATTACTTTAATATTGAAATTGGCTTTTAAAAATTAAAGTGGCATTGTAGATACCATACAAGCAACTTTGAAGATTTTTTTAAAGAGTCACTTTTAAAAAATTCCTCCTTGGTGCTTTTACCAATCAAATTAACTTTTCTCCTTTAAGCTAAAAATTTAACAAATATGGATATATATTTTATTAAAATAGAAAATGAAAGAATAACAATTTGTTTTCTTTTCTAGACAAAATTGTTTTAGAACCTTTCAAATCAAAGCTTAAATAAACTAAGACTTGAGCACTGAAGTTTTTATTTGAATGTGAATTATCTTAAATTTAATTGTGATATTGTCTGGCTTGAGTTGATATAAATTGTTGGTTTTATGGCTTCAAGGATACAGTAAAACTTTTTTAAATACTTTGAAATATATAATAATGAAACAACAGACATTGATTTGTTTTGTATTGTGTGGCAAGTTAACAAGATATTGAGAAGTAAGCTGGATAGATACCATATGTCCAAATTTAGAGAATCTTAGAGATTCATAGTTTCATTAATGGTACACTTTGATGCTTTGTACTACAGAAAATTATTTTGTGAAGAACAACTTTCCTTGAAAAGTTATGACCAGTGAATACAATGTTATTAGCATTCACTCATTTAATAAAAGTTTATTGAGCGCCAATTCTGTGCCAGGACTTCAGACACGTAAGCTCAGATAAGCAAACTTCAGTTTCTTCCCTCAAGGAAGATTTATAGCCTCTAAGTCAGCAGGAAAAGCAGCAAACAAGCAACTAGAATCCATGGTAGGGCTTGCTACACAGAAATATGCAGAGTTCTGTGATAACCTGGGAGAAGCCACAAACTGACTGGGAGTCAAGGAGACTGCACCCAAACTGACTTCTATAGAGAGGATAGGAGAGGAGGGTAAGCGCAGGTGATGAGGTATTCTAGGCAAGGGGATCATCACGTGCTCCCCTTAGGGAGGGGATGGGGGTAGATCATTCAGAAAATTTATAATTTGTTTTGCATACTGCTGGAGCTTGGAGGGAGAGAGAGAAGAAGTCAGGGGGATGGACCATATTAAGAGATGCGACTAGACAGGGGGAATAGAGGTTGGATTAAAGAAAGTATTTTATATCCTGCTAAAGTATTTGGGCTTTAGTCTGTAGTCAGTGAGAGACCATGTAGAGATTTTTAAGCCAGTGATGGCTTAAATATGATCCTGTTTGCATTTTAGAAACATTCCTCTAATGTTGCATTGCTGAAGAATACCACTGTTCATCTATTGTAGTGGTTATCTATTACTGTGTAAAAAACTACCACAAAGGAATGGCTTAGTTAAAATAACACACATTTATTATCTCACAGTTTCTGTGGGTCAGGAATTTGGCGTGTCTTTGCTTGATGGTCTGCTTCAGGATCTGCATTTGAAGTGCATCTGGCACTGCAGCCTCACTTCAGGGGTTGAGTAGGGAATGATCCAGTTCTAAGCCCATGTGGTTGTTGACAGCATTCAGTTCCTTGCAGAATGTGAAACTGTGGACGTAAGTTTCTTGCTAGCTGTTGACTGACGGCCTCCCTCAGTTCCTTGCCATGTGACTTCCTCAAAAGGGCAGCTCACAACATTGCAGCCTGCTTCTTCACAGCTAGAGGAGGAAATAGTCTTCTGGCAAGATGGGTATTACCCGCACTTCTGATACCAACAGCAATTTCAGGAGATTCCTAGAACCACTCTTATTACATTTGATAATTCCCTAGAAGAACTCTCAGAACTCACTGAAGACCATTATACTCATGATTATGGTTTATATAGAAAAAGGATACACCCTAAAATCAGCCAAAGGGGGAGATGCGTAGGGGCAGTGTCTAGAAGGCTCCAGACTTGAAACTTCCATTGTTCTCTGGATGCATTGCCTTACGTTGATATGTGGCAGTGTATGTGGGGTATTGCCAACCAGGCAAGCTTATTCTCAGTGTTCAGAGTTTTTATTGGGGCTTTATTAATAGGTTTGATTGATTGATTGATTGAATTCAGCCTCCTGGTCCACTGATACTACATAACCCAAATCCCTTATCCTACATCACGTGGTTGGTCTTCCTGGCATAGCCACCTCTACCTCAAGACTATCAGGTGTGGCTGATCTCACCCTAAACAAAAACACTCCTATCAGAAATAACATAGATCACCTCTCAGAAGCCAAGGCAAAGCCCAGACCTCTCTTTAGGCAAAGCCAAAATCTTTACTACACAGTACTCAATATAAAATGCTTGAAACTGAGGTGATTTTCTATTCCAGAAAGAATTGAATGCTGATAGAAAGCTATTTAGCTTTTACTCTACAGGAGTAAAAGATGAAAGCTGTCTCATGCTCAAGAGCAGGCATTGTATCCAAAGATGAAAGAGTCTTCTTTGTGGAATTCTTTTTATGAAGGCAAGGTCTTGCTCTGTCACCCAAGCTGGAGTGCAGTGGCACGATCATGACTCTCTGCAGCCTCAACTTTGTGGGCCCAAATGATCCTCCCACTTCAACCTTCTGAGTAGCTGGGACTACAGGCATGCACCACCATGCCTGGCTAATTAAAAAAATTAAAAGAATTGTAGAGACGGGGTCCTCTTATGTTACCCAGGCTGGTCTCGAACTTTTGACCTAAAGTGATCCACCTTGGCCTCTGTGGAGTTCTTTTAGGTGACCCTATTGTATTATCTTTGGTGCCTTATAGGGGTTTTATTTCCTCAAAAGTGTACCATTTGTCTGTTGGCAACCAAAAAAATGTGTTGAATGGAATGGAATTTTGGAAACAAGAGCTTCCAGGGAAAAAGTATTTTTGGGGAGTGGCTTAATTCTGATAGAGACCATATGACCTCCAAGTGGATTAGCTTTCAATGAATGCTACAAACCAGAAGAGTCTTTCCCCCATCTTCATCTTCATTCTCTAACTTTGTAGGAAATAGTTTGGTTTAGGAGTCAAAACACCTGAGTTCTAGTTTTTGTTTGTTTGTTTGTTTTTGAGACGGAGTCTTGCTCTGTCTCCAGGCTGGAGTGCAGTGGTGCGATCTCAGCTCACTGCAACCTCCGCCTCCCGGGTTTAAGCAATTCTTCTGCCTCAGCCTCCTGAGTAGCTGGGACTACAGGCATGCGCCACCACGCCCAGCTAATTTTTATGTTGTCAGTAGAGACAGGGTTTCACCATGTTAGCCAGGATGGTCTCGATCTCTTGATCTCGTGATTTGCCCGCCTCGGCCTCCCAAAGTACTGGGATTACAGGTGTGAGCCATTGCACCCAGCTGAGTTCTAGTTTTGATTCTTCATGAACCTTCCCCTGACCTTGGCAAGTTCTTTAACGTTTTGGGCCACAGTTTTTTTATCGATTGAACTTTTATCGATTGAATCGGGTTACTACAGAGTTCCTCAGCCTCTGCACTACTGACATTTTGGACCTGATAATTCTCTGTTGTGGGGGCTGTCCTGTGTGCACTTTAGGATGTTTAGCAGCACCTCTGCCTTCTACCCACTAGATGCTAGTAGTTGCACCCCACCCCCACCCCTACTTTGTGATGACCAAAAATGTCTCCAGACATTGCCAGCTGTCCACTGATGGGTGGGGGTTGGGGAAGCAAAATCATTCGTATTGATAACTGCTGAGTTACTAGATACACATAGACCCTTTTTAATCCAGCATTCTGGATTTTGTGGAAAGTCTGTGGTTTGGATCTCCGTCTTAAATCTCATACTTATGCTTGAAGCCTAATTGTTTGTTCAAACAAGAAATATGAGAACCCATGTATTTTACTTCCCAGACTAAAGGGTAAAATTTATATGGAGAGAATTATGACTCAATGTAAGGAAGAGCTCATGGTAAAATTGTATTTTATTTGTTAATTTAGTTTTTCTCAGTAGTACATAAATCTCTGTATAGTGAATTCATAACCTAAACAAGTAAAGTGATGCAAGATGTGTCCATGATGTTATGATATTTACACCTAGGCAGATTTATAACTTGGAATAGTTATATCAATTTAGGAAATTGGAACATATAAGAAACTTCAGATGTGTAGCCATTATGATTTAATTTTGTTTCCAGCTGCTCTTATGCTTTATTTCCAAGATGTAGAAGAAATGGATTTAGAATCAGGAAACCAGGGTTTTAGGTCTAGCCATCCTTGGGGACATATGAATTCTTAAAACAGAAAAATTATGTAGAACAGACAAGGTTTATTTCTTCTATTTTCTTTTTTACATCATGGAGCTGATTAAGTGTGTTATATAATATGCATACATCTGTATTTTACTTTAGTGCTCCCAAGCTTGAGAAATCGAGTGAAAATGTGTAGTGTTTCAGGTAATTCTTAAACACTGGCTAAACATTCTCAACCAGTATTATTGTGAACAAATTTATGAAGTATCCTTCTTAAAATTTCCTTTCTAAAAGTTAAATGTGTGTTCGTTATGCATTTATATTTGTTAATTAAATGGGTTTATGGTGCAACTTGGACTTATTTGTTAATAGTTACAGTTTAACCTATTAGCTAACATAACTAAATACTTGGTAGTATAATGAGAAAAATAATAAATGAATTTTCACATTTTTATTTCCTGCTATAAATATCAAATTAACTGGTTTAGTCTGTAGCTCCGATAGGTAACTGTGCAGTCTTGATGTACTATTTGAAGAAAATACTTTATTCTTCATCGTCTCCCAGGGAATGCATTGAGGTTTTTCTTTGTTTTGTTTTGTTTTTTGTTTGTTTGCTTGTTTTGAGACGGAGTCTTGCTCAGTCACCCAGGCTGGAGCTCAGTGGTTCAATCTCGGCTCACTGCAACCTCTGCCTCCTGGGTTCAAGCAACTCTCCTGCTTCAGCCTCCCAAGTAGCTGGGACTTCAGGTGCGTACCACCGCGCCTGGCTAATTTTTTGTGTTTTTAGTAGAGACAGGGTTTCACCATGTTAGCCAGGGTGGTCTCAATCTCCTGACCTCATGATCTACCCACCTCGGCCTCCTGAAGTGCTGGGATTACAGGCGTGAGCCACCGTGCCCAGCCTCATTGTTTTGTTTTTAATGAGAAGTACTTAAGCAGGTTTGAGTTAAGGCATTTTCAAGTACCAAAAAATGATTGTTAATCTGTCTCCTCCTTGGGCCCTGAGCTAGAGGACGTGGGATGCATTTACTTATATGCACTTTTAGAGGGAGGAGCCAGAGCAGAGTTGAACTGTTCTTGCTAATAAACAGGAGGAGGTTGACCACACTCTGGGGCAGGGAAGCCAGCAACTGAGTGCCTTGTGAGGGGGTGGAGGGAACCCTGCCATCCTCACCCTGGTGGGCCATCCAGATGGTGCTTTGAAAAGCTGCAGTGTCCAATAGTGGTTGTGAACTTGTGAGATATATGATTTAAGCACCCTAATGAAACCCTTAGTAGTCTCTCTTGTCCACTATCTTTTGTATGAGTAAAATGTTGGAAGGAACCCAAAGAGATGCTTACTCTGTTTTGTGTGCCAGGAAAAACAGTGTGAGCACCCAGGAGTGTGCAGCATCTGGATCTGTGGGCTGCTGGGCCAGATGTGCTACAGTGAGCCTTACTGTTTACTTGATACCTCCAACTCATGTGCACTTTATGTGCTTTATTATACCAATTATTTATCTTTATCCTTATGACAACCATATGGAAACCATCTTTTTTAAAAAACAAAGAAAGAGACACTTAAACTAAATAACTCACTCAAAGTCACCTAGCTTAAAAGTGTCATGTCAGGCTTTATACCCACATAGCTCTTATATCAGATTCCTTTTTTTTTCCTTTTGAGACAGAGTCTCGCTCTGTCTCCCAGGCTGGAGTGCAGTGGTGCAATCTCGGCTCACTGCAAGCTCTGCCTCCCCAGTTCACACCTCTCCTGCCTCAGCCTCCTGAGTATCTGGGACTACAGGCGCCTGCCACCACGCCCAGCTACTTTTTTGTATTTTTAGTAGAGACGGGGTTTCACTGTGTTAGCCAGGATGGTCTCAGTCTCCTGACCTCGTGATCTGCCCTCCTCGGCCTCCCAAAGTGCTGGGATTACAGATGTGAGACACCACACCCAGCCAGATTCCTTGTTTTGAATTGCTAAATTTGTTTTTGTTTTTTGAAACAGGATCTCACTCTGACACCCAGGCTGGTGTGCAGTGGCATGATGTCATTTCACTGCAATGTCCACTTGCTAGGCTCAGATGATCCTCCCACCTCATCCTCCCAAGTAGCTGGGACTACAGGCATGCACCACCATGCCCGGTTACTTTTTCTATTTTTAGTGGAGATGGAGTTTCACCATGTTGCCCAGGCTGGTCTAGAACTCCTGGGCTCAAAGGATCAGCCCACCTCAGCCTCCCAAAGTGCTGGTATTACAGGTGTAATCCACCATGCCAGGCCAGAATTGCTAAATTTGAATTGCAATTTTATTATTTGCTAAGGCTGTTCTTTGAGAATTAAAATGTATTTTCTTTTATTCATTTAGGAGGAGATACAAATTGAAACTCCAGAGCTCTGAAAAAGGAAGGGTTTTCAATCTCTTAAACTGTGCAAGAAGTGAAACAAGTAATTACCATGTCTTTATATTAACCCCAGTCAGGAGCTTGTTCTCTCTACTTTTGCCAGTCAGTTCCTGCCACACATTAACTTTTTCCTGGGAGCCTTCAACTACTCCTCCAGGTCCTCACCAGATGTGAAAGTTATGGTATCTGTGCTTATACAGTTTTTCATAGTCACTGCCGCTTTAGCATTTTATTTCTTCCTTGTGTTAGAGTGAGTTGTTTGATCTTCTCTTTATTAAATTCTTCAAATAACTGTTTTATTGAGATAAGTCACATTCAATACAATTCATCTTTTTAAAGTATATAATTTAATTAATGAATTAATTAATTAATTAATTTATTTATTTTTAGAGACGGGGTCTCACTCTATTGCCAGGGTGGAGTGCAGAAGCATGATCATGGCTCACTGCAACCTTGGTCTCCGGGGCTCAAGCAATCTTTCTGCTTCAGCCTCTTGAATAGCTAAGACTGCAGGCATGCACCACCATGCCTGGCTAATTTTTAATTTTTTTGTAGAGACAGGGTTTCACTGTGTTGCCTAGGCCAGTCTTGAACTTCTGGCCTCAAGCAATTCTCCCACCTTGGTCTTCCAGAGCACTAGGATTACAGATATGAGCCACTGCACCCAGCCTAAAGTATACAATTTAATAGTACTTAGTGTTTTTGCATTTGTACAACCATCACCACAGTCAATTTTGGAACATTTTCATTACTCCAAAAAAGAAACCATATACCCATTAGCAGTTACTTCTCACTTTCCCCATTCCCATGATCCCCAGCTCTAGGCAACCAATAGTCTTTGTCTCCATAGATTTCCCAGTTCTGGACATTTCATAAAGATGGAATCATACAATTTGTGTCTTTTTACGACTGACTTCTTTCACTGAGCATAATGTTTTCAAGGTTATCCATGTTGTAGCATATGTCAGTGCTTCGTTACTTTTTATTGCTGAATAATATTCCACTGTATGGATATATCACATTTTGTGTATCCATTGATGGACATTTGCGTGGTTTCTACCTTTGGATATGGCTGAATAATATTCCATGAAATGGATATACCACATTTTGTTTATCCATTGATGGACATGTGGGTGATTTCTACCTTGTGGATAATGCTGCTGTGGACATTTATATGCAAATTTTGGTGTGAACATGTGTGTTCAGTTCTATTGGGTATATAGTTAGGAATGGAATCGCTGGGTTATATGTAACTAAGCTTTTTTTTTTTTTTTTTTTTTTTTTTGATATGGACTTTTGCTCTTGTTGCCCAGGCTGGAGTGCAATGGCATGGTCTTGGCTCACCGCAACTTCTGCCTCTTGGGTTTAGGCAATTCTCCTGCCTCAGCCTCGCAAGTAGCCGGGATTACAGGCATGTGCCACCATGCCTGGCTAATTATTTTGTATTTTTAGTAGAGATGGGGTTTCTCCATGTTGGTCAGGCTGGTCTCAAACTCCCGACCCCAGGTGATCCACCTAACTCGGCCTTCCAAAGTGCTGGGATTACAGGTGTGAGCTAATGCGCCCGACTATATGTAACTAACTTTTTAAGGAACTTCCATACTGCTTTTCTAAGCAGCTGCAGTATTTACACTCCTTCCAAAGGTGTATGAAGGCTCCAATTTTTCCACATCTTGCCAACACTTGTTATTTGTCTGCCTTTTGATTTCAGCTATCCTAGTGAGCACATAGTAATATCTCATTTATTTGCATTTCCCTAATGGCTCATAAATTTTAAATTGCTCTAGGTTAGGAATTGTCTTATCTTTGTTTTCTAAAACACCTATAGTATTTTCCACGTATTAACTCTTAATGTTTGAATTTATATCCTGTATTTAAAAATTGCAAGAAAAGGGAGGTGGGCCTTAAGATTTTTTTTTTAACCTCTGTTGAAAATGTGCTTTGCCCATATTGTGGCATCATAGTTGCACATTGTACTTTGTTTATTGATCCCTTATTGCCAAGCCCTATATAAGAAAGGACTTGATGAATGTTGATTAGACGAATGAATGGAGTTTTCTTCATATTCATCCTGGATTCTTGAGGTTGTCCCTGGGAACAGGTGGGCGTTCTGGTTCTGATAATGCTAATAATTCCTCAAAGATGTAAAGAGCATTAAAGACTTCACTTTAAACTGGTATTTCCAGAAAAAAAGACTTGCAAGCTTGAAAACTATTTCTGAAGTATAGTTTGACTTGTCTGTCTGTTGCATATTGTCAGAATTGTTATCATTTGTATAGGCAGCCCTAGATTGGTATTTGTCCCTTATCTGAGAAATTCTATGAAACATTAGCATGGTATATCAAGAGAGTTCATCACAGCAGTTAGATAATCATCATTGTAAGGCACACTTACAATACTTAAAAATAATACATTAACGAAAAAGTGATTTTTAAGGTTTTAAAGAAGATGTTAAAACCTGTCATTCAAATTATAAAGGAACTGTATTCAATTTTAGCTTATGTAGATATTGGCTGATAAGCATAAAGTGTTTAGTATTATCTTTAGAACTTTATTTTGCCAACACTAATTTAATCTTGCAAACAAAGCAGTTATTTCTTTGCAAATCATTTTGTAACAAAGAGGCCTTTCTATGGTTGTATTTTTACAAAAACATTTATCCCAGTTAAAATGGAACACAATAACATTGTTTAGGATAGTTGCTGAAATCTGCTAAAATACAAATTGCAATGAGATAGTTTGGTGTTTTTTAGTTGTCCAAATACAGCTTTATAATTTTGTTGTTTTGGTATTCTGAGGCAAAAAGATTAGTTAATTTTGTGAATCTGTATGCCTTGGGTCCTTAGTACCTGGATGGCCTCTTACAAATCAAAAATATCATTCTATGTGCTATGTGGTGAGCTAGGGGGATGGATGTCATAATGGTGAGATCACAAATACCAGTGTGAAAGCTTTCCTGAAGAAGAGGTCAGAGAAAATGGTCTATTCCTTAAATGAATGCTTGTTACATTAATATACCTTCCTGTCATTTAAATATTGTCCTCAGAGTGATCAAAAAGGTCATGGCCTGTGGGTCTTTACTGCTAATGCTACTTCCTTCCTCATTTTTAGAAAAATTACTGTTAATAGAAATGATACACTCACTTTCTTTAACATGATATTTCTATATTTAAAAAGAGCATAAGAAACCATTAACGTTTAATTTATGATTCCCACTTGTCATTCTAATTTATATTTTTAAAGATTTACATTATTTTGAGTAAGTTCTAATCCTATGAAATGATGCAGATGTCACCAACAACTTAAATTCAATTCTGATCTTATACTAATACATAATTCTAAATATATTACTTTGAGTAATACATGTTTACTTAGATTTACTATATTAAGTATAGGTTTTGTGAAGTCGTAAGTGTATACCTATATAGTTTCTTGCTATTCTTGATTTTCATAATAATGAAGGTCAAAGTGCCCTTCTGCTCCTTCTTGTTCTGGGCTCTCATGAGCATTGTCAGGATCATCGTGATCTTCACTTTCATCATCATCATCTGGAAATCTCCTGAAAACTTGTGTCTTTAGTTGTATTGTTTGACCATTAGTGCTTCGTTGTTCACCATAATAAATAGTGTGTATATGAGGGAAGCAGAAGAAGATGTATGAGCTTATTGGTTCTTTTAGTTTATTTTGGTCCACACGAATGTATGTTAAATGGTGGTAATGTAGTGGGTCAATAGAAGGACACATCACTGTAAGATTCATCTCTGAAAGAAATAAATTAAAAATTAATCTTGTATTATAGTATAATCCATAGTTATAGCCATAATTCTATGTTAGATTTTATATTGTATGGGATATAATTCTGTTAATTAAAATATTTATAAATTGAATTAGGTTTCCTTTTTATATTAATCAAATAATAAAAAGAAAATTAAATTATGAGTTTTATATTAACAAAATATATATGGCTTCATTGGCTTTTCTGATTAATAAATTCCTAGTAGAACAATCTCAAAAAAAAATTATCTACAATCCCACTACTTAGGATACTCATATTTCTTCATGTACTCTATTATTTCTCTCTTTTATATATATACATATATAAAACTGACAATTTATACATATATATAAAAAAATATATATATATAAAATTATATATTTCTTCTTTTTTTCTTTTTTTTTTTCCTGTTGCAAGGAGAAAAGGAAACATTGTGGAGAAAGTGAGTAAACTCAGAATACGCTCTGTATAAATTGTCAGTTATATATATATGTATAAATTATCAGTTATATATATAAAAGAGAATATATATTTTTTATATATAAATAAATATATTATATATGTGTGTATATATATATATTTATTTATTTATTTATTTATTTATTTATTTTATTTTTTTTTTTTTTAAGACAGAGTTTTGCTCTGTCATCCAGGCCAGAAAGCAGTGGCATGATCTCAGCTCACTGCAACCTCCGATTCCTGGGTTCAAGCAACTCTCATGCCTCGGCCTCTTAAGTAGCTGGGAGTACAGGCACATGCCACCATGCCTGGCTAATTTTTCTATTTTTGGTAGAGATGGGACTTCACTATATTGACCAGGCTGATCTCGAACTCCTGGCCTCAAGTGATCCACCCCACCCGCCTTAGCCTCCCAAAGTGCTCTGATTACAGGCATGAGCCACCACGCCCAGCCTATTTCTCAATATTTAAGGCAATAAAATTTAATAAAAAGGACTATAAACTGAATAGCACACATTTCTCTGGGGCAGATTTCTGCCATTCCCTTAAGCAACTTCAAAACAACTATTTTCAGCAATGTCTAAAGCATAGCTTATTGAATATTTTTTTCTTTAAAAGATCAGGATTCCATTCTTTCTCTCTTCAAAACACAATAAAAGTCTACATACTTTCTATTTCATTATTTTGTAGGTATAGGTGTTCCAAATTTCTTGGAATATAGAATGCTTGCTTCAATTTGTTGTGTCCAACACTGAGTTCTACAATGTTGGGAAGATTAAAAATATTATATGGGATGTCTTGTAGTTTGTTGTGTGACATTCTTAGAGTATGAAGTTTTGGAAGTTTGTCGAAGTATTTTTCGGGTATAGAAGAAATTGAATTATTTTCTAAAGACAGATACATAAGTGAAGAAGGCAAACCAGGAGGCATTGATTCTAATCTGTTACTGCAGAGGTTGAGCTGCATTAGTTTTTCCATTTTGGCAAAGATTTTGTCTTTTAGCAGAGAATCATGAAGATAATTATAACAGAGATCAAGCATGGTCAAGTTTACTAGCCCATCCATAGCATTTGTCTGCAGTTTGGAGATTTCATTGTAACCAAGAAGGAGTCTTTCCAGAGATTTAGGAAGAGGAAATGGAAATTCTTCTAAATTATTATGCTCTAGATGAAGTTGTAGTAGATTTGGAAGCTTAGCAAACACACCATAATCAATCTTTTGAGATTTAATTTTGTTGTGGCTGAGGTTAATTTCTTTAAGATGAGTTGCATTGATGAATGAATTTGCAGTCACAGCCTCAATTTCATTGAACTGAAGGTAGAGTTGCTGAATGTGCATCGGAATATTTGGGATAGTCTTGAGTTTGCGATTATCACAGTACATTGATGATGGAAAGTTAGTTGGACAGAAGCATTCACTGACACAGCCTAAAGTATACTGATGAAAAGGAACTCCGTAGTCTACATTTTGACGAAATGGGAATCCTGTTTGGTAATCATCATCTGGCTCTTGGTCATAGTCTTCATCCCACTGATAAGTTTCATATTGGCAATGTACTTTGACTCCAAAAAAGAAGAAAATAACATATATTGGACTTAAAAAACCCATCTTCTTTTTTTTTTTCCTATTGCAAGGAGAAAAGGAAACATTGTGGAGAAAGTGAGTAAACTCAGAATACGCTTTGTATAAATTCTCAGTTATATGAAATGTATTATACCTATGTCTATATATAAAAGAATATCCAGAAAGAATGGGCAGTGCTCAAACCAAAATTTTTTTCTTTTTTTGTGACAGTGTCTCCTCTGTCACCCAGGCTGGAGTGCAGTGGCACAATCTCGGCTCACTGCAACTTCTGCCTCCCAGGCTCCCAGGTTCAAGCAATTCTCATGCCTCAGCCTCCCAAGTAGCTGGGACTACAGGTGCATGCCACTATGCCCAGCTTATTTTTGTATTTTTTAGTAGAGACAAGGTTTCGTTGTGTTGCCCAAGCTGGTCTCAAACTCCTGACCTCAAGGGATCCTCTGGCCTCGGCCTCCCAAAGTGCTGGGATTACAGGTGTGAGCCACCACGCCTGGCCTCAAACCAAAATTAATGTTTAAGTACAAATGAAGTGAGTTTTTTTTCTTTTTTCTTTTTCTTTTTCTTTTTATTTTTGAGATGGAGTCTTGCCTTGTCACCCAGGGTGGAGTGTAGTGGTGCAGGCTTGGCTCACTGCAGCCTCCACCTCCCCGGTTCAAGTGATTCTCCTGCCTCAGCCTCCCAAGTATCTGGGACTACAGGCGCGTGCCACCACGCTTGGCTAATTTTTGTATTGTTAGTAGAGACGGGGTTTCTCCATCTTGGCCAGGCTGGTCTCTAACTCCTGACCTCAGGTGATCCACCCACCTCAGCCTCTCAAAGTGCTGGGATTACAGGCGTGAGCCACTGCGCCTGGCCGAGATTTTTTTTTTTTTTAAGTCACATATTACACTGAACTTGAGTCAAAAGTCTGGTATACTAGACTTTCTACTAAGTAACCATCTTTTAAGAGTCCCAGTTTCTCTTGCTTACTAGGGTATAGATCTATGATAATAGCATGACATCAGTCAACTACAGTCTGATCCCTCCACTGTAAATGCTGTGTGTTCTTTGGAATTACCTGATCCTTTAATGATGGTCACTGCCTGGGGGAGGAAAGACCTTTATTTTAGTTAGAGAGCTTTTGCCTGGGAGATTCTACAACTTCTATTTGCTGATACCTTTTTCTGCCCTTCAGAAGAACGTGAAATGCTCCCTTTTGTGTGATAACTTCAGATATTTAGAAATAGTATTCATGTTTCCTTTTAATATTTTCTGTCCAAAACTAACAGCACCATCAAATTTTCCTCATGAAACAGTTTCCAGAATCCAATTATTTAGTCTCCGACTCTGCTTGAATAACTACTTTAAATCCTAAAGACATACAGTGTTTACATTCTACAAAGTTCAAGTGTCTTTACATTTTTCTTCCTAGCTTCCTTTTTTCCATTAATATATTTAAGTTTTAGATACAAAAATATTATTAAAAACACACTGTCCTTGTCTCCCAGGTGTTTAAAGTCTTGTGGAGAATCAAATACACGTGCAGTAGAATGCAGGAGGAGGATATTGTGTGGAAAAGAATTGCAAAAGGGCACACTTCACAATGAACACTCAGTGCTGAAACTTGAAGTTCTAGGGAAGGGTCAATTATGTCCCAGATGAGAAGCCTGAAACCTATATTTCATTTCTGTCACTTAACATATCTGCCTCTTGCCTCATCAATAAAATAAGAATTGCAATTATAGCTGAATTATACCTTGGCTGCTTATCTTGTATGTTGCCTTGTGTCTTTTTTTTTTTTTTTTTTTGAGATGGAGTCTTGCTCTGTTGCCCAGACTGGAGTGCAGTGGTGCGATCTCGGCTCACTGCAGCCACCACCTCCTGGGTTTAAGCAATTCTCCTGCCTCAGCCTCCCCAGTAGCTGGGATTACAGGTGCACTCCACCACACCCGGCTAATTTTTGTATTTTTAGTAGAGATGGAGTTTCACCATGTTGACCAGGCTGCTCTCGAACTCCTGACCTCATGATCCACCCACCTTGGGCTCCCAAAGTGCTGGGATTACGGGCGTGAGCCACTGCATCCAGCCTCCTTGTGTCATATCTTGCCTGCTTATCCGCCTGGTCGTTGTTAGCATTGTATGAGCTATGCATGTACAAGTACTTTGCACGTTGAAAACTGCTATCCAGATGAAATGAATGTATCATTTAGGAAAAAGGTTTTAAAAAATCCTACCTCTTTTATTCTGAGACCTTTCTACTTTTCCCACCCAGGGTTTCATGAGAGAATGAGTTTCCAAACAAATCATTGCATATAATGAAATGACTTATCTCCTGTTCATGTAGAATGGTTCTAGCTATTTTTCATCATTGGTATAATTGAGAGAATAGTTACTTAAGTTATTTTCTTTGACAGAACCCCATTTGAGAAAGGTTAAGAAACATCTCAATTTCTTCTTCTTTTCTTGTCAGAAATTATAAATGTAACTATTGTGTGTATTTGGAATTTGAAGTAGTTATTCAGGTAGAGTCAGAGACCCTTGAGCTCTCTTCCTGCAGTGATACTTTCCTTCATTCTTCCTCACCATTTGCTCCCATGCACCCGCATCCTGGGTTTTGTCTTTTCTATTACTGGAACCCTTCATACTCTTCATTTTGAGTATTCCGCACTCAGACCACTATCTCTATGTAGTAACTCCAGCTGCAATAATTCTCCAATTTCCGTGGAACCTCAGCTATATTGATTCTACTGTTTTTCACTGTCCCTCATCCATACCTCCCAACATTGTCAGTTCCTTCTTACCAACTTAGACCCCATAGTTGATCACTATCGTTGCTCTTTTGCACATGCCCTAAACTTTCTGGCTCCTTCAATCTGCCAAACTCCAACTCTGGTTACTCCAATTCTCTACCTACTCACAGCCTGACTGTCACAGCTGAATGTAACTAAAGAAAAACAGGAGCATGGTGACTGGTCTCACTCTCGATTCAAGACCACTAACCTCAAGTGCTGTCCTGCTGCATTTCCTTAGACCATCCTCCTTCCCTCTCTTCTACGCTACTGTTTTGTAACTTTCCTCTCTGAAGCCTCTAATACCTTATTCCCCATTATTGTTTTTGGGTGATGACCTTGCTTCTTTTTTTTAAGTCAAGAAAATAGGATCAAGATATCATTTATTTCTATTTTCTTATATGTATCCCTACCTACAAGAAAATGCCAAAATAGCAATGGTTTGGGTTTTGTTTTTGTTTTTTTTTTAACAATATGTGCTTTTGAAATTCATGATGTTTCTTTGTGCAACTCTATATTACATCCATTTTTCTTTCTTTTCTGTGAGATTCGTGGAAGATGTGGCATTTGACCTAGACTTTGAAGGAGTGTTGAGGTTCTCATAGAGGGAAGTGAGGAAGAAGATCTCTGGCTAGAAGAGATGAGCAAAAACATAGAAGCAACAGATGGTGATGTGTTTGGGAAATGTGGTTGGTTAACTCTTGAAGGAGCAAAATAAGACTATTAAATCCAGATCTGAAGGGATTAGCCTAACTTTTTTTTTCTGAGACAGTCTCACTCTGTCACCCAGGCTGGAGCGCAGTGGTGCACTCTTGGCTCACCCTCCATCTCCTGGGCTCAAGTGACTCTCTTACTTCAGCCTCCTGAGTAGCTGGGATTACAGATGCGTGCCACCACACCTGGCTAATTTTTTAATTTTTTGTAAAGACAGGGTTTTGCCATGTTGCTCAGGCTGGTCATGAACTTCTGGGCTCAACCAGTCTGCCCCCCTCAGCCTCCCAAAGTGCTGGGATTACAGGCATGAGCCACCACCCCCGGCCTTGGAGGGCCTAAATTCTGACCTGAGGAATTTGCACTCTGGGAATGAATGCCTAATTTAATGAATTAACATATTTGGGCTGTGATTTCACACTACAGTCAGTGTTCGTGGGTGAAAAAGTAGAGAATCTTGGAAGGAGGTAGATTTAAGGAGTTATGGTATCATACCAAAGGGCAGTGTTCAGAGCAGGCTCTCCTTGCTGGGCTGGAAGCTCCCAGTGGGTCTGCTTGGAAATGCTTATTCACCTAGTGTACTCTACTACTTTACTGTATGTAAACATGCTTAGTGAAGCACTTTACAAATATTAGTAGTTAGTTTGATTGGGTTACATCAGTTTACCGTTGTCCTGAATTATTTCTAGTGATGAGGCACTATGCTAAGTTGGTGGAGAATACAGAAATGAAGAAGACGTGAAGCCATAGTCCCTTCTGTAAAGAGCAAACAGCTTAGTGGAGGAGAGAGATACAACAAAGTGAACCCTAATCTAAGGCAGAGGGTAATATCCTTTATAGCAGAGATAGGCAATGCTGTGGGGCCAGTGGCTTACCTCAGCCTTACGGAGACAGGAAAGTCTTTTGTAGACATCATTTGACCCAGACTTTGGGAGATTAATAGGAATGGATATAGAATATTCTATACATTTTATACTCATTGATGATATTTTATGTATAATTTTATAATATTTTATTGTACTTATTATAGTATAACATATTAACTTTTTTTTTTTTGGAGACAAGAGTCTCGTGCTGTCACCCAGGCTGGAGTGCAGTGGCACAATCTCGGCTCACTGCAACCTCCGCCTCCCAGGCTCAAGTGATTCTTGTGCCTCAGCCTCCTGAGTAGCTGGGATTACAGGCGTGCACCACCACGACTGGCTACATTTTTTTGTATTTTTAGTTAAGACGGGATTTTGCCATGTTGGCCAGCCTGGTCTCGAACTCCTGACCTCAGGTGATCCGCCCACCTCAGCCTCCCAAAGTGCTGAGATTACAGGTGTGAGCCACCTGCCTGGCTGAAAACTCAGCTTGAATTTTATCCCTTTGTTGAGAACATTAGCTAATCATCAGTTATCAACCTTACATTTGAGAATTAGAGTCTGTTGTTCAACAACTATGAAAAATTGTTGGGAAAAAAGAAGAAGGCCTTGAATCAAGACATGACTGGGGCGTCTCTGAAAATAAAGAGGTTTTTAATATTGTCTGCTTTCCGCCTTTGTGAGCACCTAAGAAGAAAGTCTTTCCTTGAGGAACAATTTCTCTTCTAAACCTGAACTTATCTTAAACATCCTTGTCCTCCTCCCTCCACGTTCCTAACCATGTAGTACAATCTTGTCCCACTCCCTTTGATTAAGTGCAGTTTTCTGTTTTGAAATCCATCCTGTTTTCATCTATATGCTCATTATTTTCTATGCCTCTTGCTCTTTCCCCAGGATAATTTCCCCTGTTACAACAATCTCTTATTTTATCCAAATTTTTCATTCCCCAACTAATCTCTTCTGAGTCATTTGCTAAGCATATTTTTGTTACTTCTGCTTTTCATACTCTACAATGTATGCCTTGTTCTCTATAGGATAACTCACAGCAATATTGTATAATTCATTGTTGATCATCTCATTTCCTAATATCTTTTAACAGAATCTAATACAATGCAGTGTTATAAGTGCTCAAAGGTGTGTTGAATGAATAAGTTAATAAGTTATAGGTTAAGGCTTGCTAGCAAATGCTTCTCTCTACTAATGTTGATTATTCCTAGGCATTTATTTCACTATGATAATTTCTTCAAATGAACATATTCATGAGAGCTTGACTGTTCCTTTTTCTATTGAATATTTCTTCATCACAATATACTGTATTCCTCACTTTCCTAGTACATCGTGTAGCAGGAAAAGAACAAATGTGAAAAAGAATGTTTGGAGCAAAGTAATATATATATATTACCAGTTTTCAATGTGAATTTTTCATATTATAGCAATAAAACCATCTGTGTCATAATATTTCTCTTACTTGGAGAAAAGCACTCGTGTTCATCAAGAAAAGTTTCAATTGAAATTACTAATGAGGTATAATTTACTTGTTCAGGAAAAGTTTAAAGTAAAATCCTCAACATTTTATTATGTTAAAGACATAATTGTTTTTATTTGTATGACATAGAAACTAGCATATAAGAAAGCAAATATTAGCATATAATTTAGATTTTTCCAAAAAAGTTCTAAATTTTAATTTTATAAAATTTTTTTGCTATTAAAAATACAATTACCTCAATTATTTTTAGCCATAATACATTTAAATCGTAATTAACTAAAACCCAAAGTAACTAGATCCTTCAATAGACTAGATAGAGCATCTGTATTTTCCCTTTGAGAAAGAAGTAAATGAAAAGAAAAACATTCTATATCAGGGATTTAGTCAGTAGAGAAATTTGGAGAAAATCTTGAGTGAAATTTGTACAAATGCCCATCAACCCCCCAACCGGAATCACTAGCATTGCTCAGCTGTATGCCTCAAAGGCATTAGCTGGTTCTTTGTTACTTATAATTCATAGAAAAAAAGAGACCTAAGGAAGAGAAAGAGATTGATTCCTTTAACCTGAGAATCTTTCCTTTCATTCAAAGTAAAAAAAAATCTAAACAAAGATTTTTTATTGGGTAAATCTTAAATGAGAAAGTTAAACTCATTATACTACTTTATTTGAACATTTTGCCTAATCAAAAGTTTAACATAACTTTTTTACCAGATTTTGCTTCCAAAAATTGTGCTTTTGTAATAGATGCAGTCTATTTTAATATTAAAAAATCCAATATACTTTTAAATTTTAACAGTAGGAATACATTCTTAAAAAATTGAAAATTATTTTATTATCATACCTGTTCAATTTGCTTTAGTTTTCAGGGGTTGATGAATTTGTAAATCCTTTAAATGAATCAGAAATTCCTAAATTCTTTAACTGAGTCTCTTAAAAATCCACAGTAACTCTGTGTCCAGACAGGGCTGTCTCTTGAATTACTGTAGCAATTTAAGCAAATACAATCTTCTTGGAAAACACTCGGGTTGAATTAAAATTATGTATTTCTTTTCATTACATGAAACTTTGTGGATTCAAATTAAGATGCTTGTGTTCTTGGTCAGATTTATGTGGCTTACTTCTTTCTTTTCCCCTTAATTTTGGTTTGAGGTGTGGCAAGAATTTCCTCTAATGTGAAAGGCAAACAAAACTAAATGAAACAGCATGTACTGATTACTGTTTTTATTTTCATTTTCATGCCAAAGAATTCTTCAAATTAAGGCCCACTGTGACAGGGAACTCCAGAGTCTCAGCAACTTAAGGTGGAACTCAAAATTTCTTTTTTAATTTTTTGAGATGGAGTCTTGCTTTGCTGCCCAGGCCAGAGTATAGTGGTGCAACCTCGGCTCACCACAACCTCCACCTCCCGGGTTCAAGCAATTCTCCTGTCTCAGCCTCCCAAGTAGCTGGGATTACAGGCATGAGCCACCATGCCTGGCTAATTTCTTGTATTTTTAGTAGAGATGGGGTTTCACCATGTTGGCCAGGCTGGTCTTGAACTCCTGACCTCAGGTGATCCTCCCGCCTCCACCTCCCAAATTGCTGGGATTACAGGCATGAGCCACCACGCCTGGCCTGGAACTCAAAATTTCTTGAGTCCCTTGGTTATTCAACACCTAGGTTCATATCAGTACTTCTATTTGTTAAAACAAGAAATCAGGATTAGAAACATAACATTTCGCATTGTTTATTTTTAAAATGCACTTGATTGTCATTGCTTACACAGATTAACTATACGACTTTTCTATACAAAGGCTTACATCTTCATTTTTATCATCATTTTTATCAGCTATCTCATTTCTCCTCTTTTTGGCAGATGTACCCACTAGAATGACTTCTAATATCCTTTCAGATAAAATTAGTCAGTTGGTTGCACTCCAAAGGTGTATCTTCAATTTGCCTGTTTTTACTATTGCACAAAATAATTCTGTAGTATTGAATAAAATGGGATGAAAAGCTTATGTTACTCAATAGCTATTGCCTTTATTTTGTAGATTTAGAAAATTTCTTCATTTCATAGAGCTATCTCTCCTGAATAGTAACAGTTAACTGTTTTTAATGTTTAATTTTTACACTGTTCTCATATTCTAAACAGAGAGTTGACTTGTGTCTTTTGGCAGTAGATTCGGAGTTCATTTTGGGGGGGAATTCTTTTAAGCTTTTACAAACTAATAAGATAAAGTGAATCCTGGAGTTCATTTTGTTTCCTCAAAAAAGTGTTTTCCATTAGCTTTTTACAAAGAACTCACAAGATTTATTTTGTTAAACTTTGCATTAAGAAAAGTATACAGTGTTTCAAGTGATGCTTTGGCAGTTGTAAAAATCTAGTCTATTATTTGAGACATTGGTATGAAAAACGTGGCAGACCACACTTTAGCCAAGATTCCATCTTGTTACTGATCTTTTCCATATGTTTTCTGTTAGTGTCTTTGTTCTTAAAACTCAGGCTTTCACTAAGGAAGAGAGAGCAAATCTGTGTACTTTTTCAAAAAATTGTTTTATAGGCCTTCACAGTCCTTTTGGAAGATTAACTGAAAATCAACAGCCTAATGTTTATATAACTTCTCATTAACTCTGTGATTTGGATTTATGATATTGATTATGTTATTCATGTTTTTAACAAGTGTGAAAGAAAAATCAGTAGATAACTAGAGCAGACAGAATAAAAATGTCTAGAAAATTTAAACTGATTGGCAGTGTCTATCTAGGAGGTTTAAGGTGGCAAGGGATGGGGATGGGGGGAGGTGGTGGTAGTTAGAGTCAGGCCTTAAAGGAAAAAATAGGGGATGTGAGTTTGTAATAGTTCACTGTTTTAGTTAAGTGGTTATAATTGTAGCAATTGGGGAGAAAAGGAGTTGAATTGTTGAAAAGTGTAAATTATATGCTATGATTATACTTTGATTGAAATAGATTCAGTATCTCAAAGCTGAGTGACACAGGACTGGCTAGGAAAGGCCCTCCTGAGACCTGCTTAATTAACATAATAAGCATTACAATTTTCTGCTCATTTGTTCCACTTTATTCACTGGACACCTACTTTGTGCAGATTTTAGATGCTTGGGACTCAGCAGTGAAAGTCTCTGTTATAGAGAAGGAAAACAGAAAATAAACATAAATAAGCATAAAATGCAGAATATAAACAATGTAGAGTGCGATGGAAGAGAATAATGCAAGGTAAAGGGATAAAAATGAATGAGGCATGGGGGTACGGGTCAACAGTTCAGGCACCGCTGTATGTGGGGACTGGAATGGAACAATTAAGTTACTGTATGGCAGATGGTGAGAGCCAGGTGTCTCACCGTTGGAGTGGAAGTTACAAATAAATAAGCGAGGTGAGGTGGTGACAGTGATTCATGTGGTAATAGATTAGAGTTGAAGACATCAGTATGAACTCATATTTAGCTTAATATAGATACAGCTGGTTAAAAGGGAAATGTAATTATGTTATATACACATAGTACACACATAGACCTCCTTGCTCTGTTGGCTGAGAGATCCTACAAGCAGGAGCACTTTAAGCAGCAACAAACACAAAGCCCAGATCTTGGTTTCTAACATCATTTTCCAGTAAAAGGAACCAGGGCTGCTCCTTGGAGAAATGGCTGTTTCCAGGAGGACTGGAGCAAGGAAAGTAGGAGATGGGCCTGGAGCATTGTACAGTACCAGAAAAAGGGCACTCAGCAAAGAAAGGGATCTGGGGAGTCTCTGTTCTTCCACTCAGTTTTGCTGTGAACCTAAAACTGCTCTAAAAAATAAAGTCTATTAATCTTTTTTGTTGTTGTTGAGACAGTCTGGCTCTGTCGCCAAGGCTGGAGTGCAATGGCGCCGTCTTGGCTCACTGCAGCCTCCACCTCCTGGGTTCAAGCGATTCTCCTGCCTCAGCCTCCTGACTAGCTGGGATTACAGGTGTGCACCACCACACCCAGCTAATTTTTGTATTTTTAGTAGAGACTGGGTTTCACCATGTTGGCCAGCCTGGTCTTGAACTCCTGACCTCAGGTGATCCGCCCGCCTCAGCCTCCCAAAGTGCTGGGATTACAGGCATGAGCCACCGCAGCTGGCTATTAATCTTTATTATTTATTTAAGTATTTATTTTTGAGATGGAGTTCCACTCTTGTTGCCCAGGCTGGAGTGCAGTGGTGTGATCTTGGCCCACTGTACCCTCTGCCTCCCGGGTTTAAGCAATTCTTCTGCCTCGGCCTCCCAAGTAGCTGGTATTACAGGCATGTGCCACCATGTCTGGCTAATTTTGTATTTTCAGTAGAGTCGGGGGTTTTCCATGTTGGTCAGGCAGGTCTCGAGCTCCTGACCTCAGGCAGTCCACCCGCCTCAGCCTCCCAAAGTGCTGGGATTACAGGCTTGAGCCACCATGCCCTGACTATTAATTAATCTTTGAAAAAGGGCAGGCAGAAACTATTTTAAGTAGTTTAGATATTTAGAACTAAATATGGTGATGGGGCAAGCCAAGTTGGTATCAGAGTGGTGACAGGCCAGCTTGGCTGATGCCTAGTGATCTAGGAGGAGGGAGTAGGTGGTACTCTCACAGGTAGCCAGTGTCAGCAGGGTCAAGGCAGACATATGCCTGGAAGTAACCACCTCTCAGCATTCTAAATGGAATCAAGTTTGTAAGGCAGATAATGACACTTAGCTGATGAACTACTTCTATCAGAAAGGCCACTTGGGCAGCCCTATAGAAACAGTCCAAACATTAATTGCAGTCAGTCTCTTAGTCTATCTGCTCCCAGGGGGCTATGAGGAGCAGAGGCTCCTGAATTCATGGCCCATACTCACAGGCTTTCTTGGCCATCATCATTCACATTTTCTGTAAATGGTGCCCCCATGCCAACCCTGACCACTCTCTTGTGTAAGCCAGAAGTTTGGGAGTCCTTTAAATTAGTACCTTCTCAAGTGTGGCCGGAGGTCCATCATCATCAGAATTACCAGAGCTGCTTATTAAAAATTCAGGTTCCAGCATCTTTATACTCAAGATCTACAAAATCAGAACCTCTGAGCATGGGCCCAGGAACTTCCATTTTAAACAAGTGTCCCAGGTCCCACCAAACCTTGAGAACCACTGATGTAAATACTTCTCCCTGACTTTCAAATTGAATCTATTGGTGAATCTTTTGTGTTCTACACCCAAGTATCTTTTTGGTCTGTCTGTGTCTCATACCATGACTGCCATCATCTCAAACCCAGGTGTTCTGGGTAGGGTCTTGACTATGTTCATACATCTCCAAGCAATTTTCTTCTTGTCTGCATAAAAATCAGACTGCACACTGTGTCTACTTAAACTTCCTTGTTTCTGCTTGTTACTTGCTTCTACTTGTTACTTCCAGTGATGCTTTATTTAAAAAAGTAAATTCCAAACATTGATCTTCAAGATTGGGGATGATCTGACCTTGGCCTACTACTTGCCCATTCTTGGAATGTTCAGTTTGCAGCACTGCTGGTTTCTGCGCTGTACCCACACTGGCTTCTTTTTGACCCTCACATTGCCATGTTTCTGTCTCACTATGACCTTTGAAGGAGCTTCTCTGTCTCTTGAGGATGCTAGGCCTCTGTACCTCTCAATCTTGTTGTTAGCTAACTCTTATCTTTAAGACATCAGCTTATTCCAGTTGCAATTAATTATGAATGTAATTATTTGTCTGCTTTCTCCTTTCTGATAAGACTCTTTTATGAGCTACCATGTCCCCAAACTGTCTGTCAATAGTGGGTGCTCAATAAATATTGTTTGAATGAATGAATGAATGCACAGTACCCTCCAATGTGCATCTTCTTCTCCATTTTCTGAATGTTTCTATTTTCCTGACTGTTGGAGGAAAGATGCCTCCAGACAATGGCCTCTGTACCAATTCAGGGGAATAATCTTACTCTCACCTCCCAGACCTTACCTGGTGAACTCATCAGCAGGCCTCATATGGCCTATATGTGAAACAAACTTTTATTAACATAAAAGCATGAATACAGAAACACTGAAAACAGAAGACAATCAGTGAATACTTGGCTAAAGTCTACAGAACACAGAGAAGGTAAAGAACAAATGACTGTTATCCTTAACTCAGCATCTGAATTACCTGAATATAATCTTGTCATTTTCAGGCCAAGTGCAGTGGCTCACTCCTGTAATCCCAGGACCTTGGGAGGCTGAGGAGGGCGGATTACCTGAGGTCAGGAGTTCCAGACTAGTCTGGCCAACATGATGAAACCTTGTCTGTACTAAAAATACAAAAATTAGCCGAGCGTGGTGGTAGGCGCCTATAATCCCAGCTACTTGGGAGGTTGAGGCAGGAGAATTCCTTGAACCCAGGAGGCGGAGGTTGCAGTGAGCCGAGATTGCACCATTGCACTCTGACCTGGGTGACAAGAACGAAACTCCGTCTCAAAATCATCATCATCATCATCATCATCATCATCATCTTGTCATTTTCTTGTGAATCCTTCCAGAGATATTTTGTACATATAGAAGCAAATACATATATTTAGAAATCATTATTTCTCAAAAAGCATTCTTGTATGAAATTGGAGATGTTTCTACTCTTTTCCTAATGTAAACAATGGTGCAGCTAATAAACTTTTATAAGGGACTGCATATGTGTGCTAGTGTGTCTGAGGGGTCAATCCTCAGGCACAGATGTGATTGTTCTCCTCAGAGGCCCTTCCAAGTGGCACTCCCAGCTGTTAAATCCTCCGCATACCATTTATCAGGTTTTAATCTTTTAATGATCTGGTGGATTAAAATGGTATCTTATAGTTGAGTTCTTTTTTCTCTTACTATGGATCTGGTTGAAAATCTTTTATATTTTACAGCCCTGTATGCTGCGTTTTCTGGAACTGCTTATATCTTTTATTTCTATTGTATTGTAGATCTTTTGCTTAATGACTTCTAGGAGTTTTTTTATGTATAAGGGAAACTGTGTGCTATGACTTTTAACTATTATTTTCCAATCTGTAATTTGCTTTTGATGGTTTTGCCATGAAGACTTTTTGTTATGTCATTGGGTTTATCCATCTCTTCTCTCTCTTTTTTTTTTTTTAAGATGAAGTCATTCAAGCGATTCTTCTGCTTCAGTCGCCCGAGTAGCTGGGATTACAGGCACCCACAACTACACCTGGCTAATTTTTGTATTGTAGTAGAGACAGGGTTTCATCATGTTGACCACGCTAGTCTCGAACTCCTGAACTCGGGTGATCTGCCCTCTTCGGCCTCCCAAAGTTCTGGGATTACAGGTGTGAGCCACCACGCCTGGACAAGTTTATCCATCTCTTCTTAACAGCCTCCTGGCTTTTGTGTTATAGTTACTTCTGCATTTGCTGAAAAATTCTTCCTTGATTTCCACTGTTCATTTTAGGACTATTATGGTTTCTTTTGTTGTTGTTGTTGTTGTTTTGTTTTTATTTATTTGTTGTTGAGATGGAGTCTCGCTCTGTCACCAGGCTGGAGTGCAGTGGCACGATCTCGGCTCACTGCACCCTCCGCCTCCTGAGTTCAAGTAATTCTCCTGCCTCAGCCTCTCAAGTAGCTGGGACTACAGGTGCACACCACCACTCCCAGCTAATTTTTGTATTTTTAGTAGAGACAGGGTTTCACCATGTCGGCCAGGATGGTCTCGATCTCTTAACCTGGTGATCCGCCTGCTTCAGCCTCCCAATGTGCTGGGATTACAGGCGTGAGCCACTGCGCCTGGCCAGTTTCTTTATTTTTAAATTTAAAAAATTTTTTTGCATTTGAAAATCTGGTGTTTAGTGTTTACAGTGCTTGTTAAGTATGAGATGTGATCCCACTGAATATGTTGCTGGCATTAATTGAATAGTCCACCTTTCCCCTATCAAATTTGAAATGGGACTGTTTCCATACACTAGATTTCTTTAACTATTGAAGGCATTTCTCAACGTTATATTATTTCCCTTTGACATGCCTGTCGATTGATGCACTGTTGGCATTTGATGTGGATAAGGGTACGTTTGTTTAGATCTCATTAATACTTGATACTTGATATTCTCTAAACTTTTTCCAATTTGGTAAGTATTCAGTGGCATTACATTGTGATTTTAACTTCCATTGGCCTGCCTATTAAAGAGATTGAACATCTTTTCGAATGTTTTTCAGCCATTTGGATTTTCTCTTCTGTTGTATGCCTGTTGATGTTTTTTACTCATTTTTCTTTTCTTTTCTTTTCTTTTTTTCCAAGACAGAGTCTAGCTCTGTTTCCCAGGCTGGGGTGCAGTGGCATGATGTTGGCTCACTGCAACCTCTGCCTCCCAGGTTCAAGCAATTCTTCTGCCTCAGCCTCCCGAGTAGCTGGGATTACAGGCGCCTGCCACCACGCCTGGCTAATTTTTGTATTTTTAGTAGAAATGGGGTTTCACCACATTGGCTAGGGTGGTCTCAAACTCCTGACCTCATGATCTGCCCACCTCAGCCTCCCAAACTGCTGGGATTGCAGGCGTTAGCCACCATGCCTGGCCTTTACTCATTTTTCTATTATGTAATTTTTTTAAATTGATTTTTACAAGTTCATTATATCTCATAGATACTAACCTCTTGCTAGTTATACCTATGACTGTGTGTTACAGTTTTTCAGTTGATTCTCTTGAATTTTTTAGGCACATGTGGATCCCATGAAAATGGTAATTTTGGCCGGGCTCAGTGGCTCACGCCTGTAATCCCAACACTTTGGGAAGCTGAGGCGGTTGGATCACCTGAGGTCAGGAGTTCGAGACCAGCCTGACCAACATGGCAAAACCCGGTCTCTACTAAAAATATAAAAATTAGCTGGGCGTGGTGATGGGTGCATGTAATCCCAGCTACTTGGGAGGCTGAGGCAGGAGAATCGCTTGAACCTGGGAGGCAGAGGTTGCAGTGAGTCAAGATGGCGCCATTGCACTCCAGCCTGGGCGACAAGAGCGAAACTCCATCTCAAAAAAAAAAAGGAAAAAAGAAAATGGTAATTTGACCTTCTCTTTAATTGCTTTTAAGGGACTAGCTCTTTGTTTGAAAGACATTTTGTAAATCTTTAGTATCTAGACAGCTGGACTATTTATTGTTCGGTCTTTCTCCCAGTTAGCTCCTATAAACCACGAGATGAAAGTACATTTCAAATCAATAAGCCATGTGACAACAAAACTAGCAGATGTTGTAGAATCCTTGCCAAATAAGGAGGATTGGGTATAAAAGCCAGCACACAACCAATCACAGGCTGCAGAAGAAGCGAGAGAGCACTCATAGGCACGGGGAGCAGCCAGTACTCCACCCTCACAGAAGCAAAGTCCCAAAATTATATACACGATTAAAAAATTATTTTCTACATAATTAATTCAAAGTTTCTTCTACAATGACTGGTAACTTAGTACTTAGCATTTAGCAGTTTTAGAAATCACATTTTCAGGACTAGGAAAGGGTGGAAAGATGCATTTTACTTGGTGAAATCATTGGGAAATATTTTTGTTGTTGAGGAGGTGCATATAGAAGTAGACCCTTTAATTTGGGGAATACATAATCCATTGTATTAGTTAATTGGAGGAAAGGGCAGGAAAAAGATACAAAAAAAATTTTGGATTTGAATCTTTCATGGTATTGATTTATTTTTTCTTCTTTGACTAAATAAAAAACATACCGTGAGATACCACAAAGCAAAAAGGCATTTGGGGAGTGCCTTAGTTCATCTTTTGCTACTATAACAGAATACCACGCAATGAATAATTTATAATGAACAGGAATTTATTTCCTCACAGTTCTGGAGTTATTGGGAAGTCCAAGATCAAGGCACCAGCATTTGGCAAGGGACTTCTTGCTGGGTTAAAGAGAGCAAGAGGGAGTGATTCCACTCCTGTAATAACAGCATCAGATAACCTAAATACTTCTTAAAAGTTCCCACCTCTGAATACTGTTATGATGGCAGTTAGATTTCAACATGATTTTTGGAGGAGACAAACATTAAAACCATAACAAGGAAGGAGGAGTAAATTCCTCCCGCAATCAGTTTTCGGTTTGACTGGTACTTGGTACAGACAGTGAGTCTCCCTAATTACATTTGAGTTTTTGTAAGGCAGCCTGATACCTTTTTTTCTTCTCTAATGTGGGGAAAAGGTACATTAGGCAGAAAGATTACGTTCTACAAGTTAATAAGGGATTATATAATTTGAGATACATTTATAAAACATTATTATTTGTAAAACATCTGAAATGTTTTATAAATGGTTGCTATGAGAACAATGAAAATGTAATTACAAAAATGTACCCTAGGCTGGGTGTGATAGCTCACGGCCTATAATCCCAGCACTTTGGGAGGCCGAAGCAGGCAGATCACTTGAGGTCAGAACTTCGAGACCAGCGTGACCAACATGGCAAAACCCCATCTCTACTAGAACTACAAAAAGTAGCTGGGTACAGTGGTGCTTGCCTGTAATCCCAGCTACTTGGGAGGCTAAGGCAGGAGAATCGCTTGAACCCGGGAGGCAGAGGTTGCAGGTGAGCCAAGATCGCGCCATTGCACTCCAGCCTGGGTGACAGAGCAAGACTTCATCTAAAAAAAAAAGTATACATTTTTTTAAACATCAACTGTTTAAAATACACTTATCTTATACTTTGTGCTCACCTTCCTTTAAATATCATTCCCAAAGCACACTAATTCTAGCTGAGCCAAGATTGAAGTCAGTATACAAAAATCCATTTTATTTCTATATACTAGAATGAATAATTGGAGACTGGGCGCGGTGGCTCACGCCTGTAATCCCAACACTTTGGGAGGCTGAGGTCAGTGGATCACAAAGTCAGGAGTTCCAGACCAGCCTGGCCAATATGGTGAAACCCCGTCTCTACTAAAAATACAAAAATTAGCTGGGTGTGGTGGTGCACACCTGTAGTCCCAGCCACTCGGGAGGCTGAGGCAGAAGAATCGCTTGAACCCAGTAGACCAAGGTTGCAGTGAGCCAAGATTGTGCCCCTGCATTTCAGCCTAGGCAACTGGGCGAGACTCTGTCTCAAAAAAAAAAAAAAAAATAGAATGAGTAATTGGAGATCGAAATATTTAGTTAACATCTAATAAGATTTGTGTAAGAATTGCATGCTGAAAACTGCAAACATTGAGGAAGATCTAAATAAACATAAGTATTGGCAAAAGGATAGACACATGAGCAGTGGAATAGAGAAAGTTCAGATATAAGCTTACAAATTTCTGATTAATTTATTTTTGCCAAAGGTAAGTCAGTGGAGAAGGAATCATCTTTTTAACAAATATTGGGAGAAAATCTCATTCAGAAAAGTAAAACTTTAAAAAAAAGAAATTGTTAAATTTGGAGGAAAACATCCAGAGATGCAAGATGATTCAGACCTTAATTTTTTAAAAAGTTTTCTGGGCAAGATGGGGTGGCTCACACCTGTAATCCCAGCACTTTGGGAGCCTGAAGCGGACGGATCACCTGAGGTCAGGAGTTCAAGAAGTTCAAGACCAGCCGGGCCGACATGGCGAAACCCCATCTCTATTAAAAATACAAAATTTAGTGGGGCGTGGTGGTGCACGCCTGTAATCCCAGCTACTCAGGAGGCTGAGGCAGGAGAATTGCTTGAACCTGGGAGGTGGAGATTGCAGTGAGCCAACATCATGCCACTGCACTCCAGCCTGGACAACAGAGCGAGACTCCATCTCAAAAATAAAATAAAAAGTATACTGTACACTGTGTACAACCTTAGATGTGTTTTGGCAATGCTTGGTAGACATAATCCAGGGATGAAACTCTTATCAGGCAATCTATGGTCATCTTTTTCAAGATTCAGATGTTTGTCTTTATCACCCTTATTTTTCATTTTATTTATAAATCCCCAAGGTTCAGAGTGATTAAAAATACTGTCTGACCATTTTATAAAACCATTCTCAAGTGGGCCCTGGTGTAGATTTCTCCTATTACCTTAGATTCTACTGCAATCATTTACTTTTTAATTAAAAATGTTATTTCAATTTCATTATTGAGTCACATGCAGTTATGAGAACTAATACAGAAAGAAACCGTGTACCCTTTACCCAGTTTCCCCTAATGATAACATCTTGCAAAACTATGGTACAGTATTACAATCAGGATATTGAGGTTGAGATAGTAGAATTACAGAACATTTTTATCCCTGCAAGAGTTTCACATGTTGCCCTTTTATAGGTACATAAATCTCTTGCCCTTCCCCCTTCATCTTTAAACCCTAGCAAAAACTAATCTTTTCTCAATTTTACAGTTTTGTTATTTCAGGAATGTTACAGAAATGGAATCATACAGTATATAACCTTTTGGAAATGTGTCACTAAACATAATTATCTGGGGATTCATTTGAGGTGCTGCATGTATCACTGGTTTATTCCTTTTTATTACTGAGTGATATTCCATGAAATGGATGTACCATAGTTGGTTTAACTGTCCACTGAAAAAACATCTGGGCTGCCTCCAATTTGGGCTAATACTAATAAAGTTGTTCTAAACATTCATGTACAGGTTTTTGTGTCAACATGAGTCTTCATTTCTATGGGGTACATGCCCAGAGTATAATTGCTGGGTCGTATGGTAAGTGCATGTTTAGTTTTTAAAAACCTGGCAAACTATTTTCCAGAACAGCTGCACCATTTTACATTCCCACGAACAGTGTATGAGTGATTCAGTTTCTCGACATCCTCACTAACATTTGATGTTTTAACACATTTTAATTTTAGCCATTCTAATAGGTATGTAGTGATATATTACTGTAGTTTTAATTTGCATTTCCCAAATAGCTAATGATGTTCAGAATCTTTTCATGTGCTTATTTGCTATCTGTGTATTCTTTTTAGTGAAATGTCTGTTCATGTCCTTTGCCTATTTTCCCATTGAATTTTTTATTTGCTCTTGAGTTTTATCAGTTCTAGATACTAGAACAAGGAGTACCTTTGTAGGATATGTAGTTTGCAAAGATTTTCTCCATTCTATTGCATGCCTTTTCATCTTCTTATCAGCATCTTTCACAGAGCAAAAGTTTTAAATTTTGGTGAAGTCCAGTTTATTGATTCTTTTTTCTTTTGTAGATCATGCTTTTGGTGTCATATCTAAGAACTCTTTACAAAGTCCTAGCTCTCAAAGATCTTCATCTATGTTATTTTCTAAAAGTATAGCTTGACATTTTACTTTTATGATTCATTTCGAGTTAATTTTTATATAGGGTTTGAAAGGTTTTTTTTGCTTATGGCTATTCAATTACTCAATTCATTTGTTTAAAAGACTGTCTTTCCTTCAGTAATTGCTTTGGTGCCTATGTCAAAAATCAATTGTCTGCACTTAATGCTATTTCTGGCTTTTCTTTTTCAGTTCTATTTATTTATACGTCTGTCTTCCTGACAACACCACCTAGTCTTGATTACTATAGTTATATTGTAAGTCTTGAAATCAAGTAGAATGACTTTTCTCACTATATTCTTTTTTCAGAATTGTTTTGGCTATTCTAGTTCCTTTGCCTTTCTACATAAATTTTAGAATGATCTTGTCTGTATCTGTAAGAAATCTGCTGGGTGTGGTGGCTCACACTTGTAATCCCAGCACTTTGGGAGGCCAAGGCGGGCAGATCACTTGAGGACAGGAGTTTGAGACCAGCCTGGCCAACATGATGAAACCCCATCTCTGCTAAAAATACAAAAAAATTAGCCGGGCATGGTGGCAGGTGCCTGTAATCCCAGCTACTTAGGAGGCTGTGGCAGGAGAATCGCTCAAACCCAGGGGTCGGAGGTTGCAGTGAGCAGAGCTCACACCATTGCAATCCAGCCTGGGCAACAAGAGCGAAACTCTGTCTCAAAAATAAATAAATAAATCTTGCTGGGATTTTGGTAGGAATTACATTAAAACTGTATATCAATTTGCCTTTTTTTAATTGGGTTTTTGTCTTATTACACATTGTAAGGGTTCTTTGTATATTCTGGATATAAGTCCTTTATCAAATATATAGCTTGTAATATTTTTCTTCTAGTGTATGATTAGTCTTTTTCTTTTGTCTTTTTTTTTGTTTTGTTTTTTTTTTTTGGACAGAGTCTCGCTATGTTGCCCAGGCTGGAGTGCAGTAGTAGGTTCTTGGTTCACTGAAGCTTCTGCCTCCTGGGCTCAAGTAATCCTCCCACCTCAGCTTCCCGAGTAGCTGAGACCACAGGCATATGCCAACACACCCAGCTAATTTTTGTATTTTTTGTAGAGACAGGGTTTCGCCATGTTGCCCAAGCTGATCTTGAATTCCTGGGCTTAAGCGATCCACTCTGCTTCCCAAAGTGTTGGGATTACAGGCATGAGCCATTGTGCCTAGGCTTTTCATCTTCTTAATAGCCTTTTGGCACATAAATATTAATTTTGTAAAGTCCAATTTATAAGTTATTTTTTGGAGACACTGTCTCACTCTGTTGCCCAGGCTGGAGTGCAGTGGCTCAATCACAACTTACTGCAACTTTAACCTTCCAGGCTCAAGTGATCCTCCCACCTCAGCCTCCAGTGATCCTCCCACCTCAGCCTCCAGTGATCCTCCCTCCTCAGCATCTCGAGTAGCTGAGACCACAGGCATGTGCCTCCACACCTGGCTAATTTTTTTATTGTTTGTAGAGATGAGGTCTCCCTGTGTTGCCCAGGCTGGTCTTGAACTCCTAGGCTCAAGTGATCCTCCCACCTCAGCTACCCATAGTGCTGGGATTACAGATGTCAGCCACTGCACTGGGACCAATTTATGATTTTTTATCTTTTATTTTTCATGCTTTTGGTGTCAAGTCTAAGAACTCTTTGCCTCAGGTCTTAAATATTTTTTCCTGTTTCTTCCAGAAGTTTTATAAGTTTTATCTCTTATATTTAGGTCTATGATCTGTTTTGATTTAATTTTTGTGTGTGGTGTGAGGTTAGGATCTAAGTTCACTTTTTTGCATGTGAATATCCAATTGTCTCAGCACCATTTGTTGAAAGGACAGTTATTTCTCCATTGTCAAAAATTAGTTAACCATAAATGTGCAGGTTTGTTTCTGATCCTCAGTTCTGTTCTATTGCTCTATGTGTCTGCCTTATACCAGTGTCATGCCCTCCTTATTAGGGTAGTTTTACAGTAAGTTCTGCCATTGGAGAGTATACATCCTCTAACTTTGTTGTTCTTTTTCCAAATTGTTTTCACTGTTGTAAGTCCTTTGCATTTTCATATAATTTTTGAGATTGGTGTGTCTACATCTACCATTATTAAGATTTCATAATGATTGAGTGCTTAGTATTTAAACATTGCATTTAAACTGCTTCATTTTTGACTGGGTGTGGTGGTTCTTGCCTGGAATCCCAGCACTTTGGGAGGCCAAGGCAGGTGGATCACTTGAGGTCAGGAGTTCGAGGCCAGCCTGGCCAACATGGTGAAACCCCGTCACTACTAAAAATACAAAAATTAACCAGGCATGGTGGCATGTGCCTGTAATCCCAGCTGCTTGGGAGGCTGAGGCAGGAGAATCTCCTGAACCTGGGAGGCAGAGGTTGCAAAGCTGAGGTTGCATTACTGCACTCCAGCCTGTGTGACAGAGCGAGACTCCATCTCAGTCAATCAATCGGTCAATCAATAAACTGCTTCATTTGTTATTGCTACGTGGTATGGCCTTAGTAAATGCTTGGTGCTGTTCTTTTGTTCTTATTAAGATTTTCCAGTATGGGGAAGTGACTTAGATTTTTTTGCATATGAAGCACAATTCTGTTTGTCCGTTTTCAAGTATTTCATCTTTTTGTTTTCCCAAGTATTTTTATTAGATCGTGTGTTATTATTTTTGCTTCTAGTTAGAAGTTATTGGCTAAATTTTAAAAATATAATAATAGTGGCTTAAGACTATTTTAAAGTAGACCTGGCTTTCTTGTCTTTATTTTCAGACTTCCATAGCTTATTAGAATAAGACTGCCCTCCCATGGTGAAAATTAGGTAATTTTTTTCAGTAAATTTAATGGGCTTATTTTTGGAAAAAATAATTTAAAATATATATATTTTTAAAATATGTGGGAAATAAGTGATAAGCTATTCTGTGTTTCCAAATAAACAGAGATTGTAGAATCCTCCCCAGCCCCCACTAGCTATAGAGTCACAGTGGCTGACCAGCATGGGAGGCCCTGGCCACAGCTTTTCATGAGTTGGTGGTCTTAAGTCACCTGTCTCTCTGGAGAATCAGTTTTATAATCTTAAAATGAAGAGGTTTCAATGAGGCTGCTCCACATCTAAACTTGTGTGGCTCCTTTGTCTTTCTATGCCACCTTCTCTTTGTCTTCCTATTATTTTATGGGATATCGCTTTATATCTAGTCCTCTTTCTCAATCCCATGTTAAAATTCTTGGAATGCTCTTGAGTCTTATTGGTCTGATCCCCTCTATATTTTCTGTAGAATTATGTAATATTACTACAAGTACCATTTGGGTGAAAGGAACTCTTTGATCTTCAAAGTAGTGAAATGATTCTAAGTATGGATAAGAGTGGTGAATATAGAGACCTAGGAACCAGAATTTCTGTTACTTATGTTTATTCAAGTTAATATTTACAGTGGCCTCCCCTTATCCACAGTTTTGCTTTCCCCCATTTGAGTTACCCATGGTCAACCATGGTCCAAAAATATTAAATGGAAAATTCCAGAAAGAAATAATTCATGTTTCAAATTACATGCTATTTTGAGTAGCCTGACGAAGTCCTGTGCTGTCCAGCTCTGTCTAGTCCAGGACATGAATCATCCCTGTGTGCAACATATCCACACTATATACACTCACCTCCCATTAGTCACTTAGGGTTATCAGATCACCTGTCATGGTATCCCAGCACTTACGTTGTAGTAAACCTTATGTCAAAGAGAATCTATAACGGGGTGCCTAGTCTTTTGGCTTCCCTGGGCCACATTGGAAGAAAAAGAATTGTCATGGGCCACACATAAAACACACTAACACTAGTGATAGCTGATGAGTTAAAATAAATAAATAAATAAATAAATAAATAAATAAATAAATCACAAGAAAACTCATCATGTTTTAAGAAAGCTTACGAATTTGTGTTGGGCCACATTCAAAGCCATCCTGGGCTACAGTGGGCCATGGCTGTGGGTTGGACAAGCTTGATCTATAAAGTGCTTCCCTTAAGTGAAAACTTTTCCCTTAGTAAAAGTTCTCAACTTAATAAGGAAAGAAAAAGAATGGTATGGTAAGAGTGCTAACATCTGTAGTAAGACCAAATCTCCTATCTGTAAAATTGTGAAGAAGGAAAAAGAAACTAGTTTAGTTTCCTGTTGCACCTCAAACTGCGAAAGTTATGACCACAATTAATGCATTATAAGTATTTAGTTAAGAGGGAAAAGGCATTAAATCTGTGAGTGGAAGACGTGAACAGAAATGTGTTTTGACTGACAACAATCAGGTTTTGTACTTGCTGTGGTTTCAGGCATCTACAGGGGATGTCTTGAAACATATCCCCCAAGGTAAAACCGAGACTATTGTTCAGTAAGTCCTCACTTAACATCGTCAATGGGTTCTTTGAAACTGCGACTTTAAGTGAAATGACATATAATGAAACCAATTTTACCATAGGCTAATTGTTATCAAACAAGTGTTAAGTTCCTGTGGCATATTTCTGGTTATAGAATCATCACCGAACTTCGTAATGAAGACCCAAAACACTTCTAATATTAAACATTGAAATAAATGTGAGCTATCTGTATGTTTAAGAAAACGTTAATAAAAAACAAGTGCATGAATTTTTGTATTTTATTAGTCATACTTTTGGATGTTACTTACATGGTATGTAACTACAGTGTTAAAATTAATCAAGCTACATATTTATCATCTATGTACTTTTCTATACATATATCAAACATCAATAGAAAGTTTATAAGAAGTCGACAGTATGGATTCAACTACTAATTTATAGGAAATGCAGACAGAGGAATATGTTAAAGTACACCACAAGTACGCAGTCAGCAAAATCTAGACTGTGGGAAATGCCTGTGAGACAAACAACTTGGTTTCTCCATCAAATAAAATGTAAGGAAGAAAAAAAGGGATGAAGGGGAAATGTATAGGTTAAAAAAGACTTAAAAGGTATATTGGCCAGGTGCAGTGGCTCACACCTGTAATCCCCACACTTTGGGAGGCTGAGGCAGGCAGATCACTTGAGCCCAGGAGTTCAAGACCAGCCTGAGCAACATAACAAGACTCCACCTCTACAAAAAACACAAAAGTCAGCCTGGCATGATAGCGCGTACCTGTAGTCCCAGCTACTCAGGAGGCTGAGGCACGAGAGTCACTTCAACCGTGGAGGTGGAGGTTGCAGTGAGCCGAGATCGCGCCACTGCACTCCAGCCTAGGTGCCAGAGTGAGACTCTTAGGAAACAAAGCAAAACAAAACAAAGACTTAAAAGATATATCAACTTATGACATCTGTGTGGGCCTTATGTGGATACTGACTCAACAGACAAACGAGTTTAAAAATTGTGGAACAGTTGGCAAGTTGAACATTTGCTGGGTTTGATGATAGTAAGGAAATATTGTCAATTATTTTTTGGTATGGTAATTGTATTGTAGTTAATGTTTTAAAAAGTAGAGAGAGGTATTCTTTCTAAGGCCGAAATAACCCCTACCCCAAAATTTGACAGGTGCATCACAAGAAAATAGAATTACAGTCCAGTAAACACACAAATAGTAAATAAAACATTATAAGTTAAAATTTAGATATATATAAAAACAAGGCCGGGCACAGTGGCTCACACCTGTAATCCCAGAACTGTGGGAGGCCAAGGCGGGCAAATCTCCTGAGGTCAGGAGTTCGAGACCAGCCTGACCAACATGGAGAAACCCCGTCTCTACTAAAAATAAAAAAATTAGCCGAGCGTGGTGGCGCATGCCTGTAATCCCAGCCACTTGGGAGGCTGACGCAGGAGAATCAGTTGAATCCGGGAGGCGGAGGTTGCAGTGAGCCGAGGTCGCGCCATTGCACTCCAGCCTGGACAACAAGAGTGAAACTCTGTCTCAAAAAAAAAAAAAAAAAAGAAAAAACAAAAAAAAACCACTCCATTATGATCAAGTGGGATTTGTATCAGGAACTCCAAATTGGTTTGAAAAAGCCCAGTGTGATTCATAATATTAACAGAATAAAGGAAAATTATATGAACATCTTAGTAAATAAAAAACATTTGATACAGTTGGGCACAGTGGCTCACGCCTGTAATCCTAGCACTTTGGGAAGCCGAGGCAGGTGGATCACGAGGTCAGATCAAGACCATCCTGGCTAAAACAATGAAACCCCGTCTCTACTAAAAATACAAAAAAAAATTAGCCAGGCGTGGTGGTGGGTGCCTGTAGTACCAGCTGCTTGGGAGGCTGAGGCAGGAGAATGGCGTGAACCCGGGAGGCGGAGCTTGCAGTGAGCCGAGATCACGCCACTGCATTCCAGCCTAGGTGACGGTGCAAGACTCCTTCTCAAAAAAAAAAAAAACATTGGATACAATTAAATACACCATTATGATGAAAATTTTTAGGAAGGTGACTTAATTTGATAGAGGGTATCTACAAAAATATCTGCCACTAACATAACATGAGGAAATACTCAACTCTCTTCTCCCCAAAAATTGAGAACAAGGCAAGAATATCTACTTTCATCACTCCTATTCAGTTTTATACTGGAGCTCCTAGCAGTGAGATACAGAAAAGAAGAAATAAAAGGTACAAAAGTAGAGAAAAAAGGAATAAAAACTAACTTTAATTACAGTAGACATAATTATATTTTTGAAATCCCAAAAGAATATACAAGCAAACTATTAGAATTAATAAGTCTAATTCTAATCAGTCTAATTCTAATCAGTGTAATCAGCAGGATTTAGCAAGACTGCTGATTATAATTTCAATATAAAAATATCAATTTTTACCATATATTACCAATACATAATTGGAAAATAAAACTTTAAAAGATCATTTATAATAGCCTCTGAGCTATCAGTAACCTGGGGTAACTCTAAAAAAAATGTGTAAGACTTTTATCAGAATACTACAAAACAATGCCAAGAAGGAAATTGAAGAATAGCTAGCTCGTTAACTGAAAGACTCAGTATTGCTAAGATGCCAGTTCTCTCCAAAATGATCCGAGATTCACTGCAATCTCAATAATAATCTCAGCTTGGTTTTTGTGTGATTTTACATGCTAATTCTGAAATTAATATGGAAATGCAAAGGACCTAGAATAACCAAGACAATCCTGAGATAAAACAACAAAGAGGACTTAGTATGTTACAAAGTTTTTTTTTTTTGTTTTTTGAGACAGAGTTTTGCTCTGTCCCCCAGGCTGGAGTGCAGTGGCGCAATCTCGGCTCACTGCGACCTCCACCTCCCTGGTTCAATCAATTCCCCTGCCTCAGCCTCCCAAGTAGCTGGAATTACAGGTGCACACCACCACGCCCAGCTAATTTTTTTTGTATTTTTAGTAGAGATGGGGTTTCACCATTTTGGCCAGGCTGGTCTCAAACTCCTGACCTCAGGCAGTCCACCCACTTCGGCCTCCCAAAGTGCTGGGCTTACAGGCATGAGCCACTGTGCCCGGCCACAAAATCTTAAGGTATAGACCTATGGGATAAAAATTCAGGCTTAGAAATAGACATTGAACTCAGAAATAAACTCGACATATATGATTGCTTGATTTATGATACATATACACTGCAAGTCAGTGGGGATAAGATCTTTTCAATAAATAAATTATAAATTTTCCTAGCCAGTCCTATATCACTCCGCTTTGAGATACTGAATCTATTTTAATCAAATTATAATCATAGCATATAATTTACATTTCATACAGTGAGTATGAAATGAGATGCCTCACTGTGGTGTGATTTTCCATTTCCCTGATGATTAGTGATGCTATCTTTTCATGTGTTTATTTGGTCATTTCTTTGGAGAAATGTCAATTTAGATCCTTCATGCATTTTTAAATTGGGGTTTTTAAGTATTGAGTGGTAGGAATTTTATTCTAGATACAAGTCCCTTATCGATAGATATGATTTGCAAAATTCTTCCATTCTATGAGCTTTTTTTTTTTTACTTTCTTGATGATGTCTTTTGATGGACAAAACGTTTTAATTTTGCTGATGTCTAATTTATGTCTTTTTTGCTTGTGATTTTGGTGTCACATCTAAGAAATCATTGCATAATCCAAACTCATGAGTATTTATGTCTGTTTTACGAGTTTAATAGTGTTAGCTCTTATGCTTATTATCTCTGTCCCATGTTAAGCTCTGCATATGGTGTGTTGTGAATGTATTGTCCCAGCACCATTTGTTCACTATTAAAGTAATGTTGGGGGTGCCTGTGGGCGAGTACCTGCAGGCAAAGCAGCATGGGGGAGGCTGCAGTGGGGAGAGGGCGTGTGCAAGCTGGTGCATGTCAGCAGTGGCCTCTCTGCTGGAGCACTCTGCCAGTTAGGTGAGCTCAGCCACTACAGGAGCTGACATGGGCCCCTAGGAGTTACCTGGCGGCTGTACTGCAAGCAGGTGTGGCCAGGCTGGGGACCCTGGAGAGACCAACAGACCAAACAGTGGTCCAGTCGGACCAGCCCTGTCTCCTGGAGTTCAGGTCCAGCAGTTCCCCTAGGGCCAACGTCTCCTATGGGAGCAAGTTGAGCCTAGGGGGATGGGCGTCCCTGTTCATGCTCCACTGCAGATGCTTCTGCACTAAACCCTCTGGGCTCCACACCAGCTGGAGTTCTGTGCCTACCACTTCTCTAAGCAGCTTTCTCTGCCAACTTAAATGTTCAAGGTGGTCACAGTGTCTCATCCTGCTGGGCTTCCAGAGGCCTCTGGTGAGAGTGGGTTTCTCCTTTGTCTGTTCAGTCACCCCTTCTTCAAGCATCATTGGGGTCCAGCAATGAGTCCCGGTGCGTGGTAGCCCCATGCAGGGTTCCCAGCTTCCTTCCCCTTGAGCCTAGCATCTCTGTCTTCCCTCATCTGCTCTTAATGCCTTCCCTCTGAAGATCTGCTAGGAGTGAGCTAGTCTTCCTGATGTCGTGGTCCCTCCATTGGAGATGTTCTCCCTGACTGCATCTAGTTGTCCACCTTGGAGCCTGACAAGAGTGTTTTAAAATGGACTGTAGTGATGGTTGTACAACCCTGAGTATAAAAATCAATGAATTGTATACTTTAAAGGATTGAATTATATAGTATATTAATTGTACCTCAATAAAGCTGTTATTGGCCGGGCGTGGTAGCTCACGCCTGTAATCTCAACACTTTGGGAGGCCGAGGTGGGCCAATCACCTGAGGTCAGGAGTTGAAGACCAGCCTGGCCAACATGGTAAAACCCTGTCTCTACTAAAAATACAAAAATTAGCTGGGCGTGTTGGTAGACACCTGTAATCCCAGCTACTTGAGAGGCTGAGCAGGAGAATCACTTGAACCTGAGAGGTGGAGGTTGCAGTGAGCCGAGTTACACCACTGCACTCCAGCCTGGACGACAGAGCAAGATAATGTCTCAAAAAAAAAAAATGCTGTTATTAAGATAATAATAGGGATGGAAGTATATATGAAATGATTGGTTATAAATTAATAATTTTTGAAACTGAGTGAGAAGTATACAGAAGTTTATTATTTTATTCTTTCTACTTTCGCTTCTGTCATAAATTCTCCTTGGTAAAAAGGTAAAGAATAAAAGTTGCTAGCACTGTAAATGTAAAGAAAAAAAAACTCTCCATCACTGGAAGTCTTAATACCAGGACTTTATACAAATGATTGTGCCTTGACTGTAAAGCCAAGGAATGGCATGTGCTTTTGTGCCTTAGCCTGAGTTGTCCCAGTGTTTCTGCCTCTTTAGACCCTCTATAATTTCATTCTTTTTCTATATTTGGGTTCATTTTAAAGCAGCTCCTTAATTTTTTATTATTTCTCCAAGAGAGATATAACTGCTGGAAATGTTTTCTTTGTTATAGCACTGGTCAGAGGTGATTGGGAAAATCGGTTTCAGAGCTCCTCAGAGTCTATAATAGAAACTATAATGAATGCCTCCATTAATAAATACTTAATAAAAGTGCATTGGGGAAAAATGCCGTTTGCCCCTTCCTCTGTGTAATGTAGAATATAACAGTGTATCTCTAAATAGTAACTGTAGTCTGTTGTAGAGCTATAAGGTAAAGTGAGCTACTGGAGTGGAAGAAGATATAGCAGATAAAAACACATTGTGTTCCTAAGGTGTGAATAAATTTTTTTTCTTTTCCTTCACTAATAAGCATCATTCAGTGATTTCATTCAGAAAAGTATATTGAACAAAGGCAGCATGTTAGCTTTGGGGAGGGGAAGAGAGGATGCAAAGATGACTAACACACAGTCCTTGCAACCAAGCTATCTAAAATCCTCTGGAGAATATGAAAGAACAGACCAAGCTGGGCAACAGAGTGGGACTCTGTCTCTTAAAAAAAAAAAAAAATAGAAAAGAAAAGAAAAACAGAAAGAGAGTGAGGGAGGGAGAGAAAGAGAAAAAAAGGAATGAAGAAAAGGAGGGAAAAAGGGAGGGCTGGAAGAATAGTCAACTATGTATTCATCTCAGCTCAGTAAATCAGCACTTTAGGTAAGATAAAGTAAACAGAGTAGCTACCTGTGGGGACATCTGGCCTTCTAAATGTTTCAAAACAAAGGAATGAGTTGCTTGCATGATTCAGCTTCGAGCTTAACTTTTCCTCTTTAACATAGTGTAGCGGACCCCAGACTTTTTGTCACCAGGGACCAGTTTTGTGGAATACAATTTTTCCACGGACAGGCATGAGGGAGGAAGGAATGGTTTCAGGGTGATTCAGTCGCATTACATTTATTGTGTACTTTGTTTCTATTATTATTACATTGTAATATATAATGAAATAATTATACAGATCACCATCATGTAGAATCAGTAGGAACCCTGAGCTTGTTTTCCTGCAACTAGATGGTCCCACCTGGGGGTGATGGGAGACAGTGACAGGTCATCAGACAGTAGATTCTCATAAGGAGCATGCAAGTTAGATCCCTCACATGTGTGGTTCATAATAGGGTTTGCACTCCTATGAGAATCTAATGTCACTGCTGATTTGACAGGAGATGGAGCTCAGGCAGTAACACAAGCAATGGGAAGTGGCTGTAAATACAGATGAAGCTTCACTCACTTGCCCACCTTTCACCTCCTGCTGTGTATTTCAGTTCGTACCAGTTGTGGTCCATGACCCTAGGGTTATAGACCCCTGGCATAGTGAATTTGGGGTCCTGAGATTTTGTTTTCCTTTCACATATTCCAACAAGAATGTGATTGTGATACAGTGACTGAGAATAAAAAGGAAGGAATGGATGCAAGAAGCATGAGAAGGTAGGGCAGGACTTGGCACCTGGTTGTCCGTAGAGATGCAGGAAGGTTAGAAATCAGCTGAGCAACTCCTAGAAGTTTAGAACCTGCACAGCTGGGAGGAAAAACAGAGTCAATAGGGACCTTATGAGTTCGAAGGAAATGGTTTATGATGTTCATTTTGATTGAGTTTTATGCCACCAGATGTTTAAGTTTGCTTCTGAAAGGTTGCTACTTTTGAATGAGGTAAGTGTTTGAGATGTGGATTTTGAAGGACTCACCCTAAAGGTAATGATTACAATGGATGAAATTTTTAGGGAATAAAGAGAAGAGACCAAATGAAGGATATTGGGGAACACTAGCCACTAAAGGACAACCAGAAAAGCATAATGTGTGTTAGCAAAGTTGTAACCACCCAAGGGTTTCTTCCAGCCCACTGCACAAATGAAGACTGCAGCATTGTAGTAAAGAAAGAGTTTAATAGACACAAGGCTGGCCACACCACGTGGGAGATGGAGTTAGTACTCAAATCATCTTGTGGGTTAGGGGTTTTTCTCTTTTTTCTTTTTTTTTTTTTGAGAGAGTCTTGCTCTGTCACCCAGGAGGCTGGTGTGCGGTGGCATGATTTCTGCTGACTGCAGCCTCTGCCTCCCAGGTTCAAGCGATTATCCTGCCTCAGCCTCCCAAGTAGCTGGGATTACAGGTGCCCACCACTATGCCCAGCTAATTTTTTTGTATTTTTGGTAGAGACGGGGTTTCACCATTTTGGCAGGCTGGTCTCGAACTCCTGAGGGTTAGGGGTTTTTCAAAGGCAGTTTTGGAGAAGTGGTCAGGGAGGCAAGGCTTGCTGCTGATTGGTTGGGGCAGAGATGAAATCCTATGATTTCATCTCTAGGGGGGTGTAAGCCGTTCTCCTGTGGGCTGAATTGCTTCTGGATGGGGCCACAGGAATGGGATTGGAAGGTCCAGGTGAAGCCGTAGGTGTCAGCCATGCAAAAAAACCTGAAAAGGTATCCCAAAAAGCCAGTCTACAATAGTTACGTTATTTCCAGGAATGGCTGACAATCTATGTCTACACCTTAGCAGAATCGGGCTCCTCTCTTCACCCAGTTCATGGCCTTCCATTAGCTTTACAAAATAAGCTGAGTTTTGGGCAAGGTCTATTACATTTAAACTATAGCCTAAATGTCTTCCAAAGTTAGCTCAGCCCAAAAGCACAGTGATAATTTAAGGAAAGGGAAGATGGAGGGTAGGTTAGTCAGATCTTTTTTACTGTCATAATATTCTCATTGATATATTTGCAAAGGTGATTTCAAAGTGAACAGAGATTTTCAAGAAAAATAGTGTATCATCATAGTTAAAAGCATGGAGCTAGACTGCTGTATTCAAATCCCAGATCTGCCACAAGTGATTTAATTTCCTTAGCTCCTACACCTAAAAAAACAGATACAGGCTGGGTGTGGTGGCTCAAGCCTGTAATCCCAGCACTTTGGGAGGCCAAGGCGGGCGGACACGAGGTCAGGAGATCGAGACCATCGTGGCTAACACAGTGAAACCCCGTCTCTACTAAAAATACAAAAAATTAGCCGGGCGTGGTGGCGGGCGCCTGTAGTCCCAGCTACTCAGGAGGCTGAGGCAGAATGGCGTGAACCCAGGAGGCAGAGCTTGCAGTGAGCCAAGATTGCACCACTGCACTCCAGCCTGGGTGATGAGCGAGACTCTATCTCCAAAAAAAAAAAAAAAAAAAAAAAAAAAAAAAAAAAAAAAAATACCAGATATAAGTAAAAGTACCTCATAGGGTTATTGTGAGGATTAAAAGTAAGGCATTTAGAAGAATATCTGAAAATGTTCTTTAAACATCAGTGATATGGTTTGGATCTGTGTTCCCACCCAAATCTCATGTCAAATTTTAATCCCCAATGTTGGAGGTTGGGCCTGGTGGGAGGTGATTGGATCATGGGGGCGGATTTTCCCCTTGGAGCAGTTCTCATGATAGTAAGTGAGTTCTCATGAGATCAGGTCATTTAAAAGTGTGTGGCACCTCCCCTTTCTCTAGCCAAGTGAAATGCTGCTCCCCCTTCTCCTTCCGCCATCATTGGATGCTTCCTGAGGCCTCCCCAGAAGCAGACTCTGCCATGCTTCCTATACAGCCTGCAGAACTATGAGCCAATTAAACATTGTTTATAAATTACCCAGTGTCAGGTATTTCTTTATAGCAGTGTGAGAATGGACTAATAAAATCAGCTATTATTGTTTAATGTTATTTGTATAAGATAATTTTGGGAAAATAGATTAAGGAGAATTGTTAGGTCAGCCACAACAGATTAAGGTCCATGTGAATAGAAAGGTAATACAGACTGAGGTAAGGCAATTCTTTCTTTTTATTATTATTATTATTATTATACTTTAAGTTTTACGGTACATGTGCACAATGTGCAGGTAAGTTACATATGTATACATGTGCCATGCTGGTGTGCTGTACCCATTAACTCGTCATTTAGCATTAGGTATATCTCCTAAAGCTATCCCTCCCCCCTCCCCCGACCCCACGACAGTCCCCAGAGTGTGATGTTCCCCTTCCTGTGTCCATGTGTTCTCATTGTTCAATTCCCACCTATGAGTGAGAAGATGCGGTGTTTGGTTTTTTGTTCTTGCGATAGTTTACTGAGAACGATGATTTCCAGTTTCATCCATGTCCCTACAAAGGACATGAACTCATCATTTTTTATGGCTGCATAGTATTCCATGGTGTATATGTGCCACGTTTTCTTAATCCAGTCTATCATTGTTGGACATTAGGGTTGGTTCCAAGTCTTTGCTATTGTGAATAGTGCCACAATAAACATACGTGTGCATGTGTCTTTATAGCAGCATGATTTATAGTCCTTTGGGTATATACTCAGTAATGGGATGTCTGGGTCTAATGGTATTTCTAGTTCCAGATCTCTGGGGAATCGCCACACTGACTTCCACAATGGTTGAACTAGTTTACAGTCCTACCAACAGTGTAAAAGTGTTCCTATTTCTCCACATCCTCTCCAGCACCTGTTGTTTCCTGACTTTTTAATGATTGCCATTCTAACTGGTGTGAGATGGTATCTCATTGTGGTTTTGATTTGCATTTCTCTGATGGTCAGTGATGGTGAGCATTTTTTCATGTGTTTTTTGGCTGCATACATGTCTTCTTTTGAGAAGTGTCTGTTCATGTCGTTCGCCCACTTTTTGATGGGGTTGTTTGTTTTTTTCTTGTAAATTTGTTTGAGTTCATTGTAGATTCTGGATATTAGCTCTTTGTCAGATGAGTAGGTTGCAAAAATTTTCTCCCATTCTGTAGGTTGCCTGTTCACTCTGATGGTAGTTTCTTTTGCTGTGCAGAAGCTCTTTAGTTTAATTAGATCCCATTTGTCAATTTTGTCTTTTGTTGCCATTGCTTTTGGTGTTTTAGACATGAAGTCCTTGCCCATGCCTATGTCCTGAATGGTAATGCCTAGGTTTTCTTCTAGGGTTTTTATGGTTTTAGGTCTAACGTTTAAGTCTTTAATCCATCTTGAATTAATTTTGGTATAAGGTGTAAGGAAGGGATCCAGTTTCAGCTTTCTGCATATGGCTAGCCAGTTTTCCCAGCACCATTTATTAAATAGGGAATCCTTTCCCCATTGCTTGTTTTTCTCAGGTTTGTCAAAGATCAGATAGTTGTAGATATGCGGCGTTATTTCTGAGGGCTCTGTTCTGTTCCATTGATCTATATCTCTGTTTTGGTACCAGTACCATGCTGTTTTGGTTACTGTAGCCTTGTAGTATAGTTTGAAGTCAGGTAGCATGATGCCTCCAGCTTTGTTCTTTTGGCTTGGGATTGACTTGGCGATGCGGGCTCTTTTTTTGGTTCCATATAAACTTTAAAGTAGTTTTTTCCGATTCTGTGAAGAAAGTCATTGGTAGCTTGATGGGGATGGCATTGAATCTATAAATTACCTTGGGCAGTATGGCCATTTTCACGATATTGATTCTTCCTACCCATGAGCATGGAATGTTCTTCCATTTGTTTGTATCCTCTTTTATTTCATTGAGCAGTGGTTTGTAGTTCTCCTTGAAGAGGTCCTTCACATCCCTTGTAAGTTGGATTCCTAGGTATTTTAATCTCTTTGAAGCAATTGTGAATGGGAGTTCACTCATGATTTGGCTCTCTGTTTGTCTGTTATTGGTGTATAAGAATGCTTGTGATTTTTGTACATCGATTTTGTATCCTGAGACTTTGCTGAAGTTGCTTATCAGCTTAAGGAGATTTTGGGCTGAGACAATGGGGTTTTCTAGATATACAATCATGTCATCTGCAAACAGGGACAATTTGACTTCCTCTTTTCCTAATTGAATACCCTTTATTTCCTTCTCCTGCCTAATTGCCCTGGCCAGAACTTCCAACACTATGTTGAATAGGAGTGGTGAGAGAGGGCATCCCTGTCTTGTGCCACTTTTCAAAGGGAATGCTTCCAGTTTTTGCCCATTCAGTATGATATTGGCTGTGGGTCTGTCATAGATAGCTCTTATTATTTTGAGATACGTCCCATCAATACCTAATTTATTGAGAGTTTTTAGCATGAAGGGTTGTTGAATTTTGTCAAAGGCCTTTTCTGCATCTATTGAGATAATCATGTGGTTTTTGTCTTTGGTTGTGTTTATATGCTGGATTACATTTATTGATTTGTGTATATTGAACCAGCCTTGCATCCCAGGGATGAAGCCCACTTGATCATGGTAGATAAGCTTTTTGATGTGCTGCTGGATTCGGTTTGCCAGTATTTTATTGAGGATTTTTGCATCAAAGTTCATCAAGGATATTGGTCTAAAATTCTCCTTTTTTGTGGTGTCTCTGCCAGGCTTTGGTATCAGGATGATGCTGGCCTCATAAAAAGAGTTAGGGAGGATTCCCTCTTTTTCTGTTGATTGGAATAGTTTCAGAAGGAATGGTACCAGTTCCTCCTTGTAGCTCTGGTAGAATTCGGCTGTGAATCCATCTGGTCCTGGACTCTTTTTGGTTGGTAAGCTATTGATTATTGCCACAATTTCAGAGTCTGTTATTGGTCTATTCAGAGATTCAACTTCTTCCTGGTTTAGTCTTGGGAGGGTGTATGTGTCGAGGAATTTATCCATTTCTTCTAGATTTTCTAGTTTATTTGCATAGAGGTGTTTGTAGTATGCTCTGATGGTAGTTTGTATTTCTGTGGGATCGGTGGTGATATCCCCTTTATCATTTTTTATTGCGTCTATTTGAATCTTCTCTCTTTTCTTCTTTATTAGTCTTGCTAGGGGTCTATCAATTTTGTTGATCCTTTCAAAAAACCAGCTCCTGGATTCATTAATTTTTTGAAGGGTTTTTTATGTCTCTATTTCCTTCAGTTCTGCTCTGATTTTAGTTATTTCTTGCCTTCTGCTAGCTTTTGAATGTGTTTGCTCTTGCTTTTCTAGTTCTTTTAATTGTGATGTTAGGGTGTCAATTTTGGATCTTTCCTGCTTTCTCTTGTGGGCATTTAGTGCTATAAATTTCCCTCTACACACTGCTTTGAATGTGTCCCAGGGATTCTGGTATGTTGTGTCTTTGTTCTCATTGGTTTCAAAGAACATCTTTATTTCTGCCTTCATTTCGTTATGTACCCATTAGTCATTCAGGAGCAGGTTGTTCAGTTTCCATGTAGTTGAGCGGTTTTGAGTGAGTTTCTTAATACTGAGTTCTAATTTGATTGCACTGTGGTCTGAGAGACAGTTTGTTATAATTTCTGTTCTTTTACATTTGCTGAGGAGAGCTTCACTTCCAACTATATGGTCAATTTTGGAAAAGGTGTGGTGTGGTGCTGAAAAAAAAGTATATTCTGTTGATTTGGGGTGGAGAGTTCTGTAGATGTCTATTAGAGACTTAGACTCCCACACAATAATAATGGGAGACTTTAACACCCCACTGTCAACATTAGACAGATCAGTGAGACGGAAAGTTAACAAGGATACCCAGGAATTGAACTCAGCTCTGCACCAAGCGGCAATTCTTTCAAAAAGGGATTGAATTGTGAATGAAAGAGAAATAGTATGGTAGCTTAAGGGAAACGAAAATTGAAATTTTTTAAAAAAAGCTTTTGGAATGCTGGGTGTGGTGGCTCACGCCTGTAATCCCATCTACTCTGGAGTCTGAGACAGGAAGATCACTTAAGCCCAAGAGTTTGAGACCAGCCTGGACAATTTGTGGAAAGACCTCATCTCAGGAAAAAAAAGAAAAAAAAAAAGTTTTTGTTTTAGTGACTTCTAAATACCTCATAATAGTTAAAGAAAATCACTTCAGTAATTTAGTCCTTCATAAACCCAATAAATAGTAAGTCACTTGTTTTCAATCTTTAATGGATTTTTCCAGTGGGTAATATTTTGTATTCACCAGAAAATGTGTTTTTGGCAGTAAATGTTAATGCAGTTTTGGTTGTTTATGATTTTTATTAGTGATTTGTTTTTTGCAAACTTAAAACCAAAAATGGCTAACAGCTGGAAGATTGAAAATACAAACATAAACCTCAGTGAATTAATTGCAGGGATTTCAAGAATCATTTCCAGTATTTTAAAATTTTGGTTTTGTCTTTTCTTTTTGTAAAAAGATTAACTTGGCTACTTTAAGCTCCACTATTCAGATCATAGATAAATCTGTCTTTTATTCTAACCTTAGTATTTACCTTATGATTTTAATGATGAATTTCAAGATGTTGGGTTTTTTCAATGTCAGTAAACATTTTTTACTTTTACATATGTTCTTATAAGTGCCATGATATCACAATTTTTTGTTACATTGTAGAAAAATTTATTTTGTTTATTAAAGCAATTGAAACTTTAGAATATTTTAATTTTTGAGTGATTATTATAGTATTGTTTTCTTTTATCTTTAAGGACTTCATGATCTTTTATTTTTCTTTGTAAATGTTTATGGTTTACAAAGCATTGCATATATATTTTTATCATTTATTCTTCATAGCAACCTTGTTCAGTGTTGTCACCCCTACCCTTTATAGGTGAGGAAGCAGGCTCAGAGAGGTGGTAACTTGCCCAAGACTATAAATGGAACTGGATTTCCAAGGCAAAGTTCTGCAACCCGGGACACTGCTGGTTCTAGCACTACTGGTGGTGAACATTTATTATTAAAATCATACTATCATCATCCCTCTACTCATACCATGGTCTTCCCTCTTTTTTTGCTCAAAAAAGTAGCAGTTTTGTTCTAGGTTTCCAGATATGTCATTTTAGAAATTGACTAACTTTCCTGTAAAGCCGTTGTTTGCAACCTGCTGAGATTTTGCCCTACCTTCCACCACTCCCTGCAGGGACATTTGTCAATTTCTGGAGAAATTGTTGTTTGTCAAAACTATAGAGGTAGAGGGGAGGCTGGATGCAGTGGCTCATGCCTGTAATCCTAACACTTTAGGAGGCTAAGGCTTGGAGGATTACTTGAAGCCAGGAGTTCAATATCAGCCTGGGCAACAAAGTGAGACCCTGTCTCCACAAAAAATTAGCTGAGCACAGTGGTATGCACCTGTAGTCCCAGCTACTTGGAAGCCTGAAGCAGGAGGATTGCTTGAGCCTAGGAGTTTGTGGCTACAGTGTGCTATGATCACACTGCTGCACTGAAGCCTGGGCAACAGAGCAAGACTCTGTCTCTTAACAAAATAAAAAACAAACAAAAACCTGTGGAGGGCAGGGGACGCAGGTGTTACTGCCATCTAGTGTGTAGAGACCAGGGTGCAACTAAAAGATGTACAGGGCAGCCCCTGCCGCAAAGAATGACCTGGCCCAAAATGTCAAGGGAGCCAAAGTTGAGTAACTCCACTGTGAAGAATAAGACTTTATTTACCCATTCTTAACCTCGAAATCCAAACCTCCATCTCTTGTATATCTGTAATGTTGTTCTTTCCCCCTCGCCCCCAAGTTATTTAAAATCTTGTTTTTGATGTAGCTTAATATAAAGGTGATTATCTTTCATAGCATAGGAATTACATGGTGTATTGTTATTATTATATGTATTAATAACATGTATTATTGTTATTAAGAATTTACATTAGGCCAGGCTCAGTGGCTCACGCCTGTAATCCCAGCACTTTGGGAGGCAGAGGCGGGCAGATCACGAGGTCAGGAGTTCGAGACTAGCCTGGCCAACATGGTGAAACCCCGTCTCTACTAAAGATACAAAAAATTAGCTGGGCATGGTGGCATGTGCCTGTAATCCCAGCTATTTGGGAGGCTGGAGCAGGAGAATCGCTTGAACCCAGGAGGCGGAGGTTGCAGTGAGCCAAGATCAGGCCACTGCACTCCATCCAGCCTGGGCTACAGGGCGAGATTCCATCTCAAAACAAAACAAAAAGTAATAATAATTGACATTAATACTGCTCTAAACATGTTATATATAGATTAGAGTTTTCTGAAGAATAGTTTATATTGCTGGGTGGGTGAAGAAAAATAACATCAAAGCACAAATATTTTATTTCAAACCAATATTTTTAATGAAAATTTCCCTGTTTTCTGATTTTACATATGTTGAATGCCAATAAGAAATACATAAAGAACTCTGAGCATTTATATAGAGCTTTCGGTTTCTGTCTGTTTAATTTGATGCTCTGCTTATTCAGTTATACTAGATGTGTTTCTCAGAGTTATCCAGTCCATACGTATTTGAAGAGACAATTTGGTGTAGAATTGTTAGTGTCCAGGCTCTTCCAAGCAAGGTCTTCCAAAGGGATATCTCAAAAATATTCCTTAGAGTTGAAGTGGCAATGTTATATAGCCTAACAATTTTCATGCTATTAAAAGCTTATAATAGCGGATCATTAAAATGCGAGTTACAGATTTTATGAAACACTACACGTTTTTACAGAGATTTTTAAATCAGGTAATAATTAAAAAAAAAAAAGCATATGCTATAGCCCCAAACCAGCTCTTATGAGTAGCATTTATCAAGTTGGTAATGAACATTTACTGAAGGCTTTATTTTAAGAAATTAGTTTTAAACATAAAGACGGGCTCTAAGACATGATAAGGTAATTTCAATAAGATTATATCAAATCATACTTTAAGATGATTAAAAATATTACAGTACTACCCAAGTTACTAAAGAATAAGAATAGTGTAATGCACTCTTCACATTACTGTCTTTGTTAATTCTGTTTTTCTAACAGCAAATGAAAGAGCACAAATTTTGCTAAGTCAAGCATTCCATTTACAGTACAGTTCTTTTTAAAATATGCTTGATAACAAAGTGTTAAATACCGAATATCTTACTTTTTTGTTATGAAGAAAGGAATGGTCAAGCATGAGATTTATGTAAGATCATTTGTACGCAAAAAGAAACTGCAATAGATGCTTGTTTCTCTCAACCCTTATGTATCAATAGTTTGGCAAAATTCCGTTGAAATTTCTTGTCATAAAATAAGTCAGTGGACTTACCACTTGAGAATAGATATTTGCTTGTATATATAATACTACCATTATTAATAGAGTTCAAGTATTCCAAATGTAGGGATTTTTGAATCTTATATTAAATGGACATTACCAATTACTAATTATTACATTCCAAAGTTCCCAAGCTGAACGCTCATTCTGCTCAAAACACAACGAAATGTTGCAGGTTGCATTTCCCAGTATTTCACCGGGTTGTTGAATAAACTTATTGCACTGTATAAAGATTTCTTCATCTTTGGCACTGTTGGACAGAAGTCATTTACTCCCACTCTTGCAATTGAATTAGAATGAAGGAAGATTATCTGTTGTAGTAGGAAAAAAGAAAGGATTAAAAATACCCAGTAAATGTAAACGGAAGATACTCTGTAGTCGCCATTTGTTTGTGGGTTTATTCATCTGTTTATTTTACATTGGCTTGAATGTATTTTCAGGTAAAGTAGATGTACTCACTTATGCATGTTAAATACCTATTATAAAAACTCAAGCTCATGTGTTGTACACAAAAGTGTTGGGGAAGGACTCCCGCCAGGGCCCAGAGCATACTGCCTGGTCACATGGGTCGCTGTCTCTCTCTCTCTCCAGATAGATAGATAGATACATACATACGTACATACATACATATATACATAAATACATACATGCGTAATGTTTACTTTTATAAACATACATATTTTTAAATATACATATTTATGTGTATATATATGGTTACTTCAGTGCCATATTTACAATAATGCATTTAAAACATTAGAAATGATCAGAAGAATGAAATTTAATGCTCTAAGAATTAGGCTCACAATTTGATTGTGAAGAATTATTAGCTAGCATTTTCTGTGACCAAAGGAGAATTTTTCTAAGTTGTTTTGTAGAAAGATCTATCAACATCCTAAATGCAGAATTGTAATATAGCATCAATAATTGAAATCACTTGATCTTATGTACACCAGTGGACAAGTCACAATTTTACAGGCCGTGTACATGTCTTTTTAAATTAAATTCTTACTCAAAAAGTATGGTAAATAGAGGAACTTTCCCTCATTCCCTTTAACAGCCCTTCTAATTTCTTCTTTGGCCTTTTTTGGTAACAGTGAGATTTCTGGGAAATAAAAGCAATCTACTTAACTGACAGCATTTTTGTGTACTGAAGAGCAGAAGTCTTTTGCTGGCCAACGTGGGATATCCTCCCTGGCTGTTGTTACCTCTAGATTCTGCCTTTATGTCTTAGTAAGACTGATATGAGACCAATCATGAAAATTCTAGGCATTGCTAAAACATTTAAGTTTGGTGTTCAGTCCCCCAGCTGCTCAATATAAGTGCAAGGTATAGTTTACCATAGTACTGATCTCACTGGGAATGAAAACCTGCTGGACATCAGTGTGTTTACTTTGTGGACATTCATTGAAATATATGCTTATGACATGTGTTCTTCTGTTTGTGTTATAATTCTATTCATTTAATTAATGCTAGCAAGAGTATAGGTAGATTTAAGAGAGACCAGAAGCTGGAAGCAGAGTTGTGGAGCAAATTAAGCAGAAATGACATCAGGGATGGGGCAGCTTGAGAGAGGACGGACTCAAGTTGTAGTCACTGGCTAAACAGACATCCAAATGCAGCATTTGGAAAAGTCAAAGCAAAAGTTGTGATCTTGAGATTAGCACCTGCCTATATTACATTCATTTTGATGGTTTGTATCTCAAAGGAGTACAGTGAACGAAACTTGTTTAAAGATACACCGGAAAGAAAAAGAGAAGAGGCAGAGTGGCTTGTTGCCCAGTTTTGTTCTCAAGCTCCTTGGAAGATGAAAACTTTTGTTCTTGGGAAGATCTAAATCTTTATTAGATTCTCCAAGGAATCTGTGGCCCCTTCCAGCCAGTTAAGAGTTGTCAAATAGAAGGAAAAGATTTCTAATAATGAATAAAAACAAACAACAAAATGGGAACTCATGATGCTCCAGATGGTGACTTTAAATTGGTTATATACTGTATTCTGGTTGGAATGTTTAAAAAAAAATATACATGTCTATCCTAGCACCACACTGAAAGCGAAAATACCAGGAGCCTAATCCTCTTGCTCTGCCTTGAGAAATGTTTCCAGATCAAAAGGACACGTGACACTGCTCCATGTCCTCCTGACCAGTCCTGCCTCTGCGTAGCCACCCCTGCCCTAAAATCTGAAATTAACTGTGCCAGCGGCTTTGCCGCAATGTCCTCAGCAGTTTCAACAGGAGAAACCAAAAGATGGAAATGGATCCTGAGCTTTCTTGTGACGTCGATGTAGAAACCATTCTCCTAAAGCTCTCCTACTTCTTAAAACACCTCATGCAACCTGGAGAGTCATTATGTTTGAATCACCCTTGCTGCTTACTTGGTCTTTGCTTGAGGTGTGCTAAAGTGTGTTATAAAAACTGAAGAAAAATACCAATATCTACTGAACACAAGTAGAATGTTTTACCTGGAGGTATTTCAACTCTGGTAATCCTGAAGGGATTTTTTTTAGTTTATTGTTTTCCAAATGTATTTCTCTCACACGTGGTATGTTAGCAAGACTCCCATTTTCGATATCTGTGATTTTGTTGTTTCCTAGGCCCAGCCTAAAAATGATATAAAATGCATCAAGTCTTACACAGATGGTTAGGTGTGATAGAGTTAGCTGAAAACACCGCAAACTAGTTAGAATATAAGCCTGTCCTATTTATATATATGTTCAAAGATATTTCATTACTTTATTTAATAACCTACTTCAGTATGTAACAACTATCTTCCAGTTTTGTCAGAAAATTCTTTGACCTAAATTTAACAAAAGGGAAATTTGAAAAGTCATTTTCTTCTTTTCACTTGATTCGCCCCTATCAGCAGAGGTGGTAATAACGGTGGTTCTTTTTTTTTTTTTTTTTTTTTTAAGATGGAGTCTCGCTCTGTTGCCCATGCCCAGGCTGGAGTGCAGTGGCACAGTCTTGGCTCACTGCAACCTCAGCCTCCCGAGTAGCTGGGATTACAGGCGCCCTCCACCATGCCTGGCTAATTTTCGTATTTTTTAGTAGAGATGGGGTTTTACCATGTTAGCCAGACTGGTCTCGAACTCCTGACCTCGGGATCTGCCCGCCTTGGCCTCCCAAAGTGCTGGGATTACAGGCGTGAGCCACCACACCCGGCCAATTGTGGTTCTTTCTAGTTTTCCCTTCACACTCTCCAGTTCCAACAGCAACTGGCTAAACAGACAGTGATCTCTACCAGGGTCCCTGTGCACATTCTCCAGGAGGTATCATTCTAAGTTAAAATTTTGGGAACGTTTACCTTTGTAGTTCTTTGTATCGTTTAAAATCCTCAAGTTCCACTGTTGAAATTTTATTATAATCTAAGTGAAGCTCCAATAAAGTTGGTGGTAAGCCTAATAAGAAGAGAAATATATATGTTAAGTCAAGTATCACTAAGCCCAATTGACTATTTGTTTACTTTTCAAGTTTCAGATTATGGATTTAGGCAACTTTTTAGGCACTAACTCTTTTTTTTCTTTGAGACAGAGTTTCACTCTTGTTGCCCAGACTGGAGTGCAGTGCCGTGATATCAGCTTACTGCAACCTCCATCTCCTGGGTTCAAGCAGTTCTTCGGCCTCAGCCTCCTGAGTAGCTGAGATAACAGGTATGCACCACCATACCTGGCTAATTTTTTGTACTTTTTAGTAGAGATGGGGTTTCACCATGTTGGCCAGGTTGGTTTCAAACTTCTGACCTCAGGTGATCCACCCCCCTCGGCCTCCTAAAGTGCTGGGATTACAGGCGTGAGCCACCACACCCAGCCTGGTACCTACTTTTTATTAACTTCTTATTATGGTAAAATTGTAACCATTCATAAAATAGTAACTAGTATTATGAACCACCATGCTCAGCTTCAACAGTTATCTCCATTTTTCCTATCTTGTTTTATCTACTCTTAATTATTTATTGATCTGTTTATCTATTTTTATTTTGCCATATTTCTTTTGCTGGAGTATTTAAAGTCAAATCTTATACATAATGTCATTTCTTCTATAAATTCTTCAATTAGATGTCTCTAACTGATAAGGTCATCTTGTTTTTTGTTTTTTGTTTTTTAACATAACCACCCTGTTAATATCACATCTAACAAGATTAATACATTCTTTACTGTCATCTAATATAGTAAAGTTTCCCCACTTGTCTCAAATACGTCATTTTACAGTTGATTTGTTCAAGTTAGGATTAAATGAAGTTTACAGAATACATTTGGTTCTTATCGCTCTTGAAATCTCTCTTAATGTACAACATACTCCCTCCTTTTTTCTCCCTCTTCTTTTGATTTATTTCCATATTAATTTGTTTGAGACACTCCTTTTGTGGATTTGGCTGACAGCTTCCATGTGATATCATTTATCAGGATCCTTTAACTTCTTCCTATGCCCTGGTAGTCAGATGCAGAGAGACATTCAGATAAAAGCAAATCAGCCTTTCACCTGAGGGTCTTAGCATTCATGCACGATTGTTGCCTAGATCCATTCTGTCATTAGGAATTGGAAAATGGTGACTTCCTGATGTCATTCTTGATGGATTTATTAGCTGGAATTCTTCTCTAAAGAATTTTCTTTCATTAATTATTTAGTTACTTTGTAAGATTGTTTTTATAGAAAAGGCAGCAAAACTTGATTCATTCAAGTAATGAATTCATGCAATGCCCAGAGGTGACCAGTTAAGGTTTTTTGTGTTTTTTTTAAAACACCATTATAAACACGGATTTTTACCCTATTTGATATGTTCAGGTCATTGCAGTATTTATTCTTTCTTTTCTTTTCTTTTCTTTTTTGTGGCAGGGTCTCACTCTGTCACCCAGGCTGGAGTGTAGTAGCGCAGTCTTGGCTCACTGCAGCCTCCGCCTCCCAGGTTCAACTGATTCTCTTGCCTCAGCCTCCCAAGTAGCTGGGACTACAGGTGTGCACCACCATGCCCAGCTAATTTTTGCATTTTTGATAGACATGGGGTTTTACCATATTGGCCAGACTGGTCTTGAACTCCTGACCTCAAGCGATCCGCCTACCTTGGCCTCCCAAAATGCTGGGATTACAGGCATGAGCCACTGTGCCTGGCTCTATTCTTTCAATTAGCAGTAGTTTTTGTGTAAGCTAAGTGTATCTGTAGTACCCCCGCACATGGCAGGTGCCCAGTGAATAATCGTTCTTTCTCTTCTCAACGGGGCATATCCTGACCCCCACTCTCCCCAAATGAACTGAAGCTGGAATGAAAGGGACTGACCAGAAGATTCCATCAAACCTCATTTTGTTAGCCCTATATACAAAGTATTATTTGTCAACCCAAGTATCTGGTTAGCTAGCTGGAAAATGCTCTCCTTTTTTCAAGTCTTGATGAAATATTTCCCTTCTATATTAGCAATAAAGACGGATGAAGATAATTGAAACATCTTTATGAATAGCAATAATAGTTTCCATGACTGAATTTATTTTGATAACAGAATCTATTTTGAATTTTAAAATAAATAAACTAGGGAGCAGAAAAATAATTCTTCTAAACTGAGAAGGTTCTAATTTCTTGAATTTTGATTAATTGAGCTTAATTGTATTTATGGAATGATTATGTGGACCCTCCAGTATGTAAGGTAAAGGTTCTGTCCTCAAAGACATTATTTGCTAATTTAGAGCAGATCCATCATACATACAAAAATCACTAGAAAAATAGCTGGTGCAACGTGCCAGCGAATCTAGAATAGGTTGTACAAAGTTGGAAGAGAATAATCTCTGGGAGAGGACTTGTAGAAGTTGAGGGAACTGTTGTGTCCCTTAGGAAATGGGGAAGGTGGGTAACCAGAGAGAAGATTGAAGTGTAGCCTCTAGGATAAAACGAGCAGAGGTGTGAATTTGGCAGAAGCTCAGTAACTGCTGACAAATGTTAGCACACTTTTGTACCGGAATTTCTGTTCCCACCCTGTCTTCAAACAGGTCTCCCCTCTTCCCCACATAATATTATGCAGTAGAACTTCCTGAACGAATAGGAAAGAAGACATTTTCATCCTGTCCACATGATAACTTGTTGGGTCTGGTAAGGACCCTCAGGATACCTGCATCCTTTCATCTTGCCACAGGGGGTAATACTGACTGGATTATGCCATGCAGGCAGTCAGCTTTCACAGGTTAGTGAATTCTGAATGTCAAGGGGATTTGAAGGAATAGTTATTTAAGTTGAGAGATTTGATTCCAATTTAAATTTCTAAAGATTCCTTTTGGCTTTGAAAGAATCTTGAAAACTCATGAGAAGTTAAACCTTTACTTTTAAGATACACTTTGAAATTTAAATAGAATTTTGCAGTGTAGGAAAGACTTTTGGTGTGAACATAAAGAATGGCCATGTCAGGAGATGTGGCCTGGAACAGCAGCTCCCTCCTCCAGCCCTGTAGGCTGTCCTCCTCTCCTCCCTCTACCTTCCTCTTTTCCTTGTCTTCACTCTCCTTTACTGGATGTTATCTTCCAGCAGATGAAAGGGATTTTATATGTTTAACTTATTGGGTAGCATTTGCATTTTTTGTTGTTTTTCTAAAATGGGAAGGTAAATGTAACATTTTTGGTTTCTTGTAGAAAAACATCCACCTCCTTTAAAGCTACACTGAGGTGTTTTTTTGGATTTGTATAGTTCTGAATTAAACTGTTGTTTTCCTGGATAGAAAAGTTATTTTTCCTCTTTTACTTTAGATGATCTTTAGGTGACCTAAGTGAAAGGTCACCTCTTGATTAATAATAACAGCTTTACTGTGTCTTTTAAATTATCTGTATATGTTTGTTTTATTGATCTTCTGGATCAGGTGAGTAGATTAGAGGGGGTCGTGATGAAGTTGCTGCTTTAACTCATGGATACTGAAAGACGGAGCTGTTGGAAAGTAAAAATATGTTGTTAATCATAGGGGTTATTTTTGGCCCAGTTAGTCATCAAAGCAAAGAGAGCATGTGCCCTTGTTGGGAATAAGGAAAGCAAGACTTTGAGCAAGAGTTCCAAGAAAGGCAATCCTATGCAGCTAATCATCAGACAGGGAGCTTGGAAGTAATGGGTTAGAACACTGGTCATCTGGCAGACTTAAGGAGCATTCTACTTGAGGTGCTAGCCTTGGGTCACACAAAGCCATGATAAAGAGCACAGTGCTCATCTTGGTAATGATTATGTCACAGGTGGTCACTTCCTACGTGCTGGATGTTGTCCTCAGACCTTTCTGTGTATTGGCCCATTAGTCTTCACAGTACACCTGGGAAGAAGCTGGGTACAAAATGCCTTGCCTTGAATGGCATGTCCATTCCTGCCAGAGCCAGGGGCTGCCCAGTCTGGGCTCATAGGCTTCACCTCAAACTGTGGCTAAATGCCTGGGGACAGGGTCTCTTGCCCCATCTATCTTTCTCTGCTTTCTTCTGTATAGAATTCTCTACCTCTAACAGGTACTGCACAGAATGACAGGTATAAATGAGTAAATGTCAGGAAAGAGAAGGAAAACTAAAAGTTCATTGCTTCTTAATGTTTATTCTTAGTGGAGTAAAAAAAATTGTGGCTTAATTCTGTCAGGAAAAAGGCACTACATATGGCATTTTATGTGTGTGTAGACTATATTGACCAGATTTACTGGTGCAAAGATTTCTAGTTGCAGTGTATACTGCACAGTTTACAATATTAGATTGAATCGTTATTGAAAGGTGACAACTTTAAAATACCATATCTTAGATAAAGTAAATACAAACCTTTAGGAACTGAGGTCAGTTTTGCTTCTGCAATTCTGATATGGAACACCGTCACCCCTTCAAATGCCCCTGGCTCTATCCCATTATTATCAAGAGGGTTTGCACTCATTTCTGTCAGGGGAGAATGACATGACTTAGCACACATAGGTTGTATATAAAGGAAACTCACAGTGCAGAGAGACACATCCCAAGAATGAATATCCCAAGAAGCGTGAGCTTCATCCTTTAGGCTCATTTTCACTCGGTATATCTGCTTCTGTCTATCTACTGTCCTTTCTGTCAGCATCAGAAAAATACGGCTTTGTATTATGTAAACTGGAATATATGAGAAGTTCACTATTTTTCACTTTGAATTACCATATCAGTGACATTTTCACTCTCCTCCAACCATGAGCACAATTAAGGTTTTGTTATTGTAATAGTGCATCAAAAAAGATCATCCTTCATATAATCCAAAATGTTTATGTTTTTCTGTGTACATTTTTGTGTCTTAAACTTTTTTTAAATTGTAAGTCAATTAGAAATTGTTGTTTTGTTAGCAGAAATATAACCTTGAAGAAATGCCAGTAAGTGAGGCCAGGCACTTGGTTGAATTAAATGAATAAATGAATTAGTATCTTGGTTATGAATTTTGAATGGATATTATAGGGAGATGGCATGGTTATATGATAGGTGTCAGAAATAAAATCAGGTAGAGTTTTAAATATAAGACAAAAAATTCCTCACATCGATAATCTTAAAGCAGATAACCAAATGTTAGGTGCACATTCCAAATAATATCCAAACTAATTTTGTGTATTATATTTGAGTAGCTTATGCAATACATTAAAAATACTACCTTTAAATTAAATAATAAGTTATATTTTATTAGGGTCTGGTCAGAAACAGAAACCACGCTAAGTGTTTCAAAGGAGGTTCTTTTTTTTTTTTTTGAGATGGAGTTTCATTCTGTCACCCAGGCTGGAGTGCAGTGGCGCAATCTCGGCTCACTGCAACCCCTGCCTCCTGGGTTCAAGCAATTCTCCTGCCTAAGCCTCCCGAGTAGCTGAGATTACAGGCACCTGTCACCACACCCGGCTAATTTTTGTATTTTTAGTAGAGACAGGGTTTTACTATGTTGGCCAGGCTAGTCTCAAACTCCTGACCTTAGGAGATCCGCCCGCCTTGGCCTCCCAAAGTGTTGGGATTACAAGCGTGAGCCACCAGGCCTGGCCTCAAAGGAGGTTCTTCAGGGAGAGAGAGACAGTATTACGAAGATCATATTTTCTTTAAGTGCTAAACATTTTGTTGGACATTTTAATTGGTTTATAAATGGCTTATCTAGGCAAAGATTATTCAAAAATTAATTTTGGAAATTATTCTTAATAGTGACGATAAAGTGTTCTACATCTGCTTGTTTGTTATAATTTCAAGATGTCCCATTCATTTGAAAAACTTACCCAAAACGTGTAAAGCATTCATTCCTTTGAATGTGTCCTTTTGTATTTTCTTAACTTTATTTTCATGAATTCTGAGTTCTGCTAATGATTTGGGAAGATTAAGTGGTATTTCACTTAGTTGATTGTGGGACAGATACAGCCTTCGCAACTTCTTTGTGGTTAGAAAGGCTTTTGGGTGAATCTTCGTTAGCTTGTTGTTGTTCAGGATCAGACCCTTGATCAAGCATAGAAAGTTACACAATATTAGGAAGTGGATTTGATTTACCAGTATTCTACAGTGATTAGCCAATGATGGAAATCAGTACAATTTATATCAGTGGTGTACTAGATCACCCATGTAAAAACTTTCCCAGCCCAATCTAAGCTTTTAAAAAAATTTTACTACTGAGTTAGAAAAGTGCAGAGCTATAATAATTAATGTTGTGCCATTGGTTTAGATAGAAGTGCATCTTTTTAATCTTTGAATAGATAATACTTTCATATGGCTAAGCCTTCAACCTCTACTCAGCCTCCTATTTCCCTTCAGGGAAGTGACCAGTGATATTATCTTTATCTTATCTTAAAATCTATTTACTCTACAAAACTATGTTTAGTGCACACCAAATATACTTTTGCATGATTTTGTCTACTTTGAAAACCTCATTTCTTTCATATTTACTAATGTTTACCATTTCTCCCAGAACAGAGGCCTGTAAGGAAAAAAATCCTACCATGTGCCCTCAGCATTCTGGCATATTTTAGATATTGGGGATATAGTAATGGATCCTGAGAAATGACTCAATCTCTTATCAGTTTTTTGGGTATTTCTCAGGGCAATAAGACAGCATCCTCCAGAGGAGGTCTAATAACTCCAGAGAGTAAAAAGAGCTCGTACCAGTGTGAGTGTGCTCTCTGCACAAGTCTTTTGCAACATGTCCAAGGGTGCATGGCTGCTTGGGTGACCAGCCATCTCAGTCTGCCCAGATCATGAGATTATGGGATGTGGGGATTTCAGAACCCAAACTGGGAATGTCCTAGGCAAACTGGGACATGTTGGTAACTCTGATAAGGATTTTCATTGCAAAATGAGCATAGCTCAGTTCTTTACTCTTTGCCAGATTGTTCAAAGAGAATTTCTGTGTTTACCAAGAATGATGACAGGCCACTAAGCGTCTTCAGGACCTTTTTGTCCCTCTTTACCAATCCAGGTCATCTGATTTTCTCAAGGAGCAGCTCTAGATTCATTCATTTTATGATTTTGTTCTCAAATTCATTTCACAAAAATCTCCCTTTGTTTAATATGCCTCACTGGTATTACTCATATTGTTGTTGTTTTTCCATGGCAGAAATACACATTTTGGTTGCTCAGTAAACTTGTATCTGCACGTTTCCTCATCTCACTCTTGGCCCTTTGTGCTTTCCTTTTCTCACCCTCTGGAAATTCCAGATATATCACTATTGCTAAAAGTTTCACCAAGAAAGGGTAAGCCTAGGAGAAGAGGTGAAACTACATTTTGTTACCAACTGGTAAAATATCCTCGTTTGTGAGTGTGTGATGCCAACTAAAAGTATCTTCTCTTTTCCTTTGGTTACACTGAAAAATGAGGTGAGGGGAATTTAACAACTTGGTGGATCATCAAGATGGTTTGTGAATCCTCTCTTGATTCCAAGAGGTAAATTTAGCAGGAATTATTACTCTCCTTTTAGTGATGAGGAAATGCGTAAAGTGAAGAAAGGTGACTTGCCTATGCCATGCAACAAGTGAGGGTTAGAGAGGCCCCACCACAAAGTGAACCTGTGCGTCAGTGAGATCCAAGTCTAGTGCACTGGGCTTTTATTAGTTTGTTTTTCCTAATTAAAACATGCAGTTGTTGGAACTGCATAAAAGGAAGGAAAAGTAATACAAAACTGTGTAAGAGGTTTTGTGCAGCACTGGTAAGAGCCGCGCCACATGGTGGACTGCCTGCCCTGCATGGTGAGCTGGCTGAGTGATCCAGTTAAACTGCACTCTCAGTGCTGGCTTGATTATCACAGAGCTTCCAATTCATCATTAACAAACAGTGTAAGGACAGAAGATGAGAAGAGCATAGCCATTCAGTAGTAGGACAGTGATTCATGCCACATGTGTCTCATAATGGCTGGAAGTGAGCTGGGAGGGCTGTGATTGTGTTCAGTGATTTTGCTCTGACTGTATCATCCTTTGTGTAAGAACCCAAGTGCCAAACAAGCAGCTAAAACTTAACACAGAGAATTTGTAGAATGTCTAAAAAATAGTTTGATTCTCTTAAAAGACAGGTACCATATAAGGTGATACTATAATTATATAAATGTTTTGTAATTGTGTGGTATACCTACAATTCAAGTATAAAGCATGTACTTTAAAAAGTGATTTACATCAGTACACCTGGTCAGTCTGCTAATAGTAGCTTGGCAGTAATACTACTTAACAGCTGGGGGCTTTCCCTCCATTGCTCTACACCTGACATGCATTTCTCAAAGGAAATCAAGTAGGTCTAAGAAAGCTCCTGATACCATTTAGTTTCTCATTTCCCTGTGAATAACAAGAATAAGTATGGACTAAGTCCCTGGAATGCTCCTAAAATGTAATAAAATAATGATATGATGAATTTAAAACTTTCATAGCCCCAGTATTAAATATGCCATTAGTTATTATTCTTGTGGTTATCTAAGCTGAAAAGGGGTTGAAGAAGTGGTAAACGCATCAACAGGCTATATTTCCAACTTCTGTTGGTGGAATAATGGCCTGCCATTCTCCAAAAGATTCTGTGGCCTAAAGTTAGTGGGGTGGACTGGGTGGATCCTCGGTGGAATCCATTGTGTCATTTCTGACTGTCTTAATGTTTTAGTGAGACCTAACTTATAAATATATGCTCTTCTAGTTGCTCTTTTATATTGATAATGGAGGCTTACCAGATCTGAGCTGCCTGCACACTTTGAAAGTGAAAAGAGCAGACAAGGTGCTGGCTACCTGACCGGGCAGTGTGAGAGCTGGATTTTGTAGGGAGGCTTGATGCAAGGATTGAGCATCCCTCAGTCTGCCTTAAGTATGATCAGCATGCATGTCCTCAATCCCAGGGTGACAGGGAGGAAGAGATGGGCCAGCAGGGTCCACTGCACTGACCCAGGGTGACAGGGAGGCATGGTGACCCCACATCTCTCAGACACAGGAACAGGCCAGGCCTGCATGGTAGCAAGGGGCTAATATTGTTATGGTATTTTCTACCCTGTTCTCTTAGTTTTATCTTATCTAGAGATGACAGACTTTAAATTTGTTTTCTCCAGCACAGCCTGAGAGTGTGGGGAAATGGCCTGGAATAGCCAGGCCTGGCTTACCACCTCAGATGATACAGAACCAGAGCTCTTCCTCTAACACCATGCCAGAGTCAGCGAGGCAGGAGCTGTGCTGAGGGGAGGCGGTGGCGGGGGAAATGAGGTGCTCCTCCAAACCCAATTTCAGACTAAATCAGAAATTTTACTTGCTAAAATCTGGAGACTTCGAAATGATTTTTTTGGTTTGTTTTTGTTTTTAAGACAGGGTCTTACTGTGTCACCCAGGCTAGAGTGCAGTGGCATAGTCACAGCTCACTGCAACCTCTACCTCTTGGCTAAGACTACGTGCACCACCACCATGCCAACTAATTTTGTATTTTTTATAGAGGTGGAGTCTTGTTGTGTTGCCCAGGCTGATCTCGAACTCTTGGGCTCAAGTGATCCGCCCGCCTTGGCCTCCCAAAGTGCTGGGATTATAGGCATGAGCCACCACACCCAGCCCAAAATGTTAAACATGGAAGTAGTAATCTTTTAAATCCTAGAATATTAAAATGATACTAATACAGTAAAGAAAAAATTCTTTTCTTCTTTAAAGATCCAATAAATAAGCCATACATGTATATATTAATCAATCAGATATATTCTGTGTGCTGCTGTTAGAGATTTGTGGTGTCTTAACACGTTTGGGTAGAGATTTCTTACACTGTTTGCTAATGATTGCTGTAAGTAATTGTTTTCTTGTTCATTTTAATGTATAGTGACTGTTACTACCTGAATAGATTGTAAGCTTATTTGAGGACCATTAAACTCAGCCCACTACATTTTACATGGCTATTATTTAATAAACATCCATTGAATTAGACTATTAATTGAATGAAATCTATAATTTTTAATTGACTAGAACGCTGTTGAATGCAGGGATTTTTGTCATTCTTTACAGAAAAGTAAGACTTGTTTATACTAACATAGTATAATTAATCATTATAGCAAAGATACAGAGTTTTCACTTAAATCTTTGAAAGTATGAGGATATATTCTTACATAAAGTGAAGTGAGTCCTTTAAAATCATTTTCTTTGATTTCCTTAATTTTATTGTTTTGAAGATCAAGCATTCGAGTATCAAATGGAATGTTGGTTGGGACTGAGGTCAAACCTTAGAAAGAAACAAACATATTATATAATAGAGAATCATGCTGAAGATGAGATTACTAATATGGTAGAAATATACATTTTTTAAAACCCATGATTATCATCAAGTTACAGATGACTTAACAGTCATAACAGATGACAAAAAAAACATTGTTTTGGGGGAAGACCTCAGGACCTTTTTGAGTAACTTATTAATTTTTACAAGGTGTCTAGATTGGTATAGTTGTCACTACTCATCCCCTCTAAGGTGGAATAAAAGGAGATAAATTGGAGTGGCCTTAGTGGCTGTGAGAAGGTGACCAACCACTGAGGTGCAGCTTCTGTTGATGTACCTTTGGCTGAGGAATGTTAGCTTTCTTTGCAAATTTTCAGGCTGTTATAGTGCTAAATTGGAGCATATGGGTCTTGATAATTTTTCTTTCTTTTTTTTTTTTTTTGAGATGGAGTCTCGCTCTGTTGCCCAGGCTGGAGTGCAGTGGCATGATCTTGGCTCACTGCAACCTCGGCCTCCCGGGTTCCAGCAGTTCTCCTGCCTCAGCCTCCTGAGTAGCTGGGATTACAGGTGTGTGCCACCACGCCTGGCTAATTTTTGTATTTTTAGTAGAGACGAGGTTTCCCCATGTTGGTCAGGCTGGTCTCAGACTCCTGACCTCGTGATTCGCCTGACTGGGCCTCCCAAAGTGCTGGTATTACAGTCGTGAGCCACCGCACCCAGCCGGGTCTTGATCATTTTAAGAAGCCTTAGATAGTTGTGTTTAGAAAATGGAAAAATTAGATTTTTTTCATGTATATTACCAAAAACTTTACCACCCATTTCCTTTAAGTAATTAACTTCTCTAATTAGTTGTAAATTCTTTGATTTCCACATACTGATTCATATATTATTCTTTTTTTTTTTTTTTTTAACTTGAGACAGTCTTGCTCTGTCGCCCCGGCTGGAGTGCAGTGGCGCCATCTCGGCTCACTGCAACCTCCACCTCCTGGGTTCTAGTGATTCTTCTGCCTTAGCCTCCCGAGTAGCTAGGATGTGTACCACCATGCCTGGCTAATTGTTGTATTTTTACTAGACACAGCGTTTCGCCATGTTGGCCAGGCTAGTCTCGAACTCCTGGACTCAAGCGAGATGCCTGCCTTGGCCTAGATGTCAGTACACTTTTGATAGAACCGTCCTCACTCCTGAAGTGTAGTCATACATTTAATAGCCAAAAATTGAAGAATTGAAAATCTAGTATTTGAATATCAACATTCTATCCTACAGCTCTATGTACTTTTCCTTTCTATACTTTAAAATTGGTCAGGCATGGTGCCTTACGCCTGTAATCCCAGCACTTTGGGAGGCCGAGGTGGGTGGGTCACTTAAGGTCAGGAGTTGTAAGACCAGCCTGGCCAACATGGTGAAAGAAACCCCGTCTCTACTAAGAATACAAAAATTAGCTGGGCATTGTTACACGTGCCTGTAGTCCCAGCTACTCGGGAGGCTGAGTCAGGAGAATCGCTTGAACCCAGGAGGCAGAGGTTGCAGTGAGCCAAGATAGTGCCACTGCACTCCAGCCTGGGTGACAGAGTGAGACTCTGTCTCAAAAATAAAAATAAAAAAATAGGCTGGGCGCGGTGGCTCACGCCTATAATCCCAGCACTTTCGGAGGCCGAGTCGGGTGGATCATGAGGTCAGGAGATCAAGACCATCCTGGCCAACATGGTAAAACCTCGTCTCTACTAAAAATATAAAAATTAGCCAGGCATGGTGGTGTGCGCCTTTAATCCCAGCTACTCAGGAGGCTGAAGCAGGAAAATCGCTTGAACCCAGGAGACGGAAGTTGCAGTGAGCCGAGATCGCGCCATTGTACTCCAGCCTGGGTGACAGAGCAAGACTCTGTCTCAAAAAAATAATAATAATACTAAAATAAAATTGATACTTTCTTAAGAAATTTAACCCTATATGGGAAGAAGAAGGGGGGTAACTTGATGAATTAGCAAGGTAGGGTGCAGTTTTGTTTGTTAGAATAGATTAATTTTGCCATTTTTATGAACACAGGATATTATTTTGGTTTTAGAAAATGAAGTGGAAGTCTTATAGGAAGCTGGAGGTTCTGCAGAAGGGATCCTCCTGGTAGCACAGATTTTGACAAACCTACTCCTGCCCTGCCCCTGTTAAAACTGAAGTTCTGAAGAGTTTCATCTCCTGAGGGAGGAAGAGTGATAAGTGCCCAGACCCTTTTTATGGTCACGTTTTGGGGGAGGTAGGATGGGTGCAGCAGCATGCTGATGGCATGTCTGACTGTCACAGATATTCTTAGGTGGATTTTGTTTACTAGAGTTTTTTCAAAGCTAAATGTTTGGGAGACTGTGTGTGATGGGAACACCAGCTTCCTGCCATGAGGTAGCTTGGGCTTCTCAAGTCTTTGGTGACAAGTGTGTTCTGGAGTAGTTTTATGCAATGTCTCATGCAGGGTCTTCATGTTGGAAGCATATGACTGCTCTGCCGTGGCACATATGGAGGCCAGCACGTGGGGGTGGTCTGCACTAAAGATAAATGTGTCCTTATTCACCATCTTACCCAGAACTAACCCAGTTTACATCTGGTGGAGTCATAGCAGATACACATATTTTTATCTGGAATTTTGACTTACAAAGTGCTTTAACATGCACCCACTTTGCAAACTGATGGTAGGTAACGTTTTTTCTTGTCTGAGATGCAGTTTAGTACAATAGTACATTCTCATATTCCCTAACTAACCTCTTCTCACACCCAGCATCTGTCTCAGCTTCTGCATTTCTTGTTCCTGATGCTGTTTCCACAGTCGTTCTACATGAACAAGTTTTCTCAAACAGTACTTGCATCTTAATCTCTTTCTCATGAGAATTCCACAGGTAAAGCTTAAGACCCATTTTTTTTCCTAGCCTATTTCATTAGACTTTACTAGTAAGTCTAGCTCGTATTAGTCTCCCCTTTTTCTGAATGCTTTTTGTTTGCCTCTCATTTTGTCATATAATGACAAACTTCATTAAGGTCTCTAGAGTAGATTATTGTAAGCTTTAACTCTTGCCATGAATGCTATGGCAGTAGGAAGCACGTCTAATGCTTTTCAAGACATCTGCTCATACAGACTCATGAAGTGACCCTGATGGGCCATCAGCCCCTGAGTGGGAGTTGTGTGCCAGACCTTGGCCTCCACAGTGGGGCCAGTCTCAGCTGTCCCCTCTTGGAAATAGCTGAAGGCAACAACTCTTGATATGCATTCCCATTAAGTCCCGTCCTTGAACGGGACATGGCTGTGCTCTTGAGTGCTCCTTCATTAGAAGTATTAAAGAAATAAAATACTCAGCAAAGAATTATAAATTTTAAAAAGACTTTATCCACTTTTTTCTTAGGCAGTTTTAAACCCAAATTGCTAAAAAGCAAATAAAGCATTATCTTTAAAAGGTCTAGATTAGAGATTTCACAAGCTTTCTATAACTCATTTCATTGTTCTAGACATGCAGCTTATTTTGTTATCATGGAGTTTTACTGAAAAGTACAGTCTCAACCTGCTAGCACCCTGAGATAGAACTGCATGTGATGTCCATTCTCTCTGAAGGGAATTAAAATTAAATGCTTTGATTTAACTGGGGAAGAGAAGGAAATGTTCTATGGACAACATTCCCTTAGTTTTCCTTTGATTTTCTTAATTTTAAAAATAAGTTTGGATGTACTTTGGGGTTTGCTGTACTTTCCACCTAAAAACTTAAATGAAAAAAACTTATACACTCAGATTATTTTTGAAATTTCAATGAGACTTTTTCCATCCTTTAAATTGTCAGAATAGCATTACTATTCTTCAAAACAAAATCGACTTATATTCTTACCTAAATCTGAGCAATGTACAACTCGTGAATAGCACTGACATCCAAATGGACACATTGGAAACAGATCAAATGGAAAAAAATGGCTTCTTGGCTCTCTTGTTGGAAAAAGAGAGTTGTCCTCATCATCATCATCATCATCATCATCATCATCATCATCATCATCTGTGTCTTCCATATCCTTCAGCATCATATTCTTCAGTGCGATGTGTGAAGGGCTAAAGAAGGGTTTGGCAGAGCACAAAGCCAGGAATAATAGGAGCACATACTCCTTCATGGTGTCTTAGTGTAGAAGACCAGTCTAGGACTAAACAGACATGGGATATTAAATTTAAATGGATATAATTCCTGCATATATACATTTCTCAGTTCTGGCAAGAGTGCAATGAAATGGCATTTTAATCCATTGCTTAGCTAATCTGAGAGTAAATTTATAAAGATTTTTGGAAAGCAATTCAGCAATGTGCATTGGGAACTCTAAAAATATCTCTTTTTCAGATAGTAATTCTACTTTTTAAAATCTAGTCTCAGGAAACATTTCTAAAGTGCACAAAGATGTTCATCACAGAATTATAATAGCAGAAATATTTGAGACAATTATATAATGGTTAAAGGGGAATAGTAAAATAAAAGAGTATATTTATTCCATGAAATATTTTGGAACCCACAAAATGCTTGCAAAGACACTTTTAAATATGGGATATTATCTTTTGTGAAATAAAAAAAAGCAAATATAAAAAATCCATAAACTGTATACTTACAAACACTCATAAACAAACAAAAACAAACCTGGCAGGAATATACCTGATTGATGATAAACTCTGGGCACTAGAACCATAGATGACTTGTGTTTTCCTTTTTCCTTTAACTTTCATAATGAGCAATGAGTATTACCTTTATAATGAAAAAGCTAATAAACATCGTAAAAACAGAAACAGATTATCTTACCTAACTCTGTATTCCCAAAATCTTTCTATTGCCTTAATGTATTCAGTGTCCCTGAAGGAGGAATATCTTCATTGTCTCCTTAGACAACATCTGGAATTTTTCCTTAACTGATTTCTCTCCACCTTTCCCAACCTCACTCTCATAGTTGGTCACTTTTTCCACAATTGGTATCTTTTTCCTTCTAATCTGTTCCATTGTCTAATATTTGATCCAAACTGTCTGATGTCCAGACTATTCTTTCTTACTCATCTTTCCACTGAGTTCGGTTTGCTTGTTTTGTTTTTGGGGGGCCAGGTTGTTTTCAGTTGCATTTTTAAAATGCACACAAAACAGAACTATACAAATGAGAACCTTCAGAGCATAGATTTATTGCCATATTTACATATCCTAATTTTTAAATTATTACCTGTGAAATGTGTATATTCTTTGAAAATTTCAAAAATTAAAAACATTATGAAATTATTCAAAATAGATGCATCCTAGAGATGCTCACTGGTGAAACTGAGTCCTGGCAGGAGGGCATCCACTCACCACCACAGCAGAGGGCTCCGCAGACCCTAATAGTCCACCAGGCTACAGTCACCTAAATAGTCCTCCAGGCCTGCCATTGCCCGAGTGCCAGAGAGCAGCTGAGCTGCAAAAGACTTCTATAGTCAGCCAGGATTGGCCCAGCCTCGGGAAGACCTACCCCTCCAAATCCCAACTGGTTGCAATTTCCCAGAACCAAAAAATCAGCTTTAACATCTCTCCATGGGCCTGCTTTTTCCTGGATTTAAAAATCAAGAATGAATTCATTAACTTAATAAATATCTTCATTTATATATGGTATGTCTTTTTTAATCACCAGACGAGGGCTAGAATGTCCTACTGTCATTAGTTATTAACCTGATAATTACTTTATTTAATTTCTCATATGCTCCAAAAATCTAAATGGTGGCATGAACATTTGCCCACTGGGTAGCTGGATGGCACTGGTCAGGTATGTGTGATATTCCTGTGATAATCCACACTAACTTATGCTAGGAAGGAGGTTACAGGACAGATCTGAGAATGGCAAGAGTTTTTTATATTTTAATAATCCTATGCTGATTCCAATTTCAAAACTAGCCCTAGCCTCCCATCTGTACACTACTTTGTGGAGGTGTTAATTCAGATGTTATTCTAGACTCATCCCTCATAGGAAATGAGGCGTAAAGAGCTTAAGTGACTTGCCCAAAGTCACCTACCAAATATAAATGGAGCCAGAGCTAGGGCTCATGTGTCCCAACTCCCTGTTCTGTGCTGCCTTCTGCTCCAGCTCATGTGGGGGGACTCAGTTGTTTTATCCAGAAATCTCGTGGCTTCATGGGCATACTCTGTCATTTTTTCTTATCTAACCAGTATACAAATTACTGTTCTGTACACATCTGTACATAAAGAAGCACCTGTGTAGCTTGGATTGGAAGGTAGAGAACAGAATGATTGTGTGATCAGATTTGTGTAGTACTGGGTGAGAGATTGTGCTGGCAACACAGGGTTCAGTGGCTTCTTTTGGAGAGCCCCAGGTGGAAATCACCAACTGTGGCTGACTACTGTTCTGTAGCAGGCATGGGGTGTCCCTGCTGGCAGGCAGGTTGATGTTTCGTATTCCAGTCATCCTGTGAATGCTGTATGGGGTCCTGGTAAAGGTTACTGGGGGCTTCCTTCTCAATATCACTTTGTCCCTGGCACATTGTCTCTGTGCCTTTGCTGTCTGTCTAACTTTGACTCATTATGTGTTTTGACTTAGGGCTGTTGTGTGGCTCCTGACTCCTTAAGGTTTAGTGCCCAGCTTTGCCTCAACCTTCAAAATACTCATTCCCTAGAAAATTCAGCTCTTGGTCCTTAGCTAAATCAAAGTTGGCCCCTGATTCCAGTTTATTCTGTAACATTCTTGCATTACAGCTCTGTCTTCTAGGTGCATAGCTGCCCTTGACCTTGTCTGACCTTGGCAACAAGGAGCTATAGAATTATAATGTCATTTAAGGTCCTGTTTCTGGCTTTCTTTGAGGTTGCTGGAGTTATTCAGTGGGCATTTACCAAGCACCCACTGTACCCCATGCAGTGTCACTCGTCAGAATGCTGAATTTCTTAAAGTAGAGCACACCTTCCTCCCCATCCTCTTCTCTCCCACACTTCCCTACTCAAAAATAAAAAACCCGCAACTCCTAATCAACTACTGTCAGGTAATACGAGATCGTAAAGTTAACACTTGAATGTCAGGTACATTAATAGAAAAACTAAAAAATAAAATGCCTGGATTAGTAAATAGACAATGTAAACTGTATATACTGTGACTTATGGGGTAGGAACAGGGGTGTAGGGCTTTAACACTAGATGTGTGGTACCCAGAGCTTTGAAAGTAAAATTCTTCACCGTGTCTGTCTACGCATAACCCTCAGTTTACTGTTTGAGACCAATAGAACTAAAGACATTTATAAAAACATATATTCACATGAAAAAAAGATTGAAATAGAATGTACAAACCTGGTAAGAGGGATAATGGGATTATAAGCAAAGCATTTTTTTTTTCTTCCCATGCATAGTTTCTTAATTATGTTGCTTTTAAAATATTTTAAATGTCAGTCCGCCAACAGAATTTTCTTTGCTTTATTTCTGCATATACTGCTGTCTTTTCCTACCACTTTTGGTAGGAATTGGTGTAATCAAAGGTTTCTCATACACACTATTCTCATCTATTTCTACCCAAAAGTCAAACAATAGCACCTACTTGGGAAATTGTTTTGGGGTTCACAATTTCTTGAGGCTTAATCCTATTTGTTCTGGTCAATGGGAAATGAAGATTTTGACAAGGTTATTTTTTAAGTTGGTTGATTGTGCTTTTTTGTTTGTTTTTTTGGGGTTTTTTGTTTGTTTGTTTGTTCGAGATGGAGTCTCACTTTGTCGCCCAGGCTGGAGTACAGTTGCGCCATCTTGGCTCACTGCAACCTCCACGTCCCAGGTTCAAGTGATCCTCCCACCTCAGCCTTCAAGTAGCTGGGATTACAGGCATGTGCCATCATGCCTGGCTAATTTTTTATATTTTTGTAGAGATGGGGTTTCACCATGTTGGCCAGGCAGGTCTTGAACTCCTGACCTTAAGCGATCCACCCATCTCGGCCTCCCAAAGTGTGCCACTGTGTGAGCCACTGCACCCAGCCTGAATGTTTTAGTTTAAGTTTTTTCCCATAGAATCTTTGAACCAAATGGGCTTTAGATTCCCAGTCTGGACCGGAAAAACCTATTTAACAGATAATATATCCAAAATGTAGAAACAAAAAAACTATGGAACTTAAAAAAAAAAAGTAAAACACCAGGAATGTGTTAGAGATCCAAAGTGGGGTGCCAAGAACACATCGTGGTGTTCCTTGTGGCCTGGCAGCGGGAGCAAGGACTGGCCTCAGCTCCTTTGCACACCACGTAATGGTTTCCCAGATGCCTTCAGCCTCGTGCCACCGTCAAGAGAGGCTTCCCCAGTACTGAGCTGAGGTTCGAGATGAGGAACTGGATCAGGTATGAGGAGCAGAACTGAGAGTTGAGAGGAGAAGGAGAAGGCACACAGGGCAGGGAAGGCAGGGAGCAGAACAGTAGTGGTCCTGCTTTTTTCCACATCCCTGCCTCAGGGCTGCTGACCAGTCCCCCAGTGGCATCAGGAGAAGCATCAGCCGGGGCCCCTTCCTTTGTCTCTCCTCTTTCTGAGACTGATAAGTTACAGGAGACCCTCCCTGCCTTTAATCAAAACTGCGGTAAAATTAAAATATGAAATGGAGACTTCTGCCTGCAAGTTTTAGGCAGTAGCATTATCTTTAGCTGTTGGGAAGCATTCCAGTTGCTGAGCAGTGGAGGCAGCCACTTTTATATAGTAGTTAGGCCCTTTCCTGGAGAATAAGAGATGAAGACCTTTGAAACAGGAGTTCCTCCTGGTGGTGAAGGTTCCAGAACATTCTGGAACAGGGAGCATATCCACCCTGCTTGAATAGCTCCAGGGAGAGGATACTACCTCAAGGCAGCATCTTCCACAGTTGTCCATCCATGGCTGTTAGGAAAGTCTTTATATGGAAACTCAAAAATGCCTTCTGGAAAATTCATTTCTCTCTGCTAGTTCTGTCTTCTGTTAGCCTTTTACAATTAATCTAATCTTTTGCATTTGTGTATCCTGGTTGCTTGCAAAGAAAAAAGTCAGGCCAACCTTGATACCATGAGGAATTCATTATTTACACTCTTTACCTGAGTCTCTTGCTGGGTCTCTTCCACTGCTTTGTTAATAAGTACAATCAAGTATAGGTCCTAAACCTCCCCCAGTTCAGTGTGCAACTGTTTACCAATAGGAAAATAATGGAATGTCTAGGAGAGAACCCTAGATAGCAGTATTTTTTTCTTATTATTCAGAAAGAATGTAGAGAATATTATATGTCATTTAAAATGATATGACTTTTGGCTGTTTTATTTTGAGTTTATTAATGAGGTACAACCTCTGTTTTATTAGTTTTGGCAGTATTCAGGTTACTCTATTTTTAAACCCTTTAAAAATATTAAATCTTCTTCTCAGGAATACTCAATATTTCCCTGATTTAGACCAGTTTTGCCAGTGTTTTCCACTCATGGAAAGCTTTGGATTTTGGTTTCAAGTCTCTCTTAATCAGAGTAGTGTTTGGAGTATTCTTCCAGTGCTACTGCTATTACTAATAAATCATAGTAGCCTAGAGCTAAGAGAGGTCTTTGAGACTTTCCCCCCATGGCCCTCTTTTACTGAGAAAAAGCAGAGGCAGTGAGCGTCCAGAACTGGCTGGAGGTGGTGGAGCTGAGGGCTGGCTTCCTCACTGCTTGTTGGTTGTGCTTTGCACTAGACTGCATGTCCTCCTAAATGGATTTTAATCTCATAGTTACTTCCAGACAGTAAACAGACTTTCCTCTGGAAAAGCCTAGGTAAGGAGGTTTGGCCAAGTTCTTAAAAGAGTTCATAACATATGGACTGGAAATAAAGCTTAAGAAGCACATAAGCTTTCTTGTTTCCATTTAACTGGTCTACAAACTTAGAAAGTTTATCTAAGTGAAATGGTATTTCCTCTCAGACACTATTATTAGGTAAATAAGTCACTGTGCTTTTAAATCCCATGTTTAAAGGCCCGCTTGGCAACTTTTCCCCTGGGTTTAAACATGCCTATCAGTTCACAGGTACCAGTAGCAGATTTCAGCATATAAATGTGATATAACATACTCCATATATTTCACCGAAGGAATCCAAACCAAATTCAGATGTAATCAAGGCATAGTCTTGTAAGCTAACAAATGAGTTAAAAGTCCAACATGCATTTGGAAACTTATTCACAGTACCATTTGTTCATGGATACTGATAAAGATAGCACTTTCCTTAAAAAGTAGTTAATTTTACCTTAGAAGTATAACTAGCATTCTGACAAAGCATTCTAGCTGTTCTTCCTTTTATACTAATTTTGCCCTTCATTAATTTCTCCACATGTCTAGCAATCAAGCTACTGTCTTAAAAAACAAAATCTACTGCCTCTCCATTTTTATGATGTTTCCCACAGTGCCTCAAGACTTGTGCTTGTAAAGTTAATTGTTTTTGTCTCAAACCTCAGATCAGTTATCAGAATATTTGTTTTTAATTGAGTAGTTAGTTGTAACAGAAGACTATATATCCTCTGTTCTTTCCACTACTACACTATACTCCTTAATGCCAAAAAACAAACTAAAAACATCAGGATCCTTTTATGTGTGTGGGCTTGTGCTCGATTTTTCTTTCTTTTTTCATTTCTTTCTTTTAACAGCTTGATTCTTGGATTTAAACAACTTTATTTTTAGGGAAATACAACCCCCTCAGGTTCTTTATGACTCAGTCCCTACACCATGTGGCCACTGTTTCCTGGGTGCCACACCTCTGAATAGATTAACATGAAAGAATGCTGTGCGCTATTTAGATTACTAGGGAGTAGAATATTGAATACATTGCTTAAATTTTTTAATCTAAAATTTAATCAGAAATTTACTTTGGGAGTAGACAAAGGAAATCTTTGAAAGTGTTAAATTCTGACTGTATACATGCTGTGAAAATTTCCTAATCTTTCATATTGAATATAGTGCTAGCTAAACTATTGCTGATAAGTATTCTTTCTTGGAATTGAATAGATTTCCATTTGAACTTTTCAGTGCCATTTCATTATAATAAGGAAGACATTTATCAAGGAAAAAAATGAATATTCAAATGTATAAGTAAAATTGACATTTCAGTAATTCACACATTTTAAATACACATTAGAAAATATTTTAAATATTGAAAAATATATTTACTGTTTCATTTAATATAGCTGTGATATCCCCAAACTTCATGATCATTATTATAGCAATGTTATTTTCCTAGATAAACATACAAGATGTTTATTTAGATGACTTTTAAAATCAATCATGTTAACATTTATGGTAAGGCATAATGACAGGTTTTCACTTAGCTGAAAAAAAAAGTCACATAATTATATTTAAAATACATTCATTATAGGTAAGACATAAAACTAGAATAATTTTAGGTACAAATTTAGGTTTGTATTTAAATGCTGATTTTTAAGAAATTATAGAGATAAACTTTGGACTTTATCCTATTATTTATAAGCATTTATTAATAACATTAATGTCTCCTTAGTATTGACTGTAAAGTATACATCGATACTTGTAAGATAGACATGAAACATACCTGTCAGAAGAGAGTAGTCCTCCTAAAAGTAGAAGTTATCCACCATGTACTACTTATCTATAATGTAAATGTTCTCAGACACTGTGTAAGAAGAAAAGATGAGGAGGTATTACATTTAAAAGAAAAAAAACACCCTTCAACACAGTCCTGGTGTGGCTGCACCCTGGGTGATACTGGAATAAACTGCTCCCACAGATTAGTCCATGTTAGTACTGAGGAGCAAGATTAAAACTTGTTACTGCTCATGTGTTTTCCATCACTGTTTGTATCGTAGCCAAGACTTCTAGCTAAACTCTAGACGTCTACTGGAAGATTCTGAAGAAGAAAAAAAAAGAAAGTTTAATAATGCATGGCAACTGGCCATTGAAAGTGCAGTCGGAGTCATTCAAGAAATACCTAGTTTTAAAAATATTAGATTCTTAAGTGAATGAATATTTGTAAATTACAATTTCAAAAATTACTCAACCTGTATAGACTAATAAAATATTTATCAATCTGAATAAAGGATACCAACATTACTGAAGTATATACCCAAACTTCAGATGTACCTGAGAAAGAACCATACTTTTTTTTTCTTCTAATGACTGTAGCTATTGCATTATGCATACTTCTCCAGACTTTTTTTTTTTTTTAAGCTTTTAGCACTGCTATAGCATGTCAGGGAAACTATGGATGAGGCTCCATGAACTGCTCCCTGGACTCAACATATGTGATATAACACAGACACACATGCATGTCCAAGTAACACCCTCTTAGGATGCATACAACTTTCCCTTTTCAAGAGAATATTAGCTATGGCCTCACTGACATTTAGGGAGACTTAGAGCAGGGAAGATGCTATTTCCTGAAAATAAATCATTATTTGTACCCCCTTTCCACTCATCCCCAAGAGACTGCCCAATTCTACATCAACTAAGACCTTCAAGAGAGGACAGTTTTCTTTTTTTTTTTTTTGAGACGGAGTCTCACTCTGTCACCCAGGCTGGAGTGCGGTGGCGCAATCTTGGCTTACTGCAAGCTCTGCCTCCCAGGTTCACGCCATTCTCCTGCCTCAGCCTCCCGAGTAGCTGGGACTGCAGGCGCCCGCCACCACGCCTGGCTAATTTTTTGGTTTTTTAATAGAGACAGTGTTTCATTGTGTTAGCCAGGATGGTCTCGATCTCCTGACCTCGTGATCTGCCCGCCTCGGCCTCCCAAAGTGCTGGGATTACAGGCATGAGCCACCATGGCCGGCCTGAGAGGACAGTTTTCTAACCCTAGTGGCAAGGACTTACTGTTGTAAGTGACCCCAATGGTTCTTCCCAACTGTTGTATAGATTTGGAGGCCAGCAAAGAGCTTTTCCAGTGGGTTAGAAGACCTGTTCTCTACTGTCATCAAGAGTCTGACCATCGTTTGTTCCCTCTCTCCAGAGAAATGGCACACATTGTGTTAAGCAAGGCAGCTACAGTCCTAAAGAATACATGTGCCTCAGATGTGCATAGCAGCTGGCTATGTGTTCATCCTCCCCTCACTTAAATAAAGTACTCCTCCTTGGACCTCTAGGCTGACAGTTCCAGGCAGCTCGGTAGTCCCATTAGTGGCCCTCTGTAACTCAGGCCCCATCCTAGCCCTGCAGCACCTTAGGGAATGACGGCCCTCCTGTTTGGTTTAGAATGCTCATATTCTCATTTATTCAAGTATATTTCAGTTGCAAATGTATCTGTTAACTGGATGAATTGGGAACATAATGAAAATATGAACTGGATTTTTAAAATCTTTGTATCCAGAGCATCTAGTGTTTGCCTAAATTCCTTCAGAACACAGTCATAAACAGGAAGCCCTTGGGTCAAATTCAGTTTGTCCTGCACAATGTTTTGTTTCTGAACTGTTTATTGAAGTGTATGTTACCAAAAAAAAACATATCATAATGGTACAACTCAATTAATTTTTACAAAATGACCCCAATCAAGAAATCCCAGCCTCACACTCCATTCTCATACATCCAGAATCCCTCCTCTTACTCCTCAAGTCACAGCCTGAGTTCAGCACCATAGGTTATTTCCTGAACTTTATATAAATGGAATCATACTGTGCATTCTCTTTTGCATCTGGCTTTTTTCATTCAGTGACATGCTTTTGAGATCCATTCGTGTCATTGTGATACACAGTAGTTCATTCTTGTCACTGTATAGTATTCTCATACATGAATAAGCCACAAATTGTTTATATATTCAACTAGATTAATTACCTTTTGGAGAGGTACTATGAACGTTCCTCAGTCTGTCATTTGGGGGTCATGTGTATGTATTTTTGTTAGGTGAAATTGCTGTATTTAAAAATAAGATTTCAACTTCTCTTTAAAAATTAGGCTTTCCCAGTCTGTGATTTCTGGTTTTGCATGGCAACTGTTGTCTCTGGGACTTGTGTTTTTCTCTTCTATACTCACAGGATGTTGTCCACGTCACCCACCCAAGGCACTCCTCAGTCGAGTTGCCTGCATGGCCTTTCTGGGTGCAGTTTTGCCTCCCATATCTAGAGAGTTGAGAGGCAGTTCCTGTAAGATTGTGTTTCTAAAGATATGTTACAGCTACTTTTCCTTCTCCCCACTGTGAGACTTAAGCTAGTCTTCCTCTGATATTTTGCTTCGATCTTTGGTCAGAGGGCCTAGGGAAAGAAATAGGCCCTGGAATAAGATGCTGGGGTTAGGGGTAGTATATTTGGCTTATTCACTCTGTTCTGCAGATAATGTGGTAAAGGTGCAGGCCTCAGGCACAACCCTCCACCATCTTGGGGCTGTGACATGGAAAGCTTTGCCTCACATTTGCCAGAGATGGTGCAGCAGGCACGAACGTGCCATCTGGGAAGAAACTGGAGTTTATCTCCACCCTTTTCCAGGTTATCATTCCAAATGAAACAGTGTACCTCTTCTTCCCTCAAGTATTGTGAAGAGAAAAATCTTCCATTTTTGTTTCCTAAAGGGGTCCTATGGAGGGGACCTAGTTCTTTTCTCCATGCTTTTTAAATTGTTTTATTTTTGCCTCATTGAGCCTTAGTCTAAATATTGAAGAACTAGTTGCATTATAACAGTATATTTAGGAATCACAAGTAATTTACATGTTGCAAACACAAAGATAAATTACAAAATTGAAAAAGTAATATTCTCAGTACTGACAGTTTATGAATAAAAATATTGATTGCCATAAAAGGAACTTTAATGCAAATTTATTTTCCTTTGGCCTTATATATGCTAACCATCGTGAAAATAAAAATAAATTGCCTAATCTAAGCTCTCGTATGATTTCTCACACCCTTTCTAGAACTTCTCCTGGTCTAGACATGGACAACAGTGGTCAAAGTCCAAACACAAATAAGAACAGGGGAGGACCTTGGAAACTGTCTCATGCAAATAAAAGATTGATTGATTGACAGAGTCTCACTCTGTCACCCATGCTGGAGTGCAGTGGTACAATCATACCTCAAACTCCTGGGCTAAAGCAATCCTCCCATCTCGGCCCCCCAAAGTGCTGAGATTACAGGTGGGAACCACCTGCACACAGCCCAAATGAAAAGGTTTGATAGGTGAGGCAGGAGCTATAGGAGCAGCATGTGTCAGGAGTATATTGTGGGGCACACACACACCTGCCAAAAAAGTAGGCAGTTTGAATTTTCTGATGTTCTTTTGCCAGTCTGTGGTGTCCTTCACATTCTAAATGAATTGGAATAGATTGTACAATGTTCTTTTATAGTAGTAGCTACAAGAAAGGCCGTCCACCAATCCATTCATTCAACAAATAGTGTAAGTGCTATGGAGAGAAGCAGGATAGGGGTGGGGGTGTCAAGGGTGCCCTCCCTGTCAGGTGACAGTCACAAGACCTGAGGGCTGTGAGGGAGTTAGCCGTGCCATGCAAACACCCACTTTAAGAATGTTCTAGGCCACTGAATTCTAGGATGTAAATATGCATAACATAGGGTTTTTTGTATAGTAGATGCTTAAAAAAGCTTCTGTGAAGGGATAAGTGATTAAGATTTCATGAGTTTTAATGTTCAAGTGTCCCTCATGGTGGACTAGGCACTTCGGTTTCTAATGAACTTATTTTATACTGTAGGTTGTGACCCAGGGGCAGTATTCAACATGCAGATTGTTTGGAGCATATAGTATTTTTAAAAACCAGGACATTTGATATCGAAGTCCAAATTTACAATGTATTTGGAAAAATATGAGCTGGAAAAACTGACCCTGATGTCCTATGTAGCAGCAATTTGCTGAGCACGTAGGCCCTCCATGGTTCTCTGCTGCCCTGACCTCCTCTTACCCTCTCCTCACAGCTCTTCCTGTTGCAGGGACTGGCTTCTGCTGTGTCATGTGGCTGAGCTCACTCTGTCATCCTACTTGAAGTTTCTAGTTCTGAAAAATGAATTATAATAAATTGTCACTAAATGTTCATTCCGTTGAATTTATGAAAAATGAAGGACTTATACAATTTTGTTTATTATATTTTGCATGTGTCAATTTTTTTTTTTTTTTTTGAGACGGAGTCTTGCTCTGTCACCCAGGCTGGAGGGCAGTGGCACAATCTCAGCTCACTGCAACCTCCACCTCCTGGGTTTAAGCAATTCTCCTGCCTCAGCCTCCTGAGTAGCTGGGATTACAGGTGCAGGCCACCACGCCTGGCTAATTTTTGTATTTTTAGCAGAGATGGGGTTTTGCCATGTTGGCCAGGCTGGTCTGGAGCTCCTGACCTCAGGTGATCTGCTCGCCTCGGCCTCCCAAAGCGCTAGGATTACAGGTGTGCACCACCACACCCAGCTGTGTCAAATATTTTTAATGAATGTCTGAAGTCAGTTTGCTTTGAGGAATCTGTACAAGTAATGGTTTTGTTTTAAATAAATTTCTTACCTCTTTCCACTGAGCAGACCTGAGAGCAGTGAGCACATCTGGTTTCCAGATCTGTGTTTCTAAATACTGTTTCCCACTAAGGGAACCAGGACTCCTTGGAGAAATGGCCCACAACAGGTCTGGGCCAGAGAAGTAAAGGTTTCTGAAAAAGCTTTCTTGTACCAAGAAGTGTGAAAGTTTGCAGAGTTTACCAAGGACTCAGAAAAGGAACATAGAAGCCACCATGAAGGGGCAGTTTGAGCATCTCAAAAAGAATAAAAACTGGATTATAACACATACAATACTAAATCCTTTTTATAATAACAGAGAAAAGAGGGTTAAAAGGATCAGAGTTTTTCCTTACAGAAGAATGTCAACTAATGAATGCAGAAGGAATAACAGAAAATCACCACAGTGAAACCTCCAATATAATAATTGATTTAAGGAAAGATAATCAAGGGAAGCTAAAACAATTAAGTCAGCATCAGCAACACAGTGAGATCCTGTCTCTACAAAAAATAAAATAGAACAGACATGGTGGCACACACCTATATATGGTGGCACACACCTATAGTCCCAGCTACTGGGGAGGCTGAGGTGGGAGAATCACTTTTGGCTGGGAGGTGGAGGCTTCAGCAATCACACCACTGCACTCCAGCCTGGGTGACAAAGCCAGACCCTGTCTCAAAAAATAAATAAACATATAAAACCATTAAGTGAAAGTTTGCTCGATAGCAAGAAACTGTACTTTGAGTACCCATACAACCATTGTGTTTTTCACTTTCAGTACAGCATTCAGTAAATTACTTGAGCTAGTCAGCACTTTATTATAAAATCAGCTTTGTGTTAGATGATTTTGCCAACTGAAGAATAATATAGTATTCTGAGCACATGTATCTAGCTTAGGCCGAGCTATGACATTAGATAAAGTTTAGATGTATTAAATGCGTTTTGACCTATGATATTTTCAACTTACGGTGGGTTTATCAGGGTGTAACCCATCATAAGTCAGGGAACATCTGTATTATTCATTGGTGAATATAAGTGAAGGGTATGTAGATGCTCATTGTGAACTTAAACTTTTCTGTGGCCTTGAAAATATTACCAAATAAAGGGGGAATAAATGCTAAATAATTGGAGCAGATAAGGCAGTTTGCCTTAAATTAACTTTAACTCTTTGATTTATCCTTCACTCTAGTGAAATATTTACCGCCAAATTTATTTTAAGTTAATTAAGATGTTACGTTAGACAGGGATTCTTAACTTGGGTATATGAATACTTAGAGAATTTGTGGAAAGACTTTATGAGTCTTTTGATACATGCCAAGTGTTTTTATCTATGTATTTTTCTGCATAGAGGATCCATTATAGCTTTCACCATATTTTCTAAGGGGTCCATCCTTCAAATAGTTAAGAACTGCTGCCCTAGAATAGATTTACAGTTTATAATGTATTCTTTATTCCTAGTGTCACAATACTAGTTAAATTCACTTTCCAAATGATTCACATATAAATTTGATGTTTGTGAATGTAATTCCCAGTTTAGGCAAAACAATGAACCTTCAGCAGATTACAACTTATAAAAAGATTTGCTTATATCAATTGATAGTTTAATGTAAGTTTATTTGACCACAGAGATTCTGTTACTTAGAAACACACCAGGACATTTTAATAACATGATGTATTCCTTTTCTTTTCCAAACTAATATGTATTTAGTGTAATCACATGTTATTTTTAATACAGTCCTGCTTTCCCTTGTGTGGATTCACATTCTTCACATTTTATACAAAGGAAAAAATATGCTAGACTAAGTTTTGATTTTATCCATTTTCATACAGAAAAGGGAACATAACTTCACAGAAGAAATGGTCATGCCTTTATGATTTAGTTGTATCACCACTAAAGTTTACTTACTGAGTTTAGAACATTTATTCCTTTACAAATAACAGTATGTGACAGACTGAAATCCAGCCGGGCTTACAGTCTCGAATGCTCCTGTTCACCTTGTAGACATGTCATAAGCTGAAGCCTTATTTAAGACATGTAGAATCAAACATGGACTAATTCAGGATTACACAGTTTACAGTAGATTTTCCTCTGAAAACCTTTTACAAATGCCTCTGATTCTGTTGGACTAGTTTCAATTGAGCTGATGGTCGTAGGGCCAGAAATGAATAGGAAAGGAACAAACTTGCTAGGGAAGCCTCTGCCCAAAGTTTGCTATGTGGGCTACAGATGGAAAGGCCTGGGTTTGCCAGTGCAGACTGTCTTGCTATACTGTTGGTGACTCATTCAGCGGTTATTTCTAAGGGAAGAATTCATTTATAGGACAGGCTCATTGATCAGATACTTCTCTAGTTTGGCTGACTGTTTTAAATACAATTTTCCCCCTTTTTAGGTATTATAAGTAATCACAGTGAATCACACAGATCAAACTTAATTGTCTTTCCTATGGTCAGGATTTTTTTTTTTAATCTTATGATGAGATGTCATTTACACTCTTTGAGTTCCAGTTTCCTCACCCACTTGGCTCCCTCAGCCTGGAGATCCTGCTCAGATGTTCGTGTATACCATGGTTCACTCTGTTCCGTGCCATGGACATGATCATACAGTAACACAGAAGAAAGGCAGTCAAACTCAGGTTTTGTTGTTAATTTCCCACCTACTCCTCAGGAGAGCCACGCTGTTGCCAAGGCTGCAGGGTCCCCGCTGGACCCCCACTGGCCCACAGAGTCCAAGGGGTTTACTTCTGGCCCTTTACAGAGCATGTGTGCAGAGCCCTGTCTTAGTGTATTAGACCCACTCCTTTTTCCACTATATTCAATACCAATCTAAGAAATCAGTTATTTTAAATAATTAATATTCACCACACTCAGAGGCCTGGAAGCCTTGAGCGAGTTAAGTAACTTCCTGCTCACCAGTTTCCTGTAGTCTGTCCCTGGAAACATTGACACTCACCTTTATTATGTCTACCCTGTGCCCAGCACCTCCACAGGATATCAACTTGTTTAGTCTTCCCATCAGCCCTGGGAGGCAGATGTTGTTTCCTGATTTTGTGCACGAAGAAACTAGAACTCTAAGTAACTTGGCCAGGTCCATGGCTAGTACTGATTCTAGTTGAGAGCCAAGATACTCATTATTGTTTTTTTAACTACAAGAGATGAATCTCCATGTTTCACAGACTTTGGGGGCTTAAGGCCTGTAATGGTCATTTGGTGTTAAGTTAGAGCTGGGCAGAAACTTCTTTTCATGGGTACTTTTAATATTTTTGAATTTTAAGTCTATCAAGGATCTGAATTTACGTTCAACCATGGATAGATAAATAGTTCAGTCATCTGTCAGTCTGTAAATGTTTCTGCCATGAGGACATTTTCTATCCTTTTTCTAAATAAGGGAAAGAGGTGGAATCAATATCATAAAGGGTTTTACTCCGCCCTTTGGAAGTTTCACTTCAACAGCAGAATTTGAGTATTTCATTCTTTTAAGTCAGCATCTTAGGAACATAGTAATTTATGGTATGTTTAAATGATGGCTTTGGAAGGCATAGTCAGTGTTGCTATTATGCAGAGCAATCAGATTGATTACTAAGTATTACCAGTTGTCAAAGCATAACTTAATTGTTTAAAAAATTTACTTAGCTTTCTGAGGTCCTTGTCAGAAATGTTAATAACATAAATGATTCCCTTTTACTTTTGTGACCCTGTATAAATCTTTTTCTGCTCAGTTTCTAAGTTTTTCTGTGAAAATCCTTAAATTTTGCAGGTTCCTTTCTTTTTTATTTAGGAGTAATGTCAACTTTGGATAATATCAACTCTTTGGGTAATATAACTCATAAGCTGAACCAGTTTTGACTGGGAGATAAAGGAGATGGAACTCTTTATTCAAGAGACGTTTTAGCACCTACTTTGCACAAATTCAGGGGTTTAAGAAATGAGTTGTCTCTGTTAAGTTTTACAGTCTTTTTGGAGAAACAAGCTATACCGCTCAACCCAGCTACTGTACAGCACCCATATACACAAAAAAGTAATCAATACCTAACTAATAATTCCAGATAATCATTATGTAGGACCTAACTAATAACACTAAAGAGATAATCACTACAGACCTACCTAATAATACCAGATCTGTCCTGGGTAGCGGCACAGGCACTGAATAGCGGGGGTTTTGTGGGGCTGGGGGTCCTGAGGAGCTAGGCTTTTAGGTGCAGTTCATCCTGTGCTTGGAAGCTGGCTCTGTAAGGTGAAAGGCTCAAGTCAGATGGACACTGCAGTGAACTTGGCTTCTGTGTCCCTCCCTTGAAGTTGAGGATCGGAGCCCATCAGAGATTGGCTCAACTGCCCTTCTCTTGTAGGCCCCTTCAGGTATACTCCTTGCCTGTGCATTCAGCTTTGACCTCATACCTTCCCGTCTTTACTGTCCTCTCCTTGTCTTGCCTGACCCCCATGGTGACACCCCAAGTTCAGCATTCTCTCACAGATGGCCCCTGGCTCTCAACTTCTTAGCAGCATTATGAGAATCAGAGCAGTTTCTTCTTTGGTCCCTTTTCTGTGTGCCCCTTATCTGACAAGATAACTATTCACTGAATTCCTTTTGATGTCTCTCGTATCTGTGCTGTGAAGGCTCTCACTCTCTAGATTTTTGCAGTGAGTAATTCTTTTTCCTTTCTTAAACTGCTGCTTTCATGGAACACTTCTTGCTTCAGCATTTTTCAGTGGTATGCTGCATTTCTCATCGCCTTGAATCTGGTCTAATTCCTGGCCTGAGGAGCCCTCGTCTTGCCTCTCCTTTCCTGCCATAGTGAGGCTAGACTCCTGACCAATAAGCCCAGACGTGAGTCCCTCCATCTGCTTCCCTCACTGATTCACATTCCTGTTTCAAGGTCCATTGATCTTTCTCCTCTGAACTACGTGTATGTGTTGTATGGTTTAGTGTTAATTATATCCTGTATTATATCACAGTCATCTTCTGTTACTCCCCACCTAAATTAGTAAAATTAGAGAAACCATTTTTGCCTGAAGCACTATGCCTAACACAAATATGCTGCCAAAAATTTGGGGTTTTATCCTTTAGCTATATACCTGTAATTTGTGGCTTAAATTTTCATATACTTATGCCGAGTCTAAAATAATCTTAAAACAAACATTGTCATAATTTGTTAACATTTCCAAGTCACTTTAAAGATTTATACTACATATTATTAAACAGTTACTGGAATAATTATGTGTGAGTGGGAATAATCGTCTTGATGACCCCTGGAGGTGTCCGTGACAACTAGAGGACACTGTGCATATTTCAACTGTACAACATTGTGGGTAGTTTCTTTGTGTTTTAATGAAAGCAGTCATCTTACGGAGTAATTAACTTTGACTTAATGAGAATGGCTTCTAAGGAGATGTACGTGGAGCCATTTGATGATGCCATTTGAAGGAGAGGTGGTTTTGAGTATCTTTCTCCCCTCGTTGGTAACACCTGCCATACCACATGCCCTATACCCTCCGGTTGAGCATCAGCCGCCCAGGTTCGGACCTTTTATTAGGCAGCCTGCCACTCTTGGGTCCCCTAGACTTTCCATCCAAATTCTAAGGGAGAGACAGCTTGGTTCAGCAGGAGGAGCACCAGCCTCAGAGTCAGAAGATGCAGGGGAAGTCCAGACTCAGCCACATATTCCCTGTTGTTCTCATGTGCCACCTGCCCTCACTGAGCCCCAGCATCATCACCTGCCCTGCAAGGAGGTTGGTGAGCTTGCAGCACTGTGCTCGTTCCTACAGAAGCTTGTCGACTAGCCATTTAAGGCGGTCAGGGGCCCAGCAGTCTGCTCAGGGCTAATCTCACCCCACTGCACTGGTGCTCAGAAGGAAAAACAGGCAGCCTCTTCCTAAGGCCAAGCCTCTTCAGCCTGGATGCTCCAGGAATGTAGCTGGAGCTGGAGAAAGGGAAGAGAAGGCTGCATGTTCTTGATGGATTTTAAAACCTAGTGTGTCATTTAGATAGTACCTAGTTTGTTGATTGTAAGAAGAAAAGGGGGATGGGAGTGAACACTTTCTGATGAGAGCAAAGCTGCTTTGTTTGAAGAGAGAGGTCTGTTCACTTCCTTATCAGTGACATGAAACCCCTAATGAACCCTGTCTGAAAACCACTGATCTGTTCCAAACATGTTATTTTATAATTGAATCAAATGAATCCCAAAGAAGTAAAATGACTGCATAATTATTGAAGAACAAGATGGGCTCCCAAGTCTCTTGGTTCCTGGTGTAGTTATTTCATTATACCAGGTTCTGTATGTCTTTCACTAAATAATTTCTTTAGTGCTGCTTATAATATTCTTATTGATAATAAGCCAAATCTCAAAATTATACTGTTCCTTGTATATATATACAAAGACAAGACACACCATTAATATTTTTAGATCATGGCTAGACCAGGACTTCTTTAGTGTATATGTGTGTTAGTAATTATAGTGTAATTTTTGAAGCCAAACAGAACATCTGTTTTTTAGTACATTATATTGTGAAGAGTGTTTGCTATAAGGACATTTATCACTTTTTTATGGAATTAAAACTTCCCATCTAGAACATCATGAAATTTCAGGGCTGAACAAGTTCCATGCTAGCCATATTTTAAAAATTATAAAATCAGTAGAAATAAGTACAACTTCCACTTAAGAAAAAAGCTTCAATCAGTCATTCTGATTTTCATTTTTTTCTTGGGATTCTGCAGCCAGAGCAGAGTTGAGAAGCGACATACACAGCAAGCCCACAGTGCGTCTGCTCCACAGGCACCGGTCTGGATCTGCTGTTAATCCAGGCCGTTGAGGGTGGCCGTAGTCTCCTGGCGGCCCTCAGGCCCCAGTGTGCTCGTCGCATTGTCACCCATTTTTCTGACTGCACAGCACTTGCCTGCTTACTTGTCTGTTTGATTTCCTGCTTATTGCCTCTACCAGAGAGGAAAGGCCACATCTGATCTGTTTGTCACTGTCTCTAGAACAGCATCTGAAACACAGCTGAATAAAGTCAGAGTAAGAAATGAATGAATGAATCGTTTAGTATCTGTCTCTGTGTCATCCCAAGATGCTAGTTCTGCTGACTCACCTTATTCAGTTTGAGCCCCCTTTAATACTAATTTTGTTTACAGCTTAGATTGCCTTAAACCATTTATGTCAATGTGTTTATATTCATACATCAATAAGTGTTGCACAAGGGTTGTTAAATGGATGTGTAACCCTATCTTCTTGTTTTTACCTGTCTCTTAAAGTCAACCTGGCCACTTTAAAATTAGTAATGCACCTTCATTCCTAAACTGATTATGAAGCTCAACTTTTGTTCCATAAAATTCTAGTTTTCTTCCTAACAACCTGCTATAAGTCTTTGACTCTTGAGTCTAACAGTTATCTTCATATTATTATTGTTGTTCATGTTATAATCTCTGAATCCTACCTATTAAGAAAGTAGGCTTAGAAGTAACATTATGGAATAAGTCTTGCCTGGTGCAGTGATTCATGTCTATAATCCCAGCACTTTGGGAGGCCGAGGCGGTCTTATCACAAGGTCAAGAGATTGAGACCATCCTGGCCAACATGGTAAAACCCCATCTCTATTAAAAATACAAACATTAGCGGGGAGTGGTGACGCATGCCTATAGTCCCAGCTACTCAGGAGGCTGAAGCAGGAGAATCGCTTGAACCCAGGAGGCAGAGGTTGCAGTGAGCCGAGATTGCACCACTGCACTCCAGCCTGGCGACAGAGTGACACTCCGTCTAAAAAAATAATAATAATAACATTATGGAATAAGTCAAACTTTTCACACTCATGAAACTGAAAGTCACCCATGAAATTGTCAATTGTGGTTGGCTATGCTGGTTCCTCTCAGTTTTATATGAGATAATAACTGCATTCATCATCCACACCATACTTTCCAAAATGCTTTACATTCTTTTCTAGTTCTTATAATAGCTTTGTGAAGTGGGGATGGAAGGTTCCTAGAGTGGTGAAAGAACTATTAAATGATTAAATAACTAAAGCTTAAAAAATTAGAGAAACCTATGCAATGAGGCCAACACTGGCACTTAAGTTCCTAGCCAAGACATAAAACTGAGAGTAACAAAAGAAGTCAACATAGTTTCTATATGTGTCTTATAAATTACTTTAGCAATACAAAGATAAAAATCATTATGTTAGAAAATTTTAATATATGATTTTGGTAGGGCCAATACATAGTAAAGACATAGCTTTATTTCAATTGAACCGAATAAAATGATGTATTTCAGTAAATTAAGGCAAAGGAGATAGATGCTATGACCAGTGGTGCAAAATTTTTCAAAAATTTATACATTAGATTTACCTTTACAAGGTTATAGTCAAGAATAATTAATTTGTATTTTAAGCAAACTCTACTGCTTTTCAAAAAATGTCTTAATCTTGAGTGAGGAATAGTGAAGGTAATCTTAATATACTGTTTAACTTTAAAAAATAATTTTAGAATTATAGAAAAGTTTCAAAAAGAGTATAGAATTTATGCACACCCTTCTGCCAGCTTTCCTTAATGTTAACAATGTACATAACCATAATATGATTTTCAAAACCAGGAAATTAACATTACAGTAGTGTTTTAATTTTACACATGTAATTAATGGAAGAAATGAAAGCTACCCCAATATTCAGTTATATTTATACCAGTAATTATAGCACAGGACCTTATAAGAAATTAACAAATTATTGTTTTAATAATAAACAACACTTATTCATAAATTCTGCCTGCTTTTTTTGTTGTCATTATGCTTCTTAATCTTGAACCAAAAGATACATAATTTTTAAAGGGACTTACAGAGTTCTCAGCTAACACCAGTATTCAAGTTGATTATAAAGGCTGTGTTTATTTTGTTCCAGACTCTTCTGGTCTAGCTCAGTATGCATAATATCCTATTCTAGTGAGATGGCCTCTTTCTAGAGGTAGGAAACTGAGAGATTTTACCTTTACTATTAATAAAACTCCTAGAGACTATACCTTTTAGGTATATTTTGGTTGTTCATCTGTGTGTTAGTGAATCAGGTTGACTAGCATATAATGATACTGAGTATAACAGGAGGATTATGTCTCTCTTATTAATGACAAATGCAGCTACTACAAATACATGAGTAAAGTTTATAAACAGCAAAGGAAAACTTGGAATTACTTGATGTTTTGTGGTTTAAGAACGATACTTGAGTATGATCTTATGCATGAAAATGTGTAAGATGGTATTTCTCTAATTTTAATATAATTGTTTTCAAGATGAAGATGTTCCAGATTTGAGTCATCATCCTCTTCAGCATTGCAAATTTCTTCTGGAAGAATGTTCCTAAGGAAAAATAGACATGCAAGTCACACATGGTCCCAGTAATAATCTGCCTTTAGGAGTTAAGTTTAACATTTGTTAAAAAAATTTTGTTCTTAAAATAAAGTTGGATCCTTATAGACCAGAATAAATTCCAACTACGTCAGAGATTCAAATGTGAAAGATGAAGCCATAGAAGCACTAGAACAGACTGTGGTCACACCCTCTGACTCGGGAGATTCTTTCTGTATGTGATTTGAAAACCAGAAGCACTGAATGAAAAGATTTAAAATTTACTGCAGGTTTTAAAAAGAAAGTGCAAAGTTAAACAACATGACAAAGAAGGAGAAAGTAACTTATATCGCAGATACAAAGGCTTCCTAAGAATCTAGGAGGAAAATGGAAAATGCTCAGTTTCATTCAGAAGAGAAATGTAAATTGAAACTTTACTGGCATACCACTTTTTATTTATAAGGTTTGCAAAAAAAAAAAAAAATCCAGAAGCTCATTAACATATTCTAATAGTGAGCCTGGACCGATCAAATACCACTGAAGAGAATGCAAAATGGTGCGCCACCTCTGGAGAGGAATTTGGCAATATCTAGTAAAATTACATACACACTTTACCCTTTGCACTCTGCATTCCCACTCCTAGGATTTTATCCCAAAGTTAAACTGGAAAAAAACAAAATGACATTTATACAAACTTATCTTTTGTGGCATTATTTTTAGTAGTAAGAGTGGAAACACATGTCTATCAATACGGAACTGATTGAATAAAATATAGTATATCTGCATAATATTCAGTTGTGAAAAGGAATGAAGAAATTCTCTACATACTGATGGGGAGTGATATACTGATACTTTTAAAAAGTAAAGGGTAGGCTGGGCGTGGTGGCTCACACCTGTCATCCCAGCACTTTGGGAGGCCAAGGTGGGTGGATCACCTGAGGTCAGGAGTTCAAGACCAGCCTGACCAACATGGAGAAACCCCGTCTCTACTGAAAATACAAAATTAGCTGGGCATGGTGGCGTATCCTTGTAATCCCAGCTACTTGGGAGGCTGAGGCAACAGAATTGCTTGAACCTGGGAGGTCGAGGTTGCAGTGAGCTGAGATCACGCCGTTGCACTTCTGCCTGGGCAACAAGAGCAAAACTCTGTCTCAAAAAAAAAAAAAGAAAGAAAGAAAAAAGAAAAAAAGGGTAGAAAAAATACACATACCCCATAAGGTTTGGTTTTTTTGACCCCTCCAAATCTCATGTTGAAATTTGATCCCCAGTGTTGGAGGTGGTGCTTAATGGGAGGTGTTTGGGTCATGGGGGGCAAGTCACTCATGAATAGATTGATATCCTCTCTAGGATCAGGGGAGTGAGTAAGTTCTTGTTCTATTAATTCCCATAAGAGCTGGTTGTTTAAAAAAAAAAAAAAAAAAAGAAGTCTGGCACCTCCCCATTCTTTTTTGCCTCCTCTCTTGCCATGTAATCTCTACACACTCCATCTCCCCTTCCACCATGAGTGGAAGCAGCCTGAAGGCCCTCACCAGATGCAGATGCCAGTGCCGTGCTACTTGCACAGCCTGAAGAACCATGAGCCAAATAAACCTTTTCTCTTTATAAATTACCCAGCCTTGGGCATTACTTTATAGCATCAGAATTGGACTAAGACATATATAGAGAGAAAACTGCCCTTTTGTGTAATAATTTGTATAATAATTATGGATGGGGATGGGGAAATATGTATATGTATGTAGGCTTTTGTTTGCAAAAATAAATACTGGAAGGATAAACTAGAAATTTAAAAATTTAACCTATGGGAAGGATCATATAGTGTATAAAAGACAATCATAGACGTTGGGGGAGGGATAGCATTAGGAGGTATACCTAATATTAAATGAAGAGTTAATGGGTACAGCACACCAACATGGCACATGTATATATATGTAACAAACCTGCACGTTGTGCACATGTACCCTAAAAGTATAGTAAAAAGAAAATATATATATATTAAAAAAAGACAATCATAGAAGTAAGACTTCTCTTAATTCAACTTCTTACACAGTTTTGACTTTGGAATTAAAAATATTTAACACAGTCAAAAATAATATTAATTCAAAAAGAAAAGAGCAATTTCTAAAAACCAAAAATAAACTAAATAACATGTCTGAATATTAAGTTGTTGACATATTACAGAGGAAACCACTGTATTTCAGCTGTACTTCTTTAGTGGAACTTATCCTAAAGACAAATAGAGCTACCAAAAAATAATAAACTTCAAGCTTTTATTATGAGCAGTAATAATGATGTCATTTTGAAACAATTGTTTACATATTGTAAGATCATCCAAGTTAATATTGTTGGGAACCTAGATTTTCAGTGTAAGAGAAACAAGTTTTAATAAAAGGAATTAATATTCAATTATGTTAAATTTGATTTGGGAATGTCAGTCTGAACTTACTTTCTTTTCAAAATACGGAATTTCCTGGCAGTCCACTGAAAGGCCTCAAAACAATAGCAACACAATTGAAAGGACCACGTCTCGTTCCCACTTGGGGCTTCTCAATACTATTCCCCAAAGAAAGAGGCCAAGCTCTTTGGAGGAAGGTCTGCAGTAGGTAATGCAGAAAGTAAGCCTGAGGCCCACGTGTGCCCAAAAGCAAGTGAGCAGACACAAGAGCCAGTTTGAATGGCGACCATTGTCCAGATGACTGCAATTGATTGAAACATAACTGCTTACATGAAAGCCTAAGTATATATTGATTCACCAGAAAAAGAGAGAACCCTAAAACAAAATAAAGCAAAAACATTCAGGCTCCAACTTCTTACTCCCACTGGTGGTTTAAAGGAAAGAACTGAGCTTTTTTCTTTCCTTTCAAAGTGACAAAGCAGCCCTAGTTGATGAGCAAAAAATTTTTTACAGAGGAATTCCAGCTAATGAGCATGAGAAGCATGGCAAAAATAGAAATTCATCATTTTGTTACCTCTAATGAAATAAGAATTCAAACAACATTCATCTGTGAGTGAAACCATTGGTTCAATGATGGAGGAGTAAATTTGTCTTAGGAGATACCAGGCTGTGACCACTTCAATCCAGTGATCAATTTTAGAATCAAAAAAGGTGGGACAAACATTAGACGCCTTCTGATGCAATGCAGTATGAAGCATATGGCACAACCTGTGAAGTATTTTTGCCAAAAAATTTTGAAACTGAATTTTACAAAGTCTTCCCAAACCCCCATCTCTTCCTCCAGTACCTTTAAAAACACGAACTTTTCTGTGTTTTTGTTTTGTCTTTGTAGGCATTTAGTTTATTTGGACTTTTAGAGAAGGGGAAAGACTAAGAGGCATAATTCTCAGGGACAGAACAACAAGGTTATTGTCTCCCTCACTGCCAATGATAAAGACCTTACTAACAAAATATTCTGGATTAATTCTCAAGACACTCATGCCATCTAGGCAGGAGTGATGATTCAGTATATAAGCTGAACACATGCAGAAAAATGTGTTCCCAAAAGTAGGGAAAGTGAGTCTTAATAAATGTATTCAGAAATCTGACTTCAGAAAAAACTAGATAGAAGCAGTTTTAATTTTAGCATATATTTACGTTTTATGCTTTATAGATTAGTTTTATTTATTTATACATGGAGGTAGGAGTAGTAACATAATCTATTGCTTTGAAGACTCATTTGAACCTCTCTCTAAAGTTCTAAGTGTTATATATAATAATCTGTTAATCTTTTTTTTGAGATGGAGTCTCACTCTGTCACCCAGGCTGGAGTGCAGTGGCACCATCCCGGCTCACTGCAACCTCTGCCTCCCAGGTTCAAACAATTCTCCCACCTCAGCCTCCTGAGTAGCTGGCATTACAGACACGCACCACCACGCCCTGCTAAGTTTTGTATTTTTAGTAGAAACGAGGTTTCACCATGTTGGCCAGGCTGGCCTCAGACTCTTGAACTCAGGTGATCCGCCCGCCTTGGCGTCCCAAAGTGCTGGAATTACAGGCGTGAGCCACTGCACCTGACCAAAAGATGTTTTAACTATGGAAATTTATAAACATGTGCAAAAGTAGGAAAAGCTTATAATGAATCCTCACATACCTGTCATCCACCTTTGGTAATTACTAACATTTGCCAATCTTGTTTAATCCAACCCCTTAGCACCATTTTTTTTTCCCTTAACGTAAATCCCAGAGATCATGTCATGGTTGTTTTATCATATATTTTGCCAACCAAAATTTAAACAGATACTTGAAAAAGCCAAAATTTACCGTATCTTGTTGTTGTTCAGCCTCAGAAAATGTAGTGCTTTCATTTCTTGTATCCCAGGTGGTATAGATTTTAAGTCATTGTGATCCAGAAATAATTCTCTCAGAGAATGATATGCCCCATAGAAGGAGACACGGTCCATGCCATCATCAGCAAGTTTGTTAAATGACAGGTACAAGTATTCCAGGCCTGGTTCCATGTGGCCAAACACATAGCCAGGGATCCGTTCAATCTGGTTCCCAAGGAGTACTAGGTGCAGCAAGGACTTGGGTAGATAGGACGGGACGTGATAGAGCTTGTTGTAGGAGAGATCAATGGATTCTAGATTTCTGCAGCAAAGAAAAAAGTAAACAGGGTAGGGACATCAGGATGGTGATCATCAGCTCTAAATTTTGATAAGGCCAGTCTCGATGCTGGTCCATTTTCCTATAAGCACCCAGTTTGTAGTGATGATTCCAAATAGGAACTTTTCCAGGTATAGCCAGCCCTAGTCTCTTGCACCAAGCTGCATGTCCTTACCAGGGTGCCATACTGCCTCCCAGCTATGTGAGTCCATGCGAGAGGAGCATCAAAGACTAGGAGGGAAAAACTCATATCCCTAGAGGCAATACTGAGGCCCAAAGACTAAAATATCTGTACGGTTGATGCGTTGAATCCAAAATGAAATCCCGTGAATCCCAGCATGCATCTAAATGCCTATCTGTAAAGTTGTCTCTGGTTCCAGCAAGGAAGTTTGGTTTGTTTTGGCTTGTTTTGGTTCCCCTTCCCCTACATTTTCATTCCACATTTGATTTGATGACCTGGCACACCTGGGACTTGAGGCGAGCCTGAGGGAATCTAGAAAATGCTGTTAATCATCTAGAAGATCTGGGGAACGTGGTGAACTCACTGGCTTGTTTCAGGAACCCCACCTGAGTCTCCTAAGGCTTCTGCCCCACGCCCTCTTTTCACCTGATGAAGACTTCTCTGCCTACAGTGGGCTCAGTGCCACATGCTGCTGAGCCCAATTGGCCTCTCCATCCTGCTTCTGAATGACACGTGTCCCAGGCTGTGCTACTTAGGCACATAGTTCCAGGACACGCAATCCCAGATCCCAGTTGTCTGCTGGATTTGCTGCAGGGCTTGCTTCTGACTCCCTCCCCCTTCACTGAAAGCTATAGCCAGAGGCTGCTGATTCTTGTCCAGGAAGACAGAGTCTACTTTTGGCCTGCACTGTTAGGCCAAGCATTCTTCAGTCTATTTTGTAAGAGTTGAGGTGAAGAAATAGTTTGGAGAAAAGAAGGCTGTGTAGTGTAGGAGAACAGGCCTGGGCTCTGGAGCCTGGTGCTTCCACCTAATGATGATGAGGAGAAGGAGTATGGCAGATTTCTTTCTCACTGTGTGCAGGGGAATAATCCTTCATTCAAACCTCCTGACAACCTGTGAGGTAGACAGAGCTAGAGTGGCATTTGACCACTAGTGGGCAGACCTCGAAGTCAGACAGCTGGGGCTCAGTTCTTGCTAGCTCAGCACTTGGCATATGATAGGGTGTCCAGTATGCAGTATGGTGACAACAACAGTAGTTACTGCAATAATCCTAACACCAGTCATGCAGCGCACAGGTTGGAAACTGCATGAAGTAGCCCACTTTGGGGATAGGGTAAGGGTTCACTAAGAAACGATTCTGTCTCCGAGCCCTTCAGTATCGTCACCTCCCTCACTTATCCCATTCCCAGTTTCCATACTCTGTTTAATAATAGCGAGAGGAAGAAATAGTTCAATAAAATTTAAATTGTAGCATGTACTTACTCTTGATTTATCCAGGCTAAAGGAGCAATCCTATTTTCTTCAATTTTGTTATAACGTAGTACAATGACATTGATCTTTCTGGTATGATTGAAACAAATTTCAGTTATTTCTTCAATTTGGTTATTTTCTAGGTATAATTCCTATAATTAAGAGAGAAGACTATTATTTTTCTTTTGTGTTAGTTGATACGTTCAATTTCATGGAGACTAAAATAGTGACATAGACTATTATCATTAGTATTATCTAAAGAGTCTTACTGCTCTTTCAAGTAAGCTCATATTTTTAAGTTGTCTTTTTTTTTTTTTTTTTTTTTGAGACAGGGTCTCACTTTGTTACGCAGGATGGAGTGCAGTGGCACAAACATGGCTCACTGCAGCCTTGACCTCCCAGGCTCAAGTGATCCTACCACCTCAGTCCCACAAGTGACTGAGACTACAGGTATGCGCCATGAAGCCTGGCTAATTTTTGTATTTTTTGTAGAGACAGGGTCTCACCATGTTGCTCAGGCTGGTCTCGAACTCCTAAGCTCAAGTGATCTACCCGCCTCGGCCTCCCAAAGTGCTGGAATTACAGGAAAGTTGTCAAATTTTATAACTAATTAGTAAAATAAAACACACTGCCATGGTTATGGAATCAAATGAATTTTATTTAAAATGTATTAGCTATAATATGTTGCAAGAAATGGCATACCAAAATAATTATACAAGGCTCTCTATTTTATAAAACTTATTCACATAAATTATCTCATTTGGGCTTAAAAACTCTGAAAAGTAGACAGATATTTTAATCTCTACTTACCAGTGGAGTTAAGTTGGGCCTGGAGAGACAGGGAAGCCCACCCGTGGTTACATGACTAATGCTGAGAGGGGCTTGTCCTAGCCGAGCCTCCAGCTCCCAGGCTGCCTGTTTCCTACTATTTCATGTGGTCTATAATATTTTAGGCTCATGTTTTTAGATTTGCTTTTGTTATAATTAATTAAAGTTAATTAACAGCCTTAATTTACAACCAAGGAGAAGTTTTCTAGAACTGTTAATAAGTTTTTAATAGCTAGCTGCCTTCAAGTTAAGTTTAGTTGGCATTAGAGGGAGTTTTTCACTAAAGGATCTGCATTATAAAAATTCTCCTTGTTCTCTTGTTAGAATTCAGAGGTAAAACTGGCATATATCTTTAGTGTCACCTTCTATTCCACCTGTGAGAATTTCCCTCTTTGTTAATTTTGGTATTTGTTAGAAATTAGTAAAACAATTTTCAACTTTTTGCTTTTACCTGCATATGTATTTAGGAGGTGAGCTAGATCAGTAAGAGACTAGTCAAATAAATCCTGGCACACCTGTCCATATGTTGAAAACTCTGCAGCTGTAGGAAAGAATGACATGAGACAGCCTTGAGGCTGCATGGTTAAGTGAGGCAGGTGTACAGCAGTGGCTTTAGAAGGATTTGTAGTATGTGCCACGCATTTGTGCGCTTGTATGCCCAGTGCTTTCCAGACTGGTAGGAGTGGATCCCTCTGGAGAGAGAGAAGTCAGTATGGGAAGCTCAGGCTCACAGTGGGGCAGATTGCTCTTTTGTATTATCCTCATTGTGTATGTATGTGTTTTAACATGTGTATGCATTATCTATTTAAATTTTAATTTTTTAATTATTCATTTCTGGCCCTGTCCCACAAAGAATCTGACTTAGCATATCTGGGGTAGGTCCAAGAGTCTGTATTTCTTAAGAACCCAGGAGATTCTGATGGAAAGCCAGCCTACTGATAAATGTCAGTGTTACATAACTCTGTCACTTAATCTGGAAATAGGAAGAAGAGGAAGGGTGGTAGCCATGACAGCCACATAAGATCACAATAGATGACCCTCTTTTCTGGCTTGCTGGGGCTGCAGCCGGAGAATGCTCCATCCTGACTTCTGGCTGGATGATCATGTGGTCTAGGAGAAACGGAGCTTAGTAAGGAAACCTGGGTTCCCACGGGGTCTGCCAGTATGTATAGACTCTCTGGACCTCAGTGTTCTTTTTGGCAGGCAGGGTGGGGTGTGGTTTGTAGAGACAGGGTCTCTCTGTGTTGCCCAGGCTGGAGTGTAGTGGTACGATCCTAGCTTACTGCAGCCTCAAACTCCTGGGCTCAAGTGATCCTCCACCTCAGCCTCCTGAGCAGCTACGACTACAGGTGTGCACCACCATGACTGGCTATTTTTTTTTAATATATCTTTTAGAGACAAGGTCTCACTATGTTGCCCAGGCTACTCTCAAACTCCTGGCCTCAAGCCATCTTCCTGCCTCAGCCTCCCAGAGTGCTGGGATTACTGGCGTGAGCCACTGCACGGTCCACCTCAGTGTTTTTAACGCAGGAAATGAGGGGTGTTGACATTCATCAGCCAAAGACCCCCAGGAGCACATCCTGCAGCAAGGAGACCACACATCTGGGGACCTGTGGGGCATCTCTAGAGGATAATGAAGCAAGGCTGGGGTTTGGGGCCTGGAGTTAGTCACAGGACAGTTTTGGTAGGAACTGGGTGAAAACTTGTAAGCTACAGAGTTGCTGAAACAGTCAGAGGCCTTCTTTGTACAACACTTGTATCCATGCAAGTTACTGTTAGGTCAGAGTGTCTGTGGTTTTGCCTGGAATTTGTGAGTGGACACTCTGTTACGGTTAATACCTGTTTGAGCTTCTGTGATAAGCGTCACATTTCTAGATTGGGGCAGTTTACACTGTCTTGAGAGTCAGAGTACCTCATGGAAGTTGTGGTTTCATTTAAATTCTCAATTCATTTCTCCCATTTCCCCCAAGAGCTATCAGAAGTACCATTTTTCACTGTATCAGGTGTCTCTACTAGTAATTATAATTTCGATTCAGAATTTTGTATTGCTTGAAGAAAAAACAATGCTTAAATTACAGGAAATTCTGTATACAGCATGAAACTAGAGTTTAATTTACATCACAATAGTCTTAAAATATATTTTGTTGTAGTGTACCATATTTCAAATATAATACATTTAAAACACTAAAAAAATATATTGTTACCTCAATAGAACCAGGAAGACCCTGCGGTATAATTCTAAATTTATTTTTTCCCAGACGCAAGTAGGCTAGGCTCTTCAAAGGTTTGAAAGCTAAAGGATTGACATTGGCTTCACTGAGATTGTTTCCTTCCAATTCTAAGGTGACCAACTGATTTAAGTCTATAAAAAATAAAAGTATTAGAATATTAGGATAATTGAAAAACCATGCAAATTTTTGTAGCCTTTTGAAATGTCATGTGAAATGGCCGGTTTATTTGGAGGGCAAATACAGTTTTTTTTAAACCTTTGTATCCTCCTATAAAACCTTTTCTTAAGTACTTTGTACATCCCAGATGCTCAATTCAACCAGAACTAAATGCATGGTCCAGTAGTGAGGCAGACCTGAAAAAAATCATTGAAATGCTAGGTGCTAACAATATGTGTAAGGAACAGAAGCAAGAGAGAAGAGAGGGAGGGAGATAGGAAAGAGAGGCAGAGGAGTTTCCATAGAAATTGTGGTGGCTGAACAGGGATTTGGAATTCAGGTAGGAAAGGAATAGAAAGTTGTGGACAGTCATTGGAAACATTGCAAAGACATAGATGTATGAAGTGGCAGCATAATAGGCAATGGGGTGGGTAGAAGTTTAATGCAATGAATGATTTCTTTTTCTAGGACACAGAAAAGAACACTTTCCCTGGCTCACCCTCAGTCTCTGAACAAGGGAGTCAGAAGTAAACCAGAACAGTGAATTCCCATCATAGTTACTCACTTGTTGGCACAGAGTGCAGCCAAATGGAAGCTTTGAAAGAATGATGATCAAAAATTCTCCATGCATTCAGATTGAACTAGCAAGAAAGGCCTTTATACAAACAAATTTTTTCTACTTTGTTTCTACTAGTCTCAGGAGTGGTATGATCCAGGTCAAATGGAAGTTCTGTGCTGCAAAATGGACAGCTCAGCAATGATAATACCCAAAGGCATCTGAGTCAGAGGCTCAGGGTGTGGCCAAAATTCCCAGATTAGGGGATGTTTTCTATTCAACCCCCTTCATGGGCATTGCACCGAATGCCATGTGGGACTCCGTTCTGCTCTTAGGCAACAGCAAAGACGGTTGCATCAGGAATAGAAATAATAAATGCTGGAAGATTAAAAGAAGAAAAAGCAGTGTAGATGTGAGTGGTATGAAAGTGCCAGGCTCCTACAGACAGAAAGATTTAGATAGAAGTAGGAGGAACTTCCAAGCTGAAATAGCCAGCTGAGCACATGTAGGTGAAAGACCATGTGGGTTTGCTCAGGGAGAGAGGAGACTAGCCCTGGAGTGGCTGTGCACAGTGGAGTGAAGGTTGGTGCTCAGAGAGAAGTACACTGGGAGGGCCTTTTTTTACATTTTTTAAATTTTATTTTATTTTATTTAGAGACAGAGTCTTGCTCTGTCACCCAGGCTGGAGTGCAATAGCGTGGTCTTGGCTCACTGCAACCTCCGCCTCCCGGGTTCAAGCAATTCTCCTGCCTCAGCCTCCCGAGTATCTGGCATTGCAGGCCCCCACCACCACACTCAGCTAATTCTGGGAGGGCCTTTGCACCCTGGACAACAACGTCTGGCTCTCATTCTCTAGGCAGCAAGATGGGGATGGCAGGACAAGGGCCACATTTTACAAAGGTTAACCTGGTGGTGGTGCTCAGGATTAATGGAAGTGCTGAGCAACAGGAAGTAGCCAGGCCAGCCAGTAAATTGGGATAAGTGGTTATATTTCCTCATATTCTCTTTCATTTCCAAAACTAAAGGTACTGAGAATCTGACATCTTTCTCTAGTACATAGGTGAAGTTTTGAAATGCAGTGGAAGTTTTTCATTGAAAAATAGATAACAGAAATGAACTAGTGGCCATTACATGACTGAGAGAAAAAGAGAGAAACAGTGCAAATTCAGGACACTGTGTTTTCTTTTGCAATTATTCTCTGGTATATATAGGAAATAGGAGGTAACAGGAAATAGGATGGAGCTAGAGAACGTTTCTTGTAGGTGAGACTTGAGGTGGATGTTGAAAGGATTCATGGACAGGAAACAGGAAGTCTTCCATGGTGGGTGGTACCATGACAGGCTGTGGACATGGCAGGTGCCTCGATGTTCCTGGCAGGCAGCATCACATGGTCATCCACTAGAGCAGCCTCCAGGGCTCCTGATTTAGTTGTTTCAGTCATTAGTGACAACAAAAATGCTTTTAAAGCGTGCCTGGTTTTCCTCAGCTGTCCCTCCCTCCACCTTTCACACCTCTCTCTCAATTGTAAGTCCTTCCCTTTCTCCATAACACGTGTGCACATCTCAGGTGGACTCTGCTCCTCCTGCAGGTAAATTCCCTGCCCTTCAGCAAGGTGTGTGCAGCCCCTTGTGCTGCTCTTTGCTTGCCTTTCACCTTCACCGTGCCTGCTTGCAGCTCCCACAGTATCCCAAATTGTCTCATTTATTTGCATCTTTGTGCTGTTTTCTCTCCCTGGAGTGCCCTCCTTCCCCCTCTCTGGAGCTATAATCTGAAAGGTCATGAGTGAGGAGCCACCCCAAGAGAGATGACGGGAGAGCAGTGGGCCACCTGCTTCCACACAGAAGCAGGGTGCCCTCACAGCACTCCTGGCAGCCAGCCTGACCATCCACAGCATCAGGACTCCCAGCCAGGGGGAGCCCAGCACCCGAGGGGCCAGTACTGCAGTAGCTCTTAGAACTCAGCCCACCCAGGGAGTGCAGCCGGGGGTATCTGAGCCGGAGGACAGAAGCACTGCCGGCATGGGGCCGAGGCTCCTCGGGTGCTCGGACTGTGGAGAAAGGTGGGCTAAGAAAGGCAGGCAGACAGCCCGTTCACCCTGGCTTCCTGTCAACACTCTGGGAATCTAGAAGCATTTGTGAGTGAGGGAGGAGAAGAGTACTCTGGAAGGCAGTTCCAGGGGTGTGTGAAAGCACGTTCACAATCAGGAGTGCATGTTTTATAACATCTCATTTTGATAACCCAACTAAAAGTGTGACTGACTTATAGTTCATATACAGCCTGTTAGTACAGTTGTTCTAAATTGCTGACACCCTTTGGTCTTCAGCAGTTAGAAACTGAATTTTCTAATGTCTTTCCCATTTGGCAGTCTGCATCAAAATTTGTGTTTATTAATGTTTTTCTGTGTGTCCTGAAATCCATCTGGAAATTGAGTATTTCCATAACTAATCCTCAGATTTGGCAATTCTCATTATTATTGTTCTTTTCTCAATACCAGAAGTGTTTTGTTCCTGTGAAGTTTTTTGGGAGCTACAGGAAATAATTGAATTGTTTTATTCCTTTAAAGGCTTTGTTTAATAAATAACATAATAAATAAAAACATAATATGTTTCAAAGCAAGGAAACAGACAGTGTTGAGCACTGTACCTCAAGAGCTATGCTAGACTATTAGGAAGATAAAAAGAAAAGGTAGGCAGTCCTTGTCTCAAAAAAGTACACAGTACAATCAAAGGCATTAGCTAGAATTCATGAAAAGTAAAATGTGATAAAGCCTCTTCTATACAGAGTCACAATATGACAACTTCAGCTGTCTAGCACAGTCCCGAAACAAGCAGAAGAGGGGCCATTTCCAGCAATGTCGAGTGCACAGAACATGGGGCACGCTCACTAAAGGCTGTCAGAAAGCTAGGCCATGGTGGGAGCCTTGCATCCACATGCCGTGGGGTGTGGAGTTAGCAGGACTTCAGTGACATATGAGTACAGAAGTTCCAGCCCAAGCCCTCTCAGGCAGAAAATTGCCAAAGTCAAAGTTAATACCATGAAGAGCATGTGCTTTCTTTGTAGGACAGCATCTCAGCCGCATATGCAGTGCCCATTTATTCATATTCCATGCATAATTCCCATGTGCTTAGTTTTGTTTTTAGGTTCCAACACATGATAAATGAAAATAGCAAGGTGTATGGAGGCAGCAAGAGTTGTGGGTGGGGTCTGTTGACCATCAGAGTGATAAAGGAGATCCAATCAACAAACATGGCACTGGTTAGTCGCTACAAAGAACCGACAAAATTGTCGATCCATAACACAAAACACATGGCAGTGCAGGGAATATTTAGCGTAATTCTTCAGATATTTTGGATTTGTAGTAAATTTATTGCCTTGTGAATAATAAGAACCTGGAATCATTGAGAAACAATGTTATTCATGGGTAAGGTACAAAGACAATAGGCAGTTTAAAATTCATTTTACGTTTTACCAGTCAATAGTTAAAAGAAGTTTTATCAACTCAAATGGTTAAGTGACCTAAAAATATTTACTATTTATTCATTTGGCAATACAGTAAATAAAATTTCTACAGGACTATATAGGAAAGATTATAAGGAAGCATATCATTGAAAAACAAATATTAAATACCTGATAAACTTTCTTCATCGATAGCCTGAAGATTGTTCTCATTGACTTTAAGTTCTTCTAATGTAGATGGCAATTGTGAAGGAATCTGTATCAAATTATTTCCATCCATATTCAAACGCATTAACTTCTTCAGAAGCTTAAAAAGCAAATCTCAAAGTTACTTTTTTATCTAGTCACAGCTGTGCAGTCACATTTCATATAATGGTCGTGACTAAAAGTCTCACAAACCTATCCTTCCTTAGGCTTAGACAGTAATGTCCAGGCCACACAGCAAACCCCTTATTCCCCCTGCCAGGTTGATATTGATCCTGGTAATAGCATTGATTCTCAGGGATTTTCAGCAGACTACATTTGATTATTTTGTAGCTTACTCACCACGTTTATATTGCAGCTTTAGAAAGTGAGAGAAAGCTGCCATAACTACTGGATTGGTCATTCTTGCTAGATCTTAGGTTTCCACCTTTACAGCAATAGACAGAAATTTTATGAAATCATGCAGTAATCTGAAGCTGTCATGGATGCTAACAATTAAGATAGCAATCAATCCTTTAAACATACTTGTAAACCTCAGTTTTTTATCTACTCCAGAAAGGTCATAAAATAACACTAATTACTGTGGAAATTTTTCAAAACCAAGGACTACAGATATCACAAGCCATTCCAATATGGCATCCAGTTGACTGTCTGGAAAAGTGTCTTTTTCACATTTGTAGTTGTGTGTTCATTGGTCAAACCTAGCCTGTACCCCCACAAGTGGGGACCTGTGGTTGGGTAGGTTTTAGTAAAGTCCCATGGAATGATTCACTTCTCCAGTGATCATATTCAAATTTCAACAGTTTCGGAATGGGACAGAGAATTCCAAAGCAAGAAAAGGAGGTAATCTCTTACAAATTTTTCTCTTGGACAAATAGGAAAAGGACCCCCTAATGCTAGCCATTTTCTAGAAGAAGGATGGATAGCATGAAGTAGATCTAGGGTGTGAATGTAGAACCCTTTTATCTGCCAGACTCCAGATAAGAAACAGGAAATGAGAATAGAAGAGACCAGTGATTTGTCTGAAGAGTGGGTGGAAGACCCAGAAGACTGCCCAAGGGAGTAACAGTTTCACTTAGTGGAATATAGTGTGCTTTATTTTTGGCTTTTCAAACATACACATTTATGAGTTTTTGTTTACAAACATAAACCCCTTTTCTCTTGGCTCTGAAATTCCTTGAATTCTCTCTTCTTTTCTCCTTTTTGTTGTTTGAGACAGGGTCTTCCTCTGTCGCCCAGGCTGGAGTGCAATGGCGCGATCTCGGCTCACTGCAACCTCCGCCTCCCGAATTCAAGCGATTCTCCTGCCTCAGCCTCCCGAGTAGCTGGGACTACAGGTGCATGCCACCACGCTCGGCTAATTTTTTGTATTTTTAGTAGAGACGGGGTTTCACCATGTTGGCCAGGCTGGTCTCAAACTCCTGACCTCATGATCCGCCCATCTTGGCCTCCCAAAGTGCCGGGATTACAGGCATGAGCCACTGTGCCTGGCCTGTTTTTTTTTTTTTTTAAATATATAATTAGTCCAATCTGTATCTTTCAAAGGTTTACTCTGTGCTGTTTCCTGTTCTCTCTCTTTCCCTCTTCTTCCCCAAGCTATCCCTAATTTTTATATGAGCCTATTTGTTTTTCCAGAACCCCCTTCTGCCAAAGTATCCTCCATCAGGTTTTGTTGATTGCACACACAAAAAAAGGAAGCAGTGTCTTGCTGGCCTGAAAAATGTTAACAGAGGTTCCAGATAGGCTCAATTTGTTTCCAGAAAATACTTCAGATGCTAAAAGACCAGATTTTAGCATGTTTTCAGTTACTTGGGAAGAAACTACTCCATAAATTAAAATCATTACTTTTGTCACTGATGCTATTGTTGGTGTCCTTACAGCAAAGCTAAAAGTATGTAAAATAGTAAACTATATTCAAGGGAAAACTTGAATTCAAATTAGGGACATCAGAGAGGAAACTTTCTTAGAAGAAGACTACCAATTAGAAGCATTTTCCTTTTCCTCCCTTCCCCATCTCCAACCAATGCAAGTCATAGTGAAGCCATTCATCCAAATAGACAAATCAGAGCATGTATTTACCTTGAATGCTTTTGGACCTATGCCTGAAGAAGTGATATTATTTTTACTCAGATCAAGCCTTTCCAAATTTGGTAATCCATTAAATGCTTCATCTGGGATGGAGGCGATGGAATTGCCTAGGACACACAGCGGTTATGTTTTAGGCATGTGTGCATATACATACATGTACACACATGTATGGGCATGTGTGCATAGATATCAAGAGAGAGCTTTGTCTGGAGGAGAAAGCAATACTCAGAACAAGGACAGAATATATATTATATAACCAAAGCATGTTCAGAAAAGTAACAAGCTGGAAATAGATGGTTTAACATAGTTGACATTTTCTCTCTAAGGATTCATCAAGCTGTAAATATATCATGGTTTAGATGAAGGTGCTTAACACAGCCAGAATGTGGTCTGCTGGAGAGTACTGGTAACATTGTACATTTACAACAAAGGTGTGGAAGGTTACACAGAAACTGATTTTTATTCTTCATATTTTCCCATAGCCATTTTCCTGGACTAGAAACATGCCTCTGTTTTTGTCCATGAATGCTCATGCCAATCACTCACCTCCTCTGAGCCTGTCTCCATCTCTGCATAAGAAGCTTGGGGAGATCATCTCCCAGACTCTCTCAGATCTAATGTTATGCCTCTACGGCTTCAATCTACAAAGGTTCCTGTATGCTTTAATTTTATAGGTTTTTGTTTTAACATTTAGTTAAGTTCAGTAGTCAATTTTTAAACCCGGAAAGTGAGCATACCAGTAGTACATACCATAAAAGCCACGTGGTGACCTTCTTATAAAACCATAACAGTGTAGCTCAGCATGGGTCATTTATCTTTTCCAAGGCTTTAGACTTTCACAAATGGGGTTTTCTTAGGGCAGAGCATACCTGGTGTATAGGCCACAGGAGGAAGGGACTTTCCTGAGCATGAGAGGAGTTCCTTAGGTGATCATATGAAAGTAGGATGAAATCCTTTGTCAGAGAGGCCATGGAAGCTTCTATTATGTTTGACACTGGCAGTGTGCTGTCACAGATGGCCATCTCTGCACAAATGTGTTGACCTTTTCAGCTTCCCTCACCCCAGCATCTCCAGGGACACCCGTGGCATGGGGGCCTCATTACCCAGACGAATGCTCCTGCTGCTCCCAGCACCCAAAGTGTCCCCACCAGCCAGCCTCTCACACCTGGTCCTGCTGTTGTTCCACTCAGAGCCCTCCCTGGTGGTCCTATGGAAACATGGGCAGAAGGTCTAGATGACCACATTCCCTCTAGAATGTCAAAAAGGAAGGGAGAAAACAACTGACAGTACCAAGTGCGGGCAGGCTGCAGAGAGGCAGGAGCTCCCCAGCATGCAGGTGGGAAAGGAACAGCCACTTTAGAGAACTGTGGGGCATTTTCTTATAAACTTAAACATGTATTTACCATATCCGCAGTCCCACTCCTGGGCATTGCCCTAGAGAAATGAACACTTAGGTCCACACAAACATCTGTACGTGGATATTTATAGCAACTTTATACATAATCACCCCAAACTGGAAACAACTCAGATGACGTTTAACTGATAGGAAACCCTGCCCCATCCACATGATGGAACACTACTTGGCAGAAGAGAGGAATGAACTACTGATACACAAAACAAAATGGGTGGCTTTCAAAAACATTAGAAGCCAGTCTGAAAGGGCTATGTATTGTATGATTCCACTTATGTGACACTCTGGAAAAGGCAAAACTGTAGAGACAGAAAACAGATCAGTGTTCTGTGGTGGCCAGTGACTGGTGGAGGGGGAAACAAGGAATTTTGGGGAGTGATAGAATGTCCTATATCTTAATTTTGGTGGTGGTTACATGACTATGTGCATTTGTCAAAACTCAGAACTATATACTAAAAATAAGTTTTACTACATATAAATTATACCTCATTAAAGCTGATTTTTAAGAAACATCAGTAGGAAATCATCATTTGATTTGGAGGAGTTTGCTTTATACCTAACTGCTATTCTGCAGTAAACAGCTATCTCTTCTGCAAAGTTTATATATTTGAAGATTATGAAATTAGTCTATTCAGGATCAATTTTTAGGATGAAATTAAAATACAGTCTTCACAGAGCAATGAGAATCGTTCACTTTTTTTTTTTTTTTTTTTAAGAGACAGGATCTCGCTCTGTTGCCTAGACTAGTCTGAAACTACTGGGCTGAAGCCATTCCCCCACCTCAGCCTCCTGAGTAGCTGGGACTACAAGTGTATACAACTGCATGTGGCTTAGAGTCATTTACTTTTTTTTTTTTTTTTTTGAGATGGAGTCTCGCTCAAGTGCCCAGGCTAGAGAACAGTGGCTCAATCTCAGCTCACTGCAACCTCCGCCTCCTGGATTCAAACGATTCTCCTGCCTCGGCCTTCTGAGTAGCTGGGATTACAGGCATGCCCCACCACGCCCGGCTAATTTTTGTATTTTTGGTAGAGATGGGGTTTCACCATATTGTCCAGGCTGGTCTCAAACCCCTGACCTCAGGTGATCTGGCCACCTCAGCCTTTCAAAGTGCTGAGATTATAGGCGTGAGCCACCGTGCCCAGCTGCTAAGAGTCATTTACTTTTAAAGCACAAAATAAAGCAGAAGTCAACATCTCTTACCAGTGAGCTCCAGACTTGTTATCTGTGGTGCTGTCAGCGGTGGTATCTGGGTAAGCATGGCGTTGATGCAGCTGATGGTCCTGTAGGACAGAGAGCACCCGCTTGGCAGGCGCAGTGTGCCTCTGGGAGGAGCAGGAAGCGGGGATCGAGAGGGCATTCGGAACATATCTCCTCTTACCGGGTCCTCCTCGTCCTCCTCATCCTCCTCACCCTCCTCACCCTCCTCCTCCTCATCCTCCTCCTCCTCCCTTCCTTGGCGTTGTTGCTGGTGTGCCAGCCTCCTCTCCTCTCCAGGCCTCTGCTTTCTGTCTCCTCCTCTGCTGTCCCCCTCACTGTAAAGTTGCCCCTGATTTCTAGATTCAGGGGTCTCTCTCTTTTGCTCTGTATCTTCTTCTTTCACTTCTTCATCCTCCTCAGATTGAAGTGCTTCTTTTCTTACTATTCGGTCCATTCCCACCTGAGGAGGTGGCAGTTGCTTATGAAGTAAATTGGTAGGTTCTCTTTGTTCTGAAGAATCACCAGAAAATTCATTTCTATCATTTAATGCTATACCACTGAGTAGAGAATAGGAGACTAATGACCACGCAAGGATGAGGTAGCAGAGATAAGTTGATGATATTAATAAAAGAAAAAACCATAATGAAAATGAGGTTAGTAAATATTATTCCCTCCAAGTATTTGAGTGCAATTTAAAGATGAAATGCACCTTGAAATTCTTGCTTAAAAAGTTTTAATAGTCACTTTATTTCTATTTTGTAATATCTGTTACATTTTATTCACCTGTGGGCCTTAATACTAATTTTTATATTAAATAACTTAATGCTTATTTTTGCTAACATATCATGATACCTGGTGACTAAGGAGGGAATAATATTGCCACATGAGGCAAAATGGTAAGCAATCCTGTTGTGAGATTGTGTTATAATCAGTTGTGATACCTTTATAATAGATACTGTTCTGTTCACTGGGGCTATTGCTAATGTGAGAATTTGCAGACTGTTTACCAGACATTAGAAAAGTGAAACAGGTGTATATTTTACTTGCTTATAGCAGTGAAACCAACTTTTGCTTATAGATTTGTCATTATTTTTGTCCATGGCATCATAACATCATCCTCTGAAATTCAGAATTATAGAGAGAGAGTTTTCCTCCTTCTCTGTCCCAGACTCTATACTTAAATCATCTTTACTACCTGAGACTTACAAATGACATTCTGGACTTAAGTGATGTTGCTTTAACTTAGACATATGCCCAGGAGTGCTGTTTATCCTTCCATGATGGTGGGAGTAGAATAGATGATAGTAGACAGTTAATCTACATTTATATTTAGCTGTTAAGTCTTTGGCAGAAAGTGGGGAAGACATGACAAAGACTAGATTCAAATTCACTCTCTGGGTAAACAGTTCTAGGAAGAACTGATTTCACAGTGCATACTTTTTTTTCCCCCCCCCGAGACGGAGTCTTGCTCTGTCGCCCAGGCTGGAATGCAGTGGCATGATCTCGGCTCACTGCACCCTCCGCCTCCCGGGTTCAAGCGATTCTCCTGCCTCAGCCTCCCAAGTAGCTGGGATTACAGGCACCCCACCACCATGCCAGGCTAATTTTTGTATTTTTAGTAGAGATGGGGTTTCACCATGTTGACCAGGCTGGTCTCGAACACCTGACCTTGTGATCCTCCCGCCTCAGCCTCCCAAAGTGCTGGGATTACAGGTGTGAGCTACCGTGCCCAGCCAGAGTGCATACGTTTTCTTCCATCAAGATTTAAAAATTTACTTAATCATCTGCCTACTTTTATTTAACACTATATATAAACTACTCCCAAAAAGAACTCAGGAAATATAATTATTTGGAGAAATTACTTGAGATATCAATTCAGTATGTATTATAAAGTCTGTGAATTATTTTTTCACATCTCTAGCAAAACATGCAGAAGAATAGGAAAAAGTTAGTAAAAGGAAACTAAAGCTATCATATTGAAACATTTAAAATCCTTCCTGTATATCCAAGTTTATTTTTCCAAAATAACTACATTTCAAGAATACTCCAAGTCTTCTGAAAAAATTTCTGAGAATTTGTGACTCTTACTTTGTAAACCTTGTATTTATTTCACTCCAAGGAATCCATTTCATTGAACACTTTTTTCCTAACTCTTTTTAAATATTAGTGAAATATTTGGTAGTATAACGCAAAACACAATTTCTAAATAGTCAAAAGTTTTTCCTGGCAAGGAGACTTTTGTAGACACCTACCCTGTGATCATCTGTGTGCATGGGAGCAATCTACCTTGGTTATAGACAAGAGAAGATGTCCCTATCCCTTCCCAGCCAATTATTTAACAAGTATTTATTTGCTTATTTTCATAAGGTGTTGGTTAGGCTTTTCTCAGAGGAGACTGGGCCTCCCTCCCAAGGGTCCTTCATTCAGTCAGGTATGAGCCTCATTGGAGAAGGGGTCCATGAGCAGCCAACAAAACCCGCGCTGTGATCTCCTGCACACAGAAGTGCCACATGAGAAAATCATGCTTCAGGCTACACTTTTTCTGCATTTTCCTGGGATTATCCAAGCAGTGATGTGGGTTCCTGTGCTGCCTTTGAGTGGTTGGGTATAGCCAGAGGGTTGGGGCTTTGTTCTCTTTAGATGCAAATCACTCTTCCTTTGTTTACCCTGGCTTCAAGATGATAAAGGCACGTTGCACTGGATTAAGTGGGATAATGCACATATAGACCAAAGCAGAGCCCTTAATGCAATAAGAATTCAGGATCTGTTGTAGAAATTCTGTTACCATATCTCTAAAGCTGAGAGTCAAATGTGGAATGTAATCTCATCCAAGTTTACTGAATCTGATAGAGCTAGAACTATAAAGCCACAGTCTATTATTTATATCCCCTACCATACATTTTCCCAGATATTTTCTATGTTAATCAGCATTTTGCCAATATTTTAAGTACTCAGATCTGACTAATGTATCATAATTTTAATCTAAAATTAGTAACAAAAACAAATGGAAGTTAAAGATTAATCACACACTGATATTTTGCTTAGCTAAATCTCTGTACCAGTAGCGGAGCAGACCGGGCAGCATTCCCCTTCAGGTATAACTGTTTGGGGGCACCTCTGGGGATGGCACATGGTTTCATCACAAAGAACTCTTCCATCTGAGCAGAGGCAGGTAGTGCAGGGCTCAGGCGACCACACAGCTTTGTTGTACATGGTTATGCCCTTTACCAAACAGTGTCCCTTCTTTCCTAGAAGAAAACAAAAGCACAAATTTAAATTTCTTATGTGATTATCAGTAACTGTGAATGGAAGTAAACACAATGTGAAGTCAAACTGCTCTAACCACACAAGAATAGAATTCTATGTGCATTCATGTATAGGGTAAAGATGTCGTATAGACATAAGAAATGCTGAAATGCTTTTCACAGGCTCTCCTCTCAGCCCTTTCACGTAGGCTCTAAGAGTGAACTCCTCATGGTAACTTGGGGCTGAACTGCGCTTCCATTTTGTATCCATCAGGATAGATTAAATTATACAACATCAACAAACAATCCCCAAATCTCAGTTATTTTTCATTTATACTTTGTGTCTAATGTGGGGACACAGGGGCTCAGCTCATCATATTCACTCAGGATTCATCTATAAGCAGGCTGTCCTGATCACTGCGGTAGTGGAAATGTGAGGTTACAAATCACACATGAGCTCTTAAAGTGTCTAATTATACTGACCAAAGCAAATCGTATGGCCACACCAGACTTCCCAAGCCGCCAGCCAATCCAGTTCCCTCATGTGACCAGAGAGCTGAGCTAGCACTAATGATGAGCTCACAGCCCACCCTTGATATGCACATGGGAATAGGTGAAACCAGACAGCATGCTTCCGTGGTGCTTCTCAATGAGACACTGAGCTATGTCTTTTATGGTTTATTATGCTATTGAAATATGATTCACATACTATAATATTCACCCTTTTGAAGTGTATAATACTGTCTGGGCACGGTGGCTCATGCCTGTAATCCCAGCACTTTGGGAGTCTGAGGTCACTTGAGACCAAGAGTTTGAGACCAGCCTGGGCAACATGGTGAAACCCCATCTCCTCTAAAAATACAAAAATTAGCCGAGTATGGTGGCACATGCCTGAAGTCCCAGCTACTCAGAAAGCTGAGGCATAAGAATCGCTTGAACCCAGGAGGTGGAGGTTGCAGTGAGCCAAGATCGTTCCACTGTACTCCAGTCTGGATGACAGAGCAAGACTGTCCCTAAATAAATAAATAAACAAATAAAGTTCATGATGCAGTGCATATATTCATTTCCCTACATACAAGATTGTAGATATGTGGATAAGTGTATCAGCTAAGCAGGCCATTAGAAAGCTGAGGAGAATATTAGAGGGGATGTTTTTCTTCCAACCCTGGTGTCATTCCAGATAACTTTCCTCCATCTGAGCCACTGTCCCCAAGTTCCACCCCCAAATGAGCCTCTCACATTAGTCCCCTCCTTTCCCCGACCACTAACTCAGCCCAATTCAGGCCCTACCCATCTCTCATTCGAATACTTGCAATAGGCTAATCCCACCTACCCAATTCCTCCTCTGAACAAAAATACACATATGAGTTTCTTCCAGGTTATCAAAAGCACTACACTCTATCAAAATTTCCATGGCCTTTTTTTGCAGAAATGGAAAAGCTGATCCTTAAATTCAAATGGAAAAGTTGATCCCACATAACCAAAGCAATCTTGAGAAAAAAGAACAAAGTTGGAGATCTCACACTTTCAGATTTCAAAAAGCTCACTATAAAGATATGATAATCAGCTTTTGTCAGTGTGATACTAGTATAAGCATAGACGTATAGGCCAATGGAACACTGAAAGTCAGACATACATTTATGAACAATTGATTTTCAAGAAGGGTGTCAAGACCATTCAGTGGAGGAAAGAACAATCTTCAACAACTAGTGCTGGGACAACACCAGCAAGAGAATGAAGCTGAATCCCTACCTTTCACCAAATACAAACATTAGCTCAAAATGGATCAAAGACCTAATATATCTTATATTTAGACCTTTGCTGTAAATATAAGAGCTAAGACTACAACACTCTTAGAAAAATCCATAGGGGAAAATCTTTATGACCTCATATTTGGCAGTGGATTCTTAGATGTGACACCTAAAGTAAAAGATAAATTAGACTTTATCAAAATTAAAAATTTGTTGCATCAAAGGACATTGTTAAGAAAGTGAAAGGATGGTGTACACAATGGGAGAGAATATGTGAAATCATATATCTGATAAGGTCCTGATATCCAGAATATTCATAAAGAACTCTTACAACTCAACTACAGAAAGGCAATGCAATAAAAAAATGGGCAAAACTTGCCCAATACAGTGGCTCTCGCTTGTAATTCCAGCACTTTGGGAGGCCAAGGAGGGAAGATTTCTTGAGGCCAGGAATTTGAGAACGGCTTGGACAACATAATGGGATGCTGTCTCTACAGAAAAAGTTAAAAAGTTAGCCAGGTGTGGTGGTGCATTCTTGTAGTCCCAGCTACTTGGGAGGCTGAGGCAGAGGATCACTGAAGCCCAGGAGTTCAAGACTGCAGTGAGCTATGATTGTACCACCGTATTCCAGCCTGGACAGCAGAGCAAGACCCCATCTCTTAAAAAAAGAAAGAAATAGGCATAGGGGTTGAATAGATATTTCTCCAAGGAAGATATGCAGATAGACAACATGCACATAAAAAGATGCTTAACATCATTAGTTGTTAGGGAAATGCAAATCAAAAGCACAATGAGATACCACTTCATACAAGAACAGCTATAATTAAAAATAAATAACAATTGTTGGCAGGAATGTAGAGAAACTGGAGTCCTCTTCCATTGCTGGTGGGCATATAACAGCATAGCCACTTTGGAAAACATTTGGCAGTTCATCAATAAATTAAATATAGAATTACCAAATGGCCCAACAGTTCCCCTCCTAAGTATATACCCAAAAGAATTGAAAATAGGTGTTGAAAGAAAACTTATATTAATGTTCATAGCTGTGTTATTCATGATAGCCAAAAGGTGGAAACAGCCCAGATGTTCATCAACTGGTAGACAATATGGATAAACAAATATGGTATAGCCATACAATGGAATATTATTCAGCCATAAAAAGGAATGAAGTTCTGATACAGGCTAATAATAGATGAACTTTAAAAACATTATACTAAGTAAAGAAGTCAAATACACAAGGCCACATATTATGTGATTCCATTTACATGAAATTTCCAGAATAGGCAAATTCATAGAGACAGAACAGATTAGTGGTTGCCAAGGGCTGGGAGTGGGGAGAAATGGGGAGTTTAGGTACAGAGTTTCCTTTTGGTGGGACGAAAATGTGCAGAAACAAGATAGTGGTGATGGTTGCACAATACTGTGAATGTACTAAATGCTATTGAATTGTACACTTTAAAATGGATGAAATGGTAAATTTTGTGTTATGTGTGGTGATACAATCAAAAAGTACTGTAAGATCACTGGAAAATATTTTCGGACAACTTGGAAATACTTAGTATATATCTTCTGTACTTTTATGCATACCACCCTTTAGTACATATAAAAACTTTTTTTTAAACAAGTTTGAGATCACATTATGAATACTTCTTTTTCAGCCTTTTTGTTTTCCATTATTATAGCTTAGCCATCTTTCCACTTAACTAAAAAAATTGACCTCATCTTTCTTTAGCAGTTATGAGTACATTATTATTACAATGTTTTTAAGTTGATTTCTCTTCCTTTCTTTTCCCAATCATGTTGTAAGTGTGGCCTAAATTGCCTATTTTCAGGATAATTGTATATTATTTCTGTTAAATACATGGAAATAATTAACGAAGAAGCATTTAGCTGTATTGAGACAATATATGAAATACTGGCCACAGAACATTATATGGTGATATTTTCTGTTATTCTTTTGAAAGTTTTATTTAGTGGTAACATGTCTATAATATACTTTTTCCTTCCAAATTTGGAAAAATGTAAACCATTTAATACGTTTTTAAAAATGCCTAATTGAAATCTTTAGCAGAATTTTTAGTCTTTTAAATCTTTAAAAAGTCAGTGGTTTAACCTATATAAAATCAATTCAGTGGCTTTAATTCTATTTGTGGTTGAAAATTTTTGGTTGAAAATATGTAATAGCCATATGTTCACAGAATCATCTGAATAATTTATTTCTGTATTCTAGATGATCTATTGTTATAAATGGAAAGGTAGTTTATAAATGTTTATGTATATTATCTATGTTAGGATTACAACTATTTAAAATATATGCATAGTAAACATACTGGAAAGAAACCAAAATGATAACTATGATTTTGTAAATATAGTGGTAGGATAAGTAATTTTTGTCTAATAATTATAAATGTGTTCCTTAAGTTGTTTTTGGTTTTTTGGGGGTTGTTTTGTTTTGTTTTGTTTTGTTTTGTTTTTAATCTCGAGACGGAGTCTTGCTCTGTCGCCCAGGCTGGAGTGCAGTGGTGTGATCTCTGCTCACTGCAACCTCCACCTCCCAGGTTCAAGTGATTCTCCTGCCTCAGCCTCCCGAGTAGCTGGGATTACAGGTACATGCCACCACACCCGGCTAATTTTTTGTATTTTTAGTAGAGACGGGGTTTCAACATGTTGGCCAGGCTGGTCTTAAACTCCTGACCTCGTGATCTGCCCACCTCTGCCTCCCAAAGTGCTGGGATTACAGGTGTGAGCCACCGCGCCTGGCCCTATTTTTTAAATTATTTTAAAATGTATGTTTGTAGATTAAACCAAAAAGTAATATAATAACCTGGATTTTTCTTTAGAAAATTATCTTCATGGAGATGTTCTCCCTCTCTCCCTCTCTCCTTCTCTTTCCCCATACCATCTCTCACCCTCCTCCCTCTTTCTGTCTCTCTCTCATAGTGTTCTCTTACCTGGTAACACATTATAACTTGATTCTACTCCAGGAAAACTTGAAAAGGATTCAAACTTTTCCTCCATGCTATAATCAAAGTTAACAATAGGAAGTCTTGCTACTGGTGTAAAAACTGTTGTTTGCTGAATTCCAAGCTGTCTGTTTGATCTGTGCTTGTGTGAGGTTGAACTTTTCCTCAACCTTCTGTGGTAGATCTTCCTCCTTTGCTTCCTAGGAATTTCTTCATTTTTTCCAAAGTCAGTTTGAAAAATGATAAGCAGAAAAAAACAAAACAAAACTGCAATCTTCATGTTTGATTTTTTTCCACCAGCCAATTTCTAGAATGAAACAATATTTCAAAGTTAGTGGTGACTAAATTTTTACTTCTGAAAATTGGCTTATATATTTGCTTGTATGCCTCAGTAGGCAAGTCTTTGAGAAATTACACTTATGATATATGGACTATATGCTATAGTATTATTGCCAAATCATAATTTGGAATTCTTCTATCAGAATCAAAAAACTTTTTTTTTTTTTTAAATAGAGATGGGGTCTTGCTCCATCGCCCAGGCTGGAGTGCAGTGGTTCAGTCATGACTCACTGCAGCCTTGAACTCCTGGGCTCAAGCAGTCCTCCTGCATTGGCCTCCCAAAGTGCTGGGATTACAGCATGAGTCACCATGCCTGTTCAGAACTTTTTTGTATCTTACCTTTATCTTTAGACCAGGAATTAGAAACCTTTTTCTATAAAGGGCCAGATAGTAAATATTTGAGGCGTCATAGGCTACACCTTCTCTGTCATACCTATTCAGCTCTGTCATTGTAGCATGAAAGCAGCCATAGACAATATGTTGGGGACCAGCCTCAACACCACCCATAGGGTACCCAAAGCCCTGTGGCAACAAAGGAAGAGAAGAGACAGGTTAAGAGTTCATAAAGATGGGAGCCAGGGGGCCAGTTGCACAATGGAGGCTGCAAAAGGCCCAGAGTTCTGGTCTCCACACGATTTATTGAGTACAATCACTTAGATCTAAGAAGCAGATGTTTAGGGCGAAACAGTGAAAGGGAGGCAGCATGTCATAGGCGTAATCTATAGCAGTAGCGGTTTAAATGAATCTCCTTTGTGCTTAAACAGCATATCTTTAACTTATTGGAGAGTAGCTAGTAGGAGCGGGCTTAACTAGGAGCCTGTACGTCTGTCCACATTTCAGTGTTTCAGAGGAGTGTCTTTCTCCTTGAGCACAGTGTTTATAGATAAGAGAGCAGGTTGCACTCAGAGCATGGGAACATAACGGCGATAAGAAGGCTTTCCTCCTCAGAGACCTCTTGTGGCTTTCCACAACTTATTGTCCCATATTTTTATGGCCAGTTTATGCAGGCACTCCATAAGCCTTTTCCCCAACAACAATTTGTAAACAAATGAGCATGGATGTGTTCCAGGGAAACTCATTACCAGTAAAGGTGGTGGATCAGACATGGCCCCCTCTCTGGGCCCTACTGTTCTGCAGGTTTTCAAAGATTACTTGGGAGATTTCTCTCCACCTGTTTGCTAAGACGTTCTGTGACTGATGTAATCCACAACCCATTTTCCCAGCCGTTTTCTGTTTTGTGCTTTTATTCTCTAGCTTTATAATTGTCTGGGGGGAAGGGCGTGATGGTGCCATATAAAAATAACAGTCAATAGCATCAGTTATAAGGAGGTAAGAGTCAGGAAGAGTAACTCTTTAATTAGCTGGTCTCAGGGTTAGTATAGGGCCTTGCACATGGTAAAGCTGAAAAACATTTAAGAAATGAATATTTAGGCACTCTTGGTACAGTAGTAGCATTATGGTCAGACAGACTGGCGCAATCCCTGTGAAGTCTGGTGGCCAGGGACAAGAGAAACCTCCATCAAGGTGTTGCAGCAGCTGTCATCAAAGGATTCACTCAGCCAATCTCTCTTGGCCTAAAGTTAGTCCTACAAAGGAAGGTTGGCAGTTTTGACTGCCTCTCAGAATTCTACAGCTGAGAAACACACACATACTCACATACACACACCTATACCCCTTGCAGCTTTCCTCCTGCTCTTGCCTCAGGTCCACTCACTGTCAGTGTTTCCTGAGATGAAAAGCCTTCCTTACACAGCCAGTATGGAGGAGAAACTAAAACCCCAGGGATCATAAGAACCCAGATCACAACAGATTTGCCGCTGTTATCTTTTTAATGGGAATTTAAGGTATTTGGTGATTCTAGAAGGTTAAAGTAACTAACTTGCTCAGTGATGAAATTTATTTCAATTCTCACAGGCATACCTTGGTCTCCTTTGCCAACCAGAACAAATCTATGATAGGAAGGAATGGTAAAACATTCAAGGTGATGTTACATACAGAGATGAATACCCTAAACTGCAAAGGAGAGGCATTGAAGGATTAAGGGATAAGTGGCCATAGACTGCTAACCCAGTCATCTTGTTGGAACCTCAGAAAATACCTGAGAGGCCAGGCACTGTGGCTCATGCCTGTAATCCCAGCCCTATAGGAGGCCGAAACCAAGGTGGGAGGATTGCTTGAGGCCAGGAGTTTAAGACCAGAGTAAGGAACATAGCAAGACCTTGTCTCAACTAAAACATAAAAAATTAGCTGGGCATGGTGGTGCATACCTGTAGTCCTAGCTACTCAGGAGGCTGAGGCAGGAGGCTCACTTGAGCCCAGAAGTTCAAGGTTGCAGTGAGCAATGATTGCAGCACTGTACTCCAGCCTGGGTAACAGAGCGAGACTCTGTCTCAAAAAAAAAAAAAGAAAAGAAAAAACCTGAAAGACCCTGCAAGCATTTGACTCAATCTTTCTGTCTGACCATTTGACCAAAGAAAGTACAGTCATGTACCACATAATGACTTTTTTGTCAGTGACAAATTGCATATACCATGATGGTCCCATAAAATTATAATGGAGCTGAAAATCTCTTATTGCCTAGAGACGTCACAGCATCATAGCATAACGCATTACTCATAATGTTTGTGGTGATGCTGGTATAAACAAACCTACTGCACTTCCAGTCATATAAAAATACAGCACAGGCTGGGCGCGGTGGCTCAAGCCTATAATCCCAGCACTTTGGGAGGCCAAGGTGGGTGGATCACCTGAGGTCAGGAGTTCGAGACCAGCCTGCCCAACATGGTGAAACCCCATCTCTACTAAAAATATAAAATTAGCTGTGTGTGGTGGTGCACGCCTGTAATCCCAGCAACTCGGGAGGCTGAGACAGAAGAATCGCTTAAACCCGGGAGGCGGAGGTTGCACTGAGTAGCTAGGACTACAGGTATGCACCACCATGCCCAGAGTGCAGAGAGACTCTATCTCCAAAAAAAAAAAAAAAAAAAAAAGCACATACAATTATGTACAGTACAGTACATAATACTTTCATATACAACTATATTACTGGTTTATGTATTTACTATACTATACTTTTTATCATTGTTTTAGAGTACATGCCTTCTATCTATTTAAACAAACATTAACTGCGCAACAGCCTGAGGTGGTTCCTTCAGGAGGTATTTCAGAAGAAGGCATTCTTATCATGAGTGTTATTACCCATGAAGACCTTCCAGTGGGACAAGATATGGAGGGGGAAGACAGTGATATTGATGATCCAGACCCAATGAAGGCCTAGGCTAATGCGTGTTTGTCTCAGTTTTTAACAAAAATGTTTGAAAAGTTAAAAAATAAAAATAGAAAAAAGCTTACAAAATTACGCTATAAAGAAAGAAAATATTTTTGTACAACTGTACAATGTATTTGTGTTTTAAGCCAAGTGTTATTAAGAAGGAATTTTTTTAAATTCTTGAAACAAATGAAGATGAAAACACAGCACACCAAAACCTATGGGATACAGCAAAAGCAGTACTAAGAGGGAAGTTTACAGCAATAAACACCTACATCAACAAGTAGAAAAACTTCATATAAACAACCTAATAATACATCGTAAAGAACTAGAAAAGCAACAGCAAACCAAACCCAAAATTAGTGGAAAAAAAGAAATAATAAAGATCAGAATAGAAACCAAAAAAACTATAGAAAAGAGGAATGAAATGAAAAGTTTTCTGAAACGATTAAAAAAATCAAGAAGCCTTTAGACAAAGAAAAAAAAGAGGAATGCTATTACAAAAGAGTCAAAATTTTTTAAAAAATAAAAAGTATATAAAGTTAAATTACAGTAAGCTAAGGTTAATTCATTATTGAAGAAATAAAAAAACTTTTTTATAAATTTAGTAGACTCTTAGTGTACAGTGTTTATAAAATTTACAGTAGTGTATAGTAATGTCCTAGGCCTTCACACTCACTCACTGACTCACCGGAGTGACTTCCAGTCTTCCAAGCTCCATTCATGGTAAGTACCCTAGATAGTGTACCATTTTTTAAATTATTTTAGACCATATTCTTACCATACCTTTCCTATGTGTAGATATGTTTATTATTTATTTATTTATTTATTTAGAGACAGGGTCTGGCTCTGCCACCCAGGCTGGAGTGCAGTGGCACCATCTCAGCTCACTGCAACCTCCGCTTCCTGGGCTCGAGCCAATCTCACACCTCAGCCTCCCGAGTAGCTGGGACTACAGACCCGTGCCACCATGCCCAGCTGATTTTTATATTTTTTTTGTAGAGACAGGATTTCACTATGTTGCCCAGGCAGGTCTCAAACTCCTGAGCTCAAGTGATTCACCCACCTCAGCCTCACAAAGTGCTAGGATTACAGGCATGAGCCCCCACACCTGGCTTTAGATATGTTTAGATACACAAATACCATTCTGTTCCAGTTGCCTACAGTTTTCAGTACAGTCATGGGCTGTACAGGTTTGTAGCCTAGGAGCAATAGGCTCTACCATATAGCCTAGGTGTATAGTAGGTTGTCCCATCTAGGTTCGTGTAAGTACACTTTATGATGTATGACAACAAAATCATGTAACATCACATTTCTCAGAATGTATCCTTGTCGCTAAGTGACATATGACTGTAATTTGTTGATATCCAGATTCTTAGAAGTCTGCTTCACAACCTAAGACAAGCTGTGGGAAATTCCAAGGGTATCTAAACTGAAAACCATGAGCATGAGCTCAGGGTAATGAATGCCTTCCTCAAGCCACAGTGTCTACCACCCAAATGTTTAGGAAATGCAGGGTGATCAGTGCTAAGTCTTGGCAAATATTGTGATTGTTTCTTAGTAGAAACCTACAATGGTAGTAGCAAACATATGGCTGCCATCCTGGGTCCTTGGCCTAAGTACAGATGTCACTAACTGACCTATTTTTTACATTCTGCATACAGTATATCACCTGAAGGCCAAGAAAATGAGCATGGTTTTGTGGAGATCACCTTCCCTGTATTGCCATAACAACATTCCTACTAGTTTGACAACTAGTAACCAGAGTGGCTCCATGAAGTAGAATGATACTCTAGGAAGCGACCATGATGTAACTTCAGACTTTTGGAGAGTCTGTGAAGTTACATCATGGTCGCTTCCTAGAGAATCATTCAGCCATTACACCAGTATTATGACAAAACTTATCAAATCTGACTCCCAGCCAACATGGAGTAATAGGGACTACGTATACCTTCCCACCTGAAACAACTTAAAAATAGAGCAACATATATCTGAAGCATTTTCCAAACATTAAACAAAGAGCAGTCCAGGCCAGTGATCCCTGAAAGGGGATGCAAATCAAATGCCCGGAGAGACCTGTGATTGACCTGCTTACTCCCTCAAGGGAGTTGCAGTGAGGGGAACACAGGCAGAGTCCAGCAGTCTCCATAAGTTGAAAAGATACAGCTGGAAATCTGAGGACACCAAAGAGACTAGTGTTCCTAGGGCAGAGTACAGAGAGGTGAGAGCTAGCCCAGAGGAACCCTTCCAGAGATGTGAAGTCTTCCACTGAGTACTGGATAGCACATGTATGTAAGTAAACTATTAATACTTGAGACTGGGAAAAGAACTAACCTAAAGGACAAAGGGGAAAACAAAGCAAAACAAAACAAAAAAAACAGGTCTCTGGAGCTTAAAAAAGACCAGGAAGAGTTTGTGTTCCACCAGTCAGAGTGGAAAACCTTACAATTCACAGGGCATCTGGTAGAGTACTCAGAAGAGCATTAGCTCAGTAGAGGAAAATAATTAGCCCTAGGCTAAAGGCTGCTGTGATCCCATTTAATAAAGCTTAAAAGCAAGCCTTTCTGAAAGAATTAAACTGCGTACAATAACTTGACAGTGTCTCAGATAACCCAACAAATGTTTTAGGATCCAATGTAAATTTACCAGGTACACAAAGAAACAGGAAAAGTTGACCCATAATGGGAAAAATCAGTTTATTGAAACCAGTTCAGAAATGACAGTGCTGATATACTAATAAAGTAGGTGTTTAAAAATCATTATACCTATATTCTATATGTTCAAGAAGTGAGAAGAAGGATTAACCATGTAATGTAGAAACATAGAAGATATTTTTAAAAACCCAAATCAAACTTTTAAAGATGAAAACTACAATGTGAGAGAGAAAAAATACATGACAAGGGATGAATAGCAGATTAGACATTACCAAAAATAATTGGTAAACTTGTTTTCAAAAACTGCAAAAAGAAATAGACAAATCCACAATTGTCATCCAAAATTTCAACACTTCAATCCTAAATATTAGTTTCAAAAATAGTAGACAGATTACAAATTAAAATGAGATGCCTCTACATACCTACCAAATGTCTAAAACCCAAAACACTGACAACACCCAGTGCTGGTGAGTGTGTGGAGCAACTGTAAGTCTCATTCGGTGCTGGTGGGAATGCAAAATGGTACAGCCACTTTGGAAGACACTTTGGCAGTTTCTTTTAAAACTTAACATACTGTTGCCATACAACCCAGCAATCGTGCCCCTTGGTATTTACCCAAATAAGATGAAAATCTATGTCCACACAAAAACCTGCACGCAGATATGTATAGGAGCTTTATTCATAATTGCCAAAACTTAGAAGCAACCAACATGTTCTTCAATAGGTGAATGGAAAAAAAACTATGGTATATTCAGACAATGGAATATTATTCAACACCAAAAAGAAATGAGCCATCAAGCCATGAAAATACATGGAAGAACCTTAAATGCATATAATATATAACTAAATGAAATAAGCCAACCTGAGATGGCATATGTATGATTTCAACTCTATGACATTCTAGAAAGGGCAAAACTATGCAAGCTATAAAAGAATAGTGAATTTGGGGCGGAGAGGGATGAATAGGTGGAACACAGAGGATTCTTAGGGCAGTGAAACTCTTCTGATACAGTATAGTCAGCCCTTTATATCACAGGTTCTGCATCTGTGGATTCAACCAACCATGAGCGAAAAATGTAGTTTGGCCTATGTAGCTTTTGTGCTGAACATATGCAGACTTTTTTTTCTTGTCATTGTCCCCTAAATGATACAGTATAACAACTACTTACATAGCCTATACAGTGTATTAGGTGTAAGTAATCTAGAGATTATTTAAAGTATACAGGAGGATATGTGTATTATATGCAAATACTACACCATTTTATATAAGGAACTTGAGCAGCCTCAGATTTTGGTGTCCTTGAGGGATCCTGGAACCAGTCCCCCAAGGGTACCAAGGGACGACAGTACTATAAAGGTGGGTACATGTCATTAAAAATTTGTCAAAACCCAAGAATACAGAGTAACAAGAGTGAACCCTAATGTAAACTATGGACATTGGGTGATAATGATATGTCAGCATAGATTTATCCATGGTGTGAGATTTTGATAGTAGGGGAAAAGCACATATGAGAACTCTGTACTTTCCACTCAGTTTGCTCTGAATCTAAAACTGCTTTGAAAAAAAGTCTGTTAAAAAATTAGTAGTCATTTTATGCCAATAAAAAGTAATTAATATTTTTTAATTAGTAGACAGAATATCAATAAGGATTTTAAAGACTTTAATACTATTAACCTATTTGTTCAAATTGTCCTAATAATTTGCCTTGTTTGTCCTAATGATTGTAGGTATGTACAAATTTAGTCGTTATATCTTTCTGGTGCATTTATCATTAGGTGGATACTTTCAGTGTCTCCGGGAGTGCTTTTGCTATAAGATCTACTTTGTCTAATATTAATGTAGTTGCATTTTTTTTCTTTTTTGACTTTTTAGATTCAGGAGGGTTGTATGCAGGTTTGTTAACTGAGTATATTATGTGGTACTGAAGTTTGGGATATGAATGATCCCATCACCCAGGTACTGAGCATAGTACCCAACAGTTTTCCAATCCTTGTTCCTCTCCCTGCCTTCTTCCCATGTCTATTGTTGCCATCTTTATGCCCATGAGTACCCAATGTTTAGCTCTTACTTATAAGGGAGAACATGTGGTCTTTGGTTTTCTGCTCCTGCATGTAATTGCTTTCTTTTGATTAATGTCTGCAAAATATATGTTTTGCTGTCTTTCTATATTTTTATATTTTCAGTATACTTCCTATTAGTGGCATATTGTGGAGTTTTTTAATGCAGTTTAACAATTTTTGTCTTTTAATTGGAACATTTAGGCTGTTTATATTTAATGTAAAATTTAATGTTTGAATTGAAATATACTTTCTATTTGCTTTTTATTTGTCCTACATGTTCTATGTTCCTTTTTCTGTTTTCTTTCTTTTTAACTTGTTGCTTGGTTTTTATTATTTCATTAGTAATTATACACTTTTTACCATTCTTTTCTTTGTAGAGATTACCACATACATCCTTGACTTATCAAAGTCTTAATATAAATTAGTACCTTTACCTCTTCCTGGACAATACAAGAACCAGGATGAACTTCAACTCCATTTACCCTATCCCAGTATATATTCTGTTTCAGTTCTGTGTTTTAATTATATATGTATTTTTAAACCCTCAAAAGATTATTTTTATTTTGTCAAAGTTTATTTAGATCAGATTTTTCATCCTCATCACTATTAACGTTTTGCGCCAGATAATTCTTTTTTTATGGGGAGATGCCCTGTATATTATAGGCTATTTATCAGCAATCCGTGGCCTCTACCCACTAGATGCCATTAGTACCTTCCTCCTAGTTGTGACAACCAAAGAATGTTTCCAGGCATTACCAAATGTAACCCGCCCCTCAATTGAGAACCACTTGTTTAGGTTTACCTAAACATTTATCATTTTCCTTCGTTCCTTCCTATATCTACTTTCTTCTATTAGGATTATTTTCTTCTTGACTGAAGATCACCTTCTAATAATTCCTTTTGTGCAGATGTGTTGATCAGTTATTTTTGTTTACCTGAAAGGATGTATTTGTTAGATATACATTCTGGGGTTGACAAGTGTTTTCTTTCAGCATTGTGAAGATACGGTTGATTTTTTCCCCCTACACTTTCATTTCCTTCCTAGCTTCCAGTATTTTATTGTTGCCTTCTTCCCACCTACTTTTCTTTTTCTTTTTTTATTTAATGTTTTTTTTTTTTTATTTTATTTTTTTTTTGAGATGAGGTCTCACTATGTTGCCTGGGCTGGCCTTGAATCCCTAGGCTAAAGCGATCCACCTGACTCAACCTTTCGAGTAGCTGGGACTACAGGCACGAACTACCACACCCGGCTCGAAGATACAATTTCTATGTCTTCTTTTTTCCATTGTTTGTTTTGAGAAATCATCTCTCAATCTAATTTTTTCACTTTTAAAAGTAATTTTTTTTCTCTCACTGTTTTTAAGATGTTCTCATTGTCTTTGGTTTTCAGCTGTTTCACTCTGTATACAAAGATATAATTTTCTTGTTTTTATCCTATTTGGCACTTCTTGAATTTGTGGCCTGATGTTATTCATCACATTTGGAAACTTCTCAGCCCTTAACTATACAAATAGTACATTCTCTTTTCCCTTTTTTCATTCTTTCTATAACTACAGGTACTTGCATATCAGCTTTCTCATTGTGTCTTTAATGTCACTTTCCCCTCATTTGTATTTTTTGTTTGTCTATCTCTTCAGTGATTCATCCTGGTTATTCTCTGAACTGATCTTCCAGTTCATTGATACTCTCTTCATCTGTGATTTATCTGCTATTAAATCTATCCATTGACTTCCTTGTTCTTTTATTGTATTTTCTAGTTTTCAGGTTTTCAGTATGTTCTTTTTGTTTCCAATTCTTTGTTAAAAATTTTAATCTCATCTTTTATTTTTTTAAACATATTAAAAATATTTGTTTTAAAGTCTGTGTCTGAAGACTAGGTTTTCTGGATCCTCTATGTGTCTATTTCGGTTGTCTCTTATTTCTTTAGGTTTTTAGCCATGTTTTGTCTCTTCATATACCTGATGACCTTTGATGGAGTGCCAGATATTGTATATGAAAATACTTGAGAATTTGCGTCTGTTTCAGGCATAAGGTTAAGTACATTATGAATAGAATATTGAGTGATTTGAAGCTGGGCTTCACCATATTGAATTAATAATTATGCTTTGGGCTGGGTGCGGTGGCTCAAGTCTGTAATGACAGCACTTTGGGAGGCCAAGGCTAGCGGATCACAAGGTCAGGAGTTTGAGACCAGCCTGGCCAATATGGTGAAACCCCGTCTCTATTAAAAATACAAAAAAAATTAGCTGGGTGTGGTGGCACGCGCGTGTAGTCCCAGATACTCAGGAAGCTGAGGCAGGAGAATCACTTGAACCCGGGAGGTGGAGGTTGCAGTGAGCCGAGATCACACCACTGCACCCCAGCCTGGGCGATAGAGTGAGACTCGGTCTCAAACAAAAAAAAAAAAAAAAAAAAAAAAAATATATATATATATATATATATATATATATGCTTTGGGTCCACTTCACTTTTCCTACCATCCCCCACTGCTTGCTTGCCTCCATTTTGTTTGTTTGTTTGTTTCTCTCTGTCCTCCTGAGGCTGTTTTAAAACTCTATTAATCTTCTCAACCACCTCTTCTGGAATCCAGATGCTTCTAGAAGAAAAACTGTTCTAAACCTCTCTGGGTTTCAGTCCCATCCCAAATATTGGCCCTGTTGTTTTTCTCACCCTTTCTAGTTATTCTCAGCAGGTCTAATGATCTGACTTGCCTTGTCTGCCATTATCAGAAGGAGAAGCTCCCTCAGATTCCTTTTATTTCTTGCAGAAATATATCCTCTTTTTCTCAGAGAATGTTGTAAGTTGTAAAATTCTGTGCTCTTATTAAAGATCTGAAAATGTCATTGTTTAATTGGAAACAGAATTACGGTTTCAAAATCATTCTAATCATTTTTCTTTAATACCTTATAGATATTTGTCCATTATTTCTTATATTTAGTGTTGCCGATGAGAAATTTGACTTGAATCTGATTCTCATCCCTTTGTAAGAAATTTTTTTTCTTTCTATAGAAATTTTTTTCAAATTTTCAACATATCTTTGATATTTGGAAGTTTTACCTTGGTAAAAGAATGGAATGTACCTTGGTATAGGTTGTTTTTGCTGTTTAATGTATCCTTCTTGGGATCTTTTAAACTAAAAACTTCTTTTTTTCCTATACAAGCTCTCTTCACTCTGTTTTCTCCCATGACTGTTCAAGGGTACATTTTTCCTCTTTAAATTCATTTCTGTCTTCTCTTTGTCTGTGAAGGACTCCTCAGAGTGTCTGTCCCACCAGGAGCTCCCCTTTTTATTTCCTAGTGTAGCTGTATATTCGTGCATTTATTTGTCTGTAATATATCTTGTATTATTTCAAGGGAGTTGGTGAGAGGGGAAGAGGGCACAAGGTCAGCTCAGTTTCCCCTCTTGAATCTCAGTACTTCTTTTTATAACTTCATCTGCCAGAATCATCTTCCTCTAGTCAGGTTTCACTTAGTTAGTTCATAGTCTGACTTGCCACATCACCTTTGTTCAACAAACGGCAGTCTCTAAAGTATCTTCATGCCAGCATACAAACCTTTCTTCAGCGTATATATACATTAATTGCCACAGTCATTTGAAAACCATTACTATAGGTTATTGAAATGACCTATATTTCATAGGTTACTGGAACAACTTTTTGAACAACTTTTTGCAATCTACTTTAGTTTTAGAAAAATTAACATGCAGCATGTAAAGAAGGACCAAATCCATTAGCTGATTGGCACCTGAAATCATAAAAGTCAATTCAGAGAGCAAAGTAGTATGTTGGAAGGGAATAACAACAACAGCAGGGGAAAGCAATATGAAAACCTGAACTGAGAGACAAAGTGAAACTAGAATTTGCTGAGTGGCATGGCAAGTGTGCTCTGATGGATATCATAAGTGCTCTGCAATGCATGAAATGTATACATTGAAATTTTCTTGCATTAACAATTGTATGTGCAGACCTTCCATCCTGTTGTGAGGAGTCAGGGCCTAGACCTCGAGGCTCTAGAGTTAAACTCTCATGAGGGTCTCAGGCATCCTGCTGTCCTGAGGCATCCTGAAAGCACTCACTTATGGGGCATTGCCTGATTGAGTGCTTAGGAGTGTGAATGTGCCAGCTGTGGCCATTCTGAGCACACCCCTCTCTCCCAGTATCCTCATTCTGGAAACTACCTCTCTTTCTTTTTTTCCCCCAAATTGACTCACTTTTACTTACCCAGAAATCTAAATAGATAGGCACAGAAATAAACTTACAGAGCTATTTGAATTTTGACAAAATCAGTATCTAAACAGTCTCACTACAGTGTTTAAATACATTTTAGGAAATGGTCTCTCAATACTAATTTTACTATTAATGCTTAGGCCCTCATTATTTTCATTGATATACAGAATTTTGCTTTGCACTTAATATTTGCTTTCATAAACAACTTCGTAATTGAGTGTTTGCCTCCTAGAGGTAAATTTTCTGGGATTCCAATCATAGTATCATTTTTATCAAGTAATTTTTTTCCTTCTAGCACTTACTGTGTTTATCCCAACATTAAATATTATTTATAAACCTTGATTAACTTATTTTTCTTCATTTAAAATTTCTTACCAGTTATCTTAAGTAAACTTTAAAAATATTAATTTAGAATTTTAAAATTCTACATGAAGTCATGAGATGTCTATTATCTATTTTCACTTCATTCAACAGATTTAAAATGAAAAATATTTTGAATTATTTATGTTCTTTTAGGACTTAAAAATTAATAATATTTTCAAACCAATTTATACTTCTATTGAACACATAATTCCACCTAAACATATAAAAATAATTTAATACTAAGTATACAAGGTCTGAAATACTTGGGAAGTACATCGTGAAAAAAACAAACAGAATAATGCATACTTTGAACTTTAAAAATCTATTAGTAACGAGCTAATTTACTCAAGAGTTAAACAGTTGTGAAATAAAATACCCAAATATTAAAACCATTCCACATGCTAAGTAGAAACTTAAAATTTAAAACTTTTTTACCTGGAGATCTAAACTAAGTAGGCTTTGCTTGGTGTCATTTAAGTCTCCAGCTGAAAATGAAACAAAATCAGAGCTTTCTTTAAAAACAAAGAAAGGACAGAAGGGAATGTTGAAAAGTATTTGCTGAACTTCTTAGTAAAATCTAAAATAACTGCCTCCCTTGGGGATAAATGCCTTTCAGTTCTTTGTGCAGAAAATCAGCCAAGAAAGTAACCAGGGAAAATGGTTACCAAGGGAAATATTTTTTTTAATCATAAGAAAAGTAGAAAACAGCAGTGGGTGTGGGGGAAGAGCATTTTGTTTGCAGGCTGAAAAGGCAGAGTTGGAAACACAAAAATGAGCTTGATTAAGAAATCTGTGGTTTTCATAGACTATTCGCATTAAAAATGTTAAAGTTTATACTAGCCAGGATGATGTCACTTGAGCTTTATCAGATTATAGGGATGATATTCTCGTCAGCTAAAGGCTGTGTATATCTGGAATCTATTTTAAATTGGATTAATAATATTTAACTCATCTGCCCACCCACCTCGATCTCACACACAATACTAACAAAACGACAACAACAAAAAAATGGTTACGTATTAATATCAGTGGAAATTATGTAACTTCTAACCATGAAATAATAGAAAGAAAATGTGAAAGGGAGCTGTGTGGCTCCTAATTACCTGTTACGCTGGCAAATTAGTTGTGTACTTTGGCCTCAGTTTCTTTATCTGCAAATGAGAAGTTAGAGACAGATCAGGATTCCAAGCGCAACCCTGCTGTTTATGAGGGACCTTGAGTAAGTTACTTAATGTTTCTGACCAAAGTTCACTCTTCTGTAAAACTAGGGTGATACCTTTCAAATTTTTCTGAAAATAAAAGGAATAACAGATATGAAGGTCCTAACTCAGTGCCTATCCTAGACTAGGTAATTTTAGAACTATTTTTTAAATTTTTTTTTTTTTTTTGAGACGGGAGTTTTTGCTCTGTTGCCCAGGCTAGAGTGCAATGTCGTGATCTCAGCACACTGAAACCTCCGCCTCCCAGGTTCAAGGGATTCTCCTGCCTCAGCTTCCCGAGTAGGTGGGCTTAAAGGCGCCTGCCACCATGCCAGATTAATTTTTGTATTTTTTTTTTTAGTAGAGATGGGGTTTCACCATGTTGGCCAGGCTGGTCTCGAACTCTTGACCTCATGTGATCCACCCACCTCGGCCTTCCAAAGTGCTGGGATTACAGGCATGAGCCACCGCACCTGGCCTGAAATTCTTATATCGTTATTTCAGGGGTCCAAATCATTTGGCAAAGAGGAGCTAAATATTTGTTTAAATGACGTGGTTAGACTGAATCAGGATTTTGTAAAATGACCTAGATAGACTGAATCAAGATAAGGGACTAAATACATAAGCCACTCAACTTCCTAAAAATAAGGAAAATGATATCTATTTTTAAAAATGTAAAACTAGCTGAGTGCAGTGGCTCACACCTGTAATCCCAGCACTTTGGGAGGCAGAGACAGGTGGATCACCTGAGGTTAGGAGTTTGAGACCAGCCTGGCCAACATGTGAAACCCCGTCTCTACTAACAGTACAAAAATTAGCCGAGTATGGTAGCACATGCCTGTAGTCCCAGCTACTCAGGAGGCTGAGGTAGGAGAATCACTTGAACCTAGGAGGCGGAGGTTGCAGTGAGCCAAGATTGTGCCATTGCACTCCAGCCTGGGCAACAGAGCGAGACTACATCTCAAAAAAGAAAAGAAAAGAAAAGAAAAAGATGAGTACAAATGAGCAAACACCATTAAACAGGCAGTTCATAGAAGAGGAAATGTCAGTGGTCAATAAAACAGAAGAGGAAGATTTCTCAATCTCAGTAACAGTCAAGAAAAGTAAATTAAAACAGGAAGGTTATTTTTTCACTACCATAGTGAGATGTTGCTGACAAAACTTTGGGGGTAGAAAAATTACCCAAATAATGCCAATGCTCAATCAAGCTTGAAGACCACTGCTAATCAAAAATCATGGCCTGATTTGAAATACATACATTGTTTTTTGGGGGAAAAAAATGTTGATGATATGCTGTGTTGGCCAGTGTGTAGGGAAAACAGAAACTCTCCTCTTCCTTGAGGACAGCTGAACAGTAGCTATGCTGTCTGTCCTACCATTTCACCTCTAGGAACCCATTGTAGAAACACCTCTTTCTGTACAAAAGTGTGCCTTCAAGGAAGTACTCTGAAGTACTGTAACCATGGATTAGAAAAAAAGTTAACCCAGTTGTGTATAGATAGAGAACAAAGTGGGCTTACCATAAAGCTATTTGGAGAAACAGAAGTAACTCCATTAATACCACCATGCATAGTTGTCCATGCTATACCAGGAATAAAGAGATTTTCAAAACTGTACATGTATTATGATCTTACCTTCTTTTGATGTATGTAATTTAGCATTTTACTAGAGAACAAATTGGAAGGAATAAACAACAAAATATTAACAGTAATTACAGCGAGACTTTTACTATGTTCTTTTATATTTTTATCATGTTTTGAGCTTTGTATAATCAGATAAGAATAACTTAAAAAGAATACAAACAATCAAAAAAGAAGTAACTCTTAAAGTAACAGCACTGAGGAATACCAGTAATTACCACGATGAGATTGAGAAGGTTGCAGAAAACCAAATTTTATAATTTCTGAGGTTCCTGCTCTAAAATTTTGTGGTTTAATGGACTGTTACATGAGTCCTTTTGCAGAAACTATTTTAACCACACTAGCACATGGAAAATGCTGGTATTATGGTTTCTCCTACCCCCTTTATTATTGCAGACATGATTATGTCCCAAAACTTGGTTCTGACAACACTCTGCAGGAATGTGGTATTGGTCACCAAACAACATGAGCAGAGTGAGCATTACCCGTGCCACAGGGCCATCTGCCTATGAAGATTTAGACTCTAGGACATTTCTTTCAGGTGATATTTAAGTAAAATCACCTTTTCAGTATTTTTCCTGATTGTCTAGAGTACCAATAAATTGGGGTTTTTTTTAAGGATGCAATTGTCTACCATATGACAGCTTTGTAGATATTAATACCCAAATAAAGGTAAATTTTGGAAATTTTAAGTAGGGCCATACTCAGAAATTAGTTTTACCTTGTTCAGCCCGAATAAGGAGGCTTAAAGCTGTGCCTACAACCCCTGCCCACGCACTGAATATTAGGTACAATGTTCCGGTATCTTTATGGTTAGTTGAGAATAGTCAACGGTTGGCCAACGTAAGTGGAGTAGGGCGAGGTAAAATGGCTGAGTAAAGCATTAGACTGTAAATCTAAGGACAGAGGCTAAACCTCTTTTTACCAGCCCGGAGGTGACTTTCATGTTGAATTGCAAATTCAAAGAAGCAGCTTCAATCCTGCCAGGTTTCTCCCGCCTTCCCCCGCTCCCCCACCCCCCACCCCAACCCACTGCCTGTGGAAGAAGTAGATTGAAGCCAGTTGATTAGGGTATTTAGCTGTTAACTACATTTTTATGGGTTTGAGTCCCATTTATCTAGTAAGGGCTCAGCTTAATTAAAGTGATTGATTTGCGTTCAGTTGATGCAGAGTAGAGTTTTGCAGTCCTTGGGTTTGCAGAAATTAAGTATAGCCTACTTACTAAGGGCTTTGAAGGCTCTTGGTCTTGTTTAACCTAAATTTCTGGAAGATAAGCAGGGTTAGTGGCTAGATTGGTAGGAGGAAGATGGAGAGGATGCTAAGTGAGGGGAGGAGTAGTATGGACTTTGTTCTAGGACTGACCTCTTGGCCCATAGTTCAAATGCCTTTTAAGCTATACTAAAGTGTTACAGTTGCTTCATTTACTTTAGCTGAACTTACTTTCCCAATGGAATATTACATTTAAGTGGAGTAATGATATATAAGTATCCCACAACTCATTCAACCATTCCCCTATTGATGGACATTTGGGTTGTTTCCCCTTTCCCCCCTCAAATAGAATGGGCTTTTTGAGTTTGTGTACGCATTTCCAGGTTGCTTTCCAAAAAGGTTATAGTAAATAATGTATACTTTCACCAGAAATATATAAAATGCCCATTTCCCTGCCACTTTATTTTTTAAACAGTTTTCACATTTTTGAATGGGTAATACATATAAGTGGCATAAATTTTTAAAGTGCACAGTTAAAATTTCAGTTTTCTATATCCAATACTGATAGTTTGATACCAACCTTCCCATTGAAGTAAGAAAGAAATGAGATCAGCCGGGCGCGGTGCCTCATGCCTGTAATCCCTGCACTTCGGGAGGCCGAAGCTGGTGGATCATGAGGTCAGGAGATTGAGACCATCCTGGCTAACATGATGAAACCCTGTCTCTACTAAAAATACAAAAACTTAGCCAGGCAAGGTGGCATGCGCCAGTAGTCCCAGCTACTTGGGAGGCTGAGGCAGGAGAATCCCTTGAACCCAGGCGGCAAAGGTCGCAGTGAGTCGAGATCATGCCACTGCACTCCAGCCTGGACGACAGAGCGAGACTGTCTCAAAAAAAAAAAAAAAATGAGATCACATATAAAAACATCTTAAAATAATCAATGAAGGCTGGGGGCAGTGGCTCATGCCTGTAATCCCAGCACTCTGGGAGGCCAAGGTGGGTGGATCACAAGGTTAGGAGTTCAAGACCAGCCTGGCCAACATAGTGAAACCCCGTCTCTACTAAAAATACAAAAATTAGCCGAGCATGGTGGCACGCGCCTGTAGTCGCAGCTACTCGGGAGGCTGAGGCAGGAGAATCACTTGAACCTGGGAGGCAGAGGTTGTGGGGAGCCGAGATCACACCACTGCACTCTAGCCTGGGCAACAGAGCACGACTCTGTCTCAAAAAAAAAAAAATCATCAATGAAGTGAGAATATAATAAGGAATCACTGGACCTAGATCAGGAGATAACTGTGAGCAGCCTTTTGCCTTGCGAGTGTTTGCTAAAAATATTAAAGAGCAAAAATATCGATAAAGTAAAAAACAAATATGAAGGAGAAAAGATTTAGAAAGCCAAAAGTTGGGGATTTTTTCTTTTTTAAAAAATGTATTGGCTGGGGGCAGTGGCTCATGCCTGTAATCCCAGCACTTTGGGAGGCCGAGGTGGGCAGATCACAAGGTCAGGAGTTCAAGACCAGCCTGGCCAACATGGTGAAACCCCATCTCTACTAAAAAAACAAAATTAGCCAGGTGCGGTGGCGGGTGCCTATAGTCCCAGCTACTCGGAAGGCTGAGGCAGGACAATCACTTGAACCCAGGAGGCGGAGATTGCAGTGAGCCAAGATTGCGCCACTGCACGCCAGCCTGGGTGACAGAGCGAGACTCCATCTCAAAATAAAATAAAATAAAAATTATCATCTCAAATACTATTTATTCCTCCTGTCTAACTAAAACATTGTACCCTTTGACTAATATCTCCCCATTTCCCCATCACTAGCCTCTGGTAACCACTATTCTACTGCAACCTCCACTGCCACCCCCCTTCCCCCTCCCCACCCCGCCCACACCCCCACACCCCCACCCTCCTGGTTCAAGCGATTCCCCTGCCTCAGCCTCCCGAGTAGCTGGGATTGCAGGTGCCTGCCACTGTGCCTGGCTAATTTGAGTTAGATTTTTTTTTAAGATTCCATATATAAGTGAGATCATGCAGTATCTGTCTTTCTGTGCCTGGCTTATTTCACTTAGCATAATGTCCTCCGGGTTCATCCATGTTGTCATAAATAACAGAATTTGCTTCCTTTCATATATACATTTTCTTTATTCATTCGCTGATGGACACTTAGGTTGATTCCATATCCTGGCTCTGGTGAATAATGCTGCAGTAAACATGGGAGTTCAGTTGTCCCTGCAACATACTGATTTTATTTCCTTTTTTGTTTTTTTTGAGACGGAGTCTTGCTCTGTCACCCAGGCTAGAGTGCAGTGGTGCAATCTCGGCTCACTGCAACCTCCGCCTCCCAGGTTCAAGTGATTCTCCTGCCTCAGCTTCATGAGTAGCTGGGATTACAAGCATCCGCCGCCGCACCCAGCTAATTTTTGTATTTTTAATAGAGATGGGGTTTCATTATCTTGGCCAGGCTGGTCTCAAACTCCTGACCTTGTGATCCACACACCTCAGCCTCCCAAAGTGCTGGGATTATAGGCGTGAGCCACTGCACCCAGCCTGTGATTTTATTTCCTTTGAGATTAGTGGGATTGTTAGATCATCCGGTAGTTCTACTTTTTAAATTTTTGAGGAACCTCCATACAGTATTCTATAATGGCTCCTTTCTTAAAGGGAGATGTATTCTCAAGTCCTTTGCCTATTTTCTTGATTGGGTTATTTGTTTTCTTGCTATCAAGTTCCTTATATATTTTGGATATTATCTCCTTATCAGATATATAGTTTGCAAATATTTTCTCCCATTTTGTATGTTGTCCCTTAACTCTGTTGTTTCGTTTACTGTGTAGATATTTCTTAATTTGATGTAATCTCATTTGTCTATTTTTGCTTTTGTTGCCTGTGCTTTTGGAATTATATTCAAAAAATAATTGCCTACACCAATATCATGGAGCATTTCCCCTATGTTTTCTTTTCTTTCTTTTTTTTTTTTGAGATGGAGTCTCGCTCTGTCTCATATAGCTATAGCTCCAGGCTATAGTGCAGTGGCACGATCATGGCTCACTGCAATCTCTGCCTCCCGGGTTCAAGTAATTCCCCTGCCTCAGCCTCCCCAGTAGCTGGGACTACAGGCATGCACCACCACACCCAGCTAATTTTGTGTATTTTAGTAGAGACAAGGTTTCAGCATGCTGGCCAGGATTGTCTTGATCTGACCTCGTGATCCACCGGCCTCGGCCTCCCAAAGCGCTGGGATTACAGGTGTGAGCCACTGCGCCCGGCCCCCTATGTTTTCTTCTAGTAGTTTCATCATTTATAGATCTTACATTTAATTCATTAATCTATTTTGAGTTGATTTCTGTTTATGGTGTCAGATAAGGATCTAACTTCATTCTTTTACATGTGGATATCCAGTTTTCTCAGCACCATTTATTTATTGAAGAAACTCTTCTTTCCCCATTGTGTCTCTTGGCACTTTTGTCAAAAACCAATTCACTGTAAATGCATGGATTTATTTCTTGGCTCTCTATTCTGTTCCATTGGTCTCTGTCAGTTTTTATGCCAGTACTATGCTGTTTGGATTACTACAGCTTTGTAGTATATTTTGATGTCAGGTGGTATAATGCCTCCAACTTTGTTTTCTTTGATCAAGATGGCATTGGTGCCAGCCTCGTGGCTCACACCTGTAATCCAAGCACTTTGGGAGGCCAAGGCAGGTGGATAACTTGAGGTCAGGAGTTCAAGACCAGCCTGGCCAACATGGTGAAACCCCATCTCTATCAAAAAATACAAAAATTGGCTGGGCATGGTGGTACGTACCTGTAGTCTCAGCTACTCAGGAGGCTGAGGCAGAAGATCACTTGAACCTGGGAGGTGGAGGTTGCAGTGAGCAGAAATCTCACCACTGCTCTCCAGCCTGGGTGACAGAGTGAAACCCTGTCTCAAAAAAAAAAAAAAAAAAAAAAAAAAAAAGATTGCATTAGCTATTCAGGGTCTTTTGTGATTCCTTACGAATTTTATGATCGTTTTTCTGTTTCTGTTAAGAATGACATTGAAAAAAAAAGTTGAAATTTCGATAGGAATTACATAAAATCTGTAGAACACTTTGGGTAGTATAGTCATTCTAACAATATTAATGCTTCTAATCCATGAACAAGAGATATCTTTTCATTTACTTATGTCTTAAGTTTCTTTCATCAGCGATTTATAGGTTTCAGTGTAGAGATCTTTCTCCTCCTTGGTTATGTTTATTCTTAAGTATTTTGTTATTACGTATCTATTGTAAATTTTCTTGATTTCTTTTTCATGTAGTTTAGTTAGTATACAGAAAAGCTACTGATTTTTGTATGTTGATTTTGTATCTTGCAAACTTTATTGAATTCATTTATCAATTCTAGCAGTTTTTTGGTGCAGTCTTTAGAATTTTCTCTATATAAGATGTCATCTGCAAACAGAGAAAATGTACCTTTATCCTTTCCATTTTAGATATTTTTTATTTCTTTCTCTTATCTAATTGCTCTGGCTAGGACTACCAGTTTTATGTTGAATAGAAGTTGCGTGAGTCAGCACTGTTGTCTTATTCCTGATCTTAGAAGAAATGCTTTCAGCTTTTCATCGTTAAGCATGACATATTAACTGTGCACTTGTCATAAATGATCTTTATTGGGCTGGGCGTGGTGGCTCACGCCTATAATCCCAGCACTTTGGGAGGCTGAGGCACGTGGATCACTTGAGGTCAAGAGTTCAAGGCCAGCCTGGCTAACTTGACAAAATCCCGTCTCTACTAAAAATACAAAAATTAGCCGGGTGTGCTGGCACATGCCTGTAAACCCAGCTGTTTGGGAGGCTGAGGCACGAGAATCGCTTGAATCTTGGAGGCAGAGGTTGCAGCGAGCCACGATTGCACCACTGCACTCCAGCCTGGGCAACAGAGCAAGACTCCGTCTCAAAAAAATAAATAAATGGTCTTTATTTATGTTGAGGTACATTCTTTCTATAGTTAATTTGTTGAGGGGTTTTTTTTTTTATCATGAGAGGGTGTTGAATTTTGTCAAATATTCTACATTCCAAAGTTGTTCTTTAAAAAACAAAACTAGTAAAAGCTGTGGCAAGACTGATGCATGAAAAAAGGGAGAAAGCGTGGCTCACCAATGTGAGGACCAGAGAAATTGTTATCACTATAAATTTTTTTTTTTTTTTTTTTTGAGTTGGAGTTTCGCTGTTGTTGCTCAGGCTGATGTGCAGTGGCGCGATCTCAGCTCACTGCAACCTCCGCCTCTCGGGTTCAAGCAATTCTCCTGCCTCAGCCTCCCCAGTAGCTGGGAGTACAGGCGCATGCCACCACACCCAGCTAAATTTTTTTTTGTATTTTTAGTGGAGACGTGGTTTCACCATGTTGGTCAGGCTGGTCTCAAAACTCCTGACCTCAGGTGATCCACCCGCCTCAGCCCGCTCCAGAGTGCTGGGATTACCGGTGTGAGCAACCACGCCCATCTTACAAATTCTTAAAGCATTTAAAAGACAGTAAGAAAATCTTAAGAGGTGACAGCCTGCTGGCAGCCCTCGCAGCCCTCGCTCGCTCTTGGCACCTCCTCAGCCTCAGCGCCCACTCTGGCCGTGCTTGAGGAGTCCTTCAGCCCACGCTGTGCTGTGGGAGCTCCTTCCTGGGATGGCCGAGGCCGGAGCCGGCTCGGACCTGGGATGGCCGAGGCCGGAGCCGCTCAGGTTTAGGGGAGGTGTGGAGAGAGAGGTACGGGCGGGAACCAGGGCTGCGTGTGGCACTTGCAGGCCAGCTAGAGTTCTGGGTGGGCGTGGGCTTGGCGGGCCCCGTACTGGGAGCGGGCAGTGAGGGACTTAGCACCCCGGCCAGCAGCTGCGGAGGGTGCGTCGGGTACCCCAGCAGTGCCGGCCCACCGGCGCTGTGCTTGATTTCTCGTCGGGCCTTAGCTGCCTCCCCGCGGGGCAGGGCTCCGGACCTGCAGCCCGCCAAGACTGAGCCTCCCGCCCCGCCGGGCCCCTTCAAGGCCCGAGCCTCCCCGACGAGCTCTGCCCCCTGCTCCACCGCGTCCAGTCCCACTGACCGCCCAAGGGCTGAGGAGTGCGGGCACAGGGCGCGGGACTGGCAGCCAGCTCCACCTGCAGCCTGGTGCGGGATCCACTGGGTGAATCCAGCTGGGCTCATCCAGCTGGGCTCTTGAGTCTAGTGGGGATTTGGAGAACCTTTATGTCTAGCTAAGGGATTGTAGATATACCAGTCAGCACTCCGTGTCTAGCTCAAGGTTTGTAAATGCACCAATCAGCACACTGTGTCTAGCTCAAGGTTTGGTAAATGCACCAATCAGTGTTCTGTGTCTAGCTGATCTGGTGGGGACTTGGAGAACCTTTATGTCTAGCTAAGGGATTGTGAATGCACCAATCAGCACTCTGTCTAGCTCAGGGTTTGTAAATGCACCAGTCAGCACCTTGTGTCTAGCTCAGGGATTGTGAATGCACCAATCAGCACTCTGTGTCTAGCTCAGGGTTTGCAAATGCACCAATCAGCACCCTGTGTCTAGCTCAGGGTTTGTGAATGCACCAATCAGTGCTCTGTGTCTAGCTAATCTAGTGGGGACTTGGAGAACTTCTGTGTCTAGCTCAGCGATTGTAAACGCACCAGTCAGTACCCTGTCAAAACGGACCAATCAGCTCTCTGTAAAACAGACCAATCAGCTCTCTGTAAAATGGACCAATCAGCAGGATGTGGGTGGGGCCAGATAAGGCAATAAAAGCAGGCTGCCCAAGCTAGCCCTGACAACCCACCAGAGGTCCCCTTCCACTGTGTGGAAGCTTTGTTCTTTTGCTCTTTGCAATAAATCTTGCTGCTGCTCACTCTTTGGGTCCACGCTGACTTTATGAGCTGTAACACTCATGGGGGAAGATCTGCAGCTTCGCTCCTGAAGCCAGCGAGTCCACGAACCCACTGGGAGAAAAGAACAACTCCAGACGCACCGCCTTAAGAGCTGTAATAGTCAACGCCAAGGTCTGCAGCTTCACTCCTGAGCCAGCGAGACCACGAACCCACCAGAAGGAAAAAACTCCGAACACACTGGAACACCAGAAGGAACAAACTCTGGACACGCTGCCTTTAAGAACTGTAACACTCACCGTGAGGGTCCGCGGCTTCATTCTTGAAGTCAGTGAGACCAAGAACCCAGCAGTTCTGCACACAATACTATGAACAATTTTATGCTAGTAAATTGATATATTTAGATTACATGAATAATTTCTTTAAAAAAACAATAAAATTGTCACAAGAAGAATCAGAAAATCTAAATTGTCTATAACTATTGAGGATATTGAGTTCATAATTTCAAATCTTCCCACAAGAGATACCACAGGTCTCTATATTCTTCACGAGTTCTACCAGTTTTTTAAGACCAGCATAACTATATTACAAACTGACAGGGACGTCAGAAGGAAAATTTTGCAGGTCAGTCTCACTAATGAACATAGATTTTAAAATACGTATATATTAGCAGACCAAATCCAACAATATATAAATAATATATTATGATTATACTGGGTTTATTCAAGAACTAGCGGCGTAAGTGTAACAGTCCAAACACTTTGTGATCATCTTAATAGATGCAAAAAAAATTTTTGATAAAATTCAACAGCCATTAGTGTTTTAAAAAGAATAAAGAAAGCAAATGTTTACCATAGTAGGAATATAAGGGAACATCTTTAGTCTGACAGATTATCTACAAGAAAACAACATGCTTCAACTACTAGCTGTATCCCCAAGAGAACTGAAAACACATATGTCCACATGAAAACTTGAGGACAATTGTTCATTGCTACACTATTCATAACAGCTAAAATTTAGAAACAGCCTAAATGTTTGTCAACTGTTGAATGAATGTACAAAATGCTGCATAGCCATACAAGGGAATATTATTTGGTAATAAAAAGGAATGTCATACTGACACATGCTGAAAGTGTCACCACATGGATGAACCTCAAAAACATTACGTGCAGTAAAAGAAGCCAGTCACAAAAGACCACATATTGAATGATTTCATTCGTATGAAATGTCCAAAATAGACGAATCCATTGAGAAAGTACATTAGTGGTTGCCTGAAATGAAGGGGGTAAGAAGATAGGGAATGACTGTTAATGGGTACAGGGTTTCTTTATGGAGTGACTAAAATGTTCTAAAAATAGTAGTGATGGCCCTAACTAGGAATATACTAAAAACCATGGAATTGTATATTTTAAAGTATGCGTTTTATGGTACGTAAATTATATCTCGAGATAGCTGTTATTTTTTTAAATGGTGAAATACTGACAGTTTTCCCTTTCTGGGAACAAAACAGTGATGCCCACTGAAGGCCCTGGCCAGTGTGGTAAAGCAAGAAAAAGAAGAGAAACAGTTTTTCCTTCATTTTCTTATGGGAAAAAAGAAGTAAAGGAAGGAAAAACTGTTACTATTCCCAGATTATGTGGATATGTATGTAAAAAATCCAAAAGAATTTTCAGATAAATTACTAAAATTATCTTTAGAGTTTTCCAGACACACAATTAATATATAAAAATAAATAGTGGTTTGGCATCCCTGAGGTCCAGATTGCTGCTGCATGTGTGTCACTAGGAAGGCTCATGATCCTCCCTTGCTCCTGTGTAATCCACCATGCTGATGGTTCTGCTTTGTGGGGTCTTTCACTGCTGTGGCATCATGAAAGCTCTCTTGCTGGTACTTTCTCTGCTCAATGGAGCTCTACTTCAAAGAAGATCAGACAGTAAATTAATGTGAAAATTGATGCTGTCAAATTCATTAGGATTAAGACAAAACCATTATTTCAGCTCAGCAAAGGGAACAAAAGGATACCTGAAATGTGAGAGTCCCAATTAGGGGGTTGTCCACCCCATACTTGCCAGGATATTAAAGATTTTATTACTGCATATGATCACTAATGTTGGGCAAAACTTTTCTACAACACAAATGTAGTACATCAACTATCAGATTGGAAATATATTTTAATAAAAACAAGTTATACTGCCTAGAAATTAAAAAATAATTGTCTTTATACAGTGAGATAATGAAGTTAAGGAAAAGATATGTAAATATCAAGTATATTTAAAATATATCAAGTAGTTAAGAATGAAGTAACAAAAAATAGGCAAGATATCCTCAGAGAAAATTATAAAATTTTGAGAGAAGTTAAAGCTTATGGGTATTGGGAGATACCATACTCAGGGAGTGGAACATTCAGTGTTGCAAAGATAACATTTGTTCTTACACTGATCTTAGAGTTGATGAAATTCAAATCAAAATCCTAGCAGTTCACTTTTGTGTGTGTGTGTGTGTGTTATCTAGAACTTGACAAATTCTAAACTCTATAGGGAAATGTAAAGGCCAAAGAAAAGCCAAGACATTCCTGAAGAAGAACAAGGCTATAAGACTTTCTATCCCAAATATCAACACTGATTATAAACAAGCTACAGTAATTAAGGCAGTTTGGTAGTGATAGAAGGATAAACAATGGACAGTGGCACAGAAAGACAGCAAAATACTCATCACATGTAGCTACTTGATTTTCTCACGTGGACGGTTTCAAGGAACTGCGGAGGGAGACAGAAGAGACCAAACAGACCCACTCATAGGAAAATGGGCTATGGACTTGTTCTGTTGTGCTCCAGAGACCAGAACTAGAATCAATGGACAGAAACTACAAGCAGGCCGATTTGGACTTAATTAGAAAAAGAACACACTTTCTCATAACCAAAACTGTCCAGCTGAGCTACTTGATGAGGTTCCAGGGGCACAGGACAAGAATGATTTGAGTGAAAACTAGATGAAGCTGGCCCAGTGGCTCAAGCCTGTAATTCCAGCACTTTGGGAGGCCGAGACGGGTGGATCACTTGAGGTTAGGAGTTCGAGACCAGCCTGGCCAATGTGGTGAAACACCGTCTGTACTAAAAATACAAAAATTAGCTGGGCGTTGTGGCACACGCCTGTAGTCCCAGCCACTCGGGAGGCTGAGGCAGGACAATCACTTGAACCTGGGAGGCAAAGGTTACAGTGAGCCAAGATCGCGCCACTGCACTCCAGCCTGAGTGGGAGAGCATGACTCCGTCTCAAAAAAAAAAAACAAAACAAAACAAAACTAGATGACATTCTATTGAGAATTTTGCCAAAGGAATTTCCCAGACACCGGATTAGATATCATTTTATCAATAGCATCTGTGCTTCTTTGATCTGCCTCCCTAAGATAGTGCTGTTAGGCAGTGGAGAACATAGATGTACGTTCTGTCTCTGAGCAGTTCTCTTACTCCCTGAGCAAAGTTTGTTCAGGAGCCAGGCTTAGTAATAATGGCCAATGTGGACAAAGTACAGTACAGTTAGAGGCTGGGTTCTGGGTCTGGTTCTTCCATCCATAGTTCCACCAAGCCACTAGAGTCTGGAGCCTTCCCTTGAAGTCGCAGGTAACTAAAACAGACACTGAATCTCTGTACTCAGCATGATAACAGAGACAGGACACATTGATGGATTCCCCTGCATTCAGTCTAGAAGTGGAAACAAACTCATTTGAACAAATGGTGTCATTGGGCCGGGCGTGGTGGCTCACGCCTACAATCCTAGCACTTTGGGAGGCTGAGGCAGGAGGATCACGAGGTCAGGAGATCGAGACCATCCTGGCCAACATGGCGAAACCCCGTCTCTACTAAAATACACAAAATTAGCTGGGTGTGGTGGTGCGTGCCTGTAGTCCTAGCTACTTGGGAGGCTAAGGCAGGAGAGTCACTTGAACCCAGGAGGTAGAGGTTGCAGTGAGCCGAGATCGTGCCATTGCACTCCAGCCTGGGTGACAGAGTGAGACTCTGTCTCAAAAAAAAAAATGGTGTCATTGGAGGATGCTGGGTGCTGAAGTCTTCGTAAGAGGGAATAATCTAATGAAATAGTTCAGTTTCTTTTGTTTTTGAGAATTAAAATAAACTGTAAGATATGACAATTGATATAACAAGTTTTCTTAGACCTGTTTTTTTTTTGTTTAGACTTTGTTTGATTTCCTGTCCTGCTGTAGTAATATTCAGTCCAGGAGGCTGGAAGTATTTCTAGATAGTTATGCATGTAAAGGGATGTAAGGGTTGAGGCAAGAGTACAAATGAAGTTTCACATATGATATTCTAAATGTGTAAAAGTTACACCTTAAGCCAGCAAGCAGTTAAATAAATTATGTTTGATTCTCTTATCTTGAAATGTGTCCTTCATAACAACCTGGAAAGCCAGGTTCCAATTTAGAATCCTGAACTCCTCAGGATTCACTGACACCAAAACATGGTGGCTCAGGAAGGAGCCAGTACACAGCCCGCCACACTTTTCTACCCTATGCCATGACCTACTTATGCCTCAGGGCTCTTTCCCCAGCTCCATATGAGCAGCTACCCTCTGGCCCTGGGGTTGCTTGCACTAGCAGTGTGGTCTGTCTTCAGGGTGATAGAGCCAGGGAAGAGGAATGCATAAGCCCTGGAAACAAAGTTATTTGGGCAGAGAATTCCAGGCTACCAGATACTCAGAGCATTTCCTGGGGAGGTGGCTGTGGGAGAGCACATAGACATCTTGCTTAGTGGCCAAGCGGAGCCCATGTCACAAACCCCTCTTGTCCAGGTTTAAGTGTGACGCTGGGATTGGAAGCCAGGAATTATCATGAGTGGAAGCCACAGTTTCAGGCAAGAAAATTTGGGTGAGAAATATATAGTACTGTTATATAGTAAGGAGTTAAGTATAGAAGTCTTATTGTGATATAGCATACTTCCCCAAAATGACGTCTGATGCTTTTTGTTTTTTGAGATAGGGTCTTGCTCTGTCACCCAAGCTGGACTGTAGTGGCACAACCATGGCTTACTGTAGCTTCAACCTCCCAGGCTCAAACAATCCTCCCACCTTAGCCTGTCAAATGTCTGGGACTACGGGCACATACCACCACACCTGGCTAATTTATTTTATTTTATTTTATTGTTTTATTTTTCCATAAGTTATTGGGGTACAGATGGTATTTGGTTACATGAGTAAGTTGTTTAGTGGTGATTTGTGAGATTTTGGTGTACCCATCACCCAAGCAGTATACACTGCACCCTATTTGTTGTCTTTTATCCCTCACCCCACTCCCACTCTTCCCTTCAAGTCCCCAAAGTCCATTGTATCATTCTTATGCCCTTGCGTCCTCATAGCTTAGCTCCCACATATCAGTGAGAACATTCGATGTTTGGTTTTCCATTCCTGAGTAACTTCACTTAGAATAATAGTCTCCAATCTCATCCAGGTCATCCATGGTGTGTGTATATATATATAATGGAATACTATGGAGCCATAAAAAGGAATGAGTTAACAGCATTTGTTATATATATGGTGTGTGTGTATATATATATATATATATATATATATGATATATATATGTGTGATATATATGTGTGTGTATATATGTGATATATATGTGTATATATATGATATGATAGATCTATCATATATGTGATATTATAGGTCTATCATATATGTGATATGATAGATCTATCATATATGTGATATGATAGATCTATCATATATATGTGATATGATAGATCTATCATATATATGTGATATGATAGATCTATCATATATATGTGATATGATAGATCTATCATATACACACACACACACACACACACACACCCCACAGTTTCTTTATCCACTTGTTGATTGATGGGCATTTGGGTTGGTTCCATGATTTTGCAACTGTGAATTGTGCTGCTATAAACATGCATGTCTAAGTATCTTTTTCGAATAATGATTTATTTTCCTCTGGGTAGATACCCAGTAGTGGGACTGCTGGATCAACTGGTGGTTCTACTTTTAGTTCTTTAAGGAATCTCTACACTGTTTCCCATAGTGGCTGTACTAGTTTTCATTCCCACCAGCAGTGTAGAAGTGTTCCCTGTTCACCGCATCCATGCCAACATCTACTGTTTTTTGATTTTTTTATTATGGCCATTCTTGTAGGAGTAAGGTGGTATCACATTGTGGTTTTGATTTGCATTTCTCTGATTATTAGTGATGTTGAGCGTTTTTTCATATGTTTGTTGGCCATTTGTGTATCTTCTTTTGAAAATTGTCTATTCGTGTCATTAGCCCACTTTTTGATAGGATTGTTTTTTTCTTACTGATTTGTTTGAGTTCGTTGTAGATTCTGGTTATTAGTGCTTTGTCAGATGTATAGATTGTGAGGATTTTCTCCCACTCTGTGGGTTGTCTGTTTACTCTGCTGACTGTTCCTTTTGCCGTGCAAAAGCTCTTTAATTAGGTCCCAGCTATTGATCTTTGTTTTTATTGCATTTGCTTTTGGGTTCTTGGTCATGAAATCCTTGCCTAGGCCAATGTCTATTTATTTATTTTATTTTTTCCTCTTTTTTTTCTTTTTCTTTTTATTATTTTTCTTTTTTTTAAGCCAATGTCTAGAAGGGTTTTCCCAATGTTATCTTCTAGAATTTTTATAGTTTCACGTCTTAGGTTTAAGTCTTTAATCCATCTTGAGTTGATTTTTGTATAAAATGAGAGATGATGATCCAGTTTTATTCTCCTACACGTGGCTAGCCAATTATCTCAGCACCATTTGTTGAAAAGGTTGTCCTTTCCCCACTTTATGTTTTTGTTTGCTTTGTCGAAGATCAGTTGGCTGTAAGTATTTGGGTTTATTTCTGGGTTGTCTATTCTGTTCCATTGGTCTATATGCCTATTTTTATACCAGTATTATGCTGTTTTGGTGACTGTGGCCTTATAGTTTGAAATTAGGTTGTGTGATGTCTCCAGATTTGTTCTTTTTGCTTAGTCTTGCTTTGGCTATGCGGGCTCTTTTTTGGTTACATATGAATTTTAGAATTGTTTTTTCTAATTCTGTGAAAAAGGATGGTGGTATTTTGGTGGGGATTGCGTTGAATTTGTAGATTGCTTTTGGCAGTATGATCATTTCCACAATATTGATTCTACCCATCCATGAGCATGGGATGTGTTTCCATTTCTTTGTGTCATCTATGATTTCTTTCAGCAGTGTTTTGTAGTTTTCCTTGTAGAGGTCTTTCGACTCCTTGGTTAGGTATATTCCTAAATATTTTATTTATTTATTTATTTTTGCAGTTATTGTAAAAGGGATTGAGTTCTTGATTTAATTCTCCACCTGGTCCCTGTTAGTGTATAGAAGAGCTACTGATTTGTATACATTAATCTTGTTTCTGGAAACTTTGCTAAATTCTTTGATCAGTTCTAGGAGCTTTCTGGAGGAGTCCTTAGGGTTTTCAAGGTAAACGATCATATTGTCAGCAAACAGTGACAGTTTGACTTTCTCTTTACTGATTTGGATGCCCTTTATTTCTCTTGCCTGATTGCTCTGGCTAGGACTTCCAGTACTGTGTTGAAGAGGAGTAGTGAGAGTGGGCATCCTTGTCTCATTCCAGTTCTCAGAATGCTTTCAACTTTTCCCCATTCAGTATTATGTTGGCTGTGGGTTTGTCGTAGATGGCTTTTATTACATTAAGGTATTTCCCTTGTGTGCCGATTTTGTTGAGAGTTTTAATCGTAAAGCGATGCTGGATTTTGTTGAATGTTTATTCTGCATCTATTAAGATTATCATGTGATTTTTGTTTTTAATTCTTTTTTTTTTTTGAGACGGAGTTTCGCTCTTATTGCCCAGGCTGGAGTGCAATGGCACAATCTTGGCTCACTGCAACCTCTGCCTCCCAGGTTCAAGTGATTCTCCTGCCTCAGCTTCCCCAGTAGCTGGGATTACAGGCACGTGCCACCACTCCCAGCTAATTTTTTGTATTTGGTAAAGATGGGGTTTCACCATTTTGGTCAGGCTGGTCTTGAACTCCTGACCTCAGGTGATCCACCCGCATCACCCTCCCAAAGTGCTGGGATTACAGGCGTGAGCCACTGCGCCCTGCTTTTACCTTTAATTCTGCTTATGTGGTGTATCACGTTTATTGACCTGCATATGTTAAACCATCCCTGCATCCCTGGTATGAAACCCACTTGATCATGGTGGATTATCTTTTTGATATGTTGTTGGATTCTATTAGCTAGTACTTTGTGCTTTTTTGTTTTGTTTTGTTTTTTCCGAGATGGAGTCTTGATCTGTCACCCAGGCTGGAGTGCAGTGGCACAATCTCGGTTTACTGCAACCTCCGCTGCCCGGCTTCAAGCAAGTTTCCTGCCTCAGCCTCCCAAATAGCTGAGACTACAGGCGCCTGCCACTGCGCCCGGCTTATTTTTGGTTTTTTAGTAGAAATGGGGTTTCACCATGTTGGCCAGGCTGGTCTCGAACTCCTGACCTCGTGATCCATCCGCCTCGGCCTCCCAAAGTGCTGAGATTACAGGCATGAGCCACTGCGCCTGGCCTTCAGTTAGCTAGTATTTTGTTATGGATTTTAGTATCTATGTCCATCAAGGATATCGGTCTGTATTGTTTGTTGTTGTTGTTGTTGTTGTTGTTGTTGTTGTTGTGTCCTTTCCTGGTTTTGGTATTAAGGTGATGCTGGCTTCATAGAATGAGTTAGGGAGGGTTCCTTCTTTCTCTATCTTACAGAATAGTGTCAAAACGATTGGTATCAATTCTTCTTTGAATGTCTGGTAGAATTCTGCTGTGAATCCGTCTGGTCTTGGACTTTTTTTTGGAAATTTTTTTTTTTTTTTTTTTTTTTTTTTTTTTAGATGGAGTTTCGCTCTTGTTGTCCAAGCTGGAGTACAATGGCGTGATCTCAGCTCACCACACCTCTGCCTCCCAGGTTCAAGCGATTCTCCTGCCTCAACCTCCCGAGTAGCTGGGATTACAGATGCATACCACCATGTCTGGCTGATTTTTTTGTATTTTCAGTAGAAACGGGATTTCACCATGTTAGCCAGGCTGTTCTCGAACTCCTGAACTCAGGTGATCCACCCGTCTCAGCCTCCCAAAGTGCTGGGATTACAGGTATGAACCACTGCGCCTGGCCAGTAATTTTTTAATTACTATTTCAGTCTTGCTGTTTGTTATTGGTCTGTTCAGGTTATCTAATTCTTCCTGATTTATTTACAAGCTAGGAAGATTGTATTTTTCCAGGAACTTATTCATCTCTTCTAGGTTTTCTATTGTATGTGTGTATAGGTGTTCATAGTAGCCTTGAATGATCTTTTGTATTTCAGTGGTGTCAGTTGTAATATCTCCTGTTTTGTTTCTTAGTGAAGTTATTTGGATTTTCTCTCTTCTTTTCATCATTAATCTTGCTAATGGTCTATCAATTTTATTTATCTTTTCAAAGAAGCAGATTTTTGTTTCATTTATCATTTGTATTTTTTTGTTGTTGTTTCAATTTCATTTAATTCTGCTCTAATCTTGGTTATTTCCTTTCTTCTGCTGGGTCTGTGTTTCGTTTGTTCTTGTTTCTCTAGTTCCTTGAGTTGTGACCTTAGATTGTCTGTGCTCTTTCAGACTTTTTGATGTGGGCGTTTAGGGCTATGAACTTTCCTCTTAGCACCACTTTGCTATATCCCAGAGGTTTGATAGGTTGTGTCATTATTGTCATCTGGTTCAAATAATTTTTTAATTTCCATCTTGATTTCATTTTTGACCTAATGCTCATTCAGGAGCAGGTTATTTAATTTCCATGTATTTACATGGTTTTGAAGTTTCCTTTTGGAATTGATTTCCAGTTTTATTCCACTGTGGTCTGAGAGAGTGTTGGATATAATTTCAATTTTTTTAAATTTATTGAGACTCATTTTATGGCCTATCATATGGTCTATCTTGGAGAAAGTTCCATGTGCTCTTGAATAGAATGTGTATTCTGCAGTTGTTGGGTGAAATGTTCTGTATATATATCTGTTAATCCATTTGTTCCAAGGTATTGTAACAAGTATGGAAATTCCCCACTATTATTGTGTTGCTGTCTGTCTCATTTCTTAGGTCTATTAATAATTGTTTTATAAATTTGGGAGCACCAGTGTTAGGTGCAAATATGTTTAGAATTGTGATATTTTCCTGTTGGACAAGGCCTTTTACCATTATATAATGTCCCTCCTTGTCTCTTTTAACTGCTATTGCTTTAAAGTTTGTTTTGTCTGATATAAGAATAGCTACCCCTGCTCACTTTTGGTGTCTATTTGCATGAAATGCCTTTTTCTACCCCTTTACTTTAAGTGTATGTGAGTCCTTATGTGTTAAGTGAGTCTCCTGAAGGCAGCGGATAGTTGGTTAGTGAGTCCTTATCTACTCTGCTGTTGTGTATCTTTTAAGTGGAGCACTTAGGCCATTTACAGTTGCATCCATCCTGCTCTTTGTTGCCTGTGTACTTTGTGGGTTTTTTTGTTTTTTGCTTTTGCTTTTTAGCTTGTATTTTTGTTTTATAGGTCCTGTGTGATTTATGCTTTAAAGAGGTTCTATTGTCATGTATTTCCAGGATTTGTTTCAAGATTTAGAGTTTCTTTTAGCAGTTCTTGTAGTGGTGGCTTAGTAGTGGCGAATTCTCTCAGCATTTGTTTGTCTGAAAACGACTATATCTTTCCTTCACATGATGCTGAGTTTCGCTGAATACAAAATTATTGGCTGATAATTGTTTTGTTTGAGGAGTAGGGTCCCAATCCCTTCTAGCTTATAGGGTTTCTGCTGAGAAATCTGCTGTTAATCTGATAGGTTTTCCTTTGTAGGTTACCTGGTGCTTCTGTCTCACAGCTCTTAGGATTCTTTCCTTCATCTTAACTTTGGATAACCTGATGACAGTGTGCCTAGGCAAAGATCATTTTGCGATGAATTTCCCAGGTGTTCTTTGTGCTTCTTGTATTTGGATGTCTGGCTCTCTAGCTAGGCTGGGGAAGTTTTCCTCAATTATTCCCCCAAATATGTTTTTCAAGCTTTTAGAATTCTCTTCTTCCTCAGGAACACCAATTATTCTTAGGTTTGGTCGTTTAACATAATCCCAGACTTCTTGGAGGCTTTGTTCTTATTTTCTTATTCTTTTTTCTCTGTCTTTGTTGGACTGGGTTAATTCAAAGACCTTGTCTTTGAGCTCTGAATTTCTTTCTTCTACTTGTTCAGTTCTATTGCTGAGACTTTCCAGAGCATTTCGCATTTCTTTGTTTGTTTGTGTTTTGAGACAGAGTCTTGCTCTGTCGCCAGTCTGCAGTGCAGTGGCACGATCTCGTCTCACTGCAACCTCTGCCTCCCAGGTTCAAGTGATTCTCCTGCCTCAGCCTCTCGAGTAGCTGGGACTACAAGTATGCACCACCACGCCCGACTAATTTTTGTATTTTTTTAGTAGAGACGGGATTTCAACATGTTGGCCAGGATGGTCTCGATCTCCTGACCTTGTGATCCACCCACCTAGGCCTCCCAAAGTGCTGGGATTACAGGCGTGAGCCACCGCGCCTGGCCTGCATTTCGCATTTCTAAAAGTGTGTCCAAAGTTTCCTGAGTTTTTTATTGTTTTTTTCTTTAAGCTATCTATTTCATTGAATATTTCTCCCTTCACTTCTTGTATCATTTTTTTGGATTTCCTTGCTTTGGGCTTTGCCTTTCTCTGGTCCCTCCCTGATTAGCTTAATAACTAAGCTCCTGAATTCTTTTTCAGATAAATCACAGATTTCTTCTTAGTTTGGATCCATTGCTGGTGAACTAATGTGATTTTTGGGGGATGCTGAAGAGCCTTGTTTTGTCATATTACCAGGGTTGGTTTTCTGGTTCCTTCTCATTTAGGTAGGTTCTATCAGAGGGAAGGTCTAGGGCTGAAGGCTGTTATTCAGATTCTTTTGTCCCATGGGGTGTTCCCTTGATGTAGTACTCTCCTCCTTTTCCTATGGATGTGGCTTCCTGTGAGCCAAACTACAGTGATTATTGTCTTTCTTCTGGGCCTAGCCACCCAGTGAGTCTGCCCGGCTCTGGGCTGGTACTGGGGTTGTCTGTACAGAGTCTTGTGATGTGAACCATCTATGGGTCTCTCAGCCGTGGATACCAGTGCCTATTCTGGTGGAGGTGGCAGAGGGTGCAATGGACACCATGAGGGTCCTTAGCTTTGGTGATTTAATTATCTATTTTTGTGCTGGTTGGCCTCCTGTCAAGAGGTGATGCTTCCTGGAAGGCATCAGCTGTAGTAGAGTGGAAAGGGACCAGCAGTAGGCGGGGTCCTAGAATTCCCAAGACTATAGGCCCTTTGTCTTCAGCTACCAGGGTGGATAGGAAAGGACCATCAGGTGGGGACAGGGCTAGGTGTGTTTGAGCTCTCCTTGGGTGGGTCTTGCTGCGGCTGCTGTGGGGGATGGGGTGAGATTCCCAGGTCACTGGAGTTGTATACCTAGGAGGATTATGGCTTCCTCTGCTGAGTCATGCAGGTTGTCAGGGAAGTTGGGGAAAGCCGGCAGTCACAGGCCTCACCCAGTTCCCACGCAAACTGCAAACTGAAGGGCAGTTCCCCCGCCACCCAACAGCCCCAAGTCTGTTTCCAAGCAGAGGGCAAGAGGGGCTTGAAAACTTACCCGAGGCTGTCCACCTCCCAGCTGCCAAAGAAAAGGGCTCTTCCCCCGCCTCTGAAGTCTGCACACTGGATTCGCGCCCTCCCCCAGTTCTGGCCAGGAGGCTTCTTGTCCCGTTCAAATTGTTACAAAGTTCGGCTAGAGAATTCATTCTCCCTGTGGAGTTTTACCCCTGCTCCTCTGGCCGCCCTCCCGATGGATCCCTGTGGTGTCAGGCAGGAATGGGCTGCTTGGGGACCCAACGAGCTCCCAGGGCTTTTCTGCTGCTTCCTCTACCCCTGTATTTCACTGGGCTCTCTAACTTGACTCAGCTCCGGGTAAAATCGGAAACTTCTCCCGCAAACAGACCTTCAGCTTCTCCAGTGGGGGTGTGTGTTTAGGAGAGACGGGTCTCCCTTTCCCACTTCCGCAATTGGGGCACTCACAGTAGTTGGGGTGCCTCCCAGGTCCTGCAGGAGCAGTCCATTTCCCTCAGAGGGTCTGTGGGTCCTCTTGGGATTGCCAATTTATTCTTGCAGTCGATCTGGAGCTAGAATTCACAATGCAGGCCTCCAGATGATGGTCTCTCTGGAGCTATAATCTAGTCCTGCCTCCTGTCTGCCATGATCCCCTCCATCTCTTAATTTTCTTTTTTAATTTTTTTTCATAGAGATGGGGTCTCACTATGTTGCCAGGGCTGGTCTCGAACTCCTGGGCTCAAGAGATCCTCCTGCCTTAGCCTCCCAAAGTTTTGGGATTACAGGCATGAGCCACCATGCCTGCTGTCCTATGTTTTTAAATGTATTTTGCTGATGAAATAAGGGAAGCTCTACCTTAGATGTAACACAAATCAAGGAAACCAGTCTGGGCCTGGTGCAATGGCTTATGCCTGTAATCCCAGCACTTTGGAAGGCCAAAGCACAAGGATCGCTTGAGCAACAAAGCAAGACCCCATCTCTGCAAAACATTTAGAAATTAGCTGGGCAAGGTGGCACATAACTATAGTCCCTGCTACTTGGGAGGCTGAGGTGGGAGGATCAATCACTTGAGCCCAGGAGTTCAAGGCTGCAGCGAGCTATGATTGTACCATTGCACTCCAGTCTGGGTGACACAGCCAGACCCTGTCTCTAAAAGAAATGAAACAAAATGCAAGAAAACAGAAAAACGTAATCCGTCATAGTCTAGTTTGGAAGAAACAAAAAACAAACTAGATAAACATGTGAGTGGCTAGTAGGTTCTCATATCATGACTGAAGAAAGCATCATCATGAACTTGTCCATTACAGCAAAAGATCATATATCAGCATTAAAGGATGAGAAACTTAGTCACGAATCCCTTGGTGTTGCATCATGAAGTTTGCCATCTAGTCTTGGGTATGAACCCGTACCTCCCCAGTTTCCATCCTTTTGGACATGACCCAAAGCTGATTGCAAAGTCTTAATTAGACTAAACTATCTAGCATTACATTAGAGCCCAAGTGTTCAGTGGTGGACAGCGACTATGTCCAGGTTGGGTCACAGTGGAGCCTGTCTGACAGCACCCTTGAATCAGGAGCATGGCAGTTTATATAATCTTAATCTGTTCTTAGCCTACTTAAGCATCCATCAGCCAAAAATAATCTTCCTACATCCTGTTTGGCTGTCCTCAAACTGCTTTTATTCCTTCATCCCATTCTCTACTCCATTTCTTTAAAAAGTAATCTACAGGACATGCCTCCATGTATTCACCTTCCATTTATTCCTTATTCTTATTCTACCACCGTTCTGCTTCCGCATTTATGGCTCTCAGAAAACTGCAGTCTCAAAAGTCGCAGTGGCTCCAAACCTATCTATGCAGCCTTCCTTTTTCTTGTCTTTTTTTTTTTTTTTTTTTTTAAATTGGTTACCCAATTCTTGGAAGTCAATCTGCTCTTCTACTTTTCTGACTTTTTTTCTCAGTACCTCTTACTGGTTCCCCTCCACCATGACCTTTGTCCATGTCTTAAAGTTGATACTCACCTAGTTTCCTCCTGGCCCTCTTCTCTTACCATTCTTGCTCTCCCTCATGATCTGCTTCATTCATTAAGTAAGCATAAATTAGCACCTCCATTAATCACATTGCTTTAATATATGCTAATGAGTTACATACCTGTTTTAAGTTCTGAGCTCTTTCCTGAGCTTCATACACAGCTTAAATTGCCAGCTTCCATTTGGTCACCTTGGCTTTGATTTCTCCCAAGCACTGCCTCAGCACATCTATAAGAACAAGACAAACTACCATCCCTGTTCCTCCCGCAATCCCCCAAACTTGTTATTCCTTTAATATCCCTTATTGTAGATAATTCATGGAACTGCAGAAATGGAAGATTTACCTAACAATTGGTTTTAGGTCTTGGTTTTAACATTTAGCTTTTTATAAGTTTGGGCTTGGATGGATATAGTGAGTTTATATTATGTCCCTACAGCAGGAAATTGTTTTTGCATGTCTAAACCAACCTGTTTTAACACTTGTAATATTCTGGCAAGAGTTCAGGAAGAGTTTAAATTACAGCAGAAACTTTGTACAAAGAAAACCACATTTGGCATTTATAGTTTAATTTGTCTTCATAAAAACTACATTGAGTCATTTTTTACCATAAGGGTGTACATTCAAAGCTTATGTTATTCAGCATTGGAGTAGTTTTGTAGAGTTTCAAAGTAACCTAAGAGTAGACATTTTTGGTATGCTTACTGGCAGAATCAAATTCTTACCTGTTCCTGCATACAGTATACCTGACAGATGATAGGGAGAGCCAGATGGGAGAGAAACAAAGAAGCCAATATGAATGAGCACCTACTGGCTGCCAGATGCCTGGTTCTTTGCTAGGCACTGTACACGTGTAATCTCAAGAAATTCTTCAACCCAATGATGTGTGCTATTATCCTCCAGTTTACAGAGGAGGAAAACTGAAGTGTCACAGAAGCTAAATGACTTTTCAGGCTAAGTGAAAAGTCACTGGTCAGCACTTCATTCCTCCACAACAGACACTGAAAGACATGTATTCAGAAGCCTTTAAGACAAAAACTAGATGGCTTCAATGCCTGAATTTGGTAACAGATCACCGTGAAGGAGTGAGAACTGGAGTTCAAATCTCAGCTAGGCCACTTGCCTCACAGTGAGGATTGCATAAGTCACATTTCCCTTCTGGAACTCAGTTTTCTTTTTTTTCTTTTCTTTTTTTTTTTTTTGAGATGGAGTTTTGCTCTTGTTTTCCAGGCTGGAGTGCAATGGCGTGATCTTGGCTCACTGCAACCTCTACCTCCCAGGTTCAAGCGATTCTCCTGCCTCAGCCGCCTGAGTAGCTGAGATTATAGGCGCCCACCACCACGCCCAGCTAATTTTTTGTATTTTTAGTAGAGACAGGGTTTCACCATATTGGCCAGGCTGGTCTTGAACTCCTGACCTCAGGTGATCCACCTGCCTCGGCCTCCCAAAGTGCTGGGATTACAGGTATGAGCCACCGCGCCCTGCCCCAGTTTTCTTATCTTCAAAGTGAGACCATTAGAGATTTCATAGGTTGTTTCTCTTTCATATTGTAGGGTGTGGTGTCCTGGGTTTGGGAAGCAGGCAGCCACAGCCACAGCCTCCAGAACAGTTCTTTTCCCTACAATTTTCCTTCTGCAAACCCTGAAACCCATGCTTAGCGTGAGGTTTGTGAGAAAATTACACAAATGGTAGTTTTACCATTTGCTGGGAATGGGGATTCTTTTCCACTGATATACTGTCTGAAGGAGATGGCTGTAAACCAGAGTGACCACAATATTTACAAAAGTATTTAATGAAAAAGACGACTTTGGCAACCGATGTAACCCATCACTTATGGGGGGGATAAAGAGAAGTTCACTTGAGGTTTAATAAATCAAAACATAGTGTTTGTCCACAGCCTCATTTTTTCCCCATTACTGGAAGATGATATCATCATTTTCATTTCCATTAGAATCTTTTAGTGTCCAGGGGGATGAAAAATTAATATTAGCTGTTTTTATTGTGCTGTTTTTATTTTTAAAGAGAATTTTAGTTTTAATTCTGACAGATATGTGAATGGGGCTTTCAAACTGTACCCAAGGATTCATGGCATTTTTATAAGAATTGTATTGTGGAAATGACTGACTTTTCTTTTATGTGTACAAGGATTATTCTTTTAAAGCCTCAAGTCTCCACTTTTTGGTAGCCTGCTCTTTTCCTCAATCCCTGACTTAAATATCATGCCTTCCAAGAAGCATTCTCCAGCTTCACGGTGCTCCCATAGCACCCCACTTACCCTGCTACACCAGGACTCATTTCTCTCTGCTTTACGTTATGAATGGCAGTTACCATCTGTTTTCCCCAAACAGTACATAAATTCTTTGAGGATTTACACATATGTGTATCAGTGTATCATTTTTATTGAGTGCATCTTGAGTGTAATAATAAAGCATAGCTCTTACAGTCTATTAGAGTCAATAGTCTATACGAAGGGATCAAATTACTGTCTCTGTGTAAAACAGTGTGATCATTTCTGTGATTGCAGAAATGTGAAGTTATTTTGGAAATCTATAGGAGAGTACACATCTAGAGTTTTTAAAGAATTAGCAAATGGTTTAGCAGCATTTAACACAGATGATCTTTCTTCAAACACTCAATTATTTTGTTTTTTACCAAAAGAATTGGTGAGAGTGAGAGAAACTCCCTCTCTCTTGTGTCTCCCTTCTTAATCTCTTTGGCTGGTTCCTCATCCTCCCTCCCCCTCTTCCTCCCCCCTCCCTACCCCTCTTCCTCCTCCTCCTCCTCCTCCCAAAGTGGGGTGGTGTGAACATGATTGTGAGGCTGGAGGGTTGAGTGCAGGAAAGAAGTGGCCAGATCACAACAGGCTTTGGAAATGACAGTGAAGGTCTGGGACCCAAAGGCTACAGGGGAGGAACATAACCAGGTCTGCATGGTGAGGGGGGAATTATTTCTTTGTGTATTTATTTACTTAGCCAGTTACATAGCAACAGGTCTGCATTTTGGAAAAATCACTGATTGTAATGTGGTGTATGAAGTGAATGTAAGGATCAAGTCTACAGGGCATCATTTAAAGGTTACTGCATTTGCCTGGGCATAGTGGCTCACTCCTGTAATCCCAGCACTTTGGGAGGCCGAGGTGGGCAGATGACTTGAAGCCAAGAGTTCAAGACCAGCCTGGCCAACATGGAGATACCCCATCTCTACTAAAAACTACAAAAATTTAGCCAGGTGTGATGGCGCACACCTGTAATCCCAGCTGCTCGGGCGGCTGAGGCACAAGAATCACTTGAGCCTGGGAGGCAGAGGCTGCAGTGAGCCAAGATCACACCACTGCACTCTAGCCTGGGCAACAGAACAAGACTCTGTCTCAAAAAAAAAAAATAAAATAAAGGTTACTGTAGTAATCTAATAGAAAGATATTTCTTTACTAAGGTAGGGGGAATTCAAGATATCATTAGGAGGTAAAATCAACAGGACTTAAGATTTAGTTGGATGTAGGGAAAAGGAAGGAAGAGTAATCAAATATGAAGCCCAGGTTTTTGGCATGAGCAAATGCATGATAGGATAGCTATTTCCTGAGGTAAACACAGGTTTATGGAGAAAGATAATATAATCCATTCTGTGGATCAAAAGAGAAACCTGAGCTAGAGATATAAGATCCCTCAGTATGTGTGAATGGTACTGAAGCCACAAAACTGAATGAGATCATAGACCATGATTTATAACCAGGCCATCTGGCAAGGTTTACAGAAATTACAGGAACCAAAATAAGAGAATTTTAAAACTCTCCAAAATAAGCACTTTCACACATTGTTGATAGAAATGTGAATTGATAGACTCTTTATGTAGGTCATTTTATCAGCCTTTACTAAATGTTAAGCCATTCTACTTCTAGGAATCTGCCCTACGAAAATGTTTGTAGAAATGTACAAAAATCTCTTACATGGGTATTCATTTGTAGTGTATAAAGTAGTTAAAAAAATTACAAATAACCCAAATGATTATCAATAGAAGATTGGTTAAATCACAATATATTAGAGGATTCTGGGGAGATGGCAGAGTAGGCAGCACCAGGAATCTATCTCCCTACCTCAACAACAATTGCATTGGCAGAATCTATCTGATGTAACTATTTTGGAACTCTGGAGTCTATTCAACTCTTGCAGCTTCTACAGTAGGGGTGTCCAGTGTTTTGGCTTCCCTGAGTCACATTGGAAGAAGAACTGTCTTGGGCCACACATAAAATACACTAACACTATGATAGCTGATGAGCTAAAAAAAAAAAAAAAAAAAAAAAAAAAAAATCATAATGTTTTAAGAACGTTTACGAATTTTGTGTTGGGCCTCATTCAAAGTCATCCTGGGCTGCATGCAGCCCACAGGCCATGGGTTAGACAAGCTTGTTCTACAGGAAGACTAGGTCAGTAAATTGTGGTTAATTCTGGTCAATTTCAGCTCTTAACAAAGTAGTAGCTACCCAGCCCCAGGGCAGGCAGCTGTGCACCAGTTCCTGGAGTAAACTGCAGACAATTTTTGGGGGGCCAGCACTATCCTTCAAATATCAGAGATTTGTGCTCTGATTGCTATTTCTGATCACAGAGATACAGACAAAGAGGTAGGTGACTACTGTTGTAACTTCCAGAGGATGTAAACGGCTAGCACCCTGTCTCCACTTTCATTTTTTTATCTTTCCCCTTTTGGGAGCCATGCATTAAAGACTAGGAGGATTCAAAAGCAACTGCATATACAGGGACAATTAAAAAGTGACCACATATGCTCAGGGAAAGGTATTGGTCAAAATACACCTGAGAAAACCTCAAGTTTATACCTCTGGCTGATACTTGGCACAGAGACAACCTTCAACAATCAGTAAAATAAAAATAATAATAATAAAAACAGCAAACCATAGGGAAGGAAAAGAGTCTGATTCTTAGCGTTACCATATTATTAGATTCAAATGTCCAATTTTCAACAATAAAATTGTAAGACATACAAAGAAGCGGCCAAGCGTGGTGGCTCATGCCTGTAATCCCAGCACTTTGGGAGGATGAGGCAGGTGGATCACGAGGTCAGGAGTTTGAGACCAGCCTGGTCATCATGGTGAAACCCCGTCTCTACTAAAAATACAAAAATTAGCCGGGCGTGATGTCGGGTGCCTGTAATCCCAGCTACTCGGGAGGCTGAGGCAGGGAATTGCTTGAACCCAGGAGTCAGAGGTTGCAGTGACCAAAGATTGCGCCATTGCACTCCAGCGTGGGCGACAGAGTGAGTCTCCATCTCAAAAAAAAAAAACAAAAACACAAAAAGACATACAAAGTAACATAAAAATATAGCCTTTCAAAGGAAAAAAATAAATAAACAGAAACTGTCCATGAAGAAGACCTAATGGCAGATCTACTAGTTAAAGAGTTTTAAAAACTGTCTAAAGATGCTCAAAGAACTAAAGATCTGGAGAAAGTCAAGAAAATGATGTATGAACAAAATGGAAATAGCAACAAAGAGATATTAAATCTAAAACCAAAAAGAAATTTTGGAGCTGAGAACTACAATAACTGAAATGAAAAATTCACTAAAGGGATTCGAAGGCAGATTTGAGCAGGTAGAAGAAATAATCAGCAAATTTGGAGATAGGGCAATGGAAATGATCAATTCTTAGGAGCAGAAAGAAGAAAGACTGCAGAAGAATGAACAGAGCATAAGAGACTTGTGGGACACCATGAAGAGGATCAACTTATGCACTGTGGGAGTCTCAGAAGAAGACGAGAAAGAAAAAGGAACACAAAGAATATCTGAAGAATTAATGGCTGAAAACTTCCCACATTTGTTGAACAACGTGAATATAAACATCTGAGTTCAACAAACTCCAAGTAAGAAGAATTCAAAGATACACCTGTGCAAAACAGAGAAACTTGAAAGCAGCAAGAGAGAAAGCAGCACACATAAATTTCTCAGAAACTTTGGAAGGCAGAAGGCACTGGGCTGACATTTTCAAAGTGCTAAAAGGAAACAAAAGAATACAGTACCCAGCAAAAAACTCTTTCAAAAGTGAGGGAGAAATTAAGACATTCTCAGATGAACAAAAGCTGAGGGAGTATGTTACCACTACATCTGTCCTGCAAGAAATATTTAAGGGAGTTCTACAGGGTGAAATGAAAGGACCATAGACAGCAACTCAAAACAACGTGAAGAAATAAAGATCTCAATAAGGCAAATAGAGCAATTATAAAAGCTTGTATTGTAACAACTGTTTGTGATTTCACTTTTCGTTTTCAACATGATTATAAGAGACTAATACTTTTGTATTTTTTAAATTGACAATTATACATTTATGGGGTATACAGTTACATAAGATAGATATATATATATATATATATATAGATATATATATAAAGTGGTTAGTGATTAGATTAATTAGCGTATCCATCATCTCAAACATTTATCATTTCTTTGTGTTAGCAACATTCAGTATCCTTCTAGCCATTTGAAACTAAATATATTAACTATAATCATCCTACAGTAGTATAGAACACTAGAACTTATTACACTTTAAAAATATTATTAGTCTAAAAGCTAATATTATAATTTTGGTTTGTAACTTCAAACACTGCTTTCTACATAATTTAAGAAACTAATGTATTTCAAAGAATTTGTAGCTTGTGTTTTGGGACTCACTATGTATACAGATGTAATTTTGTGACAGAGCTGTTAAAGTAACAGAGATTAGGTGTGTTATTGAAGTTAAAGTGGTATAAATTCCATTTAGACTGTTATAACTTTGGGATCTTAAATGTAATTTCCAAGGTAAGCACAAAGCAAATAGCTACAGAACTTGTACAAAAGGAAACAAGAAAGGAGCTTAAATACCTCACTACAAAAAGCCAAAAAAACACAAAGGAAAAGGTAATACAGGAAATGGACAAAATAGATATAAGGAATATATAAAATAAATTGCAAAATGACAAAAGTAAATCCTTCCCTTATCAGTAATTACTTTAAATGTAACTAGATTAAGCTCTCCAATTAAAAGACAAGATTAGCAGAATGTATTTTTCTTCTTTTTTTTATTATACTTTAAGTTCTAGGATACATGTGCACTAGGGTACATGTGCACAACATGCAGGTTTGTTACATATGTATACATGTGCCATGTTGGTGTGCTGTACTCGTTAACTCAACATTTACATTAGGTATATCTCCTAATGCTATCCTTCCCCCTTCCCCCCACCGCACAACAGGCCCCAGTGTGTGATGTTCCCCACTCTGTGTCCAAGTATTCTCATTGTTCAATTCCCACCTATGAGTGAGAACATGCGGTGTTTGGTTTTCTGTTGTTGCGATAGTTTACTCAGAATGATGGTTTCCAGCTTCATCCATGTCCCTGCAAAGGACATGAACTCGTCATTTTTTATGGCTGCATAGTATTCCATGGTGTATATGTGCCACATTTTCTTAATCCAGTCTATCATTGATGGACATTTGGGTTGGTTCCAAGTCTTTGCTATTGAGAATAGTGCTGCAGTAAACATACGAGTGTATGTGTCTTTATAGCAGCATGATTTATAATCCTTTGGGTATATACACAGTAATGGGATGGCTGGGTCAAATGGTATTTCTAGTTCTAGATCCTGAGGAATCGCCACACTGTCTTCCACAATGGTTGAACTAGTTTACAGTCCCACCAACAGTGTAAAAGTGTTCCTATTTCTCCACATCCTCTCCAGCACCTGCTGTTTCCTGACTTTTTAATGATTGCCATTCTAACTGGTGTGAGATGGTATCTCACTGTGGTTTTGATTTGCATTTCTCTGATGGCCAGTGATGATGAGCATTTTTTCATGTGTCTGTTGGCTGCATAAATGTCTTCTTTTGAGAAGTGTCTGTTCATGTCCTTTGCCCACTTTTTGATGGGGTTGTTTTTTTCTTGTAAATTTGTTTAAGTACTTTGTAGATTCTGGATATTAGCCCTTTGTCAGATGGGTAGATTGTAAAAATTTTCTCCTATTCTGTAGGTTGCCTGTTCACTCTGATGGTAGTTTCTTTTGCTGTGCAGAAGCACTTTAGTTTAGTAGATCCCATTTGTCAATTTTGGCTTTTGTTGCCATTGCTTTTGGTGTTTTAGTCATGAAGTCCTTGCCCATGCCTATGTCCTGAATGGTATTGCCTAGGTTTTCTTCTAGGATTATTATGGTTTTAGGTCTAACATTTAAATCTCTAATTCATCTTGAATTAATTTTTGTATAAGGTGTAAGGAAGGGATCCAGTTTCAGCTTTCTACATATAGCTAGCCAGTTTTCCCAGCACCGTTTATTAAATAGGGAATCCTTTCCCCATTTCTTGTTTTTGTCAGGTTTGTCAAAGATCAGATGGTTGTAGATGTGTGGTATTCTTTCTGAGGGCTCTGTTCTGTTCCATTGGTCTATATCTCTGTTTTAGTACCAGTACCATGCTGTTTGGTTACTGTAGCCTTGTAGTATAGTTTGAAGTCAGGTAGCATGATGCCTCCAGCTTTGTTCTTTTTGCTTAGGATTGTCTTGGAAATGCGGGCTCTTTTTTGGTTCCATATGAACTTTAAAGTAGTTTTTTCCAATTCTGTGAAGAAAGTCATTGGTAACTTGATGGGGATGGCATTGAATCTATAAATTACCTTGGGCAGTATGGCCATCTTCATGGTATTGATTCTTCCTATCCATGAGCATGGAATGTTCTTCCATTTGTTTGTGTCCCTTTTTATTTCGTTGAGCAGTGGTTTGTAGTTCTCCTTGAAGAGGTCCTTCACATCCCTTGTAAGTTGGATTCCTAGGTATTTTATTCTCTTTGAAGCAATTGTGAATGGGAGTTCACTCATGATTTGGCTCTCTGTTTGTCTGTTATTGGTGTATAGGAAGGCCTGTGATTTTTGCACATTGATTTTGTATCCTGAGACTTTGCTGAAGTTGCTTATCAGCTTAAGGAGATTTTGGGCTGAGATGATGGGGTTTTCTAAATATAAAATCATGTCATCTGCAAATGGGACAATTTGATTTCCTTTTTTCCTAATTGAATACCCTTTATTTCTTTCTCCCGCCTGATTGCTCTGGCCAGAGCTTCCAACACTATGTTGAATAGGAGTGGTGAGAGAGGGCATCCCTGTCTTGTGCCAGTTTTCAAAGGGAGTGCTTCTAGTCTGCCCATTCAGTATGATATTGGCTGTGGGTTTGTCATAGATAGCTCTTATTATTTTGAGATATGTCCCATCAATACCTAGTCTATTGAGAGTTTTTGGCATGAAGGGCTGTTGAATTTTGTTGAAGGCCTTTTCTGCATCTATTGAGATAATCATGTGGTTTTTGTCTTTAGTTCTGTTTATATGCTGGATTACATTTATTGATTTGCATATGTTGAACCAGCCTTGCATCCCAGGGATGAAGCCCACTTGATCATGGTGGATAAGCTTTTTGATGTGCTGCTGGATACGGTTTGCCAGTATTTTATTGAGGATTTTTGCATCAATGTTCATCAGGGATATTGGTCTAAAATGCTCTTTTTTTGTGGTGTCTCCACCAGGCTTTGGTATCAGGATGATGCTGGCCTAATAAAATGAGTTAGGGAGGATTCCCTGTTTTTCTGTTGTTTGAAATGGTTCCAGAAGGAATGGTACCAGCTCCTCTTTGTACCTCTGGTAGAATTCGGCTGTGAATCCGTCTGGTCCTGGACTTTTTTTGGTTGGTAGGCTATTAATTATTGCCTCAATTTCAGAGTCTGTTATTGGTCTATTAAGAGATTCAACTTCTTCCTGGTTTAGTCTTGGGAGGGTGTATGTGTCCAGGAATTTATCCATTTCTTCTAGATTTTCTAGTTTATTTGCATAGAGGTGTTTATAGTATTATCTGATAGTAGTTTGTATTTCTGTGGGATTGGTGGTGATATCCCCTTTATCATTTTTTATTGCATCTATTTGATTCTTCTCTCTTTTCTTCTTTATTAGTCTTGCTAGCAGTCTATCAATTTTGTTGATCTTTTCAAAAAACCAGCTCCTGGATTCATTGATTTTTTTGAAGGGTTTTTTGTGTCTCTATCTCCTTCAGTTCTGCTCTGATCTTAGTTATTTCTTGCCTTCTGCTAGCTTTTGAATGTGTTTGCTCTTGCTTCTCTAGTTCTTTTAATTGTGATGTTAGGGTGTCGATTTTAGATCTTTCCTGCTTTCTCTTGTGGGCATTTAGTGCTATAAATTTCGCTCTACACACTGCTTTAAATGTGTCCCAGAGATTCTGGTATGTTGTGTCTTTGTTCTCATTGGTTTCAAAGAACATCTTTATTTCTGCCTTCATTTCGTTATGTACCCATTAGTCATTCAGGAGCAGGTTGTTCAGTTTCCATGTAGTTGAGCGGTTTTGAGTGAGTTTCTTAATCCTGAGTTCTAGTTTGATTGCACTGTGGTCTGAGAGACAGTTTGTTATAATTTCTGTTCTTTTACATTTGCTTAGGAGTGCTTTACTTCCAACTATGTGGTCAATTTTGGAGTAAGTGCAATTTGGTGCTGAGAAGAATGTATATTCTGTTGATTTGGAGTGGAGAGTTCTGTAGATGTCTTTTAGGTCTGCTTGGTGCAGAGCTCAGTTCAATTCCTGGATATCCTTGTTAACTTTCTGTCTGATTGATCTGTCTAATGTTGATAGTGGGGTGTTAAAGTCTCCCATTATTATTCTGTGGGAGTCTAAGTCTCTTTGTAGGTCTCTAAGGGCTTGCTCTATGAATCTGGGTGCTCCTGTATTGGGTGCATATATATTTAGGATAGTTAGCTCTTCTTGTTGAATTGATCCCTTTACCATTATGTAATGGCCTTCTTTGTCTCTTTTGACCTTTGTTGGTTTAAAGTCTGTTTTATCAGCAACTAGGATTGCAACTCCTCTTTTTTTTTTTTTTTTTGTTTTCCATTTGCTTGGTAGATCCTTCTCCATTCCTTTATTTTGAGCCTATGTGTGTCTCTGCACATGAGATGGGTCTCCTGAATACAGCACACAGATGGGTCTTGACTCTTTATCCAATTTGCCAGTCTGTGCCTTTTAATTGGAGCATTTAGCCCATTTACATTTAAGGTTAATACTTTTATGTGTGAATTTGATCCTGTCATTATGATGTTAGCTGGTTATTTTGCTGGTGAGTTGATGCAGTTTCTTCCTAGCATTGATGGTCTTTACAATTTGGCACGTTTTTGCAGTAACTGGTACCGGTTGTTCCTTTCCACATTTAGTGCTTCCTTCAGGAGCTCTTGTAAGGCAGGCCTGGCAGTGACAAAATCTCTCAGCATTTGTTTGTCTGTAAAGGATTTTATTCCTCCTTCACTTATGAAGTTTAGTTTGGCTGGATATGAAATTCTGGGTTGAAAATTCTTTTCTTTAAGAATGTTGAATATCGGCCCCCACTCTCTTCTTGCTTGTAGAGTTTCTGCCGAGAGATCCGCTGTTAGTCTGATGGGCTTCCCTTTGTGGGTAACCCGACCTTTCTCTCTGGCTGCTCTTAACATTTTTTCCTTCATTTCAGCTTTGGTGAATCTGACAATTATGTGTCTTGGAGTTGCTCTTCTCGAGGAGTATCTTTGTGGCGTTCTCTGTATTTCCTGAATTTGAATGTTGGCCTGCCTTGCTATGTTGGGGAAGTTCTCCTGGATAATATCCTGCAGAGTGTTTTCCAACTTGGTTCCATTCTCCCCGTCACTTTCAGGTACACCAATCAGATGTAGATTTGGTCTTTTCACATAGTCCCATATTTCTTGGAGGCTTTGTTCATTTCTTTTTATTCTTTTTTTCTCTAAACTTCTCTTCTCACTTCATTTCATTCATTTGATCTTCAATCACTGATACCCTTTCTTCCACTTGATCAAATCGGCTACTGAGGCTTGTGCATGTGTCATGTAGTTCTTGTGCCATGGTTTTCAGCTCCATCAGGTCATTTAAGGTCTTCTCTATGCTGTTTATTCTAGTTAGCCATTCGTCTAATCTTTTTTTCAAGGTTTTTAGCTTCTTTGCGATGGGTTCGAACATCCTCCTTTAGCTCAGCAAAGTTTGTTATTACCAGTCGTCTGAAGCCTTCTTCTCTCAACTCGTCAAAGTCATTCTCCGTCCAGCTTTGTTCCCTTGCTGGCGAGGAGCTGCGTTCCTTTGGAGGAGAAGAGGCGTTCTGATTTTTAGAATTTTCAGCTTTTCTGCTCTGGTTTCTCCCCATCTTTGTGGTTTTATCCACCTTTGGTCTTTGATGATGGTGACGTACAGATGGGGTTTTGGTGTGGATGTCCTTTCTGTTTGTTAGTTTTCCTTCTAACAGTCAGGACCCTCAGCTGCAGGTCTGTTGGAGTTTGCTGGAGGTCCACTCCAGACCCTTTTTGCCTGGGTATCACCAGCGGATGCTGCAGAACAGCAAATATTGCAGAAGGGCAAATGTTGCTGCCTGATCCTTCCTCTGGAAGCTTTGTCTCAGAGGGGCACTGGGCTGTATGAGGTGTCAGTCGGCCCCTACTTGGAGGTGTCTCCCAGTTAGGCTACTCGGGGGTCAGGGACCCACTTGAGAAGGCGGTCTGTCCGTTCTCAGATCTCAAACTCCGTGCTGGGGGAACCACTGCTCTCTTCAAAGCTGTCAGACAGGGATGTTTAAGTCTGCAGAAGCTTCTGCTGCCTTTTGTTCAGCTATGCCCTGCCCCGAGAGGTGGAGTCTACAGAGGCAGGCAGGCCTACTGAGCTGCAGTGGGCTCCACCCAGTTCGAGCTTCCCGGCTGCTTTGTTTACCTACTCAAGCCTCAGCAATGGCGGATGCCTGTCCCCCAGCCTCGCGGCCGCCTTGCAGTTGGATCTCAGACTGCTGTGCTAGCAGTGAGCGAGGCTTCGTGGGCATGGAACCCTCTGAGCCAGGCGCGGGATGTAATCTCCTGGTGTGCCGTTTGCTAAGACCGTTGGAAAAGCATAGTATTAGAGTGGGAGTGTCCCGATTTTCCAGGTACCATCTGTCACAGCTTCCCTTGGCTAGGAAAGGGAATTCCTTGACCCCTTGCACTTACCAGGTGAGGCGATGCCCCACCCTGCTGCATGGGCTGCACCCACTGTCCGACAAGCCCTAGTGAGATGAACCCGGTACCTCAGTTGGAAATGCAGAAATCACCCGTCTTCTGCATCGCTCACGCTGGGAGCTATAGACTGGAGCTGTTCCTGTTCAGCCATCTTGGAACCTCCCCCCAGAATGTATTTTTTTTAATGATGTAACTATAGGCTGTCTACAAGTTAAATTATGTTTACAGATTATGTGATCTATATGTAAAAAACTAAGGATTCTACCCCCAAAAACCTGTGAAAACAAATAAATTCAGCAAAGTAGCAGAATACAAAGTGAACACACTAAAATTGGTTAGAAAAACAATAACAAAAATGGGTTGGATTTCTATACACTAACAGTGAACAATATCTGGAAAGGAAATTACAAAAACAATTTTGTTACAATAGCATAAAAAAAGAATAAAATACCTAGGAATTAACCAAGAAGGTGAAAGATTTGTACAATGAAAACTTCAAAACATTGCTGAAAGAAAATAAGACATAAATCAGTGGAAACACGTCCCAAATTCATGGATTGGAAGACTCTGTGTTAAGATGTCAGTACTACTCAAAGCAATCTACAGATTCAATGAAATCTCTATCAAAATTCCAGTGATGTTTTTCGCAGAAATAGAAAAACTCATTCTAGAATTCACATGGAATCTCAAGGGACCCTGAGTAGCCAAAACAATCTTCAAAAAGAACAAAGCTGGAGGACTCATTTCTTAATTTCAAAACTTACTACAAAGCTACAATAATCAAAACAATGTAGGACTGATTTAAAGACAGACATTGGCTAATGGAATAGAATACAGAGTCCAAAATGAACCCACCCGTACTTAGTCAAATGAATTTTGACTAATGTGCCAAGACCATTCAATGGGGAAATGACATTCATTTAACACATGGTGCCTGGAAATCTGGATATCCACATGCAAAAGTATGAAGTTGGAACCTTAGCTAACACCATATACAAAAATTAACTCAAAATGGATCAAAGACCTACATGTAAAACCTAAAAGTATAATAGTCTTAGAAAACAGGAAAAGCTTCACTACATTGGATTTGGCAAGTGATTTCTTAGATATGACAGCAAAGGTATAGTCAACTTAAGGAGAAGAGACAGATTGGACTTAGTGAAAATGTAAAAGTTTTGTGTACTAACAGACATTATGAACAGTGAAAAGGCAACTCACAAATAGGACAAAATTTTGCAAATCATGTATCTGATAAGGGATTATAATACAGAATATAAAGAGAACTCCTAAAACTCAACACCAAAACAACTCTGTTCAAAAATGGGCAAAGGACTTGAATAGACATTTCTCCAAGAACATATACACAAATGGCCATTAAGTACATGAAGAGATGCTCAACATCACTAATCATTAGGGAGCTACAAATTAAAATACAGTGAGATACCACCTCACACCCATTAGAATGTCTCCTATCCAGGCTGGGCGCGGTGGCTCACGCCTGTAATCTCAGCACTTTGGGAGGCCAAGGCAGGCAGATCACGAGGTCAGGAGTTCAAGACCAGCCTGGCCAACATGGTGAAACCCCGTGTCTACTGAAAGTACAAAAATTAGCTGGGCATGATGGCGTACACCTGTAATCCCAGCTACTTGTGGGGTTGAGACAGGAGAATTGCGTGAACCTGGGAGGTGGAGGTTGCAGTGAGCCGAGATTGCACCACTGCTCTCCAGCCTGGGTGACAGAGTGAGACTCCATTTCAAAAAAAAAAAGAATGTCTCCTATCCAAAAAACAGAAAATAACAAGCACTGGCAAGAAAGTAGAAAAATTAGAACCGTTGCGCGCTGTTATAGTAGGGATATAAAATGGTACAGCTGCTATAGAAAACAGCATAGCAGTTCCTAAGAAAATTAAAAATAGAATTACCATGTGATCCACTGATTTCACCTGAGGTACATGCCAGAATAACTGAAAGCAGAGTCTTCAGATATTTCTACCCCTATGTTCACAGCAGCATTATTCACCGTAGCTATAACATTGGAAGCAATCCAAGTGTTCATCAAAGGATAAATAGATAAACAAATGCAGTCTGTCCATATAATGGAATATTATTCAGCTTAAAAAGGAAGGAAATTCTGATATGTGCTACAAAATGGATGAAGTTTGTGGACATTATGCTAAGTGATATAGCCAGTCACAAAAAGACAAATACTGTATGATTTCACTTACATGAGGTACTTAGAGTAGTCTAAATAGGAGAGATTTAGGGTGGTTGCTAAAGGCAAAGGGAGGAAGGAATGGGGAGTCAGTGTTTAATAGGTGTCAAGTTTCGATTTTACAACAGGAAAACAGTTATGAAAATGGACAGTGGTGATGGTTGCACAACATTATGAATATATTTAATAGCACTAAACTTAAACCACTTAAAAGTGGTTAAGATGATAAATTTTATGTTATCTGTATTTTACAACAATAATTTTTAAAAATCATAATGCATTGTATGCCTGTTTGTTGATGTGGGATATTTATTATGGGATATGTATATCTATTGATATCTCATATCAATAAATAGGCATACAATGCATTAAGATTTAAATAATAATTGTTATATATAATGTTTATTATTTAAATCATAATGCATTACATGTGTATACATAATGGCTTAAATATGATTTAAATCATATTTTGGCAGTGTCTCAGCCTCTCCCAAAGTGTACAGATTATTACAGGCATGAGCCACCATGCCAGGCCAGAATATATCTTGGAAACAGTAAATAAGTAGTATGTATGGCAGGTAAAGACAGACAACTCAGTATGAAAATAGGTAAGCAATTTGATCAGACCGTTTGCACCAAAAATACTAACAAAATTCAAATGGTGAGTAAACAAATGTAAGTGTTAAATCCATTAATAAAAGAAAAGCAATTTTAAATCATTATGAGATTCCATAGCATACCTACCAGAATGGTGGGTATTAAAAAGAATATTAAAAAGACTAACCCTGCCAATTATTAGGATATGGAACAATAGATATTCTCATATACTGCTGATGGAACTGTAAACTGACAAAAATACTTAGACATTATCTGTAAAATTTGAAGATTCACATATCCCTAGGTGTGTGTGTATATATATATCCAAAGAAACATGTGCACATGTATATCAAGAAACACGCACAGGGGCTGGGTGCAGTGGCTCACGGCTGTAATCCCAGCACTTTAGGAGGCTGAGGCAGGCTGATCACTTGAGGCCAGGAGTTCAAGACCAGCCTGGCCAACATGGCAAAACCCTGTCTCTACTAAAAATACAAAATATTAGCTGGGCATGGTGGCGGGCACCTGTAGTCCTCACTACTCGGGAGGCTGTGATGTATTCTTATTATGAAATACCATTTAGAATTGAGAAGAACAACACCATGGAGCTACATACGACATCATAAATGAATCTCCCAAACAAAATACTGAGCAATATAAGTCAAAATATATGTTTTATGATTCTATATACATGAAGTTTAGAAACAGGCAAAAAAATAAGCTTTCTTGTTTAGGGGTGCATACTTAAGTAAGGAAAAAATCTAAGGGAAAAGAAAAGCAAGGAAGGTATTTGTAGAAAAATCAAGATAGCTGGGCATAATGTTATGCCCCTATAGTCCCAGCTACTTGGAAGCTGAGGTGGGAAGATTGAGCCCAGGAGTTCAAGTCTGGCCCGGGCAACACAGGGAGACCCTATCTTTTATTTATTTATTTATTTATTTATTATTATTATACTTTAAGTTTTAGGGTACATGTGCACAATGTGCAGGTTAGTTACATATGTATACATGTGCCATGCTGGTGCACTGCACCCACTAACTCATCATCTACCATTAGGTATATCTCCCAATGCTATCCCTCCCCCCTCCCCCCACCCCACAACAGTCCCCAGAGTGTGATGTTCCCCTTCCTGTGTCCATGTGTTCTCATTGTTCAGTTCCCACCTATGAGTGAGAATATGCAGTGTTTGGTTTTTTGTTCTTGCAATAGTTTACTGAGAATGATTATTTCCAATTTTATCCATGTCCCTACAAAGGACATGAACTCGTCATTTTTTATGGCTGCATAGTATTCCATGGTGTATATGTGCCACATTTTCTTAATCCAGTCTATCATTGTTGGGCATTTGGGTTGGTTCCAAGTCTTTGCTATTGTGAATAATGCCGCAGTAAACATACGTGTGCATGTGTCTTTATAGCAGCATGATTTATAGTCCTTTGGGTATATACCCAGTAATGCGATGGCTGGGTCTAATGGTATTTCTAGTTCTAGATCCCTGAGGAATTGCCACACTGACTTCCACAATGGTTGAACTAGTTTACAGTCCCACCAACAGTGTAAAAGTGTTCCTATTTCTCCACATCCTCTCCAGCACCTGTTGTTTCCTGACTTTTTAATGACTGCCATTCTAACTGGTGTGAGATGGTATCTCATTGTGGTTTTGATTTGCATTTCTCTGATGGTCAGTGATGGTGAGCATTTTTTCATGTGTCTGTTGGCTGCATAAATGTCTTCTTTTGAGAAGTGTCTGTTCATGTCCTTTGCCCACTTTTTGATGGGGTTGTTTGTTTTTTTCTTGTAAATTTGTTGGAGTTCATTGTAGATTCTGGATATTAGCCCTTTGTCAGATGAGTAGGTTGCGAAAATTTTCTCCCATTCTGTAGGTTGCCTGTTCACTCTGATGGTAGTTTCTTTTGCTGTGCAGAAGCTCTTTAGTTTAATTAGATCCCATTTGTCAATTTTGTCTTTTGTTGCCATTGCTTTTGGTGTTTTAGACATGAAGTTCTTGCCCATGCCTATGTCCTGAATGGTAATATCTAGGTTTTCTTCTAGGGTTATTATGGTTTTAGGTCTAACGTTTCAGTCTTTAATCCATCTTGAATTGATTTTTGTATAAGGTGTAAGGAAGGGATCCAGTTTCAGCTTTCTACATACGGCTAGCCAGTTTTCCCAGCACCATTTATTAAATAGGGAATCCTTTCCCCATTGCTTGTTTTTCTCAGGTTTGTCAAAGATCAGATAGTTGTAGATATGCAGCATTATTTCTGAGGGCTCTGTTCTGTTCCATTGATCTATATCTCTGTTTTGGTACCAGTACCATGCTGTTTTGGTTACTGTAGCCTTGTAGTATAGTTTGAAGTCAGGTAGTGTGATGCCTCCAGCTTTGTTCTTTTGGCTTAGGATTGACTTGGCGATGAGGGCTCTTTTTTGGTTCCATATGAACTTTAAAGTAGTTTTTTCCAATTCTGTGAAGAAAGTCATTGGTAGCTTGATGGGGATGGCATTGAATCTATAAATTACCTTGGGCAGTATGGCCATTTTCACGATATTGATTCTTCCTACCCATGAGCATGGAATGTTCTTCCATTTGTTTGTATCCTCTTTTATTTCGTTGAGCAGTGGTTTGTAGTTCTCCTTGAAGAGGTCCTTCACATCCCTTGTAAGTTGGATTCCAAGGTATTTTATTTTCTTTGAAGCAATTGTGAATGGGAGTTCACTCATGATTTGGCTCTCTGTTTGTCTGTTATTGGTGTATAAGAATGCTTGTGATTTTTGTACATTGATTTTGTATCCTGACACTTTGCTGAAGTTGCTTATCAGCTTAAGGAGATTTTGGGCTGAGACAATGGGGTTTTCTAGATATACAATCATGTCATCTGTAAACAGGGACAATTTGACTTCCTCTTTTCCTAATTGAATACCCTTTATTTCCTTCTCCTGCCTAATTGCCCTGGCCAGAACTTCCAATACTATGTTGAATAGGAGTGGTGAGAGAGGGCATCCCTGTCTTGTGCCAGTTTTCAAAGGGAGTGCTTCCAGTTTTTGCCCATTCAGTATGATATTGGCTGTGGGTTTGTCATAGATAGCTCTTATTATTTTGAGATACGTCCCATCAATACCTAATTTATTGAGAGTTTTTAGCATGAAGGGTTGTTGAATTTTGTCAAAGGCCTTTTCTGCATCTATTGAGATAATCATGTGGTTTTTGTCTTTGGTTCTGTTTATATGCTGGATTACATTTATTGATTTGCTTGTATTGAACCAGCCTTGCATCCCAGGGATGAAGCCCACTTGATCATGGTGGATAAGCTTTTTCATGTGCTGCTGGATTCGGTTTGCCAGTATTTTATTGAGGATTTTTGCATCAATGTTCATCAAGGATATTGGTCTAAAATTCTCTTTTTTGGTTGTGTCTCTGCCCGGCTTTGGTATCAGGATGATGCTAGCCTCATAAAAAGAGTTAGGGAGGATTCCCTCTTTTTCTGTTGATTGGAATAGTTTCAGAAGGAATGGTACCAGTTCCTCCTTGTAGCTCTGGTAGAATTCGGCTGTGAATCCATCTGGTCCTGGACTCTTTTTGGTTGGTAAGCTATTGATTATTGCCACAATTTCAGCTCCTGTTATTGGTCTATTCAGAGATTCAACTTCCTCCTGGTTCAGTCTTGGGAGAGTGTATGTGTCAAGGAATTTATCCATTTCTTCTAGATTTTCTAGTTTATTTGCATAGAGGTGTTTGCAGTATTCTCTGATGGTAGTTTGTATTTCTGTGGGATCGGTGGTGATATCCCCTTTATCATTTTTTATTGCATCTATTTGATTCTTCTCTCTTTTTTTCTTTATTAGTCTTGCTAGCGGTCTATCAATTTTGTTGATCTTTTCAAAAAACCAGCTCCTGGATTCGTTAATTTTTGAAGGGTTTTTTGTGTGTCTATTTCCTTCAGTTCTGCTCTGATTTTAGTTATTTCTTGCCTTCTGCTAGCTTTTGAATGTGTTTGCTCTTGCTTTTCTAGTTCTTTTAATTGTGATGTTAGGGTGTCAATTTTGGATCTTTCCTGCTTTCTCTTGTGGGCATTTAGTGCTATAAATTTCCCTCTACACACTGCTTTGAATGTGTCCCAGAGATTCTGGTATGTTGTGTCTTTATTCTCGTTGGTTTCAAAGAACATCTTTATTTCTGCCTTCATTTCGTTATGTACCCATTAGTCATTCAGGAGCAGGTTGTTCAGTTTCCATGTAGTTGAGCGGTTTTGAGTGAGATTCTTAATCCTGAGTTCTAGTTTGATTGCACTGTGAGAGACCCTGTCTTTTAAAAATAAGTACATAAATATCAAGATACTTACTACTTTAGCAGAAAACGAGAGGTATATGATGGGGAAGAGGAATGCCAGGGTACTTCTGGGGTGTTGGCAAGATTCTGTTAAGCCATATTACATTTTGTGTTTTTTTCTGCATTCTATAAGACATACATTATAGTTTATGCATTATAAAAATCTGTGTCAAGAAACCAAATAAGATCCAAAATATATATATATAAAGAAACTCACACCTAAATATAATTTAATGGAACTGCAGTGACCAAAGATGAAACGAAGATCTTTGAAGCATCCAAAGGAATGGATTGGCTATATTGGCAAACTCTGATCCTTCAACAGCAGCAATGGAAACCAGGAAGCAGTGGTAGCTTCGTTACTCTCAGAGAAAATAATAGCATACTTCCTATACCCAGCAAATACTGTCTTTCAGAATGAAAGTGAAATAAAGAGAATGTTAGATTAAATAGAAACTGAGAGAATTTACCTCCAATAGACACACATTTTAGAATGAAAGGATCATCTCCAAGTAGAAGGAAAATGATCCAAGAAGGAAGGTTTGAGGTGCAAGAAGGAATAAAAAGCAAAGAATAAGGTAAATATGTCAAACAGTGACTGTATAACATAATCATAATGATGTCATATGAGAGGCTTTTTAAGCTAGCATTCAAAAATACACAGTAATACAAGGTTGCTTGAAATTAAAATGTTCTGAATTCTTGTGTTCAAGAGGAGGACTGAGACATCCATTTGTTTAGACTTTGATGAGTATAGATGATAAAATGTCTAAGGTAACCCCTTAACAAAAATAAGGTATGTGACTTTTCAGCTAACACAGGGGAAAAACACTTGGTGGTGTTTTGTTTTGTTTTGTTTTGTTTTGTTTTGTTTTGTTTTGAGACAGGATCTCCCTTTGTCACTCAGGCTGGAGTGCAGTGGCATGATCTTGGCTCACTGAAGCCTCAACCTCCTGGGCTCAAGTAATCCTCCCACCTCCGCCTCCCAAGTAGCTGAGACTACAGGCACATGCCACCATGCCCGGCTAATTTTTTTGTATTTTTTTTGTAAAGTTGGGGTTTTGCCGTGTTGCCCAGGCTGGTCTCGAACTCCTGAGCTCAGGTGACCTGCCTGCCTTGGCCTGCCAAAGTGCTGGCATTACAGGCATGAACTACCACACCTGGCCCAAAGACACAGTTTTAAAAAGCTGATAAAGAAAGCAAAAAGGAAAAAAATAATTTTAAAACAATTTAAAAAGTCAATTGTGGGACATCCAGATAGAACAGAATGAAGAGGTCAGTGATCCTCTTCCCAAGATAACAAGTGTAAAACTGAAAAATTCACTAAAATAATTGCTTAGGGCCCTGGAGATTGACAAAAGGTAAAGAAAAAATAATGTGGAGCCTGATTCTGCCCTCTCTTTTATTATCTGTGTTCAATAACGGTGTCCTTTCTGGAAAAAAAAAAAAGACACCCAACCCCATTCCATATTCCTCATTGTCACTATGTAATGGAATAGAAAAAGGGGACTGTTGTATTGTTAAGATTCTTTTTGGTGGCAAGTAATAGAAACAACACTTCAAATAAGCCCTAGTACGCAAGGGAATGTATTGGAAGGGCACTGAAGAATATCCTGCTCTCAAAGGGCAGGAAGAGTAGAACGACTCCCTAGGGCCTGGGAAGAGGAATGGGGATACTCTTGTGGCCCACCGAGTCTTCAGATTCTCTATCTTGCTTTCTTTTTCTGAGGTCTTGTGTTCTCTTAGCCTCACCACTTTCTGTAAGTCTACTTTACTCTCCTCTCCCAAAAGGTGTTGTCTTCTGCAGAACAGCTTTCACTGTGTTTGACAGGCACATGGCAAAATGATGCATCTATATGTCTTCAGTTTAAGCAACTTCCCAGACTGGTGGTCGGATTCTCAATGTGAAGTTTCTCCAAGACAGTCTGATTGGGTCGTCTTGGGTCATGTGTCCATCCTTGGTCTCATCAATTATTATCTGTGGGATCAAGATCAAATTGTACAAGCATGGCTGGGTGGTGGTGATATACACTAGTATAGAGTTAAACATATTCAGCAGAAGAATATTCATGTAGACTACCCTATAAAAAGCCTTTGTAACAAACAGAAAAGTTAGTGTTTAATATAACTTTATTCAGTCAACATGCATTTATCTTTACTTCCTGAAGAGAACATCCTTTGTATTGTTGGACTGCTTTACTGTGTAACCTAGTGCAAGCTTTGTACCTATTAATCTGTCGGTATGTATTGGTTTGATTATTTTCTGTTTCATTCACTTATAGCATATTTGTAAATGCTTACAGGAATCTTGTAGGTTTTAACTCTATCTCACAAGTATCATTCTTAAACTAATATATGAGGTTCAAAGATTATGGGTGCTTTATTTCATTCTTAGCATTTTTTTCTGAATATGTGCTTAAATTACAGAGGAGTGGGGTTTTTTTTTTCTTCTTTTTTGGAGGGTAGATTAAAACCATTAGCTATACTTAGGCATAGTCCTCAGTGGATAAGAGTTGTTTTGCTTTCAAAATTTTCAAGCAGGCTTTAGTGAAACAAACAATATTTTCACTATGAAATCACCAGCATGCTAGCTGGAAGAGCTGTGCCATCATCTGTTTATGGTGGTATGCCATTTGGTATCTATAATTCAGAACAGCAAAGGTAAAATTTAAATGTTTGCATACTGAAAATTACTTCTCTATGTCTTTGGAAAAGAGTATTAGCAATGGTTGGGCATGTAGCAAAAACCAAGCTTTCTGTCTATGAGTTGATGGCTCTGCTTAGTTCAGTTTCTTGAACCATTACAAGCCCCATGCAAGCATTGTGCTGTCTGTCAAATATAACCAAAGGCTGAATGAAAACACTGGGATTAGTTCCACTTCCTCAGAATGTGTCAGGGACCTGGCCACACCTCACCCCAGCCATCCCCCAGTCCCAGCCTGGCCCATTTCATGAGGTACCATTCAAATGACTCCCATCTGCAGCAATACAAATTACTTTCCAAACAAGTCCCTGGCTGCAGTGACTCCCAGCATGCATTGGCTTTTCCCATTTACTCTTTGCTTCCCAAAATCAGATGAGGGTCTTGCCTAAGTATGTGTTTCACATAGTATTGGCACAGATAGGTGTTCAGTGTTTTGTTTATTTTATTGTTTCTATGTTTGTTTGTTTGTTTGAGACAGGGTCTTACTCTATCACCCAGGCTAGAGTGTAGTGGCACCATCACGGCTCACTGCAGCCTTGACTTCCCAGGCTCAAACAGTCCTCCCACCTTAGCTTTCAGAGTAGCTAGGACTACAGGTATGCGTCACCATGCCTGGCTAAGTTTTACATTTTTTTAAGAGACGGGGTCTCACTATGACTGGTCTTGAACTCTTGGGCTCAAGCCACCCTCCCACCTCAGCCTCCCAAAGTGCTGGGATATGCCTGGCTGTAAGTTCGTTTTAACCAGTTAGTTGTATTGTTCATTCAACAGGCTGTTATGTGTGAGGAACTGCAGTAGTTGCTTCTGTCTTGGGCCAAGTGTCTTCCCTAAAGCTCTAGAGTCTTTAAATTAAAACATCTATATAAAAATTTCCCTATTTTTCCTTTCTTGTTTAAATTTATTTCTCAATTATTCTTCCATAATTCCCAGTTTCATTAATTCCTTTTACATTTTGTTTAGCTTTTTCATTTGTAGGTCATGTACATTCGTACATTCATGAATTCAGCAAATGTTTGTCAAGCACCTATTATGCACCCATGTATTATGCTAGCAGTAACAAATTGCATGTTATATAGTTGTTTCAGTGCTTCAGTATTTAGTTGAAGCAACAAATATATACACCTAACTGTAACCACAAGTGATTGCTATACTATACAGATTATATGGGAATATAGTAGAGGAAGCAGGGAGATTTCCTGAAGAGATGGCATTTGAGTAGAATGACAAGAATGTTTACAGGTGATGCCTGAAGGAAGACTGCTCACTAGGACTGGGCTGTAATATTAGAAGCAAAGGCTAGAAAGTAAGTTTGGAGAAATGTTACAGAGGGCCTTGAGTACCACATTTTAGAAATATAGTCTTCATTCTAGGCTCTTAAAAAATCAGTTTATATTTTTGAGGGGGGATAGTGACATGAAATCACTCATGTTTAAGGAGGATAGTTTTGGAGATTTGTAAATGATAGAGAATCAAAAGTCTGGCTCCATTTTTGATAGTTGACTATCCATTCACCAGTTGATGAGAATTTGAGTGGTTAGAATTTGTTTGTCTGTACCAAATAAAGCTGCTGTGAACGTTCATGTGCAAGTCTTTGTATGGACTTGATTTCATTTCTCATCGTTAGATTTCTAGGAGTGGAATTACTGGTTGTATGGCAAGCTTATGTTTACAGTTTAAGAAACTGCCAAACCAAAGAAAATGGGAGAGTAGGGCTCTCAAAGAATCAGTATCTCCTCTGAAACCACCATAAACTGCCAAAAATTGACAGTATAAACTTTCGGAACTCTGGAATCTAAAATTGACAGAATAAACTTTCAGAACTTTCAGAACACTTGCAACGACTGGGCAAGTGCTTGGTGAGGAGAAGGCCTATGAATTCCAGTGAAAGTATCAATATTATGGTGTTTTCACTAGGCTATCATCTATCCTTCCCTAGCACAGAAGGGGCGGCTGTGACGATAGCAGCCCATGTTCTTGGTGTAGCTTGCTTGGTACAAAGGGATGAATATAGACCTTCTTTAAAAACTGTGGTTGTTCATTCTGACCTGTCTGCTGGTTCCTGAAGGGACTGGTGCAGAGGCTGACCTTTGTCCCACCACCCCCTCATGAGTTGGAGTAGCTTTCTGGGAAGTGGTAGCATCTGTAGAAATTTTTTTTTTCTCTTTTTGAGACAGCGTTTCGCTCTTGTCGCCCAGGCTGGAGCGCAATGGCGCAATCTCGGCTCACTGCAACCTCCGCCTCCCGGTTTCAGACGATTCTCCTGCCTCAGCCTCCCAAGTAGCTGGGACTACAGGCATGCACCACCATGCCCGGCTAATTTTGTACTTTTAGTAGAGACAGGGTTTCGCCATGTTGGCCAGGCTGTTCTCAAACTTGTGACCTAAGGTGATCCGCCAGCCTTGACCTCCCAAAGTGCTGGGATTACAGGCATGAGCCACCGCGCCCAGCCTGTAGAAAGATTTAAAGTCATGTACTACCCCTGCCTGCCTGGGGCAAGGGATGGTGGACAGAGCAAGCAGCAGACAAATCCAAAAACCCTCGAAGGAGGAGGCTGGGGGAAGTTTCTTGGGGAACAGAGGGCTTGGAAGGACCATGCATATACCAGGGGAAAAAAGAGTACAATATACGTGCCCGGTATTGGATACATACTCAGAAAAGACCTAAGAGGAGACTAGCTTTGCACCTCTGCTGGAGCAAGTAAGGGGTGAGGGCTAAGGCAGAGTTGTAGGCAGGCTGCCATAGCTTTAAGGGAGTGCCCCTCTCAGAGCCAAAGTGGAAAGACTGGGAGAATCATTTTTTTTTTTATTTTCTTTGATCTCCAGACATCTAAGGAAATCTCCATCAGGTCACTGGCTTACCAATGAGATATTGTAACAAAGACTTCACTGACCACACACAAGCAGGAATACAGTCTGTGCAAATGGTTTGGAAAAGTTGTTAAGCAGACAACTGCAGCCCTCAGCAATCAACAACAGCAAACCCTGAGGACGGGAGAATTTGGTTCCTAGAATCACTGCATTCTGGTATTCAAAATACCTGGTGTTCAACAACAAGAAAAAGACAGGGCATAGAAAGAAACAGGAAAGAATGTCCCATTTGGTGGGGGCGGGGGCGGGGGCACATGGGAATGACAGAAATCATCTCTGAGGAAACCCAGAATTGGACTTACTAGACAAACACTTTTAATGAACAACTGTCCTAAATATGCTCAGAGAAAAAAGAAAAAAACAGGAAAACAAAGTATGAACAAAATGAGATATCAATAAGGAGACAGAAATTATAAAAAGGGGGCCCAGCCGGACGGTGGCTCACGCCTGTAATCCCAGCACTTTGGGAGGCCGAGGCAGGCGAATCACCTGAGATCAGGAGTTCAAGACCAGCCTGAGCAACATGGAGAAACCCTGTCTCTACTAAAAATACAAAATTAGCCAGGCATGGTGGCGTATACCTGTAATCCCAGCTACTGGGGAGGCTGAGACAGGAGAGTCACTTGAACCTGGGAGGTGGAGGTTGTGGTGAGCCGAGATCATGCCGTTGCACTCCAGCCTGGGCAACAAGAGCGAAATTGCCATCTCAAAAAAAAGGGGGGGGACCAATCAAATTGTGGTATTTGCATATAATGGAATATTATTCAGGCATAAAAAGGAATGAAATACTGATGAACCTTGAAAATTGTATGCTAAATAAGCCAGACACAAAAGGTTACATATTGTATGATTCCATTTATACGAAGTATCCACAACAGATAAATCCATAGAAACAGAGAAATTAGATTGGTGGGTGGTGGTTGTTGGGGCCAAGGGAGGCAGGAATTGGGATTAACTACTTAGTGGGAACCACTTTTATTTTGAAATGATCAGAATGTTTTGGAAATAGAGGTGGTGGTTGCACAACACAGAGAATGGAGTAAATGTCACCTAACTGATCACTTTAAAATGGTTACTTTTGAGCCAGGCACGGTGGCTCACACCTATAATCCCAGCACTTTGGGAAGCCAAGGTGGGCAGATCGCTTGAGGTCAGGAGTTCAAGACCAGACTGGCCAACATGGCGAAACCCGTCTCTACTAAAAATACAAAAATTAGCTGGGCATGTTGGAGCCAGGCATGGTGGTAGGCACCTGTCATCCCAGCTAGTTGGGAGGCTGAGGCAGGAGAATCACTTGAACCCAGGAGGCGGAGGTTGCAGTGAGCCAAGATTGTGCCACTGCACTCCAGCCTGGGTGACATAGCAAGACTCTGTCTCAAAAAATAAAATAAAATAGTTACTTTTATGTCATGTGAATTTCACAAAAGTATAAAAATAAAAATTTAAAGAGAGAAAGAACAGCTGTGAGTTTTTTGTTTGTTTGTTTGTTTGTTTTGGTTTTTTTGAGACAGAGTCTCGCTCTGTCGCCCAGGCTGGAGTGCAGTGGCGCGATCTCGGCTCACTGCAAGCTCTGTCTCCAGGTTCACACCATTCTCCTGCCTCAGTCTCCCGAGTAGCTGGGACTACAGACGCCCGGCACCACACCCGGCTAATTTTTTGTATTTTTTTTTTTAGTAGAGACATGGTTTCACCTTGTTAGCCAGGATGGTCTAGATCTCCTGACCTCGTGATCCGCCCACCTCAGCCTCCCAAAGTGCTGGGATTACAGGCGTGAGCCACTGTGCCCGGCCAGCTGTGAGTTTTAAAAGGTTTTTCTCTGTTGTAACATCTCCCTTCCCATCACCTAACCCCCAGGATATGGGCTCAGGGAAAAGTGTTTTGAAGAGAGAATAGATCTGTATAATGCTTAGTTGAAATCTTCCATAAACCCATAAGAGAATCACTTCACACCCATTAAAATAGCTGTAATCAACAAAACGCAGACAATATCAAGTGCAGGTGAGAATGTAAAGAAGGTGGAACCTTGGCTGGGTGCTTTCCTGGAAGAAGCTCCAATATTGGGCCCCAGAGTTAGGGTTGTAGGAAGATGAGAGATAAAGGCATTCTTCTTGCAAGAGTTAGTAAATCCCTAGTCTGAGACGCCCATGAGAGGTGAATGTATGTGGGGTTATGAATAAATAAAATACCTGCATTACTACGAAATTTAAGGGGACAAATATAGCTCTGCTTAATATGCAAATGTATCATTTCAGAATTTATAAAGGACATTAAAAAATTGAAAGGCACCAGGCACAATGGCCCACACTTGTAATCCCAACAGTTTGGGAGGATGAGGCGGGCAGATCACCTGAGCCCACGAGTTCAAGACCAGCCTGAGCAATATGGTGAAACCCTGTCTCTACCAAAAATACACCAAAAAAAAAAAAATTAGCTGGGCGTGGTAATGCACACCTGTAGTCCCAGTGCACCGTCACTAGGGAAGCTGAGGTGAGAGAATTGCTTGAACCCCAGAGGCGGAGGTTGCAGTGAGCCGAGATTGTGCCACTGCACTCCAGCCTGGGAGACAGCAAGACCCTGTCTCAAAAAAAAAAAAATTTTTTTTTAAGAGAAAAAGGAAACTACCAAATGGTTTTATAAAATGACTGTACCATTTTATAATGCACCAAAAAATTTGTGTAAGATAAGACCTGCAGGGAAAAAAAAAAATCCAAACCATGCTTATTGGAAGATATGCCCTTGTCTGTCAACCCTAACCCAAGAAAAGACATACTGACTTCCCAGAACAGCATTCCCACATTCTTGAAATTACATGGACATTCTCATACATGTTGGCTGTACCAACAGTATGTGAAGTTCCACCTTCTTTACATTTTTACCTGCACTTGATATTGTCTGTTTTGTTGATTACAGCTATTTTAATGGGTGTGAAGTGATTCTCTTATGCGTTTACGAAAGATTTCAACTAAGCATTATACAGACCTATTTTTTATTTAGAGCTCTTTTATTTTGAGCTTTTAATGATAGTTCAAATTGTTGTTGAATGCCTTTTTAAACTACTTTATCTTACAAAGTCTAGTTGTAATTTAAATTGAAGATAATCATATGTTCATATTTCCTGACTCTATCAGTTTTTATTCACCCTTTAATTATGATGTTTTTATTATGTTTAAAATATTGTATTCATCTGAAAAGCTCAAACTACACAGTATCATCCCTGCTCCCCCACACCTACCTCCCAAAAAGAGGTTTCATTGTTTCTTCGCCCCACTTTATAACAACATCAGTCACATTCACATACAAAGGATGTGGAACAGAAAAGACCCAAAGAGCTTTGCAAATGCTCCTGGAGGGCACTGGCAGGCACTGGTTGAGCAAGTTCTCTAATGGTGTGTCAGTGGTGAGGTACAGTTCAACAAAGAGTTTTCAGAGGCTTTAATTATATTAACACAACAAATTGTTAACTACTTGTTCTAAGGTTTTTTTCAAACTTTAACTTTAGTTTCTTCTCAATGCATTCTCTTGCTTTATAAGACACTATAAAACACATCTGGTTAGCATTCAGCACTTATGGCACTTGTAAATAAAGAATCCTCTTTCTATTACAAATGTGTGAATAAATGCTATGCTTAAAGATGTTTGATTTTTAAAACAGTGTAGAATTCGTATTTGTCTGAGGCCGAAGTATGACTTTTAGGAAATTGGAATCTGTCCTTTGGCTATTTTGTCTTTAAGAAAGAAGCTGACAGCTTGACTGTCTTGGCCCACACTCCCTGTTTCCATTTCCTCCTGCGGGCCAGGGCTGCATAATCAAAGTTAGACAGTTGTTATGCAAGCTTCCTGGTCTCAGGGGCCCTTATCCCTGTCCAGCCCTTAAACACAACATCTCTCTGTTTCCAAATAAATCCAAGAACTGTACAATCCCTTTCCATGTGTTTGGTCAGCTTTGGCTTCTGGAAATTAGTATGTTTCTTCAACTGTCATTTAAATGTGCAAGTTAGCTGAATTCTTAATAGAAGGAGATTTTGAAAGATAAATAGAAAGCTCACAAACGTCAAAACAAATGTATATAACTAATATCTGCATGTATCAAAGATTTCTAATCTGCAGCTTTTGACCCGTTTATTCAAACGTGATGCAGCTAATTCTAGTGGAACAAAATAATGTGGACCATAGTTTCAGGATAGAGAAGTATTAAACAATTGAAGTTTTGAATAAATGAGCCAAAAGGGAGTCAACATTAAAGTCTTTATACTTTCAGATAAGTTTAAACATTTCCACTCATTGAAATACCAAGAGAATGGGAATGCACTGAAAACATTATTCAGAGCACACCAAAAAGTAATAAAAAATTGTGCATAAAATAAGACCTGCAGGGGGCCGGGTGCGGTGGCTCACGCCTGTAATCCCAGCACTTTGGGAGGCTGAGGCGGGTGGATCACGAGGTCAGGAGATCAAGACCATCCTGGCTAAAACGGTGAAACCCCGCCTCTACTAAAAATACAAAAAAATTAGCCAGTGTGATGGCGGCCGCCTGTAGTCCCAGCTACTCGGGAGGCTGAGGCAGGAGAATGGCATGAACCCGGGAGGCGGAACTTGCAGTGAGCCGAGATTGCGCCACTGCACTCCAGCCTGGGCGACTGAGCAAGACTCTGTCTCAAAATAAATAAATAAATAAATAAGACCTGCAGGGAAAAAAAAATCCAAACCATACTTGTTGGAAGATATGCCCTTGTGTGTCAATCCTAACTCAAGAAAAGACATACTGACTTCCCAAAACGGCATTCCAGATACCACAGTATTAACAAAGGCTTGCAGATTGCCCATCTTAATCCAGGAAAATCACGGGAAATAAAATAGATGATATGTTCTTTGTAACAAATCCTGGAGAATCTGTCTGCGATGTTTCATTTATGGTCACTGTTCTCTAGGATAAGATAAATGTGACAGAGCTAGAAAAGATCCAAAGAGAGGAAGTAAAGTCACCAAGATGGCTACAGAGCTTCCAGATTAAAAAAAGAAAAAGCATTTTCCAAAGTGGAAGGGTAACAGCAGAGAGGAGGCATCTTGGCACTCATCACAATTTTTAAATTATAAATTTAATTTATTTCGTTATTTATTATCTGTCTTTTCCACCAAATTTTATGCTTCATGAGGTCAGGAATACTGTCTTATTTTTTAACTTTTTGTTGAAATATAGACATACATGGGTGCAGCACACCAACATGGCACATGTATACATATGTAACTAACCTGCACATTGTGCACATGTACCCTAAAACTTAAAGTATAAAAAAAAATAGACATACAGAAAAGAGCATATATAGACACATATACATGTATAAATGTATACACTTATACATGTATAAATATATACATTATATAAATGTATACACTTATACATTTATCATGGATATATTTATACATGATAAATATACAGTTTGATAGTTTTTCACAAAATGAACTTGTATGACCACCACTCCGATCAGGAAACAGCATGAGCAGCCCCAGAGCATGAAGCCCCTTCACTCCTTTCCATTCATTCTCCAGCCCAGGGCGAGCACTGCTGGCTCCTGACAGCAGGGATCCACTAGCCTGCTCTAGAACCTGATGTGTATGAAATCGGGCCATGCCTAGTATTCTGTGCTGGCCTTCTTTTGCTCCCTGTTGTTTTTTATGAAGTTCATCCACATTACAATTTTTGATCACACTGTAATTTTCGATCATTCATCTCATTGCTGTATAGTATTCCATTGTGTGGATATACAACAAAGTCTTTATCCATCATACTGTTCCTGGGTATTCCTCAGTTCTGGCTCTATGAACAGTAGCACCATGAGCATTGGGAACACGTGTGCAGATTTCTGTTGGGTGGAATTGCTGAATCATGTCATATACATATGCTCAGCTTTGGTACCTGTTTCCAAACAGTTTTCCAAAGCAGCTGTACCAGTTCACACTCTCACCAGCAGTGTATGAGGGTTCCATTTGCTCACCTGTTTCAACACTGGTTTTGTTAGTCATTTTTAGCCAGTTGGGTGTGTGTGTCATGGTATACCATTGTGGTATTAGTTTGTATTCCCCTGATGATGCACAGTGCTGATTTTGTTCATCAGTATATACCCAGCATTTAACATCATATCTGTGCTTTTTATTAAGGCTCTTTCTATACAAGTGAGAGAGGATGGGACAGAAACCCAACCTAAGTTGGCTTAAACGAAAAGGAACATTAGTGGCTCCTGTAGCTAGCAGAGAGACTGGAGTAGCTCAGACAACCAGAGCTGCTGGCCCCAGGGCTGGAGGCTTCTCTCCCACTGTGTGAGCCTCCCAGCAGCCCTGGCATCATCTGCCCTAAGCATCCACTTCTCAATCCCAGGTGGCAGGAGAGCTGCCCCCGGGGAGCCACACTGTGTGTAAGATGCTGAGAGTGCTGTGATGAGGTGAGCCAGCTCCTGGGCAAAGGTGAGAAGGATTTGTCACCAGAAGAAGGGAGATGAGAAGGCTCACTGGACAAAGAAAAACAGACTTCTGACAGACCACCGTGGCATCACACACAGGAGATACTCCATAATATCATTTTGAATGAATGAATGAGTCAGCCCAAGCTTATGTTGTGCAGGCCACAGACAGGGTGAACCAGAAATATTTTTACTGAAATTACTCTAGGAAAGCAAAGCCGTTTTAGGACAGCAAAGGATTTTCTTTCCTTCTGCCCTCATTTCCCCTAATTCAAGAGCTATTCTATGTTGAAATATGAATAGCTATAAGATGTTTAGCCAATTCATGGATGATCTGTACAGAAATGAATAAATGAAAGAGTGGTGTTTGCTACTCTTCTGTTATCTGTTTTGAGTTTTAAGTCAAGCCCATAATAAGCTGGTTCCTTCCTCCTGCCTGGGCCAACAATGAAAGCGAACAGTGATTAGAGTTTGGCAGAGCTGGTTTATGTGGTCTGTGGCCAGACTACAAGGCGAGTGTTATTTTGGGACCCAAATAAAAACTATAAGTTTTTTTCTTTAAATTCTTTCGGTAAAAAATGGGAGCCACTTATTAAAATAACCAAGCATAATAGTTAAACTGGTAGCAGTAGATAAAGGGAACCCGGTAGAGAAGCCAAGAATATAGGTACACTTTGCTACCTTTCTCACGAATCTCAAAGGTAATATGATATCCTGGATGGGAATCCTGGAACAGAAGGACATTAAGGCAAAACTGAGGAAATCTGAATGAAATTTGGACTTTAGTTATAGTAGTGATGCAGCAATCTTGGTTCATTAATTATAACAAACATCCCACACTAATGGAAGATGCTAATAACAGAGGAATAACAGGGGAAACTGGGTGTGGGATATGTAAGGACTCTGTATTGTCTTTGCAATTTTCCTGTCAATGTAAACTGTTTTAAAAAGTAGTTTAAGAAAAAACCAGGTGAGGGTCTTGGAGGAGCCTGTGCAGGGAGGCTCCTGGAGCTTCAGCTTTATTAGTTTTAGGGTCAGCCCACCTCTGGTCTCCCTCCATTCTTATCAGTGGGATCACGGGGAACCTAAAATTTTCTTGAGAAAGGCACCTTGAGTAGGTGGCCCCGTGAGCAGGTGGCCCAGCTGCTGCTTCCACTTCTGGCTCTGGGCCACTGGTACAGCACGGCGTGTCTGAGCCTTGTTTTTCTTATTTTAAAAGATGGGCATAATTTTATATCTCTGCCTCATAAAGGTGTTATGAGGTGTTAAAAGATCTTTCAACACTAGAACTACTATGCAAATGGAATAAATTATCATTGTCCTTTGGACTACTTTGCTGAGACTTTTCATCGCCCCTCAAGTTTTAAATCTCTGCCTAGTATTCATTTTATTTCATTTTTCCTTAACCATCAGCTCTTGATGTAATACAAAATTTCAACTTAAAATTTCATTTGTGGCCAGGCATGGTAGCTCACACCTGTAATCCCAGCACTTTGGGAGGCTGGGGTGGAGGGATCACTTGAGGCCAGGAGTTTGAGACCATCCTGGACAACATAGCAAGACCCCATCTCTACAAACATTTTTTAAAAACTTTTAAAAATTAAAAAAAGTTTTCATTTATGTAAGTTATTTGTGCCCTATTTTTCTATGTCCTGGATGTGAGAGGTTGCTCTTCTTTTTTTTTTTTTTTTTTTTTGAGATGGAGTTTAGCTCTTGTTGCCCAGGCTGGAGTGCAGTGACGTGATCTTGGCTCACTGCAACCTCCGCCTCCCAGGTTCAAGCAATTCTCCTGCCTCAGCCTCCCGAGTAGCTGGGATTATAGGCGCAAGCCACCAAGCGCAGCTAATTTTTTGTATTTTTAGTAGAGACAGGGTTTCACTATGTTGGCCAGGCTGGTCTTGAACTCCTGACCTCAGGTGATCCACCCACCTTGGCCTCCCAAAGTGCTGGGATTACAGGCATAAGCCACCATGCCCAGCCATGTTGCTGTTTTTCTAAGAACATGTGTTGACTTCATGGTTTATTTGTTTATTGATTTTTTGGAGATAAGATCTCACTCTCTCATCCAGGCTAGAGTGCATTGGCACAAACATGGCTCACTGCAGTCTCAACCACCTGGGATCAACTGATCCTCCCACCTCAGCCTCCCATGTAGCTGGGACCACAAGCATGCAACACCACACGCAGCTAATTTTTTATTTTTTGTGGAGATGGGGATCTTACCTTGTTGCCCAAGCTGGTCCTGAACTCCTGACCTCAAGCAATCATCCGGCCTTACACTCCCAAGGTGCTGAGATGACAGGCATGAACTCCCAAGTCTGCTCAGTTTTTTGTTTTTTGTTTTTGTTTTGTTTTTTGTTTTTTTTTTCATGGAGTCTCGCTCTGTCGCCCAGGCTGGAGTGCAGTGGCACCATCTCGGCTCACTGCAACCTCCGTCTCCTGGGTTCAAGCGATTCTCCTGCCTCAGCCTCCCAAGTAGCTGGGATGACAGGCGTGCACCACCATGCCTGGGTAATTTATTTTTAGTAGAGACAGGGTTTCACCATGTTGGCCAGGCTGGTCTCAAACTCCTGACCTCAGGCAATCTGCCCACCTCGGCCTCCCAAAGGGCTGGGATTGAAGGCATGAGCCACCGCACCCAGCCTATTTCCTTCCATTTTTAAAAAACTGAAAGCATTTAACGTAAGACTGTGAAGTACAAGTTTGAACATACATCATTGGCTTTATTTATAAAATATAGTATAAATATTATTTAAACTTTAAATTCTATACCCAAACTATTCATCAAGTATGAGGGAAAAATAAACACATTGTTAAACATGAAAGTCCTCAAAAAATGGCAGATTGAAACATACAGCATTTATCAGGCACCCTGCCAAAACCTTTCTAAAATGGCAGTAAAAAAGGTGTTTTGTTTGTTTGGTTGTTTGTTTTGAGACAGAGTCTTGCTCTGTTGCCCAGGCTGGAATGCAGTGGTGTGATTCTAGCTCACTGTAGCCCAGAATTCCTCGGTTCAAGTGATCCTCTTGCCTAAGTCTTCCAAGTAGCTAGGGCTACAGGCACACACCACCATGTCTAATTTTTAAAAATTTTTGTAGAAATGGGGTCTCACTATGTTGCCCAGACCGGTTAGTTTTTAAAAGACATAAATGCACAGATAAATAGGTAGGGCCAAGCCAAGCCCTGGAGTTCAAGGCCAGCCTAGGCAACATAGTAAGACCCTGTGTCAAAAAAAAAAAAAAAAAAAAAAAAAGAAAGAATAGAAAAATAGGTGGGAAGAAGGCAGCAATACAATATTGGAAGCTAGAAAGTGTGGTATTTGATTAAAACGAGAGAAAGCCTTGAGGAAGGCTGATGTGTTTTATAGAATTCCAATTTGCTCAGAAATGGGAGGCATCAAGTACATTGGAAAGTAGGGACAGGATGGAGAAGAGTTAGTCGGAAGTCCATACGGGAGGCAGAAAGGCTCTCCTACACCCCGACTTCTGTCCCCGCCATGACAGCAGCCATCTATTAATAAAAAAAACGATGATAAGAGCCAGAGAGGTTCTGGACTCTGGGCCCCACTGTGGCTTTTTTTTTATAACCTTCCTCTATAATACTTCCTCTAAGTATTTTTAATAAAAAATGAGGCATAGGAAGTTTCCTTTACTAGATCAGGGCTCTTCAAGGTTGAGACTTGGCTATATTCATGTCTAGCACTAGATTGGGAAAAAGTGAGCAAATTTTTAGGGGCAATTATGTTTCCCAACAAAAATGTTTTTTCTGCTACCATCAAAGTCAGTTGCCAGCACTGAATTATGCTGCTACAAATTGATTGTGATAAAACTTGACCTGTATACTGCAACTATATTTGAGCTTAGAGATGTTATCTAGTAGAATGTTTATAAGCTTAGGTTTTGGAATCTGTTTCCCTTAGGTTTTAATCAATTTACTAGTTGTGTAATCTTAAGCAAGTTATGTTAATTATTCTGAGCCTTAGTTTCATTAAAATGAGCAATATACCGCAGATTTCATATGACCACTGTGAGGATTGAATGAGCTATAGTGCAAGTCGACTGCACAGGGCCTGCAAGAATGAAGGGCTCCAAACGGGGTGGGGACAGGAGTGGGAGTGATTTGTCTTGTGAAAAAGAACCTGAAGACCTCAAGAACGCCTGCCAATCTCAGAATCTCCCTTATTCTGTGAAAAAGTTTAAATGGGATCATAACTTTAAATTATAATTAGTTTCAATGTTTTTAGACAGCATTACTTTGAGATTTATGAAATAATGAGAGTTTAAACCTTAATGATAAAATTTTCTGTGTATATCTGGAATATTACTTTCATTATCTGTTATAATTACATATGAATAATTACATAAAGAGAAAATTGTGGAATTATCTCTAAAGAGTTTCTAGTATTTACTGTTACATTGATATGTGTGTGTATATTTAGCTTCTTCATTATCATTTCTGACTATTTTAAAATAAACCAACTTGGCTCACATTTTCACATTAGTGGTCTAGGAGGGAAGTGAATTCCTTTTCAAAGCTTAAAATTACTACATGATTAACTTTCAGTGATAATCTTAAAAAAGAACTACTGCTAGGACTTACATTCCAATCTGAAGCATTCTCTGTTTTCTCTAGTAATCTTAATGGGAAGTCAGTTTTTTATGGGTACATTTGCCTTTAGAGTGATTGCAGGGTGCATGTTTCTAAGGTGTATAAATTACTGACTTTGCTTGAGTAATTTTCCCCTTTCCATTCTAAAGTGGGAAAGTATAGAAAAATCATATTTGTAACTTTTATTCATTTTTAGGATTCCCATATCCGTTTGTTCCTTCTTTTAGTTCCATTTTCTAGACAAAGTGTTTGTGGCCAAACGTTCACATCATGATCTCTCCCAGCACCAATTCTGATTTCCCAAAAAGTGCTAAGGTTTGTTTTCAAACTGGTTTGAGGTGTTCTTTGGGGGTGTGGGTTTTGTGAGTCACAGGGCTCCTCTCTGTCTGGGCTGGCCAAGGGCAGGGGCCAGCTCTCACCCCCCACTGCCATGGGTCCCTCTGAGAAGGAGTGAAGGAGGGGAGAAGGTGGGCATGTGAGGGCGAGTTGGCCTCATCCCCACAACCCCAGCACAGTAGTCCTTGCTCCTCTGAGCTTTCTATAATCACCCTAGCAAAGGGACAGTGATTTCCAGTGAGAAAACCCTCCACAGAGTATCGGGAGTAGTGGGAATCTACTAGAGGATGTGTCAGGAGGGAGAAATTACATGGGGAAATAACTTGTCTTCATTTTCTCTGGGGTTGTGATGTGACATCACATGGGCAGAGGCAGCACTGGGTCTCACCCTGCACTGTGTGCACAAGGGTCCAGTTGGAACAAGGTCAGGAGGCAGGGCATCTCACTGGCCTGTCCACATGGCCAGCTCGGAACACACTGTTTCCTGTCTCCTGAGACAGAAATTTGTATGAGAAGCAAAGATTACAAAGATTACAGATAAATGAAATTTAAATATTCAGTTATAAAACAAATAACTGAAGGGGTTTTTTTTTTTTTTGAGGAATTTTTCCAGCTTAACAGAATTAAAATGAACTATGATGAAACATGGCAAAAACTACAAGGAGGCCAGGCGCAGTGGCTCACACCTGTAATCCCAGCACTTTGGCAGGCCGAGGCAGGTGCATCACTTGAGCTCAGGAGTTCGAGATCAGCCTGGCCAAAATAGTGAAACCCCATCTCTACTAAAAATTAGCCAGGCATTGTGGTATGCACCTGTAATCCCAGCTACTAGGGAGGCTGAGGCAGGAGAATCACTGGAACCCCAGAGGCGGAGGTTGCAGTGAACTGAGATCGCACCACTGCACTCCAGCCTGGGATGGAGTGAATTCCACACCCAGAGTAAGACTCTGTGTCAAAAAAAAAAAGGAAGTGGAAATATGGTTGAGAATAAAGGGATTTCTGTTGGAATTTCATCCCTAGGGGTTTGAAAACCATTTTACTATTCAGAAGCACAGAAATGGCCCAAACCAGGCCCTGAAAGGAGCCCAGGAAACAAAAAGGGTGAAAAGAAAAAGAAAAAAGTCCATCTTAGGCTTAGGGGCTAAGGTCACACAGGACAGACCTCCCCGTCCGACACCAGCCCCTGGCTAGACTATCACTGTGCCATACGGGAGGGATTGTGTGGTCAGTAGTTTTTGTTTTGTTTTGTTTGTTTTTGTTTTTGTTTTTGTTTGAGACAGAGTATCCCTCTGTCACCCAGGCTGGAATGCAGTGGTGCGATCTCGGCTCACTGCAACCTCTGCCTTCCAGGGTCAAGTGATTCTCCTACCTCAACCTCCTGAATAGCTGGGACTACAGGCTCCCACCACCACGCCTGGCTAATTTTTGTATTTTTAGTACAGACGGGGTTTCACCATGTTGGCCAGGCTGGTCTTGAACTCCTGACCTGACGTGGTCCACCTGCCTCGGCCTCCCAGAGTGCTGGGATTACAGGCGTGAGCCACTGCGCCTGGCCCAGTGGTTGTTTTTTTAATCTGCTTTCCTCCTGTTTCTCAGAGTCACTTCCCAAGAGAAAGCACTATTAAAAGTATGGTGTAGCTCCCACTAGATGTTTCTCCATTTACGAGACATGGTCAGATTACTTTCCCCCTAGGCTGTGGCCTCCTCCAGCCTCTCTTTTGGTTTATCTGTGTCTCATGAACATCCAAACTGCCTGGAGCTCCACAGGCTTCCCTGGGGGACCAGTGGGACCCACCTCCCCTGGTCTTTCCTGGTCCGTGTCTTCTGCAAAGGGCCAAGGAGTAACTGTTTTAAGCTTTGCAGCCATGTAGTCTGCTCAGTCACTAAGTTCAGCACAAAAGCAGCCACAGACTGTATATACCTAAGTGAGGGTGGCTGTGTGCCAATCAAACTTTATTACAGACACTGAAGTCTGAAGTTTGCATTTAATGTAATTTTCACATGTCACGAAATCTTTGGAGTTCTTTTCAACCATGTTTAGCTTGAGGTTCCATACAAGAACAGAAGGGCGTGGGATCTGGCTTCTGGCCTGTCATTTGCTGTCTCCTGCCCTGGCTCTCTTCCTGTCCATACAGGCCCATTATTCATGCTTGCATTTGCTGTTTGTTTATTAAAATTCCCCAGCTCTTCGTTTTAAAAATGCCATTGGGATATATTTCCAGTAGAGTGGGTCTCTTTCAACTCTGGGTTTCCCTGGTTCTTCCCAAGTCTGTACAAACAAGAAAAGTTGGGTCAAGGGAGGATGGAGGCTCCCAGCTGGTCTGTTCTGCAAAGGTCTGGAGATGAGGTAAGTGCTGAGGGCTGGGCCACCCCACTGGGGCTGGGGCACATGGAGAATGTTTGGCACAAGCCCTTGCGAGGGTTCTGGGGCATCAGTCACTACCAGAAAGACAGCGCAAGTCATGCCCTGGTCGGCCATCCCTTCTGGTGGGGGTTGTGTTTTTGCTCCTGTGGCAAAGTGCTGCAATGACATTCCAGCTCTCCCAGGTTTATGCCCCACCATGGGTTTGGAATAGAGAGGCTTTTCTGGTTGTTTGTTTTACTAAGCAACATTTAGGACACATTTTTTAACTCCCTGTGGACAAGCAATCCTTCTAACAGAGCTCCTCAGCTGTTCCCAGTTATTTTTGTGGATGGTCTTGTGGATGGTGCAGGTCCCCTGAGGGGTCCTTCCTGGACACCCATGTTCATCCACTGAGGGCGACTGATCTCTGACTTCCGTCCCCACACAGGGTCAGACAAGTGGGTCTGATGCCTCCTGAGCCAGCAAGTTGCTGTGCTCCCTTGTTTTTTACCAACCAGACGACTCTTAGGGGCAGACGTGTGTGTCGCTAGGTCTGTGTTTGCGTGTCCGAGCCTCAGGACCACGTCCAGGAAAGTTAGGCTAATATGGTTTACAGGAGGCAATTCAGCAGCATAGCCACTGCATTCCTTTCTGCTTGTATCACTACATGGACGTATTTACTTCAAAAACACAAATAGAGTCTAGAAAAACTGGTTAAAAATCCACACAATTAGACTTGGAGATACAGTCTTTCCATCCTGTATGTAATCAAAAGATTTAAAAGTCAGGCACCTTTTGTCCAGCCTTGTAGCCTGGGGATTTCTGTTAACATTTCAGTCGGACGCTGTGTCAGTGAGGGACTCTCTTCTGCTAGGTGTGCCAATCAGGAAATTTCCAAAGGGAGCTTCTGGTGCTGCCGGCGGTTAGTTGTTACTTCAAATGATTGTGATGATACAAAGTGCTCGAATATCCAGTCCTTTCCATGTTAGAGCTCTTGAGAATCTGAAAACCCCATCTCGCCTCCCCCGTGGGGGTACCAGCCCTCATTTAAACGCCACGCTGTGACCAAAAGGACAGAGGTGCCTGGCCTGGTATTAGGCCCGGGAAAGTCTCAGTGTCAGATAAATGACTGCGTTGTGTCAGCTCCATGTCACGCTCCATGTGCCCACAGAGGAGTGGGCTGGGAGGGGACAGCAGGCACTCTTGGGAGACTGTAAATCGGCTGATCAAACAAGGGGATACACTGAGGGTGAAGGGACACAGTCTCTCCCCAACAGCAAAGCGACTGACAGATGTCAAAAGAGCTAGACTGAGGTGTCTGGGAGAGCTCGTGCCTGCGTGTTTTGAATATGGGTGTGCACAGACAGGGGTGGAAGTGGCTGCAAGTGGCTCATGCACCTGCACACACCAGTGTGTCCTTCCTAGCTCTTTCCACTGACAGGCCCTAGAAGTAATGAAGCTCCAGGAGCAACGAGCCCAGGTCCTGGTTTGTAAATACTGTCAGCTCCTTTGATTCTAGAGCTGGGCAGGGAAGTACAAAATGAGCCTAGAACAGCTGATGATGCCAGAGAGTAGGAAGACCTCAAAGAATGGTGGGGCTGTGTCAGAAGAACCAGGAGCAGTTTACAGGAGCTCATACTGGCCAGACCTGGGGGCTTGAGCATCACGACCAATAGTGATCTTAAACAGGTTACAGCCTATGGAATAAACAAGTGACTGAGTGGATACTGATACAAATGAATAAGGGAAAAGGAGAAGCTCTTTCTGCTGGTAGAAAGCCAACAGATGCGGGAGGAATGATGGAAACGGAAAGCCACCTTTTGGGACCCTCACTGTCGTTGGTGTTGCCATGAGCCATCATAGGGTCTCAGACTCAGGAGTGGACAGTGGTCTCAGGACATCCCATGGAGCACAGTGGTGGGGCCGCGTCTGAGGCACACAGGCAGCATTTCCATGGGGCTCCAAACCTGGCATCAACTCAGCATGGATATGCAGCGTTAGGCCCAGATTCAGCAATCTGTGGTGCCAGCAGCTGCACCCAGGCTGTCAAGACCAGCCATGCTGGGGCCTGAGGGGACAAGGAAGGAGAGACGCAGTTGGGACAGCTGGGGACATCTGAAGGGGCACGTTCTGGTTTGGAGAAGTATGTTTTGGTCACATAGGAGATCTGCTCAATTGGGGAAAAACCCTGTGTGTGTCCAGGGGCGAGGGGTACCATGTCTCAGCATGGCGCAACACAGAGGGAGGTGACAGGCGGTGTGAACAGGCGGCAGCTTCTCATTCTCCTCGTATACTGTTTCTGTAAATTCAAAATTACATTCAAATTAAACTTTTTTTTTTTTTGGCGCAATTTCGGCTCACTGCAACCTCTGACTCCCTGGTTCAAGTGATTCTCCTGCCTCAACCTCCCGAGTAGCTGGGATTACAGATGGGCGCCACCACGCCCAGCTAATTTTTGTATTTTTAGTAGAGAAGGGGTTTCACCATGTTGGATAGGGTGGTCTCGATCTCTTGACCTCGTGATCCGCTCGCCTTGGCCTCCCAAAGTGCTGGGATTACAGGCATAAGCCACCACACCCAGCCTCAAATTAAACTGTAAAAACACGACTGAGGCTCAGAGAGTTTAAAAGGGATTTCTCAAAGTCATATAGCCAATCAACAGCTAAGTGGGCTGAGGTGGGACAAAGGCCCCTTGTCCCAGGCAGGGCAGTTGTGCAGGCCCCAGGGCCCCGGCAGTACCTGTTCACTCGGTAATGGTTTGATTGTCTAACACACATAAGATCATACGCATGGTAATGTGTGAAGAACCTAGACCAGTGTCTGGCACAGAGGTGCCTTTGTATTTGTCAGTTTTCTTTCTGAAATGAGGGCAGATCATTGTTCTTCCCAGTGCTCCTGCTGTAGGCATTTCTAAACCTTTCTGAAGTTTATCATACTTCTCTCAGAAGTCTTGTGCGTGGAGAGCAGGGGTGTGGTGGTACACTCACCAAGACACCCACAGTGCCAAGTCCAACAGACATGTCTCTGCTACTTTCACCAGATGCTGCAGGAGCTGTTGCCCACTCCCTCCTCAGCGATCCCTGTGCACTTCCCCACCTTCCTGCCTACACTCAGCTCTGATCACCCCCGACACACCTCTCCTGCCTTACCTCACAAAAAGTACCTCATCTGCACCCCTGCCCTGGAGGTCAGAAACTCTCCACACCCCACATCCAGCAAGCCCTGATGCCACACCCCCAGAGCACATCCACGTCACTCCAGTGTCACTCAGCCATGGTCCCCCTGCTTTCTCCCACATCTTGCCCACCTCCCCAGTCCACTCTCCATGCAGCAATCAGTGTGATCCTTTCCAAATGACATCAGGTGGGGTTCTGGGGACCAGTCTGTGTGTTCTGGCCCTGCCCTGCTCCGAACTTCATCCTTGCCCTTCTCCCCACCACCAGCAGGTGGTAATGGGGCTGATGTGCATTCTTAAAGAATCACTTGCTGCTCCCAGTTTTGGCGCTCTTACTAATGATCGTTTGCATGCAGTTTTTTTGTATGGACATGTTTTCCTTTCTCTTGGGTAAATATGTAGGAGAGGGATTGCTGGATCACGTAGTAAGTGTGTTCAATGTGGTAAGAAGCTGCCAAACTTATCCAATTCCTAGCAGCAGTGTATGTTAGTTCCAGTTGTTCCACATCTTCACCAGAACTTAGTATTGTTCTCTTTTTTATTTTAGCCATTCTGATGGGTATGTTGTGGCATCACCGTGTGGTTTTAATTTGCAATTCCCTAATGACTAATGATGTATCTTTTGCACATTTAACCAAATAAGAGATGTGCAAAAGATACGTCACTAGTTTGGTTTAAATCCTTTGCCCATTGTTTAAAATTGGGTTATTTATCTTCTTTTTACTGAGTTGTGTCCTTCATATATTCTGGATACAAGTTTTTGCCAATATTTTCACTCAGTCTGAGGTTGGCCTTTTTCTTTTTCTTCTTCTTTACAATGGCTTTTAAGAGTAGCAGTTTCTAATTATGATGAAGCCAGTCTGTCAATTAGCTAATTTATTTTTCTCTTATGGTCACTGCTTTTTTATTTAGTTAGTTTTATTTATTTTTTGAGATGGAGTTTTGCTCTTGTTGCCTAGGCTGGAGTACAAGAGCGTGATCTCAGCTCGCTGCAACCTCTGCCTCCCAGGTTCAAGCAATTCTCCTGCCTCAGCTTTTGGAGTAGCTGGGATTAAAGGCATGTGACACTATGCCCAGCTAATTTTTGTATTATTAGTAGAGACGGGTTTTACTATGTTGGCCAGGCTGGTCTCAAACTCCTGACCTCAGGTGATCCACCCACCTCAGCCTACCAAGGTGCTGGGATTACAAGCATGAGCCACCACACCCGGCCTGCATTTTTATTTAAGAAATCTTTGGCTAACCCAGAATTACACAGATTTACTCCTATGTTTTCTCTCAGAAGTTTTACAGTTTTAGCCCTTATGTGTCCTTTTTTTGAGACAACAGAATCTCAGTTGCCCAGGCTGGAGTACACTGGTGCAATCCTGGCTCACTGCAACCTCCACCTCCCAGGTTCAAGCAATTCTCGTGCCTCAGCCCCTCAAGTAGCTGGAATTATAGGCACACACCACCACACCTGGCTAATTTTTATATTTTTAGTAGAGAAGGGGTTACACCATGAGACCATGTTGGCAAGGCTGGTCTCGAACTCCTGGCCTCAAGTGATCCACCTGCCTTGGCCGCCCAAAGTGCCGTAATTACAGGTGTGAACCACTGCGCCCAGCCCCTTACATTTCTATGTATGATTCATTAGAGTAAATTTTCGTATATGGTGTACAGTAAGCATTGAAATTCATTTTTTTTTTTTTACATGTGGATATCCAATTGGCCCAGTGCCAGTTACTGAGGAGTCTAGGGTAAATTTTGCCAGCATCTTATGCCACGGTGTGACCTCACAGATGTTATCTCTCTATAAACCAGAGTATCTTTCAAAACAGAAAATGTTACTAAAATACAAATGAAACCAAGATGATTGAATGGGGAAAGCAGGAGTCTTTTCAACAATTGGTTCTCAGACAACTGGATATTCACAGACAAAAGAATGGAGCTGGACCCCTACCTCACACCATATATAAAAATTAACTCAAAATGGATCAAAGACCTAACTTTAAGAGCTAAAACTGTAAAACTCTTAGAATTAAACATAAATGTAAATCTCTGTGACTGTGAATTAGGTCATGGTTTCTTAGCTATGACACCAAAAGCACAAGCAGAAAGCAAAAAGAAAAAACTTAAATTGGATTTCATCAAAATGAAAAACTTTGTACTTCAAGTACATTAAAGAAGTAAAAAGACAACTCACAGACCGAGAGAATATTTTTGATCATATATTGGGTAAGTGACTTGTTCTAGAATATATAAAGAGCTATTACAATTCAATAACTAAAAGATAACCCAATTTAAAAATAGGCAAAGGGGCCAGGCGTAGTGGCTCACACCTGTAATCCCAGCACTATGAAGGCCGAGGCAGGCAGATCCCTTGAGCCCAAGAGTTCAAGACCAGCCTGGGCAACATGGCAAAACCCTGTCCCTATTAAAAAATACAAAAATTAGCCAGGTGTGGTGGCATGTGCCTGTAGTCCCAGCTACTTGGGAGGCTGAGGTGGGAGAATTGCTTGAGCCTGGGAGGTAGAGATTGCAGTGAGCCAAGAATGCACCACCACACTCCAGCCTGTGAGAGAGAGTAAGATTCTGTCTTAAAAAAATAAAAATTGGCAAAACATCTGAATAAACATTTCTCCAAAGAAGGTATACAAATGACCAGTAAGCACATAAGAGAAAAGCAAATCAAAATCACAATGAGATACCAACTCATGGCCAAAGTGTTGATGGGGCTATGGAGAAATCAGAACTCTTGTACACTGCTGATGGAATTATAAAAACAGTGCAGCCACTGTGAAACAGTTTGGCAACTCCCCAATGGTTGGAGAGTTATTATATGACCCAGAAATCCCGCTCCTAGATATATAACCAAGGGAAATGAAAATATGTATGTGCAAAACTTATACACAAATGTTATAAACAGTAATGCTATGAGCATTATTTCAAAAAGCCAAAAAGGGCAAGGCACAGTGGCTCACGCCTGTAATCCCAACACTTTGGGAGGCCAAGGCGGGCAGATCATGAGGTCAGGAGATCAAGACCATCTTGGCCAACATGGTGAAACCCCATCTCTACTAAAAATACAAAAATTAGCCAGGTGTGGTGGCACGCGTCTGTAGTCCCAGCTACTGAGGAGACTGAGGCAGGAGAATCGCTTGAACCCAGGAGGTGCCTATAGTCCCAGCTACTCAGGAAGCTGAGGCAGGCGAATCGCTTGAATCCAGGAGGCAGAGGCTACAGTGAGCCAAGATTGCACCACTGCACTCCAGCCTGGGCGACAGAGCAAGACTCTGTCTCAAAATAATAACAATAATAATAATAATTTTTTAAAAAATCAAATAGCCAAAAAGTAAAAACCACCCAAAAGTCTGTTAGTTGATCATTGGATAAAGAAAATGTGGTACATAAAAGACCATATGTAATTCCATTTGTATGAAATGTCTTGAATAGAGAAGTTTTATAGTTTTAGCACTTACATTTCTATGATTCATTAGAGTAAATTTTTGTATTTGGTGTGCAGTAAGCATTGAAGTTTGTTTTTTTTATCATGTGAATATCCAATTGGCCCAGTGCCAGTTACTGCGGAGTCTAGTGTGAGTTTTGCCAGCATTTTATGCCACGGTGTAACCTCACTGATGTCATCTCTCAATAGACCAGAGTGTCTTTCAAAACAGAAAATGTTACTAAAATACAAATGAAAGCAAGACAGAAAGTAGCCTGGTGGTTGCTTATGGCTGTACTGGGAGGGTGGGTGTTAAGGGGACTAGGGGCAATAGCTAAAGGGTACATTTAGGGGGTGATGAAATGTTGTGGAATTAGAAAGTGGTGATGGTTGCACCACCTTGTGAATATACTAGTACCCATTGAATTATACACTTTAAAGGAATTATGTCTCATATAATTTATATGAATTTATCTCAATTCTTTAAAAGTCACTGAATCGGCCAGACATAATTTTTGGGAAAATATTAGTCAAGATGAGTTAACGTATCTGTGGACACCCAAGGGTAGATTTAAACTCAGGATTCAAGGTTTCCCATTTATTTAAGTGGGAGACATAGCATTCCTCTTTGGTATTGCACTGAAATATAATACAAGGTTGGTTTTCTGTAAAGCTCTGCTAAAAATTCTATTCCCTTTGGACTAGCATCCAGCAGCTATTACAACAGCACAGTGGGTCTCAGGTGTAAAACTGGGGCTGGATATCAAATTGCCAACATTCTTACAGCCATCTTTCTATCATAAACACCAGGAGAGCTCTCAAATGCAGACTCCCCACATATGGCAACCAGCTGAACAAACACCCACTTGAATCACTGCCTCAGCATTTCTAGCTTAAGACGAGCTTTCCTGTGGAAGGCGGGGGCTCCAGAGGGGAAGTGCCAGTGCCTGCCAACCAGTTAGTGTGCTCAGCGAGGTCCCCTCCCAACAGCCACCCCTATATCACCACCTTCCTGACAATATCCATGGAAGCACAGGCATCTCGTTCACTTTCCTTAAGCCAGAAGTCTCAGGGGTGTGCAGGTCCCTAAGGTGCACTAGGGAGAGCCACGGGTCCAAGAATGTCCCACGGGGGCTCAGCCAGGTGCCGTCCTTCTCTTGGCCTCGATTTTAAATGTGACACATCTAAGGAGCTTTCCAGATAAGGCTTGATATTTTTCAATTCACTTTTTTTGTGTGTGTAACTATTTGTCATGGAAAGCATTCGAAAATATACGGTACATACCTCTTCCTCATCAGAGCATGTTTGTCTTAACTCTTTCTTGCCAATTTGGTCATCTTTTATCCACGTCAAATACAGTCATTTATAAAACTCGACTGCTGTTGAGATGTGCTGACCGTAGGCCTAATGATCTCAAGCCCACTCTGTCTTGAGTTGTATTGTATATAACTAACGTACCCCTGTTCACAGCTTTTCCATCTTCTCTCCCCACCTGTACATGTGTGCCAATGAGACCCATCCTTTCTATTTCAAGTTATCAGTGACCGTGACCTTGGCTAAAAGAATGGAGCATTATTAACTTCCACAAAAGAACCTTTGCACACAGTCCCACAAAAGTCCTCCAGAAACATGCACTGAATGCCTGACCTCTTCCTAATGTCAGCGTTTCTACCTTTGACTTTATTTTACAAACTAAAGGGAGTAAGGTACACTTTTTTTACTGAAAGCATCTAATTTAAACCCCTTTTTGCTCACAAGGAGAGGTGAGGAGAGGCCCAGGGAGGCAGAGAGCTGCTCCATCTGCTCCCTTGTGCTTGGAGGCTGAACCTCGGGCCCCACGTTGGAGCTGGCCCAGGCCCCAGCCGTCCCAATGAGTCCCAAGTGCTGCCGCTGAGCCAGCCTGGAAGCTGAGCTGCCACGTTCACAGGCTCTCCCTTACGGTCCTCATGCAGTTGTGATTAATTTGGAAGAGCCTGCGGCTTAAAAATCAACCAACACTTTCCACTTAAATCACTTAGGTATACATTTTCTTATGGAAACTGTTGTGCTGAAGTTAGTAATTGTAAGCTTCCGCCAGGCCCCTCTCAGCCTCTGGCAGGTGCAGCTGGTGCTGCGATGCACCCTTGCCATGCTGGGCCCACATGCACAGGGTGAGGGCCTCCCACACTGGCAAGAGCTCAGCGATGCAGGGGCTGCTTCCTTTAAAAGCTTTGTCATGCCATTGTCCCCACACAACCTCATTCAGCAGAGCTGATCTGGTTCAATCCGGCAAGTCTCTGGAGCAGCAGGAAGGCCCTGTCACTGCAGTTCCAGCCTGCTCCCTTGCCTTGTGTCCTCTGACTAGCTGTCAGGCCAGATGCTTCTCAGGGAAAACGTCCCCTCACTATCCTTCCCTAAGGCCTGGGGAGGCCACAGTGCTTTTTAATCATGGCAGGGCTTGCATGAGACTTAAGCAGCACCCCCAGGCTTCTATATCAGTCGCTGTGAGAGGACAGAAAGGAAAGCACGTCTCTCAGAGACTAGCCCTAGGAGCTCGACATCTCAGGCGGAGCCTACCGTGAAAGTCTCCTGTCACCCCTGACCCTGCAATCTGTTCTCACAAGAGCAGACAAAAAGACATTTTTGTGTGTGTGTGTTTTTGTTTTTGAGATGGAGTTTCACTCTTGTCGCCCAGGCTGGATGGAGTGCAGTGGCACGATCTCGGCTCACTGCAGCCTCCGCCTCCTGGGTTCAAGGGGTTCTCCTGCCTCAGCCTCCCGAGTAGCTGGGATTACAGGCACCCACCACCACGCCCAGCTAATTTTTTTTAGTAGAGACGGGCTTTCACCATGTTTGCCAGGCTGGTCTTGAACTCCTGACCTCAGGTGGTCTGCCCTCCTTGGCCTACCCAAAATGCTGAGATTACAGGCGTGAGCCACCCACCGCACCCAGCCAAAAACACAAGTGTTTGTTTGTTTGTTTGTTTTGAGACGGAGTCTTGCTCTGTCGCCCAGGCTGGAGTGCAGTGGTGCGATCTCAGCTCACTGCAACCTCTGCCTCACAGGTTTAAGCGATTCTTCTGCCTCAGCCTCCTGAGTGGCTGGGACTACTGGCACGTGCCGCCAGGCCCGGCTACTTTTTGTATTTTTACTAGAGACAGGGTTTCACTGTGTTGGCCAGGATGGTCTCAATCTCTTGACCTCGTGATCCACCCACCTCGGCCTCCTAAAGTGCTGGGATTACAGGCATGAGCCACTGCACCTGGCCCAAAAAGACAAGTTTTTAAGAACTGAGAGAACAGGGCCACCATTACTCTTATCAGTTTTGAATATGTATCATCTGTTCAGGTTCCAGTAAGCAAACTGTGTTGTGGTTTGATGATCTAAATTCGCGGGTCGGTTCTGGGATAGCTAGAGGCTACCAGGTCCTGCTGTAACAGAAACAGCAGACGTGTCCAGAATTTTCATAGCGCATGGGGGAAACCAGACTCTCCCAGAACCGCAAGCCTAGAAATCTGTGAGATTCCACTTGATTTCCCTGCTTTTGGGAGGAGGCTTTTGACCATAAAATGCCGTCTCATCATGAAGCTGACTTTCACCAAGGTAGGCCCTTTCCCTTACTGCAGTGGGAGCCGCACCACCACTGGGCACAGTGAGGATACCAGGGTGGGCTCCTGCCCATGCCCAGGACGGTGTGTGGGCTGGACACCACTGGGGTGAGTCCTGAGGACGGACAGGCGAGGGGCGTCCAGGCTCGGCCACAGCCCTCACGGAGCCTCAGCTCAAAGGGCTTTTCAGGTCAGATGCTAAAACCGTGAGAAAACAGCTGCTTTCCAGCAAAGAGCCTGACGCATCCGCTTGGGGAATCCTCTGACCAGTCCTCTCCAGACCGTCTGGGTTGTGACAGACAAGGGCAGACCAAGGAGCCATCCCAGATGGAAAGGGTGTGGGGAAACCTGTGAAATGAGAATACAGCTGTAGGGAGGTTATGTACAATGTTCATGATGGGGAAGCAGCAGTCATGGGAGCCTGGAGGCTGTGGAGAGACCTACAGTGGGGCGGACGTGTGTGACAGCAAGGGCAAGAGGGGCGGTTGGCACCCATGGATGCTGCGCAAACACTCGGACCCTGATTTTCGCCAGACACCTGGAACGGTGCCCCGTGCCCCTCCCATGGCCCCTTTCTCCCCACCAGTGGATCTGTCTACCCGTTTCTTCTCCCCATGCAGGAAAAGTACCCAGATGCCGTGTACCTCTCGGAGGGGCCCTCCTCCTGCTCCATGGGGATCCGCAGCGCCAGCCGGCCAGGGTGAGCCTGCACAGGCCATGGGGCCTCCCATTTCCTGTTCAAACAAGGATTCCAAGTAGGAGACCACCTAAGTAGGATTCTAAGTAGTAAACTACCTAACCAAGAACTAAAGGTCGTCGGTTGGAGGAATCAGTGGTCCCAGCAGATATGCCCAGTATGGGGGTGCGGGGAGCTGGAGCTCTGGAGGATGTGCTGGGCCGCAGGGGGAAAACGCCAGTCCTGGGGCCCACCCCAGGACTTATGGGGTCAAGGAAGGGAGGCTGGGAGAAAGTGGAGATGCTTGTGGATCTGCTGTTACTTCAGAAATCGAAGGGAGGAAGCCAGGGGTGAGTGGAAAACCCCAAAGCAATGAGAAGAAACAGGACAGGCTTAGTGCCCTGATAGCACAGCTGATCCCTCCACCAGCCCCGGCGCCACCCTGGCCCGTGCCGTGTTCTCCATCCTCTTCCCTTGGCTGTGCATGTGTGGACATGTATCCATCTGGGTGTGCTTTTATGACCTGTGTGTGAATGCCTCAACTCAACTGGTTTCCAAGCTTTAAAATCATGTGGTCCTTATGCAGGCTTCTGGGACTTGCCTTTGTCACCGTTCACCTCCTCCAGGGTCATGAGCAGCTGCAGTGCAGTTTCACTGCTCATCCTCCCGGAGGGGATCATACACAGCGTCTTGCTGCGCTCTTCAGCTCTGGAGCACGTGGCTTCTTTGTTCTGGCTCACACCTCCTGGCACACAGTACATAAGCTTCTCCTGGGCTCAACTGCCTAGAAATGAAATTCCTGTGTCATGCATGGATGCATGTTCAGCTTACTGTCAGTGCCAGATTATTTCCAAAGTGGCTTGTCCATGTCTGCTCCCACCAGTAATTTTGAAGTTTCTGTTGCTCCATGTTCTGTACTTCGCTGGTATTGGCCTACTAATGTTTGCCAATGCAGTGGGGACAGAGCAGCACCTTCCTGTGATCCTGGTTCCATTTGCCTGTGCTACTGACTGTGCCTCTTCTTGGCTGTGGATTGGGGTTTCTAGCAGGGGAGCCCAGCATGGGGAAATGGAGACCAGGTGCGACTCATGGTTGCTAATCTTTTCGCCAGATTTCAAAAAGCACATAACGACATGTTTTACTGCTTTTTCAGGTTTGAATTAGTCATTGTTTGGAGGATACAAATAGATGAAGATGGGAAGGTTTTTCCAAAGCTGGATCTTCTCACCAAAGTCCCACAGCGAGGTAGGGCCCTGGGTGTGGCTGCTCTAGGTGACTTCTCAACATGCCCAGCAAAGCCGCCTGCCTGTTTCCTCTGGGTTTCAAAGGGCAAGAATCAAAAATTGGAAATCTCATTAATGTACTTTGTCTATCAATTTTTAAATATTTTTATCAATAATCACTCAAAAAGAACATGAAAAGGGATTGCTGCCCCAAGGCCCTCCCAGGCTGAATGCACAGGGAATATGCCTCCAGCCGTAGGTGAGGCCTCCACTCACTCCATCTCCTCGCCCGCCACTAGCATGTCCCATCCCATGCAGCTAGTCGGGAGGAGTGCGGGGTCTTGGTGAGGTCCATGCCAGCAGAAAACAAAAGACCAAAAGCTGCCACCTTGAAGTTTCTTACCCGGTTTAATGTTTTCTTTATAGCCCTGGAGCTGGACAAGAACAGAGCCATAGAAACTGCTCCTCTCAGCTTCCGAACCCTGGTAGGACTGCTTGGAATCGAAGCTGCTCTGGAAAGCCTGATAAAATCGCTTTGTGCAGAGGAGAACAACTAGTTCCAAAACAGTGAACGTGGAGGATGAAGATGCTGCGTGGAGGAACATGCAATTTTATTCAATATAAACATTTGCTATTTTCTGCTTAGAAACCACACCCTGAAGACGTGCTGTCTATGCAGTTATGGCACATTATATGGAAACTCTCATGACATGAAAAATAAATACAACTAGTTAAGTATAAAATGCCAAATAAAAGTGACACGTACAATGTGGTTTATAAAAATAAGCTTAACATCTGAGAAAATGTACCAAGTGGTTGTGTGTCCTCAGATGTGTGGGGAGGATCCATCCCCCACCCACTGCAGCCTCACACCGAGTCCACCTTGGACATGGTGGCCACATTACTCAGCTGGGAGAAGCCACCCTTATCCTGGTTCCTGCCTCCTGGGGGCTCTGGAGACGGATGCCTATGGCGCCTCATCTTTAAACTGTCCTTAGTAGCCCAGGGGAGCCACACCCTCACTCCCTGCCTCCCCCCGGTCCGCATGGTGGCACCGTGAGGCAGTCTCAGCAAGTCCTCATGCTGTTCTTGGTCTTCCACAAGAAAGTGAAGCTGTCAGCTTAATAACAAGAATGGCCTAAGACAGCAAAGACAGCACTGTTCCTGGGCTGGGACGCAAGGAATGAGGTCCTTTATGAAAGAAAGACCCCCCTGCATAGCCTAAGTGCTATATCGATCGTCCCGGATGTGCCTTAAGAACCGTGACCTCATCAGTCGCCCATTTAGCATTGTTAAGATCTGTGAACGCGTGTTGTCTCAAACCAGTCAGGGCCGTCATGACTACGCAGCAGCAGCAGTTTCCAAGACGGGCCAGAAACGCATCCACAGCAGTGGCACCCGCGGCTCAGGGGCTCCTCACAGCCCGGGCTGGTGGGAGCCAAGACCAGACAGAGTGGGGGTCTCCATCTGTTTTCTCTTCTCCCTCAAATACAGGCTGTTTTCATCGTGTCTAGTCCAGCCCTGTCTGGGCCCTGTGCTAGGCAATAACTCTTGCAGCCCTGAAGGACCTAGGGAGCCCAGCCCACCTTCCCACGGACTGGGGTTCCCTCACATGTGCACTTGAACCCAGGACCCAGCATCCTCCACACACCGTGACAATGGGCAAAATCATCCCAAACCAGGCTGCCCCAGCCCCAGCCCAGCAACAGTGAACTCCCTTGGGTCAAGACAGTACTCAACGGCCACTACCTCCACGCTTCCCAGAGCCTGCGGCTTGTCCGTGAGCTCCGTGCACTTCACCAAAGCCCCCATCCCAGCACACAGGACCCGTGTGTATGAGACGGTGTCATTGGAAGTGAGAAGAAAACAGTAAAAGTGTCCAGTTAGATAAGTATCTTTTTGCACCTCTGAGAGTAGAATTAGAAGTAAATATGACAGAATTGAACAATAAATTCTAGAAGAGTTGCCTTGATTCAAACAAGTATAATTCTCAAGTTATCACAAAATTTCCCACAAAAATTTACAATCAGCAAAATAGTTTCCTTATTTCTCATGTATCATTTTCATATAATTCCATGGTTTCACTAATATTATATGTTACAATAAGCCTCCATTAGTCCCTCAAAACGATGATATAAATAAGTCTGTACAACCTAGCATAGAATAAAAAACTGAAACCAAGATTCCCAACGTTTTTCATAGCAGCCGGGCACACTTTGGTGACCCCAACGAGAACCCTCTCGGCAGCAGCCAGGAGCTGTTCACCTTCCAGAAGCAGGGCCTGTGGCAGCCTAACAGGGAGAGGCCACGGGGCCCAAAAACGCAACACGTCTCAAGGCAAACCCGAGGGAGGAACTTGGTCTGGGAGGAAGAGAGAACTCGCTCCTCAACCACCCCAGACACTGGAGTGTCAGGAAAGCACTGAGCTGTTGGGGCACACTGCCCAGCCCGGCCACAGCAGCTCAGCCAGTCACAGCTCCACCTCCAACTTCTACAGCAGCAATTTTTAGTGGGAAAGAACAGCTCATCTCCCCCTCATGTGAAAGATTAAATTGTAAAGCAAAAAAAAAAAGGTCAATGCTCGCATGAGTGGTGTCCATCCTGACCTGAGCCTTGCGCTCCCTGCTGCCCTGTGTGGAACTGTGGGCTTCAGCACCTCCACAGGGACCCTGAGTCTACACTGCTCAGAATCGGCATCTGCGCGACCACGAGGTCACGCTGTGCAGCAGGGAACCACCTAAAAACCTGTGTTGATATGTGGCTTGCACTGAAAAAGTGACCATGTAACTCAGCTGGGGGAAGTTCCAGTAGTATCCATGTTTTCTTAAAAGTCCAAACTGTAAAATGTATGTGACAATTCAAGTTTTCTATGTTAGGAGTCTGGTGGTAGCAGATCCAAACCTTGGGTCTTAGAATAAGGCTTTTCGCATTAGAGAATCAGACATGAGCCCTGGTTGGGAAAGAAGAACTATCCAGAACGTCTTCCCAGGGCTTAACGGACACTTCCATTTTAAGAGTGTGAGCAGCTTCCTGGGACACAGCACTCACTTCCTACATTCCTTGTCCAGGAAGTTGTTTCTAGTGCTCTTCAATTCCATGTCTCCAAGAGGCAATCCCACCTCAAAAGGGGTTAAAAGCAAAAACATTCACAACCAAAGGTCACCCAACACAACAGAAAATATCTCTATCATTCAGCCTTCACATTATGTTCAAGTTTCAAAGACACTGCAGGGAAAGAGTTAGACCTTGTGGAGAACTAATGTGCAATCTTCGCTTTCCTTGAACCGAGTCGACATCACGGCGTTGTCTTTGGCACGTACAGTCTTTGAATAATAGTTGACGATCTTGCCGTCCAGTTTATACTGATGGGGAATGCTCTCGTAGGGCTTGAGGTCAAGGTCCAGCACAGACACGGAAAAGGCAAACCTGGACCTCGATGAAGGGACGACAGGCCTTTGATCAGAGCTGCAAGTAAAAAGTACCATTTCAGGATACACAAGCCCCCCATTCATTTCCCTCCCTCCCGTTCTCTCTCCCTTTCTTCTTTCAACTAGTATGTTTTTATGTTTTTTCTTTGACTTCTGCAAAGTTAGATAAATCAATCTCTTTTAAAAGAGAAGTGAATGGCCTCACACCCCAGCTCACAAAGAGCACTCGTTCTGTGCACCTGTGATCTGTGCGTGTGACAGCTGTCTGTGCCGGCTGTGTGCACCAGCGTGCAAAGCTTCCTCAGGCCAGTGCACCCCACCATACCAGGCGAGAGAGGGTTAAAGGACTGAAAGATGGAAAAGTAATTATGTGGAACATGTGAGCGATGTTCCCCCAGCCCAGTGGTATAAACGAACGCTGAAAAATCACTTTATCATGAGCCAAGTATTACAAAACCCAACAAAAAGTAAAAAGTAGATCTGGCCATTCCAGCGCCAAATGGATGGAATGTCGACAAGCCTTCTTCTTTGCCTCTCCTGTCTGCTGAGAAACGCAAGCTCCTTTGGTTCACATTTGAAGAGATCTGGTTTCTCATTTTATTCTCAAATTTTATCTTCAGTCCTTTGTATTTTGCTTCTCAGGGCTTAGTTTTGTGGTTTTAACCTCAGAAGTCGTGTGCTTATAACAAGATGTGATTAATTATTTGCCCTGAAAAACACATTTAGGATTACTCCGAGTCCTGAGCTCTGACTGCTGTGTGTCCCGCTTTTCGTCTCCGGGCACTCAGCGCACAGCACTCAAGACACTGGCTAAACAAGTGACCTAAGCTCAGTTCAGTCCAAGAGAAGTATCCTGGGTTCTGGTGTCCCAATGTTTACTACGCTTTGAGATTTAGAAATCAACAAGCCAAACCCCAACTTCAAAAGCTCCTGCCGAGGAGAGGAAATACTGATCAGCACGTCCCTGCTCTGACGCTGCTCACCATGGCCTTGGCGCTCACTGCTGCCCTGCCCCAGAATCCTGTTTGTAGAAAAAACAAATCCCTGACTAAGCTGCTGGGGTAAGTAACTATTCTCATCTGAAGAGTAAACAGCAAATAACTCATTTACAAATTAAGGTCATGAGTCTCGCTCCAGAAGCTGGAGTGTGCCTGCAGCTCATCCCAAGGGGCCACATTTTATTGGGAGAACCTCAGAAGCCCAAGGTACTGCTCAGTTCTGAGGCCTGAGACCCAAGCTGGGTGCACCTGGGCTGGAACAGTCACATCCCCAGCCCATGACTAGGGTTACGTATTTTAAAGGACACCCCAATTTCTCAGAAGCAGCACCTGACAAGACCATGGGTGTAAAGACAGGAAGGATGTTCCAGGCAGCTCCCGGGGAGGGTCTGACTACCTGGGTCAACCACAAGCTAGCTCCATGGGAACCAATGGCAGTGACCAGCGGGCACCAGCTCCTGACACAGAAATGCTCTTCTTCCCCCTCAGTACCCCGGAGGCCAAGACTGGGCAAGAGGCCCCAGGGACACACCTGTCCCTTGTGCCACAAGTGTGCCCTCTAGCAGCCTTGGAGAATGAGGCTCAGGTGGCCTTCTGGCTGCAGGGGGGCAGCCCTTGCCTGGAAGGCCGTTCTCCAGGACACTGACCCGCTGGGGGTTACCGGGGGACCAGCAGCCTCCAAGGGTGCTGGGGATCGGGGTGGAGAAGCCAAGGCCGCACACTGTGTTTCAAATGGGAGGTCGAGAGGAGCATCAGGGTTTAGGCCGGGAAGCTGTGGCAGCTCTCTCCACAGTTCCAAATTCCCAAAGGGACAAAGCTCTGCAGCGACAGGAAGGCAGATCCAACTTGAGACATTTTCCTTTATGACAGGGCAGAAACAGTAGTGCAGAGCTGGAGAAGCCTTTATTTTAGGGGGTGTAAGAAGTTTAAATGTGGTCAATCTATCTGTGAGCTGCAAATTAGTCTAGGGATCTAAATTTAGTCTCAGGTCTACCAGGTATCTCAAGACGCCAAGATGACTCATGATAAATCCCAGCCTTAGTTTGTCCCTAGGCCTCTAGAGCACCACAGTTACTGGAACTTCACAGGTGCGGCCACTGCGCACACCTTCCTGGAAGCAGGCCCAGCCCCACACGCCATGTTCTCGGAGGAGAAGCCTTCTCTGAGATCCTCTCCTTTTGTTGAGAAAGGCCTGGCTAGAGTGCTTTGTGCAGGATGGTTCCAGTGCCTACACCCTAGGTCTGAGAAGCCACATGGCTCAGTGCCTTCAGGACATGCCCTCCCCTCCCCTCCTAGTGTCGTTTCTGCTGAGCAGCTGGTCGTAAGGACCCGGGCCTTCAGCTTTCCCCGCATGCTGGCTTTCCAATTTGACATCACTGACCAGGCACTAAGAGATTCCCAGGTGCTAGACGAGGTGAGTAACATGTCTGTCCTTCAGCGGCCTTTCACAGCCCACCTAAGGGCACCCTGCATCCAAGCACATTTCCATTGCCCAGCTGCATCCTTGGTCGGGGGGCTGCTGAACAGTGGTATCTTCGTGGGTTTTCTCTCATCGAACACCACCAGCTTAATCCAGTTAAGGAATTCCTCATAACTTAGCCCTGTAGGTATTTCCTTAGGGGATAACAGGAGTTTTCAACTAAATAGAACAACCTTTTTTCTACTTCAGTTAGCCCTATAATGTTCCTCAGTATTTCATATTGGAAAGTAAACAATTCTGTGCCTGCCAGGGAACAGGAATCCTGGGAACTGTTTAGTTCAAAAGCACCGGGAAAGTGAGTGGCTGGCAGCCAGCAACCAAGGTCATCTTGACCCAGGAACACATGTTAGAAGAATGTGGAACATTCCGCAAATACTGGGTGCAGGGTTTAGCACCCCTGAAGATCGGTGATGGAGATGCTGTCTAACGACTATGAGATTATCAGTTTCATCCCGAATTCCCAGAAACAGAGGGGACTGGACAAAACTAGTGACATTAGGGAGAGGGGCGGCACATAGGCTGGTTATTCAGAAGAGGAAGCAGAATGAATGCGCGCCTCACAGGCTTTCAAATGACTGTGGTGGTAAAAAGGCAGGTGCGCCATGCTGCCACTGTGGGAGACCGAGGAACAAGGGCCACAGGTACCCACACATCTCAGGGGCTGGCTTTCTTTGAGGGAATGCAATGGGCAGCTCACTGTCCACATTGTTTCTGAGCTCTTGGGAGTATTTTCTTAGAAAACAGTAACTTTCAATGTACTAACAATCCTTTTAAGTTATTCTCCATAAATCTGTCTTTTGACTGAATTACAAGCTTCTAGAGGGCGAGAGTTAGTAAGCCCCATGATGTCACATAGGCCAAGGAAGTTATGTCACTCCGCCATGGAGTCTCTAAATATGGGGAAACCAACTATCCTATTAACAATTCACCAACTGTCCATAAAACCCCGTTAGACCCAGGCTGCATGCCTTGCAGTGGGGGCCTCACCTGGCATCCTGCAGACAGGGAGACAGTGCAATCATGATGGAGCAGTCCTTGGCAGTCATGGCGACGCGGTACTGCTGCACCTGCAGGGGCGGGAAAGATCAGCTCCAGGTCACACAGGAAGCCTCTGCCCCCCCACACAACCTTCCTTCCCAGTAGCCAAGTGTGGGAACTGCTTCCTGCCTCAGAACCTGAGGGTGGGATTAGGAGCGAGGGCCACGGTGAGCACGGGCGTCAGGAGGTCGCCCTGTGAGAGCACCTGGGCCAGCCCTCAGTGCCACGGGGCTGCTCAGAGGCCAGCACCGCCCCCTGACCTCTCACGGCAAGCAGTGTGGGACCCCGACTCCAGACCCTGAGACGGATGATCTGTCTTCAGCAAGGTCACCACAGTCGGCCTTTGGAAGGAAAAGCAGTAAGCCACCTGAGCCCCGCATGTTGGCCACACTCAGAGTATCAAGTGAGTATCACTCGACACCTGCAAGGAGAGCGCAGGGGGTGTTCAGCAAGGCATCGCTTAGAACGACATTCCCTCCGGAACATCATACAGCCACCAGAGACAACGGCAGACGGCCACCCTTCTACAGGCTGTGCATGTGTTAACTTGCTCCACCCTCACAGCAGCCCAACAGGGCAGCACGGCCGGCGTCCCACTTTACAGACAAGCAACAGACACAGACATCACTTGTCTGTCATGCCCTGCTTGTCAATGGCAAGGCAGGGACTCAAACCCGGTACGCTGGCTCTGACATTTACACTCTTCAACACATGCTCCAAGCTATGTGGGTCTGTCCATACTGACCAGGGACAGCTCAACACACACCACACTGTCAGAGTCGACATACGTAAAGCTGTACATGTGCACATGTGTGTGACGCGGGCAGGGAGAAAGGTGAAGGACAGGCACCACAATGCTCACAACTGTCTCCTCTACAGAGCAGAATGTGAGGCACTCTCTCCTCTTCCTTCTTTGGACTTTCATATATGGTTTGCATTGTTTTAGATGGCATAGCTCTCGCTTTCACAAAAATAAACAGTTGTAAAAGAAAAGGAATTGGGCCTCACACATCACTGGCCTCAATATTTGTACTGATGACAGACCATCATCTCCTGTCTCCCTTTTAACCACTCCCCTCAATTGCATATAACCTGGAGGATCTGGCGTTCGAAAACATCCAAGCTGCACTTTCCAAAGGGCAGGACTGGATGGGAGGGAGTGGGGAGAACCTCAAAGCACGGATTTAGCTCAGGCCCACACACTATTCTTGGGGCCTGAGAAAACCTTTCACAGCAGATGGAAATGAGCAGCTCCTATCCTTACACTCTATTCAGTTAGCTAGAGTACAAATGGATCAAAAGTTGATTCTTAGGAAACTAAACTCTTGGTGGGAATGATTAAGGGAGTGTCCTAGCCCCTTCAGGCTGCTATCACGAAATGCCCAAAACTGGTAGCTTATAAACAACAGAAACTTGTTTCTCACAGTTCTAGAGGCTGGGATGTCCAAGACCAGGGCGCCAGCAGATCTGCTATCTGGCGAGAGCCGACTTCCTTATCCACAGCCCTCTTTTCACTGTCACTTCACATGGTGAAAGGGGCTGGCTTGCGCTCTGGGGTTTCTTGTATAAGGGCCTGAATTCAAATCATGAGGGCTCTACCCTCATGACCTAATCACCTCCCAGAGGCCCCACCTCCTAACACCATCACCTTGGGAGTTGGGATTTCAACATATAAATTTGGGGGGGTGGGAGGGTAAAACATTCAGACAGTAGCAGAGAGGGAGAGAAATCAAATATCAGACATCTGGAATAAAAGAGCATACTTCAAATCCTATAAACATGAAAAGATAATAAAAGAACATTACCCAACAACATCATATGCCAAAATTCTGAAAACATAGATAAAACAAAAAATTTCTAGAAAAATACAACTTACTAAAATTTGAAACTTTCCTACAAAGACAACTATGGGGCCTAGCTGATTTCACAGCTGATTCTACAAAGCATTTAAGTCAGAAATAATACCATTCCTTTTTTTTTTTTTTTTTTTTTTTTGAGACAGGGTCTCGTTCTGTTGCCCAGGCTGGAGCACAGTGGTACCATCACAGCTCACTTACAGCCTCGACCTGCAGGGCTCAAGTAATCCTTCCATCTCAGTCTCTCAGGCAGGTAAGACTACAGGTATGCACCACCATACTCGGCTGATTTTTAATTACTTTTATTAGAGACGAGGTCTCGCTATGTTGCCCAGGCTGGTCTTGAACTCCTGAGCTCAAGTGATCCTCCCACCTTGGCCTCCCAAAGTGTTGGGATTACAGGTGTGAGCCACTGAACCCAGCCGTTGTTAATCCACCTCTTCCAGGCAACAGAGAAAGAGTAAACAGACCATCTTTTAAGTGTTTTACGGGCAGGTCTAGGCCTCGACACCAAGGCTGAACACAGACATTACAAAAAGAGAAAGCACAGTTCTTATCACTCATAAACATCTGCCAAAATCCCTAAACAAAATATTAGCAAACCCAATTATCATCATACAGAAAAAGAACACATCACAACAAATTGCATAATTAACCACGTTAACAGAAAATATTTTGGTCATATGATCATCTCAATAGAAATAGAAAAGGCATTGATAAAGTTCAACATCTGCTCCTGATTTTAAAAAATCCTCTTAATAAATCAGGAAAAGAAGGGAACAAACTTCTTTAATCTGATGTCAGCCACTTAAGGAAAAAAAAACCTACATTAAACAATTTACTTGATGGTAAAATGCTTTTGAGATTTGGAACAGGACTAAAATTCATACTATCACAAATTAACTACATAAAGTGAAGTAAAATAAAGAAGTGAAAGGTATAAGGATTGGGAAGGAAAGGGAAAACATCAAATTCACAGACTACGATTACATATAAAGAAAATCCAAAAGAAACTATAATCGTTAGGATTAATACAAGTGAGCAAAGTTGATGTATGCAAAGTCAAAATAGAAAAACCAATCACATTACTGCATAATCAAACACTTTTAAAGTAAGATCTTTTTAAAGATGCCATTTACATCTAAAACCATCAAATATCGTGAAATTAATATAAGACCTCTCTGAAGAGAACCATAAAACATTTTTATCAGAATAATATATATATATATAAAAGTTTAAATGTCCATGTTGGAAGACTCAGTATTGTATAGATTTCAACACTCATCATTTTAACGCTACACCATGAAAATCCCAGTGGCTTTTTTTTTAGTTTTTAATTTTTGTGGGATAGCAGTTTTGTTTGTGCTTTTCCTGCAGAACTGAGTGAGGTGATTCTCAAATTCATGTAGATATGCAAAAGGTCGAGAACAGCCAAGATATGCTTGAAGAAGACAGAAGGATTTGTCAGATATCAAAGCTTGTTATGACTCTGTAGTGTTCACAATTTCTGTGACGACAGGATAATTCCATTTGAAAAGAAAATAAAACCCCACCTCCTGCCATTTCAAAAATCAGTTTCAGACAGTCACCCAACAAAATGTGAAAGACAAAACAATAAATTTTCTAAAGATATGGCAGGAAAATATCTTCAGGACCTTAAGGCAAAGAAAGACTTCTTAAAAGGGAAAAAGACTGGTAAATTAGGCTACCTTAACATTATGAACCGTTCTTATAAGGACTCCATTAAGAATCAAAAGACGGGCCAGGCACAATGACTCACACCTGTAATCGCAGCACTTTGGGAGGCCGAGGCAAGCGGATCACAAGGTCAGGAGATCGAGACCATCCTGGCTAACATGGTGAAACCCCGTCTCTACTAAAAATACAAAAAATTAGCCAGGCATGGTGGCGGGTGCCTGTAATCCCAGCTACTCGGGAGGCTGAGGCAGGAGAATGGTGTGAACCCGGGAGACGGAGCTTGCAGTGAGCCAAGATCGCGCCACTGCACTCCAGCCTGGGCGACAGAGCGAGACTCCGTCTCAAAAAAAAAAAAAAAAGTCAAAAGACAAACTACATAGGCTACATAGTGGGAAAAGATACCTACTGGACACAAAATTGACAAAGGGCTTCTATCCAGAATATACAAAGAATGCCTTCAAATCAATAAGAAAAAGACAACTCTACCAAAAAAAATGAGCAAGAGACTTAAATTGTGACTTAAATAGATCACAAAAGGAAAAATCCAGTAAACATATGAGAAGGTACTTAATCTCATCACAAGATACCACTACACACACACCAGAATGGGTGAAATTCAGAAGACCCACAACTAAGTGTAAGAGATGGTGTGGAGCACAGGTGACTCCTAACCGGTTGCAGGGAACATAATCAGGTAAAACTGTTTTACAGTAGCTACTGAAACTAAGTATACTCATCCCTGTGGCCCAGAAATCCCACTCCTAGGGATATATCCAAGAGAAATGTGTGCACATGTACACAAAATCTGTACAAGAATATTCATAACCGCCAAAAACTAGGAACAACCCAAATGTTCATAAAACAGCAGAACAGATAAATTGTAGTACACTAAGTCCTCACTTAATGTTGTCACTGGGTTCTTGGGAAACTGTGACTTGAAGCCAAACAATGTATAACAAAACTAGGCCAGGCACAGTGGCTCACGCCTGTAATCCCAACACTTTGGGACACCAGGTGGGAGGACTGCTTGAGCCCAGGAGATCGAGACCAGCCTGAGCAACATAATAAGACTGCATCTCTACAAAACATTTAAGAAATTAGCCAGGCATGCCAGGCACAGTGGTTCACACCTGTAATCCAGCACTTTGGGAGGCTCAGGTGGGTGGATCACGAGGTCAGGAGTTCCAGACCAGCCTGGCCAACATGGTGAAACCCCATCTCTACTAAAAAATACAAAAATTAGCAGGTGCCTGTAATCCTAGCTACTCAGGAGGCTGAGTATTACTTGAACCCGGGAGGCGGAGGTTGCAGTGAGCCAAGATCGCACCACTGCACTCCAGCCTGGGTGACAGAGCAAGACTCCATCTCCAAAAAAAAAAAAGGAAGAAATTAGCCAGGTGTGGTGACACATGCCTGTGCTTCCCAGCTACCTGTGAGGCTGAGGTGGGAGGATCACCTACCTGAGCTCAGGAGGTCAAGGCTGCAGTGAGCCATGATCGTGCCAGTGCACTCCAGCCTGGACGATGAAATGAAACTCTGTCTCAAAAAAACAAAAATAAAAACAAAGCCATTTCTTTTCTCATCGTTATGATAAAACAACATTGAACAAAATGATGTTATTTGAGGACCTGCTGTATAGGTCACTTCACTTAAAGTCACAGTTTCCACGAACCTGTCAAGGATGCTGAGAAAGGACTTACTATATATCCATTCATGGATCACTCTAAAGTAAATAGAAATGTGGCAATAAAGTAAATAGAAATGTGGCAATGGGTGCACTAGCAAAGGTGAATCTCATAAATATTACACAGAGCTAAAAAAAAAAAACAAACAGGAGACATGAATATATACAGCATGATCTCGTAAGTCAAGTTCAAAAACAGGACAGACTAAACTACAGGGATGTAAGTCAGTACAACAGTTAACCCTGGGAGGAAGGAGAAAGGTCTGGTTGGATGGGACAACAGGAATTCTGATTGCTGCCAGTGTTCCATGTCCAAATATAAGTGGTGGTTCCATAAGAATTTTTACTTTGTGACAAGTCAGTGGGTTGTATATTTTTTTCTGTGTACCTTTCTGTATTTGCTAGTATTTCACAATGATTAATGAAGCAAAAGTTTAGAAAATTAAAATAAAACATTTAAATATTAGTAATATCTAGTGTTCGCAAGGACATGGGGAAACTGTCTTCAACTGTTGCAAGAAGAAATATAATTAGTAAAATCTTTTGGGGAGGACAATGTGACAGGATCTATCAAAAATAAACCCTGCAATTTTACATCTAAAAATCTGTCTTACAGAAATGCTATGTTAAGTGCACAACGGTAGATGTACAAAAATGTGAATGTCAACGTTATTTTTAATACCAACAAATTAATACCCAAGTAACTAACAGTGGTGTGAACACACTAAAGAGACAGGATTATGGAGGACATCCAACAGCCCTTCTAAAAACAACTAGATCCCTGAAACCGCTCCTTTTAACGTGTTGTTGGGCTTGCATAAGGTAAGGAAAATCCCTAACCCAACCCCCTCTTCTCACCACCCACCCACAAAGAGCTGCAACTAGAGTTTTGAGCATGAAGCAACTGGGAAGGCTGAGCTGTCCTACAGTCCAGTGCCACTATCAGCACTGATTCTAGGAATAAGCCACAGGGTAGAGGATCTATCTAAACCAGAGACTCTTCCCTTTTGCCAAAGATCCCTATCCTCTCTGGAAGAAGGCATCCCCTATTTGGGTCTCCAGGATTCCTATAGATTAAGATCAAACAAATCAACAAGGCAAACAAAATCAAGCAAGGCAACACGGATGAGTCAGCCAAAATAAGAGATTTTTTTTTTTTAACCACCAAGGTTTTATTGTATCTGATATCAGAATATAAAATAACTTCATAAATTGCTTAAAGAAATAAAAGACAGAATTTTGAAATAGACAAGCCACAAGGAACTAGAAAAAAATACCAAGGAGATGTGAAAACAAACCAAATAGAATTTTCAGAAATTAAAGATAGAACTACTGAAATGGGGCCAGGTGTGGTAGCTCACGCCTGTAATCCCAGCACTTTGGGAGGCTGAGGTGGGCGGATCACAAGGTCAGGAGATTGAGACCATCCTGACTAACACGGCGAAACCCCATCTCTACTAAAAATACAAAAAATTAGCTGGGCGTGGTGGCAGGCGCCTGTAGTCCCAGCTACTCGGGAGGCTGAGGCAGGAGAATGGTGTGAACCCAGGAGGCGGAGCTTGCAGTGAGCCAAGATCGCACCACTGCACTCCAGCCCGGGTGACAGAGCGAGACTCCATCTCAAAAACAAAAAAAGAACTACTGAAATGGAAAACTCGATAAACAAGTGAAATGGCAGATTAGACACAGCTGAATGAATCAATGAACTGGAAGATAGAGCTGAAAAAAGAAAAGCACCTGGAATGTAGCACAAGGAGACAAAGATATGAAAAATATGAAAGAGCAGTTAAGATGTGTGGGAGATAAAATAAGGTTTGACATAGGTCAAATTAGAGTCCCAGAAGAAGTGAATATGATAATGGAGAAGAGAAAATATTTGAGAAAATGAGAATTTTCCAGAACTAATAAAAGACATAAATCCACAAATAGAGAAAGCATAACATACACCAAACAGGAAAAATATAAAGCACAGCACACCCAAATCACATTGCACTAAAATGTCAAAAGGACAAGAAAGAGGTAGAGAAGACCTTAAAAGCAGCCAGAGAGAAAAGACAGATCACCTACTGAGCAAGGACAGACTATCAGAAGACATCTTAACAGCAAAAACCAGATGTTGTATGAAATGTTTAAATGCTATTAAGAAAAAAAAAAAACAGAAATGAAGCCCTTCTGTGCACCCAGATAAAAAATTATTTTCAAAACTGTGGACAAAATATGAATATATTCAGATACAGAGGGAATTTACCAAAAACCCTTCACTAAGATAGCTTCTAAAGAATATTCTTCAAGAAGAGGAAGAAAACTATAAATATCTGTAGGCCAATAAATTAGAAAACTTAGATAAACTGAACACTTCCCTAAAAAGACACAAACTACCAAAACTGACTTAAAAGCAGACAATATGATTAGACCTATAACAATTAAAGAGAATGAATTAAAAATAAAAAAACTATCCACAAAGAAAAGCCCACTCAGATGGCTTCACTAGTGAATTCTGTCAAATATTTAAAGAATAATTAATACCAATCCATCTCAACTTCTTCCAAAAAATAGAAGAGGCTGGAACACCAACTCATTCTATGAGGCCAGTGTTACACCCCGATCCCAAAAACAAAGACATCACAAGAAAACGAAACTACACACTATCTTAAGAATATGGATATGAGAATCCTCAATAAAATAATCAAAAACTGAATCCAGCAACATATAAGAAGGACAAGACGCCATGACCAAGTGGGATTTAGCCCAGAAATACAAAGTTGGTTTTAACACCAGAAAATAAATTTATGTAATACACCACATTAACAGAATAAAGGACAAAAACCACATGATAATCTCAAATGATATAGAAAAGGCATCTAACAGAATCCAACACCCTTTCAGAATAAAAACACTCAGCAAATCAGGAAGAGAAGGGAACTTCTTCAATCTGATAAAGGAATCTACAAAAAACAACTAACATCATACATGACGATGAAAGACTGAACACTGTCCCCATAAGACCAAGAACAAATCAGGGATGTCTACTCCTGCCATTTTTATTCAACATTGTACTGGAGGCTCTAGTCAGGAAATTACGCAAGAAAAATAAATCAAAGGCATCCAAATTGGAAACGAAGAAGCAAAACTATTTCTACTCACACATGATCTTAAATAGAGAGAATCCTAAAAAAATCCACTAAAAAACTATTAGAACATACAAACTCGGCAACGATGCAGGCTACAAGATCAATATACAAAATCAAATTGTATTTCTACACCTGAATACACTTGTAATGAGCAATCTGAAAATGGAATTCAGAAAACAATTCCATTTACAACAGCATTAAAAAGAAAATATTTTAGAAATAAGTTTAACAAAGAAGCATAAAACCTTAGTTTACACTCTGAAAACTAAATAACAATGTCAAAAGAAAACCAAGATCTAAATAAATGGAAAAATATCTCATGTTCATAGATCAAAAGACTTACTACCCAAGGTGACTTACAGATTCCTCAAGTCCCTATGAGAATCCCAGCTGGCTTCTTTGTAGACGAAGCTGATTCTAAAATTCATATGGAATTACAAGAGGCTCCAAATAGTCACAACAATCTTGAAAACAAAGACCAAAGTTAGAGAACTCACACTTCTCCATTTCAAAACCTACTAAAAAGCAGTAGTACTCAAGACAGGGTACTGGCATAAGTGCAGACATATAGATCAATGAACAACTGAGCATCCAGAAATAAAGCCATACATCTATGGTCAACTGATTTTCAAGAAGGATGTTAAGATCACTCAACGGGGAAAGAATAGTCTCCTCAACAAATGGTGCTGACCGGGCACGGTGGCTCACAACTGTAATCCCAGTACTTTGGGAGGCTGAGGCAGGCAGATCACTTGAGGCCAGAAGTTCAAGACCAGCCTGGCCAACATGGCAAAACCCTGTCTCTAGTAAAAATACAAAAAATTAGCCGGGCATGGTGGCACATGCCTGTAGTCCCAGCTACTTAGGAGGCTGAGGGAGGAGAATCGCTTGAACCCAGGAGGCAGAGGTTGTTGCAGTGAGCCAAGGTCGTGCCACTGTACTCCATCCTGGGTGACAGAGTGAGACTCTGTCTCAAAAAAAAAACAAAAAAATGGTGCTGGGACAACTGTATATCTACATGCAAAAGAATATTGTTGGAGCTGGGTGTTACGGTGCACACCTATAGTCCCAGCTACAGGGGAGGTTGAGGCAGGATTACTCGAGCCCAGGAGTTTGAAGCTGCAGTGAGCTACGAACACACCACTGCACTTCAGCCTGTGTGACAGAGCAAGACCCGACCCTGTCTCTGAAAAAAAAGAATGATGTCGGACCTCTACCTGAAATCACATACAAAATTAACTCAGAATGGATCAAACACCTAACTATAAGAGCTAAAACTATAAAACTATTAAAAGGGAACATGGGAAATCTTCATGACCTTAGATTTATTTAGCAATGAATTCTTAGATATGACACCAAAAGTATGAACAACCTAAGAAAAACTAAACTGTACTTCAACAAAATTAAAAATGTTTGTGCATCTAAGATATTACCAAGAAAGTAAAAAGGCAACCAACAGAATAGGAGAAAATATTTGCCAATCATGTATCTGATAAGGGTCTAGTAGCCAGAATATACAAAGAATTCTCAAGATAAATGACACTATTAAAAAGTAGGCAAAGGGGGCTGGGCACGGTGGCTCACACCTGTAATCCCAGCATTTTGGGAGGCCGAGGTGGGTGGATCACTTGAGCTCAGGAGTTCAAGACCAGCCTGGGCAACATGGTGAAACCTTGTCGCTAACAAAATACAAAAAATTAGCCAGGGATGGTGGTGTGCACTTATAGTTAGTCCCAGCTACTCAGGAGGCTGAGATTGCACTACTGCACTTCAGCCTGGGTGACAGAGAGAGATTCTATCTCAAAAAAAAAAAAAAAAAAGTAGGCAAAGGATCTGAATAGACATTTCTCTGAAAAAGATATATAAGTGGGCAACAAGCACATGAAAAGATGCTCTTAGTCTTCAGGGAAATACAAATCAAAACTACAAGATACCACTGCACACTCTCGACGACGGCTAAAATCAAAAGGACAAGTAATAACAAGTGTTGCTGAAGATGGGAAAAAAATAAAGACAACTTCATACACTGCTGGTGGGAAGATCGAACCGTACAGCAATTTTGGAAAAGTCTGCCCAGGTCCTCAAAAATTTAAACATAAAAGTGCCACTGGACCTAGCAATTCCACTCCTAGGCATATTACCCCAGAAAAGTGAAAACGCACATCCATGCAAAAAAACCCTGTACCCAAATATTGATAACAGCATTGAGCATAATAGCCAAAAAGAGGAAACAACCCAAATGTCCATCAATGGATGAATGGATATGTCCACCCCATGGACTATTACTGAGCCATGTAAAGGAATGAAGTACTGATGCATGCTACAACATGGATGAACCTTGAAGACATCAGGCTAAGTGAAAGAAGCCAGCCACAAACGACCACACATTCAATGACTCTGTTTATATGCAATATTTGGAAGAGACAAGTCTACAGCGATAGAAAGTAGACAGGTAGTTGCCTAAGGCTGGGGGTCATGGGGAGACAATGGGACGATAGCTAAAGGGTACAGGGTTTTTACTGAAGTGATGAAAATCTAAAATCAACTGTGCTGATGATTGCACGTATCTTTCAATACAGTCAAAACCGCTGCACTGAACACTTTCAGTGGGTAAACTGTATGGTATATAAATTACACCTCAATAAAGTTGTTACAGAAAAGAAGGAAAATGGAGAAATAGCTAAGCTACAAGAATGTTAGGCAGTGATATGGAAAAACACATGGATAAATCTAAACATCTGTGTAAAATAATACTCTAAATTATGACTAAAAAAAAAAATACCAAGACAAACAGAACAATACTGCACATAAGTTTGGAGAGACAACTGGAATTAAGTGTCCCAAGTCCTTATATTGTGTGTGGACTGGGAGTATGAAATAACTGATTAGACTTTAAATATGCAGGATCAAATTGGACAAGACACCACAAAAGGGAGAGAAACAGGAGTAACTTCCAAACACATAGAGCAAAAAATGACATAAAAAAAACTAATAAGTAAAAGTACACAGAGGTCAAAAAACTATGGGCTGGGGGCCAAATGCAGCCCACCACCTCCTGTTTTTGTTTTCCTGGAACTCAGCCCCACTCATGTTTTCTCCATGGCTCCTTTTGAGCTACAGTGGCCAGGCCGGGTACCTGCAACAGGGACCAGACATTACAAATGTCTGCTGACCCCTGCTACCAGATACTACACAACAGACAAAAGCAAGAGTTATTGGGGGCTTCAGTCTCCTGAGCACTGAAATGAAGACAATATTCCCTCTTTTCTTCAGCGGTACACAGTTCAATTTTTTTTTTTTTTTTTTTTGAGATGGACTCTCGCTCTGTCACCCAGGCTGGAGTGCAGTGGTGCAATCTTGGCTCACTGCAGCCTCCACCTCCCGGGTTCAAGCGATTCTCCTGCCTCAGCCTCCCAAGTAGCTGGAACTACAGGCATGCACCACCATGCCTGGCTAATTTTTGTATTTTTAGTAGAGACAGAGTTTTGCCATGTTGGCCAGGCTGGTCTCAACTGATCCACCTGCCTCAGCCTCCCACAGTGTTGGGATTATAGGCGTAAGCTGCCGTACCCGGCCCACAGGGTTCAATTAGATAAACAATATGAGTGCAAGAACTTTTGTGTAGGAAGGAATGTCCTCAGCCTACTCCTCAGCTTCAGCTTCACAACTACCCTCTTCAGGTTCAATTACCAGAAGCTAACTTCCTACAAGAGAAAAAGGGCAGGCCCTTCTATGACAGCACGGAAAGACCTCAAGCCACGTTTCTCCCACCAGTAACATCTTGCAAAGCTACAATATCACAGCAAGGTGAGTGATGCTGACACAATCCACAATCTTATTCAGATATCTCGGGTTTTACATATATGCGAGTGTGTATGAGAGTGTGTGTGTGATCACACGTAGGTTCATGCATCCACCACCACAGTCAAGATACAGAACAGTCTGATCACCACAGGGATCCCCTGGTTTGACCTTTTATAACCACATCTACCTCCCTTGTTCCTCCTTGCCAACCCCTGGCAACCACAAATCTTTGCCATTCAAGGATGTTATACACACAGAATCATTCAGTGTGACCTCTGGAGATTGGTTTTCGTCACCAACAAAGCCCCCTGGAGGTCCACCTGGGCTGTTTAGCAAGAGTCTGTTCCTTTTTGGTGCTGAGCAGAGTTCTGTGGTATGAATGCACAGTCTGTCTGACCCGCTGGAGGTCACCGTGGAAAGACATGTGGGTGGTTTCCAGTTTTTAGCTGTTACAAAAAGGGCTGCTGTGAACATTTCTGTACAGGTTTTTTGGTGAGTGTCAGTCTTCATTTCTCTGGGATAAATGCCCAGGAGCACAAGTACAGGGTAATTGCGTGTTTAGTGTGTAGGAACCTTCCAAACTGTTTTCCGGAGTGACTGTGTCATTTTCCATCCCCATCAGCAACAGATGAGAGATCCAGTTTCTCTGCACCTCCATTTGGTGTTGTTTCAGTGTCTTTATTTTAGCCCTTCTGCTAGTTAAGTAATGTCTGCTTTAGCTGCTTACAACACTACATTTACATATCAGGTTAAAAGATTAAAGTAAAATTAAAAAGTAATCCATACTTATTTTGTGGAAAACTGAAAAATACAGAAATACATAAAAAGGAAATAAAGTCCTGTTTCTTCTCTTAGGAAAAAACCCGCCACACTGCTGTTTATACCTAAATCAACGTACCCAACTGGCAGACAGCACGAGGCAGGTGCCACTGCTTTCTTCTCACCCCAGGGCTCCACTTGGAACTCTCCTCACCAGGATGACAACTCTGCCCTGGGCCTCTGCTAACATCCCTGTGGCCCTTTGCGTCAGAGCCTCACCTGAGGCTTTACCAGACATCCTCAGTTCTCCTCAAAACAGACAGCTGCAGCCCCAGTTAAAGAAAGCACTGAGGGCTCTCTCCCAAATGTGAGCCACAGACATGTCAACGGGACAGGGCAAGTGGGTCCCAGGGCTCCAGGCAGCGGTGCATGCACATGTGGGGAGGAGCGCCAGCTCGCTCCAGAACAGGTTTCCTCACTGCTTATTGTCCTGTAAAGGCTTTGGCAGCCTAGTAAAGCCTATGGGCCTCTCTCAGAATAACTTTTTTTTTTTTTTTTATGAGATGGAGTCTCGCTCTGTCGCCCAGGCTAGAATGCAGTGGTGCAATCTTGGCTCACTGCAATCTCTGCCTCCCAGGTTCAAGTGATTCTCCTACCTCAGCCTCCCAAGTAGTTGGGACTACAGACGCCTGCCACCACGCCTGCTTAATTTTTTTGTATTTTCAGTAGAGGTGGGGTTTGACCATGTTAGCCAGGATGGTCTCAATCTCCTGACCTCATAATCCACCCGCCTCAGCCTCCCAAAGTGCTGGGTTTACAGGCGTGAGCCACCACACCCGGCCCAGGATAACATTTTAAAATGTGTAATATAAAATACAGGTGGCAGAAATGTAAAATACCAAAAAAAAAAAAAAATGTTTTTTTGAGACGGGGCTTGCTCTGTCACCCAGGCTGGAGCACAGCGGTATGATCACAGTTCCCCGCAGCCTTGACTGCATCCTCCTACCTCAGCTTCCCAAGTGGCTGGGACTCTAGGCACACGCCACTACGTCCAGCTAATTTTTTAATTTTTCTTTTGTAGAGATGGGCGTCTCACTATGTTGACCAGGTTGGCTTCCAACTTTTGGTTTTAAGTAATTCTCCCACCTCAGCCTCCCAAAGTGCTGAGCCAAAATATTTTTAAAAACAAATGTATTCCGTAGTAATATGTAACATTTAATGCAGTGATGAATAAACCACATCTCAAAGTGTCTGCAGTTACAGTGTGAGACGGAAAGTCTGTTTTTTTATTCTCTTAGTGGCAAACTCCTGGGTCCTGATGAACCCACAGGCTCATTGCCACATTCGTAATGGAAAGAAATGCTAAATTCCAGGTACAGCTTAGTGAAAATGAAGATGCCATTTTTTTCCTATCCAAGCTCATGGAGCCCTGAATTTCACAGACCCAGGAAGTACAGGGCCAGTCCTCTTCCCTAAGAGACTCCTGCAGGCTGTCCCTTGGCCTCGGTTCTAAGGGAAGGAAGCCGCCCGCATACAGCCAGGGGCAGGGCAGAGGCACAGGTGGGGTCCCAGGACCCTGGCAAGGGCCTTGTAGCAAGGGACAGTTGGCAGAGAGCCTGTTGTGGGCTGCTGAGAAGGCATGCAGATGGGTTGCAGATCGGCCGCCCCTGGGGCCTGACCCCACCAGGAACGGGCCAGGGCAGAACTCAACCAAGGGAAATTCCCCTTAAAACCTCAATGCACCACCACCTGCCCCAGTTCATCTGGGAGAAACTTCAGCCACTTCTTTTTGATCCCAAGTTTTCTGCTTTAAACCTCAGGGGTAGGTAATGGAAAAAAAAATACAAAAAACAAAAAAACAGATTAGTGCTAAGAAGCTAAGGATCACACAGCAAGTTTTTGGATGGGTCTGCCCACCTTCGTTAGCGCGAAGGCCACTGTCCCGTCATCCTCAGTGGAAAGGTCAAGCAGCTTCTGGTAAAATGCTTCATCATAAGGCCCATCTATTTGTAAGGTTTTTCTGAAGAAGAAAGCACAATAAAAACAGGATGACAAAGCCGCACGGAGGTTGTTTCTTAAACTGCTAACAGTCTACAAAGCCCAGCACCACTAAACATCACACATTTTGTTTTGAAAAACACATAACAGATCTATCTCCCTCATGTTAAACATCAAGGTTTTTAACAGAACTCAGCAAGACCAGAACCAGCGAGCCTTGAAGCTGAGCCTTCTCCTGTTCATGACAAGTAGCATCCTGCGTCAGAGATGCAAGGAAGACCAGCGAGGAAGGAAGAGGATCCTGGCCCCGACTGGACACCGCGGGTGTGGACCCCAATGACCCGCAGTGAAAGCCCAGGACAGAGGCTGGGCTGACACAGAACGACCTGCAGGAGCGCTGCTCAGCTGTGGAGCAACACTGCCCTCTGCAGGCTCAGCCCCATCTTGGGGTTTCGAATTAGCAAGGTCACAGACGTGCTTTCTTTTCTAGAAACAAGTGACCCTGTTCCTCCTTTACAAGGCACTACATTCCAGAGCAGGCCTGGGCACCTGGGAGCGGAGGACTGGGGTAGGAAGTGGCCGGCATGCTTCATCCTCCTGGGAAGCTGTGCCTTGGGAGGCGCATTCTTACCCTGCCCACTCCCACAGTCTCCTCTCAGGGCTGCCCAACAGGGGGACCGCCCGACCTCACCTCTCCTCGGGAAACTCTTCCAGGTATCGCTCAACCCGGTTGTACAGAGGGTAGAGGCCTTCGATGTCCAGCAGGTCCAACATCTGCACCTGGAGGGTTTTGTACAGAAGACAGCCCTTCGGTAACCCCGAGCGCTCTGGGGTGTTTTTTCCTACCGAGAACATCAGGGGAAAACGAGAGCATGTTGATTATCAAAGAACGTGGAGGGAGACACAGGCCGGCGCAGACCGCAGGGCTCATCCTGGGCTCCGCCATACGGGCATCACCACAGGCAAGGACTGCACCCTGGACTGGCACTAAGGACAGACGAGATGACGCTCCCGCCTCACAGAGCTGCTGGAGCTGCAGCGTGCCTGGACCACACTGGATGCACCAGGCCAAGCACAAAGGAGGGAGCAAGAAATGCACATGTCCTGCCTCGTGGCTCTCCTCTCCCAACACAACTCTCAGAATGTCCTTTAGATTCCACCACAACAGCCCTGGAAGTCACTTTATGATCTAAGTTTAGACATAATCCTCATTTTAAGTCAGGTCACAAAATTTCTTCTTTTTCTTTTCTTTTTTTTTTTTGAGACAGAGTCTTGCTCTCTGTGGCCCAGCCTGGAGTGCAGTGGCGTGATCTCGACTCATTGCAACTGCAAGGCAAGGAATTTCTAAGATCCTGCTGACATCCTAAATCTGCAAGACCACTAAAGGAGGAAAACCCTGGGACACTGTCTGCAGAGTCCAGAGCCATGAGCCCACACTGAGAGGCAGGTAAGACCTGGGCTGGCGACAGGCACGAGCTCAGAACCAGCCACACAGAGCCACAGACAGGGGTCAAAGCCACTGACAAGGACCTGTTATATCATAGGGACAGAGGCAGAAACAAAACTCCACTTGCCACTCACAGTTGTTTGGCACCTGTGCTGTACAGGGTGCCAAGTGAGCTTGGGAGGTACCAAGTCCCAGATCATCTCCTGCCACTGAAGGGAGCAACCATCTCCCACAAAGAACCAAACTACAGGCAAAGACACAGTAAGAAAGGTGTCCATGCAGGGGGAAAACTGTAGTCAGCTGCAGATTTCACTAGGACCCGGCACGAAAATGCCAACATGCAGGGAAACAGGAGTAAAAGTTCACATGCCCAACTAGAGGGGATTTGTTAAAATTACAGCAGATCCATGCATGGTCAATAAAGAACAAAATGCATGTGATCTCCAGGCGCCGTGGCTTACGCCTGCAATCCTAACTTTCTGGGAGGCCAATGCTGGCAGATTGCTTGAGCCCAGGAGTTCAAGACCAGCCCGGACAACATGGAGAAACCCCATCTCTACAAAAAAAAAATACAAAAATTAACTAGGCGTGGTAGTGCGTGTCGGTAGTCCCAGCTACTCAGGAGGCTGAGGCAGGAAGATCACTTGAGCCCTGGAGGTGGAGGTTGCAGTGAGCCAAGTTCACACCACTGCACTCCAGCCTGGGCAACAGAAACAGACCTTGTCTTTAAAAATAATTAATTTAAAAAAAAAACATATATGTGATGATATAGATACAGATTTATGCTAGTTAAGTAAAGAAAGTCAAGTTACAAAATGACATGTAGAGTATGATCTTATTGTTTTAAACTGCACATCCCAGCAGCCAGGGCCCAGCTCCACTCCCTCCTGTCTGTGTCCATGTCCAAAAAGGTCTGCAGGAGCCCCGGGGTGCTGTGGCGCCTCCTGTTGGTGCCCCCAGACCACCTCAGCAACTGGTGCCATCTGTCGTTGCAGACACAGTTGGCTTCCTTAAAAGCAATTATGTGCCCAGATTATAGGCATAATTTTAACAAAATTTTCTGAAATGATCAGGAATCACTTTCATAACAAGAAAAAAAAAACCCCCACAAAGTTCATTTGTAGTGAGAAAACATGGTGGCTCATGCCTGTAATCCTAGCACTTTGAGAGTCCAAGGCAGGCGGATCACTTGAGGTCAGGAGTTTGAGACCAGCCTGGCCAATATGGCGAAACCCTGTCTTTACTAAAATACAAAAATTAGGTGTAACGGTGCGCACCTGTACTCAGGAGGCTGAGGCAGGAAAATCACCTGAACCTAGGAGGTGGAGGTTGCAGTGAGTCGAGATCACACAACTGCACTCTGGCCTGGGTAAGAGAGTAAGATCCTGTCTTGAAAAAACAAAAGAAAAAATTGGCACAGATAATAAGGCAGGGCTTAGGGTATGGGTTGGTTTCTGGTTGCACACAAGCAGGACTGCTGTCTTCAAACCATCTCAGGCTCCCAGAGACCATGGGGTCTCTATGGGCTGCCAAGAATCACGGGCAGCGTCAGCTCATGAGATGTCAGGACATGTGGCAGCGGCCAGGCCCGGCTCCTGTCTGCAAGGAAGGCGTCCCGCAGTCCAAAGGCCCCATGGGTCTGTGTCTTCACCCCAGACTTGTGAAGACATCCCATTGTGGTAGGACCCAGCCCTGCAGGATTTCTGTGCCTCAATTCTCTCTGTCTAAGGAACAAGCCAAGGAAAACCTGTCCCCCGGGTTGCAATGAGGATCCAACAGGATATATAACATGGTTGAAAACATTCAACAAACCAGAGAGGACCACAACATATGGATGATATTCTGGGGGAAAATCCTACAGCCCAAATGTGTCCTGCAATTTACAGATGCAGATAAAAGGCAAGAAAGGGAGTCTGCATCTGGGGGTGAGAGGCAGCGAGGCCCCGTGCTGGGAGCCCTGGCGTAACCAGGTGGCATCCCCCAGAGCCCCCAGGAGGCTGTGCTGACCGCCTGGCCACCCATGGGGACTGCAGAGTCCCAAGGCCCCTGCGGCCCCCACCGCCTACCTGGGGAAGGCTGGGCCCTACCTTGGCAGCGAAGGCTCCTACTGAAAGGGCTGGCTTCGCAGACTCGCGGGCCCTGAGGCCCGAGCCCCGGACTCAGGGTGCCTGCCCGGCCCTTGTCCGAGCCACTCAGCAGCACCCGTGTGATCACGTGCACCAGCTCCCTGATCACAGCCCTTGTGCAGTGGGGCCCACTGGCCAGGCCGTTGGAAGGGAAGAAGAACGGCTTCAGGTGGTGTGCAAGCTCGCTCCAGTCAGCCACGGGGCTCCGGGCATCTTTGCAGCCGTAAATCAGCTCACCATTCTTCAGACAGGGAAAAGAAAGAGGGAAACGTCAAACCACCAAGCTTGTAGGAAAAGAACTCAGTCCCCACCACCAGCATCCCAGGCAGCGGGTGAAAGCCAAGGGCCCTGATGCTGTCCACCCAATCTGGGGCCGCTGCATACTCCGGCTCCTCCGGGGAAATCCACCCTCACGAGCTGTGCTATCAACCAAGCACCAAACCTCAAGACATGAAAAGGAAGGAAAGTTTCAAAAACTAAAGAGCAGTGCCCTGGCCTGACCAACGCCCCCAGACAATGATCCACAGTATATTCAGAAGCCAAGAGCAAATGCTCACCACAAGTGACAAACTCCCAAAGCCACCAGCCCAGTTACTCAAGAACCTGAGGGCCTTGGCTCTGGCCCTGAGCAGACAAACGTGAGGATGGCAGTCAGCACCAGCACCACAAACGAGTGTGTCCTGGGGTTCAGGCCACGCCCAGGGTGACCCCAGTGCTGGGTGGTACAGCTGAGCCAGATGGTGGGAGAAGCTGCTGGCATCACCAGTATGGTCCATGCTCAAGACGGTTCTGCCTTCTTAAATCAAGCCCAGCAAAGAAACTCCTTACAACATCAACACTTAGATTCACACATTCCCAGGGCACAGGCAGGGACATCTGCTGCCATGCCCAGGGGGAGTCAACACCATGACTCATGGGGGTCTGGATGCTGCCCAGGGGAAAGGCCCCTGACAGCGGCCAACCCCAGGAGAGTAGCAACTCTTTAAACCTTATTTATTTCTTTTTAAAAAAAAATTTTAATGTTTTTGAGACAAGGTCTCACCCTGTTGCCCAGGCTAGAGTGCAGTGGAGCAATCAAAGCTCACTACAGCCTTCAACTCCCAGGCTCAAGCAATCCTTCCACCTCAGGCTCCCAAGTAGCTGAGAACACAGGCGCACACCACCACACCCAGCAATTTTTTTGATTTTTTGTAGAGACAGGGTTTTGCTACGTTGCCCAGGCTGGTCTTGAACTTCTGGCCTCAAGCAATCCATCTACCTCAGCCTCCCAAAGTGCTGGGGTTACAGGTGTGAGCCACTGCACCTGGCCCACACCTGGAACTTCAGAGCTTTCAGGGTTTTCTGTCTTGCTGGCTTTCAATACTGAACCGGACCAGATCGGCGGGAGAGCTGATGGAACGCACAGTAGGTAACATGCCTTGGCGGTGCCCTGTTATCTTAAAATCATTCTGCATCCCTTCTCTTAATCCATTCCCTTTTCAACTCTTTCGAAACAATCCTAATCCTCAGGACTTTTCCAAGCTGATTTTGACAAAAGTAGCAGACAGCCAGAGTTCCAGAGACATTAGGTGCAGGCCAGATGGGGTCAGAAAAGGATCCACCTGGGATAACATGCCAGCCTTATGACAGGCTTCAAACAAATCCCTGATGAAACAGAATGTATCTTCAGGGCTTAAATATCGAGTTTATAAAAATAAATTATATAAATATGAAATAAAAACTGCCTGTGAAATATGTCTTCCTTTCCTGGATTTGGGAAGGTAGAGGCAGACAGGGAATGAAGCCAATTCACTGCCCAGCAGCCAGCGCCATGGGTTTCTAACCAAGACCTGGGGAGGCAGGTCAAGAGCAGGCGCCATCTGCCCACTGCTGAGAGGCAGCCAGCCGGGCAGCAGGACGCCAGCCATGTGCAGCAGCGAGGAGAGGGGCCAGGGCTTCCAGTTCACCAGTCACCTCGTCCAGACCACGGCACATAGGAAGCTGAGAGGCCCATACTCAACAGCCCTGCCTCCTCTGAAGTATCCACCTGCGATGGCTGTCAGCTCCTGCAGGGAGCCCAGGACTCTGTCCCCAGGTGTCACTTATGTGTGATCATGAGGCTACAACTGGGACTGAGGTGATGACAAGGGGGACCCCAGAGGATACATGTCTAACAGGGACCCGGCACCCTGACTGCCACCCAGGCCTGCCCTGCCCTACATCTCATCCCCTCTCTCCCCAGCAGCCTCTCCTCCGCAGATGCCCCAACCCTGCCCAGCCCCACCCCCACCTCCTCTCCCTTGGACACCACTGCCAGCAGCAGGCCAGGTCACACCAGCCCAGATAGTGCCAGAGCCATCCTCACCCACAGTTCACCCATCTGCTTATAAGGGGAGACCAAGGCCCACCCAGCAACTGGTGGGGCTTTGGTCGAGCACCCCAGGGTCATGAGCAACCCAGGGTCACTCAGATGCTATGCTTGTGGAATCGTGCTCAGAAAAAGGTCAGGGAAAGACAGGTCTGGAACTGGAAGGTCCAAGGTGATGACTGAACCAGTCAGGGCATGAGGACCCCAAAGGGGATGTCAGACACACATGACGTGCAGCCCAGCCCAACACCCTCATCTGTGAGGTCACTTGAACCTTTGCCAGCCCCACCCTGAAACCACCATAGAATCAAAGCAGCTCTTACCTTAAATATCTTCAAGTTGTTCTGTGCCTCCTGCAGCAAACTCTTCAAGGCAAAGTGCATTCTCTGTTTGTTTCTAAAAGGGAAAAGCATTAACATGCTTTAAATGCAGCTGGAACTGACCTGTCCCTGCACACACACCTGCTCGTGGCTCAGAGGACATGCTGGGTACTCCCAGGGGCCGCTGGGAAACCCAGAGTCCAACTAGGTCCAAACAGTGACATTCTCCCCTCACTACAGCCCCACCATGGGCTCCCTCCCCGGAGGGTCACAGATGCAGCTCCACAGCCTGACACGCACTCACCAGAGATGTGGGGGTTGGCCCTGACCCCAGACTTTCGGGAGATGTGAGGGACCCAACTGAGGCACAGGAGTGGGAACCCCACCAGCTGCATCACAGCCCAACCCGAGACGGGTTAAGGGCTGCTATGCCTCCCTTGTTCCTCCTGCCGCAACTTCCAAAGGCTCAGGGGCAGCAGGAGACCTCTGATGGGCCACGAAGGGAGTGCTGGGAGCCAAGGAGAGGCTAGAGCCCCAGGGAGCCCTCGTCCTCCAAGCGACGAGCTGCAAGGATGGCCTCCTCCCCTACCCCCAACGGAGGAACCTCTGGAGGCCAAGCTGCCCATGCAAGCACACGAGCCTGACCCTGCCAGTAGGGACAGCCCACAAGCACACATTCAGAAAGGCATCCAGTATCCACGCACTCTAGCTGACTCCCAAAAGCCTGCATTCTACAACATTCCAGGGAGGTTTCCCTACTTATGTTCTGACACGTTAATAAATTCTCAACAATGAATCTTTATTACTGAATGCTTCACAATTCACAGCCTTTAGGTGCACAGGGAAATCCACATGGGACCCACAGGTGAGGGCACCGCCAGACTCGCTGAAGCCATGGAGTGAGCGGTGTTGGTGCCACCTTCTGAATGAGCATTCCCAATGTTTGTGAACTTTTTAACTTCCAAAGACAACTCCGCGTTCGATCTTTGTTCCCGGAAGTTTAAAAGAGCATCTAACCAAAAGCACTGACATGATGACCAGGCACGCACTCAGAGGCAGTGCTGAGCACTGACAAAGGCAGGGGCACGAAATGAATGGCTGGAGGACAGCAGGGGAAGAAAGAGGAAAGAAACTCACACAGTGGAGCGAGAAAAACCGGACTCACCAGAACAGCTCTGCAGTAACAGGGGTCCCAGGGAGGGAAAGGAGATTGGAAAGAGGAGCTGTGCTGATCAAAAAGGACAACAAAGGCACACAAATCTACATCGCTCTGTGGCCAAGGACTCTCTCCTGGGGGTGTGAGGTGGGGGTGCCTGAGTTGGGGCAGGGCACTGCCATGAGTCCCAGGTCCTGCCTCTCTCCACCTGCTCCCACCCTCAGCCCTGCCAGCATCCTCTGCTGCCCCTTCAGCCCCAGGGCCTGCTCGCTGGGCCCCCAGGCCCCACTGCGGACTGACCCTCCCCAGCTCCCAGCCACTACCGCCTTCCTGACCACAAAGGCTCTGGCCAGGACCGGACTCTGGGCTGCCCCAGGAGAGTAATGTGCAGGATGCACAGCAAAGCTCTGAAGGCCGGGGAGCGTGGAGGCAGGCCAAGGTGGGGAGCAGAGCCCAGGCACCTGATCAGAGGCTGCAAGCAGACCTTGCCGGGGCAGAAATAGCCACTGCAGCAGCAGACTTTTTAATATCCACAGAGGAGGGAGAGATCAAAGGCACAAACAACCAAACTATGAGGGCCCAGACGGATGGAGGTCAAGGCTGAGCACCAGTTGATTTCTGACATAAGTAGAAGACAAATCTAGTCACAATTCAGATGAGGAAACAACCAAAAGTGAGCAAGCACGTCAAACTGTGAGCACAGAGACAAGGCACGGAGCACAAAGCCCCAGGTGTCTACAGCGCTGATGGCAAAAGAGAGCCCTGAAGACAGAACAGGGCCTTCCCTGCCTTCCTACCTCACGAAATACCCCCCACCAGGCACTGGCCCCCGCCCTACCCATCTCCAGGGAACCTGACACAAGGGGGCAAAGGAGAAGTGTTCTCTTACCCTGAGTAGAGATCAAGGGGACAGTATTTGCTGATCTGCTTCCACTTCCCAGTTGCTACCTGTGAAAACACCAACAGGAGGGCATGAGGTGACTGGCGCTGGTGACTGCACTGTGCCAACTGAACACACAGAACAGCATCAGTGATGAAGACAATGAAGACGAGCTGCAGCCTTGCCCCGGAAAAGGTGCCACCACCTTTGCAGGTGCACATCACTAAGTGGCGGAGGGAGCCACTTGACTTCCATTCAAGGAAACCTTGGCCCCATCTGTGAGACATGATGTGGCGTGGCCCCCAGGCCAGCCCTTCACAGGAGCAGGGAAGAAAGTGGCAAACACCTTCAAATTACATGGCTAAATTTTGGTAATGAGAGTAACAAACCTTCAGAAGTTATAATATCCAGTAACAGGGAAGGTGTCCTTAACAAGAAATTTCATATTGCCAGTGGGAAGATAAGTTGGCATAACATTTTGAAAGGCAACTTGCTGGTATCCACCAAACTTTAAAATGCTTATGTCCCCTGGCTCAGCAAATCTACAAGGAACCTAGAAGAAGTAGCACAGGGCAAAAAGGTACAGACACAAGAATGTCCACTGCGGCCTTACTGCTAATAGCAAACCCTGAAACCAAGAGAGACACTCATCAGTAGGGAAATGACTAAATAAATCACAGCCCATCCACTAGTGGGACCAGCACATAGCAAACAATTTATTGAATGAAGAAATGCATAAATGATATGCAGCCACTACCAGAAAGAGGTAGAGTTAAAAGTCACCAAAATTTATTCAAGGAAAAAAGCAACTGGCAGAACAATGGATACAGTGTAATGTCAATTTTGCTTAAAAAAAAAAAAAAGCTTATGTGCAAATATCCATGCATATATCCAAATATGCACTGAAAAAGCCCTAAAGAATATATCACAAACAATCCTCAAGGATTAAGTGAAAAAAGCAATTAGACAAAGTACATATGGCATGATCCCATTTTTGCTTTGCAAGGGTGTGTGTATGCACGTACAGGCATGTAAACATTAGAACATGTGGACAGAGATCACTTCATTTCCACCTGAATTACATGCATATTTTTGTGGGCACAGGAAGAAGTCTGGAAAGATATGCAAATATATCTGACAATATGAGTTACCTGGGAAGGCAGGTAATCCAATTCATGCCATGTCATATGTTACCAGTTATATGAGCAGGTAGTGCTTTATAGTAAAATGTATTTCTTAAACATCTGTCACATATGTTGAAAGTGAATGGTGACCATGAAAATTGCATCCCAAGGGGCATGGCTCACATAACCGTCTTTCCCCTAAGAGCTTAGATAGTAATCACACCACAAAGAAAAGAAGGGGTGATGTTGGTGAAATAGTGGAGCAATGACCTCCAGAAATTCTCTCCTCTGTAAAGGCAATCAGAAAACTGGTTAAAAAAAAATGTCAGAATCAAAAAGTTTTGAACTCTGGAAATTGACCATAGACTTGCAACAATCCAGGAAGCATTTATTCAAGAAAAACAGCTAAATCTAAGCAAGATCAGTGAGCTTGTTGGCACTTTAAATGCCCTATTCCCATCCCTGTATCTCTAGCTCCAAGGTTCAGAACCTTGAAAATGAACAGCCGCAATCACAGTGAAAACCAGCTGCCCAGCAGCCACAGAGGACGCAGATGAGGGCAGGACATCTCCAAAGCCTCGTTCTCAGACAATCACTTATTTGACCTGTCTCTGGGTTCCCGGAAAGATCACACTTGCAAGCGTTCCCGGAAAGATCACACTTGCAAGGCTGTCTTCACTGACCTGGCTCAGAACTCACCCGTGCAGGAGGCCTTTTCCCCATGGGCATTTGTCAAAAACATTTAGAGGCAATTGTTTAACTTCATGGTTTCCTTGGAAGGAAACCCACTAGCTGCCCACTAAGCTAACTGAGCAGACTTTATTGGCCACATATGACAAAGAATACAGACTTCACAAAATTAGCGCAGAAAAGTCCCTAAACAAACAGTAACAACTACAAGAAGCAGCAATAAAAAATCCTGGAGAGGGAGTAGAATCTAATTCCAGAGGGGCCACATTATATTATTTCAAATGCCCACTTTCAACCTATCATCACAAAACACGCAAAGAAACAAGAAAGTATTGCCCATATACAACAAAAAAAGCAATCACTAGACTGCCCTGAGGAAGCCCAGACACTGGACTTACCAGACAAAGACTTCAATCAACTATTTTAAATATGCTTAGAGCTAAAGGAAACTAGGGACAAAGAACTAAAAAGAACAAGGAGAATAATGTCTCAACAAATAGAGAATATCAATAGAGAGGTAGAAATTATAAAAAGGAACCAAAAAGAAATTCTGGCTGGGCATGGTGGCTCACACCTATAATCCCAGCATTTTGGGAGGCTGAGGTAGGCAGAGTGCCTGAGCTGAGGCGTTCGAGACCAGCCTGGGCAACATGGTAAAACCCTGTCCTACAAAAAATTCAAAAACTAGCTGGGCATGGTGGGGTGCGCCTGTAGTCCCAGCTACTTGGTGGGGGCTGAAGCAGGAAGATGGCTTGAGTTCAGGGAGTCAAGGCTGCAGTGAGTCATGTTCACGCCACTGCAGTCCACTCTGGGTGACAGAGCAAGACCCTGTCTAAAAAGAAAAAAAAAGAAAGAAAGAAATTCTTTAGTTGAAAAGTACAGTAACTAAAATGAAAAAGTAACTAGAGGGGCTCAAGAACAGGCTTGAGTAGGCAGAAGAGAAAATGATTGAATTTTAGGATAAAGACCAAGAGATCTACACCTAGACACACCATAATCAAACTGTCACAGGACAAAGCCCAAGAGAGAATCTTAAAAAGCAAAAAGAGAGAAGTGGCTCATCCCATACAAAGCACCTTCCCTAAGATTAACAGCTGATTCCTCCATGGTTTCATTAGAAACCATGGAGGCCAGGAGGAGGCAGGATCATGACATATCCTCAGTGCTAAAAGAAAGATTGCCATCCAAGAATTCTATATCTACCAAGACTATCCTTTGAAAATGAAGGAGAAATTAAGACATTGCCAAATAAACCATAACTAAAAGAATTCATTGCTAGAAAACCTACCCTACAAGAATTACTAAAGGGAGTCCTTTTGGCTGAAATAAAGGATACTAGATAGTAACTCAAATCCACAGGAAGAAATAAAGAGTATCAGTAAAGGTAACTACATAGGCAAATATAAAAGAAGGTATAAACACATTTTGTAATTCTTGTTCCTCTATATAATTTAAGAGACAACTGCATAAGGTAATAATTACAAATCTGTATCACCCAGAACATCATGTAGAAACATCTAATTTGTATCCCAATAACAGCACAAAGGTTGGGGGAGGGAGCAAAGCTTTAGAGGAGCAAAACTTTGTCTATGATTGAAATGGAGTTGGTATTAACCTGAACTAGACTGTTCAGGTTATTATCTTAAATTAACACTCAGAGCAACGAGGCAGAAAGTCAACAAGAATGAAGGCTTGAACAACACTATGAACCAACTAGACCGAACACATCTATAGAAAATCCACCCAGCAACAGCAGGTTACACATTCTGCCCAAGCAAACATGGAACAGTCTTGAGGAAGAACCTTATGTTAAACCACAAAACAAGTCTCAATACATTTTAAGAGTGAAATCATGCAAACAATGTTCTCCAAATACAGTGGAATGAAACTAGAAATCAGTAACAAAAGAAAATTTGACTCACAAATGTGTAAAAAGTAAACACTCCTAATTATCAGTTCGTCAAAGAAGAAAGCAAAAGAGAAATCAGAGAATGAATTAAGATAAAATGAAAACACAACATACCAAAATGTATGGGATGAAGAGAAAGCAGTTACTTAAAGATTTATTAGAAGAATGATCTTAAATGAATAACCTAACTTTCTACAATAAAAAGCTAGAGGCCGGGCACGGTGGCTCACACCTGTAATCCCAGCACTTTGGGAGGCCGAGGCAGGTGGATCACGAGGTCAGGAGATTGAAACCATCCTGACTAACATGGTGAAACCCCGTCTCTACTAAAAATACAAAAAATTAGCCAGGCATGATGGCGGGCGCCTATAGTCCCAGCTACTCACTGCACTCCAGCCTGGGTGCAGAACGAGACTCCGTCTCAAAAAAAATAAAAAAATAAAATTAGAAAAAGAATAACACACTAAGCCCAATCCAAGCACAGGGAAGGAAACAGTAAAGATTAAAGTGAAGACAAATGAAATAGAAAATGGGGGAGAGGGGAGCAGAAAACTGAATAAAACCAAAAGTTGTTTCTTTGAAAGATCAACAAATATGACACAATCCTGTGGCTAGACCAAGGAAAAAGAGACAGAAACCAAATTACTAAAGTCAGATATGAAAGAAGGGGACACTACTACTGACCTGTATGCCATCACATTAGATGAAAATGGACAAATTCCTAGTAACACACAACTACCAAAAAAACCCACTCAGGAAATAAGAGAATCTCAACAGATTGGTAACAAGAGACTGAATCAGTAATCAAAAATCTTCTAACAAAGAAAATCCCAGGACCAAATGCCTTCACTAGTGAATTCTACCAAACATTTCAAGAAGAATCAATACCAATACTGAAACTCCTTCAAAAAACTGGAGAGTGAAAAGAAAATAATTCCTAACTCATTCCATGAAGCCAGTTATTACACTAGTACCAAAGCCAGACACCACTAGAAAACTACACACCAACATCCCTTATGATTCAAAAACCCTCAACAAAAAACTAGCAAACTGAATTCAGCAGCATATAAAAGTATTATACACCATGAGCAACTGGGATTTATCCCAGAAATGCAAGGTTGGTCCAACATGCGAAAATCATGTAATATACCATATTCATAGAAAGAGGAAGACACCTTGCTTTGAAGTGATAAAAATGTCAGCAACTAGATAGAAGTGGTGATTGTACAACCTTGTGAAGAGACTAAAACTGAATTATATATTTAAAAGAGTGAATCTGGTGAACACGGGCCGGGCGCAGTGGCTCACACCAGCACTTTGGGAGGCCAAGGCAGGTGGACTGCATGAGTCCAGGAGGTGGAGGCTGCAGTGAGTATGATTGCATCACTGCACTCCAGCCTGACAGGGTGACAGAGACCCTGTCTCTAAATTTAAAAAATAAAAAAGTTGAACATGAATCACTTTGTGAAATAAAATGTCAACTAAAAATATCCATATTTTCTTTTACTCTTCTGAAAACTGTGTGTGTCCATGCCTCAGCCCAGATCCCCAGCGTGCAGCTAGAGTAGCCCACAGCTGGGCATTGGCTCTCACCTTGAGGTGCTGGTGCATGCAGTATCGACAGACCTTATGCTTCATCTCATGCGTGACATCACTCGAGAAAGGAATAAACCCACATTTTGGCTGTAAAATAAACAAATAAGGAGGAAAAATATTTAGGAAGAAATCACATACCTCTAAATAGACATATCACTGACTACAAGATAATGAGTGCAGCAAGATAATTAGGCATAAATGGCCCCAGAAGCTGTTTTCATTTGCACCTCCCAGCGGGAACAACACTTCCTGCATCAGATCACACAAACATCTCCGCTAGAGGACCCACGGCCGGAACTCTCACTGGGGAGGGTCAGTGGTGCCTCTGCACTAGCTCAACACAAGCACAACACACAATAGCTTCATGCTTTCATTCAAGAATGTGACTGCAAGCCTCTAGTAGTAGAGATGGACCCAGGACTCCCAGCTCCAAGAATCGGAACCATTGTTCCCACTGACACTAGCACATGGCCCGACAGAGGCCCATCTGATAGTTGCTAGGCTCCCAGAAGGTCAAGGAAGCCCCAGTGCCCTCTAAAAGCTGCAGCCTCTGAGCATACACCACACGCAGGCCTGTGCTGAGCCTCGGGCACTGGAGATGGTGGCTGGGGAAGCAGAACATCCACCCACAAGTGAGGAGGATCAGGAGGCATGAGCTCAGGCCAGGAGTGTGACCCAGAAATTGCTGCCTTAGAGTTGGAGGAGGGGAACAAAGGCCAGGGCATGTGAGGCAGCTTCCTGAGGGACCCTGACAGCCACCCCCGACATGGGAAGCAGAGAGCTGAAGCAAGGGGGGCCCTGGCCCATCCAGCCCCCACTGCCTGGCACCAGAGAAATTCAGGACTCCTGGCCATGACACACCAGTGCCTCTGAGGGTCACACTGGCCTTTGTGCCTCCAGGAAAATTCGTCCTGAGCAGGACAAAGAGAGCTCCCCAGTCTACAGGGCAACCTGCAGATGGGGCTCCTGCAGCACAGCAAACAGCAGCCAAGCACCAAGCAGGCATGGCCAGCAGGGAGGGGCACAGAGGAAGAACCCAGAGGACCCTGGCAAGCTGTGCCCTCTGAGGAAAACGGGTCAGGGGGACCCAACGCGCTTCCCTCTGGTGACCCTCAACCAGGGCTTGTTTTAGCCCAGGCATGCAGGGTGGGTGGGGTCTTCTATCATGAGCTACCAGGAATGAGCCTAAACCTGGGATCTGGGAGCCATGGCAGGAACCAGAACGCAGGTGGGGGCTGTGGAAGGACAGAAACAAGTGGAGTTTCCAGGAGCCAAGGGTGCCTACCACTCACTTCAGTGGGAACTGGAACCCAAGGCACGTGACTCTTGGACTTACTACCCAAGACTGACCTTTCCCCTTTACCCACACCATCTGCCCCTCGACAGGTCACCTTAATCTCTACACACAGAATCGGCCGGTGCTCTGCAAAGCGGTAGGTTTGGAGTCTGGTTAAATTAGGAAGGCACATAGCGTAACCACTGAGAGTATCCAGGTCCTTGTCACAGCGAGACTCTGGAAAACAGAGCAAGGGTCACACAGAGCAAGGTCAGTGAGAGAGATGAGATGATCCCTGCCCAAAACAGGCCCCGCCTTGTCCCTGGTTCCAGGGGGCATCTCTGTACCTGATGAAAACCTCATGTCTCCCTGGGGATTGTGGGACACACACAGTAACAACGTGGTTTAGGCCAGGTGAGGTGGCTCACACCTGTTATCCCAGCACTTTGGGAGGCCAAGGCAGGTGGATCATGAGGTCAGGAGTTCGAGACTAGCCTGGCCAACATAGTGAAACCCCGTCTCTACTAAAAATACAAAAATTAGCCAGGCATGGTGGCACGTGCCTACAGTCCCAGCTACTCGGGAGGCTGAAGCAGGAGAATTGCTTGAACCCTAGAGACGGAGGTTGTGGTGAGCCGAGATCGTGCTACTGCACTCCAGCCTGGGCAACAGAGCAAGACTCTGTCTCAAAAAAAAAAAAAAAAAGGCGGGCACGGTGGCTCACACCTGTAATCCCAGCACTTTGGGAGGCCTAAGTGGGCAGATCATGAGGTCAAGAGATCAAGACCATCTTGGCCAACATGGTGAAACCCCATCTCTACTAAAAATACAAAAAATTAGCTGGGCGTGGTGGCATGCACCTGTAATCCCAGCTACTCGGGAGGCGTAGGCAGGAGAATTGCTTGAACCAGAGAGGCAGAGGAGGTTGCAGTGAGCCCAGATTGTGCGCCACTGCACTACCGCCTGGCGAAGGAGCAAGACTCCATCTCAAAAAAAAAAACAAAAACAAAAACAAAAAATAACTTGGTTTATGTAGGGGGTAGCTTCACGCCTTATGGTATCGGCTCAAACTCTGGAGAGGCTGGAGACTGCAGTCAGCCACACCGATGGTCAGCCATGTCGATGTGCCTGAGCCCCAGTGAAAACTCTGGACAACAATGCCTGGTGAGCTTCCTGGTGGGCACACTCCATATGGGAGAGTGAATACTGCCCACACCACCCCTGAGGAGAGGACCCAGAAGCTCATGCCAGGTCTCTCCTGGACCCCACCCCTGCACCTCTCCCCTTGGCTGGTCCCATCTTTATCCTTTTCCTGCAATAAAACATAACCATAAGTAAAACAGTGAGTTATGTTGGTCCTTCTAGCGTATTATCAATCCTGAGGGTGGTCTTGGGGATGGTCCCCTAATTCCACAACACCCTTAGCCCAGGAACTTGAAGAGGAGGGGGCTGCAGGCTCTACCTTCTCTCACATCTAGGCCCTTCCCAGTCCCCAGTGCACCAATATTTCCCCAGCACCAGATCTGCTGGAACCCGTGGTGTGGACAGAACCAAACAAGCCTGGGCTCCAGGCACCCCAGGGACAGGCTTTCCTCCTTTAACATAATGAGCCTTACTCCAAGTCTGGTTTTTATCACTGTGGTGTGATAAACCTCCCACGGTTGTTATGAAATGGCAGGCTGAGCAGCAGAGCAGTTGCAGACAGCACCCTGGAGCCGGGCTCAGACTGCATTCACCGAGAGGAAGAACTGGAGCCTAGCCACTGTCCTGTGGCGTTCCCGCCTCCCCAGCCTTTCCTGCAGTGTGAAGCCCATTCCTCCCTGCCCCAGCCAGAGACTGCAGACCCAGAGAATGGTTTGCTTTCATTTTCCAAATCAAATCAGGAAAAAATTTTATACTGGCTAATTCCACACCCTCATTGCCTGGCTGTGCTCCGGGCAGAGGCATTTCCACCCTCAACTCACGAAATTTATCTCTTTGATCACTGACTGAAAAAAAAGGTTTGACCTGATTCCTGTCATAAGGCCACCAGCAAGTGCAGAAAAGGGAGTGGGTGGGGATGGAGGAGAAAGGGAGAGGCGAAGGGATGGGAGGGGATTGGGGAAGGACAACATGAGGATGGGGAAGGTGATGCCACAGAAGGCCCTTGGATTCCCTGTTCCTCAGAAGGACACAGACCTAGCCTAGACTCCGGTTGGGGACAGCTCCCTGGGCTGCAGACCCTCCTGGGCCAGGCCCTCCCTCCTGAAGCTCAGGTCACCTCAGTTTCCTTTTGCCTCTCCCAGGCCTCTGGGAACCCTTCCCGTTCCTAAGTCTGCCCCAGACCCTCCACCTCCAGCTCCTCCCTCATGTTGTTTTCTGTGGTATTAATTTGTTCTTTTTTGTTCGTTTGTTTGAGACGGAGTCTCACTCTGTCACCTGGGGTTGGAGTACAGTGGCGTGATCTCAGCTAACTGAAATCTCTGCCTCCCGGGTTCCAGCGATTCTCCTGCCTCAACTTCCCAAGTAGCTGGGATTACAGGTGCCCGCCACTACGCCCAGCTAATTTTTGTACATATATATATTTTGTTTGTTTGTTTGTTTTAGTAGAGAAGGTGTTTCACCATGTTGGTCACGCTGGTCTCGAACTCCTGACCTCAGGTGACCTGCCTGCCTCAGCTTCCCAAAGTGCTGGGATTACAGGCGAGAGCCACCGCACCTGCCTTTACTGGTTCTTCATCACATATTCTGTGCAGTGCTGTGGTTTTCTGATACAGAGAATTGTATCCATGAGCTCCCAGGATTTCTATCCCTGATAATGAAGTTTCTGGCAAAAGAATTACTGAAAACTGGCTGGGCACGGTGGCTCACGCCTATAATCCCAGCACTTTGGGAGGCCGAGGTGGGTGGATCACGAGGTCAGGAGATCAAGACCATCCTGGCTAACACGGTGAAACCCCATCTCTATTAAAAATACAAAAAAGTAGCCGAGCATGGTGGTAGGCGCCTGTAGTCCCAGCTACTCGGGAGGCTGAGGCAGAAGAATGGTGTGAACCCGGGAGGTGGAGCTTGCAGTGAGCCGAGATCGCACCACTGCACTCCTGCCTGGGCGACAGAGTGAGACTCCGTCTCAAAAAAAAAAAAAAAAAAAGGATTACTGAAAAATGCATATACCTAACATGGGTAATCATTTCAAACACTTTTCAAATGGAATATTTTAAATTACAAACAATATCTGTAAGTTAAACACCCTTACCTGGTCTTTCAGATTGTATCTTTAAACAAAGCTGTTTCACAAACTCTAAAGGTAGCTGAACGACCTCCTGTAAGAAAATACATGAAATTCTCAGTGTGAATTGCACAATGACATGAACACAATGCCACAGAACTGCATGCCTAAAAACAGTTGAGCTGTTGGTTTTTATGTTATGTGTAATTTATAATATTTTTTAAAGTTTATTGCTTAAAAAAAAATCAGTGTGTGGATTTTGGGAATAAAAGCTGCTCTATTATTTTCAGGACATGTCCAGGTTAAATAGAGACACCAACATTTCACTGCAATCAGGGTGGCCAGCTCTCAGAATGGCTGGGCCCACGGTGGTGACCAGCCTCAAAGCCAGCTTCTCTCGCCACAAAGCACCCCTTCCGAGCCCCCTTCTGGTCTCTACAGCATTTATGGACCCAGAGCAGTTCTTAGACCACATGGAAGACCCTTACTGACCACTCAGACAACCTGAGAACCTCACGCTTCCACCTGAGGAGCAGGTCAGCATCTGAAGAATCACTTGTCTCAGGAAGATGGCCTGTGCCTCCTCAGCCCTGAAGGACGTGGTATAACCAATGCCCAGCACTGCCCTCCACATGGCTCTTCTGTGCAGTTTCCCAAATGAAAGGTTTTTATTTAAGCCACATTGCTTACCATCTTCCCTGTCCTCTCGTGTTTCTAGGGTGGCAGAATTGTGACTTCTGAAAAAGTCCCAAACGGACACAGGAGATCTGCTAGGCTAAGAATGCTGGGATCCTGCCCACAGAGATCATGCCTTCCCCACCCTGCGCCGTCACATCCATGCCCCTCCACCACCACCCCTGTCCATTCCCAGTCGGCTGTGCCAGTTTCACTTCTGATTTGTCATTTACCTAAACATGCTATAAATTAACAAAATATGACTTACTATAAACTTAGTACAGAATTAGGTAAGGTGACACAATGGACAAGAGTGGGGAATGTAAACATTCGAAAATTTGTAAATTGAAGCCAAGAGCGTTGGCTCATGCCTGTAATTCCAGCACTTTGGGAGGCCGAGGCTGGTGGATCACAAGGTCAGGATTTCAAGACCAGCCTGACCAACATGGTGAAACCCCGTCTCTACTAAAAATACAAAATTAGCCGGGTGTGGTGGCGCACGCCTGTAGTCCCAGCTACTCAGGAAGCTGAGGCAGGAGAATTGCTTGAACCTGGGAGGCAGAGGTTGCAGTGAGCTGAGATCACGCCACTCCAGCCTGGGCGACAGAGCGAGAATTTGTCTCAAAAACAAAAACAACAAAAAAAGAAAATTCGTAAATTAGATCATCTCAAGAAGTCCAAGTACTGGCTCCACTCCAAAGAAAGCAAAAGCACAAAAGGCACGCATGCCGACTCTGGATGCCTCGCGTGTGAGAACCATCGCCCAAAACCACACAAGGCCGTCACTCTGCCTTGGCCCCCACCCCACAGCACATATGGCTGGGAGACACAGCAGCTACGCAGGTCTCAGGTCCACATACAGGGCAACGACCCTCCACACCGCTGTCTGCCCATGCATGGCCTGAACTCACAGTCACCCAGGTGAAAAGCAGACCTCGGTGGTTTATTTCCAACAGCTGTAAATCACTGATTTTATAATATGCATATCTGTGTTTAAAGTCAAAATAAAACGCTGGCCTGGAGCAGTGGTTCACACCTATAATCCCAGCACTTTAGGAGGACAAGGCGGGCTGATCACTTGAGCCCAAGAGTTCGAGACCAGCCTGCCCAACATGGTGAAACCCCATTTCCACAAGAAAAACTAAAATTAGCTGGGTGCGGTGGTGCGCACCAGTAGTCCCAGCTACTTGGGGGTGGGTGTGAGGCAGGATGATCACTTGAGTCTGGGAGGTTGAGGCTGCAGTGAGCCATGATCGCACCACTGCACTCCAGCCTGGGTGACAGAGCAAGATAAAAAACAAAAACAAACAAATACTGACAGTAAGCATCCTCTTAAAAGTCCAACTACATTGGCGAGTGTGGACCACGCCACCATCCAATCACGTGAGGACGCACCAACCAGCTCTTGCACAAGGTATTCACCTAAGAGGACCAGAGGGAAAGCCCACAGAAATCCCATCCTGGAGCTGTCCCCTGGAATCCCACAGAGCTCCCTGTAACCTGGGAGCTGAGATGTGGGAGGACCTCCAGGCATCACCCTCTAAATGGCAAAGGGACAACTGCTCAGAAGGACAAAGAGCCGCCAGCCTGGCTGTCCCTTCACTCATGTCCCCAGCCTGAAAACTGGGCCACGGCACAGAACTGTCAGCATGCGAGGTTCCAACGGAGCTGAGGCTGGCGCCAGAGAGCGTCCAACCTCACCAGGATTTGGCCCACAGCAGCGAGGTGGAACTCCTGAGCCTTCAGGTTCCTCCAGTATGTAAGGAGCAACAGTGGAAGAACAAGGCAAGCAGCTTCTGCCCCTTCCCCATTTCCTAAACTCTCCAGCTCCCACACCCAGCACTGGAGACAGGCCCAGACCAGCGCCACACCCACCGGGCAGGGCTGGGAGCCAGGGTGTGGCTGTCCCTGGCTCTGTCTCACGGTCTCATCACAGGGCTGGTTGTATCTTGCCCCACAACAAACAGGAGGGAAACTACGCTTTGCCTAACTCACCGACACATCTGTTCTTCCCTCACGTGGCCCTGTGTGGCCCTGCAGATGCAGCGACCCTGAGGGGTGCATCGTCAGCCTGGAATGGGCTCTGCACCTACTTTCCCACTGCGCCAGAGCCCAGCGGCGTCCTACTGGGACACGCTCACCTGCAGGGCAAGCAAGCTCTGCTTCACTTTGTCGGTATCTTAAGGCAGAGGAAATGCGCTCACAGGCGGCCTTGTGGGTTGAGCCCTGTTTGCTGTGGGTTCATTACTGTGACCCTTCCCACTGAGGACAAACCTGGAGCCAGACTGCTCATTGCTGGAAATGCTCCCCTATCCTGTCCCCTCAGAGCAGTCCCTAACGCTCACCCCACCAGGTTGCCAATGGGACCTCGAGTCTAATCCCATGCCCCTGGCCAACAAGGGCCATCACCACACGAGTCCTCCTGCCACAGAGGATTCTGGTGGATCTTGCCTCCAAGAATGTTCCTTCCTCAAGGAGAAAACTTGTCACGGCACAGAGCCATCTAAGGGATATGCCCTAGGGAAAAAACTGCATGAATCTTCCTAACAGGGGAACTGTGACCCCCAAACACTCCCAACATCACAACAGTGCAGTGAACAGGCTAGAGGCAAGTCAACACCCACAGCAGCTGCAGAAGGGTGGGACCCAGGGGCCTGTCCAGGTCTCAAAACTACAGATCTGCTCAGAGAACAGGCCCAGGCAAGAAGTGAGCCAGGGCTGGCAATCTTAGTCCCATTCCCACAGACCCCAGCACAGGCGGCAACACCCAGGGGCTCCCACGGCTTTTCTCTAAACCCCAGCTTTTAACATTCATTGGGCAGCGGAGGCCCTTCCTGGGTGTGATAAGCCGACCCCAGGACAGCCCCAGCAGGTGCCACCACCCTCCCATGTAGGGCCTCCTGTGTTCAAAGGTGCCCAGGGGCAGAGAGCAATGCCATTGCTTGAGGGGCATTGCTCAAGAGCCCTCACCCAGCAGGAGCCTTCAGGAGGGCTGGCAGAGACGGGCCCTGGAGAACAGGGGTTCACGTGGGCCCTCTGAACCCCATGCTTCTCAGCTAGGAAAGAGAAACTGCAGTATCCACTCTGCTGCCACCCAGCACAGCAAATGAGAAACACTTGGAGACTAGCTGGACGCGGGTTATCATTAAGCACAAAGTTCCAAAGATCACCGGGAAATTGGCAGTGTTGATGCAAAACATGCCCAAGAATTCAGATGTGAATAAAAAGCACTTACCCCATAATGAACATAGTTCTCCCCCAAAAACTCCTTCATGACATTTTTCCCAAAGTCCACTATGTTCTGCAGGTGTTGAAATATCTCTTCCGAGGTCTGTAAGAGACAACCACAGGACAGCCTTCGTGATGGGACCTCCCAACAGAGCCTTGCTTGAGGGGAGAGGCAAAAACCACCACGGACCCCACCACAAGCAAGGGGGACATCCCAGCCACAGACAGAACCCGGGTGACAGCCCTCAGACCCAGGGGAAGGTCCCCAGTGCCCTTCCTCACCAGCGTCCCTCCCCAGCCATGCCACCCTCCTCGGCCCAGAGACTTGGGAAGGTAGCAGTCTGAGGACCGCACTGCTGCCGCCTCCCGTCTGCCCTTCTCCCAAAGCGGCCCCTACACATGCCTTCCAAGGAATGTGACTTTGAAAACCTCCGACATCTCACATCTCAATCTCTAAAGAGATTTTACTCTTTAGCCTCTAAATGTAGAATATTCTTTCCCCAGTCAGAGGTTCTTAAAGAGTCAGTAAGGTGATGAAACTGGTTGAGACAGAAATCACCCCCATGTCCCTCAATGGCCCAGTACAGCTGTGGTCACAGCTTCTGACAAAAAAAACCCTGGCCAGGAGCAGTGGCTCATGCCTGTAATCCCAGCACTTTGGGAGGCTGAACCAGGCAGATCACCTGAGGTCAGGAGTTCAAGACCAGCCTGGTCAACATGCTGAAACCCCGTTTCTAATAAAATACAAAAATTAGCCAGGCATGGTGGCGGGCACCTGTAATCCCAGCTACTCAGGAGACTGAGGCGGGAGAATCACTTGAACCTAGGAGGCAGAGGTTGCAGTGAGCCGAGACCGTGCCACTGCACTCCAGCCTGGATGACAGGGCGAGACTCTGTCTCAAAAAAAAAAAAATAAAGCCCCCCTGGTCAACAGAAAAGTTACCACTCAAGTCTCCACTGATCACACAGTGTGCCACATTATGTCATTTACAGAGGAAATGTAGCCAACTGCTGCCTGGCAGACACTGCCCCGGCCACTCCACACAGGAAGATCTGACAGGGGCCACAGATGCCAGGCCTTGGGGGAGTCAAGGTTAGGGTGGTTTGGGCTCTGCAGTCACTGAATGCAGCAAAGAAGGGGACAGAGAAGGCTGGAGGCATGGACTTTGTTTCCATGGGATGCGTTCCACAAACCAAAACCACCTAGGCCTATTTCTCTTCAGCAGCTGAGGCAGAAACCGCAAGACAGTGGGGCCTTCCTATCCTCCGCCTGCCTGCCTCGACCCCACACCCACTGTGGCCCCACCAACGGCAGCTTTCTCCCATGGCTCTCTCCCCTCTTTCTACTGTGCCCACGCGGCAGCTGTCACCTCCACCCACCACCACCCCCCGGCCTCCCTTTCTATGACCTCTACCTCAGATGCTCCAACCTGCCATGTCCCAGGAGCCCTCAAGGGGCAGTGACTCACCAACCCCATACCATTGCCCAAGCCAGCCTCCGCCTGCTCCCACAGTGGAACAGCCACCATCCAGGAGCTCACCCCCAGCTCAGCTGCATGTGTCCCCTCACAGGACCCACGCATCAGATGGGGAGCAGAGAAGGGCCCTGAATGCAGGAAGCCTCCGCGACTCGGTATGCACCCCAGGACCAACAGAGATTTGCACAGAAAGCTGCAACTCAGTGGTCAAAAAAGAGAGGGCAATGCTTTTTCACGGGTGGTCCATGGCATTTTGCTTGGATGACTCAGAGAAGAGAAACCTAACGACCCCCTCCCACCACAATGTTTAACACAGACTGTCTACCACCACACTGGAGACTCTATTTTCATAGACACAATTCCACAGATGGGGAAACTGAGGCAGCAGGTGCTATGGAACTCGGCAACGCAAAGCTTGCCTGATCCTGGGGTCCTCGCCACAAGCAGGGCCCTCTGAGCAGGACCTACAGGCCAGGCCAGGGCAGCTCCTGGCTGAGCGCCACATAGACTACCACAGTGACACATGGGTTAACGTGCTGGACCCAGTCAGTTTTATATCAGGAATGATGGACACACCACTTTCTGCACTGAATGCTTGTATCATCTTTGAATGCTACAACTAGCATCAATGTTTCTACATCGGAAAAAAAAATCAGAGTTTTCTTAAATAATTGTTGTAAGTCTGGGTGCAAACCCACCCATCTTACCTTCTTCCTATTTGGAGGAAACTTCAGAAACCGCAGCACGACGCAGCGCTGTTGGAAAATAAAACAAATCTGATTAGTATTTGCTCAAAGCCAAGGCACAAGGTGTCAGTCAGTTTGGGGGTCCCATCCTCAGTGGACAAAGTCCACAGTGAAGCTCCACAGCAAGGAGGCTGGGAAGCCCCCAGGGCAGGGAGGCCAGGGCTGGGACCCAGCAAGGGCACACTGGGCAGTGGGACAACCAAGAACCTTCAGCCTCTGACCAGCCAGCCCCTCCCAGGACTTTATCTTAAGGAAAGAAATAAAATGGAAATAACCTAAATGCCCAACAATAATGAGATGGTTTAAACACAGTGGCACACATTTCAGTGTGATTTATAAATCACACAGTCAGTGATTTATAAGAAAGATCAGTACTTACGGACACAGATTTGTGGTTATCACATACTGTTAAATGAAAAAAGTTACCGAATGGGGCTTACAGAATGAGCCTATTTTCATAAAAAGAGAAATACACGTGAGCACACACACGTATGGGTGTAATTCTATTTATATAAAGTTCAAAAAACAGGTAACACTGACCCCTTGTGCCCACCCCTTGGGCATGCATGAATAGTTGCTAAGGAAGGTTCTAGAAGGGACTGGTCAGAGGATTATGGGTCCACTTACTTTGTGATAATTAAGCTATACCCACGATCTGAGTACTTTTCTGCAGGTACGTTACACTTCAAGTTTTTAAAATAAAAATGTTTAAATAAAATAAGTATTGATGTGTCTACATCAAAAGGTCTGAAAGGACATTCGGCACAAGTTTAACATCTCCAAGTAGCAATGATTACAATAACTTCTTTTTAATTTATCTTTATTTTGAATATTTCAATTTTTTAAATGTTCAAAAAAATACATTCTAAGAACGTACATTATATGTAGGAGGAGAATGCGCCTGGGAGGGGCTCTAACGGCAGTGCAAAGGTGGGGGGTCCAATGCCCTGGGAAGCGCCCCTGCCGAGGCCACAGGGCAAAGCCTAAGCAGGAGGGAGGAAGCAGGCTGCACTAAAGACGGCTTAGAAAGGGCCATTTTCTAGATCAAAAGATGCCTAAGGAGCAACAAAGGCCCTATGGAGACCAAGCCAGACTCCCCCACCCGCTCCCCGCAGCCCTACTTAGACAATGTACGTCGTTGCTCTTAAATCCCAGGCACCCGGCCCCCTGGGCCCCTCTGACTGAGCTCCAGTTCCCAGCCAATGCCATGCTCCTGGCTCGCTGTGCTGCAGATAGCTGTCCCCTCCTTAAGCCCCAAGCTGAGACCTGGGGAAGCCAAGATCAATGGCATGCATGCTACCGCTGTCCCCTCCCAAGCTGAAGGCAGGCATCAACAATCAATCATGGGAATCGACTGGCTAAGGATCATTTTAATGGAACTATAATTCCACCAAAATTTAAGGAAAGGCAGAAGTTGATCGACAGAAGTCCTAACTCTAGACAGCTCCCCAGAAGTTCGTTCCCCTAAAAGTGCATTTGCTCCTCACCTACACATGATGGTGTGTGCTATTCGAGTGTGCCTGACCCGCCCTCCAACAATTAGGCATCAAACACAGTACAGCTCTCCACTGATGGCAAGCATTCAGTGATGCCCTGCTAGCGATGTGTAAGTGTGACTGAGGGTCATGCTTGAAAATCAACACAATAAGAAAATACATTACATGAAATCCCTGATCAGTGTAAACTGACCCAGGCTGCCATGGTGCAAGCTCTCACCCTGTCCCTCACACAGGGCAAACCCCGCCACCCACAGGGGCCAAGCTTACTCACCTGCCAGACTGCATGCACAGAGCTCTGCGGCATCTACAGGAAAGCAAGGCCTGTCTCGGTTTATCATGGAACTAACTCATAAGCTGCACAATGGACTTTTGTAGCAAAGCAGTCCTGATCAGGGTGATGCCAGGCCAAGACACATGAGCTTTCTCTCCACAGAAATTCCCCACTGTAGCCTCAGAGGAAGGAGTTCAGTGGGCCCATGAACAGAAATACCAACTACAAGAACACAGGACCCCCCTCCCCTGGCAGCATTCACCTGCTAATACAGACTCAGCTTTCTGAAGTTCCCTGCCCCTCTGTTGCCAGGAAAGGCGGGAACAACTGGTCTTTTCTGTTTATTTATAAATGGAAATTATAAATTTCCTATGCATTATTATTACACACAAAACCACTCACATAAAGTATAAGTTAATTCAGAAAGCCATTATCTGGCTTATGAAGAAAAAATTTTTAAAAATAAGTTGCACAGGGCACTATACAAAGAAAAACCATACACAGGTCCCAGGAGAAAAAGATGTCAGAGCCTAAATCATTGAGGACTTAGTCCTCAGTCCTTGTGGATAATAAAATAACATCATTCTTCCTGCTAGCACTTATTAATAATTATTATTGCAATAGCCAGCAGGTGCTAGCACCAGCGCTTCAGGGCCCACGCTACACTCCTAAACTCCATCATCTCCAGCCGTCTCTCCCTCCAAGATGGGCAACTGAGTCCCAGTTTACAGAAATATGGGAAGTGAGACTGCACAAGGGCAGATCAGGTCTCAGAGAACCCAGGTCCAGCCTCGCCTGCTGGCCCAGCCTCAGCCTGGAGAGAAGCCTTGATCAAGATCAAGGTCTTGACCCCAAAGGTCAAGGTCATGTGGGGTGAAGCCAAGTTTAGAGGAGGGCCTGGACCCTGGGAGGTTCTCAGCGTCTTTCTGGTGGCCAGGCTCCTCGCTGCTACTGAGTCACCAGCAGGCTCTGGGGGCATTGGGTACTGTGCTGCCCCCCAGGAGAGGATATGGACACAGGCCTTCCAAGCCTGGGCAGAGAAGCCCAAAGTGGCCCTCCCACTCGGCCCTCCCAGCCCCTTCCTCACATTTCCTCCACCACCACATCCAAACACAGTGGCTTGGCCTCCCTGCTGTCACTCACAGGAAATCTCCTGCTATCCCTTCCCATTATGGAGCCCAAGAGCCACAACCAACCAAGGAAACCTGAATACAGTGATTTGTCCATTTCAAGGGAAACTGCTTTCTCCACCCACCCATTTATCATCCAAAAACTATTACAAGAAACCTACCCCCAGGGGAACCGTAGTCTCAGCCAGTTTTCATCAATACCAAAACTCAGACACACTCAGCTCACCTATTCTCTACAGCCCATGCCAACTGCCCCATGTGAGGGACCTGATCAGGCTGGGCTGGCCGAGGTGGGTGGTCCCCAAGATGTGCCAGGCTGAGGGCTTCGTAATGCATAGGCCACAGGGCCCCATTACCCTCATGCAGGCAGCTGGCAGGAAACAGGTGAAAAAACACTGTAGCAGCTCTCATTAGCAGAAAGACACAATGAGTCCAAGGGGCACCCATGGCTGGGGAAGAGGGGGTCAACACAGCCACCTGGGGGACTTCACATGAAGGAGTGAGCAAGAACCAACACCCCAGCAGGCTCCGAGCTCCTGCCAGCTCACCAGGTCTTAACCAGCTATGGAGATAATGACACTACTCCTCTTAAAAAAAGTATCTGAAACCAGATATTTGAAACTTACCTTCTTCTTAACGTCTAGAATAAAATGTTAAAAGTGAAGAAAAAGGGCCAGGCGCGGTGGCTCATGCCTGTAATCCCAGCACTTTGGGAGGCCCAGGCGCGCAGATCAGCTGAGGTCGGGAGTTCGAGACCAGCCCGACCAACATGGAGAAAACCTGTCTCTACTAAAAAACACAAAATTAGCCCGGCGTGGTGGCACATGACTGTAATCCTAGCTACTCGGGAGGCTGAGGCAGAATCACTTGAACCCAGGAGGCAGAGATTGCGGTGAGCCGAGATTGTACCATTGCACTCCAGCCTGGGCAACAAGAGCGAAACTCCGTCTCAAAAAAAAAAAAAGTGAAGAAAAAGAGTTAAGATTGGAAGGGAAGAACTTGATACTTCTGCAGTCTGAGGGCTGGGGTGTTTCTTAACAAAAGCAACGCTAAACCAAGGCCCAAGCCACACCTTTATGTCTTGGTAACAGGGAAGCTTCCACCTTGGAAAATTAGATGAAAATCAAGGATTCTAACAAGCCAAAAACACCAAACAACAGGAAGAACAAGAGGAGTGATGCATTTATACACACACACTAAATAACCCCAAGATTTAAAAGGTTAAGGGACACAACTCGTCACTTACAAAAGTGGCAAAAAGCATTTCAATAAAAATCCCTTTCTGGGCTGCAGCGGAAGGGTAGGTGGCACAGCCATGTGGAAAGCGATCTGCAACGTGTGCCAAGGGGCCTAATTCACCCAAGAACCCAGCCTGAGCATCAGAAGTCCAAAGAAGTGTGTACGAAGACTTTCGGCAAAGCCCACCCACAAGGATGTCCAACGCAACACTGGGAACACGTGAGCACCCTTCAAGACATGCATGAGGATTTTCTACATATTTGTGCTATAAAATTAAGTGAAAAAAAATCCCAAAACAGAAACAGATACGTAGTGTTGTTAACTACCCAATAAAGACAAAATACAGTCATGCATCACATAACAACACTTGGGTCAGTGATGGACTGCATGAAACAATGGTGTGTCCCATAGGATTATAATACCACAGTTTCTACCTTTAGATAACAAACACTTCCCATTGTGTCCCAATGGCCTGCAGTACTCAGTCCAGAACCATGCTGCGCGGGTCTGAGGACTAGGAGCCATAGGCTGCCCCACACAGCCTGGGCATGGGGCAGGCTCTACCATCTAGGTGTGTTCATATGGCAACAACATCACCTAACAATGCAGCTCTCAAAATGCATCCCTGGTGTTAAGCGATGCTTGACAATAAATAGAAAAAGACTAGAAGAAAGTGCACCAAAGTGTTAACAAAACTTGTTCTCTTCATGGAGAAATATTGGATGTTTTTCACTTCCTTCCTTCTGATATTCTATATTTTCAGAGAGAAGAAGCAACAATTGGTGTTAAATAAAAATAGAAGGCCACAAAAACCCCAATACATTAAAAGGGACACCTGCCAATGGGAAGCCTGAGGGGGCACCTTATGGGTGGAATTAAAGCTACTAACTACAAGAGCCTTTCAGGACAGATGAGGAGAGACTTTCCCGCCACCCACAGAGGACTCACTCTGGAGGGGTATCACCCACAAAATCAGCTGTTCCAGAGATCTGTCAAAAGACAAGGACCAAGGTCAAGTCTTCCATCAGGCTGAGGAGATAACCTGAAGCTGAGATCAGACAACTTTCATGGGAAGGGAAGACAGAAAAAGACAACAGCAGCAGGGGTCACCCCTCAGGATGCCTTCTAGAAGCAATGCTCAGCTCCAGCTTCTTCCGAATTGTGAAGATGACTCCCAGGCAGGGGCCATGGGGGATCCCAAATGTCCAGTCTCAAGAGGCTGCCCTCCCTGTAGACCCTCCTTAGCTTACCCCCGCAGCTCCAGCTCCAGCTCTGTCCCAGCCAGAGAAGGCTGCCCGGGGTCTGTCAGTCACCAGGGGCAGGAGGTGCCGAAGTCCACCTCTGCAACCCAGAAAGGGATGTCCAGGATGCGTAGGACCGTGGAGGGAACAAGAAGCAGGGCTTACGGTACTGGGCTCCAACAGGAAGCGCTCCCAAGGGTGAGCTTCGCTTCACTGGGAATGTATGGCCTCAGATAGAAATACAAAGCACATTTGACACCGGATGAAAAGTGACATCACCAAGATGCCTGTGGAGGATGGGAGCCCAGTACTCTGCAGGCAAGAGCAGGGAGGCCAGACTGGAGACAGCCTGGGGTCAGGGCGCAGTAAGTGCTGGCCCCTTGTCCAACCTGTATGGGGCATGTCCTCAAGCCTCGGCAACTCCGTCCTGACCTCATGGTGTCCTCTGCAGGACTGAAGCAGGCACAGGTGTGGGCCATGGGGGAGGTCACACACCCACACAACTCTCAGAACATGGGGAGGCCTGTGGGGATAGGCACACCTCGTGCATGGGGCTGACCCCTATAGGCATGGAAAGCCTCACTGCCTGTAAAGGGGAAGCAGGGCTGCCTAGAGGCCCACAGTGAGGGCCACAGGGAACTGTGAGCAAGTCCGGGCCCTCAGATCTCCCAACCGCTTGGCAACAAGGCAGGAGTGGCCGGGCCCTAGGCACAGCCTTGCTCTCTGCAGACACAGTAATGATGCTTTTCTCACCCTCCTGGATCGCAGCTCTCAGAAGACACAGGAAGTCACTGGGGAGCTTTGCTCTGACTGAATTCTGATGCAGAAGGAGGCTCAGTCAGGCAGAAGAAAAGTGGCTGTGTGACCTCAGAAGGTGTAAAAGTAGGAGGTGAGCCAAGGCCAAACCAACAAACCCCCGTGCACGAGAGGCACTGTCACAGGCTGCAGTCACCAAACAGCAGACCTCATCACGCAACTGCAGATACAAAGAAAGGAATAAACAAAGAGCGAGCCACAAGCACAGCTCTCCAATGAGCTCAAATGAGACAAGAAGGAACATCACCAGGAAAGAAGCCACATCAGCTGCGTCAGCCTAGAGCGCCACTAAAAATCCCAAATGCAGAATACATCACTAGTTTAAACAAAATGCTAGCAGTAACAGAAAGCTAAGACTATTTCAACTAGGTCCAGCTAAAAATTGTAAAAGGGAGCGACCAAGGGCTTGGGCACATGTTATACAGTCAGAAAAAAACAGAGAACATAAACGTATGTGCTTTCAGCATCCACAGTAGGAAGTATGGCCCAGTTAACAGTCCTGCAGGACTGCACAATGGCTTTCCACTTAACCTGTTCTAAGTGATTCTGTAATGGATATCTTTGTGTATAAGATCTTTATTTACGTTTCTAATTATCTCCTTAGAACGGACTACTAGAACAGAAATTAGTAAATCAAAGAGTATAAACTTTTTAAAAATTAATCTTTTTTCCTGAGTATCATACATATCCATTGTAGGAAATTCAGAAAATATTTAAAAAACAAAAAAAAGTAAAAGTGATTCGTGATACTATCAGTTACAGCCACTTAGAACATTTTCATCTATTTTCTTCTAATCATTTTGTAATTATAACCACATCATGCATCTTCTTTTGTAACCTGCTTTTTCTACGTAACTGTAAACACATCCTCATATAAAGGACTTAATTCATCCACTACAAAATAATCATTTAAATTATTAAAATATACAAAATCATGCTGTATGGCAAAAAAAATACATATATATATGATCTATGAACCAGAAATCTTAAAACACAAGATGAGAAGAGAAACAGTAGAAGGGCACCTGACCGCTTGAGCTTCACACCTTCAATGCCCAGACAAATATCCCAAGCACTAAACAGGTACCAAAGGGACACCAAAACTCCCCAGGCAACAAAACAATTTGCAGAAATGATCTGAAGCTCTCAGACTCTCAGAAAGGTCACGAAACTGGAACAACTGGAAGTGAGCAGCTTTGTCCACACATGTGATCAATTTAGTTGGCTGGTAAGCCAACTAAATGGCAAAGTCTTTCCTGTCACCTCTGTCAGTAAGAAGGAAAACATCATGACAGCTTAGTGTCATGACAGGAGTGGGCCACCTTCTGCCCCTGCTCCCCAAGGCTGAGGTGGTCCGGAAGGGGCTCAGTGCCCCAGACAAGTGCATGATCCAGATCTGAAGACACCTAGGAGATGGAATGACAAACCAAACCTAAAGTGACCTTCATAGGACAGGACACTGAGCCAAAACCAACAAGCTGAAGGCGAAGGAGGCAGGCGCAGGCGTCACACAGGAGAGAAATCCTGCGGCAGTGCATAAAGGGGCAACCTGTGGACTTCACTAACCTGAGATGTGGCCACTGGCCCAAGTACTGCACCTTCAGGCTGCAGCGAGGAAACTGTGCCCAGATGGGAAGTTCCCTCATCAAGGAGCCCCCACAGGGTCAGTGTCTGGAGCTCCAGACACACACCAGGGAACATGCCAGGCTGCCGAGAGCCTCTCAAGCATGCCACAGGGTCCACACCACATGAGGCAGAGAACACCATGGTTACCTGTGCCTGGGAAAGTTCAGGTGCACAACCATCCCAAACAGAGGCAGAATGCAAACTGACAGGCAAAATGAGAATCATCCTGGGCCGTCTCTGAGTGGAAGGGCCTTGGGGAAGCTGACCACCTTCTGTCAGGAACACCTTTAAACGCCTCTCTATGGCTGGCCTGCTATTTACCTTCCTGCCCACCCTGGGCACAACCTCCCACCCTCCTGTAGCCCACACCTAGTTCCTCCATCCCCAGGCCTCATTTCCTACAAGTCCTGCGCTGCACAGAAGGCTCTCTCTCATCCCATGTTTGCATACTGCAGGAAGAACATCACTGTGCTCCTTCTAGTGCTGACAGCCAATGACCATGCAGATCTCCTTACCTAGGCCCTCGGCTCCTGCAGGACGAGCTCAGGCTGGCTGAAGGCGCATCATGTTCTCATGGTAGAGGGGATGGGGGTCAGCACAGGACTCATTAGGGACCTTTCAATTCTGAGAGAAGCTGATGTCCTCTCAGAGAAAGCAACCCTCTCCTTACCTGGAAAAACTTGGCAAAGGCCTCCCTCTCTCTTGGACTGAATGAGGTGGATCTAAGGAGTACAGTAGCAGGGTCCACCTGCTCCCACACCCGGCTGGAAGGAGGCTGGGCGCATGCTCAGCATCCACAAGACCACGGACTCCTCCTATTCTACCTCACCCATCTCTTATCCCACTGACACACACCCTCTGCTCGAACTCAACAGGTCCTAAAAAGCTGCCTTCTGGGAATTGCTCTCTCTCCTCCTCGGTCCACAGCCTGAGCAAACAGGCCACAGGGCAGAGCTGGTGGGCTAGGCTTGGTTCAGGTTACCACATCAGGCACAGGCTCCATCTGACCTTAACTTGATGGGAAACATTTTCTCATGAGACTATGTGCAGTGATAATCTTCAATTTCAAATGATGAGCTAAAAACAACAACCAAGCAGGAATGAGCACAGTAAAGCAAGTTTAGATTTAAAATAAAAAATGAGGCTGAGTACAGTGGCTCACACCTGTAATCCCAGCACTCTGGGAGGCTGAGGCGGGCGGGTCATTTGAGGTCAGGAGTTTGAAACCAGTCTGGCTAACGTGGTGAAATACAAAAAAATTAGCCAGGCATGGTGGCAGGCACCTGTAATTCCAGCTACTTGGGAGGCTGAGGCAGGAGAATTGCTTGAACCCAGGAGGCAGAGGTTGCAGTGAACCAAGATTGCGCCACTGCAGTCCAGCCTGGGAGACAGAGCAAGACTCCGTCTCAAAAAAAAAGAATGAATAGCATAGGTCTAGAACAGCCTGGTGGCTGTAGGTAAATTTGAAAAGGTGAAAGAAAAAATAAACAATCAACCTGGCGTGGTGGCTCACGCCTGTAATCCCAGCACTTTGGGAGGCTGAGGTGGGTGTCACTTGAGGTTAGGAGTTGGAGACCAGCCTGGTCAACACGGTGAAACCTCATCTCTACTAAAAATACAAAAATTAGCTGGGCACGGTAGCGCATGCCTGTGATCCCAGCTACTCGGGAGGCTGAGGCAGGAAAATCGCTTGAACCTGGGAGGCGGAGGTTGCAGTGAGCCGAGATCGCGCCACTGCACTCCAGCCTGGGCAACAGAGTGAGACCCCGTTTCTAAATAAATAAATAAATAAAAATAAACAATCATTACAATCAGAGCTGTGCAACAGGGTAGGGCCAGGCTGCCCTGGAGATGCCTACTCAGGGAAGGGGGTGGACACATACTTGTCTGGAACGTGCAGAGAGATCCAAGTGCCAGAGGCAACTGCGTCAAAGCCTCTGCTCTTTCAACATGGGTGTCCTTTTGCTCCAAGCCTGAAACTTGCTGCTTCATCTGCCACTACTTTTGAAATTTAATGTATCAGCCCTCACTAAAGAAAAGTCTTAGGTTTACCTAAAATGCAGAGATACATCTAATCTTACCAAGGAATTGGAAGATTAGTATTTGTTTTGGGAAAGGATTCAGGGGATCAGCACAGTAACCCAACAACAAAAGGACTCACGCAGAAACATCCCTCACTTTGCCAATAGTGGACTACACAAGAGAAGGACAGCTTTAGGTTAGCCTGGTCCATTATTAATTCACCTAAAGATCTTGAGCAAAGCTTGTAGTCTCTGTTCTTTAGTTCCCTGTGCTAATGAGCAACAAAATCCAAAGGCACAACCTAGGGGCTACCTGGGTGTTTGCAGCTTACACTACAGCTGACCAATGCACCCAGCATAGGAACAACAGAAGCAAGGCAGGACTCCACTGCCTACATCATCCCTGACAAGCTGTTCGACTCGGGCAATGCCCTTAACCTCTCTGATTTTCACTTTATTTATCTGTCCAAGGGATGACAATTATCACTTGCTAAGCATAACTTGATGGGTTCCTGCGTAACTGGTCTTTGCAACAATCCCACAAAGTGAATTCTACTACTAGTTCCACTTCACAAATGTAGACACTGAGATTCCTGTGCCTTTAACACCCATGCTCTAACTCCTCCCTACATGACACCTATCCTCGCCTCCCTCACCCCCCTCCCCCGTTCCAGCCGGCCACATTCCTGCGTGGTTGTACCAGACAGCAAAAGGTCAGAGAGATCTGGGCCCTCACAGAAACCCACACGCTTCACTCTTGGGATTCACCTTTGCGAGATCTTACTGCAGTTTCTAAAACTTTCACCCTCGTTGAATTCAGGTGAAAGCCTTCAAATTCTAAAAGGTTGAGAAGAGGACCTGTGGACAACATCCCCTTACTATTAACAGCACAGCAATTCCGTAGTCTCACGAGGCTGAACTCTTTTGGTGCTGAGAGTAACAGCACTGTGGGCACTCTGCTTCTTCCTCCAGTGCTGGCCGGGCCCTCCGTCCCAACCAAGCCTCCACCCCACTGCGGCCTGGCAGTCCGGCGGGCATCCAGGCGGGAGGCGGCACCGCGTGAGGCTGAGCGCGGCACCGACGGGGCGGGGAGGGGGATGTGGAACTGACTCTGACGGGGAACGGGAATACTGAGGGGACGACAGACCGGCCAGGAGAAGGATCTGGGGCAATGGGAGACTGACCCAGTAGAGAGGGGATACTGGGGTGATGAGGAACCCAAGCGGTAGGGGGGGATGCTGGAGGGTGGGGGAATTCCGGAGACCGGCCGGGGAGGAGGAAGGTACTGGGGGGACGTGGAACCGACCCTGTTGAGGAAACGGATAATGGGGGCGGGGTGATACCGGCCGTCGGAGTGAGGTACCGGACCTGCGCCGCACGTCCACCGCTCACCTGCGCGTGGGCCACCACCAGGCTCTTATTGCCCTCTCCGTGGTACCCCCATTCATTCTCGTCCATCTTCCCCTCTTCCATGCCCAGGCGCAGCCCTGGCGCCTCGCGGGCTAGGACTCGGGGACGCGAGCTGGGGGCCGCCCGCCTCGCTGGGAACCAGCCGCTGCGGTCGGGGGAGGAGCGCCTGTCAGCTGCCGCCCCCGCTCGACCCCGCCGCGGCGACTAGCAAGCTGTGGCCGCCGGAAGCCACGCCCCCGGCGCCTGCCATGACGGAGTCGGGCAATTCCGGGTTCGTGACACTTTCCTCACACCGATCGCGACGGTGGATGGGCCGGCGGCCATCTTAGGTACTGGTAGAGCGACTCATTTCCGGAACGCGGTCTTGGGAGCCGGAAGAGAAGCTTCCGGCCTCGGCGCCGGATGTGTAGCTGGCGGAAGGAGCCGGCGGCTTTTCGGCGCCCGGTAGTGACCGGCAGTCCCCGGGTAGCCAGGGTGTCTGGGTGTTGGGACCGCTTAGTCGCGAGACCCCAGCAAACCTCTTGGCGTCTCTGAGCCTCAGCTTTTGCTTCTGTAGAATAGGGTGTACTCATCGTACATTTCATGGGAATACCTAACGCAGTCATTTGGATGGTCCTGTGAGGTAGAAAACATTGTCCAACGTTCTACGCGAGGAAATGTGGCTGGGCCACAGGACTGGACTCCCCAGTCCCGCTTTTGCCTGAAGACTTCGAGGGACGCAGTTGGAGCGCAAGGCTCCTGCTTGGCGGTGAGGCAGAGGGCTAACGACCTTCCTTCTCCTAAATTCACTGATGCGGCGGCAAGAATGGCACCGCCTCGTAGAGCTACCGCATTTCCCAAACTCGTAGTCTCAGGACCACTTTATACTCATAAAAATGAGGGCCCCAAGCTTTTGCTAATGTGGGTTACAGCTATCGATGTTACCACATTCTAAGTTAAAATGCTTTAAAGTTTTTTGTTGTTTCGTTTAAAAGTAAACAGCCGGGCGCGGTAGCTCACGCCTGTAATCCCAGCACTTTGGGAGGCTGAGGCGGGCGTATCACCTGAGGTCAGGAGTTTGAGACCAGCCTGGCCAACATGGTGAAACCCTGTCTCTACTAAAAATACAAAAATGAGCCAGGTATGGTGGCGCAGGCCTGTAATCCCAGCTACTCCGGAGGCTGAGGCAAGAGAATCATTTGAACCCAGGAGGCGGAGGTTGCGGTAAGCCAAGATCGCGCCATTGCACTCCAGCGTGGACGACAGAGTGAGACTCCATCTCAAAAAAAAAAAAAAAAAAAAAAGTAAACATTACATTCCACGCCCACCACCAAAATAAAGGAGTGGTATTGTTTTACACTTTTGCAAATCTTTTTAAAATCTGACCTAATAGGTTCTCACATGTGCTTCGGCATTCGGTCTGCTGCAATATATTGCATTGGTTGACATACACATTGTGAAGAACATCTGCAGTTATGTAGTTCACAAAGAGAGGACCTGCAGACCCAACTTTGAGAACGGCTGGGCACCTTGCCAGGCCTTGGGAATTGTAGTGAAATCAGGCCAGTGACTCAGGAAAATGAGCTGAAGGCTTTGAGCATCTCTTTCCTCCATTTTAGGCCTCAAAAGGGAGGCTGGGGCAGGGCATGGTGACTCATGCCTGTAATCCCAGCATTCTGGGAGGCCGAGGTGGGCGGATCGCTTGAGCTTAGGAATTCCAAACCAGCCTGGCAACATGGTGAAACCCTGTCTCTACAAAAAATTAGCAGGGTGTGGTATCTGTGCCTGTAGCCCCAGCTACTTGTAGGGCTGAGGGGCTGAGGCGGGAGGATCGCTTGTGCCCGGGAGGTTGAGGCTGCAGTGAGCCGTGATCAAGCCACTGCACTCTAGCCTGGGTGACAAAGCAAGATTCTGTCTCAAAAAAAAAAAGTGGGGGAGGCTGGGTGTGGTGGCTCACGCCTGTAATCCCAGCACTTTGGGAGGCCAAGGCGGTGGATCATGAGGTCAGGAGTTTGAGACCAGCCTGGCCAATATGGTGAAACCCCATCTCTACTAAAAATACAAAAATTAGCTGGGTGTGTGGTGCACGCCTGCAATCCCAGCTACTCGGGAGGCTGAGGCAGGAGAATTACTTGAACCCGGGAGGTAGAGGTTGCAGTGAGCCCAGATCGTGCCACTGCATTCCAGCCTGGGCAACAGAGCAAGACTCCGTCTGAAAGAGAAAAAAGGAGGCGGTGGGGGGGGGGTGGTGGGGAAGCTGGGTGGGAGGTGGCTCAGGACCCTCCACAGGGATGGTTGAGAAATGGGGGCAGAAACAGCCACTCCTGGAGGTAAGTAGCTCCCAACAGAGAGAGAGGACCTTAGGGCTCACAAAATTCAGTCCTTCCCACGCCCCCACAAGGCCAGGGAAGCTTAAACATGACTGCAGTTGAGTTCCTCAGCACCCTGCAAAAAGGAGAGTTGGGGTGAGATTAAATAATATATTAAGCATTAAAATATTTCCTTGAAACCTCTAAGGTGCTAGAAATGTTCTGTATCTTGATTTTTTCCCCCATGGAGGTGTATTATATCCCTGATACTTTAAAATTGCCATTATATGGTGATGATAAAAAGCAGATTCATGCTGGGGATGGTGGCTCACGCCTGTAATTACAACACTTTGGGAGGCCCAGGTGAGTGGATCACTTTGAGTTCAGGAGTTCAAGACCAGCCTGGCCAACATGGTGAAACCCATCTCTACAAAAAATAACAAAAAAATTAGCTGGGCATGGTGGTACACACCTGTAGTTCCAGCTACTCAGGAGACTGAGGTTGGAGGATTGTTTGAGCCCAGGAAGTGGAGGTTGCAGTGAGCTGAGAGCACACCACTGCACTCCAGTCTGGGTGACAGAGCCAGATGTTGTCTGAAAAAAAGGTTTTTTAAATCCAAATTTGGTTTTATCATTCTTTTTAAATTCACAGGCAACAGCACCTGGGCAGACCATGCCATTTCCCCTCCTGAACTCGGGTGCTTTGAAAGAAGTATAGGGGGCCGGTCGCGGTGGCTCCCGCCTGTAATCCCAGCACTTTGGGAGGCCGAGATGGCCGGATCACCTGAGGCTAGAAGTTCAAGACCAGCCTGGCCAACATGGTGAAACCCCGTCTCTACTAAAAATACAAAAATTAGTTGGATGTGGTGGCGTGTGCCTGTAATCTCAGCTACTTGGGAGGCTGAAGCTGGAGAACTGCATCAATCCAGGAGGTGGGGCTGCAGTGAGCTGAGATCCTGCCACTGCACTCCAGCCTGGGTGACAGCAAGACTCCGTCTCAAAAAGAAAAAAGAAACAAATATGGGGACGAACAGTGGGAATGCAGAGGAGAGGGTTCCCATCTGAGGAGGCTGGAAGAAAAGAAGGCTGGAAAAGAACCATGAGAAACACATGTCTGTCGTTTAAGCTATACAGCCTATGGTATTTTGTCATGGCAGTCTGAGCCAAGAGAGGGAGCAATTTAATTAGATGTGTTATGCTCTTCTATCTAGGTCCCATATAGATTGCCAACACTGTTAGTGCTTTCTCCTTTTGTGTTAAAAAGGAAAGATAGAGGAAGGGAGGGAAGAAGGAAGGATGGAGAAGAGAACAGAAAAGTAAAATGAAAATGTCTTCTAACCATATTGAAAAGCTATCCAGGGCCGGGCACGGTGGCTCACGCCTGTAATCCCAGCACTGTGGGAGGATGAGGCGGGCGGATCACAAGGTCAGGAGATCGAGACCATCCTGGCCAATATGGTGAAACCCTGTCTCTACTAAAAATACAAAAATTAGCCGGGCGTGGTGGCAGGCACCTGTAGTCCCAGCTACTTGGGAGGCTGAGGCAGGAGAATAGCTTGAACCCAGGAGGCAGAGGTTACAGTGAGCTGAGATTGTGCCACTGCACTCCAACCTGGGCGATAGAGTGAGACTCCGTCTGGAAAAAAAAGAAAAAGAAAAGTATCCAGAAACAGGGTGGAAAAGCATTGGTAATTGTGGAGTACCAAGTAATGAGTTCTTACTCTACTCTTGCTATTTTTATGTGTGTTCGGAATTTTCCTTACTAAGAAAGTATGTGATACCATGCGTTGCCACGATATGGCATGGCATGATGAGAAGGCACTTCACCTCTGTGGCGTTTCCCCCCAACCCATAAGCCCTTTCTAATCATTAGAAAACATTAAACAAACCCAAATTGAGGGACAATTCACACAGTTCACACAGTTCATACTGAGACACGGACCAGGAGAAGGAAGGATCTGGGGGAACGGGAGACTGACCCAGTCTAACCAGGACTTCAAAACTGCCATGGTCATGGAAGACAAGGATAAACTGAAGAAGTGTCACAGATCAGGGAACCCTAAGGAGACATGATGACTCAATGCAATGTGGGATCTTGGATTGGATCCTGGAACAGAAACAGACATTGATGGGAAAACAGGTAAAATCCAAATAAAACCTAAAGTTTAGTTAATAGTAGTGTACTAATGTAAGTTGTTTTGTTTGGGCATGTGCCAGTTATGTGTATTCACTTTGGGGGCGGCTGGTGAAGAGCACATAGGAACTCTGTACTACCTTTACAACATTTGTGTAAATCTAATCCCAAAATAAAAAGTTCATTTACAGAAAAAGAAGACACTCATTGTTCAGCTCCTTTCATAATTAATTGAAATTCAAATAATGAAGTGTCGGCCAGGCACAGTGGCTCACGCCTGTAATCCCAACACTTTGGGAGGCCCAGGTGAGTGGATCGCTTGAAGTCAGGAGTTCAAGACCAGCCTGGCCAACATGGTGAAACTCCAACTCTACTAAAAATACAAAAACTAGTCAGGCTTGGTGGCGGGCACCTGTAATCCCAGCTACTTGGGAGGCTGAGGCAGGAGAATTGCTTGAACCCAGGAGGCGGAGGTTGCAGTGAGCCGAGATCGCACCACTGCACTCCAGCCTGGGTGATAGCAAGACTCTGTCTCAAAAACAGACAAAAAACAAATAATGAAGTGTCTCATATATCAGTGTGGTGAAACAGTCTTAGGCAGTGTTTGCCATGGGTGATGGGGAGGGGACAGACAGCACACATATGCACTGCTGGTGAGGGTGGGGAGGCATTGCAATGTTAAAGTTCAGTTTGGCCATATTATTAAAATTAATGCCACTAATCTCACTTGACTCATCTCCACAGCTAGAAATTTAATCCTATGGAACTCTCCCTTAAATACTCAGAGATAGGTACAGGGTGTTCATACAGACAGGAGGAGTGATGACAGGACTTGGTTTTCAGCTTGGGACACTTCAGGATGGCCTCCGCATTTCTAACAAGTTCCCAGATGAGTCTCAGAATTGCTGAATGGTGACATACTCAGAAAAACCATACAGCTAGTAAAAATATATGTTAGACCTGTTTTGTACTGACCTGAAAGATGTTGAAAGCCTATGGTTAAGTAAAACAAATGTGTGAGAATGTGTATAAATGAAACGAAAAAGGAAAAGAGATTATTATATTAGCCCCACTGGAAAGAGGAAAGTGGGAAGAACTAGGGGAGGAAATTCACTTTCCTCTTTTTTTTTTTTTTTTTTTTTTTTTTGAGTCAGAGTCTCGCACTGTTGCCTGGGCTGAAGTGCAATGGCGCAATCTCGGCTCACTGCAACCTCCACCTCCCGGGTTCAAGCAATTCTCCTGCCTCAGCCTCCCAAGTAGCTGGGACTACAGGCGCGCGCCACCACACCCGGCTAATTTTTTGTATTTTTAGTAGAGACGGGGTTTCACGGTGTTAGCCAGGCTGGTCTCGAACTCCTGACTTAGTGATCCGCCCGCCTCGGCCTCCCAAAGTGCTGGGATTACAAGCGTGAGCCACCGCACCCAGCCAACTTTCCTCTTACATTTCTATATTGTTGACTGTTTCACAGAGAACATATTCATATACCACTTCTCTAAAATTTCACAAAATGAATAAATCCTCACACATTTCTTTCTTTTTTTTTTTTGAGATAGTCTTCCTATGTTGCCCAGGCTGGAGTGCAGTGGCGCAATCTCAGCTCACTGCAAGCTCCGCCTCCCGGGTTCACACCATTCTCCTGCCTCAGCCTCCCGAGTAGCTGGGTCTACAGGTGCCCACCACTACACCCAGCTAATTTTTTGTATTTTTAGTAGAGACAGGGTTTCACCACATTAGCCAGGATGTTCTCGATCTCCTGACCTCGTGATCCGCCCACCTCAGCCTCCCAAAGTGCTGGGATTACAGGCGTGAGCCACCACGCCCGGCCAATCCTCACACATTTCTTAAATAGGTAGACCTAGCTCTGTGTTTAGAAATGCAAGATGGCCACGATACATTGTTAAACACAGGAACAAATGTGTTTGAATGGAAAAGAGAAGGAATATGTGTCTTATTGTTAACTGAGCTTTTCTTTGGCGATGTGCACTGATGATGCTACATGATTCTGTAACATTTGAATTTTGTGTAAAAGATGTGACTTACCTGTCTGATCAGAAACAAGAACAGAGCCCTGATGCAGCAGCCTCAGGATGCCCAGCCAGATGGAACTGGGGCAGCTTTCCTGAGGGTGGACGCAAGTATTTGGGTCACCTGAACCTGCCATGGGATAAGACCCTGCTGTCCTGAGGCAACCCCACAGATTCTGAGGGGTCCTCCCAGTATGGTGAGTCAGGGGCCTCAGCACACGGCTCCTTCCCACACAGGAATACAAAGATGGGCATGCTGTTACCTGGATTAGCAGTCACTTTCCTGGGGTCTTGTCAGAGTGTCAGCTCTCCATCCTGTGCTGCTATGACAGAATACCACAGACTGGCTAATTTATAATGACCAGAAACTAATTGCTCACGGTTCTGGAGGACAGGAAGTCCAATATCAAGATGTCAGCATCTGGCAAGGGCCTTGCTGTGTCATCGCATGGGAGGCATCACATGGCAGAAGGGTAAAGAGAGAGTAAGAAAGGACAGAACTTGCCCTTTGATTTTTTTATATCTTTTTTTTTTTTGTAGTCCAGTGGTCTTTTATTTTTGTAATACCTATTATGCCGTAAATTCAGAGGGAATGGGTACCAGCAGCTCAGGCTCCTTTCCACTGGCTCTCGCAAAGTGTCCTTCTCTGGGTGGAGCAGGCTGGCGCTTCAGTTGAACCCAAGTACCTTTCTCTGGCTTCCTTCTTTTTCTGATCGTTTTCCTTCACTGTCTTGGCTATCTTGGCTCTTAGAGAGCTTAATGTGCTCAATACACACGTTAATTCTCTTGGCAAGAATCTTGCCCTTGTTTACAACAATGCCAACAGCATGCTGAGTAACACTGTAGACTGCTCCAGTTTTGCCACGGTAACATTTGTGAGCATTCCTTTTTGAACAGTACCTATTCTTTTGATGTCTACAATATCACCTTTCTTATAGATTCGCATGTATGTGAACAAAGGAATAACTTCCTGTTTTCTAAAAGGCTTAGATAACATATACTGGGCCCCTCTTCTCTTCCCTTTGTGTTCATCATTTTGGCAAATTACTGGAAGATGGCGCTTCCAGCCAAAAGGCAGAACTTGCCCATTTATGATGGCATTAATCCCACCTATGAGGACAGAGCCCTTATGACCTAATTACCTCTTTTTTTTTTTTTTTTTTCTAAGATGGAGTCTTGTTCTGTCGCCCAGGCTGGAAGGCAGAGGCACGATCTCGGCTCACTGCAACCTCTGCCTTGCAGGTTCAAGTGATTCTCCTTCCTCAGCCTTCCGAGTAGCTGGGGCTACAGGTGCGCACCATCACACCCGGCTAATTTTTGTATTTTTAATAGAAACGGGGTTTCACCATGTTAGCCAGGCTGGTCTCAAACTTCTGGGCTCAAGTGATCTGCCCACCTCAGCCTCCCAAAGTGCTGGGATTACAGGCATGAACCACGGCACCCAGCCCCTAATTACCTCTTAAATATCCCACCTCTTAATACTGTTACGATGGCAGATAAATTTCAACATGAGTTTTAGAGGGGACAAACATTCAAATCACAGCACCCACCCTCCACCTGCCTCTCTTTTACACTCCAGGAAAATGCTCTCCAAGGTGACAGTCCAATGTTAGAGTTCAATTTGGCCATATTATTAAAATTAATGCAGCTAATCTCACTTGACTCATCATTTCCACAGCTAGAAATTTAATCCAATGAAACTCAGTACTGCAGCATAATCAGGGACACCCCAACTCCACCCCAGTGAGGGCATCCCATGGCATTAGCATCATCTTTGACTTAGACAAGACAAAAAAAAAAGTACAGTCCATCAGAGAAAAGATTGACATCTTTGTCTATATTTAAAATTTTAACCTCAGGCCCAGTGGCTCATGCCCATAATCCCAGCACTTTGTGAGGCTGAGTCAAGAGGATCACTTTAGGCCAGGAGTTCAAGACCAGCCTGGGCAACATAGCAAGACCCTATCGCTCCAAAAAAAATTTTTTTAATTAACTAGGCATGATGGCACACCTGTAGTCGCAACTACTGAGGAGGCTAAGGCAAGGGGATCATTTGAGCCCACGAGTTCAAGGATACAGTAATCTGATTACACTGTTGCACTCCAGCCTGGGCGACAGAGTGAGACCTTGTCACAAAACAGAAGGTAAAATTTCAAGGTAGCAGAATAGTCAAATTCACAGAGACGGGAAGTAGAATGATGGCTGCCAGAGGCTGGGGGAGGGAGGAATGGGGAGCCAGTTTTTAATGGATTCAGAGTTTTGGTTTTACAAGATGAGGAAAGTTCTAGAGATTAATGGTGGTGATGGTTGCACAATATTATGAATGTACTTAATGCCATCGAACTGTATATTTAAAAGTGGTTAAGGCCGGGTGCCATGGCTCACACCTATAATCCCAGCACTTTGGGAGGCTGAGGCAGGCGGATCACCTGAGGCCAGGAGTTTGAGACCAGCTTGGCCAACATGGCGAAACCCCATCTCTACTAAAAATACAAAAATTAGCCGGGCGTGCCCAGCTACTTGGGAGACTGAGGCAGGAGAATCGCTTGAACCTGGGAGGCGGAGGCCACAGTGAGCCAAGATCACACCATTGCACTACAGCCTGGGCAACAAGAGCGAAACTCCCATTTCAAAAAAAAAAAAAAAAAAGTAGTTAAAATGGTAAATTTTATGTTATGAATATTTTATCACAATAAAAAATTAAAATCTCTGCACAACAGAATCTACATAACCACAATGTACATAACTGTCGAAAAAGATAGCAAGTAGATACCTAAATTATCCATGAAAGAGTATGCAGTCATTGGGAAGAATAGAGTGATCTTCAAGATACAGCAAGTGAAAAAGATAAAGCTAGGACACTGTGAATATTGTTACCATTTGTATAAAAATATACAACATACACACATATTTTGACGGGCATGCATAGAATATCTCTGGAAAGATACATAAAGAATTGGTAACAGTTACATACCAGGAGTAGAATGGGTGGAGACAAAGAAAAAAAACACCTCAGCTGTACTCTGTAACCTTTTTTCCTTTTTTAATTTTATACGCACATATGTACATATTTTACGTATTAAAAATAAATATAAGAGGACTCCTGGTTTCCAGTCCAGCCTCAAAAAATAGCAAGTGTCAGAGAAGCGTGAGGAGGGAGAGTTAATGAGGTAGGGGCACAATCAGCAAGACAAAGAAAGGCTAGGAGCATCTGTTCCGGGCAGGACTTTGAAGGTCAGAGACGGACACCATGCTTGCAGGGACAGAGTAGCTCTGCAGGCTAGGGTAGGGTGTTAGGCCTGGAGAGAGCCCTTGGGCCTTGTAACATATTTCGCTGGCTTGGCTAGGGTGGAGGAGAGAAGGGCCACAGCCATCCCCTACTGTGCTCAGCAGGACACCCTTCTCTTCGTGTTCCCTGGACAGAGCCTCTATAGGCAGGTAACTAGCTGAGAGAAGGATCAAGAAACATTATAGCAAGCCTGGAGTTCAACAGGCTTGAAATTGGCCTCAGGGCACCACTGATGAGGCTGGAGTGGGAGCCACTGAAGCAATAAAGATGCGTTCCCACCCCAGGTTTCAGAGAGTAACAGGCAGAGGCTTTGTAGAACACAGGACCGCAGACCTTGGGTGCGGACGGGGGTGTGCAGGAAGAGTGAAGCTCTGAACGGTTGGAAGAGAGGAGGCCAAGAGAGGCCACACGGAGGCACCAGGCAGTTTGCATGGGCACCCCGCTAAAGAAGCAGACACAGGCCAGCCACCTGCTGGGATGGAGGAGGGAGGAGCCCTTGGGAACCTTCCAGAGGACTGACGGGAACAGTGATGGCAGGTCCCAGGCAGACAGAAACTTCTTGAGTCACAGGGTTATGCAAGTGCTGTAGGCAGCAGTGACAAAGAGCTGGATTATGGCGTAGGCAGGCTTGGCCAGCAGGACTCATAGCCCTCTCTGTGCCCGAGAGAGAGACTGTAAAGGAATGTGTCACCATCCATGCATATGAAGCCGATGCCTGCACCCCAAGGCCTCCGGCACCCTGGTGTGGTTTCCAGGCACTGGGTGGGTTGCAGGGGGACCTGCCGGGAAAGGGCTGGGAGACGCCCAAGGGTGGAGACTGGGGCAAGGGCCAGCCCACACCAGGTGCCAAAAACTACGGGATGCTTCCGGGGCAGGGACCATGGGGGCCCATGAGCAAGCAGGGCTGTGGGGAACTAGAACTGACCAGACCTCCCTTGGGGCCCCACTTGGCTCCAGGAAGATGCTCCTGCTAGCAGGACCAAGGAGAAGCAGAGTCCCCCAGGGATGGAAGTTAGAGGAGGTGACAGGCAGGGCTAGGCAGAGGGAAGGAAGGGGGTGCCTGGCTTAGGGCTGCTCCCTGGGGAGGCCTCTCTGCCCAGGGCAGCCTCCGTGAAGATGCCTGGGACCCAGCCCCTTGCTGAGCCTTGCTTCTCTTCCCTCTTGTAAGTTCCCACTCCAGGGGAAGTATGTCTTTCCCCAGCCCAGTGGACAACCCCAGTGAGTTCTGTCCTTGGCCTCTTTCAAGGGGAACCACCTCAAGTTAGCACTGTACAGACCCAGCCAAGCTGCTTACAATCAGCCCCAACACGCAGAAACGACTCTCAGCCCTCAGGAATGTGAACCTGCTTCACCACATTAGCAGCCAGTGAATTGTATTATAAAAATAATTAGAAAACAGCTAAAACTAGTAGGCTACAGAGTCCCTGGATTTGCTGGTCAAAGGCTTGGTTCTACAGCTCTCTGATGAGAAAAAAATGTTCCAAGCATAAACACTTGACAATAACCACTGCTGGAGAGGCCATGAGATAACAAACATCCTTCTTGTACACTGTAGAGTGTAGTCTTACCTAGTGCAATCCTTCCAGGGACAGTTTGGCAATATCTATTAAAATATAAAGTATGCAAACACCCTTTCATAGAAATTTATCCTAGATACGCCTTTGTATCAAGATAAATGCAGCTCCTTCCTCTGCGCCAGGGTTTCTCAATCTCCGCACTACTGACATTTGGACCAAAGAATTACGAGTTGTGGAAGGCATTGTTCTGGGCATTGTAGGATGCTGTGATGGTGAATTTCATGTGTTAACCTGACTGGGTGTGTCTGTGAGGGTGTTTCTGGATGAGATTAATATTTGAATTGGCAGACTGGTTGTTTTAGTCCATTTGGGCTGCTATAATAAAATACTAGACTGAGTGGTTTATAAACTACAGAAATGTGTTTTCATAGTCCTGGAGGCTAGAGAGTCCAAGATCAAGGAGCCGGCGGATTTGGCATGCGGAGAGGGCCCCTACCTCATAGAGAGCACCTTCTCACTGTGTCCCCACATAGTGGAAGGGGCAGGTGGTGGAGGGGGCAAGGTGGCTTTCTGAGGCCTCCTTTATTAGGGCACTGATCCCATTCCTGAGGCTCCTCCCCCATGACCTAATCATCTCCCTAATGCCCCCGTCTCCTAATACCATCACCTTGGGGTTGGCTTCAACATTGAATTTTGGGGGGACACAGACATTCAGACCACAGCACTGAGTGAAGCCGACAGTCCTCTACAAGGCGGACAGGCCTCATCTCTCAGTTCAAAAGCCTGAATGGAACAAAAATGCTGCTCCTCCCCTGAGTAAGAGGAAACTCCTCCTCCCTGAGGCCTTCAAACTGGGACATTGGCTTTTTCCTGTCTTTGGACTCAAAGTGAAACATCTCCTCCTCCTGGGTCTCGAGCCTGCCAGTCTCTGGCCTGGAACACACATCAGTGTCCCTGGGTCTTGCCTGCAGATCTTGGGACTCACCAGCCTCCATAGTTGCATGAGCCAAGTCCTTACAATAGATCTCTTTCTCTATAAATATCTGTAGTACTGGTTCTGTTTCTCTGGACAATCCCAACTAACACAGATGGTGAGCAGAATTCCTGGTATTCACTCACTAGATGCCAATAGCCACCCCCAGCCCCCACTTGCAACAACCAAAAATGTCTCCATACTGTCCTAGATGGCACTTGGGGGAAAATTTCCTGGGTGAGAGCCACCACTGTACACATGTTCCCAGGAGGGAAGATACAACTCCCTTGTCCAGGGCCCACATAGGGAGATCCTGCATCTTACCCTGAGTGAGGAAGATTGGGAGCTCCAATGGGCGTGGGGGCCAGATGGACAGAAGGCAGATGAGAAGTGACACAGAGAAAAGGCCGGGCCAGGCGCGGTGGCTCAAGCCTGTAATCCCAGCACTTTGGGAGGCCGAGGTGGGCGGATCATGAGGTCAGGAGATCGAGACCATCCTGGCTAATACGGTGAAATCCTGTCTCTACTAAAAATACAAAAAATTAGCCGGGCGTGGTGGTGGGCACCTGTAGTCCCAGCTACTCGGGAGGCTGAGGCAGGAGAATGGCGTGAACCCAGGAGGCAGAGCTTGCAGTGAGCCGAGATCACACCACTGCACTCCAGCCTGGGCAACATAGCGAGACTCCATCTCAAAAAAAGAAAAAAGAGAAGGGCAGCCACAGCAAAGCATGACTAGAACACTTCTGACACCCAGAGTTCTGGGGCGAACGCGATACCCACTGCACCTACAGAGAGCTATGCCAAGGCAGCCATAAAAAGGTACCCACTATAGAACTTCCTATGAGCAAAACTGGAAACCACCTCTGTGGCTGTCAGCAGGGACTGACTGGTCACCCTGCAGCGCAAGTGTGTTTCGGGGGGACACTCTGCAGCCATTCATAGAAAAGAGGGAGACCCTCCAGAGCAGTAAGCAAAACCTCCAGGTGCAAGACAACGTGTAGAGTATGGTGCCTTCTGGGCCAGGAGTGGTGGTTCACTCCTGTAATCCCAACACTTTGGGAGGCCGAGGTGGGTGGATGACTTGAGATCAGGAGTTTGAGACCAGCCTGGCCAACACGGTGAAATCCCATCTCTACTAAAAATACAAAATTAGCTGGGAGTGGTGGTGCATGCCTGTAATCCCAGTTACTCGGGAGGCAGAGGCAGGAGAATCACTTGAACCTGGGAGGCAGAGGTTGCAGTGAGCTGAGATCGCACCACTGCACTTCAGCCTGGGTGACAGAGTGAGACTCCGTCTCAAAAAACAGTAAATAAATAAATAAAAGTATGGTGCCTTCTGGCTGCATTTTTAGGAAAGGATGTATAGAAAAAAATATTGCAAAGGTAACCCATGAAACTGTCGACACAGACTTTTTTCAGAGAGGAAATGGACAACGTATTATAACATGTTTAACCATTCTCTTGCATTCCTTTTTCACTTTTTGAGGTTAAGGATGTGATCTTAGCAGTGGCATTATGCACTATTTCTTCCTTATGCTTTTCTGTGCTAAAACCCGACAAACAAAACTTACGGTCCCAGCATTTTTTTAAATTAATTTATTTTTTGAGACAGAATCTTGATCTGTCACCCAGGCTGGAGTGCAGTGCCATGATCTCAGCTCACTGCAACCTCTGCCTCCTGGGTTGAAATGATTCTCTTGCCTCAGCCTCCTGAGTAGCTGGGATTACAGGCGCCCACCACCTCGCCCAGCTAATTTTTTTTGTATTTTTAGTAGAGACGGGGTTTCACCATGTTAGCCAGGCTGGTCTCAAACTCCTGGCCTCAAGTGATCCACTCATCTTGGCCTCCCAAAGTGCTGGGATTACAGGCATAAGCCACCATGCCTGGCCTAGCAAGCTGACTTTGTACAATGATGCAAAGGATAAGGCATGGGAGACACACTTGCAGAACAAACCTGGAGACATGCATGGCCTGATTTCAAAACTCACCACAAAACTTCAGTAATTAAGATAGTATTTTTGGGCCGGGTGCAGTGACTTATGCCTGTAATTCCATCACTTTGAGAGTCTGAGGCAGGAGGGTCACTTGAGCTCAGGAGTTGAAGACCAGCCTGAGCAATATAGTGAGACCCTATTCAAAATAAAAAAGTTAGTCAGGCAGTGGTCCCAGCTACTCAGGAGGCTGAGGTGTGAGGATAACTTGAGCCCAAGAGTTAGAGGTTGCAGTGAGCTATGATCATGCCACTGCACTCCAGTCTGGGTGACAGAGCAAGACCGTGCCTCAAAAAAAAAAAAAAAAATTCTCTTCAACAAAACATACCATTAAGAAGAGGCTGGTCGCAGTGGCTCATGCCTGTGATCCCAGCACTTTGGGAGGCCGAGGCGGGCGGATCACGAGGTCAGGAGATCGAGATCAGCCTGCCCAATATGGTGAAACCCTGTCTCTAATAAAAATACAAAAATTAGCCAGGCGTGGTGGTAGGCGCCTGTAGTCCCAGCATTCATGTGGCTGAGGCAGGAGAAAAGCTTGAACCTGGGAGGCAGAGGTTGCAGTGAGCCAAGATCGCGCCACTGCACTCTAGCCTGGGCAACGGAGCAAGACTCTGTCTCAAAAAAAAGAAAAAGAAATGAAGTCTGGGTGCGGTGGCTCACGCCTCTAATCCCAGCACTTTGGGAGGCTGAGGCAGGTGGATCATGAGGTCAGGAGTTCGAGACAAGCCTGGAGTGAGCTGAGATCGCGCCACTGCACCCCAGCCTGGGCGACAGGGCAAGACTCTGTCTCAAAAAAAAGAAAAAGAAAAGGAAATGAAAAGACAAGCTACAGACTGGGAGAAAATACCCTATGTATCTCTCGCACAACAGGAACTCAAATCCAGAGAAAAACAAACTCTTACAATAATAAGACAAGCAACACACACACAGATTTTCCCACTGAAGGCAAATGGCCTGCCAGTTCACAACTATAAATTACAAATGTCAGCTAACAATTAAAATGTGCTGCACCTTCAGTTAGCAAAGAAATGCAAATCAAAACCACAAGAGAGACTACTACACACCCACCAGAGGAGCCAAAATTAAGAAGACCAATGGGTGGGCCTGGTGGCTCATGCCTGTAATCCCAGCACCGTGGGAGGCCAAAGTGGGCGGATCACCTGAGGTCAGGCGTTTGAGATCAGGCTGGCCAACATGGCGAAACCCCGTCTCTACTAAAAATACAAAAATTATCAGGGCATGGTGGCACATGCCTGTAATTCCAGCTACTTGGGAGGCTGAAGCAGGAGAACTGCTTGAACCCAGGAGGTTGCAGTGACCCAAGATCGTGCCATTGCACTCCAGCCTGGGTGACAGAGCAAGACCCCATTTCAAAAAAAAAAAAGAGGACCAACAATGCCAATGGCTGGAGAAGATACAAAGCCACTAGAGGCCTGCGCGGCCATGGGTAGAGAATCACTGGGAAGTTTCAAAGCTTGACCTACACTACTTAACCCACAACTCTGCAATTCACTTCCACTCCTAGGTATCTACTCAAGGGAAATGAAACCTATGTCCCAACAAATATCTATAACTGAATGTTCACAACATTTTTATTTTTGATAGTCCCCAACTGGAAACTATCTAAATGTCCATCAGTGGATGAGTGAATAAAGTATGCAAAACCCTGTTCTGCAATTGTGAGGCACAGACCACTGGTGTGTACAACACCCACGAATCTCAGAAACATGCTGAGCAAAAGAAACACCAAAAGTCATCCCCAACAGAAGGCAGATCCGTGGTTGCCTGGGACCAAGGGTAGGGACTGACCTCAAAGGGCACCGGTGGGCTTTGTGGAGTTGTGGACATGTTCTATATCTTTATTGAGGTGCTGGTTACACTTATTAAAAGAGAGCAAGCTGAACTTACATGGGTGCATTTTCTTGTATGTATATCTCAATAAAGTTAATTAAAAAAAAATCCGGATTCAGCTGGGTGTGGTGGCTCATGCCTGAATAATCCTAGCACTTTGCGAGGCCAAGGCAGGAGGATCACCTGAGGCCAGGAGTTTGAGACTGGCTTAGGCAATATAGCAAGACCCCACCTCTAAAAAAAAATTTTTTTGTTTTTGAGACAGTGTCTCACTCTCTTGCCCAGGCTGGAGTGCAGTGCCGTGATCTTGGCTCACTGCAGCCTCAGCCTCCTGGGCTCAGGTGATCCTCCCACTTCAGCCTCCCTAGAGCTGGGACTACAGGCATGTACCAGCACATCCAGCTAATTTTTGTACTTTTTTGTAGAGATGGGGTTTTATTATGTTGCCCAGGCTGGTCTTGAACTCCTGGCCTCCAGCAATCCACCCTCCTTGGCCTCGAAAAATGCTGGGATAACAGGCGTGAGCCACCGCACCCAGGCACAATTTTTTTTTTTGAGACGGAGTCTCGCTTTTTTGCCCAGGCTGGAGTGCAGTGGCATGATCTCGGCTCACTGAAGCTCTGCCTCCCGAGTTCACGCCATTCTCCTGCCTCAGCCTCCTGAGTAGCTGGGACTACAGGCACCCGCCACCACGCCTGGCTAATTTTTTTTTTTTTGTATTTTTTTTTTAGTCGAGATGAGGTTGCACCCATGTTAGCCAGGATGGTCTCGATCTCCTGACCTCAGGATCCGCCCACCTCGGCCTCCCAAGTGCTGGGATTATAGGCATGAGCCATCGCGCCCAGCCTTAATTTTTTCTTTTTTTTTTTTTAAATTAGCCAGGTGCGGTGGCATAAGCCTATAGTCCCAGCTACTCAGGAGGCTGAGGCAGGAGGATCACTTGGGCCCAGGAGGTGAAGGCTGCAGTAAGCTATGATGGCACCACTGCACTCCAGCCTGGGCAACAGAGCAAGACTGCATCAAGCAAACAAACAAACAAAACAAAACAAGACAAAACCACGTTGGTAAGTACTTAAAAATCTGAAAAGACCAGTGTTAGTTGGGGAAGATGTGGAGCAAAGGGGACTCCCCCTCTGGTGGCAGTGGGAAGCAGTACAGCCACTGTGAGAGGACATATCCTCCATAAAGGGGACCTGCCCACTCCTACTCCTGGAGCACCTGCTGCACGTGGATGCCTAGGGCCCGTGCACAGTGCTTGTAGCAGCCTTGTTCATGACAGCAAAGCCCAGAAATGACCCAGACAACCAATAACAGGGACACACTCAAAGGAATACTATACAGCTGTAAACACAGACAACAGCTTCAGATGCCCACATGAAACAAACTCACCAATATAATGCTGAATTTAAAAATCAAATTGGAATACAGTACAGGAGATTGATATCATTTATACAAAGTTCAGGCCAGGTACAGTGGCTCATGCCTGTAATCCCAGCACTTTGGGAGGCCGAGGTTGGCAGATCCCGAGGTCAGGAGATTGAGACCCTCCTGGCTAACACAATGAAACCCTGTCTCTACTAAAAATACAAAAAAATTAGCTGGGCATGGTGGCGGGCGCCTGTAGTCCCAGCTACTGGGGAGTCTGAGGCAAGAGAATGGTGTGAACCCAGGAGGCGGAGGTTGCAGTGAGCCAAGATCACACCACTGCACCCCAGCCTGGGTGACAGAGCAAGACTCCATCTCAAAAAAAAAAAAAAAAGTTCAAAACCTGTAAACTAAACAAGATTGTCTGGGGACTACACATTGGTAGTAATCAACCCAAATTGAGGGAAGGGGCATGCACAGTGCACACAGGAGAAGGTGGTAGGTGGTAGGGAGGTAGGGCTACTCCTTCTTAAGCTGGATGGCAGGTGTTTGCTTCACTATGTCATAGTCATTATCTGTGTTATTGTGTACTTATGTGTTATTAACAAAGGGAGAAATAAAGGTCTCAGATGACCCCTCCTCCTTTTTTTGAGACAGAGTCTCACTCTGTCACCCAGGCTGGAGTGCGGTGGCGTGATCTCAGCTCACCGCAACCTCCCACTCCCGGGTTCAAGAGATTCTCCTGCCCCAGCCTCCTGAGCAGCTGGGATTACAGGTGTTCACCACCATACCCGGCTAATTTTTGTATTTTTAGTAGAGACGGGTTTCACCATGTTGGCCAGGCTGGTCTCAAACTCCTGACCACAGGTGATCCACCTGCCTCGGCCTCCCTGAGTGCTGGGATTACAGACACGAGCCACTTCGCCCAGCCTTCAGATGACCCCTTAAACCCACGATGCTGGCAGTGCCCTGAGCCATGACACACACAGGAAGCAGCAGAAGCTTACAGTAGCTCTCTGCACCCCAAGGATGCTTCTGAGGGGTCTGGTTTGTGTCTGGACCTCAGCTGTCTCTTATTACCTTCAGGCTGTCTTGAAATGAGCTTAGACGTCCCACTGCAAAATTCATTTTAATTCACTTCATTTCGGCTCCGTTGTAGGAGGCTGCCCTGAAAGCAAACAGCCAATGCCCTCCCAACAAATGCACACATGGATGCACCCCCAAAAGAAGTGGAAAGTGGGGAGTCTAGTGTTCAAATGAGCTGCAAGTGCCAGCTACCAGATCAAATAACCAGGGGCGACCCAAACAGCCACCACAGAAACTCCCACTGAAGCACCAGGGGAGCTGGAAATCATACGGTCATGTGTGCTCAGGCTATGGATCCGCAGCCTGGGCCTCGGAAGGGCTCCTGAGTGGGAAACTGGGGATGAACATGCCTGGTGGAGGAGGGAGGGAAGTTAGGGTGCATGGCTCCTCCTTTCACAGTGCTGGGGTTAAGTCAGTGGAAATGCATTTCTGGACCTCAGCTTATGCCTCAATAAAAGTTTAATTTATTGTCGGTCAGGCACAGTGGCTCACGCCTGTAATCCCAGCACTTTGGGAGGCCGAGGTGGGTGGATCACGAGGTCAGGAGATCGAGACCAACCTGGCTAACATGGTGAAACCCCGTCTCTACTAAAAATACAAAAAATTAGCTGGGCGTGGTGGCAGGTGCCTGTAGTCCCAGCTACTCGGAAGGCTAAGGCAGGAGAATGGTGTGAATCCAGGAGGCGGAGCTTGCAGTGAGCCAAGATAGCGCCACTGCACTCCAGCCTGGGAGAAAAAGCGAGACTCCATCTCAAAAAGAAAAAAGCCATCCTAATGAGTGTGACACACATCCTTTTACTTTTAATCTATTTGTGTCTATAAGAAACCATTTTAAATATAAAGACACAAACAGATTAAAAGTAAAGGAATGCACTTCACATCCATTAGGATGGCTATCATTAAAATAAAATTCATGGGTAGGGCAAGTACTATGTAATAAAACATTCCCTATTTCTCACTTCCATCCCTTAAAACATTGCTGACATTCATGTTACTTACCCATAAGCTATAATCACCAAATACATTTTTACTATTATTATTTTGAGCAAACTTAGATCCATTAAAAGTAAAAATTATTTTATCTTATCTTCATTTTTCCCCTTTTTTTTTTTTATTTTTGAGACGGAGTCTCACTCTGTTGCCCAGGCTGGAGTGCAGTGGCGTGATCTCAGCTCACTGCAATCTCTGCCTCCCAGTTCATGCCATTCTCCTGCCTCAGCCTCCCAAATAGCTGGGACTACAGGTGCCCGCCACCATGCCTGGCTAATTTTTGTACTTTTAGTAGAGACGGGGTTTCACCGTGTTAGCCAGGATGGTCTTGATCTCCTGACCTCGTGATCCACCCACCTCAGCCTCTCAAAGTGCTGGAATTACAGGCGTGAGCCACCGTGCCCAGCCCATTTTTTCCTTTTCTAATGCTATTGTTTCCTTATGTAGATCCAAATTTTAGACCTGTATCATTTTCCTTCTCTCTGAAGAACTTTAAACATTCTTTGCAAGGCAGGTCTACTGGTGATAAATTCCCTAAGTTTTGGTTTATGTGAGAAAGTATTTATCCTCCACTTTTGAAGGATAGTTTCACTGGATACAAAAGTCTAGGTTTGTAGTTTTGTTTTCCTTTGAAAACTTTCTATCACTCTAATCTCTTCTTGTTTGCAAGGCTTTTGAAGAGAATCTGAGGTAATTCTTACCTCTGTTCCTCTGTAGGTAAGGTGTTTTTTCCCTCTGGCTTCTTTCAATATTTTCTCTTTGTCTTTTGTTTTCTGCTATGTCTAGGTGTAGGTTTTTTGGCACATATCCTGCTTGGTATTCTTTTGAGCTTTCTAGATCTGTGGTTAGGAATCTGTCATCAATTTTTTAAAATTCTCAATTATTATTTCAAGTACTTCCTCTGTTCCCTTTTCTCTTTCTTCTCCTTCTGGTATTCCCATTATGTGTATGCTACACTTTTTGTAATTGTACCAAAGTTCTTGGATATTGGATTCCATTTGTTCATTCCTTTTTCTCTTTGCTTTTCAGTTTGGGAAATTTCTATTGACATATCTTGAAGCTCACTGATTCTTTCCTTGACAATGTCCAGCCTACTAGTAAGCCCATCAAAAGCTTTCTTTACTTCTGTTATAGTGGTTTTTATCCCCTTTTGATTCTTTGGGTTTCCATTCCTTTGCTTACATTACCCATCTGTTCTTGCATATTGTTCACTTTTGCCATTAGAGCCCTTAACATGTTATTCATACTTATTTTAAATTCCCAGTCTAATAATTCCAAAATCTCTGCCATATCTGAGTCTAGTTCTGCTGCTTGCTTTGTCTCTTGAGACTGTGTTTTTTTACCTTTTAGCATGCCTTGTAATTTTTTGTCAAAAGCCAGACATAATATATTGGGTAAAATAAACTGAGGCAAATAGGCCTCTAGTGTGAGGTTTTATGTTTATTTGGCTAGAAGTTAGGCTTTGTTTACTGTTTGGCATAGCTGTAGGTGTCAGAGGCTAAATTTCCCCTCTCTCTCTCTTTTTTTTTTTTTGTTTTGTTTCCCCTGGAGACTTCTTAATAGGGTCTGAGCCTTGCAGTTCCTTCCACTGTAATCCCTAATCCCCTGTGTTGTGCTTTTTGTTTTGTTTTGTTTTGTTTTTTTGTGAGACGGAGTCTCATTCTGTCACCCAGGCTAGAGTGCAGTGGCACTATCTTGGCTCACTGCAACCTCCACCTCCCAGGTTCAAGCGATTCTCCTGCCTCAGCCTCCCAAGTAGCTGGGACTACAGGCACATGCCATCACGCCTGGCTAATTTTTGTATTTTTGGTAGAGACGGGGTTTTGCCATGTTGGCCAGGCTGGTCTCAAACGCCTGACCTTGTGAACTGCCAACCTCAGCCTCCCAAAGTGCTGGGATTACAGGTGTCAGCCACTGCGCCTGGCCATCCCTTGTTATTATTAAACAGGAGCCCAACTGATATGGTGGTAAAATGTCAGGCAATGATAAATGATCTATAACCCCATGGTTATCTCAGTCTTTTGGTGGGTCTGGGCTCCCTGGGATGTTACAGTCACAGGTGCTTTTGGCTTTTTTCCCTCCTTAGATGAGACAGGAGGGCTACATAGAGCTGATGTTAGGAATTTCCATCTTTCCAAGTTAGTGAGGCTCTGGTGAAACAGTTTCCCTTGAGGCCAGGCCTTTGTTAGAGAGAACAGAGAGCTCTGGGCATATTGCAACATAGCTACTTTCCTCTTGCCTGCCAGTAGCAGGACGCTTTTCTTTGTTCTAAGTCTAAGAACTTGGAGGGGCTCCTGAAGGTAAAGCTTACAAAGCACCGATTAATGCAAGTATCCTTGTTTTATCTCCTAGGGAGATAGGCAGTCAGTCTTTCACCATTGAGTATAATGTTAGGTGTGGATTTTTCATAAATGCCCTTATCACACTGAGGAAATTCCCTTCCATTCTTGGTTTTCTGAGTTTTTTTTTTTTTAATCATAAAAGAGTTAGATTTTGTCAAATACTTTTCTTATATCAGCTGAAATAATCATGTGGTTTTCTTTCTCTTCATTCTGTTAATGCGGTGTATTACACTGATTTTCTTATGTTGAACTACCCTTGCATTCCTGTAATAAATCTTGCTTTGTCATACTGTATAATACTTTTAATATTCTGTTACATTGAGTTTGCCATTATTTTATTGAGAATTTTTTACATTTACAGTCATATGGAAATATTGCTTTTTTTTTTTTCTTGTGGTGTCTTTAGGTAGCTTTGGTATACATGTAATAATTGCTCCATAGAATGAGTTAAAAAGTGTTCCTTTTTAGGGAAGAAAACTTTTTTAAAAAGGAGGTTTGGTGTTCATTATTCTTTTCTTTTTTTTTTAGACAGAGTTTTGCTCTTGTTGCCCAGCCTGGAGTGCAATGGCACGATCTCAGCTCACTGCAACCTCCGCCTCCCGGATTCAAGCAATTCTCCTGCCTTAGCCTCCCAGGAGCTGGGATTACAAGCATGCGCCACCATGCCTGGCTAATTTTTTTTGTATTTTTAGTAGAGATAGGGTTTCTCCATGTTGGTCAGGCTGGTCTCAAACTCACAACCTCAGGTGATCCGCCTGCCTCCGCCTCCCAAAGTGCTGGGATTACAGGCATAAGCCACCGTGCCTGGCCAGTGTTCATTATTCTTTAAGCGTTTTGTAGACTTCAATAAGAAAGTCCTGTAGTTTGAGATGTTTTTTTTGCTGGGAGGTTTTAAATTACTGATTTAATCTATTTACATATTATAGGCTTGTTCGTATTTTCTATTTCATCTTGAGTCAGTTTTGATAATTTGTGTGTTTCTAGGAAGTTGTCTTTCATCTAGGTTATCTAATTTGTTGGTGTTCATCGTTTTTTCTCTTACATTTCATTTCTTCTCTTACATTTCATTTCTGTAAGGTTGATAGTAATGTCTCCACTTCTATTGCTGATTCTAGTTATTCACATTTCTTCTTTTTTTCTTTGTCAGTCAAGCTAAAGGTTTGTAGATTTGTTATTTTTATTTATTTTTTTTGGAGACGGAGTCTCACTCTGTTGCCCAAGCTGGAGTGCAGTGGTGTGATCTCAGGTCAACCTCCAACTCCTGGGTTCAAGCGATTCTTGTGCCTCAGCCTCCCAAGTAGCTGGAATTACAGGCACCCACCACCACATCCGGGTACTTTTTTGTATTTTAAGTAGAGACAGGGTTTCACCATTTTGGCCAGGCTGGTCTCAAACTCCTGACCTCAGGTGATGTACCTGCCTTGACCTCTCAAAGTGCTGGGATTACAGGTATGAGCCACCATGCCCAGCCTTATTTATTGACTTTTTAATTGTAGTCATTCTGACTGGTGTGAGACGGTATTTCATTGTGGTTTTGATTTGCATTTCTCTAATGATTAGTGATGTTGAGCACTTTTTCATACAATTGTTGGCAAAGTGTATGTCTTCTTTGAGAAGTATCTGTTCATGTCCTTTGCCCATTTTTTAATGGGGTTGTTTGTTGCTTGTTGATCTGTTTAAGTTCCTTATAGATTCTGGATATTAGATCTTTGTCAGATGCATAGTTTCTGAATATTTTCACTCACTCTTTCTGTAGGCTGTCTGCTTATACTGTTGATTGTTTCTTTTGCTATGCAGAGGCTCTTTAATTTAATTAGATCCCACTTGTCAATTTTTGTTTTCATTGCAACTGCTTTTGGAGTCTGTGTCAGGAAATCTTTGCCAAGGCCTATGTCCAGAATAGTATTTCCTGGGTTTTCTTCTAGGGTTTTTATAAAAAGTTTTAGGTTATTATATTTAAGTCTTTAATTCATGGAGTTTTCTTAATATGGTGAAAGGAAGGGTCCTAGTTTCAATCTTCTACATATGGCTAGCCAGTTATCCTAGCACCATTTACTGAATAGGGAGTCCTTTCCCTATTGCTTGTTATTGTCAGTTTTTCAAAGATCAGATGGCTGTAGGCGTGTGACTTTATTTCTGGGTTCTCTAACCTGTTCCACCGGTGTATGTGGTCTGTTTTTGTACGAGTACTATGTTGTTTTGGTTACTGTAGCCTTGTAGTATAGTTTGAAGTAGGTAGTGTGAAGCCTTGGGCTTTGTTCTTTTTGCTTAGGATTGCTTTGGCTATTCAAGCTCTTTTTTGGTTCCATATGAATTTTAGAATAGTTTTTTTCTAATTCTGTGAAAAATGGTGTTGGTAGTTTGATAAGATAGCATTGAATCTATAAATTGCTTTGGGAAGTATGGCCATTTTAACAATACTGACTCTTCCTATCCATCCATGAGCATGGAATGTTTTTCCATTTGTTTATGTCATCTCTGATTTCTTTCAGCATTTTATAATTCTTGTTGTAGAGATCTCTTACACCCCTGGTTAGCTGTATTCCTAGGTATTTTATTCTTTTTTTTCTTTTTTTTTTCTTTGAGATGGAGTCCCGCTCTGCCGCCCAGTCTAGAGCGCAATGGCACCATCTTGGCTCACTGCAACCTCCACCTCCCAGGTTCCAGCAATTCTCCTGCCTCAGCCTCCCAAGTAGCTGGGATTACAGGCGCCCACCACCACACCCAGTTAATTTTTTTATTTTTAGTAGAGAAGGGGTTTCACCATGTTGGCCAGGCTGGTCTTGAACTCCTGACCTCAGGTGACCCACCCACCTCAGCCTCCCAAAGTGCAGAGATTACAGGCATAAGCCACTGTGCCCAGCTGGCATTTTATTCCTTTTGTGCCAATTATGAATGGGATTGTGTTCTTCATTTAGCTCTCAGGTTGAATGTTATTGGTGTATAGAAATGCTACTGGGTTTTGTACATTGAATTTTGTACCTTGAAACTTAACTGAAGTTGTTTATCAGTTCTAGGGCCCTTTGGGCACAGACATTAGGGTTTTCTAGGTATGGAATCATATCATCTGTGAAGAGAAATAGTTTGACTTCCTCTCTTCCTATTCAGATGCCTTCTATTTCTTTCTCTTGCCCGATTGCTCTGGCTAGGTCTTCCAGTACTATGTTGAATAGGAGTGGTGAGAGTGGGCATCTTTGTCTTGTTCTGGTTCTCATGGGGAATGCTTCCAGCTTTTGCCTGTTCAGTATGATGTTGGCTGTGTGTTTGTGATAGATGGCTCTTATTAATTTGAGGTATGTTCCTTCAATACCTAGTTTGTGGAGGGCTTTTAACATGAAAGGATGTCGAATTTTTTCAAAAGCCTTTTCTGCATCTATTGAGATGATAATGGGGTTTTTGTTTTCAGTTCTGTTTATGTGAGAAATCACATTTATTTAATTGTATATGTTGAACCAACCTTGCATCCCAGGAATAAAGCTTACTTGGTCATAGTGGATTAGCTCTTAAATGTGCTGCTGGATTCAATTTGCTAGTGTTCTGCTGAGGATTTTTGCATCTAATTTTATCAGGGATATTAGCTTAAAGTTTTATTTTTTTCACCAGGTTTTGGTATCAGAATGATTCCGGCCTCATAGAATAAATCAGGGAGGAGGTCTGTCTCCTCAATTTTTTAGAATTGTTTCAGTAGGATTTGTACCAGCTATTCTTTACATGTCTGGTAGAATTCAGCTGTGAATCCATCTGGTCCAGGGCTTTTTCTGGTTGGTAGGTTTTTGTTGTTGTTGTTGTTGTTGTTACTATTGATTCAATTTTGGAACTTGTTATTGGTCTGTTCAAGTATTCAATTTCTTCCTGGTTCAATATTGGTAAGTTGAATGTTTACAGCAATTTATCCATTTCTTCTAGGTTTTCTAGTTTGTGTGCATAGAGATGTTCATAATACTTTCTGAGGGTTTCTTGTATTTCAGTGAGGCCAGTGGTAATGTCACCGTTGTCATTTCTGATTGTGTTTCTTTGGATCTTCTCTCTCTTTTTTTCTTTATCAGTCTAGCTAGAGGTCTATGAGTCTCATTTTTTTTTTCACCATAAACATATATCATTTTTATTTGACAATTAAAATAAGTTAATTAATTGATAATAATAATAAAATTGAGTATAGTAGCTCAGTCATTCACTCCTTGTACTTTTTGACTCTATCTTCTTCAGAGAGGACAAATTCAGCACTGTTCTTGGCTGTGAGATCAATAGCGCTCCACTGCAGGGAAGACCTATGGGTTACATGTCTGTCCACACCTGGGGTTTACTCTCTTTTTTTTTATTATACTTTAAGTTTTAGGGTACATGTGCACAACGTGCAGGTTAGTTACATATGTATACATGTGCCATGTTGGTGTGCTGCACCCATTAACTCGTTATTTAACATTAGGTATATCTCCTAATGCTATCCCTCCCCCCTCCCCCCACCCCACAACAGGCCCGGGTGTGTGATGTTCCCCTTCCTGTGTCCATGTGTTCTCATTGTTCAATTCCCACCTGTGAGTGAGAACATGCGGTGTTTGGTTTTTTGTCCTTGCGATAGTATTTCAAAGAACCAACTTTTGGTTTCATTGATCTTTTGTATGGGTTTTCACATGTCAACTTTGTTCAGTTCAGCTCTCATTTTAGTTATTTTTCTTCTGCTGGCTTTAGGGTTGGTTTGCTCTTGTTTTTCTAGTTCCTCTAAGTGTGATGTTAGGTTGTTAATTTGAGATCTTTCTGACTTTTTGATGTGGGTGCTCACAGCTATAAACTTTCCTCTTACCACTGCTTTAGCTGTGTCCCAGATATTCTGGTATGTTGCATCCTTGTTTTCAATAGTTTCAAAGAGTTTCTTGATTTCTGCTTTAATTTCATTCTTTACCCAAAGTCATTCAGGAGCCAGTGGTTTAATTTCCATATATGGTATTGAGAGATCTTCTTGTTTTTAATTTCTATTTTTATTGCACTGTGGTTGAGAGTGTGGTTGGTTTGTTTTTTTTTTAACTTGTTGAGAATTGCTTTATGGCTGAGTGTGCAGTCAATCTTAAGAGTATGTGCCATGTGTACATAAGAACAGAAAAACGTATATTCTGTTGTTGGGTGGAGCATTCTGTAGATGTCTGTCAGGTGCATTTGGTGAAGTGTTGAGTTTAGGTCCCAAATACCTTTATTAGTTTTCTGTCTCAATGTTCTGTCCAACACTGTCAGTAGGGTGTTGAAGTCCCCTACTATTATTATGTGGTTATTTAAGTCTCTTTGTAGGTCTCTAATAATTTGTTTTATGAATCTGGGTGCTCCAATTTGGGATGCATATATATTTAGGATAGTTGAATTGAACTCTTTATCATTAATGGAATGTCCTTCTTTGTCCTCTTTGAGCATTGTTGGTTTATATTTTGTCTGAAGTAAGAATAGTAACTCTTGTTCTTTTTCGTTTTCTCTTTGCTTCACAGATCTTTCTCCATTGCTTTACTTTGGGCTTATGAGTGTCATGCATATAAGATGGGTCTCTCTCTTTTTAAATTCTTTCACTATGTTGCCTAGGCTGGTCTTCAACTCTTGGGCTCAAGTGATCCTCCTGCTTTGTCCTCCTAAAGTGCTGGGATTAGAGATGTGAGCCACCACTCCTAGCCAAGAGATGGGTCTCTTGAAGACAGCATACAGTTGGGTCTTGCTTCTTTATCCAACTTGCCACTCTGTGCCTTTTAAGTGGGATGTTTTCTCATTTACATTCAAGGTTAATATTGATATGTGAGGATTTGATCCAGTCATGTTGTCAACTGGTTGTTACACAGACTTGATTGTATAGTTGCTTTATAGTGTCAGTGGACTATGTGTTTTTATGGTGGCAGGCAACAGTCTTTTGTTTTGTATTCCATATTTAGCACTCCCTTAAGGACCTCTTGTAAGGCAGTCTGGTAATAATGAATTTCCTTAGTGTTTGCTTGTGTAAAAAGGATTTTATTTATCCTTTGCTTATGAAGCTTAATTTAGCTGGATATGACATTCTTGGTTGGAATTTTGTTTCTTTAAGGATGCTGAATATATTTCCCCAATCTCTTCTTGTTTGTAAGGCTTCTGCTGAAAAGTCTACTATTAGCCTGATGGGGTTCCCGTTGTATGTGACCTGCCCCTTCTCTCTAGCTGCCTTTAACATTTCTTCTTTTGTGTTGACCTCAGAGAATCTACTGAGTATGTGTCTTGGGGATGGTTGCCTGATACAGTATCTTTCTAGGGTGCTCCAAATTTCCTGAATTTGCATGCCAGTCTCTCTACTGAGGTTGAGGAAATTTTGGGGCCAATATCCTCAAATATGTTTTCCAAGTTGCTTGCTCTCTCTTTCTGAGATGCCAATCGATTATAGGTTTGGTCTCTTTACATAATCCCATATTTCTCAGAGGCTTTGCTCATTAAAATTTTTTCTTCATTTTTGTCTGAGTTGATTTGAAGAACTAATCTGTGAGCTCTGAGATTCTTTCCTCAGGTTGGTCTATTCTGCTGTTAATACTTCTGATTGTATTATGAACTTATAGCAAGTTTTTCAGCTCTAGATCAGTTTGATTCTTTCTAAAATGGCTATTTCATCTTTCAGCTCTTGTATGATTTTGTTGGATTCCTTAGATTCCTTGGATTGGCTTTCACCTTCCTCCTGAATCTCAATGATCTTTATTGCCATCCAGATTCTGAATTCTATGTCATTTCAGCTATTTCAGTCTGACTAAGGACCATTGCTGGGGATCTAATATGGTTGTTTGGAGTTAAGAAGACGTTCTGGCTGTTAGAGTTGCCAGAGTTCTTCCACTGGTTCTTTCTCATCTGTGTGGGGTGATGTTCACTTAATGTTTGAAGCTGCTGTCCTTTGAATGGAGCTTTTTGCTTTTATATTCTTTGATGTGCTTGAGGGTTGAACTATGGTATAAGTTGGGTTTAGTCAATTGGCTTTGTTTCTGGATGATTTCATGGGGCCAAGACTCAGCTCTGCACTCCCAGGCTGAGTGCTCTAAACCTGGGGGTGCTGGGACCAGACCTGCAGCCTTTTTCTCTGGCCCCACTAGGTTAAGAATCTGCTGCACTGGTGGGGCTGAGGTTTTCCCAGTCTCCTGCCAAAAACACCCTTATGGAGGGGGGCTGGCAAAAGTGATTCCATGGGGCACTGATGGGGTGACAGGGGTCCCCACATGTGCACACTAGAGGCAGGGCAGTGGTGGGTCTCACACACATGCACCAGTAGCATGTCCCACTTGTGGCATGCATATTTTTCAGGATTTTCCATGTACAGCTGACCCTTGAACAATGCAGAAGTTAGGGATGCCAACCCCTGCCCCTGCAATCAAGTTAAAAATCCACATACAACTTTTGACTCCTCGAAATCTTAACTGGAAGCCTTAATGATAATATAAACAGTTGATTAACACATATTTTCTGTTATATGTGTCATATGCTGTATTCTTACAATAAAGTGATCTAGAGAAAAGAAAATGTTATTAAGGTTATAAAGAAAATACATTTATAGTAATGTATAATATTTATCAATACCATAAGTTTACAATGTCTGTTTGCAAGATGAAGCATTATGGTGGGCAACTGCAATCGCAGACCTCAATCTATAGTACATATTAAGCAATTCAACTTTTTCTTGTAACGTCATGACTTTTCTCTGCTTCTTGGGAGAACTTTCAGCATCATTGGTGGCATTTCATATGGGTCTCAAGGTGTTATTCAAGGTTTATGGTATTGGACCAAACATGATGAAAAATATGTGAAATATGTGAAAACTGTGAAAGACCACTTTTTTCTCTGATACTTTACTGGAGAGATGAACTGCTCACACAGAGGTGATTAGCATCAGATGGCATTTTAAGCAGACAATCAAAACACATAAGTTCACTGCAATAGAAAGGGAGGTGGCTATGAAATTATTACAATAGTACAGTATGCACTACAGTTAATCTTATGCCATTATGATTTAATACTGCATCTTTAAGTTTGTTTATATTTCTCTTGACTGAATGACACCATGTACAGTCTTTGTGTGCATACGTTTTGGTAAAGTTTATGTTTGTGTATATTTTATGGTAGTCAATTATAAAATAAACTAATATCAGCATATATTTTAGGCATTCATGACATATCTTTTACTTAAGTTTTTCAATATTTCTAAACTACATGGTCTGCCTGTGAGATTTTGCAAATTGTCACAAATCACCAAAAAAATTTTCCAATATATTTATTGAAAAACATCCATGTATTGTGGCCAGGCTCAGTGGCTCATGTCGGTAATCCCAACACTTTGGGAGGCTTAGGCAGGTGGATCGCTTAAGCTCAGGAGTTCAAGACCAGCCTGGGCAACATGGTGAAACCCCATCTCTTCAAAAAAATACAAAAACTAGCTGGGCACGGTGGCGTGGGCCTGTAGAGACTCAGGAGGCTGAGGCAGGAGGATGGCTTGAGCCCAGGAGATGGAGGTTGCAGTGAGCCGAGATTGTGCCACTGTACTATAGCCTAGGCGAAAGAGCCAACCCTGTCTCAAAAAAAAAAAAAAAAAAAAGCAAGCCAGGCACAGTGACTCAGGCCTGTAATCCCAGCAGTTTAAGAGTCTGAGGCAGGTGGATCACTTGAGGCCAGGAGTTCGAGGCAAGCTTGGGCAACGTGGTGAAACCCTGCCTCTACAAAAAATACAAAAATTAGCCAGGCATGGTGGCATACACCTGTGGTCCCAACTACTCAGGAGGCTGAGGTGTAAGAATCACTTGAGCCTGGGAGGCAGAGGTTGCAGTGAGCTGTGATTATGCCACTGTACTACAGCCTGCGTGACAAAATGAGACCCTGTCTCAAAAAAAAAAAAAAAAAAAGTCACTGCCATTCCCCAGGTCATTTAGATTTTCTATATTTTCTAAGAGTTGTACAGTTCTGCATTTTGCATTTAGGTCTGTAATCCATGTTGAGTAATTCTTTATGAAGAATATGAGGTCTTTGCCTAAAATCATTTTTTGCATGTGGAAGACCAGTTGTTCCAGCACCATTTGTTAAAAAGATTGTCTTTTCTCTTCTATACTTCCTTTGTTCCTTTCTCAAAGATCAGTTGACTATAGTTGTGTGGGTCTATTTCTAGGCTCTCTATTCTGTTTGTCTATGCTTTTGCCAATACCACACTGACCATTCTATCTTGATTACTGTAGTTTTATAGTCTTTAAGACATGTAGTATCAGGCCTTTAGCTTTGTTCCTCTCCTTCAATATTGAGTTGTCTATTCTCTCCATATGAACTTTAGAATTAGTGCGTCAATATCCACAAAATAACTTGCTCTGATTTTGATTGGGATTATATTGATTGTACAAATCAAGTTAAAGATTGACATTGTGACAATACTGAGTATTCCTACCAATGAATACAAAAGATCTGTATTTTTTTCTGATTTCTTTAATCAGTTTTCTAGTTTTCCTCATATAGATCTTTCCTCATATAGATCTAACATATTTTGTTAGATTTATACCTAATTATTTCATTTGGGGGGATAGTAATGTAAATGGTGTTATGTTTTTAATTGCAAATTCCACTTGTCCATTGCTGGTATATAGGAAAGCAATTGATTTTTATATACCTTGTATCCTACTGTTGGCCTATAATTGCTTATTAGTTCCAGGGGGTTTTTGTTGTTGTTTATTCTTTCAGATTTTCTATATAAACAATTATGTCATCTGCATATGACAGTTTTATTTCTTCCTTCTCAATCTGGATACCATTTATTTACTTATTGTTTATTTATTTGTTGAGACAGGGTCACCCAGGCTGAAGTGCAATGGTGGGACTACAGGTGCGTGCCACCATGCCCAGATAATTTTTGTATCTTTTGTAGAGACAGGGTTTCACTATGCTGCCCAGGCTGGTCTCGAATTCCTGGGTTGAAGCAATCTGCCCAAACTACTGTGATTACAGGCATGAGCCAGTGTCCCCAGCCCCTCTCCCCCTTTTTTGGGTCTTACCACATTAGCTAGGATTTCCAGTAGAATACTGAAAAGAACTGGTGACAGGGGACATCCTTGCCTTTGTTCCTCATCTTAATGGGAAAACTTGAGGTCTCTCACCATTAATTATGATGTTAGTTGTATTTTGCTGATGTTCTTTTTATGAAATTGAAGAAGTTCCCCTCTATTCCTAGTTTGCTGAGAGTTTTTCTTTTTAATCATAAATGGGGTTGGATTTTGTCAAATGCCTTTTCTGCATTTATTGATAGGATAGGGTGATTTTTCTTCTTTACCCTGTTTATGTGATGGATTACATGAATTGATTTTCCAATTTTGATACAGCTTTGCATACCTGGGATAAATTCCCCTTGGTCATAGAGCATAATTCTTTTTACACATTTTTGGATTTGATTTGCTAATATTTTGTTGAGGACTTTTGCATCTTTGTTCATTAGAAATACTGGTTTGTCCTTTTCTTTTCTGTTAATGTCTTTGTCTGGTTTTGGTAATAGGACAATGCTGGCTTCATAGAAAGTGTTAGGAAGTTTCCCCTCTGTTTCTATCTTCTGGAACAGACTGTAGAGGATTGGTATAATTTTTTCCTTAAATGTGTGGTAGATGCCAGGCGTGGTGGCTCACGCCTGTAATCCCAACACTTTGAGAGGCCAAGACGGGCAGATCAGTTGAGGTCAGGAGTTTGAGACCAGCCTGGCCCAACATGGTGAAACGCTGTCTCTACTAAAAATACAAAAATTAGCCGGGCGTGGTGGTGTGTGCCTATAATCCCAGCTACTCAGGAAGCTGAGGCAGGAGAATTACTTGAACCCAGGAGGTGGAGGTTCTAGTGAGCCGAGATCGCGCCACTGCACTCCAGCCTGGGCATAAAGAGCGAAACTCCGTCTCAAAAAAAAAAAAAGTGTGGTAGAATTCACTGGTAAACCCATGTGGGCCTTGCACTTATGTTCTGAAAGTTATTGATTACTGATTTAATTTTTTTAATAGATATAGGCCCATTATCTATTTCTTCTTGTGTTCTGGCAGATTCAGTCTTTCAAAAAATGGGTCTATTTCATGTAGGTTATTGAATTTGTGGGCACAGACTTGTTCATAGTATTCCTTTATTATTCTTTTGATGTCCATGTGATCTGCAGGGATGTCCCCTTGTTCATTTCTGACATTTGTAGTTTGTCTTTTTTCTCAATTAGCTTGAATAGAAGTTTTCCATTTAAAAAAAATTTTTACCAGCCAGGTGCGGTGGCTCACGCCGGTAACCCCAGCACTCTGGGAGGCTGAGGCGGGCGGATCACAAGGTCAGGAGATCGAGACCATCCTGGCTGACACGGTGAAACCCCATCTTTACTAAAAAAAAAAAAAAAAAAAAAAAAAAAAAAATTAGCCAGGCATAGTGGCGGGCGCCTTTAGTCCCAGCTACTGGGTAGGCTGAGGCAGGAAAATGGCATGAACCCAGGAGGCGGAGCTTGCAGTGAGTCGAGATCATGCGACTGCACTCCAGCCTGGTTGACAGAACGAGACTCTCAAAAAAAAAAAATCTTTTCAAAGAGCTAACTTTGGGTCTCATTGATTTTTTTTTCCTGTTTCCAATTTCATTGATTTCTGCTCTACTTTTTCTTTTCTTCTGCTTACCATAGATCTAAAATTGTTCTTTTCCTACCTTCCTAAAGTAGGTGTGTATTCATTTTACATCTTTTTTCTTTTCTTTTCTTTTCTTTTTGTTTTTTTTGAGATGGAGTCTCGCTCTGTCACCCAGGCTGGAGTGCAGTGGCGCAATCTCGGCTCACTGCAAGCTCCAACTCCCAGGTTCACACCATTCTCCTGCCTCAGCCTCCCGAGTAGCTGGGACTACAGGCGCCCACCACCACGCCCGGCTAATTTTTTTGCATTTTTAGTAGAGACGGGGTTTCACCGTGTTAGCCAGGATGGTCTCGATCTCCTGACCTCGTGATCCGCCCGCCTGAGCCTCCCAAAGTGCTGGGATTACAGGCGTGAGCCACTGCGCCCGGCCATCTTTTTTCTTTTCTAATATGTGCAACCCAATAGAATACATTTCCCTCAATGCACTGCTTTAGCCGTATTCTAAACTTTTAAGTTGTACTTTCATCTTCATTTAGTTCAAAGTATTTTAAAATTTATCTTGAGATTTCTTCTGTGATTATGTACTATTCAGATTTATGTTGTTTCACCTCCAAGTATTGGGGGACTTTCCAGCTATCTTTCTGTTGATTTCTAGTTTAATTCTTCTGTGATTCTGGGAGCAGACATTTCATGATTTCTTTCCTTTTCAATTTATGAAGGTGTGTCTTATGGCCCAGATATGGTATATCTTAGTGAATGTCCCACGTGAGCTTGACAAGAAAGTGTATTCAGCTTCTATTGGATCAAGCCGTCTAAGTCAATTATATCAAGTTGATTGATGGTGTTGAGCTCAACGATGTCCTTACTGATTTTTTTTGCTTACCGGATCTGTTCATTTCTGATAGAGCAGTGCTGAAGATTCCACCTATAACAGTTAATTTGTCTGTTTTTCCTTGCAGTTCTAAGAGTTTTTACCTTATGTATTTTGGCACTGTACAGTTAGGTGCGTCCACATAAAGGACTGTTGCCTACTTGAGGAACTGATCCTGTTCTCATTATGTAATGCCCCTCTTTATTGCTGATAACTTTCCTTGCTCTAAGTCTGCTCTAAAATAATATAGCTACTCCCAGTTTCTTTGATTAGCATTAGTATGGTATACCTTTCCCCATCCCTTAACTTTTAATTGATACCTATCTTTATATTTAAAGTAGGTTTCTTGTAGACAACTGCTGTGGTTTGAATGTGGTCTGTTCCTGCCAAAACTCGTGTTGAAATTTGATCCTCAACGTGACACTGTTGGGATGTGGGGACTAGTGGGAGGTAGGTATTTGGGTCATAGGAGTAGACCCATCATAAACAGATTAATGCCCTTCTCTGGGGGTGTGTTCTTGCTTGGGTGGGAATAGATTAGTTTCCTTGAGAGTGGGTTGCTGAAATCTGGCTTCCTTAGTTTCTCTCTCTTGCTTCTCCTCTTAATGTGTAATCCCTTTGTACATGCCAACTCTCTGCCATGAGTTGAAGCAGCCTAAGGCCCCCAACAGATGTGGCTGCCCAATCTTGAACCTTCCAGCCATCAGAATTGTGGGCCAAATACCTGAATACCAGAATACTGAGGCCCAGCCTCAGGCATTCATTGTTATAACAACACAAAATGGACTGAGATAACAACATATAGTCTTGCTTTTTCATCCACTTTGAAATTTTTTTTTTTTTTTTGAGATGGAGACTCACTCTGTTGCCCAGGCTGGAGTGCAGTGGTGCAATCTCAGCTCACTGCAACCTCCACCTCCCAGGTTCAAGTGATTCTCTTGCCTCACCCTCCTGAGTAGCTGGGATTACAGGCACGCACCACCACACCCAGCTGATTTTTGTATTTTTAATAGAGACGGGTTTCACCATATTGCCAGGCTGGTCATGAACTCCTGACTTCAAGTGATCCACTCACCTTGGCCTCCCAAAGTGCTGGGATTATAGGTGTGAGCCACCGTGCCCGGCCAACAATCTTTTTATTATCCTTTTTCTTTCTGTAAGGTCATTATTAATGACCCCACTCTCATTCTTGATTTTAGCATTTACACCATTGATGTTTAAAGTGATAACTGATAAGGCTGGATTAATTTCTACCATTTGTTACTGTCTTCTATTGTTGTCCTTATTCTTTGTTTCTACTTTTATTTTCCACCTTTTCTTTTTTGCTTTTTGTGGTTTTAATTGGGCATTTCATAAGTGTCTTAGTCCATTAGAGCATAAAAACAAAATAGACTGGCTTAGAAACATCAGAAGTTTATTTCTTTCTTTGTTTTTTTTTTGAGATGGAGTCTCGCTCTGTTGCCCAGGCTGGAGTGCAGTGGCGCGATCTCGGCTCACTGCAAGCTCTGCCTCCCGGGTTCACGCCATTCTCCTGTCTCAGCCTCCCCAGTAGCTGGGACTACAGGTGCCCACCACCATGCCCGGCTAATTTTTATATTTTTAGTAGAGACGGGGTTTCACTGTGTTAGCCAGGATGGTCGCGATCTCCTGACCTCGTGATCCGCCCACTTCCGCCTCCCAAAGTGCTGGGATTACAGGCGTGAGCCACTGCACCCGGCCCCGAAGTTTATTTCTAGCATTTCTGGAGGATGGGAAATCCAAAATCAAGGTGCCAGCAGACCTGGCTCACTTCTTGGGGCATAGAAAGTCATCTTTTCACTGTAACTTCAGATGGTGGAAGGGAAGAGCAACCTCTCTAGGTTTTGTTTTGTTTTTGTTGTTGCTGTTGGTTTTAAATAAAGACACTTTTCTCATCACGACAGCTCTGACCTCATGACCTAATCACCACCTAAAGGCTCCACTTTGTAATCCTAGCACTTTTGGGGTTAGAATTTCAACATATGAATTTTGAGGGAACACATTTAGACCCCTAGCATTCCACTCTTGCTCCCCTCAAATTCATGTCTATGTCACAAGCAAAATACATTAATTCCATCCCAATAGCCCCCAAACTCTTAAAACATTCCAGCACCAACTCCAAAATCTCCAGTTCAGAGTTTCATCTAAATCAGATATAGGTGAGACTGAAAGTATGACTCATTCTGAGGTAAACTGCTCTCTAGCAGTGAAACAAACATGTTCTGTGCTTCCAAAATACAATGGTGGGATGGGCATAGGATAGATATTTCCATTTTAAAAGGGAGAAATAGGAAAGAAGAAAACAGTGACTGGTCCCAAGTAAGTCTGAAACCCAACAGAGGAAACAACATGAAATGTTACGGCTTGAGAATAATCATTGGCTCAATGTTCTGCCCTCCAGGCCCACTAAGGTGATAGTGCCACCTTCAGGACACAATGTGGTAGCAGCCCTGCCCCGTGGCTTTGGGTGGCCTTGCCCCTGAGGCAGCCATGTGCTTGTGCCTTGCTCCTGCCTCCACAGTAGCTCTGTGCCTGGGTCATGCATCTGAGGCTCTCCTGGAAACCACCACTGGTGACTCTACTGGTCTGGACTCATGGGCCTAGTGGGGGCCCTCTGTAGTGGCCCTTCCCCAACAGTGATTCTCCGTCTCAGCCCCATGGCTCTCTTGGGGCATCCTTTTAATTCTGGGGGAAGGCAGCCATGCCCCCACATCTTTCTACTCAGGGCCCGTGATGGGATGGGTAGCTGTGATGATCTCAGAAATGCCTTTGGGGTCATTCTTCCATTGCCTTAAAAATTAGGTCCTCGCTTCTGTTTATAGATGGCAGACCAATCTTTCTCTTAACACCTGGCTTTCCCTGAGATGGTCAATCCATACTAATCACCTCATCAAAGAGTTACTTGGCCAGACCCTTTCCTCCTGAACAAGGTTTTTCATTTTTTCCAATATGGATTGGCTGAGTTTTCCAAATTTCTGAGTTCTGCTTCCCTTTTGATCAACAATTCTAAATTATCTTTCTTCTCTCATTTTACTATAAACAATTCAAAGGAACCAGGCTGCCCCTTCAACACTTTGCTCAGAAATAGCTCCAGCTAAAGATCTAAGCTTGCAGTGAGCCAAGATCGTGCCACTGCACTCCAGCCTGGGCGACAGAGCGAGACTCCGTCTAAAAACAAAACAAACAAACAAAAAGACCTAATCACTCACAGGGCTACCTGCCGCAAAACACTAGAACACAAACACAATTCAGCCAATTTCTTTGCTGCTTCATAACAAAGATGGCCTTTCTTACTGCTTCCAGTAATAGGTTCTTCACAGAGTTCTCTGTATCTGTCTTTTCAATTTTTGGTACAGTGATTTGGCCTGTGAGCTCACTTCTCTGATAGATCTTTAAAAAGTTGCTTTTTCTGTTTGTTTAGCTTTTCCCTTGTTAGGATGGAGTAATGAATTCTAAGCACCTTACATACCAGCACAGAAACTGAAATTCCTGTTGGAAGATTTTTGATTACTGAGTCAGTCTTTTGTTATATGCCTATTATTTATTTCCTTTAGAGTCAGTTTTGGGAGTTTGTGTGATTCTAGTGATTTGGCATTTCATCAAGTGTACCTATGTTTTTTAGCATTGTTATATTTTCTCATAATCCTTTTTCTTTCTGTAAGGTCATTATTAATGTCCCCACTCTCATTCCTGATTTAGTAATTTGATCATGTTTTTCTTGAACAGTCTAGATAAAGGTTTGCCATTGGCTGTTTATCTTTTTAAGGAAACAACTTTTGGGTTTGTTGGTTTTCTCTCCTGATTTTCTATTTCATTTATATCCACTCTAATCTTTACTAGTTCCTCCCCTCTGCTTACTTTGGGTTTAGATGATCCGATATTGTTGCTACGTAATTGTTCATTGTATGCTTGTACTCCTTAATACTTCTGTAAAATCAGTAGTAATGTCACAATTTTATTTTTTATTTTAGTAACTTTTTTTCTTGTTCTACCTAAAGGTTTGTCAGTTTTGTTTATCTTTTGCCATTTTCCCCCATCCCTATTTCATTTATCGCTGTTGTAATCTTTACTATTTCCTTCTTGCTGCTTGCTTTGGGCTGTTTCTCTTTTTCTAGTTTTTTAAGGTTGGGAGGTTAGGTTATTTTTCAGATCTCTCTACCTTTTGTATGATATCTTCTTTGACTCCTTGTTTATTAGGAAGTATGTTGTTTTATTTCCACATATTTGTAAATTTCCCAAATCTCCTTGTTATTTCTAACTTTATTCCACTGTCACTGGAGACTATAACTTGTATAATTCCAATCGTCTTACATTTATTGAGACTTGTTTTGTTGCTTAAAACGGGTTCTAGACTGGAGAATGTTACATATGCATTTAATATGTATTCTGTTCGGAGTGTTCTATAGATGTCTATTAGCTCTAACTGTCTTATAGTCCTGTTCAAGTATTGTATTTCTTTTCTGATCTTGTCTTGTTTTTCTAGCCATTATTAAAAGTGGGGTATTGAAACTCCCACCGTTGTTGAACTATTTCTCCCTTTAATTTGGCCAAGTTTTGCTTCACATATTTTGGGGTTCCTGTTTGGTGCATATATGTGTATGGCTGTTGTATCTTCCTGGTGAATTGACTCTTATCATTACATGATGTCCTCCTTTGCCTTGCATAATAATTTCTGCCTTAAAGTCAATTTGGTCCAACATTAGCATAGCCACCACCTGTGCTCTTCTTTGGTTACTGTTGTATGGGGTATCTTTTTCCATCCTTTTACTCTTGTGTCTTTCAATCTAAAATGAGACACCTCTAAACACACAGTTGGATCATGGTGTGCTAAATCAATGCAGTTTTTTGTTAAGAAAATCTATCAAAGCTCCATGTGTCTATTGTATGCTTCCACTTACAAGTACAGAAATAGGCAAAAGTGGCCTGCATTGACAGAGTCAGGGAGTTAGCCCTGGGAGGAGCGGGTGCAGAAAACATCAGGACTTCTGGGGGATATCCTCACTTGCCTTTCCTCTGAGTGCTGGCTACACAGTGTGACAGTATTTAGTTTGCAAAAATCCAGTTGGCCAGTGGACACTTTTATTTGCACTTTAATGTATGTGTGCTAAATTTCACAAAAACTTTGATGAAGCAAACCTGATGTGGCATGTCTGTTCTCCTAGGAGGCTTTGTGGGAAGAAGGCAGCCCAGTGACTCACCAGGACTAGCAGACACCCTATTAATTTGTGCTGATGAAGGATAAATACTCCCCAAAAAGCATACCTGAGGGTAGGGGTGGAGAACTTTGGGGTTACTAGTTACATAGCTGTGTTCACTGTGTGCAAATTTGGCCTGTATACTAGGATGTGCACACTTTCCTGGATGCAAATTACACTCTGTTAATAAGTTGGCTTAAAATTATATTCCCCAAAGGACAAAGACCTAGATACATGGCCTTGTGTCCAAAGCACTGGTGATGATGATGACAGTAAGAACCATATTAGCACCAATCATCAATTGAGTACCTGCTGCATGCTGGTACCAAGGGCTTGATGAAGCTTCACAACCACCTATACAAGAGGCACTATTTTGTCCCCACCTAACAGATAGGGAAGTTGAGGCTCAGAGAGCTAAGGCAGCCAGCTACCAAACGGTGGTGATTCAATCATCAGTCCGGCTCTCAAGTCCATGCTGTTGTTTCCAGCTCTAGTAATCTGCCGGGAAGTAGGGGTGAAAACACTGCGGGGAGATGGAAGATGCAGAAGAAATGCAGACCACCCTCTCCCAGAGGGAAGGCTGAGCAGAAGGCCTTTCAGCATGGACTGTCCCCCTCTGCAAGCTCCTGAGACCCCACCCACTCAAGAGGCTGCCGCTCCATCCTTGAAACTGAAGACTGTGTTCAAGGACCCAGAAGATGAGGATGGGGGAGGGCAGACTCAGTGTCTGGATACCTGTGCCAATCAAATACACCACCAGGCAGAAGTGAGCCAGGCCACACTGGGCCATGCACAAGTGTGGGAGTGGAAGGCACAGACACTGTCCCTGTAAAGAAGCCTGCCCCACAGGGCCCTGACGCTTTACACCTCCCTTCTCCTTGAGGTTCTTCTAGATCAGTTCAGGGCTTTCTTTTCAACCTTTTCCAGGAGTTGGACAACTGCCTCTTTTACTCCATCAGAAAGAATGGTTTAAACTGAAAACAAGTCCCAACAGCTGCTACTAAAGCAGAATAGTATCATCAAAGGCTGGAGGTTCTGCAGTGACAGTGAAACTAGGAAAGGTGGTATGGCAGTGAGACTGCAGTCAGATGGAGGGGTCCTGGGGAAGGGGCATGGCAGCAAGACCCTAGCCTGAGACGGCTTTCCAGAGGGAAGCCCTACATGAGTGAAGCCACACAGGCCTGACTGAGGCTGTCGGACTAGGAGGTGGCAGGAGTGTGTCCTGGTATTTACTGTCCCCTTGACTAGACACTGTCCCCTTTTCTCACACCCACAAGCAACCATATGAACGTGCCCACTGTATATTTGTACATATTCCTACAGACAAATGTGATTCCTGGGTTCAGAGAGTGAGAGTTTAGACAGCAAAGGATTCTACATCATCTGAATCCCTGCCTCCTCATCAGGATAGCATAGGCTACTCCTAGTTTTAGTCTATGTATACACAATGTGTTCTTACCAACATGCTGCTGTGGCTTCAAACCTGATGCTGCACTTCAGAAGACCCTTGAGGACAGAGTTATGAGGCGTCAGGGCCCTGGGGGGCAGGCATCTTTCCAGGGGGGGGCATTGTCTGTGCCCTCCACTCCACTCATGTGCGTGGCCCAGTGTGGCCTGGCTCACTTCTGCCTGGTGGTGTATTTGATTGGCACAAGCACCCAGACACCAACTCTACCCTTTCCCTACCCTCATCTTCTGGGTCCTTGAACACATTCTTGTTTCAGGGATGGAGTGACAGCCTCCCCACATATACATGACCCCTCCCCATTCTCCTGAAGGTGGACCCCAGGCTGCTTCCAGTTCCCACTACCAGGGTTACCTGATAGGCTTGTTGCTGTTGTTGTTTGAGGCAGTGGATTTATTGTGCCTTGCTTAAACCACAGTTATCTGGAGCACGGAGTCAGAACAACCACAGAGAACAAACATGTGCTTTGTCTTTTTATTATTCTTTATTGGTCCTACCAATGTGACTCTTTACCCAGGCCCACTGTTCCTATGCGCACTGGCTTTGTAGGCATTCACATCATATGTCTGTGTCCTGAAAATCTCAATTAATTTCTCCTTCCTATTCCTTTTCCATGCTCTGCCTCATTTTCTCAGAAATTGAAGGCATTTGATTATTATTTTTTTGTTTGGGTCTGTGTAAAGGTTCCTTGGCAGGAGAACATGCATATGACTTTAAAATAAAGACCAACATTCTGACACTAAGGTAATGCACAGAAAAAATACAGTACTCAGACATCATTGCAAATAAATACCCCATACAGATGAAGTTATCTCAAATGTAACAATATTTCTTATGAATCAACACTGTAACGGAAGGTAAAAATAGGAGTCCCTACAACTAGGAATAAGAAATGCTTATTCCAGGAAACAGAATTCTTTTATTTTTGTCATTTATATTATTATAATTTTTCCTTTTTTGGAGAAGGAAGGACAGTTTTTCTTCCTCCAAGAGTACCAATTTGACCACTCCCACTAACCTCACTCAGCAAACAAAACAGGATGTAGACCTGGTTTGCTAAGGAGTTTTAATGAGTTCTGTTTCCTGAAATTAACAGTGATTAGTTACACCAAGCAAGAGAAGATATAATGTCTCGCTTTCACATTTGCAAAGAATACTATGGCTAACCCTCATCCCCTACTGCGCATGCCAACACAGCGTCGGCCCTCCTGATACCCTCAGCTCTTCACAAACGTGGCGTTCATACAGCTTGCTCAGCTTGTCCCAGAAGGTCCATTTGGTTCCCAAAGCACACTCAAGGTTTTGTGTTTGCTTTCATTTTCTAAGCCCCTGAATTTGCAAGTAAAGAATCACTGACTAACAGAATTTTGCACAATGACTGTTTTCTTTCCCTCAATGAAGATGCCCAGGTCTGGGTGTGAGGAGCACCTGCCTCACCTGCTGTCCACGCTGGCCTTCAGCATGCCCACTAGCTCTTCCCTGCTCGCTTTTGAGAATGATCTGTGCTGGGACACCTCCCTTAACTGATGAAGGCACTACTGGCAATGATTACTAACAAAAAGGTGTTGAAAGAGAACACCCTAAAAATCGACGACTGTAGAATTTTCTAAGTGTACCACAATTTGGCACAACAACCAGAGTAACAAAACAATTCCAATTTGGAATTTTATTGGTACAGTTGTATAAAATTCTGTTAATCAGTCATGCTTCACAACGTCCTAAAACCCAGAAAATTCTGGAATTTGTAGGTAATACTACTCATTCAATAATTTATCTTTTTTTTTCAAGTGCCTATTACTGTTTTAACCAGAGCAAAGGTCAAGTTTTCTTCTTGTTACATTGAACTATTCCTAAGAATAATAATAATACAATATGAAAAACCCCAGAATCTGAATACCCTGGATTTCTTAATGAACATGGCATTTAAAATCTGTAATTTCAAACATGAACCACAATGCCGTATGATCTAAAGGCTGCTGAACCACAGCGTGGATACACTTAGCTGAGCTCCTCGCTGGGTCAAAGCACTCATCTCCGAGTCTAAAGCTACACGCTATGGAGCACACAGCTCTGCCTCGTGCTGACACCAGACAAACACGGTGGGAGCTGAGGCGGACAGCTACAGGACCACGAGCATAGACCACGGCACCTGAGACCGTCTCTACGCGAGGAATTAAGGAAGCAAATATAATATCAAAATATCAAAAGTGCACAGGTTGATCGGATAAAAAAAGAACATGTGTAACAAGGAGCCCCCGTGGTGGGCGTTTCCAGTGGGCTCCTGGCGAGCCTGGCAGCCAGGGAAGAAGGGTCTTCGGCCCATACAGAGGCCTTTCCACGCAGCAGCTCGCAGCATGCTCAACATTAAAGCTTTTTTTCCTCCCATTAAAAACCTGGGGAATGCTATTTTGAAAAGAATTGCAGTGGCATATCCAAAAAGTTTCTAAGTGGGCTTTTAGGTTGCCCTTCCTTCCTCCTTGTGGGCCACGAGAGGGAAGGGGAAGGGGCTGCAGTGTGACAGGGCCGGGTGGCCAAGTCCTCCTGGCAGCTACTCTACAGCTGAAAACGGGAGAAAAGAGAGCGTTAGAAAGCGGTCATCTGTCGCTTCCTGTTTATCTGACAATTGAAGCTCTCCACGTGCTGGGAGGGCGCGAGCACGTTAGTTGGCAGAAGAGAAGACCTGCATGTGTTAGCAGGGGTCCCAGTGGCTTGGGTGTCTGCAAAGTCCCTTAGGAGTATGGAGAGAAGCTATGTGCCAGGCTTGCAAGGAGAGGGCAAAGCGCATGCAGGGTGGGCATGCCAGCAGCCATCCCACTGCGAGTCTTGCTGGGGCAGGGGGATCTGGGCCCAGGATGAACACGCAGGGGACATACATGGGCGTGTCCTGGAGTCTGGAGGGGACCGAAACATACTCGGCACCAAAGGGAAGAACGCGCAGGGCAGAGAGCTGTGGGAGGGGGCAACACGGTCTCTCACCAGGTAACTCGAATGCCTCTTCCGCATGAGAGACAAGGCAAGCAGCCTGCAGGAGAGAAGACTGCAGCCTCAGGTCCAGCTGGTCCCACAGGGTGATCGGGAAAAAAGTACTGAGAAAAGTTCTGCTCAGAATGTGGGAAGGCAGGTGTGGATGGAGCCTCTGGAAATGGGAGAACCCTACAGCTACCTTTCCTCTTTCTCTGTTGCCATCCCCCAGATTGCACTAAATAAAGAGACCTAAACATCTCCTACCTGTGAATCCTGACAAGTGGCCCTGGCCCTATGCAAAGCTTTCCCAGCACCGGGCTGGGCTCTGGATACACCTGTGGGTGTCCAACCCAGCCAAGCCCTTGGTGGCTCAGACTTCAGGCTAGGGTTTTCAAAGCCCCATGTCTTTGGGACTGAACCCCCTATGGAAGGCCGGATAATTGGCTGCTGGGGTCACCCCAAGTACAAAAGGACGGGCTCTGCACTAAGGACCAAGGTCTGGCCAGGCACTTGGAAAGCTTTTCTCATGAAAAATGAAAACCTGGGGCCTTGGGCCCTGCCAATCTGTCACCTCACAGGCCACTATACAAGCATCCTGATCTCAGAAATGAGAAACCGAGCTCTGGATTCCTGGGTTATGGTCAGCTGTGTCTGTGCCATGTGTGTCTGGCCAGCAGAATACAGGGGCTCAGGGCTGCTCTTCTCTGGGCTTGGGGAAGAAATTCTGCACTTCTTTCCTGAATATGATTTGCAGTCAGATACTGCATAAACTACAACGTACTCCTTTCCATGAAACTATGCCAAGTGCAAAGCCATCCTCTGAGGTCGTACCTATGCTGCAGGCTGGAACCTCCTAAAACTGCTTTCTAGTGCTGACATTAGACACATGCGAGGAACATGCAAGTCTCAACTCAGGTTCTGCCCCTTTTGGGTGCTGAGGGAGCAGGACCAGGACTCCTCCCTTGGGTTTCCCCACGGGTGCGCAGGGCTTAGAAGATGCTTTCATCACACATCTGCTGCAAGAATGTGCAGCTCTATCCCCACCTCTGACCCCCACCTAAGAGAGCAGCTGAGGACTGGGTGCTCCTGAGGGGGCTTTGAGGAGTGAGAAGCGACACAAAGCTCTCACAAGTGTCCTGCTGATGCAACGCCCCATGGCGCCTCGGCTAGACTCCTACCCTCTGTGCATTAGTCACGTTAAGATTGACCTAGCACCGCCGTCCCGCTGCTGCTGGGTTAGTTGAGGTGAAGCAGATGTTAGCTGCAGCGTGCGGCGCCCCACAGCCCCTAATCACAGTAAATGCTGTGCTTCTCGCTGCAGAACACCTGGTTGGCCAGCCCGGTGCCCTCGGCCCTGTCGCTGGCACAGGCACAGGTGTGACTTACGCTCGGTGTGGCTGGCTTGGTCTTCGGGGCGGCTTTGGCACGGCCACGCCGGGTCTGCTCATGGTCCAGCTCGAGCAGCTCCAGCCGCTGGGTCAGCGCCAGCTTCTGCTGGATGGCCATGCGCAGCAGCGAGTTCAGCGTCTTCTTCTCGTCCTCAGCAGCCGCCAGCTGCCGCTGCATCTCATCCAGCTGTGTAATGTACTCGTCACACCTGTGGGTACCAAAAACATGACTGAGGGGCGGGCAGAGCCGAGCAGAGGAGGGCAGGGCAGGGCAGGGCTAAGCTGCACGGCCCTCTGACAGCCCTATACCAGAGCCATCCTTCAATGTGGCCTCTGGACTGGAGGGTGTGGCTGGGGAAGAATTATTCTGGCTTATTTTAGCACAGGCTTTGCTTGGACAAATCCCTGATAAGGGTGAGAGGGAGGCTTGGGCCCAGGCAGGGCAGCCCTATGAGGCTGGCTTGAGTTTTGTGGTTTTGTGGGGGAGGGGCTGCTTTGCTCTTTCAGCTGCATGTAGTGCTTACAAACAGGCTATGCCCCTCAGCGACTGGGCTTCTTCTAGGAGGCGCTCTCCCCGCTTAAAGGCCTCGAGGTGGCCTGGGGCATCAAGACATGGAGAAGCCATGGCTTCTAGGGTGTGGATGTAAATCTAAGCAGGACTGGGCTTGTTCCCAAGGTCGATGCTTCGTCAGTCTGTGCTGAGCACTGACCAGAGCCAAGGAACCACGTGTGTGGACGCCATCAACAGCTTCATCCTGAAACCCGGGTGCGGAGCTGTGGGAGGGTGTGGTCTGTCCCTGGATGCCCTTCTTCCACATGTCCCATATGGGTGGGGCTTGGTAGAGACAAAGGGCGGGTTAAATCCCAGGGCTCCCAGGGCGGTGAGGCTGTGCAGGCACTGAGCACAGCCCCACCCTGCCCACACGCACCCTACTCTGCCTGTCCCCACCTGCCAGGAGCCGGCCCTTGGATAGCACCCTCTCCAAGGACTCTGCTGCCCACCCTTTTGAGGGCACACAGAGCTGTGATCCCTGCAGATTCAAAATCTTGGCTCCATCTGAAAAGTTTTTAAATAAAACAAATTTTAAAAGGTAGGGTTTACATGCCAGATACTGAGAAACTGTGGGATTTTTTCCCCAAGCCCCAGGAAGACAGGACGCTTCCAGAGAAATCCTGGGACTCTTCCTTGTCTGTACCCTGCTCTGGCACGTCCTGCAGGGATACTGAGAAACTGGGAGTGCACGGCACCAGGCTTGAGAGAAGCAGGCCCTATGTGCATGCAGTTCCCACCCTGTCCAGCTCAGATCCTCAGCTTGCTCACCCATAAAAAGGAAACATCTAGGTTATCTGCTGGGCCCATGGTGGGCCTGGCTGTCCCCCATGCAGGGCTGACCCCATGGTGCTATCCCAACATGACCCAGCAGGTGGCGCTACCCATCTTTGGAAAGTGAAAGACAGCGGTACCTGTCAGGGGGCACCTGGGAAGATGCTGAAACCAGGACCTGCCCCACAGAGGCCTGTGAACACTTAGGGAGCCTCGATTCCCAGCCTTGGGGTCTGAGTCCCAGCCAGGGAGGGGTGTGCACCCACCAGGGGCAGCCCACCTCAGAGCCCATTACTAAGAGCCCTCCACAGAGGAAGAAAGAAAGCTGGTCTCCTCCAAGCCCCGGCCCTCTCCTCACCCTCCCCAGATTGGCAAAGTAGAGGATGGGAGGTGAGTACCCAGCGGTCACAATGACGCAGAGGTACAGGGCTATGCACAGAGGTGGGACCCGAACTGTGGACCCCAGCAGTGACCTGCTCCAGCCAGGAGGATAATCTTCCTTCTGAATCTACAAACATAAATACACACTTGTGCCATATGGCCAAGTTCTTGGGGGCAAATACCTCATGAGAGGAAAGGCCAGGACTCCTCTGTCACCTGTTGGCCCCAAGTTAAGTCCCTGTAAATGTTGGATTCAAGGGGTGGGAGCCCAAGCATCCCCTGAAGCTATGCAACTCTGGCCCATCCACTCCAGGATCTGCTCTCCTCAGCCCTTCTGCCCTCAGTCTCCATATATGCAAAGCAGAGACAAGCCTGGGCCTGCTGCGGTTTCATTCACAGCAAAATGGAACCGGCGCCACAGAACCAGGCTCCTGGGGGCTGGGCTAGGTGCAAAAGGAACATTAAAAGGATCACACACGCTCTGCTATCCCCGGCCACATGTGGGCACCTGCCAGGCATGCCCTATGCTCCAGCAACTGCTTGCGTGACCTCGGAGGAAGCTGAGGTGCAGCAGCTAGGGGCCCCCAACCCCATGTGGCCCCCATATCGCCTCACCCTTTCTTGTCACCAACTTGAGCACCAGTGTGCCAGAGATGTGCCAGGGGCCATGCTTCCCCAACCTCGTACCATGCTGGCCCTGATGGAGCTGGGCACAGCCACTGACTAGTCAGGGCTGCAGGCCTCAGCATGAGGCAGTGAGAGGCTAAGGGTTCCAGAGGCAAGTGCTGAGGACAGCTGGCCTTGTGGAAGGGGAGGGCCCGACAGCAGCACGGTTACCTGGTGGCAAACATAGCACGCAGCGAGGAGAAGGTGGCTGCGTCCTCCTTGAGGGCCTTGAGCTCATTGCGCAGCTTCATCATGGTCTCGGTAACCATGGCCTTCTCATTCTCATACTTGCTCTTCAGGTTGGCAAGGGCCACCTCGGCCGTCTGGGGGACAGATGTGTAGGGTGGAAAAGTGAAAGGCGTGAAGTCAGCCTAGAGGTGCTCTGGGAGCAGGATCGGGAGCCCCGGTCTGAAGTGGTGGCAGTGCCTGGGAAGAAAGCTCCTGGGAGGCCCCTCCCTGTGACAAACCCTGGGGATGGACTCCAGCAGCTACGCCATGGGGAGTCCCACCTGCTGATTCTGACTGGCAGAGGAGGGACTGCCCCTAAACCTGCCAACAGGACCTCCACGAAGCCCCACAATTGCTCTCCACAGCTCAGACTATGGCTCTCACATGTTTTCCCTCCAGTATCAGGAAGCACTACGAGGCAGTCACAGTGAGTCAAGGGCAGCGGCATTTCTCACTGGCTGAGCAGCTCTGCTGAGGGGCCCTCACACCCACCTGCCTGCTCCACCCTCCCAGCTGGGGGCCCTGAGCAGGGGAGGGTAGGCAGTCGAGCTACTATGGGGCTGGCTCTGTCTGGTGGTGACGCAGGCCTGGGGGGGCCCCGTGGCAGGGGGAGGAAGGAGGCCAAGGGGGAAACACCCTTAGGCCAGTAGTAGGTGACATGTGCCCCTGCTGCCTGGCACCTCACCTGCTTGTTGGCCTTGAGCACAGTGCGCAGCGTGGTGATCTGCTCCCGCTTGGTGCTGAGCAGCGACTTCAGCTTGAGGATCTCCTCCATAAGCGCTTCCTTGTCCTTGTCCACGGCGGGGCCCAGCTCCTGAGAGGCAATGCGCTGGCGTGACAGCTCCGTGGTGCGGTCCACGGCTGCCTGCAGGTGCTTGATCTGGTCACGGATGATAGCGATCAGGTTGTAGATGTTCATGGGCTCCCGGCGTGGGTCACTCAGGGGTGATGGCAGTGAGGAGCCAGGCGAGGGGCTGCTGTCCCCCGTCCCACCATCTGCTCGGCCCGCCTCAGGAGCCAGCAGCCCCTTGGGTAGGAGGATGGGTGAGCGCCGGCCACGCGCCTCGGGGCTGGTGCGGCCCCCGGGACTGGTGCGGCCGGCCCCGCCCTGGCCCTCGCGGTAGTAGTCCAGCATGACACGGTTGGGTGTCTCATTGTTGCACATGCACACGTGGTGGTAGAGATTGGCCAGCTCCTCACTGAAGGTCACCAGCTCATCCTGGGCCACACTCAGGCTGCCCTGTGTCTCGCCGGCGACGTCGCTCACCTTCTTTAGCTCCTTCTCCAGCCGGGCCAGCAGCTCGCGGTCCTGGCGGCTGGCCTTCTCTAGCAGGGAGACCTTCTCCGTGAGTGCCTGGCCCTCAGCCTCATAGCGGCCCTTCTCCTCGGCGTGCTGGGCCTCACGAGCCTCGTGCGTGCTGCGCAGTGCCTTGAGCTGCTCGCGGAGCTCGCCAGCCTCAGCCACAGCCACATGGTACTTGCAGGCCAAGATCTCAGGCCCGTTGATGTCCACCTCGTAGTAGTCCCCATCCTCATGGCTGTCACGGTCCTTCTCGTTGTCCAGGGCTGTCTGCCGCTCCTTGCTGGCCTGCAGGCGCCGCAGGGCACTCAGATTCTCTGTGAGGCGGGTCACCTTCTCCTGCTGTTCTGACAGGGAGCCCCGCGTGTGCTCCAGCTGCTTCTGTGTGTCCTGCAGCGTTGCCAGCAGGCCCGCCTTTTCCCGCTCCATCTGCAAAGGCACAGGCAGCAGGACACCATGTCAGTTGCTATGGACCCCGAGAGCTTGGAGGACCCCCAAGATGGCCTAGTGACATCCCACCCCATGTCAGGGCAGGCTGTCAGCCCCAGGTTCCTTGGCCATGCTGTCAGTGAGGTGGACAAAGACACACAGGGTGTGGAAAGAATGGAATTCATGCTGGGCCCTCAGAACACTAACCGTCACCAGTAATGGTGGTCACCCTCAACGCAGGCTCTTTCCCCAACCATGCTACAGGGGATCTGGGCTAAGAAAGTGGAGCTCTAGGCTGGCTGGGTGTGTAGTCGGGAATATTAGCACCCTAGCCCTCTGCTTCGGAGGACAGGACTCTGTTGCCTTGGATCAACAGGGATCCATGTCCCAGGGGATGAGCCCAAGCATGACCATGGTGGGCCCCTGACACCTGGCCTGCGTGCAGGGATCACATGTGGGCCAGTGTCTCATCACTTCACCCTGACACCACGTAGTTAACAGGGGAGCAATGTGGGTGCTGCAGTGCCAGGAAACCACTTCTCTGAGACTCCTCTATGTGTGCTCCTGGAGTTCCATTTACCGTAATGATGCAGGAGATAAAATCAACGTAAGGAAAAGGGAAAGTTAACATCAGCAGAGTGTCAGGTAAGCACTGCTCGGGGAGCCCTGCAGACCTGGAGTGGGGACAGCGTGCCGAAGGCCCCACTGCCTGCTCACCTGCATCAGCTGCTGCTTCAGCTTCTGGATCTCAGAGATGTTGAGCTCACTGAGTAGGTCGGAGACGAGGCTGGGGGAGGGCGGTGCGAGGCCCTCCTTCTTGGGCGTGGAGGTCTTGTTGTCCAGTGGCAGCTTGGCCAGGCCGCCGTGCTCAAAGCCATTGACCAGGGCCTCGGCATCGTTGTTGGGCTCGGCAGCATCGTCACTGAACTTGAGGCCATCCAGCGAGACATGCAGGTGGCTGGTGTAGAAGGAGTCATTGATGCTCATGTAGTGTGACAGCTCCTTGCGCAGGCTGTTCTTCTGTTCGCGCTCCGTCTTCAGGGTCTCCAGCGCCTCCTCCAGCTGCCGCTCTGAGATCTCCTTGAGGCGGATGGCATCCTCCAGCTGGCTGTTGAGGTACTCGGTCTCCTCCTCCAGACGCTTGATCTCATGCTTGAGGCCCTCAAACTCCACCTGGGAAGAGAAGTCAACGCTCTTGCATCAATGCAATGTGGAAGCTCCTTTCAGGCCCCATAAATGAAGAAAACACACCAGCACACCAACTCCGGCCACTATGAAGCAAAAGATGAAGCGCCAGGTGAGGTGCCATCCTGGGAAGGGTGGCAGCCCGTCCAGGCCAAGACTGCTTCCTCTGCTCAGAGATGTGGATGCTAAGAAGGTTCCAGGGCATGAGATGCGAATGCAATGAAATGCTCAGCCCAGCCCACCCACCGCTGGGACCAGCAGACACAGCAAGGGGAGCACAAATGTCTGAGGTGGCCCCAAGCCAGGACTGTACGTGTGGAGATGCACCAAGAACAACACACATCCATCCATAGAAGGCTGCCAACCTTGTATTAAGTCATTCACAAATATTACCAAGTGCATGCTGATTAAAAATTCTATAAAGTTATTTAATTAACATTAACAGTTAACTAAATATCTTAAGATACATAAAAATATATTTCAATGTGTGCTATGATCATGACTTCTAATCATAGTTCAAAATGAAGGAACAGAAACTCCCCGCAAGGCAGAACATCTCAACCACTAAACCTCCACATGCACATGACACCCAGACCTGGAGGAGCTCGAAGGTAGGTGGGAAAAGCAACATCAAAGTCTTGTCTACATGAAAATTGTATCTGCAGGTGGGCAAGGAAAAAGCAGATAGAAACTGATGCCTGATGTGGAGGCTCAGAATTTGTGGGCAATTGCTAAAACTATTTCTTATTTTTCTGTAATATTTGGAGAAAAAAATAAGAAACAAACCAGTAACAGGAAGTGCTGAGCACATCTCTGTGGGTCTTGGGTCGGAAGGGACACCCATTACCACATCCAAGGTGTGCTCACAGGAGGTGGGCATGGAGCCCTCAGTCCCAGCACCACAAATGCGGAGGTGAGGAATCCCAGAGAGGGAGAGAGAGTCAGACTCCACTAAGCGCCAACCTGAGGACAGGGTCGCCTCAAGCCTCAGTTTCCCTTCTCCTAAGGCCACCATGCGCTGGGCTCTGCCAACAGCAGCACCAATGACCAAATGGTACTTACAATGTAGACAGTGGCTAAGACTGTTAATGAGCTCGAGCTGTCACAGAAGGACCAGGCTAGGAGCTCTGCATAAACACATGAGCTTCCTCCTCCGGGCATAAATACCACATTCCCTGATGGTGAGACTCAGAGGATTTTGGTGGTAGAGGATTTGAGGAAAGCAAGGAAGACATCCATGGCATTCTGGGGAAAGTTTTGGGAGAGAAAAGACTCCCATTCCCCACCATGCAGGAGTGTGGCTCTTGCAGAGAGAAGAGCAAGTTCAGGCCTTGAGTGGCAGAACAGCAGAGCACATGACAATTTAGTCACATCACAAAGAGAAGGGACCCTCCTTATTCATCTCTGTCACAGGCAGAGACCCTACTCGTCCCTGTCAGGGGTCCCTCTGAGACCCCATTAGAGACAGAGGGGTTCCTGTTCATCCCCGTCACAGACAGAGAGGACCTTCCTTGTCCCTGTCACAGGCAGAGACACAGGAATATTGCAGGCCTCATGGTCAGCACCTGATGGGGGAGTCTCAAAGTCCAATCTGGGGTTTTCTGGTGTAACCTCTTCATTACCTCTCAGATTTTTGTTTTCATTTTTGTTGGCTGGGACACCTCAGCCTGGCCAATGTCAGCAAACACTGCAGCCAGAGTTTCATCTTTTGGAGAGTCTGGGTCCCACCAAGTATACCCCTGCCTCCACAGTGGTAAAGCTGGCCCTGGGCCTCGGGTGTGTGGAATAAGACAGGAACCCCTTCCCAACAGGGAGAGGGGCTGAGCAAGAGGTCCTCAAGGCCCAGTTAACCCACGTGCCACCTCCACCCCACAGGCCCAAGACTCACCTGGTTCTGTCTGAGCACAGACACTTGCTTCTGCAGGCTGATGTTCTCCTCCTCCAGTTCCGAGTAGTCCTGCAGCAGACGAGCTTCCCGGAATTTGTACTCCTTGATGTCATCCCGCAGGCGGCCACGCTGGATCTCCACATTCTGGTTGATCTGTTGGGGGAGAGGGAAAGGCAGGTATGAGCAGCCTCCACAGGGCACGAGAGGGGCTCAGTGCAGCCAGGCACGCCATGGCCAGCCATACAGCCAGAACTCAAGAGCCCTGGCCTGCAGGTGCCAGTGTGACTGCCTGGAGAGGAGAGGGAGCCCAGAGCAGTATGCCAGAGTGCACAGCGGACTGCAGAGGTTCCAGAGTAAATTCCCTCAGCCCTTCTCACCTGGGAACCCGTGACTGCCTGCTCCGACCCTTGGTTTCTTCATCTTTAAATTAAAATGGGGTTAAAAGTAGTTCCTGCCTTCTATTATTGGGCATGTACACAGTAGTGCGCAGGTGGGCATATAAATGGTATAGTGCTCTGGCAAACAGCCTGCAGGTGCTGCAACTGTTAAACACAGAGGGTCTACCCCAGAGAAATGTACACATGCCCACACAGAAACCGGTCCACACATGTTCACAGCAGCAGCGTTCATTTTGCCAAAAGGTGGAAGCAGCCCAAGTGCCCATTGACTGATGAATGAATAAACAAAATGTGGTCTCTCCACACAATGGAATGTTGTTCAGCCACAATAAGGAATGACGTACTGACACATGCTACAACATGAATGACCCGTGAACACATTCTGCTGAGTGAAAGAAGGCCTGTCACGAGAGGCCATGCATTATATGATTCCATTTCCATGAAATATCCAGAATAGGCAAATTCATAGAGACACAAAGTAGGTTAGTGGCTGCCAGGAGCTGGGGAGGGGGATGGGGAGTGACTGAAATGGGTTTTCTTTTTGGAGCAATGAACTGTTCTAAGATTGTGGAATGGGGCACATATATGTGACTATCATAAAATACACTGAGTTGTACACCTTATGTGGGTGAACTATATGAGATGTAAATCACCTGAATAAAGCTGTTAAAAATTAGTTCAGGCTCTAAGTTGCCCATAAGGAGCCAAGAGATGTCATGGGAGAGGCTAGTGCAGGGTTGGGGCAAACAGGATGCAATCAAGACAGAATTTCCAACTTGCTGCCATGTGCCAGGGACCTGGGCCCCTCAGCCGCAGCCCTAGCAACATTCAGGGACGTTTCTTCTTTGTGGTGGGAGCCGGCCTGTACATCATATGTCTAGCAGCTCCCTGACCTCTGGCCACCAGACACGGCTGCCTCCTCCATTGTGACAACTGAAAAATCTCTCCAGACGTTGCCAATGTCCCCCAGGGGCAAAATCATCCCCTTGACAAACTCTCTATCCCCTCCCTGTACTCTGCTGACCCAGCTGCCTCCCTGTGTATCTGCAAAGGCCTGGCTCCCCAGACCATCACCACCCCTGCTCCAAAGCCCTCTTGGACTCTCGGCCAGAAGCCCTGTCCATCTTGCGGGCCCCATAGCTTCGCCCACCTCTCACACTGTTCTCTTGGCTTATGCTATGGTTTCTCCTGGTCACATGTGTGCACTCATCTGAATGGAACATACTTTATAGACAAGATTCCAAGATCCCATGCAAGTACACACAAAACGATCATACTGGCAAAATGAAATAGGACATCCCTCCCAAAACAAAGGAAAAAAGGAATGCAACAGAGAGGGGAGGAGAGTCAACAATATACAGCAAGTACTACTGACAAATGCTTACTATTTACAATGAAGATTACATTTAAAACCTACAGCAAATGGACGCAGACATGGCCCTCTCATTATAAGTGACCCAAGGAAGTGACAGAAAGCTGACACCAAAAGAAACAGAGATACCACACAGGGAGGAAGAGAAGGCCTGGCAAAGCCTTGTACCAGAGGAGAAAGTGAGCGAGGTGCATGCTGGGACGAAGCGGGAGAAAGCAGCACCAGCACAGCCATCACCAGGGCCGGGCCCCACAGTGGCTACACGGGGGGTGGATAGGGAGTGGGCAGGCTCTCCAGCCTCTCTCCTGCTAGTGAGAGTGCAGCACCCCCCAGGAGTGTGCTTAGGGGAGCTGCACAAGCCAAGTCACACCCAGGCTCTCCACACCCCAGCTGGAGACTTGGGTACCTCTCTGCCAGAAAGGTTTGCCCAGTTCCTGCTTTTTCCTTGCTAACTGGCAAGCAAGTGGTCTGCAGCAGGTGTGCAAACATGTGCCACTTGATTCAACGCGGCCACCCAGCCGGCTCCTCAGGCGGAGTGGAAGCTGAGGGGAAGGTCTGAGTCCCACCAACTCTCCCAGGCCTGCCAGTCAAGATCAACAAACCTAGAAGGTGCTCCAGGCAGTGGGAAGTGAGAGCCCAGAAGCTTCCATGTGCCTGGGCAGGGAGATAGTGACATGCCCAACTAAAGACTGAAGCAGAGAGCCTGGCCAGATGCCTCATACCATTAGGGTCCCCCAGAGGCACACACGAGACTGCTGTTCCCTTGGCAGTGCTCATGTGAGTCCTCAGGGTCCTTCATCACCTGGCCCAGGCAAGGTGTACTAGGAGTTCTGTCCTTGCACCACTGCCAAACCCAGAACACAGAGGCACACCCAGGTCAAATGCTGGCCTGGCCATACCATGTCATGGGTGATGATGGCACCATCTCTGCTGATGCTGTAGTAGGACGCAAACACTGTGCTTCCATGCCCACACTACTGGGCGTAGGCAGCCAGGCTCATGTGGCCTGCCACCTAGCACCTCCATCCAGCACACGGCCAATTGCCAAGGGCTCAAACAGGCTGACTGGTCGCCATGGGGTTTAGTTTTCCCTCAAGTAAGCACCTTCTCCCAGTGAGCCTGTCTGATGTCAGCCCAAAGAAGTACAGGGGACAAGCTCTGCTGCGTGTGACTGGGCAGCCCAAATGAAGGAGGTGGGAGCACAGGCCTGTAGCTGACCACCAGGGTCCCATCTCAACTCCCCTTTGTGGGATCCCCACACCTCAGACTGCTCATCAGCAAGCAGGGTGTGACAATTGCCTGTTTCAAGGAGCCACTGTGCAGGGGGTCGGCTGCCCTCTCTCCTGTCCCCACCAGACAACCTCAACACCAGGAAACTCTCATCTCTGCCTTGATGGCCTAGGCCAGCCCCTTCACCCTACTCCTTCTTGGGGCAAATATGAAGAAAGATCTTGGTGTGTGTATGAGACCCAGCTCTGACCCCAGGCCTCCTGTGGCTCTCTGGGCCTCTGATTCCCCATCTGGGAAATGGAGCCACATCCCCACCAAGGCCCAATCCAGGCCAGTCCTCAGAAGCTTACCCACCTCCCAGGGGCCCAGGCAGGAAAGATGCTCTCACTAGCAGGAGAGAAGCTGGAGGGGCTGCCCACATGTAGGGCCCACACATACACAGCGGTTAGAGTCAGGATCTGAGAAGCACCTCACCCCCTACCAGCCAGGACACCTTAGGCACATGATGGAACCTTGCAAACCTCTGTTTCTTCACATCTGACGAGATACCAGTAGGGTCACCAGAAGGACCAGGTCTGAGGCAATCAGAACTGTCCAACACATGCCAAATATGTTTGTTACTGTAAAGCTTCACAGGTCCTCATGGTGTGTTGGGGTGTGGAGGGGGACAGACAACCAGTTGACCCAAGGGAGGAAAAAAGGGGAGGGGCTGTTGTGGGTAGCAGGGTGGTGGGTCAAAGGATACAATGAAGGCTGTTTTATCGTCAAATGTACCCTTTCTGACCCATGGGGTGTGAGCCTTGGGCAGTGACTGGGGAAAGCCACGCTGGGGGTGGGCACAGAGAAGCTTGGCACAGTGGCTCAGACCAGCAGAACAGCAGGCAGCAGAAGACAAGAGCTATGCATGACTGGGACTGGTGGTGGTGAGACAAGGTCAGTCCTAGAGATGCTCCACCCGAACCAGGTACCCAAGGCGAAGACCTGGGATGGTTCCCACAGCTCTGCAGCAACCCAGGGCAGGGACACAGTCATGGGGGACACAGCAGACCCAGGGACCAAGGTGGGGACCCTCAGGAGAGACAGGGAAGGCTGAGGGGTGTGCAGGGAGTCTCAGGATTTCCTCCTGAAGCACAAACAGGAACCACAGAAATCCTCTCTTCCCCACAAGACCTGCAGCATCTTTAACTTGCTGTGCTCATTTCCAGTCTTACCTGAAGCCAGCAGGGTCACCCAGCCCTCTTTGGCCTCTGCCACCAGAGATAGGCCTCTTGGAAGAGAGAAGGGGCAGAATGTGCTGGGCTGGGGAGACAGCACCTGCACACGCTTTTCAGGAATAGACGGGCCAGACAGATGGCAGCTGGGGCAGCCAAGGATACATCTCTCCATACACACAGCCCCTCCTCCCACCGACCAGAGGGCTCCTTGTGAGAGGAAATGAGATCATGTACTGCCGCTTCAGGATCTGAGACTCCCCACCCTGAGTCTAAGCCAAGCTCCTCCCTGGGCCCCTAGGGCCTCAGCGATCTCTGACCCCTCACTCCGCTGCTGACCCCGAGGGCAGCATCCTTCAGTACTGGAATGCTAAGCCAACAGCAGCAGCCCTAATCACTGCATACCCTCAGGGCCTATGCCCTGCTGACCTCCCGTAAGATTATCTGCTGCAGAGGGTGGTGCTCCTGTGTCAGGAACAAGGGTCCATAAGTGCTCCCACAATGTGGGGTGAAAGACCTGTGGGGCATCCTCTACAACGGGCTTCAGAGACTGCCGGTTTACAGATGGGGAAACTGAGGCCAGGACTAAAGATAAGGCCTTGCCCAGGCCCCAAGGCTCAGTGAAAGGCAAAGCCAGTATCAGCCCATTCTCAACCGACCCATGCTCCACTCCTCCAGCCATTCCCAATGAGAACCTGGGGCTGACCCTCAAAGGCCACGGCCAGGAGGACTGCAGCTCACGTGCCAACTTCCAGCTCCACTTGCAGTCCCCAGGGACCATCCCACCTCCATCTTGGTGATGGGGCCTCATCCTTCCTCAGAAGGCACTGGCCCCTCTTGCCCCCAAGACAGTCGTCTCAGCCTCACTTTTGTCCCCACAGCCCACTCCCCGTGTAGCCACCAAACCCAAGCTGGACCCTGCCTCCTTCAGGGCCCCACCCAGGCCTGCAGGACTCTCCTGACACTCCTCCTGCCCTTGGCTCAGCACCACAGTGAACATGCCCCTGCCCCAGGGACAGGCACGGGGTACTGCTCTCCCCTGATATCTGCCACATGCCTTCTAGGAGAATGAGGCTTTGCTCACACTGTTTCCTCAGGTTCCACAGACACCGAGGCCCTGGCAGGGCTCAATTAAAATATGTGCCAGTCAGTGAGAAAAGACACTCAGGTGCTCACTCAACCTTCCCTGAGCCTCCTGTTCAAGCCAGCGAGACTCTCCTCCCACCTGCCCCAGTGGATGGAGACTCCTGGCTCTCCTCCTCCTGCTGGGCTCAAACTACACAGGTTCCAGGCACCACAGCAACCTTCCCAAATCCTGCTTTGGCCACATCGTTCCCCTGGGCTCCCCAGTCCTCCACAACTCCAGGGCCTTAGTGTCAGGGCCATGAGCAGCTGGTCCTGTGGCCTTTGCCCCTATCAGGGCCCAAGAGCCAAGCTGGTTCCTCTGACTTCATGTTCACAAGTCATGCACGGACTTGGACGGATTCATGGACGGACACCACAGTCCCATTTCCAGATGTAGAGCCTGTGCCATGTACCAATGGCTGTCCATGGGTACCCAGGACTCCAACAGGCTCTGGTGCCAGGGACCACCCACCCAGACCCTCCCTGCGGGCACTCTGCTGTGAACAAGGCAGGGGTGTGGCAGCTGGGGCTACTGGCGGTGGTCTCCACCCCTAATTCTCAGACACGCACACCCTACCTCGAGTCTCCATGGAATATTTGGGGTTTGTGTTCTTATTACAGCTGGGCACAGTGCAGGCCCTGAGTGACACAAAACATTCCCAGGGCAGGGGGGAGTCCAATGACGAGGAGTGCCCCATGGGCATCAGCCCTTAGCCTCCACAAGGGGCTAACTGCACCCCTCCCTGACTGACCACTCCTCTGCTCTGGACTTGCTCATGGGACTCGCTTCATGAGTGAGACAGAAGCAAGCCAGAGGCAGTGGAACTTGTGGGTCCATCTCTCTCCCTTCTGCCACGTGGAGGACAGTGGCAGTGGAGTGCAGTGGAGGATGAGACCAGGAAAGCAAGACAGACCAGCCAGCTGCAGCGTCCCCAGAGGCCAGCCCAGCCCAGCCACCCACCAGGCACACCTGCTATGTGACACTGGTGGCACTGCTGCAGCCACAGACTAGGCCCCTCCTCACCCCCTCACCTCCTTCAGCTCCTGGGCCACAGAGGCCAGGCGCTCATTCTCCGACTGCGTGTTGGTGAGGACATTGCGCAACTGCTTCAGCTCCGTCTGCAGCTCTAGCACCTTCCGCACGTAGTACTGCTCCTTGGAGGCCGACTCCTGGATCAGGCTCTCCTCCCGGCTCTCTCCGTCAGCAGCCACCTTCTTGTGGTTTGTGTGTGCTTGTCCAAAGGCCTGCATCAGAAGACAAGACACTCGTGAGGTGGGCCTCCCAGGGGCGCCGAAGGATAGAGACCCAGCTCACAGGCGACATTCATGCTGCAGAACAACAGCAACAACAACGGGGACTGTGGGCCTGAAGGGAGGCCCCCTGACCTGGGAGGTGCATCTGTGGCGTGCACTGTGGTGTGCACATATGCAAATGCAACAAGCTGCACCCAAGGTTCATCTGCTTCACCAAAATAAGAGAAAGCCTGGTCTCTGAGGAACAGTGTCTGCACTGGCAAGACAAGTGCTGGAGTCAGGGAGCTACAGTGGGCATGTGTGACAGCAGCTGGGGGCCGGCAGAGGGAGCTCCCACACAGCCCCCACCTTCTCCCCACTCCAGATGGCACGCCGGCCACCACATATGAAAGGCAGAGGGAGTCTGTCCATCCTGCTGCCTGATGCTGGCTCATCCTTCACTCCTTCTGGGAGAGACCTGGGCTGAGCAGTCAGAGCCCCAGGCCCGAGGATGGCAGTGATGGTAAGAACTAGACAGAGGCCAGCACAGTGTACCACCCACTCTGCCCAGTTCCTGGCTCAGAAGCCAAGATACCAGCATGTTCCAGAGGGGTGAGGAACAAGGGGCGCGGGGGCTGCACGTGGCAAAGAAGTGCAGGGCCTTGGGGCTCAGGGAGGAGACCTTATGGGTGAGATCAACCAGAAAGGGGTGCTCACCTAGCCCAGGACGCCCACCTGCCCACGCACCTGAGAGTCGACAGCTGTGTCATGTCCATGCCCCAAAATCCAGGCCAGCCAGCCTCCCATCGTGTACACCCCAGGCGAGTGGCCCAGCCTCCAAGCAGGTGCCATCCCTCTCCTTCCCTCCCACTGCCCACTACCCCCACATAGCTGGCGTGGCAGGACAGGGCTTCCATGGGTAGAGGGCAGACGGGCCGCAGTGTGTCACCCCCAGCAGCCCGTCTCACTGGCCACTCCACCACAGAGCTCTTGCAGAAGACCTTATCTTTTTACATTAATCCTGGCTCATGGCAGAAAACAAGATCAAGAGAGAGGTGACTGAAAGCGGATGGCTTTGTTTTCCTAAAAGAGAAAAAGGAGCATTTTTCACTCATTTACTATTTAATATTAAATCTAAGAATTCAGTCCAAGAAAATAGGGAAAATGTAAAAAACCATGAATAAGGATGTTACTGAGCAGGACAGTTTCTAATTTCAAGAAATCAAAACAAAGAGTAACTCATTTCGTCCCAACAGGAGACTGGTAAAAGAAACCAGGGTCTAGTCTGAGTATAGACTCTCATGGGACCAACAGGGGACTCAAGGGGAAGACAGACTGATTGATCTTACAGCACTGTGAGGATCACAGGATCCTGCCTGGAAGAGCACACATGTGCTATGGCAGGTGTGGTGACATGTGCTGTGATGTATGTGTTGTGTGTGTGTGTCTCGTGGTGTTGCGGGGGACACCCCTAAACAAGGCTAACAGGACAACACAGCCCAGCAGGAAGACTGGTGCTGGCAATGGGACTGCACGGGGGGACTCGGGATTGACATGGACACTCCTGCTGCGGATGCACAGATGTCTATGGCACCCACACTCCTGAGGAGGCTGGGTCTTGCTCACCTGCCCCCACCCATCAACACAACACCCACTACGTGGAAGATGTCCGCTTTTCTTCAAGGCAATCGGGTCAGCTCTGTGATTTCTGCTCTGTTCTTCCTTATCCTAGTCCCAAGGAAGGTCCAAATCATAATGTCTACACAGCACCTCATCCACCCTGGCCAGCCACCCCGGGCCACAAGAAGGGAAACCGGACATGGAATTGGCCCCAGCTGCAGGCTCCCCACCCAAGTGGCAGCCAGGCCCCAAGTCCCTCATTGGGTGAAGGGCCCGCCGGCTGCAGGCGGCATGGGCAGCGCCAGACCATCTGGGCCTCCTGACAAGCAGGAGGGACCCAAATGAAGGGTCCAGCACACATGGCTGCTCAGAACACACCCACGAGCCTGGAGCTGGGGATGCAGACATCACCTCAGAAGCTTCCTCCAGGTATGACAGCTAAATGCCATGACACGACATTCAAGTCCTAGCCTCCTGGCCTGAGCCCTGGATCTTTTCCTCTGCTTAAGCTCCCAGCCTGGGGCCCAAAACACTCCTGGGCAGCTTTTCAAACACACTGAGATACAGACTTCCGCGTACAGCCAAGATGAGATTGTTGCAGAAATTAGAACTACCTTCTGTGTGAAAACTTAAAAAAAAAAAAGAAAAAGAAAAAAACCAGGCAATGATAGAATATAAATAAATAATAAGCAGTGGTTTTCACATCATGGGCACTAGATAGTGAGAGACAGGAGGAGGGGAGTTCCAGGAGCCCCCTCCACCAAAAGAACTTCCCAGCCATGGAAAAATGGGAGACTGAGGCAAGGCGTGGCAGACCCTGTCAAGGAGGGACTGGAAGATGGCGGAAGATGGCAGCAGGGCAGCCAAGCTAGGCAGACCTGCACACAGGGCCAGAATCTCCACTGAGGACCAGGGAGCACAGAGCTGAAGAAGTCACTGAAGGACCACTGAGGGGGCAGAGAAAGCAATCCCCACCATTTATACCAGCCAAAAACAGTACCTGCTCCCAACAGCAGAGGAGAGCCCTCCTGATGCACAGGCAGCTGGGGAGCACTCCCAGGGCCTGAAAAAATTAGTCTGGATTAAATCTGCTCTGATACCACAGAGCAAAGCATAAAGACAAAACCTGAAAGGATCAATCTGATTCCAAGTCACTTAACTACATCCCAGAACAAAGCTCAAGAACACATGAAGGAATACAAAAACATCCATCTCCCAACAGGTGAGGTCCACTGGCTGGCATCCCGTCACTTACCACTGAGCAGGCAAAGGCGCACAAATGAGGAAGACAGAAAAAGATCCAGATAGAACTTCTAGAGACGAAAAGTACAGTGGATGGGATTCACAGCAGATAAAACAATGCAGAAGAAAAGATCAGTCAACTTGAAAAACCACAGCAAACTATCCAAAATGAAACACAGAGAAAAAAAGGCTAAAAGACAAAAGCAAGACTCAAACAGAGCATTGGTGAAGTATGAAGTATGACACAATTTCAAGAAGCCTTATGTAAGGAGTAATTGGAGTACCCAAAGGAGAAAAAGGGGAAAATAGAAAAAGTAATTGAAGAAATAAATCATAGCTGAAAATTTTCCAAATTTGATGAAAATTATAAACCCACAGATATCAGCAGCTTGTCAACACCAAGCACAAGAAATATGAAGCAAACTACACCAAGGCATAATATAAAATTGTTTAAAACCAATTATATAATAAAAATATTTAAATCAGCCAGAAGAAAAAGGATACATGACTCAAGAGGAGCAAAGATAAATGACAGCTGATTTCTCTAACAAGCCAGGAGATAGTGGAACAACATCTTTTAAACAACAAAACAAAAAAACTTAACTAGAATGCTATACTCACTGAAAACTGTTCACAAATAGAGGTGAAATACTTTAGAGATACAAAAGCTGAAAGAATTTATCAACAGCAGATATGCATTGGTATTTAAAGATATGCTAAATAAAATCCTTCAGGCAGAAGAAAAATAATACCATATGGAAATCTTTATCTACATGGAAGAAATGATAATTAAATAGGCAAATATAAAGTACTTATTTTTCTTATTTAAATCTCTTTAAAAGATAATTAACTTGAAATTCAATGCAATCCCTACCAAAATTCCAAAGCCTTTTTAGCAGAAATGGAAAAGGTGATTTTCAAATTCATATGGAATTGCAAAGGGCCTAGAAGAGCTAAAACAATATTGAAAGGGAATAACAACGTGAGAGAACTCACAATTTCAAAACTTAATACAAAGCTACAGTGATCAAAACAATGTGGTACTAGTGTAAAGATAGATACAGAGACCAACGGGATAGAATAGAGTCCAGAAATAAAACCTCATATATATGGTCAATTGATTTTTGGCAAGGGTACAAAAATAATTTGATGTCAAAGAATAGTTTTTCGGCCAGGCACGGTGGCTCATGCTTGTAATCCCAGCACTTTGGAAGGTCGAGGCGGGCAGATCACGAGGTCAGGAGTTCGAGACCAGCCTGGCCAACATAGTGAAACCTCGTCTCTACTAAAAATAAAAAAAAATTAGCTGGGCGTGGTGGCGGGTGCCTGTAATCCCAGCTTCTTGGGAGGCTGAGGCAGGAGAATGGTTTGAACCCAGGAGGCAGAGGTTGCAGTGAACCGAGATCACGCCACTGTATTCCAACCTGGACGACAGAGGAAAAAAAAAAAAGTTTTTCAACAAATGATGCTGGGGCAAGTAGATACATATATGCAAAATAATGAAGCTGAACCCCTACCTCACATTATACACAAAAATTAACTCAAAATGAATCAAATACCTAAATATAAGAACTAAAACTATAAAACTTTCAGAAGATAGGCTGGGTGCGGTGGCTCATGCTTGTAATCCCAGCACTTCGGGAGGCCGAGGCGGGCAGATCACGAGGTCAGGAGATCGAGACCATCCTGGCTAACACAGTGAAACCCCGTCTCTACTAAAAATACAAAAAATTAGCCAGGCGTGGCGGCGGGCGCCCGTAGTCCCAGCTACTGGGGAGGCTGAGGCAGGAGAATGGCGTGAACCCGGGAGGCGGAGCTTGCAGTGAGCTGAGATCGTGCCACTGCACTCCAGCCTGGGCAACAGAGCAAGACTCCGTCTTAAAAAAAAAAAAGCTCAAACCAGAGTTCCCAAGTATCTGTCATCAGGAGAAAGATAAACAGTGACTATGTAACTATTTACATAATACTATATAGAAATGAAAAATGAATAAACTACTGCTATACAGATAACAGAGATGAATCTAACAATGTTGAGTGAAAAAAGCCACACACAAAAGAGTATATGTTGTGCGATTCTGTTTATATATAAACTTCCATGAATAAGTGAAGTTAATCTATGCTGTTAGAAGTTAGCATAGTTGGCAGCTGGGCACAGTGGCTCATGCCTGTAATCCCAGCAATGTGGGAGGCCAAGGCAAGCAGATCACTTGAGGCCAGGAGTTCGAGACCATCCTGGCCAACATGGTGAAAACCCGTCTCTACTAAAAATACAAAAATTAGCCAGGTGTGGTGGCATGCACCTGTAATTCCCAAGCTACTTGGGAGGCTGATGCACAAGAATCCTTTGAACCTGGGAAGCGGAGGTTCCAGTGAGTCATGATCGCACCACTGTACTCCAGCCTGGGTGATAGAGCTAGACCCTGTCTCAAAAAAAAAAAAAAAAAAGAGAGAAGACAAAATCCACCTCCCCCACCCCCAACCCAGGACAGCTGGAGTTACTCCCTCCTCCCCCTCCCACAGGCTGTTTGCCCCATCTTGTCTCCTCAGGAGGAAGCACTGGTCCAGGAGTGCAATTAAGCACTAAGAAGAGCACTGGAGTTCACCATCTGATTAAGGGGTCGCCAGCCGTGGGCTTGTCCTTGCAGCTTCCTTCCCCTGCCTCACTGTGGGCCTCCTAGGCTGGTGCCCTGCAGGGTATGATCCCCTGCCCACCCACAGGAGGGCTCTCTGCCCAACCTACCATCAGGATCCAGTCTGGGAAGGGGATCCCAGATGTGCCCTCCATCCCACCCGTGCCCACAACTTCTCCAGCTGCTCTGGGGAACAAAAGGGACACACAGGTGGAAGGCCCAAGTTCCTACCCTCCTGGCCCATAAGACTAGGCTCATCTGGGCTTTGAGGAGGAAGCAGCACCTTGGTGATAACCCCCAAGGGGCTGCCCTGGCTATGGGCGAACACTGTGCTTGACACAAGCTCCCGGCTCACTCTCTACCCACTGCTCTGAAGCTGCCTAGGCCCAGCAGGATCTAACACACTGGGTGAGCCTGGGTGTGAGGTCACCACCAGCCAGGCGCCTTGGGGAGAATCCTTGCTTTTGGCCAACACATGACCGCCAAGAATGCTGTCTTCAGGTTTGTCCACACCCATGTGACTATAGCACAATCATCTGTGCCTAAGGGGAGCCAGGACCAGACACCATTAGGGAGGCCAGGTCCTGCACAGTGGCATGGCCTCGGGACAGGCTGCAGGACAGACGCTGGGTCTATCAAAAGTGGGGATGGGCGGGGTAAGCTCTGGCCAGGAGGGAGAAATCACAGGGGCTCAGGGAAGGGATTTCAAAAACCACATGGGGTGGGAAGGCCAGCCTCATCTGAGGGAATAGCACGAGCAATGACATGGGGGCAGGAGGTCCCAGGGACTCTCTGTGAAGCATTAGGAGCCACCCTGAGGTCAGTGGGGAGTTTGAAGACAATGGAGAGGGCTTGGGGAGGAAGGGCAGCTGCAACCAGACCCCAGGGCTTTGTCAAGCAGAGGACGAAATGGGGAGTTGAGGGCAAGTCGGGGCAGGGAGGGGCAGGCCTGGGGGCCTGTGAAGCAAACAGCACCTGACCTCTGCGAGTGCCTCATCTCTGTTATCTCCCTGTCCTCATCCACGAGCATGGCAGAAACAGTAATGGCCTGCTGTTCACGGGCACACAGCACACTGGGTCTGGAGTCACTGGGACCTTGCTCACTCAGGCCCTAAGTCTCATTCTAAGAGTCCCATGGGGACAAGAGGCTGCCGGTCCCTGTCAGGGCAGTGCAGGCTCTGGGTGGCCCCTCTTCATTCACCGTAAGGGCTCAGGTGAACTGCCCACATCCAGACTCCATCCTTAAAGGACAGCAGCACCCATTAGCTGTGGAACTGATCATGTGACTCTGTCAGAGGCGTTTGAACCAGAACAACTCCATCTTGAATAGGGACTGGGTAAAATGAGGCTGAGATCTACTGGGCTACATTCCAGGAAGACAGGCATTCTTAGTCACAGGATGTGATAGGAGGTTGGCACAAGATACAGGTCATAAAGACATAAAACAGGCTGCAGTAATTACTGATAAAACACTAACTGCTGATAAAACAGGTTGCAGTAATTACTACAAACCCACCAAAACCCAACAAAACCAAGATGGCAAGGAGAGTGATCTCCGGTTGTCCTCACTGCTCATTATATGCTAATTATAATACATTAGCATGTTAAAAGACACTCCCATCAGGACCATGACAGTTTACAGATGCCATGGCCCTGTGATGGCCCCAGTTTACAGATGCCACAGCCCGAGGTACCCACTGTGTAATGTCTGGAAGTTACCTACATGGTCTAAAAAATGGGAGGGACCCTCAGCTCTGGGAACTGTACACCCCTTTCCCAGAAAACTTGTGAATAATCCATCCCTTGTTTAGCATATAATCAAGAAATAACTATAAGTATCCTTAAGCCAGCAGCTCAAGTCACTGTTCTGCCTATGGAGTAGCAATTCTTTATTCCTTTACTTTCTTAATAAACTTGCTTTCGCTTTACTCTATGGACTCGCCTTGAATTCTTTCTTGCGTGAGATTCAAGAACCCTCTCTTGGGATCTGGATCAGCACCACTTTCCAGTAATATCTTCAGCTGCCTCGAACTGAGCACACCCTGTGTGTTAGATTGTTTTAGCAGCTCCATGACCGGAGCCCTGAACATGTTCCCCCTTTACACACACACACAGAGAAACTGAGGCACAACAGAGCTCAATGCTTGCCAAGGGTGCACAGTCTGGCTGTAGCGTGGGATGGTGCAGGGCTGGAGACAGAAGGCTGGCAGAATAGGCCTCAGGATGGAAAACAGGGCAGTAAGGATCCTGTCCAACAGATGAGCCCAGTGCCCCACCCCACCCAAACCCCTAGGAGATAGAGAAGGCAGGCCAGGTCCCAGGGGTACCTGTGAGCACGGGCCCATCTGTGCCCACCACCCCCATCTCAGGGAAGCACAGCCAACATCCCCTGCTAGCACCTCTGAAATAAGCTGCAGGGGCAGGGCTATGTGACTGTGGTGGGCGCCAATCACAATGTGCCTCGATTTCCTCATGTGAAACCTGGGTTAATAATGTCACCAATCTGAGCTTAGTGCTATGGGGATTTAGTCAGTTAACATAATTCACTTACCAGAGCCTATGTGGCCTCCTACTCCACCCACCCCCTGACGATAGGAGCTTTAAAATACAGGTTCAGGGAGTTACTCCTTGTTCTCCTCTCCAGGCATCCCACTGCCTTTCGGATGCCCAAGAAGGAGGCAACTCCTCCAGAGTCAGCATATCTCTGACTCAGGATGTGGTTGAGGCTATTGTCAATGGACCAGTGTTAACATGCTGAGATCCTGACAACCCCAGTGTGGGGCAGCGCGTGGGAGACTGGGTGGCTTTAGAATGAGCCCATACCAGACGCTTAGGCCCTCATCACCCCAAATAGAGGCTGAGATCCAGAAACAGAAGCTGGACGATGAAGGAAGAGTAAAAGATTACGACCAACAACAGGTTACAGTTACCTTTGCGGTTTTCATTCTTTCCTGACGCCAGTACCAGCAAAGCTCCCAGTTATCACCTGGGCACACCCACCACCTTAGAACAACTCTTCAAGTGTTACTTTCTGTGAAAGTAAAACTATACATATAGGCTGGAAGGGCTGAAACCCTGACCTGTGCCTAGTGCAGAGGAGGAAACAGTGGCAGGTGATCAGAGCCTGGGAGGATGGGGAAGTGCGCCAGGTGGAAGGAACAGCAAAGCAAAAGGTAGGACAAGGTGGGGCCAGAAGGAGAACTAGGTCCTCACACCAGGGCCTCTGAACCCCTGGACAAGAATCTCTTTCCCTCCCTCCTCAGCCACATAGGCCTCCTGCTTCGCCGAGGTGCCCCACTGTGCAAGAGGCACCCACTGCCCTGCCCACTTCCCGGCGGCACAGCAGGAGAGCCAACGGGTATGTGCACACCTGAAGCCAGGCTGCCTGGGCCCACGTCCTGGCTCTGCCACTGGTCAGCTATGACTTGGTGAGCTCCGCCCTCACTGTGCCTGTCAATGGGGCTACGGGGCCAAGTTCCCATGGTTGGGCGTGTGTAAGCCCACCCTGATGCTTAGGCAGCATGGGCACCAGGTCAGGGTCATCCACAATCAGCCCATTTATGAGAAGTGGCAGGGCTTGAAGAGCAGCCCCAGGCCAGTGCCTGCACCCTCCCACCTGCTGCCACAAGATTGGTCCCTGATGGTCCCCCCAAGGCTAGGTGCTGGTTCCAAAGTGGCCTCACTGTCCTTCTGCATATGGAAGATGTCCTTACTCTGTAGCCAGCTAGTGGGGCTGCCTGGCTCTGTGGCAACTACCTAATTACAGTTTCCTCAGCTACAAAGGAAAGTCACCCCCCTCCCTCCCCACTCTCAAGAGAGAATGTGGATATCTCCACAATAAGAGCTGGCCATCAGCCCTAGCTAGTAGAGGTTGCCCCTTCAGTCTCCGGACAAACCTGTACAGGGAGTTGAAACAGGTCTGCACAGGAGACTGAGAACCAACCCCACTTGCCGACCTTCCACTGGGCTCTGGCTCCCTGGAGAAGGCCTACACCACCAGGGCAGGGGAACCAGGCCTCCAGGCAGGGCTGTCCCAGGGAATTCTCTTTCATCCTAAACCAGTTTGGCCATCTGATACAACAGGAACAACACTTGCCAAGCCAGGAGAGCCAGCCGCAGCATTCCAATGAGGCAGGACTTGTTCCAGGATGCAGTTTCCACAACAAAACTGGGAGCCTCAATTCCTTCATCTGCTAGGCTGATCCAGCACCACCCACTCATAGCCAGCTGGTCCCACACTTGTCCCTGAAGGGCCATGATGCCTGCCCCAGGGTGGGCCCAGCCTCCTGGGAACGGCGGGCCTGGGCATCCCAGGAATCCCACTAGTCCTAGCCTGGCTGCCTCGGTTGGGCCCTCCCACCACCTGCTAAGGTGGAGACACTGCTGGGCTCCTTGTCAGGGCTGGTCCAAGCAGGGGGAAGGTCTGATCCTCATCCACTCGACGGGCTGTGAATACCTTCTGCTCAGCACCCACCTTTCCACCCAGGCTTGTTGAAAAATCCCAGGGACTGGCTTTACCATCCCCTCAATGTTTACTAACAGCACTTATTAGCGCTTACTGCATGCCTGGTCTCTGGTAGGTACCAATGATACCAGGACAACAGACTATCAGGCCTCCCAAGACCCAAGTCCGAGGGCCTGTAGCCCAGACAGTCAGCTGAGACCACAAATCCTCCCATCCTGGGGAATCACAGGATGATAAAACTCACTTGATTACGGATTGTCAGTATCCCAGGCTCTCTATTCCCCACAACCACAGTGAGGAGCCCGTGAAGGCTCGGTCAACACTTTACTGTTTTGAAGCAGTATTCCTATCAGAAGTTCACACTTGGCAGGCAGGGAGGCAAAGCCTTTGGAGCAAGACCCGACCCCCGACCACGATTTTACTCCTTGAGAGGGGTAATAGGCAAAGAAATCTGCAGAGCCAGGAAACAGCAATTCAAGTCCAGCACCCACCTCCTTCACAATCATGCGGTCAGTAAACACTGATCAAATGGCAGACTTGCCCCCCCAAAACTGCCACAAGCCACAGGGTTTCAACACTTGATGGAGTCAAAGGGAAATCAGGTGTTTCCGAGGCCTTAAAAGGAGCTGGGGTGGTCTGCAGGACAGGAGAGGACCTGGAGGCCTCAGACACCTTGCTCCACTCCGGGAAGGTCTGCATGTGCTGTTCAGGGTCCTGCCCTGCATAGCCAGGACTCCGCAGGAGACCAAGTGGCATCAAGCCTTATTACAGTCACCAGGGTTCTCAGGCCTATTAAGCTGACATAAATACAAGCTCAACAATATTATTATGAGATAAAGAATTTACAGCATTATGACATTAAACTCACTCATAGGTTAATCAAACCTATCGTGACCCAAACAGCCTAGTACAAAATACATCAAAGTGTCAACCACGCAGAGAGAGAGATGGGGGGCTCTGCAATAGCCAGCAAATCAGAACTGGCAGAGACATGAAGTCTCCATACCAGGACTCAGGGCATAAGGAAATGATATCACAAGAGGATGCAGAATGACATCAGAGCAATCTAAAAAAGGAAGAAATTCCATTTATGTGTTGGTGTACCACGGAACAAAGTAAAAGACAGTATTTCACATAAGTTTTCTGTAAATCTGAAACTGTTCTAAAAAATATATGCTGTAAAAATGTTAGCATACACTCAAACATGTGAAAATTGAAAAATGATCTCTTAAATATATCTGTATTAGAGAAGGTATACAGAACAAAACAACGGGAAATCAAATAAACAAAAAATAGAAACAAATCATATCAAAACTTCAGGATCACGGCCAAAGCAGTACTGTGCTGGGGCGGGGAGGGGGGGCGTTGTGGTGGATTGCACTAAAAATAAATAATGATAAAAAGAAACAGTCTCTCTAGACGGGGATTGCAAAAACTGAATAAAGTAACAAGCAGAAGTCTCACAAAGGGGAAGTGATATAACAAAAACCCAGAAACAAAAGAAAAAACAAAGCAACCATGTTTGTGTATTTTTTTAACCAGCTAATGACTGTATTCAGGTTGGCAAGTCTGTGCAAAGTACATACCCCAAAACCAGGGAACTGAACACTTACCAACCTGTCCAGTCCCCACAGGCAACGTGAGGACTGAGCTACTGCATTGCTGGTTCCACCCCACAGCCATTGGCAAGATGGGCATCGGCACCAGCAGGCCTGCCTCACAGGAGAACTGACCCAGGGAGTGCATGCCCAGGAGGGAGTCTGGGTGCTGTGTAGCACAGCAGGTCTTGAGCTCAGGTCTCGGCCTAAAGTGTCCCTGTCCACAACCATATCCACTCAAACAAATAATGAGAAAGGAAAACAGAAAGACATGCCCTATCAGTTCCTGATGTATCTGTTGAACACTCCTGTTCAGTTTGCTGAGTTTGTAATGTCCTCTCTAAGGGAGAAGAAAAGACATTACAAACTCAACGGGAATGTTCAGCAGGTATGTCATGAACTTATCTGCTGGTTTCAACAGATCTTCCCTTCCAAAGGGCAGGGACTCATGGACCAACTCCACGCCCAACACAGATGCAAAAACCTGACAAAATCTCAGCAAACAGAAGTAACCATTTACCTTAAGAGTTATTCACTGTGATCAGAAGACCTTGCCCAGGAACATAAAACCAGGGTAAACCAATTCAATTTTTAAAATCTATATTCAGCATCTGCTATGAAACAAGATAAGCCAACAAGTAAGTAAACCATATAGATTGCCTGAGGCAAACTACCAATATTTCTGCCACAAACTAATATTTTTAAAGGAATTTAAAATGTCATCTATGCTAAGATGCTTTCACCATAATTTAGCCTGAACTCTTCTCAACTGAAGCACTTGAAAAGTGGATGTGGTAATTTTCTTTTTTTTCTTTATGTCATAAAAAGAGCATCAATAGAGTAAATCTTACCTGGATAGATTTAAAACAAAAGCAAACATAACAAATAATGGAATGCATTAATAAATAATGGAGAAGCATTGGTAAATGAAGATGCATTTGAGTTACCCACTCTCCCCTTAAAAGGAGAAGGCAGGACTACACTCTCACCACACTTAAAAGACATCAGAAGAGAAAAAAGCGTACTGCTAAATTCCTATTTTTTGCAGGTGATGATTTTGTCTAGAAAATGCACCAAGAAACATCCTCAAAAAGGTCAGAGATTTCAAATATACCAAGATACCCATAAAATCCTCCCAAATTAAACTGTTGAGTTATGAACACAAAAAAGAGCAATTACATTCATAATCTTGACCTAAAAAATTAACCCCCAGATATTAACTTAACTAGAAACATAAGATTTATCCAAAGAAAATTATAAAAATACTAATGAGAAAATTATAAAAATACTAATGAGAAAGACAGAATGTAAGTTGGAAGGTAAGATTCCTTGAGTTGTCATGTAGATTCATGTGATATGGGTACCACAGCTACAGACCTGGAAGGAAGCTGCCTCAAATCTTCTGGGGATTACTTCAGAATAATAGTGAAATTTATCTCAAAGATTTAGCAAGCAAAAAGACTCTCCTGCTTACCTCCACCAAAAAATGTTAAAAAGACATAATCCACGTCATAATATTCACCCTTTTAAAGTGTACCATTCAGTGGTTTTTAGTACATTCACAGAGTTGGGTGAACATCACCATTAATTCCACATTTCTTTTTTTTTTTTTTCTTTTTTTTTGAGATGGAGTCTCGCTCTGTTGCCCAGCCTGGAGTGCAGTGGCGCGATCTTGGCTCACTGCAAGCTCCACCTCCCAGGTTCACGATATTCTCCTGCCTCGGCCTCCCGAGTAGCTGGGACTACAGGCACCTGCCACCATGCCTGGCTAATTTTTTGTATGTTTAGTAGAGATGGGGTTTCACCATGTTGGCCAGGATGGTCCGATCTCCTGACCTCGTGATCCGCCCACCTCGACCTCCCAAAGTGCTGGGATTACAGGCGTGAGCCACTGTGCCCGGCCTAATTCCACATTTCTATCACCCCCCCCAAAGAAACTCTGTCCCCATTAGCAGTCACTCTTCAGCTCTCCCCACTGCCATCCTGAAAACCAATCTATTTTCCATCTCTATGAATGTGTCTATTCTGGACATTTCAGTCTTTTGTGACTGGCCTCTTCACTAAGCATAATGTTTTCAAGGTTCGCCCATGTTGTAGTATGTATAAGAATTCCCTTCCCTTTCATGGTCAAATAATATTCCATTGTATGAACAGATCACATTTGTTTATCCATTCATCATTTGACAGACACTTGGGTTGTTTCCACTTTTAGGCTATTATAAGTGGAACTGCTAGGTCATGTGGTATCTTCAACTTTTTTTGAGGAACTGCCAAATTTTCCACAAGGGCTATCCCATTTTATATGTTCCCACTTGCAACATAGGAGGATTCCAATTTTCCCACTCCTCTCCAGGACTTCTTATTGTCTATTTTTTGGTTACAGCCATCCCAGTGGATATGAGATCTCTTCCCATTTTCTTTCTTTTTTTGGAAGACAGGGTCTCACTCTGTCACCCAGACTGGAGTGTAGTGGTGAGATCACAGCTCCCTTCAGCCTTAACCTCCTGGGCCCAAGCAATCCTCCTGCCTCAGCCTCCTGAGTGGCTGGGACTACAGGCACGTGCCACCATGCCAGCTTTTTTTTTTTTTTTTTTTTTTAAGAGATGGGGTCTCACTATGTTGCCCATGCTAGTCTTGAACTCCTGGGCTCAAGTGAGCCCCCACTTTGGCCTCCAAAAGTGCTGGGATTATACGCACAAGATACCGTGTTCAGCCTCTTTCCATTTTATTTAAAAAAGTATTAGTAACAATAATAGCCACCACTCTATAAGTCTCCTTAAGTATATTATTTCACTTAACGCCTATCTCAAAGTTCTCAGGAGAACCCATGTTCCCATTTTATGGAGGAAGAAACTAAGGCTCCAAAAGGCCAAAATTGTGACAGGGCAGAAGCACAGATGGAAGAGAGCCATCTCTGCCTGCTCCATGCTGGGTCCTTCTGCTGCATCGCTGGGTCAGAACTACTGCCTGATGGCAAAGGGCTCCATATCCTGAATATATAAAGATCTCCTACACGTACATGAGAAAAAGACAGACACCCAAGAAGAACATTGGAAGAAGGTCTTGAAAAGGCTCTTTATAAAAGAGGCTCTCCAAGTGGCCAGTAAACACAGGAAAAGGTCCATGGGGAATGCAACTTACACCAGAAAGAGCTACTGTGACATACTGATCAGAATGGCTAGTACATAAATCAGTAACACATCAAGTGCCCGTGGTGAGGATGGAGAGGACAGGAGCTCGCCACACACTGCTGTGCTCCTCTAGAAGAAAGCCTGCCCTATGTCACCCTAGCCAGTCCATCCAACAGACACAGGCAACAGCCACCCCATGAGCGTTCTAACAGCTCCAAGCTGAAAACAACCCCAGGGTCGGTCTACCTGACAGTGGGTGAGGAAGGCGTGGTATATCCACACAAATGAATCCCATGTGGCAACGAGTGCCAATAACCTACAAATACAAGCAGCAATGAGGACCAGTCTCACGATGCTGAGTGAACACACAAAAAAAGTACGGTGCAACTCCATCTATAAGAAGTCAAAACCAGGCAAGATATAATCTTTGGTGTCAAAAGCCAGAATGATCACACCTTGACAGGGCTCAGAGAGCAGCTCTGGGAAGCTGACTACATGCAACTTCTTGATCTGTTGGTAGTTACATGGGTGTACTTACTTTGATAATTTATCAAACTATACAATTATGATTTTTATAGTTTCCATATTTACCTTACACTCCAGTAAAAGCTTATTTTTATTAAAAACTAGTGTAATATGAAAACTATTGGGCCAGGCGTGGTGGCTCAAGCCTGTAATCCCAGCACTTTGGGAGGCCGAGGCGGGCGGATCATGAGGTCAAGAGATGAAGACCATCCTGGCTAACATGGTGAAACCCCTCCTCTACTAAAAATACAAAAAATTAGCCAGGTGTGGTGGCACGCGCCTGTAGACCCAGCTACTCAGGAGGCTGAGGCAGGAGAATCACTTGAACCCAGGAGGTGGAGGTAGCAGTGAGCCAAGATTGTGTCACTGCACTCCAGCCTGGATGACAGAGCGAGACTCCGTCTCAGAAAAAAAAAAGAAAAAAAAGGAAAAGCTGCAGAATAGCAAATGTACCCAAGGGATGACATATTTGCCAACATACACACATGCACTTAAAATCTATACATTTTACTATATGTAATTCTAGTTTAAAAGATTAATAAAACCCCAAACCAAACATATCACAGGGAGTTAAATTGCTTGTTATTCATAAAATGGATAATATCAGAAACAAGATGAAAGATCAAATTTTCATAAATGAACTTCAGCAAAAACCTGATATAAGAACACAGGGTCAGGTCAGGAAATGGTGGCAAGAAATGGACTTCAGATTTACACAGGGCCAGATGCTTCAGATCACCCCACAAACAGATGTACAGCCTTGCTAGCAATTCAGGAAAACAACTTACAGTAGCTACAAACACCAGCAGAAACAGAGTCGCAGGGCACACTGGGATGGGGGATGGGAGGGTTCCAGGGCCAGGAGGGAGGTATAGTTGGGAGATGGATGTGAGATGAGCTGGAACCTCTGCCTACTGTTCAGCCCAGTAATGACCCAGATCCAAGAACGGTGTAGAGGCAGTGCGGTGAGGGGAGAAGGGGATCCACCTAACTAAGGGTGGGGACAGGGGAGGGGGGTCCCCTGTCCTGAGGCATCTTCACTGGGCCTGCTCTGTCCAGATGATCCCTCTCCACCCCCAGGTTTTCCCAGCCTTGGGCTGCCGTCAGCACCCCTCCAGCTTTGATGTGGGCCCAGAGGGAGGAAGACAGAGGACAACACAGCTGTTAACAGATAAGCAAGAAGACTCTGGGTGCCCAGGGGAGGGAGGGCAATTACCCCAAGGCATCGCTGCACTTCACAGTTTGCACCAATGTAAGCTCATTAGCTTCTCTCACAGGAGGTATTAGCTCCTCTCACAGGTGAGAAACTGAACTCCGAGAACACACATCTCCATAAACGTTTCCCCAAGAGGGTCTGAAGAGAAAGCAAGAAAGAGAGGCTGATGATCCAGAAGTGGCTGGGCCTGGGCCTAGACCCTGGCCCACAGTGCTCAATTGTCTGACCAGTGCCCCAACCACGCCTGCTCCTCAAAATCACCTGGAGAACTGCAAACTCCCATTCCCAGGTGCATGAACATCTGGGACTCGGCCCTTCCTGGTCTTGGCCTGGAACCTAGAAAGCTTGGACTCAATGTGGGGACTGCCTAACAACTGAGATCTGGCTAAAGCCAGTCATGGTGGTCCCTGGGCCCCACTTCCCACAATTTATGGAGATCATTTCCCTCCTGACACATGGTCCCTCCCTCCCTAGAAGGTTACCTGTGGTGGCAAAGCACGAGTGAAAGGACTGGCCCTCCTGCTCGGACATGTTGATATGTGAATACAGTGGGGAGAGGGGCTTGCTGCAGGCACCACCCAAGAAAGATGGAAGCATTGGCCGGGCATGGTGGCTCACGCCTGTAATCCCAGCACTTTGGGAGGCTGAGGCAGGCAGATCACCTGAGGTCAGGAGTTCAAGACCAGCCTGGCCAACATGGCGAAATCCTGTCTCTACTAAACAATAAAAAATTAGCTGGGCATGGTGGCAGGGGCCTGTAATCTCAACTACTTGGGAGGCTGAGGCAAGAAAAATTGCTTGAACCCGGGAGCAGAGGTTGCAGTGAGCCAAGATCACACCACTGCACTCCAGCCTGGGCGACAGAGTGAGACTCCGTCTCCAAAAAAAAAAAAAAAAAGAAAGAAACATGGAAGCACATGCCACATGTCCACGCCAAGTATGGTACATTCACAATGCCCAGCACCCAACAACAGGTGGACGGCAGTAACTCTAGTATGATGACACAGTGGATGATGCTCAGCAGCAAGAAAACTCACTCCTCATACAAGTAACCGTCGTGATGGCTCTTAGAGAAGCCAGACCCAAAAGACCACACACCAAGTATGAAGAAACCTAATCACTGTAGAAGGCAGGCAGTACGCTGCTGGGTGGACAGGAAGAGTCTGAGCACTTCAGGGTAACCTTCACCATGGGGCAGCCACACGAGAGCACACAACTGCACAACTGCGTGTGGTCTTACAGGCAAATCATACCTCAATTTAAAAATGAGAGCTGCACAAAACAATCAACTAGTCAGCAGCCAGAGCTGCTCCGGAAATGTCTGACTGTTGAGGTCAAAGGCCGCCCTAAAAAATGCAGCCTGGACTGAAATGGGGCTCAGCTCTGTCTCACAGTGAACCACACCAATATGGAAGGTGGGTGGCAGAGGTCTCCCAGCAGCTTCTAGGGAAAGGCCACCAAACTGGTGGCCCACCAAGCTCCCACACAGACCTTCTGGATGACTTCCCTGGTGGGTCCCCAGTAGGCCAAATCTCAGAGCCAGTATGTCACCGGGGGCCAAGAGGGTAAATGGACCTGTCCACCATCTGCACCATCAACAACAGCAGCCACAGGCCTGACCCCCTCTTAGGTGCTGACCCTTGCCATCTCGGCCTAGTGCGAGAGGCTGGGCAGCTCTGTGGAGAAGCACTTTGCCCAGGCCCCTGGCTACACTGGGAAGCAGGTCTGCATGCTGGTATGCTTTCTTCCAAAGTCCCCGCCAGGCTCCTGGGTGAGGTCCTGACCTGCATCTCTTTCATCGCCACAAGTGTAGGCAACAGCTCCAGGGATATGGCTCAGGACAGGGGGGTCACCAGGGAGTCAGTAGGGAGGGCCAGACTCACCGGGCAGGATGGAAAAGTCCAGCAGCTGTCCCAGGACAGCAGAATTCCCTCCAGCCTAACATTACCCTCACTTCAGCCAGCACCCCCATCACTTTAGCTCACTGATGCTGAGAAATAGCTCAGGCAGAAGGCAGGGCCGACCATCCAGATATACACACAGTGTGGGTGGGGCAAGGCCTCTCACACGGGAAGGGTTCAGGCCTGTCCTTGTGGGCAGATGGACGCCCACGTCCACCACACATCTGCACCTCCTTGGTGAGTGCAGGAACGGAGTGAGGAGCCCAAGCCCAGCAAGTGGCAAGGCTCAGGAAGCATCTGTGGCATGAATGGAAGACAGACAGGGGGAACCTATGCACACAGCTGGGAGGTGACAGGCCCCACACCCGAAGTGGGCTGACAGCATGGCAGGTCAAGGGCATAGCCAGATGCTGGGGTGCTGAGAGTGCAGAATATGAATATGGCTGCATATGTATGAATATGTATGCCATATGTATGAATACGGCTGAGTGAGGCTAGGACTGCAGGGAACTCCAGGGGTACAGGGTGGGCAGGCATTGCAGGTTCTTTTGGGACATCTCCTCTTTCATCCCTCTCTCTCCAGCCAGTGGAGGGGACACACCCCCGTGACTCAGCAGCAGGAATGGCTCCCAGGCTTGCCCCTGTCCTGGGTCTTCCCCTTAGCTCATGCACACTCCAGAGAGGTACAGAGAGGCATCCCAGGTTCTCCACTTGGGGGGTTGTACCCCTCTCCAGGGCTGAATCACGCACGATGTGCACAGCAGGGAGGATTCAAACCCCCGGGTGTAAACTGCAATGACAGGATAGTGCTCCCACACTCATCTTTCCCCTGGGATCATTCTGGAAGTGTAAACACTCCTGAGACTGATTTAATAGGTCTGAGTGTGGCCCCTGAGCTTTAGAATTTTTGAAAGTCCCCCAGTGACCCTGGGGTACAAGCAGACTAGTCAGCTCCACATGCTTCTACTGGAACCCAAGTCAGCTAAGAAGCCAGAAATAGACCTGTTGACTACCTGGGCCCCTCACAGACACAATGACCCACCCAGTGGGATCCCATGGGTGTTATATGGGAGACCCTACCTCACCATCCCCTCAGCCAGCTCTTCCCATCCATCCCCAGCTGGGTGGGGATGCTCCAGCATCACTAAACCAACTCCCTCCTCTCTTTATTCAAAAGGTACTTCCTAAGCAGATACAGGCAACAAAGGATGTGGGGTCCAGGGCCCCCAGGAGCGGACAGAGGTGGGTGTGAATCATGTGTCTTCACACAAGCCCTGCAAAGTAAAAACTTTTATTGTTCCCTTTCATGGGTGAACAAACTGAGGATCAACAAGGTGAGATGATTCATCTGAGTGGGACCATAAGGCTTCTCACTCCAAAATCCATTTTTCTTCTTTGCAGCAGGGTGGTTCCCAGAGGAGATGGTACAGGGAGGGGCAAGGGGGTAACAGGAGAGGGGGCAGGAGGTGGAGTTGGTCCCTGAGGAACTCAGACAGCCTCACCTGGCAGGTAGACAGGGAGGAGGGAGGAGGCCCAGGAGCACTCAAGCAGGAGCCTGGGAAGGCTGCAGGAGTCCCTGCAAGACAGGGTGGGGCCTCTTGAGGACTGGGGTCCAGGCCAGGAAAAGAGGGTGGGGCCTCCTGGGAACTGGGGTCCAGGCCAGGAGGCAGCGCCCGCCCACCTCTGCCAGCCTATATCTATCAAGCTGTACGCTGCAGGACCAGCCCAGGCCCAAGCCCCTCTGCAGGCCCATCTGTCCCTCACACCACAGGAGGCTGAGGGGCACTGGCCCACCCTTCCTACTGGGTGGCTTTGGAACTGCATTTCCCCAAGGAGGACTTACACTTGTGGATGCGGGGATCGCTAGGACTCAGGGCTGAGAGGCACCCACACAGGGAACACTGTAGGGCTGTGGTGCTTGTCACCAGCCTCTGCCCACCCATGGCCCCTCCTCTGTGAGGCCCACATCAATCGGAAGCAGCCATCCCATCACCAACCGTGAACCCCAGCTGCCCTGGGCAACGTCCAAATGCTAAGCTGCTTTTAGAAAACTGGGAATTCATCCCTGGGCAGGAGGGATTTAGCCAGAATTGGGTGCCATTTAGAGAAGATTACACCCTAATTGCCCCAGTGTCAGCAGACAGGCTTCTGGCCAGCTGCACCCAGGGCTGGCAAAGGTCCCCACAGACCCTAGCTACCCCGCCCAAGACACAGAAGCCAGTCCTGGGGCCTGGGGACCAGCCCTCATCTTCCATGGCAGCTGGCTGCCCTGACACAAATCTCCATTCAACAGCTTGTAGTCAGGGCAAGAGGGGACAGCTTGGGGGCCCTGCCACGCAGCTGTCCAGACGGCATCTGTTCCAAACGAGGGGAGGATGGCACAGTGGGCACAGCAGTCTGGGCCAGGCTGGGCTGAAAGCCACAGGAGAGCATGGCTGCAGCCCGGGTTTTCTCCTGACTTCATCTCAAACCCTCATCACACTTCTTCACCTTATTAGCACTGTTTTAGAAAGAGACACCAGTAAGGTTCACAGTCAGCAAGTGGCAGGAGAATCTTACGCCATCTCCTCGCAATCCCCAGAGTTCTTCCCACCACAGGATGAACTATGAGGGTGGAGCCTGAGGAGAGGGAACTCTTGTTCAATGCTGGCGGAAATACAAAATGGTATTCGCATTTGGAAGAGTCTGGCAGTTTCTCACAAAGCTAAATACAGTCTTATCATACAATCCAGCGATCAGACTCTTCAGGTAATTACCCAAATGGTAATTACCTGCACTAGAACTTGTACGTGAATGTTTAAAGCAGCTTTATTCATATTTGCCAAAAAGTAGAAGCAACTAAGATGTCTTTCAATAGGTGAACAGATAAATTGTGGTTCACCCATATTATTGTGATTTAAGAAAAAAAAAAAGAGCAATCAAGCCATGAAAAAACATGGATAAATCTTAAGTGCATATTGCTAAGTGAAAGAAGCCAGTCTGAAAAGGGCTACATACTGTATGATTCCAATTATGTGACATTCTGGAAAAGGCAAAACCGTAATGATGGTAAAAAGATCAGTGGTTGCCAGAGGTTGACGGGGGTGGATTTAAACAGGTGAAGCATAGGGTTTTTTTTTTAAGGCAGTGAAACTATTCTGTATGATCCTGTAATGGTAGATAAATGCCACTGCATTTATAAAAACAAAAAGTGAACCTTAATATTAGTATGTGAATTGTTTTAAAAATTCATTTGGGAGATCAAGGGATCCTGGGCTGGAATGTAGAATGTGACAAAATAATCTAATTGTATTACAAATGTATCAAACAACCTCACTGAAGGGGATGGGGGAATAAAGTACTAACTTAAGTAACTTTTTCTTTTTATTTGTTTTTTTTGAGATAGAGTCGCTCTGTTGCCCAGGCTGGAGTGCAGTGGCGAGATCTCAGCTCACTGCAACCTCTGCCTCTTGGGTTCAAGCAATTCTCCTGCCTCAGCCTCCCAAGAAGGTGGGACTACAGGCACACACCACCAAGCCTGGCTAATTTTTGTATTTTTAGTAGAGATGAGGTTTCACCATGTTGGCCAGGGTGGTTGGTTTTTTGTTGTTGTTGTTGTTGTTGTTGTTGTTGTTTTGAGACAGAGTCTTACTCTGTCCCCCAGGTTGGAATGCAGTGGTACAATCTCGGCTCACTGCAACCTCGGCTTCCTGGGTTCAAGTGATTCTCCTGCCTCAGTCTTCCAAGTAGCTGGGACTGCAGACACCTGGGACCACGCCCGGCTAATTTTTGCATTTTTAGTAGAGACGGGTTTTCGTCATGTTGGCCAGGCTGGCTCCTGACCTCAGGTGATCTATCCTCCTTGGCCTCCCAAAGTGCTAGGATTACAGGTGTGAGCCACTGAGCCCAGCCCTAACTTAAGTAACTTTGGAAATAAGTAGAGTCTATAAGACTAAAGGCAAAAGAATTACACAAAAGCACTGTAACTCTAGTTGATAAAATTGTTTCCCATGGGGACCCAGGTTAACAATTCTGTTACTGCTGTACATGTGAACTGGAATGAAACAATTAAGTTACTGGATGGTGGATGGTGGGAGCCAGGTGTCTCACTGTTGGAGTGGGAGGTTACAGATAAGCAAGGGAAGGTGGTAAGAACGATCTACGTGGTAATGGATTACAGTTCTTACATCAGTATGAACTCATGGTTAACTAAATATACATACAGGTGTATTTATTGACATATGTATATACATGGGTTAGTATACACTAACTGCATTTTTTTTTTTTTTTGAGATGGAGTTTTGCTCCTGTCGCCCAGGCTGGAGTGTAATGATGCGATCTTGGCACACTGCAACCTCCGCCTCCTGGGTTCAAGTAATTCTCCTGCCTCAGCCTCCTGGGTAGCTGGGATTACAGGCGCCCACCACCACGAACAGCTAATTTTTGTATTTTTAGTAGAGACGAGGTTTCCCCATGTTGGCCAGGCTGGTCTCGAACTCCTAACCTCACGTGATCCACCCGCCTCGGCCTCCCAAAGTGCTGGGATTACAGGCATGAGCCACTGCGCCCAGCCACTAACTAACTGCATGTTCAAAACAATCTCCTTGTTCTGTTGCTGACAGGCCTTAAATCAAAGACACCCTAATAGCAATGAGCACACATAGCAACCAGATCTTGGTTTCTAACATCTTTCTCAACTAAAGAAACCAGGGCTTCTTGGGGTAAATAGCTGATTCTAGGACTGAGGGAGGAAACAGATAAGCCTGCAACATCTTGTAGTGCCAGAAAGGAAGGAAGCACTTTAAAAAAAAAAAAAGAGGCACCATGATGTGGTATGTTAAAGGGGGTATAAGAGCCATCTGAAAGAGCTCTCAAGAGCCAAAGCTGGAGCAATTTGAGCAACAAAATGAGGTAATGTTGGATTATAACCCAAAGTATAAAATAAACTTTCATGGGCTGGGCACAGTGGCTCATGCCTGGAATCCCAGCACTTTAGAAGGCCAAGATAGGAGAAGTACATAAGCCAAGGAATTAAAGACGAGCCTGGGCAACATAATGAGACCATGTACCTACTAAAAAAATCAAAAAATTAGCTAGGGGTGGTGGCACATGCTACTGGGGAGACTGAGGTGGAAAGATCACTTGAGCCCAGGAGGTCAAAGTTGCAGTGAGTCACGATCACACCACTCCACTCCAGCCTGGGCGACAGAGTGAGACCCTGTCCCAAATAAAATAAATAAAATGAACTTTCATGAGTCTACATTGATATAATAAACAAGAGTGGGAGGGAGGGAAAAGTCTGCCATGCAGAAAAATCGCAAATAATTTATGTAGATAGCACCCTGCCCTCAAAGAGGTGGAGCAAACTCCCTACTCAAGTATGGGTTATGCACAGTAATTTCCTTCCCGAGAATACAGTATGGACAGGAAGAGAAAGAATAACTTTAGAGTGGCGGTCAGGTGATCAAGGTCAACAGCAGCAGTGACAGGTCATGCTGACAATACACACTCTTGATATGTGATGAGAAGGGCATTTACTTCTGTGATCTTCCTCCCCCAAACCCATAATCCCAATCTAACCACGAGAAAAAACATCAGACAAATTCCAAGTGAAAAACATTCTACTAAACACCTGATCAATCTTCTTGAAAACTGTCAAGGTCATCAAGAACAGGGAAGGTCTGAGAAACTGTCACAGTCAACTGGAGCCTAAGGAGACACAACAACTAAATGTAATGTGATATCCTAGACAATACTTGGGACAGAAAAAGGACATCAGGTAAAAACTAAGGCAATCTGAATAAAGTATTCATAATAATGCCATGATATTGGTTCATCCATTGTAACAAATATACCACACTAATGTACAATGTTATAATAAGGAGGCAGCTGGGTGTGGGGTATACAGCAACTCTGTACTATTTTTCAAATTTTTCTATAAATCTAAAAATTTTCTAAAGTAGTTCATTTTTTAAAATTAATGATAAAAGGGCAGCACAGTTTTTTATTTTATTTTATTTTTTTTGAGACGGAGTCTTGCTCTGTCGCCCAGGCTGGAGTGCAGTGGCGCAATCTCAGCTCACCACAAGCTCCGCCTTCCGGGTTCACATCATTCTCCTGCCTCAGCCTCCTGAGTAGCTGGGACTACAGGCACCCGCCACCAAGGCCGGCTAATTTTTTTGTATTTTTAGTAGAGATGGGGTTTCACCGTGTTAGCCAGGATGGTCTCGATCTCCTGACCTCATGATCCGCCTGCCTCGTCCTCCCAAAGTGCTGGGATTACAGGCGTGAGCCACCGTGCCCGGCCGGTAGCACAGTTTTATACACGTTCAATGGCTTAAAGACACATAAGTCTGTAATTCCAGCACCTTGGGAGGCTGAGACAGGCGGATCACGAGGTCAGGAGATCAAGACCATCCCAGCTAACACCGTGAAACCCCGTCACTACTAAAAATACAAAAAAATTAGCCGGGCATGGTGGCGGGTGCCTGTAGTCGGAGCTACTCGGGAGGCTGAGGCAGGAGAATGGCGTGAACCCGGGAGGCGGAGCTTGCAGTAAGCCAAGATCGCGCCACTGCACTCCAGCCTGGGCGAGAGAGCAAGACTACATCTCAAAAAAAAAAAAAAAGACACATAAGTGCTACAATACACATGACACTTTATCTTAAGAAGCCCTGAGGTTTGCCAGTGGGTGTGATGTCACGGCTGGCAACTCATCAGCTACCTGAGGTGGTAGAAGGTGGGTGTTCTGAAATGGAATGGGAAGCTGTAGGTGCGTGTATCCTGTGTATCCTCACATAGCTCAGGTAGGCCGGGTGCAGGGCTCTGTGTACACTAGTGTTTTTTGAGGAGAAAACTGTACGTAGGCAAATACAAAATTCTCATCGTGTTCAAACTGTTCCCTCATATATCAATCAGTCTGGAACAAATTTACATTTTCAAAAGACACGTTATAGCAGAACTGTGCTTCACAGAAGTAATAAAATTGGCCTGATCCAATCAGTGAACAGGGAAGTGCAACTTAAACCACAATGAGATGCCATTATCTGTTATGGGAAGTCAGGGACCCCAAACAGAGAGACCGGCTGAAGCCATGGCAGAAGAACGTGGATTGTGAAGATTTCATGGACATTTATTAGTTCCCCAAATTAATACTTTTGTAATTTCTTATGCCTGTCTTTACTGCAATCTCTAAACATAAATTGTGAAGATTTCATGTACACTTATCACTTCCCCAATCAATACCCTTGTGATTTCCTATGCCTGTCTTTACTTTAATCTCTTAATCCTGTCAGCTGAGAAGGATGTATGTCACCTCAGGACCCTGTAATAATTGCATTAACTGCACAAATTGTACAGCATGTGTGTTTGAGCAATATGAAATGTGGGCACCTTGAAAAAAAGAACAGGATAACAGCAATTGTTCAGGGAACAAGAGAGATAACCTTAAACTCTGACCACTGGTGAGCCGGGCAGAACAGAGCCATATTTCTCTTCTTTCAAAAGCAAATGGGAGAAATATCACTGAATTCTTTTTCTCAGCATGGAACGTCCCTGAGAAAGAGAATGCACACCTAGGGGTAGGTCTCTGAACTGGCCCCCCTGGGGCATACCTGTCTCTTATGGTCGAGATTGCAGAGGTGAGATAGACTCCAGTTTCCCATAGCGCTCCCAGGCTTATTAGGAAGAGGAAATTCCCGCCTAATAAATTTTGGTCAGACCAGTTGATCTCAAAACCCTGTCTCCTGATAAGATGTTATCAATAACAATGGTGCCCGAAACTTCATTAGCAATTTTAATTTCGCCTCGGTCCTGTGGTCCTGTGATCTTGCCCTGCCTCCACTTGCCTCATGATATTCTATTACCTTGTAAAGTACTTGATGTCTGTGACCCACACCTATTCGCACACTCCCTCCCCTTTTGAAACTCCCTAATAAAAACTTGCTGGTTTTTGCGGCTTGTGGGGCATCACGGAACCTACCGACATGTGATGTCTCCCCCGGATGCCCAGCTTTAAAATTTCTCTCTTTTGTACTCTGTCCCTTTATTTCTCAAGCTGGCCGACACTTAAGGAAAATGAAAAGAACTTACGTGAATATCGGGGCATGTTCCCCGATAATTATCTTAGGTCACATTTTAGGACACCCAAGGAATCCCCTAGGCTTATGGACATGCTTGTCATCAACCAGCCCTTACACCCCAGCATGTTGTGAGGGTGGTACTGAGGGAACATGGGTGTGAGGAAGAAGGGCAGAGCAAAGCAGATGGGGAGCCCAGGCAGCAGGCAACACATGCCTGCAAAGCAGCTGCGTCCTGGGCCTGAGCCCGCCATGATGCTGTCACTAGAGGGAGAAATTGATCCACCTCCAAGGGCGTCAGGAATGCACTGGCCTAAAACAAGGAAACTGAGGCCCAGAGAGGGGAGAGACTGGCTCCAGGTCACAGAAGTCAAGCCAAGAATGGCTGAGTCCACTGCCATGCTAGTAAGAGTATGAGTGGTCCTCACTATGACCTCAGCACCCTCAATGGTAGGACAGTGACAATACTAGTTCCTCCCTTCTGGTTTAGAAGGGCTTGGCATCTACACCCACTAGATGACAACATCACCTCAGGTGGGCAGAGCTCCACAGTAAAGGCTGGGGCGACAGATGAACCAGAATAGGTGATGACAATGCAGCAATGCAAGAGCCAAGCCATGATGCATCAGCTGAAGGAGGCACCCTGGCTACTTTTTTTTTTTTTTTGTCTGAGACGGAGTCTCGCTCTGTTGCCCAGGCTGGAGTGCAGTGGCACGATCTCGGCTCACTGCAAGCTCCGCCTCCCGGGTTCATGCCATTCTCCTGCCTCAGCCTCCCAAGTAGCTGGGACTACAGGTGCCTGCCACCAAGCCCGGCTAATTTTTTGTATTTTTAGTAGAGACGGGGTTTCACCGTGTTAGCCAGGATGGTCTCGATCTGCTGACCTCGTGATCCGCCTGCCTCAGCCTCCCAAAGTGCTGGGATTACAGGCGTGAGCCACTGCGCCCGGCCCCTGGCTAATATTTTAAAAAAGAAAAGAGAGGCCAGGCACAGTGGCTCACGCCTGTAATCCCAGCACTTTGGGAGGCCGAGGCAGGCAGATCATGAGGTCAGGAGTTCAAGACCTGCCTAACAGGATGAAACCCTGTCTCTACTAAAAATACAAAAGTTAGCCAGACGTGGTGGTGCACGCCTGTAATCCCAGCTACTCAGGAGGCTCAGGCAGGAGAATCGCTTGAACCCGGGAGGCAGAGGTTGCAGTGAGCAGACATCGCGCCACTGCACTACAGCCTGGGCAACAGAGTGAGACTCCGTCTCAAAAAAAAAAAAAGGAAATAAAAGAGAAAGACAAGAGTAAGGTGTCTGGCAGGGGCAGATAAAGTGGGAATCTCCGCCTACCGGCACCCTCCACAGCATAAAAATAGAGTAGCCAGGGCTAATGCCAGTGCAGTATGAAAGGGGACAGGACAGGCCACACATGGCGCTGTCTTTAAAATGACAAGGTCTGTAATCCTAGCACCTTGCTGGGCCGAGGCAGACTGATTGCCTGAACTCAGGAATTCAAGACCAGCCCGGGCAACATGGTGAAACCCCGCCTCTACTAAAATACAAAAAATTAGCCAGGTGTGGCAGTGTGCACCTATGGTCCCAGCTACTTTGGAGGCTGAGGTAGGAGAGTTGCTTGAACACAGGAGGCAGAGATTGCAGTGAGCCAAGATCACGCCACTGCACTCCAGCCTGGGCGACAGAACGAGACTGTCTCCAAAAAAAAAAAAAAAAAAAAAAAAAAATTGAGAAGGCCTTCAACCAAATGCAACCTGCAGATCCTGCTTGGCTTCTGAAGAAACAAAGTAACTGTAAAATGAAATTTATGAGCCAAACTGGGGAAATCCAAACACTGACTGGACAACAGATGACACTAAAGAATTTTTGTTAGTTTCTTAGGTGTGAAAGTTCAACAATGGTTAAGTTTTGTAAGAAAAGATTCTATTTTCTATTAGCTGGGCATGGTGGCAGGCGCCTATAGTCCCAGCTACTGCGGGGGGGCGGGGGGGAGCTGAGGCAGGAGAATGGTGTGAACCCAGGAGGCGGAGCTTGCAGTAAGCCGAGATCGCGCCATTGTACTCCAGCCTGGGTGACAGAGTGAGACTCCATCTCAAAAAAAAAAAGAAAAGATTCTATTTTCTTAGCAAAACAACTGATATACTTACAGACACAGCTACACAGGATGAACTGCGGTAGAAACAAGACCGGCCACAGCTGCAAACTGCAGGTGCAGGGCAGGAGCATACATGGACTCACTCTATTACTCTCTCCACCTTTGATTATGTGGAAACATCCAACAAAGAAGGTGGCTTTAAAAAATGAGTAAAGGCTGGGCGCGGTGGCTCACGCCTGTAATCCCAGCACTTTGGGAGGCTGAGGCGAGTGGATCATCTGAGGTCAACAGTTTGAGACCAGTCTGACCAACATGGTGAAACCTCATCTCTACTAAAAATACAAAAATTAGCCGGGCGTGGTGGTGGGCTCCTGTAATCCCAGCTACTCGGGAGGCTGAGGCAGGAGAATTGCTTGAACCTGGAAGGCAGAGTTTGCAGTGAGTCGAGATCGTGCCACTGCACTCCACGCTGGGCAACAGAGCTAGACTCTGTCTCAAATAATAATAATAATAATAATAATAATATGAATAAATAAATAAATAAGTAAATAATGAGTAAAGCAGCCAGGCGCAGTGGCTCACGCCTGTAATCCCAGCACTTTGGGAGGCTGAGGCAGGCAGATCACCCGAGGTCAGGAGTTCGAGACCAGCCTGGCTAACATGGAGAAACCTCGTCTCTACTAAAAATACAAAAATTAGCCAGGTGTGGTGGCGCGCACCTGTAATCCCAGCTACTCAGGAGGCTGAGGCATGAGAATCACTTGAACTCGGGAAGCAGAGGTTACAGTGAGCCAAGATCGAGCTACTGTACTCCAGCCTGGGCAACATAACAAGACTCCGTCTCAAAAAAAAAAAAAAAAAGGCTGGGCGTGGTGGCTCATGCCTGTAATCCCAGCACTTTGGGAGGCCAAGGCAGGCGGATCACCTGAGGTCAGGAGTTCGAGACCAGCCTGACCAACATGGAGAAACCCCATCTCTACTAAAAATACAAAAAAAATTAGCCGGGCATGGTGGCACATGCCTATAATCCCAGCTACTAGGGAGGCTGAGGCAGGAGAATCGCTGGAACCTGGGAGGCGGAGGTTGTGGTGAGCCAAGATCGCGCCATTGCACTCCAGCCTGGGCAACAAAAGCGAAACTCCGTCTCAAAAAAAAAAAAGCAAACTATAGATCAGGCGTGGTAGCTCACATCTCTAATCCCAACACTTTGCAGGCCAAGGCGGGAGGATCGCTCAAGCCCAGGAGTTCAAGAGCAGCCTGGGCAACACAGTGAGACCCTGACTCTACCAAAATAAATAAATAATAATAATAATAAATTAAAAAGTAAAAAGCCAACTATAAAAAGCAAACCATGACAATTATTTCATATAGTAACACAACAGTATAAGTTAGAAGTACCACAGAACCTCTGGATCCACAGAAACCTTCCTGTCTTTATCTACTTGAATTAAACCTGCTTTTATGTATCTCAGAGTAGCAACAAACTAACTTTAACAAAAAACAACTATTACAGATGCACAAAGCCTTTCCCCTGTGTTTGATGGTGTCTTGTACACATCACACACTCACAAGGGAAGAAGAGCTGGCAGAGAGAAACACCCAGTGCTCCCCACATTTGTCCTGCGCCATCTACACAGGTCCTATTGACACTGTTCTCTCCACTTTCTGCTGTTCTTAAAGTGAATGTATGATTTTTTAAAACACAGTAGCTTCTAAAAAAGAAGCTGGGCCCCCAGTGACCTCCTCCTAACCCTAACCCTGGCCTGCAATGCTCTGAGGGTGGCAAGGGGAGCCTGCCTGCCACTCAGTCCCCATCTCTCCATCCACCTCCCACAGCAGAGCAGAGCCCAGCTTGGGACAGCAGGGTTTGAGCCCAAGGAGGCAGCTAGGCAGCCACATTGGGCCCTCTCCTGCTCCAGAGTTCGGCTTCAGAGGCCACACTCTGAACACTGGACAACACAGGGTCTAAGGCCAATGCTTTACCTGTCAAAGCCTGCATAGTCCTGGCCAGCCCTGGCCACCAGCCACCACCACCTCAAACAGCTGGTGTACTGTCTGAGAAGAAACCAAATCTTTCTTACCCCCGATGTGTGTAACAGTTTCATCTGGTCCACCTATGTGGGGAAGCAGGTCTGACTGACTGGGGGATGCCCAAAACTGACAAAGAAGAAACTGATCTCCTCCCTCAAAGGAAGGGACTGTGGTCCCTAAGTGACAGGGGAGACCTAGCAGGAATCCTATATGGACCTGGGCCGGATGCTCAGACACAAGGGCACAGGGACACCACTCCCTGACCTTGGGGGCTCACAGAGCACTGGGCCAAGGTAACAGGCATCATCATTAACCTATCACGGCCCAGACAGGCAGCGGCTCATCCAGGGCCGCAAGCTCCTGGGAGACCAGGCAGGGCCCAGACTCCCCCTGTGGAGTCAGTATGGAGTTCACAGGGACAGACATCATATACAGTCGGTCCTGCTCAGGTGGTGCCAGGCACCCCCAGGGGCCCAGGGGCTCCCAGCACTGGGCCTGGCCTTCCTCTGGATCCACCTGCTAAGCCACAAAGCATGCTCGCTTGGCATCCCCAAAGACGAGCTGCTCCATCACAGCTGTGCCTGCCTTGAATCCCATGGAGGGTGGCCAGGTCCACGCCTCCACATGCTGGCAGGGCTGGCCTGGAGCACACCATCCGCATGCCTAGGGCTGGGCAGATTCCCTGGCCAGGTCCCAGGATGATTGAGATACACAAGTGCCCAGTCGCCAGGCCCTACAGGAAGAAACAGCACCAGGGCTCGATGTGGGAGTTTCAGACATTTTTAAAAGTGTAAGGGTCCCTAAAGATTCCTTCATGACCCCCTGCCCCATATTCTAAAAGTGGGGAAAGAGAGGCCCAGCGGGGAGAGAATTGCCCAACAATTAGTGACAACAGTGTAGCCACATGGTCATCATCTTTGGATGCCTATAGCTGCCTCTCCCCAACTGTCAGACCCATCTGTGCTTCAGGTATTCACAGGGCCCCAGCTCCCACCCAAGCCAGGCTTCCTCATACCAACAGCAGACCACTGCCACCACCCAGCCCCCTGAAAGGCCCTTGGGTCTCCCAGAGCCTCCTTGCTCCCAACAGCCTTCTGTTCAGAAATGGACACAACAATGTTCTCAGGGGTTATCAGACGAATGGGAGAATCCCACACTTGCTTTAACCAAGACCAGGACTTTTCCTGCTCTGGAAGCAAACAATCAAAGAGGCTGGGCCTCACCCCCAGTAACTCTGCAGAGGAACCTCCTGGAGGGTCCTCTGCCAATCACCCTATTGCCCCCACTTCCTGCAGCTGCCCAGGTGCTGGGAACAGGGCTCAGCAAGTCCAGAAGGCAGCAGGCAGGGGAATTTTAGAGACACCCAAGCTTGAAGGGCAGGTGGGACTTCTAAGACAAAGGGTGAATGTGGGCACAGGAGAGGTAGGGCAGTCCCAAGCCAGGCTGTAGGGGCCTGAGACAATGCTTAGGGCAGCCCTTGGGAGGTGGCAATGGAAGCCACTTGAGACTGAGCAGGGACAAGGATAAGAACGGGGAGAAGCTGCAGGTGCAGCAGCAAGGAGACAGAGACCTGAGTGAGGCATGAGATTCAGTCCGCAGAAGACCTACGAAGCACTTGCTGCGTGTTGGGTGCTGTGCCCAGTCCAACACCCAATTCCACCCACGTGCACCTCTCAGACAAGGACAATGGTGCTCCAGAGCTTGACACTATGACACCAAGGTGGCACACCAAGGCAGTGAGGGTGTCCAGACCTCCTCTCTGAGCCTGAGCTCAGGTGGAGTCAAGACTGTTCTCAGACCTCCCCCATTACCCTCCCCTGACCATGAGGACCACATGGGCACCTAGCCTTAGCCCACCTAGCTACAGTCCCTGCCTGTGCCCTGAAGGCAGGAGCTGCCACCTCAGCACACCTGTCCTCTTAAAGCTACAGCTAAGAACACAGAACAAAGTGTCTCACGGCCACGCAGGACCAGGAACACCAGGTTGCTGACCAAAGCCCATCTAATTCTCTTCCCCACCATTCCAGGGAGAGGAAGGGAAAGGGCACAGTGGGAACGGGGACAGATATGGTCTTAACTGAGTCAGGCTCAAGAAATCACTAGCAGAATGATTAGGCAAAATCAACCAGGGGGCACCCACCTCACTTGTGGTCTCAGCCAGCACCGTGCTATGTTGTCAGCAGGACACAGACACTTCCCCCATCCCATGAGAAAGGCAACAGGACTGGCACTGTCTCCCATTCATCACCACAAGACCCTCCTCAGCTCTGATCAGAAACCCACACACTGGGACCAGCAGGCCAGCGTCCTTCCCTCAACGATCCTATTATCTACAAATGCAGGGCAGAAGTACAAGCAACTCCATTTGGAGCACAATTTATTAGTAACTAAATGCACTTTAGTTCAAGAAATAAAGTTTTCTAAAGAATTAAGGCGGTACACCGCTCTACAGGAGAAAAAAAACCCCACAATTATTGACTCCTTAAATCTTGTGGTTTTTTTTAAATGAAGAGTTAATATTTTCAACTATAATACTGGCCATAATTAAATAGGTTAGCAAGAGCCTGTGTTGGCATGGGTGTGAGGAACACGCATGCTGTTGATGGGGGGTGAACTGGTACAAACTTTCTGGCAACATCTACTGAAACTGAAACGCTGATGCACATTCCTCTAGACTCTGCTAGAGACCGAGCAGAAACATTCTTATCCCACCTTACAAAGGAGAACTAGATTCAGAACAGAGCAGTAATTTGTCCAAGGCCATGTGGCCAGTACATGGAAGCCAGGTGGTGACAAAAAACAAGCAAGCAGACGCCTAAAGAGTACCCACAGAAACAGGTATACCCTCTTCCTGATTCTGCTAGGGACTCACCCTCCAGATACATGCCACGAAAATGCCAAGATTCTTCACTGTGCCAAAACGTTTGTGTCAGAATAGCAAAGACCTGACAAATGAAGGGCACCAAAGCGGGGACAAGTTAAGTCAGCGACAATTCCTTCTCACAGAGGACACTGCCAAACCCAAGCTGTGGACAGAGACAGGGACTGTAGAGGCTGCCCAGGAGCGGCTCACGATGCACTTGGTAGGAGGAAGAGGGCTGCTTCACTGTGTGCAGAGGGAAAAGCGCCCTAACAGATAGTGCTGCCTGCTGGAGAGGGTGAGCCCCGCTACAGGAGACCAGAAACTGGCCGAGTCCACTCCCACTCCATATTCTCAGAGCCCCCTGCCTCCCTATCACACGCCCCACCCTAAGATGGGGACTCTTGCAAGAGCAGCTGCATCTCACCCCTCTTGTAGCTCCAGCGCCACTGGAGCATGCATTGCAGAAGGTGCCAATACCTGCTGACAGACAACAGAATCGAGTCCTGAGGGCGATGGGGGAGGACCCAGCTCCTGCTGGCCCAGGGTCAGCCATTGACTGGTACTAACTGAGCACCTGCTCTGCCCAGACATCCAAGCATCTGCTTGGATTCATTCTCTGCTCTCCACAGACGGGTCTCCTCAGACACGGGGGAGGCAAGGAAGGCTGCAAATGATTTAGGCACCTGTCTGGGCTGACTGGGAGCAGAGGTGCCAGGTGATAAGCCTGGAAACCAAGAGCCAAGGGCTCACCAGGACACACTCAAGTGGGGGAAGGGAGCACACCACCAAGCTATACTCCTGACCGCACACCAGTCCTTTCCAAATACATGACCCTCACAACAATCCTTTCTGGGCACGCAGTACTGCACTCCCATTTTGCAGAGGGGGAAACTAAGACTCACGGAGGGCCTCTACCCAAAGCCACATCACTAGCAAGGGGCACAGCCTGGATCCAAACCCTGGTGTATCCTCCCAGAAAGCAATTCCTGCAAACAACGCTATGGAGTCAGGGAACGGGAGAAGAGAAGCTGGGGAAGGACTGTCCAAGACTCCCGCTGCCCTGCCGCCTGGAGACCCTCGACCAGCCTGGTGGTCTAACCTACTCTCCCCCCAGTGGGAATGACACAGACCACTGAGGTCTCCGTCCAAGAGGAACACAGCAAGCCACAGCGAGGGGAAGGGCCCGAGAAGCGGGGCTGGACAGGAAGTGGGCCAGGGAAGTCATGCTAGCTGGTGGGAGCGCAATCCCGGCCATGAGGACACAGCGCTGGGCCTGGGGCAAGGGTACTGGGGGACCCATGCCAGGGGCAACCTCCACGTGCAACCCCGAGCCCCTACTCACTTAGGCCGCTGTCCACGACCTTTCCCCACCTCGGAGGCACTCATGAAAGAAGCAGAAACGCTCCGAAAGTAGCTGCGCCCAGAGAGGGGAAGTGCTTTCTCTGAAGGTGACAGAGCCGCAGCCACCCAGACCCAGGCCCACCCTCGGCCTCTCCCAGCGGGTCACCAGCATCCGTGGCCTCAGCTCCCGGCTCAGCCACTGCCCTCCCAACCCCACCCCACACTCAGACACACCCGGAACAGCGACCACCGCAAAGCATCAGCCCTTACGAAGCCCCGCCCCGCCGGGGCCGCCCAGGTCCGCACAGAAGCAGGCGGGCAGCTGCAGGAGGCGACAAGGCGCCCGGACCCCTGCATTAGCGGCGTCTGCAACGGCCGCGGCACCGGCCTGCTAGCCAAGGCCGGGCCCACTCCCACATACTGCCCGTGCCCCCTCCGCCCCGGCGGCCCACCCCTGCCGGCCCCCGCTTGGCAAGCTGACCTTGGCCGCCCTGGTGCCAGGGACGACGCCCACAGGCCCCGGCGCCGGGCGGGGGTCGCAGGGCAGGGCGGCTCGGCTCACCTCCTTGAGCTGCTCCATCTCGCTGCGGATAGCCTCATAGTCCACCTCGAGCTCCTCGAACTGCAGCTTGAGCTGGTGCTTCTCCTCGAGCACCGCCAGCCCGTACTCGGCCGCCTGGATCTTCTCACGCGTGGTCTCGGCCAGCTCGTGGGACAGCCGCTTCACCTCGGCGCGCAGCCACTCCGGCTGCGCCTCCATCACCAGCCGCGCGTACTCCTCCTCCTCCGACGGCGCCGACATGGTGGCCGAGGGCTGAGCCGGCTCCCACTGAGGCTCTCGCAGGCCGGGCCCTCCTCAGCCGCCGCCGCTGCCGCCGCCGCCGCCGCCCTGCCCCGACGGCCGCCCGCCCGCCCGCGCCGCCGCACGGCTCCTCCCCTCCGGCGCGCGGGGCCCGCTGGGGGCTGGAGTCCTGCCTGCGCTCCGACCACAAGGTCCATCATGCCCGGCGCCCGCCCGGCCCCCGGCTATGATTGGCCCATGCTCTGTGAGGGGCGGGCCCTCGGGCGCAGCCACTGACGCCAATGTGGCCCAGGGGGCTGTGGGGACAGTAGTCCCGCTAGCGCACCGACTACAAAACCCGTCCAGCCCCGCGCCCACCCGTCCCCGTCCGTGATTGGCCTGCGCCGCCAGCGTCGAGCCGGATGTACCGGCGCCTTGCAGTCCCCTGGACGGCGGTCGAGTGGGCGCGGCCCCGCGGCCTTCCCCACACTCAGAGCCGGGGACACTGCTCGGTCGCCGGGCCTCGCGCTCCCCTGTGCCTCTGGCAGCCGGCGGCCACGCGGGGTGGCAAGACGGCTGCCGGGAGAACCCCCAGGGGGAGGCGGGTGCGGGGCGGCAGGACTGGGCTCCCGACCGTGGGACGAACAACGCGGACAGAGCCCGGGAGGCCACGAGCTAGAAGCGCATCCGAGAGCGCGGGTGAACGGCTGCTGCTGGAAACCCGTGGACGGTGTGACGCATGCTCTGTGCAGACGTCTGGGGGCGGGAGGAGGACGGGCCAGCAGGGGGCGCCCAGGGGCCAGCGGGAACCTCAGCACCGCCCCTCAGTCCTTCAAGGTCTATTTCTTGGGAATAAAGACATTTCCATTAATACAGGGTCATAAACGTGGTAAATATAATTGTTGTCTCCGCATCTATTTTTAGGCCTGACTTAAGTTGTTTGAAAGCCAGTCGTACCCTTCGCCTTGGCGTAGGTAACACTTCTCCGTATATGGTGGTGTGTGAGATAACTCGTTTATTCTTTATCTCATTGACCTAAAGCGCAACACACCCCACAGCCGCTGACCGCCATAGCACCTAATGGCCAGTATCAGTGCAGATGAGTTCACCCTTCCCTCGTATTTTCTTTAGCCAGTCCACAGGCCCCAAGGGAAATCCTAAAGGATGATTTCCATGGACCCTAGCACAGCCATAGTCCCTTCCTTCCCACCGTCTCTCACTGCCCCTCTCCATCTGCTTGTCCGCCTCTCTTAGGCATCCCTAACCTCTCCGGAACCTAAGAATAATAAATTCCTTCTGTTTTGTACCTTTTAATTTTACTTTCTCATTGTATCTCACCTGAACCCCACACCCATTCGGTTCTCCTAGAGAGTGGCTATCTTGGCTTATGGTCACTCTCCCTCAAGACCAAATTAGAAAGAAGCCATGACAGCAGAAATCACAGCACACAGGGTACTGACACTATCTAATGCACAGTCCACACTCTAATTGCACGAGGGCCCAACACCATACTGGAGAGTTTCAGTATTGTTTTTGTGGTCCAGGATCCAGTTGCATTCAGTCGTCAGGTTTCCTGAGTCTCCTTTGATTGACCTTTCTGAGGAGTGCAGTGCACACTGGTATATGCTCATGGGGTGATGAGGTGATGCGTTTCTGGCAGGACTGTCACTGAGGTGTTGCTGAGTTTTCAGAGCACCAGCCGGGAGGTATGTGATGTCGATTTGCATTTCTCTGATTGATGCTGGGTTTTTCTTTGGTAATTAGTGTCATGAGTGAAGACTTTGCAACCATAGATATAGCCTATGACTCCTCAAACCTTGACCCACTGGTTTTGGCATTCATGACTACTTCTTGCCTGAAATAATTATTACCATACTGTCTGCTTTTTTTTTTTTTTTTTTTTTTTTTTTTTTGAGACAGAGTCTCGCTCTGTCCCCAGGCTGGAGGGCAGAGATGCAATTTCGGCTCACTGCAACCTCTGCTTCCCGGGTTCAAGTGATTCTGCCTCAGCCTCCCGAGTAGCTGGGACTACAGGCGCATGCCACCATGCCCAGCTAATTTTTTTTTTTTTTTTTTTTTTTTTAGTAGAGAGTGGGTTTCACCATGTTGGCCAGGATGGTCTCGATCTCTTGACCTCGTGATCTGCCTGCCTCGGCCTCCCAAAGTGTTAAGATTACAGGCGTGAGCGACCGCGACCAGCCATACTGGCTGCTTTTCTATTTCCATTAGTCCTTCTCCATTTATGAGTTGCCTTTGTACTGTGAGGCACCTATACCTTCTCATCTATTCCCTTCTCTCTCATTCATTAGCAGTATGGATCCATGGATTCTTATTTTACTCCGTGGGTTACAATCCATTACTTTCCTTACTTGCTTTGATGCTCAAATGGTAGCAGATTTGGCCCGTGGGAGCTCCTCCAAGCTGGCTCCATGTCTTCAAAACATCGTAATTTGTTATTATTGTTATTACTTCCTTGATGTCTGATGCAAATTGTTCCAAGATCATCTTGTGCTCTCCATGTCCCAGACCTGAAATCAGTCATTTCCCCAAGGAGCCCTGATTCTTTTTAGTGTTTTGTTTGTCTGAGGAGAATGTGTCATAGATTGGCTTGTGAAATTAACTAATTTTAAGGAGTTCAGTTGTAGTAGGAATAGGAAGACCAACCTTCCTGGCTTACCTGGGACTGTCTTGGGCTGGGCAAATTGTTAACTGTAAGTGGGAGAGCTCCCAGTGTAAAGAAGGAACAAGACTTGTTTGAGTGTGTACTTAGCAAGGGAGGGACTGATGCCCCACAGTGACTTGCCCAAGGTCACACAGCCTCAGGGCAACACCTGCACCTGATCCAGGCTGATCTGACTCGAACCTCCCCACCCCCCGCCATACCTTGCTGTGGGGCAGGTCTGAGGAGGGAGGGAGAAAGACCATGGGAGTCCCACGCAGGGACTGACCATGGCGCTTTGAACTTGGAAACAGGTGGTGGTGGAAGGGAGGCCAGGGAAGGTTTCAGGAACATTCTGTTACAGGTAGGGACTCTCCTAGGTGCTGGGGGCAGAGGGTCTGTCACTACCCTTGTGGTCTTCCTTCTGGCAGGAGGGACAGCTCTGGGTGCGAGTGGCAATGTGTGATGGGGTGGGGTGGATCGGGAAAGGCTTCCCTGAGAAGACACCTGAGGGAGACCCAGAGGATGCACAGGAACTGGCCAGCCCAAGGCTGCAGGAATAGGGGGCTTGCAAAGATAAGAGAAGCAGGGTGATCCTGGCAGCAGATAATGAGCCACCTCTTACTGAGCTCTGCATGTGTTCCCAACATTGCCAGGTACGTGACATACATCTTCTCATTCAATCTTCACAATACCCTGAGGGGTAGAAATGATGCCACCTTCTTCTCCTCAAGTCTCTCTGTCTCTGGCCAGACTCTTCTCCAAAGTTACACCATCAAGCTGTCACTCTGAAGTCAAGCCGCTTCTCTCCAACATCCAGCCATAGTCCCCGACATCCAGCTGCTTCTCCTGTCTGCTGGCTGAGCCTGGGGTCCTTATAGGCAAAGGATGGGGCAGGGCGGGGCCATGGGTAGTTTAGGAAACAGCGACATTTGAGTGGGAAACAGGGATATAAGTTCTTATTTTGGGCTGCGGTTTCAGGCCTTTCAGCTTGACGGTGAGGCTTCACCAGGGACCCGCCCTTTTCTACCTGGAATTTCTCTGCCCCAGTCCCTATCACCTGGACCATTACCGTCACCCTCTCACTGCCTCCTTGCCTCCTCCTTCCCCTAGGCTTCTCTCACAGCAGGGCAGCCAAGAGTTTCCTTAGACCCAAGTCAGGTCCCATTCCCACTCTGCTCAAAACCCAACCAAAGTCAAAGCCCCATCATCACAGCTACCTCCAAGGCCCTGCACGCTCAAGTGTGGCCCTTCCTCAACCTCTTCCTTCCCCTCTCCTCTTGTGTAGCTCTTGTAAACCAAAAAGTATCTGAGACAAATCTTAATCAACTCAGAAAGTTTATTTTGCCAAGGTTAAGGATGCATCCATGACACAGCCTTAGGAGATCCTAATGACATGTGCCCAAGGTGGTCAAGGTACAGCTTGCTTTTATACATTTTTGGGAGACATAATGTCAGAGACATTTGAACCAGAGCAACTCCATCTCAAATAGGGGCTGAGTAAAATAAGGCTGAGACCTACTGGGCAGCATTCCCAGGAAGTTAGGCATTCTAACTCACAGGATGAGATAGGAGGTTGGCACAAGATAAAGGTCACAAAGACCGTGCTGATAAAACAGGTTGCAGTAAAGAAGCCAGACAAGGCTGGGCACGGTGGCTCACGCCTTTAATCCGAGCACTTTGGGAGGCTGAGGCGGGCAGATGACCTGAGGTCAGGAATGCGAGACCAACCTGGCCACCATGGTGAAACCCCGTCTCTACTAAAAAAATACAAAAATTAGCCGGGAGTGGTGGCGGGTGCCTGTAATCCCAGCTACTCGGGAGGCTGAGGCAGGAGAATTGCTTGAACCCGAGAGGCAGAGTTTGCAGTGAGCCAAGATCACGCCACCACACTCCAGCCTGGGTGACAGAACGAGACTCTGCCTCAAAAAAAAAAAAGAAGGCAGACAAAACCCACCAAAACCAAGATGGCAATAAAAGTGACCTCTAGTCATTCTCACTGCTCATAATGTGCTAGTTATAATGCATTAGCATGCTAAGACACTCACACCAGCGCCGTGACAGTTTACAAATGCCATGCCAATGTCAGGAAGTTACCCTATATGGTCTAACAAGGGGATGAACCCTCAGTTCTGCAAAGTGCCTACCACTTCCCCAGAAAACTCATGAATAATCCACCCTTCTTTAGCATATCATCAAGAAATGACTATAAGTATCCTTAGTCAAGCAGCCCATGATGCTGCTCTGCCTATGGAGTAGCCACTCTTTATTCCTTTACTTTCCTAATAAACTTGCTTTCACTTTACTCTATGGAGTCACCCAGAATTCTTTTTTGCACGAAGTCCAGGAACCCTCTTTTGGGGTCTGGATCAGAACCCCTTTCCAGTAACAGTGATACATCAATCAATACATGTAAGATTTACATTGGTTCCATCTAGAAGGGCGGGACAACTTGAAGTGTACAAGGGGTGGGGGGTCTTCCAGGTCTTAGGTAGATTTAAACATATTCTGACTGCAATTGGTTGAAAAAGTTATTTATTATCAGTAGAAAGGAATGTCTGGTTTATCATCAGGGGTTGTAAAGGCTGAGGTTTTATCATGCATATGAAACCTTTAAATAGCAGGCTTTAGATATACTAGACTGTAAATGTTTCTTATCAGACTTAAAGTTTGTGTTGATGTAAAATAAACCCTGGGCATGTCCAACCCCCACTTCATGTCATGGCCTGAACAGGTTAGTCTTTCAAGTTAAATTTTAGAATGCCCTGGCTGAGGAGGAGGTTCATTCAGATGGTTGGGCGTGCCTTCAAATTTTATTTTTGGTTACACCCTCACGGCTGTAGGCTGCAGACTCCCTTCCCTGGTTCTATTTCCCTCCCTCTGTTGCATACTGTATGTTGTGCATATTCACCTTTGTGCACTTATGTCCCCCTAGAATGTTAGCTCTAGGAGGGCAGGAGCTTTGATGAGGCCTAGTGAGTCTTGGGACCCATATCAGGGACACCAACCAAGGTCCCTTAGGGGTCAGGGCTCAGCGGATACAGACCAGGCTGGGCTCACCATGCACCACTTCCTGGACACAAGCGCCCTCCACCAGGAAGGCAGGATACATAAGATAAGGGAGGCGGCCTCAGCAGAGGTGGGAGGGAGAGGGGCTTGAGGGGTGTCAGGGAACAGCTGGGTGGCTCCCTCTAGGAGAACTGGACCGCTTAGCTGGGGCCTGGCAACAAAACAGGAAGTGATGTTCTCCCAACCAAGCTGCTCTGCCTTTGCACATAAACAAAGACTCCCCAGGGGCCCAGGCAAAGGCTGGCAGTGTCCTCACACACAGACATGCCCAGGCTCAAACCTAACCTGGTGTGTAGTCACTCTGGCAGCTCAGCCTCCCCTCCTTCCTCACTGTTCCCTGGAGAGCTCTGCCTACCCACGTAAGCACCTTCCCCTGTCTCCTCTCTGCCCCTCACTGGCTGAGGAGTAAAGCCATCTCCCCAACAGGTGATGGCCTGCCAGGTGTATGTGGCTTGGGCCACCCGCATGGTGAGTCACATGGCAGCCCCCACACTTTCATGCTGTATGACGTCAAAGGATCTTTGGCCCAGGTTGGGCATGGTGGCTCACGCCTGTAATCCCAGCATTTTGAGACACCAAGGCAGGTGAATCACCTGAGGTCAGGGGTTCAAGGCCAGCCTGGCCAACATGGTGAAGCCCTGTCTCTACTAAAATACAAAAATGAGCTGGGCGTGGTGGCGGGCACCTGTAGTCCCAGCTACTCTGGGACTATTCCCAGCTAGGCTGAGGCAGGAGAATCACTTGAACCTGGAAGGCAGAGATTGCAGTGAGCTGAGATCTCGCCAGCACTCCAGCCTGGGCGACAGAGGAAGACTCTGTCTCAAAGAAAAAAAAAAAGATCTTTGGCCCAGATATCACGCATTTGATAAACTCCTCTGTGCTAGGAATTTAGACAGTAATGATGATGTGGCAGGCCAGGTCTCACTAACAGTTGAACAGGTAGGCCTCCATAACAACTGCTTCAGCACTGACTGAATGGTTAGATAGTAAAGGCTGAAAGAGCCAGTGCGCATACACAATGGCTAGAATGTAACAGACGCCCTCCAAGAGTCTTGCCCGGGCCTCTCCTGGGCCTTGAAACATGTCAAGACAATGAAGGAATTCTTACATTCCTCATACCAGGACCTGTTTAGGATTAAGCAAGTTTTATTAGGGGTCTAAAGAAATTCCCCAGACCTCCATACCTTAGCTGGAGACAAGATAAGGGTAATGACTATCTCAGCCTCCAGAGTAGCTGGGACTACAGGCACACGCCACCACGTCTAGCTAATTTTTGTATTTTTAGTAGAGACGGGGTTTCACCATATTGGTCAGGCTGATCTCGAACTCCTGACCTCAGGTGATCCACCCACCTCAGCCTCCCAAAGTGCTGGGATTATAGGCCTAAGCCACTGTGCCCGGTTGACCCACACCTTAGTTATAGATTACATGGAATCCATCACTTGGGTCTTTAGATGAGTGCACACTAGCAAGTAGACATATAGCTTAGAAGGTGTGTAAGCACTGGAAAAGCTTTGTAACTTTGAGTTGGTCTGGTGAATTGCCCCTGCCCTTCTCCCTGTAACTGTTTACAGAAATAAACTCTTCTTTCCCAGGTCATCTGCATCTCATTACTGGACCAGGAGAACAAGCAGCCCCACCCTCGGTTCAGTCCAGGAACAATGATAGTGGTGAAGACCCCAAAATATGTGCTGAGCATTTACCCTGCTCCAAGCCCTATGTCTAGCACATTGCAAATATTCACTATCTTTCTTAAGCCTCACAAACAGGTTACAAAGCAGGTACCACTGTTTTCATTTTATAGACCAGGAAACTGGAGCACAATAAGGTGGATGACTTGTCCAAGATATCATAGGGTATAACTGGAGAAGCCCAGGATCTGAACCCTGGTCCATGTGACTCCAGATCCCAGCTCCCTGCCCACCAGCCTTCCCTGGGTGCAGCAGGACACAGCCCAGCCCTCGGAGGTTCATGTTGCAGATAGAACAGACTTCAGTGGCTGACTCTGCTGCACTCGGGAGGCTGGGAGAGGCAACACTCCATCTGCAGGACTCAGAAGATGGCACAGAATGGGTGACAGTGGGTTGCATCTCGAGAGAGCAGGTTTTTGCCAGTCGTGGAAAATATGCTCCAGAGAGAAGGCCCCAGAGACACAAAGATGTGGAATCATGGATGAGTGTGGCCCGGGGGTAAATTCAGGGAAGAGGAGCAAGACGGAGTGTGTGTGTGAGTGTGTGTGTCTGCACACACACACACATGCACACTTGCATGGAGAGGTGAGAAAGAGCTGCTGGTGTCTCACAGCCCTGCAGCTCCATGCTGTGTGGGGCTGCAGTTGGCTCAGCGCAGACAGGTTCAGGAGAAGCGATTGTTACATCTTAGCATAGTGTTTTCAAGGCTCAGCCATGTTGTATCAGAAATTCATTCCATTTGTGGCTGAATATTGTTCCATTTGTATGAATGTAGCACATTTTCTTAATCCATTTGTCTGTTAGTATAGGCTGGTTGTTTCTACCCCTTCGACTATTTTTTTTTTTTTTTTTTTGAGACAGAGTCACTCTGTCACCCAGGCTGGAGTGCAGTGGCCCAATCTCGGCTCACTGCAAGCTCTGCCTCCCGGGTTCACACCATTCTCCTGCCTCAGCCTCCTGAGTAACTGGGACTACAGGCACCTGCCACCACACCCAGCTAATTTTTTGTATTTTTAGTGGAGACAGGATTTCACAATGTCAGCCAGGATGGTCTCAATCTCCTGACCTCATGATCCCCCCGCCTCGGCCTCCCAAAGTGCTGGGATTACAGGTGTGAGCCACCGCAACTGGCCCCCTTTGACTATTTTGAATGCTATTGTGAAAATGGCTATACAAGTATCTGCTTGAGGCTCTGCTTTCAATTCTTTTGAGGATGTACCTAGAAGTGGAATTGCTGGGTCATGTAGTAATTTTGTTTGGCTTTTTGCAGAATCGCCATGTTTTTTATAGCAGCCGCACCATTTTACATTGCCACCAGCAAGGCACAAGGGTTCCAATTTCTCCAAATTCTCATCAGTACTTGTTACTTCCATTTTTAAAATAACTGTCCCAAGCCAGGCACGGTGGCTTATGCTTGTAATCCCAGCACTTTGGGAGGCCGAGGCGGGTGGATCACGAGGTCAGGAGATCGAGACCATCCTGGCTACCATGGTGAAACCCTGTCTCTACTAAAAATACAAAAAATTAGCCAGGTGTGGTGGTGCATGCCTGTAGTCCCAGCTACTTGGGAGGCTGAGGCAGGAGAATGACGTGAACCTGGGAGGTGGAGCTTGCAGTAAGCGGAGATAGTGCCACTGCACTCCAGCCTGGGCGATAGAGCGAGACTCCGTCTCAAAAAAACAAACAAACAAACAAACAAAAAAACCGTCCCAGTGGGTGAGAAGTGGTATCTCATTATGGTTTTGATTTGTATGGTTTGGAATCATTACATTTCCCTAATGATCAACTGATATTGAGTATCTTTTCAGGTGCTTATTTGCCGTTTGTGTTTCTTCTTTGAAGAAAATGTGTGGGAAACTGGATGAAGGGTACTTTTCACAACCTCTGTCTTTACTGGGGTTTTCTGTTTGTTGATTCATTGCCATAATCCATTCTTTTGCTTATTTAAATAGGGATTTCTTTAACTTTTTGAACTTATTTGTAATAGCTGCTTTGCTTTGAAGCCTCTGTCTGCTAAATCCAATATCTGAGGACAATCAGACACAATTTCTATTGAATTCTCTTTTTCCTGAGGATAGGTCTTTGTGTGTCTTATAATGTTTTATTGAATACTTGACATTTGAGATAATGTATTGAAGCAACTCTGGATTCCAATTCCCCCTCTTGTGCACTATTGTTTTTGTTTTGTTTGTTTGTGAACTCTGTCTCCTCAGCAATATGTGGCTGCTTTCTTCTTATTTTATGTTTAAGCCCTGCTTCCTAGGTTTTGCCACTGTGACTTCATACATTAGCATTCAGCTAATGTAAGCATTAGTCAGACTATGCTTACAGCCAATTAGGCTCCCACACTGTGCTGATGGATCTGCAATTTGGCAGCGGAGCACCTTCTAACCACAGGCCACATTCAAGTCTACTCTAGCTGTTAGATTCCACTAGGATCTCTTGCATCTTCTCTGCATAAATAGTCATATTCAGTTGGCCAGAGATGCATGAGTGGCTTCAGCTCAATCCAATCTTTGTTACAGATGTGCTCATCCTCTGCTCAATGTGGCATATGTGAGAGTTTATCAAGCCCCCTATTGCTGTCTCACCACCTGGGCCTCCTTAGCAAAAGCTTATCTATCATTTTGTTCCATTTCTTGTTCCAAAAAGATCTGAGTTTAGGCCAGGTACAGCGGCTCATGCCTGTAATCCCAGCACTTTGGGATGCTGAGGTGGGCAGGTTACTTAAAGTCAAGAGATCGAGACCAGCCTGGCCAATATGGCAAAACCCTGTCTCTACTAAAAATACAAAAATTAACTGGGTGTGATGGTGCATGCCTGTAATCCCAGCTACTGGAGAGGCTGAGACAGAATTGCTTGAACCTGGGAGGTGGAGGTTGCAGTGAGTAGAGATGGCACCACTGCACTCCAGCCTGGGCAGCAAAGTGAGACTGCGTCTCAAGCAAACAAACAAACAAAACAGAAAAGGTCACACTTCAGGTTAGCAGAGCTGCTGGACATCCCTGATCACTTGTCAGTGAGATCCAACTTAGCTGACAGTATTTAAATCAAGTTGGCCGGGTGCGGTGGCTCACGCCTGTAATCCCAGCACTTTGGGAGGCCAAGGCGGGTGGATCACGAGGTCAGGAGATCGAGACCATCCTGGCTAACATGATGAAACCTGGGCGTGGTGGCGAGCGCCTGTAGTCCCAGCTACTTGGGAGGCTGAGGCAGGAGCATGGCTGGTGAACCCAGGAGGCAGAGCTTGCAGTGAGCCAGTGAGCCAAGATCACGCCACTGCACTCCAGCCTGGGCGACAGAGCAAGACTCCATCTCTAAAAAAAATAAAATTAAAAAAAAATCAACCGACATCCCTCTGGTAGTGTAATCAAAGGTAATAGTTTCTTTATCTGCCCCCACATTCATCAAATTAAACAGTGTTGGGAAGTTATGACAGTTTCCCCAGGTAGGAACATCACAGACTTTCGCTATTTGCACCCACAGTTAAGCAATTCTTCCTTCCTTCCTCCCTCCCTCCCTTCCTTCCTTTTTTCTTGCTTTGCTTTGCGACAGAGTTTCACTCTTTTGCCCAGGCTGGAGTGCAGTGGCATGATATTGGCTGACTGTAACCTCCACCTCCTGGGCTCAAGTGATTCTCCAGCCTCAGTCTCCCAAGTAGCTGCAACTACAGGTACGCACCACCAGACCCGGCTAATTTATGTATTTTTTGTAGAGACAGGGTTTCACCATGCTGCCCCAGCTGGTCTTCAACTCCTGAGCTCAAGCAATCTGCCCACCTAGCCCTCCCAACGTATTGGGATTACAGGCATGAGCCACTGCGTCCAGCCTAAGAAATTTTCATGAATGAACACTTCTCAGTTTTATATACACATTTGGCAAATTTCCAGAGCACTGAAACTTTTTTTTAGCTGCCTTGATGGTTTTCTTTTTTTTTTCTTTTCTTTTTTTTTTTTTGAGACGGAGTCTCCCTCTGTTGCCCAGGCTGGAGTGCAGTGGCGCGATCTTGGCTCACTGCAAGCTCCGCCTCCTGGGTTCACGCCATTCTGCTGCCTCAGCCTCCTGAGTAGCTGGTACTACAGGCACCCGCCACCACGCCCGGCTAATTTTTTGTATTTTTAGTAGAGACAGGGTTTCACCGTGTTAGCCAGGATGGTCTCGATCTCCTGACCTCGTGATCCACCCGCCTTGGCCTCCCAAAGTGCTGGGATTACAGGCGTGAGCCACTGCGCCCGGCCGCCTTGATGGTTTTCTACAGATCATAGGTGCTTTGTGGGGAGATTTGTGGATCTGCTAACTTCATCATGTCAAACTCCAAATAGTATTTTTTTGTACAGACAGGGTTTTACCATGTTGCCCAGACTCCTGGGCTCAAGGGATCCCCCCACCTTGGTCTTCCAAAGTGCTGGGACTACAGGGGTGAACTCCACGCTCCCCACCAGCCCAGCCAATTAAACTTCATTCCATGGCCGGGCGCGGTGGCTCACTCCTGTAATCCCAGCACTTTGGGAGGCCGAAGCGGGTGGGTCACGAAGTCAGGAGATGAAGACCATCCTGGCTAACACGGGGAAATACAAAAAATTAGCCGGCCGCGGTGGCGGGCGCCTGTAGTCGTCCCAGCTACTTGGGAGGCTGAGGCAGGAGAATGGCGTGAACCCGGGAGGCGGAGCTTGCAGTGAGCTGAGATAGCGCCACTGTACTCCGGCATGGGCGAAAGAGCAAGACTCCGTCTCAAAAAAAAAAAAAAAAAAAAACCTTGAAGAAAACAAAAAGACAAAGCATAAAGCATAAATTGGGAGAAAATATTTGCAGATCTTATATTTGATATAGAACTTTTATACAAAATATAAAAAGAAGAGCTCAATAACAAGAGGACAACCCAATTTAAAATTGGGCAAGAGACCTGAATAGACATTTCAACGAAGAAAACATACAAATGGCTCATAATCACATGAAAAAGTGCTCAACATCACAAGTAATTAGGAAAAGCAAATTAAAGCCACCATGCAATACCAATACACACCAATCAGAATGGTTAAAATTAAGACTGATAATTCCAAATGCTGATAAACATGCTTAGCAAGTGGAACCTTCATAAATTGCTGATTGGAGTACAAAAAGGTACATTCTCTTTATTTATTTTGAGAGAAATCCTTGTGATAAATTGCTGATTGGAGTATAAAAAGGTACATTCTCTTTATTTATTTTGAGAGAAATCCTTGTGATAAATTGCTGATTGGAGTATAAAAAGGTACATTCTCTTTACATATCAGTTTGGCAGTTTCTCAAAGGGCTAAATATAAACTTAGCATAAGACTCAGCAATTTTACCTCTATGATTCTACCCAAGAGATATGAAAACACATGTCCATATAAAGATTGGTATGAGAATGTTCATAACAGCATTATTCGAAATAGCCAAAATGTGAACAAATCCAAATGCTTATTAACTACAGAATGGATAAACAAAATGTGGTATGTATGTTCCTATATAGGAGTACTTTGGCAAAAAAAAAAAAAAAGAAAAGAAATTAAATACCGATCATTCCACAATATGTAAAAAACCTAAAAAACATTATGACATGGAAGAAGAAAAGACCATCTCTTTCATAATTCTATTTATATGAAATTCCCAGAAAAGTAAAAATTTTATTTTATTTTATTTATTTATTTATTTTGAGACAGAGTCTCTCTCTGTCGCCCAGGCTGGAGTGCAGTGGCACAATCTCGGCTCACTGCAAGCTCCACCTCCTGGGTTCATGCCATTCTCCTGTCTCAGCCTCCCCAGTAGCTGGGACTACAGGCACCTGCCACCACGCCTGGCTAATTTTTTGTATTTTAAGTAGAGATGGGGTTTCACTGTGTTAGCCAGGATGGTCTTGATCTCCTGACCTTGTGATCCACCCTCCTCAGCCTCCCAAAGTGCTGGGATTACAGGCGGAGCCACCATGCCAGGCCCGTAAAAATTGTAAAGACAGTGGTTGCCTAGGGCTGAGGATGGAAGTGAGGACTTACAGCAAACAGGGCTTAAACAAACTTTTGGAGGTAATGAAAATGTTTTAATTTTTTTTTTTTTTTTTTGAAACGGAGTTTCACTCTTGTTGCCCAGATTGGAGTACAGTGGCTCGATCTCAGCTCACTGCAAACTCCGCCTCCCAGGTTCAAGCCATTCTCCTGCCTCAGCCTCCTGAGTAGCTGGGATTACAGGCATGCACCACCATGCCCAGCTAATTTTGAATTTTTAGTAGAGACAGAGTTTCTCCATGTTGGTCAGGCTGGTCTCGAACTCCCGACCTCAGGTGATCTGACCGCCTCGGCCTCCCAAAGTGCTGGGATTACAGGCATGAGCCACCGCTCCTGGACATAAAAATGTTTTAAAACAGGGAATTGCTGGCCGGGCACGGTGGCTTACACCTGTAATCCCAGCACTTTGGGAGGCCGAGGCGGGCGGATCATGAGGTCAGGAGATCAAGACCATCCTGGCTAACACGGTGAAACCCCATCTCTACTAAAAATACAAAAAATTAGCTGGGTGTGGTGGTGGGTGCCTGTAGTCCCAGCTACTCGGGAGGCTGAGGCAGGAGAATGGCTTGAACCCAGGAGGCGGAGGTTGCAGTGAGCTGAGATCACGCCATTGCACTCCAGCCTGGGTGACAGAGTGAGACCCTGTCAAAAAAAAAAAAAGAAAAGAAAAGCACAAACATATTCCTGAAGATCTGGGAGGCCATGTGCATGCCCAGGGCTGTATGCTGCAGTGTGCATGCTCAGGAAAGACATGAGAAGGTCTCACCTCTGACTGACCGAGAGGATATGCACAAGCAGGAAGTGAAGGCTAAGGCAGAGCTTACGCCACCTGGCTGAGTGGCAAAGGCATTCCCTAGTGCACATATAAAGCCTCCTGGCAAAGACTTGGAGACTTACTGGTTCCAGGCATTTACAGAACAATCTGTCAAATCATTACTTGACCACTGTGATGGTTAGTTTTGTGTGTCAACTTGGCTAGGTTATAGTACCCAGTTATTCAATCAAACACTAATTTAGGTGTTGCTGTGATGGTACTTTGTAGATATGGTTAATACCTACAACCAGTTGACATTAAGTAAAGGAGATTATCCTGCATACTGTGGGTGAGTGTCATCTAACCAACTGAAAGGTCTTAAAAGCAAAATTTGTTTCCGTGAAGAAGAAATTCTGCTATAAGACCACAGCATCAACTCTTGCCCAAGATTTTCCAGGCTGCCCTACAAAATTCAGCCTAAGTCAGTAGCAAAAGCCAATTCTATGAAGTAAATATCTTTATCTATCTTTTTATCTATCTGTCTGTCTATCTGTCTACCGTCTACTTATTTACCTATCTTATCTATCCTACCGGTTCTCTTTCTCTGGAGAATTCTGACTGATATAGATTTTGGTACCAAGAGTGTATCTAGAGGTATCTAGAGGAACAGAATATTAAGGATGAGCTTTCTTTCTTTCCTTTTTTTTTTCTTTTTTTAGATAGAGTCTCACTCTGTCACCCAGGCTGGACTGCAGTGGCACAATCTTGGCTCACTGCAACCTCCACCTCCCAGGTTCAAGTGATTCTCCTGTCTCAGGCTCCCGAGTAGCCGGGACTATATAGGTGCATGCTACCATGCCTGGCTAATTTTTGTATTTTTAGCAGAGACAGGGGTTTCATCATGTTGGCCAGGCTGGTCTCAAACTCCTGACGTTCAGTGATCCACCTGCCTTGGCTTCCCAAAGTGCTGGGATTACAGGCATGAGCCACTGTGCCCGGCCTTAAGGATGAGCTTTCTTAATTAGCTCTAGGGTTTCTGGAATTGGTTCTCAATTTGATTATATTTGAAGACACTGATGACTCTATTTCTGGCAGTAAAGACAACACTGATAATCCATGGCATGATCTGGCAATACATATATAAAAATATCACCCTTTGATACTCCTAATCAAATATTTATTGGAGGTAAGTTTCTGGGTGACCATGTATTTTATATCTTGGAACATTTTAGTCAGACTAACTGCTGCAATTTGATGTATCCCCTATTGTTCATGATTGGAAACTTGATCCCCAATCTGGCATTGTCAGGAGGTAGGGTCTAATGAGAGGTGATTAGGCCATGAGGGCAAAGTGAATGAATTAATGCTGTTATCCCAGGGGAGGATTTGTTGTAAAAGAGGGAGTTCAGCTGTCATTTATTCTCTCTCTTCCTCTTCTGCTTTCTGCCATGAGAAGATGATGCAGCAAGAAGGTCCTTGTCAGATGCCAACTGCTAGATCTGGAACTTCCCAGCTCAGAACCATGAGCCAATACATTTCTGTTATTATAAATTACTCAGTCTCAGGTATTACATTATAGCAGCACAAAATGGACAAAAACACTAGCAAATATAATGACATTGGCTGGTTGCTCCTAATTGCATGGGAAAAGTGGGGAAACAGATAAAGGACCCTAGGGATCTGAATTCCCAACTCAAGCTCTGTATAAATGACCTGAAAGCTTCAATGTCTGCTCTGGCAAAAACCCTTATCTTCGGTAGCCACAGAGATGAGATTGCTAAGAGTCAAACCCAGAGTCTCATCCTATAATCAGCTGAGTTACAAAGCAAACTGATTTTCCAATCCTCCATGGTGTCTGATGCTAAAGTGAAAACATTGATTGGGAAGGAATGGGATCCTGAAAATTGAGATGGTGCTATGGTTTGGATGTTTGTCCCTTCCAAATCTCATGATAAAATTTGACCAAAATGTTGGAAGTGGGGCCTAATGGGAGGTGTTTGGGTCATGGGGGTGAATGTCTCATGAATAGAGTAATGCCCTCCCTTGTGGGTGAGTGAGTTCTCTCTCTATTAGTTCCTGCAAGAGCTGGTTGTTAAAAAGAGACTGAAACCCCTTTGTCCTCTCTTTCCTCTTCTTTTGCCATGTGGTGTCTGCACTCATGGGCTTCCCTTTGCCTTCTGCTATGAGTGGAAGAAGCCTGAGCAGCCTGAGACCCATTGGCAGAAGATGATGCCAAATCTTGAACTTTCCAACCATCAGAACTATGAGCCAAATAAACCTTTTTTCTTTATAAATTACCTAGCTTCAGGTATTCCTTTATAGCAACACTAAATGTTCTAAGACAGATGGAGACACATGGGGAGATCTGGATGAAGCTGGGAACATTAAATTTCTAAATTCAGATGTGTTTTCTTTGCCAGTAGAAGCTGTTCCACCCACATCTGAGGAGATTAATTCTGCTTTGTTTGAGGAAACTGTAATGGCTCCCTGAGAAAATTGTCTTACAAAACATTGCTAATTTTCCTCAGGACCCACTCATCCACCCATCACCACCTGTCTTTGCATCTATACCGACAACTAGAATTACTCTAAGCAGGCCTTGAAAGATGAGGCACAAAGTATGACCCACAAGGAGATGCGTTACACTTCAAACGAACTGCATGATTTTTCCAGTTTATACAGATAGAAATATGGAGAATATGTATTGTCACAAAGCAGAGATTCTAGACTCAGTGTTGTGGCTCAGATGGATGGAAAGAACTCTAACTGTTTGGTTGGTTAGTTGGCTGAAACATGAACCAAAAGGTGGCCTGCACTAAATGAAGTTGAAGTGTCAGAACTGCCTTGGTGTATTCTAGTAGAAGGTATCCAGAGGCTTAGGGAGACTGGAATGGTAGAGTGGATTTCTTATGCAAGACTGGCTTCTCTGCCCCTGGTGGGTTCAGAGAACATACCTTTCACCATGATTGTGAGAAATAAATTTGTGAGGGAGTCCCGGCATCTTTGAAAACCTGTGTGGTTGCTTTTATCTGTAGGTAAAAATTACAGTGAGAACTGCTGCCACTGAGTTGGGAAACCTAAATCCACTTAGGTAATTGGATCCCAAGGTGGCAGAAGCCAAGGGGAGGCACTTAATTGCCAAAGGCAAGGTGGGTGGGGTTGCTATAATGAACAGCAGAATCAAAGCAGCAATCAGAATAGTCTGACTCACTCAGACCTATGAAGTTGACTAGTTGATGATTGTGTTGCTAGAGGTGAAACAGACAGGAAGCCTACTACATTCTTATTTGATCTGCGTAAGCAAAAGAGTTCTAGGTCAGGTAAATGGAAGTCTAACTTGAATTACCAGAGCAGAGTCATGGTCCCTCAACTAATGCCCAGACTCTGAACCCTTTGAATGGAGAATCCAGGTCACCTTGAAGAAGGACTGTGCTACATTGTCAAAAATTTAAAATGGTTTATCTTTCTTACAGCCTTCCCTAAAGGGACCCACAGCTTTTCATCAGGGTGACTGCATTATGGGAAGGGAAATAATCAGACTTTTTGGGGATTGCTGGGCACTAGCTCTGACGTGACATGAATTCCAGGGGAACTAAAATGTCACTGTCACCCATTAGTCTGAGCAGAGTTTTATGGAGGTTAGGTGATCAATGGAGTTTTGGCTCAGGTCCTTCTCATAGTGGGTCCAGCGGGCCACTGAACTCATCCTGTGGTTATTTCTCCAGTTCTAGTATGCATAACATTGGAATAGACATGCACAGCAACTGGCAGATTTCCCATATTGATTCTCTCACCTGTGGAGTGAGGGCCACTATGGTGGGAAAGGCCAGGTGGAAGTCACTAGAATTATCTCTAACTAGGAAAATAGTAAGCCAAAAGTGTACTGTATCCCTGGAGGGATTGCAGAGATTAATGCCACCACTAAGGACTTGAAAGATGCAGGGTTAGTGATTCCCCTATCATCCCCCATTCAAATCACTTCTTTGGCCACTGTAGAAGACAGATGGGGCTTGAAGAATGACAGTGGATTATCTTAAGTTTAACTGGTTATTAACTCTAATTGCAGCTGTTGTTCCGACGTGTTTTTGTTGCTTGAGCAAATTAACACAACCCCTGGTACTTGGTAGGCAGCTATTGATCTGTCAAATGTGTGTTTTTTCCCTCAATAGCTGCTCACAAAGACCACCAGAAGCAGTTTGTTTTCAGTTGGCAAGGCCAGAAATACACCTTCACTATGCTACCTCAGGGCATATTACCTCTCCAGCTCTATGTCCCTCTCTGCTTCTGGTGACGCCTGCCTAGGTCTAAGGGGTCTTGTGCAGAAAGTCTCTAATGGTCATCACTGGGACAGCTTTTCCATACTCTTCTATCATGTGGCCTTGTCTTCCACCCTAAGGGATCTTGGTACATTGTGGGCAGGGCTCTGCTGACAGTAATGTTTTGATAACCAAATGGTACTTATGACTTAGGACAATTGCTATTGTTACAGAAACGCCAGGGTTCAGTCTAGGTCCTGTTGCTCACCACACAGGAAGCCAACCACTGAGACAAGTATTGCCAAGGAAGAAGGCTTTAATTGGGTGCTGCAGCCGAGTAGATGGGCACTCAGTCTCAAATCCATCTTCCTGACTGACTAAAACCAGGGGTTTATATAGCAGGCAAGAAATGTAACAATGTGTAAGAAAACAGAAACTTGGGAAGGGCCAGGAAGTGATCATGGTGAATGAGGCCTCCCTCATCTGGTGTCCCTCACACTCCCAGGCTGGAGTACAGTGGCACGACCCCGGCTCACTGCGACCTCTACCTCCTAGGCTCAAGCAATTGTCCTGCCTCAGCTCCTGAGCAGCTGGGACTATGGGCGCATGCAACCACACCTGGCTAATTTTTTTTATTTTTTTATTTTTAGTAGAGACAGGGTTTCACCATGTTGGTCAGGCTGGTTTTGAACTCCTAACCTCAAGTGATCCGCCTACCTCAGCCTCTTAAAGTGTTGGGATTACAGGCGTGAGCCACAGTGCCCGGCCTATGACCATTTAACAAGCGCAAACTATAACAGAAAGCCTGGGATGGAATGCCAGGGGGCTTTCTAATTTACTTTTATGTAATTCCATGGTGATTAGAGAATACATTTTGTATGATTTAAATTATTTTAAATTTATTAAAACTTGTTTTATGGCTCAGAATATGGTCTATTTTGGTAAATGTTCCATGGTCACTTAAAAATAATGCATTCTGACCTGGTGCGGTGGCTCACGTCTGTAATCCCAGCACTTTGGGAGGCCGAGGCTGGCAGATCATTTGAGGTCAGGAGTTCAAGACCAGCCTGGCCAACATGATGAAACTCTGTATCTACTAAAAAGTACAAAAATTAGCCGGGCATGGTGGTGCACACTTGTAGTTCCAGCTACTTGAGAGGCTGAGGCAGGAGAATCGCTTGAACCCGGGAAGCAGAGGTTGCAGTAAACCGAGATTGCGCCATTGCACTCCAGTCCAGCCTGGGCAACAAGAGCATAACTCCGTCTCAAAAAAAAAAAAAAAAACGCCGGGCATGGTGGCTCACGCCTGTAATCCCAGCACTTTGGAAGGCCAAGGCGGGCGGATCACGAGGTCAGATCCAGACCATCCTGACTAACACGGTGAAACCCCATCTCTACTAAAAATACAAAAAATTAGCCGGGCGTGGTGGCGGGCGCCTGTAGTCTCAGCTACTCAGGAGGCTGAGGCAGCAGAATGGCGGAACCTGGGAGGCGGAGCTTGCAGCGAGCCGAGATCGCGCCACTGCACTCCAACCTGGGCGACAGAGTGAGACTCCGTCTCAAAAAAAAAAAAAAAAAAAAGCATTCCTACTGCTGTTGGGCGGGGTATTTCATTAATGTTAATTAGATCAAGTTGATTGATAATATCATTCAAGTCTTCTATGTCCTTGCTGATTTTTTTCTATCTATTCATTCTTTTAATTGTTGAGAGAGGGATGTTGGAATCTCTGATTATTATTGTGGATTTTTCTATTTCTCCTTGCAGATTTCAAATGATATCATTTTCATCTGCCTGAAGGACTTTTTAAAAAAATTTCTGGTCGGGTGCAGTGGCTCACACTTGTAATCCCAGCACTTTGGGAGGCCGAGGTGGGTGGATCACGAGGTCAGGAGATCAAGACCAACCTGGCTAACATGGTAACACGGTGAAACCCCGTCTCTACTAAAAATACAAAAAATTAGCCGGGCGTGGTGGCAGGTGCCTGTAGTCCCAGCTACTCGGGAGGCTGAGGCAGGAGAATGGGGTGAACCCGGGAGGCGGAGCTTGCAGCGAGCGGAGATCGCACCACTGCACTCCAGCCTGGGCGACAGAGCGAGACTCTGTCTCAACAACAAAAAAAATTTTCCTATACTACAAGTTTGCTGGTGATGAATTTCTTGACTTTCACCATGTCTGAAAAAGTCTTTATTTTGCCTTTTCTTTTTCTTTTTAGGGTCTCCCTCTGTAGCGGTCTCCCTCAGCCACCGCGCCCAGACCATTTTGCCTTATTTTAAATAATATTTTAGTTGCTTATTGAAGGTTGATTGAAGGTTGATAACCCCATCCTTAGCCCCCAGTACATCAAAGATGTTGCTGCACTCTCTTCTGTCTTGCATTGTTTCTGAGGAAAAATTTGCTGTTTCTTATTTTTGTTGTTCTGTAATACTATATCTTTTTCCTCTGGTTGCTCCTTTTTTTTTTTTTTTTTTGAGACAGAGTCTTGTTCTGTTGCCCAGGCTGGAGTGCAGTGGTATGATCTCAGCTCACTACAACCTCCATCTCCCAGGTTCAAGTGATTCTCCTGCCTCAGCCTGTAGCTGAGATTACAGGCACTTGCCACCACACCCGGCTAATTTTTTGTATTTTTAGTAGAGACTGGGTTTCGCCATGTTGGCCAGGCTGGTCTCGAACTCCTGACCTCAGGTGATCCACCTGCCTTGGCTTCCCAAAGAGCTGGGATTACAGGTATGAGCCACCATGCCTGGCCTTCTCTGGCTGCTCTTAAGATTTTTCTCTTTATCACTGGTTTTAAGCAGCAATTTGATTATGATGTGTTTGGTGCTGTTTTCCTCTATTTTATGTTGCACTTGAAGTTGATTGAGCTTCTTGGATTGAGCTTCTTGGTTGATTGAGCTTCTTGGTTGAGCAGGGTTTCTCAACCTCAGCCCTATGGGGCCTGGGGAGACTGTCCTGTGCACTATAGGAAATTTAGTTGCATTCCTGGTCTCTGCCTACAAAAGGCGGGTAGTTGTGACAACCAAAAATGACTCTGGACATTGCCAAATGTTCTCAGGGGGAAAATAACCCCCAGTTGAGAACCACTGGTTTAGAGTTTTTTAGATCAGGTTTGGAAAATTTGGGGCTGTTTCTTCAATAATGTTCCCTTTCTCTATTCTCTCTTGCAGGAGTTCCAACTACATGTGCATTAGTCTGATTGAATTTGTCTAACGACTCACTGATGCTCCATTAATTTTCTTAAGTCTTTTTAGTGTTTCATTTTAGACAGTTTCTATTACTATTTCTTCAAATTCACCAGTCTTTTCTTCTGCATTGTCTAATCTTCTGTTAATCCTATCTAGTGTATTTTTCAGCTCAGACATAATGTTTTCACCTCAAATAGTTTGATGTGGATCTTTTTAAAATTTCCTATATTCCTGCTAACATGTTTGATTTTTGTTGAACATATGGAATACAGTTATGATAATTATTTCAGTGTCTTTATCTGCTAATTCCAATATCTGGGTCATTTCTGGGTCTATTTATATTAATAGATGTTTCTTCTCATTATGAGTCTTAGTTTCCTATTCCTTTGTGTGCCAAACATCATGGATTTTGCCTTGCTGGTGCTGGTTCCTTTTGAATTCCTATGAATATTATTGAACAGTGTTCAAGGATGCAGTTAAGTTACTTGTAAACAGCTTGATCTTCCCAACTGTTATGCTCTTAAGCTATGTAATGTGAGACCAGAGCAATCTTTATTCAGGGACTAATTTCACCACTTCTGAGTACCCTATCTGATGCCCTCTCTGATGAAGTAAGAGGTTTTCTTCTCTGGCTGGTGGGAGCAGCGGGAACTATTCCTGTCCTGTGGATTTCTGACGTTTGTTCTCTCTGTTCCTTTTTTTCTTTTTCTTTTTCTTTTTTTTTTTTTTTTTTTGAGACAGAGTCTCTCTCTGTCACCCAGGCTGGAGTGCAGTGCTGTGATCTTGGCTCACTGCAACCTGCACCTCCCAGGCTCAAGCCATCTTCCCACCTCAGCCTCCCGGGTAGCTGGGATTACATGTGCCCACCACCACACCCGGCTTACTTTTTTTGTATTTTTAGCAGAGCCTGGGTTTCGCGATGTTGGTCAGGTTGGTCTCGAACTCCTGAACTCAGGTGATCCTCCCACCTTGGCCTCCCAAAGTGCTGGAATTACTGGCGTGAGCCACTGAGCGCAGCCTCTCTGCTTCTTTCTGGTGGGTCTTTCCCCAGCCTCAGGTGGTTTCCCTCATACTAAGTACACTGCTTAGCACTCAGCTGAGGACTCAAAAGGGACCCTCTGAAATCGTTCAGAGCTTTCTCTTCATCTGCACAGCTTTCTCCTCTTAGGTACCCTGCCCTGGGAACTCTCTCTCCTTGGCCTCCCCAGGCTCCCAACTCCCTGTTCTCAATGCCAGCGGACCACCAGCTCTCCCTAGAGTCTCTTCCTGGACCCGCACCCTGAATACTGTCTCCAGGCCATGAGCTGGGGGCAGTTGTAAGTCTCCCCTCCCAGGACACTGTTCACCACCCTCCAAGGGCCAGTGTCGGAAAAGAATTGTTTCATAGGCTTCATCTGTTTCTGTTTATTTGTTACAGGCTTAAAGGCAAATCTGATCCCTGTTATTCCATATTGAAAGCATAAAATCATTCTTTAAATGCTTAATTTTCATGTTAACTTTAATTTTTATATCTTTTTAAAAAAGTGTTTTCTGTTTCTATTTTTAAAATGTCTATAGAGGGCTGGGCGCGGTGGCTCACGCCTGTAATCCCAGCACTTTGGGAGGCCGAGGCGGGCGTATCATGAGGTCAGGAGATCGAGACCATCCTGGCTAACATGGTGAAACCCCGTCTCTACTAAAAATACAAAAAAAAAAAAAAAAGAAAAAAAATTAGCCGGGCATGGTGGCGGGTGCCTAGTCCCAGCTACTCGGGAGACTGAGGCAGGAGAATGGCATGAACCCAGGAGGCAGAGCTTGCAGTGAGCCGAGATCGCGCCACTGCACTCCAGCCTGGGCGACAGGGTGAGACTCCATCTGAAAAAAAAAAAAAAAAAGTCTATTGAGATCTAACTCTGAGCACAGTTTAAAAGTTATTTACAGTTTAAAAAATCTGGCAGCTTTAACATTTTTGTTTAAATGCTTAAAAACAGCAAGAAGGGAGTATCTAATTAGGATTTGATGTATCTTAGTATAGGAAATAAATTGTGAGTATTCTTAGGTTGTACAGTTATCTTTCTACAGATTAATATGTCCCATTTTCAACACATAATGTTTATAAAAGAATTATAGGCCAGGCGTGGTGGCTCACGCCTGTAATCCCAGCATTTTGGGAGGCCAAGATGGGTGGATCACGAGGTCAAGAGATCAAGACCATCCTGGCCAACATGGTGAAACCCCGTCTCTACTAAACATACAAAAATTAGCCAGCGTGGTGTTGCATGCCTGTAATCCCAGCTAGTGGGGAGGCTGAGGCAGGAGAATTGCTTGAACCCAGGAGGCAGAGGTTGCAGTGAGCCGAAATCGTGCCACTGCACTCCAGCCTGGAGACAGAGCAAGACTCTGTCTCAAGAAAAATAAAATAAAATAAAATAAAATAAAATAAAATAAAATAAAAAAGAATTACAAATACATTCTGTAAGAGTGTGCACCTGCTTCCTGAGATGCACTTTTAAATGATTTCTAATTTTTAATATTTCCATAAGCATGTTTCATGTAATGCACATATGGCTGACCTCACAGAAGTGGCTGACACATTACAGATGGCTTTGAAGTGGATCATGGTGGGGAAAAGTAAGACTTCATGCTGTATTATTTTAAAAGTCCATATAGTATGCTCACTTTTAAGCTAAAATAAAATGTAATGTTTTTGTGTGGGTGTTAATATGTGTAGCTGAAATATGATCTATTTTTGAAGACCACAGATATTTACAAAGAAAAACTAAAAGGAGCAGTCTTTGTACCATTTTAGGATGGTAGGTAGTGCTCTCTCTGTCTACCAGTGACAAGATTTTAAAATCATTTTTAGATTTTATGAGTTAACTTTCCTGTCTAGATTTTGGAAAGTAGAGAGAAAGTGAAGCTTCTAGATGGAAAGAAGCTGTCAAGTGGGCCACTTGCTGAATACTGAAAACAATGAGAAGGTACCATGTGGGCTAACACAAAATTCAATTCAGACACTGAACATATTAATAGGAAATTTTAGCAGAACTTGTGAGAAAGACAGTGTCTAAGTTGAAAGCTTGCCTAGTCTTTTCATTAAAGCCACTGAATGGCCTTAATGTTTTAAGTAGAAACGGGAGGATCCCTCACCTTCACTACATGTCATTCCATCTCCCAAAATTCAGATGTAAGACAACTTTAGGAGTTTACGTTTTTCCTATTAAGTAATGAAGTAAACTGTTAAGAGTTAAAGTCATCTTAGAATTTAGGTTTCATACTGGACTTTGCTCTCTTCCCTTCTCAGTCCCAGCCAGTCGAATTTGGTCTTCTGGGGTCAACCCAAACCTAGGTCAGATGGTGTAAACATGTGTCATCAGTTGAGGCTGCTATAACAAAATACCACATGCTGCGCTTAAACAAAAGAAATTTACTCCCTTGCAGTTCTGGAGGATGGAAGTTCAAGATCAAGGTGCCAGCAAGGTCGGGTTCTGGTGAGGGCTCTCTGCTTGGCTTGTAGTGGCAGCTTTCTCACTGTGTCTTCACAATGGGTTGAGTGAGAGAGAGCTCGGGCACCAGCATGCTAGCTCTCAGGTGTGTCGCTCTTCTTATAAGGACACTAATCCCCTCGTTTAAAAAAAAATCATTATTTATTTATTTAGTGAGACAGAGTCTCACTCTGTGTCCCGCTGGAGTGCAGTGGCATGATCTCAGCTCACCGCAACCTATGCCTCCTTGGCTCAAGCAATTCTTGTGCCTCAGCCTCCCAAGTAGCTGGAATTACAGGTGTGCACCACCACACCTGGCTAATTTTTGTTTTCTGTTTTTTTTTTGATAGAGTCTCTCTCTGTTGCCCAGGCTGGAGCACAGTGGCATGATCTAGCCTCACTGCAAGCTCCACCTCTGGGGTTCACACCACACTCCTGCCTCAGCCTCCCGAGTAGCTAGGACTACAGGTGCCTGCCACCATGCCCGACTAATTTTTTTGTATTTTTAGTAGAGATGGGGTTTCACTGTGTTAGCCAGGATGGTCTTGATCTCCTGACCTCTTGGTCCACCCACCTGGGCCTCCCAAAGTGCTGGGATTACAGGCTTGAGCCACTGTGCCCGGCCTGTATTTTTAGTAAAGACGGGATTTTGCCATGTTGGCCAGGCTGGTCTCAAACTCCTGGCCTCAAGTGATCCACCCACCTCTGTCTCCCAAAGTGCTGGGATTACAGGTGTGAACCTCCACATCATCATTAAGGCCCTACTCTCACGATCTCAATGGTTGATGGGTTGATGTAATTAAGGTGAAAATATGGAAGAAAATAGGAATTTTGAATGGACTTTATGTGAAGTGGTTGCACCTCCTTTACCTGAATGTGTTAACAGGATGGGTATTATGTCCGACTGGGGAACAGGTCTGTATCTAGTATTGTGAAGCAGAAGGCACGGACGTTTGCCCTTTGGCCCATATTAATTGGACACGCTAAATGGGAACCCACGGGCCTGAGCCCAGACAGGTTGTTAATTTGAAAAAGTGTAAAATGCTTGGTGGGCAAAGAGACTTTCACTTTAATAACCTGTTGGAGGCTGGAATCCTGGTACTGTGGTCTCTGTGCAATAACATTATGCATGAGTGCCACCCAGTGGTGACCACTGGGATTTTGGACCAGGAAATCCCCAGACCTGGTAGGTAGTAGCTTGCGATTGGGCATTAATTGAAACTGCCCCTAAGACTGAAGGACATACTCTCATCTTAAAGCCTGAAATACACATGTTGTCTTGGGGGATGGCAGAGATACAGTTCAATAAGGAAGGCACTGCTCAGAAGAGTTCCATAATAAAACGGAAATGGTTTCTACAGGAGCATGATACAGAGGAATGCAAGGAGGGCTTTTCCCCTCTGGCCGGTTTCGGAACCAGCTGAGGATCTGCCAGGTCTATGGCATCATGGATGGTGCCCCATGAACAGCTCTCAATGGACAACAAAGAGCTATTTGGTTTGTGGTTGGCAGTTTCAAGGTGGATGGACAACATCCAGATCTGAAGGCCACCACATCATGAGCAATAATGGGAAAACTCATATTGAAAAAGGCAAGAACAAATCAGCCCAGCTAGATGAACTGCATGCTGCGTTTCTTGCTGCGATGAAAGAATGGAACAATCATAAGAGCTCGTGTTTGGGTTTTTACTGACTCATGGGCAGTGGCCAATGGCCTGGCCATGTGACCAGGCAGAGGGGCAATGGCAAACTGGGCTGTGAAGGGATGCCAACATGGAGCACAGCACTGCAGGAATTTAAGGGGCACATTAAAGTAGGTCATATCAATGCCCACCTGAAGAATCCCTCCCAGGATCTGTGATCAGATCCGGTAGGTGGATATCCTGGTGAACAAACTTGAGGTGGCCACCTAGGTTCAACAAAGGAGTGGGTGACAGTGCAGGGATGGGCTGCTCAGAAACATGTCCCTCCTGCACCCTCAGAGACACAAATGCCAACAAGAAATGCCTTGACAACAAGAAGATGGAGACCACAGGTGGCTAAGGGGCAGATTCCCCAGAGGGAGAACACCGCACATGCAGCTGGCAGGTGGACTGTACGGGACCCCTGCTGGTAGCCCTGGAGGGAGTTTATAAATGGGTTCTGGCAGGAATAGACACTTACTCTGGACTGAGCTTTACCTACCCAGTGGCAGATGCAAATGCTCAAGATACTATAAAAGTACTGAGCAGAAGTCACTGTATCAATGTGTGTCACTAAGTTACATACCTTCGGACCAAGGAACACACTTTACAACCTACACAGGGCAAGGAGACATCCCATCAAATGGGTATATCATGCTGCACATTATCCTCAGAGTAGTTTGTGAGAGAATTGAAATGGGCAATGGAAATGTTTGTTATCTTACATGGGGAGAGATAAAAGCGTGAAGGCTTACACACCTCCATGCATGTGTGCTCACACTTAACATGTGGTGGTCAAGGAGGATCCCCACTAGATAGATCCCTCCACTCTTGGGGTGATCTGGGGAAGATGGCCGGGAAGGATGCTGCTACGACTATGCAGTTCTTCACAACAGCACCTCAACTTTCTTGTCTCCTACCTGCTGAAAAGAGCCTGAGATCAGGCCCACAGCTGCAAGTGTTGGAAGCATCTGCCACTGGGTAGGTAAAGCTCACACTACCACACCTAGCTAATTTTTGTATTTTTAGTAGAGACAGGGTTTCACCATGTTGGTCAGACTGGTCTCGAACTCCTGATCTTGTGATCCGCCGGCCTTGGCCTCCCAAAGTGCTGGGATTACAGGCATGAGCCACCGCACCCGGCCAGAGGCAGGAATGATTCTTAAGTGAGAAACAGTTGTTATATCTTTTAACATTTGTGTCAGAAATCCTAAAGGTCTGATGGGATAGCTGTGCCTCCACTGCATCTGGCAAATCAGAGGTGGACAGTGAGTGCAGCTGTATCTCCTGGTGGTCAGGGCAGCCTCACAGTTCGTCTCTTTGCAGCCCTACCTTACATGACTGGAAATGGCCCTGCGGGAGGCACCTGCTGAAGTGGTATTGCTGCTGGCCATCTGGGCCTACACTGCTGGCCATCTGGGCCTACACAGTGGATGAACCTAACATCCCTTCATCCTTTCTAAAGGTGTGAAAGTTGGGTGAAAATCAATGACAAATGGAGAGAAGGAGAAATAGTAGCTGAGGGCAAAGGAATGAATAAATGGGTTATGCAATGAGAGAAACCCAACAATATATTGGTGCCTCGAGGTAAGCTCAGAGCAAGGGAATTATATTGTCTCTTAGCACAGTTATACCAGATGCCTGAAAGGGTAAACTTGTGTGTTTGTCAAACCATCCCTGTTTTAGGAATCTGACAAGGTCGAATAGCAACCTGCAAACCTAGTGACATCACTGTCAGAGACACTGTGGTCACACGACGATGACCAAGTGGAACTCTAGCATCTTTCAACTCTGACTTTTCAGGGTACATCTACAACAAAGGGTATCTTTTGGGAAGGGTTTTTTGGGAACTACTCCCTATTGGGGCATCAGACTGTGTAGTGTATGATTGCTGGTTGACTGACTCCTGTGTAACTATAAACCCAGGTGATCAGAGGCTTACAAAGTTCTCCCTGGTTATCTTGGACGACATAGAATGGTGGCCTGTCCAACATGCCACAGTGTGTTGTGCACAGACACAAACCACCCTGTTCTGTGAATGGAAAGCTCTTACACAAACCAGGAAAAACCACTGGGATGGTGATGGAACTAAAGCAGTAGGCATCACCCGGTGGGTCCAAATTCCCCAAGGGAGCAGCCCCTCCATGCACAAGTAAGACAATGGAAACCTCTATGACATATTCAGACTAAATGACAATGAGGTGTGACCACGACTTACAAAATGCAAGTATGGGGAAACCCAATACTTTTGAGTAATGAAACATGTATCCTAACTGCGCTCAGCCACGAGGACACAGTGGCAACAGCATGCATGGTGGCCTGAACACTGGCCCACCAGACAGAAAAGGGCCTTAGGGGAGACGGGTGCTGGCCTCGGCTTCATGGGATGAGCTGAATTTGCTTTTTTTTTTTTTTTTTGAGGGGGAATCTCACTCTTGTTGCCCAGGCTGGAGTGCAGTGGCGCAATCTTGGCTGTCTGCAACCTCTGCCTCCTGGGTTCAAGCTATTCTCCTGCCTCAGCCTCCCGAGTAGCTGGGATTACAGACACCCGCCATCACGCCCAGATAATTTTTGTATTTAGTAGCGATGGGGTTTCACCATGTTGGTCAGGCTGGTCTCAAACTCCTGACCTCAAATGATCCGCCCACCTTGGCCTCCCAAAGTGCTGGGATTCCAAGTGTGAGCCACCGCACCCGGCCTGAATTTGCTTTTGATGAAGAGTAGCACTCAGTGGGGAAAAATTTATTGAAAAAAATAAGCAGATTAAAGGGAGCAAGGGGTGGGAGTCAGCCTGGGAGGACAATGAGGCTTCGGTGAAGTGGGTTGGGTAACGTTGGGTAAAGCTAGCACCCAGTGTTGGGAAAGGGCTTCTCCCTAGATCCAACAGGGTTACTTGACTATTTTGTTACAGATGGAGGCCAAAGTGGCCGTGGGGCAGTGGCCCTCTGTCCTGGTTGCTGAGGCTCAAGGGGCCCACCTGTGGGAATCGTATGGGTCTCCAAACCTATGGAAGCTCTCTGAGAGCTCTTGCAACTTCGACCAATGCACTCTGCTCTGGATAACCCACATCCTGTAGTATAATCAGCAGGAAAAGGAACTAGTCTGAATACCACCTACATCCCTGTAGGAGAGAGTATGTGAGCCCTGCTATATAACAGAAGCCAGTCCTGCAATACAAGCCTGTGAACTAAGACAAGGCGACTGACTTTGAAGCCCAGGAATTACCGAGTCATGGTCAATCGTTTTTTTTTTTTTTTTGAGATGGAGTCTTGCCCTGTCTCCCAGGCTGGAGTGCAGTGGCATGATCTCCGCTCACTGCAGCCTCCACCTCCCAGGTCCAAGAGATTCTTCTGCCTTAGCCTCCCGAGTAGCTGGGACTACAGGCGCTCACCACCATGCCCGGCTAATTTTTGTATTTTTTAGTACAGATGGGGTTTCACCATATTGGCCAGGCTGGTCTTGAACTCCTGACCTCATGATCCGCCCACCTTGGCCTCCCAAAGTGCTGGGATTGCAGGCGTGAGCCACCACGCCTGGCCTGTCATGGCCAGTTGTAATGATGCCTGGTCATAATAATATCTGCCATGTGAACACCGGCGGATTCTATTGGAAAGGCATAGCAAATGGCACTTAAATTATGACTGATTTATTCTGTGATGAAGCTAAATTGTGCCATGACCATACTGCAGTGTGATGCAACACTGCATTTTTAGTAAGATAAGAATGACACATTCCATGTTTCATAGCATAGTATAGGAAAAAGGGAACACATCAACTTTTGCCATCTTCCTGACAAGCCAGGAGTTAAAAATAAGTAAATTAAATAATAATGAAATCTAATCCTGTAATTTCTAAGCAAACATTACTTTGACTTTAATCAATAAGGTTATTTAAAGTTCATTGAAAAATCCATATTCCTGCGTTTAGACTCATAAGTATTAACCAATTACAGAAGAATATAATACAAATAGTTTCTAAATGGACATAGAATTTAAATTCAGATTTTAATGAACTAACTTCTGGCACTGTAGAGCACATAATGTAGTCAGCATTTTGCAAATGTTGGAGTGTATACTTAGTAATGGAGTTGGTTAATAAATGTCAATGCAGTGAGACTGAGAATGGGATAGATTAAAACTTTCTTTTATTCTTCTTGCCAGCTCTGTGGCTACATGGGTGTGAACTGGAACGAGGCAGAAGGGATCTATTTTTCTATTTAGTGCCAATGAGCCCCCATGGATCTACGCAGTGTGCTTTGTGCAGATGAAGGTAAAATCCCTCCCTGAGAGCAGGTCTGTGCTCACGGGTGTCGTTGGTTTCTCCATTCACAAGCGTCAGGTGGAGCTTGGGTGGAAACCACCTTGATTCTTCAGGGCAGCTGCTCTGGTTTGTTCCATTTTTAGAGTTAGATTGTTTCCTTTAAGAGCCCTATACTTCACAGTAACAGACTCTGATTTGGAATTTGCATTCATTGTTTATTTTATTTTGTTTTTGCCCAAATAAGAAATTGCACATTTTTCTTTGCACTCTAAAGTCAAAAAGCCGAAGTGGGAATCATTATAAATGCAACATTTGAGTTCCTGTTATAGCTCCTTGTTCTTGGAAATGTTTCATTTGCATCAGGGTCGTGCCAGACATGGTAATGAAGGCCCTGAACAGAGGGAGAACCATCAGGGACTGCTGTGTGAGGAAAGCGTGGACTTTCATCCTGAAAAATGAATGTATCCATAACAACATCCTCAAACATAGACAGCTCTGATTAGTGCTCCACGAGCCCTCTCTCTAAAAACATCTGAAAATGCATCACTCTTCCTGGGGCTCACATGAATGGGGTAAATCCTTACGAAGGAGGGGCCTTGGTGCTCAGGAGGTGAAGCGCACGCCATTCTCCAGGTGTGCACGTGGGTCCGAGGAATCAGGAGCTCAGGCTGCACAGCCCTGCCGCTGCCAATCACTGCTCACAGCCCCTGAGCCCTGCTCAGAGGCAGCAGCATTTCCTACTAGGGGCAAGGTGCAGCAGTCACCAGGACACCCTGGCTCTTATTTGCAACTGCTGCATTACCTAATAGCCACCCATGGCTTCACGAGGAGGGATGCTCACAGCCCCCTGCAGAGCAGCCTCCAGGTTCCAGCCCCACAGGGAAGCGTCTGCCGTGACTTCCACCCACACAGCCTCTGCTTCCACACAATCACCCTGAATGGCAAAGGCTAAACACTTTGGTAATCCAAAACAGTAAACCCCAATTGTGCTACTCATAGTCCAATTTCTAAAATTTTACACTACAGCTGTTGAAAAATTCTAATGTTTATTTCACTGCCAGAATCAGCAGGGTAATGGACGTTTCAGCAATAAACATCATGAGCAACACATGAAATCTAATTAGCATTATTCCAATTTGCAACAGTTAAGTAAGTTATTACTCTGGGCTTTCTCCCCCCTAGATACCAATGCTTAGATTCTTGTAAAAATGTCAACTCTAGAAAAATCCTCTTTCCACTTCCAATTTTTTCTAATTCAATCTGTTTTCTAGTATTTCTTTAGAAACAAACTAATGAAATTCTCTATCATCCAGCTGTATGTACAACAGAGTGAGCTTTGTGACGCCCTCTGCACAGGAGCAGTATCCGTGAGACAAAAGAGTGGGACTCTGTCACCATGATCACAGATGAAGGATGCCGGGACACTCTGTCAAAGGAGACTCAGAACTCCATATAGGACGCTTGACTAAGATCCCAGGTACTGTCACCATGACTGTCACCCACAATTTTCCCAGGAGGGAGACACCAGTAGGAAAGAGAACAGCCCCTGTGATGTCAGGGCCAACCTGTCTCCAGCCTCCGTTCTGCTAAGTAACTCTAGAAGTTCCTCTCCTGTCTCTGGCCCAACTGACCATGTGTCAGATGCCTGGGAAAAAGGAACACAGACTTGATGATGATTCCTGGTTCTGAGCTCATGTCGCTGTGCTCCCAGGCTGTTGACACAGGCAGGACCCCTGGGCTTCTTGGATTCAAGCACACAGTTAATAACACAAACCCTGACAGCCTAGGCTTGAGCTGGGGTTCGTTGGGGGTGGGTGGCAGTGGTAGGGGAATAACTTAGGAAAGTTATTTAAGCTGCCTGGGTCTGAATTTCCTTGTCATAAAATAGGGGAAATAGTTGTACTTACATGGCACATCTGTGATGTGAATTAAATATCTGGCACCTACAACAGTGCCTGGCCCCCAGGATTTGGTGTGTGAAGAGTCCAGGTATTGGTACGAGTCCATGTCCACTGTCTTCCCTGATCCCCAAACCCAGGTGCACCCATTAGTAACTAAAATGAGGCAGACAAAAGGGATGAGTGATGAGCGGCAGTGGTTGCCAGAGGTAGGTCCAGGGACTATATTTCTTAAGACATTCTGGGTCAGGAATAATTACATAGAATGGAGCCAATAATTCCAAATCCATGTATTTAGTTAATAAGCTTTTATTTAGGGCATGCAGGTGCCAAATTTTGTCCCAGGCACTTACATATATTTAATCATTTAGTCTCCTCACAACCCATGAGAAATAAACATACTGTACTATCATTATCTACAAAGAAACATGGAATAAGACCCTAGAGAGAGCCTCCAGCAAAAGGGTGTCTGTGATCATTGTACATTTTTCAAAACATGTTCAATGACAAAAAAACCAGCTTTATAAAGTGCATGTTGAACTGTGATATAACTAGCAGTGCATCTAAGAGTGAAACAATGAACATTAAAAATGAAAGGATCCTTGGGAAACAATCCAGCCCACCTTTTGTCTCTGTTTTGGTACAATTGTGTTTTTTGTAAGGCATGTTTTTGTTCCTTCACAATGTACTATTTACAGCAAACAGCAATATTTTTACCTTTCCATCTTTCTGTCCTCCCTGAAAGCTAACTCTCTAGAGGGAGAGAAGACAATATGGGGTTTGACGCAAGGCGGTGCCCCAGCGCCAGGGCAGAGGGATGCACAGGCCTTATAGGAGCCCTTAGGGGCAGCGGGCGGGGCAGCTGCACAGACACAGCCTTGGCGTTGTTCAGAAGGAGGGACATTCCAGGTGCTGGGCGAAGCAGAGGAGGTGCAGCCCTGGGGCAGAGCACAGTGAGGCTGGGCATGCGGCGGGCTATGGGCACCTTCCTGCTCGGGGACTTCTGAGCCTCCACTTGTTGAAAAACAGAAAAAAGCCAAGGCTCAAGCCAGTAGGGGAAGGAACCGCAAAGGTGTTTTTGCATGGTTAAAACAAAGAGATGATCGAAATATGATTTCATGGATCTGTGGTTCATCCCCATGCAAAGAGAATTTTTTTCTTAGGTTCAGAACGCTTAAAGAAGATAACATGGTGAACAAATCTCCCAGGGAATCCACTTGAGAGATGAGGCACACTGACCACAGATCAGTGAGGTCCTCAATTATTAAAGTCTAGTTGCTCCGTTAGGATGAAAGTCTCTGTGGGAAGTAACTTCTAATTAAAGCTTGAGGTGTTCCTTTATATTAGCAGTTCTTGAGGGAAACTGGCTTGGCCATCACAGTGGAGACTGGAGAAGGCCGGGGTGGTCCCTGGATACTAGAGGGAAGTTGGGGAGAAGTGGTGGACAGTGCAGCCCTCTCACAGCACAAGCTCCTGGTCATCGGAGAATGGCTGACAGAGTAAACCCTGCCATGACCTAAGCTCTTAAAATGTCTGTCAAACTCTTAGGTTTATTGGACTTGGGAGTCCAGTAGTCGAGCTCAGTAACCCATACGGGGTCTGATAAGCTGTGATGTCACATTCCCGATGAGAGGAGGAGTAGCTCCAAGTTCTCATGTATGAGGTCTTGTTCTCCATGGGAGGGGGAAATACACTTCCAGTCCTTACTGCAGCAAGGCATATGTTATCCAAAGGACCACCAGAATGGCTAGAGAGTAGAAAACAGAGTTTTATTGGCAATATCAGTTTGCAAACCAGGGAGAGATCATCTCTGGTAAGAACCGAAAGTGCTCTCTTTGAAGAACAAAGAGAAGATTAGAGGTTTTATAACAAGGAGAAATGTTATGTATTCCTCTTTGAGTAAGTTCATTGGCACTAGGAAGGGTTTGGGGAGCTGGCAAGCTCTGAATGATGAGCAAAGGTGGTGGGAAAAATTAGTCACAGAGTTGTAGCAAGTTATCTCAGAAGCTAAGGATAAAACTGGTCTCAGGTGGCAACAAGCAGTTCCAGCAGTCAGGCTTGCAGAGAATTACATTTTTGGAGCAATGTTTTGTACCATGAGTGCTTTATCCTCTGGCTTCTCAACTCTGTTTTAGTTGGATGTGATAAGAATGACATGAATATGTACATTTTTGCAGCACTATGTATGATAGCAAAGACTTGGGACCAACCCAAATGCCCACCAATGATAGACTGGATAAAGAAAATGTGGCACATATGCACCATGAAATACTATGCAGCCATAAAAAAATGGGTTCATGTCCTTTGCAGGGACATGGATGTAGCTGGAAACCATCATTCTCAGCAAACTAACACAGGAAGAGAAAACCAAACACCACATGTTCTCACCCATAAGTGGGAGTTGAACAATGAGAACACATGGACACAGGGAGGGGAACGTCACACACTGGGGCCTGTCAGGTGGTGGGGGGCAAGGGAAGGGGGAGCATTAGGACAAATACTTAATGTATACGGGGCTTAAAACCTAGATGATGGGTTGATAGGTGCAGCAAACCACCATGGCACATGTAACAAACCTGCATGTTCTGCACATTTATCCCAGAACTTAAAGTAAAATTAAAAAAGGAGAAAGCTAGTAACTGGTCTCAGAGCATCTAGAAACAAACAAACAAACAAACAAAAAAAGAATAACCCAATTTGTATGATCAACCTTCACAAATGTATCATTCAGGTAGCAAACTATGTAAATGTTCGGAGTAATTTCAAAGCTGCATAACCAAAGGAGAGCAGGGGGACTCAGAAGGGCAGAAGACAGGAGCAGGCAGGGACATGCCCAGGCAAAGCCCTGTGGCAGCTTAACAAGTGTTGAGGAACTGAATCCATGTGTGATACACCTGAAAGAGAAAAGCACTTTCTTTTTTTTCTTTTTTCTTTTTTTTTTCTTTATTTTTTGTGACAGAGTCTCACTCTGTCGCCCAGGCTGGAGTACAGTGGCGCGATCTTGGCTCACTGCAAACTCCACCTCCCAGGTTCAAGTGATTCTCCTACCTCAGCCTCCCAAGTGGCTGGGATTGCAGGTGCACGCCACTACGCCTGGCTGATTTTTTGTATTTTAGTAGAGACGGGGTTTCACCATGTTGGCCAGGATGGTTTCGATCTCCTGACCTGGTGATCCCCCAACCTCAGCTTCCCAAAGTGCTAGGATTACAGGCGTTGAGCCACCGCGCCTGGCTGAGAAACACACTTTCTGAGGCTGCTTAGGTGCTCCTTCATGCACAGGCCCAGGGCACTAGGCTGGAGAAGTAGTTCGACAGTGATTTGTGGGTCCTCTTGTTTATTCACACTCCAGTGACAAAGGCACAGTGGAAAATCTTCTTTATTAAAGTAGCTGTGTTTGTCTGTTGGGCCACCTTAACAAAGTACCACAGAGTGACCTAAACATCAGGAATTTATTCTCACATGATTCTGGAGGCCAGAAGTCTGAGACCATGATGTCAGCAAGGATGGTTTCTCCTGAGGCCTCTCCTTGGCTGGCAGGTGCCATCTTCCCCCTGTGTCTTCACACCAGCTTCCCTCTCAGCATGTCTGTATCCTAATCTTTTCTTAGTAGGACACCAGTCCAATTGGATTAAGGCTCACCACATGACCTCATTTTAACTTAATTACCCCTTGAAAGACCTTATCACCAAATACAGTCATAGTCTAGGGTACTGCAGGTAAGGGTTTCAACAAATGAATTTTGGGGTAGGACACAATTCATCCCATAATAGTGAGATAATTTTATTTATAAAAAGGTAGTTATAGGTCAAGAAATGCACCTGGAAATTAAACTTTTCTTTGGAAATAAGAACCCATTAAGAACCCAATTAGGCCCATACAGGCTAATTGCCTGATAAAGATCCACAAAATCTTGCCTATATAAATGCCTTCACACTTCTCCAATGCTTTACTGCCAAAAGCCAACATTTTGTGAATTTGGAGTGATTGGGTTCAGAGCAAACTTTCCAGCTATATGTGAATTTTTTTGTTACTGATGCCTTATTTAGTAGATCAACCCAGCAGAACTTAATTATTGTTTAAAATGCTTTTTAAAGAAATGATCAAAATGTATGTCGTGGTGTTATGGGGGTAGAGGGGGAATTTCATCATTGTCCTGTTCCCAAGTGTGCATCTTTTTAAAATTATTATTATTTCAGTAGCTTTATGGAGTACAAGTGGGTTTTGGCTACATGGATGAATGGTATAGTGGTGAAGTCTAAGATTTTAGTGCACGAGTCACCCAAGTAGTGTTAATTGTACCCAATATGTAGTTTTTTTAATCCCACATCCCTCTCCCACCGTTCCTGCTTCTGAGTCTCCAATGTCCATCATAACACTTTATGTTTTTGCCTACCCATAGCCAAGCCTGCAGCTTAAAGGAGTTTCCATGAGGTAGGAAAACAGCCTGTTCTGATTATTTCTCCAAGTCCAAGACAGAGGTACAGATGTGGTAAACTGGATCTGGAGAAAAAAATTCCATTAGTTTTGTTCCAGTGGTTTCTGTCCTCTATGTCAGTTAAAATCTAAGAAAAAGCAATTATTCCATCCTAATGAATTAAGAATGCTTATTAGAAAATGCATTAGTGAGCATGGAATTTAGTAAGTATTTGGAGTCTGGAAATTATCTTATATATAAAATGACATTTAAAATACTTTCCTACCAAAAATAAATCACATGGATTTACTAATAATATGGAATGAAAGGTAGTAACACATATTATTTTTCATTTCAACAGATTTGGGTTAACATTTTGGTCACATTTTTCTCTAATTAGCATTTGAGTGTTAATGTGAGCTTTCCATAAATAGGTGCAAGTTACTTTACCTTTTCCATTGGTTCCCCATGAGATATCATTGTTGTTCTTACATACACATGAATCTATTGAGCCCTATTCTGTATGTGATGCTAAATAATCCTCCTAGCCCTGGGTCTCAGACTTCCTGCTCATGTTAAATATTTACTCCTCTTAGTAAGAGGAGTAAACGAAATCACAGACGAAAAGCACTTTGAAGAACTCAGAAGATGTTAGAGCAAACTTTCTTTCCCTGTCCTCCTGTTTTCCATGTGGACGCTTCCCTAGTGTAATCCTGGCTATCCCTTTCCCTCCGATAGGAGTGAATTCTCTGATTAATCAATAGCAAGGATCTGGCATCCATCTGTTTACATACCTTGATTCGGTGCAGTTAATGATTTATTTTTATTTTTATTTTTATTTTTGAGAATAATCAATAGCAAGGATCTGGCATCCATCTGTTCACATACCTTGACTCGGTGCAGTTAAGGATTTATTTTATTTTTATTTATTTTTTTTTGTTTTGAGACGGAGTCTCGCTCTGTCGCCCAGGCTGGAGTGCAGTGGCGCGATCTCGGCTCACTGCAAGCTCCGCCTCCCGGGTTCACGCCATTCTCCTGCCTCAGCCTCCCGAGTAGCTGAGACTACAGGCGCCCGCCACAGCGCCGGCTAATTTTTTGTATTTTTAGTAGAGACGGGGTTCAACCATCTTCGCCAGGATGGTTTCGATCTCCGGACCTCGTGATCCGCCCGCTTCAGCCTCCCAAAGTGCTGGGATTACAGTCGTGAGCCACCGCGTCCGGCCATCTTTGTCCATCTTTGTCCATCTTAATGAAAACATAATTTGCAGCAATGATATTGAGATTCACCTGGTGTATTAATATTTTAACAGAAATTTTATGAACTGAATTACAAGCTATCAGGTAAATCAAGTAGGCCACAGGTTCAGTAAAAAGGAAAGCACCTTCTGAACGTTGATCCTAATACCTGTGAGCATTCATGCTCTGAAATTATAGCTGAGCGCACACTGTGTGCCAGATGCGGTCCTACGTGCAGGGATGTACAATGCCCAAGGAACTGCCGGTGCCAGGATCTGGGCTTGTCAAAAGGTGCCTTCGGTGTATGTGAGGAGACCTATCATGGGGGACACACTGGAAAAACCACCAACATGGTCCAGCGCAATCAGTGAGGCAAATGCATGGGGAGGTGGAGAGCGAGAGCTGCAGAAGGAACAGAGGCTCCATAGGGAGCCCAGAGTGGAGAGAAGCCCCTGGAGGGAGGGGCTATGGAGGTCCTGGTGGAAGAAAGCCCGGGGAGCCCGGTGGGTGTGGATTAGGGTCAGGAGGGGATCAGTGAGTGAAGAGAAGCATTTCAAGGAGTGTGTGTGTGAGTGTGGATGTGGGTGTGTGTTTGTGAGAGTTTGAATTTGTGTGTGTGTGAGTGTGTGAGAGACTGTGGTGTGTGTGATGTGAATGTGGGTGTGGGTGTGTGTGAGCATGAGTTTATGTGTGTGTGTGAGAGTGTGTGAGAGACTGTGGTGTGTGTGATGTGAGTGTGGATATGGGTGGTTTGTGTTTATGTGGCATATGTGAGTATATATGGAGTGTAGTGGGCTTGGTGTGTGAGTGTGGTATCAGTGTATATATGGGGTATCCATGGTGTGTGTGTGGAGTGTATGATGTGTGTGTGGTATGTGGGTGTATGGGGGATGTTTGTGGTGTGTGTGTGTGAAATGTATGTGAGTAGATGGTGAGTGCCATGTGTGGTGTAAGTGTGTGATGTGTGTGTGGTGTATGTGAGTGGTACATGAGATGAGTGTGGTATGAGGATGTGTGGTGTGTGTGTGTGGAAGTTATGTGTGGTGTGTTTGTGGTATGTGAGTGTAAGTGTATGAGGCATGGCGGTGGTGTGTGTGGTGTCTGTGTATGTGGCGTGTGTGTGTGAGTGGTGTGTGTTTGAGAGTTTGTGTGATGTGTGTGGTGTGTGTGATGAGTGTGTGTTCACGGTGTGTGTGTGGAATGTGTGTGTGTTCTATGTGTGGTATGTGAGTGTGAGTTTATGGGGAGTGTTTTTGGTGTGTGTTTTATGCATGTGGTGTGTATGGTTTGTGTGTATGTGGTATGTGTGTGAGTGGAGGTGGTGAGTGTTGTATTTGTGAGAGTATGTGTGATGTGCATGTGGTGTGTGTGGGGGTGGTATGTGTGGTATGTATGGTATGAGTATGTGTCTATTGGGGTGTCTATGGTGTGTGTGTGGAATGTGTCAGTGCATGGTATTGTGTGATACGTGAGTGTGAATGTATGCGGGAGTGTTTGTGGTGTGTGTGTGATGCATGTGGTGTGCATGGATGTAGGAAGTGAGTGTTTACAGTGTGTGAGTTTGTGTGATGTGTGTGGTATGCATGTGGTATGAGTGTGCACGTATTGGGGTGTTCATAGTGTGTGTGTGGAATGTGTGGCGTGTGTGGTATGTATGTTAGTGTAGGTTGTGGGTGTGATGCGTGTGTGGTGTGGGTGTGGTATTTGTGGTATGAATATGTGTGTACTGGGGCGTTCATGTGTGTGATGTGTGTGGAATGTGTGAGTTTTTGGTGTGTGGTGTGTGAGTGTATGGGGGCTGTTTATGGTGTGTGTGTGTGTGTGTGTGTAGATGTGTTGTGAGGGAAAGTGTGAAATGTTTTGCTGGGAAAGGAAGATCATCAGGTAAGAGAACTGTAGCAAGGTTACCGTAGCAGCAGGACAGCAAATAGATCATGAGGTGCATTAGAGACGGGGAGACCAAAGCAGTTATTACTGGCAAGTTGACCCAAGTAACTGAAATCTGCAAAGCTTATGATTGACGGAGGAATTATAGAAAGTCAAAATACACACATGCACAATAAGACTTTCTGATTCTGTACCATAGGCTTCTTTTTTAATATTTTTATTTTGTAACATTATCTTAATAGCACATTATTAATAATATTTTGAATAATGAAAATACCCAGTACAAACATTTTTCCCTAAACTATTGCTTATCTGGTGATGCCACCCAAGGTCAAGGACCAGGGTCACATTTCTGTTTTTATACTTCAGGTCAATAGGAGCAATAACAATGGCTAACATTTACAGAAAATCTATGTTCCAAGTCTTATTTACATATATAAATTAATTTAATCTTCATAACAGTCTATAAGGTAGGTCACTATTATCTGTTTTTAGAGACTAGGAAACTGTGACACAGAGAGGAAAAGTAAGTTACTCACTATCGCATAGCATGAAGCTGTGGAATGAGAATTCCAACCCAGACACTCTGCTTGCAGCCACTCCACCCCAATGTCTACCAGAAAGTGTGGTTCAGTATTTTGAAAGAATGCTGGTGGATTCATCTTCATTTATATACCTCCACTGTGCCTCTTGTATGTAATTCTGAACATAAAATTAGAAAAAACCTTCACCTGAAAACAGAGATATTCCCTCAGCAATAGCATAGGCATGTCATCATGCCCTTGAGCTAGCTAGTCATAAAAATTCTTACAGATCACACAGTAGGTTTTGTAGACAATAATGACCAGCCATGGGCAGACACAGAACTCCCCAGCCCAGACTAGTAGGGTCAAGTCTGCAAGCACAACGGAAGCTCCTTCTTGCTGAGATAGGTGACTGGAAACAAGACCACAGTTCCCACGTCCAGAGGCAGTTGCGACTCAAGTGTGTTTAGTCTCCTGGGCCTGGAGGAGAGTAATGGGCAGCCCGCTGGGCTGTAATGGCCATCTGCCCGCCTGCGGTTTCTGCCCTGATGCGCATGGTCCCTTCCTTCCTAGCCAGACCGTGTTCCAATCACCTAGTTCTAATCGGCCTTGCCCCAAGTGCATCAGATGCTGCTTCAAGTTTCAATTACACTGTATAAACCAGGTTTCTGGAGAATTCCAGCCAGACAGTGATCCGAGGCACTCACCCCGGACCCTGCATATGGAATCTGACTCAGATCTATGTTGTATTCACAGCACCTGCCTAGTGATGGCAATTTTGTCCAACAGCACCTGCCTCCCCTCTCCGGCTCTTTGCTCTTGGGTAGTCTCCCTGACACCTGGCCTTTGTGTCTACCTCAGGAGCTCCCAGCAGCGCTGGTAACAGGCACCAAGCTTCTGAGTAAAGCCTTGGGCCATAAGTCATGTCATTCATTTTACTACTGGTGGAAGATAAAACACCAAAAATCAGCCAAAGAACTGTTCCTTGGAGAAGTGCCTCAACATTTGGAGGGGTGAGGTATACTCACAGGAAATTTTATTTTTATTAGGCTTCCCACAAAATATTAATGAAATACTCATAGTGATTCTCCATCTTCCATTTATATTAAAAATAGTATATTTTAAATGTATCAATTTTGGCTGGGTGCGGTGGCTCACATCTGTGAGTCACATCTGTGACTTCGTTACAATTAAAAACTTTTGCTCTGGGAAAGGAAATATTAAGAGAATGAAGAAACAAGCCACAGACAGGAAGAAAATATTTGTAAAACACCTGTCTTGCATCCAGACCATTAAAAACCACTTACAACTCAACAATAAGAATTCAAGCCACCCAATTAGTAAATGGACAAAAGATCTAAAGAGGCTCCCATCAGAGATGGCATATAGAAGGCGGAAAGCTTATGAAAAGATGTTCGCCCTCCCCGCGCTTTTCCCTCCCTGCGTCCCTCTCTCTCCCACACACCCTCCGCTGCAGCGAGAGTGGGAGCGGGTCAGGGGCGGTAGGCGGTGACGGTGACTTGCTGTCTCTCGTGCGAGGCGTGGGATTTAAGCGCATTATAAGCCGTGGGTCCCGGAGAATCCCGAGAGGCTGCGCTTGGAGCCCAGACTGACGCGCTTCTCTCATGGTTCCGGGCCGCTGCCCTGCAGAGCCCACCTTACTCTTACTCTCCACAGGCCTGTTGGCCGCGGCGGGCCTTGGCTCCCCTGAGCCTGGTGGGCCTGCAAAGAGCTGCGTCCAGGAGCCGCCCCCAGGGAACAAGCTGCCAGCGGGCCTGGGGAGAACCGCCCGTCCGATGAGCTCGGCTGAGCGTGCACGCAGTGCCGAAATCAAGGACGCCTGGATGCTTTTCGTTGCAGAGTGACAAAGGTTCAACAACAGGAAGAGGATCAGGGGCCAAGACAAGAAGCTGAAGTTCGGCCTGCCAGGAACCCCGGGCCCCAGCATCCCACCCAAGGCGCTGCTGCAGGAGTTCCAGCTGCTGCTGAAAGGTGCGGTGCCGCAGGGCCAGAGTGCGGGATCCTGAGCCCTGCATGCCAGTCCTTGCGGGGGCCGATCGCTGTGAGCCTTACTCAGGTCCAGCCGCCTCCAGGGAGGACAATGTAGACGAGGTGCGGGGCGTGAGGGCGGTGCTGGCCGCACCCCTGGTCCTGAGGCCACGGGAGCCGCGCGAGGAGGCCGCCTTCCACTGACGCCTGCACCGGGACCGGTTGCTGCAGCGGTGCCAGCTGCAGGAGCTCCGCGTCTGCTGCTTCTCCGACGCCAGGGCGCCGCCAGGATGACAGGTGCAGGAGACTGTGGCTGTGGGCAGATGTGGTTTCCAGCCCCAGGTCCCCGCGGCCCCTGGCTTCCCAGCGCGCTGTCCTGTGAGCAAGAAGATGAAAAAAGCCACCCGATCAACAGGTCAGCTGCCCCGCCTGGCAGCCCAGCCAGACAAGGCAACCGAAGTTCATCCTCTCTGAGTTGACTTCGTGCGGGCAGCGGGCCGGCGCCCAGGATGCTGGGGAGCCCTGCGCGCCGGAGGCCGACAAGCCGTGGGGCTCAGAGGCGCCTCAGGGCGAGAAGGCACCCGTCTCCCAGCGCTTTCACCCCCTGGCCTGCCCGGCCCGCGTGGTGTCCCAGTGGCTGCGGCCACGCCAGGCATTCTGCCCCGCGGCGGCTGCACAGGGACGAGAACTGAGAACCCCTGCTCAACCCCATCCGGGGTGACTGCCAAATGCCTATGCCAGCGGCCCCGATCTCCCTCCGGTGGAGGAGTGGGGGGAGACACGGCCTGGGGGCCTCAGGCTGGGCGCGCTGGCGATCCCGAGGCCGACCAGGTCATGCACCTCCAGTCCGCCTGGGCACCCAAGCTGCAGCCGCCTTCTGTGCGCAGACAGCAGCCTCCAGGCAATCCCCGAGCCCGCCCGCACTCCCCGCATCTCAAAACCGGGGCTAGAGGTCCCTGTAGCTGCGGCCAAGCCAGGCGGTCTGCCCTGCGGCGGCTGCACAGGGGCAGGAACCGGCCCTCAGACCCAACCCCGGTGGCTGCAGAGGGCCACTGGCTAGAGGTCCCCAGCTCCAGCAGAGGAGGAGCTGGGCGGGGGCAGGGCCTGGCGGGCTCTCAGGCCAGGTGCACTCGCGATCTAGAGGCAGCCCAGGCCATTCTCCACCACCTGGGCGCCCAAGCTGCAGGCGCCCTCTACCTGCTGGCAACAGCTGCCTGGCCACTCCCAAGCTGGCTGGCGCTCCCAAGCCTCGCAGAACCGGGGCTAGATGTCGCCGTGGCTGCGGCCAAGCCCGGCGGTCTGCCCGGCGGCGGCTGCACCGTGGCTGGAACCGACCCCCCAGTCCCATCCCCCATGGCTACGGAGGGCCCCTGTCAGCGGCCCCGATCTCTCTTTGGAGGAGGAGCGGGGCGGGAGTCACGGCCAGGAGGGCCCTCAGGCCGGAAGGGATGCACGTCTGCGATTCCGAGACGTCCCGCGCGAGCCCAGGAGAACCCGCAAGCCAGCAGCGCCTGCGCCCGAGCTGCAGCAGCCCCCTGCAGGCCACGCGGGCTCGGGAGCGGTTTCCGGAGTCCGAGCTGGCGCTGAGCTGCAGGCGCGAGCCTAAAGGCTTAGCCGGGGCCCACGCTGTCTGAGAGATCGGAGCGTTCAGCTACAGGCACGCGCTTAACGGCTTCGTGGAGCTCACTCGGTCTGAGAGGTCGGAGGCTGCGAGTGTCGCTGCTGAAGGCTGTGGTGGACCAGGCTGGATCGCGGATTCTGAGCTACATCGCGGGTTTGGTGGTGGATCTTGGATTTGGGGGTGGATCGCGGGTTTGGGGGTGGATCTTGGATTTGGGGGTGGATCGCGGGTTGTGGGGGGGATGGCGGATTTGGGGCTGGGTGGGGGTGGAAAGGCCACGAGGAGCCGCGGCGGCTCAGGAGCGGGTGGTGGGCGTCTGAAAAGTCGCCACCATGAGGAAGCTCTTCAGCTTCGGGAGACGCCTGGGCCAGGCGCTCCTGGACTCCATGGACCAAGAGTACGCTGGTCGGGGGTACCACATCCGGGACTGGGAACTGCGGAAGATCCACAGGGCTGCCATCAAGGGCGACGCCGCGGAGGTGGAGCACTGCCTGACGCGCAGGTTCCGGGACTTGGACGCCCGCGACAGAAAAGACAGGTATCGGGGGCTCAGCCTGCGGTGGGAGGGGGCCCCAGGCCCGGCTTCCCTGCAGCCCCTGGGGCGGGGGCCTTGGAGGGCCCCGGGCACCCTCGGAGCCGCGGAGCCAAATGGAGCCTCAGACTGCTTTCCATCGCTGGCAATTCCCCGTCTGTAGCACTTGGTGGATAATTTGATTTAACTCACAAAGTTAAGCATATACACGTTTAAAACATGGGGCCATATACATGATAGGGAGGTGCCTAATGAGAACTCATTCCCATGTCAAAAATACCATGAGCCATTTTCAGTAGGCGAAGAGTTCTCAAATTAAACCCTGTGTCAGTTTTAAATCCGAATCCACCTAGGTAGATAGGTTCTTTACTGGGGCTTCTTAGAGGGACACTTGGAAATGGGACGTGGGTTCCTTGAATGAGAAGACTCATTTTTCTCAAAATGTGAGCTCTATGTTTATCAGATTTACATAAACCAAATAAAAATATCAAGGTTTTATCATTTTTGCATGACACTGTCTATCTTACTATTGTGATGATATTTAAAAATGTTCATAATGGAGTGAAAAAAGACTTGCTCCTCTAGATATCAAAATGTGCTATTAATTCTCACAATTAATTATTTACTAACAGCTGAAAACACAGATAAATAAATGCAACAGAATAGGAAATCCAAAAACACTGAAATATATGTAAGATATATACATAGGGATTGATAATGGTAACATTTCAGATGAGTAGGAAAGGATGAGTTATTAATAACATGCCTGCTGTGTGAAGAAAACTAATGGAATTTTATGTCGCAAAAATGAGTTCCTGATGGAATTTAGACTGAAATTTTTACATATGCAAAATGAGAAAAGTACCAGAAGAAAATACAAAGACTTATATATACAGGTACATTTTATGTTAATAAAGGCCTTCCTAAGAATGACCTCGCAAGCAGGCATTCTGAAAGTTGATTTAGCAAACTAAAAATTAAAATCCCCTGTGTATCAGAAAAAAATTAACAAAAGGTAACACACTTGAAAAATATTTACAATATATATTTTTACTAATATATAAAAATATATATTCAGATGAAAAGTGTATCTTCATCCTACAGGGAAGTTATTCTTTATCATATATAATATGATATATATTACTGATTATATATATAACAAATTGTATATATTACTAATATAATATGTTATATGTATATCAGTTATATATATACAGATAAAAAGCACATCTTTATTTTACAGGGAATTCTTTCCAATCAAATCCACAAGAAAAGAACTCTAAAAGTGAGCAAAGTACTTTTTTGCAGATCCACAAGTTACTTATGTACATATGAAAAAATCCTTAGTGTTTCTCATAAGAGAATTTAAGTTAAAAGAGGAATGAGACTGTGTTCTATCCACAGTGTTTGTGAGAATGAAGAGCAGTGGTACTTACACTGCTGCTTGACGTTTAAGTTGCTGATGACTTTTCAAGTAGATAATTTGGAGATAATTACCACATTTTAAAAATGCATATGCCCTTTACCCACCAATTCCATTGTATTAAAATACCTTCAGAAAATAGAGATACATGCACTTTGTTTTTCTCAGCATTTATGTTAACAAGAACCCATAGAATGGATATGTGGCCATTGAAGGTGGCAATAGGTGGAGAAGTATGTTGGTGTGTGAGGATGTATTGTTATAGCCAGTGAGGAAAAAAAATCAATTTGTTTGCACATACACACAAACATACTGTGGTCTTGTGTTAGCCAAAACTATGTACAAAAGAGCATAAAATTAGTAACTTCTGAGCATTTGTATTTTCAAGTCTTTTGTTCTTTTTTCTTACCTTTGATTTCTGAAGTGAGCATTTCTAAAACTTCTAGTAAAAATTTATTATTAATGGAATAATTTTTGGGAAGAGAGAAATATGAATCTTGTACAGATAAAAATAATTTCTCACTTTTTTTATCATTATTATTGAGGGTTGTTATCTCGTTTGAACTTTTAGCTTCTTCAGAAGTAAAAAGGGAATCTTTTTACCTGTGCTTGCAGATTTTATTATGTACATATTATGTATATATGTTTTTCTTATGTATAGATTCATTACATATATGCAATGATAGATTAATCATTTCATTATAGTTGTAGTCTTATAAAAATAACAAATAGCAAATAGTATTACTATCACAAAAATACTGGTTTATAAAAGTTGTATTTAAAAATATTGAGCTCCCCAACTGTATTCTATCAATCCATTTATTCATCAAACATAACCTGAATACCTGTTATGTAGCAAACATTTTACCTGTTATGTAGCAAACATTTTGCACTATCTCTCAGGACCCTTCCATACTTAAAAACTTTGTTTACCTGTTCTGCCTGAGCAAGATGAGAGATTTAAAATGGGAATAGTAGGACTTAATCTCCTTGAAGCTTTTCCTCCCACCTTTCAAGCAAAAGCATTTCTGAAGGTAGAAAACAGTAAGAGATAACCTTTAACTGCCCTTTTGAAAATCTGTCAGTCTTAAATACTAATATGAATAATTGGAAAGTCTGATTTGCATATATTCTGTAAATCTAAGTGTTGACTAAAATGAGCCATACCTGTTCATCTCAATCATTAGTTTCCTTTAGCTTCATATTTTTAAAAATCAAAGAAGTAATTTGTTTAAAAAATATGTTGTTATTTCAGTGCTCTTTCCCCATGGTACTTTTAGGAATTAAAATGTATTTAAGTGTCAATTAGATGCCTAGAACTGCCCTAGACCTGCTGTCTATACCGTATTTGCTTAATGTAAGGCCTCATGGATTGTGTGATACCCTACTGTTTTCTATATTAATAAGATGATTTTTTAAACGCTACCAATTGTAGTTATAAAAAATTATGAATTATAAATGCCATTCCAATATCAGATATACTAAAATGTGACCTAATCTTTAAATCATCCTGCAAAATGGCAATAATTGTATCATTTTACTTAATTAAAATGTTTTTGTTAAGTAGTAGTAATAGTAATAATTGTAACATCTGGCTGGGTGTGTGGCTCACGCCTGTCATTCCAGAACTTTGGAAAGCTGAGGTGGGAAGTTCCCATGATGCTAGGAGTTTGAAACCAGCCTGGGCAACAAAGTGACATTCCTACTCTACAAAAATTTTTTTAAAATTAGCTGATCATGCTGGTGCACTCCTGTGGTCCCAGCTACTCAGGAGGCTGGGGCAGGAGGATTGCTTGAGCCTATGAGTTCCAGGCTGCAATGAAGTATAAACACCATTGCACTCCAGCCTGGGCAACAGAGCAAGACCCTGTCCCAACAAACAAAAATTTAACAGTTATTGAGCTGTTGCTTGTTCTGGAGATGGTTCTAAATGATTTACATAGATTTTCATTTAAGCATCACAGTGGTGTCCCGTGAGCTAGCTGTTGTTGTCATCTTTATTTTATTAATGAGGAAACTGAGGCACAGAAAGGCTAAGCAATAGCTGGTACCTGACCGAGTTCAAAGTAGAACTCAAACCCTAGTTGAACTGAATGTAAACACCAAGCTCATTCTGTCCAAATAGGCTGCTGTTTCATTAAGGTAGGGGGCAATAAGAGCTAATAAATATTGTACTTTCTTCAAAAGAAAATTATTTGTTTTGAAGGCAGAGGAATAACTTGCTATTCACTGTTTACAATTACATGAACCATTGTAGGTTTTGAGATACTGCACTACCATTTCCTGACAACTCCTCTCGCCCTCCTAGGACTGTTCTACATTTGACCTGTGCCCATGGCCGTGTGGAAGTGGTCACCCTCTTGCTGAGCAGAAGATGCCAGATCAACATATATGATAGACTAAACAGGACACCTTTAATGAAGGTATATAGTAGCCAACTTTTTCAGCATGAAATGGATTTGATTTAAATACATAGAATTAAAATGAATTTATCTCATTTAAATATAACTAGTTGGTGAAACCTGTGGAATATGTATTTTGAATTCTTAGAATTTATAGTCTAGTTTTTTCATCTGACACTAATAGGCTGTACACTGCCAGGAAGAGGCTTGTGCCATTATTCTCCTGGAACATGGCGCCAATCCAAACATTAAGGATATCTACAGCAACACTGCTCTCCATTATGCTGTGTATAATAAGGGGACTTCACTGGCAGAAAAACTGCTTTCCCACCATGCAAATATTGAAGCACTAAACGAGGTACAGATCAATCAACTTTCTTTTCAAAATACTTGTTTTAACATTGACATAGGTAAGAGTCAGTTTTTCATATTTGGAACTCAAGTGTTCCCGAATAAAAATATTTTGAAATAAATTAATTGTCTAAAATTTTACCTTAAATATTGATACTTTTAAAGAAGCTTTTTTAGTGCACTTATGGGAAATATTTGTGAATTTGTTAAGCTAAAACTTCTTCAAGTATTTGTTTCCTACCCCAGGTGTAGGAAAATACTAATTATTTTTCTAATTAGTATTAAAAAAAATCACAGGAAAAAAGTTACCCTGGAAATAGGCTTTATCTTAAAACCAGCAATAGCTGGTACGTGACCGAGTCCAAAGTAGAACTCAAGCCCTAGTTTAACTGAATCCAAACATCAAGCTCATTCTATCCAAAACAGCAACTTAAAATAAATGGAAGTCTTGCTGCTGCTGACGGTTTTCTAACAAAAGGGATGTATCTTTCATTGGCAAGGTTTAAGAGGGAAAAATGGGAAGGGAAAAGGGAAGCAATCAAAAACATGCAGGTCAGTTGAAAATTAGGTAATGAGAGAAAATACCAAGAAGAGGTTTTGTTTTTTAGTTTGTTGTTTTTCCAGTTTATGTATTGAGACAAAGCACTCTTCAGCTTTGGGGTAATCATTTTTGGTTTGGTAAAAGAGGGATTGAAACTTGCCTAAAGATTAATTTTTAGAGGACTCTGAGGAAACCAGATTGGCAGTGAATATATGGTGATGAAGTGAGAAACACTTCAGCAAAGGGTGGAACAAATTAGTAACTGACTTATTACCCATCCTGGCAAAAACAGCCACTTAGATAAGAGTCTAAACTCTCCTTTCAAATCTAGAATGTCTTGGTGGGAAGGTGGGAGATAAGGAGCTTATAAATAGCAAAATCAACTGGGATTTTGAGTTTACTTATCCCTGTTATAACCACACCCAGGAAAATTCACTGGCGTTTTAATAAATAACTCTATCTCATACTCTTTTCTCTTTCTGGCCACATCCCAAGCTGATAAAGGATATTGGCCATGTGGGTGAGAGATGAAACTGAAGCGATCGTCTGCCACAGTAATTCTCAGCTAGAATTGTGCATTACAGTGACCTGGGGAAATTTTGTTAAAAGTCTACAAGTGTGGGCTTTCCCCTGAGGATTTTGATGTAATAGATCATAAGTTCTGAACATGTATGGTTAAAAATATTTTCTTGAAGCCATGCACAGTGGCATGTTCCTGTAGTCCCAGCTACTCAGGAGGCTGAGGTGGGAGGATTGCTTGAGCCTAGGAGTTTGAGTCCAGCCTGAGAAACATAGTAAGATTCTTGTCTCTTACAACAACAAGAGCGAAAAATAATAATAATAATAATACCTCAGCATTCGAATACACTCCTGATTAAGAAGCACAGAATAGATAAGTGCAGTATATAAATTCCCATATCTCAAAGACATAAGAAATCTCTGAAAGAGTTGGCATTTGATAGGTACTACTTTCTTCAAAGTTCTCCTTTCCAATAACATTAGCCTGACTTATCTGTCTTTCTCTATATTTGTGACTGGGAAGTGAAAGGAAGTATCATAGGCAATATCTCTCAGCTGACAGAATAACACCTTTTGCTTCCCACCAGGAATCATTCACTGCCATTCAGAAAGTCTTTAGCAATTTACTTGTGGGTAATCTTTCAATAAGTAGAGGCTGACCCTTTCACAATTTCATGTTCCTTTGTCACCATTCAAGTGATTATGTGTCAACAAATGTTCATTACAAGTGAGATTTTCTCAATTACATTAGCAGCAAATCCTGAACCTTTTTTTTTTTTCAGTTGAAGTTGTATTAGGGACTATCTCAGTATGTCTGTTAAGTTTATAGAGCTTTGGCATAATCAGGATGTCAGTTTTAAACACTGAAATCCTTGAAGTCAGTGAGAATACAATAGGAATTCTTTTAGTAATTTAGTTTCAGCATTCCTATGAACTAATTATCTATTTGGTTAACAATCTGGGAAAACTATATAAACATAGATTGCAAACGAATAAATATTGGGAAAATTCTTGAGGTGGATACTATGAGTCTTAACAGCAATTTTTATTATGTATATATCAGAGCCTGAGTTTTTTTATTAAACATATGCTACTACAGAAAGAAAAGGTTCCACATGCAAATACTTGGTTTATACACAATCATTTAGCAACACATTCATAGCAAATATAAAAATACAAGGGCTATAGTCTAAGTGTGGCATATAGATTTGTTCTTTGCCTCTTTAAATTGAGTCAACATGTAAAATTTAGTAGACTCATGCAGATATCTGGACCTCAGGCTTGTCTTAAGAATCAAATCTAGTGTCCCCTGGACCGCATCACTTCTTGGTCTGCTGTGCAGAGGTTGCCCTGTGTAGGAGGCACATATTCTCCAGTATGCTACTGTGCCCACCTGAGTACTTCACTTACTTAGGTAACCTCCTTCATCCTTATAAGTATTGGAGCTTACAACTCCTTTTTTATAGTATGTTTTCATAAAGATTTCAAGGTTTTCAAGACAGCATATATTGGTTCATAATATATAGTCTATAGTTTATATAAATCCCTCAATTATAAAGTTGAATTTTAGAATTCAGAAGTTTTTTTTTTAACTGTTTTTTTATATCTATACCATAAATAGTCATCTGCTTATAGGAATGCCTAGAAGCCTTTTTAGGTTATTCCTGCTGGGAAGTGGATAGATTATGAATATTGCAGGATTATATCTTTCTTCTCAGCAGTTTCCCTTAAAAATGCAAGTGACGGCTGGGCACGGTAGCTCACGCCTGTAATCCCAGCACTTTGGGAGGCTGAGATGGGTGGATCATGAGGTCAGGAGATCGAGACCATCCTGGCTAAGACGGTGAAACCCTGTCTCTACTAAAAATACAAAAATTTAGCCGGGCATGGTGGCAGGCACCTGTAGTCCCAGATACTTGGGAGGCTGAGGCAGGACAACGGCGTGAACCCGGGAGGCGGAGCTTGCCGTGAGCGGAGATCATGCCACTGCACTCCAGCCTGGGAGACAGTGTGAGACTCCGTCTCAAAAAAAAAATTCAAGTGACTTATTGGCTTTTATTATGCTAGAAATAAGCCCTATACATCAGTATTAGAACTTTTATTGATAAGCCATTGTATTTTTATTTCTGATTTATATTTTGCCTGAAGTAAAAAAAAGTTAAATAGCAATTTAAATGGAAACCAATACAAATGGATTTAAAAAGTAAAGTTGCATTAGCATCCCAGGATTATCATTATAATTGAGAATAAAATTTCTTACTGAGCTTTGCTTTTTAATATTTATTTTCAAAAATTTTTAACTGGTCTCTCTTACACAGAACATACTGAACTTTCTAATAGTTAAGATAAAAATCTATCCTCTTGTATTAGGAAAAATCCCATGGACTATTTAATAATAAGGAAAATAAGTGCATTTGAAGCCAATCTCTCTTAATTCACAGCTCATTTCCTTAGTGGCCCCTTTGGACCAGGAGTGCCTGACATTGGCATCCTGACACCATTGATAGAAGTGAATCAAGCAAGTTTGTGCCACCCAGAGGAAACCTCCACTTGTACTGGGAAGCTCTGGCAACAGGATCCCTGAAACTCTAGTTCCTAAAATGTTAATGTTTGCCACAAAAAGTATTGTCAAATTGAGATTAGGCAAAGTTCAAGGGATTTCTAGATTGTTGGCCATGTAATACAGTTTTGTAATACTTCTCAAATGCAGATGATCGTGGAATCTTTTTGTTGGGGTACAGTTCTTCTGGTAAAACAAATATTCTTTGAAATATAGTTTAAGAAACACTGCTCTAAAGATAATAATTTAGATCATTAATTTATTTTAAAAACGTAAAGCATTCGCTACTATGTCTTAAGTTTTAGGGTTATAGAGAAAAAAGATACAGCCCTTGCCCTCAAGAAGTTCTTGGTTTCAGTGGGAAACAATGAAATAATTACAATGTACTGTGCTAAATGCTGAGATAGAAGCAAGGATTTTGGGGATTGGTAAACATAGTGAGTTTTGGAGATGACCGAAGTTAACGTGGGGAGGCAGAGGAGGGGTGTTTCAAGGCAGTGTGTGGGAAAGCACAGAGGAGTGAAAAGGACGGGACTGCTTTGCATTTACTTTCTCTCTATATTGCATGTTTAAGTTCATAGCATCTTATAGAAGATTTTTAGTTCAGTTAAGAAATACGTAATTTTGTGAATTATAAATTGTTTTTGCTTTTTACAGGAGGGAAACACTCCACTTTTGTTTGCTATAAATTCTAGGAGACAGCAAATTGTGGAATTTCTGTTGAAGAACCAGGCAAATTTACATGCCATTGACAATTTCAGAAGGTGCAATAGTTTTTGGTTTTTTTGTTTGTTTGTTTTTTGTTTTTTTTTTTTCCTAAAAACCTGAATGTTCTAGAGTGGTAACAGTCACTCAAGTCAGAAATGTTAATAAGATTAACTTATAACTATTGGCATATAGTAAAAAATAACATGAATAATCAGTTAGGTAGAAAAGCAGTTATTTGGACTGAGAAACATAAAAAACAGTATATAGTAGGATTCATCTTCTCTTATAGACCGTTACTTGTAATCTGATATTTTTGGTCCTGTAATCTTATATTAGCTAAAGGGGTTTTGTATTTTATTAATTTTATAAAGCGTAGACTTTAACTTTCAGTTTACAACTACTACTATTACCATTATTATTATTATTATTACTATTATTATTATTATTATTATTGCTGTTGTTTTAAGCCTGCAGATAGCTCTTACTTATTTGATCCCTAGCTGATTTTGAATTACACTGTATCAGACTAGGAAAGCAATGGGGAAATCTTCATCTAAATCTTTGCCTACTTTAGATAAGTGACCTCAGCACAGTTTCTTGGCCATCAAAGGACTATAAATTAGCAACTTGTATTATGTCATATCCCAATGGAACATGAAGCTTGCTTGTTGTCCCTGCCTTTTAGTCTTGGTGGTAATTTACCCAGATGAACACTTTAGCACCCAAGATGCTTATACACATAAGCTAGTACATGTATATGGTTATTATGTCTATCCTGACAGGCAAGATACGAAATTGGTGAAGTGTATCCAATTTGCTAATGAAATATCTTTATTAAAGTTCTTGAGTGCTGTTATTTCTTTATTATTTTAGAACAGCCCTCATGCTTGCAGTACAGCATAACTCATCAAGTATCGTCAGCCTCCTCCTTCAACAAAATATAAATATCTTTTCTCAAGACCTGTTTGGCCAGACTGCCGAGGATTATGCTGTTTGTTATAATTTCAGAAGGTATGTGCTTATATTAAAAGACCAGTTAATACTAAATTAAGGTTTAAAATAATTACAAATATTGCATCTTATACATTAGGTGACAGTTCATAGTTTGTTTGAGGTAGTTTGGAATGGCAACAAGTTAGTCCACTTTTTAGCCAGAAATCAAACAGAAAGCTAGATTAGTTAGAAGTAGCAATGAATGCAAGATTCTTTCAGGACTTTTAAAGACCTTTATCCCTAGGGATCTCAGTGTTGTTCATTTTATTCCAAGTATAACCCTCATATGTGAGATATAAATAACGTCACATCTTTTACTTTTTTTCTTCTTTCTTTTGTTTTGAAACAAGGTCTCACTATGTTGCCCATGTCCCTGAGCTCAAGTGATTCTCCTGCCTCGGCCTCACAAACTGCTAGCCACCATGCCTGGCCTGACTTTTCTAATTAGTTATTGGGTCTTGAAATATCCAGTTTAGCAGAAAATCTTGTATTGTCCCCTGGGGCTACCTCCTATGCCTTCCTCCTTTGAATTTTTCAAAAAGCTAAGGGGTTCTCTAAGTCCAAGGAAGACAATCTTACTTTACAAGTCAGAAGAAGGGGGGAAAAGGCCATTCTAGTCATTCTGTTGTTTCCATTGATTCACTTGCTGTATTGCTGCCATTGTAACTGGTCCTGCAATCTGGTAATGATTAACTTTTGCCACCAGGATGCTGTTACTGATTCAGATCCCTCACTCTTCATGGTGACTTATACACAGAGTCCACAGCTGCAATGTTTTTTAGTTCATGTACATAGGCTCAGCCATTGTTCCCAGCACCCTGCTCTGGCAGCAAGGCCTCCTGGCTTTACCCACACACATAGTGAGTAAATTGACCTTTCCCCAACACTAAAAACCTTATTTGTAGCCCACGTCTTAGCTAGGCTTACCCTAGTCCTTCATGGTAAGTAATCCTTTGAGGCCAGTGTCCATCTTTTCTCTAGCAAATATTAGTTGGGATTGTACTCAACAGTCAGGGATGTTCAAATAATGTTGCAGGAAGAGAGAAGAGGTCCCTTTGCCTTTTGTTATCACATCTGTACCTTGAGGCTTTTTTCTGTCCTGTGTAGCAGCTTTTGTTAGATAGCAAAAGGTTCCACATTATCCTTCAATAGATAGTGGGCACCAACTTGCCGTTGGCCCCTCAAGTAATGTGTTTCCACAGTAATGAAAATCTCTAAGGCTACTTGCATCTCTACCTCAAGTTTTTTTTTTTAATTATACTTTAAGTTTTAGGGTACATGTGCACAACATGCAGGTTAGTTACATATGTATACATGTGCCATGTTGGTGTGCTGCGCCCATTAACTCATCATTTAACATTAGGTATATCTCCTAATGCTATCCTTCCCCTTTCCCCCCACCCCACAACAGGCCGCGGTGTATGATGTTCCCCTTCCTGTGTCCATGTGTTCTCATTGTTCAATTCCCACCTATGAGTGAGAACATTTTAAAATTCTACTTCACAGGAAGTCATTTGATAGAATTCTCTGTATCTAAAGTAAGTAATTTGTATTTCACAGAGCTAAGCCTCATCCATGACTTATGAGTATCCATGTATAAAACAGGGCTTTATACTTGCCCTAGCAGCACATATTCTAAAATTGGATCAATACAGAACAGATAAGCATGCCTGCTGCCTAACGATGGCACACAAATTCAGAAAGCATTCCACATGTTGCACAGTACCCAGAAGGTCGTTTGACTATTTGTTAACTAGCTTCAAGGAAACAATGTGAGTCAAACCAAAACAGGAGACACCCGATATGGAAATTGTTATTATGATCATTATGAAAGTATTCATATAAGGTGATCTGTGAAATGAGAACAGAGCTGAGTAGCATATGGGATGTCACATGCAAATATGTTGTTAGTCCATGACTTGGAAATGAGGAAACATAAACTTGCATCTCTTTCATGGAACCAAAAAACAATACAAGCAGGGCTTTGTCTTGTATGTCAGTCAGAGAGGACCCAGAAGATGCAGCCTCTAACACAGACCTGCTGGCTCCGAGTTTGAGGAGGTAGAGAAGGAATGGTAGTTGTCCCAGCCGGGTTTTGACACCTATTAGTTTTCTGCCCTTGGTGTGACTGATGTGCTCAGTAATAGGGGACAATTAGGTTATATGTTTTAATGAGATAATAATATATTTATGTATAAATTTGGTTACAAGTTATGAACTAGCTAAAATGCTGTGAACTACAAGCCACAATGAACAGAACTAATAACCAAAATTAGCACTTAGTAACATTCTCTGAAAACTGTGACATCCAAATATTAGAACCTATGAAAAAACACCCATCAGATTTTGTTTGAGATTCCAAAATGGTTTCAGCAATACAGTTCAAGAGTAAATTTTTCCATTGCTTTACGATTTCTCTGAACATTTGAACATGTTATCTCATTACATCCTCCTGACAACCTAGTGAAGTCAAATAGTAAAATCTCTACTTTTTAGAAGAAGCCATGGAGCCTAAGAGAAGCAACTCATCTGAAAACAAAATACCTATTAGTTACAGAGCGAGGACTTACTCTGAGTGCAGGACAGTTTCCAAGCTGTTAAGCTAGCTAACTAGAATTAATTTACTGAGCTATGCTTTTCTCGGTTTATGAGTACTCCCTGTTTTTCTTCTTTAATTAGAAGCTTAATAAGTTTATAGAGCTTAAAATTTTAAAGTGTATGGGACATTAGAGTTCCGATATTAGCTCTGATATTGTCTGAAATGCTTTAAGAATTTAATATGTTTGGTAAATATTTTTCATATCACTATTAAAATACTAATTTTATTTATTACATTTATTATGCATAGCATTCAACAACAAATTTTGGAACATAAAAATAAGATACTTAAAAGTCATCTTTGAAATGATAATCAAGGTAAGACTTCTGATAGTAAATTTCTCATTTCTCTTGGTGATCTTACTGATTTTAAAAGGCAAAATTACAGGCCAGGCATGGTGGCTCACACCTGTAATCCCAGCACTTCGGGAAGGTGAGGCGGGTGGATCACCTGAGGTCAGGATTTTGAGACAAGCCTGGCTAACATGGTGAAACCCCATCTCTACTAAAAATACAAAAATTAGCTGGGCATGGTGGCGGACACCTGTAATCCCAGCTACTCAGGAGGCTGAGGCAGGAGAATCACTTGAACCCAGGTGATTGCAGTGAGCTGAGATGGCACCACTGTACTCCAACCTGGATGAAAGAGCAAGACTCTATCTCCAAAAAAAACAAAAAAAAGTAAGATTACATATTTTTAATCATAAAAGAGCAGTTTAAAATATATATATTTATATATAAATTAATTTTTTTAATTTAATTTCTTTAGAATTCAGTTAAGAAGTTAGTTGTAGCTAATTCTCAATCTCAAACAGTATTGTCTGAAAAAAATTCATTTACCTACTTATGATCCCTGAAATTCTACATGATATTTTTGTATTAATAGAAATAAGAAATTAGATTTTTAAGTTAATATGTTGCATTTTCTTCTATAATTACATTGTTACAAATTGGACTTGTTATTGCAAATGGATCTTCTATTTAATTTTTATAGTAAATGGTTTATATTTAGTAAATAAAGTTAATTACAGTTGATTCTTGAATATCGTGGGGGTTAGGGACTCTGATCCCTGTGCAGTTGAAAATCTGAGTATAACTTTGACTCCTTCCAAACGTAACTACTAATAGCCTACTGTTGACTGGAAACTTTACTGATAATATAAACAGTCGATGAACACATAATTGGTATGTGTTGCATTATTATATACTATGCTTTTAAAATAAAGTAAGCTAGAGAAATGAACTGTTATAAAGAAAATCATCGAAAAGAAAAAATATACTTACTATTCATAAACATAAGTGAATCCTCCCAAAGGTCTTCATCTTTATCATCTTCAGGTTGATTAGGCTGAGGAGGAAGAAAACGGTTGGTTTTGCTGTCTCTGCGTTGCAGAAGCAGAAGAAAAATCTGCATATAAGTGGACCCCTGCAGTTCAAACTCTTGTTGTTCAAGGGTCAACTGTATTACACAGGAATCTGTGTCACTAAGAAAGTAACTGTCTTTAGAACTAGGAATTCAACAATCCCTTTCTGATACCATAAACAAATGGCAATAAGAACCATAAAACTGAGCCAGTGTGCACCCATACAAATAGGAGATTATTTTTGAAGATACCTACTGAATGCAGAAGACAGAAAAGTAATTCCTTCCCAAGAAGCAGAAGTTATGTTATGTATTCCTATACAAACAAGGTCTATTTGTAATTTATTCACCATAAGTTGGAAGCTCATGAGATATATTCACTTCTTAGAACAAGCTGTGTGTTTTTATGTGCTGGATAATTATCATAATAATAGTAATTTTGCTGGAAGAAGATAATCTGTTACCAGGCTGGGTGTGGTGGCTCATGCATGTAATCCCAGCACATGAGAGGCCAAGGAAGGCAGATCACTTGAGGTGAGGTGTTTGAGACCAGCCTGGCCAACATGGTGAAACCCTATCTCTACTAAAAGTACAAAAATTAGCCAGGCATGAGGGTGGTCACCTGTATTCCCAACTACTCGGAAGACTGAGGCAGGGGAATTGCTTGAACCCGCGAGGTGTAGATTGCAGTGAGCCGAGAATGCGCCACTGCACTCCAGCCTGGGTGACAGAGCAAGATTCCATCTCAAAAAAAAAAAAAAAAGATACTCTGTTACCATTAGGCAAGATATGATCATAATAAATATTCTAATAGCCAAACTCTAGGCTCAAAAAATGAAAAAAATTATAATAAAATTATAAAAATGGTTCACAATAACAAAAACATGACACCTAATGCATTGTACAGTCTGAACCGTATAAAGACACCGTTAATTTAGTAAATAATTATCAAACCACTTCTATAAGTTAGGTTTGGCAAATTGTAGGAGACAAAGATGGAATTGACATAGTTTTTGTCTTTAAGATGCTCATAATAGAATATAGATAACTGTTTAATTTTTGTGTTTTTTTCAACAGAATTTTTAAGAAAAATATTTTAATTCATTCATATACTTATCCACTTAAAAAATAACCATCATGTATCTTTTATAGACTAAGCATTTTTCCAATGTTACAAAATACATTTAAAAAATAGTTAGGAGATTGTTATTACCACTGTTATTTATTTTATTTACTACCTTAAGTAGTGCTTACTGTGTGTCCAATGTCATCTGGGAGCTTATAGTTATTATTTATTATGTATGTATCATGTTCAGTATGTGCCAGGCATGTTTACATTTGTGGTAATGAATGCAAGCTTCTAAAATGTGGGTAGGATTTAGGGTAAGCGTGCAGAGTGAGTGGAACTTTGCCAGGTAAGGAGGCAGAGGGATGATGCTTGGCAGAAGGAGTATCTAACAAGCTTGCATGTTTGACAGAAGCAGCAGCCATGAAGAATGAAAATTTTAAAACACAAGGAGCAAGTTCAAAAGATAGGACATCTGAGTGAACTTTGTAGAGTTTATGAGCAGTTCAAATTTGCTAGTGCAAAAAAATATATATGGAGTGCTTGGTAATGAGGTGAAAATAGCTTATAGTTATTATTTATTATGTATTTATTATGTTTAGTATGTGTCAGTGAAGGCAAGCTTAGGAAAGACTTTGTTGTTGTTTTACCTGTTTCTAGAAACAAGTTCAATGAAAGACCTTTAATAGTATAGAAATGAGTAGATCTTATCCTGTAGGCCAGGGGAAACTTCTGAGGTAGAATGCTTTCAGCTGCAAATTCTAGAAGACCTAACAGTGGCCAAAACTATAAGAACCAGACTTGTTTTGGTTGTCCAGCGATATTATTGGATCCCACTTGTTCCTCTTTCAGCTATGCTGTTGGCAGTGTCTTGTTCATGTCTCCTTTCATGGTTGGCTACTTAGCAACAGCTCCAAACATCATGTTATCACAAGACAGTATCTAAAGGCTGGAAGGGCTGCTTTTCTTCACATGTGTCTTTTAAATTGGGAGAAAACTCAGAAGCATGCAGGGGACTTTTTGTAATTTTTTTTTTTTTCCGGGGATGTAGTCTCACTCTATCACCAGTCTGGAGTCCAGTGGCACGATCTTGGCTCACTGTAGCCTCCACCTCCTAAGTTCAAGCAATTCTCCTACCCCAGCCTCCCGAGGAGCTGGGACAACAGGCACTTGCGACCACGCCCAGGTCATTTTTGTATTTTTAGTAGGGACGGGGTTTCACCATGTTGGCCAGGATGGTCTCGGTCTCTTGAGCTCGTGATCTGCCTGCCTCGGCCTCCCAAAGTGCTGGGATTACAGGCATGAGCCACCGTGCTCAACCCTTTTTGTAATATTTTATTAGCTGGGTCACACCACATGCTCCTTCCTAAACCAGGCACTGGGAAAGCAAATGTAGTTATCTGATTAGCTTAGAATAATCACTTATCCTTTGAAGCTGGGGAGGGGTATTGGGATAATAAATACCCAAATAAATTTGTGATTCTCCAGCAAGAAACAACAAGGAACTGCTCTTGGGTAGGGAGCCAGCTGTATTTGCTCTAGAAATTCATTGGAAAATTGTGAGCAGGGGAGGCATTAGATTCGATTTGAGAATTAGGGCATTCTGTTCAGGGTATAAGGCAGGGATTGGCAAGCTTTTTCTGTAAAGGGCCAAATAGGAAATATTTTAGGCCATGTGGTCTCTCTCTCTCTTTCAAAAATGATTTAAGCAGCTGAAGGCCATGCTTAAATGGCCTTAAGTAGCTCTGTCGTAGCTACTCAACCCTGCCATTGTAGTGTGAAAGCAGTCATAGGTGGCAAGTCAGTGAATAGGCATGACTGTACTCTCATAAAACTTCACTGAGAAAAAACATGGTAGGCAGGATTTGGCCTGTGGTCTACAGTGTGCTGACCCATTATGTAGAGGGTAGATGGAGGATAGATGTCACCTGGGAGCATGTAGTTATTATTTACTAGGTGTTTATTATGTTCATTAGATGCCATGCACTTTTAAATTTGTGGTGATGACTGCAAGCTTCTAAAAAAATGGGTAGGATTTAGGGGAAGCACGCAGAGTTAGTGAAGCTTTGCCAGGTAAAGAGGCAGAGGGATGATGTTTTCCAGAAGGAATATCTAACAAGCTTGCATGTTTGACAGAAACAGCAGCTATGAAGCCTTGAATTTTGAAAAAAAGACAAGAAGGTGCAAAAGGTAAGACATTTGAGTGTTTCTACTCTTAACCACGTAAAGAGGCTGGGAGACAAGGGAAGCTTCAGCCATAGTTAATGCTATAGATTCCTTGTCACAAATCCATGGAGTACATGAGTCTATTACAAAGTTTTCACCCATCCATGATAAAATAAAATGATGGCGCTCCAGTTTGTTCATTTGAAAATATTGGTATTGCCGGGGATGGTGGTTCCTGCCTGTAATCTCGTCAGTGTTGGAGGCTGAGATAGAAGCATCCCTTGAGTCTAGGAGGTCCAGCAGCCTGGGCAACATCACCAGACCCCGTGTCTATTTTTTCAAACACTGTAGCTGGGTGTGGTGTTCTGCACCTGTGATCCCAGCTACTTGGGAGGCTGAAGCAGGAGAATTACTTGAGCCTAGAAGTTTGAGCCTGCAGTTAGCTATGATAGCAACATTACAGTGTGGCCTGGGTGGCAGAGTGAGAACCCATCTCTAAGAAAAATCAAGTCAAATAAGACAAGATACAATAAAATAAAATGTTGGTTTTTTTCTTGGAATTATGCTTTTCTAATTTGTTTTGCTTTTTTTTATAAACTTAAGAAATGACAATAATAGTTGGTTTATATAAGGCTTTCAGAAACTGGCTTCTGCCCAAATCTCCATCTGCAGCCCTTTCTCTGTCTGCTCCTTTTTCTGGCATTACTGAGCTGCTGGTGATGCCCCATCATCATCCCTCTCAAGTAGACAAATACATACACTCTGGGAAGGTCAATTAGGTAATAGCACTAAATCAATGTTAATCCCTGCTTTCATAATTTTACATGGTTATATAGGAGAATGTCTTCATTATTAGAAAATACGAAAGGAAGAATCTGAGGTCAAGGAGAATAACGTTTGCAACTCACCCTCAAAGGCTCAGAAAAAAGTAATGTGTGTTTGAGTGTGTGTAAATGCACTTATGTTAATGGGCAGAGAGTGGAAGCAAATGTAGTAAAAATGTTAACATTTGGGGAATCTGTGTGAAGGATATATGGGAATTTTGTAATGTTCTCATAAATTTAAGACTGAAATTATGTCAGAATACAAATTTAAAAGAAAAAATGCACAGTTAAGTAAATCACAACAAAAATCAATAGATAAATGACAGATTCATAAGAAATATGTGTAAGGCACATGACAAAGGGATTATTTCATAAATATATGAAATCAACAAAGAAAAGATAGAACAGTAAAGCAATAGGAAAAGAAAACAAGAAGACAATTCACCATAAACAAAAATGGCTTCTAAAGCACTCACGCAGAAAACTCTACCACAACCATATTAGAATATAGTTAAATATATGTATATATAATTAGTCTTTTCAGTTATCCAGCTGCCAGAAAAGTAAGAGCCCTTTAATGTCTTTGATGTATAAAATTAAAATTTCTCCAATGCAAAAATCCCGGTTATAAATACTATGCACTTTGAAATGTAAGAATACTAGCTAAAAATAAATGGCCATCAGTAGGGGCTTGGGTAAATGATGGCACATCCATTATCAATTCATATAATATATCTACAAATAACACTTACAAAATAAGTGACACAGATATATGTGTACTAATATAGACTAGTTACCAAGGTATGCTAGGTGAAAAAACAAAGATGTATGTGTGTAAATATATATCTACACAACTTCCCATGCCTATTTTCTGCTAATTTTTGAAAGCTTATAATTGACAGAGGAATGTGGGAACTGTCAGATAGTGGTGATAGAAAGATAGCATTTACTGCATATTTCTTTGTAATGCTTTAAATATTTTAATCAAGCATATATATTATCAATAAAAGATGAACCAAACTTTTCACAAAATTTAATGCCTATTTTAAAACCTCCTGTTAACATAGTCTACTTTTAATTATTTACTCTCAATATTTATATTAATACTTGTACCTTTCATAGTACTTTATATACCATATTTTCCAATATTGAGTTAAATAGTTACAGTTCCAATGGGATACTCTAATTACTGATTTAAAAAAAATAAAAAACAGGATCTCACTCTGTCACCCAGGCTAGAATGCAGTGGTGTGATTACAGCTCACCACAACCTTGAACTCCTTGGCTCAAGCAATACTCCCACCTCAGCCTCCTGAGTAGCTGGGACTACAGGTGTGTGCCACCCACACCTGCCTAATTCTTTAAAAAAATGTTTTTGTGATGACAGGGTCTCCCTATGTTGCCCAGGCAGGTCTTGAACTCCTGTCCTCAAGCAATCCTGCCATGTTGGCCTCTCAGAGCATTGGGAGTACAGGCATGAGTCACTGCAGCTAGCTCCTAATTAGTGATCTTAATTATCTTCATTATTTCCATGTAAAATATGTGCTCTTGTGATGAAGGGATTCAAGACGTCTGACTAGAGGCATCTAGCATTTGCCTCCTCCACAAAGAAGAACCAAAATAGTGAGTGATCACACTTCTAATAGATAATCTAAAAAAGAATACTGGAATTCAACAGAGAAGTAACAGGAAACACCTAACGCAAGGAAAGAGAGGGAAGAGAGGCAGCCTGCCTGGCTAGGGTTGGCTGGGAACCTCAAAGAGGCTCCACAATGTGGGAAAAAGGTAAGTAAGAGACCCCCATTGGTCTACACTCCCACCACAAACTCCTGCAATTCTAGCCACAGGAGAGCACCTTGACACTCGTGGGCCCTAAGACTTACACAGGGAGCTGCCTGGAAACTGTGTGATGGCATTGCTCCAGAGAGGGAGCCTATGCTGCATTGCATACATCTCCTGAGCTCTAAGGAGCCATTTTGAGAGTCCAGCCATCACCAGACTGCATCCTGCTCTGGAGCCCAGCAGTCCCTACATTTTCACATCTCTAGAGATCTATTGACTTCCCATATCTACAGCCATTACTACTGCTGGCTACTGCCATCAGAGCTGAAGTGCGAGCCACTGGCAGCAATCCTGACACTCCCAAGCAGCAGGACCACCACACATTTACAAGTGCCCTGCTGGCTACCCCACCTGCAGCCACCACCTAGAGCTGACACATACGTCCCCCAGCCACCTGCTTACAGTTGCTGCCACTGAAAAGAAATGAGGAAGTCAAATTGTCCTTTTTTGCAGATAATATGATCTTATATTTAGAAAAATCTAAAGACTTCACCAAAAATCTCCCATCAGTAAATTTAGTAAAGTTGCAGGAGACAAAATTAACATACAAAAACCAGTTGCCTTTCTATACACCAATAATGAAATAGATGAGAAATAAATCAAGAAGCCAATCCCATTTCAAATAGCTACAAAAAACGAAATACCTAGGAATAAGTTTAACCAACAAGGTTAAAGACTCTACAAGGAAAACTACAAGACACTGATGAAATAAATTGAAGGGACACAAACAAGTGGAAAGACATCCCATGCTCATGGATTGGAAGAACTAATATTATTACAATGACTGTACTGCCCAAAGCAATCTACAAATTCAATGCAATTTCTTTTCTTTTTTTTTTTAATTATTATTATTATTTTTTTTAATTGATCATTCTTGGGTGTTTCTCGCAGAGGGGGATTTGGCAGGGTCACAGGACAATAGTGGAGGGAAGGTCAGCAGATAAACAAGTGAACAAAGGTCTCTGGTTTTCCTAGGCAGAGGACCCTGCGGCCTTCCGCAGTGTTTGTGTCCCTGGGTACTTGAGATTAGGGAGTGGTGATGACTCTTAACGAGCATGCTGCCTTCAAGCATCTGTTTAACAAAGCACATCTTGCACCGCCCTTAATCCATTCAACCCTGAGTGGATACAGCACATGTTTCAGAGAGCACAGGGTTGGGGGTAAGGTCACCGATCAACAGGATCCCAAGGCAGAAGAATTTTTCTTAGTACAGAACAAAATGAAAAGTCTCCCATGTCTACCTCTTTCTACACAGACACGGCAACCATCCGATTTCTCAATCTTTTCCCCGCCTTTCCCCGCTTTCTATTCCACAAAACCGCCATTGTCATCATGGCCCGTTCTCAATGAGCTGTTGGGTACACCTCCCAGACGGGGTGGTGGCCAGGCAGAGGGGCTCCTCACTTCCCAGTAGGCGCGGCCGGGCAGAGGCGCCCCTCACCTCCCAGACGGGGCGGCTGGCCGGACGGGGGGCTGACCCCCCCCACCTCCCTCCTGGACGGGGCGGCTGGCCGGGCAGAGGGGCTCCTCACTTCCCAGTAGGGGCGGCCGGGCAGAGGCGCCCCTCACCTCCCGGACGGGGCGGCTGGCTGGGCGGGGGGCTGACCCCCCCACCTCCCTCCCGGACGGGCGGCTGGCCGGGCAGAGGCGCCCCTCACCTCCCGGACGGGGCGGCTGGCCAGGCGGGGGGCTGACCCCCCCACCTCCCTCCCGGATGGGGCGGCTGGCCGGGCCGGGGGGCTGACCCCCCCACCTCCCTCCCGGACGGGCAGCTGGCCGGGCAGAGGCGCCCCTCACCTCCCGGACGGGGTGGCTGGCCAGGCGGGGGGGCTGACCCCCCCACCTCCCTCCCGGACGGGGCGGCTGGCCGGGCGGGGGGCTGACCCCCCCACCTCCCTCCCGGACGGGCAGCTGGCCGGGCAGAGGCGCCCCTCACCTCCCGGACGGGGTGGCTGGCCAGGCGGGGGGGCTGACCCCCCCACCTCCCTCCCGGACGGGGCGGCTGGCCGGGCGGGGGGCTGACCCCCCCACCTCCCTCCCGGACAGGGCGGCTGGCCGGGCAGAGGGGCTCCTCAGTTCCCAGTAGGGGCGGCCGGGCAGAGGCACCCCTCAACTGCCGGACGGGGCGGCTGGCCGGGCGGGGGGCTGACCCCCCCACCTCCCTCCCGGACGGGGCGGCTGGCCGGGCAGAGGGGCTCCTCAGTTCCCAGTAGGGGCGGCCGGGCAGAGGCACCCCTCAACTGCCGGACGGGGCGGCTGGCCGGGCGGGGGGCTGATCCCCCCACCTCCCTCGCGGATGGGGCGGCTGGCCGGGCCAGGGGCTGATCCCCCCACCTCCCTCCCGGACGGGGTGGCTGGCCGGGCGGGGGGCTGACCCCCCCCACCTCCCTCCCGGACCGGACGAGGTGGCTGCCGGGCGGAGACGCTCCTCACTTCCCAGACGGGGTGGCTGCTGGGCGGAGGGGCTCCTCACTTCTCAGACGGGGCGGCTGCCGGGCGGAGGGGCTCCTCACTTCTCAGACGGGGCGGTTGCCAGGCAGAGGGTCTCCTCACTTCTCAGACGGGGCGTCTGGGCAGAGACGCTCCTCACATCCCGGACGGGGCGGCAGGGCAGAGGTGCTCCCCACATCTCAGACGATGGGCGGCCGGGCAGAGACGCTCCTCACTTCCCAGATGTGATGGCGGCTGGGAAGAGGCGCTCCTCACTTCCTAGATGGGATGGCGGCCGGGCAGAGACGCTCCTCACTTTCCAGACTGGGCAGCCAGGCAGAGGGGCTCCTCACATCCCAGACGGTGGGCAGCCAGGCGGAGACGCACCTCACTTCCCAGACGGGGTGGCGGCCGGGCAGAGGCTGCAATCTCGGCACTTTGGGAGGCCAAGGCAGGCTGCTGGGAGGTGGAGGTTGTAGCGAGCCGAGATCACGCCACTGCACTCCAGCCTGGGCGCCATTGAGCACTGAGTGAACGAGACTCCGTCTGCAATCCCGGCACCTCGGGAGGCCGAGGCTGGCGGATCACTCGCGGTTAGGAGCTGGAGACCAGCCCGGCCAACACAGCGAATCCCTGTCTCCACCAAAAAAATATGAAAACCAGTCAGGCGTGGCGGCGCGCGCCTGCAATCGCAGGCACTCGGCAAGCTGAGGCAGGAGAATCAGGCAGGGAGGTTGCAGTGAGCCAAGATGGCAGCAGTACCGTCCAGTTTCGGCTCGGCATCAGAGGGAGACCGTGGAAAGAGAGGGAGAGGGAGAGGGAGCTCAATGCAATTTCTATAAAAATTTTAATGTCTTTTTTTCACCAAAATAGAAAAATTACTAAAATTTATATGAAACCAATAAAAAGCCCAAATAGCCAAAGCAATTTTGTGCAAAAAGAACAAAGCTGGAGGCATCACACTACTTACCTTCAAAGCATTACAATGCTGTAGTAACCAAAATAGCATGGTATTGATACAAAAGCAGACACAAAGATCAATGGAATAGAATAGAAGAACCCAGAAATAAATCCTCATATTCATAGCCAACTGATTTTCAAGAAACGCTCCAAGAACATACATGGGGGAAAGGAGAGTATCTTCAAAAACTGAATAACTATATGGAGAAGAATGAAACTAGACCCTATCTCTCACCATACACAAAAATCAAATCAAAATGGATTAAAGACTTAAGGGGGTCTAAGAACTGAAACTGTAAAACTACTAGAAAAAACGTAGGAGAAAAACTTCAGGACATTGGCCTAGGCAAATACTTAATGGCAAAGACTTCAAAGTACAGGCAACGAAAACAAAAATAGACAAATGTGATTATATTAAACTAAAACCTTCTCCACAGCAAAGAAAACAATCAACAGAGTAAAGAGACAACCAGTTGAATGGGAGAAAATATTTGCAAACTATTTATCTCATAAGAGACTAATATCCAGAATATACAATGAACTGAAACAGCTCAACAGTAAACAAACAACCCCTGCCCCCAAATAACCTCATTAAAAAGTGGGCAAAGGAAAGGGATATTTAAAAATGCTCCAGGCATGGTGGCTCATGCCTGTAATCCAAGCACTTTGGGAGGTCAAGGCGGGCGAATCACATGAGGTCAGGAGTTTGAGACCAGCCTGGCAAACGTGGTGAAACCCCATCTCTACTAAAAATACAAAAATTAGCCTGGTGTGGTGGTGCATGCCTGTAATTCCAGCTACTCAGGAGGCTGAGGCAGGAGAATCGCTTGAACCCAGGAGGTAGAGGTTGCAGTGAGCTGAGATCGTGCCACTGCACTCCAGCCTGGGTGACAGAGTGAGACTCTGTCTCAAAAAAAAAAAGCTCAACACCATTAATCATCTGGGAAATACAAATCAAAACCACAATAAGGTATCATCTTACCCCAATCAGAATGGCTATTATTAAAAAGACAAAAAATAGCAGATGTGGCAAGGATGTGGAGAAAAAGAATAGTACAGCCACTGTGGAAAACGGTATGATTTCTAAAGCAAACTGAAATAGAATTACCATTCGGTCCTGCTGTAGGGGTTTAGTCAGGATGGTGGGGAAAATTATAAGCCACAAACCTTCTTGGAAGGCCTGAAGGGTTTTGCAAAAGTCTCAGGATAAGGTTATGTCTGAAGGCAACCTAATCCATACCTTGAGTAAATAGCTTAAAGTGGGTACAAAGGAAGGTAGAGTAGTTTACCTGACTAGTTTGTTTACTCATGTGGTCCTAAGACTAACCTTTGATCTACCACAGGTGCTTAATTGCTTTCTACTCAGGAAGTCCGGGAAGTCTGCAATGTCAATTACCCTCTAGTTGTGTTTACTCACAACCTTTGTCAATTAATCTTTACTGAATAAATGCAAGTCTTGCTGACTGATCAAGGCCGTGGCTGTGACTAAGTGGCCTGGACGCTAGGCTGGACTGGCAAAGCAGAACATCTGTGTGTCAGTGTACTTTATTCATCCGTCGTTGGGTCAGGGTCTGGAGGACAGACTCCCACATCCTGCAGTTTCACTAATGGGGTTTTATTCAAAGGAAAAGAAATCAGCATATCAAAAGTATACCTGCATCCTCATGTTTATTGCAGCACTACTCACAGTAGCAAAGTTATGGAATCAACCTAAGTGTCCATTAATGGATAAATGGATAAAGAAAATGTATATATTCACAATGAAATACTATTTGGCCATAAGAAAGAATGAAATCATGCCATTTGCAGCAACATGGATGGAACTAGAGGTCATTATGTTAAGAAAAATGAGCCAGACACAGAAAGACAAATATCACATATACTCACTCATATGTAGGAGCTAAAAAAAGTTGATCTCATGAGGTAGAGAGTGAATTGTAGATACTAGAGGCTGGGAAGGGCATGTGGGTTGGGGGAGGTACGAAGGGAGGTTGTTTAATGAGTGCAAACATATAGTTAAAAGGAATAAGTTCTAACGTTCAATAGCAGAGTAGAGTGACTATATTTAACAACAATTTATTGCATATTTCAAAATTGCTAGAAGAGAACATGTATTAATATGTTCCCAATACATAGAAATGATAAATACTCAAGGTGAGGGATTCCCTAAATACCCTGACTTTATCATTACACAGTCTATGTATTTAACAAAGTATCACATGTACCCCATAAATATGTACAAATGTCATTCATCAATTTAAAAAAATTCAAAAAAAAATTGCTGTTGCATTTAGTTAAATAATTATATTTAGGTAACCTTCTACCAGGCCTATTTTATTAAAAATGCTGAATTAATAAAATACCTTTCAGTGATTACTGCTATAAATATATTACCTTCTCTTTTAATTTATAGTAGTAAATTATTTCAATTTCTTTTTCTTTTTTTTTTTTTTTTTGAGATGGAGTCTCGCTCTGTTGCCCAGGCTGGAGTGCAATGACATGATCTTGGCTCACTGCAAGCTCCACCTCCCAGGTTCACGCCATTCTCCTGCCTCAGCCTCCTGAGTAGCTGGGACTACAGGTGCCCGCCACCACACTCGGCTAATTTTTTGTATTTTTAGTAGAGATGGGGTTTCACCATGTTAGCCAGGATGGTCTCAATCCCCTGGCCTCGTGATCCGCCCACCTCGGCCTCCCAAAGTGCTGGGATTACAGGCGTGAGCCACCACGCCCGGCCAACCTCAATTTCTTGATAGTCTATCACTTTTGAATTTTAGAATTAAAATCATTACTAATTTTCAAATATACTTCAATATTCTATTCACCACAATGTTATTTAGAATTTTTGCATCTGTGGGTATAAATGACCTGAGTCAATAATTTCTTGGTTTTTTTTTTTTCCTGTACTTACTATGATGGTCTAAGAGTGATGATGTATTTTAAAGTTGCAATGAAGCAATTACAAGAAATAAAATATTGGTATATACTTCTCTATAACTTGAAATGATTTCAATTAATAAAATGATCTGATCTTTAAACATGAACTATATTCAGATATGGATCTATCTTCTGTATTTTAAAAAATCAACTTTAGCAAGATATTATTTACATACAATAATTGTATCTATTCAGTGTTCATTTTGACAGTGTGTGCACCCATGAAACCACCAACACAATAAAAATACAGAACATTTTTATCAACTCTAAAAGATTCCTTGTGCCCCTTTGCTGGCCATCCCTGTCTCTGGCCTAGCTTCAGGCAACTGCTAATCTGAATTTTGTTACTTCACTATTAGTTTGCATTTCTAGAATTTTATATGAATACAACCATATGGTACATAATACTCTTTCATGTCTGGCATCTTTTACTCAAAATGACTGAAATTCATCCATGTTGTCACATGTATCATTAGTCTGTTCCTTTTTATTGCTGAGTAGTTTTCTAGTTATGGATACACCACATTATATCTATTCACTTTGATGATAAACATGTAGGTTGCTTCCAGTTTGAGGCTATTGTGAATAAAAGTCTTGTCAACATTCATGTACAAGTCTTTGTTTGGACATAAGTTTTCATTTCACCTGGGTTAAATACTGGAGTGGAATGGCTGGGTTGTATGGTAGCTATGTGTTTAACTTTTTAAGAATTTGCCAAAGTATTTTACAAAGTCTTTGTGCCATTTTACATCCCTACCTGCCACGCATGAGTTCCAGTTGCTCAACATCTTCCAACACTTGGTACTGTTGATCATTTTAATTTCATTAATTTTAATGAGTGTGTAAAAGTGTCTCATTATGGTTTTGATTTGTATTTCCCTGGTGGCTTATGTTGAAATCCTTTCTTGTCCCCATTGACCATTTCATATCTTATTTTATGAATTATCTCTATTGAAGTATATTGTCATTTTTATTGAGTTGTCCTTTTACAATTGGGTTATAAATTTCTTTACATTTTCAGGAAACAAATCTTTTGTCAGAAATTTATTGCAACTATTTCTTCCCCTTCTGAGTCTTTCCTTCTCACCTTCTTAAGTGCTTTCAAAGGACAAGAGTTTTTAATTTTGAAAATTCAAAGTTATGATTTCTGTTTTTATAGTTCATTATTTATGTGTACTAACTTAAAAATCTTTTTTTTTCTTTTTTTTCTTTTTTTTTGCCGGTCTCAGTCTTTAATCCTGGCAGGGATTCACGGGCGCACACACACACACTCAGGATTCAGATCTTGTTGAAAGCTGCGATATCGACACTCTGCACGTGCTCCTCAAACTTGGTGATCTCCTCCAGCAAGTCTGTCCCCACCTTGTCGTCCTCCACCACACACTGAATCTGTAGCTTCCGGATACCGTAGCCCATGGGCACCAGCTTGGAGGCCCCCTAGACCAGCTCTTCCAGCTGGATGGAGCACACACAGGCCTCCAGCTGGGCCATGTCAGTCTCATCGTCCCAAGGCTTGAAATCCAGCAGGATGGAGGACTTGGCCACCAGTTCAGGCTTCTTGGCCTTCTTCTCCGCGTACTGCTGCAGCCGCTCCTCCTGCAGCTGTGCCGCCTTCTTGTCCTCCTCCTCATTGTCGCTGCCAAACAGGTCAGTGTCATCATCGTCGTCATCCTCTGCTGGTGTGAATGGCTTCTTGGCCAGGGGCTCCACTTGGCGCATGGGAGACATGTGCTGGGTCTGTGGGGCCGTGGCCCGGTGGCCAGGCGAGTTCTTCTCCAGCACGTTCAGCCGGGCCTCCAGCTTGGAGATGACCTGCTGCAGCTCCTGTACCACACTGCGCAGGCTCTGGTTCTCCACTTTCAGACTGGTGATCCGGACGACGAGCTCGCTGTGGTCTCCGCTGGGGCCGCTGGAGGCCCCGGGGCCTGAGTTTCCGGCCAGGGATTTCTGGATGTTCTCTCTGGCTCTCGCGATGTCACGGAGGATCACGCTGGCGTCGTTCTCTTGGCGGGAGGCACCGGCCACAGGCCCATTCATCTGCTCGTAGAATCTCCTTTCTGCGTCGTCATATTTGAACTTGTCGAACCAGATCTTCTCATGTACTAGGAAGTTTGTAGCCATTTTTCTGACGCCTGCCAAGGACGCGACGACCAGGGAGGAGGAATCGGCGGACGCGGGACACCTGAGGAAAGGGTACTACCTTAAAAATCTTTTCCTATAGTCTTGGTAAATTTTAAATGATAGCTCTATAAATGATATTTATAAGTTATGGTTATTTTTTTTTTTAGTTTTTCATTAATTTTGATCAATTGTATCTTACTAGGAGATCACCCATTTACTGTAGGTAGTATTCTCTTCCTACTATATTTCATATCTACCTACTACATTTCATATCATTCCTACTACATTTCATATCTACCTACATTTACATGTAGGTAGATATGAAATGATTCAATATCCATGTCTCCTTTTACTCATTACAAATCTTACATAATTTTGCTCTCTCTTATCTCTTTACCTTACTCGGGTTTATGTGAGGTATTTAGTTTACTAAGGTTTTAAAATATTTTCATATTCATTTTAGTAGGAAAAGGACGGATTATTTTATAAATTTCATTGCCTGAATAAGTTTAGGTATGGTTTCGGGTACAATAAGAAAGAGATAAAATGGAATGCTTTATGCCAAACATGTTTATTTTTATCACACAGCTAAAGTCTGTAGTTAAGTTGCTGCTACTTTTGAGTCAATAACATCAAGACCAGTGTTGGTGAATCTTTTGGCCTTTCCCCAATGCTTGAAAGAAGATCACCACTGCTGGAGGCATAATGTACAAGGCAGGAAAAGGGATGGAATTGATGGTGACAGCTAAGTCTGTCTTTTTTCTTAGGAAATAAAGGTTTTCCTAGGATACATTTAAGTGTTTTGCTTCTCTTGGGCTGAGGCAGGTCATTTGGCCACTACCAGTTTCAGAAGATGATGATGTTACAGCACTATTCACAATAGCAAAGACATGGAATCAACCTAAATGCTCATCAATAGTAGACTGCATAAAGAAAATGTGGTACATATACATCATGGAATACTATGCAGCCATTAAAAAGAATGAGATCATGTCCTTTGCAGGGATATGGATGGAGCTGAAGGCCATTATCCTTAGCAAACTAACGCAGGAACAGAAAACCAAACATCACATATTCTCACTTATAACCAAACACCACATGTTCTCACTTATAAATGGAAGCTAAGTGATGAGAACACATGGACACATACAGAGAAACAACACACACAGGGGCCTACTGGAGGGTGAAGAGTGGGAAGAAGGAGAGGATCAGGAAAAATAACTAATGGGTTCTGGGTGATGAAATAATATGTACAACAAGCCCCCATGATATGGGTTTACCTGTGTAACAAACCTGCACAGGTACTACTGAACTTAAAATAAAAGTTAAATTTAAAAAAAGATAAAGTAAGCCGGGCACGGTGGCTCATGCCTGTAATCCCAGCACTTTGGGAGGCCAAGACGGGTGGATCACAAGGTCAAGAGATCAAGACCATCCTGGCCAACATGGTGAAACCCCGTCTCTACTAAAAATACAAAAAATTAGCCGGGCGTGGTGGAGGGTGCCTGTAGTCCCAGCTACTCAGGAGGCTGAGGCAGGAGAATCACTTGAACCCGGGAGGCAGAGGTTGCAGTGTGCCGAGATTGCGCCACTGCACTCCAGCCTGGCGACAGAGTGAGACTCCGTCTCAAAAAAAAAAAAAAAAGATAAAGCAGTGAGAGAGGAGTTTGGGGATTGCACGCTGGTTCAGCAAAGCAACATTTTCCCAAAAGATACACAAACTATACAGAAGACCACTTTAAAATATTATATGTGAAGTTTAAGTTTTAAGATTAAAAATTCAGAAACTGTAAAAGAATACACATTTAAACATGTAGAAAATAAAATTATGTGAATGGGATAATATCACATGCAAAGTCGAGACAAGGAATGGATGTTTTTTAAAAAAGGAGTTACTCCCTTTAACATAAACAGCTGTTTTAAATTAATAAGATAAACAATCCAAAAAGAGAAATGTATAAATAAATGCTTTATAAAGGCAATTTGCAGAATAGCAAATTCAAATGGCCAAGACACATTTGGAGTCATATTTATATACAAATTATAATTAGTTATCACTTGGAACTTGTAAAATTTCTCAAGGTTAGAGTAACAGCAGCTGGGCACGGTGGCTCACGCCTGTAATCCCAGCACTTTGGGAGGCCGAGGCAGGTGAATCATTTGAGGTCAGGAGTTTGAGACCATCCTGGCCAACGTAATGAATCCCTGTCTCTACTAAAAATACAAAAATTAGCTGGGCATGGTGGCAGGCGCCTGTAATCCCAGCCACTTGGGAAGCTGAGGCACGAGAATCGCTTGAACCCAGGAGGGAGAGGATGCAGTGAGCCAAAATTGTGCCTCTGCACTCCAGTCTGGGCGATAGAGCAAGACTCAGTCTCAGAAAAAAAAAAAAAAAAAAGAGTAACAGCTACTTGTAGTGCGGGAGAGGTATATTTATACACTAATATTGGAAACATAAAAAGCTACAGTCTTAGGACAAAGAAATCTGGCAACATCTGTTAAAATAAAATAACACATACCATTTGATCAGTCCCACTCCTACAAGCATATGCTACAGAAAAAAATAATCTCTAGTACTTAAGGGCATGATTGTCCTTGTCCAATTGATTATCTGTTGACAGACTGTTGGAGTGGTTGGAATTGCTATGAATGGAAGTTCAAAAATCAAGAAGACATAAAATACATTATAAAAGTTACAGTTAGGCCAGGTGTGGTGGCTCATGCCTATAATCTCAGCAATTTGGGAGGCTGAGGCAGGAGGACTGCTTGAGGCCAGGAGTTTGAGACTGACCTGGGAAAAATAGCAAGACCCTGTCTCTAAAAAACTAAAAAAATTAGCAGGTGTGGTGGCGTGTGCCTGTAGTCCCAGCTACTCTATAGGCTAGGACAGGAGGATCACTTGAGCCCAGGGGTCGAGGCTGCAGTGAGCCAGGATTGTGCCACTGGACTCCCATCTGGGTGCCTGGGCGACAGATTGAAATCCTGTCTCTAAAGTAAATAAATAAAGTCACATTTATGCCAAGTTATATATGTATGCATGTGTGTGTGTACGTAAATATTTATTTTAATAGAAAGGAAAGTGTTGGATGGTCTGTTTTTCTCCACTGGTTTGAGACATGGGCTTGAAGTTAAATCAGTAAACAAAATGAACTATGTTTATTATGAAATCTGCTTCTATAGGAAGACCTTTTCCAATGTATCAAATAGAGCTTCTTCTCTATTTGAATTTTATGGCATTTAATAAGACGATATATTCTTACAAAACCTATTCTTAACAATTACTTGTCTGGTATACAGTAAGCTGTGACTCACAGATGAAGATTTTTCCATATACAATATATAATGTACAGTAATCACAGGGCTTCTCTGTAGTATGAATAATTTAAAACTGGTTCTGACTTCTGTGAAAAGACTTTCTCACTTTCAAGAAATACAATTTCACTCGTGTAAATACTGAAGAATACTAAAACCTGATTTCTGTGTGAAGCTACTGCCACATTTGCTCTTAACCCTGTCTCCTTCTGGTAGAAACTTTCTGATATATTCCAAGTGAAGTGTTTTCCAGTCACTGTTCTTATAGGCTTTGTTCTCCAAATTGTGTTTTTAGTGTATAATGGGATTTGAATTATTTTTTCTCATGTGTGAATTTACTATGTTCAGGTCATTAACTTTTCAGTGGAAGATTTCCTAGTCATCATATTCATAAAGTTTCTCTCCAGCATGAATTTTCTGATATGTAATGAGGTATGACTTGTAAAGAAAACCCTACCCACATTCAGTACAAACAGAAAATTACTCTCCCTTATGAATTATCTGATGCATACGTAAATGTTTGAGTGTATGTTTTCGTATATTTTCTGAATACACAGTATGATTCACTTTTTAAAAATTAATTTAAAATGCATTTTTGGCTAGGTGCTGTGGCTCACATCTGTAATCCCAGCACTTTGGGAGGCCAAGATGGGAGGACTGCTTGAAACCAGGAGTTTGAGACCAGCCTGGGGAACAAAGTGAGGCCTCATCTCTAACAAAAAAACAAAACAAAACAAAAAGGGCTGGGCACAGTGGCTCACGCCTGTAATCCTAGCACTTTGGGAGGCTGAGGCGGGTGGATCACCTGAAGTCAGGAGTTCGAGACCAGCCTGACCAACATGGTGAAACCCTGTCTCTACTAAAAATACAAAAAAAATTAGCAGGGCGTAGTGGTGTATGCCTGTAGTCCTCACTACTTGGGAGGCTGAGGCAGGAGAATCGCCTGAACCCGGGAGGCAGAGGTTGCAGTGAGCCAAGGTTGCACCATTGCACTCCAGCCTGGGCAACAAGAGCGGAAACTCTGTCTCAAGAAAAAAAAAAGCCAGGTGTAGTGGCACATGCCTGTGGTCCAAGCTACTTGGAAGGATAAGGCAGGAAGGTTGCTTGAGCCAAGGAGTTCAAGGCTACAGTGAACTATGATCATACCACTCCACCCGGGGTGACAGAGTGAGACCCTGTCACTAAAAAAAAAAAATTAAAATTAATAAAATAGAATAAAATGCATTTTTATTAAAATATTTAAACTGTAAAACTGTCTTAAAATAGTTTGCTGTAAATGAACTATAATAGAGTGCTGGCATAAAAAGATATGGCTGGCTGGGCCATGCCTGTAATCCCAGAACTTTGGGAGGATGAGGTGGGTGGATCACTTGAGGCCAGGAGTTCGAGACCAGCCTGGCCAACATGGCGAGACCCTGTCTCTCCTAAAAATACAAAAATTCGCTGGGCGTTGTGGTGCATGCCTGTAATCCCAGCTACTTGGGAGGCTGAGGCATGAGAATCACTTGAACCCAGGAGGTGGAGGTTGCAGTGAGCCAAGATTGCCCGCCATTGCACTCCAGCCTGGGTGACAGAGCAAGACTCTGTCTCAAAAAAAAAAAATAAATAAATAAAAAAGATACGGCTAACCTACAGTGTTTTCCCTAGTAAAGTCTATATTCCACATGCTTCCAATCTATACTGACCTTTGAGTTCTACTTAACATTTAGCTCTCCCAATTCACTTATAGTTTTCCACCATTTATTCCTCAATCAGTTCACAAGTGCCCCTTGAGACGCAAGAAATCTCACAGAAGAAAGTCTTTCTTTCTTCTAGAGATTAATACTGTGTTGACAAAAGGTCAAGTAGCTCTTTTATAGTTTCTTCTTTTTCTTGGGAGTATAACATTCTATTTTTTAAAATGTGCCTGAGAATAAAGGTTGAGAATCACTATCTCAGTTATCCTACTAAGTTAATTTTTCAAACCCTGGGACTCTATACCAGTCTTCATTAACCCCATTTTCTATTAATTGTACAAAGGAAAAGCCATAGTATTAAAAAAGACATCTGAGAAGCTTTTAGTGAATCTCTTCCATTTGCTAAATTTGGCAGCTACCACAATAAAATCTGAAACCACCAGAGGTAATTTTCTCTTACGTATCAAAGTTTGTAAAGGTTTTTTTTTTTTTTTTTTTTTTTTTGAGATGGAGTCTCGCTCTGTCGCCCAGGCTGGAGTGCAGTGCTGCGATTTTGGCTCACTGCAAGCTCCGCCTCCTGGATTAACGCCATTCTCCTGCCTCAGCCTCCCGAGTAGCTGGGACTACAGGTGCCCACCATCACGCCCGGCTGATTTTTTGTATTTTTAGTAGAGACAGGTTTTCACCGTGTTAGCCGGGATGGTCTCGATCTCCTGACCTCATGATCCACCCGCCTCGGCCTCCCAAAGTGCTGGGATTACAGGAGTGAGCCACCGCGCCTGGCTGTAAAGGTTTTAACAAATGGGTGAATGCCTTAAGACTTTTAGCAACAAAAGATTGGAATAAAGTAATGCTGCAAATCTAAGCATTTTCATTTACAAGTCAGTAATTTTGGAAATTAAGAAAATATATTTTTGGTCTTGATACTTCTTAAATACAAGTAGCTATCTCAACGAATTAAAAACATCTGCCAGTGGCAGAGTAGGTGGTACAGACTAGTACTTCCTTTGGGAACTAAAAAAGGTGAATGAAAATATTAAACATATTTAATTTTTTGAAGGCATAAGAAAGCTACCACGGCAGTGAGAAACTGCAGGAATAAAATTGGAGACAAGACATAAAGTCTCATATTTGGGACATAATGTCTGAAACTGTTTATTACTAAGAGGTATTTGCTAATTCTGACAGCAAATACTGGGCAAGAGAGGCTGGAGAGAATTTTTGACAAATTCAAGTGACCGAAGGAGAAATACTAGAATTCAAGTCTTTCCAAAGAGGAGGGGCCTGATGTACCTCCCGAACTCCTAAGTCCTAAAAGTATCCTAGAAATAAGGTTTAGATGTTCACATTCTGAACATATAATAAAATAAGATGAGTCTTCTAGAGACTCAAGCCCAGTTTCAAATTATCTTAATACATGACTGGATAAAGGCAATCAGGGATTACTAGTGATCATAGCCTAAGAAGCTATGTTAGAAGCTATGGCAAATCCTCTCTGGAAGAAGATATTATCCAGACCATCTTATTACCTCTAAAATTTTAATATATATTGTCTGGCAAGTGATATAAAAATCACCATATGAGGAGATAGGACATCAGCAAAATTCAAGAAAAATAACCATTAGAAAACAGGCCAACAGAACTGGGTAATAAGGTTATCCCTAAAAGAAACAGAGAAGGAGAATGAGGCAGATGCATAATTTGAATAGATAATAGCTAGGAATTTCCCCAAATGCACATGTGCACACACGTACACGCACACGTGCACACACACACCCCAAAACCACTAAACCACAGATTTAAAAAACATTATAAACTCCAAGGAGGATAAATACATGGAAAAATTACACCTAGGCATATCAATGTGCAACAGTTAAAAAACAAAGACAAATAGATAAATTTCAAAGGAGACAGAAAAGCAGATTGCCTGCAAAGGTAATTATATAAAGCTTCTCAATAAAACAATAAAAGACAAACCAAAATAAAATATCATCAAAATACTAATAGAAAACAACTTTCAACTTAGAATTCTATATTCAGTAAAAGTATCCTTCAAAAATGAAGGCAAAATAAAACACTGCCAACAAATGAAGAACAATTTGTCACCACCAAACTCACAGTAAAAGAAATACTAAAGGGTGTTCCTCAGTAAGAAGCAAAATAATTCTAGAGGAAAACTTAAAGGACAGGAAGGAATAAAAAAGTAATTAAAATGATAAATATGTGGGTTAATTTAAATGGATATTGACTCAAATAATGATTGGCTATGTTCACCATGTACAGAATCCAAATATACAAAATTAATACCATATAAGAGACAAATAAATGAAATTATAATGTTATAACTTCTCCCCTTGTCCAGAAATGTTAGTACTAATTTACATTAGCTTTTAATCCATATGTATATTAGTATCTGACATAGTACATTTAAGGCAAAAAATTACTAGAGATAAAAAGAAACATCTAATAATGATAATGTGTCAATTAACCAGGAAGATTACAACAATTCTAAATTGTATGTAAAATCAAAGACAAAATATATAAAGCAAAAATTAGTAGCTCTAAAGGAGACAAATTCACAATTATTTGTAAAATTACAACACAGTTCTTTCAGTATTTGATAGAAGAAAAGACAAAAAAGTCTATTCAAATACAGAGAATTTGAAAAACAAAATTAATTAAGATTAGTTTGTAGAGATTGTGAGGAGATAAAAGGAGAAGTCTTCCAAATGTTCAACTACATTTTATCTTCTAAGGACACAAACTAAAATTCAAGATGCTTGTGTCTCATGGTAATCTAGCAAGTAACGAACATGTAGAGAATGTACTAACAAAATTAGTGGGAAAAAATTTTAGGATTTGATATCCATTTTCTTAATTTGTCCTATTTTTCAAACAGGAGTTGGTAACAACAACATCAAAAAAGTGCAGGTTTCTGTGGTGAAAGCTGAGGATCTAAAGTGCTGCTATCTAGACCTGGGTCCCTGTATCTAAGTTCCATGATCGTAGGGCCAGTTCTAAGGTAATAATATAGACTTTTGAGAAATAGGCAAAGAGCAATTTCAGACCTCTTGGCTAACTGCTGCCCCAGCATACGCCAACAGATATAACAATAAATAATGGTGACTTCCCAAAGAAAATTTTAAAAAAAGTAGAGTCCTTTCTTTCTGTCTTTAGTGTTTTCACAAAAACTGCTGATTCACTTTCATTATAGACCTAAATTGCCCTCTCTTTGCCTTGATCTCAGTGTCCTTAGGCTGCTTAGACAATGTAAAATTATCTCATCATACTACTCATTATGAATTTTTGCGGGTCAATATTGAATAGTTGTGGTACCCAGAACATGAAAAACTCAACAGCCATGAATTTATAAAACTGTTTGCCCAAAAAGTGAAACAAGAAAGACTGCCAATCATCTCCTTGCACATTTACTATTATTTGCAGGAGCTTGACAACACCAATATCAAGTAACCAAAGATGGCCACTATACATTGCTTAAACACTCTCAAAAGTGTCTCCCCATATGTGTAACTACACATCAGCTATATGATCCAGATGTTCATAATTCTAACTAGATAGAAGAAAGTTGGCCTTGGTCACCTTCTGAGTCCCCACACCATAATTGTGGCATGGAGCACTCTACTTCCCCATTGTCAGATTTCTGAGGCATACTGAGTTGTGGCTTCCAGTTTAAGGCTTTCCCCAAGTCACTGCACTTATAGGGTTTCTGTTTAGTATGAATTTTCTGGTGTTTAATAAGATTTGATCTGATGGTGAAGGCCTTTCCACACTCAGCACATATATATGGTTTCTCTCCTGTGTGAATTCGATGATGCTCATGGAGTTGTGATTTCTTAATGAAAGACTTGCCACAGTCACTGCATTCATAGGGTTTCTCTCCAGTATGAATTCTCCTGTGTCTATTTAAGTGTGACTTCTGGATGAAGGATTTCCCACATTCATTACAAATATAGGGTTTCTCTCCTGTATGAATTCTCTGATGCATAATTAGTGTTGATTTTCTTGCAAAGGCTTTCCCACATTCACTGCACTCATAATGCCTTTCTCCAGTATGGGATTGCTGATGTATATGGAGACCTGACTTCCTAGTGAAGGCTTTCCCACAGTCACTACATTTATAAGGTTTCTCTCCAGTGTGAATTTTCTGGTGTGTAAAGAGATTTGATCTGTCAGTAAAAGCCTTTCCACATTCAGCACACCTATAGGGTTTCTCTCCTGTGTGAATCTGCTGATGTACGTGGAGCTGTGATTTCTTAGTGAAGGATTTCCCACAAATACTGCATTCATAGGGTTTCTCTCCAGTATGAATTCTCTCATGTGTAATAAAATGGGATTTGTGGAAGAAGGCCTTACCACATTCAGTGCAAACATATGGTTTTTCCCCTCTATGAATTCTCTGGTGCATACTTAATGTTGACTTCTGAATGAATGCTTTCCCACATTCACTGCATTCATAATGTCTCTCTCCAGTATGACACTTCTGATGTATCCTGAGCCGAGACTTCCAGGTGAATGATTTTCCACAGTCGCTGCATTTATAAGGTTTCTCTCCAGTATGAATTTTTTGGTGCTTAATGAGATTTGACCTGTCAGTAAAGGCCTTACCACACACAGTACATATATAGGGTCTTTCTCCTGTATGAATTTTCTGGTGTATAATGAGATTTGTCTTGTGAGTGAAGACCTTCCCACATTCTGAACATATAAAGGGATTCTCTCCTGTGTGAATTCGCTGATGCACATGGAGTTGTGATTTTTTAATAAAGGATTTCCCACAGTCACTGCATTCATAGGGTTTTTCTCCAGTATGAATTCTTTCATGTGTGATAAAATGTGACTTCCGGATAAAGGCCTTCCCACATTCAGTACATACATAAGGTTTTTCTCCTGTATGGATTTTCTGATGCATACTTAGTGTTGATTTCCTTGTGAAAGCTTTTCCACATTCAGTACATTCAAAGTGTTTCCCTCCAGTATGAATTTTTTTATGTATATTAAGGTTTGAATTCTGAGGGAGGTTTTTCTCACATTCACTGTACTCATAAGGTTTTTCTCCAGAATGAATTCTCTGGCATCTGAACAGATCTGACTTCTGGATAAAGGCTCTTCCATAGTCACTGCATTTATAGTAATTCCCCTCATAAGGAGTTTTCTGACGGTTTGACTTGAGGGAAAAATCCTTCTCATATTCAGTGCATATTCCTGCATAAACCCTCTGACTGCCATCAAGCTGGGACTTCTGAGTGAAGACTGCCTCACATTCATGGCATTCATGCTGCTTTTCTTCAGCACAAATACTCTCATGTGCAAAGGCATGTGACTTCGGGGAGAAAACATTTACGTAGTCAGAAAACAAATAGAGGCTCTCTCTAGTATGAATTTTCTGTTGTTGAATGAGAGCTTGCTTATGATGCAGAGGTTTCCCACATTGGTTACATTCACAAGCAGTCACTTCTGTATGAGAATTCAAATGAGTGAAAATATCACCATCTCCAATAGTCTTATCAGAATTTTCTGTTGCATTGTTTCTATTATATAAGGTTATGATAGGCTCCAAATTCTTTCCACACGAGTTACAGTTATGGGGTCTTTTTCTTGAGGAAACCAGGTGTGTGTTTACATGAACTATTTCCCCAATGTCCTTATATTCAAAGATGCTGTCATTAGCTAGTGTTTTCTTGTTAATGAAGACAACACGACTTAAAGGTTTGTTCTGGTTTTCTCCACATTTTCTTGTGTGTTCATCGTCTTTCCACAATTCTTCTAAAATGGAATATGGGTCATCTCTTGTGAAGAGATTAATATTAATCTCAGACTGGAAAGAAACTTCTTCAGACATCCTCTGTTGTAAAGGTCCAAAACCAATGTCCCCATCTAAAAAAGAAAGAAAAGATAAGACTGACAAAAAGAACAATTAACAGAAAATAAGGCCAGGTGCGGTGGCTCATGCCTGTAATCCTAGCACTTTGGGAGGCTGAGGTGGGCAGATCACTTGAGGCCAGGAGTTTGAGACCAGCCTGGCCAGCATAGCAAAACTCTGTCTCTGCTAAAAAACACTCAAAATATTGTCTCTACTAAAAATTAGCCAGGCGTGGTGGTACATGCCTGTAATTCCAGCTACTCAAGTGGCTGAGGCAAGAGAATGGCTTGATGGCTTGAAGGCAGAGGTTGCAGTGAGCTGAAATTGCGCCATTGCACTCTAGTCTGGGTGACAGAGCAAGACTCTGTCTCCAAAATAAATAAATAAATAAATAAATAAATAAATAAATAAATAAATAAAAATACAATAGACCTTTGATTCAGGCCGGGTGTGGTGGCTCACGCCTGTAAGCCCAGCACTTTGGGAGGCTGAGGCAGGCGGATCACCTGAGGTCAGGAGTTGAAGACCAGCCTGGCCAACATGGAGAAACCTCATCTCTACTAAAAATACAAAATTAGCCGGACATGGTGGTGCATGCCTGTAATCCTAGCTACTCAGGAGGCTGAGGCAGGAGAATCACTTGAACCCAGGAGGCAGAGGTTGCGGTGAGCCGAGATCTTGCCATTGCACTCCAGCCTGGGCAACAAGAGCGAAACTCTATCTCCAAAAAAAAAAGAGTTGATTCAAGGCAGACACAGAGATATGAGAGAGACTATATAAATATAACAAATGTACATAAGTATTTTAAATATACATAAATATATAGGTATAATAACTCATTTATATATAATATGTAATACAATGATGTAGAGTAATAATATTAATACTAACATTTATAACATGATAAACAATATCATTTAGATGTGCTGTTCTAAGTTCTATATTAATTCACTTAAACTTTATCACGGCCCGGTGTGGTGGTTCATGCCTGTAATCCCAGCACTGTGGGAGGCTGAGATGAGAGGATTGCTTGAGCCCAGGAGTTTGAGACCAGCCTGGGAAACATAGTGAGACCCCCATCTCTACAGAAAAATGAAAAAACAATTAGCTGGGCCTAGTGGCACATGCCTATAGTCCCAGCTACTTAGGAGGCTGAAGCAGGAGGATCACTTGAGCCCAGGTGTTTGAAGCTGCAGTGAGCTCTGATCGCACCATTACACTCCAGCCTGGGTGACAGAGTGAGACTCTGTCTCTCTCTCTCTCTTTTTTTTTTTTCTTTTTTAAGACAGGGTCTCACTCTGTTGCTCAGGCTAGAGTGTAATGGCATGATCAGAGCTCACTGCAACCTCCACCTCCTGAGTTCAAGGGATTCTTGTGCCTCAGCCTCATGAGTGGCTGGAACTACAGGCATATGCCACCACAACTGGCTAATTTTTGTATTTTTAGTAGAGACGGGGATTCACCATGTTGGCCAGGCTGGTCTCAAACTCCTGACTTCAAGTATCTGTCCGCCTCGGCCTCCCAAAATGTTGGGATTACAGGCGTAAGCCAGCAAGCCCAGCCAAGACCCTGTCTCTTAAAAACAAAAACAAAAAGCACTTTATTGTAACCCTTTGCTGTTGGTATTATTATTGTTTCTAGTTTACAGATGAGGAAACTGAGCCACAGAAGAGTTTAGTTAAATTTGCCCAAATCAAATGTTTAGTAATTGGGGAAGAAGAGATTGCAATTCAGTGCAAATGTAGTAGAACTACATGGTGAGTGAGGTGTCAGAAGAACAAAGTGATAAACTCTGTGAAAAGAAGTATTTCTGAGTCTAGATTCTTTTCCTTAATCTGTAAATCCTCACAATCTTCCTGTTTTCTCTTCTCCCTATGATCCACTGTGCCCTAAATACCAATGTATTTATGTTTACAGTAAAATTACGATATCTTAGTCATCCTAACTTGGCCAAACAGAAAAATTTATATACATTTGTTATATTTATATAGCCTCTCTCATTTATCTGTGTTTTCCTTGAATCAACTCTATGTAACAATTGGTCTATTTTCTTTTGAGATGGAGCCTCACTCTATCACCCAGGCTGGAGTGGCTGGAGTGCAATGGCGCGATCTCGGCTCACTGCAACCTCCGCCTCCCGGGTTCAAGCAATTCTCCTGCCTTAGCCACATGAGCAGGTGGGACTACAGACATGTGCCGCCATACATGTATTTGTAAAAATACAAATTTTTGTATTTTTAGTAGAGATGGGGTTTCACCATGTTGGCCAGGCTGGTCTCAAACTCCTGACCTCAAGTGATCTGCCTGCCTCAGCCTCCCAAAGTGCTGGGATTACAGGTGTGAGCCACCGTGTCTGGCCTATGGTTCAATTCTTCATCCCTGGTTTGGGGTACTGATGTGATAAATGCATCTGGTAGAAGACATAACAGGAAAGAACTAGACATCAGAAGAGAAGACTGAAAGTTGTTCATCAAACCTGTGCCCTTCCTTCACAATATTAAGCTTGTAGCCAAGCACATGGCTGCTTCACAACACTAGGTTTGTTCAGCTTCATTTGTCACTAGGTGGCACTGAGTAACTCTTTTTCACTCATCAGTGGAAGTGATAAGGCCAATGTCTTAAGAAAGTGGGTTTGTCTCCTACAAACCTCTTCTTTTCCCACCAGTATATTCCAACTTGGCAGCACCCAGTTCTATGAAGCTGGCAATGCCCTAGGGCAGGGGTCAGAAAACTGAAGCCCTTGGGCCAAATCCAGGCCTCTATCCAAAAGCTAACAATGTATTTTACATTTTTAAATGGTCAAAAAATTAAAAGAAGAATACTACTTCACGACATATGAAAATTATATGAAATTCAAATTTCAGTGTCCATAAAGTTTTTATTGGAACACAGCCACACCCATACATTGATGTATTGTCTATAGCTGCTTTGGGGCTACAACTGCAGAAATAAGCAGTTGTGACAGTAGCCATATGGTCCACAAAGCCTATTTACTTTTGTGCCTTTACAAAAAATTTGTCAGCCCTTGCCCTAGGGGATGGTGGTACAATGACTTTCTAGAAACTTTGTCCCTGAACGGCCATGGAAACAGAGTTGCCCGGTGTTATGGCCATCGAAAAGGGACTAACACACATCTTTCCATTAGTCACTGCAGTCTATTTTATCAATGAACCCAAACATACAGTCTTTTCATTTTCTCCATTTAAGCTTCCTTTTTCTGATCTTTTGTTTCTATCAAAAATTCATTGTTCTTCATTAATCATTTGGGGTTCTCTGCTTTAAAAGCTAATTTCAAATTTCACCACAACTCTAGAGAGGCTCTCTTTTAACTTAAAAACAAACAACAAAAAGGTACTCTGAACCACTCATATTTATATTTGAATTGGCATAGATGTGCACGTTAACAAAAGTGTAATGCACAAAGACTGAAATTTTCAAGATTTCATGCAGTTATCCTCTTTCCAATTAGTTTTTCTAGCCCTTTGAATTGCTCCTAAAAGAAAAATTTTAAAATCTTTCTGAAATAGAGCAAAACGACCTCCTCTGCTTATAACACAAATTCAGGAATTTAATTTCACTATTTTCTACAGAAACTTTGCATTTTAATGTACAAGAGTAAAAGCCTCAGTTATCATGTAATTTAATGTAGGTTTCTCTGAATTTCTGGAGGTTGTATGCTGCAATAGGTCAAATTCAAGGAGTAAGTGAAAGCTGAGCACAAAATATGTGTATTATTTGGTTTTTTGTTTGTTTTTGTTTTTGTTTTTGTTTTCTGAGATAGAGTCTCACTTTGTTGCCCAGGCTGGAGTGCAGTGGCACGATCTCGGCTCACTGCAAGCTCCGCCTCCTGGGTTCACACCATTCTCCTGCCTCAGCCTCCCAAGTAGCTGGGACTACAGGCGCCTGCCACTATGCCTGGCTAATTGACCTTGTGATCCACCTGCCTCAGCCTAAAGTGCTGGGATTACAGGCGTGAGCCACCACGCCCAGCCTTTTTTTTTTTTTTTTTTTTTTTTGAGACGGAGTGTCGTTCTTGTCACCCAGGCTGGAGTACAGTGGCGCGGTCTCAGCTCACTGCAACCTCCACCTCCTGGGATCAAGTGATTCTCCTGCCTCAGCCTCCTGAGTAGCTGGGATTACAGGCCCCTGCCACCTCGCCTGGCTAATTTTCATACTTTTAGTAGAGATGGGGTTTCGCCATGTTGGCCAGGCTAGTCTCAAACTCCTGACCTCAGGTAATCCACCCACCTCAGCCTCCCAAAGTGGTGGGATTACAGGCGTGAGCCACTGTGCCCAGCCAAAATATGTGTATTATTTGAATACGCAGATAGATAACATAATAATCAAAGGGCTCGATGAAAAGGGAGAATTAAAGAAAATCTTAAAATAGGATAGAAATGGTTATAGAAAACAGGGACAAATGTGAATTGCAAATATGAGGCCATATTCTTTCTCTAGCTTACAAACCTACTGAGAGGAGAATCTGTCACATGTTAGATATTAAGTAGTAACTTTAGTTTTCTTCCATGTAGCTATGACAGGATAAACACAGCACACAATGTTTTAAGTAGTGAAATCTATCAGCAGCATCTGAGATGAAATAGTGAAAAAGAAAGAATGGGATTATCACATACAAATAGGATTAGAATAATCTAGGCATGAGAAAACACAGACATGGTTGTAGGTGATATGACTGGGAGGTAAGAAAGAGGCTTTTGTAAATGAGAAAAATAAGTAGAAAAGCAGAATGAATTATCTGAGAAGATGGATTAGAGGGAAAAGTAAAAAAACTCCAAGAGAAGATGACAACATTTTGAAAGGCAAGCCACCTGCTTTTACATGCTACATTGTATCTTGTCTTCCTTCACACAAACAGCCAGACCCTTAAATGCAAACAGTATTGGTCTTTCCCCTGAGTGCTGTATACAATAGGGCCAATGCCTGACTGAGACACACAAATAACAGTCACAGAGTAAAAGTTGTTCCCATGAGCCAATTATCACTCAGAGCTTATGCTGCAGCTGAGACACATAATCTAAGACACAGATTATGCTGGGCTGAGACACATGGACCTGGGCAACTTTAAGGAGGGCCCAAAGCCCTTACACCTGCCTCTAAATGTCCATGATAACTTCTAATGTAGGTTAGTTATGTATAGGACAGAGGCAAAGTGCATACTTGCCAGCAGGCAGTATAACCAGTTGGGAAGAGGAGAAAGACCCCTGTGGGGGTGGTCATTGCCTTGACATCCTGCTTATTGCCCCAGCTGTAAATGACCTGCAAGGAGAAATGGACCCCACCCCAAACTTGGTTCAGATGTCAAGAGTGACGATGAGACACACACAATAAGAGGGTGTAAAAAGATTTGTTACTCACATAATGAGGCTTTCTGGGGACAGCTCCAAGCAGGTCCAGATGGGGCTAGAGTGAGCAAGGAAAGGACTGTCTTGGGAGTTTATGGCAGGGGCGGGTGGGGCTGGGCTAACTATTCCCTTATGTAGTTGGAATTTCCCAGCAACAATGGAGGGAACTCATGGGCTTTTTTCTCAGTTTGTCCAGGAAAAAAAGAGAGAGAGATGAGGCTTAGAAAACATCAGCAGTTGAACATCAAAAATGAAGGATACAGAATGAGATGTTCAAAGTATTTTATTAGGGAAATACAAATTAAATAATAATTAGAAATTAAAACCCATCAGATTAGCCAAAATATTAAAAATTTGGATAATACTAGGTATGGGTAGGGATGTGGGGAACTAATACCCTTGTACAAAGTTCCAGGGACCGTAGAGTGACACAGCCAATCTGGAAAATAATGTGCTTATACCTCATCATATTCAATATTAGTATGCCCAATGATAAAGCAATCCCACTCCTCTTCCTTAAGAAATTCTCATTTCCGGCTGGGCGTGGTGGCTCCCGCCTATAATCTCAGCACTTTGGGAGTCCAAGGCGGGTGGATCACGAGGTCAGGAGATCGAGACCATCCTGGCTAACATGGTGAAACCCCGTCTCTACTAAACATACAAAAAATTAGCTGGGTGCAGTGGCGGGCGCCTGTAGTCCCAGCTACCGGGGAGGCTGAGGCAGGAGAATGGCGTGAACCTGGGAGGTGGAGCTTGCAGTGAGCTGAGATCATGCCACTGCACTCCAGCCTGGGGGACAGAGCGAAACTCCATCTCAGAAAAAAATAAATAAATAAATTATCATTTCCAGTAAGAATAATTCATGAAGAAATGTATTGCAGTACTGTTTGTAGTAGCTGAAAAACTGGACAAGTAAAATGGGGTATATATGTGCACTACAGAATGATATGTAGAAATTAGAATAATGCACTGCAACATGGACCAATTTGAGAAAAAAAAACTTGAGTAGGATATATAATACAGTACCATTTCTACAAATTAACAATGCCAACAACTCAGATTTTATAAATATCCCAGAAATTCAAGGATAAATGGCATAACATGTCAAATATATTAGAACAGTTGCCTCTTGGAAGGATAAAAATGAGTATGGAGACTGAGGATTAAAAAGAATAAATAAGAGGGGAGCCTTAAACACATTGATGATGATATTGACTAAAAACTAAGGCTATAATTATTAACTCAATCTTCTGTACAGGATATACCTGTACACTAGATAAAAAACTTTGTGTAAGATATGAAAATAAATAAATTAGAAAGATCAAGTCAGTGTTGCGTTGCACTAGCCAAGTAGGAAGAAAATGTCAATGGTACTCTCAAAGTCAACAATCAGAGAAGAGGCATGGGGGGACTTCAGACAAGCCCATCTCTAGATGACAATTGTGAGGCACTAAGGGGAAAGAGACAAAATGAGAAGAAACAGCAGGAGCTGAAGTTGTAATGCATAGTAATGTTTTCAGAAGGTAGATCTATGAGTATTTGAATGCATAAGGAAATGATCTAAGACCTTGATGGAGGTAGAAAGAATAAAACTTTTCTAGGGAAAGAGAGAAAAAAGCAAGAAAACAGGACCCTAGAAAGTAGAGTGTGACATGATCCAAAGAACCAGTAATTGTAGCATATTCCCTCCTAAAAAGCCAAGCAAAGAAGAAGGCATTGATATGAGAAGGGATCTTAAGTGGGGTTAGCATTTAGCTATCCAAGGGTCCTTGTCTAATAACTGCTCTTCCAAGCAGTTCTAAAAGTCATTATTAATGACACATCAAAGTTGGGCAAAGTTGGGCACAGCTTCTCCCAGTACAAATGCAGCTGAGTCATACTGTCTACCATGCTCTTGGTTCCCTTCTCACCTGGACGGCTCTGACTGGGGATCTCACCATCCAACATACATGGCTCTTCTTGTTCCAAGCTGAAGATGACTTCTGGTTTGGGAACTTGACATCCTGTTAACAGGGGATGATAGAGGACTTGATTTCAGAGGCCATACAATGAAGCATTCCATTTTTTTCCCAAAAAAGTTCACTGGGAACAGAGGAATATTCACACTACCCGAAAGAGATTATTAAGAACATGGGACAAAATAAGGACAAAACCATTACACACTTTAGATGTCCTGCAGTCTTTAGAAGTCCCACATACCTCAGAAAACACAGACTTCAGCAATTCTACTGAGAAGAAAAATATACTCAATTAGGTGCAGCCTACTCTATACCCAGCAGAGCCGTGCTTACCCACTGAGATCAAGTTGAAATAGTTTTCCAGCATCACTTCTCTGTACAGGCTTTTCTGAGCAAGGTCTAATTGTTGCCACTCATCCCTACTGAAGTCTACAGTTACGTCCTTGAATGACACTGATTCCTGTTAAAAAAAAAAAACAAACTTTAAAATAATTTTTTAAAGAATATATTTGAATTCAAAAAAAAAAACCTTTCAATGTGAAGGATCGAGATTACAGAATGGAAACAAGATAGGACCTTATTTTTAATGTGATACAATATACTATAAAGAACTTCTACAATTCAACGACAACGAACAAAATAATTTTAAAAATGGGTAAAAAGCTTAAATAGACATTTCTGCAAGGAAGATATACAAATATTTAACAAGCACATGTAAAGATGCTCAACGTCATTAATCACTAGGGAAATGCAAATTAAAACTACAAGATATTACCTCACACCCATCTGGATGATAAAGAAAATGTCTAAAATTGATTATAATGATGGCTGTACAACTGAGTGAATACACTAAAAATCAATACATGGTACACTTTTTTTTTGAGACAGAGTCTCGCTCAGTCGCCCAGGCTGGAGTGCAGTGGCTCGATCTCCACTCACCGCAAGCTCTGCCTCCTGGGTTCACGCCATTCTCCTGCCTCAGCCTCCTGAGTAGCTGGGACTACAGGCGCCCGCCACCACGCCCAGCTAATTTTTAAAAATTTTTTTAGTAGAGACGGGGTTTCACCGTGTTAGCCAGGATGGTCTCGATCTCCTGACCTCGTGATCCGCCCGCCTCAGCCTCCCAAAGTGCTGGGATTACAGGCATGAGCCACGACACCCAGCCTAATATGGTACACTTTAAATGGTAAACTGTGTGGTGTATGAAGGAGAGGGCTCTTTTTCAGCACTGCCATTTCCAGATGAGATGCAGTAGCTTGGCAGTCCAGTGCTTCCTTCAACAATGAACTGTAAATGCCAGACGCAATACTTGAAATCATCTGTTTCAAAGCACTGGAAAGCTGCTGAGGTAGCAAGAAATATAGGGGCTAAGACTGGAGAGGAGAGAATATTAAAGATTGAAGCTGACTTATTCAGTCACTCTGACAGTGGGAGCATTTACCAATTCTGGCTGTGGACAAAAGCTGAGAATCCAGCTTTTGTCCTGGATTCTCATTTTGTCCTGTCTACTGGAGAATGCAGTAGAAGGCTGCAGCTGGGTGACAGAGAAACCAACATAACTCAAACACATGGCCATTTTCCCCTCAGGATATTTGCTGAATTCTAGGGTATATAGGGCAGTAGACTAAAAATGTAAGCAAACAGCCTTTGAAGAACAGAGCAAAAGTCTAGTATCTGTTAAGAAAATAGTTGGGCATCTATCAGGAAGAGGGTCTTTAGAGGACAAAAGGGCTCTCAGCTGAAAATTCTCAGGAGCCAGGGTGATCCAGAGGTAAAGTGAGTCTTAGCAGAGCTTCAACCCGGCCTTATTTCAACATCAACAGTGCCTGACTGGATGTACGTGTTCTCCCTTCCCTCCATTTGCTAACATAAGGAAAGATGAATCCTCTGTGGAGAAAGATTTTTTTTTTCTTTTCTTCTGAGACAGGGTCTTGCTCTGTCATCCAGGCTGGAGTGCAGTGGCACAAACACGACTCACTGCAGCCTCGACCTGGGCTCAAGCAATCCTCCTGTCTCAGCCCCACAAGTAGCTGGGACTACAGGCACATGCTACCATGCCCAGCTAATTTGTCTATCTTTTGTAGAGATGGGTTTTGCCATGTTGCCCAGGCTGGTCTGGGACTCCTGAGCTCAAGTGATCTGTCCCCCTCAGCCTCCCAGGTATGAGCCCTGCCTACAACTTATTATACACAGTGTTTAAAACAAACAAAAAAATCCTACACATCCAAAAAGATAGGACCACATATCCAAAATCAGAGAAGGAAAAAATTCAATAGAAACAGTCACACAGAGAATTGGAGTTAGATGAAAAGAGGACTATCTTTAGAGAGTTGGTTCTTATAATAAAGAATCAAATGAAAGTTCAAAAATTGAAAAATCTAAAATCTAAAATTAAGAAGTCCTTATGCAGGTTTAACAGCAAAATACAGAATTTCTGAAATGGAAGACAAGTAAATAGAAAATATCCAAACTGAAGCAGAGATTTTTTTTTTAAAGAAAAAAACATAGGAGCATTAGGAATATGTGTGACATAGTAAAAAAGGTATAACCTATCAGAGTCTGAGAAGTTAAAGAGGAGAGTGCAGGGAAAAAGCAATATTTGAAGAAGTAATGGCTATGAATGTCATCAACCCTTAGGATTCAAGAAGCTCTTCAAATACCTCTTTACAAAACTGCAAGTATTGACTATGCAAAACAGTAACAGTACTATTCTGGGAGGTTTAAAATGTATGCAAAATTTAAAATAATGGAAATAATAATGCAAAAATGGGAGGCAGTAAATAGAATTAAAGTGTTTTATAAAGTATCCTAGCATTATTAAGGAGATAAAATAGTAAGTTCAAGATGAATGTTTTAATATCTGGGGTAACAAACAGTAAAAGAATTATAACAAGTAAACAAAGGAAAAAATTAAAGAGTAAAAAAATTATGTAATATAAAAAGTCAAGAAAGGAATGAAAAAATAGGTAGTTCAAATAAAAACTAGGCCGGGCGTGGTGGCTCACACCTGTAATCCCAGCACTTTGGGAGGCTGAGGCAGGCGGATCATGAGGTCAGGAGATCGAGACCATCCTGGCTAACACGGTGAAACCCGGTCTCTACTAAAAATATAAAAAAATTAGCTGGGTGTGGTGGTGGGCACCTGTAGTCCCAGCTACTCAGGAGGCTGAGGCAGGAGAATGGTGTGAACCCAGGAGGTGGAGGTTGCAGTGAGCCAAGACTGCACCACTGCACACCAGCCTGGGCAACAGAGCAAGACTCCATCTCAAAAATAAAATAAAATAAAATAAAAACTAATAGTAAGGTGGTATATATAAATTCAAGTATATCAGTAATTACATTAAGTGTAAATGCATTAAACATCCAAGTTAAAAGCAAGGATTGAGACTTCTGGTTCTAAAAAACAAAACAAAAAAAAGAGTGCATTCCACCCAATTCCTCCTGCTAATTACCTAAAAATCTAGAAAAATACATAAAGCATCTGTCAGAAGACTCACTGGTGGAGAAAAGAAAGTAGAACCTAAGGACTTAAAAAACAACACAGTAGTGAGTTAGTTCCCTAGAGGGAACTTAGAGGGAGAGAGGGAGCTCCTACATATTGCAAAATGAGTACTAGAGGAGCTTGCAACCTGGAAGAACCAATGAGCACAGACAAAAAAGGCCTCCCCAAAGCATACATTTTCCAGCCAAATAATTTGAAATAGGGCAGCAATGCAGGATGGGACCTTTTGACTACACATACCTACAAAGTTCAGAAGTACCCAAGAACACCCTCACTTCTGACACCTACTGCAAGCAGAGGGATTTCCCAGGATCACCTGTACTTCTGACACCAATTCCAAGTCAGGGGTCCCCAGGACCACCCTCAGGTTCCACAATTCACAGAAGAACTCACAGAAATTAGAAAAGCCATAATACTCATGGCTATGGTGTTATATAGTGGCTTTACAATGAAAGGATACAGATCAAAATCAGCCAAGGGAAGATGTGCTTAGTGCAGTGTCAATGAGAGTTCCAGGTGTGAGCTTCCAGTGGTTTTCTCCCAGTGGAGTCATATGGACAGCACTTACTTCTCCCAGCAATGATGTGTGATGATAATACGCATGGAGTATTGCCAACTGGGGAAGTTCACTTGAGCCTTGATGTCCAGAGTTTTTACTGAGACTTGATCATGTGGACATGAATGACTCCCACTGTGGCTGATCTTAGTCTCCAGCCCCTCCAGAGCTGATATTGCATGGCCAAAGGTACCCCACTATAAACCACATGTTGGCATAGAATATTCAGTGTGGCCCAAAGCTCCCACCATAAATCACACTGTCATTATATACTATCTTGCATGGCCTAAGCAAGGCCTGCAGGACATTCCAAAGATTTAGAGGTTACCTCCCAGGAGCTGAGTGCAAAGGCCAAACCTCTCTTTGGGCAAAGTTAATCCTTTACTGCACAACAATATACTTGAGGCCAGGCGCGGTGGCTCACGCCTGTAATCCCAGCACTTTGGGAGGCCGAGGCAGGTGGATCACGAGGTCAGGAGATCGAGACCATCCTGGCTAACATGGTGAAACCCCATCTCTACTAAAAAAATACAAAAAATTAGCCGGGCATGGTGGCGGGCGCCTGTAGTCCCAGCTACTTGAGAGGCTGAGGCAGGAGAATGGCGTGAACCCGGGAGGCGGAGCTTGCAGTGAGCTGAGATCACACCAGTGCACTCCAGCCTGGGCGACAGAGCGAGACTCCATCTCAAAAAAAAAAAAAAAACAACAAAACAAAACAAACAAAAAAAAACCAGTATACTTGAGGTGAAAACTACAAAAGATGCATCCTTTGCCTTCTTCACAAACAATGTGACTCCAAAGATGGTGGGGTGGAGCTCTCTCAATCATCCCAACTGCATTAGCTCAAAGAGAGGTAGCACCCCTCTTGCCTCTCCAGCAGGCATTATATAGACTGTATTGGCTAACCCTACCCCAAATTAAGTGAATGACAGCAAAGAAGAAGTAGCTACCTTCTTCCAATAGAGAGTGGAGGATGGATTATGGAGAAAGTTATAAAAAGGGGTTCTTTAAATACATGTATGATGACCTGGGCACACCTACGAGCAGCCCAGATATAAAATGAATCAGAATCAACATAGAAAAAGCTTTCAGGGCTGAACTAGGGTGTGGGATACTGTCCAGGTTTCAAATTAGCTTCTGGGTAGCACAAAAATGAGGGAGACCAAAATAGAACTGCAAAGACTTTCAAAACTAAGTTGAATTTGAAATACAGCCCATAAAAATAGACCAAGACATGCACTCTAAACCTAAATGTGTTGACAACTGCTAAAATAGAGGATTTGAAGAGAAAACAGAATCTCATAACATGATATTCAGAATGTCCTGAATAAAGCCAAAATTATTCATCATCTTAAGAACCAAGAAAATCTGAAATCAAATGAGAAAAGAGCATCAACAGATAGCAACACTCAGATGAATCAGATGTTGGAATTATTTGACAAGGATTTAAAGTAGCTAACTAAAAGTGTTGCAACAAGCAGCTGTAAATAGTGTTGAATCAAGTGGAAATATATAAATTCTCAGCAAAGAAATAGAAGGTATGAGGAGGAACAAAATGAAAATTTTAGAACCAAAAAATACAGTAAGTGAAATTAAAAACCTCACTGGATGATCTCAACAGCAGAATGGAGATCCAAAGGAAAGAATCAGTTACCTCAGTTACCTGTAAGATAGATAAACAGAAATTATCCAGTCTGAACAATAGAAAAAATAATTGATGAAATGATTGTTTCATCAATTCCCTCAGGCTGTATTCAGCCTAAGGGACCCAGCGGGACAATAACAGAACAGCCAACAATCATTTCAGCAGTCCTAGAAGGAATGAAAAAGTAGGACGGGAGACTGGAAAAAGATATGAAGAAATAATAGCTGAAAACCTCCCAAATCTGGTAAAAGGCATAAATGTACAGATTCAAGTCGCTGACCAAATCTCCAAAAGGAAAACCTCAAATAAATCCATGTCTAGATACATTGTAAGATTTATAAAATCCAAATTTAAGAATAGAACCTGAAAACAGTCAGAGAGAAATGACACATTACATGTAGGGAAAGGGCAATTTGAACAAGAATGACTTTCTCATTAAAAACCACAGATGTCAAAAGGAAGTGGGACCATATTTTTCAAGTGCTGAAGAGAAAGAGCTGTCAATATTGAATTCAATATCCAGTGAAAATAAAATAGGCTCTGTTTAAATTCTCTTAAACTTAATTCTGAGGAATTACCTGCCATTGGTAGTTGAGAAAGAAGTCTGAAAAAAAAAATAAAAAAAGAATTAACTGCCATACATTTATTAAGCATAATTACTTAGGTAATTCTTAGGAATTACCTGCCATATATTTACTAAGCAAGATGTTGAGAACTTTATGTTGTGAACATCTTCACAACTTTACACAATATGCTTCAAGACATCAAAGAACTTACAACAACTTTCTAAGATATTATAAAGGGCATAAGAGATGTGCAAAGCATAGCATGACCCCAAATAGAGAGAAGAAAATTCTACATGGAGTGTAAGACTAAGTTCTGTAGAGTTGATGAAACTTAAGCTTAGTCTTGGGAGATGCCATGTTTAATGCAAGCAGAGTAGGGCAAAGTGATTTTTAGAAGGGAGCAGCATGAGCAAAGGTATAAAGACAGGAAAATACATGATAAATTCAGGGAACCACAAATTAGTCTGCATAATGAGAAGTCTGTATGCAGTGAAGGAAAGGTGTTTATGAGGAAATTTCAGTAGAGGTATGCTGGCATGAGATCATGCAACTATTTTTCCTCCAATACATAATGGACTGCCATTAAAGTAATTTATATATAGAGAAAAGATTATTAGATTTATGTTTACAACTGCCAAGAAGATGCTGGCCAGGTTGTGGAGAAATAGGAACGCTTTTACACTGTTAGTGGGAATGTAAATTTGTTCAACCATTGTGGAAGACAGTGTGGTGATTCCTCAAAGATTTAGAAGTGGAAATACCATTTGACCCAGCAATCCCATTACTGGTTATATACCCAAAGGAATATAAATCATTCTGTTATAAAGATACACGCATGCATATGTTCATTGTGGCACTATTCACAATAGCAAAGACATGGAATCAACCCAAATGCCCATCAGTGATAGACTGGCTAAAGAAAATGTGGCACATATACATCATGGAATACTATGCAGCCATAAAAAGGAATGAGATCATATCCTTTGCAGGGACATGCAGGGAGCTGGAAGCCATTATCCTCAGCAAACTAATGCAGGAACAGAAAACCAAACGCTACATGTTCTTACTTATAAGTGGGAGCTGAACAATGTGAACACATGGACACAGGGAAGGGAACAACACTCACTGGGGCCTGTTGGGGAAGGGTGGGGGGTGGGAGAGCATTAGGGAAAAAAGCTAATGCATGCTGGGCTTAATACCTAGGTGATGGCTTGATAGGTGCAGCAAACCATCATGACACACATTTACCTATGCAACAAACCTGCACATCCTGCACATGTACCCTAGAACTTAAAATAAAAAATAAAAAAAGACTATCAAGAAACAGCAGGGAGAATACATTTGAATGAGCAAGAGTGGAAGTCTAGGCAATATTTCATGTGAAAGAATTAAAACACCTTAGTTAGGGAGAAAATATTATTTAACAGGAATATAGAAAAAGAAATTGGTGTAGATAGTAGGTAATTAGAATTGATAGATGGAGTAAGAAAAAGGAGGAACTAAAGTGAAATTCTCAATTATTCGTTTTGTATACTCTGAGATTATAGTGTCATATACTGAAGTAGAGATTGATGAATGGAAAAGGTTGGAGAAAGGGAACCAGATGAAATCACTTATGTTTTGCACATATTGAGATTACAGGGATTAAACATGTAGGCAGGCATATTATAGGACGTTAGGCAGAGGCCTAGAGTGGAGATAAAGATTTGGGAGTCACCAGTAGATAATTAATAACTAAAATCATCTGAGTAAATGAGACTGCTTGAGAGGACACCTGATAAAGGAGAATGTAAAGGAAAGAATCTGAAAAAGTTACCAGCATTGAAGAAGAGGTGTCAGCAATAAAAACTGAGAAATCGGACAGAGCCAGGAGAGAGTAACGTCTTAGAATGTATGTGGGGATTAGTTGATGGGGTTGAATGCCAAGATGGATGAAAAAAGCAAAAGACAGATAAATTCTGGCTTTTGTATTTAGGAGATGTGACAGTGATAGCTAGTTGTCTTCCAACATTCACTCATCCTTTCTTCCCTAATAACAGAACATGAATTCTTAGCTGGCTACTCTGAGTAAGACTTTCTTTTCCCAGCCCACCTTAAATGTAACCAGGAAACTATACTTTGGCCACAGAGATACAGGCGATACTTCTGAGATGTCAGTTTTTAAAGGAGAAGGTGTGAGTGCCCCTTTCCTCCCCAACCTCACCATGCTGCTGGCCTGGAACGCTGACTCAGTTAATGCAACCCCAGCAAATCTCGGGAACTATCAAGTGACGTGAGGTTGAAAATCACAAAATGAGAATGACATAGAGAACAACAACAAAAAAAAAAGGTGTATAAATTTGTGAAGACATCAGGCCCTGAATGAATACTTTCAGACTTCTTTTGCTTCTTTTGTGTTTAAGCCCGTAATTCTTAGATTTCTGTTATACTAAAATGCATTTTGCCAGACAATTCTAATAAAATAGATAGAAACTGGGTTGCAATTACAGACTCTTAAGCTTTTAAGCAAAAAATTCAGTACCACGTAATAGCAAAAAGATCAGTACTTCAGGAAAATATAATTCATATTTTGAATGACAATCTAAAATACATAAAACAAAAGTTGACAAAATTACATGGAGAAATTGATAAACCTACACACGCATGGGAGACTTCCCAACTCCCCCTCCCTACTCTGAGAGATTTTAACCAGATTACATTCATTAATCACTAGATATAGCAACAAAAATTTGGCACATATAGGAAAATTTCTGCAAGAAAATTGACAAGCCAGTTACAAAGGAGATGAGATCTCACACATAAAACAAATATGCAATAGTCAAAAAATAAGGATTATACAGAAGATCTGAACAACACAAATAAGCTGTTTGTGATGTAGACAGAAATCACACACACACACACAGAGAGAGAGAGAAAGAGAGAGAGAGAGAACGAGAGAGAAAGAGTATATTCATCATTATATTAGGGGACCATACATGAATGACAGTGTGATAGTACACAAAATGTAAAAAGAACATAAATGTAACAACAGGCTGGGTGCAGTGGCACATGCCTGTAATCCCAGTACTTTGGGAGGCCAAGGCAGGAGGATTGCTTGAGTCCACGAGTTTGAGACCAGCCTGGGCAACATAGTGAGAACTTGTCTCTATAAAAAATCAAAACAAAAACAACAACAACAAAAAGCAATACAAACTACAGACAACTCAGTTTAAAAAAAAGGGGGAGGAATGAATCAAGCAATTCTCAAAAGAAGTGTACATGACAATGAAATTCTGAAAAACTGTTCAATCACATTAGTAACCAGGGAAATGCTAATTAAATCCAAAATGAGATACCTCTGCAAACTCCCAAGATGGCTAAAATTGTAAAGATTGAAAACACCAAGTACTGGTAAAGATACAAAGTAGTAAACATATCTGCACACTACTGGTAGGAATACAAATTGGCGTAACAAACTTTGCAAAGCTGTATGACATCATATACTAAAGTTGGAGAGGGGCCAGGTGCAGTGGCTCAGGCCTGTAATCCTAGCACTTTAGGAGGCCGAGGCAGGAGGATTGCTTGAGAGCAGGAGTTCAAGACTAGCCTGCGCAACATAGCAAGACGCCGTCTCTACAAAAAGAAAAAAAAAATTAGCCAGGCATGGTGGCATGCGTCTATAGTCCCAGCTACTTGGGAGGCAGGGGAAGCAGGATCACTTGAGCCCTGAAAGTTGAGGCTGTAGTGAGCTGGGATCACAGCATTGCACTCCACTCAGCTTGGGTGACAGAGCAAGACCTTGCCTTTGGATAGAAATAACTTCTGAAAGAAATGTTCACAAGAGCATATTTCGTAATGCATTTTATATTTCTCCATAGTAAAGGCTTAAAAATAAATGAAAATAAAATCATAATGGTACAGAAATGCATATGGTATACCATCTTCTGTGGAAAGAACATAATACTTTTCCTATTTGTTTTTGTCTATATAATGACACTTTGAACACACACTAAAAAAAATTAGTTATCCAGATTGAGGACATGGGCTGATAGGAAAAGAAAGAGGGAGATTTTTCACTATGTACTTATTTTCTTACTTTTAAATCATATGCATGTATTACCTATTCAAAATACTCATCTGACAAAGGTCTAATATCCAGATTCTACAGGGAACTTAAAAACACATTTACAAGAAAAAAACAACCCCATCAAAAAGTGGGTGAAGGATATGAACAGACACTTCTCAAAAGAAGACATTTATGTGGCCAACAATCATACGAAAAAAAGCTCAACATCACTGATCATTAGAGAAATACAAATCAAAACCACAATGAGATACCATCTCATGCCAGTCAGAATGGCTATTATTAAAAAGTCAAGAAACAATAGATGCTGGCGAGGCTGTGGAGAAATAGGAACACCTTTACACTGTTGGTGGGAATGTAAATTAGTTCAACCATTGTGGAAGACAGTGTGGCAATTCCTCAAGGATCTAGAACCAGAAATACCAGTTGACCCAGCCATCCCATTACTGGGTATATACCCAAAGGAATATAAATCATTCTACTATAAAGACACATGCACACGTATGTTTACTGCAGCACTATTTACAATAGCAAAGACACAGAACCAACCCAAATGCCCAGCAATGATAGACTAGATAAAGAAAATGTGGTACATGTACAACATGGAATAGTATGCAGCCATAAAAAGGAATCAGATCACATCCTTTGCAGGGACATGGATGAAGCTGGAAACCATCATTCTCAGCAAACTAACACAGGAACAGAAATCCGAACACTGCATGTTCTCACTCATAAGTGGGAGTTGAACAATGAGAACACACAGACACAGGGCAGGGAACAAGCCACACCAGGGCCTATCAAGGGGTGGGGGGATAAGGGGAGAGAGAGCATTAGGACAAATAGCAAATGCATGCAGGCTTAAAACCTAGATGATGGGGGCCGGGCATGGTGGCTCACACCTGTAATCCCAGCACTTTGGGAGGCCAAGGTGGGTGGATCACCTGAGGTCGGGAGTTCGAGACCAGCCTGACTGGAGAAACCCTGTCTCTACTAGAAATACAAAATTAGCCGGGCACAGTGGCTCAAGCCTGTAATCTCATCACTTTGGGAGGCTGAGGCGGGTGGATCACGAGGTCAGGAGATCGAGAACCTCCTGGCTAACACAGTGAAACCCCGTCTCTACTAAAAAAATTTAAAGAAAATTAGCCAGGCCTGGTGGCAGGCGCCTGTAGTCCCAGCTACTTGGGAGGCTGAGGCAGAAGAATCCCTTGAACCCGGGAGGCGGAGGTTGTGGTGAGCTGAGATTGCGCCATTGCACTCCAGCCTGGGCAACAAGAGCGAAACTCCATCTCAAAAAACAAAGCAAAACAAAACAACAACAACAAAAAAACAAACCTAGATGACAGGTTGATAGATGCAGCAAACCACCATGGCACGCATATACCTATGTAACAAACCTGCACATTCTGCACATGTATCCTGGAACTTAAAGTAAAATTTTAAAAAAAGAAAATATTGCACCCATGAATATTAGAAAGATCATTCAGAAGTGAAGAAAAGAGTCCTTAAAATTAAAAATACAATATTAATGAGAAACTCAGTAACCTGAAACTTTCCATGATACTGCACTGAGCACATCTTCTCTGGCTGATTTTAATCCACGTCCTCTTTCTGTAATGAACTATAAGCATGAGTATAATGGCTTTCCTGAGTTGTGTAAGTCCTTCTCGTGAATTATTGAAACTGAGGGTGGTCTTGGAGACTCCTGAGCTTGCAGTTTCTGTCATAAGTGAGGGTAGTCTTAGAGACGCCTAAATAATTTTACTTGGGCTTGTATCTGAGTGTCAATAGGGCTGTATTCCTTCTGGAGGTTCTAAAGGAATATCAATTTCCTTGATTTTTCTAGCTTCTAGAGGCCACCTGTATTCTTTGGCCTTAAAACAACACAAACTTGTCACTATTCTGGAGGTCATATGTCCAAAATAGGTCCTGCTGGGCTGCACTCCTTCTGGAGACTCTACAGGACAATCCATTTCTATGTCTTACCCAGCTTCTTGAGACTCAAGAGATCTAACATTTGAGAAACATGAGGACAATTCCTAGTATCATGTGGAAGGGACAGCCCATGCCAGTAGCTGAGTATCGGATAGAGAGTAACTATGAGCAGGTCGACAACTCCAAGAGGAGTTTCTTTAAAGAGCTGAAATGAATAGCATGTAATCTAGAGCCAACGGCCTGGGTCTTATTTTCCTGGCTTCATCATTCAGGAGCTGTATGATCTTGGGCAAATTCCTTCTCTGTGTAACAGTTTTCCTCCTCTGTAAAATGAGAATAATGATTATAGATAGCTGTCTTTGTTTACTGTTACTATAAAAGAACACCTGAGCCTGGGTAATTTATAAAGAAAAGACATTTATTTGGCCCATGGTTCTGCAGGCTGTACAAGAAGCATGGCATCAGCATCTGCATCTGGGGAGGGCCTTCAAGCTGCTTCCATTCATGGCAGAAGGGGAAGAGAAGCCGGTGTGTGCAGAGATCATATGGCAAAAGAGGAAGAAAGAGAGAGCGAATGGGAGGTAGCAAGCTCTTCTCAACAACCAACTCTCACGGAACTCATAAGATTGAGAACTCACCACCTCCCCAGAGAGGGCATTAATCTATTCATGAGGGATCTGTCCCCATGACCCAAACACTTCCCATTATGCCCTACCACCTCCTACACTGGGATCAAACTTCTCTTTTATTTTTAAAATTTCTTTTTATTTATTTATTTTTGTAAGAAACAGGGTCTCGCCATATTACCTAGGCTGATCTCAAATTCCTGGCCTCAAGTGATCCTCCTACCTTGGCTTCCTGAATAGCTGGGATTACACACAAGCCACCGCGCCTGGGTTGGGGGATCAAATTTCAGCATGAGATTTGGAGAGGATAAATATCCAAACCATAGCAATAACTCGTAGGGGTTGTGACTGAATTAGTTAATAGAGAATGCTTATAGTGCCTGGTATATAGTAAGCACTATATTAATGTTTATATTATATTACTGTTATTATTTAGTATATTTTAATATATTGAGAAGGTATTTATATACCTGGGAAGACTAGCGATGAATTACTGATATGTATAATATATATTGTACATGTATGTATGGAAAACAAAACAAATGATTAAGCCAGACACTTATAATTTCAGGTAAAACAAAAAGCACTGCATAAAAAGTAAATGGCTCACTTGTGAATATTGTTAAAATAATCATCATAATAAAATGCAGCCTATTGATTTACCCCAAATTATGATATACCCATATTAGGCTGGGCGCAGTGGCTCACGCCTATAATTCCAGCACTTTGGGAGGCTAAGGTGGGCAGATCGCTTGAGCCCAGGAGTTCAAAGATCAGCCTGGGCAACATGGTGAAACCCCATCTCTACTAAATAAATAAATAAATAAACAAAATACCCATATTAGATGGAGGGTACATGAGAAATGTGTACGTGAGTGTCAAGGGCCTGAGTGTCTGAAAGAGAGCTAATTCCTTCTTTCCATTGTGTTGTCTGTAGATAACTGCTTAAAACTGAAAGCCTAGAAATACCAATACAAACATGTTATTTAGACATATGAAAGTAAACAGCAAAAGATAACTAAACTGAGTTCAAAGTGATTACCTTTGAGAAGCTGAAATTTGAAGAGGAATAGAGCAGATGACAACTGTTTTATTCTAAGAAACCACAAAGAACAATTTGACTAAGTAAATATAGGTAAAACTTTCATGACATTCAAAATGAAATACTTATTTTTAAAAGTTCAAATGCAAAGGACAAAGAGGCAGTTATAACTGACCAAAACGTATAAGACTATGCTTAATATATGAAGTCCTCTGTTCAAACTCAATAAACTGGATTCCACTCCTGGAAAGATACAGTAGATGCACTTGTCTCTATTCATCCTGTTAAGTTCATCTACAAACCATAGACATTATCCATCAAACCAACATACAGACTCTGAAAGGTAAAGAAAAATAGGCACCCTGGCTAGGGGCCTCAGGAACCAGGGAAGTAAACAGTAATAAGCTCTCTGTGTCTTTCGGCCTCATATAGATAGCTCTGACCAGGTGTTCGAAAAACCTACAATCCAGAAACATCAACAAGTGCATACAAAAAGGCCTGGAAAAAAGTGTTTTCTCTAGCTAAAAGACCAGGAAAGGGGCAACAGAGAAAAATAAAAAACTTTTAGACAAAACCTACTCCAACCAAATACCACAGATTATAAAACAACAAAAAACTGTGGGCTTGATTCATCTCTCATCAGCAAAGACTCAGTGGGTAGCCTAGACTCCTGTATTTGCCTGGCTGCCTGGGGATGCCCCTCCACTGCAATAGGGTAGTATGAGAAAAGCCAACTGGGGAGCTGGGACTTTCATCTCTGCACAGTGGTAATGGGTAGCTTTCTTGCCATGCCAGTGGGAGCCACCTCAGGGCTGGACTTCCATTCCTACCTAGCAGTAATGCGACACTCTTCCCATCACGACAGGTGTGGTGTGAGAGGATGTCAAATGAAAACCCAAGACCTTCATCACTCTGAGAGGTAATGAGGCCCTATCCAACCTAACAATATCAGAGAAGACAGCATGAAGAGCAGAAACAAGGTACCCTCTCCTTTCAGACAAGGTGATGTCACCAGAGGTCTACTGGGGAGCCTGAACTGCCAACCCCAACTAGCAGTAATGAGGTGTCTCTCTCCCCACAGACTGTCAACAGAGTTCAAGTAGGGAACCTGCAAATTCACATCCACCTGGCAGTAGTACAGCAAGGCCCCCCAATTCCCACACTGGCCCAGAGGACGCCTGCTAAAAAAGAGGACTCAAATAAGATCTAGAGTCTCATAATGCCCAAGGTTTCCACAATACATTACAAAATCATTTGTAAAACCAAGAACCAGGAAAATCTCAACTTGAATAAGGAAACAACCAATCAACCGATACTAAAACTGAAGTGATGTATGTTATCAGAATTATTTCATAAGGATTTTAAAGTAGTCCTCATAAAAATGTTTTAACAAGCATATGAACACACTTGAAACAAAAAAACTTCAACAAAGAAATAGAGAAGAGATGAAAAAACCAAATGAAAATTTTAGAATTAAAAAATAACCAATATTAAAAACTCAATAGATGGGCTCAAAAGAATGGAGGCAACAGAAGAAATATTCTGAGTACCTGAAAATAAAGTAGAAATGATCTAATCTAAAGAATGGAGAGAAAACAGACTGAGAAAAAAAGGAACAGAACCTCAGAGACATGTGGGACAATAACAAAAAATCTAACATTTGTGTCATTGGAGTTCCAGAAAGAGAAAAAGAAGAGAAAGGGATGGGGGCTGAACAAGTATTTGAAGAAATAATGAATGAAAATTTCTGAAACTTCCCGAAAGATATACACTTACAGATAGAAGCTGGGCAAATCTCAAAAAGGATAAAACCAAAGAAATTCACACTAAGGAAGAATTATAGTGAAACTTGTGAAAAATACAGACAAAGAAAGAATGCTGAAAGCATTCAGAGAGAAACTACACATTACCCACAGGAGAAAAACAATTTGAATGACAATGTGAGATACTAAGAACCATGGCTCCCCAAAGATGTTCACATCCTAATTCCCAGAAATTGTGAATATGTTAGGTTGCATGGCAAAAGGGAATTCAGGTTTCAGATCAAATCTAGGTGGCTAAATCGGCTGTCCTTAAAATAGGAAGATTAATTATCTTAGATTATCTGGGTGGGCTGAATATAATCACAAATTTGCTTAAAAGTTAAAGCAGGAGGGCCAGGCGCGGTGGCTCATGCCTGTAATCCCAATACTTTGGGAGGGCCAATGCGGGCGGATCGCCTGAGGTTGGGAGTTTGAGACCAGCCTGACCAACATGGAGAAACCCCGTCTCTACTAAAACATACAAAATTAGCAGGGCGTGGTGGCACATGCCTGTAATACCAGCTACTCGGAAAGGTGAGGCAGGAGAATCGCTGGAACCCGGAAGGCGGAGGTTGCAGTGAGCCAAGATCGCGCCATTGCACTACAGCCTGGGCAACAAGAGCAAATCTCTGCCTCAAAAAAAAAAAAAAAAAAAAAAAAAAGTTAAAGCAGAGGCAATAAAAGAGAGTCAGAGAAAGATGCGACTACAAAAGAGTGGTCAGAGAGATACAATGTTGATGGCTTTGAAGTTGGAGGAAAGGGCCACAAACTGAAATGTGAGCACCCACTAGAAGCTAGAAAAGTCAGAAAATAGAAACAGATTCTTTCAGGTTGCGGTGAGCCGAGATCGCGCCATTGCACTCCAGCCTGGGCAACAAGAGCAAATCTCTGCCTCAAAAAAAAAAAAAAAAAAAAAAGTTAAAGGAGAGGCAATAAAAGAGAGTCAGAGAAAGATGAGACTACAAAAGAGTGGTCAGAGAGATACAATGTTGATGGCTTTGAAGTTGGAGGAAAGGGCTACAAATTGTGAAATGTGGGCACCCACTAGAAGCTAGAAAAGTCATAGAAAATAGAAACAGATTCTTTCTTACAGCCTGTAGAAAGGAATACTGCCCTCTTGACACCTTGGTTTTAGTTCAGTGAGACCCATGTTGGCCTTCTAAAATATAGAACTGTAAAAAAAAAAAAGTTATTTTTAAGCAACTAAATTTTTGAATTTATTTCAGCAGCAATAGAAAATTAACATGCAGTTTTAACTAATATCTCATCAGAAACTTTGGAGGCCAGAAGGAAGTAGCACATTTTTCAAGTGCTAAAAAAAAAAACAAAAGAACTATCAACTTAGAATTTTGGATCAGGCAAAAATATCCTTCAGGAGAATGTGGAAATCAAGACATTCTCAGTCCTCCAAAAATTCGTATGTTTAGGCTGTAACCCCTAATGTAACTGTATTTGGAGATAGGGCTTTTAAGAGGTAATTACGGTTAAACAAGGTAGGGGTCCTAATCTGATAAGACAGGTGGCCTTACAGAGAGAGATTCTCTCTCCATAGGCAGGCAGGCAGGCAGGCAGGCGGTCACTAGGGAATGGCCTGTGAGCACATAGTGAGAATCTGGTTTTCGTCTACAAGCCAAGAAGAGAACCCTCATCAGAACCTGACCATACTTGCACCCTGATCTCTCAGTTCCAGCCTCCCAGAACTGTGAGAAAATAAATTTTTGTTGTTTATTCCACCCAGTCTATGGTACTTTGTTATGGCAGCCTGAGCTGACTAAGACAACTACTAACAGCTCTGCACACATAAATTTGACAACTTAGATGAAAGGGACCAGTTCCTGAAAAACACACAAACTACCACAACCCTCTCAATATTAAATAGACAATGTGAATAGCCCTGTAACACTTAAAGAAACTGAGTTTGTAATCTTAAAACTTCCAAAAAAGAAATCTCTAGGCCCAGACAGTTTCTCTGGAGAATTCTACCAAATATTTGAAGAATTAACATAATTAACATAAATTCTACACAGTTTTTTCCAGAAAACAGAAGAGAAGGGCATACTTCCCAGTTTATTGTGTGAGGCTATGATTTCCCTGACACAAAAACTGGACAAAGTATAGAAAAAGAAAACACAAACTATACACAATCTCTGGCAGAATAATCAATACAAAGGAACACATTCCAACTTATTTTATGAGGTCAGGGTTATCGTGATACCTAAACCAGAAATAGTACCAAAAGAAAAAACAGAAAGAGAGACAGAAAGAAAAAAAAAAGCGATATCCTTCATAAATATGATACAAAAACCCTTAACAAAATATTAGCAAATACAAATAATTTAAAAAGTATATACCACAACCAAGTGGAGTTTATTCCATGGATGCAACGCTGGTTCAATATTAAAAAATCAATCAATGTAATCTACCATACCAACAGACTCAAGAAGTAAAATCACATGATCATGTCAATTGGTACAGAAATAGCATTTAACAAAATTCAACTCCCATTCACGATAAAACCTCAAGGTTGTTTCAGAAGGTGGTCCTTGGACAAGGAGCATTGATGTTCTGTGGAAATTTGTGAGAAATAAAAATTCTCATATCCCATCCCATAGCTACTAAATCAGAATCTGAATTCAAATGCAAGTAAAGTGTCAGAAGCACTGTTCTATAAGACAGCAACAGAAAAACTGTTAGTGCACGTTCTTTCTTTCTTTCTTTTTTTTTTTTTTTTTTGAGACAGAGTTTCGCTCTTGTTGCCCAGGCTGGAGTGCAAAGGCGCAATCTCGGCTTACTGCAACCTCTGCCTCCTGGGTTAAAGCAATTCTCCTGCCTCAGCCTCCTGGGTAGCTGGGATTACAGGCGCCCGCCACCACACCTGGCTAATTTTTGTATTTTTAGTGCAGACGGGGTTTCACCTTGTTGGCCAGGTTGGTCTGGAACTCCTGATCTCATGTGATCCACCTGCCTCGACCTCCCAAAGTGCTGGGACTACAGGTGTGAGCCACCGCGCCTGGCCTGTTAGTGCACTTTCAGTAGGGTTGTTGTTGAAGACTGCTCTGTCATTAACCATCTGAAGATCTATCAAAAAATTCCTCAAACATCAAGAACCATGACATCTTTACTACAGATGAAATAAATTACTTGTTAATTTTATTAATATAAACCATGTATCCAATTTCCATTATTGCTATGTCTTTCAGGAAGATCAGAGACAATTTAACAGTTCAAAGTTCATGACTGTGTAAGACCATATATTCTAAACTTGACTTGGGGCTGACAGTCTCTTCTTCATTTTATCTGATCTTAGTTTTTATTTATTTAGTCTTGTCATCTTACTATAGGGATTGTTAGATGTCTCCTAAAATCCACTAAAAGTAAAAGAAAGCAACAAATAAACAGATGAACAAATAAGAACTCACCAGGGACTTGGTCATTTTTGGCTCTTCGGACAAAGGGGCAGAAATCTGAGAAAACAGATGGGTAGAGGTACCCATGAGAGAAGGAACTGTGCCAATGTCACACATGGACACATACATCATTTAGTGCCCTTGCACCTTACTCAAAAATTTATTTCTGGAACTACCACATTAAAATATCATCCCATCCCATATTGTACAAAGATTTAAGTGCAAAAGTTTTACCATAACATGGTTAATAAAAAAGAAAGATTAGAAATGTTTAGATATTCAATAATTGTGGATTGCTTAAATACTTTATAAAATATCCAAAGGATATACTGTTCTATTACGTTATTATACTATCTGATTTCACAGGCCCTTCAAGTTATCATCAACCCTGGTACCTAACTCCTCACTACCACTCTTCAATCTGCTCTAAGTGTCAATTGGTGCCCAGAGACTACTCCCAGAAGCCATTACTGAAACCTCAGATTCACTGATTTCCATGCCTTGCTGCCCCTGAGCCAGGCCTGCATCACTCATCCTACAATACCTGATCACAGAGTCTTCAATTCCTCTACCCTAATGGTCCTGGCTCTCTACCAATCAATCCCACATCCCCATGACTGGCCTCTATGCCTGTATGACTACCGATCATGCATCTCCATCAGCCATCCCAAGAGTCCCAATCCTAGGCACACCTGTTTCTGCACTGGGGCCTTAGCACACATACACATCTCCCACCACTGACACAACTAGGCTATAAGCTCCTCCACATACACAAACAGGAACTCAATCAATGAACAAATCAGGGGAAATTCTTGCATGTATAGAATAAATTTATAAATAGAAAACACTTCTAAATCTAATTGTGAAAAACCAGACTATTTACAGAGGAAAAATGAAGGAAATAAGAAAACTCTTCATCTGCAGTACTGAAAGCTAAATGATGTCGGAAATAGCATCTAAAAGACCACTTCTCTGTCAGGGCCAGAGAGACATTTTCAGAAATAAAAGCACTTGCAGAGTATCTCTATCTTTGAGAGAAACACTGGAAGAAGTCCAAATAAATGTAAAATGAACCACACAATAAATCTTGAATAGGAAAATATTGTTTAGCAATAATTCTTGCAAAAGATATATAATTATAAAAAAGGACAATGTGACAATGTGATAAAGAGGCCACTAAAGAGAAAATTAATAATACCCTATGATAAAACATTCCTAATAATCTCAGGAAAAAAACAGAAAAAATGGGGTGCAGAATGGAAACAATGAGCAGAAATTTCATCAATCCAATGAAAATATTATGTAAAGAAAAGGCAGAAAATAAAAAGAGCTAAATAGTAAACATCAAATGGAAGGCATAAAATCAGATAAATCATTATCACACTAAACTGAGATGTAAAATTCTATCAACAGAGACTATAAATTGGATTTGAAAAAAGCAAAAGTATCTATTGTAAACAAATAGGTAATCTGACACAGAGACAAATAGGATACAAAATAAAGCTCTGGGCAAAGACATCATCCAAATGCAATGAAAGTAAAAACAAGGGTGGCAATGTGAGTATCAACGTGGAATTCGATGTTAAAAAGTGTTTTTCTTGGAATTCGATGTTAAAAAGTGTTTTTCTTTTTTCTTTTTGGTTGAAAAAAGGGATCCTATAATAATACCACTTAATACATGAAAAAGGATAAAAAATGCACTAACCATTAAGTGTATGTATGCCCATCCCTCAGATGCACAAATAAAATTAGCAAAAAAGCACATATAACTGCAAAATGAACTATTAAAAGTGATTTTTATTGTATCTCCTCCAGAATATGAAACAAGTAGATCAAAATTAGGAAAGATAAAGATTTGAAAAATACCAACAAGCAAGACTTAATTAAAGAGAATTTTGGTCCATACAACAAAATATAATTTTTCTTTTATATCTGTTGAACAAAGTTCATTGAGTAACTTGGCTTCAAGGAAAATCTTGATAAATTGTTAAAAGTTGAGACTTGATAGTCTGCATTTTCTGACAATACAATAAAATAAAAAACAGCTAAAACATACTTTAATAATTTGGGAATGAATAAACTCTCCTAAATAACTAAGATTCAAAGGGAAACATCAAAATGAACTTATGCATTTCATAAAGATGTACTTAAAGAAACTTTACAACCCTAAATGTATCCCGCATAAAACTTAAGAAAATAAGGGAAAGAACAACAAATTACATCAAAAAGTGGGAAAAAGAGAAAGTACCTAAAAAGAAAAAGAGAAAAAAATTAATATTAAAAGAGTAGGGAGTATTTTATTGGACATTTCAAAATGTCCAATGAAACAGATAAACCTTTCAGACGCTTGATTCTTTTTAAATAGAGAAAGAATGAATGATATATAAATATAATAACCGTAATGATAAAGGAGCTACTAGTCTGGATATGAAAGAGAACAAAATGGAAATGGAAACATGCAATTCTATGTAATATATTCTTTAAATCTTTAGCAAAATATATCATTATAATGAAACAGAAACGAAAATATAAACAGATCGGTACGTATAAAAGAGAGGAAACTAATTAAGATGTGCATCATTCACACTCCTCAGATCCCTCCTTAGTTCCCATAGTCATCCTCCCCCACAACCCCACAGTCCGCCCTCACTCCGCCCTCAGATCCACCACCAGACAGAGACCCCCAGTCCGTCCTCACTCCGCCTGCAGATCCACCACCAGAGACCCCTCAGTGCCCCCTCACTCCTCCCTCAGATCCACCATCAGAGATCGCTCCGACTTCCACTATTCCATCCACTGACCGACCCCATCACTGACCGGAAGGCTCAGGACAGACATCAGAGATTCTTCTTGCTCAGTCCACAGATGCTGCCATCCCTCTACTCACCTGCCCCTCACCCACGTCCTCTCAGGACAGTGGTCATTTGCCTCGGGAGGTGACTATAGTCGCAAGAACCAGAACAGGACCCACTTCCTTTTTCTCAATGCCTCCCAGGCCTAGAGGTACTTCTTACAGCGCTGCCTGGGTTTGCGCATGCTCAGCAGTCTTCATGGCCTGAAGGTTGCCAGTAATCAACATGGCGCTTTGCCAAACACGCTCCCGTTTCAGCGGCTTAGGCTGGGCGCCAGTATGGCGGCGCCCATGTAGACACTCTGGCCTGTGGGCGGCCATGTTGAGGTCATGTAGAGACTGAGAGGCTGAGGGTTGTCCAAAGGAAAGGAAGCAAGCAGAGGTGTGTCCCATCATACTAAGCCAGGACACAATCAAAGCCTATCACCTCAGGTTACAGTCTTTCTCCAATGCTTCTGTGGACACAACAACACTGTTAATCAACAGGAACTAATCAGCATTTATGTAACACCGCAAACGCAGCCGAATACACATTTTATTCGTGTCGATGGGACATTTAGCAAGATATGAAGTAACCTGGGTCATAAAACAAATCTCAGCAAATTTGAAACAACTGAAATCATACAGTTTGTTCTCTGAACACAATAGAATTAAACTAGAAATCAATAACAGGAAGATAAAAGGAAAATCTCCAAACACGTGAAAACACATGCTAAATAATCCATTGTTCAGAGAGAAAGTCTCAAATTTTTAAAATACATTGAAATGAATGAAAGTGAAAGTGAATGAATTTTTAAAATACATTGAAATGAATGACAGTGAAACACAACATATCAAAATTTGTGGGATGTGGCTAAATCAGTGGTGAGAGAAAAATGTATATACCACTAAGGGCTTACATTAGAAAAGAAAAAAATTTCAAAGCAATAACCAAGCTCCCTCACATACTAGAAAAAGAAGAGCAAAATAAACCGAAGGCAAGTGAAAGAAAGGAAATAATAAGGATAAGAAGATGACTCAATAAAATGTAAAAAGAAAAATAGAGAAAAACCGATTAAACAAAAGCTGGTTCTGTAAATGTTAATAAAATTGACAAATCTGTAGAGGAGACACAAAATATCAATATCCAGAATGAAACAGGAGATACCACTGTAGACCATGACGAAATCAAAAGAATAAAGAGAATACTACAAACAACTCTACAAACATAAATTTCACAACATAGATGAAATGCACTAATTCTTGAAAAAGCACAAATTCTCTCTTACATGAAATAGTTATGTTGAATAGCCCTAGAACTGAAGTCATAATTTGAAATATCTGAAAAAGAAATCTTAAGGCCTGGATAGCTAGATCAGAGAATTCTAACAAACATTTAAAGGTTAACACGAATTATATCCAGTCTCTTCCAGAATAAAAAAAGAATAGAAAGAAGACAATAGAAAGATATTCCAACTCATGAGGCCAGTGTTACTCTGATATCAGAGCTAAAGACAGAAGAAGAAGAAATCAGTATTCTTCATGAATATAGATGGAAAAATTCTCAACCAAATAATAGCAAAAATAATTCAACAATATATAAAAATAACTACAAACCATGAACAAGTGATATTTATTCCAGGAATAAAAAGCTGTTTTGGTATTCAAAAATCAATTTGTGTAACCCCCCACATTAGCAAGCTAAAGATAAGCATATTACATGATTATATCAATGCAGGAAAAGAATTTGAGAAAATTCAACACCCATTTATAATGAAAAAAAAACTTTCAGGAATTAGGAACAGAGGTAAACTTTCTAACTTTTAAGTTAGAAAAAAATCTACAGCTAATGTCAAACTAAAAGATGAAAAAGACTGAATGCTTTCCTGTTCAGTTTGGGAAGAAGGAAAATATGTCTGTGCTCATCATTTTTATTCTACACAGTTCTGGAAGACCCAGTCAGCTGACAAAAATTCTCTCCATAACCAGACTCTAGCCATGCTCCTTTGAACTCTCTTGTCAACTAAACCCTGGCTTTTGGGCTTTTGTGTTGTCTGTGAATTGCCCAATATTAGTAAGAATCCTAGCAAGGCAATTTAGTCAGAATCCTCCATCTTCGTATCTGATCACCATTGATATCTAATTGGTTTTCTTATTGTCTACTATCCCCAGGTGATATCTGATCACTCTGGCATGGCTTCAGCAAGAATTCTGTGAGGTCAGTTTAGCCAGATTCCCTCCTATTAGTAATTTTCCGTACACTACCACCCCTCCACCCTGCTCTGTGGCTATAAAATTTCTATTCAGAGGGAAACCTGAATATATGGAAACTGGAGATTACTGCAAGACCCTATTGCAGTAATCTCTATATCTATTGCAATAATCCCTCTGAATAAAGTTTGTCTTACTATTTTTTAACAGGTGTCACGAATAGTTTTTTCTATGATACAGCTCAACAAAACAAGTCTGAAATAGAAGAATAAAGTGGGAGGAATTATTCTACCCAATTTTTTAACTTTTTACGTAGCTACAGAAATCAAGACAGTGTGGTATTGGCAGGGGTATAGACAGTTCAATAAAACAGAATTGAGAACTCAGAAATATTTCCATACAAGTACAACCAACTGACTTTTGAAAAAGATGCAATATCAATTCAATGGTACAGTGGTTCTGGAGCAGTTAGATACCATAGACAAAACAATGAACCTCAATCTAACCTCATGTCTTTATTTAAAAAAAAAAGGATCAGCCAGGCGTGGTGGCTCACGCCTGTAATCCCAGCACTTTGGGAGGCCAAGGCGGGTGGATCACGAGGTCAGGAGATCGAGACCATCCTGGCTAACAAGGTGAAACCCCGTCTCTACTAAAAATACAAAAAAATTAACTGGGCGTGGTGGCAGGTGCCTGTAGTCCCAGCTACTGGGGAGGCTGAGAGAGGAGAATGGCGTGAGCCCAGGAGGTGGAGCTTGCAGTGAGCTGAGATGGTGCCACTGCACTCCAGCCTGGGTGACAGAGAGAGACTCCCTCTCAAAAAAAGAAAAAAAAAGATCATAGATCTCAATGTAAAAATATGAAATTTAATGATAAATTCTTCAGGTCCTAGGACTTGATGAATAATTATTAGACATGACACCAGAAAAGCACAATTAATTATAAGAATTTATTAATTGGATGTTATCAAAATTTAAAACTTTTGCCCTGCATAAGAGCCTGTTAATAAAAAGACAAGGTAAAAACTGGGAGAAAACTGCAAACCACACCTGATAAACCATATCTGACAAAGAGGTCATATCTAGAATATTGTTTAAAGTTTTCAAAAGTCAACAACAACAACAAGGAAAAACAATCCAATTAGAAAATGGGCTAAAGGCATGAACAGATATTTCACTGAACAGGATATATTGATGGAAAATGAGAAAATAAAATAACTTTTATCAGAGGAATGTCAGTCCTTTTAAATTATCAAGCCCAGAGAGACGTTAAAATAAGACAGCAGGCCCCATGCGGTGGCTCATGCCTGTAATCTCAGCACTTTAGGAGGCCAAGGCGGGCGGATCACGAGGTCAGGAGATCCAGACCATCCTGGCTAACACGGTGAAACCCCGTTTCTACTAAAAATACAAAAAATTAGCCAGGCACGGTGGCAGATGCCTGTAGTCCCAGCTACTCCGGAGGCTGAGGCAGGAGAATGGCGTGAACCCAGGAGGCAGAGCTTGCAGTGAGCCAAGAGCGCGCCACTGCACTCCAGCCTGGGCGACAGAGTGAGACTCTGTCTCAAAAAAAAAAAAGGAAAACTGCATGTCCTGCACATGTACCCCTGAACTTAAAATAAACACATAAGTACATAAATAGAATTTAAAAAAATCTTAATTGTATGTGGGTAGGTCCCTTTGATTGAAAGTGAGATAGAAGGCTGGGCGCAGTGGCTCACGCCTGTAATCCCAGCACTTTGGGAGGCAGAGGCGGGCGGATCACGAGGTCAGGAGATCAAGACCATCCTGGCTAACACGGGGAAACCCCGTCTCTACTAAAAATACAAAAAGAAATTAGTCAGGCGTGGTGGCGGCGGACGCCTGTAGTCCCAGCTACTCAGAAGGCTGAGACAGGAGAATGGCTTGAACCCGGGATGTGGAGCTTGCAGTGAGCCGAGATCAGGCCACTGCACTCCAGCCTGGGCGACAGAGAGAGACTCCTCAAAAAAAAAAAAAAAAAAAAAAAAAAAGGAAAGTGAGATAGAAATAATTTTTTTAAAACTTACTATTCAAAATTTGCAAAACTAAATAAGAGTAAAAGAACTTTACATTTTGTCCCTGGATTGATATAAGACAAAAACATTGTGTGGGAAAGCTGGAGTTGAGGACAAATGAGATTCTGAGAATAAAAATCCCTGGTACATAGCCAAAATTTCAGAGTCAACTTCAGATTTTCAAGGGCCATAAAATAGGTAACCTCAAGCCACCAACTCCAACAGATAAAAGGAACCAGGTAATATGTGTTCCAGGGAGAAAGAATAGAAAATTGGCTGAGTTCTATCACTGACAAAACTTAGCGGGAAGGAGAGATCTGGAAGGTGGGAAGGTGGAGGGATCCCCGGCTTGGGGGGTGGGGAGGGGCTGTGCTTCGGTCTCCCCCTCCTACTGCCCCTCCCCAACAAAGGAGCCCTTTGTGATGTGAAGGCCCAGCTCTGTGATGCAGGCCTGGGCCCCAGTCCCTAGCCTCCACGGGGATGCCCAGAGCTCAGTTGCTTGAAAGCAATGCACCTATTCACATGGAGAATCTTCCCTTTCCTCTAAAATTACTTAGTCCCTCATCGCTAAACACCCCCAGCTCCACACCATGGGTGTTGGATATCTTCCTCACCTTGGTGTTTGCCCTGGGGTTCTTCTTCCTATTACTCCCCTACTTATCTTACCTCCATTGTGACGATCCACCCTCACCATCGCCTGGGAAGAGAAAGGTAAGGAGCCCTCAGTCCAGACCCACAGAGCTTGATTCTCTCCTTCCTTTTTATTATTAGTTCCACTTTTCCAAATCCAGTGGAGGGACTTCTGCGATGGGAAGTCTCAGGAGAGACCGGAACATCATGCTTCCAGGGAGAGGCAGGGCAGCCAGGGGTTGGTAGGGGTAGATTGTGTACAGGGATTTCCATCCCAAGCCCTCAGTCCATCTGTTGGGGAGCGCAGGAGGCGTGAAGGCAAAATCAAACCCGTGGGCTCAGCGGCCAGGAATGGTCATGAGACGGGGGAGGTCTCTGGTCATGAGACAGGGGAGGTCTCTGTCCGAGGCCAGGCCCTAAGCCCTGGCTCATCAGCCCCTTCCTGGGGCAGGTGGCTTGGGGCCCAACCTCCTCTGTGTGGGGTGATATGGGGCCTGTGCTGGGCCCCCAAGGGCCTCCCACCGGGGCCTGGCATCTCCTCTTGTCTCCTGGGAAGCAGAATCCTACCTGACAGCTCAGTGGTGCCTGTGGGCCTGAGCCTGGGTGTTCCAGGAGCAGAGGAACAGGGACTGATGGCGTCCATGGTGGACCTCATATTGAAAATCCCTCTGTGTGTGTCTGTGTGTGTGTGTGTGTTATTTTTATTTATTTTATTTTATTTTATTTTTTGAGATGGAGTCTCACTCTGTTGCGCAGGCTGCAGTGAAATGGAGCGATATCTGCTCACTGCAACCTTTGCTTCCAGAGTTCAAGCTATTCTCCTGTCTTAGCGTCCTGAGTAGCTGGGGATTACAGGTGCCCGCCACCACACCTGGCTAGTTTTTGTATTTTTAGTAGAGACAGGGTTCCACCATGGCCAGGCTGGTCTCAAACTCCTGACCTCAGGTGATCCACCCACCTCGGCCTCACAAAGTGCTCGGATTATAGGCATGAGCCACCGTGCCTGGCCCCCTCTTCCTGTTTTTCTAAGAAGAAAAGCAGTTTATCATCCATTTAAACATGAATGGGAGGAAGCACACAGAGCTCCCTGAGCAAGACAGAGAGAGCCATGCGGTTCATGAGTGCAGAGTGCTGCGGCTGGGCTGGGGGTGGAGAGGGAGAGCCGGTCCTAGCTCCTCGCCATTTCTTGTCTCCCAGTGTCATCTTGTCTCCTCGCGTCATCTTGTCTCCCAGTGTCCAGTAGGGCAGAGGGGGATGCCCAGAGGCAGGATGAAAAACCACAGTCTTCAGAGGTAAGGCTCTGCCAGGGCACACTAGAGTTAATTTGATCTCGTCTGTCCCTGAGGGAACTGACTCTGAAGAAGTCAGTTGAAGAAGCCTGAGGTGGGGGCTCCTAGGAAGGAAATCAGAACCCCGGGTCCTTCTCAGATTCCATGCCGGAATGAAGCCATGGTGGGCCAGGGACTGAGCGTTACCCAGCAGGGGGCAGTGTGTGTGTTCTGGGGAGACCAATGCCTGCCTGGATGCGGAGGGGGTTGAGGGGGCCTCCCGCTCCCTGGGAACAGCTGTTCAACTCTGCTAAGGCTGATTCCTCTTTGAGACCACCCCAGTCCTTTCTCCACACAGGGCAGTTGTGAGGACTATGGGGGTGGGGGGCCTGTTTGTGGAAGCCCTTTGTGAATGACAAAGCCCTGTCCTCCATGCCTTGCTATTACCATCGGGGCCATGTGGCTTTGGACACAGATGGGTGGGTTCCAGGGTCTAATTCCCCATGGTCTTCCCTGAAGAAACATACACTCAGCCTCCTGTGAGATCCCAGGCCCCTCCCTCACTGCCCTAACCCGGTCTGATTTCCAGCTTGTAGAGAGTGCCTGAGAGGCCTGGAGGAGACTTGGGACCTGCTTTCACAACTGCAGAGGTGAGGCACTTCCCCTTCCCTGCATCCTTCCTACCAGGGCTGGGATGCGACCTCAGGGCCATAGGCAGCCTGGAGCTGACCTGGGATGGGGAGACCAGGGGGACAGAGGATGAGAGTAAAGGCCTGGGGCAAGGGGTAGCAGGAGAATTGGGCAGTCAGGGTGTGGGGTGGTGGAGGGGCTGTGGCCCGAGCGCCCACTCTGACCTCCGAATCCACCTGCTCCTGGCTGCAGCTTGTGCCTCCTGTCTCCTGCAGCCTCCTAGGGCCACACCTTGAAAAAGGTGACTTTGGTCAGCTCTCCGGTCCAGACTCCCCAGGTGAGGTGGGCAAAAGAGCACCTGATGGAGCCTCCCGGTCCTCTCATGAGCCTATAGAAGATGCTGCTCCCATTCTCTCCCTGTTAGCTTCCCCGGATCCTTGAACCAAGCATCCTCAGGATCTGGCCTCCACCCCACCACCAGGCCCAATGACCACCTCAGTCTCCTCCCTAAGTGCCTCCCAGCCACCAGAACCTTCCCTTCTCCTAGAACATCCCTCACCCGAGCCACCTGCACTTTTCCCTCACCCACCACGCACTCCTGATCCTCTGGCCTGCTCTCCGCCTCCTCCAAAAGGCTTCACTGCTCCTCCCCTGTGGGACTCCACTCTGATAACTCCATCTAACTGTGACTCAGTGGCACTTCCACTGGACACTGTCCCTCAAAGCTTGACTCCACGTGAGGATTTGGCAGCTTCTGTCCCAGCCATCTCAGGTCTTGGCGGCTCAAATAGTCAAGTTTCTGCCTTCTCCTGGTGGCAGGAGACTACCAGAACCTGGTGCGTCTTCAATTCGTCAGTCCAGCAAGATCATCTTTCCCGCCACCCACCAGAGACCTGTCAGATGGAAGCTGGTAGACCATTTTTGCTCAGCTCTGATGGCCAGGATGTCGTGGGGATACAAGTCACAGAAATCAACATTTGAGAGGAAAAAGAAAATGATGGACGATTTCCAAAACAGCCCACAAAAGCACTTGAATGCTTTGGGGAATTTGGTTAAATCACTGGATGCTGAGCAGGACACCACAAGCCCAAAACCCTTCTGGAACATGGGAGAGAACTCAAAATAGCTGCCCAGTCCTCAGAAGCTCTCAGATCCTAGGCTCTTGCAGGAAAGTTTTCAGAAGAATTATAGCCAGCTTTTCTGGGGCCTCCCCTCTCTGCACAGTGAATCTCTGGTGGCTAATGCCTGGGTCACTGACTGTATGTAAGGGTCTTACATCCTTACATCAATGAAATGTCCAATGTCTGCCCAATTCAAAGGGAGACTACAATGTCCCCACTGCTTTTCCAGGCCCAGCCCCTGTCCCATCTGGGGCCTGAGTCCCAACCCTTTATTTCATCCACACCCCAATTCCGGCCCACACCTATGGCTCAGGCCCATCTTCAATCCTCTTTCCCAGTCCTATCTCCTGCTTTTCCATCCCCGATGAAGAACACTGGAGTAGCTTGCCCTGCGTCGCAGAATAAAGTGCAAGCTCTCTCCCTACCTGAAACTCAGCACCCTGAATGGCCTTTGTTGAGGAAACAACTATAAGGTGGGTTGGCTTTACCCCCTAGGGTCCAAAAATCTCAGGACATCTTTAGTGTCTCCACTCCTAACCTTCCCCAGGAAAGGGGACACCCATTCTGCCTGAGAACTTTCCAGTCAGTCCTGAACTCCAGAGCAACATATTGAAAAGTGGTTCATTCAACACCAGGGCAAGATTCAAGAGTCTCTGGATCTGATGCAGCTTTGGGATGAATTGCCAGGGAAAAGTCAGGCGAAGGGCAAACCCAGGTCCTGGCAGTCCTCCATGTCCACAGGTGAAAGCAGCAAGGAGGCACAGAAGGTGAAGTTCCAGCTAGAGAGGGACCTGTGCCCACATCTGGGGCAAATTCTGGGTGAGGCCCCGCAAAATCTATCCAGGGGCATAGAAAGCTTCCCAGGGAAGACTCTGGGGGTGACCTCTGAAGAGTCAGAAAGGAACTTGAGGAAGCCCTTGAGGAGTGACTCGGTAGGGATTTATTAAGACTCACGGACAGGAATCATATAGAAAACATCCTGAAAGCCCACATGGGTAAGAGGTTGGGCCAGACCAACGAGGGCTTGATCCCCGTGAGTATGCATCGATCCTGGCTTGCTGTCAACCAGGCTCTTCCCGTGTCCAACACCCACATGAAAACCAGCAATCTAGCACCCCCCAAAAGTGGGAAAGCCTGTGTGAACACAGCCCAGGTGCTTTCCTTCCTTGAGCCATGTACTCAACAGGTGCTGGGAGCCCACATTTTGAGGTTTTGGGCCAAACACAGGTGGGGTCCACCCCTCAGGGTCCTCAAGCCCATTCAGTGCTTTAAACTGGTTTCATCCTTGTGCAATACACAGCTTGCCGGTCCCTCCTCAGCCACCTGTGAATCTGGGGCTGGCTCAAAAGTTGAGGTGGCCACGTTCCTTAGAAAGCCACCAATGGCAAGTCTGAGAAAGCAGGTGCTGACCAAAGCATCTGTTCACATGCCAGAGAGGCTTCAGGCCTCCTCACCTGCATGTAAGCAGTTCCAGAGGGCCCCACGAAGGATCCCATCTTGGAATGATCATGGGTCCTTGAAGGCTCCTACAGCTGGACAGGAGGGCAGGTGGCCATCTAAGCCCCTCACATACAGCCTCACAGGCAGCACCCAGCAGAGCAGGAGCTTAGGAGCCCAATCTTCAAGGGCGGGAGAGACCAGGGAGGCAGTGCCACAACCCAGAGTCCCCTTGGCAACCTGTATGTTGGCAAACATCCAAACCACAAGTGAGGATGTGCGTGGTTTCGAGGCTCCAGGGGCCAGCAAAAGCTCTCTCCTCCCTAGAATGTCTGTCTCCCAAGATCCAAGAAAGCTGTGTCTTAGGGAGGAGGTTGTTAGTGAATTTGAGCCTGGAATGGCCACGAAGTCAGAGACCCAGCCTCAAGTTTCTGCCGCTGTTGTGTTCCTTCCAGATGGGCAAGCATCTGTTGTGCCCCATGCTTCAGAGAATTTGGCTTCTCAAGTGCCCCAGAGCCATCTCCAGAGCACGCCTACTGGGAACATGCGGGCTTCCCAGGAGCTACGTGACCTCATGGCAGCCAGAAGGAGCAACCCGGGGCAGGGGCACAAGGAGCCCAGGAACCCAAACTGTCAAGGTTCATGCCAGAGCCAAAGGCCAATGTTTCCCCCTACTCACAAGAGGGAGAACCCTAGGAAGCCCAACTTAGAAAAACATGAAGAAATGTTTCAAGGACTGAGGACTCCTCAACTTACCCCGGGCAGGAAGACGGAAGACAGAACACACCCATCAGAATGAAGGCATCCAGCTACTGCCATCAAAGAAACAGCCTCCTTCAATAAGCCACTTTGGAGAAAACATCAAGCAATTTTTTCAGAGGTTTTTATCAGAGAAAAAAAGCAAGCCAGCACCAGTCACTGCTGAGAGCCAAAAGCCAGTAAAAAACTGATCATGCATGTACAGCAGCAGTGCTGAAGCTCAGCGGCTCATGACAGCAGTTGGACAGATACTGGAGGAGAAAATACCACTTTGCCATGTGCGCCATGCCTCGAAGGTAAATCAGCACCAACAGCAGTTTCAAGCCCCAGTCTGTGGATTTCCCTGCAACCACAGGCACCCCTTCTACTCAGAACACAGCAGAATGCTGAGCTATGCAGCCAGCAGTCAGCAAGCCACCCTCAAGAGCCAGAGTTGTCCCATCAGAGACAGAGAAATTGATCAACAGACCTTGAAAAGTGTCCGGTGCAACAATGAGGGCCTTCACTGTCCCTCTTTCTGTCAGCATTTTAATCACAACTGTTTAACAAGTCTCTACAATGGTCCAAACTTTCCCTCATCTTCCTGTCTTCTTCCAAGTCCTCCAAACTCTCCACCCTCTGGCTGTTAGCCACTTCTGAACCTGCTTTTATATTTTCAGCTATCTTTGTCACAGCCTGGCAATGTAGAAGGAAAAAAGGCCATTTTCAGAGCAAACTTCAAGAAGACTTCAGATATTTGCATTAAAAAGAAGACCAGTGTTAACAGAGAACACGGTGGGGAAAAGTCATTGAAGGCATTTCATAGCTTCACTTCGCAGTACTAATTTTCTGTATGATCATAACAAAAGGGATTTAGTTGGCTAGGCTAACTAACTCAGGAAGCCTCCCCATCATACCAGAAGGACAAGCAGCAATAAAATGTTTCATATGGCAGGAGTAGGAGCAAGACAGAGAGGAAAGAGATATCATACCCTGTTATACAACCAGATCTCATGAGAACTCAGTATCACAAGGTCAGCATCAAGAAGAAGGTGCTTAACCATTGGTGAATGATCCACCACCCCACTCACCTCCACCCCCAACTGTTTCCAGGCAGAAAACTGATGCAGAGGCAGAGCCACTTGGAATACCTCTACTAGGGCAGTGCAGAAGGAACATATGGGCTTGAAGGCCCCATGCAGCAGGCCATCATCCTAGAGACATAGACCCACCAACAACCCACACCCTCAGTATGGAAAAGGTACAGGCACTTAACACCAGCCCAGCCCATGAAAGCATCCATGAGGGCTAAAGCCGGCAAAGCCACAGGTGCACTGTTCTAGTAGAGGTTTCCCATGAGCCTCTGCCTCTGCAGCAGGTTACTCCCCCTTCCTACTACCCACCAGCCTCCCACCACACTACGGCCAGGCTACTCCTCCCCACCCTCCCCACCCCTTTCTCCTTACACCCCCACCCTCCTCCCATTCATGATTAAATCACCTCCCACCAGGCTTCACCACCCAAATTTGGGATTACAATTTCACATGAGTTTTTCTAGCAAAACACAGCCAAACCATATTATTCCGACCTTGACCCTTCTGAATCTCAGGTTCTTCTCACAGGGTAAAATACAATCATGCCTTTTCAAAAGTTTCCAAAAGCCTTAACTCATTCCAGCACTAACTCAACTATAAAAAGTTCAAAGTCTCATCCGAGACAAGGCTACAGTATCTTCTGCCTATGAGTCCCTGAAGTTAAAACGGAGTTCTTTTCTTTCAAGGTACAACGATGGTACAGACATTGGGTAAGCTTTCTTAATCCAAAGGGAAGAAATTTCCCAGAAAAATAACACAAATGGGACCACAGGCCCAATGCACATCCAAAACCCAGCAGACCAGTATTCAATCTCACAGCTACGAAATTATGACGAGAACTATCAGAAGGACAGCATTAAGGAGATGGTATTTAACCATTTGTGAAGGATCTGCCCCCACCCCTGTCTTTCACCCCCAATGCCACCATAATTCCCCCCAATTCTCCCTGACACCCCCACCTTCCAACCTCCACTCTCCACCATGATTAAATCACCTTCCACCAGCCCCCACCTTTAACATTTCCCGTTATAGTTCCACATTAGTGGGACACAGAGCCAAGTCATATTATTCTGTCCCTGCCCACTCAAATCTCATGTCTTTCTCACATTGCAAAATACAATGGTGCCTTCCCTACAGTCCCCCAAATCTTAACTCATTCCAGCAAATGTCCAAAGCCCAAAGTTTTATCTGAGACAAGGATACAGTCCCTTCTGCCCATAAGCCTCTGAATTATAAAGCAAGTTAACTACTTCCAAGGTACAATGATTGTACAGGCAATGGGTAAGCATTCCCAGCCAATAGAAGAAAAATTGCCTGAAAGAAAAACAAACACTGATGGGACTCACAGGATACATGAACGTCCAAAATGCAGCAGGCCAGTCATTCAATCCTACAGCTCCAAAATCATCCTTTTGGAATCCTTGTCCCACATCCATGGCACAGGGGTGTGAGGGCTGGGTTCCCAAGGCTTTGGGCAGATATGCACCTGTGGGTTTGCAGTGATCAGTCCCCACTGCTGCCCTCATGGACAGCGCTGGTGTTGAGTGCCTGTAGCTTTTCCACAGAGAGGGGGTAAGCTGTTGGTGGGTCTATGAATCTGGGGTTTGGAGGATGGTGCCTCCCTGTGTGAGGGCTTCAATCCAATATGTCCATTCTTTGCTGCCTTAGTAAAACTTTCCATGAGGCTCTACCTCTTGGAAAGGCTTCCGCCTGGACACCCAGGCTTTTCTGTACATCCTCTGGAGTCTAGACGCAGGCTCCCAAGCCTCTAGTCTCTTGCTCTGTGCACTTGCTGGCTTAACACTATGTGGAAGCCATCAAAGCTTGGAGCCACTTCTGAAGCAGTGACCCAAGCTGTACCTGTGCATCTTTCAGCCATGGCTGGAGCTGGAGCTGCACGGATGCAGGCAGCAGTGTCCTGAGGATGCACACAGCAGGGAGGCCATGGAGCTGGCCCAGGAAACCATTTTTCTCTTCTAGGCCGCAGGGCCTGTGACAGCAAGAGTTGCTGCAAAGGTCTCTGAAATGCCTTCAAGGCCTTTTCCCCATTGACTTGGCTATTTGCACTGGGCTCTTTTTTATGCAAATACTCTAAATGTTCCCTAATTTTCCTCCTGAAAATCAGCTTTTCTTTTTGACCATTTGGCTAGGCTGCAAATTTTTTAAATTTTTGAGCTCTGCTTCTCATTTAAATAGAAGTTGCAACTTGAGGTCATTTCTTAGGTCGCACATAAGAACACAGGCTGTTCAACGCGGACAGGACACCTCTGGAGCTATGCTGCCTACATGTTCATTCCATCAGATACATCCTAAATTATCACCCCCAAGTTCATAGTTTCACAGATCTCCAGGGCAGGGTCACCATGCAGCCACGTTCTTTGTTAAGGCCAATCAAATGTAACTGTGGCTCCTGTTCACAGGAAATTCCTCATTTTCATCTGAGACCTTTTAAGTCTGGCCTTCACTGTCCATCTTTCTGTCAGCCTTCTGATCACAAGTATTTAACAATTCTTTTCAGTGGTCCAAACTTTTCCTCATCTTGCTGTTTTCTAAGCGTTCTCAACTCTCCCAACCTCTGTCTTTTACCCACTTCTGAACCTGCTTCTACATTCTCAAGATATCTTTGTCACAGCCTGGTAATGTGGTAAAAGAAGAAAAGTCCATTTTCAGGGGGAAAATTCATGAAGGCTTCAGATATTTGCATGAAAAGAAGCTGAGTGTTGATTGCTAAGACGATGGGGAAAAGGCCTTGAAGGCATTTCATAGCTCCACTTCACAGCACTAATTTTGTGTATAATCATAAAGAAAAGAGGTGTAATTGGCTCACAGTTCTGCAGGCTGTAAAGGAAGCATACTGGCTTCTGCTTCTAGGAGGACTCAGGAAGCCTCCCAATCATACCAGAAGTCCAACGGGCAAGGAGATGCTTCATATGGCAGGAGTAGAAGCAAGACTGAGAAAGGAAAGAGGTCCCACACCCTGTTATACAACCAGATCTCATCAGAACTCTGTATCACAAGGTCAGCATCAAAAAGATGGTGCTTAACCACTGGTGAAGGATCCGCCCCCCCACACCCACCTCCACCTCCCACCGTTTCCAGGCAGAAGCCTGCTGCAGAGGCAGAGCCAGATTCATAGACCCACCAACAGCTTGCACCCTCAGTGTGGAAAAGCTACAGGCACTCAACACTAGCCCAGTCCATGAGAGCAGCCGTGGGGCTAAAACTTGCAAAGCCACAGGTGCACTGCCCTAGTAGAGGTTGTCCATGGGGCTGTGCCTCTGCAGCAGGCGACTCCCCACTCCCAGTGCTTTATCATTCGTGAAGGATCTTCCCGCACCATTTTATGACTAAATTTTTTTCTACCTAGGCCCCACCTCTAATGTTAGGGAGTATAGTTCCACATGAGTTTTGATAGGGACATAGAGACAAACCCTATTATTCTATCCCTGACCCCACAAACATCATGTCCTTCTCACATTGCAAAATACAATCATGCCTTGCCAGCAGGAGTCTTAACTCGTTTCAGCATTAACTAAAAGTTACAAAGTCCAAAGTCTCATCTGAGTCAAGGCTACAGTCTCTTTTTCCTATGAGCCTCTGAAATAAAAAGCAAGTTCACTGCTTCTAAGGTACAATGATGGTACAGGCATTGTGTAAGCTTTCCATATCCAAAAGGAAGACATTTCCCAGAAAGCTTCTTATTTCTATCTGAGACCTCCTCAGCCTGGCCTTCAATGTCCATGTTTCTGTCAGGACTTTTGTCACAACCATTTAACCAATCTAAGATGGTCCAAACATTTTCTCATCTATCTGTCTTCTTTTGAGCCCTACAAACTCTTCCAACCTCTGTCCATTACCTAGTTCCAAAGCTGCTTCCACATTTTCAGGTATCTTTATAGCAATGCTCCAGTCCTCATTTGCCATTTTCTGTATGATTCATTTTGAAAAAGAGGTTTAATTGGCTCATGGTTCTGCAGGGTAGACAGGGTAGACAGAAGCATTGGCTTCTGCTTCTGGGAGTTCTCAGAAATCTTTCAATCTTTGTGCAAGGTGAAGAGAGAGAGAGTTGTCTCACATGGCAAGAGGAAAACACGCAGAGTAGGGAGGTGACATAGAGTTTTCAATGACCAAGTCTCATGAGAAGTCACTCATGATTGTGAGGACAGTAGCAAGAGGATTGTGCTAAACCATTCATGAGAAATTTGCCTTCAGGATTCAATCACCTTAGACCAGGATCCACCTTCCACATTAGGAAATATAATTCAACATGAGATTTGGTGGGGATACATATTCAAATTGCATCATCAATCTTTGAATATAAAGACATCCACAGCAGGCTTTATCCAGCCAGCTTCTTTGAGACTCTTCACAGGGTTTGAGGTCTACAGCATATATACTAAAATATTCATCCTTCAAAAAGCAATAAAATAAGTGGTATCATTCTTCCAAAAGTTACAATGGTAGTGTAGGCATTCATAGCATGATTTAGTTCATGTTTGCTACTCTTTCTATTCTATCACCATATTAACTGTTTCCTACACAATTCTACATTCAGCTGAGTTTCAGTTGAGAGCAAAACCATCCTTGTCCTACCACCAATAGCTAGCACTAGCTCTTTGCTAGTGTTATTATTCTGCTGCAGAAAGTATCCTTGAACTGGAAATAGTCCACAGGGGAGTATCTATTCATTCAACACTATCAATTCCTGGGTGACTTTTTGAAAAAATAGTATCTCTAGTTGCAAGAAATCCTGCATCTGTGAGTTCATATCTCTCACTCAAATTGGATGGAAGTGGTGAATTTCAGCCAAAGTGTCCCAAAAAATCCTGTTCCTGTGATTCTGACGTTATCAGCCTCTGCACCTCTGTCCTCCCTTCTGCCACATGTTGCCTACTCTCCATGACTTTGGTAAGAGCTTCCTTGTGTATGTGGATGATGTCCAGGATGTTGGTCTGGTGTCCCTGAGACAGCACTAACAGGTCCATGACTGAGTCCACTTCCTGGCTGGGTTCATTGGCAAAGAGCTCACAGACGGTGTTGAAGGCATCTCTGGTGAAGTGATGGCCTGTTCCAGATCCAAGACCTGGCTAAGGCGGAAGAAGAACTGGCTGCCTTCTGCTGCTCTTTCTTAAAGCCTCTGACCATCATCAACTTGCATGTCAACTCATTGGCTGTGAAGTTGAGCTGAGTGCCCTGTTGTCCATCTTCTTGATGAAGCACTCGAAGCCTTCAATTTTGCTCTCCCACTTCTAAAGGTTGAGGGCCACCCTGGGGGTGGGCTCAGAGTCAGGAAGAAGCTGGAACTCACCACCTCATCCTTCTCAGCCTTCCTCTTGCCCTGTCTCCAGGCTGTCTTTTCAGCGCTGGTGGGGCACATCAGGAAGTGACAGAAGATGTGGCACTGTGCCTGCACCCAGAAGCTGGCCGTGTGGTTCATCCACCAGATTGGGCCCTTTCTGCACTTGAACATAGAGTCCTCCTCAAGATGGCCTGTGGTCTGCCTCTTGGCACCCAAGAAGCCCACAGTGCTGTAGGAGCCCTGATGCATGGACTGGAACCCCAAAGGCAGCGCACACCCTGCTCCTGAGCCTGCTGCTCATTTCCTCTATGTGGCTCCATTTGTAGCACAGTTGTTGCACTGAGGCCTGTGCATGCCAGGCAAGGCCAAGCTGGCTCAAAGAACAAACAGCCACCTCTGCAAGGGTGTGCCAGGAGCAGGTGGACCAGCCACGAACCTCACTCGCTGCCAGTCAGGGTAAATTAGTTATTCTGCCCTGGAGGTAGGTCCCCAGTGCCATCTGCTTTTCCTTAGGCCTCCTCTCCATCAGTCATCAGGTGGCAGCCACTCAGGCTGTGGGAACCTGGCCACCCCTGTTTCCTTGAGTGGGTGAGGCTCGTGGCTGGTCCACCTGCTCCAGGCACACCCTTGCAGAGGTGGCTTGTTGCTCTTTGAGCCAGCATGGCCTTGCCTGGCATGCACAGGCTCTGGGTACTGACATGCTGCTCTGAGCGAGCTTGTCCTGTCTTGGGCCAAATTCTAAGTCTGGCCAGAGCCACAGAAGGCTGAGTCCCCTGGGTGGTAATCCTGACTGCTGCTGGAGGGCCCATGGTGCCCCTCCCCTCCTAGGGCCCAGGATGAGGCCCAGCTGGGCCAGGACACTTTAGGTATGGATCTTGTTTCCCAGGAGGGGGCCTCTGTCCCACAGGTTGGGTGAGAAGATGTATGCCATGCTGCTGGCTGCCAGGGTTGTCAGGATGCCACGTTCACCCTCCCCTCCAGGGACATCAAAGTTTCCAGCTTCCCCTTTGAGAATGACTTCCCAAGGCCCAGGAGCCATGTGGGGCTGCCGGGCAGCTGGCCACATGCTGCCCTGGCTTCTTCCATGTTGTGTTCATCACTACCCACCAAGGGGGGTCAGATGCAGGCACCAAGTAGGGCAGTTGTCTCTGGACCTGCATCTTGGTTATCATGAAGCCAGACTGGGCCTGGTGACAGGGCCATGATGGGGTGGGCCTGGTGACAGGGCCATGATGGGGTTGTCCTGGTGGTCCTGTGGGTGTCCAGAGGAGATGCAGAATGGAATTGCTGCCAGGATGAATCAGATGACTGTCAGCACAGAACAGGCACCTGGTGAGTGCTCAGGGTTTACCCTCAGTAGCTGCCCAGAGGCCAAAACCACCCACCTGATAGCGACTGTCCCTAAACCAGGAGGAAGAGAAGACAGCAGGTTCCACTCACTTAAGTCTGATCAGTGAGCTGTGCTGAGATGTGCCTCTCACCTAGAAAACGGTCCTTCATGCAGAGCCACTCACAGACACTGCTGTGTGTCTCTAACTGCTCCACAACACAAAGGCGATGGGGGCTCAGCAACAGTGACATCGTGGGGTGACACAATGCACCACAACAGGAGCCTGCTTGGGTCAAGAGGGCCCAGAATCAGTATCCTGTATCCCCTGAACTCACATGTGTGCATGCAATGTGTTTATGCATGCATGTGTGTATGTGTGTGTGTATGCACATATGGGTGTGTTTGTCTTGCTTCTCTGGCCTGACCTAGCTGCTCACTCACAGGTGCACCCAGGTCCTCATCACTATCACCACCAGGGCCCAGGGCCAGGATTAGAGCCTCCACAGGTGCTTCCCCAATCTCTGCCCTCCCCACAGGGGGTGGTCCTGGGGATGCAGACAGAGGAGGGGCGCTGAGCAGAGCAGAGAGGGCTGGCACCCTCTCCAGGTGGAACCCAGGTCATGTGTAAAGTTGGAGGTCTGCCAAGCAGTGCTGGATTCAACACATCTTCTCACTTTCCCTTTCCAGCAACCCTCCAGGGTGCCCTGACTCACCTTCCCTACAGATGGAGGCAGGGAGGCTCCACAGACAAACCCCCTGCCTAAGGTCACATAGCAGCCAACTGGCCAGGTTCCTACTGACCAGGCATCCCCCAACCAGGTCCCACTGACAAGGCCCCTAATGACCACTCCTCCATTGACCAGGTCCCACTGGCCAAGTCCCCACTGACCATATCTCCATAACCAGGAAGAGGCCCCTATTAATAGGCCTCATGGACCAGACCCCACTGACTGGGTTCCCACTGACAAGACCACAATTTACCAGGTTGCCCCTCACCTCACCCCCACTGAACAATTCTCCATGGATCAGTCCCCAGCTGACTGAGCCCCCTCTGACCAGGCCATCACTGACCAGGCTCCAAGCCACTAAGGCCCCACACTGACCAGACCCCTAATATACTGAATAGACCCCACCGACCAGTTTTTTATTGTTTATGTTCCAACCGATCAGGCCCCACTAATAAGGCCACCACTGACCAGGTCCCCACTGACTAGGCTTCCAATGACTAGGTCACCAGGTCCCCATTGGTGAGGCCTTCACTGAGGAGGCCACCCTCTAGCCAGGTCCCTGCTGATCAAGTCCCAACTGACCAGGTCCTGCTAACTAGGTCATCTCTGACCATGGTCCACTGATGAGGCCCCTGTGCAGCGGTGCTCAACGTCTCATTACAATGCCCCAATCAGCCCACAGACCCTCCCTCCCTGCATGTGTGCCCAGAGATCAGGCCCTGGGGGTTTTCTTGGGCCCCAAGGCCTCTCCTCCAAGACACAGGGAGGGACAGTCAGCCTCAGGCTTCAGGTACCCAGCTTCACACTCACCCCCCAAGGCCCTCTGGGCCCATCTCAAAGGAGACAATGAGGTGGCCTGGCACTGCCTGGACATGCCATCTACCCTATTCCTGAGTGTCAGAGTGGGAGGAAGGGAGGGACATTTGGTAGACGAGACACCCTGTGCTGCTGGGTCTCCCAGGGCCCTTCCCGCAGAGCCCCGATCCAGAGACACAGCACAGAGGCTGCAGGGAAACTAATCCAGAACCCTTGAGGCTGAGCCAGGGACCACAAGAGGACTGTCCCCAGACAGCTAGAAGGCCCTTTGCTAGTTTCTTGGTACCTCAGTGGATGCAGCAACAGTTCTTCTGTTGGGGACTAGTGAGTGTGTGCTGGGGAAGGCTCACCTCTGCTTCCTCGGTGGTTCCAACTCTGCTTCTAAGAAAAATTACTCATTCTAGGACTGGGACAGAGAAAATACAAGATTAGTTTAGAACATCTTGTGCCAGAAAGTAAAAAGGTGCTGACAAGAGTAACAGAGACAAATAAAAAAGACATAAAGTCAGACACAAAGAAATGTCTACCACTGGCCTGATCTTGGGGAATTGGAGCACCAGAATCATGAGCTTTCCCTTCTCCTTTATTTATTGGTTTTATTTCTCCATGTAGAACAAAGAAGAGAATATGAAAATAATCATCTGGCAACCATCACAGTAATACTTGTTCAAAGACAAGATATCAATGAAATGCTAAATCTAGTGGGTTTTTAGGAGTAACCAGATATTTACAGAGCCTCAAAGTATCTCCACACAAAATACGGTTAACCTACAAAAAGAAATTCATAACATTAGTATGGACAAACCTGGCAGGTACTCCTTAAGTATCCTACTATATATAGTAATAAAACCTGCAAAATGCAAAGAAGCCTTCGACGACCTTTACTAAAGTATCAAGGATGACTTGGTTGTTTGGCTTATTAAACAGCTGACATTCGGGCAATTTGAGTATGTCAAACTCCATAATACTGGTGTTCATTTGCAAGATCCACTTAAAACTTAAGGAGGCTAAAAAACATCATTTAAAATACCATATAAATTTTCATCATACATATGATATGAAAATATTCTACTTTAGTAAAGATTGTGATGTTATATATTTTATAAGAAATAATTAAAACTTCATGTAAATAGCCCAGTAATAAAGTTTTATGACCTTTTAAATCACACAACTTTTCCTTAAGATTTTATGGTTAAATATTCTCTTTATTAGATGTGGCTTACCAGTGGATTCTAGAGAAGAAAGTAGACAGGAGCAAGTGCCCAACACAGCAAAAGCTGGAAAGAAAAAGAAAGGATTATGTTCTCTACCCAAAACATTTCAGTTAACTAAGTGTGAGTTTAAAATCTAAAGAGAACGTTATCAGAGTTATTAAGAATGAGAAATATGTACGTACAATTACAATACAAAATTACTATTAAATAATTAACACATGGCATTAATTCTAATTGTGGTTAAATATCGCAGCTTTTTCATTCTTCATTCGCGTACTCAACACCCACGTGCTAAGGCACTAGGATCAGTACTGGAATTACAAGATGAAGATGGCATTGTCCACCTCTCAACAGTCATATGCTATAACCTAAAACAACAGACAGGCAGGCAATGTCTATATAGAGTCATAGACACTATGACAGGTATAAAGCAGGGCACTACTGGAACACACAGAAGGGACATCTCTCCCACTTTTGTGTCAATATCATGGGCTTTGTGGTGGAGGAGATACATAGGTTGATACCTGAAGGACAAAGAAAAGCTTGCCAGATAGAGAGACGAGGCGAAGGCAAAGAACCTGAGGTGAGGAAGAGCCCTACAGAGTTCTACTCCATCCACTTTTGTGCTAGAGCAAAGGGCAGAGTGAGGTAAGTGGCAAGAGATAAGGCTGAGTAACTTGACAAGAATTACATTGACATGGGTGTTTTTATTTCATGGTGAAAATTTTGGAACTTTTCCTGAGAACAGATGTAAGCCAATGACACAGTAAATGACAGGAGATTTAAAATGTCACCTGTCAAGTGACTGCTTATGAAGGGTTATTCCTCAACTAAATATTTCTAAATGAGTCTGAGGTCTGTTGGCCTTCAATCTCTACCAAAACCCAGAGAACTTGATGATGCCTTTGTTTTCAGAGAATCCTTCCAGTGTGCTGGCTGACAGTTCCATGAGGATGGCAAAAGTGAAGAAATTGTAGCGCCAGTAAAAAAGAGATGGATACACTTCTTGGGAATTTTTTAAGCTATGGGACATGATGAATTAATGGTGCATGAGTATACTCTTCACTGTGAAAGTTTTTGTTTTCACATCTTTCATTAGATGTGTGTAAGAAAAAGATACTGAACGTAGTATCTACTAACCCAATAATGAAAAGGAATGCCATTTGCTATTTACACTTTATTACTAAAATAAACCTAAATTTAATTAATAAATTTTGGAAACATACTTTTCTTTGTTTCTGTAATTATTTGTTCTACACAGTCTGGCTCCATCTAAAATACATTAAAAAAATAATGTTCAAGTTAAACAAGAGACATTATCATGAGAATAATACACCACTTACAAAATGTGGCCTTTAGTATTTTTAGGGACTAGACATAACATGAAGTTTGCTTAAAAACAAAAATAATCACATAAATAAAGTAAAATTCCTACTTATTTTAAGTTTAGATAATAGAGGATGTATCTGTGTAATGCTATTTAGAGTAATCTGATAAAAATAGATAATATTGGTCCATTGGATATACATAATTTTAGAAAAGTGGTGTTTTATTGGTACAAAGGTTAAACAATGGCTGGGCACAGTGGCTCATGCCTGTAATCCCATGACTTTGGGAGGCCAAGGTGGGCAGATCATGAGTTCAAGAGATCAAGACCATCCTGACCAACATGGTGAAACCTTGACTCTACTAAAACTACAAAAATTAGCTAATTTTCAGTCCCCAGAGTGTGATGTTTCCCTTCCTGTGTCCATGTGTTCTCAATGTTCAATTCCCACCTATGAGTGAGAATATACAGTGTTTGGTTTTTTGTTCTTGTGATAGTTTACTGAGAATGATGATTTCCAATTTCATCCATGTCCCTACAAAGGACATGAACTCATCACTTTTTATGGCTGCATAGTATTCCATGGTGTATATGTGCCACATTTTCTTAATCCAGTCTATCATTGTTGGACATTTGGGTTGGTTCCAAGTCTTTGCTATTGTGAATAGTGCTGCAATAAACATACGTGTGCATGTGTCTTTATAGCAGCATAATTTATAGTCCTTTGGGTATATACCCAGTAATGGGATGGCTGGGTCAATGGTATTTCTAGTTCTAGATCCCTGAGGAATCGCCGCACTGACTTCCACAATGGTTGAACTAGTTTACAGTCCCACCAACAGTGTAAAAGTGTTCCTATTTCTCCACATCCTCTCCAGCACCTGTTGTTTCCTGACTTTTTGATGATTGCCATTCTAACTGGTGTGAGATGGTATCTCATTGTGGTTTTGATTTGCATTTCTCTGATGACCAGTGATGCTGAGCATTTTTTCATGTGTTTTTTGGCTGCATAAATGTCTTCTTTTGAGAAGTGTCTGTTCATGTCCTTTGCCCACTTTTTGATGGGGTTGTTTTTTCTTGGAAATTTGTTTGAGTTCATTGTAGATTCTGGATATTAGCCCTTTGTCAGATGAGTAGGTTGCAAAAATTTTCTCCCATTTTGTAGGTTGCCTGTTCACTCTGATGGCAGTTTCTTTTGCTGTGCAGAAGCTCTTTAGTTTAATTAGATCCCATTTGTCAATTTTGGCATTTGTTGCCATTACTTTTGGGGTTTTAGACATGAAGTCCTTGCCCATGCCTATGTCCTGAATGGTAATGCCTAGGTTTTCTTCTAGGGTTTTTATGGCTTGAGTTCTAACGTTTAAGTCTTTAATCCATCTTGAATTAATTTTTGTATAAGGTGTAAGGAAGGGATCCAGTTTCAGCTTTCTACATATGGCTAGCCAGTTTTCCCAGCACCATTTATTAAATAGGGAATCCTTTCCCCATTGCTTGTTTTTCTCAGGTTTGTCAAAGATCAGATAGTTGTAGATATGTGGCGTTATTTCTGAGGGCTCTGTTCTGTTCCATTGATCTATATCTCTGTTTTGGTACCAGTACCATGCTGTTTTGGTTACTGTAGCCTTGTAGTATAGTTTGAAGTCAGGTAGCGTGATGCCTCCAGCTTTGTTCTTTTGGCTTAGGATTGACTTGGTGATGTGGGCTCTTTTTTGGTTCCATATGAACTTTAAAGTAGTTTTTTCCAATTCTGTGAAGAAAGTCATTGGTAGCTTGATGGGGATGGCATTGAATCTACAAATTACCTTGGGCAGTATGGCCATTTTCATGATATTGATTCTTCCTACCCATGAGCGTGGAATGTTCTTCCATTTCTTTGTATCCTCTTTTATTTCATTGAGCAGTGGTTTGTAGTTCTCCTTGAAGAGGTCCTTCACATCCCTTGTAAGTTGGATTCCTAGGTATTTTATTCTCTTTGAAGCAATTGTGAATGGGAGTTCACTCATGATTTGGCTCTCTGTTTGTCTGTTATTGGTGTATAAGAATGCTTGTGATTTTTGTACATTGATTTTGTATCCTGACACTTTGCTGAAGTTGCTTATCAGCTTAAGGAGATTTTGGCTGAGACAATGGGGTTTTCTAGATATACAATCATGTCATCTGCAAACAGGGACAATTTGACTTCCTCTTTTCCTAATTGAATACCCTTTATTTCCTTCTCCTGCCTAATTGCCCTGGCCAGAACTTCCAACACTATGTTGAATAGGAGCGGTGAGAGAGGGCATCCCTGTCTTGTGCCACTTTTCAAAGGGAATGCTTCCAGTTTTTGCCCATTCAGTATGATATTGGCTGTGGGTTTGTCATAGATAGCTCTTATTATTGAGATATGTCCCATCAATACCTAATTTATTGAGAGTTTTTAGCATGAAGGGTTGTTGAATTTTGTCAAAGGCCTTTTCTGCATCTATTGAGATAATCATGTGGTTTTTGTCTTTGGTTCTGTTTATATGCTGGATTACATTTATTGATTTGCGTATATTGAACCAGCCTTGCATCCCAGGGATGAAGCCCACTTGATCATGGTGGATAAGCTTTTTAATGTGCTGCTGGATTCGGTTTGCCAGTATTTTATTGAGGATTTTTGCATCAATGTTCATCAAGGATATTGGTCTAAAATTCTCTTTTTTGGTTGTGTCTCTGCCAGGCTTTGGTATCAGGATGATGCTGGCCTCATAAAATGAGTTAGGGAGGATTCCCTCTTTTTCTATTGATTGGAATAGTTTTAGAAGGAATGGTACCAGTTCCTCCTTGTACCTCTGGTAGAATTCGGCTGTGAATCCATCTGGTCCTGGACTCTTTTTGGTTGGTAAGCTATTGATTATTGCCACAATTTCAGAGCCTGTTATTGTTCTATTCAGAGTCAACTACTTCCTGGTTTAGTCTTGGGAGGGTGTATATGTCAAGGAATTTATCCATTTCTTCTAGATTTTCTAGTTTATTTGCATAGAGGTGTTTGTAGTATTCTCTGATGGTAGTTTGTATTTCTGTGGGATCGGTGGTGATATTCCCTTTATCATTTTTTATTGCGTCTATTTGATTCTTCTCTCTTTTCTTCTTTATTAGTCTTGCTAGCGGTCTATCAATTTTGTTGATCCTTTCAAAAAACCAGCTCCTGGATTCATTAATTTTTTGAATGGTTTTTTGTGTCTCTATTTCCTTCAGTTCTGCTCTGATTTTAGTTATTTCTTGCCTTCTGCTAGCTTTTGAATGTGTTTGCTCTTGCTTTTCTAGTTCTTTTAATTGTGATGTTAGGGTGTCAATTTTGGATCTTTCCTGCTTTCTCTTGTGGGCATTTAGTGCTATAAATTTCCCTCTACACACTGCTTTGAATGCATCCCAGAGATTCTGGTATGTTGTGTCTTTGTTCTCATTGGTTTCAAAGAACATCTTTATTTCGGCCTTCATTTCGTTATGTACCCATTAGTCATTCAGGAGCAGGTTGTTCAGTTTCCATGTAGTTGAGCAGTTCTGAGTGAGTTTCTTAATCCTGAGTTCTAGTTTGATTGCACTGTGGTCTGAGAGACAGTTTGTTATAATTTCTGATCTTTTACATTTGCTGAGGAGAGCTTTACTTCCAACTATGTGGTCAATTTTGGAATAGGTGTGGTGTGGTGCTGAAAAAAATGTATATTCTGTTGCTTTGGGGTGGAGAGTTCTGTAGATGTCTATTACGTCCACTTGATGCAGAGCTGAGTCCAATTCCTGGGTATCCTTGTTAACTTTCTGTCTCATTGATCTGTCTAATGTTGACAGTGGGGTGTTAAAGTCTCCCATTATTATTGTGTGGGAGTCTAAGTCTCTTTGCAGGTCACTCAGGACTTGCTTTATGAATCTGGGTGCTCCTGTATTGGGTGCATATATATTTAGGATAGTTAGCTCTTCTTGTTGAATTGATCCCTTTACCATTATGTAATGGCCTTGTCTTTTTTGATCTTTGTTGGTTTAAAGTCTGTTTTATCAGAGACTAGGATTGCAACCCCTGCCTTTTTTTGTTTTCCATTTGCTTGGTAGATCTTCCTCCATCTTTTTATTTTGAGCCTATGTGTGTCTCTGCATGTGAGATGGGTTTCCTGAATACAGCACACTGATGGGTCTTGACTCTTTATCCAATTTGCCAGTCTGTGTCTTTTAATTGGAGCATTTAGTCCATTTACATTTAAAGTTAATATTGTTATGTGTGAATTTGATCCTGTCATTATGATGTTAGCTGGTTATTTTGCTCATTAGTTGACGCAGTTTCTTCCTAGCCTCGATGGTCTTTACAATTTGGCATGATTTGGCTGGTACCGGTTGTTCCTTTCCATGTTTAGTGCTTCCTGCAGGAGCTCTTTTAGGGCAGGCCTGGTGGTGACAAAATCTCTCAGCATTTGCTTGTCTGTAAAGTATTTTATTTCTCTTTCACTTATGAAGCTTAGTTTGGCTGGATATGAAATTCTGGGTTGAAAATTCTTTTCTTTATGAATGTCGAATATCGGCCCCCACTCTCTTCTGGCTTGTAGAGTTTCTGCTGAGAGATCCGCTGTTAGTCTGATGGGCTTCCCTTTGTGGGTAACCCGTCCTTTCTCTCTGGCTGCCCTTAACATTTTTTCCTTCATTTCAACTTTGGTGAATCTGACAATTATGTGTCTTGGAGTTGCTCTTCTCGAGGAGTATCTTTGTGGCGTTTTCTGTATTTCCTGAATCTGAATGTTGGCCTGCCTCGCTAGATTGGGGAAGTTCTCCTGGATAATGTCCTGCAGAGTGTTTTCCAACTTGGTTCCATTCTCCCCGTCACTTTCAGGTACACCAATCAGACGTAGATTTGGTCTTTTCACATAGCCCCATATTTCTTGGAGGCTTTGTTCGTTTCTTTTTATTCTTTTTTCTCTAAACTTCCCTTCTTGCTTCATTTCATTCATTTCATCTTCCATCACTGATACCCTTTCTTCCAGTTGATCGCATTGGCTCCTGAGGCTTCTGCATTCTTCACATAGTTCTCGAGCCTTGGCTTTCAGCTCCATCAGCTCCTTTAAGCACTTCTCTGTATTGGTTATTCTAGTTATACATCCGTCTAAATTTTTTTCAAAGTTTTTAACTTCTTTGCCTTTGGTTTGAATTTCCTCCTGTAGCTCGGAGTAGTTTGATCGTCTGAAGCCTTCTTCTCTCAACTCGTCAAAGTCATTCTCCATCCAGCTTTGTTCTGTTGCTGGTGAGGAGCTGCATTCCTTTGGAGGAGGAGAGGCACTCTGCTTTTTAGAGTTTCCAGTTTTTCTGCTCTGTTTTTTCCCCATCTTTGTGGTTTTATCTACTTTTGGTCTTTGATGATGGTGATATACAGATGGGTTTTTGGTGTGGATGTCCTTTCTGTTTGTTAGTTTTCCTTCTAACAGACAGGACCCTCAGCTGCAGGTCTGTTGGAGTTTGCTACAGGTCCACTCCAGACCCTGTTTGCCTGGGTACCAGCAGCAGTGGCTGCAGAACAGCGGATTTTTGTGAACCGCGAATGCTGCTGTCTGATCGTTTCTCTGGATGTTTTGTCTCAGAGGAGTACCCGGCCGTGTGAGGTGTTAGTCTGCCCCTACTGGGGGGTGCCTCCCAGTTAGGCTGTTCAGGGGTCAGGGGTCAGGGACCCACTTGAGGAGGCAGTCTGCTGGTTCTCAGATCTCCAGCTGCATGCTGGGAGAACCACTGCTCTCTTCAAAGCTGTCAGACAGGGACATTTAAGTCTGCAGAGGTTACTGCTGTCTTTTTGTTTGTCTGTGCCCTGCCCCCAGAGGTGGATCCTACAGAGGCAGACAGGCCTCCTTGAGCTGTGGTGGGCTCCACCCAGTTCAAGCTTCCCAGCTGCTTTGTTTACCTAAGCAAGCCTGGGCAATGGCGGGCGCCCCTCCCCCAGCCTCGCTGCCGCCTTGCAGTTTGATCTCAGACTGCTGTGCTAGCAATCAGCGAGACTCCGTGGGCGTAGGACCCTCCGAGCCAGGTGCGGGATATAATCTCGTGGTGCACCGTTTTTTAAGCCCATCGGAAAAGTGCAGTATTGGGGTGGGAGTGACCCGATTTTCCAGATGCCGTCTGTCACCCCTTTCTTTGACTAGGAAAGGGAACTCCCTGACCCCTTGTGCTTCCCGAGTGAGGCAATGCCTCGCCCTGCTTTGGCTCACACACGGTGTGCTGCACCCACTGTCCTGCGCCCACTGACTGGCACTCCCTAGTGAGATGAACCCAGTACCTCAGATGGAAATGCAGAAATCACCCGTCTTCTGCGTCGCTCACGCTGGGAGCTGTAGACCAGAGCTGTTCCTATTTGGCCATCTTGGCTCAAGATTTTTTTATTTGCGAGTTTTTAAGTTTCTCTTTAAAGCATGCAGTTTCTATGGTTTAATAAGCAGGGCAACTGGCAGGCAAAACAGATCCACCAAAATTAAAGGTTTCATTTTTTTGGGTGTTTGTTTTTTGAGATTGAGTCTTACTCTGTTGCCCAGGCTGGAGTGCAGTGGCGCCATCTCGGCTCACCACAACCTCTGCCTCCCAGATTCAAGCAATTCTTCTGCCTCAGCCTCCTGAGTAGCTGGGATTGATTATAGGCGTCCACCACCATGCTCGGATAATTTTTTTTTTTTTTTTTAGGAGAGACAGGGTTTCACCATGTTGGCCAGGCTGGTCTCGAACTCCTGACCTCAGGTGATCCATCCACCTCGGCCTCCCAAAGTGCTGGGATTACAGGCGTGAGCCACTGTGCCTGGCCAAGGGTTCCATTTTTATACTGAATCCTGGGTCCCCAAAAAAAGGGGGTATCAGCTCATCTCCCATGGGAGTTTATCTCTCAGTGGGGGTGGGTCATTTCCATACTTTCTAGATGGCCAAGAGCATGCCCCTGTGATCCAAACATGCAAAGAGCTGAGTATCTCCCCATAACTGCCATTATCTAGCTCCAAAACTCTATTTCCTACCTAGTTATTATACGCCAAAGCTCTATCATAATGCGAAGTAATTTCTGATACCCCGGAAAGTAAAAAATGTCAGATAATGCAATGCAAAACAGAAAAGAGCCTTAGATTTTGAGAGGGATCTATTCACTTTCAATTCCCGGAGTTCCATAAGGAAAATGGAGGTTTTTCCCTAAATGGGGCCTGTGGCGCCTCCTCTGTTTTTCCCAAGGTGTCCCAGGCTGTTAGAGCTTGAATATCTGCTTTCAATTAAGCTGACTTTTAACCATAGTGGTCTTTAAAAAAAAAAAAAATCCCTCTAAATCTCTTATTATTCTTCTTTACCCAGGCCAAATGGCAGATATTTCTGCCTTTTAAACGTTAATAAAATTACCCTCACAGGTGAAACCAATAAGCCTTACCTCCTAAGCTAATGCATTGGGCAGTCTCCATAGCTCTCCCCAGAAGGAGCCTAGGGCAGCTAATTTTGAGCTTGTAAAGGCTTTTAATGGCTCAAGATAATTTTTAGGGCTATGACATGAACCCCAAAATTTCTGTTCCCTGGAAGGCAAAGACCAAAAGGAAGTACCAGCACGTGGTTACAAGGTCAAGCTCCCAAGGACATAAAACAAGATGAGAGGAAAACTTCATCCAGTTTTTTTTGTTGTTGTTTCAGGGACCTGTAGCAAAGTTTGTTACTGACCAGCTTGCTGGGCCATCTTGAACAGAGGGCTTATAGGATCCTAGGCCTGTATTCTATCCTAAGGTACCGTTCTCCCTTATAGAACAACACAGAAATACAATTCATAGCACGAAGTACATCAGATTTTCTACAGCCTCAGACTAGTCTCATGAATCCTTTTTCCCACTAATCAAAACCCACAAAACATAGGCATTAGCCACTCTGCTTAGCACCCATTGTCAACCTGGCAAGGCTCAAACTTGCCTCCAGTTGGACCCTGTCATCTCTGATCCACTCAAAGTGGATTGAAGGAGTTCCAATATGTGGTCTCTGGGCAAGGTAGTCGCCCTAAGTAACAGAAAGGATAAGTAAGGGAAAGGAGGCCAGGCGCAGTGGCTCACGCCTGTAATACCAGCACTTTGGGAGGCCAAGGCAGGCAGCTCACTTGAAATCAGGAGTTCATACCAGCCTGGCCAACATGGTGAAACCCCATCTTACTAAAAATACAAAAATTAGCCGGATGTGGTGGCACACACATGTAATCCAGCTACCTGGGAGGTTGAGGCTGGAGAATTGCTTGAACCTGGGAGGCGGAGGTTGCAGTGAGCAGAAATCACAGCACTGCACTCCAGCCTGGGTGACAGAGGAAGACTCTGTCGAAAGATAAAGAAAGAGAGAAAGACAGAAAGAGAGAGAGAGAGAGAAAGGCAGGAAGGCAGGAAAGAGGGAGGGAGGGAAGGAAGGAGAGAGAAAGGGAGAAAAGCATTGCCTACAGCAGGGAAGGGAAGGTGAGGAGCTCAGGGAGGCCAGAGAAAGACCTATCCATTGCAGAGACCCTGAATCAAAAGCTCAGGCGGTTGCTGGTCGGTAGTGAGGGGATCTTTCCAGCAGTCCTATCAGCATTCAGGTTTCCCCTTTTAGGGATAAAAAAAAAAAAGGTTCCCGTGTCCAGTGATCCTGTACATGCCTAATCCTGTCACCCATAGCAGTCAACAAAGAGTACAAGACAGATTAATCAAAAAAGAATAGTGGTTAATATCCCATAATGCCAAATCCATTTTTAACCAAGAGGGACTTTACTGAGAGGGGCCTCTAACCCCCTAAATCTTAGGAAGGACTCTAACCCTCCTAAGTTGGGCTTCGAACCCAAGTTTGGCCAAGCGCCCTTGCCTTTTATTAAGAGGGGTCTTTTACCCACTCTGTCTTAGGAGAGAATTTGTCCTAAATCGAGCCTGTAACCCAATCCCATCCTTTACCCAGGTACCCCACCACTTACCCAAAGTCATCCAATCAGTGCTGCAGTCTATTTCCTTTGGGTGAGGTGTCTCCACAGTATCATCCCTTCATGGTTGCCAGGAAGATGTTACCAGAAAGGGGTCCTGATCCAGACCCCAAGAGAGGGTTCTTGGATCTCTCACAAGAAGTAATTCAGGGTGAGTTCATGGAGTAAAGTGAAAACAAGTTTATTAAGAAAGTAAAGAGATAAAGAATGGCTACTTTATAGACAGAGCAAAAAAATATATATACTGATTATCAAATACATTTCTGTTACATTCGAATTAGAGACAAGTTCTGTTTAGAAATAACCCCATCTGCCTCAACCTCCCGAGTAGCTGCCACTAGGCACGTGCCACCACGCCCAGCTAATTTTTTTATTTTTAGTAGAGACAGAGTTTCACCATGTTGGCCAGGCTGGTCTCAAATTCCTGACCTCAAATGATCCACCTGCCTCAGCCTCCCAAAGTGCTGGGATTACAGGCATTAGCCACCATGCCTGGCCCCTGAGGTGGAACAGTTTCATCCCAAAACCATCCCCATCTGCCAGCCCCCTCCCCACCTCCCACCTCTCACTCCCATCAGTGGAGTGCCAAAGCACAAGTTACTGTGAATTACTTTTGGAGGTCTTCCCAACTCTTCAATCACATTTTTAATCTGTAAGAAAATTATTGGGTTTGTGCCGTTTCTATAGAAGATGAATTTTATACATTACATTTTGATTTTTCTGAATTTCATTTATAAAAGAAAACTTGCACTTGAATGTTGGGGCTTCCCATATAACCACACTTGATTATAGTGAATGTTTTCATAATAGCATTTATAGCCTTGTATTTTATTCAAGATAAAGTTTTTGAGATTACCCAAATAAGTCATGCTTCTTTAAAAATGTTTTAAAATTCCAAAATATATCAAACATGAAAATCCCTTCCATACTTCCTCTCCACTCTCTAGAGATAATCATTGCTAATACTTGAGTGTACACATTTTCAAGTATTTACCTATCCTTATTGTTGACAGAGATCATGCTCACTGTTGAAAAAGTTTTTAATGTTTGAGGATATTTTTGTCTATGGAGAGAACACCCCACAAATATTCATGTTTTGTTTAATGCTCAATTTATTAAACATATACTGTATACAACATTTTGAAACTTTTTTAATATTCAAAGATTGATTACAAACTTCATTAAATTCCTTTCCATTTAAACTGTAATTACAAATTTAATATGATTCTTTTGAATGTACTTTTTTTTTTTGTTTTTGAGACGGAGTCTTGCTCAGTCGCCCAGGCTGGAGTGCAGTGGTGCGATCTCGGCTTACTGCAAGCTCCACCTTCCGGGTTCATGCCATTCTCCTGCCTCAGCCTCCCAAGTAGTCGGGACTACAGGTGTCTGCCACCATGCCTGGCTAATTTTTTGTATTTTCAGTAGAGACGGGGTTTCACCGTGTTAGCCAGGATGGTCTCCATCTCCTGACCTCGTGATCCGCCCGCCTTATTCTCCCAAAGTGCTGGGATTACAGGCGTGAGCCACCGCGCCCAGCCTGAATATACTTTTTAAAGTACACAAAATAAACACAAATGCAATGATTACAGGACTTACTATAATTATCCTTATATCTATCTTAAAACACCAACATGATGGATTTATTACTTCATTGGTTTTTATTTGTGTTTTTCCCTAGGTATAAGATACTTTCTTATTTGCTAAACTATTTCTTTTGATGTTTCCTTGTGTTACTAAAATCTTATCAGACCCTACCCCCACCCAAATCACCTAATATCCTCAATCCTCAGATCAACCAAGGCTATAGACTTGGGCTTCTCAGCAGATTACTTCGGGGTTGGGGCTCTGATGCTTGTAGTTTCTCTCAAAGAGCTATCTTTTTTTATAAGATTGTGCTACCTCAGCACCCTTACTTTTTAGCAACATCGGTATGTTCCGGGCTTATCTTGTGTTTTACCTGCCCCCAAACACAGAATCAGCCACCCTCCAAGAGCCCAGGTTTTTTTTTTTAGTGGAGAATTATATTATAGACCAAAATCTAGGCTCTAAGGAATTGACGATGATAAAAAGGACCTTGTTGCTATTGGGCACCTCTTAGTAGTGATAGAGCTGTAAGAGGGCTAATGTTCCTACTATATAAATAGTTCCTACAAATAAATAAGAAGATGACCAAGGCCGGATGTGGTGGCCCATACCTGTAATTCCAGTGCTTTGGGAGGCTGAGGCAGGAGGATTGTTTAAGGTCAGGGATTCAAGACCATCCTGCTCAACAGAGCAAGACCCTGTCTCTACTAAAAAAAAATTTTGTAATTAGCTAGGTATGGTGGCATATACATCTGTAGTCCTTGCTACTTGGGAGGCTGAAGGAGGAGGATCACTTGAACCCAGGAGTTTGAGCTATAATTGTACCCCTGCACTCCAGTGACACGGCAAGATCTTGTCTCAAAAAAAAAGAAGAAAAAGAAAAAGAAAATGCCCAAAGCCCAATGGATAAATGGAATAGCCAGTTCACACAGAAGGAAATACAAATTTCCTACAATATAAAAAGATGCTCAATCTTACTTATAATAAGGGCAGTGCAAATTAAAATTAAAACCAGGGTACCACTTTTCACCTATTTGATTGGCTAAGGTAATAATGGTTATTAACACACCATTGGCAAGAGTGAGAAAGAACAGGCATTCTCATACACAGTCCACTACTGAAGTATAAACTGGTACAACTTCCTGTGGAGGGCAATTTCTGCCAAAATTAGATATGCTTTTGGTCCAGAAATTCCATCTCTAGGATTTTGTTCTACAGATATGCTTTCATATGAGAAATGCTGTATACACTGGTTTATTTCTTTCAGCATTTTTTCATAGTTACAAAAGATTGCTAAGAACGTAAGTGTCCACTTACAACAGATTAGTAGAATTTATTACGCTACAGCAAAACGATGGCAGCCTTAACGAAGAACAAGGAAGCTCTTTATGTGCGGGTATGGAATGACCTGACTTATGTTGCAATATGGAAAAAGTAAGGTGCAGAAGAATGTGTAAGGAATATGCTAAAATGTGCAGGAAAAGGACCAAAAATAGGCAGTGTTTGCTCAGTAATAGTAGTGCACAGAGAAGACTGGTAACAGTGATTGCTAGGGGTGGAGAAACTGGGTGGCTTGGGGCCAAGAGGAGGGAGAAACTAGTGAATACCACGTTGTATCTTCTGAATTTTGAATCATGTGATGTACTTCCTACTAAAAAAATTATGCAAACCAGAAAAAGTGCATCAGACACATATTTTCATAAACTTTATTTGTCTTACCAGGCTGACTGCAGTCCATGCCTTGGAGTTTATTTTACTATTCCCCTATTGTTTACATTGCCGGAGAGTTATTTGTTTAGCTGTGTCTCTCCCAAGGGAAGGATTTATTTATCATGAAGTTTTCAGCTCAATGTGTTTTGGCAAACACTGATTGACACCCACAAGCCCTGATACTGTGCTAAATCCAGGGGAAACAAAAGTGAGAGTCCTGCTGGGTGTGTAGTCCCTGCCTAGGACAAACTCGCATTAGTGGGGGATACAGACATACAAACAAAAGATCACAGCGCAGGATTAAGTGTGCAACAATAGAAGTGTGCACAAAGAGAAAAGTGGTAGAAAGGAAAGCTGACCAGCTCTGGTGAGGTGACAGGGGTGGAATAACCAGGAAAGACTTAGCTGAAAAACTGGAATCAGGGTTTAGAAGGATGAATAGGCTTACCCAGGAGCAGGTTCTTTGAGGGAAAGACGCGTGGGTTCCAGGGAACACATGGCTCCAGCCCAAAGTGAAGCAGCAGAAGATGCCCTGGTGCAGTGGGATGAGGGGCAAGGAGGTCTGGTCGGGTTAGCAAGGGCATTGAATGCCCCCAAATTTGGATTTTTATTCCGCAGGCAATAGGGAGGCAGAGGCGTTTACATTCAAAAGGAATGAATCCCAGAGCCTGGCACAGGGAAGGCAAGTAAGCAAAGTTGGTCCAATGAATTCAGTGGCCTTAATGTGTCTTCCTCAAATGTCACTGAAGACTGGGTCTCCTCTCCCACTTCACCCCCTCCTGTAGCCCAACTTGTGAGACGCGCGCGCACACGCGCACGTTTAGATGGAGGGGGATTTCCTAGCCATCCAGGCTTGCCTGAAACTCCATCTTACACTGGTGCATAACTCCTGCCCCCACCTCACCTGCCTCCTGTACGAGGCGTTGATTCCTTCTTCCTGCGTATTTTCTGTCCAAATCCTTTTCTGCTTCTCCCACCAATCAAAGTAATGGTTTCCACTCCCTGCTTCCGCCGGGACTCCTTTTTGGCATGGGGCTGAGTTCTGCTCCTTGGAGCTCCAGCGGGTAGCTCCTGGAAGCCCCAGCGGGTAGCCAGGCGGAGTTGGTTGGAGACCTGCCACCCACTTTCTGACCCCAAGCGAATTCTGAGAGGGCAGGGTCTCAGGCTCAGCGAGTTAGCTCGTCCACCCTTCTTCCCCACCAGAAGGAGCGAAACGTCTTTGAGCAAGATTGGTCTCTACTGCGTCCGGGTGTCCACCGGGGCCTCACCCTGTGCCAGCTCCAACAACTAGGTGCAGCTGTGGCCCCACGGTGGCTGAGCCTCCTCTGTCTCCCGCGGGAAGTAGAATTCAAGGTTCAAGTACCGGAGCACCTGGGGCCGCTGCTGTTTGGGAAACTGCGCAAACGGCATCTCCTTCTGGACGCCTCCTGGTTCTGCAACTGGATCTCCGTGCAGGGCCCCGGATCCGGTGAGGAAGTGAAGTTCCCTTGTTACCTCTGGGTGGAGGGCAACGGCGTCCTGAGCGTACCGGAAGGCACTGGTGAGAGCGGGGCTGAAAGCGTGAAAGTGTGAAGAGGCGTCTGGAGTGCAAGAGAAGCTGGGGTGCATGCGGATGTGGAGGATGGGGGTGCTGGAACCTGGAGCGCAGGGGTCTTTGGAGGTTGTTGAAGAAGCGGTTGCGGGAGCTGGCACAGAGTGGCGTGGAGGCTGGGGGTGGGGCGTGGTGCCGAAGGGGCAGGGGCCACACAGAAGGACAGGGTGATGAAGCTCTCTTGGCAGGGACGAGAAGAGGCTCTCAGAAAAAGCCATTGCCCAATCCCTCCTCTCTACTGCACTCTACTCTAGGCTGCACTGTGGCCGAGGACTCTCAAGGCCTGTTCAAGAAACACAGGGAAGGCCGGGCGCGGTGGCTCACAACTGTAATCCCAGCACTTTGGGAGGCCCAGACGAGCGGATCAAAAGGTCAGGAGATCGAGACCATCTTGGCTAACACAGTGAAACCCCGTCTCTACTAAAAATACAAAAAAATTAGCCGGGTGCGGTGGCGGGCACCTGTAGTCCCAGCTACTTGGGAGGCTGAGGCAGGAGAATGGTGTGAACCCAGGAGGCAGAGCTTGCAGTGAGCCGAGATCGTGCCACTGCACCCTAGCCTGGGCGACTGAGCAAGACTCCATCTCAAAAAAAAAAAAAGAAAAGAAAAGAAAATAAAGAAAGAAACACAGGGAAGAGGAGCTGGAAGAGAGAAGGAAGCTGTACCGGTGACCCCCTACTCCCCAGACCCCATGTGAACTGCTGCTTCCAGCACCCGTGTCTGATTTCATTCTTCCCCACTGGTGGGGAAACTGGAAGGATGGGTTAATTCTGAATGTGGCTGGGGCCAAACTATGTGATCTCCTGTGCATGAGCGATTTCTGGAAGACAAGAGAGTTGACTTTGAGGCTTTGCTGGCCAATGGGTGACAGCAAGGGGAGGCTGGGTGGGAGGGGGGTGCTCTGGTCTAGTGGAAGCCAAGGGGCTTATAGGCTGCACTGTGCTGGATCAGCCCAAGATAGGTGCCTGTGGTTGTAATGTTGGAGTCTCAAAATATGCTCAAACCCTTTGCCCCAACCTTCCTTGAAGCCTGGCCGACCTCGCTATCAAAGACTCTAAATGTTCTGACTTGTTGGAACAATCTGGATGACTTCAACCGGATTTTCTAGTGTGGCCAGGGCAAGCTAGCTGATCAGACCCCCTACCCCAATACTCCTCCCAGGACTCTTACTCCAGCTCCCACCCAATCCAGGGGAATTGAAAGAACCAGGGTGGGGAGACCAGAGACTTGGGTCCCTCTGGTGGGCTAGAGTCAAGTGGGCATGGTTGGTGGGGGTTGGAAGGACCAAGAACTCAGATCCCACAACTTGCTCAACAACTGCCTTCCCCAGAGAATGTGTGGGACTTCTGAAAGGAGGATGCCTTATTTGGGTACCAGTTTCTTAATGGTGCCAACCCCATGGGGCTGAGGCTCTCCATTCACCTTCCTACCCACCTCGTGTTCCCTCCAGGGATGGAGGAACTGCAGGCCCAGCTGGAGAAGGAGCTGGAGGTATGGACATCAGAGCCCCAGGGAGGCCCAACAGTGAAATGAGTTGGGCTAGCCTCACCGGTACTGCTGCGGGACCCACTGTGGGCCTGGCTTGCTGCCAGTCAACAAGGAGGGATTCTGCAGAAGTCCTGGGGGATCCTGGAGAAGCTCAGCTGCACAGCCTCCTCCCCACATGCTGTGGAGGGAGGGTGTGCAAGGTGGAATGGTTGATAGGACAGGGTCAAATGAAGAAACATGACTGGGCCTTGATGCTAGGGATTCAGGGAGTGTGCAGAGTAAGGGAATCAAGGTCAGAGTGCTGTGGCTGTTAATCAGGAGTCAATATAGAACAACAGACAGGAAGTGCATGGGATTACAGGGCAGATAGGCTTGGATGTGAACCCTGGTTCTGCTATTTGTAAGCTCTGTGACCTCAGGCAAAATACCCAACCTCTCCGATTATCTGTTTCCTCCTCTGTGAAACTGAGGCTCATTCAACTATGTATAAGAATTATAAGCCCAGGCACAGTGGCTCATGCCTGTAATCCCAGCACTTTGGGAGGCTGAGGTGAGATGATCGCCTGAGGCCAGGAGTTCAAGACCAGCCTGGTCAACACGGTGGAACCCTATTTCCATAAAAAATGCAAAAATTAGTGTCTGTAAGTTTTGGTGTGGTGGCATACACCTATAGTCCCAGCTAGGCTGAGGTGCGAAGATCATCTGGGCCCAAGGAAGTCAAGGCTGCAGTGAGCCATGGTGATCCTGCTGCTGCACTCCAGCCTGGGCAATAGAGTAAGATATATATATATATACATATCTCAGTATATAGAGTAAGATATAGATATATATATATATATCTCAGTATATAGAGTAAGATATATATATATGTATATATATATCTCAATAATCACATGATTCCCTACTTGGTACAAAGTCGGTGATGGAGACAAGTTAGTTCCCTTCTCTCTCTTCTCCCCTGGAAGAATCAGAGTAAGAAAGAAGATGCCTTATGCTGATAGCAGCCCTTTACCTCTTCTCCCATCCAGGGGAGCACACTGTTTGAAGCTGACTTCTCCTTGCTAGATGGGATCAAGGCCAACATCATTCTGTGTAGCCAGCAGCATCTGGCTGCCCCTCTAGTCATGCTGAAGCTGCAGTCTGTTGGGAAACTCTTGCCCATGGTCATCCAGGTGAGAGGACTTGAGATTTCTGCTCCCAGTATCCAGCCTTCTCAGCTCAGCCCTTATCGAAATTCACTGGGCACCCACTATCTGCATCTTAAAGGAGGAAATGGGCAAAGTCTGTGATTCGAACACCTTGAAGTATAGCTGGAGAGACAGACTGGGCCAGTCTGAAGAAGCTCTGGTACTGAGGAAGTCCCTGAGGACAGGACAGCCCAGGAGGGATCAGGGGAGGTGGGGTATCATGAGCCTTGAAGGAGGGCCAGGGCTCAGACAAGCAGGAGGGAAGGAAAGGACCTGTCCTCAGGGGCAAGACGGTCTGGGCAGAGAGGCTGAGGCAGAGGAGTCAGGAGATTCCTAGGGGACAGTTGGACTGGGGGCCAGACTACGCCAGGCTAAGGAGTGTGATGTGGGAAGCTGGAGAAGGCTGTGATGAAATGTGCTGTGGACTTTGGGAGGCCGAGGCGGATGGATCACCTGAGGTCAGGAGTTCAAGTCCAGCCTGGTCAACATGGTGAAACCCCGTCTCTACCAAAAATACAAAATTAGCCAGGTGTGGTGGCACATGCCTGTAATTCCAGCTACTCGGAAGGCTGAGGCAGGAGAACCTGGGAGGTGGAGGTTGCAGTGAGCCAAGATTGTGCTACTGCACTCCAGCCTGGGCAACAGAACAAAAACTACATCTCAGAAAAAAAAAAAAAGACAGAAATATGCTGTGGGCACACTGTATAGGCGGTTGTGTTTAGGATGGGTTGGAGAGGGGAGATGCTAGAAACAGGTATTAGGGTGACATGCTCCAGCACTTGCCCCAGGAGGAGGTGGGCTCAGATGTGGGTAGTGACCATCAGGATGAAGAGGACAGATGGATGTGAGGTTAGAAGGAGATCAAGGAGGAAGGAAAGGGAAGCCAGGCCAGGTGCCTGCAGAAATAGCATGAATAAAGAGGACAGGGTGCTCACATAGGCTTCCGCCTGGCCAATGTTGAGATTACCGGAAGACATTTAAATTGTCTGGCAGGCAACTGAGAACTAGAGATTTAGTCATTTGGGTAAAGATGGGGCTGAAAGATGAGATTTTGAAAAAGGAGTGTGGGATGAAGGAAGCAGGCAGTTTGAATCTTGTCCACACTGCAGGGACTGAAAGGGGAAGTGGAGGCTGGAGAAGGCACTAGAAGAGCAGTTTCTACAGAATGTTGGAGGCAGAGCAGCTTGCAGGGTGCTAATGCACCAAGTGGATAGGAAAGGGAGGGGTAGCTGTAGGGAGTGGCAGCAGTGACATGGAGCAAGTGAAACACATTTGGAGGATGAAGGGAGAGGTTAAACATGCAAGGGAGGGGGGTTGCTGAGCACCTGGCACTCACCCCTTCTCTCCCTACACCTTGTTCCTGCTCCAGCTCCAACGTAGGATCCCAGCCACTTCCCCTTTTCTTGCCCATGGATCCTGCAATGGTCTGGCTTCTGGCCAAATGCTGGGTCCATAGCTCTGACTTCCAGCTCCGTGAGCTGCAGCCTCATCCTCTGAGGGGACACTTGATGGCTGAGGTCACTTTTGTGGCCACCATGAGGTGCTTTCAATACATCCTGTCTTCAAGGTAACACCTTATTCCCTTCCCTCCTGCAGGCCTCTATCTCTGCCCCAGGCCACATTCCCACCTCTGGAGGCTCCCTCTCTGTGGAGTTTCAGAGTTTGGAGAGAATCAAGGAATAGAAGATGTGAGAGCAAAAGAGTGCAAGCATGGCTGGCCGTGCATAGCACCTTTCTTGAGGGGAGGGGTAAAATCATTCTTGGGGAAAGTAGGGAAAAAAATCTTACTCTTTTTATGTGCAAAGCACAGATATTGGTACAGTACATAAACAGTACATGCAAATGACCAAGGATTCCATCCAATAAGAAGAAACTATGCAAATAATATACAAAGACTTTTTTCCAGCCAGTCATTTATCAGTTCTAAAATAGTGATACTGGCCAGTTAGAGGGGCTCAGAAAACAACAGTCACCTGGTTTATTACAGACCATTAGAGCGAAGTATTTACTTATTAAAAATATGTATTGGGAGCCTCCTGTGTGACAAGAACCATTCTAGACGCTAGCAGTAAGCAAGATAGTCAAAGTCCTGATCTTTTGAGACTTTCATTTCCAGCAAGGGCAAACAGGCAACACAGACTGTATTGTAACATATCAGCTGTGGTAGGTACGATGCAGAGAATCAAAGCAGAGTGACGTGATGGCAAGTTTAGATTGGGTGGTCAGAAAAGGCTCCCTTGAAGGAGATGACATCGAGAATGCGACTGTCAGAAGCTAACCTTGAAATGATCAAAGGGGCACAGTGTTCCAAGCAGAGGCAACAGCTTGTGCAGGATCGAGGTGGGAATGAACTCGGCTTCTTTTGGTTCTTTGAAGGATGGGTAAGGTCAGGCAAATCAACCTGCCCTGCCTCCACAGTCAGAAAGAAGAGTGACGCAGAATCTCCCTTACTCTCCCCATACCTCATCGAAAACTTCTGTGTTGGAGACCAGCGGCTGAAGAAGGTGAGGATAACTTGAAACCAGGAGGTGGAAGTTGCAGTGAGCTGAGATCGTACCTTTGCACTCCAGCCTGGGCAACAACAGCGAGACTCCATCTAAAAAAAAAAAAAAAAAGACTACTTACAGAATGATAATGAAAAAAAAGTTGAGAAACTTTGGTCTAGACCTGTGGAAAAAAATATGAAAAGCAAAGGAGAATGATTTCTTTCAATTATCATAAAGCACTAAGTCAGTGGTTTGTGGAACACGTTAGTCAGTGCAAATCAACTGAAAACTTGGTCGTTTATTTTTATTTATATTTATGTACTTATTTTTAACTTTTAGGTTCGGGGTACATGTGCAGTTTGTTATATCAGTAAATTATGTGTCACAGGAGTTTGGTGTACAGATTATTTTGTTACGCAGGTAATAAGCATGGTACCCGATAGGTAGTTTTGGGATCCTTCCCTCCTCCCACCCTCCACCTTCAGATAGATGCTAGTGTCTGTTGTTCCCTTCTTTATGTCCATGTGTATTCAATGTTTAGCTCCCACTTATAAGTGAGAACATGCCATATTTGGCTTTCTGTTCCTGTGTCAGTCCATTTAGGATGATGGCCTCCACCTCCATCCATATTGCTTGTTCTTTTCTATGGCTGCATAGTGTTCCATGGTGTATACGCACCACATTTTCTTTACGCAGTCTATTGTAGATAGGCATTTAGATTTGATTCCATGTCTTTGCTGTTGTGAATAGTGCTGTGATGAACATACACATGCATGTGTCTTTATGGTAGAACAATTTCTATTCATTTGGGTATATATCCAGTAGTGGGATTGCTGGGTCAAATGGTACTTCTGAAAACTCACTGTTGAGAGGTCACTGAACTTTAAGTCTGTGATTTTTCTGAAGACCTGGTATCTTTCCTGTTTGTCAGCCCCTATTTCCTGCAGGGACCTGTGCAGCTGTCTTCTGACTTTGCCCTTCCCTGCTTTTTTTGCCTCTAGCTTATAATTCCCCACCTGCAATACACCATGGAAATTAACATCTGGGCCAGAACTGGGCTGGTCTCCAACAGGAAGTTTTCAACCAGGTATGGGGAGAGAAAGGGAGATTCTGGGTCACTCTTCTTTCTGACTCTGGACTCAGGGCTGGTCAATTCGCCTGACCCTGCCCATCCTTGCTTCTCAGGTGGTGAGCACTGGTGGGGAAGCCATGTGGAGCTGCTCAAGCGAGCTGGAGCCTTTCTAACCTATAGCTCCTTCTGTTCCCCTGATGACTTGGCTGTCCAGGGCCTCCTGGGAGTCAAGTCTTCCTTCTTTGCCAAGATGCACTGCAGCTCCGGGAAATCATCTCTCGGTGAGGCAAGCGGGAAGGCCAGTGGGGGTGGAGAAGAAATCTAGGAGAGCAGGAGGTCTGTGTCTGGTTGTGGGCCTGGGGCCCTGACATGGCCATGTGAACAGGGGCAGAGCTGGCTTCAACACCCTGGCCCTGCCCCATTGGCTGGCCAGTATGTGGAAGGAATCGTGAGTCTCCACTGTAAGACAGACGTGGCTGTGAACAGTGACCCAGAGCTGCAGACCTGGTGTCGAGAGATCATTGAAATCCGGCTGCCCAGGACCGAGGTAAGAGGAGCTCCTGCCCTGAAATCTCAGACACAAAACTGCAAGAGACCTCCCCAGAATCCTCTGTGCTTCTATGAAATCTTCCAGAAGCATTTCCAATACCTATGAAAACTCCAAAGGCCTTCTCAGATTCTATTCCCTCCCAGCTGGAGACAGGTCCCCATCCTATGCATTGAGAACCCCTTAGATGCCAGATGCAGCGGAACCAGTGGTTGCTCATAAATGTTTAATAACTGACTCTCAGGGAAAAAAAAGGTCCCAATTTGTAACATTTGCACATTTCCATGGCACAAATATTCCTACTGTGGCTACCAAGGTGATGTTGGCCAGCTCACTAAAAACCTTAACATCATTGACTGACTCTTGTGAGCCAGTATGAGTCAGCACCAGTGCCCCACTGAGTGGGACCCTCCCAGTCAGCTCCCCACTCCCCCACCCAAGCCTGCTGTCATGGTAATTCCCACAAGAGTTACTGAGCATTCCTTCTGCTCTTTCTCACCCTTCTTGTTCTCCTCTCTTGGCCTTGGCCTCTGAGCTCTGCTCTACTCCTGGCCTCACAGCTTCTAACTCTCCTCACCCCTTGAAGGGTTTCCTGTCTCTTTACAGTCTCAGGACCAGATTTGCCACTTTGTCACCACATGTATCTTTGCCTGCACTGGCCGACACTCCTTCGTCCACCTGGACCAGGTAGTTACCAGAAATGGGCAGCTGGGAATTTGGGGCCTGGGTGACGGAGGAGTCTGTATGCAGGTGGGTCACAGGGTTTTCATGCTTAGCAGACATTGACTATAGATTCCTGACTTTCCTTAGCTGGATTGGTACATTTGGGTCCCTAATGCACCCTGCACGATGTGGCTGCCAACCACCAAGGATGCAACGCTGGAGACAGTGATGGCAACACTGCCCAACTTTCCAGATGTCCTCTCCAGATGTCCATCAGTTGGCAGCTGAGCAGACACCAGCCCATTATGGTGACAGCAAAGTGCCCAGGGCCCTAAGGAAGGAGGCAGCTGTGGGGACATGTGGCACCCCAAACTGGGGGTCATAAGGCTCTCAGCTGTTTTTTCCTCTCCATCCCAGGTGGCTGTGAGCCAGCATAAGAAGGAGTATTTTTCGGGCCCTCGGCCTAAGGCTGTGCTGAAGAAGTTCAGGGAGGAGCTGGCTGCCCTGGATGAGGAACTGAGATCTGGAATGCTACACGGGACATGCCCTATGAATACCTGCGGCCCAGCCTGGTGGAAAACAGTGTGGCTATCTGAGTGTCACCAGCCTTTGGTTATTTCAGTCGCCCTCCACCCAAGCCACAGTTCTACCCCCAGGTGGTTTCAGTCCTACCCTCCCAAGCCCCACACTTTTCTCATGTCCCACCCTCCCTAAAGGGACACCTTTTCATGGTCTCTGCACCCAGTGAACACATTTTACTCTAGAGGCAGCACCTGGGGCCTTATTCCTCCCTCCTCCCTCCCTCCTTTCCTATATATTCCTTCCTCCCTGTCTTCCTCCTTCTTCAGATCTATAGGGCAAATAACAGCCACAATTATATAAACCATTTCAAGGATCGAATAGGGAGATAATACATATTATTCCACACCTTTTATGAATCATATGTGATTTTTTTTGAGACAGGGTGTCACTCTGTTGTCCAGGCTGGAGTGCAGTGGTGCCATCACCTTAGCTCACTACAGCCTCAACCTCCTGGGCTCAAGTGATCCTCCCACCTCAGCCTCAACCTCCTGAGTAGCTGGGACTACAGGCTCATGCCACCATGCCCAGCTAATATTTTTTTTGTAGAGACAGGTCTCACTATGTTGCCTGGGCTGGAAATATGATTTTGAACCCAAATTCAGTTTAACAATAACAAAAAGATATTTTAGACTAATGATAGAAAAGAACTAGAACTGAATTATTTTAGATAAAATATTGGCAAAAGAATATAGAGCATCAAAAACATTTATCTGGGTTCACATGCTTGATGTGGTAAAGAATACAAAAGTTTTTAAAAATTAAAAAAAAATTGGCTGGGTGCGGTGGCTCACGCCTGTAATCCCAGCACTTTGGGAGGCCAAGGCGGGTGGATCACGAGATCAGGAGATCGAGACCATCTTGGCTAACACGGTGGAACCCCGTCTCTACTAAAAATACCAAAAGTTAGCTGGGCATGGTGGCAGGCACCTGTAGTCTCAGCTACTCGGGAGGCTGAGGCAGGAGAATGGCATGAACCCAGGAGGCGGAGCTTGCAGTAAACCAAGATCACACCACTGCACTCCAGCCTGGGTGACAGAGTGAGACTCTGTCTCAAATAAATAAATACATAAATAAATAAATACAAATAAAAAAATTCTCTTTCTAACTATATAGGATCTAACTTGTGTCCTGAAGCCAGACACACTACAAAGCAAACCATTAAGACAGTGAGTCCCAAGAATTTTTGACTCAAGATTTTCATGTAATGGCTCACTTAGAAAATACTGAAGGAAAGTCAGCTGGTTGAACTGAAGAAGCTGCTCCTGGCTGGAGATACTCGGCATCAGAACTTCAGCCTCATGCATCCATACCTTAACCCCTCTGCAGTTCACCAGCTGGGAAGCTCCCAATTAATAACATTAAGTGGAAAAAGACTAAAAATTTCATTATTACCAAAATGAGTACAACAAGGCATTCAATGAACTCTAACTTCTGTATTTCATTAAGATTTTGGGAAAATAAACTTGGAAGTTTTATTTCTTAATATGATAATCTGTGGGTATTTTAAAACAGAAACTAAGAGTACACACAAACCAAAAGTGTTCCCTTTATAATACAATAAAGATGCTTCTTGCCTCTGATTCTATTTAATTCCACAGAAGACATACTGGTGATGCTTGGTCTGCTTTTTTTTTTTTTCTAAAAAGAAACAGTCTCACTTAGTCACCCCGGCTGGAGTGCTGTGGCCCAATCATAGTTCACGGCAGCCTGGAACTCCTGGGCTCAAGCAATCCTCCTGCCTTGGCCTTCCAAAGTGCTGGGATTGCAGGAATGTTGGTCTTATTATTTTGTTTGTTTGTTTGTTTGAGACAAGGTCTTGCTCTGTTGCCCAGGCTGGGGTACAGGCATGACCATGGCTCGCTGCAGCCTTAACCTCCCAGGCTCAGGCGATCCTCTCACCTCAGCCTCCCAAGTAGCTAGAACCACAGGCACATGCCATCATACCTGGCTAATTTTTTTTAATTAAATGTTTGTAGAGATGGGGTCTCCCCAGGCTGGTCTCAAACTCCTGGGCTCAAGCGATCCTCCTGTCTTGGCATCCCAAAGTGCTGGCACTGTAGGCATGAGCCACTGTGCCTGTCTGGTCTGATTCTTGAAGGAGGAATTGGAAATGAATAGTAGAGAGGTGGGGGCAGAGTTTAACACTGGAATCTAGGAGAATCTGCAGAGAGGCAAGAGAGTGTGGTAGGATCTCCACACCAGAAACGAAACAGTAATCCAGCCTGGGGAGTGATGCGGTGGGGCGCAGGGCCTACGAGAGGTCTTGTGGCAAAGCGGGGAAGAGTTTGTTTCATGATGTCAGGTGATTAGACTTGACCTTTGGGAAACAGCCATGGAAAGGTTTTAAGTAAGAGCATGTTTAGGGTCCTGGAAGACAAACTCGCAGAGGCACCTCCTTCTTCTTGGAGCCCACACCCTTTTTACAGGCCACGCACCTCTCTTCGGGGTCACACCCTCTTTTCCTTGGGGGCCACAACCTCTTTCCTGGTTCCTTGTTCAGTACATTCATTGCAACAGACTTTCTCCTCAGTCCCTGACAGAGAAAATTTCAACTCTCATTGTTTTCTGGAAACAAATCTTTTAGAGCCTCAGGTTTATTACAGACAGACTTGCACGGGGAAAACTAAGACACATGCTCTTCAGGTTCTCTAACACATGAAGCCATGGCCCTTCCCTTCCAGTGAAGTTCCAGAATAAAAAGTCAGGTGACAGATAGTGAGCTACATGATTTTTGATGAGTACATTCAATTTCTTTTTTTTTTTCTCTTTGAGATAGAGTCCCACTCTGTCACCTACGCTGGAGTGCAGTGGTGCGACATTGGCTCACTGCAACCTCCACCTCCCAGGTTCAAACAATTCTCCCTGCCCCAGCCTCCTGAATAGCTGGGATTACAGGCACCCACCACTACGCCTGGCTAATTTTTGTATTTTTAGTAGAGACGGCGTTTCACCATGTTGGCCAGGCTGGTCTTGAATTCCTGACCTCAGGTGATCCACCCGCCTCGGCCTCCCAAAGTGCTGGGATTACAGGCATAAGCCACCGTGCCCGGCCTCAATTTCTTACAATAGACTTATTCTAACAAATATATTTTCTTATGACAAATAGGTAGCCAATAAATGGAAATTATAGTAAGTTATTGAAAACCATAGGAAGCATAGCCTCAAGGTGATGGGTGGTAGAACATGGAAGATAACAATAAACTTTTGTCAGAATCGCTTAAGGGAAATTCTTGCAAACAAGCCTCCAGTACACAATTTCAAGAAGGAGCCTTCATCCCAGCCTGGTTAGTGTTTATATTCTCAGTGTTTTCAAGGTAAAAGTTTGCAAATATTCTTTAGATTTTACTTTTATCTAGCAAAGCATAATTGCTGGTCGGTGCATAGTTCTCTCAAAGTCCTTTTGTTAAGCCCTTGCATTCTTTCCAAGGTTCCTCTTTATCTGCCTATTGGGAATGGGCACCTCTGTCTTTGGTTACAATTTCCAGCCAAGGCTGAATGACAGAGTGTAGGATTTTTACCTTCCTGTTCCCATGCATCAGAACTGCTGGATCACTGCCTGCTCTTTTGCCATGGACAGAGGAATGGGGTGCAGGCCTGAGTGAGCCCAGCTGCCTGGATTCTGCTCTGTGACCTATTTCTCAGCCATACTTACCCTGTCCTTTAAAGATGAGTTTGGGCCAGGTGCGGTGGCTCACGCCTGTAATCCCAGCACTTTGGGAGGCCTAGGCCGGCAGATCACAAGTTCAGGAGTTCGAGACCAGCCTGGCCAATATGGCGAAACCCCATCTCTACTAAAAATACAAAAATTAGCTGGGCATGGTGGCACGCACCTATAGTCCCAGCTACTCAAAATACAAAAATTAGCTGGGCATGGTGGCATGTTCCTGTAATCCCAGCTACTCAGGAGGCTGAGGCAGGAGAATCACTTGAACCCAGGAGGCAGAGGTTGCAGTGAGCCAAGACCCTGCCACTGTACTCCAGTCTGGACGACAGAGTGAGGTTTCATCTAAAAAAAAAAAAAGAAAAAAAAGATGAGTTTGGTGTAAATACGTGGAGGGTATTCTTGGCGGGGAACCCAAAGTGAGCAGCGAGGCTTGGAGGTGGGAATGGGAACAGGGATGGGAATAGCTGAAGCCAGATACTGGTAAATGCTGTTTAAGTCATACTGTAGGTTGTTCGTGGATAGTATATTCAGGGAAACAGAAAGGTGTGTCCTTGTGCCCGAGGTTAAAGGGAATCGTGCATTGGAGAGGTCATGGCTGGAAAAGTGTTGACATCAGTTTTTTAAAGCCCAGAGCAGGCCTGACCTCCAGGAGCCTTCTCAAACTCTAACCACTCCATGCCATAGAGCACCCTTCCTCCTTGAACCACCTGTTCCTTTCCATGTGGATCTCGGTCATGAGTTATTGAGAATGTGACCTTGCGGGCAGGGGGTGTCTATGAGAATGGAGAGAAAAGATATGAGAAATACTATAAAGACAGAATAAAGGACTTGGTCACCCTTTAGATATCAGAGGCTGGGCGCGGTGGCTCAGGCCTGTAATCCCAGCACTTTGGGAGTCCACGGTGGGCGGATCACGAGGTCAGGAGATGGAGACCATCTCAGGAGGCGGAGCTTGCAGTGAGCCGAGATGTCGCCACTGCACTCCAGCCTGGGCGACAGAGTGAGACTCCGTCTCAAAAAAAAAAAAAAAAAGATATCAGAAAGATTAGGTGTGGAGGAGCAGGAAAGGATGATTCCTTGGATGTAGGCAGTTGTGGGCAAAAGATTTTTTTATCCTAAAGTTTAAAAATTCACACGCACACACATAAAATGTAATGTACTGCTCAAAAGGTCATCACCAAGAGGACAATCATGTAGCAACAGCCTAGGGCAAGAAAGAAAACATTACCAGCACCCCAGAAGCACTTACGTGTCTCCCAGCATTTCCTTTAATTTAAAAAAAGACATTATTAATTTTTAAAAACATAGACTAAAGCAGCTCTTCTCATCCTTTACTCTGCTTGCAAGTAATTCTGACACTCAGTTAAAAAAATGTTTTTTACTCTAAAGGAACCCCTTTCAGGTCTCAGAGAAGCTCTGCTGAACAGTTTTGATATCTAACAGCTCATGGTACATTAATGTGACACTCAATCATAGATACAGTAATCCAGTGATAACTACCAGGGCTTTTTAAAGTAGACATCTATATTCTTCTGTAGATATGTCTATTTTGGCCTTCATAGCCTACTATTTCTCTGTGGCTGGCTCTCTCCCAAAGGACATCAACTATAATGCAAGGTATTATTACATTGCATGTTATTACATGTTAAGATACATTTAACTATACGTCAGGAGTGTAGGTAGAGGCAGCTTTAGTTTCTCTTCTTTGGAACTTCTTCCTTCTTTAGGTATAACTTTATTGAATTAAAGTACAATAAACTGCACATAATTAAAATATGTAGTTTTATTATTTTTGGACATATGTCTATGCCCATGAAACCATTACCACAATCAAGATAATAAACATTTCCAGCATCCCTGGAAGATTCTTTGTGTCCTTTGGCAATTCATTACTCTCTTTACCCTGATTCCCAGACTACCAATCACCTGCTTTCTATGATAAATTAATTTGCACACTACAGTATTTTGTAGGAATGGAATGATACAATGTCTACTCTTTGGTCTGGCTGCTGTCACTTAGCACCATGAGCTTGAGAGTCATCCATTTCATTGCACATTGCGGTTTCTTTTTATTGCTGAGTAGTATTCCTTTGCACAGAAATCCCACAATCTGTGTATCTGTTCACTGTACGATAACCCAATTTAAAAATGGAACATAGTTGGGTTATTTTCTAGATTTTAGCTATTACAGATAAAGCTAATACATACAAATTAAGCTTCATATACAAATTTTTACGTGGATATATATTTTTTCATTTCTTTTGGGTAAATACCTAGAAGTGGAATGGTTGGGTTGTATGGCAGTAGATGCTTAACTTTTTAAGAAACTGCCAGTTTTCCAAAGTGGTTGTACCATTTTATATTCCCACCTGCAGTGTATGAGAGTTCCCGTTGTTGCCGGGAGCGGATGCTCACACCTGTAATCCCAGCACTTTGGGAGGCCAAGCGGGGCAGATCACCTGAAGTCAAGAGTTTGAGACCAGCCTGGCCAACATGGTGAAACCCTGTCTCTACTAAAAATACAAAAAAATTAGCCAGGTGTGGTGGTGGGCACCTGTAATCCCAGCTAACTGGGAAGCTGAGGCAGGAGAATCGCTTGAACCTGGGAGGCGGAGGTTGCAGTGAGCCGAGACTGCACCATTGCACTCCAGCCGAGGCAACAAGAACGTGACTCCGTCTCAAAAACAAACAAACAAAAAAGAGAGTTCCAGTTGTTCCACACCCTTGCCTATGCTTGGGATGGTGAATCTTTTTAGTTTTGGCCAATTATGGCTGTGTAAGGACTAATGATGTTGAGCATCTTTGCATGTGTTTATTACCATTATAATATATTCTTGTGTAAAATATCCGTTCAAATCTTTTTCCTATTTTAAATTGGGTAACTTATCTCATTTTTAATTCAGTAGTAAGAGTTCTTTATATATTCTATATACAAATCCCTTGACTGACACGTGTGTTGCAAATATTATCTTCAAATTTGCCTTTTCTTTTTCTTAATGTCTTCTGAAGAGCAAAAGTTTTAAATTTTGATGAAATCCAATTTAACAATTTTAAAAATTGTTTCATGCTTTTTCGGTTCTGTATAATAAATCTTCGTCTACTCCAAGCAAAAGATTGTCTCCTGTATTTCCTTATAGAAATTTTATAGTTTTAGGATTTACATTTAGGTCTGTAATCCATTTTGAGTTATTTTTGTTTCATATGTGGTACATTTTAATCTTTATTACATGGTACATAATGTATCTTTTCTTTGAGTGATTTTAAGGTTCATTTCTATCACTGGTTTGCTACAATTTGATTTTGATGTGCCTTTGTGTCAGGGGTGTGTGTGTGTGTGTGTGTGTGTGTGTGTGTGTGTGTGTTTATCCTGCCTTGGGTTTATTGAGCTCTATGGATCTGTGAATTTTTAGTCTTCATCAAACTTGGAAATTTTTCAAGTATTATGTTTTCAAAAATTTCTGTCCCACTTCCCTGTTCTTCTGAGACTCACATTATATCTGTGTTAGGCTGTTTGATATTGTTCTGCAGGCCATCAAGGTTCTGTGTAGGACTTTCTTCTGTATGATTCATTTGAAAAGACTTTGTTGCTATGTCTTTAAGCTTACTCATCCTTTTTTTTGCAATGTCTAATCTGCTATTAATCACGTTCAGTAGAATTTTTATTTCAGATTTTTTTTGCAACTATGACAGATGAAACAAATATTGTTTTAATAAAATCTCTAGGTATTTCATTTGCCCCTTTTTTTAGTATCTTCCACTCTCCCCTCATTATGTTTTCCTATAAATACTTCAATATGGTTATAATGTCTGTTTTAATCTCGTAAATTTTAATTAGATGCCTAATATTGGGAATATTATGTTGTGGACTGCTTGAATTTTGTTGTTTGTTTGTCTTCCTCTAAATTGGTGCAAGCATGGTAAGGAGTTAAGTTGTTGGTAAATCACTTTCATCTTTCAGCCTGTTTTTAAGTATTGTTGGAATGGCATTAACAAATGCTTTCAATAAGGGGATAGGTCAGCACTACTGCCAACGTGCAACTGTTCTGTGCTCTCTACTGAAAGACTGATCACTGAGCACTTTTTTACTTAGGGTGATTAGAACTCAAATATCTTCCTGCTTTGGGAGGTCTGAGACTTGTTCAGCTCTCCAGTGCCTGCCTGTCCTCATGGAGTTTCACCCTGTTTCCCTTGCCTCCAGCCAGTACTCTTCAATGACTCAAGGACATCCATATGCAGATTTTTTTTTTTTTTTTTTTGAGACAGAGTCTCGCTCTGTCACCCAGGCTGGAGTGCAGTGGCACAATCTTGGCTCACTGCGACCTCTGCCTCCCGGGTTCAAGAGATTATCCTGTCTCAGCCTCCCAAGTGAATGGGATTACAGGCGCCTGCCACCATGCCTGGCTAATTTTTGTATTTTTAGAAAAGATGGGGTTTCACCATGTTGGACAGGCTGGTCTCAAACTCCTGACCTTGTCAAGTGATCCGCCTGCCTCAGCCTCTCAAAGTGATGGGATTACAGATGTGAACCACCTCGCACAGCCCATATGCAGATTACTTGAAATATTTTTTCTGCACTGGTCCCACCTCTCTAGAACTCTGTGCAGTAACTTGTAGCTGTCTCAGCCTCCCTATATCCTGATTTCTGTCTCCTCAATTCAGAGAGTCCACTGGGGGCTATTTGGGTCCCTTGTTCCTGGGCTCCCAGTTGCCTTCAGGCAGAAACCTTATCATAAACTTATCTAATTTATTTTCTTTTCCTCCATGATTACAGCCCTAATTTGCCTGCTATTAAATGTCTTAAAACAATTGTCTCATATATTTGTCCTGTTTTTCTGGTTGTTTATAGTGGGAGGATAAGTCATTCTATTATGGATGCAAACATAACTATTTATTATTTAATAAATAAGTAAAAAGTATATATACTTTTAACTATTTTAAAGTCCTTATATATAAATCCCATTATCTTTATCATTTCTGAGGCTGTTTTGCTGAGTATTTTTTTCTACAAGTTATGGGTCACTTTTTTTTTTGCTCTGTCATGTCTAGTAATTTTTAACTGGACACTAGACATTATGGATGTATCTTGTTGAGTAGGATTTTTTGGTCTTCTTTAAAGAATATCAGGTATTGTCCGGGCATGGTGGCTCACGCCTGTAATCCCAACACTTTGGGAGGCCAAGGCAGGCAGATCACAAGGTCAGGAGATCGAGACCATCCTGGCTAACATGGTGAAACCGTCTCTACTAAAAATGCAAAAAATTAGTCAGGCATGGTGGTGGGCACCTGTAGTCCCAGCTATTTGGGAGGCTGAGGCAGGAGAATGGTGTGAACTCAGGAGGCAGAGCTTGCTGTGAGCCAAGATCGTGCCACTGCACTCCAGCCTGTGTGACAGAGCAAGACTCCGTCTCAAAAAAAAAAAAAAAGTCAGGTATTGTTCTGTTATGCAGCTTCAGCCTTTCAAGGTTCGTTTAGGGCTTGCTTCATCATATTCCTCAGGTGTTGCCTTTCTGGGGTTTCTGCTAAATTGCCTAGGTATTCAACAAGGTTTCTTCACTCTGGCTAATGGGAACTAGATTGTCTCTAAAGTCCTGTGAGAGCTTGGTTCACTTTATAAGCTTATAGTTTGCCATAAACTGCACTTTTCTTTGATTCCTTGAGTCTTACCTTGTGCTGTGGAGCTTAGTATTCAGACAGAGACTCAAGGAACCCTGCAGAGGACAGAATAATGGTTCCTGAAAGATATTCACATCTTAATCCCCAGAACTTTTGAATATATTACTTTACATAGCAAAAGCAACTTTGCAGAAGTTATTAAGAATCTTAAAATGGCCAGGTGCGGTGGCTCAGGCCTGTAATCCCAGCACTTTGGGAGGCTGAGGTGGGCAGATCACTTGAGGTCAGGAGTTCAAGGTCAGCCTGGCCAACATGGTGAAACCCCGTCTCTACTAAAAATACAAAAATTAGCCAGGCATGGTGGCACGTGCCTGTAATCCGAGCTACTAGGGAGGCTGAGGCAGGAGAATCACTTGAACCCGGGAAGCAGAGGTTGCAGTGAGCCGAGATCATGCCATTGCACTCCAGCCTGGGTGACAGAGCAAGACTCTGTCTCAAAAAAAAAAAAGAATCTTAAAATGGGGAGATGATCTTAGATCATCTGGATGGGCTCAATGTAATCACAAGCTCCTTGTGATAAGAGACAAGAAGGTCAAAGCTGGAGAAAGCAATGTGGTAACAGGAATAGAGGTTTTAGTGATGCAGTCATGAGCCAAGGAATGCCAGAAGCTGCTAGAAGCTGAAGAGGCAAGGAATAGATGAACCCCCAAAGCCTCCAGAAGGAACCAGTCCTGCTGAGACTTTTACTTTAGTCCATGGAGGTTGGACTTCTGACCTCCGGAACTATGATATAATAAACTTATGTTGTTATTGAGTTTGTGGTGACTTGACACAGCAGCAATAGGAAACATGTACAAATCCCCTATGCACATTTCTGGAGCCTTTGCTCCGCATGCTGCCTTCTCTCTCACACTTCTTCCTGTATATTTCAGTCCCCTTCCCTTTCCTGGACTTGGTTTTGTTTCTCCCAAGCACAATGAAGTCACTGTGCTCTGCTCGTGTCCCCTCTTCTGCTCTGCGGTCTAGAAACTGCCTCTGGGAAGAAGGCTGGGGTGGTTGTAGGGCTCATTTCACTGGCTTACCCCTTTTCAGGGGCCACAGTCCTCTGATGGCTGTGATACAATGTCTGAACACAGTCCTTCCATATTTTGTTTCATTTTTTAAGTTGTTTATAGCAGGAGGGCTGGTCTGATAATAGTTACTTTGTCACGGCCAGAAGTGGAATTCTATTCAATTTTTATATCTAAAAGTTCTGTTGAGTTCTTTTTGAAACTTCTTGGGAATTAAATCTCTTGTTCTTTATTGATTTTTTTGGATTCCATCTTTCATTTTTTTTAAGCTTTGACAGATAGTTATTTTGATTTCCGTATCTAAGTCCAGTATATGAAATCCCCGGGTAACTAAATCTGCAGTCATTCTTTCTGCTGGTTCTCACTCATGGTGTGTTTGTTTTCTTCTGAGTGAAATGGTTTCTGATTGTGAACTTATACCTGATGGAAGTTAATCTGTGGGAACTTTGAGGGCCTCAACTGGGATGGCTGTTCCCCATAGATAATTTGTAGTTTGCTTATTCCAGGAGTCAAGGTGGGTGCGTCTCACCTAAGATGACCTTAGCTCTAGCTAAAGGGACCCTAGCCAATGCCAAGTCTGGAGTTCGATGCCTCAGTCTAGCAGATGGTCCTGGGCTTAGTCTGTATGTTCTAGCTCTAGAACAGGCATTTATTTGGTCCATGAAAGGTCTTCTTGATCATTGGCTTACTGGGACCATTCACACTTAGTTCCTTATACTTAGTTCCTTACTTACTTTGTCACCAATACTTACTGACTTCCCTTACTTTTTGGTATTGCAGATGGTATTGTAGTAGCAACATGTTTGTTTACTGTAGTGGAGAGTACTTCGAAGTACCTAGTTTGTTGTACTGCTGGAAGTATAAAAGTGGTACCTTTATATTTTCTTGTAATAATTTACTCTCTTTTGATGTTTTTAAAATTCACATGGAATTTACTTTGGGGTATGGCGTTAGGTAGGAACTAACCTTATGAAAATAGTGGATTGCCAAATGTCCCAAGTTCTCTTATTTTATGGTTCACTCATTCTCCACAAATTTGAAACTTCCTGTATCATAGTCTAAATTTCTCTCTTTTTTCCTATATTCTATTGCTTTACTGATGTTTGCCTCTTATGTCAATAGTGCTCTGCATTTATCTATATTTTGATATCAATTTTTCATAATTTCCCCAAATATATATATATATTTTTTTGATGGAGTTTTGTTCTTGTTGCCCAGGCTGGAGTGCAATGGCGCGATCTCGGCTCACTGCAACCTCTGCCTCCCAGGTTCAAGTGATTCTCCTGCCTCAGCCTCCCAAGTAGCTGGGATTACAGGTGCCCACCACCACGCCCGGCTAATTTTGTATTTTTAGTAGAGACAGGGTTTCACAGTGTTGGCCGGGCTGGTCTTGAACTCCTGACCTCGTGATCCGCCCGCCTTGGCCTCCCAAAGTGCTGGGATTACAGGTGTGAGCCACTGCGCCTGGCCTTTTCCCTGAATATTTCTTCTCTTTCATGTAATCCTTATAACGAGTTTCCTTTCAAATCCATCCTGTAGTAGCAACCCTATATCAACTATTGATAAATAGATGTAAAATATTACATGCTATGTATTCCACTTGCTAATAATCCTATTCTGTCTTATCTATTGTAAATTTTGGTCTCCCCAGGCCAAGTTTACTAATGGAACTTTACTGCATGACTTTGAAACTCTAGGCTCTTCTAACTGTTGGTACAAAAAGTCTCTATAACATAAGAGAAAATATTCCTCCTTCCCTTATTGTTGTAGAGAAAGGCAGATGGAATCCTGCATGATAAAACTGTTTCTGTATATGTTCTGTTTAACTAGGTAGTCTGAAAAGTCACTAGAACTTAGATACTATTGCTATATCCTGTGAAAGTGTTCCTTAACCTCTAGAAGATTTGTAAGTTCTGATTGGTTGATTTAATTAATAGCATATTGTTCTGGCAAAAATATTTAAATGGACATTTGTGTTTTTCAAAACGTATAAATACTTGTGAATACAAAAAGGGTCATGGACACTTCTCCCTTCTCCTCCATGCGTGAAGTAAGAAAAAATAAGACTTGGGCTAGATTTCTTATTTAATCAAAGATTTACAGTCTTGCCTCATTGAAATGAACAGCTGAGGCTGTGATGTGATTTGGATAAACTGAGCTGAAAGTAGAGCACTAAGGATAGTATGAGCCAATGTATGAGGCAATGAAAGGAATTAAGTTTTACTACGATTGATTATCAGTCAGGAGTCTCACCTGCCTCTGCCACGTGTTTCTAACCAGCAGGGAACACTGTTAAAGCTCTATCTTGCTGAGAAAAATCTAACATTAGGGCTTAGAGTAGGTTAAACTGCCATGATGGAGAGCTCCCAAACATGAAGTAGCTAGAACAGAAGTCAGTGAAGAACTCTACTCCACAATTCAAGAGCCCAGGTTCTTTTCATCTTGTCTTTCTTCCCCTCTAGTGTATTATACTCATCTTTTTTATTAAAACTGGGTTGTAACCAGCAGGAATGAGGAAGAGCAAATGGAGGGGACACAGTCTGGTCTTAGGGTGTTGAACTACAAGTGGCAGACATCACATCTGCTTGCATTTTACTGAAAAGACCAAGTCACGTGGCCATATCTAACTGCAAAGGATGCTGGGAAATATGGTGTAGCTGGCTAGTCATGTGACAGGCTATACTTTCAGTTGTATGGGATAAGGATAGAATGGATAGTGAAGGACAGATAGCAGTTTCTGTTACCCCTTTCCTTTCCATGAAAGAAGAGATTCCATATTATCTCCAACTTGCCACCAAATTTAATATTTTTTCATTGTTTGAATATATTTTTTTCTTAAGTCCAAACCCATATGAATTGAGAATTGAAATTCTAAGAGAATTCAAAGACCCTAGTAGAGACTCCAGCCTTTCTAGTAATGAATAGTATGCTTGCCAAAGTTGTTAATTCCCCCAAGGATTAGTGCTATGTATACTCCATGGATGACAAAGAAAAATAATTTCCTTCAGACAGCATCTTTGAATTGGAGGTGTTAGAAAATAAAGGTTGTAAGATATTTCAAATTAGATAGTTTCTATTTTGTTTAAATCCAAGAAATTGGTAAGTGCTTATAAAAACCTAAAATAAAAAATATCAAAGACTGCTTTATGGGTGTAGGGAGAAGTTAAGTAAAATTAAAAACAAAACTGATAATGTTTTACATATAATGATCTTTAAGAAAGATTCTCTCTACGCCAGGTGAAAAGGTAATAATTGTCAGAAAAAAAAAATGACGTCTTGGCCGGGCCTGGTGGCTCACGCCTGTAATCCCAGCACTTTGGGAGGCCGAGGTGGGCGGATCATGAGGTCAGGAAATCGAGACCATCCTGGCTAACACGGTAAAACCCTGTCTCTACTAAAAATACAACAACAAAATTAGCCGGCCGTGGTGGCGGGCGCATGTAGTCCCAGCTTCTCGGGAGGCTGAGGCAGGAGAATGGCGTGAACCCGGAAGGCGGAGCTTCTTGCAGTGAGCCAAGATCGCGCCACTGCACTCCAGCCTGGGCGGCAGAGGAGACGCCATCTCAAAAAAAAAAAGACATCTTAAAACTTCAGTGTTTGAAAAGAGAGCCAAGTCACTAATTATACTTATTATCTTTCAGAAATATATTACATAGCTTAATTGAATTAGTCTTGAAGGGACAGAATCTTATGGTTTTCATGTTGAAAAAGGATATTTTTAAGTGAAAAAATATCACTGAATTAAGTTATATGACATTTAATTAAAAGATAAATATTACGTTCTGATAAGGAAAAATGAAATCCATATAACTATGCAAAACAAATTAATACAAATTTATTAATAAAAATGTAATCAGTATTCTTATTTATTTATTTGTTTATTTTTTGAAATGGAGACTTGCTCTGTCGCCCAGGCTGAGTGCAGTGGCGCAATCTCGGCTCACTGCAAGCTCCGCCTCAGGGGTTCAAGCCGTTCTTCTGCCTCAGCCTCCCGAGTAGCTGGGACTATAGGCGCCCACCACCATGCCCCGCTAATTTTTTTGTATTTTTAAGTAGAGACGCGGTTTTACCGTGTTAGCCAGGATAGTCCCGATCTCCTGACCTCGTGATCTGCGCACCTCGGCCTCCCAAAGTGCTGGGATTACAGGCGTGAGCCACCGCGCCTGGCCGCAGTATTCTTATTTTTAAAAACATTCTATCTCTCAAAAGCTTTTGGATGAGTGAAAGGAAAATTCTAATCATTTCTGCTGAATTATAAGCTAAAGAACAAACATGTGAATTTATATCATGCCAACAATTAGTGGTCATAAAAACTCTTATTTTTTAAATTTTATTTTTTTAAGATGGGATCCTTCCATGTTGCCCAGGCTGGTCTTAAACTCCTGGGCTCAAGCGATCTGCCTGCCTTGGTCTCATAAAGTGCTAAGATTAGAGGTGTGAGCCACAATACCTAGCCATAAAAAATCTTAAAATGTTTTTATTTATTTATTTATTTACTTATTAGGAGACAGTGTCTCACTCGGTCGCCCAGATTGGAGTGCAGTGGTGGAATCCCAGCTCAGTGCACCCTCAAACTCCTGGGCTCAAGGGATCCCCCTGCCTCAGCTTCCCGAGCAGCTAAGACTACAGGTGTGCCTCAACAAATCTGTATTTTACTTTTTGTAGAGATAGGAGACTCACTTTGTTGCATAGGCTGGTCTGGAACTCCTGGTTTCAAGTGATCTTCCCACCTCAGTCTCCCATAGCCTTTGGATTGCAGGCATGAGTTATTGTGCTCAGCCAAAAATCTTTAAAGAACACTTTATATTTAGACTTTTTTTTTTCTTTTGAGACGGAGTCTCCCTTTGTCACCCAGGCTGGAATGCAGTGGTGTGATCTCGGCTCACTGCAAGCTCCGCCTCCCAGGTTCACACCATTCTCCTGCCTCAGCCTCCCAAGTAGCTAGGACTACAGGCGCCCACCACCATGCCCGACTAATTTTTTGTATTTTTAGTAGAGATGGGGTTTCACCGTGTTAGCCAGGATGGTCTTGATCTCCTGCCCTGGTGATCCGCCTGCCTCAGGCTCCCAAAGTACTGGGATTACAGGTGTGAGCCACTGCGCCTGGCCTGTATTTTAGACTTTTAATCAAGATATAGATGAGTGTAATAGTACTCAGTAAGAGAAAAATGAGAGAAGTATATTTTAATAACTCTGTATTCCAAATCAAGGCAAACTCTCCGATTGATTAAATTTGGGGGGTACATTTTGGGTAAAAGATGGCTCTTTGTGGTGTGAAAATCTGGAGATTTTCCCCAGTGAGAAATAGAAATGCAAAATGATATTTTAGCTCATGCAAGGATATAGATTTTTTTAAACGGCAAAGTAATTGTAACTTCCTAAATTTGCTTTATAAACTGGTTCTTGTATCAGATAAAATGGAAAAATATTTGTATCTACAGAGTTAAGATAAAAAGTTTCAAGATGTCATATTTTTCTGACAAATGCTTATTTTCTCTTTTTCTTTCCTTTTTTTTTTGTTGTTGTTGTTTGTTTTTTGTATTGAGACAGTCTCACTCTGTTGCCCACACTGGAGTGCAGTGTCACAATCAGTGCTTATTTTCAATAGTGATTGTGTTCTATGGTATTAACATAGGGCACTTTCTAAATTTCTTAATTGTTTAGGGACCATAATCTAAATCAAAATTCAGATAATTGAGTGAGTAATTTTACTGTATGCAGAGGCCACTAGTGAAATTAAAAAATCACTGAACACAGAAAATAAAACCCATGGTCATTGTGCAACCCTCATTTGTCTTCTTGTGTAACATATTTAATTTCTTAGAAGAGCTGGTAAAACTCATTTAAAAGAACTGCTGCTTCTCATATCGATATGTTTCTCAAGCCTGGTGAGCAGCGGTCCCCAGCCCCCAGGCACCTCTGGTTGATGGCCTGTTAGGAAGCAGGCAGCACAGCAGAAGTTGAGCGCTGGTGAAGCAGCTTTACTGCCTGAGCTCCACCTCCGTCAGGTCAGCAGCGACATTAGAGTCTCATAGGAGCACAAACCCTATTGCAAACTATGCATGGGAGGGATCTATGTTGCGTGTTCCTTATGAAAATCTAACTTATTGCCTGATGATCTGAGGTGGAAAAATTTCACCCTGAAACCAGCCTCCTCATCCCCTCCCCATCCATGGAAAAACTGTCTTCCATGAAAACTCTCCCAGGTGCCAAAAAGATTGGGGACCACTCCTGGTGCAGGCTGAATCTTCCCAGTACTCTTAAGGGACACAGGGTGTGGATGGGGCATACGTGATGCACAGTCCAGCATTCTTATGTTTCCAAGTCTGTGCAAGATGTCAAGAGCTTTATGGCATCTAAACTTCTTTTGCATCATCTAAAACTCTATTGGGTAATTTATTGTCCAATTCAGTAAACTAGTAGAATCACATCCAGATGTACAAAACAATACTCTGAATGCATAATCTCTGTTAAATCTACCCATGTGGAGAAATTCAGCCTAAGGTAAAATAATGTTCCTCCCACTTGGTGGATCACCCTCAAAATCCACTTTCCAAAAGAGTCCTCGGAATTGTGTTGACGTTAATAAACAAATATCTCAAATGCTGTCAATATGCAAACTTCCACTTTCAGAATCTGATTTTACATTTTACCCCATGAATGTTGAAATCCCATTCTGATTATTGCCTCATGGTAAGGAGGAGGACTGGAGGGAAGTTATTCCTTCTTTTTCTTGTATAGGGTCTCCCTCTAGAGAAGCAGTAACAGTTTGTCCAAGCCATGGAGAAGAGACTTTTCAGGAAAGGAGAGGGAGAGGCTCATCTCTGTTTGGGCGTCAGGAGCAGGACTCTTCTTTGGCAAGCCCACTTGCCTGTGGGATTGCACCTAATGGGGAAAGTCAGAAGATAACGTTCCTGTCAACTTTATCTCCAGGCAGCAACCCTGGAGTGACAAAACATGTCACTCCTCATTCCCCTTTGTCTGTACCCCTTTCCCCTTCTTCCTCTTGCTCACTCATCTCTAGCATTATTTATTTATATTTGTGTGAATTTGTAGGGTACTAGTGCAATTTTGTTACGTGCATAGATTACATAGTGGTTAAGTCAGGGATTTTAGAGTATCCATCACCTGTATAAAGTACATTGCACTCATTAAGTAAGTTCTCATCATCCACTCCCTTCCACTCTCTCATGCTTCCAACTCTCTATTGTCCATCAGTCCACACTCTACGTCTATGTGTATGCATTTTTTTTTTTTTTTGAGACGGAGTCTCACTCTGTCGCCCAGGCTGGAGTGCAGTGGCGCGATCTCGTCTCACTGCAAGCTCCACCTCCCAGGTTCATGCAATTCCTCTGCCTCAGCCTCCCGAGTAGCTGGGACTACAGCTGCCTGCCACCACACCCGGCTAATTTTTTTGTAGTTTTAAGTAGAGACAGGGTTTTACCGTGTTAGCCAGGATGGTCTTGATCTGAATACCACGGAAACGATATGCCCTTTTTGGTGCATCCTACTGAGAGGCCCAGAATGTCTGTGTGTCTGATACTCGCCATGTGAACCTTGACCACTGGGTTAAGTTGATGAAATTTCTACACTGTACACTTTGATGAAATTTCTCCACTTTATAGTTACCGTCTTTCTTGTTGTAGTTCAGTATCTTGGGGGAGACTATGTACATTCCATTCCCCCCAAAATTTCACCCACTAATTTTTGCCTCTACTGTGGGATTGTGTCTGCAGCCTTTATTCCTGGTGTTTGCCTGTTGGCAATGTTTCTATCTTCATTTCTTCATTGGAATTCTGTGAAGAAGCATCATCTCTTCTCCATTTGTTTATTGATTTTTGCCATTACTAATATCAGCATGATGGATATTCTATTCTGTGGGTTAAAATCTAATATCATCCTTTATTTTGTTGCTCAAATTATTCCATCCTTGGCAATTAGGAGCTCCTTCAGGTTGGGTCCTGTTTGGACAAATTCCTTCCTTCCTTCCTTCCTCCCTCCCTTCCTTCTTTCCTTCCTTCTTTTCTCCTTCCTCCCTTCCTTCCTTTCTTCCTTCCTCCCTCCCTCCCTTCCTTCCTCCCTCCCTTCCTCCCTCCCTCCCCTCCTTTCCTTCTTTCTGTTACTACCTCTTCACTTTCTGGTATACAAGATGCTCCAGGCTCGTCTTCTATGTTCTCTGCCCCAGCCCTGGAGTCAGTCACTTCCCCTGAGAACCCTGATTTCTATTACTGGAAATTGGAGCTTAGGGACCAAGCTCTGGGCACAAAGCATGCTCATTGTTATAGGGTGTCATTGTTTGGCTGCTCTGATGAGCAGAGCCCATTTAAATTTTGTCAGTTGTCTGAGATCTCCTGTGTGCAGGGTCCTGTGTGGCCCTGGTGCAGCAATGATATTCTACCTGGTGTCTTGCTAATGGAAGCTGCTGGGTTGCAGATGAAGGAAGCCCCAACCAAGCCCCAACCAGGCTGGTTGGTTGAAGGAAGCCCACTAAGCAAGAGTGGCAGTGGCACCCCCTCAGTGAGGGTGGCAGAGGGACCTGGACCTGACCCACCACACAGTGTGGGGAACCTGGAAGTTTTTCTGGGCCCCAATTCCCTCTTGGATGGAACTTGAGCTTGTGCTAGATGAATGTGGAGGGCAGGATCCTTGAGGTCTTCCAGGCCCAAGACGTAGCACATAGCAAGATCCAGTGGTCCAGTGTGCTGTCACCACCATCACCCTCCACTGGGCCCTTGGCCAGGCCTGTGGTCTCCCTAAGGTGCAGGAGCAATGGCAGCAGCCCCTCGAAGAGCTACTGTAGGGCTGATGCCAGCATGCACGCCAGACTCTTGGGAGAGGGTTGGAGCATGGAGTTCACACAGCACAGGGAACTGTGGTGGGGACCTTCACTCTGGCCAGTACCTGAATGTGAACATCAGAGCATCCTCCAGGACAAGGAGGGGTGAGGTCCATGTTGTCCCCAGGGTCAAAGAGGGGGTAGTTGTGGAGATCCACACTGGGTTAGGGTAGTGTTGGGCTGCAGAGGTGGAGCAGAGAGCTGGAGGATGTTGGGATCAGCTGTGTTAAAGAAAAAATATTCCTGGTGCTTTTTAAAACCCCATAAGGCCAACTTTGTTCAGGCCCATTGAGATAGGTACAGGGTCTTGTAGTGGGAGAGAGATATTTGGCTCAGTTCCAAACACAGCATGGACAACTGGGGATTGAGAGCCAAGAGCAGGTTGGGGGTTGCCGGATGGAGAATGACGGAGGGAAAACAGCAGGGGGAAGGGCCATTCTGGCTCAAGCCGCCTAACAGGATTGTTGCTGAAAGCTGGCCACAGCGACCAGACAGCACCCAGGGTGTGGTAGGGGATGGGGAGTCTGGCCAGTTAGTGAAGGTGACCAGATGACTGAGGATGGGGTATTCTGGCTAAATTGATTTAGTAGGATCCTTGATAAAATTGGACAATGGAGGCCAGGTGCTGTGGCTCACGCCTGTAATCCCAGCACTTTGGGAGGCTGAGGCGGGCGGATCACCTGAGATCAGGAGTTCGAGACCAGCCTGGCCAACATGGTGAAACCCCCTCTCTACTAAAAATACAAAAATTAGCCAGGCATGGTGGCAGGTGCCTGTAATCCCAGCTACTTGGGAGGCTGAGGCAGGATAATTGCTTGAACCCTGGAGGTGGAGGTTGCAGTGAGCCGAGATCGCACCACTGCACTCCAGTCTGGGCAACAGAGGGAAACTCCATCTCAAAAAAAAAAAAAAAAAAATTGGACAACGCAGAGACAAACATAGAAATCCCCAAATCAGGGCTTGGTTGAAAGAGAGTTCAGTGGAGCCTGAGTAGAGTCTAGTTAAGGAGAGAACCTTGTCAGCTGCCCTCATGGCTTGGGGCCTGGAGTCTTCTCTCCCACAAAGTCCAGATGTCAAAGCTAAGAGGACACCAGGCCGGGGACTTGACTGGGCTTCTGGGTCCCCTGATGCAAAGTGGAAAAAGTGTCTAAGTTGAGGTTTTGTAACACGCCATTTACCAAGGCTGAGTTGGCACTGGTCTTAAACAGCATATTCCCAGAACATTGACAGGCGGATGCTGCCCTTACCATCATTCTGCCATGGGCCTATACACAGACCAGCAGCTGTGGGCAGGCAGCCTGCCTCAGCCGGGTGGAAACACTGTGTGTTTCCCTGTGTTTAGTTCCCGTGGGTTTGCACAGCTGGTAATGATAGGATTGGGGATCTGGGATGCATCATCCCGGAGTGCTGGAGCCTTGGGTGGAGCTGGAAAGTGGAGCTGCAGGGACAGAGTAGGGAGGCAGTGAGGCCCTGACAGGGAGGGCCCTGGTGGCAAGGAGACATCATTTCATCATTTTGCAAGTGAGGTCCCCCCGAGGGAGTTTCTGGAGCAGCGCAGGTGTCAGTAAAGCATCTTTCCCACATTCTGGATGCCTGGCAGGTCTACCCTCCCTGGTGTCCCTTACCTGGCTGTGGCGGCCACCAGCACTCTGACCTGCCAGCATCTTCAGGTCTCAGTGCTGTATTCCAAGAGCCATCGCCACTGAAAATTAAAACTGCCATCCCCTCCAGATGCAGTCCAGAGGGCAGGAGGGGCAAACTGGACTAGGTAGCGGGGTGCTTCTTGAGGCCACCTGGGGAAGAGCATTCTCTTTCAGGGACCCTGGTGTCCCCAGGGGCTGACAGGGCTCCACCGATTCAGCTCCAGAGCCTACCAGGGCTGGCACTGAGGTCAGAGAGCCCAGGAGTCCAGGAAGGAGAATCTTGGAGCTCCCATGTCCAGGGACACTCACTGCCCACCCTCACCCAGAACTGCTGCTCCCGAAGGATTTTACACATCGCTGACGGAGATGAGCCAAGTGGGACAAGCAGTCTCCATGACTGGAATAGAAGGGCTGCTGTGGGGCGCCCCTGATGGCCAGCTGTGGGGCCTTGTCTGAGCCACACCCTCCTCTGAGTCTCAGTTTCCTCTTCTGTGGAACAGAATTAATGATGGACCACCCAGGAGCAAATGATATCCTTGTGTGAGGGCCTGGCACGTACAAAGTATTTAGAACTATGTATTCATCATATATTCCATGTACAGATGGATATGCAGTTATTTCATAAAGAGTTCTTATTTAATTCCAATTTAATATGTAATACTTTACTCCTTCCTTTTGACCAGTTGCTACAGAAAGCAAATTCTGTTTTGTGGTGGGCTTTCACCTCAGGCCACTGATTGGTGTGTTATATGTTATATAACATATAACACAGCACAGTGTGTTATATGTCTATGTAGGCTCTCAGAGGGAGGCTGCCATTCCTAGGCTGCTGGGCCCTGGCAGGTCAAACACAGCCAGTGCCCTGTGGCCACGTGCCCAGATGCTGAAGCTTGTTCCTGGCTCAGCAGTTTGGAAACAGTTGGTGCCACCACCTGTTCCTTCTCCTCCAGAATCAGACCGGAGGGTGGAGGCTAGCAGGAGCGGGTGTGAGACCATCCGCTGGAGTGACAGGAAGCTGCAATTGATGCTTCTCCTGTGAAATGTCACAAGCTCATGGCTGAAAGTTGCAAAGAATGGAGAGCATGTCCAGCCCTCTGGGATGAGGCACTCACACCTTTGTGCTCCTAGGTAGCAAAGGAGGACTATCTTATTGGTGTGGGCAGCCGCTTGGATATTTAAAAACCCAACAAATAAAGCTTGGAATTGAAGTGTTTCTTCATTTTTCTGGGGGAAATCCACATTGCTCAAACCTCAAGTGAAGACACCTTTTCTTTGGTGAGGCTTTTTTTTTTTTTTGAGATGGAGTCTCACTCTGTTGCGCAGGCTGGAGTGCAATGGCGCGATCTCAGCCCACTGCAACCTCTGTCTCCCAGGTTCAAGTGATTATCCTGCCTCAGCCTCCCCAGTAGCTGGGATTACAGGTGTGAGCCACCACACTGGGCTAATTTTTGTATTTTTAGTAGAGACGGGGTTTCACCATGTTGGCCAGGCTGGGCTCAAGTTCCTGACCTCAAGTGATTTGCCCACCTCGGCCTCCCAAAGTGCTGGGATTACAGTCATAAACCACCACGCCTGTCCTTGCTGAGGCTTTTGAACACAAAAGTTGCCATGGGCTCAGGCCATTTAGGGCTGAGTTCCATGGTAACACGTGGCCAACACTTTCCGGGCAGGCCAGGGACCACGTTGTGGGGCAGGACTTGGGGCTGACCCTGGACATATTGCAGCTGTCACTCTCCTTAGTGTTTTAGGAGTCATGAAACAGCTGTTCTCTGAGAGGTGTGTGAGTTTTGGGTGAGAAGACCCAGATTTGGATAATTAAATGACACTGCCTAGGGAAAGTACCTGGAACATAATGGATACTTAGAAAACAAAGGAAATTCCTTTTTTTCCCCCCCGGTTTTAGTTTATTATATATTACTTTTTTTTTTTTTTTTTGAGACAGAGTCTTGCTCTGTTGCCCAGGCTGGAGTGCAGTGGCACAATCTCGGCTCACTGCCAGCTCCGCCTCCTGGGTTCACGCCATTCTCCTGCCTCAGCCTCCTGAGTAGCTGGGACTACAGGCGCCCACCACCATGCCCAGCTAATTTTTTGTATTTTTAGTAGAGACGGGGTTTCACCGTGTTAGCCAGGATGGTCTCAATTTCCTGACCATGTGATCTGCCTGCCTCGGCCTCCCAAAGTGCTGGGATTACAGGCGTGAGCCACTGCACCCGGCCTATTATACATTTCTCATCACAACAAAAGAAAACAAGAAGAATATTTGCACAGAGTCCCACCATGTACTCTGTCCCCTCCACATGTGCAGAAATAGTTTTGACCAGGTGGTAATTGCAGCTTTCATGATTCTGTTTTCATTGTTTGCAGTGTTTTCCCATGTTGCCACATAACACTCCTGATTATTTTAACAGCCACATGGTATTTTGTGCATCAGCTCTTCAGGAGCAAAAAACCATTTAGTGAGACAACAGCATTTTTCCTAGACCACGAGTCTATGTTTTTATTTGTGGGATTTTTCCCGGCATAGCGAAGGCCAGATCAGGACAGCTAGAGTGTGGAACCCAGAGCTGTCTCCACAGGAAGGGATGAGAAGCACAGGATTACCTGGGTCCCGAGAGCTATCCCCGGGCATTGCCTTTTGGTCCAGACACTGCGTGGGAAGTCACCTGCCATGTGGGAATGTAGTGACCAATTGGCAGCCCCGTGAGGCTGACCCTGTGGGACTGGGGTGCAGGCTGCCTGCCACACTGCTGGTTCTTGCCCAACACAAGTCCCAAGAACAAACCAGAAATGCGGACCCACAGGAGGTCCTCAGCTTGACAGACCTGCGCTCCCCTTGTAAGAACAAGGGGTCTGGGCCGGGTGTGGTGGCTTACGCCTATAATCCCAGCTACTCTGGAGGCTGAGGCAGGAGAATCATTTGAACCTGGGAGGCAGAGATGGCAGTGAGCCAAGATCACGCCATTGCACTCCAGCCTGGGCGACAGAGTGAGACTCCATCTCAAGAATAATAATAATAAAAAAAAAAGAACAATGGGTCTGGAGGGTCTTGGGTCCACATGCTCTGGGTGGTATGTGGTGTCCTGGGTTTGCAGGAATTTCTCTGTCCCTCTGTAAGATAGGCGTGTGAGAGTGTAAAAATGAGCCATTGTTCATGGTGCCTTGAGACTATCTGGGCAGAGTAGGGTCTGTGGCTCAGGGCTTGGTGAGAGAGAGGCCCCCATCGGAGAAGGGAAAAAGCGCTCGATTGCTGATTTCCACCCATGTCTACCTCCTGTCAGGGACCGCAAGGGCAAAGAGTAGAGAAGCACCAGCAAAGAACTGGCTGGGACCCAGGAAGGACAGGGTGGGAAGAATCCCATGGCCATAGGAGAACATTTATTAAAAGCAAAAATGTTGCAATATGTTTCAGGGTGAGAAAAACACACCTAAAATAACAGGCCTGGTAGAGTCTGATTAAAAAATAAAAAGCACATGTAAATACTGGAGTAGTAGAATGGTACCAGCTGGCATGAACAGAGCAATGAGCGGGAGCTGGGCTGTGTGTGCATTTGTGTCCCATGGAATTCTCTGGCAATGCTGAAGGAGGCCCGGCTAGATGTAGATGTCCACTTTACAGCTGAGGGTAACAAGGCCCCTCGCTTGAGGTGTGGGCCGAGGCTCGGACCTCGGTTTTGGCACTTAGGGACATCCTTTTCCTTCAAAATGTTTTCTCTTCATTGCTTTTTTTTTTTTTTTTTTTTTTGAGGCAGAGTCTCTCTGTCACCCAGGCTGGATGGAGTGCGGTGGTACAATCTCGGCTCACTCCAACCTCTGCCTCCTGGGTTCAAGCGATTTGAACATCATACACATACTGCTGAGACCAGCTCTGTCCGGGAGACCCTAACCCAGCGGCACTGGAGGAATTAAAGACACACACACAGAAATATAGAGTGTGGAGTGGGAAATCAGGGGGTCTCACAGCCTTCAGAGCTGAAAGCCTCGAACAGAGATTTACCCACATATTTATTGACAGCAAGCCAGTGATAAGCATTGTTTCCATAGATTATAGATTAACTAAAAGTATTCCTTATGGGAAATAAAGGAATGGATAGTTATCTGCAGCAGCAGCATGTCCTTAAGGCACAGATCGCTCATGCTATTGTTTGTGGTTTAAGAACGCCTTTAAGCGGTTTTCTGCCCTGGGTGGGCCAGGTGTTACTTGCCCTCATTCTGGTAAACCCACAACCTTCAGCATGGGCGTCGTGGCCATCATGAACATGTCACAGTGCTGCAGAGATTTTGTTTATGGCTAGTCTTGGGGCCAGTTTATGGCCCAATTTGGGGGCCTAGTCCCAATACATACCACAACACAACATGCACACATAAACCATACACGCACCATGCATACAACACACACTACACATTGCACACACACCCCCATATCACACACACAACACACAACATACCACATATACAACACAACACATACCACACCACACAAAAACCACAAAACATACCATACACACATCACATCCCACATACAACACATACACACAACACACATACACCACAAAGCGCATTACACACACCATACATCAGATACACTATACACAGCCTACCACACATACACACACCACATATACATGCCACACGCTGCACACACACCGCACACACAAGCATGCACAGCACACACACACACACGGCACACACACGCACATGCACGCACAGCCTCTGCACCAACACCTCTTTAAGCAAGTGCCTATTTTCCACTCCACCCTCTCTAAGCCTGGAGGAAAGTGCACACACCTAAAAAGGGGTTTCCTTGTGGTGAAGGAGCAAAGAAAGTTACTGCTGCCCCAGGACCCTCTAGAAAGTCTGGCAGAGGTAATGGCTCCGGGCAGAGGTGTCAGGAAAAATAAACAGCATTTCCCCCTTGGCCTAAGGGACCCGCTCCGCCCTCAGCCCCCAGCCCTTGTTGTCATGGAGAGCGGCCTGTGCACCCGAGCCGGCGCCCCTAGCCCTCCCACTGGCTCTCCGCAGGCGGCTTTGTCAGGGCTCAGCGTCCCTGCAGCTGCCGGGAGAGGAGGAGACAGGGCGGCTGCCTGTGGGTGCCGCGGACCTTCGGGGCGGGCCAGGGAGGCGGGACCGCTCCTCAGAACCCCAGGGGCTTCAGTCCTGGGCTGATTGGCGCGGGAAGCACAGCCCGGCCCTCCAGGTCCCCAAGGAGACCCCAGCCTCCTGCTGCCCACTGTGAGCGACCTCCCCGGGGCTCCTCTGGAAGCGGCTCCGGCAAGTATCGAGTTTGCCTGTGCGGAGCTGGGGGAGCCTCCGGCTTTCCTGTTTGCTTTGTTAATTATTTTCGTCCCCAGAGGAAGGCGGTGAGTAGGTTACATTGGAAAAGGTGGCAATTTTCGCTTGTTTCAGGTGGCTTTGAGATCCTGTGTGGGCTCATTTTTCTGGGTGTCTGCGGCTGAGCAGGGCTTCTCCAGGGGGCGGGCTGGTGAGACCCTTCTGCAGAAGGAGGAGGTGACTGCCTGGTGTATACTTTGAAGAGGGGTTTTAATCAGCTTTCTGCCCCCTCCTGAGCACAGCCCAGTGGAGACTGAGCTGAAGAAAACCACCTTGGCAGTCCTCGCGGTGGGTCCTGGGACCCCCGGCTCGGGAACAGGATTCTCCAGGATACCTACTGAATGATTAAGTGCTGGGCTGGACTGTGATGAGACCTGTTTTATTTCTGGACTTCTCCACCCTTCCCCATTCTTCCCATTTCTTTTCAAATGGATGGGAAAGGAAAATAGTCTGCTTGAAAAAAAGAACACATATCATTGCCTGGGCGATTGCCATGGCAACGGGGACCCCATGTCGGATGCTGAGATTGTCTTTTCTTTTTGTTACCTTATTCTTGCCACTCGGCATTTCCCCTAAGTGTCACTTCTCATAAGGGAGAATATAAAACCAGGGCGAAAGCGGGTGCTTTGGAGCTGCTAGGCAGAAGTTTGAGGTTCATTAAGACCTCCAGTTCTTCGGATAGACATGGGCCGAAAGAGGCCGCAAGGCTGGCCGTGTCCCTTTTTGTAGTTCGTGCCTCTGGTCCTTGGGGATCCATGTTGTCCCGGCTCTTTGACTGCATGTTTCCTATGCTCTGTGTCTGTGAATTAGGGCAGTTAGAATGTTGTCATTTTCTGGGATGGCTGGGAAATACAGGTATCATTGCCTAAAATCAGTTTGAAGTGTAAACAATGAGTGCGTGTGTGTGTGTTACATCTATGTATGTGTGTGCACAGGATTTAATGTTGTGAACTATTAGGATGACAGCAAACTCCAGCCCCAGTGAGGTTGACCCTCTTTTTCATATTGTGCAGAAAGGTTAAACATTTCTCAACAGCAGGGAAACCTGGCTGCTTTCTGGCCACTGTCCATAGCTCTTCTTCCCAGGCCCTTGTGTTGGGGCAGGGGTGGTCAGCTGAAGGCCAGCTGGCTTTGGACACAACGCCTTCTCTGTGTTGTGCCCAGGGTCCCAGCTCATTCACTGAGAGTTAGCAGCTCACACCATCTGTTCTGGGATTGGGCTGTGTCCCAAGTATCCCTCCTCATCCTCAAACCTCAGGACTCACTGGGCAGAGGTTGGGCTGGGACTGGAGGCCTCAGTTTCCTTATCCGCAAAATGAGGGTTATGACAGCTCATCCCTTGGGCCTTTAGTTGGGCTCCTAGGGGACTGCAGGCTTCTTCAAGCCCATCGTGGTACTGGCTTTTCTCTGGACACCCCAGAGAGGGGGTCACACATGATCTGGGGGAGGTCAGAGCAGGATGCATCCTCCTGTCACCATGAAGCACATGTGCTGAGGGACTGGTGCCTGGAAAGGGGAGCAGTGTGGAAGGAAATCTGGCCTCATCCCGTGGACCAGTGCCTCAGTTTCTCCATTTGTAAATGGGGCTATGTGTCACCCACTGGTGGCTTGCTGTTGGGTGAAAGAGCTGAGGACTGCATTTTTGCTGTGTGTGACCTATATGGAAGCCTGTCATCCATGACAGTGTCTGACAAGCGCCTGCCAGTCTGCAGCGGGGCGTCCGTCCACTCTGGCTATGGGGACATGTGGGCCCATTTCCTCATCATCCCTGCGTGTCCCTTCCCAAGCTCATGAGCAACAGTGCTGACTCAGTCCTGCAGCATCAGTTCAGTCTTGGGGTGTCGTCATTCTCCAGGACATCCCAACGAGGGATATCCAGCAGCCTTCCTTGAGGGTCCCACCCTCAGGGACAGGATGGGTTTGGGTGGTAGCCATAGCTCCACAGTCTCAGGTTGCCCAGGGCCACCAGGCAGCGGCTCTTGGCCCTGAGTGTATCTGTGTGGTCCAAGAAGAGGCGAGGTGCTTGTGTGTGCAGAAATGTGCCAGGAAGGACAGGGGAGACTCAGGCTTCCTCCACAACACCCCTGTTCGAGTGTGCCAGTGAGGGGTGGGGCTCCCTTCTCCCACCACAACCCTCTGAGGAGCTCTCCCTGTCCTGCTGGCCAAGGAGCCCTGTGCCTACCGGCAGAGGCTCAACTAACCAACCAACTAACCAACAGCTGACCAACTAACCAACCAGCTAATTCATCAACTCCCTTTCTCTTCTCTGTTTTCTCCTTTTCCTCCTACTCCCTCCTTTTCCTCCCTTCCTTCCCCCCTCCCTTCTTTCCTTCCTCTTTTTTTTTTTCTTTTTCTCCTCCCTTCATCTGTTCACCTGTTATTCCAGGAAGGATCTGGTTCAGCATAGAGTGCAAAGGATAAAAAGAAGCAGGTGGGGCCAGGCACAGTGGCTTACGCCTGTAATCCCAGCACTTTGGGAGGCTGAGGCAGGTGGATCACGAGGTCAGGAGATCGAGACCATCCTGGCTAAGACGGTGAAAACCCGCCTCTACTAAAAATACAAAAAATTAGCCGGGCATGGTGGCGGGTGCTTGTAGTCCCAGCTACTCAGGAGGCTGAGGCAGGAGAATGGCTTGAACCCGGGAGGCAGAGGTTGCAGTGAGCTGAGATCGGGCCACTACACACTCCAGCCTGGGCGACAGAGCAAGATTCCATCTCAAAAAAAAAAAAAAGCAAATGGGTAAAAAGTAAGAGCAGGAAGAGCAGGTTGGATTTGCCAGACAGAACTTGTCATGGGGATGACGAAGTCTGAGGACACTGGGGAGGCTCCAGCCCCACGCAGCTTGGCAGTCCTTGCTCACAGAGGCCAGGACTGTTCCGTGCGGATTCTGGACTTGGACCAAAACTCCTGGGTCCCTGACTGATGGTGGGGAAAGAAGGGGGCAGGAGGGGTTCATTCAAGGCTGGCAAATGTAGCCCGAGTCCCTTCTGACCCCTGGTAGGGCCCTCATGAACTGTGGAGGCTGTGGTAGTCTGTGGCTAGGGTGCCTGGTGACATTTGGTCTAAAGAATTAAATCCAGTGCAGATGAGTCCACCCAGGAGGAATCTGTGGACGACAGCCCCTAAGTGACCTGGGGACGGCTCAGGGACAGTGCTGCCCTTTCTGCCTAGGCAGATGGAAATGGAGCCAGGGTCCTTGTTGTGCCACGTCCCCTGCGTCCAGCACTGGAGATTGGCTTCTCCCCAAGATCTGGCTGCCCCTGGCCTGCTTGGGCCCTGAAGAGAATGAGGAGAGGCAAGGGTGCCTAGGAGAAAGGTGGTAGAGGTGGTGGGAGCCCTGCAGGCTGAGGGTTGTGGCCAGGGGCTGCTGAGACACCAAGTTGCTCTGGGGGTCCCGCTCTAGGTCTAGTGTGTTCATGAGGGAATTCCAACCGGCCTTTAAGGAATGTGGGGCTTTTAGAAGGAAAATGGTATATAGCATACTAATATGTGCTTGTTGAATGAATACATGAAGAAGGCCTTTTATTTTTCTAGTTACTGATATCCAGTAATTCTAAGTATTCCTAGCTTGTCTTCTCTGGGTAAATTACTTTGCTTCTCAGAATATGCCAGCTAGACACAACCCATAAGGTAGAATTTTTCATTGAAATGTGTCTTACGTGGAACTTGTAACTTCCTAAAATAAAGTTGTGTAGCCAAACAGGATGGCTCATGCCTATAATCCCAACACTTTGAGAGGCCGAGATGGGTGGATGGCTTGAGTCCAGGAGTTCAAGACCAGGCTGGGCAACATTGTGAAATCCTTGTCTGCAAAAAATACACAAATAAGCCAGGTGTGGTGGCATGCGCCTGTAGTCCCAGCTACTCGGGAGACTGAGGTGGGAGGATTGCTTGAACCCAGAGGTTGAGGCTGCAGTGAGCTGTGATTGTGCCACTGCACTCTAGCCTGGGTGACAGAGCGAGACCCTGTCTCAAAAAAATTAATTAATTAATGAAAGTTGTGTAGATTTTGCCAGATGTAGGGTTGTGTCTGAGCACACTCATGTTCTTGGTCCTTGAAACACTGGTGCCTGAAGGATTCATGTAGCTGCGGAGGTGGTAAACTGAATGAATAAAACTGCTGGTCTTTGACCATGCAAAATAGGTGTAAAGTAGGCTTGGGGGGATCTCAGTCAGAAGACCCTGACTTTACGGCTGCAGAGAGGATGCCTCTGTCCCCCAGCTCCAGGGCAGACAAAATCTGAGGGTCTAAGATCTTCAGTGGCAAAAGGGGCATCTGGTTTTTTGACCCTCTCCCTGATCTTGCTTTTAAACAAGTTCCAAAATATTTTGTCTGCAAAACAAACTATGCTGCATAAGGAATAATTCGTGGCCCTAATTCATCCATTAGAGACCACACTTGACTCCCCAAGGGCTTCTTAATATCCCTGGTTTCCAACTCATGTGAGTCAATGCAGGGGGTGACCAGAGCACATCTCTGTTTATTTTCAAGTATGCAAAGGATATATACACATATCATTGTTGAAAGTCAATTTTTTTTTTTTTTTTTTTTGGAGATAGAGTCTTGCTCTGTCGCCCGGGCTGGAGTGCAGTGGCACGATCTCGGCTCACTGCAAGCTCCGCTTCCTGGCTTCACCCCATTCTCCTGCCTCAACCTCCCAAGTAGCTGGGACTACAGGCACCCGCCACCACGCCCGGCTAATTTTTTGTATTTTTTAGTAGAGACGGGGTTTCACCGTGTTAGCCAGGATGGTCTTGATCTCCTGACCTCGTGATCCGCCTGCCTCGCCCTTCCAAAGTGCTGGGATTACAGGTGTGAGCCACCGCGCCCGGCCCGAAAATCAAACTGTTTTAAAGCTGAAGGCCCCCCCATCCCATCCTCTACCCTCCAATCCTAAGGCCCTCCTTAACATTATGAAGGTTGAGCAAGTGTGGCTCAAATCTCTCCCTCCTTCCCCCTCTTTCTCCTTCTCTTCCTTCCTCACTCCCTCCCTTCTTTCTCTCTTTCCTTCTTTCTCTCCTTCCTTCCTTTTCTCTTTCCTTCCCTTTTTTCCTCCTTCCTTCATTCTTTCCCTTTTTTCTTCTTTAGAATAGTGCTGCTGTGATCACCCTTAGGTGCCTCCAGTTCTAAGCTTTCTGATTACTTCTTCCCCCGAGGTCCTCCAGCTCAGCATCTGCCCTTAAAGGAAACCTAAATAAACATGTGTTGTTGCATTCTGAATAGCCTCTGGTTGATCAGGAGCTTAGACTAAGGATTGAATAGTAAACGGTGGATCCAAGTGATTGTGAGAATACCACTTGGCAGAATGTGATGTCTGGATTGGACATGGAGTGCATAGGAAAGGACCCGCACCTCCCTGGGCATATGAGTGTTTCTGGTTGACGCTGTGCAGCTGCCGCATAACAATGCTGGAATTATCCTTTATTCAGGGCCTGATTGAGTGGGGGCGTGGCCACCCCTTTATTGCCTTATTTTTTAATGTATATCATTCTCTATTTACACATTGATAATTTTTTCCTACAGGGTAAAAAAAAAATGCACCAGATGCAGCACTTTTGTGTAAGTATAGACACATCAGGGCTCTTTGTTAAGGATAAGAAACAATCGCTTCCACTTCAGGCTCTAATGTTATCATAGCCAACTGCCAGAGCCGCTCTGTAATTACGTCTCCTGAGTGGAAAGCTCTCAAAATGCCACTTGGTCTAAGAGTTTGAAGCTGGGCTTGCCTCTCCACTTTGGCCAAGATGACTAAAGCATCACATATTTTTAAAGCAACTTTTAAGAAATGAGGTATAGTGAGTGATGACTAGCCAGCTTCTCGCTGCTCACACTGTAGCATTTTACACACATTTTCCCAGGGAGCCCCCAGGAACTTGGTGTCCAGGGATATTTTCCCCATGTTGGGGTGAAGGGGCTCACACAATGTCACCTGCACACGGGCCTCACAGTTCCAGATCTGGGCTTGTCCACTCTCCCAGCTGCCTGCCTGGGAGGAAGGCAGGTAAAGTTAAGGGCAGTGCCAAGGTTTAGGAAATATTGTCTGCCTTTGGACCAAATGTAATTTCAATTTAAAGTAACCTAGAAAATGTTTTGCAAAAAATGTGTTTTCAGAAAGCAGAATTACACTCAGTATCCCTTCTTTTTTTGGTTTCTCAACCACATCTTTCATTAGAGAGATTTAGGACAGCTAAGTAGAAATTAAATTTTCCATATGTAAACAGACATGGAGACAGCTGGCTTTCACTGGGCAATAGTTCCCGGCTGGGAATCTCCAATGAACAACTTCGATTCTTGTATTTTTAAACAGGTTGGCTTTCCTCCCAAATGCAAATATAATGTTCTACGTAGAAATTTATATGTTACTGAGAAGCATCAAGAAGCAAATGAAAATTCCCGGAAGCTCACCACCCAGAGACGGTCACTCTCAGGGTTTCACACAGCCTCTCTGCCAGGAGCTTTCATTTCCTTGGGTCTTGTCTATTGTTAGGTCACATGTTGAGTAGGATTTGTCTTGGAGCCTGAACGCTGACAAAGGTGCACCACCCTTGGACCCCATCCAAAGCCACACAGGAATGACTACTCTGGTCCCACCCACTTCCTGCCCTAGCTAGTGTGGTATTTTTGTGGCTTTCCCCTGTCTTGTCAGAAGAATGAGAGTAACTCAACATGGGCACTTTGTCCAATCCTTGGGTCTCAAGGGTTCTGGGAAGGATCCAAGAGCTGTGGTTCTCGGTTCCCAAAAGCAGGCAGGTGATTGGAGAAGCAGCCGGGCTCTGAGTCCTGTGCCCGTGTGGCCCAAGTGACTGGCTGTGACCCTAATAAGTGAGCAGAAGGGCAGGGGCCGGGGTCACCTTGCACAGGAAGTGGCAGCCATGAGGGTCTCTGCAGGCCAGAGCTGCTCCTTCCTCAGGGGCCATCTCCCAAGGATTCTTGTGTCCTAGGAGCCGCTCAGCAAATGGTTGTTGACTGACTGAGTGACCGCACTTTGGCCTCTCTGAACCTCAGTGTCCTGGTCATTGAATGGGACTCTTACTTCCAAGCTCTTTACTCCCCTGAGCCCTGGCCTCCTGGTTCCCCTTTGTCCTGCACCTTGGGCTGTGTCCTAGAGACCAGCCACCTCAGCTGCATCTTGCTAGGCTCTGAGTATCGTGGCCTTGACATTTCCTCCACCTCTCTGAACCACAGCTTTGTCTTCTGGAAAAGGAGAAATTAGAGGATGCTTGGAGCATCGTTGCCTGCATTCATGGAACTCACGGTCTGCCTGGAGAGTGATGGCGATATGGTGTCTATGTGTCCGAGAGCCAGCTGCACCCAGAGGGAAGCTCTAAAGCTGGTGTGGTCAGGTGGCCAAGGAGCAGAGGGAACAGACGTGAGAGGCAAGGCCCGTGAGGGTAGGGAGAGGTGCTCCCAATCATTGTAGAGGCCAGGAATGAGGCTGGGAGGCTGCAAGGGCCAGGTTCCAGCCGGGCCAACTCTGAGATGACGCTGAGGATTCCAGCTTTACTGTGAGTCACTTGTAGGCTCACTGCTTCTCTTAAGAGGCAAGGGATGGCCAGGCACGGTGGCTCACACCTGTAATCCCAGCACTTTGGGAGGCTGAGGTGGGCGGATCACCTGAGGTCAGGAGTTCGAGACCAGCCTGACCAACATGGAGAAACCCCATCTCTACTAAAAAAATACAAAATTAGCCAGGCATGGTGGTGCATGCCTGTAATCCCAGCTACCCGGGAGGCTGAGGCAGCCTGGGCAAAGAGAGCAAAACTCCCTCTCAAAAATAAAAATAAAAATAAATAGAGCCAAGGGATGCCACTAGCTAGTTGTTTAATTAAACTTTTTATTTTGAAATGACTGTATAGACACATAAGAGATAATGCAGAGATACTGTGGGCCTTTACCCGGGATTTCCCAGTGGTAACAGCTTGCAAAACGATATAGGACCATATCATAGCTCGGACCTTGACACTGGTACAGTCAAGACACAGAGCAGCACCAGCACAGGGAGCCTCCTGTGGCCCTTTGATGTCCACCTGCTCCCTGCCTGCCCCTGACAGCAGCCAATCTGTTCTCTGTTTCTACAATTTTGTCATTTTGAGAATGTTATATAAACGGAGTCATATAGCATGTAATCTTTTGAAATTATCTTTCTTCCACCAGCATAATCCCTTGGGATTCCTCTAAGGGAATTCATGCAGGGGAATCATCACACATCTAGGCTGCTGTGTGTGTCAATAGTGTTTCCTTGTTATTGCTGAGTGCTGTTGTGTGGCATGGATGTACCACAGTTAATGTGTAAATGACAACATAGTTTTCATTTCCATGTCTGCATGTTCATTGCCAGTATATACAAATTAAAGTGATTTTTGTGACTTGATTTTGTATCCCTGACCTTGCTAAATTCACATACTAGTTCTGGGAGTTTTGTTTGTTTGTTTGTTTGTTTGTTTTCGCTTCTTGGCATTTTCTTTGTAGACAGTCATGTCATTTGCAAACATGGACAATTTTATTTCTTCCTTTCTGCTCAGCATGCATTTTCGTTTCTGTTCTTGTTTTATTGCACTGGCTAGAACCTTCTCCACTGTGTTGAATAAGAGTGGTGACAGCAGGCATCCTTGCCTTGTTCTCACTTTGGGGGACTATTATGGGCCTGACTATGTCCCTGCAAAATACATGTTGAAGCCCTAATCCCCAGTACCTCCGAATGTAACTGTGTTGGAGACAGGGCCTTTAAAGAGGTAACAAAGTTAAAATGAGGTGCTGAGAGTGGGTGCTGATCTGTCATGACTGGTGTCCAAAAAGAAGAGCTGAGGACTCACAGAGGGACAACCACGTGAGGACACAAGGATATGATGGCTGCCTACAAGCCAGGGAGAGAGGCCTCAGGAGAAACCAACCCTGCCAACACCTTGATCTCAGAGTTCCAGCCTCCTGGAATGTGAGAAAGTAAATTTTTGACTTTTCAGCCACCTAGCCAGTGGGACTTTGTTATAATAACCAGGATAAACTAAGACACTGCCTTCCAGAGTACCACAGGGCACCTCTGTTCTGACTTCAGAAACTAGTTCTGCCTGTCTTTGAACTTCATCTAACAGTCTTTTGTGTCTGGCTTTGAGATCCATCCATATAATTGCTTTCTTTCTTTTTTTTTTTTTTTTTGAAGACAGAGCCTTGCTCTGTCTCCCAGTCTGGAGTGCAGTGGTGCAATGATAGCTCACTGCAACCTTGACCTCCGGGGCTCAAGCAGTCTCCTGCCTCAGCCTCTGAGTAGTTGGGACTACAGGCACATGCCACCATACCCAGCTCTACATCATTGTTATATCAGTGGCTTACTCCTTTTTATTGCTGGATCCTGTTCCATCCATATTATGGCTGCACCACACTTTGCTTATTACGCATTCTCCAGTTGTCAGACACTTGAAATTGTTTCCAGCTTTGAGTTATGAATACAGCTGTTCTGCACATTTGTGTACAGGTCTTTGTGTGGACAGATGTTTTCTTTCCTCTTGGGTAGATACCTAGAAGTGCAATTGCTGGGTCATAGAGAAGGTGTATATTTAACTTTGTGAGAAAATGCCAAACAGTTTTCCAAAGTGGTTGTACAATTTTCTGCTTCCACCAGCATGAGAGTTTCACACTGAGAGTTACGTTTGCTCCACATCCTTGCCAGCAGGTGGCATTGTCAGTCTTTTTCACTGTAGCGGTTCAGATGGGGCTGTAATCATTCCTCAGTGTGGTTTTTAGTTTCCCTGATGGCAGGCAGTGTTGCCCACCAGCTCATATACTTATTGTCTATTTAGGTAACTTAAGTCAAGTATATGTTCCAGTTTTTTTTTCTCATTTTAAAAATGGAATCGTTTGTCTTTTTTTTTCATTGATTTGTAGGAATCTTTTTGTATTCTGGACACAAATCTTTTATCAGATATATGTATTGCAAATGTTTTCTCCCAATCTGTGATTTGTCTTTGAAATTTTCTTTTCTTTTTTTTTTTTTTTTTTTGAGACAGAGTCTCGCTCTGTTGCCCAGGCTGGAGTGCAGCAGTAGCATGATCTCTGCTCACTGCAGCCTCCACTTCCCAGGTTCAAGTGATTCTCCTGCCTCAGCCTCCAGAGTAGTTGGGAGTACAGGCGTGCACCACTATGCCCAGCTAATTTTTGTATTTTTGTAGAGATGAAGTTTCACTATGTAGGCCAGCCTGGTCTTGAACTCCCGACCTCAGGTGATCTGCCCACCTCAGCCTCCCAAAGTAGTGGGAATACAGGCCACTGCACCCGGCCGCCTTTGAAATTTTTAAAAAATATTTAATTTTTTTTTTTTTTGAGACAGGGTCTCATTCTGCCACCCAGGCTGGAGTGCAGTGGCATGATCTCGGCTCACTGCAACCTCCACCTCCCAGGTTCAAGTGATTCTCCTGTCTCAGTCTCCCGAGTAGCTGGGATTACAGGTGCGCACCACCATGCCCAGGTAATTTTTGTATTTTTAGTAGAGACAGGGTTTCTCTATATTGGCCAGGCTGGTCTCCAACTCCTGACTTCAGGTGACCCACCCTCCTTGGCCTTCCAAAGTGCTGAGATTACAGGCATGAGCCACCTTGCCCGGCCTTAAAGACTTAATTTTTTTATAGCAGTTTTACATTCACAGGAAAATTGAGAGAAAAGTACAGAGATTTCCCATATATTCCCTGACCCCACATATTCAGAGACACTCTCTTTATCAACATCCTCCCCAGAGGAGACATTTGTTACAATTGATGAACCTGCACTGACACATCATTATCACTTGGAGTCTATATGTGGCTGGCCTTTTCACGTTCCTAATGGTGCCTTTTGATAAGCAGAAGTTTTCTATGTTGATGAAACATATTTTCAGGTTGAAGAAGTTGTTTATAAAGTTTTTTTTGTGTGTGGCTTAGTGCCTTTTATACTCTAAGAAATCATTACCAACCACAAATTCATGAATATTTTCACCTATGTGTTTTTAGAAGCTTTACAGTTTTAGCATTCACAATTAAGGTTTGGATTCATTTCTAGCTATTTTCTGTGTATAGTGTGAGTAAGCAGTCAAGGTTTGTATTTTGGTACGGCTATCTAAATGTTCCATTACTATTTGTTGAAAGGACGTATCTTTCCCTATTGATATGTACTGGCACCTTCATTGAAAATCAATTGAACAAATGAATGAAAATCTATTAGTTCATTGATTTCCATTGATTTATCCTTATGTCAATACCACATTGTCTTGCTTTTGAAATTTATTTTATTTTATTATTTATTTAGTTTTGAAATGGAGTCTCGCTCTGTCGCCCAGGCTGGAGTGCAGTGGCATGATCTTGGCTCACTGCAACCTCCACCTCCCAGGTTCAAGCAATTCTCCTGCCTTAGCCTCTCCAGTAGCTGGGACTACAGGTGCCTGCCGCCATGCCTGGCTAATTTTTTGTATTTTTAGTGGAGACGGGGTTTCACCGTGCTGCCCAGGCTGGTCGTGAACTCCTGACCTCAGGCAATCCGCCCACCTTGGCCTCCCAAAGTGCTGGGATTATATGCGTGAACCACTGCGCCCAGTCAAAATTTATTGTATTATAGTAATTATTTTATTAATGAAAATAATTACTATAATAAAATTATTTTAGTTAATAAAATATAATTACTATAGTAAGTCTTGAAATAGGGTAATTGGTTGAACTAGTTCTCTGTTGTTGGACCTTCAGCACATCTCTGACATTGGGCAAGGCTCGGTGGGTGGCTCATGCCTGTAAATCCCAGCACTTTGCAGGGCTGAGGTAGAAGGATCGCTTGAGCCTGGGAGTTCAAGGTCAGCCTGGGAAACATAGCCAGAGTCCGTCTCTGCAAATAATAAAAACTTAGCCAGGCATAGTGCCACACACCTGTGGTCCCAGATACTCAGGAGGCTGAGATGGGAGGATCCCTCGAGCACAGGAGGTCGAGGCTACAGTGAGTCATGATCGGTCCAGTGCATTTCAGCCTGGGCAACAGAGGGAAACTCAGTCTCAAAAAAAAAAAAAAAAAAAAAATCAGCCCTAATAAGACTGTATAAAATGTCCTTGCTCATTTGTGTGGGTGTTTTGGAAGGTCGATGGCTGAAGCGAGTGTCCCTTATGTCTGCATGTCCCATGTCCTTGTGTCCCCATGCCCCCATGTTTCCAAGACCACACGTCCCCACGTCCCCTGTACCCCCATGCCCTCATTTCTCTATGTCCATGTGGCTCCACATTCCTCATGTCTGCGTGTTCTCATTCCTCATGTCCCCATAACCTCCACATCTCCATATTCTTCATGTCCCCGTATCCCTCACGTCCCCGAGTCCCTGTGTTCCCATGTCTCCATATCCCCATGTCTCCATGTCCTCATGCCCCATATCTCCATATTCTTCATGTTTCCATGTCCTCTTTCCCCATTTTCTCATGTCATGTCCCTGTGTCTTCATGTCTTCATGTCCCTATGTCTTCAGGTTCCCATGTCCACTTATCCTCACATCCCCATGTCTCCATGACCTCCACTTCCCATGCTCTCATGTCCCAAAATGCCCATATCCTCATGTCCTCTACGTCCTGTTGTCATGTCTGCATGTCTGCATGTCTCCATATCCCTCGTGTCCCCAAGTCCCCCATCCCCATGTCCTCATTCCCCCATGAGGACCCCTCCTATCCCCACGTCCTCATGTCACCCATAAACCAGCCCAGAGCAGAGTTTGCCTTATGCTGTGTGCTTGGTAAATATGAGCTGCCTTCCTCCTTAAACCTTCCATTCAAAGGCTGCAGAATAACCATGGGTAAGATGGCTTCCCTGAAAAAATGCACCCCAGGTGTCACTACTAGACGTCAGATGGACACTTTCCCCCACAGCGGATAAACTGGTAGCAACCCTGGGAAGGAATGGGGTGTAACAGCCAGGGCCAGCTGGGTGCCGTAACAGTCCCAGGCTTAGTCATAGTGCAGTGCTGGCAATGGGAGAGTTGTGGGGGCTCTGTTCCTTGTAGTCAGATGGGGAGCACTCACCCACCAGGACAGAGGCCCAGGGAGAGCACTCATCCACCAGGGAAGAGCCCCTAGGCCAGCTGAGAGAAATTAGGCCAGGGGCTGCTGAACAGGGTAGAGCCCCTGGGCTTCCCTCCTGGTAAGTGGGTGTTCCCCCTTGGCCTCTCTCCCAGTGGGTGATCCCCCCGGGCCTCTCTCCTGGTGGGTGGGCCCTCCACCCAGGCCTCTCTCCTGGTGATTGGGTGCTCCCCCTGGGGCTCTCTCCTGGTGAGTGGGTGCTCTTCCAGGCCTCTCTCCTAGTGGGGTGCTCCCCCTGGGCCTCTCTCCTGGTGGGCGGGCACTCCCCCTGGCTGACAGTTCTCTGCCCATAGGCTCTCTCCATCCTGGCCTCTGTGGTCCCACACAGGCCCCTCTGGGTCCTGGACTTCAGAGCTCCTCTCCCTGGCCATGGCCAGCTTTCCTGGAAGACAGGACTGGGGGTCCCTGGGACAAAGCAGGAGTCCTGGGGAAACCCCCTTTCTCATCAGAGGCACCCACCCCTCATGAAGTGAGCCACCTGGGGGAGGATGAGCAGCACCCTTGAGGGACAGGCTAAGGGACACTGGAGGCACAGGGCCTTCTCTGCAGAGCCTCTGACTCCACAAAGTTATTCAAGGGCTTTGAGATTGAATAGCACCAATGGATTGTCACTGTGGTCCCCAGGAGCCCTCCATGGTCACCAGGAGTCCTCCGGGGTAGAGGACTCATTTGAGCCATTGGAACATGAGTGAAATAATTGGTCAGAGAAATTGGAATATGTGTTGATACTTCCTGGTGGTTGCTTCTCCACTGTGGGCTGATCCCACCATTCCCCAACTTCAGGTCACCCTTGCCCTTTTTCATGATGAAAATACTACATCACTTTAAAACAATAGGAAACACTTAACTCTTTAGTTTTGATGGGTCAGTATTGGGGTGTGGCTTGGCTATGGCTTGGGGACCTCTCATGAGGCTACAGATGGTGGCTGGGGCTGCAGTGTCATCTGAAGGCCTGACTGAAACTGAGGATCATTTTCAAGGTGACTCATTCACACATCACAAGTTGTTGCTGGCTGTTGGCCTGGGGCCTTAGTTCCTCTCCGCATGGGCCTCTCTGCAGGGCTGCTTGAGCATCCTCATAACATGGCAGCCAGCTCCCCCACAGTGAGTGATTCAGCAAGGAAAGGCAAAAGCTGCAGTGTTATGTATGGCCTGGCCTTGGAAGTCACCTTCATCATTTCTGTAATGTCCTATTGTACAGTAGTGTCCACAGGTCAGCTCTATTCACAGTGGGAGAGGCAGATAACCAGCATTTGATGATCACTGGGCCATTGGGGGGCAGGCTGCCAAAAACATGTTTCTTTTTGAATGATGTCACTCCCAGGTGGAGGCACCACTTCCTCCCACTCACCCCAACCAGGGACGACAGGACACTTGGCCTCAGTTCTACTTTCAAGCCACAAACCCCTCCCCATCCTCTTTTTGTTCCTTACCTACCACAACCCCTCACCTTTCAGGTCACCACAGCCAGCCTGCTGCTGTGCTGCCAGAATTTATCATGACCCTCTTAGGACGACAGTTGTGTATTCCTAGTGTACCTGGGTTTGTGTCCCTGGTCCTAATGGGACCCCACTGCTGGCCTTCTGGCACAGGGGACCTCTGTAGAGGAGAAGGCTGAACCAGGTGGTGGTGGCAGGCACTGCTGTCCTTCCTGGCCTGGGCTGGAAGCATCTGGATGGTCCAGGGCTGCCTCCTCAGGGGGCAGGAGCCAAGACTCCAGGGCCCCGGCATTGACAGCACAGCAACGGTGATTCAGATGTTGGTGGCTGGGATCCCTTGAGTACCTACCATAGGCAAAGCCCTCATTTCTCACAAAAACTCCACCACATGCATCCCACATTTTCTCCATTTCATGGAGGAAGAATGGAGTCTTCAAGAAGTTCATCAGTGTCCGGGCATGGTGGCTCATGCCTGTAATCCCAGCACTTTAGGAGGCCGAGGCAGACAGATCACCTGAGGTCAGGAGTTGAGACCAGCCTGGCTAACATGGTGAAACCCAGTCTCTATTAAAAATACAAAAAATTAGCTGGGCATTGTGGTGGGCACCTATAATCCCAGCTACTTGGAAGGATGAGGCAGGAGAATCTTTGAAACCAGAAGGTGGAGGTTGAAGTGAGCTGACTTTGCGCCACTGCACTCCAGCCTGGGCAACAGAGTGAGGCTCCGTCTCAAAAAAAAAAAAAAAAAGAAAAGAAAAGATTAAGTTCAGCAATATGGCTGAGGCCACAGCACCCATGCGTCCGAGCTCAGGTGACACTGTCCACCCCATCCTTGTCACGGCTGGGTGTAGCTCTGCATCCTCACACAGGCAGGGAACTTAGGGACAAACTCCACATCACCTCAGCCTTTAGCTTTTGGGAGGGAGGGGCACACCACTGTGTCCTGAGCCTCAGTTTCCCTGTTGTCAGACGGGGATAACCATACTTCACAGGGGCATGAAGGGGCCCAATGAGTAACCATTCACAGGGCACCTGCGGCAGCACCTGGCACAGGGAAACTGAGGCCCAGAGAAATTGCTTTTATTTATTTATTTATTATTTTATTTTTATTGAGACAGTCTCTTTCTGTCCCCCAGGCTGGAGTGCAGTGGCGCAATCTCAGTTCACTGCAACCTCCACCTCTGGGGTTCGAGCGGTCCTCCCACCTCAGCCTCCTTAGTAGCTGGGATTACAAGCATGCGTCACAATGCCCAGCTGATTTTTGTATTTTTAGTAGAGACAGGGTTTCACCAAGTTGGCCAGACTGGTCTCAAACTCCTGACCTCAAGTGATCCTCCCTCCTTGGCCTCCCAAAGTGCTGGGATTTCAGGCATGAGCCACCATGCCCAGGTGAGAAATTGCTTTAAAAAAAATGAATATAAGCCTGGATTAACAAGCATTATTAAAATTGAGTCAGACTTTGCACTCTAAGCCCTTCAGGACCTGGTGTTATTATTTATTGATTCTCTCCCTAAAACAATGAGGGTGCCCTCCTGGTGGGGCTGCTCAGCGGGGCAGGTGCTGGGCCTGCTGGAGCAGCCCTCGTGGGTCAGGTCTCCCAGGAAGCATCTTGAAATATCTGTTTGCAGGGGGCCTCTTCACCTTCTAACTTGTGGCCATTTCATTGTTCCCAACCAAGAGGGTCTGAGGAAGCCTCTGATGGTGTGTTTCTGGGCTCACTCTGGGCTTGTCTGGTCTAGGGCCGGCCCCCTCATTCCCTGCTGGGCCCCTCCTCCCTGAAGATCTACACAGCAGATCTACTCACAAAAGTCCACCCAGCAGAAGCAGGAGGATGGTGGTTGTGGGTCCTCTGTGAGCAGCCCTGTTAACCTTTAAACCAGCACGGCCGCCGCAGCTGTGAGCCTAGCACCTGATCAGTGGAGAGCTGTGGATTGCATGTTTGTTTGCCATTGCCCCCGCCACCCTGCAAGTTGCACCTTCTAGAATCAGCAAGCCAAGCTCCTCTCACCCAGCGTAATGATGCGGAAATGCAAATGCACCATCATGTTGTGACCCATATTGCGAAAATTAGAAAAAAGGAAGTTGTGTTTCGCTATTGCACGAAGTTCAGCCCAGAGGAGAAACTCGCTCGCCTTCAGAAGACAGGTGAGTGGGCTTGGTCCTGAGGTGTTGGCCGAGCCCTGAGATCCTAACTGCTTTTGTGGAACTTTGGGGTGGTAGGAACATTCAGGGCAGGAGCCATTTGAGGGAGACGGATGTTTTCAAGGCAGGAAGTGGCTGTGGTGGCACGGAATGGTGTCTTGTTTTTGTTCTGTTGTCTTTCTCTGGGTTCCTGTAGCATGATGTGTAAAAATTCAGAGTTATTGTGGGCCTCGAATGGCAAGTGTGAAAAGCCTTTGTAAACTGCTGAGTGCTGGGACAGTGTTGCCTATCGTCTGGGGGTGGCTTAGGCTCTCACAAGATGAACGGTGCCTGCCCGTGTCCCCATCGAAGGCTGGCAGGGGCCTGGGTCCGAGGCTGACCAGATGCAGGGAGCCTTTTTCCATCGGCTGGCAGCGCACCAGCCAGGGCATCGAGACCACGGCCAGCCCCTCTCATGTCACCCAGGCCTGGGGGGCGGGGGGTAGCGCGAGCCTTCCTCTGCCTGAACAGAGGAGGGTGGTCCCAGACGTGTCCTGGGGGCTAGGCTTTCCCACACAGTGTGTCTCCAGAAGCTTCCTCTGCACTCTGCAGGTTAGATATTAGCAGATGCGGGCCTGTGTAGCATGGGGCTGTGAGGAAGGAGTGCTGCGCCCACCAAAGCCTCCTCAGCACCCCGTGCTGTGCCTGGCAGTGTGGGACAGTGGCGGGGCCACCTCAAGAGGTGCATGGACTGATGGCAGGGTCCCAGCGGCAGTGGCGGCACAACCCGATGCCACCGTGATTGTGCCCACTGTGCAGAGGGGGCCCGAGGGGCAGAGGCATGTTCGGGTCACACAGCATGGCCACACTCATCTGTAAAGTGGTGACTGAGTCGTGCCAGGCTCACTGTAGTTCGGGGCTGGACGTGCTTAGCAGGTGCCACTGCCATTCAGATCGGTGCTTGCCAACACCCAGGGCGGATGCTGGTCAGCCATTCTTGCAGGGGAGGAAACCAAGGCACACAGCTGACTTGCCCTGGGCCCCCCAGCCTGCAAAGTGTCTGACTGAGCCCCAGTACAAATCTTCACAACTTGCTCAGTGGCCCCAGAGCCGGGTGGGGCTGACCAGCTGGGTGTGAAAGGGAGGAAGTGGTTTGTCCCCAGCTGGGCTGTTACAGGAGGCCAGAGGAGGCCCCGGTTCCACTCCTCAGGGGGCGGAGGTCCACGTCTACACAAAAACCAGCACCATGCAGTGTGCAAGACCCCTTGGAATGACACGAGGCCGAGTGCCCTGCACACAGAGGCCTGCAGCCGTGTTGTACAGAGGTTAGAGCTGAAATGACCTTTTCCTGAGAAGCCTCACCACTGTCCGAGGATGGGCCTGACCTTCCTGGCCTGTGCCCCTTGAGGACTCCCAGGTTAGTCCCTGGGCTAGAAGAGTGACCTGGGAGTCACTGGTGCATGTGCTGGGAGCTCCCAAAGCATCCTCCCCACCTGCCCCGATAGGTCTATCAGGAGCCTGGTTTACAGATAAGGAAACTGAGGCCCCTCAGTAAGGGCAGTGCTGGGCAGGTGTGAAACCTAGACAAGGATGAGACTGGGCTTGTGGAACAAGGAGGCTCGGAGGCAAGCATGTGCCGAAAACAATGAACAAGGACAGGAGGAAGAGCAGAGCCGGGCACTGTGGTGCCTGCCTGTCCCTAGGCGGGACGACCGTCAGCTGTCGGGGCTGAGCCGGTCGGGAAGGAAACAGGATATGAGGACCTTCATTCATCCCTTACATTTCTCCCCGTGTCCTGCCTTCTTCTCTGCAGATATTGTGGGTCCTTGTAGGTGACAAGGGGCCCATTGTCTGAGGAGGGAGACAGGGACATGAGCCTGCCACGGTTTCATCTGGCTAGCTGCAAGGACAGTGCAGGGCAGGCCCTGTGTGAAATGGGGGCAGCCACATCTGGGTCTGGGGACAAGCTGCCTGCTGCCTAGTGACACGAACCTGTGCCCGTGGTGCCTCCGTCCCCACACGTGAGCTTCCCCACTCCCTCCTTCTGAGCTTGCTGCCTGCCGGTGAGTGTCCCTGGTCTCAGGAAAGTAACCCACAGGCAAATGGTTGCTGCATTTTCCCAAAAGCAAGTATTGAACCCCTAACAATAATCTCAGCCCTCCAGGACCCCCTGCTCTGTGCCACAAGGTGTGCTGTCCCCCAGCCCCACCCTCCAGGTGGGGGCACCGCAGACTCAGGCCTGGAGGCTGCACCTGTGGGCCCTGCCCGGGGCCCACCCCACCTGGGAGTCTGTATGAGGCCTCTGCCCAGGGTGCCAGTCTTCTGAGGAGCAGCGGTGGCTGTGCATGTGGACCAAGGAAGGAGGGCAAGAGTGTGTGAATGAGGGCTGAGCTCCGCAGCCTCAGAAAGGGACACTAAGGATCCCGCCTCCCCTGGACACCCCCAGCTGGGCAGGGAGGTTGACAAGGAGGCTGGCCTGGTACAGGGCCTTGCCCTTCGCACCTTGTCATTTTGGTGCAAATTCAAAAAACTTCTCATGAGAATCTTCTGCATATGTTTAAAAAAAGTTTTCTTTTTAAAAATGGCAGTAAAATACACATAACCTAAAACATAGCACTTTCATCTTTTTTCTTTTTTTTTTTTTTGGGGGGGGATGGAGTCTCACTCTGTCTCCCAGGCTGGAGTGCAATGGAGCCATCTCGGTTCACTGCAACCTCCATCTCCCAGGTTCAAGCGATTCTCCTGCTTCAGCCTCCCAAGTAGCTGGGATTACAGGCGCCCACCACCAAGCCCAGCTAATTTCTTGTATTTTTAGTAGAGAGGGGGTTTTACCATATTGGTCAGGCTGGTCTTGAACTCCTGACCTCAGGTGATCCATCTGCCTTGGCCTCCCAAAGTGCTGGAATTACAGGCGTGAGCCACCGTGCCCAGCCTCCTTCATCGTTTTTAAGTGATCAGTACAGTGCCCTCAGCACATTCATATTGCTGTGCAACCATCACTGCCATCCATCTCCAGAGCGTCTTCACCTTCCCAATCTGAAACTCTGTCCCTGTTAAACCCTCTCCATTCCCTCCCCTGGCCCTGGCAGCCACCATTCTGGTTTCTGTCTCTGTGAATTTGACTCCTCTAGGACCTAACGTAGGTGGAATCACACAGGATTTGTCCCTTTGTGACTAGCTTATTTCACTTAGCATAATGTCCTCAGGGTCCACCCCTGTTGTGGCATGGGTCAGAATTTCCTTCCGGTTTATTTATTTACTTATGAGATGGAGTCTCACTCTGTCACCAGGCTGGAGTGCAGTGGCGCGATCTCAGCTCACTGCTACCTCTGCCTTCCAGGTTCAAGCTATTCTCCTGCCTCAGCCTCCCAAGTAGCTGAGACTACAGGCATGCACCACCATGCCCAGCTAATTTTTGTATTTTTAGTAGAGACAGGGTTTCATCATGTTGACCAGGCTGGTCTCAATCTCTTGACCTCGTGATCCGCCCGCCTCGGCCTCCCAAGATGCTGGGATTACAGGCATGAGCCACTGCGCCCGGCCTCCTTCTGTTTAAGGCTGAACATGATTCTGTTCTATGGAGAGGCCACCTTTTCTTTATCCAGGTTTCTAGGGATGGACACTTGAGGGGCTTCCACCCTTTGGCTGTTGTAGGGAATGCTGCTATGTATGTGGGTGTACAAGTACCTGTTTAAGACCCTGCTTTCAAACCTTTTGGGAGAAACATTCTTGACTAGATGGACTCACATGGGAAACTGGTGTTGGTTTAAATGTGGCTGCCCTAAGAAAAGCTGCCGCATCCTTGGGAGAGGTAGATACCCCCCGCCCACCAGCCCCCGATTCCAGGCTGTCCAGCCTCTTCTCCCAGTCCACAGTCACAGCGTCATGCCAGGGCTATGGGTCATGAAGACTCATACAGTCTTAAACAGTAGAAGTAACTTGTTAAGGTGGCGGTGTGAGCCATATTTGTGAGTGTCTGCTCATGGCATGACTACAAACGGGGAGGTGCTGCGTTGATCTGCCTCCTCTTCTCCCTGCTCAGCTTGCCCTCACTTCCTGCCCTCTCCGAGGCCCCTCTGACCCCCATCCCAATTCAGGAGCATGTAGCACCTCACTGAGTTCTCAGCAGAGATGATGGAGACCCCTCCTCCATCCACTCCCACAGCAGACAGGGCATTTCCCAGGCTGAGACCCCAAGGTAATTACTCTGGGCTTCCAGGCACCGCTAGGTCACAAGGTGGCTTTAATTTTTGTTTTCTTTTCTTTTTTCTTTCTTTCTTTTTTTTTTTTTTGACACGGAGTCTCACTCTGTGGCCCAGGCTGGAGTGCAGTGGTGTGATCTCCTCACTGCAACCTCCGCCTCATGGGTACAAGCAATTCTCCTGTCTCAGCCTCCAGAATAGCTGGGACTACAGATGCAAGCCATCACGCCTGGCTAATTTTTGTATTTTTAGTAGAGATGGGGTTTCACCATATTCATCAGGCTGGTCTCGAACTCCTGACCTCAGGTGGAGGTCTGCCAAAGTGCCTTAGCCTCCCAAAGTGCTGGGATTGCAGGTGTAAGCCACTGCGCCCAGCCTGGTGGCTTTAATTGACTGCCATTGGGCATTACATCTGGGCATGGCCAGGGTGCCCTGGGCCTTGCTCACTGTGGGTGGCCTCAGTGGGTTTGGGACCTCAAGGCACCAAAGTTAAGCCAGTGAGAAGCCATATGGGGACCAGCGGATATAGGCAGTTCACATGGTTTATTGTATCACCTAGAGGCACTTACAGTATTGCCTGGATTCTCTATCACAGGGTAACCCACAAGGGAGATCTTGTCGTCATCATCCCTCATGATTCTGGGCCACCCGGGTGCAGCGGGCGGCTCTTGCCCACAGGGCTGGGACCCATTGCATAAGGCTTCCCCCAAAGGCTTCAGGCCTGGCTGCCACCTGCTGTCGGCGGGGATGCCCCCGCATGCCTCTCTGAGTGGCTAAGCCTCCCTCACAGTGAGGTGCTGGCTTCCAAGTGTGAGAGCCCAGAGCTGTCTTCCCTCCTGACCTGGCCTCCCACATGCTGCCCTCTCTAGTTACAGCGAGTCTCTTAGGGGCTCTGTATTTAGGGGAGGGATGTCAGAGTCCGCTTTTAGATTGAAGTGGCATCAAAGAATATACGGGCAGTTTAAAAACCACCACTAACGCGTTTGTTGCTCCCCCTACATAACATGCCATTGTTATGGAGCCTCCTGTGTGCCGGGGGCCACTGGGCCACTCCAGCGACAGGACAAGGGAGGTCCCTGCCTACTAGGTTCCAGGCAGCACAGTGGACAGGTGCCGTGGTGGGTTTCTTTCAGATGGGGGGGGACTCCCGCACGGCCTCCCGGGAAGGGACATCTGGTGGCAGATAGAGCTGGGTGGTAGGCAGACTGGTGGCCCATCTGTGGGACCAGCCCTGCCTATCTGGGGGACCGCTGCACTGTGGAGGGACACGGGGCGGGGGCCAGAGCACTTCATCCCCCTGCTCACTGGCTGCTGTGATGGAGACACATGAACAGTTCTAGGACACCCTGGATTCTGGGGCATTCTAAATTTCTTCAGGTTTGTGGATTTCCTCGTGCTACAAGGTGGCAGCCCTGAGTGTCTGGGACCTGTTCCCTGGCTGAGTCCACAGTGGGCACGGCTCATCTGGGTCAGCAGCTCCAGCCTTGCTCACCTCAGGCGGCTCAGGGCTTCTTAAAGGGAAAGCTGAGGTGGCTGCATACAGAGAACTGACCTCGGCTTCCTCAATGCCCCTGTGGAAACATAGGCATAGCCCTGGGCGGACCAGAGTGACCCAAGCCCGGGGGCTTCCAGCACCTGTGTCCCAGGGCCAGCCTCTCTGAGCCTCGGCGTCCTCATATGAAGGACAGAAACGTCCCCTGCGAATGTGAGAAAGGGCTCAGCACTGACCCTGGGCATGGGTGTGCATGGGTGTACTTGCCTTATATGTGTGTATGCATTGTCAACCTAAAATAATCAAGAGAATCAGAATATAGTCTAAAGAGAGTTTATTCAAGCACAAGGTTGAGGACTGCAGCCAGGGAGACACTTCCAAGTTGCCTCAAGGAATGTCTGGAGAACAAAAGAGAGGCTCAAGTGTTTAAAGAAAAGAAAGGATGAATCAGGAGAGGGGGTGGTGACCATTGTTCATCAGGAACTCTCATTGGTTCACAGAAATAACACTGGCTAGTGATTGGCCAGCCACTGTTGAACTACAGGGAATGTGGCATTTTAGGGCTACTTGGCATCTGTTAGTCTCAAGCCTGCATAGCAAGTGGTTTCAGGAGGGACCTATTTTGCTCGATGGGGAGTGACACATGACTGTGTTGCATTCCAGTGCCTCTCAATGCCTGATTATATAAAGGGGCTGGCATTCCTCAGACACAGGCCTTTTTATTTTTCAGCATACGTGTGCACACATGTGTATGTATGTGCACATGTGCGTTTGTTTATGCATGTGTGCATGCACCTGTGCCTTGAAGGCCAGGCAGTGGCCACACCAGCCCAGGAGGGTTGCTGCTGGCAAAAGCCTTTGGCCGCAGAGGGGCTCTGCCCGGCTACACTTCCCAAAGTAGCTCATCCCTCTCCTGCCCCTCTATCCAGCTCTCTTTGTTTTCTGTTCTCATTACCTTTTTTATTTTAAAACAACGCATACTCTGTAAAAAGTCCTTGCAACAGAATAGAAGGAAGTGAAGTGACAATTAGGGGCTCCTCAACCCAGGTTGCCCCCACCAAGGGCACCCTAAAAACCTCACTTTTAATTTGATTGCCTTTGTAAAGACCCTGTCTCCAAACATGCCTTCATTTTGAGGTACTGGGGGCTAGGACTTCAGTGTGTGAATTGGGGGGTACCGACAGGATCCATAACACAGGTGTTTGCAATACAGAGTTGCAAACGCAAAGCTGGAGGTGAGTGTCCTTCATTTGTTTTGGTTCATCTGCTCTTGGACAAAAGCCCTTCCAAGATGGGAGTGATTTGAGGGCCTCCGATGAGCACAGTGCATCCCTCTCCTCTGGACAGGATGTCTGGGGACCCGGGCTGCTTGGGCCTCCTAGGCTGCAACCACACACCTCCTCACCTCTCCTCATGATCCATCATGATCCATCCTCCCTTCTGTGGTAAGGAAAATGATGCTTAGGAATGTCTGAAACTCACGAAGTTTGTACAGTTCAAAGGCGATAAGGGTGGGATTTTTCTTTTCTTTTCTTTTCTTTTCTTTTTTTTTTTTTTTTTTTTTTTTTTTGAGACAGAATCTGGCTCTTTCCCCTAGGCTGGAGTGCAGTGGTGATATCTCTGCTCACTGCAACCTCCGCCTCCAGGGTTCAAGCATTTCTCCTGCCTCAGCCTTTCGAGTAGCTGGGATTACAGGAGCCCACCACCACACCTGGCTAGGGTGGGATTTTTCTTGATCAGCCCTGTGAGGTATACTTGGCGTACCATTGATGCATAATGTTTAAAGTGTACAGTTGGATAAACTTTGACATGGGGTGTGCTCATGAAATTATCACCACAATCAAGGTAATGAATATGTGTGCAACATCCCACAAAGCTCTTGTGCTCCTTTGTAAGCACTCCCCACCTCCCCAGCCCCCTCCACCCATCCACCCCCCTCCCCCACACCAACCCCACAGCCCCTCCCATTCCTTCCAGGCACCCAGCTGATCTGCTTCCTAGCACCATAGGCTACTTTGCACTTCCTAGAATTCTGTAGTAATGAGAAAACACAGTAGGTCTTCTGTGGCTCCTTTTGTTCAGCATAATTATTTCTAGATTCATCTGTATTCTATTCCCTTTTTAAAAATGGTCTGAAAGATCTGGCTGGATGTGGTAGCTCATGCCTGTAATCCCAGCACTTTGGGAGGCTGAGGTGGGAGGATCACTTGAGGTCAGGAGTTCGAGACCAGTCTGGCCAACATGGTGAAAACCCATCTCTACTAAAAAAAATACAAAAATTAGCCAGGCGTGGTGGTGGGTGCCTGTAATCCCAGCTACTCAGGAGGCTGAGGTGGGAGAATCACTTGAACCCAGGAGGCGGAGGTTGCAGTGAACCTAGATTGTGGCCACTGAACTCCAGTCTGTGTGACAGAGCGAGACTCCATCTCAAAAAAAAAAAAAAAAAAAGGTCTGAAAGATCATTAGATGTAGGTATAGAATTAGCATCATTATTTTCCTGAAATGTTTGTAGAATTCACCAGTGAAGATCTCTGTGCCTGAAGTTCTCCATGTGGGAAAAGTTTTAACTACAAGGATTTCTTGTGCTTGTTTTACATTGAGCTTCTTAGATGTGTAGATTTATAGTTTCCATCAAATCTAGAAAACTTGTCATTATTTCCTCAAATATTTTTTTTGTCCACCCCTTTTTGAGACTCTGATCACACATGTATTACACTACTTGAAGTTTTCCCACATTTCACTGTTGCTCAGTTTCTCTGTGTGTGTGTGTGTGTTTCATTTTGGGTAGTTTCTGTTCCTGTCTCTTCAAATTCACTAGTTTTTCTTCTGCAATGTCTAATTGGTTGTTAATTCCTTCCAGTGTGTTTTTGGTCTCACACTTCGTAGTTTTCATCTCTGGAAGTTTAATGTGGGCCTTCTTACATTCTCCACGTCTCTACTGGATTTTAGAACATAGGATGACACAGACATGATAGTAGTTTTTAATGTCCCTTTTTGCTAATTCCAACATCTGTGTTAGTTATGGGTCAGTTTATATTGAATTTTTTCTCTTCATTAGTTATAGTCCCTTTTATGCCTGGTAATTTTTTTTTTTTTTTTTTTTTTTTTTGAGACAGAGTTTTGCTCTGTCGCCCAGGCTGGAGTGCAGTTGTGCAATTTCAGCTCACCGCAACATCCGCCTCCTGAGTTCAAGCAGTTCTCCTGCCTCAGCCTCCTAAGCAGCTGGGATTACAGGCACGCACCACCATGCCTGGCTAATTTTTGTATTTTTAGTAGAGATAGGGTTTCTCCATGTTGGCCAGGCTGGTCTCGAACTCCTGCCCTCAAGTGATCCATCTGCCTTGGCCTCCTAAAGTGCTGGGATTACAGGCGTGAGCCACTGTGCCCGGCCTCTGCCTGGTGATTTTTGATTGGATGCCAGACTATGGGAATTTTACCTTGCCATGCACTAGATATTTTTGTAGTTCTATAAATATTTTTTAGCTTTGTTCAAGGATGCAGTTGGGTAAACATATGGACTTCTTCCTGTTAAGTTTTGTTAATATTTGCTAGGTGGGACCAGAGCAGTGATCACTGCAGGGCTAATTATCCATCATTCCTGAAGCAAGACCCTCTGAGTATTCAACGCAATGCCCCGTGACCTGTGGGGCTTTTAGGGCTGGCTGGTGGGCATAGGCGTGTCCCTGCCCTGTGAAAGCTCCCTGTGGTCCTCACAGGTGGTTCTTTCTCTGGCCTCATGTGCTCTCCCCACCGCACACATGCTGAACGGTCCTCGAGGAGCCCCTCTGAGATCTCTGGGTTCTCTCTCTCTCTGCAGCTCTCTCATCTTCAGGGCTCCATGCTGTGGACTCTGGCCACCTTAGTCTTCTGGGCCTCCCAGTTTTGTCTTCTCAACTTAGAGAGTCCACTGGGCCCCACAGGGCTTCCCTTCCCTGATCCATGGCCCAGAAATGGTCTCTGGGCAGTGAGCTGGGGCAATAGGAGGGCTCACCTCATTCATTCCCGTCTCTCAGGGACCACAGTGTTTTACCGCTTGGTGTAGAGCCTTGCAAACTTGTTTCGTAGGTTTTGTCCATTTTTGTTGTTGTTCCAGGTGAGAGTAAATCTGGTTTCTATTACTCCATCCTGACCAGAAGCATAATTCCCCCGAGATGGGGTTGAACCAGGCTCTGTCTTGCCAGACAGCTACCTTTGAACACACCGAGGCTGAGCACAGCTCACATTCCATCTGGTGTATTTTTATTGCTCTGCCATGTTTGACCTCTGGAAACCTGAGTTTATCTCTTGTGCTATGAGAAGAATGCAGCAAAACATGTATTTTCTGTTTAGAAATCTTAATATTGCCCCCCATTGAACTCGTTAGGAATGCGGCAGTAGCCAATCATAAATGCCCACCTGAGCGATTCTGGAGTCATTTAAAGAAACGTCCACTCAAAAGGGGTTTTGCCCCAAGACAGTGAGCACTCAGGAGACTGTGTGTGGTGGGGGTGCTCCACCATAGAGCTGGTCGGCATCCACAGCCACCAGGACGCTGCCAGAGCCCAGGCCTGCGCCACGCCCTGCCCAGAGGCACACCTGCCTGCTCAAGGCAACCAGGGCAGGCTCAAGGCAGCCAGGGCCAGCTCACTGTGTGCCTGTCACTGTGTGAAGCCTGCTTCTTCTTTATTTCGCTTAGCAAGTGAGGCAGGAGCATGTAAAGCTGCTGGCAGAGGAATATCTAATTGTGAGTGTGAGTGCGTGTGTGACTGTGAGTGTGAGCCAGCCCGTCAGTGTGAATGTTTGAGAGAGCCTCTCTGTATGTGCCTGGGGGAGGGTGTGAGGTGTGGGCTAGGGAGGGGCCTGGCGATGCCCACCGGCTCACCTCACACTGGACAGTGCCTGCATGTTCAAGATGACCCTTCCCCTGGGCCGCAGGATGCTGCATGGCAAGGGACAAGCTCAGCCCTGGCCCCAGAGTTTCCAGCCGAGCAAGACACTGCCCACCCTACAGTGCATGGCTGCTGGTGCAGGCCCCACCCTTTTGGAGGCATTGTGTGCCAGCCTGGGGGCTGAGGATATGACTGTGCAGATGGCCATGCCCCAATCCTGGAGTCCACCATGCTGGGTGGTGGCATGGAGCTTCCCTCCTCCGCACCCCCGCAGAGCCGGGGCCTCTGGCTGCTCCAAATGCCAGTTGGAGAAGGTGGTTTTCTTTCTCTACTAATGTCTTTTCAGTACCTCCTAAATGGCTCTACTTTGAACCTGCTGGGCAAGGAAGAGATTTTCAAGGAAACCATCTACCGTGTGCAAGCTCCTGCCGGCCAACCCCAGACCCCAGCACGGAGCCAGGCGCCTGTGCCCGCCGACCCTCAGCATCCTCCTCAGAAAGGCTGGTGGCATCAGGTATGGGGATAAGTGACCGCCACTTGCAGCCCCTAGGCTCCTCGGCAGCTGCGTCTTCGGTTCAAGAGGATGATTTTGAGGGATGACAGTCTCCCTCTAGGCCCGTCTCACCTTTGCTCCTCCTCAGAGGCGCCCGGTGAATTTTCTGTGCACTTATAATTGACACTTGAATTTGGTCCATGAGAGGCATGGTGGGCCAGTGTGAGGTGGCTCCAGTGCACAGGAGGGAGGAGGAGTTTTGGGGCAAAGACCTTGGTCCACATCCTCTGGCAAGACGCACCTCCTGCCCCAGCCCTCCCCTGAGGGAGATAGTAGAGACAGCTGGGACCCTGGACCCCTGGGGGCTGTTTTCTGACCTGTCCAGCAGGCAGTGGTGAGGAGGAGGAGGAGGAGGACACCGGCCTCATGTCCTGGGAGTATCAGAGGATTGAAAAAGCACCACGGATGCGCTATAAACAGAAGCCACTGTGTTCCTTTTGGTTATGGTCACTACCTTGAGCATCTATTTTGAATTTATTGAACAGCAGATAGCTTCACACCACAGGGTTAATTTTTTTTATGCGGAACAAACAATTTTAAAACAAAACATTTTCCATTTTCTGTTCTTTAAAAGCCTGTCTGTACAAGACCCAGCTGAAGCTGACCAGGGCATTCACACTTCACACACAACCCCCAGCCCACCTGCTCCAGGCTTTCGGTGGGGGGCGGAGGGTACTGCCTGGGAGCTGCATTTGGGGGTTGCACCTGAGGGTGCTGGTCCATGCCTGGCTAGCACTGACTCTGGCTTGTTTCTCCCCTACAGGAAGCCCCTGGCCAGCCTCCACCTGAGCCCAGTGAGCTCAGCTTTAAGGATGGAGTCAGGCAGGGGGTCCTCAACCCCTCCAGGACCCATTGCTGCCCTAGGGATGCCAGACACTGGGCCTGGCAGTTCCTCCCTAGGGAAGCTTCAGGCGCTCCCTGTTGGGCCCAGAGCCCACTGTGGGGACCCTGTCAGCCTGGCTGCAGCAGGGGACGGCTCTCCAGACATAGGCCCCACGGGAGAGCTGAGTGGTAGCTTAAAGATCCCCAACCGGGACAGCGGGATCGACAGTCCCTCCTCCAGTGTGGCTGGAGAGAACTTTCCCTGCGAGGAGGGCTTGGAGGCTGGCCCAAGCCCCACTGTACTGGGGGCGCACGCAGAGATGGCCCTGGACAGCCAGGTCCCGAAGGTCACCCCCCAGGAGGAGGCGGACAGCGACGTGGGTGAGGAACCTGACTCTGAGAACACCCCCCAGAAGGCTGACAAGGATGCCGGCCTGGCCCAGGTAGGCTTCCCCTTCTCTGTCCCCGCTGCGGGCTGCAGGCCTTTCCTTAGGAGGGGTTTGAGATTTTCAGTGGGCGTCATCCCACACCTTGTTTCCAGGAATGTGGCACACAGGCTCGTGCTGTGTGCAAGGGGAGGTCCTGGGATGCAGTCTGCCCTAGAAAAGCCTGAGGGAAAAATCCATGCAGGCCAGGCCAAGCCCACCTGACACCTTGAGCAGTGACCTCAGTCCTGAGTCTCAGTTTCCACAACTGCACAGTGGGCACCTCCCGACCCTGGGAAGGTATGATGGTCAGTCCTACTGGTGGTGCTGCCAAAGCTGCCCTTTGCACAGTGCTCACTGCTGACTTTATGAAACTCCTGGGAGGAGACGATGTGAGTGGGGAAACTGTTTTCCTCAATGGGAAACTGAGGCACAGAGGGCATGGTACCTGGCCAGCGTCACCTATGGGGTGTGGCACAGGCTGGGTGCCCTGTGCTCTTCAGGACATGGTGGGGCAGGACCTGTGAGGCCCGCAGTGCAGTGTGGAGACCAGAGCAGACAGTTCCCACAACACGATGGGGCTGCATGGAGGGAGTTTGTTTGCGTTCTCATTAGCGTTTATGGGGCTCTTGGCTCGGTGCTGGGATCTTGGGGAGATGGAGAGGCAGCAGATGGCCTCAGCCTCAGAGAAACTGTGGGTATGGGGGGCACAGCTTGGGTAAGTTGCCAAGTGACCAGGTCCTGGGAGCGCTTTGCGGGTCAGGCTTGCTGGCTCCTAGGTGGGGACGTTGCTGGCTGACACGGGGACCATCGGGAGACGGGCTGGGCAGGTGAAGGGCAGTCCGGTGCCTGGACCACTGTGAGCTGGCTTGGCGGAGACGAGGCCAGGGCTGTGTTCAATGGAGGCTTTATTATCACTCAGGTGTAGGAAGGATCAGACCACTGCCATTGACAAGATGGTTTGTCATCCTCAGTTTCCAAGAGAAAGGGGCATGTCACACCACACCGTGAGGCCACAGGGAAGCCCAGGGTCAGTCAGAAGGCAGAGGGTTCGAGGGGGAACTGTGGGCCTGAGACGGTAATGTGGTTTCTGCGGGAAACTTGAGTTCCCAGCCATGATGGGAATGGGAGGTCAGACACACCTGATTCTACTCCCTCACTTTTGTAGTTTACACACAACTGACCAGCATTAATCTTAAAATAGAGATCAGAAGACTGACAGAATAGACTCTGTGGCAATAAGATACCAAATTATAAACAGGACCAGGCAAGTGTACACACCATACACTTAAAGAATAAACTATATTCTGGCTGGGCGCGGTGGCTCACGCCTATAATCCTAGCACTTTGGGAGGCCGAGGTGGGTGGATCACCTGAGGTCGGGAGTTTGAGACCAGCCTGACCAACACGGAGAAAACCTGTCTCTACTAAAAATACAAAATTAGCTGGGTGTGGTGGCACATGCCTGTAATCCCAGCTAATTGGGAGGCTGAGGCAGGAGAATCACTTGAACCCAGGAGGCGGAGGTTGCGGTGAGCCGATATCACACCATTGCACTCCAGCCTGGGCAGCAAGAAAGAAACTCCATCTCAAAAAAAAAAAAAAAAAGAATAAACTATATTCTAATAGCCACATTCTTTTTCTTTAGCAGCTAAACAAGCAATAAGCAATATTAAAACAACTATAGCTCCACCAGATGCTGACTGACACTCCCACCGCCCACCCCCCCACCCCACCCCCATTCCACCAGCCATAACTGCAGCTTTGATTGGACAAGAGACTGATTAACTTTCTTTCAATGAGAAGATCACTGACTCTGTATGGACTGGCTCTGGCCAGTTTGCAGAGGCTGCACACTTGCGTGCATTTGTGTCCTGAAAAGACCTTTTGGCATACAGAGCCTGACTGTAATACATTTAAATGTTAAGGCTCCACCCCAAGGTGAACATGAATTGCATGTTACACGCACCCTCCCCTCCCCTCCCCCCTCTTCCTTCCCCTCCCCTCCCTTCCCCCATTCGCCTTCCTCCACCCCCCTCCCCTCCCCTCCCCCATCCCCCCTCCACTCCTCTCTGCCCCTCCCCTCCCCTCCCCTCCCCTCCCCTCTCCTTCCCTTCCCTTTCCTTGAGACAGAATCTCATTATATTGCCCAGGCTCATCTCAAACTTCTGGCCTCAAGTGATCCTCCTGCCTTGGCTTCCCAAGTTGTCAGGATTATAGCTGTGAGCCACCATGCCAAGCACCAACTGATTTTTTTGTGTTCATTTTGTATTCTGTAACCTTACTGAACTGGTTCGTTAGTCCTAACAGTTTTTAATGGAATCTTAAGGATTTTTTAGTATAAAATCATGTCATCTGTGAACAGAACTAATTTTACTTTTTCCTTTCCAATTTGGATGACTTTTCTTCCTTTTTCTCTCCTAATTGCTCTGGCTAGGACTTCCCATACTATATTGAATAGAAGTGGTGAGAGTGGGCATCCTTGTCTTATTTCTAATCTTAGAGGAAAAGTTTTAGTCTTTCACCATTGAATATGATGTTAGCTGTGGGCTTCTCATATATGAGCTTTATTATATTGAGGTAGTTTCATTCTGTTCCTAGTTTGTTGAGTGTTTTTTATCATGAAAGGATGTTGAATCCTTTCAAATGCTTTTTCTGCATCAATTGAGATGATCATGTGGCTTTTGTCCCTCATTCTGTTAATGTGGTGTATTACATTAATTGATTTTTGTTATGTTGAACCAGAGTTGCATTCCAGGAATAAACTTGGTCATGGTGATTAATCCTTTCAATGTACTGTTGAATTTCATTTCCTAGTATTTTGTTGAGGTCTTTTGCATCAATAGTCATCAGGGATATTGGCCCGTAGTTTTATTTTCCTGTATCGTCTTTATATGGCCTTGGTATCAGGATAATGCTGGCCTTATTGAATGAGCTGGAAGTATGCCCTCCTCTTCAATTGTTTTGGAAGAATTTCAGGAGGATTGGTTTTATTTCTTTTTAAAATGTTTATAGAATCCATCAGTGAAGCCATCTGGTCCTGGACATTTGTTTGTTTGGAGGATCTTTATTACTAATTCAATCTGCATACTCATTATTGCTCTTTCAAATTTTCTATTTCTTCATGATTCAGTCTTCCCAGGTTGTGTGTTTCTAGGAATTTACCCATTACTGTTCATAGTATTCTCTTTTAGTCTTTTTATTTCTGTGGCACCTCTTGTAATGTCCCCTCTTTCATTTTAGTTGAGTCTTCTCTCTCTCTCTTTTTTTTTTTGAGGCAGTCTATTTAAAAATCACAACATTTAGAAAAAAATCTATACATTTAGACAATAGAATAGATTTTTTTTTTTTTTAGATGGAGTCTCACTCACTCTGTTGCCCAAGGTGGAGTATAGTGGTGCTAACTGCAACCTCCACCTCCTGGGTTCAAGCAATTCTCCCGCCCCAGCCTCCCGAGTAGCTGAGACTACAGGCGTGTGCCACCACGCCCAGCTAATTTTTGTATTTCTAGTAGAGATGAAGTTTCACCGTTTTGGCCAGGGTGATCTCAAATTCCTGGCCTCAAGTGACTCACCTGCCTTGGCCTCCCAAGTGCTGGGATTACAGGTGTGAGTCACCATTCCCAGCCTCCTTTTTTCTTAGTTAACCTAGCTAAATGTTTGTCAATTTTTTTGCTCTTTTCAAAAAACCAACTTTTCATGTTGTTGGTTTTCCTATTGTCTTTCTATTCTCTATTGCAGATACCTAATGTATATAGATATCTCTATAGGTCTGATCTTTATTACTTCCTTCCTCCTGCTAGCTTCAGTTTCAGTTTACTCTTCTCTTTTGAGTTTCTTGATGTGCAGAGTTAGGTTGTTGATTCAAGATTTTTTTTTTTTAATGTACGTATTTATAGCTGTAAAATTCCCTCTTAGCACTGCTTTTACTGCATTCCATAAGTATGATGATTTCATTTTTTTCTTTTATCCATTGGTTGTTTAAGAATGTGTTGTTTAGGCCAGGTGCGGTGGCTCACTCCTGTAATTCCAGCACTTTGGGAGGCTGAGGCAGGTGGATTGCCTGAGTCAGGAGTTTGAGACTAGCCTGACCAACATGGTGAAACCCTGTCTCTACTAAAAATACAAAAATTAGCCAGGCGTGGTGGTGGGCACTTGTAATCCCAGCTACTCGGGAGGCTGAGGCAGGAGAATTGCTTGAACTGGGGAAGTGGAGGTTGCAGTGAGCCTAGATCCCGCCACTGTGCTCTAGGCTGGGCGACAGAGCAAGACTCCATCTCAAAAAAAAAAAAGAAAAAAGAAAAAAAATGTGTTGTTTAATTTGCACATGTCTGTGGATTTTCATTGTGTTATTGAATTCTAGTTTCATTCCATTGTGATTGAAAAAGATGGTTTGGGCCAGGCATGGTGGCTCACGCCTGTAATCCCAGCACTTTGGGAGGCCGAGGCAGTCGGATCATGAGGTCAGGAGATCGAGACCATCCTGGCTAACATGGTGAAAACCTGTCTCTATTAAAAATACAAAAAATTAGCCAGGCGTGGTGGTGGGCACCTGTAGTCCCAGCTACTCGGGAGGCTGAGGCAAGAGAATGGCATGAACCTGGGAGGCGGAGCTTGCAGTGACCTGATATCGCGCCACTGCACTCCAGCCTGGGTGACAGAGCGAGATTCCATCTCCAAAAAAAAAAAAAAAAGAAAAAAAAGAAAGAAAAAGTTTGTATAATTTCAGTCTTTGTGTGTTTGTTGAGACTTGTTTTATGCCTAATATATGGTCTATCCTGGAGAATGTTTCATGTACACTTGAGAAGAACATATATTGTGCTGTTTTTGGGCAGCGTGTTCTGTAATTGTCTGTTTGGTTCAACTGTCTGTAGAGTTGTTCAAGTTCTCTATTTCCTTATTGATCTTCTGTCTGTTTATTTTATTGGTTTATTGAAAGTGAGATATTAAAGTCTCCTAATATTATTTTGCCGATCTCTATTTTTTCCTTCAATTTTGCCAAAGTTTCCTTCATATATTTAGGAGCGCTGAGGTTTGGTGCATAAATATTTATAACTGTCACATCTTTTTGGTGACTTGACCTTTTTATAACTATATAATGTCATTCTTTGCTTCTTGTAACAGTTATTTTTTTTCCAGTTGGCAGCAGTGATTCTTTTTTTTTAAAGTGACAGATACTAGCTGTACATATACCTGAGTTACATAGTGATGTTTTGATACATAGAATATATAGTGATTAGATCATGGCAATTAACATAGCCATCATTTGAAACATTTATCATTTCTTTGTGTTGGGAACACTCAATACCCTCCTTCTAGCTATTGAAACTATATACTATACGATTGTTAACAATAGTCCTTCTACAGTGTCATAGAACACTGGAAATTACTCCTTTTATCTATCTGCAATTTTATATCCTTTAACAAATCTCTCCCTATCCCTCTCTTCCTCCTACGCTTCCTAGTCTCTAGTATTCTCTGCTGTACTTTTTACTTCTGTGAGATCAACTTTTTTTAGCTTCCATGTATGAGTAAGAATATGTGGTGTTTAACTTTCTGTTCCTGGCTTATTTTGCTTAACTAAATGTTGTCTAGTTCCATCCATGTTGCCACAAATGACAGGATTTCATATTTTTATGACTCAGTAGTATGACATTGTCTATATATACCACATTTTCCTTATTCACTCATCTGTTGTTGGACACCCAGGTTGATTCCATATCTTGGCTGCTGTGAATAGTGCTGCAATAAACATGGAGGTGCAGCTGTCCCTTCAATATACTGAGTTCCCTTCCTTTGGATAAATGTCCAGTCGTGTGATTGCTGGATCATATGGTAGTTCTATGGTTTTTCTTTTTAAAAAGAATGTATTCATTCATTTTTTTTTTTTGGAGACAGAGTCTTGCTCTGTCACCCAGGCTAGAGTGCAACGGCAAGATCACCGTTCATGCAGTTCGCTCCTGTTCTGCTTGATATTCATGAACATTTCAGCTCTCCATAAGAGTCCTGAAAGTTTTTCCTCTATTCTAATATCACAATCTCCAACGTTATCAGAAACCTGCATTTAGGAGCACCTGTTAGAGTCCTATAGCTGACTATAAAAACCACCTTTTGGCCAGGGACGGTGGCTCATGCCTGTAATCCCAGCACTTTGAGAGGCTGAGGCAAATGGATCACCTGAGGTCAGGAGTTCAAGACCAGCCTGGCCAACATGGCCAAACCCTGTCTCTACTAAAAATACAAAAATTAGCTGGGCATGGTGGTGCTTGCCTATAATCCCAGCTACTTGGGAGGCTGAGGCAGGAGAATTGCTTGAACCTGGGAGGCAGAGGTCACAGTGAGCTGAGATCGTACCACTGTACCCCAACCTGAGCAACAGAGTGAGACTCTGTCTAAAAAAAAAAAATTCACCTTTTAAAAAGGATTAAAACAAGTCAACAATTGTCTGTGGATGACAAAAAGTCTTATGGTGCCACAGTCAAAGACACAATTGAAAAAGAAATTTGTTATCTCTGTGGCACACTAATTTAACATAACAATTATCATTATTGGTTGGGCATGGTGGCTCACTCCTGTAATCCCAGCACTTTGGGAGGCTGAGGCGGGTGGATCATGAGGTCAGGAGATCAAGACCATCCTGACTAATATGGTGAAACCCCGTCTCTACTAAAAATACAAAAAAAAATTAGCCAGGCGAGGTGGCGGGCACCTGTAGTCCCAGCTACTCGGGAGGCTGAGGCAGGAGAACGGCGTGCACCCGGGAGGCAGAGCTTTCAGTGAGCCGAGATCACACCACTGCACTCCAGCCTGGGCAACAGAGCGAGACTCCATCTCAAAAAAACCAAAAAACGAAAAACAGTTATCATTATTAGTGATAACATAGTAAGTTATGTCATAATTATAGAAGTTTTGCATAATTTTGGAACATGTACCAATAACACATTTATAAGGAGCAGAATAATGCTTTAATAAAACTCTGTTGTGCTTTTATTCCAATGTTCAATTTATGGAAAAACTGAATACTCCTTTAACTCTAGCCAATATGGTCACATACAGAATTTCTTTTACAAGATTAATTTTTACAAACCTTCCACAACTTGCTTTAACCTTTATCTTTATCATATATAATTTAAAACAATCCTTTAACCCTCTAAACTAGGCAAAAATATCCACATTTCCATGCCTTCTTATAATCTTTTACCAAAAGCACATTCTGCTTTCCCTACACATCTTGCATGTAAACTGTTTTTCCAGTAGTGTCAAGTACACGTTACACTGTTAACTCTTAGCAACTTTTACTTTTGGTGAAAAACCTGGTAAGTAAGCAATTCTAATTATGCACTAGGTTTGGAGCCTAGGACATCCAACAGAAATGCAGATAAGATTTGACTCTTTCCAGCATAGATGAGGGGATACAGCTAGCTCTGTATGTCCCCAGGCCTTACCTAGCTGTAAAGCAGGCAAATTGTACAGTTAAGAGTCATGATCGCAGTTTATAAAGCATTTTACAACTTGCACTGACCATCTACGGCATGCTTGGACTTTCTGACTTGACCTAAACATCCCTCTTTTAAACAACCAGTTATTTTACTTTGGGACAAGAATTTACCATACAAAATCCTTTTCATGCAAAATCACTTTTCTTTATAACCTTCCTTACCAACAATACCTTTACCTTTATAACTTTTGAATTAGACAAATTAATTTTCCTTCTGTTAGGAAGTTATGGTTTATACTACATGTTGCTGTATGGGTCCTGTGAAGGGGGAGCAGACAAAGAGGTTATCTACATACTGTAGAAGTTATCCCCCCTTGAGAGATGCCTTGGTTAGATTTTTGCTAGGGTTTGTCCAAATAAGTGTGGGCTATTTCTAAATCCCTGAGGTTAGCCTGTCCAGGTTAAAGTTATTGGTTAAAGATTTAGGTGGCTTTCCCAGGAGAAATAGAGCTCTTAGAGATAAAGATGAATTCAGAGGTCAGGTAAATATTAAGCAAACACCCATCTAGGAAAGTATATTTTTGCCCCAAAGAGGTGTAGGGTATTTAGACACTACCAGGGACTGGTGGGAAAGTGGTAATTGGTCTCTTAAATAATGTAAAGGGGTGTGAATCTTTTTTTTCTTTTTTTTTTTTTTGGAGGGAGGGAGTGCTATTTGCCCACATTACCTGACTGCATTTGGAGAAGAATTGCTCAGAGGAGATTAGCACAGAGTAGGCAGCTCTTGAACCCAAAGGGAAATTTATAATTTTATTTGCTGCCTCCAGAGTCACCCTTGGCTTTGTCCTGCTAGTGCCAATGTCTGATTTGGAAGCCAGCTAGAGCAGAGAGCTCTCCAGCTCAAGGCCATCAGGGGTTGGGATTCTGTCCTGGGGGCCCTTCAGCCTTCAAAGCAGTCCCGTTTCCAGTGGCCAAGCTTTTGGCAGAGAGGGGAAACCATGTGAGGTTTCCTCCCGTTTGTCCCACTGGGGCAGTTTGCCTTCCAGTGGCCTGGCTTCCCACGCCAATGGCAGTTACCTGGAGGAGTGTCCTTAGGGAAACCTGGAGGAGGCTGGTGGGCTTGCAGAGCAGCCAGTAGTTAAGCCTGCCTCTGGTCCCTGCACTTCTCTTTTTCCTTAGCCCTGTCCTCCTGATTCTACTCCCAGTTATAAAAGACTGAGGAGGTGACTTTGAGGATTTCCTGCATAGAGGCACTGGGTTCTGAGGCTGACTTTTGTTATTTCTTCCCAGTTAATTTTGAGGAAAAACAGTATTACAAAGAAAACCTAGTTTTTCTATTTTTGTTTGTTTGTTTATTTGTTTGTTTTTTGACAGAGTTTTGCTCTTGTTGCCCAGGCTGGAGTGCAGTGGCACAATCTTAGCTCACTGTAACCTCTGCCTCCCGAGTTCAAGTGATTCTCCTGCCTCAGCCTCCCAAGTATCTGGGATTACGGGTGTCAGCCATCATTCCTGGCTAATTTTTTGTATTTAGTAGAGATGGGGTTTCACCATGTTGGTCAGGCTGGTCTCAAACTCCTCACCTCAGGTGATCCACCCACCTCAACCTCCCAAAGTGCTAGGATTACAAGCATGAACCACCGCACCTGGCCCATTTTTCTGTTTTAAGGTTTAGGGGATCAAACTTTTCCCACTTTTTGGGAATACATCTGAGGGGTGTGTCCTGTGGTATGGAGATGTGATTACCCATCTGTGAAGAAAGAACAGTGGAGAAAAAAAGGAAAAAGGTAAAATGTGTCCCTTCTTACTTTCCTATTATCTTGAATAGGGCATCCCCCATTCATCCTTAGGGTTCCAGAATGAACCAGTCTTACTGTGTACCCTTAACCTTGGTCCCATTTCATCACAATTACCCACTTGACAACAGAGGAAATACCAGAGTGAACAGTGGGCCCCCTGCTCATCCTTGGGGTTCTGGAATGAACCAGTCTTACCATGTACCCTTAACCTTGCCTTCATCTCTGTTTTAATGATAATCTATCAGCCTTTATCTCTGTCCTATGGGTCTCTTGTGCCTATGGACTTCAGCCAGCCTATATCCTTATCTCCATGACCTTATAGTGACTTGCTCGGAGCATTCTGAGCAACAAAATGATGATCTCTTTTCTCAGAGTCCCATCTCTCATGTTCTTTAAGTAGATGAGAAGCCTGTTTTTCAGCTAACTGCCACAAGGGGGCTGACTCCCCTGCCTTTGAATATGACCTTGAAGGTCTTGATGCATGTTGAGAGGGGTGTGGAAGTGATTAGAGAAATGGAGGCTACAGGAGGAAGTGGGAGGAGGTGAGAGGAATATTCATGGAAAGCCTTTATATGCTTACAAAAATAGCAGCCCTTCCATTTGAGAGGGCGATGTTTATTTTCCCTCTTGACATAAAAGAAGAACCTCTGGAGGACTTGGGGCTTGGGGTAAGAACTTGCAATGGCAAAGGAAGAATGTTCCCTTATCCCAAAAAGGTACTAACTCAAAAAAGCAAGTAGGCAGGGTCCTTAAAGGACCACAGAGTGAGGCCCTGTGCCCGCAGACAAACTGCTTCAAAAGCCACTGGAAAACTTGGCCCTGGGGCATAACAGGAATGAAAAGCACATGGTAAGTCAGAAGGAGCTGGCAGAGCCAGGGTTCCAATTAGTGTCTGTCCTGGCCATGTGCCAGTAGTCAGGGGAAGGGTTAGAGGTCATCCGAGCTGGTAGGGTAAAAACAAGTATAAATCTCATGGCGTATCCCCAAGGGAGCCTGTGTCTTTGCTGCCACACAAATTCAGCAAGAGCCATGAGTGCATGAATAACAGGGAGTGTGTGTTTAAGAAGTCAAGTGACATACAAAGTGAAAACAAAGAGGCAGACTTGCCTCCGAGGTAGACAGTCCAGTGAGTGCACAAGCCATTTCAGAACACACACAGAGAAAACAGGAGAATAGGCAGTATGGGTTTTTGGAAAACAACCAATTTTAGTTGAAAAAGCAGAGGAGGCTGTGTGCAGTGGCTCACGCCTGTAATGCCAGCACTTTGGGAGGCTGAGGTGGGCAGATCATGAGGTCAGGAGATCGAGACCATCCTGGCTAACACGGTAAAACCCCATCTCTACTAAAAATACAAAAAAATAGCTAAGTGTGGTGGTGGGTGCCTGTAATCCCAGCTACTTGGGAGGCTGAGGCAGAAGAATGGTGTGAACCCAGGAGGCGGAGCTTGCAGAGAGCCGAGATAGTGCCACTGCACTCCAGCCTGGACGACAGAGCGAGACTCTGTCTCAAAAAAAAAAAAAAGAAAGAAAGAAAAAAAAGAAAAAGCAGAGGAAACAACAGACATTGCATGGTGTTAGGTTTTAGCCCTACCACTCTCATGAGCCTCCTGTCTAGGAGGGCCATGGGTGCCTCAGTTCTACTCAGTGCAGACTCCAAGGTCCCTCCTCTCTGACTTGAGAGATTCATGTGCTCCGTTTATCCTTTGACTTGGGGTATTCTGCACTGGCATGCTTCCAGGGAGTTACATCCCTTCGCCCCTGATTCTTTCGTGTGGTGGGCTGTCTGCATGCCCAGTGGCCCACCAGCACTTGGGAGGGGCCGTATGTGTAGTGTGTTTACTGGAGTTGTGAGCATGCTCACTTGAGCCATTCTTCCTGTACCTGTCAAGTGTTCCTAGACGGTCATATACCAATTACACTTCACCATTTCGCCCCTTAGCGCGCATGCATGAGTCCATTTATCCAACTCTTGAGATCTTATCAGGAAGCTGATTATCTGTTTCAGGTTTTTCTATCTATTGGGAGACTGCATTTCCCTGGTGCTGGCTGCAACCAGTTATTATTTTAAAGAGGCTGTTTAGCAACCACCTGACCAATGCAGGATTTTTTGCTCCTTAGTTCAGCTAAAATCCGGGTTCTTGTCTCATTACCAGGAAAAATTAGGCACAAGGACACATTGAAGGGTGAGGAGGGCGGATTTATTAGACAAAAAGAAAGCTCTCAGCAAAGAAAGAGGGGTCCTGCCAACAGGCTCCCACCTCACAGATTGAATACCAGGCCACCACACACTAGTTGAAGAGGCCAGGCTTCTCCCCTGCATAAGGCTCCACCCTGCATAAGGCTCCAAGCTACCACCATTCCTGGTAGCTCCACCCCATTTCCCCAGTACCTGTGGGCCTCCAGTCCATTGTGGGCATGCCCAGGCAAGACCCTGCACAGGTTCCCTTACCTACACAAAAACATCTGGCATAAATGCTTGTGGGGCAGGCTGGAGATTCTCCAGGGACCCTTTCTTATCTGCCTCCTGCATCTATCAAGACCATCACCTGATGATGGTCACCTGATATTCCTGGTGTGGCGGGGCCCCTGCTCCCCTGCTCATGTCTGCCTGGCTACCTACCTTACACTAATCTGCCATGTTGACTTCTGATTAATCATAGTTCCAGGAATGCCTCTAAGATTTCTATCTTATTACTGTTCCTTATATAAGAGCAAGTACTTACTGTAAATCTTAATCTTAGGTCATGACAACCTTGATGTTACCATAAACACATATTTACCATAAAACCTGCCCTTAGGCTATGATAAATACAACATTCTTGCCTTTCCCTGAGGGGTTGATTTCAATGTCCTACACACTCCTTCTGAAGCACTGTATACCCTTTCCCTATGGCATGTAAGTCCTGGGTTTGGGGGTTGACAGCATGAAGATCTACCTGTTTTGTGGCCACCCAAGACCATGCTCTTGTCTGTAAGTTCCCCAATAAATCACCCTCTGCTGAGAAACTACATTAGTCTGCCTTGTTCTTTGGTTCCTCAACTCCTTCAGCATTTAGGGGTCTCTGCAAGCACAGCCCTTTCATGAAACATTATCCTCTTCAATTTCTTTCATCAGTGTTTTTTTGTTTTGTTTTGTTTTGTTTTTGAGATGGAGTCTTGCTCTGTCACCCAGGCTGGAGTGCAATGGCGCAGTCTAGGCTCACTGCAACCTCTGCCTCCCAGGTTCAAGTGATTCTCCTGCCTCAGCCTCCTGAGTAGCTGGGACTACAGATGCGTGCCACCACACCTGGATAATTTTTGTGTTTTTAGTAGAGACGGGGTTTCACCATGTTAGCCAGGATGGTCTTGATCTCCTGACCTCGAGATCCACCCGCCTCAGCCTCCCAAAGTGCTGGGATTACAGGCGTGATCCACCGCGCCTGGCCAACCCCTGACCTCTTCATCCGCCCACCTTGGCCTCCCAAAGTGATGGAATTACAGGCGTGAGCCACCGCACCTGGCCTCATCAGTGTTTTTTAGTTTTCTTTTGTAAACCAAAAAGTATCTGATACTGGTTTCAATCAATTTAGAAGTTTATTTTGCCAAGGTTGAGGTCATGCTTGGAAGAAATAAACATGGAATCATAGAAAAACAGTCTGTGGCCTGTGCCTTTCTCCAAAGAGGACTTTGAAGTCTTCAGTATTTAAAGGGGAAAAGTGGGCTGGAGGGGAGAAAGGGAAGGTATGTTAATCCACATGTTGCAAGAGAAAAGGAGCCGGTAGGCGAATAGTCAATTATGTATTCATCTGGTTCTCAGTAAATCGGCACTTTACATAAGATGAGGTAAACATAGGGCAGCCACCTGTGGAGATATTTAACCTTTCATCTATAGCTGTCTGCTTAGGAACAAAAGGAAAGGCAGTTTCTTGCATGACTCAGCTTTCAGCTTAATTTTTTTCTTTTGGCATTATGAATTGGGGTCCTGTGTTTTTTTTTTCCTTTCACACCTTGTAGAGGTTTTTTTTTTTTTTTTTTACCTTTTTCATTAAATGTATTCCTAGGTATTTATTTTGCAGTTATTGTATATGAGATTGCCTTCTTGATTTCTTTTTCAGCTAGTTTGTTGTTTGTGTATAGAAACACTACTGTTGTTCGTATATTGATTTTGTGCCCTTCAACTTTATGAAATTTTTTTTTATCAGTTCTAAGAGTTTTGTGATACAATATAGGTTTTCTATATATAAGATCACATCAGCTAGGTTTAGTGGCTCACACCTGTAATCCCAGAACTTTGGGAGGCTGAGGTGGGAGGACTGCTTGAGCCAAGGAATTCAAGACCAGCTTGAGCAACATAGTGAGACCTTGTCTATACAAAAAAATTAAAAAGTTAGCTGGGTATGGTGGTGCGGGCAACAAGTGAGATCCTGTATCAAAAAAACAAAAAAGATTATATAATCTGCAAACAGGGACAATTTGACTTCCTCTATTCCCATTTGGATGCCTTTTATTTCTTTCTCTTGCCTAACTCTTCTGGCTAAAACTTCCAGTACTATGTTGAATAATAGTGGGGAAAGTGGGCATCCTTGTCTTGTTCCAATTCTTAGAGGAGAAGCTTTCAGCTTTTCTGCATTCAGTAAGATGTTAGCTGTGGGTTTCTCACATATGGGCTTTATTATTTTGAGGTATATTCCTTCTATACCTAGTTTGTTGAGGGCGTTTATAATAAAGGGATGCTGAATTTTATCAAATGCTGTCTCAGCATATATTAAAATGATCATATGGTTTTTGTTCTTAGTTCTGTGAATGTGATGTATCACATTTATTGATTTGTGTATATGGAACAATCCTTGCATCCTGGGATAAATCCCACTCGATTGTGGTTTGTTATCTTTTTCATGTGCTGTTGGATTTGGTTTGCGGGTATTTTGTTGAGGATTTTTTCATCTATGTTCATCAGGGATATTGGCCTGTAGTTTTCTTTTTTGTTGTGTCTTTTCCTGGTTTTGGTATCAAGGTTATGATGACCTTGTAAAATGAGTTAGGAAGAATTTCCTCCGATTCAATTTTTTGGAATAGTTTGATAATTGGTATCAATTGTTCTTTATAGGTTCAGTAGAATTCAGTGGTGAACCCACTGGGTCCTGGACTTTTTTTGTTTGGAGATTTGTTTGTTTGTTTGTTTGTTTGTTTGTTTTTGAGAGAGTCTCACCCTGTCACCCAGGCTGGAGTGCAGTGGCGCAATCTTGGCTCCCTGCAACCTCTGCCTCCCTAGCTCAAGCTATTCTCTTGCCTCAGCCTCCTGAGGAGCTGGGATTACAGTCACCCACCACCACACCCAGCTAATTTTTATATTTTTTTGTAGAGATGGGTTTCACCATGTTTCCCAGGCTGGTTTCAAACTCCTAGGCTCAAGCAGTATGCCAGCCTTGGCCTCACAAAGTGCTGGGATTACAGGTGTGAGCCATTGCACCCGGCCCTTAAATTTCATTCTTAATTTCTTCCTTCATCCATTCATCATTCAGGAGCATGTTATTTAATTTCCATATATTGATATAGCTTTGAATGTTTCTCTTGTTGTTGATGTCTAGTTTTATTCCATTGTGGTAAGATAAGATACCTAATATAATTTTGATTTAAAAAAAATTCTGAGGCTTGTTTTGTGTCCTAACATATTGTCAGTCCTGGAGAATATTCCATGGGTACATGAGAAGAATGTGTATTCTGCAGCCGTTGGGTGAAATGTTCTGTAAATGTCTGTTAGGTCCATTTGTTCTATGGTGTAGTTTAAATCTGATGTGTCTTTGATTTTCTGTCTAGATGATCTATCTAATACTGAGAGTGGGGTGTTGAAGTCTCCAACCACTATTGTATTGGAGGTCTATCTTTCCCTTTATATTTAATAATATTTGCTTTCTATATCTAGGTGCTCTAGTATTTGGTGCATATATATTTGCAATTATATTCTCCTCCTGAATTAATCCCTTTATTATTATGTAATGTCTTTCTTTGTTTCTTTTTATAGTTTTTGACTTGAAGTCTTCTTCGTCTGATATAAGTATAGCTACTCCTCCTTGTTTTGGGTTTCTGTTTACATGGACTATCTTTTTTCATCCTTAACTTTCAGTTTATGTGTGTCTTTACAGGTAAGGGGAGTTTCTTGTGGACAGCATATAGTTGGGTCTTGGTTTGTTAATCCATTCAGCTAGTTTATCTTTTAAACAGGGGAATTTAATCTATTTACATTCAAGATTATTATTGATTGGTGAGAACTTACTCCTATCATTTTATTGATTGTGTTCTGGTTGTTTTGTATATCCTTTGTTACTTCTTCTCATTATTTATTTTTGTAGTTGGGTGGTTTTCTGCAGTGATAAGGTTTGATTCATTTCTTTTATCATTTGTGTATCAGCTTTACCAGTGAGTTTTATAGTTTTACATGTTTTCAAGATGGTGTTTATTGTCTTTTCACTTCCAGATATAAGACTGTCTTGAGCATTTCTTATAAGACTGGTCTAGTGGTGATGAATTCCCTTAGATTTTGCTTGTTGGTTAAAGATTTTATTCCTCATTCCTTTCTGAAGAATAGCTGGGAGGATTGCTTGAGCTCCTGGGTTGGAGTGGCAGACTGTTCTTTTAGCTGAAAGTGTGGCAGTGAGGGTTGGTTTCCCTGCTGTGCAGGAACAGAATCACAGCTGATCCTGGGCCCAAGCTCTATGCATCTGGGGTTGTGGCATTCAAGCACTCATGTGGTCTTGGTGGAATGCAGACGGAGCCCAGTGCTAGAGAGGTACAGTAGCTACTGCCTGGAGCATTCTGGAGGTTGCTCTGGTCTCAGGATGGTGCCATGCCACAGCAGCCTCGTTCACAGTGGGTGGTTGGGGGGTGGGGTGTGTACACTTTGTGATCCTAATCCGGGTGATGTAGCTATGCAAATTCTCACAACTCTCCAAACTGGGCTTGGGGCTTGCGAGGACTGTGGGATTCTCTTGTGTTATACTTTTTCCCTGAAAAGGGAAGTCCCTCCTGACTCTGGATAGATGCTATCTGGTTGGAGGGAGATGGGACCACTAGAGGCTGGGTGCCTCCACACTGCTCTCTCAATCATCACAGGTGCATCTCTACTCCACCACTCACTCCACCGCCAGCCAAATCTTAGTTGTTTGTGCCTTAGTCTTTTCTTGGGATGAGGGGAGGAATGCCAGGTGTTTCTAGTCAGCCATCTTACTGATATCACTCTCCTTCTTTTTTTTGGTACAAGGTCTCACTATGTTGCCCAGGATAGCCTCAAACTCCTGGGCTTAAGTGACCTACCTCAACCTCCTGAGTAGGGGGGACTGTAGGTGTACACCATTGCATCCAGCCTTGTAACAGTTTTTGCTATAAAGTCTATTTTATCTAACTATGGCCACTCCTGCTGTCTTCTGGTTACCATTTGAATGAAGTATCTTTTTCCATCCTGTCACTTTCAGCCTATGTGTGTCCTTATATCTAAAGTGAGTCTCTTCTCAACAGCATATAGTTGGATGCTGTTATTTTTAATCCATTCAGCCAATATGTCTTTTTCTTTTTTATTATTATTATACTTCAAGTTCTAAGGTACATGTGCACAATGTGCAGGTTTGTTACATATGTATACATGTGCCATGTTGGTGTGCTGCACCCGTTAACTCATCATTTACATTAGGTAAATCTCCTAATGCTATCCCTCCTCCCTCCCCTTACCCCATGACAGGCCCTAGTTTGTGATATTCCTCACTCTGTGTCCAAGTGTTCTCATTGTTCAATTCCCATCTATGAGTGAGAACATGCGGTGTTTGGTTTTCCGTCCTTGCGATAGTTTGCTCAGAATGATGGTTTCCAGCTTCATCCATGTCCCTACAAAGGACATGAACTCATCATTTTTTATGGCTGCATAGTATTCCATGGTGTATATGTGCCACATTTTCTTAATCCAGTCTATTATTGATGGACATTTGGGTTGGTTCCAAGTCTTTGCTATTGTGAATAGTGCTGCAATAAACATACATGTGCATGTGTCTTTATAGCAGCGTGATTTATAATCCTTTGGGTATATGCCCAGTAATGGGATGGCTGGGTCAAATAATATTTCTAGTTCTAGATCCTTGAGGAATCGCCACACTGTCTTCCACAATGGTTGAACTAGTTTACAGTCCCACCAACAGTGTAAAAGCGTTCCTATTTCTCCACATCCTCTCCAGCACCTGTTCTTTCCTGACTTTTTAATGATTGCCATTCTAACTGGTGTTAGATGGTATCTCACGGTGGTTTTGATTTGCATTTCTCTGATGGCCAGTGATGATGAGCATTTTTTCATGTGTATGTTGGCTGCATGAATGTCTTCTTTTGAGAAGTGTCTGTTCATATCCTTTGCCCACTTTTTGATGGGGTTGTTTGATTTTTTTCTTGTAAATTTGTTTAAGTTCATTGTAGATTCTGGATATTAGCCCTTTGTCAGATGGGTAGATTGCAAAAATTTTCTCCCATTCTGTAGGTTGCCTGTTCACTCTGATGGTAGTTTCTTTTGCTGTGCAGAAGCTCTTTAGTTTAATTAGATCCCATTTGTCAATTTTGGCTTTTGTTGCCATTGCAATTGCTTTTGGTGTTTTAGTCATGAAGTCCTTGCCCATGCTTATGGCCTGAATGGTATTGCCTAGCTTTTCTTCCAGGGTTTTTATGGTTTTAGGTCTAACGTTTAAGTCTTTAATCCATCTTGAATTAATTTTTGTATAAGATGTAAGGAAGGGGTCCAGTTTCAGCTTTCTACATATGGCTAGCCAGTTTTCCCAGTACCATTTATTAAATAGGGAATCCTTTCCCCATTGCTTGTTTTAGTCAGGTGTGTCAAAGATCAGATTGTTGTAGATGTGTGGTATTATTTCCGGGGGCTCTATTCTGTTCCATTGGTCTATATCTCTGTTTTGGTACCAGTACCATGCTGTTTTGGTTACTGTAGCCTTGTAATATAGTTTGAAGTCGGGTAGCATGATGCCTCCAGCTTTGTTCTTTTGGCTTAGGATTGTCTTGGCAATGCGGGCTCTTTTTTGGTTCCATATGAACTTTAAAGTAGTTTTTTCCAATTCTGTGAAGAAAGTCATTGGTAGCTTGATGGGGATGGCATTGAATCTATAAATTACCTTGGTCAGTATGGCCATTTTCACAATATTGATTCTTCCTATCCATGAACATGGAATGTTCTTCCATTTGTTTGTGTCCTCTTTTATTTCGTTGAGCAGTGGTTTGTAGTTCTCCTTGAAGAGGTCCTTCACATCCCTTGTAAGTTGGATTCCTAGGTATTTTATTCCCTTTGAAGCAATTGTGAATGGGAGTTCACTCATGATTTGGCTCTCTGTTTGTCTGTTATTGGTGTAAAGGAATGCTTGTGATTTTTGCAAATTGATTTCGTATCCTGAGACTTTGGTGAAGTTGCTTATCAGCTTAAGGAGATTTTGGGCTGAGATGATGGGGTTTTCTAAATATACAATCATGTCATCTGCAAACAGGGACAATTTGACTTCCTCTTTTCCTAATTGAATATGCTTTATTTCTTTCTCTTGCCTGATTGCCCTGGCCAGAACTTCCAACACTACGTTGAATAGGAGTGGTGAGAGAGGGCATCCCTGTTTTATGCCAGTTTTCAAAGGGAATGCTTCCAGTTTTTGCTCATTCAGTATGATATTGGCTGTGGGTTTGTCATAAATAGCTCTTATTATTTTGAGATATGTCCCATCAATATCTAGTTTATCAAGAGTTTTTAGCATGAAAGGCTGTTGAATTTTGTTGAAGGCCTTTTCTGCATCTATTGAGATAATCATGTGGTTTTTGTCTTTGGTTCTGTTTATATGATGGATTACATTTATTGATTTGTGTATGTTGAACCAGCCTTGCATCCCAGGGATGAGGCCAACTTGATGGTGATGGATAAGCCTTTTGATGTGCTGCTGGATTCAGTTTGCCAGTATTTTATTGAGGATTTTGGTATCGATGTTCATCAGGGATATTGGTCTAAAATTCTCTTTTTTTTTGTTGTGTCTCTGCCAGGCTTTGGTATCAGGATGTTGTTGGCCTCATAAAATGAAATAGGGAAGATAACCTCTTTTTCTATTGATTGGAATAGTTTCAGAAGGAATGGTACCAGCTCCTCTTTGTACCTCTGGTAGAATTCGGCTGTGAATCCTTCTGGTCCTGGACTTTTTTTGGTTGGTAGGCTATTAATTATTGCCTCAATTTCAGAACCTGTTATTGGTCTATTCAGGGATTCAACTTCTTCCTGGTTTAGTCTTGGGAGGGTGTTATGTGTCCAGGAATTTATCCATTTCTTCTAGATTTTCTAGTTTATTTGCATAAAGGTGTTTATAGTATTTGCTGATGGTAGTTTGTATTTCTGTGGGATCGGTGGTGATATCCTCTTTATCATTTTTTATTGCTATTTGATTTTTCTCTCTTTTCTTCTTTATTAGTCTTGCTAATGGTCTATCCATTTTGTTGATCTTTTCAAAAAACCAGCTCCTGGATTCATTGATTTTTTTGAAGGGTTTTTTGTGTCTCTGTCTCCTTCAGTTCTGCTCTGATCTTAGTTATTTCTTGCCTTCTGCTAGCTTTTGAATGTGTTTGCTCTTGCTTCTCTAGTTCTTTTAATTGTGATGTTAGGGTGTCCATTTTAGATCTTTCCTGCTTTCTCTTGTGAGCATTTAGTGCTATAAATTTCGCTCTACACCCTGCTTTAAATGTGTCCCAGAGATTCTGGTATGTTGTGTCTTTGTTCTCATTGGTTTCAAAGAACATCTTTATTTCTTCCTTCATTTCGTTATGTACCCAGTAGTCATTCAGGAGCAGGTTGTTCAGTTTCCATGTAGTTGAGCGGTTTTGAGTGAGTTTCTTAATCCTGAGTTCTAGTTTGATTGCACTGTGGTCTGAGAGACAGTTTGTTATAGTTTTTGTTCTTTTACCTTTGCTGAAGAGTGCTTTACTTCCAACTATGTGGTCCATTTTGGAATAAGTGTGATGTGGTGCTGAGAAGAATTTATATTCTGTTGATCTGGGGTGTAGAGTTCTGTAGATGTCTATTAGGTCCACTTGGTGCAGAGCTGAGTTCAATTCCTGGATATCCTTGTTAACTTTGTCTTGTTGATCTGTCTAATGTTGACAGTGGGGTGTTAAAGTCTCCCATTATTTTTGTGTGGGAGTCTAAGTCTCTTTGTAGGTCTCTAAGGACTTGCTTTATGAATATGGGTGCTCCTGTATTGGGTGCATATATATTTAGGATAGTTAGCTCTTCTTGTTGAATTGGTCCCTTTACCATTATGCAATGGCCTTCTTTGTCTCTTTTGATCTTTGTTGGTTTAAAGACTGTTTTATCAGAGACTAGGATTGCAACCCCTGCTTTTTTGTTTTCCATTTGCTTGATAGATCTTCCTCCATCCCTTTATTTTGAGCCTATGTGTGTCTCTGCACGTGAGACGGGTCTCTTGAATACAGCACATTGATGGGTCTTGACTCTTTATCCAATTTGCCAGTCTGTGTCTTTTAATTGGAGCATTTAGCCCATTTACATTTAAGTTTAATATTCTTATGTGTGAATTTGATCCTGTCATTATGATGTTAGCTGGTTATTTTGCTCGTTAGTTGATGCAGTTTCTTCCTAGCATTGATGGTCTTTATAATTTGGCACGTTTTTGCAGTGGCTGGTACCGGTTGTTCCTTTCCATATTTAGTGCTTCCTTCAGGACCTCTTGTAAGGCAGGCCTGGTGGTAACAAAACCTCTCAGCATTTGTTTGTCTGTAAAGGATTTTATTTCTCCTTCACTTGTGAAGCTTAGTTTGGCTGGATATGAAATTCTGGGTTGAAAATACTTTAAGAATGTTGAATATTGGCCCCCACTCTCTTCTGGCTTGTAGAGTTTCTGCCGAGAGATCCACTGTTAGTCTGATGGGCTTCCCTTTGTGGATAACCCAACCTTTCTCTCTGGCTGCCCTTAACATTTTTTCCTTCATTTCAACTTTGGTGAATCTGACAATTATGTGTCTTGGAGTTGCTCTTCTCAAGGAGTATCTTTGTGGCATTCTCTGTATTTCCTGAATTTGAATGTTGGCCTGCCTCACTAGGTTGGCGAAGTTCTCCTGGATAATATCCTGCAGAGTGTTTTCCAACTTGGTTCCATTCTCCCCGTCACTTTCAGGTACACCAATCAGACAGAGGTTTGGTCTTTTCACATAGTCTCATATTTCTTGGAGGCTTTGTTTGTTTCTTTTTACTCTTTTTTCTCTAAACTTCTCTTCTCACTTCATTTCATTCATTTGATCTTCAATCACTGATACCCTTTCTTCCACTTGATCAAATCAGCTACTGAAGCTTGTGCATGCGTCACGTAGTTCTCCTGCCATGGTTTTCAGCTCCATCAGGTCATTTAAGGACTTCTCTACACTGGTTATTCTAGTTAGCTATTCGTCTAACCTTTTTTCAAGGTTTTTAGCTTCTTTGCGATGGGTTCAAACATCCTCCTTTAGCTTGGAGAAGTTTGTTATTACCAATCATCTGAAGCTTACTTTCGTCAACTCACCAAAGTCATTCTCCTTCCAGCTTTGTTCCGTTGCTGGCAAGGAGCTGTGTTCCTTTGGAGGAGAAGAGGTGCTCTGATTTTTAGAATTTTCAGCTTTTCTGCTCTGGTTTCTCCCCATCTTTGTGGTTTTATCTACCTTTGGTCGTTGATGATGGTGACATACAGATGGGATTTTGGTGTGGATGTCCTTTCTGTTTGTTAGTTTTCTGTCTAACAGTCAGGACCCTCAGCTGCAGGTCTGTTGGAGTTTGCTGGAGGTCCACTCCCTGTTTGCCTGGGTATCACAAGTGGAGGCTGCAGAACAGCAAATATTGCAGAACAGCAAATGTTGCTGTCTGATCCTTCTTCTGGAAGCTTTGTCTCAGAGGGGCACCCGGCTGTATGGGGTGTCAGTCGGCCCCTACTGGGAAGTGTCTCCCAGTTAGGCTACTCGGGGGTCAGGGACCCACTTGAGGAGGCAGTCTGTCCATTCTCAGATCTCAAACTCTGTGCTGGGAGAAGCACTACTCTCTTCAAAGCTGTCAGACAGGGACGTTTAACTCTGCAGAAGTTTCTGCTGCCTTTTGTTCAGCTATGCCCTACCCCCAGAGGTGGAGTCTACAGAGGCAGGCAGGCTTCCTTGAGCTGTGGTGGGCTCCACTCAGTTCGAGTTTCCCGGCGGCTTTGTTTACCTACTCAAGCCTCAGCAATGGTGGACGCCCCTCCCCCAGCCTCGCTGCTGCCTTGCAGTTCAATCTCAGACTGCTGTGCAAGCAGTGAGCAAGGCTCCGTGGGCGTGGGACCCTCTGAGCCAGGCGAGGGATATAATCTCCTGGTGTGCCGTTTGCTAAGGCCATTGGAAAAGCACAGTATTAGGGTGGGAGTGTCTCGATTTTCCAGGTACCGTCTGTCACGGCTTCCCTTTGCTAGGAAAGGGAATTCCCCAACCCCTTGTGCTTCCCGGGTGTGGCAATGCCCCACCCTGCTCCATGGGCTGCACCCACTGTCTGACAAGCCCCAGTGAGATCAACCTGGTACCTCAATCGGAAATGCAGAAATCATCCGTCTAATGCGTCGCTTATGCTGGGAGCTGCAGACTGGAGCTTTTCCTATTCAGCCATCTTGGAACCTTTTTTTTTTTTTTTTTTTTTAAAGACAGAGTCTTGGTCTGTTTCCCAGGCTGGAGTGCAGTGGCACAATCTCAGCTCGCTGTAACCTCCGCCTCCCGGGTTCAAGCGATTCTCCTGCCTCAGCCTCCTGAGTAGCTGGGATTACAGGTGCCTACTATCACGCCCAGCTAATTTTTGTATTTTTAGTTGAGATGGGGTTTTACCATGTTGGTCAGGCTCGTTTCAAACTCCTGACTTCATGATCTCCCTGCCTTGTCCTCTCAAAGTGCTGGGATTACAGGTGTGAGCCACCACGCCTGGCTGCCAATATGTCTTTTGATTGGGAAGTTTAATCCATTTACATTTAAAGTAGTTACTGATAGGAAAGGACCTACTACTGCCATTTGGTTGTTTTCTGGATGTCTTATAGGTTTTTTGTGTCCCTCCTTTACTCTCTTACTATCTTTCTTTGTGTTTAATTGATTTTTTTTTGTAGTGATATGCTTTTATTTCTTTCTCATTTCCTTTTTTATCTATAGATATTTTATTTGTGGTTACCATTGCAATTACATAAAACATTTTAAAGTTATAGCATTCTATTTTAAACTAATAACAACTTCAATCACATGCAAAAACTCTACTCTTTTACAATTCCACCTCCCTCTCCCTGCTCTGATTGATGTCATGAATTCATCTTTATTTATTCATATAGATTTAAATGTTTAAATGTTTTTGTGATTTGAATTCTATGCACCAAAAGGATAATAGTACAAATTATTGTATTTATCCATGTGTTCACCTTCACTGAAGAACTTTATATTATCCTGTGGTTTTGTGTTGCTTTTTACTATCCTTTTGTTTTAACATAAAGTACTCCTTAATCTTTTTTATTTTAGAGCACATTTAATGGCAAAGAACTCCCTCAGTTTTTGTTTAACTGGAAAAGTGTTTATTTCTCCATTTTTGAATAACAGTTTTATCAAATACAATATTCTTTGTTGACAGTTTTTTTTTCTTTCAGCACTTTGAATGTATCCTCCCTCTGCCTTCTGGTCTGCAAAGTTACCACTGACAGATCCTCTCATAATCTTATGGAAGACCCCTTACATGAGACAAATTATTTTTCTCTCGCTGCTTTCAAGATTTTCTTTGTATTTGACTTTAGACAGTTATATAATTATAATATGTCTTGGTATGGTTCTCTGTTGATTTACCCCAGTTGGAGGTCTTTGAGATTCTTGAATTTTTAAGTCCATTGCTTTCCTCAAATTTGGGAAATGTTCAGCCATTATTTCTGTAAATAAACTCTTTGCCCCTTTCTCTCTCTTCTCTTTTGGAACTTACAAGTGCATATATTGATCTACTTGATAGTGGCCCATACATCCCTTAGGCTCTCCTTGCTCTTCTTTCTTTTTTTTTTCTTATCTGACTCTATGATTTCAAATGACCTCTCTTCAGGTTTGCCCAGTTTTTCTTCTGCCTGATCAAGTCTGCTGTCAAACCCCTCTTAAAAATTTGTCGGTTCAATTAAAGTGTATTTCAGCTCCAGAATGTCTGGTTTGTCCTTTTTAATAGTTTCTATCTCTTTGTTGATATTCTCACTTTGTTCATGCATCATTTCCTGATTTTTTTTTAAAGTCATCTATCTGTTCTCTTTTATCTCATTGAGCATCTTTATGACAACTATTTCGATGTTTTTTCTCAAGCAGCTCATAGATCTGTGTTTCCTTAAGATCAGTTTTGAAGTTTTTTATTTTGTTCCTTTGATTGGGCTACATTTTTCTGTTTCTTTGTAGCTAATTTTGTTTCATCTAGAAGGTCAGAAGCAAAAAATGCTTGCTAAGTCTGATTAAAAGAGCCCCAGTACCTTCAAGGCCTGTCTACTGTGGTACTGGAGTGATTATTTCTATCTTATCTTCTTTACAGCTTGGTCTGGAGAGCTGCCTTAGACTCTCCAATGAATCTATTCAAATAGCTGCCTCTGTTACCTTGACTTGTCTCAGATTCCGTTGACCCAAGATGGGTCCTGGCACTAGGAATATAAGACTGCTTCCATTATTTTGACTTGCTCCAGGTTAGGGAGAAGATTATGCAAGGCTCCTACTGACTGTGTTTTATTTCTAGCTTTGATGTCTGGGCACTGATTTCCCTAGGTTTAACTACTTGCTCCATGTTAAGGCCATGCTGTGGAAATCTGTCTGTGTGACTGTCATGCAGGCCTGTCTATGTGATTGTCAGGGAGAATTGGCCTGCCACAATAGGGCCTTCAGGAGGTGATTAAGTAATGAAGTCAGAGCCATCATGAATAGCATTAGGGCCTTTATAAAAGAGAAAGTTCATGGGTTTGCTCTCTGCTCTTCCACCATGTGAAGACACAGCCTTCATCTCCCTTTTTCTCTTCTACTGCTTCCACTATGTGAGGGGATAGTGTTCAGGCCACCATCTTGGAAGCAGAGATCAACCCTCAGAAGTGTGAGAAATAAACTTCTTTTGTTTAGAAATTACCCAGTCTCAGGCATTTTCAGTGAAAACTTCCATAGTGATGATTTCCAGCTTTAATTAGCTCATACTCTGTGCCCTGTCCTGCATGAAGTGTTTCATATGTGTTGTTCCACTCCATCCTCATAACATCCCTGTGATGTAGGTACTAGGTGGTGACGCTGCTGCTTTGCATTTGGGGTCACTGAAACTTACAGAGGTTTGTTAGCCTGCCCAATGTCAAAAACAGGAGGAGGCCAGGCACGGTGGCTCACACCTGTAATCCCAGCATTTTGGGAGGCTGAGGCGGGCAGATAGGTTGAGTCCAGGAGTTCAAGACCAGCCTGGGCAACATGGCAAAACCTCATCTCTACAAAACGAAAATAGAAAAAAACTAGCTGGACATGGTGGTACGCATGTAGAGCAGGTAAAATGGACTAAGACAAGCTTGCCAAACATCACCAATTTCCCTACACCTTTTACTGAAATCTTTTCTTGGCTTTATAATGGCTTGGGTGCTGTAGCTTCTCGGCTGGTCTCTGGAATTCTCACACAGGTGCTCTGGCCCATATATTGTTGTTAACCTTATGTCTCTGAGCAGAAGGAGGGCCGAGAGCTGTTTAGTCCATCATCTTGCTGACATCACTGTGCAATATATTTTGACGTGGTCGCTGCAACTGCTCTGTAGTCAAAGGCCCATCTATGAGAACTGAGCACCACATCGCCATCACAGTGGCCCCTCCTGCCCCTTCTCTTGCCCCAGTGGCCTCCTGCCACCCCTGTGGCCCCTGGTTCTCCTGCACACAGTGGCAGCCCGTTAGGTGCCGATTCCCCAAGGCTCATCTTCCCCAGGTGAGCTGCATCTCTTCTCTCCGCAGCACTCTGGCCCCCAGAAGCTTCTCCACATTGCCCAGGAGCTCCTGCACACCGAGGAGACCTATGTGAAGCGGCTGCACCTGCTGGACCAGGTAGCCCACATGGCTTGGGGGCAGTTTCAGTATCTCTTAGCATTGGCTGGGCATTATAGGTGCAGTGTGAATGACTTAAATACTAAAACTCAGACAAATTTAAGTCTGGTCTACAAACTTTTTTTTTTTTTTGAGACAAAGTCTCACTCTGTCACCCAAGCTGGAGTGCAGTGGCGCGATCTTGGCTCACTGCAACCTCCGCCTCTCCAGTTCAAGCAATTCTCCTGTCTCAGCCTCCCGAGTAGCTGGGACTACAGGCACATGCCACCACGCCCAGCTAATTTTTGTATTTATAGTAGAGACGGGGTTTCACCATATTTGTCAGGCTGGTCTTGAACTCCTGACCTCAGGTGATCCACCAGCCTCGGCCTCCCAAAGTCCTGGGATTACAGGCGTGAGCCACCACGCCCGTCCTAGAAACTTATTTTTTGTTTTCAGTGCTTGTAGCTCTGAGGAGAAGGCTTTGCCAAGTCACCTGTGGGACATTTCTTCTTGGCAGCTGCATGATCTGAGCATGTAAATGGCTTCTGGATGTTTTTCTGCATAAGTACTTGGGACAGGGTTTGCCACTCATCTCTATCCACATGACAACGTGGGGTTTATGAGCACAGGAAATAAAGCACCCATGGAAGCTGGGGTTTTGACAGACAGTGCTGCTGCTGTTTTTATCTCACGAGAAAGAAAAGGAAGTCTGAACCTTCCATTTCGCATGAGAGGTGGCTGAGGAAAGATGTCATTCCCTGTCCTCAGGCGACTGTCCCTGCCTCACCCACATTCGTAAGTCATAAGTGAGCTTGCATTAAGACCATGAGGTTGTCTGAACCAGTTGGATGAAAAGGGAGGACAATAATTCTGAAATTCATTAAGAAAACACAAGGTGGCAGCAGCGGCCCCTCCCGAGCGCCCTCACCTGTGGCCGAAGCGGGGCGGCAACTGTGCTCAGTGGAAGAGGCTCACTGGCCACACGTGGGCTTCTCTATGCTCAGGTTTTCTGCACCAGGCTGACGGATGCGGGGATCCCTCCAGAAGTCATCATGGGCATATTCTCTAACATCTCCTCCATCCACCGCTTCCACGGGCAGTTCCTGCTGCCGGAGCTGAAGACGCGGATCACGGAGGAGTGGTGAGTACCATCTGCGCATGCCCATGGGGCCCCTCAAGTGTTCTCTAGACCAGGGTTCATGTGCCTGAGAGCGAGGCAAGTGCTGGGGGACTGTCTCATGGTGGCTGGGCGCCTCCCTTCTCTGCACGGTCCTGGGTCCGATCCAGACTCCACCCCTTCCTGGTTGGTGACCTTGACCAGCCACTTACGGTCTCCAAGGCTTAGTTCCTGAGAAAGCAGATGATGCGGAATGAAGGGCTTTTAACGCCCCACTTGGGGCTCTGAAACTAAAATGAGGTTTGACATCTGGAAACACCACACAGTGGATAGTGCTAGTTGGTTTTCTTTTCCCTCCTAGCTTATACTCCACCTTTGTTTTAAAAATGCTGTTTTTCCCTCTCAACAGTGGACCTCAGATCCTCCTCCTGCTGTCCCTGTGGCCTGTCCCTCTGTCCCACTGCTGCTTCTGTTCATTAGCAGAGGGACAGCTCAGTGCAAGTCACAATTCATGAAACATCCCAGGCTGGCCCCCAGACTCATCAGTTCCCCACGTTGCGTGTTGCGTTTCCCCTCATTCTGGGTGCCGCTGCTGTTTGACTTAGGGTCTCTACTGCCTGTGCCCTTCGCAGGCCCGGCTTCCCTCTGCATCAGGAGCCTGGCCCTTCTGTGTCCCACCAGCCCGTTCTCCAAGCTGCAACCCAGGAGACCACAGAGGCTTGACTGGAATGGGAGGCCAGGGGGAGTCCCTTCACCTGTTGCTCAGGGAGGGGCTATGTCAATTTATAAATCTGTACAAGGACATGGTCCAGCTGCCGAACAGGTTTACATTGTGTCCCCGAGGCAGTCAGGACTGGATGCAGCCTTCTGGCTGACAAAAATCCATGCTTGGTAGAGACAGGTTTTCTCCTGCAAGGCCCTGGAGACTGCTAACTCATGAGTGCATGTGTGACCTCCTCTGCAACTTTTATAACAGCACAGGGGTCCAATGACTTAGCCACCCTGCCCTTTGGACATTTTTTTTTTTTAAACAGAGTCTCACTCTGTTGCCCAGGCTGGAGTGCAGTGGCGTGATCTCAGCTCACTGCAAGCTCTGCCTCCTGGGTTCACACCATTCCCCTGCCTCAGCCTCCCAAGTAGCTGGGACTGCAGGCGCCCGCCACCACACCCGGCTAATTATTTGTATTTTTTTTTAAGTAGAGACGGGGTTTCACCGTGTTGGCCAGGATGGTCTCGATCTCCTGACCTTGTGATCTGCCCATCTCAGCCTCCCAAGTGCTGGATTACAGGCATGAGCCACCACACCCAGCCTGGACCTTTAAATTAAATGTATAAGTGCAGTTCACAGTCATGCCTTAGTGATGGCTTTGTGCCTGTGGCTTTTTTCTTTCTTTTTGAAACAGTCCTAAGGTCAAAGACGATTAGTATATTTTTCTGTTTCTTGAAAATTATTTGCAAATCTCTGTCCAAAGCAGCTTTTTTCATTATCAGTACTACAAAGAGCTACTTTCCCCAGGACTTCACCAGCATTGGATAGAACCATTGTTTCTAATCTTTGCCCATTTAAAAGGAGCATAATGGTATTTTGTTGGTTCTCTTTGATAACTGTGGTTCATCATTCAAGCGATTCTGCTACTACTGCTATCTCCTGTGTCTGGGTCACTGGTTCTAAGCTTGCAGCTTGGACTTTTAACTGTTTTACAGGCATCTTTCATTTAATTGCCCAGTTACTATTTTCTACTCTACATGACATAGGGGAGGAAGCTAAGGCTCAGAGAGGGTGACCAATTTGCTCACCATCACACAGAGCTGGCCTCCACCCCACACCCCCCTGGTGGAGTTCATGTCCACTAACCTCAGAGTCCCCATTGCACCCAGCTATTTCTCTGATGATTCATTTCTCCACGAAGGGACACAAACCCACGGCTCGGGGACATCCTGCAGAAGCTGGCCCCATTCCTGAAGATGTACGGCGAGTATGTCAAGAACTTTGACCGAGCCGTAGGGCTGGTGAGCACGTGGACCCAGCGCTCCCCACTGTTTAAAGACGTCGTCCACAGCATCCAGGTAAGGCCGGCAGTGGGAGTGTGGACACAGATGTTCTCAAGATGCACAGAGCCTGGTGTTTTATTTTTTAAAAACATATGTATATATGTATATTTTACTCCAAAAAGTAACATGACATTACTAAAATTTTGGAACATAGAGAAAATTAGGAAAATTATGGGATGTGCCCAGATGTTCTGTTGATGCTTTGAGCCTTACAATAACTCCCAGAGATGAATCAGCATTCCCATCGGAAAATCGTGGCTCAAGAGGCTGTGCAAGCTACAGCATCACGAGCTATTATCTGATGGAACCTGAATTCAAAGGACAGTCTCTGATTGCACAGTGTCCCTCGATATCTAGTGCAGGCATTTTTGTTTAAATGTTACATTGCTTTTTTGTTTTTCGCTTTCTGCTAAGAGCCTCCTCACAGCCCTGGCTTCTCTTGTCTCCTATAGGGCTGGTCTCTTTCTTCTTGATTCACAAGGCTTTTATATGCTAAGAACATCAACTTCTTTCTGTCATGCATGTCACAGATTATTTTCCCCCATTGATCTTTTATTTTTTTATTTTATTTTTTTTTTTGAGACAGAGTCTCACTCTGTTGCCCAGGCTGGAGTGTAGTGGCACGATCTCGGCTCACTGCAACCTCTGCCTCCAGGGTTTACACCATTCTCCTGCCTCAGCCTCCCGAGTAGCTGGGAATACAGGCGCCCACCACCACGCCCAGCTAATTTTTTTGTATTTTTAGGAGAGATGGGGTTTCACTGTGTTAGCCAGGATGGTCTCGATCTCCTGACCTCATGATCCGCCCTCCTTGGCCTCTCAAAGTGCTGGGATTACAGGCGTGAGCCACCGCGCCCCGCCTGATCTTTTAACTTTATGGTGGTGTTTGCCATACAGAATTTTTTATTTTTTATTTTTATTCATTTATTTTTTAATTTTTTTTGAAACAGAGTCTCACTCTGTAGCCCAGGCTGGAGTGCAGTGGCGCGATCTCAGTTCACTGTAAGCTCCGCCTCCCAGGTTCACGCCATTCTCCTGCCTCAGCCTCCTGAGTAGCTGGGACTACAGGCGCCCGCCACCACGCCCGGCTAATTTTTTATATTTTTTAGTAGAGACGGGGTTTCACCATGTTAGCCAGGATGTCTCGATTTCCTGACCTTGTGATCCACCCACCTCGGCCTCCCAAAGTGCTAGGATTACAGGCGTGAGCCACCGCGCCTGGCCCAGAATTTTTTATTTTTAAGTAACTCCATTCACCACTTCTTAAAATGTAAAGCTTATTTTCAAATGCATTTCCCACTACCCAAGACTATATAACCCCATCTCTACTAAAAATACAAAAATTAGCTGGGCGTGACATGCCTATAGTCCCAGTTACTCTGAAGGCTGATTCAGGAGAATTGCTTGAACCGAGAGGCAGAGGTTGCAGTGAGCTGAGATCGCGCCTGCCATGTCCTGGATGACATCTGCCTGGGGACACTCGAGGCAGACACAGCCCCGGTTGCAGGCTAGCCACTGGTCTGTGCATCCCCTCATCCTAGGCAGATTGGGCACAGGGCCAGGCAGGCTGTGGGGAGGGCTCTCCGCCTGGACTCAGTACCATCCAGCCATTCCCTGAAGGTGACTTTGCCCCCCGGGGATCCCAGGCCATATCTTCACACATTGGGTGCACCCAGCATCTGGTGGGTGGGGTCTGGGGATGCTGCAAAACACGTTGCAGCAGACAGCATGGCCCACCGCAGAGAATTCTCCAACCCGAAGGTCCATAGTGCCCAGGCTGAGAAGACCTGGTGTGGAAAAAACAGGATCGCATGACAGTCAAGTTGCCCATGGCCTTTTGCAGGTTTCCTTCCTTTAATCAAAGGATATTTTAAACGTTAAACTTTTATTTTGAAATAACTTTAAACCTTTACAGGAAAGTTGCAAAAATGACATTGTTATGCATTATTAACATTTTGTCTGGCTTACTTTATTATTCCCTCTAAACTCATACAGATGATGATGACTTTTGAGCGTTTTGAAACTAAGTTGCAGACACCGTAACCCTTTATCACTAAACATGTGAACAAGGATATTCTCTTGCGTACTCCCAGCACAGTGATCAAAATCGGGGATTTTACACTGATGTCCTGGTGCTATCTACTCCGCAGCCCACACTCAGATGTCACCGATTGTCCCAATAACATTCTTGTTTTCTGATCCATAACCCAACCCAGGGCCACACATTGCGCTCATTATTGTATTTGTCCTCTTGGGTCTGGAACAGGCCTCTGTCCTTGTCTTTTTGAGGGGTGCAGCCTAGTTACTTGTAGACTGCCTGCTTGGGTTTTTCTGCTGTTTGTCCACAGTTTGATTGAGGCTGTGCCTTTTCCTGGAGTGAGGCTGTGCTCTTCTCCCTGCGTCCTGCCCGGTGACGCAGTCTCTGCATCCCATTCCTGGGGATATTCACTTGATAAAGGGCGTGTCTGTCAGGACTCTTCAGGTGAAGTTGGGTTTTTTCCCCTATTAAGTTTCTTGGCCGCTTGTGGTAGCTCACGCCTCTAATCCCAGCACTTTGGGAGGCCCAGGTGGGCGGATCACCTGAGGTCAGAAGTGCGAGACCAGTCTGGGCAACATAGTGAAACCCTATCTCTACTAAAAATACAAAAATTAGCTGGGTGTGGTGGCACACTCATACCTGTAATCCCAGCTACTTGGGAGGCTGAGACAGAATTGCTTGAGCCGGGGAGGCGGAGGCTGTAGTGAGCCAAGATCACTCCACTACACTCCAGGCTGGGCAACAGAGCAAGACTCCATCAAAAAAAAAAAAAAAGTTTTGGCCAGGCGCGATGGCTCACGCTTGTAATCCTAGCACTTTGGGAGACCGAGGTAGGCAGATCACAAGGTCAGGAGTTCGAGACCAGCCTGACCAATATAGTGAAACCCCATCTCTACTAAAAATACAAAAATTAGCCAGGTGTGGTGGTGTGCACCTGTAATCCCAGTTACTTAGGAGGCTGAGGCAGGAGAATTGCTTGAACCTGGGAGGCGGAGGTTGCAGTGAGCCGAGATCGCGCCATTGCACTCCAGCCCAGGCAACAGAGCGAGACTCCGTCTCAAAAAAAAAAAAGTTTCTTGTAGGGAGATACTTGGAGATTATGTGAATATCTTGACAGAAACAGTTGTTTTTATGAAGATTGTCGACTTGGGTTTCTCTCACCCTGTTGTATCCCAGGCATTTTTGAGCTCATCTGAGCTGGAAGCCGTTCTGTTCTGGGCCCTGAGCCAGGTGAGGGTGGTTGAGGCCCTTGAGTTGCTGGCAGGTGGGTGGGGAAGCTGGTGGACAGGACGACAAAGTCAGCAGGCCCTCACAGGCTGCCCAGTGGGCATCATCAGGGGAGGCAGAGGCAAAGTGGCCTGGGCAGGAGGACCCGATTGGGGAGCACAGAGGCGACAGGTGGGCAGCATTCAGCACACGTGTCTGGGGTTCAGATGCCAGATGGAGACATGGCAGCAAGGAGGTGCTGCAGGGTGCGAGGGGAGGCACAGGGAGCCGGTGAGCAGAGCTGGGTACACGTGGAGCGCGAGGGTCTCAGCACCTGATTGGAATACTGGTGCGTTTATATCGAGAGCGATCTGCAGAAGGACTCCCCGAGCTGCTTCTAGGCATAAGGACAAGCCCTGGCCCGATACCCAGTGGGGATGGTTGGGCGAAGCTCTGCCTGATTTCTCAGCAGAGGGGTCGAAGGAGCCCTGCTTAGGCCCACGGGTGGGTGAGAGTGGGGAAAAGCCACTCTTGACAGGAGGAGACAGTCCTGTCCAGGCATTTATTTTCTCCACCGAGGATGCGTATAAGAGAGCCAGCTCTGGGCCAAGGGCCAGCCTGCCTGGGGTTCCAGTTCTTGCTCCATTGGTCAGTCTCTCTGAGCCTCAGTTTCCCTCGTTGTAAAGTGTGGTCTGTGTCAGCCATGTCTTGAAGGACAGTCAGTTCTGGGCAGCCAGTTCCGGGCAGCTTCCTGGGGCTGTGGTGGCCAGAAGCCGGTGGGGCTGGCATCCACACACGTGTCCTTGGAGTGCCCAATGCTCCCTCTGTCCCCACAGAAGCAGGAGGTATGCGGGAACCTGACGCTGCAGCACCACATGCTGGAGCCCGTGCAGAGGGTCCCCCGGTACGAGCTGCTGCTCAAGGACTATCTGAAGAGGCTCCCGCAGGACGCCCCAGACCGGAAGGATGCGGAGAGTGAGCTGGGGCCAAGGGCTCCCAGGAGGGTGCAGGGGCACCTGCCAAGAACTCTGGGGGTGGGGAGAGAGGGAGAGAGAGAGTCGTGGGGTCATGGGGGTAGGGGAGAGAGAAACAGAGAGACCAGAGGGAAAGAGACAGAGACAGAGGCAGGGGAGGGAGAGAGATGGAGACAGGGAGAGAGATAGGGAGATGTCAGGGAAAGAGAGGGAGAGGGAGGGAGAAACAGAGGGGAGGAGAGAGAGACACACAGAGACAGAGGAAGGAGGGGGAGAGAGAGGGATGGAGAAACAGACAGAGGGGAGGAGAGAGAGACACACAGAGACAGAGGAAGGAGGGGGAGAGAGAGAGAAAGAGAGAGAACAAGTGAGCCCCCTAGCAGCCCAGGAAGGGACTTAGCATCTTTGAGGGCAGAGAAAAATCTCCCCTGCTTGAAGTATGCGGGTGGACATTGGTCTGGGGAAGGTGCTACTAAATGCTGGCCCTGTTCAGAGCTTAGGCCCCAGGAATGGGCCTCATAGGGCTGGTGGGGGCTGCTCCTGGTCCAAGGGCAGCAACTGGTGTGGCTGGCAGGCAGCCCGGACAGGCGTCTGTGCAGAATCGTGGGAGCCCCCTGCCTGGTATTGGCCCCAGAAGGGATGTGTCTGCAGGGTCAGAGGCAGGGTCACCCCCTTCCTCTGGGCCAGTCCTCTAGAGTAGCCCAGGCACCCTGGGAAAGGCTGAGGGCAGAGACAGATCCTCTCTCTGGAGGCAGCTGCCCTGGAGCCCCTCAGGCAAGCAAAAACGGAGCCACCGTGGCCCCAGGCTGAACACAGTCTTCTTCCTGCAGGGTCCTTGGAGCTCATCTCCACAGCCGCCAACCACTCCAATGCTGCCATTCGGAAAGTGGTGAGTGTGGGGCTCCAGTGGCGACCGGCAGGGTGGTGCAGCAAGAGTGAGGGCCAGGGGCCCTTGTGGGCCAGCCCCTTTGCCGCTATCCTTTGGGGGGCTCCACAAGTGACTCTTTTATACCTCCTTCCACCCCCATCCCCAGGGGGGTCAGCTGGACAGCCCCGCCCCTTGCTATAATAGACCTGTGTCCTTGGTGAGTTATTTAGCACTCTATGCCTTAGTTTCCCCATCTATAAAATGGGAGCCCCGACAGAGCCTGTCTCACTGGGCATCTGTGGAGAGTAAAAGAATCACTCTATGGGCCGGGCGCGGTTGCTCATTCCTATAATCCCAGCACTTTGGGAGGCCGAGGCGGGCGGATCATGAGGTCAGGAGTTGGAGACCAGCCTGGCCAATATGGTGAAACCCCGTCTCTACTAAAAATACAAAAATTAGCTGGGCGTAGTGGTGTATGCCTGTAGTCCCAGTTACTTGGGAGGCTGAGGCAGAAGAATCGCTTGAACCTAGGAGGCAGAGGTTGCAGTGAGCCGAGATCGTGCCACTGCACTCCAGCCTGTGCAACAGAGTGAGACTCCGTCTCAAAAAAAAAAGAATCACTCTAGGCCAGGCGCGGTGGCTCACGCCTGTAATCCCAGCAATTTGGGAGGCCGAGGCGGGTGGATCATGAGGTCAGGAGATGGAGACCATCCTGGCTAATATGGTGAAACCCCATCTCTACTAAAAATACAAAAAATTGGGCATGGTGGCAGGCGACTGTAGTCCCAGCTACTCAGGAGGCTGAGGCAGGAGAATGGCATGAACCTGGGAGGCGGAGCTTGCAGTGAGCCGAGATCGCGCCACTGCACTCCAGCCTGGGCAACAGAGCAAGACTCTGTCTCAAAAAAAAAAAAAAAAAATGTATAACAAAAACCAGGGGGAAAAAAAGGAATTTCCTTTGTTTTCTAAGTATCCATTATGTTCCAGGTACTTTCCCTAGGCAGTTTCATTTAATTATACAAATCCAAGTCTTTTCACCCAAAACTCACACACCTCTCAGAGAACAGCTGTTTCATGACTCCTAAAACACTAAGGAGAGTGAGAGCTGCAACATGTCCAGGGTCAGCCCCAAGTCCTGCCCCACAAAGTGGTCCCCGGCCTGCCCCGGAAAGTGTCAGCCATGTGTTACCATGGAACTCAGCCCTAAATGGCCTGAGCCCATGGCAACTTTGTGTTCAAAAGCCTCAGCAAGGCCAGGCGTGGTGGCTCATGGCTGTAATCCCAGCACTTTGGAAGGCCGAGGTGGGCGAATTACTTGAGGTCAGGAGTTCAAGACCAGCATGGCCAACATGGTGAAACCCTGTCTCTACTAAAAATACAAAAATTAGCCAGGTGTGGTGGCTCACACCTGTGAGCCACCAGGTGTGGGCGGTGGCGGGGTGTGGGGGGGGGAAGAATCAATCTACATAGAATGCTCAGAACAGGACCTGCCTGGTGCAGGAAGTGTCAATGCTCAGTGTTATTGTCATTCATTCACTCACTAAAGCTGCATTAGTCCCTTCATGGACTGGCTCTGTGCTCACCCAGCCCCCTGGGACATGACAGGTGCACACCCAGCCCTCTTAGTGCACACCAGGTGCTTGCCCAGCCCTCCCAGTACATTCCAGGTGCATGCATTTCTCCACTATTAGACACCAGCTGCACACGCAGCTCCCCAGTACATACCAGGTTCACACCCAGCCCCCCTGGTACACACCAACTGCACACCCAGCCCCCAGTAGTGGGCAGGTGCACACCCAGCTCCCCTGTGTATATACCAGGTACCTGCCCATTCCCCCAGTTCTCAAAAGACCCTCACCCCTACCCTAGTCTGCTCCTCTAAGCTCTCTGCTGCTGGCTCCTCTGGTGCCCCCCACACCCTGTGCCCACTTGCACCTACCTGCATTGGTGCCAGAGACGGAAGGGTCAGCCAAACCCAGCCGCCTCCAGGATGTACAGGCTGAGATCACTCAGGTCCAAGGACGGGGCTTCCAAGGCACAGCAGGTACAGACTCAGACATGTGGCTGTTGTCGAGGTTGCCGCAGGCTCACCTCTGCGTTCTGCTACACTGGCGTCTGGCTCAGAGCTGAAGCATGAGCTTTGACGCTGTCCCATCGCACTTCTGGGTGCTGGTTACCCATGTGACCACCCCACCAGTCACCATGGTCAGGGGAAGGTGACATATGGATTGTCCGAGTCTGGGTCTCAGATACTCAACTGACCGCTCTGTGCCTCAGTTTCCTTGTCTGTAAAATGAAGATAACAATGGCACTCACCTCACTAGGTGAGTTAAAACATGTATCATGTAGAACAGCACATGGCTCACAGCAATGGTTAGCTCTGTTCCTGTTTATCGTTGTTTTTATGCTCTGCATGGTGAACTCCTATTCATCCTTCAATACCCAACTCAAACATCACTCTGTTTTCCCTCCCACCCTTGTCAGTAGCTCATTGCCCTCTCTGGATTCTGGGCCACGGTTGCAGGGAAGGACTCCGTGCATCTCTAGGTCACCAGCCACTCTCACAGACCTTTGGTGCCTGAGTCCCATGTCTCTTGCAGGAGAAAATGCACAAGCTCTTGGAGGTGTACGAGCAGCTGGGTGGGGAAGAAGACATTGTCAACCCGGCCAATGAACTGATCAAGGAGGGCCAAATCCAGAAACTGTCAGCCAAGAACGGCACCCCCCAGGACCGCCACCTCTTCCTGGTGAGCCTGGCCCCTGCCAGCCCAGCCGCAGAGCCTCCCTTGCCATTTGCCTCAAGCCCAGGGCAGTGCCAGGAGGGCTCTGGCTGCCCAAGGACATGGCTCTTCTGTGGCCTCTCCTACTGGGACTGTGGCTCCCTCTGAGACCCTCAGCATCCCTCCCCCAGCCATAGGGAGCCTCCCTCCTCCACATCCAGACACCAAACTTTTGCCAGTGGCTCTTCCCCATTTGCTGCAAATATCTCATTTTTTAATCCCTCGTAGCCCATACCTCTTTCGTCCCCAGAACTGAGCAGACTTCAGCTTGTAGCAACCAGGACAGCACAGAGAACTGTAGCAGTGAATCACAGTTTCAACTATTCCTGAGCCAAACCCTGGCCGGGAGGGAGGGGGAAGGTGGGATGGAAGTGTAATTCGAGACCCCCCCGGGTGCCATGGCGCGGTAGAAACAGATGTGGTTCTTCTTTCCTCCTCCATTTTCCTCTAGCTTCTGATTCTCCTTGAATAAACAATTATTTCTTTGAAAGGTTTTTTTTTAAGTTTTTAAAAATTACGTTAACTAAAACTCATTTTTGCTTTACAGTTCTGAGTTTTGACTAATACAGTTGTGACCACAATCAAGTTACAGAACAAGTTTTTTTTGTTTGTTTTTGTTTTTGTTTTTAAGACAGAGTCTCGCTCTGTCACCCAGGCTGGAGTACAGTGGCTCAATCTCGGCTCACTGTAACCTCCACCTCCCAGGTTCAAGCAATTGTCCTGCCTCAGCCTCCTGAGTAGCTGGGATTACAGGCGTGCGCCACCACGCCCGGCTAATTTTTGTATTTTTAGTAGAGATGGGGTTTCACCATGTTTATCAGTCTGGTCTCGAGCTCCTGACCTCAGGTGATCCACCCACCCAAAGTGCTGGGATTACAGGCGTGAGCCACCTCACCTGGCCAAGTTACAATTTGATCACTGCCCCCGCCCACCCCCCCAGTTCCCTTGTCCCACCCCTTTGTGAGCAAGCGCTCGCCTGCCCTGGCAACCATGGATCTCTTCTCTGTTTCTAGAATTTTGCCTTTCCCAAATGTCACATCAATGCCATGAGATGAGTCTGGCTCCTTTAGCTCACCATGTGGGTTTGAGAGATTCATCCATGTTGGTGAATGTATCAGTAGCTCATTCAAAAGATTTGGTTTGGCTGGACGTGGTGGCTCATACCTGTAATCCCAGCACTTTGGGAGGCTGAGGTGGGCGGATCACCTGAGGTCAGGACTTTGAGACCAGCCTGGCCAACATGGCGAAACCCCATCTCTACTAAAAATGCAAAAATTAGCTGGGCGTGGTAGCACCCGCCTGTAATTCCAGCTACTCGGGAGGCTGAGGCAGGAGAAGCTCTTAAACACGGGAGACGGAGTTTGCAGTGAGCCAAGATTGCGCCATTGCACTTCAGACTGGGCAACGAGAGCAAGACTCCATCTCAAAAAAATAAAAAAAGGTTTTTTTTTAAATTATACAATTAGCTCATGTTCATGGTTTAAAAATTTAAAAATAGAAATGAACAAAAATAAAGCTAGCGACTAGAGTCTCCTCACTCAAAGATGTAACCATAGTTAAAATTACTGCACATATCTTTTAAAAATATTTTTCACTTTATAACATTAAAAAAAAATGAAAAGGATCCCATGTGAGAAGCTCACTGGGGCCCCTGGGGGGACCTGCGGGCAGCTCTCGTTCCTCACCTGTGCCATCCCTCTTGCAGTTCAACAGCATGATCCTTTACTGTGTGCCCAAGCTGCGGCTCATGGGCCAGAAGTTCAGCGTCCGGGAGAAGATGGACATCTCAGGCCTCCAGGTGGGTGAGCTCCTCCATCTCAAACCTGTCCCCCTGGAAGGGGCACTGAGCAGGACTGGGGACACCAGGCTCTGGCCGCTGAGGCACTCACCTCTGTGCAGCCTGGCACCCCTACCTGCTTTTCCAAGCCATAGACCCTATCTGTGACCAAGGCATTGTCTCAGTCCTGGTGCCCCAGGCTGGAAGGGCAGGATTCCACCCTTCTCTGCTTGGCCCACCTGCCACGTTGCTGCCAACTCCCCTTTCTGCAGAGCCTTGGAGGATGCAGGGGGCAGTAGGGATGGCACCAGGACCTGGACTGAATCCTGTCACCTGTGAGACTGGGACTCGGGGCCCTATTTACAAACCCAAACATGAAGCCCAGGGTTGCAGGGAGCAATCCTGGCTGGGGCGGGGGCCGGCTTCCCTTGTCTGGTTCCTGGGTCCTGAGCTCTTTCCTGTCCTCCTGCACCGGAGCCGGGGGGAGGGTTCCAGGCAGATCTGTAGCATGGTCCAGAATGACCTTCTTTTTTTTTTTTTTTTTTTTTTGAGACGGAGTCTCGCTGTCACCCAGGCTGGAGTGCAATGGCATGATCGTGGCTCACTGCAACCTCCACCTCCTGGGTTCAAGGGATTCTCCTGCCTCACCCTCCTGTGTAGCTGCGATTACAGGTGTGTGCCACCACACCCAGCTAATTTTTGTATTTTTAGTAGAGAAGGGGTTTTGCCATGTTTGCCAGGCTGGTCTCGAACTCCTGACTTCGTGATCCACCCGCCTTGGCCTCCCAAAGTGCTGGGATTACAGGCATGAGCCACCGCACCCAGCCTAGTCAGTCATTATTTTTAATGGTATTTCTTAACCTGGAGTGCAATGGTGTGATCTCGGCTCACTGCGACCTCCACCTCCTAGGTTCAAGGGATTCTCCTGCTTCACCCTCCAGAATAGCTGTGATTACAGGTGCGCGCCACCACGCCCAGCTAATTTTTGTATTTTTAGTAGAGACGGGGTTTCACCATGTGGTCAGGCTGGTCTCAAACTCCTGACCTCGTGATCCACCTGCCTCGGCCTCCCAAAGTGCTGGGATTACAGGCATCAGCCACCGTGCCCAGCCATGACCGATTTTTTGTAGAGAAACACTAGAAAAGTGGTTTCTTCTAACTACTATAAAAAGCTGGGCACGTAGTTTCGCTGGCTCACGCCTACAATCCTAGTACTTTGGGAGGCTGAGGTAGGAGGATCACTTGAACCCAGGAGTTCGGGACCAGCCTGGGCAATGTAGTGAAACCGTGTCTCTATAAAAAATAAAAAATTAGCCAGGCATGGTGGCGCACATCTCTATTCCCAGCTACTTGGGAGGCTGAGGTGGGAGAATTGCTTGAGCCCAGGAGGTCAAGGCTGCAGTGAGCTATGATTGTGCCACTCACAGTGCTCCAGCTTGGCTGACAGGACAAGACCCTGTCTCAAAAATAATTTTAAAAATAATAATGAAACAACCTTAAAAAAAGGTATTTTCTCTAGTTAGTGTTTTTTTTCTTAACCTGAATTCAGAGAATTTCAAGGTAAGAAGGGATTTTTGGTGGCATTAAGCAAATGATTACATATTTTGATTTAGCAAATATTTTTGGAGCACCCATTAATTCAAAGCCCTCCCGACAGGGGACAGGGACCCATTCCAGTCCCCCAACTACCCCACTGCAATGAGACATGGAACAGGCGTGAGCTACTGCGCCCGGCCATGGTCTCTGTGGTCTTATCCTGATGGAAGAGGATGGAATCTGTGGCTGCGGTTCTATGAAGAAGTGACCCCATTTTCATTAGTTCTGGGCACACATTGTCCTATTTACATGTCTAATCTCAGGGCGCACCTGCTCAGGGGCTCAGACTCTGCAGGGTGGCTAAGGCCATCCTTGCTCTTCTCATCAGATCCCTTTCCATCCTAAGGGGACGTGGCTGCTGTGGCGGGCAGTGCCCAGTGGTGCCTGTGGGGAATGGCTTGGCTTTAAGGAGGATGGATGGGGCGACATGGGGAGGATGCCTGACGGGCTGGGTGTCGGGGGGGTGGGTTTGGTCAGCAGAGTTCCAAGCACAGAAGATGAGCGGTCATAGCTGTGTCTGAGCAGGATGGGAGGCCCGCTGTCCCTGATGGACCAGCTCATGTAGCAGCCACGCTGACCTAAGCCTCTGCACCCCTCTCCCTGCAGAACTGTGGGGCTGCAGGCTCACCTCTGTTACCTCCTTGGGGAAACACTTCTAAGTCAGAAAACATGAGGCTGGAGCTAAAATGACCAGCTTGGGTTTGCTTTGTTCTTTGTTCTTGCCCCTTCAGGTGCAGGATATCGTCAAGCCAAACACAGCACATACATTCATCATAACAGGAAGAAAAAGGTCCCTGGAGCTGCAGACGCGGTATGGAACGGGCTGTTTCTAGTGAATGTCTTTGACCTCATGTCTTCTTTTTCTAAACTGGTTAACCTTGTAATATATTTTTATTTATGCATGGCTTAAAATTTAAAAGTACTGTTACTGAAGCACCAGGGTTCCGTCTATGTCCTGCGCTTGCTGCACAGAAAGCCAATCACTGAGATGATTATTGCCAAGGAAGAAGCTTTAATTGGCCGAGGAGATGGGAACTCAGTCTCAAATCCATCTCCCTGACCAACTAAAACTAGGGGCATACACAGCAGGGAATAAATGTAACAATGTGTAAGAAAACAGGAACTAGGGAGGGGCAAGGAAGCAATCATGATGAATAAAGGGTCTGGGCATCTCATTGTCTGGATGTGGTGACCTGGTGAGTTTCAGTCCCTTGATGGTTTTTTTGAGAGGCCTGAAGGTGTTTTCTGAGGAAGGAACTCAGATAAAACAAATGTTAACTTTCAAGCTTTAAGACCAGAAGGGTCAATTTGTATGTTTATCAGATAAACTATCTATGGGACTCGGGGCGGTTTTAGTACCAAGGGAAGTTGATGAAAATTAAGCCTCTGCCCACCTCCTGTTCAGCAGGCCCAGCACGTTCTTAGTCCTCTCTTGAGTATCCTACGATTTTCTTTTCTTTTTTTTGAGACGGAGTTTCGCTCCCAGGCTGGAGTGCAGTGGCACAATCTCGGCTCACTGCAACCTCCACCTCCCAGGTTCAAGTGATTCTCCTGCCTCAGCCTCCTGGGTAGTTGGGATTACAGGCACCCGCCACCACGCCAGGCTAATTTTTTGTTTGAGTGAAAACCCAACGGGGTTTCACCATGTTGCCCAGGCTGGTCTCGAACTCTTGACCTCAGGTGATCCACACCCCCTCGGCCTCCCAAAGTGCTGGGATTACAGGTGTGAGCCACCGTGCCCAGCCCCTTCTAGGATTTTCTATGCACATGCACATATATCTATGTTTTAAATCACAGATGGCTGTTTACTGTATAACCTGTCCTGCACCTTGCTTTTTCACTTAATTTGTCAAGAATCATCCCATATCTGCACACCATTCCTAAAGCAACACAATTTTCCATTATGATCATTAGCTAGTTCCCACTGACGAGGACCTGCGCTCCTCCCGAACCTGGCCATCACAAATGCGGCTGCAAGCAGTGTCCTTGTTTTTAGGTGTTTCTGCATATGTGTAATTGTAGCCGTCAGATTGCTGACATAGATTTGCTGGTCACAGGGTAGTGCATCTGTTTGAAATGTTGGTGGCTGTTGTCACACTACCCTTTAAGGTGATGTCAGGCTGTGCTCTGACTAGCCATACATGGGAGTTCTGTTCTCCCACACCCCACCAACAGTGGGATCTTCATAATGACCCATTATGGTCCAAGGAGGCATTGAATTACAGCCACTGCAGAGGGCTCCACATGGCTCACCTGGCCCCACCAGGCCACGAGTGTTTTGAGGCCCTTGGGGCCAATCTTCCAATCCTTGAGCTGCGTTGACAAGCCAGTGCGTGGCTCGGGTGTGCTGCAGGGTTGAGAGAGGGCTGGTCATTTAGAGTCAGTATCCAAGACTGGATTAATACAAGACCGTTTTGGTTTTTTAGGACAGAGGAAGAGAAGAAAGAATGGATTCAGGTGAAGCTTCTAAAGTTGTAAAGTAACCAAATGACCAAGTGATTGAGCAGTAAGGCCATTCATGTTGGTTCAGAGGGTGGGGGCCCTGGCCTCCGGGACTGCTGGCCCTGTGCTGTACCCTGCAGGGATGCAGTGACCACACTGTGCCTTCATAAGCAGCTTCAGATGCCACAAGCCCTTCAACCCATTCATTTCTTTGAGGGCCCCCAAATAAACATGAGCGGGCCTGGTGGAGTCACAGGCCAGGTTCCCCGCTCAGGGTGGATCTCCTCAATCTGGACAGCTCCAAGGGGAGACCACATCATTGGTAGGGGGGAAGGGAGATGGCCAGTGGCCTGGGCATTGTTCTGGGAACGCCAAGGCCCGTCCTCGGGACAGAGGCAGGCGCGTCCCTCCTGTGGGTAGCATCCTCCCATGCCCCTTTATAGTCCTCACTGTTGTGTTGCTGTGTCCAGATCATCCAGGCCACCATCGAGAAGCACAAACAGAACAGCGAAACCTTCAAGGCTTTTGGTGGCGCCTTCAGCCAGGATGAGGACCCCAGCCTCTCTCCAGACATGCCTGTGAGTCAGTGGCCCGGGGTGCAGAGAGACCTCCAGGGGACGGGCTACCTGTGGAGAGCAGAAGGCACTGGCGTCTGGGTGGGCAGCTTGACCTCCAGGCTTTCCTCCTGCTACACCAGGGACCAGGACAGCGGGCACTCCCTTGTGTTAAAATAAAAACTTAAGACAAATTAAATTTAACAATTTAATTGAGCAAACAACTATTTGTGGATGGGATAACACCCACCCCCTACAACCCCTGAGACCAGAATAGGTCCAGAGAGCCTCCTGTGCTGCTGTGTGGTTGGAGAGGATTTATGGACAGAAAAAGGAAAGTGAGGCACAGAAACAGCTGGGTTGGTTACAGTTCCGCGTTTGCCTTATTTGAACATGGTTTGAACAGTCGGCCACCTTTCCATGGCAGCTTTAGGCTGAACTTAATTTCACCCCTACCCACCCTCCACTAAGTGCCGCTGCAGCCTGCTGGGCCCCAGGCCCGTGGTCAGCGCCCAGCTGGGCGGGAAAGCAGGATGTGGGCGTGGAGGAAGCGCTCCTTCATGACCTGTTTGGTTGTCTGGTGCCTTCTGCACAGCATCCTACACACAAAGGTATGTTACATCATCCCCACAGAAACTGAGTCTGAGGAGCTCTGTGACGTCCCCAGGCCATGGGTGGTGGAACTGGCATCACAGGGCTGTGGTGCGCTGCCCGCGTACCACTCTGTCTGGTCTAGCACAGCCTATGACTGCAGACACCTTTCTGTGTTTGTATTTCCCTCCCAGTGCCCCCGTGCCCTGGGAGATGGTGGCTCAGAGCCCCTTGAGGGAAGCAATAGGAGCATCTCACTCCCCATCCTCACGTGGAGCTGCCCCAAGGGCCCAGGGGGATTTCACATGGAGACTTAGGCTGGGAAAGAGGCGGGGCTGCAGGGTCCTTGCCGAGAAGCCTGGCCAGGGAGTCAGGGCTGCAGCCCCAGGGCCAATCCCCGGCCATTTCTCCTCCCGGGGCTTCCCTGGAGTCAGGGAGAGAGGATTGGGTGAGGAGGCCGATCTCTGCCCGCTGCGAGGAAGGCCCTGGAGTCACTGGCCCTGGACAAGGCATAGGGGTTGGAAGTGTAGCAAGGACATATCCAGGGAGGCACCCAGGAGAGACGGTGCCCTGAACCCTATGCCAGGCCCTCTGCTCCAGCCTTCACGGGGGCACCAGGCATGACTCAGAGTGAGGGTGCCCCAACTCTCGCCGCCTGACCCAGACCCCGCAGGCCTGAATCCCAACTCCAGGCTGGTTCTGCCCTCCCTACCACCTCCAGGGGTCTGCCTGGCACAGCCCACCTCCCCCATATCCACTTCATATTTGTATCAAGTCCGCTAGGTTTTTTCTGCTTTCTGCATTTACTTTGCAAGAACTTTGCACCATCCAGAAAGAAAGAGTCCTGGGACTGCCTTGAGTGGAGGTGACCTGGGAATGTGAGACACTGAGCCTGGCTGTCCTTAAGTCTGGCCAAGCCCTTTCTGTTCAGAGGCTGAGCCCGGAGCCTCACTGTGCTGAGAAAGTCGGGGAGCTGCAGAGACTCCACAAGGAACCCTGGAGGATGAGAGAGAACCCAAAGGGACCCTCCTTACTCACTGGGTGACTTGGTGTAAATTAGAGCCCCTGAATAGGGCGGGCCAGAGGGAGGCATCACCCACCAGCCACCCACCTCACTGGGAGATGCTCCTTCTAGGAGAGGCCTCCAGCTCAGGCCAGGCCCAGGGAGGGAGCAGCTTCCCCAGAGGCACAGCAAATCCTAGGCCTGGGAAATCCTGCTCCCGAGCCTGCCCTCAATGCACAGAGGTGCTGGGGGCTTCAGGAACTGTCCCCCCGCTGCACAGTGGCTGCGTGGCCCTGGAATCTCCTCTCACTCGGCCTCTGTGTCCCTTCTAGATCACGAGCACCAGCCCTGTGGAGCCTGTGGTGACCACCGAAGGCAGTTCGGGTGCAGCAGGGGTAAGTGCCCCATGCTCAGCGGTCAGCAGGGGTGAAAGGCAGAGCAGGGGGTCAGACCAGGATGACCTATAGGGAAGATGGAGAGGGAGGGTCAGACCAGGGCCTCCTGGAGGCGGAGGGCTGAGGGGCCAGTCTGCCCTGCTCACTGTGACTGGGGGCCTGGGTGTGCGGAGGTGAAGCTATGTCTGAGTCCAGGCACTGATGAATTGTGTGGTCACTGCAGGGGACTCTGTAAGGTGGGCACGCAGAGGCCTGTCAGTGTGGGGATGTCCATTACCTGGTTGGAGGTGGTCACACAGCTGGGCACACATGTGAGAATCTTCTGAGCTCCAAGTGAACATTTATGCTCTTAACATGTGTGAATCGTCCCATAAAGCATGTATTAACAGTGCAAGGTCCTTAGGAGGCTCGGTAATGCAGAGGACTGCTTAGTTCTTCACCCCAAGCAGCGGCCAGGGAGGCCTAAGCCTCCCTGCCTCTCCCCGTCTGTGTTCTCGTGTGCCTTATGGCAGCCAGCCCACAAGGGTGCTGCTCCGGCCAGGCAGACTGTGTCCACGCGCCCGCCTGCCAGGGGATAGGGAACTGGGATAAGGCCTGCCTCCCTCCGTTTAATCTGGGAAGTTAAAGAGGATGAGGGCCAAGAGCATCTGTACCTGGAGCCATCATCATTGGTGCCCAGGCCTGGCACTCACCAACGCTGACAGCAACATCACCGTGGAGCACCCCGATGTGGCTGCTGTGCCCAGATGCAGGAGGGTGATTCTCCAGGTGCCTCGCCTCACCCCATGCTGTGCAGGCCCAGGAATGACATGGCCCCAGATGGCTGCCCTAGCCCCATCCAAGACGGGTCTTTCCAGGTGGGCTGGCCGCTGGCTGCCCCCTCCCATGACCTGAGCTTTACCAGGCCCCACCCATCATGATCTGGGCTGGCCGGGCACTGGGAAACCATGAAGAAACTCAGGAGGCCTCGGGAAAGATGTAGTGCTTCAGGGGCACGACGGAGTGTGGAGGCGTGGGGGGCTTGCACATACATCCCAACGGGCAAGAGGAGAGACCCCAGATTCACAAAGCGCAGCCACCTGGCCTCTGCAGAGCAGACAGGCACCCTGCAGGGACATCTTATTAACACTGAAACGAGGAAGTCTGACACGGGGTGGGCAGCTTGGGGGAAAGTGGTGCCCTGGCCTCCTAGGAGAGAATCTCCTCTCACTTGTCTCTTCTTGTGTCTGGCCTCACCCAGCTTCCTGGCCACCCTCCCCTGAGATGCCCTGGGTTCCCCTTGCCCTGCTAGGCCCCAGGGCCTTGACACCTGCTGTTTGCTCTGTCCAAGTCTATGAAGCCCTGTAGCCTGCCCCGGGGGACCCTGATAAAAATGTCTCAATGACAGGAACCCGCCCATCAGCAACTTTTTTTTTTTTTTTTTTTTTTTTTTGAGACGGAGTCGCTCTGTCGCCCAGGCCGGAGTGCGGTGGCACAATCTCAGCTCACTGCAACCTCCACTTCCCAGGTTCAAGTGATCCTCCTGCCTCAGCCTCCCCAGTAGCTGGGACTACAGGCACGTGCAACCATGCCCAGCTAATTTTTTGTATTTTTAGTAGAGACGGGGTTTCACCATGTTGGCCAGGATGGTCTCAATCTCTTGACCTTGTGATCCGCCCGCCTCAGCTGGGATTACAGGCGTGAGCCACCATGCCCAGCCTATGATGGGAATCCGCCCGTCAGCAACTTTTTGTATTGCCAAACAGTAAGTGTGAGGCTGGCTGTGCCCCAGACTCACAGAGCTCTTTAGGCCCTTTTCTGGAGCATTTAGGAAAGTTATGAAAAGCAATGTGTACTCATAGTGTGAGTGCAGCCACAGAAGCTTGAGCTGCCCACAGTGGACACACAATCGCAGGGTCACAGTGGGGACGTGACAGCCCACACCCATGCATATGAGGCACTGCCTGATCAGCCCCACTGCCTGGAATCCCACAGCCAGGGCAGACATCCCTGACAGTTTCCATGGTGATGCCCTGGCACAGAGCACTGCCTCCCACACACACAGCTCACATAAGGTATGAACTTGGCTGGCCTCTGCCTGATGACCCTCCATGTCCAGCCCCGGGCCCTGGGCCAGGCTTATGGAGACATCCGTGGTCACAGTCCTGCCGCAGAGGCATCAAGGCTCAGTGAGAGCCACCTGTCGTTTGTGAATGCGTCTGTCCTTGGTGTGAGCCCATACGACATGGAGAGGCACCTTCAGTGTCTTGGGTAGGCAAGGAAGCAGAAGTGGGTGGAGGCCACGTGCTGAGGGATGCCCTGGGTGGGCAGGACCTGGGCGGGTTGTAGGAACAGCAGGAGCCCAGGCCTGGCTGAGGGGATCCACACAGGGCGTCTGAGTGTGGGACAGGGTCCTGGGGAGTCTAACCCCCGGGTTGGTGCCCTGACAGGAGAATGTTCTAGCTGGAAGAACCTGCAAGGCCATTGTTTAAAATGTTTTAACTTGTGGGAAGACACAGCTTGGAGATGGCCTTGGAGCAGGGCTTTGAGCAAATGCCGCCTCTTGAGCCTCACTTGGCTCTGGGCAGAGAGATCAGAGAAGCTGTCAGGCGCTGCTGGCCACACAGGCAATGCCCCTATTGGCCGCCTGCCTCCGTCACAGGCGAGAAGGTAATTGGGGCTCAGGGCCTCAGTCAGTGTCCGGGCATCTGCTGGACCAGGCTGTGGCCAGCAGACCCGCTGTGCCTCGATGGGTGCGCCCAGCTGGGTGGACAGCACCGCCTGCCCCACTCCCTTTACTTCCCCTGGCCCAGGGTTCAGCTGCCTCAGGTTCTGCAGCAGCCTGGGGAGCCAGGTACTCAGGGTCACAATTCCAGTTCTGGTCTCTTGTCTCTGTCCCTTACCCACACCAAGCCAGAGCTGGGCCCACGACAGACCACCAAACAACCACAGACCTCAGCTCCAGCCCAGGGCCTCCCTACGAACAGTGGATGTGGCCTGGCCTGGCCCTGTGTTCCTCACTGGTGTCTTCCTGTGAGCAAAAACAGCAGAGTTGAGACTAGGGTAGGAGCTGGGACAGCTCAGTGTCTGTGTCAAGCTGCACAGGGTGAATGTGGTGTGATGGAGGTGAGCTCAGTGTGCGTTTTACAAAGCACTCAAAAGCAAGTTCATTCTCTCATCAACAACAGTGATTTTTGCTACAGTATACCAAACTTCAACTTACTTCCTGAGCCCAATTTCTTCAGTGGTATAGTCCCTGTAAGCCCCTTTCCTAGGAGAAGCTACACCCAAGCCAGGAAGTTTTGCAAGGGGCCTTGCAGAATTCAAAGCCTTCCCTGATGGGCAAGCGTGGAGTTGCTCTTAACAGAAACACAAAATGTCAGAATCCAAAAGGTCTCTTAGGGCCTCAGACCCACCATGGGTGACACACGAACCCCTCCAAGGAGCCAGCGAGGCATCTAAGGGCACCCTTGACAGGCCAGTGCCAGGGCCTCTTCTCAGGCACTGCCCCTCCTGGGACGAGGCCACGCCCTGTGTCCACCCTCGGGGCTCCAGGGCAGGGCTGGAGCAGAGGCATCAGGCCTCAGCCTGGCCACCCTCCTGTTGGAATAGCCCCAGGCAGTGCCTGCGCCTCACAGCCTGTGTCCCCTGCTGGGTCATTTCAAGCAGCTGATGAAACTGACTCGGTTTCATCAGGGCCTCTTACTGGGCTCCAATTCTGTGTAACTCAGCTGTGCCCCCCGTTCCTGGATGTGCAGCTCAATTTGCTCAAGAAAAAATGCTGGAGGGGGCAGCCCCGTTGGCCCTTGGTGGAGACCACTTTCTGGGTCAACGCTGGTGTGTTTTGGGCGCTTTGGGGGTGAAGTCACTCGGTCAGATACTGAGGAAGCCACAGTTCTCCATGTTCCTGGAGAGACTTGGGCCCAGCTTTTCTGATATCCCGACATCCACAACGAAAACCTGAGCTCCCTTTTTTGGGTCAACCTGCGTGGTAACTTCATTCACAAAGGGGCGTGTGCATGGCCGAGAGAGCATCCCTCGCTACTCAGGTGGGCCTCTTGCCTCTCAGCTACTGCGTCATGCCTACAAATTCAGCCACACCTTGATGATGGGAGCTGGAGGGTTGGCCTCGACGGGCTGCGGACCTCAGCTCCATGGGAGCTGGTGCAGGGCCAGGACCCACCCCAAGTGCTCAGCTCAGTTCCATAGCTGGGAAGATTTGCCAGATAAAGGAAGCCAGTGGGACTCCCGGCACTGCCTCAGCCCTGAGCCACACTCACTGCTTCCAGAATTGTCCTCTGTCCCTTCACTGGGACCCGGTCCCACTGGTCCTCAGAGGCCAAGCTCTTGCTGTGCACCCAGCCCCGCAGGTACCTGTCCTCCCACATGGTTGTTCTTTGCTCCTTCAGCCCCTGCTGCCCCCTGCCCCATGGGCACGCCCTGTGTTGTTCTCAGCTACCATGCAGTGCTGCCCCTGGGTGCCGTGGCCAGGGTCCCCCTTCCGGGGTCAAGAGCAGGCAGTTCTGGGCTGAGGTGCACATCGGGGCTGCCCTTCCACTAATCACTCCCACTTCCCAGCCTCTCTGGGTGCCCACCTGGAGAAGAGGTTTTTGCCGCCAGGTCAGTGATGCCCATTCCCCACCTAGTGTGCTTGGAGCCCCCACTGTGGTCTTGGGTGTGAGAGAAACTGCAGAGGGAGCCCAGGCCGCCTCACCTGTGTCTTTGGAGCAAGGCCCATTCAACAGAGGTGCCGGGGGCTGCAGCACAGCGAGTGAGAGTCCCTGTCACCCTCAAGCCAGCCCTGCCCTTGGGCTCCTGTGCCAAGCAGGACAGGTGCTGGGGGGACCTGCAGGTGGGCCAATGAACGGGGACCACAAACCAGGCCACACAGCTGGAAGTGCCCGGCCAGAATTTGCACAGAGGCACTGGTGTCAGTTTGTTGGGGCTGCCAGAACAAAATACTACCTGAGGCTGAAGTCTGAGATCAAGGTGTGGGTAGGGTTGGTTTATCCTGAGGCCTCACCTTGGCTTGGAGATGTCAGTTTCCTCCTTGTTTCCACACATGGTCTTCCCTCTGTGTCTCTGTGTCCTCATCTCTTCTTATAAAGACACCAGTAAGATTGAATCAGGGCCCAACCTGAGACCTCATTTTAACTTAATGTCTCTTTAAAGGCCCTGTCTCCAAATATAGTCACATTCAGAGTTACTGGGAATTATATTTTCAACATACGAATTTGGGGGGACATAGTTCAGCCCATCACAGCCTCCAATGCTTATGCCCAATCTGAGCCACCCCTTTCTTGCTTCTTCACCCCCAACCAGTTCAGTTCATCTTTTTCTTTCTTTCTTTTTTTTTTTTTTTTTTTTTTGAGTTGGGATCTTGCTGTGCTCTCCAGGCTGGAGTGCAATGGTGTGATCACAACTCACTGTAGCCTTGACCTCCCAGGCTCAAGCGATCCTCCTACCTAAGCCCCCCAAATATCTGGGACTACAGGCACGTGCCACCACATCAGCTAATTTTTTGGATTTTTGTTGAGACGGGGTCTCACTATGTCGCCCAGATTGGTCTCGAACTTCTGGCCTCAAGCAACCCTCCCGCCTCAGCCTCCCAAAGTGCTGGAATTACATGTGCGAGCCACTGCGCCTGGGCCTCCTTCTCCTTAAACCTGAAGAGTTTATGTTAAACTTTTTTTAAGCGTATGTTGTTTAGCATTTTCCTAAGGCAGTTTTGGACCCATACAAGTGGGGATAACCGCAATGAGTATCCCTCCCCAGCTCCAGAAACCTCAGCCTGGTGCTGTTCTTATGGCCCCTCAGCCCCTAGCCCCGACACACACACACACACACACGCACACACACACACACACACCCCAATTTTCTGTAATATTTTAAAGCATATCCCAGACCTCTTTTTATTCTGCTCAGCTACAGTAATGGTAAGCTTATTTTAGGTAGTTTTCTTTTAAACAGGAAAAAAAAAAAAAAAGAAAGAAAAACACCTGCAGGCTTCAGTTTCCCTGACTGGAGAGGTTGAGATAAACATTTCTAGTGGCAGTTCCAGCTCTGACATCCTGGGGAACTCGATACATATCTTTGCCTTTTCCTAAAGTCTTCTTAACAGTGGTTTCGGCACCCATAACAAAGTGTCTCAAGGGAGGCACCTCCTCCCCAGAGAGGAAATGCTGGGTGTGGACCAAGCTTCAAAAGCCCAGGAAGTTATTTCATCAAATGATGGGGCCTTTCCAGGGGTTGCAGGCTATTGTAACAGGAAACGGTAATTAGCAACTTGCCAAACGCAGTCGGGGTTTTATGTACTGTGATGAGGCTTACGACCCAGGGACCAGTCACCCATCCCATTTTACAGGTGAGGAAACTGAGGCTCAGAAAGGAGAGGTGAGTCATCCAGGGTTGCAGGGCTGACAGGAGGCAGGAGACTGGGGTCTCTCCACCTGGCACTGTTCATAATCAGACAGGGAAACCAAGGCTGGACTGGGCAGCCCCAGGCTACACCTGCTCCAGCCTCCACACCACCCTCCTCTGTAGGCAGTTCAGGCACAGGAGACAGAGGAGGGTACAGCCCCTGACCCTGGCCTCAGCTCTTCATGGCTTCCTCACATGTCCTCACAGTTTTTTTTTTTTTTTTTTTTTTTTTTTTTTTTTTTTTTTTTTGAGACAGAATCTCGCTCTATAGCCCAGGCTGGGGTGCAATGGCGGGATCTCAGTTCACTGCATCACTGCAACCAACCTCCGCCTCCTGGGTTGAAGCAATTCTCCTGCCTCAGCCTCCCGAGTAGCTGGGATTACAGGCACCCACTACCACTACCATGCCCGGCTATTTTTTGTATATTTTTTAGTAGAGGTGGAGTTTCACCATGTTGGCCAGGCTGGTCTCAAACTCCTGACCTCAAGTGATCTGCCCACCTCAGCCTCCCAAAGTGCTGGGATTACAGGCATGAGCCACTGCGTCCAGCCTCCCCCTAAAATGTTGCCATGCTTGTCTGCACACTCAGGCATGTGGGTGCACACCTATATTCATCCATGTGGCGTGCCTGGAGGGTGTGGCCCGCGGTGCCCAGTATAGAGCAGGCGCATGGCCACACGGCTCCAGTTGCAGACAGGGATGCCCCCGTCCCCAGGGCTGCAGGCCATGGCTGTGCTGCCCACTGCCCACCCTAGTAAGTGCTGTGTTCCTCCAGCTGTGGCTCCTTTCAATAGTTTCTCAGATGCACCAGATAAAGTCATTGGCCAAGTTGTTCCAAACATGAAGATCTTGATCCACTTAAAATCTTTACTCGGTGCCATGGGCACAGGCAGCCGCTGGGAGGTGAGGGAGGGAAGAGAGACGTGGCTGACTTGGCTCTTCACTTCATTCCCTTCTGCATGTTCCACTTTTTGCCTTGAGCCTGTGTGGCTTTTACAGTCACGAGAGCTGCCACTCCACTGCCGTGTGGGGTAGGGTGCACACATGATTCAGAAGCTGATGGCATCTATTTGCCTCCTTATAGCTCGAGCCCAGAAAACTATCCTCTAAGACCAGACGTGACAAGGAGAAGCAGAGCTGTAAGAGCTGTGGTGAGACCTTCAACTCCATCACCAAGAGGAGGCATCACTGCAAGCTGTGTGGGGCGGTGAGTCCCGGGAGAGGGGGACAGGGACAGGAGGCCACCCTGTCCTCTGCTCTGACAGAGCAGCTGAGTCCTCACCAGCAGCACACCAGCCATGCACACCAGCCCTGCACGGAAGGGCTTCCTGATCCTGGCTCATGGATATAGATACCCTTGAGTGCAAAACTGTCCTGTCCGAAGTAGAATCAAATCACTTTTCTCTGGTCAGCTCTGGTGTTCAACAAACACTACTTGTGGTTGAAAAAGTGCTGGATTTGGAACCAGAGAACCCCTAGCTGGGTGACCTTGAGAACAAGGAGATGATAGTCCTCATTCCTTGCAAGGTGTATTGGAGACGGGTGAAGGGTGTGGCTGTGCTGGAAGCTCCTACTGCTGGCCTTTGCCCCAGCGCTCCAGTGGTGCTGAAGGCCTGGTGGGCCCATGTGATGAGGCAATGCCTCCGACTGGCGCCCCAGCTGCACACCATCTCCATTCCCCTCACTCCAAAGCCCTTTCTCCTGAGAATGGAGAAAATTCAATGCTTAATGTTGAATGTAAAAGTATCCCTGAGGAAGGAACTGATCATTTAAGTATCTTTAGGTTAAGAGATTAAAGTTGAATCTGTGTTAGCAACTGGATCTCAGCACAGAATGCTTTGGAGGTGTTTTTCCAAAGGGCACCAGCAACCTGTGCCTGAAGCGGTTGATGTTGCTTGTCATACCTTTGCCACATGGCGGGGGGGCAGCAGGGGGGGGGGAATAAGTAGATGAGTCCTTGGAAGGATGGATGATGGATGGGTGGGTGGGTAGAAGGATGGATGAATGGATGAGTGGTTGGAGAGGTGGGTGTATCAATAGGTAGATGGATGCGTGGATGGATGGATGAGGGGATGGATGGATAGGTGGGTAGTTAGATAAATGGCATATGGAAGTATGAATGGAAGTGGATATATAGGAAGTATAAATGGATGACTGGAGAATTGATGGATGGATGGATGGATGAACAGACGAATAGTTGGATGGCATACGGAAGTATGGGTGGATAGATGAATGGTTGGATGGATGGATGAATGAATGAGTGGATAATGAATGGGTGGATGGATGGATGGATGGGTGGATGAAGGGATGATGGATGGATGGATGATGGATGGATGAATGTATGGTAGAGGATGGATGGGCAGGCAAGTGGGAAATGTGATCTGTGCCTCTTAAAGAACTCTCAGTTTGGGACCCAGTTTGTACTCTAGAATTGGGGGATTTAACTCAAACCTGGTTTCCCCATCAGACCTGAGGAGAGAATCTGTTGCTTTAAGAGCCATCCTCAGAATACATGCCCAGGTCCCTGCTCAGCTCCAGGCTTCAGGCTTTGTGACTACTCAGGATCAGAAGCTGCAGCCTCCATTAATCTTCCTTGGAGTGAGCGTCCTCATGGCCAACCTGGACTTCCCCAGCAGAGGTGGCTCGGTGCCCTCAGTGACATCACTGCATCTCCGTGTCAGCCTGCTGGGGCTTAGCTTGGCTTTCATTGCCTTGGTTTGCCCGGTATTCCTGCTTCCTCACACAAGAAGTGATAGAGAAAAGAGAAATTCCAAAAATAAAATGCTCATAAAAGGAGGACTCCAGAAGAGGGTGCCTTCCATCTACTTGAAAAGAGCAATCTCCCCTCTGCTGTGGCTCCTGAGACCTGCGATATGAGCTCAGTGTTTGAGTGCCATGGTCCCTTAGCAGCCAGTGCCTGCAGGTTTAGGTTCAAACTAGAATTTCCCAAGGTTTGAACAAGGACCTCCAAGTCCTCTGCAACATTCAGTACGTGGGGCAGGATGGAACAGGAGAAGCAGATGCAGAAGTGGGTGTGGGTGGCCCTGAGACAGCAGGAGCCTCTTTGTGCTGGGAAAAGGATCCAGCAGAGGGAGGGAGACCGAGGCAGAGAGAGACAGGACCACCGATGGGATGCAGCTGCAGGGGCCAGAGGAGGGGGCACAAAGGGGCCTGCTGGGAGTGTCCAGGGTAGGAAAAGCTCTGGAAAAGTCACTGAGGAGCACTCCTTGGCTAAATTCCCATGCTCCACCCATGCATCTGAATCACATTCCACTGTACAGACAGACCATGACAACTTCATCCATTCATCTGCCGATGGACACGGGTTGCTTCCAGCTTTTGGCTATTGTGAATAACGCTGCTATGGACATGAATGTACAAACATCCCTTCAGATCCTCCTTTCAGTTCTTGTGGGTACATACCCCGAGTGGAACTGTGGCATCATATGGTAACTCTGTGTTTAACATTTTGAGGAACCACCCTACTGCTTCCCACAGAGGCTGTACCAGTTTACTTCCCACCAACAGTGCAAGGATTCCAATTTCTCCACATCCGTGCCAACACTATTTTCTTTTTGTCGCTGTTGTCATTGTTTGTCTGGAAAATAGCCATGCTGAGGGGTGAGAGGTGGTTTCTGGTTATGAATTTGATTTGCGTTTCCCTGATGGCCAGTGATGGGGCATCTTCCCCTGTGCTTGGTGGCTCTTCACACTCTTCCTCCCACGCACACAAGACTCCTGGACTCTGGACCCTCCAGGACAGAAGGGTGGGTACCAGACGCCCAGCAGGGCCAGCCTTGCTCTCTGCCCTCAGACAGGGCTCCCCTCAAGGAGAAGCTCTTATCCCTCGCCACACGCCACACTGTGTTAAGTCTCCTCCCGCCCACTCCACCTCCCGCCCACTCTACCTCCTCTGGCATCTTCCTGGATAATCCTCTGTCCCAGGGTGCTGGGGTCACACGTGCCCTCTGTTTGGCAGGTCATCTGTGGGAAGTGCTCCGAGTTCAAGGCCGAGAACAGCCGGCAGAGCCGTGTCTGCAGAGATTGTTTCCTGACACAGCCAGTGGCCCCTGAGAGCACAGAGGTGGGTGCTCCCAGCTCCTGCTCCCCTCCTGGTGGCGCGGCAGAGCCTCCAGACACCTGCTCCTGTGCCCCAGCAGCTCCAGCTGCCTCTGCTTTCGGAGTGTCCCTGGGACCAGGATAGATGTGGGTGTGTCTCAGTGGGGCCCCCAGGCTGGGAACACACTCGGAAGATCCCGTGTGTGCACGCTGGCTTCTCGGGACCAGCCAGGGCCAAGGCTTGGGAACCATTTGCATCCAGGAGTTAGATGGGAACAAGTGTCACTCCTGGTCACCTGGTTGGAGGGCATGGATTGAAGCTGCCCTCAAGTCCAGGCCTTGAGGCCCACCTGAGGGGAGATACTGCCCTTCTCTCTGCCTGCCTCACCTCCAGCTGTCAGAGGGTGAGCAGGGCCCTGGAGGCAGGCACCCCCTCCTCCTCCTCCCCGTCCCCTTCTCCTCCTCCTCCCCGTCCCCTTCTCCTCCTCCTCCCCGTCCCCTTCTCCTCTTCCTCTCCCTCCTTCCTCTCCCTCCGCCTCGCTGTCTTTCTCCTTCTCCTCTCCCTCCTCCTCCTGCTCCTTCTCCTCCCCGTACCCTTTTTCTACTCTTCCCTCTCCTTCTCCTCCTCCTTTCTCTCCCTCCTCCTCCCCCTCCCCTTCTCCTCCTCTCTTTCTCTTCCTCTTTTCCTCCTCCACTCCTCTTTCTGAGAGTAGCTGCTGCTTTCCCTGACTTCCTTCCTCAAGAATACAGTCTATTCTGGGGGGTTGCAGGACAGCTGAAAAAGAAAACGTGAGTTTCCAGAAAAGCACATCGCCCTTTCTCTCCACTCGACACAGCCTGCGGTTTGCAGTGCCAGCTGCACGTTGGAGTCTCCTGGGAAGCTTCTAGTGTTGATCTCCCTCCTAGAGGCTCAGTGAGGTGATCGGGGGGTCAGTGTGTTTTCAGAGTCCCAGCTGCTCTGACTTACAGCTGTGGTTGGAGCCCTGACCTAGGTCCTTGGTCTAAGAAGTCAAGGATGTAAGTCTATTAGGACTGAGTGTTGAATGGTCTTGATGGTGAAGAAGGACCTTGCACTGCCTACCGAGCTCCCTCATGCCTGCAATTTAAATACCGAGGTGTGTTCTGAGAGCCCCAGGTCCTTGGGGCACGGGCCTCCAGGGCCCTGTAAGGTGGACTCTGGCCTCGAAGGGGGGCCCAGGTCTGAGGGGTCCAGCTCTGGCAGGGGGTGTCTAAGCCACGTCCAAATGGTGGACAGTAGCTCCAACAGTGACATGACAGAGGGAGGGCCTGTGTGTGTGGTGTGTGTGTGTGTGCTGTGTGTGCACGCACGTGCATGTATATGGTGTGTGTAGAACTGACACGCTTGAAGTCCCTGTCCCGTGACCCACCCTCAGGTACTTGCTGTTGGGTTTTCCTATGATTTTGATGTGTCCTGACCCAGCATATGGATGCCCTCCCCTTGGAGGGCCCAGCCTGCAAACCCCATCTGATACCACACATGCCTATGTCCTGCAGGCTTCTAGTGACCCTTGCAAGCCGGGTGAGGCTGGTCCCAGTCTCTGTGCAGATCTTGGCCATGTCTCCACAGCCAGCTCCCCCCAAGCAGTGGCCCTGGCCCTACCCCAGCCTCCTCAGAACAGGGGTGACCACTGCAGGGGAGACTGCCCCTAACCTGTGTCTTTGTGTCCCCAGAAGACACCCACTGCAGACCCCCAGCCCAGCCTGCTCTGCGGCCCCCTGCGGCTGTCAGAGAGCGGTGAGACCTGGAGCGAGGTGTGGGCCGCCATCCCCATGTCAGATCCCCAGGTGCTGCACCTGCAGGGAGGCAGCCAGGTACGTGTCCCCACCCCACCAGGCCCTCAGGCCAGCAGCCCAGAGCCTCAGGCCTGAGGCACCCACAGCAGGCCTGTGCCACCAGCTGGGGTCCACCTGCTTGAGCAGTGTTACCTGGGGCCTCAGTTTCCCCGGCAGCGCAGGATTCCCTCTGCTTGCCAGTCACAGGAGACAGAACCTACTGGCACCTGGGTGGACCCCAGAGCCAGCCAGGGTGCAAGGAGGGGTGGGCCAAGGGGGCACAAAGGGTGGCCAGGAGCCACAGAACCTGTCAGGGGAGACTCAGGAACCCACACAGCCCTGGCCCGGCCCCTTGGAGCCCCAGTTGCTACTCTGTCACAGGGGCTGGCCTGTCCTGCCTCGCCTCCCCAGGGGCCAGACAGCCCAAAGAAGGCCATGGAGTCTGGGGGTCTGGTGAGGTGGGCAAGGCATCCCCCTCCCTATATCTCCCTCGGGAAGAACCAGTGGATGCCCCCACCGACCGTCCTCCTGTTGACAAAAGGCAGTGCAGGCACAGCCACCAGACCCCTCGGGCTCAGCACCTGCCTTGCGTTGCAAGGGTCTGGGAGTGGCCTCCTGGGAGAGGCCCCCATCACTGAGGTGAGCCCGAGGCCGGGAAGCTGTGGCCCCGCTGACCATCTGCTCCTCTGCTGCAGGACGGCCGGCTGCCCCGCACCATCCCTCTCCCCAGCTGCAAACTGAGTGTGCCGGACCCTGAGGAGAGGCTGGACTCGGGGCATGTGTGGAAGCTGCAGTGGGCCAAGCAGTCCTGGTACCTGAGCGCCTCCTCCGCAGAGCTGCAGCAGCAGTGGCTGGAAACCCTAAGCACTGCTGCCCATGGGGACACGGCCCAGGACAGCCCGGGGGCCCTGCAGCTTCAGGTCCCTATGGGCGCAGCTGCTCCGTGAGCTGAGTCTCCCACTGCCCTGCACACCACCACATTGGACCTGTGCTGTCCTGGGAGGTGGTGTTGGAGGCCCCATGAAGAGCGCCCTGGACTGCTGAGGGTGGGCCAACAGCCCAGAGCTCAGGACACTTGGCTTTGGGGGGAAGGAAACTGAGGCCCAGAGAGGGGCAACCACTGGCCAAGGGTCACCCAGCAAGTTTTGGCTAAGAGCCTGGCCTCCAGCCCCAGCAGTGTGGCCCAGAGCAGGGGCCGACTGCCAAAGTAACCATCATCCATATGGGCCGTGTGGTGATGCTGGCCCGGAAGGCAGAAAGAGGCAGCATGGGCACTGCCAGGGACAGCCACATCCTGCTGGTCTGCAGCGTGGTCCACCCCGCCTCTGCCCAGCCTGTCTACACCGTGTGAGCTGAATCGTGACTTGCTTCCCACCTCCTTTCTCTGTCCTCTCCTGAGGTTCTGCCTGCAGCCCCCAGGAGGTGGGCCTGCCCCATCCTAGCTGGACTCATGGTTCCTAAATAACCACGCTCAGAAGCTCTGCTAGGACTTACCCCAGCCACTGAGTGGCAGGCGCATGAGATTTGTGGCTGTTCCTGATGCTAGTGGCACACAGTGCTTATCTGCATAAATAAACACTGGCCACCAGCAGTGGGCGCAGCCTCGGTGATCTCTCCCCAGCCCCTCAGCAGCGTCCCCCCACAAGGTGGGCTGGCTGATAAAGGGTTGAGGGACAAGGGTGATGGAATCACATCGGCCACACACCACCTGGAAAGCAGTTCTGCATCTGTTGTCCTGCCAGGGGGTGGGCAGGTGGCAGGTGAAGATGGCCAGGCTCAGAGATGGGGAGGGTGGGGTGCAGGGCACTCAAGATGGTGCCAGTGGGGACCTTGCAAAGGCTACTTGGGGTGGGGGTGCTGTTTGCATCAGAGCCCTGAGGGCCTCTGGGAGAGAGTGGGGGAATTTAGGGACCAGTGATTGGGGGTGCTCACTGGTCAGGACCCCCGCCCCTCTAATATCCATATAGCACCATGTGGAGACACCTGGGAAGACAAGCAGGGCACCTACCTGGGGGACTGAGAGGGCAGGAGGAAGAGCCAGAAATGGGAGACTGGTCACAGGTGATGGGGGGGACAGGTGAGATGAGAACACAGGTGAGGCGGAGACAGCTGAGATGGGGGCACAGGTGAGGGCACAGGTGAGCTCCCACGAGCTCTAGCTGGGCCACGCTTGGGATGCTGCTGCAGCCACTGCACACGGAGCCCCTGCTGGCTACCTGGGCCTCTGCCACAGCTTCCCATGCTATGCTGGATGTTCTGGTCCCACTTCACACTAAGGAAACTGAGGCTCAGGGATGCTAAACAACCTGCATACTTCCACATTGGACAGTGCCCACCAGGGGGAGATGGAATCAGACCCTTTCAGCTGCACAGCAGCGTCTCAATCGGCTCCAGCTGCTGCCCAAGGAAGCAGCAAAGCCCCTCACCCAGCTCAGGCTGGAGCAGGGACGGGGTGGAGGAGGCCTCGAGGGGACCCCAGCCCGTTGGCCCTGCCTTCTCCCCTGCAGAGCTGAGCTCTGACTCACATTCATCCCCTACAGAGCAGTGCCGGAGCCGCTCCCTCACACACGTCTACTAAGCATCGGCTGCAGCCCTAATGAGGCCCTTCTTTGAAGGGTCAGGACTCCGTCCTCTGCCTGCTTCAGTAGTTCTATTTCTGCCATCTCACCACAACCCCAGGAAATCCCCACTTGACAGCTGAGGAAACTGAGTCATAGAGAGGCCACCCCCAGAGCCCCACAGCTCCGGAACCGAGCAGGCACCTGGAATTGGCCTGCCGGCCATGGTGAATCCAGCAGGGCAGGTGTCTGCTGGGGCCAAAGACTGTGCTGTGGGGTCGCCATGGAGAGTCCCCTAGCCTCGAGCCCTCTCTCTTGCACCCACCAACCTGGCTAGTCCGCTGGGAGGCAGAGACAAGGTCTGTCACCGCAGGCCTGGGGGCAGGGCGTGCCCCCAGACTCTGCCGCCTGCTGCGAGGCCAGTGCTGATGGGAGCTTGTTTGCTGTCATACTGGTGGCTGTAGTCTGTTCCCACTTTTTCCAAAAGAGGAAGCTGAGGCTCAGACAGGGGCAGTGAGAGGCCTCCAGCATGCAGAGCCTGCGTGCTGTGCCCTTACAGAGCTGGCCTTCCTAGGGTCTGTTCCCAGAGACCCCTCCTGCGGGACACCCCAGCAAGGATGCTGCTGGGGAGCTGGCTGCCTGGGCCTGGCCTCTCGCCACACACTGCCCCGCCCCCAGCTCCAGCCCTCCCATCCCACAGCCCAGGGCCTGGGCACACTCCACTGCCCGTCCATGGAGTGGCAGAGCCTGGACACATGCTGGCTGGTCGCATGCTGGCTTTTGGCCTCTTTACCATCCTCCCTCCCCTTTCTCCCCAAGGCCACCCCCCTCCAGAGGCATAGGAGACCACCCCCTGGGTGGGGGGAAGGGAGGCCTGTGGCTGAGTAGGAGGTGGCTCCCGGGGTCTCGGGCCTGAAGAACGTCGAATGGGGCAGCACAGAGTCTGGGGTGTGGGATTACCACACCTGGGATTACCATGGGTGTCAGGGAGGGACTGGGCTGGGGGCCCTTCCGAGGCTCCCCTGCACCACAGCCTGCAGGATGGGGGCTCCTGGTACCAGCCTAGGGCCTGAGGTTGGAGCACACTGGACACCAGAGCAGAAAGGCTTTCACAGGTGCAAGAGCGGGGGCGGGGAGGAGAGAGCAAACCAGGGCGGAGGGGAGGGAGTGTGCTTCTGCCATGGGCAGGTTCCCCACCCGGCACACCCCACCTCTCTAGGCCCAGAGCAGGGTGCTGGCTGCAGCCTGGCAGACCTGGAGAAGATGAATGAGCCTCCAGGAGGGCCTGCTGCAAGCCCAGTACTCCCCAGCTGCCTGAGAGGAGAATTATGACTGAGAAGGCGTCTTGGCAATAGTGAAACAGACCCAGAGAAGGAAGTGCACTTTCCCAAGGTCATACAGTGAGTTGGGGACTGTTCAGGATTCCCTCGTTCACTTTTTTTTTTTTTTTTGAGACGGAGTCTCACTCTGTCACCCAGCCTTGGAGTGCAGTGGTGCGATCTCAGCTCAGTGCACCCTCCGCCTCAGCCTCCTGAGTAATTGGGATTACAGGTGTGCACCACCACACCACACCTAGCTAATTTTTGTATTTTTAGTAGAGACGGGGTTTCACCATGTTGGCCAGGCTGGTCCGGAACTCCTGACCTCAGGTGATCTACCCACTTCAGCCTCCCAAAGTGCTAGGATTACAGGCATGAACCACTGCGTCCAGCCCCTAATTTACTTTTCTTCCGTTTGCTCATGCACCAGGTGCTGCTAGCAGACTCTCTGGGGGCTCAGCCTGGGCCACCACATAGGGGAGGTGGGCCTCCCAAGTGTCCATCCCATAGGGAAGCAAGTGCACTGAGCATCATTTGGATTTCTGGGACGGGACAAAACACCACCTGTAGCCCCAGCCAGAGTCACACTTTCAGCCCCATCACCAGGCTGCAGCTACCTGGCCTTCAGAACCGCCAGCCTCCTTTCCCCCTGGGGCCTTGGCACATGCTGTTCCCTGGGCCCGGGGGCTCTTCCTGCAGGGCTTTGTGGGCCACCTCCTCAACGCTTACTGTGCTCAGACACCGCCTCTGCAGACAGCCCTCCAGCCTTTCCACTTTTTTGTTTATCCATTTGCTCTCTTGTTTAACCTCTCTTTTCCCACATAGAATAGAAGCTCCGAGAGGGCAGGAAGCAGCCCCTTTAGCAGTGCCTGGCCCACAGTAGGTGCTCAGTGAATACCTGTCCATAGCCTTGGAAAGGCTCAGTGACTCCTGCCTTGCCATAGGGGCCCTGAGCACTTTGGGTCTGGAATCCTCATTTTATAGATGGGAAAGTAGAGGCTGCCTGAGGTCATAAAGGCTCAGTGCTCCCTTGCCTCACTCACCATCCTGGGTCTCGGGGACATCAGAGTCAGCTCCTTCTCAGATAGTTGGTCCTGTTGTAAAGATGGGCACACTAAGACCCAGACAAGCTTCCATGCCCCCAGGACATGGGCAGAGGGAGACTGGGATGCAGGTCAGTCCAATTCCCGCTGTGCCTGCCTCCCACCGTCCCACGGAGGCAGCAGGATCTGCAGTAGGACAGGGCCTCTGAAAAGCCACTAGCCCCCACAAGCCCCAGCCTAAGAGGGCGACTTACCCCAGAGGCCAGAGCCCAGGCCTTCGGGTGGTCCCAGCCCTGCCCTCCCTGCAGCCATGGGGGCCTCCAGAACTCTGTCTTATCACCAGCTGCCCCAGGAGCATCTCCCACTTCCCAGAATCCAAGCCCCTCTGAGCAGCCAGTTCTGGCAGTGAGTGTGCAGGAAGAAGGGTGGGCTCACCTCCCCTCGGGGTTGCTTGCTCTGTTTCTGCCAACAAACTCCCTCTGGACGATCCCTCCAGGGACATCCAGGGAGAGCTTTGGGCCCAGCCGGTGCCTGGGGGTGGCTGCATCATGACCCCACAGCCCATTCCTTCAGGCACCCACCCCAAGACACCGTACTTTCTGGGCCTCAGTAGGCAGGGCCAGCGGCGGTTGGCTCTGAAGCTGAAACACTATGTCCATGCAGGCAGCGCCTGGCACTGGGCAGGTATGGTCCAGGCCCCTCCACCCTTCCCCTCAGGACCTCCCTCTCGCGCCAGATTGAAGCAGTCATGGTTCCCCAGGGGCACCTGGTGGTCCCTGCAGCAGCTGGCTGCGACAAGAGGCCAGGCTGCTCCCTGCCCACAACATCATTCACATCGTTACTATGGGTGAAGGATTCCTCTCCATTTACTGGGGAGAAAACTGAGGTTGGGGAAAGGGAGCCACTGGAAGCCACGGGCTCCAGTGTACCTCCAGTCTACCTCCAGGGTTCCTCCCTCAGTTCCAGGGTTGTTAGATAAACCTGGAGGTCTGGGTGGGCCAAAAAGGGAGGCAGGGCAGGCCGTCGGGGAGCAGCCAGGCCCGCACCCCACATTCTATACATTCTATCCTGGAAAGCAGCCGCTTGGGCCGCCCAGCCCCAGGGCCTACCCTGCTCTCCTCACACTGCCTTGGTGGATTTCTGGGCTTGGTGCCCTGCTCCTAGGTGGGAAGCTCTGACAGAGGCTCCCACAAGCCTCCAGAAGGCTGCAGCTTAGCCAGGATGACAACTGTGTGGTCGGACAGCAGCTACATGCCATCTCCCAGCTGTCAGGCTCCATGGCCCTTGAACCCCTTGTGTACTAAGGCCCCTTCCAGCTGGGCCACAGGAGGTGCAGGCCTTAGTGCTGCCTTGGACGTGAGTGTTCCCGGGGTCCCTGACGGCAGCAGCCTGCCCACTTCCACGCGTCTGTCCTTGCTCCCTTGGGGCCTCCTCCCACCCTGGTTGACGGATGCCCAGTACTGGCCCCAGGCTGGACTCAACCCTCCCTGTCTAGCCAGGGTGGGGCAAACACAAGGCTGTGCCCTGGAGGCTTGGGGACAGCAATGGGTATCATCACCTAAGAGAGAAAGAGCTAGAGGCTGGGTGTGTGTCAGCTGAGCCCCGAATTTCTGGAAAGTCAAGGTGTTTCAGGAAGCAGACTCCACCTCTTGGGATCCCGTGACTTGACCCAAGCCAATCAGCATCCTCATTCCCTTGGCCACAGTGATTGGTCTGCATGGTCACATGACCCAAGATGGCCTCCCCACCCCTTGATGGCAGGAGGGAGCCTGGCTGCTGAGCTTGGGCAGCCATCTTGGAACTGGAAGAGCCTCCCAATGAGGCCCAAACAGAGGTTGGAGGAAGTCAGATCTCTGGTTTCATCTAGAGTAGTTACATGAGTCAATAAATTTCACGTGGAGTCAGGTTTTCTGCCAACTGCTGTCCTTGTCCACCCAGCCACTGTGTTGCAGGGATCAGCCTCTGCTCTCCAAAATTCCTGCCTTGGCCATATTTCCCCCACCCAGCATCCAGGCTTATAGCATCTCTTCCTCTTTTCTGCCGGGGCCAGGCCTGGCCCCCTTGGAGAGCTCAGTCTTCAGTGCCCCAGTGCTGTCCACTATAAATTCTACACAAAACTTCCTCATGAATCTCCATCTCAGAAAGGAAGCTTGGCTTTCCCTTTACCTTATCAAAACTCACGTAAATTATTCACCCCCAGCCAGGCATGGTGGCTCACGCCTGTAATCCCAGCACTTTGGGAGGCCAAGGCAGGCGGATCACCTGAGGTCAGGAGTTTGAGACCAGCCTGGCCAACGTGGTGAAATCTCATCTCTACTAAAAACACAAAAACATCATCCAGGCGTGGTGGTGGATGCCTATAATCCCAGCTACTCAGGAGGCCGAGGCAGGAGAATTGCTTGAACACAGGAGGTGGAGGTTGCAGTGAGCCGAGATTGCACCACTGCACTCCAGTCTGGGCAACAAAGCAAGACTCCATCTCAGAAAAAAAAAAAAAAAAGATCCACCCCTTCCAACAACATCTGTCCCAAAGAGACATTGAAAAACTGCTGACACCTGAATAGCCCATTCACATTTAAGAAAAATCATGGCCGGGTGCGGTGGCTCACGCCTGTAAAGCACTTTGGGAGGCCAAGGCAGGCGGATCATGAGGTCAAGAAATCAACACCATTCTGGCCAACATGGTGAAACAACCTCATCTCTACTAAAAATACAAAAATTAGCTGGGTATGATGGCATGCGCCTGTAGTCCCAGCTACTCAAGAGGCTGAGGCAGGAGAATCACTTGAACCTGGGAGGCAGAGGTTGCAGTTAGCCGAGATCACACCACTGCACTCCAGCCTGGCGACAGAGTAAGACTCCGTCTCAAAAAAAAAAAAAAACAAACAAAAAAAAAAAAACAAGAAAAGAAAAATTATATTGGGGTATAGTCTCAAAGCACCCCTCTTCCCGGAGTCATGAAATGAATATTTTGCTCTGTGAGACAACAGGATTCTCTCCTCTGCCCTCAACAAAACCTCACAGGAAAGGGCTACTGCCCTCACCTGCATGGAGAGAAGGACCGTGCAGCTCAGCATGGGGAGGCCATGCCTTAGGCGTGTTCTCCTAGTAGCAGGCCCTGCTATGTAGATTTCAATGCAAGGAGTTTATTTGGGAAGTGATCTAGGAAACCGAATAGGGGAGTGGAGATTGAGGCAGAGAAAGGCTGAAAGCCTTTCAAGGTACAGTGTGTTGAATAATGTCACCTCCAAATTCATGTCCATCCAGAACCTCAGCACATGGCCTGATTTGGAAATAAGATGCAATTCATTAAATTAAGATGAGGTCACTGTTTGTGACTTAAGTGAGGCATTTAGGTTAGGTTCGGTTTAGTCAGTGGGGGACCTCAGACCAAAATGGCAAAAGGATTGAGTTTCTAATTCACAAAGCCCAGGGAGCAGAGGGCAGCATGGTTCACAAGGCCCATGGGAAGGGGAGGGGACGTCTGGGACATATGTGCTCAGCAGCAGGTAAGGAGAAAAAGAGAGGGATCTGGGGGCCAAAGTCTTTACTGGGGTCCAGGGTGTTACCTACGTGCGTTTCCCGAGTCAGGGGCTCATTGGTTGATTTAAAGGGAGTGTGAGGGTAAGCACTGGAACTTGGCTACACTGTCAAGTTCACCAGACTTAAAGCAGAAGTAAGGTGACCCTGCAGTACAAAGTATGAGACCTTATCTATCCAAAATGCAAAAACAGGAACTGCATGGAGACTGTGTCAAAATATGTACGTCAGGTGTGACAAGCCAGGGACAGGACAAGATGGATGCTGAGGCAGCATTAATATGAATGAGAGTTATAACAGCCATATTGGATTAGGAAAGGCCCTAAATCCAATGATTTTTGCCCCTATAAGAAGAGGAGAGGGCCGGGTGCAGTGGTTCACACCTGTAATCCCAGCACTTTGGGAGGCCGGGGGGGGTGGGGTGGATCATGAGGTCAGGAGATCGAGACCAGCCTGCCCAGCATGGTGAAACCCCATCTGTACTAAAAATACAAAAATTAACTGGTGTGGTGGTGCATGGCTGTAGTCCCAGCTACTCGGGAGGCTGAGGCAAGAGAATCGTTTGAACCCAGGAAGTGGAGGTTGCAATGAGCCAAGATTGCACCACTGCACTCCAGCCTGGGCAACAGAGCAAGACTCTGTCTCAAAAAAAAAAAAAAAAAAAAAGAAGAGGAGAGATACACTCAGGGAAGAAGGCCATGGGACAGCAGAGGCAGAGAGTAGAGTGATGCCTCTACAAGCCAAAGAATATCAAGGATTTCTGGGAGTCACCAGAGACTAGGAAGAGGCAAGGAAGGATCCTCCTCCCCTAGAGCATTCAAAACGGTCTTGGCCCTACCAACACCTTGATTTTAGACTCCTGGCCTCCAGAACTGTGAGAGAATTAATTTGTACAGTAGCCCTAGAAAACTAATACAGATTTTGTACCAGGAAGTGAGGTGCTGCTGTGACAAATTTTTGAAAATACAAAAGTAGCTTTCAAGTTGAATAATGGGTAGAACCTGGAAGAGTTTTGAGGTGCTTGATAGAAAAAGCCTAGATGGCCTTCAAGTGCTTGTTGGTAGAAAAGTGGACATTTATTTAAGGTGTTCCTCATGAGGCTTAAAATCAAAGAAAAACGTAGAGAAATCTATCGTTTTTTTTTTGAGACAGAGTCTCACTCTTGTTGCCCAGGGTGGAGTGCAAATGACGTGATCTCAGCTCACTGCAACCTTTGCCTCCTGGGTTCAAACAATTCTCCTGCCTAAGCCTCCCGAGTAGCTGGGATTACAGGCACCTGCCACCACGCCTGGCTAATTTTTTGTATTTTTAGTAGAGATGGGGGTTTCACCATGTTAGTCAGGCTGGTCTCAAACTTCTGACCTCAGGTGATCCACCTGCCTTGGCCTCCCAAAGTGCTGGAATTAGAGGCATAAGACACCATGCCCAACCGAAATCTGTCATCTTAAAGAATATATATATCATCAAGAACAGGCCAGGTGCGGTGGCTCACACCTGCAATCCCAGCACTTTGGGAGGCTGAGGCAGGCGGATCATGAGGTCAGGAGATCGAGACCATCCTGGCTAACGCGGTGAAACCCTGTCTTTACTAAAAATACAAAAAATTAGCTGGGCATGGTGGCGGGCGTCTGTAGTCTCAGCTACTCGGGAGGCTGAGGCAGGAGAATGGTGTGAACCCAGGAGGCGGAGCTTGCAGTGAGCCGAGATCGTGCCACTGCACTCCAGCCTGGGCGACAGAGTGAGACTCCATCTCAAAAAATAATAATAATAAATTAAAAAAAAAAAAAAGACTAGCTTGACCAATATGGTGAAACCCTGTCTCTACTAAAAATACAAAAATTAGTTGGGTGTGGTGGCACACGCCTGTAGTCCCAGCTACTGGGGAGGCTGAGGCAGGAGAATCACTTAAACCCAGGAGATGGAGGTTGCAGTGAGCTGAGGTCGCACCACTGCACTCTAGCCTGGGCGGCAGAACGAGACTTCATCTCAAAAAAAGAAAAAAAAAAAAGAACAGAATGTTGGTAGAAATAGGAACATCACAGGTGCTTCTGGTGAGGCCTTAGAAGAGAGTAAGGAACATGCTATTGGAAAGAGGAGGAAAAGTGATCTTTGTTATAGAGTGGTAGAGAAGTTGGCTGAACTACATTCTAGTGTTGGGTAGAAAGTAGGAGACTTCCAGCTGGGCGTGTTGGCTCACGCCTGTAATCCTGGCACTTTGGGAGGCCGAGGCGGGCAGATCACGAGGTCAGGAGATCGAGACCATCCTGGCTAACACGGTGAAACCCCATCTCTACTAAAAATACAAAAAAAAATTAGCCGGGCATGGTGGCAGGCGCCTGTAGTCTCAGCTACTCAGGAGGCTGAGGGAGGAGAATGGCATGAACCCAGGAGGCGGAGCTTGCAGTGAGCCGAGATCGCACCACTGCACTCCAGCCTGGGTGACAGAACAAGACTCCGTCTCAAAAAAAAAAAAAAAAAAGAAAGTAGATTTCCAAACAGTGTAGAAGGTATGGCCTGGTTTGTCTTTGCTGCTTGTAGCAATTTATCTCTTTTAAGAGAAAAGAGATAAATTGAGGAAGGAACTGTTAAGCAAAAAGGAACTGTACTTGGTAATCTAGGAAGCCCTTAGCCTGTCCAGATTGCTAAATTAGCAAATTCACTATTGAGAAAATGTGGAGAGAAAGTGTGAAGAGAACACCAAGGGTGTTGTTGGACATTTTGTTGAAGACATTATGAATGTGACTCGTGGATCCAATCAACCATCTCAGTGGAATTGAGGAATAGAGATGAGGTTATCCAGGAATGATCTGTGGATAGAGCCTCTTGTCTGATGGCATGGGTCCCTGTAAACTACACAGGAGACCAACAAGATTTCTGAGAATGTTACACCAGCAGAAATGCTGCCAGCCTGGATTGAAAGGCATGGGGGTGCTAGGCATGGTGGCTCATGCCTGCAATCTCAGCACTTTGGGAGGCCGAGGTGGGTGGATCACGAGGTCAGGAGATGGAGACCATCCTGGATAACACGGTGAAAACCCCGTCTATACTAAAAAAAAAATACAAAAAAAATTAGCCAGGTGTGGTGGCAGGCGCCTGTAGTCCCAGTTACTTGGGAGGCTGAGGCAGGAGAATGGCGTGAACCTGGGAGGCAGAGCTTGCAGTGAGCTGAGACCGCACCACTGCACTCCAGCCTGGGCAACAGAGCGAGACTCCGTCTAAAAAAAAAAAAGAAAAAGAAAAAGGCGTGGGGATGGGATGAAATGAAGGAAGAATGTCTTGGAGGACAGCAGACATGGGTGCAGAGACAGGCTAGGGGTGGGGTGGGGGGGTGTGGCAGGAGGGTGGCTGCCTGCTGGGCCTCAGACTTGCTTAGGACCAAGTGATCCTTTCGTTTCTTCCCTTTTCTCCCTTTTGTTTTTTGTTGTGGTTGTTTGTTTGTTTTTTGAGATGGAGTCTCGTTCTGTTGCCCAGGCTGGAGTGCAGTGGTGCGATCTCCGCTCACTGCAAACTCTGGCTCCCAGGTTCATGCCATTCTCTTGCCTCAGCCTCCTGAGTAGCTGGGACTACAGGCACCCGCCACCATGCCTGGCTAATTTTTTGTATTTTTAGTAAAGATAGAGTTTCGTTAGCCAGGGTGGTCTCAATCTCCTGACCTTGTGATCCACCCGCCTCAGCCTCCCAAAGTGCTGGGATTACAGGCATGAGCCACCGTGCCTGGCCCCTTTTCTCCCTTTTGGAAGGCGCTCAGACTTTGGAGGATATTGGGATGAGGTGAATGTGTTTTGAACATGGGACCACAGTAACCTTTGGGAGTTCCAACTGTAGTGGGTTCAATAGTGTACCTGCAAATTTATGTCTGCCTGGAACGTCAGAATGTGATCTTATTTGGAAATAAGATCTTTGCAGATATAGTTAGATATAGAAGTCATACTGGATTAGGATGGGCCATAAATCCAATAACTAGTGTCCCAATAAGAAGAAAAGACACAGAGATGTGGTGGTGGAGGTAGAGATTGGAGTGGTGCAGCTACAAGCCAAGGAGTACCAAGAATGCCTTTGTTTTGAGGCCCCGATTTGTGGTACTTTGTTGCAGTGACCGTGGGACACTAACACACAGGGTGGGTAATTAAGCTATTAGGTCTGGAGGCAACTGGAACTTAGTCTGCTGGGGAGTCTGGTAGCTACTACTCCATCCTCCAGTTAAGAGCCCCAGAACACATCTGCTGATGAACAAAGTTGGATTTGCAGACTTGCTGCAATGAGCGGGAGCACATGTGTTGGGAAAGCCTAGGGCATTGCAATGGGATGCTTGTAGGGAGGACGTAGAGTAGGATTTGGGCTGTGTTAGGTGGTTTTGAAGGGGGTTCAAAAGCCAGTCTGCACTGGATGCTATCGGGAGCAATTCTATGCTTGGGTATTTTAATACATTCCATCAGAAAGCAGAGGAATGAAATGAGGCTCAAGCTGCAATTGGTATGAAACAGCAGCCACTCGTATCACCCAGGATATTGGTATTGTCTTTCCAGGGACTTTTTTCCTTTTTTTTTTTTTTTTTTTTTTTTTGAGACTGAGTCTTTCTCTGTCACCCAGGTGGAGTGCAATGGCATGATCTCGGCTCACTGCAACCTCTGCCTCCCGGGTTCAAACGATTCTCCTGCCTCAGCCTCTCACGTAGCTGGGATTACAGGTGCCTACTACCATGCCCAGCTAATTTTTGTATTTTTTTAGTAGAGATTGAGTTTCGCCATGTTAGCCAGGCTGGTCTTGAACTCCTGGGCTCAAGGTTATCCATCTGCGTCAGCCTCCCAAAGTGGTGGGATTACAGGCGTGAGCCTCCACACTTGGCCTGTGACTTTGCTTTTTCTGTGCCAAGACAAGATGTTGAAGTGGTCTTGTCTGATATTGATGCCCTGTGAGACTGTTTATGTTCAACGGGAGCTGTGAATGCCAGCTCAGTTCTGGCTTCTCACAGGGTAGACAGTCACCCCGGTACCATCCAGCTGGGCATTTACCCTCCAACACCTGGGAGACACCAGGAGACACTTGGAGACACTGGTTGAGGGCTGCTCTTGGGACCACTAATTCATTCCCCTACATTTCTGGCCTGCCCTGCATGAGCAGAGGGGCTTTGGACTTGTTTTGTTTTGTTTTTTTTTGTTGTTGTTGTTTTTGAGATGGAGTCTCACTGTCCCCCAGGCTGGAGTGCAATGGCGTGATCTTGGCTCACTGCAAGCTCTGCCTCCCGGGTTCACGCCATTCTCCTGCCTCAGCCTCCCAAGTAGCTGGGACTACAGGCACCCGCCACCATGTCCGGCTAATTTTTTGTATTTTTAGTAGAGATGGGGTTTCACTGTGTTAGCCAGGATGGTCTCGATCTCCTGACCTCGTGATCCGCCCACCTCGGCCTCCCAAAGTGCTGGGATCACAGGCGTGAGCCACCGCGCCTGGCCTGGACCTGTCTGACAATGATTCCGGCTTGATTATTATTCAGGTATGGTGAGGCCAGCAGATCAGTAGACAACTACCATTGAGAAGATAGCTTGCTATCACAGATCCCAAGTGGAAGAGGCCTCCACCCTTGAAGGGCCACACAGGGAAGCACCAGGGTTGGTCAGGAGGCAGAGGGAATGGGGGAAGTGTGGGCCGGAGCCTTTACTGTGGTTTTGAAGGAAGGCATGGGCAAGCAGGGCAAGCAGGCTGAGTACTGGCTGGTGTGAATCATTTCAGTGGGCTCTGGGGCACAGAGGCTCTTGCTGAGTGTCTGGTACCTGCCTCAGGGTGAGGAGTGCAGGGGGATGGTGGCCCAGAGTGTGGTAGCCCTGGAGAGGAGGTGTAGGATGTGGGCTCTGGGTTGGTTGGTTTGCACTTGAAAGGCATGATCACAGGCAAGTCCTTTACTCTCTAGGGACTGGCTATCCCTGGGAGGGGCTGTCACTCCAGGTCAGCAAGTCCCCAAGATGTCAAAGCATCAGAATACAGAAAATAAAAAAATATGATTAATATGGGCCCCCAGAGGGAGTCTCCAGCCGCTAGAAGTTGGGCTGAGGCCCCCGAGTGGGCATGGCTGAGGAGACATGGCAGGCACAGACGGCATCTGCTACAGGTGACCAGACCAAAGTCAGCTGGCTCAGGACCAGGGTTTCAGCTCAGGGCAGCCTGATGCCAAATTCCACATTCTGAACTATAGCTCGGTTTGGTGAGAGGAGAGAAAAGAACAACAGGTGTTTTCCAGCGTCATTGACCACATTACCTATTCGGACTGTGTCTCACTTGCATGTTCTGCAGACCATCACCAGTGCCTGCTCTGTGCCTGGCCCCATGCTGGGCTCTGGGGCCACAGAGATGAGCCAGGCATGGTTCCTGCCCTTGAGGTATGATTTGTCTGCAGGGGATTTGAGGAGGGAGCAAACCTGTGGTCCAGCCCAACCCTGGATGGCTAGAGAATCCTTGCTGAAGAAGGTGGTGCCCGAGCTGAGTGCTGAAGCACCAGCAGGGCCACAGAGCTGAGCAGAGCGGGCAGGAAAGTCACTGCAGCTGGAACACAGTGGGGACAGGGCTGGGGCAGGGAAGTCACTGTAGCTGGAACACTGTACGGACAGGCTGGGGGAGGAAAGTCACTGCAGCTGGAACACTGTAGGGACAGGCTGGGGGAGGGTGTCTCCTGCTCCACTGGGGAGTGAGGACTTTGCTCCTGGGCCCTGTGGATTTGGGAGATCTCCAGGGCCAGCAGCGTGGAGCACAGAGACAGGCAGAGCCTGTCAGTATTAATGAGTGGATGGAATAAAATTGGGAAGCAGCTGGGCGCAGTGGCTCATGCCTGTAATCCCAGCACTTTGGGAGGCCAAGGCAGGTGGATTACGAGGTCAAGAGATCCAGACCATCCTCGCCAACATGGTGAGGTCTCTACTAAAAATACAAAAATTAGCTGGGCATGGTGGTGCGCACCTGTAGTCCCAGCTACTCGGGAGGCTGAGGCAGGAGAATTGCTTGAACCCGGGAGGCAGCGGTTGCAGTGAGCCGAGATCACGTCACTGCACTCAAGCCTGGCAACAGAGCGAGACTCCATCTCAAAAAAAAAAAAAAAAAAAAAAACGGGAAGCAAGGGGAAGGACTTTTGACTCCATGGAAGAGCCGGGCAGGGGCCTGTTTGCATAACCATTTCTTGAAGTCTGGCTTCCAGAGGCAGTGGCCATTTGCACTACAGAAAGTGGTCTGTAGTGCAGGACCAGTGAGCTCTTAGCCCCCTGAAGGCTGCAGTGACATGATCCCCACCTAGGATCGCCATGTTCAGTTAAGCAGGTCATCCACTGCACAGAGGCACTAATGAATATGTACATACACTGAGATCCAGCCCATGTACCACCCTCAGGGATGTGGCCTCCTCCAAATTTGTACAAAGTCACCAAATGGGCTAGCTTTGGCCCTCTCCTTGCCCTCTGTAATTCTCTCTGAGGAGCCGAGAATGAGGTGGTTTCCAGGAGGGCTCAGGACCATGGGGGTTCAAGGAGACAATAAAGAAAAGAGCGCAGGGGGCTGGGGGCGGTGGCTGACGCCTGTAATCTCAGCACTTTGGGAAGCTGAGGCAGGCGGATCACTTGAGGTCAGGAGTTTGAGACCAGCCTGGCCAACATGGTGAAAGCCTGTTTCTACTAAAATACAAAAATTAGCTGGGTGTGGTGGTACGTGCCTGTAATCCCAGCTACCGGGGAGGCTGAGCCAGGAGAATCGCTTGAACCTGGGAGGCAGAGATTGCAGTGAGCTGAGATCGTGCCTCTGCACTCCAGCCTCGGCAACAGAGTAAGACTCTGTCTCAAAAAAATAGAGAAGAAAAAAGCGCAGGGAGACCCTGGATGGCCCCGTGAGCTTGGACCCACCTGGGTTAAGCCAGGCCTAAGGGAAAAAACAAACTGCACACCATCATCAGATTCATATGCGCTCATGACTGACTACGAAAGATGGTCTTGTCTCTGGTAATGGGCTGCACCCGCCTGCCTCCTAAGACAGCATCCTTACAGCTCAGAAGTACAGACAAATGAAATGGGACATTCCGCTAAACAGTTTAGCAAATACGGGTAGGCACTAAGAACAAGCACCTCACCTGTATCTCCACCCGGTATTACCACCACACACTTAGCACCCTCCAGCCACTCCCTGTGTTTGGATCTGTCTGTATATGTGTGTGTCTGTGTTTTATCAAAAAAAAATGGGGGCTGGGTGCGGTGGCTCACGCCTGTAATCCCAGCACTTTGGGAGGCCGAGGCGGGCGGATCATGAGGTCAGGAGATCGAGACCATCCTGACTAACACGGTGAAACCCTGTATCTACTAAAAATACAAAAAAATAGCCAGGCGTGGTGGTGGGCGCCTGTAGTCCCAGCTACTCGGGAGGCTGAGGCAGAAGAATGGTGTGAACCTGGGAGGCGGAGCTTGCAGTGAGCCGAGATCGTGCCACTGCACTCCAGCCTGGGCAACAGAGCGAGACTCCATCTCAAAAAAAAAAAAAAAAGGGAAAAAAATAAAAGTCATGGGATCATGCTTACATTTTGGGTCTCAGCTTGATCTTGGTGTTCTAATGTGGAGCAGGCTTCTGGAGCTCAGGTGCACAGCAGATACTCAAGAAGTGGTTGAGAACAACCTGGTCTGGTGCTCGTATCCAAAGCACAGTGGCACTTCAATTTGTTGACACTCCCATTGAAAGTGAGGTCTTTGACTCTGAGCTCTATTTTTGGTGAAAATAATATAACAGCAGTGTCGTTTCTGGGCTGAGGCCTTGAGAAACTGGCAGCTTCCACTTCCTGTCCTCTGGAATGCTTGCTCCTGGAAAGCCAGCCAGTAGGCTGTGAGAAAGCTCAAGCCGCCCTAGGGAGAGTAGTCAACAGCCTGCACCAGAGTGTCGGCCTGTGATGAGCCGGCCTGGGAATGGATCTGTGCTCCAGCTGAACCTCCCCGTGGAGCAGAGACCAGATGCTGGGTCCTGCCTAAATTGTAGGTTTGTGAGCAAAGGAAAGGATTATTGCCATTCTAAGAAGTATCTGTGGTTATCCAGTGACAGGTACAGAGGTACTGGAACCCTTGCCCAGCCAAGTGCCTCTACCTGGCCACAGTGATGAGGGTGATCCATCCTGGGATGAGATGTTAGGATCCTGGGAGAGAGCCTTGCTCTGCCTCTAGGACTGTGAGCTGCGAGGTCTTTGCTCAGAACCCCAAAGCTGCAGCATCCATGGTGGGGTGGAATAAGGCCGATAGACAGAGAAATGCATGCTGAGCGATGGAGAGACAGATGGAGCCCTGCAGACACATTTCCCCATCACCCACAACCTGCCTCCTTATTCATCCATGGGTTTAACTTGGGTTTTTGTCCTTTGCAACTAAGGCAGCCACTTAGCAAATATGTGACTCACAAGCTTAAGCCTCAGTTTCCCATCTGTAAAATGGGGATGGTGAAGCCCTCATCAACGTAACTGGGTGATTATTAGAAAACTGGAGCTGCCAGCGCAGGCAGAGGGAGAGGCAAGTGTAGACAGGGAGCCGCCAGCAGCCCTTCCTGCTCTCCACTTTCCTCCAAAGATGCAGCAAAGCTCCATCTATCACAGGCTCCACCCTTGGCCCTGGGACAGGAGTCCTAGCATGCCCATTTTGTGTGGGGGAGTGGGAGGAAACTGAGGCAAGGAGAGCCCAAGTCACATGCCCAGGTCCCACAGGCTGACCCCAGACAGGCTCCAAAGCCTGGTTTGTAGGGAGACTCTCCCCTCGCCGCAGGCCTCAGTCTCCCCATCTGTAAAACAGGAGACTTCCAAGGAGCTTCCTAAGGCTGAGTCTCTCTGATGTCTCTGTATGGATGAGTCTCAGCCAGCCTTACAGGCCACTGAGAGGCCACCCGAGGGCCATATCCAGATGTAACCCCCATACCCCCTGGCGGGGGGGCGGGCAGGAATGCCTTCTCCAAAGGTATAAGCCAGGGAACCTCAGCAGCCTGAGCAGAGACTCTGAGATTCAGCGGCATGGCTGCCAGACACACTGCACCTGCCCCAGGCTGTCAGGACCCTCTGATTCAGCCCTTTTTGAGAGGAGGTGGGGAAACTGGAGCCCAGGGGGTGTGGGCTTACCTGAGGCCACCAGAGGGCTGGTGAAGAGGCAGGATGAAAACACGCTGAGCCTGGGGGCTGGTGAGGGCAGAGCAGCCACTGCTCTTTCGGGGGCAGGGTGGGAGCTGGCAGGAAGCCTGTGGGGAGGGAGGAGGCGAGGCTCTCACCCTTCTCCAGTGACCAGGCACTTGGCGGCCCACGCTGCTCGCTACGCAGGTGCCGGGCATCAAAGAAGCTTAACTGGCTCTTCAGCATTAAGCCTCGGGCTGCCCTTGACCCACCTGTGCACCCCCTGACCTGCCAGCTTAACTGGGAACAGCTCCAGGCCAATGAAAGCACAACCCCCCACCTGAAATCCTATGCTTGGTTGTAACTCCTTAGAGCATGGTAATGCCGTGTAATCCTAGCAGCCGAGGACCCAGGTCAGTCCACATCTTTCCCGACAAGTGAACATCAGAATGGCCGTGGGAAATTTTGCAATAGTTTACATTTACAAAGCATTTAAAATCCTTGTTTCTTATCAGAGAATAGATACATGCTCATTGTGGAAAATTCAGAAAGTACAAAAAGAGTTGAGGGGTGGGAAAAAAGATGACCTGCTATCTGCCAGCCCAGTGGTGGCCAGGTAAAGGCCTTGGTGTGCAGGATGAGCATGGGGGGAGCAGCCCCTGGCCAGAGTTTGTCCCTCCTAGGCCCAGCTGTATCCCAGCTTCTAAACTGGCCTGGCATGCAGTAGGTGTTTGGTAGTAGCTGTTCCATGAATCTGTCATTCCTTCTGCCCTCTGGGCGCCTTGCTTTGTGTCTCTGCATCACCATTTCTGAACCTGAGGGCGGCAGCTCGATGTCATGTCACCCAGGCTGACTGATCTGCTTGTGCAGGCTGCAGCCAGGTAGGACAGTCTGGTGGTCACAGCTCAGGCCCCAGCAGGGGAGTACCCCCGGGGAGGGGCCTTTGTCGCTCTGCACAGTGGGGACAGGGCTCTTGCCTTGCTTTAGGAGGATAAGTGGTGGGTGTTGAGGGCTCCAGATGGCCCAGCAGAAAACATTTTTGGGAAAATTGTTTTCTCTGCAAACATCTGGCCTGCTAGAGCTTCAAGGTCAGGTTACTTTTTTTTTTTCTTTTTTTGCTTTTAGTTTTTAAAAGGTAATACAGTTTTTAAAAAGAGAGGACACCCATGAGGCCACCAATGCTTCCCTGACTCTTACCTTTTGCAAAAGAACTTTCTGGACGTGGTCTATTGTGAGAGGTTTTCAGAACAAAAATCTCATTTTTCTATTGAGTAAAAACTAAAATCAAGAATAAAGCAAAACAGGCTGGGCGCAGTGGCTCACACTTGTAATCCCAGCACTTTGAGAGGCCAGGGAGGGTGCATCACCTGAGGTCAGGAGCTCAAGACCACTCTGACCAACATGGTGAAACCCTGTTTCTACTAAAAATACAAAAATTAACTGGGCGTGGTGGTGCATGCCTGTAATCCCAGCTACTTGGAAGTCTGAGGCAGGAGAATTGCATGTACCCAGGAGGTGGAGGTTGCAGTGAGCTGAACTCATGCCACTGCAATCCAGCCTGGGTGACAGAGCAAGACTTTGTCAAAAAAAAAAAAAAAAGGCAAAACAAACTGTTTTAGATTTCCACAATTATTATCTAATTTTAGAAAAACTCACCAAGCCAAGAACTCTGCCACCACCAGACTTCTGCATGGGTCCCCTCCCAGGCCACCATGGCCCATGGGTGCTGAGTCAGGCAAATCAAGGGTTGAGGAAGGCTTCCTGGGGGTGGCAACACCTCAGCTAAGGTCTGAGGAAAGAGGAAACTCCCAAGCCAGACCCTCACCTTCCTCTGGAAACCTCTGGCAGCGCACAAGACCCCCATGTTACAGAGTGGAACACTGAGCCCCAGGGCTGGCAGGCCTCCCCTGCCTCCCAGGTTCCATCCAACAAGTGTCCACTGACAGTGCACTGTGTGCTCCCAGTTGCAAATGGAGCTGGGAAGAGGCTGTGGCTTTGGTCAGTTCCTCAGGCTGTGCCTGACTCTGCTTCCTTCTCCCGGCCTGCCTCACCAGCAGCCAGCAGCCCATCCGTTCCTCCTAGCCTCCTCCCCTGCCTCCTCCAGCAGGGAAGCCCATATGTTTTGCGTTTTTTTTTTTTTTTTTTTTTTTTTTGAGACACAGTTTCCCTTTGTCACCCAGGCTGGAGTGCAGTGGTGCAATCTCAGATCACTGCAACCTCCGCCTCCTAGGTTCAAGCAATTCTCGTGCCTCGGCCTCCCAAGTAGCTGGGATTACAGGTGTGTCTGACCTCAAGTGATCCTCTCGGCCATATCCGGCCACATGTCCATAGCTCCACACCTGGCCACATGTCCTCTTCATTTCAGAGACGTGACACAGGCTGAGCAGGCCTTAAGGACAGGCAGCACGAAATGGCTCTGACAGGGAGTGCCATCAGGGAGGGCTCCATGGAGAAGGAGGGTGAGGAAGGCAAGGAGACACACCCAAGCAGGCAGAGCCTAAGCACTGCTCCCAGTTTGTGCCTAGACTTGGAGAGTCTGGGAAACCAGGCAACTAGGACAGCTGAGCGGGTGGGCCAAGCTCAAAAGCTGACGGGCCTTCACAGTCCAGCTTAGAGGCCACCACTCCATCCTGAGCACATCACAGTCTCTCACTTGCCTTGAGAGGGTGGCAGGACAATGTCCACCCCTCAGATGAGAACACGAAGACTCAGTGCAAGGGTGCCCACCCCTGCCCCAGGGATCAGGGAAGCCTGTCAGAGAGCCATGGTTCTCACCATGGAAGGGGGCACCCCAGGCGGTTGTCCCTAGTGGGCCAGTGCCGTTCTTTTCACATGCCTCAGTTTCGCCCACGTGCATGGCTAGAATAGCTGGGCTTTCTAGGAGCAAACCATTCCAAGGGCCTGGGAAAAGGTGGACAAGATGGCCCTGATCAGTGTTCAAATAGGTGACAGGCCCACCTCCAGAACCAGCCTCAGATCCCTCCCATAGCTCCTGAAGATGGCCTTTTGGCAGCAAATGGGTGTTCTGAGCCACAGCAAGGCATACAGTTCCCTGTGGAAACGACATGACAGAGGTCCTTAGGCCACCTCCAGGTCCCCTAACAGTACAAATGGAGGCCCAGCGCCACAAGCCTGAATGTCCACAACCCAACCAAGCGACAGACTGCTCAGAAAAACATGCTCTTTCCTCCTTGATCCCACCTGTCAGGGGCTGAACTGTGTCCCCCAAAATCTATATGTTTAAGTCCTAACCCTCAGTACCTCCAAATATGACCTTATTTGGAGACAAGGTCTTTACAGACTCTTCTTTTTTTTTTTTTTTTTCTTGAGATGGTGTCTTGCTCTGTTGCCCAGGCTGGAGTGCAGTGGCACAATCTCAGCTCACCACAACCTCCGCCTCCCGGGTTCAAGTGATTCTCCTGCCTCAGCTTCCCAAGTAACTGGGACTACAGGCACGCGCCACCATGCCCAGCTAATTTTTGTATTTTTAGTAGAGACAGGGTTTCACCATGTTGGCCAGGCTGGTCGCAAACTCCTGACCTTATGATCCACCTGCCTCTGCCTCCCAATGTGCTGGGATTACAGGCGTGAGCCACTGAGCCTGGCCGGTCTTTACAGACTCTTTATAGGGTCTTAAGTTAAGATGAGGACATTACGGTGGGCTCTAATCTAATATGACTGGTGTCCTTAGAAGAGAGATTTGAACACAGAGAGACACAGGGAGAGCACCATGTGTAGACAGGAGTTAAGTTGCCACCGGCCAAGGAACTGCCAGAAGCTGGATGATACAAGGAAGGCTGTTCTCCTGGAGTTTTTGGAGGGACTGCAGGCCTGCCGACACCCTGATCTCAGACTTCTGGCCTCCTGAACCATAAGACAATAAATTTCTGTTGTTCTCAGGCACCCAGTCTGGGGTACTATGTTACACAGCTCTAGGAAACACACTTCCTAAATGGCCAGGTGTTTAGCATTTGAAGGCTCCTGAAGGCCTGGGTCACAGCGTGGTGGCTTAGGGAGCTGCAGGCAGCCTGGTGTTTTCCATCCCCACCTAGCTCCACCCAGCTATTGGAGGGCTGCCCCAGACCTCCCTCCCAGCCCTGTCCATGCACCTACAGGCAGTGGCCTTCTGCCTGGTGGTGCATGGTGGGCAAAACCAGGGAAGGGACCACACAGGCCTGAGAGGTGGGCTAGGGGCCACTTGGCAAGACATTCTGGGGTCCCAGAGTGTGGTCTGGAGTGGGCACTGCTGATGGCCCTGCCCTTCCCGACATGGCAGAAAGAATACACATGCTTGATTTTGAATAAAGGAGATTGAAGTAAGCCATCGTGTGTGACCCACAAGTCCAAGTGGGAAGAACATATCAGGGGTGACGCCAACCCTGATGGCGAAAGGGGGAGGGCCCCTCACGTTTCACACTGAACCTCAGCTTTGGAGGGCTCGGAAAGCAGAGACGGGGAGGGGCTGCCCTGCTGGAACCCTGCTTCATGGTCCACCTGAACATCCACACTCTTCACGGTCACCTGCCAGGCACTCTAGAGCCAGCCTGGCCCACCTGGGCCACCTTCTGCGCTCCTGGAGGCATGCCTAAGCCAGCCGCACTGGGCTTCTGCTGCCACACATTGCCAAACCAGGGCCTTTGCACCTGCTGTTCCCTCTGCCAGGATTGCCTTTGCCAGCTCCACAGGAATAGGCATGGCTCAGGTGGTCTCCCACAAGCAGCCCAAGATCCAGGATGTCTGAGGCCTGACACCACACCCAACCCTTTGGTGGCTGCCTGGGCAGGGGGCTAAGCCTGGGTTGGGTGGGGTCAGAGGGAGAGAAAGAGCCCGGATCACAGCTCTGGGCCTGCTGCAAGTGGAGCTGGGTGGGAAGGGGAAGCCAGGAGAAGGGAGGCCTCCAGGTGTGGTGGGCCCTGCAGACAGACCCCAGGGCTTTCCATCCTGTTTCCCCCAGCCGGGGGCCCCTCAGTGAGAACCGAAGACAACAAGGGCACCCAGACCTCAGTGTGCCTCAGACGGCCTGGCCCAGTGAGAGACAGGGAAAGAAGGCTGGGTCCACACAGGACTCTGGGGGTGAGTGGGTTACGGGAGGGGCGGGCCGGGGAGGCGTTTTGCTGTTTGCCCTTTGGTACCGGCCGAATCCGGCACCCTGAGAAGGCAAAATCCTGCTCAAAAAATAAAAACACAGAAGCACATGGAAAAACCACACTAGGAGTGAAGGTGAGAACAGGAAGGGATGGGGGAAGGGTGTTGGGCAGAGGTAGCCACGCGTGCAACGCCCCGGAGTAGCAACACTTTCCGCTCAGCCGGCTGCCTTGGCCCGCTGGGTATTTGGTCTCCCCAAGGGCCCCCGCCCACAGCCCCCGGCCGGACCTCGGCCCCAGTCCAACGTGTGGGCGTGGTCTGTAAGTTGCATGGAACCGCCCCTGGGCGGGCGTGGAGGGCGGGGCCTCCCCGCCCCTCACCCAGGCCCAGGCCCAGGCCCCGCCCCCACAAGCCGGGCTCACTCCCCTGGCAGACCCCGCCAAGCGCCTCGGAGCGCGCAGGATGCGCTGGGCGGCCGCCACCCTCCGTGGCAAGGCGAGGCCCCGGGGGCGGGCCGGGGTCACCACGCCTGCCCCAGGGAACCGCACAGGTGAGGGCTGGGGCCGAGTGGCCGCGTGCGGGGCTCTGCGCCCATTTCACAGACGGGAAAGCCGAGGGGAGGGGGTCGCGGGGCCGCACAGCCGTGGGTGGGGGCCACAGCAACGATCTGCCCCGAGGACGAACCTCCTCGACCCTCCGCCGGCCCAGCAGGCGCCCTAGCGGAGCCGAAGCCTGGCAGCGAGCAGTTCGAAACCAGGCGGCTGCACGCAGCAGCCCGCGCGCCCGTTCCCGAGTGGCCGCAGCGCCTTGGTCCCGGGCGTCTGCGGACAGCGCGGCCGGCCAAGCCTCTCCACGCCGCAGGCTCCGGGCCCCTCCGCGCCCCTCCCGGGGAAGTCGAAACCGGCCTCACCTGGCGGGCGGGTGGCGCGGGGGCGGGAGGGGGGAGCCGGGAGCCCTCTCTGCGCCTGAGGGAGGTGTCATCTTCACGATTCCTTGGTGACCAGCGCAGCTCCACTTTACAGATGGAGAAACTGAGCCTGCGAGAGGGGAGTGGCTGTCCGAGGTCACCCTGTAGCCAGGCTTGGGATCGCCTCGGCTGTCTCGGAGGAGGCTCAGAGGCCTTTGGAAGGAAGAGAAGCTGCTTTTTATTTTACTTTTAAGTGTTTGAATTCAAGAATGTGCTTAAAGAGTTGTCTGCTCCCGTGCCCAAGGCTCCGGGGTTCGAATGCTGGCCTTGCTCCTTGAATGATTCTAAAGTCTAACCCTTTTAGAAACGGAACCAAACCGGAACTCTGGGTCTCAGATATCCCAAAAGCTTACTTCCGCGGCCACTGCCCACGAACGTTAGGCCTGAGGGTTCTGGGCGTCTCAGGCGTTGCGGGGCTAAGGCTCTGCGCAGGAGGAAGCTGAGGCCCGGAGTGGGGTGGGCTGGACCAGGTCACACTGTCAGCCTGCAGCCCCAGGGAACTGGCAGGAAGGTGGCAGGAGAATGGCTTCCTCTCACAGTTGGGGAAACTGCGGCTCAGGGAGCTAATTCACCGAGCAGAGGTCCGCAGCTCAGCAAAGTGGGCGCTGAGACTTGTTCCTGGCGCTGGTGGATTTGGTTTATTTAGTTTGACTCTGGCAGCCTAATGTCCAGAGTCCCTAATTTGGTGTTGGGGTGATGAGCACTTTTGCTCCTGTGTTTGAGCAAGGCCTGCCCAGGGCCTGGTACTACCTGAGGAGCCCCTTCTACTGGCACAACAGCCTGGGGGCGTGGGTGCCAGTGCCCTTTGGATAGCCTTGACTTGCCCAAGGTCAGCCCAAGGCCAGGGAGTATCTGGAGGCTCTGGCATATTTGCATACAAAAGGCTGTTTGCCTTGGAATTTGTGCTGGGAATGGAGCTTAGTCTGGCACCCTGTGCTCTTGTTCATCCTGCCTGGCCCTGGCTCTGCCTCTGACCACCATGACCACTTCCCAGGCACTGGCCCCCTTGTTGGAGTTTTGGGTTAGGATCCCCCCTGTGACCTGGGGTGAGTCGCTGTACCTCTGTGCCTCAGTTTCCCCATGTGCCCCAGTTTCCCCACTGTATACCTGCCCCCAAGCTTGTGGACAGGCCCAGTGGAGCCCAGGGAGGGTACTTGTTCTGGTGCAGGGATGATGCCATCATCTGGACTCCATCACTCCCCTGCCATGTGACCTCAGTTTCTTGCTCTGTGAAATGTGCTGTGAAGTTAGAGGCTGGGGGGTTGGGAGCCTTTGGAGAGGATTTGACACTAAAACACCACTGACCAGGAGTGGTGGCTCATGCCTCTAATCCCACACTTTGGGAGGCTGAGGTGGGCGGATTGCTTGAGTCCAGGAGCTCGAAACCAACCTGGGTAACATAGCAAGACCCCGTATCTACAAAAAATGCAAAAAAAAAATTAGCTGAGCATGGTGGCATGCGCCTGTAGTCCCAGCTATTCGGGAGGCTGAAAGGTGGAAGGATTGCTTTCGTCCAGAGTTCGAGGCTACAGTGAGCTGTGATCACCTCACTGCACTCCACCCTGGGCAACAGAGCGAGATTCTGTCTCAAAACAAAACAAAAACCAAAAACATAGCACGGGGATGTGTGTTTTTCCCACCATCTTTAAAATGGGGCCATTACCACTGGTTTTCCTAGAGTAGATATGAAGAGCACAGTAGTGTGGACAGACTGATCTTCCTGAGAGGCAGGAAGTGGTCTTCCCTCATCTCCCATGAGCGCCCTGGGAGAAGGGCAGGGCGCGGGGGAGACTAGCTCAGAGTAGGAGTTTATCATGTTTGTTGTATGACTGGCCCCTGGCCCTGCTCCCAGGTCAGCCCCAGCACTCCCTGATCTGGGAGATTGTCCAGGAAAGCAGGGTTCCAGTGGCTGTAGGTAACCCCCCTGGCATCCGTGGAAGGGCCTTGGAGGAAGGGCCTGGAGAGGGGGTAGCAGGAGGCATGCTCTGCTGGTGCCTTCTTGGCTTCACCCCTGAACTCCTGCCCCAGAACTGGACTGTGTCCATTTTACAGAGGAGAAACTGAGACCCCGTGAATGCATGTGTAAATCAAAGCAAGGCAGACACACCCTGTGATGCCTGGCTATGGCCTCCTGCCACCCATTGGCATCGAAAGAGCTGCTGGTAGAAGGCATAGGTTCCCGGACCCTCGGTTTTCCACCAGGGATGTGGGAGTACATGTTCCTCATTTGGAATTAGCCCAGCTCTTTTATGGAGGATTGTGTGCTTTCCACATCCTGAGGCCACCCTGCTGCTCAGCCTGGAGATGGAAGGCAGAAGTGGCTCTGAAGCCTGTGCTCACCCTCCATGTGGAGATGGGCTCAGAGAGGGCAAGTGACTTACCTGAAGACACACAGCCAGGGCTGTGGGACACCCACATGTAGTGTTGGGGCCAGGCCTGTCCCCACTGCCAGGGTCTTGGGGGTCCTGTTCTCAAAGCACCTCTGTGTGCAAAAGTCACCCCCTTTAAACTCTGAGAAATTCCTCCTGAAGGTTCCTGTTTCACATTTGGGGGAACTGAGACCCAGATTGAGGTCACACAGGGACTCACTGGCAGGTGGGGATCGAGTCTAGGTGAGACTGGGTTCAGCAGCCTGCCTCTGTCACTCTCTCCCACAGCCTCAGCCAGCATAAAAGGGAACATAGTTACTTAATCCCACAGCAGGCGAGGTCAGGTTATAGGGGCTGTGTGGCGAATCCCAGGAGGGAGGATGGAGGGGCCGACCTGAGGTCCAAGGTTCCAGATAAAAGATTAACAAGTACGGATTGTTCTCAGACGCCCGGCTGGCCTCACAGGCTGGGAGGATGAGAATCCACCCGGTCAGGCTTGGCCCCCTCCGTACATAAGGCCAGGGAGGGAGGAAGCGCAGCTGCAGCAGGTGGCCAGGCAGAGGCGCAGGCGCGGCATGTGGGCTGAGGGCCGCTCAGGCATCACACAGGTGTGGCCCTGAGGTACCCATTGGTCCTCTCCACCTGCCCCTGAGCCGTGGGAGGGCCAGGCAGGGCCTCGTGTGTTTTTATTTTGTATCTTGTTTGCATCAAATCCGTTTTCTGTTGTTTTTCCCTCTTCTTTAAGATTTACATGCAAAGGGATCTAAAGGGTGCCAGGTAAGAAATGCCCCAGCACTAGGCTGGCAGACCAAGGGCAGCCACAACCATGGGCTGGGGAACAGCAGGTGGGTAGGATGGGGCTGGAGGGCAGGACGGATCCAGAGAGGCAAGGCCTCTGCCTCCAGCTTTAGGGAACAGACATCCTCAAAGACAGCTGGGGTGTGGGGTCCTCTGCAGGGGTGAGGCACAGGAGGGCCATCTGCAGGCAGCTGGGAGTTCATGAGTATTTGAAGCAGGGGAGGGGACAGGGGACAGATGGGATCTGCCTCTCATGCATCAGGCATGGGGAGGGGCTCAGGAGGTCAGTGAGGGGTGGCCCTGGGTCCCCTGGGAGTCCGGGAGTCTCTGTGTGAGCAGGACTTGGCTGTGCGGTGGTTAGAGACAAGGGTGATCCACCAGCTCCATCCTCATGCCTTGGTGATTTCTTGGAATGTCCCTGGGAGTTGGGTGCAGGTAGAGACTTTGTAGACCATAGCTCCTGGCACTGTGCTGCCTGCCTGCCCCATCCTGGCTGTGAGTTCGCTGTGAATCCTACGGAATCCTGGCTGTGAGTTCGCTGTGAATCCTATGGAAAGGGCTACCCCAAGGGGACAGGAGTCCAGCCTCCTACTCTTGGCACTGCCATCATGCAGCCAGGGGCCTTGGGCAGGTTTGTGGGCCTCAGTTTCCTCATCTGGAAAATGGAGCCAGCCCAGAGAAAGTGTTTCCTGGCCTCCCAGGCTCAGGAAAGGAGTACAGGAGACCCCACTGGGGCCTGGAGGGTTGAAGGTCCCCTGTATGCTGCAGACCTTGGGGATCAAGGGCTAAGGGCTGAAGTTTCCCTGTGTTCCATGGACCTTGGGGATTGAGGCCCAGGGCCCCAGTAGGGCTCATGTCCTGGGCTGCTCAAGCCCTGACCTAGGGAGTGATCCTGTGCACCAGATCCTGCTCCAAGATCTCCATAGGGCAGTCCTGCTCTTCCCAGACCCCAGGCGGGCAAGTCACCAGTTTTGCAGACGGGGAAGTTGAGGCTGAGCCAGGTGAGAAATTCAGGTCCAAGACCTGCTGCTGGGATGGGTCTTGTCAGGATCAGACCCCAGGAACCTACTGGTTAGCCCTCCAGGAAGCCTGCCCACCCAACTGGGGGCTAAGAGGGGGCATTGCCGGTCAGTGGCTTCTCTTTCTGTGGCCCCTGCAGCAAGAGAGGCCACAGGAACATGACTTTGCCTCCCTGTGCCCCCTTGGCTGAGGGCTTAAAGGAGGTTGGACCTCTTGGCCACCCTGAGGAGGCAGGTCAGGGCTGTGAGCCTTGAGCAAGGACTCACCCTACCCTCCCTCCTACCAGTTACTTCCCCCAGACCCTCTGCTTGACTTATAAAGGAAAGCCATTCCAGCAGTGCACTTACATTAGGACCTGGGCATGAGACCCTTCTTCTGGTCAGCTGGCTACAAATGCAGGGTCTGAGGCCAGGACTGCGTTTAAGGCCCCCCAGCCCCACCAGGCACCATCCTTCTCTGCTCATGGACAGTTGGGCTGGCATCAGTTTTACTGGGCTTGTATTCCAAATCGTTCTATACTTTTATTTGAGTTTTTAATTTGACGGCGCATCCCGGACTTCTTGTAGGTCAGTGTTACCTCGCTGGCTGGTCCCCTTTCTTTGGTTGTGGGTGGTGACTTCACCTTTTTTTTTGAGACAGAGTCTCACTTTGTCAACCAGGCTAGAGTACAGTGCCGTGATCTTGGCTCACTGCGGCTTCTGCCTCCTGGTTCAAGCAATTCTCCTGCCTCAGCCTCCTAAGTAGCTGGGACTACAGGTGCACACCGCCACGCCTAGCTACTTTTTGTATTTTTAATAGAGACAGGGTTTCACCATGTTGGCCAGGATGGTCTTGATCTCCTGACCTTGTGATCTGCCCACCTTGGCCTCCCAAAGTGCTGGGAGTACAGGCGTGAGCCACCGCACCCAGCCGACTTCACCCTTTATCCCCCACGTCTGTGAGGCTCAATGATGCAGGCAGGACAGGCTCTGGGGATGCTGGGAAGGGGATGCTGGGAACAGCTTGCCTGCTGTTGATGCCTGTCACTGTGACATGTAATCCACCACCTGCAGTTGCTGTCTGAGGACAAGAGCCCTCACTATAGCAGAACCTGGCGGCTGAGAACACAGGATGTGGCTTTTGGCAGATGAAGTGTGAACCAAGACAAGACCTTGGTCGACCTCAGACATAGCTAGGTGAGAGCCGACTGGTCAACCTCAGACATGGCTAGTCATGAGCTCCCCACAGGGCTCAGCACAACACACGGGCGGGCAGGGGGAGGAGCTGCTCCTTCTAAAACACACTTAGAGGAAGTCAGCTGTGGAGGTGGCCTTGCTGGGATGATCATCATTTCATCCAGTCCTCGCCCCACCCTGCCTGTTGTGGTATTTGTAGGTGGAGACACAGGCCCAGGGTGGAGAAGTGACTGGGGTCTTCTGGAAAGGCCGGGCCTACCCTCAAACCCAGGTCCTCTGGCTCCAGAGCTGGTCCTGGCTGCCTTGAGTGCATGGGAGGCCCTGGCGGTCACATCCGTCTTGTTTGAGAGAAAGCTATGTCCCCGCGGTGACACACAGTCTCAGTAGAATAAGTCCTAGGGATCAGCCCAGTGCCCAGACCGCTCAGCAGTGGTTAAATGTCTGGGTCCTGGATGGGGAGTGGTATGGCCACCCCTTCCCTGGGACCCTGGTGGGTGGGAAGGGGATGTGCCCAGGGGATCAGTTACATGTCAGCAGTGGGGATGCTCAAGGTCTTCCGCCAGCATTTTTCTTTTGAACGTGCAGCAGAGTTGAAAGAATTTTATGCCTGGACACGCACCAGCTTGATTCCACCCTTCGCATTTCGCTGTGCCTGCTTTCTCACATCTGTCTCCATCCCTTGGTCCACCCCTCCAGGCATCTCATTATTCTAATGAAGTTCTAGTTTTATTTTTAAAGAATGAATTCACGTTCATCCATTCATCCTCTCACTGGGCAGACACTCAACCAGGCGCTGTTGTGGGTGCTGGACACACTCACCCTCGCCAACCTCTCCTCCCATCCGCCAACGGCTACTCCCAAACCTCTGGCTGGTGGGGCCTCCTCTCTGCAAGGGCCGCAGTGGGCTGGGAAGCCACAGAGGAATGCAGAAGTCGCAGCTCTAAATTAAGGACTGGGAAGTGTTGGCTGCCTGGCGGCCCTGGGGAGGGGGCCACGTGGCCAGCCCGTGGCTGCCCTGCTGTGTCTGCCAGGGCTCCAGAATCCCATAGCCACCTCCTTGGCCAGAAGGACAGTGCATATACAGATCCCAAGATCCTGAAAAAGCAAAGTGGTCCCTGGCCCTTGGGGAGTGCTGATCACGACTCTTGCCTGTGAGGTGAGGCTGCCAGTCCTCCATTCCTTTGTTCTTGCATTCATTCATTCACTCATTCCTGCACTGATGTCTCCAGATATGGAGCTTGGTAGTTGACGGAGAGCCCAACCCTGGAGACAGAATTCAAGTCCTAGCTGTGCCACTGGGAGCTAGGTGACCCAAGGCCAGCGAGAGTCAGCCCAGGGTTATAGGAAATAGCCCAGGCCAGGGGTTAGAGCTGTACCTGGCACACAGGTATGCTCAGCGTCAGCTGTCATCCGCCCAGCATCCCTGGGAGGTTCTGCCTCCTGCTGATCTCAGTCCTGCCCACCATGCCCTCCATCCCCCTGAAGGGCAGGGCAGCTCCTCAGGCCCTCCCCACTCTGTGTACCGCCCCTAGAAATTGTGCACCCCTCCTCTGCAGCCTCCTCAATCTGAAGGGCTGATCTTTTTAACCCTGACAGAGATAAGAAGCAAAAAAAGTATCTTCAGTTGCTTTTTCTTTTTTTGGAGATGGAGTCTCCCTCTGTCGCCCATGTTGGAGTGCAGTGGCATGATCTCAGTTCACTGCAACCTCCACCTCCCAGGTTCAAGGGATTCTTCTGTCTCAGCCTCTTGAGTAGCTGGAACTACAGGCGCACGCCACCACGCCCAGCTAATTTTTGTATTTTTAGTAGAGACAGGTTTTCACCATATTGGTCAGGCGGGTCTCAAACTGCTGACCTCATGATCCGCCTGCCTCAGCCTCCCAAAGTGCTGGGATTACAGGTATGAGCCACCGTGCTCGGCCAAGTATCTTCAGTTTTAAATGTGTATTTCTTTAATTGACATATTTTCCCCCTGATTTTTTAAACAGCTTTACTGGGCCATAATTCACATACCATACAATTTACCTTTTTAAATCATAGAACTCAGTAGCTTTTGTACATTCACAGATATGTGCTACCATCACTCCAGTCAATTTTATTTTATTTTATTTTATTTTTTGAGACGGAGTCACTCTGTTGCCCTGGCTGGAGTGCAGTGGCACAATCTTGGCTCACTGCAACCTCCGCCTCCCGGGTTCAAGCGATTCCCCTGCCTCAGCCTCCTGAGTAGCTGGATTACAGGCGTGCACCACCACACCCAGCTAATTTTTGTATTCTTAGTAGAGATGGGGTTTCACCGTGTTGGCCAGGCTGGTCTGGAACTCCTGACCTCAGGTGATCTGACCGCCTTGGCCTCCCAAAGTGCTGGGATTACAGGTGTGAGCCACCATACCCAGCCACTCCAGTCAATTTTATAATGTTTTTAATCACTGCATAAGAAGATCCCATACCCCTTAGCAGCCATCTCCCAGTTTTCCCTTTCCCCCAGCTTCTGACAGCCACTAATCTGCTTTCTGTCTCTGGATTTGCCTGTTCTGGACATTTCATATGAGTGTCATCATATGACATGTGACCTTTTGTGTCTGACTTCTTTCACTTAACACAGTGTTTTCAAGGTTTATCCATGTTGTAACATGGATCAGCACTTCATGCCTTTTGATGATTTAATAGTACTCTGTGGTGTGGATAAACCACATTTTGTTTATTCACTTATTGGTTGACAGACATTTAGGTGTTTCAGCTCTCTGGCCATTACAAATAATGCTGCTGTGAACATTCGTGTACCCATTTTTGTGTAGACAGGTATTTTCATTTCTCTTGGCTGATTACCTAGCAGTGGAATTACTGGATCATGTGGTAATTCTGTGCTTAACTGTGTGAAAAACCACCGGACAGTTTTCCAAAGCTGTTGCACCATTCTGTTCCCAAACTAGTAGCTTCTGAGGTGCCAGTTTCTCCACATTTTTCCTAACACTTCGTATTGTCTGTCTTTTTTTTTTTTTTTTCTTGAAACGAAGTCTTGCTCTGTCCCAGGCTGGAGTGCGGTAGCCTGATCTCGGCTGACTGCAACCTCCGCCTCCCAGGTTCAAGTGATACTCCTGCCTCAGCCTCTCAAGTAGCTGGGATTACAGGGGCCCACCACTACGCCTGGCTAATTTTTGTAGTTTTAGTCGAGACAGAGTTTCACCCTGTTGGCCAGGGTGGTCTCAAACTCCTAACCTCAAGTGATCCAGCCACCTCGGCCTCCCAAAGTCCTGGGATTACAGGCGTGAGCCACTGCGCCCAGCCAGCTATTGGTATTGCCTATCTTTTTGACAGACTTCCTTGTGGTTTTGATTTGTATTTCCCTGAAGGTTAATAATTTTGAGAATCTTCTTGTGCTTATTGGCTGCTAACTTATCTTTTTCAGAGAAATGTCTGTTCAGATCCTTTGGCCATTTTTCAATTTTGTTGTCTTCTAATTGAATTGTAATAATTCTTTATATGTTCTAGACACATGCCTCTTATCAGATACATGATTTGCAAGTATTTTCTCCCTATTGGTAAGTTGTCTTTTCACTTTATTGAATGTCCTTTAAAGCACAAACATTTTTCATTTTGATGAAGTCCTGTTTTTATTTTTCTTTTGGTGTTTGTCTTTGGTGTTAGATCTAAGAAACCATTGCCTAAGTTTACAAAGATTTTCCCTATGTTTTCTTCTAAGAGTTTCATAGTTTTAGCTCTTACTTTTAGGTCTTTGATTCATGTTAATTTTAGCATATGGTATGAGCTAGGGGTCCAGCTTCAGTTGTCCCAGCATCAGTTTGTTGAAAAACTATTCCTTTCCCATTGAATTGTCTTGGTACCCTTGTTGAAAATCATTTGACTATAAATGTAAGGGTTTACCTCTGCACTCTCAGTTCTATTCTGTTGGCCTTTATGTCTGTCCTCATGATAGTACCACACTGTTTTGATTACTCTAGCTTTGTAATACATTTTGAAATTGGCAAGTGTGAACTCTCCAACTTTGTTCTTTTTCAAGAGTGTTTTGGCTATTCTAGGTCTTTTGCATTTCCATATGAGCTTTAAGATCAGCTTGTTGATTTCTGGAAAGAAAGCAGCTGGATTCTGATAGAGATTTTGTTGAATCTGTATATCAGTTTGGAGAATACAGTAGATTCAATGAATACAGTAGATACAGTGAATATAGTAGATACAATGTATCCAAGGGGGATACATTCCAGGACCCCTCAGTGCATGCCTGAAACTTCAGATACTATATATGTTGTTTTTTCCCTAAACACATGTACCTATGATAAGTTTAATTTATAAATTGAACAGAGTGAAAGATTAATGATAACCAGTAATAAGTTATACCAATTATAACAATATATTATAATAAGAGTAATGTGAATGTGGTCTCTCTCTCTCTAAATATCTTAATAGACGGTACTCACCCTTCTTGCGATGATGTGAGATGATAAAATGCCTACATGATGAGATGAAGTGAGATGAAAAACATAGGCCTTGTGATGGAATGGGAAATTCCAGAGATAATTTGTAAGTTTTACACTGTGAGCCACTCTGAGTGTTGTGATGAAATCTCACCCATCCCGCTCCACCCCGCCTGGGATTGCTGTCAGTCACTTAGTAGCCCTCTGGGTTATCAGACCCCCTGATACTGCAGTGCTTGTGTTCAGGCAACTCTCATTTCACTTAATAATGGCCCAAAACACAACTGTTGTGAGGTACTATTTTCTGATTGTGGAACCACCGGTAACTGAAACCATGGAAAGTGAAAACAAGGATAAGGACGGACTACCATAATATGTTGCCATCGTAACAATATTAAGTCTTCTGATCCATGAGCATAGGATGTTTTCCCATTTATTTAGGTCTTTAATTTCTTTCAACAACGTTTTGTAGTTTTCAGAGTATGTGTTTTGCACTTCTGTTATTAAATTTATAACTAATTTATTCTTTTTGATGCTGTTGTATAAAATGTTTTTCTTAATTTTCAATTTGCTCACTGCTACTGTACAGAAATACATTGACTTCTGTATGTTGACCTGGTATTCTACAACCTTGCTGAACTAATTTCTATTTATAATAGCTTTTAGTGGATTTCTGAGGCTTTTCTACATATATACGAAATCATGTCATCTAATGGAGATTGTTTTACTTCTTCCTTTTTTTTTTCTTTTTTTTTGAGATGGAGTCTCACTTTGTTGCCCAGGCTGGAGTGCAGTGGTACGATTTTGGCTCACTGCAACCTCTGCTTCCTGGGATCAGGCGATTCTCCTGCCTCAGCCTCCCAAGTAGCTGGGATTACAGACATGTGCCACCCACACCCGGTTAATTTTTGATTTTAGTACAGATAGGGTTTCACCATGTTGGCCAGGCTGGTCTTGAACTCCTGACCTCAAGTGATCCACCTGCCTCGGCCTCCCAAAGTGCTGGGATTACAGGCATGAGCCACCATGCCTGGCCGAGCCATTTGTTTTTCTTTTCTAACTTACACATTTTGCTGTGATTTTTGTCATTGGCTTATTAATATATAAGTGCTGTTTATGTAGAGAAGATACAAATCTCCTATTACATATATGTTACAAATATAAGAATCTTAGACACCGCATCTAGTGGTGGCTCCCTCCCTGCTATCAGTGGGCATTTGGGCAGGTGAATCCACCTCTCTGAGCCTTATCTGTAATAATACAGATAAAGAATGTGGGGTGCTCTTGAACAGAATATTCTATCCATACATGCATTGTTATTGTTAGTGGCTGTGCAAATGCTGAGGATCCATAGACAGGGAGCAGTCAGAATGGCCCTGCCCAGGCCAGAGGCTGGCCTTCCCCAGATACTGAAGGGGCAGAAAGGATGGGGGCAGCCCGGGGATAAAGAGCCAGGTGCCTGCGGTTGACCCTGGCGGAACCACAAACTGGCTGTGTGACCTCAGTGTCCCTGAGCCATGGTTTCTGGGGCTGCAGAATGGGGGAGACAGTTCTTCCAAGGACATCATGGCTCCTGCCCTCATGTGTACCAGGCACAACCACCTTCCAGATGCCTTGGCATTACACCTCATTTCCTCAGCACCCCAGTCCAAGGTGGGCACAACAGCTGTGCTGACTTTGAGGCCGGGGCAGGCTCCCTTGCCTGGGCCCCCAAATGTGTGTGGTGGAGGTGGACTAGGAGCCCCACAGGCTGGAACCCGTGTGTTCGTTTCTGTACTGTCACCCAACAGCTGCTGAAGCGCTCAGCACAGAGTAGAGCCTGGGCATTATTCTTCCTTCTATTATTATTGTTGCTGATATTCCTACTTTTGTTATTGTCACCTTGGGGCCCCAAGTGGACCAGCCAGAATCCCAAGCGCTAAATAGGGCACTGGGCTGAGACGTGTTGCTGAAGCTTTGTATCAGATTTGAGCCAGTCCACTTAACAAATCCACAAGAAAACAGTGGCCTAACTCCAGCTGGAGTTTATTGCTGTCTCTTCTTAGGATCCGAGAGGTTGGTCTGTCCTTTCACATGTCTACCATCTTTGCTCCCTGTATTAGTCAGGGTTCTCTAGAGGGACTGGACTAATAGCATAGATGTATATATAAAGGGGAGTTTATTAAGGAGTATTGACTCACACGATAACAAGGTGAAGTCCCACAATAGGCTGCCTGCAAGCTAAGGAGCAAGGAAGCCAGTCTGAGTCCTAAAACCTCAAAAGTAGGGAAGACAGTGCAGCCTTCAGTCTGTGGCAGAAGGCCCGACAGCCGTTGGCAAGCCACTGGTGTAAGTCCAAGAATCCAAAAGCTGAAGAACTTGGAGTCTGATGTTCAAAGGCAGGAAGCATCCAGCATGGGAGAAAGATGAAGGTCAGAAGATTCAGCCAATCTAGTCCTTCCACGTTCCTCTGCCTGCTTTTATTCTAGCCTCACTGGCAGCTGATTAGATGGTGCCCACCAGATTAAGGGTGGGTCTGCTTCTCCCAGTCCACCGACGCAAATGTTAATCTCCTTTGGCAACACCCTCACAGACACACCCAGTGACGATACATTGCGTCCTTCAATTCAATCAAGTTGACACTCAATATTAACCATCACACTCCCCAATGCAGAAGTGACACAGCATCTATGCTCACACCTCATTGGCCAGGTTCAGTCACGTGACTGCTCCCTGGAGGGCAGGTTGGGAAATGTAGTTTTCAGTGGTGATCACATTTCCAGCTGCAACTCTGGGATGGGGAGAAGGGATACTAGAGGCAACCGCAGCCAGGGGTGGGAACTAGAGTTGCAGCTGCCCAGGATGAGGTGAGATGGGGCAGATTCCACCCACTGGGCTTGGCCATCAGGTGGGGCTCCCGAAACAGTGTGCTGGGTCTCAGTTCCATCCCTACCACCTTCCCACTGAGTGACCTTGGGCATGCCATTGAGCTTTGCTGTGCCTCAGTTTCCCCATCTGTAAGGTAGGGGTAGACCACCCTCCTCATAGGGCTATAATGCAGTACAGCACCCATTAGGCCCCCAGTGTTGTCTGTGTTAGATCAGTCCCTCCCCCATCCCTCCCAGAAAAGTACACAAACCATAAGCCCCTCCCACCCCTCTTCCCTTGCTAGCAAGTATCCTCAAGGCAGAAGCAGTGTAGCCTGACCCTCCCAAAGCGGTGGGGCATGTCTGCCTCAACCCCTCCTGAGGGCCACCCCTGCCTCTGCACTCTCGCCCTCAGCATCTCAGCTTGTTAAGGCCCTGGGGTCCTCAGTCATGCAGAGGCCAGGGGCAGGGGGACCACTGGGTGCTGCTGGGGAGTGGGTCAATGTGACCTGGCCAGCTGCAGCCAAATGCCATCCTTCACTGTCACTACCATGGCACAGAGCCTCTGGTAGCCTCCACTTTTGCCAGATCCCAGACCAGACTTCGGAGCCTGGCCTGAAGCCCAGCTCTGCTGATGCCCATTAATAGCCGTGGCACACATGGCTGGGGCAAGGGGTGGTGTGACCTCTCTGAGCCTCAGTTTCCCCCCAGATGGGCTTGTGAATTGAGATGTGGGGTAAGAAATGGAGTGATATGTCTCGCAGATAAAGACCTTGCCTGGGCACACAGCCAGCCCACGTGACTGCTCCTGGGCAGATGTGAATAAATCTGGGGGATGGTATGCAGCCTACCGCAGATGTCTTTGGTAAACATTTTAAAATTAGAGTCCACAGAGTTTGCTGGCCAATTGGTTGTGGATTGAGAAAGTAGGTTTCAAGGTTTAGGGCCCAAGCAACTGAAGGATGGAGGGACTGCTGATTTAAATTAAAGTTATAAGAGGAGAAGCTACATGGTGAGCAGGTTTGGGGAGCTCAGAAGCTTGGCTATGTCTCATCTCAGGCTCGGTGGGCAGTAGGACTTCCATTCCTGGCACCCAGGGCATGGTCCTGGCTGGAGATGTAGCACACAGAGGACAGAGGAAGGTCGTAGCAGGTCAGTGTGGAATAATGGGGTCCCTCAGACTCTGCATGCCCCAGTTTTTGTCCCTGCCATCACCCCCATCTCTGGGTGTCAGTCCCTGCCTGTGCCGAGGGAGACAGGCACAGAGATGCTCAGGTGGCCCTTCACCACTGCTGCCTCCGGTCAGTCTCTGCCTCTGCACACACCATGCATCAGCACGGCCTGCTGTCCCTGTTCTTTTTTTTTTTTTTTTTTTTGAGACGGAGTCTCGCTCTGTCGCCCAGGCTGGAGTGCAGTGGTGCAATCTCGGCTCACTGCAAGCTCTGCCTCCTGGGTTCACACCATTCTCCTGCCTCAGCCTCCCAAGTAGCTGGGACTTCAGGCGCCCGCCACCACACCTGGCTAATTATTTTTCTATTTTTAGTAAAGACGGGGTTTCACCGTGTTAGCCAGGATGGTCTCAATCTCCTGCCCTCGTGATCCGCCCGCCTCGGCCTCCCAAAGTGCTGGGATTACAGGCGTGAGCCACCGTGCCCGTCCTGTCCCTGTTCTTTACCTGTGATGCACCAGCGGTCCACTGTCAATGCCCAAAAATCAGGAAATACCAGATAAGCAGGAGGAAGAGCCTCCTGGATTTGGACACCAGGAGACCTGCTTGGGGATGTCCTTAGCAGTTTCACTGAACGTCCTTGAACCCCAGAGACAACTCAGATGCAGGGAACAGGGACACACACTGAGGCCCATCTGCACAATGGAACACTTCACTGCTGTGAAAAGTAACCAGCTGCTGATATATGCATAGCACAACGACTCAGATGCATTTTGTGTGTGTGTCTGTGTGTGTATGAACGTGTGTGAAGTTAGACCAGAGCCTCCTTGTCTGGTTCTGAGTCTTCCCTGCAGCATAAGAGCCGTGTGACTGCAAAAAGTGTGGTAAGACCCTCTGCCCAGTTTGCTCATCTGTCGATGGGGATAATGATGGTTCTCCCTGGGTAGGCTGCTATGCCGATAGATGATGGCACATGTAAGGCAGGTGCAATGGCATCCAGCCACAGTAATCTTCTCAGTCCCAGCTGTTGTCGTTATAATTTTATAAAAATTCTTGATTGCTGTTGCATCCAGAGCATCTCTGTGTCCTTATTTAAGAACATCACTGGCCGGGTGTGGTGGCTCACGTCTGTAATCCCAGCACTTTGGGAGGCCAAGGCGGCCGGATCACGAGGTCATCATGGCCAACATGGTGAAACCCCGTCTCTACTAAAAATACAAAAAATCAGCCAGGTGTGGTCGCACATGCCTGTAATCCCAGCTACTCGGGAGGGTGAGGCAGGAGAATTGCTTGAACCCAGGAGGTGGAGGTTGCTGTGAGCTGAGATCACGCCATTGCACACTCCAGCCTGGGCGACAGGGCAAGACTCTGACTCAAAAAAAAAAAAAAAAAAAAAAAAAAAGAACATCACTGTAAGTGCTCTCTGGTATTTTAATGTCTGGATGGCCCTGGGTAAGGGAATCATTCCCTCCTGCTGGAGGCGTGGGTTGTTTCAGCCTTTCACTATTATGTATGGTTCTGAGGTGGGCTTCCCCATAGAGAAATCTTGGCAGCAGATTCTTTTTTTTTTTTTTTTTTTTTTGAGATGCAGTCTCACTCTGTTGCCAGGCTGGAGTGCAGTGATCTTGGCTCACTGCAACCTCTGACTCCCTGGTTCAATCGATTCTCCTGCCTCAGCCTCCTGAGTAGCTGGAATTACAGGCACATGCCACCATGCCCAGCTAATTTTTGTATTTTTAGTAGAGATGGGGTTTCACCATGTTGGCCAGGATGGTCTCAATCCCCGACCTCATGATCCACCTGCCTCGGCCTCCCAAAGTGCTGGGATTACAAGCATGAGCCACCATGCCTGGCCAGCAGATTCTTATTTCCTGTGGCTAAAGGTTCATATGCAACATAGGGTGCTTATTGCATTTACCAAATGCTCTGCAGAAAGGTTGGATCTGTACCCCAGCCCGGGTACAGGGCTTCCCAGGCCCTGCCAACTTGCACATTGTTTTCTTTTTGCCTTTACCTCACCGACGCAGGAAAAATGAGCTCTCCCTTGAATCAACATTTCCTCAATTGCCTGTGGGTCTGCATTTTTCATGACTGTGGGCCACTGGTATCCTTGTGAATTGCTTGTTCACACATTAGAACTTGTTGGTTTTTTTTAAACTGAATATTCAGTTTTCATTGATGTGTAAGACCTCTTCATAGATTAAGACTACCGAACCAACCTTTGACCTATGCTTTCCAAATATCCTTTCCCGAATTTTTCACCTGAGTTGGTTGTTTTCCATTATTAGGGAGCCTCAGAAGCTTTTGCTTTCTGCTTTGTATGCAGTCAAATCTGCTGATCTCTCTCTGTCCCTCTTTTTTTTTTTTTTTTTTTTTTTGTTCTGATTTCTGCCTTTGGAGCCGTGTTTAGGTCATAATCAAAGGCCATGCCTCAGTGTCTCAGGGAAGGTATGTTTGCTTTTATTGTCTTCTAACACTTATTTCTTTTTTTAATGCTCCAATCCTCAACATCTAGAGTGTACTTCATGGAGGGATCCAGCTCTGCGTTGTCCCCCGGTCTGGATGACCCCATGTGACCTCTAGAGCATCCAATGGCCTTTGGAGCTGCACCCCACCCCTGTGCTCCCCAATGCTGTGCCAGCTCCTCACTCCAGGGTCCTGCCCAGCCCTGCCCTGCGTGCCCACCCCCCCCCCCCCGCCATGCCTCATACCTGCCTGTCTCCCCAGGCACGTGCGCTAAGCTGCGGCTACCCCCGCAAGCAACCTTCCAAGTCCTTCGTGGCAATGGTGCTTCCGTGGGGACCGTGCTCATGTTCCGCTGCCCCTCCAACCACCAGATGGTGGGGTCTGGGCTCCTCACCTGCACCTGGAAGGGGAGCATCGCTGAGTGGTCTTCAGGGTCCCCAGTGTGCAAACGTAAGGACCCCTCTCTCAGCTCGGTGGCTCTGGGGGTGGGGGATGGCCCCAAATCCTGTCATGGGGATGGTGTGGGTGGGGATGGCGTGGGTGTCTACTCACAAGCAGCTAGGCCAGTGTGTAGGGTCCCATTCCCAACACTGACAGCTTGCTTACATGTCAGCAGCCGGCTGTAGGCCCTCAGCCCTCCCAGTGCCATGTTGGCAGCACGGACCGAAAACCTAGTAGCGGGCCTCCAATCCTGGCTCTGCTACCGACTCAGCCCCTCACCGCCAAGAGGCTGTGCATGCTCTCTGAGCCAGCACGTTTTCATCTGTTAAGCAGGAAACTATGTTTGTTCATTCATTCATTCATTCATTCATTCATTCATGTACAGGTGCACATGGCCAACTTTAATAGGATATTTCACGTATCAGGAATCTTAAGTACTGGCAACACGGAAGGTCATAACGTGCCTGGCCCTGGAGCTCCCAGTCTGTGGGAGGCAATGGTTTTCTGGTTGTATTTCTTGTACAGGTGTTGAAAGGTCCACAAGATAGTCCCTTTTCAGTGCCCAGCATGACATTTCCAAAATGAAGCTATGTGTGTTATGTTCATGTGTTTTGTGCATAAAAAGGGCTCAGAGTCAAAATAGTTTGGCAGATTCTGGGTTTTTATGCTGCAGAACTTCTCAGAGCCTTTAAAATGTTCACGTGCTAGGTGATTCTCTGAGGATGCGAGTGTTAGGATTAGATTCTGAAAGGCAGAAAACCCAAAATACTAGGATTAACTATGATGGAGCTCAACCTTCAGGGTGGGCAGGCAGATCTGTATAGGCTCCATGGCAGTGGGAGCCAGGCCCCTTCCCTGGCATGGCTCTGCTGGGCATGGCCTCAGCCTCATGATTCAAGATGGCAGCAGCTATGTTCCAGGCAGCTGTTATGGGGTGAGGGGCCCTGGGGCCAAAGAGCAGGCCCCAGTGTCTCAGGGAAGGTTCTTAGAAGTTGCCCCACATCACTTCTTATCTTCCACTGGCCAGAACATGGTCCTGTGACCACTGGGAAATGTAGTCTCCATTTTGGGTGGCCAGGATCCACTAGGGAGCATGGGAAATGGGGCAGGGGACAGGGCCATGTTCTCTACGTGGGGGAGTAAACGGTGTTGCTCAAATTAGGATTCCGAGGCCTTTTTTAGCCAGAACATCCAGTAGAATCTGATGGAACTAGTTTTTGGAGCATAGCTGAGGTCACACAGCAGATACATAGTATTTTGGACCTTCCTGGAAAGTGACCTGAGAAGGCATGTAGGCCCCCTGAAGAATGTTGCCACCTTGGGGCATTGTGAAAACCCAGACCATGGGCTGGGCAAGGCCTCCTCAGTACTGTCTATTGTCACCTCCTCTCTGTGGCCCACCCTTCCTTCATTCCTCAGGCAGGACTTCAGTGGGTAGGAGCCAAGGAGGCCATCACTCTGAACTCCCTGCCAGAACTTCTGTAATTGACCACTCTGCAGACTTCTACATACCCTACAAAACCCTGCTCAAATACCCTCTTCAGTTAGCCACTCTGCACACTCCTACACACCCTGGAAAACCCTGCTTAAATACCCCCTTTAAATAGCCACTCTGCATACTCCTACACACCCTGCTCAAATAACCTGCTTCTTGGGGAGAGTCTTCTCTGATAGTCCCACCTCCAAATATAGTTTGCACAGATCTTTGCCTCAGCCCCCAGCACCTCACTGCCCCCTTACCATGCAAACAGGGCTCACTGAGGGCTGCCCAGGCCCTGTCTACACCCAGGCCCTACCCGTACCACCCCTGAGACCCCCAACCCCTGGGCCAAGCAAATCTGGGCAAACCTCGCCCAGGAGCTGGTGGTTGTCTCCCACACAGTGGTGCCACCACACGAGACCTTTGGCTTCAAGGTGGCCGTGATCGCCTCCATTGTGAGCTGTGCCATCATCCTGCTCATGTCCATGGCCTTCCTCACCTGCTGCCTCCTCAAGTGCGTGAAGAAGAGCAAGCGGCGGCGCTCCAACAGGTACGGTGGCCTCATGATCTCAGGGTCCTCCCGGGAGGCGCCTCTTGGCACCATGGGAGGAGGAAAGGACAGAGTGTTTCAAGGGAACCCCGGCACTGCCCTCAGGGCACCCGTTCCTACCACTGCTGCTCTGGGCCTGCGTCTCCCCCCCAAGTGCTGCTCCCGGCCCACGCAGCAGCCAGGGGCAGCATCACAGCTGGGGGACATGTGGGCCCCCAAGGCCCTGCTCTTAGGCCAGGCTATGGGTTCACGGGGGATTATTTTATTTATTTATTTTTTTTGAGACGGAGTCTTGCTCTGTCACCCAGGCGACAGAGTACAGTAGCGTGATCTCAGCTCACTGCAACCTCCGCCTCCTGGGTTAAAGCAATTCTCCTGCCTCAGCCTTCCTAGAAGCTGGGATTATAGGTATGTACCACCACACTCGGCTAATTTTTTGTATTTTTAGTGGAGATGGGGTTTCACCATATTGGCCAGGCTGGTCTCAAACTCCTGACCTCTGGTGATCCGCCCAGTGATCTGCCTCCCAAAGTGCTGGGATTACAGGCGTGAGCCACCGCGCCCGGCCCGTTTTATTCTTAAACCTGCACACATATGCAGTATGTACTCTGCTGTGTTAACGGCCTGCAGGGCTGCCACACACGCCCCCTAAACCTTGAGAGGGAGTCACTGTCACTGCAGATGGAGGGCTGGTTAACCACAGCCCACCAGCGAAGTCCGGCTGTCTGTCAGGTTTTTTCCCCATGGTAATTTATTATTATTTTTTGTTTTTATTTTTTATTGTGGTAAAATATCAATACATAAAACTTAACCTTTTTTTTTTTGAGACGGAGTCTCACTCTGTCGCCCAGGCTGGAGTGCAGTGGCTCCATCTCAGCTCACTGCAAGCTCCACCTCCTGGGATCACGCCATTCTCCTGCCTCAGCCTCCCGAGTAGCTGGGACTACAAGCGCCCGCCACCATGCTCAGCTAATTTTTTTTTGTATTTTTAGTACAGACGGGGTTTCACCGTGTTAGCCAGGATGGTCTCGAGCTCCTGACCTCATGATCCACCTGCCACGGCCTCCCAAAGTGCTGGGATTACAGGCATGAGCCACTGCGCCTGGCCAAAACTTAACCTTTTTAACGTCTACAGTTCAGTAGCATTAAGTATGTTCACGATGTAGTGCAGCCATTAGCACTGTCCAGCCCTAGAACTTTCCACCACCTGTATTTGTAAGTAAAGTTTTATTGGAACACAGCCATGTTCATTGTCTACTGGTGTGTGGCTACTTTTGGGCTGCAATTGCAGAGTTTAGCTGTGGGAGAAATCATGTGTCTCACCACACCAAAAACATCCACTGCCCAGCTCTTTGAGAGGTTTGCCAGCCTGCACTGGTCCTGCAGACGGTGCCCTGGGCCTACATGGAGCCTGTTTCCACCACCGTCAGGGATACACCTGCATGCTCAGAGTCCTTCCTCCCAAACTCTCCTCCAGGTCAGCCCAGCTGTGGTCCCAGCTGAAAGATGAGGACTTGGAGACGGTGCAGGCCGCATACCTTGGCCTCAAGCACTTCAACAAACCCGTGAGCGGGCCCAGCCAGGCGCACGACAACCACAGCTTCACCACGTGAGCCCGGGTCTGGGTAGGGGACATGCTGGGGGACAAGGGGTCCAGCTTGGTCAGGCCCCGGGCCACCTGCTGCTCCCACACGCTGAGAGCCTGCTGCTCCCACACGCCTAGCCCACCCAGAACCTTAACTCCCATCTCTAAAACAAGAGGCTGGTGGTCCTTGTAGCACTCTGTCCTGACTCTGACATTCTAGGACTCAGAACTGCCCCCAGCAGTGTTTTCATCTGGAGGGTCCACCCTCCAGGGAAGCTGAAGCTTCTACACACCTGTGTTCCCTCCACCTACACCCAGCAGGGCTCTGCACTGAGCTGCAGTCACTTGCTCTCCCTCCCGTGCTCTGTCCCTCTCCTTTCTCTCTCTCTTAATACACACATACATTTTTTTGCCCTGAACCAATATAAGGACATTCTTTTTCTGAGTCCAGAAATTTAATACTGATTGGCCAGGCTTGGTGGCTCACACCTGTAATCCCAGCAGTTTGGGAGGCTGAGGTGGGAGGATCACCTGAGGTCAGGAGTTCGAGGCCAACATGGTGAAATCCCGTCTCTACTAAAAACACAAACATTACCTGGGTGTGGCGGAGTGTGCCTTTAATCCCAGCTACTTGGGAGGCAGAGACAGGAGAATCACTTGAACCCAGGAGGCGGAGCTTGTAGTGAGCCAAGGTTGTGCCACCGCACTCCAGCCTGGGCGACAGAGCGAGACTCCGTCTCAAAAAAAAAAAAAAAAAAAAAACAAAACTAACAGAAATCTAATATTGATTGCACGTGGCCTGTTGAGTGGAGAATGTCCATAATCACACGCAGCACTCAGCCACCAGGTCTCTGGGCTCCTTAAACTGGTATGGGCCTTCAGTTTTTCATGGCATAGTCTTCTGAGGGTTCCAGGCCAGTGGTCGCATGCAGAGGCTCCTGTCTGCGTCTGTCTGGTGTTTCTGTGTGACCAGGCCCGGCTCTGCATTTCTGGTGCAGGGCTACATGTGCAGATCACAGACATGGGCCAGGCTGCCCCCACGGGCCACATGGAATGGGGTCTCTTGGCTGAGGCGAAGCCCCCCAGGTCCCTCCACTGTCAGAGCCTGAGGAAGGGGCTCTGCAAGTGTCCCTCCACTGTCTCAGCGGCCTCTGACTTGTGGTCTCAGCGTGCAAGGCTGATCCTGCCAGATCCGCTCTTGCCTTGGGCATTACAGAATGGTGACTTTGTTAATTCTGTTGCACTTCTGACATTCCTTCTATCAGGGATGAGGATGAGCTGTTTTTTTCTTTCCTTTCTTTTGATTTTGTTTTGTTGTTTTAGCATCACATGAACTCATGAATATTCTTTTCTGAAACTTTTATTTTGGGAAAAGTTCACAAATACACAAAAGTAGAATATTGTCACAGATCTCCTGTCCCTGCCTCCCATTCTCATGGTCACCAGCTAAGCCAGGCAACCTCATTCATGCCCCTTCCCCCACATTATTTTCAAGCACACTTTTTGTGGGCTCCAGTTCTTGGCAGTAGGAGCTCTGCCAAGCCATGGCCTGTGTCCTTCTGATCCATCCCCATCAGTCTGTGAGTGCTTCCTGCCTTGCACAAGATGTTCCAGGCCCATCTCATGCTTTCTGTGCCCATCTCTGCGGTTGGCCACTGCTCTGGGAGCCCTGTTTCTGTGGGTGGAGAACAGCGCTTAGACACCGGGGTCTGGGCGGGCATCCAGACGACATCATTGAGCTTGTGTTCCCTTCCTTCAGGCCCTCCTGCTGGAGTCTTTCGAGGCTGCAGTGCACTTGGTCCCAGCCCTCATGGCCTCACTGTATGACTAACAGCTCCATGCCTCGGTTTCCTCACCTGTAAAGTGAGGATTGCAGTAGCGCTCACCCTTTCAAGTTGTTGAGGTTACCTGAGTCCGGGTGTGTGCCTCTCTCGCCAGGCCCAGGGTGAGAGCTCATTGAATACTGGCTGTTACTGTCGTTGCCACTCTTACGACCTTATGCAGATGGGGAAACTGAGGCACAGGAGATGGTGGTCTCTGTGGCCCTGGGTTACACACACCGTGCTGGGTCTGGCCAACACCTGCAGGGAAGGAATTCACCTTTCTGTCTCCTTTCCTGACGCTTCAAGTGTGTATTACATCAACAAGGATGTAGCCGAAATGCTGCCATTGATACTTCTGCACTTAGCAACACGTTCCAGGTCACCATGGTGGTCTGAGGCCTCCAGGCTATCATTCCTTACAGCAGCCCATTATTCCAAAGCTTCCAATATCTGCTAGACCCTCCCCTGTTGAGTGGTCAGGCGTGGTCAGTGTCTTTTTGCTTAGTGCTGTTTTTCTTTTTCAAGACCACAACTCTTGGGGCTGATCCTAGGAATCGATTGTTTAGGCCCAACAGTCTGAATATTTTATGACCACATTCTTTCCCTGGGAGCTCTGGTACAAGTGAATGTGGCCATATTTTTCTGGTAACTGCATCATCACTGAGTGCTGACCATTTGTTTATCATTTGTTTCTTACAGTAGCTACAAGTTGTGTGGGTAGTTTCCGTCAGCATTTCTTTGATGAATGTCGAGGAAGAATGTTTTCTCCAGCCTTGGCTCACCAGTGCCATTGCTGGCATGAGTCATTTTCTGTTTTCTCTGCTGAATTACCTCCAAATGTTTTGCTCCATGTGTTGTGGGAGGGCACCTGACCCATCAATTGGCTGTACATTTTTTAGGCCTCTTTCCTTTTTTTTTTTTTTTTTTTTTTTTTGAGGCGGAGTCTTGCTCTGTCGTCCAGGCTGGAGTTCAGTGGCGCGATCTCGGCTCACTGCAAGCTCCGCCTCCCGGGTTCACACCATTCTCCTGCCTCAGCCTCCCAAGTAGCTGGGACCACAGGTGTCCGCCACCATGCCCAGCTAATTTTTTGTATTTTTAGTAGAGACAGGGTTTCACTGTGTTAGCCAGGATGGTCTCGATCTCCTCACCTCGTGATCTGCCCACCTCGGCCTCCCAAAGTGCTGGGATTACAGGCGTGAGCCACCGTGCCTGACCCCCTTTCCTTTTTATTTTAGTTTTGTTGGGGCCATGGTGGCTAATGCCTTTCCTTTTGGGTAGTGAGATATCCAAAGCCACTTTCAGAGCTCCTCCATTGCCCCACCTGTGATCCCCACTCCCCATTACAGCACTGGGACCAGATCATCCTGTGTCATAACTGGGAAAGTGCCCATGGAATGGGGGAAGGAACAATTGCCTCTCAAGGCAACATGGTGTCCAGGATGATGGCAGCCACAGCTGCTGCCGCTGCCGCAGGGGCTTTGCTGGCCAGAGCATGATGCCGAGGGGCTCCCAGGGGTGCTGTTTGGGGCCACACTTCTGCCTGGTCCCAGCGCCACAGACCCTGCCTCTTACACTGCGGGAACTTGTGCAGTGTGTGGTCGGACGTGTGCGTCCCGTCCAAGAGTGGCCACAGATCTGTGTACAGGGCTGTGTTCACCCCCTCTGGGGAGTGAGAGAGCCAGGGCGGGAGGGAGGCACCCTGACAGGGCCGTGAGAGGCTGGAGGAGGCCGGCTTAGGGGCCACTCTGACAGTCAGCTCAAGAGGCAGGAAGTGGTGGTGAGGCTGAGGGGGATTGGGAGGGGGACCCTTAGGGCAGAGCCCCTTCCCGGAGCTCTCTCACACATGGAGACCTCGAGCACTCAGCCCAGCTTCATGGGGACTCAGAGAAGGCGGGTCCTGCCCAGGGCTACAAAGCCGATGGAGGCAGAGTTCCCTGAGTCCCCAGCCCTGGGCCCCGGGCTCCCAGGCAGGATCCTCGGGATATGCCTGTGCTGGGGCTGCCCACCCCTCAGGCAGGGCCCAGGCTGCCTCCATAGGTGGTAAATTGCCTTTAGCAAGGTGAGGTTTGCCTCTTGACCTTGTTTTTATTTCATAAGTACTTCTCAGCACTTGCAATGTGCCAGGCACTGTTCTGAACTCTTCCAAATATTAACTCTTTTCACCTAGGGGTGGGTACTACTTTTATCCCGTTTTCCAGGTGAAGAACTAGGCAGGTTAAGAAACTTGTGTAGACTCCCACACAACCAGTAAGTGAGGCTGGGTGGAGTCAGTCTGGCTCCTGCCTCCCCGAAGCTGCCTTTCGTCTCCACCAGTTATTGATGCTTTCACTTACTCATTGCATAAGCAGATCATTTCTTAATTCCTACTACTTACTAGAGTTTTTCTGAGAATTAGTTGTGGGTGGGAGCCGTGATCCAGGAAGGCTTCCTGGAAGAGGTGATGCCGGAAGTGAAAGGACTAAGAGAGCCTGCTTTGGGAGGGGAGAGAGACAGCCTCTGAGGGGAGGAGAGGACATGCAAAGGGCTGGAGGTGGGAGCCGCCAGGCAGCCCACATGGAGCAGAGGCCAGTGTGTGTGTGGAGGCTGGAGATGGGACAGGGCCAGGGTCTGGTCAGCCTGGGGAATGGCTTGGTTTGTATCTGGGGGAGTAGAGAGCCACAAGAGTACTGAGGGTGGAGCAGGTGGGTGATCCAGCTCCTGGCTACCAAAGAGGCAGGCCTGGCAGGAGGGAAGATGTCCTCCCCTTGACCTCCTGCTCCCCAGCATCCCTTCTCTGCCTGGGACATCCCAGGCCCTGGCCAGACAGCTGGGTTCCTGGTGGTTTCTGCACACTCTGAATGAGCCCCAGGAAGTCCCTTCCCACACCTTAGGGGGGCAAGTGTCTGACTCCTGGGCCACGCCCTGGTTGTGTAGATGAAGGACCCACTTGCCAACAGGGCCCGGCAGGGAGATGGAGTGACCTCTGTGCACCTTAGGGTGCAGGGCAGCTCCCAGCAGGAGGAAACGGGCTCCCCAGTGCTCAGGGCAGCAGTTGCCCCAGGCCCACTGGAGGGCCTGGGTACCTGGGAAGGTATGGAGTTGGGGATTAAACCCTATCCACACTCTTTTGCCAACTCATGCCTCCTCTCTCCACAGAGACCATGGTGAGAGCACCAGCAAGCTGGCCAGTGTGACCCGCAGCGTGGACAAGGACCCTGGGATCCCCAGAGCTCTAAGCCTCAGTGGCTCCTCCAGCTCACCCCAAGCCCAGGTGATGGTGCACATGGCAAACCCCAGACAGCCCCTGCCTGCCTCTGGGCTGGCCACAGGAATGCCACAACAGCCCGCAGCATATGCCCTAGGGTGACCACGCAGTGAGGCTGGTGCCCATGCTCCACACTGGGAGGCCAGGCTGACCCCACCAGCCAGTCAGCTACAACTCCACATCAACTCCACATGCGCCCAGCTCGAGACTGATGAGTGGAATCAGCTTCCAGGTGTAGGGACCCCTTGAGGGGCCGAGCTGACATCCAAGGCTGAGGACCCCAGTGGGGAGTGTTCTGTTCCGGCATATCCTGGCCGTAACGATTTTTATAGTTATGGACTACTTGAAACCACTACTGAGGGTAATTTACTAGCTGTGGCCTCCCACTAACTAGCATTCCTTTAAAGAGACTGGGAAATGTTTTAAGCAAATCTAGTTTTGTATAATAAAATAAGAAAATAGCAATAAACTTCTTTTCAGCAACTACAGAAAACTACCTCAGCATCTTCCTCCACAGGATGTACTGCTTCCAAGCAAGGACCCATGGAGGGTTCTGCATCTGTTGTCTGTAAAAGTGCAGTTGAGGGGTATGAAGTAAAACTAAATAATTATTTCTTTTTTTTTTGAGACAGAGTCTCACTCTGTCGCCCAGGTTGGAGTGCAGTGGTGCAATCTCTGCTCACTGCAAGCTCCGCTTCCAGGTTCAAGCGATTCTCCTGCCTCAGCCTCCTGAGTAGCTGGGACTACAGGTGCCCACCACCACGCCCACCTAATTTTTTGTATTTTTAGTAGAGATGGGGTTTCACCGTGTTAGCCAGGATGTCTCGATCTCCTGACCTTGTGATCCACCTGCTTCGGCCTCCCAAAGTGCAGGGATTACAGGCGTGAGCCACCGTGCCCAGCTAAATAATTATTTCTAATACTGAAAAATACAAAGGTAACAGTGGTTGGTTGATGTTAGAGTCAGCAGAGGAGACTTCCCTTTTTTTGTTTGTTTGTTTGTTTGTTTTCAGAGCTAGTTTCTGTTTAACTCTGAAGAAAAAAATCTGGTATTGGTTAGCAAGGAAGGAGTGTACTGAGGCATGACTGACCTGTCTTAGTCATGGGCAGTTCTCCTTGGCCAAGACAGGTCCATTCAGTCAGTCAGTGGGGCTTAAGATTTTATTTCACAGCCATAGCACCCCCACATGGCAGCCTCATGTGGCCTGGGCTTCCTCACAACATGGCAGCCGGCGTTCAAGGTGGAGTTGCAATGTGAGCACCAGGTGGAGGCCATTTTGCCTTTCAGATCCCAGCCTCGGAAGTCATGCTGTGTCTGTTCACTGGGAGTCAAGGCTGCCTTCTAATCAAGGGGCAGAGAGTTGGACTCCACTGCTAGGTGGGAAGAGTGTTGACTGGTGAGAAGAGAATTGGCAGACACACTTTACGACCATCACAGTCACCTTTTTTTTTTTTTTCTGAGACAAGGTCTTACTCTATCGCCCAGGCTGGAGTGCAGTGGTGCGATCTGGGCTCACTGCAACCTCCGCCTCCTGGGTTCAAGCATCACAGTCACCTTTAACCCAATCACTTGTCAAAGCAATTTTATAAAAGGTGACTAATTTTGGTCGGGCACAGTGGCTCACGCCTGTAATCCCAGCGCTTTGGGAGGCCAAGGCAGGCTGATCACCTGAGGTAAGGAGTGTGAAACCAGCCTGACCAATGATGAAACCATGTCTCTACTAAAAGTACAAAGATTAGCTGGGCATGGAGGCATGCACCTGTAATCCCAGCTTCTTGGGAGGCTGAAACAGGAGAATCGCTTGAACCCGGGAGGCGGAGGTTGCAGTGAGCTGAGATGGCGCCATTGCACTCCAGCCTGGGCAACAAGAATGAAACTCTGTCTCAAAAAAAAAAAAAAAAAGACTAATTTCTTATTCTCCCAGCTTCACTCCCAGAGGGGTTATTTGTACTGCAGGCCTGTGTGTACATAGCCATGCCTACTGCAGGTGTGGTTTTAGACATTTCTACCTGCTGCTGTACCTCTTGTTTGCTTCTACTTAAAATGAACTCGGAGCTCATTCTGTAGCTCTCTGCCCTACCCTCTCTTTCAACTCTGAGCCCCACATTTGTCCTGGGCCAGTTAAAACTACACCTTCAGCCTCCCATAATTTGGGGTGTGACCTGTCTCTGGCCATTGAGAAAAGCCACTGGGTTTGCCCTTTGACCTCCCCTGCTTCCTGCCTGGAGCCCAGCAGCCATGTTGGGGCCATGAGGAAGAGAAGCCGAAGGTCAGGAGGAAGAAGCCCTTACACTATATGGCTCCTTGTGGGCTGAAGCCACACTTGTCATGTCCCTTAGAACCAGATACTTTCGTGATTCACGCTACTCAGAGTCGTCCATCTGACAGGTGTCCCATGATTTATGTGACACATCCCCAGCCAAGGGATGCTTGGGTGGTTTCACATTTCTGGCCTTCACATTTCTAGACACCTTGATACTGGGATGCCATTTCCTTTGGGTGGATTTCTGGAGTGGGACTGTGAGGCCAGAGAGTGTGCCTGGTGGTTTCCTGTCAAGTGCTGGAGTATCTCAGGGCTTCTGTGGGCACACAGGGACACTGAGGCAGGGGAAGTGCAGATCCAGCCCTCACCAGGCCAGTGCAGCTTTCCTCTGCTGGGGCTCCTGACAGGCTCAGGAGAGCTCTCCTTGGCTTTTTTTTTGTTTTGTTTTGTTTTGTTTTTTGAGATGGAGTCGCTCTGTCGCCCAAGCTGGAGTGCAGTGGTGTGATCTCAGCTCACTACAAGCTCCGCCTCCCGGGTTCACGCCATTCCCCTGCCTCAGCCTCCCGAATAGCTGGGACTACAGGCGCCCGCCACCACGCCCGGCTAATTTTTTTGTATTTTTATTAGAGACTGGGTTTCACCATGTTAGCCAGGATGGTCTCGATCTCCTGACCTCGTGATCCGCCCACCTCAGCCTCCCAAAGTGCTGGGATTACAGGCGTGAGCCACCCCGCCTGGCCTTTCCTTGGCTTTTATGGGAGTGGGACGTGGTGTCCCTTGGCTGCATGCCTCAGGGGACCTGTAGGCTAAGCAGCAGGTCAGGGTCAGGGCCTGGGGTGGCATGCTTGCCCACAAGCCCAGCGTGCCACTGCTTATCTGGATACCAGGGATATTGAATCACTTCTAGCTCCTTATAGGACTTAAGCAGCACCAAGGTTTGGTGCTGTTGACAAAAGGCTCCGGGCTCTCCTGTTCTAAGTTCTAGTCCCCATTCAGCCCTTTCTACCACTAACCCCCATTGTGAAGCGGGACCAGGTAGGTGGAGGCTGTAGATCACCACCATGCAGGACGGGACAGGCCAGGTGGCTGGAGCTAAGGGGAGCCCAGAGGCCCCCTTGAAATTTGAAGGGCCTGCAAAGGAAATGGGTGTTTTGTGCCCAGGTGGCTGACCCTGGGCTACTGGAGCACAGAACAGGAGAACTGGGGTGAAGGGCTCCAGCTCCCAGTAGCTGACAGTTACAGAAATGGGTGTCCGGATGGCCATGGAGGGGCTGCACTGGGCAGGGGGGCCAGAGGGGAGGAAATGATATGGGGCGTGGCAGGGCACAGCCATTGCCCAGGAGAGCTGTGGGGCATAAGCCCCTCACAGTGCAGCATGCTGGATCCCCCCACGTCTGCGCCATGGCCTAGGGGTCTCAGCTGGACCAAGAGATGGTACAGCTAGGGAGCAGAGAGCCGAGTAGTCCCGCAGGCATGGTCTGACAATGCGTGTAAGAGGACTCGGCTCTCTGGGCCTCTAGGATTTTTCTGGGGAGATTTGGGGCCAGCTCCCCCTTCACCTTGCTCCCAAGGCAAGGAGCTGGCCCCAAATCTCCCCAAAAAACCCTAGAGGCCCAATTCCCACTAGTACTGGGAACAAAGAAAAGGGACCACCAACCGCTCTGAATTTCCCGGACACACCCAGCTCACTCCCACTGAAGGCCTTAGCACACGCTGTTCCCTCTGCCTGGAATGCTTGGCCCTTGCTGGCCACATGGCACATTCCCACACTCACCTTCTCAGCTCAAAAACCAGTAACTTCTGTCCATCAGGACTAGTGAGGTTATGCTACTGAAACGAACAATCCCCTGAATCTCGGGGGTCAGACCACCAAGTTTATTTCCTTGGTCACCAGGGACCCCGGCTGGTGGAGAAGCCCCCATTCCAGCATGGGAGTCCACAGTCTCGTGGCAGGGGAAGAGGATACAATCCACAGTCTCATGGCCTCTGTGCTAGGCCCAGGATGGAAGAGGATACAAGGGTAGGGGGTGCTTGCACCAGCAATAAAATGCTCTGGCCTGGAGGGAGCACACATCACTTCTGTTCATAATGTGTTGATCAGACTAAACCACACCACAAAGTCACCAGGGGTTCACTCTCCAGGGGTGGTAAAGGAGTGGGGAAACAGCCATGAGCAACATCCAGACTACGATGGCATCCTTCTTGTCGCTTCAAGACCACTGAAGCCTGGTTCAGCTGTCTTTCAAATTCGGTGTTGGTGAGACCCATGTTTTCCAGTTGAGATGAAAGCTAAGTTATCAAAGAAACATGAGTCAGCCTTAAATACAGGAATAGTGCCATTCTGATAACCAGAAGTGGCTGAAAAGTTAGAGAATTGGCTTAAGGTGTCAAAAGGAGACATCTTTATTCAGTAGAATGTAAGTGATTGGGGAAAAAAATCGTGTCTCCTGAACCAATTCCTGAGCAACTTGGTTACCTATGTGTTTCATTTTTCTATCGCTGTATAGTGAATCACTACAAAACTCTGGCTTAAAGCGGCAGCCGCCGCCATGTTATCCTGCTTGCTCCCGATTCTGTGGGCTTGCTTTCTCCTTAGTAGGTGGTTCTGGCTTGTGCCTCTCACATGCGGTTGCAGTCAGAAAGTGGCCAAGGCAGAATCTCCCAGACGCGTGTTCACTCACTGGGTTTCAAGAGTAAGCACCCCAAGAGACAGCAAGTAGGAGCTGCCGGCTCCTTAAGGCCTGGGCCTAACACGATGTTCTATTGGTCAGGCACTCCCAGAGCTCAGATTTGGATGCCCCTAGACATCTCACACTCAGCATGGACAGAGGAGAACTCAGTTTTCCTCCCTCCTTCCCTGCCCCCAGGCCAGAGCCCTTCCCTTTCTCAGGCCCCACAGCCAATCCTCCGGCAAGTCCTTTGGCGCATCCTCAAACTTCATCCAGAATCCGCACCTCCTCCCTACCTCAGAGCTGTGGGAGGGAGAAGCACCCTCGCCCCGGTTCAGGCCTCTCACCTGGACCGTGAAAGTAGCCTCCTCATGGTCTCCCTCCAGTCAAGCCCCCGACCAGAGTCAACTTACACACAGCTGCCAGAAGGTTTGTTTTGTAAATTATGGCAAAATACACAAAAAGTTCACCTTTTCCTTTGAGACAGTCTTGCTCTGTCACTCAGGCTGGAGTACAGTAGCATGATCATAGCTCACTGCCACCTTGACCTCCATGGCTCAAGGGATCCCACCTCAGCCTCCCAAGTAGCTAGGACTACAGACAAGTGCCACCACGCCCAGCTAACTTTTTTACTTTTTTTTTTTTTTTTGGTACAGACAGGGTCTCACTATGTTGCCCAGGCTGATCTTGAACTCCTGGCCTCAAGTGAACCTCCTGCTTTGACCTTGCACAGTGCTGAGGTTACAGGTTTGATTATCATTGTAATCATTTTAGGTAAACAGGTCAGCGGCATTAAGTGCATTCGCGTTGCTATGCAACTGTCACCACCGTCGATCTCTAGAACTTTTTCATCTTCCCAGACTGAAACTCTGTCCCCATGGAACACTAATTCCCCATTCCCTCCTCCCTCCAGTGCCTGGCAGCCACCATCCAGCCTTCTGTTTCTATGAATTTGACTAATTTAGATACCTCACATAGGTGGAGTCCCGCGGTATTTGTCTTTTTGTAACTAGACTATTTCACTTTGCATGATGTCCTCAGGGTTCACCCTTGTTGTAGAATGGGTCAGAATTTCCTTCCTTTTTAAGGCTGATTAAGGCCACATTTTGTGTATCCTTTCACCTGTTTTTTTTTTTTTTTTTGAGATGGAGTCTCACTCCATCGCCCAGGCTTGAGTGCAGTGGCATGATCTTGGCTCACTGCAACCTCTGCCTCCCAGGTTCAAGTGATCCTCCTTCCTCAGCCTCCTGAATAGCTGGGACTACAGGCACCTGCCACCACGCCTGGCTAGTTTTTGTATTTTTACTAGAGATGGGGTTTCACCATGTTGGCCAGGCTGGTCTCAAACTCCTGACCTCAAGCGATCCACTCACCTCGGCCTCCCAAAGTGCTGGGATTACAGACATGAGCCACTTCACCCAGCCTATCCATTCATCTCTTGATGGACACTTGGGTTGTATCCACCTCTTGGCTACTGTGAATCAGTGTACAGATAACCTCTTTTGAGACCTTGCTTTTAGTTATTTTGTGTATATAGAGGGTTGTTAAAATATGTAAATCAGAGCAAATCACCATGCCCTTCCCCCAGCTTACAGCCCCCAAACCATGGGCTCCCAGCCACCTGGCCTGCATGACCCTGCCTAATACGCCCAGTCACTCCCTGTTACTGTTCCCCTTACTCCACTCCAGCCACAATATCACAATGGTTGTCTCTCAGGCACAGCAAGTTCATTTCTGCCTCGGGGCTCCTGCCTGCCCTGTTTCATCTGGAACACTTCCCCAGCTATCATCTAGCTTCCGCAGTGCAGCAAGGCCTCTGCTCAGATGTCTAGTACATTAGTTATTTATTGCCGTGGAACTGATTACCCAAAAACATGGGAGTTCAAACACAACAATCGTCATTTATTCTCTTTCACTTGGTGGGTCAAGAATTTGGGCTTTGCAGGGTGATTCTGACATAAGGGTTTCTTATGCCACTGCAGTCAGATGTCAGCCAGGGTTGCAGTTTCATCTGAAGTCTCTATTGGGGCTTAGGATCCACTTCCAAGATGATTCACTCTCTCACAGTGAGTCACTGCTGGTTGTTGGCTGGGGGCCTAGTTCCTCTCCACACAGGGCTCTCTGCAAGGCAGGTTGAGCATCCTTACAATATAGTAGCTGATTCGCCCCAGAACAAGCTATCTGAAGATGCAAAGGCTGAAGCCATGATGCCTCTGTGACCCAGCCTCAGAAGTCACACTGTCACCCCTGCCACACTTCACTGGCCACACAGACCAGCCTGATTGACTGTGGGAGGAGACTACACAAGGGCATGACCTGGAATGTGAGGATTGCTGGGGCCACCTTGGAGGCTGGCAACCTCATAGGCATCCTCCGCCTCTTTCTTTGCCTGACTCATCTCCCTAGCTCTTACCAGATCAACATGCAGATGTGTGTTTGTGTCCTCTGGTAACAGGGAAGCTCCATGGGGGAGTGGAGCTTCCAGTCTTCCTTGTGATCCAGCTCTGGGTTGGGCCTATGTTTAGGAGATATTTGTTGAATGAATTAATGAGTGACTGAATGGATAAATGATGCTCCCTGGCCATGTGAGAATGTGGGAGGAGAATGTCCTTGCTCCTTGGTGTTCAGGCCCTTCATCACCTACCATCACCTCTTGGCCTGGTTACAGTCAGCTTCAGCCATGAAGGTCTCCCACAGCCCATGGGGGCCTCATGCCTCCTGCCCTGGCCTAGGAACACCCGTTCTTCAGCATCAGCCTCTCGGGGAGGCCACCCTGTCATCTTTATAGCATCTGTCCTTGCCCTCCTATCCTTAACCCTAATCATCAACAGAACTATCTGTGTGCATTCATTAAGTGCCTCCTGCATGCCAGCCTTTGTGGAGTGAACACTGCAGCACAGATGATGGTCAGTGGAGAAGCCATCATAGGGCAAGACTAGTGCTCTGAAGAACAGAGATGGGGGGTGGGGTGCAGTGGCGAGTGACGTGGTCCAGAAGGGCCAGACTCCAAGTGGGGGTGAGGATGCTAGACACAGAGCTGGGAAGAGCATTCTGGGTGGTCACAGCACACATGAAGATTTGTAAATGGCAGAGGTGGCTGCTGGAGGAACTGGAAGGCTGTGAGCCCGGGTGAGGGAGGAGGATGGTCAGACTCAGTGTTATGACCCCTGTGGCCACTATGTGGGTACTGGGCCATGGGGACAAGGATGGGGCAGGGAACCAGTGAGATGTGAGAAGGCGGCTGCCACCTTCCAGGCAAGACATAACAGGGATGGCGGTCACTGAGGTGGGAGCAGGGCTGGGCTTGGAAGGCAGAGCCCACAGGGTCAGGGTGCAGGTGAGCAGAGGCCTGAGGAATGGCTGGCCCTATGAAAACCAGGGGGAGTGCCCCCACCCAACCCAGTGCAAAGAACCCCTGTGGAAATTAGCTTTGCCTGTATAATTTTAAAATTGTGCCTGCTTTCTAATGAGATCAAGCATGTGATGGCAAGAAAATCTGAAAGAAGCAAATAGTAAGGTGGAGGCCGTTCAGAGGAGTGGGGGTGTGTGTGTGTCAGGGCTCTGGCTTCTGTGACGTTGACAAAGATTCTGTGCTTGACAAACTTTAGCCAGGGTCCTGAACTTTCTCCTTGGCCCATCTGTGAACTTCCTTGTAAAATCCAGTTTCAACAAAGAATCCTCCTAATGAGTTTGGCAAGAACTCCCCACCCTGGATACTTGATCACCCTTGATACCCAATCAGGGTGCTTACCCCCACCATCCCCTGGGTGAGGTCTCGTAAGCCCAGGCTGTCTTTGCAAGAATTCTGTCAGCCGGAATCCCCTTCACCCTGATGTTTCCTCTTCCTAATTTTCCATCCTCAAAGTCCCCTCCTGTCCCAAGTGTCCTTGCTGTATTTGGAATTGAGCCCAGTTCTCTGCTGATGTCTCTCTTCCCCTATCACAAGAGTCCCGAATAAAAATCTGTTTCTACATCTGTAACCACAGTCCAGCTCTGGTTTTTCTTTGACAGTGTCCAAGGGCGGGGCTTCCTGTCACACCTCACTTCACTCCTTCTAAGGGGCCCCTCCACCTTCCCAAGAACTCACTTTCCATTTGGGGTCCAGGCAGCCACAGCTGGCAAGAGCTAGCCCGGAGGGAGGATGCGTGTGCTATGCCTGGGGGAGGGGGAATGCCCAGGATCTGCCATTTGACCATGGGGTGCCCGTGCCTGCTTGCAGCCCCCGTGGTGGGCATCCAGGCTGTACACCCCTGGCTGCACCAGCAGCTGTCCTGCTTTCTGCCGCGGCCTTCCATCTCATAGGGTTGGAGGGCACATCCCAGAGGGCACAGGGCTTTCAGTCCCTGCATGCAGGCTTGGGTTCCTTTAAGTAAATCCTTTTCAAACCCTCAGGTGGCTGAGGAACAGCGACCTGTACTTGGGAGGCCACATCTGGCTGCTAGATTTTGGGCAAGGGGCTTCATGCTCCAAACCTCAGTTTCCCTGTTCATCACATGGCCAGGGGCAGTCCTGAGGGCGCAGAAGTGGATGTGAAGGTGGGATGCTACCTTTCCCAAAAGGGGCTGGGGTCAAGGTTCCCTGAAGGTGGGCAGTGCCTGGAGCCCCTGCAGTCCCCACTGTGTCCCCCTTCCACTCCGTCGCCACCCTTATGGCTCTGACATCACTCAGGGGCAGGAGTGTGTGCAAAATAAACCCAGAGAAGTAAGTACTACACGTCATAACAGTGTGATGGATGCAGAAGAATTGGGGTCAGGCTGCATCCCACTGGGGCAAAAGAGGCCCTCTGGGGAAGCCCCCTCTGGGTCCTCCAGGGGAGCACCTGGAGGCCAGAGCCAGCCTGGACTCACCCAGGCACACAAGCAGATGAGAGGCCTGCAGGGACCCACAGGCTGGTCCACTACCCTCCTGCCCTGGGACGGCCCTGTACATGGGCCTGGGGCAGGCTGGGTCTGATGGCAGCCTGGCCTCCTGGGGAGCATGGACGGGGCTCACCTTCAGTGTTTGGGGACAGGGGTGGCTGCTGTATAGTGACCATGACTGGGCCCCAAGAATTTTGAGGTTTCCAGGTGACAACTGCACCCATTCTCCTGATGCCCCCTATGCCGGCCCTGATGGGAGGTCATGGCACAGGGGAGAACTGAGGCAAAGAGACAGATGGCGCATGGACTGCAGGGACCACTGTGCTGTCCGAGAAGGGGACACTGAGTTGGGCCCCCATTCCGGGTCAGGCTCTGGCATCTCAAATTAGAGCTGCTATGGGGGAACGGCCCACACAGGCAGGGAAGGAAAGAGGAAGGGAAACTGCTGCTGCTGGCTGGGAGAGTGCTGCTATTCCTTCCTTCACGGGTCTCCACTTCCTGGCTGGGGCCCAGTGCATTCACATCATGTGGGGCTAGGAGCTTCTTGTGGCGGGCTCCGGAGCTGGAAATGCCAGGCCTACGAGAGGGAAAGCAGGAAGGAAAGCGGGAGGGAAGTGGAGTTGGCCCAAGGTCACTCATTTTACAGTCCAGGAAACTGAGGCTCAGGCAGGTTAAGTGACCTCTCTAGTTCGGGTCACACTGTCAAGCTAGTGTCTTCTTTTGAAGGTGGGGGACTGGGGTCCCCCAAGAAGGTGTCCCCCCCCCACCCCGCCGAGCGAGGTCACACCGTTGAGTCCTTCTCCCCTGGATTTGGGAAAGCATCACTGGGCACTGCCTCCTTTGGCTGGTCCCTGTGGCGTACTGGACGCCCACCGGCCTTTTGCCCCAGGCCTGGCCCTGTACTCCCCAGGGCCTGACTTTCTGTATGACGTTGGATCAGTCACGTCCCCTCTCAGTTTCAGTTTTCTCATCCAAGGGGTGGGGCGCGAGGCCGGGAGCGGGGAGGTGGACTGAGCCGGCCGGCGGGCCACCTGGATCCCGACTCCGCCACTCAACGCGGCAGGGCCCGGAAGGGCGGGCCCAAGACGGGCAGGGCTCCGGGCAGGAGCGGGCGCCTCCAGGGAGGCGCGCGGCGGTCGTAGCTGAGGCCGCCTTGAGGGCGGGACTTGGACGCGGGCAGGGCTCGAGTGAGAGGCGGGGTTAAAGGCCGCTGCGACGGCGTTATAGACGCCGGCGGGACCGGGGCCCAGCGAGGGGAGGGACTCTGGGCCCCTCGCGGCGTCTTAACTGACGCTGGGAGGGGCGGGAGTCCGGTGGCGCCCGCCCACGCCCGCAGTCGCCCGCCCACGCCCGCAGTCGCATGGCAGAGCAGGAAGGGGCGGGGCTCAGGGCCCCTGGAGGCGCGGAGGCCGACGACGGAGGGGGGCGGGGCTCGAGTAAGGGGCGGGGCCCGGTGGGGGGTTCCTTGAGGCTCGGAAGCCGTCGTCGGAGGGGGCGGGGTTCAGGTGCAGGGCGGGGCTCAGAACTCCGGGAGAGGCGGAAGCCGACGCCGGAGGGGGCGGGGCTCGAGTGAGGGGCAAGGCTCCAGGATCCTCGCAGCGGCCTATCCCAGGACGGCAAGGGGGCGGGACTCGAGTGAGAGGGGCGGAGTTTAGAGCCCTGGGGGAGCCGTAGCGGGCGCGGAAGGGGCGGGGCCTAACGGTAGGGGGCGGGGCTCGTCAAAGGGCGGGGTTTAGAGTCCCCGAGGCTACACAGCCAAAGCCGGGGGGCTGGCCTAGCCAAAAGGGGCGGGCGAGCACGGCCCGCGGGCGGCGTTCGCTGGAGCTGGTGGACCGGGCGGCTGACCGAGGGGCGGACGCGCGGCGGGGCAGACCGCTGGGGACTGCGGGCGGCGCTGTGTCCGTCGCCATGACAGGTGGGCACGGGGTCGGCTGGGCGGCAGGGATGCGGGCGCCCTGGATGGGTGGCCCGGCCCGGGGGTCCGGCTGCCTTGCGAGTCGCCTGCAGGCCGCGCCTGGGCAGCGGGGGCCGAGTGACCTTGGCCCGTCAGCTGTCGGTGGTGCGCGAGTGCACCCCCGCGAAGTGGTGGGTGTCCCGGGGCTTCTACCCGGCGGGGCCGTGCCAGCCGAGGCGGTGCCGGGCATGATGGGTGGTGGCCAGGTGCGGGGCCCGAAGAGGGCGGGGGCTACAAGGCAGCTCCAGGGTGGGGCTGCACAGCCGCGGTCTGGGCTCAGCCACTGCCAATGTGTGTGTGTCCCGTGGTGGGGAATTTGGTCTGAAAGAGTAGGAGGTGGTAGAAATGACACCGGAGAGAATTCACAGCGGTCCTGCTGTGATTCTGGCCACGGAAACAACGCTCCATCCTTACAACCACCCCAGCGAGGTCGCGGGACAGGCGATGCGTTCCTCGGCGGCATGTGATTCCTGTGGGACTCTTGGAGTCTCCCAGACTCCTTCGGTGGTCCACGACGCTCTTGCCCCTGTTTAGTTCTAAGAGAATCGGGGACAGCGACTGGACCCCCCAAGGTTGTTGTGCTCCACGCTAGTGGCCCCAGCCCAGCCTTCCTCCCCAGGGCCTCTCTGGTCTGGGGACCTGCCCACCATCCTCCTGATCCCAAACAGGGTGACTCTGCCCTGTGGACCTTCCCCTGTTGGAGAAGCCCCATGAGGGTGATGGGCTGGTAAGGGACCCCATGGCAGCCCGGCCAGGGAGTATGGGGGTTCCCAGAAGCTACACTTCATTCTTACTGTTCTGTTTCATGGAGCAGAATTGGCTCAGGGGCTCAGGGTAGCCCCAGAAGTCCCTAGTCCTCTCTCGGTGCTCGCTCTCTTGAGTCTCAGCCTAGGTCCTGCCCACAAATAGGATCTCATGGGCTGGAAACTGATGACTTCCAGGACACCAGGCCAGAAGAGACTTCCAGCCTAGGCCACAAGAGACCCCAGCTGCCACCTGCTCCCCTTTGTCCTCCCTTCTAACTCTTCTTATTTGTGGCTCTCATTTCTGAGCACTTACTGTGCATTGGACCCTGTGTTGGGTGATTCCTGTTTGAAAATGATCAGATGGGGACACCTGGAATATCTCGTCTGTGTACAGATGGGGAAACAAAGTCTTAAATTGTGCCCTGCCCAGGCTGGGATTCCGTAATTCCCTTAGTGAGTTCATCAGAATGCGTGGGACACAACTCAGAGCTGTGTTGGTCTCCAGGGAGCCCTGTCCCAGGGACTGGGTGTTGGCAGAGCCTGAGGCCTTGCTGTCCATTAAGGAGCCTTCCTGCACAAAGGGACTTTGTCCCTTTCTGCCTGTCAGGGAAGCTTCCTTGCATAAGGGGACCCTGGAGCTGGGAAACCACATCAGGCAGGGGTCCCTGAAGGCTCTGACTATAGGCCTCACCTTGTCCAGTGTATGCTTCCTACCTGCTATGTCTACTCACTGGGCCTGGAGACATTCCCTCACAACCCTTAGTTTTTGGGATGGGGAACCAAGGCCCATGGAGCACAGCTCTGGGAGGGTCATATGGACAGCCCTGCGAGGCTGCAGACCCATAGTCCCAGGCTCACTGCCTCCATGCACCAACTGGGGTCCTGCCTTGCGCCAGCCCTCGCTGTGAGCAGCGCATGTGAGCCAGTGCCTGCAGAACGCTGAGGAGGTGTCTGCGTGGGGCAGGTGCTTGACAAGTTACCCCCTGGGCTGTGCCGGGGAGTGAGCAGTTTTAGTTGGGCTGAGCACTGAGAGAAGGGGTTTCCTGGAAGAAATTCGGGAGAGGAGGTTGATGCCCAAGTGTCTGGACTCCAGTTGGTTGGGGATGACAGGAACTCAGGAAGGCCTTTTGCACGTAGAACAGCAAGGTGAACATGAATTAACCAGGTGGAAACCAAGGAACAGGTATTCTCAGCCTGGGCTGAGATGTCTTGTGGGCCTAGAGGGCCCGGTGAGAGTGGGTGGGGCCAGCTCCCACGGGGCCTTGAATGCCAGGCTGAGGGCATCAGTCTGGGCTGATAAGAAGGTTCATATTGGGGTGTTTGAATGGGGGTCCATAGTCCTGGTGCCAGCCTGGCAAGAAGGAAGGGGATGTAGGGCGTGGTGAAGGCTTGCCAGGTCTGTGCCAGAGCGAGCCATCTTCCTTTGTCCTGTAAAAACAGTTCAGGGACTTGTTTATCGGGAGCTGGCACTGAGATGGTTTCCCTTCTTGTGCCTTTTCTGGCTTCCAAGTGCTGCCTGTTTGTGTGCACAACTCGCAACCACAGGAAGCACAGGACCCCCAAGCCGCAGAGCCTGGCTTCAGCCTCCGGACCGTGCGGCCTGTGCCAGCTGACTCACGGCTCATGGTGACTCATGGCTCTGCAGCAGCGGAGGCTCTGCCTGGTTAGCGGCTTGCAGGGCAGGAGGAAGCCACTACAGGATGCTGGCCACGGTCCACCTACAGCCCTTGCCCCTGGGTCTTGGACCATACATTGCAGAACTCTTTTTTTTTTTTTTTTTTTGAGACAGAGTCTCATTCTGTCACCCAAGCTGGAGTGCAGTGGTGCAATCTTGGCTCACTGCAACCTCTGCCTCCTGGGTTCAAGGAATTCTTCTGCCTTAGCCTCCTGAGTAGCTGGCTCAGCCTTCTGAGTAGCTGGGAATACAGGCGTGTGCCAGCATGACCAGCTAATTTTTTTTGTATTTTTAGTAGAGATGGGGTTTCACCATGTTGCCCAGGCTGGTCTTGAACTCCTGACCTCATGATCCATCTGCCTCGGCCTCCCAAAGTGCTGGGATTATAGGCGTGAGCCACCGCGTCCGGCCTGCAGAACTCTTTAGTGAGCACCTACTGGGTGCTCAGCCAAGTGGGCAATGCTGGAGAGGACAGCCTTGGGCGTGCTTTTGGACTGGCAGGGAGTAGACTGCTGTAGCTGATTACAGTGAATTTCCATGTTAATTAGAGAGGCAGAACGTCTGAATATCAAGAGGTGGTCCTCAACATGGCTGTGCCTGGGCCTGGATCTTGATCTGTCACTTCATATCTGGTTGCAGTCTTGGGCAGGTACCTTATCTTCTCACTGTGCCTTAGTTTCCCTACCTGAAAATGGGGCTGGTGGTTGTCCTTATGTTGCAAAGCTGTTGGAAGGATGAAGGTTGTAGGTGACGTAGGGCTCACAGAGTGCCAGACATATGGGATTGCTCTGTGAATTTTGGCTAATTCATCTTAGTTCTTTAACGAGAGGGCTGCAGGCGCTGGACCCAGACTGCCCAGCTGGGCCTGTCCATGTGGCCTTGGCAGGTCACTTGACGTCCCTGTGCTCAGCTTCCTCACCATGATGGGGCTGCTGGCAAGTCCGCATAGGCTGCTGTGGGACTCAGTGCAGGTGAGGGCTGAGCCAGCCTTTCCAGCCCCCAGCCATCTGCCTCCCTGCGCGGCCCACGGTGAGTGGCTTCAGCCAGATGATGGAGTGGCTGATGGCCTCAATGTGGGCATCATCAGGGGCCCTGTGAACCAGGATGGCCCCCCTATTGTTCTCTGGAGGGCAGGTATCTCTGGGGTTAAGGATACGTTTGTGGGTTTGCTTGGTGAATGCCAGCCCGCACCCCTACACTGTGAGCCCCTGGAGGATGGATCTGCCCATCACCGTGGTCCCCAGCCCCGCACAGGGCGAGCGTACTGAGACGGGCTGTTCTCACCTGGGCCTCAGTCTGTAGGGTCTGCACAGGGCCCCACGGAGCATGGCTGCTTTTGGGGTGGGTCCACATTCTGGGGTACAGAAAGACCAGCCAGGAGGAAGTGGCAACTGGAAAGAGACATGACAAAGTAAAACAGTCTGTTGAGTCTGTGCCTCAAGGAGTGAACCCAAGAGGGGGCCCCACTGTGTTCAACATGATGACACTGTTTTTGTTTTTGTTTTTGGTTTTTTCTTTGAGACAGAGTCTCACTGTTGCCTGGGCTGGAGTGCAGTGGCGCACTCTCGGCTCACTGCAACCTCCGCCTCCCAGGTTAAACGATTCACCTGCCTTGGCCTCCCAAAGTGCTGGGATGACAGGCGTGAGCCACCGCGCCCAGCCTTCATTTCTTTTTAGCACTGAATAATATTCGTTGTATGGATAAACCAGAGTTTATTTATCCATTTACATTTTTTGTGAGAAAATATATGGAAACATAACATTTACCTTCTTACCCATTTTTTCAGTGTACACTTCAGTGATACTAAATACACTCACAGTGTTGTGTAGTCATCACCACTGGCCATTTCCAGAACTTCTTTATCATCCCAAACAGAAATTTTGTACCCGTTAAACAATAACTCCCCTTTCTCCTTCTGCCCACACCTCCTGGTAATCTGTATTCTATTTTCTGTCTCTATGAATTTGACCCCTCTAAGTACTTCATATAATTGGAATCATATAATATTTGTCCGTTTGTGCCTTGTTTATTGCACTTAGCATAATGTTTTCAAGGTTCGTCCATGTTGTAACATCCACGTATCATAATTTCCTTCCTTTTTAGGGCTGAGTAATATTCCATTGTACATAGGTATATACCACATTTTGATAATTCATTCGTCTTTTGGTGAACATTTGCACTATTTCCATCTTTTGGCTATTTTGAATAGTGCTGCTATGAAAACCAGTGTGCAAGTATCCATTTGAGTTCCTGCATTTATTTATTTATTTATTTATTTATTTGAGACAGAGTCTCACTTTGTTGCCCAGGCTGGAGTACAGTGGTGTGATCTTGGCTTAGTGCAACCTCCGCCTCCTGGGTTCAAGTGATTCTCGTGCCTCAGCCCCCTGAGTAGCTGGCACTACAGGCGAGTGCCACCACGCCTGGCTAGCTTTTTGTATTTTTAGTAGAGACGGGGCTTCGCCATGTTGGCCATGCTGGTCTTGAGCTTCTGACCCCAAGCGATCTGCCCACCTCAGCCTCCCAAAGTGCTGGGATGACAGGTGTGAGCCACCACCCTCGACTGAGTTCCTGCTTTTTGTTTTCTAGGGTACATACCTAGAAGTAGAATTTCTGGATCACACGGTAATTCTTTTTTTTTTTTTTGAGACGGAGTCTCACTGTCGCCCAGGCTGGAGTGCAGTGGCATGATCTTGGCTCACTGCAACCTCTACCGTCCGGGTTGAAGCGATTCTCCTGCCTCAGCCTCCCAAGTAGCTGGGATTACAGGTACCCGCCATCACACCCAGCTAATTTTTGTATTTTTAGTAGAGACTGTGTTTCACCATGTTAGTCAGGATGGTCTCGATCTCCTGACTGCATGATCTGCCTGCCTCTGCCTCCCAAAGTGCTGGGATTACAGGTGTGAGCCACCGTGCCGGCCATCACAGGATAATTCTATGTTTAGATTTTTGAGGACCTGCCATACTGTTTTTTTCCACAGTGGCTGCACTATTTTACATTTTCACCACTAATGCCAAAGAGTTTGAATTTCTCCATATCCTCACCAACATTTGTTATATTAATATATAGCTATCCTAATGAGTACGAAGTGATATCTCATTGTGGTTTTTATTTGAATTTCCTTAATGACTAATGATGAGCATTTTTTTTTTTTTTTTAATTTGAGACCAAGTCTCGCTCTGTTTCCCAGACTGGAGTGCAGTGGCGCCATCTCGGCTAACTGCAACTTCCACCTCCTGGGTTCAAGCAATTCTCCTGCCTCAGCCTCCCAAGTAGTTGGGATTACAGGCACGCACCACCATGCCCGACTAATTTTTGTATTTTTAGTAGAGACAGGGTTTCTCCATGTTGGCCAGGCTGGTCTCGAACCCCTGACCTTAGGTGACCTCAGGTCATCTGCTCCCCTTAGCCTCCCAAAGTGCTGGGATTACAGGTGTGAGCCACTGCACCTGGCCTGATGAGCATTTTTTTGTGTGCTTGATGGCTAGTTGTATATTTTCTTTAGAGAAATGTCTATTCAAGTTCTTTGCCTATTTTTGAATTGGGTTCTCTGTGTCTTTTGCTGTTCAGTTGTAGGAGTTCTTTATGGAGTAAGGATACTAATCCCTTATGAGATATATGCATTGCAAATATTTCTTCCATTTATGTGAACTGTTTTTTCACTTTCTTTTTTTCCACTCTTTTAATTAAAAATAGGGTTTAATTCTAGACTCTCTTATTCTATGCCAGTGACCCATATGTGTGTCTTTATGATAGTACCACATTGTTTTCATTATTGTATATTTTTACACTAAGTTTGGAAAGCAGGAAATATGAATCCTCCAACCCTGTTGTTGTTTTTTTTTTTTTTTAAGATTTTTGTTGTTGGCTATACAGGTATCTTGAAATTCTATATGAGTTTTGGGGTGGGTTTTTCTATTTCTGCAAAAAACACTTAAGATTTTGATAGGGATTGCATCGAATCTGTAGATTGCTCTGGGTAGTGCTTGCAGCAATGTTTTGTGGCTTTCAGTGTACAAGATTTTTGCCTTCTTGATTAAATTTTTTCCTAAGTATTTTATTCTTTTCAATGCTATTATAAATTGAGTTGTTTTCTTAATTTTTGGATTGTTCATTGTTAGTATGTAGAGATGAAATATTTTTGTGTGTTGATTTTATATCTTGCAACCTTGCTGCATGCTTTTAATTAGCTCTAACTTTAAAGAAAAAGATTTTAGGGTTTTCTATATATAAAATCATGTCATCTGTGAACAGAGAAAATTTTACTTCTTCCTTTACAATTTGGATGCCTTTTATTCCCTTTTCCTTTTTTTGCCTAATTGCTCTAGTTAGGACTGCTAGTACTATGTTGAATAGAAGTGGTAAGAGCAGACATCTTTATCTTGTTCCTGATCTTAAGAAGCTTTCGGTCTTTCACCGTTAAGGTATGATGTTAGCTGTGGGCTTTTCATATAAAAATGTCCTTCAATATATGAGGTGGGATGGTTCCAGGAATCCCCTCAAAATAATCTGAGGATGTTCAAATCCCTTATATAAAGTGCTATAATATTTGCACCTATACACATCCTTCCATATATTTTAAATTATCTCTAGGTTACTTATAATACCTAACACAATGTAAATGCTATGTAAATCGTTGTTGTACTGTATTTTTAAAACTTGTATTTTTTTGGTTGTATTGTTATTTTGTATTGCTTTTCCCCAAATATTTTATATCTGCTGTTGATTTAATCCCTGGATATGGAAACTGCAGAGATAGAGTGCCAACTCTATGGCCTTTATCATGTTGATGAAATTTCCTTCTGTATTAGTCCATTTTGTGCTGCTATAACAGAACACTTGAAACTGGGGAATTTATAATGAGCAGAAATTTATAGGCTCATGCTTCTAGAGTTTTGGAAGTCCAAGATCAGGGAGCTAGCATCTGGTGAGGGTCTTCTTGCTGTGTTATCCCATGGTGGAAGGCAGAAGGGCTAGAGAGAATGAGAGGGAGCAAGAGAGGAAGAAAACAAATTTGAAACTTCAAGCCCTTTTATAATTGGCATTAATCCCTTCAAGACAGTAGAGCCCTCATGACCTACATACCTCCCATTAGGTTCTATCTCTCAGTACTGTTACTTTGAGGATTAGGTTTCCAATACATGCTTGTTGACACATTCAAACCATAGCATCTTCTAGACCTAATTAATTGAATATTTATATCAAGAAAGAATGATGACATTTATCAAATGCTTTTTCTATGTCAACTGAAATGGCCATGTATTTTTTCCTTCATTCTATTAATGTGGTATATTTCATTGATTGATTTTTGATTTGTACATGTTAAACCATCCTTGTATTCCAGGAATAAATCAATGTATACTTCTTTTAATATGCTGCTGAATTTGATTTGCTGGATTTTATTAATTTTTCCATCAATATTCATAAAGAGTATTGGTCTGTAGTGTTCTTTTCCATTTTTCTTTTTTCACAGAGACAAGGTCTTGCTGTATTGCCCAAGTGTGGTCTTGAATTCCTGGCATCAAGTGACTCTTCTGCCTCTGTCTCCCAAAGTGGTTTTCTTTTCTTGAAGTGACTTTGTCTGATTTTGGTATCAGGGTAAAGCTGACCTCATAGAATTAGTTATGAAGTGTTCTCTCGTCTTCAGTTTTTTTTGTAAGTTTGAGAAGGATTGGTATTAGTTCTTCTTTAAATGTATGGTAGAATTAACCAGCAAAGCTATATTAGTTCTTCTTTAAATATATGGTAGAATTAACCAGCAAAGCTATCTGGTCCTGAGCTTTTCTTTCTTGGGACATTTTTGATTACTGATTTAATCTTACTAGTTATTGGTCAGATTTTCTATTTCTTCACAGTTCCGTTTTGGTAGATTGTGTTTTTAGGAATGTTTTCATTTTATTTACGTTATCCAATTTATTGGTATACAAATGTTCATAGTATTCTCTTATATTCCTTTTTATTTCTGTAAAGTTCATGGTAATGTCCTACTTTTATTCCTGATACTAGTAATTTGAGTCTTCTTTTTCTTTGTCAGTCTAGCTAGTTTTGTCAGTTTTATTGATGTTATCAAAGAATCAACTTTGGTTTTCTTGATTTTTCTCCACTGTTTTTCGATTCTCTATTTCATTTGTCTTCACTCTAATCTTGATTATATCCTTCCTTCTGTGAGCTTTGGGTTTAGTTTGCTCTTCAAGCTCTCTGGTCTTTACTTTTTCCTTTTCTCATTCCTTAAGGTGTAATGTTAGGTTACTGATTTAAGATTTTTTTAATATATGCATTTGCAACTATAATTTTCCCTCTCAGCATTGTTTTTGCTGCATCCCTTAGGTTTTAGCGCGGTGTAAGGTGTGTGTGTGTGTGTGCACGCGCGTGTGTGTGTGCGTGTGTGTGTGTGTGTGTGTGTGTTTCTGCCTTTCTCATGTTACCTCCTAATTTACCTCATGATTTCTCTTTTGACCCATTGGTTTTTTGTTTGTTTGTTTGAGACAGAGTCTTGCTCTGTCACCCATGCTGGAGTGCAGTGGCACAAATTCAGCTCACTACAACCTCCACCTCCCAGGTTCAAGGATTTCTCGTGCCTCAGCCTCCCAGGTAGCTGGGATTACAAGCGTGCGCCAACATGCCCGGCTAAGTTTTGTATTTTTAGTAGAGATGGGGTTTTGCCATGTTGGCCAGGCTGGTCTCAAACTTCTGGCCTCAAGTGATCTGCCTGCCTTAGCTTCCCAAAGTGCTGTGATTACAGGTGTGAGCCACCATGCCTGGCCCCATTGGCTGTTTAATTTTCACATATTTGTGAGTTTTTTTAGTTTTCTATTATTGATTTCTGGTTTCATTCTATGTGATCAGAAAATATTTTTTATATGATTTCAACCTTTTTGAATATATTAAAGCTTATTTTGTGGCTACAAACTTGTTTTGTGGCCTATCTTGGGGAATGTTTCATGTGCACTTGATAAAAATATCTCTTCTTTATTGTGGTATGGAGTGTTCTGTGTATGTCTGCCAGGTATAATTGGCTTACGGTGTTGTTGAAGTCCTGTTTCCTCATTTATCTTCTGTCTAGTGGTTCTGTCTCTTACTGAAAGTGGTGTTTTGAAGTCTCCAAATATTATTATAGAGATATCTATTTCTCCCTTCAATTCTGCCAGTGTTTGCTTCATATATTTTGAAGCTCTGATATTTGGTGCATATATGTTTATAACTGTTACATATTATTGATGAATTTATCCTTTTATTAATACATAATGTACTTTTTAATCTCTTCTAATCGTTTTTGACTTATAGTCTATTTTGTCTGATATTAGTATAGTTACCTCATCTCTCTTTTGTTTACTATTTGTATGGGTTTTTTTTACATCCTTTCATTTTCAACTTCTTTGTGTCTTTAGATCTAAAGTGAGTCTTTTGTAGACAGCACTTAGTTGTATCATATTTTAAAAATCCACTCTGCCAATCTATGCCTTTTGATAGGAAAATTTGGCTGGGTGTGGTGGCTTACACCTGTATTCCCAGCACTTTGGGAGGCTGAGGTAGGCAGATCACCTGAGGTCAGGAGTTTGACACCAGCCTGGCCAACATGGTGAAACCCTGTCTCTACTAAAAAAAAAAAAAAAATACAAAAACCAGCTGGGTGTTGTGGCACATGCCTGTAATCCCAGGAAGAATTGCTTGAACCCAGGAGGCAGAGGTTGCAGTGAGCCGAGATTGGGCCACTGCACTCCAGCTTGGGTGACAGAGCAAGACTCTATCTCAAAAAAAAACAAAAAAAAAAAAACAAAGTTTAACCTATTTGCATTTGAAGTAATTGCTGATAAGGAATGTATTACTACTGCCATTTTGCTATTTGTTTCCTGTATGTCTTGTAGCTTTTTTGACCCTCATTTATTCTATTACTGCCTTCTTTTGTGTTTTGTTGATATTTTATAGTAACACATTTAGAGTCCCTTCTCAGTTTCTTTTGTGTTATATTCTATAAATATTTTCTTTGTGTACATGGGGAAACAGGACAAGCTGCCACAAGTATGTAGGGTGATGCACTTGTTCAGTCCCTGTGGGGGTCCTGTGCCCCATCCTCTCCATGCCCTTCCGTCATCACTCCACCGCTCAGCCTTAAACATCTGCCATTCTAAGAAACATTCTTAATGGAAAAGGTGGTAAAATGATATTTTAATGGTGATTCTGGAAAAAAAAAAGGCAAATGAAAAGCATTTCTAGCCCTCTGGGAGAACTCACTGGTTTATTGTTGGTAGAAGCTTCTTAAGGCCTTGCAGACACACTGTGTCCCATGGTGATCCCAGCACAGGCCACCCTGAGCCCTGTGTCCCTGTATCTGTGCCACTGTGAAGATCTGCAGAGCGCACATCTGGGCATTCTTGATCTCGAACTCCTGAGCTCAAGTGATCCACCCACCTCAGCCTCCCAAAATGTTGGTATTACGGGTGTGAGCCATCACAACTGGTCTGAGCCACCGTGCCTGGCCCTGGGCATTCTGAGCCACCTGTGCCACCTGTACCTTCCCCAGAACTGAGCTATTTCCTGATGGCCCTGCAGGTGGCCCATGAAAAGTAGATTCTTCGCCCCTCTGAGTTTGTTTTCTGTGATAAGCTCTGTGAAAGTGGGTTTCCACCGCAACCCCTCACTTCCATCTTCTGGAGAGGCAGGTTGGCAGGCCAGGGGCAGCTCTCAGCTGGGCAATGCGCACCACACAGGCTGGGATGGCTGTGATTCTGCAGGTTCACCCTCCTGGTGGGAACCCACCTTGGGGGTGATGCCTTCCTGTGGTCAGTGTCAGTACGAGGCTGTCGTCTCTGGTCCCCTTGGGCTGTGCTGGCTCATGACCCTGTGCTATCTGTTTTAGATCAGACCTATTGTGACCGCCTGGTGCAGGACACGCCTTTCCTGACAGGCCATGGGCGCTTGAGTGAGCAGCAGGTGGACAGGATCATCCTCCAGCTGAACCGTTACTACCCACAGATCCTTACCAACAAGGAGGCGGAAAAGGTGCTGAGGAGGTGAGGGGGGTACCCGAGACACTGCTCAGTTTCCCTTCCTTTCTGGGCTGGGAGAAGCTGGTGACCAGCCCTGGGTCATTCTCTCATGGGATGACACACTAGGTATGTCAGGATTCAGAGGTGACACATCTGGACCTGGCTACTAAGGCTGCCTGAGCTACAAACTGGCCCTTTGGGGTGAGCCCAACCAGGCTCGGAACATCAGCTCTCTGTGCCTCGGTTTCTTCATATGTCATTGGGTCTGCTGTCCCCTTCCCGAGTTGCTGGGAGGTTACAGGAGATAACATGTGACAATACATGAAGCACACAACAGTATAAGATACGGAGGGAGGCGAGAAAGAGGGCAGGAGGGAGGGGTGAGGAGGGAGGAGGCAGAGGGAGAGCCGAAGTGGGATGGGGAACAGATAATGGGCCCGGCCCACCCCAGTGCCACAGGGCTTTGCACTCTGCATCTTCCGAAGGTTCAAAGCGGGCAAACAATTGCTTCCTTTTCTCTAATTTCTATATTACTGTACGAGGCTGGAAAGCCCAGCATGTCACAGGTAGGCAGCTGAGCTTCTAGGAAGGCAGATGCTGACTCACCCCACAGCCGCGCCCCAGTCTGCCCCTCTCAGCAGTGCTGAGCGGGCTGGTCCCCTCAGAACCCCAGCCTCCCCCATGTGTGGAGTGGACACCGAGAGCCCCTGCCTGGCAGGTGTGGTGAGGACTGACTGAGCTGAGCCGGGTAAACGCCTGCCCGAGAGCCCTTGTCGCCAGATGGCCCTGCAGCCCTGTGGGCAGCCACGCTCATCACCCCATCTCACAGAGGTGGTCCGAAGGCTCAAGAGGCAGCCACTTGCCCAGGGCCACTCATTTCAGGAGTGTCAGGCCACATCTTGAGTTCATCCTATTATTTGGGAAAGTGCCCAGGGCCAGTGGCTGTCACTCTGTCACATGGCCCTGGCCTCTCAGAGCTGCAGAGCTGGGCACACCAGGGTGGCTCTGCTGGAGATGGCATTTAAGATGCAATTCCTGGGCTCTGTCTTGGGAGGTCTGTTCTGCTCCATCACCCCAGTGCCAGGTGGCCCTGAGGGGACATTGGATGAGAGAGTTAGCCACACCCTGCCGACCCTACCCACATCTGTGGCTCTGGCGCCCCCACTGAGCCACCTGTTCCTTGACAGGTGCCACGTGCAGGGCTATCCTGAGGGTTGGGGCATCTCCTGGAACAATGAGGTTGGCCCACAACAGAACAGGAGTCAACACGGGCCCTGCTACTGGCTCAGGTGCTTCTTCCGTTTTGAAGGTGGTACAGTAATTTTAAAAGTTAGGAGCTCAAATCCAAATCTCTTATTATTGCAATTGAAGTCTAATGCATGTTCACTTTTAAAAAGTTTAGAAAGTTTAAGACGTTTATACAAGAAAAAGCACATATTCCTTCCTCACAGACACCACAGCTCCTGCCACCCATCTGCCTGCCATTTTCACACTGCCATGGTTTAACTCCAGTTCCCTGTGGCCATGTAGAATGATATGCTGCCACCAGGTGGCAGCACCAGGCCACAGACTCCAGGTCCTGGAGGTCAAGGCCCAGTGGCCTGTCCACTGACCTTGAGAACCACACATTTCTCTGTCATACACATCAAAAGAGCCAATACTTCTGTCTTTTTTTTTTTTTCTTTGAGATGGAGTCTCTGTCGCCCAGGCTGGAGTGCAGTGGCATGATCTCGGCTCAGTGCAACCTCTGCCTCCCAGTTTCAAGCAATCCTCTGGCCTCAGCCTCCCAAGAAGCTGGGATTAAACATGCACCATCATGCCCAGTCAATTTTTTGTACTTTTAGTAGAGATGGGGTTTCACCGTGTTGGCCAGGCTGGTGTCAAACTCCTGACCTGGAACTCCTGATCCGCCTGCCTCAGCCTCCCAAAGTGCTGGGATTATAGGCATGAGCCATTGTGCCTGGCTTCAACTTACTTTTTTAAAACTTGAATCACATTCTGTAGACTGAAAAATAACAGAAGTTAGCACTTATACCATCACTTCATTAATTCCCTGTCACAGCCTACCATGAGGGTTCATTATCCCTTTTTTACAAATGAAGAAACCAAGTCTCTGAGGGGTGGAGTAGCTGGCTAAGGTCACACAGGAAGCCACACTATGTCCCAACACTTGGAATGATGTCACCAGCCCTGTGCTTTCTTTTTTTCGAGATGGAGTCTTGCTCTGTCGCCCAGGCTGGAGTGCAGTGGCACGATCTTAGCTCACTGCAAGCTCCGCCTCCCGGGTTCACACCATTCTCCTGCCTCAGCCTCCCGAGTAGCTGGGACTACAGGTGCCCACCACCACACCCGGCTAAGTTTTTTGTATTTTTAATAGAGTCGGGGGTTTCACCGTATTAGCCAGGATGGTCTCGATCTCCTGACCTCGTGATCTGCCTGCCTCAGCCTCCCAAAGTGCTGGGATTACAGGCATGAGCCACCGCACCTTGCCAGCCCCATGCTTTCTTTGTGACCACTCCCAGCCTGTTTCCCAACCTCCCACCCCACAGGGAGTATGAGGAGTAGCAGTGATGCCTGTGACAGAGGCAATGCCAGGCACTATGTGGTGTGGGTAAGGGGCAGGTTGTCACAGGAGCTGCCATCCAGCAGGTGTCCTGACACCCAACAGGGAAGCTGAGGCTGGGGGCCTGACCTTGGTGCCCTGCCCTGACCCACAGCCAGCCCCCCTGGCCTGATCTTCCCTGGCACCCCCTTGTACCCTCAGTTCCGGAACCCCAAGGCATCCTTGCGTGTGCGGCTCTGTGACCTCCTGAGCCACCTGCAGCGGAGCGGTGAGCGGGACTGCCAGGAGTTCTACCGAGCCCTGTATATCCATGCCCAGCCCCTGCACAGCCGCCTGCCCAGCCGCCACGCTCTGCGTAAGTTCCACATCACCAACCATGCATGCTTGGTGCTGGCCCGGGGAGGGCACCCCAGCCTGCCGTTGATGGCATGGATGTCCTCCATGACCACCCAAGTCTGCTGCAGCCCAGGCCTGGCATCCCCTCTCGCCTCAGCCCCTCCCCAGAGGCCACCCTCTGGCCCCGAGGGGAGAGTGTGGCAGGCACAGGCAGTGCAGATGTTGGTCTCTGTCTCCCACTTTCTCCCCCTTCCTCCGTCTCTCTCTCATGGCAGTTTTCACACAGCATGGGGCATCTTATACGTCCACTCTTGCCCTTCCTTTTCTAACCTCATTCCACGGGGATCCCTTCATGTCTGTGTGGACAGCAACCTTGTTCCCACAGCTGCATGGCGCTCCTAGGCGGTCCCAGCTGGAATTACCCAACCCCATGACGGACCCTTTCATTGCAGCGATCTGCACACGTGTGGGTGTTTCCATAGGACATTGTCAGGCACGGATGGCTGGTCCGAAGCACGTGCATTTCAGTTTTGAGGCTCCTGTCCTCAGGCAGTGTGGACTCAGGCCCTGGGAGTCATGTGGATGCCAGTAGCCTGGGCCCACAGAGCTGCTGGGATGTGGGGGGCATATCAAGTTGAAGATGGCAACTCTGATCTGACGCCTCTGTGCTCAGGGCCCCTGGAGGAGGGGCTACTGCCCCTTGGCCCTTAGACAACAGGACAGAGACCAGAGGGACTGGGCGGCTTGTCCCAGGCTACTGGGCTGTGGTCTCTGACCCCCTGGAGGCCTCCCCACGCCTCACAGAACACAGTGCAGACGGTGGGCGGGGAGAGCTCGAGGGGAGGCCCAGCCCTGCAGGTGGGACTGGCTCTCCCTCCCCAGCCACGAGTATGCCACAGGGGGCTTTCAAAACCAGGCAGGGCCAAGCCTTGGCCCCACTGGAGGTAGAGCACCTTCTGTGGCTCCCGGGTGCCTTTAGGCCCGTCCAGGAGTTGGAGCAGAGGAGAAGACCCAGACTGTGCATAGTTCCCTGAGGAGGGCTAGCCTCAGGTGCCACAGCCTGGTTCGGCCTGGCGGCCCCAGGAGGCAGCAGCAACCTTGGGCTTCCTGCGGGGTGACTACCTTGCCCTCCGGCCCTGCCCGTTGACTAACTATGCTCTGTGGTTTTGTTTCCAGAGAACTCAGATTGCACAGAGCTAGACTCGGGCAGCCAGAGCGGCGAGCTGAGTAACAGGGGTAACACCTCCCTGCTGCCCCTCCCTCTCTCTCCCTCTCTCTCCCTCTCTCTTTACCCTCCCCAGGGCTCCATCTCCGCCTCAGGGGCTTCTCCACCCCAAGTCTGGCTCCATTCCTGGCCTTCTGTTGGTGACAGACCCCCCCCCTAAGGTGCTCGTTTGGGGGCTCTTCAGGCAGCACCTCAGCCTGGCACCCCCACTCCCCTGCGCAGCCCCCAGGCCTCAGGACCCCACCCCTCTGAGGCCCAGGGGAGCCCTGTTCACGCTGGTTTCTCCCCAGGACCCATGAGCTTCCTGGCTGGCCTGGGCCTTGCTGTGGGACTGGCCCTGCTCCTGTACTGCTATCCGCCAGGTGGGTGCAAGCGGATCCTCATGGGGCTGGGCCTGCCTCCCCTCTGCCACCAAGCCAGGGCCCCAGACCCTGCCCAATTTGGGACCCCTTGGCCTCTTCGTACCTCGGTGTCCACACTTGTGCAGTGGGATGGTGTCACCTCGCAGGGCTCCTGAGAAAGGGGATGTGAGGAGGCTCCCAGCGTCCACTGGCCCCTGCCACCCTTGGGAACCAGAGAATGATGACCTCTAGCGGGAGGAGGGGTGCAGCCAGGACTCTGGGTGTTACAAAGCCCTGCCACATCTGTGACCTTGAACCATGTGGGGCCCTTGAGCAGGTCACGTGCCCCAGGGCCTTGGGTCTCTCCAGCAGCCACAGGCCTGATGCACAGGAACCTTCCAGGGCCCCTCTACTGGCACCCAGCCTGGCCTGCCCCGTCTCCCTTTTCTGTGATGCCTGAGTTTGTCGTGCTGGGAGGCTTACTGGGTGAGGGGACACAGGCACACATGGCAGGACTCAAAGGCCCGTGGGTCACTCGGGTGGGAGCTGGGGGCTCTGGAATCTGCCCTAATTCTTGTCTTTTCAACTCAAGCCGAGACCATGACCGGGAGGGAGCACCCTGTCCCAGTGCCTGTTCCCACCCACCCCCGCAGGAGGGATGGAAACACAGAATTCACCTCTGGGACTGGTTCTTGAGCTTTTGCCTCCCCTTTTGTCTTCTAGACCCCAAGGGCCTGCCAGGGACCCGGCGCGTCCTCGGTTTCTCGCCTGTCATCATCGACAGACATGTCAGCCGCTACCTGCTGGCCTTCCTGGCAGATGACCTAGGGGGGCTCTGACAGACCCTGGACCCAGGGCCTCACCTGCCACTCAACCAAAGAGTCCTCGAGCCGGCCCGCCAAGGGGACTGCTGCTTCTTTTTCTAAATGCATATTTTTCATTATTTATAATTTGTGTAAAAAACACACCTTCACCTTACAAGGTGCTGACCATATTAAATGTTCAGGTTCTCTCAGCCTGCCTCGTTCCTCAGTCTCAGGGGTGTTTCAGAGATGACTGCAGCTATGGCTGCTCCAGCTGGGGCTGGCCCTGGTATTCCCAGCATCCCCACATCCAGCTGCTGGCACAGACCCCCCAGACAGGACGCCCTCCACATGGACTCACCTGCCTCGGATAAGCCGCCAGGCACTGCCTCCCCACCTCAGATGTTCCCCACACTGCCCCCTCCTCACACCTCATGTGCCACACACACACACACACACACACACACACACACACACACACACACCCACTCCCCCCACCCCAGCTGCTGAGCCTGGACCGGACACCTGATTCCCTCCCCTTGTCAGCTCCTCCCCCAAGCCTTTTTGTGGGGAAACGAGAATATTTGTCAACCCACAGAATCATCATGAGTTTGCATTTTCCAGGGGGTTTCTGGAGGCACCCAGGCTTTGCCCCAGAAGGTGCTGGGAACCCCTAATGCTGGGGCGATGCCACTGGCAGGGCGAGGCTATGGGCGCAGCTCCTGGAGGGACCCTGCTCAGTCGCAGGGTCCCAGCGCACATGACAGTGGGAACCAGGCTGCCGGTGGAGTATGGAGCTCCAGGACATGACATCCCATTACCATGCAGCCCTGCTGCTTGGGTCATCACAGTGCCTGCCCCTTCAGGGAACTGAGGGCCAGGGGCAAGGAAAGCCAGTGCCTCAGAGCCCTCCCACCTGCCAGGCTGCCATGCGCCCACTGAGTGGGGTGGCCGGGGGACAGCCCTAGCTGCCCTCTCCCTCCTCCACCCTGAGCCATGGGGCCAGGGCCTGTGCTCCAGTCTCAGCCCCTTTGCCCACCTGTGAAATGGGATCCCTCCCTCGGGACTCCTCCTTGAGCCTGCGCTCTGTCACAGCACCCCCTCCCCCTCAGAAATCCTTTTAGGAATTTACCACCTTGCTACAGATGCCTTTAATGCCTGGGTAAAGGAGACACACTTAGTGAAGGTGACAGGTGTCTGGGTGAAGGGTGTAGACAGGTGTGACTTGCCCCTGGAGGGTGAAGGAGGGGTCTCCAGGGACAGTAACATTCTATGACTGCGTCAGCTGAAGGTAGGAAACCTCCGAGGCAGGCAGGGCACAGGCCAGTGTGTGGCCTGGGCAAGTCCTAGGTGGCCCCACCTGAGGCCGTGGAGGACACACGCACCTCCTCAGGGCTGCCTGACATGACCTGAGGCCCTGACTCCCCAGGCCGCTTGGGCAGGGTGTCATTCCTCAGTGAGGGGCTGCCTGGCCCGAGGACTGCTGACTCCCCTGTCCATCTGTGTGCACCCACCGCCCTCCCCCGAGGCCCATGTCAGCCAGGTCCTGAGCCCCACTGTCCTTGGACTGCCCTCCCAGCGCCCAGCTACCCCCAGCTCCATCCCTGACCAACTGGACTCAAGCCTGGGGCTGAGTCTGTGACATCCTCGACCACCAGCCAGGCCTACTCTTGCATCTGCCGCCTCCCGCCTGGTGGTTGCCCCACCCTTTGAGGCTGGAACCTGGAGGAGGGAGAATGATAAGCGCCCATGTCTGTGCCTCAGCCGCCCATCAGGCCCAGCTCTGCTAACCACCGGGCCAACCAGTTCCTGTGACCAGCAGTGAACTAGGTCCCCAGGGGAGGGGAAGGCACCCTTGGGCACGTGAGGCCCTCCTGGCTGCCCTGAGTCCCCGCTTCCACACTACACCCACAGATGGCCGTGTCCTGCGCCTCCACACCTGTGCTGCAGGTGTTCAGGCAAAAACCGTGCTGCTCCCTCGGCTTGGGACTCCTTACCAGCCCCTCTCATCAACTCATCCTTCAGGAATGCCACTTCCTCCAGGAAGCCCTCATGATACCCCAGTAAGAAGAGCAGTTTCCTCCAAGCTACCACACCTGAACATGGGATGCTGTTCTGACATCCAGAACTGTGCAGGAGCTGGTAGGAGATGCTGGGGTCGAGGGAACTCCCATTACCAAAGCTTTGGTGTGAGGGAGGGGTTGTGGGAGAGCTGGAGGTGAAATGCAGAGGGTTGTGAGGGAGAGTGAGTGAAGGAAAGAGGGGTAGTGAGGAAGGGGGTGTGGATGAGGGAGGGAGATGAAGGAAGGGGAATGAGGGGGTGTGTGAGGTAGGTGAGGAAGGAGATGAGGGAGGGGGTGAGGTAGGGGTGAGGGAGGGGGGTGAATGAGGGGTGAGGGAGGGGTGAGGGAGGGGTGAGGGAGAGGTGAGGGAGGGGTGAGGGGGGTGAAGGAGGTAGGTGAAAGGGTGTGAGGGAGAGGTGAGGGAAGGAGTTGGGGGGAGGGAGGGGTGAGAGAGGGAGTGAGGGAGAAGGTGAGGAGGGGTGAGAGAGGGTTAGGGAGAGGTAAGGGAGGGGTAAGGGAGGGGGTGAGGGAGGAGGTAAGGGAGGTGATGAGGGAGGAGTGAGGGAGGGGATGAGGGAGGAGTGAGGGAGGGGATAAGGGAGGGGTGAGAGAGGGGGTGAAGGAGGAGTGAGGGAGGGGTGAGGGAGGGGGTGAGGGAGGGTTGAGGGGGTGAGAGACGGGTGAAGGAGGGAGGGGGTGAGGGAGGGGTGGGGGTGAGAGACGGGTGAAGGAGGGAGGTGGAAGTGGGTGAGGGAGAGGTGAGGGAAGGAGTTGAGGGAGGAGAGAGAGAGTGAAGGAGAGGGTGAAGGAGAGTGAAGGAGGGCATGGGGGGGTGAGGGAGGGGTGAAGGAGGGAGGTGACGGGGTGAGGGAGAGGTGAGGGAAGGAATTGAGGGAGGAGGGAGGGAGGGAGGGGTGAGGGTGGGGGTGAGGAAGGGGTGAGGGAGGGGTGTTGGGGGACCTAGTATGGAACCCAGGAGTATATTTGTCACAGGTCAGCAAGGACACAGGGCACTTGAGCTCAGAGGCCGGAAGTATAGCTGGTCTTGCACAATCCACGGTACCGGTCTGGGAGAAATGACCCTGCTGACTACAAACACAGGCTGGGTTTTGGGGGTGCTGACGCAGCTTTGTTGTGCTGCTGCTTCCAGTTCTGCCGGCTCAGTGCCTTGTGACCGGGGCCGGTGGCTCCTCCATAGAGGGCTCACAGGGGTCCTGCCCACTCAGTGCCTCTCACACCTCTGCACAAACCCTGGGTCTCAGCAGCCACAGGGTTCTGGCCTTCCTTGGGTGAGCCTGGACACCCACCCTCATGCAGACAGGTTCAGAATCTGGGAGGGGGTCCAGCCTCTTGTGCGCCCTACTGTCCCCCACACCTGAGGGGCACTCGGGAGACAGAGTACTGGGGGCATGCTGTTGTCACCACGGCCTGCTGGGGTCATGTCACAGCTCAGAGCCTTGGTCCCCCCAGCTGTAACGTTAGCATGAGAATGGGGACTCTGGCAGTCGAGGAACACCCACCCTCCCGCAGCCTGGCTGGGCAAGTGCTGGATGGGGGTTGCAGTGGGACCCCAAATCTTGATCAGATCTGGGGAGGGGACCCTAGCACTACCTTGCAGGGGGGTGAGGGACCAGGGGTGGGTCTCCACAGACCCTACTGCAGCCACAGGTTTGGAGGGAGTGGGCTACACTGGCCTAAAACTGGCCTGAAGACAGCTGGTGGGAGAACCCGGCTGTTCACTGGCTGGAAGGACGAGGACGTGCTGGGCTGGGGGCCACAGAGGCTGCAGCTGGTGGGGCAGCTTCCTGCGGTCACAACAGGTCAACAGCACCTGGAGTTAGTGTTTCCTCTAAAGTAAAGTATTTGAGAGAAAGAGAAGAAAAATATGAAAGCATTCAGACCTCTAATTTATTATTATTATTTTTTGAGACGGAGTCTGGCTCTTGTCGCCCAGGCTGGAGTACAGTGGGGCGATCTTGGCTCATGCAAGCTCCGCCTCCCAGGTTCACGCCATTCTCCTGCCTCAGCCTCCCGAGTAGCTGGGACTACAGGCACCTGCCACCACGGCCAGCTAATTTTTTTTTTTTTTGTATTTTTAGTAAAGAAGGGGTTTCACTGTGTTAGCCAGGATGGTCTCGATCTCCTGACCTAGTGATCCGCGCGTCTCAGCCTCCCAAAATGGTGGGATTACAGGCATGAGCCACTGCACCCGGCCCCTTTTTTTTTTTGAGTCTTGCCCTGTCTCCCAGGCTGGAGTGCAGTGGTGCGATCTTGGCTCACTGCAACCTTCACCTCCCAGGTTCAAATGATTCTCCTGCCTCCGCTTCCTGAGTAGCTGGGATTACAGGCGCCCACCACCACACCCGGCTTATTTTTGTATTTTAATAGAGACAGGGGTTTCACCATGTTGGCGAGGCTGGTCTCGAACTCCTGACCTCGTGATCTGCCCACTTTGGCGTCCCAAAGTGCTGGGATTACAGGCATGAGCCACCGTGCCTGACCTTTTTTTTTTTTTTTTTGATACAGAAATCTCTCACTCTGTTGCCAAGGCTGCAGTGCAGTGGTGCGATCTCAGTTTGCTGCAACCTGCACCTCCCGGGTTCAAGCAATTCTCGTGCCTCAGCCTCCTGAGTAGCTGGGATTACAGGCATGTGCCACCGTGCCCAGCTAATTTTTTTGTAGTTTTAGTAGAGACAGGGTTTTGCCATGTTGTCCAGGCTGGTCATGAACTCCTGAGCTCAGGTGATCCACCTGTCTAGGCATCCCAAAGTGCTAGGATTACAGGCGTGAGCCACCATGCTGGGCCCAGTCCTATGATTGTTAAGAATAATGCAGTGCCAAAAAAAAAAAAAAAAAAAGAATAATGCAGTGAAGAAACAGGCACTCCACTCTGATTGAACACAGGTGGAAGAGGAGGCCCTAGGAAATGGAGGGGAGGGCTGGGCGTAGGGTGTGGCGTGGGTTCTGTCACAAATGGCCAATACACCCAGAATCAGGTGCTCCTCCCTGCCTGGCCGTACCAGGCCTGGGCCCAGCACCTTGAATGGAGGTCCAGTTGCCTCCCCACTCATCTGACATGAGCTGCCCTCATCCTTACTCTGCACATGGGAATGAATGGGCCAGGTCCTTCAAGGATGAACCAGATAGAAAGCACTGCCCTGGGAGAGGGAGCCTGTAGATCCAACAAGACTTAGAAGACACTTCCAGTGCTTTTAGGTGGGCAGGAATAAGCAGTGTCAAGGACACGCACAGGGCACCTAAGCCATGAAGAGACCTGAGCAAGGGATCCCTGTAAGGGAGTGAGGGGCCGAGACTGGGCTTCGGGCTGGCACAGCGGTACCTCTTCACCTTGGAACAACCCACTGAGATCTATGCCTGCCTTCACATCTATCTTCTATCCGTCATCTATCAAGCTATCCATATGTCATCTATTTCTCATCTATCAGTCAATCTTTTCATCTTTTACTCTTTTCCATCAAATACAACAGCTTCTATCAATCATCTCTATCTAATCATCCATCTGACCATCCAGCATCTATCATCTATTATCTATCTAATCTATCTAATCATCTAATCTATCTGACCATCCATCCATCATCCGTCCGTCCGTCTGTTCATCCATCCATCCATCCACCCACGTATCTACCATCTATCAATCTATCTAATAATCTCTCTGTTATAGGAAAGAGGTTAGGAAACCCTCCCATCACACTCTGCCCAGTTGGTCATCTCCAGCTCTATGCGACTGCCCCTACCTGCCCCCGCACCTCACTGCTTCCCCAACACCAGCCCAGCTCACAGGACTTGTGCAAAGGCTTCCTTGCCCTCAAACCTTCTTCCCAGACTTCTGCATGGCCCCTCGCCATCATCCCAGGTCACCTACTGACCTCCCTGCCCATTCCTCCTGAGCTCCCTGTGTGTCCCTCCATGTCCCCCCCCACCACCCAACTTCGTGGGTGCATCTTGTTCACTTTCCAGGTCCCCCGTGAGAACAGAGCTGAATCCACGGGCAGGACTGGCTGGAGTGGATACATCAGGTCCCAGGACCCCATAGGCGCTGTCAAACCTTCCCAGAAGGTAGCTTGGCTCTGAGCAGCTCCTGGGCCTGTTTTTTGTCTGTCCCTTGGCTGCTGTGACACATGCACAGGGCCTAGCACATACAGGCAAGTGAGTGGGTTCTGCCCCAGACATTTACTGAGCACCTACTATATGCTGGACAGTGCTGAGGACACAGGCTGCAGATAGGTGATGGCATCTGGTAGGAGAGCCAGGTCAGACAAAGGATCCTTAAGTAGGAGAAGCACAGACAGGGATGCGGGTGCCAAGCCATGCCCCCAGCTCCAGCAGAGCCCCTTGGCCCTCAGGAGACCCAGCAGGCAGAACACTCATTCTCGGAGTGCCTGCCCTGGACTTGGGCTGGACTCAGACTCCAGCTCCAGGGGAGAGTCCACCTGGCCGCACTGTCTCTGGCAACATGGACAGTGACTCCATCCCAAGGCACCAGAGCATAAATTGTAATGGGGCCAAGACAGTGATCAGGGAGGGGCGGCATCAGACTGGTCAGGACGGCCTCTGGAGTAACCTTAGAGCTAAGCCCCGGCCAGCCGACGGGGGCCTGGAAGGATGCTCTTCAGGGGGCAGCAGCACAGGCTGAGGACTGAGATGGGAACCCCAGAAGTCAGGGTCAGAGCTGGTGGAGTGGTTGGTGAATAAGCCTGGGAGTTGGTGGGCAGGGAGGTTGGGGGCGGCCAGCATGGGCGTCTGAGTAGGGGAGGCCACCTGGGCATTGGGACTGCAGGGGGTCAGGGCACACACATCCAACTGGGGATGGCCCAGGGCCCAGCACAGTCATCTGGGTTCACCCCTCCGACTCGGTCCCAGTGAACTTCCTCTCCTGGCCAAAGGAGGAGCTAAGACATGTGTTGGCCAACATCCGGCTGCTGGTGTGTGAGGCCAGGCACACAGGGGGCCCTCCCTCCTGCCTGGCTGCCAGCCAGCCCACACTGCAGGCCATGGCCAAATCAGGGACCAAGCGCTGGGCGGCATGCATCTGAGTCAGCGCTGGCCACGCAACCTGCGGCCAATGCTACATTGCCTCCTGTCAGGAGCACATTTCGCACCCACCGTATACCTTCGCAGCTTCCTTTTCAACTCAGCACATCTCAGAACTCATTCCCATATCAACTACTTTTCAAACCCTCTATGGGACAAACACAAAAGTGGAGAGAGCAGTGCCACGAGCTCAGCTTCTCGGCATCCACGCGGTCCACCTACTCAGTAGTTGCTGTTGTTTTCCCCCGGGAGTGCTTTAGAGCAGAGCCCAGTTAGACCCCCTCACTCAGGAGTGCTTCTGCTTTCTGTCACTTCAGCAATGGGGCTATGCAGACCTGATGTCAGCCCAGACACAGGACTGCAGGTGGGGGCCACTCATCCATCCGAGGAACGGGAGCTGGAGCCACCCCAAGTCACGGGGCTCAGCCCAGGTGGGGACAGAAGAAAAGTGATGAGGAAGTAAGTGGGGGCCTCAGTAGTGCTGGAGGCCTTGCCCCCTCCCCTGTGCCCCTGGAAGGCTGCTTGGAGGAGGAAAGGGCAGAGGCTGGCAGGAGATGCACAGGTACCTCAGCTGGAGGGGCCAGGTCGGGGGACCCACAGCGGGGACACAGAGGCAGTGCGGGATGGAGGACGGGGCAGGCTGACCCCACTCCCACCTCAGGCCACCAGATGCTCCACATCCAGGGAGATGAGGGGCTGGGGCTGGGAGGGGCGGTGGGGAGAACAGAATGGGTAGTGGGGGGTTGGGGAAGGATGGGGGACCAAGGAGAAGAGAGTGAAACGCCAGACACTGGCGGCCCGGGAGCCAGGTTTCCACTGGGTGAGGGGTCCTGTGGGGCAGGTGGGCCCTGAGAGTCCAGGGCCTGGTCCCGGCATGGCTCCCAGCTCCCCTGTGCCCAGAGAATGTCCCCGCTGACCACAGGCATCACTGGACACCACTGCGGGGAAGCAGCAACTTCAAACTTGGTAGAGGAGAGACTCAGGGGCAGCACCTCAAGGCCTGTCCACAGGCGGGGGCAGGAAAACAGTGCTGGAAACATGTGAGGGGGAAAACGACGCCGCTCCCCACCTGACCCTGCCTGGGTCAGAGGTCACTAGGGGCTGCTGATGCCAGTGACCTCAGACTTCCACCTCTGTGCCTCCAAACCTCACCCCAGGAGATGTCAGGAGCCAAAGAGCTCCCCAAGCCAAGATTCTGGAGAAGGCGGCCCTGGCCAGAACCGTGTGCTTCTGACGCCCCTGCAGGGCAGCTGGAAAGGGGACAGGGAAGCCAAGGCCGGTCCAGCCCCGGGAACAGGGAGATGGCATGTGGAGCCTGACAAAGAGCGTGGGCTTTATTGTTCATTCATGATTAGAAAAGTGGGTGCTGGGACCCCCGTGGAGGGGGTTGGGCTCTGCCCGGTCACTGCTGGTGCAGGGTATATACAAGGTCTACGGCCCTCACAGGCCTGACTGGCTCCCTCTTGATGGCCACCAAGCCCAGGCACTTAAGACCAGAGCCAGTGGCCATCCGTAGGGCCAAAGGCAGTTCTGGCTGTGCAGGGTCCCTGGGTTAGGAAGTGGACAGAGGCTGGGGTCACCAGGGCAACCCGGACAGGGCCCACGGGAGGCAGGGACGCTGGTGCTTTGGGAGAGGGAGAGACATCTCCTTGTCCTTCTGGAATGTCCTGAGACAGAGGCTGGCCCTGGTCACTCATCCAGCCCATCCACGGACCTGCTGTGTGTCCTTGAGTGGGTCGAGACCCTTCTCTGGGCACAGGTCTCTGCAGCTGTCCAGTTCTGACCCTCTGGGCTATTGTGGCCAGCCCCCATGTGCCAGGAGGGAGCTGCCTCCTGGGAACAGCTGCTGAGAGACAAGAGTGGCCTCCTGCGTGGTGCTTGGCCGCAGTCAGAGCAAGGGCTGGTCCGGGGACATGGTGCAGATGAGGCCAGCCTGGGCTCTGGCAGTCTGGGTAGTGCCATGTGCAGGGAGGTGGACACCTCACAGGTATGGCGACTCCTGGGGTCGGGCAGCTGAGTTGCAGGGCAGGCAACATCCAGGGTCCTGGAAAGGAGACAGAGGAGAGGCTCTGAGCCTGGAAGGAGGGAGAGGAGAGGCTCTGAGCCTGGAAGGAGGGAGAGGAGAGGGTCTGAGCCTGGAAGGAGGGAGAGGAGAGGGTCTGAGCCTGGAAGGAGGGAGAGGAGAGGGTCTGAGCCTGGAAGGAGGAAGAGGAGAGGGTCTGAGCCTGGGAAGGGGGGAGAGGAGAGGCTCTGAGCCTGGAAGGAGGGAGAGGAGAGGCTCTGAGCCTGGAAGGAGGGAGAGGAGAGGCTCTGAGCCAGGCTGTGACAAGCCCCGAGTGTCAGGGCCATTTGCACACCCGGACTCAGGAAGGAGAAGAGCCTGATTCTGACATGAGAGGTGTCAAAGTACTCCATGCCTCAGTTTCCCCTCTGAAAATGGAATGAATATAGCATGGCTGGGTTACTGCCAGGACTTAGAGGCCTGGCCCAGCATGGGGGGCTCGGGTTGGGCAGCTGTGACCATAGCCACCCACGAAGCCTGAGACCTCTCTGACTGCTCCACGCAGGACACACAGCAGCTTTGGCCTCCGAGCCTCTGAGGACAGCTTTAAGGTCCACTGCTGGGTCCCCACGTGGCCCACAGACGCAGCACCCTCTTCCCGGCAGGCAGATAACTCATGCTTGGGAGAGTTAGGGACTGCATTCAGCACACACAGCAGGTGATTAATAAATGGCCTGGCCACATGCCCAAGCCAGGGAGCAGCTGACATCTAGGTGTTCTGGAAGAGGACAACTTAACTACAAACTGGAGGCAGCATCTGGACAGTGACTCGGACCCCACATGGGGCCGCCCAGATCCAGGTCCTTTCAGGAGGGTGACTTCAGGCTCCACGGCCGGGACATTGGGGGCTGGCGTGATCCCACTGGGGGAATGGCCTTGGGTGTGGTAGGGGAGCTTGAGAGGCCATGGGCCACTACGAGCAGCGGTCACTCGTTGGCCCCCGTGTGGGGAGGGGTGAGGCCAGGTGGATGCAGGGTGCTCCCAACCCAGCTGCTGGCCCCAGCGCCCCACCTCATCCTCACTATGCCCTCTTGGGGAATTTTTTTTTTTTCCCGAGATGGAGTCTCATACTGTTGCCCAGGCTGGAGTGCAATGGCGTGATCTCAGTTCACTGCAATCTCCACCTTCCAGGTTCAAGCGATTCTCCTGCCTCACCCTCCTGAGTAGCTGGGATTACAGGCATGCGCCATCACGCCTGGCTAATTTTGTATTTTTAGCAGAGACACGGTATCTCCATGTTGGTCAGGCTGGTCTCAAGCTCCCGACCTCAGGTGATCCGCTTGCCTCAGCCACCCAAAGTGCTGGGATTACAGGTGTGAGCCACCGTGCCTGGCCTGGGGAAATTTTTATATATCCTTGACACACAGGCGCTCTGCCCCAAGAGCACTGCTCCTGTCTACTCTGCCATGGGCCACCACTGGTGGAGAGATGGCCACCTGCCAGGAGTGCCCACCCCTCCCTTAGCAACTCACCTCCACCTCTGCTACAAACCGGAGGGGTGACCCCTAGGCCTAAGGTCGCGGGGACTGTGGTGTGTGGCCCTGGCCTGGCTGCATGGACTGTAGTGTGTGCACCATGTGGCCCTGGCCATGGCTGCATCCCAGGCCTTCCTGTGGATCCTGCTCCCAGGCTGTGTCACTGGGCAGACGCTCACCCTCTCTGAGCAAGGACACAGGGAGAGGCTGTATGTGGTGTGAGAAGTCTTCCTACACTGGGTGCCTCGTCCTGTAGAGACAGCCTCAGTCTGCATCCTGCACACAGCCAGGGTCCAGCCTAAGGCAGGCAGCTAACAGATTCTGCGAGGCCCGGCAAGGGGCAGACTTGAAGAGTCACAAGGGCTCCACGTGACAAGATCCTGAATCCCACCGTCCTGGTCAGAGTGGCACAGTGAGGTGGGCATGTCAGGCAGGCGGTCATACCAAGGTCCCTTTTTCTCAGACGAGGGCTGGGAGGAAGCTTCACCTGCTAAGTGGAGCTGATAAGGGGTGCAGAGCCCCTGACTTATCAAGAGAAGCCGGAAATCTTTGGGTTTTGGGTGTTTTTTGAGACAGAGTCTCACTCTGTCGCTCAGGCTGGAGTGCAGTAGTACGATCTTAGCTCACTGCAACCTCTGCCTCCTGGGTTCAAGCGATTCTCCTGCCTCAGCCTCCTGAGTAGCTGGGACTACAGGGATGTGCCACCATGCCTGGCCACTTTTTGTATTTTTAGTAGAGACGGGGTTTCACCCTGTTGGCGAGGCTGGTCTCGAACTCCTGACCTCAAGTGATCTGCCCGCCTCAGCCTCCCAAAGTGCTGGGATTACCGGCATGAGCCACCGCGCCTGACCCAGAAATCTTTTTTTTTTTATCGGACAGACATTCTGAATGTATAGAAATCTTACGTTTAAGTGAGTTCTCCAGGATGTTCAAATGGTGGCTCCTACACACATTCCATCTAAACACTGTGACCACAGGACCCCAGGTGGCCAGCACCAGTGGCAGGGCTGGCCTCAAGGCAGTGGCCAGGCATTGGCCTTGTAGGTGTGGACGAGGATGCCCATGGCCTAGGAAGGTGTCCAAGGCTGGCCGGCCAGGGACTCACCACACTGCAAGAGCCTCCAACAGCGAGCAACCCCAGGACTGCAGGCCTCGCGCCCCATCTCCCAGCTCACCTGGGTGTCCTACTGCTGGGGTGCCATGTCCATCAAGGGCTTCTGGACCCCGAAGGCCGTGATGAAGATGTTGACTACCACGATGATGAACACCAGGCCCGTGGCCAGGTTGTTGAGGAAGTCCAGCTTGGCGTGCTTGGCCGGGTTGTTAAGGTCGTACTTGACTGTGGGCGAGAGAGGAGTGGATGGTGCCAAGGGCAGCCCAGACGCAGCGCCCCAGCCTGGGACAGTGGAAGGGGACCCACCCCAGCGGTCAAGCTGTCCTGGGACATTACAGGGCTCTCAGTCGCATTTAGGATGAGTTTTGTCGCCCAGAGAAAAATACATCTGTTTTGCTGAAACATGGACAACAGCGCCCCTGGCTTGGGCAACCCCACGGTCTATGACCCCACCTTCTGTAGCCCCCATATTTTCCTTATACGAATTGAAGCTATGGACGTCAACCAAAGGCCAGGTTTGGGCAAATGCACTGAGCCCTTTGCGTGCCTTAATCTAGTGATTCCTGCCACAAGCTGCAGTTCTATTATGATGCCTGTTTTATAAGTGAGGCCCGGGAGGTTCAGCCACTTGCCCAAGGTTACGCAGCCATGAAGGGGACCCTGGGCCCAGAAGGTAGGACTGGCATGACTGAGGCCATCTCATGGCATGGGTCAACAAGAACCCGGTGAAACACCTGCCCTAATGCCCACAGGCCAGGCCCTGACCCCACTCTGTGCTCTTTCAAAGTGCAGGGTGGGGCCAGGCACAGTGGTTCATACCTGTAATCCCAGCACTTTGGGAGGCCGAGACAGGAGGATCACGTGAGCCCAGGAGTTTGAGACCAGCCTGGGCAGCATAGCAAGACCCCGTGTCTACCAAAAATAAAAAAATTAGCTGGCATGATGGCATATAGCTGTGGTCCAGCCTACCTGGGAGGCTGAGGCAGAAGGCTCGCTTGAGCCTGGGAGGTTGAGACTGCAGTGAGCTGTGATCAAGACACAGCAAGACCCGGTTTCAAAAACAAAACAAAACAAAACAAAACAAGGCTGAGCGTGGTGACTCATGCCTGTAATCCCAGTATTTTGGGAGACTGAGGCTGTTGGATCACTTGAGCTCAAAAATTCGACTGGGCAACATGGCGTAACCTCATCTCTACAAAAAATACAAAAATTAGCCGGGCATGGTGATGAGCGCCTGTAATCCCAGTTACTTTGGGGGCTGAGGTGGGAGGATCGCTTGAGCCCAGGAGATGCAGCTTGCAGTGAGCCGAGACTGCGCCACTGCATTCCAGCCTGGGTGACAGAGGGGGACCTTGTTTCAAAAAACAAAACAAAACAAAACAAAAACCAAAGTGCAGGGTGGGGGGAGGGGGGGTGCCACTTCCTGGACTGCATGTCTGGGTGATGAGGGCCAGGAACTCGGCAGCTCCTTGAGAGCCAAGTGTGCAAGGTGGTGGGCACCTGTCCCAGGCGATGCGAGCAGATGCCAGCAAGGTGAGCAGGTGGCCTGGCTGCCCCCACCTGGGGACCTACCAAGGAAGATGAGCAGCACCCCCACGCCGATCTGCAGCACAAGGGAGATGGAGATGAGGACCACCAGGGGCACATAGAAGGCGAAGCTGGGGCCCTGTTCCACGACGGCCTTCAGCTGGGACGCGTTGGCCATCAGCAGCGCGATGTCCAGCATGCTCTCGGCTGCGCTCTTCTTGCTGGCGTAATGGTTCACGTTGATGGGCCCGTGCCTCCAGCCCCAGCGGGCCGGCTGCAGGGAGGGGAATGGTCAGCAAGGCGGGTGGGGGAGGGGGGCAAGGGCTGTGCCTGAGTCGGGCTCTGGGGGTCACCGGGCCCTGCAGGTGAGGGCTTCCCTTGCCCCCACCCCTGGTAAGTGCTCAGACAGAAGTGCTTATTACCCTAAGGAGAGGCTGCGAGCATGTGCTCAGCCTTTATAAAACCTCCCCTAGGAATACGGTCCTGGAGAGAAAGGAAACGACATAGCAACCTTAGCACACGCACTCTGATTTTCCACTGGAAAGCATTGCCCGATCCTCCCACTCCTGCCATAGGCGGGGCTGCTCCTCCCTGCCTGCCCCTACCGGTCTGTGCCCCCGGCCTCCTCTCCCCCTCCCCTCAGAGTCTGAGCTCCTGATGCCAGGAAAGGAAGTGACGTGTGGGCGGACAGATCTGTGCACACCGGCCCAGGCAAGAAGCAAGTCCTCCTGGGCCGGACCTAAGGGCAGAGATCGCCCCTGCCACCTCCCAACCTCCCAGCCTTGGGGCCCAACAGGCCACTCGCCTCCAGGCCTCAGCACAGGCCTTGCAGAACTATTCGGCCATTAGCAGCAAGACTTCACTGAGGTGGGCCACCCAGAGCCCGGCCCCGACACAGCAGAGGCTCAACAGATGCCTCAGCATACGACATACAGTGGAGCTTAGCTTCCACATTACTTCCCAGAGTAATAAAATGGGAATGCGAGTTCTGATGGAATCCTCTTTGCCTTAGGGGCCTATCTGGTCAGGGCCCCCTGCAGTTCTCTCGAAGCCCCCAATGCCTTTCCCTGGTGCCAGACACTCTCAAGCTCCAAGGCCCCACACAGAGGCCACTGCTTCCAGGAAGCCTCCCAGGACTTCCCCTGGCAGGACATGGCCCTCTCTCCTGCCACAGGAAGGTCCTCTCTAGGGCTGGCCCTTCATTCCAAGCTAAGTACCAAACTTCCTCTTTCTCTGGAGCAAGAGTCTGCCCCTCTCAAGCTGCCCTGGTGGGGCCCTCTTCAGTCACTCAGGACAAACCTGCCAGCCCCTTGGCCCGGCCCTTTGTCCACAGGCGCCCCTGAGTTGCCAGGCCCTAGACCACAGCCTCCCAGGACTGGTCACCTGCTTGGAGGCAGCTGTGAGAACCCACTGCTGGCAGCCAACCTCCTGGGGCCCTCTCTGGGAGATCCTGTTTCCAGACTCATGAAAGATGCAGGCCGGGAGGCCGGGGTGCCGCAGGGCCACAGGGAGGGGCGGACATGGTATCCATCCAGGCCTCGACTTTCTGCAGGCTGGAAAAATACACGAGGCAGCCAATACAGAACCAGCAGAGGGCAGGGGCCTTGCTTTCATGCTGCGTGTTTTTCAGTTTCATCTAAAATTATGTGCCCAGGAGGAAGAGAGTGGGCGTCAGGGGACACTGGTGGGCTCTGCTGCTTACACCTGGGCCTGGGAATTCCAACAACCTGCCTTCAGCATCAGCTGCTCTCTAAGTAGCAAGTTCACGTGGACACATGTGCGCACAGGGACAGCCGCCTTTACCTGGGCCACCCAGCAGCGCTGTCCCTGGGGCCCTGGTGTGCTCTCGGGTCACTCCATGCATACCCCGAAGCCTCTATGGGGTGTCTACTTTGCCTCTCCCACCCTGGGCCTGACGCTGCACTCCCTGGGATTCCCCCAGGCCCCAGCACAGCCAGGGCACTCACCAAGTGAGAGGCTGTGTTCCTCTCCCATTCTACAGACCAGCAGATTGCAGCTTGGAGGAGGTTTGCCCAGAGCCACCTCCCAGGACTGTGTGTCCCTGTCCCACCACTGTCCACTTAGGGGCTTCCTCCCAGGCTGCCCAGGGTCTGGGTGAGGACAGCCCGGACACAAGGGCCTGTGCCTGGCACTGAGGTCGTCTCCAGTTCTGCTCTTGCGAAGCTGCCCAGTGGGCCACACCCCATCACACGTGTGCTCCGCAAGGTGCAGTGTCCCAGGGGCTGCTGGCCACAGTGGGCATGTGCTCCTAAGTTTCACAAACCTCAAGTGCCAAAGTGCCTTCCTTCAAGGCCACCCTTATGCTCATTCGGGTCTCCATCCCAGGACTTGGTGCTGGGAGAAGGCCAAGTGCAGACCCCGTGAGGATTTCCACCTTCTGGGGGCATCTACACATATATGTGCGTGTTCCTAGTCACAAAAGCACAGAAACACACATCCCCCAGAAAGACACACATAGACGTGAGACACACATGTGCACACAATACGCACACACAAATACACATGCACATACATACATATGCACACGTACATAAACAGACACACAAGCCCAGGCTAACTGTGTTGGCCTCTGGGCAGGAGGAAGAATTCCCTTTTTTTCTGAGCTCTGCAGAACCATTTAAATATTTCACAGCCATGCAGTCACGAGGAACACTCAGATCCATTAAAAAGCACCATCCGCGCAGAGCCTCCAGCTCCCCAAGCCTCAGCTCTCAGCACCCCCAGCCACGAGGAGCCTGTGCCCCTGCTGTCCTCATGCCCACTTAAGGTGGGTAAACTGAAGCCCAGCAAAGGCGGTTCCTTACCCAAAGCCACATAGCAAGTGAGGGCTTGGCTAGGATTTGAACCCAGGCCCCGGGGCTCAGAAGCTCTGGTAGCTGATGCCATTGTCCCTTAGGGGCTGAACTCTCAATGGCTCCCTGCTTCAGGCTCCAGCTGTGTCCGGACAACTAGCCCCACTTTGTGCCTCAGTCTTCCATGTGTACCACGAGGCTGTGGAGCAGATGCCCCAGGATGGCCTCTGAGCCCCGAGTGGCCAGCAAATGCCCTGACCATGCACCCCTGCTGGTGAAGGGCACTTCCAGCCCATCCGGCCATCTGCTTCCTGTCCAACCTGCAGCTAGGGAAGCTTCTGCATGCAGGTCAAGCCCTGGCTCACCACAGCCCAGCCCGTGGCCCTGACGCAAGCTCCCCCTCCGTTGGCCTCAGTCTCCCCCTCCGTATATCTAGGGTTGCACCTGGGAAACTCCTGCTTACCAAGGGAGAGGCTGTGTTCCTCTCCCATTCTACAGACCAGCAGATTGCAGCTCAGAGGAGGTTTTCCCAGAGCCATCTCCCAGGACTGTGTGTCCCAAAGCATAGGGCTGCCCCAGGATACAGCATAGCTGGCAACCACCCCAGGCAGCAGGCCACATTGGGAGCATCATGTGGAGGGGAGGGCAGCAGGGACAGTCTGCTTCCCTGTCCCTAACCTTGGTACTCTGGGCCTTGGAGCCCTGAGCTGACCACCACACAGGAGGGTCCCAGGGAGGACGATCCCACTCTCCCCCAGTCCTGGGCACTTGCCTCTATCTTGGGATGGGCCTGAGGGTGGCCGGGGGACCCAGCTACCACAGGTGAGGGAGCCCTGTGGTCCTGACCAGCCAGCAGGAGCTGCCAGGAGCTAAGCCCTGCTGAGACCAGTGCCCATGGCTTGGGCAGGGCAGGGAATAAACACCCTGGTTAATAGATTCCCAGAACCTCAGCAGCACTCGGGGCCTGGGGCCAGGCCAGATATATTTCCTCTGAAAGCTAGGAGGGAGGCTTGGTGAGGAGGTCAGCTCTGTGTAGGGGCGTGGCTGGCTCCTCATGCAACCTTCTGTGGACGGTCGGCCTCCCCACTGCAGGCTGCACATGTTGGGGCTGGGCCACACGGTCGGTCCTAGGGCCACTTCAGTGAGCATCCTCAGCTCAGGCAGGAGGGGCTGGCACAGAAGTGGGATATGAACCAGGCTTGCTGCATCCACCGGCCTGGCTCTGGCCATAGCATAATGGGTGTTCTGGCTCACCCAGGGCTTGGATGGGAGGAGACAGGGTCGGGGCTGTGGGCCCACAAATGTGGTGATGCATATCAGTCGCCCTTTCCAGGGGCCTGTGAGGAGTAGGGCTGGAAGCTGCCACAGCACCTCCTTTACCCCCCGAGTCCTGCCTCAACACTGACCACTCTATGCCTCAGTTTCCTCATTTGTAAAATGGGTAGACAAGGATGTGGAGGGGACTGAATGGGGTGGTCTCAGATGCCCCGTGGCTGGTGGAGCGCATGGCAGTGGGTGGCAGGGCTGTTTTCCTTGATGCCTGGCTCTCACTGTTTTGAAAGACTCTGCCTCCCCGACCAACTCCACTGACTCAAAAGCAGCTGAACAGGCTCACAAAACAGTCACACAGCAAAGAAAGGACAGCCTGGGGCACAGGTTCTCCTGTGCTGAGCAGGACCCAGGGGGACAACAGGGACGAGGTGCCTGCCCTGGGTGCCTGGGGGGTCCCAGTCTACACCTTGGCTGCTCGCAGCCTGTCCTGCTCACTGGCCCTAACCCTTGGACTCAGCAGGCATTGGCAGATGGTGGGGCGACCTGAAAATCAGGCACCCCTCTTCTACCCCACCATATGCTAGGACCTGCCTGGGGCTTCCGGCATCCCTTGTCTGACCCACCAGTGTGGGCATGAGCTGCTGTGCCCATTCCCCAGATGCCACACAGACAGGCAGGGCCTGGCACTGGAGCCCTGCACCGTCTCCTACCGGCCAGCCCAGGAAGCAGGCCCTGAGAGGGTCTCCCAGCTCCATGTCTGTGTTCCTGGCAGGAAACCCCAGCAAGACAGCAGGAAGTGCTGGAAGGCGGGGTTCCCACCACAGCTGGGCCAGGCAGACCCACTTCCCGCGGACTCAGCACTGGCCACGAGTGGCCCTGAGACCATGTTAGGGTTGCCTTTTAGAACTTGGCCCAGACCCTGCCGGCCTCAGGATCTGCCAGGAAAGCGGAAATGAGGAAACGAGCAAACCTCCTCCTGGGCAGCTGAGGCCATGCACGGCCCAGACGGCAGGTATACAGGGCACAGCTACCTACCTCCAAGGACCATGCCTCTCGGCCCAGATGTGGCCCCAGGAACCTTCAACCTGCGGGCTGTGAGGGGCAGGAAGGTGTGGCTGGCACCAGATGGCCGTGTCCTAACCCCATCCCCACCACCTCCCTGCCTTGAGACACCCTGGGGATAACAGATTCAGGCCATTTTCACATTAACATTGTTGTTTACTATTCCTTCTGCTGACAGCCACAAGTGAGCTGACTCAATCCCTGGACACTGATGGGGGCCCTCACATGAAGGGCCACAGGGGCGCAGGGCACACGGGGTAGGGGAGACCTGAGAGCTTCCCACGGCCGTGGCCCAACAGAGCCCACCCAGGTTGGAGTTCCACGTGTGGCTCCTCCCTGAGCCTTGTCCACCCTGGGAGGTGAGCAGTTGTGCCCCATTTTACAGAAAAGGAAACTGAGACTCTCCATTTTACAGAAAAGGAAACTGAGGGAGCTGGGCAAAGCGCTGCCCTCTCCAAACCACTGCCAGGGGTCACCAGTGGGAGAGGGTCTCCGTGGCAGGCAGAAGGATGAGGGCGCTGAGTGCTGGCCTGGCTCTAAGCACTTCATATACATCAGCTACTGAGTCCTCACCACTCTCTATGGCAGGCACCGCGACCACACCCATTTCACAGATGAGAAACTGAGGCACAGAGTGCTGACATGATGTGCCCAAGAAACGGAGAAGCAAGGTCTTGAGGTTGGGAAGAGGAACAGGTGTGTTGGGTGGTCCTGGGCCCCCAGGCTGGGTGAGCAGAGCGGCCCTCGAAGTTTTCTACCCCTCAAGGGGAAATGTGCTCATCCTCACACTGGCTCATAGCCTTTCCACAGCTCCCTGGACACCAGACCGTGATCAGGCCTGCAAGGCCCCTCCCATCGGCCTGGCTTCCCATCCCCCCACCTCCTACCTGGCCCTCATGTGCTCTGTGGTCCAGCCTCTGAGCCTTTGCTCCCACTGTTCCCTCTGCCTAGATGCCCTTCCACACATCTCAGAGAGCCAGATCTGCTCACCCACCTTCCCTGCCCTCCAGGGCTCAGAGCCAATGTCCCCACCTCCACAGAAAGCCTTCCCTGACCACCATGCCCCGCCCCCCACGATGGGCTCCCAGCCCCCAGGGAACCCCCTGCTTTGCCCTGGCCTCTCCTGCCCTGTCTGGGCTGGGCTGCTCTCCAACCGCGGCTTGGTGGGGCGGGGCTGTGTCTCTCTCCCTCTGGTGCCCAGAGCCAAGACAGTGATCCGGGAACAAATCCAACCCAATCTCCTCTGGGCTTGAGATGCACCCATCTCAGGAGGCACAGCCTATCCTGCCGCCCGCAGAAGTGAGCAGAGACTGCTCTGAGTGGAGGGCATTGCCCGGGCAAGGTCAGGGTTGGGGGAGGAGCAGTATCCCTTCCTTTCCAAGGCGCTTCCAAGCCACTGACCTGTTTATTACCTGACTTGCTTTCCCCACTTCCCTGAAGGCAGGAGAGACCCTTTGTTCTCTCTTTATAAGACCATGTCTAAAAGGCCCAGCGAGGTGTGGCAACTTCCCAAGGACACACAGCCGGAGGAGCCCCCTGCCTATTGCTCCAAAGTGCTCACACACTGGGGCAGGGCCAGGTCGCTGGGGTCCCGCACACCGGTCAAGTCCTGCAGTGCGACAGCTCCTCTCTAACCTAGGAACAAGTGTCCATGCAGCCCCAGGGCCATCCTATCCCGTGGCTCATGGGGCCCCGCCTCCCCGAACATGTCCTGTCCCCACAGCACCGGCCTAGGACTGTTCACCAGCGAGTGGGCAGAGTGTCTTTGCCCCAGTCTGGTCCACGCCATGGAGAGGCCTGGAAAAACCCAACAGGCTGCTGTTCCCTGCCCCCATCCCTGAGGGGGTTAGAAAAGGAAAGAATGTTCAAAGTAAACAAGTCACCAGAGGGCCATGCCAGGACCTTGCAACAAACACAAGGTGCTCAGTAAGTGCTGAGTCCTGGGATGAAGAATTCTGAAGCGGGACCACTACCAGGGCCTGCCCCCTGCCCACAGCCCTCCCAGGCCGGGCAGGGCAAGTTCTGGAGGGCCGGTGGCGGCATACACTGAAGGCTGTGTGACGTTTCTATTTCTCAAGGCAGGTGAGTGGAATAGGGACCACAGCGGGCCCCAAGTTCCCCCATCAAGGCACGCATCAGATTGTGTGGTCAGCGTGGGGTGACGTAACTGTCTGCATGCAGCTGGTCTGGAGCCCGGAGGCTGTGACTCCCCTCCGCCCGCCTCCGGGCAAAGTGCGCGGAGGAGCCGGCACGGCGAGGCTGAAGTTAGAGAGGCCCGCGCGAGAGTGGGGGGGAGGTCGGGAAAGCCGGGCGCCGGCAGTCCTTAGCCCGAGGAGCTGCGCCGAGGCCCCCTCCGCCGTGCAGCCAAGCGCGGGCGCTGCTTAGTGGGGCTGGGGACGCCAGCCCGCCCTGCGCCCCCACGCCCCCTCGTCCCGCCCACTTGCCGGGGGTGGCTGGAGCTCCCGGGGGCATCGTTCTGACCCTGATGGGGCGGGAAGGACTTGGCCTAGAGCGGGACGTCCCCCAACACTCTGCAGTGCGGACGCGGCGCACACAGGTGCCCGGGGAGCCGCGGCGCCCCGAAAGGACAGGGCCTGGCAAGATCATGCAGCGGTGGGGGGAAGGTCTTACCGAGGCGTCCGGGGAGCCGGGTGTGCCCGGAGGCAGGCCGCCGTTGAGCTCGTACTCCTCGGTTCCCGAGTCCATGGTGCGGCCGCCCAGGCCGCCAGGATCCGGGCCTGAGCGCGCCCGAGCCTCAGCCGCAGGCTCCAGCTGCGCGCCCGCCCCCGGCCCGCCCCCGGCCCGCCCGGCGGCGAGCTGCTGCCCCAGACTCCGCCTCCACCCGGGGCGGGCCCGGGGCCTGGAGGCTGTACGCTGAGAGCGCGCAGTTTGGGGCGACCCCAACCCCTCGGGCCTGAGACGGTCCCGCGGGGCCCCACAAGGGAGGGGGCGCGACGCCGATGGCCCCAGAGGACCCTGCGCTGCGTCTTGCTCTGAACCTCCGTCGCGGACACTTTTAATCCACAAAATGAGGCCAAGAACGACCTTTCCCTGGCCACCAGGCAAACTGCATGAAAGCGAGCGGGCGTTGCCGCTGGCGCCCACGCTGGGTTTTTCCCAGGCGGGGTTCGCCCTGGGAACCGCAGATCGCTCCAGCACAGCGCCTGCTGCGCCCCTAGTAACAGCGTCAGAGAGTCCGGGGTTCCCCTGATTGCGGGCCACGCTGACACAGGGCTTCCCACTCCCTGACCTTAGGTTTTCCTGCCTGGGAAATGGGGGTTATGAGGGCACAGACTGCTGGAGGGGCTGGGGGAGGCACAAAGGGGATGAACGTGCGCTGACTCATGGGCCCATCTGTGCCACCTGTGGCAGGGGGTGGGCTGGGGGCAGCACAGTGCCCAGAGCCCTGGCCAGATGCTAGGCGGGCCCCCACCTGTTGTATGATTGAAGTGGTTGTTTGGTCTCTGTTTCTCCATATGTTCATTCCTCAGCACTTTGCCCATCTGGGGGCCTGGGGGTCGAGAGCATGTGGCGGCCACCCTGGGAGGCCAGGGGAGTTCATCCTGACCACAGCATAGTCAGCTTGCGGCAGTATGGCCACTCTATTTCCAGAAGGGCAGTGGAAGGAAGGCCAGCTCAGACCCCAGGCTCTGTCCAGTCAGGCTGCCACCGGGACAGGAGGTAGGAGTGAGTGGGCATGGGCAGGGCAGCAGGATTGCGCTTGCCCTGATCCTCCAAACGGGGTCATCCCATGAAGGAGGAGCTGTCGTGGGCCCACTTCACAGCAGAGAAACTGAGGCTCAGGCTGTCACTGCCCCAGCTCTGCCTCAGAGGGGATCTGCAGGACAGGGTCTGGCACGGTGGCCCACGACGGGGATGGTTGCTGTTGTCCTCGCATAATCAGGGCACTGTTGGCACACCTGAGTGTTCACCAGCAGCTGGAAATCCAGCACCATTCACACAAAAAACTCTCTCACAGTATGGGACAAATCCCTATTCTGGGGGATAGTGCCTGCCCACGAGGGCTCAATTCCTGGAGGGGCAGGAGGTGTGGGACCACAGAGAAAATACGTCACACCCAGAAAGGGCCCTGGGAGCTGCAGGGGAGCCCTGAGACCTTGGAAGGCCAAGGGCGTGTAGAGAGGCCCCGAAGTAGGAGGGCTTGGCAGGTGGAGACCCCGTCCTGAGAGTATTCTTTCCTTTGTGCCATGTGGGAGCTCCTGCAGTGTGGTTCATCATTCCCATCCTTTTTTTTTTTTTTTTTTGAGATGGAGTCTTGCTCTGTCGCCCATGCTAGAGTGTAGTGGTGCGATCTTGGCTCACTGCAAGCTCCACCTCCCGGGTTCACACCGTTCTCCTGCCTCAGCCTCCTGAGTAGCTGGGACTACAGGTGTGCGCCACCACGCCCGGCTAATTTTTGTATTTTTGGTAGAGACAGAATTTCACCATGTTGGCCAGATCACCTCCTGACCTCAGGTGATCTGCCCGCCTCAGCCTCCTAAAGTGCTAGGATTACAGGCATGAGCCACTGCGCCTGGCCCCATTCCCACCTTCTAAGAGGAAGCCGGGAGGGTCGCAGCACCAGTGACAGTTGGGACATCAGCCTCGGGGTTTGTAAACCTGCTCTGTGCTGGCCGTCTGAGACCCTCTCCCAGCCTCAGTTTCCTCAGCTCCTGGGGCTGCTGGCAGGACGTGTGGGTGTCAGGGCTCAGGCAGGCTGCAGCGCTGGAGTTCCCTCGTCTGCTCCGTCATCCTCATTTGAGTATGTAGTGTCTGTTTTCCCCACTGTGCTCAATGCTGTTTACCCAACTGTTCTCTGCTGGATCCAACCCAGGACAAGTCTTAAAGGCACAGTGTACCCCGTGTCACCTCCATCTACCTTTTTTTTTTCTTTTTTTTGAGATGGAGTCTCGTTCTATTGCTCAGGCTGGAGTGCAGTGGCGCGATTTTGGCTCACTGCAAGCTCCGCCTCCCAGGTTCAAGCGATTCTCCTGCCTCAGGCTCTCGAGTAGCTGGGACTACAGGCGCCCGCCACCACGCCTGGCTAATTTTTTGTATTTTTAGTAGAGACGGGGTTTCACCATGTTAGCCAGGATGGTCTCGATCTCCTGACCTTGTGATCTGCCTACCTCAGCCTCCCAAAGTGAAAGGATTACAGGCGTGAGCCACTGCACCGGGCCCAACCACCTACTTTCAAGTTCTCCTGGAGACCATGAGTGCATGAGCTGTCCAAGACCAGTTTCTAGACGCTGACCCTGAGCTGAGGGACATGTCCCCAGGAGAGACACAGAGGAGGGGTGTGGCTGGGAGGAACGGGCTGGCAGATGCCCCAGCAGAGCAGCCCTATGTGTGGGTGGGTGTGCACACACAAACACTGTATATGTACGAGGGCCCCAGGCCTCTGTGGAGGAGCCCACAGGGTATCTCAGGATGCCTCTCTGGTGCCCAGGGAGGCTTGGTGCATCCCTCTCCCCCATCAAAGACTCTAGTGGATTCTTCTGGGGCTGGCGTTGTGTTGAGTTCAGATCTGCCCCTTCTGGCTTGGGATGTGCTTCCTCATATGTAAAGTGGGTATAAGGCAAGATGGCATGTGAGGACCATGGAGGTGTCACCCCAGCGTGCTCCTCACAGTGCCACCTCAAGCAGGTGGCTCCATCCCGCTGACCAAGAATGAGACCCCAGTGGGGCAGAGAACAGGCACACCGGAGGCTTGGACCTTCTACTCACCCACTGTCCTAGGAGCTGGGACTAAGCACGGTCTAAGCGACCCCCACCGCGTACTATGGGGAGTACAGTTGTGTCTCTCAGACCTGGGGGAACATGCGGTGAAAGCACCAAGCTGTTGAAAGGTCCATGGGTCAGATGGACCATGTTTTCACCTACAGAAAGCCTTCAGAAGCAGCCAGTCCCTGGCCTCCTCCACCTCGGAGAGGCTTGCAGGCAGGTATGCCGTTTCCACATCACCAAGGGAGAAAGCGAGTCTGGCAAGGTGGCGCAGCATGCCCGAGGTGACCCAGCTCTGCATGCCCACCTGCCCGCCTGCACATGCTCTTGCTAACATGAGCGGGAGGAGGACGGGGCTGGCAGTCGGCCCAGGGCAATGGCAACTCCCTGGAAGCCTGTGGTATTGCCAGCACCAGGCGTGGCCCATCCATTCCCCACCCACCTGAAGGAGCTGTTACCTGGCATCAGGGTGGGCCCAGGAGTCTGCATTTCTATCAGGCGGTCCCCAGGGACCACAGCTCTCACTGGGTCAGTGTACAGAGCAGGGAGGTAAGGGAGGCGGGTGTGTAGCGTGGCCACCCCATTTCCAGAAGGACAGAGGAAGGAAGCCCAGGCCTGTGAGGAGGTGCCATGCCATCATCCCCACACTAAAGATGGGATGGCAGAGGCTCAGAGAGCCGAGGGACTTGCCAAGGTCACCAGGCAGGGCTCAGTGGGAGGGGAGGCACAGCCAGGTCAAGGATGATAAGGGGCGAGGTGATGGGAGATGAGCACCACGCAGGTATGAGAGCCTCTCATGCTGTCCACCACAGAGAAGCAATGTGTCCAGGCTGCACAGCGAGGCACAGCTGGCCCTAGAAGGCCACAGAACAACAGAAACAAAGTGGACGTCCACCACAAGGGAGTGGCTAAGTGGATTATGGCCATCTGCATTCGGGAGTGGGATGCCATCGTCTACAGAGCAAGCGAGGCCAGGCCAGCGGATGTGGAGGGGTCCAGCTGCACTGCGGGCAGAGAACAGGCAGGAGCAGGAGGCTGGCCCCTGCTTCCTCTGCTGCACCCTGACACACTGCTCTGTTCCTTCCTGTTTGTGCATCCGTCTCTCCCACTGGGGCTCCCAGGGGCCAGGCTGGGGCTGATGCCACTTTGCATTTATGGACATCTGTGCCTAGCAAAGCTCTTGTCCCCAGCTGCCACAGCAAAGTGGCAGAGAGAGTAGTCATCCCCCACTATCTGTTCTCTTCTTCCTGCTCAGTCACAGGCTGCTGACTTTGAGCTGCACCAGTGGCTTCCCAGAATCAGAGCTGCATTTCTCTCTCCCCTGCAGCTAGAGGTACCCTTATGGCTACATTCTGGCAATGAAAATGTTGTGTGCAACATCAGGGAAGGAACCCTAAACAGAAGGGGTGTGCCATTCTTTATTACTTCCTCTATCTTGCTGGCTGGAAAGTGGATGTAATGGCTGGAGCTCCAACAGCCGTATTGGACCGTGAGGAGACCTTGGCCATGGGAGCCTCAAATAGTGGAGCTGAAGACAGAAGCAACCTGCATCCACAATGCCTGCAGCACAGGCCTCCCTGGGCTGCCCACCTCCAGACTTCTTAGGTGTGAGTAAGGAAAAACAAACAAACAAACAAAAAAACAACTATCCTGTTCAGAGGCTGCTATAATTTAGTTTTTTACTTTTTTTTTTTTTTTTGAGACAGAGTCTCACTCTGTCGCCCAGGCTGGAGTGCAGTGGCGTGATCTCGGCTCACTGCAAGCTCCGCCTCCTGGGTTCACGCCATTCTCCTGCCTCAGCCTCCCAAGTAGCTGGGACTACAGGTGCCCACCACCTCGCCCAGCTAATTTTTTGTATTTTTAGTAGAGACGGGGTTTCACCATGTTAGCCAGGATGGTCTTGATCTTCTGACCTTGTGATCCGCCCGCCTTGGCCTCCCAAAGTACTAGGATTACAGGCGTGAGCCACCGCGCCCGGCCAATTTAGTTTTTTTCTAATAGAGCTGATGTCAATTCTACTTTGGAAAAGTGAGTTAGATTATGTCACTGAACAGCTTAAATCTCCCTGAAGACTCCCCGTGACCATCCTCACTCCTGGCCCCTGCATACCTGAGCCCCCACATCGCCCCACTCCTTGCCCTCCCCTCACCCACTCCATGCTGGCCATCCCCTTCTTTTGTTCTGTCGACTTTTCTCTACCTCAGGGTCTTTGTCCTCCCCATTTCCTCCACCTGAATATCCTGCACCAGATAGCCACATGACTGGCTCCTTCCCATCGTCACCTGAGTGCAGACCACGTGTCTGCACTGGGTCAGTGCCAGTGTTTGTGTGAGTGTTGTCTGCCCTTCTCCCCAAAAGGCCAGCATCTCAGTGGCGGTGGACCCAGAGGGAGGGAAATCTACCTCAAAGCCCCCAGGTGCTGCTGACTGTCTGCCCACCACCCAGGTGGTTGCCCGGGGCATGGCCTGGCCACGTTCTCTTTGCCAGCCTCCAGACGCAGTTCCCAGGCGTCCTTCTGTCCAGCCTGCTCGGCCTAGCCCATGCCCAGCAAACCACTAATGACAGGGGCCACCCAGGCTTCTTATTCTTGGTCCTGACATCAACCGCTGACTCAGGCCACAAAGCCATGGGGCCAGAGAGGGTGGGAGCAAGGATGGGCCTCTGGCGGGGCAGGTGGTCTGTGGTTTGGCGAACAGACATCCACCTGCGAGTCAGATTCAGCCTGGGTGCCTCCCCCTTCCTCTCCCAAGATCCCAGGCCGAGCTCCCAGCGCAGCCTCATCTGCTGGCCTTGGCCCATCCAGGGAGCCAGCTGGGCTGAAGGCCCAACCCTGGGGCTACAATTAGGTAACATCTCCTTAGTCAACTGGGTCTCAAAGCTCAGTACCTGGCCCAGGGCTCAGTGCACAGCCATTAACGGGCCAGTGTGAGCTTGCATCAGATGGTGGTGGGGCTTGTGCACCCAGCCAGCAGGCCCTGTCTCTCCTGCCTCCTCTGCCCGGGACCAAAGTCCTCCTTCTCCAAGTCTGGGGCACCTCCTCCAAGAAACCCCCAGATGCCCCTGAAGGCATCCTCTCTGCACAAACATGCCTCCTCACTAGGTCCACTGGGGCCCACAGGCTTCCCCTTCCCACCCTCAGCCCCCTCGATGGAACCCAGGAAGTTCAGAGGGCTGAACGGGAGCTGTTTCCCTCTGTTAGCACCTGACAGCCTCGAAGACATTTTCCCACCCATCCCAGGCTGTTGGGGTGTCCAGAGCTATGAGTTATGGCTGTTTTCCTAAAAAATTTGAGGGCCGGGCACGGTGGCTCATGCCTGTAATCCCAGCACTTTGGGAGGCCGAGGTAGGCGAATCACTTGAGGTCAGGAGTTGGAGACCAGCCTGGCCAACATGGCGAAACCCTGTCTCTACTAAAAATACAAAAACTAGCTAGGCATAGTGGCTGGTGCCTGTAATTCCAGCTACTTGGGAGGCTGAGGCAGGATAATCGCCTGAACCCGGGAGGCAGAGGTTGCAGTGAGGCAAGATCGTGCCACTACACGCCAGCCTGGGCAACAGAGTGAGACTCCATCTCAAAAAAAATTTTTTTTTTGAAAACGTGGTGACACCACCACCACTGAGAGGCTGAGTATGGAATTGTTACCAAAACACCAGAGTTCTGTCTAGGTCCTGCTTCTCACCGCATACAAAGCTAGTCACTGAGACAAGCATTGCCAAGGAAGAAGCTTTAATCAGGTGCTGCAGCTGAGGAGACCGGAGCTCAGTCTCAAGTCCATCTCCCTGACTGACTAGAACTAGGGGTTTATAGAGCAGGGAAAAAAAGTAACAATGTGTAAGAAAACAGGAACTAGAGAGGGGCAAGAAAGGGTCATGGTGAATCAGGGGTCAGCCATCTCATTGTCTGGTTGCGGTGATTTATTCAAAAAAATAAAAAGAAGGTGGGGGCAGTGGCTCACACCTGTAATCCCAGCACTTTGGGAGGCCGAGGCAGGTGGATCACTTGAGGTCAGGAGTTCGAGACCAGCCTGGAGAACACGGTGAAACCCCATCTCTACTAAAAAAATTAAAATAGGTCAGGGTGTGGTGGCTCATGCCTGTAATCTCAGCACTTTAGGAAGCCAAGGCGGGCAGATTACCTGAGGTCAGGAATTTGAGACCAGCCTGACCAACATGGTAAAACCCATCTCTACTAAAAATACAAAATTAGCCGGGCGTGTTGGTGCATGTCTGTAATCCCAGCTACTCAGGAGGCTGGGGTAGGAGAATCGCTTGAACCTGGAGGTTGAGGTTGCAGTGAGCTGAGATTGTGCCATTGCACTCCAGCCTGGGCAACGAGAGTGAAACTCCATCTCAAAAAAAAAAAAAAAAAAAAAAATTAGCTGGGCGTGGTGGCGGGCGCTGGTAGTCCCAGCTACTTGGGAGGCTGAGGCAGTAAAATTGTTTGAACCTGGGAGGCAGAGGTTGCAGTGGGCCAAGAACTCACCATTGCACTCCAGCCTGGATGACAGAGGAAGACTCCATCTCAAGAAAAAAAAATATATATGTATAGAAAAGAAAAGAAAGACTGTCTATGGGACTATTGGTTGGATTTCAACAGCAGTCACTGCTGAGCACACTGTAGCCCAGGTGGGGTGTGCATGATCTCATTATGGTGTTGTTGTGTCCTTTCTACAGACGGGGAAACTGGGGCTCTGAGAGCTGAGATTCAAACCCAGATTGCCTGAGTCCACACTGCACCCTCTGCCTACTGTGGCTGGGTGCCAGGAGCTACCTCGCAGCCAAGCCAAAGCCCTTTCCTGTCCTGCCTAGGGAATCTCAGCCCACCTCAGGCCCAAGGCTACCCGTAGCTTCCTTGGGGGAGACCTCTGTGAATGTCACAAGAGCCTGCAGTGGGGTGGGGGCTTCAGGCTCAGGCTGTGGAAGCCTCCTGTCCCCACTCCCTCCCTGTCCTGTGGCAGGGAGGGGACAGGGGTCAGCCTGCGACTTCTGAGCATGAGCTCACACCAGTAGAACACCATCACTCCCGGCCTAGAGGGAGTTGTCTGGTCCTGTTTCTGGTTGGGCCTGCGGTTTTCAAACTTGGACATGCATCAGAACTCTGTGAGAACACAGCTCACTGGGACCAGCCCAGAGGGGCTGATGCTGCTGGCCCAGGAACCCTACTCCAAGCCACCGGGCACAGCTGTCCCTGCAAGTTCTGAGGCAGGGATGTGGGCCAAGCTGAGGATTGACGCAGGGGCACAGGTAGGGGAGAGCCTGCTTCTGAGAAGCTGCCCCCTGTAAGTCTGGGGCCCAGTGCCTCCCACAAGCCCTCCCACTGTCCCTCAGCATGAGGCAGGTGTCCCTCCACTGTGGAAAAGTCAGGAGTCATCAGTGTGGCATGTTGGAAACAAACATACTATAAACATACCATTTTTAGTTATTTTCCTTGCATAAATCCGTGAAGGGACGAGGCCTAAAGAGGACTCCGTCCCAAGCCCGAGAGAGTCAGCCCACATGTTTTCATGCTGGTTGGGATCATTGTGTTCAGGCTGGGGATGTCCTCACTGGGTCAAGTAGAGGGTTGGTGAGCACATTCAGGCCAGCAGGTAAGCGAGTGTCGCCTTCATTTTGGTCAAGGATATGTCATCAGGGGCCAGGTGTGGTGGCTCACACCTGTAATCCCAGCACTTTGGGAGGCCAAGGCAGGCGGATCACTTGAGGTCAGGAGTTCGAGACCAGCCTGGCCAACATGACAACACCCCATGTCTACTGAAAATACAAAAATTAGCTAGCGTGGTGGTGCATGCCTGTAATCCCAGCTACTCGGGAGGCTGAGGCACGAGAATTGCCTGAACCAGGGGTTGGAGGTTGCAGCGGGTGGAAATTTTGCCACTGCACTCCAGCCTGGGTGACAGAGTGAGACCCTGTCTCAAAGAAAAAAAAAAAAAGATACATCATCTGGGACAATAACCTTGAAAAGCAGGGGTCCCAGACGACCTTATTTGCAGAGAATGCGACTGCAGACGGCAAGCAGGGGGGCATGCCCTTCGCTCTCTGTCCTCTGCTCTTTGCCCCGGCCACTGTCGGCCTCATCTGAAGGCCACCTGTGCCTCACGGTCTGAAAACGCTGGTTTCCACAGCTGCTTCTCCTTCCAAATTTCCCTGGAGTCTTGCTTTGGTGGCGAACCTCTGGTTCTATTCCTTCCTTTTAACTGAAGCCTATAGGAAAAATTTGGAAGTTGAAATATGCCAGTCCAAGGAAGGTGGACGTGGAGTTCTGAGGGTGGGGGTGCTGCCAGGGAAGTGGCACTGTGCAGGGGACCGCCCCTGGGACCCCCTGGTTCCTGTCAAGAGCAGGTAGGGGCTGGGCGCGGTGGCTCACGCCTATAATCCCAGCACTTTGGGAGGTCAAGGAGAGTGGATCACCTAAGGTCAGGAGTTCAAGACCAGCTGACCAACATGGTGAAACCCCGTCTCTACTAAAAATACAAAAATTAGCTGGGCGTGGTGGCAGGCGCCTATAATCCCAGGTATTCAGGAGGCTGAGGCAGGAGAATAGCTTGAACCCAGGAGGCAGAGGTTGCAGTGAGCTGAGATCGCACCACTGCACTCCAGCCTGGGCGACAGAGCGAGACTCTGTCTACACACACACACACACACACACAGACACACACACACACACAGATCAGGTAGGATGTGAGGTGTGTCCTCATGGCCGGACATGGGGTGGGTGGGGCCAAACAACCACAGGGACTCGTCCTGTGGCCACTGCTGCTCAGGAAGTGGATCCCAAGGAGCAGAGTCGCCAGACCCCTCAGTTCCCAGCTCCACATTTAAGGCAGGTCTGGCCATGAGCCAGGCCTCTGCATGTGACCTGGGGCCTCACTGTGGCATGGCTGCCTGTCCCACCTGTGGATGTTGCCTGTGCTGTGTAGAAGCCACATAGCCTCCGGGGCGGCTCCCCAGAATGCCACATTTCCTGTCTCTGGCTCTGATGGCGTCTAGGCTGGCAGGGGTCCCGGCCCCAGCAGTACTGTTGCCGGGCAGAGCTCAGGGCCACGTGCAGTTGGGTCTGGCTGAGAGCATCTCATGGGTTTATGAGAACCCTTCCAGCACAAAGGGGCATTTATCAGGCAGGGATGGCATGTCTTGGTCTGAACACAGGAAACACAGAAATAGCCTTTCACAGAGTGCCAGCAGGGCTGGGCTCGCCTGCTGTGGAGGGTGTCGGCTTTCCAACTCCTTCTCCAAGCTGTGCGACCCGTCCATGTTCCCCTGTGAGTTGTTCTGTCCCAGACAGGGCATTCCCTGAGAACGCTCCTGCTGCAACTGGAGGGAGAGAGGCAGGGAGGGGAAAGGGGAAGACTTGCAGGGAGAAGGAAGAAGGGAGACAGATGGAGACAGACAGAAGGAGGGATGGAAGAAATGAGAGAGAGAGAGGGAGGGAGATGGAAACATAGATTGTCTCCACTGTGACACCCTGCCTCCATGGTTCTCCATGATGGGAATGGAATTCATGTCTCACCTGGCAGCAAGGGTCTCCACAATATGACTTCACCTTCTTTCTCTTAGTAAGGCGAGAGCAGACAGGCAGACACTCCAGGAAGTAACTGATGTGTCCCTGAAAATGCCTGTCTTTCCCAGCTTGTACAACTTTGCTTGTGTTATTTCTTCTGCCTATAATGACTCTCAAAATATCCAGATTGCAAAAGAATTAAGCCCCTTTTGATACCTATAAATAATTTCTATCATTGTAATATACTAAAAACCAATGATAGTAAGGTTTTGGAGAGGTAAAAAGCAGTCTCGTTGCCAGTACAGAGATTGAAGATTCAAAGGCTTCACTAATTAGGATGTGTTTTTCTCTCACATGAAAAAAGCCTGGATATAGGCAATCTAAGGCCAGCATGGTACCCCCGTAATTTTTTTTTTTTTGAGATGGAGTTTCACTCAGGCTGGAGTGCAATGGTGCAATCTCAGCTCACTGCAACCTCTGCCCCCGGGTTCAAGTGATTCTCCTTTCTCAGCCTCCCAGGTAGTTGGGATTACAGGTGCCTGCTGCCCCACCCAGCTATTTTTTTTTTTTTTGTATTTTTAGTAAAGACAGGTTTCCATCATGTTGGCCAGGTTGGTCTCGACCTCCTGACCTCAAGTGATCCAGCCACCTTGGCCTCCCATAGTGCTGGGATTACAGGCCTGAGCCACCGTGCCTGGCCTGTTTCTTTTTTTTTTTTTTTTTTTGAGACGGAGTCTCACTCTGTCGCCCAGTCTGGAGTGCAGTGGTGTGATCTTGGCTCACTGTAAGCTCCGCCTTCCGGGTTCACACCATTCTCCTGCCTCAGCCTCCTGAGTAGCTGGGACTACAGGTGCCCGCCACCACACCCAGCTAATTTTTTGTATTTTTTAGTAGAGAACGGGGTTTCACCGTATTAGCCAGAATGGTCTCGATCCCCTGACCTCATGATCCACCCGCCTCGACCTCCCAAAGTGCTGGGATTACAGGCGTGAGCCACCATGCCCAGCCGTGTGGCCTGTTTCTTTTGTTTCTGTTTTTGTGTTTTGAGACAGAGTCTTGCTCTGTCTCCCAGGCTGGAGTGCAGTGGGGCAATCTCGGCTCACTGCAACCTCTGCCTCCTGGGTTCAAGCAATTCTCTTGCTTCAGCCTCCTGAGTAGCTGGGATTACAGGTGCCCACTACCATGCCTGGCTAATTTTTGTATTTTTAGTAGACGGGGTTTCACCCTGTGGGTGAGGCTGGTCTCGAACTCCTGACCTCAAGTGATTTGCCCTCCTTGGCCACCCAAAGTGCTGGGATTACAGGCGTGAGCCACCATGCTTGGCCCCCATAATGTTACTGGGGATCTTTCTTTTCTGCTTTGCAAAGTGTATAAATTCCATCCTCAAAGTAGCCTCATGGTCCATGAGGGCTGCTGGCTAGCCAACCATCACAGCAGGAAGCAGATGTTGGGAGCACAGCAGGGCTCATTTCCAGTTGTCCCCTCTTATGGAGCTTTCCAGATGACCCACTCAATTAATTCTTCTTACATTTCATTGCTACCACTATTTACAAGGTAGGCTAGGTACAGTGTCCCTCAGAATAAAATCAGAGCTCATTTCCTGCGGAACACAGCTGGGTTATCTGCATTGTCTGCCTCAGGCCAGCACCTGTAAATACAGCTGGTGGAGAGGGGCAGTGGCTGATTCTTCTGGGTGGCAAATTTTAAAATATATGCCAAGAGTGATTCAAATATTCATTTCCTCTCATGTAGTCTCAAGTGTGTGACTTTATGTTTGGGAAACCCAAAGAAAGGTGGAGAAGCACATGCATGAAGATATCCATTGCCCCCTGATTGTTAAGCATGACAAGTCAGAAACAACTGAAATTTCCAACAGTGGGAAAAACACAAGCATGCTATGTTCTGAAATTCACTTGGTGGAATGTTCCGTCAGTCACTGTGATATGGTTTGGCTGTGTCCCCACCCAAATCTCATCTTGAATTGTAGCTCCCATAATTCCCTTGTGTTGTGGGAGGGACCCAGTGGGAGATAAATGAATCATGGGGGCGGTTTCCCCCATACTGTTCTCGTGGTAGTGAATAAGGATCATGAGATCTGATGGTTTAATATGGGGAAACCCCTGTCTCTTCGCTGTCATTCTTCTCATGTCTGCCACCATGTGAGACGTGCCTTTCGCCTTCCATCATGATTGTGAGGCCTCCCCAGCCACATGGAACTGTGAGTCGGTTAAATCTCTTTCTTTTGTAAATTGCCCAGTCTCCAGTATGTCTTTATAGCAGCATGAAAACTGACTAATACACACTACACACTGTAAATGTTAGTCATGGAGGATGTGTACCAACATGGAAGAGTGTTTACAATGTATCTTTAGAGAAAAGATGGACTATCCAAGTATGCATACTGGAATTATCATTAGATTACCATACATCTGGGTGAGGAGCAGAACAGAGACATAAGGTGAGTTTGTGGGCAAGGTTTTCTTTTTAAACTTCCCAAAAGCTTGCTTTACATACATGTAGGCTTAAATAATTTTTTTTTGAGAGATAGTTTCACTCTTATTGCCCAGGCTGGAGTGCAGTGGCACAATCTCAGCTCACTGCAACCTCCGCCTCCCGGGTTCAAGTGATTCTCCTGCCTCAGCCTCCTGAATAGCTGGGATTACAGGCACCCGCCTCCAAGCCCAGCTAACTTTTTGTATTTTTAATAGAGATGGGGTTTCATCATGTTGGCCAGGCTGGTCTTGAACATCTGACCTCAAGTGATCCACCTGCCTCGGCCTCCCAAAGTGCTGGGATTACAGACATGAGCCACCATGCCCAGCCAAATAACATTTTTCTTATTTTAAAAAGTAAGTTCATTGTAAAAAGTTTAGAAAACAAAGGTAAGAAAAAAAATAATTCTGTTGCCCAGAAATAAAAACTGTCCATGTTTTGATATTGTATCCTCAGTAACAGCAACCGTGAACCTCAGAGGCAGCCAAGGGTGAGTATTTATGTCTTGCTCTTGCACCTGTGGGTTGGTTGGCATTTGGCTGATCTTGGTGGACTTGGTCCCAACTGTGGCCTTGCTCTGTGTGTCTCTCATTCTCCTGGGCCCACCTGGTTCTCAGGAAATGTTCCTCCCATATGGAAAGTCAGAAGCTGCCAGAGAGGCAAGTGGAGCATGCAAGACAACTGATGGCATAGTCTCAGAACTGACCATGAATACTGCTCTCCACTTTCCATTGACCAAAGCAAGTCCAACGTTGTGGGAAAGGGTCCCTCACCCACAGTGGGAGGTGAGGGGTGTGGACACTTGCCACTTGCTGATTGATGACCAAAATATCCCAGGTATATACCCTTTCACACTTTTCCTATGCTTTTTTAAATAAAGACACTCTTTACCAATCAGAATCACTCTACATATTGTTTTGCCACTCAGTTATATGTATGACTACATCTTTTTATGTCATAAAAATTCTTCTGCAACATGTGACTGCTTGCAATTCTATTTTGTGGTCATATCATGATTTATTCAACCTGATGGACATTTATCTTTTCCTTTATTTATTTATTTATTTAGTTATTTACTAAGATGGATTTTCCCTCTTGTCACCCAGGCTGGAGTGCAATGGCACCATCGCGGCTCACTGCAACCTCCACCTCCTGGGTTCAAGCGATTCTCCTGCCTCAGCCTCCCGAGTAGCTGGGATTACAGGTGCCCACCACCACGCCCAGCTAATTTGTGTATTTTTAGTAGAGACGGGTTTCACCATGCTGGCCTCGAACTCCTGACTTCAGGTGATCCACCTGCCTCGGCCTCCCAAAGTGCCGGGATTACAGGTGTGAGCCACTGTGCCTGGCATCCTTCTTTTTTTCTTCTGAAAACAACACTATAATGGCCATCCTCTCCTGGTATATAAATCTCTGCACACATACTTGAGTGATTTAAGAATTAATTGCCAGCCTCAGGATGGCCCCCAATGATCCTTGCTTCCGTATTCATAACCAGCATAGTCTCCCTTCCCAGTAAATCAGGGAGACTGCATGTGGCCAGTAAATTCCAGCAGAGGTAGATGGTGTGTGACGTCTAAGGCTGGGTCATAAAGCACACTGTGGCTTCAGACTTTCCCTTCTGGACTGCTCATTTTAGGGGAAGCCAGCCACCATGTCATAAGGACAAAGCAGCCCTGAGGAGAACCAATCCCTTGGGGAGGAACTCGGCCCCCAGTCAGCAGCCAATACCAACTTGCCCATGTGTGAGTTAGTCACCTTGAAAGTGGATCTGCTGTCCCAGCCAAGCCTTCAGATGAGACCACAGCTCTGGCCAACACCTGACTGCAGCCTCATGAGAGACCCAGAGAACCATCCTGTTGAGTCTCTCTTGAATTCTTGGCCCATAGAAATTGCTAGTGATAGTAAATTATTCTTGTTTTTTAAACCACTAAGTTTTAGGTTAATTTATTACACAGCAGGAATGATAACTTAAATGGTGACTATTTTGGTCAAAAGAGGCCAGGCTCTGCTACAGTATCAAATAAACCACACTTGATGGCTAATACAATAAGGTTTATTTCATACTCACTTACACCTGATGTGGGTAGGAGGGCTCTCCTGCTTGGCACGCAAGTCCCAGGGATGCAGAGTATTTTCACCTAGAAGCAGGTCACTTCTTCTCACATTCAGGTGGTGAGAAAGCTGTGTTATCACACCCAGGAGCATGGAGCCAAGAAACATAGTTTAGTTGTATGCCCCAGAATATAACTAAATAAACGTTTAGTATTGCCTCTGCCACAGTGAATCAAGAGAAATGAAAGTGACTACTATGTATTTGAAAAGTAAAAATTCCCAGAAGTACAGAAATGCATATTGAAACTGATTCATGATTTTTCACTTCCTGTGGAATAAACAAAACTCCCTTTTTGAAATCTGAGAATATCCAAACTTCCACAATTGCTACAGGATAAACACTTCCATATACAGCTGGTAGGAATAAGAATAGGCTTGACTTTTCCAGATGATAAAGTTGCAAGATTTATCCACAGCCTTTAAAATATTTATATTCCTTGACCCAAATAATTTTGCTTCTGGGAATCTATTATAGGGAGATATATATATATATATATATATATATATTTTTTTTTTTTTTTTTTTTTTTGAGACGGAGTCTTGCATGTCACCCAGGCTGGAATGCAGTGGTGCAATCTCGGCTTGCTGCAAGCTCCGCCTCCCAGGTTCACACCATTCTCCTGCCTCAGCCTCTTGAGTAGCTGGGACTACAGGCGCCCGCCACCACGCCTGGCTAATTTTTTGTATTTTTAGTAGAGATGAGGTTTCACTGTGTTAGCCAGGATGGTCTCTATCTCCTGACCTCGTGATCCCCCTGCCTCGGCCTCCCAAAGTGTTGGGATTACAGGCGTGAGCCACTGCGCCCAGCCAGGGAGATATTTTTTAATAAGATAAAAGCTTTATGCATAATTCACCATGGCATTATATGTAATAAGGAAAAGTTGTAGGCAACTTAGATGTATGCCAGAGAAAAGATAAATTACGGTACCGCCATATGATAGAATATGTGCAAGCATTACAGGAAGTACAGTGGAGCCCGTCAAAGCTGACTCTACAGCCTTTCTTGGAAAAGACTGCAGAGCTGAATAATCAGCAATGATGTAAATGCAGATACATAGGAAATAAACATTGAAATGTTACCAGTGGTGTCCTCTGGGTGATGGGATGAGATTTGCTTCCTCTGTGCCCTTGCCGTCCTTTCCCAGTTCCCCCAGGGGGCACATGGCACATTTGTAGCCCTGCTGGTCTTTCCCTGTCCATCTGTTTATTTGTTAGATAACAAAAATGCCCTTCTTCAGAGGACTTGCCTCTGGTGCAGTGCCATGTGTACTTCCTACATTATTATCATTATTATTATTTTGAGATGAGTCTCACTCTGTTGCCCAGGCTGGAGTGCAGTGGTGCGATCTCGGCTCACTGCAACCTCCACCTCCTGGGCTCAAGTGAGTCTCCTGCCTCAGCCTCCCAAGTAGCTGGGACTACAGACACCCGCCACCACGCCCGGCTAATTTTGTAGAGACGGGGTTTCACCATGTTGGTGAGGTTGAACTCCTGACCTCAGGTGATCCACCTGCCTCAGCCTCCCAAAGTGCTGGGATTACAGGCATGAGCCACTGCGCCCAGCACAGAGGTTCCTTTTGACTCAGTGTCCTGGATTGCAAATGAAGCAGGTGAGGCAGTAATAGTGGGGCCTCACAGTTGTGCCATGATGGGTCAGGACCGTGGGGTCTGAGTACGGAAAAGACTGAAGAACATAGAGTTCTTGGAAAGCTTCACAGAGGAGGACAAAAATAAGAGAGAGTGTGGAGAGAGAGAAAGAAGGGAGTAGGGAGAGGGAGGGAGGAAAAGGGGTGATGGGGACCGAGCCTCTCCCATTGCTCCCCGACCCCAGCACACCTGCATGGTCTGGTTGTCCCCTGAGGCCGCTGCCCACCTTCTTGCTGACTTTGCTAGGGCTACGGTGACCATGAGCTCCCTCTAGCAAGTAGAGCTGTCCACGACCAGTGCGCCCCCATCTGCAGTGATTGGCTTGGGCCCTTGTGACATGAGGGCTTGCTTCCCGCAGCCTTGCAACAGGTATCCTTGGCCAGGATTGGCCCCTTTCCACTCTCCCAGTGGCCGTTGGACATGAGTGTCCAGCTCCCCAACTAGGGTGGCAGTTCTGGCTTTGGTATAGGACACATCATCACCAAAGGCCAGTAACCACAACCATCACCCATCCCTGCACTCAGAGTTTGAGGTGGGGGCCACCCCTGGGGTGAGGCACCAGCTCGCAGAGGCCTTGGGGTCAGGTGGCAATGCTTGCCCCAGCGGGTTCTAACAGCTGCCCTCACTCCCTGGGACTCATTGCTGTCCTTGGGGTGTGGTGAAAGACAGGGAGCAATTACTGTCACTAGGATCTGCTTACAGTGTCTGCCCTTAACCCTGGTGTCCACAAGACTGTAGGACAGAGGAGTCAGAAGCTCTTTTCTCTGTTAAAAATTCTAAACATAGTAGAAAATAGCAGCATTTATTTCCCTCCTTTTTTCCCCTTGTTTCTGTGAATTTGCTTTAAACATAAATGTCAATTAAAGTGGACTCCGATTATCATTTTTCTTCCTTCTCTCCATACTGGGCTCATGTGCTGGCCCGCTTGGGAATGAGGGAGGCACCCATTCTTCCCAAGATGGATTCCAGAAGCAACATGAGGCCTCTGGTCGTGGAGATACGGAGGTAGGTGAAATGCTTGTACTTCATCTCCAGGTCAGGTGAGAGTGAATGTTTTAAAGGCAGCATCACAACTTATCACCAAATGTGTGTCCTCCCTCTGGTGTCCAGCCTGACCTTGGGAGATGGTGGCCAGAGAATTCATCCTTGGGCACGCTGCCAGAGTTGGGCCTCATCTCTGGGATGCTGTTGGCCTTCTCCTCAGGGTTGCTGCCTCCTGGTCACAATAGGGCTGCTTGAGGTCCAGACAGCATGTCTGTGTGAAGTCCAGGGAGAAACAGGGAGGAGATCACAAGCCACATGGGCCCCCTTTTCTCTTAAAAGCAAAGGCCCTAAATTTCCCCGGTAGACTGCACCTTAAGTTTCAGGGCCACCCTTATCTTTGAGGAAGGCTGGGAAATACGGAACTGAATTGGCCACATCTTGACCTGTCACCTGGACTGAATATGCTGTCCCCTGGGGCAGAGAATGGATATATCCAGTATCCATTCTTTCATTCTTTTTTTTCTTTTTGAGATGGAGTTTTGCTCTTGTTGCCCAGGCTGGAGTGCAATAGCACGATCTCAGCTCACCGCAACCTCTGCATCCCAGGTTCAAGCGATTCTCCTGCCTCAGCCTCCTGAGTAGCTGGGATTACAGGCGCCCACCATGACGCCTAGCTAATTTTTGTATTTTTAGTAAAGACTGTATTTTTAGTAGTTTCACCATGTTGGCCAGGCTGGTCTCGAACTCCTGACTGCAGGTAGCAGTGCTACCTGAAGTCCTACCCAGAGTGCTGGGATTACAGGCATGAGCCACCTTGCCCCACCACAAAATGTTTTTGAGGCTCATCCATATTGCTACCTGGATCAGCAATTCTGAAGTCCTTCTCCCTGCTAACCAGCACGCCACTGTTGGGATGCACCCCAGTGTGTTTATCCATGTACCTGGGGAATAGACGTTTGGGTTGTTCAGCTTTAGTTGTTACAAATAAATCTATTCCTTAAGACACTGGTGTGTAAGTACTTGTTTACTCAAACAAGTACTTCTCCTGAGTAAACAGAATTAAATTTCCACATTATATAGTAAATGTATGTTTAGTTTTATAAGAAACTGACAGACCATTTTCCAGAGTGGCTGTGTGTTCCATTTGCTCCGTGTCCTAACACTTGATATTTTCCGGGTTTTGAGATTTTAGCCATTATAATGTGTTTGAAGTAGTAACTCACTGAGGTTTTAGTTATCCGTTCCCTGGTGACTAATGGTATTGCACACAAATTCGTGTTCATTAGCTCTTCATATATTTTCTTTTCTTTTTTTTGAAATGGAGTCTCGCTCTGTTGCCCAGGTTGGAGTGCAGTGGTGCAATCTCGGCTCACTGCAAGCTCCGCCTCCCCAGGTTCACACCATTCTCCTGCCTCAGCCTCCTGAGTAGCTGGGACTACAGGCGCCTGCCACCACGCCCGGCTAACTTTTTGTATTTTTAGTAGAGACGGGGTTTCACCATGTTAGCCAGGATGGTCTCGATCTCCTGACCTCGTGATCCGCCTGCCTCAGCCTCCCAAAGTGCTGGGATTACAGGCATGATTCACTGCGCCCAGCCAGCTCTTCATATATTTTCTTTTGTGAAGGGTCTGTTCAGGTCTTTGGCTCATTTTAAAATTCAGGTCCATCTAAAAAAATTTTTGTTTTAATTAGCTGGGCATGGTGATGCATGTCTGTAGTCCCAGGTACTCAGGAGGCTGAGATGGGAGGATTCCTTGAGCCCAGGAGGTCAAGGCTGCATGCCGTGAGCTGTGATTGTACCTCTGCACTCTAGCCTGGGCAACAGAGAAAGATTGCATCTCTAAAAAATAATAATAAAATCCAGGTTATTCATTTTTTAGCATTGACTTTTAAAAGGAGTTCTTTATATATTATGGATATGTGGTTTTTTTTTTTTTTTGAGATGGAGTCTCACTCTGTCACCCAGGCTGGAGTGCGGTGATCCGATCTCGGCTCACTGTAACCTCTGTCTCCTGGGTTCAAGCGATTCTCCTGCCTCAGCCTCCTGAGTAGCTGGGACTACAGATGTGCACCACCACGCCCGGCTAATTTTTGTATTTTTAGTAGACACGGGTTTCACCATGTTGGCCAGGCTGGTCTCGAACTCCTGACTTCAGGTGATCCACCCCCCTCAGCCTCCCAAAGTGCTGGGATTACAGGCATGAGCCACCGTGCTGGGCCTGGATACATGTTCTTTTTCAGATATAGTTGTAAATATTTTTTCCAGTTCTATGTCTTGTCTATTATTTTCTTAATAGTGTCTTTTGATAAGCAGAAGGTTTAAATTTTTGAAGCCCACCTGGCCAAATTTTACGGTTATTTCTTTTGGCATCCTGTCCAAGAGGTCTCTTTTTTCCCCTAGGGTCACTGCATCAGTTCACTACCTCTGAGCTCCAAGTCACCCTTCAGTTCCTGCTCTGGGATAACATTTCTCCCTCCCAGTGAGTGCAGTGCCAGCCTTTTGGCAATAGAGGGCGCTGGGGGCACTGTAGGAGGAGGAAGGGGCTCTTCTGTGGACTCCCACAGCTGCAGGGCAGGTCCATGGTGTGGGGTGCTGGCCATGTACTCCAAATGCGCGTCCCCTTTCGACCCTGGCTGGTGACTACCTTTCCATCCCCTCTTGATCTGGAATTCCACATGCTCCAGGCCTGCCTACACCCAGACTCGCTGCATACCTGGCCGGCGGGGCCCCAGTTCCACAGTGCCTGCACCCCACCAGCAGCGGCTGCAGACTAGCCCGGGCCAGGCAAACCCGTGGACTTAGCAGCAGACAAAAGCACATCTAGAGGGCCTCAAATACACCTTCTCTGTGGAGGCCTCACTCCTTCCACATGGGCCTTCCTGGTGCCTCGCTCGGCCCTCGAGCACCTGAGTTTTCTTACATCTTCTCAGTGTGTTTCCTATCCCTGATGACACAGCCACAGAGATACTCCTCTATGTCTTCCTCTGGAAGCTTTAGGTCTGTGATCAATGTGACATGATTTTTCTTTTGCCATCTTAACTATGTTTTTTTTTTTTTTTTTGAGACAGAGTCTCGCTCTGTCGCCCAGGCTGGAGTGCAATGATGTGATCTTGGCTCGCTGCAACCTCTGCCTCCCGGGTTAAAGCGATTCTCCTGTCTGAGTAGCTACTCCTCCTGAGTAGCTGGGTCTACAGGCACGTGCCACCACGCCGAGATAATTTTTGTATTTTTAGTAGAGATGGGGTTTCGCTATGTTGGCCAGGCTGGCCTTGAACTCCTGACCCCAGGTGATCCACCCGCCTTGGCCTCCCAAAGTGCTAGGATTACAGGCATGAGCCACCGCGCCTGGCCTTAACCATGTTAAGTGTATAGTTCAGTAGTGTAAATATATCCAGATTTATGAAACAGACCTCTAGAGCTTTTTCATTATCCCAAACTGAAACTCTGTCCCCATTCAATGCTGACTCCCCATTCCTCCCTCCCCCAGGCCCTAGCAGCCGCCATCCGACTCTCTGTTTCTATGAATGCAACTCCTCTGGGTATCACATATACGTGGAATCATGCAGTATGTGTCCTTTTGTGATCAAGTTATTTCATTTAGCATAGTGGCCTCAAGGTTCATCCGTGTGTAGCATGTGCCAGAATGTCCTTCTTGTTGAGACTGAATAACATTCCATCATATGGAGACACCACATTTTGTTTATCTGCTCATCTGTTGCTGGACACTTGTGTTGCTTCCGTATCCTGGCTCTGTGGATAATGCTGCTGTGAACCTGGGTGTGCAGATAGAAGAAAATGTGTCAGTGAATGCGGCAGGTAGCAATAAGGAGATGACTTCCCAGTGCCTGCTCAGTGCTAACACGGGGCAGTGAGGCTCCGGGAGGTGATGGGGGAAGGGTGTCAATGGAGCCATCCAAAGCCAGCACATGGTGTTTAGGATTTAGAAGACAAGCAAACAAGTGCAGCGTGGCCTGAGGCTGTGCTTTTTCTGCGCTGGTCATGCTGGGACCCAAGAGGCATTGGTACTGTGCTATCCGCCTCCCTGCCTCCCCTCCACACTTTCTCTCACACGCCCCTCCCCTCTTAGTTGACTATAAACCTATTTTCACAAGTGTTCAGTGTGAGAAGGGCTCTTGACTAAGTTAAGGCTCAGGCACTGGGCTCGGAAGCGGCTGAGCGCCCAACCCCGTGTGTGGGACCGCTGCCTGCGCAGAGGGGGCAGCCCAGTGTGGGGCCTCCGCAGAACGTCACTTCAGCCTCTTTGTTCACTGGCATCTGTGGAGCCTTTTCCATTCTGGGCTGCCATCCCTTTGGCACCCAGAGGGCTTTCCTGACACCCAAACAGCAGATGGTCAGGAAATGAAGACTCACACTAACATCAACCAGAGGAAAATCTAATTCAATTGGTAGAATCTGCAGTCAGGGAAGCATGTGGCTGGACACATGTCATCTTCTTAGGGCAATGCCCTCTGCCAGTGGGACAGTAAGTGCTAGAAACCGTGGGTGGTGTGGCCTTCGAAGGCCAATGACCTACAACCAACAGCTGGGCAGGCCGGGGCTGGTGGGAGTTTATGTCCTCCTCTGGGTCAGCTTCTCTCCTAGGCTCACGGGAGTCCCTAGGCTTCAGGCCTGGGTTCCCTTCTCCCTGCTGCAGGTACGGGGTTACTGGGGGATGCTCAGCTGGAGCACCTGCCGTGAGCCAGGCCCTGCGCCAGGGGCTCTATATGCTTTGTCACTCAGGGCTAAGTGTCGCTATGAGTGACACAAACGGCAAAGTACCAGTTGCTTAAACAAGACAGTCATTTCTTTACTACACAAATGATGTCTGGAGGCATGCTGTACATGGCTGCGGTGGCAGCTCCACATTCTCAGACACCCATTTCCTCCCAGCTTCCTGCCCTGGCTTTCTCCACGTGTAGCCTCCACCTCATGACCTAAGATAGCTGCTTGAGTTCCAGTCATCAAGCTTGCATCCCAGCCAGCAGGAAGGAGGAAGGGAGGAAGAAAGGTGCGCTCTGACCCTCCAAGACACTTCTCAGAGCTTTCTGGACACTTTCACTCATGTGTCGTGGCCAGAACTTCACCAAGTGGCCATACCTAGCTACAACGGAAGCTGGGAGATGTAGTTTCTACTCCAGGCAACCATGTTCTCAACTAAAGTTCAGGGTTTCTATGCCTAAGGAAGAAAAAGAGAATGAATAGCGGAGGACACTTAGCCATCTCAGCTACACACACCTAATTTCTATAAGTTCTAGTAATATTTAAACGTTTAAACCTTATTTATATATTTTTGTTATAGACTAATCACACAGTATGAAATTCAAAATGGTGTATGGTTAACCTTTCCTTCCCTCTCCTATCCCCAAGGTGCCCAGTGCTACCAAAGGCCATCTAGGCCAGCAGCCCTCAAAGAGGATCCCAGGACCACAGTGCCAGCATCCTTGGAAACGTGTTGGAAATGCAGATTCTCAGGCCCTGGCCTCTTCCACCCCACTGATTTAGAAGGTCTGAGGGTGAGGCCAGGAGTCTATATTTTAGCAAGCCTGCTGGGGGCTCTGATGCCTGCTGACCATCCCCGGGTTGTGCGAAATCAGGCTGATACATCTATCTGTAGGTCTCCCTGGCCCCCATCTGCACCACTCTCACATTTCAGTGAACAACTTTCAGCACTGTTAGTTTTCCCCTTTCTATTCGTTTATTTATTTATTTTTATTTTATTTTATTTTTTGAGATGGAGTTTCACTTTGCTGCCCAGGGTATAGTGCAGTGGCAGGATCTCAGCTCACTGCAATCTCCACCTCCTGGGTTCAACAGATTCTCGTGCCTCAGCCTCCTGAGTAGCTGGGACTACAGGCGCCCGCCACCACGCCTGGCTAATTTTGTATTTTTAGTACAGACTGGGTTTCACCATGTTGGTCAGGCTGGTCTCGAACTCCTGACCTCAGGTGATCCGCCCCCAGGTGATCCGCCCCCTCTTGGCCTCCCAAAGTGCTGGGATCACAGGTGTGAGCCACCATGCCCGGCCTTCCCCTTCCTATTTATTTATTTATTTATATTTTTTGAGACAGGGTCTCACTTTTTCCACCCAGGCTGGAGTGCAGTGGTGTGATCATGGCTTACTGCAGCCTCAACCTCCTGGGCTCAAGGGATCCTCCTACTTCAGCCTCCCAAGTAGCTGGGACTATAGGCACACATCACCACGCCTGGCTAATTTTTGTATGTTTAGTAGATACGGGGTTTCCCCATGTTGGCCAGGCTGGTCTCAAACTCCTGGCTCAAGTGATCCACCTGCCTCGGCCTCCCAAAGTGCTGGGATTACAAGCGTGAGCCACTGCAGCTGGCCCCCACTTCCTTTTTAAACAGCTTTAGTAAGATATAATTCACATACCATACAATGCACCCGTTTAAAGTGTATGATTCAGTACTTTCTAGTATATTCACAGAGTGGTACATCTATCACCACAATTTTAGAACATTTTCATCATTCCTATTTATTTATTTATTTTTTTCGAGACAGAGTTTTGCTCTGTCACCCAGGCTGGAGTTCAGTGGCGTGATCTTGGCTCACGGCAGCCTCTGACTCCCGGGTTCAAGCAATTCTTCTGCCTCAGCCTCCCGAGTAGCTGGGACTACAGGTGTGCACCACCATGCCTGGCTAATTTTTGTATTTGTAGTAGAGATGGGGTTTCACCATGTTGTCCAGGCTGCTCTCGAACTGCTGATCTCAGGTGATCTGCCCTCCTTGGCCTCCCAAAGTGCTGGGATTACAGGTGTGAGCCACCACACCTGGCCGCTTTCTATTTTTAAATTTTGAATACTGATGTTTAACTGTTTACATTTTCAAAAGGCCTCCCAGCCATGCCTGTCCCCACTGCCCCACCCAGGCAGCCATGGTTATTTATGTATTTAGGTCTTCTGTTTCCTTCCAGAATGTCTTTTTGTAGATGTGTGAAGCAAACACAAACATAGGCTGTCTATCCACACGGATGGACAAGGGTAGGGGCCTTCTCTCAGTCCCGCACTTTGCTTCTGTCTGTGACTCTTCTGTTTGGTAACAGAACCACTAGGCAGGCCCCTGGAGGGTCGGGGGGCATCTTGGGCAATAGGTTCTGCTTGCAGCAGGAGCAGGACCACGAAGCTTCCAGTCCTTACAGTCAGACGTCAGCATGGGGCTGTGGGCTCCAGGAGAGTGACATTCCTTCTCCCATACTCCCCCAACAGATCCCCGACTCTAAACTCCAGAACCTGGCTCCTGGCTCCTGGGGGTCCTGCCTGGACTTCCCTATGGCTATTTTATTTTATTTGAGATAGGTCTCACTCTGTGACCTCTGGGTCTCACTCTGTGACCCAGGCTAGAGTACAGTGGCGCCATCTCGGCTCACTGCAACCTCCACCTCCCGGGTTCAAGCGATTCTCCTGCTTCAGCTTCCCAAGCAGCTGGGATTAGAGGCATGCACTACTACACCTGGCTAATTTTTGTATTTTTAGTAGAGATGGGGTTTCACCCTGTTGCCCAGGCTAGTCTCGAACTCCTGACCTCAAGTGATCCACCCGTCTCAGCCTCCCAAAGTGCTGGGATTACAGGCGTGAGCGACCGCGCCGAACTTCCCCTATGGCTCTTATTTGCTGTCTGTCTCCCAAGACTGTGAGCTCGCCAGAACATGGTCTCTGTTTCTCTTTATTGCCACGTGCCTGGGCTCAGCAGGGGGTCTGTATGAGGCACATCCTCACAAATGTTTGTTGAATGAATGAGTGAGTCAGTCAGTCAGTCCCTGTTCTAGAGTTTAGTAACCCTAGAACTTTGAGCACTCACTACATTTCCCTGAGCCTTGGTTTTTTCTGTTGAATGGGGATGAGAATCTTGACCTCACAGGGTGGGGGTAGCATGAAATGAGGAATGGCTGTGGTCTAGTGCTGGACCTGGACCAGGGAAGGGGAAATGTTTTCCTTTCCTTCCCTTCCTGGGAAAATGACAGTAGCCTTGAGCACAGATGCTGGTCTGTCAAGTTTATCATTTCTAACTCCCATGTTCTCAGAGCCCCTCATTAAGCCAGTCAGCCTTGATAACCAGCCCGCGCGGACAGGGAGGGAGGGCAGCAGGCGCGTCCCAGGACTGGGACGACAGGGTTGGCGATGCCTACAGCCGCCAGCAGGGGCCGCAGCGCACCTGGGCTCTGAGAGCAGGCCTGGTGTGGGAGGGGAAAGGAGGTGACCAGGGGCCCAGAGGGGAGGGGCAGGGCCTCGGCCAGAGTGTGGCGGTCTGGCCAAAAGATTGATGGCACAAGCAGCCAAAGAAAAAAAAATAGATCAACTGGATTTCATCAAAATTAAAAACTTTTGAGAAGACAACCCACAGAATGGGAAAAAATATTTGCAAGGATCTTATATCTGATAGGTGACCAGTATCCAGAATATAAAGAACTCTTTTTTTTTTTTGAGACGGAGTTTCGCTCCTGTTGCCCAGGCTGGATTGCAGTGGCGCGATCTCGCCTCACTGCAACCTCTGTCTCCTGAGTTCAAGCGATTCTCCTGCCCCAGCCTCACGAGTAGCTGGGATTACAGGCGCCCGCCACCATGCCTGGCCAATTTTTTTCATATTTTTATTGGAGACGGGGTTTCACCATGTTGGCCAGGCTGGTCTCGAACTTCTGACCTCAGGTGATCCACCCGCCTCGGCCTCCCAGAGTGCTGGGATAACAGGCGTAAACCACTGTGTCCAGCCCATAAAGAACTCTTAAAACTCAACAACAGAAAGACAAACAACCCAACTCACAACTGGGCAAATAATCTGAATAGACATTTCTCCAAAGGAGAGATACAAATGGAGAACGAATATGAGGAAGCTGCTTGACATCATCAGTCACCTAAGAAAAGCATACCAAAGCCACAGCACAATACTGCCCACACCCTCCAGTATGCCGACATTAAAACCAACAGGCAGGCCGGGTGCGTTGGCTCATGCCTGTAATCCCAGCACTTTGGGAGGCCAAGGCGGGCAGATCACAAGGTCGGCAGATCACAAGGTCAGGAGTTCAATACCAACCTGGCCAATATGGTGAAACCCCGTCTCTATTAAGAATACAAAAATTAGCCGAGTGTGGTGGCAGGTGCCTGTAGTCCCAGCTACTCAGGAGGCTGAGGCGGGAGAATCGCTTGAACCTGGGAGGCGGAGGTTGCAGTGAGCTGAGATTGTGACACTGTACTGCAGCCTGGACAACAGAGCGAGACTCTGTCTAAAACAAAACAAAACAAAAAAACAGGCATAGGGCAGGTGACATCCTCCAGTGTGCCGGCATTAAAACCAAAACCAACAGGCAGAGGGCAAGTGTTGGCGAGGACCTGCAGAAGCTGGAACCTCACACATTGCTGGTGGGAATGTAAAATGGTGCTGCCACAGTGGAAAACCATTTTGGAGGTTTCTCAAAAGGTTAAACATAGAATGATCTTTTGACGGCTGGGCACGGTGGCTCACACCTATAATCTCAGCACTTTGGGAGGCCGAGGTAGGTGGATCACCTGAGGTCAGGAGTTCGAGACCAGCCTAGGCAACATGGTGAAACCCGTCTCTACTAAAAATACAAAAATTAGCCAGGTGTGGTGGTGGTGCACGCCTGTAATCCCAGCTACCCGGGAGGCTGAGGCAGGAGAATCGCTTGAACCCGGGAGGTGGAGGTTGCAGTGAGCCGAGATCATGCCACTGCACACTCCAGCCTGGGTGACAGAGTGAGATTCCATCTCAAAAAAAAAAAAAGAATTACCTTTTGACCCAGTAATTCCACTTAGACATGTACAAAAACACAGTAGATGAGTGTTTATTGCAGCACTGTTCGCAATCACCAAAAAGTGGAGACAACTGAAATGTCTACCAGCTGGTGAATGGATGAACAAAATGTGATTTATCCATTCAGTGGAATATTATTCAGCTACAAGAAGCAATGAAGTGCTGATGCAGGCTAAACACAGATGACTTGGAAGCAGCTCAGACGAAAGAAGCCAGACACTGAAGGCCACATACTGTATGATTCCATTTATATGAGATGTGCCAAATTGGCAAGTCTATAGACAGGCAGTAGATTAGTGGTTGCCAGGGGCTGGTGAGGGGATGATGGGAAGTGACTGCTAATGAGTACAGGGTTTTTAGAGGTGATGAAAATCTTATGGACTTAGTGGTGATGGTCGCACAACTTTGTGAGTATACTAAATCACACTGAATTATATACTTTAAAAGGATGAAACTTATGCTATGTGAATTATATCTCGGTAAACTGTGCTGTTCAGCTTGAGAATTTTGTAGCGGATGGTTGGGCATTTCCCTGCAATGCTGGCCTCTTGGCAACCTCCAGGATGTTGTTACGCATTTCTGCCCAATTTCCAGAACTTTTGACCTTTCTAATTCATGTTCTCATTCATTCACCCCATGATTCTTTCTCTGGGCTGGAATGTAATGGCCGATCTGGTGGTCGGCAGTGTGTCCAGCGAGGCAGAGCTGAGGGGCCGGGCGGTGCAGGCAGAGGCAGGGCTATTCACTGTCCCAGGGCAGTGACATGACAGATGTGAATGCAGTAAGGCACCTCTGGGCAGACACCTGTCAGGGACTTGGGAGGGGCTTCCTGCATCCACTGGAGGTTAGACCTGACCATCCTGACTTTTTGTGTCATGTACAACTTATGCACATTTTCAAAACAATTCCAAAGTTACAAACAATATCTCTGAGTAAATTAACATATTCAACAGAATGACAAATTAATGTTGTGTTACAAGTGGCCCTGCTGCAGAACCATCCAAAGCTGTGTCCCTTTCAGTGAGCTGCTGGCAGGCCTGAGGGCCATGAGGAGGGGCATGGGCAGGCCTGGGGGTTTCTGCTGATCCCTGCCTGGAGTTGGGCCTCTCGGGAGGTTGCCTGGTGACCTGTGAGATGGGGTTGTGACTGGCAGGAACCCAGGTATGAACTAAGTGCCAAGTCATTCCAGCAGCCTCCCCTCATGTGGCACAGTGAGGACAGGGACCTTGGGCAGTGGTAATATGCCAACCCGGTCCCAGCATCCCTCACTGTCCAGGGTTTAGGAAGGGTGGACTCAGGAGTTTGGGGTCTTGGGTGCATAGAACTACAGTAGCTGATACAGCCTGGGCCACCAGCTCCAAGCCCTGCAGATATCCACTCTGCCCCCTCAGTGGCCTTGTGGGACCAGCAGTGCCATGACACCATTTGTAGACAGGAAACTGAGGCCCAGGAGGTGAGGTTGTGGCAGTGCCCCCAGACTAGAGCATCTCTTCCTCAGGCAGGTGTGGCCTGGGGTGGCCTTGGGTAGGACTTGAATGGAGGCCATCAGGCCCCCGGGGTCACACTTCCAGTGGCCACAGCCCCAGCACTCGTCTTGGGCTCAGGGGTTGCCTTCAGAGCCTAGTGGAGGCCTTGCTCATTGAAATCCCATCATGATTCACCTCCAGCGGCTCAGGCTCTGCTGAGGACTGGGGAGGCGCCCAGGGTCAGCTGGACACAGTTCTCATGCTAAGACCTGCTGGCAAGGGAGATGGTGACACTTTAATTGAAGGGCGATGGGCCAGGCGTGGTGGCACACACCTGTAATCCCAGCACTTTGGGAGGCCGAGGCGGGCAGATCACGAGGTAAGGAGATCGAGACCATCCTGGCTAACATGGTGAAACCCCATCCCCACTAAAAATACAAAAAACTAGCTGGGCACAGTGGTGGGTGCCTGTAGTCCCAGCTACTTGGGAGGCAGAGGCAGGAGAATGGCTTGAACCCAGGAGATGGAGCTTGCAGTGAGCCGAGATTGCACCACTGCACTCCAGCCTGGTGACAGAGCGAGACTCTGTGTCAAATAAATAAATAAATAAATAAATAAATAAATAAATAAAAATAAAAATAAAATAAAATTGGAGGGTGATTCAGGCAGGGCTGCAAGCACAGATGAAGGTCACCAGAGAGCCCTGCAGGAACCTCTTCTCTCTGCAGAGGTGACTTTTTAGTTGGGATCTGATTGAGGAGGCAGAACCCACAATTGAGTACTGAGGACAAGGGTGTCGGGAGCAGGGAGGGAGATAGATCCAAAGTCCACGGCTGGGCTCCTGGGGTCCTCGGTGCCCTGCCCTGCCATCCAGCTTCTCCCTGGACACTCTGGTGATAGGGCAGTGGAGACAGGGAAATGGGCCCAACTGAGTCGTGGAATGGCCAGGGCTGGGACAAGCCTTTTACACCACAGAGGCTCACCTTCCCCTTGGTAAGCCGCGATGATGGGACAAATTTCCGCCGCCGGGAGCCACCGGACACTGACTCTTCCCTACATCCCCAGGAGGAGGTGCCGGTGTTGTTTCTGCTTTCCAGTTACGGAGATGGCGGAGCCCAGGTTTGAGCTCAGTGGTGGGCAGGGAGCCTAGCTGTCTTGGCTATGGGAAGGTGCCATGTCCACACCATGCCACACATGAGCTGAGAGCAGGCTCGTGTTGCGGCTGAGGCTCTCCCCTTCCCACGGCCAGACATTTGGAGGCTGGGAGGCCTTGTCCTGACAGCCATGCCATCATTCAGGTGTCCCCACACTCAGGACTCATGTTGGAGCCCTGGGCCCTTACGGTGGGGCAGGAAGACGCCAGCCCCGGTGTGGGCAGTTGGCAGAAAAGCAATAAGAATGACCCCTGACCCGGCCAGTTGCGGTGGCTCACTCCTGTAATCCCAGCACTTTGGGAAGCTGAGGCGGGTGGATCACCTGAGGTCAGGAGTTCAAGACCAGCCTGACCAACATGGTGAAACCCTGTCTCTACTAAAAATACAGAAAATTAGCCAGGCTTGGTGGTGGTTGCCTGTAATCCCAGCTACTTGGGAGGCTGGGGCAGGAGGATCACTTGAACCCAGGAGGCGGAGGTTGCAGTGAGCCAAGATAGCACCACTGTGCTCCAGCCTGGGCGACGAGAGTGAGACTCCATCTCAAAAAAAATAAAATAAAATAAAAAAAAGAATGGCCCCTGACCCGTGGGAAGACTGCTGAGCCTCCCTTGTAACAAGAGACATGGAAATTACTGGTCTTCTCCTAATCTCAAAGTCAATTAACACTCTCCATAGGAGAGGCTGCAGAATGGACACTCCCCTGCCTCAGCTGCAGGGAGTGTGAATTGGTACAGTCTCTCTTGAGTGCAATCTGACAAAAGCTATCAAAATTACAAATGCATAAACTTTTTGACCCAGTAACTTCACTTCTAGGAATTCATCCTACAGAGGGGCATGACATGAGCAAGTCACAGGCTCATTGCAGCCTTATTTGCAAAAGCAGAATGGGCTGGTTACATAAACCATGATCCCTCTGGCCAGGGGGAATGCTACACAGCTGTCAAAAAGAACAAGGACCCCTCATGTAGACTGTGTAGAAGATCTCTGAAGCATAGTGTTAGGCTGAGAAGGAAGTACTGAGCGGCGGCTTCCGCACGCTCTTCCGGTGTGAACAAACGAGGAAAATTAAGCACCTGCACTCTTGTTTGTGTGTAAACTCCAGAAATGAGAGATGGGGTTGTCTGTAAGTGGATGTGTGGTGGGGAATCAGGTAAGGGGTGTGAGAGAGGCTTTATCTTTTATACCTGTTTATACTTTTTTTTTTTCTTTGAGACAGAGTCTCACTCTGTCTCTCAGGCTGGAGTGCAGTGGCATAGTTTTGGCTCACTGCAGCCTCTGCCTCCCAGGTTCAAGTGATTCTCTTCTCTCAGCCTCCTGAGTAGCTGAGATTATAGACATGTGCCACCTCACATTTTTTTTTTAAATTTTAAATTTTTAGTAGAGATGGGTTTCTCCATGTTGGCCAGGCTGGCCTCAAAGTGATTCACCTGCCTCGGCCTCCCAAAGTGCTGGGATTACAGGTGTGAGCCACTGTGCCTGGCCATACCTTTCTAAGACAATAATAATTAAAAGATTTCTCACAGCCTCTCTTGGGTCTTGGGAAAGTTTTTTTTGAGACTGAGTTTCGTTCTATTCCCCAGGCTAGAGTGCAGTGGCACGATCTCAACCTCTGCCTCCTGGGCTCAAGTAATTCTCATGCCTCAGCCACCCAAGTAGCTGGGACTACAGGCATCCGCCACCATGCCTGGATAATTTTTGTATTTTTAGTAGAGATGGGGGTTTCACCATGTTGGCCAGGCTGGTCTCGAACTCCTGACCTCAGGTGATCTGCCCACCTCGGCCTCCCAAAGTTTTGGGATTACAGGCGTGAGCCACCGAGCCTGGCCTTGGGAAAGTTTTATAGCAGGTGTCCAATACAATACATTGCTTTTGTTATCCTTATTTAAAAAAAAAAACAAAACCTTTAACATTTATTTGTTTGTCATTGCTAAAGTCACATGGTACAGCTGTAGCTGTCCGTCTGAAAATACCAGAAAAGCACCAAGAAAAAAAAGAAATAACCACAGATAATATTCGGTATAGTTTCTTACAGTACTTTCTCTGAGATTATTTCTTTATTTGATCTTTTTTTTTTTTCTTTTTGAGACGGAGTTTTACACTTGTTGCCCAGCAATGGCACAACCTCGGCTCACTGCAACCTCCACCTCCCAGGTTCAAGTGATTCTCCTGCCTTAGCTTCCTGAGCAGCTGGGACTATAGGCACCCGCCACCATGCCTGGATAATTTTTTGTATTTTTAGTAGAGATGGGGTTTCACTGTGTTAGTCAGGATGGTCTCTATCTCCTGACCTCGTGATCCGCCCGCCTTGGCCTCCCAAAGTGCTGGGATTACAGGCATGAGCCACCACGCCCGGCCTGTTTGATCTTTTAATAGTTGTTCATCGAGTTTCTATGATACACCAAACTCTTGCAGTGCCAGGAACCCAGTGCTGAGTGTATCAGTGAACTTTTGCTGCAGTAATAAACAATCTCAAAACCCCAGGCGCTTAGGGTAACAAAGATTGACCTTTCGTTCAGTTTATGTGAGGGCTTTGTGACAGCTACACTTTGTTCCCTGTACCTTCCCATCCCACAGCCGGGCTGGGCAAGGAGCAGTCACCATCTGGAGGAACACAGGGGCCAAGAGAAACTGAAATCTTATCTGAAGTTGCTGCCGGTGCTGGTGCACAGCCTCCTGCACTTGAGATTCTGAGCAGAGACAGTCTCCTTGCTGCTCCTTTCAGTGGGTGAGCTGGGGAGCATCTGCCCCAGGCAGGAACAGCTGAGGACACATGACAAGGAGGAATAATCTCCCTACAGTGGAGGGGACAAATGAATGGCAACAACATTATGACCTACCTCAGGGAGCAAAAATTAATAAATGTAGCACCTCTTCCAAATAAAAAAGTGGCATTGTTTTACAAGCATTTCCCCACGCCTTTCACAATTTCCTTACAACCATCCTCAGCCAGCGATTCCATCTGATATGGAATAGGACATGTCCTGTTCTCAGCCCCAGGCCCTCTGGCCAGAACCTGTGACTGCTTCCAATCTTTTGGCCTTTTTTTTTTTTTAAATGGAGTCTCACTCTGTCGCCCCAGGCTGGAGTGCAATGGCATGATCTCAGCTCATTGCCACCTCCGCCTCCCAGGTTCAAGCGATTCTCCTGCCTCAGCCTGCTGAGTAGCTGGGACTACATGTGTGCGCCACCATGCCCAGCTAATTTTTGTGTTTTTAGTAGAGACAGGGTTTCACCATGTTGACCAGGCTGGTCTTGATCTCTTGACCTTGTGATTCACCCACCTCAGCCTCCCAAAGTGCTGGGATTACAGGCCTGAGCCACCGTGCCCAGCCTAGAGCTCTTGACCTCAAGTGATCCGCCCACCTCGGCCTCCCAAAGTGAGCCACTGCGCCCAGCCTCTTTTGGCCTTTTGAATAACTCTTAGATAAACAACTGTATCCTTCAGTCTCTGCTTTCCTTAGGGTAAATTCCTAGAAGTAGATGAAAGAGTGGGAAAATGTGGGAGACTTTTTGCCAAATTGCTTTCCTAAAGGATTCTGCTGACTGGCCTGCCCACAGTGACATGGAGGGCACCGGTCTTGCCAGTCCTCTGCCAACTCTGGACCTTATTGGAACAAGAACAGCTAAACTCATGTGTGAAGACATCTGTTTGCCTTCATTGCCTCACAACTGTTCCCGAAGAGACCACACTGTTGTCTTCTGGGTTTGTGACCTTTTGTGGCTCCTCCTTTCTTTTGGGAGTTTGGTCTTTACTGTACTGACCCGCATGAGCTTCTTTTATATTAAAAATGCCCTCTTATGTTTCATGTCGTGTTCTCAAATAGATGGCTACCTTTTAATCCCATTTCTTAATATTTTTTAAATAGGTCAGATGTACCTTTTCCTTTTAAAATCTCTCCCATCCTACCCCCATTGCTCTTGTGTTTAGAGACACTCCCCAAATCTGGCCGATGCTCACAGATAACTAACTCCCTCTGGGCTGGTCGCCCAGCAGCCTAGAGTCCTGGCTCTTTGGTGACCTGCTTGCTAGGGGCCCTTGGGCAGCTCTCTTTTCCTCTCTGGGCCTTGGTTTCTCCACCTGTCAAAAAAGTAGAATGTCCAGCCCAGGCGTTTGAGGAGAGCCCTGGGAGAGGCCGAGGGCTTCTTGCTGCCTCTCACCTCTGCAGCCAGAACACCCATTGGCTTTCTCTTTCTGACACCTGGACTGGTCTGACCTCTGGCCTGGCCTGATGTCCACTCCTCAGCTTCAGATCCAAGACCTCCTTTCCCCCCCAACCTCCAACCCCACATTATCAAAGACACGGAACCAAAGCCCTCTTCAAGCCCCACAAAGCACAAGCGAAGCATAAGCCGCCCCATGTTCCGTAGCCTTGTAGGCTCCAGGGCTCTGCTCCAGCCTGGCCTGTGATGACCCTGTGGGAAAACACTCACGGTCCCAGGCAGCTGGGGAGTAACCTGCTCCTGCCCTGCAGACATCACTCTTTATCAGGTCTTTATTTAAAACAAGGAAGCCTTCTGGTCTCACTGAACCAATTATCTTGCAAAACAGCAATTCTTTTCTAAGATCAATATGTATTTGTTCATCAAAAGGGTCACTGCTGTGGTTTATTGATCAGTGACTTCCTTGAGCAGTTCACATAAAGCGTTTTAGAGAAACATAGGTTCCCATTCCAAAGGCCCCAAGAGACTGTGACTCCCTCGCAGGCATGTGCTGAGCACGGAGCCTGGGAGGACAGGGCTGGCATTTGATGGGCACCTTCTGTGTGCCAGGTCATCTGGGGGTCCTCCCACGACCCCTCCACAGCCCTATTTACTGAGCTATTTAACAGACCAGCAAACTGAGGCCAAGAGAGTAAGAGCCATGCTTGGGAACCCCTGGGAATTAGTGGAGACCTTCAAGGTGAGCCAAGCCAGCCTTCCCAAGATCAAGGTCATGGGAAGATGGGACAGCTAACCTTCCCCCTTCTTCTGGGATCAATCCCTATTCCAGCAACCTGCCCTCTGACTCCAGGTGAATGTGACCCAGTCTGCCAAATCAGAGCACTCCAGCCCTGTTCATGGTGATTGGTTTAGGGATGAGCAAATCCTCAAGTCAGCCAATAAGATTCCAACCCAAGGCTTTTCCTTGGCAGCAGAGGCCAGGCCAAGAAGGTCATGTGGGAGCTGCTGTCATCATGGGTACCTAGGGGGAGTTGGACCAGGCATGACACCTTCATGAAAGGAAGTGGAGCTGAAAGAGGGAAAGGAAGCACTTGTGTGCCTGGATCAAGCCATACCTGAAACTATTACTGCTTACCAGATTTTCCACTCTAGGAGTCAATGAATTTCCTTTTTGGCTTAAGCCAGTTTGAGCTAGCATTTTGTCACTTGCAAGCAAAAATGTTGAGTTGTGCACTAGAGGAAGGACACATACTAGAATCAGCAGCGTCTCCACATTTGAGCTCAGAGTTTTTGAGCAGAGAGAGGCTGGCCTGCAGCTCTGTGCAGGTCACTCATTAGGGGAACAGCCCAAAGGACAGCTAGGGACACATGGAGGCAGAGGCAGTGGCACCTGAAGGCAGTCAATGCAAGCAGCAGGGAGAGAAAGCAAAAAGCAAGTGCAAAATCTCACAGTTTTTCTTGTGGGTTTGAAACTCTTCAAAATAAAAGTTGAGCCAGGCAAGGTGGCACACATCTGTAGTCCCAGCTACTTGGGAGGCTGAGACAGGAGGATCACTTGGGCTCAGGAATTGGAGGCTGTAGTGTGCTATGATTGCGCCTATGAAGAGTCACTGCACTCCAGCCTGGGTGACATAGTGACCCCCCTCTTTATTTATTTATTTTTTTTGAGATGGTGTCTCGCTCTGTCGCCAGGCTAGAGAGCAATGGCACGATCTCGGCTCACTGCAACCTCTGACTCTCTGGTTCAAACAATTCTCCTGCCTCAGCCTCTGGAGTAGCTGGGATTACAGGTGCACACCACCATGCCCAACTAATTTTTGTATTTTTAGTAGAGATGGGGTTTCACCATGTTGGCCAGGATGGTCTTCATCTTCTGACTTCGTGATCTACCAGCCTCGGCCTCCCAAAGTGCTGGGATTACAGGTATGATCTACTGCACCCGGCTGACCCCCTCTTAAAATTAAAAAAAAAATGAAAAGTTTAGTAAGCAAAAACAGCTCTGCTGCCAATCTCATTCTGGCTGACAATGGGGAATTTCAGGAGGTGTGGTGTCGGGAGCTCTGCCTCACCCTGCTGGGCACCCTTGATTCTTGGAGCTCGGCCTCCTGACCAGTGAGGCCTGGCTCAGGACCAACTGCCTCAGTTTGCATACACTCCCCAGGTACCAGCACGTGACCTTAGGCGGGTGACTTCGACTTAGTGTCTAAGAGCCTGGCTCATCTGTAAACCTAACTCTGTTGGAGATCTTTCTCAGCGCACTTTCACACTTTGTCATTTTTGCCAACCCAAGAGGTAGAACCTGGCATCATGAGGGCTGTCATTGTGGTTTCAATTGGCAATTTTCTCTTCATGAGCAAAGTTGCACGTTTTCATATCTAGAAGCTGTTTGTATTATTTTTCTGAGCAGAATCACCGTTCCTACTTTATAGGGTCATTGTGGGACCTTAAAACAGCACGTGTACATCGGGTCTGGACCAAGCTGTTCCAGAGGGTGACAGTTATTACTATGGAGTGTTGGAGGGGCATGTCCCGTGACTGGGTGACCACCCTGGGTCTGCCCCAGACCATCAGGCTGGGTGGCGCAAAAGTTACCTGTGTGTCTGATCTATGTGGACCCTCTGTGGTCCATACCCCACATAGGGTCTGTAATATGCCAGAACTGGGTAGGAGGTGGGAGGGGGCATGCCCCACCCAGGCCTCAGCAGAATGGGCTCACAACAAGAAGGCTCAAATCTAGGACCCACCCCTGCCCAGCCCCCAGCACCCGTGCTGTGGTCCCCTCTAGGCCACTGCCCTGTGGCTGGGACTGGTGATCCTGTCAGAGACCCCCTGTAGGGGCTGCCTGAGGCCAACGTACTGGCTCCAGGAAAGGCTGCAGTCCTGCTCACCCACCCTACATGTTGAATGCCTGGGGCCTTACTCCTTAGACCACTGAAAATGAGATGTGAAGATAATGCAACCCCTGCACACACAACTGAAAGAATAAGATAAGCCCTACAGCAATATGAGGGAGAGACAAAAGGCAAGTCACTCATAATGAAAAAGTCTGTCCTTGAGCCTATACATGGGAATGCTCAGGTGCATATTCCAGCGCAAGCTCCTGGGGAAGGACCCCGCCTTGGAGACCCCACTCATTTGTGACTTTCCTTGACACAAACAGTGGATGGCTGCCCCCAGCAAAGCATGGGAGGGTCTGTCCCCAAGGCCAAGCCTCTCAGTGCACTTTCATGCTTCCTCGTTTATGCTAGACCAATAGGTAGAACCTGGCGTCATGAGGGCTCTCTGTGGTTTCAATTGGCAATTTTCTTTTCATGAGCAAAGTTGCACTTTTTCCTATCTAGGAGCCATTTTTATTGTTTTTGTGTGTCTGTTTTATTTTTTTTGAGATAGAGTCTCGCTCTGTCACCCAGGCTGGAGTGCTGTGGCGTGATCTTGGCTCACTGCACCTCTGCCTCCCAGGTTCAAGCAATTCTCCTACCTCAGCCTCCGGAGTAGTTGGGATTACAGGTGCACGCCACCACACCTGGCTTATTTTTAAATATTTTTATTTTTTATTTTTTGGTATTTTAGTAGAGACGGGGTTTCACTGTGTTGCCCAGGCTGGTCTCGAACTCCTGAGCTCAGGCAACCCACCTGCCTTGGCCTCCCAAAGTGCTGGGATTAGAGGTGTGAGCCACTACACCCCATTTGTATTGTTTTCCTGTTAATTCTCTACTTACATTTGTCCCTTTATTTCCTGGGTTGTCAGTCCTGCATTCTATTTAGTGCCACACTTTCTGGGTTTTTTTTTGGTGATTTTGTTGTTTCAAATGGCTGCAGGCACCATGCTGAAGAGCTGCCCTGTGTTCTTAAGCATAGAGAAGCTGTGATGTGCCTAGGGGAGAAAATGTGTATTAGAGAAGCTTCCATCACATGTGAGTTATGGTGCTGTTGACTGAGGTTCCCTGTTAACGAATCAACTGCCCATCCAGAAAGAGGAGAGGAAGTGTGCCGATCTGTACATGGAGCTGATTGGAAAGTGTGTTGTGTTTTGCTGGGACACAATGGTTTGGGATTCGCTAATTCAGTGTTCGAAGAGACTACAAAGCATGACTCCCCCAGATCCAAGAATCGACTGTATAAGCCGTAGATCTAGCTCCTGGATTGTGTGGCATTCTTAGAAAGCCCTCCCGCTTGGATCCTCTAGGAAATGACTTTGTCTCATCATCTTCTTCTTCGTCTCCTAATCCTGGGCTCCGTGCCCCTCGTCTGGGCAGCTTCCCGGCTATCCCGGGTGGATGATGCCTCCCACATGGTCTGTCACATGCTACAGTCATTTTCCAAGGCGAGCACTGGGCCATGTGCACAGCAGGCCGTTTGCTAGCGGCCTCACGTCTTCCCCGGGCACACCTTCAGTCTGAATGAGCCAGGCACTTCCAGGGACAGGCACAAGCAACTTGGACTGAGTCTGCTGGAAAAAAACAGAAATCTGGCAGGCAAGTTCATCAATAAGTGGAAAAAACCCTCTTCTATATTCACATGGAGAATGATGCGGCCCCTTTGGGGGTTCTCAAGGGGACTTGGTCGGCTCCAATTGCCAGGCTGCCTGGGGCCCCACTGAGTGCAAATTGGAAACTCTGGGCAGGAGAGACCCCTGCCAGCCCCAGGCCTGAGTCAGGTCGCCCAGCTGGGAGGACAACCCGGCCTTGGCCACGGTCAGAACCTGCCTGGACAGCAGGCATAGACTCTGGTCCGAGGACCCCACCAAGCCCATTGGGTGGGGGCCGAAACTTGTGGCTTCCCGGTTCCTTCTTTCTGCTCTGTCCACACAGACCCCCGCTGGCTCTGTGGTCCTGACACACCTGTTGCTGTGTCCCCTGAAACTCCGTGTCCCCCTGTGGAAATGGAGGTGAGGACATGTGCCCAGGCAGATTGGAACGGGTGGCCATTTCTCCCTCTGTGGGCAGGCATTGCTGGCGAAGCGATGATAAGGAAGCTGGGGGTTCCCAGCCTGAGTTTGCCCAGTGTCAAGAGGACAGCAGTAGCCAGTTTCCCCAAGCTGCCCCAGCACACCTGATGGCCATCTCTGCAGCCTGCAAAAGCCAACACATCTGCCTCCTTCCAGGGCTGCTAAGACCTTCCCCAGGACTCTCTCACAACCAGGAAAGAGGCACCTCCATTGCCCCTTTGACTAATGAGGAAACTGACATTCAGATAAATTAACAAGCCAGTCGAAGGTCATGGCCAGAGGGCGTCGCCAAGGCTTAAATCAGAGCCAGGAGCCTCCAGACCCAAGATTTGAGCTGCATTCGACACTCTCTGCTGAGCCCCCTCCTTCATCTCATGGCCTCATTGGGGGTCTGTCAGCACTCCCTGTCTAAAGACACAGGCGAAACTGCCTCTTGTCTGACATGCAGACGTATGCACAAGAGCAGAAGCATTCACTGGCAGTGCTTTGGTGTATTTCCTTCCGGCATTTCTTCCTGTGCGTTGTCACTTCACAGTATCTCTAATCATTACACAACTCCATGAAGAGCATTTAAATGGCTCAGCCTTTTTTTTAGACAGAGTCTTGCTCTGTCGCCCAGGCTGGAGCTGGAGTGCAGTGGCATGATCTCAGCTCACTGAAACATCTACTTCCCGGGTTCAAGCGATTCTCCTGCCTCAGGCTTTCGAGTAGCTGGGATTACAGGCGCCCACTACCATGCCTGGCTAATTTTTGTATTTTTAGTAGAGACAGGGTTTCACCATGTTGGCTAGGCTGGTCTTGAACTCCTGGCCTCAAGTGATCTGCCTGCCTCGGCCTCCCAAAGTGCTGGTATTACAAGTGTGAGCCACCGCACCCGGCTTGACCATATTTGATTATGTAGGAATAGGACTGTTTCCTTAACTATTTATATTATTCATAATGTTTTATTACAAATAATCCTTCAGTGAACATCTTTATACAACACTATCTGCGTTGCTGGTCACTTTGTTAGTGTAAATTCTCCAAAAGAGAATTACTAACTTAAAGGGTCAGAACAATTTTTAGGCTCTTGCTCCAGTCACAAATTGCTTTCAGAAAGCCTGTATCAGTCTACACAGGTGACTCCATTTAAAGGCAGCAGGGGCCAGGTGCGGTGGCTCATGCCTGTAATCCCAGCACTTTGGGAGGCCGAGGCGGGCGGATCACGAGGTCAGGAGTTTGAGACCATCCTGGCCAACATGGTGAAACCCCGTCTCTACTAAAAATACAAAAATTAGCTGGCGTGGTGGCACGCACCTGTAGTCCCAGCTACTCAGGAGGCTGAGGCAGGAGAATCCCTTTAACCTGGGAGGTGGAGGTTGCAGTGAGCCAAGATCGTGCCATTGCACTCCAACCTGGGCACAGAGCGAGACTGTCTCAAAAAAAAAAAAAAAAAAAAAAAAGATAGCAGGTATAAGATAGCGGTTGTAGGCTGAGGTGGGGCTGGCATGAACCATCAGGGCCAAGGGGGAAGGTCAAATTCAGGGCTGTGGCAGGCAGTGGTTATGCTAGAGGACAGTCAGCACACAGGGTTGGGCCTGGGGTCAACGTAGAATTAAAGGAGGGTCATGACTCAACTTTCTGTTCATAAGAGAGGAGTCCCAAGAGAGAAGCCTCAAGGGAACCTAGGACTTGCCACAGAGGCCTGGGGACAAGCTGGATGGCAGCTGCAGGATGGAGTCTTGGGCAAGTCCTCCTGGGCTCACCTCCAGGCTGCACCACCTGCTGGGTGTGGAGCTCGGTCATGATGGGTCCCCTCTCCATGCTGCATTTTCATCTGTGAATGCTGCCACATCCAGGGGGTCCTGAGGGTGAAACGAGAGTACTTTTGCAAAGCATTAGCTCAGCACCTAGCACACACTGAGTGCCCAGTAATGGTGGCCATTATTATCATTATTTCAGCTGTAAGACTTAACTGAGGTTTCACAACTTACTGGGCTCAACAGTTCACCTCCAGCTTCTCAAGATTCCTGGTTCCTGTTACTGGTGCAGCTTGGCAGTGGTCTGATCAGAGGAGGCTGGGGGGCAATGATGTTCTCCATGCCTGGGGGCTGGCCCTGCTTCAGCAGGAGTCCTGGTGGGGATCTCAAATACCTGCAATCCCAGGACGTTTGAGGTCTAAAGCAAAACAGAAAATATGACCTTTTATCTGGTGTGAGCCTAATCAAGTAAAATTAAATAATAACCCTGTAGTTAGAAGAAAAATGTTCAATCACATTCATTTATTTGATCTGCCCTCTCGTGTGGACAGCTGCACAGTGATAGCTGTGTGCCTGCCACAGGGGCTGTGGTGGGGATCATGTTGAGGTAGTGACATTGTGCACAACTTAAAACACCATTTTTTTCTCTTGAGATGGAGTTTCGCTCTTGTTTCCCAGGCTGGAGTGCAGTGGTGCGATCTCAGCTCACTGCAACCCCCACCTCCCAGGTTCAAGCGATTCTCCTGCCTCAGCCTCCCAAGTAGCTGGGATTATTGGCGCCTGCCATCAGAACCAGCTAATTTTTTGTATTTTTAGTAGAGACGGGGTTTCATAATGTTGACCAGGCTGCTCTCGAACTCCTGACCTCAGGCAACCCACCCACCTCGGCCTCCCAAAGTGCTGGGATTACAGGTGTAAGTCACCATGCCTGGCCTAAACACTTTTATTTCTGCTTTTTCTGTTTCATATATATATATATATTTTTTGAGACGGAGTCTTGCTCTGTTGCCCAGGCTTGGTTGCAGTGGTGCGATCTCGGCTCACTACAACCTCTGCCACCCGGGTTCAAGTGATTCTCCTGCCTCAGCCTCTCGAGAAGTTCAGATTACAGAGGTGCACCACCACGCTCGGCTAATTTTTTTGTATTTTAAGTAGAGACAGGGTTTCACCATGTTGGCCAGGCTGGTTTCAAACTCATGACCTCAGGTGATCCGCCCACCTCGGCCTCCCAAAGTGCTGGGATTACAGGTGTGAGCCACCACACCTGGTTTTATAAATTTTTTTATAATGAATTTGTGCTCTTAAAAAAATCAATCCAGGCCGGGTACGGTGGCTTATGCCTGTAATCCCAGCACTTTGGGAGGCTGAGGTGGGTGGATCATCTACCTGAGGTCAGGAATTCAAGAACAGCCTGACCAACATGATTAAACCCCGTCTCTACTAAAAATATAAAAAATTAGCCTGGCATGGTGGCAGGTGGCTGTAATCCCAGCTGGGAAGCTGGGGCAGGGGATGCCTTGATCCTAGGAGGCAGAGTTGCAGTGGGCCAAAATTGCATCACTGCACTCCAGCCTGGGCAACAAAAGTGAGACTCTGTCTCGAAAAAAAAAAAAAAACAAGAAACATCAGTCCATATATCCAAACAATGGAATGTTATTTGGGCCTAAAAAAAGAATCGCGGCGGGGGTGGTGGATCACACCTGTAATCCCAGAACTTTGGGAGGCTGAGGCGGGTGGATTACCTGAGGTCAGGAGTTTGAAACCAGACTGGCCAACATGGCAAAACCCCATCTCTACTAAAAAAAATACAAAAATTAGCCGGGTGTGGTGGCATGTGCCTGTAGTCCCAGCTGCTCTAGAGGCTGAGGCAGGAGAATTGCTTGAACCCGGGAGGCAGAGGCTGCAGTGAACCGAGGCCGCACCACTGCACTCCAGCCTGGGCAACAGAGGGAGACTCTGTCTTAAGAAAAAAAAAAAAGAATTGCACCATTGCACTCCAGCCTGGCAACAGAGTGAGACTCCATCTAAAAAAAAAAAAAGAAAAAGAAAAAGAAAAAGAGAAAAGAAACCAAAGAAATGAAATTCTGATGCATGCTACAGAATATGAATGAACCTTGAAAACATGATGCTTAGTGAAATAATACACAAAAGGTCACATATTGTAGGATTCCATTTATGTGAAATGTCCAGAATAGGCAAATCCATAAAGACAGAAAGTGGACCAGTGGGTGCTAGGGGCTGAGGGGAGGAGGAAATGGGGAACGTCGTCTGCTAGTGGGGACAGGGATTCTTTCTGACGTGATGAAAATGTTCTGGAATCAGATAGAGGTGATGGTTGCACAACACTGAATGTACTAAAAACCTCCTAATCGCACACTTTACGAGAATGAGCTTTATGGTAGGTACATTAATTATATCTAAATAAAGCTGTTATTTAAAAATCAAAGTGTTTTGATATTTGGGAGTAAACGAAATGTTACATAATTTTTTAAATTACTAAAAACAGAGAAATAAGGACTGTGTTCTAGAACATTGCGCCTCCTCCCTCTGCACTCCAGACCCCCATCTCTGGCTCTGGCGGCCAGATGTCCCTAGCAGCAGCAGGGAAGCAGGCCAAGCCAAGTTCACCATCCCCTCCCACAGCACGCCCGCTCCGGAGCTCCCTCTGACCTTCCCCAGTGGCTCCACATTCTCCCCCATCTCTCTAGGCCCAGATGTCACTCTCCCCTGTGGGCCCATGGGGAACATGTGGTAGCCTAGGCTTGGGGTCAATCAAGGAGATGTGGCCAGATTACCCCTGGGAAGGTCATACCCTGAAGAAAGCAAAATCCTGACACTTCCCTGGCTTGCCCTTCACATGACACGCTCTGCTCTGGACATAAGCCGAAAGCCAGTGTCACCCTGGCTGGTTCTGGTCCCCAGCGAATCCAACCTTGGGTATTTCCTTGAAAATGTCAGCCTCAACTTCCTGCTAACACAGCCTCATTTCCAATTCTTGCCAGCTGTGCCCGATGATTTGTTGTGGCCACTGGGAATATGTCACAACGGAGGATGCTGCTGGTTTTCCACCATGAATGGGCCGGTGTCAACTCAGCAATCATGGGATGTCAGTTGTTGGCCCGCTATGCCCCTTAGCTTTTCTCAGGTCTCTGTCCTCTTTCTCTGGGGGACTGGTGCCACCCAGTCCTGCACCATCAGACAGGCTAGGGGTGTGTCCTGGTGCCTCAGGTGGCCGCTGCCCTGGGGCTAAAGGACTGCATTGCTTATTTCCTCCTGGGGGCATGGATCCCCTCCCTCCATGAACCGTTTAGTCAACCCGGAACCCCTTGAGGCCCTGCTGGACCCTGCACCTCCAAGAACAGAGGAACAGGATTCTTTATTTTCTGTTTTATTTTTTTCTTTCTTTCCTTCTTTTCTTTCCTTCCCTCCCTTCCTTCCCTCCCTCCCTCTCTCTTTCTTTCCTTCTTTGTTTCTTCTTGACAGAGTGCAATCTCAGCTCACTGCAACCTCTCCGCCTTCTGGGTTCAAGTGACTCTCTTGCCTCAGACTTCTGAGTAGCTGGAATTACAGGTGTGAGCCACCATGCCCAGCTAATTTTTGTATTTTTAGTAGAAATGGGGTTTCACCATGTTAGCCAGGCTGGTCTCGAACTCCTGACTTCAAGTGATCCACCTGTCTCAGCCTCCCAAAGTGCTGGGACTACAGGCATGAGCCACTTCACCCGGCCACAGGGTTCTTTAAATAGTGGGTACTCTGCAGCCTTTCCACCCTGCCGTGGAGCCTCCGCCAGGAGACCAGAGCAGCAAGGCCCCCATCATCTGCCCTTTAAGCCACATGAGCTGGCTTAGCCGGCCTGACCCACAAAAATGAAATAAAAGCCTTGGTGAGCAGGACCTGAGGTCTTTTCCAGGGGCAACAGGTACCTGTCTGCCCCTCAGGGCCACCTGGGAGCCGGGTGTCAGCGTCCAAGTCAGGGAAGCTGTGGGGCTCCAGAAGCTGAACTTTGATTCCTCCCCTGAGAGAAACAAGCAACCCTGAGAGGCACATGGCATGAGGCTGCTCTCGGGGAGCACAGCAAAACAAGATTTGCGGCCAGAGAGTGGAATGGAGGGTCAGCTCTGTTGCTCTTTCCATGCAAGTGCACCCCCCACGCAGGCAGCTTTTATTGAGTGCCATTGTGTGCCAGACCCTCGCAGCACGTGGAGTCTCCGCAGGACCACCTGGAAGCTTTCAAACACCTGAGGCCAGGCCCACCCCATCCCACACAGCAGAATCTCCGGTTGCGGAGGCGGCATCTCAGGCCTTGGAGATGCTGCAGGGCAGCTGTGTGTAAGACTCACTGGGCTAGAGGGCGTGAGACAGGGTCATGCAGGTCCGACGGTGACTCCTACCAGCAGCTGAGATGGCCCAGCGGGTCCCACACTACAGATAGAGAAACTGAGGCCAGAGGAGCTGCGGGGGAGGTCAGGGTGACTCTGCCTTCCTCCCACATCCATGCACTCTCTTTTTCCCTGTACTTGCAGTTTTACCTTTTTTTTTTTTTTGAGACGGAGTTTCACTCTTGTTGCCCAGGCTGGAGTTCAATGGCATGATCTTGGCTCACTGCAACCTCTGCCTCCCAGATTCAAGCGATTCTCCTGCCTCAGCCTCCCGAGTAGCTGGGATTACAGGTGCATGCCACTGTGCCCGGCCTTTCTTGTTTTTGTTTTTGTTTGTTTGTTTTTGTTGTTGTCGTGAGACAGAGTCTCACTCTGTTGCCCTGGCTGGAATGCAGTGGCGCAATCTTGGTTCATGTAACCTCTGCCTCCCAAGTTCAAGTGATTCTCCTGCCTCAGCCTCCTGAGTAACTGGGATTACAGGTGCACACCACCACACCCAGCTAATTTTTTTGTATTTTTAGTAGGGACAGGGTTTCACCATGTTGGCCAGGCTGGTCTCGATCTCCTGACCTCAGGTGATCCACCCGTTCGGCCTCCCAAAGTGCTGGGAATACAAGCGTGAGCCACAGCACCTGGCCTACTTTTAGCTGTATGATCTGCCTTACCAGAACTGAGCGTCACCCCAAATCTCACCTCTCCACTAGAATCGCAAATAAAGTCCTACACAGTGAAGTGTTGACTTAGGAAACGGGATCGTTTTCTGATTTGTGTGTCATACTTCGGAACATTTCTAATGGAACCCTGCTGTTGGAAGGAAACAAGTTCTTCAACCATTCATCCATCACAGCTGAGTCAGAAGCGTTGTGTCATCCTGTACCACCCGACCTGCCTACCTCAGGCCCTACCCACGGGGAGCTTCCATCCTGCTGGTTGTCCTGAGGCTCTATGACCCACAGCAGGAAGACACTGCAGCCTGGTCATGCCCTTCCCATCCTCTGACATCATCTTCCAGGAGTAGGGGCCCGAGCTTCCACAGCCCACCTGCTCCCACCTACTGCCACCTTCCTGCCACCACACACTGTCAGGCCTTCATCCTGTCCCCACGCCCTTCCTCAGGTCACAGGTCTTCCTGCATTCCCCCAAGCCACTTGCCTGGCCTCTCTGGGCTCTGCTTTTCCAGCACTGTCCTCCCCATCTGATGCCCCTGCCAGGGTATTCTCCCCATGGTGTGACCCGGGGGGCACTCAGGCAAGTGGCCTGGCCACACTGGACCTGAGCACTAGATAGGTTGCCTGACTCCACTCAGAGGCAGAACCTGCCCCACGGGGCAATTGTGGACTGAGCTCCAGCTGGGCATGGCTAGACCCTGCTCTTCCTTCTAGCCAGTGACCCTCAATGGGCCCTGATGTGAGCAGAGGCAGTGGAGCTAGCCCCATCTCCTTTCCTCCCTTCTTTCATGAGCATTTGTTGAATGCCTTTTGTTGCCAAGACTGTTGAGCATGACCATTATGCCCATCTCACAGATGAGCAAACTGAAACCATGGTCCTGTTGCTTGCTGAGGCCCAGCTCCTGGAACTGCATCTGCATGGAGCAGGTGTGTGCCTGCACGTGCCTACTGGCTGGGTAGGCTGGAGCATAGCCTGGACTTGGGAGAAACTTTTTTCACCAAAGGGGCTCCCTGGCATTGTGGAAGCTAAGGTGATAGCTGTGGGTAGAGGTCACTGTCTCCACTCTGAGGCCTTGAGAAAGTTACTTAAAGTTGAAAAATCTCTGGGCAAGACCTCAATGTACTCATCTGTTCTAAACATCGAAGACAAATGCTGCCCCGTAATCCCAGCACTTTGGGAGGCTGAGGTGGTTGGATCACTTGAGGTCAGGAGTCCGATACCAGCCCGGCCAACATGGTGAAACCTCATCTCTACTAAAAATACAAAATTAGCTGGGCGTGGTGGTGGGCGCCTGTAATCCCAGCTACTCAGGAGGCTGAGGCAGGAGAATTGCTTGATCCTGGGAGGCAGAGGTTGCAGTGAGCTGAGCTGAGATCCCGTCACTGCACTCCAGCCTGGGCAACAAAGTGAAACTCCATCTCAAAAAAACAAAAACAAAAGCAGAAAACAAAAAACAAACCTCCAAAAGACAAATGCTGGCATCATGACCCTGGATCATGCAGCCTCAGGACACCCAGTAAAGCAGACTACAGTATTTATACTCCCCGTCTTAGCAGCAGGGAGATGGAAGCTCAGAGATATCCAGTGACCTGCCAAAGGGCATATAGCCAGTGCTGTGAAGTCCTGACTTCCAAGGTCTGTCCAAGGATCCCTCAGGCTCCATCTGCCAGGATCCCAGGAGCTGCTCCTGAGCCCAGCCTGAGATTCCTTGCAGAGGAAACTGTGACCTGTCCACTACTGACTTAGCTGTGTACCCTAATGGTCATGGGTTGGCAGAGAGAATGAGCTCTCCACCATGGGAGGTGTGTAAGCAGAGATGCGTGAATTCACCCCAAGGGCTCAGAGAGCACACAGTACTCTCTCAGGGACAGGCTGTCCCCCACTCCCCACAGCCTGGGCTGCTCCCTGCTGATTTGTGGGTGTAGCCATCCTTTCCCACGCATGTGTACAAGTGTGGGTGGGCAGCAGCCATGGGTGCTGATGAACCTTCTCCGATGCTGGCAGGTATTTTGCCCACACACTGCCAGTGTGGCCTGTTGGGAGCAGGAGGAGGCCAGATAGGTGTGTGCTGGTCTCAGAACACGCTTAGCTCTGTCCCATCCTGGTTTTCCCTTGGATAGGCTTGAACACACCCATCATGAACAGGTCTGTGGACTTGGTGCCCTTCCTAGATTGACTGAATCTACAAGGAATTGGCAGCCTTTTAAGGTGGGCAAGTCAGGATGATCAGCCCACTCTGCAGGGCCAGATACTGAGGCTCAGGAAGGACCAGGACTTGCCCAAGTTCACTCAGCTGGTTAGGGGCAAGGTTGGGGGGTCTTTAGCCTCCAAAGGGAAGACAGAAAAGATCCTTTTCCACCCCTGACCTCTACCTGGAAGACTCCTGCCCCAGGAGATGCAACTTAGATCCCTGTCCCTCAGGCCTCTCTGTCCTGCAGAGCTGGCGTCTGCTGTTTGGCCTCCTCCTCGTGTGAGCTCTGGGCTCATGCCAGCGGACTTGAGCCCCGGAATGAATGCCTGTCTCACACGGTAGATTAGATTATATAAATAACAGGCAAGTGCCAAATGCATAGCCCTACACCTAGCACACTATTTAACCACTGGCTCTCTGGGGAGAAAAGTCCTGATTTGAGGTGTTTGCCAATTTCCGCAGTGTAAATACTCCCAGCATTGCTGACTTCAGGCTACAGGGTGGCATTGCTGAACCCAGAGCTGGGAAGGGATGTTCACTGTTGCCCCTCACAAATTAGTTTCAGCCAGTGCCAGTGCCCAGCGGGGCTCCAGGAAGTCCTGCTTCTCTGGGTAACAGTTGGCCTGGCATATTCTTCCCTCTACATTGTGAAGGTGAGATATCGCCTCTGCTGGCTTTTATGCCACATGAGTTATTTTGTGCCAGGGGCTCCAAGGCCTACAGGCCCACAAGCATCTTTTCATCTCTGGAAGTGTGTGTGTATCTGATGGGGGTGCCAGCCCAGTGGGATGGGGACTGAGATGAGAATACTCTGGTATCTCCCTTGTGCCTCAGTTTCCTCACCTAGGATCATGGAGGCTGGGGTAAGGGTGAAGTGTTAGCTCAGGGCATTGCCTGGAGCAGGGCTCAGAACTTAGCAGTATGGTTACTGACACAGGTCACCTGCTGCATTAGGGCCAGAGACGCCCAAGAGAGGGCTTGTCCGTGGGGGTCTAGAGGAGGAAGGAGCTAGAGATCATGGAAGACTTCTCGGGAGAGGTGGCATCTGGCAGAGGTGGGAAGGAAGAACACTTTGGGTCAAGGGGCTTCTGGAAGCCTCTCCATATCCCATCCAAGGCATTCCAGCTCAGCTTCGGTCTTGAAAGTTCTGGGATTTAGAGCATATAACTTCTGCCTTTGGCGCCTCAGTTTGCTCTAGACTGTGAAATGGGCATAATGATCACCAGTGCCTCCCTGGGTGATGATGAGGTCCTCATGGTTCCTGGTGGTGAAGTGAGGGCAGGAAAGGACACGCTGAGCCCCACCAGGCTTAGCCCCAGGCTGGGCTCCCGAGGGCGGCGGTACCCCTGGTCCTTTTCTTCCTAGCCTGCCCATTCTGTCCTGGCACAGGGCCTTGAGGTCTAGCGCGCCGGGCTGCGGCGTGCTGAGGCGTTGAGCCTGCTGCCTCCTCTCAGGAAGAAACGGGGTCCTCCGCAGCTGACAGCCCTGCGGGGCGTTCCAAAGAACTTCAGAGGACAGGAGCGCTACCTCGAGCAAAGAACCGCGGGTGGGAGCCCAGGTAGCCGGCCCGCAGGTGGCCGCGCGCGCCTGCCAGTCAGCCAGCCCGTCCGCAGCCAGGTGGGCGTGCCAGGCCCAGCCCCCTGCGCCGGTCCGGGGCGGGGCGAACGGAGCCCCGCCCTCCCCGCGCGCCGGGTCGGAGCCGGTGCGGGAGCGGAGCCGCGCGAAGCCGGCAGGAGCACGCGGGAGCGCGGCCCCGCAGTGGCCCGGCCCGAGAGAGCAGCGCGCAGGAGCTGGAGCGGCGCCACGGCCCCCACCCCAGCGCGGACCTCGCCCGGAACTCGGACCCCGTCCTCGAAGCGTGATCTCTCCCGCCTCGCACGCCCTGGCCGCCGGGCCGCGGGCATGGACGGCGTCCGCTCGCCCTGTGAGTGCCGAGCCTCCCCTCAACGCCGCTCGCCGCCTTTGTGTGCGCGCCGCGGCGCTGCAGCCCCCTCCCCGCGCGCCCCTCCCGCGCCCCGGGCCCGCGTCCTTTGTGGAGCCGCCGCCGGGCCACTGCCTTCCTCCCACCCCCGGGCTTCCCTATCCCCTTTACAGCTGCCTCCGGGACAGCCTAGCAGAACCCTCCTGGGCCAGGGCTGGGCAGGGCGCGAGATCCCTCTGCCGGCCTCCGGGGCCCTCAGGGACACCCTAGCAGGTCCTCTCTCCCAGGGTTCCAGGGACACCACAGGCCCGTCCCTCTCCGCAGCCTGGGGCTGAGCAGGGCACGGACCCCTCCTCCCCAACCCAAGCCTCTGGTCCCGTCTGCAGCCCCCCTTTCCCAGGGCCCCCAGAGACGGCCCCCGCAGGCTCTCTCCGCGGCCGGGGCTGGGCAGGTTGCGGGCTTAGGGCGGCGTTGTCTCATCCGGCGGCCTGGGCAGGTGCGGCAGGGCCGGCGCTCACGCGGGCCTGTGTGTCCTTGGCCCACAGAGATGGACGGCGATGGCGGCCGCCGAGACGTCCCCGGCACGCTGATGGAGCCCGGGCGCGGCGCGGGGCCCGCGGGCATGGCGGAGCCTCGGGCGAAGGCGGCGCGGCCGGGGCCCCAGCGCTTTCTGCGGCGCAGCGTGGTAGAGTCGGACCAGGAGGAGCCGCCGGGCTTGGAGGCAGCCGAGGCGCCGGGCCCGCAGCCCCCGCAGCCCCTGCAGCGCCGGGTGCTTCTGCTCTGCAAGACGCGCCGCCTCATCGCGGAGCGCGCCCGCGGACGCCCCGCCGCCCCCGCGCCCGCAGCGCTGGTAGCGCAGCCGGGAGCCCCCGGAGCCCCCGCGGACGCCGGCCCCGAGCCCGTGGGCACGCAGGAGCCCGGCCCGGACCCCATCGCAGCCGCTGTCGAAACCGCGCCTGCCCCCGACGGCGGCCCCAGGGAGGAGGCGGCGGCGACCGTGAGGAAGGAGGATGAGGGGGCGGCCGAGGCGAAGCCTGAGCCCGGGCGCACTCGCCGGGACGAGCCCGAAGAGGAGGAGGACGACGAGGACGACCTCAAGGCCGTGGCCACCTCTCTGGACGGCCGCTTCCTCAAGTTCGACATCGAGCTGGGCCGCGGTTCCTTCAAGACGGTCTACAAGGGGCTGGACACGGAGACCTGGGTGGAGGTGGCCTGGTGTGAGCTGCAGGTGAGGGTGCCCCAGCCCGCAGGGGGCTTTCCGCAGGGTCTGTCCGCGAGTGCGTCCTTGGGCCTGTCCTTGCTCCTGCGCCTGGCCTTAAGAAGCCCTGGGGGCGGCGGGGCTCCATGTGTGTCACCCTCTGTGTGGATGGCTGGCAGGATGCATACCAGGTGTGCGGACGGCATGTGGGGCCTGGCTGTGTCCGTGCGCAGGTTGCGGTTTGTGAGTCAGCTGGTGGCGAGGGCAGGCCTCTGTTGTGCGTTTGGTGTAAGTGTGCACGCTGTGGGCGTAGAGAGGGTCCTGGAGAGTGGGCCTCGGAGGCTGTGTCTCTTAGGCTGCTGCTTCTCCAGTCCCGATGACCTACTTTAATGACCCAGGGAGTCTGGACTGTTGTGTCTTTGCAAAACAGTGTGGAGGCTTCAAGGCCCGGTGTGTGCAGTCAGAGTGTTTTGGGGGCTCTGGGCTGCCCATAAATTAGTACTTTCCTGTGTCCAGCAAGCCGTGGCTGCCCCAGCAGGGATACCTGCAGAGACTTCTTCTGACCCAGGGCCTGTGACCCAGAGGTGGTGCCTGGTAGAGCTCTGGGGACAGCTGGGCAAGGCCTGGAAGTGTGGTTAGTCGCCTCTGCTGCTCTGAGAGCTCCATTTGTTCACAAAATGGACGTGTGAGAGGTCTTAAAACCGAGTCATGCAGAATGCGTGTGGGGGTTTTTCTTGGCTGCAGAGGCTCTGGGCATGCATTTTTCATAATCCTGCCATCACCGTGGTGTCAGCCCCAGCCCTGCAAGATTATATAAACAGCCACCTTAGCTGTCCTGGGACAGCCTAGGAAGCAGAGGCCATGCCTGTCCAGGGGGTGTTTACAGGCCTCCCTCCTTGGAGGTGGGCAGCTGTCAGGCGTGAGCCAGTCTGGGAGAGTGCCGGCTGGAGGTGTAAGTGTACTCTGTTGGCCTGTAAAGTTAGCTGGCTGTCCAGTCCAGGCCTGAAACGGGGCTGGGGCTAGCTGGGGCAAGCTGTGTTCTGGGGCCGCTGGCCACACTGCGGGACTCTTGCATTTTTGACTCAGAAGTGGGATTCAATTGCTATATCCTCCGGCCCCGACAGGGTGGCCTGCGTGTGTGTGCAAGCCTGGATAATTCGGTGGGTGTCGACCTGTCGTCAGCCTTTCTCCCAAGACAAAGAGCTCCAGAGACCTGCCTCTCCACCACCCCTTGGTTCTGCCTTGGAGATGTGGCTTTTCAAGTTAGGGGTCAGTGGCATTGTGTGAGGTCCTTAGGAGGGACTGAACAGCTCCCCTCCCTCATGGTCCTGTAGGTTCTGATGGTACAGGAAAGGCAGTGGGTGGGGCAGGGGGCTGTGATCTGGGGGTCCTGGGGTGTGCTGGGCATTCCTGCTGCAAGGGAAAGCAGAGAGAAGAGAGGGCCTGAAAGGGGAGACGACTCTTGATTCTGGCGAGCGGTCTTCCTGCTCTTGCCCTTCTGACCGGAGCACCCTCAGGTGCTGCCTCTGCAGGGTGGTGGATGGAACAGGGGTGCTGCAGTAGGCTGGATTTGAGTTAGACCTCGGCAGCCAGAGCCTGCTGATCTGGCTGAGGCATCGCAGGCGCATGTGACTCTTGGAGCTTGTTAGTTCCCATTCCCTTTAAGGAAACGCAGGCGATTCTGTCTCTGGGTCTGTCCCCTGCAGGCATGGGGTGGAGCCTGGCCTCTGTCCAGGGGTCTCTTGCTCCTTGACTCTAGGTGGGAACAGCAACCGAGAGGTGCTTCTGGTCTATATGCTTTTTGTCTATATGTTGATGTTCCTTGCCAGGATGTTACTGGTGCCCCAAACTTGTGGTTTCCCTGCATCTCCCCCAAAAGAAGTACCTCCAACATTTGTCCCTAGTCGATGTGTGTCATTTGGGATCAGCTCTCTCTGTGCTGATCTGAGAGGGTTTTCCATGAGAGGGAGTCTGGACCTGCTTAGAATAGCCCCCTTTGCTGAGAACTTGGTGTGTGTTGGGGCTGTGCTGGAAGTCTCGTCATCACAAACTGTGAGGACTGAGGGGAACAACCCCCAAGGTCACCAGTGAGGAGATGGCAGGGCATTGTGGGATCAGGGGAGGAGGGCCCCTGCCTGTGTGTAGAGTGGTGTAGGCTGACTTTGTGCAGAGCTATTGGAAGGACTGATGGGACTGCCTGTGTGATGTCCTGGGTATGGGCCAGGGGCTGCTGGGCGTGTGGAACGGAAGAGGGTGGGGTGTAGGGCTGCAGGGAGATCAGGGGCTGTGGGAGGGGCGTTGGACTCTGCGAGGGGAGTGTGCTCCTGGGTGGGATGTGGGGTCAGGTCTCACTGAGCAGGGAAGGGTGACAGGTGGGTGCTCCTTCTCTAGGTGTGTTGGCTTTGTGTCGTGAGGGGCTCTCTTAGTCCACAGTGTGGAGATGCCATCCTGCACATGACCGCTAGCATTCTGGGCATGGGGAGGGTTCCTGGGAGTCACGCTTTACACTGTAGAGGGAGGGTCTAGGGGGATGTTGCCTTCAGCCAGGAGCCCTTCTTGGAATTGCTCTTGGCCTCTATCCCTTTCTTCCCCTACTCCCGCAGCACCTGCAGTCTGTCCAGGTGCCTGGGCTGTGTTCCCCTTTCTGCCCTCCACAGGCTGGGGGGCCTCCCTGGAGAACTGAGAGGCGCCAGTGGGGCTCACTTGTGTTTTTCAGGGTTCCCTGCCAGACGGGAGAAACGCCTTCATGTGGACCTAGTAAGCCTGGCTTAGAGGACATCTGATTTCCTTTGATAAATTAGTGTTGAAAGAACTCTGTAGAGAGGGTAATATTTATTTATCTCACATCGAAGGGCAGTGAGGTGTTTCACCTTCTGAATTCTCCAGATGTGCAAAGCTGGAACCTGCACTGTTTTTTGTGGGGGAAGCCATTTTAAAATACCTCCCTGTCATTCTTCTCTTGAATAAACTTTTATTCTTGGCAGCAGAACACATTATGGTAACAAGGAAGTAAAACACCAGAATCCCACCGCCTTCCTCCTTGCCCACATGTCCTGTGTTCCTGTGGTCATCTTTGGCCAGCCCTGGTTCCCCCACAGACCCCTGTACTGTCAGACAGGGTGCGGGGTAGCCTGGGGCTCCGTGTCGGCTCTGGGAGCGTCTGCCACCTGCCATAGCCGGCCCAGCTACCCTGGGGGTGCTGATCTGGGTCACTGGCCTGACCTTCTACAAGACCCTCCTCTAGGGGGTGGTGAGGCCACAATACAGCAACGGGGAGGTGCCTGGCGTGGTGCTGTGGCCACCCCTTGCTCTGCCACCTTCTGTTGGGTCAGCACAATCTTGTTCCCTTCTCCTTTTGGTGTTGAGCTTTTGTGACTTCCTTGCCCTTCTTGGCTACCCACGTTGCTGGACCAACACTGTTCCATGTGGCTCAGGGCTCCCACTCTCACTTGCTGCCACCTTTGAGCTGGCGACAGGTCCCCAGGTTGAGAAAACATAGCCAACTCAGACCCAGGGAGGCAGCCTGTTTGCCTTTCCCGGACCTTCCTGTTTCTGCTGTGTCTCCCTTGGGGACCTGGAGTAAGCTTGGTTTTCACCCCCTTTAACAACACTGACGCCTCCCTGTCAGCAACTCCCTACTTTAGGGGACACAGGATCTTAGGATCTCAGTGCCACTGCCTCTGAGCTGCTGTGGCAGGGCTGGAACCTGAGTTTCCCAAGATGGTGCTGGGGCCTGCACCCAGCATGGGGTCTTTCTACTTCATAGAGACGTACATTCCTTGATCCTCAGCTCAGAGCACTTGCTGGGCCCTGGGAGAGCGGTGGAGTCCTAAAGAGGACTAAGGGTGGGGGCGCTGCTTCTAGTTCCAGAAAGTTACAAAGTAGGTCTTGCTGCTGCTTGGTGCCACCCAGAGGGGGCAGGGCTCAAGGAACGATGTGTCCTGCCCCAGCCGGGTGTCTCAGTGTCCTGTCCATCTTCCTGGGTCTGGGAGTGGATGATGCCAGAGGAGACTCGCTGAGTATGGCCTGTGCCAAGTGGGTGGTCCCCCCACCATCCTCCAAGGACAGCCCAGCCACCCGACAGCCTCTCTCCCAGCCGCTGGCAGCCCCGCCAGTGCCAGTGCTGAGCTGGCCCGTCATCCCGTGCAGGTGGGATCCTTATCACCTTTCTAGGCAGGCGTTCTGCATGTCATGGGCCACGCAGCCTTAGGCCAGGGTTTGGGGGACTGGAGAGCCTGCGTGCTTTGCCCCGATGGCCTCTCGTTAGAGGCCCGGCTGCCAGCCTCACCTGCTTTTAGCCCTGACCCAGCTGAAATGGGGAGAAGAGGAGACGAGGGGACGAGCCAGTGCCGGGCACAGAGGAGGTGCATGGCACTCACTTACTGGGGCAAGACAATCAGAAGGCTTGACCCGATTTGGCTGGTGGTCACCCCTTTTAAAAATTCTCTGAAGTGCTTAATTTTATTGGGAGAGTTGTAATTTGAAATCAGTTGGATGCCAGCACTGAATTTGCTTTCCTGGGCGAGATGTTTTCTGCACCATGCTGACCATGGTTTTGGTTTAGCTGGCAAAAAAGGCTGGCGCTAGCTCCCTGAAAGGCCTGTGCAGACGGACTTTCCCTCCCTCCCACCGGGGCAGAAATGTGGGCGCCAAGCTCTCAGTGGTGCTTCTGCCCCCCGAGTGGTGGTGGCGAGGTGTGTGTCAGCAGCGATGACAGACAGCAGCCTGTGCAGGTCACCGTCATGGGGGACACATTGAGGCTGAGGCACCACAGCTTGTTTTCTACTAGAAGCAGGTGCTCCTGTGGCTCAGTGGTGCCGTGTGGGCGCCTGGCTGAGCTGAATCAGGACCAGGCCACCATGGGACTCGAGCGTACCTGTGCTGCTTTCTGAGCCCCAGAGGGAGGACCCCAGCACTGGCTCAGATGTGTGGAGGGCCAGCCCCCACATGCCATTTGCCATTGCAAATGATTTGATTTGCCATTGCCAAAGCTTGTGTTTTCTCATTCCTCGTCAGCATGTTAGGAGGTCTGCCAGGGCAGCTGGACATGCCCTCCCGCAGCACTGGAACCTTCCGTGGTGGCAGAAACATCCTGCCTCTGCATTTGTGTCCACAGGCCCTGCGGAGTGCCTGGGATGTGGCTGGGGCAGCTGAGGGTCAGTGTTCTTATTTTTCCTCACATTAAACGTGGACGCAAATGTCCACACGTGCCCTGGCTGCTTCACGGGTCACCCGCGTCTCCAGGCTTGATCTTGGGCCCTCCTCTAGGCGGCTGCTTTTCCAGAGGATATAACAGACCCAGGTGACCTAGAGGTGGCCACTGGGACACCAGACAGACCCAGATGGGGACAGTCTATAGACCATCTTACAGCAAGGGAGACAAAGGGGCCGGGACACATCAGGGCTGGAAGAGGCCAAGGAGGTGCAAGATGGGGCCTGCGCTGGAGACCCCCACGGAGGACTGGATTGGATTGGACTATGAGAACCTAGACTTGGTGGCAGTGCCACGACTGTGTCAGGCTCTGGGAAGCAAGTGGCCACCAAGTCCAAGACAAGCTCCAGGTCAGCGGGAAGATCTCGTGGGCCCTGAGAGTTGCATCCCCCCACCCTGTCCTGTCATTTCCGGGGACAGCTGGGGGCTTACTCTGAGGTTGCGTAAAGCTTTATTGATGGACAGCTAGCCAAAAGATAGCATCAAGAGAAGGGGAGGGAGCGGATGTTCCTGAAGGTTCCAGAGGCCTGTGCTTGGGTCTCAACAGTGCAGGCTTGTGTGTATGTTGACTCAGTGAGCATTTGTTGAACGTGTGTCCTGGTTCTAGACCTGGGGTACCATAGTGAGCAGGACAGGTCACCGCCCTGGGAGACAGAGCCTGTGAGACCTGGAAATGTATTGGGCAGGTTGGGGAGTTCTGAGCGAGGCTGGAGGAGGGGCGGGAGTGGAGTGAGGTTTTGACAGGATCTCTCTGGCCACCTTGGGGACAGTTGGGGATGAGGGTAGAGGCAGGGGACCAGCAGGGAGGTGACTGCCACTGTCTAGGTGAGAGATTACAGGGCTGGTACTGGGTGGGATAGAGGCGGGGAGGGGAGAAGCATCAGATTCTGGGTGCATTTGAAGGTGGAGAGCACAGGATTTACATCAGATCTGAAGGTAGAGAAGGTAGGAATCGTCCAGGCATGGTGACTCACGCCTGTAATCCCAGCACTTAGGTTGAGACGGGTGGATCATTTGAGGTCAAGAGTTTGAAACCAGCCTGGCCAACATGGTGAAACCTCGTCTCTACTAAAAATACAAAAAAATTAGCCAAGTATGGTGGCGGGCACCTGTAATCCCAGCTACTTGTAGGGCTGAGGCAGAAGAATCGCTTGAACCCAGGAGACAGGTTGCAGTGAGCTGAGATCGTGCCACTGCACTCCAACCTGGCGACAGAGCAAGACTCCGTCTCAAAAAAAAAAGGCCAGGCGTGGTGGCTCATGCCTGTAATCCCAGCACTTTGGGAGGCCGAGGTGGGCGGAACACGAGGTCAAGAGATTGAGGCCATCCTGGCCAACATGGTGAAACCCCGTCTGTACTAAAAATACAAAAATTAGCTGGGCGTGGTGGCAGGCACCTGTAGTCCCAGCTACTCGGGAGGCTGAGGCAAGAGAATCGCTTGAACCCAGGAGGCGGAGGTTGAGTGAGCCGAGATCGCACCACTGCACTCCAGCCCGGCGACAGAGCGAGACTCCGTCTCAAGAAAAAAAAAAAAGAGAGAGAGAGAAGGTAGGAATCATGGTGTGGCAGCAGCTTTGGGCCTGGCAGGATGTGGCTGCTGTCCTCTGAGGGGGAGGGGGAAATGTGGATTTAGGGGAAGGGCAGGCCTTGGCTTGGGACATGCTTAATCTGAGTGCTTTGTAGGTGGCCAAGGGTGGTCCTCGGGTGGAGTGGGATCTCCCAGGCTGATCCTGAGTTGGGAGCCTGGGTAGGCACCCCAGGAGTGCAGGGATGGGCCAGGACTGTGTCTCGGGGGGCCAAGAGGGAGGAGCTCATTACCCTGCCCAGAGGGGCTGCCCAGGACAGGAGGGTGCTCCAGGATGCCAGAACTGTTTCAAAACATGATTCATACAATGGGCAGCAGATTCCGAGTTTTAGGTGCTAAGACAAAATTGGGAACTGTGCTGCACCTTAAAGACAACTGTCCCTTCCCTTGGGAGTTACCCTTCTTCCCACCCCTGGGCCCTGCTGGCCACCATGAGTCCACGGTTTGGGTGGAGCTGGCCAGTGGTCCTGGGCTGGCTGGACTTGCCCCTCACCTTCCAGGACAGCTGGGAGCTGCAGCCCTTCTATGCCCATAGTCATCTTGTAGGTGTCTCTCAGGGCCTGTGGCTTGGGTCTGGCTTCAGGCTGCAGCTGGAAGACACCCAAGGTGATGGCATGGAGCTTTAGGTCACCTCGTTGATGGAGAAGAACTTGACCTGGCCCAGCAGGGGTTTGGGCCGTGTGTCTGGGTCTCCCTTGTGGTCCGTCCTGGCTGTGCAGCCGTGATGGGGCATCAGCATCTGCTTGCTGTGGTGGGAAGGGGGGTTTGGGAGCCTCAAAGCCAGGAAGGACGTCGCCCCAAAGGTCCCAGCCGCACTGCCCTGGTGCATACAAAATACCCCAGGGGTAGGAGGGCCCTGCCATGTTCCCAGTGCGTGGCCATGGGAGGGCACCTGTTTCTGCGAGCCTCGGTTTACCCTTTTGTGCAGTGTGGATGGTGTTAGCTGCCCTTCATGGCTGGGGGCTCTATTGAGAGAAATGTGTTTCACCTGAGCACACAGGGGCCTCAGGTCAACCTCTTTTCACCCGTCTTGCTCCCCCTGCAAAATAAACAGTTGTCTCCAGTAGAGATGTGGAGAGCAAGCCGAGCCAGCAGGTGGAGGCTGGTTCCCGAGGCTGCCTGTCTCCCCGCCCGGGAGCTGTGGGCACCTGTGCCGCTGTTGCCTTAGTGCTTGAGCTGCAGATAAGGAAAAGGGTGTGAACGGCAGCAGCTGGGATTTTTGAAAAGCAAGCTAGGATCTGCCTCTGACCATAGACAATTCAGGGCTGTGTTTTGGGGAATCCCAGCTGGGTGGAGAGGACTGAGTGGGGACGCTGGAGGTTGGCAACCTGAACACTGTCTGTAAGTTTTCCTGCTTCTGAGAGTTTTCACATCCAATTCTCTTCCCTGGAGCATTGAATTCTAAGCATTTCCCAGAATACTTGATTACGACTTCTTATTTAAATTGGCTCTCATTAAATTATATTAACATTTTTTAAAAAGAATGAAAGAAAAGTGGTCAAGGCAGTGCAGTATTGGTAAAAGAACAGATGAGTTGATCAATGGAATAGAATAGCAAGCCCGGAAATAGACCCTCATGAATAAAGTCAACTGATCTCTGACAAAGGAGCAAAGGCAATAAAATAGAGACAAGATCATCTTTTCAACAAATGGCGCTGGAACAACTGCACATCCACATGCAGATAAATGATTCCAGACGCAGACCTTACACCCCTCACAAAAAATAAAATTGGCCATATGCCTAAATGTAAAATCCAAAATTATAAACCTAGCTTTGGCAGTGACTTTAGATATAACACCAAAGGCACAGTGCTTGAAAGAAAATAATGATAAGCTGGACTTGATTAAAATTAAATGCTTCTGTTCTGTGAAAGACACTGTCAAGACAATGAGAAGACAGGCCACAGCTGGGGAGAAAATATTTGCAAATGACCCATCTGCTTAAGGACTGTTATCCAAAATTTACAGAGAATTCTTAAAACTCAACAATAAGAAAACAATCAGCTAAAAAAATAGGCCAAAGAGCTTAACAGATACCTCACCAAGGAAGACACACAGATGGCAAATAAGCATATGAAAAGATGTTGCCCATCGTAAGTCATCAGGGAATTGCAAATTAAAACAATGAGCTCCCACTGCACACCTACTAGAATGGTCAAAATCTAGAACACTAACACCAAATACTGGTGAGGATGTGGAGTGACAGGAACTCTTATTCATTACTGGTAGGATTGCAAAATGGTACAGCTATTTTGGAAGGTCTTTTGGTAGTTTCTTATAAAACTAAACACACTCTTACTATGCAATCCAGCAACTGCGTTCCTTGGTATTTACCCAAAGGAGTTAAAAACTTAGGTCCACACAAAAACCTGCACACGGATGTTTATAGCAGCTTTATTCATAATTGCCAGAACTTGGAAGCAACCCAGATGTCCTTCAGCAGGTGAATGGATAAACAAACTGTGGCACATGCAGACAATGCAATCTTATTTAGTGCTAAAAGAAATGAGCTATGAAGACATGAAAACACAGAGAGGAGCCAGAAATGAATATTTAAGTGAAATAAGCCAATCTGAGAAGGCTGCATATTGTATGATTCCAACTAGATGACATTCTGGAAAAGACGAGAAACCATGAAGACAGTTAAAAAAAAAAAAAAAGTTCAGTGGTTGCCAGGGATTAGAGGAAAGGAGGGATGAAGAGGCAGATTTGTGGGGCAGTGAAACTATTTTGTATGATACTTTACTGGTGAATACATGTCATTATACATTTGTCAAAACCCATAGCATGTACAGCACCCAGAGTGAACCCAAGTGTAAATGTTGGATTTTAGTTAATCATCAATATTGGTTCATCAGTTATAACAAGTGTACCACACTAATGCAAGATGTTAATAATAGGGGAACCTGTGTGTGGGTGTGAGGGAGTGTATGGGAACTCTACTTTTTGCTCAATTTTCCCATAAATCTAGAATGTCTCTAAAAATAGTTGATTAATTTTAAAAATGCAACAGCTACATTAAAGATGTTTGCAGAAATGGGCCAGGCGCGGTGGCTCACACCTATAATCCCAGCACTTTGGGAGGCCGAGGCAGGTGGATCACTTGAGGTCAGGAGTTTGAGACCAGCCTGGCCAACATGGTGAAAACCTGTCTCTACTAAAAATACAAAAATTAGCTGGGCGTGGTGGCGGGCGCCTATAATCCCAGCTACTTGGGAGGCTGAGGCATTAGAATCGCTTGAACCCAGGAGGTGGAGGTTGCAGTGAGCCAAGATCGTGCCACTGCACTCCAGCCTGGGCAACAGAGTAAAGACTTTGTCTCAAAAAAAAAAAAAAAAAAAAAAAAAGATGTTGCTGAAAAAAAATATCAACCATAATCCAACCAGGTGAACACAACTGCTTTTATTTTTGAATAGGACCTTCTAGGTCTTGTTTGCACATGTATAGCATTTAAAAATACAGCTGCAGTTCAGGGTGTCACGACTTCTAGAATCTGTCTCTGGAGTGTCTTTAAAGCTATTGTTTTGCAAGAGGCCATGGTTCTGAGGTTTGTTCCTGGTCTTGGTGCTATTTTGAACCCTTTGCTGAGGGTGGCTGCAGAAGAGGTGCTATCATTAGATGTGTTTGGGGAGTGGTGGGTCAGACAGGCATTGCTGTTGAGGAACTTCTCAGAGCCTTTACGATGCCCACTGTGTTGTGAAGCTCTTGAAGGGTGCGAGGGGGAAGGTGTTGGGCCACCTCCTTTTTTTCTTTCATTTTACAGTTATCTTATAAGCCAGGACTGGCTCTGGGGAGGGGCGTTAACAGGCTGACTGTTAGTGGAGGGTCACGGGCTCCCTCTGGTATTCACTCTCCCCAATCCGCCCCTCACCCCTGCTTTCTGGGCACTGTGCGTGCTTGCTCTCCGGTGGGGGAGATGGGACAATTCTCAGCTGTGAGCCGACTGTGGGAAGCAATGCTGACCTTTGATCCTACTCAGAATCTGGAATCTGGAGATGGCCATGTGACAGCCCTGGAGGTGGCTCAGCAACATCAGCTGGGACATGGGGTTTTCTCTCTGTTTCTTCTGTCCTCATCCATGTTGGCATTTTGTCCCTAGTCTTGCTTGGCCTCATGGCTACAGTAGGGCTGCCACAGCTCCAGGCATCACAACCACATTTGATGGTGGGAAACAAATGGGTGGTTAGGTGGGGGCCAAGCAGCCAGAAGGTCCATTTTTCAAGTGGCTTTGTTCATATTTTAATCCATAAAGAGAAATATTTACCAGGGATTCTCTGGTCTCCTTGGTTAGCATGTGTTTGTGTGGCCAACTGTAACTGTGCTTGTATCTGGGAAAAGCTTGATTGGTGTAGCAGGTTATGATCTGTTCTCTGGGGCTGGGCATAGTGAGTTTCTGGGTTTCTGTTGGTCAGGAGGGGTGGCGGGCTGTGGGTGGAGCGTGCCTGCTGTGTCTGTCTTGGTTACCTTGTCCCTCCAAGACTGTCAGTGTCTGTGTGTGCTAGAGCCCTCCTCTGCCTGGGCCTGCAGAGAACAGCACAGCACACATGCCCGCTGCATCTGCAGGCTCCTCCCTGTCCACAGCTCCCACACCCAGGCATCTGTGGGCCCTGATGATTTTCCTTCCCTCCTGTGTGGCCACCCCAGCTCCCTACCCTCTGTGCCAACCCTGGCAAAGCTTTTTCCTCTCTGCCAACAATCCAGTTTTCATTTAGCCCCAACATTTTATTTTGGAAAACTTTGGAAAAACCAACAGAGAAGTTGGAGTTACCAGTTGTTAGTGTTTACCACTCTCCTGTATATCTGTGTCTGTGATTTCCTGACCCATTTGCAGTTCACCCCTGAGTACTTCAGCCTGTGTCTCTTGATAGGAACGAGGATGCTCCCACATCACCTCCACCCCCTGCCGTGCTCCAGGCACTCCAGGATAGGACCTGAGGCACTCAGTGAGGTCTCAGATGGGTGGACTGCACTTCCTAGGGAAGGGATCCAGGAGCCAGTCAAGGATCACGTGTTGTGTCTGGTTGTCATGTCAATTTCAATCCAGAACAGTCCCTCTGCCTTTTATTATTACTGTTCTTAAATCTGTCAGCATTGTCTTCTGAAGGTTTAGGGCCAGTGGTCTTGCATGGAGACTCCATCTGGATCTGTGTGGTGTTTCTTTTTTTTCTTGAGGGAGTCTTGCTCTGTCTCCTAGACTGGAGTGCAGTGGTGTGATCTTGGCTCACTGGAACCCTCTTGGGTTCAAGCGATTCTCCTGCCTCAGCCTCCCGAGTAGCTGGGATTTATAGGTGTACACCACCATGCCCAGCTAAGTTTTGTATTTGTAGTAGAGACGGGGTTTCACCATCTTGCCCAAGTTGGTCTTGAACTCCTGACCTCAGGTGATCTGCCTGCCTCGGCCTCCCAAAGTGCTAGGATTATAGGCATGAGCCACTGCCCGGCCCTGTGTGGTGTTTCTGTACGACCGTGTGAGGTCGTGCATTCCTGGCTCGGGTGCTGCATGTGTAGGTCAGATCCGGCTAGGCTGGTCCCTGTGGGGGCCCTAGAGGAAGTCAGAGTGCTGTTATTAAGAAATGACCATGCTCACGTCAGTGGGGCACCACTGTATACTCTAGAGGCATATTGGCTTCCTGAGAGGGAGGTGCTGTGATTCCCCCCTCAGTAAAGTTTCCCAGTTTACTAAGGAGGAAACTGAGGTACAGGAAAATACAAGATGTTGTCCTGTACACCCAGGCAGCCAGGGGCTGAGTGGGGACCTGCATAGCCTAAGGGGTTGTGGTGCAGCTTGAGGAGGGTGGACTGCAGGCTCCGGTGGTTCTGGGCCTCAGGATCGCCCAGCTCCCTCCTCCCTTTGGGTGCCTGAGGCACCTGAGCTGGAACTGCCCCGCCTCTGAGTTAGGTTGAGTGGTTGATGCTAACAGGACTTGCTGTCAGCCTTGAGGGAGCTGAGCGGCTGCAGTTTCCCCAGGCAGGCGGGGCTTGCTGGCAGGAGGAGGCTGATGGGGACCCACCTGTTGCCCATCCAGCTGCTTTGGGTGGGGCCCCTCCTCAGGCCTCACAGGGAGCCCTGCTTACCCCGGTAGGGCGTAGGGGCAGGGCTATGTTGTTCCTCCTACCTGCCAGCCCTGGACCAGCCTTGTTGAGTTGGGGGAGTGTGCCCGGGCATTGGGTTTCATGGGGATGGCCACTGTGGAGGGGATGCTTCCTGGGGAAGATGACATGATGGACATGGAAGCCTGACAGAGGAGGAGCTGTCCACAGCCTCCATCCTCTGATGTGGCAGTTTTCACTTTGGTATATGCCCTTCTTAGCTTGTTTTTTATACTCTTGGGCATTTTTGCTAAGTCATGATCATAGCGTCTGCGCTGATATGTGCAGTGACAGTGAATAGCCCAGACTGCCTCTGGGCCCCCACTCCCTGCCCAGCTCTGGCCCTGCTGCCCCCTTTTCCAGCCCTGCCCTCTTGCCCCATTGTCCTTCTACCCCTGGCCTTGCTGCCCAAGACCTGCAGTTGAGCTGGGCAGCTTTGGTGCAGTCTCGAGCTCGGGGCCTCCTCGGGTGTGAGTCAGGCCTGGGTCAGACCCACTTGTCATCCTCTCGCTGGCTCGGTTCGGGGTGGGTGGAGGCCTGCTCAGTCCCAGCCTGGCCCCCTCCAGCTGGACCCAGGTTCCCACACACCCTGCATGCCTCCATGCTGTCCCCTGTGACTGGAGGTCCTTGTGTGGGCCTGAGACGTGTGAGCAAGTCCCCTTGCCCTCTGTGGGGTGCGGCTTCTCAGCCTGGCTGTGCTGGGGTCACACAGGCCTCCCAGAAGGAAGATGACCGATGCCTGGGGTCTCAGTGGGCCACCTCTCTCCCATTCTGGTGGCACCAGGACTGAGCCGAGATGCTTGCCCCTGATTTTCTTGTTTTCAGGCTTCCCCCAATGTCAAGGATAGTCCTGGGCTCTGGACCTGGTGACCTCCTACCTTAGCCCTGCCCAGGTTGGTGACTCTAGGCTACCTTCCTCCACCTGCTGGCGGCTGGGCTTGGCGTCAGGTGGTGGGAGATGCCCTAGGCCTCCTATCTGGCCCTGTCCTGTGTCTTCAAGTTAGGCAACCATCTTCCTGGGTCAGCCAGCTGCAAGGCTGTTGACATCTGCCCGGACAGGTCTCTTGGAATTTCTTGTCTTTAATTAAGAGGTTCGAGCAGCGTAGTGAATTTGTGTTTTGGAAGAAGCATTGAAAACACAAAGCTGTGGGCCGGGTGCGGTGGCTCAGGCCTGTAATCCCAACACTTTGGGAGGCCGAGGCGGGTGGATCACGAGGTCAGGAGATCGAGACCATCCTGGCTAACTCGGTGAAACCCCGTCTCTACTAAAAATACAAAAAAATTAGCTGGGCCTGGTGGCAAGCACCTGTAGTCCCAGCTACTTGGGCAGCTGAGGCAGGAGAATGGCGTGAACCTGGGAGGCAGAGCTTGCAGTGAGCCAGATAGTGCCACTGCACTCCAGCCTGGGCGACAGAGCAAGACTCTTTGTCTCAAAAAAAAAAAAGAAAACACAAAGCTGTGGAGAAGAGCTAGGATGGGGGGGCAGCGGTTGGGCAGGTCCTGTGTGTGTCCAGGGCAGCCCCAGCCTGGTGCTCCATCCCCTCAAGGAGGGCAAGTGGCAGGCCATGCTGAGCAGGCGTTGCGTGGGGATGCTGCCTGGCTTAGTCTCAGCCTCCCCTGCCCTAGTCCCCACCTGGGAGTGCACACCATGGGGGGTTGCAGGAGTTAAGGTGCTGAGGGGTGGGGAAGGTCCATTGAGTGGAATTATTGGCCCTGACACCCCTGGGGACATGGATGGCTTATCGGGGGGCCTCCTCGAGGCCTGGCCTTGCTCTGGCCCCTTGAGCCAGAGGTCCAGGGCAGGTTTGTCTGATGGGCTATCCAGACTTTGTCTGTCACTGCAGCAGGTCCTGGGTCAGCTGGATATGGCTGGGTGATCTTTACAGGAGGGAGACCCGAGGCTGTCTGTGTCTGCCCAGAGGAGGGCACGTTCTGCATGTTCCCTCAAGAGCCAGCGGTGGTGGGAGAACCACAGTGTTGGGGAGCCCAGTTGCTGGCTGGACAGTGATGGCCTGTTGTCCCCTTCAGCCTCTCGGCAATTCGACGCCTACCCTGGGCTGCCATTGCCCAGTTCCTCAGCCTGTCAGTCGCTCTGGTGCCCTTGGCTTGGTGTGGTTGGACGCAGTGAACTTGGCACCCTCGTTTGCGGCTGAGCTTGGGGAAAACTGAGCCCAGAGGATGCCGGAGCATGGCCCTGCTGCTCTTGGTACCTGTTGGGCCTCTGGATTGGGTGACTTAGAGGTGAGACGGCCACATGGGCTCAGGGTGTGGTGGTTGCAGGTGGGTTCTGTACAGACGGCCACCTGCGCCATTTGTAAAAAGAGGGTTTAAAAGGGAGGCATGAAAGTGAATAAACTTGGCTAGGCGCATTTATGAGAAGGATGAAATAGGGTTAGCTTGGGGAAAAGGGCAAAAACCTTTAAAACCGCTAGAAACAAATGAAACAGAAGAAGATGAAAAAATATATGGAAATAGATCTTAAGATAGAAAGGGACCGATGATATTTTTTAAAGGTAAAGGAAAATAAAATGCTAACAGCAAGGGGCCTTTCTTTTACTGGGATGGATTTTTAGGGACAGTTAGTATGTGTGCAGCCCCTCCCCAGTGAGGACCTAGGCGTCCCCTCCCAGCAGAGGGTCCTGGTACCACCCATCCTTTCCATCCTGTGGCTGTTCTCTGCCTGCTTTAGGGTCCTGCTTGGGATGAGTCTGTGTGGCCCTGGCTCTTAACAGCCCCTCTGTGTGGCCGAGTGCGTTTCACTGTCTGCTTATCTGTCGCCATCTGTGGACACTGGGGCTGTCTGGGCTGAGACTGTTCCGAGCAAGGCTGCCCAGCATTCACACTGGGCTGGAGGAGCAGGGGGAGTGGGGATGGGTCCAGGTGGGCTGCTGACCCCAGCCTTCACAGCTTGAGGCCCCTGCGTGCCTTCCTGGTTGGGGTGCTCACGCTGCATGCTCTTGGCAGCCCGGGAGGTGGAACGTGGAGAACACATGCCTGGCCATGAGGCTCATTCTTCCTGCTGTAGAGCTTGTGGGAGCAGGGCTGGGGTGTCAGCCTGGCCTGGCCTATTGCTAGCCCTGGGCACTGTGTGCAGAAAACTAGTACCTAAGCCCCAGGTTGGATGTGTCTGAGGGCTATGGACAGGTCCTGCCCTGCAGGAGGCCCTCCCTTCCCTTCCCTGCCCAGGGCTACATGCTGGACCATGTGCTTCCCAAGTGCCCAGGACCCGTGTCTCCCCCGTGTCCTGAGAAAGAGCCCTTTTGGCTCATATCTGGCCTGTCTGAAATGGCCTGTCAGCCTCTGTAAATATTTGATGAAGGCAATGATAAAAAGACAAAGGCATGCTCTGTTCCCCGAGGGGAGCGAGATGGTGACATTGGAACGTTCCAGCCCTGCCGGCCGCTTCCTGAACTGTTTATGGATGGGTTTCAGGCAGGCCCTTTGTGCCCGCGCTCCCACTCACTGCAGGCCAGAGTGGAGCTCCTTGGGGCCTGGCAAGGCTAAGCAGAGGCAGCTGCCAACTTTCCACCTGGAAACCAGGCTGGGCCGGTGAGGGTTGCTGGCTGCGCTGGAGGTCACAGGGGGGTCTCACACTCTGATGCTACCTGGGACATACGTAGTTCCTGGCCTCCAGGTAGGCTTGGGGAAGTGAGGGGTGACTGAGGTTTGGTGTGGGACCCTGACCATACAAGATGGCTCTGTGTCCAGACACCACTGGGCCCTAGTGGGGTGGCCGCTCAGCACAGTGCAGGCCACTCCTACCCATGCCCCACTCCATGGCTGACCCCAAGCTCCCAGCCCTGCTGCGTGTGGGGACCTGGTATGCTTCTCAGGGCCTCTGCTGGGCTCCGTGTGCACGTGTGTGTGTGTGTGTGTGTGTGTGTGTGTGTGTGTGTGTGTATGTCTCGTCTTTGGCTCGTTTGCCAGGGAATGGCCTGCCCCTCCGGCGCTTCCGTGGGAATGAGGAGCCCTTTGAGTTGACCTCACCGAGGGGCCACCTGTCCCGTGGGCGGTCAGCCCGGCCCTACCAGGGGAGAGGACACTTTCTGCTTGGGAGGGGCGGGAACTGCTGGGAGCCACAGCTCTCAGGGAGGGGTGGGTATTTGCACGGCTGATGGCCTTTCCACAAAAGGGTTCCGCTGTGTTTTCTCTTTGGGGGAGGGAAAATTACATGGGGTGGGGCTGGGGCAGGTGGCATGGTGGGGGCCGAATCAGGAGGGTTGGAAAGGCCTTAGTCTCCAGCGTGATACTGGACACCACTGCAGCCGGGGCTAAATGCTCCTCCCTCACTGAAGCCTCCCTGAAGCCCCTGAGGAGCTTTTCCCTGGGGCAGGGACACTGAGGCACACATAGGTTGTGCTTGCTGGACACTTCTGGCTGGAAGGCCGGCTTGGAAGGGCTAGGCTGCCTTTGTGGGGGTGGGGGTTCTTGCTAGGGTAGACCTCACCCTTTTTCCTGCAAGGACCACATCTAAGGCCATTTGCGAGGCACCCAGGCTGGTTTCCACGTGGCAACCATTGGAGGAGAGGGGCCCTCTGAGGTCTGTGTCCAAGTGGGTGGCAGTGGAGGATGGGGGGCATGGGATGCTCAGAGCCCCACAGGCCTTGTGGGGTGGGGCAGTGATGCTTCTGCTGGAGGGGTGGGGCCCAGAGCTTTTCGGGGGGCGCTGGGAAGGTCCTTCCTGGGGGCTGCAAGTATGACCCCAGTAGGGGAACCCCAAGTACCCTTTGCTGAACTCAGCTGAGGACCTTGAGCTGCAATGAGGCCCCCTGGGGCCTGGTGGGCCAGGGGTTTGGCCCAGGGAAAGGTATGGCAGTCAGGACCATGGCTGGAGTGGACAGTGGTCTGAGTTGGGGGCATTGGTGGCGGGTGGTAGCAGAGGATGCAGAGGAGCAGCCACCCAGGCTGGGGAGGCGCCTGCTGAGTGAGGAGGTTTCAGATTTTCACTGAAAGAAAGAAAAAGCGAATGAGAACAGGCAGCTCTGGGGAGCCGGGAGACCCTGGCCACAGAGCAGGTTGGGAGGGAGCCTGTGGGAGTGGCTGCGGGGTCCAGGCCGGGGGCACAGGGGCTGGTCGTTGAAGGCCTAGTCCCCTGCAGTCTGTGGACGTGCCACTGCACTCGGCAGAGGTGACTTTGCAGATGGGATTAAGTTAAGTATCTTGAGACTGGGAGATTGTCCTGGGCTGTCAGAGTTGGCCAGATGTCATCTTCAGGCTGTCCTAAGTGGGAGGCAGGAGCTTCTGAGACAGAGAAGGGGATGTGGGTGTGGAAGAGGGAGGAAGGGACCGTGGGACAGGGAACGAGGCATCTCGAACTGTGAGAGAATACAGGTGGTGTTGGAAGCCCTGTGTGTGGTGATTGAAGCCGGGGGAGGCTGCTGCAGCCTGGTCACTGTCCCCACTGGTTACCCACGCAGCCCTGTGGACATGGTGCAGTTGGGGCCAGCCAGGAGCCCTGTGGGAGGGATGTCCCGAGGGCTTCCTAGACAAAGCTCCCTGAGCAGGGCCTGGAGACATTGATGGGGCTGCGGGATGGCATCCTTGGGAACGGGTGTCAGGGAAGGCTGGCTGGTGTGTGTGTGTGTGGTGGGGGTGTGGGGGCTGTATTCTGGTAAGTGCTGGAGAGGAGAGGGCTGACATAAGGCCACACTGAGGAGGTGTTTTAACTGCCTGCTTGGTCAGTGGGTACTAGGGAGCCACTGAAGGCTCCTGGGGGAGAGTATATGAAAACCGTTCAGAGATATGGGCTTCACAGCTGTCTGTGAGGTGCTGGGAGTGGGAGAAGCAGAGGCAAGGACAGCCTGGGTGCTCAACATTTCTGCTGGGGAGGCAGACGAGGGCGGGCAGAAGAACTGATGGCCTCTGTCAGCCGCATGGAATGGAGAAAGTATATTAGGTTACGGCTTCCAAGAGTCAGGGAGGCCCAAGCACCTGCAGGTAGAACTGCCCAGGTTTGGAATGGGGGCCAGAAAGGCGGGGCCAGCCCTCGGGGCTGTGGGCCCCAGGAGGACTCAGGGTTCTAAATGTGCTGGGAAGCCCCACTTTCCCCCAGCAAACTGTTGTCGGGTACCCAAGGTGCCTGGCATGGGGGATGCTGCAGGAACAAGCTGCTGGCTCCCACTGAGGGGCAGGGGTGGGGAAGGGTGCTGACTCTGAGCCATCACGGGCTAGGTGTGTGACAGGATGGGACAGAGTGGGTGTTTGCAGGCTCTGTGACACGGGCTGACATTCACTGTCCTGCCTGGCCCTGATGTGAATGTCATAGCAGATTGTCAGCACTGTTTGGGGCTCAGGGAGGCTCAGAAAGTGAGGGATGCCCGAGGACACCAGGGAGGAACATGGGTGTCTGGTGGGGGTATGGGGACCCCAAGCTGGGCAGAGCCTTGGGGCTGTGTGTTTGGTGGCCTTGGACTGACCCTGTCCTGCCTGGCCCTGGGTGAGGACAGAGGAGGCCAGAGGCCAGCAGGGCTGAAGAGCTCATCATGCTGGAAGCCACAGGCCAAGAAGTGAACTGAGCTTGCAGGGGACAGCTTCAGGTCAGGGGAGGCCAGTGGATATTGGAGTTAGGCACTCTATAATATGTTGAACATATTGGGCTCAGATCAGAGCTGTGTTAACGTCTGTGGGAGGTCCTGCTTTCCTCCATCCATTCTGGTACAGATTTTCCAGTTGAGCATACTACCTCCTCCTCACCCCTTCATTTGTAGACCAATGTTACCGGTGACTGGGGAGGCTTGAGGAGCACTGGGCTGGGACTGTGCACTTTGGTAGCACCTTACCCACTTCCTGAGTTCAGGGCATCTGTCAGCACAGATGTGTCAGTGAGCAGACGGCCACTGTGTGGGAAGGCCAGCACCAGCCTTCATGGGGAGTGGGCAGCCTATGTGCAGGTGGGAGCCCCTGGACCCCCCAGGTCTGGAGAGGCCATTGGCCCCAGTGGGTGGAGGCTGGCACTCAGGCTTAGCCCTATCCTGGGCCCCCTTGTTCCTGGGGGCCCACCCTGCTGGCCAGCCTCTGTCATCTCCCCCATCCTGCTGGTCAGCCCCTGTCCGTCCCTGCACCCTGTGCCTGGCCCCCACTCTGTCCTTCGGCCCGCCCCGCGGCCGGCTGTCTGGAGCCTGGTCTCCATAGCAACAGTTGCTGCTGTGGAAGCTGGCGCCCGCTCAGCCTCATCCCGTGGGGAGGTATTTTTGGCACTGCTGAGGGATTTTATTTTATCTTTGGTGTTGACTTTTACTCTTTGAGTGACACAGACGAAGCTGGGGGCAGCCTTTGAGAAGCTTCTCTCTGGGGGACGTGGTGTTAAAGGCCTTTCTTCGTGGCCCCTTGAGTGCAGGGTCCTCCGAATGTCTTGCTGCTGGGGACACTGGCTCTGTGTGACGCCAGTGCCTTCTGGCAGCCTCTGGGCCAGTGGGTCTCAGGCTCCAGACGTACTGGGGGCTTTGGATGGCAAGAGGAAAATCAGGGGTGGGTTTGAGCCTCAGGTAAAGCCACCAGTTTGGTGGGGACACCCCTGGAGGCAATTGTTGTTGAGTGCTGGCTGTAGCCTAGACCCCGTGCGGAGCCTCGGGGCACAATTTTATGGGATCCTCCTGCCCACGGCCCATTTTATAGATGAGGAAACTGATGCTGCAGAGGGTGGTGCCTGAGGGGCATGCGGGGTACAGGGCATCACTGATGTCTCCTGTCCTCCCTGCCAAGGCCCATGTGGACAGTGTGATCTGTCTGGAGTGCGTGTCTTTTTCCTAACATGTAGGGCCCCATTTCTTTGGGGCTTGGGGCTGCCCCTTTTGAGCCCTCTGGTGCTGGTGGACAGGCTGAGGTGGGTACAGGGAGTTGCCAAGGGTCGCCTGCAGTGACCTGGGCACGTGGACCTAGGGTGCTGGGGGAAACCCCCACCCCTTCACCGCCCTGGCCTTGGTGGCTGAGGGCACAGCATTTGGCATGCACTTGCCCTGGCTCCAGTCCCTGCCTGGGGACCCAGGAGACCCTGAGAAGCACGTGGCTTGCCCCACCTTAGCCCTGGATGCACCGGGGAGTTCTGACTGGGGGTGGGGGTGGATTTCTAGGCAGCCATATTTAGTGTCCTTGGATGGGACAACACCATGGAGGGTGGTGGCTGCGTGACTGGGGGAGGTGGGAGGGCCTGTCCCAGGAGCCAGCACCGGGCAGACGTGTGCTTGGCCCTCCCTTGCAGAATGAGTGTTGACCATGGGCCCCAATGCTTCTGCTGCCATCAGGGCCCCGAGTTTGGGGGATGGACAGGAGGAGGCTGTGCCCTCTTGGGGAGGGCAGCCAGAATCCAGGCCTAGAGTGACACCTGCTTCCCCGAGGCAGCTCTTGCCTCGTGTTTGTAGGTTTTTCTGGGGATACACTGTGGCAGCGGCTGGATGTGCAGCAGCTGGGGTTACTGAGGGCTGGACATGGAGAGGGGAGGCAGTGTGTTTTGTTCTGGCTCTGCCACCCCCTGGGAATGTAGAGGACTCCCTGGCCCTGTCTCTTTATCTGCTGAGTGAGGAGGACAGCTCCCAGCTTGGAGGGGTGCCTTGGGGCTGTTTGTGATGCCCACTCCTGCCAGGCTTCCTTGGAGAGCAGAGAGGCTGCCCCCAGAGGGTAATATCCTGGGGCATCCAGATGAGAGGCCAGGCCAGCTGTGCAGGAGGCTGAGGCCAGAACCCTCAGGCATTATTGTTAACCCGTTATCATGGGAACTTGCAAGCAGACCAGAAAGTAGAGGATGCCTGACAAACCTTAAGTCCCAACCCCAGTTAGTTATCAGGATCTCCCATATATCCTTTACCTTGTTCTAAAATACTCAGGCTCGGATAGCACTCCTAAGTTGCAGAGCCGTGGGTTTGACCTGCCCCAGATCTCTGGTGGGGGGGCCTTGTCCACCATTCCCCTACAGGCAGCAGACCTTCAGCTCCCCACCAGCTCCTGAGGAGGGTGAGCATCTGTCATTCATGATCTCCCGGTCAGCATGCAGTAGGTGTCCAGTGCACGCCCAGGGTGATCAGGCCAGCCCCTCCTTTTTTGGACCCTTCAGGAGGAGCCCAACAGGCTGGTTGGTTTGCGAGCTTTACAGAATTGGTAATTCTGTCTCCAGTGAGTGTATTTGGTGCAAACCCCAGAGCCATTTATAGAACAGATGCCAGAGGGAGCACTTGAGGAAATTAAACTCCATGGTAACCTCACTGTGGAAATGAAAATAGCCTCACTGTCAGTGCTCTGCTGCTGGCCTAAGTCACGGGCCAGGATTGCAGTGCCTGCAACAGGGAGGCTCGCTTGCTGCCGGCACCCACGCCCTCTCCAGGCGCTGTTTTTAGTTTTGCGAAGTTCAGTAGATTGCAAAGAATTTGGGAAATACAGGAAAGGAAAAAAAAGAATTCCTGTGGGTTCGGAGAGAACACAGCCACCGTTCTCGTTCACAGTTCCGTTCTCGTGCCTGTGGACTTTAGGGGGACAGCTTCGTGTCCCACCCCTTCCACGTGGCACCTTGATGCCTGCTCCCTTCCTCCTTGTCCAGGGGCTTTGTGACTGCCCTGAGGACCTTCATCTCCTCCCCAGGCCCTGCCTCCGGTGCCTGGCTTTTCTTGCTATTATAAATAATGCTGCAGTGACGATTCCCAGACAGAACACACAAACATCTCAGTTTTGGTTGGTTTCACTGTGGCGGAGCCTGGAGCAGGGGACGTCCCCAGGTCCAAATTACTGGCTTTGGAGATGGGTGTCCCTTGTTACACCACCGTGCTGGAACTGGACGTTTCCACTGAAAGTGGAGTTTTTGTGTTCATGTTATCTGCCGCCCTCTCACTTTATATTCTTCTGAGAAATATTTTGAAAACAATAGAGGTAACACGTTTTTGTAGAGAAAGGAGAACCACCCACACCCTTGTCGCCAAGGCTGAAAGGGAGGCCTCATTTTTGTGTGTCCTGCCATTTGGCTGGTTTCTCTGTGTGCACGTTTTCTGTGTGCATGTGTCACCATGTTTGCATGTTCTCCATGTGCATGTGTTCTCTGTGTGCATGTGTGTTCTCCACGTGTACATGTTATGTGTATTCTGTGTGTGTGCATGTGCTGTGTGCACGTGTTTTGCACACGTGTGTATTTGGTGTGTTCTTCATGTATTCGTGTCCTGTGTGTTCTGCACATGTACGTGTTCTCCATGTGCACATGTTCTGTGTGTGCATGTATTCTGTGTGTTCTTCATGTGTGCATGTGTTCTGTGTGTCTGCGTGTTCTGTGTATGCTCTTCGTGCGTGTTCTGTGTGTGTTCATGTGTGTGCGCATGTCCTCCGTGTGTGTGTTCTGCGGCTGTGTGTGCTCTGCATGTGTGTTCTGTGTATGTGCATGTTCTTCGTGTGTGTTCTGTGAATGCATGTGTCTTCCGTGTGTACAGGTTCTGTGAGTATGCATGTTCTACAAGTTGTGTGTGTTCTTTGTGCATTCACATTCGTGCAGCAGAGCCCCTCCCTCTGATGGTGCCTTGGTGACCACAGCTCCGGGGGTGCTTGGTGCCCTGGCAGAGCAGCCTCATTGTTGAGATTTTCCTTTATGATCGGACCAAGAGGTTGCAGCTCTCCTATGAAACTGTGGCCTTGAAGACCCTTGGGAATAGCTTTTTTTCTTCCAAATGATTTCCTGGAAAAAAAACAGTTGAGCAGAAGGACATAGACCTTTGAGCAGGGGAATGTGGTGGTGGGGCCAGCTCCACCCCAGGTAGGTGCGAGCACCTGGCGGCCTCCCTAGGGTACAGAGTCCATGGCGATCTCCTGGGGCTGTACGCCACAGGACAGGCCTGTGGCACCTCAAGGCACACTGGCGCAAGGCCGGGACATTCTGGTCTCTGTGCCTGCTCCCCATCTCCACCCACCACGTGTGTGGCAGGACAGCTGTGGGCTGGGGCTGCTTGCTCTCCATTGGGGTGACACATGGAACACCTCAGCCCTTGTGTGCCTTTGAGACGGGACAGGTCTTGCAGCCTGAGGTGGACCTCAGTCCCCTCTCCCTCACGTCCAAGACCCTGGCTGAGGCCTCAGGAACCTTAATTTGGAACATCTGGGATTCTTCTGGTCTTGGTTTGTTCTTACCACTTCAGAGGGGGTTCTGTAGGGTTTTGGGGTGCGGTTGAGGAGAAACAGCTTAAAGTAGAAGGGGCAGCTCCCAGGGCTGTGCTTGGGTGGAAGGAACAAGGCTGCAATGTGGTGGAAGGGGACTAGGACCTCTGAGCCAGGCCTGCTGGTGGCACTGGCTGTGTGGCCTCTCTGGGTGCCTCAAGGCAGGGTGGAGTGCGTGCTGAAAGTCACCATTGCTGATGGTCGAAGCCCGCCCTTCCCCCAGGATCCCAGGGGAGATTCTCCATGTCATCCTCCAGGAAGCGAGTGGGGCTGGTCTATCATGGTGCCTGTGCCCCCACTCTGACTGGGGGATTGGTGGGACACCCCCAGAGCATGGCCAGGGAGGAGCCCCACGCCTGTGGGCACCAAGATCATGACCTCTCTGTGGCCTGGGAGAGATGGAAGATGCATTTCCATGCTGTGGTGGGGAGTTGGGGGTTCCCCTCTTTGGGGCCCCACTGTGAGGATGGTGGGGTTGGGCAGCAGTCCCACAGCCTGACCCTGCCCACTTGGGTGAGCAGGGCCCATGGCTGGTGTGGCTGATCTGCCGACGGCCTCATGCACTGTCCCCACGTGAGTGACTTCCCTGCCTCTCTGCAGTAAGCGTTCCCACCCCAGGGATGTGGGCTGTGGTGCTCCTGAGATTTGGGGAGGACAGTGGGGTGTCGAGGGAGGTGGGGCTATTCGTGCTGATGGAGGGGTGAGGGATGGGCAGGGTGGGCAGGGATGGGGGACTGGGGCGTTGCTCACTGTTGGGCCCTTGCTGGATGACTAGGAGCGCTGGCCACAGTGTGAGCCTGGGGCAGACCACTGGCTGCCAGGCTGTGGAGTTGGGTCAGGGCGGCTGTCAGGGGAGCGAGTGGGACCACACTGTCTGCAGCTGCCTCTGGGCCCATTGAACCCAGGTGCTGGGGAACTCGCCTTCCTGTGCGCGTGGGTGCTGGGGCACTCAAGCCTGCCGCACATCAGCCTCGTGACCTTTGCTCTCACTCAGATCTGTCCACCTCCTGAGCCTGCTGAGATCATACCAGGCCCTTTCCTTGTGAGCCCGCAGGCTCCACTCTGCATCCCTGAGCAGGTGAGGGCTCTTTGCCCTTCTAGGCCTCTGAGTAGAGGGAAAGATGGGCAGGCCTGCTGCCTGAGGGCTGGTTTCTCCCGCTTCAGGGTCCAGGGCACCATCATGGTCATTTGTTCTCCAGATGCTCATTGTCTCTTTTATGTCCCAGGCTGTGTGAGGCCAGCACAGACATAGACCGGCCCTCCTTTGGGTCTCAAGGGTGTGTCCAGGGCCGCTATGGGAGCCCCAGGGACTTCAGTGGCTTCCAGGAGAACACGTCCCAGAGGATGTCTACCCTCATGCGCTCATATCATTCACTCATTCACTCCCTCCCTTCTTCACTGACTCATTCATTCACTCACTCACATTCACTCATTCACTCACTATACATTCACTCACACATTCCCTCACTCATACATTCACTCATTCACACACTCACACATTTACTCATTCACTCACTCATCCACTCACTCACTCATCCCCTCACTTACTCATCCACTCACTTATTCACTCACAGATTCCCTCACTCATACATCCACTCATTCACACACTCACACATTTACTCATTCAATCACTCATCCACTCACTCACTCACTCATTCACTCACTCACTCATTCACTCATTCACTCACTCATCCACTCACTCATACACTCAGTCACTCATTCACTCACTCATCCACTCAGTCACTCTTTGGTCTACTCATTCACTCATCTACTCACTCATCACTCACTCACACATTCACTCACTCATATACTCACTCATCCACTTACCCACCACTCATTCACTCACCCACCCACTCATCCACTCACCCACCCACTCATTCACTCCCATCCACTCACTCACTCATCCACTCATTCATTCACTCATCCACTCACTCATACATTCACTCACTCACTCATCCATTCACTCACTCACTCATCCACTCACACATTCACTCACTCATTTACTCACTCATCCACTCACTCACCCACTCATTCACTCACCCACCCACTCATCCACTCACCCACCCACTCATTCACTCACTCATTCACTCCTATTCACTCACTCACTCATCTACTCATTCACCATTCATCTACTCATTCACTTACTCATCCAGTCACTCATACATTCACTCACTCACTCGTCCACTTACTCATTCACTCTCATCCACTCAGTCACTTTTTGGTCCACTTATTCACTCACTCATCTACTCCTCGCTCACTCACACATTCCCTCACTCATACATTCACTCATTCACACACTCACACATTTACTCATTCACTCCCATCCACTCACTCACTCATCTACTCATTCACTCACTCATCCACTCACTCATACATTCACTCACTCACTCATCCACTCATCTGCCCCATTCACGCACTCATTCACACACTCACACATTCACTCACTCATTTACTCATTCACTCTTTTGCTCACCATTCAGTTATTCATCTACTCATTCATCATCGGTTCCCTCACTCATCATTCCTCATTCATTAGTTGTTTATTCACTGGCTTATTAATTCATTCACCTAATTTTAACTCTTCAATTGTGGGAGGTGCCCCCAGACCCTGCAGGAAATTACAAAATGGAGAGATTTCATTCCCTTTCTTCCCAGGCTACTCTAGGTTTCAGCAAAGCCAGCAGCCAGATGTTGGGATAAGGATAGGTTAGTCATGCATAGAGTGGATTCTGTTGCCGGGCTTGGTGTGGCTTGACTGCCTGATGGAGTCACAGTGTGTGGCCCCCCAGCAGGACAGCATCCCAGAGAGGCTGGCCCCAGCCCCATCTGTCTGGCTGACAGATGACTACTCACCCTGCCTGCTCAGAGGCTCTTATCTTGAGCCTTCCAGGATAAACCCTGGCTATGTTGTTTCTGCCAGGCCCTCCTCTCCCTCCCTATGGCCCCCAGAGTGGCCTGTGGTCGGGGCACATGATGGGGAGGCAGCCACAGTCAGGCTGCCGAGGTTCAAGGTCCGGCCGGCCCCTTGCTAAGCTGCTGAGCCTGTCTGTGTCTCCACTTCCCTCTCTGTAAAATGGGAGCAGCATCGACATGCAGGGCTCATAGGACTGAGCCCTCAGGGTAGAAGTCCTGTCTCAAGGTCACCTTCATGGGCCCAGTGTGTGGCTGCCCAGTAGGTCATAACCAATGGCAGATGTTTGTTTAAAAGAGAGAGGAAGGTGTGGAGGAAGGGGTGTTTCTTCATCTCTGGGTGTGAGTGAGAAAAAGACTCTTCAAACTTGGGCTCTCCAGGGTGTGTGTTGGGATGCTTGGACTCAGAATTTTGGACTCCGCCTTGGGGCTGTTCCCACCTTTTGAATGTGAAACGTCATAGGTGGAGGTGGAGAAGTCCCCGTGGGCACCAGACCTGAGCTTTTCTAGTCTCAGTCAAGGAGGAGAGATGGCTTTTCCCTCATTTGTGTATCAGCCTACTTCCAGGGAGGGGGCACCGATTGAGCCCTGAGCTCTGTGTTGTACTTGGGATCCTCTTCTGATCTTGGGAAGGGATATAAGAGCCGTCTTCCCAGAGTAGATTGGAGCAACAAGGATGGTTGTGCTTCTGCAATGGGCACATCCTGGGAACCCCGGGCTCTGAAGCTGGACAGTTGAGGAGGGCAGGGTAGCAGGTGACAAGAGGGCAGGGGTGGTGGGCTCTGAGTTGTGCTCATTCCACCTGTCATTTTATTTCACTTTACTTCATTCATATTTTTTGGTCATTATTTTATCACATACTAATGTATCCATGTAATGGTAATTTTAACAACCAATGTGTATTCTCAGATGTGGCTGCCCTGTAACTAGATGAGCTATTCATGAATCTTTGGGCAATTTTGAGTTTGCACTTACAAATTCGTTATAGATTCATTTATAAATTTTTAGTCTTGGCCGGGCATGGTGGCTCACACCTGTAATCCCAGCACTTTGGGAAGCCGAGACTGGTGGATCACCTGAGATTGGGAGTTAAAGACCAGCCCAACCAACATGGAGAAACCCTGTCTCGACTAAAAATACAAAATTAGCCGGGCATGGTGGCGCATGCCTGTAATCCCAGCTACTCGGGAGGCTGAGGCAGGAGAATCGCTTGAACCCAGGAGGCAGAGGTTGCAGTAAGCCGAGATCACACCATTGCACTCCAGCCTGGGCAACAAGAGCAAAACTCCATCTCAAAAACAAAACAAAACAAAACAAAAAGTTAGTGGTTATGCTGGAGATTACAACATGTATCCAAAGTTTGAAGTTTAATATAAACTAGCACTTTACCACATCGTGGGCAGTATAAGCATCTTAAGACATTTGAACTCCATTTACCCACTCTTCTTACCCACCCCTGCTTTTTGTGTACTGTTATATAATTTAGCCCTCCCTGTCTTTTATATCCCATATGACATTATTAAATTGTTCTTTTGTACAGTTAATACTAGCAGAGAGTGACAATGACTGATGCATTTATCCTTTCCATTGCTTTCTGTTCTTTCTTGCGTTTCCAAACGTCTCACAGCACTTTCCCTTTACCTGAAGTTTTCCCCTTTGTATTCCATTTAGTACCCATTTGCTGCCACTGCTGTCTCTGTCTAAAGAGTCCCTATTCTTATTTAAAGAATAATTTTGCTGGATACAGAATTTGAGATTAATAGTTTTTTTCTTCATCATCACTTTATTATTTTTTATTTTTATATATTTATTTATTTATTTATTTTGAGACGGAGTCTTGCTCTGTGGCCCAGGCTGGAATGCAGTGGCATGATCTCGGCTCACAGCAACCTCTGCCTCCTGGGTTCAAGTGATTCTTCTGCCTCAGCTTCCCAAGTAGCTGGGATTACAGGTGCATGCCACCATGCCTGGCTAATTTTTATATTTTTAGTAGAGACGGGGTTTCACCATGTTGGCCAGGGTGGTCTCAAACTCCTGACCTTAAGTGATCTGCCTGCCTCAGCCTCCCAAAGTGCTGGGGTTACAGGCATGAGCCACCACGCCTGGCCTCTTCATCACTTTGAGATGTTATTGCATAGTCATTTTACATGGTTTCTGTTGAGGTCAGCTGTCAGTCTACTTGCTGCCCCTTTGAAGGTAGTGCCCCCCCCCCCCCCGCCCTCTCTTTGCTGAGTTTAAGATATTCTCTTTGTGTTTGATTTTTAGGAGTTTTATACTGTAATATGCCCAGGTGTGGCTTTCTTTGTATCTAATCTGCTTGGGGCTTTTAGCACTTCTTGAATCTATGGGTGTCTTGCTTCAATTTTAGAAAATGTGGTGGCATTATTATTATTATTATTATTTTAGAGATGAGGCCTTGCTCTGTCACCCAGGCTGGAGTGCAGTGGTATAATCATAGCTCACTACAGCCTAGGACCCCTGGGGTCCTGTGATCTTCTGATCTCAGCCTCCTGAGTAGCTGGAACTGCAGGCATGTGCCACTATGCCTGGCTGTTTTAATTTTTTTGTAGAGATGGGGTCTCACTATGTTGCCCAAGCTGGTCACAAACTGGGGTATTATTTTTATTTATTATTATTATTTTTTGAGATGGAGTCTTGCTCTGTTGCCCAGGCTGGAGTGCAGTGGCGCGATCTCGGCTCACTGCAAACTCTGCCTCCTGGGTTCAAGCAATTCTCCCTGACTGTAGCTAAGATTACAGGTGCTAGCCACCATGCCCAGCTGATTTTTGCATATTTAGTAGAGACAGTTTCGTCATGTTGGCCAGGCTGGTCTCGAACTCCTGACCTCAGGTGATCCACCCACCTCGGCCTCCCATAGTGCTGGGATTACAGGCGCATGAGCCACTGCACCTGGCCTTATTTTTAAAATAATGTTTTGATTTCATTATTTATACCCTCTTTTCCAGAACCCCATTTACACATAGGTTGGACCTTCCCCTTTGTCTTCTATAAGTTTTAAATTTTCTTTTTCATATGCATTTGTCCATGTTTCAGTTCGTTTATTTTCTGCTGCCTTCCAGTTTGCTAATCCTCTTCTCACCTATGTCTAATCTGCTGTTGAACTCAATAGATGGGTTTAATTTTACTTTTTAGTTCTAGATTTCTATTTGTTTCTGACTTCATAGATTTTAGTTCTGGTGAAATTATTTGTCCTGCTATTTTTTGGACCATACTAATTTTACACTAATTTTAATTTCACACAAATTTTAAAGTCTGTGTCTGATAACTGCAATATTTGGATCCCCTGGGAATTTGTTGTTATCGTCTCGTTTTTCTTCTTTTATTTTTATTTTTCATCATTTTGGTCTTGTCTCCTGATCTTCTTGGTCATTTTTTATTGCTGTGTTTAGAAATTATGGACATATTTGAGGCTCTGGGTGATTTTGTCTTTCACTAGAGATTTACTTTTTACCGCCTCTAGTAGGCAGCAGAATAAGAGCAAATCATATTAACCCCGTCTGGAATTGAACTGATTCAAAGCTGTGTTTCAGCCCCTGTGAGGGCTGGTTGGTCTGTTCTGTTTTATCCAGACTTCTAGTATACAGCCCTTCTGGAAGGGCTAATCTGAAAGCCTGCACGTCTACCAAGGCCTCTCTTCCTTGCCAGACTCTGGGCTCTGATTGCCATCTTCCCAGCCCTGTTAGACTGCTGAAGTTCTGCCTTGCTTCTCTGCTTTTAGTCTACTGCTTAGTGGTAATGCTCCAAGGCATTCCTGTCCTATAGAAATGTAATGTGAGCCACAAATGTGAGCCATATGTGCAATTTTCAGCTTAGCAGTCACTTTAAAAGTATAAAAGGAACAAGTGGAAGCCAGGCATGGTAGGTCACATCTGTAGTCCCAGCATTTTCGGAGGCTGAGGTGGGTGGATCGCTTGAGCCCAGGAGTTTGAGACCAGCCTGGGCAACATGGCAAAACCCCATCTCTACAAAAAATACTAAAATTAGCTGGGTGTGATGCTACTGGGGAGGCCAAGGTGGGAGGATTGCTTGAGCCTGGGAGGTCGAGGCTGCAGTGAGCCATGATCACACCACTGCACTCCAGCCTAGGTGACAGAGTGAGATCCTGTATCAAAAAACAAGAAACAAAAATTAGCCAGGCGTGGTAGCGAGCACCTGTGGTATCAGCTGCTCGGGAGGCTGAGGCAGGAAAATCGCTTGAACCTGGGAGACAAAGGTTGCAGTAAACCAAGATCGCACCACTGCACCACTGCACCACTGCGCTCCAGCCTGGGTGACAGAGTGAGACTCGGTCTCAAAACAACAACAACAACAAACAAACAAACAAACAAAACAAAAAGAACTAAAAAAAAACCAGGTGGAATTAATTTTAACAGATGGAATTTAGTATATCTAAAATATTATGTTTTTGATGTGAATCAATATAAAATTATCAATAAGATTCAAAAAAATCTTTTTTTTTTTGAGACGAAGTCTTGCTCTGTTGCCAGGCTGGAGTGCAGTGGCGAGATCTCGGCTCACTGCAACCTCTGCCTCCCAGGTTCAAGCGATTGTCCTGCCTCAGCCTCCCAAGTAGCTGAGACTACAGACGTGCACCACCACGCCTAGCTAATTTTTGTATTTTTAGTAGAGATGGGGTTTCACCATGTTGGCCAGGATGGTCTTGATTTCTTGACCTCGTGATCCGCCTGCCTCGGCCTCCCAAAGTGCTGGGATTACAGGCGAAAGCCACCGTGCCCAGCCCAAAAAATCTTTTAAGAAGATACTACGCCGCTGCCACGTACTGTGCACTTACAGAACATCTCAACCTGTACTGGCCTGATTTCAAGTGCTCATTAGCCACATGTGTAGCTACTGTTTTGGGCCGCACAACTTTAGTGGGAGAAGCAGTGCTGAGTGTGGGGTTTCCTTTTCTCCAGAAGAGTCAGAATGGTGGCATGAGGATGAATGGTGCTGAGGTTTATTTCAGGTATATGTGTGCTGTGTACCTGCCGTCTCGGTTGTGGTCCCCAAGGCTCTTGCCGCCAGTTCTGGGAGGTACTGAGGAGTCAGTTAATGGGATTGGGGTGCAGATGTGGGCAGGGGGGCCTAACCTCACCCCCATGCTGCTTTACCCTTCCATGGTCCTCCTGTGGCCCTGATCTCATGCTGCTGGGGCCATCTGTTGGTGCCCCCACTCCCCTGCCAAGCAGCCTGGTGCCATTCCTGGCTTAGAGGGACACCACAGATGTTTGTGCCTGGGCACATGTTTATTCAGTGGACATCTTGACCTGAGGCCAACACCGGCCTTGAATCCTAGTAGCCTGGCCTTCAAGGTCATCTTAGCTCTTGGTGATAGCTTGGGCCACCTAGGGCCTCTGGGGAGGAAAGGAAGTGAGGCCTAGGTGACTTCATTCTGGGCGTAGGCGTAGAAGACCAAGCCAGAACCAGGGCCTTGTACAGTAGCAGGCACCAGAATGCCCAGCCCTTCCTCATTGCCCAGAGCTACAGGTCTGGGTATTTCCCTACGTTGGGGGGGTGGGGTGGGGGGAAGGGCCTGCCTTCGAGGGGCCACAATATTCCACAGACTGTTAGACCCTCACCCACTGCCACCTTGGGGTGCCCTGAGCCTTTGAACCCTGTGTGGGGGCAGGGCAGCCGCAGGAAGACCCCAGTAGCTTGGCCTCTACAGCTGTCTCCTCAGAATTCTGTGGAACTCCACAGGATTCCACAGGCCTTGCCCTGGGGTGCCCCGCCTGCCCCACCCCACAGGAGCTGTTCTTGATGGTGGAGCTGCTAACCCTGCTGACCTGTGTCCCTGGTGCTATCCAAATCTATCTTTAGGTGTCCCTGCGGGAAGTGGCCATGGGGTGGGGCTGGCCCTTTCTAGAAACCAGATACATGATGTGGTCAGATGCAGGGGTGGCCGCCTGGCCTGTGCCCGCCGGGCTCCCAGTTACCTTGGGTGAGTGCCGATGTGTTCTCCTGGGGAGGAGCCAGGCCTGCAATCAGGAAAGTTTTTGTGGTGGGATGGCCCCATGGGGATTTCTCTTCCTCACTTGTGTGCCCACTGGGAGGGCCCCATTTTCATTTCATCCTGGGGTGGTCGAACCACTGCTCTGGTCCAGGGCCGAGGGTTCGAGCAGACATTTCCCCGTCAGGAAGTAACATCAGTGTTCCCTTGAGAACAGGAAAGGCCTCCTCCTTTGGGGCTGGCCCTGCAGTGTCTGCTGCCTGCACAGCTGCCTGTCCATGTTGGGGGTGTGTGTCTGGGTTGTCTGGCTGTCAGGGCCAGGGCTGCCCCGGCTTCCTGGGGTTTGGTTGTCCTGAGTTGGCTGCACCCCTCTGCCCCAGGGACCCCTTGCCTGGCTCTCCCTCTTCCCCCTGCCTCCGAAGGAGAACAGACGGGCGTGGGGAGCCTGGATGTGACAGGTTGGCTCTCAGGACTCATGCAGGGCCAGGGCAGCCTGCTGACCTCTGGCCTTGGAGAGGAGGGTGGCCACCCAGTGACATGGCACCAGGACTTGTGGCTGAGACCGGGGCCAGGCCTGTGTCCCTCTGCCCCTCAGCTGCCCGTGTTAAGCCCACCTGTAGACAGGAGAGGAGGGCACCTGGATGTCCCTGGAGGGGAGGGGCATGGGTTCAAGCTCTCTTCCTCCCTCCAGCCTGATGGCAGGTGCCTTGGCACGAGGTGGCCCTCTGACAAGGTAGCTTTCTGAGCCGTTTCCCCTAAATGTGAATGGTCTGTATCTACCAACACCCCCAGTCCCATTGGTCAACATGCCGTGGGCGGGGCTGGCCACTGTCCTGGAGGGCCTGTGGCAGCCCTGGGTGATGCCCGGCTTGAGTCCCTCCTGCTCCTCTCTTTCAAAAAGTGCACACAAGGACAAATGCTCATCAGTTCTTCTGACCACAGTAGGGATACCTGCATCCAAAAGTGTGGATATGGATCCTAGGGAGGAAGCCCTTTCCCTTTCCCCTCAGAGACCCCTAGTGTTAAGGATTAAGTGTGGATTGTTTCCAAGTTTGTCATTGGCTTTTAGCTGGTGGTCTTCATTTAAGGATGCTGGTCCTTGGGGAGACCCCTGTCCACAGAGGGCTGGGCAGGCGCCTACTCAGGGTAGTGTGGGCCGAGGCTTAGCCCATCTGGGACACGCAGTGCTGAGAGTGGGGTCGCTCAGGTGGAAGAGGCTATGTGGGGGCTCCTTTGCTTTTATGGAGCTCTAGGTCAGCCCTGCAAGCTTTAAAACATTTATTTGGAAATAAAACACCCGTATGCCATGTGCCCAGCTCCACCTGTTGCCACCAGCTTGCCCACCTGCTTCCTCGCTTGGGCTCTGTCATTTCTGATCCAGGTGAGTGCAGGTGCAGATGGTGGCACTGGCCTTGGTGCCCTGCCCTGGAAGCCTGGAGAGTGCAGGCGCATCCAGGCCCCACCCTGCTTAGCGCCGGGCTCCTCCTGGCTGGGACATCACCTGGTGTTGGAGGCCTGGGGACCAAAGGGGATCCTCTCTTCCTCCAGGACAGGGTTCCCTGGCTGCAGGGTTGTTGGGGAGGGAGTCTTGGTTGTTTAAAGTGGTTCCCCCAGGGTGTGAATGAGCATAGGTCCTGTCTGCTTGATCTGCAGTGGGCCAGGCCTCCTCTGGAGGCAGGTGTACCACCCAGAGCCCACGAGGGTGTACACAGGGTGCATATTACTTGCTGAGGGCTGGACACTGTGGGGGATGGGTGCTGCTATCTGCCCACTACACAGATGGGGAGCTGAGCTCAGAGGCAGGGTTAGTGTCTGAGCCTAGGTTCCACCCCGTCTCTCTGATTGGAATAGCTTTTCCTGTTCTGTCCATGCTGCCCAACACCAGTGCAGGACGGGACATGGTAGGAAGGGGCCGAGGGTGAGGTTGGCTGTGCCAGCTGCGGTTCTGGGCAACTCTACCTGTCAGCACAGCCGTGCACTAACCCTGAGGAGACCTCCGACCTTTCCTGTTTTGTGAAGGGGGATGGGGCCCAGTGAGGTAGAGTTGATGACCCTGCAGCCCAGCCAGGAGCTGATGGGCAGAGAGACTAACTGGATGGCGTGTCACTGCTGTTGTTGGGCAGAGGGTTGGGTCTCCCTGAGGCCCTAGCTGGGGAGACCTCCATGGGGTGGCCTGAGGAGGGGGCTGGGGGCTGTCCAGCCCTGGTGAGGTTCCTGTTGGAAGGAAGGACCACATCTGGTCTGTGGACTGTGAGGCTTCAGGTCCCGGGAGAGGCTTTGTGGGTGTGGTGGGCCCGGGGAGTGGGCACCTTGGGAAGGCTCCTGCCTGCCCGTGCTGCCCCAGCATCAGACCCCAGGTGGTCCACAGTCCTGTCAGCTGCACCCTGTCATGGTTCATTGCCTCAGGGGTGCCTGACCCAGCCTGGGTCCCCCTTTGGTCCTCTTCTTTATCTTGGCCTTCATGGCTCCATTCTGTGGTCCTGCCCTCCTCCTGGGCTGCCCACCCATCCCTGCCACGTGGTGACAGCTCCACTAGCATCCCATGGTGGCCCTGTCTTTGCCCACGATGGAGGGTATTGGGTGGGCCTGGGGTGGGGAGGGCTCCTGCAGCCTGCCCTGTGACCGGAGCCCTGCGGTGGGGAGGGCGGGGCCCAGCACAGAGGGCCAGTCCCAAAACTGACCTGCCGTGCTCATGCTGGGCATGGGGGCTTCCTAACAGGCAGGTGGGTGGGGACCCCCGACCTTCCCTGGACCTCCCCTTGCTGCTGGCTCTTATGCTGGGTGCTGGCATGGGAAGCCAGTATGGACCGGGCACCACCCCCATTGCATGTGTTCAGTAGAACCTAGAGGAGTCCCTGGCATGGCTGCCAGCTTGTCCCGGGGAAGGACAGCTGAAGTTTTGTACGTGCTCAAGGGAGCATGGAGAGTTTGTGACAAGGCCATGACAGACTCTCTCCACCCGTCTACTGGCTGACAGGATCAGGCTTTCTCAAAGTTCAACATCCGCACACCAGAAGGTGGACAGAACGATGCTGGGCCTGCCTCCTTCTACATATGATTTACAGTCACCCATGGACACCCCAAGTAATTGGCACAAGAGCTCCATCTGGCTCAGTAACGGAGGCACTTTCAACAAAATTAGTTATCCCTTTGCTTTGGTCAACTATGCACTGCTAATTTATGATAGTGATTCAGTTCTGAAGAAAATCCTTTGGTCCTTAGAGTCTTACGTTCGCAGGAAACTAAGGAAAGCTAGATTCCGATAGGAATGATGTGATGGCAGGGAAGTGTGGCAGGGCAGTCAGTGAGAGGCTTTCGGGAAGAGCCGCGTCGTGTCCATCACCTCCGTGGGAATGGAGGTTGCGTCCTGGTTGGAGCTGGAGACGTGTTTATTCCCGTGTTTAGAAACAGCTGGTGGAGGGCATCAGATTGCCGACATTTGGGTTCCACGGGAAACATTTCAAAGAACATTTTTAAAAAGTCAGTATTTATAAAATGCTGGAAATGGCATCTTTTACAACTGTTTGACCCTATGATGACACATTTTACATCCCAACTTACCCCTGGGGCAGGCAGGCACCTACTTCCTTCTGTGTGTGGGTGACAGGGTGAGTACCGGTGTGTATGTGCGGGCGGCAGGGTCCCAGGTGGCCTTTAAGAGAGTAAAGCTCACTTGGCACCTTCCCCTGCTCCCTCTGCCCCTTCCCACCCCCTTTTTTTGAGGCAGGGTCTTGCTCTGTGGCCCAGGCTGGAGTGCAGTGGCAGGATCTTGGCTCAGCTGCAACCTCTGCTTCCAGGCTCAGGTGATTCTCCCATCTCAGCCTCCCAAGTAACTGAGACACCAGGCGTGTGCCACCACACCCAGCTAATAATTCCTCCCTCCCTTTTTAAATAAAATAGTATGATTTACAAAAGCAACCAGGGGCCAGATATTCAAGTTCAGGTTTTTGCCTCAGAGAATTGTAAACTTCTTGGAGCCCTTGACAAAGAAGACTGAATGTGGGAAGAGTCCAGTGCCGCCGACTCACCCCCAACTGAGCACCTCCTTCCCTGGCTGCACTCATCCAGATGGAGGGCAGCATCTGGGACAGGTCACCGGCGTCAGGGTCCCTTTTCTGCAAAGAAGTCTAGGGGCACATCAGCCTCCGTCTGTGACTCCTCACACTCCTTGGCCACTTTTATTTGGTGGTGTCGGGAAAAATGTTCATCTTTATAATGATGTCCTTTTTTTTTGAGACAGAGTTTCAGTCTTGTTGCCTAGGCTGGAGTGCAATGGTGTGATCTCGGCTCACTACAACCTCCACCTCCCGGGTTCAAGCGATTCTCCTGCCTCAGCCTCCCGAGTAGCTGGGATTACAGGCGCCTGCCACCACACCTGGCTAATTTTGTATTTTTAATAGAGATGAGGTTTCACCACATTGGCCAGGCTGGTCTCAAACTCCTGACCTCAGGTGATCTGCCCGCGTCGGCCTTCCAAAGTGCTGGGATTACCGGTGTGAGCCACCGTGCCCAGCCGTGATGTTCTTTTTAAAATCATGAATTAGAAAAAACACACACTGGCTCACCTGTCAATGCGGTTGTGTATTTTGTTGCTCAAGATGAGGTTAAAGAGGGAACTTGGATTTAAAGGAAGTGAGTTTGTTTTAAGACCAGCAGAGAATGTTGGAGGCAGCAGGTGGAAGAGCTCTGTCAGGCCTCCCCTTTGCTGGTCAGTGGCAGATGCCTGGTGTGGACATCAAAATGGCTCCACTGAGCCCACTGACCACTCACTGCAGAGCAGGCCCAGTGCCTGCCTCTTGTCCAAGTGGCGCCCCGTTGCCTGGCCCTGTAGTGACATAAACCACCCACTGCTCAAACATCATGCCTGCACAGAGGCCACTTCCTCCAGGGACCTCAGACCTGCCCGTGCCTTAGGTGGGGTGGGGAATGCCTTCTTCCCCAGGCTGCCTGAAACTGGAGCTTTTCTTCGGGGGCAGGGGTGCCCTGACTGGTAATTTTTGGCACAGTGTGTAGTTGCATATTTATTGGTTTTCTCATCTGTTGGCTGCGTTCCCATGGGGTTGTGAACAGCCCTTTCCGCACACCCAGAGCCTCCGTGACTGAGCGACTCCAGACAGAGCATGGGGGATGGTGTGGCTTGCTCTGCACCAGCCATTCCTGTGCACTTGCCAAACCCTGTCCTCCTGGAACCAGACCCAGACCCTCTCTCCACTTTGTGGTGAAAGGGCAGGCAGGAGCCTGCTGGCCCCCAGCTTGGGTCGACTGGTTCAAATCTTCCAGACCTGGGAGTAGCAGGGAGGCTCTTCCCACCAGGAGGGCGTGGAGTGTGTGGGGATGCCAAGCCTCCTAGAGCAGTGGGGACACCCTCCCGGGGGTGGAGGGAACAGAAGGGGACACATATATGGTGGAAGTCTCATGCTGTCTTCCCAGTGTGTCCCTGTGGATATCATGGCTTTTGGGTGTGAGCACTTAAGTGACAGGGAGATAAGTCCTTGGTTAGGCCTGAGCTCTACCAGAGACCTGATGCCCTCCCATCCTGCACCTGGGGCCTCTGTCCTGGGCCAGTTCTCTGTGCATGGGACTATTGTGGACAGAGAAGCTCCAGGCTTCCTTTGGTTTTGATTTACGGCCCCACGGAACTGGAGCGAGGCCCTGCAGCAGGCTTATCTCTCGGGGCTCAGCCTCACTGGTTCTGGGCACTCTCCTCTGCCCGAGTGTGCGTGGGGCTCACCTCCTGGTGGGACCCAGTTCTGCCCCTTCAAGGGGTTGGATTTTGGGGTCCTGCCTAGCTGAAAGGAAGATGCCACGGAATCCCAAGTGTGCCCCTAGTAGGTCTGACATCTCCAACCGTTGCCCACTGGGGACTGTTCTGGCAGAGCAGGTGGCCCTGAAGTGTCATAGGAGGGGGCTGCCTGCAGACACCCTGCCATGTTCAGGGCAGGAACCTCTGATGCTCTCAGTCAACATCGAAGGCAACCCCTGATGTGTTTCCCAGGTGTCCTGGGGGTGCTGGGAAGGGCCGTTGGGACCAAGAATCTTCTGACCACCCTGGCTGTGTGACTCGTGCAGCCCTTGAGGGGCTTTGCTGCCCGGCTTGGAGGGTGCTGTCCTGCCTTGCCTGTGTGTGACCCACAGGACCTTTTTCCTAGAGCAAATAAGAGCTGGCATTGTCCCAGAATGCCTTAAGTCTTTTGTCATCTGATTGACTTTCACCACTATGAGGGAACAAGAGCCATGAATTTGCATAGCACTGGGGACTTGGTAGGAGGAAGATTGGTGCTGATTGACCTTACCCTCCAGTGTCTGGGAGGGAGGGGCATCACATTGAGTGAGCAGCCAGGAGGCCCCCGCCTCTGACTCAACACCAAACCTTTAAGCACCGTGTGAGTCTGGCAGGATTTGGAAATCACTTAGGGATCAGGTGCATTCTTCCTGCCCTGGCTTGTTGACTGTGAGCCTTCCTAATAGGTTAATGAATGAATTCAGTCCACAGGTGTTCATGGAGTTGCTCCTGTAATGCAGGCCAACCCGATGTCAGCAAACAGGTGATGAGGATGTGGACAGGCTCTGTGGGGGCAGCATACCCTGTAGGTGGGCTCTGGGCAGGGCTCAGAGGGGGACACACTAACCGACTGTTAAAGTACCAAGCAGGCTGGGCATGGTGGCTCACACCTGTAATGCCAGCACTTTTGGGAGGCCAAGGCAGGAGGATCTGTTGAGCCCAGGAGTTCAAGATCAGCCTGGGCAACATGGTGAGACTACCATCTCTAAAAAAATAAAATTAGCCAGCGTGGTAGCATGTGCCTGTAGTCCCTGCTACTCAAGAGGCTGAGGTGGGAGGGTCACCTGAGCCCAGGAAATTGAGGCTGCAGTGAGCTATGATCACACCACGGCACTCCAGCCTGGGTGACAGAGTGAGACCCTGTCTCCCCTACTGTAAAAATTACCAAGCAATGTGTTACATTGATTAAAATAGTCGTGTGGTGTAGAATATAAAATGAGATCCTCTTCCCTTCCAAGCCCACCTCTAAGAGGCACCATTGTTAACCATTTCTGACTTTCGTGTCTTACATGTATCAACTTCAGTAGGTAACTGCTGTTAAAAATGAAGACTGTAGTGCATGCAGGGTACGCCCCCCTACTTCCCGTTTTTTCTTAGTCATTTAGAACGTGAACATTTTGCTCTGAAACTACAATGAAATCTTTTACACGTTACTGTTGGTGCTAAAATACTGGCAAAAATAACTTGTGCTATAAATGATCCTGTGAGTTTCCTCTAGAATTAAGGACTAGGCGCACAGAAAGGGAATTGTAAACTGACATGCTGTTTCCCAGAGAAGGCTTCCTGGGCGAACTGGCCTAGCTGAGCACTGCCATCTCCTCTCCAGCTTCCTTCACCCCCAGGGACCTCGAGGGTCACCCTGGGTGCATGTCTTTCTGTTGTGTTATGTTGTGTTGTGTTGTGTTGTGTTGTGTTGTGTTGTATTGTGTGTTGTGGAAACATTTCTTCCAGTAACTTGTTCCACCTAGACTGCATGGGAAGTTAACTTTCAGCTCCTGCATGTCTGAAAACGAGTCTGGACCGCCTGGCTTGGTGTCCGTTTGACAGCGTGTAGAATTCTGAGTTAGCACTTTGAGGACACTGTCCCTGCCACCTGCGCCCAGTGTCTCTGGTGAGACTCACCGCCCACCTGGGCCGTTCCTTTGCAGATAAGACTTGCTCGGGGTTCTGACATTACACTAGAACAGCCCTGGAGGTGGGGTGTTCATTTACTCTGACCTGGCCTTGGTGGGCCATTTTCTTCTAAATCGTTCTCCTTCCAGCTCAGGGAAATGCTATTCTACTATTTGTTTATACTTCATGGTGTCTGTTCTTAGAACCCTTTTGACATAGTTTGACTTCCAGGCAGTTCTTCCATGTCTCTTAATGTTTCTCTTCTATTTTCTTTCTTCTACTTCTCTCATTTGGTCTTTGGATTTTTTTCCTTTTTTTTTGTTTTTACATATGAAAAATTGAAGGGTGATTTACATATAATGAAACACACAACTTAAGTGTGCAAGTTGAGCTCTGACAAATGCACATAGAGGTGGAGCCCACGTGCTCTGTTATGATGTGGAACATTTCTCCATCACCCTCCACCCCAAGATCTCTTGGCTCCCACTTCTACCCACCCCAGAGGTAACCATTATTCTGATGGCATCCCCCAGATATTAGTCTGCCTTTTCCAGGGTTTCACATGAAGATGGGGGTCCTACCAGACATATTCTTTTGTTTGGCTTCTTTTGTTCAGTCCTATGCTTTTGGCCTTCACCTGTGCTACTGAGAGGCAGGAGCATGCTCCTTTTTGCTGCTGAGCCATGGTCCCATTTGGATGGGTGCGGCATGGTTCATTCACCTGGCCCCAAATGTTTCGGTGGTTTCCAGGTGGGTCTATGATGAATTATGCTGCTTCCAATATCCAAGTCCATCTTTTATGGACTTATGTTTTCCTTCCTCCCAGATGGATCCCGGGAGGGGAGTGGCTGGACACAGAGCAGGTGTGAACCCTGCCAAGCCCTCCTCTGAGGGCTGCGCCACCTGAACTCCTGGTAGCAGTGTGCCAGGTGGGGCCCACTGTTCCCCAGCCTCCCAGCAGCTGGAAGTATCCACCTTTTTTTTTTTTTTTTGAGACAGAGTCTCACTCTTGCCCAGGCTGGAGTGCAGTGGCACAATCTCGGCTCACTGCAAGCTGCACCTCCTGGGTTCATGCCATTCTCCTACCTCAGCCTCCCGAGTAGCTGGGACTACAGGCGCCCGCCACCACGCCCAGCTAATTTTTTGTATTTTTAGTAGAGACGGGGTTTCACCATGTTAGCCAGGATGGTCTCGATCTCCTGAGTTCGTGATCCGCCCGCCTCGGCCTCCCAAAGTGCTGGGATTACAGGTGTGAGCCACCGCACCCGGCCGTATCCATCTTTTAATTTAGCCCTTCTGGTAGGTATGGGATGTATCTCAGTGTGGTCTTTGTTGGCATTTTCCCAGCGACTGATGATGCTCAGCCTCTTTCCGTGTGCTGTTGGCCATTTCTGTGTCTTTGGTGAAGTATCTGTTCATGTGTTTATTATTAAATTACAGGAGTTCTCTATACATTTTGGATCTGAGTCCTTTGTCAGATATATGTATTAAGAATAGTTTTTCCCAGTTTGTGACTTGACTTAAATAAATAACCATTTTTTTGGAGATGGGGTCCTGCTGTGTTACCCATGCTGGTCTTGAGCTTCTGGGCTCCAGCCATCCTCTGCCTCAGCCTCCCGAGTAGCTGGGACTACAGGTGTGAGCCACCGCACCTGGCTTAAAGAATCGTTTTTGATGAGTAGAACATGTTTCCATTTTATTGTCTGGATTAAACATTAACTTTTTTGTACTTAATGTTTCATTGGATTATGGAATATCTTATTTCTAAAACACTGAGCTGGTTAGGAAGGGCAGTCCCCATCCCTGTGATAATTTGCAAGAGCTCTTTCTCGAATGTTCCTTTCTAAATAGAAGCTTGATTTTACTTACTTGTGTCAACTTATTGAATCTTTATGGGAACATTAATTAGATTTTTTTGGGAGTTGCCGTTGGTCTCTGAATTATTTGTTTTCTGGGTTGGCCCCATCATGACAATGGCTTCTCTGGGTATTGCCTGGCCCTGTGGTGATAGTCACTGCACAGTCCCACACTGCAATGAAGGGGCCCATGAGGGTGTGTGCTGTGGGGAGGGGTCTGGCGGGTTGATGGAGGAAGAAGGGTCTCATGGGCGCGGCTGCATTTGGGATGTAATTTTTTTTACCAAGATGACCCTTGTCACGATCCTGCCGCCTGCTTCTCCTCTCTGCTTTGGAGTCTGGCTTGATGTTCTTTGGGCCTTTCCGGAAGGATCCAGGGGTCTTGGCTTGCATTTACTTTCACTCTGATCTCTCCCCTTATCTGTCCAGATTTACCTGCTTTCTGTCTGTTTAGAAGTCCCCGGAATTTTGCTCTTCTGTGTTTAGTTATGTTTCTGGTTTCCTTCGGAAAATACACGTTTCTTTTCTGACATTCCCATGGGAATTGGTGCAACAGAGGCAGGCATTGCTCTGTGGGCTCATTGGACCAAGATGAGGAGGTGATCCTGGGGGCAGGACCTCAGGTGGAGGTGAGAAGGGCGTGGCACGTGTGCAGCAGGAGAGGCCTTGGCTGGGCCTTTGGACATGGCTGTCACCTCGTGAGGGGAAGTTGGAAGCACATGGAGCCTTCGGGGCCATGCAGGCTCCCTGGATTTATTCTGAGCCCTCTGTGGAGAGAATCTATTGAAGTATTTGGGGGAAGGGAAGGGCCAGGATCCAGGGGGACTATAGTGAGGGATGAGGTGGGAGAGAGCGTGGCGAGGGATGGGTGAGCTCAGACAGGGTGGTGGGAGTCAGAGGGGAGAGGTGGAGATTGGGCAGGCGGCGGGAGGGTGGCCAGTGCTGAGTGGTGTTTGAATGTGGTGCCTGGGGTTGGTGGTTCCCTTGTGGGATGGTGGGCAGAGCGGGCATGTGGTGCATGCACCTGACCAGGGTTCCCGGGTGATGATGGTGGCGTTTGTTTGCTGTTTTCTATTTAAACTTAGGTCAGTGATTGGTTCTGCTGGCTTGTGCAGACACAGTGGCCCAAGGGTCTGGGGAGGTGTCTGCTGTGTCCTCCTGCACAGGAGGGCCTGGGCTGCCCTCTGGGCTGCTGACTGGTCAGTTTGGCTCTGCTAGGGCTTTTCTCTTCCCTCCATTCTCAGCTCTTATCTCAGTCACCTGTCCACGTCTCCTCTGTTCTAATCCACTGGGCCCTGAGTACTTCTTCTGAGTTGTGTATACGTTAGAAGTAAACTGATGATCCATTCTTTTCACAAACACACAGAAAGTGAGTGATTGTGGAGGAGGCAAAGGCCTCAGAGGTGTATTTTTGGAAAAAGTGCTCAAGTGTGGCCGTGTGGATTTGCGAGACCTCTTCGGCTTCCTAGGATGTCTTTTTGCTGAGGTCCCTTTTTGGGGGCTGTGTCCAGGGTTGTGGGGACTAAGGAGTCAGCAGTTGTGGTGCCAGTGTCTGCATGCCCTTCTATCATAGCCGCTTAGCTGCCTGTGGGTATGGGAAGGGCTGGTCCTACTGTGTGGCGCTGCTGGGATGTGACGCCACCGTGTCCCCTTCTGTGTCCCATCTCTTGCCCACTTAGCATGTCTCTTGCCCTGTAGGACCGGAAGCTCACCAAGCTGGAGCGGCAGCGGTTCAAGGAAGAGGCTGAGATGCTGAAAGGCCTGCAGCACCCCAACATCGTGCGCTTCTACGACTTCTGGGAGTCCAGCGCCAAGGGCAAGCGGTGCATTGTGCTGGTGACGGAGCTGATGACCTCAGGGACGCTGAAGACGTAAGCTCCGCTTCCTGAGGGCTGGGGCGGGTCCTGGCATGGGTGCAGGGCTACCATAGCTGAGGGTGAGGTCTTGGGCTGCTGGGGTGGTCCTGGCTGGTGCCTGTGGGAGGCTGTCTCCTCTTTCCTCTCCTGCATGGGATGCCAGGAGGTGGTTTACTTCCCAGGGAGATGGTTGATCTGTCTATGGTGTCTGGGACTTGTTTCTGGCTGGGGTTCTGTTTCTGCCTGGGAGCCAGCCCGGCACATACTCAGGCTCAGGACGCAGGCTGGGCGGGGTGCACAGTGGGGACTGTGGGATTCTGAGGATGTGGAGGTGGTTAGTGAGGGCTGGGGAGTGGGGAGTGGGGTGGCCACGGCAGCCTGTTGCTGCTCACTAAGGTCCCAGTCTGTACTGTGGGGATGAGGTGCTGCCTGGTGCTGTATCCTGGGTCCATCTGAACCACTGGACCCTGCAGCCTTGGGCAGGGCCTCAGTGCCCCTCAGCCGGGCAGTTTCCGTCATAGGTGGATGCGCTGCAAGAGGAGAGCCCTTTTCTTAGCTTCACCCACCCACCTCCTCCCAGGGCACAGCTCAGGGCAGGCCACACAGGTGGCCAGTGGCAGAGAGAGCCCCAGCTGGCCCCTGTGGTTCTCACAGGCCCTGGCCTTTCGTAACCCTCACCCCCTCACCTGAGCATCTGCTGGCTGGTACTCCGTCCTGCCTTGGGCAACTTACAAGTCAGCCTGGCACCATCTCCCAGTGAGGTCAAGATGGAGCTTAGTATGAGCTTTAGTAGCCAGGTCCTTGGCATGAGGGGAGCAAGAGGGTTGTGAGCCCACCCAGCTGGCTGCTCAGGGGCCTGGCTCCAGGGCGGAACTGTCCGGCCCTCCCGTCTCACCTTCACTACCTGTCACGGGTATGTGCCGTGTGCACGGGAATGGACTTTGTACCAGGCCTAAGCAGTGTTAGGTGGGGGCTTTGCTAGGGGGCCGCTGCCGGCGAGCTGCTTGGTGAGCTGTGCCCGTGAACCCCTGCAGATACCTGAAGCGGTTCAAGGTGATGAAGCCCAAGGTTCTCCGCAGCTGGTGCCGGCAGATCCTGAAGGGCCTGCTGTTCCTGCACACAAGGACGCCACCCATCATCCACCGAGACCTGAAATGTGACAATATTTTCATCACCGGACCAACTGGGTCTGTGAAGATTGGCGACTTGGGCCTGGCCACTCTGAAAAGAGCGTCATTTGCCAAAAGTGTGATAGGTAAACCTGCTTCTCCTCCCCAGGCCCTTGGAGCCCATGAGAAGCTGGGCAGCAGTGAGTGCTGGCGAGCATCCAGTTTTGTTCAGACCTGGTGCAGGAGACCCAGTGGGAGGAGCGTCTGGGCACGGGAGCCTCGGGCCAGGGTGTCTGGGCTACCCCACCAAGCCTTTTGTAGCTCAGCTGGAGGGCCTGCCCACTCGTTGGATTCCCAGACCACTTGGGCTGGGATAGCTGACTTGGCTGCCTCCCTCCCCTGCTGCCCCTGCCTTGTCCGACTCTGGCCCCAGATGGTCTTTGTGTTTCCCTCCGTGGCTGTGGCTTGGGTGCCAGCTCTGATTGTCTAGCAGGGGAGGTGGGCTGGGTGCCGATGCTCGTGGTGTGTGTGGGCACTGTGGGCACTCGGGAGAGGGAAGCTGCCCTGACCACAGAGGAACTTGGGAGGTTTGTGGCCAGTGACGCTGGAGCTCCCAGTGTCACCCGGGCTGTGAGGCCCAAGGAAGTGAGAACTTGGAGTATCTGGGGAATCCACATACCTGCGGGGCGGGGCACAGAGCAGGCGTTGTGCACAGGATAGGAGCAGGGCGCCAAGGAATTAATTCAGCTTCTTGGGCATTTCAGGCCTCAGTACAGACGCCCTCCTGTGAGAAGCCTTCCCAGCCTTCTTTTGGGGCGAGATGCCGTCGCCCCTAGGGGCAGCTGGCCCGGAGCTTCTTTGCAGAGACCAGGGGTCTGCGTTGTGCCATGTACCTGGCCCCAGGTGTGCTCCTGGCACAGTGGGTGTGAAGTGTCCACTGGTCCTGGGTGGGGGCCTCCACGGACTTTGAAAAGAATGCCTGGGTGGCTGTGGAGCAGCTGTTTCTGGGGCCAGGATGATGGGAAAGCTGCAACATGTGCAGGGCAAGCAGCGTGGGTCGGGGCTCAGGAAGCCCAGATGGCACCCAATCGGATCAGATTGGGAGAGGCTCCCCCATGTTAATGAAGACCCAGCATGCCCCCAATGTGAGGGCAGGACAGTGAGCAGTCGATCTTGGGGCTTTGTGAATTCTTAGTTCTGCTGCATGTTTGGGGACAGAACTTGGCAGGTGTGGGGAAAATGAGACTCCAGAGCTGCTTTGGTTTGGGAAGTCTGTTCAGAATGTGACATCTGGGGCAAGGTGGCTGCCCGGGGGTGGCCCTGTGTACACAAAGCCTCTGGCATTCTGGGGGAGCTGAGTGGTGGAGCGTAGGGGCTGACCCAGGGTTCAGTTTCCCCATCTGTGAAATGGGTATATAGGTGAGGGTCTCCACTCCCTCCTGGAGGGGCTGAGAGCAGGGGCCCAGGACCGTGGAGAGCCCATGCCCAGGGCTTTGAGCTCTGTGCACTTTCTGGGCAGATTTTGCAAATTTGGCTTCAGAAGTGGTAGGAACCCAGGTCTCAAACCCCGGGCGCAGTCAGGTGGCAGGAGGGAGGCTTGTGATCTCCTACTCAGGAGTGAACACTCCTGGAGGAAGAAGCACAGCCCACTGTGAAGCGGCAGCCCCGGCAGAGCCCCTCGTCTTCCTCTGGCTGGGCGGCTCTTTGCCCTCTTGGAAACGAAGTTTCGAGTTGCTGGATCAGGTTGAGATGAAGGCCAGGTGTTTCCAGCAGGCACAGTGGGGAGACCTTGTGACCCGCATGGTTGCCCAGCTCTGTGGGCTGTCCCTCGTCAACCCAGCTTTTGCTCAGCTGGAGTCCAGGAAGCTTTGGTTAGAGAGGCCACAACCAGGAGTGTCCTCAGCTGCTCAGTCTCCTAGAGAATGAGGCTGAAGCAGGAGAATTGCTTAAGCTCAGGGGTTCGAGGCTAGTCTAGGCAATGTAGTGAGATCCCTGTCTCTACAAAAAAAAAAAAAAAAAAAAAGGCGGGGGAAGGAAGGAAAGAGAGAGAAATAAAGAAAGAAAGAAAAGAAAGAGAAAGAAAAAGAAATTGGCCCGGCATGGTGAACACCTGTAGTCCCAGCTACTTGGGAGGCTGAGGTGGGAGGATTGCTTGAGACTGGGAGGTCGAGGTTGCAGTGAGCTGTGTTCATGCCACTGCACTCGAGCCTGGGCGACAGGGCACGATCCAGTCTCAAAAAAAAAAAAAAAAAAAATTGCTAGTGCAGCAAATTTTCAGTATAATCATGTGGTTAAAAAACCCAAAAGAATAAAAGTTCCCGGCGTCAGGCCCCTCCACTCAGCTCCTGTTGTTTCTCATGGGTTCTTCCAGAGTTCTGTGTGCCTAAGACTGAAATCTAAACCATATTCTTGTCCCAATTTTTATCCAAAATGTTAACTTTAAAAAAGAGTGGCCAGGCACAGTGACTCACACCTCTAATCCCAGTACTTTGGGAGGCTGAGGCGGGCGGATCATTTGAGGTCAGAAGTTCGAGAACAGCCTGACCAACATGGTGAAATCCTGTCTCTACCAAAAATACAAATAAATTAGCCAGGCATGGCGGCAGACGCCTGTAGTCCCAGCTACTTGGGAGGCTGAAGCAGGAGAATTGCTTGAACCTGGGTGGGAGATGGAGGTTGCAGTGAGCCAAGATTGCACCATTGCACTCCAGCCTGGGGGACAGAGTGAGATTCCGTCTCAAAAAAAAAAAAAAAAAAAAGTAACACATTTTAAATTGAAATGACGGGTAAACAAAACGTGCTTTTAAAATGCACTAATTAGTTAGCTTGAGCTTTTAAAAAGAAACTAGAAATTTTGAAGACCTTCCAAAGTCAACAAACATCCAGACGTTAAAAGCAGCTGTACTGAAGTCTCTAGTCCCTTTCTTTGCATTCAGCGCGACAGACATGCAACCGGACTTATTTTATTAAAAAGGCCTTTACAGTTGCTGTATTATGAAAGCTAAAGCTTATTATAGAGAATAGAGAAACCCCAGACCAATATAAGTAAAATAAAAATCAGCCCTCGCCCCCTGCAGACATCATCTTGCCCTGGGGGTTTGGTTTTGCATAGGTGAGGCCAGCCAGCACGTCTAGCCTCATGCTCATTTTGCTCAGCCTATCATAACTTTGCCATGTCCTTAAAAATTCAGTGAAGACACTGTTTTTGCATCTCTTGTGTTTAGGAGCCACATACAGTTCCCATCTTAGCAACTCTGTGGTTCTGTCAGGTGGGTACCATTTTCTACCCCACCCTCATTCAGGGACACTGTCTTCAGTGATGCTGACTGTTGTACATGCTGCGTGACACTTGTAGGGGTGGGCTGAGTGTACCCAGCCTTTCCCCACTTTGGGACATTTAGGGGTTTTGTGGCTTTAGGTAGCTCCGTAGCAACCCAAGTTCTTTCTGCTCCAGGGTTTCTGAACGTGGCTGCGGCCGAGCCTGTGGCAGGATCATAGTGTCCACAGGCGAGGGCGTACTCAGGGTTTTGCCTCCTTCCAGGCTCGGACCCCGTCCCCTGGGAAGTCATAGTCTCCCAGCTTATGAGCAGGGGATGGCTCTGTCACCTGATTTCTAACCCTGGACTCCTGTGGTTCCAGGTGGAACTTTTGGAACCCTGTCTGTAAAGCACACCTGTGTCCCAAGTGAGGGGCAGGGCTGGCCCTGGGGTCCAGGTGTTCTGAGTGTGCCATGGGATGTGGAGGGGACATGGGGTTCTGGGCAGCCAAAGCTCCCGGGACACTGGCTCCAGCTCTTCCTGGGCCCGTGGCCAGCTGACAGCTGCGTCTGTTGCTTCCGGGCACAGGTACTCCCGAGTTCATGGCGCCCGAGATGTACGAGGAGCACTACGATGAGTCCGTGGACGTCTATGCCTTTGGGATGTGCATGCTGGAGATGGCCACCTCGGAGTACCCCTACTCGGAGTGCCAGAATGCGGCCCAGATCTACCGCAAGGTCACCTGTGTGAGTCCACCTGGCCCCTTGGTTAATTAATAAGGACACAGAGGCCTTGGGCCGTACCCTGGGCTGGGCTCCATGTGGCTCTGTAAAGCCATCCTGGCAGCTGTGTAAGGAGCTTGGCCATTTTGCAGAGGGGGAAACTGAGGAGATTGGCCATTTTACAGAGGGGGAAACTGAGGCTTAGTAGCGGGGTGGTTACTCAAGGTCTCCTACCTGAAGGGATGGTGGTGCATGGGGTGCTGTGGGCAGTGCTTACCCATGGAGGCTGTCGCTCTCACAGCAGGGATGGTGGGGAGACTGAGGCTCAGAGAGGCTGGAGCTTCACCATAGCCCCCTGCCTGGAGGCGTGCCTAGGCCACCCATCCCCAGTGCTCACACTCTGGGCCGCCCATGGCTGCCTGCTTTCCTATCTTCTTCATTTTGAAACAATGGTTTGATTTCTTTTTCAGCTAAACCAGTCACTCCTACACCAAGTGTGTCTCTAGGCAGTCGTCAGCGCCAGGCAGCTGGGAACGTTAATCCCTGTTTTGCTGTCGCTGTGATTTTTTTCTTTAATCGGACGGCTTCAGCTGCATAAACAGATCTGTCTTGTCCTCCCTCTGTGGTGGCCCCACTGGGTGGAGGGAATGCAAACAGAACATCTGGAAATGGAATGGCCAGGCCAAGGCTTTCTGTGCCTGTTTTCTGCACCACCCGTCTTGTTGTGAAGCCCAGGGGCCTGCAGAGCTGTCCCTGACATGCGGCGTCTGCACTGAGGGCCCAGGCTGCCCTGATCCCTGCAGTCCCTGCTGTCTCCACATGCCACCTGACTGGGTGGGGCCGCGCTGCCCCTCAGTGCTGCTCTGCGGGGCCATGGCTGCTTCTGCAGGTGCACCAGGGGCTGTGGTCCTCAGCAGCTGCACAGCCTCACTCTGACCCATCCCTCCATCCCGAGCCCTCCTTGCAGATTACCTGCATTTCTGTCCCTTGGTTGTTGTAAATCATCGGTCACTTGGTTGTTCTGAGCCCCTCCTGTGTGCCCCTGAGGAAGTGGGAGGGCAGACAGAGTCCTTGACTCACCTGTGGGCCTGGGTCAGAAACTTCACAGACAGGTGCACAGTTTTCCGTGGGTACTGGAAGGAGTGTCAGGACCTGCTGGCTGTGTGCAGCGGCCCTCCAGGGAGGCAGGGATGGTCTGCAGCAGGAGGAAGTGGGGCGCTCCAGAGATTAAGAGCTCCATTTGCCAGGCCTTGGGGTGCTGGTGTGGGATGGGAGGGCCCCTGGGTTCACTGTGGAGGGTGGATGGTGGTCTGTCCTGAAGCTGTCCCAGGGGCTGGTGGTGCTCCTCGACCCTGGGGGTGTACACTACTGGGCAGAGCCCTTAGGTTCTTCACTCCTGTGTCTGCCCCAGGCTGGGGGCTCCAGCACCCAGGGCAGGTGGGCGTGCCCCCACCCTCCTCCCTGACCTTGGGAAAATTTATGCTTTATGTTCTCTATATTAAGAGTCAGGTGAAGCTTTTGAAGGCTAAATCGTGTTGAAGGAGAAAGAACGTGATAGTTGGTACCCTCATTGTGTTTAAAATTTTTTAAAATTAGTTGCTCATACACCGTCTTACTCCACTTCCAACACAAAACAACCTAGCAGATTGCAAGCAGCACCTGGCCCCGCCCTGCTGCTTCTGAGTCCGGTTGCAGGGCTTGCCCTCTGCTCCCTTCATGCACAGCCATCAGCTGGGTGAGGAGCCACTGTCCCTCAGGCTGCCACCCGCACCCCCCCGCAACAAAGCCGCATGGCCTGGCCCTTGGCCAGCAGCAGTGACCACAAATAGTGCTCCTGCACCCTCAAGGAGGAGGTGTGGGGAGGAAGCCCAGGTGTGGTTAGAAAGGCCCGGCTCTGTAGGAGGCATCCCATCCACCGCATCATGGCGCTGCCTCTACTAGCCTCCTGGAACAGGGGCCCTCGTGGCCCTACTTGGGAGGCTCGGTGAAGCTCTGATCAACACCTTTCCAGAGACTGACTGCTGCATTTGAGGTGTTAACCCCAGTATCAAATTCTGCAGCTGAGGTGGAGGTGTGCAGTGTGTTGTGGCCGGGGTGATGGTGGCTTTGACAGAAGTAGGGTGACCCAAGAAGGTTCTGAATGGTAGGAGACCAGGCTCCTGGCTTCAAGCAGTGGGGAGGGGAGATTTGGAAGGGAATTGCAGCGGTTTCACAGAATTCTTCAATTTATTCCCAGCTCGGCTTTATCTCGCTTCATCTATGGGCTTAGAGTTTCCATCAAAGTTGTGAAATTTTCAGCCATTATTTCTTCAAGTCTTTTTTTATGTCCCCTTATCTTTTTTGGGATTCCAGTTTTATGAATGTCATGTGCATATGTGACCTTGGTAGCATTTCAGATTCTGAAATGAGCAGAATAGAGCCTCAGTGACCATCTTTCTCTGCTGCATCACATCTTCAGGTTCACTCGTCTTTTTTCTGCAGTGTGTAATCTGCTGTCAGTCTGCTGCGGTGAAGTGTTCGATTCAGATGGGCTTTTCATCTCGAGTTCTATTTGGTTCTGTTTTTATCTCTCATTTTTTATGTTCATTTTCCTTTACTGCTTGTATGTATCTGTAAAGAGTTTTAACCTGCTTGCCTACAAGTTGCAGCCCCTCTCACTTGTAGGTCTCTTTCTGTTGGCTGGCTTTTCTGCAAGGTCGTGGGTCACATTTTCTTGCATCTCAGCATTTCTAGTAATTTTTGATTGGATGCTGTACATTGTACACATCCTGACCTGTGTGAACTCTGTGAATTGCCCTGCCTGCAGCTCCCTGTGGTTCTTCACCCGGCCCTGTGGCATTGACAATGCACATGTGGTTTTGTGGTCTGGTCCTCAGCAAAGGCTGGAGGGGACCAAGGTGCAGATACTTGGGGCTCTTTTTTTTTTTTTTGCTGTATGTTCTCTTCTTTCTGGAACTCTGCCTGTGGCCTCCTCAGCCTTCCTGAACTCAGCTCTACCCCTCAACTCAGTGGGGCCACAGGGCTCTGCTGGTTTACGGTGCCTTGTCTGGGAACTGCTCTGGGCAGTGAGCTGGGGCCATGGGAGATTGTGTCCCTTTCTCCCAGAGCCCGCATTTGGCTCTGCCCTGTCATCCGTTTCACATATTTTGCCCAGTTTTCTAGTAGTTTGTGCAGGTTAAGTCCAGTGCCCGTGTCCTGCCGTGGCTGGGAGTGGGAGTTCCTCCCACTGTGGTGGAGGCCTCGCCTTCCGGCAGCCGATCGGGTCAGGTAACTCTGCTCTCTCCCTGTCAGGGTATCAAGCCGGCCAGCTTTGAGAAAGTGCACGATCCTGAAATCAAGGAGATTATTGGGGAGTGTATCTGCAAAAACAAGGAGGAAAGGTGAGTTCCCCTGAAGGGCTGGGTTCTGGGGTCCATCTCCAGCTGAACTCATTCCAGCTTGCATTGAGAGCTGTGTTCTTGATGAGGGGACTTCAAGACAGGCAGGCTCAGGCCAGGGTGTCTGGGGCACGTTAGCAGGGGCTGGTGAGCATGTCGGCCCTGAGTGCGTGTGGGTGACACCAGGCCAGGAGGCCAGGCCCTCACGTCCTTGTTGGCCATCTGGAAACCCTCTCCTTGGCTTTGGGGACAGCCCCCTCCTTGGCTTTGAGGACAGTCCTGTCCTTGGCTGACTGCTCCTCCAGGACCCAGCCTGTAGCATCTGAGCACCTGGGGCTTCTCTCCAGCCTCTCTGCTCCTCTCTGCATGACTCCCATGCCTTGAAGAACATCCCCACGCCAGTGGCTCTAGGTGTGGGCCTCCATTTGGAGCCCTGACGTGTATTTCATGGACTGGGTTGTTTGGCCCTTCTCAAAAATAGCAGGCCTGGAACCGCTCCACAAAGCCGGCTCCCCACCTCCAAGCAGGGCCTGTCCTTCCCTGTTGGTCAGGTGGAAGGCTGGGGGTGCTTCCTCAGCCTTCCCTCCCCCTCACACTGGAGTACACCCACCATCTGACGTGACACCCCTCAGCAGTAAGCAGGGATGGATTGTGGATACTCGAAACTACACAGGTGACTCTGGAGCACACACAGAGGAAGCCAGGCCCCAAAGAGTGCGTGCTGTGTGGTTCCATTTATAGGGTAAAGGGGGTTATAGGTTAGTGGTTAGGGAGGCTTCTTTGGGTGGCCAAGCCCTGCAGAGCCCCGAAGTGGTCACCATGGCAACACCCTGTGGCCCGCCCTCCCGGATCCCTGCAAAGAGCCTTCGAGGCTGGGTCTGGCTGGGGCCCCCCCAGTTCTGCAGGTCCTCACTCTCCTCCAGCTCACCCTCTGCTCTGCTCTCTGTCATCTGGCCAGCATCCTGAAGGAAGCCCCCTTGAAAAGGTCACTGCTTCATGGCACTGGGCACAGGGAGCTCAGAGCGTGGGGGGCTCCGCCTCTGTGTCCATTTTAGACCTACCCAGGACTAAACACTAAAATGTTTCAGTTGTGTCTTCTGACAATTGAAAGCTGGCTAGCACATCCACAGGGGCTGTATTTGCATAATGGGAGGCCTAATGTTTTTCCAAATCCTCTTTTGTATCATTGAATCTTTTATGAGCATGTTTTTTTTTTTTATAATGAGGGGGAATAAAGGAAGTCTTAAAACACTATGTGTTAATAGTAAGACTGGATTCACTGAAATCTTTTCTTTACCCCTGGGAGTGCTGAGACATGAGGCCTGGCCTCAGGCTCCTGCAGGTGTGCCTGTCCTTGTCCTGGTGCGCATGGACACAGGAGCCTGGGCATGGAGGCCCTGGCGCCCGTGCCCCTGCCTGTCAGCTGCTCTCCCTCCAGGTACGAGATCAAAGACCTGCTGAGCCACGCCTTCTTCGCAGAGGACACAGGCGTGAGGGTGGAGCTCGCGGAGGAGGACCACGGCAGGAAGTCCACCATCGCCCTGAGGCTCTGGGTGGAAGACCCCAAGAAACTGAAGGGAAAGCCCAAGGACAATGGAGCCATAGAGTTCACCTTCGACCTGGAGAAGGAGACGCCGGATGAGGTGGCCCAAGAGATGGTAAGCAGGACTCAGATGGGGTGAGGTGGGTGCAGGTGTTGGCAGCTCGTGGTTTCCAAGGATGAGAACAAAAGTGGGCTGAGGGGGCTTGCTCCGGAGGGGACTGCAAGGCCAGTGGGTGTGGCGGTGCCATCCAGGCAGGTGTGGGCAGCTGAGGTCTCACAGCCTGGCCACGTCTGCCTAGGGTCTGCACAGGGGTGGCCTAAGTGGGAGTCCCCTCAAAAACACAGCACCCAGGGGATTAGCAGCTCCGAGCCAGTGCAGTGCGGGAATTCAGGGTGGGTGTGCAGAGAGCAACCCAGGACCTCTGACTTGTCAGAAAGGCCTCGCTTGCTTTGCCGGACTCTTGCTGACTTTGTGTCAGTGTGGTGGCTTTGGGTTTGGGATCTTCGCCTTTCCTTTTGTTTGGGAGCACTGTTACATTGGGTTTCTGGGACTTGGGACTTTTCCACCTAGAAAGGCGGGTTGGGGGTACCTTTCCGCCTCTTCTCTTCCTCCTGCTCCTCTCATCATCTTCAGCTCTGTGGATGAGGAGTGGGTTGGGGCTGGCAGCAGAAGTGCCGCTTTGTGCTGGGGTGTCATCGAGGCCTCATTGGAGGGGGCGCTGAGCCGACTGGAATGAGAGGCAGAAGAGACAGGGCCACAGGCACAGGCAGAAAGGAGTGGGAGTGGTCCAGGTGCAGTGGTAGGAGGAGAGGCCACGCTGACGATGCCAGGGGGTCAGCGGTGGAATGGGAATTGTGTGGGATGTGGGGACAGGTGCAGCAGGTGGGACAGATCTAGATTATTCTGACTTGATTCTCAGGTCTGTGCCATCCAGTAAAATCGCCACTGCCCACATGTGCTATTAAAATATAAATTAATTAAAATTTAAAATCCACTTTCTCAGTCCTACTGGCCACATTTCAAGTGCTCTGTGCCAAGTGTGGTTAGTGGTTCTTGTCTTGAACAATGCAGGACGTTTCTGGCCTGGAATGTTCTGTGGGGCACTGCTGCCCTGGGCCGGGGGCTGTTAGAAGTTCTTGGACAAGCAGACTTTGGTCACACCCCTGCAGGGATAGGGCATGTTTGCTGGGCATTGGGCAGTGGACGCCAGAGAGGGACAGTGGTGGGAACCTGGCCTGGGAGGGCCCCAGGGCCAACACTGCTGCCTGAGAACCCTAGTGCAGGGCCTAGAGACAGACAGAGACGTCTTTGTTGTTGGTTACAAAACATGAACAAACGTTGACATTAAGTCAGACAACTTGATACGAAGGACAGGAATGTCTGCACCGGAACAGGTGAAAACAAAGTCACAACGGGGAAGACCAGTGGGAACGAGAGGCTAGGAAGAAGGCAGTTAGTATTGCATGGTAAGAAAGTTGCGCATTTGCAGTGAACACCTGAGCAGAAATAAATCCGGTGTGCTCATGATAGCCCTCGGCTCATGTGTCCTGACCACAGAGGTGCTCGCTGTTTTTTCTTTCTTTTGAATAAGCTTTTTACTGAATACATCACGTCTGTTGAAAATGTCCATCAGTCACCAGTTCCAGGCTGATGATTCTTCCCAAGCTTCACTTCTCCAGGCCGGGCTGGGTCTCAGTAAAAAGAAGTGGAGGGGGTTGCAGAGAGGTGGGAGGGGCGGCTGCTCTGGAAGGTTCCTGCGGAGGTCTGACTCGGGTGTGGAAACTGAGGCTTGGTGATACCATGGAAGGTGCTTGGGCCCTTGGAGCCAGGAATGCTGGGGTGCCAGTGAGCTGCGTGTTTGTCACAGACTCTGCTCCTCCTGGCAGCTCCTTGTCCATGGGGGCACTGGTATGTGGTACATGAGGGATTCAGTGGGCCACATGGTGTAGGTTACGCCGTGAGGTCAGTGCAGGGAGCAGCAGTCTCTCAGCTGGACTTCCTGCAGCCGCGACCCCTGAGGAAGGAAGCAGGTGGAACTGGACTGCTCCTGGGGCTGGCTGTGTGGCTGAGGACTTTGGGCTACTTGAGCTAAGGTCCTGCTGGGGTCTTGGCACGCTTCCTGCTGCTCCTAACCTCACCACAGCTGTAGGATGGGGTGTTCCTGGTGTGGACCTGAGTGCAGGGCCTCAGTGACTGGGACTTGGACTGGAGGAGACACCTCCTCAGGCTGCCAGTGCCTTGGGCCAGGGCTCTGCCTTCCCCTGCACAGTGGCCCATGTCCTGGGCTGTGATAGCACAGTGAGGATGGCTACAGCTCCCACTGTGGGGTGGCGCCCAGGCTGGCTTCTCTGTGGGGCTCCTGCAAGCTGGCTGCACTATCACCGCAGATGCTGCAAAGTGGCCACCTGTGTCCCCACCTGGCCCATTCTCATCTGGCTTGTCTCTGCTCACATCCCTGACCCAGACACAGAAGCCTCTGCTATGAGCAGATCTAATGGGGTTGATGAGCTCTGTGCTTCCTGGAGGATCTTTCCTTGCTCTCCATGACCATGTGGTGCACAGAGGTACATTTTTTCAAATTGAATTGCTACAAGTTTGCTGTGAATTACATTCAGATAATTACCAGCACATCTGTCCTGTGACTTCAGGTGCACCATTTCTCTGCCGATGTAATACAGCTGTCCGTTCACACATTCATTGCAAATAGCAAGTGCCGAGTGAGATGCTGCATAGGCTATGTACAGCGTGTAAGCTGAGGATTGGGATGGTGGCTGCAGGCCAAGAACATCTCTCTGGAGGCACCTGGCTGGCCGCTCAGTGGGATGGCTGAGGTTTTGAGAGGACAGAAGATGGCCTCGAGGGAGGATGAGGATGACCTGTGGGAGTCTCACGCACAAATGAGGATGAGGAAGGTCCTGGGGCAGCTGTGCTGGCTCTGACCTTGCAGGGAGTTACCTCTATCCTGGTGCTGAGGTCTGGGCCAAGGGCAAGGATAGGAGGACATTTGGATGACCTGGTTTTGATGTGGTGACAGCCTCAGGAAGGGCAGGAGAATGAGGCGCTCTTGTTCCTTCCATGAATGTGGTTATGCTTGGTCAGTGCTGGGGGGACAGGGTACGAGGGACCAGGGAGCTGTGTCAGGAGGCCAAGTGCTACAGCGACGGCTGAGCGGCAGAGGGGACATCAGAGCCCTCTCAGCACTGATTCCAACATGGGTGGTGCAGCCTGGGGAGGGCCCCAGGATTCTACAAGAGCAGTGTTGCTGCCTCCACCAGACCTCGTGGGCTCCTTGCCTGTCTTGGGTTCTGTCCTAAGGTGGCAAAGCCCAGAACCTGCCCTGGGCCTTTCTAGCTGCTCCGAAGACAGGCAAGTTGGAGGAGCCTCCCAAGACTGCGACTCCTCCCTGCTTTTCATCCACACGGAGACTTGGCCTCCCTGCCCCCGCCCTCCTGCAGGGTCATTGTGGATGCAGCTGTCCCTTCAACCTACAGCCTCCTGTGCCCATCACCACACAAGTCCCCGTCCCTGGCAGTTGGCTGAACTCTGCGGCTGTGTTCCTGCATCAGTTCACAGCAGAGGCCCCTTGGCCCGAGCACCTTCACCCCCGCTTCTGCATCTTTTGCATTTTTTTCATTGTGAGACACATCACCCGTGAAATAGAGCATCCAAGAAGAAGGGACATGACCTGTGCTCAGCTAAAGCACAACAATAAACAGCACCCGCCCCACTCTGCTAAGAACAGGGAAGGCAGGACCTCAAGAGCCGCCTGGCAGCAGCTGGAAGCAACATACTCCTACCTTGGGGCTCACTCCCCGGGAACAGCTTGTGTGCCCCGGCAGGTTGACGCTGGGTCCCTATGGGGCCTTTCCAGGTTCTAACCTCACACTCCTCCTTCCCACCCGCTTCAGACACCAGAGTCCGTCACTGGCCTCCCTGGGGTCCTGACAACAGCCCTGCCATGGACCCTAGACTGGAGGGGCTTCGCCGTGATGCAATGAAAACAGCTTGATGTTGGTGCATCTGCTGAGGCTAGAGAGACACTAGCACCTGGCTCTGAGGCTGCTCTTCTTCCTAAAATCTGAGATTAGGCCGGGTGCAGTCACTCATGCCTGTCATCCCAGCACTTTGGGAGGCCAAGGCAGGAGGATTGCTTGAGCTTAGGAGGCCTTTGCTGTGAGCTGTATCCTGCTGCATGATTTCCAGCCTGGGTGGCAGAGCGAGACCCTGTCTCAAACAAACAAAAGTCCCTGAGATTAGCAGATGTTAGGTCTTAGAGGTGTTCTGGAATCCAGATGAGACCTCTTTCTGGAAGGACCCCGAGGGTGGGAGAGAATGCAGATGTGGCAGAGCTCTCCTTCCCCTGAAGTCACCTCTCAGCAAGTTCCACTCGGCAGATGGAAGAGGCCAGATGGAGCTCCCCAGAGAGAGACAGAGATGAAATAGCGGGCTCTGTGGGGCCTGGGCCAGCTTCAATCTGGAAGGGACTCTGGGAGTCGACCCCCAAGGGGATTCCCAGCCAGCCCTCCCCTCCACCTTCATACTCTCCTGATAATGCAATGCGCCTGTGTGGCACTCACCATGGCTAAATGTTTTCCTGTTTGGGAAAAAAAATAGAAGAAACACTTTAGAGAGGAAGGCTGGGGGTGATGATGAAGACAGTCTCAAGGGAAAATGGGCTGCGGGCTGTGGCGCCAGCAGCAAATAGTAATGGCAGCAGGAGGACGTGGCCTTGGCAGCCTCTGGTCACGTATCTGGGCCGAGGTGGGCAAGGGTGGGGCCACGCCCTGGATATGACCCCGAGGCCACGTGGAGCCTTAGGAATGGCCTCACCCACATGCTCACTAGGAGCAGAGGCCCGGGCCAAGCAGGTCTGGCTGGCTGTGCATACCTGCGCCCAGGTGCCAGTGACAGGGACACCTGCCTCGGCCTCCCTGTGAGACCCCCTAGGGTTGGAGCCCGTTCTCTGAGGCTCCCTAGAAAAAAGTCTGCTCTGGACTCTGAGCCAGAAGGGAACCTGGTGCCTGGTTTCTCCTCCTTCCCAGCTGGGCTGCCCTGCTGCTGAGTGGCCTTGGGGCTGGTTTGGGGCCAGCGGCAACCCTGAGTGTAGACGGGTCCCACTGACTGAGCCGTAAGCTTCTGTCCCACCTCACTGGTCCCCCCTCCCCCGCCCCACTTATGTCTCTTCTGAATCAGGGGAGACTGACCAGGGCTGTTTCTGTTAGGGAACATCATTCTGTGGAAAAAAATTGTCTTTTGAAACAAAGACTTTTGAATAATCACAAACTTACTGAAAAATTGCAAGGACACTACAAAGAACCATTTATTTTCCACGAACCATTTGAGACTAAGTGGCTGACCTGATTCCCCTGAAGCCCTGAATACTTTCGTGTCTGCTTCCTGAAACTAGGGCACTTTCTTGCATCCGGAAATACCGTCAATCCTCAGGCCCATCCTCCTATCCTCGGGCCACTCAGGTCCCCAGTTGTCCCAGTGACACCATCACAAGTCCTCTGGGCCCCTTTCCTCGCCTGACTTCCATGTCCTGTCCCTCGGGACGGGCTCAGGTGGCCCTCTGTGGGTGGGTCACAGTCAGGTCTTGCATCTCCACAGGAATCTCATGGAAGGGGCTGAGTTTGCATGTGTTTCCCCGGGGTGCACAGCTTCACCCGCCAGTTAGGCAGATGCTGGCTCTGAGCTTGGTGCACGGCGCCTGTGGCTTCTCTAAGTTGAGCTCCTCTCACCTTTTGCAACTGTACGTGTCTCATGGAGAATGTTTGGACACTGTAAATATCTTGTTTGTCACCAATCTTCTCACTTATTTCTTTATCTCTCTGTGGCCTCATGGTTTTCTGTTTTACTCAATGGGTCCTGCTCCACAGATGAACTGTCCCATTGCTGCCTAGTGAGTCACTTGAAATGCCCTGGCTCCAGCCTTAGAGGTCAGGGATCAGGTGCCTTGGCTCAGGGCCCTAGTGAGATGGGATCAGGTGTTGGCCTGGGCTGCAGTCTCAGACCCTGCCTCAGAACTCAGTTCCCTGCCAGGAGGGCCTCTGCATAGGGTCATTTGTGACATGGCTTCCCCTAGAGCAGATGATCCACAGGAAAGGGAGGCAAAGAGACTGGGTGAGGGAGCCACAGAGGAGAAACGGAGGGAGAGATGGGGATAGAGAGGCCACACCTACCTGCCGCCCCCCACCTGATACCAGCAGTGACACTTCACCCCTCCTGCCACCCCCATATGCAAAATGCATGTCAGAGTCTGTGGACATGTCCTTCAAACCATCATTGTGTTACTGTTCATTTTGATGCTCAAAATGCCCCAGATTTGCCAGCGGGAGGCCCTCAGCACTGGCTCCCGTGCCGTTTTGCACGTCCCTGTCACTCTGAGCACGTCCTCACTGTCAAGCTCATCCTGTCCTTCTCCTGCCCAGCCTTGAGCTGCCGCCTCTTAGAGCCGCGCTGCATTCCTGTCCTGGCCGAGCTCTGCATGCTCCTTGCTGTGGGTGTTGTTGCTCCCAGGCCCTCCTGGTGAACTCAGTTCACAAGTACGCATGTGTCTGTGCATTTACACCGCGAAGGTGTCGGGAGCCTGCCTGTGCAGTCTGTCTGTGTTTATTCACTTCTGTTGTGCGCTTCACACCAACAGCTCCAATTCCCACCCAGCAAAAAGGTTCCTGTTGAAAATTTCTGCCTCTCCACACCTGAGGAGCCTGGCGTCCACTATCCCTAATATATTTTCTTGTTTGGTCACTTTTGTGGGGTCGCCAGCCTCCATTGGTGCTGTCACCACCTCCCCTCCCCGATAGCTATGACTCCCTCTGTGCCTGGCACTGCCCCGAAGCCAGGATGCCCTCTTGCACGGGCACCTCCGCCCTACTGCAGAGGCCTGGCTGGTCCAGCCTGACCTAGAGCCTTTAGGACTGAGGTGCTCAGGAAGGGAGGGGAAGTGCGGGTGGATCTGGAATCTTTGTTCTCCCATGTTTTCATGTGTTTGTGGTCACTACAACTGCAGCCTAGCAAGAGCAGCCCCTTCAAAAGGGATCTCTTTTATCAGAAGAAAGAAGGTAGTTATTCCGTGAATATTCTTGGCGAGCTCATGATGTTTCCTGGAGACCTTCGGGCTCTCTTACAAATGCTCTCAAGGCTGTGCTTGGTAAATCAGTTTTAAAATTTGCCAGGCATCAGTGCATACCTTACTGGTCCCTAATTACAAAACGCATGTCCTTCCTCCATCTGCAACTCGGGTGTGGCCCCGTTCCCCATCTTTGGGCAGCCCCAGACTCAGAGACGTTTCAGGAAAATGCTAGCTCCAAAGCTCCTTGTCACCACTTCTGAGTATGGAGACAATCAGGAGCCCCTTCCCGTCTGCCACCAGCCCCGGGGGCGCTGGGAGCTCAGGGAGCCCTTGGGTCCGGTTGAGGGGCTGGTCTGCTTTGCTCTTGCTGTGGACTCTGCGGGATGCAGGTCAGGCCTGCGTGGTGGTGGTCTTTCTTTGCCTTGCCTGGCAAACCCCTGCCATGCCATCTCTGAGCTGTCCCCGCGGATTTTACATTCAGTGGCAGTGGGATGGCGAGCGTGTCCTGCGTGGATGAGCCAGTGATGGGAAAGCACTTTAGGTAAGGGGTGTGGGCCGGTGAGGGCTGATCCCCAGCGATGCTGACAACATGACTGCCTTTACAGATTGAGTCTGGATTCTTCCACGAGAGTGACGTCAAGATCGTGGCCAAGTCCATCCGTGACCGCGTGGCCTTGATCCAGTGGCGGCGGGAGAGGATCTGGCCCGCGCTGCAGCCCAAGGAGCAGCAGGATGTGGGCAGCCCGGACAAGGCCAGGGGTCCGCCGGTGCCCCTGCAGGTCCAGGTGACCTACCATGCACAGGCTGGGCAGCCCGGGCCACCAGAGCCCGAGGAGCCGGAGGCCGACCAGCACCTCCTGCCACCTACGTTGCCGACCAGCGCCACCTCCCTGGCCTGTGAGTGCTCAGGGGTGGGATGGCCATGGGCACCCCTCCCACCTACCCTGCAAAAACCAGCTATTGGGCAAAGAAAAATGAAGTCCTCTCCCTTTATTGGAATGCTTTGTGAGGAAGGGGGTCCGCATGGCATCCCCTCGGAGGAGACATCGTGTAGCTCTGAGCTGTCCTCACGTAGCGTGGGTGATTGCTTTAGCTGTAGGTAGTTTCCGGGAGTCCTGGCTGGGCACCTATGCCCCGTGACAGGCTCGCCTTCTGCCAGCACCTTTGGTGCCAGGGCATGTCGGGAACTTCATAAGAGAGCAACTTCCAGGGTGGTGGGGCCAGCAGACCCAAGCACTGGGATGTGCAGGGCCTGATTCTGTGACCAGCCTGGGCCCTGTCCCCCCAGCCCACCATGCAGGGTGTGGACCCTAGGTATGGGTGAGCCTTGTTTCAGTGAAGGGATTGGGGCTTTCTCAGCATTTCCCGGTGATCTGTAACCAGGAGATTAAGGCTCAATGAAGTTCATGTTCTCAGGACAGATGGGGACAAATGGGCCGTGAGCCAGCAGGGTCTGGTGGAGCCAGTTCAGTCCCACTCTGTGCTATGGATCTGTGGATTTAGGGCAGGTTCCTTAACCTGTCTGAGAATGACAGTTCTGGCCCCTTGGGGGGAATGTGAAGGCCAGGTGAGGTGGTGGCAGTGGCTGCTTGGTGGGACATCTGTCCTAGGAACAGAGTGTGCTGCTTGCTGGCTTGGCTTGTGGTGTTGCCGTGGGGACCTCCCATCCCCCGTAGTATCTCCCTTCTAAGGCAGAACCTTTGGGACCTTTTGTACATTTTCAGTAGGGTGTTACTGATGAATTGGCAGGAATCACTTTGGATCAGGTTTCATCTAAGACCATTTAGGGAAAACCTAGTATCTTCTGCACATACAGGCAGAAAAGTTTCTGTCTGTGCCCTCAACATCCTAAGAATTCAGCAGTGAGCTGAGGACTGAGGAACATGGCATTGTTCATTCTGTGAATATGCATGGGATAGAATGACAGAGCCAAGGGACCTGCCCGGGCCAATATTTCAGATCATTCATGTGCAAAGACTGAAATAGTCTGTTTAATTTATTTAATATGCACATCCTTCATTTATCATTGAAATGGCTAGTTCTTTAAAGTAGGCTATTTAAATTCAAACAAGCAGTCATCATGTTGAGATGGTTTGCCTACTATTTATGTCACTCGAACCTGCGCAGATTTGCTTTGGAGAATAAAATTGGTACATTATTGCTCCATTTTCTGATACATCTAAAAAATTAAAGAGCACAGACTTTTTGTAAGAAGAAATTCTTCACATCTGACACAGCACTACGCACTTTTAAATCGTAATTGTGGGTTAAATAATTCCTAGGATGGGAGTTTAAAAATCTCCTTTTTTCAAACTTTGAAAAGACATAGTTTGAGGATATTTCTATATGTTTAGCTTGTGGTCAGATAATATAATTCAGGTTTGATCCACTGTGGGAAAATCAGATGGAGACATCGACTGACTGATGATTGCAATTCAGGTGTGGGTGTTCTCTCTGCAGACAGGCCCACTTCCAGACCAACTGAGGATTCTGTGTGCTTTGTGCAGAGGCCATGGCCATGCTTCTCAAAAACACTTTTTTTGTTGTTTTTTTTGAGACGGAGTCTTGCTCTGTTGCCCAGGCTGGAGTGCAGTGGCGCGATCTCGGCTCACTGCAAGCTCCGCCTACCAGGTTCATGCCATTCTCCTGCCTCAGCCCCTTGAGTAGCTGGGATTACAGGCACCTGCTATCACGCCCAGCTAATTTTTTTGTATTTTTAGTAGAGACAGGGTTTCACCGTGTTAGCCAGGATGGTCTCAATCTCCTGACCTCGTGATCCGCCCGCCTCAGCCTCTGAAAGTGCTGGGATTACAGGTGTGAGCCACCGCAACCAGCCCCTCAAAAACACTTTTACTTGTTCATTGCGGTTTCTTTAAAGTAGGTAATATAGCCACATGGTGTCAAATTCAAAAAGGCCGGGAGGTAGCAAATCACTTCATTGTCCTCCCTAGAGGCAACAGATGCTACCAATTTTTTTTTTTTTTTTTTTTTTTTTTAAAGACAGTCTCGCTCTGTCTCCAGGCTGGAGTGCACTGGTGCGATGTTGGCTCCCTGCAACCTCTGCCTCCTGGGTTCAAGTGATTCTTCTGCTTCAGCCTCCTGAGTAGCTGGGACTATAGGCATGTGCCACCACGCCCAGCTAATTTTTGTATTTTAATACAAAAATAATAATACAAAACAATAATAAAACATGTAGCCTACCACACACATAGAACACCCATAGGCACACATAGAACACACACACAAATACATAGGCACATCTACACATGCACATACACATGGCTACCACACGTGAACACCTGCACACAGACATGCATGCCCCACGTGTGTGTACACAGGCACGCCCAGCCTGCATGCAAATGGACACATATGTACACATGTGAACACCCCCACAAATGTGAACACATTCACCTGCACACATACATGCACACATGTCTGCATTCATACATGAATATGCACATGCACACTGACATCCACATGTGTGCACACATGTACACCCTTATCCCCTTCTGTTTCATAATGGATAGCACCCCGCATAGCCTTCTGCACCTTGCTCTGGGATATGCTGGGTAAGAGCAGGAACCCCATAATCCAAGAAGAACCTGGTCTGTGTAACAAGATTGGCAAACAGACACACATTATTGTATTGGAAGATGCAACAGTATGTCAGTTTTTATGGTTTTCCCTTGTTGTGTTTTCTTAAACTGCCCACCAAGTGTCCTGACCAAGCGGGGGCTTCCTTGGTGACTCTATTTAAGCAGCTGGTGACTGTAGTAGCACATTTACCAATAGTTTCAAAAATGTCTTCTAAAATGTTTAATTGTGTAATTAATGAACTCATTCACTTTTTTTTTTTTTTTTTTTTGAGACGGAGTCTCGCTCTGTCACCCAGTCTGGAGTGTGGTGGCGCAATCTCGGCTCACTGCAACCTCTGCCTCCCAGGTTCAAGTGATTCTTCTGCATCAGCCTCCCTAGTAGCTGGGATTACAGGCATGTGCCACCATGCCTTGGCTAATTTTTGTATTTTTAGTAGAGACGGGGTTTTGCCCTGCTGGCCAGGGTTGGCCTTGAACTCCTGACCTCAAGTTATCTGCCCGCCTCAGCCTCTCAAGGTGCTGGGATTACAGGCATGAGCCACTGTGCCTGGCCCATATTCACTTTATTTTTAATTTTTAAAAATTTTTTTATTATTTTTTGAGACAGGGTCTCGCTCTGTCACCCAGGCTGGAGTGCAGTGGCAGGATCTTGGCTCACTGCAACCACCATCTCCTGGGTTCAAGCTATTCTCCTGCCTCAGCCTCCTGAGTAGCTGGGACTACAGGTGTGTGCCACCATGCCCAGCTGATTTTTTTCGTATTTTTAGTAGAGGTGGGGTTTCACTATGTTGGCCAGGCTGGTCTCAAACCCCTGACCTCGTGATCTGCCTGCCTCAGCCTCCCAAAATGCTGGGATTACAGGCATGAGCCACCATGCCCGGCACATATTCACTTTAAATATGTAAAATGTGGGCCGGGCATGGTGGCTCCTTTTGGGAGTCAAAGGTGCGTGGGTCACTTGAGCCCAGGGGTTCGAGACCAGTCTGGGCAACGTGGCGAAACCTCATCTCTACAAAAGATAGAAAAATTAGCCAGGTGTGGTGGTGTATGCCTGTAGTTCTAGCTACTCAGGAGGCTGAAGCAGGAGAATTGCTTGAGCCTGGGAGGTCAAGGCTGTAGTGAGCCGTGATCACACCACTGCACTCCAGTCCAGATGACAGTGAGACCTTGTCTCAAAAAAATAAATAAATAAAATGCTACACATATGGTTAGAATTGCTCTACTTGAAACTTGTCAGGTCTATACACGTTCTCCCCTTCCTCCCCATCCTCCTCTCCCCTCTCTTCTCTAAGTGGATGTGACCACTCGGCTCATTAAAAATCAGAGCTGCCTGTCTGATTGGTTTTGCACAATTAAACCTCAGCATTTCTTATGTCTTCCTAGGTTACAGTAGGTTCAGTCCATTCCTGGGAAAAGTTATTTTAACGCCAAGCCAACAGGATTTCCCTTTTGTTTAAATTATAAACAGACACAGTATTCTGAAATGCAGCCCCTCGCGAAAATAGTGTGGCGTTTGTAAGTGGTAAATTCTAAAGTTTCTGTAGCTTTTGGCATCTGGAAGCAGTAAGCCCAAAGTACCATTTCAGACAGGTTTTCGTTTTCCCCTCTGCTGGCATGACCCCACAGGCTGAAGATGTTCCCAGGCACACCGTAGTATGAGAAGCCCGTGGGCTCTGGGGTCCTGTCTGTGCCCCCATGAGCAGGCAGGTCTGTTTGGGTTTGATGGGGACCAGGCCAGCCTGAGCCATGCGAGGCCTCTGGGGGAGCTCAGGCCATGGGCGCTTGGTGTCACCCCTGCCACCGCATCCACCACACAGGGGAATAGTGGGTGCATTTCCCTCTCAAGGCCTCTCTGCGGGTGTTGAGGGCACCTTGACATGTTTGGGCCCTTTGCCATGGTGTGTTGAAGGTGGTCAGAGTGCTGAGACACCCTCGCCTCTTATAAAACACAGGTGATATTTATCTCCACAGTGAAGACATCAGTTTTTTCTTACCTCAGACATTCCTTTGGCCTCCCAAGTCCCTTGTGCCTTTAAGAGCTGGAATGTGTGCTTGGTGCCCAGGCCACGGCGGGCTGGTTGTGGGTACCTGCCTTGTGGGAGGATTGGCACGATGTACCCGCCCTGACATCATGCTGGCCAGACATGGGCAGTGTTGGAGTGGGGCACCGTGACAGCATCCCCAGTATGGTTCTGTAGCAGCCAATTGTTTAAACAATATGTGCGGGTTATTTATGTGATCTGGAGAAACAAGCCTTTATTTTGCAGAAGAAAATATGCAGATGAGCCAATGTTTGTTCATGTGACATTTGGAGATGTCCACTCTAAGTCCTGCTTTTGTCCTCCCCAGCGGACAGCACCTTCGACAGCGGCCAGGGCTCTACCGTGTACTCAGACTCGCAGAGCAGCCAGCAGAGCGTGATGCTTGGCTCCCTTGCCGACGCAGCGCCGTCCCCGGCCCAGTGTGTGTGCAGCCCCCCTGTGAGCGAGGGGCCCGTCCTGCCGCAGAGCCTGCCCTCGCTGGGGGCCTACCAGCAGCCCACGGCTGCAGTGAGTCAGAGCATCACTCCCACCCCCTTCCCCATCCCCATTACCTGGTCTGAGGGCCCTGAGGGCTCTAAATTCTGTGATGGGCTGTCCAGGCTGCACTGCATTGTGGTCAGCATTAAAAGTGGCCTGTGGTCAGTGTCCAGCCACACTTCCCCTGGGGAGACATTCAAAAGCCAGGCCCAGAGGAAAGCCCCGTCCTTGCTGTCAGCTGCGGAACTGCTGGCCGAGTAGCCCTGACATTCCTGTAAAGACCTACTAGATAGGAAAGACACCCTATTGGAAAACAGACCCCAGGGCACCCAGAATTTGGGAGGCTATGGTAGAGCTGAGTGGTTCCCCCTGGGGAGCGGGCACAGTGATAATGGTGACAACCCACAGCCACAATCATGATACCCACTGACAGTGCCCTGGGCCTGGGACATTATCCCAGACTGTTCCATAGATCACAGAAAAGCATCATTTGTACGAAGGAAACCTGAGATTCGATCTAGCTGCCCAGCCTCCTGAGGGGCTCCTGGCACTTCTCTCCCAGATATTGTGTAGCGGTTAAAGTCAGAGCTATGAAAATAGGGCGGGGATGAGGGGAACACTTTCAGGGAGCACGTGTGGCAAAGGAGTGATGGAACCTCGGGCTGTGACGACACGTGTGGGTTGATTCCCACGGGAAAGACTAAGATGAGTGGGGTCACATTTGGCACTTATTTTTTTATTTTGATTTTTAAAAAACACTTTAGAAAGCAAAACAATTGCTCCTCGCAGTCCCAAGTGCCCAGCCACAGAGGGGTTGCCCATGAGCCCCAGGCAGTAGATTGGTACCCTCAGAGCGTAGTTTGTTTATTTATTTGTTTATTTGAGATGGAGTCTTGCTCTGTTGCCCAGGCTGGAGTGCAGTGGCGTGATCTCAGCTCACTGTAACCTCTGCCTCCTGGGTTCAAGCGACTCCTCTGCCTCAGCCTCCTGAGTAGCTGGGATTATAGGCACGCGCCACCACGCCCAGCTAATTTTTGTGTTTTTAGTAGACACCAGGTTTCACCATGTTGGCCAGCCTGGTCTCGAACTCCGGACCTCAGGTGATCCTCCCTCCTCAGCCTCCCAAAGTGCTGAGATTACAAGCGTGAGTCACTGCACCCAGCCTCAGAGGGTGGTTTATGGGGTGGGCTCTCACCTACTGTGTGAGCCAGGAAACCCAAGCAAGGACATCACAGGTGCAGCCACTGTGTACTCCGGGCCAAGCTCCTTCTTCCCTCGTGAGCAGCTCCTGCCTGGCGCTTTGGCTGTGCTGGTTGTCACTCGCACACTCAGCGCTGTGGCCCGTCTTCTTGATGTCGGCTGAGCGTGGGCACATGGGCTGTTCTGGCCTCCTCTGTCCTGCTGGCTGCCCTGCTGCACCCTTGCATGCGGGACCAGCCTTCCCAGGCCTGCTCAGTCGGAAGGGTCCAGAAAGGCCCTTTGGAAAAGCAGTGGAAGCTGTTTGCCGAGTCTGCCTTTGCTGACTGCAGCCCCAGGACTCATTTGCAATTTGCATTTGCAGTTTTCTTCATTTCACAAAATGAAGTGAAATACAATTTTAAACAGCAGAACTCATTTAAGGAAAGGCGAGGCTGAACGTGGTGGCTCATGCCTGTAATCCTAGCATTTTGGGAGCCGAAGGCAGGAAGATCACTTGAGCCCAAGAGTTCCAGGCCAGCCTGGGCAAAAAAGCAAGACCCTGTCTCTACAACAAATTTAAAAAAAAAAGAAAAGAAAAGGCTACTTGCTGCTCCAGAGTGGTGGTTCTTGGCTTTGAGGATTGGCTGAACTGAGGCTGGACTGGAATGTTCTGCCTGGCTCTCATCCCTCCTCAGCCTAGGTTAGGGCTTCCCATGCCATGTGATACCACATGAGGCACTCCTGGCCTGGGCTCCCACTGGGCCAAGTCCCTCTCCTGTGGCCTTGGTGATGCTGCTGGTCTCAGCATCAGTGTGGAAACCAGCACACCTGAGCAGGGACATCACAGGTACAGTCACCTTGGACCAGGGGCCTGAGTCTCAGTCTTCCTACCTAGTGACACAGAGACAACTTACTCAAAAAGGATGAGGCCTGGAAGGAGTCCCCAGGTGTGCTGAGGGCTCTCCCTACCCCTCCGTGCCTTTCCTGGGATGGTTGCCATGGTGATGTGTCTGCAGCGCCCAGTGAAGGAGGAGAAACAGCCAAGGAGGAGCAGCTGCCGTGGGGCTGCCAGGCTGCCCTGGAGGCTGTCTGGAGCACGAGGCCACTTGCTCCAGGCTGCCAGGCCCTGCCCGAGCTCCTGGGCTGTGTACAGTGCCCAGAGCTGGTAGACGGATGGTCCGGCCCAGTCAGGCCCATCCTCCACTCCCTGGCTTCAGGTGAATCCAGAAGCCCAGCTTGATCCCAGATACACTTGCTCCAACCACTCACACCATGCTGCCTTTCATAAAGCACCCACCGCGAAAGACAAGTGAGGAGGGCAGTTTTGGGCATGCCATCACTCACGTGATCCAGAGAACCCCACGGGAGAGAACGTTCATGGCAGGGTGGAAGAGCCATGATCCTCTGTAGCCCTGCCTGCTCCTCACATTCTCGTTGTTTTGAAATAAATCCTAGACAGCAAGACACTTCCCCTGTAAATGATTCAGCCTCTGGCTCTGCACAATAAGGACTCTCAGAGAACAAAGCCCAATTCCATTAGTACACCAACAAATTAACAAATTCGCAGCAATTCCTCAATGGCAGCAAATACCCATTCTGAGAGCTTAGATTTCCCATTCTTTTGAGGTCTGTGTTCACTCCGCCGCTGGAGTGCTCACATGCTGTTCCAGGGCCCGTTTCTCTCCATATCGTCTGTGAGTTATGTATAAGTTTTCATCTTACATGGTCACAGTCATATGGACCGTGAGCTTCCCCAGTTTAATGTCCTCGGGAGCCTTTCTGTATGGTTCTGCAGAGCCTCTGTGCTGGCCTTTTTTGTGGTTGTGTAATGTTCTGTGGGGCTGATGTGCCCGGGCACCCCTGGGCTGGGGGCTGTGCTGTTCCTGGCCCTTCACTGTTGTGAATGATGCCCAGGGCTCCCTCACTGCTTCTGCTGTCATGTTCCTGGGAAGAGGGACCCTGGTAGGGACCAGGCACAGGGATGACATGAGGCTACCCTGCCCCTGCCCAGGAGGGGGCCTGGTGGCCGAGAGCTGCTGCTGAGTGTGGCCCTGGTGCTCTCTGCAGCCTGGCTTGCCGGTGGGCTCTGTCCCGGCCCCCGCCTGCCCTCCGTCCCTCCAGCAGCACTTCCCGGATCCGGCCATGAGCTTCGCCCCCGTGCTGCCGCCGCCCAGCACCCCCATGCCCACGGGCCCAGGCCAGCCAGCACCCCCCGGCCAGCAGGTGAGTGTGGCACCTCCTGTGGCCACTGTCCCTCCAGGCAGGCAGTCACCTGTGCTGGCCCCTGGGCCCAGGTCTATGAGCACCTCCCACAGACCCTTCGCTCAAATTCTCTGTGGTTCCCCCAGGTCTTTGGTGTGCCTGAGGGATGGGAGTGACTCTCGTATGTGCATGTGTTTGTGTGTGTACGTGTGTGTGTGTGTTTGTGTGCGTGCATAGTGTTCGCAGTGCCCTGCACATGGAAGGCTCTGCTCACTCAGAACATTTCTGCAAGATCTGCTGTGCCCTGGCTCCAGGCTGGCTGGAGTTTGGTGATCTGTGTGTCTGAATGTGTATACGTGTGACTGTGCAAGTGTGTGTGTGCAGGCATGTGTGAATGTGAGCATGTGCGTGTGCATGTGAGGGTGAGGGTTGATATCCTGTCATGTGTAACCAGTGGGGTGCGCTTGTCTGGGCAGATTGGTGGTCTAAGGGGAGCTACCTTCTCTCCCTCTAGCCTCCTCCGCTGGCCCAGCCGACACCCCTGCCGCAGGTCCTGGCCCCACAGCCCGTGGTCCCCCTCCAGCCGGTTCCCCCCCACCTGCCACCGTACCTGGCTCCAGCCTCCCAGGTGGGGGCCCCCGCTCAGCTGAAGCCCCTCCAGATGCCACAGGCGCCCCTGCAGCCGCTTGCTCAAGTCCCTCCGCAGGTAATTCTAGGTTGATGGCTGCCGTCAGTGGTGGCGCACGCTTTGCCAGGCCCTGGCTGGTGCACTAGGACACCCACAGAGGGGGTTGTCTGTGCATGTGACCTGTGACCTGGGGTTGGGCTGGCCAGGGAGTTGGGGCTGGGCTGGGGAGTCCGGGCTGGGCAGTGTGCACAGTCATATGCACCAGGAACGCTCCAGGGTCCCACACAACCAGCCACTTGTCCCTTGGTGGCTGGCTTGGCTGCTGTCTCCTGCCCTCCAGCCTCACCTTCTCTACCAACCTGGCAGGCTGCTCTTGGTCCTTCCAGGCCATGACCTCCCTGGGGTCCTTCAGGGAGGGCGGGCAGCCCAGTACCCCATCACCTGGCACCCTCCCAGCAAGGTGCCCATCTGCCCTCAGCTTACCCATGTGCCCAGGCTCATCCAGGATAGGAAAAGGTTTGTTAGTCCAAGGTCGTGGACAGTCCTTGAAGTGGTTGCTGGGTTGGCACAGAAAGCAGGTAGGTTTGCCTCAGAGGAGCGTTCTTCCTGTGGAGCTCCTCCAGGGCCGTGTGGCATGTGGCTCCTCGGAGTTCCAAAGCCAGCCTGTGGCATTGCTGACTGCAGGAAAGCCCAGCCAGCAAGGCTCGACTCACACAGCTGAAGTGACTTCTGCTGTCTTTCTCTGGGTACACTGTCTTTCACTCGAGGGACCTGACTGCATGTAACTGGTGCAGAATGTAGCCGGGGCCAGGGCACCATTGCCCAGGTAAATGGCATGGAGGATTCTAGGTACTCCCGAGGGCTTCGGTGACCCGGACAGGCTGATCAGTGATAAGACTGGAAGTGTGCTTCACTCTAAAGATGGGGCAAGTGAGTGTTCCTGTGATTCACGAGCCCCACCTGGAAGATTCTTTTGTGTTGTCTCACCCTGCTCAGGCCCAGATGTCACCATAGGACGTTAGGCAGCTTCAGGGTCTAGTGAAATCGTTATCTTGCTCGTTCAGACAGACAGGAGTCCATGTGCATTTTTGCTGCCTCTTGATTACATGGAGGTGTAGGCCAGGTGACACACACCAGCATGCACGAGAAGGCTGTCAAAGATGGAAGTGCTATGTCCATGTGGCCGGGTGTCAGCCACCCCCAGGAGGCACATGTAATGCTGAGAAGAGAAGATACAGGCAAGGTTTCGGGAGTTCCTGGTGTGGCAAGGCTGGACAGGATAGGGGTGTCCCCTGAGCCAGCCAAGGTGGCTCAAAGATTTGCTTTCTCTGAGAACCCTCTGAAAAGTCAGGTTTCAACTTGAATTTGTGCATGTTGCAGGGATCAGGCTAAGGTGATTTCAGATGCTCAGGGCCAGTCTGGTGGCTCTGACAGTCCCAGCCATTCTGAATGAAAATGCTCCAGGGCTCTGAAGTCACTCCTCTATGACCTGTGGTCACTGCTCCTGCTGCTCACACTATGTGAGCTGCCCCTGACTCCCTCAGAGCCCCCAGCATGGCTGTCGTGAGTGTGGACACAGGGAGGCCTCCCTGCGCTGGACCAGGGGTGATCGAGCAGGTCATTCCCAGCCTGCCAACTTTCCTTTTCTATTTGAAGAGCTTTACATGGTTGAGATTTCTGCACCTGTTGGGTTTATCTTTGGGTTCCCTTCAACAGCAGCTACACAAAGGTGTCTCGGAGGGAAAGGGTCATGCTGTCTTCATCCCGTGTCCCCTCGTCCCCAATGACTGTGGCTGTCCTTGCATGCAAGTGCTGTGGGCAGGGACCCTGGTTGGGGCCCACACTGACACACTCCTGTGTCTCTTTCAGATGCCCCCGATTCCTGTTGTGCCCCCCATCACGCCCCTGGCGGGAATCGACGGCCTCCCTCCGGCCCTCCCAGACCTGCCGACCGCGACTGTGCCTCCCGTGCCACCACCTCAGTATTTCTCTCCAGCCGTGATCTTGCCGAGCCTCGCTGCCCCACTCCCCCCTGCGTCCCCAGCCTTGCCTCTGCAGGCTGTGAAGCTGCCCCACCCCCCTGGGGCGCCCCTGGCCATGCCCTGCCGGACCATTGTGCCAAATGCACCGGCCACTATCCCCCTGCTGGCCGTAGCCCCACCGGGCGTGGCTGCCCTGTCCATTCATTCTGCCGTGGCCCAGCTCCCAGGCCAACCTGTGTACCCAGCGGCCTTCCCACAGATGGCGCCTACTGACGTCCCTCCTTCCCCCCATCACACGGTGCAGAATATGAGGGCCACCCCTCCACAGCCGGCACTGCCTCCACAACCCACACTGCCCCCACAACCCGTGCTGCCCCCGCAACCCACGCTGCCCCCTCAACCTGTGTTGCCCCCGCAACCCACACGGCCCCCTCAACCTGTGCTGCCCCCGCAACCCATGCTGCCCCCACAACCTGTGCTGCCCCCGCAGCCGGCACTGCCTGTGCGCCCTGAGCCCCTCCAGCCCCACCTTCCTGAACAAGCTGCTCCAGCTGCTACACCAGGGAGCCAGGTAATCACCTGCTGGGCAGGGGCTCACCCTCCCAGCGTCTGGGGACCCTCAGGACCCAGAGATGCAAAGGAGGACAGAGGCAGGCAAGGAGGCAGCCCTGCCTGGGGTCGCCCCTCTCAGGAAGAGATGTGTGTGAGGCTGAGGGAGGCGGGGGCTGGCGCCAGCGCGAGGCATCTGCATCTCTTCCGTTTTCCGAATGGGTCAGGAGATGCAGGAGTCCGTGCCTGATAGGTTCTGTGTCCCTACCTTCCCATGGCTCTGTGGCCCCTGCTCTTGTGGTATCTTTGTACCTGCCCTCACCCAGGCCTGGTCTGGCAGCCTTGGTGTGGCTTGCGTTGGGGCACAGGTTGTCTGTCTGAGGTCCACCCTTCAAAGAGCATCTTGTCAGGATGAGGCAGGGTGACAACCCCATCTTAGGGAGGGCAAGGAAGTGAGGCCGATAGCGGGGCAGGGGCTGGGGGCAGATGGCACTGCTGGCTGCAAGGGTGGTTATGGTGGGACCCGGGGCCATGTCCTGATGTCAGGTCAGGCGGATACCTCGTGGCAGCATGCTGGCTGGCTGTGAAGGGGCGCTCTGGAACACATGATATGTGCCCTGCTGGTGGGAGGCCTTCCCACAGGGATCCACACCCCTACACAGTCCACTCATGTTTTGGGGCTTGCAGACTATTCTGTTCAAACTCGAGTGAGGTGAGAGGGGCTAGTATGGGAGCCTTCCCACCTGGGCACTCTCGCACTTGGGCCTCCTTATCTGGGTCCCATCCTTCCTGGCATTTTCCCACCTGGGCCTCCTTACCTGACCTCCTCCTACCTGGCCTTACCCCAGCTCTGAGCCCTGTCAGCCCTGTAACTGTGGCACAGCCCTGCCTTTTGAGCCTCAGCCTCCGCAGGAAAGCAGCTGGCATGGTCCTAATGTGAAGGGGCCTGGGGTGGAGCATCCCTGGTGCCAGGTGCCCCCCAGCTCCGTTAGTGCTGAATCCAGACTGGAGTAAGCTGCCCCACCGTGAGCCGTTCCTCCTGGCCATCACTTCTTGCTGTCTTATCTCCAGAGGGCTTTGTGCATAGAGAAGGAAGGGATGGTACATATTGGATAGCAGGGTGGTGTTTGATTAGACAGTGAGTGGGAAGAATCGCATCCGTCCTGTGGCCCACCCGAGTAAGTGCTGTTGGTCCCAGCAGGTTTCAGCGGCAGCTCAGAGCCCGCTGGTTTGCAGTCAGGTCTGTTTATCAGAAGGCCGAGGGCCACACCAGGGAGCAGGAGGGGGACCTTGCTGTCTGGGCTTTCCTACCTGAAGAGCCTTTCTGGGCACAGTTAGTGGCTACAGAGGGGTGCCTTGTGACATGTGAGGGTCACTGCCAGACTCAGTGGCTGTCCCTGCTGTTTGGCTGGGGAAGGGTCCAGAAGTCTGTTGATGAGCTGGGCTGGCCACCCCATGGGGTACCCTGAATGCAGCAGCTGGGGTGTCTTGTCTGTCCGGGAGGGAAGTGGTTACCTGCTAGGCTGGGGCTTGGTATTTCTGACCCTGCCACTGGCTGCCAACAGAGGGTCTCAGGGCCAGCAGGCCCAGTGAATGTGGCTGTTCCTTCCAGCCCTGAGAGGTGAGAAGTTTCTCTAAAATTTCAGCCTTCTCAACTCCAAAATGGGGGCAGAAGACAGAGGGTACTTGCACTTTCCAATCCATGGTTCCTCCTTCCCCACTTGTCTTACCTTTTACTGCCAAGGAGCTTTTAGAGAGAGACGAGAACAGTGAGAAAGCCAAGCCTAAGCCGCAGTCGCCCTCCAGGAGGCGGCAGGTGTCAGTGCGCGCTCTGAGGCCCTATGCACACTCTGACCGGGGGCCAGATGGGGCAGGCTGCCGCAGGCCCCAGTGGGTGGTGGGGGCCTGGCTTTGATGCTGTGTGTCCTGTTCTCTGACCCTTCAACCAAGCTTGGCAGGTTCATAGACGGAGCCCCGTTCCTGGCCTTTGCACACAAGTAGACTCTTCCACAGAAAGGGGTGTGAGAATGACCATTCCTGTTTGTTTCTGCTCACTCCATCTGCTAAATGTGCTCTGAGACAGGGACTCCCCTTGGGGAGGGTGTGGTCTGGAGAGGGGTGTTCCCATCTCGGCCTGGGTATTCCCAGACACACCTGGGCACGGCCCCCTCAGTGAAGGCAGCGCCGGCCCTGACTTGCACCTTGTCCCCTGTGCCCCCAGATTCTGCTTGGCCACCCAGCTCCCTATGCTGTGGACGTCGCCGCTCAGGTCCCCACCGTGCCTGTGCCACCGGCTGCGGTCCTCTCGCCGCCTCTGCCGGAAGTGCTGCTGCCTGCCGCCCCTGAGCTCCTGCCTCAGTTCCCCAGCTCCCTGGCCACGGTGTCTGCCTCTGTGCAGAGTGTGCCCACCCAGACTGCCACACTTCTGCCACCAGCAAACCCACCGCTGCCTGGCGGGCCCGGGATCGCCAGCCCTTGCCCAACTGTCCAGCTGACGGTGGAACCAGTCCAAGAGGTGTGTGCCCCTCCCCCCAGCCTGTCCCATGACTGGGCAGTTGCGGCCACCGGGGATCTGCATAGTGACCTGGGGTCTTAGTCCTAGAGGTCGGGGTTGCTTAGCTCTGGGACAGCCACCCAGGTTCTGTTCTCACCTCTCCCTAGATTTCACACTTTCTGTAAGCCACATCAAGACAGAGGGTGTGATTTTTATAGATACAGGTTTAGAGGATGCTTTCCCTGGGACAGGATGCAAGAGACTGTGAAAAGCTTTCATAGCACCAGTGTGTCCTCTTTGAGGGATGATCAAAGTGGGTTAACATTTTTGGAAAGGAAGTGGCTCCCAGCTTTTATGAATACACTCGGGTCCAAGCGTTTCAACAAGATAAAAACCTCTATGCCTGCTCCCATTGTGACGCCCCCTGGGTCGTACCCACCTGGCTGCAGAAGAGAGCAGGAGAACGCAGCGGGGCAGGCTGGGCTGAGGAAGTGGGGAGGGAGAGCTGACTATGCGTGGCTGTGCCCACAGGGAGGCGGGAGTCCGCATGACCTGTTCTCTTTTCTCCGGGTGTTTATTTCAGGAGCAGGCCTCACAGGACAAGCCGCCCGGCCTCCCGCAGAGCTGTGAGAGGTAGTGTGGCCCAGCCTCGACCTCGCAGGACGGGTGTAGGGGCGCAGGCCTGTACAGCCACTCAGCCTGGCTCCTGCTGCTGCTTCCCCTGGAACCCACTATAGTTTGCCCTGATGCCATTAGGGGTTTTTCAAACCTGACCTGGTGGAGCCTCAGGGCCCTCCTCTCTGGGTCTTGCCAGCTGTTGTTGGAGTTTGGTAGCCAGAGGCCCCTGGCTGGGCTCTGGGTCTCTGCTCTGGTTTGCAGTGCTGAGAATGTTCCAGAACGGAGAGGCTATGGGCGGAGTTGGCAGTGCCCAGAGACTAGGAGGGGGCTGGGAGGGTGGCCCCCTGTGTACAGGGCTGAATCCAGCCCCGATCCTGGGTTTCCTGGCCTCCTGGGCTGTGGACACAGGTGTTTCAGGAAATGAACCGTGTCCTTATTTGAACTGTGACCATTTGTTCCACCCTCCTGGGGTGCTGGGCACTGCCTGGGCTTGGCATTTTGCAAACTGCAAAACGGATTGGCCTCACAACAGTGGTGGGTGTGTTTCTGTTGCTGTAGCACAGATGGGGAAACTGAGGCACAGGGGCTGATTCGCAGGTCAGGAGACTGAGAGGATCAAGGTAACGCAGCTAGTAGCTAGGAAGCCTGTGCTTCCTTCTGCCCGTGCCACTTGGGTGCAGCAGGGAGCTGGGTGAGGGCCCAGAAGCAGGCTTGGGGTATTCGCACAGGACGGGCTGCCTCTGTAGGTCACAGATTTGGGCCCTGGAGACTCCAGACTGTTCCAGATAAGCTGACTTTCCCCGCCATTGCCGACGTGCTGGTTGTCCTTTGGTGCCATTAATGTTCTTGGGTTTTGCTCAGCTATGGAGGTTCTGATGTCACTTCTGGAAAAGAGCTGAGTGACAGCTGTGAAGGCGCCTTTGGAGGGGGCAGGCTGGAGGGCAGGGCAGCCCGAAAACACCACCGCAGGTCCACGCGTGCGCGCTCCCGGCAGGAGAGGGCCAGCCGGCCCCGGCTTACCATCTTGAACGTGAGTGGGCGGGGCGTGGCGGGGGTGTGGTGGGGGTGGGGGCATGGTGGGGGTGTGGTGGGGGTGGGGCCGTGGCGGGGGTGTGGTGGGGGTGGGGGGGAGGGGTACTTGGGGGTGTGTGGGGGTGTGGCGGGTGCACGTGTGGGTACGCCCGTGGTGGGTGCTGATGCTGCCCCTTCCAGGTGTGCAACACTGGGGACAAGATGGTGGAGTGCCAGCTGGAGACGCACAACCACAAGATGGTGACCTTCAAGTTCGACTTGGACGGGGACGCACCCGATGAAATTGCCACGTATATGGTGAGGCTGGGTCTGGGTGGCTTGGCTCCCGGTGTTTCTTGGACACGTGTGGGCCTGAGCAGAGCGCCACAGGTCACATGTCGAGCCTGGCCTTGTGTGGAGGTGTCGGTTGGCCCAGGGGCTTTTCGGGACAGTGCTGACCTTTTACGCCTCGGGCTCTTCCCCACACTGGGCGGAAACCCCTTGGGTTTGGAAGAACAGCTTGAAGGATGTTCTAACCATTCTAAGATGCTGCTCCCTGAGGGCTTCTGGAGCATCTGAGCCCTTCCTCCAAATAAAAGGAAGCCTTGTGGGTAGGTTCCTTGAGTGAGGCACGGGAGGGCATCCCGGAGTCTGATGTCCTGTGGTCCTTGCTTAGAGCTTCCTCCAGCCTCCCCAGCTGGAGTGCGGGCTCTGAGCCCTGACCCATGTCCCATGTGCCCACCCAGCTCTGCCTGCATCTCCCTCTGGAGCCACCCCTCCCTGCCTGTGCAGACCAACCTGAGTCCATGAGCACCTTGTAGGCCTTCACAGCCCCACACCTGTGGTCCCCAGCACCTGAGCCAGGCTAGGAGTGGGGATCGTTTTCGGGCCCTCAGAAACTCTCCAGCTGAAAGCACGCACGAAGAAACATGGAAAGGATGTACATGTGGTCCTCAAATTTCCTGGTGCATCCGTGACTGCCTCCCAGGAGAACATTCTCCCCAGACCATTATTCCTGCATCAGTGAGGTTTAGGGAGCCAGGTCCTAAAGGGGCCAGCAGCACACTGGACAGTGTTGTAGCGCTCACTCCAGATGGCCACCAAGTGCCTGGAGTAGGCCGGCATGAGTAGGGAATAGAATATACCACTCAAGTTAATATCATAGATTGCCCCACGTGCCTGCCTGCGGCTGCTGCATTGCACATCATCAGAAAGCTGCCCCCTTGGGCTGCATCCCCCTGGCCACCCCTGCCCTGGCTTCGTGAAAGCCTCATGTGGGCTTTGCAGGGGGAAGCCCCTGGCTTTCTGCTCCTAGGGAGCAAGTCCCTGCCTTAGTGTCTGCTTTGCAGAGACACCTTGGACAAAGCCCTCCCAGATCCCAGGTCCAGAGCATAATCCCCCGCAGCATTAGAGAAATTCTTCTGACGCTTGCTACAGTGGTCGGGAAGACTTTATTCAGGACTGTGGCAATAAGCGAGAGAGAATGAGTTTAACTCCAAATGCAGCAGAGACCACAGGGGATTGGTAGCAGAGGAGCAGTGTGGTGATGGGTGGCTGGAAAATAGCTAAGAGGAGACATCAAGGTCAGGGATTCTGGAGAAACCCTCGTAACAGGATCCTTGCTGGGGGTGGGTGAGAGGCTTTGTTCAACCTCAAAGGTGGGAGATGAGGAATATGGTCAGATACAAAGGCTGGGAATTCTTTCTACAACTGGCTTAGGCTGAAGACATGATGGGGCCTAGTCAAGCCTAGTTGGAGGGTCAGAGGCGTGAGCTGCGCTTTGGTCAGGGAGGAGTCTTTGTCAGCAGCAAGCAGCTGGTTCGTCAGCGCAGCACAAACACCAGGTCCTCACTGGGCCACTGAAACTGGAGAACATTTCTTCTCTCATCTTACTGTGTTTTAAACCTGTGTCTTGTATTACTTTATACACATGTGTTTCAAACATGATAAAGCATAATAATAAAGTGAACACCCGTGAAGTTATCACTCAGCCACCAGCTGATGCTGCATGTGCGGCTGACGCTTCCAGTGCTTGCCTGCCCGAGCAGGAAGCCACACATGCGACATCAGCCACATCAGCCTGTGTCGTGTCCACTGGCCCCCTGGTTTTCAGTCTTCTTGTGTGTCTCTGTGTGTGAGTCTTTGTGAGCTGCACACATGTAAGTCCTGCACAGTAAGCAATGGGGCTATCTTTAGCTGTGTGCTTTGTAAAAATAGCATCTTCTCAGCCTTGTTTTTTTCACTCAGCACTCGGATACTCCTCTCATTTTATTGCTTTTTCTGCCATCTTAGTAAACCAAGTCACCTAACATACCTGTGTGAAGTAAGCATGCTACAGATATACAAATTTGGTCCATAAAAACAGCCCAGCAGCCCTCCTCCTCACAGCCCATTCCTATCCCAGGGACAGACTGGCTCCAGAGGTTCGAGTTGAAGGGTGGGTGTGTGGCCTGTGGGACAGGCGCTGTTTAGACAAGCTTCTGCCCGCCCTGTGGACTGTCTTTCTGTGAGTGTGAGGTACCAGCTGTCCCTGAATGTCCCATCAGTGGTTAGAGGTCGGCAGGCCTTGGGTTCATCATTCTGACCATGACGACCTTGCCAGCCCCTTAGTAAAGGTGGAACTGCAGAAGTTTCATTTAATTGGCGTGGATTCTAATGCCAGGTTTTACCTGGACCTTGTATTTTTAGATTTTTATTTTGTTTTCAAGTTAATTTTATTCTCAACATACTTGAAAAGAAACATAATAGGAAAACATTTTCTAGTTGCAAAGGGGTTCTAGTTCAGTTTTGTTTAGTGAAAATTTCACAAAATTGGAACGTTGCTTAAATTCTCGTATGTGGCACTCCAGTCACAGCTGGCTGGATGTTCCAACTTTGGCCACAGTGTACTCCTCTTAGACAACATTGCAGTCACATGTTACACTAAATTAAGTGGTGAATCACGGAACACAGCACAAGCCAGCACTTTGTCTGGAGGTGTATGCAGGTGGTGCTCCTGGGGTTGGGGTCTGGGGTGCCAGGGGAGTGTGGAGCGCAGAGGAGCTCTGCTTTTCAGCCAGCTGTTTATAGTAGGGCAGATGTGCCCATCCTAGAAGGGATCTGAGACCACAGATGCCCCAGGCAGGGCCTAGAGCATCTCGGTGACTGCAGAGGTGTCTGCCTGGGAGGAGGTGCCATGGCAGGAAAGGGGCAGGGTCTGGACCCCACTGGGTGGTGGCACAGGCTGACCTCTTCCATTGGTTATGGTTTTATGAGATGCACAGCATTTTCTCTGCCTGAATGGCCGAGGATTTAGCCAGAGCCGGTGTGAGCCCAGGGCCACATGCCCACTGTGAAAGTTGGAGACTGTGGACATCTCCTGAGCCCCTGGTCTGGAGGCTTCGTGGCATTCAGGCTGTGGTGTGGGACCTCCCCTCAGCCATGACAGGAGCTGCTCGTTGGACATCAGGCCACGCTTGCCTGTGTGCCCGGGCCATAGTTGAAGGTCAAAGCCTGAGGCTGGGAGAGCAGGGGGTGCGCAGACCGACAGGTGACATATGGCCATCCTGCTATAACCTTCCCGTCCCCCTGTTGCTTTCTGTCCCCCACAACCTCCTGCTGGCTGGAACCTTTGCCTTCAAATCCATCCTTCTTGTCTGTCATGACTGCCTGGGCACCTGTGCCCAGATGGACCCCCTCCCCTCTTCCCAGTCCCCGTCCTCGGCCCCCTGCATCCTATGCACTTACCTGTTCTGAAGATGGCTGGACCGGCCTCAGGGTCTGTAACCAGCTCCAGCTGGGGCAGGGCATTGCTGGCCCAGGTCCCATGCTTGGAGGAGGGAGTTGCTTCTCAAGATGAGGCTGCTCTCCTCCCATCCTGGGGCCATCCATGTCACTTGCTGAGCTGTCCAGCCCCTGTCTTGGGGACTGCACCCTTTCACCATTCTTCCCTTGGGGCCTGGTACAGGGTAGACATCCGTCAATCCAGATGAAGACCTAGGGTGGTCTTGGCCTTGCAGCTGGTCCTCACTGGCAGTATGTCCCTTTGCAGGTGGAGCATGACTTTATCCTGCAGGCCGAGCGGGAAACGTTCATCGAGCAGATGAAGGATGTCATGGACAAGGCAGAGGACATGCTCAGCGAGGACACAGACGCCGACCGTGGCTCCGACCCAGGGACCAGCCCGCCACACCTCAGCACCTGCGGCCTGGGCACCGGGGAGGTGAGGTTGTGAAATCCGGGGTGGGAGGTGGTGAGAGTGCAGTGGCTGGGCAGGTGGGCGCTGCAGCTCAGTGGGCTCATTTCTGACCCTCCACCTCATTCAGGAGAGCCGACAATCCCAAGCCAACGCCCCCGTGTATCAGCAGAACGGTGAGTCTGCAACTTCCCTCCCTGCTTTTAAGCAGGCGTTTGATGAAAGTCCCCACTCAGCATATTACCAGGGGTTTGGCCATTGCTTGGGGGGATTATGGAAGCATGTGGTGACCAGGGGCCCCAGTCTGGGGACAGCTGCCCTGTCCGAGGAGCTGTCACCTGCAACCGGCATCACGGCCTTCATGGATGGTGCCTTGGGCATCCCAGGAACCAAGCCTACGCGAGGGGTCCTCTCGGGAGCTTCGGGGGCTGCCAGTGAGGCACCCCAGGTTCTGCTGTGCACCCCTTGCCCTCTGGTGTGAGGGAAGAGCAGGCAGAAGCCCATCACCAGGGCCTCTTTACCAAGGAGCCTGGGGAACCACCTGCTTCGTGGAGGGAAGCGTTGGGGATTAATGACTGGGAACAGTGTTCTCTGCCCACACCCTTCCTGGAGAAAATCCCATAGGTGTAAAGGAGTTCACAGACCCACTGTGGCAAGTCTGGTGCAGGTGATGGGGGTCACACTGGCCTGGAAAGGCGCTCACTCACTCAGCGTGCTGTTTCTGTTCTGCCCTTCAGTCCTGCACACCGGGAAGAGGTGGTTCATCATCTGTCCGGTGGCTGAGCACCCCGCCCCCGAGGCCCCTGAATCTTCGCCCCCACTTCCTCTAAGCTCCCTGCCGCCAGAAGCCAGCCAAGGTATGAGCAGCAGGCGCCCACACAAGCCCCTCCCTGTTTCATGTACAGGCCTCCTTCTGTGCATGACCCAGCCGGTATGTGCCCCGTGCCCAGGTCCATGCAGGGGGCTCACCCTGCCCTGTCTCCCATGGCGCAGAGCAGCCTGTGGGGCTGTGTTCCTATCCTTGTTTTCTGCTGAATCAGCTCAGTCAAAGCAGCCTCCAGGTTTGAGTCTGCCCTGTTACCCCACCAAGTAGGTGGCTCGCATGGCCATATAGGTGTGTGTTGAAGAGCTCCGCTGTCCTTCCTTCACAGTGTTAACCTGGCAACTCCTTGCTCCTGTCCCTTTCCTCTGTGCCGCACACCTGCAGCAGACACGCCTCTGCTGGTTCTGCTTGCTTTGGGGGGTGGGGTGGGAAAGTCCCTGTTGGTGCTGAGACTCTGATTTTAAAGTGTTCACACAGACATTTATCACTGTGCATTGATCTGCACCTGCACCTGCCTGTACAGATGCCAACAAGCCCGTGCTTTGGGCTGTCAGTTAAATCTTGTTGGTCCTTTGGGAGGCTGAAAATAGTCACTTGAACAAATTTAAGGTTTAATTCCTTACCAGTTGGCAGGGGAAAGTTACTGATTCTATAACTTGACATAACCTTATGGCACATTCATGAAAAATATCTGTAAATCATTTTTAATTTTATGTCATGTGCTTCCAGTGACTCCCATTATCTTTTGGAGATTCGTTCCCATGGGGGACAGGTCAGCCTAATAACGAAATCCAAACAAAGCAACGAGCTGAAACAAGGTGATCTCAGGTAAAGGGCTTGGCCTCAGCCTGGGCTGAGAAATCAGAGAGAAGCAGCCTTGCCTACAAGATTGAATTTTTAAATAAGTATATGTTCGTATATTACTTCTGGATTTTAATACATACACACCCAATTATAAGAAAAACCCTCCTAAGAGCTAATTTTTCCTGTGATGTAGGGGTGCAGGGGACACTGTGGTGTAAGTTTAGGGGACAGTACGGTTAATAGAATGAAATTAAACCCTCTTTCCTTCATCTATGCACTGAGTGACCTCAGGAAACCTTTTTGAGCTGGTCTTTTTTCTATTTAAAAAAAAGGAAAAATTGGTGGCAGATCTGTTAATTTAGATAAACCATCCACTGAGAATAACCAAAAAATGATAAAAGTCATCTGTGTGAAGGCATTTGAAATCTGATCATAGTGGAGAATTATTAGGCTGGGGTCCTGGGAAGGATGGAGACATAGGGATGTGAACCTAGTTTTGGCTCCTTTTCCCCAGGGAGCATCTCCCATTCCTGCAGGGGTGGCTGAGAGGCCTTGTGGCTTCAGCAGCTTCATCAGGCTAGAGAAAATGAGCTTATAGAGTCCAGGGCCCTGAGGGTGGTCCTGCTGAAGCGCTGTACTGGAGAAGGAAGGACTAGCTGGAAGGAGATAGGCCTGCAGAGAGAGGAGCCCACCTCAGAGCATCTCAGCCCCTCATTAGGACGGTCTTGGAGTGCCGTGGGTTCAGGCATGTGCACGGAAGGCCTTTCTGCAGGAAGGAATATTATTCTGGGCCTCACATGACTTGTATGACCAATTTTGTGAATACAATATCTGGCACATAATAAAATGACCAAAGAGTTGGGTGCTGGGTAAGGTAGAGAAAGCACACACATCCATTTTTCTTTCCACTGAAATGCACTGTAAATCCTGGATTGATGTGTGACACAGCTGTCTGAGTACTTGGGAAAATTTTAGCAGTGGGAAGATTGGGGATGCACCCCAGAATTCAAAGTGCTACTGAGCTGGTGGTGAGTTGAATGATTTCCTCTGATATTTCCTGGTCTGACTGAAGTACAGCCCAAGGAGCAGAAGCAAATGCTTTGGTGCAGGCAGGAAAGCCTCCAGGAGAGATCCTGTAGTTCCATCTCCCAGACCAGGAAAGGCAACTCCTAAAGCTCAGAGAAGAGAGAGAACCCCTCCCCATTGCTCACCCCCCTTCTCTTGCACCAGCACGCCGACAGTTCTGGAGGTAACAGGAGCAGCAGGTAACAGGAACATGCAGGAGCCAAAACAGTGAGAGCAGAGAACCATTCTTTATTTGAGGAAGCCAGGACTCTAGGAGCACAAAACCAAAACCTGTCACATTTTTTTTCTCTGTCCTCTTGCCACCTTGTCATTCATGGCACAGCCGCAGAATTGGGTGGTTTCTGTTCGAAGGTTTGGAAAGGTGAGTCCTAGGGAACCAGGAAGTATCATGGAGAGCACAGAAAAGGAGTTTGGGAAAGTAACCCTATAAAGTTGTTTATGGACTCCTGGGCTCACCCCCAACCTGTGCATGCATGCATCTGACCCTAATAGCATATAAGAAACTTGGGCAACTGAGCTAATGAGTAGACCTCGCCCAGGTTCCAGTACACCTGTTTCAGATGAGATTAGTACTGGGAAGGCATTGAAAGTGGAACTGACATGTAACCACAGCCCATAGAAGGCGGGTTGCAACTCGCAGTCTGAACCTAACTAGGTTGATTGCCTACTGAAGCAAAAATATTAACATTCATCATAAGGTTTAAACAAGTCTCAGGATTTCCTAATGTCATTGAAAATGTTCAGAATAGAATTCAAAATAATTTATCAAATGAAAAGCCATGAAAATGTTAACTTGCATGGAAAAAGGTAGCCATGGTGCCAGTGACAAGACGATGTAGATTTTGGGATGATCTGACAAAAACTTTAAAGCAACTGTTATAAATATAACTGAAAAAGCAATGACAAACATTCTTGAAACAAATGATAAAGTAGTATCTGCAAAGAAACAGAAGATGCAAAGAAGAAACAAATGGAATTTTTAACATTGAAAGTTAAAATACCTGAAATTGTCCCACTGGAAAACAGGGGAGAAAGATAGAGAAAAATAAACAGAGCTTCAGGGAACTGCGGAACAATAACTAAAGGGCTAACTTGTGTGTCATTAGAGTCTCAAAAGGGAAAGAGAAAGAATGCAGTGCTGAAAACACATTTGAAGAAATAATGCTAAAAATTTCCCAAGTTTGGTGAAAGACGTAAGTCTACAGATTCTAGAAGCTAAGCAGACCCCAAATAGGTTAAATGCAAATCAATCTGCTGAAAAGTAAAGACAGCCAGACAAAAATTATGCATTACCTAGATTGGAACAGTGATTTGAGTGACTATAGATTTCTCGCCAGAAAGTGTGGTGTACAGAAGAAAGCAGCAGGGCATTTTTAAAGTGTTGAAAGAAAAAACTGTCCATCTAGAATTCTGTTTCCAGGGAAAATACCCTTCAAGAATGAAGCTGAAGTAAGGCCATTCTCAAATAAAGAAAACTAAGGGAATTCATGGGCTGCACACCTACTCTAAAATTAGAATTGTTAAAGATCTTCAGACAGAAAGGAAATGAGACTAGAAGATAACCTGGAACATCCGGGCTGAAGGAAGAGCAACAGAAGTTGTAAATATAATAGACTATTCTTCTCCTCGAGTTCTTTAAAACATTTCTGACAATTGAAGTAAAAAAAAGATTATAACAATTTAACCTTCCATTCCACCAGTGTGGCAAATGGAAGGTAAACTACTAATTCCATGTAGACTGTGAAAAGTTAAGTATATATTTTGGAATTCCTAGAGCAACCACTGAAAGAATTATACAAAAAGATGTGTATAGGCAAAATCATAGTAGATAAGATGAACTAAAAAAATTCAAAGGCCGAGCATGGTGGCTCATGACTGTAATCCCAGCACTTTGGGAGCCCAAGTTCGGGGGGATCACCTGAGGTCAGGAGTTTGAGACCAGCCTGACCAACATGGAGAAACCTCGTCTCTACTAAAAATACAAAATTAACTGGGTATGGTGGCACATGCCTGTAGTCCCAGCTACTCAGGAGGCTGAGGCAGGAGAATCACTTGAACCCGAGAGGCGGCAGTTGCAGTAAGCCGAGATCGCGCCATTGCACTCCAGCCTGGGCAACAAGAGCGAAACTCCGTCTCAAAAAAAAAAAAAAAAAATTCAAATAACCCGGAAGAGGAAATGAGAAGAGAAATAAAATATTTTTAATTAAAAAACAGAGAGAAAAAAACGAAAGCAAACAGTAAAATGGTAGACCTTAATCTAAGCATACTGATAATTAACCTCAAGTTAACAGTTTTAACACGTCAATTAAAAAATGATTATGAGAATGGATTAAATTTAAAAACCAAACAACTTGAGCTAAGTACATGCTATCTATTAGAAACTTCAAGTACAACAATACTGATGAACTGAAAGGTCAAAAGAAAAAGGATGGTGAAAGACAGACCATGCAAACACAAATCAAAAGAATGCTGGGTTGCCTGTTTTAATTTCTGACAAAATAGACTTCAGAGCAAAGAAATTACCAGGGTTAAAAAGAGACTTTATTTATTTACTTATTTAGTTAGTTAGTTTTTGAGATGGAGTCTTGCTCTGTTGACAGGCTGGAGTGCAGTGGCACGATCTTGGCTCATTGCAACCTCTGCCTCTTAGATTCAGGCGATTCTCCTGCCTCAGCCTCCCGAGTAGCTAGGACTGCAGGCACACACCACTGTGCCCAACTAATTTTGTATTTTTAGTAGAGACAGGGTTTCACCATGTTGGCCAGGATGGTCTCGACTCTTGACCTCATGATCCACCCGCCTCGGCCTCCCAAAGTGCTGGGATTACAGGCGTGAGCCACTGTGCCCGGCTGACATTACGTATTTATAAAGAGTAAATTCCTCAAAGGACATAACAGCCCTAAATGTGTATACATCTAAAAGCAGAGCTTCAAAACTAACAGAACTGAAAGCAGAAATAGACAAATCCACAACTGTAGTTGGAGACTCCAACACTCTCGATAGATAGAACTAGTAGACAGAAAATTATCAAGAATATAGAAGATCTGAAAACACTATCAACTAACTTGACCTAATTGACATTTATAGAACACTCCACTCAAAAACAATACATTTTTCAAGTACGTATGGAACAATTAATATATCCTGAGTTATAAAACAAAACTTAACAAATTTAAAAGTATTGAAATTATGTCAAGTATGTTCTCCGATACAGTGTAATATAAAATTAAATAACACTTCTAAATAATTTACAGTAAGAGAAAAAGTTGGAAGGAATATTAGAAAACAATTTGAAATGAACAAGAGTGAAAATACAGCATAATAAATTTGTGGGATGTAGTTAAAGCAGTACTTAGAGGGAAATTTATAGTACTAAAATGCTTAGATGAGAAAAGAGGTCTCAAGTCAATGACTCAACCTTCTACCTTAAGAAACAAGGAAAACCTATAGCAAAATAAATCCGAAGCAAGCATAATGAAGAAAATAAAGACAAGAGCAGAAAGCTGTGATATCTAAAACAAAAATCACAGGCAAAAACCAATGAAACAAACTTATTTTTAAAAACGTTAGTAAAATGATAAACCTCTAGCAAGACTGCAAGGACAAAACAAAATACCAATACTAAAGAAAGCACATAAGGCCGGGTGCAGTGGCTCACGCCTGTAATCCCAGCACTTTGGCGGGTGGATCACGACGTCAGGAGATCGAGACCATCCTGGCTAACACGGTGAAACCCCGTCTCTACTAAAAGTACAAAAAATTAGCTGGGCATGGTGGCGGGTGCCTGTAGTCCCAGCTACTCAGGAGGCTGAGGCAGGAGAATGGCGTGAACCCAGGAGGTGGAGCTTGCCGTGAGTCGAGATCGTGCCACTGCACTCCAGCCCGGGCAACAGTGCAAGGCTCCGTCTCAACCAAAAAAAAAAAAAAAAAAAAAAAGAAAAAAAACACATAAAAGACCAATATCAGGAATAAAAGAGGTATATTACTGTAGATAAAGGATAAAAGGATAATACTGCAATAGTCTGAACAAGCTTACAGACAGAAATTAAACAATTTAGGTGAAAGAGACTAATTCCTCAAAAGCCATAAACTACTAAAATTCATCTAAGATAGAATAATCTGAATAGCCCTGTACCTGTTTTTAAATTCATTCTTTTAATAATGAATTTGTTGTTAAAAATCTCCCCAAAAAGAATTCTCCAGGCCAAAATAGTTGCACTGGTGAACTCTGCCAGACATTTAAAAGAGATTCAACACCAATACCACTTCCACAAAATCTCTTCCAGAAAATAGAGGAGGAAAGAACACTTCCCAAATCATTTTACGAGGCCAGCACTGCCCTGATTTTAGGACCAGCCAAAGACAGTACCAAAAAAGAGAATGATAGACCAATAAGTCTCATGAACATAGAGGGCAAATATTCTCAAAATATTAGCAAGTCAAATTCAGCACTATATTAAAAGGACAGTGTGCCATGAGAAAGTGGGTATATGCTGGGAGAGCAATATTGAAGAGTCAGTCCACCATATTAATAGTCTAAAGAAGGAAGAAACATATGATCATAACAGTTGACACAGCAGAATCAGTTGACTAAATACAACATCCATTCATGACAAAAATCCTTGGCAAACAAGCCAGGCACAATTGCACATGCCTATAGTTGTAGCTACTTGGGAGGCTGAGGCAGGAGGATCACTTGAGGCCAGGAGTTTGAGGCTGCAGTGTGCTAAGACTGTGCCTGTGAATGGCCACTGCATTCCAGCCTGGGCAACATAGCAAGACCCAGGTATCTTAAAAAAAAAAAGTAATAATTCTTAGCAAACTAGGAAAATAAGGGTACTTCTTCAGTCTGATTAATTTAAAACACACATACATACACACAACATAAAAACCCACCGTTTCCAGCATATTTAGACCAAATGTGTTCTCCCTAAGATTGAGAAACAAGGCAAGAATATGTTTTCACCTATCTTATTCAGCATTGAACTGTCTTAGCCAGATTTAAAGACAAGCAAGAAACAGAAGTGAAAGGCATGTGGATTAAAAAGAAAGAAATAAAACTATCTTATTTGCAGATAACATGATTTCATATGTAGATGATGACATGGATTCTACAGCAACAACTTCTAGAACTAATAAGTGAGTTTAGCAATACCATAGGATACGCAGTCATCATACAAAAATACCTCAATATTTGTATATACTGGCAGTGAACAATTGAAAACCCAAAATTTGAAGGCTATACCATTTATAGGAGCTCCCCCAAAAGGATTTACATAGATCCAAGTTTAATAAAACATGCAGAATCTGTATGCTGAAAACTACAAAGTACCGATGAAATGAATCAAAGGTTACCTAACTAAATAGAGAAGCATACTGTGTTCATGGATTGGAAGACTCAACATAGTAAAAATGTCACTTCTACCCAAATGGATCTGTAGATGCATTGCAGTAACAAAAGTTAAAGCAGATTACTTTTTGTAGATATTGACATTCTAAAATTTATATGGAAGTACAAAGGAAATAGAAATGGCTAAAATCATTTTGAAAATGGAGAATCAAGTTAGAGGGATCACATTACTGAATATTAAGCTTACTATAAAGTTACAGTAATCTAGACAGTATAATATTGGCAAAGGGATTGGTACACACATCGGTGGAACAGAATGAGCCCAGAAATAGACCCACACAAATATGACCATTTGATTTTGACAAAGATGCAAAAGCAATCCAAGAAGAGATAATCTTTTCAATAGATGTTGGAACAGTCGGTCATCCTTATGCAGAAAAATGAACCTTTACCCTAAGCCTCACATTTTACTCAAAACTTAATTCAAAGTGGATCAAATGTAAAATGCAAAAACTGTGTAAGTTTTATAAGGAAACATTGGAGAAAAATCATTTTTGATCTGTGCCAGGCAGGAGTTCTTAGACCTGACACCAAAAGTATGATGTATAAAAGAAAAAATGGATACATTAGACAATGTCAAAATCTTTTGCTCTGTGAAAACTACTGTTAAGAGAATGAAAAGACAAGCTACAGACTGGTAGCCAATAATGGCAAATCACATATCCAACATAGTGTCTGTGCTAGGAATATTTAAAGAATTCTCAAAACTCAACAGTAAAATGAGCATAAAAAATGAGCAACTTGGCTGAGTGCAGTGGCTCACACCTGTAATCCCAGCACTTTGGGAGGCCAAGGCGGGTGGATCATGAGGTCAGGAGTTCAAGACCAGCCTGGCCAAGATGGTGAAACCCCATCTCTACTAAAAATACAAAAATTAGCCGGCCGTGGTGGCGGGCACCTGTAATCCCAGCTACTCAGGAGGCTGAGGCAGAGAATTGCTTGAACCCAGGAGGCAGAGGTTGCAGTGAGCTGAGATCGCGCCACTGCACTCAAGCCTGGGCGAACGAGCTAGACTCCGTCTCAAAAAAAAAAAAAATGAGCAACTCACTTGAGCAGATGAGCAGATACTTCACCAAACAGGATATAAGGATGGTAATTAAGTACATGAAGAGTTGTTCAATATTATTGACTACTGGGGAAATGCAAATTAAAGCAGCCACAGGGAGGCATCACTGCACACCTGTTAGAATGACTAGACTGACTGCATCAAATCTGGGTGTGGCTGTGGAACAGCTGGAACTCATACATTTCTGGGGGTATGTAAAATGGTATAGCCATTCTGGAAGACAGTGAGGCAGTTTATTATAAAAGATATACTTGCTATATGTCATAGCAATTTTACTCAGTTTTTACCCTAGAAAAATGAAAACTTATGTTCACTTAAACATCTATGTATGAATGATTGTAGTTTTACTCATAATTACCCAATTGCCAAAACTGGAAACAAACCAGTTTTCCTGCAGTGGGTGAATAGATAAAAACTATGGTACTTTGAAAAAGAAATATATCATTGGTAAATTGATCAACATGGGTGAACCTCAAAGGCATTAAGCTGAGTGAAAGAAGCCAATCTCAAAAGGCTTCATACTGTATAATTCCATTTATAATGACATTCTAAAATGCTAAACTATAATGATAAGGAACAGGGTCAGTGCTTGCCAGAGACTAGGAGAATGTTCCTATATAGGGAACATGCAAGGAGGTGTTTTGGGGTGATGGAATTGTTTTCTATCCTGATTGTGGTGGTAACTAAATGGATACATGTGTGTCAAAACTCATGGAACTCTACCCCTAAAGAAAAAGTTAATTTTACTGTATGGTAAGTTTTAAAGTTCTTTTAAGTTTACCTGTGTTGAAAAAAGATGACCAGGCAGATAATGAGACAGAAATAAGATAGCATAAAAGAGAAGCAGCAGAAACCACCAACAATAAAAAGGGCCCTTGTACTTCTGCTTTAGGCCAAGATGGAATAATAGTCTCTAGATTTGTTTTCCTTCAGAAAACAACTTAAAAAGCATTCAAAATTTATATAACAATGTTTTTTTCAAGGCTTCGAACATCAGTCAGTGAAGGACCCTGCAAGACTGAAAAAAAGTCACTACAGTTATCTCAGCCTACTGCCTTGAAAAAGTTTCTATTCCAGAGCAGGGAAGGAAGAGCCCAGGCAGAGCTTGGGAGATTGTGGAGTGAGGAGACCAAGCTGAGAGTGTGGAGAGACCCAAATGTCAAGAATTTCCAAGGCGGAGTTCTGGAGAGGAGAGAGCTGCGGAGAGAAGAGTCTGAAGATAACGGGTGATTCCCCTGGATGATTTCGCAGAGCACTGTGTGTGAGGAAACTCACCCAGGCTGAGGAATGACCCACCACGAAGGATCAGAGGGAGTGGACCCGGGAACTCACACAGGCCTGGGAATGTCTGTTCCTGCCAGCCAGCTGGAAAGCCTTATAATTCAAGGGGTTTTGGGTACAGTACAAAAAAGGCGCTTGCCTCAGTCCTGGAGGATAATTAGCCCTAGACTAAGTGCTTCTCTTACCTCACCTGTCAGATCTTAAGAGCAGGATCTGAGAAGATCCAATTGTTTCAAGGTAACTTAACTGCATCCCACAACACACTTCAAGAATGTTTATAGGAATACAAATTCATCCAGCACCCAATATGTTAAATTTTACATTATCTGGCATCCAATCCAAATTATGAGACAGGACAACATAAGAAAAACCCTACCTTCTAAACCAAACCATAACTGATACAGACATTAGGATGAGCAGATTAAGTACATTAAGACAGTTACTATAACTGTAGTTCATATGTTCAAAAAGCTATAGAAGTGTAATTCACCATATTGATCAACTAGAAAACAAAGAAAAACAATTCATATGGTTGTCTCAATAAATGTAGAAAAAGCGGTTGACAAAACCCAACAATTATAAACATCTTCAGAAGACTTGGAATCGAAAGGAACTTCCTCACCCTGATGAAGGGAATATACAAAATCCTACAGGCAACATCATACTTAATGGTGAACAGCCGAAAAGCATCCCCCAAAGATTGGGAACTAGGTGAGGATGTCTGTTCTTCCACCTCTCTTCCTCATTTTACTGGAGCTTCTGGGCAGTTCATAAGGAAAGGGCATAAAACACATCCAGATTGAAAAGGAAAAACTGAACCCATCTTTATTTGCAGAAAACATGTTTGTGTAGAAAAACAAATGGAATCCCCAACACAACTAGAATCAATAAGTGAGCTGGGTAGTAAGATACATGATCAATATATGAAAAGCTGTTGTATTTCTGTATGCTAACAACAATCAAAGATTGAAATTCTGAAAATTATTTTTGTATGGATTATTTAGGGTTAAACCTGACAGAATATGTGCAAGATCTGTACAGTGAAAACAGCAGAACAATGCTCATGGAAATTAAAGAAGATCCAAACAAGCGCCCTGTTCATGGGTCAGAAGACACAGTATTGTTACAGTGCTAATTCTCCCTAAATTGACCGACAGAGCCAATGAGCTGCAGTCAGAAGACCAGCAGTCTTTGTAGAAACTGAGAAGCCAACTCTGAATTTCACATGAAAACACAAAGGGCATGGAAAATTGGAAACAGAACTAAATCAGAGAACTAACAATACCAGATTTCAATAATTATTATAAAACTACAGTAATCAAGACAATGTGGTATTGATGCAAAGACAGACAGATAGATCAACAAAATGAAATAGTCTGGAAATCAACCCACACAACCTACAGATGTTTGGTTTTTGATAAACATTTAAATGACTTTCAGGAAAGTGAGGACAGTCTTTTCAGCTTTGTAACAGTTGATCATCCTTATACACACACACAAAAAAGGATGTTTATTCATACTGCATACTATATACAAAAATCCACTCAAAATAGAATGCAGACCTAAATGTAACACTGAAAACTATGAAACTTATGGTAGAAAACCTAGGAGAAAATTTATGTAACCTTGGGTCAGCAGAGATTTCTAAGATACAACATCAAAGCATGATCTGTAAAACAAAAAATTAGTAAACTGAATTCGTCAAAGTTTAAACTGTCTACTCCTTGACAGACACAAAATGAATGAAAACATAAGCTAGAGACTAGGAGAAGATATTTTCCAAGCACATATGTGATAAAGGTCTTGTATCCAGATATCAGGAACTCTCAAAAGACAGTAGTAAGAAAATAAACGATCTATTGAAAAGGTTGGTACAGATGCTTCACCAAAGATATGTGGATGCCAAAGGGGTGTATGAAAAGATGGTTATTCAGTAGGGAAATGCAAATTAATACCACAATGAGACACCACCGTACACTATTAAAATAACTAAACTTTAACAGATCATGTGTTGGCGAGGCCATGGAGGAGCTGGAACTCTTAGGCACTGTATGAAATGGTACAGCCACTTTGGAAAACAGTTTGTTAATTTCTTTAAAAAGTAAATGTGCAGATACCATGTGATCCACCCATTTTACTTCTGTGTACTTAACCAAAATTAGTTAAAACAGATGCCTATACACTGCAAAGGAATGTTCATAGCAGCGTTATTGATAATAGCCAAGACCTGGAAACGGCTTAGGTGTCTATCCTTCACATTTCTTGAGTTGAAATGTGCAGCTCATGAATGCTTTTGTGTTAATTTCATCTTCATTGAAGTCAGATCCTTTCCCCAGGATTTGAGGCTGGGGCTTATTTTCTTCAGCACTGTGAGGACAGCACTATTCCTTGTCTACTGGCATATGTTGTCTGTACTGTGGCAGAAGCTTCCAAACTTTTAAAGAACCTGTTTTTTCTCTAACATTCTTTGAATTTTTCCACATGCTTTTGTGAAACACTTTGTGGTCTACCCATACACTATAATGCTACTCTGCAGTAAAAAGGAATCAATTGTTGATACACATTGCAGCATGGATGATTTTCAGAATAATTATGCTGAATGAAAAGACACAAGGAAGAATGCTTGCCATGTGACTGGACATATATAAAATTCTAGAAAATGCAGTTATTTGTGGTGGCTGAAAGCAGATCAGTAGTTGGGAACAAAGGCGTGGCAGGAAAGGAGAGGGAAGAACAGACACAAGGTTCACAAGGAAACATCCAGGAGGGTGATGACTATGTTCATTAGATTGTGATGATTTTACTTATATGCCTGTGTCAAAACTTAGATATGTGCAACTTATTGTAGCAGTTATACCTAAATAAAGCTATTAAGATCCAAACAGCAGTAACAGAGCATGTCAGCAGAGGTTCCCAATGGTGGAGTTATCAGACTGAGAACTAAGTTTGCCTACTGCATTAAAAGAAACAAATGACTAGATTGAAATTTTTGTCAAAGAATTAGAAACTATGCCAAAAAAAAAGCTAAATGGAAGTTGTAGAACTGAAAAATACATTAGTTAAAATTAAGACATCAGAGGATGGATTGTACACTGCCAGAGAGAGAATCGGCAAGCTCTAAAGAAACTAAAGTAAAATAAGGATAATGAAAACAGTAGAAAATAGAAAAGAGGTGCTAAGAAATATAGAGATTACAGTGAGATGGTCAAACATCATGTAATTGGAGTCCCAGAAAACAAGAGAATGCAGCAAAAACAAGTTTGAAGAGATAATGCAGAGAATTGGAAGGCATGAAGCCACTAATTCAAGAAACTTCCAAACTCTGTAAGTTAAAAAAGAAATCTGCACTTACATATATCATAAAGTGCTGAAAATCAAAGGCACATGGGAAAATTTAAAGGATGCCCAAGAAAAAACAGGTCCTTTAAAGGTTTGGAAGCCCCTGTCTCAGTACAGATAACATATGCCAGTGGACAAGGAATAGTGCTGTCCTCGCAGTGCTGAAGGAAATAAGCCCCAACCTCAAATATCGGTAAAAGGATCTGACTTCCATGAAGATGAAATGAAGAGAAAAGCAGTCATCACCTTCACAGCTCAATTAAAGAAATACTAAAGGGAATATTTTTAGACAGAAGAACAATGACTGCAGATGAAAGGCCAGAATGCAGGTAGGAACAAAAACTGATGGAATTATAAATGTATGAGTAGATCTAAGTGAATTTTGACTGGATGAAAAAATAATGTCTTGAGGTTTAAAATGTTTGGCATGTTAAAATGCATGAAAATGGGGCATATTTATCAGGAGGCAGGAAATGCATTTAAAGGGCTCCAGGATTCCATGTTGCCTAGGCAGAGAGCCAAATCAAGAATGCAAATGATAGTCTCTAGAATAACCCCTGTGAGACTCGTAGAATAGCAGATAACCTCCACACTTGTGGAGGGGGCAGGTGGGGAAGGAATTTTTTAAAATATGGCAAAGAAGGAAAGAAACAGCAACACTGAACATGGAGAACACATAGAAATCTTTAGTAAGATGCTAGTTTTAACCCAAGTAGATCAGTAATTAAATGTAAATGGACTAAATCTCAAAGATTCTCAAAAGTGAAAAAAAAAAAACAGAACAAAGACATAAGATTATAAAAAGATTAAGAGTAAAAAACAAAAATGGAAAAAGAGCACACTAATACTCACCTAGAGGAAGCTAATGTCTATATTTTTATATCAATGTAGATTTTAAGGCAAAAACATAATGGTGAAAGATTCAACTGGCCAGGAAGATATAATAATTTAATGTTTGCTTATATTTAGTAATAAGCCCTCAAAATGCATAAAATAAAAATTAACACAACTAAAACAAATGGAGCAATTTACAATCATGGGAGATTTCAGCTTTTGGAATAGGAGACACTCAGTAGGGATAGAGAAAATTTCAACCACAGAATTAGTATCTTATATATACAGGACACTGTACTCAGTAGCTGAAGAATGCACTGTTTTTTCATGCACACAGAATATTTTTAATTTAACTTTACGCAGACCCAAAACAAATCTCAACAAGTTTCAAAGAATCAAAATCACTTGATGCATGCTTTTGATTAAAGTTGGAAGTAAACCCAAGCTCATTAACTAGAAGATAACTAGAAAATATCCACATTTGATAGTTAAGCAGTGCATTTATAAATATCTCATTCGGCAAAGAAGAAATTACAATGGAAACTAATAAAACATTCTGAATGATGATATGAACATCATGCTAATGAAAATATTACGTATCAAAATTTGTGAAATGCAGTTAACAGCATATTGAGCAGAAACTTTGTAGCCTTTAAATGCATATATTGGACAGGAGAAAAGTCTGATAGTAATAAAAGTATGTAGTGCAAAAAGTTAGCATAAGAGAAAATGGAACCCAAATAAAGAAAGGAGAAAGTAAAATAGATAAGAACATAAATTAATGAAATAGTAAACAAATATACAATAGGGTATCAACAGAGCTTAGCAACGGTTCTTTGAAATGGCTCATAGCATTAGTAAGCCCCCTGTGATGAGACTGACTAAAGGAGAGAGAAAGACATAAGTAATCAATATTAGGGATGAAAAGGGGGAGACACTGCTACAGTCCTACAAACATTAAGACAAATATAAGAATTTGAAAATTTCTTTGGATTATGTCTTAGGGAACTACAACTTACCAAACTTAAGAAGAAATAGAAAATCTGAAAGGTGCTATAAACATTAAAAAGTCAAATCAGTCATTAGAAGCCTTCTCATGTCTACCCTTCATGGTGACAAGATTGCTGGAACAACTCAGTGTGTATAGTCTTTCAGGTAGAAAATAGAGACCCTTTTTGAAAGGTTTCATACATCTGGCCCTGACTCCCATTATGCAGAACAAGGACACATTCTCTAAAGCAGTTGTGGCTGGTGGCTGGAATGTACACTGACTTGTGCCCAAATTGCAGGCATAGCCCTGGAGTTAAAGTAGGGGACAGTTGTTCCCAAGAGGAAATTTGGAGTGCCACTACCCAACAAGGAAGCAAATGGATGCTGCATAGTTAAAAAACCAAGAAGTGTTCACGATAATGAGAAAGATGGACTCACTCAAATGTTAGGGAAAGAGAAATCATAGTTGAAGAAAAGGCAGTGAGAAAGAAATCAGGCACATATGTTTGGACCTCTTGGCCTCCATCTCAGTGAGTGTCAACACACAGAGGTGTGTATAAGGGGGAAAAACCCTTCCTATAAGGAAAAGTTTCAGCTTGATGGCTTTACCACAGATACTTAAGTGAGAAATAATTCTGATCTAACCCAACTCGTCCAGAGAACAAAGAAGCTTGTTTTATCAAACTAGCGTAACTTTGACACAAAAATCTGACTGAGAACATTATAAAATAGGAAGATAACAGGTCAATCTCTTCCTCTCCCATCAACACTTGCAAAATACTAAACAAAATAGTAGCAAATTAAATCTAGTGATACATGAAAAGAGTATGTATGACAAGTTACTAAGTTGCAGTGATTTCAGAATGCAAGGTTGGTTTAACTTAATTCGAATAAATTTATTCACTATATCCCAATAGATGGGAAATTCTGTTTTTACAAAAAACAAACAAAACAAAACCAGCAAATATTCTTAATGGTGAAATGTGGAATGCTTTCTCTTTGAGATGGGGAACAAGATAAGGATGCCTATTCTCAGCACTTCTATTAAGTATCCTGTGTCCTAGATATTGCAGGGGAGCGGGGGGTGGGCAGGAAAGGAAGGGAAGGGGGAGAGGTAAAAAGGGAGAAAGAAAAAGAAGGGAAAGCAGTGGGACTGAAGAAGCTCACGCCCTGCTTCATGCAGGTAAATCTGGATTTCTGGGGGTAGGACCCAACCTGCAGCCCAGTTTAAGAGCCAATGCCCTGACCACTTTTTGTAAATATGTATAAGGAAGTGTCATGGTGGTGTCACAAACACTTTATTTTTCATTTGAAGAAAATGCCATTGATTTCTAAACAAGGTCTTCCAAAGAAAATGTTTGCTTATTTGAGTTGATACCAACTTGAGGTTGGTGTTTTTCTATTATCTACTCCAATATCAACCACTCTGTAAATGGAAATAAATACATAATGCATGTCACATAGTAGACACGCAGAGCTGAATGATTGTTCTGATCAATATAATTCTATATAATGTTACATAAAAGGTAATATTCCTTTTAGCATTACTATTTTTTGTTAAGAATTTGGACAAAGCAAGATAACTTCTTTGACTCAGAAGCTCTACCTATAAAATTACTGGGCTAAATAGCAGTTATTTCCAAGGAATACATTTGCTAAAACTCTTTCTATTTTGAAGTAGAAATAATCGTGGCCTTTTGGTAACACTATAATTTTATCATTTTGCCTCAATATCTAATGGTATTAAAACAATTACTGTTTTAAAAAGTGATAAGGATTGGAAAGGAAGAAATAAAACTACCACTGTTGGCTGATAACATGATTATATACATAGAGATTTAAATTTACAGATAAATTGGAATTAATAAGTTAGCAAAGTAGCTACAGACTGCAGTTATCTTTCTGTATACCAACAACAATCAGAAAATAAAGAATATTGAAAAATTCAATTTATAGTAACACAAAAATGCCAAACACCAGTGTATGAATCTAACGAAAAGTATGTAACATCTGTATACCAAAAACTACAAAACATTGAGAGAAATTTTAAAAAGAAATGAGTAGGAAGATATGTACCATATTCATGGACTGGAAGATTCAGTATTATAAACACTTCTTCCCAAACAGATCTGCAGATTCAGATTCTAACAATTTCTAAATGAGCATCAACACACTGATTATATACTCTTTACAGAAATGCAAAAACCAGTAAAAACCAAGACAGCTTCTAGGGGAAGGATACCATTCTCCCAGATGTTGTGACTCATATAAACCTGGAGTCACAGAGACAATCTGGTCCTAGAACAAGGGTAGAGAAATTGAGCAATGGAGTCAAGCCAGCTCAGAAGCAGGCCCACATCTTTGGACACGTGGTTGACAAGAAAGGTCCGATTGTCAAACAGTGGAGACCGGGTGGTCTTCTCAACAGAAAGAGTTGGGATAGTAGGCTGTCCACACAGGGAGATGATCCTCATACCACACACAAAACTCAGTAACAAGTCGCTTGTGAATCTCAATGTAAAAGGGAAAACAGTAAAGTTCCTAGAAGTAATAAGAGGCAGTATCATTATGGCCCCCACGTAGAACACATACGTTAAAGTTCAACAAAATATGCAAATGGAAAGACTGGCTAAAAATTGGTTAAATTTGACTGTATTAAAATAAAAAACTATTGTTTATCAAAAGACACCACTAATCGAGCACATAGGCGAGTCACGGAGCGAGAGATTCTGTAGTACAGATAGCCCCCAGACAGTTCTCTACCCAGCATCATGAAGAACCACAAATTAAAAAGAAAAGAATGACAGCTCTGTAGAAAAGCAGGCAAGAGACTTGAACAGGTGTGTCCTAAAAGAAGATACCCAGATGGCCAGTGAACACAGGAGAAGGTACTCAATTGAATTAAGTATTATCAGGGAAATGCAAATCAAAACCACACTGAGCTATCACCTCACACCTGTTAAGATCACTGCTCTCAAAAACAAAGGACTGCAAGTATTGGCCAGGATGTGGAGAGAGGGGACCTTTGTGCAGTGTGGTGTGAGTGTAAATTACTACAACCATTATGGAAAACAATGTGGACCTTCCTCAAAAAATTAAAATAGAACTACCGTATGATCCAGCAATCCCACTGCTGGGTATATATTCAAGATAATTGAAAACAAGGTTTGGAAGAAATACCTGCTCTCCTGTGTTCATTGCAGCGTTATTCACAATAGCCAAGATATGGAAACAACCTAAGTGTCTTCACAGATGAATGGATAAAGAAAATGTGATATGTTTGCACAGTGGAGTACTGTTTAACCACAAAAACAAGGAAACTACCATTTGCGACGACATGGATGAACCTACAGGACATTATGCTATATGAAATAAGCCAGGCACAGAAAGACTACACGATTCATTCCTCTCATATGCAGTATCTAAAACAGTCAAAGTCAAAAACAGTCAAAGCAGAGAGCAGAATGGAAGTTGCCAGCAGCTGGAGGGAGAGGGAAACGGAGTTACCATTGAGGGCATAAAGTTTCAGTTATATAAGCTGAGTAAGCTCTAGAGCTTTGCCACACAACATAGTGCCTATAGTTAACAATAGAGTATCATGCTTTTAAAAATGTGTTAAGACAGCAGATCTCATCTTAAATGTTTTTTCCATAATTAAAAAACAATAAAGAGCCACAATAAGACGCCATCACACAGCCCTAGGGGTGCTCAGAGGCTGCCGATGGTGGGGGCATTGGCTCCTGCTTGGGGAAGCACCTTGGCACCCTTACATAAAGCTAAAGGGGATCAGTGACCAGCAGCTCCCCAGTGGCGTGTGCCTGGCAGGACACGGGCCTGCACGCACTGTGCCTCAGTGTTAGTCGTGGTCCCACCCAGCCACAGCCCAGTGAGTACCAACACAGAATGGATGCGTGCATCATGGTGCAGTTGTGCAAACAATAACAAGGACACATCTCACAAACACGGTGAGAGAGGCCAGGCACCACAGAATAGAGTACCATTCCATTGATAGAACGTGCAGCACGACCATCATGTTTAGACAGACGAACGGTAAGGCCGGAAAGGAGCAGTGGAGGAAATTTTGGTCAAATTAGTTTACCTTTGTTGGGCCAGGCAGGGGATGGGGACCAAGGGAGTCTGGGGGCACGAGGGAGGGCATCAGGGTCCTATTAATCTCCCCATTCTCACCTTTTATTTTTTGAACAGTTTTCTTTTTTTGTGTTCATTTTCTTTGTGTTTTTTAAAAAGACAAAGTGGGCTGGGCGTGGGGGCTCACACCTGTCATCCCAACACTTTGGGAGGCTGAGGCCAGCGGATTGCTTGAGCCCAGGAGTACAAGACCAGCCTGGGCAACATGGTGAAACCCAGTCTCATATGAAAAATACAAAAATTATCCAGCTGTGGTCCGAGCTACAAGGAAGGCTGAGGTGGGAGGATTGCTTGAGCCCGGGAGGCAGAGGTTGCAGTGAGGCGAGATTGCACCACTGCACTCCAGCCTGGGTGACAGAGCCAGACCATCTCCAAAAAAAAAGAAAGGTCGGGTTGCATTTTCAAGTAAGGAAAACTGGGCTCCAAGGCCAAGTTTGAGAAACACCGTCCTGCCACCTCTCAGATGCCCGCAGTCCCTGTGAGCCTGGTGGAGGCTCCATGAGCTCCTGCACAAGGCACTGGGAGACTTGGTTATACTGCTGGGGTTCTGGATTCCTCCCACAGGGTCACTGACCAGCCCTGGCTGCGCTTCTGACCATACCAAAGACTGGGGGTCTGAAGGCTTCAGGCTCCTGCTCACTCCTGGGCATGGAAGTGTGTACAGCTCACTACTTAAACTCTTTAATTTTGAAATTTCATTGAATAACTTTTGTCCAGTGCAAGATAGACAAGAGCCGTATCTTTCTGGAGCTGTCTGTGCGGGTGAGGGTGTGGACAGACAGATGACAGACAGGCAACAGCCACAGCTGATGGTCACACGCTACAGAAGACACAGAAGGAAGGGTGGTGCTGGTTCAGCCACAAGGGACACTATGGGAACAGGGACCTGGAGTTGCGAAGCTGGTGGCTCAGAGACCTGTGGGAGGCGTTACAGGAAGCAGCAGCCAAGGCTGGGCTGAGCTGCAGGCAGGCAGGAGCCTGGCGTGTCGGGAAACAGAGAAGACCAGCACGCTGGGGCCATGGCCAGCTGTGTAAGGCATCTTTTTAGCCAAGGAAGAAACAGGTAGATAGGACTGGAGTACCCTGGTACAAAGGCATTTTCCCCATTTCTTCTAGATTCAGCGCCCTATAAAGACCAGCTGTCCTCGAAGGAACAACCCAGCTTTCTAGCCAGTCAGCAGCTCCTGAGCCAGGCGGGCCCCAGCAACCCTCCTGGGGCACCCCCAGCCCCTTTGGCCCCCTCCTCCCCTCCTGTGACTGCTCTGCCCCAAGATGGAGCAGCTCCAGCCACCAGCACCATGCCAGAGCCAGCGTCAGGAACTGCCAGCCAGGCAGGGGGTCCAGGGACACCTCAGGGGCTGACCAGTGAGCTCGAGACGTCTCAGCCACTAGCGGAGACTCACGAGGCCCCGCTTGCTGTGCAGCCCCTCGTGGTGGGCCTAGCACCTTGCACTCCAGCTCCAGAGGCTGCCTCAACCAGGGACGCCAGTGCCCCAAGGGAGCCCCTGCCACCTCCTGCACCTGAGCCCAGCCCCCACAGCGGGACCCCACAGCCCGCCTTGGGTCAACCTGCTCCCCTGCTTCCTGCCGCAGTGGGGGCCGTCAGCCTGGCCACCTCCCAGCTCCCAAGCCCACCCCTGGGGCCCACCGTCCCCCCACAGCCACCCTCGGCCCTGGAGTCGGATGGGGAAGGGCCGCCCCCCAGGGTGGGCTTTGTGGACAGCACCATCAAGAGCCTGGACGAGAAGCTGCGGACTCTGCTCTACCAGGAGCACGTGCCCACCTCCTCAGCCTCAGCTGGGACCCCTGTGGAGGTGGGCGACAGAGACTTCACCCTGGAGCCCCTGAGAGGGGACCAGCCCCGCTCAGAGGTCTGCGGGGGGGACCTGGCCCTGCCCCCAGTGCCTAAGGAGGCGGTCTCAGGGCGTGTCCAGCTGCCCCAGCCCTTGGTGAGTAGCTGCCTTGTCCCAGAGACACTGCCCTGGGTCAGGGGCCGGAGCCCGGGCGCAGGCCCGGGGGTGGGCAGGCATCTTGGCTATGCAGAGCCGCCCTCACTCAGGGCCCGTCCCTCTCTTGGTGACCCACCCACGTGTGTTTGACTCACCCATGCATGTTTTGCAACAAGTGACCCCTGTTTGGGGTCATGCTTGTGCAGCGTCAGGTGACTCAGCCCCATCCATGCACACACAGGGGCTGGGGCAGCCCAGGGGCAGCTTGAGATGAGGGGAGTGGATTTGCAGATACAGCTGTTGAGATGCTGACCTGTGAGTCTCACGGCTCTTCTCTTTTTGTGTTTCTTTCTCCAGGTGGAGAAGTCAGAACTGGCCCCCACTCGAGGGGCCGTGATGGAGCAGGGCACGTCCTCGTCAATGACAGGTAACAGCTTCCTGCTGAACCCTGCGTTCACAAGGTGCTGCCTGGCTTCCTTGCCCCAGAACCTTCTGCATCCGCACCCTCGTCTTTCATCTGTTAAGGCATAAAAGCATTTCTTAAAGATCCTTTTATCTGTAAGGGATCCTTTAGCATCCAGTGTAGGGCCCAGACACAGCAGGAGTCTGTCATGATTTAATTCAAGCTTGTCCAACCTCTGGCCCATGAGCTGCATGTGGCCCAAGACGGCTTTGAATGGGCCCAACACAAATTGTTAAGCTTCTTATGAGCTTTTTTTTTTTTTTCAATTTTTTAAAGCTCATCAGTTATTGTTAGTGTATCTCATGTGTGACCCAAGACAATTCTTCATCTTCCAATGTGGTGCAGGGAAGCCAAAAGACTGGATGCCCCTGACTTAATTAAAACCTACTGAGTTCTAGAAGGAGCCACATGCTAACACTCTAGAGAGATGAAGTCCTCTGGGGAAATGGATAAAGCCCCAGTTGGTGGGTGCTGGGATGTTGCAGGGACACGTCACAGCTCCTGGACTCTCCAGTGGCTGAGGGTCTGCACACGTTCCGGTGGACCCACCCCAGCCCTTGCTTTTCTTCAGCAAGGTTACAAGATGCCCACAAAAACCCAGCCTTACTTCAGCTATAGCAGAGCAGTGCGGTGGGGGGGGCGCTGTGACTGCTGGGAGCGCCAGGTACCAGGGCAATCCCTGAAGACCTGCTGTGGGGCTTTCCCTTGTGGCTCTTGGCTGCCACTGCGTCTCTGTGGAAACACCTTTGCTTTGCTTCTCATTTCATTATCTGCATGCCTCAGTGTCCCTTCTAAGGGAGCCGGACTGATCTTGTGAGGTCTGAGGTTCCTTCTCAGCCCAGGATTTCTTGGGGGATGGGCACACTATGAATCAGGACTCCCCTGAGCCTCCTAACGGAAACCTCAGCGCACATCAGCCGCAGGCGGGACCCCGTAGTCCCAGGCCACATTTATTTCTAGACGCCAGACTTTAAGAGGGGTCGGGGCAGCTGGCTCTGGGGTCAGAAGCTGTGCACGCAGAGAACTGGTGATGTTTAGCCTGAGGAAGATAAGGGACAGGGCAGAAGCAAGAGCATCTTCCCAAAAGGGTGGAAATGAGAGGTTGTGTTGGAGTGCCAGCCCTGACCACGCTGGGCTGCCTGTGGCGCTCCACGGACTCTGACTTCGTGCTCTGAGATGTGTCCGTCCCATGGGCCCCTTTGGCAGATGAGCAAACTGAGCTTCAGTAACTTGCAAATGATATAACTTGTACTCCAAGTCCATACTCTTTCCAGAGTGTGGAACTCATGGGGGAAGCTCCAAGGAGACAGATTCTAGTTTGGCAAAAGTGACCTTTCCTGGAGGTTGGAGCCATTTAGAAGTAGAGAGAGTGCGATTGACAGTGAACCTCCTAGCCCTGAAGGTGGGCATGGAGATATGAGGAGGGGAGTCAGATGTTACATACGGCTTGGGGACACGTGACAGGGACTGGATTGGGGCTCCTTAGGAATCTGATTTGGGTGTTGTTCCCTTGTGAGTTTCCACATGGGGTGTGCAAAGGAGACACGTGTACATGTGCGGGCGGCCCCAACCTCCCCAGAGGCTCCATCCGCTGCTGCCACCTTCCCCACGGCGCATAGGTCTGGCTCATGCCCTGGCCTACCCACGAGTTTCTTTTGTCACATGAGGGTCTCAGCTCAGGCGAGGCCCCCATGTCAGCTTGCTTGGCTTTTCTGGTTGCCTCTTTACGGCAACCCTGGGAAAAGCTAGTCAGAAAGAGCTCCCTAGATGGAGAGCACCGGAATAGCTGCAGGTGCAGTGGGTGACAGTTTTTGAGACACCGTGGGAGCAGGGCTGGAACCCAGCCCCATTGATCTGCGCTGTGGGACCCTCTCACATCAGACGATGGGATGAGACAGGGTGCTGGCCTTCAGGTGCTCAGAGAAGGCCTGGCTGCATGAGGGTGCCCGGGGCTGACGCCTCTTCTCTTGCCCGGGTTTATTGGGCATCTGTCATAGAATGCCGTGGGGCCAAGACATCATGGAGTATTTTTAGTTTCCAAAACTGCTGTTTCCAAAACTGGGAGGAGCACACACAGCTGGCTCCTCCCAGTACCCACTTCCATTGTCCTGCCTGTCTGGAGGCACTCCCATGGGATCACTTTGGGCTGCTTCGGGTCAGCTGTGAGCCATCTCTGCCTCTTCCTCCTCCTTCAGCCCCAGTAACGTTTCTGATGTTCCCATAGCAGAGTCGTCTCCCAGGAGTATGCTAGGCTATGACAGAGATGGAAGGCAGGTGGCCTCAGACTCCCATGTGGTCCCCAGCGTCCCCCAGGTAAGGGCGACTTGACGACCCCCTGGCTGGTTGGCAGGGTTTGCTCTGTGCTGATGTTCACATGAAACCTCTTCATCTCCGCTTGTTTCCCAAGGATGTACCTGCTTTTGTGAGACCTGCACGTGTGGAGCCCACAGACAGGGATGGTGGAGAAGCTGGAGAAAGCTCGGCAGAGCCCCCGCCGAGTGACATGGGCACAGTGGGGGGCCAGGCTAGCCACCCCCAGACACTCGGCGCTCGAGCTTTGGGGTCCCCTCGGAAACGTCCAGAGCAGCAGGATGTCAGCTCACCAGCCAAGACTGTGGGCCGTTTCTCGGTGGTCAGCACTCAGGACGAGTGGACCCTGGCCTCCCCCCACAGCCTGAGATACTCTGCCCCACCCGACGTCTACCTGGACGAGGCCCCCTCCAGCCCCGACGTGAAGCTGGCAGTGCGGCGGGCGCAGACGGCCTCCTCCATCGAGGTCGGCGTGGGCGAGCCCGTGTCCAGCGACTCTGGGGACGAGGGCCCTCGGGCGAGACCCCCGGTGCAGAAGCAGGCGTCCCTGCCCGTGAGTGGCAGCGTGGCTGGCGACTTCGTGAAGAAGGCCACCGCCTTCCTGCAGAGGCCTTCTCGGGCCGGCTCGCTGGGCCCCGAGACACCCAGCAGGGTGGGCATGAAGGTCCCCACGATCAGCGTGACCTCCTTCCATTCCCAGTCGTCCTACATCAGCAGCGACAATGATTCGGAGCTCGAGGATGCTGACATAAAGAAGGAGCTGCAGAGTCTGCGGGAGAAGTAGGTCCTGCGGGCAGGAAGTGTTGCCCCCGCCCCTGGGCCATGGCACCCCTTCCCAGTTGTGAGGGAACCCTGGTGCCGGGGCTGAAGTCCTGGCCAAGCAGCGCCCACTTGGAGCTGCCAAGCAGGGACAGGGGAGTGATGAAGGCTTTTTTTTTTTTTTTTTGAGACAGTCTCGCTCTGTCACCCAGGCTGGAGTGCAGTGGTGCAATCTTCGCTCGCTGCAACCTCCACCTCCCGGGTTCAAGCGATTCTCCTCCCTCAGCCTCCCGAGTAGCTGGGACTACAGGTGCCTGCCACCACGCCCGGTTGATTTTTCTATTTTTAGTAGAGACGGGGTTTCACCATGTTGGCCAGGCTGGTCTCAAACTCCTGACCTGAAGTGATCCACCCGCCTTGGCCTCCCAAAGTTCTGAGATTTCAGGTGTGAGACACCAGGCCCAGCATCCCTGTGGTTTTGAGTAGACAGTCTCCCACTCAGAGTCCTCTGGGCTGGGCCGGCCCCCACCCTGCTGTCTGCTTGGCTTCTGGCTTCTCTGGGTGCCATGCCTCCTCCTGCTGCACTTGGGGGTATGTCTTGGGGGATCACTGAGGCATGTGTCTTCCTCACCCTGTCTGCCTCTCATCTGTCTCCTTCCCTCTTTCTTCCTTTCTCCTTCTCTCTCTCTCTCCCCTTTCATTCCTTCTCTCCCTGTCTCGCTTCCCACCACTCTGTTTCTGGCACACTCTCTCTTCCTATCTGTCTCTCCTTTCTTTGTCTCTGTCTCTGTCTCTCTCTCTCCCACCCTCCTTCTTTCTCTTCCTCTCTCTTTCTCCATGTCTCTTTCCCTCATCCAGCAAATATTTATTCTGTCCTGCTGCGGCTGGGGGGTTACTGGGATGTCCTTCGGGATGGGAGGGCTAACACCAAATTCACCAGTGCCTGAAGGCACGTTTGTAAGTCGTGTCCTGTTGGAAATCACAGGCTTATGTGGGAAGAGCCGTGCACATCTCCTTTCTCTCCTGCGAGCCCTCTCTGCACAGCGTATGCACAGAGGCTAAGAGAGTGTCTGCCCAGGCTGGCGGGGTGGTCAGTGCCATACATTGAGGATATAGTGAGTGTCTCTGTGTTCGTGGAGAACTGAGGAGGGAACTGGAGCTGCTGGGAGAGGCAGGAAGGCAGGGATGGGTGGAATCACTGCTGGTCTTAGAGGCCTCCAGGAAGGTGGCCCCCATTGGCCACATGGCCCAACAGATCCTTGGTGGAGGCCAGAGAGTGGATGGAGCCCAAGGTGGGTATGACCTAGAACCTTTTGGGATAGAGGGCAGCAGATCCTGGGCACATTTGCTCAGCAGGAATGTCATCCTGGGGAGCCAGTGGTCAGGGTCAGCAGGCACAAAGGGGAGCTGAGATGTTGCCAAGCCACACCCCAGCTGTGGCTGCTACGAAGAGAAGCTTGTAGGGGGCAGGAAGGTGTGGATGTGAGAACACTGGGGAGAGGAGCTGCTATAGGCTCTGAGAGCCTGGGTGACAGGGGCCAGGAGCCAGAGACAGAGGGTAGAGATAATGGGGTGGGGACTAGAAATGGCAGAAGTGATTGGGAGCCAGGGGCAGGTGGGGTCTAGGGAAAGGGCAGGGAGAGGACCAGAAGCACCTCAAAGGAGAGACTTCCAGGAGCCTAAGAACAGGAAGTGGATGCTGGGAGGGCCGTGGAGTCCAGAGGGAAGTGTGGGGACCTTTTAGGAAAGGGTGGGGAAGATTTTCAGCCTCAACTGGGAATTGAGGTGACTTGGCATCTGATAGGCAGTAGCCAGCAGCTCCCCAACCTTGCTTTCATTTGAACCCTCTGAATACCGAGGTGCCTGTGCCTCATTGCAGCATTTCTGCCATGAGCGTTGGGGTTTCCTAGGGCTCCAGGAGCCCTGTGCTGAGCCCAGCCTGTGCTTTCAGATGTCCCAGGCCGCGGGGCTCTGTGGTGAGCAGCCCAGGGGCAGCTTGGAGTGGTCCAGGGCACCCCCTGTGTCGGAGCCACATTGCAGTCTGGGACCGCGGGAGCTGGACCATGTGGGTGCGGCCTCGGAGCAGAGTTCCAACCTGGATAAGCTCCAGCCTGGATAAGACGCTCCCCTGCCCACGCAGCCGCTCCCCAACGCTGGGGCAGTCAGCACTCTCTTGAAATAGTACTCCCTTCCAGAAGATCATCTGATGCTCTGTCTCTCTGGTGTTTGTAGGGAGAAAGCCATTCAGAGTTTTATTTTTATTTATTTATTTTGTTTAGTAGTTAGAGGAAGTCATTAAAAAAAAACAAAAAGCCTATGTGGCAGGTGTTGAAATTCAGGAGTAAAATCAGAACTTGCTTCCTCATTTCCGACCTTGAAAACTACCTGTTTTTCTTGCCATCAAAGGAAGAGGAGGGGCACTTGGGGTGAAGGCAAGGGGTTACAGGCCTCCAGCCAGGGCCCCTGGGGTGGCCTTAGGCCTTGCAGAAGCTCAGAGCACTGTGATGCAACAGGGAGGCCCAGCTCCACTCCCCATCCTCTCCTCTCCATCCTCCCGTCACCATCCTCCCCTCACCTTCCTCCCCCACCTTCCTCCCCTCTCTATCCTCCCCTCTCCATCCTCCCTTCACCTTCCTTGTCTCTCCAGCTTCCCCTCACTTTCCTCCCCTCTCCATCCTCAACTCACTTTCCTCCTCTCTCCATCCTCCCCTCACCTTCCTCCCCTCTCCATCCTCAACTCACTTTCCTCCTCTCTCCAACCTCCCCTCACTTTCCTCCCCTCTCCACCCTCAACTCACTTTCCTCCTCTCTCCATCCTCCCCTCACCATCCTCCCTTCACCTTCCTTCCCTCTCCATTCTCCCCTCACCTTCCTCCCCTCTCCATCATCCCCTCCATCCTCCCCTCACCTTCCTCCCCCTCTATCCTCCCCTCACCTTCCTCCCCCTCTATCCTCCCCTCACCTTCCTCCCCTCTCCATTGTCCCCTCTCCTTCCTCCCCTCACCACCCTCCCCTCACCATCCTCCCCTCACCACCCTCCCCTCACCATCCTTCCCTCACCTTCCTCCCCTTTCCATCCTCCCCTCACCTTCCTCCCCTCTCCATCGTCCCCTCCATCCTCCCCTCACCTTCCTCCCCTCACCTTCCTCCCCCTCCATCTTCCCCTCTCCTTCCTCCCCTCACCACCCTCCCTTAACCATCCTCCCCTCACCATCCTCCCCTCACCTTCCTCCCCCTCCATCCTCCCCTCACCTTCCTCCCCCTCCATCCTCCCCTCACCTTCCTCCTTCTCCATCCTCCCCTTACCTTCCTCCTTCTTCATCCTTCCTTCTCCCTCCTCCCCCTCCATCCTCCCCTCACCTTCCTCCCCTTGGCCTCCTCCCCTCTCCATGCTCCCCTCTCCATCCTCCCCTTACCTTCTTCCCCCTTCATCCTCCTTTCTCCATCATTCCCTCTCCATCCTCCCCTCACCTTCCTTCCCTTCCATCCTCCCCTCACCTTTCTCCCCTGCCCATCCTCCCCTCATCCTCCTCCCCTCTCCATTCTCCCCTCACCTTCCTCCCTCTCTATCCTCCCCTCACTTTCCTCCTCCTCCTCCATCCTCCCTTCTCCATCCTCCCCTCACCTTCCTCCCCCTCCATCCTTCCCTCACCTTTCTCTCCTCTCCATTCTCCCCTCATCTTCCTCCCCCTCCATCCTTCCTTCACCTTCCTCCCCTCCGCACCCTCCCCTCCGCATCCTCCCTTCAGCCTACTCCCCTCCCCATTCTACCTCCCTCGACCTTCCTCCCCTCTGTTTCCTCCCCTCTGCATCCCCTCGGCCTCCTCCCCTTGGCTTCCTCCCCTCCGCATCCTCCCCTCCCCATCCACCCCTCAGCATCCTCCTTTCACCTTCCTCCCCTCCGCATCTTCCCCTCCACATCCTCTTCTCGGCTTCCTCCCCTCGGCTTCCTCCCCTTGGCGTCCTCCCCTCGGCGTCCTCCCCTCGGCGTCATCCCCTCCCCATCCTCCCCTTCCCATCCTCCCCTCCACATTCTCCTCTCTGCATCCACCCCTCCGCATCCTCCCCTTTGCATCCTCCCCTGGGCATCCTCCTCTTGCCTCGGCAGTTCTAGACTCTGCCCTTGCCCATGGTCAATGAGCCACCTGCATTTCACCTGCGGGGTGATGTGGGACCTGTGGCAGTGGGCTCACATATGGTGTGGCATGGCCCCTGGAAGTCAGTGAGCGTCTCGCTGACTTCTTCATGCCGTGTTGCATTGGTCTGAGCTGCCTTCCACTGTCTGTTTCCCCTGTGGAGGAAATAACACACATTTGCCTGATAAATGGAGGCAGTCTCTAGTGCCTGGCACCTGCTGATTTCCCTTCACCTGTGTTCATGTTTGGGACTTTCATTGCAAGTATCAATGTAAGCATTCCGAGTCTGGGTATTTGGAAGTTTGAGGCTTCTTAGCCTGGCCCGTGCTGTTGGGCACGTCGATGCCAGAGGCCCACTACCTTGGGACCTCCCCGTTTAGATATGAACAAACAGTGTCATTTTACAGCCCCTGTGTGCCGCTTTAGAGTGGCCCAGGCCAAGGCACAGGCAGGGTGCCCACCCTTCATCCCATGTTCTCCCACGCCACCTCCCTCCTGGAGGAGCTGGCGGTGTTGGAAACACCGAGGAAGCCCATCGGCGCTCCCTCCTGTCCCCTCCTGCAGGCACCTGAAGGAGATCTCGGAGCTGCAGAGCCAGCAGAAGCAGGAGATCGAAGCTCTGTACCGCCGCCTGGGCAAGCCACTGCCCCCCAACGTGGGCTTCTTCCACACGGCACCCCCCACTGGCCGCCGGAGAAAAACCAGCAAGAGCAAGCTGAAGGCAGGCAAGCTGCTAAATCCCCTGGTGCGGCAGCTCAAGGTCGTGGCCTCCAGCACAGGTCGGCCTCCGGGTGCAGGGCTGGGATGGGAGCGGGGCTGGGGACCCCCGAGTGAGCCTGGGAGGTAGGCTCCGTGCAGGTGTGACACCCTCGGACCTGGAAGACCACTCGGGGTTATCTCCTTACTGAATCTCCTTTCCCTGGAGCAGGGGAGTCATTGCAGCATGAAGGCAGCCCTGGTCCTCCGTCCTCATGCAGAGAGGCAAGGCCCGTGAGTGGGCAGGGGCTGCTCAGCGTTGGGCCTGAGACTCTAGGCTGTGGGCTGTGCCAGGGAAGCTCAGGCTGCCCTCCCTCACCTGCTCCTCTGCAGGGCACTGCGTGGACGGATGGTGGCTGCTTCCTTTGACCCATTTCTTGGGTGTGTGCCAGCCGAGCAGCTGTCGTTAGGGGCTGGGGGAGGACGGGAGGACGGTGATGATCTCCCAGTCTTGTTAAAGGTGACACCTAGTCATTGAGTGGCACTGGCCTGGCCCCAGGCAGCCACCAGCCCACGTCCCTGCATGTCAGGGCTTCCTGAGGCCTCCTGAGCAGCACTGCAGCCTGCTTGCTGGTGGAGAGCCCTGGCAGTCTGGGATGGAGCCCCTGTGAGCCCAAGTCCCCAAGCATGCCAGGCAAGCCACCATAAGCTCACTATAAGCCCACAACCTTCAGGGCACACAGCCATGAATTATACCCATTACACGAATTCAGAGACAGTTCCCAGAGCTAAGGGAAGACTGAGATGAGAAGTACACAGGCCACTGTGTGCCTGGGTGTGTCTTCTGTCACTATATTTGCTCAACACAAGTCCAGCACGGCAGTGGGGGCTGGTAGAGACTGGGCACTTTCTTTGCTCTTCCCCATCACTCCTCTGTGGGAGATGTGGCCATGTGCCTGTGGTCTGCAGGAGACGTGAGCTTCCCCAAGGTCACCCAGCAATAAGCAGGCAGAACAGACTCAATCCACACGGCCCCGACCCGGCGGCGCCTCATCGTGCCTGTCGCCTCTTCTCCCCCCGCCCAGGTCACTTGGCTGACTCCAGCAGAGGCCCTCCCGCTAAGGACCCTGCCCAAGCCAGTGTGGGGCTCACTGCAGACAGCACGGGCCTGAGCGGGAAGGCAGTGCAGACCCAGCAGCCCTGCTCCGTCCGGGCCTCCCTGTCTTCGGACATCTGCTCCGGCTTAGCCAGTGATGGAGGCGGAGCGCGTGGCCAAGGTGATTTCCAGCTTGCCTGTCTCCGAGCATGTGCTAGCCACGTAGGGCCTCAGTGGTGTCCCCAGGAGCACGCCCGTGTTGTGTAGAGGGGTTGCAAGCTGTGGCAAAGGCTGTTGAGAGGCTTCTTTTAAAAAGGATAAAAAAAAAAAGGTGTAGTCTTTGGATGAAAGGAATGGAATTGTCCCATCCACCACCAAGTCTTGCTTGTAAGCAGCTCAGGGGGAGGTGATGCTTTGCTAGAGTGGACCTTGGGGAAGTGGCTAGGACTGGGGAGGGCAGGGGACCTGGCATCCGGCTGTGTGCTCCGGCGCCAGTTCCCAGGCACTGGCTGCCCCACCCCCACCCCCACAGCGGAGCCAGATGGTGCTAAACACCGGGTCCTTCCAAAGTCCAGAGGGACGGCTGGGGGGACGAGGGCACAGCTTTCGAGCTGGGAGTTTGGCCTTGAGGAGGAAATTCTCTCGTCAACGCTGCGTGGACAGCAGCAGCTGCTCAATAAGGTGCTCTCCTGTCCTCACCATCTCTGTCCAGAGAAATCATGGTGACCATGAAGCCGCCCCGCCCCGCCCACCCCACCCTGCCCGCCCCTCTCCGGGCTGCTTCTCTTCTGCTCTCCCGCTGCCTCCTTCCCATTACATGGTCAGTGGCTTTGGTGCTCCGGGCTGGGCTAGATGGAGCCGTGGATGTTAAGTGACGAGGCTGGTGTGGCTGTTGGTGTGGAGGAGGAATCGCAGCAACCTGTACTTGATGAGTGTCTCTTTGTTTTCTTCCCTTTATATTCATTTGCAGGCTGGACGGTTTACCACCCAACGTCTGAGAGAGTGACCTATAAGTCTAGTAGCAAACCTCGTGCTCGATTCCTCAGTGGACCCGTATCTGTGTCCATCTGTCTGTATTTGTTCTTTTGTATTTTATCACCTCCTGGCCCTTGGTTTTCTCCCCCCACCCCCTCCCTGTCTTCATTACCTTTCATACATTTCATAGGATGCCTCCCCCACCCCATCGAAGTCACCTATTTAATATCAAAGTGGAACCCCATGAGCCGGTCCCCTGGAGCGGCGGCCGCCAGCGCCTACCCCCAAGCCCCACACAGCGTGTGTGCATGCTCATGGCTGGTGCCTGGGCACGGAAAGCATGTGCAGCGGCTGGCCTGCCTTCCGCCCCGGGCACCTCTGCCCAGAAGGACTGGAGCCCTTTGCATTCTTTTCGTCACCTCATTTATTTAATTTTTTTTTTTATGTTGGATGTAGTTTTTTTTTCTGTTGCAATTGTGGCAAATATACATGTCCGCTGTCCCCAGTTCCAGCGACAACAAAAAGACAACCCCAACCTCCTCCAGATGCACAGTGTGTGTCACGCGTGTCTGGACTGTGAAGACATGCACATAGCGAGCCTATACGGTTCTAAAGGTCACTGGAGGGCGTGGTTTCTGTACCAGGGCCAAATCCCAGCACCCAGTACCCTGCACACCCACCGCCCTGTGCCCTGCATGTGGAAATGCTGAGAGAACGTGCTCCAGTTCGGGCCTCCCCAGCCCCTCCCCACTGGAAGGGCAGGTCTGGTCCCCTTTGTCATTGCTCCTCACCCACTGCTGTCTCCAACCCCAAATAGGAGAGTGACGGCCACCTGGGCAGCTCTTCTTTGGAGCATGCATCCTGCTTGGCCGGCTCCTCCTCCTCCTCCAGCCAGTGGGAGCACTTTACTTGCTGTATTTTCCTGTGACCTCCCATGACCGCAGGGATGAAGTCAATGACGCAGTTCCTCCAATTGCTACTAAGCCAAAACCCAGTCCCAGCCTTGCTCAGATCCCCTGGAACACAGTTAGTGCCCAGGAACTCCATCTCCAGGGAAGGCTCTGCCTGCTTGGGGCCATCCCAAAGCACGCAGTTTGTTTTTAACCCTCAGGACGATCGGCCAGTGAACCAAAAGCTGTGAGATTTTTAGGCTTTTGTCTTTTTAACAGGAAAATTAAGCTTTTTCAACAATTGGATTGGATATGCTGGTTTGGGGCACGTGACTTTTTGCTTGTACAATAAAGATACATTGTGCTTGTTGGGAGCCAGAGGCCATGCCTGTGGGAGGCGTCCACTGCCATCCACCCACCCCATCAGAGGTCCATGTGGGTCATCATTCTCCGGGCAGGCAATTCGAGGACACAAGGGCCATGTAGGAATGCCAGGGCCTTCCCAGGGCTTCCCGTTCGCCTGTTTAACAGGCTGCCCTGTTTCGGCCACCATGTCATCTGGGCTGTTGGTCTGGGGGTCTGGGTGGCCTGGTGTCTGGTGAGTTGCTGAGTTGAATCTGGGGAGGAGTGGGCGCCTTCCCCCCCACCCCTGCGTCTCTGGGTCCTCTTATGGCAGCCGGCTGTGGTTCCTTCTCCGCAGCCGGTTCCCGGCCCTGCTGGCCTTGTGCCTCACTTGCTGCTCCTCTTCCGGCTCCTGCATGTGCGGCTCGATCTGGGGCTGTCACTGGGGGCGAGGGCACCTGGGAGACTCAGTGCAGGGTGTTAGTGTCAGGTATGGCGCCTACCCAGGCCCCACTTCCACCCCCATGCTGTGTTTTGTGGTATTGCTTGTTTTCACGGCTTAGCCCCCATCAGGCAAGTCTTAGTCTTAGTCTTTTTGGGCCATAATGTCTCCCCCAGTTCCCCCACACTCTGAAGTTGCTGGCCGGGGAGAGCCCAGGTGGGCCTCTGCCCTGGGCGCCTCTCAAGCCCTGTCTGGATCAGCTCCAGGCCTCCGAAGTCTCTGCCACTCTCCTGGGATGTGGCTGGGACTGGCCCCTCCTGCCTCTGTGCCCCTGGGCTGTGGAGGCTGGACTTCTTGTTGAGCCATCCACTGGCACATCTGCTGCTCATGGGTAAACCCCCAGGGCAGCCCAAAAGAGAAGGGAGAGCTGTGGGGTCTGTGAGGAGACCAAGCACCTCCAGGGGAAAGACTGCAGGGGTGGGCGCAGCCCTGTGAGCGCTGAGAGGCTGAGGACTTGGGCGGAAGCTGTGGGATTGCGCCAGGCTTGGAGGCCAGGAGGGAGGGTTGCAGGCAGGGGTAGTGTGAGCAGATGGGCTAGGAAGACGCTGAGGTCGGTGTATGGAAGACACCGAGGGGTCGGGGGTCGCGCTGCAAGTAGAGGAGGAGCAGGGTGGATGCCAAGGTGCGGCTAGTGGGGGGCAGCCGGCGCAGCCAGCCCAGCCTTTGCTCCCTAGGGCCTGGGGAGAGCTTTCAGCTCACTGCCCTGGTGTGGGGCACTCCCACTTCCTGGAAGAGAAACAGTTCCAGGAAAACAAAATGTGTTAAATTTTGAAATATAGAAGGATCCTGGCCTCTGTGAAGGTCAGAGAAGATGAAACGGCCCCAGGCAGGGTGGGTTGAGGCCAGGCCAGAGGATGGGCTGCGGGTGCCCAGGTGGCTGTGCCCAGGGATAGAGCAGGGCAGTGCAGCAGGCACCTCCAGAGGCCCGAGCTGACTCAAGGTGCAGGACAGGGAATAAAGCAGTGGAGGCTGGGAGCAGCAGGTGGACAGACCCCTAGGGAGTGCAAGGCCCTGCTTAGAACCCCTGTGAGCTGGGCCCCTTGGCATAGACTTCTCACCCAGCTTGCAGATGCCCCCTTGTGGTCAGCAGTTGCTGTGGGGAGCTCACATGACCCAGTGCCCCAGAGCAGTCTCCCTTTTTTTTTTTGAGACAAAGTCTGGCTCTGTTACCCAGACTGGAGTGCAGCGGCAAGATCTCAGCTCACTGCAACCTCCGCTTCCCTGACTCAAGCAATCTTCCCACCTCAGCCTCCCAAGTAGCTGGGACCACAGGTCTGCACCACCACACCCAGCTACTTTTTTGTATTTTTAGTAGAGACAGGGTCTCACCATGTTGCCTAGGCTGGTCTAGACCTCCTGGGCTCAAGCAGTCCACCCACGTTGGCCTCCCAAAGTGCTGGGATTACAGGTGGGAGCCACCACACCTGGCCCAGTGCATTCTAAGGGATGTTGGCCTTGGAGCCAGGGAGGAGGGTCAGGTGCAGATGCTGAGATGGCACCTCTGGTCGTGGTTCTGTTGGTTCTGCTTGTCAGAAGCTGGGGTCCTTCTGGATCTTCCCACCTGACCGGGCATGTTCTGGCACCCTGTGGGCCTTTCTCTCTGCACGCTGGTATCTCTTTGGGTTTTCTCCACATTGGCTGTTGGCTGCAGCATGTTTGGCTCAGGGACCCTCCGGTGTCACTGCACGATGCCTTCTAGGCCTTCTCCCACCGTGGAATGCTTTCATCCCTCCCGGTGGGGAGAGAGTGCATGCTCAGCGAGGCTCTTTGCAGCAGGTGTTCAGGAGGCCTCGGGGTGGAGGGCATCCAGAGAGGAGGGCCCCCACCCTGCACTGCGCCCACCAGGCCCTGACCTCTGCAGCCAGGGTGGTCAGTGCTGCGTACCACTGTGGGCTGTCTGTGGAGCAGGCCTGTGTGCAATGGGGCCTAGTGCAATGTGGGGTCATTTAGCTCAAGGCAACATGAAAACAGCCCCAGGTCTCCCTGGGCAGAGCCAAGGCAGATCCTGCTTCCCAATGCATGCTTTGTGGACAGTTTTTGGCTCAAGAACATGGTTGTTCAATACGTAGACACCTTAAAAGGGGTTTTGTCCCTGGATGCCCATTTTTCTCCTGTGCCAGAAAAGGGAGCCAGTGCTGACCATGGCGGGGGCTGACCCACCTGAGGGTGCGCGGGAAGTTGTGGGGGACTGAGGTGAAGCCGCCAGGGCACCCATGATGGGAGGTGGGCTGCCCCAGCTGTCCCGTGGGCTCCTGGGCAGTATTGAGCCCTGTGAGGTGAAAAGCGAATGTGGGGATTGCTCAGGGGCTGACCACTTTTTAGTCCCCCTGTCCCAGGCACACACCCTCAGTTTGAATCCTTCTTGGTTGAGATGTCTTCTTGGCCACAGGCTGAGGGTCTGGATGGGGCAGGTGCTCGGGCTACCCAGAGGGCAGGGCCGTTGACCCAAGAGCAGGCTGTTTTTGTGCCATGGCTGGAGTGGGGAGGGAGCCTCCACTTGCGCCTGGGGGGCTTCAGCTGATGTCGGCTGCACAAAAGCAGGAGATGCCAAGTCCAAGAGCCGGCCCTCCTGTCGTCCTGTGTGCTGCCACTTTTACATTCTGGGAAGAAAGCAGCGGATCCCCCAACAGCTGGGATGAGGCTGCCAAGCCCCCGCCCCAGCACCACTGAGCAGTCCAGGGCCTTGGCGCCGCCTCTTCCTGGGCCTGGCTGGGGATGGAAGCCCCACAGGGAGACCGAGGTGGGCCTGGCGTCAATTGGCAGCCTCCTGAAAGTTTCCTTTGTTCTCCCGTTGCTGCCTTATGGACAGGAGGTGGGGGTGCTTTTCCTGGCACAGAGCGAGTGGCAGGGGGCCAGGTGGGGGCTGTCTTTGGGTGCCATCTGCATGGTGGGCAAGTGAGGGGCAGGGCCCAATCGAGGCCGAGGCTCTGGAGAGGTGGACTAAGGAGCCACCTAAGGACGGGCAGGGCTGTCCAGAGTGTGGGGAGGTCTCTGCCCCAGCCCAGTTGTCTGCAGTGAGTGGCGTCCGACAGCATGGCCTTGAAAGACTGGCACCCATCAGTTTGTCTGGAGGTCTAGGAGCCGTCTGCACACTGGTCACTGGGGCCCAAGTTTAGGAGGGGCCCAAGTTTAGGAAGGGCCCGTGGAGGCCTCCGTGGGCCAGGGTTGCTCCCTGGCTCTGAGCAGGTGCCGTGTCCTCCAGACACTCCAGACCCCAGGTTCCCAGGACAGTGAGTGAGTCCCAGCTCTGATCGCAGGTCCAGGCTCCCTCTGGTGGTTCCCAGCCGGCAGCCGGCCTGTTTGATGGTGTTCTTCCCAGCATGGCAACAGCCAGGAATTAGCACTGAATGTAGAGTTCCAGCCACACCAAGAGCTGCCAGATAGACACAGAGCAGCTTTTTGAAGCACCTGGCTTAGGACTGTCTACATGGGACCATGGGCCACAGCCCCCGACAAAGCCTGCCAGGGAAATTGGTGCTCACCCAGTGCCCCTACATATTGGATCCTAGCCTAGCCTGCATCACAGACTTCAGGGGCCCCTCCTGCACTACAGAAAACCAGCCATACCTCCCCTGTAAACTTGAGTGAGCCATTGAGGGGATATCAGCTCTGTGTTCCTGGCAGGGTTTCATCTCAGAACAGAGCAGCCAGGGAACAGCCCTTCGGAGCTGCTCACCCAGAGCCCACTGGTCTGGATCCCTCCCGCTGGGCTCCCTCCTTTTTATTAGAACAGTAAAGTCTGCAACAGAACACCACCTCACCTTTCCCCACACTAGCTCAGGAACAGACAGAATGGACTAAAAATAGTTGAGCTAGGTTTCCAAGTCCAGGATGCACAACTCAGGCCGAGCTTGGGCCAAGGAGCTGGACGACAAGTTGCCCGCTGTCCCCCGAGGCAGGAGGCATGAGCCCTTCTGGAGAAGGAAGGCAGACGTTGCCAGGTTTTCTGAGTCCCTGCAAGATCAGAGTCGCTCCTTTTTAGGTCTCCCGGGAACAGCGCTGAGGAGCGTGTTCCTGCTGCGGAGGGAGTGTGCTCCTGGCAAGGGGCCGTGGGCTGGAGTGTAGACAGAGCCTCTGTGCTAGTGAGGCTTTGCCGAGTGACCTTGGGGAAGTCTGAGCCTGTGCTTGCCCGTCCCAGCTCTGCCTGCCTATAGGATAAGCAGGGATGGCCGTGCCTTCCGGCCCAGCCTGCCCTGGGGACCTTGTCCCCACCAGGCTGGGCACTGACTGGCTAGGACATTGCATTCAGTGTATACCAGGTGCCCTCTGGGTAGTTGGGACCAGTCGGTTTAGTGGTGGTCCCAGTTAGAAGGAGGCCAGAAATGTTCCAGGCTGAGGCCTTGCCCTACCCCTTGTGGATACTGACTTGTTAATGAGGCGGTAGTGTCCCCAGACATTGAGGTCAGCCCCTAGATAGAAACCCTCGAGTCCCCTACTCAACACTTGCCGCTGACCTCATCTGAGGCAGCCATCTGAGATCCAGACTTGGCCTCCAACCTGCAAAACAATGTATCTTTTTGCACTTGGAAAACCTCCGATGGGCTTCGGCGGCCAAGCCCAGCTGTGCCCAGCTCCATTCCAGAGCTCCCGTGGCCGACTCAGCAGGGTGTCCTGCCTCCATCAGTGGGGCTCCCAGAAGCCTGATGTTTGAAAGCCAAGCGGTGTGCTTTGCTTTTTTCTTTTTTCTTTTCTTTTTTCTTTCTCTTTTACTTTTCTTAGAATATGCTTCTAGAGACAAACACTTCTCCCTGAAGCTTAGGGGCTTGGCCCTGGCACCTCTGCCCCCTCGGCGAAGCTCGTGGGAGCCTGCACCCTCTCTCCAGGGGCTGCCCCGTTTCCCCCGGCCGGGTCGGCCCTCTCTCTGAACTGCTGCCTGTGTCTGCCCCTCCCTGCACACTGACGACTTTTGCTTAGTGTGGTAGCGTGTCCCAGTGTGTGCTGTTCTGCCTAACCCTGTGGTCTTGTGTCGTTTCTTTTTCCCTTGCAGGGTCTGCCCTGAAGCGTCTCTGCCTAGGCAAAGAACACAGCAGTAGTAATTATCCGGGTTTTTTCCCCTTTGTCCTCTCTCATCGCATGGGCTTTCTCGTGGCTAGCGCACATCAGGGTTCCCGCGGCCGGGCGGGCGTGGGCCTGCCCTGTGCCTGCCCCGCGCCTGCTCCATGCCTCTCGGCCGGGCACTGCTTCGCTTCTGCCTGGCGGGATCGCTGTCCTCGGCTCCCCCGTGTGTCTCGTGGCGCCTAGAGTTTGTGCGGTCTCGCCAGTTCACATCTAACGGGCTTATCCTTCCCCGGAACACCCGCAAATTGCCGATCATTAATTGGCTCCTTTTCCAAAACCGTAGGAATGAGTATTTCCTTGAAGTCCTAAAGATGAGTGCCTCCCCACGAGGAGAGATGCCAGGACTGAGTGGGTATTAGTCTCCTTGGGCCACTCACCTCTCTCTCTCTCTCATCTCTCTCTCTCGAAAAAATATTTTTTTTCTTTTCTGGCTGAACTTTTCATGTAGGAATAGCTCCATGTGTGTCAAATCTCATCACTAATTTTTAATTGTCTGTGTCTGTGCTTTTTCATTGCTAGCCACTAAAGTCCACTACATTTTGGGACAGCTTGTTTGAAGAGATGGTCATTAGATTGTTTCTCTATGCAGAAAATTTTTGAATTGGCTTATTCAAAATTGCCAACGAGAAATTACATGTGTTGCCTGGAAAGGGTATGATTTAAAATTTTTAAAGTCTCATTTTAGTCCCTTAAAAAACACTTTGAATGAAGCAGCCGAGTGCTCTGGTGTGCTAATGGTCAGCAGAGCGGCTCCCAGCTCCCTCCTGCAGCAGGGCGTTTGGCCGCAGCCCATGGCAGGAGCTGGTGGGGCCGCGTCAGGCAGCCCCAGGCATGGGTACCCTTTATGAATACCTTCCTCGAATGCGAATGCGCTGGTCAGGACAATTTCTATGTCTGGAATTCCAAACAACCAGACCATTAAAATTCATGGGAATGCAAGTCAGGCAGCCCTGGCAGGCATTTTCCCGTGGGCCAGGGGGCTGCCTGCAGGCCAGCCCGCCGTGTGTGCTGAGCGCTCTGCACACGGTACTCCACCGCCCCGCGTCCTCATGTTACGGCTGAGGATGCACAGGCCAGAGAGAGCCCGAGGAACCTGACTCTAGGCACCATGACTCCGAAGCCCAGTGTGTCTGGCTGTGCCAGGAGTTTCCTGAGCTCTCTCACACGTGAGTCTGGGGATGGGCAGCGGTGGGCACAGAGTGGATGCTGAGCAGAGGCTGCCGGCTGCTGCAGAGTCCTGTCCCCTGGCCTGGCTTCTGAGGTGGGTGATGGCCACCTGGCACAGCCCATGGAAATGCCCCACCATGTCTGACCCTGGGCAGCCAGGCCCCTTAATCCGACCGCCTCTTGAAGCAAGGTGCTGCCTGGCCCAAGTGAGACCATTGTCTCAGCTGTCACGTAAGAATGAATGCGGCCAGCCCACTGGGGGCCTGGGTGCGTGTGTGGCGTCACCAATCCTGGCCTGTGTGTGACTCCCCAGGGTCCTCCACCAGCAGCCTGGCCCCAGGCCCTGAGCCAGGCCCCCAGCCCGCCCTGCACGTCCAGGCGCAGGTGAACAACAGCAACAACAAGAAGGGTACCTTCACGGACGACCTGCACAAGCTGGTGGACGAGTGGACGAGCAAGACGGTGGGGGCCGCGCAGCTGAAGCCCACGCTCAACCAGCTGAAGCAGACCCAGAAGCTGCAAGACATGGAGGCCCAGGCAGGCTGGGCTGCCCCTGGCGAGGCGCGGGCTGTGAGTGCGGGGCGGGTGGGGCGGGTGCTCCTGGGGTGGGGTAGCCTTGCCTCCAGCATTTGCTAGTGCCCTGTGTGGCAGAGGGGTGTCCAGTTAAGCTCTTCATTTTCATGATCCAAGTTCATTCTCCCCACAGCCCCAAGAACTAGGCTTGTCCACTTTACAGATTGGGAGGTGAGCGACGCACCCACAGCTCCGCAGCTGGCAGGTGGAAAGGACAGGCCAGGCCAGGCCAGGCCAGGGCTGTGACTCCACAGCTCAGATACAGCAGCAGCCCCAGCCTGGGCAGCCCAAGCCCCGCACTCAGAGCAGGTAGCCCTGGTCTTGGCAGACAGGCCCACCTCTGCCTGAGTTCTGTTTGTGCCCAGGCTGGAGACCAGGGCAGGTGTGCATGTCACCCAAGTGACACCAGCGTCTGGCCATAGCTCACACGCACCTGAGCCAATGTGGGGCGGAAGTGAGGACCTGCTGTCCTAGGTTTTCACACCTAACTTGTTTGATGTCAGCGCGAGTTGGAGAAGCATCTGCTGTTTTTCAGCTTTCTGGAGGGGTTTGTGGAAGACTGGTGTTATTTCTATCTCAAATATTTAGTAAAGGTCATTTGTGAATCCATCTGGGCTGGAGTTTTGTTTTTGTATTTTTTAGCGTGGGATACTTTCCTCTATGATCTTTAACCTTAAAATTTATTTTTCAAACAGAAGAGTGAACATCCATAGGACCCACTACGTACACTCTAATTGATATTTTTGCTGTATTTATCACACACCTGTTCATTCCTTGAGGGTACAGTTGTTACTATGGATTCAATTTCTTCTACACTTTTAACACCATTTGGATTTTCTGTTTTGTTTTGTTAAATTCTGCCTTTCTGACAATTGGTATCTCTCCTCTAAATTTATCTAAAATTTTAAATTAATTGCCATAAAAGTATCCATAATAGCTATTATTTTTTCCATTTGCAGGATTTACAGTGATGTCCTGATTTCATTCCTGATGTTGGTGATTTCTGCCTCCTCTCTCTCTGCCTCTCCTTCGCTCTTTCTCTCTCTTTATGCAATCTCCTTAGGGGTGTACATTTTATTAGCCTATTCAAAGAACACATTTTGTGTTTGATAGTCTTTATTGTATGTTTCATTAATTTATTTTCTTATTTCTTGCCTTCTATCTTTGGGTGAATTTTGTTGTTCTGGAAAGTTTCTTATGATATGTTCACTGATTTCTAGCCTTTCTGTTGTGATGTAGGCATTCAAGGCTATAAAGTGCCCACTAATGGTTTTAGCTGCATCCCAAAAGTATGTGCAGCATTTTCATTAACCTTTGTTTGAAAATATTTTATAATTTCTGTTGCTATTTGAAGTAAGTGTGGTTGTTAGTTTTCAGATGACCTTTTGTCAGTGTGTTTTCGTGTGGCTGCACTGTGGTAGGAGAGCAGACTTAGTGCTTGCGGTTTGTGGAGATCTTCCAGGACTGGCTCTTGACCCGGCTGTCAGTCTTTGTTGCTGTTCCAATGATGCTGGAGCTGAATCTGTTCCCTTCTCTCCACATCCACACTCCCAAGCTCCGCCACTGTGACTTCTGTTCTGAATGACTGCAGGGTCCTCTTGACAGGTACACCTCCGCCAGTCTGAGTCCTCAAATTTATTCTCAGTGGAACCCCATTATTCTAGGACAAAGTCAGGACTCCTGAACATGGTCCCACAGCTCTGCGAGGCTGCACCCGGAGCCTGGGCAGGCTCATCTCTGCTGCCTGGGCTCCAGCTATATCAGCATTCAGGATTAGCAGTGCTAACTGTTGTTCAGATGTTCTGGATTCTTTTAAGTGTTAAGGGTTTTTTTAAACTTTTATTTTTGTCATGGCAAAAAAATATATATATATATATAAAACACAAAATTTACAATTTTACACATTTTCAAGCGTACAGTTCAGTGGCATGAAGTACATTCAGAGCATTGTTTAACCATCACCATCCATCCACTGAACCTTTTCATCTTCCCCAGGGAAACTCTATCCCTATTAAACACTAGTTCCTCAGCCCCCTCTCTGGCACCTCTGGTTTCCCAGGCCCTGGTAGCCTCTATCCTTCTTTCTGTCTCTATGACTTTGACTACTCTAAGTACCTCATAGAAATGGAATCATACAGTATGTGCCCTTTGGTGAATGGTTTATTTCATTTGATACAATGTTTTCAAGGTGCATCCATGTTGTAGTATGTATCAGAACTTTTTAAAATCAGCCAGGCGTGGTTGCACATGCCTGTGGTCCCAGCCACCCGGGAGGCTGAGGTGGGAGGATCGCTGGAGCCCAGGAGTTGGAGGCTGCAGTGAACTATGATTGTACCACTGTACTCCAGCCTGGGTGACAGAGAAAGATCCTGTCTCAAAAATAAATAAATTCAGAATACTGTGCAGCCACCACCACTGTTCATCTCCATCTCTTTTTATTGTGTGAAACTCTGTACCCATTAAACAATAACTCCCTATTGTCCCTCCCCCAGCCCCTGGGAACTTCCATTCTGCTTCTGGTCTCTCTGACTTTGACTCCTCTATGTACCTCATAGAGTGGAATCACACGGTATCTGTCTTTTTCCACTGGCTTATTCTACTTAGCAAAATGTCCTCCAAGGGCACCCTTGATGACATCCATGTTGTAGCATGTCCGAATTTCCTTTCCTTTGAAGGCTGAGTGATAGTTCATTTTATCTGGTACCACATCCATTCTCAGGGGAATCCTGTTACGGGATTGTCTGTCAGTTCTGTCAGTGGACGCTTGGGTGGCTTCCATCTTTTAGCTGTTATTAATCTGCTGTGAACATAGGTGTACAAGCATCCCTTCAAGACCCTGCTTTTATCCTTTTGGGTATAAACCCAGAAGTGGAATTGCTAGATCATATGGTAATTGTATGATAGTTTTTCGAGGAACTATTTTCAGTAACAGCTATACCATTTGACATTTCCACTAACAGTGCACAAAGGTTCCAGTTTTTCCACATCTGTGCCAACAGAAGATTTCCTTTCTGGGTTTTTTTGTTTGTGTGTGTGTGTGTGTGTGTGTGTGTTTTGAGACGGAGTTTTGCTCTTTTGCCCAGGCTGGAGTGCAATGACACGATCTTGGCTCACTGTAACCTCTACCCTCTAGGTTCAAGCAATTCTCCTGCCTCCCGAGTAGCTGGGATTACAGGCGTCTGCCACCACGGCCAGCTAATTTTTGTATTTTTAGTAGAGACGGGGTTTCACCATGTTGGTCAGGCTGATCTCGAACTCCTGACCTCAAGTGATCCACCCGCCTCGGCCTCCCAAAGTGCTGGGATTACAGGCGTGAGCCACCGTGCGCCACCGCGTTCAGCCATCCTTTCTGGTTTTTGATGGTAGCCATCCTCTCAGGTGTGAAGTGGTATCCTGTGGTTTTGCTTTACATTTTCCTAATTGAGTAGTGATATTGAGCGGCTTTTCATGTGCTTATTGGCTGTTTCTATGTCTTCCTTGAAGAAGTATTTATTGAAGTCTTCTGCCAATGTTTGAATCAGCTCGTTTTTTTCATTGTTGAGTTTTAGGAATTTTCTGCATAATCCAGATATTAATCCCTTATCAGATATATGATCTGTTGATAGTGCCTTTGGATGCACGAAAGTTTTAAAATTTGTCTTGTTTTTCATTTGTTGCCTGTGCCTTTAGTGAAATACCCAAGAAATCACTGCCAAATCCAGTGTTGTGAAACCTTTTCCTTAAGTTTCCTACTAAGAGTTTTCTGGTTTTCGCTTTCACATTTAGAACTTTGGTCCATTTAGAGTTGATTTTTTTTCTTTTTTCCTGAGATTGTGTCTCACTCTGTCGCCAGGCTGGAGTGCAGTGGCATGATCTCAGCTCACCGCAACCTCTGCCTCCCGGGTTCAAGCAATTCTCCTGCCTCAGCCTCCCAAGTAGCTGGGACTACAGGCTTGCACCACCATGCCCAGCTAATTATTTTATTTTATTTTTAGTAGAGACGAGATTTCACCATGTTGGCCAGGATGGTCTCGATCCCTTGACCTCATGATCCGCCCGCCTCGGCCTCCCAAAGTGCTGGGATAGAGTTGATTTTTGTGAGGCAAGGCAGGGCTCCACCTTCTTTTTCTGGTATGTGCATATCCAGTTTTCCCAGCAGACGTTGTTGAAAACTGCTTTCCCCTTTGAATGGTCTTGGCCCCCTTGTGGAGAGTCACTGCAGCATAAGAGTTAGCCTTCATCTCTGGGCTCTCCTCTCCTGTGACTCCCGTAATGTTTTACTCATCCACTTCATGGTGGACCACCCTCTGGCTCTGTCCACTCTGCCACTTTTTTCCTCTGCTCCTCACAGGATCATTTCCATTGTAAGTGTCTCCAGCTTGCTGATTCTTTATTCTGCCTGCTCAGATCTGCCGGTGAACCCCTCTAGTGAATTTGTAAGTGTCAGTTATTATTTTCAGCTCTTCTAGTTCCATTTGATCACCTTCATAATTCCTATCTGTTGATATCCTCATTGTGTTCCTCTGTGATTTTCCTGACTTCCTGTAGTTCTGTGTCCATGGCTTCCTTCAGTTCTTCGAGCACATTTAAGACAGTCGGTTTAAAGCCTTTGTTTACTAAGTCCAATGTCTAGGCTTCCTTGGGCATGTTTTTGTCAGTTAAATATTTTCCTTTGAATGAGTCATACCTTCCTGTTTTATTTGCTTTAGATTTTAGGTCACTAAATTTTTCTTTGTGTCTAAACTGCTGTTAAACCTATCCATTCAGTTTTTAATTTGGGTTATTGTGTTTTTCAGTTGAATTTTTTTTTAACCGTATCTCCTGTATCTTTAAAAAAAAAAAAAAGTTTCTGACTCTTTACCAAAATTCTCTATCTTGTATCTCCTTCACATAATATTTTTTAGTTTTTGTTTGCTCTTTGTCCTAGTTTTTCTTTATATTGCCTTGTCTTTTCTTGTGACTTTTTAAATATTCTGTGTAGGACATTGTAGTTGAAATTGTATTTGCAAAAAGAATTTGAGGTCTAGTAATAGGTTTCTCATTATTGTTTAATTTGCCTTAGAGCAAATTAAACAATTTTCATATTCTTATATTTTCATATTCTTATCAGCCGTCTTTTAAAAAGTGCCTGGTCAAGGATAGTGACCATTTAAAAGTTGATTTGTTTAACTTTTTATTATTGATTTGTGGGAGTTCATCATATATCTTTTGTCATATACAAGGGGGCTTCCAAAAGTTCACAGAAAAATGGAATTAAAAGATAAAAGTAAGAAATATATGGCTGGCCATGGTAGCTCACACCTGTAATCCCAGCACTTAGGGAGGCTGAGGCAGGTGGATTGATTGAGTCCAGGAGTTCAAGACCAGCCTTTGCAATATGGCAAAACCTCATCTCTACAAAAAATATAAAAATTAGCTGGGCTGCTGGGTGCAGTGGCTCACGCTTGTAATCCCAGCACTTTGGGAGGCTGAGGCGGGTGGATCACCTGAGGTCAGGAGTTCAAGACTAGCCTGGCCAACATGGTGAAACCCTGTCTCTACTAAAAGTACAAAAAAAAAAAAAAAATTAGCCCAGCATGGTGGTGGGCTTCTGTAATCCCAGCTACTCAGGAGGCTGAGGCAGGAGAATCGCTTGAACCTGGGAGGCAGAGGTTGCAGTGAGCCGAGATTGTGCCATTGCACTCCAGCCTGGGCGACAAGAGCAAAAGTCCGTCTCAAATAAAAATAAAAAAACAGCTGGGCATGGTGGTGCATACCTATAGTTACAGCTACTAAGGAGGCTGAGGTGAGAGGATCGCTTGAGCCCAGGAGGTCAAGGCTGCAGTGAGCCGAGATAGTGCCACTGCACTCCAGCCTGGCGACAGAGCAAGACCCTGTCTGAAAAAAAAAAAACAGCTGGGCATGGTGGCACATACCTATAGTTACAGCTACTAAAGAAGAAATACACGCTTTTTTCTTAACACAAGCACCATCAAGTTCAAGACACTTATAAGCAATGATGCCAGCCATTTATAAGCAATGATGCCAGCCATTTATAAGCAATGATGCCAGCCATTTAGTCCCTCCCTAAAGACCTAATGGTCCTGGGAATTTAACCATGGCCATGGAGTCTTTTTTACATTATTAATTGACAAAAAATGGGTGCCCTTTACAGATGTTTCAAAATTAGGAAGCAAAAAGAAGTCAGAGGGAGCCAAATCAGGACTGTAGGGTAGATGCCTGATGATTTCCCATGGAAACTCTTGCAAAATCACCCTTCTTTGGTGAGAGGAACGAGCAGGAGCATTGTCGTGATGGAGATGGACTCTCTGGGGAGGCTTTCCCGGGGGGGGTTTTGCTGAAGCTTTGGCTAACATTCCCTAAACATTCTCATACTAAGCAGATGTTACATTCCTTGTTACCCCTCCAGAAAGTCAGCAAGCAGAATGCCTTAAGCATCCCAAAAGCTGTTGCCACAATGTGCTCTTGACTGGCCCACTTTTGCTCTGATGGGACCACTTCCAGCCCTCAGCACCATTGCCTTGACTGCACTTGGTCTTCAGGACCATACCAGGAAAGCCACGTTTCATGTCGCTATAGTTCAAAGAGAGCTTCAGGATCTCCATCCCACTTGTTCAAAGTTACCACTGACAGCTCTGCTCTTCTCTGCGCCTGATGTGGGCGCAATGGGTTTGGCACCCATTGAGTGGAAAGTCTGCTCAACTTTCATTTTTCTGTCAGAATTGTGTAAGCTCAACCTACTGAGCTGTCTGTGGTGTTGGCCACTATTTCTGCTGTTAACCACCCGTCCTCTGCACTTACGGCTCAGACCAGATGAGTGTTTTCCTCACAAAGTGATGCGGATGGCCTGCCGCTGTGGGCTCCGTCTTCAGCATGGTCTCATCCCTTCTTAAAACAAGTCAACCATTTGTAAACTGCTATTTTCTTTGGGGACATGGACCCTGTAAACTTTTCAGAAAGCATCAGTGATCTCACCATTCTTCCACCCAAGCTTCACCATACATGTGATGTTGGTTCTTGCTTGGCAGAATTCACGTTATTGTGATAGGGGCTCTTTTCAAACTGAAGTCTTCTCCTTCTTAGTGCCTCAGACTACCTCCTCTTCAGACATGCTGCAATAAGTTAGTACAAGTTTATTTGGGTACAAAGATTTTTTTTGAAAGTCATGCATAGTTTTTTCATGGTATGTCTTTTCCATGAACTTTTTGAAGACCCCTTGTGTGTGTGTGTGTGTGTGTGTGTGTGTGTGTGTGTGTGTATATAATGGATATAGTCTACCAATCTGTGGTTTGTGTTTTCACTTTCTTAATGGTGAACATGAAATGGTAAAAATTTTAATTTTTTTTTTCCTAAAAGCTTTGCAGCTTTAGCTATTGCTTTAGATCCCATGAGCCATCTCAAATGAACTCTTGAGTATATTTTGATGCAGAGGTAAATCTGTTTTTTTCCTCTCTGCATATCTGATCGTTCCAGCCCCTTCCTCTCCATATTGAATTGCACTGAATTGAGCAGACATTCGTCAAGTGGTCGTCTGTGTGTAGGTCCATTTCTGAATTTGCTATTTTGTTTGCTTTAGCAATTCCCTTATCATTGTGGCAACACCACACTCTCTTCATGACTGAAGTTTTCTAGGAAGTTTAATCTTTGCTCAGGAAAGACTTTCAGTGTTGATCTTCTTCAAGAAGTTCTTGATTTTTTTCAGGTCGTTAATATTTCCATATGTTTTAGGAACAGCCTGTCACTTTCTGCAGGCTAGCCCACTGGGATTTCGGCTGGGAGTGGATTCAGTCTGTTGATTATCTGGGTGAGGTTTGACATATGAACAACATGAGCGTTCCTGTGAATGTAGTGTCCGTTTACTGGCATCTTTTTTGTTTCTCTGCAGTGTAAAGATGTTATACCTCTTTCATTAAATTTATCCCTAGGTAGCTGATGTTTTGGAATGCTATTATAAATGTTATTTTTCTTTAAATCTCCTTTTCCAGCTTCCTGTTGCTAGAATATAAAACTATGGTTGACTTTCGTACCCCATATCCTGCAATTGTGCTAAATTTGCTATTAGTTCTAGAAATTGGTTTGTCCATTCTTGTGGGTTTTCTGCATACACAGTCTTGTCATCTGCATGAGGCCAGTTCTCCTTCTCTCTGTCCAGTCTGTGCGGTTGACTCCTTTTCCTCCCCGCCTGGAGATCCCCGTGGTGTCGACTGGAAGCATGGAGGCACCTTGGGGAGGTATTGGGCATTTTGTCGTGGGCAGGGGCTCAGCTGTCGGTTCCATAGAGGACCTTCCAGATAAGGAGGCCCCTCCAGCCCCTGACTGCCGAGCTTGATTTCCAGGAAGGGTTGTGGAAGTCACCGAGTGCCCTCCATGCACCTGTGAAGAGTGCCCAGTGGGGCCCTCCCTGGAGTGGAGAGGAGTGACTCCCCGTGGCCAGCAGCCTTGCCTTCCTGGGGCACACCCCGCATACAGCTTCTCCCCGGGCTGGGACAGTGGAAGGGCTGCCTTGCCATCACCTCCCTGCACACTTGCTTTGCCCAGGTCCTGGGGCTCTGCTCCTGCCAGCTCCTGGGTGGTTCATGCTCCTGTGAGGGCACTGACCAGCCAAGCAGGAGGGCTTTGTGGTGGCTGAGTAGAGGCATGTGGGGTCACTCATGCGCCCTCAGGGTCCAGGCCCCACTAGTCCTCCTCCAAGTCCCATTTTGGCTGGTGGACACCCAGGTGTGTGGCCTAGAGGCTATCAGGCTGCAGCTTGGGGAAGCAAACAAGGGAGGGTGATGGTTCCTGGCCCCACACCATCATTCTGGTGTCAGCCCTGAGAGGGTGCCTGTCACAGCAGGTTCCAGGACTGCTGCCTCCTGAGGATGGAGAAACTGTGGCACCCTGGGGGCCACTAAGGGAGGCCAGCTGATTGCAGCCACGTGTACCTTCCTCTTCTCGTCTCTGTGTTTTGTAGATGACCGCACCTCGAGCAGGAGTGGGGATGCCACGTCTGCCCCCAGCGCCCGGCCCTCTGTCCACCACGGTCATTCCCGGAGCCGCCCCGACCCTGTCCGTGCCCACACCAGGTACTGCCCTCTCCAACCTCCCAACCCCACCCTGTGCGCTGCCTCTGGGTCAGTACAGAGGCCTGCTCCCAGCTCCAGTGTCCTGGGGGCCCTGGGCAGGCCAGGTGGGCCAGCTGGGGGCACAGGGCAGCTGGAACACCCCCCAGGTGCCCGTGCTGCCAGTCTTCTTGCAGCCACCTGTGGTCAGCATGCCTGGCCCCCGGCTGCGGATCACGTAGCCTTCTGCCCTGTCCCTTGCCAGATGGCGCCCTCGGAACCGCCCGGAGAAACCAGGTGTGGTTTGGCCTCCGAGTCCCCCCCACCGCCTGCTGTGGGCACAGCACTCAGCCGCGAGGGGGACAGCGGGTGGGCAGCAAGACTGCTTCCTTTGCGGCTTCAGACCCTGTTCGCTCCTAGGTTCCTGTGGTCCACGCGCCGTCTCCACACCCACTTCCTATACTTGAGTTGATGGTTAGAACCTTGTCGTCACCCTGCAGAAGTACAGTGCCTTGAATGCCAGCTTTTCCGTTCCCTGATGAAAAGATATGTTAAAAAAAATTATCGGAAAAGGTTTCATTTGCAATTGGCTTGTGCATTGATAATCTTTATTTACTGTTTTAAGTTGCAGAGATGTGAATGGTTTACAAATCTGAAGCTGAAGTTCAATCTTTGGTTTTCTGTTGTAAATGCCTTTTACAAACATTGAATTAGCTACCTTAAGTATTGAAGAGCTTCCATTGCTAGGTGAGCCCTGCTTTGTCCTCAGTAGAGTGCCGGTTCCCTGGGCTCATCCAGGGGCTGAGAGACGGCGGGACGCTGGGGCAGGGCACACTGGCGGAGCTGCTTGCTCAGTAGGGAATGTCAGTTGTTGCGCTGGGCCATGAGAAATCCGCCAGAAAACGTTAGGTGAGCAGACATGCCCCCCATGCCAGTGGGCTGCTGTGAGTGAGGATAAGGTGTGTGTTGGGCATAGAAACCCTGGCTGCCCGCCCACCCTGTGGAGACAAGTGCAGCTCCTCCAGCTGGAGAGGCTGCCCTCTCTCCTGCCCACTTCCCTCCCTTCTCCATGATTTCCATGGAGACCTGTGGCTCTGCTCACCCCTGGCATGCAGACCGCTCTCCCGTCCAGCCCTAAGCCTGCTCTGCGGAGGGCGGGGTCATTCTTCTCCTGGAGATTTCAGTGGGACTCGTCCCCAGTGGGCACAACACAGCCCTTGGTGGGAGGGGAAGGCCCCAGCCTCCTCCACCTCCCACTGGAAAGCAGACTGCTTGGGACTGCCCAGCTGTGAATTGTATAGTTTCTGTACTTATTAGAACTGGGTAAATTATTTTGGTTCAAATCTATTATTCCATCAATTCAGTTAGAATTGAATTTTCTAGGTGATTATGCAGAATCTTCTGCCAGGGCACGATGCTGTCGTAAGAGATTTCTGTTCTCTGTACTGGGCCCCCTTGCCCTGTTCCTTGAGTGAAGTGGGGGCTGCCCTCACCTGTCCCCCTTGCCTGTGAATCCCTTCCTTGTACATGGTGGTCAGTGGCACGGAATCCCCAATAGATTGTATATCTGAAGGAGAAAAATAAACACTTTTGCTCGAAAACAGTGTGAAACAACATCTTTTTCTTACCCTCTATCCATATAAAATCCAAAGCAACCAGCCTCCTAGGGAGCACAGGAGTTGGGAGCCAGTTCTGGGCTCAGCTGCATCCACACCTCTGGAGGAGGGTGCTGAGGGGCTGCGGGTGCTGGGCTGGGCTGTCCCCGGCAGGGGTCTGAGAGCAGGGCATCTGGCAGGGCTGCCTGGCCCCCAACACTGCCCCCGCCAGCTGTGGCCTGGGCCCCGAGCACGGTCAGCTCTGCTGGTCGGGTTAGCTGGCTGGGCTGCCCACCACTCTGCACCTGATTACACTTAGCAGTGCCACGGGCTGTGACCATGATGGAGGGAGCCAGCCTCCTGGTCAGCGAGACACACCTGCAGCCCCTGTCTCCAGGAGGCTTGGTTTGCATTACTTGCTGCAGCCCCTGGGGCCACCCTCTTTGCTCCAGATGGGCCGAGCTCAGGGGAAGTGGGAGCTCCTCAGATGAGCTTGGACTTGTTGAGAGGAGGACTTGGGGCTGGGGTTGCCCATGGATCATGCAAGGGGCAGTGGCTTTTCTGGTAGGCACAGGGGCCTTAGGGAAGGTGGCCATCCAGGGTGGGGCCTCATCCTGTGGGACTCAGCGCATGGTGGCAGCCAGCCCCCCAGCATCCCACTAAAGACAGCCTCGAGCTGACTGTGGTCCCTCCTGCGTGTGCATTGCAGGCCTCACTGTGAGCAAGCTGAGGGTCCCAGTGTCTCCTGCCCGGTCCACTGTGGGGGCTGCCTTGGCTGTGGGGCCACCTCCTCAGAGAGCTGCAGTGCCAGCCTTCGAGCTTCTGCATGGAGGGAGGAGGAACACTCATCCCAGAGCCTCCTGTTTTGGGTGTTGGAGGGCAGCTCACTCCCCAGATGCTCCAGACGGTACAGGAGCAGAGCGTCTGTTTGGGTTTCTGGCAGCCGTTCAGTGTGCTGACTGGTCACACAAAGAAGGGTGGTCCAGGTGACAGAGGCCGCCAGGGCTGTGCTGAGGACAAGACCATCTACACAGGGCGTGGGTCATGGCAGAGCTGGCGCAGCCTTCCCGTCGGCAGCTCCTGGGAGGGTGTCAGGGCCTGGCCCTTGGCGAGTGGCCAGCACTGCGGTGGGCCCACAGTCAGCTGCGCGGTTTTGTTTTCCAGATCCTGAGAGTGAGAAGCCTGACTGACCCCGCCTAGACGCCAGGCCCACTTCACGCCGTCTAAGTGGAGAAGTGACGGACCCTCAGGGCCAGCTGCTCCTCCTGTCCAGTTCACGCTGTTTTGTAACCACTTTCTAAGCATTTTTTATTCACAATTGGAAACACAAATGTAATGCAAGAATAAAAAATATTTTGGGGCAGAAAGGACTTTGGTTTTTCAAACTATTTCCTCTCTGGTGGCCCTCGGCCAGCCAGGTGACTGGGATGTGACAGGGGTGGGGGGACATTCCCAGGACCCTGGCATGCTCAGGATAGCCCTGTTCTCTGCAGGGCCCTGGAGGTGGCGGCCCCGGGGAGGCTGATCTCCAAGTCCCCCCGATGCCAGCTGGCACGGACTCGGGGTCCTGGGTGCCTCCTGGCCTTTGCTCACGGAGCTCCATGAGGCAGACCCTTCCCTCTGGTCTTTGGAGGCTTGAAGTCACCCACCACCCCCACACCCACCTCCCAGGCACCCTCCTTCCAGAATTCACCTGCACTGGCAGGGAAAACACCAGTGGCCTGGGGCCAGAAACCTCTGGCTGTGGGGTGGCAGGTCTGAGACCACTGGCTCCTTGGAGGGCTGCATACCCCCCACTCGTGGGAGGGGTCCTAAGTGTGAGAAACGAGGAATGTTGACATGGCCTCACCAAGGAAACGTGCCGTGGTAAGGTCCCCACACCCTAGCCTGGCCAGCAGGCACAGGAGCCTTATGCTGGGTCCAGAGGTCTAGGGAGAATTTGGGGTCCCATGCATCACAATGAAAAAGCATTGCATCTCTATTTTCATTAATGTCTAACTGCAATTTAGCATTTCCTCCACTAACAGCACCTGGACTTCATCACCACTAGACACCACAGATATTGCTGTGCCATGCCATTTACATCCATGACACAGTGCCCTTCCCTGAGATGTAAAACTGTCCAGCCGGCTGATGGAGCAGCGCTGCCTGCCTATCTCAAACATGAGTCTTCAGGGCACAGTGACGCTGCTTCCCCACGGGAGTGTCGGAGATGCCATCCCGCTGTGTGCGGGTGACCTCGGAGTCCTGGCTCTTCTCCGTGTGATCAGCAGGGTAGGCCTCCTCCAAGCCTCAGCTGGGAGCAGGGATGGCACGGTGCTAGGAACATGGCTTCCCTTGGTCTTAGTTTGTGTTCTCTTCTGTTGGTGGCTCATGTGACTGGTTTTCTGTGGACCATAGTAATGCAGTTTGCCTTTTCTTTTTTTTTTTTTTTTCTTCTTTTTTTAATGAGACCGAGTCTTGCTCTGTTGCCCAGGCTGGAGTGCAGTGATGCAAACTCAGCTCACTGCAACCTCCGCCTCCTGGGTTCAAGTGATTCTTCTGCCTCAGCCTCCTGAGTAGCTGGGATTACACGTGTGCGCCGCCATCACACCTGGCTAATTTTTGTATTTTTAGTAGAGATGGAGTTTCAGCATGTTGGCTAGGCTGGTCTCAAACTCCTGACCTTGTGATCCGCCCGCCTTGGCCTCCCAAAGTGTTAGGATTACAGGCCTGAGCCACCGTGCCCGGCCGCAGTTTGCCTTTCAAACTGCACATTTATTTTAATCATTTTCTTTAAGTGAATAATAGTATAAATGTCAATGGTAAAATTTGGTGGTAGTATGGTAGTAAACAGTAGTACAATGGTCAATGAAATGGTAATGGTCAAGCCAGCACCCTCTGAGGAGATTCTGCACAGTGCACTTCCAGGACTCTGGGGCCCCGAATCCCAGCTTCATCTGCTGCTCAGAACCACCTAGCAGCCCTCCAGGGCCGCTAGGAAAAGGCCCCAAGCCTCAGCCGCAGAATCCAAGGCTCTTGGTGTTCAGCCTCACCCACTAGACGCGTCCGTGCTTCAGGCTTCACTGCTGCTGCACAGCGTGCCAGCTGGGCCCGGATATTCTTTTTTTTCTTTTTCTTTTTTTTTTTTTTTTGAGATGGAGTCTCGCTCTGTCGCCCAGGCTGGAGTGCAGTGGCGCGATCTCGGCTCACTGCAAGCTCCGCCTCCCGGGTTCCCATCATTCTCCTGCCTCGGCCTTCTGAGTAGCTGGGACTACAGGCAGCCCTGCCACCAGGCTGGCTAATTTTTTGTATTTTTAGTAGAGACGGGGTTTCACCGTGTTAGCCAGGATGGTCTCCATCTCCTGACCTCGTGATCCACCTGTCTCGGCCTCCCAAAGTGCTGGGATTACAGGCATGAGTCACCGCGCCCAGCTCCGGATTCATTCTTGACCCTCCCAGTCCCGGGTTCTCTCCTCCTCTGGGTTCTATCACACAGTCTGGGTGGACAGCTCACGAGAGCCCCAGAGACCTCAGCCCCTCATGGAGAGTTCTCATGGGTGCATATTATTTGTTATGCTTGACTTCCTGAAAGCAGGGACTTAAAATTGTTTCTGATAGCCCTTCACCTTCCAAAACAGTCACTGAGTGAAGCTGGCGCGCAATGAATTATGCTGATGAAGGCAGACTCCTTTGGGCAGATGAAGCTTCCAGTGGGTGCTTATTGGCTCTGATCACAGCATTTCTGGGATGGAAAGGACCCTGCCAGGCCTCTCCTAGGACAGCAAAGGCAGCATCACCTGGGGCCAGTCCAAGCTCCTCCTGCAGGGTCAAGGCAGCCAAGCCACAGCCTCTGCTCTCCAGTGTTGTTTTGTTTTTAGCTGACCCCAGCATCCAACCAGACTTCCAGTGTCCAGGGTGATATTGCGCCTCATCTCCAGGCTGAACAGCTTCAATTCTCTGAAAAGTGCTTATTACTAAAGGGCTGGTAAGGCTAGGCGCAGTGACCTATGCCTGTAATCCCGGTGCTTTGGGAGGCTGAGGCAGGAGGATCACTTGAGGCCAAGAGGTCAAGGCTGCAGTGAGCCGTGATCACATCACTGCACTCCAGCCTGGGTGACAGAGTGAGACCCTGTCTCTAAAACAAACAACAACAAAAAAAACAAAAACAAAAATAAAACACCTGAAGAAGCCTGTCTTCATTCATTAGAGGATGCAATTAAGCCTGGGCCAGGACGCCTGCCTTCCAGGTGGTTAAGGGAGTTCAGCAATGGTGACCACTCTGTACACATCGTGGTTGTGGTCCCTGAACTTGGCTTTATTAGACTTGCCCTTGAGAGGGGGCAGAAGGCCCACATGCCACAGGCATCACTGTGCTGGTGGTGGCTCATGCAGTCCTGCAGAGGTGTGGAGAAGAGTCCCTCACCCTGAGAGGACACTGGGGGTCGAAGGCTGCCCGAGGCCAGGCTGGATGGGGAGACAATGTTGTCCCATGCAACTCTGTGAAGAATCATTCATTTCTCACTGTGGTGGACAGCAGAGACCAGGGTCCTGGGCTGCAGGGGTCGGAGCTGCCGCCAGCTGGTTCTGCCTCCCAGTGAGGCTGTGTGGGCCGGGGCAGGAGGGCTTTGGAGCAATAGCAGTTCCTAACAGTTGATCCTTTTGAGCCCAAGCCCTCCAAATTTGATCACCAGCTCAAGGTTCTGTGAGCTGCCAGACCCATAAATCCAGCTGCCTCTCCCCCTCTCCATGGAGACCCTCAAAGTCATCTTGAAGATGCTCCACGTTGTAAAACGATATCACTCCCAAGCTTCATGGGGTCTTCCCAGATGTCCCAGTTTCCGAGGCTGGCATGACCAGTCACCTGGTTCATTCTCAGTCTAGGACTCAGACTCATCCTTGTCCCCTCATTTCCCAAATGTGGGCTGTGAACAGCTGAGTAGATGTTTTAGCTGAAATGTCCCCAAACACCCTTCCATCCAGTCTCCTCACTGCAGCCTGCATGATCTCTTCAAACAATGGATGCTCTGGTCCAGCCTCCTTGCCCAGCTCTGCCCTCTCCAGGTCTTTCCTACCTGCTGCTCCCCTCATTCTGAGCCCCACCACTAGGCGGGGTCCCTTGAGCCCTGAGGGGCCCGGCTCCGTCCTCCTAGGGCCTCACAAATGCCTACTCGGCGCCTGGTCCCTGCTCCAGCCTCACTTCCGTAGGCAACCTCTCCAACTCAAGGCCGGGTCAGCCTGATGCCCCTGTGCTCCCTTCTGAACGTGGCCTTCCCTGTGGACCTCCTGTCTCACTTCTCAGAGTGTGACGATGCACCATGGAGGCCACAGGGGATCCCATGTATGTCCCCTTCCATCCCCCTCCAGCCTCCCCATTGCTGCCGGCCACCTGGGCACAGAAGTCCTGTCTGTTTCACTTCCTATTTCCTCCTGTTCCTATGAGGGAGGCGCTCAGCCTGATTCTGTGGAGTGAGTGAGTGGAGGCTGGGGAGAGGGAAGAGGGTGTGTGGATGGAGGAGGGGTGGGCAGGGGACGCGAGAGCAGCCAGATCCTGGGCAGGGTGAGGAACGAAGGTGAGGACGCAGCCCCTGGGGAAGCTCAGGCGGAGCTGGAGGAGCCTGCGGCTGCGTGGAGGGTAACAAGAGTCAGAAGCCACAGTGGACAGCCACGGTCCCCACAGGCTTACCTGTTCAGGCAGCACAGTGGGCTTAGGGAATGTTGACAGGCATGGGTTTCCCTTCTCGACCTGCTTTGAAATAAGAGCCAAGGACAGCACACCCTGTCAGGGAAACAGACAGTGCTGGAATTGGGTGACTTTGAGGAAGGTTCATACACAAGGGACTGTTTCCAAAAGTGTGGGTGTCTGGAAGGCAGTGTTGGTAGACAGAATAATGTCCCCTCAAGGGGCCCACATGTGAATGCCTGGTCCTGTGCATGTCATCTTCACATGGCACCAGCACCCTCGCTGATGGGACTTGGGACAGGATCTTCAGGTGGGGAGAGGCCATGATGAGCCAGGCAGATGCAGCATCATCTCAGGGTCCCTCCATGCAGGAGGGAGGGGTCAGGGGAGGAAGTGTGACAGCAGCAGCAGGACCCGGAGAGCAGATGCTGAGTGGAGACCAGGAGGGGAGGACCGGGCAGCAGCCCAGGGCCTTGGGCAGCCTGGGAAGTCCGAGAAGGCAGGAGGAGCCCCCAGCAGGAGCCCGCCCTGCCCAGACCTTGACTTTCGCCCAGCAAGACTGATTTTCAGTTTTGTCTTCCAGGACAGGAGGGTAATAAGTTTGTGCTGCTTGAGACTGCCAGGCTGTGGTGAGACCTTAGAGCAGCGTCAAGAAACACACGCAGGCAGGAACCGGAGGCCGTCCCCATCCAGCCATGACCGGCTCCAGGCCTGGGGCCGCCACAGGAGGGTCACGTTGGAGGAGCCCCAAGGAACACAGCTGTGAGAGTCACCCCGGAAGAGGAGCACGGCCTGCAGCCCACGACAGAGCCAGCTGAGGTGGCCTCGCAGGAAGGAGCTGGGAGGCTCAGCGCCTGGCCCCAGCCTGCCCCTGCCCCTGCTATCCTTCTGGGGTTCCCCGGGGGCTGGACCCCAAGGAAGCTGGCAGGACAGGAGCCTGTGAGAGCTACACCCTGCAGCTAAGCCACAGACAACAGATGGCAGACAACAGAGCCTGGGGGTGGGAGGACAGGCTGGTCACACCGTGGACCACAAGGTCAGGAGCCATGAGAGGCTAGGGGCCTGTGGGCTGGACCTGGGGAAATAAGCATCCCCTTCGCAAGTCTCAAGCGATGCCCTCGGATGGGCCCCAGCTTTGCTCTGCATCCGAATCCTGAGAGGAACCTGCAAAAAATACAGACATCCAGGCCCCACCCAGCAGCATCTGAATAAGACACTGAGTGGGGGAGGGGAGGGGGCGGTGGAGGGAGGCTGAAGGTGGATGCTTACTGCTGCACCCGCTTCCTCCCCCACTGTCTTCCTAGTAGCTCCTTTCCTGGGAGAACGACGTCCTGTCCTCACAGCATATCTGGAGACTCAGTGTCTGACTCAACACGACCATGCCCTTGACTCTGAGTGGAATACATGGGTCGCTTGTCTGGAATCCATGTGTGCCCGGTATCCCATGAGCTTGGCACTAGAATTAGCTTTTGGAGAGAGACTGGCAACTGCAGTCTCTTTTGGTTCCTCAGTAAACTGGAGGGACCTGAACTTTGCCCAGGCAGGCTTGACGTTCTGTTTATTCCACATATCATTGCTTCTGCGAGGACCTTCTCAAAACATAGGTGGTGTCTATTGCCCTCAAAGATGAAGAATCATCATAACCAAAAATGTGATATGTCCACAGTGGATGAATTAGCATAATAGTGAAGTGTTTGACTGTCCAGGGCTGCATTTAGATGAAGACTGAACTCACGCTGTCCACCTTGCTCACGAGTTGACATATACTTCCATATGGCACAGTTCAGGAAGAGATTGAACTCGGCTAAGCCATCCTTTTGTGACTTTGTATTTGACGATCCTAACTGGAGGAGGAAGCAGGAGTGAGAAGGAGGAACTGGAGTGAGAAGCAGGAGCTCCTAACAATGCAGGAGACACAGGCACCATGCGGAGAAACGCCCAGCGGCCCTTCATGACCCAGAGCCGGGGAGCTGGGTGCGGGCAGAGGCCGCTGCACATTCACCACGCTCACGCCACGTGCCGGCCTCAGGCTTGACAAGCTCAGGCCTTTGGTTAAAGCCTTTCTAGCACATCAATATACTTTTCATTCACAACCTATGCTGAAGTAAAGTGCACTCTACGTGGACAATATTCACAGCAATTTTAGAGACAGGTCTTATCCTCCCTATATCACTCCCAGTCATTGGTCCCACCTCTAAGAGGAAGACAAGTCTCTTAATAGTCAACAGACAGCTTCCAAAGTTTGTCTCTCTCCTCTAAGTATCACTGGATCTTCTTTTGTTCACAAGGATGCAGAACAATGTTCCAAGTACTGTTACGTTTCTAAACTTTAAGATTGTTCATTTTTAAGAAACAAATAACTATAACCACATAATTATGTATAACCAATAACTATAACCTTGATAATCTTTCAACATACTCCAAAAGGAAACTTTGAGTCCATTTTACATTCAGCAAGTTAATATTAAACTATGTGGCACATCAAAAGCTTTAAATTAATAATGTGTGTTTTAAATGTTACAAACCGTGTCAAGTGTACATCTAATATATGAACTAACAACTTAAAATACTACTGTTGAGTCGGCTATGAGTTCCTTGTAGTTAAATAAGTTATTACAAAGAGTATTGTTATAAAAGGTATGTGCTATGCCAAGCAATAACAAGATGTAGATGTGGTCACAAGCTAGCTATAGTAAAATGAAAAGAAAAAAACTCTGCTTGAGACCTCTTTTGTGTCATGATTTACCATAATTTTGAAGCAAAGTGTTTACAGCTGCTATTAAAATTAAAATTGAAGGGGAGAAACAAAGCACCCTGAAATTTGAATGAAAATTAAAAAGAAAAAAGTATATGAGCTGTCACACAGTATTTGTGTTTTCCTAGGATGCTAGATGTTACTACAAACTAAATCTCAAAAATATTTAAATAGTCTGAAAAATAAAGATCTATATAGACTACACTTTTGGAAAACTTCAGAACATTATCGAGAATTTAGTAAAGTGTTCTTTTTATTATAACACTGATTCAACTATGTGATCAAATCACTCATTAGTCTTCTAGGTAGTCTTTAAGAAAAGGAGTATGATGGAATGTTCTATCTTCTTAAGTCAAATCTACACAAGGATATTAAATCACATTAGAGTTTTGTTTTTTTTTAAATAGAGATGGGGTTTCCCTCTGTTGCCCAGGCTGGAGTGTAGTGGTGAGATGACAGCTCCCTGAAACTTCGACCTCCCTGGCTCAAGCCATCCTCCCGCCTCAGCCTCCTGAGTAGCTGACTATAGGCTCACATCACGCTGGGTTCACTTTACATTTTTTTTTTTTTTTTTGAGACAGAGTCTTGCTCTGTCACCCAGGCTGGAGTGCAGTGGTGCAATCTCGGCTCACTGTAACCTCTACCTCCGGGTTCAAGCCATTCTTCCTGCCTCAGCCTCCTATGTAGCTGGGGTTACAGGTGCCTGTACCATGCCCTGCTAATTTTTGTATTTTAGTAGAGACAGGGTTTCCCCATGTTGGCCAGACTGGTCTCAAACTCCTGACCTCAGGTGATCCGCCCACCTTGGCCTCCCAAAGGTGGCCAAGGCATGAGCCACCATGCCCGGCCCACTTTACTTTTCGTAGACATAGGGCCTCGCTATGTTTCCCAGGCTGGTCTCAAACTCCTGGCCTCAAGCAATCTGCCTACCTTGGCCTCCCAAAATGTTCGGACAGATGTGAGCCACCACACCTAGCCTAGAAATGTCTTACTTGCAGAAAGGTTCTAAAATGGCTAATTAAAGATTTTGGCATACTTAAATTAGTCCAAAAGATGAAACCTATTCTTTCAAATCAATGGATTGATGTGAGTAAGCATCACCAACCAAACAAGGAAACAACACAGATGGTGAAGCTCAGGTAACTTTTTCTTCACCTGTCCTTGTTGGATCAGCTGCTAGACGCTGATGACAAGCTCTATCATTTTACAAACTTCATGATTGTCAACTACAAGCTACAACAATTAAATATTCCTGGGGCTAGACACAGGGGCTCGTGCCTGTATTCCCAACACTTTGGGAGGCTGAGGAAGGCGGATCACTTGAGGTCAGGAGATTGAAACTAGCCTGACCAACATGGTGAAACCCCGTCTCTATTAAAAAATACAGAAAAAAGTAGCCAAGTGTGGTGGCAGATGCCTGTAGTCCCAGCTACTTGGGAGGCTGAGGTAGGAGAACTGCTTGAACCCGGGAAACAGAGGTTGCAGTGAGCTGAGATTTCGCCACTGTACTCCAGCCTGGGCGACAGAGCAAGACTCTGTCTGAAAAAAAAAAAATTCCCCAAATTTTGTTTTTACCTTCACTGTTTAATTTGAGTACAGGATAGTGTAATGTTGGTCCTCTTAATCACCCATTTTGCTAATATAATGTATAAGATATGTTCTACAATAAAACTTTACAGCTGCTAATATAAATAGCAGTATTCAGTTTATTCCAATTCTGAAATTAGTTCACCAAGGAAAAAAAAAGAATCAGGTACCATGTAAAGAATAACTGAAAATCCAGAAATACCATATTCCCAGATATTATCTTACCACTAATCATGATTTCGTATTTTATGCTATTAATTGAATAAATTCTGCTATTAGAATTTTGGAATTAAAAAAGCTTTTATTATTCTGATACCATCAGTTAGTTGTTTGCCAACTACTTTTTCTTAAAGGTCAGTGAATTGTGAAAGGCATATGTCACAGAAAATATAAGACACCTTGTGTTGCACTTTAAAAATCAAATTTTGGAGTTGGAATTATACTATTTAACTACTTTCTATGCTAGGTAATGTCACAAACTACTTTAAAATAGTTACATATAACATATAAATATTCATGAAACACAGGTTATATGTATAACTAACACCCATGGGTGTGGAAAAATACCATTCACTCCCAGTGTCTTATGCAATAAAAGAAATGTTTACTAACCCATTTACAAGGGCACATTTGCATTCTTTTCGCTATTGGCTCAGCCTCTGTTTAATGAATGTCCACAATCACTAAGTGATACCGTGGCAAACTCTACTCTTCCGAGATGGCTAAGAGACAGCTAATGATCATCACATTTTGTGAATAATTCCAAAGACCATAAAAAATGTACGTTGTAGGAAAATATAACTTTCAGCAAAAGCCACTTTTTCTGATGCTGCCGACCTGTGTATCAGGTGTTCTTGGAGGTGCAGCTATTTAGACACGACACCCTCCCTTCAGATGATGTAATCTTAAGGAATTTAGCAATTATGTGATTTACTAACATAAGACAGTATTTACTGACACGACCAGACAAACTGAAAAGGTCTTCTCACCTACTCCTGGAGTCTTCCCAGAATCCAGACACCCAGTGTAAGAAAACAGGTGTTGAAAGCTCTGCTGTCACTTCAAAGAGAATAATCACAACAATAAATGCAAAAGATAATGTACTAGAAACTGTGAAAATCTTAACCTAAGGTATGAAAATGTTCAAATAAAAATACTACTGCATGCTAAGCACACAGCAACAAAAAGAAGCACTGCAGAAATGGTTGTGAAGCTTTATGAGAGTAAAAACAAATGAAGAGGGGAAAACACAACAACCATTGAGAAATAAGGACAAAGAAGGCATTGAGGGAAAGAAGCACAGAAAAAAAGATTATCCCTGAAAGAAAATCTGTTGACTAAAAAAATCTGTTCTAAATACTTAATTTAAAAATGTCTATTCTAGGCCAGGTGCGGTGGCTCACGCCTGTAATCCCAGCACTTTGGGAGGCCAAAGCGGGCAGATCATGAGGTCAGGAGATCGAGACCATCCTGGCTAACATGGTGAAACCCCGCCTCTACTAAAAATACAAAAAAATTAGCTGGGCGTGGTGGCGGGCCCCTGTAGTCCCAGCTACTTGGGAGGCTGAGGCAGGAGAATGGCATGAACCCAGGAGGCGGAGCTTGCAGTGAGCTGAGATCGCACCACTGCACTCCAGTCTGGGTGACAGAGTGAGACTCCATCTCAAAAAAAAAAAAGAAAAATTTCTATTCTAACACACTGTCATTTGGGAGGCCTACAAAAACATTTCCTTAAAAAATTACCATGACTTCAACTATATTTTTAAAAAGCCTTGACACTTGGAAAAGACTATGATAATAACTAGAATAACTTGTCTCACTATTTACTTAGAAATATTCTATTTAAAAGTCGACCAACAATAGGAACTTTGCAATTGCACAACAGAGAAAGTAAATGAATAACACTCAGTGGCCATGGCGTGTTTCCCCATCTACTAGAACATTCTGTGACTTACACCATCTACCCTGAACCATTCACCACGTCTCCATTCACGCAGTGATTCAAATAGAGTTCCTGTGTTCATTCCACAATAAACCTCAGTAATTCGCACATCACAGTACTTGTAACCATTTGTTAACAGAAAGAGAACGAGTCTTCATATATGAGTTTCTTGTAGACACAGATAGCTGGGTCTTGATTCGATCCAACAGCCTCTTTCTTTTAATTTGCATATGTACATCACTGATGTTTAATTATTGATATATGTGGATTAAGAGCTACTTACTATATTTGTTACTGTTTTCCATTCTTTCTCCATGTCTTCCATTCTTTTTCTTCTTTCTCTTGTTTCAGTTGAGCACTTTATATGATTTGTTTTTTCTCTTTTCAGGGGGGCACAGGTTCTATAGTCCAATTATTAGGCCTGAGTCTTATAAGGAGTCTCTGGGCTGTGATCTTCAAATGTGATTCTCAGTCCCTGGCCCTGCTTAGCTGGAATGGGATAGCTATGGGGAGCTAGATTTGGGTGTTTCCTTTCCCTCAGATTAATTAGGTTCTTGTGAAACCCAGCAGGTTAGGCTCTGGTTAGGTAGTTTCTCCTGACAGAAGGCCTTGTTAAGAACAGAGTGTTCTGGCTGGGTGTGGTGGCTCACGCCTGTAATCCCAGCTACTTGGGAGGCTGAGGCAGGAGAATCGCTTGAACCTGGGAGGCGGAGCTTGCAGTAAGCCGAGATCGTGCCATTGCACTCCAGCCTGGGTGACAGAGCAAGACTCTGTCTCAAAAAAAAAGTGTTCTCTCACATTTTTAAATAATTCTCTTTTTCTTCCCCGCGCCAGAGGTACAAGGGATTTTTCTCCAATATTTACTGTGAGAATTTCGTAGAGATCTAGCAGGTAAAGTGCACAAAAGCATGTGGACCCCCACATCACCAGGCCCTCTGGAGTCTTCAATTCTCAGGTTTGTCCATGTTGAGCCTCCAACAATCTATCAATGACAGTTTAGGTTTCCTTGCACTCACATTGGTTCCTGCGGAGGTTTCTACTCATGGGCTTCTGCTCCACTATATTCAATGCATTCAACACGCTAGAACCCTTGCAGGAAACCATGAACATTGTCTCTACTTGGCAGCTGTGGACACATAAATCCAAATCACACCCCTGCACCTGCCAGAAGCAAAGGATGCCCGTGATCAAGGGTTTGACCCCAAGTCAAATGTCAGTTTCTGACCCCAAAGCCTTCAGGAACAAACACCCTCGTCTCCTCTGCCTTCATTCCTCTCAAGTCTAACATGTCTGTCTCTTCCTTATTATAATAAAAGTGGAAGCAGATTCAAGGAAATTAAGTTACTCCTAACACACAGCTTGAATCCAATATTTGATTACAGGGTGTACCCTGCATTCTTCATGGCACTTCATACTACAAGGATGGCAAAACACAAGACTCTGAGCAGGTCAAATTCCAGTGGCAGAAACAAGATGCATCTCCAGAAAACAGTAAAGATGCCATAACGGAGACAAAGACAATAAGCACTGCGAGAGGTCAGAGGGAGACCAGATGCCCAGAGCTCCAAAAAGCTGACGATAACCTTCACAGACAGGTAGGAGGTGCATACCCAGAAAAGACAGGACATGTTCGGGCAGTTCTACTCACTCCAAGTTCAGCTCATCCTAACAAAGATGATGATATGGTTTGGTTGTGTCCCCACCCAAATCTCATCTTGAATTGCAGCTCCCATAATTCCCACAGGTCATGGTAGGTATCTGGTGGGAGGTCATTGAATGTCTTTCCTGTGCTATTCTTGTGACAGTGAATAAATCTTACAAGATCTGATGGTTTTATAAAGGTAAGTTCCCCTGCACATGCTCTCTTGCCTGCTGCCATGCAAGACGTGACTTTGCTCCTCCTTTGCCATCCACCACGATTGTGACGCCTCTCCAGCCATGTGGAAACTCTGAGTCAATTAAACCTCTTTCCTTTGCAAGTTACCCAGTCTTGGGTAATGTCTTTATTAGCAGCATGAGAACAGACTAATACAGACAACTTGCCAAATTAGACGGGCAACTCGCATTCTTCTCAATCCCTCCCTGCCGGAGGAACAAGCATCTCAACTGAGACGTGCCCCAGTCACCACCCATGTTCCCAAGTCAGCACCTTGACCTGGTTTCCACATCTCCATCACTAGCACGGAACTCTTGTTGGGGTCATAAAGCTTACTTATTTTGCTTTTGTCTTACTTCTTACCTATGTTTCAGAGTTCAGAAAGAACATTTAACTAAGATGAAAACTGTATTGTACAGACACTTTGACCTTGATGACATGAGTCACATTTTACAACAAAATGCAGATGCCTTATAATTCTAGTGCATAAGGGCTTCCAAGACCATCAAGCAGTTCTCAAACTTCAGTGTGCAAAAGACTGACTGAGGTGCTTATTTAAAATGCAAATTTTGGGGCCCCAACCCAGAGATTCTGATTCAAAGGGTACTCAATATATTATCTTGTTAGAGGTTAATTTAAAACTTTGAATATTCAATTGCAACTCTTTACTTCATTTTAGAGTTTTAGCATTGCACACATAGCAAATAAACATTTATTAATTTTATACTTCTCTGCACATACAGCAAATCAACATTTATTAATTTTATACTTCTTTGCCATAAACAGGGTGTGCATCCCTGGATAGCAGTGAGCCCTTCAGTGACCTCTGCCCTGGGTCAACCGACATTCGTTCCCATTTTAAAGAGGGACAGAGGACAGAGAGGAAAGATCACCTGCTTCAGGTGACACACCAGGTAAGAACTGGCATGGAAACTAACAACTACGTCTCTTAGATTTCTTACATCAGAAATAGATGTAACATCAACCAGCCCTGGTTATCTACTCTGTGGAGTTCACACTAAGGAAAAAGAGACACTGACTTAAAGTAAAGACATTTTCTTTCTCTTTCTTTTTTTTTTAAAAAAAATATTAGTTTAAAGGGAGGGGAGGAGTACAAATTTAAGATTTCCTTGATCAGAATTTTTTTTTTTCCACAGTCGGAGTTTTGCTCCGTCACCCAGGCTGGAGTGCAGTGGCGTGATCTCGGCTCACTGCAGCCTCCAACTCCCAGGTTCAAGCGATTCTCCTGCCTCAGCCTCCAGAGTAGCTGGGATTACAGGTGAACGCCACCACGCCTGGCTAGTTTTTATATTTTTTAGTAGAGATGGGGTTTTACCATGTTGGCCAAGCTGGTCTTGAACTCCTGAACTCAAGTGATCCGCCTGCCACTGCCTCCCAAAGTGCTGGGATTACAGGCATGGGCCACCGTGCCCAGCCTCTTCGATCAGATTTTAAACAACTATATATTTGTGAACTCATTTACTCAGGGACACACAGTGTTTTTATTATTATTATTGTTTGTATTTTTTGAGATGGAGTCTCGCTCTGTCACCCAGGCCATAGTGCACTGGCGACATCTCAGCTCACTTCAACCTCTGTCTCCTGGGTTCAAGTGATCCTCCTAACTCAGCCTCCTGAGTAGCTGGGACTACAGGCACATGCCACCACGCCCGGCCAATTTTTGTATTTTTAGTACAGACGGGGTTTCGCCATGTTGGCCAGGCTGGTCTCGAACTCCCAACCTCAGGTAATCCACCTGCCTTGGCCTTCCAAAGTGCTGGGATTACAGGTATGTGCCACTGCATCCAGCCCGCACAGTGTTTAAAATATTCCTCTAAGGAAACAATTCCAGCCTGGGTCTAGGCAGCTTTCTAGGGTTTTGCTTGGGCAAACAGTGTTATTTCCAAAGTGTCCTGTAACCTGCTGAGTTTAGGAGAAGGAGTGGAAATTCAGAGCTCCCTTGATCCAGGAGCCAGAAGATTAATGTTTCGGGGGTCAGCAGGGGGTTGCTGTGACGGGTGTGAGTGGCACCACACCGGACAAATGCCCCCATGTTTTGGTCATCACACAAACCAGTTCTTGTCAAATTCCTCCCCAGAAAGTTTCCTGTGGCTCCAGGCCATGGGGCTGGGATGGTGCAGATTTTAAATCATGGAAACTTCAAGAACATACCTACTCTTCCTCTCTCCTCTCTGTCCAAGGAGCCCCCATCTGAGTACAGACTGACCGTCACCCACCTACAATAAACTACATCTCTGAGCAAAACACCAGCTGGGCTGGCAGGTCAGAAGGCAGCTTCCCCAGGTCACTACCCGCCAGGAAGCACCCAGCGACCCACGCACCACTCACTTTGTCGCCCCTCCGCTGCCCTCGTCGTTGTCGGAAGATGACGATGTAGAAGAGCCAGGGAAGTAGGCGGAATCCACGTGGTTGGGGCTGCCGCTCTGGGCCGGGTTGATGGGCAAGGACCGCTCATACAGCGGCGTGTGCTTCCCTTCGTGAGGAATGTTGCTGTAGCTGTTCTGCTCCGTCAGATTCTTCCCGCTCGTGTCCAAAGTGAGAGGTGCTGGCTCAGAGAGGCTGTACGGGTATGGACCCTGGCCCGGGGCGCCCCCTGGGCTGGGCACCTGTGGGGCCTGAAGCGAAGGGCACAGGTCACGCACACGTGGCCAGCAGGACCCGACTCAGGCCCAGGCTGACGTTTCCTGGCTCATTTTTATTTCAACAAACACTGGCATCTATTTCACGTATCAATTCAAGAGGTTAGGAACTTATTTTAGCATTCGTTGAAATTCAATGCACGCACCCTGTCTGAGACCCGCCACCCGACCCAACGCAGGGAAGGCCTTACCACGGGCTTTGCTTGCAGAGAGGTCTGCGGAATGTTGAGCATCTGAGGAGGAACATGCGGCGGCACCATCCCAGGCATTCCAAACGGACCGGGTCTGGCTGCTTCACCAACACAGAAAGAAAAGAATCACACAGCTGTGAACAGAATGCGTTTTCCAGGGCATCCTGGGGGCCAGCCCATGGCGCCAGGGATCTCACCCTCACCTGGCTCAGACATCGACACCACCATGGGTCCCACTTCTCAGAAATCATTACAAATTGCCATTTCACAGTAAGGAAAACTTAATTTTATGATGCTCCATTTGATGGACTCGGGCTGGGATTCTAACTTTCCAGATTTCTCAGTGAACTTGCCATAGTGGTTCTGCTCTCGTGTACTTCCTGAGGGCCTCGGCTGTCCCTCTGCCTGCAACTTGGTGGGGATTCTCTGTAACTCAGTCTCCCTGCTCAGGGCTGCTCCTAGCCTGAGGTCTCCTTGAAACCAGAAGCCCTGGCAGGCATGAAAGGAACAAAGTCGGACCGAACAGTTTCCTTTACCTTTGTCAAGCAAGAGGACTTTTCTATTTAAAGTACATTGCAACTACCATTAGGTTCTCAGCTAACTAGTGAGTTTTTAAATTTAAAAGGAATTGTTTTTCATTGTTCAGCAATTAGGTTACACACTTTAACACGTATTACAAGACGAGTAATTTGTGATTCTGTGTTCTCTTAAAACATAATTTCATAAACCTGCCTGATGTGTGCTGCCATGTGCTAGTCATCATTCCCACACTACGTTGCAAATTGAAGAAATCTGTTAGGGGAGTGAAAGCCATGTGGAGGAACTGAAGCAGGACAGCAGGACGAGGAGCCGGGCCAGCCTGAAGCTGGGACAGAAGGCAGGGGCTGGAAGCCTCCACATTCAACACTGCATCTGGCCTTGAGGGATCTAAGGACAGGAAGAGAGCTCAGGGGCCATGTCAGCCAAAAGAAGTGAATGAGTGAGTAGATGGTGCCCATAAAGGGCTGTTCCAGAGACAGCACAAGACCCGCAGTAACAAGGACCGAATGGGGCCCAAACGTCAACAGCACTTCCAGACACCACCAGCAGGAAACAGGAGGACATGGGACACAGACCCCTAGGAGCTGCACTCCCTCTCAGAACACTTAGGTGCTGAGTGCCGATGATGTGTCAGGCTGAGAACTGGACTGGAGGATGCCAGGAGCCCTAAGGCGGTGTCGGTAAGACACATACTACTGAAGACACAGAGAAAATACAAAACCTGAGTGAGACACAACAGATCCACCAGGGGCTTGCACGGCTGCACCATCTCTTCCTTGGGTTTGTTTTAAATGTTGAAGAAAACCAAGCCTAGAGCTTCCTGACTCCAATTTCCCTCTTTAAGCAGTAGATATGCTTCTACAACCTCTTCATCTGAACACCAGGTGATATGGTTAGGCTTCATGTCCCCACCCAAATCTCATCTTTAATTATAAACTTCATAGTCCCCATAATCCCCATGTGTCAGGGAGACACCAGGTGGAGGTAACTGGATCATGGGAGTCGTTTCCTCATGCTGTTCTTGTGATAGTGAGTGAGTTCTCACAAGATCTGATGGTTTTATAAGGGGCTCTTTCCCCTTTGCTCGGCACTTCTCCTTTGTGCCACCTTGTTAAGAAAGTGCCTTGCTTCTCCTTTGCTTTTGCCAGGATTATAAGTTTACTGAGGCCTCCCCAGCTATGCTGAACTGTGAGTCAACTAAACCTCTTTCCTTTATAAATTACACAGTCCCAGGAAAGCTTCTTTATACTAGTATGAAAATGGACTAATACAATAAATAGGTACTGAAAAGAGTGGGGTGCAGCTATAAAGATACCTGAAAATGGGAAGCAACTTTGGAACTGGGTAACAGGCACACGTTGGAACTGTTTGGAGGTCTCAGAAGAAGACAGGAAGATGTAGGAAACTTTGGAACTTCCTAGATTCTTGTTGAAAGACTTTGACCAAAATGCTGATAGTGATATGGACAATGAAGTCCAGGATGAGGTGATCTCAGATGGCGATGAAGAACTTGTTGGGAACTGGAGCAAAGGTGATTCTTGCTATGCTTCAGCAAAGAGACTGGTGGCATTTTGCCCCTGCCCTAGAGATCTGTGGAACTTTGAACTTGAGAGAGATGATTTAGAGTATCAGGTGGAAGAAATTTCTAAGCAGCAAAGCGTTCAAGAAGTGACTTGGGTGCTCTTAAAAGCATTCAGTTTTATGCATTCACAGAGATGATTTGGAATTGGAACTAATGTTTAAAAGAAAAGCAAGCATAAAGGTCTAGAAAATGTGCAGCCTGATGATGGGATAGAAAAGAAAAACCCATTTTCTGAGGAGAAATTCAAGCTGGCTGCAGAAGTTTGCATAAGTAATGAGGAGCCAAATGTTAATAGCCAAGACAATGGGGAAAATGTCTCCAGGGCATGTCAGAGGTCTTCAAGGCAGCTCCTCCCATCACAAGCCCTGAGGCCTAGGAGGAAAAAATGGTTTTATGGGCCGGGCCCAGGGCCTTGCTGCTTTTTGCAGTCTTGGGACTTGGTGTGTTGCATCTCAGCTGTGGTTAAAAAAGGACAATGTACAGCTCAGGCCTCAGGCCATTGCTTTACAGTGTGAAAGCCCCAAGCCTTGGTGGCTTCTACATGGTATTGGGCCTGCAGGTGCACAGAAGTCAAAAACTGAGGTTTGGGAACTCCACCTAGACTTCAGAGGATGTATGGAAATGCATGGATGTCTAGGCAGAAGTTTGCTGCAGGAGTGGAGCCCTCACGGAGAACCTCTGCTAGGGCAGTGCAGAAGGGAAATGTGGGGTCAGAGCCCCCCCAAAGAGTCCCCACTGGGGCACTGTCTAGTGCAGCTATGAGAAGAGGGCCACAGTCCTACAGACCCCCAAATGGTAGATCCACTGACTGTTTGCACCACACCCCTGGAAAAGCCACAGATACTCAACATCAGCCTGTGAAAGCAGTCGGGAGGGAGGCTGTACCCTGCAAAGCCACAGAGGTGGAGCTGACCAAGGCCATGGGAGCCCACCTCTTGTATCAGTGTGACCTGAATGTGAGACATGGAGTCAAAGGATATCATTTTGGAGTTTCAAGATTTGATGGCCCCACCGGATTTTAGAATTGCATGGGGCCTATAGCCCCTTCATTTTGGCCAATTTCTCCCATTTGGAAGGGGCATATTTACCCAATGCCTGTACCCTCATTGTATCTAGGAAGTAACTAACTTGCTTTTGATTTTACAGACACATAGGCGGAGGAGGGGGGTTGTCTTGTCTCAGATGAGACTTTGGACTTGGACTTTTGAGTTAATGCTGGAATGAATTAATACTTTGGGGGACCGTTGAGAAGGCATGATTGGTTTTGAAATATGAAAGGGACATGAGATTTGGGAGAGGCTGGGGCAGAATGATATGGTTAAGCTTTGTTTCCCCACCCAAATCTCATCTTGAAATTAATGCCTATAATCCCCACGTGTCAAGGCAGAGATGAGGTGGAGGTAATTCGATCATGGGGGCAGTTTCCCCCATGCTGTTCTCATGATAGGGAGTGAGTTCTCATAAAATCTGATGGTTTTATAAGGGGCTGTTCCCCTTTCACTTGGAACTTCTTACTGCTGCCTTGTGAAGAAGGTGCCTTGCTTCCCCTTTGCCTTCTGCCATGATTGTTACGTTTCCTGAGGCCTCGCCAGCCATGCTGAACTGTGAGTCAATTAAAACTCTTTCCTTTATAAATTACCCAGTCTCAGGCAGTTCTTTATAGCAGTATGAAAACAGACAAATACACTAGGGACGGGGAACACAACCCACGAACCACCACCTTTCACACTGCCTATCTGCCAAAATAGGTGAGGACAGAAACATTCCCCAAACCTTTGCTCCTGCTCCCTGAAAGCAAACATCCATGGCTGCACTCACAAGAGGCTCCCTAAGCCGATACTAGGGGTGGTGAGACCAGGAGTGCAAACTTTGTCCTGGGCCCAGCCTCCTGAGAGCCAAGCATGGCCCACGGAGGCTAGGAGTGAGGTACAGATCATTGTTGACTGCCCCCAGAGAAGGACCAGGAATCTTACAGACTATGATCCTGTGTGAAGTTCCCACCTTCTAAGGGCTTTCAGCTTACAAGCTCTAAAACACCATAGCCCTTTGATCCTGGCTCGCACCAAGAAAAAACCTTGGCAGAGCTTCCAGCTTTGTACTAAACAAAGAAAACTGCAGTATGAGAAGCTAGGAATAATGAGACCAGCATGTTTGTAGTCACAGACACCTCACACTTGCACGCAACATGCACACAGACACACGTGCACACATGTCCCTGACTGAACAATAAGTCCACAGATCCATGCCTCTAAGGGATGTGTGTGCACAAGCAAGCACTCACTCATGCACAGGAGCAGATACACACAGGAGTGCACACAAACACACCCCCACCCTTGCATGCACGGCACACACACACATACACACACAGGCATGCATGCCACACACACATGCATGGCACAGACCACACAAGGAGGTGTTCCTAATCAAAGAGTACGTCACCTAGATCTGCACTTCTAAGTATGCGATCGAAGTCACCATTATTTCAAAAACTCATTCACAGGTGATTCTGAATCATAGCCAGATTTGGTCCAGAGAATATTACAAAGTCGATTCAAGCTCTAACAGTATAATTTAAATCAATGTAAAATGTCTAGTGTATAATGTCTTGTGAGTATCCTCACATACCTAACTTTGTTTTGAGAAGGAGTCTCACTCTGTTGCCCAGGCTGGAGTGCAATGGCATGACCTCAGCTCACTGCAACCTCCACCCCCCGGGTTCAAGGGAGTCTCCTGTCTCAGCCTCCCGAGTAGCTGGGACTACAGCCATGCACCACCACTTAGCTATTTGTTTTTTTATTTTTAGTAGAGATGGGGTTTCACCATGTTGGCCAGGCTGGTGTCGAACTCCTGACGTCAAGCGATCTGCCCACCTCGGCCCCCAAAGTGCTGGGATTACTGGCATGAGCCACATGCCCAGCCCTAACTTTGTAATAGTAAAAATGCAAGGCTAGTCTCATGCAGCAGCAGCATTCAAGTGCAGACGATCATTTTTGTTTTTCTATTTTTGGCCATTACATCCTAAAACCTTCCTTGAAAGCACCAATTTTCCTCTAAAGCAAACAAACAAACAAACAAACAAACTACATTACAGCATAAAACCAAAGAATTCCAGGGAAAGAATATTTTCTAAAATCACATTCCAATCATTGACCTCAAATAATCCTCTGTGAATCCACAGAGCAAGTCACTATTCTATTAAAGCAGTCCAATAAGTGAATTAATTTGTCTGCATTTTCTGAAGGCTGCAGAAGTGCCTCCTAACCCAGGGTCTGCCTCTGCGGATTCAGGCCTTCGTCTATATCGGTTCTTGTTCTCCATGCCCAAGTGCAGCTGAGCAGAACCACTGTGTGTCCTCTCTACAACAAGAGGCATCTTTCTCAGAAGGGACACGGGGCTCCAGAGTAGAGATCACACCACCAGTTTCTCACTCTCTTCCTTTCACACTTACTAGAGAGGTGGGCTTTTGTTAAAATAGTATGCAGACTGAATACAAGAAGCAAAAAGAGGAAAAAAGGCCAAAAAAAGTTTATTATATTTTGAAATATTTCATAACTTTAAAATTAGTTTTTAAATAGTAAAAAGTTCTTTCAGAATGAAGAGAAAAGAAACACGCACTGCAGTCCCTCAGCTGTGCGGTCTCAACTTTTTTTTTTTTTTTTTTTTTTGAGACAGAGTTTTGCTCTTGTTGCCCAGGCTGGAGTGCAATGGCGTGATCTTGGCTCACCACAACCTCTGCTTCCTGGGTTCAAGCGATTCTACTGCCTCAGCCTCTTGACTAGCTAGGGTTACAGGCATGCGCCACCATGCCCAGCTAACTTTTTGTATTTTTAGTAGAGATGGGGTTTCTCCATGTTGGTCAGGCTGGTCTCGAACTCCCAACCTCAGGTGATCCGCCTGCCTTGGCCTCCCAAAGTGCTGGGATTACAGGCATAAGCCACCGTACCTGGCTGCAATCTCGACTTTTTATAGCTCAGTTACCTACTTCCTCAAAAGACTCACTTATGCCTATATGCAGCTGTGTGGCCTTTGCTCTGAATTAAAATAACATATAATTCTTAAAGGAATGGTGTTAAACTGGAACCTCTTCTTAGAACTACAGTCTGCCTTACCCCAGTCCCCATTCCTAGCCCAACCTAACAAACGCTCATCCATTACTTGGCATATTATTCTGAAATGTTATGTTAAACAAAACAAAGAAGAGGACAAAGTAAGTCTTCAAAAAAAAAATACACAGGCAAAAAAAAAAAAACTGTACGGGCAGACATTGTATGATTTTCATATATTACCCAAAAAATATAGCTTTGAAAATGTTGAGCCCAAGATTAAATAAGTCAGTATAATCCCTACCACCTTTAATTTTCATTGCTTGCAAACATAGACAAGGCAAAATTTTCCAACCATTTTAAGCATGTGCAAACAGACATGCTTACTAAGTCTCAATAGTCTACAGAAGATAAAAAGGTATAGAAAGGAAACTCTCATGTGACCTGTTCCCGTTACACTACAGATCCAGTGTCCAGAGAGGCAGGGTGGGGCCTTGGAGCACAGTGGGAGGGCGCGGCGTCTGGCCATCCTGTAGGGAGAGGAGGCCCCGTAGAGCCGGTCTGGCTGGCTGAGCCTGGACTGAGACCAGGCACGAGGTCGGTGCCCAGGGAGGCAAAGGATGGAGGAGCAACTCCCAAGAGCTAAGAGCCCCGGGGCAGCTGATGCTGGCCCAAAGCCTGCGGTGTTGGCCAGACCCCAAGGGAAGAGCCAGAGGCCGGTGCCCAGAAGAGGAGGCCTGGTGACAGAAGGAGGCAAAACCTGAGGCATGATCAGCTTGAAGAAGGCTAAGTACAAGGCCCGTGAGAAGTAAGATTATGAACTCAGTGAACAGGCACATCCTGCGTGGCATGTGAAAGAATTCGGAACAGCGGGAAAAATTAAACCACGGAAGCAAATTTCAAGTCAACAGAAACAAGAACTTTCTAAGAACGAGAGCAGTTCAACAATGAAAAGGGTTGCTTTACTGACTGCTGGACTGCTCATACAAGAACATTCTACAGCAGGGAGCTGGGCTGAACTTCTATAAACATTCCTCACTCCCCAAATCCTTCCCATCCCTGAATGTGGATAGTGAGAGGGTAGACATCACGAGATACGGCATCATTCGAATCCACCCGGTGCCCGAGTCTCAAGTAGCAAGTTTTATCTAAATGTATTCAGTTCCTGGGTTTAATTAATCAGTTTGAACAGAATACTTGTACTGACTGAGCAAAGTTCAAGAAGGCAGAATAGGAACATTACATCTCATCAAGGCTGGTTACGGTGGCTCATGACTACAATCCCGACACTGGGAGGCTGAGGCAGTTCAGACCAGGCCAGGCAACACATCAAGACTGTTTCTACACACACTCACAAAAGCAACACAAAAAAACAAACAAAAATCCCAAATCCCATTTAGCCACTGAAATGTGTTTTGTAAGTCTATGATGAAATAAGATAAATTAGTTTCTGTCCATTTGTGGGTTTTGGAAAAGCACAACCTAAAAGAAAACTCTACCAGGTCTCTATTTTGAAGTCACTGGTAAACTGAACTGACATTCCTCATTTGTAACCAAATATCGAAATGCCATTAACAAATACAACATTAATAAACCTAAGTGCATCCACTTTGGGAAGACACATGCTGCAGTCTTTTAAATCAGACAATAGCTCAAAGGTGGGTGTAGGTTCTTCCAAAACATCTGATTTTTAAGTTCAAAATAAAAATGACCTTCCAAAACAGCCACACGATCAGGCAGCCTGTGTCACTTCCTACTTCACACTAACTACCACGAACTCACTGAAAATAGAGCGAAAGGTCACAGAGCAGACACTGAAAGCAAAGCCCCCAGCACCAGCAGGAGAATCCAATTTTCTACTTGGGAATTGTGGACCGGAAGGGCAAGATGAGTGGCCTTTCTACTCAACGGGAGTAATGCCCTGACTTCCCTCTGGTGCCCTTTATTCTGTCAGCCTCCGGGGCTTAACATCAACGTCATCTGCGTTAGCTTTAAAGATAAAAACTGGCCGGGCATGGTGGCTCATGCTTGTAATCCCAGCACATTGGGAGGCTGAGACGGGTGGATCACTTGAGATCAGCAGTTCGAGACCAACATGCTGAAACCTGTCTCTACTAAATATACAAAAATTAGCCAGGCGTACACGCCTGTAATCCCAGCTACTCAGGAGGCTGAGGCAGGAGAATCACTTGAACCCAGGAAGCGGAAGCTGCAGTGAGCCAAGATCGTGCCACTGCACTACAGCCTGGGCGACAGAGTGTGACTCTGTCTCAAACACAACAACAACAAAACTGATAAAGATGAACAAGGACACATCTCAAAAAGAGCAAGCACAGACTGGCATATACAATACAGCCTTTAATTAAAAAGCAAAGCAATGCTATTAATTATCCCATAGGTATGAGGTGAGAAAATATAAAAACATGTTCAAGGGAGCTGTACATGACTTAGGCCTGATGCATCTCTTTTTTATGAAAGAATGATCTCAAGCACAGGTTGCCATTTGTGTAACCTGAAGTAGGTATGCCACCACTCATTCTACTGTTCCTTCTATTTTTTGTTACATTAACAGGTTTTCCTAACAACCACACAAAAAAAAAAACTTTAGTAAAAACCTAGGAAAGGACAAGTCTAGTAAGCAAAGTTATAGAACAAAGTGAGGATTTAATGTAAAACATTTTTAAGGAATGTCAAAATTCTAAAGTTATTAGTAAAATATGGCAAAAGTATAATATTGAATACCTGGTGAAAATAAAATTCTTTTTTAATGTTATTTTTTATTTTAAGTTCTGGGGTACATGTGCAGTACGTGCAGGTTTGTTACATAGGTAAACATGCGCCATGGTGTCTTGCTGCACCTATCAACCCATCACCTAGGGATTAAGCCCAGCGTGCATTAGCTATTTTTCCTGATGCTCTCCCTTCCCTCACCTCAACCCTCGACAGGCCCCAGTGTGTCTTGTTCCCCTCCCTGTGTCCATGTTCTCATTGTTCAGCTCACACTTATAAGTTACAGCATGCAGTATTTGGTTTTCTGTTTCTGTGTTAGTTTGCTGAGGATAATGGCTTCCAGCTCCATCCATGTCCCTGCAAAGGCCATGATCTCATTCCTCTTTTTTTTTTTTTTTTAAGACAGGGTCTTGCTCTGTCGCTCAGGCTGGAGTGCACTGGCACAATCTCAGCTCACTGCAGCCTCTGCCTCCCAGGTTCAAGCGATTCTCGTGCCTCAGGCTCCCGAGTAGCTGGGATTACAGGTGTGCGCCGCCATCCAGACTAATTTTTGTATAATGTTTTCAGTAGACGGGGTTTTGCCATGTTGGCCAAGCAGGTCTTAAACTCCTGGTCTCAAGTGATCCTCCCACCTTGGCCTCCCAAAGTGTGAGCCACCATGCCTGACCTGATCTCATTCCTTGTTATGGCTGCATAATATTCCATGGTGTATATGTACCACATTGTCTTTATCCCGTCTATCGTTGATGGGCATTTGGGTTCAAAAGTCATAATAATAGCAAAAAACATATTCTTGATGCTGACAGCAGGGACATGGCTAAATATGGCACCTCCACACTGTGGAGTATCATACCATCTCTGGAGAAAATAAGGAAGTCATCACCAGCTTGTATAATGGGCCCCACTTATGGGTCATAGTCCCCAGGCTTGGTCAGTCCCCAACCCGCAAGGCCGTCCCTGCCCCCTACTGAGCCCACTCCTCTGCAGGAGGCCCCGGGGGCTCTGCTCCCGCCCACAGTAGGACTGAAGGGCCACCAAGTGGGTCCAGCCGTCCAGCTGTCAGCCAGGCCTGGCCTCGGGCAGTGTGGGCCGCCATGTGGTCTCTTTCATGTTTTCACTCCTTCTGCCCTAGAGGACCTGCGTCCTTTGGTCCTTTTGCTAGAGCACTCAGCTGTCTCAGGCTGTATGACTGCAGAAAATCGCGTTTCAAGGGAATAAATCTGTAAGATTTTATGGTGAATGAATACTTCAACCTCTTTGGATTACCGCATGGTCCATGCTGATCCCAGAGGCCTTTACTTACCCACGTAGTGTGGTGGCTGCAGTGACCGAGGCTTGCTGGTCCCAGAATAATGTCCGCTTGCTCTGTTACATCCCAGAACTGATTCTCAGGGATTGGGATCTGGAAGATGCTCGGCAGGAGGCTGCGGCCGCAGCGGCGCTGGGCTGGAGAGAAGGTGGCGGCGTGAGGGTCCGGCGGCGCTGGAGACCCGGCGGGCAGCGGCCAAAGCAGGGTCGGGCTGAGCCCAGCATGGGCTCCAGGCTGCGCGAGCGAGATACCCCGGTCCCCGCCTCCGCCTCCGCCCTAGAGCCACGGAGGGGAGGCGGCCGGCGGCCCGGGCCTCTGAGCTCCGAATCCTGCGCCTTCCCGCCGCCAACGGGCTGGGGGCCACGAGGGGCGCGGGGAGGGAACGGGAGTTTGCAAGGACGCCTGGAGATCCACTGCTTCCTCCTCTCGGCTTCAGTCTGCAGGCAGCTCTTCCCCACCAGAGCGCGTGGCTCCCCCGGCCGGGCTCGCCTCTCCCGGCGCCCGCCTCATTTGAAAACACGGCCTTTCCCACGCCCTTACCGCCGGTTCTGCCCGCACTGCGCTCCGCTCCTCGCTCCTCTGCTCGCCCTTCGCTTTCGGCGTCCCACACCATCTCCTTCCCTCGTCGGCGGCTTCCTCTTCTGCTCCCACCCTGGTCTCCCGCCTGCCTTCCAGCACCATCTCTTTCGGATGTCATTCCTCGCAGTGAAGTTCTTTATTGAAACTGCCCCTTGCTGTCAGCACCCCAAATCTACTGAGGGTCCATCAGCAGTACAGACTGGCCGGCTTTATGTGCTAGGTCGGCTCTTAAGAAATATACTTTAAGCCTAACGGCCTCAAAAAAAAAATTGTATTATCAAACATAGAGTGTGAAAATAACACTGAAATAATTTTAAACTAAAAGGCTAGGCCGGGTGCGGTGTTTCACGCATGTAATTCCAGAACTTTGGAAGACCGAGGCAGGTGGATCACTTGAGGTCAGGAATTCGAGATTAGCCTGGCCAATATGGTGAAACCCCTTCTCTACTAAAAATACAAAAATTAGTTGAGCGTGGTCCCAGCTACTCAGGAGGTTGAGGCAGGAGAATCGTTTGAACCCGGGAGGTGGAGGATGCAGTGAGCCGGGATTGCGCCACTGCACTCCAGCCTGGGAGACTGTCTCAAAAAAAAAAAAAAAAAAAAGAAAGAAAGAAAGAAAGAAAAGAAAAACAAACAGAAAAAAAAGGCTCAGCGACTGTTAGAAATCGTTATTTATTCATTTTTTTCAAAAATACATGGCCTCTCATGTCAGATTTAGCAGATGTAGGACGTTTGCCCATCTTATTTGGCAAAAATGCTTCTTAAGGATTTGATAGCGGCCCAAATTCATCAGTGTTTAAGTTTTTCTAAAACTAATTTGAAAACTTAAAAAAAAAGAAGAAACATTATATGAATAACTAGGAAGCTGTTTCGACAGTCACTGTTAAAGAGCTTTTAAAATGGGCTCCACATGTTAATGTATGAAAAGCGTCAGGCCTCTGAGCCCAAGTCAAGCCATCGCATCCCCTGTGACTTGCACGTATACACCCAGATGGCCTGAAGTAACTGAAGAATCACAAAAGAAGTGAATATGCCCTGCCCCACCTTAACTGATGACATTCCACCACAAAAGATGTGTAAATGGCCGGTCCTTGCCTTAAGTGATGACATTACCTTGTGAAAGTCCTTTTCCTGGCTCATCCTGGCTCAAAAAGCACCCCCCACTGAGCACCTTGGGACCCCCACTCCTGCCCGCCAGAGAACAAACCCCCTTTGACTGTAATTTTCCTTTACCTACCCAAATCCTATAAAACAGCCCCACCCTTATCTCCCTTTGCTGACTCTCTTTTCGGACTCAGCCCACCTGCACCCAGGTGAAATAAACAGCCATGTTGCTCACACAAAGCCTGTTTGGTGGTCTCTTCACACAGAAGCGCATGAAATTTGGTGCCATGACTCGGATCGGGGGACCTCCCTTAGGAGATCAATCCCCTGTCCTCCTGTTCTTTGCTCCGTGAGAAAGATCCACCTACTACCTCAGGTCCTCAGACCGACCAGCCCAAGAAACATCTCACCAATTTCAAATCCGGTAAGCGGCCTCTTTTTACTCTCTTCTCCAACCTCCCTCACTATCCCTCAACCTCTTTCTCCTTTCAATCTTGGCACCACACTTCAATCTCTCCCTTCTCTTAATTTCAATTCCTTTCATTTTCTGGTAGAGACAAAGGAGACAAGTTTTATCCGTGGACCCAAAACTCCAGCGCCGGTCACGGACTGGGAAGGCAGCCTTCCCTTAGTGTTTAATCATTGCAGGGACACCTCTCTGATTATACACTAACGTTTCAAGGGTGTCAGACCACGTAGGGACGCCTACCTTGGTCCTTCACCCTTAGCGGCAAGTCCCGCTTTTCTGGGAGAGGGGCAAGTACCCCTCCACCCCTTCTCCTTCACTCTTAGCGGCAAGTCCCACTTTTCTAGAGGAGGGGCAAGTACCCCAACCTCGTATCTCTGCGCCCCAATCCCTTATTTCCACGTCCCGACCTCTTATCTCTGCGCCCCAATCCCTTATTTCTGTACCCCGACCCCTTATTTCCATGCCCCGACCCCTTATTTCTGCACCCCATCCCTTATTTCCGTGCCCCGACCTCTTATCTCTGCGCCCCAACCCCTTTTCCCACTTTTCTGGAAGGTAAGAACCCCCGAACCCCTTCCCTCCGTTTCTCTACTCTCTCTTTTCTCTAGGCTTGGTTCCTTCACTATGGGCAACCTTCCACCCTCCATTCGTCCTTCTACTCCCTTGGCCTGTGTTCTCAAAAACTTAAAACCTCTTAAACTCACACCTGACCTAAAACCTAAATGCCTTATTTTCTTCTGCAATGCCGCTTGACCCCAATACAAACTCGACAATAGTTCCAAATAGCCAGAAAATGGCACTTTGAATTTTTCCATCCTGCAAGATCTAAATAATTCTTGTCGTAAAATAGGCAAACGGTCTGAGGTGCCTGACGTCCAGGCATTCTTTTACACGTCAGTCCCTTCCTAGTCTCTGTGCCCAGTGCAACTCGTCCCAAATCTTCCTTCTTTCCCTCCCGCCTGTCCCCTCAGTACCAATCCCAAGCATCGCTGAGTCTTTCTAATCTTCCTTTTCTACAGACCCATCTGACCTCTCCCTTCCTCCCCAGGCTGCTCCTCGCCAGGCCAAGCTAGGTCCCAATTCTTCCTCAGCCTCCGCTCCTCCACCCTATAATCTTTTTATCACCTCCCCTCCTCACACCTGGTCCCGCTTACGGTTTCGTTCCGTGACTAGCCCTCCCCCTCCTGCCCAGCAATTTACTCTTAAAAAGGTGGCTGGAGCTAAAAGCGTAGTCAAGGTTAATGCTCCTTTTTCTTTATCCCAAATCGGATAGCGTTTAGGCTCTTTTTCATCAAATATAAAAATCCAGCCCAGTTCAGGACTCGTTTGGCAGCAACCCTGAGACACTTTACAGCCCTAGACCCTAAAAAGTCAAAAGGCCATCTTATTCTCAATATACATTTTATTACCCAATCTGCTCCCGACATTAAATAAAACTCCAAAAATTAAATTCCGGCCCTCAAACCCCACAACAGGATTTAATTAACCTCGCCTTCAAGGTGTACAATAATAGAAAAAAGTGGCACTTCCTTGCCTCCACTGTGAGACAAACCCCAGCCACATCTCCAGCACACAAGAACTTCCAAACGCCTGAACCGCAGCAGCCAGGCGTTCCTCCAGAACCTCCTCCCCCAGGAGCTTGCTACACGTGCCGGAAATCTGGCCACTGGGCCAAGGAATGCCCGCAGCCTGGGATTCCTCCTAAGCCACGTCCCATCTGTGTGGGACCCCACTGAAAATCGGACTATTCAACTCACCTGGCAGCCACTCCCAGAGCTCCTGGAACTCTGGCCCGAGGCTCTCTGACTGACTCCTTCCCAGATCTTCTCGGCTTAGCGGCTGAAGACTGACACTGCCCGATCGCCTTGGAAGCCCCCTAGACCATCATGGATGCCGAGCTGCCAGTAACTCTCACAGTGGAAGGTAAGCCCATCCCCTTCTTAATCAATACGGAGGCTACCCACTCCACATTACCTTCTTTTCAAGGGCCCGTTTCCCTTGCCTCCATAACTGTTGTGGGTATTGACAGCCAGGCTTCTAAACCTCTTAAAACTCCCCAACTCTGGTGCCAACTTAGACAATACTCTTTTAAGCACTCCTTTTTAGTTATCCCCACCTGCCCATTTCCCTTATTAGGCTGAGACACTTTAACTAAATTATGTGCTTCCCTGACTATTCCTGGACTACAGCTATATCTCATTGCCGCCCTTCTTCCCAATCCAAAGCCTCCTTTGTGTCCTCCTCTTGTATCCCCCCACCTTAACCCACAAGTATAAGATACCTCTACTCCCTCCTTGGTGACCGATCATGCACCCCTTACCATCTCATTAAAACCTAATCACCCTTACCCCACTCAACACCAATATCCCATTCCGCAGCACGCTTTAAAAAGATTAAAGCCTGTTATCACTCGCTTGCTACAGCATGGCCTTTTAAAGCCTATAAACTCTCCTTACAATTCCCCCATTTTACCTGTCCTAAAACCAGACAAGCCTTACAAGTTAGTTCAGGATCTGCGCCTTATCAACCAAATTGTTTTGCCTATCCACCCCGTGGTGCCAAACCCATATACTCTCCTATCCTCAACACCTGCCTCTACAACCCATTATTCTGTTCTAGATCTCAGACACGCTTTCTTTACTATTCCTTTGCACCCTTAATCCCAGCGTCTCTTCACCTTCACTTGAACTGAGCCTGACACCCATCAAGCTCAGCAAATTACCTAGGCTGTACTGCCGCAAAGCTTCACAGACAGCCCCCATTACTTCAATCAAGCCCAAATTTCTTCCTCATCTGTTACCTATCTCGGCATAATTCTCATAAAAACACACGTGCTCTCCCTGCCAATCGTGTCCTACTGATCTCTCAAACCCCAGCACCTTCTACAAAACAACAACTCCTTTCCTTCCTAGACATGGTTAGCGTGGTCAGAATTCTTACACAAGAGCCAGGACCACACCCTATATAGCCTTTCTGTCCAAACAACTTGACCTTACTGTTTTAGCCTAGCCCTCATGTCTGCGTGCAGCGGCTGCCACTGCATTAATACTTTTAGAGGCCCTCAAAATCACAAACTATGCTCAACTCACTCTCCACAGTTCTCATAACTTCCAAAATCTATTTTCTTCCTCATACCTGACACGTATACTTTCTGCTTCCTGGCTTCTTCAGCTATACTCACTCTTTGTTGAGTCTCCCACAATTACCGTTGTTCCTGGCCCAGACTTCAATCCGGCCTCCCACATTATTCATGATACCACACCTGACCCCCATAACTGTATCTCTCTGATCCACCTGACATTCACCCCATTTCCCCAAATTTCCTTCTTTCCTGTTCCTCACTCTGATCACGCTTGATTTATTGATGGTGGTTCCACCAGGCCTAATGGCCACACACCAGCAAAGGCAGGTTATGCCACTAGCCCACCTCTTAGAACCTCTCATTTCCTTTCCATCGTGGAAATCTATCCTCAAGGAAATAACTTCTCAGTGTTCCATCTGCTATTCTACTACTCCTCAGGGATTATTCAGGCCCCCTTCCTTCCCTACACATCAAGCTCGAGGATTTGCCCCACCCAGGACTGGCAAATTAGCTTTACTCAACATGCCCTGAGTCAGATAACTAAAATACTTCTTAGTCTAGGTAGATACTTTCACTAGATAGGTAGAGGCCTTTCCTACAGGGTCTGAGAAGGCCACCGCAGTCATTTCTTCCCTTCTGTTAGACATAATTCCTCAGTTTAGCCTTCCCACCTCAATACAGTCTGATAACAGACGAGCCTTTATTAGTCAAATCAGCCAAGCAGTTTTTCAGGCTCTTAGTATTCAGTGAAACCTTTATATCCCTTACGGTCCTCCGTCTTCAAGAAAAGTAGAATGGACTAAAGGTCTTTTAAAAACACACCTCACCAAGCTCAGTCACCAACTTAAAAAGGACTGGACAATACTTTTACCACTTTCCCTTCTCAGAATTCAGGCCTGTCCTTGGAATGCTACAGGGTACAGCCCATTTAAGCTCCTGTATAGACGCTCCTTTTTATTAGGCCCCAGTCTCATTCCAGACACCAGACCAACTTAGATTGTGCCCCCAAAAATACTTGTCATCCCTATTATCTTCTGTCTAGTCATACTCCTATTCACTGTTCTCAACTACTCATACATGCCCTGCTCTTGTTTACACTGCCGGTTTACACTGTTTCTCCAAGCCATCACAGCTGATATCTCTTGGTGCTATCCCCAAACTGCCACTCTTAACTCTTGAAGTAAATAAATAATCTTTGCTGGCAGGACTATGCTGAATCTCCTTAGGCACTCTCTAATCAGATATCCTGATTCGTCCCAATTCTTAGACCTTTTATACCTGTTTTTCTCCTTCTGTTATTCCATTTAGTTTCTCAATTCATCCAAAACCGTATCCAGGCCATCACCAATCATTCTATACAATAAATGTTTCTTCTAACATCCCCACAATATCACCCCTTACCACAAGACCTCCCTTCAGCTTAATCTCTCCCACTCTAGGTTCCCACGCCGCCCCTAATCCCGCTTGAAGCAGCCCTGAGAAACGTCGCCCATTCTCTCTCCATATAACCCCCCAAAAATTTTCGCCACCCCAACACTTCAACACTATTTTGTTTTATTTTTCTTATTAATATAAGAAGGCAGGAATGTCAGGCCTCTGAGCCCAAGCCAAGCCATCGCATCCCCTGTGACTTGCACGTATACACCCAGATGGCCTGAAGTAACTGAAGAATCACAAAAGAAGTGAATATGCCCTGCCCCACCTTAACTGATGACATTCCACCACAAAAGAAGTGTAAATGGCCGGTCCTTGCCTTAAGTGATGACATTACCTTGTGAAAGTCCTTTCCCTGGCTCATCCTGGCTCAAAAAGCACCCCCACTGAGCACCTTGGGACCCCCACTCCTTCCTGCCAGAGAACAAACCCCCTTTGACTGTAATTTACCTACCCAAATCCTATAAAACGGCCCCACCCTTATCTCCCTTTGCTGACTCTCTTTTCGGACTCAGTCCGCCTGCACCCAGGTGAAATAAACAGCCATGTTGCTCACACAAAGCCTGTTTGGTGGTCTCTTCACACGGACACCCATGAAAAAAAGGAAGTTGCCAGGCTGTCTTGTAAAAGGATTATTTAGAAATTTGAGTAGTCTTAGTGTTATGTAGCTGTTTTAGGAAAAGCATTCTTTTTCCGTTAACAAATGTTTACAACCACCGTGATGTGAGAATTATTGAGGTTCATTGTGGGATTAACACGGGAACTCTATTTGAGCCACCACATGGATGGAGTAAATGCTTCAGGGTAGATGGGGTAAGTCACAGTATGTAACATGCTATGGACACTGAATGTTAATTCATTTACGTTCTCTGTTGTGCAACTGCAAAATTCCTATTGTTGGCCTACTTTCATTCTTTTATGTTTTGAGGCAGAGTTTCACTCTTGTTGCCCAGGCTGAAGTGCAATGGCATGACCTCAGCTCACTGAAACCTCTGCCTCCCCGGTTCAAGCGATTCTCCTGCTTCAGCATCCCAAGTAGCTGGGATTACAGGCACCTGCCACTATGCCTGACTAATTTTTGTATTTTTAGTTGAGACAGGGTTTCACCATGTTGGTCAGGCTGGTCTCCCACTCCTGACCTCAGGTGATCCACCCCCCTTGGCTTCCCAAAGTGCACCACGCCTGGCCTAGCCTACTTTTAAATATAGCATTTCTAAATAAATAATGAGACAAGTTTTTCTAATTATTATAATAGTCTTTTACAAGTGTACAGGCCTTCTAAAAATATAATTGGCCAAGGCGAGTGGATCACAAGGTCAGGAGATCAAGACATCCTGGTCAACCTGGTAAAACCCCGTCTCTACTAAAAATACAGAAATTAGCCAGGCATGGTGACAGGCTTTTGTAGTCCCAGCTACTCAGGAGGCTGAGGTAGGAGAATCGCTTGAACCCAGGAGGCAGAGGTTGCAGCGAGCCGAGATCATGCCGTTGCACTACAGCCTGGGCAACAAGAGCAAAACTCGGTCTCAAAAAAATAAAAAAGAAAGAAAGAAAGTGGCAGTGAGGTAGAGAAACAGCTGGATTGGTTACAGGCTGGCATTTGCCTTATTTGAACACAGTTTGAACACTTAGCAGTATATGAGTGGTTGAAGTATGGTCAAGACTCAGCTACTGTTATAGGTACAGACTCCTAAATTAAGTTTTCAATCTTGTCTACCTGTTAAGCTACCTTACAGTTTGTCCACAAGAACCCACATATAGAAGTACAGAGTCTTTCTTAGGCCATACTTAGTTTGCTTTTACAGAAGTGACAGCAGAGCTTTCAACACCTGTTTTCTTACACTGGGTGCCTGGATTCTGGGAAGACTCCAGGAGTAGGTGAGAAGGCCTTTTCAGTTTGTCAGAAGTTAGTAAATCACATAATTACTAAATTCCTTAAGATCGCGTCATCTGAAGGAATGGTGTCGTGTCTAAATGACTGTGCTTCTAAGGACAGCTGATTCACAGGTTGACAAGGTCAGAAAAAGTGGCTCTTGTTGAAAGTTATTTTTTCCTGCGATGTACATTTTTTTATGGTCTTTGGAATTAAAATGTGATGCTGATTGTCTCTGGGGAGTCTCGGAAGAGTAGAGTTTGCCACGGTATCACTTAGTGATTGTGGACATTCATTAAAAAGAGGCTGAGCCAACAGAAGAAAGATTGCAAATGTGCCCTTGTAAATGGGTTAGTAAACATTTCTTTTTTTTGCATAAGATACTGGGAGTGAATGGTATTTTTTCCACACCCATGGGTAGTAGTTATACATATAATCTATATTTCGTGACTGTGTATTATATGTAACTCTTTTTAAGTATATTGTGACATTACCTAGCATAGAAAGTAAATAGTATAATTCTAACTCTAAAATTAAATTTTAAAATGCAATACATGATATCTTACATTTTCTGTGAAATATGCCTTTTACAATTCACTGACCTTTAAGAAAAAGTAGTTAGCAAACAATTAACTGATGGTATCAGAATAATGCAATTTTTTTAATTCCAAAATTCTAAAAGCAAAATTTATTCAAGTAATAGTATAAAATATAAAATCATGATTAGTGGTAAGATAATGTCTGGGAATATGGTATTTATTTCTGGATTTTCATTCACATTGTACCTGATTCTTTTTTTTTCCTTAGTGAACTAATTTCAGAGTTGGAATAAACTGAATACTGCTATTTATATTAGCAGCTGTAAAGTTTTATTGTAGAATATATCTTGTACATTACATTAGCAAAATGGATGATTAAGAGGACTGACATTTCATTATCCTGTACTCAAACAGTGAAAGTAAAATAGAGGAAATTTGGGGAATATGTAATTGTTGTAGTTTGTAGCTGGCTGTCATAAAGTTTGTAAAATGACAGAGCTTGTCATCAGTGTCTTGCAGCTGATCTAACAAGGATGGGCGAAGAAAAAGGTACCTGAGCTTTACCATCTGTGTTGTTTCCTTGTTTGGTTGGTGATCCTTACTCACATCAATCCATTGATTTAAAAGAATAGGTTTTCATCTTTTGGACTAATTAAAGTATGGCAATATCTTTGATTAGCCATTTTAGAACCTTTCTGCAAGTACATTTCTAGTCTAGGTGTGGTGGCTCACACCTGTTCCAACATTTTGGGAGGCCAAGGCAGGCAGATTGCTTGAGACAAGTCTGAGCAATATGACAAGGCCCTGTGTCTACAAAAAATGAAGTGAGTCCAGCGTGGTGGTGTGACCCTGTAGTCAGCTACTCAGGAGGCTGAGGTGGGAGGATGGCTTGAGCCAGGTAGGTCAAAGCTACAGGGAGATGTGATTCCACCACCGCACTCCAGCCTGGGCAACAGAGGGAAACCCTATCTCTATTTTTTAAAAATTCTGATGTGATTTAATCTCTTTGTATAGATTTGACTTAAGAAGATTGAACATTCCATGTATATTCCTTTTCTTAAAGACTATCTAGAAGACTAATGAGTGATTTGACCAGATAGTTGAATCAGTGTTATGATAAAAAGAACCCTTTACTAAATTCTTGATCATGTTCTGAAGTTTTGCAAAAGCATAATCTGTATAGTGTAGATCTTTATTTCTTAGACTATTTAAAGATTAAAGATTTAATTTTTAGTAACATCTAGCATACTAGTGTGAAAGGAAAACATCTTGGGCCCCCAGAATCACTAAGCTAGAGGAGAAATTCAAGCTGGGAACTGCTCAGGGCAAACTTGCCTCCCATGCTATTCAAAGTCATCGCTCTGCTCACTGAGATAGATGCATATTCTGATTGCCTCCTTTAGAAAGCCTTATCAGAAACTCCAAAGAATACAATCATTTGTCTCTCACCTACCTGTGACCTGGAAGCCCTCTCCCTGCTTCAAGTTGTCCCTGTGTTTTTGGACAGAACCAATGTAGTTCTTACATATATTGATTGATGTCTCATGTCTCCCTAAAATATATAAAACCAAGCTGTGCCACGACTACCTTGTGTACATGTTGTCAGGACTTCCTGAGGCTGTGTCATGGGCATGTGTTCTCAACCTTGGCAAAATACGTTTTCTAAATTAATTGAGACCCGTCTCAAATTTTGGGGGTTCACATTTGGTAACCATGGAGGGATTCTGAATGGAGATGACCCTGACCTTTGGCAAATCTCCTATCAATGCTTGGTATCAGCATGAACTGACTTTATGACTCAAACCAATAGGAAAATTTGCTGAGGTCTGAGAGCACTGTCTCCAGAGAATCTCTGATCTTCCAAAATTTGGTCGAGATCTAAAGTTTATTTTGCTGTACAACTCCTCTTTTTTTGGAGTTTTACTTGCTTCCCACACAAGGAAGTCAAGGTTTTCACTTGCTTCCCACACAAGGAAGTCAAGGTTTTCCTGCTTCCTTAACGATGGAAGGCGGGTAACTCCTGTATGAAGTTTGAGCTTGCTTCCACAGGGAAGACGTGTTTGTTTGTATTTTTTCTCTGCTTCTAGGATTGTGAAGAGCAGTCTTCAGTCTGAGACCCATCCCTAGGTAAGTAACTGAACTGGAGTTTTGTCTTGGCTAAAGTTAAGATTAACAACCAGCTGGTCTTAATTTCTCCTTACCATTAGAGTGTTCAGTGATCATATTGTTGTTGGGTTTTTTGTTGTTGTTGTTTGTTCTGGTCTGAAGTTGTTTAAGGATCCTAATTCTAGTTTGGAGATGCATTCTAAAGGATCTTCTCTACTGCTCTTTCTCTCACATTTAATCTTAATTCAGTTTGTCTGTGTGCATTTGCATAAGGAACTGAACTGTTGTTTTCATATATTAATGAGAGACTGAATTTTCTCAGCTCCAAAGAGAAACAGCATTTACTCCTCCCAGCTGAAAGGTGCCCCTGGGTGATGGGGGACCTCGTGGGAGTGTCTAGGAGGTTGACCCCGCCATGACATGCCACAATCCTGCAGGTAAATCTCCAACAAAAATTAATTTTAAAAATGGCTCATAAGGACTGATCACCCACTGTTTTGAGCCCTCTCTGAGGTCACAGACCTCTAGAGAGAGAAACTGAAACATGTAAGATGGTGGAAATGATGTAGTGGTGACACACCGTGGAGTCCTGTGCACAGGCAGCACACATCAATCCACCACACAAAAACCCTAGGCCACAGCTCAGTTCCTCTTCTTAAGAAAAAAAAAAAAGCAGGAAACAATCTAAGAACGAGGAGAAAATAAGGAGAATGACCCCCTTTTGAGCACTCCATAGGTTTTATGGCACCTCTACTTGTGAAAGTTTATGTAAAATCGGAATAATATGGTCTTCGTGCACATTTACATCAAGGAAAAAGAGCCCTAAGGTTCGACCTGCAAACTATAGAGTTTCTAAGTCCTCTTTTTCTCTATTTTTTCTCTTTTCTGGCTTCTTTAAATCTGCTGCTGTTTTTCTATTAAGACAAAAACCACCATTTAGATCCAACAAGTTCTTTTTGCAAGCTGGTGAATTTGTATTTACCTCATGGCTAAAAGTTCTGAAGTAAAAGCTATAGGATCTTTGTGTGTGTGTGTGTGTGTGTGTGTGTGTGTGTGTGTGTGTACATTTAAAAGGCCCTTATGATTTCTATAATTTTATGTTTAATTGGCAATTAAATGTGTTTTAATTTCCCTTTAGCACACCACACTTTTACTCTCCATACCTTATAATGTAAATTTTGCTATTTGACTTTCACCTGAGTTACTTCCTTTAATATGCAATTTCAAGGCTATTTAGCTGACAACTGCCCAGGGTTGTGAAACAGGTTATCAAGAATCTGAAAGTCTAAGATAGGAAAAAAAAGGTTTTTATGAATCTATAAAATGTACTTCTATCGGCATGCCTAATATGTCTATGTATTTATGTGTTGTGTACACAATATTTCACTACTACTAATATATAAAAGAGTGCTTGTTAATTGGCTTAAAAATGAAATAAAAGTGCTGAAATCAGTTAGTAAAAAAAGACTAGTCAAATGCTTTTTCAAGTTTATGTAACTTAATTAAAATATTTAATAAGTAAGCTAGCTTTAAAATTATTGGCAAAGTAATATAAGAAATGTCTTAAGAATTGCCAGCATACATTTTTGTTTGCATTTATTAATCAAGCAATTTCATATTTATCCCTGCCAAATACTAAAAGGTGTCAAAATTTGGCATAGGGGTTACAAAACTATAAACCCAGCCCAAGACAGAATGATCTTTGCTTGTGTAATCCTTAATAAATAAGACATTGATATTGGTTTAATAAAAATAGCTACATCTTGGGGCCAGACGTGGTGGCTTATGCCTGTAATCCCAGCACTTTGGGAGGCCGAGGTGGGTGGATCACAAGGTCAGGAGATCGAGACCATCCTGGCTAACATGGTGAAACTCCGTCTCTACTAAAAGTGCAAAAAATTAGCCAGACGTAGTGGCGGGCACCTGTAGTGCCAGCTACTTGGGAGGCTGAGGCAGGAGAATGACGTGAACCCAGGAGGTGGAGTTTGCAGTGAGCCAAGATTGCACCACTGCACTCCAGCTTGGGCAACAGTGCAAGACTCTGTCTCAAAAAAAAAAAAAGTTACATCTTGAAAAATTTAGTAAAATTATCATAACTTCTAATCTTGTGGCTTTAGGCAGTCTAGTCCACACGCAGTAAGGAGGTTTGTTTTGGGAAAGGAAAAGAACTGTTAACATCTTTGTTTCAAAGCTAAACTATAAATTAAATTCCTCCCAAAGTCCAGGTATGAACAAGGACAGCTTGGAGGTTAGAAGCAAGATGGAGTCAGTTGGGTTATATTTTCTTCACTGTCTCAGTTATAATTTTGCAATGGCAGTTTCATAACTTTAAATCATGACTATTGAAGTTTCCATAAGTAATCTAGCTAAACAATTAAAGTAAATTATAATTATTTGTTTCTATTTGGGTAAATGTAATGTCATAAATACTTGTAGACAAACTTGTTATAATTTAGAATCTAAAATTTCATTATTTGGGTATTTTCCAACAAATATATATTGTAGGAAAGCATTCTTGCTTAAAAAAAAAAAGATACATCTCTTTTAAAAAGGTGAACAAGTTTTGTATAATTCAAAGCTCATTTAAATGTTACGTATAGGCCAGGCGCAGTGGCTCACGCCTGTAATCCTAGCACTTTGGGAGGCCGAGGCGGGCAGATCACCTGAGGTCGGGAGGTCAGTAAGAAAGCTTAAAGAGAAATAATTTTATATGAGAAAGAATCTTGTATGGTAAATTTAGTCCTAAAATAAAATGACTGGTTGTTTAAGAAGGAGGGATGTTCAGGACAAACTAGAAAGTCCAAGAATGTCATGAACAGTCAGTGTAAGTCACAATAAGAGGATTTATTAAAAAACAAACAAACAAGAACGTTTATATGGTCAGGCTGTCATATTGTTATTAAGTTTTGGCTTGCTTAGGAATAAACACTGAGATTTTAAAAAGATTTATTTTGAGACGGAGTCTCGCTGTGTTGCCTAGGCTGGAGTTCAGTGGCACAATCTCGGCTCACTGCAACCTCCGCCTCCCAGGTTCAAGTGATTCTTATGCCTCAGCCTCCTGAGTAGCTGGGACTACAGGTGCATGCCACCATACCCAGCTAATATTTTGGTTTTTTTAGTAGAGACAGGGTTTCATCATGTTAGCCAGGATGGTCTCAATTTCCTGACCTTGTGATCTGCCTGCCTCAGCTTCCCAAAGTGCTGTGATTACAGGCATGAGCCACCACGCCCGGCCAAAAAAATTTTTTTAATTAATGTTACCACATTCATACATTACAGGGCTTTGACTCTGGGTCTAAAAAGGACATCAAGTCCTACTAAATCTTTAACACTGACAGCAATTAGAGCCTCATCTTCAGGACCTATAGAAGATGCTAATCAAAATAAGCTGCATTTCTGAGACACAGGGCAAGAAATTAAAGCTATATAATACTCCTTAAGGCCCAAGGAGTATCACAGAAGAGGTGGGCATGTGAGATTGTAAGGGCTGATTTTGAAAGATAAAATAAGTTCAGTTTCTCTATAAATTAATCATTAATGTCAAAGACACACTGATGCAAGACTAGTATATGGGCCCCTCTGTCAGATTAACAAGGTTTTCTTGAAGCATTAACCAACTCCTTAATAAAGGTTATAAAAATTATAAAAGGCTTATGGAAGCTGAATCTTGTGGTCAAGATTAAGATTTTATAGATTGTTTATAAAATTTTGAAAAACAAATTTAATTGGCCTCATGCTATTTTTATTACAGCTTGTTCTTGGTAAATATTAAGTCTCCTCTCTCAAAGAATGAAGGTTTTCACCTTTTTTTGAAATCCTTGAGTTATCACTTTGGTTAAATGAATGACTTATTTTACAATGATCTGTGATCTTATTTTGTGATATCAAGTGTTTTAAACATTTGATATTTGACAAACTTTCCAAAATCAAATTATAAATTATGTCTTTTTCTGACCTAATTAATCATTTAAGATATTAGGTTCCCTGAAGTCCAAAAATGACATAATTTGGCTTATTTTGGTACAAAAATTATACAGGAAGCATTGTCAAATATGAAATGGTATTTGATTTTCTTTGGGCTGTATTTATATAAATATGTTATTGGTGCGTGTTCCAAAATTATGGGAAACTCCTATAATTCTGATATAACTTAGAGGACATTGTCAGTAATAATTATAATTATTATGTTAAGTTATTGTGTGCCACAGAGATAACAAATTTCCTTGTCAATTGTGTCTTTGATTATGGCTTCCCTAAAACTTTTTTTCATCCACAGACAATTGTCATCTTTTGGTCCTCTTTAGAAAGTGGTTCTATAATAAGCTATAGAACTCTGATAGGTGTTCTTTGTTTATTTTTTTCTTTGAGACAGAATCTCACTCTGTCACCCAGGCTAGAGTGCAGTGGTGCAATCTAGGTTCACTGCAACCTCTGCCTCCTGTGTTCAAGAGATTCTCCTGCCTCAGCCTCCCGAGTAGCGGGGATTACAAGTGCCCACGACCATGCTCGGCTAATTGTTGTATTTTTAGTAGAGACAGGGTTTTACCAAGTTGTCAGGCTGGTCTCCAACTCCTGACCCCAAGCAATCCACCTTCCTTCGGCCTCCCATAGTGCTGGGATTACAGGTGTGAGACACCACTCCCGGCCTCTAACAGGTGTTCTTAAATGTAGGTTTCTGATAACTTTGGAGGTTGTGACATTAGAACAGAGGGAAATAAACTTTCAGGACTTTTACGGAGAGCTGAAGTGTTCAGGAATATCAAGAAGAACAGGAGTTAACTGCATAAACTGAACTGATAGAAGACTAAAGTAACCGTTTCCACTTTTGCTTTAAATGTTGCTAATCCTTTGTTTTTTTAGAGTCTTGAAACTTTTCTTTTGAGATATTGACAGCTCTTAACAATTTAATGTACTCCTATGAACAAAATTAGAAGCATATTTGTTTCTCTTTACCTGATTTCTACAAAATCTGGAAACTATTTGTGAGTATTCTTAACTTATGACAATATGGTTATTTGTATAAATGCAAATAAGAATTTGTTTTCATTTGTAACAGGACACAATTGGAGAAACCGGTTATTTTACCAAGGCTTTGACTGGAATGGTGTGCTTTTCTTTAAGGAATCAAGCTTCCCTTATGGGGCCAATAAAGCCCTTGGTATTCCATGTTTTTGATACTATTTTGAAAGGCTTTAAAGACATTTTAATCTTCAAATGCTACATAACTTGTGTATGTGTATGTGCGCACATGAGCAGAGTCTCCATTGCTTGGAATTAGATAGATTATATCCCTTGGTGCCTCACCATTGAGCTCTACATGGCAGAGATCTTGCATATGTGACTGTGTATATTTTCAGCAACATAATAAGCATCCTCTAAATCTCATCCTAAAACAAATGCTTCATTGACAATAACGCATAGCTACCTTCTGGTCCTCTCCCTTCTTTTATTTATTTATTTATTTTCGAGATGAAGTCTCATTCTGTCACCCAGGCTGGAGTGCAGTGGTGCAATCTTGGCTCATTGCAACCTCCGCCTCCCAGGTTCCAGTGATTCTCCTGCCTCAGCCTCCTGAGTAGCTGGGATTACAGGCACATGCCACCACACCCACTAATTTTTGTATTTTTAGTAGAGATGGGGTTTCATGATGTTGGTCAGGCTGGTCTCAAACTCCTGACCTCAAGTGAGCCACCTTGGCCTCCCAAAGTGCTGGGATTACGGGTGTGAGCCACTGCACCTGGCCTTTATTTCCAAATTTTCTGCTGTGCTATTAAACATAAATTCATTCATAAGATGTATATTTTATAAATAGTAACTAGATGTGCATCTGATTTATACAGAGTATTTTTCCCTTTCAATTTTGAAGATTTTTTTGTGATATACCACGTATACTTTGAATTTTTATGTAGTCAACTCTGATAAATTTCTATTTATGCTTTTCTTTGCTGTTTTTGTTGCTACCAATGTGAAATTCTGATAGACACTAAACTACATTTTTTCCAGGTTTTACATCATTTCATTTTTTCATTGAATCAGCTCTAAATAGCTTAGCCACACACCTAGGGTGTGCTTAGTATTTTCTAGGCACTCAATCTCTGAATCCTCACAATGATACTAGGAATTGCTAACTCCTATTTGAGGCTTGAAGGGGTGAGTAGTCCAAGGTGGTGCAGCAAGTAAGCCATGAGGTGGAGATCTGAACCCAGATCTCATGTCTTAGTCACCACTCTAAATGTATAGTGGAGGCATAGCTCTCACATTTTTTTTTTCCGTAAACAGTTACACAATATTTCAGGAATATTTACTCAACTTATTATTTGAAATGTTTCTTTATTTTATTCTAAGTTTTATAATTACTAGAGTCTGGTTTAAACCAGTGTCTTCCTGTTCCATTAATTTTTCTTTTGAATTTTCTGCCAAAATTATATGCTATATTACTTTAATTATGATAGTTTCATTAAATGCTTTAATGACTGGTAGTATAATTTCTATTGATTACTCTTCCTTTTTCCCTAAATGTCTAGTCTCGTTTCACCTATTTATTCTTCCAAATGAAACTTTCTTGAGTCACTTTCCCAAGGTACAGGAAAAATTCCTTTGGGATTTTGATTCCCAAACTTGATTTGTTAAAAAACTAAGTTCTTCTGATTCAGAAGCATGGAATGCCTCTCTTTTTATTCAGGTCTTCTTTGTGAATCTCTAAGTGAAGTTGTGTCATTTTCCTCCAACAGGTGTTGTGTATTACCAGTGCACAGAGGAGACTGGTTTTCACATCAGCATTGTATATAACCACAGTGCATTCTTATTCTCAGTTCAGTCTCTATATTGTCACAAGTGTTTATTGAGTACCTAATATGTGCAGGCACATATCACTGGGAATACAGTGGTGAACAAGACAAAGTTCCTGCTCCCATGGAGTTGACATTCTAGATGGAGACATAGTCTGTATAGACAGAAACCACTCACTGTGTCCTCATCGGGTGGCCCTATGACTGCATATGGTTTCTTCCCACCAAAGTTCATGCTGCAATTTGACCCCCAACATGATGATGTGCGGAGGTGGGAGCTAGTGGGAGGTGTTTTGGTCATGGGAATGGATCCTCCATGATGTCTTGGTACTGTACTCCTGGCAATGAGTTCTTGCTCTGGAGAGACTGGATTAGTTCTCACGAGTCTGTATTTCTTCCCATAAGAGTGAGTTGTCGTAATGACATGATGCCCCTTGGGTTTTGACTCTTTGCACTTATTTGCTTCCACTTTGACCTTCCTTGCCATGTTAGGACAATACACAAGAGCTCTCACCAGAAGCCAGAACTGTGCCCTTGAACTTCCCAGTCTGCAGAATTGTGAGCTAAATAAACCTGTCTTCCTTATCAATTACCCAGTCTGAGGTATTGTCATAGCAATACAAAATGGACTTGGACAGATGGTGATAAATACTATGAAGAAAAACAAAAATAAAGTAGTTGTTGCAGGCTAAATAATGACCTCACCAAAGAAATTCACATCCTAATCCCTGAAACCCATGAATAATATGTGATAAAAAAAAAAATGGGGTAGACTTTATGGGATTCAGCTAAGATTCTTGAGATGGCCAGACTCTCCTGGATGATCTGGGTGGGCCCCCAATGCAATCACTTGTGTCTCAGGAAAGGGAGGCTGAGAGAGACACAGCACAGGTAGAGGAGAGGGCCATGTGAAGAGGGAGCAGAAAGAGATGTGAACATTCTTGTGTTGAAGACTGCATGATGTGGCCACAAGCCAAGAAATGCCAGGTGCTTCCAAAATCTGGAGAAGGCAAGGAGGGTCCACAAGTCTGGAGGGAGTGTGGCCCTGGAGACTCCTTGATTTCAGCCCAGTGCCTTTGATTTCAGACTTCCTACCTCAAGAACTGAAAGAAATTTCTGTTTGTTTAAGTCATCAAGTTTGTGGTGATTTGCTACAATAGGCCCAGGAGACTGATAAGGCAGGCATGGGATTAGCAAGTAGGGTGGGGCTGGGTGGCTCTTTTAGATGCTGTGGTCAAGGAAGTCCTTGCTGCTCTAACCTAAAGTCTGAGAGTGATGGGAGAGTTAGCAACATCCATCTATCTGTAGCAAGAACAAGAAAAGTAGGAGGGGAAGGCCGGATAAGGTCTGCCTCTCACTGCTCCATCCAACGTATGGGAAACTTACAGGTTGTTAGAGTAGCATGGGACAAGGACCTGGGAATGGGAGCCTGTGTTCTAGCCCAGGCTCCATCACAAACAGTCAGTTACTCCACTTCGAGCACCAGCTTCTGCATCTGTGGAATGGGTTTGTCTTCCCTGACCCCATTACTTGGCAGAGATCATAGGCACCACCGCAGGCCTGCTGGGAGCATGCCTGGGATGTGCCATGTGCTGGTTGCTTCTGGTCTAGGACCTACACCCACCTCCTTGACATGCTACTGCCATCTGTGCCTCACACGGCCCTCACCCATGTCTGTCAACATTCCCTAAGCCCACTGTGCTGCCTGAACAGGTAAGACCTCTCTGTGGGGACCGGCGTTGTCCACTGTGGCTTCTGACTCTCACCACCCTCCATGCAGCCACAGGCACCCCCAACTCCACCTAAGCTTCCCGAGGGGCTGTGTCCTCACCCTGGTTCCTCGCCCTTCCCAGGATCCAGCTGCTCTCGAGTCCCCTGCGCGCCCCTCCTCCATCCACACACCCTCTTCCCTCTCCCCAGCCTCCACTCACTCACTCCACAGAATCAGGCTGAGCGCCTCCCTCATAGCAACAGGAGGAAATAGGAAGTGAAACAAACAGGACTTCTGTGCCCAGGTGGCCGGCAGCCATGGGGAGGCTGGAGGGGGATGGAGGGGGACACACATGGGATCCCCTGTGGCCTCCGTGGTGCATCGTCACACTCTGAGAAGTGAGACAGGAGGTCCACAGGGAAGGCCACGTTCAGAAGGGAGCACCGGGGCATCAGGCAGACCCGGCCTTCAGTTGGGGAGGCTGCCTGGGGAAGTGAAGCTGCAGCAGGGACCAGGCGCCGAGTAGGCATTTGTGAGGCCCTAGGAGGACGGAGCCGGGCCCCTTGGGGCTCAAGGGACCCCGCCTAGTGATGGGGCTCAAAATGAGGGGAGCAGAGGGCAGGAAAGACCTGGAGGGGGCAGAGCCCGGTAAGAAGGCTGGACCGGAGCATCCATTGTTTGACTCTGAAGAGATAATGCAGGCTGCAGTGAGGACACTGGATGGAAGGGGGTTTGGGGACATTTCAGCTAAAACATCTACTCGGCTGTTCGCAGCCCACATTTGGGAAATGAGAGGACAAGGATGAGTCTGAGTCCTAGACTGAGAATGAACAGGGTGACTGGTCATGCCAGCCTTGGAAACTGGGACATCTGGGAAGACCCCATGAAGCTTGGGAGTGACATCGTCTTACAACGTGGAGCATCTTCAAGATGACTTTGAGGGTCTCCATGGAGAGGAGGAGAGGCAGTTGGATTTATGGGTCTGGCAGCTCACAGAACCTTGAGCTGGTGATCAAATTTGGAGGGCTTGGGCTCAAAAGGATCAACTGTTAGGAACTGCTATTGCTCCAAAGCCCTCCTGCCCCAGCCCACACAGCTTCACTGGGAGGCAGAACCAGCTGGCGGCAGCTCCGACCCCTGCAGTCCAGGACCCTGGTCTCTGCTGTCCACCTCAGTGAGAAATGACCAATTCTTTACAGAGTTGCATGGGACAACATTGCCTCCCCATCCAGCCTGGCCTCGGGCAGCCTTCTACCCCCCTTGTCCTCTCAAGGTGAGGGACTCTTCTCCACACCTCTGCAGGACTGCATGAGCCACCACCAGCACAGTGATGCCTGTGGCATGCGGGCCTTCTGCCCCCTCTCAATGGCAAGTCTAATAAAGCCAAGTTCAGGGACCACAACCATGATGTGTACAGAGTGGTCACCATTGCTGAACTCCCTTAACCACCTGGAAGGCAGGCGTCCCGGCCCAGGCTTAATTGCATTCTCTAATGAATGAAGACAGGATTCTGGGTTTTGTTGCTGTTGTTGTTTTTGAGACATAGTCTTGCTCTGTTGCCCAGGCTAGAGTGCAGTGGTGTGATCTCTGCTCACTGCAACATCTGCCTCCTGGGTTCAAACTATTCTCCTGCCTCAGCCTCCCAAGTAGCTGGGATTATAGGCGCCCACCACCACACCCGGCTAATTTTTGGTATTTTTAGTAGAGATGGGGTTTCACCTTGTTGGCCAGGCTCGTCTCGAACTCCTGACCTCAGGTGATCCACTCACCTTGGCCTCCCAAAGTACTGGGATTACAGGCGTGAGCCACCCTGCCCAGCCATGTTGTTTTTTTAGAGACAGCATCTCACTTTGTCACCTAGGCTGGAGTCCCGTGGTGCAATCATAGCCCAGCACGATACCTTGCTAATTTTTAAATATTTTGTAGAGACAGGGCCCTACTATGTTGCCCAGACTGGTCTTGAGTGCCTGGCCTCAGGCAATCCTCCCACCTTGGCCTCCCAAGTGTTGGAATTACAGGTGTGAGCCACCACACCCAGCCTATTTACTTATATGCATTTAAAAACTTACAGCATGGTTTACTGCTCCCATTCTCACCATGTGATGTGCCTGCTTCCCCTTTGCCTTCCTTCATGATTGGAGGCTTTCTGAGGCCTCCCAAGAAGCAGACACCACTATGCTTCCTATACAGCCTGCAGAACTGTGAGTCAATTAAATATCTTTTCTTATAAATTACCCAGACTCAAGTATTTCTTCACAGCAATGCAAGAATGGCCTAATACAGGGCTATTTCTCTCTGTTTTTTTTTTTTGAGTCAAGTTAGACTTTTAGTTCACTTAACCTAGAACTTTTATGCTAACGCAGATGAAGTAAGAATTCTGTAGGTTTCTTATCTGTTTCACTTCTAGGACCACCATGATCAACTAACAAATGCCGTAGGTTTGTGGAATCACAGTTTTGACTGCTGCTTTGCCTCTGCTGTTCCTTATAGTAACTGTGCCCGTCTTGCCTTTGGTGGTTGAGTGCATCCACTTGGCCTCTGTCACCCTGGAATCCAGTGACTCCTATTGCACATAGTTTTCCCAATTCAGTTACCACATCTCTTATGTAAGTTCTGGCCTATATAGAAAAGCTATCACAGAGCTCTTCAAGAATGCTGGGGATCTCTGCACATGTTTTTTCTTCTTTTTTTACTTTAGAGACAGAGTCTTGCTCTGCTGCCCCGGCTGGAGTGCAGTGGTGCAATCATAGCTCACTGTAATTTGGAACTCCTGGGCTCAAGCCATCCTCCCACATTAGCCTCCCAAGTAGCTGGGACTACTGGCACATGCCATCACACCCAGCTACTTTTTTTTAGAGATGGGGTCTCACTATGCTGCCCAGGCTGGTCTCAAAGTCCTGACCTCAAGCAGTCCTCCCACCTTGGCCTCCAAAAGCACTGGGATTACAGGCATGAGCCTCCACACCTGGCTACCAATTTATTTCTCACAGTCATGAAAGGTGTGTCTTTTGGACTCTTTCAGGGTGGGAGAGTAGGTCTTAGTTGACACATCTATTCTAACATTCCAGTCTCCGTAAGCCTTTTTATACTTTTTTTTAATTTTTAACTTTTGTGGGTACATGGTAGGTGTATATGTTTATGGGGTACATGAGATATTTTGATTCAGGCATGCAATGTGTAATAGTCACATAAGGGTAAATGAGGTATCCACAACCTCAAGCATTTATTCTTTGTATTACAAACACTCCAGTTATACTCTTTTAGTTATTTTATCTTATTATTTTATTAGTATTATTATTATTATTTTGAGACAGAGTTTTACTCTTGTTCCTCAGGCTGTAGTACAATGGCACGATCTCGGCTCACTGCAACCTCTGCCTCCTGGGTTCAAGTGATTCTCCGGCCTCAGCCTCCTGAGTAGTTGGGATTACAGGTGCCCACCATCATGCCTGGCTAATTTTTTTGTATTTTTAGTAGAGATAGGGTTTCACCATGTTGGCCAGGCTGGTCTTGCACTCCTGACCTCAGGAGATCAATCTGTCTCACCCTCTCAAAGTGCTGGGATTACAGGTGTGAGCCACCGTGCCTGGCCTCTTTTAGTTATTTTAAAATATACAAGTTATCATTGATTGTAGTCACCCTGTTGTGCTATCAAATACTAGATCTTATTCATTCTACCTAACTGTAGTTTTGTACCCAGTAACCATCCCTACTTCCCCTTCCCAACACTACCCTCTCAACCTCTGTAATCATCATTCTACTCTCTATCTTCGTGAATTCAATTGTTTTAAGTTTTAGTGCTCATAAGTAAGTGAGAACATGGGAAGTTTGTTTTCTGTGCCTGGTTTATTTCACTTAACATAATGACCCCCCAGACTCCAGCCATGTTGTTGCAAATGACAGAATCTCATGTTTTTGTGGCTGAACTGTACTCCATTGTGTATATGTACCACATTTTCTTTATCCATTCATCTGTTGATGGACACAGGTTACTTCCAAATCTTGCCTATTGTGAACAGTGCTGCAATAAACATGGAGTGCGGATATCTCTTTAATATACTGACTTCCTTCATTTTGGGTATATCTCTAGCAGCAGGACTGCTGAATCATATGATACCTCTATTGTTAGTTTTTTGAGGAACCTCCAATTGTATTAATTTACATGCCCATCAACAGCATACAAACATTCCCTTTTCTCCACATCATCACCAGAATTTGCTGTTGCCTTTTGGATAAGTCATTTTAACTTGAGTGAGATGATATCTCATTGTGGTTTTGATGTGCACTTCTCTGATGATCAGTGCTGGTGAGTACCTTTTCCTATACCTGATTGCCATTGATATGTCTTGTTTTAAGAAATGTCTATTCAGATGTATTGTTCATTTTTTATTCTGATTATTAGATTTTTTCCCATAGAGTTGCTTGAGCTCCTTATCTAGTCTGGTTATTAACTGCTTATCTGATCAGTAGTTTGCAAATATTTTATCCCATTCTGTGGGTTATCTCTTCACTTTGTTGATTGTTTCCTTTGCTGTGCAGAAGCTTTTTAGCTAGATGTGATCCCATTTTTCCATGTTTGTTTTGGTCGCCTGTGCTTGTTGGTACCTAAGCTTTTGAATCCCTTCCTCTACATTTGATCAAGGCAGATCTGTCATTTCTAACTTGCTCACTGTGCCCCGTCTTTCAGCCCTTGTCCTGTGGGTTTCCTGCTTTTGTTCTTTTATCAACATTTTAGGGGTTTGGGGAGGAACAGAGATGAACATATATGCTCCATCCACCATGTTTAAAAGAGACATCTGTCTGTGCCAGTTGTAGTCCCCAAAGGCAAGATATGAAGTCACTTCTGAGAAGGCTGATCTGCAGGGGTGCACAGACCAGACTTGGGGGATTCTTCTCTTTCTCTCTCTCCTTATCTCACACCCGTCATTACAAATCCTATCAGTTCTGCTTTCAGAACATGACCAGACTCTGGGCACTTTTCGTCTCCATTGCTCCCACCCTAGCCCAGGCCACCTGGATTCGTCTCTCACCAGGATTTCTGCAGTTGCCTCTGATACCACCTTCTTGCTTTGCCTTCACTGATCTATTCTCAGCACATCAACCAGAGAGATTTCTCTTAAAAATCAGATCATGTGACGGCTCAACTGAAACCCTCCAATGGCTTCAAATTTCACTCAAAAATGTATTTCAGGTCCTTACCATGAGCTATAGGGTCAACACAATCCACACCCACTACTTCCCAACACTGGCTTCCTGCTTTTCTCAGCCTCAGCCATCCCAGCCTCCTTTGTGCTTCTTACATGCACTAAGCACATGCCAACCCCAGGATCTTTGCACTTGCTACTGTTTCCCCAGACGTTCCCATGGCCATTTAATCACTTGCTTCAGTGTTCAGCTGAAATGTCATCTTCTCAGAGAGGCCTCCCCTGCTTGTGTATCCACTTGTGGCCTTAGCACACTCATCATGGTTCTTGATTTCTAAGCACCCTCTTTTGACCTCAGCCCTACTACAACAAACAATTAGTTCTGTTTGTTGGTTTTCTCACTTCTACTTTGGACCCAGGAAGACTTCCAGGCCAGCACCTCTCAAACTGAAATGTGTATATAAACCAGAAAGACTTAGAACAGCACTTCTCACAGTATAATGTGCAAATTGCTTGGGGCTCTCATTAGTTTCAGATTCTGATTCCACAGGCTGGGGACATGGCCTGCAATTCTACCTCTTTGACATGTGCCCAGGAGGTGCAGATGCTGCTGACCCCGGCTGTTACAGGCTGATTTGTGTCCCCCAACATTTATATGTTGGAGTCCGGCCACCCAGTACCTCAAAAGGTGGCTGTATTTGGAGATAGGGACTTTGAAGAAGAAGTAATTAAGTTAAAATGGGATCATTAGGATAGGCCCCGATGCAATACAATAGGTGTCCCTATACGAACAGGAAATTTAGACACAGAGTCACACATAGGGAAGACCATGTGAAGACACCTCAGAAGAAGCCAAACCTTCCAACACCTTAGTCTCAGATTTCCAGCCTCCAAAATTGTGAGAAAATTAATTTCTGTCGTTTCACTCAGACTGCGGTACTTTGTTATGTCAAACCTAGCAAACCAATACTAATTTTGGTACTGAGAAGTGTGGTGCTGCTGTAACAAATACCTGAAAATGTGGAAGTCACTTTTGAACTGGGCAATGGGCAGAGGAAAGAAGAGTTTTGAGGCACCTGATAGAAAAGACTAGATTGTCTTGATAAGATTATTGGTAGAAATATGGACATTAAGGGGCATTCTGGTGAGAGATCATAAAGAAAAAAGGAGAGTTGGGCTGGGCGCAGTGGCTCACGCCTATAATCCCAGCACTTTGGGAGGCTGAAGTGGGTGGATCACAAGGTTAGGAGTTCGAGACCAGCCTGAACAACATGGTGAAACCCCGTCTCTACTAAAAATTTAAAAATTAGCCAGGTGTGGTGGCACGCACCTGTAGTCCCAGCTACTCAGGAGGCTAAGGCAGGAGAATCACTTGAACTCAGGAGGCAAAGGTTGCAGTGAGCCAAGATCGCGTCACTGCACTCCAGCCTGGATGACAGAGCGAGACTCTGTCTCAAAAATAAATAAATAAAATAAAATAATATATAGTTATCCTACACACACTTGTCACAATAACAAGCACCCTCTGACACAGGCAAACACTGACAACACATACTCACACTCACATGTACATAATTTTCAAATGACCATAAACATTCTTACCACAAACAAAATTTGTTATTGGAGTAATTGATACTCTGACCATACATACACTCAAACCACCCACACAGACTGCACTTTATCTGAGAGCCCATATTGACCATACACCCTCTAAGCACACATACACATTAACCAAACATACCAACACACAAATTACAAAATGGCCATGCACCCTGTGGCCACACAAAATTGCTGAACACAAACACACACATTCACACAGAAACTATGGCTGTGCATGTGTGCTTTAATTATGGTCATTCCACACTCCAGCATCAACATGGATGTCAAGAGTTGGAAGGGGGAGACATGGCACAGGGACAGAATGTGGGGGCGGGTTAGGCTACTCTTCCATCAAGCAAATCTGATACCCACAAAGCTCATTGCTACATTTACTTAAAATACAAGAAACAGGAAAGGCCAAGGGGGTATATAATAGTATTTTTAAGTGTCTTATGCAAACCCATCACCAAAAATCAAAATGTAAAAGACAATGATATTTTAATAGGCTTTGAAGAGAATGCATTAAAGACTCAGTGTAGTTCTAAACAGTGAAAGGCAAGATATTCTGGCTGGAAGAATACTCACTATTGCTATTGAAATTCTAGGCAAAATATTCATTGGTTTAAAACAGTTCAGGGTAAAATATTTCATTTTCATTGAGTAGCCTTGCATTGGGCAGCAATAAAGAAAGCTGGACAAAATATAGACACACACACACACACACACACACACACACACACACACACACACACACACATACACATAACTGAAGGACCAGAGATCTCAATCTCATGCAGACAGAGCTTGAGGGGCTACAATCCCTGACAAAAGGGAAGGAAGCACAAGAATGAAGCAACAGGTTCACATGGGCTTTTCCCCTAAGGACTTTACGCATTTGCACAGCGAGAGCAGAGAATCCAAGCAGGAAAAGGTAGGTTCTCTGAGTTAAGGAAAAATATACAAAAACTCAGTTTAAACAAATGACTATGACTTCTTCTAATCAGATGTAGTAAATGTATAACAACAATGAAAAATCAATTTAATAAGCACCATATGTTTTAAAACACCAAAGGAATGTGGAGGCAAACAGGACTAGATCACATAAGATGTGAGAGAGAGAGAAAGAGAGAGGGAGAGAGAGATAGTGTGTGTGTGTGTGTGTGTGTGTGTGTGTGTGTGTGTATGCGTGTGCATGTGTGCATGTGTTAAAGGAACTGGCTGGCCCAAATGTGGAGGTTGGGAAGTCCCAAATCTACAAGGAAGTCTGGCAGGCTGGAGACCTAGAGAAGAGTTGCCATTCAAGTCTGAATGGAGTTTTCTAGCAGAATTGCCTCTTCTTCATTGGAAGTCAGTATTTTTCTTAAAGACTTCCAATGACTGGACGAGACCCACTGACATTATGAAAGGCAATCTGTATTACTCAAAGTCTACTGATGTAAATGTTAATCCTATCCAAAATATACCTTCAAAGAAATATCTAGAATAGTGTTTGACCAAATATCTGAGTACCATGACTACTCAAGTTAACACATAAAATTATAGTGTTGTTCAAGTTTTCTATTTTCTTATTTCTCTTGTATCTGGTTGTTCTATTTGTTATTGAAAGAGGGATATTGAAGTCTCTTGATATTACTGTGGAACAATTTCTCCCTCTATTCTGTCAATGTTTGCTTCATAGATTTAGGAATTCTGGTGGTTGGTGCACATATGTTTGTAATTGTTATAACTTGATAAATTGACACTTTAATATGTAATGTAATTTTTGTGTCTTGTAACAATTTTTGATTTAAAGTCTATTTTGTCTCATCTTAATATAGCCACCCCTGCTCTCTTTTTTTTTTTTTTTTGGTTACTGTTTGCACGAGGTATCTTTTTGCATCCTTTCACTTTCAATGTAGGTGTGTCCTTAGATCTGAAGTGCTTCTCTTGTAGACCGAATCTATTTGGATCACATATTTTTATCCATTCTGCCAATCTGTAACTTTTGATTGGGTAGTTTAATTCATTTACATTTATTTTTATTTTTTATTATTTATTAATTTATTCTGAGACAGAGTCTTACTCTGTCACCTAGGCTGGAGTGCAGTGGCACAATCTCTTAGTTATGTACATGTCATCTCCAGAATTTTTTGTTCATTTTTACAATTTTTCTCTTTGTTGATATCTTTACTTTTAATATATCATTTTTTCTTATTTCTTTTAGTTCTATTCCCATGTTGTCATTTAGCTCTTTCAGCATATTTAAGACAAGTTTTTAAAAGTCTTTGTTTAATAAGTCTGGTGCTTGTGTTTTCTCATGTATGAAGATCCACAGAAACAACTTTCAATACTTTCAATTGTTGCTTCTAGTATTTACCTATATGTTTCTAAATAATTTGTTATCTTGCTAGATTGACTTATTTATTGTATACATTATCTATTGACATCTGTTGAGTATTTGAGGTTTAATTTCTCTTTCTTTATGCTCATGTTTACTTCCTCCTCCTCTCATGTTTTCAATGTAATTCTATTATAATTGGAGTTTTAAATGGTAGTTCATGTTTACATTATCATGATTATGTAAATACTGTTTGTTGCTGAACACAGAATTCTCATGGAGGAGCTTCAGTCAATGTCCCTCTTCCCCATAGGGGAAAAGTTTTCGCTTCTGTTACTCATACCTTTAAGTGCATCATTTGTTTATCCTTTGAAGTGAAGTTGTAATGCCTTACCAGTTTCCTCATAATGATGAAATAAATAAAATCTGTAGATTATGTTCATTTTATATCTGTATGAGAGTCATGATTTTATCTTGTTTTGAAAATAGTTCTTTTACAGGTGCCCCTGGCTGATTAGAACATCATATCCAAAGAAATGTGGAACAGAAAAACACAAATACATTTTTAAAAGATTTTGTGTCACAGGCGTTTAAAAATTAAAAATATATATAATACACAGTTTACCATTTTAACTATTTTGGGTGACATTAAGTGCATTTGTATTGTGCAACTATCACTACTGTCCATCTCCAAAAGTTTTTTATTATCTCGAAGTGAAATTCTCTACCGTGTGCTCACTTCAGCAGCACATATACTAAAATTGAAATGATACAGAGAAGATTAGCATGGCCCCTGTGCAAGGATGAAATTGTCTACCTATTAAACAGTAACTCCTCATTATTTCTTCCCTAAGCCTCCAGTAACCACTGTTCTACTTTATGTCTCTACAAATCACTATCATGTTACCTATGGGTTTTTCATATATAATCTTTATTATGTTGAGGAACCTTCCTTCTTTTCCTAGTTTGTTGAATTTTTTTAATCATAAAAGGATGTTGAATTTTGTCAAATGCTTTTTCTGCGTCATTTGAGATAATTATGGTTGTTTTCCCCCTTCATTCTATTAATGTGGTGTACCAATCAATTTTTGTATGTTGAACCATGCTTGCATTACAAGAATAAACCTCACTTGGTCACAGTGTATAATATCCTACTTTTAATGTTACTAAATTCAATTTGCTAGTATTTTTGAGGATTTTTGTATTAATATTCTTAAGGTATATTGTTCTGTAGTTTTCTTTTCTTGTAGTGTCTTTGCCTAGTTTTGGTGTCAGGATAATGCTGGCCTCACAGAATAATTTAGAAAGTGTTTTTTCTGATTCAACTTTCTGGAAGTGTTTGAGAAGGATTTATAGTGGTTCTTCTTAAATATTTGGTAGAATTTACCTGTGAAGCCATCAGGTGCAGGGATTTTCTTTGTTGGGAGTTTTTGTTATTATTATTAGTTATATGTTTATTCAGATTTTCTACTTCATGGTTCAGTCTTGGTAGGTTTGTGTTTCTAAGAATTAGTCCATTTCATCTGGATCATCTAACTTCTTGGTGTACAGTTGTTCATAGTACTCACTTAAAGTCATTTTTATCTGTAGAATCTGTAGCAATGTCCTCACTTTCATTTCTGACTTCAGTAATTTGAGTCCTCTTTTTCTTGTCAGGCTAACCTAAGGTTTGTCAATTTTGTTGATCTTTTCAAAGAACCTACTTTGGATTTCATTTATTTTCTCTATTTTTTTCCTATTCCTTATTTATGTTTGCTCTAATCTTTATCATTTCCTCTTTCTGCTAGATTTGAGTTTAGTTGGTGCTTTTCTACTTCCTTAAATTGTAAAGTTAGGTTGTTGATTTGAGATTTCTCCTTATTAAATATATGTTTACAGCTATAAATTTCCCTTTTATCTCTTTTACTGCATCTCATAAGTTTCTGAATGTTGTGTTATCATTTTAATTCATCTCTAAGTTTTTTCCAGTTTCCCCTGTGATTTCTTTTTTGACTCATTGGTCATTTAGAAGTGTGTTTAATTTCCACCTATTTGTAAATTTACCAGTTTTCTTCTGTTATTAATTTCTAACTTCATCTTGTTGTGGTCAGAGAAGATAATTTGTATGCTGTATATCTTTTTGTATCTATTGAGACTTGTTTTGTGGCCTAACATATGGTTTATCTTTGTGAATGTCCCATGTGCACTTGAGAAAAATATAGATTCTCTTGTCTTTTGGAGTATTCTGCATATGTCTGTTAGATCTAGTTGGTTTATTGTCTAGTTGGTATTCAAGTCCTCTATTTACTGACACCTTCTGTCTGGCTGTCCTATTCATTTATAAAAGTGGAGTATTGAAGTCTCCAACTATTATTGCAGAACCGTCTATTATCCTAAAAATTATCCTAAAAATTTTTGCTTCATATATTCTAATGGTCTGTTATATGTATAAATGTTTATAGTTGCTATATATTTTTGGTAAGTTGACTTCTTTGTCAATATATAATGTCCTTTTTGTCTTTTGTAACAGTTTTTGAGTTAAAGTCAATATCATTTGATGTTAGTATAGGTCCTTTTTTGGTTACTATTTGCACGAAATATCTTCTTCTATCCTTTCACCTTCAACTGTTTGTGTCTTTGAATCTAATAAGTCTTCTTTTAGACAGCATATAGATGATCATGTTTTTAAAATTCATTCTGCAAATCTCTGTCTTTAGATTGGAGAGTTTAATCCATTTATATTTGAAGTAATTACTGATATGAAAGGACTTCTGCTATTTTGCTTTTTTTTCTATAGGCTTGTAGCTTTCTTGTTCCTTATTTCTTGCTTTACTGCTTTCTTTTGGTTTAGTTGACTTTTTTGTAGTGAAACATTTTAATTCTCTTTATATTGCCTTTTGTGTATGTTCTATATCTATTTTCTTTGTGGAGTTGCCATGGGGATTGCATTTAACAGCCTAAAGTTATAACACTCTAATTTGAATTTTTACCAGCTTCACTTCAATAGCATACAAAATGTCCGCTTCTATACAGCTCTGTCCCTACCTCTTTCACTTATTGATATCACAAATTACATCATTTTTCTGGATTTTTAAATTTTTAAAATAGACTTAGGGTGTGCAAGTGCATTTTTGTTTCATGAATATACTGATTGCATAGTGGTAGAGTCTGGGCTTTTTAGTGTAACCATCCCCTGAATAGTGCGCATTGTACCCAATAGGTAATTTCTCATCCCTCACCCCCCTCCCATCCCACCTTCTCACCTTTTGTAATCTCTAATGTCTAGTCTTCCACTCTCTATGTCCATGTGTACACATTGTTGAGCTTCCATGTATACCAAATATAACTTTAAATGTTTTTAAATTTTATGGTACCTTGTATGGTACCTTTGAATTTTCTGTTTCTTTGTATGCTTTGTGATTTTTATTGAAAACTATACATTTGAATCTATAATATGATAACTTTAGAAATCTGACTCTTCTTTCTCCAGAGGTTTGCTTTTTTTTTTTTTTTTTTAACAAAAATTGTTGTAGGATGTCTCTGTGCTGGGAATCAGACTTAGTTATAAACTTCAGGTTTTCTCAGGTCTTTTTTTAAGCCCATGTCTTTCCCAGAGCATGTGTGGTGCCTTCCTACACTCCCCCATATATGTGGTTGCTTTGGAATGTCCTAATTCTTAAATGTCATCCAAGTCTTCCCCTGGAAGCTGCAACCCTTCAAATAGATTCCAGAGTTTCAAAATAATTACATCAGGCCAGGCGCGGTGTCTCACGCCTATAATCCCAGCATTTTGGGAGGCCGATTCAGGCAGATCACCTGAGGTCAGGGGTTCGAGACCGGCCTGACCAACATGGTGAAACCCCATCTCTACTAAAATACAAAATTACCTGGACATAGTGGTACATACCTGTAATCCCAGCTACTTGGGAAGCTGAGGCAGGAGAATTGCCTGAACTGGGAGGCAGAGGTTGCAGTGAGCCAAGGTCGTGCCACTGCACTCCAGCCTGGGCAAAAAGAGTGAAATTCTGTCTCAAAAACACACATACACACACACACACACAGAAAATAATTACACCAGACAGACTCATCCAGCACAATTGTTGTTAAAGTGAAGAGAGGGATTCTTGGTGCTTCCTTTCATCCATCTACCCTAATGAAACAAACCCATGTCACAGGGTTTGAAACCTGCATATATTTTATCAGATTTAATAATGAATACAGTTTCTCTGAAATGTTACTTTAAAATTAATCTGTCATAGAGTATATGTGGCAAGCCATTTAAGAAAAAAGGAAACTTTAGGTCTGTCAAATAGAGATCATCTGACCAAACTGACATGATAGTGTCACATAAGTTCACCTTCATTGCCAGTCCAACTTAATACAATATAGGATTGAAAATCAATTATCTGTAGGAATATTGGTGCTGCACTCTTTTAGCTCATGTCCCAGAGGATGCTAGGGGTATTGCACTGCGCTAAAATCTTTTCTCTCTTGAACCTCATGCCTTTTATAATTTCACAAATACAATGTGTCACTCTATGCTATTAACAATAAATATTTAATGTGTATCTATCATTTTGAAAGGGAGATGCAAATAACCTGTCCAGTGTCTTGGCTCTTACTTGGGGCTCTGGTGTCTGGAAGCACTTCACCTCTCAGAATGTGATAGCCTTATTTCACTTAGAGAATATATAATCTTTTCTTTTAAAATGTATACACTTATAAACTTATAAAAGCAATATAATACAATACAAACATTTTGAAAAGTATATATATATTTTTTGAGACGGAGTCTCGCTCTGTCGCCCAGGATGGAATGCGGTGGCACAATCTCTGCTCACTGCAAACTCCGCCTCCTGAGTTCAAGCGATTCTCCTGCCCCAGCCTCATGAGTAGCTGGGATTACAGGCATACGTCACCACACCCGGCTAATTTTTGTATTTTAGTAGAGATGGGGTTTTACCATGTTGGTCAAGCTGGTCTTGAACCCCTGACCTCAGCTGATCTGCCTGAATTGGTCTCCCAAAGTGTGGGATTACAGGCGGGAGCCACTGCGCCCGGCCGAAAAATAATTTTTAAATAGCCAATGATTCTTCCACTTGAGCATAATCCCCTTTTCTATTTCCATAGTTTTAACAACACAGTTGTATTCCTAATATACATTTGGTTTTATATCCTTTTTTTCACTTAACATTCTATTTTTTATTTTCCTATGAATGATGCCTGCATGCACCCATACTTTGATAATAAAGTGTTTATTTTGCATGACATTGTGTAAAGAAAGAGGCAGTTAATTTTCTCAGAATGATGAAGACATGCAAGGTCTTGGCCCAGTGTTACAAAGTATTAGAAAACTTTCGCTTCCAGACAAGGTAGGGTAACAGGAGCCTAACTTACCTGCATGAAACAACTGAAAAAGCAAGCTAAATATATGAAGCAACAGTTCTCAAAAGACACTGGACATGGGGCAACACAGGACCATAATCCCTGAAAAACAAGAGGTGAGCCTGATGATTTCCCCAGCTTCCTGCCTGGAGACATTTACCAGGCTGCAGCACAAGGATAGCTCACACAGAGCTTGATGATCTCCCTGAGCTAAGGAGACAAAGCTGCAGATTTAGGGAAAGCAACACAGTTAGAGTTTTTGGGATATAAAATAATGGAGAATAAGGGCTGCACGGAGAGAGAGAATTCCAGGGATTTGCAGGGAGTCCTGTCAAGTCTTCAGCTGGGTTCTGATCAGTGCCTGCACAGAAGAAACTACTTTCGATTGAAGAAAGCACCACCCAAAAGAAGCACAGGAAACAATCCTTAGCACTCACACAGGGCTGGGAATAGTTTCTGTTCCCACCAGCCAGAGTGGAAAACTTCATAACTCATGAAGCATTGGATAAAGTGCCCAGAAGTTTATTGTCACAGTAGTGAAGGGAAATTAGCTCTTGCATCAGGGTTTCTCAACTTTACCTCTGTGGGCATTTGGTGCTGGATAATTTTTTGTTGTGAAGGCTATCCTACATATTGTAGATGTTTTGCAGCAGCCCTGGCCTCTACCCACTAGATGCCAGTAGCAGCACCTCCACAACTTGTGACAACTAAAATGGTCTCCACACATTGCAGAAAGTCCCCTAAAGAAGGAAATCGGCTCCTGTTGAGAATCACTTCTCTAGACCAAAGGCTATTCTGCTGTTGCTTATTAAACTTAAAAGCAGGCCTCAAAACAATCTGCTCCAAGTAAATTAACTGCATCCCAGAACAAAGTTCAACATATTTATTGGAATACAAAAATATTGAGCACCTCAAAGGTAAAAGTTCACAATGTCAGGGCCAGGCGCGGTGGCTCACGCCTGTAATCCCAGCACTTTGGGAGGCTGAGGAGGATGGATCTCCTTAAGTCAGGAGTTCAAGACCAGCCTGGCCAACATGGTGAAACCCCATCTCTACTAAAAATACGAAAATTAGCCAGGCATGGTGGTGGGCATCTATGATCCCAGCTACTTGGGAAGCTGAGGCAGGAGAATTGCTTGAACCCAGGAGGCAGAGGTTGCAGTGAGCCAAGATCGGACCATTGCACTATAGCCTGGGCAACGAGAGAGACTCCGTCTCAAACAAACAAACAAACAAACAAACAAAATTTACAATGGCAGTCATGCAATTGGAATGGAAAGGCATGAAAAAAATCAAGAAAATATGACCTATAATAAGGAGAAAGTAAATCAACAAAAAGAGATTCAGAAATAGATAGAATTAGTAGGCAAGGACAGGCCAGGCATGGTGGCTCACACTTGTAATCATAGCACTTTGGGAGGTAGAGGCAGGAGGATCACTTGTGTCCAGGAGTTCAACACTGGCTTGGGCAACATAGTAAGACCCCATCTCTACAAAAAATCAAAAATTAACTAGACATGGTGGCATGCACCTGTAGTTCCAGCTACTCAGTAGGATGAGGTAGGAAGATCACTTGAGCCTGGGAGGTCGAGGCTGCAGTGAGCCATGATTGCACCACTGCACTCCAGGCAGGACAACAGAGAGAGAACTTGTCTCAAAAAAATAAAGTAAAAAGTAGGCAAGAACAATAAAAAGTTATGCATTTATACATAATATTAAATATATAATATATGACATACTTAATATGTTCAAGAAGACAGAGGAGAGATTGAGCATGTTAAATGAAGGCATGATAGATGTAAAAACAAGAGACTTGAAAAGACTCAAATTCAAAGAGCAAGATAAAACTACAACAAAATGGAATAATAACCAATTAGATGCTGCAGAGGTAATGCACAGTGAACTTGAAGTTAGACAATAGACACTATCAAAAATGAAACACAGACCAGGCACGGTGGCTCATGCCTGTAATCCCAGCACTTTGGGAGGCCGAGTTGGGTGGATCACCTGAGGCCAGGAGTTTGAGAACAGCCTGGCCAAAATGGTGAAACCACATCTCTACTAAAAATACAAAAATTAGCCGGGCATGGTGGCGGGTGCCTGTAATCCCAGCTACTCGAGAGGCTGAGGCAAGAGAATCGCTGAACTCAGGAGGTGGAGGTTGCAGTGAGCCGAGATCATGCCGTTGCACTCCAGCCTGGGCAACAAGGGCAAAACTCTATCTCAAAAAAAAAAGAAAAAGGAAAAGAAAAAGAAAAAAAGAAACACGGATACAAAATACTAAAATGAACAGAACATCAGTGAGTGGTGGGACAACTTCAAGTGACCTAATATACATGTAATTGGAGTCTCTAGAGAAAGATAAGGCACAATAACTGAAAACATAATAAATAAAAACTTTTCAAATTTGATGAAAATCTAAACTCTTAGAACCAGAAAGCTCAACAAATCACAAGGACAAGAAACATGAAGAAAACTAAGCCAAGGCCCATCACAGTCAAATTGCTTGAAAAACTGATGTCAGTGACAATGGCAGCCAGAATAAATAAAGACACACTACATATGGAGGAGTGAAGATAAGGAGAACATCAGGTCTTTCTAATTTTTGTGTTTTGTTTTCATCAGAAAAACACAAGCCTGAACATAATGAAGCAATACCTTAAAGTACTGAAAGAAAAAAAAAAAAAAACCTGTCATCCTAAAATTCTGTACCGAAAGAAAATAGCTTCCAAAAACGTAGACATAATAAAGACTTTTTAAGGCATACAAAAATGGAAAGACTAAATTAGCAGCAGATCTGAACTATAAAAAATGTGGTTTTCTACATTTTGAAATGAAGGAAATTGATCCCAGAAGGAAATCTGGATGCACACCAAGTCATAAAGGGCAATAGAAGTGGCCAATGTGGTAGAAGATCTATGAAAGACTTCCCTCCTTCTTTTAAAATGTTATTTAAAAGGTACTTGATTGTTTCAAGCAAAAATAATAACAATGCGGCCAGGTGCGGTGGCTCATGCCTACAATCCCAGCACTTCAGGAGGCTGAGGTGGGCGGGTCACGAGAGGTCAGGAGGTCGAGACCGGTCTGGCCAACATGATGAAACCCCATCTCTACTAGAAATACAAAATTTAGCTGGGCGTGGTGGCAGGTGCCTGTACTCTGGAGGCTGAGGCAGGAGAATTGCTTAAACCCAGGAGGCGGAGGTTGCAGTGTGCCGAGATCGTGCCACTGCACTCCAGCCTGGATGACAGAGTGAGACTCTGTCTCAAATAATAATAATAACAACAATGCAGTATGAGGTCTACAACATGTAGGCGTAAAATATATGACAGCATTAGCCCAAAAGCTAGAGGATACGAAATGGAAATTCACTCTTGTAAGGCTCTTTTTTTATATGCAAAGTGGCATGATACTATTTCAAAATAGATTACTATAGACTAAAGATGCATATTATAAACACTGAATCAACTTATTTTTTTAGACAGAGCCTCGCTCTGCCACCAGGCTGGATGCGTGATCGCAGCTCACTGTAACCTCCACCTCCCGAGTTTAAGTGATTCTCCTGCCTCAGCCTCCCGAGTAGCTGGGACTACAGGCGTATGCCACCACGCCCCACTAATTTTTGTATTTTTTAGTAGAGATGGGGTTTCACCATATTGGCCAGGATGGTCTCGATCTCTTAACCTTGTGATCCGCCCGCCTCAGCCTTCCAAAGTGCTGGGATTACAGGCGTGAGCCAGCGTGCCGGGCCTTGAATTAACTTTTATAGAAACAAAGGAGTTGTATCTACTAAGGCAAAAAGTAGGAAAATCTAGGATCATAAAAATTGCTCAATTATTAAAAAAAATACAAGAGAAAAAAGGAAACAAACGACAGGTAAACATATAGAAAACCAAGAGCCAGATGATGGATTTAAACCCAAGTAAGTCAACAATTACATTAACTCTAAATATTCTAAACATTCTAATTTTAAAAGATTATCAGACTGGAAAGTTTGCAAGACCCATCTAATTACTGCCTATAATAAATTAAAAAGGCACAGGTTAAAAGTAAAAGAAAGTTACAGGTTAAAAGTAAAAAAAAGACATATTATGTTAAAAAAATGAAAATAAAGCTAGAATAACTACATTAATAGATTTAGTGCAAATATTGTTACCAGGACAAAAAATGGTCATTTCATAATTATAAAGGAGTCAATTAATCAAGAGAAAATAATAATTTCTAATTTTTCTATACCTAATAATGGAGCTACAAAATACAGGAAGCAAAAACTGATAGAACTGGAAGGAAAAATAGGCAAATATAAATTATACTCAGAGATTTCAGCACACTCTCTTGACAATTGATAGAACAAGTATACAGAATATCAGTAAGATTATAGAAGATTTGAACAACAATATTAACCTGATCTAATTGACATAGAACACTCAAAAATAGCAACTACAAATTATTTTCACATGCACATGGGAAATTTACCAAGATATATTCTGGGCCATTAAAAAATCCCAAAACTATAAAATGACTTAAATTTTACAAAGTATGCTCCCAGATCATAAATGGAATTAAATTAGAAATCAATAACAAAAAATTATCTAGGAAATCTCCTTATATGTGGGAGCTAAATTACTTCTAAATAACTCACAGTTCAAGAAGAAATGAAAAGGGAGATTAGAGAGTAAGTTGAACTCAATAAAAATAAAAACAAAATATCTAGAAATCTATGAGATCAGCTAAAGCAGTATTCAGAAGGAAATTTATAGCACTAAACTGTCTTTATTAGAAAAAAAGGCAAAATCAATAATCTGTTTCTATATTATACAGCTAAAAATAAGTCAAATGCAAAATAAGCAGAAGAAAAATAATAAACAGCATAAATGAATGAAAGAGAAAAAGAAATAGAACAGAGAATATCAATGAAACCAAAGCTAATTCTTTAAGACAAACAAAATGGATAAATCTCAAGTCAGACTGGTCAGAAAAAAGGAGAGACAGAAGAAACAAATTACCAGTATCAGGAATGAGAGTGGTAACATCACGAATGATTCCACAGATATAAAAAGATAACAAGGGGATACTATTTTTAAAAAACCTTTCTGCTAACAAATGGAAATTTAGATATACAAATTATTTTAAAGACACAATCTATCAGTGCTTACTCAAGAAGAAATAGATAACCTAAATAGCTTCATATCTGTGAAGCTATTTAAGCTAAAGAAGTTTATTCTGTAGTTAAAAATCTTGAACAAAGGAAGCTCAAGACTTATGGCTTAACTAGTGAATTCTGCCAAACATTTAAGGAAGAAATAATGCTAAATCTAACAAACTGTTCCAGAAAATTGAAGATGAAGGAATATTTCCCAATTTATCCTTTAAGATAAGCATTGCCCTGAAACCAAAACCAGGCTTAAAAAAAAGAAAAGAAAAGAAAAGAAAACTGCAGGTTGATGCCTCTGTGACTATAGATGCAAAAATTCTTAACAATTTTTTTTTTTGCAAATCAAAACCAAAAATATATGACCAAGTGAGGTTTATCCCAGAAATAATATCCCAGGGTTGGTTTAATCTTTAAAAATCAATCAGTAGAATCCACCATATCAACAAACTAAAAAACACCATACAATAGTCTCAATTGGTACACAAAAAATATTTGATAAAATCCTACTTCCATTCCCAATTTAGAAAAAAGACTCTCAGCAACTAAAAATAGAAGTGAACTTCCTCAAGCTGATAAAGAACATGTACAGAAAACCTACTGCTACCGTTAAACTTAATTGTGTTTGATTAAAGCTCTTTTCCTAAGTCCAAAAATAAAGCAAGGATATCTGCTTTACTCACTATTTTCAAAATTATGGTAAAGCTTATAGCCAGGACAATCAGGGAAGAAAAAGAAACAAAGGCATAAGGAATAAGGAAAAAAAAAAGTCATTCTTTGCACAATATAATCGTCTATGTAGAACATGCAATGGAGTCTACAAAATCGCTTCTAGGCTGGGCGCAGTGGCTCACGCCTGTAATCCCAGCACTTTGGGAGCCTGAGGTGGGCGGATTGCCTGAGGTCAGGAGTTCGAGACCGGTCTGGGCAACATGGTGAAACCCCGTCCCTACTAAAAATACAAAACAATTAGCTGGGCGTGGTGGCGTGTGCCTGTAATCCCAGCTACTACTCGGGAGGCTGAGGCAGGGGAATTGCTTGAACCAGGGAGGTGGAGGTTGCAGTGAGCCGAAATTGCACCATTGCACTCCAGCCTGGGCCACAGAGTGAGACTCCGTCTCAAAAAAAAAAAAAAAAAAAAAAAATCAAAAACAAAAAAAAACCTTCTAGAACAAATAGATGACTAACAAGTTGCAGGAAACACAATCTATATATTTTTAAAAAAACATTTCTAATAATCACATCAAATCATGGGAAACTGAAAATTTAAAAACATCTTTTACAGTAGCATCTAAGTGTATTAAAATAGGATAAGTCATTCAACAGATTTATGTTACATATGACCATACATTTTATGTATTTATTTATTTTTATTTATTTATTTATTTTTTTGAGACAGTCTCACTCTGTTGCCCAGGCTAGAGTGCAGTGGCACAATATCGGCTCATTGCAACCTCTGCTCCCGGGTTCAAGTGATTCTCTTGCGTTAGCCTCCTGTGTAGCTGGGATTACAGGTGTGCGCCACCATGCCCAGCTAATTTTTGTATTTTTAGTAGAGAAGGAGTTTCAGCATGTTGGCCAGGCTAGTTTCGATCTCCTGGCCTCAGGTGATTCTCCCACTTCATCCTCCCAAAGTGCTGGGATTACAATCGTGAGCCACTGTGCCAGGCCTGATCATACATTTTACTTATACATGTGTTATGAAGACAATAAAATATTGCTACTTTTTTTTGCTTAAATACAATTATCTTTTAAAGATACTTAACTAAAAAACCATGTTTTTCACGTATTCATTATTTTTTGTGCTCTTCATTCCTTCTTGTAAATCCCTATTTCTGTCTGGTGTCATTTTCCTTCTGTCTGAAGGACAGACATCCTTTAACATTTCCTGTAGTTCAGGTCTCCTGTCAGCTTTGCTTGTCTAAAAATATATTTGTCTTTTTAAAAATCAACTTTATTTTTTGGAGCAATTTCAGGTTCATGGCAAAATTGAGCAGAAAGTACAGAGTTTCCATAAACCCCCTGTACTGACACATGCACAAACTCTCCCACTATCAACATTCCACACAAGAGAGGTACACTTGCTACAACTGATGAAGATACATTGACCCATTAATATCACCCAAGTCCATCCTTGATATTAAGGTTCACTCTTGGTATTGTCCATTCTATGGGTTTGCACAAATATATAATGATATGTATTCACCATTACAGTATCATACAGATTACTTTTACTACTCAAAAAATCTTCTGTGCCCCACTTCTTCATCCTCCTCACCTCCCTAACACCTGGCAATCACTGATCTTTTTACTGTCCCCATAGTTTTGCCTTTCCCAGAATGTTATATACTTGTTATCATACAGTATGTAGCCTTTTCAGATTGGTTTCTAGCACTTAGAAACCATTTGTTCCTCCATGTTTTTTCATGGCTTAATAGTTCATTGCTTTTTAACACTGAACAATATCCCATTGTCTGAAGGCACCATAGTTTATTTTTTTCATTCACTTACTGAAGTACATTTTGGTTGCTTCCAAGTTTTGGCAGTTATGAATAAAACAGCTGTGTGCACGTTTTTGTGTGGACATAAGTTTTCAACGCCTTGGGCAAATACTTAAGAGCTTAATTACTGGATCATACGGTAAGGGTATGTTTAGTTTCATTTGGCAAACTGTATTCCCAAGCGGCTGTACCTGCTAGGCGCAGTGGCTCATGCCTGTAATCCCAGCACTTTGAGAGGCCAAGGCGGGCGGATCACCTGAGGTGAGGAGTTTGAGATCAGCCTGAGCTTATGGTGAAACCCTGTCTCTACTAAAATTAGCTGGGCCTGGTGGTGCATGCCTGTAATCCCAGCACTTTGGGAAGCCAAGGCAGGCGGATCACTTGAGATCAGGAGTTCGAGACCAGACTGACCAACATGGTAAAACCCCGTCTCTACTAAAAATACTAAAAGTAGCCAGGTATGATGGCACACTCCTGTAATCCCAGCTACTGGGGAGGCTGAGACATGAGAATCACTTGAACCTGGGAGAAGGAGGTTACAGTGAGCTGATATCCTACCACTGGACTCCAGCCTGGGCGACAGAGCGAGACCCTGTCTCAAAAAATAAAATAAAATAAAGTGGCTGTACCGTTTTGCATTCCCATCAATAATGAATGAGAGTTCCCATTGCTCCACATCTTCACCAGTATTTGGAGTTGTCAGTGTTTTGAACTTTTGTGATTCTAACAGGTGTGTAGCGGTATCTAAATGTTAATTTACAATTCTGTAAAGACATATGATGTTGGGCATCTTTTCATATGCTTATTTTCCATCTGTATATCTTCTTTGGTAAGATGTCTGTTCAAATTTCATTTTATTTTAATTAATTAGTTTATTATTATTTTATGTGCACATAATCTTAACACACTTTTAAGCATACGGTATAGTATGGTTAACTACATGCAAAATGCTATACAGCAGCTCTCTAGAATATTTTCTCTTGCATAACTGAAACTATACCCACTGAACAGCAATTCCTCATTTTCCCCTTCCCCTGGTAATCAACATTCTACTTTCCACTTCTATGGTGTTTGATTACTTTAGATACCTCATATAAACGGAATCATGCAGTATTTGTCCTTCTGTGCCTGGCTTATTTCACACAGCATAATGTCCTTAAGGTTCATCCATGTTGTCACATATGATAAAATTTCTTTCTTAAGGCTAAGTAATATTCCACTGTATGTATATAGCACATTTTCTTCATTCATTCATCTGTTGAGGGACATTTGGGTTGCTTCCACATCTTGGCTATTGTGAATAATGTTGTAATAAACATGAGTTTGCAAATATCAATTTGAGACACTGATTTTAATACCTTAGGATAAATACCCAGAAAGGGAGTTGCCAGATCATAGGAATAATTCTATTTTTAATTGTTTTGAGGCACTCCATGCTGTTTTCCATAGAGGCTGCACCATTTTACATTCCTGTCAACGTGTGTAAGTGTTCCAATTTCTCCAAATCTTTGTCAACACTATTTTTTTAATAATGGCCATCCTAACAGGTGTGGTTTTTTTTTGCATTTCCATCATGATAATTGATGTTGAGCATATTTTCATATACCTAATGGCCATTTGTATTGTCTTCTTTGGAGAAATGTCTATTCCAATTCTTTATGCATTTTTAAATTGATTTATTTGTTTTGTTTTGCTTGCTATTGAGTTGTAGGAGTTTCTTAGGTATTTTGGATATTAATCCCTTATCAGATGCATAATTCACAAATATATTTTTCCATTCCATAGGTTGCCTTTCCACTTTGTTGATTGTTTTTTGTTCTGTTTTGCTGTGCAGAAGCTTTTTTTTTTTTTTTTTTTGTGAGACAGGGTCTCTCTGTTGCCCAGGCCAGAGTGCAGTGGCACGATCTCGGCTCACTGCAATCTCTGCCTCCTGTGTTCAAGCAATTCTCATGCCTCAGCCTCTGAAGTAGCTGGGACTACAGGTGCACATCACCACACCCGGATAATTTTTTTTTTTTTTTTAGTAGAGATAGTATTTTGCCATATTAGCCAGACTGGTCTCGAACTCCTGGCCTCAAGTGATCCGCCTGCCTCGGCCTCCTAAAATGCTGGAATTACAAGAGTGAGCCACCATGCCTGGCCCAGAAGCTTTTTATTTTGATATAACACCACTTGTCTATTTTTGCTTTTGCTGCCTGCGCTTTTGGTATTATATCCAAAAAATCATTACCAAGAACAATGTCATGAAGAGTTTCCCCTCTGTTTTCTTCTGGAATATTACAGTTTCAAATTTTATATTTAAACTCTTAATCCATTCTGATGTTCTTTTTTTTTGACATATGGTGTACGGTAAGGGTCCAATATCATTCTTATGCATATGGATATCCATTTTTCCCAACACCATTTACTGAAGAGACTCTTCTCCCATTGTGTATTCTTGGCATCCTGTTGACGAACAGTTGACCATATGTATGCATGGATTTATTTCTGGGCTTTCTATTCCATTGGTCTGCATGTCTGTCTATATGCCAGAACCATACTTTTAAAATAATTGTATCTTTATAATGTGTTTTAAAATCAGGAAGTGTGATGCTTCCAGCTTTGTTCTTCTTTGTTTTGGTGGTTTGGGGGTATTTTGTGGTTCCATATGAATTTTATAATTTTTTTATTTCTATAAAAAATGCCGTGGGGATTTTGATAGGGATTGCATTGGATCATTAGATCATTTTGAGTAGCATAGACATATTAACTATATTAAATCTCCCAACCCATGAGAACAGGATGTTCTTCTATTTGTGTCTTTAATAATTTCTTTCATAAATGTTCTATAGTTTTCAGTGTACAAGTCTTTTGCTTTTTTAATTAAGTTTATTTCTGTTTCATTCTTTTTGATGCTACTGTAAATGGGATTCTGTTTAAATTTCCTTTTCAGCTTATTCATTGCTAGTGTATAGAAATAAAATTGTGGCCCAGACTGAAGTGCAGTGGCATGATCATAGGTCACTGTAACCTCAAGCTCCTGGGCTCAAGTATTCCTCCCCGCCTGAGCCTCCTGAGTAGCTGGGATGACAGGCATGTGCCACCACACCCGGCTAATTTTTGTATTTTTTTAGTAGAGTCGGGGTTTCACCATGTTGGCCAGGTTGGTCTTGAACTTCTGATCTCAAGTGATCTGCCCACCTTAGCCTACCAAAGTGCTGGGATTACAAGCGTGAGCCACCACTCCTGGCCACATTCATTTTCTTTAAAGCAACCCCCAGCCATGTAGAGCATGCCAGGTGTCAGGTTCCACTTTGAGCTGGGGCCCGAGGGGAGTGGGTGGACGGGTGGCAGGTAGCTGAAAGAACACTCGAGGGACCGTAGGCAGTTGGGACATGGCTTTATTCTCTCTCTCTCCTACAGAGTCAGCAGTGCAGTTATATGACTTATAGACAATAGTGGCTCAAAGCCAGGTATAAGCTCACACAAACAGGTTACTTTAAATGGCTACATAAATATGATCACATAATGCACAGAGTTGTGTGCCTGTGCTCTAGACCCGCTGTGTCATGCTGTACTGGATGTCTGCCTCGGCCTGCTCCTGACTGAAGCACAGCCATTCTTTTTACACTCCATCCTCTAGACCGGGAGAAAATGTGCCCACAGGGAGGAACCCTGAACTTATAGGTCACAGTAGCAATACAGGGAGCAACAACTCATTACTAATACTCCCATGGTGCTGCCTATAATTATTAGGGTCCAGCACAGGCCAGAGCCCAGAGACACCCACCGTGTCTGTAGGAGGTTGTCAATAAGGCTCTCAACTGCCTTGATTTCCTGGGGAACCCCCTGCAAAGCTGCTGTTACGTTTTGTTGATTGTCAGGGATGAAAGTACAACATTGAGTTCCCCAAAGAGCACAGGTGCCACCTTGGGCAGCTGTTAATATGTCTAGGACCATCCACTTCTGCAGTACCACCTTTCTAGTTTGATCAACCTCATCTGTCAGCAGAAGGAGGGCAACTCAGGTGTAATTCAAGGCTCAAGCAGTGTGCTCCACAAGGGCCGTAACTTGCATTTCTACAGTTATGACACCTGTTCCAGGAATGGTTAATGCTAAAGGGTAGAGCCACCAGGGGGCTCGTCGAACTTGCAAAAACAAGGAATGTAGTGCCTCTGTTGTGTGGGCATCTAGGCAATGTGGGAATGACAGTGGCAGGCACATAAGGCCACCCCCAGGTACAGTGGCCAGTTCAGGTAACTGGCACATATGACTGTGTCTCTATAGACCCATAAACTCTCAGGGGGCACAAAGTCCATTGGGGCTCGGCCTTGATGAGGCTGTCTATTCCACCACACCTTTGGTGTGGTGACATGTTATATTTATGCAGGCTATGGCGGGCAACTGCCCCACGGTGATGTTACCCCAATGTTGCTCTATACATCGTGGTACCTGTGCTGGGGGCACCACATGTTCTCCCACTAACCAGCCCCATCCATCGTAGGCACTATGGGTCAGCCAGGGGATGGGCATGCCATGGGTTTTGCGGAGCCCTATCCAAAGCTTGTCATGCTGCGTTCCAAATGTCGGCCACGGGACCCCAAGTCTCTAACCATGTCCAGTTTTCCACAGAAGCTGGATGTATGTGCCAGAGCAAGCCATCCGCAGCTGCTGCTGGAAGGGTGGTGCAGATCCAACAGTTGGAAGCATTGGTCACCTCAGTGTAGGCATGGGCCCAGTCCACAATGCTGTTGGAGCATGTCAACCTACTGTTGAAGCGACAAAGCAGGTGCAGATACTAACAGGGGTAAATCATAGCCCTCAGGTAAAATACAGAACAACCTTTCATCTCCGGATAACAATGCAGCCGCCAAGGACTTCTGCCCTGGGCGATGGTACCACATCTTTTCAGCTCCCCATGGTTTCCTTGGGTCCTGTATCCATGCCAAAGTCACCAGGGAGCTCATAATAGGCCACACAGACAATACGTATGTCCCCTGGAGGAGGGTTCCTTCCCCAGCCATTCCCCTACGAACAGTCCATCGCGGGGGCCACATATTAAATACCTAAGGAGTGACATGTAAATCATACTGTAGCCCCCCACCCCCATCCCCCTGCCACCAGGGAGCTACAATAGCCAACCATTGGGAATGTGGGGCTAGGAGGGTCCAGGACCAAAGCCAGGTTTTCTCTTCCCCTGCCTTCAGGGCCGTTGGGGCAGGCAACAACAGATTACTGTTCATCCCCATACCCAGCCGGGGGAGGTCATCCTTGGTGTGTGTCTGTAGCTGGATGCGGGTGGCGGTCCGGTGTAGCAGTGCCTCCACCGGGGCTGGGCCACCTTTCCATGGCTGTTCGTTCAAGGTTTGCAACACCAGGTCCAACCTTGAACTCCAGCCCCACAAAGATAGGGGAGTAACATACAAGCGTAACCTGTTTTTCAGGAGTCGGTTATGTCACTCAGTCATACCAGCAGCTTGTGGGTTATGTGGAACATGGAACCTTTACTTTACGTCCATCCATTGTGCCCACTGTTGTATCTGCTGTTCAGTAAAATGCATTCCCTTGTCCCTTTCAACAGTCAGAGGACGACCGTATAGGGCACACAAGTGCTGCAGGGCCTGAATGGTATGTTGCTGGTCGGCCGTCCTGCAAGGGTAGGCAAGCAACAGACCGGTGGCCATGTGTATAGCTGTCAGCACATGCCTATGCCCCTGTAACCTCGGCAGTGGCCCGACGTAGTCTATTTGCCATCTAGTCAAGGGAATCTGCCCTACCGTCACTTGTTGTGTAACACTGGACAGCTGTCTCCATCTGGGGTATGCCTGTGCACATGCTGGGCACTTCCAGCAGGCCTCCCAGGTATCTTGTGTGGGCAAGGTTAGATCCCAGCACTTATTGACCTGTTGCATTAGTTCACCTCCTGTATGGCCCAGTTTTCGGTGCAGCCATTGGGCTATATCTTATGTAGGTGCTGACTCCAACCACTGGACCTCGGCCAAGGCGTCTGCCTAATATTCCTTTCTGTCCCTCATCTTCTGCATTACTGTCTTCTTTTGTGTTGAGTTTTTATAGTAAAATGTTTGCATTCATTTCTCATTTCCTTTTGTATACAGCAACACTCCCTTATTCGTAGTTTTGCTTTCCATGGTTTCAGTCACCTACAGTAGAGTACAATAAGATATTTTGAGAGAAAGGGAGAGCCCACATTCACATAACTTTTATTACAGTATGTCATTATAATCATTCCATTTTATTATTAGTTATTGTTGTTAAACTTTTACTGTGACTACTTTATAAATTAAACTCTATCATATGCATTTATATATAGGAAAAAACATGGTATTTATAGGGTTCGGTACTATCTGCAGCTTCAGCACCCACTGGGGATCTTGGAACATAAACCCCACAGATAAAGGGGGACTACTATGTTTCCATATCTATTTTTTGTGGTTACCATGAGGATTACATTTAACACCCAAACGTTATAACACACTAATTCAAATTTATACCAGCTTAATCTCAATGACATACAAAAACTTTACTCCTTTACAGCTCCTTCTCCCTCCTTACAGTTGTTGATGTTGCAGAATTACATTTTTATATCTTTTGTGACCAAAAACATAAACTAATAAGTACATTGGTCTCTTAAATTTGTAGAAAAGAAAATCTGGAGTTACATACTAAAATTACAATAATACTACTCTTTAGACTGATAATTGTTTTTAAATGTATTCTAAAATGTATTGTTTTAAAGGTATTCATATCTTAAATAGTGTAGAAAACATAAATTGGAGGTACAAACATTATTATTGTTACAATAGTGCTAGCTTTTATAATTACCCATGTACTTTTCTCATAGATATGTATTTCTTCACATGATTTCAAGTTTCTCTCTAGTGTCCTTTCATTTCATCCTGCAGGATTCCCTTGAGCATTTCTTGAAGGGAAGTTCTAGTGGTAACAAACTCCCTCAGCTGTTGTTTATCTGGGAATTTAATTTCTCCCTCACTTTTGAAGGAGAGTTTTGCTGGATATAGAATTCCATATTGATGGTTTTTATTTTTCTTTTAGCACTTTTAATATATTGGCCCACTTCCTTCTGGCCTCCAAAATTTCTGATTAGAAATCTGATGATCATCTTATTGAGAATCACCTTTATGTAATGAGTTACTTCTCTTTTGCTGCTTTCAAGATGCTTCTGTCTGTTGAAATGTGTCTCAGTGTGGGTCTCTTTGAATTTATCTTCCATAAATACAAAGACTTTGCTATAGTTCCCAATAAGTTCCTCATTTCCATCTGAAAACTTCTCAGCCTGGCCTTCACTGTCCATATCACTATCAGCATTTTTGTTATAACCATTTAACCAGTCTCTAGGAAGTTCCAAACTTTCCTTCATCTTCCTGTCTTCTGAGCCCTCCAAACTCTTCCAACCTCTGCCTGTTACCCAATTCCAAAGCTGCTTCCACATTTTCAAGTATATTTATAGTAATGCCTCACTCTTGGTATCAATTTTCTATATTAGGCCATTCTTGCATTGCTATAAAGAAACACCCGAGACTGAGTAATTTATAAGGAAAAAGGTTTAATTGTCTCACATTTCTGCAGGCTATACAGGAGATTTGGGAGCAACTGCTTCTGGGGAGACCTCCGGAAGCTTACAATCATGATGGAAGGCCAAGTGGAAGCTTGCACGTCATATGGTGAAAGCAGAAGCAAGAAAAGAGAGAGCAGGGAGGTGCCACAGTTTCAAATAACCAGACCTTATGAGAACTCATTCACTATCGTAAGGCCAGCACCAAAGGGTTGGTGGTAAACCACTCATGAGAAATCCAGCCCCATGAGCCAATCACCCCCCACTGGGGTCGACCTCTAACACTGGGGATTACAATTCAATATGATATTTGGGTAGGAACACATATCCAAACGATATCATTTTCTATTTCTCAGACTTAATGATTTTCATTGGCCTGTCTTCAAGTTTACTAATTCTTTCTTCTGCCTACTCAAATCTGCCTTTGAATCACTCTAACAAATTTTTAATTTCATTTTTGTATTTTTTAGATTCAGAATTTCTTATTGGTTGCTTTTTAGGACTTCTGTCTTTTAACTGATATTTCCATTGTGTTCATGTATTGTTTTCTGGACTTTCTTTACATCTTCCTTTCGTTCTTCGAGCATCTCTAAGACTATTATTTTTCAGTTTTGTCTAATTGGTTTGTCAGATCTGTCATCTGGTCTTCTTCAGGAATAGTTCTTGTTGATTTATTTTTTTCCTTTGAATAGGGTATACTTTCCTGTTTCTTTATATGCCTTGTGATTTTTTCGTTGAAAATTTGACATTTGAATTTACTAATGTGGTAACTCTGGAAAGCATATTTATTCCACTCCTCAGAATTTGCTGGGTTTTGCTTTTATTCAAATTTTTTCTTTTCTTTTCTTTTCTCTTTCCTTCTCCTTCTTCTTATCCTTCTTCTTCTTTTTTTTGAGAGAGGGTCTTACGCTGTTGCCCAGGCTGGAGTGCAGTGGTGTGATCACAGCTCAATGAAACCTCTACCTCTTGGGCTCAAGTACTTCTCCTGCCTCAGCCTCTCAAGTAGCTGGGACTACAGGCACACACCAGCATGCCCAGCTAATTTTTGTATTTTTTGTAGAGACAGGGTTTTGCTATATTATCCAGGCTGGTCTCGAACTCCTGGGATCAAGTGATCCACCTGCTTTGGCTTCCTAAATTGCTGGGATTACAGGCATGAGCCACCAGGTCCAGCTCTGTTTTTGCTTTCTTAGCTGTGTAGGCTATCTCTGTGCCAAGGATCAGTCTGAGGTGTAAACTTAAGTTCTTCTCAGGTTCTCTCTGTGCCTGCACCTTTGCCCAGGCATGTGCAGTCACTTTCTGATTTTCCCTGTGTATGTCATTGTTTTTAATGCCCTAGTCTTTAATGTCTGGTTCCCAAAAGGAGAAAGAAAAAATAAAAATGAAGGGGTGGGGGAAAAGAAAAGATACTTGGTCCTTTAAATATCCTGGTCATCACTTTAACTGTAGTGGGGAAGCTTGTACCAATAGATAGAAGTGCAACCACAAGGACCTCCAGGCCCTTTGCACCTCTGTGATCAGAAGGAGCAGTCAGCAATCAGAGCACAGATCCTTGTTATTTGGAAGACAGAGGTCTTTTTCCCACCTTGGCTTCCACCAGCTGGGTGCAAGCCACTCCAAGAACGCAGGTAGAGCTGCCTGCCAGGGGCTGAGGGTGGAGAATGGGTAGCTGCTACTGTGCCAAGAGTGGAAGTTAACTGCAATTTACATCCAAGCCTTCCCTTGGAAGTTCCAAACCATTAATAGACTCAGAGTTCCAAGATTGTTTGTCATCAAATTCTGTCAGTTCATTTATTTTCTGCGTGGAGAGAGAGATCCCTGGTGTTTGCTACTCTGCCATCTCCCAAGAATATTCTGTGTCTCCTTCACTTTTGAAGAATAATTTTGCAAGCTACAGAATTCTAGGTTGGTGGATATTTTTCTCTCAACACTTTAAATAATTCACTTCACTCTTCTTGCTTGGATGGTTTGTGAAGAAAAATGAGATGTAAATGAGATGTTTCTCTACATATAAGCTTCCCCTGCAGTTTCTTTCATGATTTTTCCTGTATCTCACATTTTTGACAGTTTGACTATGAGATGCCTAGGTGTAGGTGAAAGACACATGTCTCTTCACTATCAGTCTAAAGGTAATGCCCCACTGCAGGAATTCCCCAGCTTTACTTTGCATCAGAATTATGAGAGGAACTTGCAAAAAATACAGAGGTCTAGGCCCCACCTAAGATCACCTGAAGCAGAGACATCCAAGGAGGGCCCTAGACGTGGATGTTTCCTATTGTACTTTCTTCCGCGTTGTCTTCTCAGTAGTTCTTTTCCTGGCATCACAACTTCTGTTTTTATAGTATATCTGGGGGCTCAGTGTTTTATCTCACCATGAAAAAGTCCTTAAATCAGATCTAATATAAGGATCATCTGTTTTATGATTCACATGGATATTGCATCACATGAATATTGCACAAGAATGGGCTCTTGGGAAAAGATTTTCAAGTGCAGTCTCTTCTAGTTCCACGACAAATTGTAGAGACCTTACTTTAACAAAAAGAAGGCTCCAAGTAATGCTTCTTTTGCACATCGTTTAGATTTTATTAGAAACTGCTCAAACCTAAAATGGCTACCTTTGCTCTTCAAGGAGGTAGAATGAGTGATATGGTTTGGCTTTGTCTCCACCCAAATCTCATCGTGAATTACAGCTCCCACAGTTCCCACATGTAGTGGGAGGGACCCGGTGGGAGGTTAGATCATGGGGGTGGGTCTTTCCCAAGCTGTTCTCATGATAGTGAGTAAGTCTCACGAGATCTGATGGATGTATAAAGAGGAGTTCCACTGCACAAGTTCTCTGTTGCCCGCCACCACACAAAAAGTCCCTTTGCTCTTCCTTCATCTTCTGCCATGATTGTGAGGCCTCCCCGGCCATGTGGAACTGTGAGTCCATTAAACCTCTTTTCCTTTATAAATTACCCAGTCTTGGGTATGTCTTTATTCGCAGCGGGAGAATGGACTAATACAATGATCTTAACTAAAAAGATGATTAAAAAAAGAAAGGTGATGACCCTACAATAGTTATATTTAAAAACATATGTAGTTTTTTTTACTAACTCAGCTAAGCCATCACTTTGTGACTCTATAATTGATCATCCTAACTGGAAAATGTTAACAGTGAAAAGGGCAGGGCAACTCCTAATAACACGGCAGACACAGGCACCACGCAGGGCAACACCCAGAGGCCCTTCATGACCCGGAGCCAGGGAGCCGGGCACGGGCAGGGGCTGCTGCACATTCACCACACTCACGCCACGGGCTGGCCTCAGGCTTGACAAGCTCAGGCCTTTGGTTAAAGGTCCCATGGCTGAGTGGAGGTGCATGGGAGGGGCAGGAGTGAAGTGCTTTCCCAGGAAGAGGCACGGCTCCAGGAGAAACTGCTCCATGGAAAGTAAAGTTGGTTTGCACGAAGATGGTGGTGGAGCAGAGGAGAGAAGGGAGGGTGTTTGAAGGTAGGATCTGTGGGACGCAAGATGGATGGGATGTAGAGGGTGAGGAGAAGCATAAGTCAGGAAGGATGTGGGGTCTGGGCTGAGCAGTGAGTGGGCCTGGGGCATTTGAGAGCGAAGTTGGCAGCAGCACCCCTGCAGAGCTGGACACAGGCTCTGCCACATGGTGCTGCCCTCCCTCCCTGATGCGGGGCCCCAGCAAACCAACTGCACCAACTTGCCACCCGCACTCCCATCCAGGATGTTTGCAACCTTGTGTCTCAGCCTGTGGTGAGCCTTCTGCCAGGCCCGCCAGCCCCTTCATTTCACCCCACTTCTACCCAAGAAGCATCTCCAGGTGCTGCTTACCCCATGTCTGGTCCCAGCAAGGGCATGACCTGTGACCATGCAGGGTCTCAGGCACCATCTGAGGAATGGGAGTCTGCATTGCAACAAGACCTCCAAGTGATTCCCGGGCGCCGTGAAGTTTTCAGAGCATTGTAAATATCTCCTACCCATCCTGAAATATTCAGCTCAGGGCCACCTCCTCCAGGAGGCCCTCCCTGACCATCCTCACCTCCCAGGCCATGGCAGCATAGTGAGAGAGCGGGTGTTGAGGCAGCCCTGACTGTTCCATCACATTCTTGAGCATTTCCAGCTCATGAGTCTTTCTCTTCCACTGGCCAGGAGCTCTGGGGGCTAAATTTCTCTGTACTCACGCCTCCAGAGAGGTGTAAATGCTTCACACTTGGGAGGCCTCGCCATGCCCTCAAGCCCTTCTTGCACCTGCCCTTGGGGTCCCTGCTGTGGGCTCAGCCGAGAGGTAAGGCCACCTGGTCATGAGGGCCGGCAGGTATTGCAGACACCAAACAGAAGTGCAAGACGGATGTACCTTCCCACAGTCTTCCCTGGGGTACCCACTTCACTGGGCTCTGCAGCAGGACCTATCCTCAGGTCCCACAGAGACTTCCCTGGGGGAAGTCCCCTTAATTAGATCATTAGGAAACCTTTCAGTGTCGTCCCTCACTCCTCTTCCCTGCCCTACAACCACCCACAGCCAGCCCAGTCTATTCTTCCTTCTCCATCGCTGACGACCACCCAGGGCAGCCCCCAGAGCTCCCAGGAGAACCTGTGAGGACCCTCACCAAACCCCAGCCCCATCCTGAACCCTCCCTGGGGTTATCAGGCAGCACTGAGGTCCCCACCTGTGCACCTGACCCTGCCCACTGTCCTCCCCCATCTTTCTCCAATTCCCCCAAGACAGCCTCTGAGCCCTCAGGGCCTTGATCCTGCTTTGCTGCCAGGAATATTCTCCTGGACCTTTCCAGCTGTCTCCTGCCCTATTCAGATCTCAGCTTAGTCACCTCCCAGTGTGCTCCCTCCCTGTCAGCCCTCAGCCCTATCACAGGTGTCTGCAGAGTGCCTGTTACCATCTCATGTATATTGGGCCCTGATGTCTGCCTGCCCACCACGAGGACGTGAGCTCCGTGGTCCTCAGGCCTTCTGGGGCTGTTTTGCCATGGCACCTCCCAAGTGCCTGCATCAGTGCTGAAGACATTGCAGAAGCTCACGGATATTGACTGACTGCATAGATGCCAGTGAATACAGGGACACCCACGCTTCTGCTCTGTGGAGCTGCATGTGCTGCCCAGGCTCCCTGTGCGCCTGTCCCTGTTCCTGCCTGCTCTGGTCCAGGAGGCTGACTTGTCTGCTCTGCAAGGCCCAGGCTCCCTGGGTGCTGATGCCTGCAGCAAAATAAGAAGCAATGGTGGCAAAATGTGCACCTCCCTAAATTAACTATAAAGGCTAGAACCAAACTACTCAAAATATGATGAACTTTGAATGGTCTTGTTTATGACTCTATTTGGGCATTGTTTTCAAACCAAAGTTGATTCCAGCCAATTTACTGTACTATTTTCTAATAATAGCTCATAGATTAGAAATGGTCTTTGTTTTAAACCTTTCCTTCTCTGTGTTTGTTCAAGGGTGGAGCATAGGGCCACAGGACTGAAGGGTCTCCCCAGAGGTGTTAACTAACAGACCTCGATTTCAAGTGTAAGGACTCGGGAGAAATCGATTTGAATGAGGTCCTACACCCCAAAAAGTTTTCCTTGGATCCAGTGTGTCTCCGTTCAATCTGAGCATCCTGGATGGGGTGACTCCACTCTGTGGGGACACAGTGACCTAGGCCCCTGCCCTTGTGTGGCACAGACATCCGTAGTTCAGGCTCCCTAGGTGCACCTTCAGTTCTCACCTCTTCAATTCTCATAGTCCTCTTCAGAAATCCGCCTTTGCAGAGGGTGGCAGGTCCTTTTTTGGGCCCAGTGTATCACCTTATAAAGCCATACCTCCTTTTATTGCACTTAGCATTATTGTGCTTTGCAGACACTGTGATTTTTACAAATTGAAAATGTTTGGCAACACTGCCTTGAACATGTCTACCAGGGTCATTTTTCCAACAGCATTGCCTACTTTGTGTCTCTGTTACATTTTGGCAATTTTAGCAATATTTCAAACTTTCACTATTACTATATGTATTATGGTGATCTGTGATCAGTGATCTTTGGTGTTACTACAGTAATTGTTTTAGGCTGCAACAAACCATGCCCATTATAAAACTATAGACTTAACTGATTAAAGTTATGTGTGTTCTGACTGTTCCTGTTACTGGCCATCTCTCCATCTTGCTCCAGTTTTCAGGCCTCCCTGTTCCTTCAGACACAACAATATTGATATTAGGTCAATTAATAACCCCACAGTGGCCTCTAAGTGTTCAAGTGAAAACAAGAGTTGCACATCTCTCATTTCACATCAAAAGCTAGAAATGATTCATCTTAGTGAGGAAGGCATGTCAAAAGACAAGACAGCTTGAAAGCTAGGCTGCTGGTACCAAACAGCCAAGCTATAAATATTAACAAGGAGGAAAAGTTCTGGAAGAAAATTTAAAATGCTACTCTAGTGAACACATGAATGATAAGAAAATAAAACAGCCGGCCAGGTGTGGTGGCTCACGCTTGTAATCCCAGAACTTTGGGAGGCCGAGGTGGGTGGATCACCTGGGGTTGGGAGTTCGAGACCAGCCTGACCAATATGGAGAAACCCCGTCTCTACTAAAAATACAAAAAATTAGCTGGGCATGGTGGTGCACGCCTGTAATCCCAGCTACTTGGGAGGCTGAGGCAGGAGAATTGCTTGAACTCAGGAGGTGGAGGTTGTGGTGAGCCGAGATCGTGCCATTGCACTCCAGCCTGGGCAACAAGAGTGAAACTCTGTCTAAAAAAAAAGAGCTTAATTGCTGATATGAAGAAAGTTTTAGTGATCTGGATAGAAGAACAATCCAGCCACAACATTTCCTTATGCCAAGACTTAATCTAGAGGAAAAGGCCTTAACTCTCTTCAATTCTGTGAATTCTGAGATAAGGAAGCTGCAGCAAAAGAATTTTGTAACTAACAAAGCTTAAGGAAAAAAGCCTTCTCCATGAGTTAAAAGTACAGGGTGAAGCAGCAAGTACTGATGGAGAAGCCGCAGCAAGTTATCCAGAAGACCTGGCTAAGGTCATTGATAAATGTAGCTACACTGAACAACAGATATTCAGCATAGATTAAAGAGCCTTCAGTTGGGAGAAGACACCTTTTAGGACTTCCATAGCTAGAGAGGTGAAGTCAGTGCCTGACTTCAAAGCTTCAAAGGACAGACTTAATCTCTTGGTAGGGCCAATGCAGCTAGTGACTCTAAATTGGAGCCACTACTCATTAACCATCCTGAAAATCCTAGAACCTTTAAGAATCATGCTAAGTCCACTCTGCCTATAAATGTGTTGCTCTATAAATGGAACAGCAAAGCCTAGGTGAGAGTACATCTGTTTACCACATGGTTTACTAAATATTTTAAACCCACTGTTGAGACCTATTGATCAGAAAAAAAAGACTCCTTCAAAATATTACTGCTCACTAACAGTACACCTGGTCACCCAAGAGCTCTGACTGAGATGTACAAGGAGACAAACATTGTTTTCATGCCTGCTAACACAACATCCATTCTGCAGCCCATAATGGATCAAGGAATAATTTCAAATTTTATATTTTATTATTGAAGAGATACATTTTTTAAGCCTATAGCTGTCACAGATAGTGATTCCTCTGATGGATTTGACAAAGTAAGTTGAAAATCTTCTGGAATGAATTCACCATTCTAGATGTTATTAATAATATTTATGATTAATGGGAGATCAAAATATCAACATTAACAGGAGTTTGGAGGAAGTGGATCCCAATCCTCATGGATGACTTTGAGGGGTTCAATACTTCAGTGATGGAAGTCACTGCAGATGTGGTGGGGATAGCAAGAGAACTTGAATTAGAAGTAGAGCCTGAAGGTGTCACTGTATTGTTGCAATCTTATGATCAAACTTCAATGTATGAGAAGTTGCTTCTTATGGATGAGCAAAGAAAGTGTTTTTCTGAGATGGAAACTACTCCTGGTGAAGATGTTGAAATGACAATAAGTTATTTAGAATATTATATAAGCTTAGTTGATAAAGCAATGGCAGCATTAAAGAAGGTTGACTCCAATTTTGAAAGAAGTTGGAATATTGGTAAAATGCTATCAAACAGCATCACATGCTACAGAGAAACCTTTCATGAAGGGAAGTGTCAATCAAGGTGGCAAACTTCACTGCTGTGTTGTTTTAAGAAATTCCCATAGCTGCCCCAATCTTCAGCAACCACTACCCTGATCAATCAGCAAGAATCAAAATGGAGGCAAGACCCTCCAACAGCAGAAAGTTTACAACTCACTGAAGGCTCAGATGATCATAAAATTGTTTAGCAATAAAGGTTTTTTAATTAAAGTCTGTACTTTTTTTAGACAAAATGCTATTGCACACTTAATAGACTACAGCATATAAATACAACTTTTATATTCAATGGGAAACCCAAAAATTCCTGTGACTTACTTTATCGCAATATTCTCTTTATTGAGGTGGTCTAGAACTGATCCCACAATATCTCTGAGGTATGCCTATACTTTGTTAAGTTACATCTCACCCTCTGATATCCCTATGGCCCACTCAAGCTCAGAACCCCATTGCCCATTTCCTGGAACTCTCCATGTCTAACTCATCCCCAGAATATTTGCTTCAGAGGGGACACAGGAGAACCAGTTCAGGTCAGTCTTGGGTCCTGAGGGGCACCATGGCCCAAGCTGCAGGAACGTCCACGAATGGAGAGAACAGAGACTCTGACCAAGATGGTTGGTCAGGAAGGAGGTGGTCAAAGGCCAAAAGGAGAGTTGTTTCTACTTGGTGGTTTAGGTAGAGTTTATTTTATAGATCAGTTTTGGGTTCTATGAAAATATTAAGGGGAAGTACAGAGAGTTCACATACATACCTTTGCCTCCCATCACAGTTTCTCTATGAGTGACATCCTGGATTAGTGTGGTATATTTGTTACAATTGATGAACCATATTGAGACAACATTATCAACCGAAGTCCATGGTTTCCATTAGGATTCACTTTTTGTGTTGTATAATTCAATGAGTTTTCCCGAATACATTCAAATCATGTCTTAGATATTACAGTATCATATGGGATAGTTTTACTGCCTAAAGTCTCCTGTGATCCACTTCTTCATCTCTCTTTACCTCCCTCTGAACCCTTAATAACCTTCCCTCCTCTGTAATGGACTCTGCCTGATAGTCACATAGCCACTCTGGCTTTCTTTGAATTAGTGTTAGCGCATAATATATCTTTCTCCATCCTTTTATTTTTATTTTATTTTATTTTTTGAGATGGAATTTTGCTCTTGTTGCCCAGACTAGAGTGCAGTGGCGCGATCTCGGCTCACTGCAACCTCCGCCTCCTGGATTCAAACGATTCTCACCTTGTGCCTCAGCCTCCCTAGTAGCTAGGATCACAGGCATGCACCAGCTTGCCCAGCTAATTTTTGTATTTTCAGTAGAGACGGGATTTCACCATGTTGGCCAAGCTGGTCTTTAACTCCTAACCTCAGGTGATCCACCCGCCTCAGCCTCCCAAAGTGCTAGGATTACAGGCGTGAGCCACCACGTCCGGCATCCCTTTATTTTTAATCTAACTGTGTCTTTACATTTAAGGTGGTTTTATTATAGAAACATATAGCTATGTATTGTTTTGGATCCAATCAGACAGCTGCTACCTTTTACTTCATGTATTTAGACTACTAATATTTAAATTGATTATTGATATATTTGGATTAATATTGATCATATTCACTACTTTTCTTATTTTGTATTTTTAATTTTTATAGAGACAGGGTCTTGCTGTGTTGCCCAGGCTGGTCTCAAACTCCTGGCCTCAAGAGATCCTCCTGCCTCAATCTCCCAAAGTGCTGGGGCTACAGGTGTGAACCACTGTGCCTGGCCTCATTTCTGTTTTCTACTAGCTGCCCTTGTTCTTTGTTTTCCTTTTTCACTTTTCCCTGTCTTCTCTGGTTTTGGTAGAGCATATTATGTGATTTCATTTTGCCTCCTCCCTTATTATATCAACTATACTCCTTTAAAAATTATTTCACTAGTTGCCTACATTCACAACTATTCCAAGTTGACTTTCATATAACACTATATCACTTCATGGGTAGTATTAGTGTTGCCAGAAAAAGGGATCCTATCCAGACCCCAAGAGAGGGTTCTTGGATTTCATGCAGGAAGGAATTCAAGGTGAGTCAGAGTTCAGTGAAAAGAGATAGTTTATTGAAAGCGACTCAGAGAGTAGGGTGTAGTTTATTGAAAGCAGCTCAGAGAGTAGGGTGTCCTCAGAAGGCAAGAAGGGGAATCTGCTTTGTTTTAAACTATTTTTATACAGCGTTCTTATCTATGCAAAAGTTAAGCTAAGTTATGTCTACGTGCAGGTAAGCTGACAGCGTGGCAAAATTTAGTACTTTGCTGATTAAAAAAAAAAAAACTATCCTTGGCATTCTAGTGTGTAAGTACATCAAAGTACATCAAAGCATGACTATAACTATCTTTTTTTTTTTTTGAGACAGAGTCTTGCTGTGTTGCCCAGGCTGGAGTGTGTGTGATCTCGGCTCACTGCAACCTCTGCCTCCTGGGTTCAAGCAATTCTCCTGCCTCAGCCTCCTGAGTAGCTGGGACTACAGGTATGCACCACCACACCTGGCTAATTTGCTTTCTTTCTTTCTTTTTTTTTTTTTGTATTTTTAGTACAGACAGGGTTTCACCATGTTGGCCAGGCTGGTCTTGAACTCCTGACCTCAGGTGATCCACCCACCTTGGCCTCCCAAAGAACTGGGGATTACAGGTGTGAACCACTGAGCCCAGCCTGTGCTTTTAAGATAGTTATAGTTGGCCAGGCATGGTGGCTCACGCCTGTAATCCCAGCACTTTGGGAGGCCGAGGCGGGTGGATCACCTGAGGTCAGGAGTTCGAGACCAGCCTGGCGAATGGGGCGAAACCCCGTCTCTACTAAAAATACAACAATTAGTCGAGTATGGCATCTGGTGCCTGAAATCCCAGCTACTCGGGAGGCTGAGACAGGAGAATTGCTTGAACCCGGGAGGCAGAGGTTGCAGTGAGCCAATATCGTGCCACTGTACTCTAGTCTGGGTGACAGGGCAAGAGTCTGTCTCAAAAAAAAATGCATACATTATTATGCGATGTGGGAACATCAGGACATTCTGCTGTGGTAGGAGTTTCTGCTATCAGGCATTACTAAACTATTTCCTAAGCTGTAAACATCTTATGACCATGGGTCATGATTGGCAAGGAATGTGCCTTGCCAGTTTTAAGATGGAGTGGTTTGTTTATTTGTTTCTTAGTTTGTTTGTTTGAGAAAGGGTCTTACCTGTTGCCTAGGTGGGAGTGCAGTGGTGCGATCTTGGCTCACTGCAACCTCCACCTCCTGGGCTCAAGGGATCCTCTCATCTCAGCCTCTTGAGTATCTGAGACTACAGGCACGCACCACAATGCCTGGCTTATTTTTTGTATTTTTTAGTGGAGATAGGGTGTTGCCATGTTGCCCAGGCTGTTCTTGAACTTCTGGACTCAAGCGATCTACCTACCTGGCTTCCCAAAGTGCTGGGATTATAGGTGTAAGCCACCGTGCTCGGACTGGAGTGGATTTTAAAATGGTGTCACCCCGGCTCTCCTATGCTCCTGTTTCCCTAACACAAGTACTTTATAACAGACTGTATTGATCAGTATTCTATAGAGAGACAAAACCAATAGGATAAACAGAGGCATATATAGATATAGATATAGATATAGATATAGATATAGATAGATATAGGAGAGGGGATTTATTGTCAGCATTGATTCACATGATTATGGAGGCTAAGAAGTCCCACAATAGGTTTTTTGCAAGACTACCAGAGAAGCTGGCAGCACGGCTCATTCTTAATGAGAAGGTTGAAGAACCAAGGAAGTTGATGGTGTAACTCAGTCTGAAACAAAAGCCTGAGAGCTCTGGGGGTAGGGGGTGCTGGTGGGAATCCCAGAGTCCAAAAGCTGAAGAACCTGGAGTTCTGACATCCAAGGGCAGGAGGAGAGGGGCTTCCCTGCTCCGAAAGGGAGAGAGAGAGGAAGTAATCGCTTCCTTGGCGGGAGAGAAAGTGTTCCTTTTCCTTCTGCCTTTTTGTTCCATGCACCTTCAGCTGGTTGAATGACGCCTGCTCACGCTGGGGGCAGATCTTCCCTCATTCCATCCACTGAGTCCCATGCCAGTCTCCTCTGAATAATCCCCTCACAGACACACCCAGAAACAATCCTTTACCAGCCATCTAGGCATCCCTCAATTCAGTCAAGTTAACAGCTAAAATATTCAACACACAGAGTATTCCAAATTCCTCCTTCCTGCATCAATGTCAGTCTTTCTACTTTTCCAAAGGCCATAATCTCTGAATCCATTGTTGCTGTCATTGATTTGAATAAACTGTTTTTAGTTAGATGAATTAGGAATAAGTAAAATGAAATAGTTTATTTTATCCTTATTCATTCTTTCTATAATGTTCTTTTTTTTCTTTATATAGATCAGAGTTTCTGAGCTATATCACGCTGAAGAAATTCTTTTTTTCATGGTTCTGAAATATGCTTTATTTATTTTTTTCCAGCTTTATTGAGCTATGATTGACAGATACAAATTGTATATGTTTAAGGTATACAGTGTGATATTTCGATATATGTATACATTGTAAAATGACCACCACAATCTAATATATCCATCACCTCACGTGTGTGTGTGTGTGTGTGTGTGTGTGTTGAGAACATGTAAGATCTATTCTCTTAGCACTTTTCAAGTAAACAATACATTATTATAAACCGTGGTCACCATGCTATATATTAGGGTTCAGAACCTTTACAGTGGAAAGTTTGTATTCTTTGATCATGCCCTCATTTATTCCACCTCCTGGCCACTCATAACCACTCTTGTGCTCTCTACTTCCATGAGGTTTACTTTTTCAGATTCCACCTATAAATGAGATCATGCAGTATTTGTCTTTTAGTGTCTTGCTTCTTTCACCTAGCATAATGTTCTCCAGGTTCATCTATGTTTTTGCAAATGAGAGCATTTCTTTCTTTTTTAAGGCTAGATAATATTCCATTGTACATATGATATTGCATTTAAAAACTCCATTTAACTATCCACAGACACTTAGGTGATTTCCTCACCTTGACTGTAGTGAATAATACTGTAATGAACATGCGGGTGCAGACATCTCTTCAAGACAGTGATTGTATTTCCTTTAGATATATACCCAGAAATGGGATTGCTGGATCATATGAAATTTCTATTTTTAATTTTTTCAGGAAACTTTATACTATTTTCCATGATGGCTGAACCAATTTACATTTTAACGAGCAGTGTGTAGGGTTATCTTTCCTCCACATCCTCTCCAACATCTCTTATCTTTTTACTTTTTGATCATCGTCATCCTAAAAGGTGTGAGGTGATATCTCATTGTGACTTTGTTTTGCATTTCCCTGATGATTAGTGATATCGAGCATCTTTTCATATAACTGTGGGCCATTTGTATATCTCCTTTTCAAAAGTGTCTATTCAGGTCTTTTGCCCATTTTTTATTGGGCTGTTAAGTATCTTTGATGTTGGGTTGCATGAGTTCCTTACATATTTTGAATATTAACCCCTTATTAGGTGTATGTTGTGCAAATATTTTCTCCCATTCCATAGATTTTCTTTTCATTTTGTTGATGGTTTCCCTTCTGTGCAGAACCCTTATAGTTTGATCTAGCCCCATTTGTTTATTTTGGCTTTTGTTGCCTGGGCTTTTGGTATCATATCCAACAAATAACTGTCAAGACCAATGTCATGGATCTTTTTCCCTGTTTTTTTTTTTTCTAGGAGTGTTAAAGTTTCAGATCTTACATTTAAGCCTTTCATCCATTATATTTGGATTTCCATAGGTACATAGTAGGTGTACACATTTATGGAATATGTGAGATATTTTGATACAGGCATACAATGCATAATAATCAAATCAGGGTAAATGGGATATCTATCGCCACAAGCTTTTATCATTTCTTTGTGTTACAAACATTCTAATTATACTTTTTTAGTTCCTTTTAAATGTATAATAAGTTATTGTTGGCTGTAGTCACCCTGTTGTGCTATCAAACACTAGATCGTATTCATTCTATCTACCTATATTTCTGTACCCATTAACCATCCTCACTTTCCTCCTGCTGCCTCCCCACTACACTTCCCAGCCTCTGGTAATCATTATTCTACTCTGTATCTCCACGAATTAAGTTGTTTTAATTTTTATCTCTTACAAATGAGTGAGAATATGTGAGGTTTGTCTTTCTGTGCCTGGCTTATTTCACTTAACATAATGGCTTCTAGTTCCATCCACGTTGTTGCAAGTGACAGGATTTCATTCTTTTTTATGGTTGAATAGTACTCCATTGTGTGTATGTACCACATTCTCTTTTTACAATATTTTTATTATTTTTAAAAAGATAAAAATGAGATGGGGGGGTCTCTCTATGTTGCCCAGGCTGGTCTCCAACTCCTGGGCTCAAGCAATCCTCCTGCCTTGGCCTCCCAAAGTGCTAGGATTACAGGTGTGAGCCACTGCACCTGGTCTGTACCACATATTCTTTATCCATTCATCTGCTGATGGACAATTACGTTGATTCCAAATCTTGGCTATTGTGAATAGTGCTGCCATAAACAAGGAGTGCAGATATCTTTTTAATATACTGATTTCCTTCCTTTTGGATCTGTATCTAGCAGTGGGATTGCTGGATCATATGGTAGTTCTACTTTCAGTTTTTTGATTAACCTCCAAACTTCTCTGTGGTGGCTGTACTAATTTACATTCCCACCAACAGTGTATGAGGGTTCCCTTTTCTCTACATCCTTGCCAGCATTCATTATTGACTGTCTTTTAGATAAAGCCATTTTTACAGGGGTGAGATGATATCTCATTGTAGTTTTGGTTTGCATTTCTCTGATGATCAGTGATGCAGAGCACCTTTCCATATGCCTGTTTGCCATTTATATGTCCTTGTTTTGAGAAATGTTTATTGAGATGTTTTGTTCATTTTTTAATTCAAATTATTATATTATTCCCTATAGAGTTGTTTGAGCTCCTTATATATTCTGGTTATTAATTTCTTCTCAGATCAATAGTTTGCAAATATGTTTTCCCATTCTGTGGGTAGTCTCTTCATTGTATTGTTTCCTTTGCCGTGCAGAAGCTTTTTAACTTGATGTGATCCCATTTGCCCACGTTTGCTTTGTTTGCCTGTACTTGTGGAGTGCAAGAAATCTTTGCCCAGACCAATGTCCTGGAGAGTTTCCCCAAGGCTTCCGTGTAGTAGTTTCATAGTTTGAGGTTTCAGATGTAAGTCTTTAATCCATTTTGATTTGATTTTTGTATATGGCAAGAAATAGGGGTCTAGTTTCACTCTTTTTCATATGGATATCCAGTTTTCCCAGCACCATTTATTGAAGAGACTGCCCTTTCTCCAATGTTCTTGGCACCTTTGTCAAAAATGAGTTCACCGTAGATGTATGAATTTATTTCTGGGTTATCTATTCTGTTCCATTGGTTATAGAACACCAGTCAGATTTAACCCAAAGAATACTACCTCAAGGCATTTAATAAGCAAATTCCCAAAGGTCAAGGATAAAGAAAGGATCCTAAAAGCAAGAAGAGAAAAGAAATAACATACAAGGGAGCTCCAATACATCTGGCAGCAGGCTTCTCTGTGGAAACCTTATAGGCCGGGAGAGACTGGCATGACATAGTTAAAGTGCTCAAAGAAAAAAAATTATTCTATCTTAGAATACTATATCCAGGGGAAATATCCTTCAAATATGAAGGAAAAATAAGGACTTTCCTAGACAAATGAAGCTGAGGGATTTCATCAACACCAGACCTGTCCTACAAGAAATGGTAAAGAAAGTTCTTCAATCTGAAAGCAAAGGATGTTAACGAGCTATAAGAAATCATCTGAAGATATAAAACTCACTGGTAATAGTAAGTACACAGACAAACACAGAATATTATAACACTATAATTATGATGTGTAAATGACTCTTATCTTGAGTAGAAAGACTAAAAGATGAACCTGTCAGAATAATAACTCCAAGTTTTCTAGACATGGACAATATTACAAGATATAAATATAAACAACAAAAAGTTAAAAAAAATAAGGAGGATGAAGTTAAAATGTAGAGTTTGCATTAGTTTTCTCTTTGCTTGTTTGTTTTTGCAACCAGTGTTAAGTTGTCATCAACTTAAAATACTGGGTAATAAGATGCTATTTGCAAGCTTCATGATAACATCAAATCAAAAAACCTACAACAGATACACAAAAGATAAAAAGCAAGAAATTAAAACATATCAAGAGAAAATCACCTGTAATGCAAAGTCCCACAATCACTGCACTTTCTCTCCCCCAAGCATACAGATTGTCTCTCTGCACCATGCCTGCAATTCGAAACTGTCTTTCTTACACTCTTCAGTATCTCTTTTTTTTTTTTTTTATGATTGCTCACCTGATTTTTGGTTCTTTTGAAGGTGCTTTCTTGTGTACATAGTTGTTCAATTTGGGTGTTCCTATGAGGCTGATGATTGCTGCAGGGTTCTAATCAGCCATCTTGCTCTGCTGAAAATCAAATCCATTTTGAGTTGATGTTTGCAAATAATTTAAGATAAGGATTCAATTTTATTCCTTTGCATGTGGATATAGTTCTCCCAACACTATTTATTGAATAGACTATCCTTTCCTCATTGTGTAATCCTGATGCCTTTGTAAAATAGTAGTTGACTATATATGCATAGGTTAACTCTATACTCTCCATTCTGTTCCATTGACCTATGTGTCTGTTTTTATGCAAGAACCATACTGTTTTGATTACTATAGTTTTGTAATAAAATTTGAAACCAGTGAGTGTGATTCCTCTAGCTTGTTTTATCTTACTCAAGATCACTTTAGCTATTTGGGTCTTTTGTGGCTTCCAGCAAATTTTAAGATTCTTTTCCCTATTTCGTGAAGAATGCCATTAGAATTTTGAGAAGGATTGCATCGAATCTGTAGGTCACTTTGGGTCAAATGAACATTTTGACAATATTAATTATTTCAATCTATAAACATGGGATATCTTTCCCCTTTAGTGTACAGATTTTTTTAGCTCCTTGGTTAAATGTATTCTTAAGTATTTCATTCTTTTTGAGGCTATCATAAATGAGACATTTTTCTTAATTTCTTTTTCAGATAGCTTGTTGTTAGTGTATAGAAATGCAACTGATATTTTATGTTGATTTTTATCCTTCAACTTTACTGATTTGTTTATTAGTTCTAGCACTTTTTGGTGAAGTATATAGACTTTTCTATACATACTCAAATTATTGGCAAACAACCATAATTTTACTTCTTCCTTTCTTATTTGGATACATTTTATGTCTTTTTCTTGCCTAATTGCTCTTGGTAGTACTTCCAGTACTATATTGAATACAAGTAACAAGAGTGAGGGTCTTCGTCTTTTTCCTGATCTTAGAGGAAAAGCTTTCAGCTTTTCACCATTGAGTATGATGTTAGCTGTGGGCTTGTCATATCTGGCCTTTATTATATTGTGGTACATTCATTCTACACTTACTTTGTTGATAATTTTTATCATGAAAGATGTTGAACTTTGTCAAATGCTTTGTCTGCACCTATTAAGATGACCATATGATTTTTATACTTCATTCAGTTAATGTGGTGTATCATATTTATTGATTTGCATACATTGAAACACCATTGCCTCTGAAGGATGATCCCACTTGATCATGTTGTGTGATCCTTTAAATTTAATGTTGAATTATGCTTGCTAGTATATTGCTGAGGATTTTTGCATCTATGTTAATCAGGAATAAGGTCTATAATATTCTTTTCTTCTGATGTCCTGGTTATGGCTTTTGTACCAGGATGTCTTCGTTTGTTCTGCATTGCTATAAAGGAATACCTGAGGCTGAGTAATTTATAAAGAAAAGAGGTTTATTTGGCTCGCAGTTCTACAGGCTATACAAGAAGCATGGCACCAGCATCTGCTTCTGGTGAGGGCTTCAAGAAGCTTCCACTCATTGTAGAAGGTGTTGGGGAGCCAGCATGTCACATGGCAAGAGAGGGTGCAAGAGCAAAAGGGAAGAAGATGCCAGGCTCTTTTTAGCAATAAGATCTTGTGGGAACTACTAGAGTGAGAACTCACTCATTACCACAAGGAGTGCACCAAGGTGGTCATGAGGGACCTGGGCTTATAACCCAAAGACCTCTCACTGGGCCCCAACCCCAACACTGGGGATCAAATTTCAACATGAGATTTGGAGGGGACAAATATCCAAAGGATATTGCACAATAATAATGGCCTCATAAAATGAGTTTGGAAGTGTTCCCTCCTCTACAGTTTTTTGGAAGAGATTGAGATGGGTTGGTATTCTTCTTTAAATGTCTGGCAGAATTTTCCATGAAGCCATCTGGACATTGACTTTTCTTTGTTCACAGAGTTTTTATTACAATTTCAACATCCTTAAAAGTGATCTTTCAGATATTTCACTTCTTCATGATTCAGTCTTGGTGCATTGTGTGTTTCTAGTAATTTATACATTCCTTCTATGTTACCCAATATGTTGGTGTATAATTGTTCATAGTAGTCTCTTAGGATCCTTTGCATTTCTGTGGTATCCATTTAATGTCTCCCATTTCATTTCTTTATTTATTTGAGTGTTCTCTCTGTTTTTCTTAGTGGGTACAGCTAAAGGTTTGTCAATTTTGTTTACTTTTCAAAAAACAAACTTTTGGTTTCATTGACTTTTATATCTTTTCAAGTCTGTCTTTAATTTCTTTCTCCTCTAGTTTTTATTCTTTCCTTTCTTCTGCTGACTTTTTGCTACTTCCTTGGGGTGAAAAGTTATACTATTTGAGATCTGTTGTGGTTTAAATGCATCCCTCTGAAGTTCATTTGTTGGAAACATAATCTCCAATGCAACAGTGTTTGGAAATGGGATCTAATGAGAAGTGACTTGGTCCTAAGGGTGAAGTTTTTATGAATGGCTAATATCATTATTGTGAGAGCAAGTTAGTTATCATGAGTAGGTTGTTATAAAGTGAGTCCAGCCCCTGATGCCTCTCTCTGTCTCATGTGCTCTCTTGCTCTTCTGCCATGGGATAACACCACAAGAAGACCCTCATCAAATGCCAGCACCATGCTTTGGACTTACCATTCTTCAGAACTGTGAGAAATACATTTCTTTTCTTTATGCATTACCTAGTCTGCAGTGTTCTGCTATAGACAAAGAAAATGGATTAACACAAGATCTTTCTTTAAATATGGGTGTTTATCACTCTAAACTCACCTCTCAGAACTACTTTGGTTGCAGCTCACAGGTTTCAGTATTTTGTGTTTCCTTTTTTCTGTTTTGTTTTGTTGGCCTCAAAAGATTTGTGTTTCCTTTTTGATTGACCCATTGTTTGTTCAGTAGTGTGTTGTTTAATTTTCACATATTTGTGAATTTTCCAAAATTCCTTATTGTTCTAGTTTCATTCTGTTATAATAGGGAAAGAGACTTGATGTAATTTCAGTTTTCTTAAATTTGTTAAGACCTGTTTTGTAACCTAATGTATGCTCTATCCTGGAAAATGTTCAACTCTAAAGTTTCCTTATTAGTTTTCTGTCTAGATGATCTGTGCATTGTTGAATGTTGTGTATTAAAGTTCCTTTCTATTATTGCATTATAGTATATCTCCCCCTTTATTTCTGTTAATATTTGCTTTGTATATTTAGATCATCCAATGTTGGGTGCATATATGTGTATAATTATTTAGATCCTCTTGATGAATTAGCCCTTTAGTCAAGATACAATGACCTTCTTTGTTTCACTTTAAAGTTTTGATGTAAAGTCTATTTTGTCTGATATAAGTGTAGCTACTCCTGCATTCTTTTGGTTTTCTTTTGCATGGAATAACTTTTTCCATCCCTTCAGTTTCAGTCTGTATGTCATTAAAGGTGAAGTGAGTCACTCGTATGCAGCATACAATTGGATCTTGTTTTTAATCCATTCAGTCATTCTTTTTATTTAATCCATTTTCATTTAAAGTACTTATGCATACATAAGGACTTACTTTGTTATTTTCTGGTGGTTTCAGAGTATCTTTGTTCCTTTCTTCCTCTCTTGCTGTCTTTCTTTTTGATTTGATGATTTTCTGTAGAGGCGTGCTTGATTCTTTTCTGGTTTTTGTGTTGACTATGAGCTTTTGCTTTGCAGCTACCATAAGGCAGACATAAGTCATTGTATAGTTACAATGGCTCATTTTAAGCTGATAACAACTTAACTTTGATCACATACAAAAACTCTACACTTTTATTTTTTCCCCCACTTCATATGTTTTCGAAGTCACAATATTTATCTTTTTAATATTGTGTATCTGTTAATAAATTATTATAGCAATATTTTTTTTTGAGATAGAGTCTTGCTTTGTCACCCAGGCTGGAGTGCAATGGTGCGATCTTGGCTCACTGCAACCTCCATCTCCCGGGTTCAAGTGATTCCCCTGCCTCAGCCTCCTGAGTAGCTGGGATTACAGGTGTGCACCACCACACCCAGATAATTTTTGTATTTTTAGTAGAGATGGGGTTTCACCATGTTGGTCAGGCTGGTCTTGAACTCCTGACCTTGTGATCCGCCTACCTCGGACTCCCAAAGTGCTGGGATTACAGGTGTGAGCCACTGTGCCCGGCCAGCAATAATTATTTGTAATACTTTTATCTTTAACTTTTATGCTACAGTTAAAAGTGATTTACACAACACCATTATGGTGTTAGAGTAATTTGAATTTGACTATATGTTACTTTGACCACTTAGTTTTATACTTTTGTATGTTTTCATGTTACTAATTGGCAACCTTTCATTTCAGCTTGAAGAACTACCTTTAGCATTTCTGACCTTTTGATGGAGTTTTTGTGGGGACTTTTTTGTTGATGTTGTTGTTGCTTTCTGTTTGTTTGTTTATTTATTTTTTTAACAGGCCCCCCTTCTATAGGGCTGCTGCAGTTTGCTGGGGGTCCACTCCAGACTCTATTCACCTCAGTCCCTTCTGCACCGGGTGGTGTCACCAGTGGAGGCCGCAGAACAGCAAAGATGGCTGCCTCCTCCTTCCTCTGGGAGCTCCATTCCAGAGGGGCAGTGACCTTATGCCAGTGGGACACCTGTATAAGGTGTCTGATGACCCCTGTTCGGGGGTCTCACCTAGTCAGGAGGCATGGGATCAGGGACCTACTTAAGGAAGCATTCTGACTGCCCCTCGGCAGAGGGGTGTGTGCTGCGCTGTGGGGAATCCCACTTGACCAGACTGCCTAGATTCCTCAGAGCCAACAGATGGAAAGACTAAGTCTGCTGATCTGCAGAGACTGTGCTGCCCTTTCCCCCAGGTGCTCTGTCCCAGGGAGATCAAAGTTCTGCCCATAAACCTCTGCTTGGAGTTGCTGAAATTCCTGCAAGGAGACCCCACTCAGTGAGGAGAGATGGGTCAGGGCCCGGCCTAAAGAGGAAATCTGACCACGATTTGCCACAGCTGCTGTGGTGTACTGTGGGGAATTCCTCCTGGATCCAAACTGCCCAGTGTCCTCAGCTCCGGCAGGGGAAAACCGGCAGACTGGAGCTGCAGTTAAGGCTCCCCTACCGCTAGGAGCTCAGTCATCTTAGGCAGCAGGCAGCAGCAGTGATGATGGCCACCCCTCTCCCTGGGAACTTGGTAGTCTTAGGCAGTCTCCAGCAGAGTGGCTGCTAGGAATCTGTATAGCTCTGTGCTTGGCATCCAAGGCCCTGATGGCATGGGCTTACAAGGGGGATCTCCTGATCCATGGGTTGCACAGATCTATGGAAAAAGCATGGTTTCCCGGGCGGGGTAGCACAATCACTCCCCATCTCCCTTGGCTGGTGGTGAGAGCTCCCCTTGCCCTGTGTGGCTCCCAGGTAGGCTATTGCACCACCCTGTTTTCCTCAGTCTCTGTGGGTCACACCAACCACCTAGTCATTCCCAACAAAAGAACCTGTATACCTCAGTTGCTGGTGCTGGATTCACTCACCGTTTTTCTTCTTCTTAGTGGGAACCTTTAACAGCAGCTGTTTCCAGTTGGCCATCTTGGTCCCTCCTGCCCACTTCCCTTTAGCATCTCTTGTAAAGCAAATCCAGTGATGAATGCCCTCAGCTTTAATCTTTCTGGGAAAGTATCTTGCCTCCAATCTGGAGAACAGCTTTGCCAGGTAAAATATTCTTGGTTGACTTTTATTTTTTCTATCAGCATTTAAAATATTTCATTCTACTTTTTCCAGGTCTACATGATTTCTGCTGAGATAGCCACTGATAGTCTTACGGGGATTCTCTTGTTTGTGATACATCACTTTTCTCTTTCTTCTTTCAAACATTTTTCTTTGCCTTTAATTTTAATGGTTTGATTAAAACCTTTCTTAGTGGGCTGGTCTAATGGTAGCAAGTTATCTCAATTGATGGTTCACAGTCAGTTACAGATAGAACCCCTTATTCTACTCTTTCCCCACTTCTCAATATGCACTTGGCTAGTCTTTTTTTATTTTTATTTTTGAGACGGAGTTTCGCCCTTGTTGCGAAATGCGGAGTGCAATGGTGTGATCTCGGCTCACTGCAAACTCCACCTCCCGGGTTCAAGCAATTCTCCTGCCTCAGCCTCCAGAGTAGCTGGGATTACAGGCGCATACCACCACACCCGGCTAATTTTTTGTATTTTTAGTAGAAACAGGGTTTCACCATGTTAGCCAGGCTGGTCTCAAACTCCTGACCTCAGGTGGCCCGCCCACCTTGGCCTCCCAAAGTGCTGGGATTACAGGTGTGAGCCACAATGTCCGGCCCTGGCTAGCCTTAAAAATTAATTAATTGGCCGGGCTTGGTGTCTCACATCTGTAATCCTATCACTTTGGGAGGCTGAGGTGGGCAGATCTCCTGAGGTCAGGAGTTTGAGACCAGCCTGGACAACATGGTGAAACCCTGTCTCTACTAAAAATACAGAAATTAGCCAGGCATGGTGGCACACGCCTGTAGTCCCAGCTACTCAGGAGGCTGAGGCAGAAGAATCACTTGAACCTGATAGGCAGAGGTTACAGTGAGCCAAGATCGTGCCACTGCACTCCAGCCTGGGTGACAGAGCAAGACTCAGTCTCAAAAAAAATTAATTAATTAGTTAATTAAGAAATAGAAATGTGTCTCAGTGAAGTCCTCTTTGAATTTAACCTGTTTGGGTACTTTGAGTTTCATGTATCTGGATATATACATCTTTCCTCACATTTGGAAAGTTTTCAGCCATAATTTTAAAAGTAAGCTTTGGCCGGGTGTGGTGGCTCACACCTGTAATCCCAGCACTTTGGGAGGCTGAGAGAGGCGGGCCATGAGGTCAAGGGATTGAGACCATCCTGGCCAACATGGTGAAACCTTGTCTCTACTAAAAATACAAAAATTAGCTGGGCATGGTGGCGTGCACCTGTAGTCCCAGCTACTTGGGATGCTGAGGCAGGAGAATTGCTTGAACCTGGGAGGCGGAGGTTGCAGTGAGCTGAGATCATACCCGTGCATTCCAGCCTGGCAACAGAGCAAGACTCTGTCAAAAAAAAAAAAAAAAAAAGTAAGTTTTTCACCCCTTTCTCTATCTCTTCTCCTGGGACTTCTGTGACATGTATTTTAGTTCTCTTGATGGTGTCCAATGAACCCCATACACTTTCTTTACTCTTTTTCATTATTTTTTCTTTTTTCTCCTCTGCCTAGATAATTTCAAATGGCCTGTCTTTAACTTACAGATACTTTCTTCAGCTTGAGCAAGTCTACTCTTGATGTTCTCTATTGCATTTTTATTTTATTCATTGTATTCTTTAGCTTCAGAATTTCTGTTAATATTTTTTATGCTTTATGTCCCTTTGTTTACTTCTTGCTTTATTCATGTATTTTTTCTTGATTTTGTTGAGTTGTCTATCTGTGTTCTCTTGTAGCTCACGGAGTTTCCTTAAAATAATTATTTTGAATAATTTGTCAATTTGTAGTTTTCCATCTTTGGGGTCAGTTACTGGAACCATATTAGTCTCTTTTGGTGATGCCATATTTGCGTGATTCTTCATGCTCTTTGTAGCCTTGCTACAAATGTCTATGCATTTAAAGGCACAAACACATCTGTTTTACAGACTAATTTGGGCAGATAAAGACCTCCTGGGTCTTTACCTTGCTGGGTCCCTGGACTGATAGGTCTGTCTCCAGGATCCCAGATGAGCTGGGCTTGAGCGAGGTAATTTGGCTGTTTACAATTCCACAGCTGGGTCTGTTGTTGGCAGGCGTGTTACCATAGGTACAGGCAGGCATGGTTCCTATCAGACCCTCAGGTGGACAGGACTTCCTCTGGAAAATCAGTCCAGTGGGGTTAGAGCCATGTCATAGAGCCACTTCTGTGTCTGTAGTCAAAGCCATAGGCAGCAGGCCTGTTATCAGGGTGCAGACAGGTGTGACTCTCACTGGGTCTCTGTGTGGGAAGAACAGCCTCCAGGACTGGAGCTGAGTCACAGGGCTGCTTCGGGGTCCACAGTTGGGACCTAAGTCAGCAGGCCTACCACTGGGGGCTCAGGTGGCTGTGTCTCCTATCAGTTCCCTGAGTGGACAGGACTGCCTCCAGACCACAGCAGAGACTGGTACTGAGTGTCAAGGCCACTACAGGGTTCATGGCCAGAACTGACTTCAGTGTCCACAGCCAAAACTGAGGTTGTTGGTCCTGCTAATAGGAACACAAGTGGGTGTTACTTGGTCACTGGTCAGGCCGGACTGAGATCAGGGATGGATCTGGGTCACAGGGCCACTTACGGATCCACAGTTGGGTTCATGGCCAGCTGGCCTGTTACTGGGGACATGAATGGGCATGGCTCCTTCTGGTTCTCTTGGAAGGTGGGCTGCAGGACCACAGCAAAGTAGGGCTGAAGCAGAGTCCTTAGGGGGATGAGGCTGCTTCAGTCTGCAGCTGGGACCATATATAGCAAGCCAGCTAATGGAGTACAGGTTTGCCTTCTCAAAGGAGCTCTTCTGGGTCTTAGACTTCTCTGGAGTTTACCTGGATCTCAAAGCTCTCGCAAAGGCACTTTAATCTGTGGATGGCTGCCAGATGATTCTATAGAGGAATGCAAACTGGGGACCACCTATTCCACGATTTTGCTGATGTTTGAAGAAATTCTTTTAACAATTCTTGCAAGGTCTAATAGCAACAAATTAAATTTTGCTTGTCTAAGAAGGACTTTATTTCTTCTTAACTTAAAAAAAAAAGACTTTATTTTTAGAGCAGTTTTTACTTTACAGCAAAATTAAGAGTAAGGTACAGAGATTTCCCATCTGTCCTCTGCCACCACACATGCACACCGTCCCCGACTATCAACATTCCCAGAATGGTACATTTGGTACCACCGATGAACCTACATTAACACATCATTGTCACTCAAAGTCCAGAGTTTACATTAGGATTTATTCTTGTTGTATATTGTATGGGTTTGGACAAATGTATAATGACATGTATCCATTATTACAGTGTCATGTGGAGAATTTTTTTTTTTTTTTTGACATGGAGTCTTGCTCTGTCACCCAGGCTAGAGTGCAGTGGCGTGATCTCAGCTAACTGCAACCTCTGCTATCCAGCTTCCAGCAATTCTCCTGCCTCAGCATCCCCAGTAGCTGGGATTACAGGCATGCAGTACCACGCTCAGCTAATTTTTGTATTTTCAGTAGAGACAGGGTTTCACCATGTTGGTCAGGCTGGTCTCGAACTCCTGACTGCAAGTGATCTGCCTGCTTTGGCATTCCAAAGTGCTGGGATTACAGGCGTGAGCCACTGTGCCCGGCAGAATATTTTCACTGCCTTAAAAATCTTCTGTACTCCAACTCTTCATCCCTCTGTCCCTCACCCAACCTGACAACCGCTGCTCTATTGTCTGCATAGTTTTGCCTTTTCCAGAATATCATATGGCTGAAATCATAGAGTATGCAGCTTTTTCAGATTGGCTTCATTTACTTAGTAACATGCATTTAAGGTTCCTCTGTCTTTTCATGACTTGGTAGCTCATTTGTTTTTAACACCAAATAATATTCCCTTATATGGACTTCCTCAAAGTTTGCAGTGGAGGAAATCCCAGTGGGTCACAGGGCCACTTACGGATTCTCTTGGTTCTGTAAGAGGCTTTGCAGACTGTCAAGAGGCTTTGCAGGCCAGTTTATTTATCCATTCACCTACTGAGGTGCATCTCGGTTGCTTCTAAGTTTTGGTAATTATCAATAAAGCTGCTATCAGCATCCATGCAGATCTATTTGTTGACATAAATTTTCAGCTTATTTGAGAGTTATTTTTAATAGGTACACATTCTCAGTTTTACAAGATGAAAATAGTTCTGTGGATGGATGATGGTGATGGGAGCATGACAATGTGAGTGTGCTTAATGCCACTGAACTGTACATTTTTAAATGGTTAAGATGGTAAGTTTTATGTTATGTGCATTTTACCACAATTCTTTTTTAGATGAGAATACATTCCAAAATCTACTAACTTGGTTCCTTGGTAAATTACCTTTAGTAATGTTCCAACATTAGTAGGAATCAAAACCTTAAAATATGCATATCTTTTGATCCAGCAATTCCATTTCTAGAAATGTATTCTAAAAAATCAGACATGGCAATAATATTGTAAATACACACACATTTTGCCAGGCGCAGTGGCTCACGCCTGTAATTCCAGCACTTTGGGAGGCCAAGGCGGGCGGATCATCTGAGGTCAGGAGTTCGAGACCAGCCTGACCAACATGGTGAAACCCCATCTCTATTAAAAATACAAAATTAGCCGGGTGTGGTGGCACATGCCTGTAATCCCAGCTACTCAGGAGGCTGAAGCAGGAGAATCACTTGAACCCTGGAGGCAGAGGTTGCAGTGAGCTGAGATCGCGCCATTGCACTCCAGCCTGGGTGACAGACTGAAATTCTGTCTCAAAATAAATAAATAAACACATTTACCACCTAATATTTTTACATAATGAAAAATGGAAAACCACTTAACTGTCCCAAAACAGGCAATTCATTAAATATTTCTTTGTATATCACCATACAATATAACTATTTTAAAAACTATGGCAGGCATAGTGGCTCACGCCTGTAATCCCAGCACTTTCAGGGACCCAGGTGAGCGGATTGCTTGAGCCTCAAAGTTCAAGACCAGCCTGGGCAACACGGTGAAACCCCATCTCTACTAAAAATACAAATTGGCCGGCATAGTGGCACAGGCCTGTGGTCCCAGCTACTCAGGAGGCTGCAGTGGGAGGATCCCTTGAGCCGGGGATGTTGAGGCTGCAGTGAGTCAAGATGGTGCCACTGCACTCCAGCCTGGGTGACAGGACAATAATAATCACAGTAATAATAATGATCTAGTTGTGTGATTTTCATGAAATTTCATCCCAGTATTTTGTTATGTTGAAAAAAAGCAGATTACAAAACAGAGTGTGTGGTGTGTGTGTGTGTGTAAGGCTTTTCAAGTGATTTATCTAGAGAACTATCTGAGAAGCATCCGAGATGATGTTAAAACCCTGCCCAGCTGAACCTTGGGGAAACTGCATAACCTTTGATTCACACAAAAAACCCACATCCATTACTTCTTGAGTGCTGATTCTGGGCCAGGCTCTTTATGTACACAGTCCATTTAATCCTCACGGTAGCCCTTCGTGGTAGGCACATTTATTATTCTTGTTTATAGACAAGAACTCGCGGAAATTGAGTGCATGGTCCAGGCTCACAGCCAGGCAGCAGCAGGATAGGGAAGCTGGAGGCCAGGCTGTGTAATTCCATACCTGCAGCAGCAGACTGCTGTCCCACAGAACCCTCTCTACACACAGGCCTGGGTCAGGACAGTATTGCAGGTTCAAGGAATTGGAGAGCTGATCAAGAGGAAAAAATATGACCACAAAGTGACAGTAGCACACATATGCTTTATTTGGGAGACGCCCTAAGAAGGCTGCACGCGGAGGAATCCCCTCAGGCATGAGCCTGTCAAGAGGCTTTGATGGCCAGGAGGAACACCATACTAAAAGAGAGGAAGGGAAGGGAGCTCCTGGGGACAGGATGTGAGAGATGGGGGAGCTCCTGGGGACAGGGTGTGAGAGACGGGGCTTGCACATCTAGGTGATGTCACACAACAGCCCGGTAGGGAGAATGTGGGTCAGAGAGCTCCCAAGGGCAGCAGTGGCTGGGGGTCCCCATAGCCTGAAAGTTCATCTTATCCATGGCTAATAGGTGGTGGACATGGTTTTGTGGGGTACGCAAAGCAGGGGACCTCTAAATGACTAATAATATGCTTATCTGGGCTACATTTAAAACAGCTGGATGTGTAAAATTTGAGGTCAATGAATGGATCTCAGCCTATTGTTAATCAATAAAAACACCAGGGGCCAATATACACAGGCCAACTTTGGTTTATTTAACATCTTTGACTGATGTAACAGACCAGCCAGTCGAGGGCTGCATCAATCATGGGTCCCTGAAATGGGAATACATACAACCTGGTGGAGGAGACAGGCTGTGTCAGGAGAATGGTGGATACCCTTCCCCTCAACAACAGGGAGTGTGGCTGCAGTTGAGGGCAAGCAATGTCCTCCCTGTGGGGCAGCAGAGACAATATTGTTTTCAGGTGTTTTTCTTTTTTATTGTGATTATATATATATATAATTTGGTGTATATATATGGTATATATTTTATACATAGATGCACCATAAAATTTATCATAGTAATAATTTTTAAGTGTACAATCAGTGATGTTAATTACATTAACAATGTTGTGGTACCATCATCTCTATCCATTTCCAGAACACTTTTATCATTCCAGACCAAAATTCTGTACCCATTAAACAATACCTACCCATTTGCCCCTTCTCCAGCCCCTGGTAACTGTGATCTATTTTTTTCTCTCTATGAATTTGTCAATTCTAGGTACTTCATATAAATGCAAACATACAGTATTTGTCCTTTTGTGACAGGCTTATTTCACTTAGCATATTGTTTTCAACTTTCATCCATATTGCAGCATGTGTCAGAATTTCATTCCCTTTTATTGTTGAATAATATTTCTTTTTATGTACATACCATATTTTGTTTATCTATTCATCTGTTGATCAACGTTTGGGTTTTTTCCATCTTTTGGCTGTCGTGAATGAAGCTGCAATGAACATTGGCATACAAGTATCTATTTGAATCGTTGCTTTCAAATCTTTTGGGAATATATCTAGAAGACGAAATTACCGGATCATATGATAATTCTATGTTTAACTTTTTGAGGAACCACCAAACTGTTTCCTTCAGCAGCTGCACCATTTTGCATTCCAATCAGCAGTGTTGACTGTTCAAATTTCTCCACCCCTTCTCACTTGTTATTTTTTGTTTTGTTTGTTTGTTTGTTTTTGATAATAGCCACCCTAATGGGTGTGAAGTGGTATCTCATTGTGGTTTTGATTTGCATTTTCCTAATCACTAATGATGTTGAGCACTTTTTCATGTGCTAATTGACCATCTGTATTTCTTCTTTGGAGAAATGTCTATTCAACTCCAAATTTTGATTAAATTGTTTTTTGTTGATGAGTTGTAGGAGCTCTTTATATATGCTGGATATTAATCCTTTATCAGGTATATACTTTGCAAATTTGTTCCCATTCCATAGATTGCCTTTTCATTCTTTTGATTGTATCCTTTGATGAATCAGTTTTTAATTTTGATGAAGGCCGATTTATCTCTTTTCTTTTGTTGCTTATCCTTTTAGTGCCATATCCAAGAAATCAGTCAAATCCCATGTCATGAAGCTTTTTCTCTATGGTTTCTTCTAAGAATTTTGTGGTTTTTAGCTCTTATGCATACATCTTTGATATATTTTGAGTTAATTTTTTGCATGTAATAGTAGATAAGGGTCCAACTTCGTTCTTTTGCATGTGGATATCTGGCTTTCCTAGCACCATTTGTTGAAAAGACTCTCTTTTTCCCAACTGAATGGTCTTTTCACCCTGGTCAAAAATTAACTAACCATGTATGTGAGAGTTTATTTCTGGAATCTGTATTCTATTCCTTTGGTCCATATGTCTGCCTCATGCCAGCACCATATTGTTTTGACTACTAAAGACTTGTAATAAGCTTCAAAATCGGGAAATGTGAGCACTCTAACTTTGCTCTGCTTTTTTCAAGATGGTTGTGGCTATTTGGGTTTTCTTACATTCCCATAAGAATTTTAGAATGGGTTTTATTATTTCTACAAAAGAAAATGCCTTTGTATTTTGATAGGGACTGAACTGAATCTATATATCACTTTGAGTATATTATTATCTTGGCAATGTAAAATCTTCTGATCTAAGTCCGTGTATTTTGTCTTCTTTAATTTATGTTAGCAATGTTTTGTAGTTTTCAGTGTACAAGTCTTTCAATTCCTGGGTTAAGTTTATTCCTAAATGTTGTATTCTTTTTTATGCCATTGTAAGTGGAATTGTCTTCTTAGTTCCTTTACAGATTGTTTATTGTTAATGTATAGAAATGCAGATGATTTACTGTGTATCAATTTTGTATCTTTCAACTTTGCTGAATTCATTTATTAGTTCTAATAGTTTTTTTTTCACAGAATTTTTTTTTTTTTGAGACAGAGTCTAGCTCTGTCGCCCAGGCTGGAGTGCTGTGGCATGATCTCCACTCACTGCAAGCTCCGCCTCCCAGGTTCATGCAATTCTCCTGCCTCAGCCTCCCGAGTAGCTGGGACTACAGGGGCCCGCCACCACGCCTGGCTAATTTTTTTGTATTTTTTAATAGAGACAGATTTTCACCATGTTAGCCAGGATGGTCTCGATCTCTTGACCTTGTGATCCGCCCACCTCAGCCTCCCAAAGTGCTGGGATTACAGGCGTGAACCACTGCACCTGGCCTTTCATGGAATCTTTAGAGTTTTTTAAAACATATTTTTCACGCAAACAGAGAAAATTTTAACTTCTTTCTTTATGATTTGGGTGCCTTTTATTTATTTTTCTTGTCTAATCACTCTGGTTAGAACTCCTAACACTATGTTGTGTAGAAGTGGCAAATGCCTGCCTCCATGTCCTGTTTCTAATATTAGGGGGAAAGTTTTCAGTCTTTCACCAAACAGTATGGTGTTAGCTGTGGGTCTTTCACAGTCCTGGAGATTAGGATTGGAGATCTTGGATAATCATTTTAGAATTTTACCACAAAAAGATCCCAGGCCTAGCATAATGCTCTACTTAAACAGGTATCTAGAAATACTTGCTGTGCTTATTTTCTCTCTTCCCTCCAGGTCCTCTCCTTATCCCTTTCCACCTTACTCTGTGCCCCAGTTTTACTGGCCTTTATGGACTTCACTGATGGATTTCTTTGTCCTCTGTTTTCCTATTAGGTTTGCCAACGGGCGGCACTAGCACAAGGTTAGAGTGCAGGAGGAGAGTGAGGATGGGTGTTTATTCTCCTGCCTCCATCCCTGCTGGGTCAACACGGGTGGACCGTGTACCTTTTTGGGAGGCCTGTCATATGACCCCCTCTGACCACTGCTCCCTTAAGATTCTCAACTATTCTTTCTTTTCTATTCAGGCCTAGGGACGGAAATGCTGCTGCACCACCCCTTAACCCTGCCCGCACCTTTGCAAATAATGCTTTAGCCTACATTCTGCCTAATTACCCCATTTCAGTGTTCCATCTTTTTCCTCTTGGAATCCTGACTGATAAGATACTTGCATATGAACTTTTCCAAACCGCCTCCATTCATTTAACTCATTCATTCATTTCCTCACTCAACAAACATTTTTTTGATAATTAACTATATGCCAAGCACAGTTCTAAGCACTGATGATAAAGCAGTTAATAACACATGAAAATCCTGTCCTCTCAGAATTTATATTTGGGCAGGGGAGAGGGAAGAACAAACAAGCAAAATATATACTATTATAACAAATAAGCAAAATATTTGATCCCACATGTGATCACTGCTGTGGAGCAAAAGAAGAAAGGGTGTAGGAAGCATGAGTTAGGATTTTTGATAGGGTAGACAAGGAGGGCCTCATTGAGAAAGCAACATTTTAGCAAAGATCTGAAGGAGAGGAGAAGTTATGTCACTTGGCTATTTGGAAAAATACCAGATAAGAGGATCTTACAGCAGGACCATGCCTAGCCAAATCCAGAAATAGTAATGTGGCCAATGTAGTTGGAACAAAGTAAGAAGAATGGCAGATGAGGTTGAAGCGATTCAGCCGACAAAAGTGGCTAGTCTACTTACTATGATCTGAACATTAATACTAATGAAGATAAAGTTTTATGGGTCATGTGTCCAGGTCACTGAAATCTCTGTGCTTATCTCTACTTGATATATTTGGCTCATTTCAACTCTGAGATCATCCTGTCCATAAAGAGAGCAAGAGCTTACCCAGTCAGCATTAGGTCAGTCTTGCTTCTCATTCAACTCTGATGTTGAAATCTGGTTCTGATAAACAGAGTTAGGCTTTGTCCAGTTGTGCACAGGCCCCAGCACTGCAGTCCACATCTAATAACTAGACCACTAGCTTTGGTATCACAAGGAGGACCCTGTCTGATGTCCTTCCTATTACCACAGTTCCTCCAGGACTGGAACTGTGCTTTCAGAGAAGTGAGCCCTGACTCTGGCCCCACACTGGGCCACTGCTTTCTGCGTCCAATTCCCTGCAGGATCAGACACCACTGGGCTCCATGGACCTCCTGCTACTGCCCCCTGCTGGGTCCTTGCCTGTGCTGGCTCTGATCCTACGCAACTGTTTGCCTTCTGCGTTCTTGTACCCCCTGATTTGACCCATCCCATCATCAACCAGGTTGCCAACTGTTTTTAATCACCCTAAGTTTTAAATTGTTTTTACTGCAAGAATTTCAGTTTTATTTGGTGGTAAAAGAATTTTTTAAAGTCAATAAAGTATTAATCAGAGAAATTGGAACAATGACCGGATATTATGTTAGGTATGATAATGGTAGTGCAGTTATGCCTTTAAAAGAGTCTTTATTTAAGAGAGTCCTTAGAGCTCATACTGAAATATTTGTGGGTGAAAATTATATGATGCCTGAAATTTGCTTTAAAAACATCCAGTGTAGGAGGGGAAGGGGACACAGATAAATCCCAATTGGCCATAAGTCGATAATTACTAAGCTGGGTGACAGGTACGTGGAAATGACTTACACTAGACTCTTTACTTTTATACATTAACATTTTACTTTTACTTTTATACATTAACATTTAAAAATAAATAAGTAAAAGGATTCGTACATTGGCTAACTAGGTGCAAAAAATGAAGTTAGATAGACCATACCTACAGTAAATTCCAGATCAATTAATCAATATGAGTGACACCAGGGAAGAACCAGAGGAAAATATAGGTAAATGTTTACCTGATCTCAAGGTGAAAAATATCCCTTCAAGAATAAAAGGAAAAAAAAAAACTATAGAGGAAAAACTTAGTTGATATGATTATATAAAAATTAAGAAAGGTTCTACATTAAAAACAAAAAAAAATCCTTTTAACAGGATAGCAACAAACTGGGAAAGATAGTTAAAACATATTATATAAGGTAAGCATTATTATACTTGATGTAAAAAGAGCTTTTTTGAAATAGGAGAATAACACCTCAATATAAAAAGTGTCAAAAGACATGAATGGGAAATTTACTTAAAAATACACATATGTGGCCAAAAAGATTAAAACCTCAATCTCAGCCAGGCACAGTGGCTCATGCCTGTAATGCCCACAGTGTGGGAGGCCAAGAAGAGAGGATCACTTGAGGCCAGGGGTTCAAGAGCAGCCTGGGCAATATAGCAAGACCCCATCTGTACAGAAAAAAATTAGCCAGGCATGGTAGCTAAAAATAAAAAAATTAGCCATGCCTGCAGTCTCAGCTACCTGAGAGGCTAAGGTGGGAGGATGGCTTGAGTCCAGGAGTTTGAGGCTACAGTCAGCTATAATCATGCCACTGCACTCTAGCCTGGGCAAGAGTGAGACCCCATCTCAAAAACAAAACTAAAGTAAACTAAACAACAACAACAAAAACCCTCAATCTCAATAAAAATAAGAGCTACCATTTTCGATCCATCAGCTGTGCAAATTTTTGAAAATGAAAACACTTGGCATACGTAGAGCAGAAAACAGGCACACCCGTTCATCGTATTAGGGTGGTGACATGATGCCACCTTTCCTGGGAGGAATCTGGCAATGGGCATCAAAGGACTAAGATAAGAATAGTTAGAGTCTTTGACCTGACAATTCTAATTTGGAAATTTATCCTTAGGGAATGAGTAGACAGAAATATATTGATGCTCAGTGATGTTTGTTACAATGTTATTTATAATAATAACACACTGTAATCTCAGCACTTTGGGAGGCCAAGGAGGGGGAATTGCTTGAGCTCAGGAGTTTGAGACCAGTCTGGGCAACATGGTAGAGCTCCATCTCTACTTAAAAAAAAAAAAAAAAAATTCAACTGGGTGTGGTGGTGCACGCCTGTGGTCCCAGCTACTCTTGAGGCTGAGGTGGGAGGATTGCTTGAGACTGGAAGGCAGAGACTGCAGTGAGCCAGATCACACCACTGTATTCCAGCCTGAGTAACAGAGCAAGACCCTGTCTCAAAAAGCAACAATAATAATAAAACACTGAAAACAAATGGAAACATCCAAAATAATGATTTGGTTCATTCACAGCATATGGTACAGCTCATTCACAAGACAGAATACTATATAGCCACAACACACGCTACAACTAATGTATATTATACTCAAAATGAAAGCATGAGTGCCTTCCCATATCCTGGAATATTTGTTGAAAACATGATTTCATGGCTACTACATATTCTCTCTAGAATTCACACTTATAAACACTCATAGGTTAATACGTATCTCAAAATGTTATTGGTGGTTGCTGCTGAATAGTAGGGCTCAGCATGCTGATTCCCTTTATCATACTTTTCTGGATTTTACAAAATTTTGACAATGAGCTTATATTGCTTTAAAATCAGAAAAATAAGGCAATAATAGACTCAAAACAATTACAAAATCAGAAAAATGAATGACACTAAAGAAATTTAGACTTGGGGAAAGATGCCAAAAAGGATCTGGCATACTCTGTGGACTCCCTCATGTGATCCATGATGAATTCAAAGCACATGGGGATGGGCACATCCAGGGTCGCATAGTCAATCAGGCAACAGCCCAGCCCAGCCTCTGACTCCAGGATCTTGTCAGCGCCTGCCCCTCTCAGAGGTGTCTTTGTGGACACATGTGGTACTCAGTGGTTTGACACATGCAGGCTGATCAAGGAATGCATCTGGTAAACTGCTAGGTTAAGAACCTAACAGATCCTTGGCTGGGCATGGTGGCTCACGCCTGTAATCCCAGTACTTTCGGAGGCCGAGGTGGGCAGATCACCTGAGATCAGGAGATCAAGACCAGCCTGACCAACATGGTGAAACCCCGTCTCTACACAAAACACAAAAAATTAGCCAGGTATGGTGGCACGTGCCTGTAGTCCCAGCTACTTGGGAGGCTAAGGCAGGAGAATTGCTTCAACCCGGGAGGCGGAGGTTACAGTGAGCCAAGACCACGCCATTGCACTCCAGGCTGGGAGACAGAGCAAGACTCTATCTCAAAAAAAAAAAAAAAAAGAACCTAACAGATCCTGTACTTTCTTCTCAAAAGCTTGATGGATATCATGAGGCAAGTGAAGCACTAGAAGCAAAAGTATACTTTACTGACATCTACATACATTATTATTAGACCTGTGATGCTTTTCACACTTGCTGCATTATATATAAGCCTGCTGGTTATTTACATTTAAAAAAATCCCCCACAGTGCCGCACATAGTACTATGGATATAATGATGTCTAATAGAGCCTTTTGCTGTTGCTGTTTTTTGTGCTTGCTTTTGTTGTTGTTTTTTCTAAAAATAAAAACAAAAACAAGAAAACTGTAACTATAATATTTATCATTTTAATTGATGTGTATAGTTTTACAAAATCAAATAGTAATAGAAACAAAATAGCATCCCTTGTGCCTCCCCTCCCTATTGCTCCCTGGTCTTATACAGTCATAAGAAGTCACAAGAAACCACGTACAAATTGTTAAGCCATTTCTTCTGCCATTTACCTTCCAATTCCTAAGGAGTATGCATGTGCTGTTATTTATTTTAGACATTATCTTTTTTCTCCCTGTCTTGACAGATGTTATCTAACTCAAGTGCACTTTGCTCTCCCTCCCCCATTCCCCTGGTGTAAGCATACCACACAGTCTTTGAGTTCACATTATTATTTGTGTCATATAGATACTGTTCACATGAGCCAGGAAGAGTACAACTTTTTTCTTAAATTATCACCTCTCAAAAAATAACTTTGTTGTCTACATACGTGTCTTCCAATGAGCCAGAAGACTCCCTATGTCAGCAAATCCACTGGTGCCATGACTTCCCACTGAGCCCCCTGACTTCCTGTTCTGCACGGGCTTGTCTGCTTCCTGGACCTGCTGCACAACTTGCTCCGAGTCCTATACTGGACATCCTGCTTTTAAATCCCATGCCTTCCATGCCATTGGTTTACAAGTTTATTTCCTGGGGTACTTCCTTCAGGAACGTTCAAGGAGACAGCAAAGAAGGTAAACTTTTGTGTGCTTGCATGTCTCTAACTGTCTTTCAGTTGACTGAAAGTTTGCCAGAATGTAGACTACTAAGGTTGAAAACTATTTCTCTCTGAATAGGGGGATCATTTTTCTTCAGTTTCCTAGAGCTGCTGCTGAAGGTCAGATATCATTCTGGCCTCAGTGTCCTTATGCATGACCTGTCTGCTTCTCTGCAGAGCACCGTCTAACAGACACAGAACAGAAACCGTCTATGTCATCTAAAATTTTCCAGGAGCCACCTTAAAATAAAAAGAAACAACTGGAAGTAGTTGTAATAATATGTTATATTTAGCCCAATGTTTAAAAAATATATTATTTCGGCCAGGCGTGGTGGCTCAGGCCTGTAATCCCAGCACTTTGGGAGGCCGAGGTGGGTAGATCACGAGGTCAGGAGTTCAAGACCAGCCTGACCAATATGGTGAAACTCCGTCTCTACTAAAAATACAAAAATTAGCAGGGCATAGTGGCGCATGCCTGCAGTCCCAGCTACTCAGGAGGCTGAGGCAGGAGAATTGCTTGAACCAGGGAGGTGGAGGTTGCAGTGAGCCAAGATTGCGCTACTGCACTCCAGCCTGGGCCATAGAGTGAGACTCCATCTCAAAAAAAAAAAAATTAATTAAAAAAAATATATATATACAAAATCATTTCAACATGTTTTCAAAATGAAAAATATTAATGAGACATTTTACTCTTTTTTTTTCTACTGAGCCCACCAAAATTCAGTGTCTATTTTACACTTACAGCACATCTCCATTCAGAGTGGCCACATCTCCAGTGCTGAACAGTCAGCCGTGGCTAATGACCACCATATTGAACAGCATTAATTTACAAGCTTTCAGGATTTTCTCTTGATCCCAAATACATGAAAATTTCAGGCCAATATATGTCTAGATGTGGGTCCTCTTCATCGTTATGCTGGGCATCTATTGAGCCCTTTCAATCCAGAGACTCATACACTGCAACTCTGAGAGGTTTTCTTGAAGACAAAGAACAAAAAATAGTGTTAGTAGTACTATTATCAATGCAACTCTTCACATCCTTTTTCTCTGTTCCTCTTTCTGGAACCCTATTCAGTCAGGTATCAGGGCCTTCTGGATTGATTCTCTGAATTAATTGCACTTGCTCTATTATCCTTTTCTATTTTACTTTCTTTTTGTTCTGCTTCCTGGGAAATTTCTTTAATATTACACTCCAATCCTTATTTGATGTTTTTAGTTCAGCTGCCACAATTTTGTTTGAGGATTTTCTTCTCTCTTATATTCTAATACCTGTTCTGTTTCATGAATGTAATGTCTTATTTTATCTGATGATAGTAATAAAAGATTTTAGAAGTTTTATTCTGGCTGGGTGCGGTGTTAATAAAAGATATTAAAAGTTTTATTCTGGCCAGGTGCGGTGGCTCATGCCTGTAATCCTAGTGCTTTGGGATGCTGAGGCAGGTGGATTACTTGAGGTCAGGAGTTTGAGACCAGTCTGGCCAACATGGTGAAACCCCATCTCTACTAAAAATACAAAAATTAGCTGGGCTTGGTGGCGGGTAACTGTAATCCCAGCTACTTGGGAGGCTGAGGCACAAGAATTGCTTGAACCCAGAAGGCAGAGTTTGCAGTGAGCCAAGATCATGCCATTGCACTCCAGCCTGGGCGACACAGTGAGACTTGGTCTCAAATAATAATAATAATAATAATAATAATAATAATTTTAAAATAAAACTTTTATTCTGTTCTCTTCATCACTTCTGTTTCCCCTAACTTCTGTTCTCCTGATATTTGTTCATTTGGGTCCGTGTGTAGTGTAGCAGCCTTTCTTCAAATAACAGGTTATGCTTGGTGCTCTATTCCCATTCCAGAGGGAGAGACTGACAGCTCAGTAGAGCATCTGGGAGGACAGCCCAGGTTTGTCAGTTTGGGACTTCTCTATAGGATATTCAAGAGGCAAGCCAAATTAAAAAAAATTTTTTTTTGGAAGACTCCCAAAACCAGAATTTGAGACATTTTTTCTACAGTCTTTTGAGATTTCCCCAGTAGATAACCTCCGGCCTTTGGGTAGCCAGGAGAGTTAGGGGTAGAACAGAAGCCTGAGAGCAGAAATAACCTACAAACAGTTGAAGAAGAGCAGCAAGGATATTATTGCTTAGTATGCAGATTTAATTTTAACCCACCCTTCCTCCCTTCCTCCTGTCAACCTAAAATAATCAAAAGGCTCAGGCTCCACTTAAAAGAGTTTATTCAAGCGCCAAGTGTTAGGGTAGCAGACACCAAAGAATGGTGATCATCACTCCTCAGTGCGGGGAAAGGTGAAGATCATTCATATAAGCAAAAAACAGGGGTGCTGAACAGAATTACAACATGCTCTTTTTTTTTCGGAGACAAAGTCTTGCTTTGTTGCTCAGGCTGGAGGGCAGTGGCATGATCTTGGCTCACTGCAAACTCCACCTCCCAGGTTCAAGGGATTCTCAAGCCTCAGTCATCCGAGCAGCTGGGATAACAGGCGTGCGCCACCATGCCCGCCTGGCTAATTTTTTGTATTTTTAGTAGACACAGAGTTTTACCCTGTTGGCCAGGCTGGTCTCGAACTTCTGGCCTCAAGTGATCCGCCTACCTTGGCCTCCCAAAGTGCTGGGATTGCAGTTGTGAGCCACGTATCTGGCCAGAATTACAACATTTTTTTCATTTTTTAAATATAAGATATAAAACACACACACACAAGTTGGCTGGCCACCATTGACTATACTCTATGGGAGTTACTTAACATCCATCGTAAAGAGGTAAGGGTCTCTATCTCCAATGTCATTTAGTTGAGGTTTGAATGAAGAATAGGAAGGGTGGTTAATTCATAACATCTCAACACAAAGGTCAGAAGCAAAGGTCATGCACCAGAGAAGAAAAACAGCGTGTATGTGACTCAGTTTCCATGGCTTAACTGTTTCTGCTGGCATAACCAATGTAGAAGCTCCTGAAATTTTCTTTTCTTTCCACGCTCCTTTTCTCTCTTCCTCCTTTCTTTCTTTCTTTTTTTCTGAGACGTTGTTTCGCTCTGTCACCCAGGGTGGAGTGCAGTGGCCCGATCTTGGCTCACTGCAAGCTCTGCCTCCCGGGTTCACGCCGTTCTCCTGCCTCAGCCTCCCGAGTAGCTGGGACTACAGGCGCCCGCGACCACGCCCGGCTAATTTTTTGTGTTTTTAGTAGAGACGGGGTTTCACCGTGTTAGCCAGGATGGTCTCGATCTCCTGACCTCGTGATCCGCCCGCCTCGGCCTCCCAAAGTGCTGGGATTACAGACGTGAGCCACCGCGCCTGGCCTTCTCTCTTCCTCCTTTCTTTCCTTTCTTCTTCCCCACCTCCTTTTCTCTCTCTCTCTCTCTTTAGCGCAAAGCCTCTCCTCTCACCTGTGTCTGGGGTCCAGGTCCGCAGCCTCTACCTTCCATGTCTACAGAAACCTAGTCTCTGGCCTGGGGCAAGAGGAGTGGTGATTTCCTGATTTCTTGTGTTGGGGGAGGGATCCAGGCAGCAGCCTCTCCAGTGCCAGGACCTTGTCTCACTCGGTCTGCAGGACAGCCTCTCTCCAATCGGCTTAATTACCTCTGCTCCACCGTTTCTTCCCTCCAAAAATATCTGTCAAATCCCCTTGTCTGTTGATATTTCCTTTCCTGTTCTCTTTATCATGGAGATGTAATGTATTTTTAAATTCTGTTCCTCTAATTTTAGTGAGGTCTCAAAAGGAAGAAGAGTTGAAAATGGCCACTCTTTCTTCTAGAATGGAAAGTCCTCCATTCCAGACTTGTATACATAGTCTGCTCCTGATTTTTGGCTAGAAAAAGTAATAATTATATTATCCATTATTAAAGCTGTGTCTACATGATTCCAATATAATTTGCAAACAGTCCATGGTTATATTCAGTACTGTTATACGTAAAAATGTTTATTTAGAAATAGAATGCTTGTTCCCCAGTGCCACAAAGAAATAGCACTCGAACATAAATTTAATTCTCTCAGCAAGGCCATTTTTGCTTTCTGCAGAAAGGGTGTTTATGGCAGTTGGAACAATGGCGAGAGCACCCCGGAACAATGGAGCGAAGCAATTTTTATCCCTTACCCAGTTTGTCCCTGCTACTGTGTCCTGTCTCCATTGGCTGGAGCCAGACCTCACAATCTAAACTAAAACCCGATTGGCTAACAGTTTAAAACTTTTTTAAACAGGTAAAGGCAATAGAAAAACAAAGGAAAAAAAATGAAGTTGCTTACGAAAGGACTTAGAAAAGTAATAACATTTCCAAATAAGGAATAAACATTCCCAAATAAGGAAAGGGCATAGGCTGCGAGCTGAGACATGCCTGTGTGCACGTCTAGCACAGATATCTTGGTTAAAGTACGAGGACATAGAATGTACTACGTGTCTGTGAGCATGTCTAGCATAAAGTTAGTCTTTAAAAGAAACTGTTAATTCTAACACTTATGATTTATTCTTTAACAAGAAGGGAAGCTTTGAAGAGGAACTTTTTATTTTCTACAATATACCCAAATCAATACAATATGAAATGTTTTATTTAAGCATATCTAATTAAGAAGTATTTGTACATTACACCTATTTTTGAAAGACAAAATATGAACAATAGTAAGAAAACTAATATGACTGATTATTTTCCTTGTGACTACTAACACAACTGCTAACACAATTTGATTGGTTGATAAGAATCTTTCTGACAAAATTTTTCCAACATTTAAAAAATAAAAATGAAAATTTGGTTGGTAGTCAGCAATTTCTTTCTGGGAAATTTATTGTCTATGTTTAAAAATTATAAACTGAAATTTTTAGCTTTGTCTTATGTAAAATTAAATATTTTTATTTACTTATAAATTTAATATTTATAGTATTTTTACCTAACAATTATTAAGTAATGTTTACATACTTGTCAGGATTCTTCAGGAAATGGAGGGTACACTCTTCTAGGATTTAGAAGAGAATCTCATAAAGGGCCTATTTCCAGCGGTGTAGGCTGGGCTAAAGGAACCAACAGGGGATGTTGAGGGACCCAGCGGCCAGCCAGAGTGGCCTGAGACGGCAAGAGCGGGAAAGCACTGGAGCTGGCATCTTCCTGGGACTCAGTCCTTGACAGGCAGGGAGGGCGTGGAGGTAGAAATAATCTGGCAACTCCCTCTTTTTGCTCCCTGGGCTTCACCTGCTGACGAAATCCAACCAAAAGCAAGAGAAGGACATCAGTGAGCACAGCCTGCGTGGGTCAACCCCTGAGGCTTGCAGCTACAGAAGGACAGAGAAGGAGCAGAGCAGGGGAGGAAAAGCAACAGAACCAGCTGCCTCACAATACAAAACTGTTGGTGTGAGCTTAATTTGGAGAGAATCGAAAAGCTATTTGGTAACCAACCATTGGACTTGGGATAATGGTATCTCCCATTCCAACTGTTCTCTAAGTTTTCCATTCAATATTCTCTTTAGGTTTATAAATTCTGTGTGCCAAGGACTACTTGGTGGTTCTGCTTGCAAAGAACCTATATTTGCACATTTAGGAATTTCTAAACAGAGATGGAAATTAGAGTCTCTTCACAACTGAAGTAAAACAGAAATGTTCATGTTTTCCTTAAACACTTTGTAGTGTTAGCAATTTAATTTAAAATGTAAGTGAAAATCCATTCTCAAATCAATGATAGCCATTTAATTTTGCTGACTTCTTGTGCTTCAGATTTGAAGTTGAATGATCTCTTAGTAAAATCTTAAGTGTTGATTTTCTTTTACAACCTGTGAAAGATGACACTTTCAGCAAAGTCAAGCATGAGAATAAAAATTCATTTTATTATTATTTTTTGTTTGGATTTCATTGAGTTATTTTGGGGTTAATCTTTTGGCCCTCACACATGCAGAACTCCTTCGAGTTCAATGGGTGTTATGTGCATGGAAGAACTTAAGAACTGGGCCTTTGGTTTATTTCTGCAATACTCACTTGAATTGCCTCTGCTTAGTTTTCAAAAGGTGGCTTCCTGGATCTCTATTCATTTGTGCACTGCGCCCTCTCTTTCCCTTTGTAAATTTGGACAATTCATACCCCTACCCTCTCTTTGGTGTCCAGAAGTTCTGGTCTATGAAGCACTGTTGCTTAGCAACAGGTTAACTGGCTCTTCCTCTCTATGGGGGACTACAAAAAAGCCAATCAGAACCTCCACAAACTCTTATTTATTGAGGAATACAGATGCAGTTTCTTATGCTGCATTACTGATGGGCCATATGGTGTAAATTCTATCTTTAAACTGCAGCAAGATAGAAAATGCATGTTTCAAAATCAAATTTTTAAAAATTCACATTGGCATACTTGTTTGGCTTGATTTTTTAAAAATCCATTTACTTAAAAAGATTGCTTTTAATGAAATAAGGTACACATTCCCCCTGAATTAATTAATTAATTAATTTGAGACAGAGTCACTCTGTCGCCCAGGCTGGAGCGCAGTGGTGTGATCTGGGCTCACTGCAACCTCTGCCTCCTTGTCTCAAGCCATCCTCCTACCTTAGCTTCTCAAATAGCTGGGACCACAGGTGCATGCCACCACATCTGGGCAATGTTTTTGTATTTTTGGTAGAGACAGGGTTTCACCATGTTGCCCAGGCTCCTCTGGAACTCCGGAGCTCAAGCGGTCCACCCGTGTTGGCCTCCCGAAGTGTTAGGATTACAGGCATGAGCCATCACGCTTGGCCTCCCCTTGAATTTAAACCAAAAAAAACAAAAACAGACACAAGTGTAAGTTGGTTACAAAATCTTTTCCAAAATATCTTCTCTTACTAAAGTTTCCTTCATGTAAATAGTGTTTGGAATAGAAAGAGGGTGGTGACAAAATAATCTTCCTGTATCTTATATCAAGTTTAAATAGACAGTGGAAGCCAATTTGGGATTCATAAATGCAGTACTATGACACTTAGAGAAATAAAAAACTTTTAGAAAGCATCTTTAGGAAATTCTAAGGTTAAATTCCGTTGAACTGGGGAACAAATAAAGCTAAGGTAAAGTCTGGTATTTTCTCATTCAGTAATAAAGAACCACAACGTGCAGATTCTTCACCTGCCAAGCAAACAGTTCTAAAAACCCCTCTTGGTAGGAAAGGAGATAAAAAATTATATTTAAGAACACCTGGTTGGGCACAGTGGCTCACGCCTGTAATCCCAGCACTTTGGGAGGCCAAAGCAGATTGATCACCTGAGGTCGGGAGTTCGAGACCAGCCTGACCAATGTGGAGAAACCCTGTCTCTACTAAAAATACAAAATGAGCTGGGCATAGTGGCACATACCTGTAATCCCAGCTACTTGGGAGGGTGAGGCAGGAGAATCACTTTAACTCGGGAGGCGGAGTTTGCAGTGAGCTGAGATTGCGCCATTGCATTCCAGCCTGGGCAACAAGAACAAAACTCCGTCTCAAACAAACAAACAAACAAACACCTGATTACCTACAAACAGAAGCAAAACTACTCCTCAAGTTTAAATTTTATAAATTTTTTTAAGTTTTGGGACTTCTTGTGCTGGGCAAGATGGAGTAGGCACAGCACAGTTCAGTTCTCCCACTCATCAAAACTAAGAATTCTTTTTTTTTTTTTTTTTGACAGAGTCTTGGTCTGTCTCTCAGGCTGGAGTGCAGTGGCACAATCTCAGCTCACTGCAACCTCCGCCTCCTGGATTCAAGCGATTCTCCTGCCTCAGCCTCCCGAGTAGCTGGGATTACAGGCATGCACCACCACGCCAGGCTAATTTTTGTATTTTTAGCAGAGATGGGGTTTCACCATGTTGGCCAGGCTGGTCTCGAACTCCTGACCTCAGGTGATCCACCTGCCTCAGCCTCCCAAAGAAAACTAAGAATTCTAGGCCGGGCACAGTGGCTCACACCTGTAATCCCAGCACTTTGGGAGGCTGAGGCAGGCGGATCACGAGGTCAGGAGATGGAGACCAGCCTGGCCAACATGGTGAAACCCCATCTCTACCAAAAATACAAAAATTAGCCAGCCATGGTGGTGCACGCCTGTAGTCCCAGCTACTCAGGAGGCTGAGGCAGGAGAATCGCTTGAACCCAGGAGGCGGAGGCGGAGGCTGCAGTGAGCTGAGATGGCGCCACTGCACTCCAGCCTGGGTGACAGAGCAAGACTCTGTCTCAAAAAAAAAAAAAAAAAAAAAAAAAAAAAAAAGAAAAGAAAAGAAAAGAAAACTAAGAATTCTAAACAAAACAAATGCCAACTCCTTGAGGTCTCTGGAAAGTAAATAATGGCAGGCAAATTGGAAGAAGGAGGGTGACAAAACTTGAAGAAGTCACAAAACAGGCATGTGTTTCCCAGTTTTTTGTACTCCCACCCCTTTCAGCTTTTTTTTTTTTTTTTTTGAGATGGAGTCTCTGTCACCCAGGATGGAGTGCAGTGGCACAATCTCAGCTCACTGCAACCTCCACCTCCCAGGTTCAAGAAATTCTCCTGCCTCAGCCTTCCAAGTAGCTGGGATTATAGGCGCCTGCCACCACACCTGGCTAATTTTTGTATTTTTAGTAGAGACTGGGTTTCACCATGTTGGCCAGGCTCGAACTCTTGACCTCAAGTGATCTGCCCGCCTCAGCTTCCCAAAGTGCTGGGATTACAGGCATAAGCCACCTCGCCCAGCCCCTTTCAGCTTTGATATAAAGGCAGACCCCTCCCCAACCCCCCGTCAAGTGACTTCCCAGTTGACATGTGCAGTAAAAACTCCAAGAAGAGCTCGGTCTTTCTGGCCAAAGGACCAGGAAAAGGAGCCCCTGTGAACCAAAGAATGCAGGGGGATATCCCTGTGTTCTTCCTCTCTCTCTTTCTCTTTCTTTCCCAGCCCTGCTGTGAGGGAGACCCCAGTCATGCTACCATAAAGAGGCAGATGGGCAACAAAACTCCAAGACGTTTCTGTGAGCCAAGCAGTGTGTGTTGATGAATCCTAGAGAAGAGAGAGCTAGAGGAGGGGAATCCCTAAGTCTGGGTATGGGCTGGCACAAGTCCTGGGCTCAGGCCTAAGCCGCACATGCACAGGCAGATACAGAGAAGTGAACAGAGTCTTTGAAACTTGAAGTGGTGCCACCGGGACCACCACCACAGAAGGGGAGACAGTTTGTCATCTGAACTTAACTGAATTGGTTGTCTGCTTACAATCAGTCTTCTCCAGGGATTTTAACAAGTTGCAGACTCTTGGGACTTGGTATTCAAAACATCCAGAATATGATCCAACATTACTAGATGCGCAAGCAACCAGGTAAGTATGACCTATTCACAAGGAAAAAGACAACCAACACATGTCATTCCAAAAATGACTCAGATCTTGGATCATCAGACAACAACTTAAAACAACTTTTATAACTGTGCTCTTAAGATGAAAACAAAGGGCCAGGCGCAGTGGCTCATGTCTGTAATCCCATCACCTTGGGAGGCCAAGGCGGGTGGACCACCTGAGGTTGAGCGTTCGAGACCAGTCTGGCCAACATGGTGAAACCCTGTCTCTACTAAAAATACACAAAAATTAGCCGGGCGTGGTGATGCACATCTGTAATCTCAGCTACTCGGGAGGTTGAGGCAGGAGAATTGCTTGAACCTGGGAGGCGGAGGTTGCAGTGTGCAAAGATCGCAGTCTGGGTGACAGAGTGAGACTCTGCCTAAAAAAAAAGAAAGAAAGAAGTTATTGATGGAGACCCAGAAGCTATGAAAATTAAGAATTCTAGAACTGAAAAAATTATATTTCTGAAGTTAAAAAATGTAATGGATGGACTTACTAGCAGAATGGAAATAACAAAAGAAAGAGTCAGTGAATTGAAGACAGATCAGTAGAAATTAACCAGAGGACACTGAGAAAATGGATTAAACAGAATGAATAGAACTTCAGGATCCTGGGAGACAACACCAGAAAATCACGTATTTTTTGACACTAGAGTCTCAGAGGGAAAAGAGAAATTGGTGCAGACACAAAAAAAGTTTTTAGAAATAACTGCTGAAAACTTCTTAAATTTGACAAACAATATAAATACACATTCAAGAAACTCAGCAAAATCCAAAGAAGATGCTCAGCATATCATAATCGAACTGCTGAAAACCAAAGATTGAAAGAATCCTGAAAGTAGCCAGAAAAAAACCCAACACATTCGGTATAGGGAAGAACAATTTGAAATACGGGTTATCTCAGACATATAATAAAAAATCATGTAGGCCAGGATGCAGTGGAACAATACCTTTAAAGCACTCATAGGAAAGAATCATCCATCCAAAATTCTATACCCAGTGCCAATATTCTTCAGGAATATGGACTTCCTGAAGAATCCTAAAATATGTCCACAAATTAATTGGAGATCCTCTCTTCAGAAGCTGGGGCCTAATTCCCCTCCCCTTGAGTGTGAGCCAGAATTAGGACTGACTTTTAATGAATAGACTATATCAGAAGTGACATTTCATGATTCTGAAATTTTAGTTATTATGGTGAACACCAGTCCCCTGACAACATGGTTCAAATTTGAGTTACCAGAATATATTAACTGTAATTGCATGAAGTTCAAACTTTCTGCTAGCTCCCCAGTCCACAAATCACTACATAATAACACAGGTACATCATGATCAGTGACCAATCATGCCTCTTCTTTCCAAAACCTACGGGTGATTGGTCACTGTGCATCTGTGTTCATTTCACGCACAGACAGCAAAGTGTGAATTGTGTGGCCTCCTTGTCTTCCAGTGATAAACCCACATGGCATTTTTACACAAATGGATATTCAAAAGAGAAAACTGACAAATAAAGATAGAAATGCAGCAAAGAAACTCAAACTGAAAACACTGAACGTGAATGCAAATCAAACATAAATGGGGTCACTGAAGAAACAGACTATGGGGATGCTGGCACTGCTGCCGAGAAGGTGAATTCCTCAAATAAATGAAGAAAGCGGTTGTGATGAAAAGGATGAAGATGTTCCAGAGGAAGGAACGTCAGCAAAAACCTTCACGTTAAAGGGACTTGGAGATATTTCATGACATTGAAAGCAAAAAGGATAAAATATTGGAAGCTGATCCAAACTTAGAAGGGGCATGACAAGTTTTTGAACACAGAAAAGGTGCTCCCTCTATATCATAAGGTACATGACTTTTGAAGAAGGCAAGCACTGTTTAAATGTCTGTTGATGGTTTTTTTAGGAAGACATCAAGCACTTTAATTCCCTGTGTTGCTAATGTTTTAAATTACAGTGTACAAAAATATTTACTTTATTGTTTCCTTATACATTTCTAACAGTACAAGATTATCAATGTTTTGACAATTTTCAAAAGACAGGAAAAAAATCACAATTTTACCCATTAATGATTATGAACAGCACATGGCAGTTTCAGGTTGGAAGGTCATTTTTACAGTTCTGAACTGCTGTGCAGTGAGGACTGTCTGTTTTATGTTGGGAGACTCTGTGTTCTGCTAAAATTCCCTGAAGAATGTTTCTTTTTTTTCTGTTTTGTCAGGCAATCAGCCTCGTTAGCCTTAGTCTGCAGGTCCTGCGTTGCCTTCTGTTTGGTGGTGGTGGTCCGAGTGTCAGTTCAGAGTGTGGCTGTGTTGCCTGGGCTCTGTCTCTTGTATGTGCAGCTCTGGGCTGAGCACGGAATTCAGCTCATGTACAGAATTAGAGAATCCTCTTTTCAGGTCTTTGCTCTTCAGGATTTCCCCCCAGACTCCCTGGCACCCAGGGGGCCCCTTTTCCTCATCCTCTGGCTTAGAAAGATGGGCTTTCTCTCTGATGATTACCTGCCTACACTGCCTGCTCATTTTGCCAAAAGGAACGCCCCTCAGGCAGAAAGCAGAGAGAGAAAAAAAGATGGATTATTTCCACATTCTTCAGACCATAGGGTCATTTTTTCCTGCTCCTCTGGCTGGAAAGACAGGTTTTCTCTCAGGGGAATTTTTTTGTTTGTTTTTGTTTTTGTTTTTTGAGACGGAGTTTTGCTCTTGCTGTCCAGGCTGGAGTGCAATGGCGCGATCTCGGCTCACTGCAACCTCCACCTCCCAGGTTCAAGCGATTCTCCTGCCTCAGCCTCCCGAGTAGCTGGAATTATAGGCATGCACCACCACGCCCAGCTAATTTTGTGTTTTTAGTAGAGACAGGGTTTCTCCATGTTGGTCAGGCTGGTCTTGAACTCCTGACTTCAGGTGATCCACCCGTCTTGGCCTCCCAAAGTGCTGGGATGACAGGCGTGAGCCACCGTGTCCAGCCTGACTAGGGTCATCTTTAGGTCAGGACTGAGAGAGAAAAAGTTTAAAAAAGGAAAAAAGCAAGGGATTATAGCCACACTTTCTAGCTTGCCGGGCCCCCATTTACCAGAATGTTTTAAGAAAGTTCCAGACTGTTTTCCCATCAGCTGTGTATGAGGGTTCCAGTTCTTCCACATCCTTCTCAGCAAACAAGTTAACCATATTTGGCACAGGATTTCTAGACCTGTAGGTTACGGAAATGTCACAGTATGTTTTGAGGCCAGTAAGGAGTTCTGCTTTTTTTTTTTTTTCCTGAGACGGAGTTTCGCTCTTGTTGCCCAGGCTGGAGTGCAATGGTGCGATCTCGGCTCACCGCAACCTCCGCCTCCCAGGTTCAAGGGATTCTTCTGCCTCAGCCTCCCTAGTAGCTGGGATTACAGGCATGTGCCACCACGCCTAGCTGATTTTGTATTTTTAGTAGAGACAGGGTTTCTCCATGTTTGTCAGGCTGGTCTTGAACTCCCGACCTCAGGTGATCCACCCGCCTCGGCCTCCCAAAGTGCTGGGATTACAGGAATGAGCCACTGCACCCGGCCAGTTCTGCATTTCTTAAGAGAATCTTTGTGAGAAGATGTAGATATTGGCTTCATAATAATAAAGTGAATTTGTGGTATTAAATAAATGGAAAAAAAGACAAACGGTACAAATTAAAAGTTCTTGAGATGTTTGGGCTGACCATGAAGGGATCCATTATCTGAAGAGTGGCTTAAGATTTAGAAGGCATAGCTCTACAGTCTCTTTGTCTTCTAAGGGCAGGGCATCTTCTATCTTCTAGGACAGGGTACAGTAAGTCTTACCAAACATGTAAGACATGTTATTTGGGGATATTCAGCATTCCTTTTCCCTTCCTAAAGGTACTCAGGTTTCTTTCTCAGAAATTGTATATATTCATCCCTGAAAGGTCTGAGAAAAAATAAAAAAAAATTGTGTATAGTTTTGGTGAGATCGTCAATCCAGGAACCTGTTTCCCCATATTAAAGTCAAAGGAACTATACTGTTTTCACTGCCAGGCTGGGGACTCTTAGTACCTAAGTTTGGTCCATTCTACTCTTTTTCATGACTTTGAATCTTGAGCAAATGACTACAGTAAGAGTGGGGTTCATTCATGTCATCAACAGCATCCCAGCTGTATTGTTAAAAGTACCTGTCATTCTTAGTTCCCACCCAGTCTTAATCCTGGTTCTCCAACTTTCATAAAAATCGTTGTTTTTTTTTTTTTTTTTTTTTTTTGAGACAAGGCCTCACTCTGTTGCCCAGGCTGGAGTGCAAGTGGTGTAATCTGGGCTCACTCCAACCTCCACCACCTTGGCTCAAGTAGTCTTCCCACCTCAGCCTCCTGAGAAGATGGGACTACAGGTGCACACCTCACCTGGCTAATTTTTGGATTTTTTGTAGACAATGGGTTTCATCATGTTGCCTCAAGAAAAATAACATCATGGTAATACTAAGTCTTTTATCAGTGACATGTAACTGATTTTAAAATATTATATAGTGCTTCCTAGTTTAACCAAACTGGAGGCATGTTTTATATGATGGGCTGATGTCTCATGAATAACTGTGCCAAAATCCTCACTTCTGAGTGCACTGATGCAGTAGATGGATGTCTCAGATCCCTCAGCTCCCAGATTGGGCCAACTCTCCTTATACCACCACACCTGGGACCTGGGAGGAATGGGGAAGGGGACTTTATAGGGCAGAGCTTTCCCAGACTCTTGTTCCACCCTAAGGATAAAGTATTACAGTAACTTTCTTCCTGCCTTCCAGAGGCACTTTCATTCTTCCTGGAGCTCTCGTCAACCCTGACCTCTTCCTTTGTCAGCAAGGTCAAACGCCTGAGCCACAAGTCTTAGCTGTTTCCAGAAGGGTGATTGTGTGCTCCCACCTATATCTGAGGTCCTAGACTCCTCAGAGGAAGTCAGCTTCATGTGATCTAGGTTACTCAAGCCTGGGGCTAGTGTTTTCATATTCTGGTATGAGAGACTTGCTTCCTCTGGAAAGATCTTTATGGTTTACACAAATGTAACAGACCACTTAACAATAGCTAGTCTCTAAAATGTACATCTTAAAATGGCTTTATACTTACGGGAATTCCTAATTAAAAAAAAAACTCACTTGATTTATATCACATTGTAAAATATAGTTTACTTCAAAAGATGATCCTGAAGATCCCATCACAGAGTGTTTAAGGGATGATTATAAACTTTTAGCCCTTAAGAGAGAATATATATACTCAACTGAGTACTGTCTTTCAAAGCAGTCCCTGTCAGTTTGTCCATTGATTCCATAGCAGCTCTCACTGCCCACCCTGCTTGAGAAGCCTCTTGGAGTTGCCTAGAGAGTCTATAGCACTCATCTGAAGGCCCTCCATGAGAACAACTCTTCTCTTCCACATAGATATTTTTGCATCAGCCCAAAGCTATTTGGACACAAGTTTGGTGAACACGGTAAGAAAAAAACAAACCAAGCAACAAAAACAAAAAGCAGGCAGTGCTGTGTTAGACTGAAAGTAAAAGATAAAAACTCTAAGAACCTATGAAGCGCCAGGGCAGTGCTGGTTGCTTTCACCCATATGGTCTCCTTTGGTGTTCTGCTGGTGCTTATGAAGCAGTATCCCTACTGACAATGACCCTAGCTTAAGAGGGCTGAGAACTGCTGAAAGTGAAGCTGTTTATAAATGGTACAGTCAGGACCGACAGACACATGGGTGTGGTATGACTGCAAAGTACCTGTGGAATTCAGATGGGATTACCATCCCCACTATAAAGGGCAATATGATCTGTTGCAGGAGGGTTTATAGGGTACTTAGTTACACAGGTCACACTGATCCCCTTTTCCTCTTTTTTTCTATGCAAGTATCTATTTGTCTATATGTCTGTCTACCTTGGTAGGTTGGGCTCCTTGAAGAAGGGTTATGTTTTCTTCATCTCCATATCCCCAGTAGCTGGCCAATGCCCAGTATACACCAGGGGCTCAGTCGCTGTTTGTCTTATTTTCTTGTTGACTCTACTCTGACTTAGGACATATCACTTTCCTCTCTTGACCTTCACATTCAGATGTGTTAATAAAAGTGGATAAAGACCACTCTAGCTTTAAAACACCCTCCAATATAGAGAGAACTCTGAAACCAGAAGCAGAAGCTGAGGAATGGTGAATAGAGCATTTTCCCTCACACGATGGGTATCAGGGTGGTTTCTTGTCCTTTCAATGCCTCTGCAGAACTTGACCCTAGTTTTTCAAATTGGACTCAAGAATGATCTTAGTGTTGGTGGTTTTGTGGTTTTCTTTGAGACTTTGTTATTGACAGAACAGCTTCTGGAAATCTGAAAAGAAAAAAAAAAAGGTAGTTTATATATTAGTTTGGAATATGAAATGTATTTTGTCATGGTCTCCAGAGTCCGAATATTGATCTCTGTGGAGCTCTCCTACCCTCTGCTACTGCTGATAACTCATAGTACTGGAGAGATAGCAGAGCCTGAAGACCAAAAAACTCAACTGCCGATACACGGCTGCAGTGTGGTCAGTTACTGATCTACCATTTATGAAGCAGGCCTACAGATGTGTGTGTTCTTCTGGGTAATTTAAATTGACAATTAATTAACAGGGCTGGTGCTAGGTAAACATTATAGGTTAGAATCCCTAGTGTGGATTAATTTGCTCTCTTCCATGATCGCAGACTCCCTGCTTAGCTCCAGTCTGCTGGTCTCCCAACATCTGCTAATGATTACATGGGCAGCATTAAGGTCTCTTATTACCTTGTTTGAAAAACTGGAAACTCATCTGTTATTGTTGGTGGTTAGATACCTCACCTAAGTAAAATATTAATTAATGATATTAGGCTGGGCGCGGTAGCTCATGCCTGTAATCCCTGCACTTTGGGAGGCAGAGGCAAGTGGATCACTTGAAGTCAGGAGTTCGAGACTGGCCTGGCCAACATGGTGAAACCCCGTCTCTACTAAAAATACAAAACTTAGCCAGGTGTGATGGTGTGTACCTGTAATCCCAGCTACTCCAGAGGCTGAGGCAGGAGATCACTTGAACCTGGGAGAGGGAGGTTGCAGTGAGCTGAGAACACATCATTGTACTCCAGCCTGGGCAACAGAGCAAGACTCCATCTTGGGGGAGAAAAAATAAATAAAATAAATACAAAATAAAAAAAGAAAAAGTCCCCAACCATTAGTTGTCATATTGTAACCTCCAAGAAGACATAACTTTTTATTAAATTTTAAATACAGATGTTTATTTTTTATTTTTTATTTTTAAGATGGAGTCTCGCTCTGTTGCCCAGGCTAGAATGCAGTGGCGTGATCTCGGCTCACTGCAAGCTCCGCCTCCTGGGTTCACGCCATTCTCCTGCCTCAGCCTCCTGAGTAGCTGGGACTATAGGCGCCTGCCACCACGCCCGGCTAATTTTTTTTTGTATTTTTTTTAGTAGAGACGGAGTTTCACCGTGTTAGCCAGGATGGTCTGGATTTCCTGACCTTGTGATCCGCCCACCTCAGCCTCCCAAAGTGCTGGGATTACAGGCGTGAGCCACTGCGCCCGGCCCAGATGTTTATTTTTACCTCAATATTTAAGCAATTTAACTTCAACCAACCCCTGAATTTGAGTTAAGGATGCAGAGTATATAAGTGTTTGTCAGCTAAACATTTTGCCCACCATCAATAGCTACTCAATAAATAAAGTTTTTTTTTTTTTTTTTTAAAGAACACAAAGCTAAATAGGGCAACTAAGAATTGAGTTTTATGTGTTATGATACAATAATGAATTTTAAACTTTCCAAAAGTACAATAACTGGTCTATGTTCTCGAGTATAAGTCTAGACAAATACAGTTTCTGGAAATAACTACAAAAGCCAACATTTATTGAGCATTTGTTGTGTGGCAGGCACACAGGTTATCTGATTTAATCCTTATAACAACCTGGGAGGTTAAGTACTATTAATATGTTGATTTTACAGATGATAAAATCCAAGGTTCAATAAGGTAAATATTTTTGCAAGGGCACAGACTTATCATAAGATGGATATTGGGGGCCTGACTCCAGAACCTTAGACCTCTACAATATAATAAGGTGAAAATAAATTTATTTCCAGAATTCCAGATACTGGCACTGGCATTTTTTTTTTTTTTTTTTTTTGAGATGGAGCCTCGCTCTGTTGCCAGTCTGGAGTGCAGTGGCGTGATCACTGCAACCTCCACCTCCCAGGTTCAAGCAATTCTCCTGCCTCAGCCTCCCGAGTAGCTGGGACTACAGGTGCGCACCACCACGCTCGGCTAATTTTTGTGTTTTTAGTAGAGATGGGGTTTTACCATGTTGGCTAGGATGGTCTCCATCTCTTGACCTCGTGATCTGCCCGCCTCGGCCTCCCAACGTGCTGGGATTACAGGCGTGAGCCACCACGCCCGGCCGCACTAATGCATTTTTAAAAATTAAAAGCAAGAGTGTTTAAAGAAAAGGTAAATACACGGAATGCAATGCTACAAATGAAAATACGAGTGATTAAAAACTACTACTCCTCACCTTGTGAACCTGCCTTGGGTTATAAAAGCAAATTTGGATATTTCTGGATTTTGCTCGTTATTTAATGGCTAACTGTATTATTTCTTTTATTTATTTATTTATTTTTGAGACGGAATCTCGCTTTTTGCCCAGGCTAGAGAGTGCAGTGGTGCCATCTCCGCTGACTGCAACCTCCGCCTCCCGGGTTCAACCAATTCTCCTGCCTCAGCCTCCCAAGTAGCTGGGATTACAGGCGCACACACCACCAGGCCCGCCTAATTTTTGCATTTTTAGTAGAGACGGGGTTTCACCATGTTGGCCAGGCTGGTCTCGAACTCCTGATCTCAAATGATTCACCCGCCTCGGCCTCCCAAAATGCTGGGATTACAGGCGTGAGCCACCGCACCTGGCCTGTATTATTTTTAGATAACATGTCATCCTGGCTTTGTGACTAATTTTATGCATAGGTGAGTGGCATAACTTGTCAGCCTGCTTTTAAATGTAACTTCCTAAAATACCAGCAGCATTTAATTTATGTACGTATGATACTGGCTTGCATTTGAGGTGGGTATCAGAAAAGAAAGCAGAAAAATCCAACTTGCCTTTTTCACCGGGAGTATGGGGGCTTCTTTGGCCAAACCGTGCGCGTGCAGGCTCCATGTGCTGGGCAGCAGCTGTCCGGCCACAGCCTGTCGGTTGCATCCTGCTCCTCTACAGAGGTTTCTCCAAAAAAAGAACAAATGGAGAGATGAAGGTAAGTAAAAGCGGCACTTTAAAACTTTTAGAGTGCTGGGTTTCTAAATTTATATTCTGAAAGACATTAATCTCTTTTTGAAAATGTTTTATGCAAGCCTAATATACATACAGTATCAACCTCATTTTAGAAGCAGTTACGACAGAGCTTTGGAACAGAATTTACGTAAACGACCTCCTTCCAGAAGATGCTACTAAAGCAACAAGATTCAAATCCCTCTCCCTCAGAAGAGCTGGGAGATCCACTGCAAAGGCGCACGTTTCAGTCTAGCCATTGCGCAGTGGTAACGCAGGCTTTCCCACGCTGCAACAGACCTGTGCTCTCAAGACAGTCTCTTCCGTGACGAGCAGGCGCTTAGGGCTACCTGTACCTTCAGACATTATGGTGTGTTTGGCCATGTCATTTGTCATAGGTGTAAAAACCACAACCGAGAGCCCGAAGCTGCTGGGATGAGCACCTGCCGCGGAACTGCATTCTCGCGCTCCTTCCTGCTCTTTCCAAGAAGCCAGGCGCGGCCGGCCAGCATCCCGCTCTCCCGGACCCCGCAGTCAGTGTGGGCAGCAGGCCCAGAGTGGTGCGAGCCGACGGCGGCGTTAGAAAGGCGGCGTCCCGACGAACAGAGTGACTCGGCCTCGGCTCCCCTTCAAAGCGCCATCTTATCGCTGCTTCCCTCAGGAGCAGGCGAGCTCTTCCCCAGGACCTGCTTCGCGGCTTCCCTTCGCCCGAGAACCACCGGGCGGAGGCGGCGGCCTCTCTGGCCCTGCCGGGAACAGGGCGCAGGGGAGGGGAGCGGCGGCCGACCGGCCTGAGGCGGGCGAACGGCCTCTGGCCTCCAGGCGCTGCCTGCTCCGGCTCAGAAGCCTCCCGGATCCCGTCCCGGCCCAACTCCGGGCCTCCGCCTCCGCCGCCGCCTCCGGGAGCCCCGAGCCGCGTCCCGCCGGCGCCGCCTCTTCCGCCTGCTAGCCGGCGGGCCTGGGCGGCGTCCGCGCCGGGCGGGTCCGCTACGTCAGCGCCGCCCGCCCGCCCCGCCCCGGCCCTCAGCCTCGGCCTCGGCCTCGGCCTCGCAGCGGCGGCAGCGGCGGCGGCGGCAGGTCCCTCCCCAGACATGGCCCTGGGAGGCGGCAGCACATGGCGGCCGCGGCGGCCATGAGCGCGCCCCCGACCCGCCCCAGTCCCCCCTAGAGGCCGCCGCCCCCGCCCGCCAGCCCGCCCGCGCGCCACGGCCCCACCACCCCCGGCCCCGCCGCCCCCCGCCCGCACCCGCGCCCGCGCCCCCGCCGCCGCCATGGGCGTGCAGGGCTTCCAGGACTACATCGAGAAGCACTGCCCGAGCGCCGTGGTGCCGGTGGAGCTGCAGAAGCTGGCCCGGGGCAGCCTGGTGGGCGGCGGGCGGCAGCGGCCCCCGCAGACCCCGCTGCGCCTGCTGGTGGACGCCGACAACTGCCTGCACCGCCTCTACGGCGGCTTCTACACCGACTGGGTCAGCGGCGGCCAGTGGAACCACATGCTTGGCTACCTGGCGGCGCTGGCCAAGGCCTGCTTCGGCGGCAACATCGAGCTCTTCGTCTTCTTCAACGGCGCGCTCGAGAAGGCCCGGCTGCACGAGTGGGTCAAGCGGCAGGGCAACGAGCGCCAGACGGCACAGCAGATCGTCAGCCATGTCCAGAACAAGGGCACCCCGCCGCCAAAGGTCTGGTTCCTGCCGCCCGTCTGCATGGCCCACTGCATCCGCCTGGCGCTCATCCGCTTCCACGTCAAGGTGAGGCCGGGGATCCGGGCGGGCCGGGGACCGGGGCCGCGCCGCACCCCTATCCCCCTTCCCAGGGCGCAGAATGTCGCCCGGCCGTGGCGGCGCTGGGGGCAGCGAGTTCCCCCAGCCCTTGCCCGGGATAGCCTGGCCGGGCCGGGCTGCAAGATGGATGGCCGCGGGTGCAGGCCGCGCGCTGCCCAAGCCCGTCTCCAGCTGTCCCTGTTCGGGGTCCGCGGCCGCGTGGGGACACTTGAGGGCTGGGAGAGAGCCCCGGACCAGAATTCGGAGGCGACAGTGTCATCATCCCCAATATCCTTAGTTTTTCCCATCCTATTTGAGGCGGGCAGGCTATCACTCACCTTCAACTTTGACAAAATACTCCCTTTTCTAATTTAGCCTGTTCTTTCCCAGCAACAGGTTCATCTTGGAAGCAGGCAGGATACAGAGTAATAGAGGGGGTTTCGCCAGAGCCCTTGGGGGCTGCAAATATCAGTGCTGCTGCCGCCGCCCTTGCCAATGTTGTTAGCCCGGTGACAGCGAGACGTGTCTAAGGGCCAGTGCCCTGGCCTCTACTTCAGAACGCAGTGCCCTGTCCGTGTTCCTCTTAGTACAGGGTGTTTAGAGAATCTTTCTATGGCTTTTTGTGTTAGATTTCAAAGACCCGTGCACTTTGACAGGATGGGATTTTGTCAGTTCTGTGACTTCACGTCCGTGTGAAAGAGGTCTTTAAGGCAGTTCGGTTTTGTAGATCCCATGCGAAAGGAGTCGCTCAAAATCAGGGGGCGAACTACGCGGGCGTGAACTCGCAGGATTTATTTTTCGGGTGCACAGTAAGTATTCAGTGACCTTCAGCGGTGCCCTGACGGGTGGGTAATCAGAGCTCTATATCACCGGCCTCCTCTGGCCCTTTGGCAGAGGGCTTCGCAGCTGGCACTGGGCCAGAGGAGAACTTCAGGACCCAGCAGTGACTGTGAAGATAAGCACATCCATGATCCTGGACTTCACGTTCTGATTGCTTGCTTTTTTCATTGGTTTTCTTGAAAACAAATTTTGGGGGCCTTTTTGTTGTCTTAGCTCTTGACACTCGGTCTTCCATCTTGTCATTTGACATTTCCTTGAAACTGCTGGAGCTGAAAGTTTGTGAAATTCTGTCTTCGCGGTTGCCCCCACTGCCCGCGAGGAGATGGTGGTAGTTAAGCCTAAAATGATAGCGGAAGTCCCACCCACGATCCGGTTGCAATTGGTGAGATGGTGTTTAAGTCGTGGGTGGAGGCGGCCGGCAGAGTCCCGATTGGCCCCTGCGCCTGGCAGACACACAGCTGCCATTCCTCAGGGAAGTTCGGGTGAGAGGAAGTGCCTGCCTTTTAATTTCTGAATCGGAGCCTGGGGCGCTCAGGGAAGTAAGGTGCTGCCATTTGTCTGAAGCGATCCATCTCCCTAATAGAGCGTAAAAGTGTTCATAGTTTAGTCTTGTTCAGAGATGGAAAAGACTACTTAAAAGACAGGATGAGCTGCACTGACTTGCCTTTGGTAACCGCACAGCTCTCTACTTAACTAGTCAAGCGACTTTCAAGGGAACACTGTGAATATTACTTAGGATTAGAATCAGTATGTATGCATATGGTCACTGTATCTTTAAAGAACTGTTGAGTTCTTTTTAATTCTACAGTTTCTTTATCTTTGCACCCCTTTGAATGCCTCGCACACCTAGTAGGTGCTCAGAATTCAGACCAATGTGTCAGTGTTAGGAAACTAGATTTAAGCTCCATTTAAGATCGTCTTTTTCACTTAGGTTTCTGGACACGGGATAATGGGATAATTTTGTCTGTATTTTGCTTTTGCTAAGCTTTTAATTATTGACCTAGGGTCATATTATAGTGCGAATTGCACAAAATGAATATTGTAATAACTCAATTACTTGGTGGTCTCTTAGCTGGCAACCTTACCTTTTTGAAAAGTGCCTAAGAGATTTAGCTACTAGAAATTTCTCAGCAACCAAGCAAGATGTCAGGAAGTTTGGGTACAGTGATGTGGGGGGTTGGCGGGTGTAGGGGGGTGCTTTTGCTTTCCTCACTGAAGAATCCTTTAAGCTCTCTCACTCATGGACTGGCCTCTTTTCATATGTAATTCTAACAAGCTTGGTTATCTATTTTCTAAACTCAGCTTGAGAAGAGGATGAAGAGGAGAGTCTGCCAGAGGCAGGAGCACCATTAATAGCAAGAAGTGACAAGAGAGATTTAAAAAGCTATAAAAAGCAAACATAATTCTGGGGCTATTTTAAGAAAAGGAAAACAACCCTATGTACTTCCTTGGTCCCTGAGGGTAGTACAATGTTTATTCTATAAGGATGATTTTGAGTCATAAAAATTAATATTCAGCATTCTCTGTTTAAGGGATTGAAACAGTGTATACCATTTAATAAAAGATACCCATAAAGTGGTTAAAACGTTTAAAACCATGATATCACTACATGCCTATTAGAATGGCTAAAAGAGAAAAAAATATGAGCAATACCAAGTGCTAGCAAGAATGCTGAGCAACTGGATCCTTACACATTGCTTGTGGGAATGCAGAATGGCACCACCACTCCAGAAAACAGTGGCACTTTCTTATAAAGTTAAACATACATTTATCATACGATCCAGCAATTCCACTCCTGGGTATTTTCCTAATGAAGACTTTTGTTTGTGCAAAAACTGGTACTCAAATGTCCATAGCAGCTTAATTCATAATAGCCCAAACGTGGAAACAAAGTATCCTTTAATAAGTGAATGGTTAAACTACAGTATAGCCATACTATGGAATACTACTTAGCAATAATAAGGAAGGAATTGCTGGTGTAGGTAACAACTTGCATGAATATTTAATTAAGGTTTTATACTGAGTGAAAGAAGCCAGGTTCAAAAGGGATGATTATAAAACTATAGTGATAGGGACCAATTCAGTGGTGCTGAGAGTAGAGGAGGGGAAGGATGTACACATAAAGGGGACAGCAGGAGAGATCTTTGTGGAGTGATGGAACTGTTCTGTATTCTGATGGTGGTGATGCTACCATACATTAAAATCAGAACTATTCATCCAAAGTAAATGTGTTAATTTTATCATATGATAATTTTTTTAAGATTAAGTAAAAACCACTGGCAAAGGAATTGACATGAACAATTCAGTATATATAATGTTGAGTAAATGAGACATTTATAAAAACTTTAAGCATCTTATTGGTGCTTTCTAGTGTTTTGTAAATTGGCAGAGGGGCATAATTTCCTGTTACCTTTGCTTAGAGAAATCTTTTTTTTTTTTGAGATGGAGTCTCACTCTGTCTCTCAGGCTGGAGTGCAGTGGCGCGATCTCGGCTCACTGCAACCTCCACCTCCTGGGTTCAAGCGATTCTCCTACCTCAGCCTCCCTAGTAGCTGGGATTATAGGCGCCTGCCATCATGCCTGGCTAATCTTTGTATTTTTAGTAGAGGCGGGGTTTCACCATCTTGGCCAGGCTGGTCTTGAGCTCCTGACCTCGTGATCCACCTGCCTCGGCCTCCCAAAGTGCTGGGATTACGGGCGTGAGCCACTGCGCCTGGCCAGGAGAAATCTTTTTTGATTTAGAGATTATTTCTTTTACAGAGTAGTAATTGTATTTTTTTGTTCAGTAGTAGTAATTGTATTTCTTTAACCATTAGAAGTTGGTCTACATGGAAAGACAGCCAGAACAATGAAAATAATAATACTTTGGCCTATGTATTGACTAGTTTTGTGTAGGTCCTAAAATAGCCTAATTTGAACTTGGCTTTAGCTAGTTACTTGGACAGTGTTTCTTCTTGTGTGCCTTGGGTCATTATAACCTTTGAAACTTCAGTGAATGACTTATGTTTATTTTAAAATCTTAGTGGCATGAAGTCACTGGAGCTTTCATAAATGTTTCTGCTATATGACTTGTGGTATCAGTGTAAGGGTTTATAATAAAGTCCTTCAGATCTTCTGAATTTGCTTCCATTGGAATTTTGTTAAATAATGCTCTTACATAAAATGGCGTTCATGCTATAAGTCAGTGGAAGAATGTGAGGTTAGACTATGGTTTAGAATTTTCATGGTTAGCATAATTACATGTTTGTATTTAGAGATGATGGTCTCCCTTCATGTATACTTGATGGGGGAAGAGAATGAACTGGTATCAGACCAGGTGCTTGCTAGATCCTTTCTCACATATTCCATCTCATTTAATCCTCAGAGTGCTTTGTTACCCCATTTTTCATGTGTAAAAACAGGATCTAGTGATTAAGTGACATCTGGGGACAAGTCATTAGTAACCTCAAGACGGAAGTGGAGTGCTAAAGTCAAAGTTCAGCTTCTTTGTGTAAGAATACTTTGTGGGTGTGCCTACCTACAATTCTCACCCCCAGGTCAATTACGATAGCTAACTGCTTCAGCTATGTTTTCTAGTTAGGATAGGAACAGTCATGTTGCTATTCAGAAGAAAAATGTCCATCAGTAGATCCTGGACACTGACAGTACATCTTATTCTTAAGGACCTTTAATTGACTGGAAGATTTTTAAGGTTCAAAACTGACCATATTATACCTCAAACTAGTCACTGTATATATTTCTCTGTTGTACTACTTTTGTCACTAGTTTAATTCACATAGCATAATGTCTTCAAGCTTCTTTCATGTTGTAGATTGTGTCAGAATTTCCTTAACTTTTAAGGCTAAGTAATACTCCACTGTGTATATGTACCACATTTTGTTTATCCATTCATCCACTGGTGGATACTTGGGTTGCTTCCACTTTTTGACTATTGGGAATAATGAATAATGCTTCTATGAGCATAGTATACAAAGAGCTGTTCGAGTTCCTGCTTTCAGTTCTTTTGGGTATATACTCAGAAGTAGGATTGCTGGGTCATATGGTAATTCTGTTTTTCTTTTTAAGGAATGGCCATATATTTTCCACAGTGGCTGTGTAGGCCATATATTTTATGTCATAAGTTATATAATATATATTATTATAATATAGTTCCATTTTTTCACATTAATGTGATTGCACTATACGTTATTCAGCAGTTTGCTTTTTTATTTGTAAGAAATCTTTCCATGTCTATACTTAGAGCTCTAAGTCTTTTCAGTCCCTAAATAGTATTCCATAATTTATCCAACCCCGACAGATGGTATACACATGATATATACACACAGTAGAGCTAAAGGTATGCACATTTTAAAAGCCACGTAGGACCATAGAGTCAACATTACCAGAACTTCAGACTTTGCAAGAAAGCCAGAAACCCAGATTTTTAAAAAAATTATTCCATTTTAAAAATGCCAAGCGAAGGAAAACTTGGTTCTAAGTTAGCTTCAGCTCTTGTGCCACCAATTTGTTATTTGAGCACTGATCTTTATCAACAATTATCATGGTCATCTAAATCTCTTCCTTTTTTTTTTTTTTACTTTAAAATTAAACCTATCAAAAACCACTCTGTCTTTTCCTGTCTGCCTCCTTGAACCTTTTTCAATGATCAAAATGCTTCCATTTCCTGGGGTTACTGCAATATGATGTTTCCTTAAATGCCACAATCCTCTTGGCCACTTCCATAGTATATTCTTCATTATATACTTCTCAATATTACATATTTTGAGGTGAGTGCTAACCCACATGTTTATTTGACATCTCACCATTTCCAAGGCACAGCCTCACTGTCCTCAAACACTTCAGCACCTGGTTTTACATTCTTATATATTATTTATACTGTGTCCCATCAACACAGACACTGACTCTTCACCTCTCTCATCTGGCATCCTGATTCTGCAACTGGAGTGAATTTCTAATTGCACTTTAGATACTCCAGAGCTTGGACCGTATAATTAGTGAGAAAAGTGACCCCACCTTTAACACTTCTGAACGCTGTGTCCCTGTCACTCCTTGCCGCTCCCACCGTCTGTCCCCTGCTTGCCTTCCGCCATTTCTCTTTTCCCATTCTGTTGGCTTCCTTTTTAGCTGTAACTAGCTTGAACTTCATGATCATTCACTTCAGAGTTACACCCTCTACCACCATAGAGTCATGCTTGGTATTCCAGCATCCCATCCTCCCAGTCCCTAGAATAATGACACACCAGGCCAATTCTGGCTCAGTAGTCTCCTACTTAACTGTTATACTCTTCCTTTTTTCCAGTACCCCCAACATTTGAATTCACCATATTTATCCAAAAGGTCGAAGAAATGCTTTGCAAACCCTTCAGTGGGTTGTGAAACCAAATTATTGGATGTTTGCCATTACTTAAAAATAACGGAGTAAAATAGAATGAAAAATAGAATGCAAGGCATATACTATAGGTAAATTCCATGTCATTACACTTTTGTATTACTGTGGGTAGCAGTAAGAATGGCCTCTGCACCTACCCCCGCGCCCCAGTGGAACTAATCTTGCACAGCTTTGGCAGGGTAGACGGCCACATCTTCAGGGAGGTCACTCTCCTGTTGGGACTTGAACAAAACCATTAAGTCCAAATTCCTTATTCAGACTTGTAGACCTTCCTGCGACCTGAACTCATTTGACCTTACTTAATGTTTCACAATCCCTCTACTGTACTTTTTAAAATGTTCCCAACCCAACTGGTCACTATTTCCCCAAGAAATATCCAGTTTCTGCTTATGTCATTCCCTCTTGTTTAACTACTGTACTGTGTCCTACTTTTGCTCATCAAAATTTTACTTACACTTCAAAGCCCATGTCAAATGCCAGCCTTCTTCATGGAATCTCTTGATATTTGAAAAAGTGGACTGGGAATACACACACAGCATGGTGTATGTTTGCAGTGGACATTCTAGTCTGTTGTATTGCACCTACCTGCATAACTGCATATTTACCTCCCCCAGCCACCCGTAGGCTCCTTGAGGCCAGGGACTGTTTTACTCCTCTTGTACCCCATTATGCTTAGCATAGGCACTCAACTCTAATCAGAATATTTGCTGCATTCCATTATATAGCCAGACAAATTAAATTATTTCAAAATCTGGATCAATGGCCATTACTTAAGTTTTGTTTTGTTTTTTTAATCTTAAATTTCTCATACTCTCTTTTCTGACTGGTTCCCAATGGTGATTGATTCTCCTTTCAGCAAATGTTTGAGCACCTGTTAATGCCCAGGCCTGGAGGAGTGAACAGAACAGGAAAGGAAGGAAACCTTCAGGGAGCCTATAGCCTCTGGGTTGAGGAGGTTCATTTAAATCCTTTTTTTCTTGTTTGGAACTTTCTTTAATACTGTAGAACAATATGTTTACTCAGTGAAGACCTGTGAGTGGCTCTCAAGTAGGGTTGACAGTTGAGACATTTGGCAGGGGACATTTGGCAGTGCCTGGAGGCATTTTTGGTTGTCACAGCTGGGGGAGGATGTTAACTGAAGGCATCTATTGGGTGGAGGCCAAGGATGCTGCCAAACATTCTACAGTGCACAGAACAGCCCCCATAGCAAAGAATAATGTGGCCTAAAATACCAGTAGTGCCAAGGTAAGGAAATCTTGGTATGAGCAAATCAAAGAATTATAAGCTTTATGCCTTTGTAAAGTCATATAAATGTTTGCGATAGAGATGTCCAAGTACACCAGGAAGAAAGTAATCAAAACTACAACTTAATTTTCTGAATCAAAATACACGCAGGTATACTTCCTCCTATGTCTAACATGTTTAGATCGACATTGTTCTTCATTTTAGTTTTCTGAAATTTATATGAATAGGAAGAAACTAATTAACACATATTACACATTCCAACCTTAATAAGCACTACACCATAGGAATAAATGTCAAATATCGCGTAACATGAAGAAGAGAGATTTTAGGATTTGAAAACTTAGACTACTTTCCAGTAGATTTATAGGCAGAATTTTCTAAATAAAACAGGCATTTAAATGAATCACAGTTCAGATAAAAATATTCTTAAATTATCTAAATGTCTCCATATAGTTCATCGTTTATTTCCTTTTCGCTTTTTTTTGAGATGAAGTCTCACTCTGTTGCCCAACCTGGAGTGCAGTGACACAATCTCAGCTGACTGCAACCTCCACCTCCCAGGTTCAAGTGATTGTCCTGCCTCAGCCTCCCAAGTAGCTGGGATTACAGGCACGCCATGCCCAGCTAATTTTTGTATTTTTAGTAGAGACAGGGTTTCACTATGTTGGCCAGGCTGGTCTCGGACTCCTGACCTCGTGATCCACCCGCCCTGGCCTCCCAAAGTGCTGGGATTACAGGCATTAGCCACTATGCCTGGCCCTATTTTTGCTTATTTTTATGTTTTCTCTAGAAGTAAATCTGATGAAGACCTTGCCTGTTATCCAGCTCTTAGAGCGATGCTTGGTGTGTAGTACATGCTCAGAAAATATTTGATAAATGGATATGAATCACCAGTTACAGGCAAGGAAGTGTGATGGCAGAAAGATGGTAGGAAGCAGAAGTTTTAAAGTCCCCCTAGAGTTAATTCCAAAATCACTGGTGTCAGCTTGGCCACCTGGTGCAGAGCTTTTATCTTTGAGTAAACCTTTTATGCTTCTTAACTTAGGAGATGTGTTGAGGGCATAAAATGGGTGACTGCTTCAGGAAATGGGCTGCATTTAGCCACCTTTCCTCTTGTTACACCTGGCTTTATCACACATTGTTTCTAGGCATCTTAGGGGACAGTGTAAAAGAGTTGAACTTGACCCACTGCAGTATTTGTAGAGGTGATGGTCAATCTGCATTATGGAGTTTAGGATCTGTGATTTAGAAACGGTACTTTTATGCGCCAGTCATTTGGCATTTCTCAGTTGTCTCTGGAATCAATTAACTTTCTTGAAAGGATGAATTTACCATGTTGGTGTTTTACTGGTTAGTGCAGGAAAGTATACTAGAGGGTTTATTGCTGGAGGGTTGACTTCACAGGTCTGAAGTACATCATTCATCCTCTGAGGTAGAGCACATTTATGAATAGTAGTAACAAGCCAGCCCAGACTGTTGGAGGGGGTCACTAGACTCCATGGATGAGGTGTTTTAATTTCCTGGACCTATGAAGAGTTTGCAAGTGTTACTATCTTGAAATAAATAGTATCAACCTGTGGTTCTTTTTCCTAAATTATGAAAATTGAAATTTTATGTTTTAGATTTTGGAATGGTATTTTAATAAGAATGATATTACTAGGATTTAGCTGAGTCATTAGATTACTAGAGTAGGCTAAATAGATTCTGAATACAAATAATGTGTGTGTTTCTTCCTTTTATCATTGTATTTTTTTATTTTTAAAGTTTGTAAAGTTTAATTTGCATTTCTTTTATGACATCACTCCTTTATTATTATTAATATTTTTAGAGGGAAAAATCAAGCAGTTTTATAATTCGAACATCCCAAATCTGAAATGCTCCAAAATTCAAAACTTTTTGAGCACCAGCATGATGCACAAAGGAAATGCTCACTGGAGCATTTTGGATTTTTGATTTTTGAATTTAGAATGTTCAACTGGTAAGCATAATAACAAATATTCCAAAACTTGAAAAAGCCTGAAATCCAAAACACTTCTTGTCTTAAGTGTTTCAGTAAAGGACACCTAACCTGTATTATTGAATAACCATTGAACCAGACTGTGATCACATCACAAGCAGTGTGTGCTAAAGAGATTGCGAAAGCCAAAAAGAAGTGTCACCCTTTGATACAGCCTGGCAGATACAAACTATTACATACATCCTAATTGTCGTTAATCAAAGGAAAAGGAAAACTCTGCCTTTTTACAAGTAGGAAGTTAATTTTGGAGCCAAAGCACCTAGGCCTTCTGAGAAGACAGGGAGATACCCTTCTTTTTATTATTATTGTTTCTTAAAATTGTGGTAAAATACACCTAACATAAAATTTACCAATTTAACCATTTTTAAATGTACAGTTCAGTGGCATTAAGTATATATATTTTTTTGAGATGGAGTCTCGCTCTGTCACCAAGGCTGTAGCGCAGTAGCGTGATCTCAGCCCACTGCAACCTCTGCCTCCCGGGTGCAAGCAGTTCTGCCTCAGCCTCCTGAGTAGCTGGGATTACAGGCGTGCGCCTGCCACCACACCCAGCTAATTTTTGTATTTTTAGTAGAGACAGGGTTTCACCATCTTGGCCAGGCTGGTCTTGAACTCCTGACCTCAAGTGACCCACCACCCTTGGCCTCCCAAAGTACTGAGATTATAGGTGTGAGCCACCACGCCTGTCCCCGGTGGCATTAAGTATATTCACATTGTTGTATAACCATCACCACCATCCATTCCCAGAATTTTTTCCTCATCCCAAACTGGAACTGTGTACCCACTAAACTGTAATTCCCCATTTCTTCCATGCCCCAGCTCCTGGTAACCACCATTCTCCTCTCTGTCTCTGAAGTTGTCTACCCTATGAGCCTCATATAATGAGATCGTATAGTATATGTAATTTTGTGTCTGGTTTATTGCATTTAACACAATGTCTTCAAGGTTCATACATGTTGTAACGTGTCAGAATTTCCTCCTTAAGGCTCAATAACATTCTGTTGTATTGGATAGACCACATTTTGTTTATCCATTCATCAGTGGGTGGACACTTGGGTTTCATCCTTTTTGTCATTGTAAATGGTGCTGCTGTGAACATGAATGTACCGACATCTCTTCGGACCCATTTTTTCAACCTGGAAGTGTAATTGCTGTATCTTAGGGTAGTTCTGCGTTCAGTTTTTTGAGGAATCACCATACGATTTCCCAAGAGGCCACGCTGTTTTACATTCCCACCAGCAATGCACAAGGAATCTGTTTTTCTCCATATATTCTTGTTGACATTTGTTATTTTCTTTTTTTTAAAAAAATAGTAGCCATCCTAATGGGTGTGAGGTATTCAGTGTCTCATTGTGGTTTTGATTTATATTTCTGTAATAATGAGTGAAGTTGAGCATCTTTTCATGTCCCACTCCCTTATTTTAAGAAATGTTTTTCCTTGTTTTTAAGATCACTGTACCCAATTCTCATTTATTCTAAATGAGATATATAAGATAAGCTTATTCAGCTATGATTTCAGCTTACCTGAAGAGAGAGATTTCTTTTTAGAGGCATTGCTGCTATGTGTCATAACATTTAAATTGCCCTTTAAACAGCAACAAAAATCTGCCACCAAATTGGAGTTGACTTTTTTTAATGTTCTTATTCTTCAGTTGGACTAGAGTAGGGAACAGAAGCTTCAGTGTTAGTTTTTCCCATTTCATACCTATTGACTGCCCATTGGGAAGAGGCTGAAGACTGCCTTTTTGGTAGTTGTTTTTTAAAACAAAATAATTTAGGTGGACCTATACGCTCTTATGTCAGGTTGTTTTATATCTTCTAAATCAGCTAGCTGGCTGGAGGATGTGTCACATTGTTCCCTGAACTGGTGTAAAATTATTCTGAAGAAAAACCACATTAACGGTATGTTTTCCTAGTGTCAGAAAATGTATGTATGAGAACCCATAGTGTTTCAGGTCCTGTGTGAAAAGTATAAAGAAACCTTTTTACATAGCTTCCTTAAAAGTACATAGTAACTGACATTTGTCAAGCGCTTATTATTTGTGAATGCTTCTGAGCTGTTTACATGTAGTATATTTAATCATCGCAGCTACCCTATGAGATAGAGGAATACTATTATTCTTACAGATGAGGAAATGGAAGTACAGAAAGTATTAAAGTAGGCAGTGGAGTTCACCTACCTGGTGCCAGAGACACAAACCTCATTGTAGAGTGTTTTTTCACTGGAAACTAGGAGTAAGTAACAGTGTCAAGTTTTTCTTCTTATGGGGTCTTCCTGTAGCTGTGTTTCAGAATTAATAAACAATTATACTTGCCAAGTAAGTTTGGGAGTTTTTAAGTCATTATTCTTTGTAAAAGTCCTGAGTTTTGATATATCTGCCTTTTTAATGATGAAATGTAAAACTACTGAGATAAAAAGATTTACCTAGGTATATTTGGTAAATTTATAGTGGCATAAAGTTATCATTGTAAATCGAAGTACAGAGTACTTTCTTGAGACCAGAAACGGGCCCTTTTGCCACTTCTTAAACTTGTCAACACTAATGACACCTACCATATTTCTTGGGGAGGGGGTAGACAGGGAGGAAGAAGCTGAGAAGTGTTGTGATTCCCATCCTGGCTGCCCCAGGTTAGAGTGTTGTATTGGACACTAGCCCCCTCATCACTTCACAAGAGCTGAAGCCTAATGCTCCTCGGGGTTGTTTACAGAAGGAGTTTTAGAGTTTCACTTCCTTGATCTTGAAGCCTGCATTTTGATAGAGTGGAAATGGTAGCCATGACAAAAATTAATCAAGGCCTGGTGCTTTTAAAATGGCAGATACTTTCAGTGGCTACTAGCCTGGGACTTTCAGCAAGGAGGCAGCTCATAGTTCGAAGTCTGATTTACCTCTGGTGGATGACTTTACCCCCTTTGAAGGGCTACCTGTAAGTAAGTGTTTTCAGGGCTTAATTTTTTACGTCATTTTGTTCTTCGAGGGGGTTCAAAATCAAATAATCTGAACATTGCGTTTAATAGTTTTAACCCACTTCTGAAATTAACATTAAGAACTAGAAGTACACATTTCATTGTATTATGCCCAGTCCAAGCCAGGCATTGGAAGGCCAGGGAAGAGAAGAAGCAGATAAATAAGAGTGAGAGAGTAGCTTAGTATAGGAGAAGGGAAAACAGGAAGGAGCTTCAGAAGACCAGATGAACAGCAGGGGAGCTCAAGTCTGTCAGACCAAAGCTTCAGCCCAGTACTTAACGTTTATTCTTAATTAAATAACTGCCTTGTAAGTTATTTTGATGCAACCCAGAATCTTTTTTCCATTCCCACCCAAACCTTGCATTGTATTGTCTTTTTACCCCTGCTCATATCCTTGATCAGATTTTTAACCAGGCTTTCCTTGACTTAAATCTTAAGGAATTGTTTATTGGGCCTCTTACGAATATTCTTAGTAGTTTGACTGCATTTATTCACTCATAAATTAATTGGTAACCAAATTCCATACTTTGTAGGTTTTCTTGTTTCTTTCAACTGGACTACCTGTGGGAAGATTTCTGTTTTTATATAATAGGCTTTTTGAAACTTGCCTTTAGGCCAGGATTTATTTTTCACGTGCCTGTTATACTTTGTTCATCTAATAAAGTGGTTTGAAATAGTCTTTCAGCTGATGTATTGTCTTCTAGAATATTGACTCTTTTTTTTTAGAAAAATAAACTTATTTGGAATAATTTTATAGAAAATTTACAAAGATAGTACAGACTTCCCAAATATCCCTCACTCAGCTTCCAGGGAATGTTCACTTCCTGCTAGCTGGCACAGTGATCTAAACCAAGAAAATACCCTTGGTAGACTACTGTGAACTTCATTATGGACTTCATTTGGATTTCATCTGTTTCCCACCAGTGTCCTTTTCTGTTCCGGGACCCTGGTCAGGACCTCTAGTGTCCTCCATCCCCTGTCTTCTGGGGCAGCTTTTCTGTTTGTCTTTGGTGATCTTGACACTTCTGAGGAGTACTAATCAGGTGTTTTATAGAATGTCCCCGATTTGGGTTTGTCTGATGCTTTCTCTATATTAAATTATGGCTGTGTGTTTGGGAAAAGAATAGCCCAGAGGTGCAGGGCGCTTCTCAGCACCCCACATGGCACGTGGCATTGACTCGGCTTAGCACTGGATGACGCTGACCTTGGTTGCTTGGGTAAGGAGCTCTCTGTGGGTGTTTGCTCTGCAGTGACCAGTTTTCCTTTCGCTTATTTATAACATCCTCATACTTTGGAAGCAGTAGATGAGTCCAGTCCACATTCAAAGGGGATAGGGTTAAACTCTACCTACTGGGGGGAAAATTGTATGGTATTATTTGAATTCTTCTGTAGGGAAAATGTGTCTCTTCCCCCTTCATTTAATCATTTATTTATATCATTATGGGCTCCTGTCCTCTTTTTATAGGGTCATAACTAATTCATTTGGGGTTATATCCAGTTCTGCCTTATCCTTGCTTGCATTGTCCTGGCTCTGGCTTTGGGAGCTCTCTTGGGTTGGCCCGTGTGACACATGCCATCCTTTTGTTTTGGGAGTGCTTCCTTGCTTTCTGGACCTACGAGATGCTTTAGGTGCACCTTGTGTTTTCCTGCTCCAGTGTCAGCTGTTTCCAAAGAGAAGCCCCGGTTCTTTGTTATGGAGAAGGTGCCTGGAAACCTTGGTCTGGGCACTGGTGGGGTCCTGCTGCTGGGGTGTCTCTGTGTCTAGGCCCTCATAGCTGACAGCTACAGGTGCTACTGCTGCTTGGGGGTCCGTGTAAGGAGATCTGTGTGAACACCAGATCTTCCATTGTTTCTGTACCCACCTATGTGTGTATTTTCACCTGAACACCGGTTCTCACTGATGTCTCATGGCTAATGCAGCACCATGAGGTTCATTCTAGCCTTCTCCTTTTGCATGATTATTTGTAGTTTCTTTCTCTGACAGTGAGGACCTGGCTCATACGGCATTTGCTTTAACCCTAGTGTTCCTGCAAAGTAATTTCAGAATTGTTAACACAGATTCTGGGAGGCATACTTACACAAGTCGAGTGCACTGTTTCCCAGGTACTCAGGCAGTTCCTTTTCCCCAACCAGTTTCAGTGAGGCTATTTCATACATTTTATAATACAATTTTATAGATTTGTCAGTCTGCATTCTATCCTGGCATCCCCTGACACCCAGGTTGATTTGTTTTTTCATTTGCATACATTAAAGTTTATTCTGTGTGATGTACAATTGTATGAGTTTCGACAAATGCTGAGTCATCTTGTTGCTACCACCCCTAGGCAATCGACTTTGAACTCTTTCATTCAGAGTTTTTTGTGATTTTCTTTGCCAGATCTGCTGTCACCCCCCCCCCCCTTTTCCCCCATTGAATAACTGTGGAACCACACTTCCATTATTCACCCATGGAAAAGGACATCCTCTCTGTTACTCTTGTGGTTTTTAATGCCAGGTTGCATTTCCTCAGATAAAAGCACAATTAATTTTAACGAGAGGGAAGAGTTCTAGAATTTTAGAAGTTGAAGGAATGTAGAGATCTGAGATTTTACATTGGTTGTTGGGGAGGTTGTCCTGGCAGGTTGGGTATCTGGGGCAGAGCTGGAGCGTAGACTCCGATTTCCCTCCCCCCGACCCTCTTTACTCAGGAGACTTGGGATAGGAAAGATGGACTGAGGCCAGGTTGGGAGTGGTCCTACCTTTGCTGCAGGTGTGAAGCTGTGTTCATGGGTGTGGTCCTTTATCTTTTGTTTTAGGACACAAATTCTAGCAGTCAGATGTTTGTTTAATGCTCTGTCTGGTTTTGGGAAGGATTATGGTATGGTTAATCATTTGCAAATTAGAGTTGTACTGAATTATTGTTTGCTTTTTAATGCCAATCTAAAGTCAAGTGTTCTCAGTGAATAGGTAATTCTGTTATGGGTGGAGGAAGGAGGTAATTATGAAAAGCCCCACATGCCACCTTTGTTTTTTTGTATTTTTTTTGGTTTCTTTTTTTTTTGAGACGGAGTTTCGCTCTTGTCGCCCAGGCTGGAGTGCAGTGGTGTGATCTTGACTCACTGCAACCTCTGCCTCCCAGGTTCAAGAGATTCTCCTGCCTCAGCCTCCCGGGTAGCTGGGATTATAGGCGCCCGCCACCACGCCTGGCTAATTTTTTTGTATTTTTAGTAGAGTCGGGGTTTCACCATTTTGGCCAGGCTAGTCTCACACTCCTTGACCTCAGGTGATCACCCACCTTAGCCTCCCAAAGTGCTGGGATTACAGGTGTGAGCCACTGCGCCCGGCTACCACCTTTGTTTTATGAGGTTCTACTGCATATTGGCCTGTACTGGATAGACTGTATCTTACTAGTTTTAATTTGCTAATTTAAGGAATCTTTGGGGAACCATGAAATGCAACACCAAACTGGGGCAGTTTTTAATTTTTTTTGGTGCTTGCTGGCTGCCAGCACCAAGCTAGACCCTTGACGTGAAGATGCGTAAGCTGTGCCCCTTGTCCTGTTGGAGAGACATATATGTAAAAGAACGGTAGTTTGTCCAAAGTGCTGTAGCAGAGAGGTGACCAGAGTGTAGGTATGGTTTATAATAGTACTTCTTCAGCTTTTCATTAGGTTTTTTTCTTTTAAAAGAGGATTTTTAAGGCATAATTCCACCACTCTGATTACAACTATGTTGACCTTTGCCTTTTTCTTTCCAGCCTTTTACCACAAAGTTTTACATAGTTGGGTATATATGATATTGTATTCTGAAATGCTTTTGTTTAATACTTTATCCTAAGCTTTTTCTGTTTCTCCACAGTACAGCGTAGTGGCTGTGTCTATCTCCGTAATTTATTTTTTTCCCTTAGGAGTCTACCGTGATCCTTTTTATGCTTCTAATGTTTTTTATTTAGTGAATTAGTTTCTTAGGCTCTATTTCCTGGAGTGAGGTTACCGGGTTAAAGAGTGTGAACGTTTTACAGCTCTTGAAATATATTGCCTGCTGTTTTACAATACTGACAGCATTACTTGAAAGCTGCCAGATTAGACCTGATCCCTGCTACTCTCAGACTTCATCATCCCCCGCTTTTCCTCTTGATCCCAGGATTGGAACACAGTGGGTCCCTCTGCCCAGGCAACAGGCCAGGCTCATTTCCTGACCTTTCTAGGTCCCCTGCCCATGCTGCATGGATACTCTTCCTTGGAGGTCCTGCCCAGGGCCAGCCCCTCCTTTCAGGTCTTGGTTAGAAAGCCTCTTCTTGTGAGATGGCTTTGCTTCCACCGTGGGCCAGCAGCCCCTTCTCACCCAGGCATTGTTCACCACCCTGTGAAGCTGGGAGATGAGTGCTGGCTGTCTCTGAACTCCCTGCTGATGGAGGTGGGCAGGGCTGGGCTCTCACCTCCTTTTAGCCTCTGTTTTAGTTCTGCCCAGCTTCCTTCCCAACATGTGTGAATCTAAGGAACAAGCTGACTTTTCTAGATCTCCTTGGAGGAGTGAAGGAGGGTGAGCCAAGAAGGGAGTGGTCACTTACTGTCTCCTTTCATTTTCGTGTCTCTTAATAGAGTGTACAGACTTAACTATTAAAGATGTCTGGAAAAAAGCCAGTAATTTCTAATGATTTTAAAATAGTTTAAAAATCACTGTAAATGTAAAGTTGTACATAATAAAAAGATTTGAGGTAAAGAACTTGGATTAGAAATTACCATTTCTAGAAGTGAGAGGATGAAGCAGGCCTAATTTTGGATTTAAAAAAAATCTATTCTATTTTAGCTGGTATACAGTGTTTTTAGATTGAGGGATAAAACAGCATTTCTTATTCTAAAGAATAGAATGTTATTTGACTGATTGGATGTTGTTTGGTTTTTTTCTTATTAAGTAAAATGTTTTTATGGAAATGTTTACCGAGAATTCAGAAAGTAATTTCTTCTTTTACGTATGCATCTTGAAAAGGTTTGCTTTGCCTCTCAGTGAGATTTCATTATAGCTAACCTTCCAACAAAATGTGGCGACTGCTTTTATTATGAAAGTTGGTGAGAAGTGAGGTCCATTCTACAGTGATGTCCAGTAGAATTTTCTGACGTAGTGAGAATGTTCTGTGCTGTCCAATTAGTATGTTAGCTTCTGGTCTCCTGTGACCACTGAATACTTGAACTTAATTTTGAATTTAATTTAATATAAACTTTCTCTCAATGTAGCCACACATTGGACAGTAGTTTTAAAAACTTGGGGTTAAGGGTGGCACACATTTTTCTCCTCCAAGGCCCTGTGGAGAGTTAATACTCCATTGTTATTGGAATCACCTAATTTAGTTTAAAATTCTGTTCTCAAAATTACCTTATCCATTGTAGAAACGAAAAACCTGCCAGAATTTTAGTTGGATTAATGAGTATGTGAAACAGCAGGAGAGAATTTGGTGGTCTTGGACTGTAAATCATTTAGAACATTTTTTCCAGGTGTTTTGGTATATTTTTTGGACTAGAGAGAGCCCAGAGGACTTTGACTTCTCAAAGGTGTTGCTTCTCTGCTTGCTCCTTCGTGTGTTGTGGAAATCCGAGGTATTGTGGATGTTACATTGGGGATTCAGTAGAAGTAAAGAGGGTGTCTTAGATTTTTTCATCATTGAAAAGGCAATTGATATAGACCTAGTCTTGACATAGTGTGTGGGACATAGAATAAGCCTGTGGCAGTTACATTGAGGGTGAACGTGTGCATCCTTGTATGGTCTCCACGTGTGGGAGGCCTTAGGAGGATAAGAACTGGTTGACAGGTAGGCCGAGGGATCATACTTTTATTTTATTTTTTAAATTCTGATGATTTCACCTGACACATTTGATCTACTTTGAAGAAATTGTTTTGATTTCATTGACAGTGGGTGGCTTCTTTCTGTCTCCTTTCTCACAGAACTCTTTATTTTCTTGTGTCTTTCTCCCCCTCTCTTTCTTGAAAATACTGTCATGGGGTCAGCTGGCTTTGTGTATTTTCAAGCAAGGTGATCTTTGAGCTTGACAAGAATTGAAAATTGATTTACAGTCTAGATGGGATCATAAGTTACTGACAGGAGATGATTTAAATGCGATTTCCCACAGAAATTTCTTAGTGGAGCAATGTGTTGCAAACTTTATTATGGCATTTTTTTGACTGTTTGGCTTTCACGGATAGTTTTCATAAATGTGATTTTTCAGCTTCTGTGCAAACATTTCTGCTTATTGAGCTTGTTGCTACAGTGTTACCCTACATCTGATGAAGTTTTTTTCTCGTTTGCCAGGTTGCACAGAGCATTGAGGATCACCATCAGGAAGTGATTGGTTTCTGCAGAGAGAATGGTTTCCATGGCTTGGTTGCGTATGACTCTGATTATGCACTGTGCAACATCCCCTACTATTTCAGTGCCCATGCCCTAAAACTGAGCCGGAACGGGAAAAGTCTCACCACAAGCCAATATCTGATGCATGAAGTTGCCAAGCAACTGGACCTGAATCCAAATCGTTTTCCTATTTTTGCTGCTCTCTTAGGTAGGTGGAGCAGTGTGAAAATATTTTATAAGGGAGTGACCATATGATAAGCACATTGATCTTTTAAGTGTTTCTGTGCTTGAATGTTTTGGATATGTATCACACATTGAAAAGAACCAAGGCGTGGGCTCTTCCTTAGCATTCCTTGCTTCGTATTATTTTTTGGCATAGCTAATGTGCTACTTTTGTTCTTAAGTGTTTGTTGAGGTATTGTTCTATCCAGGAATTGTTCAGATTAATTTTGTGAAAAAACTCATTTAAGGTTTTGGAAAACTAACATTCTAAATCACAGATGTCAACACATGGTCACTATGTAAATTAGACATTTAAACCTTTGACATAAATTATGTTTATAGTAGAAGAAAATATGCTATGGGGTTAGAATGGTTATGTTTTCACCTCATTTTCGGGATACTCACTACTTTAAAAGAGAAACAAAAATAAGCTATCGTAGCTTGTTTCCAACACCTACATTTTAAGTAAATGTATACATGTCTTTAAAAAATTTCCTTGGAGGAATTCCTTATGCTGAATACCCAGAAAGGATGAAATCTTGTTTTAACTATGACATTAGATTTTAATTTTCTTTAATTAAAAATAATTCCCCCACGCCTGTAATCCCAGCACTTTGGGAGGCCAAGGTGGGCAGCTCACCTGAGGTCAGGAGTTTGAGACCAGCCTGGCCAACATGGTGAAACCCTGTATTTACTAAAAATACAAAAATTAGCCGGGCATGGTGGTGGGCGCCTATAATCCTAGCTACTTGGGAGGCTGAGGCACAAGAATGGCTTGAACCAGGGAGGTGGAGGTTGCAGTGATCCAAGATCGTGCCACTGCACTCCAGCCTGGGAGACAGAGTGAGACTTTGTCTCCAAAAAAAAAAAAATTCCCAAGAAGTAATATATTTGTCTGTCACTTTATATTTGCATTGTGTGTTTTCTTTCTTTGCTCTTTTGTCAGCTACCCTTTCTTATGCTTTCATTGTGCTTGTCTCACCCTACTTTAATATCCAGCTCTAGTTTACTTAGTTTATAAGAATTGTGTCCAAATATAAGTAAACATGTTTTGGAGGGAGGCACTCCTGTGATTAGAATCCATGAATCTGATGGGATTTGGGGCTGTTTTGGACACACAAGGCCAGTTTGGGAAGCTGTGTGGTCTCTAGTGCTCAGTTACTGTGCTCCCTTGCAGTATATATTCTATAGAGGCTAGCAGTCCAATCCAGTCCTGTTCAAGAGGGGATTATATTGTGGATTATTTTTAGAAATGCCTAGTTATCAGAAAGATTTTTATAAACATTCCAAAACAGTTTTACACAACTAGAAATTGTAAGGAGTCACAATTTATTTTTATTTTTTTGGAGGGACTGGTTCTTTATTTCAAAGAGACACTTTTCAATATTCAGTATCAAAACGATTGCGCTATTGATTTCTATTTCTCCCAATCGGTCTCAAAGGAGAGTACATTTTAAGTCAATAAGTTGTAGGATGTATACCAACAGACCTCCTAGAAACCTTACCAGAAAATGGGGACTGGGCAGGGAAAGATTAACTTTAAAAGATCAGCAAACTGCCAGCCCATGGGCTGCAGAGGCTATGCTTTTCAAGTTTTCATCGTTAAGATATCTTTGGACAATTTTTTTTTTTTTTAAATGGAGTCTTGCTTTGTTGCCCAGGCTGGAGTACAGTAGTGTGATCTTGGGTCACTGCAACCTCCACCTGCATGGTTCAAGCAGTTCTCATGCCTCAGCCTCCTGAAAGCTGGGATTACAGGCGCCCACCACCACGCCCGGTTAATTTTTATATTTTTAGTAGAGACAGGGTTTCACCATGTTGGCCAGGCTGGTCTTGAACTCCTGAGCTCAAGCAATCCACCCACCTCTGTCTTTGCTGGGATTACAGGTGTGAGCTACCGCGCCCAGCCTTTTTTTGTTGTTGAAACAGGTTTTTACTCTGTTGCCTAGAGTGGAGTGCAGTGGTGCAATCTCGGCTCACTGCAACCTCCACCTCCCAGGCTCAAGTGATCCTCCCATCTCAACTTCCCAAGTAGTTGGGACTACAGGTGCATGCCACCACATCCGGCTAAAGTTTTTTGTGTGTTTTTGGTTGAGACAGGGTTTCATCATGTTGGCCAGGCCGGTCTCCAACTCCTGAGCTCAGGGCGATCCACCTGCCTGAGCCTCCCAAAGTGCTGGGATTACAGGCATGAGCCATTGCGCCTGGCCACATAATTTTTTATATGTTATTTTGTGAAAGCATTTCATGTTTTACTATATGAGTCAGTCAACAAAATTGTGATTTCACAACTTGTGTTTGTTTGGATCTAATCTCAAATACAGTGCTTAGTAAGGGAACTCTTGTGCCTTTGGGGATTTGGGGATTAAAACGAATCTTTTAAATATATTTTCAAATATTAAAATATAAAAGGATATTTCCTCTGATGTTAAAAGTGAGTATGGGGGTGGCACATTATATGGAAAGTTCCATGTTTGCTTAAATGCTATGTAAAATAACTTGGCATATTAATTGACTTTGAATGTGAAAATCATATGCTCTTAGAATATGGATGCCTTAGCTCATTTGAAAAATGGAAGAATACTTGTTTATCTTGTTTAAGAAACATTGAATATGGTATTTGGAAGATGATGCCAACTGATACTTTTCTAGCTTGTTAGTTTGTGAAGTTTTGAAATAAATGAAAAAATCAATTGCAATATGTTGTCAATTTAATTTAGGGCTTGCAATCTCTTCAAAAAGTTTAGTGAAGTTATAGGTAAGCTCCTAAGTTTTTGTTGTTGTTGTTGTTGTTGTTGTTTTTTGAGATGGAGTCTCTCTCTGTTGCCTAGGCTGGAGTGCAGTGGTGCGATCTTGGCTCACTGCAACCTCTGTCTCCCAGGTTCAAGCGATTCTCATGCCTCAGCCTCCCGAGTAGCTGGGATTACAGGTGTGTGCCACCGCACCTGGCTAATTTTCACCACGTTGGCCAGGCTGGAAAAGTTTCACTGTGCTCAAATGAGAAAGCTTATTTTTCTTTTCCCTTCTGTAATGGAAAGTATAGCTATATAAAGTATTTTGTTTTAGGAATGTTGGAATATTCATTTAAGTATTTCACCCCCCAATTTTTCACAGGGACTGTTACTAATGTTGGAGTTGCCTTAATATTATTTCGAATTGAAGCTTCCAAAATTTCGGACACTTCGTTCTTTTTTTGTTTGTTTGTTTTTTGAGACAGAGTCTTGCTCTGTCGCCCAGGCTGGAGTGCAGTGGCATGATCTCGCCTCACTGCAAGCTCCGCCTCCCAGGTTCACACCATTCTCCCACCTCAGCCTCCCGAGTAGCTGGGACTACAGGCAACCGCCACCACTCCCTGCTAATTTTTTGTATTTTTAGTAGAGATGGGGTTTCACCGTGTTAGCCAGGATGGTCTCGATCTCCTGACCTCATGATCCGCCCACCTTGGCTTCCCAAAGTGCTGGGATTATAGGTGTGAGCCACCGTGCCCGGCCAGACACTTCATTCTTCACCGTGAAATTCTATGCAATCCATTAACGGGAAAACAATATCAAGCCAGCAAACCTGAGCAGTTACGGTTCAGATTTGCTCATTTGGACATCACGGGAGTTCAGTACCTCTGGCTTGTGTGTTTGTGTGTTTGGAATACAGGTGGAGTGTCCCTTATCTGAAATGCTTAGGACCAGAAGTATTTTAGAGTATTTGCATATGCCTAATGAAGTATCTTAAAGATGGGACCCAAGTCAGCATGAAAGTCATTTATGTTTCATATATACCTTATACACATAGTTTAAAGGTAATTTTGTAAAACATTTTAAATAATTTTGTGCAGGAAACAACATTTTGACCGCCTTTTGACTGTGACCCATCTTATGAGCACAGGTGTGGAATTTTCCACTTGCATCATGTTGATGTTGAAAAAGTTTCAGATTTTACATCAGATTTTACAGACTTTACATCATTTTGGACTACGGATGCTCAACCTATATTATAACGTAGCAATATTCCAAATGGTCTTAGTTTGTGTTGCATTCTGTTAGTAGCAAATTAATGAATTTGCTATCATAATGTGGAGGTGATTAAGTAATGTTATAAAAATCATGGTTATTTAGGAAATTACTGCTTTGAGATTTCAATGAGATAGCTAACCTACTAAAGATCAGGTATACCAGGCATACGAACATTATTATGAAAGTAGAGTATTACCCCCAAATATAGTTTCTCAATTGAATACAGTTTTGTTTGTAGACTGTGACAGCACTGGTGATAGGATGAGCAGCTTAATGGCCTCATGAGTATTACTGTAGGATGGGCCTTTTCACATATGTTTGTGGGTGGTGATGGAAATTATGGGAGAAGGGTGTTGATTCATGTTACAATCAGCAGTCATTGTCATTTAATCTTGCTAAGAAAGGTTTTATAATTGTGCAGATTTCACATTTGGTGTTTTTATGTAATTTTGAACCGTAGCTATTTCATGAACAGATGAAAGCTTGAACCATAGTCATTTCATGAACAAATGAAAACTTGAATCTAATTGGTATTTGATATCCTGACATTGTCAGACTGACCTTTTGCAAACTGGTGTTTATTTTTAATACTGTGCTGTGAAGTTGTTTCAGTTTTATGCAGTTCTTAGGTTGAATGCTGTTGGGACTGCACTAGAAATTCCCGTCATTCTTGAAGCAGCTGCAAAGATTCTGCCTGCTGTATGTCGCTTTATGTTAAGAGATGAAGATTTGTTCTCAGTTTCTGTTTGAAAGTTTTCTACTATAGGTGACAATATGCAGCACTTTTGAAAGTTTCCCTATGTTACTTAAGATGATTGCTTTTATGTTATCCATGTTTATATTCCAGGAAATCACATTCTGCCTGATGAAGATCTGGCTTCCTTTCACTGGAGTTTACTTGGTCCAGAACATCCACTAGCCTCACTAAAGGTACAAATTTCACTTTATTTTTCTAGCATTTGTAATAATCAACTGTGAGTTTGCTATTACTTTAATAACATGTTAGGCCCTTTATTGGTGATGCTACAAAGTTAGCAATACCATGTTTTCCCATAATTTCAGGATCTGCACTGCCTTAAAAAGCAAGCAACAATGCTACCATCCCTTGTTCTCAACACCTATATGTTAGGTAAATGTATAAATGTCCTTGAAAATTTCCCTTAAGGAATTCTTTGTGCTGTGTACCTAGATAGAAGGAAATCTTTGAGCTGATGTTTTATATATTAATTTTCTTACTTAAAAATTTTAATTTTGTCTTTAGGTAGTATAGTTACTTGTCACTTAGAGCAACATCTTTGCATAGTTGATAAATTTCATAACTAATTTTCTACAATTATAAAATAGTTTATAAAGCTTTTTGGATGATGAGGGAGACTCAAATGGAAGTGATCCATTTGTACTATTTTATTAAAACTTAATATTCTTTTTCTCCCTTTTGATTCCCTTCCTGTTTGTGATAGTAATAAACATCAGAGATGAGGCACTTAATTCTGATTTTCTGCAGTGGAAGTGTCTGTGTTTGATGTGAGCATAGGAGTAATGAGTGAGATATGCACGAGGCACTGGAAAACTTCAGCTTGGACTTGTTAGTGACTCCTGTGATTGTAATGATCATTTGTCAGTTCAAGTGCCTTTCTTGACTTGGGGAATTAGGAAGATGGGGACCTAGACTTTGTATCTGCTTCCCACCCTGGGACTGCTTCCTTACAGTAAAGAGTGGCGGTTAAATTGGGTGTTTTCCGAAGGGCTGTAAAATTTTGAATGTTGTCGTAATTACCCTCCCTCCATAAACAATTTTAATTGGTGGCTAGTTTCAAATGGGAGTTTTTCTTCCTACATTTTAATTTACCTTTAACTCTGGTGATACCCAAAAGCTGAAGTAGAATTCCTTTCCTCCTTTCATTTTGTTCCCTGCTGTTTCATCTCTGGCATGCTTTTTCTTTTTCATCTCTGGCATGCTATAAAATGTTCTCCTTTTCACCCTAATGGGGTTTGGTATGGACTGTTTTCAACTTCTTGTTCAAAAATTAGTTTTTCTTCTCTTGTTAGAAATTACATTTCTGGCCATAGAATCCCTCCTGTATGTTTTCATGAATGAAGTGATGTGATCTGTCATTCGGACTCTAAGCTTCTGGTGATGCCATGATTGAAATGTGGATTGGGGAAATGCAGCGTGTAATCAGCTGGACTTAAGAGCACTGCACCTGTGCTCAGTAGCTCTGTTAAGCATTATGCTTTTGTAAGTGAGACACAAATGAAAGCTTGTTTCCTACAAGATTTATTTTGTTTTGAAGAGCAGGAGTGAGATACTCCCAAGGTTTCTGGCTATATGTGTATGTCTAAGTTAAACTAGCCCTGCTTCATATGTCACAGGGTTAGAAGTGAAGAGCTGTTTGAAGAATTATTGGAAAACCAGCTCAATCTATTGCCAAGTGAATAACATCATTATATGTGTGTTTTTCCTAAATTTTGTTGAGAAAATCTTTAAGTATTGAAATGTGGAAAGAATAGAGAAATGTGTATCCGTATATCCCCCATCTTGGTTCAACAATTATAAACATTTTGCCATAAAGTATATGTCTGTGTTTTGTTTTGTTTAACAAAAACTATTTGGAAGTAAGTTGCAGATATGACACTTTACCCATGAAAATGTCAGCTTGCTCCACCACTTCAGCTTGCTCCATCACTTCCTAAAAATAAGGACATTTTGATACTTTATCATATTACTCCTATGACATCAACTAAATTAATAATTCTTTAATATCTTTTTTTTTGAGACAGGGTCTTGCTCTGTCACCTGTGCTGGAGTGCAGTGTCTAATATCATTTAATATTAAGCCCATATTCAAATTTTTTCAGAGTCATTTATAGGTTTTTTTTTTTTTGATCGAGATCCAGTCAAGCTTTATGCATGCATTTTGATATTAGCTGAGTACTTTTATGGCATATTGGAGAAGAAATCCTAAATTATTTTTCAGATGACTTGATACGTTGTAGGATTTTAAAGTCACACATGAAATGCAAGTGCACCTGGTTTTGAGATAAGTTCAGAAATTGCATTTGTTAGCCACTTTAATGTTTTTATTTGAGACAGAGTCTTGCTCTGTCACCCAGGATGGAGTACAGGGGTGAGATCTCGGCTCACTGCAACCTCTGCCTCCAGGGTTCAAGTGATTCTCCTGCCTCAGCCTTCCAAGTAGCTGGGATTACAGGCGCCTGCCACCACGCCAGCTAATTTTTGTGTTTTTAGTAGAGGCAGGGTTTCACCATGTTGTCCATATTCGTCTCGAACACCTGACCTCAGGTGATCCACCCACCTTGGCCTCCCAAAGTGCTGGGATTATAGGTGTGAGCCACAGCACCCGGCTCACTTTAATGTTTTGACCCTTCATTCACATTTTTGTATGCAGCACCATTTCAGTGATTTTAATATACATAGGGGAAATTGGATGTGGTTTTACTCCCCATGAGCATGACTGATGGATGTGCTACAGAATTGTATGTATCCCACCTGCTATTTTAGTCTCTTTGTTTTTCCCCAGTTGTAAAACCAATTGCATCTTTTGAAAATTTGGATAGTTGTTACATATCTTCCATAATATTCTGAGTTTTATTTTCTGAAATATTCTTTGTGTTTTTGTATTATGTTGAAATGATGAGAGGTTTAAGATTAGGGTATTGCATTTTTTTTTTTTTTTTTTTTTTTTTTGAGACGGAGTCTCGCTCTGTCGCCCAGGCTGGAGTGCAGTGGCGGGATCTCGGCTCACTGCAAGCTCCGCCTCCCGGTTTCATGCCATTCTCCTGCCTCAGCCTCCCAAGTAGCTGGGACTACAGGCGCCCGCCACTACGCCCGGCTAATTTTTTGTATTTTTAGTAGAGACGGGGTTTCACCGTTTTAGCTGGGATGGTCTCGATCTCCTGACCTCGTGATCCGCCCGCCTCGGCCTCCCAAAGTAGGGTATTGCATTTTAAGAGGTGCTTTGAATTGATTAGATATTAACTTCATAGAACACCAGCCCTCTGTGAACAATAATAAATTTGGCTTTGGCAAAATAGTACAAATATAATATGATAAAAGGGATGGACCAAGGAGGCTTAAGCTTGAGGATGCAAAGTCACGTGTCCTTAACAGCTATTTTTCCAGTATACTCTGTTAGAAAGGGAACCAATAAAAATCATGAGAAAATTTCATCTTTTTACCATCTGATGAAAATCACAAAATACCATGGATAGGAAGTCATCAGTAGTCGATAATTTATGTGATTCCAAATCTTCAGTATGTTGGCAGCACTATGAATTTTTGTTTTCTTTATAAGTAGCATCCTTAGACTCATCTTTTAAACATGTGTCTTTACCAATTTCACTACATGCATTCATTCATTCACTGTAAATTTTTAACTCTCTGACTGTCATCGAACCAGCTACATCAGTTAGAAATTGTGAAGTCCTCCCTGACTGTCCACAGCCCTGGTTGTGTTGAAAGAATAGCACGTCTGCTTTGGGGCTCTGCGGGCTCAGAAGCACAAGGGAGAACAACTGTTAAATCATTGGGTAATATCTGCAGAGAGGAAAGCTAGGATGGGAGCCAAATTCTGTTTTGTCCTGCCTTATTAGTTAGTAGTAGATCGTGCTTATTACTAGATTATGAATGCAATGTTAGACATACTCAGAACCTAAAATTGGTAGAAGACAGTAGGAAATAGGATGTAAGGTGACTTCTTCATACCTCAATGGTAACCTTAAGAGCTGCTAGTAAGGTGGGCATTGAATTTCTTAGGTTTAGATGCAAAGACTACTTCATTTATGTTCAGAACACTTGGGCCATTTCATGTAACATGTAAAATTGTAGGATGGGGTTAGGGGTCAGATAGCTTCTAAGATGTGGTCAATTCTATAATGAGAGAAAGAAAACAAGAGTTATGTGTTACTCCCTATTCCTCGGGAGACCTGCTGTTGGGATTCCTTGCTGCAGTCCCGGAGATGCCTGGAGGCTGGGCTGGAGTGCGACCTCTGTCTCTACCCAGGCCCAGGTCCTGCAGAACAGGGAGCCTGGCAGCAGATGATACAGAGCAGGCTGGGCCAGGATGGGTAAAACCCCAGGGCTGCACAGACACCCAAGCCTGAGGCTGCGTTTATCTTACTTTGCTCTAAGTAAGTTACTCTGTTTGATTGGAAACATAAGAGAATCTTTTATGTACCTGGAAGAGTTGAGATACACTCCTGGAATGCCTCCCAAACAATGGGGAAGGCATTCCAGGAGTGCATCTCATTTCCTCGCTCATTTAAACTTTTTCCAATGGCAATATTTCTTAAAAGGGTCATATCTTTAATAAGGAAAATACATTGAATATCCTTTCAATGTGTTTTTGGACTCAGTGTTATAATTAGGAAGATTTGTGATTGTATTTACAGTAATGAAAAGTGGGCTGGATGCATATTGGTCTTTCGAAGAGGCTCCCACTGTTTGTGTTGCTCTGGGCCGCTGTGCTCCTTTCATGGTTTTAGTGTGGCTGGCAGTGTTGCATGAGAGAAATGGAAGGCGTCAGGCAGCCTGGTACCCAGAGAGCTGAGCCTGCAGAGCATGGGCTCCAGTCCCAAGCCCAGCCTCTGTTTCCCTTCAGGTGGTGCCCCCATGCCTGCCTCCTCCTGTGCCCTGGGAGTGGCTGGCCATTCGGTCTGCCTGGACATAAGGTTTAGTGAGCCTGTGGGTGCCCTGCATAGCTGGTGTGGCCTGTACTCATCAGAGGCGGCCTGCGGCTGTGGCAGTCCACCCTGGGCAGGGCCCCCTGGCTGTAGACATGTGCTAAGTGAGCAGTTTTTCAAAATGTGACTTTTGGGGTTTTAAAAATTGTATGATTTTGTGTCCTAACTGGTTACGGGAATTTTTTATTTTGGGTGGGCATTTTGTTGTTTTAATTTTTAAAAATGTTTTATAGATGTTTGCTGGCTTTATTTTTTTAAAAAAACATGTTTCTTGTTGCCTCTGGTTTTCTTGAATCTTGGGTTTTTAAACACTTTACAGAAGGCTTTTTGTCACTTGGGTGTTCTACATCCTATTGACCTCGTATTTGGGTATAATAACATTTAAGTTGGACCTGTTTAGTTTCAGGTCATTGTATTCATTTTAGTGGTTTTTGTGTTCCTTAACTTCATATTCAATTTCATATATTTTGAGTTTCCATCCATGCCAGTTGTTTGTGATGGCCAAGTATTCCCAACCACTGAGCCCTTCGAGCTCCTTTTGCCTCCTTGTCTGGGACACCCCAGCTTGCAGATTTTATATGGACTGATCCTTTCCTGAGACTTCACTACCAGCAGTTCTACTTTCTAGTTAGGTTTAGTCGGTTTTACTCTGTTTACACTGCAGTTCCCAGTCTTTTTGAAAGACCCCTTTTCTGCATGGTGAGCCTCCCCTAGAAGTACTTGTCCTCCCCCAGCCCTTTCTGACCCCATCAGCTGGTTATCCTAGGGCCAGGCTGGGTCCTGGGCCAGGCTGCACCCTCATTCATGGAACGCCATCTTCTCTGTATGATCCTCTCTTGGAGCTTCCCCTAAAGTACTCTTCTTGCTTTCTTCTACATCATCTTAGGAGCTCCCTCTAATTCCTAGCCCTGGCATTTCTTCCTTTTGATTTAAATGTCTTTGTGTATTTATCACCTTACCACTCTGATTCACTTATTTTGGTAATCTTTTACCAGCATTATCTTTCCCTGAGGCACCCGTATACCGGGGGCAATCTATCAGGCTGTATCAAGAAAACTTTTAGATTCACCTCCATTTTTTTTTTTTTTTTTTTGGGAGACGGAGTTTTGCTCCCTTGCCCAGGTTGGAGTGCAGTGGTGCGATCTCAGCTCACTGCAGCCTCTGCCTCCCGAGTTCAAGCAATTCTCCTGCCTCAGCCTACCTAGTAGCTGGGACTACAGGTACACGCTGTTGCCACATCCAGCTAATTTTTTGTATTTTAGTAGAGACGGGATTTCACCTTGTTGCCCAGGCTGGTGTCAAACCCCTGAGCTCACGCAATCCGCCTGCCTCAGCCTGCCAAAGTGCTAAGATTATAGGCGTGAGCCACTGTGCCTGGCCATTCACCTCGAATTTTTCCCAGGGGTATCTTTAACTATATTTTTTATATCTTATTGTCTTCAACCAGAAGTCATTGAGTGGTACTTTTAAAACATGTCCTTTAGGGCCAGCAGTTGGGTCTGGCTCTGAGAGAGTAGTGAGGAGGGTAGCATCAGGATCTCCAGGAGCAACGATGGTAGGGCCGTCAGTCTGGCCTTCTTATCGCAGGGACTGTGTCACCTCCAGGGTTGGAACACACAGCAGACCCCACAGTGGGCCAGTCTAGTAGACTGGCCCTTTGAGACAAAGAGGAACTGAACAGTCCTCTCTCTTGGGCTTCCCAGATGGACACCTGGGTGGCTGTTGCAGCTGCTGCCCAGCCTGTGGTCCTAGTGACCGCTGTGCATGGTGCCTGTCTCTGGACTAGGGCTAGAGGTCCCAGTAGGTCTCATGCAGTGCCTGGAGCCAGCTTTTGTCCGAGAAGAGCTGTAGCATTTCAGGCACTTTGAGGCTTCATTGTGTGTGGCATTTACCACGTAACCTTGCTGGAGCTAGGTCAGTGATCAGATGACTTGATCTTTCTGAAATCTTTTTTTAAAAAATTAAGTTGGGTATAAACTGTAAATAAATAGAAAGATGAACTTCGTTTATTTCTGACTTTCACCTATATTGTCATAGCAGGAGGGGGTAGTTCTGAATTCTGTGAACCCTCCAAAGAAGGAATTTCTCCTTACATGTTAGTGTTAATTGAAGTTCACTTCATATATTTTTTTCTTAATAAGTCGTTATATTATAATAGTTTAGTAAGAGCTAAGAAAAACTTCCTAAAATCTAAGTACTTATTTAGCTTTAGAAAATATAATATTAGGGGCCTGAAAGGTAAGTAAATTTAAAACATTCTTCTGTTTGTTTGTTTTTTTTTTAAACATAGTCTATTGGGGAAAAAAAGAGAGACAGGCAAGATGACGTAGTTTGACTGAACCCTCTGATTTTGTTAATCTTTGTAGTCTTCATATTTCTGTTGCATTTTTACTGTTTTAGATAGAAGCCTATGTTATCTTTTTAAAAATTCATTTTTATTATAAAAATAATAAGAAACAATTTAATCAGTACAGAAATATGTCATGTGAAAATGAAAGGTACTTATAATCCCACTTCTCGGAGATAACCACTTTAGACAGATTGATATTTGATCCTTCGAAGTGTAATAAAAATGTCTGTCTTGCTAGTGGTGCTCATCATTGTCACCATCATCATGCATGTGACATTAGCTAAATGTTCTTAATGGTTAATGTATACAGATTCATTGTACTGGATTTTAAGCTTTTAAGTCTTGAAAACCTGCATTTAATAAGAAATTTGTTATTTGCTCCTTTTAATTTATATGTGGAGTTGTTAAATGAAATAATTTAAAATACAAACTGAACTCAAAAGGATTTCTGCTTGTTCATATCTTCCAGTCTGTGTCCTCTATTGCCTGTTTGTTTTAAAATAAAACTGGAAAGCTTAGAATTCTGAGGAATCTGCTGGAATCTCTTGGGGCTCAAGAATAGTTTTTCTGTGTCTCTCTTTTTTTTTTTTTAAGAGACAGGGTCTTGCTCTGTTGCTCAGGCTGGATGGAGTGCAGTGGCTGTTCACAGGTGTGATCATGTGCAGTACAGACGCAAACTCCTGGGCTCAAGTGATTCTCCTTCTCCTGCCTCAGCCTCCCAAGTAGCTGGGACTACAGGTGTGCGCCACCACACCCAGCTTCTGTCTTTTATTCACAGATTAGGAGTAGGTCTCCAGTCATATTGCTGGGAAGAAAGGGATACAAGTTGTGGGAGGTTTATGCTCCTTCCTTGTTACAGGATTGCTTTTAGTTTGGCTCCTCCCATGGAGTGAGTGGGACTGCCAAGCAGGATTCTTCCTGATTGACCTGGAATGGACGACCCTGCCAGCAGGAGCAGGAACAGAGGCCAGCAAGGGAAAGACAAGACACAGTCTGAGTGGGATCTGAAAGATACCGTGTTGGTAGTGCTGGCACTTACGGTATCTCTGGGAGAGAACTAGAGTAGAGCAAGCAAAGAGAAGCTCAGCAATAGTGTCTTTGCTAACTGTGCTTTATTATTATTATTATTTTAAGACAGAGTCTTGCTCTGTCACCCAGGCTGGAGTGCAGTGGCATGATCTTGGCTTACTGCAACCTCTGCTTCTTGGGTTCAAGTGATTCTCCTGCCTCAGCCTCCCAAGTAGCTGGGACTACAGGCGTGTGCCACCACGCCTGGCTGATCTTTGTATTTTTAGTGGAGATGGGGTTTCGCCATGTTGGCCAGGCTGGTCTCGAGCTCCTGATCTCAGGTGATCCACCCGCCTCGGCCTCCCCAAAGTGCTGGGATTACAGGCATGAGCCACTGCGCCCGGCCTGCTGACTGTGCTTAGACCTAGAATGCTCTAGTTTTATTTTAAATAAGCAGCATAATGTCAGTCTTCAAAACGAGTGTGTAAACATTTTCTAGCTTACTTCCTACTCTGTGAGTTCAAAACGTCAGCCCTGTTTCTAACCAGGCTTTCTCCATCACTTTCTGCTTAGCATATTCACCTTCCTCTGAATGCCATGGTGACACGTGTGAATTAGTGCCATGTCCTAGTCCTAGTCCTATGTCTTCCCCCTCCACTCATGGCAGATCAGACACTGTTGTTGCACGCTAACTGTACACTGAGGGCTCCTCAACCTAGAGAATATCACCCTTAAGACATTTTGCCTGGGAACTGCCACCACCCCCTGCCCAGCCAAATCTGGCACCAGATTTGGTGCCAGGCAAGTTCCTTCCAAGACATTCTTGGTCAGAAACAGAGGGCTTGTGCTGGGTATGGTGGCTCATGCTTGTAATCCTAACACTTTGGGATGCCAAGGTGGGAAGATCACTTGAGTTCAGGAGTTCGAGACCAGCCTGGGTAACATAGTGAGACCCTATCTCTATAAAAAAATAAAAAAACTAGCTGGGTGTGGTGGCATACCCCTGTAGTCCCAACTACTTGACAGACTGAAGTGGAAGGATTGCTTGAGCCTGGGATATCAAGGCTGCAGTGAGCCTTGATCTGTGCCACTGTGCTCCAGCTTGTGCGACAGAGTAAGACCCTATCTCCACAAAAAATAAAAAGAAGCAGAGGGCTTGCCAGCAGCAGTCCCAGCTATGTCCAGCATCTTGGTTTCTTATATCTCTTGCTCACAGGCCTTGTCCAGGGTCAACTTCTCTTCCTGGCCCTCTTGCTGTGTCTTTGAGACTCTAGCCCCTGTCACCCCAAAAAGAAGCCATGTCCGCTTCGGCAGTCACTCTCCACTTCTTTCCCTCTACAACCCCTTGGCCAACCACTAATATGACTTCTGTCTCTATGGATTTGCCTATTCTGGACATTTATAAATAGAATCACACAACATGTGGTCTTTATGTCTGTCTTCTTTCACTGAGTATAGTACTTTCAAGGTTTTTCCATGTTGTAACATGTATCAGTACTTTATTCCTTTTTTAAAAAAAAGAAAAGAAAAGAAACTGTGTCCTACTCTGGAGTGCAGTCAGTGGCACGATCATAGCTGACTGTAACTTTGAACTTCTGGGCCCAGGCAATCCTCCTGCCTCAGCCTCCTTAGTAGCTAGGACTATAGGCGTGTACCACCACACTGGGCTAATGTTTTATTTTTTTTTTTAGAGACAGGGTTTCACCATGTTGCCCAGGCTGGTCTCGAACTCCTGGCCTCAAGCATCCTCCCACCTCGGCCTCCCATAGTCCTGGGATTACAGGCATGAGCCCCACACCCAGCCTACTGCATTTTTTTTTTTAATGACTGAATGATATACCATTGTGTGAATATATGACATTTTATTGCTCTCTTCATCAGTTGGTAGACACTTGGGTTATTTGTACCTTTTGGCAATTATAAATAATGTTGCTATGAACATTTGTGTATAAGTTTTTATGTGGATGTTTTCATTTTCCATGTGTATATGGCTGGGAGTAGAATTGCTGAGTCATGTAGTAGGTCTATGCTTAGATATTTTTTTCTTTCTTTTTCTTTTCTTTTTTCTTTTTTTTTTTTTTGAGACTCACTTTTTTAGAGTCTCACTCCTTTGCCCAGGCTGTGGCATGATCTTGGCTCTCTGCAACCTCTGCCTCCCAGGCTCAAGTGATTCGCTTGTGTTAACCTCCTGAGTAGCTGGAATTACAGGTGTGTGCCACCACGCCTGGCTAATTTTTGTATTTTTAGTAGAGATGGGGTTTCACCATGTTGGCCAGGCTGGCCTCAAACTCCTGACCTCAAGTGATCTGCCTGCCTTGGCTTCCCAAAGTGCTGGGATTACAGGCATGAGCCACTGTAATTGACCTATGCTTAGCTTTTTGAGGAACCACCAAACTGTTTTCCACAGCAGCTGCACAGTTTACATTCCCCCCAGCAACGTGTAAAGGTTCTGATTTCTCCACATCCTTACCAATGCTTGTTATTGTCTATTTTTTTATTTTCTCCATCTTAGTGAGCTTAATGAGGTTTCTCATTTTTGTTTTGATTTGCATTTCTTTGATGACTGATGATGTTGAATATCTTTTCCCGTGCTTATTCATCATTTTCAGACCTTCTTTGGATAAATGTCTCTTCAAATCCTTTGCTCATTTTAAAATTGGGTTATTTGTCTTTTCATCATTGAGTTCTAAGGGTTTTTGTTTTTGTTTTTTGAGACAGAGCCTCGCTCTGTCGCCCAGGCTGGAGTGCAGTGGCGTGATCTTAGCTCACTGCAACCTCCGCTTTCTAGGTTCAAGCAATTCTTCTGCCTCAGCCTCCCGAGCAGCTGGGACTACAGGTGTGCGCCACCATGCCCAGCTAATTTTTGTATTTTTAGTAGAAACGGAGTTTCACCATGTTGGCCAGGCTGGTCTTGAACTCCTGACCCCAAGTGATCCACCTACCTAGGCCTCCCAAAGTGCTGGGATTATGGGCATGAGCCACCGCACCTGGCCTGCATTCTAAGGATTTTTAATATAGTCCAGATTCAAGTCTATTATTAGATATATGATCTAAAAATATACTATTAATCTTTGCAATAAGTTTGCGTCCCAAAGTGTTACCTTAAGCAAAGAGTCAAACCCAAAGGAAATCTGTCTGATCACATTTATGTAAAACTCTAGAAAAGGCAAAACAATAGTGATAGAAAGTAGACTTGTGGTTGTCTGGAACTGCAGTGGGAAATGGACACAATGGGACTCTGGGGTGATGGGAATGTGATATTTTCTTGATTGTGATAGTAGTTACAGTATTGGAGGCATGTGTTGTAACTCATTGAATTATATGCTAAAATTGATGGATTTTATTCCATGTGAAGTATTTCAGTAAAACTGATTTAAAAAATGCTGGTGTCTGACTGTAGGCAGCCCCTCCATGTGGGCAGTATGATTCTATTCTCCTTCCCAGTTACTGTGAACATTCATCACTCTCTCCTGGGCCTCTGCTCTATTTCACACTGCTTTCTCTTAGCAGGTTCTTTATGCCAGAATATTGACACCTTCAGGCATGGTCTTCCTCAACTTCTCTTTCCTCATATACACATTTATTTTCCCATTTTTACTTCTTTCTTTTCTAGCCTGACACCAGAGTATTCCTGGCCTTCTTGAGCGTTTGTCATTGAACACATCTGGTGGGACCTCTGTGTAATCTCTCCCTCTCTTTTGGTTCTTGGCCCTCAGTTGTAAATATGAACAGATCTGCCCCATGTTCTTCTGACTACCATCTTGTGTTTCCAATGGTAGCTCCTGTCACATCCCCAACGCTTAACTTCCTTCTCTTTAATCTCATTGTCATAAGATTGCTTTTGTCAAGACCATGGATGGCTGTGTGAGCTGATCTTGTGGATGGTTTTCAGCCTCATCATAATCCTCCTCTCCTCACCGGGGCCCTCCTGCTTGGCTTTCCACATGTCAGTGTTCTGTAGTCTTTCTTTTTTTCCTCCTCGCCTCTGTTGCCTCCTACGGGTTCCATCTGTACTGTGATTCTCACACTCTCCTGGCAGATCTGTGCTGAAGTCTCAGCTACCATGAAATATATTTCTCCAGACAAGTCCCCTTCACTGAGCTCTCCGCCCAGTCCTCTCTACTTGGATGTTGCACCTGCACATCAGATTTGGCATTTCTGATTTACAAATGTCTTCATTTTCTCTAAATTGGCTTGTCCTCCTGTATTGTGCTTGCCACCTAGTACCACCACCGACCCTGCCATTCATCCAAGGTAGAACTTGGGAGTCATCTTTGATTCTTCCCCTTCCTGCATCTGCTTTGATATTTTCTGAATTGCCACATCCTCTCCTTACTTCTGTTTCAGTCACTGCTTGCTGGGATTCATGCAGGAGCCATGGACCCTCCCTTTTGCTGATCTTTTCCTCGGCTGTCCATCTTCCACATGGCTAACAAAAATGATCTGTTTAAATTCAGGTCTGATCTCATCATTCCCCTGTTTAGAATTTCTCAGTGACTCTCTTCATCTGTAGCAGTGATTTGAATTCCATGTATCTGTTAAAAAAAAAAAAAAAAGTTGGAAGACTACTGTTGTGTTGCCAACTCTTAATTTTTCTAAATAAGAATATTGGAAGAAAAAGGAATTCACCGTCTACCATCTTTTCATTAAATAAGCACATTTCAACACTTAAAAAAAGGCGCAATTTTGAATGGAAGATAAAAAGACCACAGTGCTGTGGCTAAGTGTGTAGCGTCCACTCAGCCACTCACCTGGTTGGCTGTGGTGGATACTTAGTAAGCTCCTCTATAAGATGGGGATTTTAACAGTGACTACTCATAGAGTTGTGAGGATTAAATGGAGTATGCATCCTTAGGGCACAGCCTGGGTACACAGCCCTCAAAACGATTAGAATACATGACAGGTATTCCCCCAAGAAGGGAAGGTGACCACAGTACACTACAGTTTCCTCCTTGGACTGGTGGCACTTTTTTGTAAAGAGATCCTGTCACTGCACGATGGAGCCCAGGTTCCAGTAGGACAGCTGAAGCCACCTCTGGCCTACCTGCCTTTTCGTCCTAGGCTCTAGGCCTGTAAAATGGGATGAAGAACTTTTCTTTGTTCAGTTTAAATCCTTTAGGTACTTCAGTATACGTGCATAGCAGTTTCCATCTTTGGAGTGATGGTCACACTTAGCATTATTTGTGATTAATTGCATTTTAACAGCCTTTCAAATCTTTATTTAGGCAAATGTGTACAGAATACTCATATGTGTCATAACGTTTCAAGAAATTTGAAAGCATGACTATTAGTGGTATCTGACAATTCTGGGGTCTATGTGTTTTCCTTTCTCTTGACTGTTGTACTAGAAAACCTTGGGCCTGCAGGGTGCATTTGGTGATTCTGTACCTTGCAGGGCTTGGTCAAAAGCAGAGACTGCTGGGGCCAAGGACTGTGGTGGTGACAGTTTCTTGGGGACTACACTTTGAGCTTTGCCCACATTGGATGACCAAGGAAGCATTTCTCCCTCCTCAGCCCCCAGACCTGTGCTCCACTGTGTCCTAGACTGGGGCAACATTTTGTCACCAAGAAGAATGAGAGTTTCTCGAAGTCAGGAAATTTGAAGGGTGGTTCTGTGTTCCTTTTCTAGCACAGGCCTCATCCATGAATGAATATTGACCAAATCGAGCTTCCATTTCCCTTCCTTGAAATTGCCAAAATGCAGAGTACTTCCCCTTCACTGTTTTCCACTTGGTAATGAAGTGGATCAGTTCTGCTTCAGCAATGGTACTTTGTGAAACCTGTATTTATATTCATTTGCATTTTAAATGAGCAGCTGAGAGACACTTTGGGAGCAGTGGCACCAACAGTCTCAAAATCATTTAATCATTGTTTTGTATGGTATATTTAATTAGCTTATACATCCCACAGGAATATGACCAAGTGGATTTTAGAGATTAGGTCAGACCCTGTCAAATGATCCTGTCTAGTGGTACATTTTAGAGAGCTTTGAAAGAGTTTTCAGTCAACATGTTATATGAAAAGGAATATTGGATTTTATTGAATCATTTGAGTACTGTGGCATGTTGGGTTTAACAGTTGGAATATTACATGGTAACTTCATTTAAATGAATTCACAGCTATAGAAAAAAATGTTTGATTTTAAAGATGTAACCAAGAGTGAGACTGCAGATTTTTAAGCAGTGAAATATTAGAAAACAGTGAATAAATAAATAAATGCTTCTTTAGCAGGGGCTAAATTATTTATTATTTTGCTTTCAGGAACCAGGAAGAGATTGTTTTCTTTGGATTTCAAATGTTGTTATAGTGTAGTTGTTTCTTAGCTTCCTTAAGACGCCCCTTGAGTGCCTGAAATAATTCACTGAAATCAGTGGCTCTAAAGCATCAAAGATCTTTTCTGTCTGGAGTAGTCACCAGGCAGCTTCAGTGAGGGCTTCCCATTGAAGTCCCCTTTGAGGACGTGCCTGACAGGGTTTCCATGGACTTCTGTGTCCTTGTAGTATGTAGTATGGGTGCCAGCCTCCACTCTTCACCCCTAACATGGGCCTGATAGATAGATTGGTGAGAACACATACTGCTTGTTCTGAAAGTTATGCCTGGGGTTGTCAAGCTGCTTGGAGATGAGGCCAGGGGCTCACCCTGCGTGGCCACAGCAGAAGTCCAGCCAGTGCTCCCAGCACCACCCATTTGGGGAACAGGCCCAGTAGTGTGGCCAGGCTGGTGCCCACACCACTGACCCAACCCCAAGATTGCAGCCTCTTGGAGGTTTTTTTTAAAAAACAAAACAAAGGTTGTCAAGAGTGGCCAAAGGACAAGAAATTGTAATGGGTGACAATGGGGCACCACCGCTCATGGATTGTGATATGTCAGGGAGATAGCCCTGTGGCATGCTTGCCTGGGTCAGGTTTGGTGGCATTCTGCATTCAGCTATATCCGTCTGTCAGTGATGTTTAGAAGACTGCAGAACATGTTTTTCAGTAGGAAATGATGAGGAGATTTGGGGAAAGATGACGCTAAAAGTGAAAATCTTTCACATAAGAGGATATTTTTGCATGGAGACAGTGATCAATTTCCACCCAAACAGTATCTATTTATTATTTAATGATTCTGCCTGGAAGTAAAGGGGTAGGTTGAATCTTTCAAAGGTCTTTTCCAGCCCTAAATTATTTTCTTGACCTACAAAGCAGGTAAAATTTCAGTCACAGTTAGTGAAATTGCTACACAGTGATGTGAAAAAAGCAATTGATCATAAGCGTTTGCTTGTTAATTAAGTTTACTTACTCTCCTTAGAGATAGAATGTACATATGGTTCTAGCTCTAGATATGTCGCAATTTATTTGACTTTTTTTTTTTAAATGTTAAGTTTTTGGGCTAAGATTTAAAAAAACTGATTAAAGAAAGCAGAGGAGGAAATAAATGGGACATAAATTTTTATACACTGTCTCTAAGCAGCAGACACTTCACTTGTTTAGTTTGAGTGTTAATTTTGTTTTTATGAATAGGCAAGGGCAAATTACTTTAACCCTCCTGCGTAGTTACTGCTGTGATGAGATGAACCATGTGCTATTTTAGAATCTCAGGGAAAGTTTAGCAACACTGCTGATGATGCCTTTCATGGACAAACAAGTCTTGATGTGTTTTTTTCCCACTTGTAAGTATATTGATAACTACCTTTGTGTGTGGTGTTTATACAGGTTGTGTGTGTGTGTGTGTATATATATATATATGTATATATAGAGTTATGTAGATAGATAGCATATAAATTAACTTCTCATACATATATGCTTTTATCATGTTAAAACACTTAACAAGTTTCTAAAGGATTTATCCTAGAATACCTTTTAGTACCAAGATTCCCTGTTATTTTTAAATAAAGATATATTACAACTCTCCAATCTATCTTCTTCAATTTAAAATGTCTCATGTAAAGTCCATCCATATGTCCCTGTGGTGTTGCATTTCTGTCTCCAGCCACTTTCTCATGTGGCAGGGGTGGGGTTTGTTGATGGGACCAAGCCCTTAGGACAGCACCTCTGACTCCTCCTGCACGTGGGTAGCAAATGCACACCAGGTCCTGACCCTAAGGATTAAAGAAGACGTCAGGGAGCTCATCCCGGACTGGATTTAGAAGGCTAGATTAGGAGCCATCCAGGAGGGAAGCAAGCTTCTCTGCACAGGCTCAGAGCTGCCTGCGAAGTGGGGTGGTGGAGGGTGGCTGGTGGGGAGGGCAGCTGCATGGTCAGCAAATTATAAACGGCCGGTGTTTTCGGACCAGAGGGTAGATGTTACTGAGCCACTCAGAAGGATTTAGGGGACACTTTAATTATAGCATCTATTCACTTCAAGGATCTTTTAGCTGCATGTTGTAGGGCTGGGGATAGTGATGACAAGGATATCCACAGGAACAAAAGCAGCAGGTTCTGTTTTCTTTTGAAGTGGGATGGGAGTGAAGCAGGGCTGCCCAGTTACTTGTGGTGTCTTGGGTGTAAGCCATCGTCATGGGCTGCACATGCCCCTGGGAGACAGGAGGCCCTGCACCTTCTCTATGAACTTCTTTACTTCTGGGGAAAGCCTGTTGCTGTTCCTGCCTGCTCTGGCCCGGGAGGCTGACTTGTTTGCTATGCAAGGCCCAGGCTCTCCGGGTGCTACTGCCTGTTGCAAAATAAGAAGCAATGGTGGCAAAATGTCCACCTCCCTAAATTAAACCACAAAGGTTAGGACCAAACTGTTAAAAATATGATCTTTGAGTGGTATGGTCTTGTTTTTGAGTGTATTTTGGCATTGTGTTCAAACCAAAGTTTATTCCAGCCAGTTTAATGTACTATGTTCAAGTAACAGCTCATAGATCAGAAATGGTCTCTGTTTTAAACCTTCCCATCCATATCAAACACAATGATGTTGAGGTTAAGAGGGGCCCTTTCTCTAAATGAAAATACAATACTTACCCTATATAATTTTGGAGGGCCCAAAGATGTGGAATCAGTGTATTTGTAAGAATTATATTAAACAATCTCCATTTGATAAACAGTACCTTACAATCCTAATGCTATCTATCAAACTTGAGTGAGAGCAGTTTCAGCATCAACTCTTGAACGGTAGCTAAACTAACAAGAGAGTACCCAAATGTGCTCTAAAGGGAGCAGCAGCGGCTGATGTTCTGCCAAGTCTCTGAGCGTCCGGGACCCAACTACAGGGGAAATAGAATAAAACAGGCAGGTGCTCTGTACCCAAGCCCTCACATGGTGACCTGCCTCCCTCCTGGGGGCCCAGTGTCCTCCTGGGGGCTTTCAGGCCCTGTGGGTTTTGGGCAGAGTCCCAGGAGCCAAAGGGCCACTCAGGAAAGGCTGAAACTTGGCTTCGCAGTCAGCCAGCTTCTGTCCGTAGTGGTGGTCATTTTCTTTCTGGAGCTCCTGGAGCGCTCTCTCAGTGGGCCTGGCAGCCATCCAGCCTTCCTGGGCCCTTTTCTTATGGAAGAGTATCTGCTTCTGAAAACTGGAAGTGTCTTCCTTCAATTCCTAGCGGTTGCAGGTCTGACACATGCGGTTTAAATACTAGTGCACCTTGCGAAGTCTCTGATCGAGGTCCAGGCAGTAGGCGTCCTCCTGTGTGGACTCCTACTGAGGCCCCATCACGGGTTCTTAGTGCAGTTCAGGCAGAGCAGGAAGCTTCAGCTGCAGCTTTGCGAGCTCTTTCCCCAACTGTGCCCTTGTGCCCTGCAGAGAGGCCTCTCGCCAATCGGACTTTGGATTTGTGCTGTGCGTTCTTTACTCCTTTGGAATTCTTCCCACAATTGCTTATTTGTTGCTTCAATCTTTCCTTCAGGACATTTGAAGGATGCACCTAAGTCACCGTCACCATCCACATTCTTCGGAGGAACTTGTAGCCCGGATGCTATGGGACCACCATATCCTACTTCCCTGTTCCCCTCCATTGCCAAGTCTCCATCCTGCACGTGGTTTCTATTGCTCTCCAGCAGATGCAGGATGCTTGGAGGGGTGTGGGACAGGGAGGTCATTTGCCTCACTCCAGCATTCGTGGCCTGTTCCATTACTGTCTTTGCCTGCTCCGGCTTTTCATCTTCCCCTTCTTATCTGCAGGCATTGCTTCCATCTCACAATTTCTTGGTCGGGCAGCTCTGCAGGTTGCCAGTGGTCAGTGCTGTCATTCAGATCATCTTTGCTTTGCCCCAGAAGATCTTCCCCATCATGCTGTGAAGCATGTGGGACCTGCTTTGTTCAGTCACTTGGGGAAATTCAGGAGGCCTGCTTTTCTGTGCTCTTTCAGAAGCTCACCTAGGTCCTGGTAGGAAGACCTGCTTGTTTCATTTGGAACCCTCAAGCAGGGGGTTTGGAGTGATCGAGGACTGGCCTCTGGCACGGGTGACATTAGGCCACCACAGGCTTGGGGTGCTAGCCACATCTTGGATCTGGCCATTCTATGGACCTCACCCTGGGCTGAATACCTTTGGGCCGACTCCTCTTTTCTTCCCACTGTGCGTCATGAACGTGAAGGCCACCACAGCAGTGCATGCCCAGATCACCCAGGGTTTCCATAGTTTCACTGCCACTAGTCCCATGATTCTGTACATCAGTAGTACTGCTGCCTACAGGGGGGCCAGCAGCAGCTGAGTAGGCATTGTGTGGTGGGCAGCAGGCCCTCCGTGGCTGCCAAGGGTTTGCCGCCACTTGCCAGTGGCCTGTGGGCCACAACTGACCACTTAGAACCCTGTGGAGGGTACCATCTCTAACACAAACAAGGGCTGCCATATTAGATGTGTGAGAATTAATACAGTACTATACATAAAACACTTAAAAGAGTGTCTAGCTAAGATATGTTAGCTAATATACCACCATGATCCTCAACAACAACAAAATAACAGTAACCTAATACACCGTTATAACTCACTGGAACATGTCCCTGTTTTGTGCATTCCTCATGCACAGACTTGGAAAGGCAGAGGCACTTACCAAAGGGGACTCTGCTGTTCTGCAGCCACCTTGTGACATACATGGAGGCTTTGAGAGCAGGGGCCTGGAGGGGAATGATAGAGAAGTCATGTCAATTTTAGGTTTTCCAGTACATGTAATAGAAATGTTTACACAGTACTGTAGTCTATTAAGAGTGTAATGGCATTATGTCTGAAACACAAGATACATCCCTTAATCAAAAATACTTTCAAATGCTATGATCGCTTGAGTCTACAGCGAGTTGGAATCATTTTGCTGGTGGAGGGTCTTGCTGATGGCTGCTGACTGATAAGGGTGGTGGTTGCTGGAGGTTGGGGTGGCTGTGGCCGTTTCAGGAAATTGGACAACATTCAAGTTTGTCACATCAATTGACTCTTCCTTTCATGAAAGATTTCTCTATAGCCTGCAATGTTATTTGATAGCAGTTTACCCACAGTAGAAATGTTTTATGAAATTGGAGTTAATCTCAAACCCTGCCACTGCTTTATCAACTAAGCTTATGTCCTATTCTAAATCCTTTGCTTTTATTTTGATATCTTTGATAGCATCTTCACCAGAAGTAGATTCCATCTCAAAAAGGTGCTTTCTTTGCTTGTCCATAACAAGTACTTCTTCATTTATTCAGGATTTATCATGAGATTTCAGCAATTTGGTTACATCTTCAGGCTCCACTTCTAATTCTGATTCTCTTGCTATTTCCACCACATCTGCAGTGACTTCCTCCACTTAAGTCTTAAACCCCCTCAAAGCCATTCACGAGGGTTGGAATCAACCAAGTCTTCCAAGCTCCTGTTAAGGTTGATATTTTGACATCCTCCCATGAATCATGAATGGTCTTAATGGCATTCACTTACTAGAGTAGTGAATTCTGTCCAGAAGGTTTTCAATGTGCTTAGCCCAGATGCATCAGAGGAGTCATTTTCTATGGCAGTTCTAGCCTGATGAAATGTATTTCTTTAATAATAAGACTTGAGTGTCAAAATTACTCCTTTATCCATTATGGGTTGTGGAATGAATGTTGTGTCAACAGGCATGAAGACAACATTCCTTTCCTTGTATGTTAACATGCAAGGGCTGGTCCCTCTGCAGGCTCTCGGGAGGATCCCAGCCCGTCCAGCCTCGAGCATCTGAGGCCCTGTCATGCTGCATCACTGCCTCCTTTCTCCACATTTTGAGGACCCTGTGATTCCCTTGGGCTTGTCTGGGTAATCCAGGACAGGATTCTTATTTGGAGGTCAGCTGACAGGCAGCCTTCATTGAATTTTGCCACGCAATGCAGCATATTCGCAGGTTCTGGAGAGGAGGATGTGGACAGCTTTGGGAGGTCATTGTCCTGCCTACCGCAAAGCTCTTATTAGGTGGCTGGTCTTCTTTTTCAACCTGTTAACTTACGTTTTTCTAGTGTCAGCTGTTTTTGGCTAATGAGATGTTCCTACTCTTTATTTGATATTCTTTGTCACTTTCCTCAAACATGCCCCTCAACAGGCAGTGATACCATTTTTCTCCAGTTAGAGCTGAAGTTGGCCTTTGAAGGTGGATTCAAGGACTTGGTAACTGCATTTCTGCTTACAGTTTCAGGGAGTCCTGGGCTCTAATCTAAAGATTCTACTTGTGCAGGCCTTCATCTTTGTTGGTTGGTGTTGAAAGAAAGGGAGCGAATGGTGGCTCCAGGCCTTCTCTCTGGGCTGCTTTGTGCTTCGCTTGTTATGGGTGCAGGTCCTGGCCTTGGAATTAATCGCAAACAAGTCTTGGACTTCTCAGAAGTGGTGGAAGACTGTCAGATGCTCTTTTCACCCAACACAGTTTAAGCAGCTGAGTTGTATTTCATCCACTGAAAGGAAAATCCAGTTCTTGAGCTTCAGAACGTGAACGGCTTAGGAAAGTCTTAGGGCCAAGATCTTACAAGTGGACAATCATTGGGCACTGATAAGATCTTAGATGGTAGCTCCTTGTTGAATTTCTGGCTCCTGCATTCAGATTAGCCTGGTACTGGTTGCTCACCATCCACTGTTGACACTTACGTTTGTTTTCTCAGGTCCGGGCCCACCAGCTGGTCTTGCCACCTTGCGACGTAGTGATCAAAGCCGTTGCTGACTATGTACGCAACATTCAGGACACCTCTGACTTGGATGCCATAGCTAAAGATGTTTTCCAGCATTCACAGGTAAAAAAAAAAACAAACAAAACAAAAAAACAGATTCATGGGATATGACGTTGCATAGTGGTGTGGCCAGGTTTGGAAGAAGGGGACTTGAGGGTGCAAGCTGACTGGATGGGTCTGAGAGCTCTTGCTCAGGCCACTGGAAGAAAGCTGCAGGTTGCAAGGCCAGAGGCTGAGGTAGCCTGGTCATGTTCCCTGCCAGCCAGGAAGTCTCAGCCACTTCACCCAGCTTTTCCAGGCTGAATAAAAGGGAGATTCAGTTAGACGGTTGGTGAGGTCTCCTGCTCATAAGTTCTCGATCTTAACTTAATAGGATCTGTATTTCAGAGTTTTCAGAACATGAACTGTATCAAGTCAGTCATATGGCATTATAAATCTCTGATTTGTCTGTTTTCTTCAGGTGATTGTCAGGGATTTTCTTCTTTTTTGGGGAAGTAGGTGTGCCAACAAGTTGGCATCAGTAGAATAGGCAAGGCTCTGTGAAACTCCTGCTGTGTCTCTAGAGAGCTGAAATGCAGCCAGGCACGGTGGCTCATGCCTGTAATCCCAGTACTCTGGGAGGCCGAGGCGGGCGGATCACGAGGTCAGGAGTTTGAGACTAGCCTGGCCAACATGGTGAAACCCTGTCTCTATTAAAAATACAAAAATTAGCCAGGCGTGGTGGTGGGCGCCTGTAATGCCAGCTACTCGGGATGCTGAGGCAGGAGAATCGCTTGAAACCGTAAGGCAGAGGCTGCAGTGAGCGGAGATCATGCCACCGCACTCCAGCCTGGGTGAAAGAGCGAAACTCCGTCTCAGAAGAAAAAGAGAGAGCTGAAACCCTGGGCAGGAACATCCCCAGTCTGTCACTGCCATCCGTTCCCTTGGTACAGATGGCTTGAGATTCCTCTCTGGGCAGGACCAGAGACCGAGCAGAGTGGAAGTCAGGGAAGTCCTAGAGCTAGAACCCAGGGCCCTGACTACCACTTTGGAGTTCTGCTCTTGTGACTACATTGCTTTAAAAGAATTCACGTTTGGTTTGATTCTTTTGTAGTAATCTATTGATTTTCCCTGAAAGTTTTAATGTCATTCAAAATTCTTCTCTAACTTGAAAAGCTGTAGAATATTATACATGTGCTGAATTATAAAAAACATTGTGATACACATGACCAGTGGCACACTAATTTATGAAGGTTTTCCTGCCTTTATTTCAGTCTAGAACAGATGACAAAGTTATTCGATTTAAGAGAGCAATTGGATATTATTCAGCGACTAGTAAGCCTATGTCATTTCATCCACCACATTACTTAGGTAAGTAAATAAAAGCCTGTGATCAATATTGACCATATGATAATCCAAGTAGGTTTAAATATTCACCATATAATCTTGTAGGTTTATGTTTTTGAAACATGATTTTCTGTAGTTATGCCAGTAAGTATAGCCAAACTTCCTGGGCAGACTCAGTAGCAATCCCTGAAAATATTGAGGAGGAAGAGAACTTAACAGCCTTCATAGGATGAAGAAGAATCAGAGGGCATTGTGCAGATGAGGCAGCAGGTCGAGGGGATGTTGACGTCTTGGCAGCTCTGAGATATCCGCTTCTAAATACAGAATTGCCTGAGGACGTAGAAGGGCCTCCACAACTGCAAGTGATTTCATAAATGCAGTGTATTTGTAGTCTCTCTTTTCTTGACCCCTGCCTTTTTTTTTTTTTAATTCTTTTTTGTTGTTGAGCAGAGTATTGCACTGTCGCCCAGGCTGGAGTGCAGTAGTGTGACCTCGGCTCACTGCAACCTCTACCTCCCAGGCTCAAGTGATTTTTGTGCCCCAGCCTCCTAAGTAGCTGGGATTACAGGCATGCGCCACCATGCCCAGCTAATTTTTGTATTTTTAGTAGAGATGGGGTTTCACCATGTTGGCCAGACTTGTCTCGAACTCCTAGCCTCAAGCGATCTGCCCATCTCAGCCTCCCAAAATGCTGGGATTACAGGCATGAGCCACCACGTTCAGCCTGCAAAAGACCAAAAGTTAATTCAGAGATTTGAAATTGGGAAATAAAAATATTTATAAGCTGTTAGCCTGAAGCCTGCTTCATATTGAACGTCTTGTGGAGGTTATAAAGCACTAAACTGTAAGTAGAAGTATGAGAAATAGACCCCAACTCTCATTTAAATTGTGTTGTTTGCTTCATCTAAGTTAACAAAAGAATGATTGCATGTTCAAGAGACTCTTACTGGAAGGAGACTTTGTATTTATTTGAGAAGACTAATTCCAAGATTGAAAGTGGCCTTAAGAGCTGCACCCTTCATTTATTCAAGCATAGTGTCTGCTGTATGCTAGGAACTGGGCATTGGAGATCAGAGGCATGGCACTGGCTTTGGCTGCCTATGTATGTGGCTGGGTGGTGGACAGGGAAACATGGCCTGTGCCGATGCCCTGTAATAAAGGAGGTAGGGCTTGTAACCTGGAGATGGGCATGGAGTGGCTGAATCTCCACTGCGAGGTCAGTAAATGGCAGCAGCCTCCCAGTGGGGCTCTTTGCTGCTCTCTTGCTCCCCTGCAATCCATTTTCTTCCCAGCAGCCAAAGTAATGTTTAAAAATGGCAGTTGGACTGTGCTACTCCCATGCTCAGAATTCCCCATTGGCTTCCCGTCACACTTGGAATAAATTCCCAACTACTTACCTTGCTTCCTCCCCATCATCTGAGACTGCTGGCTTCTCACTCCTGAGCGCAGCCTCCTTTCTTGCCTTGCATGAACCAAGCTAGCTTCTGCCCTGGGCCTCTGGGCCGGCTTTTGTGCCTGGAGGGCTCCTTTCTCTGACCAGCTTGTGTTTGTGCCCTTCTGATTTGTGAGATCCAGGCTGTCGTGTTCTCCAAGGTCTGCCTGGCTTTAAATCTCTGCACACTCCTTGGCTTCTATTTGTCACCACCACCACCCCTTCCCCCGTCACTCCCCACAATGTAAAGTCTAGGGTAATGAGGGCCTATTAGTCACCTTTACTTTTATATCCCCAGTGGATAAATATTTGACTGAATGAATTGATCCACTTGGTTTTTAAATCAAGAGAGTGAAGTGGTGAGATGTGTTTTAGGATTATTTTTGGAAAAGGGGGCACAGAGCATCAGCAGGAGGGAGACTAGCTGTATACTGTTTCATCAGTTAAGGTGAGGCATTATGGGACCAGATCTCAGTGTGTCTACTGTATACCCTGCACACAGAAGATGTCTAATAATTGCTTGTGGGAATGATGGGGAGCATGAACATTGCCACCTGTGGCCTACTGCCTCCTGACCTCGAGCTCCCTATTTTATAGAATGGGGTCATTATGTGAATATTAAAAGAGAAGGCGTATGTAAGGTGCTTTAGTGAAGTACTTGTTCAGTCATTCAATGCCCTTTTAGGTAATTCTGCCTATAAGAATAACAGATACTGTCTGATAGTAGATACTGTCATTATTCTTCTCATTGGCAGAATGGCCTCAACAGGCACTGAATGATTGGGCATTGGAATGAGCAGTGAGGAGCCTGAAGGAGCGCTCAGAGGTGGGGCCGGCAGTCTCCTGTGTTTCACTGACATTGTGCTCCTGTGGGACAGTCTGTATGGCAGGTGTAGTTTAGAAAGTCCTTAGAGTGTACTTGGGACTGGAAAATCTACTTAGGAGAAAATTAGGAAGATAAGTATAGAGAAAGGCAGCACACTTAATATTTGGCATTGATCTGGGCTCATAATTATGAAGATGTTTTGAATAGGCAAGGTGAGTTAAGTTTGAATATCTTAAAAATATGTTCTGTCAAGTGCTTTTGTGTTCTTATCAAATTATTAAGATTTTAGGTGAGTATTTTAGAGGTGAAGTTTACTCAGAATTTAGTTTCACTTTCATTTTCACTACTCGGTGGTTTATGGAGAACAGCAAAGTAACTGGTAGAGTTTGGGATGCTTGGGATGATAGTTTGAGGCAGCTTAGGGTAGGCATGAACTGCCTGTAAATCCTCCTGTACAGCATTCCCTGATGCTTCTGGCTGTTGCAGAAATGAGGGTTGTATGCGGAGGGACTAACAAAAGTACAGGCACAGAATGACAGCCAGGCAGGAAGTTTGGGCAGTGTAGAATTTTAAGATGACGGGTATGCAGTCTGGAATGGCAGGAGACAAGCCTGGAGAGAGGCTTCAGGCAAGATTGGGAAGGACGTTTTGTTTCAAGCTGCATACACATGATTTGGAACTAGCAGAAATGGATTCTTGTAAAAATAACTTTAGTTTTTTTCTGATAACTCTGAAGAAACATAAATTACATTAGCTGTCATTGATTTTTACCCCTGCATACTACTGGGATCCTACCAGTGAAACTAACAGGGCGAAGACTGGAACCTAAGTTGAAAGTCTAGAAGGAACAACATGGAGTCGGTGGGACCCTTTCTGGCAACTCAAGTTAGAACCCATGATGTATTTTCCACAGAAATATTTTTATAAGTAGTAGATAGGTCCTAAGTGGTCTTTGGTGATCTGTCATAGAATCCAACCACAGTCCATTATATTATTCTACAGGAAAATAATTCAGAATTTTGAAGAACCAATGTGGGGATATTAGTTTCTTGTTGTATTAGAATTTATCTTATTAATCATTCAGAAATTGGAATATGTGTAGAGTTTTGAAGAAATTTTAGGGTAATCATATTATAAGCTTAGAGAGCATGGCTATAGGGGAAAAACATGGGGTGAGTTGATCTAACCAGAGGTTTCTAAACTTGGCTGGAATTTTAGATTCCACCTCAAAACTGCTATTTTAGCATCTTAATTGGGCCTTAGGAATTTATATTTTTTAAAAAGGAATGTTCCTAGCTAGGTACCAGTTGGCCTGGCTTTTAGGAACCACAACTCATCCTCTGTGCCTTTCTTTGTAAGCCTGTAAATCTATCTGCAATATTGAGAAAAATACCTCAGATCTCTAAACAGTTATTGGGTAGTGTAGAGTTCTTAGGAGGACACATACACACACACACACACACACACACACACACACACGCACACTTGCAATATAGTCTCCCAGAAATTGTGTATTTTGAGATGATTTTGAAAATAAGTGGTGGTGAGATGCATACTTATTTTTAAGCATTCACTATGTCATAATTACTAAGCGAGGACCTGCCTATCTGGAAATGGTTGTGATTTGTTCTTTCTGTCTCAGCATGTAAAATCTGCTATAGCTCTCCACGAAATCACCAATCTAAATGCAAGCACAAATAAGATATGTGATAGTTGAGATTTCAAAATATTTAGTTCCCTAGTTAAACCAGTTGCTTCAAAATCATTGGTGGAATTTACTAAAGTAACAAGTAACACAACTAACACTGAGGTCTCACCTCAGATCTGTGGATGTGGAATCTATGGGCACAGATCCCGTGTGCAGGTGAAATTGAGGCTGAAGAAGTAGCCACTGTGTCATTGGCCTTCCTTAGTGAAAAGTAAATGGGCTCCTACTACACATTTTAATTACACATTTGTTAGAATGATTAACATAGAAAACACCAACAACACTAAATGCTGGTGAGGATGGGTAGCAACAGATTGTGCTGCTAATGGGATTGCAAAAATGGTACAGCGACTTTGGAAGACAGCTTCGCAGATATTTACAAAATTCCCAAGTCATGCTTGTTGGTGTTTGCCCAAAGGAGTTGAAAACTTATGTCTACGCAAAAACCTGCACACAGATATTTAAAGCAACTTTATTCATAATAGCCAACGCTTGGAGGCTACCAATATGTCTTCAGTAGGTCAACAGGGAAATAAAGTTTGGTGTATCTAAGCAATGAAATAATCAACACTAAAAAGCAATGCGCTATCAAGCCATGAAAAGATGCAGAGGAACATAAGTACATATCACTAAGTGAAAGAAGCCAATCAGAAAAGGCTACATACTGTGCGATTCCAACTATAGGACATCTGGAAAAGGCCAAAAGTATGGAGGCAGGAAAAAGATCAAGGGTTGCCAGAGGTTGTGGGGAGGGAGGGATGATTAGGCAGATTTTTGGGGCAGTGAAACTATTCTGTATGATACTGTAACGGTGGATACATGGCATTATACTTCTAGCCATATCCAGAATACGTACAGCACCAAGAGTGAACCCTAATGCCAACTGTGGGCATTAGGTAATCATAATGTAGCCAGGTTTGGCTCATTGGTTGGAACAAATGTGTCACACCAATGCGAAGTGTGTACTCTGCTCAAGATTTTTGTAACCTTGAAACTGCTCAAAAAAAAAAGTATATATATATATATTTTAAAGTAAAGAGCTCGTTGATTTGTGCATTTCATGACAGGCAGTGTGCTGGGTGCTGAATGGTGTGGTAAATAAGAGAGGAGTTACCGTTGCCCCTACAGATGAATGTATAGTGGGGAAGTGAACACCAGGGAATCCTGCAGGAAAGAGAACAGGAACCTCAAGGAAGACCAACCTGATTGAATCAATCTACGATTAAAATGGCTGGTTCTGATTGATTAGATTATTGTTGAGTGGGGTTTGGGGGTTCAGGCATCTAGCAAGGTGCCAATATGGGAAGAAGTGTATTCCATGCAGGGGAGGTGGCATGTGAGAGGTCCTGAGTTAGGAGGACATAGTGAAGAAGAAAAATAAGAAGAATGTGGTTGAAGCACAGAAAGCGGGGAGAGTGGTCAGGTGATGCTGAGAGCGGCAGTGCAGTTGCCAGGCACCACCTTGGATTTTAGACTTTATTCTTAGAACGTGAAAGCTCATGGAATAATTTTTACCTGTAAAAAAAATGATTTTGTAACTATCATACTACAATGTGTTAGTCTTAGAACATTACTAATATCTTAGCCCTCTTATATGTCTTCGCTGGTTGCATTCCTCGACTCTCTACCACCCTCAATTTTGTATTAGTTATTCTGTGCTTCTCTATATAATTTTATCGTGTCTGTATGTCTGGATACTAAATAGTTTCATTTTGTTTGTTATGAAATAAAATCATATAGCATGTACTCCTCTGACTTGCCTTCTTAATATTTATATTATTGTGTTTCATTCATGTTGGCATAGTTCATTTTTTAATGCTGTGCAGCATTCCATTGTATTAATATATATTTGTCCATTCTACTGTTGATGGAAAATGGACTGTTTCCAGCTGCTTGCCATGATGGATAGCGCACTTGTGAACATTGTTTCATGTGACCTGATGTGCCCAGGAGTGGAATTCCAGGGAACCTCCAGGGTAGGGCCCTGTTCAAGCCTCTGCTGCTGCCGGACACGGATACACCTATTTATTCTCCTGGCAGAAGTGAAAGAACCCTCTCATTGCTCCACGTTTTATTATTTTTTGGTCTAGTGATTATGAAACTATATCCTGTAAAGGTTTCAGTTGCATTTCCCTGATTACTAATGAGGTTGAGAATCTTTATGTTTATGGGCCAGTAGGGTTTCCTCTATTGTGAAATGCTTGTTCATGTTGTTCGCTTGTGTTTTTTTTTTTTTTTTTTTTTTTTTTTGAGAAGGAGTCTCGCTCTGTCACCCAGGCTGGAGTGCAGTGGCGCAATCTCGGCTCACTGCAAGCTCCGCCTCCCAGGTTCACACCATTCTCCTGCCTCAGCTTCCCGAGTAGCTGGGACTACAGGCACTCGCCACCACGCCTGGCTAATTTTTTGTATTTTTAGTAGAGATGGGGTTTCACAATGCTAGCCAAGATGGTCTCAATCTCCTGACCTCGTGATCCGCCCGCCTCGGCCTCCCGAAATGCTGGGATTACAGGCGTGAGCCACTGCGCCCGGCCTGTTCGCTTGTGTTTCTGTTGGGTTGTTTTTCTTTTTGCTTATTCATAGGGATACTTAATATATATATTGGATGCTAGTCAGATAAATGGACTGCAAATAATAATCTTCCAATCTGTGGCTTGCATTTTTCTGTCTTCATGATGTGCTTTGATATCAGAGTTCTTAATGTCAAATACATGAATTTTTCCCTTTGTTGTTTGTACCTTTAAGTCCTATCCTGTATTTATGGATGAAATGATGTCATGTCTGAGATTTGCTTCACAATAATGCAGTAGTGGGCAAAGAAGGGTGGAAGTGCAGATGACACGCAATAGGCTGTGTGCTGGTTAATTTTGAGGGTGGTTGATAGATATGTGTGGCTTATTGTACAGTTCCCTTTTTTCTTGTGTTTGTTTAAAGTGTTACATGAGAAGGAGAAAAAGAAAACATAAAGGAAGAATTCCTCCCTAGCCTGAGGTGATAAACACTTTGTCTTCTAAAAGTTTTATTTATGATTTTGCCCTTTGATACTACCTGGCACTGAATTTTGTTTATGGTTTTTGAGTGAGGGAATTCAGTTTCTTGTTCACCGTGTGGAGAACCTGTTGCCTTAGTATTGTCCACTGAGAATGCTATCCTCTTCTGACATGTTGAGTGTCTCCGTGTGTGGGTCTGTTTCTGGGCTCAGTTCTGTTGAATTTCTGATTATCTTCATGCCACAGGATTATGCCGTTCTAGTTGCCATAGCCTTGTAATAATACTTGATGTCTGATTGGGGAAATCTGCCCATGTAATATTTCTGCAAGAGGTCGAGACTGTTCTTGATCCTTTTCACTTTTATGTACATTTTATGATCCTTGTGGAGATTTTGATTGGAATTACACCAACTCTGTAGATCAATTTGGAAAGAATAAAATCTTTATTATTGAGTGTACTAAAGAAAATGTTACATTTCTTTATTGATTTGAATTGTCCTGAATATCTTTCCGTAAACTTGAATTTTCTTCATTAAGCATTCATAACATCTTTTCTTAGAGATATTGCTAAATATTTATTTTTGGGTGCTATTTCTATGTGTGTCTTATATTTTCAAATTAATACTGTAAGTTGATTTTATCTTAACAACTTTGCTCAGTTCTTATTAATTTTCATAGTTTATTTGTATCTTGCTTTGGCTGATTGTGTCTCCTCTAGTATCTTTTTGATCTTCCTGATCCACTGAGCCAGCTGTGACTTAGGGCATGATTTTTTTTTTTCTTCTTTTTTTTTTGTTTTCAAGATGGAGTCTCGCTCTGTCGCCCAGACTGGAGTGCAGTGATACAATCTCAGCTCACTGCAACCTCCACCTCCTGGGTTCAAGCAATTCTCCTGCCTCAGCCTCCCGAGTAGCTGGGATTACAGGTGCCTGCCACCATGCCCGGCTAATTTTTGTATTTTTAGTAGAGACGGGGTTTCACTGTGTTAGCCAGGCTGATCTCGAACTCCTGACCTCATGATCTGCCCACCTCGGCCTCCCAAAGTGCTGTCCACAAATGGACAGGTGTGAGCTACCACACCTGGCCGGGGCACGATTTTTAATAGAAGGTGCGATGGTGACTGTTCTTGTCTAGCCCTTGATCTTAAGGGGGAGTCTGATGTCTTGTCATCTTAACCCTTAGCATTATCTCCTCTACCTTTTCCATGTTAAAGAAATATCCTCATGAAAGAGTTTTAATCTGGGAGTGGTGTGCTGAGGTGTGCATTTGAATTGCTTGGGCCTCAGTGTGCAGAGGGGATCAGAGTGGGCAAGGGCAGGTATAGGGAAAGGAGTGGGAAACTCTTTCAGTATTGAGGCAAGGCATGGTTGCAGTCCCTGGGGCAAGTTCTCCTCTGTGGGAGGCAGGAGTGCTGGGTGGATTTCATAGGTTTTTGGGAGATGGAATAAGTAGATAGTAGATATTGATGCTTGATTATAGAAGCTCAATGAAAAGAATTCGGGGGAAATGGCTCCCAGAGTTTTGGCTTGAGCAGCTCAGGTGAGGATGCCATTAATGAGATAAAGATGGTTGGAGGAAGAGCAGATTTGGAGGATGGTTTTGGATACGAATGTTGAGGCGCCTTCTAGGATCCCGGTGGAGATGGGAAACAGGCATTAGAATGCACAGGTGAAAGCAGAGTGAGGAGCTAAGCTGGAGTCATGGGTTGCAGCTTTGCTGGTGTGTAATGCTGAGAGGAGCTGTGGTGGTGGAAGCGGAGGATAAAGAGATGGCGCCCCTGGGGCCAGATGCAGGAGGTGGGTGCACAGAAAGAGTGGCTCAGCGAGGCCAGGGGAGATACCCTGTGCACAGTTGTTAGCAGCGCTGAGTTCTGAGAGGTTGGGCAAGATGAGGGCGCTGCCTGATAGATGGAGTGTCAGTAGGACCACTCAGGGCAGGCTTCGGCTGAATTTGGAGCTCCCAAACCTTGTGTATGTACAATTGGTTGGCCCTCAATAAGAGGCAGTGGATCCTAGGAAAAGTCATTTTTAGCTTTCCTTCTTCCTCAGTATAGAAATTCGTAGAAGAGGATAGGATGGGTGGCAAGTACCACGCCTCTCTCCAGTCATTTCCATAAAGGGGTGGGGCTTTGAAATGCAGGGGAGAATTGAACAGGTTGAAGTTGTTATGGGGATGATGACTACTGAGAGAGAGGGGTTAAAGATACAGAAGGGAGTGGTTTTGGTGCACATGTGGTTTTACAGTGAAGGTAGGGGAGCTTGATCTCTCATAGCAGACAGCCTCCTGCTACCTGGTCTTTTGAAAGTCTAGCCTCCACTAAGCAGCATGGGGAGGTCACAGAGTGAGTAGACTGAGGGCATATGTGTAGAGCAGCCAGGCTGCTGTGTGTCAGAGAAGAAATTTGCAAATAGGACCATGTTGAAAAAGGTGCTAATCAGTACTAAGCAAAGAACAGATGCTACACAGTGATGAGCAACCTGGTCCTGGTCACAGCAACACAGTGACCTCTGGGTGTAGCAGCTGCCAGGTGCTTGGGAAGGGCCCCGTGGTGTGTTTCATTGGGACAGGAGCCTGTGGTCAGCCTGTGCCCTGACAGGTCCCCAAGGCTGGTCACATTCTACCAGACCAGACTGTGTCTGAGGGATCACCTTCCTGCAACGCCCAGTGACTGACCTGGATGCAGACCTAGGAGACAGCAGGCTGAGTGGCCTGGGGTGGGCACTGCTACCTCCAGCTCAGGCAGCCTGCCCAGGAGAGGGAATTCATGTTGTGAAAGTTACTTGTGACAAACCTGAGGGAGAAGCTGGGTTGGTCCTGGGGCTGGTGTTCTGGGCTCTGGCCATGGGGATCCTGCCCCTGCTTTGCTCTTGGGCATCACTCCATCCTGACTGAGAGGGGCTCCTGTGCTGCATGAGGTCTGTGTGTCCTGCTGCTCCCCTGACTTTTCCATAGAATAAACAGCCCTACTTCATATGTGTCACCACAGCCCTGATCCCAGTGTCGCATTGCTCAATAGATAGTGTTAACAGTTATTTTGAAAATACACACGATCTCTCTCCAATAACATACCCCCCAGAATCTGAGAACATGAGAAAATATCCCACTCGGAAGTTGGAAAGACAATATGTAAAGAATGATTTTAAATGCCAGATGACTGATCCTAAGCTGCGGAGAAAAGGTGTTCAGCCTCCAGGGAACTCAATGGCATGCCACTCAGACCCTGGAGGTCTGAACAGAGCCCACTGCAGGCTCTGGTGAGAAATCTGTAGTGTAACCTGCCTGAGTCAGCTGAGTGCTCTAGCAAAAGGACCAAAGGATAGAGGCAGGTCCTCTAGGGCAGAAAGAGTGGAAATGTGAAAGAGACCACATGGTGGCCCACACTGCCCCAGGCCATGCCTGGCTGACAGCTGGATGGCTGGACCCACCTGGACCCACCCAGTGGCCCTCCTGTCCTGTTGTGGTCAGGGCAGAAGTGGAGTGCCTGGGGCCTCCTGCAGAGGAGTGGGCTCAGCAGGGAGCATGGATGGCCTCGGGGGTTGGGACTGACCAAGCCTGGGGGCTATGAGCCGTAAGTGGGGCCCATTATAGAAGCTGGTGATGACTTTCTTATTTTCTCCAGAGATGGTCTGGTACTCTGCAATGTGGAGGTGCTATGTAATTTAGCCATGTCTCTGCTGTCGTTGTCAAGAACGTGTTTAGTTTTTTGCTACTATAATGATTTTTAAAAAAATTTTATTTTCATGAGGTATTCAATATTATACTATTGCAGTATTTTACTAATAACCTTAAAAATTTGATATTCCTTAAAAATGTTATATTAAATCCTCACTTTGTCCTGTAGCTTTGCTTACTAGACTTGCCCTTTCTTAGATTTTTACTAAAGTTTTGTTGTTGTTGTGATGAAAAACTGTTAACAAAAAATAGAAGAAACAGTAGAATGAGTGGTGGCGTACCTACTTCAGGTTATACAAATGGCAACCTGTGCTTCAGATCAGTCTTTTAATAAAAAAGAGATGCTTCAGGCTTTTCTAAAAGTCATGTACAGACCCCTTGAACATGTTTTTATATTTTCTCACCTCATACATATGGAATAATTAATACATTAATTTTAAATTAAATTCTGTATTGTGCTTGCTGTTCTGCACTTGGTCTTTTTGAGATGCGTCCTAGTTCATCTTGATGAGTTTTTATCTTTAAAGCTAATGCAGATGACGTTGATGTTAAGCCCCGGAGGCTGACAGAATAAAGGGCACCAGAGGGAAGTCAGAGCATTACTCCCATTGAGTAGAACGGCCACTCATCTTGCCCTTCTGGTCCAGAATTCCCAAGTAGAAAATTGGATTCTTCTGCTGGTGCTGGGGGCTTTGCTTTCAGCGTCTGCTCTGCGACCTTTCGCTCCATTTTCAGTGAGTTTGTGGTAGTTAGTGTGAAGTAGGAAGTGACACAGGCTGCCTGATCATGTGGCCATTTTGGAAGGTCATTTTTATTTTGAACTTAAAAATCGAATGTTTTGGAAGAACCTACACCCTCCTTTGAGCTATTGTCTGACTTAAAAGACTGCAGTGTGTGTCTTCCCAAAGTGGATGCACTTAGGTTTATTAATGTTGTATTTGTTAATGGCGTTTCAATATTTGGTTACAAATGAGGAATGTCAGTTCAGTTTACCAGTGACTTCAAAGTAGCGACCTGGTAGAGTTCTCTTTTAGGTTGTGCTTTTCCAAAACCCACAAATGGACAGAAACTAATTTATCTTATTTCATCATAGACTTATAAAACACATTTCAGTGGCTAAATGGGATTTGGGATTTTTGTTTGTTTGTTTTTGTGTTGCTTTTATGAGTGTGTGTAGAAACAGTCTTGATGTGTTGCCTGGCCTGGTCTGAACTGCCTCAGCCCCCAGTGTCGGGATTGTAGTCATGAGCCACCGTAACCAGCCTTGATGAGATGTAATGTTCCTATTCTGCCTTCTTGAACTTTGCTCAGTCAGTACAAGTATTCTGTTCAAACTGATTAATTAAACCCAGGAACTGAATACATTTAGATAAAACTTGCTACTTGAGACTGGGGCACTGGGTAGATTCGAATGATGCCGTATCTCGTGATGTCTACCCTCTCACTATCCACATTCAGGGATGGAAAGGATTTGGGGAGTGAGGAATGTTTATAGAAGTTCAGCCCAGCTCCCTGCTGTAGAATGTTCTTGTATGAGCAGTCCAGCAGTCAGTAAAGCAACCCTTTTCATTGTTGAACTGCTCTCATTCTTAGAAAGTTCTTGTTTCTGTTGACTTGAAATTTGCTTCCGTGGTTTAATTTTTCCCGCTGTTCCGAATTCTTTCACGTGCCACGCAGGATGTGCCTGTTCACTGAGTTCATAATCTTACTTCTCATGGGCCTTGTACTTAGCCTTCTTCAAGCTGATCATGCCTCAGGTTTTGCCTCCTTCTGTCACCAGGCCTCCTCTTCTGGGCGCCGGCCTCTGGCTCTTCCCTTGGGGTCTGGCCAACACCGCAGGCTTTGGGCCAGCATCAGCTGCTCCCAGGCTCTTAGCTCTTGGGAGTTGCTCCTCCATCCTTTGCCTCCCTGGGCACTGACATTGCACCTGGTCTCAGTCCAGGCTTGGCCAGCCTGACCGGCTCTGTGGGGCCTCCTCTCCCTATAGGATGGCCAGACGCCGCGCCCTCCCACTGTGCTCCAAGGCCCCACCCTGCCTCTCTGGACACTGGATCTGTAGTGTAACGGGAACAGGTCACATGACAGTTTCCTTTCTATAACTTTTTATCTTCTGTAGACTATTGAGATTTAGTAAACATGTCTGTTTGCACATGCTTAAAATGGTTGGAATGTTTTGCCTTGTCTGTGTTTGCAAGCGATGAAAATTAAAGGTGGTAGGGATTATATTGATTTGTTTAATCTTGGACTCGACATCTTCAAAGCTATATTTTTTGGGTGATACTTGAAAATCATACAATGTCTGCCTGTTTATTTATTTATTTATGAGATGGAGTCTCATTCTGTCACCCAGGCCAGAGTGCAGTGGCACGATCTCTGCTGATTACAGCCTCTGCCTCCAGGGTTCAAGCGATTTTCAGCCTCTGCCTCCCGAGTAGCTGGGGTTATAGGCGCCTGCCACCATGCCTGGCTAATTTTTTTATTTTTAGTAGAGACGGGCTTTCGCCATGTTGGTCAGGCTGATCTTGAACTCCTGACCTCAAGTGATTCGCCTGCCTTGGCCTCCCAAAGTGGTGGGATTACAGGCATGAGCCACTGAACCAGGCCAGTTTTTTGTTTTGTTTTGTTTTTTGTTTTTTAAGACTTAACTTTGTTACTCTTTGTTTTGTTTAACATTTCAGGATCATATGCCAAGTAATAGAGGAACATTTGTTAGGTTGGGCTAGGAATGGGGACTGGGGTAAGGCCGACTGTAGTTCTAAGAAGAGGTTCCAGTTTAACACCATTTCTTTAAAGAATTTTACCGTATTTTAATTCAGAGCAAAAGCCACACAGCTGCATATAGGCGTAAGTGAGTCCTTTGAGGAAGTAGGTGACTGAGCTGTAACAAGTCAAGATCATACAGCCGAGGGATTGCAGTGCATGTCTCTTTTCATTCTGAAAGAACTTCTCACTATTTAAAAACTATTTTTAAAGTTACGAAATATTTTGAAATATAGTAAACTTTTTTGGCCTTTTTTTCTTCTTTTGCTTCTTGTCTTCAGTCTGCATATTTTTTTTTTTACCGAAAGCCCACCTCTCTAGTAAGTGTGAAAGGAAGAGAGTGAGAAACTGGTGGTGTGACCTCTACTCTGGAGCCCCGTGTCCCTTCTGAGAAAGATGCCTCTTGTTGTAGAGAGGACACACAGTGGTTCTGCTCAGCTGCACTTGGGCATGGAGAACAAGAACCGATATAGACGAAGGCCTGAATCCGCAGAGGGAGACCCTGGGTTAGGAGGCACTTCTGCAGCCTTCAGAAAATGCAGACAAATTAATTCACTTATTGGACTGCTTTAATAGAATAGTGGCTTGCTCTGTGGATTCACAGAGGATTATTTGAGGTCAATGATTGGAATGTGATTTTAGAAAATATTCTTTCCTTGGAATTCTTTGGTTTTATGCTGTAATGTAGTTTGTTTGTTTGCTTTAAAGGAAAGTTTGTGCTTTCAAGGAAGGTTTTAGGATGAAATGGCCAAAAATCAAAAAACAAAAATGATCATCTTCACTTGAATGCGGGTGCTACATGAGTCTAGCCTTAGATTTGTATTATTCCAAAGTTAGGTAAGTGAGGTCAGCCACAAGATATTATACACTAGACATTTTACATTGATTTAAATTATATGGTTGGAGCTTGAATAGATTTTATAATATTCTTTGGACCAAACCTGCCTATCAGAATCACCTGTGAACAGTTTTTTAAAATAATAGCGACTTTGATCGCACACGTGGAGGTGCAGATCTAGCCAACATACTGTTTTAGGAACAGCTCCTTGTATTGTCTGTGCCATGCGTGTGTGTGCGCCATGCATGCACGTGTGGGGTGTGTTTGTGTGCACTTCTGTGTGTATCTACGCCTGTGTGTGAGTGACCACTTGATCATGCACACACATCCCTTAGAGGCACGGACTTGTGGACTTATCGGTCAGTTAGGAATGTGTTGTGTGCACGTGTGTCTATGTGCGTGTTGCATGCAAGTGTGAGGTGTCTGTGACTACACACATGCCAGTCTCATTATTCCCAGCTTCTCATACTGCAGTTGTTTTTGTTTGGTACAAAGGTGGAAGCTCTGCCAAGGTTTTTTCTTGATGCGAGCCAGGATCGAAGGGCTATGGTGTTTAAAGCTTGCGAGCTGAAGGCCCTTGGAAGGCAGGAACCTCAGATAAATTGTAGTCTGTAAGATTCCTGGTCGTTCTCTGGGGGGAGTCAACAATGATCTGTGCTTCACTCCCAGCGTCTGTTGACCATGCTTGGCTCTCAGGAGGCCGGACCAAGGACAGCGTTTGCACTCCTGGTCTCACCACGCCCAGTGTTGGCTTAGGGAACCTCTTGTGAATGCAGCCATGGACATTTGCTTTTCAGAGAACGAGAGTGAAGGTTTGGGGAATGTTTCTGTCCTTACCTATATTGGCAGTAGGCAGTGTGAGAGGTGGTGGTTCTTGGGTTGTGTTCCCCTTGCCTGGTGTTTTCCTCTGATTTCATACTGCTATAAAGAACTGCCTGAGACTGGATAATTTATGAAGGAAAGAGGTTTAATTGACTCACAGTTCAGCATGGCTGGGGAGGCCTCAGGAAACTTAGCATCATGGCAGAAGTTGAAGGGGAAGCAAGGCACCTTCTTAACAAGGCAGCGGTAAGAAGTGTCGAGTGAAGGGGGAAGAGCCCCTTATACAACCATCAGATCTTGTGAGAACTCATTCACTATCATTAGAAGAACATGGGAGAAACTGCCCCTATGATCCAATTACCTCCACCTAGTCTCTCTGCCTAGACACGTGGGGATTATGGGGATTATAATTCAAGATGAGATTTGGGTGGGGATGTGCAGCCTAACCATATCAACTGGTGTTCAGATGAAGAGGTTGTAGAAGCATATCTACTGCTTAAAGAGGGAAATTGGAGTCAGCAAGCTCTGGGCTTGGTTTTCTTCCACATTTAAAACAAACCCAAGGAAGAGATGGTGCAGCCGTGCAAGCCCCTGGTGGATCTGTTGTGTCTCACACAGGTTTTCTATTTTCTCTGTGTCTTCAGCAGTGTGCATCTTACTTAAACCGCCTCAGGGCTCCTTTCATCCCCAGGCCCAGTCCTCAGCTTGACACATCATAGGCCCTCAGCACCTAAGTGTTCTGAGAGGGAGTGCAGCTCCTAGAGGTCCATGTCCCATGTCCTCCTGCTTCCTGCATATCATTTGGGCCCCAGTCGGTCCTTGTTACTGCGGGTCTTGTGCTGTCTCTGGAACAGCCCTTTATGGGCACCATCTACTCACTCATTCACTTCTGTTGGCTGACGTGGCCCCTGAGCTCTCTTCCTGTGCTTAGTTAGGCCGCGCGAGGCCAGAGGTTGAGTGGGGAGGCTTCCAGCCCCTGCCTTCTGTCCCAGCTTCAGGCTGGCCTGGTTCCATGTCCTGCTGTCCTGCTTCAGCCATTCCTCTATGTGGCTTTCAGTCCTCTCACAGATTTCTTCATTTTTGCAAGGTAGCGTGGGAATGATGACTAGCACATGGCAGCACACATCAGGCAGGTTTATGAAATTATGTTTTAAGAGAACACAGAATCACAAATTACTCATCCTGTATATGTGTTAAAATGTGTAACCTAATTGCTGAACAATGAAAAGCAATTCCTTTTATATTTAAAAACTCACTAGTTAGCTGAGAACCTAATGGTAGTTGCAATGTACTTTAAATAGAAAAGTCCTCTTGCTTGACAAAGGTAAAGGAAACTGTTCGGTCCGACTTTGTTCCTTTCATGCCTGCCAGGGCTTCTGGTTTCACGGAGACCTCAGGCTAGGAGCAGCCCTGAGCAGGGAGACTGAGTTACAGAGAATCCCCACCAAGTTGCAGGCAGAGGGACAGCCGAGGCCCTCAGGAAGTACACGAGAGCAGAACCACTATGGCAAGTTCACTGAGAAATCTGGAAAGTTAGAATCCCAGCCCGAGTCCATCAAATGGAGCATCATAAAATTAAGTTTTCCTTACTGTGAAATGGCAATTTGTAATGATTTCTGAGAAGTGGGACCCATGGTGGTGTCGATGTCTGAGCCAGGTGAGGGTGAGATCCCTGGCGCCATGGGCTGGCCCCCAGGATGCCCTGGAAAACGCATTCTGTTCACAGCTGTGTGATTCTTTTCTTTCTGTGTTGGTGAAGCAGCCAGACCCGGTCCGTTTGGAATGCCTGGGATGGTGCCGCCGCATGTTCCTCCTCAGATGCTCAACATTCCGCAGACCTCTCTGCAAGCAAAGCCCGTGGTAAGGCCTTCCCTGCGTTGGGTCGGGTGGCGGGTCTCAGACAGGGTGCGTGCATTGAATTTCAACGAATGCTAAAATAAGTTCCTAACCTCTTGAATTGATACGTGAAATAGATGCCAGTGTTTGTTGAAATAAAAATGAGCCAGGAAACGTCAGCCTGGGCCTGAGTCGGGTCCTGCTGGCCACGTGTGCGTGACCTGTGCCCTTCGCTTCAGGCCCCACAGGTGCCCAGCCCAGGGGGCGCCCCGGGCCAGGGTCCATACCCGTACAGCCTCTCTGAGCCAGCACCTCTCACTTTGGACACGAGCGGGAAGAATCTGACGGAGCAGAACAGCTACAGCAACATTCCTCACGAAGGGAAGCACACGCCGCTGTATGAGCGGTCCTCGCCCATCAACCCGGCCCAGAGCGGCAGCCCCAACCACGTGGATTCCGCCTACTTCCCTGGCTCTTCTACATCGTCATCTTCCGACAACGACGAGGGCAGCGGAGGGGCGACAAAGTGAGTGGTGCGTGGGTCGCTGGGTGCTTCCTGGCGGGTAGTGACCTGGGGAAGCTGCCTTCTGGCCTGCCAGCCCAGCTGGTGTTTTGCTCAGAGATGTAGTTTATTGCAGGTGGGTGATGGTCAGTCTGTACTCAGATGGGGGCTCCTTGGACAGAGAGGAGAGAGGAAGAGTAGGTATGTTCTTGAAGTTTCCATGATTTAAAATCTGCACTATCCCAGCCCCATGGCCTGGAGCCACAGGAAACTTTCTGGGGAGGAATTTGACAAGAACTGGTTTGTGTGATGACCAAAACATGGGGGCATTTGTCCGGTGTGGTGCCACTCACACCCGTCACAGCAACCCCCTGCCGACCCCCGAAACATTAATCTTCTGGCTCCTGGATCAAGGGAGCTCTGAATTTCCTCTCCTTCTCCTAAACTCAGCAGGTTACAGGACACTTTGGAAATAACACTGTTTGCCCAAGCAAAACCCTAGAAAGCTGCCTAGACCCAGGCTGGAATTGTTTCCTTAGAGGAGTATTTTAAACACTGTGTGTCCCTGAATAAATGGGTTCACAAATACATAGTTGGTTAAAATTTGATCGAGGAAATCTTTAATTTGCACTCCTCCCTTTCTTTAAATTGTCTTATGTTTAAAACAAAAAAAACAGGGAAAGAATATTTCTTTTCTTTAAGTCAGTGTCTCCTTTTCCTTGGTGTGAACTCTACTTTACAGCGCAGATAACCAGGGCTGGTTGATGTTACATCTGTTTCTGATGTAGGAAATGTAAGAGACATAGGTGTCAGCTTCCATGCCAGTTCTTACCTTGTGTGTCACCTGAAGCAGGTGATCTTTTCCTCTCTGTCCTCTGTCCATCTGTGAAATGGGAATAAATGTCTGTTGACCCAGGGCAGAGCTTACTGAAGGACTCTCTGCCATCCAGGGATGCATACCCTGTTTATAGCAGAGAAGTATAACATTAATAAATGTTGATTTGTTGTATGTGCAGAGAAGTATAAAATTAATAAATGTTTATTTGCTGTATATGCAATGCCAAGACTCTAAAATGAAGTAAAGAGTTGCAATTGAATATTCAAATTTTTAAATTAACCTCTAGCAAGATAATATATTGAGTACCCATTGAATCAGAATCTCTGGTTGGGGCCCCCAAATTTGCATTTTAAATAAGCACCTCAGTCAGTCTTTAGCACACTGAAGTTTGAGAACAACTGCTTGATGGTCTTGGAAGCCCTTATGTGCCAGATTTCTAAGGCATGTGCATTTTGTTGTAAAACGTGACTCATGTCAGCAAGGTCCAAGTGTCTGTACAATACAGTTTTTGTCTTAGTAAGAAATGTTCTTTCTAAACTGTGAAACATAGGTAAGAAGTAAGACAAAAAGCAAAAGAAGTAAGCTTTATGACCCCAACAAGAGTTCCATGCTAGTGATGGAGATGTGGAAACCAGGTCAAGGTGCTGACTTGGGGACGTGGGTGGTGACTGGGGCATGTTTCAGTTGAGGTGCTTGTTCCTCCGGTGGGGAGGGATTGAGAAGAATGTGAGTTGCCCATCTAATTTGGCAAGTTGTCTTTGTTAGGATGAGCTGAACTTGGAGTGAGTAGGACTGCCTGAGCATGTCCTGTCTTTTCTGGGTATGCACTTCCTACCTGTCTGTGAAGGTTCTGGTCAGCTTTTTGGAGCTCTGGGCATCTGACCTCTCCAAGTGCTTATTGTCTTTATTCCTGGTATGGCATCTTTACTGTTTTCTGGAGATGCATCTTGTTTCTGCCACTGGAATTTGACCTGCTCGGGGTCTTGTGTTTTGCCATCCTTGTGGTATGAAGTGCCATGAGGAATGCAGGGTACACCCTATAATAAGGAAGAGACAGACATGTTAGACTTGAGATGAATGAAGGCAGAGGAGACAAGGGTGCTTGTTCCTGAAGGCTTTGGGGTCAGAAACTAGCATTCAACTTGGGGTGAAACCCTTGATCACAGGCATCCTTTGCTTGTGGCAGGTGCAGGGGTATGACGCGTGTGCCAAGTAGAGACAGTGTTCATGATTTTCAGCAAGGGTTCTAGTGTGTTGAATTGGTTGTATCTGCAGTGTATAATGTGCCCCTTAGGCTGTGCATAAGAGAACAAAGAATTGCTTTTATAGTTTAGAAAAAAAGTCACTACTTTTTTACCCTTTGGTTTAGAATTGAATGAGGACCCCGGGACCTACGTTGCCTTTTCAGGATGGCCCTAAGGGAACAGAAATTATTCATTCTCTTAGCAAGAAATACTTGGGCATTTATTTACCAGTGAACAGGGCAGAGGACAGGAGTGATGAGGTCTGTGCGCAGAGCTTGCATTCTGGAGGAGAGTATGTAAGCAGTGAACATAGAAGCCCTGACGAGTGCGTGAAGAAGACATGCCGAGAGTGAGGAGCGGGGAACTGGGAGCACCAGAGCAAAGGAGGGCAGGAAAACTGGGAGAAAGAAGTGAGCCAGCTGATGGCCTGTGGTGTGAGGACCAGCAGGGCTGGGCCGTGCACAGCTGGATGTGTTCTACGTGCCACGGGAAACATCTAGAGCAAACTTGTTCATCCCGTGGCCCACGGGCCGCACGCAGCACAGGATGGAGGCCCAACACAAATTCATAAACTTCCTTAAAACATTGAGATTTTTTTTCTGATTTTTTTTTTAAAGCTCATTAGCTATTGTTAGTCTATTTTATATGGGGCCCAAGACAATTCTTCTTCTTCCAGTGTGGCCCAGGGATGCCAAAAGGTTAGACACTCCTGATCCAGAGTGTGCTTAGCATGACCTTAGGCTGGAGAGACCCTGGTGTTTCTTTGGAGGTGAGTTTACTCACACCTTGATGCCATTTGCCCTCGGGACAGTGGGTCTCCGGACAGTCAGACCATTCAGCTGGTGGAAACAGTTGAACTCCAGAACTCTGGTCTTAAAATATATTGATGGTAGAAATGTTTATATATATGTATGTATTTTTAAATTTTTTTGAGATGGAATTTTACTCTTGTTGGCCAGGCTGGAGTGCAATTGCATGATCTCGGCTAACTGCAACCTCTGCCTCCCAGGTTCAAGCGATTCTCCTGCCCCAGCCTCCTGACTAGCTAGGATTACAGTTGCCTACTACCATGCCCAGCTAATTTTTTGTATTTTTAGTAGAGATGAGGTTTCACCATGTTGGCCAGGCTGTTCTCAAACTCCTGACCTCAGGTGATCCCCCCACCTCGGCCTCCCAAAGTGCTGGGATTACAGGCGTGACCCACCGTGCCTGGCCAGAAACATTTATAATTTCTAGACTGTAAAATAGCGGAGGCGATTGGCCTTCTAGATGCATAGCAAGGTGTGACCCCACCTGCTGCACTCTGCCTTTCATTGTCCAGACCTAACTTCTCCTGTCTTCTGTAGTGTACGTTCAGTGATACCACAAGGAAGGAATAATGTGGGACACCCTGCAAAATAAATGGCCTAGTTTCCCCAACAATGAATCAGTGGCACTCTTTTAAAGGGTGGTAGTGATGGGCGATGGGGATTGTTACATAAAAAAAGAGACAACAAAAAAAGAAAAAAGCTTCCTATGAATTAAAAAGGTAAGTGGTTTTCTAAAATTATTATTATTATTTTTTTAGGGACAGGGTCTTGCTGTTTCACCCAGGCTGGAGTGCAGTGGGACCATCATAACTCACTGTAGCCTCAAACTCCTGGGCTCAGGTGATCCTCACACCTTAGCATGTTCCACCTGAGACGAAAGACATGTTCCACCACACCCAGCTAACCTGTATTATTTGTAGTTATGGGGTACCGCTGTATTGCCCAGGCTGGTTTCAAACTCCTGGCCTCAAGCAATCCTCCTACCTCTGCCGAAAGTGCTGGGATTACAGGCATGAGCCACTGTGTGCAGCTGATGGCAACTGTTTTAAATGGAAAAAGATACAACTGTGCTGGGTATGGTACTGTACACCTGTAGTCCCAGCTACTCGGGAGGCTGAGGTGGGAGGATCACTTGAGCCCAGGAGGTTGAGGCTGCAGTGAGCTATGATCATACCTGTGAATGGCCAATGCGCTCTCTCCTGGGCAATGTAGTGAGATCTCATCTCATCTCTTAAAGGTATAAGCATGGAATTCACAAGGGAAGCAGCCATCAAGAAACATAAAAAGTTGTTCACCGTCACTAAGAATATCAAAATTCTACAACTTAGACCATAAGATACCTTTTACAAAAGCCTATAAAATTGTCAAACATTTATTTTTAAAAATAAAATGTGGTGGGCGGTTATGGGTGGAGTTATTGGGTCCTGGCTGTCGCCACTGAGCATTGCTGAATGTTGTCATGACTTGTGGACTTCTCAGAGCTGCGAGCATGCGGGTGCTCTTTGTGGAGATTTGCTCTGTGCCTGTAGGAAGGTGGGTGTGTGGTGTGCATTGCAGCAACATTGGTGGAACAGATGTGTGTGCCCCCATGCTGTCATCAGGGTTCATTGCACAGGAGCCTCATACACACTACAGAAAATATGCTCTTGTAACCCCAAGTTCATGGGGAGGCATCCACACAGATGGCAGCAGATCAGGAAATGCTCTCAGCCAGTCCTCAGGGGCAGTAGGGCAGCCTTCATCTGGGTGCGCTTGGCAGCCCTGAACTTTATCTCTTCTTTTCGTTGTATTTCTTTAATATCTTATTCAGCATTTTAGTTTCTTTAGTTGGATGAGTTGTTCAGTGTCTTTGTACTGTACAGTTCTCCTGTGCTGTTGGAATGGACGTCATGGGCTATGTTACTCTTTTGAAATACAAATTTCTCTTTAGAAGTTTTGGAAAATCTGTTAGAGGAGGAGTTCTGAGAATATGAGAAGACTTCTTGCCACATAGTTGTGCCTGCCCGATGTATTTTTCCAAAAAAATTGAAGGTGAACCTGTTGGAAGCTCAGTTCTGAGTTTAATTGACTACTTTGCAGAGACACAACACTCTCTTTCTAGCATGTCCCTTGGAAGAAAATAGGCTGGTGCTTGGGTGGTGATCAGAACTGGCAGTTATTCTAGGCCTAAAACAGTTTGGCAATAAAATAAGAAAAAGGGGCCACATGTGGTGGCTCATGCTTTAATCCCCACACTTTGAGAGGCTGAGGCAGGGGGATTGCGTGAAGCCAGCCTGGGCAACATAAAATTTAAAAATTAGCCAGACATGGTGGCATGTGCCTGTGGGTCCAGCAACCTGGGTGGCTAAGACGGAAGGATCACTTGAGCCCAGGAGTTCAAGGCTGTAGTGAGCCATGATGGCACCACTGCAGTCCAGCCGGGCAACAGAATGAGTCCCTGTCTCTTAAAAAAAAAAAAAAGGAAAGAAAGAAAAGGAATGAAGTGTGTGGCTTTCTAAGTAATGTCTCCTCCAGTTCCTTTGTTAGAACAGTAGAGCAGTACCAGCATACACTTGCTTTATTCTTGTTTAAATTTTAAAAATTAAAGTGACATTCTTGTCTTTTTTCCCTTCCTGGTGCCTGTCAGATGTTTGTAATCTTGTTTCAGTTGAATTAAGAATTACAGTTGAGGCCGGGTGCAATGGCTCATGCCTGTAATTTCAGCACTTTGGGAAGCTGAGGCAGGCAGATCACTTGAGGTCAGAAGTTCAAGACCAACATGGTGAAACCCTTTCTCTACCAAAAAATACAAAAATTAGCTGGACGTGGTTGTGTTTGCTTGTAGTCCCAGCTACTTGGGAGGCTGAGGTAGGAGAATTGCTTGAACCTGGGAGGTGGAGGTTGCAATGAGCCGAGATTGTGCCACTGTACTCCAGCCTGGGCAACGGAGTGAGATCCTGTTTAAAAAACAAAACAAAACAAAAATTACAATTGAATCCTTGTGGAGGTGTTTATTTTATGTTATTTTCATAGATTCATTTGGACTTGCAGAATCTGAATCAAATCTGAGGTTACTGTATTACAATTTTTAATTCTTTGTTTTATATCTTTTTTCTAATTATCATCTTGATACAAAGTTATATAGAATTCAAACACTGGACAATACAGTATAGAGAATTCCCCATGATCCTACTTCTAGAGAGGTAATTATATTTGAAAGATTGGTGAATATTCAAGCACCTTATTTTCCTCTGCATCTGCTAAAATAAGATTTTTACAATAACTAGGTCCTATCTTAGGGAGAGTAACTTGCCCTTTTTCCTTTTCTTCCATCTTTTATCCTTAATATACTTACGTAACTATGTATTCTTATTTGTGCATGTAAGTATTAATATGTACATGTACTTAATACCCAATATTTAATAAGATCTATATACATCCACTTTATTGCTTTAATATTTTTGCATAAAATTACTGACATTTTTAAATGGATATGTAAAAGTCCTTATTGAGAGAGAAGACTGAGTTTTTTTCCACCTTGTGACCTTGTTTGTATAAATGGGTTTCATTTTCTTGAGAACTTATGTATGTATCTTAGGAGAGAAAGCCCTGTGGAACAAGGACATCTCCACATTTATTTTTATTTTGACATGTAGTGTTATGGAGGCATCTTTTGCATAAGTCTTGTATCCCCCTCCCCTGTTAATTTTTGCTAATGACATGTACTCCCTGGACCAAATCTGGACTGTGAAAGATGAACCACAGGAAGGCAGGCTGTTTGGTGTTAGCATGCTCTGTGAGCAGCACTGAGACCTAGCTGTTGGCAGGAACCGGTTTGCTCAGAGTCTCTTGGTTGGTATTTCTAGGTGATGTTGTGACCTGAAGCTCGCAGAACCTCAGAGCATTCAAATGTGCGTGACAGGTTTGCTGAGTTGTTTGTGTATTAAATTAGCTGATGAAAAAGCTCAATGAATGGTAGCTATCACTACTTTTTAAAAATTAACTCTTAGTATGCTAGAAAATCAGAACACTGATGTGGTTTTTAATGTAAAATAGCTAAAAGAATTTTATTTGGCTCCCTTTGATCTGGTATCCCAGGAAGTTTGTGCCTGATGTGCCTCTTTTGCTTGAAGATGGTGTTGAATGTTTTTCTTGTCCTTTAAGGCCTTTCCAACTCTACTTGCAAAAAAACTTTGTGTTTCACAAAGAGAATTCCATCGTGCTCTGCTCCAGGATCCTGAGGCATGGGTAGGTAGGCCTGGGGCTGAGGGAATGACTTTAGTGTAACTGTAGGTTTTTCTTTCAGATTGTTATGCTCTTGTTCCAGACAGATATCCACTTTATATTTATGTTTTGACACATGGTACCATTTCTAATATCTTCTCATAAAAGTGATTCTGAATTTTATATGTTGGCAAAAATTAATTGTGATCTATATCATTACGTTGTGTTCTAGCCATCCACTAATCTGTGTAGACATTTCGTATTGATCTTAAGACAAACGTGTTGACACAGTTAGGTGTCTCTGAACCCTCACTTGTGGGGTGCAAGGGGATAGCTCCGTGACCAGTTGGGGCTTCTTGGTCACACTGTCTTCTGATGACAGCGAGAAGTGCCAACAAGGCTGTGAAAGAAGTTTGAGCCATCATCTGACTGCCACATGGAAAAGTGCTTTCTGTGTTCCTGACATTTTAAGCTCACCCATTATGTGAAGGAAACTGAATGTGTGATGTTAGCTTAACTAGAGCATGAGGAGACTAGACCTATTAGGTGTCTGTCTCTGTGACTCTTGTAGCTTCCCTGGTCAGGGCACCCAGATACTGGTGCTTCTGTAGGGAGATAGCACTTGGCAGGGCCAGGCCGTGCAGGAGAACTCTGAGCATCTGTCCAGCCAGGCTGAGGCCTTCTGTTGCCCTGCACCAGCAGGGCCCAGGCCCTCTTTGTTACACTATCAGAGACCCTCCCGGCTGTCTGTTCTCAGCCCTGTTGAGTTGGGGAGCAGATAGAAATGAAAAATTTACACATGCCAGATAGTTCTGCTGTGAATTTGATCTTTTCTTTTCTAAATTTAATGATTTATTTTCTTCCATTTTGGTTTATTTGCCTTTGCTCTTTCCTGTTGACACAGAAGTCAGTTTTTACTTAACGTTCTCTTTCTTTTCTCCTCCATAAAGGAAAACTCTACACCCCTGACAGTCAGGAACATGAGTGACACGTCATACCCTGGTATACTTGGTGTAAATGAACACCAATACATTTCCATCCTAGTCTCACCAACCTGCTGAAAGATGTAAAAAAAAATCATTCAGTGACTAGAACAGTTTGCTATCTTTCCAGGCTTTCATACGGAAGAAGCTCCAAACGTTCCTAGTGAAGTGAGGCCTTGGCACACCTCTCTGACAGCCTGTGAATACCCCATCCTATAGTGCTGGGCTTCCCCAGCCACCAAGCTGACTTGCCAGAGTCACCCTTTCTGTTGCTTGTGTGCTGCATTCTCACATATGTGTGAAACTGTCTGTAGCGTCGGCTCGGCTCTGCTGTGGTAGCAGGTGCCAATAGTTTGAAATAAGGGTCTGGGTTTGAATCCAGCTACCTTATTTGTGACTGTGGGTAGATTCCTTCTCTCTGAGCCTGGATTTTATCATTTTATCATTAGAGATTTATAGTGTGGAGGTGGGGATGAGATTGTGAGAGCGCCACAGGCTTCCTGCACAGTGCCCGGGTCACTGACTCTACTTCCCTGTGGCCGGTGCCTGTCTCAGCACGTCTCAGCGCAGTGTAAGTCAGTGAAATGTCTGGTTTACGTACATGGTTCCAGGTATCAGTTTAAGGTATTATTAGTTGTGTAAAATGAAACATAAATATATATAGAAGTATTCTAAAATGTTATCCATCTGTTCTTCAAAGCAAGGCATTTGTCATATTCTTTTTTTTTTTAATTGTAAAGTAATATATTTGTCCTATTGAAATATATTGGCCTTCTCAAAAACTGTTTCTTGTCAAGATGCTTTTCAGGCAGAATTTTAGATTTTACAGTATGATTGTTAGAAGGTTATATGGGCATCCAGATTATGACATTTATTTTTAGATTGATAATCTACATAGAACAACACTAAGGCTTGCAAGTGTAGGGTCTGTGTGATCTCAGGTGGCGCTGGCATGGTGCCTCGGCTCTCCAGTTTTAGTAGACAGGTGTGTCCCCTCCTTGCTTGGCACTTTCCTAACACTTGGCCTCCCCTGCCCCACCATCCTAGGTGCATGATCCTCTAGATCCTCTTACCCTCCAAGAGCCCCAGACACTCTAGGGACAGATACCCTGGGGATGGGTGCTTGTGGGTCTGCGTGGTTAATAAGCATTCCACATGAGCCTTTAAGCTTAACAACAGTTTGAGAACACTTATTGTTCTTTACATGCTATGGAAGATAAGCAAGAGTTGTGCCAATGTTGCCATGTACTTCTAGGCCAGGATTTAGTAATTTTTTGCCCCCTGCGTCTCCCAGCTTGCTGACTCATGCATCTCTATCAGCACATGCTCATCCACCTCCTGAGCCGCTATCCATTGTCTGCTCACAATGCGCCCTCAGTGGCTGCTTTCTCAGTGGGACAGACCACTACACTCTGGGGATGCCTGCAATGGTTTTTGACGTGTCTGAGCCACTGCTGGGGTTTCCTCTAGTTTTGTTAAGTTGCAGGCAGAGATTGTGCATGAGCAGTGGTTTCTCCAAGCTCCATGAAGACCGGGAAACCTGAACAGGGTGGGTGAACTTTTCATGGCGTGCATGCAGTATCCTTGGCTGGACAGTCCATTGTGTGACAGCAGAATCTTTTTGCAGCTTTTTTTCCCCCTTTTTTTAAAAGACAGAACTATAATGAAGTTGATTGGAAGATAGGAGAATTATCTGGTCTTAAAACCTCTCCATCTGTCATGTGAGTCAGTTACAAAGGCAGGCCAGTTGACCCATGCTGGCATGTCCTATGGCCAGCACTGGTTTTCAGAAGGTAGTTTGGGCATGGAACCTTATAGTCGAAGGGTGAGTGCACGGAGCACCACAGCCATCCCTGCCTCAGGGTCACACTGTGCACTGAGGTTCCAGTGTGGTGCTGCATCCTGCTGGCCCTGCTCAAGCCCCTGCACATCCTCTGCTACCTGTAGACAGTGCATTTCACATTCGCCTGAGGACTATGGTAAACCCATATACTACAAGTGAACAAAGACTTTAGGAAATAATGCTTATTCACACCATGCATTCTGGTCTGTCCTGTTTCAGTTTTTTTAAATGCTCATTAAACCCACGAAATTGTATTCCCAGACTGTTAATGGGTAACAGCACAGTTACCTCTCATTCTGTAATTTGAGATGCTCTTTGATCTTCTCATCTCTTTTTCCTTATCCCCTTTTTTTTTTCACTACTTTGTTAAATAAAGCCATCCTCCAAATAAGTTCCCATGAACTCCCTGTTCTGTGAACCCACCAAGTTTGTGCCATCTCGCTTTGCCTAGAGTGTACCTTCCCTGTCTTTCAGATTTTCCAGTTCGAGTCACCTCCAGTGTTAGCTCTAATGCCCCCTCCACATGAATAGGCTGGAGCGCCCTGTGTGGTGTATTGTCGCCTTACATTTATTTATAACTTATGTGTAGTATTCGATCCAGATAACATTTAAGTCTTCTACTACCTCATAATTGCCAATTAAATGCTGATCTTTGTCTTGCTGTGACGATGGAAAGATCCTCCAAGGCAAGGCTTGCCTTTGTTTCCTCTGCATCCTCTATAGCGCTAAGCAAATCACAGACCATCTCTGAACTGCCTGGTGACTCCTCTAAGTTAGGTGTTCGATAGTTTCTTTTCCATAGTATGTGGTTATCACCTACCCTTTTGAAGCAGGAAGAAATATTAGTATAATAGAGTTATTTCTCGATGTTGTGTTTATTTTAAAAGTATTGTTATTATGAGCCTGAAGACTTAGCTGAGGCCCTTCTTATCATTGTCAGCTGGTTTGTGAAAGTGATTGGACAGTAATCATGTTCATTTTATGTTTAGCCATATCAGCGGGAACAAGATTGGCTGGGAGAAGACGGGAAGCCACTCAGAGCCTCAGGCACGAGGAGACCCAGGAGACCAAACAAAGGTAGAAAGTCTATGCCTTTTAGTTTTTGAGTTCTGACTCATTTTGTATTAGCACACTGTATTAGTGATCAAATAGTGAAAAATAATATCTCTCTCTTTTAATCGGGTCATGTAAACCTTTACAAAGGGGATAAGCGGGAAAGGAAGAGTTCAGAGCTATGCCCAAGCCGGCTAGTCTTTCTGCATGGCAGGCACCTGATGCATTTCCTTGTTTGCTCACTGTGTCATCTTGGACAAGGTGCTTAGGACCTTCCTGAGCCCACATTTGTTGTAGGTTTTTGTGAAAATTCACTGAAAAGGCACCGGGGATGCTAAATTTAACTCCCCCACCCCCCTTTTTTCTTTATCTTTTTAAAAAAATTTTTGTATTTAATTTTTTTTTTTTTTTTTTTTTTTTTTGAGATGGAGTCTTGCTCTGTCACCCAGGCTGGAGTACAGTGGCGTGATCTCAGCTCACTGAAACCTCTGCCCCCTGGGTTCAAGCAATTCTCCTGGCTCAGCCTCCCTGGTAGCTGAGATTATAGGCGTGCACTACCATGCCTGGCTAATTTTTGTATTTTTAGTAGAGACGGGGTGTCGCCATGATGGCCAGGCTAGTCTCGAACCCTTGACCTCAAGTGATCTGCCCTCCTCAGCCTCCCAAAGTGCTGGGATTATAGACGTGAGCCACCACGCCCTGTCTCCCTGCTTTTCTTCTACTTCTACCTGTTAATAGTGATATCTAAAAATATCTTTTTAATTTGCAAAGCCATGTACGTCTGCCACATGTGATTACCAAGAAGGAGCCGGTTTCCTGCCTGAAGGTTTTGGTGGTTAATATGCAGGGTTGCCTGAATATCAGACGTTTGTCTAAAGAAGTCATACTATTAAATGATTGTTCTGCAAATAAGCAACAAAAATCCTTTGTGGATACATATTATTTTCAAAGCACCTTCCAAAGCATTTTGAGTTGTTCTACATCTGTATTCTTATGGAATGGAAAGTGTAGAAAACACCAGTGAATTATCTATGAGTTATTCTTCTTAAGACTAATTTTGGCACTTTGTGTTTTAAAAAATAAAATTAAGGACTTAATTACACACCATTGTAAAGAGTATACTTTGTTTCAAAACAGAAAAATGTATATGTCTTTAGGGTGGCATTAAATCAATCAATAAGCAGTTCTTATTTTCAACATTATTCTGATAAAGTTTATTATACAAATAATCATTGCTCTTAGGCAACTATTCAGACAATTCAGACTGCTAAAGTGTCTCCTTCCTTTTTCCTTTCCTTAGTTCTACTGCCTCGCAGCAGTCCATCACTGTGGTAATAATCTGGGGACCAGACTCTTTCCTGTGTATGTCCATACACTCCATGTTTGGGGGCTTAGTTGTTACAGAATGGGTGTTTTCACCAAACAGTGTATCATGGACCTCTTTCTATGTCATTATCCATAGATCTGAGACATTGTTTTTAATGGGATTATGCTGTGGCTTAGCAGGTTTTTGGGGCTTTTGGTTTAATTTTTGCTTGTGTATAATTAACTTAGGGCTTTATAATGACTACAGAGAATGCTTGAGTTTGGGTTTTTGTTTGTTCTTTAAGTACCAGCTGTGGCATGGAGTCAGCCCTGGATTAGAATTCCATTTCTATGTGTTAGGGTTGTGTAACTGTGTTCAGACTGCACAGCCTCTTGGAGTGTTAGTTTTCCTGTTTGTGTAGAGATCTTAGGCAAAGTCTCGAGAAAACAGAAACACAGGAATGGACCACATGGATGATGGACAAGTGAGAGCCAAACAAGATAGCAAGGCTCCTGCCTCCCAGCACCCTGCCGTATCTGCAGAGGGACTGCAGGGTGACACAGAACAGCAGGGAGCAACAGGCCCGCTCTCCTGTGGCACAGTAGATGTTGATGCTGTTTCAGTGTGGGAAGCTGTTCAAGGAGAGGACTGGATCAGAGTGCTCTCTGTTTCCTCTGTCTTTAGGGTGGCACCAAATCTGGTCTCTCTAAGACAGGACTCATCTTTGTCCCCTCCGTGTCTGTCAGGTGAACAGGCACCTACCATACTTTAAATGAATGAAAACATGACATACACTCGTTTTCCTCCCTTCTGCTCTCTGCACTGTAGGCAGAAGGCTCGTCCACTGCCTCTTCAGGAAGCCAACTAGCCGAAGGCAAGGGAAGCCAGATGGGCACTGTCCAGCCAATCCCGTGCCTCCTGTCGATGCCCACCAGGAACCACATGGACATCACCACACCTCCCCTGCCCCCCGTCGCACCTGAGGTGCTGAGAGTGGCCGAGCACAGGCACAAGAAGGGGCTGATGTACCCCTACATCTTCCATGTCCTGACGAAGGTATTATCAAAGGGGCCCTGGAGTGGCTTCTGTTATTTGATGAGTGGCCATTCCTATGGGTGTTTTGTCCTTTTGTCCTTTTTTGAACCATTTTTCTGTCTTACTAATCTACTTGAAACAAAGTTCACTTTCCCCTTTCTAAACATTGAATGAAAGATGAACATTTATAACTGTAAATAGTTTTAAAATAACTCGTGAAAAGTCTCACTTTTTTCCTTCAACTTAGTATAGAATATTTTATACTTCTAATGAAATAATGCATCACATTATTTTATGACTTGTAATTTTATTCTTTTTACTTCAATTTCAGAATTTTCTTAAACCATATTTGTGCTGTAATGTCAGGTTTAATTCTGATGTCAGATACAATATCTGGTTCCTTTATCATTTGTGCTTAGAAAATAATGTTTCCCCCTTTGAATGGCTCATAGTGCTTCATGTGTTTTGACTTGTTCATGACCTCATTGAGTGCAGTTTTAATAGTGCTAAGAACAAAAAATATAATACAGGATTTTGTTAACATACGCATAGTCAGAAAATGAAACTATCATTTTATACAGTGTCATAATTTCACTTTATTAGTGTCTTAATGTATGCTTAAATATATACATATAGTGTGGCATCAATTATTTTTTAATCTTGGTGTCTCAAATGTATCTATGTGTATTTAAATTTCCTCAGTGATTTGTAGTCTTTATGTTGGCACTTTTAATCTTAGCCCCACAATTTAACAAGTTACCTCAGTTACTAGATTAATCCTGCAGAACTGGTTTATTGCTATCATGTATTATTAACATGAATACCTATATGACCATATATAACCAGACTTTTCTGTCTATTCTCTACAACCCATCTGTGGTTTGTAAAATGGAGTCAATAAATGCAATAATGAACTCCTGTTCTCAAATACTCCTGAGGTGGACTTCAACTGTTAACTGACTAATCCAAATATTGCTTACTTTTATTAATTAAAGGACATGGAAAACATGTAGCCAGTACTATTTGCTCAGATCCTTTAATTTATTTTTTAGTTGTAATGCCTCCAAATCTCATCTATTATTTGATATGGGTATGCATTTATAGTATCACTTTTCAGATTATGGTTGTAAGGTGAACATTTTATTTTTCAGGTTCAACATAAATTATAAAGGGTAAGTGAAAAGTAATTGTTGTGGGGAAAACATTTTGCTAAGTTTAAGGAACCAAAGTTTTGGGAAGACATCTTTCAAAATAAGGTGTGAAGAAACAACACTCATTCCTCGTGGGGCTGTTTGAAATGTAAGGTCCCCAGGAGCTACCTGTTATGTCCACACTGCTGGATCTGATGCGTGGATAGTCGGTTAGATCTATATGAGGGTTGCAAATTGTACCGACATGCTTTCTTATTTCTTATGAATTTCAAGGGCAAATACTGATAAAATGACCATGGTTGAGAAAATTGTCTTTTCACATTTTAAAATGCTACTTAAGTTTTTTCAGTTTATCCTATAAGCTGAATGGCTCTGGTATTAATTGCCCAGGCTAAGACATTTACAGTGAGATGCATCTTTATGGTAATGAAGAGAATTTGCAAAGCATCATATTATTGAGATAAATATTCCCTAGATGAGAGTGTTAGAACACATGTAGCTACTGGATTAATGAATATGAAAGTATGGAGGGTAAGGGGAAAGACCAGTTTTTAAATTAAACTTATGTGAATGAAAGAAACAGCAAATATTACAAAATTATTATTTAAAGCATATATATCAATGAACTTCATAGACATTGAGGTCATAAATGCATTGTTGTGCTCTGAGTATAATTAAATAAAATTTGTTGCATGATATCTTGAGATGTATCTTGATGCTGTAAGATCCCTGAGACAGATTAATTTTGGCAACAATCTTAGCTGCCAAAGGCCACAGTCAGTCATTTGTCTCTTGGCAGCACGTTCTTGAGTCAGATGCAGTTCTTGCCGTATTGGCCCTGGGACATGAAAAAGGTGGAGTGCTTTTGGTTTCTGCCCTAGTGGCTATGCATGTCCTAGCCACTGTACTGAGACACATTTCTTGAGCACCTGCCACACTATGGCAGAAGCCTAACACACGAGGTGGTAATTTGCCATGGAAGAACTTAGCAAAGAAAATTTGACCATTATATTTTCAGGATACTCAGTTCTTTAGTTTGCATGTAGGTAATTGAAAATTTTCAATTATATTGCATGTGACCATCCCAACTCTCTAAATAAAAGTTGCGAGTTCTCAGTCTTTTCTATTCTGTTTCTTGTCTGATGTTATCTGTCTGGATTGTTTCAAAGACTTTGGAACATCTACATGGTTTTCTTTTGTTCTTGGTTTTGGATTAAACATAAAATGATGTAGATTTTATTTTGATTCTTTGAGCATATGCTTTGGCCACAGCCTGCCAAATGAACTCTTCCTAAACATCTTTATTTAGGCAAGTTGTTAAGCAGTTGATTTGGAATGGAATTGCAATGTCATTAACTGGAGATAATACAGTATATTTCTGTGAGTGTATTGTAAATTCAACATGAAAAATGTGCAATGTTATTCTGCTTTCTTCCATGCAAAGGGTGAAATCAAAATTGCTGTTTCTATTGAAGATGAAGCCAACAAGGACCTGCCTCCGGCCGCTCTGCTCTATAGGCCAGTTCGTCAGTATGTTTACGGAGTCCTGTTTAGTTTGGCAGAAAGCAGAAAGAAAACTGAGAGACTTGCTTTTAGAAAGAACAGACTTCCACCAGAATGTATGTACTGTAACAATCCATTGTTTGTTTTCCTCGGTACCTCGTAATCTCTTGTGCATTTTCTAAAGCCTTAGAAGAATCATGACTGAGTTGACCCCGAGTGCCTCTGTGTAAAGGAGGTGGGCCCATCATCGGGGCAGTAGGCCAGGGTAAAGGCTCTTAGAAAAGGAGGAGAAGCCACAGACTTTCTTCCTCAGTAACATTCCAATAATGATGTTTATTCAGTAAAATAATAAAACAGGTTTACACTTTAAAGTGAATGTTGATCTGAAAGCAGACTTGAATTGCCGCCACTCTCTGTAATTACCACGTCTTGGTAATCAGGACGAGTGAGTTTCTGTGCTCTGGTTTTCATGAAGCACAGATCTGCTCTCTCCAGAAGGCCAGGGTCCTGGAGAAAACTTCCAGCAGGTCTCTGGTTGGCCATGTTTGTGCTGTTGGAGTGCCACCACGCATGGCTCTGCAGCTGTAGCGAAGGTCGTGGGACTCACGGATCGTCGCAGGATTGTGATGATTTGTCTCGGAATCCTCTGAGACCTGTGCACTTCCAGCTGATCAACTCTGGGAGTGGGGGGTGCAGGTGGAAACACTGAAAAGGATTGTTTGAAAAGTTGGTCAAAGATGAGGTCAAAGCATTTTTCTTTATCTTCTAGTGGGCCTGTGTAATACTTGGAGAAAATGATGCCTTTCTGTTCTAGGTAATTTTATCTCCTAATGTAAGGAATGTAAAAGTAACTGTATATTTAGTTGGAAATACAGAAAAGAATCCTCAAACATACAGTCTGAGAATATTATGAATTGTGGAAATTGTAAATTACTAGATCATTCTTTGAGCCATGGATAATTAGTTACAGACTATTTGTTTGTGTGGTGGGTCAATGCAGTCCTCCTGAGATGGTGAAGCTCCTTGTCAGCACTGACTGTGTGCAGTGCTGAGCTTTGGAACTTTAACCTAAGTTCATTAGATTTAAAATATTTCTGTTTGCAATTACTATGACAAACTTGCAATCTGTAAGGCTTTAAAGTGAAGCAGTTCTCACTACCTTTCCTTGGTGATAGTTGTCCTGAGAGTGATTGCTGAGCTGCTGGTGTGACTGTCACTGGCAGGAGGTGATGCTCGCTCTGCAGGGCTGTGAGCATCTCCACCCTCTGTGTCTTCAGTGGTTGGAGATACCATGTGGAACAATGAACATTGTAAATGACATTCTTCTCAAAGGTTCAGGACATTCTTCAATGTACCTGTTTTCATTCTTTTCTCACATTGTGTGATCCATTTGCTCTCAAAAGAATGACATTTCTTACTTTGCACATGGCTGGTCACTTGTCCTGGCCTGTCTCTACCCTTCACTTCTGCAGGCTGACCAGGCCCTCAGACCCCCTTTTTTCAGTTGTTCCTCTCTCCTGGGCTTAGCCTGCTTGTGTTGCAGGCTCTGTCTAGTCCCAAATCCTGTGACATCCTGGGTGTTGCAGCTCCTTTGTCCTCAGTTTCAGCGCACTGCAGTGGCTTCATGGTAGAAGGTATTCTTTTTTATTTGCTTGTGTGTTCTAAAAACAGAGTTACCTTTACATAGCAAACTCCTTCAGGCATTTCCAATGATCACCTCAGGTTGAATAGGAACAGGCTTTGTGGCTTCTGTGCTGTCCCGTGGAGTCAGATGTGACAGTCCCCTACCCCTCCAGTGTTGGGCCATTCGGCATCATTGGTGTGCTGCAGTACCAAACACGCCCAGGAAGTGGAGTCTTGACCTCGTGCCTGCTGCATGTCTGCAGCACGCACGGCTGATGGTGCTTCTCATGCTAGCTCCCCATCAGCTGTCTTGGTCTAGGTTGGGAGGTCTCCGTCTGGGCCTGGGAGAGGCTGTCCTGTTAATGCACAGTAGAGAAGGCTCTCAGAAGGGCCAGAATATGCAGAGCACGTAGGTGGTGGGGGACAGGAGGGGAGGTGGGGATTGTGGAAGCCAGGGCAGGCCACAGCTTTCATGGTGTCAGACTGCCCCGACCTTCTCTGAGCACACCAACTCCAGCTGGAATCAGAGGTCACAGGAATGGAGCCATCCTGTGGCTCCTTTTCTTCCAAAGGAAGAAAAGACAAGAAGGGTTGGGGAAGTGTGAAATGACTCAAGTGAATGGGGGTGCCATTGATGTAGGTGGAGGAGGAAAGGGACACAGGAGAACACAAAACAGGATGGTGGCAGCAGGTGGCACTGGGTCTTCTCTTGAGACATGGCTGAGATGGACAAGGGAACGCCGTATCTTCAAAGTGAGAACTTACAGGAACTCCCTTCCCTCCTCTCCTCTTCTCCTTCTTTTTAAGGATGGGAGACTGAATAGTTTGGTTATTGTTATGTTATTTTTTTGGCCAATGGGGAGGATTTAGTGGGGGAGAGGTGAGTTTATCAGAGAGAATAGGAAAAAATTAGACAGTCCTGATAAAGAGTTTGTATTAGTAGACTTAGGTGGGAAGGAGAAGCAGAGGCAGAAGTCCATACTTTGGGGCCATCTTTGTTGGTGAAGGCAGGAAGGATTGGGGGTAAGGATACCTCAGATTTGGTTTGGGAAAGGGAGTCAACTAGCACTGAGGAAAAGGACAGAGGCCCAGCCAGCTGCACTTATTAGTTGATCATGGAGCATGGGTATTTTCTGCACTGTAGTTTAGTACTTCTTTGCCAATGGTAGTTTAGTACTTCTTCAATGGTAAATGAGATTTTAAAAGGATTTCATAAACATTTATGTCTTTTGCTATTGTGTGTATTACCCTTAGAGCAGTGTGCAGCAGGCAGTGAAAGAATGAATAATTGGTTTAGGTACACACAACTTATTGGAGATGAAGACCCGGTTTGGTGCGTCAGAAAATTAAACTTTGTTGTGTGAGGGTGTGCGTAAGTGCTGAGATGCTTTGAAAGGTCAGTGCTAAACAAATTGCAGTCTTTTCTGCTCAAGTGATTTATGAACTTTGATTTTGATATTCTGTAGAGATGGGGAGCCATTGAAGGTTTGGTACAAATGATGTTTCTGTTTAGAAAGATGAGTTGGATAGCGATGTATGGACTGAACCAAAACAGAAATGAAGCCTTTACGTGTCAAAGATAGGGCAGGTGCAGATGACCTTTGCCTAGACAGTTAAGACCCTAGAATTTAAGTGTTTAGAAAAATGCATTGTTAATGTGCTATGACAAATACATATTTATTTCTGAATGGAAAAGATGTGTAGATTTGACCTGAGTTTAGAATTTGGGAGACCTTACTCAGTACTGTAATTTCAGTGGGTGAGATTTTTGTAAGCAGCTTTAGAATCTAGGTCTTTATAGGGAGCTGATAAAATTGAACTTGTTTCATGCGTTAGTTACATTCAAGAGGGGGAAACAAGCCTATAAAAAAGTTTTTTATGTCAGTGATATATCCATGATTATCACTGTAATTGGAACACCAGCTCTCCAGAAGGGAAATTTTTGTTTTGAGAATATCTTGTGATTGTTAAGTCTCAATGCTCTCAACTTGCTCAAAACCAACCTTGTTTGAGAATTGAGTAATGTGCACAGTGTGATCTGTGTTCATGAACATTGCATGCATTAAAATGCCTTCCATATAACCTGTTTATTAGATTTTAGCTGACTAAATACTGACCCTGCTCAGGCCATTGATTTAAACTTCATTACTTGAAATATCTATTAATTGGTAACACATATTTGTACTAAGGAGAGTGCTATAGCTTCTTGACACTAAATAGGATAGGAAAATGTCTCATTGTGCCACAATGAAGCTGACATTGAAAAGTTTCTCAGGAGTTCTTGATTGAGAAGATGGAACAATGATTGTATTTAGATCTTGTTGAAATTTGCTGTCTAATCTATGGCCACTCTTGGACCACATGGAGGTTGAATGAAATTATTGGCGTACTGGAAGAAGATCCATAAGCCAAAGAAAGAGTCCTGGGAGGCCATGTCCCTGTGAAGGATCGTTCTCCTCCGACCCTGCTTCCTTGGCTTTCTGATGTGATCTGGCAACCCAGCCCTCTGCATATGGGCTCCAGTGAGAGCCTGCTGCTCCAGCAGCTGGTGTGGCCTTTCTGAATGGAAAATCTGTGACCTAAAATAGCTTCAGAACCTTATCTGCGCAGCTATATATTCCTGTTAATGGTCACTGTAACAATAAAGAATGTCCCAAGATGGCCTTATTATCAGACAGAACTATTCAAAAGGCAAGCATGTTGAAGTCTTAAGGGTTTCTTAAAAATATTTAACTCTCAGCAGATTTAAGACATGTATATTCATTTGGAAACCTAGTCAGTGATTAAGGCATATGGTCAAGTGTTCATAATTTACAGCTAGCTTTCCTGTGATTTACCAAACTTTCATTTTTATAGTCACTATATGGCGAAAGTAGGATATGAGACCTTTAAAAATTTCTAACCCTTCTGCTCCTGAACTAGGTGATAGCAAAAAAAGAAAAAGAAAAAAAATTCTTTTGAAAGTCACGTTGTATTCTGTGCTGGCAGTTTATTTTCCACGCCTTTCTTTCCATCCCTAAGTTCTATAATTTCACTTTTAGGAAATTCAGAAGAATATTTGCTTATCATGGCAGTATATGCCTTGAAATTCTAAGCCCTCCCAGTGGTGCACGTAGAAGAGAACTAGTAACACCCAGGGGCATGCAGATTCCTGCAGACGTGATCCACGGTGATAGTGGCACCTGCTGGTAGGGAGGGTGGAACCCAGAGACCTTTTCTGTTGATGCTGGAATAAAGGTTGGGCCTCGAGATGAGTCCGGGGTCTGACGCAAGAACTCCTGGCTTTGAAGCCTGCACCTTGCAAAAATACAGATGCTGTGGCGAGTTTCTTCTACTCGTTCCTGTGGTGGAGGTGGTTACATGCCTCAATGGCTTTTCCTCCTTCAGGGTGCCTCTTGGTCGCTCCCAGTCACTGGGGTTCTTTCTTTCCAGGGGTCAGTGGGAGAGGCTGCAGTGGTTTGAGGGCAAATGAGACAGAGTAAAAGGCCTACATTTTAAAAGATTGTAGAGTAATAAGAATACCCAGCTATAATTGAAGAGCGCAAAGTTCAGAAAGTAAAGCTCAGTGATTCGCACATTTTTAAAATTAACGTCATCTTAATAAAATTGGCTTTTGTTTCTTGCCTCCCATTTCCTACAAAAGTCTTCCCTAATACCTCAAAATTAAGTAAATAAGAGAAACAGGCTTATAAGAAGCAGACAGATAAAAATTATACACACATGAAATAAATATGTGGAATGAGGGAGCAAGTTTATAGGTGAGTACTATTTTTATGAAAGATTTTCCTATATTGATTCCTGTATTTTTAAACCACCAAGAAAAGCCGAAAGGAGCATTTTTTCCTGGTATAGTTTGCTTCAGAAATGTTTTTATTTGTGCTAATAATTGGAATTGCTAATAAAAAGTAAACTAAGTCTGCTCACTGTGGATTATACTATGAAACAGAATAATCAATATTATGGTGCTGATTTAATATTGTGAAAATTGGTATTGTAAACATTTTCCCCATGATTTCTGTTAATAAGTCTGTCTGAATTTCTTTATTCTACAGAGCTTTCTAGGAGCAGCATTGAGGTTTTTTTCACAGAACTTTGAGTAGACCTAGCACAACAGATGATTGCTTAGGAAGGCAAATGATATGACAGGCCAATCTGTGATATTACTCTTTTGGATTAATATTCATTTCATAAGTCCTTGTACTCTTTTTTTTTTTTAACCAGTGTTACTTGCCAATCCTTGAGCTTTTGAGTTTCTAATATATTAGGAATAACATACATGGAATGAGGAATATGAACAGCATTTATCTACATGTCTGTAATACTGTGTTCTGCTACATGTCCTGTGCCTTACTAAGCATTTATATTTTTGTGGACTGTGGGCTGCTCCATCCTCAACTATCAAAGTTTTAAGAAAATATCCACAGCCTTTTACCTTTGAGAATTACAGAGGGTGCTTACAGACGTATCAGCCTGAGGAGAAGAACCCAACCTGCTACCTACACGCTGGGGCTGCTTAAAAATTAGGGGGCAGTTTTTCTATCAGAAGGAAAAAAAACAGTCTTCGTTGTATCCATTTTTCTGTTTCTCTCCTGATATAAATGAATTGGAGGTTTTTGTTGTTGTTTATGGTCATAACAACCCCAGGAAAGCTCGTCAAGTATAATAGTAGCTGCTCCCTAAATACACACAACCAGAAGTCTAGTCGGCCACCATCTTGGAGGCCATTCATCTGCCCGCATCTCTTCCTCACCTATGAACAGGCGTGCATGCATACTGCAGTTCTCTCTCCTGCGCCCTTAGTGGGCATTGCTAATTAATGGTCAAGCTGTGGCACTGAGCTTAGAGACATACTTTATAATACGGTCTTACAGGTGGCCACTCCAGCAAGTTGGGATTGGCTTACAAAATGAACCATGTATATTATTCCTGGGCTAGGATAGATCCCAAAGTCAGCATTATAACAGATTTCCAAGGTGGCTTAGTTGTCATGTTAAATGTGCTACTAAAAGAAGATGACTAACACCTGATGGAAAACATTGAGTTTTTTTACTGACAGCTTAAGTACGATAGTATTTTATGGCCCCAAATTGTATTTTGAAGGGGTGCTTTCTGTAAGGAAAATGCGTTATAAATTTAGCCTCCAGTAACATGTCAGCCCTAGAGTTGTTTTTTTTTTTTTGAGACGGAGTCTCACTCTGTCGCCCAGGCTGGAGTGGAGTGGCGCAATCTCGGCTCACTGCAAGCTCCGCCTCCTGGGTTGGCACCATTCTCCTGCCTCAGCCTCCCCAGTAGCTGGGACTGCAGGCACCTGCCACCATGCCTGGCTAATTTTTTGTATTTTTAGTAGAGACGGGGTTTCACCGTGTCAGCCAGGATGGTCTCGATCTCCTGACCTCGTGATCCGCCCACCTCGACCTCCCAAAGTGCTGGGATTACAGGCGTGAGCCACCGCGCCTGGCCGCCCTAGAGTTGTTTTTGCCAGTGTAAAAAGTTGGTTTAGTGTAAGTTAAGGAAGACAGTTTAATATTCAGTCTTTCAGAAGTAGGCTACTTCCTGAAGTAGTAACTTTTTCTGACAGTGAAAAGAGATTAATATTTGTTGGTGGTGATACACAAGATTTATTCAGAGGTTTTCAGTTAGATGAGCTGACCTCCAGGAATCTCTTACTGTTTTAATAAGACTCAGTAGGAACATGTTGCTCTTCAAAACTACCAGTACGGAGTTCATTTTTATACTACCATGCTCTAAGTCCCAGATGGTACCCACCCAGGATGTGCTGGAGCCCAGTGCCATGGGCAAGCCCACATACCCCCAGGTTTCTGTAAAAACTCAGATTACTTTCTGTGAGCTGGCTACTTTGTATTTGCTTATTTCCTGTGGATTGAATAATACCGTGAGGGCTGAGAAGTCCTTCCTCCTGGGCAACAGTGACTCTTTGGAAGAAAGCAGCAGCCCAGAGAGAGAAGAGCAGCAGACATTCTCATCTCTAGAGGCTACCCTCCAGCTGCCCCTTTGCAGGGGACTTGTAAATCAGAGCCAAGCATTTTTCTTTCCTCAACTTCTTCCACTCTTGAGGCAGCTGTTTCAACCCGAAAATTGGATGTCCCTTGGAATTCTTCATAAGCACTAATTTGTAATTAATTTAATGTAAGTGATGTGTAAAATGTGAGTTCATCTCATTATCTCTACATAATGAGGGGTGCTAGGTGCTTTTCATGTTTAATCATCAGGACTGTGTTGCAAAGTTAGGTGTCACCTCTCATCTTAGTCCCTGGATCTAGGCCCAGGTCTGAGAACCCAAGGAGACCCTCCCTCTCAGGCACATGCCTGTGCAGATTGCCTGCTTCCCTCTTATCCCAGCCCTACCTGGCACACAGTAGATGTTCCATAAATACTTATTAACTGATTGGCCTAAGGTTCCACCTCTATTCTCTGGTGGAATACTCAAAAGATCTCTAACTATTAGAGATGAGCGCCTTTGCTTCTGGAGCAAGCCTTTGTGTCAGTCACATCTATTTTCTTTGATAAAGACATGTATTTCCTGAATTGGACTTGCTGTTCTTGTCATAACTGTTGCATGTGGGCAACAACATGCTTAGTGCTGTGAAAGAGGACACTAACCCCTCTCTGTCCCTACTGTGTCGACAGGCTTACCCAGGACAGTTCCGAGCCCTTCTAGGACTCGGAGCAGCCTTTGGCTGGAGTATTGCCATGAGTCCATCAGCAAGAGTCCAGTTTCGGCTCTCAGGAGTGTGTTCACCTGTTTCTTTCTGGGCTGTGTCGAGTCTGGAGACACAGCACCAGGCCAGGCTCATTCAGGTACACGGGAGGCCCTCTGAGCTCTAATGTGGAGAGTTGTCGGAGCCTGCAGCTGGAGTGCATATTTCTGAGGATACCATGCATTAGGACTAGTGCCTGTGACCTCCTCTTCACTCTGCAATCTAGGGCCTTGCAGGACGAACTCTGCAGAGGCCTAAAGGTTTTGAAATTGAGAAGGAAAATCTTCTACCAATAATTTTTTTTTATAGAATGAAAACAAAACATGAATGATTGCTAAAATGATTAAAGAGAGGCGAGAACAGAGCCGATGAAAGGGAAAGAAAAAAATGAAAAAGTTAAAGGCCAATTTAGTAAGAATGCCTCTCTTTATAACCCCTAGGGGACTCCTGACATGCACAACCTAAACCCATGCTCTGTGTGTGGGGTATGTTTCAGTGTGTGTATTGTGGTATGTGTGTGGTGGGGGGTGTGTGTGGTGGGGTTTGTTGGGGGATATGTTGTGTGAAATATGTGATGTGTGCATGGTATGAAATGTGTGATGTGTGTGTCCTATGTGTTTGCGAGGTGTGGTTATGTAGAGTAATCTGATAGCAACATAGCATATTGGCGAACAGCTCATTCTGGAAGCTCCCCTTGCCTGTTTTCTCTTGGGGTGGAGCAGCCTTGGTGTTGGATCACAGGAGGGAAGGCAGGTCGGCTCACAGGAAGGCCTGTGCATGGTAGTGGTGGTTGTGGAGATGATCCTGTATGTTCCGAGTCTACTTCTGGGAAAGCTTCTGGAAGCTGAGCTGTGCTGGAGATCCACAGGATCGGGGTGGGGGCAGTGCCTTAGATTGTGCGTCCAACGACAGGATATGCTTCGTGATGGAGACCTTATTGGTTTTATATCTATACCTAAAAGTATTGAATAAAAACAAATAAGCATGTATTTATATATACATGTATGTCTGTTTTGACTTGATGGACTTTAAGCATTTGGAGTGTTTGAAATATTCCTTTAACATCTAAACACTAAGATATTCAAATGTAAATGAAAGACATTTGCCTAATGAGAGCAGTAACATTTTTGTAAAAGGAAAATTTTCAGTGACTGCCTTAACTTGTACCCCAGCTCTGCCCGGCAGGCTTCACGTAAGGGGACACTATCTGGAGTTGGCTCCAGAAGGGCTTGTCACAGAGCCCTATGAGGTCTTGACTCAACGTGTTCCTATACGTGACACTGTTACCTGACTTGTCAGGTATTGAAATGTATTTAAGCATTTTTTTTCTGTTGCTGAGAAACTGTGTATCCAAGTGTCTAACTCCTGGTGTTTTTCATGACATTTTAAGAGATTATTGTATTGCCTGACTATATTTAGACTCAGAGTGGAACTGGAGATCAGCCAGTAATACATTTAACTCTGTCCTGCTTTTGGATTCTTCAGAATGCCTTAGGTATTACTTTAGAGAAGACAAACCCAGAGAGATTAATGTAATTTGGATAGAATGAATATGTTGAAGATCAAATTAGAGTTTATGATAGCATCCTGGTCTCCGTACAGACACTGGCCTTGGAGTGGGTCGTGCACTGGAGTGTGTCAGCCAGGGACGGTGCCTTTGCTCATGTGTAGCAGCACTGGGCAAGGGACAACACCAGGCCCCGCTTTGGTTCTGGTGTTTATTCAACTAAAGTGAACCACTTGTTACTTATAAAATGCATACCCAGATTTCCCTATTGGGTTGTTACCTCAGTGCAGTTGATGAGATTTTAACATTCTACTGTGCAATATGGATTGTTTTTGTTTTATTTCCTTGTCATTGTTTTTTCCTTAATTTATTGGGAAATCAATCAAGTGGGAAAATGTGCATGTTTATGTATTTGTAAGAATTGATTGACTAATAGTGAAACATCTGTGGATAAAAGGTATTGTTTCCATGTTACATCAACTTAGAACTTCTTGTCTTTTTTGAGGCGAAATGTTGGATAACTTTACACTCTGTCTGAAGTCTTGCTGAATAGAATTACTGTGTGCTGGCATCATCTGGGACTTCAAAACTTGGAATATTTGCATCTACTTGTGTTTTACTGGCCAGTCTTAAAAATAGAGTTTAACAGTTACATTTGTTGAAGTGGGAGGTTCAGTAAAGTGGCTACTGCATGCAAATTATTTCTCAAATCTAATTTATGAGGGTATTTATCCATGTAGAAAGGGATTAGCTATCCAAATTGGATTTTGCATGTTAAAATAATTAGATAACCACATACTTCCGTGAATTACACTGTTATAACTAAAACTATTTGTAGATATAAAATATTAAAATGGATTTTGTCTAACATCTTGATTTATGCATACTAGTTATATGAGAAAATCAAGTCATGATTTGATTGGATGAAACTTATTTGTGGCCTAACTGAAAATCTGAATGAGCCATTAATTGCACAGAATAGAGGGACAAACAAAATACCCACAAGGACTTGATGATTGGTAGTTTTGCTAAGGAGAGAATGCATTGTTACCTGAGAGGCGAATCTTTAGACCAGTTACTAGAGCTGCTTGTTTTTGTTAAGACTGAAAGCAGGTGAATGATGCATGAATGTGTCTTCTCTGGCTTTTTTTTCCTGTAGTTTCACCAGTGATCATTAAAGAATGGGCAGCTTACAAAGGAAAGTCTCCTCAAACCCCGGAACTGGTTGAAGCTCTTGCCTTCAGGGAGTGGACCTGCCCCAACCTGAAGAGGCTGTGGTTGGGTAAGGCGGTAGAGGACAAGAACCGCAGGATGAGGGCCTTCCTGGCCTGCATGAGGTCGGACACCCCAGCCATGCTCAACCCTGCCAACGTGCCCACTCACCTCATGGTGCTCTGCTGCGTCTTACGGTGGGTGCCATGCATGGGAGCTGGGACCTGGGTCCCCGCCAGGTGTAGGGGCCATGACCATGGTGTCAGATGAGTTCTAGAAAGGATGTAAAGTTTATTCCTGATCAATCATGTTGAAATTTATTGTCATCCCATATTTATATATGTGATAGAAATGTAGGTTATGTAAATGCAAAATATATTTTAATTTATATGATACAGTATGTTTATAGGTATATTTTGTAAGCATGTATGGTATGTAAATATTATATAATGATTTTAAACATGGTTTATTATTTAAATATTGAAGATTTTGAAGGCTATAAGAGGGGATTCTTGTTATATATTATTTGGAGTTCTTCTGTAGGGAAAATGTGCCACTTCTTCCCCCTTCATTTATTTAATCATTTACAGTCACACATTGCTTAATGATGGGGATACATTTTGAGAAATGTATCATTAGGTGATTTTGTCATTGTGTAAAACATCATAGAGTATATACAAACACGGCGAGTATTTGTGTATCTAAATGTGAAAAAGGTACAGTCAAAATATGGTATTATAATCTTATGCCATTATATATGTGGTCCATTGTTGACCAACACATTAGTGTGGCACATGCCGTATTTGTATCAGTATGGGCTCCTGTCCTCTTTTTATAGGGTCATAATCAATTCACTTGAGGTTATATCCAGCTCTGCCTTATCCTTACGCACATTGTCCCGGCTTATCCTTGGGAGCTGTCTTAGGTTGGCCCGTGTGACACACACCATCCTCTTGTTTTAGGAGAGCTTCCTTGCTTTTTTGCCCTACAAGATGCTTCAGGCACGCTTTGTGTTTCCCTGCTCCAGCATCAGCCATCTCTCCAAAGAGCAGCCCTTGTTCCTTGTTGTGAAAAAGGTGTCTGGAAACCCAGGTCTGGGTGCTGGTGTGGTCCTGCTGCTGGGATGTCTCTGTGTCTGTGCCCTCACAGCCCACAGCTCAGTATGGGTAGATACTGTTGACGTTTTGAAGTTCAGTTGAGTTGGGATACATACTGGATGTTCATTAGGTTTTGGAGTTGATTCGTTTGGTTTGGTTTCATTTTAAAAGAACTTCAAACATAGAGAAAAGTTGCAAGTACAATACAGAAACCTTTTTTTTAACTTAAATACTTTACTGATTTTCTAACAGTTGATGGCATTTTACTTTATAACCACCAAAGAACCATCAAAATCAATCCGCAGTGATGCTGTGGTCCATTCCACCCTTCAGAGCTGTTAGGCTTGTTGTCCCAACAGTGTCCTTTATGACAAGGAACCTGTTCCTGTTCCAGGTCGTCTCTGCTTTCAGGAGTGATGCCCTGCCTGGGGGTGCACACCTCCTTCTGTCCCATTAGGCAGGACACTGGCTCAGAGGGTTTGGTGCAGGGTGACTGTGGCTTCTCCGTGTGGTGCTGCTCTCACCTTTTGTAACCGTCTCACATGGAAGTGCTTAGAGGCCCTGTAAAGGTTTCACTCCTCAGACAGGCAGCACGTTTTTATCAGCATGAACTCAGAGCCTCTTGTTTCTCTAGGGGCCTTCAGCTCACTGCACCATCATCTGTTTTGATGTTCCCTTTGTCACCTTGCAAACTGGCCTTCGTCATCTTCTCTGAGCACCTCCTTTCTTCTCCACAGATGTTCTGCTTGCCCCTGTGTCTCCCTGCCTCAGCCCTGGGATCCCCATTTCTCCAAGCAGCCCCAGTTCTTCCAAGTGGGGGATGGCATTTAGAAGCCAGGCTCTCAGAGTCGGAGGTTCTGTGCTGCAGGAACTTTGCCGCCCTGGCCCTCCCAGTGCAGCATGAGGGATCCACCCCAACATTGCTGTTGTGTATTCCTATATCTCATTGAAAACAGTGGATTTACCCTGGTCCTTCCAAGCTGGCACAGTCCAGTGTCCCTCCCTGTGTTCATAGGGTACGGTCTAGCATCCTGCTGCATTCGTAGCTTCTGGCTCTGGCAGTGAGAGGCTTGGCTGGGAAGCCCCATGGCCCCTTACTTGGTCAGGATCCCTGTGTGGTGCAGTCCCTATTGCCCCTGTTTCTTTTGGGGCCTGTCTCACCCTCTGGGCTGGCACCGCTTTTGCAGGCATGACTGACCATCCCTCCCACTGGGTCCCAACTACCTGACTTTAGGAAGGGAGGGACAGAGCTTATTCTTGTTTTTATTTCCTGGTGGTTCTTAAATTTATAACAAATGTTAAGGCCAATAACTTATTTAGGAAGATTCAATTAAATGGAGATTGACTTAAATCACAGTGTGTCAGCTGAACGTGATTTCCATTGAAGACTGGCTGATGGGAAAGACTCCTTTTTTTTTTTTTTTTTTTTTTTTTTGAGACGGAGTTTTTTGCTCTTGTCGCTGGAGTGCAATGGTGTGATCATGGCTCACTGCAACCTCTGCCTCCTGGGTTCAAGTGATTCTCCTGCCTCAGCCTCCCAAGTAGCTGGATTACAGGCATGCGCCACCACGCCCGGCTAATTTTTTGTATTTTTCGTAGAGATGGAGTTTTACCATGTTGGTCAGGCTGGTCTTGAACTCCTGACCTCAGGTGATCCACCCACCTCGGCCTCCCAAAGTGCTGGGATTACAGACATGAGCCACCGCACCTGGCCAATTCCTTCTTTATTTTTGTTTTTAGAGGCTTCTGGTTTCCTCTGATAGCAAATTCAATTAAAGACATGTTTTTATTAATAACAATATTATATTCATAGAAAGTTTAAGACTTTGGATTCTGTGAGATCAAATTAGCAATAATGAATTTGATTACTTTTTTTGTATTTTTCTCTTCCAAGTTTAGTGTGACACATGGCCTTTAATCTAGCAGAGCACCTGACAGGCCACCATATACTTGACCTAAGGTACATACTGGGACCCTGAGTGAGGACACACTCTGGGGCCCCGCGGCCATGGCAGAGGATGAGCTGCTGTTGCACTATAGGGGGCTAGGGTCACATCGTTTCAGCTTCGTGTTTAAGTTTGTGCTCAGACTCTTAATGCCGTCCCATCTGGTGTATTTACTCTGCCCCTCCTGTGGCTGGTGCCTCGTGGCCTGCTGTGTGTGAGCACTGAGATGCACGGACAGGGAAGAGGCCATGCATGCAGCTGGTCCTGGTGGCATTGTCTCCCAGCCCACTCTTTTGTTTGCTCCTCTCGATGCCTGGGGCCTGGCAGCGGAGTGCTGGCCCTTTCTCAGCAGTGATCCCAGAAACACCTGAGCCATCTCCTCAGCACTGTTGAGATGGCTGTCGGCAAGACAGAAATGAATGGGCACGGCCATGCTCCAATAACCTTCTCTTTACAAACACAGGTAGCCAGCTCATGGCTACAGTTTTTTTTATTCCTTTATAGACTATTATCAATTTCTATTGGACACATGTTTCTTCACCATTAGAGTCAGGTGATGCATTTGGGGTGGAACCCCACAGAAGGGGTATGGTGGTCTTCTCATTGCTCCCTAAGGGAATTTAGTTTTTGCTTTTACTAGTGATGTTAACATCGATCACTTGGTTAAGGTAGAGTTGGGCATACATATATTTTAAATGCTATACTATGGCAGCAATGGGGATGGACAGTGGAAGAATATCAGTCAAATCTCTAGAATCCCTGATAGCAGAGACGGGGGATGGAGTCTGAGCAGAGGTTGCTGCAGTGTGAGGGTGCAGGCTGAGGGCACAGAGCAGAGCAGGTCTTTTTGGGGATGCAGCATGGATAAAATAGACAAGGCTCTTGTCCAAAAGCAGCAGCTTATGTTCTTGTAGGAGCAATATGGCAGACACAAAGATGCAGACTGGGTTAGGTTTTAGAAAAACTTGACTTAAATCAGTAAATACAGTAACAGGGATGGAGGGCATAAGGCTCCAGAGCAATGCTGGCGCCGTCAGTGTGTGCTCTAGAGGTGCAACCCGGGTGGTTGGTGGTCAGCCTGGGTGACACAGCAGGTGGCCCATGCTGGCTGAGGCCTGCTTCTCTCCTTTTGGAGCTCTGGCTTTACCCCAGCTTCCATGCTTGTAAAGGGCAGTGAGAGGAGATGGGGTCAAGGTCAGCCAGCCTTAGGAGGGCTCCAGAACAATTTATAATGCCCCCACCCTTCTGTGGTAAGGAAATGAAGGCTGTGGGAAGTTAGACAACTCCCTGAGGCCCTATAGCTGTCTATATTAGCACATTAAGTGACATGTTCATAATCTGCTTGATTGCATGGAAAAGAACATGGAGAGAAAAAATTTCCAGAAATACCATAGATAGATTTAGTAGCGTAAAAGGGATCTGAAAACATTCTAAATGCACAGGTAGGAATTAGCACAAATAAATAAGCTGACCAAGAGTTAAGTTCTCAGCCGCTCTTATCTTGACTCTTAACCAGGATCTGTTTTGATATTTAATCTATGTATGTATGTATGTACCTAGTAATTCATACTCTGTATCCAGCAAGGTGTTCAGAGGACCTATGATGAGAAGGGTCTAAACACTATCTCTGTTATAGAAAGCCAGATGGAGGAAATAGCAGATAGTCTGACCAACAACATTGTTTGCTGTCCTGGCGAAGTTGAATTCTGAGAGTCTTAGCTGCCAGGAAAGCCAGGAAAGATCTTGAGAGAACCAGTGTATCTGCAATACAGTCTTTTTCTGATTAAAAAAAAAAAATTTTTTTTTGAGATGGAGTCTTGCTCTGTTGCCCAGGCTGGAGTGCAGTGGTGCCATCTCGGCTCACTTCAAGCTCCGTCCTGGGTTCACGCCATTCTCCTGCCTCACCCTTCCAAGTAGCTGGGACTACAGGTGCCCGCCACCACGCCCGGCTAATTTTTTTGTTTTTGTATTTTTAGTAGAGACGGGGTTTCACCATGTTAGCCAGGTTGGTCTTGATCTCCTGACCTCGTGATCCTCCTGCCTCAGCCTCCCAAAGTGCTGGGATTACAACATTTTAAAAGGAACCAATAGCTAGGGGCTGAGGTAGGGAAGACTGGGGAGTTGTTGTGTAAGGGGAACAGAGTTTCAGTCTGGGAAGATGAAAGGAGTTCTGTGGATGGATGATGGTCATGGTTGCACAGCAGTGTGAATGTGCTTAATGCCACTGAACTGTACACTTAAAAATGGCTTAAATGGTAAATTTTTTGTGTATTTTACCTCAATTAAAAAATAAAAAGAAATTAAAATAAAAGGAATATAAAACATAGATACTTCAGGGCAAAGAACATTGTATATAATTTCTTGAGACAAAAATAGGAGGAGAGGACCTTCTTCATATTTGCTGTTTCTTGCATCCGGCCCTGATTAAAACTCAGTAAGACCAGGCTGGGTGCAGTGGCTCACGCCTGTAATCCCAGCACTTTGGGAGGCTGAGGTGGGTGGATCACCTTAGATCAGGAGTTTGAGACCAGCCTGGCCAACACAGTGAAACCCTGTCTCTACTAAAAATACAAAAATTAGCCAGGTGGGGTGGCGTGTGCCTGTAATCCCAGCTACTTGGGAGGCTGAGGCAGGAGAATCACTTGAACCCAGGAGGCGGAGGTTGCAGTGAGCCGAGATCATGCCACCGCACTCCAGCCTGGACCACAGAGCAAGACTCCATCTCAAAAAAAACAAAACAAAAACAAACCAAAAAAAAACCAAACCTCAGTAAGACCATTGTATTTAAGATTTGTGGCAGTTAATCAATTGCAAAGGATGTGATTTTGTCATTGCAAATATTGATGGTTTAATTAAATGAAACTTTCACATCACTCTTTTATGTATCTCATCAAATATAAATACCATAGAAATGTAACATTTGCTGTTTGTTCTCCTTGAAATTGCATTTACATCCTACTTTTGCCACATTAATTTGACCATGACGTATATAAGCTCTCTGTGCTTCAGTTTCCCCTTCTCTAAATTGGGATAATTATTGTTCCTGTCTCAGAATTTCTATAACAGTAGATGAGTTAAAGTGTGTAAGGTGCTTAGACCAATGCCTTGGCACCTAGTGAGCACGTAAACTTTCTACTTTGGGCTTCAACTGAAAATATATCTCAATGAGCTGTCTAGAACCTCCCTTACTTAGTTTGTGTACCCATGGATGAATATTAATTAATACAAGAATGATTTAGTGCTCAGCACCAACTCTAACCCTGGGTTTTGTTAACTCAGATTTTAAGCACTGAGCAAACTTACTCTGCAGATGGGAATGGAAAGAGCTTTGTTAAGCATGTCACGGTTCTCTGAACTCCTTTTGAGTTATTTGCCAGAGATCACGTCGTAATCTATCATCAGAAGTTATTTTTAGTGATCAGCTGGCAACTTGATTAGGTTGTCCTTCAAGTTTATGGAATGCAAAGAACTGGGAACGTTAGACTTCAGAAAGGTTTATGACTAAGTCATTATAGTTAGCCCTTCACTTTTTCACGCCCAGACACTCCTTGGGGTTGTGCCTTGTGCAGTACTGTAGGGTGTTTGTGATTCAGGCAGTGCTGTTACTGAGAAGGGAAGGAGACTCCCAGGCAGACCTGTTCTAGTTGAAGTTGAAGATTTGGAGATTGATTGTCCTTTAGCAGCCACTTCAGGGTGGGCACATTTTGCCGTGGCTCTAGTGATGGTCCTACGCATTGCTTTTCTTGAGTCTGACTCCCGCTCACCTTGTGGTACTGGCCCTATCTTCGGTTATTTACCTGCTCCATGGACCTGCAGCTGCAGAGTGGCCAGGCAATGGTCTTTGCTTTTCATCTCGGGATTTGTCTTTCTTATTTATACCTAGGGTCTGCCTCCTGGCTATCCTGGCTTGAACAAAAAAATGAATGAATCCTGAAAATTGGTACTTAGAATGTACTTCCAGGGTTTAAATGTTTCACAAGAGTGAGGTTGTATCAAAAATCACTGACTAGCTAGTTTTCAGTATCCACAATTCAGTGTGCTATTTTTAATTATTCTAAAGTAAAACATTCTGACATCCTGTTTTCATTTGTAATGGTATCATCAAATGAAAGTAGAAAAGTAGAAAAGCTGAATAAGAAATCACATGGGTCTTCTTAGCTCACATCATCCGGGATTTACCTAGAACCTCCCACTGGACTTGTCTATATGACGGGCGACCACTCAGTAATCACCAACCTTTTGTTTCTGCCCCTCACCAGGTACATGGTGCAGTGGCCGGGAGCACGCATCCTTCGGCGTCAGGAGCTAGATGCCTTCCTGGCTCAGGCGCTGTCCCCCAAACTCTACGAGCCTGATCAGCTCCAGGAGCTCAAGGTAATTTATCAGCCTCATTGCATTGTCTTGGACAGTCTCACTTTGGATTTTGGTGTAATACTGCTAACTTTCAACAGGCAGAATTGCTAATTCTTTAAACTAATTGCTTTAGTCCACTAAACTAATAATACTAATATGATAAGAACTTGATCAATCGCCTTCATGGCAAAAGGAATATTCCTTTCTAGTTATGGATTTGCTATCCCCAGTTTGGAAATGATTAGTCCCACTTTGTCAGAGAATGATTTCCCCTTGTTTACCATTGGATGTTTATTCTTATTTATCACATCATGAAATAAACTTGCCTTTTATATTTTAGGGGGGGATTCCAAACCCTGAGAGGGCTTGATCTTAAGAATTTTCTAACATCTAGCAAGGATTCTTTTTCTTATTTCATTTCATTGTTCCTAATTACAACTTTAGTTTTCTCTAAAAAATATTCTTTGCCCCTCAACTATTATAAAATCCCTTATAAAAAACCACTTGAAGAACGATGTTACATCATCATTTCTATCCCTTTTTAAGTCAGCATTTAACATCATATTCCTTTTAATTTTGCCTTCTAGTAATTCCTTTTGTTCTTTAATTGTTTTGACAATATTGATTTTTCTCCAAGTTGTCACCTAATTTTTCAGTGTGGATATCTTTTTTGGTATACTTTCATTAGTTACCTTGTTCACATGGTTGTAATTGCTTTCTAATTTCCATATTAAATTTTAGAAAGTTCAAGACTTTTCAAAGCTAGTTAAATTAGTAGATCAGCCTTTTCTTTTCAATGTATAGGGTTTTGTTTTTTTCTTTGCCATCAGTTCTTGTTTTGTTTTATTTTGTTTTGTTTTACAGAGTTTGATTTGTAATCAGTTAATCTCTTTCCACAAAATTGCCTTCACCTTTAGATCTTTTTGGCATTCTTTATGAAGGCATTCTTTCCATGGAGGGGAATTTTAGGCTCACTTAATAGATTTTCAGTATTCAATAGTTGTTGCTTAATAAATTTCTAGTTTTCCCTAAATTATCATGTTAAATTGAGTAATTTGGTGTTAAGTGACCCTCCTCAATTGTGTGGAGCTCACCTGAGACTTCTTGTGACTTAGAAATAAGCTAAGTAAAAAAAACAAAACTTAGGAGAATTCACTTCAAATTGTGTTCTTTACTTTGTAGATCAAGCTTTTCTGTTTGTTAGACAGAAATTATTATTTTTAATGTTTTTGAATTTACGTTTCTGTTTTCAATGTTTGGTCAGGTGTCCCCGTCAGGCAGTGTGGCTGGTGCTAAGTCAGGTCCTTTCCCGTGTCCTCACCTGGTTTGTCTCATCACCACCGTCTTCGTCACAGATTGTGCTTCAGGGGGTTGGAGATACTTTTGCTAGTGTGTGGTGCCATCCCTCTACCTCTACTCCTGTTTCTCTTATATAGATTATTACATCAGTATTGACATCCCAGTTCTGAAAATCAGACCGCCAGGTATCAGGTATGCCCACTAAGCCTTATTCACCATCAAGTTACTTTTACTCAAAGTTCATCTTATATCCCATATCCTTTTCATTTTTGGATCAACACATAGGATATAACTTTTGAAAAACAATCACACTCTAAGCTTTCATTTTGGTTCTTTTGAGATCTTAGTGCTTTCATGGTTTTCTCCTGGTTCTTCATCTAAAGCCAGACATTTGTAGAGATATGCTCAGAAAGACATATGTATGTATAGTAAACTTCAGTCTGACTCATCGATCCTCTGGGTCTTGCTTGTCTGGAGGTCGACAGTTCCCTTTAATAAGAGCAGCCTACACCTGTAAGTGCTTCATTTTCATGATTAGTATAAATTCTGAGAAAGCTATAAGGAAAAATAGCATTTGTTGGGGGGGAAAGGCAGTTATTTGCTTTTTTGTTTTTTAAGATTGAAGATCCTCTCAGCTATCATCAGATTGAGAATTGATAGGAATGATCATTATTTAAATGCTACAAAAATTCCTATGCAGAGCTGAGGGTTCCAAAATTCAGTGATAGAAAATTAAATTCTAAAATTGCCTTTTCATTTAACCATTAAAATTTTTTGCAATATCAAAAGCAACAACAGTGCTTTGTTGTAATACACCATTCATAGTTTGTGATATAGTCAACTCTTGACTGTTAACTGGTGTGTCTGGGCCTGCTACCCAGTTTGTGGATTGCCCAGACCCTGTTTCTCTTCTCCCATTTATCGTCCACTCTGTGGTTGGCCATCAGAGGAGGAAAAGAGGAAGGAAAAACCCAGTGGTGACAGTTAGGACTCTTGTTAGCTTTTTCTGATGGGAGGTTTGGTGGGACAAGACATTGAAACCATTAGTTACAATGAATTTTTAAGAATTTCATCTCATCCATGCTTTCTTCGTCTGCCATGTCCATGAATAATTGAGAGTGTTCCATGTGGCTCCTTAAATACCTGTGACAGTGATTGATGACCCTCATTTTTCCTGTTATATTTTTTAAGCCCTTCTCCTAGGTTACCAGCATGAATGTAATTAAGGTAAAATTAGCACTGACCCCTGTGTTTTGAGGAGGGTGGGTAAAGGATGAGAAGGAACTTTGTACCATTATAGTATTTGTCCAGTTTCTTTCTCCCTTGCCTTGACATTCCTATAATTGCCTTAAATTCTTTTAACAGTTTCACATGCCAAGTGCAGAATATAAAAGATGGAAAATGAAGAGCTTTAAAGACAGTATTAGGGGCATGCAACATGTCTGTGATACGTGTAAGAATTATTTTGCATATAGGTAAATATGACAAATTGAAGTAAGAGTCTGTTGCCCAGTAATCAGATGTTGGACAAAGTAACTTTACTGGAATTTGGTTCTTGAGCTAATCGGTCAGAGAGATTAACTTCCATATTTGTATTTCTTATAAAGTCAGAATTTTTTGTCTGTATTTCTCTAGTTGAGGAACTTTGGATGATATTGAATATTTTATCTCAATTGATATAAGAGAATGAAGTTAGAATGTGAATATTGCAGCTATTTTATAATCAAGGGTTCAGATTTGGGTTCTCCCAATTACCAGCTCTGTGACCTTGAACCCTCTGTGACCCGTCTGTACAAGGGAGTACTATTTAGAGGTGCCTGCATTCTATGTTGTTTAGAGATGGCAGTGAGATAATGAAAAAAGCAGTGCTTGATATATATTTCTTAAGTTCCCCATAAATATTAAATGTTATTATTTATATATAACATTTAGGGAAAGAAAAACACCACATAATGTAAGTTTAAAAAATTTTCAAAGGAAGCAAATTTACACTGCAGTCAAGATTTTATTCAGATTGTTTATGCAAGCTCTTATTCTAAGAACTTTTCTCTATTAGATTAATGCTAATTGAACCATTAATTATCTTGAAACTATAAATAACATTTAAAAAATTCTTAAAAGTATAATCCTTTAATGTTAAGGCCATTTGATACACACACACACACACACACACACACACACACACACACACACACACACACACACACACACTAGCCTTGCTGCATTCTTCCTGTCAGCAAATTTGGAGATTAATAGTTTTAACTAGGGCGCTTGTGTGCCGTATACATCTGCTGCTGTTTCTTCAGTTTGGCAATGCAGATAGCCGTTTGCCGGGTAAATGGTTTTGGTTACATTAGTCTTAAAGGTTTGAATCTGGATGTGATTGGCACCAGCCCGTTCCTAAGAAACACCTGCAGGGGCTGGATGCGGTGGCTCATGCCTGTAATCGCAGCACTTTGGGAGGCCGAGGATCTTCTCAGATCACATGAGGCCACGAGTTTGAGACCAGCCTGGCCAACATGGTGAAAACCTGACTCTACTAAAAGTACAAAAATCAGCCAGGCATGGTGGCGCACGTCTGTAATCCCAGCTACTAAGGAGTCTGAGGCAGGAGAATTGCTTGAACCTGGGAGGCAGAGGTTGCAGTGAGCCAAGATTGCACCATTGCACTCCAGCGTGGATGACAGAGCGAGACTCTGTTTCAAAGAAAAAAAAAAGAAACACCATTAGGATGGTGCTGCATGTGCTTACACAAAGGGTGTTGGTGGCATTTTGTGTTTTAACATTTGGATAGCCAGGCAAACAACTTTAGAGCAGCATTTTCTCTCCCTAATCCTTGACCTGGATTCTCTGTTCTCTGGTGTAGGGCAGAGAGAGGGGCACGGAGGCCCCTGGGCTAGAAGCAGCGGAGCCCCACCTGACTGGAAGGGATTTGTGGTCATAATTTCTGCAGTGCAAGGGGCCAGGAGATGGGTGTCCTATTCATTCATGGGCCACACCTGTGCTTGGCTGCTTTCCAACAGGGTTGGCTCCCTCTTTCTGCCTTGAGAATTCTCCCTTTCTGCAGCTCAGAGGTGGGGGTGGCTGGGGTCTAAATGAATCAAGTACATTTTCTCCATTTTGTTCTAGTATGACCTCTCTTCCTCCACTTTGCACATAAATATAAAAATGCATCTAATTCTATCACCCCAGCCCTACCTGCCCCCAAGGGAACATTTTTTAGTTCACTTCCCAACAACTGCATGGGAAAAGGAGGAGCTGGTGATGTACAATAGGATCCAGAGGTATAAACACCTTTTATAAATTGGTGAACAGACTTCTCCAGGTTTTGGAAGGTCAACTGTATTGTGAAAATTTAAAAAAAGGTTGGGAAACAGTGTTAGTTGATAATAGGAACTGTTAACACAAACAACAAAAACAGCAGATGATTGTAAGTTTATTAGCATTTGGCACCAGAATGACCTTTTTCTCTTTAATGAAAAGCCCCTTTACCTGCCACATGTAGGCATTGCTTAGATTGATCTCCCATAAACATTGCATTCTTGAAAAGCCACCAAAGTCGGAAGACAAAAGCCAGAGCAGGGCTAAACTTTGATCCTGGATAATCCACAAACTAGGCCTTTCACATGCAGATGATCAAGAGTTGACTGTACTCGTGTTAATGTTTCTCACTCTGCTTATCAGACACTAGAAGCGTGGGCTCTACGTATAGAAGGTAGGCACCCAGCACTTAACACTGAGGGAAGTAAAAGTCTGCACAAATTCTAGTAGTATGTATGGTTCAAGAACCATATTTTTGTTGTCTTCTTTCATTTATAAGCTATCCATTTCTCCAAAAGACATTTTGACAGTCTTATTAATAAGTTGCAATTAAAAACCTTGACATATAAAATAATGTGAACATAAAGTATAAATTTATTTTAGAATGTAATTATACCAAATAATCTTTTAATGTAACTATTTAAAAATGCAGAATCTTAATAGAGTGTTCAGTTTTGACACTCTTTCTGTTAATACGTTACCTGTGTGCAGATCTGAAATGTGAAGTGTTATTTTACGAAGAGATTGTGGAGCCCTGGGCTCTAAGGAGACCACACATCATTGCTCATTTTGTCACACGTCAGCCTTAAGTACAGTGTTACTCTACACTGCGGAACGCTTTATAAACCCAACCTGAAATACTTGAGTATGTTTATAAAATATTCTCTTAAATTCAAATGTGTTAAATCACATAAGTATTTCTGTTCAAATGAGGCCAGTGTTAGGTCAATATAAGGTAATGGTAGGACTACTTAGTGGTGCTGTTTTGTTGAGGAATATTCTGTTAACTTTGGAGAGTTTTACTAAGACTTTGAAAGAATTTAATACTGTAGTACTCTTATTCCATAGAAATTACTCTTTTCAATTTAAAGATTGAGAACCTAGATCCCCGAGGAATTCAGCTATCAGCTCTCTTCATGAGTGGAGTAGACATGGCCTTGTTTGCAAATGATGCATGCGGACAGCCAATCCCCTGGGAACACTGTTGTCCTTGGATGTATTTTGATGGGAAGCTCTTCCAATCCAAACTCCTCAAAGCCAGCCGGGAAAAGACCCCACTCATTGACCTCTGTGATGGTCAGGTATGCTGCGGGGCCGGGTGGCTGCCTTTAACTGCAATGAAATAAAGCTCACTGGTTAAATCTGTCATCTTTTATACCATATTTATCATCCTGTGTTTCAAGATTCTGTTTTAGGTTGGGCCTGGTACTGAGTGTCACTAAATATCACTTCAGTACCCAGGATGAGCCAAGCTCCTGATATAACATTGTTTCTCATTATTTGTGGTAGTAATGTTCTAAAATTCACCTTGAACGCCAAATTAGTGAATACTGACCATTGCTCCTAGGGGCAATACAAGGTGCTGGGTTCCTTCAAGGCTCTGGTCACATATTTTTGTTAACCAATCAGTATATAATCTTATTTCATGTGCATTTTCGTTAAAGACACCTTATATAATATGGATTGTTGATTCATTATTATTGAACTCACAGCCAGTAGCTTCTGTAACACGTATATTCTCTGTAAGGCACATCACAGCCTCCTTATGCATTTAGGAACACCAGACAGCACTTCAGCACTACACTTGGAGACCATTTTATTTGTTTGTTTGTTTTGGTTTTTTTTTTTTTTTTTTTGAGATGGAGTTTCGCTCTTGTCGCCCAGGCTGGAGTGCAGTGGTGCGGTCTCAGCTCACTGTAACCTCCACCTCCCAGGTTCAAGTGATTCTCCTGCTTTAGCCTCCCTAGTAGCTGGAATTACAGGTGCCTGCCACCATGCCCAGCTAATTTTTGTATTTTTAGTAGAGACGGTGTTTTGCTATGTTGGTCAGGCTGGTCTTGAACTCCTGACCTCAAGCAATCCACCCACCTTGGCCTCCCAAAGTGCTGGGATTACAGGCGTGAGCTGTTGCACCCAGCCAGGGACCATTTTAAACAGTGAAATTACCAACAAAAAAGGACAAAAATGTGAAACACGTGGCACTTAATAAACTGTGAAAAGGATTCTTGTTTTCAGTATGAGCTGAAACAAGAAGGCAAGCGTTGTCTTGTTTGACCTCAGCTGGGGTCAGTGCATCAGGCAACAAAAATCTTTGCCGTGTTCTGCACAAGTCTGCAGACGACCAGAAAACTGCCATAAGTATTGATTTTTGTGGTTACAAATAAACGTTAGCAAGTAGGAGAATTTGCAGACATAGAATTCATGAATAAAGGGAACCAACTGTATAGTTGATAGATCTTATTTCTTTAGTGCTCATTTAAATTCAATTAAAACCCCCTGTGGATGGCATTTTCACATGCTGGTCCTTGTCTTCCAGGCTGATCAGGCTGCCAAGGTAGAGAAGATGCGCCAGAGCGTCCTCGAGGGGCTCAGCTTCTCCAGGCAGAGCCACACGCTCCCTTTCCCGCCGCCACCTGCCCTGCCCTTCTACCCTGCCTCTGCGTACCCCCGGCACTTTGGGCCTGTCCCACCCTCTCAGGGCAGGGGCAGAGGCTTTGCAGGTGAGTTGATTGGGACGTATTCCTGTGGGTAACAGATGCCAGATTCCTGTAAAGAAAGTGCAGCCCTTATAGGCAAGCCCATCTGCTGTGTTGACCTTGTCACTGTTGGTCTTGGAGATCCTGCAGCAGCAGTTCTTCAAGTCCGTGAGGAGCAAGTTTAATCCTGGAGATAGGGGAGAGGGACCTGCTGATGCAGATGCAAAAGCTGCACCGTAAAATCTGTCAATCAAGCTGAAAACTCTGCTCACATTTTAAGATATATTTGTTTCTCATGTGTAAGGGAAAATAAACCCACCCAGGTCAGAGAGAGCCATCTTCCAGGACTCATCTCCCAGGGCCCTTCCTGAGCCCCATGCTAGTGCCCTGTTGAATGACCCACTGCAGGGAGGGTGGCCTTACAATACTGGTCCCCAGGGACCATGGGCACAGGACAGTGAGGTGACAAGAGGGGCCAGGAGACCCCTCCATGGCAGCTGGAGGAGGCAGGGGCCACTCTGCCTGAATACCCAGCAGGGCCCTGAGTCCTGTCCCTTACACTTCTCCCCTCTCTCTCTACCCCGGGTCCCACAGGCGTCTGTGGCTTTGGAGGCCCCTATGGGGAAACGGTAGCAACAGGCCCTTACCGTGCCTTCCGTGTGGCGGCAGCATCGGGACACTGCGGAGCCTTCTCAGGCAGTGACAGCAGCAGGACTAGCAAGTCCCAGGGCGGTAATTATACCCACCCCTTCCCAGAGCTTCTGCCTGCCAGCACTTCCTTCGCTCCATCGTCTGGCGCCTTCCTTCCTCTACTGTCCTCATGAGCCCCTCCTCCAGCAGAACGGCCTTTCTTCTGGGTCCCCGCTCTGACCCTCATTGACCACTCCTCCTGAGACTCTCTGCTCTCAGGTCTCAGCAGCGGCTCTGCTGTGGCCAGTCTCTCCTTTCAGGGTAGACCACTGAGTGTCCACCTAGAACAGAACCTTTCTGTGCACCTGGGTAACCTGACCATCGCCTCGTGTTCATAGGATGAGCTGCTAATAGTGGCGTTTCTTTCCCAAGCAGCCATCTTTTGGTAAAGATTATCATGCTTGTATAGAAAATGCTAATGGTCACAGAATTCCTGACATAAAAAGTCTGTCACAGTTTGTTTCGCAGAAACATTTTTAAACAAAGATCTAATGTTGGGCATATAAACAAGGCAGTTTACTGTAGATTCCCAGTGCTTCTCTTTGCATTTGTATTAGGCTTGCAAAAGAGAAAAGGGTCTTAACATTTAGCATAGGAAGCAATGTCTTGTGATGGTGCTGTAATTGGAAGTCAGTGACCTGTATCTTTGTCCTAATCCCACATTTTGGGACTGCAGATCTAAATCTGCCCATCAAGTCACATAACAGGATTAACTGTTCAGATGTGATTTTGGAGTTGCATTGAGGATGGGCAAGCCTTTCTCTCTTGATCAACAATGTTTTTCCAACTCAGTTACATGGGATAGTTAGGGAGGCCAGCAAGGGAACTGTGCGGAAAGGTGACTTGCAGATTTGGCGACGGGTCAGCCCCTCTGTCTGCAGGTCACCTCTCCTTTCCCTGGTGCAGCTGCATGCCTCTCTGCCTCCTCTGTCTGCCCACCAGCCTCCTGCAGTGTGCTACTCTGCTCTGTGACTGCTCCTCATGCAGCTCGCAGCCATGTTTCCTCTCTGCTTCTTGATTTGCTTCAGCTCCTTCTAGTGCCTTGAAACTGAAGCTGGCCTGTAGTTGGGATCAAAGATGGAGGGAGAGGGGAGATTGTACTATGGATAGTGTAGGGCAAGAAGTGAATTCTTACACTGGAATGATAAAAGGAACCTGCTTCCTGAGTTTCTTAAAATTGTGTCTGGAACTCAGATTTGCACTGCCTAGTATAGTAGCTGCTGGCCACTGCTCTGTTGAGCACTTAAGCTCTGGCTAGAACATGTAAAATACATATCAGATTTTAAAACTTAAAATGGGAAGCAGACTAAAATAGCTAATCAATTTTTTATCTTGGGCCAGGCACAGTGGCTCATGCCTATAATCTCAGCATTTTGGGAGGCCAAGGAGAGAGAATTGCTTGAGGCAGGAGTTCAAGACCAGCCTGGGCAATATAGTGAGACCCCTGCCTCTACAAAAAATTTTAAAAATTAGCCAGGTATGGTGGTGCACACCTGTAGTCCCAGCTACTCAGGAGGCTGAGGCGGGAGGATCGCTAGAGCTGGGAGGTCAAGGCTGCAGTGAGCCGTGATTGTGCCACTGCACTCCAGCCTGGGTGACAGAGCGAGACCCTGTCTTAAAAAAAAAAAAATCTTGACTACATGTTGAAATAGTATTATTTTGGATACATTGAGTTAAATAAATACATTTTTAAAACTTCTTTCCTCTGTTTCTTTGTACATTTTTCATGTGGCTACAAAAAAATATAAGCTTGTTGTAGGTTTCTGTTGGACAGTGCTGAATTGCCACAGCTAACACCAAGATGATAGTTGTTTATTATCCATTCTCACTGTCAGAAAACAAGATGCTTGGGGCTCTGGTTTTGTTTGCTTATTTTTTTGTTTTTAAACAGAAGTTTTGCTGCCAATTAGCAATTAGAGAATTTTCTTAGGTCAGAAAACTTACAATTTGCAGTAATCAAAAGAAGTTAGTAAATTCTATTTGTGACTCTGCTTATGGAAATTCTAATTTAAAAACACAGTAAGAAATACAGGCTAGATTTATTGATTCTATGATGTTCAGTTAAGGTAGTAAACCTAGAAGTATTCGCCTAAAGAGAAAAACATTCTTGAGTTTGCAGATTGCCATCTTGGTAATATAGAAGGCATGCCATATGCACCTGATGACACTTTATTGTATCTGTTTCTATCTAAAAAGCCTTGCACATTTGCAGTTGTAACCTAATTCAGTTCTCATGGGTTCTTCACAGTAGTTTAAAGTCAAACAGTGTGCACATAGATACACTACATAATAAAAAATTGTACAAAACAGGAGAAAGTAGCTTCATAGTAAATATAAACCAAAACTGAAAAGAAGTTTCTTGCTTGTATCTTTTTGCTATTCTTAATTCTGTGATTGTAAAGATTTTGTCTTTTTGTATATTTTTTATGCAGGAGTCCAACCTATACCTTCTCAGGGAGGCAAACTAGAAATAGCTGGCACTGTGGTTGGCCATTGGGCTGGGAGCAGGCGGGGCCGTGGGGGCCGGGGGCCTTTCCCCCTGCAGGTGGTTTCTGTCGGAGGACCAGCTAGAGGGTAAGTTCTGAGCCACGAAAATGTCTTTTGTATAAGTAAAGAAAACAGCTTCTAACTTGCTTTTTTTTGGAAGTTTAAGTAGGAACATTTTTATATCATTAGATACATTCTTCTTTAATATCATTTGTATTTAATTATTTAGTTTTTATTTATTTATTTATCTTAAGATGGGGTCTCACTGTCACCCAGGCTAGAGTGCAGTGGCACAATCACAGTTCAGTGTAGCCTTGACTTTCTGGGCTCCATCGATCCTCCCACTTCAGCCTCCTGAGTAGCTGGGACCACAGTCATGTGCCACCATGCCTGGCTAATTTTTGTATTTTTGGTAGTGACAGGGTTTCGCCATGTTGCCCAGGTTGGTCTTGAACTCCTGAGCTCAACCAATCCACCCACCTCGGCCTTGCAAAGTGCTGGGATTACAGGTGTGAGCCACTGCACACAGCCTTTAACATCATTTATAATGTTTGCATAGGATCCCATTTATAGTATTATGTAATTATTTAATTAACCATTAAATAATTAACAATTATTAAATAATTAACCATACAATTTTCAATTAACCAGGTGCCTTAATATTTTTAAAGTATTAGTTTTCAAATCAAATGCATTGGATATGGGAGATGTAGCTCAGGGGTAGAGCATTTGACTGCAAATGCATTGGATATGAACCAAAAAAATAAGATTGATTCCTTGGAATAAATCTTCCCTATGATCATACTTAACCTGTTTACGCCTAGTGTTCCATTATTGGAACGCAAAGCATGTGGGAGTTCTTTATGTCCTACTGCTCAAGGTCTGACTGCAAAAATTCAACAAATTGCAACTTCCGGCATAAATGGGTTAATTCAGTGCTTCATAAAACGTAAGATTGGATGGCTTTAAAATCATTTGATACTATTTTAAATGTTGTCTGTAACAGATTTAAGTGTTTACTGTTGTCCTTTTTCATTCATTTAGGCGTCCAAGAGGAGTTATTTCCACCCCAGTGATTAGAACATTTGGAAGAGGTGGAAGGTACTATGGCAGAGGTTACAAAAACCAGGCAGCAATTCAGGTAAGAAGACAACATGATGTTTGTGCCAGTTCAATGCCCTCAGGGATGTCTCCTGTCTGAGCTTGCACTTCTAGTACCTGCGCTCAGACAGAAGAGCTGTGAGGGTAATGCTTTAGCTGTCAAGTGTCTAACACAGTAACTGGCACACAGCTGCTCACCAAATGTCCATTCCCTAGAGCCCAGATCATTTTGCTGTTAAGTGCCTCTTCAGGTTGTCTCTCCCCTTTGCCATGACCCTGTGTCTCTGGTAGCTTCCCGCCTGGTGTGACACGATGGGCTTGGCTTACCTTGGGCATTGCCTAGCCCTGACAGAGCTGGAACAGCCACTTGTAGTTTCTTTTTTTTTCTTTCTTTCTTTTTCTTTTTTTTTTTTTTTTTGAGATGGAGTCTCGCTCTATTGCCCAGGCTGGAGTGCCGTGGCACAATCTCCGCTCACTGCAACCTCCACTTCCCGGGTTCAAGCGATTCGCTTGCGTCAGCCTCCCGAATAGCTGGGATTACAGGTGTGTGCCACGACACTCGGCTAATTTTTGTAGTTTTAGTAGAGTTGCAGTTTCACCATGTTGGCCAGGCTGGTCTCAAACTCCTGACCTCAGGTGATCCGCCCGCCTTGGCCTCCCAAAGTGCTAGAATTACAGGCGTGAGCCACCATGCCCAGCGGTCCTGCTATATTTTTATGTTTTATATTATTTGTCTCAAGGTTCAAAGAAAATGACGATTGCATTGATTCATGGAGAAGGGTGCGTTAATATTTCTGAACTTTAGGGTTGGAAGGTAAAATAGAGGATGTTGTAGGAGAGTATGTGGGGACCCTTGGTTTATGGGGGCCATTCCTTAGGCAAGGGTCACATCTCCATCTGGGTTGATGATTTTGTCATCAACAAGGCAAATACCCTGGTTTTCAGAATGGGAGGCCTAGAAGATGCTGGAAGGTACCACCATCTTTGTTGGGAAGGGAATGCGATGACGAGCTGGAAGGTTCCTGTTCTCGTCTGTAAAATGACTGTTTGAAGGTGAAAAACATCCATGTTTTCTTCAGCACCGAGTCAGTCTATGACAGTGGCTCTCAGCCCTGGTGATTGGCCCCCAAGGGACATTTGGAGACGTTGATTGTCAAGACTTGGTGTGGGCACTGGATTTTAATGGGTGAAGCCTAGACATTTTAACGGGTGAAGACAACATGATGTTTGTGCTGCTAAACACCCTACGGTGTGTGGGACAGCCCCATCACGGAGAGTGGACAGAGCCAGCGTATCATATGCTAAGGTTGAGGAGCCCTGGTCTAATGATAGGAGCAATTCAAGATCTGTCTTCACTGCCTTCACAGAGAGCCATGTCTTTCAGAAAATGTGCTGGATTAGTCTCAAGGACCATTTTTTTCAGAGGCTTATTTTTAAATCTGTTCAGAGGAGTGGGGAAGACCCATTCAGAAGAGTTATTTCACAAACACGTGGCAATTATCAGTGCAGATTTCTTGTTAAGGTTCCCTAGCAATGACTGTATTTCCCCAGTAGAAATGGGGTGTGTGTGCTGCTGCACATCACAGGCAGATGTGGGAGACCCTGTTTGTTTTGTGGCAGTGGGAACAGTCGCAATTTTAGAGAGGACTTATTGAGGGGCATTTGTTACTTTAAACAATTTAGTGCCATACAAAGGATTAGACAGAGCTCCTGAAGGGGGAATCTCCCTCATTTTCAGGGTGTTAACTACAGAGGAGTTGAGGGAAGGGGCCATGGAGGGAACTGACTGAGACAGGTAGAGCATCTACCGCCCAAAAGTCAAAGCAAAGACAGGGTTAGAAGGACCCAGCTGGGCATTTTCTGCTCTTGAATCTGCAGAGAGTGTCATTAGGCCAAAATTGGCATCCTCTCTCTTCTGTTTATCAGAAACCACCTTCTCATTTGTTGTCCTTCATTTTAAACAGGGCAGACCTCCTTATGCTGCTTCAGCAGAAGAAGTGGCCAAAGAACTTAAGTCAAAATCTGGGGAATCGAAGTCCTCTGCTATGTCTTCAGACGGGTCCCTGGCTGAAAACGGAGTGATGGCCGAGGAGAAGCCGGCTCCCCAGATGAACGGGAGCACGGGTGACGCCAGGGCCCCCAGCCACTCTGAAAGTGCCTTGAATAATGACTCTAAAACGTGCAATACAAATCCTCATTTAAATGCACTAAGTACAGACAGCGCTTGCCGCAGAGAAGCTGCTCTGGAGGCAGCTGTCTTAAATAAAGAAGAGTAAACTTATTTTTTATAGAGGGTGAAGGATGCTGGAAGGGTAAGGATTTAGGAATATCTGGAGAGAAAGAGAGCCTGCAGTTATGTACATTTTGTCCTTTCCGTAAGAGAAAAATGAGGACTTTGGAAATTCAGATCCCTCTTTGATATCAGAGATTTAAACAACACATTTTTAGTTTTAACCAGTTGTAGTCAAAATGCTACAATAAAACAAAAAAGAGAAAGAAAATGAAGAGCATTTGACTCCCGCACTTAAAATGAAGTACACATAAAGTTTAAACTGGTTATGACAAAAGCCTTTAGTTGTGTTTCTTGAACTATAAAGAAAACAAATTTTGGCAGTCTTTAAGTATATATAGCTTAAAATATAATTTTTAGCATTTGGCACCATATGTATGCCATTATATTTGATTTTGCATTACTGTTTCACAATGAAGCTTTCTTTAAGGCTTTGATTTTTATGATTATGAAAGAAATAAGGCACAACCACAGTTTTTCTTTCTTAAATTTCATCACTGTTGATGTGGTTCTTTTGTGTTAAAAAAAAAAAGTGCAACTATCAAAACTAAAAAATTATAGAGTAATATTGCCGTTCTGCTGATTTTAAATATACAATACATCATACATACTTTACAAGCAAGTTAAATGGAGATAAAGTTGAAATCATAGAAGATGCAAATGACCTTTCAAAATCAACACAATGTGTTCTGAAACTTTCGTGACTAATACCATGCATCTGTGATCAATGAACTATGTGGTTTTGAATCGGATGTAGACCATTAGTACTACTACTTGAGCTAAACTTCTGCATGGTTCATAATTTTTAAAGTGTGTAGTTAATATGCATGTTATCGTCCTTTCTTCCATTCTTAACAGTATGTGCCCATTTGCAAAACAAAAATGCTAATAATCAGTAATAGTCCTATAAAAGATGTTAACTCTGTTTAGTCATTGACTGATCTTGCTCTAACCTTAAAATTTTGTGATTATTGACCTCTGTTGCATTTATTCTAAAGCCCCCCAAAAATTATCTAGCCGTTTCGAATATCAACATTACCCTGGTGTATTCACTGCTGTATGCATTATTGTTCTTTGTTGCTGTTTTATGCCTTCATATTAGCAAATATGAAATTCTGTGAAAAAAAACCCTTTGATCTTAAAAAAAAAAAAACCACCCCCCCCTTCTGTAGCAGGAAACAAATTGCTTGTTCTTGAGAACTTTCCCATCAAGAATTTAGTAGAAGCAGGTATACTTCTATCATTTTGATGTTTTTGTTAATGTTTCCAAACAATGTACTTTGAAATCAGAATCACTTCTTATCGTTTTCATATACTTCTGATGCTCTTCATCACATTAGTGATCAGAAATGAGGTGTAATTCCCCAACCCCTGCCCGCAAGAGCTAAGTAGGATCTTACTGTAAGTTGAAGGGAGTTTTGCCCTAACTCATGGATTGTGCAAGAATGAACTGCTGTTGGGTTTGATTGACTGTCGATGGATTGTGGTGTGGTGTATCTGAAGGCTATTGAATGCAACTTACAATGCTTAATAAAAATCTTTATTCTTTTAGTATAAAGTATGGCGTGGCTTTTAAATTCACTTGTAAAAGCTAATTTTATAGAGGTTTAATTCAAATCGAAACAACTACTGAAAAGATCAGAAAACCAAAGTTGAAAAATATTTTACCTTTTCAAAGTAATTCCAGGTTTCCGGCTTAGAGGGACATTAATATATGATTAATTTGTTTGATAGCTCAGTTTCAAGCAACCAAGGGGATAAAAAAATTCTGTTTGATAAAGCAGACTTACAGAAGAGGTTTTTTTAAGCCCTGAGGAAGCAATAAATTTGACTCCACCACGTTTTAAAAGCTGGATGTTACAAGTATAGTCCGTTTTTCATGCCATCCTTTTGACTGAAGGCTCTTCTCTGCAGCCTGATATGAGGTCCCCGTACCCAGGTCCGCCGAGCGCCTGGAGAAAGCGCCCCGTGCTGCCCTCTAGCGGGGGATGGTGGGCTAACGGCGCCGGAGGCGGCCAGGAGAGCTGCGGCGATCCCGCTCCAGGGAGGGGCTGGCGCTCGCCCGGGGGCGCGTTTCCTTCCTGTGGAAGGGCGGGGCGGGGCCTTGCGTGGCGCTTCCCCGTCCGCCACCGCGCAGGTCCCGGTGCGCGCGCAGCCCGCGAGGCGGGGCCGTGTCAGTGAGGCCTACTCCCAGCTTTTTCCTCCCGGAGGCTGAGACTGCGCCGTTGAAGCCGGTTCTCTGTGCGGGGCCGGCGCCGGGCCCAGCAAAGACCCGAGTGCCCCGAGAGAGACCGAGCAGACCCTGGGAGCCCGAGTCCCAGCAAGGCCCGAGCCGAGCCAGTTTCTCCAACTAGCAGCCTGAGAGCGCTCTTGGTCCTGGCTGTTCAGACCCCAGACGAATTTACCCCTTCTTTTTATGGGGTGGGCCTTCAGAGTTTGAAGGAAGTGAAGCTAGCCTCGCTCACTCCAGGGCCTCTTCCCACCCTGACTCGCCGGTTCCTGACGGTGGCCCGCTGTTCCGGGGCCACGGCTGAGTCCCTCTGCGCCAGCCTCCCGGTGGCGGGCCAGCCAGCCCCTTCTCTGTGCTGTGAGAAGATGGGGGCGCCCGGACGCTCCATCTTTCAAAAACACCATTCCACTGAGGACCCTGCCTGTGACGGGAACCAGTCTAACCCACTCTGGATCGCACGTGCCTGGCAGAGGGACAGCGTTGTGGAGGAACACTTTCCAGGCCCACCAGCTTCCACCATCCATTGCTAGGCAGTACCTCTCCCACCGTGACAACCACGCGCTTTTCTTCCCTCTCTCAAGGGGCAGGCCCACGCCACTTGAGAATAGCAAACTGACAGGGAGAGCCCTCTGGCTTTAAGAGGGGAGAGGGACAGGTTTCTGAACAGTACAGTCTCAGCAGCAGGAGCGCGCGCATGTCAAGGGTCCCTCTCTGCTCCCTGACAAGCAGGTGCTCCTTCTTTCCGGTGGTTCTCATCTCTTAGTTGCAATTGCTGTAGGTGAGAGAGCAGCACAGCTTGCTTTAGGTCACTCTCAGCAGGGACTGGGCTGGAACCCAACCCTTAGCTCCAAGTTGGGTCTGTCCACCCGCTCCTGAAGCTCCAGTAGGTGCAGGCGTGGGCATTAAGGAGAGAGGAAGGGAGAGGGTGCTGGGGCTCCGGCGACCCTGTGGCTGGAACAAGGAGGCCAAGGACATCCCTCCTTGCTGGAGCCATGCTGGCCACTCCTTCCACACCACCAGAATTGCAGAGGAAGGCCCAAGGGCGATGCTGTCATGGGCCCAGGGGTCAGTGGCTGTGGGTGGCACTGGTGCGGGCTGGACTGAATGGTGATGCTGGTGTTTCTCCTTCCTGGCAGCATGATATCCTGGGGCAAGTCGTATGTTCTGCTGCCTGGCCATTTATCCTCTTCCTTTTCAAAAAAATAGGTTTTACTGATTTTTTTTTCTTGTTTCAAAAGCAATATGTGTTTATTGTGGTAAGTTTAAGAAATACTGGCTAGATACACAAAAAGGAAAAGAAGTCCTCGGTAATTCCCCCATCCTGAGACACCTGTTTTTAACATTTGGTCTCTCTCCTTCTATACAATATATAGATTTTTTTCTTATACAAAAAAAATCATGTTAATATTTTGTAACATTTTCCCAACTTAGCATCATTTGATGATTGCCTTTCCCTACCATTCCATATTCTGCCATAGTTCCACAGACTCCACGGTGGGGCTGCATCGTAACGTATTCAGTCTTTCCCCACCAGCATGGTTGGACATTACCTTGTTCTGCAAGCACTTGCGGAGAGTCCGTGTCAGGCCCAGCCCTAGGCCCCATGGGACAGAAGATGTCAAGGCCCCTGCCTTTCTGGCATTTACATTTGAGTAGGGGGACAACATACATGTGTACAAATAAGAATATTTCAAGCAAGAAAATGAGAAAAGATGGGGAGATGGGTGGCATGGGCAAGTGATGCAGCCATGAGTGGAGGCTATCTGGGAATACAGGTCTGGGCCAGGAGCAGCGGATGGAGCACCCAGCCAAGGGGAATCCATGGAGAGCGGAGAAGCCCATGGCCACCCCGAGGACAGGGCTTGCTGTATCCTCCAGTGCTGTGGTCTGTTGAAGGCTTTGAGGCAGGACGGGTTGTGCTTGGATGCCCAGTGGGCTCCAGGTATCCATGCTACCCTGTAGGTGAGTCTTGTGAGGACCAGTGTCATTATTCCTGGTTAGCATTTCATCAGAAGAATCTCCCAGTGGGGAAGGGTGGGGGAAGGGTGGGGGAAGGGTGAGGGAAGGGAGTCTTTTGGTGCTCCTGCTGATTTAGCTCCGGAACGCTGCTTGGTATCCAGGGTCCAGGAGCTCTTTGTCTGTACTAGCCTGGCTGCTGGGCACAGTCAAGGCACTGGTGTTTGCCAATTTGACAGGTTAAAAAATGGGTTTTTATTTGCATGACTTTGATTTCTAGTGAGGGTGAACATTTCCCCTCTTACATTTAATTTGCCCATAATTTCTTCATTTTTCAATTGACAGGGAACTTCTAATGTCTCTCCTGGCTGTTTTATGATCTCCCAAACAATCAGGTAAGAATTTTAAGAAATAATTCACTGTCTATACCTTTCTCTATACCATCAACAACAAGGACCAAGGTAGTGTTAGGCTGCTCTGCTTTCCAGGACACCCCTCCTTGCCCTGCATTCCTTCTCCCTGCTCAGAGGGAGCCTACCTCTGCACTGCATGGGGCAGACAGCAGAATACAGGTGTTTTATGATGGACAGTAACCTTAGGGGTGACTCTCATCCCTCCCTCAGTTTTATTCTACTTTCAGTTCTTCTGAGAATGCAATACTTTCTTGTTAGCCTCAACTCCCTACCCTTACTCACTATATCTTGGACAAAAGTCCTATGCTACTTGGCTCCCCACGTTGTGGAGTAGATGGTGCAGAGGCCTTTTTGCCAGGAGCCTGCTGCTGGCCAGCCTGGCAGCCCTGCCCTCATCCACCCCACCTTTGTCCCCAAGCTGTCTGGTTACTCCTCCCTGTACCCCAGGGAAGCTTCCAGTCTTGGCTGTAACACAGCCCAGGCTAAGTTGACCAAAGACCTGCACATGGGACAAAATAAGCTTTTCATTAATGTGCTTTGCCCTGTGCTGAACTGGCTGTGGGACTTCACCAGAGTTTGTAAAGGACAGCCATGTGAAAACGCACTCAAGAAAAAAAAAATGCAACAGCAGTGGTAATAAGTTCTATGAAGGACAAATGCAGAGGAAATGAGGAACTTACATGGGTGGGGGTAGGAGGAAGGTGTCAGGGAAGCCTCTCTGAAGAATGACCTAGAGGGCAGGTGGGAGCTACCCAAGCAGATTCCAGGCACCTTGGGTGGACCAGGATGGCCACCCAGGATGGCCTTTTCCCAGGCTGTGCCCAGCAAGTTCCATCAGTTCAGGAAGCAAACAGCTGGAGGCACCTGTGCAGACCCATCCTGACCTCATGAAACCATGCCTACTCCTGGCATTTGTGAATGTCCATCTCTACAAACTCAACTGATGCCAGTATGGGCTATAGAGAGGGTCACATCAGTCTCAGTTTGCCCAGGATAGCCTCAGTTTGCCCCTGTTTTGGTGCTTTATTAACAGCACCCTTTTGGATAGTAGTAAATAATGTAGTCACCTGGCTCAGAGACTTGTCCACAAGCTCACTGCATCCAAACATCACAGGACCATCCTAGAGATGGTCAAGAAGGAGGGTCACTTTCATACCTGTCAGAAAAGCCCAGATGGCTTAAAAAATTTCCCCAGGTACTCCAAGAAGGGGCCCAGTATTTGAAGTTTCTATGCACTGACCAAATCAACTGATCTTTCACAAATACACACCCAACCTCAAGCTAGTATTTCCTTTCTAACATTTTCCACCCCCATCAATTATTAGTTACCTGTCTCTTGCTCTGGCCTATGGTATCTATGGAAGTAGGAATGTTTCTGCCTCATTCAGTCTATGAAACCTGCATTGGTTGTGTGCCAACAAAATAACCTAGATGAAATGGACAAATTTCTAGACATACAAAACTTACCAAGACTGAATGATGAAGAAACAAAAAATCTCAACAGACCTACAACTAGTAAGGAGATTGGATCACTAATCAAAAACCTCACAACAAAGAAAAGTCCAGGAACAGATGGCTACACTGGTGAATTGTACAAAACATTTAAAGAAAAATTAACACCAGTCCTTTTCAAACCCTTAAAGAAAATTGAAGAGGAGGGAATACTTTCAAGCTCTTTTGATGAGGCCATGATTACCATGATACCAAAGCCAGACAAAGATACTAGAAGAACACTACAGACCAATATTCCTTATGAATATTGATGCCAAAATCCTCAACAAAATACTTGCAAACTGAATTCGTAGCGTATTAAAAGGATCATACGCCATGAACAAGTGGGATTTATTCCCAGAATGCAAGGATGGTTCAGCATCCAAAAATCAATCAATGTAATACACATGTTAACAGAATGAGCAATAAGAACCTACATGGTCATCTCAATTAATGTAGAAAAAGCATTTAACAAAATTCAACACCCTTTCTTGATTAAAAAATTAAATACACTAGGAATAGAAGGAAACTTCCTCAACATAGTAAAGGCCATATGTGAAAAGCTGACAGCTAAAATCCTACTCAATGGTGAAAAGCTGAAAGCATTTTCTGTAAGATGAGGAAGAAGGCAAGGATGCCCACTCTCCCTACTTCTATTCAACATAGTACTGGAAGTACTAGCCAGAGCAATTACACAAGAAAAAGGAAAAGAAAAAAAAAAAGGCATCCAAACTGGAAAAGAAGTAAAATTATCTGTTCACAGATGACATGATCTTATATCATCATGTAAGATCATCAAGATATAGGAACCCTAAAGAGTCCACAGACATAAAACCACTCCAAAACCTATGAATTTGGCAAAGAGCAAGATACAAAATCAACATATGAAAATTAGTTTTGTTTCCATACACTAACAATGAACAATCTTAAAACAGCCAGGCGCAGTGGCTCACACCTGTAATCCCAGCACTCTGGAAGGCGGAGGGAGGTGGATGGCCTGAGGTCAAGAGTTCGAGGCCAGTCTGGCCAACATGGTGAAACCCTGTGTCTACTAAAAATACAAAAATTAGTCAGGTGTGGTGGCACATGCCTGTTATCCCAGCTACTTGGGAAGCTGAGGCAGGAGAATCACCTGAGTCTCACAGGTGGAGGCTGCAGTGAGCCGAGATCATGCCACTGCACTCCAGCCTGGGTGACAGAGCAAGACTCTGCCTCAGAAAAAAAAAAAAAAAATCTAAAAAGGAAATTATGGAAAAAAAATCCATTTATAGTAGCATCAAAAAGAATAAAATACTCAGGAATAAACTTAGTCAAGGAGACAAAATACTTGTACACTGAAAATGGAAAACTACCAAACTTTGCTCAAAGCAATTTAAAAAGAGACAAATAAATGAAAAGACAGCCTGTGTCTGTGGATTATAAGACTTACTGTTAAAAGGTCAATCTCTTAAAAGCAATCTACAGATTTACGCAATCCTTATGAAAATCCCAACATTGTTTCCTTGCAGAAATAAATTTTCTAAAGGAAAAATCCATTCTAGAAAACATGGAATCTCAAGAGACCCCAAGTAGCCAAAATAGTCTTTAAAAAAACAAAACAGAAAATAATAAGCGTTGATGTAGACGTGGAGTAACTGGAACTCTTTTTCATTCCTGGTGGGAATGTAAAATAGTATAGCCACTGTGGAAAATGGTATGGCAGTTCCTCAAAAAATACAAAAATTGAATCACCATGTGATCCAGCAGTTCCACTTCTGGATATATACCCAAAAGAAGTGAAAGCAGGGACTCCAACAGTTATTTGCATGCTAACATTCATAACAGCATTATTCACAACAGCCAAAGGATGGATGCCACCCAAGTATCCACTGGCAGATGAATGGAGAAACAAAGTGTGGTACATACATACAATGGGAATATTATTCAGTCTTAAAAAGGAAGCAAGTTCTGACCCATGCTACAGTAGGCATGAAACTTGAGGACATTATGTTAAGTGAAATAAACTGGTCACAAAAGGACAAATACTGTGTGATTCCACGTATATAAGATACCTAGAGGAGTCCAATTCATAGAGACAAAAAGCAAATGGTGGCTGCCAGGGGCTGGAGGAGGAGGGGCGTGGTGTTATAAGGGACAGAGTTTCCACTGGGGACCGTGGCAAATTTTCTGGAGATGGATGGTGGTGGTGGTTGCACAATAGTGTGAATGTACTTAATACCACCAAACTGTGCATTAAAAATGGTTAAAATGGTAAGGTTTATATCATGTATATGTAACCCCAATTTTGCCAAAAAACCTGCACTTGCACTCAACACATGTTTAGTGAATGTGTGAACCACAGGCCCTGGAGCAGGCTATGCTGATGGCTGGGTAGGAAGGGGAATAAAACACATCCATGCTGCAGCGGCACTGTCATTGCAGCACCAGGGTGCAGGTGCATGGAGGCCCTGGAGCTTGTGAACCCACTCATGCTGCACCTGCACAATGCCAGTCTGACTGAGGTTATGGGTAGGGACATCTTGACACTGGCATAGCCTCCTAAGTGCTGAAGTGCAGCTGAGCCCTGGGCAACATGGAGGGTGTGGTGGGCAGGCATTGAGGCACCGGGCAGTTAGTAGTTGAGGCAGTTAGTAGTTGGCTAACCACTAAGCAGAGGAGGCCATTGAGTTTGGGGCCAAAGGCAATGAGGTGCGGGAGGCAGTAAGATGCTACCTGAATTTCCAAGGCCACCGTCCTCCTCTCTGGGGCCTTTCCCTCCTTACCACCAAGCAAGAGTGAGTTCGCTATGGTCCTTACCCTCTGTGAGCAGTCCTATCCTGGCCTTTGCCCCCAGCTCACCTTCTCAGGGGAGTGTCCCTCTAGCCAGTGCCCTTCTTTCTCCCCAATCATCTTGTATGCATTGATGTATGTATTGACTGTCTCCCTTTATTCCAATGTGAACTCCAACAGAGCTGAGACTCTGCTGAGTCCCCAGTGTCTACAACACTGCTCAGGACACAGTAGATGCTCAATAAATACCTCAGTAGAGGAGTGAGAGAGAAGGAGGGAAGGAGGGAGGAGTGGGGAGGTGCATGTCCTGAAGGAGATGGAAAAAAGAAAGGGGAAGTCAGCTGGGCACAGTGGCTCACGCCTGAAATCCCAGCACTTTGTGAGGTGGAGGCGGGCGGATCACCTGAGGTCAGGAGTTTGAGACCAGCCTGACCAACATGGAGAAACCCCTTCTCTACTAAAAATACAAAATTAGCCAGCTGTGGTGGCACATGCCTGTAATCCCAGCTACTCGGGAGGCTGAGGCAGGAGAATCACTTGAACCCGGGAGGCGGAGGTTGCAGTGAGCCGAGATCGTGCCACTGCACTCCAGCCTGGGCAACAAGAGTGAAACTCCATTTCAAAAAAAAAAAAAAAAAAAGAAAAAGAAAAAACAAAAAGAAAGGGGAAGCCATAGGGAGAAGCCAAACAGAGGGAGCTTGTGGGCTTCTGATGACACTTGTTTTATCCCATAGATGGCAGGCAGCCATGGAAGGGCTTTGAACAAAAGGAATGTATCTGGTGGGCACAGGAGACCATCTGAAGGGCAGGGCTGGGAGGTGGGTGGGGTGGACACCCCGAACGACTAGCAGGGAGGCCGAGCTTCTCCAGACACATTCTGTGCGGTGGCTGCGGGGCAGGGAGCACAGGCCCAAGACTTGGAGACCAGCTGAGGGCTCCTCACTGGCTCCCACCCTCTGCCCTCTCACCAGGGAGCTGACATCCTCTGTCTGGCTGGATGTTTAATTGCTTAGCGCCTCAGTTTTCACTTCTGTGAAATGGCACTAATACCAATACCTAAAGGCACCAAAGGAGAGTCCTGAGTATGTAGTAATTGCCATCATGACCCAGGAATTTGCTAAGCGCTTACAAACATCTGGTTAGGTACTGGTAAAACCTCGTGAAGAACTGAGCCCAGGGCACTGTCCTGGTAAAAGCATTTGCTAAATGTTGGCTAACTACTGTCACTGTTTGTAAACAGGCTAATAGGAGTGTTAAGGGATGGGGGGATGCCCACATCAGGGCAGCCTCCCCTGCATCACAGCAGCCTCTAGAAGTTTCCAGCTTCATTTGGGCACTGCTCACCTGACTACTTTAGTACTGCTGTAAGGGTGAGGGAGAGTGTATCTATCAAGGAAGTGGGCACCACTCACCTGAAACCCGCCTTTTGGGCTCTCAACCTTCAGGCTGAGCATTCTATCTACATAATAGTAGACAATGGCTTAAGAGTTACTTCTTTCCCAGAACTTCAGTATGTAAAAAAAAAAAAAAAAAAAAAATTCCAGGCTTTCACCCAGGAGGAAGGGAACCAGTGACAACCGGAATTCAGGTAGGAAGGCCTATTGCAGGCCATCCTGGCCAGTCCAGAGGTGTGGGAGCTGGGGGTCTCCTGCTCTTTCCTCTCCCTCTATGGCCAGCTACTTCTCCCCCCGCCCCCTTCCCCAGTGCCCAGTGCTTTGGGCACTGCCCTGAGTCTGTATCCACGGGGTCACTTGTTGGGGGTGGGTGGCTGACTCTGAGGGTAGATTTTGGCTCAGTAGGAGGAAGGACCTTAATTGAGCCGCCTGCGGTGGAGCAAACGGCCCCTTGGCAGCTGCAGGTGGGCGGTGATGGTGAGGGGCTGAGGGGCTAAGGAGCCTTGTCATGGATGCTGCTAGGAGACTGAGCCAGGTTTCCTGTCCGGAGATTCTGGAATTCCGAGCAGGGGTGGCCCACATTTCCCAGCACGATGCGGATTTTGCTGAGGGAGGATGGGGAGAGAAAGAGGGTGAGGGAGGAAGGGCGGGCAGGGATGTGGCCCCTGCCCAGCGCGGATGCCCCAAGGATGCAGCGCTGGCGAGGCAGGGAAGTCCTCCTCTAGAACGCGTGCAAGTGACCCCTCAGAGCGCACCTCCGCTTCTCCTCCCCACCGTGGGGGCTCAGTTCCCTGGACACGGGGGCCAGGGTTCCCATACTCCTCGCCCCTTAGGTCACGGGCCTGGGGGGCTCAAATGCCAGGGAGCTCTCTCTTGACAGAGCTGACCAGCCCGGCCCCTTAGGTCACGGGCCTGGGGGGCTCAAATGCCAGGGAACAGAGCTGACCAGCCCGTGCCAGCGCACTCCCGGCCCGGGCTTCTGTCCTCTTCCTCTGGGGCTGAGCATCAGGGAAGTCCGCGGGATCCTGCGAGGGAGGCGGCAGTCCCCAGCCGAAAATGAGGGGAAAGAGGAAGTGGTGTCCCAACCAGAAACTCAGTGGGGAACGGAGGGAGGCAGCGCGGCCGAGGAGGAGGAACACCCCCACCGTGGTGGGGGTCAGAAGAAAGTTAGGGCCAAGTATTTGCTTGTCGGCCTTCTAGACTAGGAAGGCTCTCCTGCGGGCTCCACTCCCGCACCCCGCGTCTCTCCTTCTGCCTTGCCCGGGTTCCCCCAACTTATCTTATCCTCGGGGTCCCGCCCACCTTCTCCCCGGGGTCCCACCCCACTTTCAGTCTCAAGGCTCCCCCAGCTCACCTTCGCGCCCGCGGACCCCTGGGTCTACCTTCAGCCTTGGGGGCCCTTCTCGGCCTATCTTCCACCTTCGAGATCCCCCCACCCGCCTTCTCCCCCGGCAGGGTCCCCCCGGCCGTCTTCTCCCCCGGCAGGGTCCCCCAACCCACCTTCTCCCCCGCAGGGTTCCCCAGCCCGCCTTCCCGGCGGCGGGAGCGGCGGCCCAGGCCGGCGGGCGGAGGCGGCGCCACCCGGGGCGCTGACGTAGAGGCCGCTCGGCGGCCGGGGGTCCCTTCGGTGGGGCCGCGGCTCCCCGCCCGCCGCCCCCGCGCGTCCATTCCCTTTTGTGTCCCGCGCGCGGCCCGTCCCCCGCGCACACTAGCGCCCTGAGCCCCGCGGGCCGGCGGGCGGCTCCCGGCGCGGCCCCTCCAGCCAGCGCGCCCGGCATTGTGTGGACGCGCCTGGCCGGGAGCGCGCGCGGGGGCTGTCGTGCGCCCCCGTCCCCGTCCCCTCCCGGCCGCGGCGCCGCCTGCGCCCCGCCGCCCCCGCCGCCCCCGCGCGGCCCGGCCCCCGGCCCGGCCCGGACCGACCCGGGCAGCGCAGCGGCGGGGCCGAGCGGCGGCGCGGCGCGGCAACATGGCGACGGTGCCCGTGTACTGCGTCTGCCGGCTCCCCTACGACGTTACCCGCTTCATGATCGAGTGCGACGCCTGCAAGGACTGGTTCCACGGCAGGTGAGCGCGCGGCGGCTGCTCGGCTCGGCCCGGCCCGGCCCGGCCACCTTGCCCGACCGAGCCCCGCGCCCCCGGCTGCGCGCCCGCAGGCCCGGCTCGGGGACGGGCCGCCGCCGCCGCCGCCGCATTCCGGGCGCCCCGGTCGGGGCTGGGCCGTGCCGGGCCGCGCGCCCTTTTGTGCCCAGGGCGGGGGCGCCAAGCACGGGGCCCGCGCTGGGCGCCCCTGGCCGCCGCGCACAAAGCGAGGCCCGCGGGCCGGGAGGTGGGCTCGGGGCTCGGGGCGCGGGGAAGTTGGGGCTCCAGGCCCGGGCCGGGCCGCCTGTCAGCTGGGTCGCGGCGGCCGCAGAGGCCGGGCATCCGGAGGGAGGCCGAGGCCCGGAGCCCCCGCCGCCTCCCCCCTGCGAAGTTGCAGGAACTTTCCCCGCGCGGGCTCGGGGTTGGCCGGGCCGGGAGAAGCGGGCGCGCAGCCCGGCGCGGGTCCCGGGAGAGGCGCGAGTGGCGGGCTCCGACTCCGGCAGGGCTGGGGAGTCCGTGGGGGCTCCGGCGAGGTGGCAGCCGGCGCGCCCACCCTCCGCCGTGGCCGGCGAGCTCCCTTGGACCTTGTCCCCGAGGGCAGGACCCCTCCCGGACCCCCGCGGAGCAGCTAGACCCGGCAGGCCTGCAGGTCCGCGGGCAGGAGTGCGGTGACAGAATAGTGTCTGTGAGTTGGGTAAGGGGGGTTTGTTGTGGCTTTGCCACCTCCTCCCTGGCCTTCAGTTTTCCCCGTTTCTCTCCTCTCCGTTCCCGGCAGGAACGCCGGTTTTGACATGATCTTATGCTCCCTAAGGAAGATGGGGAGGGGGGAAGGAGGTAACGCTTGGAGACACTGAAAACCCCCGCCCTCTTGGCCCTTGCCGATGGCCATGACCTGGCCCCATGCCTAGGGCAGGTCCCTTCCCACCAAGAAGTAAATGGAGGAGGAGGAAGAGGAGGTGACAGTGTTGCCCAAACTGCTCCAACAGGTTCTCTTGCATCTGACTTTGCCTGTGGGATGTGTTTGGACCCGGGGCTGGCCAGGGCTGTATGCCCTCTGGGGCTCCAGTCCCAAACCACCGGCAGCAAGCAGCCGGGGGAAAGAGAGGGGTGTGTGGTGGTGGGTGGTCCGGGATTCTCCTTCCAGAGAGGAGATCCTCCTGCAGGTTCTAAGACTGGGTCTTCAAGACTGGTCAGTGGTGCTTAAGAGTGGGCTGTGGCCCCAAGTCCAGTCCTGCCAGTTTACATGTGGGGACCTGGGTGGCTGGGATGTGACAGGGCCTGCTATGTCTGTCAGCCCCAGTCCTGAGTCCTACCTCCCTGCTGTTAGAAGGGCCTGGGACTCTGTGGGGTGGGGATGCCCACGGAAATCTGGGCTGCCTTCCTGGGTATGCCCAGGGCTGTGGAAGCCCCTTAGAGCAAGGGAGACTGAGTGTGAACACCGGGCTCTGCCCAGAACAGGGCTGACATGCACACCCTCAACTGGCAGCCGTTGAGAAGTTCATGGCCGGGCCAAAGTGAGTGAGAGCCTCTAAGGCTCCTCATATCCAGGGATGCTGAGCTGCTGGCCCTGAAAAGCCCTGAAAGTGGTGGGGCCTCTGCCTTCTCCCCCATCTCCACCGGAGCCCTGACCTGGCGAGCGCAGTCACTCTGCTACAGAACCTTCTGGGCACCTGTGTCAGCTCCTGGCTGCTGCCCACACTCGGGGCCCAGAGTAGGGAGAGTGAGAGAACGCGAGAAGACCTTTGTCTCGCTGCTTAGGGGACCCTCTGGGAAGGGAAGGCTAGTTCTGAACTAGACTTCGAGGCCAAGGGAAAAACTCCAGGAATGAGGGGCAGGCAGGCGACAGGGGCTGAGAGCTGGCCTGAGAGCTGGTTGGTGTCATTTGCTGTATTGGCCCATGCAAAAAATCCCCAAAAGGGGGATGTCTGGGGAGGCTCTAGCTCCTTTTTTTCTTATTTGAGGTCTCTGATTGAATCCAATACAGGCAGTTGATCAGCACAGATTTATTCTCACCTATTTGGGGTGGCTGTGGGGTCTGAAAGAAGCTGTGCTTTCCCTCGGCCATGAAAGTCATTTTCTCCTGCATCTAACCAAGAGTCATCTGCCAAAGTGAACCCTACAGGGAGAAAGCCTCTGGGTGTGCCTGCTCCCCAATTGTTCTGGGCAGGTGTGTGATGGGGAGGACAGCCGTCAGGGGTTGGTGGTGTTGGTACAGCTCTCACAGCCCTGGGCAAATCCTTTGGTCTCTCAGCATCACTTTTCTTTTCTCATCAGTAAAATGAACGTGTGTGACCAGACCCCGGGGTTTCTCCACCTCCAGATAGTCTTGTATGGCCCCGGTGGTTCTTTCCTGATCTTCGTACCGCCTGTACTGTGATTTACTTCCTATTTAACATTTCAACTCTCTTTTTAAAAGTTTGAATACTTTTAAACTTTTTATTTTGAGGGGACTTTAGACTTACAAAAGAGTTCCAAAAATGGTACAGTTTCCCTGTATCCTTCTCTCCCTTTCCCTGCAGTGAACATCTTACCCAGCCATGGGACCAGTACCACAATGAAGGAGTTAACGCTGGTGCCGGGCTGCTGACTAAACTACAGGCTTTATTCAAATGTATTTAACCAGTGTTCCCCACTTAATGTCGTTTTTCTGTTCTTGGATCCCACCTTGCATTTAATCCTCATGTCTCCTTACTCTCGAAAATATTGCTTTTAAAAGGAAACTTCATATCATTTCCTGAAATAAAACATTACTGTAACTTACCATACACAGTAACTATAAAAATAAACACACAACTGTTAGAGTAAAATGCCTGTCTGTCCCACCTGTGGCCACATCACATTCTTCCAGCCAGCCCCGTTTTGGGGAGAATTGGAGAGAGGGTCTCTAAGTCATCAGCTACAGTCGCGGTGGCTGCGTCTTTGCTCTTGGCAGCTTTGGCGGCAGCCGAGAACTTGTTTGGGATAGAGCTTTGGCCATTTGGGGCCAGAACTTGCTTCTAGGGTGTTTGCCTACTCAGGGACTCTGAGCATCCCTCCCAGTGTTCTTGCCTTGGTGGGTGGGGCTGCCCCGCTGGCCTGGGTTGGGGAGAATGTTCACCATGGGGAGGGAGAATCGTTGTGTTCTATCCTTGGGGTCATGCATCCTGCATTCACTGGAGGGGAAGTGTGGAGTAGAGGTCGGGGAAACAGGCCCTCCTTTGAAGCCCCCCTCTGTCCTTGGGATGTGTGTCCCTTCACCAAGTTCTCGCAAGATTCCTCCTCCGGCCCCATCTTGACCGTGGCTCATCACTCCTGGGGTGGGGATCCTCGCCAGCCCAGCCCTTCTTCACTGGCACCGACTGGAGTGCTGTCCCAGAATGTGGGCTTTGACCTGGGAGGGATGGATTTTTGTGGCAGGACCTGGCAGGAGGCCGCTGGAGGCCGGTTGCCTTCGGAGGTGTCTTGTCTGCCTCATTTGGTGGGGATGTGTCGCTCTGCACCGGCACTGAGGAGGACCTGTCCTCTCCTTTTAGGGATCCTACTCTTACATAAAGCCACTTGGGCCGTACACTGTGTTCCCTTGTGCCTGTGCCTTCCAACTGGAGGATGGAGACCAGGCCCCATGCCCTCCACTCCTGCCTGCAAAGTGAGCTGGCATCTCACTTTGTCACCAACTTACTTTGAATAATTTAAATCTCTGGGAAGCAGGAATGCTTCTGTTAAAGTTTTAAACATCCTTAACATGTAGCTTTCTGGCCCTCTTTCAGCTGCTTGTTCTATTGGACTGGAAGGGTTTTTGGAGGTGTAATCAGTAAAACTGACTTGAAAGAAATTGAAAGCTGTTCAGGTCACTTAAGTGACAGACATTTCATTCATACCTCAGTAAATATTTGTTGGGCTTGTATTCTGTACGGAGTTCAGAGCTGGCTGTGAGGGCCCAGGGGTTAGCCAGGCAGCTTCTCAGATTGGTGGCAGCCACCCTGGAGGGGGAGTGTCTCAGCAGAGGAGGGGCGAGAGTGGACTGAGGTTTTGACTGTCCCCCGTGTTGCATGTTGCTGTGGGGAGAGGTTGGGAGAAGGTTAGGGGCAGGGAGCCAGTGAGGAGGTGACTGTCACCCTGCCTGTGTACCCAGGGGGTGGGGAGTGAGGACTGGGGTCGGTAGAAGGGTCACATTCTGGAAGTGCTCAGAAGGTAGAGTGGACAAGACTTGCCTGGCATGGCTCCCTCCAATTCCTCTGTGTCCGTCTGTCTGTCTGGGCTCAGCCTGCCCTCCTCCTCAGGGCCCTGTCTCTGTGTCCACCTCCCTAGGGATGGAGTTGGCCTTTCTGGGCTCTCATTGTGCCCACCTAGTCTTAAGCTTCTTGAGGCAGAGCCATGTTCAGGGGCTACCTGGGAACACCAGGCGGGGCTGTGGCCTCGCGCTGCAGGCCAGCTCTGTTGTTGGCCAGTGGAGTGTGTGTGCGAGAGGGAAGGAGGTCCTGCCGTGGGTCAAATCTGGGTGATCAGAACTGACAGTTAAATCCTAGAACCTCAAATGCCGGGGAGTACTGGGGGAAGGGGCTCTCCTCATGGAGATGTTGTTGTGATGTGTTTAGGAATAAATCATTTTAAAACAAGGAATTCTCCCCCTGTGTGAGTTTTGAAAGTTCTGGAGGAGGTGGGAAGAATGTCAGGCCAGCTTCTAGAGGGTAAAGTAGACATCCCTCTCTGTCGATGCTTTCCAAAGGAGGTGTGTCTTGAAGGAAGCAAGGAGCTTCATCTTAATTGTCAGAACGTTTGCTATTATTGAATATACTTAATATTTGACTGGAAGTGTGCTTGATCTGAACTTCTGGACTGCAGCCCACGTTTGTTTGGGGCTGCTTGGGTGAAATGTGGCCACAGATGCCCTAAAATCTGGGCAGAGATTTGGGTGGACGCTGCCACCCCCAGGCATCCTCTTTTATGGCTGTCCCTGTAGTGCCTCGACATGTGCCAGGTCCTTCTAAAAGAGTGAGTTTTTCTGGTGGGAGCAAGTGTGGGCCAGAAAATAGTGTTCCGTGACACAGTTCTCTGGGAGAATCTCACTTTTGAAATTCAGGGTGTGGGTAAAACAAAGTCCATCTCTTGGTTTTTTTAAATAACAGATGGGCCTGATTGTGCTGCGGAAGCTAACATTCAGTCGGGGTTTAATGCCATAGGGGTTTTTCATTCATCATGTTTGGTTCCCACGTCGACTGCGAGGGGCAGATAGTGTGGGTCACCCTGTCACCTTCATTCCCAGCATGGACACAGAAGCAGCTAGGGCCTCTGTCACACACAGGTCTCTGGCTTCATCAGGTGCACTCTGAGCTGCAGCAGGTGGACACACTCACCTCCCAGAGGGTGCAGGTGAGGAGGTGGCACCTGGCTTAGGTTATTCTGGCTCAAGGGCCTGAGCAAATACCGGGGCTGATAACTGCTCGTGTCCATGGTTTCAGCAGTGTAACACGGACGGAAATGTAGTCACAGAGGAAGGCCACATACTGAGCTAGGGGATGGGAGGTGCTTCCCTGTCCAAGCAGCTGACTGCAGCAGCTCCCTCCTGGGTCTGAATATACCCAGTGTCTCTCAGGGTCTCTCGCTGTAGTGCCTCCCTCTCTGCATCTCTCCTTCTCTGTCCCCTAACTTCTGCCAACCTTGATTCTCAGCTTTTTGGCTCTGTGGCAGGTAGGTGGCCCTAGCTGTGAGGTCCAGAATGGGACTTGGCTTCTATGCTTTAGGGTACAGGACCTGTTTACTTTTCTCCTGGACCCCCCCGCCACCATAGTGCTGGGTCACTCACAGAAGAACATATGAACATATTTAGAATTCTAGCCAGTGGTTTGGATCTCAAAGCATAGGAACTGAAAAATCTTTGTGGTATCTGTCCCTGTCTATCAAAGCTTTCCAAAGGAGGCGTGTCTTGAAGGAAGCAATTTGGTGTGAGCCTCATCTTAATTGCCAGAATGTTTGCTTTTATTGAAAATATTTAGCTAGAAATGTGCACATGGGGAAACGAGCCTTTTACCTTTTTTAAAAATTGAGGTGAAATTCATATAAAATTAACCATTTGAAAGTGTGAAGTTGAGTGGCATTTAGTGTCTTCATAGTGTTGAGCAACCACCACCTTTATCTAGTTCCCAAACATCTTCCTCACTCCTAAAGTAAACCCGGTATCCAATAAGTAGTCACTGCCCTTTCTTCCTCCCACTAGCCCCTGACAACTAGCAGTCTGCTTTCTGTCTCTATAGGTGTGTCTATTCTGGATATTTACTATTTCATACGAATAGAATCATACAATATGTAACTTTTTGTGTCTGACTTCTTTCACTTAGCACAATATTTTTGAGGTTCATCCACATTGTATCATGTGTCTGTGTTTCATTGATTTTTATGGCTGAATAATATTTCATTGTGTGGATAGACCACAGTTTATCCATTCATCAGTGTATGGGCATCTGGGTTCTTTCCACCTATGGCTGTTGTATATGGTGCTGCTATAAACATTTGTGTATAAATATTTGTTTGAACACCTGTTTTCAGTTCTTTTGGATATATACTTGGGAATGGAATTGCCGGATCATATGGTAACTCTATGTTTAACTTTTTGAGTAACTGGCAAACTGTTTTCCACAGGGGCTACATTATTTTAAATTCTCCTCAGCAACGTTCCAATTTCTCCACATCCTCACCAACACTTGTTTTCCTAATTTTTTTTTTTAAATTAAAGCTATTCTAGTGGGTATAAAGTGGGATTTCCTTATGTTTTTGGCTAGCATTTCTCTACTGACCAATGATGTTGAACAGCTTTCACATGCTTGTTGGCCATTGGTATATCTTCTTTGGACAAATGTCTACTCAAGGCCTTTGCCCACTTTTACATTGGATTGCTTGTCTTTTTATTGCTGAAGTGTAAGAGTTCTTTATATAGTCTAGATACTGTATCCTTTTTTTTCTTTTCTTTTTTTTTTTTTTTTTTTGAGACGGAGTTTTGCCCTTGTTGCCCAGGCTGCAGTACAATGGCGTGATCTCAGCTCACCACAACCTCTGCCTCCCTGGTTCAAGTGATTCTCCTGTCTCAGCCTCCTGAGTAGCTGGGATTACAGGCATGCACCACCACGCCTGGCTAATTTTGCATTTTTAGTAGAGATGGAGTTTCTCCATGTTGGTCAGGCTGGTCTCGAACTCTCGACCTCAGGTGATCTTCCTGCCTTGGCCTCCCAAAGTGCTGGGATTATAGGCATGAGCTACTGCGCCCAGCCTAAGTGCTGTATCCTTATCAGATACATGAGTTGCAAATACATTTTTCCATTTTGTGGGTTGTCATTTCACTTTCTTGATAATGACTACTGATGCACAAAAGTTTTTAACTTTGATAAAGTCTGGTTTATCTCTTTTTTGTTTTGTTGCTTGTGCTTTTGGTGCCATTTCTAAGATTTCATTGCCTGTACAATCCAAGATTATAATTACAGGTTTACTTCTGTGATTTCCTTTAAGAGTTTTATAGTTTTAGCTCTTATCTTAGGTTTTTGATCCATCTTCTGTTTATTTTTGTAATGATGGAAGGTAGGAGTCCAGCTTTATTCTTTTGAAGCTGGATATCCAGTTGTCTCAGCATCATTTGTTGATGACTATTCTTTCTCCGTTGAATGATCTTGGCACCCTGGCCAAAAATCTTTTGACCGTATACACAGGGGTTTATTTCTGGACTCTCAGTTCTATTCCATTGGTCTATATGTGTCTCCTTATGCCAGTACCACACTGCTTTGATTACTGCAAAGTTGTAGTAAGTTTGAAAGCAGAAAGTATGAGTCCTCTGATTTTATATTCTTTTTCACTGTTGTTTTGGCTATTTTGGGCTCCTTGCGTTCCATATGAATTTGAGGATTGGCTTTTCCATTTCTGCAAAAAAACCGCTGTTGGAATTTTGATAGGGATTGTGTTCAGCCTGTAGATTGCTTTGTCATCTTAATAGTATTAAGTCTTTTGATCCATGAACGTGGGATACCTTTTCACTTATTTGTGTCTTCTTTAGTTTCTTTCAGCAGTGTTTTATAGTTGTTGGTTTACAAGTCTTTCACCGACTCAGTTACATTTATTCCTAGATGTTTTATTCTTTTGGACGCTATGGTAAGTGGTATTATTTTCTTAACTTCTTTTTCAGATTGTTCATTGATGGCACTTTTATCTTTTTTTGTAATCACCTTTTAATGTGTGATGACTGAATTTACAGAACTGTACATGCGCAGGGTGCTGCCCACCCCTGGCATGCTCTCCGTGTTCATGCATGTGCTGCTGTGTGCCCAGTGCATGCCTGCATGCTTGCGAAGGAGGGTCTTCTTTTTTAACCATAAGTATTTTTGCATCAGATGTCGAACTAGGCGTTTTCCATACATGTGTAAGACCTCTCTCATATTGTGTATGGGGTCCTCTTGTGTGGGTCTCCATCTCCTTTCCCTGACCGCCATCCTCCCCAGGGGCTATCTTTTTGGCTACATGCTTCACTGCTGAGGATCCTTTTGTGGAGCAAGGCCAGGGTTCTGGATTCCTAGAGTAGGGACAGCAAGCACAGTTATGGAGCAGTGCCAGCCGCTCTGTGTGGGCAGCACGTGGCCTCATTGATCTCCATGCATTAAGTGGATGGTTCTGCTCAGGTGGAGAGCATGTGTAAAGCCCTTGTTCATTCTTGTTCCTGACATGCCATGGGTAGGGCGCAAGGCCACAGTATTGGACAAACATGAGGATCTGATTGGCCTTGGAGAGTGCTCTGGGACCAGGATCTGACCTGGGGACTGATACACCCACCCCTGGGGCTGCCAGACTCAGGCATTGAACCCTGACCCCAGCACCTTCACCCCACAATTCCAGATCACTGAGATCTTATTGTAGCTTTGTGATTTTGTCCCTTATTTTACCCTTCCCCTTATAAAACCCCATCAAGGCGTATTCTGTGTATGAATCTCCGGGAAAGCTTGGGCCATTGGAAAGAGTAGTTGGGAAGCACTAACCAGGAACGTGGGGCCTGGTGGGAAGGCAGCGTCAAGTGGAGCTTGAGGCCCTTCCCTGCCAGGTTCCACCTCACCAGCAGGTCTGGGCTGACCTGCTTTTGCTGGAGCAATGGTGCAGACTGATTTAGGGGTTTAGGCCCATTTCCCTGAAGGAGAGACTGAGGCCTGGAGTCCTGAGACACTTGGTATCCTGGAACAGTATAGAAACTGCAGCCTTAGCTAGTCTTCTGCACATTGCCTGGAGAAGGGGTGAAGTGGGGCTTTGGGAGGGCTCACTGAACCCGGGGAGAGGGACCCCATGGCCCCGCATGAAGCAGCACACACAGGCTCAAATGGGAAGCAGTGGGGAGTCTCACTAAACCTTCCTTGGCTGGAGTCAGCCAAACATGAGGATTAGTTGCCCTTGGTGCTTGTGGAATCTCTCCTTGGAAGTGGGAGGCACTGTGGCGACCACTGCCCAGCAGCACATAGCAGAGGTGTGCAGAAGCAGCCAGGCAGGGAGAGGTTTTCTCCACTGTTTGCACCCAGCACTGGGCACTTCTGGATGCCACCCTGTTCCTTGCAGCAGCTCCCTGGTGGGCTTTGGATGGAGGGGCTACTCAGGAGAAGCCAGCTGGGGGAGGGCCAGCAGCCGGCCAGCAGCCCCCACTCCTCCCATGCCAGCCAACGTACAGGCCGGATGGGAACAGTCTGTGAGGCTTTTGTGCCACTCCTGGCTGCGCTTGGCAGCTCTGCATGTCACACATGAGGAATCCTGAGTCTCAAAATGGCCCAGGAATCCAGCATGAGCTGTGCTAGGAGTCAAGAGGTTTGCCACGACTGGGCTTGGTTCCTTGTTCATGAGCGAGCACGTCCCTCAGTCTGTCCATCTAGCTGGTGACGTTTCCTGAACACCAGGGGAGACCAGGCTCTGTTCTAGGCACGGGCAGCAGTGAGGAAGACTGCACGGCCCCTGAAGCTAGTGCTGGGGGACAGGGTTGGGGTGGCATGGCCCTCATCACCAGCCGCCTGCGAGTCTGTGCCAGAGCAGATTGGGGTGACAACAGACTGCACTGTGTGGGGTGAGGGGCAGCATGTGGCTGGCCCCCAAATGAGGGGAGATATGGTTAGGGAGGCACCTTGGCCTGTTGGCCATGGGTGGGAGTTACATTCTGGCCCCAGTGCAGGAAGATGAGGACAAGGCACAACATTCTTTAGTTTGCAGTCTGTAAAGTTCTCTCAGAGTTCTGTGGGAGGCATGGAGTATAGGGCAAGATGGAGAGAGGCCAGAGACTAGTTAGGGGCTGGCAGAGCCTTGGGTGAGGGATGGAGGAGCCTCGGGTGAGGGACAGAGGAGCCCCGGGTGAGGGATGATGGAGGAGCCCTGGGTGAGGGATGATGGAAGAGCCCTGGGTGAGGGATGACGGAGGAGCCCTGGGTGAGGGATGACAGAGGAGCCCTGGTTGAGGGATGATGGAAGAGCCCTGGGTGAGGGATGATGGAAGAGCCCTGGGTGAGGGACGGAGGAGCCTCAGATGAGGGACGGAGGAGCCCCAGGTGAGGGACGGAGAAATCCCAGGAGAGGGATGACGGAGGATCCCTGGATGAGGGATGGAGGAGCCCCGGGTGAGGGATGATGGAGGAGCCCCGGGTGAGGGATGATGGAGGAGTCCCAGATAGTGGATGGAGGAGCCCCGGGTGAGGGATGATGGAGGAGTCCTGGGTGAGAGATGATGGAGGAGCCCCAGGTGAGGGATGGAGGAGCTCTGAGGGGTGGGAGGGCTGGACTGGAGGGTGTCTAACCCTACCACCCTGCTTGCCAGGCACTGCTTCTGCCCGAGCTCCCCCAGTGCCAGTTGGAGGGTGGAAGCACTAGCTGCTATTTGGTCTGGAGGTTCTCATGGGACAGTGTTGTTATGTGACTCTCATGATCCCAGCCTGTGTCTGTGTAGCCAGCCCTCTGGTCCACCTAGTGGCCAACTGTCCCTGGAGCTGCCCATTGGCCTCACTGACCGTCCGTTCTCCAGCAGCATGGGCCCCCTGTCTGCTGGGTAGCCCTTGACCCTGCCATTGGCCGTCTGTGCCACCTGCCCACTGTGAAGGCATGTGACTTGGATCCTGGTGAAGGAGGTGGCTGTGTGGCGGGGTGGGCAGGTAAAGAAGCAGCACAGGGTCACCTCCCTGGAGGCCCCCATGACAGTGAGCTGGGTGCCTGGACTGTCGTGTGTCTGTGGGTCTGGGCGGCCACTGCACATCTCTCCCTGTCTCTGAGCAGCAGCTGGGGGCAGAACCACAGCTCTGCGGACCTGTTTATCTCAGTGCTTGACCAGATGCTCTGGGGGCAGGGCCTGTGTCCTGCACTGTGTGGCCCTAGGCAGGCAGGTCACTTCCTGTCGCAGGTGTACATCTGGATAAAGATGGTTCTGTCTTTGTGCCTGGTGGCGTTGTGTTGGGGACCATGGGACTGCGGGATAGAGGGGAGCAGCTCCAGGTGAGCTCTGGAGTCAGCTAGGGTGAGAGGTCCGTTCTAGCCTGGGGGCTGTGAGAAATGATTCCTCAGGCCAGACACAGCCCTTCTTAAAGTTAAGCCAGCAACGAGAATAACTCTCTTTGGAGGTCAGAGGGCATAGACCTGGAGGGAGCCTGTACCTGAGAGGCCCGAGTCTGTGGGACTCAGAGGATGAGCCCAGCCTTACTGAAGCTGCCCTCCCCACTCCCCTGCCATGCACTCCCTGCCCCCCAGAAAAACACTTTATGGGCTGGGCACGGTGGCTCACACCTGTAATCCCAGCACTTTGGGAGGCTGAGGCAGGCGGATCACAAGGTCAGGAGTTCGAGACCAGCCTAGCCAACCTGGTGAAACCCTGTCTGTACTAAACATACAAAAAATTAGCTGAGCGTGTTGGTGGGTGCCTGTAATCCTAGCTACTTGGGAGGCTGAGGCAGGAGAATCACTTGAACCTGGAAGGCAGAAGTTGCAGTGAGCCGAAACTGCGCCACTGCACTCCAGCCTGGGCAACAGAGTGAGACTCTGTCTCAAAAACAAACAAACAAGCAAAAAACACCCTATGAAGTCTCTGTTCGTGGCCCTGAAGGCAATGCCAGGAGTGACCTGATGGTATTTATGTTTAGGGAAGTCCCTCTGGCCACTTGAAGGGCCATCCTTTACTCCATCAAGTGAAGAAGAGAGGGACCTTGGAGGCAGCAGGAAGGTGAAGCCGCTTTCCCAGGACCCTCAAGGTCCAGGGATTCTGAGGCTTAGTCATGTCCTGGTATGTCTCTTTCTCTAGTTCCTTCTACAAAGCAGCTGTCCCAATAACAGTCCTGGGAAGGAACCAAGTGCTCACTGAAAGTTTGGAGCAGGAAGCTTTATAAGCAGGCAGATTTGGGTTCAGTTTGAGGGAAACCTTTCTAATAATTGAAACTGGCCCCACAGCAGACACTGTGTAGGGAAACTGTGTGTGTGGTGGGTGGGATTTCTCAGCCTCTGCACGGCTGACGTCTGGGCTGGAGAATTCTTTGTGTAGGGGCTTTCTGTGCGCTGTAGATGTTGAGTCCTGGTCTCCACCCAGCAGGTGCCAGGAGCACCTTGCCGCTTGCCCCACGCCCACATTTGACAAGCCAGAGTGTCTCCAGAAATTGCCAACTGTCTCCTGGGGACACAGTTATACCCAGTTGAGGGCAAGAAATGACTAACCTGTTGAATGTATTGTGTCTTTATCACTTGGAAATTAAAGTCAGTGACCCACCTGTCTTTTCTTATATTTATTTATTTTGATAAGGCATCAGCTACATTTATTCATTTGAAATTGTTTGATTGAATTTATTTTGCAAACAGAACATTAGCACATGGTAAGAAAAATTTTAAAAAGAGTGAGAATTCGAAAGAAATGCAGTGGAATGCGTGCCTCTCCCCTGTCTCCCCGTTCTTCTCTCTGGAGCGGACTCCCAGCTCCAGTGATGTCTCATGTTTCCACAGCCACCCCCTTTCCCTCTCTCCACACAAACAGCAGTGCGCTGTGAATGTGATTCTGCAGTGACCCTGGGTCGTCACTCTTGACTGCTGGGGCTCCAGCAAACATGCTCCTCCTGCACTTCCTGCTTCCCCTGGTTGGCATGTAGCTCATTTCTCATCCGAGGCCACTGCGGTGTTGCTCCCTGGCTATCCTGGTCTGTATGTTTTTGTGCATGTATGCATGTATATCTGCTGGATATATTCAAATAAGTAAAGTTGCTGGGCTGAAGGATATAGCATTTCGGATTTTAAAATCGTCAGATTGGTTGTACTGATTTCTCTACACACTGGGCAACACATTTTCTGAGCCTTTGATCTTTGTCAATTCAACCAGAAAGGTGAAAAAGAATACCTCACTATGGTTTAATGTGCAGTTATCTAATTATTGAGTTCACTCACTTTTAAATCCTTTCCTCCCTAGAGTTGTAGAGTTGTGTCAGTAGCCCTGGTGCTTTCTAATGAAGACAGAAAAGCAGGTTTTCCCTGAGAAGTAGATATGAGAAGGGCGCCCCACTTTGATGGGCTGGGAACAGGCCCTTCCACTCTCTCCCACTCCTGCCCCAGAGCTGGTGGAGCCCCACAGAACTCCAGGGCAGGTGCTTCCTGGATGCTCAGTCCACAGAGGTGGAAAGCTCATCTGTTTCCTAAATACCCCTCTTTGTTTGACTCTTGTTGTGAGGCCAAGCCTCATTTGCTTTATTTTCCCCATAAACTTTTAATTTTAGAATTGTTTTAGATTTACAGAAAAGTTGTAAACATGGTACCAAGCATCTCCACATACCCCGGCCAGTGTTCCTGAATGTGCACATCTTACATCTCCGTGGCAGGAGCCAGTGTCCATTCCCACCAAGGAGGCTGCAGGCTTGCTGGGGCCACAGTCCTCCCTGCAGCATCCTTCCCCTGAAGGGACCACCCCAGAGGCCATGGGCTGGTCCTCACGTCTCCTCAGCCCCTCTGGTTGTGGTGGTGGTTTCTGACTCCCCTTTGTCCTATGGCCCTGGCACACATGAGCAGCACTGCTGAGATTTGAATATCCCTTTATGATTTGTGTTCCTTTGAGGGGCCGCTTCTCCCCAGATGCCTTCACACACCTCTGGGTGGCTCCCCAACTTGAGTGTGGACATCCCAACAGCTCCGGGGCCATACTTGGCCTGGTTAGGTGGCAGACTGCTGTGACCCTCCGAGGGATCCAACATCACTCAGCAGACATGTGGTGGGTGAGGCCCTGTCATGGGGGCCAGCAGCCGTGCCTCCTGTGACCCATGCTCACTCACAGTCTGCTGGGACTCAAGGTCCCAGCACCCCTCTCCCCACTGACATTTGTCTGGCCCTGACCGTGTCTGTCATAACCACTTATGGCCACAGATGCTTTTTCCTGATCATAGTTTCTTCTAGATGCCAAATGTGTATTATTTTATTAGATTTTAAACTACTCTTTGGAAAGGAAGATGTAATGAAATTAGTCTTCTGAACTCGTCTCTGTTAAAAGCCAAGTCTAGTAGAACAGTTTGGGATTGGGCTAGGCACCCATTCAGGAGCAGGCTGTACCGTGGCCTTGCTGCACGGGCACCTGCCTCTGCATACCATGTGAGTAGGACGTGTGGACTGGGGGCGTCTCAGGGAGCAAGCCTCTTTTCACAAGCGGGAAACTGAAGCTGCACAGTGAGTTAGGGGCAGGGTGGGGACCAGAGTCCCTGCTTCCTCCCTTGACCTATTCTTTCCCTTACACTGAATTTTTTTCTCTGAATGAAATCACTGTAACAGAATTCAGCTTCGATCCTAGGAAGACTCCAGACCCTGGGCAGGGTCCATGTGGGTGGGGTGTCCTGGCCTACATGTCTGAGTGCAGGGATCCCCTCTGCCTCTGGCCTTGATGAGTGATAATCTACGTCACAGCTTCCCTAGCAAGGGAGTCAGAGGAAGAAGCCCGAGAGAGCATCTGTCAAGAGCCCAGTGCCCCACAGGGACCTCAACCCCAGATGCTTGGCCGTTGCTCGGGGACCTAGCTGTGTGGCCTGCTCCTAGTCTGGCTGCTCACCTGCAGAGGCCTTGAGGCTCTGGGCTGTGAATACATACCTGCCCGAGGGCATTGCTGGGAGAGCCAGCTCCTTCCCCAGCTGCTCAGCGCCCACTCTGCTTCCTGCCTTCTCTGGTGTTTGTGCATTTCACTCTTTACCCAGGGGTCATTGTAATTCTGCCTTAACCAGGGACACCTTGGTCCCCATTCTTGGAGGTCCCCAGTCCTGCCACCTTGTGATGGGTGGCAGGGCCAGGGGCTCTCAGTGTGCACCTCCCAGGAGCCCTTTTTCACTGGGGCCACACTTCTGTTCCTGGCCTGCTGGGATCTCAGGGTCTTTTTCTCAAACTCCTGGGGGATCCCTGGGAAGATAGTTGCCTCTGCAGGGGCTGCTGGTCCCCACTGTGGGAGCAGCGGGGTGATCCCAGGCAGACACAACACTCAGGGCGGGCCCATTCTTTACTCATTTGGGGAGCGCAGCATCATTGCCCCCATCACTGACCTGTTTAAAATTATCTGCATCCTTTGCCTAGTGATTTAAGCCATAGGTTCTTGGTGAAGTTCCCCTAGCAACACTTGGCAACCTGTAAGTTTTACCAATTGCTTGGTAAGAGAGTGTTTCATGGCAGTTCCTGGAATATCCCGCCTGCTGGGTGGAGCTTAGGGACAAGACTTAATGCTTGTGGTTGCTTGGTGAGTCTCTGTCGCTCAGTGTTCAGAGGCTCTTTCCCGAGCCAAAGCGTGCTGTTGTCCGTCCTTTCTTCTCTTGGTGCCAGTGACCTGAGGTGTAACTGGGGTATCTGAGCTGATGTCTGCCACCTGCAGTTCATCCGGTGAGCCAGGTTGTGTCCCTGTTTTATAGATGTGAACACTGATGTTCTGAGTGGCTCAGGAGCTGCAGACAGAGGGGGCCAAGCACCAGTACGTGGCCTTGCACCTTGGCTCACAGTCCACCTGGCTGTTGTTAGAAGTATTGCTAGAGAGGCCCTAGCTGGTACCATCCCAGCCTCATAGCCCCAGACTCCCTCTCCAACTGGAGGACCACAGCTCTGTCCTAATCCAGGCCCCAGGCCCTGCAGCTGTACCCTCAAGAAGTCTAGGGCAGGGCACATCCAGAGGTCCTTGGAGGGAGGGCCTCAAGCTGCTTTTGCCCATCCAGGTTTCCACATCCTAATCTTTGCTTTTCTTGTCCTTTATGCCAAAAAAAAAAAAAAAAAAAAAAAAAAAGAAAAAAAAAGGACTAAGAACAGATGCTAAACTGTTCCAGCAGGACGGGACATGGCAGCACCCCCTTCCCTGGAGTTGTTGGGAGGGCCTCCTTTATTTCCATTTTCTATTCCAAAGCTGACCCCTGAGGGCTGCACCCCCTGGACCCAAGGCACCTGCCAGGTCATTAATTACCCTCCAGGGTATGGTGGGGGCTGAGGACAGGGCCCTCACCTCCCTTAGTCTAGAGTTCCTATTTCTGTTAATATGACCTCGGACTACATTTGCTCTCTGGTCAAATTTGTCTTGTGTCTCTGAGGCTTTTATCCAGATTGAAGGCTGTAATTCCCAGAACTTCCCAAAGGAGATATTTGCTCTACATCTGCATACAATTGGTTTCCTTAGAAACCACTGGAGTATGCTCCAAAACCTGCTTTGGATTTTTTAAAGAGACCATGCCCTTTATCTGTAATATCTGTTAAAAATCCACCATAACAAATTTAAAAGTATATAAAGAATGAATATTTTAGATATTTATTTAATTTATCAAGAATTCTACACTGTTGAATGATGAAGTTGGGATGACTAGGCAAATGACAGTGTCCTCTTGTAAATCGGAAATTATGCAGTCGTCAGCAGTGATGTTTACAGCAAGGCTTTAATGCTATGGGGATATCTTTATGATGATATTAAATGAAACACTACACACATAATGTGATGGCTGGTGTCAACCAATTAAAATGGAAGACGGTCTAGGAGGGAATATGCCAACATGTTAAAGGTTAAGATTACGTTTTTCCTACCACTTTTGTACTTTTCTGTACATTCCAATTTGTTTTCCAAGAGCTTAATACTTTTATAATCAGATATAAAGTAAGCAAGGGAGTAAGACCATCAGGGTTTAGAGGTCATATTGCCTGGCCTCCTGTTTTACAGATTTTATGGACTGTGGGTTTTATAGACACTGGGGCTTGGGTAGCTCTCTCTGCTGCACAGCAATTGGCCCCAGGCCTCCCTGAAGGAGCTGTGGTGGGTGAGGACACCTCACCCTTCCGGAGATATCTGCCCTTCCGGCACACCCCCTCTTCTCATGTGACCCCCCCCCCCTCCATTAATGCACAATGCACATTAGCTTAGTCTGCAGCCTATCTGCCTGTGTTGGCCAGAGCTACCCGAGGGCCCCTGTGGGTGGACAGGCCATTGACCATGAGCCTGCATGTAAGAGTTTTCAGTTGAAAAGGGCCCCGCCCAGTCAGCCCCTCCCCTGCTTTGGGAACATTCCAGGTCGGGGCGGCTCCTGTTCCCAGCCTCTTCAGGCTGATAGGTTCCTGACTCTTGGGTCAGGGATGGGCCTCCCATGGCACCAGGAGCAGCCACCACTTCCCAGAGCAGCAGGGCGTGTCACAGCTGTCATCGGGTGTACTTCCTCACCCCAAGGGTCTACTGCAAGTGGGGATCCCAGCTTGTGGACACCTGCAGAGGACCCCACAGGCTGTGTGAACTGAGCTTCCTCTGGCACTGCCCTCCTGCTGATTGGCAGCTAAGCTCCCAGTCACTGCTCCCAGTGACAGCATGAGTGGGAGAGCACATTGGGACCTTGTGCCTAAAACATGTGGATTGCAAGGTACATGGGGGTTTGACAGAAGATAGGACCGCTGAGGAGAGCCCAGTGGACACCAGCCTTAGTCCACACCGGCTGAGGACACAGACCAGCCTAAGTTCCAGTCTGAAGATGTTATTAGGTTGGTACAAAAGTAATTGCGGTTTTTGCTATTGGTTTTAATGGCAGTTACTTTTGCACCAGCCTAATATCATTCTGAAGGAATTATGTATCTTCATTTGAAGAATGGAGATTCTTCCTGCACAGGCTTTAAAGGAATACTTATAGTTACTTAGGTACTTACAGATGCCAATCACCAGCAGGTACTCAGGTACTTACAAATACTAAAGGAATACTTACAGATACTTGGGTACTTATAGATGCTAAATAATTACTAACAGGCATTTGGGTGCTTATCTTTAAAGGGGTACTTACAGATGCTAAATGATTACTTGCAGGTACCCAAATACAGATGAGAAATGATTAGTCATAACTATTCAGGTATTTATAGATACTAAATAATTACTTACACATACTTGGGTACCTACTGATGCCAAATTATTACTAACAGATACTTGGGTAATTATAGACACTAAATGATTACTTATATGTACTTAGATACTTAGGGATGCTGTGTGATTATCTGTGGATGCTCAGATACTTACAGATACTCTTCACCTGGAGGTAGAGAGTAGGGAAGCCTGACGCTACAATATGAGGAGCCGCTTTCAGTTGAATCTACTTTAGGAATGACGGTAAGGAATTTATGAAAATATAATGTAAACCTGAAGAAATTTAGGATTTGGAGTCACAGAAGATATTTCCTAGTTGTCTTCATTGTGTGACCACTCATTGGCCCAAAGCTGTGTCTGGAATGCCTGCACATATGTCTGAGCGTTGTGCATGGCTCCTCTCTGCATGTGCAGACACACTTTATACACAGACCGAGATTTGCATCTTCTGTGAACAAGGATGAGTGCGGCTGTGCATGCGCCCACTGGGCATATGTGTGTATACATACCTGGTTTGCAGGTAAATATGTGCGTAACCAGAGATGCCTTCCTCTTGATGGAACTTCCCTGAGGATGCTAGACCTGGATTTCCTGAGGTGGATTTCATGAAACAAAAAGTCAACATCCTGATGTTAATCCATTTTCTCTATAATCCCTGAGTGGGCAAATTTATAAGGGTTGTGTTAATGTTAGTTTTACTCCTGTCTCACAGGCACTGGTGATACTGTACTCTTTCAGGTTTGATAACTAGTCTTTGAATTCTTATGTCTGTGGCCACCAGCAGGATGGGGCATTTCCCAGTTGCTGGCTTACCCACGGTCTGTCCTCATGGGCGAACTGCCCTCCCGGCTCCACTGCTCTTGGCCTCTCTGGTTAAGCTGGCTCTTCCTCTTCTGTGTGCTGGGTCTAGTGGCATATGAGGCAGGCCGCATGGAGTGGGGGCTGTCCTGGGAAGCTGACCTCAGTCCAGCATGATACTCTGCACAGCTGTGGGTTAGGAGGAGGTTTCCCTGTTTCTATTGGGACCCCCTGTGCCCACGAGTGGAGGGCAAGCTGCATGTCACCTGGATGGCAGCTGGAGGAGTGGAGCTGACTGAAGCTTCATTGGGGCCCCTGCATTTTTCATTTAGCCCAAATTCAGCACCAGGGATCAAGGCTCCATGGATGCTTGAAGGAATGAAGGAGTGCTTGAATGAATGAAGAAATGCGTGTGCACTGGCCAGCTGGTGTGTACTGTGATGTCTCAGCCCTAAAAACCTGCCCTTCTTGAATATGGTGTGCTTCTTGGTGGGCCAGGTTTATCCTAGTGGGAGAGCCAGCACCCAGAACCTTCAGAGGACTGGGAGTCGGGAGGGGCAGGGCTCGAGTGCTACTCCTTTTTGTAGCAGGAAGAGAGGCTGTGTGGTGCTGGAGGGCTTCATGATCACTGGCCTCCTGTGTGCCTAGGGAGCTTGCTTCCCAGGAAGGTGTTGATGCATGCAGCTGAGCATGTGTCTCTGGGCAGAGTCAGGCAAATTGCACCTTCATGCCTCAGTGTTTCTGCCGTTTTTTTTTTTTGTTTTTTGTTTTTTGTTTTGAGACAGTCTCACTCTGTTGCCCAGGCTGGAGTGCAATGGTGCAATCTTGGCTTACTGCAACCTCTGTCTCCTGGGTTCAAGCGATTCTCCTGCCTCAGTCTCCTGAGTAGCTGGGACTACAGGCACGCGCCAGCACGCCCAGCTAATTTTTTTTTTTTTTTTTTTTTTTTTGAGACAGAGTCTCGCTGTCTCCCAGGCCGGAGTGCAGTGGCACGATCTCGGCTCACTGCCAGCTCTGCCTCCCCAGTTCATGCCATTCTCCAGCCTCAGCCTCCCGAGTAGCTGGGACTACAGGTGCCCGCCACCACACCCAGCTAATTTTTATATTTTTAGTAGAGACGGGGTTTCACCGTGTTAGCCAGGATGGTCTCGATCTCTTGCCCTCATGGTCCGCCTGCCTCAGCCTCCCAAAGTGCTGGGATTACAGGTGTGAGCCATCGCGCCTGGCCTCTGCCAAGTTTTAAAAAATCTTAAAAAGAGTGCCTGGCCATGGAATCTGGCTAGGCTGCAGGAGGGTCAGGCATTCAGGGTCTTTGGTCTTAGCTTCTCTTTGCTCCTGGGACTCCACACCCTTTAGCTCTGAGAAGTGGGAGGCTGAGCTGCAGAGACCATGCAGACCCTTGGGCCACTGGGCTTGGAGGGAGACTGTGCAGGTAGCCTCCCACCTGCTCTCTGTCAGGAAAGGAGAGCATGGTGGGCTGACCTGGTTGAGAGTGTAGGGCCCTGGAATCAGTCAGGCTGTGGGGCAGGAAGCGGGGTTGGGGGTGGCATTGGGGGCAGGCAGTGGGACATTGGTCCACAGCATGGCTATGGCTTGGCTGCTCGGCTTGAGTTTCAGGGTACAGGTATGGTTGAGTGTTTTACTGCCAGGGAGGAGCCTGGTGTAGTCCTGAGGTGAGGGAGGCTCATCCCCATGAGGCTGGAACCTACCCTTAGGCCTATGTGGCACTGCAGTCACCTTGCTGCTGAGCACCTTTTCATGTGCCCCTTACATTTGTGGGTTCTTCCAGCCTCCCTTTTGAGAACAGTGTTGGGAAGTATCTTATAGCCAAGATTGGGGGATTTTTAAAGAACTCTCCCCTCTTCCTCTCAGATCTTCCTTTAATTTCCAAATCCCTCCTCCTCCCCAGGAGAGCATCTTGGCCTGACACCTCTACTCCTCTGGGCACTCTGGGGTCACTCTGATGGGCAGGGGTCCTCAGGTCAACATGGCACATTGGGGGCACCTCTGCCAGCTCAGCTGGCCATCAGTGGGCTTTATGGGCCGGCCGAGTGCATTTTGTTCTGGCTGAATGGTCCCCAGCTGGGGTGGAGGCTGGCAGGCCTGCCCCTGCAGCTCCTCAGGCCCCTTGCGGGGAGGCCTGCCATCTGCCTGGTGACACCCCAGGGATGGGGCTTGAGAAGTCCAGATGCCTCTAAGGAGAGACAGGAAAAGCCCAACTCACGCCAGGCATGCAGCACACTGTGGACGGGTTATTTTGACAAGTGAGCATCAGACTTAGCATTTAATCGCGATTCACTCCCAGCCAGTGAAGAGGGCCGTGCTGCGGGAACCCTGCCACTGCGCTTATCATCAGGACCTTGGTTCTCATCCTACCAGAGGATGGCAGTCCAGAGGGACATTGGGTGTTTGTCGGGCTGTCAGTCCATGGGGCCCCGGGGGGCTGGATGTACCACCCTTCCATAAGTGGCAGTTTTGAGAAAACAAAGCTGCCAACCCCCGTCAGAAGTGGGTTGTGTCCATGATAGTCCTGGCCTCTGAGCCACCCTTGTCCCATCACCTGCTAATAGCAGGCATGGTGCAGGCATTCTGTCAGCCCCCCACCCTCCTAAGAGGTTGTTCGTGAGTATCAGGGCGGGGGTTCACCCTGGCAGGCCCCACTGAGGAGGGGCATCCACGGGGCCTGGGGCTGGGATGAGGCTGTACTTTGACCATTTTTCCTCAGTCCCCATCCCAGGCTGCTGACAACAAGGCAGGCAGGGCAGGGCTCACATGGAGGCCCTTGTTTCTTTAAAATTTTCATTTTAATCACCTCCAGCTCATACAGGAATGCATTCCCCTAAGAAGCCCATCACCACATCCTGTAAGCCCCTCCCCGTAAGCCCCTCCCTTCCTGTTGGCCTCCACACCGTTATGGGCTTCCCACTGAGCCCCACCTTTTGACGTGGCTGGTATGTCCGTGTGCGCCCTTGGAAGCAGCATTGTTTTGTACTGTGCGTGCCTCTCAGACATGATGTCATTTATTGCACTGTTGCTCAGCAGCCTGTTTCTTGTGTCCAGCACAGGTCTCAGCGAGCTAGTCCCGTGTCCATCTCCATGGGTGTGGCTTTCATGGTATCCCAGGGACCCTCTGCCAGGGAGATGGGGAAGTACCAGGTGGCCTATTGCATGCACCTGCAGGGGCTCTCCAGGGTGGGTTCCGAAGAAGGCCTGCTGGACCTCGGGCTGCTGCTGTGTTTATTTTTACCGTCATCGTCTTCATCTTCAAGGAGCAATGATAGGCAGGGATTAGGTGGCACTGGTGTGGCTGGAGAGTGGCTGTGCCCACTGGGAGGTTGCCCTGCCACCACGTTGTGGGCTGCTCTCCCCTCTCAATTACCACAGGCCAGCTCCTGTTGCTCCAGCAAGCCCAAGAAGTGGGACCCCATTGGGATCCAGGCAGGGGGTTCCTGACAAATTCCAAATGACAGTGGCAGAGGTGGTGCGAGGAGATGGAGTGCGTGGAGGTTGGAAACAGTGATTTTAGAAAACAAGCCAAAGAGCATGCCACACTCACTGCCTGAATGCCAGTGTTTCAAAACCAGGAACAAATGCCGGTGAAGCAGCTCATGGGGGACTGGCCTCTCAGCCGAGATATTCGGTGGTTACCTGTGAGTTTCACCTTTCCTGGACTTCACTAAACCATAACATGCCACCACGAGGGCTGATGTGGTCCAGCACCTCATTTCACATGTGAGCTGCTTGCAGCAAGGGGGATTCGGAGCACGAAAGGGATTTAGAGGCGCCGGTGGGGCCAGGTGTATACATGATGCCCAGCCACGCTCCCAGTTCCGTTGATCTGAAACTCGTCTGACTGGGTGTCCTGTGGTTTTGTTTGCTGAGTCTGGCCACCCAGGTGGAGACCAGCCCTTTGTCTTTATCAGTGAAGACTTTGAGGCCAAGAAAGATAGGACGTCCACGGCCCTCATGCTGCCCAGGAACAGCCCCGGGGATTCCCCTGGCCCCCAGCTCCATGCAGCCTGCGTGGCCAGGTGAGAGGAAGTCCCTGCTGTGCTTGTGGGTGGTGTGTGGCATGTGTATGATGTTTGTGTCTGTGTGGTCTGTATGTGTGTAGTATGTGTGTGGTATGTGTGTAATGTGTGTGAATGTGTGTGGTGTGTGCAGTTTGTGTGCTGTGTGTCTGTAGCATATGTGCATGTGTGTGTGGTATGTGGTGTGGTGGTGCATGGGGGGTGTGTGGATGTGTGTCTGTGTGTGTGTGTGTCACCCTGACAGTCTGCTGGAGGCCCTGGTCCTAAGTGTTAGGCACCTCACATTTCTTCCAAGGGGAAGAGGCAGCTCCTGGAGGGCAGGGCACTCAGTGTCCAGAGCTGCGTCTTTGTGATCTCCCAGTCCGATGCCTGTCCTTATCTGTGGGGACCCACATTACCTTAGCCACACTGCTTTGAGGGGGAAAGGCCCAACATGGGACGGTATTGCAGTGTGGGACAGCTTTGCAAGCTCTTGTAGCTTGGGACAGCTTTGCAATTCAGATCTGCTCAGCCACCTCAGGTGTGACCAGAGTGAGCTCTTCACCTCTCTCAGCCTCTTCCTGCTCACCTGTAAAATGCAGATGACACAGCCATCTCGCAGGTTGTGGGATGGTGGCCCTGGCATGTGGGAGGGCTGGGTAAATGGTAACACAGGCTCCATGCTGTGGCAGGAAGCAGCTGGCACTGGGGGAGGGGAGCTCGGCCCAAGCAGCCACACCCAGACCCTGCCCTGAAGGGGACTGCTGCTCTGCTGCGCTATGGGGAGGCCAGCCTCTCATTCAAAGTCTAACCAGGCCTGATCCTGCTTAGCTTCCAAGACTGGACCAGATCTGGTGTGTTCAGTGTGGGGTTGCCATAGATGATCTGAGCCTCCTAATGCAGGTGCTTGTCCACCACATTCAAGGAACAATTAACTTTAAGTTTGTATTTCTGGATTTATAAATGTTAAGAGTGACTTCAGAGAATGACAGAATTCTCTTGCAATAACTGAATAGCCTTCCGTTGTGCTATGGTGGTGTAAGGGTTTCCTTCTGTAGTTTTTATTAATTAGCACAAATGACTTTGTCCCGTGAGTACTTACATCCCCTAGGAGAAAAAAAGGCATATTATCCTTACTTCCCCTGCTATTTGTGTTCAAGAGTGTACAGAGCTTTGCATTCCCATCTACTGAAACCGTGCAGATTGGCCGGGGCCCACCCAGGTTTGGCTGTCTGCACATATACAGCCAGGGACTCCAGCCCATGGTGGGAGCCTCTTGAGGGCCCCCAGTGGCAACTGTGTCAGAAAGGGACATTGTAAGTAGCATAACTTTATAAAATAGTTAAGGTTGGTTCGGGCTTGAGAGGGAAGGAATGTCAGACACTACAGTGGTGCTAAGTTTGCAAACAGGCTGTGGCAGGTGGAAAACACACCTAAGAGGGCCTAGTCTTTTTTTCCCTTCAGTGTCTTTATTTGATAAATAAAAGAGGAGGAATTAGCCAGTGGTGGACTTAAGCAAATGTTTTAGATTGGCATTTTGGGAGGGCTCTGTGTGGTTGGCAGGATGGTTGGCACCCCCAGGCTGGCCCACTGCTGCGAGGGTGTCTCCGTGGTCCCAGGGAAGATCAGGGGATGGCTCAGTGTGCAGGGAGGGCCTCAGCAAGGTCTTGGGAAGGTGTGTGCAGAGCCCCTATGAATCTCGTGGATTGCTTGCTGTGTGCTGAGGGCTGTGTTTAGGCACCCCTGTCCCTGGAGGAATCAGTGGCTCATTAATTTCCTGGAGCTCCACGGGCAGAGCAGCCAGGGTCCCTGATGAGGGTGACAAGCAATGGGAGGAGGCTTGTGGCTTGTGGAAATGGAAGGGAGCCCTGTGAGTGTGCAGGTTTTCTCATGGGGATCTCACGCCCAAGGATGGGAGTGCGGGGGTGGTAGGGTGGGGTGGGGGTGGCCAGCCTTTTGTCAATTCCACACCATCACACGGCCATCTGTCCTCCTCTCTGGAGCTCTTTTTCACCTGTCCTTCTTCTTCCATCCCAGTGGCTCCTAACTGGGCTTTCTCATCCTCTACCTGCTTCTCTGTGTCCCAGCCTGGGTTGTTTCTTCAGATCTCTCTTCCAGTTCACGAGTTCTCTGAAGGTGGTGGAACTATCGAACAAAAGTATGTAAATTCTTCGTTGAGTATGTAAATTGTTCGTTGAGTTTTGCATTTTAAAGTCATTTTGCATTCCTAGAGATTCTTTTTTTTTTTTTTTTTTTTTTTGAGATGGAATCTTGCTCTGTCACCCAGGCTGGAGTGCAATGGCACGATCTCGGCTCACTGCAACCTCTGCCTCCCGGGTTCGAGTGATTCTCCTGTCTCAGCCTCCTGAGTAGCTGGGATTACAGGCACACACCGCCACGCCTGGCTAATTTTTTGTAATTTAGTAGAGATGGGGTTTTACTGTGTTGCCCAGGCTGGTCTCGAACTCCTGAGCTCCGGCAATCCACCCACCTCGGCCTCCCAAAGTGCTGGGATTACAGGTGTGAGCCACCACACCTGGCCTCCTAGAGGTTCTTGTTTATTGACTTTGATCATTTTTTTCTAGCGTGTGTGAATGTGCAGTTCCCTGTTTTGAATTTTTTTTTTCCCAGCAAGCTCATGGTTATGCCTGGGTCCTAGCTGTATGGACATCTCTGCCACCTGGGACCTCGGGTGCATGGGAAATGCCAGAAGCATCTTTTTAGATTCTCTGGACTCACTCTTGGGGGCAGATTGCCAGGAGTAAGGTTATTTGGTCAAAGGATTGTAGTCGAGTTTTATAGCTCATTTGTTGTGATGTTGCCCCTCAAAGGGTCACTTAGGTGTGGCCTAGCCTCAGGGCAGACTGGTGAGGCCTGCATGAAGAATGGAACCTTCTGGCTCTCCCAGAGCCCGAGGCTGGGAGCCCTACCCAGGGGTCTCAGGATACAGCAGGGCAGAGGTGAATGCTGTGAAGCAAGGGAACCGCTGAGTTGCTTGGACTGGGAGGGGGGCGCGGAGGTGGGGGCCAAGAAATGTAGTGGGTGACCAGGTCTGCCCTTTCCTCTCAGGGCCCTGGGGCTTCAGCGGTTGCTGGGCTGGATGATCACGTTCATGCCATGAATCTTGTGGATTCCGTGTTGGTGCCGAGGGCTGGGCTCTGCCTCAGTAGGCTATGTGGACAGGAGGAACAAAGGCCAACCTAAACACTTGCTTTCTATGATCCCGGTCTGAGAAAAGACCCCAGGGTCAGAGGCACTCGGATGGCCCAGGAGAGGCCAGTGACTGCACGCTGCCCTCCCGACCCCGACTTAGCTGTGGTTGTCTACGGCAGGGAAGGCTGGCATTTCCGGCGACAGAGTTTAGGGCATTGACAAGCAGTGGACACGGTCTATGTTGTTGTGGTTATTTTTGAGAAGCTCATGGTCTTCCCAAAGTAATGCTGGCTCTGGACTCCTGTAGGACACACTGCTGGGGTCACTGTTCCCCTCTGGGCCAGCCCTCACCTTGGGACCTACAGCTGCTGATCTCTGTCTCTAGCCTCTCCCTGCTTAAGTCCAGTTGTGGAACATTCACCCACGATGCAGACCTTATGGGGCCTGGGACACCCGTCATCTGCAGATTCAAGGGGGATCTGACCTCAATCTGCTGTCAGGACATGCTGGGTGCTACCCTACATCACTGCCAGAGCCACCTCAAGGTGCACATTCACCTTTCTTTGCCTGGTAGCGCCCCTCATCTGCACACCTACCTACCTGGGGAAGCCTCATTCATCTGTCAGGACCAGCCCCAGCATCGCCTCCTCCCAGAGGCATTCCTCTCTCCCATGGCATCCCCATAGGGTTCTGTGTGCCCTGATACAGTGCATTCTCCTTAAATGCTCACCTTCAGTCTGAGGCCTTGGGGCTGGCTCTGCTTGGCCACCTCCAGATCCCCCAGCCTGAAGCCTGGTTCTGGCCCCAGCAGCCTATTGCTGGAGTCAGGAGACGGCAGTGTGTGCCCATTGGCCTCTCCTGGACTGTCAAAGTGAGCATCTCTGCTGAGTTGGGCAGAGTCCCAGCTTCTAACTCTGGAAACAGATGGGGGAGTGCAGGGAGGCACAGAGGGGATTCTGAGATGGGGACACCCCTCTGAGATGGGAAAAACAGGTTGATGTGTGGTAGGGAAGAGGCCTGCAGGGCTGAGGTCTGGGCAAGGGTGGCATAGTGCAGGTGCCGGGGACCGAGTGAGTGAGTTGGCTCTCGACTCCTGGGTGTGGGAGGAGCCCTGGAGGAGGAATGGGCTCTGGCAGGGGCAGGAGGCCTTGCTGTTAAATTTAGCGAGACTTCTTTTTTTTTTTTTTTTGAGACGGAGAGCAAGACTTCTTTATATTCGTAGAGGATTTAGAGGATTCTGAGATTCCATAGCAGCATGGTTCATGATCTCCTGAATTCAAGAAACAGAATTTCTTTATTTTCTTTCTTTTTTTTTTTTTGAGACAGAGTCTCGCTCTGTCGCCCAGGCTGGAGTGCAGTGGCGCGATCTCGGCTCACTGCAAGCTCCGCCTCCCGGGTTCACGCCATTCTCCTGCCTCAGCCTCCCAAGTAATTGGGACTACAGGCGCCCGCCACCACACCCGGCTAATTTTTTGTATTTTTAGTAGAGACAGGGTTTCACTGTGTTAGCCAGGATGGCCTCGATCTCCTGACCTTGTGATCCGCCTGCCTCGGCCTCCCAAAGTGCTGGGCCACCGTGCCTGGCCCAGAATTTCTTATATTCTAGTGCTCATCCATTTGCATGCCCATTGTTATTTTAAGTAATACCTGAGATAGAATCCTTGAATTCTGAGCCTTTTTTTTAGCATTTCCTTCATGAGATTTTCCCATCTGGGTAGTTCTTCCCTTTATGTCTTAGCATTCCCACCCATGACCACTGATGACCCCACATTTCCCCAGAATCTTTCCTTTAGGAAGCATGTAGACATGCACACAGAACTTCTTCTACGTGATTTATTTTTAATAGACTTAAGTTTTTTAGAACAATTTTAGATTTACAGTAAGACAGAGTGAAAAGATCGAGAGTTCCCACATAACTCCTCCCCGATTTCCCCATTCATAGCGTCTTGCATTAATGTAGTATATTTATTATGATTGATGAGCCAGTATTGATACATACTCATTAACAAAGTCTGTAGTTTACACTAGTATTTACTTTTTGTGTTGTACATTTTTATTTTATACATTTTTTTGAAACAGGGTCTTGCTCTGTTGCCCTGGCTGGAGTGCAGTGGTGTGATTAGAGCTCACTGTAACCTCTAAAGGCTGGACTCAAGCAGTCCTCCCACCTCAGTCTCCCAAAGTGCTGGGATTACAGGCGTGAGCCACTGTGACTGGCCTTCTATGGGTTTTGACTGTAAAGTCAAACCATTACAATGTAATATACACCATTAAAATGTATCCACCATTGCAATGTAATACAGAAGAGTTTCATCTAAAGTCCTCTGTGCTCTGCCTATCCATCCCTCCCAGTACCCCCAAACCTCTGATAACCACTGATGTTTTTACTGTCTCCATATCTTTGCCTTTTGCAGAATGTCATGTAGTAGACATTCTGTCTACTTTACTGTCTCCGTAGCTTTGCCTTTTGCAGAATGTCATATAGTAGAAATCACGTAGTATGTCGGCTTTTCACTTGGGCTTCTTTTACTTAGTAATATACGTTTAAGACTCTTCATGTTTTTTTCATGACCTGATAGTTCTTTTTAGCACTGAGTAATATTTCATTGTCTGGATGTACCACAGTTTATTTATCCATTCACCTACTGAAGGGCATCTTGGTTGCTTCCAAATTTTGGCAATTATGAATAAAGCTGCTATAAACATCCATGTGCAAGTTTTTCTGTGTAGACATGTTTTCAGCTCCTTTGGGTAGATACCAAGGAGTATAATGATTGCTGGATCATTTGGTAAGAGTGTGTTTAGTTTTGGGTTTTTTTTCTTTTTTTTCAACAGGGTCTGGCTCTGTTGCCCGGGCTGGAGTGCAGTGGCGTGATCTCAGCTCACTGCAACCTCCACCTCCTGGGGTCAAGCCAGCGTCCCACCCCAGCCTCCTAAGTAAGTAGCTGAGACTCTGCCACCGTGCTCAGCTAATTTTTGTATTTTTTGTAGAGATGGGGTTTTGCCACATTGCCCAGGCTGGTCTTGAACTCCTGAGCTCAAGCAATCCACCTGCCTCAGCTTCCCAAAGTGCTAGGATTACAGGCTGGGCGCCACCATGCCCAGCCTGTGTGGTTTTATAAGAAACCACCAAACTGTCTTCCATAGTGGCTGTACCATTTTGCATCCCCACCAGCAATGAATGAGAGTTCGTGTTGCTCTACATCCTTGTCAGCATTTGGTGTTGTCTGTGTTCTGGATTTTGGCCTTACATAATAGGAGCTCATTGTTGTTTTAATTTGCATTTCCCTGATGAAATATAATGTGGAACATCTTTTCATGTACTTATTTGCTATCCGTATATCTTCTTTAGTGAAGTGTTTGTTTAGTTATTTGGCCCAATTTATAATTGGGTTGTTTTCTTATTGTTGAGTTCTTTGCATACTTTGGATAACAGTCCTTTAACAGAACATATTTTGAAAATATTTTCTCCCAGTCTGTGGCTTGTCTTTTTTACTTTCTTAACAGTGTCTTTTGCACAGCAGAAGTTTTTAATTTTAATGAAGTCCAACTTAACAATTTTTTCTTCATGGATCGTGTGCTTGGTGTTGCATCTAAAAGTTTATTACCAAACTGAAGGCCATCTAGATTTTCTCCTGTTACCTTCTAGGAGATTCATGAGTTTGCATTTTACATTTAGGTCTATGATTTAAAGTTGTTTTTTGTGAAATGAGTAAGATCTGTGTTGATTCATTTTCTTTTTCTTTTTTTGCATTTGGATGTCTGTTAGAGCACCATTTGTTGATCAGACTGTTTTGTCTCCGTTGTATTGCTTTTGTTCCTTTTTCTAAGATTGGTTGACTGTATTTGTGTGGGCCTGTTTCTGGCTCTGTATTCTGTCCCATTAATCTGTCCCATTAAAGTACATTCTTTCACGAACACCACACTGTCTTGATTACTGTAGCTTCATAGGAGGCCTCAAAGTCATGGAGTGTCAGTCCTCTGACTTTGTTTTTCTCCATCACTATTGTGTTGGCTATTATGGGTCCTTTACTTCTCCATGTAAACTTCAGAATCAATTTGTCAATATCCACAAAATAACTTGCTGGGGTTTTTGTTGTTGTTGTTGTTGTTTTTTGTTTGTTTTGAGACAGGGTCTCACTCTGTCACCCAGGCTGGAGTGCAGTGGTGTGATCTCGGCTCACTGCAACCTCTACCTCCTGGGTTCAAGCGATCCTCCCACCTCAGCCTCCCGAGTAGCTGGGACTACAGGCCATGCACCAACATGCCTGGCTAATTTTTTTTTTTTTTTTTTTTTTTGGTAGGGAGAGGGTTTCACCATGTTGCCCAGGCTGGTCTCAAACTCCTGGACTCAAGTGATCTGCCCACCTCGGCCTCTCAAAATGTTGGGATTACAGGTGTGAGCCACTGTGCCTGGCCTGGGATATTGATTAGGATTGTGCTAAATGTGTAGATCAAATTGGGAAGAACTGGCATCTTGTCAATACTTACTCTGCCTATCCATGAACATGGAATATCTCTCCATTTATTTAATTCTTTGATCTACATATTTTGTTATATTTATATCTAATTATTTTATTTTGAATGTAAATGATACCATGTTTTTAATTTCAAATTCCAAGTGTTCATTTCTGATAAATAAGAAAGCAATTGACTTTTGTATATCAATCTTGTATTCCTGCATCCTTGCTATATAATTGCTTATTAATCAGACCATAGCAGCATGTAATGGAGAGAGAGAAAGGGAAAGAGATGAGAGAGAGAGAGGGAAAGAGATGAGAGAGAGAGAGAGAGAGAGAGGGAAAGAGATGAGAGAGAGACGGAGGGAGATGAGAGAGAGAGAGAGAAGGAAAGGAGGAAGGAAAGAAAGGAAAGGAAAGGAAGGAAGAAAGATGTATTATTAATCCAGGAGTTCTTTTTTGGTCTTGTCTTACCTTATTGTATTAGCTAGAACTTCCAGGACAGTGTTGGAAAACTGGTGAGAGGGACATCCTTGCCTTTTTCCTGATCTCAGTGGGAAAGCTTCAAGTAATCCTGTAATCCTAGCTACTCGGGAGGCTAAGGTGAGAGGATTGCTTGAGCCTAGGAGTTTGAGTCTGCAGTGGGCTGTGATTGCGCCACTGTACTCTAGCCTGGGCAATAGATTGAGACACTGTCTCATAATAATAATAATTATTATTTTTGTACATCGTTGGTTTTTGGGAGAATTTTTGCATGAGAAATATTGATTGGTAGTTTTTTTTTTTTTTCTTGTAATGTGTTTGGTTTTAGTATTAGGGTAATTCTGGCCTCACAGAATGAGTAAGGAAGTATTCCCTCTGCTTCTATCATCTGAAAGAGACTGTAGAAAGTTGATATAATTTATCCCTTTAATGTTGGTGGAATTCACCAGTGGGTTCTGTCTGAGCCTGGTGCTTTATATTTTGGAAGGTTATTAATTATTCAATTTCTTTAATAGTTATAGACCTAGTCAGATTTCTGTTTCTTCTTGTGTGAGTTTTGACAGAGTATATCTTTTGAGGAATTGGTCTGTTTTGTCTAGGCTATTGAATTTGTGGGCATAGTGTTGTTTCATCCTTTTACTTTTAATCTGTGTCTTTATATTTTAAGTTGGTTTCTGTTAGACAACATAGTTGGTCCTTGTTTTTTTAAATTTTATTTATTTGTTTTTTAATCCACTCTAACAGTGTCTGCTTTTTAGTTGTTATATTTAGGACCATTGATATTTAAAGTGGTTATTTGTGTAGTTGGATTAATATATACCGTATTTGTTACTGTTTCCTGTTTATTGCTCCTGTTATTTGTTTTGTTTTTTTCTTTTTGTCTAATCTTTTTTATGCCTTCTCTGGCTTTAATTGAGCATTCGATGTGATCCCATTTTTTTCTCCTCTCAGCATATCAATAACGCTTTTTTAAAAAACTTTTTTTTAGTGGTTGTTTTAAAATGTGCGATATACGTTTATGACTAATCCAAGTCCTCTTTCAAATACTTAGCACTCTATGGGTAGAGCAAGAAATAGTATTCCTAATTGTTCCCTCCCATACCTTGAAATATTATTGTTATTCACTTACTCATAAACTGTAGTCATGAAGTAGTCATGAAGTACATTGTTGCTATTATTATTGGTGAACAAACTTGTCTGCTAGATCAAGAATAAGAAAAAAGTTTTTATTTTATCCTCACTTGTTACTTCCCTAATACTCTCCCTTTCTTTCTACAGATTCTAATTTCTGATCTATATCATTTTCCTTCTCTCTGAAGTTCTTTTAACATTTCTTGCAAGGCAGATTTACTGGTGACAAATTTTCTGAACTGTTGTTTGTCTGATAGACTTTATTTCTCCTTCACTTTTGACGGATAATTTTGCTGGATACAGAATTCTAGGTTGGTTTTTTTTTTTTTCTTTCAACACTTTGAATGTTTTACTCCCCACTCTTCTTGCTTGCATGACTTCTGAGGAGAAGTCCAAGCGCAATTCTGTCCTTGCTTCTCTGTAGGTAAGGTGTTTTTAGCCCATTCCCTGACATTTTTCTTTTTTATTTTCTTATTTTTTTTCGAGATGGAGTCTTGCTTTGTCACCCAGTCTAGAGTGCAGTGGTACAATCTTAGCTCACTGCAACCTCCTGGGTTGAGGCAATTCTCCTGCCTCAGCCTCCCAAGTAGCTGGGATTACAGGCATGTGCCACCACAGCCAACTAATTTTTGCATTTTTAGTAGAGATGGGGTTTCACCACGTTGGCGAGGTTGGTCTTGAACTCTTGACCTCGTGATCTGCCTGCCTTGGCCTCCCAAAGTGCTAGAATTACAGGTGTGAGCCACCGCGCCTGACCTCCCTGACTTTTTTCAAGATATTCTTTTTGTGTTTGATTTTTTTTTGCGGTTTGAATGTGATATGCCTAGGTGTAGATTTTTTTTTGCGGGGAGGCTTATATCCTGCTTGGTATCTTTTGAGCTTCCTGGATCTGTGGTTTGCTTGCTGTTATTAATTTTGGAAAATCCTCAGCTGTTATTATTTCAGATATATCCTCTATTCCTTTCTCTTTTTCTTCTCCTTCTGGTATTCCTATTACATGTTGTTACACCTTTTGTAATTAACCCATAGTTCTTGAATATTGTTTTGTCATTTTTGTTCCTTTTTGTCTTTATGCCTCAGTTTGGGAAGTTTCTATTGGCATATCTTCAGGCTCTCTGATTCTTTCCTTGGCTGGGTCCGGTCTATTGATGAGCCCTTCAGAGGCATTCTTCAGTTCTATTACAGTGTTTTTTATTTCTAGCATTTCCTTTTGATTCTTTCTTAGTGTCTCAATCTCTCAGCTTACATCACCTATCCTTGCAGGCTTTATTACAGACTTTAGCATATTAATAATAAATTTGTGATCTGATCATTGCAACATCAGTGCCATCTCTGGGTCTAGTTCTCATGTTTGCTTTGTCTTTTCAGACTGTGTAGGTTGTTTTTTGTTTTGTTTTGTTTTATTTTGCTTTTATTGTACTTTATAATGTTTTGTAGTAAAAAAAAATTGGAAAACAAAAAGACTGTTCCCTTATACACTACCATCCAGAGGAGGTCACCTGGAGTATCTGTATATGCTTGCCCCCCTGCTTCCTATTTGGAGAAATGTGACTTCTGGGGCCTCTTTTGTTTTGGTCTGTACATTTCCCTAGGATGGTCTTAGAGAAGACTTCTCCCTGTGCATTGGGCCTCCTGCAGCAGTGCCAGGCAGTGATTGTTGAAGGATTGAAAGTGCTGTGGCAAACTCAGTCTCCACTCCTGGCTTTCGTGTCCTTGTTTCACAGATCAGAAGATTGGGCAGGATGGGCTTCTGTTCAGTCTTCTTTCGGATACTGTGATAGCCTCAAGTTCTTGCCTGCTTCTAGCAACTTTCTCTGGAAGTTCTGTACATGTCATCCCTTTTTTTGACTTGCATTCTATACAGATTTATTTTTGAGAGTCAGAAGAGTATTCTTGGCTGGGTGCGGTGGCTCAACGCCTGTAATCCCAGCACTTTGGGAGGCTGAGGTGGGTGGATCACCTGAGGTCAGGAGTTCACGACCAGCCTGACCGACATGGTGAAACCCCATATCTACTAAAAATACAAAACTAGACAGGCGTGGTGGTGTGTGCCTGTAATCCCAGCTACTCAGGAGCCTGAGGCAGAAGAATTGCTTGAACCCAGGAGGTGGACATTGCAGTGAGCCGAGATCATGCCATTGCACTCCAGCCTGGGCAACAAGAGCAAAACTCTGTCTCAAAAAAAAAAAAAGAGTATTCTTTTTAAAGTCAGTTATAAAATTTTAAATTAAAATAGCTCTGATTTGAATCAAAGCAGTTTGTTTGGATTAAAAATATTCCTTTTATTTTTTAATACAGGGTCTTGCTCTGTCACCCAGGATGGAGTGCAGTGGTGTGGTCATAGCTCACTGTAGCTTCGAACTCCTGGGCTCAAGCAACCCTCCCACCTCAGCCTCCAGAGTAGCTAGGACTACAGGTGTATGCTACTATGCCTGGCGCTTTTTTATTTTTATTTTTTGTGGAGATGGGGTCTTGCAATGTTGCCCATGCTGGTCCTGAACTCCTGGACTCAAGCCATCTTCCAGCCTCAGCTTCCTGAAGTGCTGGGATTATAGGCATGAGCCACTGTGCCTCACCAGGATTAAAAATATTCTTTAAAGTCCTTGATGGGTAGCAATATATATACATAGGAAAATATTCAATAATAAAAAATTTGTCTCCAGTGAGAAGCTTGCCCTCTCTCCCTGCTGAGCACAGCCACCAAAGTGTGGCCTCTCCAGAGATGGCCACTGCAATCAAGGGCCTGTGTGTCTTTCCTGAACATTCTGATTACAGAGGGGCATATTTATGGATTTCCTTCAATCTTCCACACACAAAAAAGGTGTGTCTCTATACTCTTCTGCAACTTGTGCTCTTTGCTGAACAATATACATCCTGGAAATTGTTCCAGATCAGCAAATACAGGATTTGTACTTATTGGCACTTCAGAATATTCCTCTCAGTCTCCCAAGAATGGACACTTAGCTTGGCTCTAATCTTGCTGCTGCAGTGAATACACATGATCCACGTATCTATGGGGAGAGGACATGTAACAGGTGTCTGTGTCTAAAATACCAACAGCTCCTACCCAAGAAGTTTTTACTAATGTGTGTGTTTTGCCAAGAATATGGGAGAATGCTTGTTGGTCTGTGGCAGCAGGAACATGTGAGGCACACCCTAAAGGTCACCCACCTTTGACCTTTGCCAGCCTGATAGGTGAGAAATCTTATTGCAGTTGCAAGTTCCATTTCTTACTACAAGTGACATTGCACAGCTTCTCATATGGTAAAAAGCAGTTTGTGTGGCCTTTTATATAAACTGTTTACTTAAAGTCACAAAATCACTAGTCAGGCAGATACGTTTTCATTTTGTGATTTGGAAAATGAATTTTTGTATTGTATACTACATCCTTCACATGCATTTCAGAAGTAGATGGAGGTTTCCTTTAGGTACATATGACTCATTTGCAAGCAAGCATTTATTTTGAGTCTTGATGTTTTTCAGAATAATAGGAATCTATGGTATTGTCCTGAATTGTTTTGATTTTTGTATCCACAAGGTTGGCTGCAGCAGACTCTTGCAGGGCCCCGGGAGGGGTGTCCCCCACCCACCAGTGTCTCTGTGGGGTTGTGAGAAGGGCCGGTTCTCCTCTGAGGCCCATGCCATAACCAGCCCTGACATGCTCTTGTTTGCTCACAGATGGGGGACTTCTCTCTAATTGCACCCTTCACGTGGAGCGATGGTGCTGATGGGAACTCCAGGGCTTCCTCACTTCCTCTGTAAGCGAGCACAGCTGGTGCCAGGCCCCTAGGCTTCCTGGTCACAGAGCTTTAGCTGTCTGGGGCTATTGAGATGTGCCTGGCAAAGCACTTTGTCTGAGAGCTGAGTAACCAGGGCTTGTCCAGGGTAAGTGACTTACCTCCACAGTTCAGGTGGCTCTGCTCTGTATGTGATTCCCATCAGTCGTGTTTGGGGTTTTCTTTGAGCAAATATATTCTAGAAATGTAGTTGAGAAGTGAATTCCCTGAGAAGCGGGTTCAAGGCAGCACCTCAGCATAGACTCTGTGGCCGCATGCAAAGATGCCTGCAGGAAGGCAGCTCTGGGACTTTAGCCACACATTTGGGCTGCTCCTCTAGATGGGATTCTGTGGTCCCTGTAACAGAAGTTATAGCCCCGATGGGTCATGGGGAACCCTGGGTAATTAGTGATGGGACACTTAGGGTTGGCCAAGGGCCCTAAAACAGGCTCTGCTGCAGTGGTGCCCAGGCCTGGCTTGTCTTTAGGAACAGGTTCTGACTCAGTAGGTCCCGGTGGAGATTGGGGTTCTTCTGATTTTCTTTTTCTTTTTTTTTTTTTTTTTGAGACAGAGTCTCACCCTGTATCCCAGACTGGAGTGCAGTAGAGCAATCATAACTCACTGCAGCCTCAAACTCCTGGGCTCAAGCAAGGAACTCCTTGATCCTCCTGCCTCAGCCTCCTGAGTAGCTGGGATTTACAGGCATGTGCTACCATGGCTGGCTAATTTTTATATTTTTTGTAGAGAGAGTCTTATTGTGTTGCCAAGACTGGTTTCAAACTCCTAGGCTCAAGTATCAAGGATACCACCTCAGCATCCCAGAGCACTGAGATTACAGGCATGAGCCACCACACCTGGCCCGCATTGTCAGACCAGAAGTCTCTATGGGTTGTCAGCTCCTGGGCTGGCCCCTCTCCTCCTGGCTGCCGGGTGGACCTGGTGCTGCTGCCTCTACACATCCCTTTCTTGCTGTTTAATCCTCTCAAGTGCCTGTGGAGTAGGTGGTGCATTGTCCCCTCTCTGGATGAAGGAAGGCACTGAGTTACCTGCCCCAAGGCTGCCAACGGGAGAGGCACAAGGTGTCAGGACTTGCCCTCTACCTTAGACCATGGCCACCTCCCTCTAGAGTGAGTGACTTTGGCTTACAGGGTGGTCACCCACTTGTTTTGTGGATTGTGACAAATTGAGAAGTTAAAGCAGCACAGGCTCTTTAAGTAGCACAGGGTGGACCTCACTTCCTCACCCAGGAGCAGGGCATTTTCCAGATTCCTGGAGCAGTGTCCCTGGGGCAGACATAGAGGGTGGTGAGGCTCCCCTCCTGCCTACTGGCCCAGCTTCATTTCCCTCTTGGCTTCTATACCCCAGTGACTTCTGTTTCCCCTGTGGCTTCTGTTCCCAGCTAGCTTCTGTTCCCTCTGGCTGCCCCTCCTGCTGAAGAGAAGCACAGAGAAGTGCAAATGAAGGCATCATGGCTTGGGAGGAAGAAACTTTGGGTGAAGTGGGGGCACAGCCCAGCTGGACAGAGGCTGCCCAGCCCCTCCATCCTTTCTTTAAAGACAGGAAGGGGCTGAGCTGGGGTCTCTTCAGCTCGCAGTCCTGGAGGAATGGACATAGCACACTTGGGAAGAGAAATGAAATGTCAACATTCTTTCCACGGAGATTCTGTTTTTTCTGTCCATGGAGTGTTGCACTTTCTCAGCTACTCCCTGCCAGAAATGAAAGCTAGGGTCATGGTCCATTAGCCCAGCAAAAAAAAGTGATGATGGTGGTGGCGAGGATGATGATGGTAATGATAGTGATGGTGGTGGTAATGACGATGGTGGTGATGGTGATAGTAATGATGATGGTGATGATGGTGACAGTGATGGTGATGGTGATGGTAATGATGGTGATGATGGTGATAGTAATGGTGATGGTGATGATGGCAATGGTGATGATGATGGTAGTGATGATAGTGATGACGGTAATGGTGATGATGATGATGGTGATGATGATAGTAATGATGGTGATGGTGATGATGGTGATAGTGATGATGATGGCGATGATGGTGACAGTGATGGTGGTGATGGTAGTGATGGTGATGGTAATAAAGATGGTGATGGTGATGGCGATGATGATGGTGATGGTGATAGTAATGGTGATGATGATGGTGATGGTGATAGTAATGGTGATGGCGATGGTGATGATGATGGTGATGGTGATGGTGATAGTAATGGTGATGGTGATGGTGTTGATGGTGATGGTGATGATTGGTGATGGTGATGATAGTAATGATGGTGATGGTGATGATGTGTGATAGTGATAGTGATGATGGTGATGGTGATGATAGCAATGATGGTGATGGTGATGATGGTGATAGTAATGATGGTGACAGTGATGATGATGACGATGATGATGGTGATGATAACTATGACAAGCAGTAAACTATCTTTACAGCCACCAGCTATGTGCCAGGCACTGTGGTAGGCATGGTACATACAATCCCTCCAGTATTTCTGTCACTGACCTTCTACTAGATATGATGATCCACTCTGCAGAGAAGGAGTCTGAGACTCACTGACGTTGAGTACCTCTTGTGGTCCCACAATTGTTGGTGGCAATCATTGCCCAGGGTTTCTGCATGCACTGGGTGTCACAGGCTGCAGGTGATGCCTCATGTGCTGTGCTGGGAGCCCTGCCCTTGTCATCCTGTTAGCTCCTTGACACTTGACCTCTTCCCTCCTCCCCACAGGTTCCTTATGAGACACCTGGGGGACTCCAAACAGCAGTAATCCATCTGCCCACTGGTTTGGAGACAGGGGTCCTCAGCCTCCTTCCAGGGTGGATGGTTCAGGAGGCCTTCTCTGCAGGGGACCAGGACACAGGAAAGCCAGGAAGAGATGAGCTGGGAAGGGAGCTGTCGGGGGCCATTCTGGTTTTAAAAATAAAGCAGGACTTTTGTTGCTTGTTATAAAAGGAATACATGCTCATTTTCTGTGATTTAGGAAACCGCAGGAAAGTATAAGGGAAGAAAGACATGGCCATTGCCTAGCACCAGGGAAAAGGGCTGTAGTTTTTAGTGTCTGCCTAGACTCTAAACTTCTAAACTAAAAGACTTGTACAACCCATTGTTTAATGGCTGTGTAATACTCCCATCACAGGAGCACATCATGCCCTGGTTACCTGACCCTTACTGGCTGGAGATGTGTGTTGTTCCTAATTTTTGCTATTTTAAATAACCGTGGGAGAAACCACATTAACATGAATCTTTGTGTGCATATGTACATTTTGCCTTAAAATAGATTTGTCGATGTGGAATTCTGGCCTGAAGGGTGCAAATCTTTTTAAAGCTTTTGATACATACAGCTGGGGTTCAGGAAACTCCTTCCCAAGTTAGTCCCCTGACTAGAAGGGTAAGAGTGCCTGCCCTGCAGCCCCACCTGCATTGTGGATTTGTATTATCAAAAGATAAGCCTTGCCAGAGGGACATTTCTAGCTTGAATGTGTGCCTGACACCAACTGAGCTCCGACAGTGTGCCTTGAACCCTGTGCCAGATGCTGCAGAGGGCGGCAAAGTAAGGTGAAGGCTCTGCCTGTCTGCCTCACCTCTGGGAGTGAAAGAGGCCACTTCTTTTTTTTATTTGATGTTTCTCCTATAATTTTTTTTTTTTTTCTGAAACAGAGTTTCGCTCTGTTGCCCATGCTGGAGCTGGAGTGCAATGGCTCAATCTCGGCTCACCGCAACCTCCGCCTCCTGGGTTCAAGTGATTTCTCCTGCTGCAGCATCCCAAGTAGTTGGGATTATAGGCGTGTGCCACTACACCTGGCTGATTTTGCATTTTTAGTAGAGACGGGGTTTCTCCATGTTGGCCAGGCTAGTCTTGAACTCCTGACCTCAGGTGATCCACCCACCTCGGCCTCCCAAAGTACTGGGATTACAGGTATGAGCCACTGCACCCAGCCAATTTTTTTTTTAAATGTCAAAATTAGGTTCAAAAATTATGGTTTACATTAAATGAATGTTCTTAACTACAACAGAAGAAACCAGGAATGCAATCCGGTTGTGCTGTTCGGGAGATCATTCCAGGCTTGGCATGGTCTGGAGGGTGGCATGGTCGGAGGGTGTCTGAGCCAGGGGCCAGGGCCAGGTGTCGGTCATTCCTGGCTGGGCTTCTGTGCTGGACCCTCCAGCTCCCCTGAAGGCAACCCCTAGCCCACTCAAGTCCTCATAGGAGGCTGCACCCTGTAGCCTGCAGCAGGGCCGCAGCTCCATGAGCAGGGCTAGCAAGCACTGGCATGCTTGGGGTCAGAATTCCATATCACCCGTGAGAAAGCCACTGTGTCCTGTCTGCAGAACAAGGATTCCTATGGGAAGAGCTCAGAAGAGTCGCTTCCCCTCTGGGGCTGCCCTTGCCTGAGGATCTTAGGCAGCCAGAGAAGCACCTGGGAGAGAACTCAGGTTTTGCGGGGAGCAGGCTACTTTCTTAGAGAGTAGACAGGCTTCTTTAGAGATCCCAAGAGGCAATTGTGGGGCCTCTGGAAGCATCTGAATTCTACACTCCCCGCCCCCGAAGCCTTTCAGCTTTCTTTTTCTTGGCCGTTTCCTGTGGTGTCTTTATTAGTTAGGGTTCTCTAGAGGGACAGAACTAATAGATATGTATATGTTTATTAAGTGTTAACTCACACGATCACAAGGTCCCACAATAGGCCATCTGCAAGCTGAGGAGCAAGGAAAGCCATCCGAGTCCTAAAACTGAAGAATGTGGAGTCCAGTGTTCGAGGGCAGGAAGGATCCAGCACGGGAGAAAGATGTAGGCTGGGAGGCTAGGCCAAGTCTAGTCTTTTCAGGTTTGTCTCCCTGCTTTATATTCCAGCCACACACTGGCAGCTGATTAGATGGTGCCCACACAGATTAAGGGTGGGTCTGCCTTTCCCAGCCCACTGACTCAAATGTTAATCTCCTTTGGCAACATCCTCACAGACACATCCAGGATCAATACTTTGCATCCTTCAGTCCAATCAAGTTGACAGTCAGTCACTGCAGTGTCTCATCACTGCCACACCCACTCACCTCTGTGTTTGAAATTTCTATTATCTTTCTAGTTATTGGGCTTTGGGCACTAAATTAGCTTTAAACTTCTTTGGAGTTGACTCAGTTTGGGGAAGCTGGGGTCACAGTTGGCTCAGATGAATCCAGTAGCCAGCATGGCCTCATCTGGTTGGCAAGTGAGCTAATGCAGCTGTTGCACCTGTGCCACTTGAACACACAGCCCTCCACCCCATTCTCACCACTGGGGCCCCCCAGGGGCAAGGTGAGTGTGGTGGACTGAACCACGCACACATGACACACTCGTGGGCAGACGCATAGACAGATGCACACAGACATGGACACGCATACGCATGCATACACATGGCAATGTACGTCTGCCTGCATACACGTGCACACACAAACGGGCATACAAGCACACACACACAGTGCACACATATACACATGGGTGCACATACATGCATGTGCATAGATATGGACATAGAAACACATGCACATACGCACACATATTTTGTTTTGGGTTTTCCACCAAAAGGAATTGTACCATACGCATTCTTCTAAAACATGATGTTCTTCACTTAACAATATATTTTTGGTGTCTTACCATGTCAGTATGTAAAGATCTACTTTATTTTTAAAAATTGTAATATTAATAGCATCCTGGTCACACAGCACTCTGCGCTTGCACACCTGTGTGTATGTGTGTGTGTATGCCTGTGTTTGTGTGTCTGCATGTGTTTGTGTTTGTATCTGTGTATTTCTGTGTATGAGGGTGTCTGCATGTGTGATGTGTGTGGTGTGTGTGTGTGCCTGTGTGTGGTGTTCGTGTGTCTCTGTGTTTGCATATGTTTGTGTGTGTGTGTATGTGCGTCTGCATGTGTGGTGTGTGAGTTTGTATGTGTGCTAAGCCAGGTCCCAGGCCTCACTCTAGTGCTTGTTCACTTCCCTGTGGGTCTGATCCTCTTCCAGCTGCTCACAGGCAGCTGCCTGTCCTTGCCCACCATGTGGTACACTGGGGGTCTGCAGACCTCGCTTGCCTGTGCAGAGGTGGATCACCCCCAGGCCTCACTGGCTCAGGCGGATGTTCTCCGCTTCTCCTTTGTAGCTCTGAGGCCTGGGTCTGTCCTTGGTCCTTGCCCTACCCTTTCCCTCAGTGTGCCTTTACGAGACCCCTGCCCAGCCATCTCCTGGCTCCTGGGAGGTCACAAGCTGAGACACAGACCCTTGGGCCTGTGAGTGGGTGGAAACACTGCTCTCGTTGGAGCCCATCTCTTAGGGACCAGGCGACTTGATCCTCACTGGCCGAGGAGGACTTGCTCAGAGGGCCTGATTCGGCGTCCTGGGCTGGCATCCTGGGCTGGCACTTTGCTCCGCTGACCTTGCCTGTACGAGGCTGAGCATTCCAAGTGTCCTCAGGGTGGAGGGTGGAGGCCAAGAAGGCGACTCGTGGGGTGGTGGATGCGGGCCTTCACCAGGCTGGTGCTCAGATGGCCCCCAGTGGCCTGTGCTCCACGCCTGCTGGTAGCCCCTGGTGGCCTGTGCTCCACGCCTGCTGGTGGTTCCTGGTGGCCTGTGTGCCATGCCTGCTGGTGGCTTCCGGTAGCCCGTGCTCCATACCTGCTGGTGGCACCCCGTGGCCCGTGCTCTATGCCTGCTACCCAGCCCTGGTGGGCCTGTTGCGGCCCCTGAAGTTTGCACTTCGGCCAACAAGCTTCTGTTGTCGCAGGAAGAAACTCAGGGGGTGCTGCTCTTAGCCAGGGTTAAAAAGGGAAAGGGGCCGGCCAACTTTGCCTTTTTGTTGATGTTCTGTTTAATACTAAGGTCCTGGGGTGACATTTGTGCCCCTGGTGGCCTCTGAGGTCTGTGTGTGGCCAGGCACCGCCTCTCTCAGCTCCTGGGTTTTCTCCTGGTCTGGTCTGCCCTGAGTTTTTGGAGAAGCAGAAGCCCTGCTTAGCACAGCCTTAGAAGGCGTCCCTGGGCTTCAGCTCAGCCAAATGCCCTGCTCTCCCTCGGACTCTGCAGTCCTGGCTCACCTGACCACAAGCAGCCTGTGACCTGCTCTTTCTGCAGATGTGGGTGGGCTCCCGGGACAGACCTGCAGGGCCCAGCCTGGGAGTGTACAAGGCTAGGTGGCCAGCGGCCTGCAGAGGGCTCCAGCTCCTGTTCCCAGGAGGGAGAGGCCCACCTTCTGTCTTCTGAAAGGTCTGAGTCTGGGGCCCTGGTTCTGTGAGGACCGTCCTCACCCACTTCCCCACATCTGGGTCCTCATGGAGCCTCTGTCTGTGTCCTGGGATGCATCCCCACGCTGGGGCAGGGGCAGCAGGTGAGGCACGAGGGCCTGTCTGCAGGACATAGGTGGACGAGTGGGCCTGGCTGGGGGATCCTTTGTGAGCTCAGCTCCTGTGAGCCAGCACTGTCCCCATGGGCGACAACCTTTGAAGTCAGCAAGATGTGGCTGCTTGCCTCTCAGGTGGCCCACGATGGGCTTCCTGCAGAGGGCAGAGTGGACACAGGCCACAAGCACGTGGATATCTGGGAATTGCCCACTCTGCATTAGTGAGGGGTTGAGGTTGGTTTTTTGTTAATGAGAAGCTTGTGCTTGTTTTTGTCTCTGAAATAATGAAGTCATCTGCTAACATGGCCTTGGGATGCTGTAACTGTTTTGGTGTTACCTAGTCTCCTTCAGATTCTCAGTATCTTATGCTCCTGGCTTTAGTGTGAGGAAAATATTTTCCATTTTTCTGTAGTTATTATTCTCCTCTTATTTTTCGTTTTGCCAATTTTCTGAATAATTTCTTAGGGGGCATTTAGAAAGCCCTAATTCTGGTACAATAAAATAAATGCCCAGTGTCGGCAAACAGTCTCTTCTGTGAGAACAGGATGGCCCCTAATGGAGCTCACTGTGCTGGAGCTTGCACAATCGAAGCCCTGGATCCTCGTTAGGTGCTGTCTCCTTGGCATATAGCCACAGCTAGTGGCAGAGCCAGGCTGAATGCCCTGAGACTTAGTTTCACCTGCCAAGTGGCCACTGTCGGGGTTGGTGGCACAGGCAGCAGGGGTTGGAGCAGCAATGCAGATGTAGGGTCGGTGCTAGCAGGGGATCTGGCCTGGATCCCTGTGGAGGGTCTACTTCCTTCAGCCTTGGAGGGGCAGGAGGGGCAGCCCAGTGGTCACCCCCCACAACCCTGGTGGGCGGGCCCTGGATGCAGCCCCTGCCTCTGGCCCAGGCACCTAGGTGGTGAGGGGGTGCTGAGGCCTTTGGTTCTCTGAGCTTCTTTTGGGCGGCAGAAGGACCCTTCCACCATGACCACCTCTCTTTTCTCTCAGTCTCTTGGGGTCTCCTGCACAAAGCAGTAAATGACTGACCAAGGCAGCTGTCCTGGCCAAGGTGAGGCCTTTCACCTGTGCCACCCAGTTCATCCTCCCAGCAGATGGCCCAGGGGTGGGTGGTGCTGGAAGGAGGAAGCCCACAAGGGGCCCCTCCTTGTGCAAGTGGATTGGCTGTGCCAGGGCAGAGCGTCCTAAAGTGGACACTGGCCCAGAGCCTGGAGCCACACAGGTGGGCACGTTATGGAGGGCGGGGCCAGGTGTGAGGACTGGATCCCCACCTGACCTTTGTGCCTCTGAGTCCTTGTGCTGGCCGTGCACGTTCTTGTGACCCCTGAGCCTCGGCCTTCCCCCCTGTAAAGTAGGCTTGTGCTGTCTGCCCCCAGGATCCAGGACCCCGTGCCAATATCCAGAGCTGAGGAGCCTGATTCTTGGTGGGGAGGTGTATTTTAAGGACATGTTGATTTCCATCCTTGTTGACTGACTGCAGCTCTAACTCCCATGTGGCCTTTGGACAGGGCAGTTCCCTCTGCACCCTTAGAGCCGAGGTCTGGAGAGCCCTTCAGCTCCTGTGGTGCACCAACCCCTGGACTATTAAAAGGATGTTGTTCATTGGGGACGTGCCCAACCACCTGGGGCATTTGGGGGCCTTTCCATGCACCAAGGTGGTCCAAGCTGTGGGTGCAGCTCCTAGCCATGGCTTGTCCTTCCTGTGCTGAGTCACTGGCTCACCATGGCTGTTGTCACCTTGTCCCTGCTATATCACAGGGAGGGGTGAGGCCTGGGTGGCCAGAGGGATGGAGTTTGAGGAGACTAGGACTTCCTTACATTCACAGGCACTGCTGGGGCCTCATGTGGGCTTCAGTTTGGGCTTGGGGTCTGGTCAAGGCCCAGCCAGCCTGTCCATACACCGAGCCTGAGGTCACCCTGAGGTGTGTTTCTTAGCTCGGTCGGCAGAATAACAGCCCCCGCTGTCACCCATGTCCTAATCCTGCAACTTTAAGTAGCATTGCAAGAGGGGAGGAAGGGAAGCTGTGGATGGAGTTGGGGCTGTTCAGCCAGCTGTGGATGGGGAGACTGTCCTGGATGACCCAGCAGCTGCAGCGTCATCACAGTGGTCCTTAGGAGGGGAGGAGGGTTGAGTCAGGGCAACGTCTGTGAGAGCTCGGCTGGCCATCACTGGCTTTGAACATGGAAGGGGCCGGGAGCCAGGGAGTGCAGATGGCCTCTAGGAACTGGAGGAGGTGGGAACAAATTCTCCCTAGAGCTTCCAGAGGGAGCTGCCCTTGCCCACACCTTGATTTTAGCCCGGTGAGACCCATTTGGACTTCTGACCTCCAGCCTGGAGAGTGAATCCTTCAGGGGGCTCCTGTCCAAAGGCCCTGTGAGGATCCTGGTGTCTCTAGCCCCTCACGCCAAGTCTTGTCCCCAGAACAGGCATGTTCCAGGGAGTGCTGGCCCTGCTAACTGAGCCCCGAGTCTGTCTGTCTGTTCTACTCTGAGTTTGGTGGTCTGACCTCTGACCTTCTGCCTGAGGGTCAGCACCAACCCATAAAGGCCTGACAGGCAGGTGTGTGTGATGGGCCATGTGTGTGCAAGGGCCCTGCTGGGATGGTGGCAGAATCAGGTCAGGTTGGTGTAGCCTGTCCTGTGCCTTCATCTGCTCCAGATGCTGCAGTGAGGGCACAGCCTGGAGCAGCCAGGGGCCAGGTGAGGGTGTGGACATGGGGCATGGGTGTGACTGTGTATGTGGGCATGGACATGGAGTGTGGTTGTGGCTGTGGATGTGGATTTGGGGTCTCACATGGATGTAGGGTCTGATGTGCAATGTGGATTCTGGGTCTAATTTCTGGGCTGCAAGAGCTCAACCAGCTCCAGGGCAATATATTATAACATGTATGCTTGAAGTGAGTAATGATGGTGCTGAAGGGACTGTCTTCAGCTCCCAGTTCATCTGGTCCCACAAAAGTCTTTGCATGTGGCTGATACTTGGTGTCACTGATGAGAACCTGAGGTATATGTGGCACTGTAGTGAGTGCACGTGACGTTTTCTAGCCCTGTCCTGCCCTCCTCTGTGCTGAGCTCTTCTTCACATGCCATAGTGCTATGCCCTGGTCCTGTTCCTGGCTTTGGGCCTTTGCTTCTATTGGGCAGACACCCTTATAAACTTCATGAAGGAAGAATATTAACACTGTGCATTTTAAAGTTTGTTTTGGTATTTTGGAGCATAATTTTCATTCATCAATGTTCTGAGTTTCCTTTCCAATTTTTCTTTGTTTCATTATGAAGATGCTCTCACTTTGCACCCTGAGAGCAGAAAAATATTCCCTCATGTTGTGCTTTTGATGGCTTTTCTTTTACACTTGACTCTTTGGAGTGTGTGGACTTGACTTTAGCTTGTATTCTAAGATAGAGTGAACTTTATATTTTCAAAAACAATTTGCCAAGATCTTTTTCTGGGCTTCATGCTCTGTTCCCAGAACTCAAGACTGTGGTGGCTGTGGAACAGAACACTCGTCTAGGGCCCAAGACCCTGGTGGCCTTGCAGGGTTAGTCTGATACACTGGGCACTAGCAGTAACAGCTCACTGTCTAACGAGTGTTCACTCCGGGCCAGGCCCACCCATCTCTTTGCCTGGCTTCCTTTGCATGTGTAAATGCCCCAAGGGCAAGGGCAGTACTATCCTTAGTGAATGAATAAGGAGACTATTCTGTGTCTGGGCAGGCACTTAACCTCTCATACCTACCTCAATTTCCCTATTGTGGTAAATAAGGCTAATAATAAGAATTCCCATTATTGCAGGGTTGTTGGAAAATAATGCTCTTAGAGTTCTTAGCATGCTGCGTGTCTCAGAGTGAGTGCTCAGCCAGAGTTAGTGATGATGGAGTTTGTGATGGTGTTGATGGTGATGGTGATGGTGAAGGTGATGGTGATGATAATCTTGGTGAGGATGATGATGGTGATTGAGATGATAATGATGGTGTAGCATTGTTGGTGATGGTGATGAAAATGATGGTGATGAGGGTGGAGGTGATGATGATAATGATGGTGTGGCAATGTTGGTAATGGTGGTGGTGGTGATTATAGTGGTTGAGATGATGATGGTGTGGCGGTGATGGTGATGGTGGTGATGGTGATGACAACGGTGATGGTGGTGGTGATGATGATAGTGGTTGAAATGATAATGATGATAATGATGGTGTGGCGATGTTGGTGATGACAACGGTCGTTGTGATGATGATAGTGGTTGAGATGATGATGATAATGATGGTGTGGCAATGTTGGTGATGGTGTTGGTGGTGATGGTGATGATGATGATGGTGGTGGCGATGGTGGTAGAGGTGATGATGATGATGGTGTGTTGGTGATAGTGATGGTAATGATAATGATGATGGTGGTTGAGGTGATGATGATAATGATGGTGTGGCAGTGCTGGTGATGGTGATGGTGATGATGATGGTGATGATGATGATGGTGGTGGTGATGATAGTGGTTGAAGTGATGATGATAATGATGGTGTGGCAATGTTGGTGATGGTGATGGTGGTGATGGAGATGATGTTGTCACTCTCACAGGGCCAGGTTCTTTTTTTCTCTTTTATTGAGTTAAAATTCACATAGCATAATATTAATTGTTTTAAAATGAACAATTCAGTGGTACTTAGTAAATTCACAATGCTATGCAACCATTGCCTCTATCTAGCTTCAAAATATTTTAATTTCCAAAGGAAACTCCACACCCACTAAACAGTAACTCCTCATTCCTCTCTCCTCCCACCCTCTGGCACCACTAGTCAGCTTTCTGTCTCCATGGATATACCTATTGTAAACATATTATCATTTCATGTGAGTGGAATCATACAGCATTAGTCCTCATGTGTCATGCTTCTTTCATTTAGTATAATGCCTTCAAGATTCATCCACATTGTAGGATGTATCAGGACCTCATTCCTTTTTAAGGCTGAATAATATTCCATTGTATATACAGACTACATTTTGTTTATCCATTCATCTGTCAGTGGACATTCGGGCAATTTCCACTTTTTGGTTATTGTGAATAATACTGTTAGGAACATTTATGTACAAGGATTTGTTTGAGTACCTTTTTTTTTTTTTTTTTTTTTTTTTTGGAGACAGAGTCTTGCTTCATTGGCCAGGCTTGAGTGCAGTGGCACAGTCTCGGCTCACTGCAACCTCTGCTTCCTGGGTTCAAGTGATTCTCATGCCTCAGCCTCCTGAGTAGCTAGGGCCACAGGTATGTGTCACCATGCCCAGCTAATTTTTGTATTTTTGGTGGAGCCAGGGTTTTGCCATGTTGGTCAGGCTGGTCTCAAACTCCTGACTTCAAGTGGTCTGCCCACCTTGGCCTCCCAAAGTACTGGGATTACAGGCATGAGTCACAATACACAGTACCTATTCTTAATTCTTTTGGGTATGTATCTGTCAGTGGAATTGCTGGGTCACATTGTAATTCTATGTTTAATTTTCTGAGGAAACATCAAATTTTTCCCCACAGTGCTTGCGTTTCTACCATTGATGTAAGAGGGTTATGATTTCTCCACATCCTCTCCAAAACTTACTTTAAAAAAAAAATTGGCCGGGCGCGGTGGCTCATGCCTATAATCCCAGCACTTCGGGAGGCCAAGGTGGGTGGATCATCTGAGGTAAGGAGTTTGAGACCAGCCTGACCAACAAGGTGAAACCCCATCTCTACTGAAAATACAAAAATTAGCCAGGCGTGATGGCAGGCACCTGTAGTCCCAGCTACTCGGGAGGCTGAGACAGGGGAACTGCTTGAATCTGGGAGGCAGAGGTTGCAGTGAGCTGAGATCATGCCACTGCATTCCAACCTGGGTGATGGGAGCAAGACTCCATCTCAAAAACAACAAAAAAAATTGTAGCCATCCTAGTGGGTGTGAAGTGATATCTTACTGTAGTTTTGATTTTAATTTCCTTAATGACTGAGAATGTTGAGCTTCTTTTCATGTGCTTGTTGTCCATTTGCATATTTCTTTGAAGAAATGTCTGTTCAAAGTCCTTTACCTGTTTATTAATCGGATTGTTTGTCTTTTTATTGTTGAACTGTAATAGTTCTTTATATGTTGTGGATGCCATACCCTTGTCTTATTTATGGTTTGCAAGTACTTTCTCCTTTAATGTCACTTGCCTTCTTACTCTGTTGATAGTGTCCTTTAAGGCAAAAAAGTTTTTAATTTTGATGGAATCCAAATTAGCAATTTTTTCTTTTGTTGTTCATGCTTTTGGTGTCATATCTAGGAATCTATTGTCAAATTCAGTGTCATGAAGATTTACTCCTATGTTTTCTTCTAAAAGGTTTATAATTTTAGCTCATATTTAGGTTGCCAATCCATTTCTAGTTAATTTTTGTATGTGGTGTGAGGTAGACATCCAACTTCATTCCTTTGCATGTGGATGTCCACTTGCCTTAGCACCATTTGTTGAAGAGATTATTCCTTCTCCATTGCATGGTCTAGGAACCCTTGTCAAAAATCAGTTGGCTGTTGATGTATGGGTTTATTTCTGAGGTTTTAGTTCTATTCCATTGATCTATATGTCTATCCTTATGCCAGTGCCACACTGTTTTATCATAGCTTTGTAGTAAGTTTTAAATCAGGAAGTGTAAGTTTTCTTAGCTTTTCCATTTCTGTAAACAAAGTTGTTGGGATTTTGATAGGGATTGCATTGAATCTGTAGATTCCTTTAGGTAGTATTGCCGTCTTAACACTATTAAGTCTTGCAGTTCATCCACATGGAATATATTTCCATTTCTTTGTATCCTTTAAGACCTCTTTCAGCAGTATACAAGTCTTGCATCTCCTAGGTTAAATTTATTCCTACATATTAATATTTTGTTATTTTTGATGGTATTATAATGGTAATTGCTTTCTTGATTTTATTTTCAGATTATTCATTGCTAGTGTGTAGAAATCCAACTGGTTTTTGTGTGTTGTTTTTGCACCTACACCTTCTGAATTTATTTGTTAGGTATAGAAAGTTTTTCTGTGTATGGATTCCTTTAGAGTTTTCTATATGTAGGATTATGTCATATGCAAATAAAGGTAATTTTATATCTTCCTTTCCAATTCAGACTCCTTTTATTTCAGGATTTTTTTTTTTTTTTTGTCTAATTGCTCTGGCTAGAACTTCCAGTACTGTGTTAAACAGAAGTGGCAACAATAGGCATCCTATTTTCCTCCTCATCTTATGGGAAAAGCTTTCAGTCTTTCACCATTGTATACAATGTTTGCTGTGGATTTTTCATCCATGGCTTTCATCATGTTGAAGAAGTTCCCCTCTATTCCTAGTTTGTAGAGTATTTTTATCATGAAAGGATTTTGTTGAGTGCTTTTTCTGTATCAATTGAGATGGTCACGTAGGATTTTTCATCATTGTGTTAATATGGTGTAATGTGTCTTGGGGAGGATGGGGAATTGGGGAAGGATTGGGAGAGATGGGAACATAAGAATGAGGCAGAGGGCTGTGCCAGCTCAGGAGAAAGAGCCAGGTGAGCCCTGCTGCTTCTTGTATTTTACCCACTTGGGGAGATCTGTCCTCCAGGGTGAAGGAAAGAGAAGCACAGCTTCTGCTGTCCCATCCTCCAGGACAGAGCCCCAGGATTGCATCTTTTTCTTCTTGCAGTCAGACTTGATGCTTTAGGTGTTGAAGCACTGATTTATTTTCATGTACTGAACCGTCCTTGCATTCCTGTGATAAATCCCACTTGGTCATGGTGCACCGTCCCCTTAATATGCTCCTAGACTTTATTTACTGGTGTTTTGTTGAGGATTTTTACATCAATATTCATTAGAGATACTGGTCTGTAGTTTTCTTATAGTGTCTCTGTCTGGCTTTGGGCTCAGGGTAATGCTTAGGAAATGTTCCCCCCTCTTCTATTTTCTGAAAAAGTTTAAGAAGGATTGGTGTTATTCTTCTTTAAATGTTTGATAGAATTCACTAGTGATGGTTTCTGGGATTTTCTTTTTGGGGGAGGTTTTTTGATTACTGATTTAATCTTTTTACTTGTTACAGGTCTGTTCAAATGTTCTGTTTCTTTTTGAGTCAGTTTTGGCAGTTTGTGTGCTTCTGAGCATTTCTCCATTTCATCCAGGTTATGTAATTTATTGACCTATAATTTTTCATAGTATTCTGTTATAATCCTTTTTTATTTCCTTAAGGTCAACAGTGTCTTTATGTTCATTTTTTTGTTTGCCCTGAGTAAAAACAGTCTGCTTCATGCACATCTATAGCTTCCATTCCAGGTAGCTTGCTGCCCTGACCCCCTGCTGTGGCGACATTCTGGGGCTACCTGGGGGGAATGTCCCTTTTTAAATTTACTGGTCAGTTTTATTTACATGCATTTGCTCACTAGAGGAAGATGTTGAAGTATTTTCCAGTTTGTTTGCTGCATTCTTCTTGTGGGAGTTGTCTGGACCTGTGCCCTGCCCATTATCCACTGTGTTCTTATTTAGTCTTGGGGGCTTCTTTACATGTTACAGATGCCCATTCTCACGTCACTTTTTTTTTGTTTGAGATGGAGTCTCATTCTGTTGCCCAGGCTGGAGTGCAGTGGTGCAATCTCGGCTCACTGCAACCTCTGCCTTCCAGGCTCAAACAATACTCCCACCTCAGCCTCCCGAATAGCTGGGATTACAGGTGTGTGCCACTGTGCTCCGGCTAATTTTTTTTGTATTTTTATTACAGACAGGGTTTCACCATGTTGGCCAGGCTGATCTCGAACTCCTGACCTCAAGTGATCCGCCCACCTCGGCCTCTCAAAGTGCTGGGATTACAGACATGAGCCACCGTGCCTGGCCTCATGTCACTTTTAACTAAAAAAAGTATCAGAATAAAACAAAGCATTTCCATTTTGCTGGGTTAGCTTCTGTAGAAGTTTATTGATGTCTTAGGTTGTGTCCTTTGATACTCTTTGTGTTCATTCCTCAAATGGCTTAAGGCCTGTAGCCCGACCATCTGCATAGGAGGTGGCTCTCTCTTGTTCTAAGTCTCCAAGCAGGTTTGCAAGGGGTCTGGAGGAACTCCAGGGAGGGAATGAGGAAAGAGTGGTCATGATGTCTGGAGTCCTGGACATGTCCTAAGGCCAGGCTGGTAGGCCTCTTCTTGGCCCCCATGAGGATGAGCTGGATGGGTGGCTATGGTATGGCCCACAGGAGGGGCTCTGAGCTGCCTCTGGTGTTTTCTGCCCCCTCAGGTTACCCCTGGTGAAGTGATGGGGACAGCCTGGCTCTGAGAACCCCTCTTCCTTCCCTGCCCCCTGGGTGACGGGGCATTGGTGACCCTCACCCAGGCAGGCTTGGTAGATGGCCTATTCATTGGGTCCTCATGGTGGGGCATATCCAGACGCTGTATCTAGGTCCAGGCTGCAGAGGCCTTTCCAGGAGGACATCTCTGCAGCTCTTTCCCTCCACCCTGCTTTCCTAGTAGAACACTGTCCCTGCACAGCTGTGCTCCATCTGGCCCAGGTTCCCAGACAATGAGCAGGGATTCTCCCTAGAGCTTCGCAGATGGAAAGTGCTTGAGGGGGTGCTGAATGCCTAGGTAATGGTCTATTTCGTCTCGTTTCAGCTGTGTTGGGGTGGAAGAGGAGGAGGCGCCCGACATCGACATATACCACTGCCCAAACTGTGAGAAAACCCATGGGAAGTCCACCTGTAAGTACCGCAGCCCAAGCGGCCATCTCTTGCGGAAGAGAGCAGCATCCACCCTGCCTGGGCTGCGTGGAGGGTGAGGTCTCTGCTGGGCCTGGGCCCTGGGTTGCTGGGGGCAAAACGCCCTGAGTAGTGTCTAGGCCTGGGGACCCTGCCAGCCTAGCTTACTGTCCCCTGTAGCCTCACTAGGCCCACTGTAGCCCCTCCTGATCAGCTCCCGCTGGCAGAGGCAGCTGTGCAAAGACTCAAAGGGCCTTCTGAGGCCTAGCGAGAGGCCAGGCCAGCCTGAGTTAGGGGGACACGGACTTGGGGACCTGGATAAATGGTGATGCGGGGGTTTTCTAGGGGCCCCCAGCCTAGCCCGGCCCAGCCAGCCACTGCTACACGGGGGGCCCAGCCTGTCTGTTTTCTGGGCACGTGCATTGTTGGTGGGCTCTGTCCTCCCCTCCTTTTCCAGCCCCGCCTCATGCCACCCACCTCTTCCTCTGCAGAGAATCTTGGAGGGCCCTTGCCTTTCCCACACAACCTGCTGTTTGTGTGTCCTAAGGGCTGAGGCTTCGTTTTCTTCTTGGCCCTTTCAGGTGTGCTGGGTCCTGGGATACAGGCTTGGTTCACCCTGTGCAGGTTCAGCCAGGTGAGCTGGAGGTTATATGAGCCTTGAGCTCCAAGCCTCAGCCCTGGTTGCAGAGGGGGAGCTGTGTGGTGGTCTGCAAGGACTCGGGAGGGGTGTGGCCTGTAGACAGGACAGATGGTATGGATATGGGTGTGCGTGTGTTAATGTGGCCTCTGGTTTCCACTTCACTGGAGGGTCTTGGGTGCTCACAGAATCTGCAGGCTGGACATGGGCCCTGGCTGGGTCAGCTGATCACATCTCTGCTGACCTGAGCCCTGGACAAGGTGGGGCAGGAAATGCATCTGGCTCCAGGTCACAGCCAGTCTGAGTCACTCCCCTTCAAAGGGAGACCCCTCCCAGTGCCCAGTTGCAAGCTGAAGCACCAGACCCCCGGACCCCTGTGGGATGAGTCCTATGGAATCAGTAGGGGCAGAGGGAGGATGCGGGCAATAGGTGGAAGGGGCTCCAGCACCCCTGTTCTGTGAGCTGAGGCTGGGTCGAGGGAGCCTTGGAGGCCTGGCCTGGCAGCTGGTGATGCTGGGTCTCACTACTCTGAGGACCTGGCTGCTCTTTCTTGGCCTCTCCCAAGGCCTGAATGCTTTTCTCCTGTCTATTGCTGGACAGCGGTGGGGGCTGCATGTGTTTCAGGTCTCGACCCTATCCCCAGCACAGCCTCAACAAATATGCAAGCGGGTGATGAGGAGAAGCTAGCAGCTAGCAGCTCTTCCTGAACTTTCAGGCTGATAGTTTGCCTGTGGGGAGGTTCTGGGATTCCTAAATTGCCTTCTTACTCCTGGTCCCCAGTAGTTGGCTGCATTTATGCTCAGAATGCATCTGCCTACGGCAAGCTCATTAACCTATCATCTGGTTATTGCTCAAAAACAGATAAAGGGTAGGAAGGTTCAGCCCAGCGGGGCATCCTCATGCTTCTGGCACCTCAATGAGCCCACCCAGAAAGCTCAGGGCCAAGCTGTCTTTACGACAGGAATGACACAAACAGGGCTGAGCTTCCAGTGGGGACCTGGGGCTGCCCCATGGGGCCTAGGGGGCAGGTGTCAGAGCAGAGTAGGGTTGGAGCCAGGATACCCCAGGAGGTGCTTTCCTGGGGGGTAGGACCCTCTCAGGTCCTACCTGAGTTGGGCTTGGGAGGATGCTGGGGTGGCGTTGCTTTTGTGTGGGAGGTACACGTGTGCATCACTTGAGAAGAGGCTTTCAGACTGGTAGAAAAGAAAGTGTCAGAAACCCCTGGGCCAGGGGCCTCTTCTGATAGTCAGCATACATTTCAAGGGGTCCTTGCTTGGGGGCTCTTGCATGAGTTGGGGCTGGGGTAGAGCAATGGTGTGGTGCTGGGGCTGGGCAGGTTTCACATATTGGTGAGCACACTGTTTTGATTTCTCTAATGTCCCCAGACATCCCCAGAAACAGCCCACCTGCCATGGGAGCCCTGTGTGCCTGCCTCACCCAGACCCTGCCCCTGTCCCTGCAGGGAGTTTGGGCAGAGGCCTGGTGTCCCAACCTGCCCTTGATTGCAGCTAAAACCTCAGTGCAGGCTCCCCTTCCTGTCTCCTACGGCCAGCTGCCCAGGGAGAGACATTCTAGACTAGCAGACAGTGCTGAGGTTGCAGATGGTGGGACCCCCAGCCCCTGCCTGGCTGTACACATGTGTGTGTGCATGTACATGTATGCTTACATATTTGTGCATGTGTATGTGTGTGTGCATGTGCTTGTGTGTATGTCATACTCTGTTCAGGCTGCCGTAACAAAATACCACAGACTGGAGGGCTTAAGTAATAGAAAATTTATTTCTTACAGTTCTGGAGGCTGGAAGTCCAAGATCAAGGTGCTGGCTGATTCAGTGTGTGGTGAGGGCCTGCTTCTGGTTCATAGACAGTGCCCTCTTGCCATGTCCTCATATGGTGGAAGGAAGGAGGCAGCTTTCTGGGGTCTCTTTTATAAGGACACTAATCCCATTCAGGAGGACTTTACCCTCATGACCTCATAACCTCCCAAAGGCCCCACCTCATAAAATCATCACCTTAGGGGTCAGGATTTCAACAGATAAATTTTGGTGGGATGGATATTCAGTCCACAGCTGTATGTATGTGTGTGCATGCACACATCTGTGTGCTGAATGTGCTATATAAATTCTCTGAAGCAGATTTTCAGTTGTTACTGAAGTATGTGTGCTCCATCAGGGACAAAGGTACACAGTTCTAGCACCTTCCACCAGTGTGCATGCTCAGATTTGAAGTGAGTGTACACTGTGCCCAGAGGCTATGATGCCCCAGTTGGTCTTTGCATTTACTCCAGGCACGCCTTGCACACCAAGGCACACTGGGGATAAGAGGGCCACTCTGTGTCCCTGGAGAAGCTCTAAGCCAGTGCTGGGAACCTCTGGAGGCCTTGAACCTGCCTCCACCTGTCCTGCTCCTGCCACCCTAGCCTGCGGGTGGGGATGGGGGCTGCTCAGGGTTCCCAGAGCGAGCTGTGCCTGAGGTCTGGTCCTCACAGTTTGTCCCCTCTTTTTGAAAGCCACAGTGGTGGGGATTGCAGGGTCCCTCCCCGTTCCAATATGTCCCTTGAGCTGATTTTGGCCATGGCCTGTGGGCAGGGGCCATAGGCCCACAGGTTTACCTGACTGACACAGATTTGGTACAGGGTGTCCCAAGGTACCTGGCCAGGAACTCGGGAAGGCATCCCCATCTGATGAGGAAGCCACATAGTGGTTAGAAGCGGCCCTGAATTGCAGCTCCTGACTTATACACAGTCAGTTTTCTTGTTGAACTGACTTTCCTCATCCCGCCCTGCCCTGTGGGGTTGGGGTGACTCTGCTCAGCAGTTGTCTCAGTGGGTGTGTTGTCACAGGGGCGCTGTCCTCATGCTCCGCATGTGGCTCTGGGATAGGGCGCCCCATGCTGGTGCAGCAGGAGGGGCAGTAGACCTCCTTGCCCCTCTGTGTACCTTTGCTGGTGACCTTGGCACGGCCCCACGTCTCTGGCCTCAGTTGCTTCATCTGTGAAGTGAGGGCCCCGCCCCACGAGAGAGGAGGTACGCAGGTGTAGCCGGGGGCCCCTGGCCTCAGTGAGCGTCCTTGGACAGGAGTGCAATTGGTGAAATAATGACCATGCAGACAGGTGACGGGGAGGACGCCCCCACCCTGCCAGCAGTGCTGGGCCCCTGCTGGCTCCCCTCCGTGGCACCCTGTCTCTGTGGGCTGCCTCCTTTTCTTTGATCTCCTCAGCCAGCCCTGAGGCCTCTCCCAGCTGCAATGTCACTGCTGCTGCATAACCACGGGGCTGCCTCACGCTCCTGCCTGAGCCGCCGCTGTCCTGGACCTTCATTGCAGCCTCTCCTTGGAGCCCAGCCCACACTCGGTGTTCCTCGCAGGTGGTGACCTAAGGGCAGGCAGGGAGCTCTGCTTGGTGCAGAAAGCTCAGCTCTGGAAGTTTCCTCCCTAGGTCCCACTTGGCTCCCCCATGGAGTAGATATAACTGCCTCCATTTCCACAAGGCCTTCCAAGGCAGGGAAGGCACTTTGTGAACTCTGGAGCCCCTTGCTCCCTTGATATCCACACCTCCCCAGGTAGTAGCAGGCCCAGCAGGAGGGTGATGGTATTCACAGTCACTGAGGCTTAGGATTGTTGGGGGGTCAGGAGGGTCTGGGCTGTCACTGGGGGTGTCTTTTTTCCAACTCCTTTACCCTCTGGGCTGAACATCTCAGCACACACACCTCTAGGGCCGGCCTTGGCCCCCTTCCCATCTCAGCTCTTAAGAAGCAGGGGCTCCCAAGCATCTATCGCTTGGGTAACACCTGCTCCAGCACCCCCAGCCTTGCACGGAGCCAAGATACTCAGTGAGTGCTTGCAAACTGCAACAGGAGGGCAGGTTGGAGCTATCTATGGCCCTGGCATTGCCTGGCTCAGGCTGGCACCAAGAGGGCAGGAGCATGGGCTGAACTGAGCCTTCTCTGTTGATAGTTATGAAGGCAGATGCATCCACCTCTCCTTCCAAGTTGCTCTGAAGCTGAGCAGCCAGTGTGACAAGGATGGGAGACTTCATCTGCTCGCAGACACTCCCCCTGTGCCCACTGTGTGCTGGGCCCAGTACTGGGCATAGGGGACACACAGGGATGAGCCCAGGGTCTGTTAGGAGCACCAAGCCAGCCTGTGAGTGTGTTCTGCCCGTGAACAAGCACCTACCGCACCAGGTGGCTTTGCCCTGAGAAAAGGCCCAGCAGAGTCTGGAGCAGACAGTGTGCATGTGCCAACCTACATCCCACAGCCACCCCACAAGGCCCGTGTGAGCCTTTCTCTAGTAAAGACGAGGCACAGAGCTGTCAAGTAATTTGCCCAAGGTCACACAGCTGGAAGAGGATTGGCCAAAACAGATTTGAACCCTGTTTGTTGCTCATCTGTGCCCGATGCTTCCCTCAGAAGTCCTGGCTTCTGGCCTTGACTCTGTCGGATTTTGCCAAGTTTCCATAATGTCCACTTGAATTGTGGGCAGGGAGATTGAACACAATGCGAAGATTCTTTGCAAATAAAAGGTCCCAGCCCCACCCAGCCCTTCTCCTTCGTGTTGGTAGCAGATCCTGCTCAGAGACAGGCATTGTCACTGGGTGGTCATTAGCTCCCTTTGTCCCCACAACCACCGAGACTCAGGAGGATGACACATGGCCTTCTAAGGCCCCCATCCCCTGCGCCCCCCACCTTGCCTTTGTCTGTGAAGGAAGGGCACAATACGGGCCCTGCCTGGCTCTGCTCTTGAATTCAGTCCCTTCACTGCTCAAGGGTCAGCCTGTGTCAGACTCAGCCAAGCAGCCCCCGAGGAGGGCATCTCCAGGCCCCAGTGGCCTCCCTTACCCCAGCTGCTCTTCTCTGCCTGGTTGAATACAAGGCTGGGAGCTAGGGACTTAGCGGGGTGGAGAGGAAATTGCTTCCCTCCCCTTAGGGACTTGAAGTCCAGTAGAGGTGTGTGTGTGCGCATAGGGCTTGTGGTCCAGTAGGGGTGTGTGCATGTATATGTACATATGTGTGTGCCTGCATTGTTGCATGGGCGCATAGTCCACTAGGAATGTGTGCACATGTGCTCACATGCACATGTAAAAAGTCCAAGGTGTGTGTACCTCGTGCCCCAGGAGAAGGTGTGACCTGGGCAGTGTGAGGAAGTAGGTGGGGTAGACAGGCCCAGGGTTGGCGGTGGTCAGGGGAGGGCTGGAGTGTGGCCAGCACAGAGGAGTGGGGATGTGCACCACCTGGGGAGGTGGGGAGGAGACGGAACAAGATGGTGGGACCTGACCTGCCCCTGTCTGTGGCTGTGGCAGTTGGGGTGATGGAGGTCCCAGTAGGGAAGTGACAGAGTCCAGCTGTGGAAGCCATGGGATGGTGAGGCCAAACCGTGGCTGAGGACCTTTTCAGGAGGTGGCTCTCTGGTGGTCTCTGCAGACTCAGGGCCTGAATGAGGAGGGGTCCTGGGAGACCCCAGCTTCTGGGTCAGGGAATGGAGGACACTGGTGCCATCCATGGTGAGGTGTGGGATGGGAGAGGACACGAGGTCGAGGTAGGGGGTTGACTCCTCCCTATGTGCATGGCAGGGTGGGGGTGTCATCAGTCTTGAGAGGTGAGCATGAGCCCAGCAATGCTGGGAGTTGTTAGTAGGCTGGGTGGGCCAAGGTTCTTAGGGGAAGTTGTGGAGCCCTGCTGGGGCTGCGCTGTGTGACCGACCTTGCTTCCGGTCTCCTCCACAGTAAAGAAGAAGCGGACCTGGCACAAACACGGCCCGGGGCAAGCGCCTGACGTCAAGCCCGTGCAGAATGGCAGCCAGCTCTTCATCAAGGAGCTGCGGAGCCGGACCTTTCCCAGGTGGGCTGGCCTTCCTGTATGCTCCACCACCTGCAGCCAGGGGATGCACACTCTCTCCGTCCCTTGTCCCGCTATCCATTGCTGGGGGCTTCCTTTGCTATCCTTGCTGGAAAGCAGGAAGCAGGAAGCCTGTCTCCTGGAGGCAGCATAGCCTGCACCAGCAACCCAAAGCTCCCTGCAAATGGGCCAACCTCTCCTTCCCTTGGTCAGCACTTCCCTGGGGGTGGGGGACAAGTATTGGTGACCTTTCTCCCGCTGGGTGGAAGGGACCTCTCTCCCAACCTGAGTATGCCCAGCACATGCCAGGTACTCTCCTGAGCCCTTGGCTCCCAGTCCTTCCTCTGCCCACAAGCATGCTCCCATGGCCCAGGCAGGCGTTGTCCTCATGTCTCCTTCTCAGAGACCCCCAGTGCCCACACTCTTTTTCTGCATGAGGGCAGAGGACAGAATTCTTGGCCACAGGAAGGACACAGCCGGGAGCGGCTCCTGGTGAGAAAGGAGCTGTTTAGGGGAGGCACCTCTGAGCTGCCCTGCAGCCGTTCATGAGCTGGAGTCAGTTTCTGTTTGTCACACAGCCTTTATTTCTCCCTCACTTTTGAAGGATAATTCCGCTGGACGCAGAATCCTAAGTTGGTGGGTTTTTTTTCTTTTGACATTTTAAATTCCAACTCCCTTCTTGCATGTGTGATTTCTAATGCAAAATCCAATGGAACTCTTGTTCTGACCCTTCTCTGGGTAAGGTGTTTTTTTCCTGGCTTCTTTATTTTTTCTTTTCTGACCTTTATTGAGATAAAATACAAATAATACAGTTCACCCATTTAAAGTGTGCAGTTCGGTGGATTTTACTGTATTCACAGATATGTGCACATCACTGATTTTGGGACATTTTCATCACCCCCAAAATAAATCCCATAACCTTTATACATCATCCCTGTCTTCTCATCCCCCCTCCCAGCTGTCTTTAGCAACTACTAATCCACTTTCTTGTTTCTGTAGATTTGCTTCATATAAATGGAGTTCTACAACAAGACTGGCCTCTTTCATTTAGCAGAGTGTGTTCAAGGGTCGTCTGTGCTGTGGCATGTGTTAGCACCTCACTCCTTTTTTGAGGCTGAATGATATTTCATCGTATAGATATCCACATAGGTACTCTGTCTATCCATTCATCAGGTGATGGTCATTTGCGTTGTTTCCACTTTTTGTCTACTATGAATAATTGTGCCATAAACATTTTTATACAAGTTTTTATGTGGACATATGCTTTTATTGTTTTAGGAGTGGAATTGCTGGGTCATATGGTAACTCTCTGTTTAACTGTTTGAAGAACTGTCAGACTGTCTTCCAAAGCAGGTTCCCCGTTTTACCTTCCCACCAGCAGGGTATGAGGGTCTCGATTTCTTCACATCCTCACTAGAACTTGTTATTATCTGACTTAACTTGATTCTAGCCATGCGAGTGGGTATGAACTGGTATCTTATTTTTTGATTTTCATTTCTCTAGTGATTAGTGATGTTGAGCATCTTTTCATGAGCTTGTCGATCCTTGTATATCTTCCTTGGAAAAATGACTATTCAGGTCCTTTGCCCATTTTTAATTTTTTTGCTTTTTTTTTTGTTATTGAGTTTAAAAGTTTCATATATAGTACATTCTAGATACAAGCCCCATTACCTGATATATGATTTCAAAATACTCTCTCCTATTCTGTGGGTTGTCTTTTTACTTTCTTGATAGTGCCATTTGAAGTAGAAAAGTTTTTAATTTTGATAAAGTCCAATTAATCTATTTTTTGTTGTGCTTTTGTTGCATATCTGAGAATCCATTGCCAAATCCAAAGTCATGAAGATTTATTGATATATTTTCTTCTAAGAGTTTTGTAGTTTTAGCACATACAGTTTGTTCTTTGATACATTTTGAGCTTATTTTTGTATATGGTGTGAGGTAAGGATTGAACTTCATTTTTTTTGCATGCAGCTCTTCATTTGTCCCAGTACCATTGGTTGAAAAAACTATTCTTTTGCTAGTAAACAGTCTTGGCACCCTTATCAAACTCAATTGGCCATAGATGTGTTTGTTTCTGATATTCAATTCTATTCCACTAATCTATATCTCTGCTTATGCCAGTACCACACAGTCTTAATTACTATAGTAATTTATAGTAAGTTTTGAAATCAGGAAGTATAAGTCTTCCAAGTTTGTTCTTTTCTTTTTTTTGAGACGGAGTCTCACTCTGTCACCCAGGCTGGAGTACAGTAGCACGATCTTGGCTTACTGCAACCTCCACCTCCCGGGTTCAAGTGATTCTTCTGCCTCAGCCTCCTAAGTAGCTGGGACTACAGGCGTGCACTACCACGTCTGGCTAATTTTTTGTAGTTTTAGTAGAGACAGGGTTTCACCATGTTGGCCAGGATGGTCTCAAACTCCTGACCTTGTGATCTGCCCACCTCGGCCTCCCAAAGTGCTGGGATTACAAGCGTGAGCCACCATGCCTGGCCAAGTTTGTTTTTCTTTTTCAAGTTTGTTTTGATCATTCTAGGTCCCTTGTATGTCATTTGAATTTTAAGGTCAGCTTGTCAGTTTTTACAAGGAAGTCAGCTGGGATTTTGAAAGTAATTGCTTTCAATCTGTAGATCACTCTGCAGGTATTTCCATCTTAACAGTGTTAAAACCTCTAAGCTGTGAACATGGTTACTTTTCCATTTATTTTGATCTTTTAAGTTTCTTTCAAGAATTATTTATAGTTTTCAGAGTATAAGTTTTACATTTCCTCTGTTAAATATATTCTGAAGTATTTTATTCTTTTTGGTGCTTTTGTCAATAGAATCGTTTTCTTAATTTTCAGATTGTTCATTGATAGTGTGTAGAAATACAATTGATTTTTATATGTTGATCTTGTATCTTGCAACCCTGCTGAACTAGTTTATTAGTTCTAATAGTTTTTTTTTAGAGGGTTCCTTAGTATTTTATATATACATATGACCATGTCATTTGCAAATTGAGATAGTATGACTTATTCCTTTCCCATCTAGGTGACCTGTATTTATTTTTCTTACCTAATTGCTCTCCCAAGAACCTCCAATATCACCTTGAATAGAAGTGGCAAGGTGAGGGTGGTCAGGGCCCCCCTCAGCACTATCAGCATGCCACACCCAAGGGAGAGCTTCAGTTTCACTAGTCAGAGCTGGATGCAAGAAGGCAGCCCCCACCTCTTGGCATTACTTGCTGCAGACGTAAACTCAGCAACAGGCAGCTGGGGCAGAATGAGAAGTGGAAGTCCTGCTCTCCCAAGAAGAAAGCTCTCTAGCTGGGAGCCGGTGGGGACGAAGCCTGTGTTTTTGGCTGCAGCACTTGGGAGTGGAGTGTCCACCTCTGAGCTCTGAATGTGAATGGAGGGAGCAGTCTTGGTCCAAATATCACAGACTGTTCTTACTGAGTTTTTGGAGATTTTCTTAAATAGATGTTTCTTCATTTGCTGTTTGGTCTTGGGACCATTTCCAGAGGCTCTGAATAATTGTTTTTTAAATAATTTTCAGCATTTCATTGTCATGCTGGAAGTTGACCTCGCTCATCTGCCTTCTTTCAAGATAGTTGCTTGGTCTTTGGTTTTTTTTGCAGTTCAAATATGATATGCCTAGGTGCAGAATTTTTGGCATTTATCCTCCTTTATGTGGTCTAAGCTTTTTGGATCTTTGGTTTCATGTCTGCCATTAATTTTAGAAAATTCTCAGCCATTATTAATTCAAATAAATATTTATTCTACTGCATTTTCTCTTCCTTTTTATATTCTCAATATGCACATTAGGCTGTTTGTAGTTCTTCTTCTACATTTCTTGGATATTCTGCGCCTCCCCTTGACCCCCACCCACATGCTTCTTTGTTCTGCTTGGATTTCAGGTTGGAAGTTTTTATTGATATAACTTCAAGCTTACTGGTTCTTTTCTTGGCCATGTCTAGTCTACTGATGAGCCCATCAAAGGCATCCTTCATTTTTGCTACTTTTATTATTGTTTTTTAATTTCTAGCCTTTCCTTTTGACTCTGTCTTAATTTCCATTTCTCTGTTTACATTACCCATATGTTCTTACATGTTGTCAGCTTTTCCCATTAGTGTAGCTAACATACTAATCCTAGTTATTTTAAATTTCCTGTCTGATAATTCGGAAATCTGTGCTATGTCTGAGTCTTCTTCGGATGCTTGCTTTGTCTCTTCAGACTACAGTTTTTCTTGCCATTTAGCAGGCTTAAAATTTCTTGTGAAAGCTGGACACGATGTATTGTGTAATAGGAATTGAGGTAATTAGGATTTAGTGTGAGGTTTTATGTTAATCTGAGTAGGACCTGGGCTGTGTTAAATTTGCTATAGCTCTAGGTGCCAGAGATGTCAGCTTCTTCTAGTTTGTTTGTTTGTTTTTCTCCTGGTTTCTTTGGGTTTTCCTAAGAATTTCATGTTAAACAGAGTCTGTGTCTGCAGCTCTCTCAGTTATAGTCAGCTATTATTATACTGATGTATGGTGGTAGGTTTTGGGGAGGGGAAGTGTTCTATAATTTCAGGATTAAATCTCAGTTTTGTAGAGTCTCTGGGCTGTGATCATTAGGAGCATTTCTCAGCCTTTTTAATTTTTCTCTCCTTATCTGAGACAGGAAGGTTAGTGGGGGCTGGAGGTCGCCAAATGCTTTCCCCATGTCCAGTAGAGTCTGATACAGGGGAGCAGACTTTTGTTATGGAGAACAACACTCTGGATGTATTTAAAAATAGATTCTATTTCCATCCTTCTGCCGGATTAAGGAGTTTTTAACTCTTAAACTGATCTACACTTAACTTTTGGCAGTTTGACAAAAGTTATCACTTAAGTGTTCCTACAGGTCACTGCCTCCAGCAGCTTCCGCTTCAGGTAAGGCGATCTCAGCTATGATTTTCTGTCTCCTCAGATTTTGGGTGGTTGGTTGTTTGCCCTATGAGCTCAATTCTCTGATGAATATAAGAAAAGTTGTTGATTTTCTGTTTGTTCAGCCTTTTTCTTGTGGGGAAGAGGGGAGTGACAACATCCAAACTCTTCACATGTTGGAGCTGAAACCAGAAGAACAATTCCACATTATTTTAGCCACCTTAAATTCATTGGGTTATCTGTTGTTTTATTTTTGAGTTGTAAGAATTCTTTACATATTCTAGATACTTGTCCTTACCAGACACTTTCTGCCATTCTGTGTTGTCTTTGTAGTTTCTTGACAGCGTCATTTGAAGCACAAAAGTTTTTAATTTTAGTGAAGTCTAACTTACCTCTTTTTTCCTTTTATTGCTTGTGCTTTTGGTATCACTGCTGATAAATCATTGCCTAATCCAAGATCTTGAAGATTTATGCCTTTGTTTTCTTCTGTGAGTTTCATAGTTTAAGCTTTTATATTTAGGTCTTTGACTCATTTTGATTGAATTTTTGTATACTATCTGAGGTAGGAAGAACTTTATTCTTTTGCATATGGATATCAACTTTTCCTAGCAACATTTATTGAAAAGACTGGCCTCTCCCCATTGAACTGTTTTGGCACTCTCCTTGAAAAGCAGTTGATTGTGGGTGTTAAGGATTTATTTCTGGGCACTTAAGTGTATTCCATTCCTCTGTATATCTTTTCTTATGACAGTACCACCGTCTTGACTGTAGGAGCTTCGTATTGAATTTTGAGGTTGGGAAGGGTCTTCCAGCATTGTTCTTTTAAAAGACTGTTTTGGTCATCTGAGTGCTTTGCATTTTTATTCAGCATTCCAAGTTTAGTTTGTCAATTTCTGCAAAGAAGTCAGCTGGGATTTTGATAGGGATTATGTGGAATCTGTAGATTAGTTTTCCATTGTTTCTTGAATCCCACACCTTTCTTCTAAGTTTGATTTCCTTCTTATAGAATTATATCTTTTAGTTATTTCAGCAAAGGCTTATGAAAATACATACTGTCTTGTCTGACAATGACTGTCTTTATTCTTACATGATTCTAATATTCTAAAATGGATCTAAAGTTCTAGAGTGAAAGCTGTTTTTCTTTAATTCTTTGAAAGGTATTTTATTGTCTTTTGACATCTCTTGCTAATGAGATATCTGTTGTTAGTCTAGTTGCTGTTTCTTTATATTGTTTGATGTACTCAGTACATGAGTGTACGATATTGCCTCTAGATGTACATTTGTTTTTGTTTATTCTGCTTAGAACCCAGTAAGCCTCTTTAATTTGGAGAGTCACATGTCAATTCTGAAAAATACTCTGTTTTCTCTTTTAGTAGCATTTCTTCTGTATTCTCTGTATCATTTAAAAATTTTTCTTCAAATTTACTATTTTTTCAGCCATCTACTGTTTAGTGCATCCATTGAGTTTAAAAAATTTTGATCATTGTATTTTTTATTTCTAAAATTTCTATAAATTTCCTTTTCAATATTGCCTGGTCTTTTTTCTTTTTTAATACATCCCTGTGCCTTGCCGCATCCTCTTGATTTCCTTCTGAATGTGTTGAGTATATTTATTTTCAAATCTCTTTTCGGTTGTTCTATTATCCTCAGTTCTGGTGATCTCTTTTGACTGGTGTGTCTATTGACTGACCCTCTTGGTGGTTCACCTCCTTCTGTGGGGCATGGTGCTTCAGAGGGGTCACATTCCATTGGGACTAGTATGTCCTTGGCTGCTGTCCACCTACAAGACGGTTTGTGTTTGCCTTTTGCTAAGGTTTTATGGTTTTCACAAGATTAGTTCCAGATCCAGTTTGGGGTTCCCAACCGATGGGTTTAGTGCAAGTTTGGAACTCTCACTGCTAGGACGTTGGCATTGGGATTCATCAAGGACAATTTTCTGCCTGTGGCCCAGGTGGATGGGAGGCCTTCCCTGTTGCTTTCAGAGCTTCCTTTGCATGGTCTGTATGCCTCGAGCTTCCCACACGGTTGCCTGTACACATTCTTTCTTCTTCCTCACCGTCTAGTCCCCCCTGGTTTATCCTTAACGCTATTCCCATGTGATCAAAGCCAGTGGACATTCTTCAGTTCTAATCTTAACTGCCCTCTTGGCAAAATTAGGCATTGCAGCCCTCTAGTTCCTTGAAGTCTTGTCCTTTGTTGGGGATGGATTTCCTCCCACCTGCCTGCTTCCTGTCCTGTTAACTGCTCTCCTTGAGGCTTTTCTGGGGACTCAGCTCCACAACTTCTTTAGCTCTTCTGAGCTTGTGGCCTGTCTATCCAACTGGCACATCCCTGGAGAATCTGACAGGTATCTTAGACCACATGTGTCCCCAGATCAGATCTGTCCCTGTCCCCAGCTCCTGCCCCTCCACCGTGGGCCCTCTGTAAATGGCCCCGCCTCTGCCCCCACCACTCACAACAGTCTCCTGGCCGTCCATATTTGCCTCTTCCTGTTCCCTCCCACTTTCTCAGCTATCACCAGACTTACTGATCTCCTGAACCCCCTTGGCCCTTTCCCTGCCCCCTAGTCCAGGCATGGTGCCCTGAGCCTCCTGATGCTCTCTGTGCCCCCACTCTGCCCTGCTGCAGGCCACTGTCCGCACAGCAATGGACAACCCGCAGACTACACCACTGCCCTGCTTAGAATTCCAGAGGCTCGGCTGGGCGCGGTGGCTCACGCCTGTAATCCCAGCACTTTGGAAGGCCGAGGTGGGTGGATCACCTGAGGTCAGGAGTTCGAGACCAGCCTGACCAACATGGTGAAACCCCATCTCTACTAAAAGTACAAAATTAGCCAGGCATGGTGGCACATGCCTGTAATCCCAGCTACTCAGGAGGCTGAGGCAGGAGAATTGCTTAAAACCTGGGAGGCAGAGGTTGCGGTGAGCCAAGATCACGCCATTGCACTCCAGGCTGGGCAACAAGAGAGAAACTCCATCTCAAAAAAAAAAAAAAAAAATTCCAGCAGCTCCCAGTGCTGCTGGTGTGCAAAGAATTCTGGCGGCTCCCAGTGCTTCTGGTGTGCAGCGGGAGCCCTCCAGCTGCGGCTCCTGTCATTCTCACACCTGCCACTGTCTGTCCGCGTCAGAGGCCTTGGGTGGTGCACTCCTCCCCTCGGCCCTGTCTTGCAGGGTGCTCTTTCCCCTGTTCCCTGCTGTCCTCCTCCCCAGCGCTGCTCACAACTGTGCCCATCCCATAGAAGCATGTCCCCAGGGTCACCAAACAGAGGCTGTTCTAGCGGGCCCTGTGGACCACAGCTGCCCAGGGGCCTCTCAAGGAGCAGGAGGCAGCCTGGGGCATGGGCTGGGGCTGAGGGCTCTGGGTCCAGCTGTATGGCCTTGGGCAGACCACACTTCCCCTGGGCCTCATGTCCCTGGGAGGATTCCTAGGGTGTGTAAATGCTCTGCCAAGGTCATTTTTCCCCTTTGCCTGTGGGCCCCTCTCGTCTGCCTCTGGCCCTGTGGTGGTGGCCATGTCTAGTAGGGAGCAGGCCAGGACAGGATGCTCTTGTCCGGGTCCTTGGGTTGTCACCGCACATGCCATTCATCCTTGCCAGCCAGGGGCCTCCTCCTGGCCCTGCCCCTCTGCTGCTTCCTCTGGGCAGGAATGTGGGGACAGGCTAGGCAGGGCGAGAGAGAGACAGAAGGAGACCTGGTTTTCACCCCTGTCCTCTCCACATGGCTTTGTCCAAGGTCTTCCCAATATCAGAGCCATCTTAGTGGCTCTTGTTCCTGAGCTGTGATTCGGTGGCCCTGCCATGGGGAGGCACCTAGCCGAGAAGGGGTACAAGGGAGGTGCAGTGGAGGAGCTGCCCCCGTCCTCACCTATGGGTCAGCCCGGGTGCCGGTGGTTGGGGAGCGACCTTGCTCAGGCCCAGGCGCCTCCTGCCTCTCTGTCTTGTTGGGAAGGACAGGCCCTTGTCACCTCTTGACATTTCCATGTGACACGTGAGACCCCATGTCCCTGCTCCCCCAAACAGTGGGGTTCTGGAGTCAGCACGGCATCTGCCCTGGCTGCTCTATCGTCCCATTTGTGGCACCACGGCCAGGCCTCCTCCTGTGGCTGTGGGAGGTGGGTGGCCAGACCCAGGCTCACCTCTCCAGCACCGAGGCCCTGTCCACACCTGTCCCGGTGCAGGAGGCCTCGGGCCCAATGTGGCCTCTGACCTGTGCTTCCCTGCAGTGCTGAAGACGTGGTGGCCCGTGTGCCAGGAAGTCAGCTCACGCTGGGCTACATGGAGGAGCACGGCTTCACCGAGCCCATCCTCGTCCCTAAGAAAGACGGGCTGGGTCTGGCTGTCCCGGCCCCCACGTTCTATGTCAGTGACGTCGAGAACTACGTGGGTAAGCGCCATCCCCTTCACAGTGCTCTGGGGCTGGAGCTGGGAGTGCTGGGACACCCACCACTGTGCATGCTGTTTCCCCACGCCCTGGCTGTGTCCATGTGTGCCGTGAGCAGTGGAGCCTCAAGGCTCACCGTACTCTGTTCCCGGTGCTCTTAGTTCAGACCCTGCGTCCCACTGAGATGACATATGACCTGGCAGGTCCCTTGCCCTCCCAGATACTCTGACTGCAAAGTAGGGGCTGGTCTGGGAGACCCTTTGATTCTGGCAGCTATGAATTGCATTACTGTGGGTGCTACATGACACTGCCATGCCTGGGAGGCCCTGGTGGTGCGGGCCCATGTTCCCATCCTGGCTGCCTGATTAGGGGCCTGGCCTTCCTCATCTGTACCATGACCTGCCCCCACGGCACCAGAATCTCCTCGTCTGGATTCCGTCTGGGTTCTAGCCAGTGCCATTGCCATCAGCAGTGCCCATTTCATGTCCCCTTGCAGCTCCAGAGCTACTGGGGTTAGGTGGGCACTTGTGGGTAGAGGAAGCACCTGTGGGGGTGCCGTTCAAGAGGCAGTGGCAGGGAGAGGCCAGCACACCTAGCAGTGACCCTGACAGGCCAGTGGCCACATGGCCAAGCATGGAGGCCCACATGGTTGCAGGGCTTCAAGGTGCTCATGGGGGATGCCTGGGTGGCTGGCACGAGGAGGAAAAACCCTGAACGGGCAAACCCCCAGGACAGAAGGTGGGCAGGCAGGCACACTGGCCTCTCAGTGCTGGGGCTTCCGAGACGACTGGCCCCACCACTCTGAGGCTCACTCTCTTCCTCTGTGCACCCTTCATGGGGTGTGTGCTGGAGGTGAAATGAAGTCACCTGTACAAGCCTCTGGGCACATAGGGGCACCCACCAGGAGGCCATCAAGTTCAATTTCAGCAGGGGGCTGGGGCCACAGCTTTTCTCGGGAGCCACATGGCCACCCTGGGGCTACCGAGACTGGGCTCCCAAACTCGTCATGAAGAGGAAGAGCGAGCACCCTGGTAGCTGTCAGACATCTCGGAAGAGGGGCTAGAAAGTGCTTGTCCCGGGACCTGGGGTGAGGGTGTTGGGTGTCCATGCACAGGGGCTGATTCTGTGGGGTTCTTACTGAGGAGGAGGGCAGGCTGGACATAGTTGGAGCTGTGGCACTAGCTCTGTGGCTGATCCTGCCCTGAGCCGGGATCCAGCCCCTGGTCTCGCCTGTGCTCGGCTTTACCGCAGGTTTGCCTGAGAGGGGGCCATGGCCATCAGGTGGGCTGTTTCTGTCTTGCTGCACAATGCTGGTCAGGCAGCCTTGTGTACCCCAGCTGTAATGTTCATGCTTGCCAGGCCAGTGCTCTTTCTCACCTTCCCAGACCCTGGCATGGTGCACACAGGATAACAGCTAATATATAGTGAGGGCCTGCCTAGTGCCAGGCATTTTTCTAAGCTCTTCCCACGTAGGAGCTAATTTCCTCCCTTCCACAGCTCTGAGAGCTGGGTCCTGCCCTGCCACCAAGGCCCTGGGCTCACCTAATCATGCGGGTGGGGCCTGGTTTTTCCCCTGGCCGTGTTCCCTCCACAGCTGTCCCTGCAGAAGCAGGGAGGAGATGGTTCGTCGTTTGTGTTGCTTCTATGTCTTTCTTTTTCCTCTTAATTTTTTTTTATGATGGAACTTTTTAAATACACACAAAATTAGAGAAACAGTAAGCCCTCATGCACTCAGCACCAGAAACAAAAGCCACCAGCTTTCAGCCAGTTTTCCGTTTCCCCACTTTTTTGTTCTCTTTGTAGTATTTTAAAAGGAATTCTGATCAGGCATGGTAGCTCACGCCTGTAATCCCAGCACTTTAGGAGGCTGAGGTGGGTGGATTTCTTGAGGCCAGGAGTTCGAGACCAGCCTGGCCAACATGGCAAAACCCCGTCTCTACTAAAAATACAGAAATTAGCCAGGTGTGGTGGTGGCACCTGTAGTCCCAGCTCCTCGGGAGGCTGAGGCAGAAGAATCACCTGAATCCAGGAGGTGGAGGTTGCAGTGAGCCAAGATCGTGCCACTGCACTCCAGCCTGGGCAAAAGAATGAGATTTCATCTCAAAAAAAAAAAATTCTTTTTATATACATCATTTTACCCATAAAAATTCTAGTACATAGCTCTAGCAGACAATTTAAAAAATATATAATCACAGTTCTATCATCGCACTCGATAATATTAACAGTAATTCCTTGGTGGCACGTAAGACCCAGTTTAATTCTTCCCAGTTGCCTCAAAAGTGCCTTTTTACATTTGGCTGTGGAATCCAAATTAGACCCCCACATTGCATTTTTTTATATCCCTGAAGTCTCTTTTCTTCTGACAGCCCCATTTCATTCTATCCTGTTGGTTTGTTGGAGAGAAGGCCATGTTGGTCCTGCAGAATGTCCCACATCCAGGATTTGGTTGCCAGCGTCCCAGTGGTGTTGCTGAGCAGGTCTCTCTGTCCCGGGTGTTTCCTATAAACTCGTGGTTAGAGGCTTGCTTGACTTGCCTTCAAGTTTTTGGTGGGACTCCCTCTGGGTGGGAGTGCTTTCATCTGTGGGGAGGCCTGTTGTGCCTGGCCACACTCTTGCAGTGATGCAGACAAGGCCAGTGGCCCCGGCATCCACCTCATCTGTCCACACTAAACCCCATGGCCTTGCAGTTTGTGGTCAGAGCAGCCATGGAGAACTATTGCAAAGGGCGACTGGCAATTCTGTCCTCCTCCCTCTATCAGTCATGAGTCTTTTATAAAGAAATTTTCCTCCTCAGCTCATCTGGTTATCCTGAACTTTTCTTTGTCAACTACAGAAAAGGCTTTTCCCTTTATCAGTCTGCCAATTCTCAGAGTAATGAATTGGTACCCTAGAAATGCAGGGGTTTTGATAGCTTAATTTTTAAAATGTAGGTATGTCTCATGAATTACTTGGAACATAACACTAAAATGTATTTGCTGTTCATCTGAAATTCAGGCAGGCCAGGCATCCTGTGTTTTTATTTGCTAATCTGGCCACCGTCGCTGAGGCCTGTGACCTGGCCGCCTCACAGCATCACCAGGTCAGAGGAGTGGTCAGAGTTGAGCCAGGGGAAAAGCAGGCAGGTGAAGCTCGACGTTGGCACCTAGAGCCTCCGCATCCAGCCCCTGGCAGCTCCTGCTGTGTGTGAGGGCAGCCAAGAGTGTGTGTCCACTCCACACGTCCTGGCCTCAGGGAGGCTGTGCCGCCTTCCCAGGGTGCTCAAGCTCCTCCCACCACCTCCCTAGGGCCGGAACGGAGTGTGGATGTGACAGATGTCACCAAGCAGAAGGACTGCAAGATGAAGCTGAAGGAGTTTGTGGACTATTACTACAGCACCAACCGCAAGCGGGTCCTCAACGTCACCAACCTCGAGTTCTCTGACACCCGGTGAGTGCTACCACCCTGGGGGTGTGGGGGCTGGGGTTGGGGCAGGGGCGCTGTGCCGTCCTTGGTAGTCGCCTGAGAAGCACAGGTCGAAGGTATCAGAGTCTGGAATACTGCACATGGCACACACTGATTTTTACTGTTTCTCTCTTTTAAATTTTTTCCTTTTTTTTTTTTTTTTTTTTTTTTATAAGACTGGCCCACAGCTGACTGTTTCTCTTTTAAAGTATGAAGGTGACGTATTGAGAACAATTCAAACAAAAATAAGGAGCAAAAAGGCAAAGCCTCCTCTGGTCTTGGCCCTGCCCATCCCACTCCTCAGAGAGAACCATTGGTAACAATGTGTAGTTTTTTCCAGAATGCACACACTCATGACACACTCAGACACATCTATGACACACCCACTTCCGGACACACAACATTCACGCTTACTCATGGACACACCAACACTCATGACACCCACTCGTGGACACACTCATGACACTCACACTGACTCATGGACACTCCAATGCATGAGACATTCATGACACTCTGACCCTCACATTCGCTCATGGACATACCCATGACATGCTCACCCATAGATATGTCACACACCTGCAGTCATGACACACTCATACCTACTCACAGACACCAACGTGTGGTGCAGTCACACTCATGGACACACTTGTCAACACACTCGTGACACAACACACCAACACTCATAGACATACTCATGACACATTCATAGACATGACACACTAGTGGACACATGGACACACATGACACACACTCAGTACTCACCAACACGTGGTACACTCACACTCACGGACACACTCGCCAACACACGACACATTCACAACACACCGACACTCACCCATGGACGTACTCATGACACATTCATAGACACGACACACTAGCAGACACATGGACACACACTTAGCACTCACCAACACGGTACACTCACACATGGACACACTCGCCAACACACCTGTGACACGTTCACAACACACCGACACACTCACATGACATAGACATGCGATACACCCACGGGCATTCATGGACACACTTGTGGGCACACTCATACACAGACACTGACACACTCAAACACAACAATAGACTCATGACACGCTTATGACACACACACATCCCTGACACACTGAGATACTAACTCACTGGCACACTCATACTCCTAACACCCGCATCCCTGGCACAGTTACTAACACCTGCACACACCCGTGTAGACGCCTACACTCACACACATGAGATCCTGCAGGGGCGGCTGCTGTGACCTGCCTCCCTGCTTTCCAGGCAAGGCAGGCCCCACACAGATACACCTTGGTTGGCCCGGTCCCCCTGAGTTCCTGGCACTAGTTGTCGTCAGCCCTGCGGTCACTGGGTGGGGCATCCTCTGTCAGGGCTGACCTACACCAGCCTGGCTTCCTGGTGGCAGAGATGCTGGCCCTGCACTTTGTGGCTCTGACCTTGTTCTCCCCCCAGGCTGTCAGCTCGGGTGTGGTCAGTGCCTGCCCTGGATCCACCCCTCACCCCCGCTCCATCACATCACCTCTGCCCTCCAGCTGGCCCCTGGGAAAGATCCAGAACACTCACTCACCGTAAGGCGCGGGTGGCTAAGGATGGCTTTAGTCTTCATCGTTTCCGTCATGCCTACTTCCTGAAAGCACATAACACGTGCAAAGGGGCAGGTAGGGAGAAACAAAAGAATTATCTAAAACCAAGAAAGAGAATACAAAACTATGCCAAGAGCCACAAAAAGGTAATATGGTTGTGCATGGTGGCTCATGCCTGTAATCCCAAGACTTTGGGAGGCTGAGGCAGGAGGATCACTTGAGGCCAAGAGTTTGCAACCAGCCTGGGCAACAAAGCAGGATCCTGTCTTTATTTTAAAAATTAAAAAAAAAAAAAAAAAGGTAATGGGCATTCATTTTGGTTGAGCTTCCTAACAGCAAAGACTAAAAGGGAAATGGAGTGGGTTATGGTACCAGAGAAAGTGGTATGTATTGCTTTGGTACCAAACAACATAACTGAGTCATGTCTCCATCAGCTTAATTTACTGCCCTGCCTGGGTTGAGGGGTTCTCACAGAGAGATGTCTAGGCTATGGAGCTAGGGAGAGATGGTACTTTGGCCTGTGGTTTTCTGTTGGGCCTTTCAGGGCCACCCCTTTGCCTCCTGTTTCCACTGGCCCAGTCCGTGGATCATTAGGGGGTTGTTTGCAACTTTTGTTGGGCACTTACCTACCAGAGCCTTCACATGGGCTTGGGTCGGGTCCATGGAGTGGGCTCTGCTTCATCATTAAGTCTGTCCCCAAGGATGTTGGCCAAGCAGGTAAGGTCAGGCCTGACACCATGGGCTGTCTGGGGTAGCTCTTGGGGCCTGCTGCCTCAGGGGGGCCCACAGTGACCAATGTACCCCCAGACCGGAGAGATGCCTGCTCTGTGGCAGGTCTAGGGTGATGTTCCCACTGCTGGTAATTCAGATACATGTCACATCTGGTCTCTTGCTCATGGTGGCCTTGCGTGTCCATGGGGGCTTTGAGGACCTCCTCCCGCCAACTCAGAGAAAGGTGTGGCTTGCACCTAAACAGGCCAAGCAAGGGAAAGAAGGACGTTTGAGGGTGTGGTGGGAGGCAGGGACAGCCTGGCCCCCTGTGGTGTGTGGTGTTTGAAGGACATGGCTGGAGATGGGTCATGAGGGCCCTTGTGGCAGGGAACCCTCTCCTGTGGGCCGTGATGTGCCCAGACTGCTGAGGTTTCAGAGGTTGGCAGTGGGTATGAATGGGGGCAATGAGGACTCCTGGAGGATGGAGAAGGGTGCTAGTTTGGAACGTGCTGGAGATTTAAAGGTGAGGTCTGTGACTGAGGCTAGTGGGATTGGGGCGGCAGGACTCTGCTTGTGATTTGTGACAGTCTTGTCCGGGGACAACTTGTCTAGGTTGCTGTGGCCTTCGAGTAGAGACAACAGCACTTGCAGATGGGATGACAGAGACATGACAGACCCTGTCTTCCTGGAGGCAGCAAGAACCCCCAGATCTGGTTCTTAGTGGCAGCTGAAATGTCACTGCACGGGTGCTGTTGAGCTTGACTTTTTTTTTTTTTTTTTTTTTGGAGATGGAGTCTCACTCTGTTGCCCAGGCTGGAGGGCAGTGGGGTGATTTTGGCTCACTGTAACCTCTGCCTCCTGGGTTCAAGTGATTCTCCTGCCTCAGTCTCCCAAGTAGCTGGGATTACAGGCATGCCACCATGCCCAGCTAGTTTTTATGTTTTTAGTAGAGACAGTGTTTCACCATGTTGGCCAGGCTGGTTTCAAACACCTGAGTTCGTGGTCCGCCCACCTCGGCCTCCCAAAGTGCTGAGATTACAGATGTGAGCCACCATGCCCAGCCTAGTTTGACATTTTTGATGAAATTTAACACGTTTTATCCAGGACAGTGACATGTCATTGAATTGAAGGCTGCCTCTGCATCTCCCTATCTTCCCTGGATATGAGTTGGCTGGATTTGACAGTGACTTGACGTGGCCAGGGGTCGTGGGCACCCTGTTGTCAGCTCTGGAGAGCAGTGGCTGTTATCCAGGTGACGCCAGAGGTGCCGGGCTGAGTGTGAGAAATGATATCTACGCTTCAGCCCAGTGTGCCACAGCACATGGCACGTGGCCAGTCTGGAAAGACTCGCTTTCCAGTTCCCAGGAAAGGAGGTTCCCTCTCAGGGGTAGATGGTTTTGGGGCCTTCTCATTATCTTCTGGGGGTGGAGGCCAGCGTCAGACCCAGTCTCCTGCCAGGGCCACAGCCAGCGCCTGGGCTCATTCCGTCCTCTGTGATCCTGTTTGCTCCTCTGTGAAATGGGAGCTGTGACCCGTGGCCCGCAGGTGGTGAGAGAGCGTGGGACATGCCTCACAGAACATGTTTCCCACTGCAGGGGAAATAAAAAAGGGAGTCCCAGGTTCCCTCACCACCTTCCTCTCCCACCCCTAGAATGTCCAGCTTCGTGGAGCCACCTGACATTGTAAAGAAACTGTCATGGGTAGAAAACTACTGGCCAGATGATGCATTGCTGGCCAAGCCCAAAGTGACCAAGTACTGCCTAATCTGCGTGAAGGACAGTTACACCGACTTCCACATCGACTCTGGGGGCGCCTCTGCCTGGTACCACGTGCTCAAGGTGAGCCACGCCCCTCGGGGCACCTCTGCCTTGCCATGGCCATGACCCATCTGCAGGATTGTCTGCAGTCCCCACAAGCCCTGATTGGCCAGGATGCGACTCCCCAGAGGGCCCCTGGACTGTCCATCCCTGGGACAGGAGGCCTCTGGAGACATCTCTGGGTGGAGGGGCAGGGGTGCATGTGGGACCAGAGAACCGCATGAGTGTCTCCTTGTTCTGATGGGATTCAGGCTCGTTAACAATTGGGTGAGACCACCAGGTGACCATGCACTTAGAGGAGAAAGGGGAATGTTGCAAAAACATCCTGGAAGAGGGGCCAGCCATAGCCAGGGCCCCGCACAGGAGCCAGGGGGCAGGAGAGGGGCATCTGAGTGGGCAGGGAAGGCTAGGAGCCTCATCATCGAGGCTGAGAGAGGGAAGCCAGAAGAAAAATGAGACGTAAATAGCAACAGAAACAAAGGAAACCCTAAGCTGTGGGCTCCCCCAGCTGCTAACTGAGCTTCTTCAGACCAGCTGGACCTGGATCTGGGGGCGGGCAGGTGCACATGCTGATCCCACCTCTGGGAGGCCTTGAGCAAGTCACTGGGGCATCCTCAGAACCTGCCTTGGCCCCATTGCAGTAAGACAGGGGTCTCACTGCTCCTGGTGCAGAACCCCTCCTGGGGCCTGCCATAAGACTGCCTGGGACACAGTGGCATCATTTGACCCAGCCTGAGATCCAAGTGGCTCTCAAGAGTGGAGCTACCTGGAATGCTTTTGACAGTCATTTGCAGCTTTATTTGCAGCCTGGGCACCCACACCATTTGTAGTGCCTCGAAACAATGTAATGTGGGATTATGGGCTTTAGCTCTTAACTGTGCAGAGGGCCCAGATACCCAGAACCTTCCTAACATGCACATTTCTGAATTGCAAAGCACCTGTGCCCTCAGTGTTGCAGGCGGGAGTCGTGGACCTGGGCAGGGTACTTTTCACGTTAGGACCTGTCACTTGCACCCCCGACCCCCGCATCCCAGTATGGGCGGCTCTGCCAACAGGCTCTCTTGGCAGGGGGAGAAGACCTTCTATCTCATCAGGCCGGCCTCGGCCAACATCTCCCTGTATGAGCGCTGGCGGTCTGCCTCTAACCACAGCGAGATGTTCTTTGCTGACCAGGTCGACAAATGCTACAAGTGCATCGTCAAGCAGGGCCAGACCCTCTTCATCCCCTCAGGTGAGTGCGGGCAGCTTTGGGGACCATGTACTAGGGCTTGCCGGCCCTCATCAAGCTTACTGCCCTGTCCCTTGGACCGTGTCCCCACCATGGGGTCTCTTCGGCATCCCTGGCATGCCTGCTCCCTTGTCCTGAGCATATGAAGTGGAAAGGAGGTTGAAACTGGGCAGCTCCCTTGTCCGGAGCTTACCGCCACCCCAGCCCAGTCCCTGCAGAGGGGCCAGCAATGGGGCTTGTGTTGTCTCGTCAGCATGGGCACTCCTCACCACCGAGGCCACCTTGGAGCTGCGCAGCCAGTCACCCGCCTTCTCATCCTGGCTGGGCTCACTATGACCGAGCCCATGGCTGGAGACCCAGCTCAGAGAGCCTTGTGTGGAGACAGCAGCCATGACATCAGAGCCAGCGAGGGAGGAGGGCGCTAGCTGCTAATTAAGACAATAGTAGGGGACATTTTGAGTCTGTGCTGAAGGAGAAGGCCCGTCATGAGCCACTGTGTGCCCCTAGATGACGTTAGAACAAATCCCAGACATTCCTCTGTTTCATTAAATATTCCACTATTTCTGAAGGGCTTCCTTTCCTTCTAAGTAACATAGCTGTAATACTGTTGTCACACCTTGAAAAATGAACAATTAACAGCATTTCCCTGGTATCATCAAATAGCCAATTGGTGTTCAGATTTTTAAATCGTTTTATAGGGTTGGTTTTTTTTTTTTTTCATTTTAAATAAGTATCAAACTGAGGCCCTCATATTTTAATGATTTATAAGGCTCAGAATCTTCTGTAATCTCTGGGTCCCTCCTCCCTCCGTTGGCTTCCTCATAGTCGCAGCTATTTAGGAAAGAGTTGTGGATTTCCCAGGGTCTGGCCCAGGCTCTGTCTCCGAGGATAACCTGGGGACCAGTCCCAGCTGCGATGCAGCTGCCCCAGCCTTGTCTCCTGCTCCTGAGTGTGGTTGGGAGGCCAGGTAGCTGGACACAGACTGGGGCTTCCTCTCTCTGTCTGAGTACTGCCCCCTCAAGTGGTCTGAGTGAGTCCCCTCAGCTCTGGGCCTCGGTTTCCCTGTCTGTGCAGGGCTGGACTGACTAGTCTGTGCTGTCTCAGACACAGCCTCTCCCCCGACCCCCTTCCATGGAGGCTGGGGTTGGGCCAGAGCCAGAGAGCTTCTCCCAGGGAGGCCCCAGGCTGCTGGTGAAGCCGCAGAGGTGGACAGGGCACCAAGGTGTAGGCGGGCAGGAGCTGGAGCCTGGGCTGGGCCGGGAAAGGCCTGTGCTGGTCTCCGCCGCTCCCTGATCTAGAGCCATGAGAAGCCCGTTCATGGGAGCAAGGTGGGGCACCAGCCACTCCTGTCTCTCTCCCAGGCTGGATCTACGCCACACTCACCCCTGTGGACTGCCTGGCCTTCGCGGGACATTTCCTCCACAGCCTGAGTGTGGAGATGCAGATGAGGTAGTGCCTGCCGCGCTGTCTGCCCTCGGGCTCCGCAGAGCAGCGTCCTCCCTCTAGCTGGGTCGGTGCTAGATGCCTTGGGCTGAGTCCTGGCACAGCCCGCCTGTGGGTGGCCTGGACATGACCGTCAGCCTCGGTGGGCCTCTTTGTGATGTGGAGGGAAGGAGGAGGTGGGCCCTGGGTTCATGCAGGCCGGCTCCTCAAGGGACCTGGCTGCTGGATGGTTGTAGTTGCCCTTGGTGGGGTTGGGGTTGCTTAAAAGGCTGCTGCCTTCTCTTCTTGGGCACTGACAGAACTCTCATGGGCCCCGAGGTCTGCAGCCACCAGGGCAGTTTTCCCCTGGTCCTCCTCAGCTATGCAGGGCCCAGTGGGGAGGCCTGAGCTGGTGTGTCTGGGGCCTGGATTGATGCCCAGCGTCGCCTGCTTGATGGTCAGTGCACTGAGAACTGCTCTTTGGTGGCTTCTAGAGCATATGAAGTGGAAAGGAGGTTGAAACTGGGCAGCCTGACTCAGTTTCCCAACTTTGAAACTGCGTGCTGGTACATGGGGAAGCACCTGCTGGAGGCATTCAAAGGTACTGGTCACTCCGGGGTGGGCGTCCAAGCCTGGGGCTCTTGGCTGTGGGGGCAGCCAGACCTGGTCAGGGCTGACTGTCTGGGTGTGAGTGCCGCCTTCCTGTGGCCTGAGCAAGTCCTCTTGGGACTCAGACCCCTGGGGCTCAGTTTCCCCATCTGTATAATGCAGGACTAGATTGAACAGGCTGGGCCTCTCCTTCCGATTGGACTGTCCCTTGTTTTAGAACGAACACTGGGCTGTGGGTTGAGAGGGGTGAGTGTGCATGGCCTCAGTGCAGGTATCAATCACACCTGCTCCACCCTCCACACTTGCCTCCATTGGGAGGGTGGAGCCCTGGCTCTGTCACCAGCTGAGGAGTGGGTGCGAGTGGGCTCTGGGTCCCCTTAGGCTCCCTCAGGGGCCTGGCAACTGGACCGTGAGGCAGGCTTGTGGCTCGGTGGCCCTCTGTGGATGCACTTTGGCATCCCCGGGCCGCCCTTTTCTGTCCCAGGTCCTGCCTGGCCACACCCTCAGAGATGAGAGCAGGTGGCTCCTGCCAGCCACCACCCTGTCCAGGCCTCCAGACTGCCCAGCAGCGTGAGGGAGCCTGCAGGAGAGTTTGCATTTATGCGTGATTTCCTTTCTCGGTGTGGTTGCTCTTAGTTGCTCTTTTTTGGTTCTAATAGCAGCCAAGAGCTCTTTTATGCAGACCCTTTGTACTCTGGCCCTAGTTTGAGAAGGTAAAATGGTCCTTAGTCACGGCTGGCCAGGTTGCGGTAAGATTTTCCCACTGTTCCCCAAATCTGGAGCCCTGAGCTTGACTCTGGCAGAAGGAAGTGCCCAAGATGGGAGTCTAACCCTGCCCTCAGGGGACTGGTGCCAGGGAGGCAGGGATCAGGGCAGCACCTGGGAAGCCACCCCACAGGGCCAGCCTGACTACTGGCCAGCCAGGCCACTGTGGCCATATCCTCTCTGCCTGACCCTCCCTCTCTGAGTGGACGACAGTTCAGTTGGCCCCCAGGACTGAGAGGACCCAGGGAGCTGCCATGGTCCTGGTGCGTCAGAGCCCTGGAGCCCTGGAGCCCTCTTCAATGGGAAGAGGGAGGGGAGGCCCACAGCAGGAGCACACCTCCCAGCTGAAATGTAGTTGGTCCCTACACTGTGCTAAGGGGCGCCATGAGGTGGGAAGAGATGCTTGGGGATGCCTGGTGTGGGCCCATGGACAGCCTGTGGCCTGGGTCCTGGCATGACTGTGTCCCCTTGCTCAGGTAGGGCTGGGGTATTGGGCAGAGTGAGGAGAGCAAGGCAGCCTGTGTTAGGGGCCTGGAGGGTGAGACAGTGGGAGGATGGTGGGAGGGCCAATCTTTCCTCAAGCAGGGCAGGCCACCAGGAGGATGGGCGCCCCCAGGTTCCAAGAGGAACTGTTGGCAGTTGAGCTGGTGGCCATGGGCGGAGGGAGACCTCTGGAAGGCTGGACCTGGCATCCCCCGGTCTGGCTATGTGGCTGGGCATGAAGGCACCTGTGGGCAGCAGGCACCCACCCACCTCACCCAGTGTCTCCTTCCCAGGCTCTCACAAATCTGGGAAGCAGCTGCCCCCTCATCTAGTCCAAGGAGCTAAAATTCTCAATGGTGCTTTCCGATCGTGGACGAAGAAGCAGGTAGGAATCATGTCACAAATGCCCTAGGGCAGGAGAGCAGTGACAGGCGGGAGGACCTCCCTGGAGACCCAGCAGCAATGTCCAGGACTTGTCCTGCTTCAGTGAGATCCAGCCTGGGAAGGACGGTGGTGCTCCCCTGCCTGGCTTGGCCCGGGGTGTGCCTTTGCCCCAGACACCCCATGGGTCCGTCCCCTGCTGTCCACTGATTGGGCCACCTGAGGGCTGGGGGAGGACAGATGTAGATGCAGAGCCCCCTCCATCAGGGGCTCACAGCTTAGTCACAAGTTGGTGGGAGGAGGGTGACCAGGTGCTGGTGTGTCCTGGGAGGAAGGTGGGTCTGTGGGTGGGGGACAGATGGCCTATGGTGGGATGACACTGTGTGAGCACAGAAAGGCCTGGAACCTGGTGGGGGCAGGGAAGGACTGGGGGAGTGGCTGGCCCCAGGACAGGGAGTGCTGGGGACACCCTGTCGGCTCCTCCTGGCTGGCCCTGGCATCAGCTCAGAAGCTAAGCTGCCTGATTGCAGGTGCAGCACCCCAGCCACCTTGCTCTGTGACCCGGGCAGCCCCTCCCTGTGACTCTTACCGATGACCATCCTGTGCGCGCCCCCACAGAAGCCACTTACTGTGTTGCTTAGCATCTTCCCTTGGTTTTGGCTACAGAAGGGAGGGGAAGGTCTGGCCCAGCCTCGAGCACCCTCTGGGACAGTGTTTCCTACTGGGCTCATTGTGCAGAGGTACTATGCCCACTCTTGAGGGAGGAGGACCCTCTCCCAGGCCAGAGAAGGCCAGTGGAGATTTACAGGAAGCCTTCAGGGAATACAGGCTGCAGGGAATACCATGTGTAGCCTGCCTTTCTCATGGGTGGGCCAGGCAGGAGAGGCAGCCAGTGCACTCCCAGGGCCATCCTGCAGCCACCACCTCCGTCAGGCCTCAAGGCCCAGGGCAGTCCAGGGCGCCCCTGCCACCTCACCTTAGCCATGTGGCTGGGTGGAGTGGCCTCTGACCAGGAAGAAGGGATGGGACCCTTGTCCATTCCATAGCCTGCTGGTGGTGGCCTCAGGCAAGCTTGTCCTCTCTGGTACTTGGTTTGTCCACCTATTGATGGGGGCTCACAGCAGAGACCTCTTGCCAGGGCAGAGTTTGGCTCGGAAGCCCCTCGCCTCATGCTCATCTGAGTGGCTCGGCAGTCAGGCGACAGCCTGCAAGAATGCAGGGGTAAGTCAGGACCACGGGAGGTGTCTGGTGCTGACCCTGGGTCCGGTTGTCCTGCAGGCTTTGGCAGAGCATGAGGACGAGCTCCCGGAGCACTTCAAACCTTCACAGCTAATCAAAGACCTGGCCAAAGAGATCCGGCTCAGTGAGGTGGGGCCGTGTCCAGGTGCTGGGCTGGACCCCTGGGGATTGGGGAGGGCCCACCTGTCTTTCTCTGGGTCCAGGGGCCAGCCTAACACAGAGCTGCCAGGTCTGGGAAGGCCAGTGCCCCAGATGGTCCTCCTTGCACTTTCCTGGGCAAGCTTGCCTTTGTGAGGGCTCAGGGTCCTAGGTCTCTGGCTGGGTCTGTGTCCTGGTGTGAGTGTGTAGGGACTGAGAAATGGCACCAGCCTCTCTGAAACTCCCATGGGGAGGGCACTCTGTGGGAGGAGCCCCTGACTCAGCCCCTGCAGTCCCAGCTTGTGTGTTCCTGGATGAGCCCTCAGCCGCTGTGCTGGGGTAGGACAGAAGAGCCTTGGGGAGAGCAAGTGACTCATGGCATGTCGCAGGTGTGAGTGTGTCACACAATAGCATGGGTTGGGTGTGAGTGTGTCACATGATGGTGTGGGGTAGCTGAGCCTTTCTGGGCTGATAGTTCCCCGCCAGCCTGGCACTGAGTGTCTCCAGCATCCTGGTGTGTGGACCGTCTTGGGCCACAGTTTGGCAGAAGCAGCATGTGACCCTCTCCTTTCTGTATCCCAGAATGCCTCCAAAGCCGTCCGACCGGAAGTGAATACTGTCGCCTCGTCAGATGAGGTGTGTGACGGGGACCGGGAGAAGGAGGAGCCCCCGTCTCCCATTGAGGCCACCCCGCCTCAATCCCTCCTGGAGAAAGTGTCCAAAAAAAAGACTCCCAAAACTGTGAAGATGCCCAAGCCATCCAAAATCCCCAAGCCCCCGAAGCCCCCTAAGCCCCCAAGGCCCCCCAAAACGCTGAAGCTCAAAGATGGAGGCAAGAAGAAAGGGAAGAAGTCCCGGGAGTCAGCCTCACCCACCATCCCCAACCTGGACCTGCTCGAAGCCCACACCAAGGAGGCACTGACCAAGATGGAGCCGCCCAAGAAGGGCAAGGTGGGACCCCCTCACCCTGACTCCCCACCTTATCACCAGAGGTGCTGCAGCATCTCTTGTGGGCCAGTCCCATGGAGATAGCTAGGGCCCATTGTCCTTGTTCCCCAGGGGCCCCTGAGAAGATGTGGGGGTCTGGGCTCTTGCTGTGGGCTTGTATGCCCAGAAGATGCACTTCCTTGCCTGGTCCTGACCCAGTCCTGCAGCATCCAGGCCCAGACCCCCCAGAGTGGACAGGCTTTGCCCAACAAGCCACAGAGCAGTGGGCCTGAAGAGGGTCCCTCACTGAGGAAGGCAACACAATGTGTGTGTGCTGTGGCAGAGGTGGCACCCAAGAGGGCCACCTGGTGGAGGAGGCATGGTGGTTTTCCAGAAGGGGATGTCTAGTTTAGGTTTCCTAGCCAGATGAGCAGTTGCCAGGGGACAAAGAAGCCCTGGGTCCTCCCTGGGGCCAAGACATTGAGGTTGAAACCTGAAGGTAGATGAGGTGTCTGTGCAGAAACAACAGGGAGAATGCCATTGGAGGGGAGGGGGTTCAGGGGTGAGGACAAGAGCAGGGTGGCCCTGATAGTCTGAGCCCCTGTGGACAGTGAAGAGATGGGCCCAGCCCTGAAGACCCACTCTGACTAGAGGATCTTAGGTCTGGGCTTCAGGGACCATGAACCCCTGAAGCACCATTGAGTGTGAGTTTCTGCCAGGAGGAGGTCGTTATCTGCTTCCTGGGGGCCAGGAAACTTCAGGGCCGGCATCACAGGGGTGTAGTGGGACGCTTTTGTGTTCTCTTTCTCAGGGCAAGCATGAATGAATGCATGAGCAAATGAATGGATGGCTAAATGGCTGGATGAATGGGTGAATGAATGAATAGGTGGATGAATGGATGGATGAATGGATGAACAGACGGATGGATGAATGAATGAATCAGTGAATGGCTGGATAGATGGATGGTTGAATGGATTAACGAATGGATGAATAGATGAATGAATAGATGGCTACATGAACGAATTGATGGATGGGTGGATGGATGGATGAATAAATGGATGGATGGGTGAATGGGTGGATGGATGGATGGAAGGACGAATAAATGAATGGGTGGGTAGATGAATGGAATAATGAATGAATGGGTAGATGAATGGATGAATGGATGGATGGATGGAATAATGAAGGGATGGATGGATGAGTGGGTAGATGGATGGATGAGTGCATAAGATGGATGGGTAGATGGATAGATGAATGGATGCATGGGTGGATAGATGAAAGAATGGTTGGATGGTTGGGTGGATGGATGGATTGATGAATAAATGGATGGATGGATGAGCAAATGGATGGATGGATGGAATGGATGGGTAGATGGATAGATGAATGAAAAAATGGATGGATGGATGAATAAATGGATAGATGAATGGATGGAAAGGTGGATGAACAAACAAATGGATGGGTGGATAAATGAATGGATGGATGGGTAGATGATGAATGAATCAACAAATGGTGAGTGGATGGATGAGTGGATGGATGGTTGGGTGGATGAATGGATGGATGAACAAATGGGTGGGTGGATGAATAAATGGATGAATGAATGGATGGATGGATGGATGGATAGACAGAGGAATGAATAGATGGATGGATGAATGAATGGGTGAGCAGATACATGGATGGATAGATGAACAAATGGATGGGTGGATAGGTGGGTGAATGGACTGATCGATGGATAAATGAATGGATGGGTAGATGGATGAATGGGTGGATGATTGAGTGAGTGGATGGGTGGATGAATTAATGAATGAACAAATGGATGGATGGATGAATGGATGAGTGGATGGGGAGATGGATAAATGGATGAGTGGATGGATGGATGGAAGGATAGATGAAAAAATGGATGGATGGATAAATGGATGGGTAGATGGATAAATAAATGGATGAGTGGATGGATGAATGGGTGGGTGGATGAATGGGATGAACGAATGGATGGATGGGTGGGCGGATGGATGGATGGATGGATGGATGGATGGATGGATGGATGAACAAATGCATGGTGCATGGATGGATGAATGAACGAATGGGTGAGTGGATGGATGGATTGGTGGATGAATGAACGGGATGAATGAATGGATGAATGGGTTGGCAGATGAATGAACGGATGGATGGATGAACGAATGAATGAATAAATGGATGGATGGATGGGTGGGTGAATGGGTACATCGATGGGTGGGTGAATGGATGCGTGGATGGGTAGATGGATGGAGGCTTGAGCTGCAAGCACATGGGCCAGAAGAAGACAGGGAATCTGTGGCTCAAGAGAGTTCCACCAGCCCTCTATGTCTGCCTCTGGGTCACAGCAGCCCTTTTTTCTAGGCCACAAAGAGTGTCCTGAGTGTGCCCAACAAAGATGTGGTTCACATGCAGAATGATGTGGAGAGGCTGGAAATTCGAGAGCAAACCAAGAGCAAGTCAGAGGCCAAGTGGAAGTACAAGGTGAGAAGTGCACATATGCATGCACACGTGTGTGTGTCAGCTTGGTGAGTGTGAGCAGAGGTGAATCTGTGAGGCCCTGTGTGTGTGAAGGAATGTGCAGACATGTGTCTGCTTGTCCTGAGTAGGTAGTGCTGTGGGGTGTGCTTACGTGGGTCTGAGGTGTGTGTGACCACCCATGGACTACATCTTCCTCTGAGTTGGTTGGGATGCAAGAGGTTGAATGTACACCCTGTATGTTGACAGTGTTTCCCTTCACGGTCCACACACTGGTTTTCATTCCCACTCCATGGGGGTCAGGCAACATCGAGGCACTGAGTCCATGGGGTGCAGGCCCCTGAGCACCCCGCAGTGGCCCGGGTGGCCACCAGAGCTATGGGTGACTTTCCTTAGTCGTGTTCCCAGTAGCTGCCTCTTCTCACTGACACTAATTGGGGTCCTGACCCCCCACTTCTGTGTGGGGCTCAGGGACGGCCCTGGTCTTGCTTTTCAGAACAGCAAACCTGACTCCTTACTGAAGATGGAAGAGGAGCAGAAGCTAGAGAAGTCGCCTCTAGCTGGAAACAAAGACAATAAGTTCTCTTTTTCTTTCTCCAACAAGAAACTCCTCGGGTATGTGAGTGCCTGGATGGGAGGGGTGACCTCGCGCATAACCGACATCACACACACCATACATACTGCATCACACCCACTGCCTTATACCACACACACATTACACACACACTATGCATGCACTCTGCATCTCACACACACCACACACTGCATCACACACAACCATACACACTGCACATCACGTACCCCATAAACACACAGCCTTTGGCTGACACACCTCTGGGGACTCCTCTCCCTCTGAGCTGCTGACCTCACTGATTGCAGCCCTGTTCCTGGCACGTCTTCATCAGGCCTAGACACCAGCAGAGCCACATCCCTGCCTCCCACCACGCTCCACCTGTAGTGTGGGTGTGAGGAAGCAGACATGCCTGGGTGGGACTGGGCTGGAAGATACAGCCAGCCTGCAATGAGGGATGGCCCCCCAGGTAGGGAGGGAGGCCGTGGGACTCCATGAGTGTTAGATGTTTGGCTCTTGTGAGCTGGTGCTGAGGACGTGCATGGGGGACAGGGTCCTGGCTCTCAGAGCCCGGTGGCCAGTGGGGAGGGCCTGGTGTGAACCCAACATGGGACCCTGGGTGCTGAGAACGTGACCCACCTGGGAGTCAGGAGGGCCTCCTGGAGACGGCACTGAGCAGAGATTAGGGGGTGTGTTTGGGTGGTGTGGGCATGCTGGATGAGCCTCGGGGTGAGGCAAGGGGTGCGGAGGGCTGTGAGCCCGGTGGCAACCTCGAGAGCCTCATGGTTCCAGCGGCAACACTTGGGCCTGTGTGTGCTCCCGGTGCGTGGGACATGTCACCTGCTGAGGCCCCAGGCCTGGCCGGAGTCAGACAGGTCCCAGCAGGAGGGGCGGCCACTTTTCTGCAGCAGCCACTGACTAACTTGGCCAGGTTGTAGTTTCCTCATTGAAGAGATGAGAGGAGAAGGCCTCTTTCTGGGTGGTGGAGAAAGGGAGCAGTGCCCAGGCAGAGTCTTGTGAGTGTCAGGGAGCTCAGGGCAACACGCGAGGCCATTCAGCCAAGGGGCAGGTCTGCGGGGTCCTGTGGCTGCCCAGCTTCATGGCCCTGGGCGTGTCACTTGCTTTATCTGAAGCTCTGCTTCTAGGTTCCTGGGAAGCTATTAAACGGCATTCACTCTGTGACGGTGCTAGGGAGTTGACGATAGAGATGAGAAAGAGCGGTGTGACTCTAGCCTGTGGACACGTGTGTTCTGCGGCCCAGCCCGTAAGGCAGCGGGCTCGCCGCCCCTTCACTTAGAGCATTGGAAGCCGCCTCACCTAGGCACTGTATCCAGGTGTCTGCACTTCCATTTGCTCAGAATTGGAGCTGTGTCTGTTTGAAGTTCCAGACTTTTCTGCCTCAGCCTGTTGTCCCTGCTACTATATAGAGAGAAACCTGTCCTCAAACCCCTGGGAAGGCAAAGGCTGGAGCTGCTTGCAGGCCAAGCTCTGAAGTAGTCCTCCTTCACCCAGGCAGGGAGACAAATTACACACTGTTTCTTAGACTGTTACATCTATCCTGTAGCCCTGGCCCTGAGTTTATTTTTCCAACATAGCTATGGAGAAAAAAACCAGGAAACTTGGGTCCTTTTCCGGTTAAAGACCAATTCAGCATGTGCCAGGATTCCTAGGCAGGCCCGAGGCGGGGCTTAAGCTTGTCCAGTGGCCCTGGGACAGTTGGGGGTCACTGTCTTGAGCATCTAAACTGCCTGGGGAAGGGCTCTCTCTGCCTGAATGTGGTGTGTGGGGAGGCACAGCATTGTGTAGGAGGCCATGGGGTTGGGGAGTGTCCCCTCCTGTGGGCAGATAGCTTCCCACAGTGGGGACTGAAGGCCCAGCCTGGCCTCCTGTCTGCAGAGGCTTGGGCCCTCTACCCTCCTCCCATCTCAACTGGGCCTGAGGCTTCTTCGGATGGAAATTCAAATAGTGGCAACGTCACCTGCCTCCTGGAGGCCATCCTGCCGCGGCCCTGGCAGAGGACCCCTCGGGAGGTCCTACCTGTCCGCTGGCTGTGGGGCTATGTGGATGCTGCTGACCCACTCGCTTCTGCCCTAGCTCCAAGGCTCTCAGGCCCCCGACGAGCCCTGGTGTGTTCGGGGCCTTGCAGAACTTCAAGGAGGACAAGCCCAAGCCCGTGCGGGATGAGTATGAGTACGTGTCGGATGACGGTGAGCTCAAGATCGACGAGTTTCCCATCAGGAGGAAGAAAAACGCCCCGAAAAGGGACTTGTCCTGTGAGTTGGGAGGGGGTGTTGGGGGAGGGGTGTGGGAGAGGCCCATCCTGCCCCGGAGAGGTCTTCCCAGGGTGGCTGGCTCCCCGCAAGGCCTCCCGCTGGACTGCCATCTGCTGTGCTTTCAGTCTTGTTGGATAAGAAGGCTGTGCTGCCCACGCCTGTCACGAAGCCAAAGCTGGACTCGGCAGCGTACAAGGTGAGCTGCCTTACAGGCCCCCCTCAGTCTCGGGGGGCATCTCTGGGCAGTCCCCAAGGCCATGGTTTGAGTGACTCCAGGGCGGTCTCTGGGGGTGTTTCTGCATGAGATGGCAAAGGGGCCCCTTACCCTCACCCCACCCTTTCATGAGTGTTCTAAGGTCACATCCAACTCTAAGACACAGTGGTCATCTCTGCCTGGGCGTGCGAGGGGTGTGTCCCCACTGAGCCTCCTGCCGGGGGAGGTTATTGGGATCTAGTGTATTAACTGCTTTCCTCCAGCCTGAGGTCCCTCTGGGGCTGCAGGCCCTGCCCCCGCCTCTCCTTCCAACCATGGCGGTGTCTCTTTACATGTGTTACACACTGGGGCTGTCTTGTGTAAGGGTTCCTTTGAACCAGAGTTCCTCTGTGAACATGGTGCACAGTGTGAAGACAGTTTGGTCCTTTGTGGTTCTGAGAGAGCTTTGGCACCCACGTCTGCCCTGTGTGTCCGTGTGTTGGCCATCCAGCCCGTCGGCTCCAGGGGCCTCTGTCTGACCCCAGCAATGTTCATTAGAAGGGCAGCGGCTCTTTAAAAATGTTAAAAAACTGGCTGGGCGCAGAGCTCACACCTGTAATCCCAGCACTTTGGGTGGCTGAGGTGGGTGGATCACAAGGTCAGGAGATTGAGACCATCCTGGCTAACATGGTGAAACCCCATCTCTACTAAAAATACAAAAAATTAGCCGAGCGAGTGAGCCTGTAGTCCCAGCTACTTGGGAGGCTGAGGCAGGAGAATGGTGTGAACCCAGGAGGCGGAGCTTGCAGTGAGCCAAGATCGCACCACTGCACTCCAGCCTGGGCGACAGAGCGAGACTCCATCTCAAAACTAAATAAATAAATAAAAATAAAAATAAAATAAATAAAAATGTTAAAAAACTAGTTTAGTCCCTGAAGGGAAAAAGTATCCTCCTCCCAACTCCCAGGCCACTTTGGTGGCCAGACCCTCCCCTGACCGAAGCCCTGTCCCTCGCGCAGCAGAGTGATGACTCCTCGGACGAGGGTTCGCTGCACATCGACACAGACACCAAGCCCGGCCGCAATGCCAGAGTCAAGAAGGAGAGTGGGAGCTCGGCAGCTGGCATCTTGGACCTGCTGCAGGCCAGTGAGGAGGTTGGCGCGCTGGAGTACAACCCCAGCAGGTGGGCCCCACCACCCGGCAGCACCCAAGAGCGGGGACCAGGCAGGCCCAGGGCTGGCCCTCGGCCATGATGGTGGGAGCCTGCGAGGCAGACGCACAGCTGGAGCCAGTGCTGAGCCGCCCCTGGGCCTGGGCAGAAGGGCACACCTCAGATGTTGGACTGGTTCGTCCCACTGGGGCTTTCCTTTCAATCAAGGGCTTCTTTTTCTTTTAATTTTTCGGGTAAATTCAGAACCACAGGTTTTCAATTTTATGTGCCGAGACTGTTGTTTTTTTCACGTGGAAATCTTTTGGGAATTTCCACATGTACTACAGACGGGTAACTCAGGGGGCAGAGGTGTAGCCCCCTCCATGGTGCCCCTGGGCCCATGTCGGGGGCTGCAGCTGCCATGGGGAGCACAGCCCTCCTGGTCTTCTTGACAGCTGCAGATTCCCATTGCACAGATGGGGAAACCGAGGCTCTGAGGGCTTATACTTGCACGTGGGCACACTGCTAGGAAGCAGCAGAGGCAGGCCCAGAATTTCCATCTGCCTGATTGCAGAACCTGAGCTTGGGGGTCCTGGGGGGTTGACTAATGCTGGGCAGTGATATCCGGGTGTTTGCGGCTGGTCCCTTGTCCAGCAGTGACTTGGATTGAGGAAGATGGAGCCTGTGCTTGGGTCCTGCTCAGTTCCCAAGATGTGCCTCAGAGACTCTGTGGTTTCCAGAATCCATGGGCAACCCAGGGCCATGCTGCTAGCTGCTCCACACAGCCCCAAGCTTGTTCAGTGGGCAGGTGGAGGCCTGCTTTTAGACAGATGGGGGGCTTGGGCAAGGTAGATGAAGGGCTTGATTGAAAAGAGCTTTTGCTAAATCAATTGGCCGTACTTTCTTTCATATATTACTATTTTACATGCAATATTATGTTCATGTAATATTGATCAGAAAGCCAGCTGTAAGGTGCTTTTATTTTAATGGGAGTGAAGCATGACAGGAGGCTTCCATAGCGCCTTAGGGGACAGATTTCCTGCTTGGCACTAGGTGGTTCCTGTCCATGTTAAGCCCCTTGCTGCAGAGATGTGCTTGTGGCTGGGGTTGAAGCCTGGCTGTGAGCTCCTCCTCCCTGTCGGAGGCTGTGGTGCTTCACACAGCTCTTTGGGGGATGCCTGTCTTCTGGGAAGAAGTATGCACTAGCTGACACCTCAGTGACTGGCCTCAGGGGCAGGAGAGGCCCCTAAACACCCTAGGCCCCTCCCGAGGTCCATGGAGAGGCCTGGGGGTCCTGGGGGTTGGGGGTGTCTGAGGCCACCCAAGATGAGGGCAGACAGGGCCAAAAGCCTGGGGGCCACCAGGTGCTTTATTGTGGGCACCTGGGACTTGCAGGGGGAGTGGAGATGGGGACAGAGGTGGGGAGGGTTTTGTGCTCAGGTCTGTGAGGAGGCGCTGTGTCCTGGGCTCCCCGCTGTGAATCTGAGCCCAGGAGTAGGGCAGCCCATCTGTGGACACACTGATAACAAAAGACCCAGAGCTTCCCCGCCCCGCACAACTAGCCCGTGCCTCGGAGCAGTGTGCACGTGCACATGTGCCTGCTAGGGGCCACTGAGGCCGCCGGCCCCCCTCAGCCCGCTGCAGGCAGTTCCTCTCCCAAAGTCTCCCATTTGGAGCGTAGGTCAGTTTTTGATGGTCTATTTGCTCTGTTTTAAGTATCGGCTGCTTGGAAAAAACTGCTGAAGAAAATGGAGGAAAATATGTTAATTTATTGTGAATAGTTTGCTCAGTGTTTATTGCTGGGGGAAAAGGAAAGGATTTGAGTATGATAATTGGTGGATTAAAAGTATTATTTTCCATGCCGACTAGTTAGACGTTGCTCATTGATTCACCAGCAACCCTGCGGGACCTGGGCATGCAGTCCTCACCCTCTTGGGTTGCCCAGACGGCATGGCATGGACCCTCGTAGTGGGTGTCCCTGGCCACCCCCCAGCCCCCCGTGGCTAAGTGCAGGCCCCCGCCCTCCAGTCTGTCTGGGCCTTGCAGGCCAGTTGAGGGGTCGGGGCAGGGCCTGCCAGAGGATGCAGGGCAAGCTGCGTGCTCTGGCTGGCTCCTGAGCTGGGGCTGGGAGAGCCTGCTTCTGCGGAGATGTCAGTGAGGGCAGGAGTGACTGCGCTCACTTAGGCAGGCCTTCAGTGCTGCAGCTTGTGTGGCAGGGGCAGTGTGGTCCTGGCACTGTGGGGGCAGCTCCCGGCAGTGCCTTCTGAGGAGTGCTTGAGGCTGACCATGCTTGATTTTCCCATTGTTGTGGCTTTCACACCTCAATCCTGCTCAGTCCCTGTGAAACCCAAAATGCAACGCAGTCCAGTATGTCTCAGACAGGGCCTGGGAGGTGGCATTGGTGAGGGCTGCAGTGAGGGCGCCTGCCCCGGCACTGGGCATCTTCCTGAGTCTGCCGGACCCTCAGAGAGCAGTGGGTTCGGGCCTCAGCACTGTCCAGCATGGGTAACTTTTGTCCAAGTTGCCTCACCAGCCCTAGGACTCCCTCTGTGTCTGGGCTCCCTGTGGCAGCTTCCTCTCCCTGTCCTGCTGTAGCAGAGCCTCAGTCTTGGGAGCCCTCTTGCTTCTGAACCAGGACTGGTCCTGGTGGGGCCACTGCCCTGGGTGCCTCAGTCTCTGTGTCTGGTAACAGAGGTGGGCACAGGCATGCAGAGCTGGGTGGCCCGCCTGCCACTGTATTGGCCTCTTCCTTCTTGTCTCACATGTGTGCTGTCTCTGGCAAGGGGTTCTGGGTATACAAGCCCCCATTACAGTGCCTGGATGTGCTCACAGCCACAGGCTTCCCAGCCCCTCTCATCTGAATGGTTTTACTGAAAGTGCCTCCAGTGCTTCTGGGAAGTGGTGGAGAGGGGATGGGCAGCTCGAGAGACAGTGATGCTGATGCAAGAGTCCTGAAGGGGCAGGTCCAGGGAGCAGAGGGAGAGGACGGCAGGCACCCCGTGTGCCCCAAGTATGGGCCCAGGAGTGGCTAGATGCAGTGACAGGTGTGGCTGGGCCTCCCCTGTAAGGTGGGGCGGGCTGCCTTGTCCTGGGGCCAGGTTTGAGCCACAGGGAAGTGGGCAGGGGTGAGGACTAGAAAGGGACGTTGCAGGGTGTACCTGCTGGGCTGGACCACGTGAGTGGTGGGGAAGCCTGGGGCACCTGTCCTGGCTACATACAGCATCTGGAGCCCAGGGCAGGCCCCTGACTCAGAGTTTCTGGGTGGGGCCTGGGCCTTGACATTTATAAAGCTTCCCAGGTAGTTCTGGTGCACAGACAGGTGAGGGTCCTGGCTGCAGGGGGTTGTGGGCGGTGGGGCAGGGCCCTGTGAAGAGGCCAGGGCTGCATCCCATGGGAGGGCCTGGCAGGGAGGTCCCCAAGGAGCCCAGGACTTGGCCTTGGGGGTCCTTGCTGTCCAGCAGCACCAAGCCCCTGGTTCTGTGGGATGACAGTGGTCACCCCATTTCACCACTCTGTGAGCCTAGACAGGCTGATCACACACTGGGTGTCTCAGAAGATTCTTCTGGAAGGAGGGGAGCCAGTGTAGACAGGAGGAGGTGTGTGCATAGGCATGGGGCAGAGGAGGAGGATGCGGATGCGAGACAGGCTGGGCGCTATGGGAGGGGCCACCTGAAGCTGAGGGCAGCGGGGGTGCAGACAGGGCAAAGAGAAAGCCTGGGAGTCTGTGTGGAGCCTGCCAGAAGTGGGTGAACTTGGACTGAGCTGAGGTGCAGCTGTGTCTGTTCAGGTGCAGATGCAGCTGCAGGTCTATGTTCAGGTGGGTGCAGGTGTGGGGGTAGGTGCAGGTGTAGATGCAGGTGGGGGTGCAGGGTGGGGGTAGGTGCAGGTGTAGACGCAGGTGGGGGTGCATGTGTGGGGGTAGGTGTAGGTGCAGATGCAGGTGTGGATGTAGGTGTGGGAGTAGGTACAGGTGTAGATGCAGCTGTGGGTGTGGGAGTAGGCACAGGTGTAGTTGCAGGTGTGTGGGAGTAGGCACAGGTGTAGATGCAGGTGCGGGTGTGGGAGTAGGCACAGGTGCAGATGCAGATGTGGGTGTGGGAGTAGGGTCAGGTGTAGATGCAGATGTGGGTGTGGGAGTAGGGTCAGGTGTAGATGCAGGTGTGGGTGTGGATGTAGGTACAGGTGTAGATGCAGATGTGGGTGTGGATGTAGGTACAGGTGTAGATGCAGGTGGGTGTGGATGTAGGTACAGGTGTAGATGCAGATGTGGGTGTGGGAGTAGGTACAGGTGTAGATGCAGGTGTGGGTGTGGATGTAGGTACAGGTGTAGATGCAGATGTGGGTGTGGGAGTAGGGTCAGGTGTAGATGCAGATGTGGGTGTGGGAGTAGGGTCAGGTGTAGATGCAGGTGTGGGTGTGGATGTAGGTACAGGTGTAGATGCAGTTGTGGGTGTGGATGTAGGTACAGGTGTAGATGCAGGTGTGGGTGTGGATGTAGGTACAGGTGTAGATGCAGGTGTGGGTGTGGATGTAGGTACAGGTGTAGATGCAGATGTGGGTGTGGATGTAGGTACAGGTGTAGATGCAGGTGTGGGTGTGGATGTAGGTACAGGTGTAGATGCAGATGTGGGTGTGGGAGTAGGCACAGGTGTAGATGCAGGTGTGGGTGTGGATGTAGGTACAGGTGTAGATGCAGATGTGGGTGTGGGAGTAGGGTCAGGTGTAGATGCAGATGTGGGTGTGGGAGTAGGGTCAGGTGTAGATGCAGATGTGGGTGTGGGAGTAGGGTCAGGTGTAGATGCAGATGTGGGTGTGGGAGTAGGCACAGGTGTAGATGCAGGTGTGGGTGTGGGAGTAGGTACAGGTGTAGATGCAGGTGTGGGTGTGGATGTAGGTACAGGTGTAGATGCAGGTGTGGGTGCGGATGTAGGTACAGGTGTAGATGCAGGTGTGGGTGTGGATGTAGGTACAGGTGTAGATGCAGATGTGGGTGTGGGAGTAGGCACAGGTGTAGATGCAGGTGTGGGTGTGGATGTAGGTACAGGTGTAGATGCAGGTGTGGGTGTGGATGTAGGTACAGGTGTAGATGCAGGTGTGGGTGTGGATGTAGGTACAGGTGTAGATGCAGATGTGGGTGTGGGAGTAGGGTCAGGTGTAGATGCAGGTGTGAGTGTGGGAGTAGGCACAGGTGCAGGTGCAGGTGTGGGTGTGGGAGTAGGCACAGGTGCAGGTGCAGGTGTGGGTGTGGGAGTAGGCACAGGTGTGAGTGTGGGAGTAGGCACAGGTGTACATGCAGGTATGGGTGTAGGTACAGGTGCAGATGCAGGTGTGGGGGTAGGTATAGGTGTAGATGCAGGTATGGGTGTAGGTGTAGGCACCAGTGTAGATGGAGGTGTGGGTATGGGTGTAGGCACAGGTGTAGATGCAGGTGCGGGGGTGGAGGTAGGTACAGGTGTAGATGCAGGTGTGGTTGGAGGTACAGGTGTAGATGCAGGTATGGGTATAGGAGTAGGTACAGGTGTAGATGCAGGTATGGGTATAGGAGTAGGTACAGGTGTAGATGCAGGTATGGGTATAGGAGTAGGTACAGGTGTAGATGCATGTATGGGTGTAGGTGTAGGAACAGGTGTAGATGCAGGTGCAGGGGTGGAGGTAGGTACAGGTGTAGATGCAGGTGTGGTTGGAGGTACAGGTGTAGATGCAGGTGCAGGTGTGAGGGTAGGTACAGGTGTAGATGCACGTATGGGTATAGGAGTAGGTGCAGGTGTAGATGCATGTATGGGTGTAGGTGCAGATGCAGGTGTGGGTAAAGGTGGGGGTGTGGAGAGAAGTTGCAGGTCACTGGGGAAAGCGTGTGCCATGGGAGGGAGTGGGCTACGCTGCCCCATCTCAGGGTGACACATGGGAAGGTTCCCTACAAAGTGGGGTAAGGAATGCCCAGGGCTAGTTCTGTAGTTGGGAGAGAGGCACAGGGTGGACCGAGGGGGTACACAGAGTGGCTGGGGTGCAGGAGGAAGGTCACTGAGTCGGCTTGCTGGCTTTAAGGTGTGAGAGACCAGTGCGTGACCATATGAGGGTCTGGACCCTCCTTCCCATCTGCTGTCTTCCGTCTCCTCTCCATGCCCATCTCTGTCTCCAGGCCTCCAGCCCTCCCTGTGGCATATGGGTGGATGAGCAGAGCTGGATGAGGGGAGTGGCTGGCCTCTTCCAAGGGAGAAGTCATCAGCTCACTGCCACCCTCTCTGCTCCACGCCCTCTGCCTGCCACCTGGGCCAGGAGTTTGTGCAGGAGTTTGTGCAGGCCATAGGCTGTTGTTTAAGTGCCTGGGCTGCAGGCCAAGAGCACTGGGCTGAGTGCCTGTCTCTCTGTGCCCCTAGCCAGCCCCCGGCCTCCCCCAGCACACAGGAAGCCATTCAGGGAATGCTGTCCATGGCCAACCTGCAGGCCTCCGACTCCTGCCTGCAGACCACGTGGGGAGCTGGCCAGGCCAAGGGGAGCTCGCTGGCTGCCCATGGTGCCCGGAAGAATGGGGGTGGCAGTGGCAAGAGTGCAGGCAAACGACTGCTGAAGAGGGCTGCCAAGAACAGTGTCGACCTGGACGACTACGAGGAAGAGCAGGACCACCTGGATGCCTGCTTCAAGGACTCAGACTACGGTGAGTGTCACTCCTGCGTGGGGCAGGGCCCATGCTCAGCCCTAGAAGGCCTGGCTGAGAATGGAGACAGTAGCATAAACATGCAGCTCTCCAAGTTACAGCAGGCCTCAGCTCAGCAAAACCCTCGGCCTCTGACTGCTGTCCCCGGAGACCCTCCTGTGAGCGAGACTGGCCGGGGCCCACATCTGGTGGACAGGCTTGGGCTTCGTGGTGGGGCCTACTCTAGTTTGACAAACAGAATGACAGCAAAGTGAACTCCTGTTTTCTGGGCTCTGGAGGTGTGTGGCACCGGGCGCCATCTTGCTTCCTCCTGAACCTTGGGTCCTGGGCATTCCTCGACAGGCCCCGGAGGTTGAAGGACCACAACCTGCAGTGAGTGTAGGGTGGCACTTGGCTTTTGAGGGTCACAGGGTCACCGCCTCACCGTGTTGGGGCAGCTCCCCACCAGCCACAGGTCATGCCCTACAGTGTCCCCTCCACCTAGACCCGCCAGGCAGGGTGGGGGCTGTCAGAGCCCACCCTCCATGGACGTTAGACGTTTTCCCTTTTCATAGCAACGGAAGGAGTTGTGAGGAGTTTTCACCAAACAGAACCTTTCCTGGAGCCTCAAAGTGTTTCTCTTGCAGGAACTGAGATGCCCTAGTTTGATTATGGGGTCCCATCCTTCCCTGGTTCCCCACTCTCTGCTGTAGCTTCCTCCAGGTGGGGCCTCTGGGGATCTCAAGCTCCATGAACAGATGTACGGAGGGCAGCCCTTAGAGGCCAGGGGCTTGCAGGCACTGGGGCTAGGCTGCACAGATGAGGCTGGGCAGGTAGATGCAGGTGCCTTCTTGTCTGGAGAGTCCCTGCCCCTCTGGATAATCTCTGGGGCCTGTGCCCATGCCTGGGGTGTCCTCACCATGGGCAGCTTCCATCACAGCTGACAGTGACACAGCGTGGCAGGCCTTAGTGTAGGCCCTGGGGTTGCTGGCGAGGAAGGTCTGCAGCCACCTGTACCCCCCCGCCCTCCTCCGTGGACCTGCCCTGCACTCAGCGGGCCACGCCTTCCCTCTGCCTCCCTCTAGTTTACCCCTCACTGGAGTCAGATGAAGACAACCCCATCTTTAAGTCCCGGTCGAAGAAAAGGAAAGGCTCAGACGACGCTCCCTACAGCCCAACAGGTAGTGCTGGGACAGGGGTAGGGGGTCCACCTGACACCCAGTGTGGAAGCTGTGACTTTGTCTGTGGTCCCTCCAGCCCCTGAGAATGTGGGCTCAGCTCTGCACCTGTCCTATCCTGAGGGCTGGGCAGCCCGTCCCGCTGGGGTTGGTCAGCTGCTTGCAGGAGTGCCGTGGGCTTCACTTCTGCTTTGCTTCTGGGGGCCTGGGAGCCCAGATGTGCTTCTACACAGCCCCAACTCAAAAGCCCTCACTCCTCTGGCTGGCTCCTCTCTGGTTTCTTCCTCAATGGGCAGCTCTGTGAGGGTCACCTTTGTACCGGAGGCACCCACTTGATGGTGGCTGAGGGACACCTGCTGGGGCAGCCAGTGGGGTGAGGCCTTGTCCACCTTCCACATTACCCTCACCCGCCTGCCCAGACTCTGATGTTGCTGGGCCTCCTGGGCTCTGCCCCATGCAAACCCCACTGTGGCATCTTCCCCCTTGGGTGGGGCAGCTGACCCTGCCCTATTGTGAGGCGGCTTCACAGCCAGGAATCCCTGTGCTTAGGCCTGCCTGGCCAGGGGGACAGGCTGGGGTGGGGGCAGGGTAGCCCCAAACCAGGAGGGGTGGACAGGCTGTGGCCTACAGCTTGAGGGGGCTGGCCCTTCTTTTCCACAGCAAGGGTCGGCCCATCGGTGCCAAGACAGGACAGGCCTGTGCGTGAGGGTACACGGGTGGCTTCCATCGAGACCGGGCTGGCGGCTGCTGCAGCTAAGTTGTCCCAGCAGGTGAGGAGGGGCGAGAAGGACACACGGCAGCCAGGTCCCTGCTACCCCCACCTGGTGGGCTCAGGTTCCCCAAGGCACCTGTTTCTCCACCCCATACACAGACCCACTGAGCCAGGGGTGGTCACAGGCTTGGGGACATTTGATTAGAGAGTGCCCTATTCCTCCAGGCCCTAAATTCCCCGTGTGGGGTCCGGGGGAGCTAGGAATTGACGACTGGGGCCCTGACACTGGACAGCCCTATTCGTGCCAAGGCTGGGCTACTCTCTGGTACAACAGCAGCTTGGAGGGAGCTCCCCTTCCCCTCCCCCCATCATGTGGGTGTTTTTGAGTTGTCCTCAGTTGGGAAATGAGGTGTTCTGTCTCTACATGCTCCTAAAAATCTCATCTCCCACCTTTAGCTCCTCCCAGCTCAGAAATGGAGGGTCCTAGAGCCTCACATACCCTCCCAACCAGGCCCAACCTCATCTGGGCACACAAGGAAGTTATTAGGATCAAAGTGAATATTCTTCCAGAACTGGGAGATGTATATGGCCACTGAGTGGGGTGATGGGGTAGGAGTGCCATCCTACAGGCTCAACTGCTAGGTTAACTCACACTGACAGGGAGGCCAGGCAGCTGCTGTGGGTGCTGGCGCCCTGTCCGTGTGCATGCTGTGCCCCTGGCGGCCCAGAGTCAGGCCTCAGGCCCCTGCTGCCCAGCCCTGCTGTGCTCAAGGGCCCCTGGCAAGGCCATGCCGGGAGCTCCCTGCTCTGTTGGCCCAAGTGGGCTGTGCGTCTGAGGCTGCCCTGCATGTTTTGTTCAAAGGAGGAGCAGAAAAGCAAGAAAAAAAAGAGTGCCAAGAGGAAGCTGACTCCTAACACCACCTCCCCTTCCACCTCCACCTCCATCTCTGCCGGCACCACCTCCACCTCCACCACGCCAGCCTCTACCACCCCGGCCTCCACCACCCCGGCCTCCACCAGCACGGCCAGCAGCCAGGCCTCGCAGGAGGGCAGCTCGCCAGAGCCCCCGCCTGAGTCGCATAGCAGCAGCCTGGCGGACCATGAGTACACAGCCGCTGGCACCTTCACCGGGGCCCAGGCTGGCCGCACCTCCCAGCCCATGGCCCCTGGGGTCTTTCTCACACAGAGGCGGCCCTCCGCATCGTCTCCAAACAACAACACCGCTGCCAAAGGTACTGTGCCTGCTGGAGGGAGCCTGCAGCCCCCCTGCCCTGCCTGCCCCCATGGGCAGCCCCAGACATGCAGACTCGGCCCATGGTAGAGGGCAGCACATTGGGAGGGCTCCTGGGCCTTGGGTGGCAGGGTGCTGTGGTCCAAGTTGGTTGCATCTTTGTGTGAGCGTATCCCACAGTACAGGACGTGTGCTTTCATCCTTCTGCTCAGTGGGCGTGCTCAGCCCCTGATCTGCCTGCACCCCTGCACCCCAGCCGTGGGGCCGGCCAGCTGTGGGGACTGAGTGATGCAGCACGGGGTGCTGGCAGTGGCTCCTGGCCTTGTTACTGGGGGTGGTGCCCAGGCATCCTCATGTCCTCCTCATAATGCCATCCCCAAGCCCATGTCCATCCTACCTGCCAGGGCCCCTTGAGGACACGGCCTCTGAGGCGGAGGCTTTGCCAGTGATCCCAGACTCCTGAAGGGTGCTGAGCTCGGAGCTGGGGCTTCATAGGCCCATTTTACAGATGGGGGACTGCAGGCTGCCCCTTAGTGTCAGCGGGACCCTCCCCCCCACCGGCATGCCACGCCCCTTGCCATCTAGCTTACCTTCCCTTTTTGTGTCCCCTCCCCGACTCCCCTAGGAAAACGTACGAAAAAGGGCATGGCGACCGCCAAGCAGAGGCTTGGGAAAATTTTGAAAATTCATCGGAACGGGAAACTACTCCTTTAAGATTTGGAAAGCCAGGATCCTTCTGCTCCGCTCAGGACCCCCGGAGCCCCGCGAAAACATCTGCCTCCCAGGAGGGTGCCGAGCTGCCTCACCAGGGAGGGCCTTGCCTCTTCCCGGCTGCCATCTCCCCAACAAGCGTCTGTCCCTTCAGCCGGCAGAGCGAGCCCAGCGTGGCCCCTCAATTTGAAAATGGACGTCTTTTCTCAAGTTGCTAAGAGTGATCTGTCCCAGAAAAGCGGCCCTGCAAGTTTGAGGACCGCTTATTCCACTTTAAGGACAGCCTTCAGGCCCCCTGAGCGTGGGTGTGATTGCAGGGCCTCTGCAGCTCTGCTGAGAGCATGAGTCCTTCAAGGAAGACAGAGTGAGCCAATGCTCACCAGCCCCAGAGTCAGAGCTGGCCACAGGCTGGCAGCCTCCAGGGGCTTAAAAAAAAAGGCAAAGAACACAGAAAGAGGAGGAGCAAGTGGGATGTTTATGTCCCCCCTTCTCTTCCTGAGTGATTCTCAGCCAAGTCCAGACAGTGCTCGGCGGGTGAGGAAGGGTCTGCCCCGAGCTTTCTGGTTGGCAGGTGGCAGCAGGATGGTGGGTGTTCAGCCTGAATGCCCAGGAGCATTTCTGGGGGGCAGCTAAGACTGGCAGCTGGGTTGGTGTGTTAGCGGGCAGGGGAGCCATTGTGGGGTCCCCAGGAAAGGGCAAGGGCTCAGCCACATCTTGGGGTCTGGGAGGCCCAGGCTAAGCCATGTGGCAGGGACCGTCTTGCCCTGCTGGCCACACTCTGGAGAAGCACTTCTCAGCCAAGGCACCCCTGCCCTGGGACTGGCAGGGCAGGGGCAGGGGCAGGGACAGTGGCCAGGCGGCCCGAGGACTTACGGTCGGCACTTCTCTGTTCTCCCGTGTCAGCGTGTGGTGTCGCCTGCATGGGTCGTACCTGGATGGTGTGTCCACCATCGACACGGAGGGGCTGGATTTGTTTCTCAGGCAATCCTGTATTTTAATTTTAGATGTATTTCCTGAAGCATATTTTTCATAGAATGTAGCGTGTAAATAGCTTTTTAAATAACTTCTTTTTTATAAGAGTAAAAGTATCTTTAGGAATTTCTTTCTATAGAGTTCTTCATTAACATTTATACGAGTTTTTTGCTGAGTCAGATGGACAGTTGGGTTCTGATGCTTTTTCCTTCTCCTTTCCTTTTATTATTATTATTTTTTTCTTTTAAGAACTAAGGTATTGCCTGAAAAACAAGTGATGTCTGTGCAGCCTTACACTCTGTCTTTACAGAAGCAAATAGTACACAAAAGATCTATTTCAGACACATTTTGAAGATGAATCTTCAACTTTAATACCAGCTCTTTGTTTTCCTTGTATGATGAGGGGATTGGGGGATACAGTTATTTTACTAGCACCTTGTGAAGTGTTTCCGTGTTTTGTGATGCTGTAATTTATTAATGTTTGTAGCTTTTTATATTTGTACATTTCTTATGAGCTTTGTTTATATACCCATTACCTGGATGTTTTTGTCCACTGGGAGAGGCAGCTTGGTGGAGGCCTTATCCACTCCCACTTGTCCTGTTTGGAGGGACGCAGTCCCTAGGGCCCGAGACTGGGTGGGAGAGGGGGAGTCTCACGGGGCCCCAGGCTTATTCAGAACTGGTGTTTTTAAAGTTTCCTTTACCCTGCCCTTGTTGAACATTTATATAATCTAACCTGGACATCAAGCTGTTCTCTCTCTCTCTTTTTTTTAATTTTATTATTATTATTTTGGCAACATGTACATTTCTAACAAAGTTTATCGTGGCTATTAAAGTGTTTTATTTCCCAATTCATATTACTCTTGTATCGAGTCCATGAGGTCTAAGGCAACTTAGATCAAAGTTTTAAAAAAGTAAAAATATTTCAGGTTTTGTACAGAACCATGTCTGTGTCATTTCTGCCTCGACTGTAGTTGTTCACCCTGGCAGTGAGGGTGGTGGGGAGGCTCCAGCCACCTGCGTTCCTCATGGAAAGCTTCGGGTTGCTCAGCCAAATCACACACAGCACCCCAAGCTGGCTGGCAGGAGTGGACAGAAGAGACCCTCGGGGGCTGCAGGGGTGGCAGCAGCGTTTGTCAGTCCCAGCCCTGAGGATGTCCTTGGGAAGCCTCTAGAACCTTCTTTTGGACTCAAGGGTATGGCGTTTGGCTGAGTCCAGTAGGCACACACATGTGCACCCCAGCACGGATGCACACCCAGAAGCATTCAGTCCCTTGCACGGTTCTAGCCTAAGTCTGATGTGATTACAGCTAACTACCAGGAACAGCCCTTACCTGACAGAGGCACTCAAATGGTGCAAGCCCAGGGAGGGTGCTGAGCGCAGGGGTGGGGTCGCTGCTCGTGATGTGTGGCAGGCAGGGCTGCTGGGACACAGGTGAGGCCTGGGTCAGTCTGTTGGTGGGGGTGCATGCGTGGGGGTGCTGGTGACAATGTTGAGGACCACGGATAAACAGGCCATTTGGCGTTTATTGAAGAAACATGAATAACCTCGGGCCATTTGGGCAGGCAGATGCTGAGAATCAAGGGGTGTGATGACGGCTGGACTGGCCCAGGCCCCCACACATGGGGTCTTGCCCTGGGATGGGAGCTGGGAGTGGGATAAGCTGGAGACAAGTTTGGCCTGGGTCACCCAAGGTTGCTCAGCTTGCAGGTTGCTGAGCAGGGTCGGCCCTGGCTGCCAACACCCTGAGGAAGCAGGATCTCCAGTAGACCCTGAGCAGAGGGCTCTGCCGTGCTGGGTGTCTGACCCACCACTGCAAGATTCTAGGGGTTTTGTCAACCCGCAGACCTGTGGTCATTCACTCCATGCAGTTTGTCATGTGGCACAGGAAACTAACCCAAGGCTGCCCTTGGGCAAGTCCTTTCTCGCTCTGAGCTTTGTTTCCTCCAGTCCCTGCTGGGTGCTCCGGGGGATGCTCCCACCACGCATGGTGGTCGAGCCCCCAGGAGGAACCCCTCCAGGACCTGGGGGCTCCCCAGGATAGGGCGGGGTCCCAGTGCTGCCCCCAGGTGGTGCCTGGGACCCATGCTGGGGCTGCCCAGGCTGCCAGGCATTTTGGATGCCCCTGGGCTGTGGGCACTCCCACAGCCTGAGCCACTCCGCTGGACTCCACAAGAGCTGGGTATCCTCTGCACACCCCCAGGCTGCCTGGGAAGCTGGCCTGTCCTTGCCAGGTCCAGCTAGAGACTGTCCTATGCTTCCCCCAGGAGTCCCTGCACCTTCAGCCCCGCAGCCACTGAGATAAAGTGTGCAGCGCCCTTCAGGCCCGGGCTCTGGAGCTCCAACCACCCTCAGTCTGGCCGGCCCCCTGGGCCCAGCATCTGGATCTTGGTGGAGCTGTCTGGGTGCTAGTTGGGTCCACCTCCACCAAGCACTGCTGTTAGGACTCACAGGAGCTGAGCACCCTGGGCCCTGGAAGGGGCTTCTGCGGCTGCCCAGCATCTCCTGGAGCCCAGGCTCCGCCCTGTGCTGCACTCGGGCCGGCCCAGTGTCTCGAGCCCAGCCCCCACTGAGTGCCAGGCAGCCTGTGAGCCAAGTGTCATGCAAGGATCCTGCCCAGGTGTGCGGCACACAGACCTGGACATGCATCTCTGGGTGTGCGCCTGCAGCCGGGAGGCCAGGGGCCCATGTGGCCCCAAGCATGCCCCTAGCTGTGGCTCTTCCCCTAACCTTGGTGTCGGTGCTGACTGCCCTATGACAGTGAAGTTGGGAGGGTGAGGTCTGGGAGGGAGCTGCCGACCAGCAGCGGACTTTGTGGGTCACGCCTCTGAGATTCAGGCCTGTCTGTCCCTGCAGCCTGCCCAGCTTGGCCTGAGCAAGTTCAGTGCGCAGTGCAGTGAACACACACAAGCAAACTGCCCCCGGTCCCGCCCTCCAAAGCTCGCTGGATTCCACAGTTGTTTACTGAGTGGCTACTGTGTGTCCGAGACTGTGTGGAGAACCTGCCCCAGACTTCACCATGACTGACAACCTGGGGCAGGTGTTATCATCAGCCAGTTCTGCCCAGGAGTCCACCGAGGTTCAGAAGAGGCACCCGCTGCTCACGGTAGAGCGGGACCCACACCTGCCGCCTGGACCACAGGATCACAGGACCACAGGACAGCGTGTGGGGGAGACATGCCTCCAGGTGGGAAGGGCAGGTCTCCAGGGGCGCCTGGAGCTGACCATAGAAAGTGATGTTTCTAGCAACATGAGCAGAGGTAGAGGCAGGCAGCAAGACCCTGGGGTTGTCAGACATGGGCCCTGTGGGCTGAACAGAAAGGAGAGTCTGCAGCGGCTCAGAGCAGGGCCCTGGGGCCACCGTCACAGTGGAGGGATGCGTCAGGCCCTTGGGGAGCCCCGCAGTTCGGGAGCAGGTGGAGTGAGCTCTCCAGGACTACAGCCTGCTGCTGGTTGGCCAGAGGCGAGGGACTCTTCCCCTGCCCCTGCCATGTGCCCATCATCTCCATGCCTGGTGGGGAGCTCAGAAACTCGGCCAGGTCAGTCTATTCTGCAGGACCCTGCCTATATATGTGCCCACATCCTTTCGCCCCGGCTGGACCCAGAGCCGGTCCCTGAACCTGCAGTTGGCAAAACAGGGTTCAATTTGCGAACCTTTGGGGCCATACCCAGAATAACCACCGGGGGGCAGGGCAGGGCCGGGAACAAGGAGGACAATTGTGTGAGGTTATTTAGTGCCTGGGGCTGGGGCGGGTGCTGGGACTTAAGGGCTAATGGCAGGCGTGATGGTAACTATGGGCCAAAACAACAACAACAACAAAAAAACAAGCATGCTGTGAGTGCTGGGAAGGAAGGCGACAGTAAAAATCAGCTCAGCTTAGTCATTGATGCACATGTGCTCTGTTACCTTGTTCATGCTTCACAGTCGCCCCCCAAGGGAGATCCCCTGAGCGTCTCTATTTTACTGATGAAGAAACTGAGGCACAGAGTCTCTCAGCTGCTAGAGCAGGAATTTACGTCCAAGCAGGTCAGCTCCAGGGCCTTTGGGCTTATAAGTGAGACCTGCAGAGAGACATTCTGCAGCCAGCAGCCAGGAGGCAGCTTGCAAGGCCTGCGGAAGGAGGGCTGTGGGTGTGGGGCAAGGGGCGGTGCAGGAGCAAAGGCCCTGAGGTGTATGGCTGCAGCGAGGGCCTGAGCCAGTGGAAGAGCAGGGTGTAGCTCGGAGCTCAGCTAAGGGGCACCAGCGCTGTCTCCACAGCGGCTCTCTCTTTACCACCCCTTTCCCCTAGATAGGCAGGTCTCTTTCCCCTGCCTGCCCCAGCCTAGCCTAGCCTGAGCTCTGTGCCCATCCCAGACTCTGCACAGCCCTGGGCAAGGAGCCTGATTTGTGGATGGTGACACTGAGGCAGGTCTTGTCAAAGACATATGGCTGCCAAGGGTCTCTGCCCTCCTTGTTCGCAGTATCAAGAGGCTGGAGGGTAGTGTGGAAGGGAGAGTTGAGAGGGCTTACGGTACAGGGTTAAAAAGAGAGAGAGAGATGTTGCTGATTTTAAAATCCAAGCTGTGTTCCAGTCTTCGCGAAAACAGTCTCCTTAATAATAATTCCCAGTGGTGACGGTGACATAAGTACTCAGACGGAAGGTCTCAGATATCCGGGTCCAATACCGCTGGTCTTGTCCAGTGACCCTGTGGCCAGTGTGGTCACAGTTCCTGAGCACCTACTGTGTGCTATGCAGGGCACTACAAGCTTTCCTCTGGCTGGCTGACCACTTAGCATGCTCCCTAAGCCCCGGCCCATGGAGGGAACAGGGCTGGGTCATGGGCTGGGCAGGCTTAGACAGTCTGGCCTGGGGGGCCTTTGAGCAGAGCCTTGAGAGCCTGAGAGAAGAGTGTAAGCAGAGGGGACAGCCTGTGCCAAGGCCCTCAGGCAGGAGCCAGCTTGCTGGGGAAGAGCCAGGAGGCAGTTAGGTGAGGAGAGGGCACTGAGAGCCAGCAGGGCCAGGGTTAGAGGGAGGCTTCATCCCCTCAAGCCCTTGGCAGGTCCTTGCCCAGCCTGGCTGTGTGGCCTTGGAGGACAGCCTCAGCCTCCTCATCTCCAGAGTGGGGGTGATGGCGCTGACCCACATAGAGTTGCTCCAGGGCCCACGCTTCCCTGTGTGCCCCCCACTTCCCAACAGCCCCTTGTGGAGCACTCTTCTACCCTTCTGCAAGCCCTGCTCAGAGGGTCTTGCTCACTGTGTGACCTTGGGCAGGTCACTTTCCTTCTCTGGGCCTCTTTTTTTTCCCTCTGCCTTGCTGACGGCAAGGCTGCCTCCACCCGGAGGGGCAGGGGAGGTTCCCACTGGAGCTGAGGCAGGGGAGAGGTGTCCTCACCCAGGCCTTGACTTCTGCCCTCTAGGCCTTATCGAGAGTGGTGATGGCCTGCAGCGCTGCCTTGGGCGACCAGGCCTGGCCCGAGAGCTTCCGTGGGTGGACCTGGCACTGAAGCACAGTAGGAGGTGCAGGGGAAACCATGTCCTGGACCTCAGGCCTGTACTGATGCTTAAACACTTACTGATTTCCAGTTTTCGGTTCTTTCTCACATTTTGCAGTACATTTTTTTCTTGGCCGCAACTTAAAGTTTTTGTCTGCAGAGCCCTGTGGCCAGAGGGACTGGCTGTGGTGACTGGGGTGCAAGGTGGGGTGCCCTCAGGGGCCCAGCTGGGCTGCGGATGCCTGATGGATGCCCCCTGGCAAGCCCCAGCTGCCCCATTGAGCCACCCATTGCCCTTGAACCCTCTTCCAGGCCGAGTCCCACCGTTGCCTCATCCAAACAACCCCAGCGATGCCACCTCGGTAGAAAAATGATGCTGTTCCATTAACATCTGACACGGATTTGCAGGCCCCAAACAGACGAGCGAGCTGTAAACACCCGGTGCTGGCTGGGCCCTCGCCCGGCCTCCAAGTAGGATCCTTGTCATTAATCGTCCTCCCGCCGGCCAGGCTGGGCCCTGGGCCCCACTGTCCAGCCAGTGCTATTCCAAAATCAGAATCCTCCTTGTCCCCTGCAAACTGCATTTACCAAACAATGGACTCGCCGGCTTCGCAGGCAGGAGCAGAAAGAGAGCGTGCACCCCACTTCTGGTGCTGATGTGGGTGGTGGAGGTCCTGGTGCTGCCTTTGCCCACTGTATGACCTGGGGCCTTGACTTCCTGCCTATAAAATACAGCAATACCCCTGGTTTCCTGAGGGTCTTGTGAGAATGAGAATCGAGGGCCTGGTGTGCCACGATTCCACCTGCCCGGTGTGCTCTTGGGGACAAGTCTCTCAGGCTGCCTGGTTGGGAAGGGTGGGCTGCCAAAGGGGCCGGCAGCTCCACAGAGCCCTCTTGTCAGCACGCCCTGCCTGGGAGCAGCCCACTGCGGTGCTGGGTGATTTCTGCTCATTGTGGCTGATTTAATAAGTGTGTGAGGCCACCTCCATGTTGTTACCTATATCTTTTTATCCAGAAGAGGAAGGATTTTGTCCATGTGTTGTCCAGGAGTACCATGTGTGTACACCAATGTGAGGTTTTGTCCACTTGTGAAAGGGAAATCTTACATAAATGTGCAGTGACTCACATATTTGGTAGAGGAAGCTTTGGTCTGCGACATGCCCAGGAGTACATTTGTATTTCCTTCCTTCCGTCTTGGGCTCCTTTCTGTTAGAGTTTAGGAAAACTACATGTCTGTGCCTCCAGGGGGCCATCGGCATCTCTGCTCTGCTCCCTGGGCTGGCAGGGACCCCAGTGGGGACAATCATCTTACCTTCCAGCGCCATCAGGATTACAGAGGTAAGCCACCTTAGCTCAGTGTCAGACGTTTACTGGGATTATTATCATTGCTCAAAAAAGCCATTTATTTCACCTTTACATCTGGGGAAAAAGACAGTCCTGTTTCCTTATTATTTACTTTTTAAACCACGCAGCTCTGCTCCACTGGGATGTATTGTAATTTGCTGCAGAGCACTGGGATCGCCCTGATATATTCCCCGTTGGTATCCAGGTATTTGTGGCACATAAATACACAGAAATTACTTTCCCTGAAGATGGGATTTTCCCGGTGTAAAAGTTTAATCAATGTCTGGACTCTGCTTGTCCAGGGTTTCCAGGTGCAATGCTGGAATATGTTCCCAATCTACCAGATCCTTATTGTCCTCCTTGGATTGATGAGCTGCAAACCCATGAAGCAAACCTGAAGGCTGTTGATGACCTCAGGCTGCATCCACTTTCCCTGTTCAGGGAGGAGGGGTGCGATCTCCTGGTCAAACCCTCCCTTTTCCCCCAGCTCAATGCAGACACTCTCTGGGCTTAGCTCTCCACTTCACTCTGGGGCGGGTCATGGGGTGGGGGGGGTGTGCAATCTCCCAGGACCCCCTACACCAGCCCTGCCCTGTCTAGGTCTCCTGATTCCCTTCTTTATTGCTCCAAATTCAGCTTTGAAACAGTATTTCCTCTGGTCACTTTCCTGCTCAACCACCATCTGTGGCTCTTCACTGTTACAGGATCCTGACACTCTGTGTCAAACAAAGGATCCTCCATTGTTTTGTACTACAACTCTCACAGCCCCAGCAGGGCATCCTTTGCGCAGTCATCAGGCCTCCCCAGGCCCATTTCACCCCTGAGGATGGTCTCCATTTGACCTCATGTTAGCTGGCGCTGGGGCCACAGTGGTGAGCCAGCTGTGGTCTTCCCCTTGGGGAGCCCCAGCTCCTGGGCAGGTAAGGGCCTCAGTGGTCAGTGGGTAGCAAGGTGAAAGGAATGGCCAGGGACCCTGGAGGAGAAAAGGATTGGAGACCAAGGTAAGGAGGGGCACACAGGGAATTTTAGAAGAGGAAGTGCCAGAATGGAGTCTGACAAGAAGAGACTGTGATTCCAGGTGGGGAAAGAGAGTGTCAGAGGAAGGGGCTCCAGGCAGAGGTACCCATGAGTGCACAGTAGGGTCCAGAGTGAGAGCAGGGAAGGACAGGGGGCAGGTCTGGCGACTGGCCAGGCTGCTGGAGAAGTGCGACGTGTATGGGGCAGGGGCTGGGCCCCAGGCTGCGCAGGGTCCTGGGGCAGGTGGGGATGGAGGAAGGAGCTGCATTGAGCTTGGCCCTGCAGATGTGGATTAGGACACACAATGTATCTGAGTGGCCCTTCTGGGGTCTGCGGTTATCGCTGTTGCCTCCTCCGAGACCCTAGTGATTCAAGGCCTGAGGGTGCACAGGCAGGCAGTCAGGGGCATGGTCAGGTAGCAGGGGGCTGGGTCTGGCCACCTCTACCACAGTGGGCTTGGCTGGCCTAAACAGGCAGGCCAGGGGCTCCTGGAAGTCTAGATGGCAGAGGGCAAGGCTTGGGATTGTCCAACCACAGCCTGTGCCAGACAAGTGGCCTCTGGCCCTCCATCCCATACTCCTCTGAGGGTGACCATGTCTATCCTGGGTGCTCAGCCCAAACTCGGCTAGACTGCGAATTGGAAGCTGCCTTCCTGGGCCAGCCTTAGGGATGGGGCCTGGAGAAAAGATTTCCCCTCTGGCCTCAGTCTTAGCTCTGGGTCCGAGGCCATAGACCAAACCAAAGAGAAGTAGGAACACAGCTCTGAGGCTGTCAGCTATTGTCTATGGCCCCCATCCCCTGGCAGTACAGTAAGCAACTGAGGCCAAGTGACACCAAGTGACATGGGTGTTCTCATGGCCCATCCAAAAGCAATCATACTTCAGGCTTGTGGGAGAGACAGATCCTCCCCCACTAGGAAGCCCTGTGGAAGTCCAGGTAATGAGAGCATTGAGATTTGAGCAGGATGCTTCAGGGTGGATTACTGAGTTAGAAGCTCCTTCGAGAAGCAGAAGTGGGAACAGATGGTAAGGGTTGAGGGACCAAGAAGAAGGGAGGTGGTTAACAAGTCTTGAGCTGGGGCCAAGGCCAGAGTCATGAAGAGGACAGCATAGATTTGAGAGCCACCTGTCCTCCTATAAATCCTGGGAAGCTTGGAGAAAATGCCTAGCTAAGAGAAATGAAACCAACTGAGGAACAGACCTCCCATTCCCCAGAGCGGGACCATCCAGTAGAACACTCTGCAATGACAGAAATGTTCATATCGTGCCATCGAGCACTTGAAATGTGACTAGTGTGACTAAGTTATGAATTTAATTTTTTTCTCTTTTTTCAAAATTGAGTGGATCTGTGGAACAAAATTTTAAATTTTATTTAATTTTAAATTAATCATGTGAAAAATCAAAGAAACAGAAAATAGAAATGCAAAAGAGGAAAATCAATGAAACAAAAAATGGGTTCTTTGAAAAGATCCATAACATTGATAAACCTCTAGCTAGAAAGATTAAGAAAAAAATGTAGAAGGCACAAATTACTATTATCACAAACAGAGGAGTGGCCATTACTACAGATCCCGCAGGCATTAAAAGAATAACAAGTGAGTATTAGGATCAAGCTTATACAAATAAGTTTGACGAATTAGATGGAAAAATTCCTTGAAAAGCACAAGTAACCAAAACTGATGCAAAAATAGAAAATCTGATTAGCTCTTGCCATATTAAAATTGAATTCATAATTAAATGTCTTCCAACATTTTATAAAGATATGGTATATAAACTCTTTCAGAAAATAGAGGACGAGGCAAAACCTCTCATTTTACAAGGCCAGCATTACCCTGGTATCAAAATTATAGACATTAAAAATAAATTACAAAGAAAACTATACACTTATATTTCTTATGTATGCAGTCACAGATTCTCCACAAAATACTAGAAAACTAAATCCAACAATATATACAAAGGATAATACATCATGTTGAAGTGATGTTTATCTCAAATCAATCAGTGTAACCACACTAAGAGAATAAAGAAGGAAACCATATGACTAAAAATCACTCGATAAAACTGAATACCCATTCAAGACAAAAGTTTCCAGAAATGTAGAATTAGAAGGGAATGTCCTCAGCCTGATAAAGGGCATCGATGCATACTTTGTGGTAAGGAGAATGAACACTTTCCCCCAAGAACAGAATTGAAGTAAGAATATCCACTCTTAGCACTTCTATTCAGCTTTGTACTTAGCCAATGTAATAAGGCAAGAAAAATAAATTATAAAAAACATTTTAGATGGCACTCACAGATGGCATTATTATATTTGTAGAAATTCCTCAGGAATCTAGTAAAGAGCTACTGGAACTGTTTTGAGCAAAGACCTGGAGCATGAATCAGTTTTGTGTGTAATGGCCAAAGGAGGAGGCAAAGAGAAAAAGTAATAAGACTGGAAAGATTGGCAAAAGCCAGTTTATCAAGGTTATAGAATACAAGTTCAATACTAAAAAGTCAATTGTATTTCTATAGGCTAGCAATGAACAAATGGAAAATGGAATTATAAAGCAATACTTTTTACAATAGCATAATAAAGATGAAATATTTTGGGATGAATTTAACAAAAATATTTGCAAAGCCTATACCCTAAAAACTACCAAAACTGTCAAGAGAAACTGAAGAAGGCTTTAAACGGACAGACAAAGTGTGTTTACAAATTGGAAGAGTCACTATTTTTAAGATTTTATTTCCCCCAAACCAATCTATTCACTTATTGCATTTCAATCTTGGCAATATTTTTGATAGAAATTGAAAGATATTGACATAGAAATATGAAGGACCTAGAACATCCAAAACAAATAATTTTCCAAAAGAACAAACTTGGAGAACTACACTGGTTGATGTCAAGAGTGAATATAAAGTTATAAAGACTTCTTATTAGCTGGGTAAATAAAACAGTGTAGTAGATAAAGAAAAATGCAAATGAATGGAATATTCAGAAATTAATTCACATGCATATGGTTAATTGAGTTTTAACAAAAGTATGAGGGCATCTCAATATGGAAAAGGAATGTCTGTTCAACAAATGATGCTGGAAAACTAGACATCTGCCTAAGGGCAAAAAAGTGAACTTTTACTCTTAACTCATACCATACACAAAAATTAAGGCCAAAGGGATTCAAGGCCTAAACTTAAATGTTAAAGCAATACATTTTCTAGAAGAAAACATAGGAGAAATCTTAATAAACTTGTATAGGCAAAGGCTTCTTAGACTGAACACAAAAAGAACAAAACGTAAAATAAAAAAATTGACAAGCTGGACTTCAAAATACATTTTTTTGTAAGTTTCTAATAAAAAAATTAAAAGGTAAGCCATGGGAAAGCTATAAACCTACAGATAGAAGAAGCTAAATGAATTTCAAATAGGATAAACCTAAAGAAATCCACACCAACCAAGACACATTACATTTAAACTTATGAAAGTTACAAAGACAATGTCTTTTTGAAAAAAGTCTGAGAAATGGCACATCACCTACAAAGGAGCACCAATTCAAATAACAGCAGATTCTTCATCTGAAACCATGGAGTTCAGAAGGAAGTGGTGCAACAGTTTTCAAGTGAAAGAAAAGAGCTGTCAACCCCAAATCCTGTACTTAGTGAAACTATCTTTCATGAATGAAGAGGAAATAAAGACACTCTCAGATGATCAAACACTAAGATAACTTTTTGCTAATACATCCACTCTTAAAAAAATAGCAAAGAAGAAAATAATAACAAGAATACTGGGACCTTTAGAAAGGAAAGAACAACAACAAAATAGATAAAAATTAAAAAGACAAAAATAGAAGTAAATGAAATAGTTAAAAATAGAAGTAAATTCTTCAAAAGAGTTTCTTTAATCATATTTTGTGGTTGAAAAAAGGTAATAGTATCCTCAGATATGGTGTTCAATATATGTAGAGGAAATAATTAGGAACATTATATTTTGAAAGTTGAGACTATAAATGAAGCCTAAGTGGAAGTAAGATTTCTAGAAATTACTCAGATTGGTAAAACATCTGCACCACTAGATTGCAAATAAATAATGTATGTACATGGTAATATCTAGAACAATCACTAAGTATACTATACAGAGCTATATTATTAAAAATCATTAAAAATAAATCAGAATGGAACTCTCAAAAATGTTCACATAACACACAGAAAGGCAAAAAAAAAAAAAAAAAAATAGAGGAATAAAAAGCCAAAAGTAACAAATAGAAAATAATAATAAAGTGACAGACTTAAGCCCTAACATGTCAATAATTGCTATAAATGTAAATGGTCTAAATACATCAATTAAAAGGCAGAGACTGGCAGTGTGACTAAAACATGCTTCAACTATAGGCTGTCATCAAAAGACTCACTTCAAACAAAATTATATAGCTAAGTGAAAGTAAAAGAATGGAGAGATATGCATTGCAAGCATTAATTTAAGAGAAAAGAATAAGTGGCTACAATTATATCACATAAAGTAGAATTTAGAAAAACGATAATATCTGGGAACAAAGAGGGACGTAATGATAGAAGCAACATTTGATCCGGAAGATAGAGCAATCCTAATATTTATGCACTAAACAACAGAGCTTCAAAGTACATGAAGCAAAAACTGATAAAGCTGAAAGGAGAAAGAGAGAAATCCACAATTATGGTTAAGACTTAAACACTCAACTCTTAGCAACTGAAAGAACAATCCACTGAACAACAGAAGAATGCACATTCTTTTCAAATAGCCATGACATTTACCAAGATAGACTTGGGCCATAAAACAAACCTTAACAAATTTTAAAAAGTTGAAATCATACAAGGAATGTTCTCTGACAATTTCGATTTAATCAATAGTCGGTGATTTAATCAATGATCACTTAGAAATCAACAGGGTAAACACAAAAGGAACATCTCCAAACACTTGGAAAGTAAACAACACATTTCTAAATAATCCATGAGGGCAAAAAGGAGGTCTCAAAGAAAAATCAATAATAAATAGAACTGAGTAAAAATTAAAATGCATATCAGCTGGGTTCGGTGGCTCACGCCTGTAATCCCAGCACTTTGGGAGGCTGAGGCGGGTGGATCACACGATCAAGAGTTTGAGACCATCCTGACCAACATAGTGAAACCCCTTGTCTACAAAAATTAGCTGGGTGTAGTGGCATGCGCCTGTAATCCCAGCTACTTGGGAGGCTGGGGCAAGAGAATTGCTTGAACCCAGGAGGCGGAGGTTGCAGTGAGCCGAGATCGCACCACAGCATTCCAGCCTGGGCCACAGGGTGAGACTCCATCTCAAAAAAAAAAAAAAATGCATATCAAAATTTGTGGTATGCAGCAAAAGCCATGCTGAGAGGGAAATTTATAGCATTAAACACTTATATTAAAATAGGGAAAGTTCTCAAAACCATAATCTGTATTTGTAATGGACTAAATGCTTGTGTCTCTTCAAAATTCGTATGTTGAACTCCTAACTCTCAATGTGATGATATTAGTAGGTGTGATCATTGTGAGGTGATTAGTTCAGGAGTGTAGGACCCTTGTGAATGTGACTAGTGCCCTTATAAAAGGAAACAGAGCATTCTCTTGCTGCTTTCCATTGTGTGAGGATACAATGAGTAACTGGCAGTCTGTGAATCAGGAAGTGGGACCTCACCAGACACTGAATCTGCCAGCAAATTGATCTTAGGCTTCCCAGCCTCCAGAGCTGTGAGAAATAAATGTTTCTTGTTTCAGCTACTCTGTCTATGGTATTTTTGTTATAGAAGCCTGAACAGACTAAGACAACATTCATACCTCAAGAAATCAGAAAGAGAATAGCAAAATATCTCCAAAGCAATCTGAAGAAAGGAGATAATATAGATAAGAGCATAAATTGGTGCAACTGGAAACAGAAAAATAATATATAAAATTAATTTTAAAAAATTATTAAAGTTGATAATCTTCTTAAAAAAACCTAAGATAAACAGACAGAGGACCCAAATCACCAACACCAGGAAGACTCAAATCACCAATACCAAGAGGGAATATCCTAAGAGACTCGGCAACCATTTAACATGTGATAAGAGAATACTGTAAACAACTCCATGCTCATAAATTTGATAACTTAGAAGAAATGGACCAATTTCTCAAATATCACAAGTAACCAAAATTCAATCAGATGAATAAGGCAAACTGAATAGTCTTATTGCCATTAAATAAATTGAATCGATCATTTTAAAGCTCTAAAAAAAGAAATCTTCAGGCCAAGATGGTTCACTGGAAAATTCTAGCAAACACTTAATTAGCACCATTTCTACATAATTTATTTCAGAAAATGAAAGAGGAAGAAACACTTTCTAACTCATTCTATGAGGACACCATTATCCCGATACCAAAACCAGACAGAGACATTACAAGAAAAGAAAATGACAGACCAATACTTCTCATGAACTTAGATTTAAAAGGTCCTCAACAAAATAGAAGGAAATAAAATCCAGCAGTATAAAACAAATTACGCTATGATCAAGTAGGATTTATTCCAGGTATATAAGGCTGGTCCAATATTTAAAAATAAATCAATACAATCTACCATATCAACAGGTTAAAGAAGAAAAATATAATTATATCAATTGATGCAGAAAAAGCTTTTGACAAAATCCAATAACAATTCATAAGAAGCAAAACCTAAGCAAACTAGGAGCAGAGAGGAACTCCCTCAATTCGCTAAAAAAAATCTGCAAAAACCCTATAGCTAATACTATACTTAATGGTGAAAGACTGAATGTTTTCCCTCTGAGTTTGGGAACAAGGAAAAGATATTTGCATCACCACTGTTATTTCACACAGTACTGGATGTTCTAGCTACTGTGATGAGGCAAGGAGGAAAAAAAGCAGATAGATCGTAGAGGAAGAAATGAAACTGTTCCCATTGCAGATGACATGATTGTTTATGTAGAAAATCCAGAGGAATCTATAAAACAAAACAAAACAAAAACTCTTAGAAATAGTGAGTTCAGCAAGGTTGAAGGATAAAAGATCACTATACAAAAGTCGATTGTGTTTCTATATACTAACAGTGAACATCTGGAAACTGAAACTTAAAACTACAATGCCATTTTTTACTCACTCCAAAGAAAATTAAATACTTAGGTATAAGCATAACAAAGCATGTACAGGGTCTGAAGCACTGACAATTACAAAATGTTGATAAAATAAATCAAAGAAGACCTAAATAAGTGGAGAGTCATACCATGTTCATGAATTGAAATACTCAACATGGTAAAGAAGTCAGTTCTTTCCAAACTGATCTATAGGTTTAATGCAATTCATATCAAAATCCCAAGAAGGCATTTGGTAGACATAGAGAAACTTATTGCAAAATGTATATGGAAAAGCACAAGACTTAAAGTAATGTTTGTGTTCTCTCAAATTCATATGTTGACACCTTAACCCCCAGTACCTCAGAACATGACCTTATTTGGAGACAGGGTCTTCACAGAGGTAATCAAATTAAATTAAGGTTATTAGGGTGGGCCCTAATTTAATGTGTCTGGTGTCCTTATAACAAGGGGAAACTTGGAGACAGACACACACACAGGAAGAACACCAAGGAAAGATGAAGACCACCATCTATAAGCCAAAGGGAGAGGCCTGGAACAGATTCTCCCTCAGCCCTTTGAAGGAACCAACCCTGCCGGCACCCTGATCTCAGACATTCATCCTCTAGAAATACGAGACAGTACCTTTCTGTTGTTTAAGCCACTGAGTTGGTGGTACTTTGTTATGGCAGTCCTAGCCCACTATCCATAATATAATTAGCTAAAGCAGTTTGGTCAAAGAGGAATAAAGTGAGAGGAATCACTGTACTTAATATGAAGGTTTACTCCACAGCTACAGTGATGAAGACAGCATGGTGCTGTTGGAGGGACGGGCACACAGATCAATGGAACACAACAGAGATCCCAGAAAGACCCACACAAGTACAGCCAACTGGTTTTTGACAACGGTGCAAAAGTAATGTGGTGGAGAAAGAACAGCTTTTCCAATAAATGGTGTTGGAGCAATTACACATTCATAGACAAAACAATGAGCCTTGATCGAAGCCTCACACCTTACAAAAATATTTACTCAAAATGGCTCATAGTTTTAAGTGTAAAATGTAAAACTAAATGACTTTTAGATGAAAATATAGAATAAAATCTTTAGGATTAGACTAATAAAAAGGATCTTAGACTTGATACCAAAATAACAATCCAAAAAAGAAAAATTAATAAAAAATAAATACTTTTGCTCCTCTGTGAAAGACCCATTAAGAGGATAAAAAGAAGCCACAGTCCATGAGAAAATGTCTGCAAGCCACATATCTGACAAAGGACTAGGATCGAAAACCTCTCAAAACCTAACAGTAGAAACAATCTCATCAGAAAATTGGCAAAATGCTTGAACAGACTTTTTCCGAAGGTGATATGCAGATGGCAAATGAGCAAGCGAAAAAATGCTCATCACTAGCCATTTGGAAAATGCACATTAGACCCACAATGGGATATTATTACACACCTATCAGAACAGCTAAAATAGAAAATAGTGACCACACCAAATGCCGTGAGGATGCAGATAAAGCGGATCACTCATTCATTCCTGGTGCAGTCATTCTGGAAAGTACTTTGGCAGTTCCTTTTAAGCCTATAAATGGATTTACTAGAGGACCCAGAAATTGCATTTATCTGAGAAGAAATGTATCCCAGAGATAAATCCTTAGGCATTAATCCCAGAGAAATGAACAGCTACTTTCATATCAGCTTTCATTGTAATAGCCAAAATCTTGAAAAGGCCCAACTGACCTTCAACAAGTGAATGTCGAAATGCAGAGGTACATCCACACCATGCGTGCAACTTGGTGATAAAAAGGAATGAGTATTGATGCACCAGAAATGTGAATTAATCCAGGGAACTATGCTGAGCAACAAAAAAGCTAGTTTTAAAAGGACACAGACTGTGTGATTCCTTTCATATAATATTCATTAAATAACGATTACAGCGATGGAGAACAAATGAGAGGTTGCCCAGGGTTAGGGCTGTGGATAATAGGACTGGGATGAGGGAGTCTTTGGAGATGGTGTAGTTAAGGATCCTGATTCTGATGATGGTTACATAAAGCTACACATGATAAAACTGCACAGAACTATACTGACACACACACACACACATACACAAATTAGTGCATGCATAACGGGAGAAATCTGAATAGGTTCCGTGGATTTTACCAATGTCAATTTCCTGATTTTGATATTGTACTCCTGTTATGCAATATGTTTTCATTGGGCAAGGTTGGGTGAAGGGTGTATAGGACCTCCCCATACATTTTATTTTTTGCAAATTGTTTTGAGTCTACAATTATTTCAAAATAAAAAGTTTAAAAAGGCGCCACACTTTGGAGGAAAAAATCTAAATGGAATATATTATTGGAAATACATAAAGAACTCTTAAAATTCAATAGAAGACAAAAAAACACAATAAAAATGGGGGAAAATGTTTGAAAGACCCTTCAAAATGAGGATATTCAAATGGCCAATAATCACATGATAAGATGCTTGGCATTATTTACCATGGAAATGCAAATTAAAACCGTAATGAGGTGCCACTCACTACATTTCCACTAGAATGACTAAAATTAAAGTGAGTGACCATGTGTTAAAGAAAATGTGGAGCCACTGGAACTCTCACACAGCAGGTAGCAGTATAAAATGCTCCCCACTGGGTGAAACATTTTGGTATTTGCTTATCAAGTTAAACATGTACTTACCATAAGCACCATCCAAGGTTATGGCCACATAGGACCTGGCCATAGCAGCTTTACGTTCCTTTAACTGGAAACAGCCCGAAAATCTAGCAACAGGTAAATGGATAAACAAACTCAGATACATTCATACAATGGAATACTACTCAGCAACGAAAAGGAATGAACTGCTGATATGCACAGCCACAGGGATAAATTTCAAAATCATTATGCTGAACCAAAGAAGCCCAACCTAAAATAGTACCTGTGGTATGATTCCATTTATATAAAAGTCTCCAAGTGAAGTTTGCCTAATAGTAACAAAGGCAATTACTGGCTGCCTGGGGCCAGGGCAGGGGATGGGATGGGGATTAAGTACTGAGGGACATGAAGGAGCTCTTCCGGGGGTGGGTGTGCACTATAGCTTCACTGTGGTGGGAATCAAAACACATCGAACTGAACACTGAGAATGGGTGGATTCCATGGTATTTAAATCATACTTCAATAAAGTTGATTTTAAAATGCCCTTTTCTAAGGCTAAAGTTCAGTCTGGTTAATCACCTCCAACATCCCTGCTTGGGAGCTTGGCATGGCCCATGCCTTTCTCTTCCCGGACAGAGACTTACATGGGATAGCACTCTTCCTCTACTTTGCCTCCTTCAGGCAATAAGCATAATCCCGGCCAGGCGCGGCGGCTCACGCCTGTAATCCTAGCACTTTGGGAGGCCGGGATGGGTGGATCGCCTGAAGTTAGGAGTTCAAGACCAGCCTGACCAACATGGTGAAACCCCATGAAACCCCATCTCTATTAAAAATGGAAAAATTAGCTGGGCATGGTGGCGCATGCCTGTAGTCCCAGCTACTCAGGAGGCTGAGGCAGGAGAATCACCTGAACCCGGGAGGCAGAGGTTGCAGTGAGCTGAGATCACACCATTGTTCTCCAGCCTGGGTGACAAGAGCAAAACTCCGTCTCGGGTGGGTGGGGGCAGGGGGAACAAACAAACATAACCCTGCCGAGGCTGACCTGTGCCCCTCTTTGCGCGGGGCTGTTGTCCATCCAGAAGGCCCTTCCCTTTGCTCTTGGTCTGTTGAATCCTACTTTTCCCTTTCAGTCTGTTTCAGGCATTTCCTTCTGCAGGAAGATTTCCAGGGTCCCCAGGCTTAGTCGGGCCTTTGTGGGTCCTTCGAGTCCCTGTGGTGCCACAGTCCCGACCTGCTGTTTCGTCCTTCCAGAAACCCTGGCTCCCTTCTCCCCTAGGAATCCCTCCGGATCAGGGACCTCCATCCACAGGGCTGGCACAGAGCCCCTGACGCCCGGCCCTCAGGACCCCCTGCTCAGTGCCTGTCCTAAAACTGCCAGGGCTTCTGCTGTGTTTGGGGAAGGAAACCCGCATCCAGTCTCGGAGCGGACCGCCCTACCTGTGTTTGGAAATCCAAGCCTGACAGGTGGGGTGGGCCTTGCTCTCAGGGGTTCAGAGCTGATTGGTTAAAAGGTTTTATAAAAGCGTGCTAAATAGACCGTGCAATTGTGAGAGTGAGTTCTTCTCTGGTGGAAATTACCCTGCCATTTGGTTTTTATTTTTGCAAACGTGGCTCCGCCCTCTTGAACACTCACTTGATACGCCTTCGCTGCCGTGTAAACACCAGGCTTACGGGTAATTGCAACGGAACACTGTCTCGCTTAGGGAGCCTCTGCAGGGCGTCCCCTCCCTGACTACTGCGGGTAAACACGCCTTGGCCTTGGAGCCCCGTGGCAACCACCCCCAAGGCTTCAAGGTCTAAAACATGCCAGTTGGGCGCCCACCCCACAAGACAAAGACTGGGGCTTGTGGAAGGGGCTTTCTCCCTGGGGAAAGGGAGCGTGCAGCTTCCTCGGGCCTCAGCCTTGGTGTCTTGTCTCCCATGTTCCCTGAGTAAGGGATGTCCTTATTCATCCTTCAGCTCTGGCGTCCCAACTTGAGTCCCCAGGGACAGAAGAGCTCCCGAATGGTCTCCAGGCTACTCCCTCTTGCCCACCCTGTTGGGGGGCCTGCTTCTCCCTGCCATATCTGGAGGCCTCAGCTCCAAGGACTCTCATGCCCACCACGTGCAGGTCCACTCTGTCCCCCTCCCGGCTGGCCTTTACCTGGGAATTGACATGAGTGTTCCTATTTGGTGCTCAGAATCCTGAGACAACTCAAGTCTCCCTCGGGAAGGACCTTCCCTTGCTTCCATGAGGTTGGGGTCGGGGGCTGCACACAGCTGGGTATGGGGGGGGCTCTGAATGGCCCCGCCTCCATGCAGCCACACAGGCCCATGGAAGCCAGGGGTGGGAGCACTTGCAGGCCCTGGGTTCAGCTTCAGCCCAAGCCCGGAAGCCTCTGTTCTCCTGCCCAGGGCTGCCTTCCCTGCCACACCTCAGCCACAGACCCTCACTCCTCCCAGGCATCTGCTCCGCCCTGGCTGAGCTCTCACCAGGGGGACATTCTGCACACAGAGCCGCTGAGGCCTCTTGGCTGGACCTTGCAGCCCCGTGTGGTCCTGTTAAGCTGCGGGGAAAACCGAGCAGCGGGCTGGGAGGAGGAGGCGTCCAGGAGAGGTCTGAGCCTCCCTCCTGTGCAGCTGAGGAGGAGCCTGGCTCAGCATCAGGTCAGGTGTGGAGGGAGGGAGGGAGGGAGAGCGAACACTGACAGTCACGAGGTCTCCTCGCGCCTCAGTACCCTCATCTTAAAAAGATGTGGGGCTGAACTTCAACTTCTTGAATTTGCAAGACGGCAGTGGGCTTTAGGCATGGTGACATGTGTCAAACTCATAGTTCTGGCTGGATACAGGATGGACGGATGTAATTGCCAGAGTTATGGGCACCAGATGACCTCTGAGCTAACAGCCCTCTGCCCAGCTGGAGCCCAGTCTTTCAGGTCAGCCCTGGTGGTGGGTGCCTTCTATACCTCTGGAAAGGCCACAGAATGGGAAACTACTGGGGAACACGTTCCCGCCCCAGCAACACCAGTCTGAGCTTCCCCAGCCCCCTGGACCCTGAACTCAGTGACTCTGACTAGCTTGGTTCCTGGTGAGCTCTTGCCCTAATTGCTACTTTGCCCCACCTGAACTCCAGTGTTCTGGAATCTTCTGCTAGCCTAAAGATGGCAGGCATTGGACAGCAGCCTTGACCCCACCGTGGGGAAACTTCCTGATCCCGTTCTTATAAATGCTGCTGAGAGCTAAATGCAAGCCAACTGGATGGCATGCTAAGGAGATGAGCCGATGTCTTGGCCTTTCAGTAAATGTGGGTGCAGTGATCCCTGGTTTCCCCCTTGGTCACTGGATCCATCGTTTATGTCATCTGAGCGTCCCGAGGGCCCCAAACACAGCAGAATGGAACACTTGTCTCTTGAAACAAATGAGGACATGGGGTCCTAGCGAGGTGAACCCACTGGAAGCAGACCCTGAGACAAGCCTTTGAGTACAGTAGTTTATCTTGGAAGGAAGCCCAGGAAATAGCAGCAGTGGGTGACAAAGCAGGGCCAGGGCAGAACTGAAACCTCAGTTCCCCCACCACTCCTGTCAGCTGCTGGTTGAGGGCTGCTCCCAAGGGGCCCTTGTATCCTGGCACCTCCCCCGTACCCGGCATTGGCAGAGGGCTCTCTGGTGACAGGACAAAGTCTTCCAGCCAGGAGTACCAGGTGCCAGGTTGGACCTCAACCCAGAGCTGGAAGTGGTGAGTGCTGAGGGGTGGGTGGGCAGTTGTGGTGTCTGTGTGAGGACACGGGTGAGTGAGCCCATGTCTTGAGGACATAGGAATCTTGCTCCTTGTCACATCTGCACACTCAGCACTTGGCTTGGCCCAAAGAGGGCATCTCTCCATTCCAAGTGGAACCTGCCTTGGAAGATGCAAATAGCTGGAGACTCCTGGAATCATCTGGAAGCTTCTTTGCTCATTTATCTGGCTGGGGAGTGGGATGACTCACACGGCTTGGGCTTCCTCACAGCATGGTGGCTTCTATGAGAGGCTGCAGGGCTTTGTGGGCAGTGGTGCTGTGAACCTGTTGGAAGCTGGGCCCTAAAGGAGGAAACATCACAGAGCCATTTCCTCTTACTCTGTCAGTCAATGAGGTCACAAGCCCCGGGACATTCCAAAGTAGGGACATCGAACCCACTTCTTGATGGGAGAGATGTCAGAGAATTTGCACCCAAGTTTAGCATCAGCACAAATAGCAGTAGTGATGACTGTTCACTGAGCTGGGTGCTGGGCCTTGCCTGTCCCCTCCTGCCCACCCATGACACTCTGTGAGGTGGATGTTACCACCCTCAGGGCACCCCATGAGGAGTCAGGCCAGTAGTGTGGGCAAGATTTGGCCTCCAGGGTTTTCCTCCCAGCCTTCTTCCCTTTTGTTTTGTTTTATTTTATTTTTACAGAGACAGGGGTCTTGCTATGTTGCCCAGGCTGGTCTCAAACTCCTGGCCTCAAGCAGTCCTCCTGCCTTGACCTTCCAAAGTGCTTGGATGATAGGCGTGAGCCATTCTACCCAGCCTCCCTTTCCCATTTGTAAACCACTGCACACCACTGTGGCATGAAAGCCTTCTTCATTCTGTCATCAAATGTTTCTTTTTTTTTTTCTTTCGAGACGAGTCTCGCTCTGTTGCCAGACTGGAGTGTAATGGCGCAATCTCGGCTCACTGCAAGCTCCGCCTCCCAGGTTCAAGCAACTCCCCTGCTTCAGCCTCCTGAATAGCTGGGACTACTATCGGGAGCGTAGTCCCAGCGTGTGTCACCACGCCTGGCTAATTTTTTGTATTTTAGTAGAGATGGGGTTTCACCATGTTGGCCAGGATGGTCTTGATCTCCTGACCATGTGATCTGCCCGCCTCAGCCTCCAAAAAGTACTGGGATTACAGGCATGAGCCACCACACTGGCCCAAATGTTTCTTGAGTGTCAATCATGACCACCAACCTGGATGAGGCCCTTGTTCTTGGAGCTCATGGATGGGACTTGAGAGGCAAGAAACCGACAAGGACATGCCAGCCCCAGGAGGGTTGGGGTGAGGGGTGCAGTGAGGAGCAGGACAAGGACTAGTGATCTGAGATCTCAGTAGAAAGAAGGCCTGAGGTATGCACAGACCCAGGGGAAGGGCCCTCCAGGCACTGGATACAGTACATGCTAAGGACCTGGGTGCAACTGAACCAGGTGGGTGCTGAGAGACAGCAGAGACTTGGGAGGTTGGGGAGGGGGTGTGAGTGGAGAGGTCACCTGGAGCCATCCTTAGGGCCTTGCAGGTAGAGGGGAGGAAACGGGAGGGATGAGTAAAGGAAGGACTCACCAAGGCCACCCCAAACCCTGTTCTATCCCTCCCTCTCCATTCCCAGGCCACGTGCTTGGATCTATAAGGAGGACCTGGCCCCTCCATGAAGACCTGGATGTCACTGCCAAGGCCAACCCTCTGACCCCCCACCCCCATCCTCTCCTTGGTCTCAGTCAACAGGCGGCAGATCAAACGGCCCCCCAGGGCCTGGCCTTGCCCATCAGGGAAACATCACACTGCTCTGGAATGAGGTGATTTCAAGCAGCCGATGCAAGGAAATGGGTATTTATGTAACGGTGGGCATGGTTTTTATTTTCCCTAATTTTCAGATTACTTTCGATTAGGCCTCTTTGGAGTAGAAAAGGCTTGAAGTGAAATCGATCCTGCCTAAATCATTATGGCCCGCCCAGCCCCAGGCCGCCTCTGCAGACAATTACCCCAGACCCCAGGGTTAGGGGGCAAACTCCAGGCGGGGGGATACTTCCTCAGAGCTCACCCAGCCCGGAGTGGCCAGGGCCCCGCTGGATGGGGCCTTTTGTGCTCATGTGGCACACAGCGGTCATTGATTCGGTCCCTCTGGCCAGGGGGCGGGGGAGGGAGCTGAGGAGAGCAGTTCCCACAACATCTGGACTCTATCTCTTCTTCCCACCCCCAGTCAGGACTGGGAGGGGGTGGGGAGAAGGAAAAGAGAAAATGCCCAGGCCAAATTCAAATGCTTTCATAAATTTTGCACTAGAAATGTTTTGACATGAATATTTTTGTCAGTCTCCAGCGTCTGCCCAAAGAAACTCAACTCCACACAACAGCTCGAATATATTTTCTGGTTGACTCTGGAGCCACTTGCTGCAAGGCAGGCAAGCTGGGCCCAGGCACCTGTGAGGAATGCCTGGGGCAGGCAGGGGCACTGGAGACCCCAGTGACATCTGGGGAAGGCCCAGGTGTGGCACCCCGCAGCCAGGGGGCGTCCTTCCAAGGTCCACCCAGGCGGGTACTGCCTGGGCTCCAGCCAAGCGGTGGGTGGCTGGAAGCCAGACCCAGAGAGATGCAGGGAAGGAGTGGATACCTCGGGAGGAAACTCCACACATGTTAATAGTGGTTTTCTTCTGGGAAGCTGGAAAAAACAGTCTTTTTTGGTTTTCTTTTTTACTTGACTATATTTTTTCCACTTTTCTATAATGAGTATGAATTACTAAAAAGCTATTAAAACTATTTTAATAGCTTTTTAAAGCTATTAAAAGAATATATTTAATATATTATATTAAATAAGGAATATTCCATTATATAAGGAATGTATATATTTGTAATAAAGTAATAAAGTATAAAAGTATAAAATAATAAAGTAATATATTTGTAATAAAGTGATATATATATATAAATATTACTATTACTCCTTAGAGGTCTATTCAGATCCTTCATTTCTTCATGATTCAGTTTGGGTACATTGTGTTTCTAGAAACTTGTTCATTATTTCTAGGTTACCCAATGTGTTGGTGTACAATTGCTCATAGTATTTTCTTGTAATCTTTTTATTTGTGTAAAATCTGTAGCATTGTCTTCATTTTCATCTTCGAATTTAGTAATTTGTGTCTTAACTCTTATTTTCTTTGTCAGTCTAGTTAGAAGTTTGTCAGTTTTATTGATTTTTTCAGGGAACCAACTTTTTGGCTTCATTGATTTTCAATATTGTTTTTCGATGGTCTATTTCATTTATCTCTGTGCAGTTTTTTTCCATCTGCTAGCTTGAATTTTAATTTGCTCTTCTTTTCTAGTTTCTTAAGGTGTACAGTTAGGCTATTTATTTGACATCTTTTTAAAGAACTGTATGTGTTCACTGCATACTGTTTTCTCCTAGCATTGCTTTCTCTGTGTCCTCTAAGTTTGGGTATGTTGTGTTTTCATTTCCATTCATCTCAAAGTATTTTCTCATTTTCCTTGTTATTTCTTGTTTAATCCACTGATTTGTTTAGAAGTGTGTTGTTCAATTTTCACATATTTGTGGATTTTTCAGTTTTTTTCTTTTTGAGATTGAGACACAGTCTCACTCTGTCGCCCAGGCTGGAGTGCAGTGGTGTGATCTCAGCTCACTGCAAACTCCGCCTCCAGGGTTCAAGTGATTCTCCTGCCTCAGCCTCCTAAGTAGCTGGGACTACAGGCCTGCACCACCATGCCCAGCTAATTTTTGTATTTTTTAGTAGAGATGGGGTTTTGCTATATTGGCCAGGCTTGTCTTGAACTCCTAACCTCAGGTGATCCGCCTGCCTTGGCCTCCCAAAGTGCTGGGATTATAGATGTGAGCCACCACTCATGGCCTTAGTTTTCTTTTTGTTAATAATTTATAGTTTCATTCCTTGTGATCAGAAAAGATACTTTGATGACTTCAATTTTTTAAAAAAGTATTAAGATTTGTTTTGTGGCCTAACATGTTCTATCCTGGAGAATGTTTCATGTGTACTTGGAAAGAACCTGTATTCTGCTGTTGTTGGGTGGACTGAATATGTCCTTTAGGTCTAATTGGTTTTTGTGTTGTTCAAGTCCTCTATTTTTTTTATTGGCTTTCTGTCTGGTTGTCCTATCCATTATTGAAAGTCAGGTATTGAAATCTTCAAGTATTATTGTAAAGTTTTCTGTTTCTCCCTTTAATTCTGTTAATGTTTCTTTGTATATTTGGGTGCTTGGCTGTTTGGTGCATATATGTTCATAATTGTTATGCATTCTTGATGAATGACCCTTTTATCAATATATAATGACTCTCTTTATTTCTTCTAATTGTTTTGACTTAAAGTCTATTTGTGTGATATTAGTAGAGCTATTCCATCTCTCTTTTGGTTACTATTTGCATGAAATATTTTTTCATCTTATTGGTTTTTATCTATTTTGTCTTTTGAGACAGTGTCTTGCTCTGTTGCCCAGGCTGGAGTGCAGTGGCATGACCTTAGCTCACTGCAACCTCTGCCTCCTGGGTTCAAGTGATTCTTGTGGCTCTGTCTCCCAAGTAGCTGGGATTACAGGTGTGCACCACAACACCTGGCTAATTTTTGTATTTTTAGTAGAGACAGAGTTTCACCTTGTTGGCCAGGCTAGTCTTGAACTCCTGACCTCAAGTGATCCACCCATCTTGGCCTCCCAAAGTGCTGGGATTACAGGTGTGATCCACCATGCCTGGCTTCTATTTTGTCTTTAGATCTAAAGTGAGATTCTTATAGACAGTATATAGTTGAATCATTTTTTATTCATTCTGTCAATCTGCCTTTTGATTGGAGAGTTTAAGTAATTACTAATGTGGAAAGACTGTTGTCATTTCGTTGTTTTCTGTATATCTTATAGCTTTTTGTTTCTCAAAAGAATATAGCTTTTTATTCTCTGTATAATCCTATACAGACATACCTCATATTATTGCACTTTGTTTTATTGCATTGCTTTCATTACTACATTCTTTTGTGTTTTGTTGACTTTTAAAAAAGTAGTGAAGTGTTTTGATTCCCCTTTCATTTCCTTTTGTGTATAGATATTTTCTTTGTGGTTAATATGAGCCTTCCATTTAATATTCTAAAGTTATCAATTCAAATTAATATCAACTTAACTTCCACAGTATACAAATCAGTGCTTCTATACAGCATTGTCTACCCTTTTAGGTTATTGTTGTCACAAATTACATCTTTGTACATTGTGTGCTCAGTAATATAGATTTGGCTTTCAAATCACATAGAAAATAAAGAGCAGAGTTATAAGCCAATTTTCAAATATTATTGGCTTTTACATTTTCTCATGTATTTATCTTTATTGGAAATCTTTATTTCTTTGTGCAGGTTCAGGTTATATTTGAGATCCTTTCTTTTCAGCCTAATGATTCCCTTTAGCATTTCTTTCAGGGCAAGTCTAGTAGGAAGAAACTCTCTCAGCTTGTGTTTACTTGCAAATGTCTTTTTTTGCCCCCATTTATAAGGATAATTTTGCTGATATAGAATTCTTAGTTGAAAGGTTTTTTTGTTTTTGTTTTTGTTTTCACTCAGCACTTTAAATGTGTCATTCCCACTGCCTTCTGGCCTGTGAGGTTTCTGATGAGCAATCAGTTGATAATCTTATAGTGAATTTCTTGTCACATGTGACGTTGCTCCTCTCTTGCTGCTCTGAACATTTTCCCTTTGTCTTTAGTTTTTACTACTTTAATTATAATGTGTCTTCGTATGGATGTCTTTGAGTTTTCCTACTTGGAATCCCCACAATGCATATGTTGTTATGCTCGATAGTGTCTCACAGGTCCCTTAGGCTACATTCACTTTTTTCATTGCTTTTTCTTTCTGTTCCTCAGACTCAATAGTTTTAATTGCTCTTTCTTCAAGTTAACTATTTTTTTGTTCTGCCTGCCCAAATCTGCTATTAAGCCCTCAAGTAAGTTTTTCAAATTTCAGTTATTATACTATCCAGAATTTTTGTTTGGCTCCTTTTTATAATTTCTCTTTATTTATATTCTCATTTTGTTCCTGTATCTGTTCCCTGATTTCCTTCAGCCCTTTGTACCTGTTTTGCTTTAGCTCTTTGAGCATTTTTAAGAATCATTTAAAAATCTTGGTCTAATAAGTTGAATTTGACTGCTATAATATAGTAACTTTTAAGTCTGTCTCTTTCTCTTCTCTAGGGTTTCCTGTTGTTTGTTTGATGATCTCAAATGGAGTCCACAGGCTGCCTGCCACCACCTCAACACCAAGACGTGCTGCACAAGGGAGGGGGTGGGACAAGAACAGGTTAAAACAAAACTTTCTTACTATTAATATTTTGAAGATTATTTTCTTATTGGGCATTAGCTTGATTGCTCTAAACACTTGACTGCTTTCCAGACTTTGGACAAAGTTGGTTCTGATAGTTGCTGCTTGATGTTTTTTGAGGTGGGGGAAGAATGTTACTGTGGAGGAAAAGGAGCTTGGTTCTTCCCAGTTCACCATTTTCCTGATCACACTTCTGAGCATTCTTTCATGAAACCCCCCTGACTGAGAGATGATATGGTGCCCAGAAAGGGATTCTCTGAGCCACACCTGGGTACCAGAGTCAGGCAAGCCTTGTGTATAGCAAGTGTACTTGGTCACCATGGGAACTCTAGGGGACAGGTGTTGTGGCCCCTCATTGAGGGCAAGTTTAACTGATGCCTGTGCTTGCTAGGAGGGCTCTCTTGAGGATATAAGGATGAGCATGGGAAGCAATACTGTGTGCATTTAGTAATATCTGCCCAGGAATGGGATGAGGAGCACACGTATTGTATATTTGTCATCTGTATTCTATGATCAACTTTGATCCTTTTACATGTGGGGAAATTGAAACTCAGAGAGATCCACACAACTGGTCCACTGCAGGGCTGGGCCTTGGGCCCAGAACCCAGTACCCAATAATCCTATACAGTCATACCTCATATTATTGCACTTTGTTTTATTGCATTGCACAGATATTGCATTTTTAACAAATTGATTTATGGCAACCCTGCATTGAGAAAGTCTATCGGCACAATTTTTCCAAGAGCATGTGCTCATTTTATGTCTCAGTGTCAGAAGTTTTTAGCAATAAAGTATTTTAAAATTAAGGTATGTAAATTTTTTTAGACTGTATCCTGTTGCACTCTTAGTATACTACAGTGTAGTGTAAACATAACTTTTACATGCACTGGGAAACCAAAAAATGTGTGTGACTTGCTTTATTTTGGTATTTGCTTTATTGTGATCTGGAACCAAACCTGTAATATCTCCATGGTATGCCTGTATTCTGAATAACTATTGCTGCACAGTAAACCACCCCAAAGCTTTGTGGTTCCAAACAACAATAATCTTATTATTCTCAAAGATTTTGTGGGTCAGAAACTGGAACAGAGCACAGTGGGAACAACTTATCTCTGTTCTACAATATCTGGTACTTCTGCTGGGACAACCAAAGGGTCTTGTGTGACTTCAACAGTTGGGAGCTAGGATTGCTGAGCATGAAGGTCCATTTAAAGATAGCATTCTTGATCTTTCAAAGGGACTGGGACAGCTGAGGGACAGGCCAGCTGGGAATGTCGACTGGAGTGACTCCATGTGGCTTTCTGTGTGGCTTGGGCTTCCTCACAGCATGGCAGACCAGAGCAGTGGGACTTCTTGGGGCTCCAAAGGTGGGTGTTCCAGTGAGCAAGGTAAAAGCTGCATGGCCTTTTGTGCCTTGGCCTTGGAAGTCACACAATTCTGTTCCTTGGCTCTTTCTTTGGTCAAAGCAGCCATAGCCTACCAGATTCAAAAAGGGCAAGCAGACCCACTTCTTGATGGAGCAGTGTAAAATAGCTCGCAGCCACATTTAAAAACTACCGCATCTGTCTTTGAAGCTCTATTCTCTGCACTGACACTGGCTTCCTGAAGGGCCTATCCAGCTGCCAGAGAAGAAAGCATGCAGTGACCTACACTTCTGAGCTTTGGGGGGCACCAGGAGGGTGTGGGCAGGGATAGGAGCTGCTCTGCCATATTTGGACAACACCCTTCTGAATGATGTCATGGAACTGGTGGCCTTGAGCTGGTGGTTAGGAAGCACTTCTGAGCAAACCATGACTGCAGGGGGAAGAAGGAGATGGAACTTATTAAGCACCTACTGTGTGCCAAACACCTATATCCAGCTCTGGTTACAGGTGTTGGGTGTTCCGCATACAGTAGGTGCTGAAGAGGGTGGCCAGCTGGGTAATGGGAACAGAACAGAGCCTGGGATATAGGGTACAGGGCTTATTATTGGTGTTATCACTTCATGTCTCCCAGAGAGGCCTCTGTGGGTCACTGCCCCCCTCAATGAGTTCTGAAGAGAGAAAACAGAGGCCGTGGTCCAGTCAGTATGGGGAGCACTGTGTTCCCGACACCCCACTGCGTGTTAAGGTCAGGCGCCACATCTTGTAGTCAGTTGCTTTGCCGAGTGGCTCCAGCTTTCTCTAGCTCCTCTCTGGGCCTCAGTTTCCCTGCCTGCTGGCCAACAGAGGGCCCTGCCAACTCTGGCTGCCTATGACCAGGGTGGCTCCAGAGGGTGCTGCTGGGAGGGGTGCCAACCCTACCTCTCTGCAAGTGAAACTGGGCATGCCACTCACCTCTCTGGGCCTCAGTTTCCTCTTCTGAGCATTGAGGAAATTTGGGGGTTTCCATGTTCCTTCCAGTCAGAAACCAGATGCTGCCATGTCCCCCAACCCAAGGCCTCAGGAACAGTGCTGGATGGTCATTTTTGAGGTTTTCTGTCTCTGTCTCTCCGAGTGAGGTTTGCTGGGAAAGCTAAGAATAGAATCCAGCCAGGCTGTAGTGGCGGCCAGCTGGAACCTGATATAGTCACATATGAGAACTGGTAGGCCTGCATGCCGACCCTCTATGGACCAGAATGGGACAGAGGCCAGAATATGGCCATGCTCTTCATCCTCACTCCTGCCCCACTGCCCTCAGCCCAGTCCTCCTGCTCCATCTGATTGAAAATCAGGGCATGTAGGGTGATGGTTTGGGCTGCAGCCAGGTCTGTGCCTGCTGTGGCCTCTGAGCTCTGGAGTCAAATGGGGATTGTGGAAGAGGCTGCCTAGAGTGGCAGAAACCCTACCCTGGAATGGGGAGCTGGCTCAGCTGCGGGCTCACTGTGTGAGCCTCAGCAACTTGCCATCCCTCTCTGGTTTCAGTTAGTGGCATCACGCCTCATGGTGCTCTGTCTATATCCTGGTTCAGGTTCAGTGGAGGGGAGACCCTGGGCCCCCTCCTTGAGTGCCTTATCTATCTATCTATCTATCTATCTATCTATCTATCTATCTATCACCTGTCTATCTTATCTATGATCTATCAATCATCTATCTTATCTATGATCTGTGTATCATCTACCTATCATTGATCTGTCATCTAGCTAGCTAGCTAGCTATCATTTATCTTAACTCTATCTGTTAAAATTTATTTATTTTTGTCATCTATCTAAATCTGTCTTCATTATCATCTTTTATCTATCAAAATCTATCAAAATTTATATATTATTTATCATCTATTATCTGTCACCCACTTATCAATCAAAATCTGTCACCTATCTATCCACTTATAATCTATCATCTGTCTCTATCTGTCCACCTATCATATATCACCTATCTAGCTCTCTATTATCTATATCTATCTATCCATCCACCTGTCATCTATCTCCCTATTATCTGTCTCTATCTAGCTATCTATCCACCTATCATCTATGTATCACCCATCTATCTCTCTATTATCCCTATCTATGTATCTATCTATGTATCTATGTATCTATCTATCTATCTATCTATCTATCTATCTATCTCTCTATCTATCTATCTATCTATCTATCATCTATCTGATTATTACTCACACCAATACTCTAAGTCACCAGGTCAAGGATGGAGTCTGGATCTGCTCTGTTTGTTTGTTCCCTAAACCTCTCAGGTGACTTGCTGTCCAGGCCAAGTGGAGAAAAGCAATGCAGTTCTTAGTGGTTTCTGCCTCTGGTTAAGCCAAGATTTCTCTCTTAAAAAAAGAGAGAGGCACAGACCTCATTCACAGGAAGAGCTCCTGTCCACAGTGTGTGGTTTGGAGATGCTAAGCAGCTGGCCTGGATGAGCCTAGATTCCTCTTGTGGTTGTCTCTGTTTTCTTGTTTCCTGACCACATGGCTTTGGCTGGAGGGTCAGGACACAAGAATGCTCAGGCCTGGGCTTCCAGATCTGGGGTTCCATCCCTAAGCAGGAACACTCCACTGCCTGTTCCACCCTGCAGTTGGTTACGGGTGCTGTTTACATGTTCCCTGACACTGTGGCCTTTGTGTTACTACAGTAACATTTTCCCCTCCATCCCTCCAACCTGGGGATGCCTCCCCGGGGCCATTCTCTCTGCTGATCACTGCCACATCTGTGAAGCTGTTCCTGGTTCCCAGTGTGCAGCGAGTGGGGGAGGGTTCATAGACTGGGTTTATGGATGACCGATGCTGTGGATGACAGTGTGTGCATGCATGCAAGTGTGTATATGTGTGTGTGTGTGCACACATGTGCATGCACGTGTAGGGTGCATGTGTGTGCATGTGCATGGGTGTGTTTGCTCACAAATGTGCATCGTTCTGCGTCATGGGCACAGAACTCCATCATATTCTCACAGGGGTCTAGGACCCCCAGAACGTTAGAGTCCATCCCTATCATAGATTCTATCCCTATCAGGGCTCAGAGATTCATTCCTTGATCCCTCCTCCTCAGGACTCACAATGTGGCTAGATTTGACCCCTACAGTGGTCACAACACTGTTCTCAATTTGTTTTCTTTAATGGCTCTGGGATGTTAGCGACTTAGGGCGAGTGATAAGTTCTTACCCATCATTGTCTCCTTGGTGGACCCAAGTGACAGAGCCTCAGCCTCACTGTTTAAGCAGGTGCTGGACTCCAGTGGGTCGTTTGTGAAACAGTTCCAGGTCAACTGGCCTCAGGTGTGACTGGATACAGGAGTCCCAGTGATCTTACCAGGATCCTGAGTCCTGTTCAATTTCTGGGCTCCACTTAATGATTTTTGATTCTAATATCAGACAGGCCTGCCCTGGTGGTCACAGGCAGCCATGAGCAGTTCTGGCATCACCCTTTCCTGACTCCAGCCCTGCACAGAGCTGCAAGACTCTATGCCAACCTCCCCAGTGAGGCAGGGCCACTTCTGAGCCCTGTGGGGGTAAGGGTGGGGACAACACCATGTTGATTGGCTAGGCCTGGTCACATGTTTCCCATCGGTGGTAGAGCCTAATCCCTGCTCCATAGACCAAGTGCGGAGGAGGGAGGAGGAACACTCCCCAAGTGCCAAAGACATGGATGCAAGAGGCAGGAGTGAATGTGGGGAGGCCAAGACCAAATGTTCCCAACAACCAACCACCACAGTTGATGAAGGATGTGTTGATGAATGCACAGTATCCAGTTATGATGGTTAATTTTATGTGTCAACTTGTCTGAGCCACGGGGTGTCCACCTAGCTGGTTACACATGATCTCTGGGTGTGTTTGTGAGGGCCTTTCTGGATGAAATCGGCACTTGAATTGGTGGACTGAGCAAAACAGGTGGCCTCCCCAGTGTGGTGGGTCTCACCCAATCCCTCTAGGGCCCAAATAGAGCAAAAAGGCAGAGGAAGCGGGGATCTGCCCCTTTTCTTCCTGCCTGCCTGTTCGTGCTGTGACTTTAGTATTCTGACCTTAAACTGGGACCTACACTCTTAGCTCCCTTGCTTCTCAGGTGTCTGCACTCAAACTGGAATTACAGCACTGCTTTCCTGGGTCTCCAGCCTGCAGACACCACACTGCGGGACTTCAACCCCTCCGTAAACACACAAGCCAATGCTTCATAACGCATTGCAAATGCCTTCTCATATATATATATATCTGAGAAAGAGAGAGGACATAGAGATTCAATATATGTTTATATATCTCAGTGTGTGTGTGTGTGTGTGTGTGTGTGTGTGTTATGTGTGTGTGTGTATAATTAGCCATCAGGGAAATGCAAACTAAAACCATAATACCGCTGGCCAGGAGTGGTTTTGAGGTGTAATCCCAGTACTTTGGGAGGCCGAAGCAGGCAGATGTCTTGAGCTCAGGAATTCAAGACCAGCCTGGGCAGCATAGTGAGACCCCATCTCTACAAAAAATGCAAAAAATTAGCTTGCCATGGTGGCATGTGCCTGTAATCCCAGCTACTTGGGACCTGAAGTGGGAGGATCACCTGAGACTGGGAGGTTGAGGCTGTAGTGAGCCAAAATAGTACCACTGAACTCCAGCCTGGGTGACAGACTGAGGCCTTGTCTCAAAAGAAACCCCCCGAAGCAAAAAAAAAGAAAACAAAAAAACACCCCACACTACCACACTATATATGGTGTGGACAGAGGAATATTCTCTTGGTTCTGTTTCTCTGAAGAGCCCCAACACACCAGTGCCTCTCACAGATTACTTCTAGTCATCACATGAAAACAAGTAATAGGCAAGAAAACAGGGGACCTATTACCTGCTTTTCACAGACGGTGAATGTGACTTGTAGGGAGCACATCTTACCCAAGGAGGCAGCTCTGAAGTTACCCAGAGAGCACAGGAACCCAGTTCTTTGTGACTCAACACTAAGGGGTTTTCACTGCCCCAAAGCTCACCCCATACTTGTTGAATGAAAAATACACAAATGGAAACAAGCCATAACCAGCGCTGTGGCCTGAAGGGCATGATGGAGGTGCATGAGCTGTCTGTCCCCAGGGTGAGCAAGGCCAGAGGTCAATTTCTTGCAGTTTCCGGGAAGAGATCTTTTACCCAACTCCCTGACATTTTTCTTGGTGGCAACTTCCCAGCTTCCCTGGCTATTCTCTTCCCAAGGTGACATTCCAGAATGCCAGCACCTCAACAGACAATATTCTGAGGGATCAGGGCTTTTTGCAGAATAATCCTGGCTGGTGACTGGGACAAACCTCGGTTTGTGGCTGCAGGGAAGTGGGTAGCGCAGGGGCTGCCCAGGTGGGGTGCAACGTGGGCCCCAGACCGTCTGTCTCCATTCCATCACAGCAACTTCTTTCCCCTTGCGGGTGTTCCTGGCAACTTCCTCCATGAGAGGAGATCTATGAGCAGACCCAGGCGGAGCCAAGAACTTGTGAATGGTCCAAGTGCCTTTAGGTCCAAGTGCCTTCCCCATGAGGAATGGAGCCGTGGCGGGCAAAGCCTCCTTTTCAGCACACATCCCCTCAAAGTCCATTTGTCCCGGGTTTATGGGCACTGCTTTTTCAAAGGCATGGGTTTTCAAAGGAGGTTCAGCTGCATTCCTGGGGCTGACCTGGTAACAGGCAGTTTTTTGAGATAATGTCACAATTTTCTAGTTGGACTTCATTGGTTCTGGGGTCAGGGATTGGTACTATGGAGGGGAGTCCCAGGAGGTTGAGACAAAGAGAAAGGTTTCCAGAGTTGGGTGTGGTCCCCTGCTCCAACAGTGTGGGCTCTGCCGTGGTGAGTGGGAAGCATCATTTTGTTACATTGCTGATTATCTTAAATTACATTTTCTATCTAGAGTTAAGTGTAAATTCACATGCAGTTGTATTAAATGATAAGAGAGATCCTCGTACCTTTTTACCCTGCTTCTTCCGACGGTAACATCTTGAAAAACAACTGCAGTACAGTGTCACAGCCAGGATACTGACATTGACACAGCGCAGACACGGAACACTTTCATCATCCCAAGGATCCCTCATGTTAAACTTTCATAGTCACATCCACTTCCTTCCTTCTCACCCTGTCCCTGACCCTGGCAACAACTAATTTGTTCTCCATTTCAATAATTTTGTCATTTCTAGACTATCATAGACATGGATTTATATAGCATATAACCTTTCCTGGTTGGCTTTTTTTCCCTGACTCAGCATAACTGTTTAGAGACTCATCCACAATTTTGTGTACATCATAACTTCCTTCCTTGTGGTTGCTGAGGGGTGCCCCATGGTATGAACATACCACAGGTTAGCTCCGCCCACTGAAGACTATCTGAGCTGTTTCCAGCTTTCAGCTATTACAAATAAAGCTAATATGCCTGTAATCCCAACACTTTGGGAGGCCAAGGCCGGCGGATCACAAGGTCAGGAGATCGAGACCATCTTGGCCAATGTGGTAAAACCCCATCTCTACTAAAACACACACACACACAAAAATTAGCTGGGCGTGGTGGTGCGTGCCTGTAGTCATAGCTACTTGGGAGGCTGAGGCAGGGGAATCATTTGAACCCGGGAGGCAGAGATTGCAGTGAGCTGAGATCATGCCACTGCACTCCAGCCTGGCGACAGAGGGAGACTCTGTCTAAAAAAAAAAAAAAAAAAATTAAAATGTTTCAAAAAGCTGATATGAGCATTCACGTCCAGGTTTCTGTGTGAGTCTCCATTTCTAGGATAAATGGACAAGAGTACAACTGCTAGGTCTTTTAGTAACTCTATTTTTAAGTTTACAAGGAATTGCCAAAGTATTTTCCAGAGTGGCTGCACCATTTTAAATTCTCACCAGGAAAGTATGAGTGCCCCTGTTTCTTCATATCCTTGCCAGCATTTGGCGTTCCCACTATTTTTTATTTTAGCCATTCTGATGGGTGTGTAGATAACACTCCATTGTGGTTTTAATTTGCATTTCCCTGATGGCTAAAGACATTGAACATCTTTTCATGTACTTGTTTGCTAATGGAGTATCCTCAGTGACATGGCTATTCTTGTATTTTTTTCCATTTTCTAATTGGTTTGTTGGGATTTTTTTTGGTTGAGTATTGAGAGTTCTTTCTATCTTTGAGGTACTGGTCTTTTTTTATATGTGGTTTATAAATATTTTCTTCCAGTTATTGGCTTGCCTTTTCATCCTCTTAGCAGAGTCTTTGATAGAGCAAAAGATTTTGACTTGATGGGGTCCAATTTATCAATTAGGCTCTTATGAGTCATTTTTTGGTGTCGCCCTTTGCCTTGCCTAGATCATAAATATTTCCGCCTATTCAAAAAAAAGTTTTTCTTTTAGTTTTATGTTTTACATTTAGTTCAGTAATCCATTGGAGCCAATGTTTGTAAAAGGTATGAGGTTTAGGTCCAGGTTCATTGTTTTGTCTATGGATGTGGAATTGCTCCAGCACCGTTTGTTGAAAAAGTTATTCGTCCTCCATTGAAATGTTTTTGCACCTTTATAAAAAAACCGATTAAGCATGCTCATGTGGGCCTCTTTGTGGGATCTCTGTTCTGTTCCATGGATCTGTGTGTCCATCCCTCCACCAGCAACATATGGTCTCTGTCACTGCAGCTGTGGAGTAAGCCTTAAGGCTGAGTGTGGCGATTCCCCATACTTTATTCCTCCTCTTTGTCTACAGTGCTTTAGCTACCCACGGCTCTGTGCTTTTCCACATCCATTTTAGAAAAACTTTGTCTATGTCTACCAAAAACCATGTCGGGATTTTCATAAGGATTGCATCAAACTTATAGATCAGTTTGGGAGAACTGACATCTTTACGAGGCTGAGTCTTCCAATTTGTGAACACAGTATGGCTCTCCATTTATTTAGGTCTTTAATTTTTTTTGTCAATATTTTGTAACTATAAACATTTCAGATTCTGTACATGCTACATTTCACCTAAGTATTCTGTTTTCTCTGGAGTGAGTGTAAATGGTATTGCTTTTAATTTCAATTTTCACATGTTCATTGCTAGAAATGCAATAGATTTTTGTATGTTGCTCTGGTATCCTGCAACCTTGCTGAACTCATTTATTAGTTCTAGAAATCTTTTTGTAGATTCCTTTAGATTTTCTATACAAATAACCATGTCACCTACATATAAGGATAGTTTTGTGTGTTCCTTTACAGCACAAGTGCTTTTTCCCCTGGTCTTATTGCCATGACTAGAGCTTCACTATATGTGGAATAAGAGTAGTGGGAGTGGGCAGTGTTTCCCTTTTCCCAAACTCAGAGGGCAGGCATTCAGTCTTTCACCATTTAAGTAAGGTGTTAAATGTAGATTTTTTTTGTACATACTCTTTATGAAGTTGTGAGAGTTCCCCCTCTATTCCTAATTTGCTGAAGTCTGTTTCATGAATGGGTGTTGAATTTTGTCAAATGCTTTTTTTGCGTCAATTGATACAATCATTTTGTACAATGATTTTTCTCCTTTAACCTGCTGATATGGTGAATTACATTGATTGATTTTAAAATATTGAACCAACCTTGCATTCATGGAATAGATCCCACTTGGTTACAGTGTATAATTTTTTGTTTCACGTTGCCGGGTTTGATTTGCTTATATTTTGTTGAGGATTTTTGCCTCTGATTTCATGAGAGATTTTGGTCTGTAGTTGTCTTTTTTAGTACTGTATTTGTTGTTTGGTCTTGGTATCAGCGTAATACTGGCTTCAGTATTCATCTCTTCAGATCATTCCACATCTAACACATCTCATTGTTGATGAATGGTGATTATATTATGAAACTCTTGATTCTATTTAATCTTCCTTTTTTTCTTCTTTTAATCTGGAAGTCCCTTGTATTATATAGATACAAGGGGCAAGTGGGTGTGAGTGTTTAGCTTTCCCTTTGGCCCTGCTGATACCTTCTTGGCTGAAGTGTCACTGCACTGTCTCTTAATGGAGATGTAAGATCACCCTCCTTCTGGGCCCCACTGATACCAGGGAGGGGAAGAGGAGGGCTGGCTCACACTGTTTTGTTGCTGCAGGGAGGGATGCAAACTCAATTCCCCTCTGGGCCTCACTGACACCAGGAGCCCTGACTTACATCACTTTGCTCAGTCTTATTGATGCTGGAGGTGATGGAGGCTTAGCTTGCCACTGGATCACACTAACACCACTGGCAGGAGAACTGGGGTGCCGCCTGCTTCTGCTGGGCAGAGGATGGAAGATGAACAGCACTCAATACCACCCAGAGTAATACTAAGCAGAGAATGGAAGGTTGACTTCCTGTTCAGACCTGCTGAAACCACAAGGGCAAGGTGGGTACAGGTTTCCCTTCATCTTTGGCTGGAGTAGGGTGGGTATTGCTAGTTTTCTGCTATTAGGCTACCCTTTTTCATTTTTTGGCTAGGAGGAATAGACTTTAAGGATTTTTATATTCTTTTATTGTGGCAAAATACACATAACATAAAATTTACCATTAGTTACATTTAGTGTATTCCCAATGTTGTACAACTGTCATCAATATACATTTTTTTTTTTTTTTTTTTTTTTGAGACAGAGTTTTGCTCTGTTGCCCAGGCTGGAGTGCAAAGCCATGATCTCAGCTCACTGCAACTTCTGCCTCCCGGGTTTGAGCAGTTCTCCTACCTCAGCCTCCTGAGTTGCTGGGATTACAGGTACCTGTTACCACACCCGGCTAATTTTTGTGTTTTTAGTAGAGACGGGGTTTCACTGTGTTGGCCAGGCTGGTCTCAAACTCCTGATCTCAGGTGATCTGCCTGCCTTGGCCTCCCAAAGTGCTGGGATTACAGGTGTGAGCCACTACACCTGGCCTACCAATACTGATTTCTATAACATTTTCGTCACCTTTAAAAGGAAACCCTGTCCCCTTTCAGCAGTCACTCCCTGTTCTCTCCTCCCCATCCCTAGCAACAGCTAGTTGCCCCCCTGTCTCTATTGCATGATTCCGTTTACGTGAAATGTCCAGAATAGGCTCTACTGTGGCTTTTTGTGTCTTATGTCTTTCACTTAGCATGATATTTTTGAGGTTCATCAGTGTTGTGGTATATATCAATACTTTGTTCATTTTTATGGCTGGATAACACTCCATTGCCTGCATTACCACATTTTATTTATCCATTCATCTGTTGATGGACATTTGGGATGTTCCCACTACTTGGGAAGCATTCCACATCATTCTGAATGCTGTGCTACGAACATCCATCTACAAGTTTTTGTTGAACACCATTTTTAATTCTTTTGGGAATATATCCAGAAGTAAAATTGCTGGGTCGAAGAGTAATTCTACTTTTAAATTTTGAGGAACTGCCATACTGTTTTTTCACATCAGCTGTACCATTCATTTTACATTCTAGCAGCAATGTATGAGAGTTCCAGTTTCTCCACATCCTCACCAACACTTATTATTTTCTGTTTCTTTTTCTTAATTTTAGCCATGCTAGTGGGTGTGAAGTAGTATTTCTTCATAGTTTGGATTTGCATTTTCCTTATGACTAATGGTGTCAGCCATCTTCATGTGCTTGTTGGCCATTTCATTTGAATATCTTCTTCAGACATGTCTATTCAAGTCTTTTCCTCCATTCTATAATTGAGTTGTTTGTCTTTTTGCTGTTAAATGGAAAGAGTTCTTTTTTAAATTTAAAACTTAAAAAAAATTTAAGATGGGATCTTGCTACATTGCTCAGGCTGGTCTCAAACTCCTGCACTCAAGTAATTCTCCCACCTCAGTCTTGGGATTACAGGCATGTGTCACCCTGCCTAGCAAGAGTTCTTTATTTATTATGGACCCTAGACTCTTATCAGACATTGACTTGCAAGTATTTTCTTCCATTCTGGGGACTGTCTTTTCACTTTCTTGATAGAGTAATTTGGTGCATAAAGGTATTTAATTTTAATGAAATCCAGTTTACCTATTTTTTCTTTCGTTTCTTGTGTGGAATAGGCCTTTCTCTTTTTTGACTGTTGGTGGCCCTCTGAGGGTGATATCATGAGTATTCTCATTACATAGGTGACAACTGATGGCCAGGGAGTCCGAGTGATTCGCCTGTAGGTGGTGGAGCCAGGTCGGAGGCCAGGCAGCCTGGCTGCAGAGCTCTGCTGTCTTTCAGACAGGTAAGTACTGAAGGCTTCACTGCTGGTCTCCAATGCCATGGAATGATGGGATATCGCACAGTGACATTCTTTGTGTAAAAACCAACTACCTCACTTTTAAGAAACCAATTAGTGCTATCAGAAAACCCAGAGAATTCATAGCCATGCAATAACTACCATGCCATATAAAAATCTAAGCCTAGGCCAGGCGCGGTGGCTCACGCCTGTAATTCCAGCACTTTGGGAGAGCGAGGCGGGCGGATCACGAGGTCAGGAGATCGAGACCATCCTGGCTAACACGGTGAAACCCCATCTCTACTAAAAATACAAAAAATTAGCCGGGCATGGTGGCGGGCGCCCATAGTCCCAGCTACTTGGGAGGCTGAGGCAGGAGAATGGCGTAAACCCAGGAGGCAGAGCTTGCAGTGAGCCGAGATTGTGCCACTGCACTCCAGCCTGGGTGAGAGAGTGAGACTCCGTCTCAAAAAAAAAAAAAAAAAAGTCTAAGCCTAGAATTTCACAGAGGTTACTCGCCCACTAAAATTGAAGACACCAAAAGGCAAGTGATGCAGGAAGACTTTCTCAGAGTTAGACTTGCAGTGTGGCTAAACCATCTAATTTCATCTGAATCAAATTCCAAACAGGTTGGAAAATTAAACCACCGAGATGTTAATCAAAGCTGGCTTACAACAAAAAACAAAACATGGAAACTTTATGTTTCAAATATGATTTATTTTCTTTTTAAAAACAGGTATCTCTTTTCCATGATTCAAAATTCAATAGGTAGAAAAGGGTGCATGGGAAAATCCCTTCCCTCCCTATTCAGTCCCAGCCACCCCATCCCGCCTAGTTCCTGCATGTCCTTCCAGGTTTTCTCTATGCATAAACATTTGATCCATATATGCTTCCATTTTAAACAAATACTGTCTAGGTGCACAGATGTTGTGCCTTGGGATTTTTTAACTTGCTGCTCTGTCTTGGAGATTAGTCCTCGTAAGCGTGTACAGAGCTTCCTTGTTCCTTCTGATGACTTGGCCTCATCCTCTCTCCCCCTTCCCTTCCCACTGGATCTTTGGCAGTCAGAGCTGAGGGCAGAGGCCCCAGCAGCATTGTTCTGAGTTCTGAGTCCAAATCTTTCCCAGTCCCCAGAGTACAGCTGTCTTGCTGATGCCCCTCAGAAACCTCTGCAGAAGCCAGGAGAGCTCCTGAAATACAGGGGGCCCTCCTGTGCCTTCTGGGATGGAGCTGGACCCAGCAGGGAGACAGAAAGGAGAGCGTTACAGGAGGCAATGTCCATTCGGACCCAGCAGAGGCACAATAGCTTCCTCCTGCCCATGCAGGCCTCATTCCTGGCTGTGAGTCCACCATAGGGTTCCCAGGCCTGCCACCTCCCACAGCCCCAGGGCATGCCACCTGGGCACGCCACCTTCCACAGCCCCAGGAGGGAGAAAATACTCCTGCACCCAGCAGGTGAGGAGATGGGTGCAAGGGAGAACAGGACCTGGCCATGCTTTCAAGCTGGCTTGTGACTGTGAGGGGGTTCAACCCCTGCCCACACCCCCTGTAAAAATGGCTGAATGTTTTTGTTCCTCTTGGGAGAACACACACCCAGTTTCCCAGCAGAGCCCAAGCTCTGGGGCCAGACAGCCCTCCCTTGAGTCCTTGCCTGCCCTGAGCAGTGGTGTGCCCCTGGGCACCCTCCTTCAGCTCCGTATCTGCACCTGGGAAGTACCTGGCAGCGGGAAGACTGTGCAGGTTCAGGATGTGAAGGGGTCTGGGTAGCACCCAGCTTTGTGAGGAGGAGATCCTGCTGACCGGGTGCTGAGTGCTCTGGCTCCCTCATTACTGGAAGGAAGCCCTCCTCCCTCCTGACAGAGACGCCCCTGCCCCACAGGACTTTCTAAGGGGCACAGAGCTCCCTGACTTGCCCCTTCCCAGAATTCTGGCTCTCCTGCTGCACCTATCTGATAATTTGGCACAGGTGCACAATCCCAGGTGCCCTCAAGTGGGTCTGCCTCCTCTGACTCTACCTGGCTCTTGGCTCTGTGAGCACAGAGCTGGGGTGTTGTCAGACACAATCGCAGCTGCCAGGTCCCAAGGCATGCTGGAACCTGGAAGTGTGGGAAGGCAGAAGGCTGGGAAACAGCCCCTCTGAGGAGCCTTCTATAACCCACCCCTGACCTCAGAGCAGAAGCATAGAGGTGGAACAGGATGACAAGGCTGTCTGCCCCTTCGTCTGAGACCACAATGTGCCTGGTGGATGAAGGGACAGGGCAATGGCAGCTGTTTCTGCTGCTTGCCCTCCATCCTGCCATCTTCTGTTTTTCTTTGGAGGCTCACAGGTCTCCTTCTGTCAGGGTCCAGGTGGTTTAGGTGGGGCTGACCCTGGGGCCTAGTCCTTGGTCAGCACATATGGCATTGCCCTGGCGGTCATGAGGGCCTCAGAGCCATCTGACATAGAGCCCGATCAGAGTTTGGCAAAGTGGGTAGAAATACACCACAGATTGTGTGTAGTTTACAAGGACCTCACTTTAATGACATAGGCAGGTTAAAAGTAAAAGATTAGAAAAGATAATAGGATGCAAATGCTAATTGTTTTACAGTAGAAGTGTTTATATAAATATCAGATAAAGTAGACTTCAGAGCTAAGAAAATTACTAGTGACAAAGGGAGGCATTATATCATGAGAAAAAGCTCAATCCACCAGGAAGACATAATGGTCCTAACTAAACAACAGAGCCTCAAACTGCACAAGGGAAAACTAGGAGAGCTGAAAGGACAAACAGCCAAATCCACAGTTATAGTTGGCTTTGAGCACGTGACCTCAGCCATCCAGTCAGAGAGAGCCTGGTGTGTGGGAGGCTGCTGGGTGGGGTGGGAGACTGCTATCCTGTGACCCTGCAGAGGCACCCACACGGGGAATGCGGCTCCAGGACCAAGAGGGAGGGTGACCATCACATCCTGTCCGAGTCCAGAGCCAGCGTCTCTGCCTTTTCCCCCAGGGCCTTTGCACATCCCCGCTGGTGCCAGGCAAGGTTCCGGCCACCGCAGCACATGCTCATCGAGAACACAGGCTGCGAGTGACATCTCTGACCCTCGGCTTCTTATTCTGTAGACTCCACCACTGTCTCGGGGCATAATGGTGAGAGCTACACGAGACAACTGACATAAGACCTACCACCTTGCCTGTCACACAGTTGGTGCTCAATACATGCAAGCTCCCTGTCCCTGGGCGCAGAAAAAGAGACTGAGTCCTGGGAGTGAAGAGGTGGAGGGAGGCCACTGGTGTGTGCAGGAGCCTCCAGACACAGCTGACATTCAACAGCCCACCCTGCCCCCAGCCCCAACGGGCTGAATGAGAGGCGTCAGAACCACTAATCCCCGGGTTCATTTCAGTGGCCCTCAAGTGTTCTCTATCTGAAAGTTATCATGGCAGAACCTCAACTAAAGGCAGAGAAGACACAATCTCCTCCACACATTGGTATTAGGTTTGACTATCATGAACAGAAAATCCAAAGTTATAGTAGCTTAAGAGAGATCAAAATTTATTTCTCTTTCATATAAAAGATGCAGAGGTAGGAATGAAGGACCCCGGTCCTTCTGTCTTTCTGCTCAGCCTTCCTCAATCCACTGCTTCCATCCGGTGGTCAAAGATGGCTGCTTGAGCACCAGCCATCACAGCTGCCATTCCAGCAAGCAGGAAGTAGTACAAGTGGCAAAGAAGGGCTCACCATCTTCTATTTACATCACTTCCATGAAGTCCCATGTGGAATTTCTGCTGTGATGCCATTAGCCATACCAACCTGCACAGGAGGCTGGGAAATAGAGACTGCTCATGCATCCACCCATATGATTATGAGTAAGCATGCATGGAAGAGTGGGCCATAGGGATATAACCATTCTCTGCTGCTCTTGCAGCCCGGGTGAGCACTGACCCCTTTTAGCCTCTGTGTGTATTTCCTTGTCATCACTCCTGAGCCATGATCAAATCTATTCTTGTTCTGGCTGGGTCTCCACCATCCTCAGGGGAGCAAAAGAAGGTGTCCTGAGCCCCAGATGGCCCAGACAGTGCAGCAGGGCCCAGGTCAGCAGGGGATGGCTGTGGTAATTAGTGGTGGATTCTTAGGGAGAAGGGTTCACATCTCAGCTGCTCCTGCTCCATGAGAACTGGGTCTCTCTCCAGAGCTTCCCTGTGAGACAGATGCCTTTCCTCAGGGACCACACTCATTTCTGAAGCTCCCGCTATGCACTGACAGCTGTCTGTGAGGTCGTGTTGGTGCAGTGGGAAAAGCCCAAGACTTGGAGCTGGAAAGATGTGGGTTTGAATCCCAGCTCTGCCGCCTACTTGCTGTGTGACCTTATGAGGGGGTGAGGGTGGTCCTACCAGCTTGGCAGCCTCCGTTTCTTCATCTGTAAAGTGGGGAAAGGATTGTTGATGATGGAGGGGTGCTAGGAGTAGCAGCTGGACAGCACATCCACCTACTCCTCATGCATTTATGGAGCACCTCTTGTATGCCAGCATGTGCTTTGTCTCCAGGGATAGGAGCAAGAAGGTGGCCAGCCAGACAGAACTCCCTTGACTTTGGCCTAAGAGGGTGGAAAGGCAGTGGAAACAACCCCAAGGGGAAGTGTGCTACCAAGGAGTCCCGGATGTCCCAGAAGCCTGCCTAGGGCACCAGGAAGCCTGGGGTCAGGGCATGCCTCCTGGAGGAAGCTGCAGTCGCTGAGGCCTGAAGTCTGAATCGAGTCCCTTAGGCATTGCAGTAGGCAGCCTTGCAGTCCCTTCTACATGGACCAGGGTTGTGTGTGAACAATGTGTTTGAGTCTCTTAGGGCTGCCATGACAAAGTACCACAAACTGGGTGGCTTAAAACCACAAGAAGTTATTTTCTCACAGTTCTGGGGCCAGGCCAGGATCAGTGTGTTGGTCAGGTTGTTTCCTTCTAGGTGCTCTGACAGAGAATCCTTTCCATGTTTCTCTCCCAGCTGTCAGTAATCCTTGGCATTCCTTTGCTCCTAGAGGCATCACTCCAGTCTCTGTCTCCATTCTCACACAGCCCTCTGACTGTGTCCTCTGGGTATCTGTGTCCTCATGCAGCCTTTCTGTTAGAATGCCACTCATTGAATTTAGGACCCAGCCTAATCCAGTATGACCTCATCTTAACTAATTACATCTCTAAATACACTATTTTCAAATAAATTCATATTCTGAGTTTCTGGGTACACCTGCATTTTGATGGATATTTTCTTTTTTTTAATTTTTGAGACGAGGTCTCACTCTGTCACCCAGGCTAGAGTGCAGTGGTGTGATTACAGCTCACTGCAGCCTCAACCTCCTGGGTTCAAGTGATCCTCCCACCTCAGTCTCCCTAGTAGCTAGGACTACAGGCATGTACCATCATACTCAGCTGATTTCTAATTTTTTTGTAAAGACAGGGTTTTGCCATGTTGCCCACTCTGGTCTTGAACCCCTGGACTCAAGCATCCCACCCACCATGGCCTCCCAAAGTTCTGGGATTACAGGCATGAGCCACTGCACTCAGCTTTGATGGATGTTTTCAAACCAATACACAACAGCATATGGCAGAGGTGATGGCATATCACTTCCAAAATTAGGTTATAAAAGACTGCGTGCCTTCCATCTTAACTCTCTTTCTCAGATCACTCACTCTAGGGGAGGTTAGTCTCCATGTTGTAAGCCCTCTCAGAAGCCTGTGGAGAGGTCCACATGGTGAGAAGCTGAGGCCTCCAGCCAACAGCCATGGGAGTGAGTCCAAGCTCTGATCCAAGTCAGAAGCAGATCCTCCAGTCTCAGTCAGGCCTTCAGATGAGACCACAGCCCTGGCTAACAGCTTACCTGCATCCTCACAATAGAACTAAGCCAGAGCCACCCAGCAAAGTTGCTCCTGCCTTCCAGATTCACAGGAACTGTGCAGTTATAAGTGTTTGTTGTTCTCAGTTGCTAGGTTTTAGGGTAATGTGTTATGCAGCCATAGTGAGACAGCACAGATGAGGGGAGGGAAGGAGAATGCTCCAGGCACAGGGAAGAGCATGAGCAAGGCCTTGCACGCAGTGGAGTCTGAGAGGCTAGTGGGAATATGCCTGGAGGTGGGGCCAGAGCAGTTGGCCCTGGCCTGGAGGCTTCCTGACCAGGCCTGGCATCCAGCACATCCTCCATAAACAAAGCTGATCACTGACATTTCTAGGATGGGCTGCAGATGGTGCCTCTCCTCTAGCCTCCTGCACATTTTAGAGGAAATATCTTCCTTGACGACAGCATGGGGGTGTCCGTATTGCCCCTCCCTGTGCTGCCTTTTGTTTATGTCATGTTTTGTTATTTCTGGGTTCCCCGTTTACAGTCACCAGATGTTGGCTGCTTTTAACCCTGTTGGCTGGCACTAGTAGAGTTCTAAGGAAGAGACGCTGCCCAATGTTGCAGAGAGTTATAAATGAGTCCATTAAGGGAGGTGGATTTGCTAAAAGGTTGCCTTCGCTCCACCTGGTCCAAGCATCGCTCACATGATCGATGATTCCAGAGCCTTCAGACACGTCTTAAACTTTGGTGCATTTTTAATGCCTCAAAAGTTTCCAATTAAAGTCAAATGGCTCTTGGCAAAGTCCAAGACATTTTTACTAACTAAAATAAATACCTAAGCAGCCTCCACAGTTTATGACTTCACGCGGGTGAGGATAAGCAGTTAGGAGGTTGGGGTTAGGAACGTGTTAGGAATGGGAGGCCCAGGGAACTCATGAAAGTCTCCCAGAAAACAGTGCTGGCGTGGAGCTTTTTGAAAAGCACACTTCCGCTTTTCATCTTCATCGGCCAGGGGAGAGGCAGGGGGTGATGTGGGAAAGGTCACAAGGAGGAAGGTGCCAGACCAAGGTCAGAAGGCTGCAGCCAGCTCCAGCTTTGCCATGTGTACTTTCTGAGCCTGTTTCTGCACTGAGCTCCTGGTGAGATTTAACTGAGCAGGTATGTGAGGTCTCTAGAAGGTGCCTGCCACAGGGAGTCCCCAGGGAGTCAGCAGTCAGGGCTATCACCCCTTCTGCAGGTGACCGCTTCACCTGATGGCCCCCAGCACTCGGAATGGCCAGATGCCTTCTCTCCTCTGCTTCCTCCTCACCCCTCTCATTTACATACCTGGCAGGGCACATAAATTCCCAGGACACACACAGGTCTGATTTCAACAGCTTGTTGGTATCTTGGAGGAGGAGCAGCTCTGAAGAGCTCAGTGTCTCATTATGAGAAGAGAAGCCCTTGCTTTAGAGTATTTAGTACCTAGAAGGTTCAGCTAGACTCCTGGACAAAGGGGAGGTCCCCTCCTTCTCTCCCAGCCTGAGGTGTTAGCCTTTCCTGGGAACCTCTCTTCTTCCCTGAAGGCTCTGCCTTTCTCTTGCTCATTGACAATAGGAAGGCCACCCCCTTCCAGGAACCAAGAGTCCTACCGAAGGGGTAAGCAGGGCTAATGGGCCCCAGGTAGGGGTGTTCAGGAGGTTCCTCCAGGGAGCTGGTCTGGAAGGTGGAGGGGAGGGCAGCTCGGGCAGGGCCTGGCCCCACTGGGTGGGAAAGGCCAGTTCCTGGGGCAGCTGGCACTCCAGGCACATGATCAGTATGCGTGGCTTGATCTGAGAGTGGGAAGACACACCATCTCCCATGACGTTCCCTGTGTGCCTCCTTCTTTAAGAACTTGTGCATCAACGGGTCAAGACCAATGTAGGTCGACACTGCACGGAGAGGATCCAGTTTGCAAGCTGGGAATTTTGGGCAAGTTGCATGAACTCTTTCAGCTCAGAATCCTGGACAATGCCAAAGTAGTGTTAACAGATGAGAAAGAAGTATCTGCAGCAGGGCTGGGCAGGTTGTGGTGGCTGCACTTGGCAGGTCAGGTCCTGGGGGCAGTAGTTGGCCTGAGACCTCCATTCTCAGCAACCCACGGCCAGCGAGCCTCCTGACTCAGACTGAGGATACACCCTGCCTCAGGCCCTCTGTGAATCATACAAGTCCTCGAGACTGGGCTACGGGGTCCTGTGAGACCTGAGAAGACCCTGGCATAAGGAGGGCAGCCTAGCCAACCCTTCTGACTGCTGCCTGCCCGGCAAGGTCCCATCTGCACTCAGCAGGCTCAGAAGAGAGGGTGGTGTGACCACACTCTGCAGATGGCAATACTGGGGCACCAAAGGGACATGGTTTCTCCAAGGTCCCAGGGAAGGGCCGAGCTGGGGATTGAGACCAGCTGTGACACCACCCAGGCCACCTCTGCTGTGCTGGGTCTGCCCTCTGACCACCCAGAGGCTGGGGTGAGCTCTAGCAGGCAGAAGTGGGCAGCATGGTGCCCAGCTCTGGCCAGCCCGGGCAACAACTGCTTCACAGAGCCAGAGTCCTGGACCTACGTGAGAGCCCAAGGATTGCTGGGCTGTCCCAGGGTACGGTGCTGGCTCTGACCACGGGGGTGCTGGGAGCTCTTCCAACACAGCAGCTGCTGACCACCTCCCGTGCTCACCTTGCCAGACCCATGTGATACTCTGAGGTGCCCGGCCGCTCCTACACCCTCCCACTGAGCTCTCACAGGTGTGAGAACCCCTGCAGACCCCTGGTCCTCATGTCCACATCCCCCACTAACTCCTCTTTCTGGGCCCTCCTCTGCCTGTGCCTCCTCACCCTGCACAGCATGTGTGGTTTCTTATTTTACCGCTATTTGTGGAGCCAGCACAGTGTGCCATGGGAGGAGCCCGGGTCCCTGTGGGGGTCATGGGGCCACATCCTGCAGCCAGTCCCAGGGCTTACCCATTGCCCAGCCCAGCCACAATTCCCACAGCCTCACTCCAGGTTCAGCATGTCCCTTAGAAGCAAGGGATTATCCACTGCACAGATGGGTTTTGAGGGGCATGTGACCAGATGGTGACAGCTGTGCCTCCTTGGTGCCACGCAAGGAGCACAGAGGATCTGACCTTTTGAGTCATCAGTATTGCTCTGTTCAGCCACTGTCCTAGGCATCCTAGGTGGGGGAACTTCTCCAAGGTCTGGGAGCTCAAGGATGCTGCCAGGGGACAAGGACAGCAGAACCTCCACTCCGGCCCTGGCATTCCCAAACCCCGTCACCCACTCTGTCCTGTGTGTGTGTGCCTGCATGTGTGTGTGCATGCGTGTGTGTGTGGCAGCTTGAGACAAAGAGACACTCCCAGCCTCTGGGGTTGTTGCTCAGGTTCCAACTCTGTCCCACCATGAGTTGCTGTCATTTCCTTAGACTCAGCTTCCCTCAGCAATATGGGGTAGCTAGAAGAATCGCTACAAGCAGACAGTGGGGAAACTGGGGCTCGGGGCTTGGGGCTCAGGGCTTTTCTGGGCCCAGGCTGCATCTGGTTGGAGCTGTGGGAGTCATAAAGAATGAAGTTGTGGCTCCAGAGAAAGACTGTACCATGGGATTTTATGAAAAGAAAAAATGCAAATGTTAATCTTGTTTCCTCACGAAAGAATCCTTGATGGGATCAGTCAATAGGGCCATTCCATGGAGTGCACTGACTATTTCAAGGGGGCAGGGGCCTTACCCTACTCCTTTTAAATATTTCTTCTATTTTTGAAACCTCCTTTTCCGGTTTTTCTTTGTTTTGAATTATAAATTGCTTAATTGCCCTTTTCTCTTGTTACTCTGTGGTGTTTGTAACTAATATTTTGACAATTCTGGAAAATCCAAGAAACAGAACTAACAGTCCGAGGGTGCCAGGGTGGGCAAGGGTGTGAGCAACACAGGCTCCTGCCCCATGACTGGGTATGTGACTTGGCCCTGGCACTTGGAAACCGGTGTGACATCAGCTAGCAGAGCTAACAGATGCCTGCCCTAAACCCAGCAATTCCACTCCTGGGTGAGTCCCCACACATATGTACCCAGAGACAGGCACAAAAATGCTCCCAGGAACTTTGTTCAGAGTAGCAAAGGAGTGAGGCAGCCTTTGGCAGTAGAGTGGACAAATTGTGTGAATTCATACAACAAAAACAACACATTGAGGACAAATTCATTACAGTTACATACTTAGCCATGTGTGAATCTTAAGAACATGATGTTGAGTGAAGAGGCCAGTCACAAAAAATATATATCACATGGTTCCATTTTTATCAAGTCTGAAAGTATGCAAAATTACACACTGCAGCATTTAGGGATGCAGACACACACGGTGAGATGAAATCTGAACAAACAAGGGAATTGTTAACACAGAATTAGGGTGGTGGTTACCTCTAGATTGAAGGGATGCCCACGGGCATTTCTATTTCTTAAGCCAAGTGATGGGGCATAGATGGGCATTTCTTAGTATTCTTTACCCCTTATATGTGTGTTATACATCATCATTCCTAAGACTTCACTATTATTGAAAATAATTGAGGAGTTTATTATTTTACTTCCCTTCATGTGCTAACAGCCCAGGGGCCCACCCTGAGATACACAGCCCGGCTCACCTTCCTCCCTGCCTGCTGGCCTCACTCTCTCTTTTTCCCGCAGATCCTGGCCAAACAGGATGGCTTTGCTTTTCCTCTAGGGTCTAGCCAGAGGCCTCTCTACTGTAGCCATAGGGAAGACTCCCCGATCTCGTCCTCCACATCTGCTCTCAGAATGAACAAGGGATTCATGATAAAACATTCTGATTTAATATTCTCAGCGTGTCCTCCCTGTCCCATCAGTTCATTCTGGGTGTCCTGTCCTCTCTCTACCCCTCCCAATACACCGGGAAAATGCTCCCGGAGGCTCCCAGTTAATAGTGGGGACGTCCTGACCAGAATGCAGATGCTTCACTTGGTGTCCTTGGCCCGGTCTTGCCAAGCATCCAGCCTGTCCCTGGGTGTGATCAGCTTCTCCTTCCCTGGGGTCCAGACCCTTCTTCCTAAGGCTCATCACCATCAGAACAGGCTGTGGAGCTGCTCTGCAGTCAGGACACAGGCCCTTGGGGGCGTCCCATGGCACTGGGTCTGTGGCTGTGATTGGCCAGAAACACAGGGGCTCAGTCCCCCAAGTAATGGGCACCCCATTTTTTTCAACACTGGGTGTTATGAGTTGAATAGCACTCAGTTATGAGTTGAATGACCCCCCACCAAATTTATGCTGAAGTGCTGACCCCCAGGACCTCAGGATGTGACCTTATTTGGAAATAAGACTGTTGCACAGGTAATTTGTTAAGAAGCCGTACTAAAGCAGAGTGGGTCCTAATCCAACATGACATATTCTTACAGGAGGAGAGACATAGACACAGATCCACAGGGGGAAAAGGCCATGTGACCACAGAGGCAGAGATGAAGTGCTGCAGCCATAAGCCAAGGAACTCCAAGATTGCAGGTCACCACCAGAAGCTGGAAGAGGCATGAAGGATCTTCCCCTGGAGACTTCAGAGTGAGTGCGGCCCTGCTGACACCTTAATTCCAGATTTGCAGGCTCCAGAACTGTGAGAATAAATTTCTATTTTTTTAAGACACCAAGTTTGTGGTGGTTTGTGACGGCAGCTCAGGAAACGAACACGCTGGCTATCTCATCACCAAATAAAGCTAAAACCACCTGAAATTCCATCACCCAGAGGAAATTGCAGCTTCTGACAGCCGCACCTCCCGAGTAGTTCCTGTGCATAGCCACTGCACTGATTTATAGCACCGAGGCGTGCTTCTCGGGCTGCTCTGAAACCTGCTTGCAGATATACGGTAGATATTTACACATGGATCTACAGCATGGATTCAAATGAGTGCAGCATTGCGTGCATGGAAAGAACAGCCTTTAACAAAGCTGCTGTTGGTGTATACTAAGGTTATTTCTTCGCTCCCTCCCTCTCCCTCTCTCCCTCTCTTATATCTTCTCTCTCTCTCTTTCCCTACACACTCCTGCTCTCTCTCTCTCTCAAACTTCCCTGACTCTGTAAAGAAATGAGAAAACACAGACCTTTCTGATCACCAATGTTTTTAAATGCCTGTGTATTAATGACTGGTGAGTATGTGTGTTGACGAGTGGAAGGCAATCTTTCTTGTCTTAAATGAGAAAAAGTCATAGGAAAAATGGGCTTTGTGTTGTCAAACATTAGCCTGAGCAGACGCCCTCTGAGCGCCCGACTCTAGGGGCTTCCTGAAACCAATTGCATTTTTCCTGAAGGAGTGTGTTTAACGTCAGCACCCTGAGGAGCTTGGCCGAGAAGAGCCCCGAAGGCCAAATATTTACACAGCCAACCCCAGAGCCCCATGGAAATGACCTCATGAACGTTGTTTCTAATTCATAAGACATGGTGATGAATAGTGAATAGGAGCCGCAGCCTCTCTAATCCTCACTCCAACACTCAGGGAATGGGTTCCTGGGTGGGGAGTGAGCTGGGGACTGCAGGGGGAAAAGACTTTGGTGTCCTGCAGGAGTGGGTTTCAATCTTGGCTCCAACTTCCTTGTTGTGTGACCTTAGATAGGTCATTGCAGCTTTCTGAGCCTCATTTCCTTCTATAAAATGTACATGAAATGGATGTCAACTCCCAGATTTATGGAGAGGATGGAATGTAATGATGAATGGATGAATGTAAACCTCTGTCCACATGCCAGCGGGCAGTGGGGCAGGGGGCTTAATGAATGGCTATAAAGGCCTCAGGAGAGAGCCACCCTGGCTTGCTGAGGGTTAAATCAGATGGTGGAGCAGATTCTAGGCAAACAGCAAACCAATAGGAGGTGTCACTAATATTCTCTTTACTCTTCAATTTGGCAACCACCAGTTAGAGAGCTGCTGATTTGTGACTGTCCTCTGGCCCACCATCCAGTCTCTGCCTGTATCCTCAGCCTACATCCAACTGGACAAATACTGCATTTTCCTTGTCCCTTGGGTCGAATATCTCTGAGAAGCATATTCTACATTGGGTCATGGGGATCTCTAGTGGGATTAAGCTGCAGTTGCCTACAGTGGTATGTTTCTTAAAAATGTACCTTCTACTTCTCTGCCTGCCCTTCCCTCTTTTATGACCCTACTCCCCTTTTGGTATTTCCTGGAATTATGCCTCAAATAAGCTACTTGCACTTGTAATGCTTGTCCACAGGTTGGCTTCTGGAAAAGCCCAAAAGGATGTGTCTTCTTCATCTCTGAATCAACCAAACTTCAGTTCCCATGGCCTGCAAGAACTGTCTCCCTGTTCTCAGCAAATTGTACCCCATTCTTCCAATCACTCAAACCCAAACTCTGGAAATATCTTTGATCCCTTTCTTCATTGACTTCACATCTCATCCATCACCAATATTCTCTTGCCTCTAACTTCAAAACATATCCAGAGTCTCTGCATATCATATTCATATTGCTGAAAAGCAATTGTAACAGGAAAAATCTAAGAGAAAAAAGAAGCATTGTATACAGAAGTACAAAGATAAGAAAAACAGCTGACTTCTTCTCAGAATCTATGCAAGTCAGAAAAGAGTGGAGGCAAAATGAAGGTAAAGACAACACCAAATGCAGGTGAGCAGATCAACAGGAACTCTCATTCGTTGCTGATGGGAGTGCAAAATGGTACAGCCACTTTGGAAGAAAATCTGGCAGTTTCTTACAAAGCTAAACATCCTCCTGCAATACAATCCTCAGGTAATTCCCTTGGTATTTACTCAAATGAACAGAAAACTTATGTCCATGCAAAATCCTGCACACAAATGTTTATAGTGGTTTATCCATAAGTGCCCTAAACTGAAATAAATCGATATTTTTCAATAGGTGAATGAACAAACTGTGGTATGTCCATACAATAAAATATTATTCAGCACTAAAAAGAAATAAGTGATTAAGCTGCAAAAATACATGGAGGAAACATTTACGTATGTTGCTAAGTGAAAGAAGCCAATCTGAAAATGTTGCATACTGTGTGATTTCAACTATATGACATCTTGAAAAAAACAAAACTATGGAGGCAGTAAAAAGATTAGTAGTAACCAGGGGGGAGGGAGAGAGGGAGGGATAAATACGTGAAGCACAGAGAATGTTTAAAACAGTGAAACTATTCTATATTATACTGTAATGGTGGATACATGTCATTATACAATTTTCAAAACCCGCAGAATGTACAACTGAAGAGTGAACCCTAATATAAACTATGAACTTTAGTTAATAATAATGTATCATTGGCTCATCAATTATAATACATTTACAACACCAGTGCAAGATGTTAGTAATGGGGGAAACTGTGTATGTTTGGGGGAGGATGAGGTGTAGGAGAACTCTCTGTATTTTCTGCTCAATTTTTCTGTAAACCTAAAACTTCTAAAAACTAGAGCCAATCACTTAAGAAAAGATGACATCAAAGATTTTCAATTTCTGTTCTAATAAGTAAGAAACCTGGAAGTCATCACTCCTGTCCCCACAATGAAGAAAGGTGAACAAATGGAAAATCAAGAACTCTTAAATCCATCCGAGAATTGAATTCATAGAGGAAATGGCCACAGTTAAAACTGCAGAGTTGGACTACACCCAAAACAACAGAATATACACTCATTTCTTTGCCACATGGCACATACTCTAAAATTGATCACATAATTGGAAGTAAAGCACCCTTCAGTAAATACAAAAGAGCTGAAATGATAACAAACAGCCTCTTAAATATAGCACAATCAAATTAGAAATTAAGACTAAGAAATTCACTCAAAACCATACAATTACATGGAAATTCAATAACCTGCTCTTGAAGGACCTTTGGGTAGATAATGAAATTAAGGTAGAAATCAGAAGTTCTTTGAAACTAATGAGAACAAAGATACAACATACCAGAATCTCTGGGACACAGCCAAGGCAGTGTTAAGAGGGAAATTTATAGCACTGAATGCTCCCATAGAAAGGTTAGAAAGATCTCAAGGTAACACCTAACAACACGACTAAAATAACTTGAAAACCAAGAGCAAATCAATCTCAAAGCTAGTAGGAGACAAGAAATAACCAAAATCAGAGCTGAACTGAAGGAGATTGAGACATGAAAAAGCATTCAAAAGATCAACTAATCCAGGAGCTGGTTTTCTTGAAAAAAATAATATAATAGATCACTAGCTAAACTAACAAAGAAAAAAAGAGAGAAAATCCAAACAAAACACAATTGGAAACGACAAGGGGGATGTCACCACTGACCCCATAGAAATACAAACAACCATCAGAGAATATTATGAACACCTCTATGCACATAATATCTAGAAGAAATGGATAAATTCCTGGACAAATACACACTCCCAAGACTGAACCAGGAAGAAATTGAATCCCTGAACAGACCCATAACAAGCTCTGAAATTGAGTCAGTAATAAATAGCCTACCAACCAAAAAACAAACAAACAAACAAACAAACAAAACCCTAGAATCAGACAAATTCACAGCTGAGTTCTACCAGATATACAAAGAAGAACTGGTACCATTCCCGCTGAAACTATTCTGAAAAACTGAGGAGGAGGGACACCTCCCTAACTCATTCTATGAGGCCATCATCATGCTTATACCAAAACCTGACAGAGACACAACAATAAAAAGAAAACTTAGTTCTTCACAGGACTAAGAAAAACTATTTTAAAATTCATATGGAACAAAAAAAGAGCCCAAAGAGCCAAGGCAATCCTAAGCAAAAAGAACAAAACTGGAAGCATTATGCTTCTCAACTTAAAACTATTCCTCAAAGGTAATTCCTCAAAGACCTAAAAATGGAACTTAAAACTACAAGCCTATAGTAACCAAAACAGCATAGCACTGGTACAAAAACATGCATAGACCATGGAACAGAATAGAGAATGCACAAATAAGGCCACACACCTACAACTATCTGATCTTTGACAAACCTGACAAAAACCTGACAAAAACAAGTAATGGGGAGAGGACTCCCTGTTTAATAAATGGTGCTGGGAAAACTGGCTAGCCATATCCAGAAGATTGATACTGACCCCTTCTTTACACCATACACAAAAATTAACTCAATATGGATTAAAGACCTAAGTGTAAAATACAAACCTACAAACCCTCTGGAAGACAACCTAGGCAATAGCATTTTGGACATAAAATGGGCAAAGATTTCATGACGAAGATGCCAAAAGCAATTGCAACAAAACAAAAAATAGACAAATGGGATCTAATTAAACTAAAGAGCTTCTGCACAGCAAAAGAAACTATCAACAGAGTAAACAGGCAACCTACAGGATGGGAGAAAAAATTTGCAAACTATGCACCCGACAAAGGTCTCGTATCCAGCATCTATAAGAAACTTGAGCAAATTTACAATAAAAACCAAACAACCCTATTAAAAAATGGGAAAAGGACATGAACAGACACTTTTGAAAAGAAGATATACATGTGGTCAACAACCTTATGAAAAAAAGCTCAACATCACTGATCATTAGAGAAATGCACATCAAAACCAAATAAGATACCATCTCATACCAGTCAGAATGGCTGTTATTAAAAAGTCAGAAAATAACGATGCTAGGGAGATTGTGGAGAAAAAGGAATGCTTATACACTGTTGGTGGGAGTGTAAATTAATTCAACCATTGTGGAAGACAGTGTGATGATTCCTCAAAGACCTAAAAACAGAACTACCTTTAGACCCAGCAATCCTATTACTGGATATATACCCAAAGGAATATAAATCATTCTATTATAAAGACACATGCACGTGTATGTTCATTGCAGTGCTATTCACAATAGCAAAGACATGGAATCAACCTAAATACCCATCAATGGTAGACTGGATAAAGAAAATGTGGTACATATACACCCTGGAATATTATGCAGCCATAAAAAAGAATGAGATTATGTCCTTTGCAGGGACATGGATGGAGCTGGAGGCCATTATCCTCAGCAAACTAACACAGGAAGAAAAAATCAAATACCACATGTTCTCACTTATAAGTTGGAGCTAAATGATGAGAACACATGGACACATGGAGAATAACAGACACTGGGTTCTATCAGAGAGTGGAGGGTGGAAGGAGGGAGAGGATCAGGAGAAATAACTAATGGGTACTAGGCTTAATACATGGGTTATGAAATAATCTGTACAATAAACCCCCATGACACAAGTTTCCCTATATAACAAACTTGCACATATACCCTGAAAGTCAAAATAAAAGTTAAACTTTAAAAATGTAAAAAACATTTTAAAAACTGGAGAGTTAGGAAGGTACTGAAGAGTTAGGTTAGAATTACAGCTTACCATAAGCTGAAGCTACTGCTAAAGTCAGTGACTGTAGAAACACTTGGAGTAATTGGCTTCATAGCTCATGTTTTATTGTTTTTGAGAATTGGAACCATTTCTTCCTTAAACATTTGGCACTATTCAGGAGTGAACTCATATGAGCTTGGCGCTGTCTATTCAGAAAGTTATTAATTATTAAGTCCTTTAATAGACATAGGACTATTCAGGTTACCTATTTCTCCTCATGTGAGTTTTGGTAGTTTGTGTCTTTCAAGAAATTGGTCCCTTTGATCTAAGTTGTCAAATTTGTGTACATATAGTTGTTCACAGAATTCTTTTATTATCCATTTATTATCTTTGAGATCAGTAGTAATGACCCCTCTTTCATTTCTGATATTAGTAATTTGTATCTTCTCTCTTCTTTTCTTCATTAGCCTGTCTAGAGGTTTATCAATTTTATTGATCTTTTCAATAACTAGCTTTTGGTTTTGTTGATTTTCTTTAACTGTTTCCTGTTTTTAGTTCGTTGATTTCTGCTCTAATATTATTGTTAGTTTTCTTCTGCTTACGTTGGACTTAATATGCTCTTTTTTCTGGTTTCCTAAGGCGCAAGTTTAGATTATTGATTCTAGGTATTTCTTCTTTGTAATGTATGCATTCAATGCTACACATTTTCCTCTAAGCATTGCCCTCTCTGCACTCCACAAACCTTGATGTTTTATTTTCATTTTATTTCATTCAAAATACTTTGAAAATGCTTTTGAGACTTCTTTAACCCATGGGTTATTTAAAAGCATGTGGCTTAATCTCCAAATATTTATGGATTTTTCAACTTTGTTTCTATTATTTCTTTATAGTTTAATTCCATTGTGGCCTGAGAGCATACTTTGTATCATTTCTATTCTTTTAAATGTGTTGAGGTGTGTTTTATCACCCAGAATGTGTCGTATCCTAATGAATATACCATGTGAGCTTAAGAAGAATGTGCATTTTGCTGTTGTTGCATGTAGTATTATAACAACATCAATTTGATCCAGTTGATTGATGGTGCTATTCACTTCAACGGTATTCTTACCAATTTTCTGTCTGCTGTAGCTGTTAATTAATGACAGAGGGGTGTTGGTGTGTTGAATTCACCAACTATCATAGTGTTGTCTATTTCTTCTTGCAGTTCTATCAATTTTTGCCTCACGTACTTTGATGCTCTATTATAAGGTACAAACACATTGAGAATCGCTATGTCTAATCAAAACCACAATGAGATACCATCTCACGCCAGTCAGAATGGTGATTATTAAAAAGTCAGGAAACAACAGATGCTGGAGAGGATGTGGAGAAATAGGAACCTTTTTACACTGTTGGTGGGACTGTAAATTAGTTCAACCATGGTGGAAGACAATGTGGCGATTCCAAGGATCTAGAACCAGAAATACCATTTGACCCAGCAATCCCATTACTGGGTATATACCCAAAGGATTATAAATCATTCTATTATAAAGACACACACACATGTATGTTTATTGCAGCACTATTTACAATAGCAAAGACTTGGAAGCAACCCAAATGCCCATCAATGATAAACTGGATGAAGAAAATGTGGCACATATACACCATGGAATACTATGCAGCCCTAAAAAAGAATGAGTTCATGTCCTTTGCAGAGACATGGATGAAGCTGGAAACCATCATTCTCAGCAAACTAACACAGGAACAGAAAACCAAACACCACATGTTCTCACTCCTAAGTAGGAGTTGAACAACTAGAACACATGGACACAGGGAGGGGAACATCACACACTGGGGCCTGTCAGGGGATTTGGGGGAAGGGGAGGGAGAGCATTAGGACAAATACCTAATGCATGCGGGGCTTAAAACCTAGATAACAGGTTGATATGTGAAGCAAACCACCATGGCACATGTATACCTATCCAACAAACTTACACGTTCTGCACATGTATCCCAGAACTTAAAGAAAAAAAAAAAAGAACTGCTATGTCTTTTTGGAGAATTGACACCTTCATTGTTAATTAGTGTTCCTCTTTATCCCTGATATATATATATTTTTTGCTCTGAAATCTGTGTTGTCTTAAACTAATATGGCAACTCAAGCTTTATTTAATTAGTGCATTAGCATGGTATGTCTATTTCCTTCCCTTCACTTTTAATCTGTATCTTTATATTTCAAGGGGCTTTCTCATAGACCACATATTCTTAGGTCTTTTTTAACCTACTCTGACAGATTATTCCTATTTAAAATGATTATTTATATAGTCAGATTAATATCTGCCTTATTTGTAACAGTTTTCTATTCATTGCCATTGTTCTTTGGGTTTTGTTTTTATTTTTGTCTTCTGTTTTTAATTGACTTCTCTAAACTGGGCATTTTATATTATTCCATTTTCTCTTCTTTCATAGTATGTTAATTGCACTCCTTTAAAAAATTCTTTTTTGTGGTTGGTCTAGAGTTTGCAATATACATTTACAACTAAATCAGGTCTACTTTCAAATAACACTGTACAGCTTTACAGGTAGTGCAGGTGCCTTATGACAGAGTATTCCCAATTCCTCACTCCCTTTAATATTGCTTTCATTCATTTCACTTATTCATAAGCTCTAATCAGCAAATACATCATTGTCATAATTAGTTTGAACAAACTGTTTTCCGTTAGGTTAATTAAGTCTAAGAAAAATAAAATATTTTATTTTACCTTCATTTATTCCTTCTCTAACACTATTTCTTTCTTTATGTACATCCAAATTTCTGGCCTATAATCAGTTTTTTTCTGTCTGACGAATATCTTTTAATATTTCTTATTTAAAAATTCTACTTGTGACAGATTACCTCCATTTTTGCTTTTCTGACAAAATCTTTATTTCTTTTCATTGAGATGACCACATGGCTTTTGTTTTCAATTCTGTTTATGTGATGAATCAAAATTATTGATTTGCATCTGTTGAACCAACATGGAATCCCAAAGCTCACTCAAGAAAAATTAGATAACCTGAATATTCCTGTCTGTTACCTAGATTACATAGTCCTGTGTCTGTTAACTGGATTGCATTCATAGCTAAAAACCATTTCATTAGTAACATCAACATATGTGAGTTATCTGACTAATTATACCAAATATTTAAGGAATAAATAACAGTGATTCTACATCAAATCTTTCAGAAAATACAAGAAAAGACAACACTTCTGAACTCATTTTATTGGGATAGCATTGCCCTGCTACTAAAACCAAGTTATTAGAATAAAAACACAGCAATATTCCTCATGAACACAGACCCAAAAAATGCCTAACAAGACATTTGAAACTTAAATCTAGAAATAAATATAAATAAATTATTAAAAAACCAAAACCACATTGTGTATCATGATCAAGGGATTTTGTACCATGAATGCAAGGTTGACTGAATATCTGAAATTCAATCAATGTAGTTCGTATTAACAGAATAAAGAAGTAAACCTTGTGATTAACAGAATTTTTATATATATATATTTTTTATTATACTTTAAGTTCTGGGGTACATGTGCACAACATGCAGGTTTGTTACATATGTATACATGTGCCACGTTGGTGTGCTGCACCCATCGACTCGTCTTTTACATTAGGTATATCTCCTAATGGTATCCCTCCCTGCTCCCCCCACCCCACAACAGGCGCCAGTGTGTGATGTTCGCCTTCCTGTGTTCAAGTGTTCTCACTGTTCAATTCCCACCTATGAGTGAGAACATGTGGTGTTTGGTTTTTTGTCCTTGCGATAGTTTGCTGAGAATGATGGTTTCCAGCTTCATCCATGTCCCTACAAAGGACATGAACTCATCCTTTTTTATGGCTGCATAGTATTCCATGGTGTATATGTGCCACATTTTCTTAATCCAGTCTATCATTGATGGACATTTGGGTTGCTTCCAAGTCTTTGCTATTGTGAATAGTGCCGCAATAAACATACGTGTGCATGTGTCTTTATAGCAGCATGATTTATAATCCTTTGGGTATATACCCAGTAATGGGATGTCTGGGTCTAATGGTATTTCTAGTTCTAGATCCCTGAGGAATTGCCACACTGTCTTCCACAATGGTTGGTTGAACTAGTTTACAGTCCCACCAACAGTGTAAAAGTATTCCTATTTCTCCGCATCCTCTCCAGCACCTGTTGTTTCCTGACTTTTTAATGATCGCCATTCTAACTGGTGTGAGATGGTATCTCACTGTGGTTTTGATTTGCATTTCTCTGATGGCCAGTGATGATGAGCATTTTTTCATGTGTCTGATTAACAGAATTTTTTAAGAAAGGATTTGATGAAAGTCGACACACATTCATGATAAAATTCTCAACAAACTAGGGATAGAAATAACTTCTTTAATCTGATGAAAGCATCTATAAAAAGCCTATGGCTGGTTGGGTGCAATGGTTCATGCCTGTAACCCCAGCACTTTGGGAGGCCGAGGCAGGTGGATCACAAGGTCAGGAGTTTGAGACCAGCCTGGTCAACATGGTGAAACCCCGCCTCTACTGAAAATACAAAAATTAGCTTGGCGTGGTGGCAGGCACCTGTAATCCCAGCCACTCTAGAGGCTGAGGCAGGAGAATTGCTTGAACCTGGGAGGCAGAGGCTGCAGTGAGTCGAGACTGGTCCACTGCACTCCAGCTTGGGACACAAGAGCAAGACTCTGTCTCAAAAAATATATATATATAAAATTATATATTATATATTTAATATATTATATATAATATAATAATATATTATATATAATATATATTATATATAATATATAATATATTATATATAATATATATTATATATTATATATAATACTATATAATATATATTATATATAATACTATATAATAATATATATTATATATATTACTATATATATTTGGAATTTGGAAGGGAAGAAGCAAAATTGGCCTTATTCACAAACAGCATTGTCCTCAATGTAGAAAATTCTAAGTAAATTTTCAAAAACTACTATAATGTGAGTTTAGAAAGGATATAAAGTTAATGTACAAAAATTTCTTGTCTTTCTATACATTTGCAATGAATATTTGGAAATTGAAAATGAAATTAACATTTTCAAAAGCATCAAAAATATGAAATACTTAGAAATTTAACAAAGTTTATGCAAAATATGTACACTGTAAATTATAAAATATTGCTGAAAGAAATTGAAGACTTAAATAAATAGATATAGCATGTTCATAAGTCAGAAGGCTCAATATTATTAAAATGCCCATATTCCCAGGAATGCGAGAGTGGTTCAAAATAAGAGAACTGGTGGGCATGGTGGCTTATGCCTGTAATCCTAGCACTTTGGAAGACTGAGGCGGGCAGATCACCTGAGGTCAGGAGTTCATGATGAGCCTGGCCAACATGTGAAACCCTATCTCTACTAAAAATACAAAAATTAGCCGGGCATGGCAGCAGGCACCTGTAATCCCAGCTACTCAGGAGGCTGAGGCAGGAGAATCGCTTGAACCCAGGAGGCAGAGATTGCAGTGAGCAGAGATTGCGCCACAGCACTCCGGCCTGGGTGACAGAGCGAGACTCCATATCGAAAAAAAAAAAAAAAAAGAAAAAAGAAAACCAATCAGTGCAATATACTACATTAATAAAGTGAAGGAAAAAAGTCAAACGATTATCTCAGTTGATGCAGAACAAGCATTTGGGAAAAAAGCTCAACATTCTTTCATGGTGAAAATATTCAGAAAACTAGGAATAGAAGGGAACTTCCCTAACATAATAAGGGATTTATAAAAATCCAATAGCTACCATCATAGTCAAGATGAAAGACAGAAAGCTTTGCTCTAAGATCAGGAATAAGATAAGAATGCCTGCTTTCACCAGTGCTATTGAATATAGCACTGGAATTTCTAGCCATAGCAACTAAGCAGGAAAAAGAAATAAAAGGCATGCAAATTAGAAAGGAAAAAGTAAAACTTCCTCTATTTGCAGCTGACATGATCGCATCTATAGACAACACTAAAGAAGCCACACAAAATTTACTAGAGCTAATAAATACAGCAAATCCTCAGGGAACAAAATCTTGCAAAAATAAGTGTTGTTTGTATGCACCAGAAACAAATAATCTGGAAATGAAATTAAGAAAATAATTTCATTTACAATTGCATCAAAATAATAAGATATCTAGGAATAAACATAATCAAGGATAGGAAAGACTTGTACACTAAAAGTTATAAATTATTACTGGAAGAAATTAAAGAAGACCTAAATAAATGGAAGGACATCCTTTGTTCATGAACTGGGAGACTTAATAGTGCTAAAATATCAATACTAATGAGGCTATAGACAAAAAGCCAAGCTCAGTTTCTTCCACTACATGCTCACAACAGGCTCTGATACCAGATGCCTGGGGATTTCTCCACAACAGCAAGCATGCCATCAATTCTGCAGGGACACCACCTCCAATTAAGTTGTGGCATATCTGCCTGGAGATAGCATCAGATCCCACAGGTTGAGGGCTCATTCCCACAAAACTGCCACCTACTTCTGGCCAGGCGCAGTGGCTCATGCCTGTAATCCTGGCACTTTCAGAGGCCGAGGTAGGTGGATCACCCAAGGTCAGGAGTTCGAGACCAGCCTGCCCAACATGGTGAAACCCTGTCTCTACTAAAAATACAAAAATAAGCCATGTGTGGTAGCATGCACCTGTAGTACCAGCCACTTTGGAGGCTGAGACTGGAGAATCGCTTGAACCTGGGAGGTGGAGCTTGCAGTGAGCTGAGATTGCACCACTGCACTCCAGTCTGGGTGATAGGGCGAGACTCTGTCACACACACACACACACACACACACACACACACAGCCACCTATTTCTGATGCCAATCACAAGCCCCAGGTTGTTTTACCTGTGCTTCTGACTGACTGGCAATAGGGGTTCCCTCCTCAGATTCTATTAATTTGCTAGAGTGGCTCACAGAACTCAGGGAAACACTTATGTTTACTGGTTTATTATAAAAATACTACAAAGGATACAGATGAAGAGATGCATGGATCAAGGCATACAGGAAGGGGCATAGAGCTCAATGCCCTCTCCAGGTACCCCAACCTCCAGGAACCTCCGCGTTTTTTAGTTATCCAGAAGCTCCAGAACCTTGTCCTTTTGGGGTTTGATTGCTTCGTTATGTAGTCATGATTGATTAAATCATTGGCCACTGGTGATCCACTTAAACTTCAGCCCCTCCCTCCTTCTTGGAGGTTGTGGAGTGGGGCTGAAAATCCAAACTGTCTAATCCTGTCTTGGTCTTTAAAGTGATTAGCCCCCATTTTTAAGCTACCTATGGGTTGCTAGCCATCAGTAATCTCATTAGCATACAAAAAATAGCACTTTGGAGATGCCAAGGATCTTAGTTGCTTTTTCACCTTTGGAAGGATGTTAAGTTCAGCCACTGTGCTGGTCTAGATTGCAGGCAACAACATTAGTCTACCAAGTGCCTCCCATCAGTTCACTCCCCTTCAGACAGGGTAAAGTTGCACAGGTGAAGGATTAGTGGGCTATTTTTTACCACCAATAAATGTAGCTGCATTCACTCTTAGCTCCAATTTTGTCAGATGGGGAACAGGCACAATCCATCCCCATCAGGCACTTGGGAATTCTGACATAAGTTTTAAAAACAGTTACAATTTCTTGTTTGGGAATCATCCCTGCTTCCAGCACTTGTAGTTGCAGCCCTGGTCCTAGGACCACTGCACCACATAGTGGGTAATAAACTGAGGCTACGTGGTGAAAAAAAGAAGATAATTATAGTTGTTATACCAAACTCCCCCTTTCTTGGCAAGTATGGCAAGTATTGCATAGTCTTACCAGCATCCTTCCCTGGCCCCTTCCCCAGATCCACAGAAAGAGAAATTTCCATTGGGGACACTCTTAGTACCTTTTATGTTGAACATGAGCACACACTCATGAATGTGTAGGCCAGCCCTTCATGATTTTTTCTCCCCCCCCCCCCCCCCGCATTTTAGATAACTAATGTTTTGTTTTGTTTTTAATAATTTTTTTTTTTTTTTTTTTTTTAGACAGAGTCCGCTCTTTTGCCCAGGCGGGGTGCAGTGGCACTATCTGGGCTCACTGCAAGCTCTGCCTCCCGGGTTCACGCCATTCTCCTGCCTCAGCCTCCCGAGTAGCTGGGACTACGGGCGCCCACCACCACGCCTGGCTAATTTTTTTTGTGTTTTTGTAGAGACGGGGTTTCACTGTGTTAGCCAGGATGGTCTCGATCTCCTGACCTCGTGATCTGCCTGCCTCGGCCTCCCAAAGTGCTGGGATTATTTATAAATATTTTAAAAATTTCAGTAGCTTGTGGAGTACAAGTGGTTTTTGGTTACATGGATGAATTGTATAGTGGTGAAGTCTGAGATTTTAGTGCACCCATCACCCTAGTAGTGTACATTGTACCCAATACATAGTTTATTTCTCGCCCCACCTCCCCTTTTTGAGTCTCCATAGTCCATTACACCACTCTGTGTGCCTTTACATATCCCTAGCTTAGCTACTAGTTATAAGTGAAAGCATATGGTATTTGATTTTCCGTACCTGAGTTACTTCAGTTAGAATAATGGCCTCCAGCTCCATCCAAGTTGCTGTAAAAGACATTATCTTGTTCTTTTTTATGGTTGAGTAGTATTCCATGATGTATATATACCACATTTTCTTTAGCTATTCACTGGGCAATGGGCACGTAGGTTGGTTACATATCTTTGCAATTGTAAGTTGTGCTGCAATAAACATGCATGAAGATGTCTTTTTGATATAATGACTTCTTTTCCTTTGGGTAGATAACTAGTAGTGGGATTGCTAGATCAAATTGTAGATCTACTTTTAGTTCTTTAAAAAAATCTCCATACTGTTTTCCATAGAGATTGTATTAATTTACATTCCCATCAACAATATATAAGTGTTCCCTTTACACCATATCCTTGCCAACATATATTGTTTTTTGACTTTTTAATAATGGCCATTCTTGCAGGAGTAAGGTGGTATCCCATTATGGTTTTAATTCTCATTTCTCTGATGATTAGTGATAGTGCACATTTTCTCATATGTTTGTTGGTCATTTCTTCTTTTGAGAAATGTCCATTCATGTTATTTGCCTGATTTTTGATAGGATTATTTGTTTTTTTCTTACTGATTTGTTTAGGTTCCTTGTAGCTTCTGGATATTAGTCCTGTCAGATGCGTAGTTTGCAAATATTTTCTCTTATTCTCTGGGTTTCTGTTTAGTCTGATGATTATTTATTTTGCTGTACAGAAGCTTTTAGTTTAATTAGGTCCCATTTATTTATGTTTGTTGTAGTTGCATCTGTTTTTGGGGTCTTAGTTATGAATTCTTTGCCTATGCCAACATCCAGAAGAGTTTTTTCCTAGATTAATTTCTGGAATTTTTATGATTTCAGGTCTTAGATTTAAGTCTCTGATCCATCTTGAGTTGATTTTTATATAAGGTGAGAGACAGGGATCCAGTTTCATTCTTATACATGTTGCTAGCCTGTTTTCCAAGCACCATTTATTAAGTAGGGTGTCCTTTCCCAAGTTCATGTTTTTGTATGTTTTGTCAAAGATCAGTTGGTTTTAGGTTTTGGCTTTATTTCTGGGTTCTCTATTATGTTCCATTGGTCTGTATTCTACTTTTATACCAGTACCATGCTGTTTTGGTAACTATAGCTTTGTAGTATAATTTGAAGTTCAATAATATGATGCCTGCAGATTTGTTCTTTTTGCTTAGGATTGCTTTGGCTATTTGGGCTCTTTTTTGGTTCCATATGAATTTTAGGATTTCTTAAAATTATGTGAAAAGCGATGTTGGTATTTTGATAGAAACTGCTTTGAATCTATTGACTGCTTTGGGCAGTATGGTCATTTTAACAATATTGATTCTTCCAACCAATAAGCATGAGATGTGTTGCCATTTGTTTGTGTCATCTATGATTTCTTTCAGCAGCGTTTTGTAGTTTTCCTTGTATAGATCTTTCACCTCCTTGATCAAGTATATTCCTAGGTTTTTTTTTTTTTGCAGCTCTTGTAAAACAGATTGAGCTCTTAATTTGATTCTCAACTTGGTCATTTGTGTATAGCAGTCCTACTGATATATATACATTGGTTTTTGAAACCTGAGACTTTACTGTATTTGTTTATCAAATCCAGGAGTCTTTTGGAGGCATATTTAGGGCTTTCTAGGTATATGATCATGTCATCAGTGAACAGTGATAGTTTGACTTCCTCTTTTCCAATTTGGATGCCCTTTATTTCTTTCTCTTGCCTGATTGATTATTCTGGGTAGGACTTCCAGTACTGTGTTAATTAGAAGTGGTAAAAGTGGGCATCCTTGTCTTGCTCCAGTTTTCAGGGGGAATGCTTTCAACTTTTCCCATTCAGTATGATGTTGGCTGTGTGTTTGTCATAGATGGCTTTTATTATTTTGAGGAAAGTCCCTTGTATGCCTAGTTTGTTGGGTGTTTTTATCATAAAGGGATGCTGCATTTTAGCAAATGCTTTTTCTGCATATATTGAAATATAATATGATATTTGTTTTTAATCCTGTTATGTGATGTATCACATTTACTGACTTGCATATGTTAAGCCATCCCTGCATTCCTGGAATGATGCCCACTTGATCATGGTGTATTATCTTTTTAAGGGCTGTTGGAGTCAGTTAGCTAATATTTTGTTTAGGATTTTTGCATCTATGTTCATCAGGGATATTGGTCTGTAGTTTTCATTTTTTGTTATGTCTTTTCCTTGTTCTGGTGTCAGGGTGATACTGGCTTCATAGGATGAGTTAGGGAGGATCCCTATTTCTCAGTCTTTTGTAGTAGTTTCAGTAGGATTGGCAGCAATTCTTGAATGTCTGGTAGAATTCAGCTGTGAATCCATCTGGCCCTGGACTTTTTTTGTAGGAATTTTTTAAAATTACTGATTCAATCTCACTGCTTGCTATTGGTCTGTTCAAGGTTTCTACTTCTTCCTGATTTAATCTAGGAGGGTTGGGTGTTTCCAGGAATTTATCTGTTTCCTCTAGATTTTCTAGTTTATGTGCATAGAGGTGTTCATAGTAGTCTTGAGTGATCTTTTGCATATTTGTGGTGTTGGTTGTAATGTCTCCAGTTTTATTTCTAATTGAGTTTATTTGAATCTTGACACTTCTTTTCTTGGTAAGTCTAGCTGACAACCTATCAATTTTGTTTATCTTTTCAAGGATCTTTTTTTTTCACTTTGTTGATCTTTTGTATTTTTGTGTTTCAATTTAATTCAGTTCTGCTCTGATCTTTGTTATTTCTTTTCTTCTACTAGCTTTGGGTTTAGTTTTTTCTTGTTTCCCTAGTTCCTTGAGACGTGACACTAGGTTGTCAATTTGTAATCTTTTAGACTTTTTGATGTAGGTATTTAGTGCTATAAACTTTGCTCTTAGCAGTGATTTTTCTTGCCAGAAGTTTTGACAGCTTGTGTCACTATTATCATTTGTCTCAAGGAATTTTTAAATTTCCATCTGATTTTATTATTAACCCAAAAATCATTCAGGAGTAGATTGTTTAATTTCTACATATTTCTGTAGTTTTGATGATTCTGTTTGTAGTTGATTTCTAGTTTTATTCCACTGTGGTCTGAGAAAATATTTGATATGATTTTGATATTTGTAAATTTATTGAGACTTATTTTGCAGCCTATAATATAGTCTATCTTCTTCATGTATAAGAAGAATGTATGTTCTGCAGTTATTGGAGACAATGTTTTGTAAATAGTTGTTTATGAGATGTATTTGTCCATTTGTTCTACAGTGTAGTTTAAGTCCATTGTTTCTTTGTTGACTTGCTGTCTTGATGGTCTGTGTAGTGCTGTCAGTGGAGTGTTGAAATTCCCCACTATTGCTGTTTATCTCATGTTTTAGATCTGGTGGTAAATGTTTTATGAATCTGGGAGCTCCAGTGTTACGTGCATATAAAGTTAGGATCGCAATATCTTTGTGTTGGAAATTGATCCTTTTATCATTACGTAGTGACCTTCTTTGTCTTTTTTTTTTACTGCTTTTGCTTTATAGTCTGTTTTATCTGATATAAGAATAGCTACTCCTGCTTGCTTTTGCTTTCCATTTGCATGTGTATTAGTCCATTCTTATGCTGCTATGAAGAAATACCTGAGACTGGGTAATTTATAAAGAAAAGAGTTTTAACTGACAGTTCTCCATGGTTAGAGAGGTCTCAGGAAATTTACAATCATGGCAGAAGGGGAAGCAAACATGTCCTTCTTCACAAGGCAACAGGAGAGAGATGTGTCGAGGAGAAAAGTCCCTTATAAAACCATCATATTTCATGAGAACTCATTCACTATCATGAGAACAGCATGGGAGGACTGCCCCCATGATCTAATCCACTCCCTCGAGGTCCCTTTTCCAACACATGGGGATTACAATTCAAGATGAGATTTTGGTGGGGCACAGAGTCAGGCTGTATTATTTAACCCCTAGCCCCTCCCAAATCTCATCTTTCTCACATTTCAAAACACAATTTTGCCTTCCCAACAGTTCCCCAAAGTCTTAACTCGTTTCAGCATTAACCTAAAAGTCCAAGTTTATAGTCTCATCTGAGACAAGGCAAGTCCCTTCCACCTATGAGCCTGTAAAATCAAAAGCATATTAGTTACCTCCTAGGTATGATGGAGGTACAGGCATTGGGTAAATACACCCATTCCAAATGGGAGAAATTGTCCAAAATGAAGAGGTCACAGGCCCCATGCAAGTCCAAAATCCGATAAGGCAGTAATTAAATCTGACAGCTCTGATATAATCTCACTTTACTCCATGCCTCACATCCAGGTCACAACGACAAAAGAGGTGCCCACAGCCTTGAGCAGCTCTTACCCTGTGGATTTGCAGGGTACAGCCCCCACTGCTGGCTGCTTTCACCAGCTGGTGTTGAGTGCCTGCAGCTTTTCCAGGTGCATGGTGCAAGCTGTTGGTGGACCTACCATTCTGGAGTCTGGAAGATGATGGCTGTCTTCACACACCTCCACTAGGCAGTGCCCCAGTGGAGACTCTGTGTGGGGGATCCAACCCCACATTTCCCTTCCTCACTGCCCTAGCAGAGGTTCTGCCTGAGGGCTCCGCCCCTGCAGCAAACTTCTGCCTGGACATCCAGGTATTTCCATACATCCTCTGAAATCTGGGCAGAGGTTCCCAAACCTCAATTCTTAACTTCTGTGCACCCACATGCTCAACACCATGTGGAAGCTGCCCAGGCTTGGGGCTTGAACCCTCTGAAGCCACAGCCCAAGCTATACCTTGACCCCTTTTAGCCGTGGCTAAAGCTGAAGCAGCTGGGATGCAGGGAACAAAGTCCCAAGGCTGCACACAGCAGGGGGGCCCTAGGCCTGGCCCCCAAAACCATTTCTCCCCCCTAGGCATCTGGGCCTGTGATGAGAGGAGCTGCCATGAAGGTCTCTGACACACCATGGAGACATTTTCCTCATTGTCTTGGTGATTAACATTTGGCTTCTCATTACTTATGCAAACATCTGCAGCCAGCTTGAATTTCTCCCCAGAAAAATGAGAGTTTTTTTCTATTGCATCATGAGGCTGCAAATTTTCCAAACTTCTATTCCCTGGTTCCTCTGGAATGCTTTGCCACTTAGAAATTTCTTCTGCCAGGTATCCTAAATCATCTCTCTCAAGTTCAAAGTTCCACAGATCTCTAGGGCAGGAGCAAAATGCTGCTAGTCTCTTTGCTAAAGCATAGCAAGAATCACCTTTATTCCAGTTCCCAACAAGTTTCTCATCTCCAACTGAGGCCACCTCAGCCTGAACTTCATTGCCCATATCACTATCAGCAGTTTGGACAAAGCCATTCAACAAGTATCTAGGAAGTTCCAAACTTTCCCACATATTTCTGTCTTCTGAGCTCTCCAAATCTCTAGGAAGTTCCAAACTTTCCCACATTTTCCTGACTTCTTCTGAGTCCTCCAAACTGTTCCAACCCCTGCCTGTTACCCAGTTCCAAGTTTTCTTCCACATTTTCAGGTATGTTTATAGCAGCAACCCACTATTCAACTACTGCTTTACTGTATTAGTCTGTTCTCATGCTGCTATGAAGAAATACCTGAGACTGGGTAATTTAGAAAGAAAAGAGGTTTAATTGACCTACAGTTCTGCATGGTGTGGGAGGCCTCAGGAAACTTACAATCATGGCAAAAGAGGAAGAAAACACATCCTTCTTCACAAGGCAGCAGGAGACAGAAGTGCCAAGCAAAGGGGGAAAAACCCTTTATGAAACCATTCCATTTTGTGAGAACTCATTCACTATCATGAGAACAGCATGGGGGGACCACCCTCATGATCTAATAAGCTCCCCTGGGGTCCCTCCCCCAACACATGGGAATTACAATTCAAGGTGAAACTTGAGTGAGGACACGGAGCCAGACCATATCAGCATGGAATATTTTTTTCCACCCCTCTACTTTGAGTTTATATGAATCCTTACATGTTAGGTGAGTCTCTTGAAGACAGCAGATATTCGGTTTCTGAATTTTTATCCATTTTGCCAATCTGTATCTTTTAAGTGGAGCATTTAGTCCACTTACATTCAAATCAATATTGATATGTGAGGGGCTGTTCCAGTCATTATGTTAATTGTTACCTGGATACTTTGTTTTCTTCATTGTGTTATTGTTTTATAGGGTCTGTGATTTTTATGCTTTCAAGAGGTTCTATTCTGATGTATATTGACTTTTGTTTCAGGATTTAGACCTCCTTTTAGCATTTCTTGTAGGGCTGGGCTGGTAGTGACAAATTCCCTTGGCACTTGTTTGTCTGAAAATGACTTTGTTTCTCCCTCATTTATGAAGCTTAGTTTTGCTGGACACAAAATTCTTAGCTGACAGTTATTCTGCTTAAGGAGGCTAACGATAGGACCCTATTCTCTTCTGGCTTGTAAGGTTTCTGGTGAGAAGATTGCTGTTAGTCTGATAGGTTTTCCTTTATAGTTTACCTGGTGCTTTTTTCTCACTGTTCTCAGAATTCTTTTCTTCATATTGACTTTAGATAGACTGATGGCTATCTGTTTTGGTGAAATCCTTTTGTGATGAATCTCCCAGGAGTTCTTTGAGCTTTTTGTATTTGGATATCTAAATCCCTAACTGCTGAGACCAGCTTGGTTGGGGAGACCCTAACCCAGTGGCACTAGAGAAATTAAAGACACACACACAGAAATATAGAGGTGTGAAGTGGGAAATCAGGGGTCTCACTGCCTTCAGAGCTGACAGCCTCGAACAGAGATTTACCCAAGTATTTATTAACAGCAAGCCAGTCATTAGCATTGTTTCTATAGATATTAAATTAACTAAAAGTATCCCTTATGGGAAACGAAGGGATGGGCCGAATTAAAGGAATAGGTTAGGCTAGTTAACTGCAGTAGGGGCATGTCCTTAAGGCACAGATCACTCATACTATTGTTTGTGGCTTAAGAATGCCTTTAAGTGGTTTTCCGCCCTGGGCAGGCCAGGTGTTCCTTGCCCTCATTCCAGTACACCCACAACCTTCCAGTGTGGGCATTATGGCCATCATGAACATGTCACAGTGCTGCAGATATTTTGTTTATGGCCAGTTTTGGGGCCAGTTTATGGCCAGATTTTGGGGGCTTGTTCCCAACTTGTCCCCCTTGTTTGATTTGCAAAGTGATAAAAGCAAGGGCAGCTTTGTCATTGTGAGCTCGTGGGAGTCAGGATCCACATCTGCAGACTATACAAAGACAAACAACACAGATTAAAAACACAATTATCACTGAAATCATAGAGCTTCCAAGGGTTTTTTTTATCCATTTTAATGGGTTACTAGCTGTTAATCTGTCTGCAGCTCCTTTAAGCACTCCAGTTCTTGGCATTAAGGTCAGGTGTGCCTGGGATGCTTTAAATATTTGTTCTTTTAATTTTCCTATATCCAAAAAAGTCTGTAGAGTGTCTTTCTAGATGCTTGTTTATTCTTTTCCAAATTTTGATCTTATTAAGAACTATTAATAGTTTCCACAAATCCTTATGTTAAGCTCCTACAACGAGCCATATCATTTGAGGTTGAGGTGCCACTATACCGCCATGGTTCCAGATAATAGGAATGTTTGTCATACTTTTTATCATTTCTACCATCTGACCATTTTGTTCAGACCATCTGAACATAGTGTGGCCATGGCACACAGACTGAGAAGAGCAATTTAAGCTAAACATCCCCTTAGGGGACCAATTAATAATGATTCCATAGGAATTGTTGTGCAGCATCTCTGCCTGTTCTGCAGTGCAATCTTCCCAAACAAGTACATTCATTATTTCTGGCCAGGTTCTATTTTGTTTACAAATAGGTTTTTGAAGGTGGTATGCCTCAATTATAGGAGCAGATTTATTATGGTAAACACTGAGATCAGAAGGCATATGTAACTGTGTCATAGAGTGACTATATCCAGGCATTATTACCAGCCAGGATTGATAAATATGCCCAATAAGTATAATTGTTCTCTGTGTCAGCCCTTGTTTAAGGAATACTCATGGCAGTGGTGATAACTGCTATCATAGCTACCATTAAATTACTCATTGTGACTGGTTGTCCTGCTTTCCTCAGGTTTTCTCCTGCCATCTGTGACAGCTTCTTGATCTGTCCCCAGGTGGGTGGCTGTGTTCGACAGGTGTTGCTTGTGACAGTTGGGGTCCTCCTCAGCATCAGTCTTGACGTGGCTGCAACCAGGGGGTCCTTGGGATCCTCCCAGCATCTCTTCCTCAGCATCTGGCTCATGATAAGATTTCAGGTGTCTTGATAGTATCCAAATCAGCTGTTGATTTTGGCCTGGAGGAACACAAGCATAACCTATACCCCAAGTTATTATTTTACCTATTTCCCAAATTTTTGTTATCAGATCTCTCCAACAAATCAGTTGTTCTGCTTCTGTCTTTGCAGCTGGTTTCTGTAGATGCTATTCAGCTGCTGATAACATCTGGCCTTTGGGCAGGCTCAAAAAATTTAAAGTTAATAATGACCTCAATTACATCTACAACCTCCACTTTTTGAGCTGAAGTATAGGGCGTCTGGAAACCTTTACCTTTTGATCCAGAATAAGAAACTTTACCATTACTAGACCCATCTGTAAACAATGAAAATGCTTAGCAGGCTGCAGGTTGTTTACCACAGGAATTGTAAATGCAAAGCATTCACAGTCTTGCTCAGCTAAGGGGATAGTAAAGAAACAATCTTTTAAATCTATGACTATTAAAGGCCAATTTTTTGGAATTATAGCAGGAGAAGGCAATCCTGGCTGTAATGCTCCCATAGGTTGTATAACTGAATTGATGGCTCTTAAGTCAGTTAACATTCTCCATTTACCTGATATTTTCTTAATTAAGAAAACTGGAGAATTCCAAGGGGAAAATGTTGGATCTATGTGCCCATTTTCTAATTGTTCAGTAACTAATTTCTCTAAAGCATCCAGTTTCTCTTTACTTAGCGGCCATTGTTCTATCCAAATTGGCTTATCTCTTAACCATTTTAAAGGTAAAGGTTCTGGAGGCTTAACAATGGCCACTATCAGAAATGATATCCTAATCTTTGGTGGGAATTTTTTCTTTCCATTTGAAGCGGTTCTTTCAAAACTTGCAAATTTTTTCTAGTCCCATACCAGGGACATACCCCATTTCATGCATTGTATGTTGACTTTGAGGGCTATATAATTGATCTGGAATTAGAACTTGTGCTCCCTATTGTTGTAATAAATCTCTTCCCCATAAATTTATAGGGACAGAAGTTATAATTGGTGGAATAGTCCCAGGTTGTCCACCGTGCCCTTCACAATGCAAAATATAACTACTTTGATATACTTCAGGGGCTTACCAACTCCATCTATGTTAAATTGAGTGGGTTGAATTGGCCACACAGATGGCCAGTGCTGTAGAGAAATGATTGAAATGTCCGCTCCTGTATCTACCAAACCTTTAAATTTCTTTCCCTGAACAGTTATTTCACAGGGAGGACATTTATCAGTGATTTGATTTGCCCAATAAGCTACTTTGCCTTGTTTATTTGTACTTCCAATCCTCCTGTTCATTTGTACTTCCAATCCTCCTTTTTCCCATTCCCACATATGGCACAATCAGGAGCTGTGCTATGTGCTCTCCTGGCTCTGTTTTCCAGGGAACAGAAGTAGATATAACAATTTGAATTTCCCCATTGTAATCTGAATCAATGACTTCTGTATGTATTTGTACCCCTTTTAAACTTAAACTAGACTTTCCTAAAAGTAATCCTATTGTCCCTGCTGGCAAAAGTCCACAGACTCTTGTTGGGACTTTTGCGGGTGTTCCCCAGGCAGAAGACTCACAGCTTTTGTGCAGCATAAATCTACTGTGGCACTACCGGCTGTGGCAGGGGACAGACATTGTACAGGGGTTAGGGAATGGCCTGAGCTGGGAATGCCCCAGTTTAGAATGGGGCCTGGGACAGGCCCCTCATGGTGTTTCCCGAAATTGGGTTCCCTTCTTTATCAAACTCAGAGTGACACTGATTAACCCAATGTTTTCTTTTTACATTTTGGACATATTTCAGGCTCAGCAGTTTTCTTTTTTCCCCTATCTGGTGGCCTGACTCACTGATTTTTTTCTACATTCTTTTTTAGTATGACCATGCTTCCCACAGTTAAAACAAGCTCCAGGAAATGGAGTATTTCCTTTATCCACTCTCAGTCCTGCCACTGCCTGTGCCAACAAAGTAACTTTATGCAGATTACCTCCAATACCATCACAGGCCTTGATATAATCAACTAAATGTGCTTTCCCAAATTTAAAAGGAAAAAGCTCAAATGTAGCTCTAATATTTCCCTGTTGATCTGGGGGATGTATTCTAACAGGGAACTGCCAAGGCTCTAAATCACCCTCTCGCTTAGCTTGCTGAATTCCTGCCTGAATAGAACCAAGAGTGGTCGCTTGAGGCGCTGCTCGAACAGTCACTGAGGCAACTACTTTTCACCCAGTGTCCTCCAGAAAAGAAAGAACTGGAGGGTCTTTTTCTTCAAAATAATAATAAGGGGGTGCAGAAGGGTAGGGATTAACATCTTCCTCCTTTGCTGCTTTAGCTTTAGCTGGCAAATAAACATGCTCTGTAACCTTTTCTGTTACTTCGCTATACTCTCCTTCCTCCTCATCATCAGTGTGAGAAAGTTCCAACGTGGAACATACCAGACTCCACACTTGTCCCATTATTACCCTGATGTTCCGAGCTCCGCTTCTTACTCACCATGGGGATTGCTTTAAGAGTACTCAGGTGTCTTCCAGCTAGTTCCAAGTTCTCCAACTGTCACTCCGGCAACTCTTCAACCTGGATTCGAGCCCCCATGATTGATGCCACTTGCTGAGACCAGCTCAGTTGGGGAGACCCTAAGCCAGTGGCGCTAGAGGAATTAAAGACATAGGCACAGAAATATAGATGTGTGAAGTGGGAAATCAGAAGTCTCACAGCCTTCAGAACTGAGATCCTCAAATGGAGAATTACCCACGTATTTATTAACAACAAGCCAGTCATTAGCATTGTTTCTATAGCTATTAAGTTAACTAAAAGTATCCCTTATGGGAAATGAAGGGATGGGCCAAATTAAAGGAATAGGTTGGGCTAGTTAACTGCAGCAGGAGCATGTCCTTAAGGCACAGATTGCTCATGCTATTGTTTGTGGCCTAAGAATGCCTTTAAGCGGTTTTCCGCCCTGGGCAGGCCAGGTGTTCCTTGCCCCCATCCCGGTAAAACCACAACCTTCCAGCATGGGCGTTATGGCCATCATGAACATGTCACAGTGCTGTAGAGATTTTGTTTATGGCCAGTTTTGGGGTCAGTTTATGGCCAGATTTTGGGGGGATTGTTCCCATCACCTAACAAGGCCAGGGAAGTTTTCAATTATTCCCTCAAATAAGTTTTGCAAACTTTTTGCTTTCTCTTCTCCCCCAGGAACTTCAGATATTCTTAGGTCTGGGTGTTTTACATGATCCTATATTTCTCAAACACTTTGTTCATTTATTTTGATTCTTTTTTTCTTTATTTTTGTCTGATTGGGTTAATTCAAAAACCTTGTCTTCAAGCTCTGAAATTCTTTCTTCTGCTTGTTCTATTGTTAAGACTTTCTAAGACCTTTTGTAATTCCCTGAATAGCTTAAGAATCAACCTGTTAAATACCTTATCTGGTATTTGAAAGATTTTATCTTGGTTTGGATCCATTGCTAGAGAGCTAGTGTGATATTTTGAGGGTGTAATATTACCCTGTTTTGTCATACTACCAGAATTGTTTTTCCAGTTTCTTCACATTTGGGTAGGTTAATTCTTCTAATTCTTCTTGAATTTATTTTTTATTTGACTGTGCATTTTAAAAATTTCTTTTTCCCCCCTAAGGATGTGACTTTAATGTTTATAGTTTATTGTAGCCTAATTCAGCTCTTGGTGCTTTCAGAGGTGAAGACTCTGTATGAGTTCCTTGGTTGTAGAGATTCTTCATATGATGTCTTTCTCAGATACTGGTTGTAGTAGCAATGTGCTCAGTGTTTGAGCAAGTTCGTTGTCTCCTACGGGGTTGGAATGACAGAGGTCTCTTGAAGATTACCTTGTTGCCTCATGCAGTGCATTTATTTATTTATTTATTTATTTATTTATTTATTTCCCCAGTATTTTATTTACTGGGTTGAATAGTTCAGGCTTCAGGTCAGTAGAGGAGGTGTGCTTGGGTAGAAACTGGTTGTGGCTAAAGCAGGTGGGTAAATTCAATACCCAAAAGTGGGCAAAAGTCCCAGCCTTGACAGAGGTGGCTGGGGGAGCTCTCAGTGAAAGACACTGAGGTTTTATCAGGGGGAAAGGTGGGAGCCACTTCAACTCCCCTGCCAGACCAGCAGTAAAATGATCCACCTCCCAGACACAATCCTGACATAGTGTTCTGGCTATTCAGAACAGACAGGAACCTCTTTTCATCTGCAGAAACGTTGATGTTCTAAGTAGAGAGGAATTGTGACTCTATCTCTCATGCAAGCCTGAATCTGGAGGGTGCTTCACTTATGGGGATGCAGTCACCCTGAATTTTTCCAGAAAAGCTGTCTGTAGGTGCATCCATGCCAGTCTTCTGTGGGGGAGAAGCCTCAGTTGTTTCTGGAGTGGTTGACAAGGGGGAAAAATAGTCCCCTTCTCCAAGACCCTTCAGGAGCACCAGGGATGCCTAGACAACCAATGTTTAATTGCTTGTTCCACTTCTCTATCAAACTGTTACTCTAAGGTGGATATCTCTCTGCCCATTGCTGGACATAAGGACTGTACTGTGTGTTCCTTGGCCAGAAGAAATGATGATTGACTTCCAAATTTGTGCAATATCTCCTGTTCTGGTTTTAATTCTACTGGATAAGCAAAGCCCAGTCCAGAGTTAGTGTCTATGAGCCAGGATTGTTCTAGCAAATTCCATTTATCTGACACCATTGAATGGAAAAAAAACAAACTGTTTTTTTCTCGGCTCTCACACCACAAAAATCAACACAGAAGACTTCTGTGACCAAATGTGTGAGAGTTTCTCTGCACAAAAAGCAAGCAATCAGTTCTGCAGGGACATCACATAGGTGTCCTCCAATTCAATTCAATTCTGCACAATCTACCTGGAGACCTGGAGATAGCTTCAGATGACACAGGTTGGAGATGCAGTCCCACGAGACTGAGCTTCACTTCTTTTTTTATTATTATTATTATTTTTTTTTTGAGATGGAGTCTCACTCTGTCACCCAGGCTGGAGTGCAATGGCATGATCTTGGCTCACTGCAACTTCTGCCTTCCAGGTTCAAGCGATTCTCCTGCCTCAGCCTCCTGAGTAGCTGGGACTACAGGTGCACACCACTATGTCTGCCTAATTTTTTGTATTTTTTAGTAGAGACGGGGTTTCACCATATTGGCCAGGCTGGTCTCGAACTCCTGACCTCCTGATCCACTTGCCTCGGTCTCCCAAAGTGCTGGGATTACAGGTGTGAGCCACTGCACCAGACCTGAGCTTCATTTCTGATGCCAATTGCAAGCCCCAGGTTATTTTGCCTGTGCTTCTGACCAATTGGCTATACATCAGGATTCTCACAGCCCCCTTTTTGGGTTTGATTAACTTGCTAAAGTGGCTTGCAGGATTCAAGGAAACACTTACTTACATTGATTTTTTTTTATAAAAGATAATTAAAAATGACACAGATAAAGAGATGCATGGAGAAAAGCATGCAGGAAGCGGCATGGAGCTTCCATGCCTTCCCCAGGTGCACAAACCTCCAGGAACCTCCACATGTTCAGCTATCTAGAAGCTCCCCAGCCCTGTCCTTTTGGGTTTTTATGAAGGTTTCATTACATAGGCATAATTGGCCACTGGTGACCAACTTAACCCTTAGTCCCTCTCCCTTCCCTGGAGATTGGAGTGTGGGGCTGAAAGTCCCAACCCTCTAATCTTGCCTTGTTCTTTCCTATGAGCAGCCCCCATCCTGATGCTGCCTAGGGGCTAAGAGCCATCAGTCAACTCATTAGAATATGAAGAGTCATCGCTTTGGAGATTCTAAGGATCTTAGGAGTTGTATGCTAAGAAAAGGCAAGAAGACCAAATACAGTATGTATGTCACAATGTTACAGCTACCCAAAGTGTTTTACAGATTTAATGCAATTTCTATAAACATTCACATTGTTTTTGCAGAAGTGGAAAAACCAACTTTGAAATTCATGAGAAATGCAAGAGGCCTCAAAGAGCCACAATAATATTGGAAAAGAAAACCAGTTTAAAACTTACACTTACCCATTTTGAAACTTATTACGAAGCTACAGTAATGAAAACAGTGTAGTATTAACATCAAGTAGACATAGACCAATGAAATAGAATTGGGAGTTCAGAAATAAATCCACACATCTATGGTCAGTTAATTTTCAATGAGGGTGCCAGGACTATTTGAAGGGCAAAAGAATAGTCTCTTCCAACAAATGCTGGAACAACTGTATTTTCACATGCGAAAGAATGAAATTGTGCCCCTTCTAACTCTATATCACAAATATTAACTCAAAATGGGTCAATGACAAAACTTAAGAGCTAAAAGCATAACACTTTTAGAAGAAAACATACTGGTACATTTTCATGATGTTGGATTTGGCAACAGATTCTTAGGCATGATACCAAATCGTAAACAACAAAAGAAAAAATTGATAAATTTGACTTCATTAAAATTAAAAACTTTTGTGCATCAAAAGACATAATCAAGAAAGTGTGAAGACAACCTACAGAATGGGAGAAAATATTTGCAAATCATATATTTGAATACTAAACTTTTAGCATTCAGAGTGTATAAAAAACTCTTACAACTCAATAACTAAATGACAAAATCTTTTTAATGGGCAGAAGATTTGAATAGATATTTCCTCAAAGAAGACATACAAATGGCTGGTAAACATATGAAAAGATGCCCCGCCCCACCTCATTAGTCACCAGGGAAATGCAAATTAAAATCACAAAGAGATACCACTATATACTTTGTAGAATGACTAAAACAAACAAGCAAACAAACAAAATTCCAAGTGCTGCTAAGGATGTCAATCAACTAGAGCAGTCATAGATTGCTGGTGGAATGCAAACCTATACAACTACTTTGGAAATAAAGCTTCAATTTCTTATAAATTTAAAACTATATGACCCAACTATTCCACTTCTGGGTATTTACTCAAGAGAAATGTGAACATACGTCCACACAAAGAGTTGTACTTTAATGTTCATATCACCTTTATTTGTACTAGGTACAAAATTGGAAACAACCTAAACTTATCAAATGTTGAATTGATAAACAAGTTGTGATAACATCCATAAATGGAATACTACTCAGCAACCAGAAGGAATGAACAATGAAGACACATAACAACATAAATAAATCTCAGAAGTATTACACTGAGTGAAAGAAGCCAGACACAATAGGCTACATATTGTAATATTCTACTTATCTGTGATTCTGAAAAAGGCAAATCTATAGTGATCAAACCAAATCAGTGGTTGCCAGGAAATGGGAGTGAATTAAGTGCAAATGGTGATAAAAAAAATTTTTGGGGTGATGGAAGTATTCTATATAATGATTGCGGTGGTGGTTACATAGATGAATCCATTTGTCTAAATTCATCAAACCATATGTTTAAAATGGCTACTTAAAAAAATTGACATTTAATCATTTTACATATCACAGGGTACATAGCAATGCTTTGATACATACAATATGTAGTGATCAGATAAGGATAATTAGGATATCCATCATTGCAAACATAAATGGCTATAATTTATTGATGTAAGTTATAGCTCAATAAAGCTACATTTGAAATCCACACCCAAAGTCAGTTCCATTAGGGCCATCCCACTGCTGCCACCCTGGAATCTGCCCAGACAATAGCATTTACCTCCTCCCTGGAGCCTCCTATTGTCCATTCTCTACTCAGCAGCCAGAGGGTCCTTCCACACTCCAGAGTAGCCAAATAGATCCTCATAAACAGAAATCATATCTCATAACTTCCCCACAGCAGATTCCTGTTTCACTTAGGAGAAAACCCACACTCTTCTGTGGCCACCAGAGTCTCTGCTGACCTCCGGCCTTACCTCCCTCCACTTTCCTGCTCTCTCCCTGCCCTCCAGCTAAACTGGCCAAGCTTACTCTTGCTTCAGACCCTTGACATGCCATCTTCTAGCCACACATTTCACCCTGGCCTCTGTCCCTCACCTCATAGCTCAGCCTAGCTAATGCCACTTTCCAGACTCTTAAGGTGACATTTCCTAAGCTTCACTTGTTTGTGAAATTTCCTAAGCTTCACTTATCTGTGAAATTTCTTCTTGATTTTTACCATATCAGCATACTGTCTGCACTATCCTTTTGTGAAATTTTATTTACCCTTACTCCACTTTTATTTAAATAAGTACACTTCAAGAAAGAGTTAGAATATAGGGGCAGGTAAAAGTGAAAAGATAAAAAAATACATTTTGCAAACTATCCAAAAGTAAGCTAATAGCAGGCAAAAAACCCCTCTACATTTTGTTTGTTTGTTTGTTTTTTGTTTTTGAGACGGGGTCTCACTCTGTCGCCCAGGCTGGAATGCAGTGGTGTAATCTCGGCTCACTGCAACCTCCGCCTCCCAGGCTCAAACGATTCTCCTGCCTCAGCCTCCCGAGTAGCTGGGATTACAGGTGTGCACCACTACCACCCTGCTAATTTTTGTTTGTTTAGTAGAGACGGGATTTCACCATGTTGGCCAGGCTGGTCTTGAACTCCTGATCTCAAGTGATCCACCCACCTCAGTCTCCCAGAGTGCTGGGATTATAGGCATGAGCCACTGTGCCTGGCCTCCCCCTCCACATTTAAGTAAAAGTAAATCAGTAACGAAGGGGAACATCTTATAATGATATGAGCCATTTAACTGTTTTAAATTTGCAAACACCTTAGAATAGAGCCTCAAAATACATAAAGCCAAAATTGACAAAAAGAAAATAGATAAATCCACAGTCATCACAGAATATTTTGACACATCTCCCTTGGTAACTGATGGAGCAAGTATAAAGTATCTGTAAGGATATACAGGATTTTAAAAAATGGGTAAAATAGTTTTACTTGTGAGATCAATGAGTCCTACTCTGTCTTTACTTTGGTGAGTCATTTGACAAAGCTTTTGTGAATAACCTGATAAAATGAATAAATGTAAGTAGTATGAGTCCAAAGTTAGGAAGATTTCAGTGACTAAAGCAACTCAAAGAGCTAGCACTAAAAACTTGTTCTTGGTTCCATCCCTATTTCATTTAAATCATATATAACTACCAGTGAAGATAAAATCAGATTCAAAATTTTCTTAATAGTTTGAAACATTCGTCAAATGATTTGAAATGAAGTCTGTGAGATAATAGCTTAATTGGTATGAAGGCAAAGTCTTGTATATTGCTTTTTTGGTGTGAACATAGCTTAACATTTAAAAAATTGAGAGACATATGTATATATAAAAGTGCACAACTTGATTAATTTGTACTTCTTGTACACCCATGAACTAGGGCATCGAATAGTTCCAGCACCCTGGAAAGCTCCCTTGTGCCTCTTCTGAGTCAATATCCTTCCGCAGAGAGGTGACCAATATTCTGCCTTCTATTATCATTGATAACAGTTGTCTGTTCTTAAACATGATATAAACGGAATCATACATACATACCTATATATAAACACATATTCATGTATATGTGCATACATATATATGTATGTATCTCTGTCATCTCTCCATCATCTATTTATTTATCTATTGTCTATCATCTAGCCATATTTCTCTCTATGTGTAAATGTATGTATCTACCTATGTAGCTCTCATTTATCTAAAGGAAAATAGATTGCACTCATAAAAAGATAAATGGGCAAAATAATGAATCTAGACGTAGACCTTACACCCTTCATAAAATTAACTCAAAATAGATCATAGACTTAAAGATAAAATGCAAAAGTATAGAAGTGCTAGAAGCTGGGTGCTTTGGCCCATGCCTGTAATCCCAGCACTTTTGGAGGCAAAGGCCAGTGGATCACCTGATGTCAGGAGTTCAAAACCAGCCTGGCCAACGTGCTGAAATCCCGTCTTTACTAAAAATACAAAAAATAGCTGGGCGTGGTGGCACGTACCTGTAGTTCCAGCTACTTGGGAGGCTGAGGCAGGAGAATCCCTTGAACCTGCAAGGCAGAGGTTGCAGTGAACCGAGATCATGCCACTGGACTCCAGCCTGGGTGACAGACAGAGACTTGGTCTCAAAAAAAAAAAAAAAAAAAAATAGAATTTCTAGAAAACAACATATGAAAAAACTGAAATAACCTTGGGTATGGTAGTGACATTTTAGATACAAAATCAAAGGCATGGTTCATGAAATAAATAATTGATAAGCTGGACTTTGTTAAAATTAAAAATTTCTGCTTTATGAAGGACAATGTGAAGAAAATGAGAAGACAAGCCACAGACTGGCAGCAAATACTTGCAAAAGACATATCTGATAAAGAACTGTTAACCAAAACATGAAAAAAAAACACCTTTTAAAACCCAATTAAAAAAAAACAAGAACCCAATTTAAAAAACTGAGCCAAAGACTTTAAGAGACACTTCACCAAACAGAATTTACAGATGGCAGATAAGCTTATGAAAAGATGCTCCATATCATTGTCATTAGGGAATTACAAATTAAAACAATAATGAGATACCACTATATATCTATTAGAATGGCCAAAATCCAGAACAGGGACAGCAAATGCTGGTGAGGATGTGGAGCAATAGAAACTCTCATTTATTGCTGGTGGAAATGCAAAATGGTACTACCACTTTGGAAGACAGTTTGGCAGTTTCTTACAAAACTAAACATACTCTTACCATACAATCCAGCAATTTTGTTCCTTGGTATCTACCCAAAAGAGCTGAAAACATGTCTACACAGAAAAACGTGCACATGGTTATTTACAGCAGCTTTATTCATGAATGCCAAAACTTGGAAGCAACCTAGATGCCCTTCAGTAGGTGAATGGATAAACATGTTTATCCACTCTGATATCCAAAGACAAGCCATGGAATGGGAGAAAATGATATTACTCTGCACGGAAAAGAAATGAGTCATCTAGCTATGAAAAGACATGGAGGAAGCTTAAATGCATATTATTAAGTGAAAGAAGCTGCTCTGAAAAGCCTACATACTGTATGATGCCCACTGTAGGACACTCTGGAGAAGGCAAAACCATGAAGACAGTAAAAAGGTCAGTGATTGCCAGGGCATTAAGGGGGAGCAAGCAGTGAATAGGTGGAGCACAGGGGATTTTATGGCTGTGAAACTATTCTGTATGATACTACAATGGTGAACATAAGTCATTACACATTGGGCTGCTATAGGAGCCCAAACACACTAAGACACCTGGGATATCTTTGAGCTTCAGTTTCTTCTTCTTCGAATCAGGTATGATTGTCCCCCACCCATGTTATTCCTTCCATCCTTCATTCATTTAGCAAATATTTATTCAACACCCAAAGCCAGCCCTGTGCTGCACGCTGTGGATATGGTGGAACTAAAGCAGACCAAGCACTTACACATTACACAAAACCTATAGAATGCACAACACTAAGGGTGAACACTAATATATACTGTGGACATTAATTAACAAAAACAGATCAGTTTTGGCCCATCAATTGTAACTTGGTTGCAGTTAGATGCCGTCTTGCATTTCATCCTCAAAACATTTCTGTCCCCCAGAGCTCAGAAGTCTCCTTGATTCACCCTTTTGCAATCCACCAGCTAACTCTGAAGCCTCTGCCTTCAGATACACCTACAGTCTGCCCCCTTCTTGCATGCACTTCTTGGCCATGGGGCTGAGCCCCCACAGTCCCTCTTGGACTGTCACACTTCCCCCTTGAGGCCTCCCTTTCCCATTTGTACCTCCACAGTCAGGCCCCACCCTCCTCTGCTCGCAGCCTTCTGGCAGCTTCCAGGGACCTCACCTGAACGTCCATGGCCCTGACTCATCTCCTTCCTCCACCGCCTCCACCATGGGCCTTCTTCACTTCTCAGTCTCATGCCTGCCCCCCTTCTGCCCTTTGCCCTTGCTGTCCCCTCTGTTCATCCTTGTGGATTTCTCCCTCACTGGCCACAAGACGGTTCAAATGCTTCCTCTCACTGAGGCCTACCTGAGGTCACCTGACTGAAACTGCCAGGCTCCATGCCAGCCCTCACTACTCCTGTCTTCCTCTCCTGAGCTCCTAGACCTCTGACAGATATAAAGTTTACTTTACACTGTGCTAACTGTGGTCTTCTGTGCTGAGGCATTAACTCAACAAGGGCTTGGTCTGCTTTAGTTCCACCATATCCACAGCGTGCAGCACAGGGCTGGCTTTGGGTGTTGAATAAATATTTGCTAAATGAATGAAGGATGGAAGGAATAACATGGGTGGGGGACTATCATAACTGATTTGAAGAAGAAGAAACTGAAGCTCAAAGATATCCCAGGTGTCTTAGTGTGTTTGGGCTGCTATAGCAAAATATCATAAACTGGGTGGTTTATAAGCAATAGAAATTTACTGTTCACAATTCTAGAGGCTGGAAAGTCCAAGACTAATATGCTGGCAAGTTTAATATCTGGTGAGGGCTCGTCTACTGGTTCATAGATGGCATCTTCTCTCTTTGTCCTTACCTGGTGGCGGGGAAGAGGGAGGTCCTGGGACCTCTTTTATGCCAGCACTAATACTATTCATAATGGCTCCACCCTCATGACCTAATCACCTCTCGAAGATCTTACCTCTTACAGTATTGCGTTGGGGGTTAGGATTTCAACAGATGAGTTTTGAGGAGAAAACAAACATTGAGACCATAGCACCAGGTCATACTGCTTTGGACTAAGAGAACTAACTCTCAGCAAGTTAGAGTTAGAGAGGCCATTAGAAATGTTGGTTCCCTATCCCCTTACTGCCCCATGGTTATCTCTGGAAAATGCTGAGGCACAGGACAGGCAGCATTTTGTCCAGATTCACATGGCAAACCAGGCCAAAGGCTCCCCTTTGAGCAAGAGGAAGTATCAGCACCACAACCTCACGCCTGCCTGCTGCTACTGAGGCAGATCCCAATCTACTACCAGGTCACAGGCACTCCTGTGGAAGAAGTGAAAAACATGCAGGAATAGGTGGATAAGCAGAGAGGTACAAGAAAGAACCAAAATGAAATACTATTAATAAAAACACTGTAACAGAAATGAAGAATGCCCTTAATGGCCTGGCCATTACACTGGACACAACCAAGGAAAGAATTAATGGGTTTCAAGATAAGTGAATAGACACTACCCCAACTGAAATGAAAAAAAAAATCTTTGGGATAATTTCAGAAGGTATAACATATGTATAATTGGAACACCAGGAGAAAGGAAAACAGGGCATAAAAATATATTTGAAGTAATAATGGCCAAGAACTTTATAAGTTAAAGACAGACAACAAATGACACATTCAGAGGGCTAAGAGAACAATGAGCAGCATAAATACCAAAGAAACTACACCTAGGCATATTTATGTATTCAAATTGCAAAAAATCAAAGACAAAGAGAAAATTCTGAAAGAAGCTAGAGGTGAGAAAATTACCCTTTCTATAGACGAGAACAAAGATAAGAATTACATCAGACTTCTCATTAGAAACCATACAAATAAGAAGGGAAATAATATTTAGTTTTGAAAGAAAAAAAAACTTCACCAACCTAGAATTCTGTATCCACCAAAATCATTCTTCAAAACTGAAAGAGAAGCAGCAAACAAAAAGTGCTTCCATGGGTGAATGGATAAATAAATTGTGGTACATCTGGACAATGGAATATTATTCAGTGCTAAAAAGAAATGAGCTATCAAGTCACAAAAAGACATGGAGGATCCTTAAATGCATATTGCTAAGTGAAAGAAGCCAGTCTAATAAGTCTACATATTATATGAGTGCAACTGTAGGACATTCTGGCAAAGGCAAAATCATGAAGATAGTAGAAAGAACAGTGATTGGCAGGGGTTCAGCAGAAGAAGGATGAATATGCAGAGCACAGAGGATTAATAATAATGAATCAAGATTGGTTCATTACTTGTAACAAATGTACTGGCCAATGCAAGATGTTAATAACAAGCATAACTTGGAGATATTGCCAGTTCTGCTTCAGACCAGTGCAACAGTGTGACTATCACAATAAAGTGAGTCACGTGAATTTTTTGGTCTCTAAGTGCACATAAAAGTTATGTTTATTTTATATTGTAGTCTATTAAGTATGCAATAACATTATGTCAAAAATATACATACCTTGATTTAAAAATATTTTATTACCAAAAAATACCCTCATTTGAGCCTGCAGTGAGTTATAATCCTTTTGCTGGTGGAGGTTCTTGCTTCAGTGTTGATGGCTGCTGACTGATCAGGGTGGTGGTTGCTAAAGGTTGGGGTGACTGTAGCAGTTTATAAAAATAGGACAACAATGAAGTTTGCCACATCAACTGACTCTTCTTTTCATGAGATTTGTCTATAGTATAATATGCTGTTTGATAGCATTTGGCCAAAGTAGAACTTCTTTCAAAATTGTAATTAATCCTTTCAAATTCTGGCACTGCTTTATAAATTAAGCTTATGTAATATTCTAAATACCTTGTTGTCATTTTAACAATGTTCATGGCATCTTTATCAGAAGTAGACCCCATTTCAAGAAACCACTTTCTTTGCTCATCCATAAGATGCATCTTGTCATCCATTCAAATTTTATCAAGAGATTGCAGCAATTTAGTCACATCTTTAGGTTCCACTTCTAATTCTGGTTCTCTTGCTGTTTCCACGACATCTGCAGTGATTTCCTCCATGGAAGTCTTGAATCTCTTCAAGTCATCCTTGAGGGTCGGAATCAACTTTTTCCAAACTCCTGGTAATGTTGATATTTTTACCTCCTCCCATGAATTACAAATGTTCTTAATGGCATCTAAATTTGTGAATCCTTTCCAGAAGATTTTCAATTTACTTTGCCTAGAGCCAGTAGATGAAATATTATCTTAGACAGCTATAGCCTTTTAAAATGCATTTTGTAAATAATAAGACTTGAAAGTTGAAATGACTCCTTGATCCATGGGCATAAAAGCATGTTCATCTCCTTGTATATCTCCATCAGAACTCTTGGGTGACCAGCTGCATTGTCAATGAGCAGTAATGTTTTGAAATGAATCTTTTTTTTTCTGAACAGTAGGCTTAAAATATTTAGTAAACCATGATGTAACTAGATATGCTGTCATTCAGGTTTTGTTTTTCCATGTGTAGGGCACAGGTAGAGTTGATTTTGCATAATTCTTAAAAGCTCTAGGGTTTTCAGAATGGAAAAAGAGCATTGGCTTCAATTTAAAGTCACCAGCTGCATTAGCCCCTAACGAGAGAGTCAGCCTGTCCTTTGAAGCTTTGAAGCCAGCCATTGACTTTTCTTCTCTAGTGGTAAAAGTCCTAGATGGCTTCTTCTTCCAAGATAAGGCTATTTCATCTACATTGAAAATCTATCTTTTAGTGTCACCACCTTCATTAACTAGCTAGATTTCTGGATAACTTGCTACAGCGTCTACATTATCACTTGCTCCTTCACCTTGCGCTTTTATTTTTTGTTTTTTGTTTTTTTTTTCTGAGATGGAGTCTCACTCTATTGCCCAGGCTAGAGTGCAATTGCACCATCTTGGCTCACTGCAACCTCCACCTCCCAGGTTCAAGTGATTCTCCTGCCTCAGCCTCCTGAGTAGCTGGGATTACAGGCACGGACCACCACACCCAGCTAATTTTTGTATTTTTAGTAGAGATGAGGTTTCACCATGTTGGCCAGGCTGGTCTTGAACTCCTGACCTTGTGATCTGCCTGCCTCAGCCTCCCAAAGTGCTGGGATTACAGGTGTAAGCCATCGCGCTCGGCCCACCTTGCACTTTTAACTTATGAATATGGCCTCTTAAGCCTCATGAACCAACCACTGCTGGCCTCAAACTTTCCTTCTGCAGCTTCCTCACCTCTCTCAGCCTTCAGAGACTTGAAGAGAGTTAAGGCCTTTCTCTGGATTAGGCTTTGGCTTTAGGGAATGTAAGTGGTTTGATCTTCTATCCAGACTGCTACACCTTTCTCTATATCAGCAATAAAGATAGTTCACTTTCTTATTATGCATTCACTGGAGTAGCACTTTTAATTTCCTTCAAGAATTTTTCCTTTGCATTCACAACTTGGCTGTTTGGTACAAGAGGCCTAGCTTTCAGCCTGCCTTGGCTTTCAACATGCCTTCCTCACTAAGCTTAATGATTTCTAGCTTTTAATTTAAGGTGAGAGATGTGCAACTCTACCTTTCACTCACATAGAGGCCATTGTAGGATTATTAATTGGCCTAACTTCAACATTGTTGTGTTTCAGGGACTAGACAGGTCTGGGGAAAGGAAGAGAGATGGGGAAATGGCCAGTCAGTGGAGGAGTCAGTACGCACACATATTTATAGAATAAGCTCACATGGATGTGGTTCATGGTGCCCCAAAACAATTATAATAGTACATTAAAGATCGCTGATCACCACAACAGATATAATAATAATGAAAATGTTAAAATATTGTGAGAATTTCCAAAATGCAACACAGAGACACTAAGTGAAAAGATGCTGGTGGAAAAATGGAGCTGATAGACTTCCTCAGCACAGGATTGCCACAAACCTTCAATTTGTAAAAAACACAATAACTGCAAATACAATAAAGTTAAGCACAATGAAACAAGATATGCCTGCAATAGAGGGACCTGTGTGTGTTGGGGCAAGCGGGGCAAAGGAGAACTCTCTGTACTGTATGTTCAATTTTTCTGTAAACATAAAACTTCTCTAAAAAATAAAGTCGATTTTTAAAAAGTAATGCAGAAATCAGACAACCAGTGAAATGTTTGGGTCAGGAGTTGGGTTTGTTTTCTAAAAGTGATAGAGTTATATTTGGCAAGCGGAGGTGATGAACACTTAGCTGATACTAACTACGTGACTATCTTGACTTTATTAAAGTATTTTCATTTTTGTAGAAATCTTTTCGTGTGTGTGTGTGTGTGTGTGTGTGTGTAGATGTAGAAACTTGGATCTACATAAATAATGAGAGAGAGAGTCAGAGAAGGAATAAAGGTAAAATAAAAATCTTTTTCTATTCTTCATTAATCCAAAATGCAACTGTCTTTTAAAAGTATTATTATTTTGTTTAAAGCATCATTATTTTAGTAAAAATGTACTGAGTGATTATAACTTATGGATAAGTGAAATCAATGGCAGCAGTGTCACAAGAGATGGGAAGTAGTAATTAAGAATACTCTGTTATAAGGTACCTGCATTAAATGTGAAACAGAAGAGTGTTGTTTGAAGGTAGACTTAAATTAGTTAAAAATGTATATTACAACCTCTAGGACAAGCACTAAAAACTTTAAAAGGAAGTACAATGGGTACACCAAGAGAGAAAGTAGAGTGGAATCATAAAATACTCAATTAGAACAAGAAAAGGCTGAAAAGGAGCCTCTAGTAAGAATGAAAACAGTTATAAACATGGTTGATATTAATCCAAATATATCCATAATCACTTTAAATGTGAAGGGCATAGGTACACCAGTGAAAAACAGATTGTCAGAGTGGATAAAATACAAGACCCAATTATATATGGTATACAAGGAACACACTTTAATAATAATGATTCTCATAAATTAAAAGTAAAGTGATGGAGAAAGATATACCATGCTAACATTAATTTTTAAAACATGAAATAGCTATGTTTATTTCAGGTATAGAAGACCTCACAGCAAGAAAAATTATTAGGGATAAAGAAATACTAAATAATGATGAAGTTAATTATCCAAGAAAACATAACTATCCTAAACATGTATGCACATAACATCAGATAATTAAAATACATGAGGCAAAAACTTATAGAACTGCAAGGAGAAATAGACAAATCCACTACATAGTGGAGTCTTCAACACTGGATCAAAAAGGCAGAAACAATAAGCATGTACTTGATCTGAACAGTATTATTAAACAAGTGGATATAACTGGCATTTATAGAATGCTCTATCCAACAATGGCATAATGCATATCCTTCTCAATCTTACATATAACACTAATCAAATTAAACCACACTCTGAGCCACAAAATATAGCTTAAAAAGTTTAAAAGATAGAAATCACATGAAGTATGTTCTGGGACCTCAATAGAAGTAAAACATATGTCAATAATGGAGAGATTGATAAAAAAAATCCCCAATATTTGGAAATTAAATGACAAATTTCCAAATTACATATGGGTCCAAAAAAGTCTCAAGAAAATTTTAAAATATTTTGAACTAATAAAAATAAAAATGTCTGAGATGCAGCAAAAGGGAAATTTACAGTATTAAATCAGTTATTAAAAAAGGAGGCTCTAAAATAAGTAACCTAAACTTCTACCTTAGTAAAATAAAGAAATAAAAATAACCGAAACCTAGAACAAATGAAGAAAAGAAATGATAAAAATTAGAGGAGAAATAAATAAAACTGAAAATAGGAAAACGATAGAGAAATCAATGAAACTGAAAGCTTCACTGGCTCTTTGAAAATAAAAATAATATTGATAAATCTTTAACCAAGCTAATCAAGAAAAAAACAGAGAAGACTCAAATTAGCAATATTAGAAATAAAAGAGGGGCCATCACTACTGATCCCACAAATTTTAAGAGCATAATAAAGAAATACGAAGAACAATTCTTTGCCCACAAATTTGATAACCTAGGTGAAATGGGCCAATGTCTTAAAAGACACAATCTGCCAAAACTCATGCAAGAAGAAATAGACAATCTGAATTGAGTGAAGAATTGATAACCTTCCAAAACAGAAAGCATCAGGTGCAGATGGGTTCACTGGTGAATTCTACCAAACAATTAATGAAGAAATTATACCAATTCTATATAATTCTTCAAAAAAATATATGAGGACAAAATACTTCCTAACTAATTCTACAAGGTCAGCATTTACCCTAATACTAAAACAAGACAAAGACATTACAAGAAAGAAAAACGACAGACCAATATCTTTCATAAATTTAGATGCAAACATTCTTAACAACATATTAGCAAATCAAATCTAACAATGTATAAAAAGTGACCAAGTGGGATTTGTTCCAGAAATGCAAGGCTGGTTCAACTTAAAAAAAAAAACACACACAAGAACAGAAAACCAAATACCATGTGTTCTCACTTATAAGTGAGAGCTAAACATTGGGTACTCATGGACATAAAGATGGCAACAATAGACACTGGACACTGTTAGAGTGGGGAGGAAGAGAAGAAGTCAAGGGTTGAAAACCTAACTGTTGGGTACTAAGCTCCCTGCTTGGGTGATGGGATCATTCATACCTCAAACCGTCACATGTATGCTGTGAATCTAAAATAAACATTGAGATTAAAATCAATCAATCAATCAATATGACCCACTATATCAACAAACTAAAAAAGAAAAATCGTGTTTATATTATTGATGCAGAAAAAGCATTTGACAAAACCAATACCCATTGATGATATTAAAAAGAAAAACTTCTCAGCCAACTAGGAATAGAGGGGAACTCTCTCAATTAGATAAAGAATATATGCAAAAAACTGACAGCCAACATCATGCTTAATGGTAAGAAACTGGATGCTTTCCACCTAAGACTGGGATTCACATTACTTTATTTCAGGACTTACTATGAGGCTATAGTAATAAAAAATCATGTGTAATGGTTTAAATTATGTGTCAACTTGACTGGATAATGGAGTGTTCAGATATTTGGTCAAATATTCTGAGTGTTTCTGTGAGGGTGTTTTTGGATGAGATTAACATTTAAATTAGTAGACAGAGTAAAGCAGATTGCCTTCCCTAGTGTGGCTGGGCCTCATCCAATCAGTTGAAGGCCTGAATAGAACAAAAAGGCTGAGCCTCCCCCAAGTAAAACAGAATTCTTTCTGCCTGCCTGCCTTTGACTGAGACATCAGATTTTTCCTGCCTTTGTACTTATTCTGAAACATTGGCTCTTTCCAAGTCTCAAGCCTGAGAGCCTCTGGACAGGAACTACACCATCAGCTCTCTTAGTTCTCAGGCATTTGAGCTCAGGGTTTGGGACTCAGACAGGAACAAAGCCATAGGCTCTGTTGGGTCTCCAGCTTGCAGTGTGACCCAGATCTTGGGACTTCAGATTTTAGGATTTACCTGCCCTCATAATCTCATGAACCAACTCCTTATTAGAAAGCTCTTTTTATATGCCTATCTCCTATTGGTTCTGTTTTTCTGAAGAACCCTGACTAATACAGATTTTGGTGCTGAAAGTGGTTCTAAGTGGGGCAGAATTTTAAGGATGAGTTTTCCTGAATTTGTTCTGGGGTTTCTAGAATAGGCTTTCTAATCTGAATACATTTAAAATGCTAGTGACTCTATTTGTAGTAGCAGAAAGAACCCTCCCAGAAACTAAATTTCTTGTTACCTTGATCATGAACTTCCTAGCCTCCAGAATTGTGAGGAAATAAGCATCTGTTGTTTAAGCTGCTCAGTCTGTGACATTTTGTGATGGCAGCCCAAGGAGACTAATACAGATTTTGATATCAAGAAGTGGAGTGTTGCCGTAACAAATACTAAAAAATGTAAAGTGACTTTGGAACTTGGTAGAGGATGAAAGAGTTTTGAAGTGCATGCCAGAAAAAAAGCCTAGATTGTCTTGAAGGGTCTACTGGTAGAAATATGGACATTAAATGTGCTTCTGGTGATATTACAGATGGAATGAGGAACATACTATTGAAACTGGAAGAAAGCCAACCCTTGTTATCAAATGACAAGGAACTTAACTGAATCATGTTCTAGTGTTATTATAGGACCACCAGGTTCATATGCCCACTGTGCAGTAACAGACCAATAAATGAAGACAGCAGGGTTCACGGTAGAGAAGGAGTTGAATGCTTTCAGGACAAGGAGATGGGAAGACATCCTCAAATCCATTTCTGTGAGGAGTTCTGGGCTGGGATTTTAAAGGGGATCATGGAGGGCAAGGGGCTAGAAATTGGGTTTTTTGATGGGTTGCAGGAAACAGCATTCTTTAGTGAGTCAGCTCCTGCAGGGTTGTTCAGACCAGTTGACATCTGTAGTTTCACTAGTATGCAGGACCAGAAAGAGTACTTCACATGGAAAATGTAATGTTTCACAATGTTCAAGTTATTAGCTATGGAGCACTTACGGGCATCTATTATTCTGTGACAGGATCTATGTGATTCTGAGGCAACAGGCACCAAACAACTATGCAGAAGTGGCCCAGAGAGCAGGGTGACCTAATGACTAATGTTGGATGTGCCACAAGCTTAATTTGTTCTCATTTCTCCCCCTCCTTTCTTTCCTGATTAATTTTATAATGTTCACAGGGACAGTTTTAGTGTTTTGTGGAAGGTAGAACATGCAAATGATGAAACTGGATATTTAGCTGAGGAGATTTCTAAGCGAAGTTGATGGTACAGCCTGGCGTCTCCTTACTTCTTATAGTAAAATGTGAGAGGACAGAGATAAAGTGAGAGAAGCATTAAGCAAAATGGAAGTAGAACTTAAAATTTTTTTTAAAACTTCTCAGCCTATCCATATTGCAAAAAATGAAAACCTTTTTCTGAAGACAACACTAGAGGTGTGGCTGGATAATCCTTTCATAAGGAGATTGCCCATGGAGTTAACCAACCATCTCAGCAGAAGCCAGGAGTAGAGATGAGATTATTCCAGCACAGACACTGCCATCTTGGACCAAGGGGAACAGAGACAGGATGAAATGAAGGAAAGCCTTCAGAATTCTGGGACTGAACAGGATGGGATGACAAAGCTGTTTGGCTGTGAACATGCTTTATCCCTTAAGACAAAGGAAGAATGGCCCTGAAGGTGATTCATAGGCCATCTGGACTGCCACTCTTACCACAGGCCCAGGGAGCAAGACTGCTTCCTACTTGGTTTCAGAGGGTGAGGGTCCTTTCCTCAGCTGCAGCAGGCCAGGCTGTCCCACCAGTGCCTCGGTGGCAGGACTGGCAAAGAGCCATGGGGGCAGAGCGGGCACACAGAGCCAAGAGGGCAGGGTCATGGCTGACATCCTTTCGGGTGATGCTGCTGTGCCAGTGAGCCCAGAGGCAGAGCATCCAGCCAAAGGGGATTATTCTGGAGGCTTAAGAGCTAATGGAATTACCCTTGCTAGGTTTTGGACTTTCTTGGGACCCCTCACCTCTTTCTTTCTCCTAATTCTCCCTTTTGGAATATATATATCCTATGGATGGCCCGCTATTGTATCTTGGAAGCACACCACTTGTCTGGTTTCACAGGCTCAAAGCCAGAGAGGAATTTTGCCCCAGGATGAGTACCTCAAGTGTCACCCACACTTGATTGAGCAGATTTTTAGGCGAGACTTTGAACTTGGAATGACGTCAGAATGTGTTGAGAATTTGGGAGCTGTTGGAATTAGGTGACTGTATTTCGCATGTGAGAAGGACATGAATTTTGGAGCCAAAAGGCAGAATATTATGGACTGCATTGTATTTCCCCGCTCCAAATTAATATATTGAAGCCCTAACCCCCAGTGTGGACTATATCTGGAGATAGGGCCTTTACAGTGGTAAGTAAAGGCCCCATCTCCAAATAGGAGATGAGTTCCTAAGGGTGGAGCCCTAGTCTGATCAGGCCTGTGTCCTTATAAGAAGAGGAAGAACAACCAGAGGTCTCACTTTCTCTCTTTCTACATGCACAGAGAAGAGGCCACGTGAGGACACAGTGAAAGGTGGCCATCTACAAGCAAGGAAGAGAGGCTTTCAGAAAAATATAACTCTAACAGCACCTTGATCTTTTACTTCAGAACTGTCAAAAAAATACGTTTTTGTTGTTTAAACCACTTACTCTGTGTTATTTTGTTATGGAAGCCCTAGCAAACTAATACCATGTAGCATTGGTAAAAGAATGGACACACAGATTAGTGAAACAGAATAGAAAGTCGCAGGGCGCGGTGGTTCACGCCTGTAATCCCAGCACTTTGGGAGGCCGAGGCAGGTGGATCACGAGGTCAGGAGATGGAGACCATCCTGGCTAACACGGTGAAACCCCGTCTCTACTAAAAATACAAAAAATTAGCCAGGCGCAGTGGCGGGCGCCTGTAGTCCCAGCTACTCGGGAGGGTGAGGCAGGAGAATGGTGTGAACCAGGAGGCGGAGCTTGCAGTGAGCCGAGATAGCACCCCTGCACTCCAGCCTGGGTGAAAGAGTGAGACTCCGTCACACACACACACACACAAAAACAGAATAGAAAGTCCAGCAATAGGCCCACACAAATATAGTTAACTGATCACTGGCAAATGAACAAGGCAATTCAAGGGAGAAAGCATAGTCTTTCAATATATGTTGCTGAACAGTTGGTCATCCATACGGAAGAATAAAAAGAATTTAGACACTCAGACTTGATACAAATATTAATTCAAAATAGATCATAGACTTACAAGTAAAATGCAAAACTACATAACTTCTTGAAGAAAACAAAGGAGAAAATCTACATAATCTTTAGTTTGGTGATATTTTTATGTAGAATACCAATAACACATTCCATAATAACAGATAAATTGAACTTTATTAAAATTAACCACCACTACTCTGTGAAAGACACTGTTAACAGACTGAAAAGAAAAAACAGGGCATAGACTTGGAGAAATATATGCAAAACACGTATCTGATCAAAGACTTGTATCCAAAACATACAAAAAATTCTTAAAACTCAATAATAAAAAACCAAACAACCCAATTTAAAAATGGGCAAAAGATCTAAGCAGATACCCCACCAGACAAGATATACAGATGGTAAATAAGTATATGACAAGATGCTCAACATATGTCATTAGAAAATTGCAAATTTAAGCAACAATGAGATGCTACTGCATACGTACCAGAATGGCTAAGCAAAAACAAAACCTGCCAATACCAACTGCTGGTGAGGATGCAGAGCCACAGGGACCCTCCTTCATTGCTGGTGGAAGTGCAAAATGGCACAGTTGTTTCAGATATTTGGCAGTTTCTTATACAACTAAACATACTCTTGCCATATGATCCAGCAATCACACTCCCAGGTTTTAACCAAATGAAAGAAAAACTTCTATCTACACAAAAACTTGTATGTGAATGGTTATAGCAGCTTTATTTGTAATAACCCAAAGCTGAAAGCAATCAAGATGCCCTTTAACAAATGAGTGGATAAACAACTGGCACATGCACACACTGGAATATGAAAAAAAGGAAGAAAGAAGTGAGCTGTCAAGCTGTGAAAAGACAAGGATGACTCTTGAATGCATACTGCAAAGTCGAAGAGGCTAGCCTGAAAAACATTATAAACTGTGTTATTTCAATTATACGAAAACTTAGAGAGAGCATGGTGAAAAGCAGCCAGGCCCAGCCCTTGAAGAAGTGGCGAATCTTTCTCCCCACCTAGCCTTGGTGCCCTGAGGGTGGCAGAGGCCCCTCCCAGCCTGGACCCCGCCAGCCTAGAAGAAACCCCGACAAGCCGCCAGGACACAGCGCCTTTGGGTGGCAGCGGGTGTGGCGGGGCAGGAAGGCAGGTGTAGGACGCACACTCAGCTGTCTCTCTAGGCCTGGAACCACCAGCCCCAGGTCCCGGGGTGACCTCTGTCCTAACTCAGTGAGGTCTGCTTAGTCCTGGCCAGGCAAAGGCCTTAAGCTCCGGACCATGGCAGGGAACCAGTAGTGGCCACCCGGCCATCAGCCTTCCTTCTACCTGATCTTGATATTGCAGAGAGAGATGGTAGAAGGACATTCCTCAGTTGGCACACTGGAAATGCCACTACCCTTTGGGAAGGTTTGCTGGCCATTTCTAGAAGGCCTGTGTATATAACATGAAAAATCTGCTCTCAACTTTCCCCCAAGCGTTTAAAAGAAAACGTTTGCTACATCTGGAGGTTGCCCACATATGATAAAGAAGAGTTAGAAAATCACATGTGTTGTAAATGCTCATTTGTTTAAAAAAAATCATAGAAAATAAATGCCTTCTGGAGATGACTTTGAAATGGTCGCTGGAGCACCTCTGGAAGCCACACCAGGAGCAACCTGTCCACCTCTGTTCTGTGGGTTAGAGGGGATGGCTGGAAGACCTGAGGAGGAAAAGAAGGCTCTAGGCCAGACTGGGTCTATTGAGAGGCCATGTTCATATTTGAACCATTGTTTTATGTGAATATTTTGTTCCTCACTACTGTATATATAGTTGAGACTGCTAAGTATTGTTTTTTGAAATATTTAGTGTTTCTAGATGTTCTGAAGTGCCTGATAGATGTTAAAATTAAAAGTGGTAAAATAACACAGTTTGTAAAACTTGTTTATGTTAAAATTCATATGAAATACTGTTTTGGGGAGGGGATGGGATGGCCAAACCACCTGTTGAGCAACACACATTGTGTTTGTGCCCTGGTTCAGGGGAGGAGGGAAGAGGAGGAAGTGTGGAGAGCTCTGTGCCCGTGTGCTCACAGTGAGGCGGGATGGGCCATCGGTGCTCATGTCTGTGTGTTTTGTTTTACTTATCTGTGTGTATATGGTGTGTATAAAGGCCAAATGAGTCCTAACTTACATCTCATCTTTCTAGACCTTAAAGAGGTTGCCAGTGTATAACAAAAGTAGAATTCATAAACTAATATATTTTGTACATTTTGTTTTAAAATTCCTAGGAAAGATTGTCTTCTGAAAATCTGAGCATCATTGTTGATGTTCATGGAGCATCAACAATGGATGCTTGATGGAGATAGGCAGGGTCCTAGGTCAGAATGCCCATATTTCAAAGACTCTTTCAAATTATAACTATGATTACATGCGTGCAGTTTATTCCAGACTGCTGTGTACATAGTGGACAAATTCACTCCTTATCTGAAACAGCTTGTCTATCTAGATATTTAGAAGTGCCAGACCTATGTTAAATGTAGAGGTAGTAAAATATCACTTTGTAAATGTCTTTTTCCTAAAATTCATAGGAAATATTGTCTTTTGGAAATGGATTTTTTTTTTTTTTGAGATGGAGTCTCACTCTGTAACCCAGGCTGGAGTACAGTGACTTGGTCTCGGCTCACTGCAACGTCTGCCTCCCGAGTTCAAGCGATTCTCTTGCCTCAACCTTCCGAGTAGCTGGGATTACAGGTGCCCGCCACCACGCCCAGCTAATTTTTGTATTTTTAGTAGAGATGGGGTTTCAACATGTTGGTCAGGCTGGTCTTGAACTCCTGACTCTGTGATCCACCCACCTAGGCTTCCCAAAGTGCTGGGATTACAGGTGTGAGCCACTGTGCCCGGCCGGAAATGGAATTTTTAAACCGCGTCTGTGAGCAGTATAATACTGCTTATGCTTGTTCAACGGCTTAGCAGAAGTGGGAGGGAGGAAATTGCAAAAGGTAATATGTCAGTGTGTTCATATTTGGACATTTTTAGACACCATTGTGTATGTTTTGTGTGTTTTGTTTTGCTGTGTGTATATGTATATAATGGACAAATGAGTCGTAATTTTGCAACATCTAGTCTCTAGATGTTAAAAAGGTTGCCAGTGTATGACAAAGTACTTAGTAAAATTAGCACATTTTGTGCAAAAAAAAGAAAGAAATTTCGGAAAATGCAAACCTTAGAAACAGATCAGTGGGTTTCCAGGAGGTTGAGAGATGTGGGGATTATTGGGTGAAGCACAGGAGATATTTTAGGGGAGTAAAACTTACGTATGGGATACTATACTGGTGAATATAAGATATTAAGCTTTGTCCAAACCCATAGAACTTTAACACCACAAAGCCTCAATGCATGTAAATTAAGAAAAATAATGTAATAGTTTGGGTAATCCCTGGATGAGTGCAGAATGTGACAAAAGAAGCTCAACATATTAAAAATATATAAAGCAACCTCACTGAAAGAGTGGCATAAGTAAATAACTTTGGAAATGAATAGAAACTGTAAGACTAAAGGAAATGGAAAAGAGCATTAAGAGCAAAATGAGGAATCTGTATTAAATACAGGCTCTCGTATTTTAATATGTTATTATCAATAAGAATTTTGATACACTAATTATGACAAATACAGCATACTAATGTAAGATGTTTGTCATAGGAAAAACTGAGTGTGAGATATATGAGAACACTCTGCGTTATCATCACCGTAACTCTGGTCTAAAATTAAAGGTTAACTTAAAAATTAATTGAGCATACATAAAAATACATATAAAATATATGTAATTATATATAATTACACATTTTTAAACATACTAAATGTGGTTATATATATGTGTGTGTGTATATGTGTGTGTGTGTGTGTGTGTATATATATATATGTATATAATTTTTTTTTTTTTTTTGAGACAGAGGCTTGCTCTGTCGCCCAGGCTGGAGTGCAGTGGTGAGATCTTGGCTCACTTCAACTTCTGCCTCCCCAGTTCAAGCAAATCTTGTGCCTCAGCCTCCCTAGTAGCTGGGACTACAGGCGTGTGCCACCAAGCCTGGCTAATTTTTGTATTTTTAGTAGAAATGGGGTTTCACTGTGGTCAGTTTGGCCATGCTGGTCTCAAACTCCTGACTTCAAGTGATCCACCTGCCTCAACCTCCCGAAGTACTGGGATTACAGGCCTAAGCTACCCCGCCTGGCCAATTGAGCATGTTTTTAAGGGTTTATTTGTGGAGTCTTTATTCTGTTCCATTGATTTATGTGTCTACCCCTCAGCCAGTACCATGATTCTTGTAGCCACAGTATGCCTTGACATTGGGAGGAGTGATTCTTCTTATTTAATTAGTTTTGGTTCAAAATCGTCTACTCTAGGAACTGTGTTTCCATATAAATTTTGGACTAAATTTGTTTAAGTCTGAAAAAAAAAAGCCCTGAGATTCTGAGAGTAATTGTGTTAAGCCTATACCTTTGTGGAGAAATGACATGTTTACTATACTGAGTCTTTCAGTCAATGAACACCATATGTATCTCCATTAATTTAGGTTTTCTTTCATTTATTTCATCAACAATTTGTCATTTCTATCACACAGATTCTGTACATGTTTTGTTAGTTTTATACTTAATAATTGTATTATCTCTGTAGTGGTTTTAAATGCTATTGCATTTTTGGTTTTGATTTCTATTATCAGCACGTAATTGATTTTTGCATGTTGATCTTGTATCCAATGACATTAATGAATTCATATATTATTTCTAGAAGGTTTTTAAAAAAGATTCCTTGAATTCTTCTACAAAGACATTATGCCATCTACAAATAGAGATAATTTTATTTATTCTTTTCCAATCTGTGTGCCTTTTATTTATTTTTCTTGCCTTACTGGAGTGGCTGGAACATCCAGTAATATGTGGAATAAAAGTGATGAGAGCCACCATCCTTTTTTTGTTCCCAATTTTAGAGGAAAAGAATTAAGCCTTTCACCATTAAGGATGATGTTAGCTGTAGGGATTTTTTTGAAAGTAAACCAGTATTTATTAGCAAATATGGACAAAACAACTCATACAATCTATCCTGTAGGCAAATGAAGCCTCAGTTCTCCGTCATTTTAGGTTCTGAAGCCACCGTCTTGCATCGAAGGTGCACTAAAGGTAGATGTGACACGACACCAGAGATGGGTATCTTACGATTAGCATCAAGGAAACAGGTCAGCCTTCTCACCATTTCTCAGATTCAGGATCATTTAGGGCTCAACACTCAGATGCCATTTCTAAGTGTGCAGCCTTCTGCACCTCTTACCAGATATTTTTATGTTAAAATACACATAACGTAGTACTTATCATTCTAGCCATTTGTAACCATACAATTTGCTTGCATTAAATACATTGACAATGTTGTGTAACCAACACTACTATCAATATGCAAAATATTTTCCTTATCCCCAAAATAAACACTGTATGCATTAAGCAATGTCTTCTCATGCTCCCTTTCAACAAATCCTTGATAACCTCTATTCTACTTTCTGGCTTTGAATTTGCCAGTTCTGGGTACCTCATATAAGGGGAATCATACAATATTTGTGCTTTATGCCTGGCTTATTCCATTTTACATAATGTTTTTAAAGTCCATCCATCTTTAGCATATATTGCAATTCAGACCTTTTTATGGCTAAATAATATTCCATTGTATGCATGTACTACGTTTTGTTGTATATTCATTCATTTATCTGTTGATAGAAACTTGGGTGTTTCCACCTTTTGACTATTGTGAGTAATGCTGCTATGAACATCAATGTACAAATATCTGCTCAAGCCCCTGTTTTCAGTTGTTTTGGATATATTGGATATTTGGATGTGTATCTAGGAGTGGAATTGCAAAGTCACATGCTTAATTTTTAGAAGAATTGCCAAACTGTTTTCCATAGAGTCTGCACCATTTTACATTATCAGTAGCAACATATGAGGGTTCTAATTACTTCACAACTTAGCCAACACTTATTTTTCTTTTAAAAATTATTATTATTATTATAGCCATTCTAATGAGTGTGATGTGATATCTTCTTGTAGTTTAGATTGGCATTTCCCTAATGACTAATACATTGAGCATCTTTTCGTGTATTTATTGGCCATTTGTATATCTTCTTTGGAGAAATGTCTATTCAAGATTATTGCCCATTTTAAAAATTAGATTGTTTGGTTTGCGGGTTGTTGAGTTGTAGGAGTTCTTTATATATTGTGAATATTCATCTCATTAAATATATAATTTGAAAATTTTCTTTTATTTAATAGGTTGTCTTTTCACTTTCTGATAGTGTCTGCTACACAAAAGTGCTTATTTTTTTTTTAATTTTTAATTTTTGTGGGTGCATAGCAGCTATGTATATTGATGGGGTATGTGAGATACTTTGATACAGGCATGCAAGGTGTAATAATCACATTAGGATAAATAAAGTATCCATCACCTCAAGCATTTATCCTTTGTGTTAGAAACAATCCGATTATACTCTTTGAGTTATTTTAAAATATACAATTAAATTGTCATTGACTATAGTCACCCTGTTGTGCTATCAAATACTAGGTCTTATTAAGTCTTTTAAACTATTTTTGTGCCCGTTAACTATCCCCACTTCCTCCCCCATTCCTCCGCCCCACCTCCAACCTCCCTACTATCTTCCCAGTCTCTGGTAACCTTGCTTCTGCTCTATATCTCCATGACTTCAATTGTTTTGATTTTTAGATCCCACAAATAAGTAAGAACATGTAACGTTTGTTTTTTGGTGCCTGGCTTATTTCACTTAACATAATGATCTCTAGTTCCATACATGTTGTTGCAAATCACAGGATCTTGTTCTTTTTTATGGCTGAAGAATACTCCATTGTGTATATGTACCACATTTTCTTTATCCATTCATCTGTTGATGGACACTTAGGTTGCTTCCAAATCTTGGCTATTGAGGATAGTACTGTGAGAATAGTGCTGCAATAAATGTGGGAGTACAGAAATCTCTTCAATACACTGATTTTCCTTCTTTTGGGTCTATACCTAGCAGTGGGATTGCTGGATCATATAGTAGCTCTGTTTTTAGTTTCTTGAGGAACCTCCAAACTCTTCTCGATAGTGGTTGTACTACTTTACATTCCCAACAGTGTACAAGGGTTCCCTTTTCTCCACATCCTCACCAGCATTTGTCATTGCCTTTTGAATAAAAGCTATTTTGACTGGGGTGAGATGATATCTGCTTGTAGTTTTGATTTACATTTATCTGATGATCAACGATGTTGAGCACCTTTTCATTTACCTGTTTTACATTTGCATGTCTTCTTTTGAGAAATGTCTATTGAGATCTTTTGCCCATTTTAAAATCAGATTATTAGATTTTTTTCCTATAGAACTGTTTGAGCTTTTATATTCTGGTTATTAATTCCTTGTAAGATGGGTAGTTTGCAAATATTTTCTCCCAATCTGTGGGTTGTCTCTTCACTTTGTCAATTGTTTCCTTTGCTGTGCAGAAGTTTTTTAAGTTAATGTGATCCCATATGTCCATTTTTGCTTTGGTTGCCTGTGCTTTTGGGGCATTACTCAGGAAATCTTTGTCCAGTTCAATGTCCTAGAGAGTTTCCTCAATTCTTTCTTTTAGTGGTTTTGTAGTTTGAGGTCTTAGATATAAGCATTTAATTCATTTTGATTTGATTTTTGTGTATGATGAGAGATAGCGGTCTAGTTTCATTCTTCTGCATATTGATATCCAGTTTTCCCAGCACCATTTATTGAAGAGACTTTCTTCTCCCAAACGCATGTTCTTGACCTTTGTTGAAAAGGAGTTCATTGTAGGTGTGTGAATTTGTTTCTGGGTTGTCTGTTCTGTGCCATTAGTCTATGTGTCTGTTTTTATGTCAGTACCATGCTGTTTTGGTTGCTATAGTTTTGTAGTATAATTTGAAGTCAGATAATGTGATTCCTCCAGTTTTGTTCTTTTTGCTTAGGATAACTTTGGCTATTCTGGGTCTTTTGTGGTTCCATATAAATTTTAGGATTTTTTTTTCTATTTCTGTGAGGAGTATTATTGGTATTTTGATATGGATTGCACTGAATATGTAGATTTCTTTGGGTAGTATAGACATTTTAACAATATTGATTCTTCCAATCCATCAAAAATATTGACTCTTCCATTCCAAAAATGAAATATTCTTCCCATTTCTTGGTGTCCTTTTCAATTTCTTCCATGAATGTTTTATAGTTTTTATCATAGAAATCTTTCACGTCTGTGGTTAATTCTTAGATACCTTATTTCATTTGTGGCTATTGTAAATGCGATTACTTTCTTTATTTCTTTTTCTGATTCTTTGCCATTGGTATAAAGAAATGCTACTGATTTTTGGATGTTGATTTTGTATCTTGCAGCTGTACTGAATTTATCAGTTCTAACAGTTTTTTGGTGGAGTCATTAGGTTTTTCCAAATGTGAGATCATATCGCCTGCAAATAAGGATAGTTTGACTTCTTTCTTTCCAGTTTGGATGCCCTTTATTTCTTTCTCTTGTCTGATTTCTCTAGCTAGGACTTCCAGTATTATGTGGAATAACAGAGGTGAAAGTGGGCATCCTTGTCTTTTTCCAGATCTTAGAGGAAAGGCTTTTAGTTTTTCCTTGTTCAGTGTGATACTAGTTGTGGGTCTCTCATATATGGCTTTTATTTTGTTGGGTGTGTTCATTCTATATCTAGTTTTTAAAGGGTTTTTATCATGAAGGGATGTTGAACTTTGTCAATTTTTTTCAGCATCAATTGAAATGATCATAGTGTTCTTAATCCTTTATTCTGTTGATATAATGTATCACATTGATTGATTTGCATATATTGAACCATCTTTGCATCTCTGGGAATCCCACTTGGTCATTATGAATGATATTTTTAATGTATTGTAGAATTTAGTTGATAATTTTTGCATCAATATTCAAAGGGATATTGATCTGTAGTTTGTTTGTTTGTTTTTTAGTGTGTCTTTGGTTTTGGTATGAGGGCAATACTGACCTCATAGAATGAGTTTGGAAGTATTCCCTCCTCCTCTATATTTTAAGTAGTTTGAGTAGGATTGGTATTAATTCTTCTTTAAGTGCTTTGTAGAATTCAGCAATGGAGACTCAGGTCCCTGGGTTTTCTTTACCGGGAGAAATTTTATTATGGTTTCTATCTCATTACTTGTTACTGGTCTCTTCAGGTTTTGGATTTCTTCATGGTTCAATCTTGGTAGGGTGTATATGTCTAGGAATTTATCATTTCTTCTAGATTTTCCAATTTATTAGCATATAGTTGCTCCTAGTAGCCACTAATGATCCTTTGGATTTCTGGTGTATTGGTTTTAATGTCTCCTTTTCTGTCTTTGATTTTGTTTATTTGGGTCTTCTCTCGTTTTTCTTAGTCTGGCTAAAGGCTTGTCAATTTTATTTATCTTTTCAAAAATCCAACTTTTTGTTTTGTTGATCTTATTATTTTCTTCACTTCAGTTGCATTTATTTCTGCTCTTATCTTTATTATTTCTTCTGCTAATCTTGAGTTTAGTTTCTCTTGCTTTTCTAGTTCTTTAAGATGCTTTGTTATGTCATTGATTTGAAGTTTTTTCTTTTCTTTTTCTACATAGGCACTTATAGCTATAAACTTCCCTCTTAATACTACTTCCACTTTATCACATAGGTTTTGGTATGTTGTGTTTCCACTGTCATTTGTTTCAATAAATTTTTCAATTTTCTTCTTAATTTCTTTACTGACCCAGTTGTTATCCATTGATCCATGTATTTGTATAGTTTCAAAAATTCCTCTTGTTATTGATTTCTAGTTTTATTCCATTGTGGTCAGAGAAGATGGTAGATATTATTTCAATTCTTTGAATGTTTTAATAATTGTTTTGTGACCTAACATATGGTCTATCCTTGAGAATGATATGCTGAGGAGAAGAATGTGTATTCTGCAGCTATTGGATGAAATGTTCTGTAAACAACTATTAGGTACATTTGGTCTATAGTGGAGATTAAGTCCAATGTTTCTTTGTTGATTTTCTGTCTGGCAATGCTGAGAGTGGGGTGTTGAAATCCCCAGCTTTTATTGTATTGGAGTCTATTTCTCTCTTTAACTCTAATAATATTTGCTTTATATATCTGGGTGCTCCAAATTGGGTGCATTTATATTTACAATTGTTATATCTTCTTGCTGAATTGACCCCTTAATCATTATATAATGAAATTCTTTGTCTCTTTTTATAGTTTTTATCTTGAAATCTATTTTGTCTGATATAAGTATAGCTACTACTCCTCTTTTTCAGTTTCCATTGTCATAGAATATCTTTTTCCATTTCTTTATTTTCAGTCTATCTGTGTCTTTATAGGTAAAGTGTGTTTCTTGTAGGCAATGGATCATTAGGTCTTGTTTTTTCATCCATTCAGCCAGTCTATGTCCCCTGATTGAGGAGTTAGTCCATTTACATTTAATGTTATGATCGATAGACAAGGATTTACTCCTGCCATTTTGTTACTTATTTTCTGGTTGTTTTATGTTCTTCTTCTTCTTTGTTACCTGTCTTCCTTTTAGTGAAGGTGATTTTCTCGGGTGATATGATTTAATATCTTGCTTTTTATTTTTTATGTATCTGTTGTATGTTTTTTGATTTGGGGTTACCTTGAGGCTTGCAAACATTGTCTTATAACCCATTATTTTAAACTGATGACAACTTAACACTGATTGCATAAAAAACAAGCAAACAAGCAAAAGGAAAATGAATAAAAACTCTGCACTTTAATTTTGTCCCTCCACTTTTAAACTTTTTGTTGTTCTATTTATATCTTATCGTATGTCTATGTCTTGCAAAGTTGTTATAGCTCTTATTTTGATTAGTTCATCTTTTAGTCTTTCAACTTAAGATAAGAGTAGTTTACACACCACAATTACAGTGTTATAATATTCTGTGTTTTTCTGTTTACTTACTATTACCAGTGAGTTTTGTACCTTCAGATGATCCCTTATTGCTCAATAACATCCTTTTCCTTCTGATTGAAGAACTCCCTTTAGCATTTCTTGTAGGACAGGCCTGCTGTTGAAATCCCTTGACTTTTGTTTGTCTGGGAAAGTCTTTATTTCTCCTTTACATTTGAAGGATATTTTCACCAGATATACTATTCTAGGGTAAAAGTTTTCTTCCTTCAGCACTTTAAATATGCTATGCTGTTCTTTCCTGGCCTGTAAGGTTTCCACTGAAAAGTCTGTTGCCAGACATATTGGAGCTCTGTTACATGTCATTTGTTTCTTTTCTCTTGCTGCTTTTAGGATTCTTTCTTTATCCTTGACCTTTGGGAATCTGATTATTAAATGTCTTGAGTTAGTCTTCTTTGAGTTAAAACTGCTTGGTGCTTTGCAACCTTCTTGTACATGAATGTTGATATCTTTCTCCAGTTTTGGAAAGTTCTTGGTTATTATCTCTGAACAAACTTCTCTACACTATCTCTTTCTCAACCTCCTCCTTAAGGCCAATAACTCTCAGATTTACCCGTTTGAGGCTATCTTCTAGATCTTGTAGGCATGCTTCATTCTTTTGTATTCTTTTTTTTCTTTTGTCTCCTCTGATTGTGTATTTTCAAATAGCCTGTCTTCAAATTCACTAATTCTTTCTTTTGCTTAATTCTGCTATTAAGAAACTCTGATGCATTCTTCAGTATGTTAATTGCATTTTTCAACTCAAGAATTTTTGCTTCTTTTAAATTATTTCAATCTTTTGTTAAATTTATCTGTTGGACTTCTAAATTCCTTCTCTGTGTTATCTTGAATTTCTTTGAGTTTTCTCAAAACAGCTATTTTGAATTCTCTGTCTGAAAGGTCACATATCTCTGTTTCTCTGGGGTTGGTCCCTGGTGCCTTCTTTAGTTGTTTGGGGAGGTCATGTTTTCCTGGATGGTCTTGATGCCCGTGGATGTTCATCAGTTTCTGGGCATTGAAGAGTTAGGTATTTATTGTAGTCTTCACAGTCTAAGCTTGTTTGTACCTGTCCTTCTTAGGAAGGCTTTCCAGATAATCGAAGGGACTTGAGTGTTGTGGTCTAAGCCATATCTGCATTAGGGAGTACCCCAAACCCAGTAATTCTGTGGCTCTTGCAGACTCATAGAGCTACTGCCTTGGTGGTCTTGAATAACATCTAGAAGAGACTCTTGTTCTGTTCCCTTACTTTCTCCCAAACAAATGAATTATCTCTCTCTCTGCTGAGCCACCTGGAACTAGGAGTGGGGTGACAAAAGTACCACTCTGGCCACCACTGATGGAACTGCTCTGGGTCAGACCTCAATCCAGCACAGCACTGGGTCTCACCCAAGGCCTGCTGTAACTACTACTTAGCTACTGCCTATGTTCTCTCATGGCCTTAGGGTTTTACAATCAGCAGGTAGTAAAGCCAACCAGGCTTGTGTCCTTCCCTTTACAATAGCGAGTTACCCAAGGCCTTGGGCAGGTCCAGAGATGCCATCTGGGAGCCAGGGACTGGAGTTAAAAACCTTAGAAATCTACCTGCTACTCTATTCTAATGTGGCTAAGCTGGTACTTATACCACAAGACTAAGTCCTTCCTGCTCTTCCTCCCCTTTCCACAGGCAGAGGAACCTCTACTTATGGTCGTCATGACCACCAACACATGGGGGGTACTGCCAGGCTCCCACTGATGTTCACTTAAGACTCATGGGCTCTTCAGTCAGCTTGTGGTGAATGCTGCCGGGCCTGAAACTTACCCTTCAGGTCAATGAGCTCCCCTCTGGCCCAGGGCAAGTCCAGAAATGCCATCCAGGAACCAAGGGCTGGAATCGAGGATTATAAGAGCCCACCTGGTGCTCTACCAGGCCAGCTGTGGCCAAGCTGGTACCTAAAATGCGAGACTAAATCTCCTTTACTTTTCCCTTTTCTTTTCTCAAGCAGAAAGAATCTTTTACTGCAGCTACCACAGCTGGAAATGTGCTGCATCTCACTGGAAGGCAGCATGTCTCAGAGTCTCACCCAAGGCCCATGGCATATTACCTGGGTATTGCTGCTGGTTCTTCAGGGCCCAAGGGCTCTTTAGTCAGCATATGTTGAATCCTGCCAGGACTGAGTCCTTGCCTTCCAAGAAGCAGGTTCCCCTGGCACAGGGTGTGCCTAGAAATGTCATTTGGGAGCTAGGGCCTGGAATGGGTGTCCCATGATTCTGCCTGGTACCCTATCCTATAGTGGTTGAGCTGGTCTCTAAGGTGCAAGACAAAGTCTTCTTTACTCCCTCCTCTCCTCTTCTCTAGGGGAAAGGAGCCACTTTTGTTGCTGTGAGCTGTGCTCCCTGGGGAAGGAGGTTTAGGCTGGTGCAATCACTCCCTTAGCCACTCTAGCTGGTGTCTCTCTAGGTCATATGCCCCAAAATGTCCACTGGCTCTGAGCCTACCACAGCACTAGGACTTGCCTATGAATTGTAGTCCTTGCAGCCTAGACTGCCTTTCAAGTGTATTTAGGATCCCAGAGCCCTTTATCCCGCAGTGGTTAGACTTGCCAAAATTCAGGTTCTGACCACTGGGATGGGCAATTCCCCTCCAGCTAGGGCTGGTCCAAACTCCCCCTCTGTGAGCAAGTGTTGTCTGAGTTTAGCCCCGTTTTGCTTTCTGCTGTGACAGAGAAACACTGAGTTCAGTGCAGGGTCCCATAATCACTGAACTCTCTCTCCCCTAAGTGCACAGATTCTCCATGCCACATGACCACTGTCGGGATGGGAGAGGTGTGGCGTTGGTGATTCAAGATTGTCTTTCCAAGCTTCTTCATTGTCTCTTTTAGCAATATGAAGTCAAAACCAGATGCTGAATTATTTGCCTGATTTTTGATTCTTAAGAAGGTGTTTCTTCTGTGTATATAGTTGTTAACTTTGGTCTTCCTGCAGGAGAGACAATTGGTGAAGGCTTCTATTCAACCATCTTGCTCCACCCTCTCCCAAACATACTTGATTTTGATGAAATCCAATTTATCTATTTTTTGATTTTGTTGCCTGAACTTTTTATGTCATCTAAGAATCATTGCCAAAGCCAATGTTGGGAAGATTTTTCCCTAATGTTGTCTTTTAAGAGTTTTATAGTTTTAGCTCTTAAGCTTAGGTCTTTGATACATTTTGGATTAGTTTTTGTAGATAATATAAGGTAAGAATCCAACTTCATTCTTTGGCTTGTGGATATCTAGTTTTCCACATCACTTGTTGAAGAGACAAATGTCTTTTCCCCAAAGACAAGCGTCATTTCCCCATTGCATGGTATTGGCACCCTTGCCAAAAATCAAATGACCACACTTATGAGAGTTTATTTCTAGGTTCTCTATCCTATTCCACTGGGCTGTGTATCTGTCTTTATGGCTGTACCATTTTGTTTTAATTAGTATGTTTTAATGTTTAGAAGTTTGAATCCTCCAACTTTATTGTTCTTTTTCAAGATTACTTTGGCTATTTAGAACTCTTTCCAATTTCATATGAATTTGAGGATAAGCTTTTACATTTATGCAAAAAAGGCTGTTGGAATTTTGATAAGATTGTGTTGATTCTAGAGATCTCTGGGTGGTATTGACATCTTACCATAATTGAGCCTTTGTATCTATGAACATGAAATATATTTTCATTTGTTTAGATATAATTGAATCTCTTTTAGCAATGTTTTGTAATGTTTATGTGCAAGTCTCTCACTTCCTTGCTTAGATTTACTCCTAATCATTTAATTCTTTTACATATTGTATTAGTCCATTCTCACATTGCTATAAAGAACTACCTGAGACTGGGTAATTTATAAAATAAGAGGTTTAATTGACTCACAGTTCCACAGGTTGTACAGGAAGCATGGTTGGGAAACTTTCAGTCATGACAGAAAGCAAAGAAGTAGGCACGTTTTCCCATGGTGGAGCAGGAAAAAGTGAAGAGGGGAGGTGCTACACACTTTTTAACAACCAGATCTTGTGAAAACTATATCACGAGACAGTGCTAGGGAGTTGGTGCTAAACCATTAGAAACCATCCCCGTGACCCAATCACCTCCCACTAGGCCCCACTTCCAACACTGGGAATTACAATGCAACATGAGATTTGGTTGGGGAAACAGAGCCAAACCATATCAGATACTATTATAAATAAAATTACTTTCTTAATTTCTATTTTGAATTATTCACTGCTGATGTTTGTGTTTTGATCTTGTACCCTGCAACTTTTCTTAATTTATTAGCTCTAGTAGCTTTCTTCTTAATTCTTTGGGATTTTCTACATATAGAATGATGCCACTTGTGAATACAGGTAGCTTTATTTCTTTTTTTTTTTTTTCCAATTTTGAAATCTTTTAGTTCTTTTTCTTATCTAATAGCTCTGGCTAGGACTTTTACCACAATGTTAGATAGTAGCAGTAAAAACAGGCATCCTTGTCTTGTTCTTGATCTTAGGGGAAAAGCTTTCAATCTTTCACCATTGAGTATGATGTTAGCTGTGGGTTATTCCTTAATACTCCTTATCATGTTGAACAATTTTCTCTCTATTCCTAGTCTTCTAAGATTTTTTTTTTAATCATGAAAGTCTATTGAATTTTGTCAAATGTCTTTACTACATCAATTGAGATTATCATGTGGTTTTGTTTCTTCATTCTATTACTGTGATGTATCACACTGGTTGATTTTCTTATACTGAACCACCCTTGTATTTCTGAGATAAATCTCTTTTGGTCATTGCTATAATTTGAATGTTTTTCTCCTCTCAAACTCATATTAAAATTTAATTGCTATTGTAACAACACTAGGAGATGGGACCTTTAAGAGGTAATTAGACAATGAGGGCTCTGCCCTCATGGATGGATTAACACCATTATCATAAGAATGGGTTTGTTATTGAGAGACGGGGTTCCCTTATTAAAAGAAAGTGTTCCACCCCCCTTTTCTTTGTTGCCGACTCTTTGGCCTTCTGCCATGTGTTGTTTCCATCATGTTATGACACAACAAGAAGACTCCAGATAGTGGCACCCAGAACTCTGAGAAAATAAATGTATGTTTTTTAAAATAAATTACCCAATCTGTGGTACTCTCTTACGGCAGCATAAAACAGACTAAGACAGCCATGGTAACTAATTCTTCCAATATGCTCTTAGATACATGCTAATATTTGGTTAAGGATTTTAGCATCTATATTCATAAAGATTTTTGTCTGTAATTTCTGTTGAAATCTTTATGTGGCTTTGGTATCAGAGTAATGCTGGCCTCATAGAATGATTTGGTGTTCCCTCTTCTACTGCCCTTTGGAAGACTTTGAGAAGGCTTGTATTAATTTTTCTTTAAATGTTTGGTAGAATTCACTGGTAAATCCACTTGGCCCAGAACTTTTCATTGTTGGGAGATTTTTGATTGCTGATTAAATCTATTTACTTGTAATAGGTCTGTTGAGATTTTCTATTTCTTCTTGAGTCTGCCTAATAATTTGGCATTTCTTCCAGGTTATCTGATTTGTTGGCACACAAGTGTTTGTGGTATTCTTTTATAATTCTTTTGTCTCTGCAAGGTCAGTAGTAATATTGATTTCAGTTATTTCCATCTTCGCTCTTTTTTTGTCAGTCTAGCTTAAGGTTTGTCAATTTTGCTGATCTTTTCAAAAAACCAACTTTGGTTTCATTGATTTTTTTTTGTTTTAAATATTTTGAATATTTTTTAGAGACAGGGTCTTCCTATGTTGCCCAGGCTAGTCTCAAAACTCCTGAGTTCAAGTGATCCTCCTACCTTGACCTCTCAAAGTGCTGGGATTACAGATATGAGTCAATGCTCCTGGCCAGTTTTATTGATTTTAAATATTGTTTTTCTGTTCTATTCTCTATTTTATCTTCACTGTAATTAGTATTATTTTCTTCCTTCTGGTAACCTTGGATTTAGTTTGTTCCTATTTTATTTTATTTCCTCAAGATGTAATGTTAGGTTATTGATTGAGATTTTTCTCTTATGTAGGCATTATAGCTACAAATTTCCCTTTGAGTAATGCTTTCATTCTTTCCCATAAGATTTGGCATATGACATTTTCATTTTTAGTAGTCTATAAGCATGTTCTAAATTTTCCTTGTGATATCTTCTTTGACCCATTCATTGTTTCAGAGTGTGTTGTTTAATTTTCACATAGTTGTGAATTTTCCAGTTTTTCTTCTGTTATTGATTTCTAACTTCATCACCATGTAGTCAGAGAATATGCCTTGTATGATATCTATCTTTCCAAATCTTGAGACTTATTCTGCAGTCTATCCTGGAGAATGTTTCTTGTGTACTTGAGAAAAATATATATTCTGCTGTTGTTGGGTGGATTATTCTGTATATGTCTATTAGGTCTAGTTGGTTTACTGTGTTCTTTAAGTTCTATTTTTCTTTACTTGTCTTCTATGTAGTTGTTCTACCTATTATTAAAAGTGAATTATTGAAGTCTCCAACTATTATTGTAGAAATATCTATTTCTCCCTTTGATTCTGTTCATTTTTGCTTCATAAATTTTAAGGATTTGTTATTAGCTGTGTAAATATTTATAATTATAACATCATCTTGCTTTATTGAACATTTTATTGATATAAAATCTGCTTCTTTGTCTCCTGTAAACTTTTGGGATTTAAAAGTTGTTTTACTTTCAAACTGTTTTTGTCTTTGGATCTAAAGTAAATATCTTGTGACAGTATATAGTTGGATCTTTTTTTATGTGTTCTGCCAATCTCTTTCTTTTGGTTGTATAGTTTAATCTATTAGATTTAAAGTGATTATCTATAAAGTGGGACTTAATTTTGCCATTTTGCTATTTGTTTTCTAAGCACCTTATGACTTTTTTCTTCCTCACTTCCGGCATTACTGACTTCCTTTATGCTTATTTGATGTTTTTGTAATGAGTCCTTTTTCATTTCCTTTTGTATCTATTCCTTAGACATTTTCTTTGTTGTTATCAAAGAAACTTAATTGCACTTAACTTCCTAAAGTTACAACAATCTAATTTCAATTAATACTACCAATTTTGATAGCATGCAAACAATCTCCTCCTACACACTACTTCTGTCTCTCCCTTTCTAGGATGATGTCACAAATTACATCTTTATACATTGTGTGCCCAATATATAGATTAGTAATCATTTTTTAAAAACATTTGTCTTTTAAATTTTTAGGAAAAAAAGGGAACTGATCATAATCCTGAAAGACAATCCCAAACACCATAAACCCAAATGTTGAAATCTTGAAAGATCAAAATCCCTCAAGTCTAAAATCCCCAAAATCCCAACCCCAAAAGATCAAAATCTTAAAAATATAATTCTGGAAAAAAATAATTTAAAAATTTATTAAAAGGTATTTGTTTACTTTTTGAGCCTCAAGTTGTACAAAAGGGAATTTATTTTGGAAACATAGGAAAACATGACAGAACAATTTATAGGCCATTTTACACAATAAAATAGGCAATATTAACATACACATTTTTGCAAGCATAAACACTCAGGTATACTAATAACAGCCACATAGGTAAATCATTTATGAGCAGATAAATTATATGCATAAAGAAATAGATCAGAAAGGGAAATATATAAGATATAAGCGCATATAACTATGATTGGTAATTGTGTGCACTCAGCTTTACAACTGTGGTCATCTGAAATGCTGTGATGAACAACCTAAATCTTTTGAGGAGATCAGTAAAAAATCATTATGGTTTGCCACAACATATGCTGCCACTCAAAGAGCTGAGATCTCGGAGAATTTTATCTTTCACACATGCAGATGTACAAAAGGACATCTCTTCATTTATTGAGGAAGGTTCAATGTTTTTATGTGCATGCATAATGCTTACACACAGTCAACATTGTGACAATGCACTTTTGTGGAGTCAAATTTCTGATGTTCAAGCCGCAGAAGAAAAAGCTGCCCAGCTCTCAGAGACGGACCAACTTGCCTTTTGTATTTGTTGTCATCAGATACCTGACGGATGGGATGGTGTCTGCCAAAATTAAGTATAGATCTTTCCCACCCAGTCTGCTCAGACTCACACTTTAATCTCCTATGGTGACATCCTCACAGATACACCCAATAGAATACTTCAACAGGTTCATAGGTATTTCTTAATTCAGTCAAGTTGATATTGAAAATTAAGTCCAAAAGTCCATCCCTTGTCAACTTGACACCCATACATGTTTCCTTAGACTATATTTAATTTTTAAATAAAGACAATAACAATGTAATAGTTCTACCTAACATACAAATGCAATTAACATGATGCAACATGGGGTTGCCTCGGCCTCCTGTGTACAACTCCAAATGCACTAATACCATCCCCTAACTCAGCTTTTTGGATTTCAACATTTGGGATTTTAATCTTTTGAGATTGTAATTTTCAGAATTTTAGACATTAGAAACTTTAGATTTTAAGCATTTAGACTTCAGAGATTTTTATCTTTTGGGATTTTTAAAAATTTGGAATTATGGCATTTGGGATTGTGTCTTTCAGGATTATGATCCGGATACACAACAAATGGATTTACAAAGTAAAAATAATCGTAACTTTTATAATCACCCATGTATTTGCCTTTACCAAAACTCTTTCTTTCTTCATACAGCTTTGAGTTACTGTCAAGTTTCCTTTTATTTTACCTTGCAGGACTTCTTTTAGCATTTTTTGAAGTGCAGATATAATGGTAACAAACTCTTTTGGCTTTTATTTATCTGAGAATGCCTTAATTACTCCTTCATTATGGAACAACAGTTTGCCAGATATGGAATCTCAGTTGAAAAATTTTCTCTATCAATTGATTGACTATCAACCCACTGCCTCTGGTTTCTAAGATTTCTGATGAGAAACTAGCTCATAATCTTATTGAAGAACCCCTTTTATGTGATGAATTTCTTGTTTCTTGCTGCTTTCTAGAGTCTTTGTCTTTTTACAGTTTAACTACAATCTGTCTCAGTTTGATTACAATGTGGGTCTCTTTGAGTTTATCCTCCTTAAAGTTTGTTGATCTTGGATTTGTAGATTAATGTCATTCATCAAATTTGGGAAGTTGTCAGGTATTCTTTCTTCAATATTTTTGCTTGTCCCCTTTTCTCTCTTATCCTTCTGGACTAGCTCGATGGTGTCTCAATGGGTCCCCTAAGCTCTGTTTTCTTTTCTTCAGTCTTTCTGCTGTTCTTCCTCTTCATTATCAATAATTCCAATCATCGTCCTATCTTCAAGTTCACTGATTCTTTCTTTTGCCTTCTCAAATCTGTTTTTGAAAACCTCAAGTAAATTTTTATTTCAACTCCAGAATTTCATTTTGGTTTATTTGTATATTTTCTATCTCTTTACTGATATTTTCATTTGTTTATGTATTTGTTTTCCTGTTTTTTTCATGTCTTTCTTTAGTTCCTTGAGAACCTTTAAAACAGTTGTTTTAAAGTCTTTTTGTAGTAAGTCCACCATCTGAGCTTCCTCAGCAATAGTGTCTGTCAATTTATTTTGTTTCTTTGAATGGGCCATACATTCTTATTTTTATGTTTCCTTTGTGATATTTTTGTTGAAAACTGGACAACTAAATCTTATAATGTGGCAACTCTGAAAATTATATTCTCTCCCTTCCTCAGGATTTCCTGTTTTGTTTTATTTTTGTACAGTGCCTCTGTACCAGGGATCATCCTGAAGTGAAAGCTTAAGGTTTTCTTAGGTCTTTTGTAAGCCTGCATCTTTTTTTTTTTTTTTTTTTTTTTTTGACTGTGTTGCCCAGGCTGGAGTGCAGTGGCATAATCTCAGCTCACTGCAACCTCTGCCTCCTGGGTTCAAGCAAGTCTTGTGCCTCAGCCACCTGAGTAGCTGGGATTACAGGTGTGTGCTAGCATACCTGGCTAATTTTTGTATTTTTAGTAGAGACTAAACATAGTCCGTACTAAAATATGGTTTCACCATGTTGGCCAGGCTGGTCTCGAACTTCTGGCCTCAAGTGATCTGCCCACCTCAGCCTCCCAAAGTGCTGCGATACAGGCATGGGCCACTGTGCCTAGCAAAGCCTGCATCTTTACCTAGGCATGTATGTTGGCTTTCTGTAGTTCCCCATATATGCAATTGCTTTTGAATGTCCTATTCCTTAAATGTGTAAGTCTTAAAAGAGTAAAAAGGAAAAAAAAAAACCCTCAGATACTGCATCTTTAAACCTCTTGGATGGTACTTCAACCGGTGGAGTTGAAACAATGGCAGCCAGCCTCTGTGCATCCATCCCAGTGACTAAAAGCACCAATCAGCAATCAGAACACAAAATCCCAATATTTGAAGGATGAGATTCTTGTTTTGTACCCTAGCTCTAGCAAGCTGCAACCAGGAACTAGGGCATGTGCCTGGTTGGTGGGGGATGAATGGCTGCTACCACGTTAAGGGCTAAAATTGACTGAAATTAACTAGCCAAGCATTTTCCTGGAAGCTGTAAGTGTTCAAATGGACTCCCAAGTTCCAAAATAGTTACTCCAGATAGTTTCTGCCTGTATATTTGTTGTGTAGGTGGAGAGACAGATTCCCAACCTTCCTACTCGGCCATCGTTCTTGACATCACACCTAGCTGTAGGTTTTTTTAAATAAATGCTTTGTATGGGGTTGAAAAAGTTCCATTCTATCCCCACTGTACTGAGAATTTTATCATTAATTGGCAATGAATTTTGTCCAATACTTTTTCTGCATCAATTGGTGTAAAATGATTTTTCTTCTTTAACGTGTTGCTATGTTGGATTACACCGAATGATTTTTCTAATATTGAATCAGGCTGATGTCCCTACAATAAATCCCCCATGGTCATAGCATATTAGTCTTTTTATACCTTAGTGAATTCAATTTGCTAATATTTTCTTGAAGATTTTCTAGGTCTAAGTTAATCAGAGATATTGGTGTATTTTTCTTTTGTTTTTTTGTTTTTTTTGCCGATTTGGCATCAAGGTAATACTGGGCTTATATAATGAATTGGGAAGTCAGCCCTCTTCTTCTATTTTTATTTCCACTTAGCTTCCTTTACACTCTCCACTTTTTAAATATGATGGTTTTAAGTATGTCCTCTACATAAATTCAGTACTAGATCAGATGGTGTTACAACTTTTGCTTCAACAATAAAGTACAATAGATAGGAATGGTGGTGAATGCCTGTAGTCTCAGCTACTCAGGACACTGAAGCAGGAGGATTGCTTAAGCCCAGGAGTGTGAGTCCAGCCTGGGCAACATAGCAAGATCTCATCTCAAGAAAACAACAAACAAACAAATATACCAATAAAGTATGATTAAGATACTCAAGAAGTGAGGGATTGTCTGTTATGTTTACTTCTACTTTTGCCCATTACCCTGTTGTTATTTCCTTTCTGAAGGTACCCAGCCTTTTGTTAATATTATTTTTCTGTTACAGATATGTTCCTTTACCTATTCTTTCAGGATAGGTGGGTCTTCTAGGAACAGATCCTCTTACTGTTTTTTCATTTTAAAAAAATGTGTGTATTTCCCCTTCAGTCTTGAAGATAGCTTCACTGGATATAGGATTTGGGGTTTCCAGGTCTTTTCTTCCAGCATTTGATCAATGTTGTGCCACTTCGTCTGGCCTTCAAGGTTTCAGATGAAAAATCTGCTGTCGTTTCATTTGAGTTGATTTTTCTTTATAGGTAATACATAACTTCTCTCTGGTGCTTTTAAAGATCTTTTTCCCTCTATCTTTAGTTTTCAGAATTTTAATTATGATGAGTCTTAGTATTATAGATGGAATGTTTTCGTCCCTCCCCCAAATTAATATATTGAAGCCCTAACCACCAATGTGATAATATTTGGAGGTAGGGACTTTGGGAGGTAATTAGGCTTAAATAAGGTCATGAGGGTGGGGCCCCCATGATAAGATTAGTGTCCTTATGAGAAGAGAAAGAGACCAGACAACACGCACACGCACTCTCTCTCTCTCTCTCTTTCTCTCCCTGTCTCCCTCCCTCCCTCCCTCTTTCTCTTTCTCCTTCCTTTCCTCTTTCTCTTTCTTCATGTGAGGACACAGAGAGAAGGCAGTGCCTACAAGCCAGGAAGAGGGCCCTCACTGGAAATAAAATCTGCAGGCACCTTGATCTTGTACTTCCCAGCTTCCATAAGGATGATAAATATACATCCATTGTTTAAGCCACCCAGTATGTGATATTTTGTTACTGGAGCTGGAGCTGACTAATACACTAAGTGGAGGTTTCTTTGGGCTTATTTTATTTGTGATTCGCTCGGCTTTTTAAATCTGTAGGGTTAGGTGTTTAACCAAATTTGAGAAGTTTCAGCCATTCTTTCTTTTTTTTTTTTTTTTTTTTTTAGACAGAGTCTCGCTCTGTTACCCAGGCTGCAACCTCTGCCTCCTATGTTCAAGTGATTCTCCTGCCTCAGCCTCCCAAGTAGCTGGTATTACAGGTGTATGCCACCATGCCTGGCTAAATTTTTTGTATTTTTAGTAGAGACTGGATTTCACCATGTTGGCCAGGTGAGTCTTGAACTCCTGATCTCAAGTGATCTGCTTGCCTCAGCCTCTCAAAGTGCTGGGATTACAGGTGTGAGCCACCATGACTGGCCCATTATTTCTTTAAATATATTTGGTGTCACACACTCTTTCTTCTCCCCGTTTGGGACATCAATGATGAATGTTGAAACTTGTATTATTCTTTCACAAATACTGGAAGCTTTATTTATTTTGTTCAGTCTAGTATCTCTTTATTATTCAGATTGTGTAAATACTACTGTTGTCTTCAAGTTCTCTGATTCATCCTTCTGTCATCCCTACTTATCCATTAAGTACAGTTAACAAGTTAATTTGGCTATTCTATTTTTGAGGTTAGCTGCCTGTCCACAGAAGTGATGATAGTATTAATAAGTTTCCCAAGAGTTCTCTGGATGAAAGTTCAGTTCCTCATCTGTGTGTAGGGGTGATCATTGTATCCCTCAGTTCCTCATGTTGCATTGGGGTGGTAGCATGATTTGCTTTCTTTTCTCTATGTTGAGTTGACAATAGTACCACTTCATTCATTCTCTGTACATTGAGGTGAATGCAGTATCACTCAGGATTTTATTCATATACTAGGTTAACAACAGCATCAGTCACATCTTCATCTGTACGTTGATGTGATCACAGTATTCGTCAATTCATCATCTGCTCCTTGGGGTAATAGTAGAGTCATTAAATTCATTAGTTCTTTGGAGTGATTATAATATCACTGTGTTCCTCATCTGTACATTGGGTTGATGGGACAACATTTGATTGGTAATCTATGCCTTGGGATAATAGTAAGATTACTTGATTTCTCATCTATACCTTGGCATGGTAATAGGATCACTCTATGTCTCATCTGTACATCAGATTTGGGAATATTTGCATTGTATACTTACTAGTTGAGCAACTCAAATAGAAAAATCCCAAATCTGAAATGCTCCAATGAGCATTTCTTTTGAGTATCATGCTGGTGCTCAAAAAGTTTTGGATCATTTTGGAGTTTAGATTTTCAGATTTGGGATGCTCAGCCTGTAGTAGAACCACTAGTTTCTCATCTGTACTTTGGGTTGAGTGGCATAAATCAGGTTAAGTGATATCACTGGGATCAGCATCTGTACAATGAGGTAGTAGCAGGATCATTCATTTCCTCATCTGTATATTTGGCAATAGTATCACTGGATACCACATCTGTGCTTAAGGATGATGATATAACTTGGCTTATCGTCTGTGCTTTGGGGTGTGTTTCACAGTGGGAAGGCCTATGCACACCTTCCCCAAAGTCAGAGGAAGCTGATAGGCCAAAGAAAGAGGCCAGTTTCTTGGAAACCCAGTTTCTTGGAAAGAAATGTTTAATAAGGTCTTACTAACAGAAACCATGTCTGAGTCTTTGGCAGCAGGGAGACAAGATGGTGGATCCCACACCATTACTCCCTTGACCCAGGGCTTATATACTATAAGGGAAGGGTGGTTCAGCAGGGATGTGTAGAAAAATTGGGACTATGGGTTTTCAGTGCTTGAAGGCACTGGTCTGAGGTGGTGGAGTAGGAGTCCTACTGTGTACACTTGGGCATGTAATCCACTTATATGAGCCCCAATCTTCTTCCCACTTGCGCAGGCATTCCAGGGGACAAATGTCATTTTGTTCTGGGTGGGCACATCTGAGGACCCTCTGTCTCTGGCTTTGAGGTCACCTCCTGAGGAAGCCTTTACTGACTGTCTTCTCTGATCCTGAAAGTCTTTTGCACACCCCAGTGTTTGGGTCTGTCTGTTTGCAGGTCTAACTCTCCTCTGGACAAGGCTGGGAGCTCCATGAAAGCCATGCCTCAGCCAGGGGCTGGGGGCGGTGGGGGGCTCTTTCTCCCATGATGCAAGAGGCTGAGATGGCTGGAAGCTATCCTGCCTCCCGTGGAACCAGGCCAGCCAAGCCACGATGGAGGCTGCTCAGGGGCTGGACAGCCAGCAATCAGCAGCTGCCTCTTCCAGCTGACATCTCTTCTGAGTCAGGGAGATGCACCAGCCAAACCCTGATCTGCCCTCTCCTGATCATGTGACACCCCCACTCTGACCTTAGTCTCCCCACCCGCAGAATGGGGTCATAATGACACGAGAGCATGCAGTGGAAGTGTTCAGTGCACAGGAAGGGTTTAATCACCATCAGCCATCATCGCAGTTGTCATCATCCCCCTCCCAGGCAGAGAGGTGCCTGGCCTCTCCTGTTGGCCCTTGGAGGGTGCAGGGGCAATGGCCCCAGGCCTGCCCTCCAGACTCATAGTTAATGAGGAGCTGATAAATGGCAGGGCTATGTGGGCTCCGCTTCCAAAGCTGTGCCTTGCAGGCTCTCAAAGCAGCAAGTGTTTACATGCTCAGAACAAGTGTCCTGAGGCCTGCACTTTGTCAGACACTTTAACACTGTGGCAGGGCTGGGTGGCCCAGCTTCATCCCCAGTCTGGATGGCATAAGGGCGACTTACTGGGGGAAAGTACAAGGAGTGACACCAGTTCCAGGGCAGGATGAAGACAGCTCTTCTCTCTCTGGCTACTGGAAGTCCAGGTGTCAGGCTCCAGGGGACTCCCTGAGACAATGGCACCTGCCCAGGGGTGTGTGGAGGGGGACAGTCTCAGCTCTAACGTTGGCTCTGCCACCTTGGCTGTGATCAGCCCGAGCCTCGAGGCCCTCAGCTGCACATGTGCCAGCCTCATAGTCCTCACATGGGGGTTTGCTGTGTGGTGGGACGGGGCAGGCCTGGAAGCTCAGGGACCTCCACTTTGCCTCCATTCTGCACATGGTAATCATAGTGGTAGTGATGGTCCACCAGCCTCACACAGTAAATGCTAAGTCCCCAGCCCTGCTTTGAAACCCTTCAGTATATTATTGAATCAACACAAAATCCCATGAAGCACAAGCCTAAAATTTTTTGCATTTTCAGAAGAGCTCAGGAAGATGAAGTCCTTCCCTGGGGTCCCACAGCTGCCACCTTTAAGCCTGGGAGGTGTGCTGGTCTCCACCACCTAGTCAACTCAGGAATGGGCTTGAAGATTCAGACAAAGAAAGCAAGGCTTGAAAAGGCTGAATGACCTCTCCCCAGGCAGACAGCAGACAGAAGAGGATGGGCCAAGATCGGAGCCTAAAGCCCATTCATTCTGTGGACTCCAGGAAGAGTGGTCCCTGTGTCCAGGCTGCCCAGGCTGCTGTGGGTGTCATGTAATCAGCCCCACAGCAGCAGCAGTCATTGTCACAGGGACAGCCCTGCTCACACCTGCTGGGTGGTGGCCCAGCCGCTGTCCTGGAGCCTCTTAGGTTTCTCTCTAGCCTCTCTTGGAGCTCACACATCCTCTAGGGAAGAGGTCCTGCACTATCTCCCTGTGATGGGGCCAGCTCTGGGTTCATGGTGTGACCCTGCTTCCTGGAAAAGTCTGGGATGACTGCACCATCCATGATTGGTGACTTCCAGGAACTGAAGGTCGCCTTGGTCCCACCCTCCTAGAGTCCTGGGTCCCTGGGATGCCCCTAATGCAATCCAGGCAGGCCTCACCCTCCACCTGCTCACCTGGCCCTTCCTTGGCCTGCAATTTGACTGTCCCCACCCTCGGCCCCTCCCTGACCTGTCAATACCATTCAGCTCCTCATCTCCTCTGAACCCCTCACCAAGCCACTGTTTCACCCCTTGCCATGCCTGGGGCTGGGAGGGCCAGCAGCCTCTGCCCATCATGCCCTGCCCCATGTGATGCTGGGAAGCACCACCATCCCTGAGCCTTCAGGTCCCACCTGTATGCCTGTGATGACGTTGAAAAGAACTTGCCAAAGTCTCAGGATACAAAATCAATGTGCAAAAATCACAAGCATTCCTTTATACCAACAATAGGCAAGCAGAGAGCCAAATCATGAATGAACTCCCATTCACAATAACTACAAAGAGAATAAAATACCTAGGAATACAGCTAACAAGGGATGTGAAGGACTTCTTCAAGAAGAACTACAAACCACTGCTCAAGGAAATAAGAGAGGACACAAATAAATGGAAAAACATTCCATCCTCATGGATAGGAACAATCAATATCATGAAAATGGCCATACTGCCCATCAAACTACCATTGACATTATTTACAGAATTAGAAAGAACTATTTTAAATTTCATATGGAATCAAAGAAGACCCCATATAGCCAAGATAATCCTAAGCAAAAACAACAAAGCTGGAGGCATGACGCTACCTGACTTCAAACCATACTACAAGGTTACAGTAACCAAAACAGCATAGTACTGCACCAAAACAGATATATAGACCAATGGAACAGAACAGAGGCCTCAGAAATAACACCACACACCTACAATCATCTGATCTTTGACAAACCTGACAAAAACAAGCAATGGGGAAAGGATTCCCTATTTAATAAATGGTGCTGCAAAAACTGGCTAGCCATTTGCAGAAAACTGAAACTGGACCCCTTCCTTACACCTTATACAAAAATTAACTCAAGATGGATTGAAGACTTAAATGCAAGACCTAAAACAATAAAAACCCTAGAAGAAAACCTGGGCAATATCACTCAGGACATAGGCATGGGCAAAGACTTCATGACTAAAACACCAAAAGCAATAGCAACAAAAGCCAAAATTGACAAGTGGGATCTAATTAAACTAAAGAGACTCTGCACAGCAAAAGAAACTATCATCAGAGTGAACAGGCAACCTACAGAATGGGAGAAAATTTTTGCAATCTATCCATCTGACAAAGGGCTAATATCCAGAATCTACAAAGAACTTAAACAGATTTACAAGAAAGAAACAAACAGCCCCATCAAAAAGTAGGGAAAGGATATGAACAGACACTTCTCAGAAGAAGACATTTAGATAGCCAACAAACATATGAAAAAAAGATCATCATCACTGGTCATTAGAGAAATGCAAATCAAAACCACAATGAGATACCATCTCACACCAGTTAGAATGGCGATCATTAAAAAGTCAGAAAACGACAGATGCTGGAAAGGCTGTGGAGAAATAGGAATGCTTTTACACTGTTGGTGTGAGTGTAAATTAGTTCAACCATAGTGGAAGACAGTGTGGTGATTCCTCAAGGATCTAGAACCAGAAATATCATTTGACCCAGCAATCCCATTACTCTGTATGTACCCAAAGGATTATAAATCCTTCTACTATAAAGACACATGCAAACATATGTTTACTGTGGCACTGTTCACAATAGCAAAGACTTGGAACCAACACAAATGCCCATGAATGATAGACTGGATAAAGAAAATGTGGCACATATACACCGTGGAATACTATGCAGCCATAAAAATGAATGAGTTCATGTCCTTTGCAGGGGGACATGGATGAAGCTGGAAGCCATCATTCTCAGCAAACTAACACAAGAACAGAAAACCAAACACCACATGTTCTCACTCCTAAGTGGGAGATGAACAATGAGAACACATGAACACAGGGAGAGGAACATCACACCCTGGGACCTGTCAGGGGGTAGGGGGGTAGGGGAGGGATAGCATTAGGAGAAAAACCTAATGTAGATGATGGGTTGATGGGTGTAGCAAACCACCATGGCACATGTATATCTATGTTAAAAACCTGCATGTTCTGCACATGTATCCCAGAACTTAAAATATAATAAAAATAATTTTTTAATAAAGAAAGAAAATGGCCATACTGCCCATCAAGCTACCATTGACATTCTTCACAGAATTAGAAAAAACCGTTTTGAATTTCATATGGAATCAAAGAAGACCCCATATAGCCAAGACAATCCTAAGCAAAAACAGCAAAGCTGGAGGCATCACACTACCTAACTTCAAACTATGCTACAAGGCTACAGTAACCAAAACAGCATGGTACTGGTACCAAAACAGATATGTAGACCAATGGAACAGAACGGATGCCTCAGAAATAACACCACACATCTACAACCATCTGATCTTTGACAAACCTGATAAAAACAAGCAATGGAGAAAGGATCTCCTATTCAGTAAATTGTGCTGGGAAAACTGGCTAGCCATTTGCAGAAAACTGAAACTGGACCCCTTTCTTACACCTTATACAAAAATTAACTCAAGATGGATTAAAGATTTAAATGTAAAACCCCAAACCATAAAGCACCCTAGAAGAAAACCTATAAACCTAGGCAATACCTTTCAGGACATAGGCATGTGCAAAGACTTCATGACAAAAACGCCAAAAGCAATTGCAACAATAGCCAAAATTGACAAATGGGATCTAACTAAACTAAAGAAAGAAAGTATCATCAGAGTGAGCAGGCAACCTACAGAATGGGAGAAAGGTTTTGCAACGTACCCATCTGACAAAGGCCTAATATTCAGAATTTACAAGAACTTAAACATATTTAAAAGAAAAAAAAAACCAACCCCATCAAAAAGTGGGCAAAGGATATGAACAAACACTTCTCAAAGGAAGACATTTATGCAGGCCTGGAAGCTCAGGGACCTCCACTTTGCCTCCATTAAACATTGCCTCCAACAAACATTAAAAAGAGCTCAACATCACTGATCATCAGAGAAATGCAAATCAAGACCACAATGAGATACCATCTCACGTCAGTCAGAATGGTGATTATTAAAAAGTTAGGAAACAATAGATGCTGGCTGGGCTAGGGAGAAATAGGAATGCTTTTACACTGTTGGTGGGAATGTAAATTGGTTCAACCATTGTGGAAAACAGTATGGCGATTCCTCAAGGATCTAGAACCAGAAATACCATTTGGCCCAGAAATCCCGTGACTGGGTATATACCCAAAGGAATATAAATCATTGTACTATAAAGACACATGCACATGTATGTTTGCTGCAGCACTGTTTACAATAGCAAAGACATGGAACCAACCCAAATCAATGATAGACTGGATAAAGAAAATGTGGCACATACATACCATGGAATACTATGCAGCCATAAAAAGGAAGATCATGTCCTTTGCAGGGACATGGATGAAGCTAGAAGCCATCATCCTCAGAAAACTAACACAGGAACAGAAAACCAAACACTGCCTTTTCTCACTCATAAGTGGGAGTTGAATACTCGGGAGGCTGAGGCAGGAGAATGGCATGAACCCAGGAGGCGGAGCCTACAGTGAGCCGAGATCGCGCCACTGCACTGCAGCCTGGGTGACAGAGCAAGACTCCGCCTCAAAAAAAAAAAAAAAAAAAAAAAGAACACATGGACACAGACAGGAGAACAACACACATCAGGGCCTGTTGGGGAGTAGGGGGTGAGGAGAGGAAACTTAGAGGATGGACCAATAGGTGCAGCAAACCACCATGGCACATGTATACCTGGGTAACAAACCTGCACATTCTGCACATGTATCCCATTTTTTTAAGAATAAATAAATAAATACATTAAAAATTTTTTAAAAGGAAATACCTTGCAAGGTTTCCTTCTGTTTCATAGCAGCCTGCAACTGAGCAGGTTAAGGTGCTCATCCTATGGCTCTAGGAAGGGGGTCAGCTCTCTCCTGAGGTGCTGTGTGACCCCTGGTAAGTTAATTAGGCTCTCTGTACCTCAGCCTCCTCTGTAAAATGAGGGTGATAAGAATGCCTACCTCAAAGCTTTGTTCTGAAGATTCAATTAGCTACTATATATAAACAGAGTGCTGGACACATAGCAGGTGCTACATAAATGCTTCCTGTCATTAGAGTGACTTTTGTCTGTACTTTCGGGTGTGGATGTGATTAGCTCTAAGAAGTGGAATAGGCCTAGACTTACCTTCCCTCCCTGCATGGTGCCCACTAGGGTCCTTGTCCCCATTTGTCACTCAGCCAGGGAGCCAGGTGCCCAGGTCTGCCTGCCTACATCCACAGAAGAGCCACCTTGGCCTGCCTGATCCCTGAGAAATGAGCCTCGGCTGCAGGTTTATCTCCTCCTGGGCAGTGGGCATCCTGGGCCAGCCTGAGGCTTCCTGGCCCCTCTTAAGCCTGCCCTGGGCAGATGCTCAGCTCACACCATGTAGAGGTTTCAGAGGGGGCAATGCCACTCTAGACTTGGAACCCTAACCTGCTTCCAGCCTGGTCCTGCAGTGACCAGCAGGGCAGCATGACCGCCCCCTCCCCCAGGGCACCAGTCTTCACCTCCCCTGACAATGATACCACCAAGTCCCAGGCAGTGTGGACAGACATGCTGATGTCACACAGTAGGCGCTCAAACAGGGCAGTCACAGACAGATGGGCTGCTGGAGTTTCTGAATCCTCCCCTGCCAGCTGTCCCTTCCCCTCCCATGTGTCCCCTCCCCCACCATTGTCCCCTCCGCCTGTGGGGAGTGACTGGTGGTTGTGTTTAAGTGAGTAATTTAGCCCCCGTTTAAGAAGAGGAAGCAATAATAACGGCTGTAATTGTCCAAATTACTGCTGCCCCTTCCAGTTTGACATCTGCCTAATGACGGCGGATGGAAACCTGACCCGTGGCCGCGGGTGGGTGGGTGGTGATGGCTGCTTGGAGCCGAGCGTCCAGTCCCCAAAGCTGGCAGAGGCCCTGCTGGCCTGTGCTGGAGGCTCCAGGGCTGGGGGCTTCAGTGCAGTGTCCATGGGTTCCTCTAGAATGAGTGTGAGGGACGGGCCTAATTCATCTCAGAGACTCAGAAACTAAAGCCCAGAGGGACAGCAACTGCCCCACAGCCACAGAAGGTGGCTGGACCAGGGGATGGGATGGAGATTGTTCACTGTTTGCCATTTGGTATTTTTCACATTTTGAACCAGGTACTGCATTATCGATCCAAAATTTAAAATAAACAAGACATTGCCTCTTCAGCTGAGGCTTGGATGGCTCCTGACAGTCAGAGACACCGGCTTTGATGTAAAAGTATCTAGTGGACAGCATGGGGCTCTGCTGTTGCCAAGGCCACTTGGCCAGGACCTCACTGTGAGGACACAGGGCATGAACACAGCCTCAATCTGTTGACCCTCCCCTCTGAAGGCTCTTAGGGCCAGCGGGCCCAGGAGCTCCTAGTCATGGGATTTCATGGACCTATCACTTTTTAAAAGTTAGGTCTGCTCACTCTGTGTCATCAAGGACAGACCCAATGGCCCTAACACGAACCCACTGCCATTTGTTATCTCCAAGCAGCAGAGCTCTCAGCATCAAGGACTTTCTAAGAAAGGACCATGGTGATGGCTTTGTGACCTGCCTGGTATGAACCCAGCTCCACTGTTAAAGGACAGAGGGAGCGATTGGCTGTGGGCTGAGAAGTCAGGGTAGGGGGATGGGGTTTGGGCTGAGAAGTCAGGGTTGGGGGTGGGGTTTGGGCTGAGAAGTCGGGGTCGGGGGGTAGGGTTTGCTGCAGGTGCAGCAGTTTCCAGCTACAATATCCTTGGGAAAGGCTCACTCTCAACCTCACAGCCACATCCCACAGGTCTTCTACAAGCTCAGGCTGTTGGGGACAAGGAGAGGATAAGGCAGCAGAGTTTATAGAGGATTGGGGCCCTCTCAGTCCTCCTCTGAAGGAGCGAGGAGCCCCACCTGCTCCCACTTACATAGTCGGGTTGCTTTGGGACGGCAAGGAGCTGAAACCATTGGCTTCTCAGGGGTCCCTAGAGGATCAGGGCCCATTGCTGGGGACCCCTGAAGATCAGGATCCCAATACTGATCTGGCCCAGTGGGATAAGGCTCGCCATCAGGATTAGGACGGTACTAAAAAGCTGAAGAATATGCTGTTTCTTCCACTCCTGAGTGGCTCATAACAAATATCCCTTCAGCTGCTTTTCTGGAAAACTCTGAGCTCTATATAGGCCCTTGCCTGGCATTGGGTCAGCTCTGTGCTATTGATCAAATGCTAGACCACTTCCAATTTCCTTTTCCAAGAGGAGCTTCTTTTTCATTCATTTAGCAAGCACTTAATGTCTGTTGGCTGGGGGATCATGCTGTGTGGGGTGGTGCAAAGAATCCTAGATTTCGAGGCAGATGCACACAGGTTTGAATCCAAAACCCTGTCCTTTTGACATCTTGAGCAGAGCTGTTCACTTCTTGTCCCTCAGTTTACTCCTCTTTAAAATGGGAATAATAATGCCGGTGTTGCGGGGTTGCCTTGAGGGCATGTTGTGTCACCCAGCCTCGCATGGGGCCTCGGGATCTTCCTGTAGGACCCTTGCCTCCAGCAGCTCCAGGCTTGAGGCCCCTCCTCTCCATGGGTCCATTCAACCCCTGCCCCTGGGGTTCCTTGCACATTATCTTACCCTTACATTTGGGGGCTGCCCCAGAGCTGTAGGGTAACAGGCTGATGGACTGAGAGGATCCCGACACCAAGGCAGTGGGTGGGCTGAACAGACCTGGGTGCTGGCTGAAGAGAGGGCACCAGGCCTGTGAGGATGAACGAGTCCCTTGCCCTGGACATTCAGACGGCTGGGGCCTTTGCTGGTGAGAGTCCTCAGCCCCAGCTCTGCGGTCCTCTCCCTACTTGTGGCCTCAGGTGGCCTGAGCCTCGGGTTCTCATGTGCGAGACTCCATTCCCCAACCACTGCAGACCTGGGAGAGAGGGAGGGAGGGGGCAATGAAGGGGAGCGAGCTAAAATGTTAGTGAGCACCCACTAAGTGCCAGCCCCATTGTAAGGGGGTCTCACCGACCCCACACCGTACCAGAATGGGCCTCGAGTCACAGGTAGATTAGGCCCAGACCTCTGAGCATCTGTGTTACGGGACGATGCTCGGCACCGTGACGCTGTGACAAGCTGGGCGATCCTCAAACCTGGCTCAGGCAATTGGCCCACAGCCCTGCTAGGGGCAGCCTGAGGCGCCCACGTGGGGAGCTGGGCTGGAACTGCCACTGACCTGGTCCCGCTGGCTAAGTGTGCACAGACACCAGCTCAGAGTGCCCCAGCAAGCCGCCAACGGCACCTGCAGGCATCTCCAGAATTCCTGCAGAGGAGGGGTTGGAGCTGACTCGGGTTGCAGAGGGGGCCCCAGGCTGTGCCTCCATTCCCGAGCTCTTCTCCGGCTTCCTCAAAGCAGCCACTTTTGCAGCCACTCGCTAAGAGCCCTGGGTCCTTCCTTCCGGCCTCACGGCAGTTGGGGCCTCGAAAAGAGCATAAAAATGTCTAGATGACAATCGTTCACCTTTATTATATACAGAGGCCCCTCATCTCCTGCCTCTCAGGAGCGCCCCTCCCCTGGACCTGCAGGGGCGTCCGCCGCCTCCGCGTTTATCTGCGGGGAGGAATGTCTGCGAGGCCGGCGGAACGGAGCCTCCTCCACCCATCCATCACCGCCTGCCGAGCCCCTGACTGTGCCGGGCAGGCCAGGGTGCGCCTCTGGGAGGCCTAGCTTGGGGGGGCGCCGGAGGCCTGCTCCGCCAGTGCCCAGCCCCAGCAGGGGGGTTCGCGCAGCCTGACACCAGGGGCTCCTGGCCTTGGGCCAGGGTAGGCCCGGCCTGTCTCCTGGGAGCTGGGGGACTAGGATCCAGCACCCCAGTAGGGGAGGGACTGCTGCAAGAAAGGGCCGAGGGGAGACAGGTCTGGGGGGTCCAGAGCAGGGGCAGGCTGGAGACCAGCGGCGGCCGTTTGAGAGGGGCTGCAACATTGAAGGTGCAGGGCTTCCAGTGCCGGGGCCAGCTCAGCGTCCTCCCCTAGACAGGGTCCCACATACACCCACTTGGGGAGAGTACAGTGGAGTCAGTATCCATGCCTGCATTACTGTTTCTACACTGTTTTATACAAAAACATGAGTGGTTTTTCCATGGTTCCCATGTATTCTGACTTTTCCAAGGCAATGCCTATGGGAGACGTGGTACAGTCACTCCCTGCTTTGTAAAGCGCTGCTGGGTCTCCTGGGAAACAGCAGCGTGCCTGGCACTACGCAAGGCCCGCACAGCTGCGCCGTTGTTGTCACCAGCCGCAGTTCCCAGGTTGCACATGCCTAGAGAAGGTGTTGGCGGGACGCGGTTGCGCCTCTGACTTCCTTTAATTCCGACTTCTACTTGCGTCGTTGTGTAGGCGTCTGAGGGCCACCTGACGTCGTCTAGTGTCTCCACGCCTTGACACTTGTCTATTGAAATGCATCTTTTTTTTTTTTTTGAGACGGAGTCTCGCTCTGTTGCCCATGCTGGAGTGCAGTGGCGCGATCTCCGCTCATTGCAACCTGCAACCTCTGCCTCCCGGGTTCAAGCGATTCATCTGCCTCAGCCTCCCGAGGAGCTGGGGCTACAGGCGCCTGCCACCATACCCGGCTAATTTTTGTATTTTTAGCTCGGCTAATTTTTGTATTTTTAGTAGAGACGGGGTTTCACTATATTGGCCAGACTGGTCTGGAACTCCTGACTTTGTGATCTGCCCCCCTCGGCCTCCCAAAGTGCTGGGATTACAGGCATGAGTCACCGCGCCCAGCCTTGAAATGCACCTTTTAAAAGGTTAAGTGTTAATTTCCTTTGCCTTCCTCAATTGCAGTTGAGGTATTATGTGGTAATCACAGGATGTCAGAAAATTCATCAGGAGGTGGGTGCTGGTTCTGACTGGGCAGGTGGGCAGGCTGAGGGGTCCACAAACTTCTCCCCTTTCCCTCCCACCACTTATGGGCTTGCAGCCTCCAGGGAGTCACTGTGCTCAGCTCACAGATCTCCCTTCCCAACTCCAACAGGAGCAGAGGAAGTGGGAGAGCCACCTAGTGATGGTCCCACCCAGTGCGCACTCTTGCAGGCAGAGTACTCACTCATTTACTAAACAAATATTTGGGCACCTGCTCTGTGCCAGGCCCTGCTCCAAGTAGCAGAGGTATATGTGAGCAAAACAATCGCAAGCTCTGAGCCCCTGAACTGATGTTCTGAGGAGGAAAGCCAAAAGGAGACATCTAGACAGAAAACAATCCTTTTAAAGAGAGAGCAAGTTGAAGAAAGTCACACAAGTCATGGACCAGGAGGTCAAGAACTCTGGCTCAGGTGGCCCAGGAGGGCTTCCTGGGGAGGTGACATGGGTCAGAATCCTGTGACACAAGCCAGAGCCGGGACTCATACAGCATTGGGGGATGCAGCTGTTCTCCCCATGAGGCTGCCAGGCCAGGAATTCTGAAGTACTCCTGGCCTTTCACTCATGGGCATGAGGTGGCTGCCACAGCTCCAGACATCACATGTACACAGGACCGCAGCCAAAGGCAAGGACATGAAGTGTGTGTATCTGAGGCTGGAGGTGGCACCTGGAACAGCCTCTTTCATCTCCTTAGGCAGGATGAATCTCTTTCAGACACCTCCTCCAGAGGGAGTTTTTTCTACATTGTCTCACTGGCCAGAACTGCCTGCCCCTTTCCCACCCTCCTTGACTGGAAATTAAAGTGAGGGTCTGGCTCTCTTGCCCTTCCAGTGTGAGTGGGGAGTGGACGTGGGGCTGGCTGTAGGGGTGGACTGGACAGGCTTCTGGGCAGGACCTGTCAGAATCTGTGAGGCTTACCGCCAGGCATTTCCTAAAGGTATCTGACTCTTTTTTTCTCCAAGAGCATCTCATAGGACCACGTTCTTGGGATCACTCCCCTGGGGAAACATTACTGAAAGTGGTAGGAGCCTCCTGCTGGTTCTTCTCAGGGGCCCAGCCCATTGGGGCCCAAGTTCGAGAAGAGTTCTCTTGAGTGCTGATGGCCTGGAGCCCAGGAGCCCAGGGAGAAACCCAGGAGCCCAGGGAGGAACTCAGGAGCCCAGGTAGGGCAGGTTCCGGGAAAGAGGTGGCCCCAGCAGATTCTCCAGATGTTTTTCACACATGTAATTGTGGTTGGAGAAGAAACAAAACACTTCACAGCTCTGAGGAAACCAGTCACAGATCTGATGGACTAGGATTAATGAAGTTCAATATCATTCCTATGGCTCCTATCCAGGGCTAGCAAATTACAGGTGAAACCAACTAAAACCACATTTCCTATGAGATGGAATGGATGGAATGGGATCAGCCCACTAGGCCAGGAGCTTCTCCAGGGTGGGAATTGAGCCTTGCTTTCCTCCCTCCCTCACTGGACTCTGGTCATGTTAGCTCGCCTTCTCACTGATCCTTGAATCCCCCAGGCTGATCTTGCCCCAGGGCTTTTGCAAGTGCTATTCCCTGGAGCACTCTTCCCCAGATGTCCATTCACAAAGCTCCTTTCCTCACCTCCTCAGGTCTTTGTTCTAAGCTCCTTGCTCAGGAAGCCCCCACCCCATCTCAACATGTCTCCCAGAATCTTGCACCCCATCAACCACCACCTTACCATCCAACATACGGTTCTCTGTCTTGTTTGCAGTCTCCACACAGAGCCTGGCAAATGGTACATGTTCAAGATTTCATTCATTCCTTTATCCATTCATTCAAGAAACACTGATTAGTGCTGACGGTGGGAGGTGGAGGTCATTAAAATCCCTCAAGAACCACTCAGTCTGCTGCGGAAGACAGACTTGTAAACAGACCATCATGAAGCCCTGCTGTAAGTGCTGGGAGTGGGGGCACAGGCTGATGAGAGACCCTGGAGGAGGCATCTGAGCCCCCCCTTGGATCGGGGGAGGACAGAGAAGCTGCCACGTGAAGCCCAGCTGAGCTGAAATGAACTGGACACCAATTTCGTGCAGAGATCTCTGCAGGGTGTCCAGGCCAGGAGGTGGGAGAGGATTTGGGGCATCAGGACCCTGCAGGGTATCCCCACAGTCTTGGAGTCTCCATCCCAGGTGCTAACAGGAACATAGGTGTGGTTGAACTGGTCATATATTTCTACCTGGCTCTCTCTCAGTGTACAGCCACACACCCTGATGTGGCACCTGGCCTTGTCGCTGTGCCCAAGTGCTGATGTGGGCAGAGCACAGACAGACCCTGGTATGTGTTGAGGGAAGACACCCAGCGACTGGGGCAGCTGCCAGGCCAAGCCCTCCCGGCTCAGGTGCACAGGGTGCAACCCCCACCTTCCTCGTCCCCCTTGAGCTCCCTAAGCCCTCTGTTTACACAAGCAGCAGCCAGCAATACAAATCACCTGCCTCCACTAATGGACCAGCTGCCTCCCGAGGCCGGCCCTCTGACAGCTGCAGGATGCTTTCAGGAAAGGCTTTTGATTCCCAGTGACACTAGGCTACAATCTCTTCCTTCAAGCCCCCACCCCCACCTGCAGAGTCACACAAAGGATGGCTCTGAACAAAATGCCCTGCATGGAGGCAGGAAGAGCTCTGCTCCGCAGCACTGGGGGATGCTTCATCCTCCAGTGGGACGTGGATGTTCTCAGGAAGGGGAGCAGAGGAGGAGAGCAAGCAGACACAACCACAAAAGAAATGCTTCAACCTCATGAGGGGACATGGAGGGCCCAGTTGTGTCCTAGCACTGGCGGCACCTGGCTTGCAGCCCTGACTGGGTCCCCTTCCCTCTCTCTCTCTGGTTTCCCTGACCTCGGTGCTTCGTAGAGTGGAGAACTCATGCCTGTGGCATTGCCCATCAGCTCAGAGTGCACAGACACAGGGCGTCCTAACAGTGTGGGCCCTGCAGAGGGGGCAGCAACCCTGCCAACCCTCTGGGCACCTCTGAGAGCAAGTCCACAGCAACTGATCTCTCAGGCTCCAAGCTCTGCAATGCTAGAATTTAATCTCATCCTTTGCTTCCTGTTGTCTTCACTTTCCTGGCTATGCTTCAGTTTATGGCAAGTTCTGTTGGGTTTTATAGTAGTGGTAAAAAGGCTCCTTTGAAGTAAATTCATTTAAGGAAAATAAAGAAATCCATAGAAGAGAAAAGGGGTGAATCATAGTGGAGGGTGTGGCAGAGCCTGCAGGGGCTTGTGACATGAGACATAGACAGTGGTCAGTCACCCTGACCTCCCTAGCTCCAGCAATCTGCATCCAAACCCAGTTTGGGACCCTGATTTGCACAGTGGCCCAGCAGAAGGGGCACGCTCCTCTCCTCTAGGCCCTGCCACTTCCCCTTTCCACTGGCCCATTGTCCTTCGAGCCCTTCCTCACCTCCCTTCCCTGTGGGAGATGGAGGTGGATGAGAGAAGCCGGCGGGTGTCCCTCCTTCTTATCTGTGCCCAGAGATGTGCATGGCCCAAACACCCTGCAGGTGCCCTGAATAATTTGAAGCAGTGGTGCCACTGCTCTCTGTCCTCCAGCTTTGGTGGCAGCAGCTTCCTGCTGGCACTAAGTGCAGCCCACCTTCCTCTAGGATGTGCAACCAGTTCTCTGCATTAAATGCCTTGTATTCTAAACACATGAGGGCTTTCCGTGAAAGCCTCTGTGGGCTGAGCCCCATTCTCCAGCCCCTGCTGGCCTCAGGTATGCTGTGAGAAGCCAACACACGCATAACGTCTGTCCCTCTCAAGTCCTCCATGGGCATTTTCCTCTGCTGTAAAGCTTTCCCGTCCTGCCTTTTCAAAGTTTTCATGCTCTTCTGCCTAATTTGTAGGCCACCCTTGACTTTGCCACACCCCCTGGGATTTAGGCTTCCTCTAATTTCTGTGAAGCTTGTTTGACATGAAGAGGTGGACATAGCTCAGAAAGGGTTATGACACCATGGCCATCCCCAGCCACGCCACTCACCCACTGATGTTCCCAAGCCGGCCACGACCTCTCTACACCTCGGTGCTCTGATTTGTGACATGGGAAGGGTCTGTTGTTCCTCCAGCCCTAAGATAAGTCACCATATGCATACAGCTTTTTGCTTTTTAAGTAATTATGATAAGACAAATATTCTCAAGAGGGGGATTACTTTGCCAAGGACTATGAGCATTTGGGAGGGCTGCTTCCAATGTTTTTAATGTCTCCATTGCAAATATTGAAGCACACTAAACTCACTTATCATTGTAGGTTCTGATGGACAATTTTTCCCTTTATTCATTAACCACATGTGGGCTGGTCTCTCTGTTAAAAAATTCCAAGTAGTCATTAATTATTCCCAATGATTGCAGGGTTTTAAAGGAGATTTGGAACCAAATGGTGGAGGAATCCCTACTCGCCTATAAAATCCTGCAGCCCTCACCCACCTGACAGCAACTTGCAGCCAGAATGAAAAAAGCAGGAATTCTCAAAAATGGCTTTGAGGCACTGCCTAGCGCCAGCTCAGATAACTACATTTTAATAGATATAATAGCTTTATTGAGATATAATTCCTGTAACATAAAATTCACTCTTTTAAAGTGTACGATTCAATGGCTTTAGTATTCAGAGTTGTGCAGTCATCATCACTAATTCCAGAGCATTTTATCTCCCTAAAAGGAAACACCATGCCCATTAGCAGTCACTCCTAATTCATACCCTGTGTCCCCAAAGCCCCTGACAACCCCCAATCTCCTTTCTGCCTCTATGGATTTGCCTATTCTGGACATTTCGTATACATGAATCATATGCTATTTGTCCTTTCGTGCCTGGCTTCCTTCACCTAGTATGATGTTTTAAGGTCCATTGACATTGCAGCATGAATCAGCACTTCATTCCTTTTTGTGGGCAAATAATATTCCATTGTATGCATCTGCCACATTTTCCTTATCCAGTCATCTGTTGGTTAACTCTTGGATTGTTTTCAGCTGTTGGCTATTGTGAAGAATGCTGCAATAAACATATGTATGCATTTTTATGTGGATGTTTTCATTTCTCCTGGGCATGCACCTAGAAGTGGATTGAGGTCATACAGTAACTCTTTTTAACATTTTGAGGAATTGTTAAACTGTTTTCCATAGTAGCGGCACCATTTTGTGTTCCCATTAGCAATATATGAGGGTTTCACCTTATCTGCATCCTCACCAATGCTTGTTATCATCTGTCTTTTTGATGTTAGCCATCCTCGTGGGTGTGAAGTGGTATCTCGGTGTGGACTTCATTTGCACAGTGGTATTGAGCATCTTTTCATGTGCTTATTGGCATTTGTATTGCCAATATTTGGAAAAATATTTGAATAAATATTTATTCAGATCCTTTGCCCACTGAAGAAAATTTGCCTTTACTGATGAGTTCTTCTTATATTCTGGACAAAAGACCTTTTTCAGATATATAGCTTGCAAATATTTTTTCCCACTCTGTGAGTTCTCTTTTTACCTTCCTGATGGTGTTCTTTGAGGCACAAAAGTTTTTAATTTTGATGAAGTCCAATATATCTGTTTTTTCTTTTGTTGCTTATGTTTCTGGTGTCATATCTAAGAATGCAAGTATACAAAGATTTACTTCTAGTTTTCTTCTAAGAGCTTTGTAGTTTTATCTCCTACATTTAGGTCTTTGATCCACTTTGAGATAACTTTTGCATATGGTGGGTTTGTATATTGTTCTTTGTAACAAATTTCTTTCTAAAGCTGACTACCTTAAAATGGCACTTTATGAGAAACAGTTGTGGTGTCTGGCTCATGTTGTTTTTATTAGTAACAATACTTGTTGGTTTTGGAAGGTGTCTCATCATAAGGAAATCAATGGCACACCCATCATTTCATTCCCCGCTCACCCAGCCCTATACATGTTAGTGACCCCACTTCATAGGTGGGGACATGGACACTTCTGAGGAGAAGGTAAAATCAAAGGGACAGAATGAGGTGAGCCTGTGTTCTTCCCTTAACCCTCCTGCCCTCCTCCCCAGGAAAAATGAGCTTTGCTATGAAGTGGGGTGACCTCCTTACTCACCAGATTCTTTCTTCCTCAGAAACCCCAATCTACTGACTTCTTTGGGCTGTTTGAGGTGTAGGTAGTGACTCTGGGCTAGATATTCTATGTTCTCTTTTTCCTACATCAACAGACTCATCTGTCAAAAGGAAGGAGGGAGGGAGGGGGAAGGAGTGAAGGGAAGGAGGGAAAGAGGGAAGGAAGGAAGGGAGGGAGGGAGGGAAAGAGGGAAGGAAGGAAGCAAGGAAGGAAGGGAGGAAGGAAGGGAGGGAGGAAAAGAGGGAAGGGAGGGAGGGAAGGAAGAGAAAGAGGGAGGGAAGGAAGGAAGGAAAGTGAAGGGGAAAAAAGGAAGGAAGGGAAAGAAGGAAGAAAGGAAGGAGGGAAGGAAAGGGATGGAAAGAAGGAAGGAAGGAAGGAGGGAAGGAAGGGAAAAAGGGATGAAAGGAAGGAAGGGAGGGAGGGAAGGAAATAGGGAAGGAAGGGAGGGAGGGAAGGAAGGAAGGGAAAGAAGGAAGGAAGGAAGGAAGGGAAGAGGGAAGGAAGAAAAAAGGAAAGAAGGAAGGGAAAGAGGGAGGGAGGAAGGAAATGAAAAGAGGGAAGGAAGAGAAAAGGAAGGAATGAAGGGAAAGAGGGAAGGAAAGAAGGAAAGAGGGAAGGAAGAAGGAAGGAAAAGGGAAAGAAGGGAAAGAGGGAAGAAAGGGAAAGAGGGAAGGAAGGAAGGAAGGAAGGAAGGAAGGAAGGAAGGAAGGAAGGAAGGGATGGAGGGAGGGAGGGGAGGTCATTTCCTAGAGGAAGTAAAAGTGCAGCTCCTCTCTGGTCTCCCCTGAGTAGAACATGAGAACATGACTAAACCAAAAATCAGGTATGTCTCTAGAGAGAGCTCGTACATCCAGGCGGACAAGCCTTCCATTACTAAAAGTGCCAGAGACAAGCCAAGGCCTGCGTGTGTGCACAGGAGACTAGAGGGCCCTCTGAGCCCTGGCTGGAGGGGGGACCAGGTTCAAGCCCATCTTCTGCTCACAGCCTGGGTGATCCTGGCAGCCACGTGCCCTCCTTGCTGGGGCTCAGGTGCCTCATCTGTCAAGTGCCGGTGGCTGGGACAGGACCCCTCAGCCTGATAGGCTAAGACTCTAAGTGCTGCTGGAGTTAAGACGGCAACGCAATCTCCAAGCCTGTCAGGGACCCCTGGTAGCTGGGTGAGTGATGGTCCCGGGGGATTGACCAGCTGTTTGGGTGTCCCATAAACACAGCCTTAAAGTGGCTGGTTCCGCCCATCCATCTTGCCCTTGGGGCCGCGCCCTGGCGGCTTTCAGAGTGGCCCTAGTTGACATCGGTGTTGGCCCCTTCCGGGTGGCGCTGGGCCGTTGATGGGCTCTGTGATGGATGGGTCTCCACTGTGGAGGTGCCACAGCTCAGGACGCCCTGAGGGTGACGCCGGGGGCTTCAGCAGGAACAGCTGGGTGGAGGCAGAGCTGTTCTGCTGTGGCTGCAGCCCTGAACTGTGGGATTCAGAGCTGAGAGTGAGGTAATGAAGCCAAGTGCTTCCAGGGTCTACAGATGGAGGTGACCCAGACACACTGTACAATAGACTCTCTGGAGTTTCCTTAGTTCCACAGAAACCTGCTCCCTCCCCTATGGCTGTAGCCTTTTTGTGTCTCTCCTGGTTTCAGATAGAACACCAGCCCCACCAAGCACAGGGCTTCCCTTGGGGCAGTAGAAAGTGGCAATACTATGGCCAGCCAGGCCACTCAGGGGTCTGAATTCAGAACGGCTGTTTTTTCTGATTTCTCCAGGGACCCCTGTACAAACCAAAGTTATCTCTCTGCAACCTCCAGGTCTGACCACGGATAACTGGCTGATTCCTCCTTCTGGCATTCAGGGTTGTACCCCTGTGTTCTGAACTGAGGGCTGGAGAGAGAAATAATGAACTCACCAAGCTCTACTGACTGCCTGCTGCTGGCCGCACATCACAGCCCTTGGATAGCACCATGGCCTGACTTTATGTAGAGCCGCTGACATCCCTAAGGCACTCAGGGCAAGACTGAAACATGCTGAGGCCATGCCCCATGGTGTTAGAAGGGATGATGTGAGCAGCCTGTCTTCTGCTCATTCCTGCAACACGCCTTAGGGTCTCTCAGGGGCATTGTTCATGATGGGAAGCTCGGAGGGCCTGGCCACAGACAGAGGTGACCCACAGTCACTGAGTTGGAGGGGTGGCCCCCAAGCTGGTGGGGAGAGGTAGAGAACTGGTGGAGATGGCTAAGATGATTCCTCATTTCCCCCGAATGGCCCTAGTTTTACTGCCCTTCCCACTACCTGCTTTCTCCAAACACACGCTCCCTCTCTGACCTGGCTGTCCCCCACCATTCTCACTAGAAATGTAGACTCTGGGAGAAAGGAAGGGCCCTTGGATCCCAGGAAGTTCCTTTACAGCTTCCCTAGATGTTGGGCATCTGCTGCTCTACTTGCATGCCCTGCATGACGGGGAGCTCCTCACCCGTCAAGCAGCCCTCCCCATTTTTGTGTCCTTACTGCTGATCTCTGCCATGCCCCCACCCCTCCTGGGGACGCAGCTCTGCTCTCCTAGCCCTAGGACTCCATCAGCTCTTCCTGCCCCAGGACTGGCCCTCAGAGGTGGGGGACAGTGAGTAGATTTCACTACTTTCTACTTAGGCTGTTAGTTGAGTCTAGCAGCCCCAGCTCCCCAGGGGATGGGGTCTCCAGGCCCCTTGTCACTTTAGCTGCCTGCTGTGGACATGCTGGTGTCCCTCCCCAGGGTCCCAGTCCCAGGCTATTCTCCTTCCCACTAACGCTCATTTAGCTCACCTAACTGCCCACTTCGACCACTTGGGGGCCCTTGCTGGTCTGGAATCTGTTCGGTGCCAGACTGAAGCATTAGTGCTAGTCCCTATGGCGCATTCCCAGCCAAACACTGGGGGGACAGCTGTATAGACTGCAAGCTTCCTTCTGTCCCTGTGGCTGTCTTTGCAGCTATTCTTAAACACCTGCTTCTCCCTTTCATTCTGGGCATGTCCCTAGTCCCTTTGAAGTTAGGTGTGGCTGTGTGACTTGCTTGGCAAATGAAATGTGAGCAGAAGAAACACGTGCAGGTTCAGGGTAGAAGCCCCGTCCCCTTTCCCTGGGTGACTGATGGGCTGGCCCATGAAGGCACATCATGTAACTGACTGAAAAATGCATTTTTCTGTGTGCAGACATGAGATGTTGGGCTTGTTTGTTGCTGCAATAGAACCCAGCCCACCCTGACTGTTAGACCCTGAAACTATAATCAGGGCAAATCCCTGCCCTTCTTCATAGCAGAATGTTCTCCAACTACCTAGTGGCTGTTCCCAAAGCACTGGAAGCTCTCTCTGCACCATCATCTTTCCCAAGTAGTCCAGGATATGAGAGGGGCTCAATACATATTTGTTGAATAAGCGAATGAAGGAGGAACTCTCTCTCACCCAGTGGCATCCTTGGGGTTATGGGCAGCCACCTATTGCATCTATTGCACTAAGACTAAATCCCCAACTCCCTACCAGGACCTGCCTGGTCCCCACCAACATCCTCAGCCTCATTGTCTCCCTGCTCCTCCCCACACCACCCTGTCTTGAGCACAAGCACACCCAGCCTATCTTCCCACCCCAGGGCCTTTGCACATGCCATTCCCTTCCTCTGCAGCACTGGATGATTTCTTCTCATGTTGCAGGCTCTGCCCAAATGTTTTTCCTCAGAGCATTCATCCCTGACCACTTGCATCTCAAGGCGTCCCCTACCCACATCACTTTTAAAAAAACATTTTATTTGAAAACAATATACAATTTGTGGAAAATTTGCAGGGATGAGAATGGGACCAAAAACACCTGCATACTCCTCACCTACTGTTAACTTTTTATTATTTACTGGGTTATTTGCTCTTGTTCTTTCTCTCTGTCTCTATCACTGTGTCTCTCCTCTGTGTCTGCCTCTCTCACAAACACACATATTTTGAGGGTAAATTGCAAATGTCATAGCCCTTGACCCCAAAATACTTTGGTGTGGGTTTCCCAAAAATAGAATTATGCTCTTATGTAACTACAGCTCCGTTCTTGACTTTGGTAATATTGAAATTAACATTAACATTGACAAAACACTTTAATCTGCCATCCATGTGCCAATTTTGTCAACTGACACAATGCTGCCCTGACGCAATGCCGCCCTTTATAGCATGTCTTTCCCCTCCATCACCCCATCTGATCCAGGGTCAGGTATTGTATTCAGTTGTTTTGTCTCTTTGGTCTCCTTCAGCCTGAAATGGTGTCCATAATCTTTCGTTGTCTTATATTGCATTGACATTTTTGAAGAACACAGTGTTTTTAGTGAAATGTTTCTCACTTGGAGTTTGTCTGCATTTCCTCCTGTTTGGGTGTGGGTTGTGCCTTCCTACCTGGTGTCAGTGGTGTTAGGGATGTGCGCTTGTAGGGCATCACAACTGGTGGCCCCCGGTGCCCGCATGCACCTCCATGGTGGTCAGTGGTTGATTTTGTCACCCTGCCAGGGTGGGTCCTGATTTCTCCACTGTATAACTTTTCCCCCCTCCTTGCGTTGAATACCTGGTCTATGAGGAGACACCTGCAGAGCATGCAAAAACACCCTACTCCTTGTCAAAGCTTTCCACCGGCTTTATCAGCCATTGATGACTCTTGCCTGAGCCAATCTTTGCCACAATGCTTGCAAAATGTTGATTTTTCCACCCAAATCCTCCCCCAACATTTCCCAGCTGGCTCTCAACTGGGAAATGGGGGAGGAGAGAGGCCTTTTTTTCGAGCCACAAGCCTGCCACAGTTTTGTCAACTGATGCAATGCTGCCCTTTATAGCCTGTCTTTCCCCTTCACCACCACATCTGATCCGAGGTCAGGTATTACATACCTGTATAAATAGTGTATAATCTTCCTTTTTTAGTGCATAACAACATGTTCCAGGCTTATAATGTATTGATCCTGTCCCAAGTTTGGAATCAGCCATTTCTCCAAGGAGCCCTGGATCCCATTCCCAAGGATGGTATTAGAGACCAACATCTGGGTACAGGATGTGCTCACTGCCACTGAGGTGTCTGCTTCAGAGCTCTCTCAGCAGACAGAGCCAGATACAAAAGATGTGTGCATGCATTCAAGACCTTACATACACACACCACATCGTATTCTATAATAGCTTGTCATTCCATCATCCTTTTCTGTAGGTTGAGCTGGAATGATCCGGGTGACTAATCTGACATCTATTTATCCTCCCTCTCCCTGATCCATTCCTAAGTGCCCTGGAAGTGGGGATTGGCCTCCTGTCTTTTCTCTTGCTGTGTGCCCAGCTTGGAGATCTTTAAGAACTTCCGAATGAATGAACCCACTTCCGTAGGCCCCACAAGGCTTTGCCTGAGGCTCTCAGATTCCCAGCAAGGGTCCATGGAACAAGTTAGCTTGTTGGACAGTGTGGTCTCAGGCCCTGGCTTGTGGCAGTAGGCAACAGCCCTATGTCCCTGGTACCTGTCTGCAGCCCTCCTCAAGCCAGCCCTCTAGGGACGGAGCTGCTCCCAGGCCCCTCTGTGCCCATTCCTTGACTCTCTACACTAGCTACAGGTTCAAGGCAGCACCTGGAGTCCTCACAGCAGTCCTGCTCTTTCAGGAATCAGAGCCCCATTTTGCAGATTAGGAAACCAAGGCTCAAAGAGGCTCTGGCCTCTTTGGAAAGAGACTGTGGAGCAGATTTCTGCCCAAGAAAATCATGAATTGCCCTCATGAGCCAAAGGTTTTGTGTGTGCAGAGTGGAACATCTGAGCCTGTCCATTTCTTGGTTGGACATGTGAATAATGTTTTCAAAAGAATTTCTGATTTGATGTCCTGGCCTAGCAGGGCTGCTGTGGGTGAGCCACATTCCACCTGACTCACCTGGTCCCAATTCCAACAGTGTGAGAATTCCCCAGGGCTGCCTTCCTGCTCCGTCTCTGGCACCTAGACCGAAGCAGAAAGAGCGCGGGGCGACTCATGCCGCCTCACATCACTCCTTGGTGACCTTCATCACATCCCTCCAAGCCTCAGTTTCCTAATCTGTCACTGGGGCTAAGTCCCCTCCCCCTTGCAGAGTTGTTGGGGAGGAAGAGTCTCACCTCCTCCAGAGGCCTTGGGAATGCACCCCACAGAGGTCCCATTGCTGTCCCACAACTTCACGGCTGTGTGACCAGCAGACACGAAAGGGGAGGGCAGCTCATTTTTCAAACAAAACGGTATCAGATGTGTGATTTGGTTAAAAAAATATATATTTCTGGCAATGGCTTCAGCTTTGCTCAAGAGAGAACTGGGTTGGGGGGAGAAGGTGGAGGGGAGGCTGTTCCAGTGGCTTAAAAAACCCCAGATAAGTGTACGGTGATTAAGCGCAACCATTAGCTCTAATGGGCAATAATTGGTGATGAGAAATAATTTTCTAGGGCACGACTGCCCCTGGTGCCCCCACACCCGGCCCCAGCAAGGGGACAGCCAAGGGGCTGATTAACTCCCAGGCTGGAGGAAATGTCGGAGGCACAAAAAGTTTCCAGATTCGAGGGTAATTGGGAGAAGTTATTTCACTTTCCACATCAGGCTGATGAGGGGCCACCCACCTGCCGGTGAGGGAGGGGCTCGGCCGGCTTCCTGCCCAGAAATGGAGGGCCACTGTGCAAGGGGCAGGGGTGGCCAGCATGGTTAGAGGGTGGGGGCAATTCCCACCTGTGTCACTGCTGGCCCTGTGACCCAGGGCAAGTCACCACAGGGTCCCTTCTCTGTCCTGACTTGCTCCCCAACCAGTATTTGCACAGGCCCTCGTCCTTTTCACCTCAAAATTCACAGACAAACCCACCAGCCAGCAGTTCAGTCTTCCCGAGTGCCCTCCCTTCCCCCAGAGCCTGCCCAAGGACCTGCTAGCCTTAGGGTACCTTTGTGGGATTCAGGGGAAGATGCCCCTCTTGGCCGCAGGCTACAACCTTGAGTGTGTCCAGCAGGAGCTGGCTGGACTCCTTGGAGCTCCTGTGTGCAGTGCACAACCTGCCCAACAGCCCTCTGCAGCCCAGCTGTGCTCATGTCTTCATCTCCTTCCTCCTCACTCTGCCCACTCAGCCTGTCCCCAGAAAGAGCTCTTGGTCACTTCAAATGAGTGAAGTCAAAGGCCCCACCTCTCTGCCCCCCACCTGCCTGCTCCTTCTTTCTTGAGCTCTGCTGCCTCCAAGACCTGCCTTCCTCTCTGCCTCAGCCTCACTCCCCTCTTCCCCAGTCCAAAGCACAAATTCTCCCATCCCCAACCCAATCTCTCTCTGAAAGCCCTTTGCCCTGGGGACTTACTGCACACCCTGATCATCTCCCTCCCAGATCTGCACCTCTCCCTGGGTCCATGAGTGGGTCTCTCTCCTCTCTCTCTTACTTTTTCTCCCTCTCCCTCGTCCTCTCCATGTGTGTGTATGTGTGTTCAGTGTGTCTTTCATAGTGATTGACCCAAGGCAGTGAGACAAGCATGCCTCCTGAAGCTAAGGAGGCTTTGTGCAATAGGAAGGCCTTTCCCTTCCCTGGCTCAGGGCTGCAGTGCTCTCCCAGGCATGAGACTGAGCTCCCCCTCACAGGAGGCATGTAACCAGGGCCTGTACGGCTGCACCCCTAGGATGCTGCAGAGAGGAGTCCTGTCCTTTGAGGGCCTAGGTGGGATAATCTAAGGAGGTGTTGGCCTAGGATAAGCTGAGGCCTCTAGGCTGACCCCATGGCAGCCTCCTCTAGCTGTCCTCTCTGCCGTCTGCAGGCCAGGGCTTCAGCTCCCAAGTTGCAGGTGAGGTCAGCCTCAGGATACCTCCACCACTGACCAGCTGCCGAACCTCTCTGGGCCACAATGTCCTCCTCTGAAAATGAAAATCGTGGTGTTACCACCTCACGGGACCGACCCGAGGATGAAGGAGCTGGCCACAGAGGTGCTTCCAGGACAGACTGGTGCCCAGAAGACTCCAGGACAACAGCTGCTGGTATCACTGCGTGGGGCAGTGAGACATCGGGGCTGTTCCCGCTGCATGATTGCCCCGTCCCAGGTTGTTGCCCACAAAGTCCCCTCTATATGCGCTGTGCCCCCAGAATTGCGCAGCGTCAGTTATAAACGTAATACTGTGTGGCCGGTGCCGTTGTAAGCACTGTAGATGAGTGTGTTTATTCTGTTTCTCCACACCTCTGTGAGGTGGGCATTCTTGTGACCCCTATTCCATCGGCGAGAATCGGGGGCAGCCAGATCCAATAACTTGCCGCAGGCTGGGCTGGCACTGCGTGCTGCGCCTCCTCTGAGCCTAGCACTCTGGCCTCACAGTCGGTGCTCGTAGCATTTCAGCTGTATGACTCTAACAGCAATTACAGTCATGGCCTTCGCCGCCGCCACCATTCCCGTTCCGGTTGGAGAACACAATGCACCGCGCACAGGCTGTGCCAAAGTCCACAGGCACCCTTCGGCCTCCATCATCGCGCCCTCTTCACAGATGAGCAAACGGAGGCCAGACGTCACCGGCAGGCGGCGCTGCGGTGCGCGAGGCCTCGCACCTGCACGGGAAGCAGCGGAGAGGACGCAGGTAAGGTAAAGCCAGGCAGACCCGAACCTGGACGCGCACCTGCGGGGGAGGGGGTATGCGCGGGGCGGGTTGCCGCCCCTCCCGGGAGTACGGGCGGAGGCAGGGGCGGGCGGGGGCTTTCAGCAGCTCGTCCGCGGAACATTTGCATGTAATTTGGGAGCGGGTCACATGTGGGAGTCATCAGGCAGAGGAAAGGCTCAATCAGGGCCTAATCACTGTCTGTTTGGAGGGGTCTGGGCCCAAGTGAAAAATGAAAACGGGGCTATTTTGCTTGAGTGACAGCCATCAGTGGCCACCTTTGACCTCCCCACTCGGGCTGGGTCTGCCCGAGGTTTAAAAACCAATCATCAGGGAAGGGGTGGGAGGGGCTCCCTCTCCTCGGCTCTCCCCTCCCCCATCCTTTTCCCTCCCTGGACCTGGGTTTGTAAAATTCATTCATTCACTCCCATTCATTCTTTCAACAACCCATCCTAGGGCAGCAGGACTCCCTGGTCAGGGCCCCTGGGGCAGATGCCGGATTTGAGTTCTGACACTGTCACTTGCCAGCCGGCGACCTTGGGCAGGTGACTGTCAAGCGTCAGTGTTCCATCTGCGAAATGGATGCAGGAGGCACGCAGAGAAGAGTTGATGTTGGTGAGGTGCTGAGGGAGGCGGGGCCGCAGGGGCAGGGGGCGAGCCCTCCTTCAGCCCTCCCCCTAAGGGACAGGAGCTTTGTAGAGGAGGGCCAAGAGGTCAGGTAGGTTGCAGCGGCTCTGCTTTTTGCATGAATGCGTACCCTTCCTCCCGACACCCTGTGCACAAGGCGCAACCTGGTTCGCAATGTACAGAAGAGAGGCCTCTGCCAGGTGAACAAAAGAGAGGGCACACGCAGGCCAGGGAGACCGAGAGAGAGCAGGGAGGTGCCGGACTGCCCACGGGCAGTGAAGGGCAGTGACTGCTCCCTAAAGCAGCCATGAGCCCGGGCTTGGTTCACCCCGGCATGGAGGGACTCAGCCCACTGTCCCAGAATGGTCTCCAGATCCCTAGAGACCCAAGGGCCTGGACCCGGTGGTATAGAGTGACCACTGCAATGGCGGTCTGCAGGCCACTGGGGGCAGCAGAGAGGAGCCGCCCCCGGCTCAGGCGGGACAAGCTCAGCCAGCAAGCTTCTGCCAGCACAGCCTGTGGGGGCCAGCTGCGCCCCACTGCACCGGCTGCTGGGCCACCGTGCCTCTGCCCTCTCTGCCACCCAGTGGAACCCTTTTGCCCCGAAGGGGCCCTTGGAGTCGTCCTCCCACGGCCGAGGCCGGGAATTCCAGGCAGCCGGTGCAGCTGCGGGTCGGTGGCCCTTTCAGGCCTGAGGAATTGCTCCGGCGGCCGGGGGGCGGGCTGGGCGCCGGGTACATTAGCGCCTGCTTTGCTCGCTGATGGTGTTTATAGGGATGTGGAACGGGCCTCCAGGAAACCGTCTGGCAGGCCGGGCTTCAGCAAATGGATTGCCAATTAATCAGCATCTATTTATGAGAACGTTTAAACCATTATTAATGTAGTGTAAATACGGAACCGCTGGCGGCCCAGGGCGGGCGGGCGGGCAGGGGGCCATCTGCCGAGGCTGCCATCACATTCCTGGGGCGTGTTCCCGCTCCCACCCTCCTGGGGAGGGGTCCCACCCCTTGCCCTCATCCCCGGCCAAGCCTGCTCCTCCAGGTGCCGGCTTCCTCCTGCTGGGCCCTGCTGGTTCTGAGGCCTGCGGCTGCAGCCTGCCACGTTCTCAAGTTTTTCACCCAAGATGCTGAACAGGGGCGTGAAGGGTGAGTCCCGCCTCAGTCACTCAGCAGGGGTCCGCAGCAGCCCCTGGCAGGCCTTGGCAGGGCTCTTTTCCACCCAGGGGGAGACTGGGCAGGTGTCCCACGCTGGGCCTGGCTGCCTCTTCCCCTCCTCCTTCCTGCTCTGGACAGTGGATCTCATCCTCATCCTGACAGAGCTCAGCCCCTGGAGGCAGGGGAGGAGGAGCTGGGGCATTTTCCCAGCCCCTCCCTCACCTGTGGGTCCCAGTTCCCAAGGCTTCCCCCAACCCCAAGACCTAGGGGCTCTCAACTTTCCCCCCAGACTATCCCAAGGACAAAACAAGGTGATTTGCGCACACTGCTGGCACCTCCACTTCTCTCCAAAGATACCAGCTGAGCCCTCTGCCTCCTCCCTGACCTGTCTGGGCCTCCAGTATACATTGAGCCAAGCCGGGTGGCCTCTCGGAGAGCTGGTGCTGACCAAGACACCGCAGCCAGCCTGCGCCGTGGACTGGGGGGCTCCAGGACTTTCAGCCTGCTCACCCCCAATGTCCTGATGATCCTTCTTCCTTAGCATCACCTCAGATGGCTTTTTCTTTACCAACTGTACCCATTTTACAGATGAGAGACTGAGGTTTAGAATGGAGAAGGAGCTGCCTGAGGCAACAGAGACAGAGAGCCAGAACTGAAACGAGGCACCCCCACCCGACCCCTGCGACCCAACACCCACCGTGTCCTGTTCCTCTGCAGGCCTCTGAGGTTCCTAAACTACATGACCACATATTTTGAGACCTTTGAGTTTTTATGAACGCTCTCCAGAGTTTCCCAATCTCTATGTTTCATTAGCTGTGCTCACCTGGGCCTGCCTCCTTTCTCTGAATGCTTTGCGTGGAGGTGGCTGCACACCTTCGCACTGGATGCCAAGCAAGAGCAGTTAGCCTGAGAGTTCACTCTGCAAAAAAGAAAACAAATAATGAGTCTGTGCTTTGACGCTGGGTGTTATCAAACATCTTTGGTAATTGCGAGGACTTTCCCTGCTCTGGGAAGTTGAGGTGTTGGTCTAACGGGGGCTCTTGACAGGGAATGCCATGAGGAGGTGGCAGCACAGTGCTGAGGAGAGGGCCAAGCCCTCCAAGGCACGGGGAGCTGCTCCCTCCTGTCCCCACCCTGGGAACAAGGCCCTCCCTCTGCAGGCCTCCACCCTGTGCTACGCTGCTAACACTTACGGTTGGTGTGTTTATTTTTTCACTCAACTCTGTGCCCCTTGAGGATGGGGACAGCGTTTTCACCCCCATTACATCCTGGTGCCTCGAGAAGATGCCAACCAATGTTTGTTGACTGACTGACCATTTGGGAAATTTCTGCTTGGCACCGCTTCCCCAGGCTCCCCTCTTTTCTCTCTGGCCCCAGCCCATCTGCCTTGCTGGCTTCAGCCCTGGTCACTCCTCCAAATCCCAGAGCCAGGCTAAGGCCCAGAAGCATGGAGGGGTTCAAGGAGCCGGGACTAGACCAGACAGCCTTTAAGATGGATGCCCCATCTATCCCAACCCACCCCTGTGGGATCACCAGGCCTCAGGACAGCCACCTGCCTGTGGTCACTCAGCACGCCACAAAGCTAAGGTTTCTGATGTCCTGAGGGGCCCCCAGAGCTGCTCCACGCCCCGGGCCCCCGGGCCCTGCTGCACTGGCATGCTGGGAGGAAAGAGAACAAAGACGAGGCATATGCCCCTATTTCCCGGCCTCGCTCCCTGCCCCCCATTAGCCTAGTGAGGCTTGTTTATATTAGAGCAGGAATTATTCCAGCCCTAATCAGAGGCCCTGCGAGGTTTCGGCATTCGAGGTATTTCTTTACCCAAGGACACTCTCCAATCCTATAATTTCCATTTCCCCAGACGCCCCTGATTGAAAGCAAACATTTTATATTTGGAAAGGAAAAGGGCTGTGTGCTATTCATAGCCCAGCCTGGCTGTCCAGAGCTAGGTCCTGGGGGACTGAAGGCCTGGAGGGATGGACAAATCTGGGAGGGTGGCAGGGGGCATGGCTAGGTCCCAGCCAGGAGAGGTGTGGGGAGATCACAGCCCAGGGGTGGGGAGACCGAGGGACAGAGAGAGAGCCCCTTGCCACCAACTGCCCAGCCAGGGATGTCTGGCACTGCACAGCCTCCCTGGTTGAGGGGACAATGTGCGGGAAGGGGGTGCTATAGTAGCAGAGCCTGTGGGCTGGGAAGAGGGTGGATGGGGGTGCAACTTGAGCCCCTTCCTCCTCTGCACCCCCTTGCCAGGTAGCTTCACTGCCTCTTGCAGGTGAGGATAGGAGGCACGTTGCAGGGATGGGATGGAATAAAATACTAACAGTGGGCCTGGGGACAGAGGCCAGCGTTTGCCCAAAGGGACTTTGAGAAGCCTACTGTCCAGGGGACTCTGTCTCCACTTCGGGCCCCTCTGTTTTCTGATATTCAGCTCCCCACTCCAGGTGCTGCCCACCCCTCTCGAGTCACACTCACCCATCACTCCACAACTTCTTAGGGGCTGAGAAGCACATGGACTCCACACCAATCCCAGGCCACTCTGCTCCCCTCGCCCTTCCCTTCTGAGTTCTTTCCTCCCTCCCTCGATGTGGAAGTCCGGGCAAGGACGACGTGTTCTTCACGGGAGGATATCAGACCCCCACTTACTCAAAGCTGTGTGTAGGCAGCCTCTTCCATGTGCCACACACCACCCTTTTGGAAAGATGCCTTCATTAATCCTTAGAAGCAGATATTATTATTCCCATTTCATGGATAAAGAAACCAAGGCTTGTTGAGCTTAAGTCACCATTGTCCCATCTATGTCCCTTGAATCTCAGTGCCTCAGCACTCACCTCCTAAGACCAGTGTAAATAAACTCAGGCATGGTGTGCTGGAGGTCACAGCCCGCTGGCACATGCTGAGTGGGGCACACACTATTCTTATTTAAATGAATGGATTTCAGGGAAGCAGGGAAATGAAGAGGGACTGCATGTTTCTGCACTGTATCAATCCGTATTATTGGAATGATTAAGAGACTGCATTTGGAATTTAATTTTTTCCTTACGATTTAATTTTTATTTTTATCAAAGTCATGCATTGCAGCATTTTGTTAACTGCTTTATTGAAGTATAACTGATACGTAGTAAAATGCAAACAAGTAAAGTATGAAAGTTGATAAGTTCTTAGAAAAGCTTTTTTGAGATATAATTCACATACCGTACAATTCACCCATTTAAAGTGTAAAATTCAGTGATTTTTGGTATATTATTAATTATTTTTTAAATTGTGGTAGAGTATATATAACACAAAATTTGCCATCTTAACTGTTTTAAGTGTATAATTCAGTGACATTAAGTAATACACATTGTTGTGCAACCATCACCCCAAACAGAAACTGTACCCATGAAACAGTAACTCTCCATTTCCCCTCCCCTCTAGCCCCTAGTAAACTCTAATTTTTGTCTCTATGATTTTGCCTATTATAGATATTTAATGTAAGTGGAATCAGAGTATGTGTCCTTTTGTGTCTGGCTTATTCCACTTAGCATGTTTTCAAAGTTCATCTATGCTGTAGTATGTATCAGAATTTCCTTCCTTTTTATTGTGGAATAATATTCCATCGTATGGATAAACCACATTCCTCTAAGGGTGGGTTGTTTCCACCCTTTGGCTAATTGTGAATAATGCTACATAAACCACTGGCAAACAAGTATCTGTTCAAGTTCCTGTTGTCAATTCTTTTAGGTATATAGCTAGGACTGAAATTGCTGGGTTATATGATAACTCTATGTTTAGTTGTTTGAGGAACTTCAAAACTTTTCCATGGTGTTGGTACCATTTTACATTCTCACCACGCATGTATGAGGGTTCCATTTCATCACCTCTTTGTCAACACTTGCTACTTTCTGTTTTTTTTTAGTTATAGCCATCCTAGTAAGTGTAAAGTGGTATCTCATTCTGGTTTTGATTTGCATTTTTCTAATGGCTAATGATGTCAAGCATCTTTTCATGTCTTGTTGGCTATTTGCCCATTATTTAATTGGATTGTCTTTTTGTTGTTGAGTTGTAAGGGTTTTTATATATTCTGGATATTAAACCCTTATCAGATATGTGGTTTACAAATAACTCTCTTCCATTCTGTAATTTGTCTTTTTCTTAATAAAAATTGATATGCTTCTGTACATATGTGTATGTGTTTGTGTCTATCTATCTATCTATCATCTATCTATCTATCTATCTATCTATCTATCTATCTATCTATCTATCTATCTGTGGAACCCTCACCACAATGAAAATACTGAACATATAAATCACCCCCCAAAATTTTTCATGTGTAGCTTTTTTTCACTCAGCCTAATTGCATGGAAATTTATCCATGCTGTCACATGTATAAATACTTTATTCTTTTTTACTGCTGAGTAGGATTCCATGGTGTGAATACACCACACAGTAGTTTGATCATTCACCTGCTAAAGGATACTTGAGTTGGTTCCAGTTTGGGGCTATTAATTCTGGTTATTAAATAGTTTCTCTGAACATTCATATGCAAGTCTTCATTTCTCTTGAGTGTATACCTAGGTATATAATTGCTGGGTAATATGGAAACTGTAATATCTTGAGGAACTGCTAAACAGTTTTCCAAGGCAATTGCACAATTTTGCATTCCCACCAACTGTGCATAAGGGTTATAATTTCTCTACATACTTGCTATTGTCTTTTTTATTCTGGTCATTTTAGTGGATGTGAAGTGGTATAGCTCATGATTTTGACTGGCATTTGCCTGTTGACTAATGATAGCAAACATCTTTTTATATTCTTAATATCTATTGTATATCTTCCTTAAAGAAATGTCATTTTAGACCCTTTGCCCATCTATAGATTGGGTTACTTGTCTTTTTGTTATTTCGTAGTAATTTTTTTTATATTCTAGATGCAAATCTCTTATAAGATATACGATTTGCAAATATTTTATCTCACTTTGTGTTTTTTTTTACTTTCTTGATGGTGTCTTTTGAAGTGTAAAAAGTTTTAATTTTGATGATGTTCAGTCTATTTTTTTTCTGCTGCTTGTGCTTTTGATGTCAATCTAAGAAACTATTTCCCATTTAAGATTCTGAAGATCTACACCTGTGTTTTCTTCTAAGACATATAGTTTTAGCTTTTACATTTAAGTCTTTGATCCATTTTGAGGTAATTTTGGTATATGGTGTGAGGTAGGGATACTCCTTCATTCTTTTGCATGTGGATATTCAGTTGTCCTAGTACCATTTGCTAAGAAGATTTTTCTTCCTCCATTGAATCATCTGGCTACCCTCATCATAAATCAATTGACGATAAAAGTGAGAGCTCATTTCTGGACTCATAGTTCTATTCCATTTAAATAAAGGTCTTTCCTATGCCACTGCCAAAATGTCTTGATCACTATTGCTTTGTAGTAAGTTTTGAAATAGGAAAAGAATGACTGTTCCAACTTTGTTCTTTTTCCAAGATTATTTTGACAATTTCAGGTCCTTTGAATTTCTTTATAAATTTTAGGGTCAGCTTATCAATTTCCAAAAATAAATCAGCTGAAATTTTGATAGGGATTGCATTGAATCTGCACATCATTTTGGATAACATTGCGTTCGTGACAATAGTAAGTCTTTTGTCCATGAATATGGGATGAATATGGGATGTTTTTCCATTTATTTAGGTCTTCTTTAATTTCTTTCAACAATATTTTGTAGTTTTGAAAGTAAAAGTTTTGCACTTCTTTTGTTAAACTTATTCTTAAGTATTTTATTCTTGTTCATGTTATTGTAAATGTTGTTTAGAAATATATTTGATTTTTATATATCGATCCTATATTCTGCAACTGTGTTGAACTTGTTTATTAGTTCTAATAATAGTTTTTTTAGCGAATTCCTTAGGAGTTTATGTATAAAAGTTCATTTCTTCTTCAAATAGAGATCATTTTATTTCTTACTTTTCAATCTAGATACATTTTATTTTTTTTCTTACTTAATTTCGCTGGTTAGAACCTCCAGTAAAAGTTGAACGGAAGTGGTGAGAACAGACATCCTTGTTTTTTTCTTGATCTTAAGAGAAAATAAGTCAGCTTTTCATTATTATATATGAAGTTAACTTCATGGGTTTTTCATTGGTTTCCTTCTATTCTCGGTTTGTTCAGTGTTTTTATCATAAAAAGGTGTTAGATTTTGTCAACTGTCTTTTTTTCATCAATTGAGATGAAAGTATGGGTTTTTCCTTCATTCTGTTGATGTAGTGTATCACTTTAACTGATTTTCAGATGATAAGGCAACCTTGCATTCCTGAGATAGATCTCATTTGATCATAGTATATAATTCTTTTTGTTCATTGCTGGATTCTATTTGATAGTGTTTTGTTGAACTTTTTGGTGTCTATATTCATTAAAAGTGAGAATGAATGAAATATGGTTTTCCTGTGGAGTATCTGTCTAGTTTTGAAATAAGGGCAATACTGGTCTCATAGAATGGGGTGGAAAGTGCTCCAACCTCTTTTATTTTTGCAAGAGTTTGTGAAAAAATAATATTAATTCTTCTTTAAGTGCTTGGTAGAATTAGCTAGTGAAGCCATTTGGTCTTGGGCTTTTTTGGCAGAAGTTTTTTTTTTTTTATTACTAAGCCAAACTCTTTACTTGTATAAGTATATTCAGATTTTCTATTTCTTCTCATGTCAGCTTCAGTTGCTCTTTTTTCTAGGAATTTGTCCATTTCATCTAAGTTATATAATTTTTGGCACACAGTTTTTCATAGTATTCCTTTGTAGTTGTGTTTATTTCTGTAAAGTCAGTAGTTATGTCTCCTATTTCACTTCTGATTTTGGAATTTTGAGTCATCTCTTTTTTTCTTAGTCAGTCTAGATGTAGTCCTTAGTGTAAAAATGATTTATACTAGTCCTTAGTGTAAAAAAGAATTTACACTACTCCTTAGTGTAAAAAGGATTCTGTACCACGACTAAGTGTAAATTTTGTTGTCTGTTAATTTTGTTAATTTTTTTTGAGAACCAATGCTTGATTTAGTTGATTTTCTCTATTATTTTTGTACTCTCTGATTCATTAATTTTCACTGTAATCATTATTTCCTTTCTGCTGCTTACTTTGGGCTCAGTTTGCACTTCTTATTCCAGGTTCTTAAGGTGGAAGGATATTGATTTGAGATCTTTATTTTTATTCCATGTAATTCACATCTGTAAATCTCCCTCTAAGCAGTATGTTAGCTGCATTCCAGAAATTTTCATGTGTTGTGTTTTCATTTTTACCTATCTCAAAGTATTTTTCTAATTTCCTTTGTGATTTTTTGACCCATTGGTATTTCATAGTATGTTGTTTAATTCTCACATATTTATGAATTTCCCAAATTTCTTTTTGTTATTAGTTTTCAATTTCACTCCATTGTAATTGGAGGTCCTGTAAATTTCAATTATTTTAAATTTATTTAGGCTTACTTGGTGATCTGCCCTGTTGTCTGTCCTGTAGAATGTTTCATTTGTGCTTGAGAATAATGTGATTCTTGTTAGGCACAGTGTTCTATACATATCTGTTAAGTCTAGTTTGTGTATATTGCTGTTCAAGTCTTCTATTTCCTTGTTGACCTTTTGTCAAGTTGTTCTATCCATTATATAGAGTATTGAAGTTTCTAATTGTTATTGTTGAATTGTCTATTTCCACTTTCAATTCTGTTAGGGTTTGCTTCGTATATCACAGAGCTCTGTTGTTAGGTGCACATATGTTTATAATTGTTACAACTTCCTGATTGACTGACACTTTTATCATTATAAAATATCCCTATTTATCTTCAGGGAAAAAAAATTAAAGCTATTTTATATGGTATTAATATAGCCACTCCAGCTTTCTTATGGTTGTTATATGCATGATATATCTTTTCCATCCTTTCACTTTCAACCTATTTGTATCTTTGAATCAAACATATCTCCTAAAGCCAACATGTAATTGGATTATGTGCTTTATTCAGTATGACAATTCTGCTTTTTGATTGGATTGTTTAATCCATTCTAAGTTAATGTTGTTATTGATATTGTTGGACTTACATCTGACATTTCATTTTTGTTTACTATATGTCTCCTTTATTTTGTTCCTCTTTTCCTCCTTGATTTCTTTCTTTTGTGTGGAGTTAATATTTTATAGTATAACATTTTAATTCCTTTAATGATTTTTCCTTTATTAAAAAAATTTGTTGTCACATAATAGATATACATATTTTCAGGATATATGTGATAAATTAATACATTTATATAATTTATAAAGATGAATTTAGTATAATTGGGATATTCACCACCTTGAATATTTATTCTTTCATTATGCTAGAAACATTTGAATTATTCTCTTCTAGTTATTTTGAAATATGCAATAGATTATTAGAAACTACAGCCACCCTACCAACTGTCAAACATTAGATCTTCTTTCTTCTGTCAAATTGTATATTTAGACTCATTAATTAAACCCTTTTCTCCCACCTCCACCTTCCCGGTCTCTGATAATCACCAATGTACTTTTTATCTTTATGAGACCCACTTTTTTAAACTCCCATGTATGAGTGAGAACATGTGACATTTGTCTTTCTGTACTTGGCTTATTTCACTTAACATAGTGATCTCCAGTTCCATCCATGTTGCTGCAAATGACTGAAATTTTTTTTAATGGCTGAATATATTCCATTGCGTATATATACACCACATTTTCTTTATCCATTCATCCACCAATGGGCACTTAGGTCAATTCCATATTTTGGCTACTGTGAACAGTGCTACAATAAATGTGGGAGTTCATATGTCTCTGTGATATATTAATTTCATTTCTTTTGGATATATACCCAGTAGTGAAATTGCTGGATCATGTGATAGTTCCATTTTTAGTTTTTTGAGAAACCTTCATACAGTTTTCCATAGTGGCTGTACTAATTTACATTCCCGCCAACAGTGTAGAAGGGCTCTCCTTTCTCTACATTCTCACCAGCATCTGTTATTCCCTGTCTTCTTTATAAAAGCCATTTTAGCTGGGGTGAAATGATCTCTCACTGTGATTTTTATTTGAATTTCTCTGGCAGTGAAGTTGAGCATTTTCTTCATATACCTTTTGGTCATTTGTATGACTCCTTTTGAGAAATATCTCTTCAGATATTTGGCCCATTTTAAAATTGGATTATTTGGAGTTTTTTGCTACTGAGTTGTTTGAGCTCCTTATATATTCCGGTTATTAATTTCTTGTCTGATGGGTAGTTTGCAAATATTTTCTTCCATTTTGTAGGTTGTCTTTACACTTTGTTGATTGTTTCCTTTCCTGTGCAGAGCTTTTTAGCTTGATGTAATCCCATTTGCCTATTTTTGCTTTGATTGTGCTTTTGAGATCTTACACACACAAAAATCTTTGCCCAGACCAATGTCCTGGAGCAGTTCCCCAGTGTTTTCTTCTAGTAGTTTCCTAGTTTCAGGTCTTAGGTTTAAGCGTTTAATCCATTTTGATTTGATTTGAGAGAGGTCTAGTTTCATTCTTCTGCATGATTATCCAGTTTTCCAGAACCATTTATGGACGAGGCTGCCCCTTCCGCAGTGTATGTTCTTTGTGCCTTTGTTAAAAATAATAGACGTATATGTGGGTTCTCTACGCTGTTCCATTGGTCTATGTGTCTTTTTTAAATGCCAGTACCATGCTGATTTGGCGGTATATTTTGCTATATATACTACCATGTTGATTGTAATATGTTTCAAAAGCCATATGATGCCTCCAGCTTTGTTCTTTTTGCTCAAAATTTCTTCATCAAATAGATGTGGCTCCATGTACATTTTAGTATTTAAAAAATTTCTGTGAAGTATGTCAATGTTATTTTATAGGGATTGCATTGAATCTGTAGGTTGCTTTGAGTGCATTGTCATTTTAACAATATTAATACTTGCAGTCCCTGAGTATGGAATATCTTTCAATTTGTGTGTTTATGTGTGTGTGTGTGTGTGTGTGTGTCCTCTCCAATTTCCTTCATCAGTGTTTTATAGATTTCCTTATATAGATCTTTCACTTCTTTGGTTAAATTGATTCCTATGTATTTTATATTTTTGTAGCTACTGTAAGTAGAGTTGCTTTCTTAATTTCCTTTTCAGATTGTTCACTGTTAGCGTATATAAGTTCTACAAATTTTTGTATATTGATTTTATATCCTACAGCTTTACTGAATTTGTTTATCAATCCTAGAAGTTTTTTGGTGGAGTCTTTAGGTTTTTCTAAGTATAAGATCATGTCATCTGTGAACAAGGCTAACTTGACTTCTTACTTTCTAATTTGGTCTCTTTTCTATATTTCTTTTAGCTAATTGCTCTGGGACTTCAAGTATTATGTTGGATAAAAGTGGTGAAAGTGGGACTCTGCCTTGTTCCAAATCTTAGAGGAAAGGCTTTCAATTTTTCCCTATTCAGTATGAGGTTAGCTGTGGGTTTGTCATATATGGCCTTTATTATTTTGTAATATGTGCCTTTAATACCCAGTTTGTTGAGAGTTTTTAACATAAAAATTCTTAACTTTTTAGCATAAAAATTTAACATAAAGGGATGCTGAATCTTATTGAATGCTTTTTCAGCATCATTGAAATGATCATATGGCTTTTATTCTTGGTTTTGTTAATGTGATGTAACATGCTTATTGATTTGAATATGTTAAACCATTCTTGCATACCTAGGATAAATCCCACTTGATCATGGTGAACAATCTTTTTAATGTGTTGTTGAATTTGGTTTGCTAGTATTTTGTTGAGAATTTTTGCATCCATATCCATCAGTGACATTGACCTGTTATGTTCTTTTATGTTGTATTGTCTTATTCTGGCCTCATAGAATTAGTTTGGAAGTATTCCCTCCTGTTTAATTTTTTGATGAGTTTGAGTAGAATTGGTGTTAGTTCTTTTTTTTTTAATTTAAAAATTTAATTTATTTTTAGACTCATAGGGCACATGTGCAGATTTGTTTCATGGGTATATTGCATGATGCTGAAATTTGGGCTTCTTTTTTCTGATTTTTTGATTTTTTTATTTAAATTTTATTATTATTATAATTTAAGTTTTAGGGTACATGTGCACAATGTGCAGGTTTGTTACATATGTATACATGTGCCATGTTGGTGTGCTGCACCCATTAACTCGTCATTTAGCATTAGGTATATCTCCTAATGCCATCCCTCACCCCTCCCCTCACGCCACAACAGTTCTCGGTGTGTGATGTTCCCTTTCCTGTGTCCATGTGTTCTCATTGTTCAATTCCCACCTATGAGTGAGAACATGTGGTGTTTGGTTTTTTGTCCTTGCGATAGTTTGCTGAGAATGATGGTTTCCAGCTTCATCCATGTCCCTACAAAGGACATGAACTCATCATTTTTTATGGCTGCATAGTATTTCATGGTGTATATGTGCCACATTTTCTTAATCCAGTCTATCATTGTTGGACATTTGGGTTGGTTCCAAGTCTTTGCTATTGTCAATAGTGCTGCAATAAACATACGTGTTCATGTGTCTTTATAGCAGCATGATTTATAATCCTTTGGGTATATACACGGTAATGGGATGTCTGGGTCAAATGGCATTTCTAGTTCTAGATCCCTGAGGAATCACCACACTGACTTCCACAATGCAATGAACTAGCTTACAGTCCCACCAACAGTGTAAAAGTGTTCCTATTTCTCCACATCCTCTCCAGCACCTGTTGTTTCCTGACTTTTTAATGATCGCCATTCTAACTGGTGTGAGATGGTATCTCATTGTGGTTTTGATTTGCATTTCTCTGATGGCCAGGGATGATGAGCATTTTTTCATGTGTTTTTTGGCTGCATAAATGTCTTCTTTTGAGATGTGTCTGTTCATATCCTTCACCCACTTTTTGATGGGGTTGTTTGTTTTTTTCTTGTAAATTTGTTTGAGTTAATTGTAGATTCTGGATATTAGCCCTTTGTCAGATGAGTAGCTTGCAAAAATTTTCTCCCATTCTATAGGTTGCCTGTTCACTCTGATGGTAGTTTCTTTTGCTGTGCAGAAGCTCTTTAGTTTAATTAGATCCCATTTGTCAATTTTGGCTTTTGTTGCCATTGCTTTTGGTGTTTTAGACATGAAGTCCTTGCCCACGCCTATGTCCTGAATGGTAATGCCTAGGTTTTCTTCTAGGGTTTTTATGGCTTGAGGTCTAACGTTTAAGTATTTAATCCATCTTGAATTAATTTTTGTATAAGGTGTAAGGAAGGGATCCAGTTTCAGCTTTCTACATATGGCTAGCCAGTTTTCCCAGCCCCATTTATTAAATAGGGAATCCTTTCCCCATTGCTTGTTTTTGTCAGGTTTGTCATAGATCAGATAGTTGTAGATATGCGGCACTATTTCTGAGGGCTCTGTTCTGTTCCATTGGTCTATATCTCTATTTTGGTACCAGTACTATGCTGTTTTGGTTACTGTAGCCTTGTAGTATAGTTTGAAGTCAGGTAGGGTGATGCCTCCAGCTTTGTTCTTTTGGCTTAGGATTGACTTGGCAATGTGGGCTCTTTTTTTGGTTCCATATGAACTTTAAAGTAGTTTTTTCCAATTCTGTGAAGAAAGTCATTGGTACCTTGATGGGGATGGCATTGAATCTATAAATTACCTTGGGCAGTATGGCCATTTTCACAATATTGATTCTTCCTACCCATCAGCATGGAATACTCTTCCATTTGTTTGTATCCTCTTTTATTTCATTGAGCAGTGGTTTCTAGTTCTCCTTGAAGAGGTCCTTCACATCCCTTGTAAGTTGGATTCCTAGGTATTTTATTCTCTTTGAAGCAATTGTGAATGGGAGTTCATTCATGATTTGGCTCTCTGTTTGTCTGTTATTGGTGTATAAGAATGCTTGTGATTTTTGCACATTGATTTTGTATCCTGAGACTTTGCCGAAGTTGCTTATCAGCTTAAGGGGATTTTGGGCTGAGACAATGGGGTTTTCTAGATATACAATCATGTCATCTGCAAACAGGGACAATTTGACTTCCTCTTTTCCTAATTGAATACCCTTTATTTCCTTCTCCTGCCTGATTGCCCCGGCCAGAACTTCCAACACTATGTTGAACAGGAGCGGTGAGAGAGGGCATCCCTGTCTTATGCCAGCTTTCAAAGGGAGTGCTTCCAGTTTTTGTCCATTCAGTATGATATTGGCTGTGGGTTTGTCATAGATAGCTCTTATTATTTTGAGGTACATCCCATCAATACCTAATTTATTGAGAGTTTTTAGCATGAAGGGTTGTTGAATTTTGTCAAAGGCCTTTTCTGCATCTATTGAGATAATCATGTGGTTTTTGTCTTTGGTTCTGTTTATATACTGGAGTACATTTATTGATTTTCGTATGTTGAACCAGCCTTGCATCCCAGGGATGAAGCCCACTTGATCATGGTGGATAAGCTTGTTGATGTGCTGCTGGATTCAGTTTGCCAGTATTTTATTGAGGATATTTGCATCAATGTTCATCAAGGATATTGGTCTAAAATTCTCTTTTTTTGTTGTGTCTCTGCCAGGCTTTGGTATCAGGATGATGCTGGCCTCATAAAATGAGTTAGGGAGGATTCCATCTTTTTCTATTGATTGGAATAGTTTCAGAAGCCGATCCCACAGAAATACAAACTGCCATCGGAGAATACTATAAACACCTACACAAATAAACTAGAAAATCTAGAAGAAATGGATAAATTCCTCAACCCATACACCCTCCCAAGACTAAACCAGGAAGAAGTTGAATCTCTGAATAGACCAATAACACGCTCTGAAATTGAGGCAATAATTAATAGCTTACCAACCAAAAAAAATCCAGGACCAGATGGATTCACAGCCGAATTCTACCAGAGGTACAAGGAGGAGCTGGTACCATTCCTTCTGAAACTATTCCAATCAATAGAAAAAGAGGGTATTAGTTCTTCTTTAAATGTTTGGTAGAATTCAGCAGTAAAGCCATCAGGTCCTGGGCTTTTCTCTAATACGAGACTTTTTATCACATCTTCAATGTTGTTTCTTATTCTCGGTTTGTTGAGGTTTTCTATTTCTTCATGGTTCAATCTTAGTAGATTGTATGTGTCCAGGAAATTATCCATTTCTTCTAGGTTTTCCAATTTGTTGGCATATAGTTGTTTATAGTAGCCTCTAATGATTCTTTGTAATTCTGTGGTCTCAGTTGTTATGAGTTCTTTTTTGTTTCTGATTTTATTTATTTAGACTTCTTTCTCTCTTTTTTAGTCTAGCTAAAATTTTGTTGATTTTGTTTATCTTTTCAAAAAATCAACTTTTCATTTCATTGATATCCTGTATTTTTTTAACTTAGATGTTTCTTTGCGAATTATCTGTCTGGATAATTGGCCCATTACTAAGAGTAGGGTGTTAAAATCCTCTACCATTATTGTATTGCAATCCTTCTCTTCCTTTAGATCTACTAATGTTTGCTTTATATACTTGGAAGCTACAGTTAATGGGGTGCATATATAATTATAATTGTTATATTATCTTACTTAATTGACCCCTTTATCATCATATGGTGACCTTCTTAGTCCCTTTTTACAGTCTCTGATTTGTACTCTATTCAACCTAATATAACTGTAGATACTCCTCCTCTTTTTTGGTTAGCATGTGTAGCATTTTTGGTTAGTATAAAATATCTTTTCCCACTCCTTCACTTTCAGTCTATGTGTGTTTTCATATATGAGGTGAGTTTCTTGTAGGTAGCATATAGTTAGGTATTATTTCTTTATCCATTCAGCCACACTATGCCTTTTAATTGGAGAATTGAGTCTGTTGACATTCAATGTTATTATTGATTAAATGTGGACTTATTGTTGCCATTTTGTTGCTTGTTTTCTGGTTGTTTTGTAACTCCGCATCCTTTCTTCCTTTCCTACAGTCTTCCTTCGTGGTTAAGTGATATTCTTTGGCATTATGTTTTAATTCTTTTTTTATTTTTAGTGAATCTATTATAGGTTTTTGCGTTATGGTTACCATGAAGCTTACAAAAAATCATAGATATATAACAAATTATTTTGAAGAGATGACAACTGCTGTGCACAGTGGTTCATGCCTGTAATCTCAATACTTTGGAAGTCTGAGGTGGGAGGATTGTTTAAGTCCAGAAGTTTGAGACCAGTCTGGGCAACACAGTGAGACCCTGTCTCTACAAAAAATGTTTTTTAAAAAATTAGCCAGGCATGGTGATGTGTGCCTGTAATCCAGCTACTTGGGAGGTTGAAGTAGGAGGATCACTTGAGCCCTGGAATTTAAAGCTGCAGTGAGTCATGATCATACCACTGCACTGCAGCCTGGGGGCCAGAATAAGACCCTGTCGAGAGAGAGAGAGAGAGAGAGAGAGAGAGAGAACACAGAGAAGAATAGAAACAAATAAAACATTTTTTAAAACTCTACAAATTAACTCCATTCTCTCAACGTTTTGACTTTATGTTGTCTCAATTTACATATGACGCCTATCTCTTAACAGGTTTCTATAGCTATTGTTGTTTTTGATAGATTTGTCTTTTGGGCTTTATACTAGAGTTAAGAGTGGATTGCACACCACAATTAGAGTATTAGAGTATTCTGGGTTTGTCTGTATACTTAGTTTTACAAGTGAGTTTTATACATCGAAATGTTTTCATTCTGTTCGTTAGTGTTTTTCTTCTTTCAAATTGAAGAACTCTCATTAGCATTTCTTGGAAGATGGATCTGATGGTGGTGAATTCTGTTTTTGTTTGTCTGAGGACGACTTTATCTTTCCTTCATACTTGAAGGACAGCTTTGCTAGATATAGTATTATTAGCTGACAGTTATTTTTTTTCTTTCAGCACTTTGAAAATGTTATACCACTCCCTCCTGGCCTATATGGTTCCTATTGAGAAATCTGTTGCCAGACAAATTGGGTTTTCTTTGTATGTTATTTGCTTATTTTCTCTTGTTACTTTTTGGATCCTCTCTTTGTCCTTGACCTTTGAGGGTTTGATTATGCATTGGAGTAGTTTTATTTGGGTCTTGCTCTGTCACCCAGGTTGCAGTGCAGTGGCATGATCATGGCTCACTCTATCCTTGACTTTGCAGGCTTAAGCAATCCTTCTACCTTAGACTTCTGAGCAGCTGGAATCACAGGTATGTGTCACCACATTCAGCTAATTTTTAAAAATTTTTTGTAGAGACAAGTCTCACCATGTTGCCCAGGCTGGTCTCAAATTCCTGGGTTCAAGTGATCTTCCCACTTTGGTCTCCCAAAGTGCTGAGATTATAGGGGTGAGCCACTGTACCTGGCCTATTTTGAATTTTTGATCAGAGAGTTCACATATTGCCATCTCATTAGGGTCAGTTTCTGATTTCTTGCTTTGTAAATCTAGAGAAATCATGGGTCCCTGTTTGCTGTTGTTTCTTGTTGATGTATGCCTATATCTTTGCATTGAAGGCTTAGTTATTTGTCCCAGTCTAATCAGCCTCGTTTTGTTGTTTATTGGATATGTTTCCTCAGAGATTCTTTGTAGTTTACCCATTGATTTTCTTTCTTTTTTTTTCTGCTAGGTTTCTGCCTCCTTCTTTGTACTAGATGGTGCCTTAAGCCCAGGTTTGCCTCAGTTCTAATAGACAATTAGTGTCACTGGTCTTAAATAGGGGAGGTCTCAAAGGGGATGACTCAGTAGTGTGGCACTGCTGGCTATAGGCTCATGCCCAGGGGACCTGTGGGATGAACCTCCTACAGCATGGTGCTGGTGAACAGCCACTGTGATTTGGTGTCTCCTTTGATCAAGTTACAGGGTTAAGTTTCCAAGGCTGGGGCTAGTAGTCTAGCCTCCCTCTTTTGTCTCTGGCTATCCTCAGTGATCTTTCTTCTTTCAGGCACTCCTGATACTTCCCATGGTTGAAACAGAAATGGGTCTCCTGCCAGTGAACCCAAGAGGATGAGGAAGTTGGTTTACCACCTTGATCTTATTTTTTCCAGTATTTTTCCAACTGTGAGTTGGGGAAAATTTTCTATGGCTAGGTGCTGGATGGATTGTGGGGAGGGACATTGTGGATATGAAAATCCAATTTTCTTACTATCTGCTCAGAGTTTGTTCACTTCTCTGTGGCCCAGGGAACCACATATATTCTCCTGATATTTGAGTTCTGGGATATTGCTGGTGATAATGTCCATGCTGTCTATTTGTTTTTAGTTTTCTGTGGGAGGAGGTGAAGCCAGCTTACTTCTACACCATGATTTTGGAACCAGAAGTACTCCAAATCTCTATATTTTCTGAGTCATTTCTTTGGTTGTTGGTCTAGGGCTTCCATAGAGTCTCAATTTATCAGAATCTACTTAGAGTTCTTCTAATTTAATTTCAGTGAACTATAGAAATGTTACTTCTAGAAAACTCTATGTCCTCTTTTCCTTTTTGTGCTACTATTGTTATACATATTACATCAGAATATGTCAAAAACCTACCAATACACTGTTATAATTGCTACTTTATATATGGACACTTCTGTATAGAGAGCAAGTAAATATTTTTTAGCTTATTATATTTGCCTTCTTATTTATCATTTCTTGTTCTCTTTATTGGTTCCTGTGGTTTTGAGTTACCATCTGGGATCATTTCCTTACTCCAGTACCTACCCACTCCTTTGTGCTGTTATTGTCAAACATGTCACATGTATAGGCCTAACAATACCTATATGTTAGTGTCATACATATGTATACATGTATATACATATGTATACATATATACATTCTGTTTCATACAATTGCTTTTAAAATCAGGTAAGAGAAGAAAGAAGAAAATATGCATTTGTTTATTTATTAATAATTGCATAACTACCTTTAACAGGGCTCTTTTTTTAATGTGGGTTCAAATTTTCATCTGGGTTTACTTGCTTTGAGCCTGACTGATTTCCTTTAATATTTCTTATAAGGTGAACCTGACAGCAGTAAATTATCTCAAGTTTTGTTTATCTGGGAATGGTTGTATTTTACCTTCATTTTTGAAAGATACATTTACTGAATATAAGACTCATGGTTAATATTTTTCTTTGAGCACTTTAAGTGTGTCATACTACTAAGCAGTCAGCTGTTCATCTTATTGGGGTTCCCTTGCATGTAATTTTTTCTTGTTGCTGTCAAGATTTTATCTTTGGTTTTGGCTTTCAGCATTTTTATTATGTGTTTGGGTGTGGCTGTCTTTGTATTCATCCTAATCAGACTTTGCTGAGCTTCATGGATATGCAGATTAATGTTTTTCAGCAATTGGAAGTTTTCAGCTACAATTTTTTTTTTTTTTTGAGACAGTCTCGCTCTGTCATCCAGGCTGGCGTGCAGTGGTGTGATCTCATCTCACTGCAACCTCTGCCTCCTGGGGTCAAGCGAGTCTCCTGCCTCAGCCTCCTGAGTAGCTGGGATTACAGGTGCCCACCATCATGCCTGGCTAATTTTTGTTTTTGTTTTTGTTTTTTTAGTAGAGATGAGGTTTCACCATGTTGGCCAGGCTGGTCTCGAACTCCTGACCTCAGGTGATCTGTCTGCCTTGGCCTCCCAACGTGCTGGGATTACAGACATGAGCCACCATGCCTGGCCTCAGCCATTATTTCATCTAATATTATTTCTGTTCATTTCTTCTCTCCTCCCAGTATTTCTGTTACATGTGTGTTTGTGTGTCTAAAGGTGTCCCACATTACTCTGAGGCTCTGCTCATTTTTTTCAGTCTATTTTTACTCTGTTCTTCAGATTGCATGGTCTCTATTGATCTATTTTTAAGTTCACTGTGTATTTCTTTTGCTGGTTAAAATCTACTGTTGAGCCCCTCTAATGAATTTTTCATTTTATTTATTACACTTTTAAACCACAGAACTTTTGTTTTTTTATAGTTCCTATCTCTATTAATATTCTCCATTTGATGAAACATGATCTTCCTATCTTTTATAATTTCTTTAAGCATGGCTTCCTTTAGTTTTCCAAACATATTCATAACGCATACTTTGAAGACTTTGTCTATTAAGTATAACATCTGGAGTTTCTCACAGGCAGTTTCTGTTGCCTACATTTTTCCTGTGTATGGGTCCATGTTCCTGTTTTTTTGCATGTCTTATAATATTTTGTTGGAAATGAGGACATTTCTGGTAATATAGCAACTTTGGAGACTGATTGCCCTTCTCCCTCTCTGAAGCTTAATTTTGTTTGCTTATGTGTTTTATGACTTGGCTAGACTATCTTAGTGAAGTCCATTTCACACAGAATGAAGTCTTTGGTGTTGCTCGTCAAAAGGCACAGCCTGGGGCATGCACACAGTTACCTTGGGATGAGGGTGGTTTTAGCACACTCTCTTTGTCTCTTTTCTGATCTCTCTGTTAAGCTGTCTGTTTCATTTGGTATTACTCTCCATCCTTTAGACTCCACAAATTACCAACTGATTGCTTTATGTCTTTTTTGACAATGCCCTGAAACATTAATTTCTGAGCAGCCCAATCCAATCAAATTTGGAGAGGGCTAGATTGTGAGCTCAGTCTTTAAGGTTTATTCTGTACCCAGTGGAAGTCTTCTTAGCTATCTCTTTCCCAGATTCTCCCTGGTGACCTAGATGGCCTATGGTTTAGCTTGTTCCTCCTAATTAAGAGCAACTATTGATTTTGAGAGCATCCTTAGGCTTAAACTTCTCCAGTCTCTTTCAAATAATGTCAGGTCCTTTGTGGAGAGCTTTTTCTATGTGCCGCCTCTCCCCTGGCACAGTCTCTGAGCCCTGAATGGGCCATGGCCTCTGTCTTCATTGCTTGCCTGTTTTGGTGTAAACACTCTGCCTTCAGCTGAGGCAACGGTGGTTAGGGTGCCAGTATCCTTGGCCTGATGTGCTAGGGTAGAGCTTCTGTCCTATCGGTAGAGGAAGGAAGCTCCGTATCTCTCAGTCACATTCACCAGGAACTCTTAAACTTGGAATTGAAAGGAATTAGAAATGCTAGTGGTCTGCCCTTCTCAGTAAGGCATGGAATGACTTGGTTGGGAGGAAGAGGGAGAGGGAGCACCATATTTTGATCACACTCACTCAGAGTGGAGCTTCTGTGAAGCTGAATAGAGAGGAAGCTGGGGTGGGGGGACACGGGGAGGGAATGGGCCATGGCTCAATGCCACAGATTCTTGCTATTCTTACTGAGTTTTAATATGTTTTCTTGAATAAATATTTCTTTATTTGCTGTATGCTGCAGGACAATTTCCAGAGACTTTTAATGACTTATTAAAGAAATGTTTTTTTAAAAAATAGCTGTTGACAGTCTTCCTTTTTTTTTGTGATGGGGTTTTGCAATGTTGCCAGGCTGGAGTAAAGTGGCTATTCACAGGTGCAATCATAGTGCACTACAGGCCTGAATTCCTGGGCTCAAATGATCCTCCTGCCTCAGCCTCCCAAGTAGCTGGGAATTCAGGCATGTGCCACAATACCTGGTCTAGTTTTGCTTTTTTCACTGGAAGTGAGTCTGCAAAGATTCATATTCTAACATCCCTCTATAGCTTCTCAGTAAACTGACAAATTGTTTTTGTAAGTGTTTGTACCCTGTTACATTCCCACCGGTTCTAGTTTCTCCTCATTCTTACCAACAATTCATATCGTCAGCCTCTTTCATTTTAGCCATTCTAATAGATATGTAATCTGACAAGGAATTAATAACCAGAATTAAACAACTCAAACAACTCAAGAGGAAAACATAGAATAATCTGATTTAAAATGGGCAAAAGATCTGAAGAGACATTTCTCAAAAGAAGACACAAATGGAAAACAGGTATATGAAAAGGTGCTCAACATTGTTGATCATCAGAGAAATGCAAATCAAATGCAATGAGGTATCATCTCACCCCAGTTAAAATGGCTTTTATCCAAAAAAATGTACAATAGCAAATGCTGGTAAGAATGTGGAGAAAAGGGAACCCCCATATGCTGTTGGTGGGAATGTAAATTAATACAACCACTATGGAGAACAGTTTGAAGATTCCTCAAAAAACTAAAAAAAGAGCTACCATATGATCCAGCAATCCCACTGCTAAGTATAGACCCAAAAGAAAGGAAATCAGTATATCAAAGAGATATCTGTACTCCCATGTTTATTGTAGCAATGTTCGCAATAGCCAAGATTTGAAAGCAAGCTATGTGTCCATCAACAGATGAATGGATAAAGAAAATGTGGTACATATACCCAATGGAGTCTATTCAGCTGATAGATGTATAGTAGTATCTCATTGTGTGTGTGTTTCTTTGTTTTTTTGTTTTGTTTTGTTTGTTTGTTTGTTTTTTGAGATGGAATCTCACTCTGTCGCCGGGCTGGAGGGCAGTGGCGCAATCTCAGCTCACTGCAACCTCTGCCTCCTGGGTTCAAGTGATTCTCCTGCCTCAGCCTCCTGAGTAGCTGGGAATACAGGCACATACCACCACACCCAGCTAATTTTTGTATTTTTAGTAGAGAGGGGGTTTCACCATGTTGGCCAGGATGGTCTCGATCTCTTGACCTCATGATCTGCCCGCCTTGGGCTCCCAAAGTGCTGGGATTACACGCATGAGCCGCCTTGCCTGACCTTCATTGTGTTTTTGATTTGCATCTCCTGATGAGTTCAATGTTGGGCACCTTTTCATGTGCCTATTTGCTATCCACATATATTCACTGGTGAACTGCCTGTTCAAAGCTCTTGCCTATTTTTAAATTAGAATTTTTCTTATTTATTTAGTTTTGAGAGATCCTTTGCAAAGTTTTTTTTCCCAATCTGTAGCTTGTCTTTTCATTCTATTAACAGTGCCTATTGCAAAGCAAAAGTTTTTAATTTTGATGAAGCTGAAGTTATCAATGTGTTATTTTATGTATGGTGCTCTTGCTGTTGTAGCTAGTAAATCTTTGCCTAGCCCAAGGTCAAAAAGTTTTCTGCCATGTTTTCTTCTAGACATTTTATAGTTTGGAGGTTTACATTTCAGTATGTTTTATATGGGGACTAAATTTGGGGTATAAATTTTGGGTTGAATTTCGGTATTTTGCCTACTTGATCCAATTTTTCCAGCACCATTTGTTGAAAGATTCTCCTTTCTCCACTGAATTGCCCTTATCTGTAGTCAAAATTCAGCTAAATATATTTGTGATAATTTGTTTCTGGACATTTTCTGTTCCACTGATGTATTTTCTATCTTGCCAGTGACAGAGTTTTTGATTACTGTGACTTTATGATAAGTTTTGCAATCAGATAGTGTTTGTCCCCCAATTTTGTTTTTCTTTTTCAGAAAAAAGTTTGATTTGGTGTCTTTCTTATATTTTCCATGTCTTAACCTTTTGAACGTACAGAATACAATTACAATAACTGTTTTAATATTCTTCTTTGCTAATTCTAGCATTTGTGTCACTTCTAGGTCAGTTTTGATTGATCAACTTTTCTCCTCATTATGGGTTGTGTATTCCTGTTTCTTTTCATGCCTGGTAATTTTTTATTGGATGGTAGTCATTGTGAATTTTACCTTGTTGGGTGCTGAGTGATTTTTTATTCCTGCAAAGATTAAGCTTTTTTCTGAAACACAGTAAAGTTACTTGGAAACAGTGTGATGATTTAAGAAAGCTTTTAAGCTTTCTTAGGTGGAGACAGGGCAGTGTTCAGTCTAGAGCGAATTATTCCCTACTAATGAGGCAAGACTTTTCTGCATAGTCTACGTAATGCCCTGTTAATCATGACGTTTTCCAATCTGTCTGGTGGGTACAGGCACTATTCTTGGTCCTGTGTGAGTACTGGGTATTGTTACTGCTAATCCTTTCAGGTGATTCTTTTTCCATCCTTGAGTAGTTTCTTCACATGCATGTGCTGATCCAGACTCTGTTGAATACTTCGGAAAGACTCTCCACAGTTCTTTGGAGTTCTCTATCTGTGCACCTCTCTACTCTCTAGTACTGTGTCTTACAAACTCTAGCCACCTAGTCTCTCCAGACTCTTAGCTCTGTCTCTCAAGTCAGTGAGACCTTGAGACTCCATGCAGTTCCCTCTCTCTATACCATGGCCTGGAAACTCTCAAAGGCACTGATCTGGAGTAATTGTAGAGTTTGTCTCCTTTATTTCCTGGCTTTTATAGATCACTGTCCTTCAATGCCTGATGTCCAGTGTCTTGAAAAACCATTGTTTCATACATCCTGTTTATTCTTTAGGTTGTTTCAGGGAGAAAGGTAGATCCGTACTATCATTCCATCTTGCCCAGAAGATGAAGGCTTTTTATAATTTAATTTCATAAGTTTATTTGTATAAAGAATGATTGCCTTGGGGAGGTATGTGGGTGTGGACTGGAAGGCTAGAGTTTGAGGGAGCAGGACCAGACCTAGAGACAAGTGTGGAGGCTTTCATGGTCACTGCTCCAGCCCTGTGGCCCAGGGTGGTTGGAGACCTGGCAGGAAGGGCTCTGCATAGGGCTCTGGCTGCCTCCTCTCTGGGGTAGGGCACCTGTGACTCCTCTCAGACCCCTTTGGTGTCCAGACAAGGCTCTGTCCTAGGCATATCCTGTCCCATGTGTCTGTGCCCACTTCCTACCTGCTCACCTGCAGGTGGGCAGGAGCACCTGAGGTCTGGTACATGATATGGCCATAGTTGGGTATTACCAGTACACCTCAGCAGTCACCGGAGGCTGCCAGCATGATCTTGGTGGCTGTCAGTGACTCATAATGCCTATTCATACTAGCAGTTCTGGATGCAGGGCCCTTGGCTGTAACCTTGAGATGGCCCAGGGGAGCCCTTGCTTCCCAGATTGCCTGGGACTGTGTTCTGGCTTCCCAAGGAAAAAGTCAGTGCATTCTTTGACCTCAGACATCCATTCTAGGAGTTTGTCCCCAGCTAGCTAGACTTGTCAACAATCACAAGAAAACCTACAATGAGTTTCACTATGGTGGCATGAGAACAAAAGATTGAAAACGATCTGTGTCCTCCAATAGCAGCAGTAAATAATTTATGCTCCTTTTACCCAATGGAACACCATGCTGCTGATGAAGAGGCAGAGGCAGATCCAAACATCCTGATAGGGACCAGTGACCAGGATGTATTGTGAGGTGGAAAAGACTAGGTGCAGACAGAGTTCAACACATGCTGCATTGCATCAAGCCATGCAAATCCCTATTTTTCACTTTCATGTAAATGGAGTCATACATTATGGAATCCGCTGTATCTGGCTTCTTTTCCTCAACACGATTTTTCTGAGATTCATCCCTGTTGCTGCATGTGTCAGCAGTTGGCTCCTCTTTGTTGCTGGGTGCACTGTGTGGGTGCACTCCACTTTATCTAGTCTCCTGCTGATGGGAATCTAAGTCGTTTCCAACATGGGAGAATTCTTAACAAAGTTTCTATGAACATTTTATACAAGTCTTTGGATGGATAGGTGATTTCATTTCTTCTAGGCCAATGCTTGGGAGCCGATTGCTGAATCATGTGGTAAATATACTTTTAACTTTATGAGAAACTGCCAAACCTTTCCCAGCATGATTTTACTGTTTTACATTCCTATCAGCAATATATGAGGTATGCAGTTGCTCTACACCCTTGCCTACACTTTGTATTGTCTGTTTAGTTTTAGCTATTCTGGTGGGTGTGTAGTAGTGGTATCTCATGTTGTTTTTAAAGTGAGGAGCACTTTCACATTTTTGCTGACCATCAGTATATTTTCTTTTTTTAAGCCTTTTACCCATTTTTATTGGGTTATTTTTATTGAGTTGTAATGGTTCATTATATTGGATATATTCACAGTTGAGATAGAGAAAGAGATCAATTTTATAGATCTTTTCAAATAACCAACTTTCCATTTCATTGATTTGCTCTATTTTTGTTCACTTTTTATTTTATTATTTTAGATTCAGGGGGTACATGTGCATGTTTATTACATGGGTATATTACATACTGGTGGGGATTGGGCTTCTACTGCACCCATTATCCAAACAGTGAACCTTGAACATGATAGGTAATTTTTCAACCCTTGTTCCCCCTCTCATCCTCTCCACTTTTGGAACCCTCAGTGTCTATTATTTCCATCTTTATGTCCATGTGTACCCATTGTTTAGCTCCCAGTTCAAAGTGATACCATGTGGTATTTGATTTTCTGTTTTTGAGTTAGTTCACTTAGGATAATGGCCTCCAGCTCCATCCATGTTGCTACAAAAGGCATGAGTCCATTCTTCTTTATGGCTGCATAGTATTCTGTGATGTGTGTGTGTGTGTGTGTGTGTGTGTGTGTGTGTAACACTTTCTTTATCCAGTCAATCATTAGTGAACACTTAAAAGTTGGTTCTATGACTTTGCTATTGTGAATAGCGCTGCAGTCAATGAACATATAAGTGCAAGTGTCTTTTTTTAACATAATGATTTGCTTTGGGTAGTTACCCAGTAGTGGGATTGCTGGGTCAAATGGCAGTTCTATTTTTAGTTCTTTGAGAAATCTCCATACTGTTTTCCATACAGGCTGAACTAATTTACATTTCTACCAGTGGTGTATAAACTTTCCTTTTTCTGTGCATTTACACCAGCATCTGTTTGTGGTTTTTTTTTTTTTTTTTTTTTTTGACTTTTTAATTAATAGCCATTCTGACTGGTGTAAGATGATATTTCGTTGCGATTTTAATTTGCATTTCTCTGGTAATTAGTGATGAGTATTTTTTCATGTGTTAGTTGGCCACTTGTATTTCTTCTTTTGAGAAATGTCTATTCATGTCCTTTGCCTAGTTTTTAATGAGGCTTTTTTTTCTTATTGAGTTGTTTAAGTCCCTGTAGATTCTGTATATTAGTACTTTGTTGGAGGCATAATCTGCAAATACTTTCTTCCATTTTATAGGTCATCTGTTTACTCTTTATTTTATTTATTTATTTATTTTTTGCTTTGCAGTATTTCATTGATTTCTGTTCTTATCTTTATTTCCTTCTTTCTATTTTGAATTTGATCTCTTCTTTTTCTGGATTCTTAAGTTGGTTACTTAGATAATTGATTTTAGGCCTTTCTTCTTTGCTAATATAAGCATGTAAAGCTATAAATTTCCCTTTAAGCACAACTTTACCTGCATTCCACAAATTTTGATATGTTCTGTTTTAATTTCATTAGTTCAGAACATTTTCTAATTTCCCTTGTGATTTCCTCTTTGATCTGTAGGCTATAGAAATGTGCCACATTTAAATATTTGAGGGTTTCCTTAGTATCTTATTGTTATAGATTTCTAATTTAACTCTGTTAAGGCTAGAAAACATATCCTATATGCTTTAAATTATTTTACTTTATTAAGACTTGTTTTGGTGAATGTTCCAAGTACACTTGGAAAAAATGCATATTTCCAATATAGTTTTCTGTAAATGTCAATTTGGTTAACTGGTTCTTAATGTTGTTCAATTGTTCTATATCTTTACATAATTATTTTTTAATCAGTTACTTAGAAAGGAAGGTTAACTCTCCAACTATGTTTGTTAATTCTATTTGTCATTAGTTTTGTCATTTAGTTCTGTCAAAATGCTTCTCTGCATTTTGAGTGTCTGTTATTAGTTGTGTTTGTGTTTAGCATCAATATGTCTTTTTATAGAATTAACTCTTAGCATTATAAATTGATTCTCTTTCTCTGGTTTTCATGTCTTTTACATTTTCCCATAGTTACCATTCCTGACATTCCTCATTTCTTCATACAAGTCTGTTTCCACCTGATGTCATTCCTTTTCAATTCAAAGAAACTTCTTTTAACATTTCTAGTAGGTCAAATCTACTGGTTATGAATTCTCTCAGCTTTTGTTCATAAGAAAATATCTTTATTTTTCCTTTATTTTTAAGGGGTGTTTTTGCAGTCTGTAGAATTCTAAATTGACAAGTTTTTTTTTCTTTTAGAATTTCAGAGATATCATTCTATTGACTTGCCTTATTTCTGATACTCAGCAGTGTTTTGGTGTTTTTTTGTTAAGTCTTTGGCTACCCCATATTATAATTGTGTCTTTTGCCTGGCTGAAATGTTTCTCTTTAACTTTGCTTTTTAGCCATCTGAATATGATGAGTCCTGGTATGGTTTTCTTTCTATTTATTCTGCTGGAATTTAATTGAGCTTCTTGCATCTGTGGGGTTTATAGTTTTTATCCAATTTCAAACATTTTCTCCAATATTTCTTCAAATATTTTTTCCTGTCCCAATCTCTTGCTGCTTCTTTTGGGACCTCAGCTGCATGCATGTTAGACTGATTGACATTGTCCCACATATCTCTGAGGCTCTAGATTGTTTTTTTCTGGTCTCTTCCCCCTGTATGCTTCATTTTGAATAGCTTCTATTGCCTTGTCTTCAAGTTCAAGCCTGGTCCTTTCTTCTGACGTGTCCAAATTTCACTTTGCAAATATGTTATTTATCAGTTCTTGAATTTCCACTTGATCCATTTCTGTAGTTTCAGTTTCTCTACTGAGATTTCTCATTTGTTCACTCATTGTGTCCATTCCCCTCTTTAAATTCTTGAGCATAGTATAACTGATTACTTAAAGTTTTTCTCTGTCAATCCAACAAACTATTTATTTCTATCTCTTTATGTTGACTTTTTTTCCTCCTGGTTTTGGGTTCCCCTTTCCCTGTTTTTTGGTTTTGTTTTTGCATATCTGGTAATTTTTTGTTGCATTTTAAACATTGTGGATGCTATGATATTGAGAGCCTGGGTGTTGTTTAAAGAGTGTTGACTAGTTTTCTGACAGGCACTTAGTTTACTAGAAAATGATTGGTACTTGTTAGGCTTTTTATGGTGGGCCTAGAATAGCCCTTCACACTGGCTGGGCAGAATTCCAATGTCTCCAAGAATTGTCCAGCCTCTAGAATCTCCATTTACCTCTCAACCATCTAGCAGTGGTTCTCTGCTAAATCTCGCAGAATCTCACCTTAATGCATTTGCAGCTTAGCATTCTGCTAGAGACTCAGTTCTTCTGTACAGAATTCTACTACTCTGCATAGCTTCCTCCTTCCCAGTACTCTGCCCTTCAAACTCCGTCTGCCTCAGAAGTCCCAACCTCCAGTCTTTCCTCTGCCCATGGAGCTTGCTTTGTAGGTTTATATCCCTGTGCCACAGTTTGAAAAATGCTCCCAGGCAAAAAGCCAGAGCAAATGCAGGGCTCGCCTGTGTGTTTCCTTCTCCCGAGAATCACAGCTCTGCTTTCTCTGCTGCCCAATGCTTGAAGGTAGTTGCTTCATATATATTTGGTCTAGTTTTACAGCTGCTTATGCTGCTTATGGGTAGGGTAAATCTGATACTCTGTACTCCATCGTGACCATAGCTGGAGGTACAAACTCCCTCTTTATTGTTCAAATTTTATATTTAAATTTTTCACCTTGTGTATATATTATTTTTATATTAACTTCTTCAAATGTTGGTGTAAACATCCCCAGTGCAGGCAGTGCCTGACTTGCCTGTTCAGCTTATGCACTACCTCCTCACAGCCTGCCAACCACTCTCCCTTTCCCTCTCCCTCTCACCAGGGGTCTGAGAGTTTGAAATGAACTAACCCTTGGTGTGCATACTGGCTCAGCCACTTACTAGTTCAGTGACTTTGGGTAAGCTGACTTAATCTCTCTGATCTCCAGTTTCTTACAGGCAAAATAAAGAGGATAATCCTTCCCTCATAAGACAGCTTTGAGAATTGAATGAAATTGCTCCTCTAGAGTGCCTTCTACAAGTCCATACTATCATGTAAGTGCTCAAAAATGTTTTTTTATTTTTGTCCTCCCCACTCAGTGCTACAGTAACAGAACCTTTGGTCCAGAGCCTGGGATGTTGCCTTTTGCCCACTGGAATTCCCATCTTGGAAGAGTAAGCGCAGGGGATTGTCCAGACAGCCAGGAGGCCAGCGAAGCCAAGTCCTTCAGTACAGCCTGGGAGCCTCCAGGAAGCTGTTAGGAGTTGCCATGATGGGTGCATTTGGACTCACAGAATCTGCCTTCCAATCTCAGTGCTGCTTCTACTCCTTTGCTACCTTAGGTATCTCATTCCTGTTAAAACTGTCTTCTTATCACAGAATGGGGAAATGTGTTCCTTGAGGATAAAAATGAGAGGTCATTTATTAACATGCTTGGGAAGGATGATTTTATGTTGTTTTGTCCTTTCTGGTCTCTGCCTGTTAGCCCCCATCATGACCTTTGTAAAATGTTAGCCTGCCCATTCCCTGGCCATGCCCCCACCCAGCTCCCCACTACTGACAGGACAAGGTCCAAGCTCCTCACCCAGAGCACAACATTCTCCATAAGTTGGTCTCACTCCATCTCCAGTGACTTCTCCCTCCACTGATCTCATGTGCCTCTGCCCCCACCCTTCCAAAGCTAAACATTTTGTGTGAACACTTCTGGTTCTTTCCTGCCTTCTCAGGCTTCCACAATATGTTTTACCACACAGAAAAAATTCCCTCCAATGTCCATCTGACAAGCTCCTATTCATCCTTCAAAACCCTGTTCTGATATACCATGCTCCATTCTGCCCTCTGATAAGCCAGGCAAAGTGAGTCATTCCTCTTCTTTGCCACCCTTGGCCCTTCCTTCTCATGGTCATCACAGCAATCCTGCTGAAAGGGAACTATGAGGTTATTTATCAATCTTTCCCTCTACTGTGAGCCCATTGAGAAAAGGGCCCAATATCTTTTCCATTTTCAAATGTTCAGCTGGGAACCCTGACCAGGAAGGGTAGGAGAGCTGATCAGTGCATAATGGATAGTGGGTAGGTAGATGGGTAAGTGGATGATGGGTGGATGGATAGGTGGATGATGGATGGGTGGGTGGATATGTCAATGTGGGAGTTAATTAATGTTTATTCTATTTGCCTATCTGTCTTCCTCCTTTGAATCTTAGGTCTTTGAAGACAGGTCCATACCTTGGGTGTTTGTATTTGGACAACCACAGACATTGCCAAGAAATGTATCTGTTCTACTTGCACACCTTCACCACCTGGATGCTGCTTGAGGACACAGATCTGGTCCATCAGATTTCTCTCTGTACTCCTCTCTATATTTCGCCATATTTGATATAGACCCATCAATGGCTCCCTAGAATAAAATCTCAACTCTTCACTGTGCCCACAGCCCCAGTGACCTTGCCACTTCCATCAGAGCCCTCACACCAGTGCCCAGACATACAGACTGACCTCCTGACCATCCCCCAGATGTGCTAAGGCCGGTTCTGCTTCTGGACTTCTGAACAGACATGTTTGGTAAACCCAAACATTTCAGATGGTGAATAGCTCTGAAAGCAAAGTAAGACAGGGTAGGGCAGGAAGGACTTCCAGCAAAGTCACCCCAGGCTGGCCCCTTTCTCCCTCTAGAGCAGGAAACCCTTCCTGCAGGACTCAGCTCAGGACCCAGTGATAGAGGTGCCCAAGGTCAGGGGAGGAGTGTGGAATGATGAGGGGCAGAGGGTGCTGCCAGCCATGGGGGGGAGGTGGTGGAAAGGTCATGTGCTTATTTGTTTGTGTATTTGCTAGGATTTTATTAAGCACCTACTATGTATCATGCACCTACTGTTCAGGCACTGAGAGCAATGCGGTGAACAAATCAGCTAAGTCCCTGCCTTCAGGAGCTTACTGTGCTGTGGGGGAAACACAGTAAACACTCAAGCCAGTCAGCACTGTGCATAATATTATGTCAAACTGAGGTCAGGGCTGGGAAGAAAACAAATGTGCAGTGGCATTGTGACAATGGCCAGGGACCTCTGAGGGGAGAAGGAGCTGGCCCTGCAGTGATGGGTTAAGGGTGTCCCAGGCAGAGGAAACAGCAAGTGCAAAGGCCCTGAGGCAGGAACAGGGAACTCAAAGTGGTGGCTGGGGTGTGGGAGTGGGGGAAGGACAGGAAATGAGAGAACAGAAGAGGCCCGAAGTCCCCTGTGGTCTGATGTGCCCAAAAAGTATGGTAAATGGGTGCTAGACTTGAAAAAGGAGGGCATTTCACATCAAAAGCCAGATGCCCAGCTTCTTCTAAACACTGGTATTACTGGCATCTCTGAGCCTGTAAATTGGTCAAGAGTCTCGCTCCCGCCCCTGCTGGGCTAGGCAGGTGCCTCAGCCCTGTAGCTGGGGTAAGACCTATGCACCAGGCCTGGTATTTGTACCCACACCCCTGCCGGACTCTCCGTGGGTTTCGTTTGAACCCTGCACCTCACACACACCTGCGTCAAGCCCTCCCTGGCCCCCACAGGAGAGAGGCCCATCACTCCCCCTGCACCCCATCCTCCAGGTACAGACTCCAGCCTGGCCCCTAACAGGGCCCTCGTTTCTGACTTCTTGCCAGCTGCCTCTCCTGGTCCTCTGCTCAGCTTAGCTGTGCTGGGTGCCTCCTTGGGCCCTAGAGGGAGCCACCTCAAGCCCAATTCACTCTTAGAGGGGCCTTGGCACAGCCTGGGCAAAGGTAATGAGAGAGCCCTGGAGGTAGGGGGTCCATCCTGCCCTCCCATCCCAGAAAAGCTTGGCCACCCTTCCTGGTTGGAGCCAGCCTTCCTGGACTCCCCCCGCCCCGCCACCTGACTGACACCCACAGCCTCTGATGCTATCTCCATTGCATTCCCTCATTTCATTCTCATGGCAACCCAGGAAGCAGTGCTTTGGTGTCCTCATCTTAGAGGGGAAGGGCAGAAGCCCTTCGAGAGACAGTTCTGTCTGTCGTCTGTGTCCCCTCTGGGACTGGTACCTCAGCCACTGAGTGAGGCTGCTGCATGTAGGGCCATCCCAGCCTGGGGGTCCCAGCCCCTGCACCTGCCCTCAGAGCTGCATGGCCCTGTTTAGGGATCCAGCCCCCAGACACCCCGGGCTACCATCCTGTGACTTGGGGATTCAGACACATCACCCCACACCAAAGCTATGGCCTCAAACAGCCCCTCATCCCCAGCGGCCAGGGCGGCCCGTGAGCAGGTCATTAAAACCGAGTAGACTTTATAAACTTGGGCTTAATGTTAAGTACATAAGAAAATCTCTGTAATTTCCCGCCGGGCAATGGGGATGTTGTCTGGTTCCTACAGGCCATAATTTTTGGGGAGAAAAACGTTTTTTTCCCCACAAATGATGGGAAGTCGGTAGTTACGGTTACGGCTGGCTGTTGATGTTGGGAAGCTGTTCTGATGCCCAGAATCCCACCTACCTCAGCTAAATGGTATCTTTATGAAATTAGCAGAACGCGGCTGCACCGAGGGGAGGCAAAAAAAAAAAAAAAAAAAAAATGAACTTTCAAATTTTAAGTATAATTGGAAAACTGACCTTTGGAAAATATTTTCCCACCCGATCCCCACGCTGAGGAAGAATGGGTGCTTTATGCCGAGGTGAACAGGCGACCTTGAGGAATTAGCTGCCTTCATCTGGAGGGGGAAGTGAAGTTGTGACTGGTTGCCGGGTCCCTCCGTGTGTCCTCGGGTTACAGGGTTTGTGGTCACTGACCCAGGAGGGGCTGGCAGTGCTGAGGCCAACCCTGGGCTGGGGTCTGAGGACCAGTGTGGACACTCCTGGAGCCCGGCACCCTCCTGGCCATTAGCCGTGAAGCCCAGGCTGTCCCTCTTGGGTGGGCACCCTGGTGTACTGAGCACACAGCCCGGGGAGCGGCGGCGCTACGGGGAAGCAAAGGATTGCACAAATCGGGCCATGCAGTGCTGCCAGCATGCAAACAGGGGGAGGCGGCGTGACACGGAGGGGGTGATCAACCCACGTGGGTCGAGCCTGGAGCCTAGCGGAGGGCGGGGCGGGGCCGCTGGGGGGCAGGATCCAGCAGGGGCGTCTGTCCCCAGGCCCTAAGGCAGGAGCCGGGGCGGTGCGGAGGGCCGGGGCAGCGCGGCGAGCCTGGAGCTAAGTCGCTGGGGAGGTGGGAAAGGGCCCGGGCATCCAGGCCTGAGGCCTGAGAGGGCAGCGGTCGGGACCCTCGGGCAATGAGAGCAAGGTAGAGTCCATCCGAGAGGACACGTCCGCGGTTTGCTGCAAAAAGCCCCCTTTGGCTGCTGCGTGGAGGGAGGCTCCGGAGAGCGTGGAATCAGAGGTGTGGAGGCGTGGCAGGGGCTGCCAGGGGGCGGTGGCTGAGGGGACTGAGAGCATGGACAGGCTCCTGAGTGCTGGGTGGTCCCGCGGAAAGTGCCTGGGGCTCTGCAGGGCTCTCAAGAGACCGCGTGCGGCCTGGGGGCCTGGCTCTGGGGGCTGCCATCCGGGATCAGAAAATGTCCCAGAGGAGAGGTTGGGGTGTGCCAACACAGAGTGAGCCGTGCACTGGCTTGGGACTGAAGGAACTTGAGGTGCCTTTGATACTCGTATGTGGAGATGCCAAGAAGGTGTCCATTGGGCTTCCAGGACCTGCCCGGCTGTGCACTTGGTGCTGGGGGCTCCAAACCCAAACGAGTAAGACAAACGCTTAGCAACTTGGCAAAAGTCTATTGGAGCCTTGAATGCGTGGTTACATCCACCCTGAGCCTCAGTTTCCACGGCTATAAAATGGGGTAATCGCAGGGGAGGAAGAAACTACAGGCTGTGGGTTTGGGGATCCCTGATGTCCCCTTTCTTGCCCAGGACCTGTGGCATCTGCCCACTACTGGCTGCGGAGCTTGGCCATCCTGGCATGTTTTGATCCTCCCTCTACAACCCTCTGGGGCAGACTGTTTGCTATGAAGGATGCAGAGGTGAGTCTCCAACAGCTGAAGTCACAGTGACCAGAATAGTGGCCCTTTGTGGACAGAACCTTGTCAGGGCCCCCATCCCGGAGTCGCCTCTGTCCCCTGCTCCCAGCTGTGACTTGGGCCCATTATGCCACCTGAAAACTGTCTTGCCTGTTCCATTGGGGACAAACTGAAGCTCCAGGCTCTGCAGTTGGCTCAGAAGCGGTTTCAAGAAGGAATGTTGCTGTGAGGCTGTCCTGGGGCCTCTGCAGGAAGGAGCCCACCAGCTCCTCCTGGAGGTAGGAGGGCAGGCAGCCAGACCTCTCCCCAAATTTGGAGGCCTGGCCCCTGGTATCTAAAGCTGTTTCCAGATCCTGCAGTGATAGTGCCATTCCTTTGAGTGGGTTTTCCCCACCAGCATGCATCCCCTGGTGGCCTTGTCCTTCCTGTAGCGTCCTCTGGGCCCATCCTGATCCCCCAGGCTCTGGGGCTTATCAAGGACTCATGGGCCTCACTGTGCACAGCCTGCTCTGTGCCTGTTACTGGGTGCCATGCTGTAGAATCCACTGCCCCCTTTCCATAACCTTATGAGAGAGGGATACCATTGGTCCTGTTTTCCAATGAGGAACCCAGAGAGCAGAGACCTTCCCAGTGCCAACAGAAAGTGAGAGGAGGAGCAGGGGTGGACTCCTGCTGCCTGGCTACCCTCTGAAGCTAGTCTAGCTCTTGGCATGCCTGGGGGCCAGGTACCTCCAAACCACGTCAGGCCAGAGTCTCAGCTTACTGCAACGCAAAAGATGTGCCTTTGTGTCCAGAGTTGGTTCTTTCCGGTGGGTCCTTGGTCTCGCTGACTTCAAGAATGAAGCCACGGATCTTCGCGGTGTTACAGCTTTTAAAGGTGGCACGGACCCAAAGAGTGAGCAACAGCAAAAGAACAAAGCTTCCACAGCATGAAAATTGACCCCAGAGGGTTGCCGGCTGATAGCTGCGGGGGGGGGGGGGGGGTGCGGGGAAGGGAAGGTGGTGGTGGTGGTGGCCAGCTTTTATTCCCTTATTTGTCCCCACCCACATCCTGCTGATTGCCCATTTTACAGAGAGCTGATTGGCCCATTTTACAGAGTGCTGACTGGTCCATTTTACAGTGCTGATTGGTCCATTTTACAAACCTCTAGCTAGCCACAGAGCACTGATTGGTGCGTTTTACAATCCTAGCTACAGAGTGCTGATTGGTGCGTTTTACAATCCTAGCTACAGAGTGCTGATTGGTGCATTTTACAATCCTCTTGTAAGACCAAAGTTCTCTGAGTCCCCACCTGACCCAGAAATCCAGCTGGCTTCACCTCTCACCTTCAGTGGGGGACGAAGGGGGGTGTGGTGTGATACAACAGCTTCGTGACTTCAGCTAGTTGGTTTGCAAAGTGCCTGGGATAGGAAGTGAGGAGCAGGCAGCAGGTGCTGGACCCAGGGAGCACAGCGGGTTCTCTTGCCTCTCTCCAATACCCTAATCCTGGGAAGTCTGATTGGCTGAGGTAGCAATGTGGTAGCAGCAGGTACAACACTCAACTAGTGCCACCTGTGTCCTGGGAACTGTTAGAAACTCTTGGTACCCTCTGTCGCAGCTCCCTGCAATGTAGGTGCCATCATCACTGTACTTACAGATGGGGAAGCAGGGGCGCCCAGTCAGGTTTGAGGGTGCATAAGGCCCTGCCTCCCAGCCTGGGAAGCTAGGGAAAAGAGGGGCCCATGGGCAGATTTCTTAGGCCTGTCCTCTTTGGAAGAACGGAGAACATTTACTAATTACCATTCGCTAATTACCATTCAGGCAATTTCCATAATTGTCTCAAGAAAAGATTTGATCAGCCAAACTGTGAGCAGAAACAGCCTCGGCGGAGGGAAAGCCAAAGGCACAGCACGGGGTGCAGAAACCAATGGAAACAGACCACACAGGCCACGGGGAGACCCGGAACGTCTGGGTCCAGTCTAGGCCCCTCCCCATTCTATAGAAAGGGAAGCTGAGGCGCATGGAGGCCACGTGGCCCGACCCAGCTCCCATGGAAAGTCTGTGAGCAAAACGGCAGATTGTGCATTGTGTGGGTTGTGCGCCACGTGGAGACATTGGTAGCGTTGAAATCCATCAGGGCACATTATGGGGTTCGCTCTTGAAAACCCTCCCAAAGACAATGCACCGTTCCTTGAAGCTAATTGCTTTAGTTTGAGGTAATATTCGTCACAGAAACACCAGCAGTAACCTTTGGTCTTGGCAAATTCTCCCCTCAATCACATAACGTAAACAGCGATAAACGAGGGCTTTTTAAGGCTTTCTTCATAATGCGTTACACATGCATTTGTTACTGAATCTGCGTGAGCTCCAAGCCCTGAAATCTGAGCTCAGCTGGGAGGTGAGTGGGCTGGTCCGCCTGCGGTGGGGTCAGCGTCCCCAGGAGACACCCAGCCCAACCGGCCGGGCCCCTTCCCCCACTCCTCCTCCTCCCCTCCCTTCTCCCCACTCCTCCACCTTCTCACCAGCTTCTCTCTCTCCCCTTTCTCTCTAGCCCTTTCTTCTACTCTGTCTCCCTTTGTCTCACCCTGCATCTCTTCTTTCTTTTTTCTGTCTTTCACTCTCTGGACCTGCTTGTGGTTCTTTTACTTTGTCATCTTGGCCTCAGTTTCTGTGTGTCGGTGTTCTGCTCTCTGATTTTCTCTGTATTTCTCTCCTTGTACGATTCTCTGTCTCTCCTTGTCTGACTGATTCTCCCTCTTTGTCTCTTCATCTCTCTCTCTCATCTCTGTCTCTCCAACTGTCCCCTTACACATACCCTGCAAAGAGCCTGGCTCCCCCTCCTCCTTCCTTTTCTACCCAGGGGATTCAGAGGAGTATTCACCTAGGGGTGGGGGATTGCAGCAGTGGAGGATGAACAAAGCATTTGGGAGGCTCACAAGAAGGCTCATGGTCTTTAGGTGGGGGTGGGAGAAGTCAGGGCGGGCTGCGTGGAGGTGATGAAGTTCATTTGAGTGAAGTCTGGGAGGAGCAATAGGAACCGGCCACATGGAGGTGGCAAGAACAGCATTTCACGCAGAGGAACCATGGACGCGCAGGCACAGGGATGAAACCCTCTTGCTGTCTGCATGGCCCTCACTGCACAGAGGAGTGACTGCCCCGATCTGCTAGGCTAAGAGGAGGGCAAGGCGCAGAGAGGGCAATGCTGCTAGAGGCAGGCCATGAGTGGGTGACGGCAGGACCCAGCCATCTCACCTGACCAGACCTGGGCCTTCCTCACTGAGGCAGCTCTTGTTGGCTTCCCATCCCCAGGGATCTCTGCAGGGACCACAGGTGGACAAACAGAAGGCTTCCAGAAAATGGAAGGCTTTATAGGGAGGGGAAATGTTGCAGGACTGTGTTAAAAGTCCATCTTCTTCCCCAGAAACCTGCCTGGTCCATCTCAGGCATGTCAGCCCCACCTCTCCAGGCCACAGGCCTCAGCGTGTCTGCTCCCTTCCCCACTCACCATTGCCCACTTGGCCTCAGACTCTGCAATTCTACCAGTCAAGCCCTCATCCCCATCCTGGACAGTGGCAGCTGCCGCCTCTCAGGCCCTGGCTCCCCGCACCCCCACAGCCTGTCTCCACTGTGGCCACCCAAGCCTGACCATCCCTCCTCAGATTAGACCCTCCATGGCCATCTCAGAGAGAAGCCGGCCCCACAACGTCCCAGAGACCATACCTCTGACCCCTCCGTCACCACCGAATGTTACCTTTTCAGAGGGGCCTCTTGTGGGCCCAAGGCCCTGCAATTTTGCTTCACTGTGCCCCCCAACACACACAGAATTTACTTATTTTCTTGGGTCACTCTCCACCCCCACTTGACTGGGCTCCTAGAGCTGTGTGTTGCCTGCCCTGCCCTGGTGGGACAGTGTCCCTGAGCTGAGAACCTGACACTGGGGTGGGCACAGGAGGGGCTGCAGGCAGGGGAGCTGCAGGGTGCAGGGACATGGTGCAGGCATGGGGGCCCCAGGCCCTTCCAAGGGACGCTCCTGTCCCCCAGGTGCCCAGGCCCTCCAGGGAGGCACTCTCCACTTGCTGGGCTCTGCGATTCAGACAGCGGGACCCTCATGGGGCCCTGGCCTCACCTGTGAGCAGCAGGCTCTGGGGCTGCTCCAGGAATGGAGCCAGAGGCCTCTGCAGGCCCTCGTGCTACTCAAATAACAAGAACATTGAACATTGCAGCAGTGTAACGTAAAAGACCAGTTTCCTTCAGCACCCATTTTAGTGAGCCTGAAAGAGATTTCCTGACGGCCCCAGCCCAGAACCAGCCCTACGGTGGAGTGTCAGCAGAACCTCCGTGCTCCTCTCTGGCAGCTCCCTTGAGCCTTCAACCCCCTTGCCCAGTGGGGGCTAGGGAGGGGGAGTTGGGGGCAGGTCCTGCAGCCTCACTCCTGCCTTCTAAGGTCACTTCCAGGAAGCATCTCCTCTGCGCCCTCCGACCTCCTAAACCCCCAATCCTGAATCTATATCCCCCACATCATGGTGAGGGCGGGTTTGTCAGGTTTTAAAAGCTTTATTTTTTGGGCTTAGGGATGTTTGAGTTTTCCTTTAATTTTTCTTCTTTAAAACATCCTCATGCATTACATATGCTTACCCACGTTTGATATATTTCACAATTATAAAATAGTTTTTTAAATAAAAAGGGCACATGAATAACGTTATTCATTAAGGTTAACTATCAGGTTAAGATAATTAAAGTGTTGTAAGATCTTAACATTATTTACAAGGAATAAAAATAGTTATTAATGTTAGACTTTGGGAAATAATACATATTGTAATTTCTAGAGTAATCTCAAAAGAAAAATGGTATATAATTTTCAAACTAGTGGTGGAAAAAATGAAATGCTAAAAATAATCAATTCAAAGGAATAACAGAAAAGAAATATGGAACGGACCACAAATAAAAAGCAGAAAATAAGATGGAAAATTAAAGCCCAGCTATACCAGTAATTACATTCTATGTACATGGGCCAAATGCTTCCATAAAAGACAAATGTCATCAGATTGAATTTTAATAATTCGAACTACATGCTCTTTTTTGTTTAAATGACAAACTTTATTTTTTAATTGACACATTGTAATTGTACGTATTTATAGGGTGCATTTTGATGTTTTGATGTATATCTATGTTGTATAATGATCCAATTAGGGTAGTTAATGTATCCATCACCTTATGCATTTATCATTTCTTTGTGGTGAGAACATTCAAAAGACCCCCTTCTAGCTATTTTGGAAAATGCAATACTCTTTACCATAGGCACCCTATTATGCAATAGAACACCAGAACTCATTTCTTCTCTCTAAATGTAACTTTGTACCTGTTGACTAACCTCTCCCCATCCTCCCCACTCTCTTCCCTCCCCAGTCTCTGGTAACCACTGTTCTACTCTCTGCTTCTATGATTATCAACTTTTTTTTCCTTTTTAGATTCCACATATGGGCAAGATTATGTGGTATCTGTCTTTCTGTGTCTGGAGTATTTCGGTTAACATAATGTCCTCCAGGTTCATCCACGTTGCCAAGATGACAGGACGTCCTTCTTTTTATGGCTGAATAGTATTCCATTGCATGTATGTACCACATTTTCTGTATCCATTCAACCACTGATGACTCTTAGATTGACTCCATATCTTGGTTGTTGTTGTGAATAATGCTGCAATAAATGTGGGAGTGCAGAGATCTCTTCAACATACTGGTTTTATTGCTGGATCATATGGTAGTTCTATTTTTAATTTTTTTGAGGAACTCAGGCTGTTTTCCATAATGGCTGTACTAGTTTACATTCCCACCAACAGTGTATAAGAGTTCCCTTTTCTCCACGTCCTCACCAGCACTTGTTGCCTTTTGTCTTTTTGGTAATGGCCATTCTAACTGGAGTGAGATGATACCTCATGGTGATTTTGATTTGCATTTCCCTGATGATTAATGATATTGCACATTGTGGTTTTTGTTTGTTTGCTTTTGTTTTTTGTTTTGAGATGGAGTCTCTCTCTGTCGCCGAGGCTGGAGTGCAGTGACACGATCGCAGCTCACCGCAGCCTCCACCTCCCCGGTTGAAGTGATTCTCCTGCCTCAGCCTCCTGAGTAGCTGGGATTACAGGCGTGTGCCACCATGCCCAGCTAATTTTTGTATTTTTACTAAAGACAGGGTTTCACCATGTTGGCCGGGCTGGTCGTGAACTCCTGACCTCAGGTGATCCACCCGCCTCGGCCTCCTAGAGTGCTGGGATTACAGGTGCACATTGTGTTTTGATGTATGTCTCCCCAACCACTCAAACAAGCCTGAGACCACCACTCACATCTGCAACAAATCTGTCATCAGTGCCTGCTGCCCATGTCTGTCCTGTGCAGTCTCTGTTCCCAGAGCCCATGTCCCTCAGACTCCAACCCTTCTGAGGGAGGAGCCATCTGTCCCCAGAGCCTGACACACAGTGGAGCTCAAGGATGCCCCTAAGGGCATCTGTGTATGGAACGTCTGCAGAACTCACTGTCCCTCAGTTCTGAATGGAGCCATGGGGGTTTGAGCACTGGATGATCATGTACCACACCAAACCCTGACACCAACCTTTATGGCTGTGTGACCCTGAGCATTTGTTCATATGGGGCCTCAGTTTTCTCATCTGTAAGGTGGTAATAAATTTGCCCCAGGCTTACAAGGGAGCCTCAGGGAGATGAGCTGATAGCCCAGCACTGGTGAGACACAAAGGGAGGGGATGGAAAAAAAGATGATGAAGATGGCAAGAGCAGTATGTATGTATATGTGTGTGCATACATATGTGTATATGTGTGTGTGTACATGTTTGTCCTATGTATGCATGTGTGTGCATGCATGTCTGTAATATGTATGCATGTATAAATGTATGGCTATGCAAAAGTTTGTATGCATTTGTGCATGTATATGTATATTATATATTTAGGTTTTACATGTGTGAATGTGAATGTGTATTTATGTGGGTATGTGTATATGTGCACATTTACACATGTGTGTGTGTGTGGGTATGTCTATCTGTATGTTTTTATGAGTATATTATTGTATCTGTTTTCTGTGTGCACATGTATGTATGTGCGTGTACATGTGTGTACACGCATATATGGTGTGTGTGCACTTGTGTGTATTATGTGTCCATACAAGGCATGTATTTGTGTGTGTGCATATGTATGTGTGTATCACTCACTTGGTCACACTGGCCCTATGAGTTTTCATTTTCAGACCCAAATTTGCTCTCAAACTTTTCACTGGAAGCCTGGTTGCCGATTGCTCAAAACAAATCACATCAGATGCTGTGTGCAGGCCTTTGTTCTGGGCAGAGCACCAATGGCCTTGTTATGTTAAAGAATGCACTCACTTCGCACAGAGGGGACAAGGAGAAAGTTGTGAGTCCAGCCCTGCAGGGATCAGCAGGAGCTGAGTGACCAGCACAGTGGACGGTGACATTCAACTGATGCACTGTTCAGAGGGCCAGATGGCAGTAACGGGCAATGATGAACTTTGCAGACACAGGGCTGAACAGAAAAAGCAAAATACCGACATGAAAAACTCACAGGCACAAAACAACATGTGTTCAAGAAACAAATTCCAGACAAAAGGAAACACCAAACGCATAGGAATGGGGGCCTCCTGGGGAGGGATTTGGAAACAAGGGAACAAGTCCGAAATTTAAATTAGAGGGCTGCCTGGCCAGCCGGTAGGGGTGACTCCCCGCCAACTGAGGGCACTGGGTAACAGGCCCAGATGAAAATAACAGCTGCCATTTTACACACAAAAGGCACAGACCCTGTGAAATACTGTCAGAGTGGAGTACAAGGATGTCACGATGGCCACAGTCTCCTGGGACTTCCAGGAGCTTCTCACTGGGCCAGGGGTTTTCTGATCTATGCAACAGGCACCACTCCTGGCCAGAGGCCACTCCACACATTTTCATCAGGAACCCAGGGCTCTGGGGAGTTCATGCCCATGAGCAACCAGTGAGAACTCATGGGCGCAGGTGGAGTGGACATGGATGTGCAGAGAGAGCCCCCAAAATCCAAGCCTTGCCTAGGGCCTTCTGTTCACTCTCGCGCTGTGGGCAGAGGTCCCTGGAGAGCCAGTGAGAGGACAAGGTCATTTCCTGCCCAGCAGGTCCCCACCCCCGTCTCTGGCCTGAGAGAAGCCTGAGAGCCAGCTGCTGGGGAGCCCGCCCCCAGGTGGCATGGCCTGGGCAGGGGGTGAAATGTCAGCTGTGGGCTGCCAGACTAGAGTTCTCGGCTAGTCCTGACCCTGCATCCCACCTCCCACCATCCCAGAACCCCAGAGCAGAGCAGCAGCCGAGCCTCAGATATCTCGTACTACCACCTGCTTGCTCCCTGACCAGGAGGCCAAGGCTGGAGGGAAGACACAGCCTTGGGGACAGGGTGAGGGTCTTATGGCCATGTTGGCTCCTGAGCAAGGATCTGTGGCTGGTGGGGTTCACCTTAGGGGATGGGAGGACAGAAATTTCACATGTATCACACGCACACACAACGCATGCACCACACAAGCTTCACACACCACATGCACACACGTGCACCACACACATACACACAATACTGAGCTTTCACACTTTCCAAAGCCTGACTGGCTGCCCCAGCCGCACTGCAGCCCTGGGTTCCGTGGGCTGGGAGCTGAGCCTGTGGGACTAGGACACCTGCCCACAGCCACTCACACAGCCATCCCATGACCCCTCACACAGCCACCCTATGACCACTCACACAGCCACCCCATTACTGAGTCCAGGTGCCTCTGACCCCCTGCTCTGTTGGGGCTTGGATGCCTACTTGGCCACCCTCTCCTCTCACAGGTGGGGACACTGAGATCCAGAGAGTAGCTGTGACACAGCTGGCAGGTAACAGGATGGGGCTTCCCACCCAGCCAAACCCTCAGGCCTTCCCTGGCCCCTGGAACTAGAGGATTCTACACTTTCCTCTGGCAGGACAAGTCCTTTGCTATTTTTACCGTAAATCTGTCTCTCCTTAGACATCTGCTCCTCCAGGAAGTTCTCCCTGGCTCCCTCTCCCCCGGCTCACCCCGGGATGAACTGGTACCCCTGTGATGCATGGAGTACCTGTTCCAACTTGGACACACAGTGCTACTCCCTTCCTCCCGCCAGGTTCTCTGAGACAGAGACCTTATCTGGTGGGTCCTGTCCGTGCCCAGTACCCAGCCGAGTATCAGGAGCTGACAGGGCAGCTGCACTCTTATGAGTAAGCTACCAAATGGGAGATTGCCCCAATGTTCTCTATTTATTAAGCAAACACACAAAGACACCTGACCTCCCACAGTCTGGGATGTAGTGGACCTGTCAGGTCCCACCCAGCCCTGGCCTTCTGCACCCTCTGTTCCCACAGTCTCAAGGTGAAATCCACTCCCCTATCAGCCCCTGAGGCTCCTTTGCAGGGAGAGAGGTGCCCTGAAGCTGCTGGAACCCACTTTGCGTCTACACCTGAAGGATGGGGAGCACCTCAGAATTCAGACCTCAGGTATTACCAGTCCTTGGCCGATGACCATCAGACAGGGAATGTGGCAGTCCTCGCTCCACATTGGAATGGGCTTGAAAAGCGCCCAGCAGGAGGGGCTCATGGACTTTGCCTGGCCTCACACCCTTTCTTGGCTCCTCTGCCTTTTCTGCTCTTTCCTCATCAGTCACCTTCACACCAGCCCTCAACTCAGGCTCTGCTTCTGGGATTGGTTACTGAAAATTGTCCTATCAAGTCTGGGCATAATGGCTTATAACTGTAACCCCAGCACTTTGGGAGGCCAAGGTAGGAGGATCGCTTGAGGCCAGAATTCAAGACCAGCCTGGGTAACATAACAAGACACTGTCTCTATATATAAAACACACACACACACACACACACACACAAAACACAAATTAGCCGGGTGTGGTACCGCATGCCTGTAGCCCCAGCTACTAGGGAGGCTAAGGCAAGAGGATCACTTGAACACAGGAGGTTGAGGCTGCAGTGAGCCGTGACTGTGCCACTGCACTCCAGGCTGGGTGACAGAGCAAGGTTGCCCAGAGCAAGGCTCTGTCTCTTAAAAAGAGAAAGAAAGAAAGAAAGAAAGAAAGAAAGAAAGAAAAAAATTGTCCTAGCAAGCACATTTTTGGTGAGGCTCTGGAGTTGGGGCCCCAACTGGGTACAGGGCCATAGGGACCCCACTGTTGGTGCTGAGTGGAGTGGCAGAAACCACTGGCTGCTGCAGAAATGCACTTGCTACAATCCCCCTTCCTCCAAGTTGGGGGGCAGGGGTGTGCACGGGCCGGGCAATGCATCTAGCATTTAAGAGATGGGGGTAGATTGTAATGAGAAGGGCTGCAATTTGCTGTGGGTGGATGAGAAGTAGAATGGAAATAAGCTCAGGTCAGGAAATCACAGGCAATACCCGTGGCCTCACAGCCATGTTTAAAGAGCTCCTGGTGCCCTGCAGCTGGGCCATGGGCTGTGAAAAGAGCTGAGAGTAGCAGAACCACAGAGAAACCTGAATTCAGAGCTGCCACCGGGCTACCAAGGGCAGAAGGGACCCTGTGACCTGGTGCTTGGGTTTCCTGTCCCTGCTATAACAAATCACTACCAACTGAGCAAGCTTTGAGCTACAAGCTTTGAGCAACACATTCATGCTCTTACAGTGCTGTGGGCCAAACAACCAGAAGTTCTGTATCTCCAGGCTCACCAGGGTCCCCTGCTTAGGGTCTCACAAGGCTGTAACCCAGGTGCCAGTCAGGCTGTGCTCCTTTCTGGAAGTGCTCAGGATGAATCTGCTGCTAAACTCATTCAGGTTGTTGGTTCAATAGTGCTTCCTGTGGTTGCAGAACTGAAGTCCCCTTTCTTGTTGGCTCTCAGCCAGGGCTGAGGGGTCTTTGCTCCTAGAAGAAAGTGCCACATCCCTTCCAAGGGTTCCACATGGCTCCCCCTGTAGCAGAGGGTCAAGTTCCTCTCAGATTTCAAATCTCTCCGATTTCCTCGTCTGAGATATCCCTGACACCAACTGGCAGAGTACTTTGCTTTTAGGAACTCAAGTGATTAGATTGGGCCCTACTGGACAATCTAGCATAATTTCCCTATTTCTGGTCTGTATCCCCCAGCACAACTGCAAAATCCATCTTGGCATGTAAGGCAGTGTATTCACAGGATCCAGGAGTTGGGGTGGGCATCTTAGGGGGGCGTTATTCTGCAGACCACAGGCATAATAAAGTGAATATAGCCTGATGGACTTTGTATTAGTTCATTCTTGCATTGCTGTAAAGAAATACCTGAAACTGGGTAATTTATAAGACCGTTGGGAGTCCACCACTTGCACCAGTGTGCCCTGGATATAAGACATAGAGTCAAAGGAGATTATTTTGGAGCTTTAAGATTTAATGGCTGCCTGGCTGGGTTTCAAACTTGCATGGGGCCTGTAGCCCCTTTCTTTTGGCTGATTTCTCCCTTCTGAAATAGGAATGTTTACCCAATCCCTATACCCCCATTGTATATTGGAAGTAGCTAACTAGTTTTTTATTTTACAGGCTCATAGATGGAAGGGAGCTGCCTTATCTCAGATGAGCCTTTGCACTTTGGACCTTTGAGTTAATGCTAGAATTAGTTAAGACTTTGGGAGACTATTAGGAAGGCAAGATTATATTTTGAAATGTGAAAAGAATATGAGATTTAGGAGGGGCCAGGGTAGAATGATATAGTTTGTATATTTGTCCCTGCGCAAATCTTATGCTGAATTATAATCCCCAGTGTTGTAGATGAGGTCTAGTGGGAGGTGTCTGGATCATGGGGGCAGATACCACATGATTGGCTTGGGCCATCCCCTTGGTGATAAGTGAGCTCTAAGTTCACATGAGATCTCATAATTTAAAAGTGTGTGGCACCTCCACCACCCCTGCTCCTCTCCCTCTCTCACACACACACACGCGCACGCGCTCTTGTTCTCACTATGTGATGTGCTTACTCCTCCTTTGCCTTCTGTCATGATTGGAAGCTTTCTGAGACCTCTCCAGCCTGCAGAACCATGAACCAATTAAAATTATCTGCTTATAAATTACCCAGTCTCAGGTATTTCTTTACAGCAATGTAAGAACAAACTAATACAAAATCTATCAGGCTATATTCACTTTATTATTTTTTCTCTCTGCTCCTCAGTGTCAACAATTTCAATTGTTGAGGTTGAATTGTTAATTATTCAGTTGTCCTATCTTCAAGTTCATGGATTCTTTCTTTTGCCTGCTCAAATATGCTATTGAATCCCTCTAATGAATTTTTCATTTTAGTTCTACTTTTCACTTTCTTGCAGGGTTTAGCCCCCAGGGCTGCTCTCATAGGCTGGTGTTGAGTGTCTGTGGCTTTTTCAGGTGCAGGGTGCAAACTGCTGGTAGATCTACCATTCTTGGGTTTGGAGAACAGTGGCCCCCTTCTCACAGCTCCACTAGGCAGTGCCCCATTGGAAACTCTGTGTGTGGGCTCCAACACCACATTTCCCCTTGGCACTGCCCTAGTAGACATTCTCTGTGAGGGCTCCACCCCACAGCAGGCTTCTGCCTGGACATCTGGGCTTTTCCTACATGCTCTGAAATCTAGGCAGAGGTTCCCAAGCCTCAACTGTTGCACTCTATGCACTTGCAGGCTTAACACCACATGGGAGCCACCAAAGCTTATGGCTTGCACCCTCTGAAGCAGTGGTTCAAGCTTTACCTGGGGCCCTTTGAGCTGAGGCTGGAGCTGGAGCAGCTGGGATGTGAGGAGCAGTTCCTTGAGGCTGCACAGGGCAGTGAGACCTTGGGTCTGGCCCATGAAACTATTCTTTCCTCCTCGGCCTCTGGGCCTGTGATGGGAGGTGCTGCCATGTAGGTCTCTGAAATGCCTTCAAGGCCTTTTTTCCATTGTCTTGCCTATCAGTACTTGGCTCCTTAGTTATGCGAATATTGCTAATAAATGGTTGCTCCATAGCCTGCTTGAATTTCTCTCCTTAAAAAGCTTTTTCTTTTTCTTCCACATGACCAGGCTGCAAGTTTTCCAAACTTTTATGTTCTGCTTCCCTTTTAAATATAAGTTCCAAATTTAAGTCATTCCTTTGCTCCCATATCTGAGCACAGGTTGTTAGAAGTAGCCAGGCCACATCTTGAATGCTTTGCTGCTTGGGAATTTCTTCTACCAGGTACCCTATATCATCACTATAAAGTTCAAACTTCCACAGCCCCACAGGGCATAAACGGAATGCAGCCAAGCTTTTTGCTAAGGCATAACACATGTGATCTTTGCTCCAGTTTCTAATAGTTCCTCATTTTCATCTGAGACCTCATCAGCCTGGATTTCATTTTCCATATCACTATCAGCATTTTCGTCACAACCATTTAACCAGTCTCAAAGAAGTTTCAAACTTTCCCTCACCTTCCTATCTTCTGAGCCCTCCAAACTCTTCCAAACTCTGCCTGTTACCCAGTTCCACAGTTGCTTCCACAATTTCAGGTATCTTTATAGCAATGCCCCACTCCTCAGTACTAATTTTGACCTGTAAGGTGCCACCAAGTGGACCAACATATGCATAATGGGAGTCCAAAAAGGAGAGGAGAAAAAGAGGTAGAAAATTTATTTGAAGAAATAACATCCAAAAATTTCACAAGTTTGATGAAAGACATGAATCTACAAATCCAAGAACCTCAAAAAAAATTTTAAGTAGGATAAACTAAACAAGAAAAACTATACCAAGACACAAATTGTTGAAAGACAAAAGAGAATCTTGAAAGCAGCAAGAGAGAAGTGATTCATCATGTACAAGGAATTCTTTGATAAGATTAACAGCTGATTTCTCATCAGAAACCTTGATCACCAAGAGGTGATGAGCTGACATATTTAAGGTGCTAAAAGCATAAAAAAACTGTCAGCCAAGAATTTTATAAACAGCAACACTGTCCTTCAAAAATGAGAGAAAGGGGATGGGTGTGGTGGCAAGATATATATATATATATATATATATATATATATATATATAGAGAGAGAGAGAGAGAGAGAGAGAGAGAGAGAGAGAGAGAGAGACATTCCAGATAAACAAAAGCTGAGGGAGTGCATTGCTGCTAGAACTGCCCTGCAAAAGTACAAAAAGGAGTCCTTCAGATGGAAATGAAAGCACACTAGACAGTAATTTGAAAACGTTTAAAGAAATAAATATCTTTATTAATGTGAGATACATGGGCAGATATAAAATCTAGTGTATTTAATTTTTGCTTCTAATTCCACTTTTGATTTACTGCATGTTTTAAAATGTAAATGCATAGAAATAATTATAAATCTATATTATTTGGCACATAACATAGAATTTGTGACAAAAATAACATAAAGAGGAGGGCAGAACTGTATAGGGACAGAGTTTTTGGATGCTATTGACATTAAATTGATAAAAATTCAAATTAGACTGTTATAAATTTAGGATTTCAAATGTTATTCCCATGGTAACCACAAAGAAAAAACTTAAAGAATATAGACAAAGTAAGAAGGGAATCAAAATGTTTCACTACAAAAAGATTAAGAAGAAAAGAAGGCAGTAATGGAGGACATGAGGGGAAAAAAAAAGCTAAGACATAGAGAAAGTGCTAAGACATAGAGAAATTTCTGCCATACCACAATGGCAGAAATTAGTCTTTCCTTGACAGTAATTATTTTAAACGTAAATAAAATAAACTCCCCAATCAAAAGGCAGAGATTGGCCAAATGGATTAAAACAAAAACAAAATAAGCCAGGCACAGTGATTCATGCCTGTAATCTCAGCACTTTGGGAGGCTGAGATGGGAGGATTGCTTAAGGCTAGGAGTTCGAAACCACCCTGAGCAACATAGCAAGACCCTATCTTTAACAAAGCAAAACAAAAATCTAACTATATGCTGTCTACAAGAAACTCACTTTAAATTCAAAGACACAAATAGGTTGAAAATAAAAGAATGGAAAATAGATTCCATGAACATACTGGAACCAAAAGATAGTGGCAGTGCCTATACTAATATCATTTAAGTAGAAAATTGTTAAAAGAGACAGAGAAGGGCATTATATACTGATAAAGAGGTCAAATAATCAAAAAGATGTAACACCTAGAAACGTATGCACACAAAACAACAGAGCCCAAAAATATATGACAAAAGCATTGTCACATTTGACTGGAGAAACAGACAATTCAATATTAATAGTTGGGTGTTCCAACACCCTATTTTCAGTAATTCAGACAACATATAAACAGAAGATCAATCAAAATAGAAAATGAAAAGACATTATAAACCAACTAGACCTAAGAAACATTTATAAACTCAACAACAGCAGAGTACACATTTTTCTCAAGTACACATGGAACATTTTCTGGAATAGATCATATGTTAGGACACAAATAACTCTCAATAGATTTAAAAAGAAAAATGTATAAAGAATCTTCTCTGACTACAATGGAATGAAGCTAAAAATCAATAACAAGGAAATCAGGAAAATTTACAAATATGTGAAAATTAAATAACACAGTCTTAGATAATCAATGTGTCAAGGAGAAATAATAAGAGAAATTAGAAAACACTTAGAGTTTAACAAAAGAGAAAATGCAACATACCAATACTTAGGGGATACAATGAACACAGTGCTATAAAGGAAATATGTCACTGTAAATGCTTATATTAAAAAATAAGACAGCTCTTTAATCAATACCCTAACTTTACACATTAAGGACCTAGGAAAAAAAGCACAAACCAAATCCAAAGCTAGCAGAAAGAAGGAAAGATTCTAGTGGAGATAATTGAACTAGAGAATAGAAAAACAAGAGAAGCAAAAAGTTGGTTGCTATGAATGGAAGTGTGTCCTCCAAAATTTATATATATGTATTTATATATATTTATATACATGTATTTATATATAAATATTTTTATATATGATATATAATATATAATTATATATGATATATAATATATAATTATATATGATATATAATATATAATTATACATGATATATAATATATAATTATATATGATATATATCATATTATATATCATATTGTATCATTATATATAATATATATATATATATATATATATATATATATATATATGCCGAAGCTCTAACCTCCAATGTGGCTGTGTTTGAAGATAAGGCCTTTAGGAAGGTAATTAAGGTTAAATGAGGTCATAAAGGTAGGGTCCTAATCTGATAGGAGTGGTGTCCTTACAAGAGGAAGAAACGTTAAGATTCTTTCTCCCTCTCTCTCTTTCTCTCTCTCTCTCTCTCTTTCTCTCTCTCTCTCTCTCTCTCATGCTCTATCTCTCTCGTTCCTAGTACTCAGGAGAAAGTTCATCTAAAGACACACAGCAAGAAGACAGCTGTATACAGCCACAAAGAAAGCCCAGCAGAAACTTAATTTGTAAGTACCTACAAATTCATGAACTTCTAGCCTCCAGAACTGTGAGAAAACAAATATCTGTTGTTTAAGCCACCCAGTCTGAAATATTTTGTTATGGCAGCACAGACTAATACATCAGTTCTTTGAAAAGTTCAACAAAATTGACAAACCTTTAGTTAGACTGACAAAGAAAAAAAGAGTCAATGCATATAACTAAAATAAAAAATAAAAGTGGGGACATTATTATTGACTCTACAGAAATAAAAAGAATTATATGAAAATACTATGAAAAATTTTGCACCAAAAAAATAGACAACCAAGATGAAATGGACAAATTCCTAGAAACACAGAAATTACCAAAATTGATTCAAGAAGAAATGGAATATCTGAACAGATCTTTATCAAGGAGATTGAGTTAGTAATTAAAGATCTTCCAACAAAGAAAAGTTCACAACCAGATGACTTCACTAGTGAATCCTAACAAACATTTAAAGAAGGCTTAATACCAATCTTTCTAAAACACTTCCAAAAATGGGAAAAGGAGAGAAAACTCCCAAACTCTTTCTATAAGTCCAATTACCTGAAATCAATGCCAGGTAAAGACATCACAAGAAAATCAATTTACAGACTTTATGAATATAGATGTGGAAATCTTGAACAAATTAATAGCAAACTGAATCTAACAGCATGGTAAAAAGAGTATACACCATGACCAAGTGACCCTTACCTTAGGAATGCATATTAGTCTGGCATAAGAAAATCAATCAATGTAATACATCACATTAATATAATGAAGGCTAAATAGGAGGAATAAATTCAAAAGATCTATTGCACATCATGGTAACTAGAGTTAATAACAATATATTTTATCCTTAAAAATTTAAATGAGATTTTAAGTGCTCTCATCACAAAAAAGATAAGTATGGGAGAGAAAGCATATGTTAAATAGCTTGACTTAGCCATTCCACAGTGTATACAGATGTCAAAACATCATGTTGTGTGCTATGAATATATATTTTTTACTTATTAATTAAAAATAAGTTAATGAAATTAAAATTAATAAAATAATAGAACAAAGGAGAAAATCACATGATCATCTCAAGTGACACAGAAAAGGCATTTGACAAAATCCAATGACCTATCATGAAAAAAAAAAAACCCTCAGAAAACCAGAAATAAAAGGAAATGTCCTCAACATGATAAAGGGCATTTATGAAAAACTCATAGCTAACATTGTTGATGGCTGTGGTGATACCTCAGTTCTTGTTTTCTTGATTTAAAATAATTTAAACAAGAAACACACAGCAAAGGAGGTGCAGCATAGAGTAATTTATTGCAAAAGAAAAGAATATTTTGAAAGTTAGATGCAGAATGGACAATACACCCTGAGTAAGAAAGAATTCAAGGGCAGGCTGCTCCTAAGGATGAGACAACAAAGACGGGCACTAGGGAGGCTTCCTTTATGGGAGTCTTACATTGAGAGGTGACAGCGTGCTGGCAGCCCTCGCAGCCCTCGCTGGCTCTTGGCGCCTCCTCGACCTCCGCGCCCACTCCGGCCATGCTTGAGGAGCCCTTCAGCCTGCCGCTGCACTGTGGGAGCCCCTTTCTGGGCTGGCCAAGGCTGGAGCCGGCTCCCTCAGTTTGCGGGGAGGTGTGGAGGGAGAGGCGTGGGCGGGAACCGGGGCTGCGCACAGCATTTGCGGGCCAGCGCGAGTTCCGGGTGGGCATGGGCTTGGCTGGCCCTGCGCTCGGAGTGGCCCTCCGGCCCACAAGCCCAGGGCAGTGAGGGGCTTAGCACCTGGGCCAGCAGCTGCTGTGCTCGATTTCTCCCAGGCCTTAGCTGCCTCCCTGCGGGGCAGGGCTTGGGACCTGCAGCCCACCATGCCTGAGCGCCCCCACTACCCCCTGCGCGGTGGGCTCCTGCGCAGCCTGAGCCTCCCCGACGAGTGCCCCCCCCCACCCTGCTCCACGGCGCCCAGTCCCATCTACCACCCAAGGACTGAGGAGTGCAGGCGCATGGTGCGGGACTGGCAGGCAGCTCCACCTGTGACCCCAGTGCAGGATCCACTGGGTGAAGCCAGCTGGGCTCCTGAGTCTGGTGGGGACTTGCAGCATCTTTATGTCTAGCTAGGGGATTGTAAATACACCAGTCAGCACCCTGTGTCTAGCTCAGGGTTTGTGGATGCACCAATCGGCACTCCACCTCCCAGATTCAAGCAATTCTCCTGCCTCAGCCTCCCGAGTAGCTGGGATTACAGATGCCTGCCACCACACCCAGCTAATTTTTTGTATTTTTAGTAGAGACAGGGTTTCACCATGTTGGCCAGGCTGGTCTCAAACTCCAGTCCTGAATTCTCATGCTGCTAATAAAGACATACCCAAGGCTGTGTAATTTATAAAAGAAAGAGATTCAATGGACTCACAGTTCTACGTGGCTGGGGAGGCCTCAGAATCATAGTGGAGACCAAAGGGGTAGCAAAGGTACCTCTTACATGGTGACAGGCAAGAGAGCTTGTGCAGGGGAACTCCCATTTATAAAACCATCAGATCTCATGAGACATATTCACTTCCAGGAGAATACTATGGGAAAACCACCCCCATAATTCTATTATCTCCACCTGGCCCCATTCTTGACATGTGGGAATTATTACAATTCAAGGTGAGATTTGGGTGGGGATACAGCCAAATCATGTCAGGACCATCTTCTGAAATCTGGTTAACAGCCTCTTTCCTTTGCTTGTTCAGACTACAGCTCATCCTGCGACTTCTGAATTCTCACTGTTTAGTGGAGTGATTATTTTATGCATATGGTACTTGCTTAAGTTACTATAATATGCTACTGAATGCCAGCTGGTAAAAATTGGGATATGGTCTGTAACCAGGGTAGAGAGGAGTACTTGCACTTCCAACTCCCCCACTCAGATACATCCTCCAATTTGGCACTTTTAGCCTGGCAAACAGCTCTGAATCTCACCCATCCTCCATCCAATCTGTAGCTAAGGGTGTTCATCAAACAACTTACTATATCTCATCCTTAGCCAGAGTGGCTCTTTGCAGGCCGGCTGTCTGTTGCCAAGAACTAGCTAATCTGGTGGGGACGTGGAAAATCTGTATCTAGCTAATCTAGTGGGGACGTGGAGAATCTTTATGTCTAGCTAAGGGACTGTGAACACACCAATCGGCACTCTGTATCTAGCTCAAGGTTTGTAAATGCACCAATCAGCACTCTGTGTCTAGCTGATCTGGTGGGGACTTGGAGAACCCTTATGTCTAGCTAAGAGATTGTGAATGCACCAATCAGCACTCTGTATCTAGCTCAAGGTTTGCAAATACACCAATGGACACTCTGTATCTAGCTAATCTAGCGGGGAGGTGGAGAACGTTTGTGTCTAGCTCAGGGATTGTAAACGCACCAATCAGCACCCTGTCAAAACGGACCAATCAGCTTTCTGTAAAACAGACCAATCAGCTCTCTGTAAAATGAACTAATCAGCAGGATGTGGGTGGGGCCAGATAAGAGAATAAAAGCAGGCTGCCCGAGCCGGCAGTGGTAACCCGCTGGGGTCCCCCTTACATAGTGTGGAAGCTTTGTTCTTTCACTCTTTGCAATAAATCTGGCTGCTGCTCACTCTTTGGGTCCACACTGCCTTTATGAGCTGTAACACTCACTGCGAAGAGCTGCACTTCACTCCTGAAGCCAGCGAGACCATGAACTCACCAGGAGTAAGGAAGAACTCCAGACGCGCCACCTTAAGAGCTGTAACACTCGCCGCAAAGGTCTGCAGCTTCACTCCTGATGCAGCCAGACCACGAGCCCACCAGAAGGAAGAAACTCCGAACACATCCTAACGTCAGAAGGAACAAACTCTGGACACGCCACCTTTAAGACCTGTAACACTCACCGCGAGGGTCCGCGGCTTCATTCTTGAAGTCAGTGAGACCAAGAACCCACCAATTCTGGACACAGCATGAATATTCATAAGGAGGTGGAAAGAGGTGTTGCTAGTAAGAGTGTTCTAGGTGGTCCTCTGGGTACACATGCACAGTAACTACATGCTCGTTCGTACATCACATGTCTCATTAGCATCTTAAATTTCCACCCAGGGATGTGATTTTTTTACTATTATAATGAGCAGTTAGTTTGAGGACAGGTAAAATCAAAGTGCATATGGTCTCTAGAGGGGAAAGTCCTTACTGAAAATAGCTTTGCTTGAATTAGCTCAATTATAATGCAAATGCTGAGGTTTATGGTGTTGATTAGACAATCACCATGGTCACTCCATCCCCAGAACATGGTCATTTTCTTGACTACCTGTCCTGCGTCAACATCATATTCAATGGTGAAATATTAAAAGTGTTCTTCATCACATCAAAAACAAGACAAGAATGCCTGTTTTTGCCACCGCTATTCAACATTGTACCGGAAGTTCTAGCCAGAGCAATTAGAGACAATAATTAATAAAAGGCACCCAAATAGAAATAAGGAAGTAAGGTTGGGTGTGGTGACTCACACCTGTAACCTGAACACTTTGGGAGGCCAGGTGGGAGAGTTGCTTGAGCTCAGGAGTTCAAGACCAGACTGGACAACATGGTGAAACCCTGTCTCTAAAAAGAAAAGAAAAATTAGCCAGGCATTGTGGTGCATGCCTGTGGACCCAGCTACTAAGGAGGCTGAGGTAGGAGGATCTCTTGAACCCCAGGAGGTCAAGGCTACAGTGCTGTGTTCATGCCACCGCCCTCCAGCCTGAGTGACAGAGTGAGACCCTGTCTTTCTGTCTCTCAATATATAGATAGATAGATCTGTATCTATATAGACATATAATATATAAACATATCATACATATAATTACATATAAATATATAGAGATATATCATTATATCTATATATAGATATATAGATAAAGTTAGTCGAAAGTTAGTTAAAAGACACTTTTAGTTAAAAGTAAAAGATAGTTTTCATATATATGAAAAAAAGAAGTAAAACTATCTCTATTATCAGATGACATGGTCTTACATATAGAAAACCCCAAAGCATCCACAAGAAAGCTACTAGAACTAACTTAAAAATTCACCAATGTTGCAGAAGACAAGATTGACATGGAAAAATTAGTTGTATTTCTATATAGCAGGGATGAACAATTCAAAAAGTAAATTAAAGGATAAATTTCATTTACAATAGCATCTACAATAGTGAAACCCTAGGAATAAATTTAACCAAAGAGGTAAAAGACTTATTTGGACACTGAAAACTGCAAAACATTGCTGAAACAAAGAATATCTAAATAAGTAGAAAGACCTCGCATGTTTATGGATAGGAATGCATGATATCATTAAGGTGTCAATACTACCCAAAGTGATCTACACATTCAACACAGTCCCTAATAAAATTCTAAATGTCTTTTGCAGAAATGGAAAAGTTAATCTTCTATTTCATATATAATTGCAAGGGATCTCAAGGAGCCAAAACAATCTTGAAAATGAAGAACAGTTTGAATGAATCATACTTTCTGATTTCAAAACTTACTACAAATCTACACAATCAGAAAAAGTGTGGTACTGGCATAAGGATAGTTGTACGTACCAATGCAATAGAATTAAGAGTAGAAAAATAGGCCAGGCACGGTGGCTTATGCCTGTAATCCCAGCACTTTGGGAGGCTGAGGCAGGCAGATCACGAGGTCAAGAGATCGAGACCATCCTGGCTAACACGGTGAAACCCCGTCTCTACTAAAAATTCAAAAAATTAGCTGGGCGTGGTGGCGGGCACCTGTAGTCCCAGCTACTCGGGAGGCTGAGGCAGAAGAATGGGGTGAACCCAGGAGGCGGAGCTTGCAGTGAGCTGAGATTGTGCCACTGCACTCCAGCCAGGGTGACAGAGCGAGACTCTGTCTCAAAAAAAAAAAAAAGTACAAAAATATACCCATATGTCTATGGCCAATTGACTTTTGACAAGAGTGCCAAGTCCATTTTTGGGAAAAGAATAATCTCTTCAACAAATGGTATTGGGACAACTGGATATTTACAAGCAAAAACAAATAAAATTAGACCCCACCTGACACCATATACAAAAAAGAACTCTAAATGGATCAATGACTTAAATATGAGAGCTAAAACTATAACACTCTTAGAAGAAAACATAGGGTGTAAATCACTGTGACTTTGAATTGAACAATAGGTTCTTAGATATGACACCAAATGTATGAACAACAAAGAATAAAGGGATAAGTTAAACTTCAACAAAATCAAAAACTTTTGTGCATCAAAAAACATTATGAAGAGGGTGAAAAGACAGGCTACAGAATGAGATAAAATATTTGCAAATTACATATCTGATAATGGTTTAACATCTAGAACATATAAAGAATTCCTACAATTCAATAACAATATAAAACAATCCGTTTCAAAATGGGCAGAGGGCTTGAACAGACATTTCTTCAAAGAAGATATACAAATGGCCCATTAGTACACAAAAAGATGCTCAGTATCATTAGTCATTAGGGAAATGTTCATCAAAACCACCAGGAGATACCTCTTCAAGTTCACTAGAATGGCTAAAATCAATGAATTAAAACAGAAAATAACAAGTGTTAGCAAGGATGTGGAGAAATTAGAACCCTCATACATTGCTAGTGATAATGCAAAATGGTGCAGCCATTGTGAAAAGTAGTTTGGTAGTTCCTCAAAAGTAAACATAGAATTACCACGTGACCCAGAAATTCCACTCTTAAGTACACACCCCAAAGAATTGAAAACAGGACTCAACAAGATACTTGTATGCCAATGTTTATTTTAAAATTATTCACAATAGCCAAAGGGTGGAAACAACTGAAGGGTTTATCAACAGATGAATGGATAAGCAAAATGTGATATATACATACAATGGGAAATTATTGAGCCTTTAAAAGGAATGAAATTCTGACACATGCTACCACACTGATAAACCTTGAAAACATTATTCTAAGTGAAATAAGCCAGGCACAAAAGGAAAAGTATTGCATGATTCCATTTATGTAAAATATCTATCACAAGGAAATTCATAGAAACAGAAAATAGATTAGCAGTTTCCACGGGCTGGGGTGAGGGGAGAGTGGGAAGCTAGTGTTTAGTAGTTACAGACTTAATTTAGGGTATGGAAAAGTTTTGGAAATAGATAATGATGATGGTTTTACAACAATGAATTTAATTAATGCCTCATAATTGAACGCTAAAATTGCTTAAAATGGCAAATTTTGTTATATATATATGTATACATGTATACATATACATGAACAACATAATAATATGTAATACATAGTAATACGTAATACATAAGAATACATAAGAATAATACAACATAAGAATATATACATATAGATACATGTATATGTATATATATGCCACAATTTTTGAAGTTGGTAATGTGCCATTGAAATATACACTTTAAATGAATGAATTGTATGTTACGTGAATTCTATATCAATAAAGTTGTTAAACTGTATATATTCTATAATTATATGCATATATAATTATATATCTAGTTGGTCATTGAACAATGCAGGGGTTAAGGCCACTGGCCCCCTGCACAGTTGAAAATCTGAGTATAACTTTTGACTCCCCCAAAATTTACTACTAATAGCCTCCTGTTGACTGGAAGCCTTATTGATAGCGTAAACATACATATTTTGTATGTTAGATGTGTTACATGCTATATTCTTAAAGTAAGCTAGAGAAAAGAAAATGTTATTAAGAAAACCATAAGGAAGAGAAAATACATTTACAGTACTGTACTATATTTATTGATACTGTAAGTTTACGTCATCTGTTTACTAGATGAATTGTCTGTCTGAAACGACATCACCTGCAGCTGCAGACCTCAATCTATGGTACATATCAAGCAATTCAACTTTCTCTTGCAACGTCATGGCTTTTCTCTGCTTCTTGGGAGCACTTCCAAGTATCACTAGTGGCACTTTGTATGGGTCCCATGGTGTCACTCAAGATTTCTGGTATTGCACTAAACGCAATGAAAAATATGTGAGAACCATGAGATCACTTTCTACTGTGATACTCGATTTACTAGACAAGTGAACTGCTCATGTTGAGATAATTAGGATCACATGGTGTTTTAAGTGGATACCTGCAACACTTCAGCTCACCACGATAGTAACAGGAGGTGGCTGTGAAATTATTATAATAGTACAGAATGTGCTACAGTTAATTTTATGGGGTTACAATTTAATACTGTATCTTCATGTTTGCATAGCTTTCTCCGAACTGCAAATGATGCTATGTACAGTCTGTGTTTGTGTATGTAAGCTTTGATACATTTTAACTTTTTAAACAATAGATTTGTGTCTATCTTATGGGAGTAATTTATAAAAGTAGACTAGTATCTACACATATTTTATGTAGTCATAACATACCTAACTTTTCTTCATCTTTTTGGTATTTCTAGGCTACCTGTCTCATCTGGGAGTTTTTCAAATTGTTGCAAATCTCCAAAACTTTTCAAATATTCTATTGAAAAAAATCCTCCATATAAGTGGACCCACACAGTTCAAGCCCATGATGTTCAAGGGTCAACGGTGTGTGTATACATATGGTTTGTTCAACCGTAATAAGTATTAGAAAGAAAGGCAAAGTAGGGAAGTGGAGCAAAAGTCTTTCCGAAGAGATAACCTTTGAGGAAGATCCGAAGGAGGTGAGGCAGTGAGCCCTGAGGGGTTTTGGGAACAGGCCAAAGGAATAGCCAGTGTAAAGTCCTGGAGGCAGAAGGATCCCAGCCCGTCTGAGAACACCTAGCGCACAGGAGCAAGTGGGAGGGGCTGAGAGATGTGATCAGAGCGTGGGCAGGGGCTGGATCGTGCAAGGCCTCTTTAGGGAGAGACAGCTGTGGGAGGGCTCTGCGTAAGGAGAGACAGTATCTGACACTGGTTGCTGTGTGGAAAGGAGACACAGGAAGCCAGGGCAGAGGAGGGAGGCCTGTGTGGAGGTCACTGCACTAGCAAGAGGCAATGGGAGCACAGACTCTAGGGTGACAGTAGGTGTGAAAAGAATGTGACTTCCCTACTCTATGTATGATTCAAATTCTAAGACATTCTGCTAAAGGCAAAAGTATAGAGATGGTAAAAAGGTCAGTGTTTGCCAGTCAGGGGGAGAGAGAAGAGATGAGTAGGTGGAGCATAGAACATTTTTAGAGCAGGAAAATTATCCCATATGATTCTATAATGGTGGATACAAGACATTACGCATTGGTCACAACCCATAGAACTTTACAGAATGAACAGTGAACCTTAACATGTAAAAAGTTTTTAAAAATCTCTTAGGATGTTGGGGGTCCCTGGGTGGAATGCGGATGTGATAAGAAAATTGAACCGCATTACAAATGCATAAAACAAACTCACTGAGCATGTGGGAGGAACTGTGCTGATCTGAGTAACTTTGAAAATGAGTGGAGTCTGTAAGACTAAGAACAGAGTCAGGCGCGGTGGCTCACACCTTTAATCCCAGCACTTTGGCAGGCAGATCACAAGGTCAAGAGATCAAAACCATTCTGGCTAACATGGTGAAACCCCGTCTCTACTAAAAATACAAAAATTAGCCGGGCATGGTGGCACATGCCTGTAGTCCCAGCTATTTGGGAGGCTGAGGCAGGAGAATTGCTTGAACCCAGGAGACGGAGGTTGCAGTGAGCCAAGATTGTGCCACTGCACTCCAGCCTGGTGACAGAGCAAGACTCCATCTCAAAGAAAAAAAAAAAGACAAACAGCAAAAGGAACTGCACATAAGCAATGTACTCTTGTTGATAAAATTGTTTCCCACAGGAGTATAAGTTAACAAATCTGCTGTCCATGCATACTGGAATGTATTAAGTAAATGGATGGTGGATAGTGGGAGCCTATTTCTCACTGTTGGAGGGGCCATTACAGACAAGCAAGGGAAGAAGGCTAGCATGATCCATGTGGTGGTGGATTAGAGTTGGAATCATTAATATGAACCCATGTCAACTTAATATAGATACAGATATATAATTCCATATAGAAATATTTAGAGATACGTGTATATACATAGGTTAGTCTAAACACATGTATTTTTTTGCACTGTCAGCTGAGAGTACCTAAGAGAAATAACACTCCAATACTAATGAGCACACCTAGCACCCAGATCTTTATTTCTAATACTATTTTCCAATAAACAGAACTTAGGGCTTCCTGGAGAAATGGCTGATTCTAGGACTGGGGCAGGAACTGTACAAGATGGACCTGTAGCATCTTGTAGTGGCAGAAAATAGGGAAGTACTCCAAACACACACATGCACACACACACACACACACAAATTGATGGGGACATGTCAAGGATGCACGGGAGCCAAAGAAACAGCTTCCAATGGCCAAAGCTGGAACAATTTGAGCAACAAAATAAAGTAGCATTGGGTTATAACCCAAAGGATAAAATAACTATCCATGGGGCCATGCTGATATAAATAAATGAACGACTAATAAATGGGGAGAAGATATAACTCTCTTGTGCAGAATTCCAAATAAATTATGTAGATACTGCACCCTCAAGGAAGGGGAGCATAAGTACTGTGCCTTAGGGGTGGGCTGCACGTAGTGACTTCCTTCTAAAGTGTGCAGTTGGAAAGGGAGGAAAAAGAGTAACTTCACAAATGTACAAATCTTACAAACACTATCTCAGGCAGGTGATTAAGGACAACAGTAACAGTCGGAAGTCGTGTGGATAGTGCGTACCTTTGATATGATGTAATAAGAATTGTATTTTACCTCTAGGGTTTTCATCCCCAAAACCCATAATCTCAACCTTATCATGAAAAAAATCAGACAAATCCCAATAGCGGGGTATCCTACAAGATACCTGACCAGCTATTTCCCCAAAATAATCATGGTCATCAAAAATAAGGAAAATCTAAGGAACAGTCACAGCAAAAAGGAGCCTAAGGAGATGATATGGTTTGGGTCTGTGTCCCCACCCAAATCTTGTGTCAAATTGTAACCTCCAATGTTGGAGTCAGGGCCTGGTGGGAGGTGACTGGGTCTTGGGGATGGTTTCTAATGGTTTAGCACCATCCCCCTAGTGCTGTTCTCTTGTGAGAGAGTTGCCACGAGATCTCGTTGTTTAAATTGGTAGTACCTTTCCCCTCTCTCTCTTCCTCCTGCTCTGGCCATATGAAGACATATCAGCGCTCCCTCCACTGTGACTGTAAATGTCCTGAGGCCTCTCTAGCCATGCTTCCTGTACAGCCTGCAGAACTGTAAGCCAATTAAACTTCTTCCCTTGATAAAATACCCAGTCTTGGTATTTCTTTATAGCAGTGCGAGAGCTGACTAATACAGAAGAGATGATGATTAAACGTGGGATACTGGATGGGGTTCTGGAACAGAAACGTTAGGGACAAACTAAGGAAATCTACAGAAACTATAGACTTCAATTTTTAAAAATAACATTACTTGGCCGGGCGTGGTGGCTCATGCCTGTAATCCTAGCACTTTAGGGGGCCGAGGCGGGTGGATCATGAGGTCAGGAGATCAAGACCATCCTGGCCAACATGGTGAAACCCCGTTTCTACTAAAAATACAAAAATTAGCTGGGTGTGGTGGTGGGCACCTGTAGTCCCAGTTACTCGGGAGGCTGAGGCAGGAGAATCGCTTGAACCTGGGAGGCGGAGGTTGCAGTGAGCCGAGATCCGCCACTGCACTCCAGCCTGGCAACAGAGCGAGACTCCGTCTCAAAATAAATAAATAAATATCATTACTTACACTTGCTAGGATGGCTATTTAAAAAAAATACAAAAAACAGAAAATAAACATTGTCAAGGATGTGGAGAAATTGTAATCCTCAAACATTCCTGGTAGAAACGTAAAATAGTGCAGCCATTATAGAAAACAGTTGGCAGTTCCTCAAAAAGCTACGCCTGAAGTTACCATATGATCCACCAATTCTACTTCTAGGTATATACCCAAAGAAACTGCAAACAGGGAGTCAGAGACTTGTATAGAATGTTCATAGCAGCATTACTCACAGTAGCCAACAGTGGAAACAAGCCAGTGTCCCTCAACAGATGAATGGATACACAAAATGCAGCATCTCCTTACAATGGATTATTTCGCGTTAAAAAGGGAAAGAGTTCTAATACAACATTTTAAATTTAACCTAAATGTATTAAATAAAGGACAGAATAAACTTGTGCTCAGAATTTTCCATTTCATTTTTTAAGGCAGAGTCATTTTTTTCACACATACTAGAAAATGTTGGTCCCATTTTAAGAGGTCTGACCTCATGGCCTTTCCTACTGTTAATACAATGACTTTTGTGGCAGAGTCTGCAAGCTCAGCATCAAACCTGCTTACTACTCTTCCTGGCATACTGCCAAATGGCATCTCCCAATCTTCCCTGTCACTAGGTTGTATTGTATGACTGTGTCTGGCCAGCAGGATGTACAGAGAGAAGACTCGTGCTGCTTCCAGATCCTTCCACAAGATTTTTAATGCTGGCCCCCTGGGGGGACCTGGGAAGCTGTGGGTTAGAGATGGAGGAGGCCTATCGACCTTGACCTCAGGATGACTGAGAGAGCAGAGGCCCCTCACTCACTTTCCCCCACAGCCAACAATCATCAATGTTCATTCCAGACCATCCATGATTGAGAAACCAACTTCTACTGTGTTAAGTCATTGAGACCTCAAGGTTTCTCTGTTTTGGCATTCCCTTAAATAATACAATTGCTTATGCTGTTTCTATGTCCATCTTACTGATGAGGAAATGGAGGCTCTGAGAGGAGAAGGGATTTGTCCAGAGTCACATGGCCAGGAACTGCAGCTGTGATCAGAGACGAAGCAGAATCGTGGTCACGTGGGCTCAGGCTTAGGAGTGACTGCAGCTCTGTGAAAGTGAACTTGCCCAGTGAAACATCAGGTGTGATGAGACACACAAACATGAAGATGACTGTCATGAGGAAGAAGTTTTCATACAGATCCCTGGAAACAGGAGGCAGGGCAGGCTGTGCAGGGCCACACGGAGAAGTACCAGGTTGGTCAGGAGGCAGAGGGAGCACAGGGGAAACATGGACTCGAGTCTTCACTGGGGTTTCTGCTGGAAGAAATGGGTAAGTCCGGGTCAGCAGGCTGAGGATTGGCTGGTTTGAATCATTTCAGTGGGCTCTAGGGTACAGGGGCTGTCCCTGGCTGTCTGGTACCTGCCCTGGGGTGAGGGCAGGTGGATGGTGGCCCAGAGTGCAAGGGCCCCAGAGAGGAGGTGGTGGGTGTGGGCTCTGGGTGGATTGGTCTGCATTGGAAGGGTGTGATCACAGAAATTTGCTAGCCCAGGTAGGGGCAGTGCAGTCCTCCAGCGTCAGCAAGGGTCAGATGTCAAAGCACCAGAACACAGAAAAGACAGGCCTGGTTAAGAGCACACAAGGGCCCATCCCAGCTGCAAAGCTAACTTTGGACTTTACACTTGGCAGGTACCAGCTTCTTCCTAGCTTCCTGACCTGACTCTGAGCTTCTGTGGGGTGGAGCCAGAGGAGGCTTCTGAGTCCTGCAGACCTCCCTGTGGGTCACTGTGGCTGACAGGTGCCAGACTGGGAGGGGTCTTGAGTGTCAAGTTAAAGGAGTTTGAACTTTATGCTGGAGGTGATGAACAGGGAGCCCTGGAAGATCCCTGAGCTGAGGAAGAACTTGATCGGGTCTCTGAATCAGGGTAATGAATCTGGCCACGGTGAAGGATATGAATTGGCACAAGTAACAGTGAGCTACTGCAGCATAACAAACCACCTCAAAATCCAGGAAGCATTCATCATTGCTCTTAGCTATGCCCACAGCTGGGTAGTTGGTTTGGGCTGGGCTAGGCTGGGCTGACTCAGGCATTGGAGGAAATTGTTGCCCACCCAGCTCATTTTGGCTGGCCTTTCACATATCCCATAGCTGGCTGGCGGGAGGCTGGTCCATGATGGCCTTAGCTAGTGTGGCTCCCCTCTGTTCCATGTGACTCTCATCCTCCAGCTGGCTAGTCCAGGCTTGTCTGCACCTTGTGTCAAGGTACCCAAAGAGAGGAGGGATGTGTGCCTGTCCTCTGAGGCTCAAGCTTGGAACCAGTGACTTCTAGCTCCACTGTGTTCTGTCACCACAAAAGTCAAGAGGCTGGCTGGGATTCATGGAGCAGGGGATCAACTTGACCTCTTCTTGGGAGGAACTGAAAGTCAGATTGCAGAGGATTGGACACAGGAAGGCTGCTAGGAACTGAATGTTTGTGTCCCCCCATATTCAAATGTTGAAATCCTAATCCCCAGTGGGATGGTATTAGGATGTGGGGCTTTTGGGAGATACTTAAGTCATGGGGGGGTGGAACTGAAACTGAACCAATAGTCGTATAATCATATAGACAGTGATATATATATACATGTACAGAAATTGACCTTTCAGGTCTTAAAGCTTGAAACTTACATTTGTTTTAACTGAGTTCCTTCCTCAGTGAAGAACTCTCAGGCCTTTCAAAAAAAAAGTATCAAAGAACTGAAACTCATCCAGACAATGAGACGCCAGGCCCTTCATTCATCATAATTGCTTCCTTACCCCTCCCTAGTTCCTGGTTTTTTTATGTGTTATTACATTGCTTCCCTGCTATATAAACCTCTAATTTTAGCTGGCCAGGGAGACGGATTTGAGATGGAGCTCCCATCTGCCCAGCTGCAGCACCCGATTAAAGCCTTCTTCCTTGGCAATACTTGCTGTCTCAGTGATTGGCTTTCTGAGAGAAGCAGGACGTAGACTGAACCCCTGGTGTTTCCATAACAGAGCCCTTGTAATGGGATTAGTGTCCTTATTAGAAGAGACACCAAAAACTTGCTTCTTCTCTGCACTCAGCCATGTGAAGATACAATGAGAGGAAGGCTGTCGGCACACCAGGAAAAGAGCCCTCACCAGACACTGGATCTGCCAGCACCTTGATCTTGAACTTTCAGCCTCCAGAACATTGAGAAGTGAATGCCTGTTGTTTAAACCATCCAGCCTATGATACTTTGTTATAGCAGATCCAGTTGAAACAGAGGTCTAAAGAGTTGGGACCATTCTCTGCAATCAATCTAGCACAGGGGTTGACAAATCTGGCCTGCTTCCTGTTTTTGTAAATAAAGTTTTATTGGGACATAGCCATACCCATTTTATTACATATCACCTATGGCTGCCTTTACACTACCAAAGCAGAACTGAGTGACTGACAGAGCCTCTGTGAGCTGCAAAGCCTAAATACTTTTTATTTGGCCATTTACAGAAAAAGTTTGCTGGCCCTGATCTAGCACAAGATGAGGAAAATTGAAGGCCCAGAGATATTTTGGGAGGCAGCCAGACTCACCAGGGATGACCCAGACCAGGCTCAGCCCAGAGGCACTGGGACAGGCACTGAAATGGGTTAAGAAGCAGAAGCAGTGGAGTTCAAACCCCAGCACCCCCATCCTTCCTCACCGTGTGGTTCTGAGTGGGCCACCTCACCACCCAGCCTCAGCTTCAGGCTTGGAAAATGGTCAGAATTACAGCCACCTGGGGGTTTTCGAGGATTCAGAAAGAACATCCGTAAACACCCTTCCCAGAGCCTGGCACAGGTGAGGGCTCAGCAGAGAGGAGCCTGGCTTCCCAAAGCCCCATCAGGGTCTCCAGAGCAGCCCTGGCTGGCAGACAGGGGTCCCCTCCCACCTCCCTCCCGCTCTGCTGGGAGGACGCATTCCTGCAGCTGCGCATCTGCGGGCAGATCTGCTTCCCTATCTGTGTTCTGCTAATAAGGAGAAAACACACTTGGCGAGGTTAGACAAACAGCCAGGGAGTGATTGACACAGCCCCAGCCTCAGCCAAGCCTCTCCTGCCTGCACTTTGAGCTCCTGAGAAAATATCGTGTGTGTCCAGGCTCTTCCCCGTGCAGCGAGCTGTTTGCTTTCCATTAGCCTCAGATTGTGCCCTTTAGTCACACCACGTCCATCAGCACTGGAAAGGGAGGAGCCCGATCTCAGCACACCCTGGGCCACATCGGTGCTGGCTCACATTTTCCCCTTTACTGTGGGGCATCCCAGCTGGTCTCAAAGTGTCCCTGGGTACCCTGGCCCTGGCCTATCCCACCCACCCAGTGCTGCCTCGAGCTGCTCTGCCAGGGGATCCCCCGTTTAGGCTCTGAGCCCAGGTGCCTCCTGGGCCACCTTGGCAGCTGAGTTGAGTTGGGCTGGGCCTGGGTTTGAACAGCTTCCTGGGTAGGTCTCCATGCAGTCAGGCTGGGAAGGCCGGGCCTGGGACCTTGCCTTCCAAAGTGGGCAGGAGCCTCTGGGATGGACTGTTTCACCCAAGCGAGGCACAGATCCTCCTATGAAACACCTCCATGTGCAGAGGGACCTGGGGCCCAGGGGCTGATGAAACTGCAAGGGAGCACTAGTTTCTGCTCAGGAAGTCCACAGCACCCACTTGGTTTCTAAATTGGGTCTGCCCTGTGTCTGGGGTCTGACCTGGGCCTTCTCTGTGCATCCACATGGGGCCAGGGCCGGCGCTTGGCAGCTGAGTCAGTTGCCAAGGTGTGCAGCCTGGCAGGTGCTCTCACCTGTCAGGTGGGCTGACTGCTCCCACTGAGACAGGAGGAAGGGCCCAGCCTCAGCCTGGTCCCAGAGTGGTCTCAGCAGGAATGAACAGGCTGAGAACCCCGCCCCCTTCCTGCATCTCCCTGCTTCTCCCTGCAGGGCTCCCCTCACTTCTCCGCCTGCTTCCACCTTGGGGACAGTTGCTTCAGTCTCAGACCATAGCTTTTTAATGCCACATCAACACCGACCAGGCGGCTGCATCTGGGCTATTCATGATCATTTCCTAGATGTTTTTGAAGGTAATAGTTCGCAAAGCAGGGAACAGGGTTCAAGAATGATAAAAGAGTGGGTAGGAAAAGAGGTTTCAGAATCTAAAATCTTGCCTTCCAGAGTTGACAGGGACCTCTGAGATGGAGTGGTTTTCCCAGGCAAGGCACAGATCCCCCTGTGAAACACCTCCATGTGCAGATGGAGAAACTGAGGCTCAGCTTGGGAAGGTCCGCTGCCAAAGCCCCAGAAGATGGCTCAGGATTCCCACCCAGGCCCGTCTGAGCTCAAGGCACCACCCCCTCCATCCTCTACCCCAATCCACAGAATGATTTTCAGCTTTGTGGCCCGTAATTTGGAAATCTGGTCATTTTGTGTCTTTCCTGGGCTCCTGTCCCCTCTCCGTGTGCTCATGGAGCACATGGAGCACTCATTTGCTGGGTGTGCTGGATAAGCCACAGCTTGCTAGGGCCTCGGTTTCCCCATCTGTCCATGGGAATCTGAATGCCAGCCTGGTGGAGGCCTTGAGCCACCTGAGAAGGGCCCTGAGAGGTGCTGGTGGCTGCAGATGCCTGGGTGCCCAGGCTGCGCCCACTTGCCCTTTGAGGCCTCAGGCCTGAGGGCCATGTGCTGCCTGCCTCCCCAGGGTCTGCCTCTCTCCTCCATTCACAGGAGGGGAAATTACCCATTAATGAGAGAGAATTACAAACGCAGCATCTGGCCCACCGCCCAAGGTCCCTGGGCGAGTAGGGAGGGAGCAATGGTGCTGGAAGGGGAATTGGAAACAAATGCACGGGGGTGTTTTCTTTGGTGGACCCGAAGTCCCCTCCCTACGCTGCTCCCCGCCACTGTCCCAAATTTGGACTTTTACGGAAACAGATTTCATGCCTGGGCTTCCCATGAACTCTCTTAATTCAATTGAGAGGCCATTATCGGCACTGGGAGTAATGGGCTGTTTCCGCAGCCTGGAGGAGACCGAGGGGATGGGTGCACCTCTCCTCTGCAGGTGGGAGAAGACCGGGCTGAAGGCCCTACCCTGGTCAAGTCAGGCCGTGAGAGCTAGGTGCCCAGAGGGGTTGGAGGGTGAGGCTCAATGTGATTCCTTCGGTGGTGGAGGCCGGAGTGGGAGGCAGCAGTCCTGCTGGAAGCAAGAGGCAAAGGAACCCCAGATCCCACAGGTTCCTGAGAGGATGAGGCTGGTCCTGCCTCCTGAGAGGGAGTGCTGGGCCACAGCATGTGCCACCCAGTGGTCCTGCGCCAAGGGCACCAGGTGCCCCTAGTGGCCCTTGAGGGATTGGTGGAGGCAGCATCAGGGCCTGGGTTGGGAGGAGCCCTCAGCAGAGGTGCCGGGGTCCCTCTGCCAGGAATCACCCTGCCCATTCTGTTCCTTCCCCTGGATTCTCCCCCCACAACACGTTGCAGGACCCCTCCTGCTCATTCTCTGGTCAGAAGCCCCACAGCTCTCATGGCACCCACGACTGTTAGTGGCCCTGTCCCCCCTCCAGTCTGAGGGCTCTGGGAGTACAGAACCAGCACGAGGCCTGGAACAACACAGGGTACAGGTGGAGGCGGCTAGAGAGAGGCCCTGGAAGGTGGGCCCAGGTGCCTCCCGCCCCAACTCCGGGCCATGGCTCCTCCCAGCAGAGGGGCTCAGCTGTCCGGCAGGGCCTGCAGAGTGAACTGGGAGACGGGTCAGCCCCTCAACCTCTCCCCAGGCCTCATCTATCATAGTGTCCTAGGGATGCCCCTGGCACCAGCCTCAGCAGGCCGGGCACCTGCACTGTGAGGGCAGGTGAGCCAATATCAGCAATGGGCTCTGCTCTGCAGAATGGGATCATAGTCCCACAGGTGGGAACTGGTGGGAGGAATGCATGGCCCCACCCCAGGAGAGGGCCAAGGCCTAGGAAGAGGAGGCTCAGGGGCTTGAGGCCCTGCAGAGCCACCTCCCCGTCCCAGCTGGCCTTTTCCACCCCTCAGGAGGCACTTGCCTCTGGGTCTCAAGGCAGGAGCCTGGTGAATTCAGTGGCTGGTAGGCAGTTGCAGCCTCAGAAAGCAAAGCCTTTGGGGGCCTTTACTTTCCCTTTTGTTCTGAACAGGATTCAGAGCTGAGGCCCCAGACAGCAGAGTGCAATGCCCAGGGCCCTCGAGGTGAGCTGTGCAGGAGTAGAGGTGAAGGGCAGCCCCGGCCCTAGTCCACACCAGACAGGTGCTGAAGGGGATGGAGGCTAACCCAGTGTCTCCAAGTTCTCTGTTCCCTGGGAACATCTCTGGTTTTCTACACAAAATGGCTTGAGTGCCACCAAGCCCCCACATCTCCCAGCCTTGTTGGCCTCAGGTGGGCCATGGAACAATGGCCATGGGCAGAAGGGATGGGTGTCACTTCCAGGCTGGGGCAGGCAGGGGCCAGACTACATCTTCAGCTATTTCTTCCTCTGAGCTGGTGCCCAAGGGGCCATGTGGTACAGCTACAGAATGTGGAGCTGCCTGAGCCCGGGCCCCCAAGGGGCTGCGTGAGGAGCAATTCCCCAACTGACCACTGCATGAGAAATAAGCCTTTGTGGTGTCAAGCCTGAAAATGAGGTTGGTTGTTTCTGTGTCCAAGTACTGGTTTGGCACCAGAAATGGGGTGGCAACTAAAGCCAGCAAGAGTTTGTGGCACTGGTATAGTGTTTGCACACAAAGTGGGGTGCATCCCATGTCAGAGGCTGGAAGGATGAAGACCCACATGGCCACTAGAACTTACCGAGTGACCGTGTGGCTTTGAGAGAAGAGATGGGAGGAACAGACATCAGGAGTTGGGGTGCCGGCTGCCATTGGCTGCAACTATCAAAAGATGACAGGACAGACAGGTGCTGAGGAGAGAAACTCGTCAGATTGCAAGCTGAACAGGAAAGGAGGAGAGGGTCCAGAAACTTGCCAGAGGTTAGAGAACCAAAGTGCTGCTTCTCAACTCCAAATATAGATGATGAACTGAAAAGGCCTTTGAGGGACAAATGCCTCCTAAAATCTTGCAACCCATCACATTGCCTTGGGCACGATGGGACTGAAGGTGCATCTGATTCAGGGTCTTTGAGGCTGATAGCCTCAAGGTGGCCTTCTCTAAGACAGAGGGGTGGGGAGGGAGTGAGGGAGGGTGGAGATTCGTTTCCTAGAGCTGCCAGCACAAAGCACCTCAGGCCTTGTTGTGCTGGGTTAGGCCCCACCCTAGTGACTTCCTGTAAGTGTAGTCACCTCTTTAAAGACCCTGTCTCCAAATCAGATTGCATTCTGAGGTACCATGGGAGAATCTGGGAGGACACAATGGAGCCTATCACAGAGGGAGAATAAGGGGGAAGAGAGACTAGAGGCAGGGGGAAGAGAGACTAGAGGCAGAGGGAAGGGGAGAGGGAAAGGCACACGTCTCGGGGCGAAAGCAGAGACATACAGCAGAGACTGAAATTAGGCCTCAGAAAGCACTGCGGCCATCACAGCGGTCTGCTGGGAGCTCTGACTTCCTGTCGAAGACAACCTGAGCATGGTCAGGGCGTAAAACAAGCCCTGGGCTCCTGTCTGTCTCCAGGCTGGAAGTGGCTGACAGGGCTACGTGGCACCCAGAGACAGCCCAGTCCCCACCGCCCACGATATGAATGGCCAGTGAGGTGATGGTGATAGGAGACTCTTCTAGGGGAAGAAGGAGGGGCCAGAGCAAACCGTGGACCAGAGAGCCGTGCCCAGAGAGCAGGAGCAGCTGCTCGTGGCTCGTTTCCCACCCAGAGCGGGGGCCCTGGCAGCACAGGGTGTAGGAGGCGGCTTCCCCCATGGGGAAGAACTTGGTGGCACCACTGTCACACAACAGGTTGAGGGGCTCCTGTCTGCAGAGGTGCTCTCTTGCTTGGGGCTGACAGCCCTTCCCTGGACCACCACAGTCTCCTATGGGAAGGAATGGGTGGCCTGAAGTTCTGAAGGACTGTGCATTTCCTAAGAACCTGCGGCTCTAGGTTTCCATTGTTCCAGGGTCCTGAGAGTGAAGAGTCTATGTCCTGAGGTCCTACCTTTCTAGGACTTGGAGGTGTGCTGGTCAATAGCCAGTACAGCAATGAGAGGGGCTGAGCAGAGCCAGGCTGGGGGAGGAGGCCTTGGGCCCATGTCCGGCTCTGGCCCCAGAATCACTGGGAATGGGCAGTCCCTGGAACAGCCTCCACCAGGAAAAGTAGGGGCGGTTCCAACACAACCCCTGGGGAAGGCAGCCAAGGCAGGCAGAACTTCAAATGCTTTGGGGTTATTTTATTTTATTTTACATAAGTGGAGGCAAAAATTGGTTTCTCGTGTGGTCTTAAGCTTTCCAAGTCATAACATCACTCCCAGCTCCTCCTGAAGGGAAGAGGCAGAGGCGGTGGGGGCTCCAGCTCCCCTCCTCATACAGAGCCACCTCCAGGCAGAGCAGCAGCAGTCTCCCCACTTGTTCACCCCTCAGGGAAGGGATGCCCTTTGTGCAAACCCCTCCTGGGCCACTCACTCCCCGTGTTACCTTGCCAGGTTACCCAGCCTCTCCACATCTCAGTCTCCCAGTTTGCAAAACAGTCTGGTAGCGCCTTTCACAGGGGCTTCTATGCCTAAGACCATCTAGGGGCCGTGAGTCTCACAACAGCCCAGGGAGTCAGGCCTCTTACCTGGGGAGCCCTGGCTGGGGCTGGCTTCCTCTTGGTGGGACCTTGGAGGCAGCCTTTCCCTCCCATATAGCCCAGCCCACTCAAGGCAGGAGACCTGCTGGCCCAGTCTAGGGGGCCGGGGTGTACCCTTTGCTGCCTGAGCCTCCTTTCTCAGGGCCCTGAGCCATGGTCTCCCTTCCCTCCTCTACCCCTACCAGCCCCACATCACTCAGCCTCCATTTACCCTGAAGGGGAGGCTCCCAGGATGAGCACCCAAATGCTTCTGACTGGTCTCACTGCCCTACTCCCTTCCCTTCCCCTCCATCAGCCCAGACACCAGAGGAGAATTCCCAAACCCCAGCATGACCACACCCTCATCCTGCTCAAGTCCTTCACAGCTCCCTAGTACCCCCAGGACAAAGTCACCCAGGGCCCTCCGAGGTCCTGCCCCAGCTCAGCCTTGCAGACTCCTCTCCCTCCACTGCCCTCCCAACATGTCACCACGTCCCCGAAGGCCCATGCCTTCCTTTCCACCTTCCTTCCTGCCTCAGCCCCAGGCATCCCTGTGGAGCCTCCTGACCTCCAACCTGCCACCCCCAACCTCCCAGAGCTGCCTGTGCGGCACCTCCTAGGCTTTCTTTCCCTCACAGTTTGTGGTTGTTGACAAGCCGTAGCAGTTAGCTCCTGCTGTGTAACAAGTTACCCCAGCACTTTGTGGCTGAAATCCACAAGTCTACTTTTGCTCATGAGTCTACTGGTCAGCCAGTTCTTCTAGTCTCCACTGACCTTGCTGGACCCATCTGTGGGTCAGATGGCATTTGGCCTGGAGCTGGCCTCTGTATTCATTTTCCATTGCTGCATAAAACTACCACATATTTAGCCACTTTAAACACCACCGTCAGTCAGCGCACAGGTCCGCAGCTCAGAAGCCTGGCCTGGCATGTCTGGGTTCACTTCTCAGGGTCTCACAAGGCTGAATTGAGGTGCCAGCCAGGCTGAGTCCTCATCTGGAGGCTCTGGGGAAAAATCCGCTTCCCAGCTCATCCTTATTGGCAGAATTAAGTTCCTTGAGGTGAGAGGACCGAGGTCCTCATTTCCTCCTTGCCCTCAGCTCCTAGTGGCCTCCCCCAGCCCTGGCTGTGTGGCTCCCTCCGTCTTCAAAACCAGCAATGGAGACTTCCTCAGATGAAATTCTTCTCATGCTTTTGATCCCTGGCTGCCTGTCTCTGATGTCTAGACTGGATTGAAAGGGCTCTCCTGAGTAGGTTAGGCCCACCTGGGTCAGCTCCCTGTCAATTAAGGTCACCTGACTGGGACCTTGATGGCATCTGCAAACTCCCTTCACAGCAGCAACTGAGGAGTGTTTGAAGGACTAGGGCAAGGCATGTGTCTGCTGGAGGCTTGGAATCGAGGGATTCATAGAACCCTGACCCACCAACCTTGTTCTGTGCTGGCGTCGGCTGGCCATTTGCTAGAGCAAGGGAAGAGATGGGCCCTATCTTTCTCCACCTGGCAGATGTCTGATGGCAGAGGCTGTTCCAAGAGAAAAGCAAATTAGCAGCGTCAGGGGGCCTGGTCATCCAGCAGAGGGCATGGCCCTGGGAGTCACCTCCCTGGACTGCAGAGCTTGCCTGTGTGTGTCCTCCACTCCAGGCCCAGGGGCAGCTAATGAAGGCTCAGGGAGATGGGGCTGGGTGTGTCTTGCCTTCCTTGCAACCCGGTCAGTGGATCCTGTGACCACCCCCAGAACAGCAGTCTCCACCCAGGAGCATGCTGGGGTCACTTGTCCTGCCATCTCCTCTTCCCAGGTGCCCAGCAGGAGAGAGGCAGCCACACGCCTGTGTCTGGCCATCAGGATGCGGAAGTGAAGGGCACAGCCCCAAGCCTGCCTCAGTGTTCACGTGCCAGATGATGGGGACCTGAGGGAGGGCAGAGACTCGATGGGGATGGAGACTGGCCTCAATGGTCTGTGTCGCAAACCGTGACAGGCCCCCAAAGGATGCACCTACGCCCATGGCTCAGCCCAGCTTGGAATCAGGTGAGGCTGGTCACAGGCTCCCTGGAGATCCAGGAGGCACCATGAGAGAGGGAGGCACCCGCCCCCCAGTGTGCCCTGGGGGTGGGGGTGATATTCTTCAGTGGCGAGGGATGCTGAGGCCAATGCTGAGATCATTTCAGGAGACTGGCCACAGAGGAGATAAGGAAGCAGGGAAGAGGAGAAAGAAGAGGTGCCGAAGAGGATGAAGGGCCGGGGGATTGAAGAGGCAGGGGCTGGGTGGGTGTTAACCTGTCAAGCACCCACTGGTCTCAGACACTTCCTGGGCACAATCCTCTGTCCTCCCACCATGGTCCAGAGAAGAAGGACAACCATCCCCACTTGACAGAGGACCCTGAGACAAGAGAGCTCCTGGGCCCAGGCCAGGGACGAGCAAGCGTTCTTGCTGTCATCGTGAGCTGTTCAGGCCTCCCACAGGTGGTGGCTCATCCCGAGGTGCCTCCCGCCGCAGCCCACTTAGTCTCTAGGCTCTTGAGGCTGGAGAGGAATCTCTCCCCATTGTGGGCTAAAATTCATCTGTTAAAGGTTGACCCAGGCTCTGTCCCAATCCCATGGGGAGGACACATCCTCCGGGCTGGTTGGACAGACATTCAGGGCACCAGCCAATGACATGCCTCAAAGCCCCTCCCAACCAGGACAGCCCTAGCCCACCTTGCCCAGTCCCTCAGCCCCTCAAGGAGCCCCTCGAAGGCTCCACTCTTTCTTGGACAGTTTTGATTCTAACATCTCAGCGCCTGCAGGTCCATGGGGCCTCCTCATCTCTGTCCCAAGAGGCCCACCGGGTGCTGATGCAGGCCGACCCCAGAGCCCAAGGTGGGAGGGAAGGTGAGCTCTCAAGCTGTTCCTCCTGGTGCCCCTCCATAGAGTCCCTGCATCACCTCCCACTGGGGAACCTCCACCAGCCTCCATTTCACAAGCATCTGTGGGCATCTAGTGGCTGGGCTGCCTCAGTTTGCTCATCTGCAAAATGAAGGTAGTGCTGCCTGCCTGGGAGACTTCCAGAAGAAATGAGGGGTGGCAGGTTGGTGCAGGTGGGTGTACACTTCCCCAGGGTTGGGGCCCTGGGTTCAGATCCCCACCCTGCCAGCTTCTTGCTGGGTGACTTTAGCACAAGGAACAGGATAGCGGGGGCTGCAGAGCTGCAGGGAAGAGAGCAGTCTGAGAGTGCTCGGGGTCCAGGGACCATCCTGGGACAGAGCCCAGCGGCTGGGTGGCCCCGCAAAGACAGACGCCCACCTATCACTGCAGCTCAGAGCCAAGCCCTTCCCACTGGCTCAGGGTAGCAGTAGCCCCAGTGAGGATCCACCCAAGGCTCTGTCAGGCCTGTCATTCAGGCCTAATCCCGGCTCATTGTCCGCCTGCCAGTGGGGCTTTTGGCTGCCACCTGCCCCGCACAGGGTGTTGTCACAGAAGAATGTGGCAGGTGGGGGTAGGTGGGGGCCATCCTGGAGGGGGTCTGTCCCCACCCAGGCAGGCAGAGGGCTTTGGGAAGACAATGGGCAGCTGCCTGGGGACTCTCCCTGGGCTGCTGCCATAACCCCATCTTCGGGTGACAGGGGCTCCTGAGGTCAGGGATTTGCAAGTCTCAGACTTCCAGAGCTTTGTTTTAGTGACTTGCGCTGCCTGGCTCATGGCAGGGCTGGTTACACATCAGGTGCATGAAACATACAGCAGGGGTATCAATGCCCCAAAATGGGCTGCAGAACCTAGGCTTCTGGGGAGCAGCCCTGGCTCATGCAATTCCTAAGGCTGCGTGGCAAAATGAGGCCAAGATGGGAGTGTGGAGCCCACAGCAGGAGCTGGGCCCCTCCTCAGGCTGCCATGAGTTTCTCCGAGCCTGTTTCTCCATCTCTGAAGCAACTTTGATCCTCCCCAACTGTCCTTCCAACCTGCCCAGGGACAAGATGCCCCTCACCCTGCAGGAAGTCCCCAGCAGCTTCCTAAATCTCCTCTGACCACTCTTGGTCATTAGAAGTCCTTTAACCTCAAATCTCTCATTTCTGTAGTACCCCACCCTCTCTGGCCTGTGCTTAGCAGGAAACGGACAGGACTGGCCTTTGCGGAGGGAGGGACAGAAGCAGTAACCGGCTCCAGGGTGGCTGCGTGCCCTGGGCCTGGTGACATTTGAAGCTGATGCTGTTTCTTGGGACACCTGTGGTTCTCTGGGGACATCTCTCCTTCTGTCCCCTCTCCCTGAAAGGCCTCACCTCCAGTGGCTTCCTGGGACACCCTCCCGTGTCTGCTCTGTGACGAGGCCCCAGGCAGCACCCTTTCTAGCATGGCAGCTTGTACCCACCGGGCACACGGTGGTGTCCCTCACAAACAGAGGGTAAACAAGATGTTCTGGCAGCACAACAGAGACTCCACACCCAGCCCCTCTCCTGGAGGCTCCCGGGGGCATCATGGGTCTTCCTGCAGCAGACATCAATGCCTGCACCCTGGTCACTGGCCTCCCTTTTACCCACCAACGGCTCTTTCCTTACAAGGCGTTCAGCAGCCCATGGGTCAGAACATTCTCCCGCCAGGAGTGTGCCTGGCAGGTATGAGGCACACCTCATACCTGGGAGTTACGGCCCCAGGGAGTTACCTCCAACTCATGCCCCATGGAAGGTGCTGATGGCTCCAGGCACCCTCATTCTGGCTGGGGTGACAGATCTGGGCTCTCCAGGTCTCCCCAGCCCTGCAGCAGGGCTGAGCCCCAGCAACCACAGCAGTGACCCCCATTGCTGTCTCACTTCCCTACTCCCTTCTCTACTCAAGTGCTCATCACTGGGAGGTGAGGGGCCGGTGAAATTGGCCTCACCACCCTCTTTGCAAGTCCTCCACATGGAATGTGGGGCAGTTGGCCCCACTTGTCCTGCCCTTGCCCCTTGAAGTCTCAATAGAAACATGAGCAAAAAGATCCTTTCGATGCACCACGGCCCATGTACCGAGCTAAGCACATGACTGTGCACAGTGCAAGTGCTGGGTGGCGGGGATGCAGGAGGACAGCAGGGTTCTGACAATACCCTGGGGGTGCTTGAGGTGAGGGTCCACCCAGTCCTGCTTGGCTCACAGGCCTGGGTCCTGGAGCCTACCCCACAGAGGACCCTGAGCCCCCACCTGCTGGGAGGATGGGCAGAGAGACAGGTTGGTGTTTCTCCCGATGCCCCCCTGGCTTTGGGGGGATGTGGCAGTGGCTCCCTGCTCAAGGCTACAGCATCACAGGCTTCGCCCTCTGTCCTTTAGGCTGGGGCTTGGCCCACAACCCACACCACCTCCTTGTTGGCTCCTAACCTGCCACACATCTTAGGAGGCCCTTTATGAAAGAGAAGACCCCAGCAGACATATAGCCTTTGCCCTACGGACCTGGTGGGCAGAGGCCCGTCTCTGGGTCTGTCCTGGCCCTGCCCCAACTCACTCTGAGCTCGTTGACAAGTCACTCGGCCTGCCTCCCTTCTTCAGGCCTCAGTTTCCCCACCTATGAATGTCAAAAACATCTACGGAAAGGGCTTGGAAAGTGGGAGTTCCCAGAACATACCTGAGGTCCTGAGGTCAGAGGGGTTTGTCGCTAGCACTGGGAAGGGCCCTCCTTTCCTGCAACACCTTCTTCTGCACCCAGCCCAGTGCCCCTGGCCACAAGCTGGGGTCTTTCCTCTGTAAGACTCAGAGGGAAACAGAGTCACTGGCACTGCCCAGGAAGTCACCCCAAAGACCCGACTTCCTGTTATGGGCCTGGCCAGGCAGCCAGTAGCACCTGCTTGTGCACTGAATTGGAGCCCAGCCTGGGTGTGGGGAAAGGAAATGACATTTCTTGGGCACCTTCTATGTGCTCGATGTGCTGGAGTAATGTGTGTGCACTGCTGCATTGACAGCAAGCCCGGGAAGAGCATGTTGTCCCTGTGGCCATTTCACAGATCAGGATGCTGAGGCTGGAGAGGTCAAGGGCAGAGTGAGAGGCAAGGCCTGGACAAGAACCTGTGCCTGTCAGCTTTGTTCTCCCTGGCACTCCCACCCTAATGAAGGCAGGAAAGGGATCCCTTCCTGCTTTGCAACCTGCATCCCACTTCCCAGACCCCACTCCCCAGACCCCACTCCCCAGACCCCACTCCTCTCACTGTCCCCAGACTCAGCTCTCACTGCTAGAGTCCCATCAGCCCTTCTCCTGGGCAGCGTGGCGGGCAGATTCTGAGATGGCCCGAGGATGCTCCTCCCCGACGCCAGCGTCCCTTCTGTGGAGTTTGAGGACCAGTGAGCACGGTGGGAAGTCTCTCCCACAGCAAAACACCATTGCCTCCTTCTGCTCAGAACAACATGGCCTCAGGGTATATGATGGAGTCTTCCTCTTAGAATATCAGATACTGTTAGAATCTCAGCCTTCTGCACCTCTCCAAGGGGGAAGCCACGGCTCAGAGAGGGGAAGTAGCTGCCCAACAGCAAGCCATTGTCCCTAGAAAAACACCCAGGAGGCTCAGAAAGAATGAAGAATGTTAATTGCAGCCTTGTTTTTGTAGCAAAACCCTAGACCCACCTAACTGTGTCTCCATCAATAGAGGTGTGACTGAGTGAAGGAGGAAGCTGCAGGGCCGTGAGGAGGCGGGAGGCCCTCTGCGTGTTTGGGCAGGATGGGCCTTGGAGATGCAGGCACGGTGGGGCCCAGAGCAGGGTTCCACGAAGGCCTTTGACAGCCCGGCAAATCCTGAGACAAATAAACCAAGCCTGAGAAGACATTTTTGAGACAACTAGGGAAATTTGGAGGCTGAATGGGCATTAGATAATCTTAAGGAACGCTTGCTGACTTTGGTGAGAGTGCTGATGGAATGGTGTTATTTAAGAAAAGGGGAGCCCAGCCCGTGGAGGCAGACACACCCTGAGACACTTGCCAGGGAGTTGGGGATGCCTGGGTTTGGGGGAGGGGCTCAGAGGAGCCAAGATTGGCTGTGAGCGGGTGACAGGTGGGGCTGGGCTGTGAGGACGTGGGGTTCTTTGACTATTTTGTCTATGGAAAATTTTGACAAAATGAGTTAAGCACCATAATGCAATAGTACATATTTTCTACACACACACACATGCATGTAAATAAAGGCATTTTTTTTTAATGCCTGAAGGGATGTGTTCCAAACAGATAAAGTGTTCAATTCTGGAGGTAAGGCAGGGACTTGGGAGGGGGTGGCATCCACAGGGACATTAATCTTAACTTGTAAGGTTTTAATTTTTTCAAGAGCTATTGCCTGCAGGTTTTACTTACACACTTGAAGGCTGCCCCCTGCCCTGCTGTGGTGTGAATATGTGCCACAAAATTCACGTGCTGAAACTTAATGGCCAATGTGACAGTGTAAAGAGGTGGGGACTTTTAAGAGTGACTAAATCACAAGGGAAGACCCCTCATGGATGGGACCAGGGCTCTTCTAAAAAGACTGGGGGAGTGGGTTTGCTCCCTCTGACTCTTCTACCATGTGAGGATACAGCAAGAAGGCCCTTACCAGACACCAGTGCTGGCATGTTGATTTTGGACTTCCCAGCCTCCAGAACTATAAGAAATAAATTTCTGTTGTGTATAAACTACCCAACCTCAGGTATTTTGCTATAGCAGCGTCAATGGACTGAGACATGCCCCAAACAAAAAAAATGTAAGAGAAAGGAAAAGGCTGACACCGTGGGTTTCAATGCAGGCTTGAGAGCCAGGTGTCTCAATAGCCATGTCTGCACATTTTCAGTCCTTGTAGTGAACAAGAGGAATCTTGGGCTGGCCAGAATCCATAACACCTTGTTCTGGAAACAGCACCCAGCTTTCTTTCTTTAAAAAAACAAAAAATAAAGATGGGGTCTTGCTATGTTGCCCAGGCTGGTCTCAAACTCCTGGGCTCAAGTGGTCCTCCCACCTCAACCTCCCAATGTGTCCAGCTTTCTTTCCAAGGTTCCCTGTTCCCTTGGAGACAATCAGCTGGGACTGCTGCTCCGCGGCCTGCCCTCCCCTTGTCTAGAGGTAGGCATGCAGCCAAAGGCTCCACCCTCTCCTGAAATCCCTCCACAGTGCAAAGGTGCAAGGACTGGTCCCAGCAGGAGCTGACTCCTTCCTAAAAGGTCCCCAACAGAGGGTTCTGTGCAGCCTACAGAAACAAACCCAGCATCATGACTGGGGTCCAAGGTCAAGGGCCCAAATTCCCACTCTACCACTCACCAGCTGTGCAACCTCCAGCCAGCTGTTCACCCTCTTTGTGCCTCAGTTTTCATATCTGTACAATGGGCTATGGTACCTGCTGGCAGGGCTGCAAAGAGGATTCAATGAAACTGTATGTGCATGTGCTTAGCATGGTGTCCAGCACACAGTGAGCGCTCTGTGAACCTTAGCTGATGTTGTTGCAGTTGCTAACATTATTACCATCACCTCTGCCTTCAAGGTCTTATGAGGCGGACCCTACGGTCTCTCAAAATCCAAAACTCTAGCCTCCCCATAACCTTCCAGTTCATTCCCTTCTTGCTGTTGCTGTCAACCAGGCTGTCCTGGCTGTCACAGCTCACAGCACTGCACAGAGATGCCCAATAGGAAACTGACAGGAGCAGCAGAGGTGTGTGGCTGGAGCAAGGCAGGCAGGGGGGTAGGTGGGTGGGTGGCATGGCCCAGGGTGTTCTCTCGGTGGCCCTCTCACACTTCAGGAATCCAGAGGGCCCTGAAGTGGGGGAGAGGGTCAGCCCCCAGAAGAGGGTAGTGGGTCTCCCAAGTTGTATGCACTACCCCACATATGCAGAGGCCAAGGATGAGGCTAGAGTATATTATGCTGTGGGAAAGACTTTTGTTGAAATAAAGAAATGGAGACAGGATCTCACTATGTTGCCCAGACTGGTCTTGAACTCCTGCCTCAAGCAATCCTCCCACTCAGCCTCCCAAAGCGCCAGGATGCCCGGTCATCTTGCTAAGGAAATGAGACCATGCACAAGACAGGAAGGAACCTCACGGAGCACCTGCTATGGGCTAGCCCTGCACCGGGTGCTCTCCCTGCCAATGGCACCAAATATGAATGACAACTGCTGAAGTGGCAGCTGGTGCTCTGTGTGCACCTGCCACCTCAGTGCATCAGGTGCAGCAGGGACACATAGTGTCCCCATGTCATGGGTGAGCAAAGTGAAGCACAGTGAGTGCCCATGGTGGGGCCAGCGCTGGATGCAGGCAGCAGCTGGAGTGCAGCCCCTGATGGGCAGCCTGAGCAAAGAGGCTGGCAGAGGTCATCTGGCGCTAACAGACTGAGCCAGGGTGGGAGCCGGGAGCTGCTGAGCTGGTCCTGCCTCCTGCCTCTTCCAGCCACACTCCACCTCTGGTCACTCTGGGGGGACTGTGTCCCATTCCCTCAGCTTTAATTGAAAGAGTCAGGGGAAGCCGCAGCGAAGCCCAGCGCCATGGCTGCCGCCTGCCGGAGGCCCTCGGCAGCCGCAGAACCTGCAGTCATGCAAATGATTAATGTCAGCTCCGTGGAGGGCTGGGGCCACAGGAAATTGGAGTCGATGAATTTAAGAGAGAAACTCCTTGTTTAAACAGAACTACTTTAGAAAATAAATACTGCCGAGCTTGATGGTAAATACAGATATTTGTGCGGGATGGAGGTGGAAATATGAATTTAATAAAGCTGGCGGCACGTGGCCCTGCTCCGTGGGCCTCTGAATGTGTCCCAGTAGCTGGGAATGCAAAGCTGGGCAGCCTGGTGGCCAGTGCAGGCTTCACACTTACTTGCTCTGTGAGCTTGGCAGCTTTTGTTCCCTCCTGAGCCTCAGAGTGGTCCACACAGTCTCCAGGTGGGACTGTGGAGATAGCACCACCCCTGCCCCAACAGGTTCTCAGCCACCATGTAGCTCCCAAGCCACCACACAGCACAGCCATTCTGGGGACTGAGGCTTTGCTTGTGCTGCAGTTTCCCCTCCTAGCCATATCCTATGATCTCCTATGACCAACATGCCACCTTCTCCAGGAAGGCCTCCCTGGCATTGTGGCATTCCTGAGTGCCTATGTCCACACCCACCAGTTGCCCTTTGCTGTGGACCCACAGCCTCCCAAAACTGTTTTGGGCACAGCAGGCCTCCGGTGGGTTTCATCACTGCTGCTGGGTAGAGAATAAGATTGGAACTCCAGGAGCGGGGAACAGTCACCCAGGTTCATAGAAGAACCAAGAGGAACAGGGCCTGGTGGCTGCAGTGGTCTTGGGAAAAGCAGGGCCCAGGGATGACAACTGCCCAGCTCCTCAAAGTCCCTGAGGGCCCAGCACTGGCTGGATGGAGGTCTCTGCACCTCCTGCTTCCTGCCCTTCCTGTGACACTTATGAGCACCTTCTGTGTACTGAGACACAGAGACACAGACAAAAGGGAAACAGTCCCTGCCCTGGTGGGGGCTCAGATGTGGGCGTGGTAACCTGCAGGGAGAGATGTGTGCCCAGGCTGCGATCAGGCCAGGAGGAGTGGGGTGGCTGGTTTGCCTGGGGTAGCCGGGGAAGTTCCAGGGCAGAGGCCATGGGGAATGGTCGGTGATGGGAGAGAGGCAACTCCTTACAGCCCTGACTCCCAGTATGTGGCTGTCGCCCTGCCGCATGTGGGTGCTTCCTGTGATGCAGGTGGGGAGCTGGCTGTAGCGTGACCATGTGAGCAGTGTCAGCATCTCTGGGGGCCCCTCACACCCCAACCCAAGATGCAGCCGGTGGGCTGGGCAGGCATCTGGATCTCCTCATCTTCGAAGTGGGAACCTACTCAGGATGCTCAGAACAGAATGGCTGATGCCGCCCATAAAAACAGAGTCCCAGGGCCGTCCCCTGCGACATGCTTCAGAAGCCATTGGAAGGCCCCATAGACACAGGTCACACTGCAGGCTGCTGTCTGCCTCCTGACAGAGCCCCCGCACCACAGAAAGCCTCTGGCCGATATCACAGTGACTCTGGGTCTGACTGGGCCGGTGGAGACCCAAGAGGCAGGGTTGCTGGGGAGGGGCAGGGGCATTGGGCCCCACAAAGGCCAACTCCAGGCTTTCGCCAAGCCCCTTTCCTCCCTGCACACAGGGTATTGCGGGGGTGAAATGAAACACTGCGCAGGCTGGCCACAGGGTGGCAGGGGCTCACTCTGCCCCCAGCACACACTGTGCCCTTGAATCTCCTCAGTGCAGCCCTGAGAGGCAGGGGCTAGTGCTACCTCCACTTTTTGGGTGGGGAAACCAAGGCGCAGAGAGGGATAGAAATGGCTTAAGGCCTCATACAGCATGTGCTAACCCTGGGCTGTGGCCCAAAGTGGCCGGCTAGGGCCTGCAGAGAGGGGCTGCCTGGAGGCCAGCTCCCCATGCACCTCAGCCCCACCTGGCTCCATAGGGCTGGACAGACAGAGAGCTCTACCATTGTAGCTTGGCCAGGGTGAAGGGGTCCACTACACCCCCTCTCAGATAAACAGACTAAGTCCTCAAGGAATGTCTGGCCAGGGGACCACCCTGCCCGGAGTGTCTCAAGGCCTCCTGAGGGCTGACAAGACAGATGCCTGGAGATGCCTGCCCAGGCCTCGGGGCATACCCTCCACTCCAAGGAGCAGACGTCCCACTGAGAGCAGTGCACCCCAATATGGTCACGGGGGACAGGTTGCCAGTTATCGCCAGCAGCACCTGGCCCTGGGCAGACCCCGTGATGGGAAACAAGTCTCAGGAGCTGGGACGTTGATGTGTCCCACACGTGCCGGATGACAGTGATTTACACGGGCCTCCTAATCCCCCGCCGGGTACCCTGACTCACACGGCCTGGCACCCCTGCCCGCGCCCACAGGTGGACGGGCACTCACCGAGACGGCTGCACCACTGTTATTTTTTCATAAGCCTGCCTTGAAATTTGTCAAACCACATATTGTTCAAGCATTCGCCCGTCAGAAGAGCCTGCCGCCAGATGGGCTGGCTCCCCCTCCGACACTTGCTCCAGGCAGCACAGTTATACACAGAACTCAGCTTTATGTCGAGTCTTTTAAAGAGGGAAATAAAAAAAGAAGGAGGAGAAATTTTTTAGAAAGAAGAAAGAAATGAGTTGGATTCTGAATAGGCAAGACTATGACGGTGCACAAATCCTGGCTTGCCGGTGCCCTGGTTTTATACGAAAACTCGGGCCAGCGGTAAATAAAACTTCCCGCCTGTCAAACCGTTCATTAGCGAGGTGCACATAATTTATGTACTTAAGAGCTGCCTTCAGCCAAGCTATCACACGGCGAGCATGCTTCATAGGTGTTAGTGTTTATACGGACAGTAAATAAATGTCAAACACACACAAAATCCACTCTGAGGCGGGTGCTGACGTGGCCCCATCCATCATCCGCCCAGCTGGAGGCTCCAACCAGGTTGCCAGGGCCCATGGGCCGCCTGGCCTGGCAGCAGGGCTGGCGGGGGCGGAAAAGGCTTCGTGCAAGAAGGGAGAGGCTGTGGGGGTTTTCCCACCTGTTTGAAGGCAGCCAGGAGGCCCAGGCCAGGATGGGGCTGGGGCTGTTGCATTGAGATGGCCTGACCACCTCCTGGCCCCCGGATCTAGCTTCTCTCCTGAGCTGATCCTCATGAATCCAGGCCCAGGGCAGGCTCCCTGGGCTCCTCCGGGTGTGGGGGTTAAAAGGACCTCGTGTGTCCCAGCGCTGCCAAGCCCGCCAAGCCTGGAGCCACCTCAGAGGCCAGCACGGTCCGGGAGCTAATAATAGCAGCACCGTTTGCTGGGGCCAGGCAGGGGAGGGCGTTTCCATCCATCAGCTCACTGGCTCCTCATCCTGCCTACCAGGTAGGTCCTGTTTTTCAGAGTTTAGAGCTATTTTTAATAAGAACTTTCAAAAACTGTTTTTGCAATCCTTTTACATGGTTCACAATTCAAAATGTACAAGTGGCAAGCACTCACGGACGGGTCTCCTCCTCCCTCAGCCCCCACCACCGTCCTGTCCCAGAGGCAGGGTTTTCTGCAGTTTGGGGTGGGGATCATTGTGGGAGAGCATTTGCATAACAGCGTCCTGCCACTGTTCTGGCAAAGCTGTGACTTACCCACACAGCCCCGCCCCTGCCTTTCTCCCTGAGGGCCACACCTCAGCTCAGGCCTCCACAGACACAGAGGTTGCCCCAGCTTCCTCGAGGAGGGGGCACACCCTCCCAAGTCACTGCTCCTACACACCAACAACCAACCAGGGCTCTGATAGCCATGCTGGGGGGCTAATGTGGGTTGAATTATACCCCCCTAAATGTACTTGTTGAAGCCCTAACTCAAATACCTCTCCATGTGACTTTATTTGGAAACAGGTTGTTACAGAGGTAATTAGTTAAGATGAGGTCATAACGGAGTAGAGGGGCCCTAATCCAGCATGACTGTGTCCTTATAAAAAGGGGGAAATTGGCCGGGTGCGGTGACTCACGCCTGTAATCCCAGCACTTTGGGAGGCCGAGGTGGGCAAATCACGAGGACGGGAGATCGAGACCATCCTAGCTAACATGGTGAAACCCCGTCTCTACTAAAAATACAAAAAAAACAAAACAAACAAACAAACAAAAAAACAGTAGCCAGGTGTGGTGGTGGGTGCTTGTAGTCCCAGCTACTCGGGAGGCTGAGGCAGGAGAATGGCATGAACCCAGGAGGCGGAGCTTGCAGTGAGCCGACATCGTGCCCCTGCACTCCAGCCTGGGCAACAGAGCAAGACTCTGTCTCAAAAAAAAAAAAAAAAAAAAAAAAAAAAAAGCAGGGGGGAAGTTTGGAGACACACACAGGGACTGCACCATGTAAAGATGGAGGCAGACATTGGGTGATTCCCCTGCAAGCTGCAGAACGCTAAAGATTGCTGCCAAACACCAGAGCTAGAACAGCCAGCAGATTCTCTTTCACAACCTCAGAAGAAACCAACCCTGCTGCCACGTTGATCTTGGACCTCTGGCCTCCAGAACTGCGGGATGATAAACTTCTGCAATTTGAGCCACCACGTGTCTGGTGCTTGGTTATGCAGCCCTAGGAAGCTGATACGGGCCATTGAGGGTCTGGAGCACCCTGACCTTCATCACCAGAAACTCCCCAGTGAGAGATTGGGTGGGCCTGGGGTTGAATATGGGCCCCCTTCCCTGGTGCTCAGCAGTCACCTCACCTCTCTGGGCTCAGTCTGTTCATCCGCTCAACGGGACGAGTAACAGACCTGCCTCGGCTGCTTCAGCTGTTGATTGATAGAATCTCCCTAAAGGGCTGTAGCACTGTGCGTGACACACAGGAACCCTCAATGGAAGTCAATAGATGCTACTATTCAGGGACAGCTCAAGTATGGGGCAATAACTGAACCCATCACCAGGAGCAACTTGCTGCCGTGTGGTCTTGCGGGGGCACCACAGTGAGCCCCACCTCGGGGTGGCTCATCACACACAGTCCAGTGAACCAGAAGCTGCTGGGATGAAGCAAGAGCAGATCAGAATGACTCAGAGCCTGAGTCCAACCTCCTTGTTCTACAGGTGAGAAGGTCACCCCAGACAGGGAGAGGCTCAAGACCTCCAGCGAGTCTATGTCCCAGGCGGGCTTCCTCATTTAGCATCAGTGGCCACAGCCCGTGCTACCATTCCCTACCCATCTTCCCACAGGAAGACAGGCAATGCTGGGTCTTCCCACTGCAGGGCTCCTGTGGCCAGATGAGGCCCTTGGGAAGCCTGGCACTCATCTTGCCGGGCCATTGCATGGGTTAGCTGTGGCTGCAAAGATGCTATATAGCAAACAACTACAACAGCTCACATTTAGCACACCAAGCACACATTTAGCAATACGACAGAAGCATGGATTTGGCTCCACGCCTGTGATTCAGCTGAGGTTTGACTGAGGATGGGATGATGGAGACTGAACTCGATGGAGCAACCTGACTGCCTCAGGTCCTGGAACAACAGCCATGTGAGTGCCCCAAGGAGGCACATTCATCCTGGGGCAATATCAGATGTATACGAGGGAAGCAGTAGCGCAAACACACACTCTGAGCATCAAGGCCCTAGACCACAGCTGCATCCCACTTGTCCAAGCAGTGAAGGGTAGGGAATCCAACCTCCTTCCAGGAGCAATTGCAAAGGACACAGATACCAGGGAATGAGGAGCTGAGGCCATGAAAGGACTCGGCTTCAGCCCTCCTTCCATGGACCCACGCAGAGCACCATGAGCCAGAGGAGGGAAGTAGCACGCCGATTGTAATAGTCACCAGGGCACACTTTAGAAAAGTATAACTTGTCCATCATTTTGTAGCTATGGCTTCTTTGAGCACCGCAAAGTATAATCGGTCAGAACAAGGGCCACTGCAAGAATAATGTTAAATACATAAGATCCCGAGGCCCACAGCTCTGGCCAAGCCTGAAGGTGGTGCCCACAGGGCTGGAATTTGGAAAAACCTACCTAATCCATGCCATCTCCTGCCCAGAGAACATTTGTATTTTTAATAGGGACCTCCAAGGAAGAAACCAAAGGCATGACAGATGGTGATATTTCAGGCCCTATATGAAATGAGGTGAGGTGGGAGAGGCACCTCAAATCACTAGAGACAAAAGTAGCTTTGGAACACACAGATAAGGGCAAGCCTTGGCTAGTGTCAAGATTCAAGGAAAAACCACCCCAGAGCCCCAGCTCCCAGCATAATGAGGTTCACATCCATGGTATGGCAAGAGCTGCTGTGAAATCACCTAAGGGTCTTAGTTGACCACAAGCTGAAATGAAGACTTCACGGCTAAACAGAGATACGGTCTCAGGCTGCACAAAGAAAATTAGGTTTTCTCAGAAGCTGAGAGGGGTGGCACTTACACTCTAGCTGGAGAGAACTGCTATCCTCCTCCATCTCAAGAAATGTCCTCTGTTTCTTGCTCTACATTTTGTAAAGGACATTAACAAACCATCATTGGGCATTGGCAGTATTCAGTAAACAGCTCCTGTCCCAGGGATGGAGGGAGGTGGTTCAGAGATGAGACCAAAACCAGCAGGAAACAGTCATCTCAAGACCAGAGGGCAGAGCCGAGGTGACCCACCTGCGGACGAGCTGCTACAGGGCCCCTCTGGTCTGTAGTCCAGATCCATGCTCTTTCAGCCTAGAGACTCCAAGGATGGACCCAGGCCCATAGTGTCGTCGAGCTCTACTTTAAGGTGTCAGGAGCCCAGGTTCCAGAGAGGATACTCAGGCCAAGAGGGCGTGGGAGCCATAGAACTGGGTGCACAGTGATGATATCTTGGTGACAAGTGGCAGAAACCAAATGCAAACCAAAAATAAAGAGAAGCGCATTCGCTCAATTAAGTGGAGAGGCAGCAAGGGACGTGGCAGCAGAAAGCCCTGCCCACAGCTCACAGTGTGAGAGGTGCAGCCAGGGCACAGGCTGCCAGCTCCAGGTCAGAGAGTCCACCAGCAGGCGGGTCTCATTCCAGGAAGAGACTTGCAGGAAAGAGGTGCCAGAGCTCCTGGGGAAGCTGCAGCTGGGTCTCCCTCTCCTGGACCAGTTCTGCCTCTGGTCCTGGCCCATGGAGGATGTTTGCATGAAAGAAGGAAGGAAGGAAGGATGGATGGAAGGAAGGAAGGAAGGAAGGAAGGAAGGAAGGAAAGAAGGAAACAATGGTCTTCGAATACAGGTGGCACGGCACAGGACACGGCACTGTGACTGTGTACTCCAGCACTTTAAAGTCCCTGCACCCAGGCCCGGATCCAATCCCCCACAACAAGACCTCCCCAACCTCACTGTGCCTCACCACAGGCCCTACCACGCTACAAGATGCCCTCCCACACCCTACCCCAGCCCTGCCATAGGCCCCACCTCATTCCAGGCCTCTCCAGGGCCCCACCCCATCAGAAGCTCCACCCCAGGCCATCCTGCCTCACTCAGCACTCAACACTCAGCTTTGTATCTCCTGCTGTGACCTCCTCCATCTCCAACTGGGGTCCTGGCATTCCTATGCCCAAGGTCCCACCATGACCCCCGTCACTCTCACTTCCCAGCTGAGTGAACCTGGACGAGGCCTCAGTTACCTCCTCTGCAGGATGGGGTGCCTGCCTGCACTTGGAGATCAGCCTTCCCAGCTGCTTTGTGGAGTGCCTGCCACGTGGGGTGGGACCACAAACCAGAGATACAGGGGTGCACCCAGGGGACTATTCCTGGCCACCACCCTACAACACAATCCCAGAGGCCAGCTCTTTGCATTTTGTAGGGGATTTTCCTACTGACTCCCCACTCGGTGTCCCCATGGCATGGCTTTATGGTGTCTTTCCTCCTGTTCCAGGACTAGCTCCCCAATTTCACACAGGCACCTGCCCCCCTTCTGCATCTGTATGGTTCCAATGGATCAGACCCTGTCCTAGTGCAGGGGTCCTGATGCATTAGCCCGCCTAGCACCATGATAGGCCACGAATGCACAAGACAAAGTTCACCCAATCAGAGCTCACTCAGAGCCTCGGCTGGCGTCGGTGGGAAAGAGGTCATGCCCCTTCCTCTGACCACTGAGAGGACACAAGTCTTCCCTAGGTGCCCATGCCAGCTCTGACTTTGCAAGGGGAGAGACCATCTGAGAATAAAGCTGGCAGAGAGGGGCACACTGGAGCCACTGGATCCAGCTGTGCCTGAAGGCAGACCTATCCTGGATTTGTCAGCTACACACTTCAGCCTTGGACTTGGATTTCCGATGCCTTCAATGAGATGAGAAAATCGAGTCTCAAAGGGCCTGGGATCTAAACTGGGACAAAGGTGAGCAGACACTGGCCTCAGGTCACATGACTCCAAATGCTGTCCTCCACCACGTGATGGCCTCCGCACTCCGAAAGTGCTGAAGGACGTGAATTTGTGTGTGCAGGTGTGTGAGTGCTTGTGCATGTGAGAACGTGTGTGTGGACCTGTGTGTTTGTGTGTGTACATGTGAGGATGTAGTGTGGGGGTGTGCATGTGTGTGTGAGCAAGTGTGTGCATGTGAGTGTGTGTGTGCATGTGAGTGTGTGTGTACATGTGAGAATGTGGTATGAATGTGTGCATGTGAGTGTGTGTACATATGAGAATGTAGTGTGAGTGCATGCATGTGAGTGTGTGTGTGAGTGTGAGTGTGTGTGTATGTGCTGTGATTTCCCTGAGCCCCCAGCAAACAGACAAAAGCTCACTGAAGGCAGAGGGTAGAAGCCAGAGGGCTGGCACACCTGTGAGGCTTCCTACTGAGTGCCCCAGGAGCTAGGGACATGTTGCATCTGGCGGCAGTTCTGGGAGAAGTTCTGGGATGTGCTACAAAGCACCAGAAGCCCCTGCTCCCCGGACCATCCACCCGAGGCCCAGTCACATCCTGGTGCATTGCCCAGCTCCGTGGAAAGGACAGTGGAGGGAGGCACTGGCCTGGAGTCAGGACACCATCTACTCCCTAACCTTCTGCCCCACCACCCCCACTCCCGCCCCTGACTTGCCGAAGGAGCCAACAGCTTTTACCAGGCATGAAAATCAAGACCTGGGAGGGGTGGATTCCCAGGAAGAGGCTTCAACTAGCAGCAACCTGAGCCCTGGGAAGCCTGCGCCTGGGTCTTTCACAGGGGGAGTTCCATGGCTGAGAGCCGACCACGACTCCTCGGCCACCCGCCTCCTCCCCTCAATGACCGTTGGTGCTGAGACAGGTGACATCTTGTGCTCCAGGGCCTGGGCTTCCTGCCACCACCTCTCCTTCACTTCCAGAAGCCTCTGTGTGGACTCCATCCCCCATCCCCATGCAGTCTGTACCCTAGGCACTCCTCACTGAGATCAAATCCTCTCCTCTCAACTCACCCCCACCGCCTTTCTCACGCCCAAATGAGACCTGTGCTCTGATGATGGACACCCTCCCTCATCACCTAGGGCGCTCAACTCCAAATTCTTTTTGCCGAAACCACCCCAGGAAAGGAATTTCGGGACCCCCACCCAATGGGTAGGTTTACTTATCTGGAAAAGATCTGCCCATCCTGCTCCCACTCGATAATATCTGGATGTGCAGCAAAAGTTTAGGCAGCCTGGTGCTCAGCGTGAAGCCCTATCTGAATGGAGGACTCGGTGAGCTTGGGGCTCTGATGCAGATGTCCTCACAGCCAGGGTGGCCTCTAGGATCTGTGAGACCTTGGGAGAGTTGCTTCACCACTCTGTGCCTCAGTTTCACCACCTGGAAAAGGGATGCTAACAATCATTCTTACCACCCAGGGCTGCTCTGTGGACACTGAGCTAACTTGCATGGACCCCCAAGGGAGCCTGGCTCCCACCGAAACGTTACTATCTCCAGGGCTTGTGTCATTGATGCTGTCTCAATAGGCCCTGGCCTGACTTAAGGCAGCTGCCCATCTTGGGTCACGTTGGTTCTGTTAAAACTGGATAATGTTACCCACAAAGTTCCCTATGAGGACCTGCAAGAAGGTGCCAGAGACAGGGCGCAGCCGCATTTCAGAGTTTAACAGTAGTCATGCCCAGTTTCTTTCCCATGCCTCTAGATTTTAAAATGCAATATTTGTTGTTGCCACCACCCCTAACCTGACCCCTGGGCTGTACACACCCCACCATGGAGACCCTGGTCCACAGACATCACCTGCCCTCCCAGATTTGGGCGTGGCCTTCTCACCTCTGCCTCATGTGCCCCTTCTGTCCCCTCCCCAGCTCTCTGCCCAGCAAGGGCTGCCTCCACCTCCCAACTTGGCCAGGCGGCCTTTGCAATGCCTCTGCCGCCCTCTCCCACCTGGCCAGTTGCCTTTTTTTTTTTTTTTTTTTTTTGAGATGGAGTTTTGCTCTTGTCACCCAGGCTGGAGTGCAATGGCACAATCTTGGCTCACCGCAACCTCCGCCTCCCAGGTTCAAGCGATTCTCCTACCTCAGCCTCCCAAGTAGCTGAGATTACAGGCGGGTGCCACCACACCCGGCTAATTTTGTATTTTTAGTAGAGACGGGGTTTCTCCACGTTGGTCAGGCTGGTCTCGAACTCCCAACCTCAGGTGATCTGCCTGCCTTAGCCTCCCAAAGTGCTGGGATTACAGGCATGAGCCACTGCGCCCTGCCAAGCTGGCTAATTTCAACTCAGCCTTCAAATAGCACCTCCCCAACCCAAGTGGAAATACACCCTTTCTACTGTGGGCACCCCCTCCGTCCCTTGGCACTCACCAATCTCCCTTGAGTCTGTGCAGTGTCTGTGTCCCCCAACCCCCTCCAAGCAGAGTTGAGGTGTCTCTTACCAGCATTTCTCAAACGGGGGCAAGTTTGGGTCCCCTTTACAACATCTGGAGACATTTTTGGTTGTTATGACTTAGGGGGTGCTCTTGGCATCTGGAGAGTGGAGGCCAGGGATGCCACTCAGCACCCTGAAGTGTACAGGACCACCCCCACCCGGGAGAACGATCCAGCTCCGACATCAGTCTTTTCGAGGCCAAGACCCAGTCCGGGCCCAGTGTCCAGCCAAGGCTGGCACCCAGAAGTGCTGGTGGGGTTTGCTGAATGGTGCAGCAGGCAGGGCCCCTCCTGGGCTGCAGCACTCCCGCCCCAATTACTTTTCTCTTCCCCTAATCCTGTTGTCAGAAGACAGCCAAGGAAAACACGCACAAGTCCCCACTGACCGGTGCACGCAGCCTTGAAGAATTAGGTTTCGCAGTAATTAAGCTCATCCGGTACATGTGCGGCAAGGTCTGGCCATGCCGCCTCTTGCCAGCCCCCTGCCCCAGGACATGATGGGGACACGGTGACGGGTGATGGGGTGAGGGGATGCTGGGGGAACAGATTCTGGGGGTCAGGAGTGAAGAAGGTGCTGGGTGATGGGACGTTGAGGGTGTCGGGATGGAGGTCTGGGGCTGACGAGGTGACAGCAGTACTGGAGACAGGGCAGCGCCTCCCACGTCCTTGACTGGGGAGGGTCTTGGTGGATATCAGATTGCCTGGGCCAGTCACGGCCCCCAGGCCCACGAGGAGGAGGAGGGTGGCTCAGGAGAGCGGAGGCCCGGCTGGGCTGATGGCTGCTGCTCCCGCACCCCCAGCTGTCCTCTTCCAAGCCCCCTCCAGGCCAGACACTCCCCCTGCATGCAGGCCCCTCATCTTCAGGAGCCTCGCCTTTCTGTCTCTTTTTGTCCTTTTCTCTTTCTCTTTCTTTCAGCCTCTCTCCCTCTAGGCCCCTTTTTCTCTCTCTGCCTCCATCTCTCCTTCCCTGTCTCTCTCCATTTTCTCAGTCTCTGCCTCTCTGTCTCCGCATATCCAGGTCTTGCCCTCTTTCTGATCCCCTAGCTCTGCTTCTCTGAACCTGTGTACCCACCTCAGACTCCTTCAGCCCCCACTTTTCCCAGAACCACTCCTTTCCCCACCCCTCCTTCCCAGGTACTGGAGTCTGAGGGTCTGGCGGACACCTCCATGGCCTGGAGGCACATGGGTGGACAGGAGCTGTCCATGTGCAAGGATTCTGGGGAGCAGCGGGCAATGCTGGAGCAACTTCAGGTCTGGGTTCTGGCTGTGCCTGACTCTCCCCTCTCTGAACCTCAGTTTCCTGCTGGGGAACTGGAGAGCTGGGGGCATCTGTCCCCACACTCCTGCTACTCTGCTCCACACCCAGGGGCCTGCGCTGTTTTGGCCAAGGGGCTCGCCTATCCTGGGCTCATAGTCCTCTGCGTTTCCAAGTTGCATCAGCACCACTAGGACTCCGCCAGCAGGAAGGGGGTGGACCCGAGAGACTTGGCCAGGCCAAGCCATGACCCCATCATTTTGTCTTAACACAAAACCACACCCAGTGCATGGACCCTGCGTCTGTCCCCTGAGAGAAGAGACTTCAATAGAGAGCTAGCAGTTTCTCCACAGGCCTTAGGATGGCACTTGATTAATCTCTGTGTTTGAGAGACTTGGACTAGACTGGGACAACCATGCTGGCCCCTATGTATTGCCCCGGCCTGTGTGGGAGCCTGGGGTACAGATGGACGGTGCCTTATGCCTCCAGGTCCCCATCCCTGAGCCCCGAGCCATGTGCCGTACACTGGGAGGGTGCCAACGAGAGGACTTTAGGAGCTTCTAATTCCCGCCCAGTGCAGGGATTTCCCCCACATGCCACCCAGATGTGCCCACCCAGCCCCGGCAGCCTCTCAGGGAGCCCAACAAGGGCAGAGCCCACGTGGGAGGATGGAGGGGCCCAACCTGACTACTCCTGTCAGCTCAGGGACACACAGCACCCCCACCGGACCTTCCTCTTCGTGCTCTAAGCCACCTTTTCTTCACCATCGCTGTGCCCCGCTGAGGCCTCGACCTCTCTCCCGGACTTCAGTACAAGCTCTCATATCACCTTCCTCTGCCCTCACCACCTCCAGCATCTCTCTGCAGCAGTGGTCCTCCTGGATAGGACTCTGACCATGTCCCCACTGAAGGGCAACATGGAGCCCCCTGAGCACCCAAGCCCGGCATGGAGGTTGATGGTCAATCTCAGGTCCCACACTCCGACTGCTATTGCTGCAACCTTAGAAACGCGGCAAACCAAGAGCCTGTACCTGATGTCCGGCCTGTGGTAGCTGAGATGGGAAGCTGTGGTTGGCAGCGATGGGCTTGGGCATATTGACAGTGTCAGGCCCCTACCCACACATCAACCCCTGTGACCCAGAGCAATCTGAGCCTCAGGTTCCCCCTCTGCTCCTGATGAGCAAGTGACAGAGGGCCCCCATGCACAGCAAGTGGCAGGGGTGACAGGAGGAGGCCAGCCAACGGTGCACCACCTGTGCACCAGGGTTGCATCAGAGATCTATAAATGAGCAGTAAGAAAGAACTACAAAGGTCAGTGTTAAAATTTCACTTGCCATTGATGACCCGGATGGCTTCTTTGCCGAATCAAATGCTGGAAGGACATTGCCTCTGTTCCTGTGCTAGTCACAATGCAATGGCTTCAGATCCAGGGCACTTTTAACCTGAATCTGCATTACCAACATCTTCCCCATCATTTTCTTCCATTCAGACCATAGGTTTGTCAACAAAGGCTCTCAGGCCGAATCTAGCCTATGGCCTGCGAGTTAAGAATAGTATTAACATTTGCAAAGAGCCTTAGCAGAAGAGGAAAGAAGACAGAGAAGAAGGAAGAGGGAGGGGAGAGGGTGACAGCAGGTGCAGCAGCCACCATAAGTAGCCGGCAAAGCCTAGAATATGACCTCTTGTGGCAAAGTTTGCAGACCCTTCATTTAGACAACCTATCAAACAATAAATTGAGCCTTGATTTGTAGTATTTACAGCTCTCCACGACATTTGTGGCCGGTTTTAAACTACTAACATGCAGTCACTGAGCACGGTTTTGGGAAGAGAGGCCAGGGGCAGCCGTCACGCCGTACCTCCCATGCAGGTGCACACGCAGCAGGACTTGCAGAGCACGGATAACAGCAGCACAGCCACCCTTGGTTCTAAAACAGCATATATAATTCATTTAATTGTACATTTATATAATTGACTTTTCATAACGACTGTGTTAATGCCTGGCTCACACATCCCTGCAGTGCCACAGCCAGCCGGCGCAGACTCCTCCGCTGATATGGGCAGTGCTGGATGCAGGTCAGAGTCACAGGAGGCAGCTCTGTGGCACCAGCCACATTTCATCACTGGAGAAACTTCCACTGGCTAGTGCTGCTCCAGCCTTTCTTAAGGCCTTGTTTAAATGTTCTGTCCTTTTCTAAACTGGGCCACACCTTGACAGAGAAGCTTGTATGTCTGAACATGGAACATTAATAGGGGAGGGCCCTGGAGGGCCAAGAGGGTGGTGGCAGTAATAACTGGTATGAGACCCCATCATGGGAAACAGCACTCAGCACAGGGCAGGCTTACAAACCAGGTGCTTCCGCTGCGTAAGAATGTCCCTGAATGGCAAGTGCTGCAATCCAGGTATAACTGTTTAGCCCTTGTCACAATGCTCAAAAAAGATGTGTTAAACAGACAGGGTGCAGTGGCTCATGCCTGTAATCCCAGCACTTTGAGAGGCCAAGGCGGGCAGATCACGAGGTCAGGAGTTCAAGACGAGCCTGGCCACCATGGTGCAACCCCATCTCTACTAAAAATACAAAAATTAGCAGGATATGGTGGCACACACCTGTAATCCCAGCTACTCAGGAGCCTGAGGCACAAAAATCGCTTGAACTGGGAGGTGGAGTTTGCAGGGAGCCAAGATTGCACCACTGTATTCCGCCTGGGCAGCAGAGTGAGACTCTGTCTCAAAAAAAACAAACAACAAAAAGATGTGTTAAACAAATTTATATTCATATAAACACAGTTACGCTCCACCTGGAGCTCGGGTTCAAATCCTGGCCCTACTGCTGTGAGTAACTGTTATGGACACCTGCTGGCACCTCTCCTTCAGGTGCAGCCACCAATTGTCATTGAGAACGCCCCCAGCCTCAGCCTATGTGGTTTACAAGGGACTATCCAGGCCCTGGGATGCCCAGGTCTGTCCCAGCAGGCCCAGCACCGACCTGCCCGCCACTGTGACTGTTACAGCAGTGACCACAAGCTCCAGTCAGAGCTCCTCCTAGGCCTTTTCTCGGACTCTTGGAAAAAGAGGCTTTCACTTAAGGCTGCTGACAGGCTGAGAGGGCTCCTACCAGGCCTGGGCCACCACAGGGGAAGGGGCAGTGCCCAGCTGAAGACCTGTTCCCTTCCCTGGAGCTGCCTGAGTTCCTGGGCCCTTCAGTTATGCAAGCCAAGAAGTCCCCTTCTATGTTTAAACCAGTTGGGGTTGGCTTCTGTCACTGGTAACCAACAGGGTCTTTGTTAACATGGCAGGTCATTTAATTTCAACTTCCCCATCTGTAAATCAGAGGCCACCCCAGCTTCTCCAAGACTGACTGTGAGGACAAACCCTGCCATCCCGGATCTCTGACAAGAAAGTAGGCCCCAGAAGTCTAGGGTCAGAGGCTATGGCTAAGGAACCAGGCAGCCCAGCAAAAGCCTGGCCAGATGCCGGGCAGGATGGCTGAGCAGGAGCAGGTGGTGGAGAGCCACTGAAGCAGGAGGAAGAGTGGCATGGAAGGAATCTAGATCGTGGCCTTCCATGTTCAGTTACTGATATGGAGTCTGGCCCAGGCCTTCTAGGAGACTGGAGAAGGGTCACACGGGGCCGCTTACCTCATGGTGGAGTAGGGGGAGGGCGGGGCAAGTTGCAGCTGAGCACATGGGGCAGGCTCCAGGAGGGCCGACACCTGAGCTGGTGGTCTAGCGCACTCATTCAGCACACTCCCAGATGCGGTCCACCCTTTGTGCCTGCCCTCCGTGCCCCACCATTTGCCTGAAAGCCTCCTAGGGCTCACACAGTCACAGCCGAGCCCCAGGCACTTCAGGCCTTTCCCCATGGCTGCCCCTTACTCCTGCGGGCATGGCTTCTACAATCCTAGCTCTCCGGGCCTCCCTACCAGGTGACCTCCTGCTTCACCTTCAAGGCCCAGATCTAGTGTCTCCTCCTCCACAAAGCCTTCCTTGACCTCCCACTGAAATCAGGCTCCTCACCACAGCACTTGTCATGAATGTCCCATGGGTCCTTTCCCCAGGAAGGGCACAGGCTGCACCACACCAAAGCCAGCACCCAGGCCTCACCCCCACCAGCAGAGGGTGGGCATTAAGAGGGCAAAAAGGCAGGGTCTGCTTTCTCTGACCGCTGCCTGAGAGCTCCTCTGAGGAAGGCCAACACACAGAGGCATTTCTTTCATTAAAAAAATGAACAGAAGAAAGAACGAACAAACACCGGAAAAGAGGCGTTCTTGGAAGTAGCTTGCATGCTGGACCCAGCTGGGCGGGCAGCTTTTCCCTCTTCTGATTTTCCTATCCCGCTCCATCTTGGTCAGATACCCAATACTTCCTTTTGGAGAACACATACATTTGTTTGACTTGGAATATTGAATTTGGAGGCCGTTCAGCAATTTCAAATTTCAGGAGTGGGGCAGTGGGGAGACACTGTAAATTAAAAAATTCTTTCCTCTTCAGTTTCTACCCAAGATTGTATATTTTTTGATGGCAAAATTAGGGATTAACTATAAACATCTGTTTGTTCGATACTGACATGGTTGTGAGAACAATTACCAAAGCCATTGGTGTAGGGGGAGGGTTCGGATGCTTCAAGTCCGCAGTGGAAACTCTCGGTCTCCTACCAGGGCTCTGGAAGAGGGGGACGGGGGAGAGGGGACAGGGAGTAAGAGGGAGAGATTCAGGAGAAAGCAACAGGGACAGTCCCTCCGACCATCGCCCTCCTCCATGACACCCCAGCGCTGGGCAAGTGTCCCTCTCTTCCCGCCCCAGCCCTGCCCTTTCTGCTCAGTCCTTGTCACCTGAAGCCTTACTCCTTCAACAGCCTCCCACAGGTCCTTTCTGACCACCTGCTCTTTGTCAGGCACTGTGCTAGACTCAGGATACAGCCATAGACAAGATAAAAGCGTGACTGCTCACACAGCCACCACACTGTGTGTGAAGGAAGAGCCACCAGCCCACTCAGATCATGACTCTGTTCATGACAGTGATGACACGCAGGTGTCCCAGCAGAGACACGGGGACAGCCATGTCCATGAATGACAGGCCCTGATGGGTCTGTTGAGGAAGGCTCTGCAGAGAATGATCTTCAAGTAGAGTGTGGAAGGATAAACAGGAATTAACTGCTAGGCACAGTGGTTCACACCTGTAATCCCAGCACTTTGGGAGGCCAAGGCAAGTGAATCACTTGAGTCCAGGAGTTCAAGACCAGCCTGGGCAATATGGTGAAACCCCATCTCTACTAAAAATACAAAAAATAGCCAGGTGTTATGGTGTACAACTGTAGTCCTAGCTACTCAAGGGGCTGAGGTGGGAGGATCACTTGAGCCCAGGAGGTTGAAGCTACAGTAAGCCGTGATCGCACCACTGCACTGTAGCCTGGGCAACAGAGCAAGACCCTGTCTGGAAAAAAAAAAAAAGAGTAATTAACCAAGGAAGGGAAGTGGGGAGAGACTTCCAGGCAAATGGAGTGGCCTGTGCAAAGGCCCTGGGGCAGGAGAGTGTGTCTACTTGGGGCTGAGTACAGAGAGTCTGTTGTGTGGAGAATGTGGCTGAGGCTTAAAGCCCCTGGGAGCCCTTGAAGGATTTTTTGTTTTGTTTTGTTTTGCTTTTTATATTACTTTAAGTTCTGGGATACATGGTGCAGAATGTGCAGGTTTGTCACATAGGTATACATGTGCCATGGTGGTTTGCTGCACCCATCAACTTGTCATCTTGGTTTTAAGCCCTGCATGCATTAGGTATTTGTCCTAATGCTCTCCCTCCCCTTGCCCCCCAACCCCGACAGGCCCCGGTGTGTGATGTTCCCCTCCCTGTGTCCATGTGTTCTCACTGTTCAACTCCCACTTATGAGTGAGAAGATGCAATGTCTGCTTTTCTGTTCCTGTGTTACTTTGCTGAGAATGATGGTTTCCAGCTTCATCCATGTCCCTGCAAAGGACATGAACTCATTCTTTTTTATGGCTGCATAGTATTCCATGGTGTATATGTGCCACATTTTCCTTATCCAGTCTATCATTGATGGGCATTTGGGTTGGTTCCAAGTCTTTGCTATTGTAAATAGTGCTAGAATAAACATGCATGTGCATGTGTCTTTATAGTAGAATGATTTATAATCCTTTGGGTATATACCCAGTAATGGGATTGCTGGGTCAAATAGAATACCCTTGAAGGTTTTTAAGACTAATCAGTGCACAAGATCAGATCTGAGCTTCAGGGAGATTCTGCCAACAGCAACTGAAGGAGAAAAGCAGAGCCACGGGGAAACCCACGGGGAGGCGGCAAGCTCCATAGACAGGACAGGACTCAGAGAAGGCAGAGGGACAGATGATGATCCATTGAGACTCAGGGTGGTGATGCCATTTGCTACAGTAGGGAGCTGGGGAGCAGGAGTTCAGGGGAAGGTTTGGAGTCTGGCTTCAGACATGGTGAGTTTGAGGGACTCGTCAGACATCTAGGGGGCCTCAAGGAAGAAACTGGCTCTACGGGCTAAAATCACGGCGAGGCCTGGGTCAGGAGTCCACATTTGGGAGTTACTGGCATGGGGGTGGTTTAGAGTGAGAGCAGCAGGGCAGAAGGCTGACCCCTAGGGAGCCCTGGCCTGAAGCCTCAAGGTCCTAAAAAGAAAACAGAGGACACTGGACAAGCAGGGGTTGGGAATCAGGGAGCTGTATTTCAGGAGGAGAGGGAGGCCAGCTGCTGTGGATAGTCAAGAGGTGACAGCCACCATCTAGGTAAGGTATCAGGTGTGTTCACTTGTTAACTCCTCACTACAACCCTGGGAGGTAGTTGTATCACTGGCCTCATCTTACAGGGAGGGAAACTAAGGCACATAGAGGTGAAAGAATCCTGCCTTATGTTTGAGAGCTCGGAAGCAGCAGCAGCAGGATCTAAACCAGGTGGTCTAGAGCCAGAGCCTGCGCGGACCACTGCTGCACACTGCCCATGGGTACTGCAAGTTCTGGGTTTGCTGACGTGAAGATCACTGGTGGCTGGATCAGCCAGCTCCAGCTGCCATCATGAAGCACCACGGACTGGGGGCTTAAACGACCACATTTGTTTCCTCACCATTCTGGAGGCTGGAAGTCTGAGGTCCAGGTATCAGCAGGGTTGGTTTCTCCTGGGGCCTCTCCTTGGCTTGCAGGTGGAATCTTCTCCCTGTGCCTTCACATGGTCATCCCTTTGTGTGGGCCTGTGTCCTCATCTCCTCTTCTTACGTGCACAGCAGTACTGAATCAGGGCCCACCCTAAGGGCTTCATTTTACCTAAATCACCTCTTTAAAGGCCCTACCTCCAAATGCAGTCACGTTCTGAGGTACTGGGGGTTCGAGCTTGAACTCCCAGTACATATGAATCTTGGGGACATAATTCAGCCCATCACAGTGACTTAGTGAGAGCAATGTTAGTGGACAAAGCCAGATTTAGGGTGCAGAGGGTGCGAGAGGAAGAGGACCTGAGACAGCTGGGGAGGGCAACTCCTTAAGAAGCTTAGCTGTGAATGATGTGTGCTGGTTCTCTACGGCTGGGTAACAAAGCATGCCAAAATAACAATTAAAATAACAATTTATTTTTCTGGTGACTCCTACTTGGGCTTTGCTGGGGCTCTGGGGTGGCTGGGAGTGCTAAGATGGCCTTGTGCGTACAGCTGGCAGTTGGTCTGGGCCATTGGCTAGGAGTATCTTGGTTCTCAGCCCCAGGTTCTCTCCATGTGGCTGCTTGGGCTTCCTTATGGCATGGTTGCTAAGTGTCAAGACCCAGCACTCCCAAAGGACAAGTCCAGGGTGCTAGTGTGTATTAAGCTTCTGTTTGCATCATGTTTGCCCATGGACCAGGCTACTCACATGGCCAAGCCCAGAGTCAGCACGGGAAGCATGGCTCATTGAGAGCCACCTAAGTCAGTATGCCACAGGGCCAAGACACAGCTGACTAGCGGGAGGGCACTCTAAGGTTGCAGCAGGATGTATTTTACAAATGGTTGTGACTTGCTCATGTTTAAGAGCTGACCAGAAAGTGGTCAATAGAGAAGGGAGAGGCTGAAGATAAGGGCAGCAGAGTGATGATTTAAAACATGCAGAGCTATGCTTTACTGAGCATTTACTGCATGCCATGCTCAAATCTAAGAGCTGGCAACAGCCCAGCAATGCAGTTCCTAACTGCACCCTCATTTCACAGATAGGGCTCAGTGCTCTAGGACTGAGCTGTGTGCACAGAGGGAGTCAAGAGGTCTCCTATTAAGCCTAACCTCAAAGTCCTCGTCCCTAACCACACACTTCACTGCCATGGAGGAGTGAAGTAATGCTCACTGGGTGTGATGGGCTGGTTTGTGTCCCCCCAAATTTGTGTATTGAAGTCCTAACCCCCAGGATCTGAGAGTATGACCTTATTTGTAAATAGAGCTATCCTATAGAAGTAATTAGTTAAGATGATGTCACACTGATGTAGGGTGGGCACTAATCCAATATGACTAGAGTACTTAGAAAAAGGGGAAATTGCCAGGCACAATGGCTCATGCTTCTAACCCAGCACTTTGGGAGGCCGAGGCAGGCAGATCACCTGAGGTCAGGAGTTTGAACCAGCCTGGCCAACATGATTAAACCTAGTCTCTACTAAAAATACAAAAAATTAGCTGGGCATGGTAGCAGGCACCTGTAATCCCAGCTACTCAGGAGGCTGAGGCAGGAGAATCACTTGAACCCAGGAGGCGAAGGTTGCAGGGAGCTGAGATCGTGTCACTGCACTCCAGCCTGGGCAGTAAGAGTGAAAACTCCATCTCGAAAAAAAAAAAGAAAAAAGAAAAGGGGGGAATTTAGACACAGAGACATGCACACTGGAGAATCCTTCCTAAAGATAAAGGCAGAGGTTGGGGGTGATGCTTCTACAAGCCAAGGAACACCAGTGATGGCTGCAAACTACCAGAAGCTTGGGGGTGGCCTGAACAGGTTCTCCCTCACAGCCTCAGAAGGAACCAACCCTGCCGACACCTTGATCTCAGATTTCTGACCTCCAGAGCTGTGAGACAATGCACTCCTGCAGTTTAAGCTGCTCGCTCTGTGGGACTTTGTTACAGCAGCCCAGGAAGCTAAAGCACTGGAGGAAGAGGCCAGGGAGGCTGGAGAGAGTGGACCCTAGAGCTCCGGGGAGGAAACGGCTTCAGGCAGGAGGAGGCTCCATCTTCCTCCCTAAGGGGAAGCAATTAGCGATTGCAGTGTAAACCATCCCAGTGGCCGGGCGTGGTGGCTCATGCCTGTAATCCCGACAATTTGGGAGGCCAAGGCAGGTGGATCACCTGAGGTCAGGAGTTTCAGACCAGCCTGGCCAAAGTGGTGAAACCCCATCTCTAATAAAAATACAAAAATTATCGGGGCATGGTGGCAGGTGCCTGTAATCCCAGCTACTCCGGAGGCTGAGGCAGGAGAATTGCTTGAGCCTGGGAGACGGAGGTTGCAGTGAGCCGAGATCATGCCACTGCACTCCAGGCTGGCTGACAGAGCAAGACTCTGTCTCAAAAAGAAAAGGAAGAAAAGAAAAGATGAAAAGAAAAGAAAAGAAAGAAAGAAAGAAAAGAAAAGAAAAGAAAAGAAAAGAAAAGAAAAGAAAAGAAAAGAAAAGAAAAGAAAAGAAAAGAAAACCATCCCAGGCACTCATGCCTGTAATCCCAGCACTTTGGGAAGCCAAGGTGGTCTGATCACTTGAACCCAGGAGTTTGAAGCCAGTCTGGGCAACATAGCTGAACCCCGTCTCCAGAAATAATACAAAAATTAGCCAGACATGGTGGTGCACACCTGCAGTCTCAGCTATTCAGGAGGCTGAAGTAGGAGGAACGCCACTGCAATCCAGCCTGGGTGACAGCAAGACCCTGGCTCACACATACACAAAAGTGGCTTAAAACCTCCAGTTTCTTATCTTTCACAAGTCTATGAATGCACCAGGCCTGTTCGTGGCATTGTCTGGTGACTCGGACCTGGACTGGCTGGTCCCATCTATCTCTGTTCCATGCGGTCTCTCAGGAGCTGGCAGCTTAGCCCAGCCTTGTCCCCATAGGCAAGGGCCAGTAGAGCCGAGGTTGCAAGGACTCCTGGGGCTGAGCTCAGAGCTGGCATGTCTTCAATTCCGCCACATTTTATTGGCTGAGACAGACTCAAGGGGGCCGGGGGCAAGGGCATGGACACAGGGATGCCTGGAGGGGTGAAGAATGGGATATTTTCACAATCAATCTATCACAGGTGGTGGAGACTTAAAGGCTTGAAATCATCACCACAGAGGAAAGGGGGCAAGACTGACCAGGAACCTCAGAAGGATCTCCCAACAATGCCCACTCCTCTGCAGAGGTGGGAGACCCTGAATTTGACAAACACTTGAACTGAGCAGGTGTGCACTTGAGTCAGCACCTCTGGCTTCAGGGAGAGGCAGGTGCTGGAGGTCCTGGTCTGTGTGGTGTTTGGGACAAGGCACACAGGCAGAAAAGTCACGGGAGCCCCTCAGCCTTGTTTAAGCCCTGCCTTCACCACCCACTTGCCAAGCAAGTTACTTCCCTTCTTGGTGTCTCTGTTTCCTCATCTGTGAAATGGAAAAAAGAAGAACACAGTCCCCACTTAAAATCCAGAAGACCCTGAAAAATGGGAGGTGTTTTGGTAAGTTTGTGGAAACCTGGGTTGGTGCCATGCCCCGACCTTGCATGAGGCCATCTGTGGACTATTTACCCTCTTGGGATCATCATCTCCACAATCCGTTCATCATGTTTGATAACATGAGACACATACATAATGCACAGTGCACGTGCCTTCCGACATCTGAAACACTTAAAGCCTGAACCATCCAGCACCAAGGTTTCATACTAGGCAGTTGGGACAGGAACTGCTGGAAACGTGGATGAACTGACCTCATAACGTGCCCAGCCCAGTGCCTGGTGCGTGGTGAGTTTCCCGCTGTCACAGTTGAAGGGACCCACGGGGGGAAGAATCCAGCTAGTATCCCCCTCCCTGGTGTGCTTCTTAATATCTCAAGAGGCACAATGCCTCGCAAGGGCCGACATTTGTCCAGTGAATGAATGAGTGAATGAATGTCTTAGCTCCATGACTGCTCCGCACTCTCTTTAAGGGCAGGAGCTGTGCATTGTTCCCCTCTGTACCCATGATACCTGCTATAGAAGCCAACCTGAAGCAAGCACTAATAGATATGGGATGAACAGGGACCTCATCTTTGCACCACAGCATGAGCTCCTCGAGGCCAAATTGAGGTTCATGAATCCCATGGCTTGCGTGCAGGGCTCAGAGCTGCACAGGGCAAATGTCTGGAGACTGAGTTAGCCAATGGATGAATGGAGCTCTGCACTGTTGAATCGAATCAGTTCTAGGCTGATTTCCATTTGCTTCTAAAAGCACTAAGAGAATTTCAAAATTTCTTAGGCTCAGTACTATACAAACAGGAAAAATAAAAGTCTGTGGGGCTGTACTTGTCAGCTGTGGCTGCCATAACAAAATGTCACACAATGGGAGCCTTAAACAACAGATATTTATTATCTCACAGTCCTGGAGGCTGGAACTCTGAGATCAAGGTGTCGGCAGGGTTGGTTTCTCCTGAGCCCTCTCTCCTTGGTTTATAGACAGCGTCTTCTCCCTGTATCCTCACAGGATCATCCGTCTGTGTGTGGCTGTGTCCTCATCTCCTCTTCTCATAGGACTCAGTCATGTCGGGTTAGGGCTTACCCATATGACCTCATTTTGCCTTAGTTACCTATGTAAAGACCCTGTCTCCAAATACATTCACCTTCTGAGATTCTGGGGGTTAGAACTTCAACATGGGGTTGGGAGAAGGCACAATTTGGCCCATCACAAGGATTCATGCCATACATAGTTCTGACCACAGCAACTCTGCTGTCTTAAAATTAGAAGAGCACAGACATTCACATTCCCCCAAAACAGAAAGCTCTTTCCAACTGCAATGGCAGCTCGGCACAGGGAATCAAGGGCAGACTCTTGTCCACCCTCAGTTGTGTCCCTTCCCTGACCCGGGTCTGCAGTTTTCACCTGTAAAATGGGGACACAGGAACAGCTGACGACTAACACCCCACTTGGCTTCCAGCCTGGTGAAGGCAGGAGCCAGCGCCAACCAGCTACGGGAGCCATTCTCTGTGGCTCAGTCAGGACATAGGGACGGGGCCCTGCCCTGTGGCGGAGCTGAGCCCCACGTGGGCTCAGCGCCAGAGTAGTGACTCCATCTTTTGGTCCTTTCAGCACCTCAGGGAGCCCAGCTGGCCCGCACCCTTAAGCAGAGTCAGGAGGAGGCTCACACCCAGAGGGAGCCTGGCCGTGTGTCCTGCAGGGTGAGCGGGTGCTCGCATGGCCTAGGCAGCTCTGCATTCCTCATACCTTCCCTGGGACTCTAAAAGTAGTGTTTGAGCCCCAGGTGGAGGGGCAGAGAGAGTGGGAGTGGGGGGTGAGAGTGAAGGAAAGAAAAAAGTAGGGAGGAAGAGGAGAGAACCAATACCAGGGAGATCCAGCAGCAAATGCTGCCGGGGGAAGGTCCCTCTTGTACGATTTCCACTTGACCATTTTGTCGCTGGGCCTCAGGAGCCACCTCGTCGCCAGCTTCCTGACCCTCTAGCGTGGGTCCAGCTGCAGAGAGAGGCTCCCAGGCAGGCCTGATTGGTCAGCACTTGGGACTTCTCCAGGGGGAGCCCCAGGAAAGAGTAGGGAATGTATCTGCCTGGCCCTGTCCCTCCTGTATTCCACCAGCCAAGGCCTCCAGGAAGTGACACCCCTGCACTTCAAGCCCTAGGAAGCCTGAACTCCAGGTTTGACAGTGAGGGGCCACCCAGCGTAGCCTGGCACTGCACAAGCCAGCGTTGAGGGGATCACAAAGGGTGCATGGTGTTTTACCCCGTAAATTCACACTAACCACTCTGCTCCTGGGTATCTGCCAAACGCTCTTTCAGCCTGAGAGGAGCCCTGGTGTGGTAGGGGATGGAGGTGACAATTGGGGTCAGCCCGGGGTCTACCACTGGGGAAGCAGTTCAGGGACCTCCTGGGCACAACCCAGCAGCCGTCAGGAGCAATGGGCGGGATCCCTCCCAGCAACACAGACAGACTGTGAAAAACCACAGTGCGGTGTGCAAAAAGCAAGATGCAGAAGGAGGCACGGTTACAGCACAATTTCAATGGTCTACGTTAAAAACTCATCTTATTCATTCATTTCCTTGAACAAACATTTACAGAGTGCCTCTATTAGCCAGGCACTGTCTTGAACATCCAAACAGTGATACACACTTCATAAGAACATAAAAGCAAACCCCCTAAATACATCAGAACAGTCATGCGTAGGAGAGGGAACGCAGATAAAGGAGAGATACAGGGCCCAGGGCCGGATGGCCAGTACTTTGCTTCAGCTGACTGGAGCCCACAGACCGAAGGCAAAACAACACATCCATGAGTGCCTCTGCCTATCTGCAGGCAGTTTTTAGGAAAAATAGAAGATTCCTCTTGTGGGAGGAGAATGCAGTCTAGACCCAGTACTTGCAGTTCAGCCAGTGAAACGCAGGCCAGATTTCAGCCCCACTCACCACACAGTTGTCAGCCTTGGGCAGTGCTGGACCCACAAAACTATGCATGGCTGTCCTGCGTGCAGCTCAGCAGTTAGCACACCCAGTGGTAACACACAAGGTAGTAGGATAGGGAGACAAAGGGAAGTAGAGAGATGATCGATTTTAAAAGTACAGGAGAAAGGTGAGAGTCTCTGAGCTTCAAACCTGTATGGAAGGACACACCCCAAATCCCTGTGGCTAGCAGTCTTGATAGGAGAGGAATTGGAGAGACTCACGGAGGGGGCTGGGATTTCAGGTAAATTTTATTTTAGTCTTTATTGAATCAACAGACGCTTGACTTTTTAATTAAAAATAAAGCAAAGGATCCATTTTGCCATTCTGGTTGAGTGCCATTGGGCGGGAGCTGCTGGACGGCAGGAGATGCAGCATAGGGAGGAGGGCACAGCATAGGGAGGAGGGCACAGATGGGCTCTAGATGCTGGGCCCTGTGCCCACCAGGAGGAGGAGAAAGCACCAGGGCATGGGAAGCTGAGTCTCTCTGCATCGCCCACCACCATCCTCGGGCCTGAAATGCTTGGCCTGGCCTCAAGTCCCAAGAGTGGCGTGCAGGCCCCTGGGGCACTTAGGTGGAGAGTGAATGGTTAGGGGTCATCCATACACTTTGTTTCGTCCTCTGCCACTGCATTAGAAACCTGGCATACCTTCCAACACCTGCTGGTGCCCTTTTGAATAGAGAGAGAGCAGCCCTCAGGATCTAAGGCTTCTGACTCTGCAAGATCATGGTTTAGCCAGAAGTTGATGAGCTTTTTTCTTTTATTGTATTCTTTTCTTAAATTTACTTTCTACGTACGGCAAGACGATACTGGTTTTCCACTTATTGCCATGATATAGTCTTTCTTTTTTAAAAAACAGTTTATTTACATCTTATAAAACTAAACATACTCTGACTATATAATCCAGCAATTACACTCCTGGGTATTTACCCAAAGGAGTTGAAAAATGTATGTCCACATGAAAACCTGCGCATGGATGCTGATGGCAGCTTTATCCATAATAATTGCCAAAACTGGGAAGCAACCAAGATGCCTATGGATAGGCTCATGGATAAACAAACTGTGGGACATCCAGACAACGGAATAGTATCCATTGCTAAAAAGAAAGGGGCTGCAAGTACTGAGAAGACAGGGAGGAAGTTTACATGCATATCACCAAGTGAAGAAGCCAATCTGAAAAGGATACATGCTGTGTGATTCCAACTATAGGACATTCTGGAAAAGGCAAAACCCTGGAGCAGTAAAAAGATCAGTGGTTGCCAGGGTTTGGGGGAAGGGAGGATGAAGAGATCAAGCACAGGTGGTGTTGAGGGCAGTAAGTCTACTCTGTGGGATTCTATAGTGGTGGATACATGGCATCAGACATTTGTCCAAACACACAGAGTATATAGCACCAAGAGAGAACCCTAACATCCGCTGGGGACCCTGGGTATCGCTGTGCATTAATGTAGGTTCATCAGTCGCAGCCAATACCCCACTCTGCCGGGGGATGCTGATTATGGGGAAGGCCGTGCATGCGTGGGGAGGGGTATAGGAGAACTTGCTGCACTTTCCTTCAGTTCTGCTGTGAACCTGAAACTACTCTAAACAATAAAGTCTAGTTTTTAAAAATTAGAAAATTCAGAAATATGAAAAGAAGAAATTATGGTTATTACTTTAAAATAAATGGAGAGATCTACCAACCTAAAAAACAGTGAATGGGTTTAAGGAGAAACATGAAGTAATAGATAGTCACTCAGTCAGTCAGCCAGCCAGCCAGTCAGTCAGATAATCAGTCAGTCATACAGATAGACAGTCAGATAGTCAGTTAGTCAGTCAGATAGTCAGTAAGTCAGTTAGTCAGTCAGTCAGCCAGTCAGTCAGCCAGTCAGTCAGTCACTCAGTCAGCCAGTCAGCCAGTCAGATAGTCAGTCAGCCAGTCAGTCAGTCAACCAGTCAGTCAGCCAGTCAGTCACTCAAATAGTCAGTCAGCTAGTCAGCCAGTCAGCCAGCCAGTCAGTCAGTCAGTCAGCCAGTCCGTCAGTCACTCAAATAGTCAGTCAGCCAGCCAGATAGCCAGTCAGTCAGACACAGGAGGCTCCTACTTCATCCTCGGAAGGGCTTGGAGTGCTTCCTGGAGGAGGCAGTTTCTACACTGAATCTTGAAAGGGAAGCAGGAGTTCACCAGGCCTAGAAGCCAGGCAGGCATTTCAGCAATGTGTCAATGATGTGGTTGGCCAAGGGAGGATAGGGGTATGCTGTGAGTGAAGCACCAGAGACTGAAGTAAGCATGTTCCTTTGAGACCCAGTGGTGTGGCCACTTCCCACACAGTGTCTACTTCTAAGATGGACACTCAGAGCCAAAATCACCCTCAGGAAAGAGTCACGCCCAAGACTGCCAGTACAGCCCATGAGAAGCCCAGGCTGACCCAGCCTGTCTTTATTGCAACTTGGAAATGGACCACTTGTTCCCTCAGTTGAGCACCAGCTGAATGAACAGCTTGAATTGAGGTGGAGTACTCACAGTTAAGGTTTCCCAGGACTGAGGGTGCCTGAAGAACTGACTTGCACATGCACACCCAGCTCCAGACAAGTGTGCAGGGAGGGAGGGTGGTGTGGACTTAGTGTCACGTGACTATGTTCTTACTGCAACCCATGCAGTGACAGAGGGTTTTGTGCCTAATACATAAAGACTTTTACAAGTTAATAAGAAGAAAATAGGTACCTCAGTAGAAAAATGGACAAAAGTCTTTCATTTTGAGACAGGGTCTCACTCTGCTGCCCAGGCTGGAGTGCAGTGACACAATCACAGCTCACTGCAGCTTTGACCTCCTGGTCTCAAACAATCCTGCCCTCCCAGCCTCCTGAGTAGCAGGGACCACAGGTGCATGCCACCACACCTGGCTAATTTTGTACTTTTTGTAGAGACAAAACATAGTAGACACTATGTTGCCCAGGCTGGTCTCAAACTCCTAACCTCAAGTGGTCCTCCCACCTTGGCCCCCCAAAGTGCTGGGAGTGCAGGTGTGACCCACCACACCCGGCGGAAAGTCTTGAATAATCATTTCACAAGAGAGGATATCCACGTGGCACTATATATATGAAAAGGTGCTAATGCAAATTAAAATCCCAGCAAGCTAGCACTACACACCCACCAGATAAGTTACAATGAAAGAGGCTGACTATGCCCAGTGTTGAGGAGGACGTAGAGCACTAAGGATTCTCCCAGGAGGAGGATAAGATGGTGTTGTCACTTTGGAGAACTGTTTGATCCAGGAAAGCTGAACCTATGCATATGCTATGACCCAGCAGTTCCACCCCTGGGCACAGACCCTACTGAAATGCATACGATAGATTGACGTAAAGATGTTACTTAATCCGTCAGCACATCCATCACTCATTCCACAAGTACTTATCAAGAACCTCCTATGTGCCAATCACTGTCCTGAGAGCTCAGGACACACATGATAAAAGAGACTAAAGTGCTGGGAGATTGCATTCTGGAGGAAGAGAGACGTAAAGACAAAATAAGGACAGCGGATGTGTGCCCAATAGGTATATAAGCTGTGGAGCACACTGGAGCAGTGAGTGGGGAGAGGGGGTGGGCCAGACTAGGGGTTCTGGGCTGGGGCTATAATGGGGTGCTCACTAAGGAGACAGTATCTGGGTACCTGAGCAGCTTGTGAGAGGCCAGAGGGAGTGGACTGTGGGCAAGTCTGGAGGAGGAGAGTCCAGGCAGATGGAAGAGCATGAGCTAAGGCCCTAGGGCAGATGTTGGAGGAATAGCCAAGAGGTCAGTGTGGCTGGGGGTCTTGAGCAGAAGGGGAGGCAGAAGCAGTAGAGAGGGGAGGGGGCCTTCAGGAGAGCCAAAAGAAAGGCAGGGTCTGGCTCGGCGCGGTGGCTCACACCTGTAATCCCAGCACTTTGGGAGGCCGAGGCAGGCGGATCACAAAGTCAGAAGATCAGACCATCCGGGCTGACATGGTGAAACCCCGTCTCTACTAAAAATACAAAAATTAGCTGGGTGTGGTGGTGCATGCCTATAGTCCCTGCTACTCAGGAGGCTGAGGCAGGAGAATCACTTGAACCCGGGAGGCAGAGGTTGCAGTGAGCCAAGATCGCGCCACTGCACTCCAGCCTGGCGACAGAGCAAGACTCAGAAAAAAGAAAGAAAAAGAAAAAGAAAGAAAGGCAGAGTCTACCTCCCCACAGATAGGAGCTGATGGAGGCAGGGCTGGCTCTAACCCCTCTGTGTGTCCCCAGCACAAACCAGGCACTTCACAGCTTCTCAAAAATGCAGCAAATCAAGCCAGCCCCATGGGGACAGGACCTGGGCTGCCTGGTCTTCCACTGTGTCCATCAAGTGTCTAGACCATGTCCTGACAACATTTCTTATCTGACCAGCTCCTTCCCTGGGGCCTTGGCAGTGACCACCTGGGCAGGCAAGCATCTCATGCCACCGTGTGCAGGAGACCTGCAGCCCACACATACAGGCCCCAGAGGCTGCAGCACCACAGATGGGAGGTGTGCCAAGGCCACCAGGCGAGGTACTAACAGCATCCCATAGGCAGAGCTGCCCTCCATGCTGTGGACCACTCCACAGCCCCACAAAAATCCCAGGCCTCAGCAGACAGCCTCCTGGTCATATTACAAGCAGCCTAAATAAGAAACCTTTAATAAAAAGGAAACACATACAACCCCATTTATATAGCGTGTAAAATAGATTAAAATAATTTTAAATGCATGAATAACTCACAGACTGTTTAAAAAAAAAATCACAAGCAGCACTTTGTGGTGAAGACATCCAGAAACAGAGGCTTGTCCTGCAGACAAGGGACCCCAGAAGAGAGGGGCCAGGACATAGATGGTGAGAGGTGAAGCCAGCTGGACTTCCTGGGTCGAGTGGGGACTTGGAGAACTTTTCTGTCTTACAAGAGGATTGCAAAATGCACCAATCAGCACTCTGTAAAAACGCACCAATCAGCGCTCTGTAGCTAGCAAGAGGATTGTAAAATGTACCAATCAGCACTCTGTAAAATGCAGCAATCAGCACTCTGTAAAATGCACCAATCAGCAGGATCCTAAAAGTAGCCTCCCTAAAAGGGAGGATTGAAAAAGGGCATTCTGATAGGACAGAAACGGAACATGGGCGGGGACAAATAAGGGAATAAAAGCTGGCCACCTCCCAGCCAGCAGCGGCAACCTGCTCTGGTCCTGCTCCGTGCTGTGGAAGCTTTATTCTTTTGCTCTTCACAATAACCCTTGCTACTGCTGCTCTTTGGATCCGTGCCATCTTTAAGAGCTGTAATACTCACCGTGAAGGTGTGCGGCTTCATTCGTGAAGTCAGCCATACCACAAACCCACTGGAAGGAACCAGCTCCAGACACAATGGGACCCCTACGATGTAGTCCTGAAGGCTGGCCTTTCCAGGAGTGGGACACTGAGCCTGGCTTATACCCAGGTACTACATAGAAGAGCAAGGTATATAGCGCCATGAGCATCCAGCCTGAGTCCTCCCTTCCATTTTCCGTGCTGTCCACCAGCTCAGACACACGGGCAGAGATGGTGGCCCTGAGGTTTGGGCATAGGCACGGAAATGGTGCTTTGGGTCTCACCCACTCCCCCTTGGCTTCCGTCTCATTTAGGAAACAACTCTAAGGGCTAGCGCTGCCCACTTGCTGCAGCTGTCTTGTGACCGCCCCTCTTGAATCACACACCTCGTGTGATGGGGAACTTACCCCCTGACAGACATCTCTGGCAGCTGACGCTAGGAGAAAGCTTTTCTTTGCCGGCACCAGCTTCCCTAGGAGAACAGCCCCAGAGGTTGTTTCCCAGAACTCCATGGGGGGACTGTCCCCAGCCTACCCTTGCTCCTCTCATGGGACCTGGGACCTCTCCTGAAGCCTACCTTGGTCCTCCTACCAGGACGCACGCTTTCCTCCTCGATCAAATGAGCTGCTCCTCTTCTCTGTGAGTCCCCAACCCTGTTCCTTGCCCATGCCTAATCACAGACATCAAGTCCCAGCTGCCTGGAGGGCAGCCAGCAGGGAACTGCCAGCGGCTGGCACCACTTCCCACCTCTACTCCCCAGGGTCCTTCCCACCTGCCACAGCTCAGGCCTCACATTAATGCTCCTCCAGCTCAGCAGCAGCAACTGAGCGCTCCTCAGGATGCACCTGAATCCCACCTCTGTCCACCTCTGCCACATCTGATCCAGCCCCATCATTTCTCATCTGGATGGTGGCAGTAATTCCCACGGCTCCCTGCCTAGACCCTCCTCCCACCCCCAGACACAGCAAGAGGAACCCTCAAACCTCCGTCAGACCCCCTCTCCAAGGAAAAGCTAGGCCCAAGCCTGCCCCACAAACTCTTGCCGCACTGGCCGGGCCCTTGTGCCTGCTGTGCTCCTCCCCTCCCACTTCTCGCTTGCTCCCGTGTCACCACCACCTCCGTGGGGCCTGTCGGATTGTGCACCCATTCCTCTTCCTTGGTTTATTTTCACCAAAGCACTTCCATTTTGTGACCTATTACATCTTTACTTACTAATTTTGTTCACTGTCCCCACAACTAGATGTGGCTCCAAGGGTGGGGTCTTGTCTGTCCTGCTGTCAGCTGTGTCCTAGAATCATCAGATGCCCAGCTGTGTTCACTGAATGTACTAACAAGTGAAGAAAGCAGTCATCAGCTCAGAGTAAATGATGCAGAAGGTGAGGGAATGCATGCTCTCTGAGGGAATGGGCCAAGCCCAGAATCTTGTCCAAAGAAGGCACAATAACTTTTCAGTTGTGGTAAAATATGCATAACATAAAATTTACCATTGTGACTATTTTTAAGAGTTCAGTGGTTTTAAGTACAGTCACATTGTTGTGCAACCATCATCATCATCCATCTGTGTAACTCTTTCCATCTTGTAAAACTGAAAATCTGTCCCCCTTCAACACGAATTCCCCATTGCCCCTCCTCCAGCCCCAGAGTAGGCTCACTGTGCACTGGCTAGCAAATTGTCAGAGTCCAGTGAGAGAACACACAGGCACCCAACAGGTTACATGAAGCGGGTTTGTTCCTTACAGTAGGTAGCAAGGGACAATGGAAGCCTGGGATCCCCTGTCTTGTTCATTCATGTGTGCCCCACTTGCACCCCAGCTGAAGGGTCCTGGAAAGCAGGTCTTGGGCTGGGTTTTAGACCATGGAGCAAAGAGGCTTGCTGGCTAAACCATTGAAGGACATCCTGCTTCTATGGGGGGAACTGGAACAGAGCCAGGGCTGCCCCAGCCGTCCCTCTCTATGGGTGTCATATCCACAGCACATTCTACAGTTATTCTTGAGGACTACAGGTGAGTAAAGGGGGAGAAGCGAGATTGTCCAAAGCCACCTAAACCCTGGCACCCCCGTTCTACTTTCTGCCTCTATGACTTCGATGACTGTAGGGACTTCATATAACTGGAATCACACAGTATTTGCCCTTTGCTGACTGCCTTATTTCACTTAGCATAATGTCCTCAAGTTTCGTCCACGTTGTAGCATGGGTCAGAACTTCCTTCCTTTTTAAGTCTGAATAACATTCCATTGTGTGTACAGAGCACATTTTATTTCTCAATTCATCCGCTGATAGACACTCAAGATGCTTCCACCCTTTGGCTATTGTGAATCATGCTGCTACGAACATGGGTGTACAAATAAGGCACGAATAACTTCTTATTGTAAGATCAAATAAGTGAATGAGGAAATGAATACATGAATGAATGAACAAATAAATGATATGTAAAGGGCATCCACACTTGCGCTTCTCCCACAGCCCCACTCACTCCCTGACTATGATGCTGGTTTCTGCTGCTGCTGCCGCTGCCTCCTCCTCCTCCTCCTCCTCTTTCTCCGGCCTTGCGCATCCCCCATCAGCAAGAGCACAGGAGCTCCATGTGGACTGGGCCTCCAAGAACCCGCTGAGCTGCCCAGCGGGGCCCCTTCACAATGAAGCACGCTGTCCCTTCTTTAGAAGGGATTCTGCTTTCTTATGTTCACAGGATGTCCAAGGTCTCCTTGAAGATCAGGAAATGCAGGCAGCCATCCCAGCCTCTGAATAGCTGCTGCCAGCATTACACAGACCGGGCATCAGACGGTGTGCGATCCTCCTTGCTTTCTCCTCCTTTCTTTCCCTCTTCCTTCCTCCTCCTCCTCCCTGTTACACACCAGGGAGGCTGCTGCATGATTGACGCAAAGCCAGTGGCTGCTTGAAGGGGAACGTGAGGATTCCAGAAGCTCTGAGCTGGGCAGGGTCCTCTGAAAGTCTCTACTCTTAGCTGGTCTTAAACCTCGCTTTGCAGCTATCCTGTTGTTCAGATAAAAGCCTACCCAGAGCCACAACAGTTCGGAGACATGAGGGGAGCTGCTTTCATGGTTTCCCCTCCCCACAGTGGCCCTCTATGGAGCTTGCCCATCCACTCATGTTACACAGAACAAGACCAACACCACACAGCTGACAAAGGGTGTGGGGTCCAGCAAATCAACCCAGGGGCAGCTGGAGCTTGACCTTGCAGGGGAACTCTGGGAGCCAGTGTGGACAGCACCCCTTAGCATCATCTATCTGGGGGTGAGGCGGGTGTCTATCCACAAACTCCCGCCCACCCCTGGTTGAGGACCACTTTCAAGGGTGGAAGGGGTGAATTTCTTGGCACTTTCAGGCTGCTGCAAGGGCAGGCTTTGGTGGCAGCCGAAGTCCTGAGCCAACTCAAAGCCAGAGCTTATAGCTGAAAGAACTGGGCCATCACTCATTCATTCATTCGTTCATTCATTCACTGCAGGGCCTGACGGGTTTGACTGAGAGCTGCTGAAGCATCAGTGTAGGAATGACATAGCCTGACCTATGAGACCCTGAGGAGCCCCAAGAGTGGAGCACCCCTAGGGTGACACCCATGCTGCCAAGGGACTGTCAATCACCCTGCCCCTGCCCCTGCCTCAGTTTACCACCAGCAGGCAGGGGAGGAGAGGGCATTGCATTCCACTGGCTGTGACAGGGAAGGCTAAGCTAACTATTGTCATATGAGATCTTCACACATGGGTCATAACCAGACAGTGAGAGTTTGGCCGGGACCTCCCAGTGTGTAAGTGTCAGGGCAGCAGGACATTCATTCATCTGGTCCACAGATCTTTGCTGTGCACTTGCCACATCCCAGCACTGTCCAGGAACTGGGGTGCACGACAGGCAGGGTCTCTGCCCTTCCGGAGCAGACATGCTGGTGGGAGAGATGGGCAGCTCCCGAGGACTGCCCTCGTGTAAGTGCCATGAAGACAATGGAAGGGAATTATGCCAGACCCTCAGGGACCCCAGCACAAACTTGCCTCCAAAGCCCAGGCTCTCTCCTTGACAATAGTCCATCATCAGCCCACAAGGAGAAAGGAGCAGCAAAGGCCTGCAGAGAGCCAGCCCTGTCCCCTTGCCCAGAACAGGGGTGCCCCCTGCAGTTCTGTGAGCTGCTCCATCCTAGCAGCTCCCATCAGCTCCAGGGACAGTACGCGAACACCAAGTTATACCCTCACATTTATTCCAAAAATCTTTTGGGAGGAAATCCCACTCATTGCATGTCCAGGCACCTAATGAGGACATGAGATCATGTTATCAGTTCCTATTTTAAAGAGGGGGATACTGAGGCACAGAGAAGACAGGTAACTTGCCGAAGATCACACAGCTAACAAATGATGAAGCCCTGGGTCTTAACTACAGTGCTAGGCTGCCCCATGGCTCAGCTGTGCTTGTATTCGGGGCCTTCACTGATTGAACTCAGAACAGCTGTATTCTGGAATGAATTGCAACGCAGTTCAGCCAGCTAAGCCTTCTCTGGGAATCTTCTCAGGGCTGAAGGTACAGGACTAGCTCATCAAGTTACTTTGGGCTGAATTACACCCCAGCTCTGCTTGCCATTCACTAGGTGTGAGACCCTTTTCTAAGCCTCAGTTTTCTCATCTGAGAAACAGATTTCACCCTCTCTATCTCAAGAGGTTTTTAGGATTAACCACACTGGGATTAGCCACGGCCATGCCCAACATCAATGCTTCCAAAATGGTGGAGATGGGGGTGGAGAGGCCCCATCCTGGGCCTGGCACACATAGCTGGTCCCCAGTGCAAGCTGGCTTCTATCCCTGCCTCTGCTTGGAGAGGGCCTGGGCTCCCTTCAGGCTCCAGGGCTGGGAAACGATGCCACTTGGTGCTCCTGCACCACATCCCCACATGGACCCCTGGACCATTCCCAAATCCTGACTGCAGGACCAGCCCAAACCCCTCCAGACCTTCCCCCCGCCCACACTCAGCCACCAGCCACCATTCAGACAGGAGGAGGGACTCCTACAGATACCCCTGGGGGAAAAAAAAGAACCACTCAGCCAGCATCCTCCTGACTCTGAGGTTGGGGGGCGGGAGCGGTGTCGGAGCATTTGCAGAGTAAGTTCTTTAAAGTGCAGGGGAATGCTAGGTGGACAGGAGCTGTGAGAGACCTTGCCCCAAAGATAGATCCCAGGTAGATACAGAAGGCATTGTGAGTGGTGGTGAGTGCCAGAGCGCACTGCAGTGTGAGTCAGGGTCAGAGCAGCCCTCTTCTGCGAAACGACCCTTTGGAGCCCAGGACGGAAGAAGGAGACAGTCCCTGGCAACCGGGAGCACAGGGAAGAGCATTGCAGACTGAGGAACAGCATGTGCGAGTGCCCTGGGGAAGGAGGGAGTTGGCTCATTCGAAAAGCAGAAACACAAGGAGGAAGTTTTCTGTCACTTTCCATTTTCTCCACTACCAGGCAGGGAACTCGCCCGTTTCTGTGCTCAAGGTCACATGGTGGTCTGCGGGACAGCTGGGCTGCCTTCCTTCAGTAACTCTTTCCTCACCCCAACTTTTCCACCTTCTTCTCCTATCTGCTCTTTCCCTTTCCTTTCTCCAGCCTGTCTCTCCATTTCTTCCCCTCCCTTTCCGCCGTTTCTGTGCCTCCCCACCCCCACTCTCTCACACACACTTCCCTGTTTCCCCTTTTCTCTCTCTTAGACACTGCCGCTGTCTTCCACCTCTGTCTCTCCTTTCTGCATTTCTTACCCCGTGTCTCGGTCCCAGCTCCCTCGGGGTCGAGTCCCTCTGCGTGTCCTCCCCTACCTCGGCCTCCACCTGCCCCTTGCACGGGCGGCGCCGCCTGCCATGCGCAGCACGAGCCTCGCTAATGCGTTTCGCATGGCGCGTCAGTCAAACGCCCTTCTAATGTCCTTAAAGCACGCAGAAAATTGCATCCTTATGAAAAAGGAGAAAAAAAGCAAATTGCCTGGTGGAAGCGGAGCTGCCGCGGGGGCTGGGGCGGCAGCGCGTGCGGGCGGAGTTGCGTTCGGCAGGGCGGACTTGGGGCGGCTGTCAGGGGCTCTCCCGGGCCAAGGCGCAAGAGCAAGACGCTGCCTCCTCCCAGCGCTTCCAAGTGGCGCCTGGGCCCACATCCTTGCCTGCTCTCTCCCACTCTTCCACCTCTCCTTGCTCGTTCCGGACACCCTGGCCTCCCACTGCACCACCTCCCTCCGCTAGGCTCATAACCGCCTCCGGACCTTGCACTTGGTTTCGCTCATCCCCAGGCGCTTTTCACAACACAGACCCTTCCTCCTGGTCACTCAGGTCTCCACTGAAGGGTCACTTCCTGAGACCAATCTTCCCAGACCACCCTGACTAAAGCCCCCACCCCACTCATCTTCTATCACCTGCTGCATTTTCCACATGACAACGACCACTCTCTGAAATCATCTTGTGGATTTAATTGTGGCTTCTTCACCGTCTGTCCACCCCTCCCCAGCACAGTGTCTGGCACGCAGAGGGCATGTTGAACAAATTGGTGAACAAATGAGTGAGACTTATTCCAGGCAGGCAGGGGCTTTGGAGACTCTAAGGCATGTGGGGCACTCCAAGCTGGACCTTGAGGCTGCTGAGTGAGGGGCAGTGGAGACTAACCAAGCTGAAATCAGATCCAGTTCGTTGCTAATGACTTTGTGTTCCTGGGCAAGTTGCCTAACATCTGTGAGCTTTATCTTCTGGAAAATGGGAGCAGGAGCACCTAGCTTACTGGGGTGTCCCTGGATCGATAAAGTAATTCAGAAGAAATGGGGGGGGGGTTCTGTCCCTAGCGCTAGGAATTGTCTGCCATACTCAATAAGTGCTTGTTAAAGGAATGAAGGGCTGACATAAGAGCTTGATACATATCAGCCAGTCCATGCTGCCACTGATGTCAGATGCACGATTATTTCCTGAAGCATTGAGAAAGAAACGTTGTTTAAATATTGCGAATGAAGCCATAACCCATTGCTCTCATATCACCTGGAATTTTTATTTTATACTTACTCAAATATCTCTTTTAGGCTTATTAGCACATAGATTTAAAAAAAAAAAAACCACAGATCACTATTGAGTTTACATCAAAACGGCAACTATCAGCGCAATCAATCATCAGTGGAGGTATTCCTAAAACTTCTTTGAGAAGCCTTCTTTGAGAGAGGTCAGAGGCACCTCTCTCAATGGACACCCTCTAAGCTGCTCTTCCCCTGTGAATTTCTATGCCTTGCTGAAGAACCACCCCCCACCCCGCCCCGCCCCAAGCTTCTCCTCCCCTGTGAATTCCTTGGCCTAGCTGAAGGACTCCCCTCTGTGGTCTTCCCCTCCAGTGTTGGTGCCTGAGAGGCCAGGGGCCACCACTGTTCACTGGAATGGCTAAATAACCTCGGCAGTACACCCATGGGAGTGGGCGGGAGGTCACATGGAGCATCCATGACACCCACAGCCTCTGGGACCCTCGTCCCCATCTCAACTGTCATGGAACCCAGATTTCAGAAATGGGAAGATGCTGTCTTAAAGTCGAGACCTAGGGACACTACTGTGTAAGAGCTAAGACAAATTGAACTTCTGAAGTCACACCAGTGAGGGTCCCCCTTCCAAAGTCAGAGAGATCCCAAGAGGAAAGGCCCTTCCCTGGAGGGGCCTCTGACAGTCCTGGGGCAGGAAGTTATGAGTGGCCCGGGGGACCAGAATAGAGGTAGAGAGCTGAGCCAGAGTCAGCACCTGCTGGCCCCTCGGCTGCCATTACCTTCCTGCCCCGCCCAGCGGAGCGAGGAGTCCCAGCTCCCTTACCTCCCTACAGTGGGGTTGGGGAGGTGGCATTTGAGAAGTTTTCCTTCAGCTCGGAGATCTGGCCCCGGGCTGAGCTGGGAGGGAGGGTGGGGGCTGTAGGTGGGACCGCTGGGGAACCCAGCCTGAACAGAGGGGACAGAGGTTCCCAGCATCAGCTAGTCTCCTCCGTGGACACAGGAACCCAAAGTGGGCTCAGGGGATGTCCTTTGCGTTCCTTCTCCGGTACTGTCATTTCTAGGGCAGAGGCTCCCTGACCTGTAGAAAGGAAATCAGGCAGGGGAGCAACTGAAAACAAAGGCGGTACCAGGTTTCTGCTCGGACCCTGGAGCTCCAGGGAGATGGGGAGAGATGGCCGAGTGAAGGTGCTCACTCGGGGTTGAGAGGACCACATTTTGGCCACTCCTAGCTGGCCCTGCTCGGTTTCCCTGTAGGCACAGTAAGACAGTGCCCTCCAGCTCCAGGGGACAAAAACTTCAGATTCTGCTGTTGTCGACTTGGGCTGGGACCCGCGCTTCTTCTTTTTTTTTTTTCTTTCTTAGTCCCCACAAGTGACCCTCTAGGGGAATCCAGAACAGGGAAGGGAGCAAGCCAGAGGAACTTTTTTTTTTTTTAGGTGAAAAGCCAGGGGGAGGGATGGGGCGCCCCCGCTCGCGACTACGCCTGCGACTGTCCTCGCGCTGCGGGGGCTGTGCGTGGAGCCCGCGGTAAGCTGGAATATCCAAGCCAGCTGCAAGTGGCCTTCCGTTCCCCACACGCCTCCTGCGTGCTGGGCCCAGCTGGGCGCCGCCCAAATCTTCTCTCTCCCGAGACTCTCCAGCTCCCCTTCTACTGACCAGGAGAACGTCTTGCTCCGGCCAGGATCACACCAGTGGAGAAGCGACCCCCTCCCCCATCCCGGGCCGGGGCCCTTCTGACAAGCCTCCCCAAGGACTCCCTCATTCCCCAGGCCACCTTGAACAAAGCACACTGAGCGCAAACTTCGCGCCTCTGGGGGAACGCTGCGGCCAGGCTAATCCCAGCCCTCTCTCCTCCCCCAGCCCTTCGCGTCCCCAGGGTCCAGGCGGTCGCAGGCGCTCCCCACTCCCGCAGGGCCACAGCTCTCGCGAGACTCCTGAGCCCTCTCCCTCCCCTGGCTGCGGCCCCCGGGCTCCGGGAAGCTCAGCCACCTGGGCCCACGCCATATCTGGGTTTTTTTCCCAGGACTTTGGGGATGAGAAGAGACTTGTGCATAGAGCGGAAGAGGAATGGGATCCAAGGGACCTTTCCTTCAAGTCCCGGGCCTGAAATGAAGGATGCGACTGCTGCCTGCAGGCAGAGAGACAACCTCAGCGCTCGGTGGCTGGGGCGCAGTGGCACGCAGGGCGGGCGCCAGGTAGCTCCGGTCGGGCACGCGCAGTCCGACAGACTGTGTCACCTTGGAAGACAGGATGCGGCCCTTTACCTAGAGTGGCAGCTTTGTGGGCTAGGTCAGCACGGGGTCTCCGGGCCGGCGGGCAATCGTCTGCCTCTGCGCCTTAGCTCCCTGGAGCGGGCCTGGAGCTTCCGTTGGGTCTCAAGGGTTCCACCAAGCAAGGAAGCCCTGAGCTGCCCAAACACAATGGCGTGCAGCCCTCTCCTCTTCCCCAGTCTCGGGGACTCGGTCTGCCTCTGCGTTCCCTGTCCCGGCAAGGAGCACAGAGGTGAAGGCAGTGACAACAACTCCACCCCTCCCGCACTGCAGGGCCTGGAATCTGGTCTCCCTCATTTGAGGCCCAACTTCCCCACTGACCCACAGGTGACCCCCGGACCGGAGTTCCCGCATCAAGTTCCCCTCTGTGCCGGGAGGTGGCTGTTCTCGCTGAAATATTGGGGCCCTTGTGCTCTGACTCCGGATTGGCCAGACCCCCTCCCCAACCCCTCAGAGCCCTGGTCCTACAAAGACCACTAGGTCCAGAACAGCAAGGCACCTTGGGAAAATGCCAAAGATTCGCAAGGCAGCTAATCTGCTGAAGGTTGCCTTCCTCGGATTTAGTAAAACCGGAGAGCCCTGAACTAACTGTGACTGATGCTGGTCAGATCCCCCTCCTTTCCCCTCTTGACTGGTGTAGGTGCATTCTACCTTCTTTCACAACTCTGTATGGTAGAGACATAGCTGGAAACCAGGTCCCTCAGGCCTCCCTTTCCACAGAAGTCAGACCTTCACTTCCTGTCCTTTCAAATGGAGAGGATTAAATGCAGTCACGTAAGTCACTTGGCTGCTGGGACCAGCGCAGGAAAGTTACTGTAGGGTCACTAGGTTGAAAGACGTAGGAGTAACCCCAAGGCTGGAAGGGATTAAGGGCCGCAGTCACAGACTGATGATTCATTCATTCCAGGCGGTCAAGGTTGGGTAGGTTTTCTGGCTCCTCAGGAAAAGCAGGCGAGTAGTCTGGGAGCTGTTTGCAAGGCTGAATTAAGAACTCAGAGTGAGCAAGAGCTGGTTTACCACACCTGGCAGGACTGGGGTGAGGAAAGTGGCTGCAGCCTTCGGAAAGTGCTTGCTGTCTCCCTCTCCTCTCCCCACGCCGCCCTCCCCCCGCCACCCCCCCGCCCACCCCTCATTCCTTCCGCCTTGAGGTACCGGCAGGGGAAGTGCAAGCTCAGGTTCTGGGAAGAGCCTATCAAGCCAAGATCTGAAAGGAAAGGTGTTGCCACAATAGGTGGGGGCCAGAAGAAGTCACTTTCACATTCTGAAACACAAAGCCTGCAGCTGAGTTGTTTGTTTGTTTGTTCCTGAATCTCTTTTGTTGTTGTTGTTGTTGTTATTGTTGTACCTAAATCTCTTTTCCTGTTTGAGTCTGGAAGGACCTGGCTTCAGGAACTCTGAATGGCCAAGTTTCATAGTCTTCCTGAGCTTTAACCAGTAAAGTGGTCATCGCTCCATCCCCACCTCTGGTCATCCTCCCCACCCCCAGCTTCAGGAAGCACAAGGACAGGAACCCACAGGCAGCCCTGAGCCCAGCCTAGACTGCGGGAAGGCAACTGAGACCTCCATGAGAAGGGGGCACCTGAGAGCACATGCAACCAAGCTGTGTCCCTGCAAGGGACCACCCTCCCTAGGCCGGTGTCAGCTGAGTCCTCTCTCTCCGTCGGCCAGGTGCCCTCACTGCCCAGAGGTGGAACTCAGCAGCCCAGGCGCCGCCGCCCTGAGTATCCTGCGGAAAATGTGAGAACTCTGGGGAGCCATTGCTGCTGCAAGGACCCGCGGGCGGGCTACCGCGCTGGTGGGGGGGCTCTGTCCAAACCTTGCGTCCTCGACTTCCCATCCGCCTCATAAAGGGTTGGTGAAGACCATCTCAAGGACCGCACGAACTGGTCCTTCAAGTCCCAGGAAACCGAAACAACAACCGAGGCGGCTCTCTGTCCGGGCCACTTCCGGAGCGAGCTCTGCGGCGGACCTCTGGCTCCCGCTCCTTTGGGCACCCGCGGTGCGGCCAGACCGCTCCTGCCAGCGACTCTCTGGCTGGCAAGGGAGAGGAGGTGGAGTTCAGACTGGCCCCTCACGCCCAGAGTGGAAGCGATTCCTAGGATCCTGCAGCCACCGAGCCGCCCGCCGTGCCTAGCCCGGGCTTGATGGTGAAGAGCACAGCTGCCTTCGACAGAGCCGGAGGAAAGGAAGTTTAAGAAGCAACTGCCCGCGTTCCGCTTATCTTGCCGAGCCCACCCCCACCCCCACCCTCACCCCCTGCGGATTCAGAAGCTGCTCCACCGAGCCCGATTGTGTCATAAAATATTTTATTGGAAAAAAAGTCACCGTCTTCGCAAGAGGGGGTAGGGGCCCCAGCGACATCGGGGACCCGGCCTCCAGGCCGAGCCGACGGGTTGCCCCGGGGCAATCTCAGGCCGTTGTGGCCTGAGCCCAACCGCTGGGTCCCCGACGTCCAGAAGCGGGTGTGTGCCTGGAGGCTCCCCGGCCGGGAGGGCAGGCCCCAGACGGGGTGGGGGTGCAGGCGAGGAGCGGGGCGTGAATACGCGTGGAGCGCTCTGCGCCACGGAGCTCAGGGTAGAGACTGTAGCTTCCGCCGGGCTGGATGCGAGTCTCCCAGGTTAGAGCCCAGAAGCGCGCTGGGACCTGGGTCTGGCTTTTGGGTCTGTGTCCTTCCTCGTTTGGCCCCAATTGTCCGCATTCAAGATCATAATAAAAAGGCTTAGGAAGTAAACTTCTTGGACGCGGAAGGGCCGGCTCGCGGGTTTCCGCCGAGTGAGGGGGCTGCGGGTGGCGCGGGCATCCCAGGCCCCGCACCGTATACCGCCCTCAGTCCTCGCGGCTCCTGTCGCTGGGCTCGCCCGGCACCTCCGCCGGTTTCTCTGCATCCTTGGCGCGCTCCTGCTCAGTAAGCTGCTCGCTCGTTGGAATTGAGTTCTTCTTGGGCCGCCCCTTGGGCTTGGTGGGAGACTCCAGGCCGCCGCCCTGCAGCACCTGCACGGGGGACCGCCAGCACCTGGGTGAGCCAGCACGTGGACTGGGGACCCCCGAGGAGACTTGAACCCAGGTAGGACTAAGGAGTGCAGGGTCCATATGAGGAAATGGTGGGGAAATGTCCCGGGAAATGGCGGCCATTTGTCCAAATGCCGCCTGGGGAGCGGCCCGGCCTGGGGAGCATAAGACTGCCAGGAGGCCTGAAGGTGCCGCGGGAAAGGACGAAATGTTGGCTTACCCAAGGGGCAGAAAAAACTGAGAGGATTCCGGTGCGTACCAGGCACCGAGGGAATCGGGGGGTTGGGCAGAGTCTCAGTGGGGAGAAAGAGGAGAGCAGCTCTGCATGCACCGGGGCATGGCCCAGGAAGCTGAGGGGTGGGAAGCCACCAGGCACACTCACTATTTTCTTCCACTTCATCCTCCGATTCTGGTACCACGTCTTCACCTGCAACTGGCTCAGGCCCAGGGACTCAGCAAGATCTATTCTGGAAAGAGCAGGGCGCACCCTCAGCAAGGCAAGTGACCACACTCCCACAGCCCGCTGGCCCCAGCCTTGTACCGCCCTACCTGTCCGGCGTGGAAAGGTACTTCTGCTTCTCGAAGCGTTTCTCCAGGCCCATCAGCTGCAGCTCGGTGAACACAGTGCGGCTCCGACGCCCCTTCTTGGCTTTGGTGCCTGGCTCCCCAGGGCCTGCCGCCTCCAGCTTCCCGCGGAGCTGCAACTCGAGCGGCAGGTGTGGCGCACCCGCGGCGCCGGGCAGCCCGGGCCCTGCCGCCAGCAACGCAGAGCTCAGCCCTGAACAGCCCAGCGGCGCCAGTGGGAACTTGAACACCGCCGCCTGCTCGGCCTTCAGCACGGCTGCGAAGAAAGAGAATGAGGACCCGGGTGAGCTACGGCCGCGCTCCTCTGCCCCAGGGACTGCCGCACCACGTGCCGCGGGGGTGCTCGCGCTTGGCCAGTGCCTCCCAGCGCAAAACCTCCACGCCCTGCCGGTCGGCGCCGGTGGCGCAGATGGAGACCCTCCTCAACGTTGCCGTTCCCCAGATTTGGGAGGGAGTATCTCCTCGACCCTGTCCGTGTTCTGTCCTGGAGTTCCCCAGGCCTCAGCTGCCTCTGAGATCTCGGGGTTCCTGATGAACATGTTTGCAGCTGCGAGAAACTCGGAGTGTGTCTTGTCTTTCGGGGAAAGTAGAAACCAAAAAGAAAACGGCAGCTGGTCCTAAGAAGATGGCGTTTGCTCCAACCAAATCAGCCTTGCTGCGTTAGAAAAAGAACATGCACGGAGCGTGCACATTTGCTCTTCCGTGCGTGGCACAACAGCCATGCGGTGGCCAGGAGTCATCTGGGCCGGAGTTGGGTGCTTCCCGGAAATTCCAAAGTACCCTGAGAACCTGGAAATTATTGTTCACGTTTTCTATTTTCAGACGCTTCCCCATGCAGATGTTTCCATTTTCTTCAGTCCTAAAATGATTGTGTGCCCGCTTCAAACGAATTAGTAGCAACAGAGCAGATGGAGACGAAAGGTAGCCGAATGGCCGAGTCCCAGCTGGACTTAGAAGGAGCGCGCTGGCCCTGCCGTCTCCAGGCTAGGGAGCACCGACTAGGAGGTGGGGGGGTGCAGGGAAGGCGACTTGAAGGGCTGGGGTCCCGGCTACAGCGTAGGAGCCTCCCTTCCCCGACAGGCCTGTCACTGAGGTGCGAGTCCTAGCCTGGCTGGAGTCGGAAAGGGCAGGGCAAGGCGCAGGTAAATGTGGGGCAGAGGACCCGTAGGGAAAAGGTGGGAGATGGGAGGCAGGCCGACCCCAATGAGAGAAGCGAGGGAGGCCGACCGGCAGACGGTTGGAAAGCGAGATAGGGAAAGACAAGACGAGGGTGGAGTGCGATGGAGACAGCACCATCAGGGCAGAGCAGGCCCCGCCAAATTAGAAGAAAGGGCAGAAGCTGAAAAGGTCTGCGCAGGCCGTTCAAGCCCTGCAGAGGCCCAGCCGACCTGAAACCAGAAGGGACAGCCAGGCAGCTGCTCACAGTCAGGCCTCTGGCCCCAAGGCAAGGCCGAAGCAGGTCCGCACTGCGGCCAAGGCCGCGTTCCTCGCCCGCTGGAGCTCCCGGGGACTCCGGGCCGGCTTGGGCCCGCGTCAGCACCCAGCCCTCGGGAGCGCAGGCCTCCTCCCCAGAGGTCCGACTTCCCTGGGTTGGGCAGCCGCGGCCACTCCCGGCCATCCCTCTGCGGCGAAGCCCAGGCGCCCGTGGCCTGAGGTCGCTTCCACCCACGAGAGTCCGTAGCCTGGCAGTGCGCCTGCACTGGGGATGCTCACTCGGGGTCCCCGGGCTGGAGGCCGAAGGGAAGCAGTGAAGGAAAGAGCGAACACCCTCCCCGGGCGGCCCGCGGGCACGAGGCCTGGTTTCTGTGAGGCCTGGAGCTTGCACCCTCCGCCTCCCGCCTGGAGGGCTCCGAGAGACGGTCCCAGAACCTGCGCTCCCAGAGCAGCTTCCCGGGGCTGCTTCGATGCCGGAGGAGGCTCGGGGCGCCCCCGCGGTTCAGCTCGCTGTCTCCCGCCAAGCCCGGCCCGCGACCCCGCGGCCGCCACACGTACCCAGGTGGCTGTGGAAGGGCCGCGCCGCCAGCAGCGCCTGCACGCCGAACTTCAGCAGCTCGCCCGCCGCGGCAGCGGCGGCTGCGGGCGCGGCGCCCTTGGGCCCGGGTGGCTCCGTGAGGATCTCCTCAATCATGAAGCTGCGATAGCGGTGCGGCCGGTGGTCCGCGCAGCCCTCGGGCGGGCCGAAGCGCGCGGCGCCCGGCTCCCCCGGCCGCTGCATCGCGGCGCCCACTGCTGCGCCCGCGGTTTGGCGGCGGCGGCGGCGACGGCTTGGCTCCGGCGCGGGGCCCGCGCGGGGCTCTAGGCCGGCCCGCAGCTCGGGGCGGCGCGCGGGCGCCGGCTCATGCCCCCTCCCCCGCCGGCCGGCCGGGCGGAGGCGCAGGGCGCGGGCGGGGCGCGCGGGGCTCGGCCGGTCGAACCCGGGACTGCGCCCCCTCCCCACGCCGCCGCGCCTCTTGCCCGGCCAGCCCCGCGTCACCGCCCCGCCCCGCCCCGCCCCGCGCCGCCGCCCCCAACCCCTAGGCTGAGCCGGAGGGAGGGACCCAGAAGGGAGGGAGGCGGAAGGGAGGCCAAAAAGGAGGGGGCCACGTGAAAGAGGCCGGCCGACCGAGACCGAGGGAGACTGAGCGGAGCGCACGCCCTGGAAGGAGAGAGCCGGAGAGTTCGGGAGGCAAGACCCCCAGAGACGAGAGTCGGAGGGATCAAACGACACAGGTGAGAGAAGGGGCAGAGGCAGACGGCGTGGGCCAAACAAGATTCCAGACAGTGATGTGAGGGCACCAGAGACGCCACCGAGATGTGCGCAGAGAGACCAAAAGAGGCGTGAGAGCCAGCGGGCTGTGACGTGACGGAGGGCACAGAGGCAGGCGGGGCAGAGGAAGGGGGCGGTAAAGAAATGGGAACAGCTAGAAAACCGGCGGCTTGATCGGCTTTTAGGTAGCCCCGGAAAGGTCGGGAGGAGGAGGGGCAAAGGCCGCGCTCCTCAGCTGGGAAGGAGGTGGTCTCAAGCAGCCTCCAGTCCCGGGCTCAACACCGCCAACCCGGCAAGGGTGAGGCAGCGTTCAGGGATGCAAGGGGCAGAGCGGTAGCGGCACCTGTGCACCCCTCCCACCTCTGCCTCAGTTTACCATGTACGGCCTCATTTCTCTCCGGGCTGCCCTGAGAGAAAAATGTTCTCCAGCCGAGATTTGCTTGAATTGGAAATTCAAGTGATCCATGGACACATCCTCCTTGACAGCCCCCAGAAGACTGTAGGCTGGTTACATCCCCCTAGTTAGAAAAGGAAAAGGATTCGAGGAGAAGGGAAGGATGCAGCTTTGCCTTTTCCCAGCTTTGGGGCATCAAGAAACTGTTACTGGGCGGAGTTGGGGCCAGGGGGCCAGTGGGTGCTCTGAGAGTGTAAAGACCAAACTCTGGTGGGACCTGGCTCCATTGCGGAGCCTCAAAAGCTCCAACATGGTGGAGGAAGTTGGCAGTACCTTCTCTAGATCTTTCTTTCCATCCTTAGAAGAGTATAAGCCCAAGCCGTGGAGTGAACAACCCCAAAGCTACCCTACGCTGAACTCCTCTCTTTGGTCCTGCCACTACTGGTGAAACCACTGACCCTTTCTGGGCCTGTTTCCTTACCTGTCCTGAGGAGATGCTGACCTTTGGCTCCAGAGAGACTGTGAGAACTCAGTGAGGGGGTCCTGCACTCCGAGGGTCCTGCACCCTGGGAGCCCTTAGGTCTGTTTGGAGAGAAAACAGTTCCTCCAGGCAAGAGGGGAGAAGTGTCCCCAGGAGGTTGGGGGAGGAGCATCTGCCCTCCTCCTTCTCAGGAATCACAGGGCCTACCTCCTAGCCCCATCCACCATTGCCAGTCAGCGCCTGATGCACTGGGGGTGTCCTGGGCCACCCGGACTTCCTCTGTGAGCTCCATGTGGGGCCTCAGTCTTTACCTCAGGTAACTAGGGCTTACCACACCTACAGCCATGCCCCCCACCCAAGTTGAAGTCCTTTCTCCAGCTCCAGCTGCTGGTGGGGAGGCCTTCAGGCTGGCCCTCAGTCCCTGGCACCTGCCCCAGACTCGGGAGTGGGGGTGGGGGGCAGGTGGGGACTAGGAAGTGGCCCAGATCCTTTGTCTGTAGGGCCTGGAGTGAGGACAAAGACTACCTTACTCTGGTAAGATCCCAGTCCCAAGAGCCCACTGTCTCTCCTTCCCAGTTGTTGCATGACTTTCTGAACTCAGAGTTACCATTGGGACTGAAAGAAGGTGGCCTCAATGGCCGCCAGTTGCTTCGGACTCCCTCGGAGAGTGGTGCTGTGAGCCTACATGGTTCTTTGGAAAGGGTGGAGAGGGGCGCACTAAGAGCAACAGTATCCCACACTGAGCAGGCCTCCTCCTGAGAGACCAAGAGACCAGGAAGCTGGCCCTGTCGCTGTTGGCCAAGCAGCCACTGACATCCTACCTGGCAAATAGAAACAAGCCAGTGTCTCCTGGGAGGCTGGGGCAGCCCAGTCAGGCTCCCCCTATCAACGGGTAGACTCAGAGAACCCTCCCTAGATGAGTGCAATAGTATCACTCAATCCAACCATCTCCTTTTTCAGATGGGAAACTGAGGCCCAGCAAGAGGCAGCCCTGGTGCAGGGACTCCAGTGAGTAGGGCTGGTTTACTATTGCTTCTTGTACAGAGCCATATCAAGCTCCTTTTTCCGGCTTCCTCCCTCACCTCCCCCATCTTAGCAGGGCCCCTGCCCCTTCCTCACCCCCTGGCTTCTGCATCTCCCTAAGGGCATAGCCTAGTGGTGGTTTCTCCCCTGAGTAGGCCCAGCTAGCCTCTGTCCCATCCCCTGTTATTTGGGCCCTAACAGAAGCTACCCAAATTTGAACCATCTCTGCCCCATGCTCAAGACCTGAGGGTCTCACATCCTCAAAATGGGTCCCCAGATTCCAGATCCAAGGATTTGGGGATCACACTGTTCATCAGCTGTCACTAAACTTATTTTACTATGAGCCATCCCCCTGGGGTAGCTTCTTGGTCAGCTTGTGGGGAAGGGGGTCATTTTCAGGATGGAGGCCTCATCTCTAGATTTTGGGGAGTCAAAAGAGTAGTGCAGCCCAGCCCTCACCCCATTCCACAGGTGTGCACCCCCAGCTCCTTGGACTCTGGCCAGGACCATTTCCTGCAGCCCCAGGCCAGCCCTGCAGCATGAGCAGAGGGTGGCTTTGGGAATGAGGCCCTGAGGGCTGGAAGGAGAATGCCCAGCGCCTAGGGAACTTTGGGAGACCGCAGCTGGCTCCAGGGGCTGAGAGAGCCAGGGTCCTGCCCCCGGTCGCCCAAAACACCTCCCTTGTAGGTCTGTCCCTGATCCCCCGGCTCTTGATAGACACAGCCTCCCCGTCGCCCGACCCCAGGGCAAACCAGCAGATAAACCCCTTTTAGGCGAAAATTACACAAAAACGGCGGCGGCGGCGGGGCCTCCTCTGCTCAGGCACTGCCGCGTTGGCGGCCGAAAAAAGAGGGTCCCAGAGAAGGGGAACCCCCTCCCTGTCGAGGACACCGAGGCCCAGAGAGGGGAAGCCTCCTCCCCAGTGGGGTGCAGTCTGGGATTGCAGTCCCCACCCCAGGGGCGCAGCTGCCAGCCCAACGCCTGGGACACACCCCCTCCCGAGGCCTCTAGCCGCCGCCGCGAAAATCCCGGAAACCGTCCTGCTCGCGGCGGGCGCAGTGGAAAAGGTGACCTCAGCGCCCCGGGCCAGCCGCCCTCCCTAGCAGCCGGGCGGCGAGGGGCTCCGGGCGGCAGGGGTTCCTCGGCGCCGCCCGGTCGCTGGATGAGGGGCCCTCGGAGCGCAGAACCGGCCCCCTCCCCACCCATGTTCTGCCCCTCAGACCCTACAGCCCCTTTGGAGGCTGCGGGACAGGGAGGGGACCACCTCATTCCCACAACCGAATCCCCTAAGCATTCAGGTGTAGGTTCCAGAACCACCTCCCCTCCACCCACACCCTTCTCCTACTCCAGCGCCTCCCAGACGGGATTGTGAAATGGCTCCGCGTGCGAACGGGTCCAGGAGCCGTTCGTTGTACAGAGGAGGAAGCTAAGTCTGGAAGGAGCACTCGAGCAGGCTCAGCGGCCAGCAGCCAGCGGCAGGGGGATCGTGCATCGCTTGGAGGGCGCTGGGCTCTCCTCCATCCGCCTCAGCCGTGGGCAGTTTGTTTCCGCTCCCACTTGCAGCGGGTCTGCATCTTAATTGGCAAAACGAAGTTGGGGCCGCGGTGGAGCGGAGGCTTCTTCCAGAACGGTCAGCTCACCTCCGGATGCGGTCGTCCGAGCAGCCGCCTGCGGGGGGTCCCACGCCCTCTATCTAACAGGTTGACGTCCAGCCCCTAGGGGCCCAGGCGGCCCCGGGCCGCCCCACCTCGCGGCCTTCTGCTCCCCGCGCAGCCTTGCGCGCCCAGCCACCCAGCACACGGTCCGTCCCTGGGGACGCGTCGCGAGCGCCGGGAATGGAGCTCGTTTCCTCTTTTCTTTTTTCTTCTTCTTCTTTTTTTTTTTTAAACCTTTGGTTCTGATTGTCCTTGGCCCAGCAGGCTGTTGGTGGCGTTGGTGGTGCTGCTGGGACTGGGGCACCGGCCTTGGCCGCAGGTGTGCTGTGCCCGACAGAGGCCGCCTGGACCGCGCCCGGAACGCCCTGTCCGGGTGGGCTGCGGCGTTCGCCCTGCTTTTGCCCCGAGCCGAGACTGGCAACATCTTTTCTAGCTTCAAAACAGAAAATTTTGGAATTATAAAATTACCCCCTCCCCACGCTTACAGGTCATTATCTCCTGGAGACCACCAACTCGCTTTCTCTTTGGAGAAGCCAGTCTCTGTGACCCTTTCTTTCATGAAAATTTCGAACTCAAATGTGGGCATTCGTTTTGAGTCATTTCAAAGCCCTAGAAGCTCGGGGTCAAATTGTGTTTCGGGTGACAGCGCCTTTAGACACATCCCCCTCTCTTTCCAAGCTCCCCCTCTTGGAGCAATTTACAAATTTGTTCCTTTGGAATTCGCTACTTTATTTTTGTTTTGTAAGTTTTGTTGTTGATTTTTTTAATGTTTAATTTTCTATGGAAGTGTTAGTTTAAATACATCCAACAGCCCAGCGTGGTGGCAAGCGCCTGTAGTCCCAGCTTCTAGGCAGGTTGAGGTAGGGGGATTCCTTGAGCCCAACAGTTCGAGGCTGCAGTGAACAATGATTGCCCCACTGCACAAGCCTGGGCAACAGATCCAGACCCCGTCTCTTAACCAAAATAATAAATAAAAATAAAAGACAGATCCTTAGATAGGAAATAAATAACTCGCTCCTGTGACCCGGAGATGACCCGGTTCTTAGTGGTCCAGGAACCTGAGGCGATGCTCCTGGACTCGCGGAGCCGCCAGCCCGCCGCTCCCAGCCCTCCAGGCCCTGGACGGGTCCCGCCTCCATTTCACACCCACCGCTCGCCAGCCCCGGCGGCTCCCGCAGAGACCTTGCATCCGAGTCCAGTTACGCGAACCAGCGGCGCCTGAGGCCACACCCAGAGCCAGGAAGTAGCCGTCTGGGTGCCGGGGCTCTGTGGGCACGGCCGCGCTGCTGGGCGCGGACTGCAAGGCCGGGCGGGGATGGTGTTTGCGACCCGCACAGGCGCTCTCCCCCCGGCGAGTGTGGACCCTTCGAGAATGCTCCCTTGGCCCAGGACTGATCCCCACGAGCATACAGCTTCGGCCTTCCGAGGAGAGTCAGGGTCGGTGCGGACCGACTCCGCAGGCCCTCCCTTGCCCCATCTGGGCTGGTGCCAGGCCGCAGCTCGAGACCTGGTTTCCACCCCGGGCTCCCACAGAGCCCATGAAGCGCTGGTCACAGCCCCTGGAAGCTGCAGACCCGGCTTTTCGAGGAGCCTCCCCGACGTGCAGAGCCTGAGACCCCAGAGAGCGGCCGGCTCGTGCGGGCCAGAACGCGGCGAGGCGCCCGCGGAAACGACTCGGCTTTTCTTTCTTTTCCCCTTTTCTTTCTTTATTTGCTTTTTTTTTTCCTCTCTTCCCTTCTTCCACCCATTTCCCCCTCCTCTTTCTTTTGTTTTTTTTTAGTCCTCCCCCCACCCCTCTTCTTTCTTTTGTTGCTCGTTCACTCTCGCTCTTGTCTCCTCTTCTGCTCCCGCTCCCCCCACTTTCTGTTCCTTTTCATCAGAAGGACGGCCAAGCCACAGTCCCGTCCTCCTAATAAGAGAAGAGGCCTTCATGCTCGCGGTGTGCCCACCAGGTGCCAGACGCTCTGCAGATTTAATACGTTTAATAGGCACAGAGCTCTTGGAGGGTTCTATAGCCTGTGTAGGGGGTGGGGAATTCTTTCCAGCTTGGGCAGCCTGGGGAGCTAGGCCTGGGATTGGGGAAGGGGTCTGGGCCCTGGCCCCTTAGCCAGGTGAGGTGGACCACAGCATCTCCTCCAGAATGTCTCCTGGTGGCAGGGAGGCCAGGCCAGATCACATTGGCCTGCCCACATTCCAGCAGGGACTCACACTTGCATCTGTCCTTCCTGACACAGGACTCTACTGTGGCTACCAGTCCTGTCTTCACCTGCCACCTCCCCCCTCCACCACCTTGCCAGGACTGGAAGGGAGAGGGGGCTGGGTACTGCCTCCTCCAGCTGCACCTCCCACTGGGTGCTGCTCGGGAGGGGATGGAACAGGGGGCATGGTGCTTCTTTTACAGGCAAGAGTTCTGGGGTCTAGGTGGGGAAAAGGAGGCTACAGCCACACCACCCCTCAGATGCCAGGCAGGATCAGCCTCTGGTACCCTGGCTCCAGGCCAGCCCTCCTGCCTCCTGCTGGTTTGAACTGACTGAAGATGACACACGAAGAGGATGGGACAGGAGCTGGTGCCACCTCCACAGGCACTGGGCTTCCCTGGGCCCCCTCTCCCATGTCACATCTGTACTTTCTGCCTTGTTCCTGCCTCTTGGTGCCAGGAATGGGCTTACAAGCCCAGTTCCCAAATGGCCAAATTCCACATATTTGCAGATTGGCAAAGCACACAGGGGACCTCGAGATGAGCTGGACCCCTGGTTTGCAGACCTCTTCCTGCTACTGCCCTTGAGCAAGCCCATTTCCTGTCCAAGCCTCAGTTTTCCCAAATGAGAAAACAAGAGGGGGTTTTTAGGTGAATCTTTCTCCTTGCTAGTGTTAACAGCTTAGGTCATGGATTGAAAAACTTGTTCTGTAAAGGGCCATATAAGCAAATGTTTTAGACTTTGCAGGCCACATGGCCCTATTGTGGTGACTCAGCCCTGTCTTTGTAGTGTGAAAGTAGCCCTAGATAATGCATAAATGAGTGGGTATGGCTGTGTTCCAACCAACTTTATTTATAGATATGAAAACCTGAATTATATCTAATTTTCACATCGCAAAATATGATTCTTATTTTTTTTTCAACCACTTAAATATGTAAAAACCATTCTCAGTTTGCTGGCCAAACAAAAACAGGCAATGGGCCACAGTTTGCCAATTCTTGTGCAGTTTCAATTATTCTGATAGCACAAATATTGCACTTCCATATCAGACATGTTGCCTTATGTTAACATTTTTTTCTTTTAAATTCTTTTCTCCAGGAAAGCATCTATTAATTTAACAGTATTTGGGACTTAGGAACACAGAATCACCTGACTCATTTCCTACACCCATTTCTGAGTTCTCAACAATTTAAATGTTTCCCTTATTAATACTATACCCAGACACCGGATTGCACAACGTACAATCACCCTCTCAATCCTTGCAACAGCCTTTGGAGTAGAAATAGTTTACCCTGCCTTCCAGCTCCTTGCACACCCCTGGAGACAGGGCGCTCACTCCCTTCAGTGGCTGCCTAACGAACTGCTGAGAGCCCAGTGACGTAGGCTTGACGCCCCTTAAGGGCGAAGGCCACCCCCGGCGACAGTGCTTCTTCCCAACCAGCCATTCCCAACCCCTGGCAATTCCATCTAAATCCTCTCCAGCTGTTGAAATGTGGATGGACAGGGGGCGGTGGCTCTGATTTTCTGGGAGTTTCCCAAGCCTTGAGCCTTTGCAGCTGCCAAGTGACAAATCTTGCAGGGACTAGGCAAAGGGAAAGAATATGACAGAAAAAATAGAGATTATAAATGTGTTGCTTGCTAGAAGTGTTTCCAGGAAATCTTGCTCACAGGGAGGCCTTATCGCCCCGCCCCCGCATCTTCCTTGGTTCTTGCGCCCTCTGCTGGTCATATTGAGTCTTAACCATGCTCACTCGGAACCGTTCCACTTATAAAGGAAAACAAGACTGCATGATCTCACTTGTATGTGGAATCTAAAAAAGTTGACATCATAGAAATAGAGTGAAATGGTGGTTATTAGGGCCGGGATGTGAGGGAGAAATGAGAAGATGTCGGTCAAAGGGTACAAACTTTGAGTTATAAGATAAATTCTGGGGATCTACGTACAGCATGGTGACTATAGTTAACAATCACGTATTGTGTGCTTGAAGTGTGCCGAAAGGGTCGGTTTTCAGTGTTCTCACCAAAATGGTAACTATGTAAGGCGATAGATATGTTAATTAGCTTGATTGTGGTGATCATCACGGTATATACATATACCAAAACATCACATTGTACACATTGAATACATCCTTTTTTTTTTTTTTTTTTTTTTTTGAGACAGGGTCTGACTCTGTCACCTAGGCTGGAGCCCACTGGTGCCCTCTCAGCTCACTGCAACCTCCACCTCCTGCGCTCAAGCAATCCTCCCACCTCCTGGGCTCAAGCAATCTTCCCACCTCAACCTCCCTAGTATCTGGGACTGCAGGTACACACCATGCCCGGCTAATTTTTGTATTTTTGGTAGAAACAGGGTTTCACCATGTTGCCCAAGCTGTTCTCCAGAACTCCTGAGCTCAAGCAATCTACCTGCCTTGGCCTCCCAAAGTGCTGGAATTACAGGTATGAGCCACCATGCCCAGCCATATATACAATTTTTATTTGCCAATTATACTTCAGTAAAGCTGAGGGAAATTTTTTTTTTAAAAAAAGAAAAATAATCCAGTATTTACTTTCCCTCTCTATGTATCAAACACCTTGCTGGTTGCTGAAGATACAAAGAAAAAGGCATCTTATCTGCCCACGGGAAGTGCAGTTTAACCATGCAGAGACGTACAAATGTGCTCACAGCCAGTGGCAAAGACACAGCACGCAGAAGGTGGTGGACACAGCAGGAGGGAGCATGCCATGGAGCAGAGGCGTGCGGGAGGCCCTCAGTCCCGGGGGTGGGGAGCTTCCAGACATACACAGTGAGCTCATGGCTTCCACTGTGGGGTGTTGGTGTTGCGCTCAGCAGGCCAGACAGCACAGGTTGGATTTTAAATGTTTGGATACTTTTAGAGCCAGCTACTTCTGACCTTCAGGGACTTAAGAGGCTGAGCTCTGTGCCCCGTATTGAAGCCCATGGGGATGCTCTCTGGGCCTGCTACTGAAAAGGGATGTCTGTCTCTCAGTACAGTTGTGGGTTCCACTGCACTCCCCAACCTGGAAAAGCCCTAGTCAGTCTTCTAGAGAGCACACCCTCTGTGCAAGGCCTTGTGCCCCATGTTACATGATCTCATTTAAACTTATGTCTTCCACTGTAGGAGACTGGCAATTTTACCCTTAATTTACTAACAAGGAAACTGAGGCACAGAGGGGTGACCTCATTTGCCTGAGAGGTGGAGCTGGGATTGGAACCAGTGCTCCCTCCACAGTATCACAATGACCTTTTTGGGGTCCTTCACCTTCTGACTTAACCCCTACTTTCCCTCGCTGATTGCCACTGAGACAGACCTATAGCTCCAGCTGCCCAAAGGTCACCCGCACACCACGCTCACTGTGTCCAGATCTGGACTTACTGTTACCCACCTCATCCTGCTCTGAGTGGAGAAGATGGACTGGAGCAGCCATCCCCTGCAGACACAGCTCACTGACCAGGGAGTGCCCTGGGAGGCAGCCCTGTTCCTACCCAAGCACGAACAGCAGGCAAGGCATCTCCAGTCAAAGGGCAGGGCCCTGTGGACTCAGTTCTGGTCAGGACACCCATGGTACTGGGCTCCTTCCATAGGTTGGCCCTGTGCTGGTCCCAACCCCATCCCATTCTGGCTCAGTCTAGGAGAGCAGGACTGCCATTTACAGACTACGTAACTCCCAGGCGTGTCATTGACTGTGCTGAGAATAGCACTTCTTGATTGTGCAGTGTGCAACCCACACAACTGTTCCCAACAGTCCTGCCAATTATTTGTTTGCTTCTCTTCTCATCAAACCAAATGGGTAGAAAAGGTTGTTATCATTGTTTTGAGTTCTGCCTGCTCCTTCCCCAGATGATAAGCAACATATTGAAACAAGGGAAGAAAACATATCCTATCTGCATACTTGCTGTTAAAAATCCACCTTAATTTATAAGTCTACTGGCTTTCCATTTTATGTTTCTATTACAGATTAGAGCAAAATTCATCCATCAAAGTGTTTGTGGCCTACATAATCCATCCCTTTGAATATAGGGGGCCTATCAGTGTGATAGGATAGCATCACCCTGATGGTGCTACCTGATATGGCAAAAAGGATTTTGAGGTCCCTAACTGGTGGACTTTGAATTGATCGAAAGGGAGATTGTCCTGGGCCTGACTACCCCTTTAAGAGACAACCCCTTTAAGAGGGACTGGGGCCAGGCACAGTGGCTCGCGCCTGTAATCCCAGCACTTTGGGAGGCTGAGGCAGGCAGATCACCTTAGGTCAGGAGTTCGAGACCAGCCTGGTCAACATGGAGAAACCCCATCTCTACTAAAAATACAAAAATTAGTCGGGCGTGGTGGCGCATGCCTATAATCCCAGCTACTCGGGAGGCTGAGGCAGGAGAATGACTTGAACCCAAGAGGCAGAGGTTGCAGTTAGCTGAGATCACACCAGAGCACTCCGTCCCGGGCAACAGAGCAAGACTCTGTCTCAAAGAAAAAAAAAAGTGACTGAGGTCTTCCCTGAGGTCAGAGAAGTTCTGCCAGCCTTGAAGAAGCCAGTTGCATGTTGTGAGCGGCCGACAGAGGGCCCGCTTGGCCAGGACCCAGAGCAAGCAGGTAAACTCAGCCAACAGCCTGAATAAGCTCAGAAGTGGGTCTTCCTTAGCAGAGCTCCAGGTGAGACCGCAGCCTGACTGGCACCTTATTGCTGCCTTATGAGACCCTGAGCAGATCCTGACCCATGGAGGAGATAATAATATGAGATAATAGCAGTGTTTGCAGAGCTTTGCTGTGCTGCAGTAGCACCCAAGTTGAGCCAGGGAGGTGTGTGTGTTGGTGGGGAGCCTCATGTCTGCCACAGGAGAGAGACCACAGGAGGGCAGACATCCTGTTTGAATCTTCGCCCTCTCCCATCACCCAGGGGCAAACCTCGGAGTCCACCCCCGGCCAGTGACCCTGCCTGCAGAGGGACTGTGATGTCCTTCATCCCTACAATGCCCGCTGGTGCCTGAGGAAGCCCCTTTGGCAGGAGGCTGGCCACAGCATGGACAAGAGAACAAGGGGCCACATTCTGGCCAGCCCTGGTGTTGTGATGGCCTGCAGCCGCCACCTTGCTGTGATTAAGAAATAGCAGATCCTTGGCTCACACCTATAATCCTAGCACTTTGGGAGGCCGAGGCAGGTGGATCACCTGAGGTTAGGAGTTTGAGACTAGCCTGGCCAATATGGTGAAAGTCTGTCTCTACTAAAAATACAGAAATTAGCTGGGCCTGGTGGCGGGTGCCTTATTCCCAGCTACTTGGGAGGCTGAGGCAGGAGAATCGCTTGAACCAGGGAGGCAGAGGTTGCAGTGAGTCGAGATTGCGCCACTGCACTCCAGCCTGGGCAACAAGAGTGAGACTCTATCTCAAGAAAAAAAAAAAAGGAGCAGATCCGAGGAAGACGCTGCCCGGAGAGGGGAGGCCCCTCTCACCCAGGCAAGTCCCAGGGCAGAGGTGGTGGCCATCCTCTGCTGAGGCGGCAGAGCTGCCAGCAGTGGACGCAGACCAGGGAGCACGTCTGGTTCCTTTTTCTCCTACCCCTGGTTTCATTGTCCTGGGCTCCAAGATGCAGGACAGGGTGGCATGCAGAATTTGACTATGTTCTCAGACCCTAGTTCTGGTGGCTGGGGCCACCCTGCTCTGCGCCCACCACAGCCTCCACCCCACCCAGCCCCACTCTCAGGGCACAGGTGCTGCCCATAGGAGGTCACCCCTCCCTCTCCATGCCCTGCAGGACAAGTGCCTCTCAGCCTGCTGGATCCAGTGTGGGCTCTCAGGAGGCTCCTGGCACCAGCGCCGGCTGCGGCTGATGCCTGACACAGCCTGTGAGATGCCACGTTCTGCCAGCCAGGCCTGGGCTGGAGGAGCACCCTGACCACTACTCTACCCCTTCCTGTCCTCCCCTCGCTTCTCCCAGGTTAGGGGAAAGCAGGGATGTGTGCAGGTGAGGCCGACCCAGGCCTACCCCAAGGGCTTTGAGCTACACGGGCTGTCTCAGCTGATGTGAGCATGGCACTAATCAACAACACACCCCAGCAGGAGTCACTCCCTCCCCAGGCACTTTCTGTCTTTCCAATCATGCTAAGTCTTGAGTCTGAGTTTGGTGCCAGTGTGGTCTCACTGTGCTCACAGGCCCATCACTGCCTCACTGGACCAGTCAGGTCCCCCCGGCCAGCCGTGCCTGGGAGAGTGAAGGCACAACACTCTGCAATGGGATTCAGACCCCAGTTAACTACGTCCACAATTGCTAGGTGATGCTGAGCTTTTATTTTTATTTATTTACTTATTTTGTTTGTTTGTTTGTGTTTGTTTGTTTTTTCTGAGACGGAGTTTTGCTCTTGTCGCCCAGGCTGGAGTGCAGTGGAGCGATCTTGGTTCACTGCAACCTCTGCCTCCCAGGCTCAAGTGATTCTCCTGCCTCAGTCCCCCGAGTAGCTGGGATTACAGGCACCTGCCACCATGCCTGGCTAATTTTTTGTATTTCTAGTAGAGACAGGGTTTCACCATGTTGGCCAGGCTGGTCTCGAACTCCTGACCTCAGGTGATCCACCCGCCTGGTCCTCTCAAAGTGCTGGGATTACAGGCGTGAGCCACTGCACACAGCTTTTAAAACTAAGATCCAGATCACTTTTTTTTTTTTTTTTTTTTTTGAGACGGAGTCTCGCTCTGTCGCCCAGGCTGGAGTGCAGTGGCGCGATCTCGGCTCACTGCAAGCTCCGCCTCCCAGGTTCACGCCATTCTCCTGCCTCAGCCTCCCGAGTAGCTGGGACTACAGGCGCCCGCTACCACGCCCGGCTAATTTTTTGTATTTTTAGTAGAGACGGGGTTTCACCGTGTTAGCCAGGATGGTCTCGATCTCCTGACCTCGTGACCAGATCACTTTTAAACACATTTATTCAGTAAGAACAACATTGTCATTTAAAGAGAACAATCAGATAAAGGGAGCACCAGTTATGCATGAGGAAACAGCAAGAACATGAAGATGAAGGTGCAAGCGAGGTGGCACAGTGTCCGGTTCAAACCTTGTCCCGCTCAGTGACAGAGGCACATTCCTTCTGTGTGCCTCAGTTTCTCCCACTGAGAAACGAGGATACCACTAGCACTTGCGTCCTGGAGTTCTCGTGAGGCGAGGACCAGCTGATGCACATTCCTGCAGCCCCAGACCAGCCCAGGCCCCCAGCACATGCTGGTGAGTCATCTGCTAAATAAACTGAACGAATGAGGCGGGGGAGCCCTGCACCAGCACAGTGAATCCAGGCTGGCTACCACTGCCACCAGCTCGTCTTCCCTCCACCAAGCACTCGGGGCCCTGCCAGAGGTGGCCTGACAGCCGTTCCTTCAGGGGACTACGTGACCAGCGTCAGCCAGAGCTGCCCCAGCACCGAGACCCACAGCCTCAGCTTCCTTGATACTTGCTTTTCTTGTCCCTCCAATGGAGGACTCAGCTTCTATGGGAAGAAGTGATTGGCCCTGGCAGGGCTTTCCTCAGTCAGTGGAGTGAGAACGAATGAAGTGAATGAATGAAGCACCCAGGAAAGCTCTGATGCTGCTATGCGTGCTACCTTAATGCCCTTGATCTGAGCTAGGACAGTGTCTGCTGCGTGTCCTGCAAGCCACAGAGAGAGCCCTGGGCCTCCAGCAGAGGTCCACATAATCCGTCCTGTCTGAAGATGACCCCTGGGCAGAGGCCTCACCAAGAGGTGGGGACAGCAGCTGCGGCGGCCCATATGCCAAGGATACCATCCACAGTTGGAGCACATTCAGGGTCCACTTGCTTCCCTAACCAGCAGCAAAGTGAACCAGAGTCTCTTTGGCAGGAATCAGATGGCCGTGGCCACCGGGTGCGGCCTGACGTCTGGGGTGGGTGCGAGTTGGGGGCTCCCGAGGCCTGCGCCTTCTGGAGCATCCATGCAGCCCGGTGAGGGGTGAGGTGTGGGCTGGGGCTGGGGGAGGAGGCTGGTTGCTCTTTGTTTAATTAATTAGTTTAATTAATTAATATTAATTAGGTTAATTAGTTTGATTGATTAATTAGTTTAATCAATTAGCTTAATATTAATTAATTAGTTAGTTCTGTCCCTCTAGCAAACCCTGACTAATACAGATTTTCATACCAGGAGTGGTTCTAGAGGAACAGAATATTAAGGATGGGGTTATTTCGTTGGTTTTGGGGTTTCTGGAGTTGGCTGCTTAATATGACTATGCTAAAGACCCTATTTCTTTTTTTTCTTTTTCTTTTCTTTTTTTTTAGATGGAGTCTTGCTCTGTCACCCAGACTGGGTACAGTGGCACGATCTCGGCTCACTACAAACTCCACCTCCTGGGTTCAAGAGATTCTCCTACCTCAGCCTCCCGAGTAGCTGGGACTACAGGTGCGTGCCAGCATGCCCAGCTAATTTTTTGTATTTGTAGTAGAGATGGGGTTTCACTGTGTTAGCCAGGATGGTCTCGACCTCCTGACCTCATGATCTGCCCGCCTCTGCCTCCCAAAGTGCTGGGATTACAGGAGTGAGCCACCGCACCCAGCCGACCCTACTTCTAATAGTATGGAGAACGCTAATAGTCCTTGGCACGAACTGTTTAGAGAATTAGGCAAAATAAATGCATTTGACACTCCTGATTCTTCATTCATGAGAGGCAAGGAGTTTAGTGACTCTATACATAATACCTTTGACCATATGTGGAGAACCAAGGAACATAAGGAAGCTGGTTGGTTGCTCCTAAGTTCAGAGGACAAAGTGATGAAAGAAAATGATGAATTCAGGGATTCTGTCTCCCGGGTTCAGAAGCAGATACTGAGCCTCAAATCTGCTAAGATTGCCCTGAGTAAGAGTCTTATCTCTTGTAGAGAAAGAGCTGAAATTGTGGAAAAACAGATATAAACTCTTATCTTGCAAGTGGCTGACCAGCAATGAAAGACGCATGTACAGCCTCACCAGGTGTCTCCTGTTAAAGTGAGGGCATTGATTGGAAAAGAATGGGATCCTGCAACTTGGAATGGGGACATGTGGGAGGACCCTGATGAAGCTGGGGACACTGAGTTTGTAAACTCTGATGAAACTTTTTTGCCAGAAGAAATAGCTTCCCCATCCCCAGTAGTGGCAACATCCCCTCCCCAACTCATGCTGCCATCAGCCTTTCCACCTTTGTCTGAGGAGATAAACCCTGTACAGCCTGCAGCAACAGTGATGGCCTCCCCTGAGGCAGTTTCCAGGCAAGATAATGTTGATTCTCCTCGGGAGCCACCCCCAACATCCCTGTTTGCTTCCAGACCTATAACTAGACTAAAGTCCTGGCAGGCCCCTAGAGGTGAGATTTAGAGTGTGACCCATGAGGAGGTATGCTACACTCAAAAAGAACTGCTTGGTTTTCTAATTTATACAAACAGAAATCTGGAGAACAGGCATGGGGATGGGTATTAAGGGTGTGGGATAATAGTGGGAAGAACACAGAGTTGGATCAGGCTGAATTTGCTGATTTGGGCCCACTAAGTAGGGACTCGGTGTATTAGTCTGTTTTCATGCTGCTGATAAAGACATACACAAAACTGGGAACAAAAAGAGGTCTAATTGAACTTACAGTTCCACATGGCTAGGAAAGCCTCAGAATCATAGTGGGCAGTAGAAGGCATTTCTTACGTGGCAGCAGCAAAAGAAAAATGAGGAAGAAGCAAAAGCAGAAACCTCTGATAAACCCATCAGATTTCATGAGACTTATTCACTAACATGAGAATAGCACAGGAAAGACTGGCCCCCATGATTCAATTACCTCCTACTGGGTCCCTCCCACAACACATGGGAATTTTGGGAGATAAACCTCAAGTTGAGATTTGGGTAGGGGCACAGCCAAACCATATCACTCCACCCCGATCCCTCCCAAATCTCATGTCCTCACATTCCAAAACCATCCATGCCTTCCCAACAGTCCCCCAAAGTCTTAACTCATTTCAGCATTAACTCAAAAGTCCACAGTCCAACATCTCATCTGAGACAAAACAAGTCCCTTCCACCTATGAGCCTGTGAAATCAAAAGCAAGCTAGTTACTTCCTAGATACAATGGGGGTACAGGTATTGGGTAAATACAGCCATTCCAAATGGGAAAAATTGGCCAAAACAAAGGGGCTACAGGGCCCATGCAAGTCCAAAATCCAGTGGGGCAGTCAAATTTTAAAGCTCCAAAATGATCTCCTTTGACTCCAGGCCTCACATCCAGGTCACGCTGATGCAAGAGGTGGGATCCCATGGTCTTGGGCAGCTCCGCCCCTGTGGCTTTGCAGGGTACAGTCTCCCTCCTGGCTGCTTTCATGGGCAGGCATTGAGTGTCTGCGGCTTTTCCAGATGCACAGGGCAGTGAATCTACCATTCTGGGGTCTGGAGGACGGTGGCCCTCTTCTCATAGCTCCACTAGGCAGTGCACCAGTAGGGACTCTGTGTGGGGACTCCAACTCCACATTTCCCTTCCACACTGCCCTAGCAGAGGTTCTCCATGAGGGCTCCACCCCTGCAGCAAACTTTTGCCTGGGCATCCACATGTTTCTATACATCTTCTAGAATCTAGGTGGAGGTTCCCAAACCTCAATTCTTGACTTTTGTGCACCTGCAGGCTCAACACTGCCAAGGAACATAATGGAAGCTGCCAAGGCTTAGGGCTTCCATCCTCTGAACCCACAGCCTGGGCTGTACGTTGGCTCCTTTCAACAACTACTGGAGCAGCTGGGACACAGGACACCAAGTCCCTAGGTTGCACACAGCATGGGGACCCTGGACCCATCCACAAAACCACTTTTTTATCCTGGGCCTCCACACCTGTGATGGGAGGGGCTGCCATGAAGTTCTCTGATATGGCCTGGAGACATTTTCCCCATGGTCTTGGGAATTAACATTAGGCTCCTTGCTGCTTATGCAAATTTCTGCAGCGAGCTTGAATTTCTCCCCCAGAAAATGGATTTTTCTTTTCTATCACATAGTCAGGCTGCAAATTTTCCAAACTTTTATGCTCTGCTTCCCTTATAAAACTGAATGCCTTTAACAACACCCAAGTCACCTCTTGAATGCTTTGCTGCTTAGAAATTTCTTCCACCAGGTACCCTAAATCATCTCTCTCAAGTTCAAAGTTCCACAAATCTCTAGGACAGGGGCAAAATGCCACCAGTCTCTTTGCTAAAACATAACAAGAGTCACCTTTGCTCCAGTTCCCAACAAGTTCCTCATCTCCATATGAGACCACCTCAGCCTGGATTTTATTGTCCATATCGCTAACATCATTTTAGGCAAAGCCATTCAACAAGTCTCTAGGAAGTTCCAGAGTTTCCCACATTTTCCTGTCTTCTTCTGAGCCCTCCAAACTGTTCCAATCTCTGCCTATTACCCAGTTCCAAAGTCGCTTCCACATTTTTGGGTATCATTTCAGCAACACCCTGCTTCTGGTACCAATTTACTGTATTAGTCTGTTTTCACTCTGCTGGTAAAGACATACATGAAACTGGGAACAAAAAGAGGTTTAATTGAACTTACAGTTCCACATGGCTGGGGAGGCCTCAGAATCATGGCAGAAGGTGGAAGGCACTTCTTACATGGCAGCAGCAAGAGAAAAATGAGGAAGAAGCAAAAGCGGAAACCCCTGATAAACCCATCAGATCTTGTGAGACTTATTCACTATCATGAGAATAGCATGGGAAAGACCAGGCCCCATGATTCAATTACCTCCCACCGGGTCCCTCCCACAACACATGGGAATTCTTAGAGATAAAATTCAAGTTGAGATTAGCGTGGGGGCACAGCCAAACCATATCACTCTGCATTTAATGTTGCAGCTTGGGGAGTTAAAAAAGGTTCTAATAGTTTATTTGCTTGGTTAGCTGAAATATGGATTAAAAGATGGCCCACTGTGAGTGAGCTAGAAATGCCTGATCTCCCTTGGTTTAATGTAGAGGAAGGGATCCAAAGGCTTAGGGAGGTTGAGATGATGGACTGGATTAGTCACGTTAGACCTAATCATCCCAGCTATGAGGGTCCAGAAGATATACACTTGACTGATGCCTTGCAAAATAGATTTGTGAGGCCAGCACCTGCACCTTTGAAGAGCCCTTTAATTGCTCTTTTCTGTATGTCAGATCTAACAGTGGGAAACACAGTCACTCAACTACAAAATTTAAATACAGTGGGAATAATTGGATCCCAAGGTGGCAGGGGCCAAGTGGCGGCACTCAACCGTCAAAGGCAAGGTGGGCATAGCTACTGTAATGGACAGAAGCAGCAAAGCAGCAATCACAATAGTCTGAATCATGTAGAGCTCTGGTATTGGCTAATTAATCATGGTGTTTTTAGAGGTGAAATTGATAGAAAGCCTACTGAATTCCTACTTTATGTAAGCAGAAAACTTCTTGATCAAATTGACAAAAGACTAATTTGAATTATAAAAACAGAGAATCATGGCCCCTCAATCAATTCCCAGATTTGAGCCAGTTTACAGACCCAGAACCCCCTGAATGAAGGGGAGGCCAGGTCCCCTTGAGGAAGGACCCCACTACATTGCCAACAATTTATGCTGTGAATCTTTCTCCCATCCTTCCCCAGGGAGACCTCTGGCCTTTTACCATTGCATTGGGGAAAGGGAAATTATCAGACATTTCAGGGACTACTGGACATTGGCTCTTAGCTGATGTTGATTCCAGGGAACCCAAAATATCACTGTGGTCCTCCAGTTAAAGTAAAGGCTTATGGAGGTCAGGTAATTAATGGAGTTTTAGCTCAGGTCTGACTTACAGTGGGTTCAGTGGGTTCCCAGGCTTATCCTGTGGTCATTTTTCCAGTGCCAGTATGCATAATTGGCAAACTAAGACATACTTAGCAGCTGGCAGAACCCCAACATTGGCTCCAGTTCTGAATCTTGAACTCAGTGGTGGTTACACAAATCTGCACGTGATAAAATGGCATAGAACAACACACAGTACCAAAGCCAACCTCCTGCTTTCAATTTCGATTAACAATAGCTAATTAACCCAGCATGCCCCAATGGGGCCACGGGGGGGGGGGGGGGGGGTGAAAGGTATATGGACCTCTCTCTGTCACCTGTGCAACTTCCTGTCAATCTATATTCAAAACAAAAAGATTTTTTAAAGGGACAAGAATAATTCCCCAAAACAAACAGTGAAACAGTGCCAATTACAGATGTAATAGTTTTGCTCATGAGTACAAATTGTTTTGTACATGAAATATTTTACTGAATTTGAAATTTTGAAATTGAAATGTATAATTGTTTTATTTATTTTTATTTATTTATTTTTTTGAGACACAATCTTGCTCTGTCACCCAGGCTGGAGTGCAGTGGTGGTGATCTCGGCTCACTGCAACCTCCGCCTCCCAGGTTCAAACGATTCTCCTGCCTCAGCCTCCCGAGTAGCTGGAATTACAAGTGCCCATCACCATGCCTGGCTAATTTTTATATTTTTAATAGAGACGGTGTTTTGCCATGTTGGTCAGGCTGGTCTTGAACTCCAGACCTCAGGTGATCTGCCTGCCTTGGCCTCCCAAAGTGCTGGGATTACAGGCATGAGCCACTGAGCTCAGCCATTTCTTTTAAAACTCTGCTGCTTGTTTAATTTTTATTTGTTACTAGACCATAACAGACCAATATATGGGTTGAAGGCTTTCCCCCTTTAGAGAGTACATGATTGTACATTGAAAGGACTAATCCATTAGGCTTTTTTCTATTCCTTCTCTAATAGTATTATTTATTTAATTATTTTACTGGCATGAAGTTCAGTAAAAGTTTACCATTCCAGTTCCTTGCTTGCCATTATTATGATTATGATTGTTACTCATGTCATTTCATAATTATTATTAAAAAATTTTGCAGTGCACTGAAGGGAGGATGGGATAGAGGTCCACGTGGACTGTCAGATCTGCCAGATGCTACTGTGGGTGCAATTGTCCGTGTTAACCAGAATGATCTTCCCTGGCACCAGGGTCTGACCCTGGCTCTGCCCAGTGCCCCGCCCCTGCGCCTCTGGACCTGAGTGGTAAAAATGCAGAGGCCCACACGATCTTGAGTCATGAGGAAAAACTCACTCTGCATTTGGTTCTTAGAAGGAAACACATGTTGGAAAGCTTTATCCCCCCAAAAAGAAAACTCAACAGTCTTCATGCCGACAGGGGTAACTTTAGATGATTTGGGACACAAAACCCATGGATGCCTGGGGAGAAGCCACGTGGGCCAGAAACCATCAGGCCTGGGCCAGTGGGAGCCCCAGGAGCAGCCCTGGGTGCAAAAGCTGGTGCTCAGCGCACAGTGTTCCCTTGGTGGGCTCAGGCTCCTTGTGTGTGAATGGTGCCTGGCGATGCCTGCCTCCACTGCCACGATGAGCTCAGTCCCCATGGCCCTGTGTCATCATTGCCACAGATACACATTACTGGTCTCCTCCCACACAAGGAAAATTCAGGGCCACACAAGCCCTAGAGCCCCGAATGCCACTTTGCAGCTTTGTGGCATTAGCAAAGCTGCTTCACGGCGGAACCTCGGTTTCCCTGTCTGTGACAGGAAGGCTGGATTCAAGAGTTCTCAAGGCCCCTGCCAGCCCTGGCATTATTGGGTGAGTCACCAGCAGCACCAGCCACATTCCCTGTAAGCTCTGGGTGCTCTGACAGCCCTGGGAAGGCACCAGTAGAGATCCCCTGGCTTCCTTTTAACTGGGAATCTTATCATCCTAGGATCGATGTCCTCTAGCAAAGACCTTACTCCAGGCCCAGAATCACTGCTTTGTTCCTCAGCCTGTTATCATATTTCCTGGGCAGTGTCTTTCCCCTCCTGTGTCTGATCCTACATCCCCTGCCTAGTCAGCAGTTTATTTCTAATGGCTAGAGTATTGCTACGTGCTTTAACAAACCCGATAGCAGTTTATGTTTCATTTATGTGCTTGTCTGATATGGATGCTGCTGATCTGTGCAGGGTTTTCACCATGCAGTGACTTAGGAATTCAGGCTGGTTCCATCTTGCAGTAAGTACCTCCATCCTCTGGGCCCTCAGAGTCCTCTATGTCTAGGAGGTAGGAGGCTGTGATGAGCTGAATAGTATTCCCCCAAAATTCATGACAAAGCCCTAAGTCCAAGCACCTCAGAATGAGACTATATTTGGAGATAGGGCCTTTACAGGGTTGAATAGGATAATATGAGGCCTTTAGGGCAGGCCCCAGTGCAAAATGGCCAGTGTCCTTATCAGAAGAGGAGATGAGGACACTTGCACAGAGGGATGACCATGTGAGGACACAGGGAGAAGATACCATCTGCAAGTCAATGAGAGAGGCCATAGGAGAAACCAACCCTGCCAACACTTCGACCTTAGGCTCTGTCCCCCAGAACTGTGAGACAATAAATGTCTGTTGTTTAAGCTCCCCACCACTGCCAATCTGTGATACTTGTTATGGTGGCCCTAGGAAACTGGTACAGAGGGGAGAGAAAGGATGGAAAGAGCACCTCACTGCAAAAGCAAGATGCATTACTTCTCCCATTCCATTATCCATTTGTAGCCATGCAGCCAAACGTGGATGTGAAGGGGCTGGGCAGCTGCCGCCCAGCAACCACCTCCTGCTGGGGCAGGGGAAGCCCAGTGCTGGTGGACAGCTGGCCGTCCCTACCACTGGACTTCATTCCAGGCTGAGGGGATCTCAGGTGTAACCTGCACCAGGTGAGTCAGGGGAAGACAGGAGCTGAGAATGTTCCCATCATTTCCTGTCTGCTTCTCCATGCAAATCGAGCTGCTCTGACTCACTTGTTCCAGTTGTAGAGAGGTGAGAACCATCAGAAAAAGCTAGAATAGGTGACATTCTCCAAGGAACCCAGCCCCGTTTCTTCTACAAGTCAGTGGCATGAAAAAGGTGTGCCCTGTTTTAGACTGAAAGGCCATAGAGAAATAATAGCTAAACACAATGCATGGTCCCTAACTGGAGACTGGCTTTAACAAATGCAACGAGGGAAGCTGAGCTTGAATCACTACACTGGATCTCCTTCTTCTCCACCAGGCCCACTCTCCTCCTTCCTTCTGCTCTGCGCCCTGGAGCTGACCTCTATAAAATACATCATCAGGCTCCCAGCTGAACAAATTGTATTTTTCCAAATATTCATTTCTCCTCACACTCAGAATTTACAACCCTACCTATTGCCATGAGAAAGGGTCTTACCTCTGGTCCTGCTGACAGCTGGCTGGGTTGTGTGTGTTGCTTTGGCCAGTGGGATATGAGTGTAATTGATGGGCACCACTTCCTAACAGAAGCTTTAAGACCCGAGGTGTGGGTCTTGGTGTGTCCCAGACAAGAGGACTGCCCAATCCACAGTCAACATGGAAGCAGGGAAAGAATGAACAGATGCTGCTGGAAGCCACTGAGATGTTGGCACCATTGTTCAACCTTAGTTAGCAGAAGCCTTGTTTCCAGTGGGTTGGCTGATGGGTGCACCTGGAGGAGGGCAGCCCCTGGGAGACGGAGAGGATGGGGGTTTATTTCTCTTGCACTCGCAGGTGCTCAGGTGGATTTTGTGCCTCCACCAAAAGCCACTGCTCCAGGCAGGCGGCTGGCAGGCTCCATCCAGCTGCTTCTCTGAATTCCAGCCAACTTTTTCTCTTGCCCTGCAAGCCCATAGCTGGTGACAACTATTTCCCTAATTGTCCATCCTTGTCAATTGTCCTTTACTCTTCTCTCCCTGATGGCCTGGCTCCAGCACACCACCTGCTTCCTGCCAGGCCTTAACCAAAAGAACCAGGTAGGAGTGCTCTTCAGGTTTTACTGCTAATTTTTTAAGCTGTGATAATCGGGGTTATGTTTAAAAGTGAAGGGTTTCAATGTCCATAATTAATTTAAGATGGCTCTGCAAAACAGAAAAAGAGAAAAAGCAAACTATTAACAATTATTAAACCTAGGTAGAGATGACTGTTCATGGTACTATTCTTTTCACTTTTCTCTGTTTGAAAATTTGCATAATAAAAGGCAAAAAGAAAAATTGTGGGTGGCAGGGGTCCCAGTCCTACCATCGAGCAAGCTGAAGTTCCTAGCTGTCATGCTCCTTCCTTCCCTCCTCTGAACTTTTGTCCAGACTATTCCCTGGGCCAGGGCAATGCCCATCCTGCATGCCTTCGCCTGGAAAATTCCTCCTCATCCTTCTAGTATGTACTCACCTTAAGCTGCTCCCATGCTCCCTGCCCCAACCCAGACAGGGGGAACCCCATGCCCCAGAGCATTCAGCTCTATCCCAGAGCTTCTCTGCCCCACATGTGCCAAACAGTGCATGATGCAAGCCTGAGCAATGTTGCTTTAAGTCTTCTCCAGGTCCTGATATTTACAACATTGTTCCTGACAGCACCCTCCCAGCTCACCCTCTCCTGGTCCTGAGCCCATTGTCACCACCTCTCTTCCTTACTCTGCCCTGAGGGACATGCTTCATTGGGAAGCCATTCATTCATTCGTGCTCTCATGAGCTCATCTGCAGTCACCAGGACACACAAGTGAGACAGGGTGGTGCTGCTTCCCTGGGGTACTGTCAGCTGAAAAGACACAAATCAACCAGCCACACAGATGATCACCCGGCTTTGGCCACAGTGAGTTTCACCAAGGGATATCACTTTGTGCAGCAGTGAGGCCATCTCAGGCTAGGAGAAGGCCTTCTCGTAAGAACCCTTAGGATGCTGGCTGGATATATGGATTCCCAAATCTTCCACTCAGAACATCCAGTGGGGGACCCAGGGAGTCTGCATTTTCCACAAGTAGCTAGAGTGACATTTATAGTCAGCCAAGTCTGGAAAGCACTGGCCTCCAGGAATAAGGAGGAATATTTCATTCGTGCAGCACTAGGGCAAGGGCTCAAGTGGACCCCAGGCCCTCCCCACTGTGCACACAGATAACAGCACTCTGGAGGCCATCTGGTGATGGTACGGAGGGCAAGTGGGTGCAGCAGGTACAAGGGCTCCCCCAATGCCAGGCCCAATGCAAAGTGGTGTGACAGTCAGTGGAACTCAGCCCCATTAGGTGCAGTCCCTTGGCCGAGGCCCCCAGCTCATTGGCATCAGATCTAGAACAAGGGGTGACCACTGACCAAGTGCTTCCTCGGGATCCCCAGTGACCTGCAGGCTGCTCCTCCTGTTAAGCCCCCTTACAACCCATGTGGCTGTCACCTCAAACTCCCTCCTGGCCCCCATACTCACTCTGCTGTCCCAGTCCACCCTTCCCTGAACTCCTGCAGCCTCCACAACAGCCCACTTACTCTCGTCTCCACTCTGCTCCACATCCCATTTCCCTAAATCCTGGTCTGCATCCTGTTGCTCCAAGTTTAAAAGCCTCTTCTAGCTTCCAAGAGCATTCTCTCCTACTGGCCACAGGCCTAGCTGCCTCCCCTGCGGCACCCCTCCTCTTGTCCCCAAGCTCCGGCCATGCAGGCCCCTTCTTGCCCTCTAGTCAGCAGCTCTTTCCCTCCCTGAGAATGTGCATCTGCTCTCCCCTCCTGCCTGCATTTCTCCCTTGGCAGGGCCTCCCTATCTCAGCTGGAGTGTGAGTTCCTCAGGGCAGGCTTTCTAGACCCCAGTCCAAAGGGCAGGTTTTCTGTCCCATGTATATTCCTTCACAGCATGCACCACAGTCTGCATGTGCACGTTTCCTTGAGCGTTACTCATTTAATGTGCATCCTCCCATTTGACCAAAACCTCATGGAGGCAGGGACTGCACTTGGCTGGCTGTGGGGTCTGGCACAGGAGGTGCCCCAAGGGACTGTGAACGTAGATGAGTGATGTGAGATTTAGGGAGGGGAGACCTATTATCAAGGCTCTGTGGTGCTTGATATGGGCTGAATCGTAATCTGCTCTGAAGATAGGCTGATGTCTTAATTCCTAGTAGCTGTGAATATGACCTTATTTGGAAATAGGGTCTTACAGATGTAATCAAGTTAAGATGAGGACATTCGGGTGGGCTCTAATCCAATATGAATGGTATCCTTATCAGAAAGAAAAGTGCCACATAAGGAGAGACACACGGGGGGAACGCCATGTGACAATGGAGTTATGAAGCTGCAAGCCAGGTCATGCCCAGGAGTGCCAGCAGCCACCAGGAGCTAAGGAGAAAGAGTGGGATCCATCCTGCCCTGGACCCTGCAGAAGGGGCACAGCCCTGCTGGTGCTTTCATTTCAGACTTCTGGCCTCCAGAGTTGTAAAAGAATAAACTCACTCTGTGGTTCTAAGCTGCCCAGTTTGTGGTAGATCATTACAGCAGCCACCGGAAACTAATACGTGATTATATCATTAATAAGTGGTAGTGTCAAACTCAGACTAGTTTGGCTATAAAATTTCTGCAATGCTACTTTGTTGTTTTGGTGATTTCAAGCAAATTATTTCACCTCACTTCTCTATGCCTCAATTTCCTTTTCTGTAAAATGGCATTACTGATGAAACTTATTTCGTGGAGTTGCTGTGAGGTTTAAATACAGTAGGTGTGGTATCAGAGGTGAACATGCCCTTTTCCGATAAGGTATTTGCATGTATCATGGTGGGAAATTTCTTCTGCCTGAAATCTTCTTAGTTCAGGGATTCTGAACTAAGGATTCAGATTTTCATCTGCTTTATTGAAGGGTGTGTATACTATAGTTATTTAGGCACAGGTCTGTTCCTTGTTTGAGGTCTTGATGTTCAAAAATTTAAAGTTAGCCTTGAATACAGGGAAGATTTTGGTTGCATGTATTTCATTATGGGGTATACCTTTGCCCTCTCCAGCACAAAAAAAATATTACTAAAAGAAAATTGATAAATTCCTGGCAACATACAACCTCCCAAGATTAAATCAGGAAGAAATTGAAACCCTGAACAGACCAATAATGAGTTCCAAGATGGAATCAGTAATAAAAGACCTACCAACAAAAAGAGCCCTGCACCAGGTGAATTCACAGACAAATTCTACCACACGTACAAAGAACAGCTGGTACCAATCCAACTGAAACTTTTCCAAAAAATCAAGAAGGAGGGTAATATGGTTTGGATCTGTATCCCTACCCAAATTTCATGTTTAAATGTAATCCCCAACGCTGGTGGTAGAGCCTGGTGGGAGGTGATTAGATCATGGCAGTTTCTCATGGTTTAACATCATCCCCCCTTGGTGCTGTGGTCACAAGAGTGAGTGAGTTCTCATGATATCTGGTTGTTTAAAAGTGTGTGGCACCTCCCCTTTCTTCTCTTCCTACTGCTCTGGCCATGTGGAGTGCTTCATTCCTTCTTTGCCTTCTGCCATGATTGGAAGCTTTTTGAGGCCTCCCCAGAAGCAGAAGCCACTATACTTCCTGTACAAACTGCAGAACCATGATCCAATTAAACCTCTTTTCTTTATAAATTACCCAGTCTCAGGTATTTCTTTACAGCAATGGGAGAACAGACTAATACAGAGGGATTCCTCCCTAACTCATTCTATGAAACTGGCATCATCTTGATACCAAAAGTTGGCAAAGACACAATAAACAAAAACTACAGTCCAATATCTCTGATGAACATAGGCACAAAAATCCTCAACAAAATACTAGAAAACTGAATCCAGTAGCATATCAAAAAGTTAATTCATCATGACCAAGTAGACTTTATTCCCGGGATGCAAGGTTAGTTCAACATACACAAATCAATAAATGTGATTCACCACATAAACAGAATTAAAAACAAAAACCATATCATCATCTCAACAGATGAAGAAAAAGCTTTCAATAAATCCCAGTATCCCTTCATGATAAAACCCTCAATAAACTAGGCATTGAAGGAACGTACCTCAAGATAGTAAGAGCCATCTATGACAAACCTACAACCAACATCATATTAAATGGGCAAAAGCTGGAAGCATTCCTCTTAAGAACTGGAAAAAGACAAGAATGCCCACTCTCACCACCCCTATTCAATATAGTACTGGAAGTCCTAGCCAGAGAAATCAACAAAAGAAAGAAATAAGAGGCATCCAAATAGGAAAAGAAGTCAAATGACGTCTCTTTGCTGGTGAAATAACACTATGCCTAGAAAACCCTAAAGACTCCATCAAAATGCTCCAAGACCTAATAAATAACTTTAGTAAAGTTTCAGGATACAAAATCAATATTCAAAGATCAGTAGCATTTCAGTACACCAATATGTTCAAGCTGAGAGTCAAATCAAGAATGCAATTCCATTTACACTAGCCACAAAAAATAAAATATCTAGTGATATGGTTTGGCTGTGTCCCCATCCAAATCTCAACTTGAACTGTATCTCCCAGAATTCACATGTGTTGTGGGAGGAACCCAGGGGGAGGTAATTGAATCATGGGGGCTGGTCTTTCCCGTGTTATTCTCGTGACAGTGAAAAAGTCTCATGAGATCTAATGGGTTTATCAGGGGTTTCTGCTTTTGCTTCTGGCTCATTTTTCTCTTGCCACTGCCATGTAAGAAGTGCCTTTCACTTCCCACCATGATTCTTAGGCTTCCCCAGCCATGTGGAACTCTAAATCCAATTAAACCTCTTTTTGTTCCCAGTTTCAGGTATGTCTTTATCAGTAGCATGAAAATGAACTAATATATCTAGGAATATATCTTACCAAGGAGGTGAAAGACCTATACAAGTAGAACTACAAAACACTGCTAAAAGAAATCACAGGTGACACAAACAAATGAAAGAACATTCCATGCTCATGGATTGGGAGAATCAATATTACTAAAATGTCCATAAAGCCAAAGCAATCTACAGATTCAATGTTATTCCTATCAAACTACCAATGTCATTTTTTCCATTTTTTCACAGAATTAGAAAAAAACTACTCTAAAATTCATATGGTACTAAAACAGAGCCTGAATAGCCAAAGCAATCCTAAGCCAAAAGAATGAAGTGAGAGGCATCATATTACCCAACTTCGAAGTATCCTACAAGGCTACAGTAACCAAAACAGCATGGTACTGGTACAAAAAACCAGACACATAAACCAGCAGAACAGAATAGGAACCCAGAAATAAAACTGAACCCTTATAACCAACTGATCTTTGACAAAGTTGACAAAAATAAGCAATGAAGAAAGGACTCCCTATTTAATAAATGGTGCTGGAATAACTGGCTTACTACATGCAGAAGAATAAAAATAGAACAACTACATGCCACCATATACAAAAATTAACTCAAGATGGATAAAATGCCTAAATGTAATACATAAAAAGATTAAAATCCTATAAGAAAACCTAGGAAATACCCTTCTAGACATTGGCCTTGGGACATAATTTATGACTAAGTTCTCAAAAGCATTTGCAACAAAAACAAAAATAGACAGATGAGACCTAATTAAACTAAAGAGCTTCTGCATGGCAAAAGAAATTATCAATTTAGTAAACTGACAACCTACAGCATGAGAGAAAATATTCACAAACTATGCGTCAGACAACGGTCTCATATCAAGAATCTATAAGGAATATACACAAACAAGCAAAAAACAATAGCCCCATTAAAAAGTGAGCAAAGGAAACAGACATTTCTCAAAAGAAGACATACAAGCAGCCAACAAACATAAGAAAAAAAATGCTCAACCTCACTAATCATCAGAGAAATGCAAATCAAAACCACAGTGAGATATTATCTCAAACCAGTCAGAATGGCTACTATTAAAAAGTCAAAAGATATTATGTTGATGAGGCTATGGAGAAAAGGGAATGCATATACACTGTTGAGGAAAATGTAAATTAGTTCAGCTACTGTGGAAAGCAGTTTGAAGATTCCTTAAAAAAACTAAAAATAAAACTCTTATCTGACTTAGCAATCCCATTACTGGGTATATACCCAAAGTAAAATAAACCATTCTACCAAAAAGACACATGTACTCATATGTTCATTGTAGCATTATTTGCAATAAAAACAAGGGCATGGAATTAACCTAGGGCCCATCAATGGCAGATTGGATAAAGAAAATGTGATACATATACAGGATAGAATACTACACAGCCATAAGAAGGAATGAAATCATGCCGCAACACGGGTGCAGCTGAAGGCCACTATCCTAAGCAAATTAATGCAGAAACAGAAAACCAAATACTGCATGTTCTCACTTATAAGTGGGAGCTAAATATTGGGTACACATGGACATAAAGATGGGAACAATAGACACAGGATTATAAGAAAGGGGGAGGTGGGGAGGGAGCAAGGGTTGAAAAACTACCTATTGGGTTCTATGTTCACTAATTGGGTGATGGATTCAATCATACCCCAAAACTCAGCCTCACATAATATACCCTGTAACAAATTTGCACATGTGCCCCCTGAATCTGAAATAAAAGTTGAAATTTTGAAAATACGTATTACTAAAAAGAAATTAAGACTGAGCTTTATTTCCTGCAATGGTGGACTAGCTTGTTTCAAATTAACACCAAGAACAACTAGGAAAGCTGGACAAAATATAAATAAATATATTTTTGACAGCATTGCAGAGAGACAGCAAGCCCAGAGAGGGGAGCTTGATAACTGGTATATTTTCTCCTCAAGACATTTGCCAGTAACAAATGCTGTTGTAGCTGAGAGGCCTAGAAGCTGAGCAAGATTGTAGGTGGTGGCATTGGCCTAGGGGACAATAATTGTCATGCAAAGTCAGCCAAACAGAAAAGGCCCTGTCAAACATCCAGGCTCTCAGGTAGGCAAACAGGAAGAATATCAGCTCTTACAAGGACCAAAGCCAGCTTTAAATCAGCTCAGCCTTTTGTTTGATTAAGGTGATCTGCCTCTCATTAACTTCCTGCCAGAAGCAAAGACAAATCCTCTCTGTATGAGACAGAATCCAACGTCTTTTGAGACGTTCCCTCTGTGATTTTTAAACCACAGTCTGACACTCAATCAAAGTTAGGCTGGCATTCAAAAAGGCAAGAACTGACCAAAATTTGAGAGAAAAAAGTAAGACCAAAGACAGACGCATAGAAGGGCCAGATATTGGAATTACCAGACATGTACTTTAAAATAATTATGTTTCATATATCATATCATCAATACATCAAATAAGAAACTGCTTAATTTTTTTAGAGAACTGGTAACTATTAAAAATAATCAAATGAAAATTCTAGAATTGAAAACTATAATAACTCAAATTAAGAACTCAATGGATGTCTCCACTTCTCTCCATAACAGAGTAAATGCTATGGGAATTGCTGTCAGCTATCAAAAAAAAAAAAAAAAACCAGAAAACCAGATAAAATATCCAAAACAAAAGTTTTCAGAAACTGCCAACGCAGGTGCCAGCATACACTACCCTGAGGCACAAACAGGTATCAGTGTAAAGACACACGAAATGTGAAAAAGCAAGGAAATACGACAGCCCCAAAAAAACACAATAAGTATCCAGCAATAGATCTTAAACAAAAAGAAATTCTTGAAATCCCAGATAAGGAATTCAAAATATTGATTTTAAAGAAGCTCAATTAGATGCAAAAGCAAATTGAAAAACCAATACAAAGAATCCAGGACAATTTATGATATGAATAAGATATCTATTTACCAAGGAGATGGATTTTTTTAAAGACACTAGATATTCTGCAACTGGAGAATTCATTGCAGGAAATACAAAATACATTTGAAAGCTTCAACAATAGATTAGGTTAAATAGAAGAAAGAATTTCAGAACTTAAAGAAACGTCTCTTGAAATAATCCAGTCAGACAAAAATAAAGAGAAAAGAATAAAAGGGAACAAAGTCTTCAAAATATTTTGGACAATATAAAGCAATAGAATTTATGAATTATTGGTATCTCCTATGGCAAATGTTAGATATAGTAACTCCAAGTTTCTCTTCAAAGAATCAGTATATCAGTATGTTCAGCTCTCTTATTCTTTGATTCTCCATTTTAAAGTTTAACTTCTTGGTTCTCTTTGCCTCCAGTTTCAGTAAACAACTTTCCCACCAGTTCTAATCAGTAGTTCACATCTGTTCCCCTGGTCACCTGCTTTGACCTGAGTCACCCCAGTCACCTGCTCCATCCTGAGTCACCCCTGGTCACCTCCTCTGACCTTAATCATCCTGAGTCCCCTGTTCTGTAACCACCCTTCCTGCCAAATTATCCACCCCGCTACTCCAGCTCGTAGCCCTGCTCTCTTTAAAACAGCCAGTCAGAATTAGCTTAGACTGTGCGGTCCAACCCTAGCCAATAGCGGAATGACACAGCAGTAGGGGCTACCTGCATCAGGAATAAGAACCTCTTCTCCTCCCTTGTCCAGGCGTGCTCTTGCCATTACTCCATCCATGAGCTGCACCCTTCAATAGAAGTAAAAATTGCCTTGTTGAAAAACTTAAATTTATGTTCGAGTGCTAAGTCTTTGCAGCACCAAGGAACAAGCATTTTGTTTCTAACACGAAGAGAGATCAAAAGGTTTAGAAAACATATTTAACAAAATAGTAGATGAAAACTTCCCAAATATGGCAAGAGATTTAGATATTCAGATATACGAGGCTCAGTAACCCCCAAATAAATATAACACAAAAATGTCTTCACCAAGGCACATTATAATCAGACAGTCTAAAACAAAGTGAAAGAGTGAATTCTAAAAACAGCAAGAGAAAAGCATCTAGTCATTACAAAGGAAACCCCATCAAACTAACAGCAGACTTCTCAGCAGAAACCTTACAGGTCAGAAGAGAATGACATAATATATTCTAAGTCCTAAAGAAAAAAAAAAAACCCATCGTCAAGAATACTACATCCAGCAAGATTAACCTTCATAAATGAAGAAGAAATAAAGTCTTTCCCAGACATGCAAATGCTGAGGGAATTCATCACCAATAGACTGGACCTACAAGAAATGCTCAAGGGAGCCCTAAACATGGAAGTGAAAAGATATTATTTACCATGATGAAAACACATGAAAGTATAAAACTGACTGGTAAAGCAATCACACAAAGGAGGAAGAGAAAATAATCAAATGGCACCACTACAGCATTCCCCCAAACCACAATGACAAACAGTAAGAGAAAAAGAAAAAAACAAAAATTTAGAAAACAATTAACAACATGACAGAAACAAAACCTCACATACCAAAAATAACCTTGAATGTAAATGAATTAAAGGCTCCACTTAAAAGACAGACTGGATGAATGGATTTTTAAAAGTGGCTCAACTATATGGTGCTTACAAGAAACCCAAAATTCACCTTATCTGTAAAGACACATATAGGTTGAAAGTAAAGGAGAAAAGATATTCCACGCAAACAGAAACCAAAAATGAGCAGCAGTAGCTATATTTACAACAGATAAAACAGCTATATTTACAACAGATAAAACAACAGATAAGTCAAAGGCAGCAAAAAAAAAAAAAAATTCTATAATGATAAAGAAATCAACTCAGCTAGGCACAGTGGCTCACGCCTGTAATCCCAGCATTTTGTGAGGCCGAGGTGTGTGTATCACCTGAGGTCAGGAGTTCGAGACCAGCCTGGCCAACATGGTGAAACCCCGTCTCTACTAAAATGCAAACATTAGCCAGGTGTGGTGATGCACACCTGTAATCCTCAGGAGGTTGAGGCACAAGAATCACTTGAACCTGAGAAGCAGAGGCTGCAGTGAGCTGAGATCATGCCACTACACTCCAGCCTGGGTGATAAGAGCAAGACTCCGTCTTAAAAAAAAAAAAATCAATTCAGCAAGAGGAAATAACAATTCTAAATATATACGTACCCAACACTGGAACACTAGATTCATAAAACAAATATTACTAGACTTAAAGAGAGAAAGATAGACCATAATACAGAAATAGTAGTGGACTTCAACACCCCAGCAGACAGATTACCTATGCAGGGAATCAACAAAAAGCCTTTGGACTAAACCTGAACTTTAGACTAAATGAACCTAACATATTTACAGAATATTCTAAGCCAACAACTGCAGAGTATACATTCTTTTCATCAGCACATGGAACATTCTCCAAGATAGACCATAGGTTAGGCCACAAAAAGGTCTCAATAAATTTTTAAAAATCAAAATCATATCAATTATCTTCTCAGACCACAGTAGAATAAAACTAGAAATCAATACCAAGAGGAACTTTGGAAACTACAAACACATACAAATTATACATAAAAAACATGCTTCTGAATGACCATGAGGTTAATGAAGAAATTAAGATGAAAATCAAAACGTTTCTTGAAATAAATGAAAATGGAAACACAATATACCAAAACCTTTGAGATACAGCAAAACAGTGCTAGGAGGGAAATTTATAGCATTAAATGCCTACATCAAAAAAGTAGAAAGATTATAAATTAACAATCTAATGATGCACCTCAAAGAACTAAAAAAGGAAGAACAAACCAAACCCTAAATTAGCAGAAGGAGAGAAAGAACAAAGCATAACTAAATGAGATAGAGACTAAAGAAAATACAAAGGATCAATGAAGCAAAAAGTCAGTTCTTTGAAAAGATAAACGTAATTGATAAACCACTAGCTAAACTAACCAAGAGAGAAGACCCAAACAAAATCAGAAATGACAAAAAGATATATTATAACTGGTAACACAGAAATATAAAAGATCATCAGATGACAACACTAACACCTTTATCATGCAAGCCTTGGAACCCCAGCCTGGCCTGCATGAGTATGCTCAGACAGTTGCAAAGCAGTTCCACTCCTCTCAGCTTTGTATCGACACCTACCCTTACTACACCCCTGGTCAGCAGGAAGAAGTTACAGCAGATTTTGTCCTTTTTCCATCTTCTTTAGCCAACACCTTAAGATTAAGGTGTTATAAAACCCAAATGGAGGGATTGAAACCTCCATTGCAAAATTGTAACCAAGGCAGTCAAAGAGATCTGATCTAACCAACTCCATCTTGCTTCTAACCTCCAAGCCATCCTTGTTTATTCCTGGCCATAGGCTGAACTAACTTTAGGAGGAATTGAGTTTATAGTTTAAAACAAAGACGATAACAGGCCTTTCCCAAGGCAAATCCCCCTTTTGCCTAGGGATTAGACTGTCTTTGTAGGACTAACAAATTAGCCACAAGATTAGAAATTATGGTTTAGGAGTCATGCAGCTGGAGGTTACAAGATTCTGACCCTCCCTAGACTGCTCCTAAGATCAGTGTTTAAAATATTTCGCAGACTCTGCAGATGATGGATCAACTGGCACCACCCAGATCAATAAACTGGCTCATCTGATCTTGTGGCCCCCACCCAGGAACTGACTCTGCACAAGAAGAGTCAACTCCCTATGATTTCATCTCTGACCTGACCAATCAGCATTTCTGGCTCACTGGCTTTCCCCACCCACTAAGTTGTCCTTAAAAACTGATCCCTGAATGCTCAGGGAGACTAATTTGAGATTTGAGTAATAATAAGACTCTGGTCTCCTGAAAAAAAAAAAATCATCAGAGACTATTACAAACAACTATATGCTCACAAACTAGAGGAAATGAATAAATTCCTGGAAACATATAACCTCTCAAGATTGAACCAGGAAGAGATAGAAAACCTAGAAAACCTGAAAAGACCAATAACAAGTAGTGAGATTAAATCAGTAATAAAAAATCTTTCAATAAAGAAAAGTACAGGACCAGATGGATTCACAGCCAAGTTCTACCAAATGTATAAAGAAGAACTAATATCAATCTCCTGAAATTATTTCAAAAGAATCCAGGAGGAGGGAATTCTCCATAACTCATTTGATGAGGGCAGTATCACCTTGATACTAAAACCAAACAAGGACACAACAAAAAAGAACACTACAGAACTACAGACCAATATCCTTGATGAACACAGATGCAAAAGTCCTCAACAAAATATTAGCAAACTGAATTCAGCACCACATAAAAAAGATAATACACCATGATCAAGTGGGTTTTATACCAGGGATGCAAGGATGGTTCAACATATGCAAAATCAATAATTGTGATACATTGCATAAACAGAATAAGGACAAAAACCATATGATGATTTCAATAGATGCAGGAAAAAATTTGATAAAATTCAACATCCCTTCATGATAAAAATCTTTAACAAGTAGACTTGGAAAGAACATACCTCAAAATAACAAAGGCCATATATGACAAACCCCAAGCTAACAACATACTGAATGGGGAAAAGTTGAAAGCATTTCTACTAAGAACTGGAACAAGACAAAGATGTCCACTTTCACCACTCCTATTCAACACAGTACTAGAAGTCCTAGCTAGAGCAATTAGGCAAGAAAAAGAAATAAAAAGCATCCAAGTTGGAAAAGAGGAAGTCAAATTATTCTTGTTTGCTGATGATATGATCTTATATCTAGAACCCAAGAAGTGGCAATGAAAGCACAGAATGTTAACTTAGGTCACAAGGAGGAGTGGCTTTTATTGCTAACCTTGCAGGGATTCTAAAGCAGGCAGTTTGAGTGTAGGATTTTTAACTTTGTTTTAAGTCAGATTTTTGTTCTTTAATTTAGTAAAGAGAATTTTTAAGGTTAGCCATGACACTATTACCTGTCTTTTTAAAAATTGATCTTCCCATCAATTGTTTACAATAATAAATCTCTAAAATATATATTTTTTAAATTTAGGAGTCTCATTTAAAAGATCCATCTTCTGATCACTGACAATTAGAATTTCCGATGGCATGCTTATTCCAATAGCAGCTAAATCCAATAGCCTCTTCAGAGAAGAAGCAATCTCAAAGATCCGCCTCCGTGGCACCCCACCACTCCCAGAAAGAGGCTAAGATAGACAAATTCTCCCAAGAGCTTGGCACATTTGGAACAAAAAGTCTAAGGTTTCTAGGGATTTTTAGACTGGCTGCCTGACATGACCCAAAAATCATGCCCCCTTCCCCCACTGGGTGGCAGAGACCGAGAGAGTGCTCCCACTTGATCACAATTGAAACTCTTGAGGAAATAAGACAAGATGAGAGGGAAACCCCTCTGGTACCTCTCTTTAAGACACAACAACACAGGAAGACAAAGACAAAGAGAAAAAGATGATTTGGAGGCATAAAGGGATCAAACAATATGACCACAAAATACCAAAAAGTACACCAGAGTCAATACATCAAGATTAGTCACACACAAATCCTTTTATCCCATTAATGAAAAGTTTTGCAAAGGAAGCTGATTTTTACTATCCACTTGACCAGATTGCACAGAGAGAGAGGTCAGAGCCTGGCTGGTAAGAAATTCTTACTCCTCTGCCAGCTGCTCAGGTCCTGGATTCCCTTAACTGTGGCTTCCAGAAGAGCAGAGCTTTGATCATTCTGCTCACAGCATTAGAGTTTCAGAGCCAATGGAAAAATTCCCTTTTTTCCTTCTGAAGTTTCGCTGAAAAATTAACCCACAAAAGGCAGGTTAATTAGAGAAAAGGCATACACATTTATTTAATTTAATACACATAAACCTTTAGAATGAAGGCCCAAAGATGCAGGGGAAATTGTCCATTTTTGTGTTTAGGTTTAACAAAGTAGGGACAGCCATGTAAAATAGAATTGGACTAAAAAGGTATGATCTACTGCTAATAGACTGAGTGGGAAAACCCAGCAAGGCCTATCTGTCTAGATTTTTCTTGGCCTCTCTGAGTATGCATTTTTTTCTTTGGGGTGTGAGGCACGAACCTCTCTGGAATGGGGGTCTTAGGACCTACAGTCAAACAAGGTCAGATTATTTCTTTATGGCCAGTTTTTACACAGAAAGGCAGAGGGAATGTTAGAGCAATATTTTTATGTTTCATGGCTGGCTTTGGGGAAAAGGCATTCTGGTTTTCATGACCTGCCTTGGGGAAGAGAGATTCTAGTTTCTATAGTTAGCCTTGGGGGAGAATGGGACTGAGAAATAGGAGGGCAGGACAGAGTTAGAGAAAAACTTTTGCTTTTGAGGCTGTTTTGAGGGCTTCATTTGGGGTATTGTTTTCTGAGTCCCAACACCAGCATTACTTTGATACCAAAATTAAACAGAGGCATTATAAGAAAATTACAGATACATGTTTATTAGGCCAAAAAATCTCTAATAAAATTTTAGCAATTTGAATCCATCCATAGAGAAAAACTAAAACACATCATGACCATGTGAGGTTTATCCCAGGAATGCAAGATTATTTTAATATTTGAAAATCAATGTAATTCACCATATTAATAAGTAAAAGGGGGAGGTGATTAAGTCATGAAGGCAGAGCCTCATGGGTGGAATTAGAAACCTCATAAAAGGACTTCAGAGAGTAGTTTGTTCTCTTCTGTCTTTCCATCATGTGAAGACACAGGGGTTTGCCCTCCTGTCCCTTCTCCTCCAGAGGACACAGCATTCAATACTACCTTGGAAGCAGCGACAGCAACCCTCACCAGACACCAAGCCTGCTGGCACCTTGATCTTGGACATCCAGCCTCCAGATCTGTGAGAAGTAAATTCTGGTTTTTTAAAAATTACCCAGTCTCAGGTATTTTTTAATACACACATTAATGGACTAAGACAAGACTCAACACTGTCAAGTTGTCAATTTGTGCTAAATTGATCTATAGACTTAATATGTTCTCAATAAAAGTCCCAACAAGGTTAATGTGGAAATTGACAAGCTGATTCTAAAACATAATGAAAGGCAACGGACGTAGAATAACAAAAACCCTTTTGAAAAAATGAATATTACCTGAAATGAAGAGTCAGCATAAAGTTACAATGATAAAGACAGTGTGTTACTGGCACAGGGATAGACATATAGACCAATAGAACTGAATTGAGAATCCAGATGTATATATCAAGTCAATGGGGGAAAGGTATAGAATAAAGAGGTATTCACATAGGAAAAAGCAAATCTCAAATTTTACTTCACATCATACACAAAAAATGACTCTGAATGGAGGGTAGTTCTAAAGGTAAGAGCTAAAGCTATAGTACTTCTAGAACAGGGGTTACAATTTTTTTTCTTTAAAGAAACAAATAGTAAATATTGTATGCTTTGCAGGCCAAAAGATCTCTATTGCAGCTACTCAACTCTGCCATTGTAGCACCAAACAGTCACAGATAATACACAAACAACTGGGTGCAGCTATGTTCCAATAAAGCCTTCTTTACAAAAATAGGTGGTGTTCCAGTAAAACTTTGTATACCAAACTGGGGGCTGTAGTTTGAAGATCCTCGTTCTAGGAGAAAGCAAAAAATGAAATATTTTTGACCTTAGGTCAGGCAAAGATTTCTTAGATTTAAGACAAACAGCATAAACCATGAAAGAAAATAAATTAACCTTCATCAAATTAACCCTCGTCAAAATGAAAACTTCAACTTTTCAAAAGAAAATGAAAAGATAAGTCATAGGCAGGGAGAAACTATTTGGTGTATATATATTATATATAAAATATATATAATATATAAATTATATATATATATATATATAACATTTCTGAGACCAAAATTTGTGGAGGAAGAAAAAGGAAAGCTTTATATCCTATAAAAGATTATAACCTGCAGATTGAGAAACAAAGATCCTAGCCCAAACTAAAAGCATACGTTTCAAAGATGAAGGGGAGAGGCTGGGATTTATGCCTGATAGGGTTGGTGATATATACATATTTCGCAGGTTATAGGAGAATCTATGAATATTTATGAGAGGAGCTAAACGCATGCTCAGTGAGTAAACATATATGTTAAATACATTCCATGTTCACTTTGGGGTAGAGATTTAACATTAAAATGAAGTAAAATTTGGCTTTTTATGTCAAGAGGTGAAAGACAGGACACAAAGGCATCCCATGCACAGCCTCTGTGGACTGGTCAGAACCAGGCTCTGGTTGGTGGTCATCTACCAGGAAGGAATGTTTTGTAAGGCTGGTCAGTTGTAAAGGCAAGACCATAATAAGAGAGGGGAGGTCAGCTACGATGTCAAGCGGTCTGTCAAGGTTGGTGGGGAAATCTTCCAAACATTGTTTCTCAGGAACTGGTTTCTGTTTAATTACAGGAAAGAAAATCTTGCGGCAGTTGGCAAGGTAGGGGAGTGTTGAGGGGTCACTGACCTCCTGCCTGGCCAAAGCTGTAGAATCTGGTTTTAACATTTTCTGGGTCTCTTTTTGCCACAGGGAGTCCATTTCAAGGGCTTGACCCAATATATAAAGAACTCTTACAAGTCATTAATAAGTTTAACAATGCAATTTAAAAAGATTGAAACAGATACTTGACAGAAGAGAATATATACATGTACAATATGTACATAAAAAGACACTCAATACCAGCGAAATTCAACTTGAAACTACAATGAAATGCCATTACACACCAGAGTGTCCAAAACTTAAAATACTGGCAATGTGAAGTGTTGGAGAGGATGCAGAGTAACAAGAGTGCTCATACACTGCTGGTAGGAATGCAAAACAGGACAGCCACTTTGGAAAACAATTTGGCTGCTTCTTAGAAAGATAAACATACATTAACATATGACCCATCAATTCCACTTCTAGATAATTACCCAAGAGAAATAAAAACATATGTCCACACAAAGACTTTTACATGAATGTTCATAGCAGTGTTCTTCATAGTAGCCCTGTATCAGTTATGTGCAATCAAGAGACAGAAACCACACAGTAATTTTTATACAGAAGTTGAACATAAAGAATTACTAAACCATGATAAGAGAGTAACTTATCATATAGTTATATGATCCTAGAACTGAAGGAGAATGCTCGAAAAAGGATTAAACTTGGAAGGGGGGATTCTTCCTAAGCCTAGGATTTGGATCTTTGTTGGAGAAGGGGTGATCACAGCCTGCTGGATGGGGAGGAATTTTGATTGGTTGCCTTGGCCGGAGCTGGTCCATAGTTCCTGGGCAGCTGACAACAACCCTCTGGGGCACAGGCAAGCTGATGCTGGTGGGCAGATGTGCAGAGGGATCAGGGCATCACTGTGGGCACAACGCCTAGAACATGCCAGTGTCCATGTCAGGAAGTGCAAGCAGAGGTTTTCACTGGGCCTAGCCAGGGCTGTTTGCTAAGGGAATGAATACTCTGAGTCGATGGCTGGGACAAACACCAGTGGATCTCCCTGCCCACCCCCACACACACTGCTGAGACCATATTTCAAGAACAAGAAAGAGCAAAACATAGCACACCACCATCAGAAAGAGAAGCCCCCTTCCTCCTGCAGTGTCCTTCCAGCATCCTCTGCTCACGAAGTTTAATTAACACCATGTTCACCATGAAAGATAAATGCTTATAGAATCTAGGCCATTATTGCACAGCAGATATCAGAGGGTGAATCTGAACTGAGAGGTAATAAATTAGTCATTGCCACCATCCACTTCTATGGCTACTTATTTTTCATATGTACTCTTTATATACATTTGAACTCCTGTACAACAACAAAAGAACTTCACACTTCTTAACAAAATACAACCATCCTTCTTACAAGTGAAGTTCTCATCCTTACCCCAAATGAGAAGACTCATTCTCAAAAGTCATTGTATCCACTGCCAGTTATATTAATTACTCCTCAATTTCATTTAAGTTCCACTGAATATTCTACTACCTAAAGACTAAAATGCAAAGTTAACTTCCAGCAACTTAAATATTTAAAAAATAGAAGGAGGAGAGTGAAAAAATGGTTAGTATGTATAAATAAACACATGCATTTAATAAGCAGAGAGAAAATATCCAAAGCTACCACATTTCCATTTCTATAATTGGTCATGAGGTTGTAGCTGATATCTATGGCTTCCTTCTTCAATTACCCATTGCATATTTTCCTTTTCCTCGCAAGAAGTGCAACATCTCTGCAATATTTACCTTGTGCAGTGACCCAGGCCTTTATTCCCAAAGGGCCTGTGTCTTCAATTGTCCTGCCCCTTCTTTTAGTTGCTGTGGTTTTCCATGAACTTCATGACTGGGCATGGATGTATGGAGAGGAGCCCCCGGAAAATCTCCTGGGTTCCAGACCTGGTTCTCCTTGTCTTTATTGTGCAGGAGTAACCCCATTTCCCCTTCATAACCACCACTTTGTAAAATGATCAGAATCAATCACTCTTGTGAGTAGATTCACCCCTTTCTGCCTATTGATTCAGTGGCATAAACAGATCAAAATGGCACAGCGGCGGTCTCATCTTCCAGTTTAATGGAATCATTATTGTGGCCCCTAATGGAAGCATTCCCTTCTTGTGGACTAAGAGCTCCAACACAGCAAAGTTTAAAATTAGACAGTAAGCAAACAATCTGTGAATGATTGTTTTATTTGGCCTGATAGTGGAAGGAGCCACTCCCGTTTCCACCTCTTGATACCCAGATCCATGTGTTCTGGCCATGGAGGTGACAGGACCATATAACAGTGTCTGATTTACTGCATCCTGCAAAACAGTACCCCTTCCTTTTGGGGTGCTGTTTCCAAACTGGCATTATAAGTGAGTCTTCAACAAGCCATCCCACATTTCAATTAGAAGAACTGCTTCTGGGTGATGGAGTATTGGCAGGACCAGTTAATTTCATGGGTATGCGCTCACTGCCACATTTTCTTTGCTATGAAATTAGTTCACTGATCAGACACAATGTTGTGAGGGAGGTCTTGATAGGGAATAAAGTATTCTGTGAGTTTATGGATGGTGGCACTGACATTATGGATGAGGAAAGAAAATCTATTCCAGAATATGTGTCTATTCCAGTGAGACCAAATTCTGGCCCTTCATATAAGAGAGGCTTAATGTAATTAACCTACCACCAGGTGGCTATGGAGCCTTATCAGGGCTCAATGTTGTTCCTTCTGTTGGCAGATTAAGCACTCAACAGTAGTAGTATCAGCCAGGTCAGTCTTGGTAGGGAAAGTTTGTGTTGTTGAGTCCATACATTATCTCCACTTGGCCACCATGACAACTTGTTTATGGGCCATTGAGCAAGCACTGAGGTGGTTTGGGAAAGAGGCTGACTGACATCTACAGAACAAGTTATTTTTTCACTTGGTTAGAAGCCTCCTCTGCAGTGAATGTCCCTTTGGTGGTCATTCACATGGCACACAAATATATCTTCACATTCTGTGCCTGATCAAAGAGGTCTGTCCACATACCTTTTCCCTCGATTTCTTTATTGCCAATCCTCCAGTCCTGTTCCTTGCAAGTGCCTGACCACTCAAGCAAACCATTACTTACCATGAATCAGTTTAGATTTGTACTTCCAGCCATCTCTTTCCCCCTCTCATAACCAAAATCACTGCTCAAAGTTCTGCCTACTGGGACAATTTCCCATCACAATGTTGTGTTAGTATGTTCTTGAATCGCTATGAAGGACTACTTGAGGCTGGGTAATTTACAAATTAAAGAAGTTTAACCATTTCACAGTTCTGCGGGCTGTACAGGAAGCATGGTGCTGGCATCTGCTCTGGTGAGGGCCTCAGGGAGCTTATAATCATGGCGGAAGGTGATGGGAAGCCAGCATGTCATATGGTGAGAGTGGAAGCAAGAGAGAGAAGGGGGAGGTCCTAGACTGTTTTAAACAACCAGACCTAGTGTGAACTAACTGAGCAAGAACTCACTTATCACCAAGGGAATGGGGCTAAACCATTCATGAGGAATCCACCCCAATAATCTAATTATCACCCATCTCCGACACTGGGATTCACATTTTGACATGAGATTTGGAGGGGACAAACATTCAAAGCCTATCAGCTGTCCTTCATGATCACTCTTTAGTGGGGTGCAAAAATTAATCTGTAGGTAGTAAACCAGGCTCGAATTCTTCTTTCTTGGTTAACTGGTTGTGAGAAACATTATGGGAGGCTGAAGACATGTGTTAAGGGACAGAAGACAATGCAATAGAAGAAAATGCATTTTGAGTCCCTAGAAGTTGAGATTGAAGGAGTCTGAGCCATCTGTTCATGCCACTTACTTGTACTTTCCAGAACTACCTGAGTTGGGTTTCTTATATGCCATTTCCATTCAATAATAGAATGCTGCCCTGTACACTAAGTCTTATGACTAGGTAGATCAGACAACATCAAATTCATGATGGAAAGTTCAGGTTACATGGTTACCTTATGTTCCATGGTTAAGTATTCAGTCTCTACGGAGGCCCAGTAGCAAATCAGAAGCACTTTCTCAAAAATGGAATAATAGATTTACTCCAGAATCCTTCAGGTCTTCACTGACTCCAGAATCCTAGAGGTCTTCACTGTCTACTGTACTGTTCTACTGGTGCTTGCCAGAGGCTCCACAAAGCAATTCTATTTGGCACTGATACTTCAACTATCACAGGCTCTGCTGGATCACAGGACCAAGTGGTACAGCAGCTTGCCCTGCAGCCTGAACTTGCTGCAGAGCCTTCTCTTGTTCTGGGCCCCACTTGAAACTGAAAGATTTTCATGTGATTGTGTAGACAGGTCAAAATAGCACACTTAAATGTGATATTTATCACCTCCCCAAATCCCCAAAGACCTAACAAATGCAGTGCCTATATTAGTCAAAGTTCTCCAGAGAAATAGAACCAATAAAATAGATATGATAGATATATAGATAGACAGACAGATTTATTATAAGGAATTGGCTCACACTATTATAGAAGCTGAGCGGTCACATGATTTTCCCTCTGCAAGATGGAGACCCAGGAGAGCTGGTGGTGGAGTTCCAGTTGAAGTCTGAAGGCCTGAGAACCAGGAGAGTTGATGGTGTATGTTCTAGTTCAAGTCTGTCTGAAGGCAGGAGACCAATGTTCCAACTCAAAGACAGCCAGAGAGAACAAATTATTTTCTTACCCAGGTTTTTGTTCTATTCAGGCCTCAAATGGATTGGATGTGGCCCACCCACATTGGGAGGGCTATCTGCTTTACTGAGTCTAACAATTCAAAGGTGAATCTCATCCAGAAACACTGTCATAGACACACTCAGAATAATGTTTAACTAAATATCTGGGTACCCCAGTCAAGTTTACGTAAAACTATCATGGTGCCTTATCTCTGTGTGTGTCTGCTAGCTGGTTCAAGGTGCAGCAATTTGTCACATACCAGAGAGAGGATATCCCAGCATGCTTCTGACTATTGAATCCCCAGAAATTTATCTGAGGTGACAGGCCCCTCTCACCACCTGAATTTTTGTGGGGTATATCTACCACCCTCTGGTTTACATACATCTTACTAAGGCATCTAAAGTACTGCTACTTCTTACTGATTAGATCCATCAGCATAATTTTATCAGTAGAGTGAGCCAGTGTGATATTTCATGGAATGTCAAGACAATCAAGATCACTTAGACTGTATTATGGCAGACAGCAGCAGAACTAATGTAGCCTGTGGCAACACCGTAAAGGCATACCATTGGCCCTGTTGGGTAACAGCAAACCACTTCTGGTGGTCCTCACAAACTGGTATGGAGGAAAAGACATTAGCCAGGTCAATAGCTGCATACCAACTGTCAGAGGCTGTGTTGACCTGCCCCAATAAAGGCGTTACATCTGAGACAGCAGCTGAAATTGGAATTCCCATCGGTTACATTTATGACAATCCGTGACCACTCTTCAAGGTTCATCTGGCTTCTGCACAGGCTAAACTGGTAAGTTAAATGGGAGATATTATAGCTATCACCACCTCTGCTTGTTTCAAGGTTTTGATAGTGGCATTTACTTCTGCAGCTCTCCTAGGAATGCAGCACTGCTTCTGGTTTACTATCCTGGTAGGGAAGTTCCAGGTGCTACCACTTAGCCTTTCCTACCATAGTGATCTTCACTGCATGGGTCAGAGAACCAATGTGGGAATGTGCCAGTTGCCATGTGTGTCTGTTCCATGTATGTCTGCTCTGTAGTGTGTACCTACTCCCTTTGATCTTGCTGAGATCTGTCCTGACGTATAGATCTCTCTACATTTAGGAGCTGGGAAACAACTGCAGGGTGGGTCTGTGGACTAATTTGGTCCACTGTTAGTGAGACGTAGGACTCCATCTATCATCTAACCACCATAAGCCTCTACTTTGACTTGCTGACCATAATAACATTTTGAAGCCCTAGGAATTAGCACCAATTCAGAGTCAGTTTCCAGCTTTCCCTAAAAGGTCTGGGCATTTCTTGTTCTCCAATGCACAGTCACTTTAGTAAATGGCCCATAGGCCTCTTTAGGGAAGGCTTGGAGGAAAAGGCATGGTATGAACCTGGAGCAACAGTGCAGGGCTGTCTTTTCTCAAAGGAATCAAGTCTCCCCTTCAATAAAGGGCTTCAAGGTCTGTGAACTGACTTAGGAAACTAAGTTTGGAAACAAGTTTGAAAACTAGGTAAGAGGCCATGACTCTCCACTATGGCCCCTCAAGTCAGGTTTTTGGCTAAAGATCTAGAGTTTTTCCTTTCCTATGTATCAGGCCACACTCTAGTTGGTGACCCATCTATTTTATTCCTAGGCATACCAAGATCAATGAGCCACCACCAACGGGTTCTGCAGGCCAAAGCATTCTGATTATTAGTACATTTCTGCTGCCTTTTTTGATAAATATCCCCATCTTGTTTTTGATGGCTAAGTGCTGTCACATGTCCTCCTCTACTCCAGAATCTCATCATTCCAATTGAAATCAGGGAGCCCATCTCAATAAGAATTTGCCACAGTCATACCTGGCCTACCACAGTGCACTTTTCCCAACCCAGGTACTCCTCACTCTCATGTATTTCCCAATGTCTTAGTGAGGGGGATGTCTTCTGGGCCCTCCTGTGGAACACAGTTCAGGAGAAGGTATGCAGGTCACACACCATAAGACCAGTCCAACATTTTCATCTCCCTAAGCCTTTGGATTCCCTCCTTCACATCATGCCAGGGAAGCACTAGCATCTCAGTCTCACCTAATGTAAGCCAGTGTTAAGCCCACATTTCAGTCACTCAACCAGGCAAGCTGTTAGAGCCACCTCCAGTAAGACAATAAATTCAAACTCTCTAGTAAGTATACCGTTGTCAATGAACTCAGGTTATCTGGTGTTATATGCTGTCTTCCATAGTCTAACACCCTTAGAAACAATTTCCACAGATGTTCCCCAAGTTTCTACTGATATATATCAGTGAAGTCTAGAAAGTATTTTAGTGTTTGGGCTCTGTCCTCCTGGGTCATAGTGTGTACCTATTCCCATAGACCATGCTGAGATCTGACCTGATTTATAGATCTAGTGGCAACAGGGAATGGCTGTGGTGAGTCTTGAGAAGGATGAGTATCCCTTTTTGAGGCAACTGTCCCAGGTTGAGGGAGGCTCAAAATGAGTTGTGGGTTCAATATTATTGGTTTCATCTGGGTCCAATCAGATTTCTCTAATCTACCTTTCAAGATCCCATTCTTTCCTGATCAATACCTTAACTTTCAATTGAGAAACATGGCAAGACTGTAAATTTACTGTCATTGTAATTCAGAAACTTGCATAACTAAATTGTGTGTTTGGTTTTCAGCAGTGCTGTAGCTATAAGAAATAAGAGACTTTTAGGGGCTGTCATGGAAGCTCTCTGGTTGTCAGAGATGGCTTGAATTGAAAGTTAACAGGCCTGAGCTTCTCATTTTCTCTCTGCAAGAGCTCAGTGTACCCAAAAGAATTCGTCCTACACCACAGCCCTTACAGTTATCATTACTGTCATAATGGTCAGACACAGCAGCCACTTGGCTCACAATCAACCACGGGGATGCTGCTGGGTTACTAGCCTCCCATTTCCCAGTAGCAAGGAGCTCAGCACTGCATATGAGCGCGAGGGCAGGACCCAACCCATCCTCAGACTCCATGTTCACAGGTCTATTTCCTGAGACCAGTCTCAGAACCAATTCTATATCAGTTTGGACCAAGCAAACTTTAATAGGCAAACCAGCAGTTGGCCATGACTCAGGAGAGGAGTCACTGTACAGTAAGCAAGGGAAGTAGAGTATAAAGAATTATTAAACTGTGATTCGGTGAGTACTGTAAAGATGTAAAGAAAGCTCTAACCAGTAGCTTAGGGCTGGATAGACGAACTGTGGTACAGGAAAAAAAAATGATATATATGATCTTGCATATGGTATGTACAAGAAAGAACAGGGCCCCTTTTCCCCAAGAATGGGATTTGGACATTGTTGTTGGAGGTGTGGTTGCAGCTTATTTACTTGATGGCACAGGATTTTGCTGGGTTGCGTGGCCAGCACTGGTTGACTGTCCCAGGGCAGCACAAAATAGCCCTCTGAGCTTGCCTGCTCACTGACAGGACAACACACAGCCTCTGGTGCACGGTGTCCATGTTGGGAGGACTGAAGCAAAGTGGCCTCTAGGCTTGACCCAAGGCAGCACGGTTGGCAAGGGACGACAGACTCTGGGTGCATGGCTGGGGTGCAGTGCCACTGGGTGTAACTAGAGGAAGTGCAAAAGCAAGAAAAGGCAGAACGCAGCACAGGAGTACCAAGAAGAGCCCCCTTCTTATTGCAATGTTTCTCTAGCGCCCTCTGCTGACAATGCTTAACATTTTGCTCACTGTAAAAGGGAAATCCAGGCCACTAATATGGAAAAGGTACTCTTAGAGCAAATCCACAGCTATGAGGCAATAAATTGATAACTGGCACATGCCCCAAAGTAGAAACCACACAAATGTCCACCAGCAGGTGGTACATCTTTACAATGGTATACTACTCAGAAATAAAAAGGAATGAACTACTATGTGCATAACAACACAGATGCATCTCAAAAACATTTTGCTGATATGAGAAGCCAGGCCCCAGATAGTACATCCTGTGTCATTCTATTTACATGAAAAACTTTAACAAGCAAACCAGCAGTTGTCTGTTACTCAGGTGAGGCATCACTGCCAAAGGGCATGAGAGACTCTGGAGTGATGGAAGTGTTCTATATTTGATTTTACAGTGGTGGTTACTTGAGTTATGTTCATTTTTCAAATCTTATAGAGCTCTATACTAAATGAGTGCATATTATTTATATAAGTTATGCTTTAATAAAGGTAATGTTTGAATGTTAATGGAAAACTATGGCCTTTCAATAAAAGCAGGATCATTGAGAATTCAAACCCTTCAACGTTGCAGGTTTGGGTCACCACTGGGTTAAGTAGGATCTCAACCAGCTGAAGTACTAGCCAATAGCAAAGAGAATGTAGGAGGGGGTAGTGAAGGAAGAAAATCACAAATATTCACCATAGCTTCAAGACTAGTTGCATAAATGAAAACTGTAAAATATAGCATCATTTTATGGTGTGTGTAAAGCAAGCATTTTCCTTCCTTCTTTCTTATTATTTATTAAGTAGTTTTGGTAGTAATCTTCATTACTTTTGGGGCCATAGAATGTTCAGGTGGGATTTTAAGTGAATCAGAAAAGGAATTAATACCCAAACATCGTTATGGTGACTTATATGACTCTGTGTTTCCCCTTTGGGGGATGAGAATAAGAGCAACTCCCCCACCAAGAATGGTTGCATCATACTGGAAGAAGCATGATGTTCTGTTATTTTTGTTGTATACAATTTTGTATATAGGTAGTGAGGTGTGTAGCAATGCTGAGTTGCTAAAGGAGTAGACCACATGAGCTATTTTTGTTGTAACCTAGCCCCATATCCATTTTTTTCCTTGTCCTCTACTACTGGAACTGGGAATCCAAAATCTATATTGCCTAGATTGACAGATGGAGTCATCAGGTTCTAACAATAAAAGGCATCAGCAGAAGATCAGAACTGAAGAAGACATACACTTCCTGCTTGTGGCTCAAATACCAAGTAGTTGCTGGGTAGCTGTGGGAGGGGGCCTGCTGAACTCCCATGGCCCATCCCAGCACCTGCAGCATAGGAGTGGGGAGCAGCTTCTGGATTCCTGGATATCACACCTTCCTTTTGGCTCTTCCAGCACATTCAACTCATTTGTAACCAATACCCCATATAAATTCCTCTCTGTTTAAATACCTAGTGTGGTTTCTGTAATAATAATAAACTACGGTATCAAAAATTGTGGTTTGGTAAAGATGGCAGATGGAAAATATATGTTCAACTTCCTTACCTCCCAGAACCCAACTAAAATAAAGGTGTAGATATTTACAAAACTAATCAACCCAGATAGCAAAAGGAACAAGAGGGGAAAATATCAACAGGTGAGAGTTCAATCCATTTACTGCAAATTAAATGTGGATAGAAATCTGTCAATGTTTGAAATGAGAGAGAGCTACAGTCCAGACACAGTGGTTATAAGTAGGTGGTTGTCTTAGTCGGCTCGGGCTGACATAATACAATACCATAGACTGAGTAGCTCCAACAACAGAAGTTAATTCCTCACAGTTCAGGAGGCTGGAAGTCTAAGATCAAGGTGCCAGCCCATTCACTTTCTGGAGAGGGCTCTCTTCCTGGTTTATAGACAGCTGCCTTCTTGCTGTGTCGTCACAAGGTGGAGAGACAGTAATTTTTCTAGTGCTTCCTCTTATAAGGACACTAATCATGTTGGATCAGGGTCCCACCCTTATGATATCACTTACTTCCTTACTCCAAATACAGTCACATTTGGAGTTAGGGCTTCAGCATATGAATGTGGAGTTGGGGGAGACACTATTCAACTATTCAGCCCATAGCAGTGGATCACATACAATGTAACCCGTAATTCCTGCTTCTTGAAGCTCTTAGATTCCTTCTAATGTAGATTATGCCAGGGAGGTCTTGGCATCTCAATTTTATTGACTGTAGTTCACTATTGGACCCAGGTTTTAGCTGGCCAGGCAAGTAAATGTTAGAGCCACCCCCCATTGCTGCAGCTAAGCATTTAATTCAGAATCTCAAGTACTGGCATAATACTGGTAAAATTTTCCCAATTCAACATTATATTCCATCCTCATTGAACTACCATATTTAGAATCTTTTCCCACATGTATGATTCTGTTGTTGCTGATGTTAATTGGCCAAACTCTTCTGTTCTTTTTATGGATCAGCTATGTCTATCTGGGTCAGACTGAGCACTTATCCACACTGGGTTCTGACTCTAGTTATGAATCCAGAAGCAAAGAGGGTGGTGGGGCAGGTATTGAGGATAAGACACATTACCCTCAGGTGGGGTTAGTACAAGGCCTTCAGGCAAAGGAAGGATAATCTCCTCTGGCCAGGTCAGGTCAAGTAAGTGTAAAGTACTTGGCAAAATGCCAGACAAATAGTAAACATTATGTAAGTTTTTATACTCTTTACAGTTGTTACTATCAGCTGAGTCAGCCCTGGTGAGCAAGGACTTGGAAATTTCCCAGTCTGTCCACCCACCCAGCCTAGCATGGGCACAGATGAAGGGAGGAGCTGTGAGGTCCTCAAGGACGAGGAAGGAGCCCTGAGAAGGAGTCAGATGCAGCAACAAAGTCCAAGCCTGCTATGCATCAGAATCACCTTGGGAGATTAAAGTAGATTCGGACTTCTACCTCAGCCCTCTATATCAGAATCAACAGGTGAGTGGGTGTTTTTAGAAACTCCTCACATGAGTCTGATAGAGTAGGTACCTAGATGGAGGAAGAAGGCCCTTAGCCTGAGGCTTGGATGCAGGTCACTTGTCCTCACAGAGAGCATTTGGCATGGCTGTGGGACCAGGAGCCAGCATGACCGGGCAGTGTGCTGAAATGCAAGAGGTAGAAGGTTTTAATTTGTATTTTAGTTCTAAAATTTCTACTTGGTTCTTCTTTAAAAGTTAGAGTCTAAATATTTTCTGTCTTTCTAGGCTTCCCCTTTCCTGTTCCTTTGGCTAGAGAGAAGAGGCTTTTTGGGGACCTCTTTTTGTCTATACCCATTAGTGTTTGTAGGCTGCCAGCCTGTTCAGCTCCAAGTCTGGGATATAGGAGGCAAAAAGAAAACCCAGGGAACCCATCTGTATGTTGTTCCTCAGGTCTCAAGGTCCCTAGCCAGTCTCCCTTTTTCTCCACGTTTCAGATTATTCTTTTGTTATGTATCTCCAGGGATTTTAGTTTTACTTGGTGGAGGAATAGGAAGAAGTGAGTCTATTGTATCTTGTCCAGAACCAGAAGTCCTTTTTGTGCAAAAGTGCTCATACCTGTAATCCCAGCACTTTCGGAGGCCAAGGCAGGCAGATCACTTGAGGTCAGGAGTTTGAGACCAGCCTGGCCAACATGGTGAAACCCCGTCTCTACTAAAAATACAAAAATTATCAGGGCGTGATGGCAGGTGCCTGTAATCCCAGCTACTCGGAAGGCTGAGGCAGGAGAATCGCTTGAACCCAGGAGACCCAGGTTGCAGTGGGCCGAGATCATACCACTGCACTCTAGCCTGGGCAACAGAGCAAGACTCAGTCTCAAAAAAAAAAAAAATTAGAACAGCACCTGACACATTAAGGAATAAATAATTAGTTATCTGAATGCAATAAATGTAAAAAGACAAACAAAAGTCAAGAGAAGGACACCCACTAGCAAAGAAGGCACCGAATCCGTCTGTCTTCTCCCCTAAATGTGGGCACAAAACAAGGGTGCAAAAGCACTGACTGTGTTTGCCAAATGATTCAGCAGACAGGCAGAAGGGGGTGGCGCTCAGGCTTACAGGAAGGAAGGGTCAGAGAACAATGTTTTTGGGATGGTAGGGTCCTCATCATTTTTGTAGCATAAGAGGAAAAAATCAACAGGAAGAGATTAAAGATATGAGAGAGGTAAAAGGTTTGAAAGCGAGATCCTAGAGGGGGAATGAGATTTGGAGCAAGTAGAGACATTTTGGAAGAGAAAGACTGGCACCTCTTTCTCTAGGAGTGAAGAAATGAGAGGTGCAAGTAAACTGGAAAGGAAGCTGAGGAAAACCCAAGCATGACAGCTTACTTTGCTTGGTGAAGTGCAAAGCATGGTGGCTTTCAGAGAGTGGAAAAGATGGTGGTAAGGAACTTTATCTTTTGGCTTTATGATGTACTGCAAAGGACACCAGGTTTCACCCTCCTTCCTTAACCTTAAACTCAGTTTTCGCTTATGTTAAATGAGTATCATAATCCCTGCCGCAAAGGGTTGCTATAAGGATTTAACAATATCAAACCTATAATGAACCAGCTTCTAACTACCTCAGAAGTGCTACTGCAACTGTCTACTCCATTAAGACTTTTTTAGGATAATGGGAATGTATTTTCTAAGATCTTCTTCAAAAGTTGACAAAAAGGACTTCTGGTTCTGGACAAGATACAATAGACTCACTTCTTCCTATTCCTCCACCAAGTAAAACTAAAATCCCTGGAGATACATAACAAAAGAATAATCTGAAACGTGGAGAAAAAGGGAGACTGGCTAGGGACCTTGAGACCTGAGGAACAACATACAGATGGGTTCCCTGGGTTTTCTTTTTGCCTCCTATATCCCAGACTTGGAGCTGAACAGGCTGGCAGCCCACAAACACTAATGGGTATAGACAAAAAGAGGTCCCCAAAAAGCCTCTTCTCTCTAGCCAAAGGAACAGGAAAGGGGAAGCCTAGAAAGACAGAAAATATTTAGACTCTAACTTTTAAAGAAGAACCAAGTAGAAATTTTAGAACTAAAATACAAATTAAAACACCAATCGAACCCCACAGAAAACATTGCAGCCCCACCCCCACTGGCCAAGAGCTAGTGCAGAGCCTAGACTTCCAGTTTTACCAACATGGCTGTAACAAGGTGACCCCTCTCTCCCACTGGGATGATGTCAGAGAAGGCGAAGCAGGGAGCATGAACTCCCTGTTCTGAAGTAATAAGGAACTGCCTCCCTGGGGTGTCAACAGAAGCCGAGGGGGAAGCTGTACTTCCATCCCCACTTGGTAGTACCAACAGAGTGGACTCCTTCTCCCACTAGTGCAGTGCCAGAGGGGGCCTGCTGAAGCAAAGGATTTCAGTAAGAATCTGGGTCTCATAACATAATACTCAATATGTTCAGAACACACTAGAAAATCACTAGTCAAACCACGAACCAGGAAAATCTCAACTTGAATAAGAAAAGACCATCAACAGAAGCCAACACTGAGAGGACACAATGTTGGAATTATCTGGTGAGGTTTTTAAAGCAACTATCATAAAAATGCTTCAGTGAGCAAACATGGATGCACTTAAAACAAAAATACATAAAATCTCAGCAAAGTAATATAAGACGTAAAGAAGAATCAAGTGAACATTTTAGAACTAAAAGATACTAATGAAAAACTCAATGGATGAGCTCAATGGAAAATGGGAAGAACAGAGTAAACAATCAGTGAAGTTGAAGTTAGGATAATAAAAATAACCCAATCTGAGAAATTACCCAATTTCTGAGAAACAGAGAAAAAACAGACTGGAAATAAATGACTGCAGCCTCAGAGTCCTATGTAACTATAACCCCCAAAAAATCTAATACTATGCCATTGGAGTTGCAGAAAGAGAAGAGAGACAAGGTGGGGCTTAAAAAAGTATTCAACAAAATAATGGCCGAAAACTTCCGAAATTCAGCAAAAGACATAAAAACAGATTCAAGAAGCTGACTAACTCTGAACAGTATAAACCTAATGGAATCTATGCCAAGACATATCAGTTAATCTCCTGAAAACTAAAGACAAAGAAAAAAAATCTCAAAAATAGTGAGAGAGAAATACCACCTTATCCATAGGAGAAAAAATAAAAATGGCAGCAAATTGCCCCTCAGAAACCATGGTCAGAAGGGAGTAGCACAGCATTGTTTCAAGGAACTGTAAGACCAGAATTCTACATCCAGTGAAAATACCCTTTAGAAATGAAGGGGAAATCAAGACATTATCATCTGAAGGAAAACTAAGAGAATTTGTCAATAGCAAATCTACCCTAAAAGATGCTCTTGAGACAGAAAGGAAACGATAAAAGAATAATTTTGGAACATCAGGGAGGAAAAGTAAAAAATTGAAAGGGTAAAAGTACGGGTAAATGGAATAGACTTTCCTTTTTTTTTTTTTTGACAGAGTCTCGCTCTGTTGCTCAGGCTGGAGTGCAGTGGCACGATCTCAGCTCACTGCAACCTCCGCCTCCTGGGTTCAAGTGATTCTCCTGCCTCAGCCTCCCAAGTAGCTGGGACTACAGGCGTGTGCCACCATGCCCAGTTAATTTTTGTATTTTTAGTAGAGACAGGGTTTCACCATGTTGGCCAGGCTGGTCTCAAACTCCTGTCCTCAAGTGATACACCCGCCTTGGCTTCCTATTACAGGGGTGAGCCACTGCACCTGGCCTCCTTCTCATAAGTGTTCTAAATAATGTTTGGCAGTCAAAGCAAATCAATGTTACCTCGAGTCTACTATGTAACAAGGAGCATCAGTGTCAGGCATGCCCTGTAATTGAGGTTTCAAGCTAAATGGAATAGTTTATATGTGTAAAATGTTTAGAACAGGCCGGGCGCGGTGGCTTATACCTGTAATCCCAGCACTTTGGGAGGCCAAGGCAGGCAGATCACTTGAGGTCAGGAGTTTGAGACCAGCCTGGCCAACATGGTGAAACCCCGTCTCTACTAAAAATACAAAAATTATCAGGGCGTGATGGCAGGTGCCTGTAATCCCAGCTACTCGGAAGGCTGAGGCAGGAGAATCGCTTGAACGCGGGAGACCCAGGTTGCAGTGAGCCGAGATCATACCACTGCACTCTAGCCTGGGCAACAGAGCAAGACTCAGTCTCAAAAAAAAAAAAAATTAGAACAGCACCTGACACATTAAGGAATAAATAATTAGTTATCTGAATGCAATAAATGTAAAAAGACAAACAAAAGTCAAGAGAAGGACACCCACTAGCAAAGAAGGCACCAAATCCTTCTGTCTTCTCCTCTAAATGTGGGCACAAAGCAAGGGTGGGCAGAAATCCGTCTAGCTTTTCCATTTGAGTCCTATGCTGAGCTATCTGTTCTTAGTGTACCAGGGTTGAGGTGGTCATAGAAATTATTATAGTGTGCTTGGACTACTGTAACAAAATACCATGCACTAGGTGGCTTAAACAACAGAAATTTATTGTTTTCACAGCTCTGGAGTCTGGAAGTTGAAGATCAAGGCCCAGCTGCTTGGGTTCCTGGTAAGGGCTCTCTTCCTGGCTTGCAGTGGACACCTCACCATGTGCTGACATGGCCTTTCCTTGGTGCATGGGAGAGGGAGTGAGCAATCTCTCTCTTCCTCTTCTTTTCTTTTCTTTTTTTTTTTTTTTTTTTTTGACAGAGTCTCACTCTGTACCCCAGCCTGGAGTGCCGTGGTGCAATCTCGGCTCACTGCAACCTCCGCCTCCTGGGTTCAAGCGATTCTCCTGCCTCAGCCTCCTGAGTAGCTGGGATTACAGGCGCCCGCCACCATGCCCAGCTGATTTTTGTATTTTTAGTAGAGACGGGATTTTGCCATTTTGGCCAGGCTGGTCTCGAACTCCTGACCTCAGGTGATCCGACCACCTTGGCCTCTCAAAGTTCTGGGATTACAGGTGTGAGCCACCAGGCCCGGCCAGGAGAGGGAGTGAGCAGTCTCTCTCTTCCTCTTCTTATAAAGCCATCAATCCTGTCACATTAGGACTCCACCCTTATGACCTCATTTAATTACCTCCTAAAAGCCCCAACTCCAATACAGTCCCATAAGGGTTTAGGTCTTCACCATATGGATTGGGTAGGGAGAGGGCACAATTTAGCCCACAGGGCAAATCTGGGGGGAGATGTGAGTTCTTCTCAGTCTTTATGCCCCAACAGGCTTTCATGTTGCCAACTCAATCAGACCACTAAAATCTGTTCTCAGAGAAAAGTCCTCCCCTTCATTTTCTGTCCTGAATATACAATTTTCCCCAGGCCCCAAGCCACAGAGCCTGAAACATCAGGAAAAGTTTCTGTTCTTAGTGCTCTTATCCAACCTCTTTCATCTGACTATTTCAAAATGTCCTCACAGCCCTAATTAGGTAATGAATTAATCAACAAAGTTGCTGGTTAATTGGCTTTCATTTTTGGAAGTACTTCCAGAAATGTCAGGGGAAATGTCATTTTTCAAAGTTTAAAAATGCATTGCTCGGCCTGAAATGCTGTGCTACATGAAAAGATTTCCTGCTAGGCTAGATCAGAGTGAACCGGGGGAGGTGGAAGCGGGCAGGATGATTTCTCTGTTTCTGTGGCAGCCTGCCACAGTCTGGAGGGCACACCCTCTGCTTTCTCCTCTGATTCTGTTTCAGCAGGCTAGATGAAAAAGGGCACTGCATTTGAAGTCAGAAGACTGAGGCCACAGTCTCTGACCATAACCCAGCTCTGTCACTAATCAGTCACCCGGCCTTGGATGTCAATTCCCCCAGCCTTGCCTATAAAGTGGATGTTAATCTACCCCATCTAGCCTTTGAAAAAGAATTAAATGATTCTGTATGTCATCTATAAAATGGATACAAGTCTACCCAATCTATCCTTTTACAAGAATTAAATGATTATATATGTAAAAGAACTTTGTAAACTGCAAAATACAATTACACAGTCCTTTTCATAGTATGAGCACCTTTCTCAGGCTGGGGTAGAGAAGTTGAGGGAAGGCTTCATGGAAGAACTAATAACTAAGTTCAATCATGAAGGATGAGGAAGGGAAAGCAGGGACATTCTGGGCCAAGAGAGCAGCATGGCAACAGTGAGAGAGGGCCTGGCACATCTGACAAAGTGCCTGAAGTTTGCATAGCTAGGTTTAAAAATTAAGGGAAATGGAGTGGGAGGAAGGATGCTAGAGAGAGAGGGTGAAGCACTTTGCACACCATCCTAAGGAGTGTGGACTTTTCACAGACGTGGGAAACAATGAAAGCATTTAAAGAGGCAGTGCCATGATCAGATTTGTATTTAGAAAGCTCACTTGGTGGAGAGCAGTATAGAAGATGGATTGGAAGCAGTCTAGACTAGACAGAGAGATCACTCAGGGAGCAGGTGCAGTAACCCTGTTGAGGATCTAGGGAGGGCAACTGTAACAGAAGTGGAGAAGAAGAGTTAATTAGTTAATTAATCCAAGTGGTTCTGAGGAGTTGGAATCCATAAGACAGATAGCTGGTAAGCATGGAGACAAAGGAAAAGATCAAAATTGGCTCCCCAGTTTCCAGTTTGGGCTAACAGATAAATGGTGGTGGTTACATTCACTTGGCTAGGAGCAGTTAGGAGGAAAAAGACTAAATCAAGTTTTAGAAGGTTAAGTCTGTGGGATAAGAAGTAGAGGTGTCTAATGACTGTTAAATATAGGGTTCTGGAGCACAGGAGAGAGATCTGAAATGGATAAATATAAGATAAATATAAGACAAAATTAGGTTTTAGAATCACATTACTGACTAATAGCTAGTATGAAAGATACTCTAGATCCAGCTATTTTCAAACTCTGCATCCATTTTCCACAGAACTTTTTTAAAAGGAAGTCAAACTGGAACTCCAATATCTGAAATATATTTTAAAAGTTCTTTAGATGGTTTAAATCTTCATCTTGCATGGACCATGGTTTTAAAGCCCTCAGATTCGTAACGATCTGAGAATATTGCTGCCTAGATATACTTTTCCAGGATAGAGAAGCCTCAGTAACATGGCCAGTATCACATAACATTTAGTCAAGAATTGCCCTCCATATCCAATGTAAATTTCTTTTGTCTACTTAAGCCCATTGTTTTAGGCTCTGATCTTCATTGGAAACAGATTAATTTCTTGTTGTCAGCTTACACAATAGTTTACAACTTTAAACCTGTGATTTTTGACTATTACAAACATACGGATGAAAAATTTTAAATGCAGTTGTTCAGATGTTTCCAAATTTCAACTGATAACATTGACATTATTTATGCCCATGCCCCTAGAACAGGGACTAAAAAAATAGTTAAAATTGCCCAGAAGGCCCTGTGTGGTCTGAGCCTGGCCTACCTGTTCAACCTAATTGCACGGCCTTCTCCCTCTTGCTCACTCTTCTGCTACAGTGGGCTTCTTTTTATTTCTGGGAGGCCCTGGCCCTTATTTTCACTGTTGTTTTTTTTTTAAATAATGACTGCAAATAAGCTGATATACAAATTAAGCCCTTATTTTCACCGGTTTTTTAATAATGACTGTAAATAAGCTGATATACAAATTAAGATCAAGGGCAGAAATGAGGTCACTTCCTTCCTCTTAGCTGTTAGTTTCTTCATCTATAAAATAAGAAGGTTGAACTAGATTGGGGTTAAACTCCAAGGTTGGGATCCCTGAATTTTGGGTGTAGGGAGCTCAGCGATATGAATGGGGGTTAGTAAGCTTACTAAAACCAAACTTTTGCCCATGAGAAGGCTAGAAAAGGAATAAACATTTACTAAGTACCCTCTTAACAGCTCATTTTTCCTCACAGTTACTTAAAAGTAGATGTTGTTATATTTATTTTATCATTTCCATTTTCAGATGAGGAAATGATCCCACAGAGAGGCAAGATAGCTTTATTAAGGCAGAGTTAGAGTTTACAAGGCCAAATAAAACACAAAAACAAATTTCTTTGCTTTTATATAGAATTATATCAACTTAATAATGTAACCAAGATAATCAAGTTAGAGAAAAAAAAAGAAAAAAAGGAAAAGGAAGTGTATCGGGCATGGCCTGGTGGTTCATGCCTGTAATCCCAGCACTTTGGCAGACAGAGGTGGGAGGATTGCTGGAGCTCAGGATTTCAAGACCAGCTGGGCAATATAGCAAGACCCCATCTCTACAAAAGATTTTTTTTAAATTAGCCAGGCGTGGTGACGTGTGCTGCAGTCCCAGCTACTCAGGAGGCTGAAGTGAGAAGATCACCTGAGCCTGGAAAGTTGAGGCTGCAGTGAGCCATGATCATGCCACTGCACTCCAGCCTGGTGACAGAGTGAGACCATCTCTCAAAAAACAAACAAAAACCAGTGTATCTTTGTTTGACAGAAATCTTTCAAAATATGGGCGCATGTGGGAAGCAGATAATCAGTGGTGTCCCTCTGAACAAAACTTGGAAACCAATGGAATAGTCCTTTTCTAAAGCAAAGACCTCCAGCTCAAAAAGTACCAGGAATCTAAGGAAACCTGTTGACACAGTATGGTCATTGACAGGTAACTGCCACAAGAGGGCAAAATTCTCAGGAAAAGGAATGATGTTGATCCAAGTCTGAAATCTCACTTTTGCCTTTTCCACTTAGAATATCCTTTTTCTTTTAGATATTGTCTTGATTTTTCAATTTAATAAGAGCTAACTTATAAGAGTGTGGTTATTTCTTTGGCCTGAAATCTCTCCCACCCTTTCCTCCCTCCCTCCCCCTGTTAACTCACATTCATATTCAGTTGTCACCTAAGATATTATTTCCTTAGAGAACCTCACCTCCCTGGACTAGGTTTGTTCCCTGTGCACTCACTCCCAGAGCATCTTGCCCTTAGCCATCAAAATACTTTACACTCTTGAAGTTTCTAACTTCTAGATTTTAAGCTTCATATAAGGGCAAGGGACCATGTTGATCTTTTTTGCAGTTCAAACCTAGAGGCCAGCCCAGTGTTTGAGTCACAGTGGGTATTCAATAAACCTTTGGTCAATGAATAAATTAATGGTAGATTTTAGGGGGAAAACATCTTCCCACCAAAAATAAGCAGATAAACCTGCAGCTACCAACTGTCTATCTTATCTGGTCTTTTATTCTGTATAACGGTGGGAGATTAGCAATGCATATGAACTACTTAATAATTCTTTAGTGTCACACTATTTTCCATAATTGTTAATGTAATTTAACCATCAGCTCATGGAGCAGTCAACTACAGTAATAATAACTGAGTGGTAATAATCTCTGGTGGCTCATAGAACAGCTCGGTCCTTGTGTGAAGAGGGGATTTCCTCCCGGCAGCTGCCCTCTGGCAGCTGAATGACTTCTCTCCAGTATCAGGGGTGTCAACTGTGGCATTCTCCTGAAGTGTGCTGTAGCTGCTCCATGCTTTCCAGCCATTCGGGTTTGGTGTGTGCAAAAAGCCTGAACACAATCCATCAGGAAGCTCTGAATAGGATCCCTGCTCCTTTTTTGTGTGCTCATTTCAATTTATCTCCAATTAAATTTAATTAGACATTGAGCACCTGCTGTGTGCAGGAAACCGTGCTGAGTGTTTTAGGTGATATTGAGAAGTGAAAGGAAGTTTGCAATCCAGTAATTGTTATTTCAGCCTTGTGATTCTGTAATTCACATTAAGGTTATATTTTGGACAAGTGAGTCTTCAGGAGAGCCTAATAGGATCCTGTGTTAGGTGGCAGGTGGGAGCAGGGTTAAGTTCTGAAGTCATTGGGAAGAATATATTCAGTATATTCTTATTGATTTTTATCATTTTAACTACAGAAAGTAAAGCTCAACAAAACTATCCTTCGGGGGGATAAGCACTAGATTAAAGGATTAGTAAATATTGATTACATGGATTTAAAATTAGCAGGAGCCAGGCGCAGTGGGTCACGCCTGTAATCCCAGCACTTTGGGAGGCAAAGGCGGGCAGATCACTTGAGGTCAGGAGTTAGAGACCAGCCTGGCCAACGTGGTAAAATCCCGTCTCTACTAAAAATACAAAAATTAGCTGGGCTTGGTGGCAGGCGCCTGTAGTCCCAGCTACTTGGGAGGCTAAGGCAGGAGAATTGCTTGAACCCAGGAGGCGGAAGTTGCAGTCAGCTGAGAGGGCGCCACTGTACTCCAGCCTGGGTGACACAGTGAGACTCAGTCTCAAAAAAATAAATACATAAATATATAAAATAAAATAAAATAAAATAAAATAAAATAAAGTAAGCGAGGTTATATCAGAGTGATGCTCAACGTGTTCAGCATAGAGGTATCCTGTTTACAAAATCCTCTCTCCAGCTTCACCACTCCAAATACTCCAGCAATAATCTATTTGCTAACAGTTCCCATTTACTCAATGCCTGCCCTGGGCTTTAGAATCAGCAGGTATAACCGACACGGTCAGTCTCACTCATGTCCCATGCCTTCCTTTATGCTGCTACCTCTATTTGGGCTGTTCCAGCACCAATAGCCTGGCAAACCACTTAGCTTTAAAATCCAGCCCAAGCTTTACATCCTTCAACCAAGACTCCCTCCCTCCTCTGGGACTTTACTTTGTAGTCACTGCTTATTCATATGGACACCAATGCTCAGCCTCCCTACCCAGAGTGTAAGGGCAGGCACCTTGCATTATTCCTGTGGTACCTCCGAGCTCTAGCACAGGGCCTCAGGACGTTGAAGAGCCTCATTCCCTCCATGTGCTCCCTGAGTTTTCCACAGATGAGCTGATGGCCTTCGAATCAGGAGTCACAAACTCTATCTTCCCAACATATCCATAGTATGGCCCTAAAATACAGATTACTTTTCATGAGAAACTGTTTTAAGAATCTTAAGAGTCATCTGAGCTGGAAAGAACCTTAAAGATCACATCTAATCCTCTTTCAAGTGAAAATTAAGACCAGAAAAGTTCAAAGACTTGTCTCAAGTCCCAAGATCTCACCAAAAAAGCAGGGTGTGTTAGTTTTCTATTGCTTCATAACACATCACCACAAACTTAGAGGTGAACAACTATATTCATTCATTAGCTCACAGTTCTGTAGCTTCTGAGTCCAGCATGGCCTGGCTGGGTTCTCTGTTCAGGCTCTCACAAAGGTGAAGCAAGGTGTCAGCCAGGCTGAGTTCTAGTCTGGAGGCTCTGGGAAAGACCTGCCTAAGCCCTTTCTTGTGGGCAGGTTCAGTTCCTTCCAGTTGCAGGACAAAGGTCCCATTTCGTTCCTGGCCATTGGCTGTGAACTGCTCTCAGCTCCTCACGTCTCCTCCATCAAAGTAAAAACATTGCAGCAAGCCCTGCCCATTCTTTTAATCTCTCTGACTTCTGCCACTGCTACTGGCCATAATGAACTCTCTGGTTTTAAAAGTCTCATGTGATTAGACCAGGCCCACCTGTATACTCTCTTAACATCGGCTGTGCCATATAATATTTACTGCCATGTAATCATTGCAGTAAAAGCAATCAAATTCACACTCCTAAGGATTATATAGAATGTGTACATGGGGATGGCAAGGAGGGAAATCTTAGAAGACACAGACTCCTGCCTACCATGCAAGGATTTGGGAATCATACAGACATGGATTTGATAGCAACGTTACCACTTAACATCTCTGATTTCACTGAGCCTATGTTTCTTCCTCTGCAGAACGAGAATACCCCACATGCCTATACATGCCTTTTGTAAGGGTTAAAGAGAAAATGGATACAAAAGTGACTTTCTGTTTTTTGTTTTTTGTTTTTTTGAGATGGAGCCTCTCTCCATCACCCAGGCTGGAGTGCAGTGGCACGATCTTGGCTCACTGCAACCTCTGCCTCCTGGGTTCGAGTGATTCTCCTGCCTCAGCCTCCTGAGTAGCTAGGATTACAGGCGCGCACCACCATGCCCAGCTAATTTTTGTATTTTTAGTAGAGACGGGGTTTTACCATGTTGGCCAGGCTAGTCTTGAACTCCTGACCTCAGGTGATCCGCCCGCCTCGGCCTCCCAAAGTGCTGGGATTACAGGCATGAGCCACCGCGCCCAGTCTGAAAGTGTTTTTAAGGTATAAGGCACTACCTGGCAGGGTCTAATTGAAGTATTGTGCACAAGTATACGGCATCCCCTAGAAAAAAAGATCCTTAAGGTTAGAGGCTTAAGGACGTGACAAAATCAGGGTCTGAGTGAGCCTTACTATCTTTTAGTGACAATAAGATGGAAGTTTAGAGCACCAAGAAACAGATGGTAGATAAAGTATTTCAAATGGCCATTTATTTCCTATCTAAGGCAATGCAAAGCCACATTCAGATATATCTGGACTGCTTCTGACCCTCCACTGAAGGTGGGATTCTTCTTCAATCTGTGGGACAGTCCTGGATCTCCATGCTGACATGGTTCATCTAGTACAGTTGGGACCTAACTCAGATGACTGTCCTACAGATTAAAGCAAGGCACTACAGAGGTGACCAGGCAAGTGTTTCAGCAAGGAGCACAGCCTGTCCACCCCTCCCTGCTTCTGAACATTAGGGCAGAAATTGTGAGTTATGGTAACAACTCTCTAAATTTAGAACACTGAAGGGCAAGATTCTCTATTGTCTGAAAAAAACCACTGAAAGCAAGCCAACATAAGCATCTGTAGGAGCTCCATTTTTCTCTTCCTTCAGTGTGGCTTAGTTTCTGAGAAAGGAGCACACAGACCTTGTGCAACTTGCTTAAGAATGATGATTATAGTACATGAACTGTTTCCTTCTTAAGCAGAAGAAATCACTATGTGATAGTCTCCTTCAACGCTTCGTTGCTAAATACACACGGCCTGGCACATAACAGATATTTCAAAAAGCATCTGCAGAATGAATAAATGAAACGAACCAACCAACCAGTGAGCTGGAACCCAGTTCTCTTCACTTCTTATCCAACACTTTCTAGTATGCAATTCTGTTTCCCACTATACTAGCCTGGTGTCTGCCTTCTGAACAGAATTAATAAGCAAGTAGTGAGACTCTAGCTAAACTTAAATGTGCTAGCTCCAACAGTCCCTAGAAATTCTAAGCCAGGCTGTCAATTTGAAATTGTCTCTAGACAATAGCTGTGTAGCTGAGGAAGTGAGCAGCAGCACACTGACCATCTGCTCCTTCTTCTCTGGGGAGCTGAGCTGAAGGAATTCACAGAGGTTAATGAGCCCTCTCTGGCTCGTGTAGTCTTGCACAATCTGTGGGTCTGGGTCTCTTCCATTTTAGAAGATAAACACACACTTGAAATGCCTCGGGTGTGCACATGCCTATACAATGATTAGAGCTCTCTTGCCAAAGTGATATGTGAACTTTTTAGAAGCCATAAAGGAATACTGGAAAACTACTCGGCCTTCGTAGTCAGACAGGCCTTTGTAGTTCAGGGTTACAGCCCTTCATTTCTCCACTTATTAACTGGGTAACTTTGGTTCCTTTTACCTCTCTGGGCCTCCGTTTCTTCATATATAAAATGGGAATAATACAAAGAGTTATGCCTTGCAGGTCTATCATGAAAATTAAATTAATTAAGTGTGCAAAGTGCTCGGTACAGAACATTCAACACATGGGCTACTGTGGTTATTGGTATGTAACTAAATTTCTTCTCAAATACATTTCTATACATTTACTTCTTCAAACCACCCATGGTATTGAAACCAAAGGTTTGAAACTATTCCATAAAGATTCACTAAGTGACTAATACACACCAATATCTGCACTGGGTGATAAAAAATGGAGACAAATAAGAGAATGGAATAAGAGAAAGGGGTAAGAAAATAACATTTATCGAGAACCCATACTGAGCTAGGCACTGCACTAAGTGCTCGGAATCCCAGGCAAATAAGTCACAGCACTGGAATTTAATGAATTTAATGCTTGATTTTTCACTTCACACATTCATTCCTTAAGAGAAATCAAGCTCATGAAAGTTCCTATGGCTTTCTGGTTGCCAGAATCTCTTCTCTGAATTTCACTGGAGCAGAAGAATATACCTCAGAGACTTGCTTCACACTTCAGCCAGGCCTCAGCTCCTTCTTTCTCAGCTTGCCACTCCTCTCTATCTTCAGTTGCCCATTTGCAGTGATGAATGACTCGTTTCTCAACCAGTTCCTTGGTGCCCTTGGCCTCAATATTATTGTTTTTGAAAGTAATTGTGTTGTGGCAGGATCATCCTGCCCTCTTAATTAAGGGCATTTGTGGTTTGGTCTTTGTCCCATGTCCTCCTGGTCAATTATGCTTATTTATTCCCTGTTGTCAATTTGTCACTAATAAGTCCTCTCATATAATGTTATTACAGCACAAGTGATACACTTCTATATAATTTCAGGAAAAAGTGGACATTACTGGAACAAAAAGTGCTTAGAGAACCACATGATGAAGAAAACATTTCACAGTGTTGGTTTGTTCTCTATTTCCCACAAATCTACAGTAACAAGTTACAGATTTTAAAAATAACTCTAGAGTTACCCCTCTCAATTGAATAACTCAATTTTTTAAAAAACTCATCACAGGACAATAGCAATCAATCTATTTTGCAACACAATAATTCTAAAACAATTAAAATGTAAATGTTAAAAGAAACCATAAACATTCTAGAACAAAAATAAGTGAAAGGTTTTATGCCCTTAGGTGGGAAAAACATTTTTTTTTAAATTTCATTATTATTATACTTTAAGTTTTAGGGTACATGTGCACAATGTGCAGGTTAGTTACATATGTACACATGTGCCATGCTGGTGTGCTGCACCCATTAACTCATCATTTAGCATTACGTATATCTCCTAATGCTATCCATCCCCCCTCCCCCCACCCCACAACAGTCCCCAGAGTGTGACGTTCCCCTTCCTGTGTCCATGTGTTCTCATTGTTCAATTCCCACCTATGAGTGAGAACATGCGGTGTTTGGTTTTTTGTTCTTGCGGTAGTTTACTGAGAATGATGATTTCTAATTTCATCCATGTCCCTACAAAGGACGTGAACTCATCATTTTTTATGGCTGCATAGTATTCCATGGTGTATATGTGCCACATTTTCTTAATCCAATCTATCATTGTTGGACATTTGGGTTGGTTCCAAGTCTTTGCTATTGTCAATAGTGCCGCAGTAAACATACGTGTGCATGTGTCTTTATAGCAGCATGATTTATAGTCCTTTGGGTATATACCCAGTAATGGGATGGCTGGGTCAAATGGTATTTCTAGTTCTAGATCCCTGAGGAATCGCCACACTGACTTCCACAATGGTTGAACTAGTTTACAGTCCCACCAACAGTGTAAAAGTGTTCCTATTTCTCCACGTCCTCTCCAGCACCTGTTGCTTCCTGACTTTTTAATGATTGCCATTCTAACTGGTGTGAGATGGTATCTCATTGTGGTTTTGGTTTGTGTTTCTCTGACAGCCAGTGATGGTGAGCATTTTTTCATGTGTCTTTTGGCTGCATAAATGTCTTCTTTTGAGAAGTGTCTGTTCATGTCCTTTGCCCACTTTTTGATGGGGTTGTTTGTTTTTTTCTTGTAGATTTGTTTGAGTTCATTGTAGATTCTGGATATTAGCCCTTTGTCAGATGAGCAGGCTGCGAAAATTTTCTCCCATTTTGTAGGTTGCCTGTTCACTCTGATGGTAGTTTCTTTTGCTGTGCAGAAGCTCTTTAGTTTAATTAGATCCCATTTGTCAATTTCGGCTTTTGTTGCCATTGTTTTTGGTGTTTTAGACATGAAGTCCTTGCCCATGCCTATGTCCTGAATGGTAATGCCTAGGTTTTCTTCTAGGGTTTTTATGGTTTTAGGTCTAACGTTTAAGTCTTTAATCCATCTTGAATTGATTTTTGTATAAGTTGTAAGGAAGGGATCCAGTTTCAGCTTTCTACATATGGCTAGCCAGTTTTCCCAGTACCATTTATTAAATAGGGAATCTTTTCCCCATTGCTTGTTTTTGTCAGGTTTGTCAAAGATCAGATAGTTGTAGATATGTGGCATTATTTCTGAAGGCTCTGTTCTGTTCCATTGATCTATATCTCTATTTTGTTAACAGTACCATGCTGTTTTGGTTACTGAAGCCTTGTAGTATAGTTTGAAGTCAGGTAGCATGATGCCTCCAGATTTGTTCTTTTGGCTTAGGATTGACTTGGTGATGCGGGCTCTTTTTTGGTTCCATATGAACTTTAAAGTAGTTTTTTCCAATTCTGTGAAGAAAGTCATTGGTAGCTTGATGGGGATGGCATTGAATCTATAAATTACCTTGGGCAGTATGGGCCATTTTCACGATACTGATTCTTCCTACCCATGAGCATGGAATGTTCTTCTATTTCTTTGTATCCTCTTTTATTTCATTGAGCAGTGGTTTGTAGTTCTCCTTGAAGAGGTCCTTCACGTCCCTTGTAAGTTGGATTCCTAGGTATTTTATTCTCTTTGAAGCAATTGTGAACGGGAGTTCACTCATGATTTGGCTCTCTGTTTGTCTGTTATTGGTGTATAAGAATGCTTGTGATTTTTGTACATTGATTTTGTATCCTGAGACTTTGCTGAAGTTGCTTATCAGCTTAAGGAGATTTTGGGCTGAGACAATGGGGTTTTCTAGAAATACAATCATGTCATCTGCAAACAGGGACAATTTGACTTCCTCTTTTCCTAATTGAATACCCTTTATTTCCTTCTCCTGCCTAATTGCCCTGGCCAGAACTTCCAACACTATGTTGAATAGGAGTGGTGAGAGAGGGCATCCCTGTCTTGTGCCTGTTTTAAAAGGGAATGCTTCCAGTTTTTGCCCATTCAGTATGATATTGGCTGTGGGTTTGTCATAGATAGCTCTATTATTTTGAGATACATCCCATCAATACCTAATTTATTGAGAGTTTTTAACATGAAGGTTGTTGAATTTTGTCAAAGGCCTTTTCTGCATCTATTGAGATAATCATGTGGTTTTTGTCTTTGGTTCTGTTTATATGCTGGATTACATTTATTGATTTGTGTATATTGAACCAGCCTTGCATTCCAGGGATGAGCCCACTTGATCATGGTGGATAAGCTTTTTGATGTGCTGCTGGATTTGGTTTGCCAGTATTTTATTGAGGATTTTTGCATCAATGTTCATCAAGGCTATTGGTCTAAAATTCTCTTTTTTCATTGTGTCTCTGCCTGGCTTTGGTATCAGGATGCTGCTGGCCTCATAAAATGAGTTAGGGAGGATTCCCTCTTTTTCTGTTGATTGGAATAGCTTCAGAAGGAATGGTACCAGTTCCTCCTTGTACCTCTGGTAGAATTTGGCTGTGAATCCATCTGGTCCTGGACTCTTTTTGGTTGGTAAGCTATTGATTATTGCCTCAATTTCAGAGCCTGTAATTGGTCTATTCAGAGATTCAACTTCTTCCTGGTTTAGTCTTTGGAGGGTGTATGTGTTGAGGAATTTATCCATTTCTTCTAGATTTTCTAGTTTATTTGCGTAGAGGTGTTTGTAGTATTCTCTGATGGTAGTTTGTATATCTGTGGGATCGGTGGTGATATCCCCTTTATCATTTTTTATTGTGTCTATTTGATTCTTCTCTCTTTTCTTCTTTATTAGTCTTGCTAGTGGTCTATCAATTTTGTTGATCCTTTCAAAAAACCAGCTCCTGGATTCATTAATTTATTGAAGGGTTTTTTGTGTCTCTATTTCCTTCAGTTCTGCTCTGATTTTAGTTATTTCTTGCCTTCTGCTAGCTTTTGAATGTGTTTGCTCTTACTTTTCTAGTTCTTTTAATTGTGATGTTAGGGTGTCAATTTTGGATCTTTCCTGCTTTCTCTTGTGGGCATTTAGTGCTATAAATTTCCCTCTACACACTGCTTTGAATGTGTCCCAGAGATTATGGTATGTTGTGTCTTTGTTCTCGTTGGTTTCAAAGAACATCTTTATTTCTGCCTTCATTTCATTATGTACCCAGTAGGCATTCAGGAGCAGGTTGTTCAGTTTTCATGTAGTTGAGCGGTTTTGAGTGAGTTTCTTAATCCTGAGTTCTAGTTTGATTGCACTGTGGTCTGAGAGACAGTTTGTTATAATTTCTGTTCTTTTACATTTGCTGAGGACAGCTTTACTTCCGACTATGTGGTCAATTTTGGAATAGTTGTGGTGTGGTGCTGAAAAAAATGTATATTCTGTTGATTTGGGGTGGAGAGTTCTGTAGATGTCTATTAGGTCCGCTTGGTGCAGAGCTGAGTTCAATTCCTGGGTATCCTTGTTAACTTTCTGTCTCGTTGATCTGTCTAATGTTGACAATGGGGTGTTAAAAGTCTCCCATTATTATTGTGTGGGAGTCTAAGTCTCTTTGTAGGTCACTCAGGACTTGCTTTATGAATCTGGGTGCTCCTGTATTGGGTGCATATATATTTAGGATAGTTAGCTCTTCTTGTTGAACTGATCCCTTTACCATTATGTAATGGCCTTCTTTGTCTCTTTTGATCTTTGTTGGTTTAAAGTCTGTTTTATCAGAGACTAGGATTGTAACCTCTGCCTTTTTTTGTTTTCCATTTGCTTGGTAGATCTTCCTCCATCCTTTTATTTTGAGCCTATGTGTGTCTCTGCACATGAGATGGGTTTCCTGAATACAGCACACTGATGGGTCTTGACTCTTTATCCAATTTGCCAGTCTGTGTCTTTTAATTGGAGAATTTAGTCCATTTACATTTAAAGTTCATATTGTTATGTGTGAATTTGATCCTGTCATTATGATGTTAGCTGGTTATTTTGCTCATTAGTTGATGCAGTTTCTTCCTAGCCTCGATGGCTTTTACAATTTGGCATGATTTTGCAGCAGCTGGTACCAGTTGTTCCTTTCCATGCTTAGTGCTTCCTTCAGGAGCTCTTTTAGGGCAGGCCTGGTGGTAACAAAATCTCTCAGCATTTGCTTGTCTGTAAAGGATTTTATTTCTCCTTCACTTATGAAGCTTAGTTTGGCTGGATATGAAATTCTGGGTTGAAAATTCTTTTCTTTAAGAATGTTGAATATTGGCCCCCACTCTCTTCTGGCTTGTAGAGTTTCTGCCAAGAGATCTGCTGTTAGTCTGATGGGCTTCCCTTTGTGGGTAACCCGACCTTTCTCTCTGGCTGCCCTTAACATTTATTCCTTCATTTCAACTTTGGTGAATCTGACAATTATGTGTCTTGGAGTTACTCTTCTCGAGGAGTATCTTTGTGGCGTTCTCTGTATTTCCTGAATCTGAATGTTGGCCTGCCTTGCTAGATTGGGGAAGTTCTCCTGGATAATATCCTGCAGAGTGTTTTCCAACTTGGTTCCATTCTCCCCGTCACTTTCAGGTACACCAATGAGACATAGATTTGGCCTTTTCACATAGTCCCATATTTCTTGGAGGCTTTGTTCGTTTCTTTTTATTCTTTTTTCTCTAAACTTCTCTTCTCGCTTCATTTCATTCATTTGATCTTCCATCACTGATACCCTTTCTTCTAGTTGATCGCATCGGTTTCTGAGGCTTCTGCATTCTTCACGTAGTTCTCAAGCCTTGGCTTTCAGCTCCATCAGCTCCTTTAAGCACTTCTCTGTATTGGTTATTCTAGTTATACATTAGTCTAAATTTTTTTCAAAGTTTTTAACTTCTTTGCCTTTGGTTTGAATTTCCTCCTGTAGCTCGGAGTAGTTTAATCGTCTGAAGCCTTCTTCTCTCAACTCGTCAAAGTCATTCTCCGTCCAGCTTTGTTCCGTTGCTGGTGAGGAACTGCGTTCCTTTGGAGGAGGAGAGGCACTCGGCTTTTTAGAGTTTCCAGTTTTTCTGCTCTGTTTTTTCCCTATCTTTGTGCTTTTATCTACTTTTGGTCTTTGATGATGGTGATGTACAGTGGGTTTTTGGTGTGGATGTCCTTTCTGTTTGTTAGTTTTCCTTCTAACAGACAGGACCCTCAGCTGCAGGTCTGTTGGAGTTTGCTAGAGGTCCACTCCAGACCGTTTGCCTAGGTATCAGCAGCGGTGGCTGCAGAACAGCGGATTTTCGTGAACCGCGAATGCTGCTGTGTGATCGTTCCTCTGGAAGTTTTGTCTCAGAGGAGTACCCGGCCGTGTGAGGTGTCAGTCTGCCCCTACTGGGGGGTGCCTCCCAGTTAGGCTGCTCGGGAGTCAGGGGTCAGGGACCCACTTGAGGAGGCAGTCTGCCCGTTCTCAGATCTCCAGCTGCATGCTGGGAGAACCACTGCTCTCTTCAAAGCTGTCAGACAGGGACACTTAAGTCTGCAGAGGTTACTGCTGTCTTTTTGTTTGTCTGTGCCCTGCCCCCAGAGGTGGAGTCTACAGGGGCAGGCAGGCCTCCTTGAGCTGTGGTGGGGTCCACCCAGTTCAAGCTTCCTGGCTGCTTTGTTTACCTAAGCAAGCCTGGGCAATGGTGCGTGCCCCTCCCCCAGCCTCGCTGCCGCCTTGCAGTTTGATCTCAGACTGCTGTGCTAGCAATCAGCGAGACTCCGTGGGCGTAGGACCCTCCGAGCCAGGTGCGGGATATAATCTCCTGGTGTGCCGTTTTTTAAGCCCGTCGGAAAAGCGCAGTATTAGGGTGGGAGTGCCCTGATTTTACAGGTGCCATCTGTCACCTCTTTCTTTGACTAGGAAAGGGAACTCCCTGGCCCCTTGCGCTTCCCGAGTGAGGCAATGCCTCGCCCTGCTTCGGCTCACGCACAGTGCACTGCACCCAGTGTTCTGCGCCCACTGACTGGCACTCCCTAGTTAGATGAACCCAGTACCTCAGATGGAAATGCAGAAATCACCTGTCTTCTACATCGCTCACACTGGGAGCTGTAGACCAGAGCTGTTCCTATTCGGCCATCTTGGCTGCCCCCCTCTGACATTTCTAAGCATGCCATCAAAGGCAGAATGCATCAGGAAAATCAATAGAATTGATTTCAAAAAACACTAAAAACTTTTTATGGCCAAAAATCCCCCATAAACAAAATTATCCCCTAGAAACAAAATAACAAAAATATTAACAAACATAAATAAACTAGGAAACATATTTGCAATCCACAAACAAAGGGCACTTAACATACAAAGTGCTTTCACAATTGCAAAATGGGCTAAAGTCATGAAAAGATAATTCAAAAAACACAATGTCCAGTAAACACATAAAAATATGTTTGAGTTCACTAATTTAACAAATTCAAATTAAAACAATAAGAAATATTTTTTTCACTCATTAGATTGGCAAATATTAAACTTATGGGTAATGCCAATGTTGGCAAGTTATGCATACCAACCAGCATTGTCAAACATTCTTAGAAATATAAATGGGCTTAGTTTTCTGGATAGCTATTTTACAATATGCAAAGAAAAAAAGATTTAAAAAGTATACCATCTGACTCAGCAATTCACTCTGGGTATTATCCTAAGAAAATAATCAGAGAAGTCACAAAGGTATATGCATGAGGACATTTACTGTAATGCTGTTTATAATGAAAAATTTAAAATATCCTAGTATCCATAGAGGATAGTTAAATAAATTATGTTGCAGTCCTATAGTGGAATATTATGTTACCATTAAAAATTATAATGATTCTCTCTCCTTTGTTGGCTTTGAAGAAGTAAGCTGCCATTTCTGAGGTCTATGGAGAGGACCACGAGGCAAAGAATTGAGGGTGGCCTTTAGAAGCTGACAGCAGCCCATTGCTGATAGTCAGCAAGAAAATGGTGACCTGTCTATAGCTGCAAGGAGATGAATTCTGCCAATAACTTGAGGGCACATGGAAGTGGATCTTTTCCCAGTTGAGCTTCTGATAAGATTGTAGCCCTGGCCAGTACTTGAATTGCAATCTGTTGACAGAAACTGTGACAGGACTGATGATGCACAGAAACAGATAATAAACGTGTGGTGTTTTAAGCCATTAAGTCTGTGGTACTCAGCAAAGCTGTCTAAGATATGTTACGTAAAAAATAAGTTATGAAACAGTACGTATGATATGATCTTATTTTAAAGTAAACTTATATTTAAATAAATGTTCATAGAAAAATGTCTTGGACAATGTAAACCACTAGGTGTATTCCTCATACTTTTCTGCCTTTCTTGAAACTTATCTTCAATGAACATGTATATTATAAAGATAGATGTATTTTCATTTTTAAAGAAAAAACAATATCCAAAACCTTGGGAAGAGAGTTTATCTGTGATGTGTAATTTTTGTGTCATAATGATGCTACAGTTTTAAGCCCTTAGAAATTTAGAAAACTAAAGAATTTATGTATAACTAAATAATTTATGTATAAATAATACAGTGATTTTTTTTTCCACTGCGGGATCCTGTTGTTATTGAGTTGGAACTCCAAGAAGGTTGTTAGGTAAACATGGAATGAAAGTAATACCCACATATTACTCAAATTTGTGGAATAACCATCCAAGTTACAGTAGAGGAATGAGGTCTACATAGTCCAGATTTCCCATACAATGCTTATTTAAAATACTAAAGTCATTTAATTTTTGGTTACAAAATATAATCCTAATAGCTATAGAATACACCTTTCAAATGGCTGGAATACAGTATTTATATCCAGTTGTAAGATGTGAAAATCAACTAGAGACTCTGTGCTATTGAGTTTGCTGAAGAAAACATCACACACATGACCTCTATCCTTGATTGTGCTCTCTATCCAATTTAATAATCTTTTCATGGATCCAAATGAAATCTCATCCCCTCCCAAGGGGGGCATGTTTAAACACTCTCAACTTCCTATCCCACTACTTTCCCTCTCACCCTTGGCAGATAATCTGGTTGGCCTAACTAGGGTTATCCATCTATCCACTAGTTGGGGGAACACAAGGCATCTTAATAATGCCACCAAGACTACACACAAGGTGAAGAAATAGTTTCCCCAAAGCAAGGGAAGGAGTGGATGCTATGGCCAAAGGATGCAAACTCCCTGGCATGGCACACATGATCCATCATGACAGGACACTAACTCCTCAATATGTTCTTCTACCCCCACTTTCTTCATAGCCAGTGTCACATATGCTGGCTTCTCTCACATCAACATAATTTTAGACTATCTGATCCCTCTGCTTGGACTGCCATTCCACTTACTTAGCTTGATCCGCTCAAGCTTGATTTTCAAGACTCAGGTCAATCACCATTTCTTTAGAAAGTCTTCTCTAACGAAAATCCCTCTTTTTCCCTCTCTCCAGCCAGGTTGGATACTCTTCTCATGTCTCCCACACCGCCCAAATACCGTTATCATGATGTGTTCTAATTGTTTTTATACTTGTCTGTCTCCCCATAGACTGTGGGCAGGGTAACGTCTAATTCACCTTGGAATTGTTAATGCTTAGTGCAGCACAAGTATACACAAGACATTGTTTATTAAATGTATGAAACCAATCCATTACTTTTTTTTTTTTTTTTGAGATGGAGTCTTGCTCTGTGGCCCAGGCTGGAGTGCAGTGGTGCGATCTCCACTCACTGCAACCTCTGCCCCCTGGGTTCAAGCAATTCTCCTGCCTCAGCCTCCCTAGTAGCTGGGATTACAGGCGTGCACTACCACGCCTGGCTAATTTTTGTATTTTTAGTAGAGACGAGGTTTCTCCATGTTGGCCAGGCTGGTCTCAAATTCCTGACCTCATGTGATCCGCCCACCTCAGCCTCCCAAAGTGCTGGAATTACAGGCTTGAGCCACAATGCCCAGTCTCCATTACTTATTAACAAGCCCAAGTATGGGCACTGTTCTCTGTAGGACAGTGCTGAGAAATACCAAGTCAACGTTTTCAAATGTCTTTTCATCTGCTGCTTACTAAAACAAATTTTTTACATCATTACCATACTGGTGTTTAGATGTCACACTATTTTTGCATTGGTGTATTATATGGGGCCCGCTTCCTGAGCCACAGGGCAGTATGGTAGCTTCATCTTGTTTGTTGATTCCTGTCAGCTTTAGGCAGAGTGGCCTTTGTGGACTCGGTACAGAAAATTACATTCTTAGGTCCATGTGCTTGCAACTCTGCAGCCAACTGGTATCAGACCATCTGGTCAATCTAACAGCCTCTCTGCATTCACAGTTTGTCACCATTTCTATCTTCCAGTGTCATCTGCAACATGGGGCTAGTAATGCCTACCTAGAGGGATTAAATGTGAAAATATATGTAAAGTATCCAGTATAGGGTCTGCCACAGAGTATGTATTTGCCTAGTGAGTTGTTCTGCACATGCAGGGGAAGGACTTACTTCTACTGAGCCATGAGACCCAAGACCACTTGCGAGGGTGAAAAAACAAGATGCAGCAGATTGCTAGTTGCTTAATCAAATTCATTCTTCCCTTCATTTTGGAAAGATTTTTAAGGGCATCAATGTGCCAAGTTAAGATTACAGTTTCCAGCTCTGAGAGGTCATGATACTAAATTCGAGTCTGTAAGATGTAGTTAGAAGGTTTTGTGTGGGACTTCCAGAAAGGCCCTTTCTAAAATAAGGATGTGATGGCTGGAGCTCCAACTACCATTTTGGCCCATAAGGCAAATTGGTGGACACAAGCCAGGTGTAGGGATGACAGAGCCGAACGACCTTAGGTACCTTCCTCCCACTTTCTTTTATGGGAGAGGGGAAAAGCCCCTCGTGGGTTTAGGATACTGGAATCTGGGGGTTCCTGTTACACGCAGGCAAACCCCGTCAGCCACTCTGTAAACTGCTGGGCCTTGCTCTCACCCAGATTCTGCTCCTCGGATTTCTCTGAACCACCTGGGGCCGCGACGAACCACCTGGGGCCGCGACGCCGTAAGAGTTGGGACGATAGGACCAGTAGAAGCAGGAGGAACAACACAGGAAGCGCGCCCGGAGAGGCGGCCAGTCGCTGGGTTCCGTCCGCGGTGCTCCAGGGCTCTCCTGGCTCTTCCTCCATTCACTCTTCTCGACCCTGTGGCCGGGGAGCGCTTGCAGCCAGCTCCGCCGCCGTCCTTCTTGGCTCGCGCCGTCCCCTAGCCGTCCTCACGCCGTCCCCTTACTTAGGGTCCCCTTTCCGCACCCGCGCCATCCCCTCAGCGTCCCTCACGGTTCCCTCACCGCCCGCGCCCGTTCGAAAATGCCCAGAGCCACCGCTCTCGTCACGGTCCGCTTCAGGCCTCCATTGGCCAGCACACGTCACGTGCGGCGTGTGGCGGCTGACATTGGCGGGCGGGCGCGCTGAGGGCAGCGCCGGGGACGCGGCCTCAGCAGGGGCGCCCCGCCACGGGGAGCAGCCCAGGCGCTCGCCCCAGGACGTTGTCCGGCGGGCTGGGCTGGGACCCCTCTGCCTCCAGGGCGCGTCGGGAGCAGCAGGGATCGGTGCCGCGCCGTGAGGGTGCGCAGAGGCTGCCCTCGGGCCCGCTACCCACAGACCCTCCGCGGGGCAGCGTCTCCGGGCCGGCCGCGCCCTGGTCCGCCGACCGCAGACGACTTGTGACACGGACGGCGCGTCCTGCTGACCCCAGCCGGCGCCGAGGGCTTGGAATCTCGAGCGGGAAAAGGTTCGGAATTCGCAGCTAGTTTAGCCGCACACTCAGTATGGTTCTTTCAGATTTGTTTTTTTAAACGTCTAGATATTAAGTGATGCGTGGTGGAGGCAAATCACTGAGGGTCGTGAGCTTGAAACTAAAGTTTAAAGGTCTTGGATTTGAGGGTCTCACATTCAGATGTCTGCAGGGACCAGGCTGGGAGATGCTGGGAGAACCCCCACGTTCTGGGGTGGCGAGTGCCTCTCAACTGCCGCTGGAAGCGATCTCAGATTTTTCATGAGAAGTTGAATATCGGGATTTTTATGTGAAATCTCTTGATTTGTAAATGTTGGCAATCAATTAAAAAAAAAAGAAGAAACACTGGAAGCCAAGCAAAAGACATTTATAAGCTGGTTCTAGTCTGCCAGTTTGTGACCTCTAATTTAGGTCTAATTCTGCCACTAAATTAGTCACGTGACCTTGACCAAGTCATTTATCTCTCGGACATGCATTCTCAACATGGGTGATATTGCTCATGTTCTTAGGGGGAAAAAAGATCGTAGATATTACCGTCCTTTGTGGCCTTCCAAAGAGCCTCAAAACAAGCAGATATACGTTATACCTATGTCATTGAAATTTTATGGGGTTAGCAGATTCGGAAATAAAATGTCTAAAACGTCTCCTGGGAGGAGAGGGGGAAAATCAAGAAAAGGTTGAGAAACACTGCTTTAGGGAGGTGGATAAGCAGATGATCCTGCGATAGTTATGTATGTGGAAGGATTAAAACATACTAGCATTCATAGATTGAGAACCGGAAAACTCCGAGAGGTCATCTTATAAATGTTCCATGCCAGGCACTGTTAACACACACACGTACAGGTACATACATATATACACACATACATATGTCCACACAATTTTATTTGATCTCCACAACAAAGTGTCGTTTCATTTACTGTGTGGGAAAACAAGCTCAGAGGGTTTGGGTGACGTGTCACAGTCAGAGCTATTAATATTAAATGGAAGAACTGGGATTTAAATCCAAGTCTATGTGGCTCCAAAACCACCCACTCATCCTGTTGGCTCCCAGCTTGTCCAGTTGTGTCCAGACCTCTTAGTGCACAAGAATTCCACCTTGTGGCTTTTTAAAAATGCAAAATCTCAGCTCCCACTCCAGAAATGAGGATTCAGTATCAGGGACAGGGCTGGAGGATCTGCATTTTCACACCCTTCTAGGATGATTCCCATATTGGTGACCCAGGGACCATTTTAAGAACAATTGTTCTAGTCTAATTTCCCACCCAATCCCAAAGTCTTCGTGGGGTTGTACCCAAGGGGCTCAAATTTCTCCTCCCAAACAGAGATTCCATCTCCTTTTCCAGACAAGTGACCATTCAAGCTTTGGAAGGAAATCTTTTGTTGGAGGAAACCAAGGTTTAGGAGACAGCACCCTATCCTGTGGAACAGCTCTCATTTTGAGACAGTCCTGACAATTTTGCTTTGCTTTTTTAAAATGAGCTTCCTTCTGTGATATTCTGATCCTCCTTGAAAACTAGGTTCAAGGCATTTATTTGAAAGTTACTATTAAAGTTTTATTATTTATTTATTTTGAGACGGGGTCTCACTCTGTCGCCCAGTCTGGTCTCATACTCCTGGGCTTAAATTAATCCTTGACCTCCTGTAGTGCTGGGATTACAGGTATGAACCACCACACCTGGCCTCACAGTTCTCTTAAAAGCACATCCTTTTTCTTTTTCTCTATTTATTTATTTATTTTTTAAGTTTGAAACAGTGTCTCGCTCAGGTGCCCAGGCTGGAGTGCAGTGGTGCAATCTCAGCTCACTGCATCCTCAACCTGCCAGGCTCAAGCAATCCTCCCACCTCAGCTTCCCAAGTAGGTGGGATTACTGCTGTGTGCCACCACGCCCAGCTACTTTTTGTATTTTTTATGGAGATGGAGTTTCGCCATGTTCCCCAGGCTGGTCTTGAATTCCTGGGCTCAAGTAATCTCCCGCCTCAGCCTCCCAAAGTGCTGGGATTACAGCTATGAGCCACCGTCCCCAGCCTGCACGTCCTTTTTCAAAACCAACAACTGCCTCAAAGTCCAGACATTTTCTTTGTTCTAAATTAAGCAGTATAGAGGATGGGAAAATGTATACATCGAAATGTTTCTTCAGAATCATGTTTTATATAAGTTACTTATATATTTCTTTTTCTAAAAATGATGTAAGTTGAATAATCAAAACATTTCTTTGCAATTATTATCTGGATCGTTTCACGTACCTCATGTGTTGTTACTGAAAAAGTTGTATTTCATTTTTCTGGTTTCTGTGGAGGCAACATGGGGTACAGGAAATAAAGTGTGTTTAAGGAAGAACCGGTGTTCTAATCCCAATTCCAGTACTTTCTAGTTATGTGACCTCGGGCTGGTGACGTCCTCTCTGATTCTCAGTTCTTCCTCTCTGATTCTCACTTTCCTAATCTTTAAAATGGGGACAGTGCCTCCAGGGTTGTGACATTTATATGAGACAGCATGTGTAAAGCCCTAGTAGAGTGCTAAGCACAACTATTTTCTATTAATATTAGTTTTTTTCCTCTCTCACTCTCTTTAGAGCAAATTTATGAGTTCCTATCCTGCTGTAATATTTAAGATCATTTTGATTTCCAAAAAGATGCATTTTCTGGAGCACTTAACTGTATGTGAGACATAAAAAAATTCATAAAAAAAATAGTGGGCCATCTTTTTAAAAAACTTTGCTGAGAAAACTAAGGGCAAATTGACTATCTAGTTTCTTATCAGGTTTTGCTCTCTATGACCAAAGTCATCCATTTGTTAATTTAGCAGATATTTATGAACACTTATCATGTGCCAGGCAGTATAGTAGATGTAGACAATATAACTGTAAAGAAGACAGACAAGGTCCCTAACCTAAAATAAATTATATAAGAAAAAGATAGTAAGCAAATAAAGTAATTACAGATTTTGATAAATGCTTAAACAGTAAAACTGAATAATGTCAGTGAATTTAACATGGTAAGAAAATATGTTCCTCACTGAGTTTAAATTTGTGAAAAAATATTAGGAAATTATCTTAAACTCTTAAGTCTTAATTAAGGTTTTGAAATTAGGCTGTGTCAGAAAATGGGAGATTTGTGGCCAAGCACAGTGGTTCACGCCTGTAATTCCAGCACTTTGGGAGACTGAGACGGGTGGATCACCTGAGGTCAGGAGTTCAAGACCAGCCTGGCCAACATGGTGAAACCCCATCTCTACTAAAAATACAAAAATTAGTGGAGTGTGGTAATGCAGACCTGTACTCCCAGCTACTCAGGAAGCTGAGGCAGGAGAATTGCTTGAACCTGGGAGACGGAGGTTGCAGTGAGCCGAGATCATGCCACTGCACTCCAGCCTGGACAATAGAGTGAGACTCTGTCTCAGAAAAAACCAAACAAACAGAAAAGAAAACAGAGATTTAAGGAAAATAAATGAGAACACAGTTAAAGATTTCCTAGGTCTGAAATGTTTTACAGTTTATCCAAGGGATGTAATTTACATTTCTTCCATTAAAGTATCAATGTTTTGGTAATTTTTCTGCTTAACTTCTAAGAAATTATGATGTCATTTTTCTTAGAAATCATTCTGTATAAGAACAATTAATATGGACACTTTATTAGAAAATTGTGCCCCCAATAATCTTTCTCAGTGGTTTCTCTGAATTTTTTAAATTTTATTTTAAATTGACAGTTTATAATTGTATATATTTATGGGGTGCAAAATGATGCTGTGGTTTAATTCAATGTGGAATAACTAAGTCAAGCTAATTAATATATTCATCACCTCACGTACTTATTTTTTGTGATGAGAACATTTGAAATTTATCAATTTTAAAATGTATATGATTCATTTAGAATCATGCCTTTGCAGTCAATAGTAATATGTTTACTTTATACCTTATAATTCAACTCTTAGGTGGAAAAGATTCTAGGAATTTACATTTTCTCCACTTCCTTGAGTCTTCTGTTTTAGGAATTAAATTGCCTGTTTAATTGGTGTTGTGACTGTGTTTTTATTTTATTCTGTTCCCAATACTGTTTCCCAAGAAGTTTGCAATATAATGTAATACACTGTTATTAACTATATTCACCACACTGTGCAATAGATCTCAATTTTTAAAAACCCTATCCTTCTTGTCTAACTGAGGCTTTGTACCCTTTTGCCTTCATCTTCCTATTCCTCCCAGCTGTCAGCTTCTGGTAACCACCATTCTGTTCTCTGCTTCTATGAGTTCAGGTGTTTTAGATTCCTCATATAAGTGGAACATGTGGTATTTGTACTTCTGTGCCTGGCTTATTTCACTTTGCATAATGGTCTCTTAGTTCTCTTATTCCATCCACGTTGTGGCAAATGTCAGAATGTATTTCTTTTTTAAGGCTGAATAGTAGTCCATTGTGTATATATGCCACATTTTCTTTATCCATTCATCTGTTGATAGACACTTAGTTTGATTCCGTAACTTGGCCATTGTGAATACTGCTACAATAAACGTGGGCATGCAGACATCTCTTCAACTGATTTCAAATCTTTTGGGTAAATACCCAGAAGTGGGACTGCCGAATAGAGTGGTAGTCCTATTTTTAATTTTTTGAGGAAACTTTATACTGTTTTCTGTAATGGCTATACCAATTTACATACCCACCAACAGGACACAAGGTTTCCCCTTTTTCCACATCTTTGCCAACACCTATCTTTTGACTTACTGGTAATGCCATCCTAACAGGTGTGAGGTGATATCTCCTCATGATTTTGATTTGCACTCCCTCATGATTAGTGATGTTGAGCACTTTTTCATGTACCTGTTGGCCATTTGTATGTCTTATTTGGAAAAATGTCTGTTCAGGTCCTTTGCCCATTTTTAATCGGATTATTTGTTTTTTTTTTTGTTTTTTTTTTGCTACTGAGTTGTATGAGTTCCTGATGTATTTTGGATATTAATCCCTTATCAGATATATGGTTTGCAAACATTTTCTCCCATTCTGTAGGTTGTCTTGTCATTTTGTTGATTCTTCCCTTTGCTGTGCAGAATCTTTTTGGTTTGTTGTAGACCTTTTTTATTTTTGCTTTTGTTGACTGCTTTTAGTGTCACATCCAAAAAATTATTGCCAAGACTAATGTCAAAGAGCTTTATCCCTCTGTTTTTGTCTCAGAGTTTTCCAGCTTTAGGTGTTAGATTTAAGTCTTTAATCCATTTTGAGTTATATAATTTTTGTAAGTGGTGTAAGATAGGAGTCCTGTTTGTTTCTTTTATTTTTTTTCATGTAAGTATCTAGTTTTCCCAACACGATTTATTTAAAAGATTATCCTTTCCCCATCATGTACTCTTGGCACCTTTGTCAAATATTGAACATATATGCGTGGGTTTATTTAGATTAATTTTTTGTCATGTTTTAAAACCTAACCATTGTGTTCTTGGATGGTAAACCTTGTGATATTAACCCGTAACTTTTTGAGTGATAAGTTCCACCACAAGGCCATAACCTGCTCTGATTCTGGTGGCTACAAAAGAATACTTCCTCTCTGTTCTATGTGGGATGAGTAAGTATCAATCTCTGGATTAGACTTCCCTGGCTGGATGCTGCAGTGCACAGCAGAGGGAGTTGGCTACTATAGGTGGAGAATGGTTAGAAGACTCACAAATAATTAATCCAGGGAACAGAGTTGCATTTTTTCATCTCTAAGAGTCATTTCTATACATTACAATTCAAGCAGCACCATTTGTTCCCTTGACGCCTGTTTTATCCGGTAATTTGTAGCAATCTACCCTTCAAAAGGAAAGTTACCTTGTCCTATATGGTTTGAACTCAGAACATTCTTTTATTAAATTTTGAGCACTTACTATGTGCCAGGCATTGTAATGGTTTAAATGGATCTACTACAAGATTGCATGGCCAAATTTTATATGCTTAAGAAGATCTAGGTAATGTTAGCTTTCATGGAAATATTTTCTCATTTAGAATCTTGCCTTTGCAGTCAATCTTAATGTGTTACTTTTATACCTTATAAAGACTAATTCAACTCTTAGGTGGAAAAGATTCTAGGAATTTACATTTTCTCCATTTCCTTGAGTCTTCTGTTTTAGGAATTAAATTGCCTATTTAATTAGTGTTGTGACTGTTTTTATTTTATTCTGTTCCCAATACTGTTTCCCAAGAAGTTTGCAGTATAATTGTCTTTTAAAAATAACATTGTTTTCTTCTCAAAGTAATATGTATTGTCAAATTTAGAAAATATCAGTAGAGAATAAAAACCACCCATAATCCACCCTGTTAATATTTTAGTTTATATTTTTCCAGTCTTTTATATGTGTACTTATTTTATATATGTGTATGTGTGTGTTTCTTTTATAAAAATGAGATATGTTCTCTTTTGTAGCTTGTAATTTTTAATCTAATAATATATGGTAAGTAAGTAGCTTTTTACTCTCATGATTGTTTTTAAACAGAATTTTTTTTTTCTAGAACAGGGACCAGAAGAATACTATTAATAAATTACTGTACAGGATAAATTCAGAAACCCAAACTGGAACCCAGGAACAAAATCCACTTCTCTGCTCCTTTCCATCCTTAATTCCTGCCCCTTTCGGTCCTTAATTCCTGCCCCATTCCCGTCCCGTAATCCCAGGGTACGAGGGTTCTATTGGGGAAGTCGCTGAAGGAAAGTTATCCAGTCAGATATATAGTTAGCACTTTAAGTTCTCTTCTTTGCAGAGCTTTTCAGCTAACTCTTCAGAAAGTTCTACGGCTAATCATTCTTCAGAATGATCTACTGTTAATGTGCAAATATATTTGACTATTAAATTATCTCTGTTTTGAGAGAGTGGGACGTCCGGCTTCGGGGTAGGAACCTTCGTTGCGCCAGCGACAAAAAAGAATTAAATATGGGTGATGTTGAGAAGGGCAAGAAGATTTTTGTTCAGAAGTGTGCCCAGTGACACACCGTGGAAAAGGGAGGCAAGCATAAGACTGAGCATAATCTCCATGGTCTCTTCGGGCAGAAGACAGGTCAGGCCGTTGGATTCTCTTACACAGACGCCAATAAAAACAAAGGCATCACCTGGGGAGAGGATACACTGATGGAGTATTTGGAGAATCCCAAGAAGTACATCCCTGGAACAAAAATGATCTTTGCTGGCATTAAGAAGAAGGCAGAAAGAAAAATGATAGCTTATCTCAAAAAAAGCTACTAGTGAGTAATTATTGACCACTGCCTTATTTATTACAAATGTCTCATGACTTTTTTATGTGTACCATACTTTAATAGATCTCATACACCAGAATTCAGATCGTGAATTACTGACAGAATATTTTATTGGGCCGTCCTGATTTAAAACTGATTTAAGACTGGCTTGTGGTTAAATGAATATGTTCAGTGTTTGAATTTTAATAGTAATTCCAATTCAGTAAATGCTATCACTGTTTACCCCTTCTAAAAATATAATTAGACTTCATTAGTAATGTTCAACTTTTCACAAAGATGGTGAGTGCCATCTTAAAACTTACTGGAGTTTGGTTTTATATTTAGATTTATATAACTAGTTATGTGAATATATTTAAATACTGGGGAAATTCCTTCACTGTGTCAGAACCAAGCAAGATTCACCTGTGTTTTGTGTTCATTTGCCTCTTAAAGGCAAGGGTTGAAGATAAATAAGGTAGCAATGTCTACTTTATATTTTTGGCCTTAATTATGCCAATCTAACCAGAATCACTGTATTTAAAATGGTTCCTTTTACTTATTGAAAGGCATTTTAGTGTGGTTTGTGTGTAATATCAAAGATCATTTAACACTTTTAAAATTTTATAGATGATCTATAAGGTCACATGCTTTTAAAATAGTAGCAAGTTAAACTTCACTCTTGAATTCTTTATAATCTAAGTCAAACTAAGTTATAATTTAGGATGGTCTTTAAAGAGCCATTCAGAAAGATAAAACTGTAGAACTGCTGTGTATTCGTGATTGGGAATGGTGCTTTGGCCAACTTAAAAGTAGAGAAGATATACACAAATTTTAAAATTATGTGTGATCATAAGACTTAAAATAACTGAAAAGAAAACCACAGATCATGAAAAATAGATAAATAAATTATCTCTGTTTGGAAATACTCAATTTTTTTATTCATTCTAAATGTCTTTATAGTCTATGAGAAATTATATACAAATAACTCAGGCCACAGATTAAATAAATATATACTAGATATTAAAAACAATGGTAGGAATGTGTTTTAAAATGTAGCATGAAAGTGTATTCCTAAAAATGTATGTAATAGTAGCCAGTGCAGCTATAGTCATTTGAAAATTGCATTTTTAGTCCCATAAAAGTAAAACATTGACTATGAAAATGTAGAAAATACCAATAAGGGTCGGGTGCTGTGGCTCACACCTGTAATGCCAGGAGGCCAAGGAGGGAGGATTGCTTAAGCTCAGGAATTCAAGACCAGCCTGGGCAACATAGTGAGACCTTGTCTCTACAAAAAATTTTTTAAATGAGGCAGGAGGATTACTTGAGCCTAGGAGGTTGAGGCTGCAGTGAGCCATGATCATGCCAGTATGTTCCTGCCTGGGTGACAGAGCAAGACCTTCCCAAAAACAAAAGTAAAATGAAAGAAAATACCAGTAAGCAGAAAAGAAACACAAATCATTTACAATCCCACCACTGTGAATATTCCATTAGTTTACTAATCTGTCTCTTTCTTAATCTATAGTAGATTCTGTTAAAAATGGTTATTATCAAAGGACAGCTCTCCTGTGTTTTTTGACCCTTGTTAAAAATCAAATTTTGACAAATTTTACTTAAAGATCTTTTATTAGGGATTCATGAATTGGGCAGCATCCCATCTAAAGACTTCAAAAGCCACTCCAATGAGCTGAACAAAGGAGGTACTTATAAGTAGAAAAAGGCCAAGGAAAGCAGAAAGAAGGAGCAAAAAACAGATTGGTAGTTACAAAGTTACTTTCCTTACAGGATTCAAACAAAGGAGACTTCTTTACCATGCCAGCTCAGGTAAACTGGGCCTCTACTGATTGCTGTGAATCTCTGGATTTTTGGAATATTGGCTCATTTTAGAGTTTGATTAATTACATTAATGAGTGACTCCATTCTGGTTTGGTCTGGCCAGTTGAGCCTAGTCCAAGTACTCAGTCCAAAACAATGGCCTCCCATAATTTTTATGTGACATCCTCTTTATTTGAATTGAATATGTATACATTAAGTATCTATTTTTAACCTATCCCATGAACAAATGGTCTTATTCCTGTTTTAAGATCAGAAGCTTTTATCCACCCTGTGTATAAACCACAGCAGATTTAATTTAATTCCAGATTAATTTCCCCTGGATACCTGTAGATATCTGGGCCATCATGTGTCTTTAATGAAAGGTATTAGTAAAAACTAATTTTTAAAGTTTGTTTTAGTCATTTGAGTAATAACAATAACAAAATAATAATAATAGAATAAATAACATATAAAGGAAAAAAGTCAGCCATACTCCCATCATTAGTATTTTGGTCAATCTGTTTCAGTTTGTATATATTTATTTTTACATATTTGTACACAATTTTGTATTTTACTTCCTTTATAGAAATTTTTACCATTTTTACCATTAAAAAGTTGATTTTTAATGCATTGCCAAGATAATGTTCTGCAGCTAATGCCAACACATATCTTTTCTAGCTCCTTTTACCTGAAGACTCCTAGGTGCTGACCATCCTGACTTGGGCAATTTATAGTATTCACTGTCATCATTGCTATTATTTCTTGAACACTTCTTATGTTTCTGATACTTTATATCAGTGGCCTACCTGAACAAGTTCTCCTTCACCATGTCCATTGAACATTATTATTGGATGGCTATCTCTTTCTTTCTACCTGATAGTTGAGTTAGTATTTTCAGCCCCCATGCTGACTGATCTCTACATCTTCCTTCATTCTATATGCCTTTTTTGCAAAAGTTCTATCATGCCTCCAACATAATCAGCCTTATCATGCCAGGATGTACAAATCAACTGACTCTAGTTCAGTGTTTTCTTTCCTTTGAGCAAAAGCTCTTTGAAAACAGAGATACTAAGCAAGGACCACAGGGAAGGTTTTCTTCTCTCTGTGATTAGTTGCATTTGTTGCCTGGTGCACATGGGGAAAGTATCGTCATTTAGATCATTTTCTTCTGTTCCATCTGATGCTGCCGTTTAGATAGTTCAAAACAGGGAAAACAGACTCCTGCTAATTACTTGCAGATTTTTAAAGTGTGAATGCCCTTAATAGCTTAAATTCTTATAAAGAGATTGTAGAATAATTATACTTTTAGCCTACACCTTCTAAATTCTCTTTTCTAAGTGATTATTACTTGGATCCGTGGTAGACCTCCCATGTAGACAATCAACTTAAAAATACCTCAAATTTGTAAAGATGTAGATAAAACTGAACTGTTTTTATTAAATTCTAGGTCTTCTGTTGCTGGCCAGTTTTAACTTAATACTGCATTATTTATTTTGTTACTCAAATTGTTTCCACTTTTGCCATTGGGAGCTCTTTCTGTTGCTTCTGCATCTTTTTGACATTCTCATCAGTCTCTGTGTTTTGAGCACTTCCCTACTTTTCTGGCAATACATGATGCTCCAGGCTCATCTTGTATATTCCCTGCTCTAGCCCTAAAATTAATCATTTCAACCAAGGATCCCTGGTTCCTTTTATTGGAAAATAGTATTAGAAACCAGATTTGCTCTGATATGCTCATCACTCTTGGAGTGTCATTGCTTTTAGGCCGTGTCAGTGACCATAGGTAGGAACTATATGTATGTATATTAATCTGTGTATGCATACATATTTTTATTTCTATGTTTACTCATCAGTGTCTATATTTAAGCTAAAGAGGATTTCACCCTGATGTCTTAGAATCTAACTGAGAACTACACAGTTTATTCTAACCTTTCCTCCTTACTTATCCGTAACCTCCCAGTCCATAGTGAGAAATCTGGCTCCTACCATTCACCATCCTTTTACTTATTTTTTCAATTCCAGTATACATATACAGCAGTATCAGAGCTATTAACCCATACTTCCATAAAAACTAACTACAGAACGGTACTTATGTACAGGGTTTTTTGTTGTTGTTGCTTTCTTTTACAGTTTCCATTCATTTCCAAAGTTTCTTAAACTGCAGTCTCCCCATCCCCTTCAGTGAGATTGTGTCATGTCATGCATTTATTATACAAGCATGCCTCAGAGATATTGCAGGTTGGTTCCAGACCACCACAATAAAGTGAATATCACAATCAAGCAAGTCATACAAATGTGGTTTCCCAGTGCCTATAATAGTTATGTTTTCACTAGACTGTAGTTTATTAAGTGTGCAGTAGCATTAGGTCTAAAAAAAATAATGTATATACGTTAATTTTAAAATATTGCTACAAAATACTAAGGATCAACTGAGCCTCCAGTGAGTTGTAATCTGTTTTGGTTTAGGGTCTTGCCTCAGTGGTGATGGCTGCTGACTGATCGGGATAGACTTCTGCTGAAAGCTGGGGTGGCTGTGACTGTTTCTTAAAATAACAATGACGTTTACTGCTTCATTGTTGACTCTTCTTTCATGAAAGATCTTTCTGTAGCATGTGATGCTGTTTGATAGCACTTTGCCCACAGTGGAACTTCTTTCAAAACTGGAGTCAGTCCTCTTAAACCCTGCCACTGCTTTATCAACCAAGTTTAAGGAATATTCTAAATCCTTTGTTTTCAGTTCATCAGAGGGCAGCATCTTCACTAGATGTAGATTCCCTATCAAGAAACCACTTTCTTTACTCATCCGTAAAAAGCAGTCCCTCCTTCATTCAAGTTTTATCATGAAATTGCAGCAATTTAGTCACATTTTCAGCTCCACTTCTAATTCTACTTCTCTTGCTGTTTACACTACATGTACAGATACTTCCTCCACTGAAGTCTTGAACCTCTCCAAGTCATCCATGAGGGCTGGAATCAGCTTCTTCCTAACTCCTGTTAATGTTGGTATTTTGACCTCCTCCCATGAATTGCAAATGTCCTTCATTTGTGATTCATAAAGGAGAGTTCCTGTTACTCTCCATCCTTGCCACTTTGATATTGCTAGTTTTTTTAAAAAATCCATTCTAATAGATGTGTAATGGTACGTATTATGGTTTTAGTTTGCACATCCCCTATACTGAGCATCTTTTCATATACTTAGTTACTATCTACATGTTTTCAGCAAGGTGTCTGTTCAGATCTTGTGCCTATGTTTTTTAGTAGAAATTTTAAAATATAGTATCAAAGTTTTATTTATAATTTAAAAATAATTATAAAGTTCAAACAATACAGAAATGTATAAAGGGAATAAAATAGGATATACCCTTCCTCTTTGCTCCACACCTAAATTTCTGAAAATGACTCCCCCCCTCTACAAAAAATACAATAAATGAGCCAGACGTGGTGGCGTGTGCCTGTAGTCCCAGCTACTTAGGAGGCTGAGGTGGGAAAAACACCTGAGCCCACGAGGTCAAGGCTGCAGTGAGCCGTGATCGCACCACTGCACACCAGCCTGGGTGACAGAGTGAGACCCTGTCTCAAAAAAATAAAAACTCATCAGCAAACCAAAGGTCATGTAGCTTTTCTCCTATATTTTTTTCTAGAAGTTTGATAGTTTCTGCATTTATATTTAGGTCTAAGATACATTTTGAATTAATTTTTATGTAAGGTGTGAGTGAGGTTGAATTCACTTCATATAAACATCCAGATGTCTTGCATCATTTGTTGAAAAAACTTTTCTTTCTCCATTGGATTGTCTTTGCACCTTTTTCAAAAATTAGTCGACTATATTTTTCTGGGTCTATTTCCAATCTCTCTATTCTGTTCCATTGATTGAAGTGTCTAATGTTTTGCCCCTCTATATTTATTGTTGTAGCTTTATATTAAGTCTTGAAATCAGGTAATGTAAATCCTGCAACTTTGTTCTTCTTTTCCGAGTGGAATTGGCTCTTCTAGCACCTTTCCCTTTTCATATAAATTTTAGAATAAGCTTGTATATGTCTACAAAATACCTGGCTGGGATTTCAATATGAATTTTATTACACCTATAGATCAACTTGGAGAGAATTAGCATCTTTACTGTGTTATCTTTCAATCAAGAACACAAAATATTTCTTCATTTATTTAGATTTACTTTAAGTTCCAGGGTACATGTGCAGGATGTGCAGGTTTTTTACATAGGTAAATGTGTACCATGGTAGTTTGCTGCACAGATCAACCCATCACCCAGGTATTAAGCCCAGCATTAGCTGTTCTTCCTGATGCTCTTCCTCCCCCGACCCCCCAACAGGCCCCAGTGTATGTTGTTCCCCTCTGTGTGTCCATGTTTTCTCATCGTTCAGTTCCCATTTATAAGTGAGAACATGTGGCCTGCATCAGTTTGCTGAGGATGACTTTGTATCTTGCAACCTTGTGAAACTCACCTGTGCGGGAGTTATTCAGTAGATTCTTTGGGGTTTTCTGCATCCATGGACAACCATGAAAGACAATTATGTTGTCTGTGAATAAAGAGAGCTTTCTTTCTTTCCAATCTGCATACCTTTCTCTTTTTTTTTTTGTCTTATTACACTTAGCTAGGACTTTTAATATGAAGTTCAGTAGAAGTGGTGAGAGAGCACATCTTGCCTCGTTCCTGATTTAAGGGGGAAACATCAAGTCTCTCACTATTTTTTTTCATTATACTTTAAGTTTTAGGGTACATGTGCACAATGTGCAGGTTTGTTACATATGTATACATGTGCCATGTTGGTGTGCTGCACCCATTAACTCGTCATTTAGCATTAGGTATATCTACTAATGCTATCCCTCCCCCCTCCCCCCACCCCACAACAGTTCTCGGTGTGTGATGTTCCCCTTCCTGTGTCCATGTGTTCTCATTGTTCAATTCCCACCTATGAGTGAGAACACGCGGTGTTTGGTTTTTTGTCCCTGCAATGGTTTGCTGAGAATGATGGTTTCCATCTTCATCCATATCCCTACAAAGGACGTGAACTCATCATTTTTTATGGCTGCATAGTATTCCATGCTGTATATGTGTCACATTTTCTTAATCCAGTCTATCATTGTTGGACATTTGGGTTGGTTCCAAGTCTTTGCTATTGTCAATAGTGCCGCAGTAAACATACGTGTGCATGTGTCTTTATAGCAGCATGATTTATAATCCTTTGGATATATACCCAGTAATGGGATGGCTGGGTCAAATGGTAATTCTAGATCTAGAACCCAGAGGAATCGCCACACTGACTTCCACAATGGTTGAACTAGTTTACAGTCCCACCAACAGTGTAAAAGTGTTCCTGTTTCTCCACATCCTCTCCAGCACCTGTTGTTTCCTGACTTTTTAATGATCGCCATTCTAACTGGTGTGAGATGGTATCTCATTGTGGTTTTGATTTGCATTTCTCTGATGGCCAGTGATGATGAGCATTTTTTCATGTGTCTTTTGGCTGCATAAATGTCTTCTTTTGAGAAGTGTCTGTTCATATCCTTTGCCCACTTTTTGACAGGGTTGTTTGTTTTTTTCTTATAAATTTGTTTGAGTTCATTGTAGATTCTGGATATTAGCCCTTTGTCAGATGAGTAGGTTGCAAAAATTTTCTCCCATTCTGTAGGTTGCCTGTTCACTCTGATGGTAGTTTCTTTTGCTGTGCAGAAGCTCTTTAGTTTAATTAGATCCCATTTTTCAATTTTGGCTTTTGTTGCCATTGCTTTTGGTGTTTTAGACATGAAGTCCTTGCTCATGCTTATGTCCTGAATGGTATTGCCTAGGTTTTCTTCTAGAGTTTTTATGGTTTTAGGTCTAACATTTAAGTCTTTAATCCATCTTGAATTAATTTTTGTATAAGTTGTAAGGAAGGGATCCAGTTTCAGCTTTCTACATATGGCTAGCCAGTTTTCCCAGCACCATTTATTAAATAGGGAATCCTTTCCCCATTGCTTGTTTTTGTCAGGTTTGTCAAAGATCAGATAGTTGTAGATGTGTGGCATTATTTCTGAGGGCTCTGTTCTGTTCCATTGGTCTATATCTCTGCTTTGGTACCAGTACCATGCTGTTTTGGTTACTGTAGCCTTATAGTACAGTTTGAAGTCAGGTAGCATGATGCCTCCAGCTTTGTTCTTTTGGCTTGGGATTGACTTGGCAATGCAGGCTCTTTTTCGGTTCCATATGAACTTTAGAGTAGTTTTTTCCAATTCTGTGAAGAAAGTCATCGGTAGCTTGATGGGGATGGCATTGAATCTATAAATTACCTTGGGCAGTATGGCCATTTTCACGATATTGATTCTTCCTACCTATGAGCATGGAATGTTCTTCCATTTGTTTGTATCCTCTTTTATTTCCTTGAGCAGTGGTTTGTAGTTCTTCTTGACGAGGTCCTTCACGTCCCTTGTAAGTTGGATTCCTAGGTATTTTATTCTCTTTGAAGCAGTTGTGAATGGGAGTTCACTCATGATTTGGCTCTCTGTTTATCTGTTATTGGTGTTTAAGAATGCTTGTGATTTTTACACATCGATTTTGTATCCTGAGACTTTGCTGAAGTTGCCTGTCAGCTTAAGGAGATTTTGGGCTGAGACAATGGGGTTTTCTAGATATACAATCATGTCATCTGCAAACAGGGACAATTTGACTTCCTCTTTTCCTAATTGAATACCCTTTATTTCCTTCTCCTGCCTGATTGCCCAGGCCAGAACTTCCAACACTATGTTGAATAGGAGTGGTGAGAGACAGCATCCCTGTCTTGTGCCCGTTTTCAAAGGGAATGCTTCCAGTTTTTGCCCATTCAGTATGATATTGGCTGTGGGTTTGTCATAGATAGCTCTTATTATTTTGAGATATGTCCTATCAATACCTAATTTATTGAGAGTTTTTAGCATGAAGGTTGTTGAATTTTGTCAAAGGCCTTTTCTGCATCTATTGAGATAATCATGTGGTTTTTGTCTTTGGTTCTGTTTATATGCTGGATTACATTTATTGATTTGTGTATGTTGAACCAGCCTTGCATCCCAGGGATGAAGCCCACTTGATCATGGTGGATAAGCTTTTTGATGTGCTGCTGGATTTGGTTTGCCAGTATTTTATTGAGGATTTTTACATCAATGTTCATCAAGGATATTGGTCTAAAATTCTCTTTTTTTGTTGTGTCTCTGCCAGCCTTTGGTATCAAGATGATGCTGGCCTCATAAAATGAGTTAGGAACAAAGACACAACATACCAGAATCTCTGGGACACATTCAAAGCAGTGTGTAGAGGGAAATTTATAGCACTAAATGCCCACAAGAGAAAGCAGGAAAGATCTAAAATTGACACCCTAACATCACAATTAAAAGAACTGGAAAAGCAAGAGCTAAAACATTCAAAAGCTAGCAGAAGGCAAGAAATAACTAAGATCAGAGCAGAACTGAAGGAAATAGAGACACAAAAAACCCTTCAAAAAATTAATGAATCCAGGAGCTGGTTTTTAGAAAAGATCAACAAAATTGATAGACTGCTAACAAGACTAATAAAGAAGAAAAGAGAGAAGAATCAAATAGACGCAATAAAAAATGATAAAGGGGATATCACCACTGATCCCACAGAAATACAAACTACCATCAGAGAATACTATAAACACCTCTATGCAAATAAACTAGAAAATCTAGAAGAAATGGATAAATTCCTCAACACATACATCCTCCCAAGACTAAACCAGGAAGAAGTTGAATATCTGAATAGACCAATTACAGGCTCTGAAATTGAGGCAATAATCAATAGCTTACCAACCAAAAAAAGTCCAGGAGCAGATGGATTCACAGCTGAATTCTACCAGAGGTACAAAGAGGAGCTGGTACCATTCCTTCTGAAACTATTCCAATCAATAGAAAAAGAGGGAATCCTCCCTTTATCATTTTTTATTGCATCTGTTTGATTCTTCTCTCTATTCTTCTTTATTAGTCTTGCTAGCGGTCTATCAATTTTGTTGATCTTTTCAAAAAACCAGCTCCTGCATTCATTGATTTTTTGAAGGGTTTTTTGTGTCTCTATTTCCTTCAGTTCTGCTCTGATCTTAGTTATTTCTTGCCTTCTGCTAGCTTTTGAATTTGTTTGTTCTTGCTTCTCCAGTTCTTTTAATTGTGATGTTAGGGTGTCAATTTTAGATCCTTCCTGCTTTCTCTTGTGAGCATTTAGTGCTATAAATTTCCCTCTATACACTGCTTTGAATGTGTCCCAGAGATTCTTGTATGTTGTGTCTTTGTTCTCGTTGGTTTCAAAGAACATCTTTATTTCTGCCTTCATTTTGTTATGTACCCAGTAGTCATTCAGGAGTAGGTTGTTCAGTTTCCATGTAGTTGAGCGGTTTTGAGTGAGTTTCTTAATCCTGAGTTCTATTTTGATTGCACTGTGGTCTGAGAGACAGTTTGTTACAATTTCTGTTCTTTTACATTTGCCGAGGAGTGCTTTACTTCCAACTATATGGTCAATTTTGGAATAGGTGTGGTGTGGTGCTGGAAATAATGTATATTCTGTTGCCTTGGGGTGGAGAGTTCTGTAGATGTCTATTAGGTCTGCTTGGTGCAGAGCTCAGTTCAATTCCTGGATATCCTTGTTAACTTTCTGTATAGCTGATCTGTCTAATGGGGATAGTGGGGTGTTAAAGTCTCCCATTATTATTGTGTGGGAGTCTAAGTCTCTTTGTAGTTCTCTAAGGACTTGCTTTATGAATCTGGGTGCTCCTGTATTGGGTGTATATATGTTTAGGGTAGTTAGCTCTTCTTGTTGAATTGATCCCTTTACCATTATGTAATGGCCTTCTTTGTTTCTTTTGATCTTTGTTGGTTTAAAGTCTGTTTTATCAGAGACTGGGATTGCAACCCCTGCTTATTTTTTTTGTTTTCCATTTGGTAGATCTTCCTCCATCCTTTTATTTTGAGCCTATGTGTGTCTCTGCACATGAGATGGGTTTCCTGAATACAGCACCCTGTTGGGTCTTGACTCTTTATCCAATTTGCCAGTCTGTGTCTTTTAATTGGAGCATTTAGCCCATTTACATTTAAGGTTAATATTGTTATGTGTGAATTTGATCCTGTCAAATTCACTAACCTGATGTTAGCTGGTTATTTTGCTCGTTAGTTGATGCATTTTCTTCCTAGCCTTGATGGTCTTTACAATTTGGCATGTTTTTGCAGCAGCTGGTACCGGTTGTTCCTTTCCATGCTTAGTGCTTCCTTCAGGAGCTCTTTTAGGGCAGGCCTGGTGGTGACAAAATCTCTGAGCATTTGCTTGTCTGTAAAGTATTTTATTTCTCCTTCACTTATGAAGCTTAGTTTGGCTGGATATGAAATTCTGAGTTGAAAATTCTTTTCTTTAAAAATGTTGAATATCGGCCCCCACTCTCTTCTGGCTTGTAGAGTTTCTGCCGAGAGATCCGCTGTTAGTCTGATGGGCTTCCCCTTGTGGGTAACCCGACCTTTCTCTCTGGCTGCCCTTAACATTTTTTCCTTCATTTCAACTTTGGTGAATCTGACAATTATGTGTCTTGGAATTGCTCTTCTCAAGGAGTATCTTTGTGGCGTTCTCTGTATTTCCTGAATTTGAATGTTGGCCTGCCTTGCTAGATTGGGGAAGTTCTCCTGGATAATATCCTGCAGAGTGTTTTCCAACTTGGTTCCATTCTCCCCGTCACTTTCAGGTGCACTAATCCGATGTAGATTTGGTCTTTTCACATAGTCCCATATTTCTTGGAGGCTTTGTTCATTTCTTTTTATTCTTTTTTCTCCAAGCTTCTCTTCTCACTTCATTTCATTCATTTGATCTTCCATCACTGATACCCTTTCTTCCAGTTGATCGAATCGGCTACTGAGGCTTGTGCATTTGTCATGTAGTTCTCGTGGCTTGGTTTTCAGCTCCATCAGGTCCTTTAAGGACTTATCTGCATTGGTTATTCTAGTTAGCCATTCATCTAATTTTTTTTCAAGGTTTTTAACTTCTTTACCATGGGTTTGAACTTCCTCCTTTAGCTCGGAGTAGTTTGATCATCTGAAGCCTTCTTCTCTCAGCTCATCAAAGTCATTCTCCGTCCAGCTTTGTTCCGTTGCTGGTGAGGAGCTGTGTTCCTTTGGAGGAGGAGAGGCGCTCTGATTTTTAGAGTTTCCAGTTTTTCTGCTCTGTTTTTTCCCCATCTTTGTGGTTTTATCTACCTTTGGTCTTTGATGTTGGTGACGTACAGATGGGGTTTTGTTGTGGATGTCCTTTCTGTTTGTTAGTTTTCCTTCTAACAGTCAGGACCCTCAGCTGCAGGTCTGTTGGAGTTTGCTGGAGGTCCACTCCAGACCCTGTTTGCCTGGATATCAGCAGTGGAGGCTGCAGAACAGCGATATTGCTGAACAGCAAATGTTGCTGCCTGATTGTTCCTCTGGAAGTTTTGTCTCAGAGGAGTACCCGACCATGTGAGGTGTCAGACTGCCCCTACTGGGGGGTGCCTCCCAGTTAGGCTACTCAGGGGTCAGGGATCCACTTGAGGAGGCAGTCTGTCCGTTCTCAGATCTCAAACTGCGTACTGGGAGAACCACTACTCTCTTCAAAGCTGTCAGACAGGGATATTTAAGTCTGCAGAGGTTTCTGCTGCCTTTTGTTTGGCTATGCCCTGCCCCCAGAGGTGGAGTCTACAGAGGCAGGCAGGCCTCCTTGAGCTGCACTGGGCTCCACCCAGTTCGAGCTTCTCGGCCGCTTTGTTTACCTACTCAAGCCTTGGCAATGGCGGGCGCCCCTCCCCTCGCCTGGCTGCCACCTTGCCGTTTGATCTCAGACTGCTGTGTTAGCAGTGAGTGAGGCTCCGTGGGCATAGGAACCTCCAAGCCAGGTGCGGGATATAATCTCCTGGTGTGCCGTTTGCTAAGACCATTGGAAAAGTGCCGAATTAGGGTGGGAGTGACCTGATTTTCCAAGTGCCGTCTGTACCCCTTTCTTTGACTAGGAAAGGGAATTCCCTGACCCCTTGCACTTCCCGGGTGAGGTGATGCCTCGCCCTGCTTCGGCTCATGCTGGGTGCGCTGCACCCACTGTCCTGCACCCACTTTTTGACACTCCCCAGTGAGATGAACCCAGTACCTCAGTTGGAAATGCAGAAATCACCCGTCTTCTGTGTTGCTCATGCTGGGAGCTGTAGACTGGAACGGTTCCTATTCAGCCATCTTGGCTCAACCCTCTTTAAGTCTCTCACTATTAAGTATGATATTAACTGTGACTTTTTAAAAATAGTCCTTATTAGGTTGAGGAAATTCTTTATCTAGTTTTGGTGTTAGGTTAATGCTAGCCTTACAGAATGAATTGGGCGATGATCCCTACTCTTCTACTTTCTGGGAGAGATTATAGAATTGGTATTATTTCTTCCTTAAATGTTTGGTGGAATTCACCAGTGAAACCATCTGAGTCTGTTGTTTTCCTTTTTGGGAAAGTTTCTTTTCTAATTTCACTACTAATTTTATTGCTTTATCAGGTATAGGATTATTCATTATCTATATCCCCTTGAGGGAGTTTTAATAGTTTGTGCACTTGAAGGAACTGGTCCATTTTATATAATTAATCACATTTATAGGCACAGATTTACTCATAGTATTCCTTTATTATCTTTTTGCTGTCCATGGGATTAATAGTGATAACCTCTTTTATTCTTGATACTGGCAATTTGTGTCTTCACTTTTTATTTTTTCTTGGTTAGTGGTCTGTCATTTCCTTCCTTCTTGCTTTAGGTTTAAATTCGTTTTCCTTAGTTTCCCAAGGAGGAAGCATAGGTTATTGATTTTAGGTCTTTCTTCTTTTCTAAAATATGCTTTTACTGCTATAAGTTTCTCTCTAAACATTACTTTAGCGGCATCCCATAAATTTTGATGTTGTGTTTTTAAAAATTATTTTTAATTGTAAAATACACATAACAAAATTTATCATCTTAACCATTTTAAGTATACATTTCAGTGCTATTAAGTACATTCACATTGTTGTGCAAGATATATATATACTTTAACTTTTACTTAGTTCAAAATATTTTTAAATTTCTCCTGAGACTTCTTAATCTATGTGTTATTTAGAAGTGTGTTGGGTATTTTTCAAATATTTCCAGTTACCCAACTATCTTTCAGTTATTGATTCAGTTTAATTCTGGTGTGGTCTAAAAATATACTTTCTATTATTTCTCTTCTTTTACATTTGTTCAGGTGTGTTTTATGTCCCAGATTGTGTTCTATCTTGGTGACTGTTCCATGTGCTCTTCTGCTGTTGGATGGAATGTTCTATAAATATAAATTAGATCAAAACTTAGTTGATAGTGCTGTTCAAGTCATCTGTATCCTTACTGATTTTTCTGCCTGCTTAATCAGTTACTGAGAGAAGGATGTTGAAGCCTCAACTATAAATATAAATATATAGTGGGTTTGTCTATTTCTCCTTTAGTTTTTGCCTTGTATTAATGAAGTTAATATTTTTAGTTCTTGCAATTGGATGTATGATCAATTTTGAGTTAATTTTTATATGTGATATAAGAGATTGAGACTCATGTTTTTGCCATATGGATTTTCAGTTGTTCCAGCACAGTTTGTTGGAAAGACTGTACTTTGTCTACCTCATTGTCTTTGCATTTTTGTTTGGGATTTTAAGAAAGCCATCCAGGTGATCTGATGGGTATCAATTAGGAATTGTTGGCCTTTTGTTGAGCTTCGAAGTGTCTTTGATAGTATCTTTGATTTGAGGTTGATTGAACCTATGGGAATAAGTTTCAATCAAATAAGCCACCTGTGGCTGCTTGTGGGAAAAAGGATGGGAAATATAGAAACCTTGGTTGTAAAAACCAGCTTCATCTATAGTTAACATCTTACCCATTCTTTATTATAATGTGTTTTCTTAAGGATCCAAATCAAATAGCCTATTTCTTTAAATGATGAAATAGCAGAGTTCCTGCTGAAGTGTTGTTTTTCCCCAATCTGTGATTAGTCTCCTGAGAGCCTTGGAGACTTCTCTAGGGTATATTTGAGGTGTGAAATCACAGAAGCCAGTGAAGGTAATACTGTAGTAAACTACCAGATATAACACATTTCTAGGTGGCTGTCACTCCTTTCCCCAGGACTAACCTTATCAGAAATGTTGAGGGGTCTGAAAAAAGAAAAGGGTTTTTTTTTTAATGTTGCCTGGCTTCCTCTGGGGTGATTTGGAAAAAAAAAGGAATTTTATATAGTCATGTCATTTTTTTAGGTTATAAATTCAGAGGTGAGGACATTTCAGTTTAAAAGAAGACTATTTTTGTTTAGTTTTACTACATAAGGTATCATAAGCAGTGCTTTAATTCTTTAAGAAGAAAATACTACAGTGGTATTAGGAGGCTGTTTTTATGGCATCCGAGCCACATAAACCTAGATACAATAAATCTTCACTCAACCCTACATGATGAGGGATGTGGGTAAAATATGTAATTGATACTAGGGAAGGCATCCTAAAGGAGAGAAAATTGGGCTGAGGGTTGAAGTTATTGCTATCATGCATCCGTATCAAGCCTCTGTACCTTCTGCTGAGAAGAAAACAAATCCAACCCTCAGGGAATGGGAACACAAATCTGTCACATAGAAAATGGGCAGGAAGTTAGAGATATAAATGTGATCAGGAAGAGTAAATAAGGATAGTGCTATTTCTTGTGTTTGTGTAGTGCCGCCACATAATTATATATGTTCTTAGCAATAACCCTGAGATGCGTAAGGCATGATTACTGTTCCTACCTTACAGATGAAAAAGCCGGCATTCAGAGAGATTAAGTGATGATAGTTTTGGTGGTGGTGGTGGCAGCTGCCTTTTATTGAATGTTTATGCAGGTATACATCCAACAAATACTGAGTAGCACTATGTGCCAGGTCCTGTTCTAGGCTTTGGAGATAAAGCAGTTGACAAAGCAGACAAAAAAAATCTATTCCCTCATGGAGCTTACATTCCGGTAGGACAAGGCAGACAATAGACAGGACAAATAAATAAAGTATATAATGTATTAGATGTGTTTTCTTCATAAGTCCTATGGAGAAAAATGGGAGAGTGTTTTAAATTTTAATTAGGGTGATGTGGAGGGTTTTGAAGAGAGGGGTGACATGACTGGCTGAAGTTCACAGGATTACTGTAGCTGCTGTATTGAGAATAGACTGACTTACATATTGGGGACAGAATTAGGTCTGCATATACATTCTCAAGTCATCTTTACAATGATCCAGTAGGGTAGGTACTAAGTCTCAGAGATATTAATAAATGTGCCTAAGATCACAAAGCTAATACGTGCCAACTCCTCTATTAAAATGTGTTGGGATTTTATAGTCTTACATTTAGACTAGCATTCCTGTTTCTGTTAGGAGATAGAAGGCTAAAATGTGTAAAGGGGCCACGTTCCTGATATTTGTCTGAGATAACAGTGAATAAAAATTTGGATTAAAAAATCAGTAAATTATCAATATCTGCACAAAGGAAAACAGATTTGGTAAATAAAATTTATGTGAGCCCATTGATTTGGACCGAGTTTCTACACTAGACTCTAATAGACCAAACCAAAATGGAGTCACTCATGCTACATGCCACATAATTAAGCTAAAACTTAAAACACAAACCAACAGGAAATCCCCAAATGGGCCAGTTTTCTAGGAAAAAGCAAAACAAAACAGGAGATTTGCAGCAACCAGTTGGAAGGGGCCCAGTCAACCTGGCCAGCATAAGGAACTCACATCTGCTTAAACTCATACAAGGAAAGTGACCAGAGGATAACCAGTCTGCTCTTTGTACTGGGCTGTTTCCCTGTTCCTGCTGCAGCTGCCTTATAAAAAGCCAATTGTCCTGCCACACACAGTGGAGCTCCATTCTATTTTGTAGAGCGAATATTATGTTGCCTAGTTCATGAATCGTGAATAAAAGCCAATTAAATATTTAAAACTATTTTTGTAAATTTTATTATTTAATAGGTCTTTATTGTTCAGAAACTATATGTGTAGTCCTTAACAGCACAAACTCTGGAGCTGAACTGTGGGAATTCAAATTCCAGTTCTAGTGCTTAATAACTGTGTAACTTTAGGCAAATTATTTGACTTTTCTTTGTCTTAGTTTCCTCATCTATAAACAGGAATAATATACAGAACTGAATACATGCTTACTATATAATCAGCAGTTGTGCTACTTGGTATTTACTCAGATGAGCAGAAAACTTAGGTCTACACAGAAATCTGCACATGAATGTGTATAGCGGTTTTGTTCATCATTGCTTAAACTTGGAAGCAACCAAGATGTGCTTCAATAGGTGAGTGGATAAATAAACTGTGATGTATCCAGACTATGGAATATTATTCACTGCTAAAAAGAAACAAGCTATTAAGCTATGAAAAGATATGGAGGAACCTTAAATGAACATTGTCCAGTGAAAGAAATCAATCTGAGAAGGCTACCTACTGTATGATTCCAACCCTGTGACATTCTGGAAAAGACAAAACCATGGAGACAGTAAAAAGATCAGTGGTTCCAACATGGCACATGTATACCTATCTATCAAACCTGCACATTGTGCACATGAACCCTAGAACTTAAAGTATATAAAAAAACAAAAAATCAGTGGTTCCCAGGGTTTCAAGGAGAGGGAGAGATTAATAGTTGGAGCACAGAAGATTTTTAGAGCAGTGAAATCACTCTGCATGATACTATAGTAAGTATCATTATACCTTTTCTAAACCCACAGAATGCACAACACAGAGTGCATTCTAAACCCACAGAATGCACAACACAGAGTTAACATAATGTTAACTATGGACTTTGGGTGATAATTATGTGTCAGCGTAAGTTGATTATAACAAACTTACCACTCTGTTGGGGAGTCTGTTAGGGGATGGGTATATGGGAAGCCTCTATACCTTCTGCTCAATTTTGTTATAAACCCAAAACTGCTCTAAAAAACAAAGTCTATTTTAAAAACAAATGGGAATACTAGTGGTACTCAGTAATGTGTGTTGAGGATTAGATGAGCTAAGATTATATAAAGCACTTGGAACAGTACCTGGCATGGTGTAAGCTTATGTGATTTAGTTATTATTATTATATTATTAATGAGCATAAAAATATTTATGTGGCTTTTATAGGTTCACTCATGTAGTTGGGCTTCCACTCCTATTTTTTGCTACGTAAGCTTAAGTTTTTCAACCTCAAATTCTTCTGCTACGATTGCTGTCTAGAATCTAATCACATTGACAATATTTATTTAAGTGTGAGCAGAGGGCCTCTTACGTCAGAATGACCTAGAGTGTGAATTGATAATACAGATTATTGCACTCCAGATTTTCATTTCCACAAGCACCCTGCGTAATCCTGGTGCATTCCAGAGTTAGAGAGCTAGTGCTGTGAGAGTCTGGGAAGGATTATACCACTTCTGACCTCCCAGGCACTGCTTAATGTAGTTCCCCACAAATTTGTCCAGAAAATACACATGTAGATTTTGGCAGAACACCATGTGTCTGAGAAATAGAAAGGAAAGTAGTGACCTAAGAATTCTTCAGTCCATCTCAGAACCTAGTCTCTTGTGTGAAATGACTTTTATGAAGTAGGACATTCTTTGTGTTCTACTGTTCTTAACAGTATGAGTAATAGTCCATTCCTGCACTTACGTTTTAAGTATTCAGTACTAATTAGTGAGTGTGTGGCTAATTATAAACAGTTGAGTCATTTGAGTGCTTTTAGGGATAAAAGGAAACTGTAGGACTGAGTGAGAAAAATATCTGTCATTGACAACAGGAAATAGAAATAAATAATATGCGATTTTGCAGTGAAATGACAGGGTTATTATTCAAACCCTTCTCTCCTGATTCTACAGCCAGGCATATGATATAAGTTCAGTTGTGAATGAAAATAATGTTTTTTAAGTCAAAGGAGCTTAGCCATTACTAACATTTTGTTTCTTTTTTGTTTTTGAGGCTAGAGTGCAGTGACGCGATTACAGCTCACCGAGGTTGCAGCCTCAACCTCCTAGGATCAGGTAATCCTCCCACCTCAGCCTCCCAAGTAGCTGGGACTACAGACATGTGCTACCATGCCTGGCTAATTTTTTTTTTAATTTGTTTGTAGAGACAGGGTTTTGCCATCTTGCCCAAACTGGTTTTGAACTCCTGGGCTCAAACGATCTGCCCACCTCAGCTTCCCAAAGTGCTGGGATTACAGGTATGAACCACTGCATGCAGCCCATTACTAACTATTAACAGGAGTGTTGGAGAGGTATGAATAGAATCCTTTACAAATTCTTATAAAGATGGGAAATGAAGTGAGTACAGACTAAGAAGGGAAAAAGCAAAAAGATATTGCGGATACTGGTTTGCAAAGTAAGATAACAAATATTTATTGAATACTTAAAAGCCAGGTGTTGTGGTAGGAACACACACACACACCCCTTTCTTCATCCTCACAACAACCAAAAAGAGTAAATATTATAGTCCTCATTTTATAGAAGAAATTGAAGCTCAGAATTGTTCATATAGCTGACAGTGAACAGAGTCAAGACTCAAACACAGAATTTCTGATTCTAAAATATAGTTTAACATATTTGAAATATAATTTTTGATCAGCAGTTATATACAGTTGGACTATAAATGAATGTTTTTATGCAAAGGTAATGCATATTAGGCACTATTTCACAGTTCCCCTGGGTTTGAGTTATTTGAAGATGGCCAGAAGGGATTTTCACTTCCAACCAAGATGAAATAAGAGAAATTAGATATTTATTAATACCCTTCTGCCTAAAACAACTAGAAAACTGGACAACATATATAATAAAATATCTTTTGGATTTTGGAAAGAAAGCAGCTGAGGACCTAGATCTCTGAGAGAAGAGAAACAAACACAGTGAGTTTACCTTTGCACCAGCTGTCTCCCTGGGGGCAGTTTCCAGGCTTCAGTGCAGGGAGGGGGACTAAGACAGAGCTTTCCCAGAGGTGTGCAGAGAGCAGAGTTCAGTGTGGCCAAGGTGGCTAGAATTTGCAGAGTCAGGTCCTGGAGATGTGAGAGCAGCACAGGAAGGTGCAGAGGGCCCTCAAGGCTTTGCTGGCCCAAGGTGTTTGGTTGAGTACCGATCTGCACAAACTTCTCTTTGGAGTAGGAATCCAAAGATCTCAGAAGAAAAATATCTTCAAAAAGCAAGTAGGTAGTATGATTATGATAGTATGATTAAGAAGCTGTGTTGAAGATATATATTACTTTAGTCAGTAAGAAAAAAGCTATTGGGCCAGGCGCGGTGGCTCACACCTGTAATCCCAACACTTTGGGAGGCTGAGGCGGGCGGATCACTTGAAGTCAGGAGTTCCAGACCAGCCTGGCCAACATGGTGAAATCCCATCTCTACTGAAAAAAAAAAAATACAAAAATTAACCGGGTGTAGTGGCATGCACCTGTAATCCCAGCTACTCGGAGGGCTGAGGCAGGAGAATTGCATGAACCTGGAGGGGGAAGTTGCAGTGAGCCGAGATTGTGCCACTGTACTCCTGCCTGGGGGACAGAGCAAGACTCTGTCTCAAAAAACAAACAAAAAAGCTATTAAAAACCCCGGACATTTTGGGAGGCCCAGGCGGGTAAATCACCTGAGGTCAGGAGTTCGAGACCAGCCTGGCCAACATGGCAAAACCCCATCTCTATAAAAATACAAAAAAAATTAGCTGGGCATGGTAGCACATGCCTGTAGTCCCAGCTACTTGGGAGGCTGAGGTAGCAGAATCACTTGAACCCAGGAGGTAGAAGTTGCAGTGAGCCGAGATTGTGCTACTGCACTCCAGCCTGGGCAATAGAATGAGACTCTGTCTCACAAACAAACAAAAAACCCAGGAAAGTCTATATAAGAAACATACTGTCCAAATTTACAACAAAACAAAATATGCCTTTATTTTAAGCAACTGTTGGAGTGAAAGAAAAGATAATCCATTTGACACTTATCCTTGCGATATCTTACTTAAAGCGTCACATAGTTTGGTGATACAAGATGGTAAAAAAAAAGTATGTGTTCACAGATTATATGTGTATATGTATTATATATGATAGTAATAACAATTGTATTTTGTCTCACATTTAGAATAAGCCTACAGACAAAGCTTGAGGAAATTATAGATTAACTGAAATTTAAAAGTTAAAAATCTTCATATAAAAATGGTATGGTTGGCAGAACTTGAAAGTGGAGGGGAAAATAAAGTGGACAGTAGTGTAAGTTAACTAATTTACATAGAGGGAATCAAGATACTGTTTAAAATTGATAGAACAAGAGATTGGTTAGAGGATATTCACCTTTAAAATTTACAAAGATAATCAGAATTTAAAATTACAGAGATAATCAGAAGACAAATATTTTGATGTATTAAATAGGGGAAGGTTGGCATGATGGAAAGTATGGTAAATGAGGCAGTTTCCTCATCTTTAAATCAGGAATTCAGTAGTATGGTTTAAAGACGGTAGCATAAGAACCGGAGGTCTAAGTATAGTGATTATTACCCCCAGCCCCAGAATAACTAAAGTGAGAGTTTAAATGGTCTACTTCTGTGGGATAAAACTTGGCTTGGGGGGATAGAAGGTGGAGACTTTTATTTTTCATTCTATACCATTTATTCACTTGAAACTTTCATATATGTTTAATTATCCCTAATGAATATCTTTTTTAGCATCAAAATATATGGACCAGCTTTATTCTTTGACTGTTGTTGTATCCTGATGTGTCTTGAGATTGCTGAAAATGCTAATGTGATAATAAGCCACATAAACTTTTCAGATAAGGAAGGTGACTGGTTTTGTTTTGATTTTTGATGATTGTTCCACATCTGGGGACTAGACTTCAGTTCTGGGCACTAGAATATTAATAACTATAGAGTATATATATAGAAAAGAGCATCCAAGCTGATGAGGAGATCTAGAAACATTACTTATGACAAAAGGTAAAGGGAACTGCTGATGTATCATCTGGGAAGCTATATATCAGAAGTGAGGGGAGCATGATCACTAGCTTTAGATATATGGAAGAAAGGGTGTATTGTTCTGTGTGAGCAGAAATAGGACCAGTGGGTAGAAATTACAGAGTGGTAATATTATAAAAAGCTTTCTGGCTACCAGAGCTGTGTAATGATGTCACTGTTACTGTTTAGACAAAGATATTGTGGAGAGTGTGCTCACATTTGGTTAGGATTCTCCGAGAGGAACTTCTGAGGTTCCTTACAACTTAAAGTTTCTGAAGGATTAGTTAGAAATAAGTCTTTAAAGTAGTCCATAATTGTAACCCAGAAGAGGACAATTAACTCAACATATACTTTTTAAATAGTCATTGTGTTAGTCTGTTCTCCCGTTGCTATAAAGGAATACCAGAGACTGAGTAATTTATAAAGAAAAGAGGTTTAATTGGCTCACAGTTCTGCAGGTGTACAGGAAGCATGGCAGCATCGGCTTCTGGGGAAGCCTCAGGGAGCTTTTACTCATAGCAGAAGGCAAAGCAAGAGCAGGCATCTTACATGACAGAAGCAGGAGGAAGGCAGGGGGAGGTGCTACACACTTTTAAACAGCTGAATCCCATGAGAACTCACTCACTATACACTACCAAAGGGGGATCATGCTAAACCATTCATGAGAACTCTGCCCCCACCCATGATCCAGTTACCTCCCACCAAGCCCCACCTTCAACATTGGGGATTACAATTCCACATGAGAGTTCGGTGGGGATGCAGATCCAAACCATACAATTCCACTTCTGGCCCCTCCAAATCTCATGTCCTTCTCACGTTGCAAAATACACTTATGCCTTTCCAACAGTACCCCCAAAGTCTTTACTCATTCCAGCACTAACTCAAAAGTCCAAAGTCTTATCAGAGACAAGGCTAGTACCTTCCACCTGTGAGCCTGTAAAATCAAAACCAGATTAGTTACTTCTAAGATACAATGGGGATATAGGCATGGGGTAAATACTCCCATTCCGAAAAGGAGAAATCAGCCAAAAGAAAGGGGCTACAAGCTCCATGCAAGTCTGAGACCCAGCAGGGCACTCATTCAACCTTAAAGCTCCAAAATACTCCATGGGAACACTGATGCAAAGGGTGGGCTCCCAAGGCCTTGGGCAGCTCGGCTCCTGTAGCTTTGCAGGGTTCATCTCTTAAGGCTGCTCTCATGGGCTGGCATTGAGTGCCTATGGCTTTTCCAGACACAGGGTGCAAGCTGCTGGAGACTTTGTCATTCCAGGGTCTGGAAGACAGTGGCCTTCTTCTCACAGCTGCACTAGGCAGTGCCCCAGTGGGGACTCTGTGTAGGGGGTCCAACCCCACATTTCCCCTCTGTGCTGCCCTGGTAGCAGTTCTCCATGAGGGCTCTGCCCCTGCAGCAGGCTTCGGCCTGGACATTCAGGTTTTTCCATATATCCTCTGAAATCTAGGTGGAGGTTCCCAAGCTTCAGCTCTTGCATTCTGTGCACCTGCAGGCTTAACACCACATGGGAGACACCAAGGCTTACGGCCTGCACCTTCTTAAGCAGTGTCCTCAACTGTACTTGGGCCCATTTTAGCTACAGCTGGAGCTGCTGGGGTGCAGGGAGCAGTGTCCTGGGGCTGCACAGGGCAGCAGGGCCCTGGGCATAGCCCACAGAACCATCCTTTCCTCCTAGGCCTCTGAGCCTGTGTTGGGAGGGGCTACCTGGAAGGTCTCTGAAATGCCTTCAAGGCGTTTTTCCCATTGTCTTGGCTATCAGCACTTGCCTTCCTTTTCGTTGTGCAAATTTCTGCAGCCTGCTTGAATTGCTCTCCTGTAAATGGACTTTTCTTTTCTACCACATGGCCAGGCTGCAAATTTTCCAAACTTCTATGCTCTGCTTCCCTTTTAAATATAAGTTTTAGTTTCAGGTCATGTCTTTGCTCATGCATATGAGCATAGGCTTTTAGAAGCAGCCGGGTGACTTCTTGAATGTTTTGCTGCTTAGAAATTTCTTCCACTAGATACCCTAAATTCTCTCTCAAGTTCAAAGTTCCACAGATACCTAGGGCAGGGGCACAATCCAGCCAAGCTCTTTGCCAAGGTTTAACAAAAGTGACTGTTGCTCCAGTTCCCAGTAAATTCCCCATTTCCATCTGAGACCTCCTCAGCCTGGCCTTCACTTTCCATATCACTATCAGCATTTTAGTTACAACCATTCAACAAGTCTCTAGGAAGTTCCAAATTTTCCCTCATCTTCCAGTCTTCTGACCCCTTCCCACTCTTCCAACCTCTGCCCATTACCCAGTTCCAAAGCTGCCTCCACATTTTCAAGTATCTTTATTAGTCCATTCTCGCATTGCTATAAAGAAATACATGAAACTGGGTAATTTCTAAAGAAAAGAGGTCTGATTGCCTCATGGTTCTGCAGGCTGTGCAGGAAGCATGGCAGCATCTGCTTTTGGGGAGGCCTCATGGTGGAAGGCAAAGTGGGAGCAGGAGCAGGAGGAAGGGCGGGGAGGTGCTACACACTTTTAAACAACCAGATATCATGAGAACTCTACCACAACATCAAGGAGATGATGCAAAACCATTCATGAAGGATCCATCCTTATGATCCAGTCATCTCCCACAGGCCCCACCTCCAACACTGGGGAACACAATTTGACATGAGATTTGGGTGGGGACACAGATCCAAACCATATTAGACATGTTTTCGGTAGGCTTTAGGATACAGAGATAAATAAGACGTGAATAGACTCAAGGAACTCAGTCTAATATGGTCCATTTCAGTTTGACAGTTGTGTCACGAGGGTACCTATATACTGGCTTTTCCATTCTCTAGAGACATAAAGGTGAACCAGTCATAACTCATCCTCATGACCCCATGGTCTACAGGGGAGACTGTCAGGTATACATGTTTCATTACATTATAGCTGAAGAGCAAAGAGTGAGGGCAGGGAAAGCTTCACAAAAAAAGTGATGACTGGTCCAAGTTTGTCACCAGCATGCTCTGTCACTCTCCATGCTGTATCATGTGGGACAAGGCAGGACCTTCTCTGGGACATGGTTCATAACTTCTTATATACAAAATAGCCAGGGCTAGCGTCCCAGCTGCTCCAAAATTCCATGATTCTAATATGGTGATAATTGTTTTTCTCATCAAAATGTTTTAAGAAAATAGTCCAAATTTTAAAATATGGTAAAAAATGTTTTATCTAAGTCTAATCTTAATGGATATCCTTTCAAATTAAGTTTTTGCTAATGAATTTCCTGGAACAACTTGTTCCATTAGTCCCTTTACTTAATGTCTTTATGTAACGTTCATTTGAAATACTATGCACATTATAAAATTTTGCATTAATTAGTATGATACCTGGTGTGTGACATTATTAATATTTCAGGAAGCATTCTTTTTAATTTCACTTTAGATCACCCCTGTGATTTTAATTCCTGTATTTCTTTTGAAGGGAAACAGCTTTATCAAATAGGATTTTAGATTTTAAATTTTGTACTTTTTTGAGCGTATAAAGATTGCTTTTAGAAGTAAAATTTTAGTGAACTTGAAATTCTCAAAGAATCACTGAGATTTGAGAAGTGACTTTTTTCTCAGAGGAATGATCCAGTGCACCAAAGAAAAATATTAATTAGGGCTGGATTTAATTACCATTGTAGATTTATTGGTACAAGAATTTCAACAAGTTTTTATTGCCTTTAAATAAAATTCATAGCCATTTAATAAGCTAATAAAAGTATAATATTTGACCTCCCAATAATAGATGTTCAAACCGTAAACATGGTTTTGCCAAGAAAATTATTAAAATCATTATTTAGAAAAAACGTTTGAATCGTGTTATTTTATCTTGTATCACAGTCAACTCCATAAACTTTTCTGGGTTATGTGCTTGCATTTTATGGAAATAGTTTTGTCATTTATAAAATTCCACAACTGAGTTTTGTTTTCATCAATATTTACATTGAGGTACACTTAGGAACTACAAAGTTGAATTACACAGTTGTTTATCTGGAAGCTCAAAAATGTTGAGATCATCTTTATTAGAATTTCTTTCATCCGCAGCTGTGTACTAATTGAAAAAACTGAACTGGAAGCTGAAAGATGGGATTAACTACCACCCTACTACTTAGTGTGTGTTAATCCTACTGACATGACTTCTACCCCTTTAAAATAGGGGATGATAGCTACTTCGTAGAGTTCTTTTTAGAAAAAAGTGACTTAATACTGGTGTCTGGCACATAGAAATAACTTAATAAGTATAATTTTTGGTTTTTTGACATCTAAGAAGATTTAATTAACTTTTCTCAATGGAAACTGTATCATTTGAGCAATACAATAATCTGTTAGCCATGAAATTTAGCATGTGTAATTAATGTAAAAATTATTGAGGTATTTTACATTGTATTTTTTGTGTTAAATTTTCAGCATCTTGTGTGTATTTTACACTTAACAGCACATCTCAACCTGACTAGCCATATTTCAAGTATCTGCCACTTGGCCAGTGACTGCAGCATTGGATAACAAAGGTCTAGCCATATTTTGGGTGATTAATAAATGACTGTCCCAAGGCAAACTTTCAAAAAATAATTTTTTTTCCAACAGACTACCATGGCTGCAGGAGTCTTGCCTCAGAATGAACAACCATATTCTACCTTGGTGAATAACAGCGAGTGTGTTGCAAACATGAAAGGTAATGTCTCTTTAATACACTTTTTGTCTCTCTGTGCAAGCTGGCATTTAATAAAAGTAGCTATATGAATGGACACAAAAGAAAAGGCTCTCTTCTTCATATTGGAATCCCAGGTTGCAAGTATTACTTACTGCCTTACCATCTTGGCCTGTTAGAATTCCTTTTCAAAATCCTGAATAATGGCCTTGGCCTTTTAAGAAGGAGTATTGCAAACAGTGTTTGTCTCCTGCATAATTATCATCAGCTGAGATTATGCATTTGTTCCTATCATCAAAGGCCTACTTATGAATCAAACTTTAATTTTGTTCTCCTTTCATTAGTTGTAAGTGCCACTTAGCACATCCAGAAGCACTCCAGCCCTACTTCTCCCAGTGTCTTTTCTCCCATGCCATTTTGCTTTTTATATGACACCCCAGGCAAGGACAAGTGTCGTGACTTGAACTCTTACTACCACATTTGCCCTTTACTCGTCCTGACCATCACAAGCTCTGAGCTGGGAGCCTCCCTGCTTCTGCTTTAGATATTGCTGGTCTTGCTACCACCACCGGCAGTTAGCCAAGGGAGATGTTAAGTAATTTCTCTTGGCAGTACCACTTGCAGTATTTTCTAACTGCCCCCTTGGGGCTTTGCCCACCTTCACTTTAGTCCTACTGTATGGAGAACTTTGAAGGATTTCTCCCCTAAGTATGGATTAGATGATAGGAAGAAGAGTAAAGGAGTAAGGGTCTAACTAAAGGTATTGAGTTCAACACTTGCTAGGAACAAGTCAGTTCTGTTGTGTTCTTGCTGGAATCTGACCACTCCACCAGGGGGCGTTCTCTCTCATCAAGAAAACCATTGTTTCCCACTTCTCATCTTGTCTAAACTCCGTATGCTTGTAGATACTCCTTCATCTGTCTTTGCTGTGTTTGGCCCTAGAGGCACTAATACTACTGGTAACTACCATTTGTGGACAGCTTCTAGGTGCCAGACTTAATGTGTTAGTTTCCCTGGTCTTAGAAAGAAGTACTGTCTAAAACAAACACAAGAATGATGTCTAGTGGCTGCTTCCCTTCTAGATGTCTAGTGGCTGCTTCCCTTCTAGAATAATGTTTCTTTCCCCCTGAGTAACTCTTCAGCCAACAAGTCTGAGTCAGACAAACCTTTTTCCCTTTTCTTTCTTCTGTTGTAAATGTTACCTCTTAGTTGGTGTTTCTCAATGGCAATTCTGTTGGCTTTGCGGGTGGGACAACTCTTTGTTGTGCTGGAGAGCTCTGAGCACCTAAGACATATAGCATCTCTGACCCCTACCACTAAATCCAGTAGCATCCCCAGGTTCCAGTGACAATGAAAAAACCCGGCATATTTCCAAATACCCCCAGGAAGGTTGTACCACCTGTATTGTGATCCACTAGGTATGCTGATTTTTACCTTTCCAAAAAACATTTTTTAATTAAAATTTTCCTCTTAGTATAAATGCAGCTAATTTTTAATTAGGAAAAAATCTAGACAAATAACATCTGCTTTATAGCTAATTTTATTAAAGCATATCTCATCTATAAAGATAGTTATACTTTATTATGTTTGTGGATGGGAAGTATTTTTTTAAATGTTATATAATGATTCATGGGAAAATTTAATTGGGGGGATACATAAAGTATTTATTTTTAAAGGAAAACAGAAAACTTATCAAGAAGTAGCTGTGGAGTGAGACAGAACTAGAGTTAAATCTTGATTCTACTACTTAAAAAAAATTTACTTTTTTTTTATTTTTTGAGATGGCGTCTCACTCTGTTGCCTAGGCTGGAGGGCAGTGATGCAATCTTGGCTCACTGCAGCCTCCGCCTCTCAGGTTCAAGAGATTCTCCTGTCTCAGCCTCCTGAGTAGCTGGGACCACAGGTGCATGCCACCACGCCCGGCTCATTTTTGTGTTTTTAGTAGAGATGGGGTTTCACCATGTTGGCCAGGCTGGTTTTGAACTCCTGACCTCAAATGACCCGCCTGCCTCAGCCTCCCAAACTGCTGCGATTACAGAAGTGAGCCACCATGCCCGGCCATAAAAAAATTAAAAAATAAAAAATAAAAAAACTTTTATTACAGAAAATTTCAAACACAAAAGTATACAGAATAAAATAAAGATCCCCATATTTGTATCATCCCCCATATATGCATCATCCCTCAAATATGTACCATAACCCAGCTTTAACAATCTCAGCCACTCACTTCTCTCACTCAGTTCCCTGCATCAGTATTACTTTGAAGCAAACTCAAGGCATCGCGTCATTTTGTTAAATAACCACATCATTGGCTGGGCGCGGTAGCTCACGCCTGTAATCTCAGCACTTTGGGACACTGAGGTGGGTGGATCATAAGATCAGGAGTTCGAGACCAGCCTGGCCAATATGGTGAAACCCCATCTCTACTAAAAATACAAAAAAATTAGCCGAGCATGGTGGCGTATGCCTGTAATCCCAGCTACTCGAGAGGCTGAGGCAGGAGAATTGCTTGAACCCGGGAGGTAGAGGTTGCAGGGAGCCAAGATCATGTCACTGCATTCCAGCCTGGGTGACAGAGTGAGACTCCATCTCAAAAAAAAAAAATAATAATAATAATAATAAACCACATTATTACTACCATACCTCAAATAATCAACATTATTTACTTGATATCATCAAATATCTAAACAGTGTTCAATTTTCTAATTGTCTTATAGATATACCATAGATATAATTATACATGTATATATTGTGTGTGTATAATTTGTTTGAATTGGGATCCAAAAAAAGTCAATACATTGTAATTGGTTGCTATTTAGCTTCAATCTCTTTTCTTTTTTGTCTCCCAGGCTGGAGTGCAGTGGCACCATCTCAGCTCCCTGTAACCTCTGCCTCCCAAGTTCAAGCGATTCTCATGTTTCAGCCTCCCGAGTAGCTGGGATTACAGGCATGCGCCACCATGCCTGGCTAATTTTTGTTTTCTTAGTAGAGACAGGGTTTAGCCATATTGGCCAGGCTGGTCTCAAACTCCTGGCCTCAGGTGATCCACCTACCACAGCCTCTGAAAGTGTTAGGATTACAGGCGTGAGCTACCGTGCCCGGCTTTCAATCTCTTTTAAACTTGGGCTTCCCTCTGTCTCTTTTTCCTTACAGTTTATTTGTTGGAGAAAACAGGTTTTTTTGCCTTGTGGAGTTTGCCACAACCTGTATTTTGCTGATAATATCGACATGATATTTTCTATAAATTGGTAGATAGATGTAGAGTCTAGTCAGATTTTTTTTAATTAACAAGACTGTTTCATGGGCAGTGCTATATTCCTCCCTCAGGATGCCCAGGCTGTATGATTGTCTTGCTTTTTGTGATGTTAATTTTTTTATTTTGAAATAATTTCAAACTTACAGTAAAGGTACAAGAAAAGCACACAAAAGAACTCCTACATTCTGTTCACTCAGAGACCCCCATTCAAGTTTTGTCAGCAGTCCCAATAATATCCTTTAATAGGAAAATGATTCTGGTAATGTTTTTTAAATCCCTTTCAAAGGCCCTAGTCACTCCTTTCTTGACCTTTATGACCTTAACATTTTTTAAGATTATAGACAATTTTTTTTTTGTAACATGTTCCTCAGTTTGGGTTTGTCTGCTGTTTCCTCATGATAAGACTGAGATTATGCATTTTTGGTAGAAGGGTCACAGATAACACAAGATGTCATTTTGCCCCGTCACTGGTTATGTTTAGTTTGATCACATCAGTAAAGTGGTGTCTGCCAAAGTTTATCCATTATAAATTATTCTTTCTCCCCTCATAGTTAATATTTTAAGGAGAGATGATTTCAGACTACGTAAATATCCTGTTCCACATCCAACTTTTACCTAGCAGTTTTAGCATCTATTGCTGTTTCTTGCCTGAATTAATTATTACTGTGATAGATAACTGGAGATTTTCTTCGCCTGCCCAACCCTCCGATAACTGGAGATTTTCTAATTTCATTATTCCTTCTGTTTTTATTAGTTAGCATTCTAGTGTAAGGAAGAATTTCCCATTATTTGTTCGATTATTTATTTATTTAGCGTGGATTCCTATTTTGTTCAGTGGATTGTAATCCTTTACTATGATTTATTTGGATGCTTCAGTTTCCCCATATTTGGACAGTAAGAACCCCATCAAGCTGTTTACAATGTCCATTTTACATGTCCCCACCATTCCTATATTCCTCACTCTCTGGCACAGCAAGATCTTCCAGCTCATTTTATTCTCTTCTTGCCCTGGCCCAGAAATCAGCCATTTCTTCAAGGAGCCTTGGTTCTTTTTAGTAGGAAATATAACCAAGATCTGGTATGCTCACTACTACTGGTATATCATGATTCCCAACCCCTTTTAGGGGACAAAGCTGGGAAATATGTGTTCATACATATACATATGTACCTGTCCATTTTTACGGGTACAGTCATCCCTCCTTGTACACAGGGGATTGGTTCCAGGACCCTCCCACCCCCGGTATACCAAATCCATGCATACTCAAGTCTCACAGTCTCCTCTGTGGTACCCACCCATACTAAAGGGTTTTGCATCTTGCATATACTGTATTTTCAGTACCTTTTGGTTGATAAAAATCTGCATATAAGTGGACCAGCTCAGTTAAAACCTCAAGAGTCAACTGTATATTTATTTCTGTTTCTGTCTATATATATTGAAAACCACAAGTTCACTTTGGTACTTCCAATTCTTTTTTTTTTTTTTTTTGGACAGAGTCTCGCTCTGTTTCCCAGGCTGGAGTGCAGTGGTGCAATCTCTGCTCACTGTAACCTCCGCCTCCTCTGTTTAAGCAATTCTCCTGCCTCAGCCTCCCAAGTAGCTTGGATTACAGGCACCCGCCACTGCGCCCAGCTAATTTTTTTAGTAGAGACGGGGTTTCACCATGTTGGCCAGGCTGGTCTTGAACTCCTGACCTCAAGTAATCTGCCTGCTTCAACCTCCCAAAGTGCTGGGATTATAGGCGTGAGCCACCATGCCCAGCCAATACTTTCTTTTTTTTTTTTTTTTTTTGAGACGGAGTCTCGCTCTGTCGCCCAGGCTGGAGTGCAGTGGCACAGTCTTGGCTCATTGCAACCTCCGCCTCCCGGGTTCACGCCATTCTCCTGCCTCAGCCTCCCGAGTAGCTGGGACTACAGGCGCCCGCCACCACGCCCGGCTAATTTTTTGTATTTCTAGTAGAGATGGGGTTTCACCGGTTAGCCAGGATGGTCTGGATCTCCTGACCTCGTGATCCGCCCGCCTCTGCCTCCCAAAGTGCTGGGATTACAGGCATGAGCCACCACGCCTGGCCAATACTTTCAATTCTAATCCATTATTACACCATCTTTATAGCTGTTCCCATTTATAATTATGTAAGAATGAGAAACCTGGCTCTTATTATCCCCAGTATGTTTGCTTATTTACTCAGCCGTACTTTTCCTAACCAGTCTCTCAACCCTGCCAGGCCATCACCCAACTCGGCTGTATTTTCCACACAGGGCCCGTACCCTGCCAGGCCCCACAGCATATGCCATGCACCCTACTATTTGCCTGCCTTGTGTTGCCCTGACCTTTGCTGGATGACCCTTGCTTAGGCTTTATGTATGGCTCTTTCTCTTTGATTATATATACATTTTTAATTAAAATATTGAGATAATTGTACATTCACATGCAAATATAAGAAATAATACAGAGGAATCATATTTACCCTTTATCCAGTTTCCACCAATAGTAGCAGCTTGAAAAACTATTGTGTAATAATAATATCACAGCCAGGATATTGACATTGTTTTGGTCAAAATACAGAACAGTTCCATCAACACAGGATCCCTCCTACTTCCTTTATAGTTAAACCCACCTACACTCCTAACTCTGGCCTGTGGCAACCACTATCTGTTCCCCAGTTCTATAATTTTGTCATCGCAAAAATGTTATGTATATAAAATCATACAGTATGTAACCTTTTAGGAGTGACTTTTTTCAGTCAGCCTAATTCCTTTGAGTTTCATCCAGGTTGTTGTGTGTACCAATAGTTGAGTCCTTTTTATTGCTGAGTAGTATTCCGTGGTATGGATGTACCACAGTGTGTTTATCAGTTCATTCACTGAAGGGTGTCTGGATTCTTTCCAGTTTGGGGCTATTATGAATAAAGCTGCTGTAAACATTCATGTACAGATTTTTGTGTGTAGATGGGTTTTTATTACTTTGGGATAAATACCCAAGAATTTACTTTCTAGGTCATATGATAGTTGCATGTTTGACTTTATATGAAACCGCCAAACTGTTTTCCAGAGTAGTTGTACCATTTTACATTCCTACCAGCAATGTACGAGTGATCAAGTTTCTCTACATCCTCACCAGCATTAGGTTTTATCAGTATTTATTTTAGCCATTAGAGCAGTTCTATAGTGGTGTCTTTTGTGGTTTTAATTTGCATTTCCTTAATGGCTAATGATGATAACCTCTTTTCATGTGCTTATCTGCCATCTGCATATTCTCTTTTTACATATCTGTGCATGTCTTTTATCCACTATTTTTTTTTACTGTTGAGTTTTAAGAGTTCTTTATATACTCTAGATACTAGATCTTGCTCTGATACGTGGTTTGCAGATACATTCTCCCACTCTGTAACTTACCTTTCCATTTCTTCATATGATCTTTCTCTGAGAAAAAGTTTTTAATTTTCATGAAGTCCAATTATTCTTTTATGGATTACACTTTTGCTGTCAAGTCTTCAGAACTTTTCATCTATCCCAGTGCCCTGAAGCTATGTGAATGTGTTTGTAGATTCACTGTTGGGTTTCACTGATCTATATATCTGTCCATCCACCAATACCACCCTGTCATGAATACTGTAGTTATGTAATAGGCCTAGTATTGGATAGAGTGATTCTTCCCACTTACCCTCTTTTTCAGGATCATCTTAGATAGGACCTGTGACTTTAAATAAGCTTATTTATGTCAGCAAAAAATATTACTGGGATTTTTATAAGAATTAAATTTGTAAATCAATTTGAGGAGATTGCCATCTTTACTTTGTTGCATCTTCTAATTTATAATCACGTTTCTCTTTTTTTATATCTTTGATTTATTTCATCAGAATTTTATAATTTTCAGCATACAGATTCATACATGTTTTAAGTTTATACTTAAGTATTTCATTTTCTTTGGGGAGATTTTAACTGGTATTGTGGTTTTTTTGTTTGTTTGTTTTGAGATGGAGTTTCACTCTGTTGCCCAGGATGGGAGTGCAGTGGCATGAACTCAGCTCACTGTAACCTCCACCTCCCAGATTCAAGCAATTCTCCTGCCTCAGCCTCCTGAGTAGCTGGGATTACAGGCGCCTGCCACCACGCCCAGCTAATTTTTGTATTTTTAGCAGAGACGGTTTCGCCATGTTGCCCAGGCTGGTCTCAAACTCCTGACTTCAGGTGATCTGCCCGCCTTGGCCTTGCAAAGTGCTGGGATTATAGGCATGAGCCACCACACCTGGCCTAGGTATTGTGTTTTTAAATGCAGTTTCCACATGTTTTTTGTTTGTGTATAGAAATGCAATTGATTTTTGTATGTTGATTTTATGCCTTACTACTTTGCTGAACTCACTTTCCATTCTGGGAAGTTTTTGGTGATTCCTTGGGATTTTCTTACATAAACAATCATGTCTGCAAATAAGGACAGTTCTATTTCCTCTTTTCCAATTCATATGCTGTTATTTTTTTTTTCTTGCCTTATCATAGTAGCCTAAAACTTCTACCAAGCAGAATAAGAGTCACAAGAGCAGAGTCTTTGCCTTCTTCCTGACCATAGGGAGAAGGCATTCAGTCTTTCACCTTTCAGTATGATGTTAGCAGCAAGTTTTCCATAACAAGTTGAATTAGTTCCCCTCTATTCTTAACTTGCTGAGAGTTTTTATCATGAGTCAGTGTTGAATTTTTTTATCTAATGCTTTTTCTGTGTTAATTGATATGATCATATGATTTTTCTTCTTTAGCCTGTTGGTGTGGTGGATTATATTGATTGATTTTTTAATGTTAAACCAGCCTGTACCTATAATAAATTTCATTTGGTAGTGGTGTATAATTCTTTTTATGCATTGCTGGATTTGATTTGCTCGTATTTTGTTGAGGATTTTTTTCCTAAGTTCAGGATTGATGTGGGACTATAGTTTTCTCTTTTTGTACTCTCTTTATCTGCTTTTGGTATCAGGGTAATGTTAGCCCCATAAAAGGAGGTGGGAAATGTTCCTTCTTCTATTTTCTGGAAGGCATTGTGGAAAATTGGTGCCCATTCTTCTTTAAATGTTCGGTAGCATTCTCCAGTGACGTCATTTAAGCCAGGAGATTTCTTTTGGGGAACTTTTTGTTTATTAATTCAATTTCTTTAATTTTTATAGAACTGTTCAGGTTGTCTCATTCATCTTGGTTGAGTCTTGGTAGTTGGCAGTGTTCAAGGATTTGATCCATTTCTTCTAAGTTGTCAAATTTATGTCAACAATTTCTAATTTGTTTGTATTAGTTCCTTGTTATCCTTTAAATGGATGCCAGATCTGTAGTGATAGCTCCTGTTTCACTCCTGATATGGGTGATTTGTGTCTTTTTTTTATTTTTGTCAGTCTTGCCAGATCTGTAGTGATAGCTGTGTTTCATTCCTGATATGGGTGATTTGTGTCTTTTTAAAATTTTTGTCAGTCTTGCTAGAGGTTTATCAATTTTATTAATTTTCTTCACAGAGCCAGCTTCTTATATCACTGATTTGCACTGTTGTTTTCCATTTTTAATCTTACTGACTTATGTTCTTATTTTTATCTGTCCAATGCTTGTTTTGTGTGTGCTTTGCTCTCATTTTTCTAGTTTACTTAGGTTGAAATCTGTATTACTAATTTGAGATCTTTCCTCTCCTCTAACATAAGCATTAAGTGATAGAAATTTCTTACAAATCTCTGCTTTACCACCATCTTATATATATTTTGATATATTTTCATTTTATTCAGTTCTGTGTGTTTTGTAATTTCCTTTGAGACTTCCTATTTGACTCATGATTTATTTATAAGTTTGACGTTCAATTTCCCAAGTCTTTGGAGTTTTTCCTGCTGTCTTTCTGTTATCGATTTCTAGTTTGATTTCATTGTGGGCAGAGAACATTCTCTGTATGATTCCAGTTATTCTAGGAATCAGTGCCAAGACACATTATAATTAAAGTCCTTATTGGAAATTTTCAGCATATCATTTATCTCCATTTTGATGTCTGTTGATTGTTTCTTATGATTCAAGTTGTGATTTTCCTCATTCTTGGTATGACAAGTGATTTTCAACTGTATTCTGGACATTTTGGGTCCTTTTCTTTCTCGCTTGTCAGGCAGTGTTCTTCTTGAAGCATTAGCCAGGAGCCAGGTGAGTGTATATGCCCAGCTCCCTGTTCAGCCTCACTGACACCACCCCAACAAAAGTTGGGTGCTTCGAAACACTGCCTCAGTCCAGATGACGAAGTGGAATTTCAGCTCTCTCACCAGTTCTGTTTGACATCTTTGTGGTAAAAGTGGAACATTGCCTTGCACTGTCATGTTGCCTTTGAGTCGGGGGGATAAGATCAGCAACATGAGAAAAAACAAATCTGGGCCCCACTGCCACCTAGGAAGAAGTAGAGGGCAACTCACACTGCTTTGTTTCTGCAAGGTGTGACTGAAGCTCATTCCCGGCTGGGCCCTGTGGTCCTCAGGGGAGGAGAAGGTGGAAAGTGTAATGCCAAGCCTCCCACTCCCCACCACCTCTTTCCTCCTCATACAGGTGGAGTTGGGAGTTCAGCTCCCCACTGGACCCCATTGACACCAGGGGATTGGGAAATGGGAATGTTGACTATCCTGCTTCACACCCCCTCATTCTGCTTCATTGATGGCAAATGAGTGTGGAGGCTCAGCTCCCCTTGAAGCTCCCCTGTTGCTTGGGGCAGCAGCAGCAGGGACGTGAATACCAACTAGTCTTTCCTCCTACTGCACTGTTCAGTCTTGTGGACGCCAATTGAATGTGGAGGTTTGTCTCCCCACTGGGCCTCACTAAGATGAAAGTTATGGGGAAAGTAGAGTGTTTACAGGCCCCCACTTGCACAGCTTTGTTCAGTGTCCTTGATGATGGATGAGAACGAAGGTTCAGGTCTCCACTGGGTCCCACTTACGTAGAGGCAGGTGGTGAGCCTGGTATTGACTAATCCCACTTCAAACCACCCTGTTAAGACTGGTTACTGCTGGATGAGGCACAGCTCACAGATAGACCCCAATGACACCACCCTGGCAGAGGAACTGCAGCACTGCCCATTTCTATCTGATGGGGGGAATCATCTTTCTGCTCAGGTCACCACCACCACCCAGCAGGGGAATCAGAGTGCCACCTGCTTCTTCCAATTGGGGTATGGAAAATTAGCTCCCTGATCAGCCCCAAAACCACCCAGTGGGGGAATCAGAGCACCACATGGTCCTTCTAGACACAGTAGAAGATGAGATCCATGTTTATCTCTCCGACACCACCTGATGGGAGAAGTAGATTGATTCCACTTCTGCAGAGCAGGAGTATTTGATAGATGATCAGCTCCCTCTCCATCCTCTCTGAAACTGGGGGTTGGAAGATGATGTGGCATTTTTAACTGGAGTAGCGTGGGTATTGCCAAAAATATATTCAGTCGTTAGGTCACATATTCCACAGACCTTTGGCAAAGGGGGACAGGCTTTTCTTATAGCTTGTTCTGGGTTGAAGGCTTCTGCAGCACCCTATTGGGGATATACTGGAGGCAATAAAGAATCCCAGGTAGCTCACAGCCATACTGTTCCTCAAGTCCTGAGGTCCTTAGACAGTCTCTCACTCTCAGAGTCTTCCTATGTTTATCTGTTCTATTGTGTCCAGAGTTTCTAAGACGTAAGGATGAGGAATGGGGCAACTCTACTTGGACAGAAACAGAAGTCTGCCTAGTAGCTTTTTGCTTTATTAAGGAAAGGAGAGCAGGAAGGAGGGAGAAAGGGAGAATTTCCTTTAACTTTTTTGAGGTATAATTATCAATAATTCACCCATTTAAAGTACCAATCCAGTGTTTTTAGAACATTCAAAGAGCTATGTAACCAACACAAAGTCAGTTTTGGAAGATTATTATCACCCCAAAAAGAAACCTTGTGCTTTTTTGTTTTGGTGTGTGTGTGTGTTTTGTTTGTTTGTTTGTTTTTTTGAGACGGAGTTTCGCTCTTGTTGCCCAGGCTGCAGTGCAGTGGCATGATCTTGGCTCACTGCAACCTCTGTCTCCCAGTTTTCAAGCAATTCTTCTGCCTCAGCCTCTCAAGTAGCTGGGATTACAAGCGCATGCTACCGCACCCAGCTAATTTTGTATTTTTCATGGAGACAGGGTTTCACCATGTTGGTCAGGCTGGCTGGTCTCTAACTCCCGGCCTCAGGTAATCCACCTGCCTCAGCCTCCCAAAGTGCTGGGATTACAGGCGTGACCCACTACGCCTGGCCACTTTGTACTCTTTAGCAAGCACCAGCTGCCATTTGTTGTTTCCCTCCCCACTGGCCCAAGGAGCCACCAGACTACTTTCTGTCTCTATAGATTTCATTTTTTCTGGACATTTCATATAAATGGAACCATATAAATATGTGGTCTTTTGTGATTGGCTTTTTTCACTTAGCATAATGTTTTCAAGGTTCATCCATGTTGTAGCATGCGTCAGTGCTGCTTCCTTTTTATGGTTGAATAATTTTCCATTGTGTAGATATTTATTTATCTACACATTCCATTTATCCATTCCCCTGATGGGCATTTGGACTCTTTTCACTTTTTGGCTATTATGAGTAATAATAAAACCTGAGTTTTTGTGTGGACATATGTTTTCATTTTTCTTGGGTATTTACCTAGGAGGAAAGAACTGGGTCATATGGTAACTCTGTTTAATCATTTGAGGAACTGCCAGACCATTTTCCAAAGTGTTTGCTTCATTTTATTTACCCACCAGCAGTAGATAAGGGCTCTCATTTTTTTTTACATCCCCATTGATACTTATTATTGTCGGGCATTTGATTGTAGCCATCCTAGTAGGTATGAAGTGATATTTCATTGTGATTTTAATATGCATTTCCCTAATGACTAGTGATGTTGAGCATCTTTTCATGTATTTATTGAAACTTTCTACATCTTTTTTGGAGAAATGCCCACTCAAATTATTTGCCCTTTTTAAATTATTGAGATATAAGTCACATACCATAAAATTGAACCTTTTAAAGTAGTCATTGGTTTTTAGTATATACTTAAGGCTGTGCAGTCATCAACACTATTTAAATCCAGACTATTTTCATCAGACCAAAAAGAAATGTTCTACCAATTAGCACTTGAGAATACAGAATAATAAGCAAACTCAGTTTATCCTGCTACACTCTCATAACATGTTTCTGACACCAGATGTGCGGGGTTTTTTCCACACACCAAACAAGCAATAAATTCTGCAGGGGACTCCAGATGGGTGTCCTCCAATTTAATTCTGACATTATCTACCTAGAGATAGTGTCAGATCCAACAGGTTGAGGGCTAAGTCTTATAAGATTGCCTCCTACTTCTGATGCCAGTCACAAGCCCCAGCTTGTTTAACCTGTGCTTCTGACTGACTGGCTATAAATTGGGGTTCCCACACCCCTCTCTTTGGATTTCATTAATTTGCTATAGTGGCTAACAGTACTCTAGGAAACACATTTACCAATTTATTATAAAGGCTGTTACAAAGGATGGAGATGAAGAGATGCATAAGGGTGACATATGGTGGAAGAGGCACAGAGCATCCATGCTGACCCCAAGTGTGCCACCCTCCAGCAACCTCCATGTTCTCAGCTCTTTGAACCCTATCCTAAGCTTTTATTAAGGCTTCATCACATGGCATGATTGACTAAACCACTGGCCATTGTTGATCAACTTAACCTTCAGCCCTCTCCCCTCCCCAGAAGCTGGATTTGGTGCTGAAAGTCCCAACGCTGTAATCCTACCTTGGTCTTTCCAATGGCTAGCCCCCATCCTGAAGCTACAGAGGGACTGACAGCCACTAGTCAACTCATTAACATACAAAAAGATATCACCTTGGAGATTCCAAGGATTTCAGGAATTGTATGCCAAGAAACAGGGACCAAGACCAAATATGTATTTCACAGTATCCCAACAGTCAGTTCCCATTCCACTTTCACCCTAGTCCCCCTGGCAAACACTAATCTACTTTCTGTCCCTGTCAATTTGCCTCCTTGGGACATTTCATATAAATACATACTGTCTCTTCTAATTTGCCAGTGTCCTTTCTTTCACATGGATTCACATTAGTCTTGGGTAACTTGCTTTTAATCTGAAGAACCTCCTTTATATTTCTTACACGCTAAGTCTGCTAGCAACAAATTCTCTGCTTTTTGTTTACCTGGGAATTCCTTTATTTCCCCTTCATTTTTGACAGAAATCTTGCTGCATGTAAGATTCTTGATTGACAGCTTAATATTTAGCACTTTGAATATGTCGTTCCTCTACTTTCTGGTCTCCATGGTTTCTGATGAGAAGTAAACTTAATCTTTTTGAGGTTTCTTTGTACACAAGGAGTCATTTTTCTATTTGAGCATTTTTACTGTGATGTGTTTTAATGTGGATCTATTTGTATGTATCCTACTTAGAGTTTTTTGAACTTCTTGGATGTGTGGATTAATGTTTTTCATCAGATTTGGGAAGCTTTAAGCCATTATTTCTAAAAGTTTTTTCTACTCCTCTCTCAACTCTCTTTCTGTTCACTTATAGTAGGGTATATGTTGGTTCACTTAATGGTATTCCACATTTCTGTGAGGCTTTGTTCATTTTTTCATTTTTTATTCTCTGTGTTTTTCAGAGTGCATAATCTCTATCAGTCTTATCTTCAGGTTCTCTAATTCTTCCTTCTGCCACTTCAGATCCTCTGTTGAGCTGCTTGAGTGAATTTTTCATTGTTTTTGTACTTTTTAACTTCTGAATTTCCATTTGCTTCCTTTTTAAAATTCCCATCTCTTTATTGGTATTCTGTATCTGATGAAAGAAACATTGTCATCATAGCTTCTTTTACTTCTTTAAACATGGGTTCCTTTAGGACTTTGAATATATTTGTAATGGCTGCTTTGAAGGCTTTGGTATATCAGATGCCTGGCCTCTCTAACAGATAGTGTCTATTGACTACACTTTTTTCTGTGTATAGGTCATACTTTTTTCTTTCTTTCCATGTCTCATACTTTTTGTTGAAAACTGGACATTTTAGGTAATATTTTTTAGCACCTCTAGATACTCTTCCCTCCCCGGACTTGTTTTTGTTGTTATTTGCCTGTCTATTTGATCAGAGACTTGACTAGATCATCTTAGTGATGGACTAGTCTTTTTTTCTTCATAGTTTGAAGCCTCTGATGTGACTCCTAAGAGGGCATGGCCTTGGTCAAGCAAACGCAGTCACCCTGAGAAGACAGTGGTTTTTTTTTAGCAGGGCACTCTTTCCCTCTTCCACGAATGTCTCTGTTAGGCTGTCTCCCTCAGTTGTTAGCACACCAGCTGTTGGGTTCCACTAATTACCTGCTGATCATTCTGTTGTTTTTGACAAAGCCCTGGGTCATCTGTTGCCCTACAATCTGATCTAATTAAGTTTGGGTGGTGGCTGTTTTTGAGGTCAGTCTTGAGGTTTGATCATGCTCCATGAGAGGACTTAGTTGTCTCTTTCCTTGGTTCTCTCTGGCAAACTAGTGTGACTACAGTTCAGCTTATTGGTCTCATGAAGCTATGAGGTTACTCTTATTAATAACTGCTTAACCAAAACCTCCATTGTTTTTGAAAGCTTGAACTTTCCCATGCTGTGTTTCAGATAAAGATAGTTTTGTAGGGGGAGAGCTTCAGAATTCTCTGTTTTTAAGGCCTGCTTCTCCTTCTGGCTGAAGTCTACTAGCCATGTCTCTGGAGCTTGAGGCGGGGACAACAGCCCACTTCTCTGAGTGATCCCCCTACTTTGCAAGGTGAGCAGGAATGATAGCTTCTGGTCTTCTTGGCTTGCCTAAGTGTGGAATCTTTGACCTACAGATGAGGTGGAGCAGGGGCACTTGGGAGAAGCCAGCCAGGGTGAGGAGGAAATCCATATGGGAGAGCAGCCCAGCAGTGGCGAAGCCTGAGCCAGATAACACCTGTGTGGGAGAGTGACCTGGCCCAGGTTATTAGAACATTCCCAGGCATCAGAGCTTGGGTCAGGTTGGGAGGGCTCCATGTGGCAGGGTGACCCTACATGGAATATTGGAACATAGGCAGGATGAGGAGAGCATCTACCCAGGTGGGTGGCAGCAGCAGCTTGGCATAGGTGTTAAAGCCCAGATGGGATGAGAGAGGCATCCACATGGAGGAGGGAGCAGAGGTAGTGATGGGAGACTGGTTACATGTAGGGGGCTTGGTCAATTAGGTAAATATATTAAAGATTACTGTGCCCAGGCTTCTCACAGAGTTATAATTATAGGTACAGTTGTGGAAAGGGTGGAAATTAGAGGAACTCTGTGGTGTTGGCTTGGAATTGGTAGCATCAGGGTAAACTCTTGGTTTTCCATATGTATATATGCCTACATATGGGAATAAATATAGATGTAAAGTGTGATAATGTATGTGCCTGTGCATAATATCCATATTCTTTAGCACTGTCCACTGAGAGGGCCTGGCAGCAGTAACACTCTAATGGCAATGAGCATACCTAACACACAGACATTGGTTTCTAGATACCGTTCTTTACTAATAAATGCAAGGGCTTCCGAGTCTAATCATGAGGAAACTGCATGCCCAAATTGAGAGAGATTGCTACAAAATAACTGGCCTATACTCTTCAAAAGTGTCAAGGTCATCAAAGTCAAGGAAAGACTGAGGAACTTGTTCAAGTGTGAAATAGGTGAAAGAAACAGGACAACTAAATACAACATGTCGTTTTACTGTAAGGAACATTTTTGGAGTAATCAGTGAAGCTTGAATGAGGTCTGAGGAATAGAGGGCAAGTAGTAATATCTCAACCATAATTTCCTGATTTGGGGTAATTTTCAAGAATATCTTTGTGGGAAATATACACTAAATTATTTGGCGTAATGGGGCAGCATTTCTGCAAGTTACTCTAAAAAATTCAAGGGAAAATATTCTTTTTTTCTTTTTCTTTTTCTTTTTTTTTTTTTTTGAGACAGTCCCGCTCTGTCACCCAGACTAGAGTGCAGTGGTGCAATCTCAGCTCACTGCAACCTCTGCCTTCCAGGTGCAAGCAATTCTCCTGCCTCAGCCTTCCAAGTAGCTGGTACTACAGGCATGCGCCACTACACCCAGCCCATTTTTGTATTTTTAGTAGAGACTGGGTTTCACCATGTTGGCCAGGTGGGTTTCTAACTACTGACCTCAGGTGATCTGCCCTCCTCAGCCTCCCAAAGTGCTGGGATTACAGGCATGAGCCACCATGCCCAGCCAAGGAAAAATATTATTTGTAACTTTTGTAACTTTTCTGTAAGTTTGACATTGATTCAAAGTAAAAATATAAAATATTCTCAAAAATATATGGGCCAGGCATGGTGGCAGGCACCTGTCATATTGGCTACCAGAGAGGCTGAGGCAGGAAGATTGTTTGAGCCTAGGAATTCAAGGCTGCAGTGAGCTATGATCACGTCACTGCTCTCTAGCCTGTGTGACAGAGCAAGGTGCTGTCTTTAAAAAAAAATTAAAAATTAAAACTAAAGTGTTCGATTGTGTTGCATGCTGCTGCACAGTCAAATAGAAACTCTAAAAAGTCCACCTCAAAACAGATCATCGGAGGCCTTAGCAAGAGTGGTTTGATTTGAGAGTGGAGGCAGAGGCCAGAGCTGAGTAGGCTAAGGATGAGACCTGTGACACGTGGAGATGGCAGGTGTAGTCACCTTGGTTTGGAGGTTTAGCTATGAAGGGGAGAGAAGAAGGGCCCTCAGAAGAAGGGAAATTATAGTGAAAGATCTGGAAACAATTACATATACCTAGGAATGTTTGAAAAACAGAAATAGGGAAAGTCTTGGAAAAGTTCTGTCTTCGGATATTTGAAAATCTTTCAAGACAAAGAGAAGCTTTATTCTTTATTTTCAGTGGGAAGAACCAGAACCGATGTTTATAGAATGGATTTTAACTCAACACTAGAGAACATTTGAAGCCCAGCGTGTTGGCAGGCATCTGTAGTCCCAGCTACTCAAGAGGCTGAGGCAGGAGGAGCCCTCGAGCCCAAAAATTTGAGTGCAGCCTAAGCAACAAAGTGAGATTCCCATCTCTAAAGAAGGAAGGAAAGAAAACATTTGAGCTGTCTAACAGTGGAATAGTCAGTTCCCTTGTGAAAAGTGAGCCTCTTGTCACAAAAAGTAGAGAACACGAGGCTGGAAATTCAGCTGTACAGCAAATTCCTGGAAGTAACTCCTCCGTGGACTTAAGAATGCGGATAGGTGGGCCTCCCACGCCCACCAGGCACCCACTGCATTCTCAGCCTATTGTTCTATGACTTTAGGAAGCAATGATCCCTTTCTGAAATCTTGAGTATAGAAGGAAATTACTAGTTCTTGGTGTTCTAGATCTCACTTTTCAGTGTTTTACCTGCCCACTTATAGAAATTAAGGAAGAAAAGACTCAGTACTCACTGGTACATTTTAGTGGGTTTCTTTGTTGTGTTTATTGTAACTGATTTCATATTTGTCATGATCAGTATCTCATTTTGTTCCTTAAATATTATTCTAAATTTGGTTCTCGTGTCCAGAGGTGGGTACATTTCTTTTCATCTGCCTCATCAATGCAAGGTATATTCACAGCACCTCATTGTTGGGAACACTGAGCAAGCATGCAGAAAGGGCTGCTTTCACCTTGCAGAATCCTGTTTGCGTTAGGCTTGACTTCCTTAGACATTGACACAGGGTCACTGACTGTACGGTAACTGGGGTAAGCTCAGTCATTTTGTGTTTATTTGAGGTCAACCCAGGGCTCAAGATTTCACCACAGAGATTATTCTTGAGGTGATCTATAAACCATCCCTTCCTTAGCTTGGTCCAAATAAGTCCTACCCCTACCCCTTATCTAATGAAATTAGTTGTCATTTTTAGTGTAGTTGAAAGCAGTTACTTTTGACTTTTCTCTGTAGATGTCCTCAGATGCTGGTTCTCCAGGCCATGGACTTGTTTCTGCAGAGCTCACCACTCTTGTTTCTCAAGAGCTAAGTTAACATTCTGGAGTGCCACATACTCAGAAGCACAGACTTGCCCAGAAATCTTCTTAGACTCCCTCTTACACAGATAGCAAATACACAGCTCCTTAGTTTGAGCATTTAGGGCCTCCTGCCAGTAAGTTCATGTTCTTGTCATGCAGACCTCTGTGCAACTGCTGTTTCTGTGTTGCCCTTAGGGTCCTGAGGGCCTTGCCTAGAATAATCCTCATATAATTCCTCCGACAGGAAAGCTGTGCTTTCTTCCATGGCTGCATTCTAAATAACAAAGGCATGATACTATACATAGAGTAGGAATTTGGACACCAAATCGGGATTCTGTGTCCCTGTCTTATTCGACAAAAGTGCACATTACTGGGGAGATGGGGGCGGCATTTTAAAAGGAGCTTGGTATAGCATTAGTAATCGTTAAAAAAAAAAAAATAGAAAATAGCCTTATCTGTAGCAGTACAGTAGTTTGTTTCTGTGCACACACATCTGAAATACCACTTGTGCAGAGAGCTAGCGAGCAAGCGAGGGCGCAGCCTGACATTAACAAGGGAGGAGGCGGACAATGAGTACATTAGTGGTTGTTGCACTTTCTGTTTTCTTTATATCCTTTATCTTCAAGTTGCAACCTCCCCCTCATCTAGTTCCTTTAAAAATGTGATATTTAGTGATCTTTCTTTGTATGCCTCTGCCAAGACATTATTGAAGCTTCTTTTTTCCCTCACTGCAACAAAAGGCAGAGAATGGTGTTTTGAGTTTTTGAGAGGCATGGCTACTATAACTGTCCAACAGAGGCATAACTAAGAATTGGGTTTTTATATTCTGAAAATGAACACATGAAGTTAAATGTCTTCTGATAATATATCACCTCTAAAAATGTCTTTATTTGTTCTATCCAAGTATTTCTTTAATAGTTTTACCAAGAAAAAATAGAAGTGGTTTTGGTTATGAAAAATTGGATGATATTTTAATAATCTTGTAAGGTGTCCAGCATATCCCACTTTATTACAATTAACTTTTTTCTGCACTATTCAAACGAGGAGTAGAAAGGTAATTTTTTTCAAAATATCCAGAGACAGGTTGTGAACAGAATAACAGAATTTAAGCCTTTTAACATGTATGTAAAAGGCAGTTTTTGCATCAGGAAGACAGTTTTCTAAATTCACTACAGTATTTTGGGGAGTAATTCTTTGGTTAGATATTTTAAGTGCATTTGAGAAACAAAATTTAGTAATCAATATATTTAAAATTTATATTATTCTTCCCTATATTTGAACAATTTGTCCAAAATGCAATCTGTTCATATTGGATTTTGCCTGTTCAGATCTAAGTGGGAATCAGTAGTTTCTTTGTTTGTCGCCATGGAAACCAGTCAGCCAATCTGAATGGCTCTTAGATCATACAGAACGATGCAATGCTCCCTGCTCTCAGTGAAAGTTCCTCACTGAGTGAGTGGGGCTGACTCTTCCTGCCTCCGGCTCTTGCCTCCCAGTGCCATGCAGGTGCAGGATGCAACCAGGCGGCCCTCAGCCGTGCGCTTCCTCAGCTCCTTTCTCCAGGGCCGCCGGCACTCCACCTCAGACCCAGTACTGCGGCTGCAGCAGGCCCGGCGGGGCTCTGGCTTGGGCTCCGGCTCTGCCACGAAGCTGCTGTCCTCGTCCTCTCTCCAGGTGATGGTGGCTGTTTCCTCAGTCAGCCATGCAGAGGGAAACCCAACTTTCCCCGAAAGAAAAAGTAAAGGTCTCTTTCTTCTTATAGATTGCCATACCTATGTATATAAGTTTGAGGAATGGGAATCAGCTGTGTTGTGTTTATACCTTTTTAAATATTGGCAGTTTATTCTATATTATACTTTTTGCTGTCTGTTATGCTATTTTAGTGAATATATAAGAGGATATAAAATGATCAAATGTTTTGTGTTTTTTTATTAAAAATATAGGTTTGAACAAAACTCATTCTCTTGTAAAACATCTGCTTCTACAGTTTCTTCCTCCTAATTGCCAGTATGTGTGGAGATTATTATATGTGAAAGCTTTTTTACATTAAGAGATATATGTCACTTTGACAGGGAAACAGTTTTGTTTTCTTGACAAGATGAAGGTGATTTTGCACTGGCTTGTCATCTACCATCCTGAGATAAAATGGAAGCTATTTCCCATGTTACAATTTCATTTGGAGAGTGGAATTTTGAATTTTCCTTTCCTTATATGTTCTAGGAAATTTAGAACGTCCAACACCAAAGTACACAAAAGTAGGGGAGCGTTTACGGCATGTCATTCCTGGACACATGGCATGTTCCATGGCGTGTGGCGGTAGAGCTTGCAAGTATGAGAACCCAGCCCGCTGGAGTGAGCAGGAGCAAGCCATTAAGGGGGTTTACTCATCCTGGTGAGTGATCCTGTTGGTCTTTCATAGCTCTGTTGGATACAGGAAGGACACTCTGTGTGAGCCAGGAGCCCTGAAGTGTGGGAGGAGCAGTGTGGGACTTTGAAGTCAGGACCTCACTTTGCCAGTCAGTTCTGGCTTTGCCTTAGCTGTGTGATCTTGGCCTATTGACCCTCAGTTTCTTTATCTGTAAGGTGGAAATAATAAAACCAAAACCATAGGGTTTTTTAATTAAGTGAAATGATATATATAAAGTGTATTGAAGAAATGGATAATTAGATAGCTCTTAAATTTCAGAAATGTTTAGAAATAATAAAACTTCAGCTATAAATTTGAGAAAATTATGATGTACATGTGTAATTTTTCAGTTTCATGTAGGTAAGCTTTAGCTTTTATGTTATTCCTATATTCTATATGAAAGGTCACATTTTCATACAAATACCCTTCAGTCTACCCTAATAAAAGTGGTACAAGTTGTCAGCTCAGTAGAAAACATAAGATATTTGCTTTTTTTATGGTGTATAAGTGAAATTAATATTGTTCTTTAATCATACTGCTTTTTATTAAACAGTAAACTAGTCAAATACACCTTTTTGATGTAGTAACATCTGAAAAATTCTGATAAATCACATTTGAAGCATACTTAGAGGAATTCACTGTTTAATTCTAGTAGTGAATTATTTTATACATCAAGAACCCATTTTTCAATTAGATATTTGTCAACTGGCTTATCCAGCTTACAACCTGTACTTTTTCATATTGGATTTGCTCAGTACATCTGTAGTGATATAGTCTGGGGTCCACTGTCATTATTGTTCACCACAGGTCATATTCTGGTCCATCACTATCATACTAATAGTATGAAGAAGGAAACATTCATAGTCAGACAAGAAAATTTCTAATAATGTAGCTTAGGTCATTTGCATATTTTTGCTTTATTGCTGACTAAATCATGTGAGTCTTTTTCACCTCTGCTGCTTTCACGTTACATCCCCCTTCATCTTACACTAATTATCACTGGGGGTCCAAACTTTTGGGTCCCATGTTAAACCATATGCCTTCTTTCAGAGGGAAAGGTGTCATTTTGGATCCTGCCCTGACAGTCTCTGTTATTCCCCTGAGATTCATGTGACCCACGACTTCCAACAGACTTACCTTATATATCTCATCAGGCCACTGATGAGAAATTTGAACAGAACAGAGTGAAGCCAGAGCCCAGAGGCCTGACAAGAGTAATAGTCATTTATTGGGCGTCTGCCCACTCATTCATTCAGTAAATATCCATTTGGCTGTAGGCCAGTCAGTGTGCTAGATGCTTTCATACTATTATCTTTTATCTTCATAAAACTCTTGTGAGCTGTTAATGCCATTTTATCAATGAAAGAATTGAGTTCCAGAGAGACCAAGTAATTTGCTACCAAGCTAGAAAGTAGAAGAGCCAGCATTTGAAACCAAGCCCAACTGACTCTGGAGCCCATATTTGTCACCAAATTACAGTAACTCAGTATTTATTCATAACTGCATGTCAGGATTTGTGCCAAAGACTTTACATCCACATCATATTGAATTCTCACACCAACCCTGTGAGACAGGCATTATTATCCCCATTTAACACCTTGTAACTAAGATTCAGATAGTTGAATAACAAAATATCTCCCAGTTGGCCCTCCTCATGTAAGTCACTACCCATTGAGTAACAATCCAGACTGTTACCTTCACCACCAGCTGAGTTTTCTCCATCATGTCCACTAAAATCTCTTGAGAGTTCTTGAAAATACTTTGCTGGAATCCACAAATAATTTATGTCTTGGAATTTTTTCCAGGGATTTAAGAAGCTAGAGTTTCTTAGAGCTCTAATCATCCAAAATTGAAGCCAGATTTGTATAAGAATATTCTTACACGGGTGCACCAAAATCTCAAAATTCACCACTAAATAACTCATCTATGTAACCTGAAATAATCTGTACCCCAAAAACTATTGAAATTTTAAAAATTAACCTAAAGAGAAAAAAAGCAAAGTATCTAACAGTGCCTTTACTAGACTACCTTTTGTACAAGAAAAAGCAGATAAATAAGAATAAATATTCATATTTGCTTATATTTGCAAAAATAAACACTAAGATGGTAAACATGAAGTTAATACAAATGATTACATATGGGGAACAAACTGAATGGAGTGGATGAAAACGGTTGAGAGCAAACATTTTAGTGCATACCTTTTTGTATTGTTTTGATTTTATTGAACCATGAAACTGTATTATCTGTTCAAATAAAATTTATACACAAAAAAGAATATTCTAACAGAGTTGTTGAAATCATAGAAAAAATCATCTCTCAGGACTGGAACATCTCTTTGGACTGGAACTTCCTAGGTTTCAGCACATCTCACCAGTCCCTCCACCTATTTGCAGGGTCACTGATAATATACTGGCCATGGCCCGCCCATCCTCTGAGCTCCTGGAGAAGTACCACATCATTGATCAGTTCCTCAGGTAAATGCTGTATTGTTCACACACGAGTGAGCAAACTCATGTGTTTTTTTCTTTCATTGCCTTTGTTTCAAGTGAAAGAGTGCTTTCATTTTAACAATAGGCAGTGAAGAGTGTATTTCAAATGAGAAATTAAGATTTTTGAGAGTAATTAATAATGTTGATTAATACCAAAAATGGTTAATTTTTTTTAAATGCTAGCTCCCAATATGACTGACTGCCCTTTTTCCTTTAAGCCATGGCATAAAAACAATAATCAACCTCCAGCGCCCTGGTGAGCATGCTAGCTGTGGGAACCCTCTGGAACAAGAAAGTGGCTTCACATACCTTCCTGAGGCTTTCATGGAGGCTGGCAGTAAGTTCCTCCCACCCTCCTCTCATGAATTATCAAGGGCAGCACTCAGAGGCTTTTCTCTGCTGGGTTCTTAGATTAAAAAGATGATGGAAATAAATACCTTCTGCATCATAGTAAGGTTTAGAAAAAATGAGCTACCATTCTCTTTGGTATTGCTGTTGAAAGTAAAGGATTTCTTTGTTCCTGTAAGAGGGATGTTGGGAGGAGACCCTGTAGTAATAATGATTAACATTTAGTTAATGCTTACAGTGTGCCAGTCACTATTATCTCATTTAACCCTTAAAGCAGTTGTGTAACAAAATTATTATTTCTGTTTTACATATGAAGCCACACGGGGCTTAGAGAATTACCTGTTTGCCTAAGATCACACAGCTTAGAAATGGTAGTCAGGTTTGGAACCTGGACATGCTCCAGGTTTACTGCTGTCCAGCCCTGCTCCCAAAATGATGCCCAGGAATTCTACTTCTAACAATTTCAAAGCCGCCTCAATCACAGGAGCTTTGGGATGAAATACACTCAACATGTGTCCTTCAAACCAGGCTGGAAAGGATAAACAATCTTGGAACTTGTTTTTAAGAAGCTTATTTACACTAGATAGAAAATCCATATATACTGTCTTAAGCTATTTATCAGTCATTTAGACACATTTCCCTGCTTAAACAAGAATGTATGCTTTCTCTCCAAAGCTGAGTAACTATAGCATGAATCATTGACTTTATTAATTTGTAATTATACTTCGCCATAATTCTTTCTGGCTGAGTTTCTGCAGGAAATGTCTTTTTTTTTTCATATTTACATTTTTATTTTATTTTTTTTTAATTTTTTTTTATTATACTTTAAGTTTTAGGGTACATGTGCACATTGTGCAGGTTAGTTACATATGTATACATGTGCCATGCTGGTGCACTGCACCCACTAACTCGTCATCTAGCATTAGGTATATCTCCCAATGCTATCCCTCCCCCCTCCCCCCACCCCACAACAGTCCCCAGAGTGTGATATTCCCCTTCCTGTGTCCATGTAATCTCATTGTTCAATTCCCACCTATGAGTGAGAATATGCGGTGTTTGCTTTTTGTTCTTGCGATAGTTTACTGAGAATGATGATTTCCAATTTCATCCATGTCCCTACAAAGGACATGAACTCATCATTTTTTATGGCTGCATAGTATTCCATGGTGTATATGTGCCACATTTTCTTAATCCAGTCTATCATTGTTGGACATTTGGGTTGGTTCCAAGTCTTTGCTATTGTGAATAGTGCCGCAATAAACATACGTGTGCATGTGTCTTTATAGCAGCATGATTTATAGTCCTTTGGGTATATACCCAGTAATGGGATGGCTGGGTCAAATGGTATTTCCAGTTCTAGATCCCTGAGGAATTGCCACACTGACTTCCACAATGGTTGAACTAGTTTACAGTCCCACCAACAGTGTAAAAGTGTTCCTATTTCTCCACATCCTCTCCAGCACCTGTTGTTTCCTGACTTTTTAATGATTGCCATTCTAACTGGTGTGAGATGGTATCTCATTGTGGTTTTGATTTGCATTTCTCTGATGGCCAGTGATGATGAGCATTTTTTCATGTGTTTTTTGGCTGCATAAATGTCTTCTTTTGAGAAGTGTCTGTTCATGTCCTTTGCCCACTTTTTGATGGGGTTGTTTGTTTTTTTCTTGTAAATTTGTTTGAGTTCATTGTAGATTCTGGATATTAGCCCTTTGTCAGATGAGTAGGTTGCAAAAATTTTCTCCCATTTTGTAGGTTGCCTGTTCATTCTGATGGTAGTTTCTTTTGCTGTGCAGAAGCTCTTTAGTTTAATTAGATCCCATTTGTCAATTTTGTCTTTTGTTGCCATTGCTTTTGGTGTTTTAGACATGAAGTCCTTGCCCATGCCTATGTCCTGAATGGTAATGCCTAGGTTTTCTTCTAGGGTTTTTATGGTTTTAGGTCTAACGTTTAAGTCTTTAATCCATCTTGAATTGATTTTTGTATAAGGTGTAAGGAAGGGATCCAGTTTCAGCTTTCTACGTATGGCTAGCCAGTTTTCCCACCACCATTTATTAAATAGGGAATCCTTTCCCCATTGCTTGTTTTTGTCAGGTTTGTCAAAGATCAGATAGCTGTAGATATGTGGCGTTATTTCTGAGGGCTCTGGTCTGTTCCATTGATCTATATCTCTGTTTTGGTACCAGTACCATGCTGTTTTGGTTACTGTAGCCTTGTAGTATAGTTTGAAGTCAGGTAGTGTGATGCCTCCAGCTTTGTTCTTTTGGCTTAGGATTGACTTGGTGATGCGGGCTCTTTTTTGGTTCCATATGAACTTTAAAGTAGTTTTTTCCAATTCTGTGAAGAAAGTCATTGGTAGCTTGATGGGGATGGCATTGAATCTGTAAATTACCTTGGGCAGTATGGCCATTTTCACGATATTGATTCTTCCTACCCATGAGCATGGAATGTTCTTCCATTTGTTTGTGTCCTCTTTTATTTCCTTGAGCAGTGGTTTGTAGTTCTCCTTGAAGAGGTCCTTCACATCCCTTGTAAGTTGGATTCCTAGGTATTTTATTCTCTTTGAAGCAATTGTGAATGGGAGTTCACTCATGATTTGGCTCTCTGTTTGTCTGTTGTTGGTGTATAAGAATGCTTGTGATTTTTGTACATTGATTTTGTATCCTGAGACTTTGCTGAAGTTGCCTGTCAGCTTAAGGAGATTTTGGGCTTGAGACAATGGGGTTTTCTAGATATACAATCATGTCGTCTGCAAACAGGGACAATTTGACTTCCTCTTTTCCCAATTGAATACCCTTTATTTCCTTCTCCTGCCTAATTGCCCAGGCCAGAACTTCCAACACTATGTTGAATAGGAGTGGTGAGAGAGGGCATCCCTGTCTTGTGCCAGTTTTCAAAGGGAATGCTTCCAGTTTTTGCCCATTCAGTATGATATTGGCTGTGGGTTTGTCATAGATAGCTCTTATTATTTTGAAATACGTCCCATCAATGCCTAATTTATTGAGAGTTTTTAGTATGAAGGGTTGTTGAATTTTGTCAAAGGCTTTTTTCTGCATCTATTGAGATAATCATGTGGTTTTTGTCTTTGGCTCTGTTTATATGCTGGATTACATTTATTGATTTGCGTATATTGAACCAGCCTTGCATCCCAGGGATGAAGCCCAGTTGATCATGGTGGATAAGCTTTTTGATGTGCTGCTGGATTCGTTTTGCCAGTATTTTACTGAGGATTTTTGCATCAATGTTCATCAAGGATATTGGTCTAAAATTCTCTTTTTTTGTTGTGTCTCTGCCTGGCTTTGGTATCAGAATGATGCTGGCCTCATAAAATGAGTTAGGGAGGATTCCCTCTTTTTCTGTTGATTGGAATAGTTTCAGAAGGAATGGTACCAGTTCCTCCTTATACCTCTGGTAGAATTCGGCTGTGAATCCATCTGGTCCTGTACTCTTTTTGGTTGGTAAGCTATTGATTATTGCCACAATTTCAGCTCCTGTTATTGGTCTATTCAGAGATTCAACTTCTTCCTGGTTTAGTCTTGGGAGAGTTTATGTGCAGAGGAATTTATCCATTTCTTCTAGATTTTCTAGTTTATTTGCATAGAGGTGTTTGTAGTATTCTCTGATGGTAGTTTGTATTTCTGTGGGATCAGTGGTGATATCCCCTTTATCATTTTTTATTGCGTCTATTTGATTCTTCTCTCTTTTTTTCTTTATTAGTCTTGCTAGCGGTCTATCAATTTTGTTGATCTTTTCAAAAAACAAGCTCCTGGATTCATTAATTTATTGAAGGGTTTTTTGTGTCTCTGTTTCCTTCAGTTCTGCTCTGAGTTTAGTTATTTCTTGCCTTCTGCTAGCTTTTGAATGTGTTTGCTCCTGCTTTTCTAGTTCTTTTAATTGTGATGTTAGGTTGTCAATTTTGGATCTTTCCTGCTTTCTCTTGTGGGCATTTAGTGCTATAAATTTCCCTCTACACACTGCTTTGAATGCGTCCCAGAGATTCTGGTATGTTGTGTCTTTGTTCTCGTTGGTTTCAAAGAACATCTTTATTTCTGCCTTCATTTCGTTATGTACCCAGTAGTCATTCAGGAGCAGGTTGTTCAGTTTCCATGTAGTTGAGTGGTTTTGAGTGAGATTCTTAATCCTGAGTTCTAGTTTGATTGCACTGTGGTCTGAGAGATAGTTTGTTATAATTTCTGTTCTTTTACATTTGCTGAGGAGAGCTTTACTTCCCAGTATGTGGTCAATTTTGGAATAGGTGTGGTGTGGTGCTGAAAAAAATGTATATTCTGTTGATATGGGGTGGAGAGTTCTGTAGATGTCTATTAGGTCTGTTTGGTGCAGAGCTGAGTTCAATTCCTGGGTATCCTTGTTGACTTTCTGTCTCGTTGATCTGTCTAATGTTGACAGTGGGGTGTTAAAGTCTCCCATTATTAATGTGTGGGAGTCTAAGTCTCTTTGTAGGTCACTCAGGACTTGCTTTATGAATCTTGGTGCTCCTGTATTGGGTGCATATATATTTAGGATAGTTAGCTCTTCTTGTTGAATTGATCCCTTTACCATTATGTAATGTCCTTCTTTGTCTCTTTTGATCTTTGTTGGTTTAAAGTCTGTTTTATCAGAGACTAGGATTGCAACCCCTGCCTTTTTTTGTTTTCCATTGGCTTGGTAGATCTTCCTCCATCCTTTTATTTTGAGCCTCTATGTGTCTCTGCACGTGAGATGGGTTTCCTGAATACAGCACACTGATGGGTCTTGACTCTTTATTCAATTTGCCAGTCTGTGTCTTTTAATTGGAGCATTTAGTCCATTTACATTTAAAGATAATATTGTTATGTGTGAATTTGATCCTGTCATTATGATGTTAGCTGGTTATTTTGCTCGTTAGTTGATGCAGTTTCTTCCTAGTCTCAATGGTCTTTACATTTTGGCATGATTTTGAAGTGGCTGGTACCGGTTGTTCCTTTCCATGTTTAGTGCTTCCTTCAGGAGCTCTTTTAGGGCAGGCCTGGTGGTGACAAAATCTCTCAGCATTTGCTTGTCTGTAAAGTATTTTATTTCTCCTTCACTTATGAAGCTTAGTTTGGCTGGATATGCAATTCTGGGTTGAAAATTCTTTTCTTTAAGAATGTTGAATATTGGCCCCCACTCTCTTCTGGCTTGTAGGGTTTCTGCCGAGAGATCCGCTGTTAGTCTGATGGGCTTCCCTTTGAGGGTAACCCGACCTTTCTCTCTGGCTGCCCTTAACATTTTTTCCTTCATTTCAACTTTGGTGAATCTGACAATTATGTGTCTTGGAGTTGCCTTCTCGAGGAGTATCTTTGTGGTGTTCTCTGTATTTCCTGAATCTGAACATTGGCCTGCCTTGCTAGATTGGGGAAGTTCTCCTGGATAATATCCTGCAGAGTGTTTTCCAACTTGGTTCCATTCTCCACATCACTTTCAGGTACACCAATCAGACGTAGATTTGGTCTTTTCACATAGTCCCATATTTCTTGGAGGCTTTGCTCATTTCTTTTTATTCTTTTTTCTCTAAACTTCCCTTCTCGCTTCATTTCATTCATTTCATCTTCCATTGCTGATACCCTTTCTTCCAGTTGATCGCATCGGCTCCTGAGGCTTCTGCATTCTTCACGTAGTTCTCGAGCCTTGGTTTTCAGCTCCATCAGCTCCTTTAAGCACTTCTCTGTATTGGTTATTCTAGTAATACATTCTCCTAAATTTTTTTCAAAGTTTTCAACTGCTTTGCCTTTGGTTTGAATGTCCTCCCGTAGCTCAGAGTAATTTGATCATCTGAAGTCTTCTCTCAGCTTGTCAAAGTCATTCTCCATCCAGCTTTGTTCCGTTGCTGGTGAGGAACTGCGTTCCTTTGGAGGAGGAGAGGTGCTCTACTTTTTAGAGTTTCCAGTTTTTCTGTTCTGTTTTTTCCCCATCTTTGTGGTTTTATCTACTTTTGGTCTTTGATGATGGTGATGTACAGATGGGTTTTTGGTGTGGATGTCCTTTCTGTTTGTTAGTTTTCCTTCTAACAGAGAGGACCCTCAGCTGCAGGTCTGTTGGAATACCCTGCCGTGTGAGGTGTCAGTGTGCCCCTGCTGGTGCCTCCCAGTTAGGCTGTTCTGGGGTCAGGGGTCAGGGACCCACTTGAGGAGGCAGTCTGCCCGTTCTCAGATTTCCAGCTGCGTGCTGGGAGAACCACAGCTCTTTTCAAAGCTGTCAGACAGGGACATTTAAGTATGCAAAAGTTACTGCTGTCTTTTTGTTTGTCTGTGCCCTGCCCCCAGAGGTGGAGCCTATAGAGGCAGGCAGGCCTCCTTGAGCTGTGGTGGGCTCCACCCAGTTCGAGCTTCCCGGCTGCTTTGTTTACCTAAGCAAGCCTGGGCAATGGCGGGCACCCCTCCCCCAGCCTTGCTGCCGCCTTGCAGTTTGATCTCAGACTGCTGTGCTAACAATCAGCGAGACTCCGTGGGCGTAGGACCCTCCGAGCCAGGTGCGGGATATAATCTTGTGGTGCGCAGTTTTTTAAGCCCGTCCGAAAAGCGCAGTGTTCGGGTGGGAGTGACCCGACTTTCCAGGTGCCGTCCATCACCCCTTTCTTTGACTCAGAAAGGGAACCCCCTGACCCCTTGCGCTTCCCAAGTGAGGCAGTGCCTCGCCCTGCTTCGGCTGAGGCACGGTGCGTGCGCCCACTGACCTGCGCCCACTGTCTGGCACTCCCTAATGAGATGAACCCGGTACCTCAGATGGAAATGCAGAAATCACCCGTCTTCTGCGTCGCTCACGCTGGGAGCTGTAGACCGGAGCTGTTCCTATTCGGCCATCTTGGCTCCTCCCCTCAGGAAATGTCTTAAGTAACATAAAATGTGCTTTGTGAGTAAATGTTAACAGTAAAGTTACTGGGAATGTAAAATCCCTCTTATTTTATGCAGTGTATGCACTGAGATCTACATGCCTCAGTCTCAGTGTAGATCTGTGTACTTTTCATTAGTGTTTGTACTTTCATTAATTTCCTGTATGTTGATTTTCTTTTCCTTTTCTTTTTTCCTAGTTTACTTCTACAATTTCGGATGGAAGGATTATGGTGTAGCGTCTCTTACTACTATCCTAGATATGGTGAAGGTGATGACATTTGCCTTACAGGAAGGAAAAGTAGCTATCCATTGTCATGCAGGGCTTGGTCGAACAGGTAGGTCCTAAGAGGTGGTTTATTGCCTGTAGGCATATTTAAACATAAAAGGAATAAGATTTCCTAATTTGAGGGTAAATGTTTCTCAGAATCCTATCAAAGCTTTGGAGTCAGGTGGAAGAAGGGAATAAGTTCTAGTGTTCTGTACCACTGTAGGGTGTCTATAGTTAAAATGATATATAGTTTCAAATAGCTAGAAGGAGGATATTGAATGTTCCCAACACAAATGCATGATAAATGTTGAAGATTATGCGTATACTAAATACACTGATCTGATCACTATACATTATATGTATTAAAACATCACTATATACCCCATAGATATGTATAATTATTATGTTAACATTAAAAATTAAATCAAAAAAAATTTTAAGATATTTGAAATACCGTAAACAGGTAGTTACAATGACCGTATATATATCATTTTAAAGTCTTTAGCAACAATGTGAGTTGGAGAAACTGCAATTTGAGAGAAGTAATTTGCTACATTTAGTAAGTGCCAGGGCCACACTTTAAATCCATGGTTGTCTGACTCCAGAGTTCATGTGCTTTCCATTTTTGGAGGTATAAGGATTTTGTTTGTGAAGAAGAGTCTATCTGTGCCCAGAATTCTATTAAAAAGTCAGTGATTTTACTTAAAACATTCAGCTGAATTTCATTACAGTGCTGATATTGGGGCAAAAATGAAGGCCGTAGGGCTGAAATTTTCATTGTCATCTGATCCAACCACATGCAGCTCAGCTCTGTCCGCAGTGTACCTGTGCTCCTGCCAGGGGATCTGCCACATACCTGGAAGCATGCGCAGGGGAGGGGACTCAGCTCTGCTTGAGATTAGTAGCTCTTAGGATCAAGCCAAAATCTCACTGTTTCTAGACATTGACATGATAGCTCTGCAGACATTTTACATTTATACTAAGATCTTCTGTGTCCTAGTGAGAAAGGTATGTTGTTACCGACTGTGAACTGGAGAGCATGCAGTTTTCAGAGGTTCTGATTTTCATATGTAACAAGATGTTCACAAACTTGGGGATCACACAGGTGTATTTGATTTGCCTTTTACTTTAATATTAATTGACTGTTATATTTGAATTAATTTATTAATTATTACCTTTTAACTAGTAATAACCTTACTAGTTATTCCTTTTAATTAGATGTTAGTAAGAATACCTAATGTTTATACCACTAAGCCTGGCTTCCTTAAGATTGCTTAATTTTCCATAATTGCTTATGGAAAAATAGAATTATATCATGGTCTGAAGGAAAACACATATTAGTATAGGCACAATCTGGAAAAAGAATTGCCAAGAAGAAAAGTAGGCTGCAAATATGAATAATCCCTAAAGAAGAAACTGCCGTGGTAGGGAGAGTGCCAAGCTGGGATGTGCCAGCAGTTGATGGCAAAGATAGCAGGGTGGGAGGTTCCAAACACAAAGTGTATGGATTGATTGGATGGAAATTCTCAAGAACTGTTCAGAGTGGAAAATAGAAACAGGATTTGCTTTCTTCTGATGGAGTTAAGTAGAACAAGGAGGATAGATGGGCCAGATGATCAGTTTCCCTTCCCTCCTGCACACTTACTCACCTACCTTGTGCCTGTGCTGGCACAGCTCTGGGCTACTGAGATGACTCAGTCATGGGGAGGCGGTGCCACATAGACATTTAATAAAGTTCTGTGCAGTAAGGAACGTGCAAAATAACACCTCTACAAAAAGTCACAAAGTTATCATCATAATTGTCCTTAAAATGTGTCTCTATTTATATGGTTTCTTAACACATATTCAAATTGTAAATCATCAAAGAGTGATAAATAAAATAAATAAAAATGTAAGCTTTTCTCATACCAGTCTTCTCTTCTTCACTGTTTAGGTGTTTTAATAGCCTGTTACTTAGTTTTTGCAACGAGAATGACTGCTGACCAAGCAATTATATTTGTGCGGGCAAAGCGACCCAATTCCATACAAACCAGAGGACAGCTCCTCTGTGTAAGGGAATTTACTCAGTTTCTAACTCCTCTCCGCAATATATTCTCTTGCTGTGATCCCAAAGCACATGCTGTCACCTTACCTCAATATCTAATTCGCCAGCGTCATCTGCTTCATGGTTATGAGGCACGACTTCTGAAACACGTGCCAAAAATTATCCACCTAGTTTGCAAATTGCTGCTGGACTTAGCGGAGAACAGGCCAGTGATGATGAAGGATGTGTCCGAAGGACCTGGTCTCTCTGCTGAAATAGAAAAGACAATGTCTGAGATGGTCACCATGCAGCTGGATAAAGAGTTACTGAGGCATGACAGTGATGTGTCCAACCCGCCTAACCCCACTGCAGTGGCAGCAGATTTTGACAATCGAGGCATGATTTTCTCCAATGAGCAACAGTTTGACCCTCTTTGGAAAAGGCGGAATGTTGAGTGCCTTCAACCCCTGACTCATCTGAAAAGGCGGCTCAGCTACAGTGACTCAGATTTAAAGAGGGCCGAGAACCTCCTGGAGCAAGGGGAGACTCCACAGACAGTGCCTGCCCAGATCTTGGTTGGCCACAAGCCCAGGCAGCAGAAGCTCATAAGCCATTGTTACATCCCACAGTCTCCAGAACCAGACTTACACAAGGAAGCCTTGGTTCGCAGCACACTTTCTTTCTGGAGTCAGTCAAAGTTTGGAGGCCTGGAAGGACTCAAAGATAATGGGTCACCAATTTTCCATGGAAGGATCATTCCAAAGGAAGCACAGCAGAGTGGAGCTTTCTCTGCAGATGTTTCAGGCTCACACAGCCCTGGGGAGCCAGTTTCACCCAGCTTTGCAAATGTCCATAAGGATCCAAACCCTGCTCACCAGCAAGTGTCTCACTGTCAGTGTAAAACTCATGGTGTTGGGAGCCCTGGCTCTGTCAGGCAGAACAGCAGGACACCCCGAAGCCCTCTGGACTGTGGCTCCAGTCCCAAAGCACAGTTCTTGGTTGAACATGAAACCCAGGACAGTAAAGATCTGTCTGAAGCAGCTTCACACTCTGCATTACAGTCTGAATTGAGTGCTGAGGCAAGAAGAATACTGGCGGCCAAAGCCCTAGCAAATTTAAATGAATCTGTAGAAAAGGAGGAACTAAAAAGGAAGGTAGAAATGTGGCAGGTATTATTAGTACTTAATTTAATTATAGATATGTGGGAAATATTTATGTCAGGGCAAAAGTGTGATACATTTTCCCAAACTTATTTATTATAGAAATGTGAAGATACGTTTGCATAATACTTTCTAACTTCAGGTTTCTCGTCTCTGATGCGAACCTGATGTTATAGAAAAAACACAGGGTGTTTGTATGGTTTCATTTAAATCTGCATACTCAAGAAAGCACTTGGTGTGATGCTTGACCCACACAAGGCATTGATATTAGTAGTTTCCTTCTTCCTGGGCCTATGGGGGCAACTGGCCCACAGCAGACAGCATTCGAAACTGACTAGAAGCATCTTTATGAGGCCTGGCAGAGGGAATCATACTTTGAGAACTACTGACGTGCAGACATAAATAAAATGTTTATTTTTCAAAGCTCATCAACACTGGTGCTGAGCAAGGTCAGAAGAGTGAGGCTGTCTCTTTGGCATCCTCTCCTTCAGACTTGCCAATCCTGCCCTAATAGGGCAACTATGGGAAATCAGGAGAGCAAGTGGGTGAAACCACAGATTACTACGTGCCATTCACTTTAGCTGAGTTGAGGTCTTTGGGGTCCATTTCTTAGCTTTTACTTCAATTAGAATGTAAATGTTTAACTCTTTTTTGTGTTGTGCTTTTACTAGGATACAGTCATAAGTCAGCCACACTTTCTTTGCCCTGAATGAGCACCTGTTCTCGAGAAAAGATAGGCCTTATAAACCTAGCTATGAGAAACAGCTAAACTACCCCAAAAGGAGGCTGACTTGGACAGTCGTGAATCACCGAGATCTTGACTTTTGAGCCCATAACCTACTGTGAATTATTTTAATAGCTCGCTTTCATAGTCTGCCATTGATTAAACAAGGCATATAAAATTTCTGAGTGCCAGTATCTCTTCAGTTGCAGAGGCATGAAAATTAAGTTTGGAGCTTCACATTAACTTTTAATTATATGATGGGAGGAGAGAACTTTTGATAAAAATTTTGTTCTTCAGAATTGTGTTTCGCCTATCCAATAGTTAAATGTATTGCTTTCTTCCAAAATGAATTGTTTTCTTTATTTTCTGCTCCAAACTGAAAAAGTCTTTCATTCAGTCAGCAAATATTTCCTGGGCATTACTGTGTGTTAAGAGTTAGCAAGAAAGAGAGTCTTCTATTTTAGATGAAAATCTCGCACCCCCACTCCTGGGTCAGCCCCAGTGCCCATGCAAGCTCTGCTGTGGTGATGAAGCGTTCAGGACTTGGTTTGGGCCAGACCGTATGTAGTGTATATGAAAGCATTTTCTGGAGGTGAACACAGACCTTTAATCAGGATAGTTTTGCATTTTTTTCCATTCTAGATTTTATTTTAGGACTTTTAGTTATCAAAAAAATCAGTTGAATTCTGGAAAAGAATAAAATGAACATTATTTGAATAGTATAATGCCACCCATGCCTGTACTAGACCATTTCACATATATTATTTCATGTGATTTTTCACAGTTATCATAGAACATATCTGTAAGGCAGATGATACTATTTCTACAGTCTTTGTTAATCTTGTGAATTCAGTATCACAGATGAGGATGCTAAAGGTCATGAAGGTTAGAGGGTAAGTGACTTGCTCAGGGTCACGTGGCATGCGTGTGGCAGAGTCAGGGTACAGCACATGTGTTTAACACTTTCCATTATCCCAAGATTCTTGGCTAACCTCCCTGGAGAGCCTCAGGAAACATCATGATAAGATAGTCATTTTGCTAAGAGCATTTTTGATTAGTGTCAGTTCTGCCCAGCTTGTCTCCTTCATAAGATTGAATCAAGAGCTACTTTGTTTTATACATGATCTATGGGATATGAAGGACTGTGAATAACAAAGTATTGGTGTATTCATAAGATAATAAAGAGAAGCCCAGTACCAGAGGGCCCTTGTGGCATAATAGAAACAGCACAGACTCTGGAGTAAGGCAGAACTGGGTATGAACACCCCCTTTGCCATTTTCTAGCTTTTGGCTCCTAGGTGAGTTATTTCATCTTTCTTGAGCCCCATTATATGTATTGGTGAGGAAGCTCCCTGCTGGGTGCCATTTGAGAGTTAGAGATAAGACATGTATTACAGTCTCTGTCCCACTGTGTGCATGTAGTAAATATTGGGTAGGTGAATGAATGAGTGAATGGTAGCAATTATTACACTTAACTTCTATTTTGTTAAAATGTATTTGACTCACTAAAACATAAATCTGAACCCTGTCAGAAATTCATGAAAATCCTTATCTCACTTTTCCCTTGCTCTCTGTGAGGTAAAGTATTAAAATCTCATGCTTAAATTTTCTCTAGGCATTTGGAGTATTAGAAAAACTTTCCAGTTATCTTCCCTATGTCAAATTTCAGGACTCGGGGCTTATTGTTAAATCCTACATAGGATGCTAAAAAGATATTTCAAAGAAGTACATATGCCCCATTTACCAGCTTTCAAGCACCTTTATTTTATTTTTGCAGACTTCGAAGCTCAAAGCTTTTCCTTTTCCTTAGACCCCAGGTTAATGTATAAATGTTCCCTTATTTCTACTTTCTCATCTACCATCTACTTTATTGCAAAAAAATAGTTCTGTTTTGTTCACCAGAAGGCTGAAAAGGAAGACTCTTGTGAACTGTTTCTGTGGTTTCTGAATAAAGTAGAGAACTTGGATTAACTAAGCCCTTTCCCTGTGCTATAAGCTTTAACCGACCTTATCTCAGTCAATCAGCCCAACAGCTTGTGAAGCAGGGGATGAGTTTCATAGAGAGAAACTGGGGCTTACAGAATTCAGTGTCTTAGTCCAGTGTCCAGCCTGGAAGTGGAGAGGCTGGGAGGGGTCCCAGTTCTGCACTCTGGAGCCTGAGTCTTTCACTCTTGTGGGCAGCGCAAGAATCATGCAGTGTCAAATGGTGCACCTCCCTCTCCTCTCCCTGTCTCTGTCTCTGTCTGTCTGTCTCTTTCTCTTCCTTTTTAGAAAGAGCTTAATTCCCGAGATGGAGCTTGGGAAAGAATATGTGGCGAGAGGGACCCTTTCATCCTATGCAGCTTGATGTGGTCTTGGGTGGAGCAACTGAAGGAGCCTGTAATCACCAAAGAGGATGTGGACATGTTGGTTGACAGGCGAGCAGATGCCGCAGAAGCACTTTTTTTATTAGAGAAGGTAAAGTGGCTGTAGGACCAGTTAATGACTGTAACTGAGGCCCTTAGTTTTTCACGCAGAAAAAAAAAATCCATTATAAAAAAAGAGAATTCACACAGAATCCCAAATCTAGATCTAATTTAATAGTTTTTCCAAGAGAAGAGAAGAAACTGATACCCAGTGTAAACACTTAGAAAATACAAAAATAAAAACGAGAACTATCCATAGTCCTGGGAGAGGCACTGCAAACATTTTCAAACATTTTAAACTTACCAATATGTATATTAACTTGTTAAAAATCATTTTAACATACAAGTTTATATTTCATTTTTGCTTAAAGTTATAACATAGCTATTTTCCTGTGAATAATGTAAGCTTTTCATAAATATTGACTCTTAACGGATATGATGCTGTAACACGAGACTGTGCCATAATTAAGCACTGTTTCACTGTTGGTTGTTTGTTTCTACTTATTTGCTGTGAGCATGCATATGGGAAAAATTATGAATTAGGTTGGGATATGCACTCATTCGTATTTTTAAAAAGGGGTAGGTGTCACACATATATACATGTATATATAATTTTTATTTGTAAAATATAGATGTTTTCTATATTTTATATATAAAAGATATATGTTTAAAATAGAGGAAATATGTATATATGTATAAAATATAGAAGGAGAAATAAGAAACTGGTAATAGTGGTCACCTTTAGGAAAAGATATTAGAAGACAATGGATCTAGGAAACGGGAGAAATTGTATGAATCCTTTTATATAATTTATCATTTTTATCCATACAGAGATACTAAATTTTCAGTTTAAAACAGGGTTTGTTTTTGTTTTTGTTTTTGTTTGTTTCTTTTTTTGAGACATAGTTTTGCTCTTGTTGCCCAGGCTGGAGTGCAATGGCGCGATCTCAGCTCACTGCAACCTCTGCCCCCCGGGTTCAAGCGATTCTCCTGCCTCAGCCTCCCGAGTAGCTGGGATTACAGCATGTGCCACCACGCCCGGCTAATTTTGTAATTTTAGTGGAGACAGGATTTCTCCATGTTGGTCAGGCTGGTCTCAAACTCCCAACCTCATGTGATCCACCCACCTTGGCCTCCCAAAGTGCTGGGATTACAGGCATGAGCCACCATGCCAGGCCTGTTTTTGTTTTAACAAACAATGTTATTGAATAACCAGCCTTGAGTTACCTGCTATGCTCCATGTAAACATCTCCTCAGTTTCTAAATTTCACTAAAAATCTTCTGCTGTTACTACACACACACACACACACACACACACACACGGACACATGGACGGATGCACATGCAGACATGCAGATACATGTGTTCACACACATGCACACAGATACAATACACAATACACAGACATGTGCGTGCCTGCACACACACACATACACTCACATACCACAGTTATGCAATACATATCTTTTAAGAAGTGATTTTTCCTGTATCCGAAGTCCTTTTCTTAGGATATTTTCTCAGCAATTAAATCACAGAGTTAAAACAGGAGATGGTGAAAAGGCAGATTAATGTTTGGTAGGTGACTGGGCCAAGCCCTTCAGGACATAATTTACATTTTCTCTTCTGTTTATCTCAATACCCCTTAGAGGTAGAGGCCCATTTCACAGACAAGGAAAGCTGAGGTTGCATGCCCAAGGTTGGCACCACATGTCAGAGCAGAATTCAAGCTCAGACCACTTTGGCACAAAGCCCATGTGCTTTCTATTACATAAGGCTGCCTGTTTTATCCTAATTCACCCTCGGGCAATTCACCTAGGGCATTTATATTGCTTCAGGTTTTTTACTTTCATAGGCGTCATTGTAATGATAATTTGTGCTTGCAGGTGTTTCTTTATTATAGATTATGCTCTTAGAGTAGATTTTCAGAGTTGAAATTTATGGGTCCCTGTACATTACATCTTGGATATGTATTGCTGAAGGTGATGGAATTTCTTCTTTGCTAAGGTAAACAGCCCCCAGGAGTCAAGTCAGTGGACACATTTTTAAGTATCTTACCCCCTTAGGTTGGAGGCTAAGCACTTAAGCACTGCATTGCTCCTGGGGGACTGGGGTTGTCCTTGTCCTTTTCTTTGTCTACCTGCCTCCCTCCATATCATATGCAGTGGCTGGGTACCCAGATCCTGACCACTCAGTGCCCAGTTAATTAGTCCATGTATCTCTATGACATGTCACCATCTACTAGACTACTGACATATCCAGAAACAACAAGAATGGGAAAATCTATTCAGTTCACTGCAAGAGAAACACTTGGTTTAAAAGTGCACTGATCTTCAAATTTAGTTTTACTTTGTACAATAGCTAGCCAGCTTTGATATTATCTCCTGAAAGCTTTTCAAATTATATTAACACATAACAATAAACATTTGTTGATGTTTAGATATTTTGTTAGATATTTTGGCATTTGACATTATGAGTACTTGGTCACAAACCAATTCTTGACTCTACGATAGTTTTGAATTGATTTATTGAGGCATTTTTTGAAAAATTTTTTAAATTTTGATTTCTACAAAAACAGGGACAGCACCAGACTATTCTCTGCGTGTTGCACTGCATAGTGAACCTGCAGACAATTCCCGTGGATGTGGAGGAAGCTTTCCTTGCCCATGCCATTAAGGCATTCACTAAGGTGGGTCATACTCTTCCTTTCCCCTCTCTGAACCACAGATCAGCATCATCTTTGTAAATCAGAATCCAGAGGTCACCGTCCTCCTCTAAAATAAAACATGTATGTGTATGTTTTCCCTTCATGGAAATCTGTTTGACATTTCTTCTAAGTAGTTGCAGAGTCTTGACCAAAAAAAAAGTTTCCAAACAATGATCTTAGGAAAAGCTGAATTGTGAGTTTTTTGAAGGAGAACGTTGGAACAAAGAGCTTTTATATAAAAGAAAGAGAGAAACAACTGAGTGTTGAATACATATTTTTAGATCATGTGCCTAATCAGAGTCAGAGAATCTTTGCTTGTCGAGTCAGTTCTACCTTGGGTGTAAGTAAGAAGCCATCTATTGAGAATTAAACATCCCACATTGCTAATTCAGTACTGAGTCCTGGTTGGCAAATCCTAAGGAAAGAGTTAAAAAAAAGGTTTCCTTTCTAAAAGCCCATCCTTTTGGATGCAGCAGTTTTTCCTGGCTGAAGAAAGAAGAAGCAGCCAGGTTCATACTGAGAGAAAAGTTTCCCCTTACCCCATCAGCTATAATTTGTTTATTACTTCTCATTGATATGAAAGTATCTATAATTTGTTTGTTACCTCTCATTGATATGAAAGTGTCATTAAACAAAGAACCCAGCTTTTGAATGACAACATCTGTGGTAACATTAATGATAAGAAGTTATTATTTATACTCATTAACAAGTTATAAAGATTCTTCCTTTTTAATATTTGTCCAGTCTCCTTCCCCTCCACTCTTTCCGGAGTGATGTTCTTACTTCAGGCCTTCCTTGTTCCTCATCTGGATTCTATGGCACTAACCACTGACATCTTTTCAATCTGTTCTCCACTGTTTCCAGAGTCAGTAGTCTCAAATCCAAACCGCGTGGTCCTTTACATCTGTATTTACACTTTCATAGACTGAGAGGCTACCCACCATGTGAAGAAGGTTGTGGTTTGGTGTTTAAGAAAGTAAACAGAGCTGGGAGTGGTGGCTTACGCCTGTGATCCCAGCACTTTGGGAGGCTGAGATGGGTGGATCATGAGATCAGGAGATTGAGACCATCCTGGCCAACATGGTGAAACCCCATCTCTACTAAAGTACAAAAATTTAGCTGGGCATGGTGGTGTGCGCCTGCAGTCCCAGCTACTCAGGAGGCTGAGGTGGAAGAATGGCTTGAACCCGGGAGGTGGAGGTTGCAGTGAGCCGAAATCGCGCCACTGCACTCCGGCCTGGCAACAGAGCGAGACTCTGTCTCAAAAAAAAAAAAAAAAAAGTGGCCAGGCATGGTGGCTCAAGCCTGTAATCCAAGCACTTTGGGAGGCCAAGGTGGGCAGATCACGAGGTCAGGAGATCAAGACCATCCTGGATAACATGGTGAAACCCCATCTCTACTAAAAAGAAATACAAAAAAATTAACTGGGTATGGTGGCAGGCGCCTGTAGTCCCAGCTACTCGGGAGGCTGAGGCAGGAGAATGGTGTGAACCCGGGAGGCGGAGCTTGCAGTGAGCCAAGATTGCACCACTGCACTCCAGCCTGGGCGACAGAGCAAGACTCCATCTCAAAAAAAAAAAAGTAAACAATTCACACCATTATTAATGTTAATAAGGAGTTTTTTGCAAAGGGGATAGATAATATAGTTATAGATAAAATTAAATTCCTGAGCTTAACTGAAAAAAATCCTTACGATTGGTCTCTCTGAAAGCAGTAGGAATTCTTTACAACTTCTTTTGGCCTTTTAAGGGGATACGAATGAAAAGTTAGAGATAACAGTTGTTCAAAATCTGTCTATAGAAAATGTTAGGAGACAGTTTTCCTTGGGTCTCTCATGTCTCTTCATAGTCTGATGAGCAGATGCCCTGACCACTCTCTTTGAGGATCAACTCTTCACTAATGTCTGGAGAGCTCTGCCTGGAGAGCAGAAGGCACACGTTCTGACTTCCAGGATAATAAAAATGTTTCCCTTCAGGGCAAAGGTTGGCAGATTTGCTTGCAGCCCCCTTGTGAAACATTGGAGTTTCCTAAGCTTGGGGCTCCTCAGCTATGAGGCAAACCCCGTGCTTGTGCAGCCTCCACCTAGGCCCTTCTGCATTGCCTCCATGAGACTTGAGAGACAAGGAGAACCCATGTGAACATGAAGCACATGCAGCTGTGAGAAATAAAAGTTGTCTGTCTCTGACCCAGGAATCTCGTATCTTCTACCAGTATCCATAACACTGGCAAGCTAACAGGTTAAGGTCTCAGATCCTTTACAGTTGTTGACAGAGGGAACAACCTTTCATTTGTCAAAATTTATCAGAGAGGGAGAAATTCCAGAAGCAGAGAAGCAGTGATTGTGTGACCCTGATTCTTTCCCAGGGAGTTACACATTACTCTGGGAATGGGGTTGAGGGTGGGTACTTGCTCTGGTTCTCTGTCCTGCCATCACTGCTAACCCAGAGTATGGTAAACTTGGGTGAAAAATGCAAATATGTGTAAATAGTGCGCTCCCATCAAGGGGAAAGGAAATTTACTTTATCAAGGTGGGGTTTGTTTGTTTGTTTGTTTGTTTGTTTGTTTTTTGAGACAAGGTCTCACTCTGTCACCCAGTCTGGAGTGCAGTGGCACAATCTCAGCTCACTGCATCCTCTGCCTCCTGGGCTCCGGCAATCCTCCCACCTCAGCCTCCCAAGTAGCTGGGACTACAGGCATGTGCCACCATGCCTGGCTAAATTTTTAATTTTTTGTAGAGATGAGGTTTTGCCATGTTGCCCAGGCTGGTCTCAACCTCCTGGGCTCAAGCAACTCTCCCACCTCGGCCTCCTAAAGTGCTGGGATTACAGGCATGAGCCACCACACCCAGCCAGTTGAGGTTTGTATATATGTGCCAAACATGTTAGACTCATAGATACGCTATCCTATGAAGGTGGGTATCATTATCTCTGTTTTACAAAGGAGGAGATCAAGGTCCAGAGAGGTTGGGTATGAGATGAGGACATGTAGCTGGCAGGTGGGGAGCTGGGCTTCTATTCAGGTCACTCTGACCCTGTCCAGAGTGGCCGTAGGGCCTCTCAGCAGGACGTATACAGCTGATGTGCTGTTTTAATATGGGAAACTTTTCTCTTATACCATCAATGATTAGTCTCAAAAAATTCACTTCACACCCACTGTTGACTTGCTTCATGACTGGGTGTATATAATTAGACTAAATATCCAGGCACTAGATTTAATTTTGGGGTTTTCATTCATAAGTTTGATATTGACATGGTTGGCAGTTCTAATAGTCTTTCAAATAAAATGTGTGAAATTTATTATGTGTATTTTATATAGAGTTTTGTTTGTAAGTCTGTTTTTTTTCTCCACCCCCTCCTTCTCTCAAAATAGAAACTAGTTCAAATTCTTGTTACAGTGTCCTGAATATAAATTTCTTTGTCACCAGGTTAATTTTGATTCTGAAAATGGACCAACAGTTTACAACACCCTGAAGAAAATATTTAAGCACACGCTGGAAGAAAAAAGAAAAATGACAAAAGATGGCCCTAAGCCTGGCCTCTAGCTTTCACTCGTGGTGAATATTTCAGACCTAAAGATCCAGATAGTATCTCTGTTCATATGTGAATAAGTTGAAGATTGTGGGGCTACTTTTTCTCATAGCACTTTATTTTGAATGTTGTTAGTTTGTGCTGAGAATGGTCGTCCGTATTTGAACCAATTATTTATTTTAAAATATATTTAAGCTACATTTTTGTTTTGAAAAATTGCCATAAATTTGGTGCCACTTTCTTTTATTTATTTGACTGAGTTAATATTATTGTATTAACATTTTAAGTATATGGTGTTTACATTCTTATTTCTTTTGACATTTTGGAAATAATCATAACTTGTCTTTCCAAAATAACCATTTTCTTGATGGAACTCTTCCTAGAGTTTTTACCAAATAGCTAACTTTAGTAGTAAAACCTCATTGTGTATCCATTCCCCCACAGATGAACTAAGAAAGTCACCAAGTGTCTTAAGCTGTTTTATATTTGTTACGAAGAAGGCTATTGCTACAATATTTTTAAAGGTTTCTTTTTTAACTTTGAAATTTTTTGTTTTTCCTTTTCTTTTTATAAATGTAACAGAGGGTTTCAAAGCATATTATTTTTCAGAGAGATTTAGTTTTACTTTAATGGAGTGACTGTGAAGTGGTTGGGATTTTTTGCTTGTAGAAAGTAGACTTGCTCTTTGTCAGATTTCCAAACAACCTTGCCAGCCTTGGCTGTCAAAAGGAGGCAGGAGCAGTTCTCAACACACCAAGCCTTATTCCCACTCCCTTGGGTTGCTGCTGAGCCAAATAGCATCTTTACAGAGGAAGTGGGATCAGAGGCAGGAAGTGTGGAAAGTTGCTAAGAAGCAGGGCTTGCCTCTGTCCTCCCGGGGACTCCACAGGGATATTCGTGCAGGGCAGGGGCTCTGTGCCAGCCCTGCTCTCTCAGATGCCACAGCCACTCTGCAGAGGTGACTCTTGGAGCTGGAGGAAGTCAAAACTGGGCCACTGTTTGTACTGATGGTGTATTAGCATGAGCAGCGTGGCCCTGGCCCCACACTCCCAAATCTGCCACTCCATAGACCCACTTGCCTCAAGGCTTTATATTTGGCTGCTTTCTTACAATGAGAATTAAGATTTTTAAACTGAAGTTGACCATACAGGTTGCATTAGCCCTAACTGGCTTCATGTAAGAAGGGTGACTGCCTAAACTAGTTCCTTGTAAGCTGAACCATCAATTATCAGTTGAAGCCATACTTTTATTTAAATTAATATACGTAGATACCAGAGGCCAAGCCACAGAGAGGATAATAGTTCTTCCCAATAAAGGTGATATTAATCAGACTAATTTCGAACTAAAGAAGTTACTGCTTAAAGACGGAATTTCAGGGGAAGCAAGACTCATTTAGAACAAATGAAATTTCTCCAGTCCTACATTTCTGAATTGACTTCTAGCACATCAAAAATATTTCAGTCATTATCAGTCTCATTAACTGAAATGCCAAATGCTAAATGCAGTGTTCTTTCACACTGTTTTAATTTTCTTGGGAAATTGAGTCCAGTGGATGTTAATGGAGTGGGTTGCCCATCCCTGAAATGTCTTATTTTCAAGTGCCTGGCCTGGGAAAGAAGGGGAAGAAACAATTGCATTATATCCAAAGATACACTATAAAAATAGAGTTTTTACCAAAAAAAGATGTTTGTTCTCATCTCAGTAGGCCTCATTTGGGCAAGTGACCCACAGGTCTTTTGGCGAGTTTGCTATTTGCCTGTTGAAATACTTGTTTCAACTTAGAGAACAGTTATGATGTGACCATAGCATGGCACAACTAAAAATCTAAGCCTGAAACCTGAAAAAAGAGATATGACAAGGGAAATTAATCAGGCTATACATAAGTATTGTATTTATTTGAATAAAAATAAAAAGAGCAACCCATAATCCTAGTCCTGTACTTCTTTACCTTGATGCTCTAGGACATCTGATGATAAAGACAAGGTTTTGTCTTAGATTATCCTAATAGGCAGATTGAGTTGTCGGCTGATTCAGTGAGCCAAGCTCTAGTTAGTGCAGACTCCTTCCATCAGTTCAGCATGACCAAACACTGGGGGGTTGGGATAGGTGAGTTCTAAGAGGAATAGCTGGGGAAAATCTCCAAGCTGACAAGATTCCTAACTTCCCATATTTGGATGAGGAGTTCTTTGTAGCCCAGAGGACAGAAATCTCACATATTGGGAGAAGTGATAAGGTTGAAAAATTCAGTTCAACAGAAATAGGAAGGTTAAGGGCACACACATATTAAGAACTTACCATGGGCCAGCCGTATCCATTACCTCACTGAATTATCTTGACAGAAGTCTTTTTTATTTCATTTATTTATATATATTTTTTTGAGACGGGGGTCTCGCTCCGTAGCCCAAGCTGGAATGCAGTGGCATGATCTTGGCTGACTGCAACCTCCGCTCCCAGCCTGAAGCCATCCTCCCACCTCAGCTTCCTGAGTAGCTGGGACTACAGGCACATGCAATCACATCTGGCTAATTTTTTGTTTTTTTGTTTTTTTGGTATTTTTTGTAGAGATAGGGTTTCACCATGTTACCCAGGCTTGTCTTGAACTCCTGAGCTCAAGTGATCCTCCCACCTCGGCCTCCCAGAGTGCTGGGATTACAGGTGTGAGCCACCGCACCTGGCCTCAGAAGTCTTAATCATAACTGTGTGACGTGAGATGTGGAGTCCAATGGACCCCGTGCTGTGCCCTCCTCTCTGCTCATGTTACCTGCCTATAGGACTCTTAACCTGGCAAAGCTGCCCGTCAAAGTGCCTTCTCAGGGACCTTGAGGTCCCTTTAGCACTAAATTTTATGATGGCATTAAGAGAACACTGTGCTGTCCATAACTTAGTGAAAATATCACACATCTGTCCTGGAAAAGGCTGAACCAGCTCTATTATTATCCTATGATGTTCTCTAGTATATCACACTTAGAGGAAGTACATGATTTCTTGCCACTGTTGCCTTTTCTTACTTCAGAGAGCTTACTAATGCCCTTTGAGACAAATTGCTGCTGGTGGTAGAGCTCGCTTCATTTATTTATGTAACTCAGAAAATCTGTGCTGAGTTACTTAGTCATATCTTCATCCAGCTTGCCAGTCTTATCTGAGAAAAAGTACTTGCTTCATCGTTCTGGATTCCATGAAAACCACCATATATCATAATTCAACAGAGGTAAAGTGTCTCTATTTTCTCTTAAATGGAGAATGCTTGCTGATATGATTGGGTGCTATTTCAGGCTAGTCTCCACATGTCCGAAAAAATATCCAGGGACAGTGTAATGTAGATAGAATGCAAGCCCCAAGTTCTTGACATCTGACAGCCCCATGTAATTTGGGGGGTCAATTTAAAAATGACAGCTTACTCATAGGATCTTTATTATTATTCCAAATTAGCAAGCATTAATATATTTTCAGTGCAGGTAAATCAAGAACAATGTTCTCTTTGATGCTTTTTATGAATGGCACAAGATTAGCATGTTACCTAAGAGAGCTTTTCTCAATGCTAGATGGCTGCAAATTGTTTATAGATAAAGTAGCAGGAGAAAAATTCAACAAAATCCTGTTTCTCAGTGGGTCATTATTTTTTTAGTTATGCTTTTAGGCATGAGCTAATCTCTGATTACCTCAACACTGACAATAAAACTGATTTATAAATAATCACAATGGAACCATTCAGTATTGGAGCTTGACAAGCCTTTGTTCAAAGCCCTTCAGTCACTAAAAATAATGTCCCAATAAGACTTAAATGTCATAAAACCTTTTGCAACGAAAATAAAAGTTTCATACATCCACTGAAACTTGTACAGTAAGAGAAGCCTGCTAAGCCCTTACCTCTCGGCTTTCTTGATTAAAATGAAAAGATATTTTACTCTTGAGATTGCCTATTTTAGAGAAAAATTACATTTTGAGGATGGGCTCCTGCTTACCCGATCTCTAGAAAGTGGTCTGACAGTAGCCTCTGGTTTTGATTTAATGAGTTGCTTTATCATTTTTTTTTCTCCTTTTAAAAATGAAAACAGACTGGGCACGGTGGCTATAATCTCAGCACTTTGGGAGGCCAAGCCAGGCAGATCACAAGGTCAGGAGTTTAAGACCAGCTGGGCCAATATGGTGAAACCCTGTCTGTACTAAAAATACAAAAATCAGCCAGGCGTGGTGGGCACCTGTATTCCCAGCTACTTGGAAGGCTGAGACAGGAGAATCGCTTGAACCTGGGAGGCGGAGGTTGCAGTGAGCCGAGAGCACACCACTGCACTCCAGCCTGGGCAACAAAGCGAGACTCCATCTCCAGAAAAAAAAAAAAAGAAAGAAAGAAAAGAAAAGAAAACAAACTACTCAGGCTCTTGATTTAGGCTGAACCATAGGGAGTGGCCATTTTTTTTTTGGTAAAAAAATGATCAAGTACTGGCCATTTTATGTGGTTCAACCTAAAATCAAACTCAGTATTTCCAGGACAAGTAGGTGACATTTCCTGAATTAATTTTGGTAAGTTTAGATTAGGTGATCAATTATTTTCTAAGACTATCCTGTATGCTTACAGTAGAGTTCCAATACAACTGTAAGTGACAAATATGAAACATTCTTTTAGCAACACGTCTGTGCCTATTCTGCTTGGCCCTCTGCTAATTCTGGGGACACACAGGAATTATTTATTCAGTCATTCATCCCTCTAGGAGTCACGTTGCCTATCCCTCAAAATTCATGTGTTGGAAACTTAATTCCCAATGCAATAGAGTAGGAAGGTGCAGCCTTTTAGGAGGTGTTTAGGTCGTCAGAGCTCCACCCTCATGAATGAACTAATATTATTAGTAAAAGACCTGATGGAGGGAATTCTTTTTTTGCCCTTCCACTTTCTGTCATGTGAGGACACAGCATGCTCCCCTCCAGATGATGCAGCATGTAAGGCACCATCTTGGAAGCAGAGAGCAGCCCTCACCAGATGGCAGTGCCTTAATCTTGGCCTATCCAGCCTCCAGAACTGTGAGAATCAATGTCTGTTGTTTAAGTTGCCCAGCCTGTGCTATTCTGTTATAGCAGCACAAAATGGACTAAGACAGCGATTGGTACCAGGGGAGTGGGGTGTTGCTAAAACATACCTAAAAATGTGGAAGCGGCTTTGGAACTGGGTAATGGGTTGAGGCTAGAAGAGTTGTGAAATGAAAGCAGGAAAAAGCTTGTATTGCCACGAGTGGAGCATTAAGAGTGATTCTGGTGAGGGCTCAGAAGAAGAGGAGAGCTGTAAGGAAATTATCACTCATTCTTCTGAGAAACTACGTAAGTGGTTTTGAACAGAATGCTGATAAAAACTTGGACAGTAAAGACCATTCCGATTAGGTCATAGACAGAAATGAGGACTATCATTGGAAACTGGGGAAAAGGCCATCTTTGTTACAAAGTGGCAAAGAACGTGGCTGAATTATGTCCATGTCCATGTTCTAGGACTTTGTAAGGGGCAGAACTTAGCGATGAACCAGAATATTTGGCAGAAGAAATTTCTAAGCAGGAAAGTGTGCAGGATGCTGTGTGGTTTCTCTTTTTTTTTTTTTTTTTTGAATTGTGTTGTCTTTTTTTTTTTTTTTTTTATTATACTCTAAGTTTTAGGGTACATGTTCACATTGTGCAGGTTAGTTACATATGTATACATGTGCCATGCTGGTGCGCTGCACCCACTAACGTGTCATCTAGCATTAGGTATATCTCCCAATGCTATCCCTCACCCCTCCCCCGACCCCACCACAGTCCCCAGAGTGTGATATTCCCCTTCCTGTGTCCATGTGATCTCATTGTTTAATTCCCACCTATGAGTGAGAATATGCGGTGTTTGGTTTTTTGTTCTTGCGATAGTTTACTGAGAATGATGGTTTCCAATTTCATCCATGTCCCTACAAAGGACATGAACTCATCATTTTTTATGGCTGCATAGTATTCCATGGTGTATATGTGCCACATTTTCTTAATCCAGTCTATCATTGTTGGACATTTGGGTTGGTTCCAAGTCTTTGCTATTGTGAATAGTGCCGCAATAAACATACGTGTGCATGTGTCTTTATAGCAGCATGATTTATAGTCCTTTGGGTATATACCCAGTAATGGGATGGCTGGGTCAAATGGTATTTCTAGTTCTAGATGCCTGAGGAATCGCCACACTGACTTCCACAATGGTTGAACTAGTTTACAGTCCCACCAACAGTGTAAAAGTGTTCCTATTTCTCCACATCCTCTCCAGCACCTGTTGTTTCCTGACTTTTTAATGATTGCCATTCTAACTGGTGTGAGATGATATCTCATAGTGGTTTTGATTTGCATTTCTCTGATGGCCAGTGATGATGAGCATTTCTTCATGTGTTTTTTGGCTGCATAAATGTCTTCTTTTGAGAAGTGTCTGTTCATGTCCTTCGCCCACTTTTTGATGGGGTTGTTTGTTTTTTTCTTGTAAATTTGTTTGAGTTCATTGTAGATTCTGGATATTAGCCCTTTGTCAGATGAGTAGGTTGCGAAAATTTTCTCCCATGTTGTAGGTTGCCTGTTCACTCTGATGGTAGTTTCTTTTGCTGTGCAGAAGCTCCTTAGTTTAATTAGATCCCATTTGTCAATTTTGGCTTTTGTTGCCATTGCTTTTGGTGTTTTGGACATGAAGTCCTTGCCCACGCCTATGTCCTGAATGGTAATGCCTAGGTTTTCTTCTAGGGTTTTTATGGTTTTAGGTCTAACGTTTAAATCTTTAATCCATCTTGAATTGATTTTTGTATAAGGTGTAAGGAAGGGATCCAGTTTCAGCTTTCTACATATGGCTAGCCAGTTTTCCCAGCACCATTTATTAAATAGGGAATCCTTTCCCCATTGCTTGTTTTTGTCAGGTTTGTCAAAGATCAGATAGTTGTAGATATGCGGCATTATTTCTGAGGGCTCTGGTCTGTTCCATTGATCTATATCTCTGTTTTGGTACCAGTACCATGCTGTTTTGGTTACTGTAGCCTTGTAGTATAGTTTGAAGTCAGGTAGTGTGATGCCTCCAGCTTTGTTCTTTTGTCTTAGGATTGACTTGGCGATGCAGGCTCTTTTTTGGTTCCATATGAACTTTAAAGTAGTTTTTTCCAATTCTGTGAAGAAAGTCATTGGTAGCTTGATGGGGATGGCATTGAATCTGTAAATTACCTTGGGCAGTATGGCCATTTTCACGATATTGATTCTTCCTACCCATGAGCATGGAATGTTCTTCCATTTGTTTGTGTCCTCTTTTATTTCCTTGAGCAGTGGTTTGTAGTTCTCCTTGAAGAGGTCCTTCACATCCCTTGTAAGTTGGATTCCTAGGTATTTTATTCTCTTTGAAGCAATTGTGAATGGGAGTTCACTCATGATTTGGCTCTCTGTTTGTCTGTTGTTGGTGTATAAGAATGCTTGTGATTTTTGTACATTGATTTTGTATCCTGAGACTTTGCTGAAGTTGCTTATCAGCTTAAGGAGATTTTGGGCTGAGACGATGGGGTTTTCTAGATAAACAATCATGTCGTCTGCAAACAGGGACAATTTGACTTCCTCTTTTCCTAATTGAATACCCTTTATTTCCTTCTCCTGCCTGATTGCCCTGGCCAGAACTTCCAACACTATGTTGAATAGGAGCGGTCAGAGAGGGCATCCCTGTCTTGTGCCAGTTTTCAAAGGGAATGCTTCCAGTTATTGCCCATTCAGTATGATATTGGCTGTGGGTTTGTCATAGATAGCTCTTATTATTTTGAAATACGTCCCATCAATGCCTAATTTATTGAGAGTTTTTAGCATGAAGGGTTGTTGAATTTTGTCAAAGGCTTTTTCTGCATCTATTGAGATAATCATGTGGTTTTTGTCTTTGGCTCTGTTTATATGCTGGATTACATTTATTGATTTGCGTATATTGAACCAGCCTTGCATCCCAGGGATGAAGCCCACTTGATCATGGTGGATAAGCTTTTTGATGTGCTGCTGGATTCGGTTTGCCAGTATTTTATTGAGGATTTTTGCATCAATGTTCATCAAGGATATTGGTCTAAAATTCTCTTTTTTGGTTGTGTCTCTGCCCGGCTTTGGTATCAGAATGATGCTGGCCTCATAAAATGAGTTAGGGAGGATTCCCTCTTTTTCTATTGATTGGAATAGTTTCAGAAGGAATGGTACCAGTTCCTCCTTGTACCTCTGGTAGAATTCGGCTGTGAATCCATCTGGTCCCGGACTCTTTTTGGTTGGTAAACTATTGATTATTGCCACAATTTCAGCTCCTGTTATTGGTCTATTCAGAGATTCAACTTCTTCCTGGTTTAGTCTTGGGAGAGTGTATGTGTCGAGGAATGTATCCATTTCTTCTAGATTTTCTAGTTTATTTGCGTAGAGGTGTTTGTAGTATTCTCTGATGGTAGTTTGTATTTCTGTGGGATCGGTGGTGATATCCCCTTTATCATTTTTTATTGTGTCTATTTGATTCTTCTCTCTTTTTTTCTTTATTAGTCTTGCTAGCGGTCTATCAATTTTGTTGATCCTTTCAAAAAACCAGCTCCTGGATTCATTGATTTTTTGAAGGGTTTTTGTGTCTCTATTTCCTTCAGTTCTGCTCTGATTTTAGTTATTTCTTGCCTTCTGCTAGCTTTTGAATGTGTTTGCTCTTGCTTTTCTAGTTCTTTTAATTGTGATGTTAGGGTGTCAATTTTGGATCTTTCCTGCTTTCTCTTGTAGGCATTTAGTGCTATAAATTTCCCTCTACACACTGCTTTGAATGCGTCCCAGAGATTCTGGTATGTGGTGTCTTTGTTCTCGTTGGTTTCAAAGAACATCTTTATTTCTGCCTTCATTTCGTTATGTACCCAGTAGTCATTCAGGAGCAGGTTGTTCAGTTTCCATGTAGTTGAGCGGCTTTGAGTGAGATTCTTAATCCTGAGTTCTAGTTTGATTGCACTGTGGTCTGAGAGATAGTTTGTTATAATTTCTGTTCTTTTACATTTGCTGAGGAGAGCTTTACTTCCAACTATGTGGTCAATTTTGGAATAGGTGTGGTGTGGTGCTGAAAAAAATGTATATTCTGTTGATTTGGGGTGGAGAGTTCTGTAGATGTCTATTAGGTCTGCTTGGTGCAGAGCTGAGTTCAATTCCTGGGTATCCTTGTTGACTTTCTGTCTCGTTGATCTGTCTAATGTTGACAGTGGGGTGTTAAAGTCTCCCATTATTAATGTGTGGGAGTCTAAGTCTCTTTGTAGGTCACTCAGGACTTGCTTTATGAATCTGGGTGTTCCTGTATTGGGTGCATAAATATTTAGGATAGTTAGCTCCTCTTGTTGAATTGATCCCTTTACCATTATGTAATGGCCTTCTTTGTCTCTTTTGATCTTTGTTGGTTTAAAGTCTGTTTTATCAGAGACTAGGATTGCAACCCCTGCCTTTTTTTGTTTTCCATTGGCTTGGTAGATCTTCCTCCATCCTTTTATTTTGAGCCTATGTGTGTCTCTGCACGTGAGATGGGTTTCCTGAATACAGCACACTGATGGGTCTTGACTCTTTATCTAACTTGCCAGTCTGTGTCTTTTAATTGCAGAATTTAGTCCATTTATATTTAAAGTTAATATTGTTATGTGTGAATTTGATCCTGTCATTATGATGTTAGCTGGTGATTTTGCTCATTAGTTGATGCAGTTTCTTCCTAGTCTCGATGGTCTTTACATTTTGGCATGATTTTGCAGCGGCTGGTACCGGTTGTTCCTTTCCATGTTTAGCACTTCCTTCAGGAGCTCTTTTAGGGCAGGCCTGGTGGTGACAAAATCTCTCAGCATTTGCTTGTCTATAAAGTATTTTATTTCTCCTTCACTTATGAAGCTTAGTTTGGCTGGATATGAAATTCTGGGTTGAAAATTCTTTTCTTTAAGAATGTTGAATATTGGCCCCCACTCTCTTCTGGCTTGTAGGGTTTCTGCCGAGAGATCCGCTGTTAGTCTGATGGGCTTTCCTTTGAGGGTAACCCGACCTTTCTCTCTGGCTGCCCTTAACATTTTTTCCTTCATTTCAACTTTGGTGAATCTGACAATTATGTGTCTTGGAGTTGCTCTTCTCGAGGAGTATCTTTGTGGCGTTCTCTGTATTTCCTGAATCTGAACGTTGGCCTGCCTTGCTAGATTGGGGAAGTTCTCCTGGATAATATCCTGCAGAGTGTTTTCCAACTTGGTTCCATTCTCCACATCACTTTCAGGTACACCAATCAGACGTAGATTTGGTCTTTTCACATAGTCCCATATTTCTTGGAGGCTTTGCTCATTTCTTTTTATTCTTTTTTCTCTAAACTTCCCTTCTCGCTTCATTTCATTCATTTCATCTTCCATTGCTGATACCCTTTCTTCCAGTTGATCGCATCGGCTCCTGAGGCTTCTGCATTCTTCACGTAGTTCTCGAGCCTTGGTTTTCAGCTCCATCAGCTCCTTTAAGCACTTCTCTGTATTGGTTATTCTAGTTATACATTCTTCTAAATTTTTTTCAAAGTTTTCAACTTCTTTGCCTTTGGTTTGAATGTCCTCCCGTAGCTCAGAGTAATTTGATCGTCTGAAGCCTTCTTCTCTCAGCTCGTCAAAATCATTCTCCATCCAGCTTTGTTCTGTTGCTGGTGAGGAACTGCGTTCCTTTGGAGGAGGAGAGGCGCTCTGCGTTTTAGAGTTTCCAGTTTTTCTGTTCTGTTTTTTCCCCATCTTTGTGGTTTTATCTACTTTTGGTCTTTGATGATGGTGATGTACAGATGGGTTTTCGGTGTAGATGTCCTTTCTGGTTGTTAGTTTTCCTTCTAACAGACAGGACCCTCAGCTGCAGGTCTGTTGGAATACCCTGCTGTGTGAGGTGTCAGTGTGCCCCTGCTGGGGGGTGCCTCCCAGTTAGGCTGCTCGGGGGTCAGGGGTCAGGGACCCACTTGAGGAGTCAGTCTGCCCGTTCTCAGATCTCCAGCTGCGTGCTGGGAGAACCACTGCTCTCTTCAAAGCTGTCAGACAGGGACACTTAAGTCTGCAGAGGTTACTGCTGTCTTTTTGTTTGTCTGTGCCCTGCCCCCAGAGGTGGAGCCTACAGAGGCAGGCAGGCCTCCTTGAGCTGTGGTGGGCTCCACCCAGTTCGAGCTTCCCGGCTGCTTTGTTTACCTAAGCAAGCCTGGGCAATGGCGGGCGCCCCTCCCCCAGCCTCGTTGCCGCCTTGCAGTTTGATCTCAGACTGCTGTGCTAGCAATCAGCGCGATTCCGTGGGCGTAGGACCCTCTGAGCCAGGTGTGGGATATAGTCTCGTGGTGCGCCGTTTCTTAAGCCGGTCTGAAAAGCGCAATATTCGGGTGGGAGTGACCCGATTTTCCAGGTGCGTCCGTCACCCCTTTCTTTGACTCGGAAAGGGAACTCCCTGACCCCTTGCGCTTCCCAGGTGAGGCAATGCCTCGCCCTGCTTCGGCTCGCGCACGGTGCGCACACACACTGGCCTGCGCACACTGTCTGGCACTCCCTAGTGAGATGAACCCGGTACCTCAGATGGAAATGCAGAAATCACCCGTCTTCTGCGTCGCTCACGCTGGGAGCTGTAGACCGGAGCTGTTCCTATTCGGCCATCTTGGCTCCTCCCCTGTGTGGTTTCTCTTAACTGCTTATGTTAACATGTTAAAATGGGAGAAGAGAAATGATTTAAAGACAATTTATAATTCAAAGGGAAGCAGAACATAAAGATTTGGACATTTCTTGGTCCAGCCATGTAAAGAATGAAAAAGATTTGGACAATTTTCAGTCCAGCCATGTAAAGAATAAAAAAGTATGTAGGCCGGTTGTGATGGCTCATGCCTATAATCCCAGCATTTTGGGAGGCTGAGGCGGGTGGATCACTTGAGGTCAGGAGTTTGAGACCAGACTGGCCAACATGGTGAAACACCATCTCTACTAAAAATACCAAAGTTAGCCGGGTGTGGTAGCAGGCGCCTGTAATCCCAGCTACTTGGTAGCCTGAGGTAGGAGAATCACTTGAACCTGGGAGGCAGAGGTTGCAGTGAGCTGGGTTGGCGCCACTGCACTCCAGCCTGAGTGACAGAGTGAGCCTCCATCTCAAAAAAAAAAAAAAAAAGGATGTTTAGGGCCGGGCACGGCGGCTCACACCTGTATTTCCAGCACTTTGGGAGGCCGAGGTGGGTAGATCACTTGAGGTCAGGAGTTCGAGACCAACCTGGCCAACATGGTGAAACCCCATCTCTACTAAAACTACAAAAAAAAATTAGCCAGACATTGTGGCAAGCACCTGTAATCCCAGCTACTCGGGAGGCTGAGGCATGAGAATCACTTGAACCCAGGAGGTGGAAGTTGCAGTGAACGGAGATTGCGTCACTGCACTCCAGCCTGCACAACAGAACGAGACTTCACCTCAAAAAAAAAAAGAAAAAGTGTGTTTAGAAGATAGCACACGGTGTGGCCAGGCCACCATTTGATAAGATTAGTATGGATATGAGAAAGCTATGTGCTATTTATCAAGACAATGGGAGAATGACCCCAAAGATATTATGGACATCTTGGTACAAGGGGAGGGGGCAACCATGCCCATCAAAAGGCCAGAGTGCTAGGGTCTTGGGGACAGATGAATTTTGAGGAGGGGCCCAGGGTGCCCATGGGACCTGTTTGCTCACTGCTGAGGGCCACCTTGGGTCTCTGCACCCTGCACTCTGGCACAGTGCTCCTTGGCTACCCCAGCTCTGATTCAAGCAGGCCCAGGTCCAGGTAGGGCCACTACTCTGGAGGGTGCAAGCAGTGAGCCTTGGCACATCCATGTGGTGCTTAATTCTGCAGGTGTGCAGAGTACAAGAGCAGTGGAGGCTGGCTTCCTTCACCTAGATTTCAAAGAATGCCTCAGTGGGCCCAGGCAGAGAACTGCTGCAAGGACAAAGTCTCTGCAGAGAGCCCCCACTAGGGCAGTGCCTAGTGGAGTCATAGGAGTGGGGCTGCTCCAGAAACCCCAGAAGTGTATAAGCACCAGCATACAGTGCCAGTCTGGGAAAGCTGCGGGCAGACTATTTCAGTGCATGGGAGCTGAAGCATGGGCTGTACCCAGCAAAGCCATGTGGGTGGGCCTGCCCGAGGCCACGGGGACCTAACCTCCATCCCAGTGTACCTGGAAGGTGGGACATGGAGTCAAAGATTATTCTCATGCTTCAAGATTTAATGTTGGGCTGGGCACAGTGGCTTGTGCCTGTAATCCCAATCCACTGGGAAGCCCAGGAGGGAGGAGTGCTTGAGGCAGGAGTTTGAAACCAGCCTGGGCAACATAGTGAGACCCCATGTCTACAAAAATGAAAAAAAAAAATAGCTCGGCAGAATGGGACAGACGTGTAGTCCTAGCTACAGGAGAGGCTAAGGCAGGAAGATTGCTTGAGCCCAGAAGTTCATGGTTGCAGCAAGCTATGATCATACACACTGCTCTCCAGCCTGGGTGACAGGGCAAGACACTGTCTCAAAAAAAATTGAAATAAAAAAAAAAGATTTAATGTTTCTCCTGTTGGTTTTGGACTTACCTGGGAGCTCTTACTCCTTCCTTCTTTTCTATTGCTCCCTTTTGGAATGGGAATGTCTGTCCTATGGCTGTTCCACCATTGTATTTTGGAAGTATATAATTTGTTTGATTTCACAGGCTCACAGCTGGAGAGCAGTTTGCCCCAGGATGACTCTTACTTTGAGTCTCATCCATATCTGATTTAGATGGGACCCTGTACTTTAGCTTTGAATTGTTACTGGAACAAATTAAGACTCTAGGGGCAATGGGATGGAATGAATGTATTTTACATGTAAGAAAGACATAAATTTGGGGGGGTCAGAGGTGGAATGTTACAATCTGAATATGTACCCCAAAATTTGTAGTGTTAAGGAGGTGTGGCCTTTCGGGAGGTGTTTAGTTCATGGGTTCTGTAGCCTCATACATTGATTAATGCTATTATAAAAGGACTTGACAGAGAAAGTGTGGTCCTTTTTCATCCTTCCATCTTCTGTCATGTAACGACACAGCATTCCTCCCCTCTGGAGGATGCCGCATTCAAGGCACCATTTTGGAAGCAGCTAGCAAACTTCATTAAATGCTGGCATCTTGGATCTTGGCCTTCACACCCTCCAGAACTGTGAGAAATGAATTTCTGTTGTTTATAAGCTACCCAGTCTCAGATATTCTGTTATAGCAGCACAGGCAGACTAAGACACAAGTATAGTGCACATCCATACCTACAGCAGCGCTTGTCCATGACATTTTCTGTACCTCTGTTGTCACCCTAATTAGTTTGGCATTGCCTACCATCTAGATACCTCCTTCAGTCCACACTTTCATTCCTTATATACAATGCTGGATGATTAATACTCAACATGTCCTTCAAAACTCAGCTCTTTTTCCTGGGAACAGAATATATGCTAATTAATTTTTGTTAAATATAATTAAATTTATCTACCTAACTACCACACAGCCCAAAGAGATGGGGAGGTGTTATGGACTGAATGTATCCCCCATAAAATTCATCTGTTGAAGTCCTAACCCCAGTAACTCAAAATGTGATTGTCTTTGGAGGTAGGGTCTTTAAAGAGGTAATTAAAGTGAAATGAAATCATTGAGGTGGTCCCAATTCTAATCTGACTGATGTTCTTATAAGACGAGGAGATTGAGGCCAGACCCAGTGGCTCATGCCTGTAATCCCACTATGTTGGGAAACCAAAGCCTGCAGATAACTGGAGGCCAGGAGTTCAAGACCAGCCTGGGCAACATGGCGAAACTCTGTCTCTACAAAAAAAAAAAAATTGCCGGACATGGTGGCTCATGCCTGTGGTCCTAGCTACTTGGGAGGCTGAAGTGGGAAGATCACTTGAGCCCGGGAGGTGGAGGTTGCAGTAAGCAGAGATTGTGCCACTGCACTCCAGCCTGGGTGACAGAGGGAGACCCTATCTCAAAAAAAAAAAGTAAAAAAAAAAAAAAAGAGGAGAGGAGATTGAGACACAAACATGGACAAAGGTAAGACTATGTGGAGACATAGAGAGAAAATTGTCATCTACAAGCCAAGGAGTGAGGCCTCAGAAGGAACCAACCCTGGTGACACATTGATCTCAGACTTCTAGCTTCCAGTTCTCTTGTTCAAGCCACCTAGTCTGTGGTACTTTGTTATGGAGCCCGTAGTAAACTAATACAGAAGACAAAATTCCCTGCTGTTCCTTAATTCTTCCACTATAACTTGTGTGTATTTCTTTATAATTCTATCTTAAACAACATATTTCTTGATTTTGCCTGTTTATAAACTTTACATAAATTGAACAATGCTGTGTGTATTCTCCTGTGACTTGCCTTTTCTTTTCAACGTTCTATTCACATTTATCCATATTGATGTGTGAGCTGTAGCTTATTTGTATTCACTGCTGTATGGCATTCCATTGTGTGGATATTCCACAAATTACCTCTTTTACTTGTGATGGACATTTGGGTTGTTCATATTTTCACATGTCTCTGGGTATACATGTGCAAGAGTTTCTGTAGGCTATGTAGCTAAGGGTAAAATTTGTGAACTTTAGGGTATATACAATTTCAGTTTCCTAGGTAATGACAAATTATTTCTCAAAATGATTGTACCAGTTCACATTCCCAACAGCAGTAAATGAGAGTTCCCACTGCTCTGCATCCTTGTCAACACTTAGTATTGACTGACTTTTTGATTTTTGCCAGACTCAGTTGGTATGAGATAGTACCTCAAATATGTTACCTTGTTATATGTTTTGAGCCATTTTTGTTTCTTTTCTCTAGTGCTTGTTCATGTATTTTTCAATTTTTTTACTGTAGTAAAATATATATAATAAAATTTATCATTTTATTCATGTTTGAGTATATAGTCCAGTGTTATTAAATACATTCATAAATGTTGTACAGCCATTACCACTATCCATCTATTTAACTCATCATTTTGTAAAACTGAAATGCTGTACCTATTAAACAAGAACTCCCCCATCCTCCAACATGCCAGCCCCTGGTGACACCATTCTTTTTGTGTCTCTCATTTTAACTACTCTAAATACTTTATATAAGTGGAATAATACAGTATTTGTCTTTTGTGACTGGTTTATTTCACTTAGCAAAATGTCTTCAGGATCCATCCCCGTTGTAGTATAATGCAGTTTCCTTCCCCTTTAAAGTGGAATAACATTCCATTGTATGTATATACCACATTTTGCTTATCCATTCATCTTTCAATAGACACTTGGGTTGCTTATGTTTGAGCTATTGTGAATTATGCTGCTGTGAACAGCAGCATACAAATATCTCTTCAAGACTCTACTTTTAATTCCTTTGGGTACACAGCCATAAGTGGAATTGCTGGATCATGTGGTAATCCTGTGTTTAAATTTTTGAGGAACCACTACACTGTTTTCCACAGTGGTTGTACCATTGTATATTCCCACCAACAGTGCACTAGGGTTTCAGTTTCTCCACATCCTTGCCAACACTTGTTATTTTCTGGGTATTTTTGATAATAGCCTTCCTCATGGATATGAAGTGGTTTCTCATTGTAGTTTTGATTTGCATTCCCCTAATGACTAGTGATATTGAGCATCTTTTCATGTGCCTATTGCCTTTTCATGTATCTTCTTTGGAGAAATGTCTATTCAAGTCCTTTGCTCATTTTTCAGTTGGTTTGTATTTTGTTGTTGAGTTTTAGTTCTCTACATATTCTGGATATTAAATCCTTATTAAAGATATGATTTGCAAATATTTTCTCCCATCCTATGGGTTGCTTTTTTACTCTGTTGACTGTGTCTTTTGATGCACAAAATTTTTTAATTTTCATGAAGTCTAATTTTCTATTTCTCTTTTGTTGCCATTTCCAAGAAATCACTGCCAAATCCAATGTTGTGAAATTTTGCCATTTTTTTCCCTAATAGTTTTATTGCTTTAGGTTTTACATTTAGGTCTTTCATCCATTTGGAGTTCATTTTTTTACATGACATTAGGTAAGGGTCCAACCACATTATTCTGCATGTGGATATCCAGTTTTCCCAGCACTACTTGTTGTTGAAAAGGACTGTAAGGTCTTGGCACCCTTATCAAAAGCTATTTGAGACTAGATGTGGTGGTATGTGCATGTAATTCCAGCTTCTAGGGAAGCTGAGGCAGGAAGATTGCTGGAGCCCAGGAGTTCAAAACCAGCCTGGACAACCTAAGGAGACCCTCTCAAAAAAAAAAGAAGAAAGAAAGAAAAAGAAAAGGTGACCAGGCACAGCGGCTCATTCCCCTGTAATCCCAGCACTTTGGGAGGCTGAGGCAGGCGGATCAGTTGAGGCCAGGAGTTCAAGACCAGCCTGGCCAACATAACCAAACCCCAAACCCCATCTCTACTAAAAATACAAAAATTAGCTGGATATGGTGGCATGCACCTGTATTTCCAGCTACTTGGGAGACTGAGGCACAAGAATCACTTGAACCTGGGAGGCAGAGGTTGCAGTGAGCCAAAATCGGGCCACTGCACTCGAGCCTGGGCAACAGAGCAAGACTCCAACTCAAAAAAAAAAAAAAAAAGTAATTTGACCATATATGCAAGAGCTATTTCTGGGCTCTCTATTTTATCTCATTGGTTTATATGTCTGTCTTTTTGCCAGTGCCATACTGTTTGGATTAAAATAGCTTTGTAGTAAATTTTGAAATCAGGAAATGTGAGTTATCCAGCTCTGTTCTTTTTCAATGTTGTTTTGGCTATTAAAGGTCCTTTGAGATTCCATATGAATTTTAGAGTGAGCTTTTTTATTTCTACAAAAAAAACACTGGGTTTTTGAGACAGATTTCAGTGAATCTGTAGATCACATTGGGTAGTTTTGACATTTAAACAATAATCTTCAGTCCAGGTGCTGTGGCTCACACCTGTAATCTCAGCACTTTGAGAGGCCAAGGCAGGTGGATCACCTGAGGTCAGGAGTTTGAGACCAGCCTGACCAACATGGCAAAGCCCCATCTCTCCTAAGAATAGAAAATTAAGCTGGGCACGGTGGCTCACGCCTGTAATCCCAGCACTTTGGGAGGCCAAGGCAGGCTTCTTTAAGATCTGACTTAATAGAAGACAGCTAGATTCTCATAGCTGCTTCTGATACAATAATCTATGTTATAGTATTACAAATCATATAATCTCTGGAAATTCCCACTGTACACTCATGAGTGAAAAATGCACATAACATCTTAGTATTAGAATGAAAACAGTTTTAATTTTTCAGACACCTTGAAAGGGTCTTGGGTCCCTCAATTATTCCTGACAGTGTATGAGCTCTATAAATGCTCAAAACCAATAAGCCAAAGCTCCTTTCCAGGAAAGCCTCCAACTAAGGAGATAGTTGAGTTCTGCTGGAAATAGAACTCAATTTGAAGAAGAGGGAGAAATTTGGGGCAAAGGAATTAGAAAAACTATTTAAAAGTAGGAAGAGGAACAGCAAGTTGGAGTTCATCTTTTTCATTATTTCAAAAACCACAGAGAAAGAAGCCCTTAAGCCATGAAGTTAGGAAAGCAGTTCTGTCCCAATTCAAATCATATGAGCAATAGTAGAGGACCACAGTTTAATACCATATAAAATTATTAAAAGAGTAAAAAATTGATGAATTAATGTGCAGAATGACATCCCTATACATAATGAAAGTGTGCCAGAGTATGTGCTCACAAAATAAAAACTATTACCATTACCCAACACTTCAAAATGAGCTCTAAAAATTAAGAAAATTGGGTTGGCTTTAGCTCAAGCAGTTACTTCCTCATGCCAGACTTTTTATTCATCTAAAAATTAAGAGATTATAGATAGAACAGCAAAATTTAGAATTTGAAAACTCAGATGAGATGATTTGATAAAAGGAAGATCTGAAAAAAAAGATGATGAATTAAAGAATTAGAAATGAAAAGAGAAACTTTCAGAAGTGGAAGATTAAACTAAATGGGCAAATAAGTCTTCAAGAGAAATAAGTCTACAAGAAAACCAAGAGGGGAGAAGAAAAAAAAAACATTTTTTTAATAAGGAAAGATTTAAAAGGTTTGAGAAAAAGTGATAGATATAGAAGACATGCAAACAAGATTCAACATAAGTATAATAGGAGTACCTAACAAGAAAAATAATGAAAAAAATAAATGTTAAAAAGCTATAATGCAACAAAAAGTGTTGTTCAATAAAAGAAGACTTAAAACTGTATACGGAAAAGTTACTCCATTTACATGGGAAAATCAACCCAGCTGGCCAGCAATGAGAAATGTTCTAGTAAAATTGTTGGATTTTAAAGGGGAGAAGAAAAAAAAAAAAAAACCTTTGGACAATCAGAGAGAAAAAGACCAAGTCATTTATAAGGGAAATGATACCAGACTGACATCAGACTTTTCAAAAGCAACACTAGGCCAGAGGACAATGATTTCAGATACTCAAGTGTTAATATAGTTTGAATGTTCTCCCTGCCCAAATCTCATGTAGAAATGTAACCCCTAGTGTTGGAGGTGGAGCCTGATGGGAGGTGATTGGATCATGGTGGGCAGAGTTCTCATGAATGGTTTAGCACCATCCCCCCTTGGTACCATATAGTGAGTGAGTGCTCACGAGATCTGGTTGTTTATAAGTATATAGCACTGTCTCCCTCTCTCTGTTCCTCCTGCTCTGGCCATGTGAAGATACCTGCTCTAGCTTTGCCTTCCACCATGAATAAAAGCTCCCTGAGGCCTGTCCAGAAGCAGATGCTGCCATGCTTTCTATATAGCCTGTGGAACTGTAAACCAATTAAACCTCTTTTCTCATAAATTACCCAGTCTCATGTATTTCGTTATAGCAATGCAAGAACAGGCTGATACAGAAAATTGGTATTGAAAAGTGTGGCATTGCTATAAAGGTACCTGAAAACATGGAAGCAGCTTAGGAATTGTGTAACAGGCAGAGGTTGGAAGAATGTGGAGGGCCCAGAAGAAGAAAGGAAGATGAGGGAAAATTTGTAACATCCTAGAGACTTGTGAAATTGTTGCAACCACAATGCTGATAGTGATATGGAAAATGAAGTCCAGGCAGAGGAGGTCTCATACAGGAATAAGGAAGTTATTGGGAACTGGAGTAAAGGTCACTTTTGCTATGCTTTAGCAAAGAACTTGGCTGTACTGTGCTCCTGCTCTAGGGATCTGTGGAACTTTAAACTTGAGAGTGATGATTTAGGTTATCTGGTGGAAGAACTTTTTTTTTTTTTGAGACAGAGTCTCATTCTGTCACCCAGGCTGGAGTGGATCTCAGCTCACTGCAGCCTCTGCCTCCCAGGTTCAAGCGATTCTCATGCCTCAGCCTCCCGAGTAGCTGTGATTACAGGCATGCACCACCATACCCAGCTAATTTTTGTATTTTTAGTAGAGACGGGGTTTTGCCATGTTGGCCAGGCTGGTCTCGAATTGACCTCAAGTGATCCACCTGCCTTGGCCCCCCAAAGTGCTGGGATTATAGGCATGAGCCACAACGCCCAGCCTTGGAAGAAATTTCTAAGCAGCAAAGCATTCAAGATGGTACCTGGATGCTTCTAAGAACCTATGTTCATATGTGTGAGCAAAAAATGACCTGAAACTGAAACTCATATTTAAAAGGGAAGCAAAGCAAAAAATTTTGGAAAATTTGCAGCCTGGCCATCTGGTAGAAAAGAAAAGCTCATTTTCAGGGGAGGAATTCAAGCAGGCTACAGAAATTTGCAAAAGTAAAGAAGCCAAATGCTAATAACAGAGACAATGGGGAAGAGCCCTTAAAGGCACTTCAGAGAACTTTGTGGCAGCCCCACCCATCACAGGCTGGGAGGCCTAGGAGGACTGAATGGTTTTGTGGGCCAGGCCCAGGGTCCCAATGTCCTGCACAGCCTCAGGACACTGCTCCCTGCATCCCAGCCACTCCAACTCCAACCATGGCTCAAAGGAGCCCAGGTACAGCTCTGGCTACTGCTTCAGAGGATGCAAACCATAAGCCTTGGTGGCTTCTACTTGGTGTTAAGCATGTGGGTTCACAAAGTGCAAGAGTTGAGTCTTGGGAGTCTCCACCTAGATTTCAGAGGATGTATGGAAAAGCCTGGATGGTCAGGCAGAAGCCAGCTGCAGGGGCATAGCACTCATGGAGAACCTCTACTAGGGAAGTGCAGAGGAGAAATGTGGAGTTGGGGCCCCCACACAGAGTCCTTACTGGGGCACTGCCTAGTGGAGCTGTGAGAAGAGGGCCACCATCCTCCAAACCCAGAATGGTAGAGCCACTGACAGCTTGCACTATATGCCTGGAAAAGCTGCAAGCACTCAACACCAGCCTGTGAGAGTAGCCATGGGGGCTGACGCCCACAAAGCCACACAGGTGGAGCTTCCCAAGGCATTGGGAGTCTACCCTTATACCAGTGTGCCCTGGAGTTGAGACACAGAGTCAAAAGAGATTATTTTGGAGCTTTAAGATTAATGATTGCCCTTCTGCGTTTCAGACTTGCACATGGCCTGGAGACCCTTTCTTTTGGCCAATTTCTCATTTTGGAACATGAGTATTTACCCAATGCCTGTACCCCCACTGTATCTTGGAAGTAACTCACCTGGTCTTTATTTTACAGGCTTATAGGTAGAAGGGACTAGCCTTGTCTCAGATGAGATTTTGGACTTTGACTTTTGAGTTAATGCTGGAATAAGTTTAGACTCTGGGGGACTGTTGGGAAGGCATGATTGTATTTTCCAATGTGAGTAGGACATGAGATTTGGAGGGGCCAGGGGTGAAATGATATAGTTTGGATGTTGTCCTCACCAAAATCTCATCTTGAATTGTAATCCCCAGTGTTGGAAGTGGGGCCTAGCAGGAGGTATTGGATCATGAGGGGCAGAGTTCTCATGAATGGTTTAGCACCATCCCAGCCTCAGTACTCTACAGTGAGTGAGTTCTCACAAGATCTGGTTGTTTAAAAATGTGTAGTACCTCCCTCTTCTCTCTCTTCCTCCTGCTCCAGCTTTGTCTTCTGCCATAAGTAAAAGCTCCCCAAGGCCTCCTCAGAAGCAAATGCTGTCATGCTTTCTGTACAACCTGTGGAACTAGGAGCCACTTAAACCTCTTTTGTTATAAATTACCCAGTCTCAGTTATTTATTTATAGCAATGTGAGAACAGACTGATACAAGTATCTTGTTAAGATGTAAATATTATCCAAAGTAATCTACAGAATAAATGCAATTTCTGTAAAAATTCCAATAGTCTTTCTTTTTTCTTTTTTTTTTTTTTTTTGACGGAGTCTTGCTCTGTCTCCCAGGCTGGAATGCAGTGGCATGATCTCAGCTCACTGCAAGCTCTGCCTCCCAGGTTCATGTCATTCTCCTGCTTCAGCCTTCAGAGTAGCTGGGACTACGGGTGCCCGCCACTATGCCCAGCTAATTTTTTTTTTATATTTTTTAATAGAGACGGGGTTTCACCATGTTAGCCAGGATGGTCTTGATCTCCTGACCTCGTAATCCACCTGCCTCGGCCCCAATAGTCTTTCTTTACAGAAATGGAAAAGAGATTTTCTATTCAGCCAGTGCAACCCTTTTATATGTAAAGACCACAAACTTACATGAACATGGATGATATAGTTTGGCTCTGTGTCCCCACCCAAATCTCATGTCAAACTGTAATCCCCATGTGTTGGAGGAGGGGCCTGATGGGAGGTGACTGAATCATGGGGGCGGATGTTCCACTTGCTGTGTTCATTATAGTCAGTTCTCACGAGATTTGGTTGTTTGAAACTGCGTAGCACCTCCCCCTTGGCTCTCTCTCTCTCCTGCTCTGACATGTTAAGACGTGCTCTCTTCCCCTTTGCCTTTGGCCATGACTGTAAGTTTCCTGAGGCCTCCCAGCCATGCTTCCTATACAGCCTGCAGAACTGTGAGTCAATTAAACCTCTTTTTTTCATAAATTATCCAGTCTCAGGTAGTTCTTTATAGCAGTGTGAGAATGGACTCATACAGTAGAATAACTTAATTGAATATTGTTCAAATGAGTCCTTCCTGAGGAGTCTTCTAGACTAGGGATCAGAAAACTATGGCCTGCAGGCCAATCTAGCTCACTACTTGTTTTTGTATGGTGCATGAGCTATACAAAAGGTGTAACGTAAATATCAATGGGTCCATATAGATATAAATAAATGTTTCAACATGAAATAAGTGGGGGAGATTAGATAAATTGCCTGGACAGAATAATTCCATATTAATTTATGTAGCTAATTCCCTCTCCGCCCTACCCAAATGGGGGATGCACTTAGCAACTGGCTTCCAAACAATAGAGTATTGAAGTGAGGTTGTGGGAACAGAGAATAAGTTTACAGTGAAAAAAACCTGACAAACCCTACCTCAGCCATATGATCAAGGTTAACGTCCTCAGTAATGTCATGTCGATAGCATGTATCCATGATATATTGTGATGAGAATGCCACTTCTGCAGCCTCCCTCTCCAAACCCGTAATCCCAGACTAACTGTGAGAAAAACATCAGGCAACCCCAAATTGAAGGACATTCTGCAAAATGTCTGGGAAGTTCTTCTCAAAAACTACCAAGGTGATCAAGGACAAGGGAAGTCTGAGAAACTGTCATAGACCAGAGAAGGCTAAGGAGACAGAATGAATAAATGTAATGTGGCATCTTAGATTGGATCATGGAACAGAAAAAAGACATTGAGGAAAAATTGACGAAATCTAAATAAAGCATCACATGTAGCTAATAACAATGTGCCAATGTTGGTTTCTTAGTTGTGATACAGGTACCATGGTGATATAGAATGTTAATAATAGGGAAACTGGGTCAGGAGTATAGAGTGATTCTCTGTACAATCTTCGCAACTTTTCTTAACCTGCAAATATTATTTTTAAAAGTTTATTTTTAAGAAAGTTTTAAGGTATATATTAGACTGAATGTTTGTGTCTCCACAAAATGTATGTGTTGAAACCCCAAACTCCATGTGACTATATTTGGAGATGGGGCCTATGAAGAAGTGATTATGGTTAAATGAGCTCATAAAGCGAGGGTGGGCTCGTAATCTGATAGGGCTGGTGCCTTTATAAGACGAGAAAGATACCAGAGGTCTTTCTCCACCATGTGAGGACACAAGAAGGTGGACATTTACAAGACAAGAAGACAGCCCTCCCCAGGAATTAACCCTGCCGGATCTTGCTCTGGGACTTTAATCCTCTAGAACTATGAGAATAAAATTTCTGTTGTTTAAGCCACTCAGTCTGTGGTATTTTGCTGGGGTAGCCTGAGCTGACAAATATGAGGTGCATGACTGTACTATGGCAGGAGTGTGCACAGGATGCTACTAGAACACTACAAAAGAGACACAATGCCGGGCACAGTGGCTCAAGCCTGTAAACCCAGCACTTTGGGGGGCCAAGGTGGGTGGATCACAAGGTCAGCAGTTCCAGACCAGCCTGACCAACATGGTGAAACCCTGTTTCTACTAAAAATACAAAAAAATTAGCTAGGCGTAGTGGCGGGTGCCTGTAATCCCAGCGACTTGGGAGGCTGAGGCAGGAGAATTGCTTGAAACCAGAAGGCGGAAGTTGCAGTGAGCTGAGATTGCACCACTGCACTCTAGCCTGGGCAATAAGAGCGAAAAACTCTGTCTCAAAAAAAAAAGAGAGAGAGAGATACAATAATACATTATAAACTTCTGATGGTAATATACATGACAGCCTCTGAAATATTCACCCAAAACTGGAAACTGAATCACATCTAACTGTAAGTTTAACAGAGGACAGAGAATCACTTTGAAGACAACATGGAGATGCAACCAGAATAACCATTCTCTAAGAAGCTTTACAGGACAAATGACCTGCGTTCTTCAATAAATAAATTACAAGGGAGAGACTAGGAAGGAATCAATAATTGAAAAGGAGCTATCCGCCAAATACAATGTGTAGACCTGGTGAGGATCCTGATATGAATAAACTATTGTAAAACAGCAATGACAACAGCTAGATATTTTATTATATTAAAGAATGATAATCATTTGCTCTTGTTTGTTTGTTTTTGAGATGAAGTCTCACTCTGTGCTGGAGTGCAGTGGCGCAATCTTGGTCCTTACTGGCGCACTGCTTGGCTCACTGCAACCTCTGCTTCCCAAGTTCAAGCAATTCTCCTGCCTCAGCCTCCTGAGTAGCTGGGATTACAGGCACACACCACCATGCCCAGATAATTTTTGTATTTTTAGTTGAGATGGGGTTTCACCATGTTGGCCAGGCTGGTATCAAACTCTTGACCTCAAGTGATCTGCCACCCTCGGCAGCCCAAATGCTAGGATTACAAGCATGAGCCATCGCACCCAGCCGATCATTTGCTTTTAAAAGTTATAAATTTTAAAGATACAGAGTTATTTGCAAATAAAATGATGCAGTGTGGGCAATTTGTTTCAAAATTGGTAGGGGGAAGTGTCCTCATGAGATAAGGACATAGGCAGAGAAGTGAACTGAATTATAGATGAAACAAGGTTAGCCATCGATTTATCATTGTTAAAGCTGGGTGACGAATACATTGGGATTCGTTATTCTATTTTCTCTATGTTTGAATACATTTGAAATTTTCCATAATACAAAGCTAGAAAACAGCAATATGTATAACATCATTTTGAAAAAACTTACATAAACTATATATGACCTCCCCTTCCAGCCAAGATGGAGTAACAGGAACTGGACTTAACCTCCCTCCTGAAACAAGCAAACACACACAATGACAAAAGCAATAGTATATAAGACACTGGACCTCAGGCAATGAAAGACAGTGATCCCTGAGAGATGAGAAAAAACACTGTGAACTGCACAATCGCCACAGCTTTACCACCCGGAGAGAGCTTCCAGACTGTGGCAAAGAGAGAACAGAGGCAGAGCCTGGAAGATTCCTGCACTTGAGAAGATGGAGCTGAGGGCCTGGGAGACCAAGGCAGCTTGAGTTGATGGAGGCAGCTTGAGTTGATGGAGCAGAGTCTAGAGAGGAGAGAGACACACTGGCAGAAACTCCCAAGGATCTGCAGAGAGACACCCTGGAGTATTCAGATGAGCACTTCATTCATGAGAAAATTATCATGTTAACAAATCTGAGAAAACAAAAATGTGATAATCTTAAGATGCAGAAAAAGCATTTGATGAAATCCAACAAGATTCTTGATAAAAATTCTTAGCAAGTTGGTAATACGAACTTTCTCAATCTGGTAAAGGACAGCTACAGAAAACCTACAGGCACCATTGTACCTAGTAATGATGAAAGGCTGGACGCTGATCCCATAGGATCAGGAGCAGTTCCAAAATGCATGCTCTTGCCACTCCTATTCAGCATTGCACTGGAGGTTCTCACTAGTGCAGTTGTTACAGTGGGTAGCCAGTCAGACATGAGCAGGGCAGGAGAGGCACTCCCACCAGGAATGCCAGGTGACCATCAGTTGATGGCCAGGCAGTTATTAAACTGTCTCTCTGAAATAATTATTGGTTGCAGCCAGTGCCAGGGAAAGACAGTTTCCCAATAGACAGAAACACCTAAAACTGGTGATCAGCAGCTTCCCAATAAGATCTCAAGAGTTGGATGAGTGGGCTCAAGCATGTGCACTAAGAGGCAAAATGGTGGAGTTTAACTGGTATATGACCTTCCTCTAGGAATGCTAGACTGGTAGAGGAAAAACACCTGAAGTGAGCATGCATAGACTGTAGTAAACACACTGCACATGCGGCCTCTCCCAAGCGCTAGCAGGCCAATGCACATGCAGACAGCCCACCCCACGGGAAGAATCAGGGGAGAAGCAATGCACAACCCCACAAGTATGCCAGTGTATAAAACCCTAAGTCAAAGGTCAAACTGTGCACTTGAATCTCTCAAGTCGCCCGCCTGGCCCTCTTCCAAGAGTACTTCTTTTCATTCCTGCTCTAAAGCTTTTTAATAAACTTTCTCTCCTGCTCTAAAACTTGCCTCCGTCTCTCATTCTGCTTTATGCCCCTCACACAAGTTCTTCTGAGGAGGCAAGAAATGAGGTTGCTGCGGACCTGTACAGATTTGCCACTGCTAACACAATCAGGCAAGAAAAGAAATAAAAGACAAGGAGAATAGAAAGTAAAACTATTTTTATTCTCAAACATGACTGTCTATGTGGAAAACCTGATGGGTTCTAGAAAAACAAAGCTACTAGGTCAAATGAGTGAGCTTAGCAAAGCAGAGGGATACAAGGTCAACATACAAAAATCAACTGTGTTTCTATAAACTGGCAATGAACAATCCAAAATTGAAATTGACAAAACAATGTCCTTTACCATAGCATCAAAAAGATAAAATACTAGTGATAAATCTGCCAGAAAATGTGAAAGACCTGTTTTATTCATTTCCTAGGGCAGTCATAACAAATTACCACCACCTGGGTGGCTTAAAACAACAGTTTATTCTCTCACAGTGCTGGAGTCCAGAAGTCTGTCTGACATCAAGGTGTCGGTAGGGCTGCAGTACTTGCGAAAGCTCTAAGGAACAGTCTGTTCTTTGCCTCTTCCTGCTTCTGTTGGCTTCAGATGTTCCTTGGTATTTTTTGGCTTGTAGCCCCATCATTCCAATCTCTGCCTCCATCTTCACGTCATCTTCTCCTCCCTCTGTCTTTCTCCTCTGTATCTCTCTTACAAAAACATGTCTTTGGATTTAGAGCCCATCTGGAGAATTCTGAGTGAGCTCTGCATCTTGAGACATTTAATTGTATCTGCAGAGTTCTTTTTCCAAATAAGGTCATATTCTCAGACCCTGGGTATTAAGACATGGGCATATTTTGGGGCAGGGGCTATGATTCAACTCACTACATCCATACACTGAAAACTACAAAATACTGCTGAAAGAAATTAAACTGACCTAAATAAATGGAGACATACACCTTGTCCATGAGTCAGAGGATTCAAGATTGTTAGAATGTCAACTTCCCCCCGTAATTGACCTATGTATTCATTGCAATGCTAATCAAAATTCAAGCTGGCTTTTCTTGTAGAAATTGACAAGCTAATTATAAAGTTCATGTGGAAAGGCAAAGGATTTAGAATGACCAAGACAACTTTGAAAAAGAACAAAATTGGAGGGCTAACACTACCTGATTTCAAGAACTATTATAAAACTACAGTAATCAATACTGAGTGGTTTTGGTATATAGATAGATTAATGGAACAGAATAAGGATTCTAGAAAAAGACCCATGCATATATGGACACATGATTTTTGACAAAGGTACAAAGGCAAAGGAGTAGAGAAAGGATAGTGATTTTTTGTTTTGTTTTGTTTGTAGATATGAGGGTCTCACTGGGTTGACTGGGCCAGGCTTGAACTCCTGCCCTCAACCATCCTCCCACGTTGGCCTCCCAAAGTGCTGGTATTACAATCGTGAGCCACCTCACCTGTCTGAGAAAAGATAGTCTTTCAACAAATGGTGCTGGGACAATTAGACATTTATAGATATATAAAAGAACTTGGATGTATATCGTTCACCATATTAAAAAATCAACTCAAAAAGGATCATAAACCTAAATGTAAAATCTAAAATTATAAAATTTTTAGAAGAAAACATGAGAGAAACATGTGTGGCCTTGGGTTAGCTCAAGATTTGTGAGATGCAACACCAAAAGTACAATCCATAAGAACAGGTTGGTAAATTGAACTACATCAAAATTTAAAGTTTGTTCCTCAAAAGACACTGAGAGAGAATGAAAACAAAAACAAAAACAAAAAAACTTAACTGCTCTATGAGAAGAACGAGAAGACAATCCACAGACTAGGAAAGAATCTTTGCAAAGCATATATCTGTTAAAGGACTTGCATCCAGACTATATGAAAGCTCTCAAAATTCAACAGTAAGAAAAAAAGAGCAGCCCAAACTTTTAAGAGTCCAAAAGATTTGAATAGACCAACAAAGATATACAGTTGATAAATAAACACATGAAAATAGGCACTATTAGTCATTAGAGAAATGCAAATTAAAACGTCATTAGCTTTAGAGAAATACACACTTTAGAATGGTTAAAATTTAAAAGACCGACCATACCAAGTGTTGATGAGGATATAATGAAATGGAAACTCTCATCCACTTCCAGTGGGAATATAAAATGGCCCAATCCATTTAGAAAATGGTTTGGCAATACCTTATATGATCCAGCCATTCTGTCAGAGGCATTTGAACCAGAGCCAACTCCATCCTGAATAGGAACTGGGTAAAATGAGGCTGAGACCTACTGGGCTGCATTCCCAGGAGGTTAAGGCATTCTAAGTCACAGGATGAGATAGGAGGTAGTCACAAAATATAGGTCATAAAGACCTTGCTGATAAAACAGGCTGCAGTAAAGAAGCTGGCTAAAACACCAAATCAAGATGGCAACAAGAGTGATCTCTGGTCACCCTCACTGCTACACTCCCACCTACACCATGACAGTTTACAAATGCCATGGCAATGTCAGAAAGTTACTCTATATGGTCTAAAAAGGGGAGGCATGAATAATCCACCCCTTGTTTAGCATATCATCAAGAAATAATCATAAAAATGGGCAACCAGTAGCCCTCAGGACTGCTCTGCCTATAGAGTAGCCATTCTTTTATTCCATTACTTTCTTAATAAACTTGCTTTCACTTTATGCACTGACCTCGAATTCTTTCTTGCGAGAGATCCAAGAACCCTTTCTTGGGGTCTGGATCAGGATCCCTTTCCAATAACAATTCCACTCCTAGGCATTTACCCAAAAGAAAAAAAATACATATATCCCTACAAAGACTTGTACATGAGTGTTCACAGCAGCTTTATGTGGAATAGCCAAAAACTGGAAATAACACAAACATCCATGAACAGGTGAACAGATAAACTAACTGTGGTTATAAAAATAGGTGAAATACTATCTAGCAATTTAAAAAGAATAAGTTATTAACACATACAACAGGAATGAATTTCAACCTAATTATGCTGAGTGAAAGACTCTAGACAAAAAAAGAATTATATACTTTGTAATTTCATTTATATGAAACTCTAGAAAATGCAAAGTAATCTGTAGTGACAGATAGCTGATCTGTGGTTGCCTGGAGGTGGGGAAGGGAGAGGAAGGAGGCATGATCATAACTGAAAAGCAGGTTAGTTGCTTGCCACACACAGTATCCAATTAACAAAGTGAGATCTGGTACAAAACAAGTGAATTTATTCCAAAGCTAGCTTATGGAAAGAGGCACAAGGCGCCGTGACTTTAAATGTGCTGCTTCACTTTTGGAGCAGAAAACTTTTATAAGGTAGGCCGTGGGCCGGGCGCAGTGGCTCATGCCTGTAATCCCAACACTTTGGGAGGCCGAGGCGGGTGGATCCCAAGGTCAGGAATCCGAGACCAGCCTGACCAACGTGGGAAAACCCCGTCTCTACTAAAAATACAAAAATTAGCTAGGCATGGTGGTGTGTTCTTGTAATCCCAGCTACTTGGGAGGCTGAGGCAGGAGAATTGCTTGAACCGGGACCCAGGAGGCGGAGGTTGCAGTGAGCTGAGATCACGCCTCTGCACTCCAGCCTGGGCGACAGAGTGAGACTCTGTCTCAAAAAAAAAAAAGAAAGGTAGGGGGTGAAGTGTGCATGGGCAGGGGGTCCCAATGCTAGCTTGGTGACTTATCTATCCAACAGTTGAGTTGGCACCTTCTTGGGCAAAAATAAGTTGTAAACGTGGCCACACCAGCATGCTTTTGACATGCCCTCTGCATGGGTACAAGTTCTGAGGCAATCCCCTGGAGGTGAGAGTTCCATGGGGTATGTTTCAGTCTGCAAATCAACTGTCAACTGTCTTGGAGCACATAGTTAGATGAATTTGCCTTGTAGGTAGTGTCTGGTGAGGGGAGGTGAAGATTATATTTGCATTTCTGAAGGCCAAAGTAGGAAGCAGGAAACAGAGAGGGAAAGAAAAAGAAATAAATAAGAGAATTTTTTTTTAAATTTAAACTATCTCTTGGCTGGGCAAGGTGGCTTATGCCTGTAATCCCAGCACTTTGGAAGACCAAGGCAGGCAGATCACTTGAGACCAGGAGTTCAAGACTACCCTGGCCAACATGGTGAAACCCCGTCTCAACTAAAAATACAAAAATTAGCCAGGCGAAGTGGCACATGCTTGTAGTCCCAGCTACTTGGGAAGCTGAGGCAGGAGAATCGCTTGAGCCCAGAAGGCGGAGGTTGCAGTGAGCTGAGATCGCGCCACTGCACTCCAGCCTGGGCAACACAGAGTGAGACTCTGTCTCAAATAAATAAATAACCGCCTGACCATCACCTGATGGTTGCCTGACATTCCCTCCCACCCCTGGAGGCCCTCTCCTGCCCTGCTCATGTCTGCCTGACTACCTACTGTAACATAATGATGGTGGTTTTCTCTGGGGAGGGCTCTGGGAAGGGTTGTTATATACAAGGGGAACTTGAGCTTTAACTATCATTTGAATTTTTATGGCACAAATGTGCCGACATATTAACTGTATTATTTTTTAAAGTTAGAAAAAATTTTCTAGCTCACAACTGAGTTCTGATGTTTGTTGATTCTGAATCTTCAGCAAACCTCTATGAGTTGTAATATTTTTACAGTAGGAGCTTTGTTTTTACAATCTAAAATATCTTTAAATGAACTGAAATTTATTTTTATTTAAAATGTTTTTCCTAAGAATTTCTAAAGGACTGTGTTTGGAAAAAATCTGCTTTTTAACAGATGTCTTACATTCCCTCCTCAGTCCTGTCTCTAAATATTACTTGGTAAAAGTAACACACTATTTTTCTAGACTCTGACTAATGCTTCTTTGGGTTTTTTTTTTTTTTTTTTTTTTTTGGCCACCGCCCATTCAGAACACAACCTCTATTACCAGATGTTTGTCTTCCTGCTTTCTATATTTAAAAGTCACAGATGAGATTTAGCTGGTATAGCCACATAGTTATTTTTTTGTCAACAGTTTAAAGTTTTGACAATCGGCATTGGCAAACTAATTTGAAGACCAAAACAAAAAAAATCTTGATTTAATTAAAGAGCTTAAGAAAGATTTCAGCCTGTCTGACTTCCGCAGGGCAGGCCAGGAGGTCAGAATGGCGCTCAGAAGTCCTCCTCCACAGGAATTCTAACCCGGAGCGCCTGCTGGCTACTGCCCAGAAACTGAGTCATGAAGAAACCCCACGTGTAAAATAATCCTTCAGGCAAATGGGAAACGGTACCTTAGAATGGACTGTATCAGAGCCATGGACTCAAGATTTGAATGAAATACAGAGCCAGCTAAGTTCCCTCCCGCTGGAGCCATTCATTCAGCACTTCATTATGGAGCATCTTAGAGTCCTTCCTGGGCTTAGGGACACAAATGGACCACGGGCTGCGTCGGCTCCTCAGCAGTTCAACTAAGTGGGGAGGCAAGCTCTGGGAACAGACTGCAGCCCCAGGCCAGATGGCTTCTTACCGGGAACATACCAGGTCATGTGAGGCCAAGAGCCCTCTGGGAAGGCAGAGAAGGCTCCACAGAGGAGGGGACATGACTCGTGGATTTGTATGCAGAAAATAGAGGGACAAGAATTCTGGACAACAAAACAATAGATACTAGCACTCCCGGCCTTTCATTCTGAAAAGCCAAATCATCCTTTGTCCACGGACTGTAGGGAGAGGTTGGGGTAGAAATAAAGTCAGTGAGTCATTCTGGTGGCAAATTTCAAACAGCCCCAACCCCCACTTTTTAAAACAGTCCACAAACAGGTGAGCAAGAGTAGCGCATTTCTTCTCTTTCTTTAAACCAACTCAGTGTAGACTTCAAGCCCCCATCTCTCCCCAGGCAGGTGAAATACCTGATCTCAGTCATGCCAGGCCTCCAAGAATGTGCCACGGTCCCAAGACCATCCGCAGCCCTACAGGTTGGGCCAGGTCCTCTGCTCCCCATCCCAGGGCCTGGGCTGTTGAGATGTGGAGCCTCTGGGGAGGGACCACTAGCAAAGCTGGAACACGTGTGTATTCTCTCTTTAAAGGATAGAAATGTGCCTAGAGGCCAGCATTTCCAAACATGCAGAGGGCCTCTCTCCAGCTGGGCCGGGGGTGAGAGCAACCCTGGCATTAAGCCTGTTCCCATTCCACCATCTGCATGGATGGCTCTGTCCGAGGTTTTTAACCACAGACATCCTGGTAATCGGGTTCCAGGAGTTCAGAGACCTGTCTTCTAATTTGGCATCCTCTCTTGACCCCAAGAAAATCACTTTTATCTTTCTCTTTGTGTGAAGTCAGCTGGCCACACCCCCAGCCATTCAATTTGTCTACAGATTCTTGGGCAAATGTCTTTCAGTTCCAACTCCCTGTCTCCAACCCTGGGTCAGTCTCTGGGTCTCTTTCCACTTCCCTCCACACCCCTCAGGGCCTGTCTAAAGACGCATCCTCCACATTCTTTCCCCACTTCCAAGTCCCATGGTTTCCCTGGCTTTGTCTGATAGGTACCAAAATGGGTCCCAGCTGGAGTCCAGCTTGTCCCCCACAGTGGGGGCCAATGTCGCATCATCCCGCACAGCACAGTCCCCTCACCTCTGAGACCTCACTTCTGCTGTGTTTCCACCCTTCCCCCGGTGACATCTGCCCTCCTGGCCCACTTCAGAGGAATTTTCTCCATGCACTTCCCCAGACCCCAGGCCAGTGACCTTCTCTTAGTCTGAGAACTTGGCAAATTCTTCTCCTCAGACAGCACTCACTTCCTGCAGTGAGCATGCTGCCCCAGACAACTGCGGGCTCCTGGGAGGCAAGGGTGGCTCAGGACAAAGATTTCCCCAGACCCGCAGAGCCCGCTGGTGTCCAAGGGGAGCAGAGGAGGAGAAGAATCTGCTACAAGGAGATTCTACAGGAGATTCTACAGTGTGGAGAAAATTGCAACGAGGCAAAACCACATCAGCATCATGAGCTACAGGCAGGAATGGAACAGGTTCCACAGAGTCAGGAAAGGGTCCACCTCCATTTAAGTCGGGCGGCCTCTGGACAGGGGCGCAGGGGTGTGGGGCAGACCTCCCCCTCTCTGCCCCCTCATTTGCCCCCCTGCCAGCCTGCGTGTCCCCTCCCTCGGTTGCGCTCCCACCACCTTTGCCCTTGTCCCTGAATCCCCAGGCATCTGGCCTCTCTGGAACCAGTCACTGGTCATGTCTGAGGTTCCAGGTCCCCTGCTCCCTCTGACCTCAGAAGCAGTGTAGACTTACTGCCCGCTCTCCTCCCTTGGCCCCTCTGGCTGTCTGACCCCTTTTCTGGGTCCTACTCCTCCTCCTGGCCCAACTGTCAGTGCTGCCCACACCCCTCACTGCCTCCTGGGGAGGGGTCACCCCACTGCGCCCATCCCTCCCAGCCGCTGTGGCCTGGGAGCTGGCATTCACCACCCAGAGCCAAACACAAGGCCCTGGAGCTTGTCCTGCCCCAGGGCCACCAGGATGAAGGCTGGCTGTCCTGCTGCCTCCTGTACCCTCTCTGTTTCATTTCCATCTGTAAAAGGCAGTGCCAAGAATGGTGGTTGTCAGAAGCTATGGGGAGCGGGAATGGGGAGTTGTTGTTCAATGGGGACAGAGTTTCAGTTTGAACTGAACCAATAAAAACGTTCTGGAGATGAATGGTGGTGTTGGTTGCACAATCATGTGAATGCATTTAATGCCACTGATCTGGACAATTAAAAATGGTGAGGATGGTAAATTTTATGTTATGCATATTTTACCAAAATTTTTTGTTTGTTTTTTTCGAGACAGAGTCTTGCTCCAACCTGTTGCCCAGGCTGGAATGCAGTGGCGCCATCGTGGCTCACTGCAACCTCCTCCTCCCAGATTTAAGCAATTCTCCTGCCTCAGCCTCTGCAGTAGCTGGGATTACAGGTGCCCACCACCACCCCTGGCTAATTTTTGTATTTTTAGTAGAGATGGGGTTTCACTCCACTGGCCAGGCTGGTCTCAAACTCCTGACCTCATGATCCTCCCACCTCGGCCTCCAAAAGTGCTGGGATTATAGGCTTGAGCCACTGCACCCAGCCTACCACAATATTTTTAAATGAGAAGAAAGAGCATTGCCCAATAGTGCCTACTTTGCACTGTTGCTTACTGATTAAATGGGATGATGTTTGCAGAATACTGAATGCAATGCCCGCATCCAATAACAGTTCAATAAATGACCTCTAAATTATCTCTAGATCTTCAGTCACAGTCTCCAGTTGCCTGCCAGACACTCCCACATACCCTTCATACCTCGTCTTGGGGCAAATGAAATGCCTGCTGGGGCTGACGCTGCCAAGAGCAGAGCCCAGACTGAATCCCACTCCCATTACCCCTCAGCCTGTTCTCCACACACAGAGGCCTGACAGAGGAAACAGGGGTGGGACGAGACAGGCCTGGGCAGTGCAGCTCCCAGAGTGGTCCCCACTTGGAAAGTGGGGTGCAGAAAATAAGAGTCAGGATTTAGAAAATCTATGCCAATCTGACAGTGTCTGATGAATAGAATAATTAAAGTTGGGTTTGTATTCTGGATGTCTTTTAAAAATATTTTTCCAGTAGTTTATCTTTACGTTATGAAAGTGTTGATCTGTGTTATATTAGAAATTTTTAAAAAGAGACCAGGCACCATGGCTCATGCCTGTAATCTCAGCACTTTGAGAGGCCAAAGTGGATGGATCACTTGAGGCCAGGAGTTCAAGACCAGCCTGGCCAACAAGGTGAAACCCTGTCTCTACTAAAAATACAAAAACCATCCGGGCGCGGTAGCAGGTGCCTGTAATCCCAGCTACTAGGGAGGCTGAGGCAGGAGAATCGCTTGAACCCAGGAGGTGGAGGTTGTAGTGAGCCAAGCTCGCACCATTGCATTCCAGCCTGGGTGACAAGAGCAAAACTCTGTCTCAAAAAAAAAGAAGAAGAAGAAGAAGAAAGAAAGAAAAAGAAATTTTTAAAAAGAACTAGGCCTTTACCATAGATAGTTTGAAAAGCCCCAAGCTAGGCTGTGCCAGGATAACAGATCAATTCCTAAATCTCAGTGGCTTAACCAACGATAGCCTGATTCTTGTTTGAATTCCCACGGGGTGGGCTAGGTGGCTCTCCCCAGGTCCAGAACCCAAGGCCTGGGGTTGCTGTGCAGGGGACAGTGGACAGAGGAGGCTGGAGCTTAACTGCCCACCTGCTGCTGTGTGTCCTAGGACCAGAAGGACCATACAGCCTGGCGGAGGCTGAGAAACACAGCACAGCCAGTGGATAGTGGGTGACAAGAGGGTCTGCCACCTTGTAGATCTGAACCTGGGCTCTGCTCCTGGGATCCGGGTTTCTGTAAAGGAGCTGGTCTTCACTGTCATTAGGTGCCTGAGTCTTAAAAGCAAAGGGCCATCTTTGGCCCTTGTCTGCCTGTTTTTGCAGGTCCTGCCTGCAGGCAGCCCCCAGCCCAGCCCCACAGCTTCCCATTTCCCGCAAACTATCAAGCACACACTGCATTTCTTCAGTGCCCAATAAACTGTGAACACTCTTGTTAAACCAGACTACTCACTATCTTCACATTTTCCAGCTCCCTGCCTTGGCTCCAAACAGTTGGTTTCCTGGAATCTACCTCTCCTCAGTCCTCTCCTTCATTCTTGCATGTCCAAGCACCACCCATCCTTCAAGCCTCAGCTCAAATGCCAAGTCTTCCAGGAAGGCTTGTGCACAAGCCAAGAATGAGCATTAGAACACCCAACTGATAGTGGCTTAAGTAACAGAGACGTTTATCTTACCAGAAGTCTCCAGCAAGGTGGTTCCAGGTTCTTTCAGCAGCTCGCTGATGTCAAGGTCAATGGTCTGGATCAGCATCTCTGCTGACCTTCAGGGCTTTACTTCTTGATCACAAGACAGCTGCAGTAGTGCCGTGATCATGTCGTTACACAACTGCAGTCAAGGCAGAAAGAAGGAGAGGCAGCAGGAAAAAAAAAAGGTGGGCAGTTTTCCTTTTCTATTATAGAAGGAAGCATTTCCTAGCAAACCTTCTAGCAAAATTCCCCTGACATCTCATTGGCGAATACTAGTCCATGTAGCCAAACCTGCCCTAAATGTTGGGGTATCTGGGATAGTATCTGGCCTGGGGGATGACCTTTACATAATGGTCTCATCCATCATGGACCTGTCTCAGGAGTTAAGAGCAGCCAGGGTGCTCCTAGCAAGACAGAAGGCAGCTGGGCGCAGTGGCTCATGCCTGTAATCACAGCACTTTGGGAGGCCAAGGTGGGTGGATCACTTATGGTCAGGAGTTCCAGCCTGGCCAACATGGTGAAATCCCATCTCTACTAAAAATACAAAAATTAACCAGGTGTGGTGGCAGGCACCTGTAATCCCAGATACTCAGGAGGCTGAGGCACAAGAATTATTTGAACCCAGAGGCAGAGGATGCAGTGAGCCGAGATTGCACCACTGCACTCCAGTCTGGGCAATAGAGCAAGACTCAGTATCAAAAAAAAAAAAAAGAAGGCAATGGCTCTAGTAGAGTCAGCAACAGACAGAGGCTGCCACACCTTCCCCATCCTTTCTGTTTCCACTTGCAAGTAGTCTTGTATTCTCTAAATGTTTACAGCTTCTTATCTCCCATGGCTCATAATATTTCCTACCTTTTCGTTATCAGTTAGGATTGCAAACCTGGCTTGCAGTGGCTTTGTTGTTCTCACATAACTATAGGTTGGAGAGAAGTGAGCATTGACATGGGTCCAGCAGTTCACTAATGTCAGCGTCCATATCTGTGCTTCTCTTGGTGGTTTCTCTCATGGTTACAAAACGTCTGCTACAACTCCAGCTTTTGAGTCTTCACACAATGTGGAAAGATATGGGGAGGTGTGGTGACATTTGCATGTTTCTTTTTTCAGGAGTGCAAAAAAGTTTCTTCGAAGCCTCTGAGCAGACTTCAACATGTTTCATTGGACAAAAGCCTATCACATGACCACCCCTTGACGTCAGTCTGATGAGGGGAGTAGTCAGCGTTTCTGGCCTTGATGGAAGATGGTTAGGGATGTCATGACTGGTGGGCCAGCTGGGATGCCTGCAGCTCTCCTTCTGTATCTGTCATCTCCTTTGGACTGAGAGCTCTGTAAGAGCAGGGATATTGCTTATTTCTTTTTTTATTATTATTTTATTTTGTGTAGAGACAGGGTCTTGCTATGTTGCCCAGGCTAGTCTCAATCTCCTGGGCTCAAGCAATCCTCCCGCCTCAGCCTCCCAAAGTGCTGGGAGTGCAGGCATGAGCTACTGCGCCCAGCCTGTTTCTTATTTATGACTTGGACCTGATTATACAGGAGTGTTGTGGTAAGTAACTGGGACAGTGCATGCTGAGAACTCATGTGTGCTGAGCCATCCAAGAGTGGCTGTCGCCATCATGAACAAGGAGCAGTCACAGCACCTTCAGCCCCCCAGGGCCCATCTTGTGTCTTGAACATATTTGATGCTGGGTGCCTGCATGCTGAATAGGGGCTGAGAGTGTGGGGTGTGGGTTTTCACTCCTTCCTCCCTGCTCCCCATGGTCTCATGAGCATGTCTAGCAGTGTAACACACCCATGCTTTTTTGTGTGTTTGATACAGAGTCTTGCTCTTTCACCCAGGCTGGAGTGCAGTGGCGTGATCTCGGCCCACTGCAACCTCCGCCTCCCAGGTTCAAGCGATTCTCCTGCCTCAGCCTCTTGAGTAGCTGGGATTACAGGCACCTGCCACCAGGCCCAGCTAATTTTTGTATTTTTAGTAGAAACGGGGTTTCACCAGGCTGGCCAGGCTGGTCCCGAACTCCTGACCTCAGGTGATCCACCCTCCTAGGCCTCCCAAAGTGCTAGGATTACAGGCATGAGCCGCCGCGCCCAGCCACACCCATACATTTTACCATGAACCTTCACATCTATAGGACAACCTCATCTGTGAGGCAACATAGCTTGCCAGGAAAAGAGAAAGAGTCATATGGAACATGACACATTGCAGCCTTGGAAAGGTTATCCTACCTCTCTGTGCCTCAGTTTCTCTGACTTAATGAAAGCTAATTTCTTGAGCCTCTTAGGGCTGTGGAGATGAAATAAGAGATAACACATGACAATGCCGGCCCAACATGGGTGCTCAACTAGTGCCCCTTGTTTGGACTGGCTGATCCTCCAGGAACCCCCAGGCAGGCAGACGAGACAGGCACTGAGGGCTGGGAAAGGCCAAGTCAGAGTCCACAGACTGGCGATGCCCAGGATCAGAGAGGAAGGGCTGAGAGATGGCCTCGTTCAACACACGTGAATGAAGAAGGAACAGGAGAGGCCAGGGGCTACCTGCCTCAGATGGTCCGGCTGTGGTGGGGTGGTGGCCCTATCCCCCAACTCCTCCCTGCTAACCTGAGGCCAGGATGCTGTGCCTAGGAGTAGCTGGATTTTAGTAGGTTCATCTTCTCAATTACACAGGACCACAGACTCTTTCAGTAAAGAGCCAGAAAGTAAATACTTAAGACTTTGCAGGTCATGCGTGGACTCTGTTGCATATCTTTGTTTTTGTTGTTTTGTTTTTCGCTTTTTGTTTTATATAATGCCTAAAAAATGGCCAGGCACGGTGGCTCATGCCTGTAATCCCAGCACTTTGGGAGGCCGAGGTGGGCAGATCACCTGAGGTCAGGAGTTCAAGACCAGCCTGACCAACATGGCGAAGCCTCGTCTCTCCTAAAAATACAAAATTAGCCGGGCATGGTGGCACATGCCTGTAATCCCAGATACTCGGGAGGCTGAGGCAGAAGAATTGCTTGAACCCAGGAGGCAGAGGTTGCTGTGAGCCGAGATCACGCCATTGCACCCCAGCCTGGACAACAAGAATGAAACTCCGTCTCAAAAAAAAAAAAGAGTCTAAAAAATCTAAGAACCATCTTGGCACACGAGCTGCAAAGAAAGGAGCTGCAGCTGGATTTGGCCGCCTGGCTCCCCGACACGTCCTGGCACCCCCGAAGCACTCAAGGAGCTTCCTTGCTTCATCCCCTGGAGGAAAGCCGGGCCTGGCCATGGCGCTATTGTGACGTGGCTCCCAGAGCAGTTTCAGGCCTGTTCTAGCATCTGGCCGGGGCGGCAGCCTGAGAGCCATGGAGCCGCTGGGTGCAACACTGTCCTGCCCGTGTGCATGGAGCTGCTTACGTTGCCTGCACTGCTGCTGTCCTGTTCCCACAACTTCTGCAAACAGTGCCTGGAGCTGATCTTGGTTTACCAGAATTGCACCCAGGTCCAGGGATGGTTCTGTTGTCCAGTGTGTAGGAAAGTAAGAGGAAAATCAGGGCCCTTTGACTCCACGAGGGAGCAGACTTCTTTCTGGTCTGCACTCTTCGAACTCTAGCCCATGAGAAAACTGGGGACTTTGGGCCCCAAAATGAAGACCAGCAAGGCAGACCCACATCTCTGAAGGGTTGTGAGAGGGCATCGGCAGGGGAGGACAGGCTTTTCCTTTAGGCTTAGAAGATCCATCAGGACCCACAGGGAGGAGCTACAGGAGGATGTACATTGTGGCCTAAGGTTGGAGAGAACTTTCTTACAGAACAGCTTGTTCAGTATGCGCTGGGGTAGGTAGGGCCATTTATTAGCACTTGCTAGGTGCCTTGTCACTGTGGTGGAAGACCAGAGAAGCAGAGCTGATGAGGGTTCAGATTTCACCCTTTAAGGAGAGATAGACCACACATATAATGGGAGACCCCACAGTGCAGGTCTGCAATGCACCGCAGGGGACAGGAAGGCCACAGGGGAGGCACTGCTGCATAGAATCTACGGTAGGACTGATGCTGATGGAGAGGGCAATCTAGGAAGAGACAGTGGCAGATAGCAAGGCCCGAGAAAGAGAGCCTAAGAAAGGAGGTGCTTAAGGGCCTGGCCCAGAGATCACGGAGGCTTGAGCATAAGGTGCTGTGGGAGACACCTGGGGCTTTAGGGTACCCACCCGAAGGGTAAGTAGGACATATTCCAGGAGGCCCTACACATCAAGCAAAGGGCTTTGCATTTTATCCTGTAAGCAGAGGGGAGCTAGTGACATATTTTAACCTGGAAAGGGTCATCATAACGTTGACTTCTGAAAGCACAATGTCACATGCTCTCATGGAAATTCTTTGTGTAACATTTCGCCAGCTGGACTGTAGGAATCATGACTGGTGTTGCCCCAGACCCTTTGGATATTTGTGGAAGGAAGGAAGGAAATCTAGAAGGAATAGGTTGCAGGCAGAGGAATCCTGAGGGGCTGGAGGGCAGGGAGAGAGGCAGGCGGTCATCACCTGGCTTTTGGGGGAGGGGTGCCATGAGGTGACTGCAGAGACAGGGGCAACAGCTCAGAAGCACCACACATTTGGATGGATCATTTTATTTGTCAACCTGGAATTTTCACTTATTTGTATGTTTATTTTTAAATCATATCAAAGAAATAGTGTAGAAAAGAGTTTATAATGAAAAGCAATGCTGCCATCCCACCCCTAGTCCCACTCTCCAGAGGCAATCTCTCCTAACTTTTTCTACCTCATTCTTCCTGCAGTCACCACCATAGCTCTGAGTATGTGTTTATCTCACCATTCTTCGCCCACTGGTTTTAGACGCTACTGGCATTTGCTGCCTCTCCGACGACTGAGCTTCTCGTGCACAGCTCCTTCCTCATCTTCCCTCCCTGAGCAGGTCCATGGCAACCTTAATTTCTCTATTGTGATTTTAAGTTAATGCACCAAGCAACTAGAGATAATGGCACCCTCTGAAGCTCCACTTTGTAAGGGAGGCGGTCCTTGTCCCCTGCCCTGCTCTCTGGCTTTCCTGCTCCCAGGTGACAGACACACAGGCTCCTCAGACTCCGGGAGCCCATAAGGAACCTGCAAAGGGCACAGGAAGTACACTGGAGGTCTTCGCAGAAATTTTGTTGAGCCTGGATTTGGGGGTTGGGCAGGTCATGCAGGTGCGGTCCCAAGAGGGTTGAGCAGAAGTAGCTGTGCGTCCTCACCCTGACAGAACACAGAGGATTGAGCAGAGGGACAGTGCTGGCTGGGATACTGGCTGCACCTGCGGCCTAGAAGGGCGGGAAAGAGCTTTGGACTGATTGAGTAGAGGCAGAGATTTGAGAAGGGAGGGAGGAAGAGGACTGGTGTGCCCAGCTCTGAAGGCAGACCCTCTGGGACATTTTCAGTGCTCTTCAGTTTTCTTTGAAAAGAAAAAAGGCCCAGATCCCAGGCGCAGGCCCATTCATCTTCCCTGGAGTATTCATTCTGCTGAATCCTGGAAAAGATTTATACACCAGCAGCATTCTGTAGTGAGTGTTATGCTGGAATTCAAACCCAGGTCCACCTCTTTTCAAGACAAGTTCTTTTCTCATTTCCGAGGCACCAGGGAAAAGAAATCACTTCCCTGCACTGGTTCTGTTGGGGCCAAAAGATCAGGAGATGATTGCCATTGAAAAGGTAGTTTGTTACTCAGAGTTCCCAAGAGGAGGGAGCCCCCCACCACGCAGGGCCACATGGGGAAGCCCCAGGGTTGATCAGGAAGCAAAAGGAATGGCAGGGAACTGTGGTCCAGGGCCTTTGCTGTGGTTTCCACAGGAAGAAATGGGGAGGGGAGGGTAAGCAGGCTAAAGACTGGCTAGTGTGAATCATTTCAGTGGGCTCTGAGGCATAGGAGCTGTGCCTTGCTCTCTGGTAATTAGGGCAGATGGACAGTGGCCTGCGTGTGAGAAGGTTGGATGGTTGGGGGTGTGGGATCTGGGTTGGTTGGTTTGCATCTGAAAAGCACAGTCCCAGGTGAGATCCTTTACTCTGTCTAGGAGTTGGCTAACCCTGGGAGGGCAGGCCCCAGGTGCCAAAACATCAAAATACAGAAAATAAAAGACACAGTGAGACCTGGTCCTTCGTTCTCTGCACTCCACTGGCATATCCAACTGTGCAGTCATTGACTGTGAGCATTTCTTACCACTGGACTGAGTTTCTGTGGAAGACAGAGTAGGTCCTAACCAAAACTCAATGGACTGAAGGAACGCAGATTCCAGTTTCACCTGATGGAGTTTGTAGTGACTTTCACAACAGATACTGGTAACAGGCCCACAGCAGGGCCAGCCTGGAAGTGTCATCGTGCAGGGTTCTCACAGTCACTTCCCTCTCCAGGTCTTGTCAGCCTTCCCCAGGGTGGAATGTGAGTTCTTTCCTCCTCCCAGATGGTGTTTTAGTGACCAGGAAGGGACATATTTCAACCTCCCCCAAAGATGAGGTGGCCTTTGGCCTCAGGAATTTGCCACAAACTCATGTGATCTCTGTGTTTTAGGACATTTATTTGAAGGGCAGGGGAACAAATGGATTGCAGGGAAACATCCTGGCTGAAAATATCCTGGAAAAGCTTAAGGAAGTACTTGAGACACTTCACACCGGGGAGCAAAACCAGCTCGCTCAGATGTGTGAAAAGCGTGGAAAAATCATGAATCTGGTATTAAATTATACTTTTTAAAATTTTCTTTTTGCCTAGCTGCCCAATCTGTCAAATTACTCGGTAAGCCTACATAGTTGAAACCAGATGTTTACTCAGGAGTATAGTAGAGGATTACTTTCCAAATCCACAGCCCAGTGCTAACTTTATTCTTGATTTGTAACGTGGAGCCCAGGGACGAATGTGTGTGTGTGTGCGGGGGGTGAGGGGGTGCATGTGTAGGGGGGGTGCATGTGTGTGTGCGCGCACACACACACATGCAGTATTCAGCCCTGCAGCCCACAGTGGGGTTGAAGGGGTCACATGTAGAAGGGCTCAAACAGGTACAGTGATTTATGAGATTTATGAGACTCCAGCCACCCTCAGTCATCTCGGAGAGAGGGTGCGGTAGGATGAGACTGGCGAACCGGCTATTCCTTCTGTTGCCTCCTGAATGGCTGGTGAGGAGGGACTCCTTTGGAGAGCTGAGTGTAATTCTGGCGTTTGGATGCTCAGCACACGTTTTCCGCACAGTGTGCCATATGAACCCTTGGTTGTTTCTGTGCAATGCTCTGTACATTGTACATTTCTACACACATATCTACAGTGTGCCTTGTACAAAACTAGATGTGTTCTACAAGACACTCCACATTCCCTTGCTAAGGGATCTTCAAAGGGAATTTTGAGGTAATTTTCCCCTTTGGCACTGACTTTAGGATGGATCCTTCTGTCAGATGGGATACCCCTTTAAAAGGCTTTAATTCTTTGCTGTTCACAAAGCACGTTTACAACCTTTAGCCTACTTGACTCCCCGAGCAACCCCGGAGGGGCAGGAGAAGGCAGAGTTTCCATGTTTCATAGATTAGGTAGCATCAGCCACCAGCCTTAGGGGCCTCATCTAGGTTGCTTCGTCTTTGCTCATTATCAGGTGTAAACTAAGTTGACAATTTTTTTTTCGAGACGGAGTCTCGCTCTGTCGCCCAGGCTGGAGTGCAGTGGCGCCATCTCGGCTCACTGCAAGCTCCGCCTCCCGGGTTCACGCCATTCTCCTGCCTCAGCCTCCCGAGTAGCTGGGACTACAGGCGCCCGCCACAACGTCCAGCTAATTTTTTTGTATTTTTAGTAGAGATGGGGTTTCACCGTGTTAGCCAGGATGGTCTCGATCTCCTGACCTGGTGACCCGCCCACCTTGGCCTCCCAAAATGCTGGGATTACAGGCATGAGCTACCGCGCCCGGCCCCCTAAGTTGACAATTTACTTGGAAGAAGTCAAAAGTATTCATGAGACTTCATAATTCTGCCGTAACTTGAAACTCTGAAGCCAACTCCAAAAGCAGAGATGTGGCTCTGAAAGAGGCTCTGGAAGAGGGTCTCCTAGCTCTGAATCAAGTCTGCCGCGGTGAGGCAGGGTCTCCCTGAGATCCTCTACCCTCAACCAGCTACCTGGGCCACCGCCTGAGCCACTCCTCTCTTCCTTGCAGCTTGCACTTCTGCTGAGATCAATGACACTGCTTGGGACAGGCTAGGTCAAGCCCCTGAGGTGCAATTATATATTCCTCTTTAGACTATGCCTTTAAGAATTGGTTTAGTTTTTCACAAGTTTGCTATGGTTCTGCCTCATCTTCAGCAGTCACCTCTATGGTGTTCATTCAGAGCCTGCCCCTGAACTGAGTAAGGAAGGGGTGGAAGCAGAAGAAGCAGGCAGAGGGGATGGCTCCTCTTTGATCCCCTCCATCTAGAAATGTGCTCAGCTTTCAGTCCCGTAGTGGGGCTCACTTTGTTTGTGAAGGTCCTTGTAATATTATCAATAGCTACCAGGGGTTTAATGTCATCCAGGTGTCAGGCACTACTCCAGGCATCTTACGTGCATCGCCCTATTTAATTCTCATGGCAGTCCTATGAGGCAGGTGGTGTGGTAATGTGGGAAAAGCTCTGACCTTAGACTCAGAAGGACCTTGTCTTCTAATCCCAGTGCTGTCCCTTCCTGGCAAGTTATTTGCAGCCTTCTGAGCTTCGTCACCCATAAAACCGTACTATGTAGGCTGGGTGCAGTAGCTCACACTTGTAATTCCAGCACTTTGGGAGGCTGAGGCGGGCAAATCACTTGAGGCCAGCAGTTGGAGACCAGCCTGGCCAATATGGCGAAACTCTGCCTCTACTAAAAATACAAAAAATTAGCCGGGTGTGGTGGCACGTGCCTGTAGTCCCAGCTGCTTAGGAGGCTGAGGCAGGAGAATCACTTGAACCTGGGAGGCGGAGGTTGCAGTGAGCTGAAATTGCACCACTGCACTCCAGCCTGGGTGACAAAGCAAGACCCCGTCTAAAACAACAACAACAACAACAAAACAAAACAAAACAAAACAAAAACCATACTATCTAAAGCAAAGGGTGGTCGTGTGAGGATTCCGTGAAATAACAACATGCACTTACTAAATCACCACCAGACCATCCTAGTACTATCATCACCTCTGTTCTACACACACCAGGGTGTCCTGTGCAACTGACTTTTAATACTTGCTTCACACATTCACAATGTCATCAGCCTGGGTAGGGCAGGTCTCTAGTGCATAGGGTTGGAAAAGGAAGGAAAGAAAGTTTCACTGACTTTTCTTCTCTCAATCAGTTGTGCCTAAGTGATGAAAAGCCAATATGCAGGATATTCAAGCTCTCTGGGGACCACAGTTCTCACCAGGTAGCCAAGATTGCTGATGTGTACACAGAAAGGAAAGCTAGCTTTGCTGAGGACATTCAGCAGGTGCTGCAGAGATCTGAGAGCACAGCCCAGGAAACGGAGGTATGGCTTGAATGGTTCCTCTCCTGTCCCCACATTAACAGGAAGACAATGTTTGGTTCTGGTTTCAACAGTTTTCTCTTCAGAGCACTAGGCCAACAAAGGTAGTGTATAAATGCAAAGGAGAAATCATAGATTGCATTCTCTAGAGACAGGTTCCCCTTGAGTCTGTCCTGAAACATGCCAAGTTTTGAAATGCGCACCTTAAGAACTGGGTCAGTCCTGATTGCTTTCAGGACTTCAAAAAATGAACAGTTAATAGCCAATTAATTTACCTTCCCTGAGTTCAGAAGATGGAGCTAAGAGTCTAGGGAGACCAAAGCAGTTAGAGTACATAGGACAGAGTTCAGAGAGGAGATGGTTACACAAACAGAGATCCTGGAGACCTGTCAGGGGTCTTCCTTGAGTACTCAGCAGTGAACTGATCAGCATATGTCTGTGAAGACACTACCCAAGGTCAGACAAGGAAACATAAAAATATTGAGGGAAGAGCACCTGATGCTTGCACAGGACAAGGAACAATGCCTATTTCCACAAGACCGGAAAAACTCATACATCATGGAACACTGGGAAGAGCACTCAGAAGGTCTTGCCTCCAAGTAGTCAGAATAATTAGCCCTAGATGGACCACTGCTGTGGACCCACCTAAAAAACAATAAAAGCAAGACCTGAAAGGATCAAACTCTTTCCAAGTACCTCCACTGCATCCCATAACAAAATTGAAGATTTATAGGAATACAAAAATATCCAGCTCCCAACCAAGTAAAATTCACAATGTCTGGCATCCAATCAAAGATTACCAGGCAGGCAAAGAAGCAGGAAAACATAGTCTATAATGAGGACAATAATCACACAATCAAAATCAAATCAGAACTGAGACAAATGTTAGAATTAGTAGATGAAGACACTGAAACTTATTATAATTATATTCCATATTTCAGAAAGTTACAGACAGAAAATATAAAAATATTCAAATTAGATCTACATCTATGTACTCAAACAAAAATTTAAAATTTTCAAATTTTTAAATTATTTTTATTTATTTATTTTTTTTTTTGAGACATAGTCTCACTGTCTCCCAGGCTGGAGTGCAGTGGCACAATCTCAGGTCACCGGAAGCTCCACCTCCCGGGTTCACGCCATTCTCCTGCCTCAGCCTCCCAAGTAGCTGGGACTACAGGCGCCCGCCACCACGCCCAGCTAATTTTTTGTATTTTTAGTAGAGACGGGGTTTCACCGTGTTAGCCAGGATGGTCTCGATCTCCTAACCTCATGATCCGCCCACCTCGGCCTCCCAAAGTGCTGGGATTACAGGTGTAAGTCACTGTGCCTGGCCAGGATCCCTTTCTTAGAAGGCAGGAAACTGAGATCCAAGGCTGCCCAGCTAGCAAGAACCAAGATTCTCCTGGGTCTGTGTGGCTTCTTCATTGGTGTGCTTTCCCCTACTTTTTGCTGCCCCATCTGGAAAGACCTGATCATGGGGTGATGCTGGTACTGGGTTTTATTTCTTTTATTTATTTTTGAGAGAGGGTCCTGCTGTGTCACCCAGTCTGGAGTGCAGTGGCACAATCACGGCTCACTGCAGCCTTGACCTCCTGGGCTCAAGGGATCCTCCCATCTCAGCCTCCCGAATAGCTGGGACTGCAGGCATGTACCACCATGCTCAGCTAATTTTTGCATATTTTGCAGAGATGGGGTTGTGCCATGTTGCCCAGGCTGGCCTCAAACTCCTGAGCTCAAGCAATCCACCTGCCTTGGGTCTCAAAGTGTTGGGATTACAGGTGTGAGCTGCCGTGCCCAGCTTGGTGCTGGGCTTTAGGGGTGAACTGAAGACCACCAGTTCCGGAGTATGAGATCTTGACTTTTTCTAGAAATATTAGAATGGTTGCATCTGAGATTTCATTTATTTCCCTCTAAATTATTCAGGTGATTTCTTCCATGTGGCTATTCTTTCAACAATGATCTGCATTTGGCTGTAGCAGAAGTCCATGAGCAGTGGCTTTAAAAAATTAGGGGTTCTATTTTTTTACTTTAATGAAATGTCCCAAGGTAGGAAGTCAAGGCTGGCTGGCTTGGGATCCGTGATGCTCCAGCCCTTTTCTCTCAGCCATTTGGTAGGTGCTCTTGTCAGCACGTAGTCACAGGATGGCTGTCCCATATAGGCATCCTGTCCATGATCCCGGCAAAGGGAAAGGGAAGGGTCAAGACTGGTCCCAGGGGCACATGCCCACTTTTAAGCAGCTTCCTAAAAGCCCACCTGACTGGATTCTACTTCTGCTTCCATTGCACACCTGGTTACTCCCAATGTCAAGGGAAGCAGGAAATGAATGTAGTATTTTTAGCTGCCCACATTGGTTCCCCCAAAGAATCAGAGTTCTTTGGGTAGAAAAGTGGTGAAAAACGGGTAGTGGGCTGGCAACCAGCAGTGTCTGCCAGGCCTGGGGCCTCCCTGCCTCAGGGTGGAAGCCCGGGCAGAGCAGAACCTGTGGGCTGGAGGGCCTCCCTGCAGGGCTTGCCTAAGTGTGTGTTAGTGCTCCCTTGGCAGGACACAGAGAGGCTCATCAGACCTGTCCACCAGCACCACCAGCACAAGGACCATGATCAAAACCATCGGAAACTGCCTGATCAGCGGCATCCACAGCCGCAGCCACATGGTTACCTCAAAGCAGGAGCTGGAGCATGCCTCCGAGTTGGAGAGGCTGCAGTGGGTGGCCTGGGACCTCACAGTCCCCCGCCAGCTCTGCCACCAGATGCTGAGGCTCCTGCAGCAGCACCAGAATGCGATATAGTTTCTGCGAGAAAGGACAAAAAGTTCAGGACGGAGATGAAGAGGCTCATGCACGATGGCATGGTCCCCCAGGTCCCTGAAAAGGACAACATGTCTATCAGGCACTAATTTCAAGAGCTCATTAAAGGAATAGATATTGCTGACTTGGTCCTGCCTGAGTTAGCCCAGGCGCTGGCCACCGTGGCCAGGCTGCCCGAGGCCTGCAGGATGGGCAGGGCCACGCAGAGCGAACTGTTGGAACAAACGCTCCAGGAGATTTTATGCAAGTCAGAGTTGGGCTTGCTGCCAAAACCGAACAAAGAGGCAAAGCTTCCTGGGGACCCATGTTATTCCTCCTCCACTTCCTCCACTGGTGTGTTCTCCACACAAGGAAGTGGGCTTAAGTCTAGGGAATCAACAGCGTAAAGTCATATTTTGGCCTCAAAATGTCAAAAACTTTGATCATTTTGCCTGTAATTTGAAAGTTGCTAGACTTCACTTCTTAAAAAGAAAAAAAAAAAAAAAACTTTCCACATTGTGATCTCTCTCTTGATTTGGGTTATTCTGCTGCTAATTAATCATCCAAAGTTTTTTTTTTTTTTCCATTTTTAATGGAAACCTGCTTTAAAAGCTTGTTGCTGAAAGCTAACATAGGAGGGCTTTAACTAGTGGGAGATGCTGAGCTTGGCTGGGCTGGAGGTGGTGCAGGAGGTGAGTTCTTGGCACAACTGAACAGAACAGCATCGTGCTCTGATGACTTACTGTGCAATTTCAGCTCAATTGAGCTTCAAATACTAGACATTACAACGGCAATGACTCCACAGAAATGAAGCCTTGGTTAGCTCTTGTCCATGGATTTTGTTCTTTTTCCTTCACAACAGTCCTAACTACAGTTTATTAAATGCTTACCATAGACTACTATGCACCCTTTATATTAATGAGTTAATTTAATTCTCAAAATAACTAAAAGAGCTGAGAATTATTATCTCCACCTTATAGGTGGACACTCAGGGTCAAAAAATGTAAATAACTGGTTTAGGATCACATATTTACTTAAACAGTGAGCCGTAAAACAAATTCAAGTCCATCTGGGTGAGGCCTGACTTCTTGTAGGATATTCCTAAGTCTCTGAAAGCAGTACTGATTTGGAAACATCACCTTAAAGAACACTGCTGGCCTGCCGCGGTGGCTCACGCCTGTAATCTCAGCACTTTCGGAGGCCAATGCGGGAGGATCACTTGAGGCCAGGAGCTTGAGACCATTCTGGGCAACACAGGAAGACCCTGTCTCTACAAAAAAAAAAATTTTTTTAAATGGTCAAGCATGGTATCCCCCACCTGTAGTTCCAGCTACTTGGGATGCTAAGGTGAGAGGACAGCTTTAGCCTAGGAGTTCGAAGCTGCAGTGAGCTATGATCGTGCCACTGCACTCCAGCCTGAGTGACAGTGACATCCTATCTCAAAAAAAAAACCACTATTACAATTCTCCAGAAGTTCACTCACTCTTCTTTCCAGTCCACTAGTTTTTATTAAACATTTATCTTAAAATTCAGTGTTTATGAATTACTTTGTGAATGTCTATTATGACAAGCACTGAGTTTAATGCTTTACATACATTACGTTATGAGAACTCCATTCCACCTGAGGAGGTAAGCATTAGAGTGCCTAGTGCCGAACGAACAGACAGATGAACTGAGGTGAAAGGAGATCAGCAGTTTGTCGAAAATCGCAAATAGCATGGTAGAAATGTGGGTTCTAGATGTTACTCTCAAGCCAGTCCTCCTCCTAACCACTTTATTAGTAACATCTCTGGTTGCATGTGACAGAAATTCCATCCAGCTCCAGGTGAGAAAAGAGGGAAATGTACAGCTTCTGATGCTCAACGGGGAAGGGATGGAGTGTCCTTGAGGATGCCTGGATGTGGGGACTCAGCTGCTATCATGACCTCTTTCTCTGTTTTTTGTCTCTTTTTCTTTTTTCTTTTTGAGACAGAGTCTTGCTCTGTCACCCAGGCTGGAGTGCAGTGGCACCAATCAGCTCACTGCAACCTCCGCCTCCTGGGTTCAAGCGATTCATTCTCCTGCCTCAGCCTGCCAAGTAGCTGGGACTACAGGCGCCCGCCACCACACTTGGCTAATTTTTGTATTTTTAGTAGAGACGGGGTTTCACCATATTGGCCAGGCTGGTCTCAAGCTCCTGACCTTGTGATCCGCCCGCCTCAGCCTCCAAAGTGCTGGAATTACAGGCGTGAGCCACCGCGCCCAGCCTTGACTCTGTTTCTTGACTCTTGCTTTGCTTTTTCTGCTGTGGACTGACTTCTTCTCACATGTCATTACAGCTTGGGATCTGCAGCTAAGAGGACTTCCTTCTCCCAGTCCATGTTTACATTTCCAGGAAGGGACACTGGCCTTATTGAGGTACTGTCCCCTTATAGGACTTACCAGTGTGTGTTACCCACTCACCTCTGTGGTTAAGGTACTGTGATTAACAGCTGAGACCACAACCCCACAACTAAAGTGGGGCAGGAGCTGTATTTCAAAAGAAGAGGCATGCTTCCAGGCCAGAGGACACAAATTTAGATGACTTCAGGGGCCAGGCTTGTAGTAAGAATGAAGCAGGCTCAATGGGGACTGTGACAAATAGCAGAGCCCACGCTGCACATAAAGAAAATATTGTCATGTTGGAATGTAGGCTGAGTGTAGCCAGAGATGCCAATTTTTTCTGAGAGAAGCAAGAAATCTAGATTTTTTTTTTCCTGTTAAATGTCTTGATTCTTTTGCATGCTGTCAGCTAGTTAAAAATAGCTTTAAAACATTGCGTGGGTATAAGAAGGCACTTCTGTGAACCAGATGTGACCCCCAGGCCATCACCAGTTTGCAAACCCCTGGTTGTAGGTAGAAAATATAATAAATGTCCACTCCACCCCGGGAATGCTCCCTGGGGAGATTCACTATGCCTGGAGCCTCCAGCTGTGGGTTTTCTCTCTTTCTGCTGTAACTCTTCAAAAGGCAGCTCTTCTGAGCACACAGAAAATGGGAGGCTCCTAGGTGAGGTTTTGGAAGGCACTATCCAGACATCACCCTCATGGTCAACACATCCACCATGCTCTGTGCTAAGACAGACCTGGGTTGACTGTTGCAGAAGACCCAGCGTATTAGGCAGGGTTCACCAGAGAAACAAAGCCAAGAGGAGATATATCCAGATATAAACAGATTTATTATGAGGAATTGGCTTGTGTGATTTATGGAGGTTGAGAAATCCCACAGTCTACCATCTGCAAGCTGGTGACCCAGGAAAGCTAGCTGGTGGTGTGGTTCAAAGGCCTGAGAACTTGAGAGCTGATGGTGTAGATTCCAGTCTGAGTCTGAAGGCCTGAGAGCCAGGAGCACTGAGACCAGGAGAAGATCAATATTCCAGCTGAAATAGGTGGTGCAAATTCAACCCTCCTCCACCTTTTTGTTCCATTTGGGCTTTCAATGGATTGGATGCTGCCCACCCACACTGGGGAGGGCCACTTGCTTTCCTCAGTCCACCAATTCAAATGCTGCTGCCTTCCAGACACCCTCAAAGACACACGTGGAAATAATGCTTGGCCACATATCTGGGCACCCTGAGGTTCAGTCAAGCGGACACATAAAACTATCACATTCAGGAATAAGAGCAGGAAGTCTAACCTGTGAATAGTTGGGAGACCAAGAGGCAAACTCATCTTTGCAACACCATGTGATGAGTGTAGGGCCGGAGGAGAGCAGCTACACAAAGGCAGAGCACTAAATCTCTCCTAGAGAAAGGGGCTTAGGGAGGGTGAAGGTCACAATTTCCAGGAGTATGTGTTTGCTTTACCTTAGTTGTCTTGGTTACAAGGAAAACAGACTCATTTGTCCAGTTGCAGAAAGGTAGAGGGAGGGTTCTGTCCTAAGGCTGCATGGAGACAGATAGACAGGTAGAGTTGCAATCATGAGATGGCAAGGCCTCTGGGACACGGGCCTTAGGGACAAGGGGCCTCTGGCTGTGGTTTGGAGTTTGGCTACTCTAGGAACCTCAGCTGCAGGATTTTGGTCTACTCACTACTCAGCATCTCTGCCCAGTTTTCTCCTGGGCCCAGTCAGCTGCTTCTCCCTCAACTTATTCATACTTTCTGTGAGTCCTGACTTTCATGAGCTAGGCTCCCCTTGTGGCCACTCCTTTTATTTGTGTCCTTCAAGCTCAGCCTCCACTTTTTTTTTTTTCAGGTGGAGTCTCCCTCTCTCGCCTAGGCTGGAGTGCAGTCGTGTGATCTCAGCTCACTGCGCTCACTGCAACCCTCTGCCTCCTGCGCCCAAGTGATTCTTGTGCCTCAGCCTCCTGAGTAGCTGGGACTACAGGCATTTGCCACCTTGGCTGGCTAATTTTTTTTTTTTTAAGTAAAGGTGGGATTTCATCACATTGCACCATGTTGCCCAGGCTGGTCTCAAACTCCTAAGCTCAGGCAATCTGTCTGCCTCAGCCTCCCAAAGTGCTAGGATTACAAGCATGAGCCACCGCGCCTGGCCATCTCTTCACTTTTAATTCTACGCTTCGAGAGATATTTACTGGGTACCTACTGCGTTTGCCAGGCCCTGTTCTAGAATGTAAAATACAGTAGTGAAAACATGCCAGACAAGTTCCTCGCCCTCATGGGGGTAGAACATCAATAAAACAAGCAAGATGGAGCCAGAGAGTGCCAAAATGTTACAGTGTTACAAAAACAGAGTGGTGAAATCTCATTAAAGATGGAGATTTACACTGGGTGGCCAGCAAAGTCCTCCCTAAATAGGGGAGGTTCAAGTGCCATCTGGGTGACAAGGACCAGCCAGACGAAGATGGGACAAGCATGCCAGGTGACCTGAGCAGTGGCAGGAGTGGTGAATGGAGAGGGAGGCCCAGGCTGGACACGGGAGCAAGCTCGGACTTGAACCCAAGGAATACCATGCGCTGCTTTGCTCTGCAAGCAGGTTGTTCTGTTTGACCCCAGACAAACAGCGAAATGCATGCTCTTCCTAACCCTTGCCAAATAATGATCATTAATGACAACCAGGCTGTTTATCACTCAGCAATCCCAAATCACTTTCCTAGGTATGATCTAGCTGAAATACGGAGTCTCTATCCAAAGGAACTCCGTTCCTAGGAAACGGAGTTGCTGGACATTCACTCATGTTTGTTCTGTTCCAAAGGCTGCATGTTCTCTCCACAAAATGCCTACATGCATGTCTACCACATCGGGCCAGCTTCCGGCAGAAGTATACCCAAATTTCAGGGGCTTACATGAGATGGAAGTCATGTCTTTCTCACTTAAAGTCCAAGCTTGTGTAGAGGGTGCCCTGTGATGCTACCAGGGGACTCAGGTTAGCTCTTCACTGCTGCTTGCAACTGGTGGACATAGTGGCTCTCCACCACACCCCAATCACATCCAAGTAGCTAGAAATCAGAAAGCGGGAGACAGAGGGAATCCAGAACCCCCTTCCATCCTGCTCACAGCTCACCAGCCAGAACTTAGTCACACAGGTACAGTCAGGGAGTAATTTAAGTCTACCATCACCAAAAAACTGGGTTTCTGTTTATTATAGAAAAAGGAGACATTGGATATTGGGGAACAACTATCGGTCACTGGCATGGCTTTTATTTTTATATTTTTTCCTAGTTATGAAAGCAATACATACTACCAGGAATCCAGATATATATATAAAGAAAATAAAGGTTAGGAGTAATTCCAGATCTAACTGTTGTTATAAGACAAACAAATTTTTTGTAACCTTACTTCTCACTTAATAGTATATCCTGGCCGGGCACTGTGGCTCATGCCTGTAATCCCAGCACTTTGGGAGGCCGAGGTGGGTGGATCACGAGGTCAGGAATTCAAGACCAGCCTGGCCAAGATGGTGAAACCCTGTCTCTACTAAAAATACAAAAATTAGCTGGGAATGGTGGCAGGAGCCTGTAATCCCAGCTACTCAGGAAGCTGAGGCAGGGTATTGCTTGAACCCGGGAGGCAAACGTTGCAGTGAGCCGAGATCGTGCCACTGCACTCCAGCCTGGACGACAGAGCAAGACTCTGTCTCAAAAAAAAAAAAAAAAAAATAGTATATCCTGATAATCTTCCCGTATCAATAAACATAGATCTACATTACTATGAGAACTTTTTTTTTCCCTTGAGACGGAGTCTCGCTCTGTCGCCCAGGCTGGAGTACACTGGCACAATCTCAGCTCACTGCAAACTCTGCCTCCCGGGTTCAAGTGATTCTCCTGCCTCAGCCTTATTTGTCTGTATCTCTTGGATGCCTGTCAGGTGCTAGGCCCTGTGGTGGTGACTGGGTGCACAAGAGAGAGCAAGACAAAGTTCCAGCTCAATGAATTTTATTTCCCCTGTTGTTTACAAATGCTTTGATTTGACTTGTAGATATTTGTCAACCATTAGTATCTTGGTTCTATTGAAGGAGTAAGAACATTTTAAGCTGAAATTCTTCTTTCTTTTCAATTGAGATGGAGTCTCACTCTGTCACCCAGGCTGGCGTGCCATGGCATGACCTCAGCTCACTGCAGCTTCTGCCTCCTGGGTTCAAGCGATCCTCTCACCTCAGACTCTCGAGTAGCTGGGATTACAGGCGCACGCCACCACGCCCGGCTAATTTTTGTATTTTTAGTAGAGATGGGATTTCACCATGTTGGCCAAGCTGGTCTCAAACTCCTGACCTCAAGTGATCCCCCCGCCTCGTCCTCCCAAAGTGCTGGGATTACAGGCGTGAGCCACTACGCCTGGCCACGATCATACCTTTTCATGGCATGTTTGGACCGTAATTTATGCAGTCACCTATGGTGTACTGGTAGATGGTTGTGATTTGAGGCTACTATAAACAAGATGATGAACAGCCTGTGGAGGATCTTTGTATGTTTGTCCTGTTATTTTCTAGGCATAAATTCCTAGCAGTGGCAAAATGCTGGATTAAGGAACACTTTCAAAGATTCCGATTCTTGCTGCCAAATTGGCCCCTAGACTTGCAGAAATTTATACTAATGCCTCCAATGTTTCCTTCTACAATGCCACTGATCAACTAAGAGATAAGAAAGCTTTCATTGTTTAAAACTTTGTCTTTATTTGATTACTAGTGAGGATGAGCATCTTTTCATATTTATTGGCCATTTTCTTTTGTAAATTGTCAGTTCACATCCTTTTTAAACAGTCCATATTTTAATAGGAGTGTTCACTTTATCCTATTGATTTGAAAAAAAAAATCCACTTTATTAAGGATAACATATTAGCAAATGCTTATGTAGTACTTATGTGTACCAAGCACTGTTCTTAGTTCTTAAGATGTTTATATTAATCTTTTCAACAGCCTGTAAGGTAAGTATTGTTATCCCTATTTTATAGATGAAGAAACTGAGGCACAGAAAAGATATACAATTTGCCCGGTACATAGTTGTACAGCTAGGAAGAGGCAGAACTGGGATTCACACTTAGTAGTCTGGTTCCAGATCCTTGCTTTTAACCACTGGACATTCAAATTAATGTTTTGTCTCTTAGAGATTTTTTTAGACTTTTACAATATTTCCAATTTTTGTCTTTTAACTTCAAAGTTTTTAAAATTCAGTTTTCATTTATATTGTCAAATCCATTAACATTTTCCAAATGGATTCTACTTTAGCGTCATTTAGTTGACCTTCAAGGGTAAAAAATGAAGCACAGATAGGAAGGTAAAGGGTAATGTATGTCATATGCACTTTTGCAAACTCACCAAGAAGTTTCCGATGAACATATGAAGAAAATGTCAGAAGGGCTCATAGTGCTATAAGGCTTCTTATTTCTTCTAAAACACACTGGCCCACCAGCCTCTACTACCAACCTCTAATTGAGGCTCACAGTACCTCTTAACTCTGATATCCAACAATATCCTGGTTTATTTGCTAATGCTTTCTTCCCACCTCAGCCTACTTCATCATTATTAGATATCATTTAATCCTACCCTACTGCTGTGCTAGGTACTTGGCATAGACAGGAACAAAACAGTTTCTGCCCTTGAAGAGTTCCACATCCCCTGCAGCATAACCACACTCTTCCCCTGAACTGTACTCGATCTAGCTCTGGGGCCTGCTCTCTCCTTTCTCAATATATCTTCTAACCTCAAGAAGTCCTCCCCAAATCCTACCCATGGCTTAAGCTCAAGTTTCCCCCCCTCTAGTTTCTTGTTCACTTTAGCTCACAAAATAAAGTCCCCATTAAAAACAAAACGAAACAAACTCCTTTGGCACTTATTGCATACACTAATATGAGTGCTAAAAGGGGAGCTGATACCACCACCTAAGATCATAAATGTAAACGTACAGCATGTCAAGTACTATTTCCCATAGTTCTATTACAGACAAGGACCCACTTTTTTAAAAGTGTTGCACAAAGTCACAATGAATTACAAAAAGCAGAGCTACAGCCCAGGTCTTGCGGTTCCCAGCCATAAAATCTTAAAACTGGCAGAGACCTCAAACGACACCTTAACTAGTGATTTCAGAGTCCTAGCATGTGAAAGTTGTAATGGGGATGGAGGAACTGGGCTTTGGATTAATTTTAAAACAACAAAATCAAGGATTGCTTTGAAAAACATTTGAAGACAAAAATCTTCAAAACATGGGTTGGAAAAGATAACAAAAAAAAGCTCAGGGAGGCTGAGGTGGGAGGATCTCTAGAGTCCGGATGTCGAGGCTACAGTGAGCCGTGACCCACGCCACTGCACTCCAGCCCTGGAGAAAGAGCGAGAGACCGTGTCTCGAAAAAACAAACAACAAAAAAACCCTCAGACCCCAAAACGTCAAGGAATAAAAGTAAAAGGTTGGGCGGACACAACTCCTCCATTTGACAGATGAGCAAACTGAGGCACAGAACTCCAGGAGGCCTGGCCAAGGCCTCCTGGAGGGAACAGGGTCAGTTGACGGAAAAGAGCCAGAGGCTGCACGCTGGACAGCGTTCGGACCTTCCGGGTCGCGCACGTGTAAATTGCCCCCAGGAGCCTGAGGGAGCAAAGCAGCCGCCCCGCCCCGCGGGCAGCGCGTTCAGCGGCCACGTGACACAGCCAGCCCATCACGCGCAAAGGGCAGGGCCTGGAGGACACCACCCCCGCCACTCTCTCAGCCCTCCACTAGGAAAGAAGGAGATGGTATTGGTGGGCGGGCCAGACCCGCCTCCCCCACGGTGGCCACCCCGCGCGAGGCGGGCCCAGCCGCCGCCCTCCAGTGAGGGGACGGACGAGCTCAGCTAGGCCAAGGCGAAAGAGCGACGCGCACTTCAATCAGACGGCTTCACCAATGGGCTTGCGCGCTTTCCGCGGCGCCCGCCCCTGCATCGGCCTCCCGGCGACCGCGCTGCTTTCCCTCAGGCCGCCGCGGCGGCGCCCGCCCGCGCCTCCATCCGGGTCCTGGCGCGGTGCTCTCCCGGCAGCGACGGGCGCGAGGGCCGGGGCATTCCCACGGCCGCGACGGCCCTCTCCGCGAGCGCGAGGTGGGTATGGCGGACGCGGCAGCGAGCGCGGGTCCGTCGCCATTTTATTTCGCGGAGACTCGCGGCAGCGGGTGGGCAGAATGGGAGAGCCGTGCGCCGGCCCGCGCCTGTCCGGCTAACGCGGGCTGGGACTGGTGGGGCGGCCTGCCCCCTCCAGCGGGCGGGTGGCCCCGGGGGGCCGGCGGGCTGCTAGCGGAAGTCGCGGGCGCTCGGGGCACGGGGGAGGGGTGCCGCGTGGCCGCCGCGGGGCCGGCTCCAACCCCCTCCGCTTCCCGCCCAGCTCCTCACCGACAGGGCGGGGGAGGGGGGGTCATTCTTCACATTCCTTACCCCGCCCTTCCCCCCGCTTCAATCAAACTTGGGGCGGGCGGAAGGCCCGCCTTCCGGCCGGCGCCTGTTGGCCGGCGCCGCCTCTGACTGTGGCGTGACTGGTTGTAGGCGCCGCCAGGTGCCTCTGACGTCACTTCCGCTATCAAGTTTGTGGGCCGGGGAGACCTTGGCCTTGGGGGTTGGGATGAAGGAGGGAAGGTAGGAAGTGCGAGGGGCGGGGGGACAGGGCGGGAAGGCGCGGGCGGGGAGGGCGGGAGAGTCGTGGCTGGCTGCATGCCCCTGCTCCCCGCGGCCAAGTGCAGCCTCCCTTCCTGAAGCAGCTGCTGCGGCTGGAGGTCCGCTGCGGCAGCCGTCCTTGGCGAGGGGGAGGGGAACGCGGGAGCGGGAGGAAATCGTATCCCGGGGGACGGGGCTTGGAGATTTGCGACTCGGTGTCACCGGAAACAGCGCTGGCCTTTTGAGTCGACGCTGCAAACTCTTGGAACCGAGTGCCTCTCAGAAGGCTTGCTAATAAACTTCCCGGGCGGGCTCTAGTGTGAGGAATGTGGTAACCTGTATGTCCTTGGCCAGTAATGCCCTTCGGTCTTTCAACTTTTTACAGTAGATTCTGTGTCAGAGGTAATGGTATGTATTCTTCAACTTACCGGTTTTTAAAAAATTGACTAACGAGAGGGCGGGCAGACAGGAAAAAGGCAGGGAAGACAGTGAATGTTAAAATTTTGAGGTAAATCAGGAGACTGGTTGAGTTTTGCTTTTTAACTTCATTGATAATACTGCTTTCTTGGCATACAGTTCCTAAAGTTAAAGCATCATGTGGCATTCCTTTGCATTTATTTCTGTTGGCCTGAAGTATAAGAACATTGAATGTCAAATTCCAAATTTATGTGTAGTTTAGGAAATAATTGTTTATATCCAGAATTCTTTTGGTGTTTGGCGGGGTCTGGTTTTATTTACTGTATATTCGGGAAGTATGTGTAGTTAGGGAAGTAAAAACTTGGAAGTTACTTTGGGTTTTGTGAGAATGTTTGATTCATTATACATATTTGTTAAAAGTTTACTTTGAAACTTCAACTTTGAGAATAGACAAATTTCTTGACGTCCTGTAAATTCAGTGGTATTATATAGCATTTTAAAATTTATCACTTAGGTGCAATTACAGTGTGAGGGGAAAAGTTAACTTTTTTGAATAGTTACATTGCAGTGACAGCAAGAGAGTATTTTTATGTGTAGACAGGCTGTGGGTTCCCCTCACTTAAATTGAAGCTCTGTTGAACTTGAGACACTTAAGAATCTTGCAAGTGTGAAAAGTGGAGTGAAACAAAACCATTTCTAAAACGAAAATGTGTAACTGCGTTCAGTTTTACACAGTGAAGAAATAAGTATTAAACAAGTTAGTCTCAAACGTTTATATCTTAAGGTCATTTTATTCCTGTTATCATTAACTAGACATATCTTGGTTTAGAGAGCAGCACACAAGACATTGTGTACTTTTAATAGCTAAGATAGTATAATAACTACTCATATGGGAATTACCGAGTGTTAAGAGCGCCAAACTAGTGTTTCAAACTGTAGGTCCTGAGTTATAGGGTCATGAAGTCACTTTAGTGGGTGGTGATCCGAATTTTTTAAAAAGTAGAAAATATTCCATTGAATACAAAATAGCGTGTTGATTCAGCTCGACACATGTGTATTCCTGTAAAATAATCCTGTGAAGCTGAGTGTCAAAAGTTGAAAAACAACTTCTGTAGGGTGTTTTTCTCGTTTATAGCATTGTGTAAAGTATTATAGTTTAATATTTTTTAACGAGTATTAAATGGGCTGTTTATATTTGGTGGAACATGAGCCACCTACTTTAGTTTCACAAGTTGGGAAGTAAATTTGCCATCCAGGACCAGTATGCGTTTTAATCATAGTATTTTTAATAGCCTGTGAAGCTTTTCTTTAGACCATAAGAGGTCTTTTCCATCCCATAATATTTATTGCCAATTATTTATCCATGTCTAGATGAGACTAGAAGAATCCGAATCCCCAGTAATGAGTTGTCAGCATTGCTTAATGTGACCTCAGGACTGATCATCATATGCTTTTTGCCTGTGTAGGTGTTCTAAGCGTTGTATAATCACTTAAGAATGGACTTCATTAAATAGACAAAATATGAGAGCCATTACACTATTTTTGGTATTAAGTCTTTGAAATCCAGACTGTTTTACACTTGCAACACATACACTTGGGGCTAATCACATTTCAGGTGCTCAGTAGCAACATGTGACTAACAGCTACCAAATGAACAGTGCAGTTCTAGTGCACTGTTTTTAAAAAAATTAGATTTTTTTTTAAAATTAGATTTCTCTAGCTGAATAGTTGTAGTTTCAGATAAACAGCCAAAAATGTTCTGTCTCTCCACAGCTTCATCTCAATTGTGAAGAAATTGCATTAGGTGATTTTTTTTTTTTTTTTTTTTTAAATAATAGAAACAACGTCTCACTATGTTGCCCAGGCTGGTCTCCAACTCCTGAGCTCAAGTGATCCTTCTTCCTCAGCCTCCCAAAGTGCTAAGATTACAGGTGTGAGCCACCGGGTTCCTGGCCGAATCAGGTGATTTCTTAGGCCCTTTCTAAATACAAGGTTTAAGTGTTTTGAGGCAGCCGACAGCTATACCTTTAAGTCTCTTGCTTCTCTAAGAATAAGACATTTTGGATCATTTGTTCTACCATAACGTAATGAATACAAGTTGGGAGCATTTTGCTCTTCTGTTAAGCACAGTTGGCCTTCCTGTCCAAGGATTTTTGCATCCTTGAATTCAACTAACCTCAAATGGAAAATATTTGGGGGAAAAAAAGTATGTACAACAAAAATAATATGATCAAAAATAATACAGTATAACGACTATTTACATAACTTTTACATTGTATTAGGTATTGTAAGTAATCTATGTAGGAGGATGTGTGTAGGTTACATGCAAATATGACACCACATTTTATAAGGGACTTGAGCATCTGAGGATTTTCCTCTGGGAGAAGGAGGTATCCTGGAGGCAATCCCCTGAGGATACTTTTCTACTTTGTGTGAATTTTTCATTAACAGGAAGTTACAGTACTTTTCTGGTCACCTGAGAAACCCACCCCATATTTTTATTAGCCAAATATATAATTCTCGAATGCTTAGAATTCATTTCTTAATGATTTCACTGTTGTGCAGTATAGACTGTGAATTGCCTACTAAGGATACAGTTAATTATAGTAAACTGTGGAATCTAGATTAAATAATTACACCCTACTTTTTTTCTTGGCTTGTGGATGTGTAGACTACATAGTGGTTTTTTCAACCCAGGAACATAACAGTATAATGGAGGATAGGAAGGCAGAAGATGTTTAAAGGGTTGAGAAATAATGGTATATGTATAATGGTCAGTAAGCAGAACAAGCCAGCCAAGTTGGATATTCTTCAAGACTATCTTAAGTGTCTGCTATGTGTCTAAGTGAAAGGAAATAAGCAATAGTCCTTTTGGGAAACCTGACCTAGTACTTAGCTATTTCAGACTTAATGTGATGTTTGATAGAGTAGGAAATAAGATCTTAAATTAGAATTAGGTTAAATTGCTTTAGAGAAACTTATTTATAAATGTAAAGAATTTATTATCTCATGTGTTGCACATGCTCTATCGAAGGGAGCAAAATACTATTGGAGAGTTTGCTTATTAATGTAATACTCAGCCTGCATCATTGTCGGATAATTTTGTTGATAATTCAACTATTTGAGATTGAAAGAAATCTGTTAAAGTAGCCAGTGTTGTAATTTTGATCTGTGTTTGATTACAGCGTATGAAACAAAAATGAGACTGGAGGAAATAGTTTACTTGTGAACTTTTTGAGCTACTTTGTTTTAGGAGTATTTAAATTAATGTAAAAGTGTAGGGAAATGTCTTAGCTCAGAAAATTTAAACTTACTAGATATTAAGTGCTTAAAAGGTAGAGTATGCTTGCATTTCAACTAAAGTTTAGAGTGTTTTAGGAAATTAGAGGCTATTTTAAAAAATATTTTGAAGTTAGGAGTGTGTTCCTAAGTGTTTTCACCATAAGAAAATAAGTCTGTGGGGATAGTACATATGTTAATTAACTTGATTTAGCTATAATATAAACCTATTTTATGTACACCATAAAAATAACAATTTTTATGTCAATTTGAAACAAATTCATTACAAAAATGAAATTAGGAATGTGAATGTTAATAAGTTATGAAAACTTACTTGATGTAAATGTAGATATAGACAAGTCTATAACTAATAGATTTGCCTGCTTTGTAGCATGCTTTAAATTGATAATATTTTTAACTATCACAAGTATATCTGGAAAGGTAAAATTCCTGTTAGGATAGTTTGTCAAATTAATTTATTAAGTACAGTTGCCATTTGTTGAGTTAATTTCTCAGTCATTCAATATCTTTGCATGTATCCCAGTCCTGACAGCAACCCCATGAGGTGTGGCTGTTACAGTTCCCCCAAATGGCGATGAGAGAACACAGCCACTAAGTAGCTGCTTGGCTGCTTGACCCTGAAACCATTGCCCTTAACCATTTTCCTGTACTGGTATGCTGAGCTGAATGAAATGAAGATACATTTTGTGTAAGTTGAATTTTGACTTTTAGTTGCCATAAATTAATTAAATAATTTATTATTGTATATATTTTTTTGAGACAGTTTTGCTCTTCTTGCCCAGGCTGGAGTGTAATGGTGCGATCTTGGTCTACTGCAACCTCTGCCTCCTGGGTTCAAGCGATTCTCCTACCTCAGCCTCCTGAGTAGCTGGGATTACAGGTGCCTACCACCATGCCTGGCAAATTTTTGTATTTTTAGTAGAGATGGGTTTTCACCATGTTGGCCAGGCTGGTCCCAAACTCCTGACCTCAGGTGATCCACTCGCCTGGGCCTCTCAAAGTGCTGGGATTATAGGTGTGAGCCACTGTGCCTGGCCAGTTGCCGTAATATATATATATTTTTTTTGAGACCGCATCTTGCTCTGTTGCCCAGGCTGGAGTGCGGTGGCATGATCTCGGCTCCATGCAACCTCCACCTTCCAGGTTCAAGCGATTCTTCTGCCTCAGCCTCCCGAGTAGCTAGGACTACAGGCGCATGCCACCATGCCTGGCTGATTTTTTTATTTTTAGTAGAGAGGGGGTTTCACCATATTGGCCAGGCTGGTTTCGAACTCCTGACCTCATGATTTGCCCTCCTGGGCCTCCCAAAGTGCTGGGATTACAGGCATGAGCCACTGTGCCTGGCCATTTGCCATAACTTTTAATGAGAGGGTAGTTCCAGCTACAGATTGAGGTAGTATGTGAATAAGGATAGAAAGTGGATATAAAAGTATTTTTGTTACTTTTTAAGAAAGAATTATCAGAAGGCTCAAATTCTGATAATTTTAGCTAATAGTATTCTACCTAAGAAGTAAACAAAGGCCCAGAAATTAGATGATATGTCCAAGGACATAGTAAATGGGGAGCCAGCATTAACTGTAGACAGAAAAACTTCAAGTCCTAAATGTATACTAGCTATCAACCCACTCTTTCCCAGTACGCAAGCATTACATAGTTGTGATTAGTTAGTTAGGGCTTTTAATTAACTTCCAAATGAATATTTCCATGGGTTCTTGTAATCCATAAATTCATGGATTATGTTCAGTGTTTATGAGAGCTGGCCCTAACTGAACATTGCTCGGCTGTTTGGTTTTAGTTTCCACCATTTGCTGTAATCAGTGTTTTCTAAACTGCAGGCTGGGAACCATTAGATTATAAAATCAGTTCATGTATATAATAAAATAACATATTAGAGTAAGTATTGATTTGTGAACAATATTATTTATTGGATTACTTATATACATATACTTTTCAAAAAATTGAGGGTCATGTTAATAGCACTTGGTATGTAAATTACCAGAATGCTTTCTAGCAATATGGTATTTATTTACATAGCTGGATTGAGAAAGAATAATACAAAGTAAGCATGTGACACCAAGGTTGGAAAAAAAATGTGTTTTTGAATGTTTGATGAGGATTCAAACATGTTTTAAATGAGAAAATCGGTAGGAGGTTGAGGATTGTAGTAGAAGTACCAGATGCTTTTTCTTTTAGCTGTTTTTTTTCGTTGCTGTTGTTTGGTTGGTTTTGGTTTTGGTTTTTTTTTTTTTTTTTTTGGCTGTTATTGTTTTAAAAGTAAGGACTAGGCCGGGTGCAGTGGCTCACGCCTGTAATCCCAGCACTTTGAGAGGCGAAGGCAGGCAGGCAGGCAGATCACCTGAGGTCAGGAGTTCGAGACCAGCCTGGCCAACATGGTGAAACCCCGTCTTTACTAAAAATACAAAAATGAGCTGGGCGTGATGGTGGATGCCTATAATCCCAGCTACTTGGGGGGCTGAGGCAGGAAAATCGCTTGAACCCAGGAGGCGGAGGTTTCAGGAGCCAAGATCACACGGTTGCACTCCAGCCTGGGTGACAGAGCAAGACCTCGTCTCTAAAAAAATAAAAGTAAGGACAGTGCTGATTCATGGGAAATATTTTGGCTTATAAAGGGCCTGACGTTAGGGACAAGTGTGTCTGTGAGTTCCTAGTTTGCATAACCTGGCCTTGTAGAATTGAAATGGTCTCAAATGTAGTATAGTTTAGTGATGCAGTACTGTCTCTAATTTGGGGCAAGTTATTAAGCTTCTTACCACCAGTTTTCATCTAGAGATGATGAAGTAGTTGGACCTTACATATTTTGGATATATGGTATTAATAAATCTTTCCCTTTTTGTTACAGACGTGTTGATACTGCAGCTAGGAAAGCTGAGGGACTTCGGCTAAATTTCTTTTGCAAGATTTCAATGGCAGAGAATTAGTAGGGCCAGGATTTGAACCCTGGTTTTTATTGACTCCAAATGAGTAATGCTGTGAACATTCAAATACACGTTTTTTCAATTCTCTTGCCCTTTTTTTTTGCGGGGAGGGGCAGGGTCTCACTCTCTTGCTCTGACTGGAGTGCAGTGGTGTGGTCATAGCTTACTGCAACCTTTAACTCCTAGGCTCAAGCAATCTTCCTGCCTCAACCTCCTGAGTAACTCAGCTGGGACCATAAGCCTGCACCACCACACCCAGCCATGTTCAGTTCTCTAGAGTATATACCTAGAAATGGAATTGCTGGGTCATATGGTGAACTGTTTTTTACTCATCACTAACCAGTTCTGACACCAACAATCAATTCTTCAACTCGACACCAACAGAGTGTCCTACAATTAAATTTAATTCTGAAACTACCTGAAGTTAGTACAAACTTCACAGGTTGAGGGCTCAAACACGTAAGACTGCCCCCGCTTCAGATGCAGGTTTCTACCTGAATTTTTAACCAACCAGCTATAAATTAGGGGGTTTCACAACCTCTTCCACTGGGTCTATAATTTGCTAGGATGGCTTACAGAACACAGGAAGACACTCATTATCACTGGTTTATTATAAAGGATTTAAATGAATAGCCAGATGAAGAGGTCCTTAAGCTGAAGTCCAGGAGGGTTCCTAGCACAGGAGCTTCTGTATCTATGGAGTTAGGGTTACACCAGCCTCCTGGCATGAAGATGTGTTTTTCAACTCAGAGCTGTCCAAACCCTGACACTTAAGGGGTTTTTATGGAGGTTTCATACTTAGGCATGATTGATTACATTATTGGCCTTTGATGATTGGCTTACTCTCTGTCCTCTCTGCTTTACCTGGAGGTTGAGGGGGTGAGGCTGAAAGTTCCACCCCTCTAATCACACCTTGGTCTTTCTGGTGACTATCCCCCTCCTGAAACTACAGGAGCCACCAATCGACTCAGTAGCATTAAACAGACATTCATCACTTAGGAAATTCTGAGGGTTTTAGGAGCTGTATGCCAGCCAGGATCTTCAAATGGAGACAAAGACGAAATACGTGTTTCTGATTCCACTTAACAACTGTTTGACTTGTCTACAAGTTTTGTTCTCCAAAGCAGCTGCACCATTTCACATTCCCACCAGCAATCTAAGGGTTCCAATTTTCTCCGCATCCTTGTCAACACTTTTATTAATCTTATTAGCCATCCTAATGAATAATGTATCTTTTCATGTGCCTGTTGGCCATTTGTGCTTATGAGTCATATCTTTGGTGAAATATCTATTAAAATATTTTACCATTAAATTAGGTTGTTTTAAGTTACTTTAATGTGTGTTTTGCACACCAGTTTACAAAGAATGCAGATCCATTTTTTTTGCATGTGGCTATACAGCCGTCAGCATTATTTGTTGAAAAAACGATTCCCAGTTGAATTGTCTTGTCATGGTTGAAAATCAGTTGACCCATGTATGGGTTTATTTCTAGACTTTAAATTCTATTATATTGAGCCGTATGTTTTTTATTACGTTTTGTAATTTTAAAAATTAGTGCTTTTGGTTACTAAATCACTACAAAATAAATTTAGTCCCTATCTTAAAAGATAATCTTCGTAGTAGCTACCTCCTAAATATGAAGTCTGTAAATTAAAGGGTAATAATACAGTTTAGATTACTTGGGTTTATTAAAGATTTTGGACTCTGCCTTCAATCCACATATTACCTTTCTATCTAAAGGAAAGGATCCTGACCCTGAATCAGATCCAGGTGATTATCTTTGATTTAGTCCTAATAAGACCACTTAGTGTTTGCTCGCATGGGATAAATGAGTAGGTTCCTTTAAAAATTAGTTTCTATTTGTGTGTGTTTTTTATATTATCTCGTTGTATGTTAGTGCATTTGGATTATGCATGATGTACAGGACTTTTGGGTTTTGAAGTCATTGGATTTTTAATTAGAGGCTGTCATGTTTTTCTGTAATGATTTTTTGTTGTTTCTTGAAGGATAAGTTATTTCATGCATTTTCATTTGTAGGAACTGTAAGAAAACCAGCAGTTAATAATAGTAAAAGGTGGTGGTAAGAGGGTGATTTCTGAATCTTGTAAATACATGGTTTTAGGAGCGGATTCAGATAACCAAGCATTTAAAATACTATTAATGAAATACAGGAAATGAAACCACAGCATAGATTATGCATGTAGCCAAAATGTTCAGTTAAACTTCATTTTCAACGTAAGTGAATGAAAATGGTCTAATACTATTTTTCTTATCACTCACACAGGAAACCAGGATTACCGAGGAGGAAAAAAAGCCTTCCTGTGGTGCTCAACTGTGATTCCTTTTCACCATTCACCCTGGATGTTCTCTTCACTGTGGGATGAGGTAGTAGGTTGTATAGTTTTAGGGTCACACCCACCACTGGGAGATAACTATACAATCTACTGTCTTTCCTAACGTGATAGAAAAGTCTGCATCCAGGCGGTCTGATAGAAAGTCAGTTAACTAATTGTACAATATTTAAGATTAACTTGTCTTAAAGAGATGTAGTGCAGCATTTGTTTATGGCCTGGAAATAAATTAATTTAGAGATAAAGTCTGTAGCAAGTACACTGGATGGGGGTGGGGAAACCTTTTGCTTCTTGTCTTATTTCTCTGTGTCAGAATAAATGTATTTTTTTATTTTGATTTATGCTGATAATTTTATGTTGAAATTTTCTTTCGAAAGAGATTGTACTTTCCATTCCAGAAGAAAACATTGCTCTATCAGAGTGAGGTAGTAGATTGTATAGTTGTGGGGTAGTGATTTTACCCTGTTCAGGAGATAACTATACAATCTATTGCCTTCCCTGAGGAGTAGACTTGCTGCATTATTTTCTTTTTATTTAGATGATATTAAAACTCAGAAGAATTAATTTTGACATTTTGTATTTACAGTTTATCAGTTAATTTTCTCTGTTCAAGTAGTACAGTAGGCACAGATTAACATTTAAATTTTTCACATATGGTATATTTCAGAAATTTGAAGTTAAGCAAAAATTTTAATGAGTAGAGAAAGTAAGTAGCCTTCAGGAAATCTTCATAGAGGACCAGGCCCTTTTGGAATTGTGAATAGGTTTATTGCCTTACATCCTGGTACACATGTCCAAGGTCAGGTCCTGGGTGGTAAAGGTAAATACAAATTGGAAGGGCACTGTGTGAGCCAAAATGAGTCAGATTAGTCATGATTCATTTCCAGTTTGGGTTTTGGGTGGTCTTGGAGAATGTTGTAAGCACTGCTTCATTGATAGGTTGATTGAGCCAGACTTTACTCAGCAGCCTGGAAAAGGAGAGATGGGCTCTGGGTTCTACCTTTGCTCACTGGTAAGTTGCTAAGATTTCAGCTTTGCCCTCAAACCCTGAAGTAGTCCTTCATTCACACAGTGGGATCACTCGAAAATGTCAGATGGGGAAGTCCATAGGTTGTTACTTTAAAGAAAATAGAAAAAATGCTGGAAAAGGTTTCTTCAATTTTAATACCCATGAAGGCCCATGTTTTAGCTTTCCTCCGATGGGCAAACCATACACTAACTTGGGCCTTGTAATCAACAAGCAAGGCTAAAAGCTCTCTAAGTGCTTGCTGTTTAAACTATTTTGTGTTGGAAGAAGAGTTGGAAAAGAGGCAGTGTGGAGGTGAGGGAGAAGTTCCCTCCCTCCAATCATTTCCAATAAATGGAAATTTAAGGAGAAATTTGTGTTTATCCTTAATATCTAAGATAATCACTGTGCAGTGCCATTGGTACTTTTCATGAGAGTAGAAACATCAAACTTCCTTGGATGGGCCCAACCCAGGTGACTTAACTCTGGACCAAATGTATGCTTTTTGTTTTATCCACTGTGGACAGCTGCATAGATAATTGGTCTTTGTTCTAAACTGCACATAAAAACATGGGAGAAAATGACATTTGTTGCCTTTTGATGTGCCAAAGAAGAGTGGGAATGTTCTAAGAATTCTTTTTGGCTTAATCTTTGTTGAATTGAAAATATGTATAACTCTTCTGCTGAAAGTGTAGCAAGTACAGTCATGAAATTTTGTGGTCTTCCTGACATGTTCTTCCAGCATAACGTTGCCACCTTCAGTTGGAAACGTATCCTTATCTAATAATTAAGCCCTGGAGAAAAATTAATTTATATATTTTATTAATTACATAAGGACATTGTTATTAGCTAAGCAGAGTAAGTAAATCGAAATAAAACTTTAAAAATGCCTTTATGGAGAGAATGACTATCTCTGAAAGCTTGTTTTTAATGATGATAAAATTCATGATCAGAATTTGTTTCTGTTTGCTTTAATTCAGGGGTCAAAAACTGAAATACCATCAGAGGCCCAGGAGGGGCTAGTTGTAACTGGCAAATATAGTAAATTAATTTGCTCTGGTTGATAGGTAGCAAGCAGGGTTTATATACATTGTCACCTACTTTTCCAGTTAACAGGAGAGACTGGAGATTTTATGAAATTTGATATTTAAATGTTGGTAACTGGGTTGGGCACCATGGCTCACACCTCTAATCCCAGCACTTCGGGAGGCTGAGGCGGGTGGAGCACCTGAGGTCAGGAGTTAAAGACCATCCTGACCAGCCTGGTGAAACACAGTCTCTAATAAAGATACAAAAATTAGGCCGGGTGTGGTGGCTCATGCCGGTAATCCCAGCACTTTGGGGAGGCCAAGGTGGGCGGATCACCTGAGTCAGGAGTTTGAGACCAGCCTGCCTAAATGGTGAAAACCTGTTTCTACTAAAAATACAAAAAAGTAGCTGGGCGTGGTGGTGGGCGCCTGTAATCCCAGCTACTCTGGGGGCTGAGGCAGGAGAATCACTTAAACCCAGGAGGCAGAGGTTGCAGTGAGCCGAGATCACACCACTGTACTCCAGCCTGGGTGACAGAGCGAGACTGTCCAAAAAAAAAATTGATAATTAAATGTTAAAAGTCAGCGACTCCAGTAATACGTGGTGGGCTGAGTATTAGACTACTGGCTTACATCCTCTGATGTCATTACTTTCTTGTTCGTTTGTGACTTGAGGTTGGATTTTAAGCAAATGTATTTGTGGCTTTTTACCAAGGTCATATGGCCAGATAACTTTTCAAAAGCATTAGTTAAAGAATTCTGATTAGTTTGAATTAGAAACAAAACTCAAAGAACATGACCTAATTTAACAGGTTAATTTGAAGTGCATCTGCCAAGTAGAAGACCAGCAAGAAAAAAAAAATGGGTTCCTAGGAAGAGGTAGTAGGTTGCATAGTTTTAGGGCAGGGATTTTGCCCACAAGGAGGTAACTATACGACCTGCTGCCTTTCTTAGGGCCTTATTATTCACCGATAACCTGTTTCCTTGCTACTTTGCTTTGGTGTAAGCAGAGTTCTTTCTGTAGGTTTTTTCAAATGAAAACATTGCAAGAATATCAAAGAGAGCAGTGTTTGCGTTAGTGATTATAAACTGCAGCATGGTGCTGACATTGATAACTGAAAGTCAACTAATGAGAATTTGAGACTTCTGAAGTACACTTAGTTGCTAGTGTCTCCCTTTTGGTGTCACTGGAAAGTTTAGAAAGCATGGTTTTGTTTTTGCTCAGGTTTCTCTTTCTGTGATGCAGAGACTCTCAGCTGTTCCTCCTCTATGTCTACATTATGTCTGAAGGAAAGAATTTAACAAAACTTGAAATACTGCTGTTTTTCTACAATGTTTGTAAATATTTATCTTGCTGCTTTTCTAGGTTTGTCTTCTGGATTTAAAATTTGGGGCGGCTGGGGTGGAATTGCATGGTTTGGGAATGGGTAATTGAGCTGCTGCTCATTATGGTATGTAACAGTGATTTGTCTGTTTAATATGTACAAGAACTGGAAGGTCAATAAAATGAAAGTGGTTGTCTTGACTGGGTAATAGTGTTACATATTTTGTTAAAAGTTATACATCTTTTCAATAAAAACACTGCATACTTCAAAACTAGTGCTTTTTAAGTCATCCTTAACCCTTATCCCCATCCTTGCAGTAGTAGATGCATTTTTCATTTGTAATTATTATGATTTGTTCTTAGTTTCATTTTTCATTAGCAATAATTTGGTGATTGGATGGTCATTTACAGATGTTTTAATAAAGCTAACACGAGCAATTTCCAGCTCTTCCATTTTTGTAAACACTTGTGTGACTTTGTACAGACAATTAACTGCTCAGGATCACCCTCCTTTTTGTTTTGTTTTTGAGATGGTCTCATTCCGTCACCCATGCTGGAGTGTAGTGAAATGATCACAGCTCACTGCAGCCTTGACCTCCCGGACTCAAGCTTCCTAGTAACTGGGACTACAGGTGCATACAACCATGCCTGGCTAATTTTATTTTTGTAGAGACGGTTTCACCATATTGCCCAGACTGGTCTTGAACTCCTGATTATCCTCTGGCTTTTACCTCCCAAAGTGCTGGCCAGGACAGCCTCCTTTCTTTACTTGAGTAATTATTTGAGTTTGCTCAGGCAGACACTACCTTGTAAAAACTCTTATGTCTCATTTCACTAGTCTAGTTTGAGCATTTATCATTCTAGGAATGAGACGAATTTGTGCATTAGCATTCCATCTTTTTCCAACTACTATGAACAGTAGTATTTTTTTTTATTTTATTTTATTTTTTGAGACAAAATCTCACTGTTTCCCAGGCTAGAGTGCAGTGGTGTGATCTCAGCTCACTGCTGCAACCTCCACCTCCTGGGTAGAGTAGACAGGATTTAGGTAATTTTTTGTATTTTTATTAGAGACAGGGTTTCACTATGTTGGCCAGGCTGGTCTTGAACTCCTGGCCTCAAGTGATCCACCGGCCGTGGCCTTCCAGAGTGCTGGGATTACAGGTGTGAACCACCCTTGCCTGATCATGAGCAGTAATACATTTAAAAGTCTCCAGGGGTGAGAAAGTTGAAAGGAAATTCAGTGGAGTTTCCCATCCTGCCCCTCTGCTGCCTAGCCCCTTGCTCCAGTGGAAGGAAGAATCGTGATCTAGGGATGTTCTCATACTTGGGGCTTTAAATTTCCTTTATGAATTGAGATGGTTGGGTATGTTTTCTAAGGTACCTTACATGGTACAGTTCTTTAAAGTTGAAGATTTAAGTTGTGGCAAAATTGCATCAATTTCATGTGCACTGATTTAGGCGAAGATGCGTAGGAAAAGAGCAAGGAAATGAGGTGTGATAGGATTGGGGTAATTTCAAAATGAGTATTTCTGCCTGGCCTAGTGGTTCACGCCTGTAATCACAGCACTTTGGGAGGCCAAGGCAGGCAGATCCCCTGAGGTCAAGAGTTCGAGACCAGCCTGGCCAACATGATGAAACCCCATCTTACTAAAAAAAAGTAGCTGGCATGGTGGTGGGCTACTTGTGAGGCTGATGTAAGGAGAACCGCTTGAACCAGGGAGGTGGAGGTTGCAGTGACCAGAGATTACGCTATTGCACTCCAGCTTGGACGACAGAGCAAGACTGTCTTAAAAATGTTTCTAGTTTCACTTATTCTAAATTTATGTCTAACCATTTTTAGTGAAGTATTTGAGTCACATCAGCTAGCCTTTTTCCTACAGCGTTGAAGTAATTTTCTAGGTTCCTTGCTCTCCCCCCATTTTATTTCCTACTTTGCTTTCTGTTGTTGGGGTCCTATGGGGAGGGCTGGGAAAGGAGTTGGGCCCTCTTAGGACTGGTCATCAATCTTTGTTCTGAGCAGTGTTTTGTTTTCTGGTTGAATGGCTGACCTGAAGGAAGCATCAGACTCCTTGGGATTCTGAAATCCTATTTCTTGATAGAAACCCATAACTTATTTTAGTTTGACTTAAAAACGATCCATAAGTAAGCATGCAGGGTTGGTGTAACTGCATTGAACTGGTAACATCAGAAACACGGGTAGAAATGAGGTACCCCAGTGATACGGAAGCTTTGTGACTGATGTCCTGGATTCTTTCTAGCTTTTCTTCCAGCCCTAACACATGGTTTCCATTCTCAAGGTTACCTCTGTAACAACTGACTGCTATAACTGGCCACGTCGTTTTTCCATTCATGAAGATGGAAAAAGGAAAAGGCAGAAGGGACACTTTTATGGTTGAATTCATTTAGTTTTCTCAAGAAATGCCACCTAGTGACTCCTTTACGTGTAATCCCTTGGAACTATCACAGACTAGACCAAGGAATCCTGGAAAGTGGTCCTGGCAGGACTGATTGCCAGGCTGAATACAATCAGGGTCCCACTAGTAAGGAGGGGAGAAAGGAAATAACACAGATAGTTATCTGCAGTAATTGGCATTAGGAAAAAAAACTTGACAAAGACTGACAAGCTCTGTTCCACTCCTGCCATTTAAAGAAAAACACACACACGCATAAAAACACCAAGTGGCCTCAGATGGGCAGCACTCCTCCTGACCCTGGGCTTCAGAAATTTTCACTGGGAGTCTGATGAGGCTCAGCCACAGTTGTGTGGGACTGTTCTCAATTTCAAGCAGAGGAGCAGAGAAAGCTGGTTAGTTGCGGAGGCTTCCCACATTACTTGGACCCTACAATATATATGACTTCTATCACAGGACATGGTACAGAACTGGAACAATAAAGCATTTTTTAAAATTTAATTTCTTGAGCAATTTTAGTTTCACAGCAAAATTGAGCAGAAAGTATAGTGTTCACATATACTTCCCTGTTTATTACGCACACACTGCCTTCCTCACTACTGAAGTCCTGACCATAATGGTACATTTTAATAAAGCAGTTTGTTTTTCCCTTTTCTTTGAAGTTGTTCCATCATGAGAATTAGGCTAAAAGTCTTAGCTTACTGCCCCATGGAAGGAAGGACAAATAGCAATGACCAAGCAACGTATTTTTAGCTTTGAGGCCAAAATTGGCTGAAAATGACAGAAGCAGTTACTTCAGAGAAAATGATTTTTTGCAGTTCTGCATAAATTTGAAGAGGTAAACCTGGATTGCTGAGAACAATGAGTTATATGCAGTGGACTAGAGGAAGATGCATATTCAACCATGTCTTTTTTTCCATCCAAGAAGAGTTACTAGCAAGCAGTAAGATGAGAGGAAATGAAACCAGTCAGACTGCTGAGTGCTGGAGAAGCGGTCCCTGTGCACACTCCGGCATGGGCATGGTAGGACTACCTGTATGGATTAAGGGGAGTCAAGGGTCAGGGGATGGTTGATCTGCATTTTTTTCCCCAGGGCATAACCTGAGACCACAAAGCTTCTAGGGAAGGGTTGTGTACATCATGGCCCCACAGCAGTGAGAGGCTTGAAGAATGCTCTGGCTAAAGACACGGAGGTGCTGTGGCAGGCACTGTTACTTGCCTACCCAAATATCCCCTTGCTGGGAGAACCTTGATTTTGTTGAGGTATGGATCTCAGGAAAGTTACCCTAGTTTTTTGTCTAGGGGTAGGCATGTGACCAGATTTGATCAGTGAGATGTAAAGACCAGTGGTAGGGAGAGGGTTTCTTTCTTTTCTTCTCCCTCCCCCGACCCACCCCAGAGTCTCGCTTTGTCACCCAGGCTGAAATGCAGGGGCGTGGTCACGGCTCACTGCTGCCTTGACCTCCCCAACTCAAGCGGTCCTCCTACCTCAGCTTCCCACATAACTTGGACTTTACGCGCACACCGCCATGCCTGGCTAATTTTTTTCTGTTTTACAGACGGAGTCTTGCTATGTTGCCCAGGCTGGTCTTGAACTCCGGGGCTCAGACAGTCCTCCCACCTTGGGCTCCCAGAGTGCTGGGATTACTGCTGTGAGCCACTGCACCTGCCTGCATCATGCTTAGGTTTGAATGTGGTTGTGTGATGATCAGAGCTGCTGCAGCCATCTTGTGACCACGAAGGGTAGGTTAGGTCAATAATACCAACCAAGAGTTCTGACATTACTGAGCTGTTGAGTCAATGCCAGCATCTGCTCTCCTCTACACTTTGTATTATATGAGAAAAATGAACTACCTTATAGTGAATGGGGGTTATGAGACTTGCAGGGAAAAGCTCTCCTCACAGGATCCCACATAGGGAAGTCCAGGGAAAGCCCCTAAATGTGAGGGAAGAGGAAAGGTGCTAAGGGGCCATCAGGAAGAAGCCTATGGCTTAGATAAGGATGGTAGACAATGGATCTCTGACATCTGTAGCAGGACCCTGAACGTGAGCATGAACATGAAGTGGTAAGAGGCTGATGGCAAGACCACATTTCTGAAACTGGGATCTTACAAGTGGCAGGCAGCAAGGACCAAGCTCAAGACAGTATGGACCAAACAGTAAGGACACCCCTTCTTAGTGCTGACATGAGTTAAGCCCTTTGGAAATTTAGATCCTCTTGAATTTGATAAACTAACTCTCCTAAAAACTGCTTTAAATCGAGACAGTTCTCTTAAATGGATGAAATTTCAGTGTTCTGCCATTAGTAGACATGGGGGCTCAAGATACTCGGCAACAAAAGTTTTTGTTACATTTTTGCTCTCTTGAATGGCAACTGTAAACTTTGAACCTCTGCAGTTACCCTAATGCAGAACTTATTATTTATAGACTTTTTGATGATTTACAATGAAATACTGATATAGAAACAGATGTTTAAAAGAAAACTGTATAGCTTGTCTCACTTAAGTAACGTAGCCTAAGTTTCTTAAACCCAAGATCTCATTTTAGCTACCTAGGTATATTGTCCAGAGTACTGAATATGAGCACATTTCACATGACAGGCTCTTAAATGCAAGTGTGTGTGCGTGTATGTGTCTGTGGTGTGTGTGTGTGTGTGTGTAGTCCTTGCATTGCCTGGCATCTTGTTACAGTAATTCATGCACATAAGAACCATGTCCTTGCTTTGCCTTGCCTGGTAGAGAACTATGCAAAGCAAGAACAAGGCTCCAGTATGAACAAGTTTGTATTAGCATGGTATCATGAAATGTAAGAACTCCCTGTGTATGCTGTATGTACCCTTTCCTTCTTAAAATATGCCCAGCACCCTTCTATGTCTTTGTCTTCTCATTAGTCTTGGAAATACTGGTCATAGGTCCTCATGGGGAACTAACTTCTCTAAGCTTTCAGGTTGTATCATCCAGCCCATTGGCAGCTACTTAGGAAGCTTTTTATACTCTACCCTGAAGTGTGGTGTTTTAACTAGGTCTGAAAGCAGAGGAGTGACCCAGTAGAGGGTCACTGACCAAAATGAGAAATGAGGTGGTTGAGAAAATCTGAAAAGATGCACAAGGTTTCAGGTATAATACATTTGTCTAATATCTCCCAAGATTGCAAATAAGTTTCCCTAAGTAGTCTTATGATTATTTTATTATCTTGGGCACTTCAGTATAGGGGAAAGAAGGGCAGAGTATGGTGAATGGCAGAGCAGAAGATGCCTAAATAGTTGGGAAAAATAATCCTGTGACTGGAAAACTGCATTAAAAATAATATCTGGCCAGGCGCGGTGGCTCACGCCTGTAATCCCAGCACTTTGGGAGGCTGAGGCAGACGGATCACGAGGTCAGGAGATCAAGACCATCCTGGCTAACATGGTGAAACCCCATCTCTACTAAAAATACAAAACAAATTAGCCGGGCATGGTGATGGGTGCCTGTGGTCCCAGCTACTCGGGAGGCTAAGGCAGGAGAATGGTGTGAACCCGGGAGGCGGAGCTTGCAGTAAGCCGAGATCATACCACTGCACTCCAGCCTGGGTGACAGAGTGAGACTCCATCTCAAAAAATAATAATAATAATAATATCTTGTTGATACATCCTTCTTTTGTGATTGGGGGAAATGGTGACTTAATCCCTAAAGGAATCATGTAATATGTAGACCTTTGAATATGGCTTTTTTCATTTAGCCTGTTTTTAAGGTTCATTCTTGTTGTGATATATATATTTTTGAAATAGGTTCTCACTCTGTTTTCCAGGCTGGAGTGCAGCATTGTGATCTTGACTCACTGCAGTGTCGACCTCCTGAGCTCAACTGTTTCTTTATATTTCTGAGTAGTATTTTCTTGTATAGATATCAAATCTTCTTTATCTTCTTTTTTTTTTTTTTTTTTTTTTTTTTTAGACAGAGTCTCGCTCTGCACACCCAGGCTGGAGTGCAGTGGTGCTATCTCGGCTCACTGTAAGCTCTGCCACCCGAGTTCACGCCATTCTTCTGCCTCAGCCTCCCGAGTAGCTGGGACTACAGGCGTCCGCCACCACGCCCAGCTACTTTTTTGTATTTTTAGTAGAGGCAGGGTTTCACCATGTTAGCAGGGATGGTCTCGATCTCCTGACCTGGTGATACGCCCACCTCGGCCTCCCAAAGTGCTGGGATTACAGGCGTGAGCCACCGCACCTGGCCTTTTTTTTTTTAATTTTAATTTTTTTTTTTTTTATGTTTTTGAGATGGAGTCTCACTCTGTCTCCCAGACTGGAGTGCGGTGGCATGATTTTGGCTCACTGCAGCCTCCACTTTCCAGGTTCAAGCCATTCTCCTGCCTCAGCCTCTGGAATAGGTGGGATTACAGGCGCTTGCCACCACGCCTGGCTATTTTTATGTTTTTAGTAGAAACGGGGTTTCCACATGTTGGCCAGGCTGAGGTCAAACTCCTGACCTCAGGTGATCCACCTGCCTTGGCCTTTCAAAGTGCTGGGATTACAGGCGTGAGCCACCACACCGGCCTTGTTTATCCTTTCACCAGTTGGTGGGTATTTGGATTCTTTTTTTCTAGCTTTGGTTCTTATGATTAATGCTGCTACACAGCATTAATGTCCACAATTCTTTCTGTGGACATCTGTTTTCAGTTCTCTGGGAGAAATACCTAGGAGTGGAATTGCTGAGTTGCATGGTAAATTTAACCTTCTAGGAAACTGTCAGACCGTCAAACTATTCAATTGTTTCAGCACCATTTGTTGAGAAGACTGTCTTTTTTTAGTCGAATTGGCCTGACACCTTAATTGAAAATTAATTCACTATATATAGGTGGCCTTATTGCTTGACCTCTATTCTGTTTCATTAATCTATATATCTATCTTTATGCTAGTACCACACTGTTTTGGTTACTGTGGCTTTATAAAGTTTTGAAATGAGTAGTATAAGTCCTCCAGTGTTGTTCTTTTTCAAAATTGTTTTTGCTACTCTAAGTTACATGCATTTCTATGTAAACTTTACAATCAGCCTGTAAGTTTCTTAAAAATCTTGGATTTTGACGGGGATAGCTAATTGATAACAATGCTGAGTTTTCCTGTCCACGAACCTGGAATGATCTCTCCATTTCTTTAGATCTATAATTTGAGCAGTGTTCTGGAGTTTTCAGTATATAAGTCTTACACTTCTTTTATTAAATTTATTCCTGTTACATTCTTTTTTTTTTTTTTTTTTTTTGAGACGGGGTCTTGTTCTTTTGCCCAGGCTGGAGTACAGTGGCTATTCACAGGTGTGATCATAGTGTACTATAACCTCGACTCCTGTGCTCAAGTGATCCTCCTGCCCCATCCTCCACATAGCAGGGACTACAAGTGTTTGCCACTGTGTGCAGCTCTTTATTGTTTTTGATAATATTGTGAACATATTGTTTTCTTAATTTGATATTCAGATTGTTCATTGCTAAATACAGTTGACATTCATATACTGATCTGTGTCTTGTCACCTTATTGAACTCATTTATTAGTTCTGGTAGTATTTGGGGGGATTGTTTAGGGTTTACTACAATTTGGATCATGTCATCTGTGAATAAAGACAGTTTTACTATTTCTTATCAATCTGGATGCAATTTCTCTTCCTTCTCCTTAAAAAATTGCCTTATTCCATTAGTTAGAATCTTCATTACATTATTGAATAGAAGTGGTAAGAAGAGGTATCTTACTTTGTTTTATGCTGCTATAATAAAATACCACAGACTGGCTAATTTATGAAGGACAGAAATTTGTTTCTCGCAGTATTGAAGACTGGGAAGTCCAAGATCAAAGCACCAGCATCTTGTGTGGGTCTTGCTGCATCCTCACATAGTGGAAGGTGGAAGGAGAAGAGAGAGCAAATCCACTCCCACAAACCCTTTTTATAGGGTCATTAATTCATTCATGATGGTGGAGCTCTCTCATGACTAAACACCTACTCTAGAATTGCTATTGGAATTTCTTTTTATATTTTCTATCTATGTATTGATATTCTCTATTTGTTTATATATTATATTCTTGGTTCTCTCTAGTTCTTTGTTCTTGGTTTCCTTCAGCTCTTTGAGCATATTTAGGACAGGTGATTTAAAGCCTTTTATATTAAGTCTGGGCTTCCTCAAGGATGGTTTCTATTAATTTCTTTACTCCTGTTGGCTAGCCATACTTTCCTGTTTCTTTGTATGCCATACAATTTTTTTCTTAAAAATGGGATATTTGGGCTGGGTATGGTGGCTCACGCCTGCAATCCCAGCACATTGGGAGGCCAAGGCAGGCAGATCACTTGAGGTCAGGAGTTCAAGACCAGTCAGGCCAACATGGTGAAACCCGCCTCTACTAAAAATACAAAAATTAGCCAGGTGTGGTGGGGTGTGCCTGTAATCCCAGCTATATGGGAGGCTGAGGTAAAGAGAAAGTAGGCTTGAACCTGGGAGGCGGAGGTTGCAGCGAGCCAAGATCACACCATTGGACTCCAGCCTGGGCAACAGAGTGAGACTCCATCTCAAAAATATATAAATAAATAAAATAAAATAAAATAAAATAAAGGGGGATATTTGGAATATTATAATGTGAAAAGCTGATTCTCCCACCTCCCCAGTGTTTGCTGTTGTTGATTGTAGGTGTTTGCCATCATCCATTTGTTTAGTGACTTTTCCAAATTATATTTGCAAATACTATATTCCTTGTCTTGTGTGGTCACTGAAGTCTCTTCTCTTATTTTAGCAGTCAGTTATTTCACAGAGATGTGCCTTAATGGCTGGGGCCAAAAAGAAACCAAAACCAAAAAACTCTCCTAGTCTTTGCAGATTGGATCTGAGCTGAGGGATTCCTTCAATGCTTAGCCAGGCTATCTATGACTGTGACTTAGTCTTTACCTCCTACTTGCACAGAGTCCAAAAATCAGCCAAAGGTGCAAGCCTAGGGTTCTATCATTCTTTTTTTATGAGCATGTTCCCAGCCTCATGCATGCATATTGCACTCTGGGTTCTCCAGTATACGCAGTAGCCCTTCAAAACCATTAATTCCCAAGAAACTTCTGCCTCAGCTTTCTTCTTTCCAGATGTTTGATTCTATATACCACCCACCAGCTCCTGCCCCATCCACCACACCTTGATCCAGACAGCTATGTGTAGTATATGTCTGAATGCTTTTGACAGATGTCACCTGGAAAGCCACTCTAGGCTGAAGGGGTTGTAAAAGAGCTTATCCTATGCACCAGTCCCTTAGGGAATTGTCAGGTCAAAACTCAGAGCCAGGCCGGGCGTGGTGGCTCACGCCTGTATTCCCAGCACTTTGGGAGGCTGAGGTGGGCGGATCACGAGGCCAGGAGATCGAGACCATCCTGGCTAACACGGTGAAACCCCATCTCTACTAAAAATACAAAAAAATTAGCCAAGTGTGGTGGCGGGTGCCTGTAGTCCCAGCTACTTGGGAGGCTAAGGCAGGAGAATGGCATGAACCCAGGAGGTGGAGGTTGCAGTGAGCTGAGATGGCACCACTGCACTCCAGCCTGGGTGACAGAGCAAGATACTGTCTCAAAAAAAAAATAAATAAATAAATAACTCAGAGCCATAATTTTTGGGAAACATGGTTATTGGCATCAGAAAGCCACACTAGGAATGCAGATCCCTGTTCCCATTGCTATTGGTGACCTGGGAAATGGAATTGATAAGAAAGGAAGCAAAAAAATTTTTTTTCGTTAAGCACTTCACTGGTTGCCGCCAGTTTTGTATTAGAATCCAGAGTTTGAAAAAGTTGATTCTGTCAGATTTTGCCAGCTTAATGGATGCTTCAGTGGAGGGACTGGACTGATTATTGGAACTCCCTACTCCATCATTTATGTGGCATCACCTAACTGCTTTTGCTTGCCTTAGAACTTCCAGCACAGATACGAAAAAAAATGGTGAGAGAAGACATCCTTGCCTTGTTCTTACATGGAAGACATTGAGTCTTTCACTGTTAGGTATGTTAGCTATAGTTATTTTTAAGAAAATCTTTATCAAGTTTAGGAAATTTCCCACTATTGCTAGTTTTTTGAGAGTTCTTATGAATGCTATGAATTTTGTCAAATGATTTTCTGTATTTATTAGTATAGTCATGATCATATGATTTTTAAAATATATATTTTGAAATTTCTTTTTTGTCTTTTATCTTTGTTTTTATGTTATTCCAATGAATTTTTAAAATTTCAATAGCTTTGGGGGTACAAATGGTTTTTGGTTGCATAGATGAATTATATAGTGGTAAAGAAAGTCTGAGATTTTAGTGCCCTTATCACCTGAGTAGTGTACGTTGTACCCAATATGTAGATTGTTATTTCTCACCCTCCACTCCCCTCCTGCTTCTCATTTTCCATAGTCCATTATATCACTCTGTATGCCTTTATGTACCCACTTATACCATACGTTGTCACTTACAAGCTTAGTTCTCACTTATAAGTGACAACATATGATATTTTGTTTTTCATTCCTGAGTTACTTCACTTAAAATAATGGCCACCAGCTCCATCCATGTTGTTGCAAAAGACATTAATTTGTTCTTCTTTGTGGCTGAGTAGTATTCCATGGTATACATATACCACATTTTCTTTATCCGCTTATTGGTCGATGGGCGCTTAAGTTGGTTCCATATCTTTGCAACTGTGAATTATGCTGCAATAAACATACCTGTGCAGGTGTCCTTTTGATATAATTACTTCTTTTCCTTTGAGTAGATACCCAGTAGTGAGATTGCTGGATCAAATGGTAGATCTACTCTTAATTTTTTTGGAAATCTTCAAACTTTTCCATAGAGATGGTACTAATTTGCATTCCCACCTGCAGGGTATGAAAGTGTTTTTTCACCACATCCACACCAACATATATTGTTGTTTAGCTTTTTAAATAGCCGTTATTGCAGGAGTAGGGTGGCTTTACTTTGCATTTCCCTGATGATTAGTGATGTTGAGCATCTTTACATACATTTTTTGGCCATTTGTATATCTTCTGTTGAGAAATGTCTGTTCATGTCATTTGCCCACTTTTTGATGGGATGATTTGTAGGTGTTTTTTTCCTGCTGATTTGCTTGAGTTTTTTGTAGATTCTGGATATTAGGCCATTGTCAAATGTATGCTTTACAAATATTTTCTCCCATTCTCTGGGTTGTCTGTTTACTCTGATGATTATTTCTTTTGCTGCACAGAAGTTTTTTAGTTTAATTAGATTCCATTTATTTATTTTTGTTTTGTTACATTTGCTTTGGGGGTCTTAGTCATGAATTACTTGCCTAGGCCAATATCCAAAAGAGTTTTTCCTAGGTTATCTTCCAGAATTTGTATGGTTTTGGGTCTTAGATGTAAGTCTTCCATCCATCTTGAGTTGATTTTTGTGTAAGGTTAGAAATGGGGATCCAGTTTCATTCTTCTACATGTGGCTAGCCAGTTTCCCAGCACCATGTATTAAATAGGGTGTCCATTTGCCAATTTATGTTTTTGTATGTTTTGTCAAGGATCATTTGGCTCTATGTATTTGGCTTTACCTCTGGGTTCTCTACTCAGTTCCATTGGTCTACATGCCTACTGTTATACCAGAACTATGCTGTTTTGGTACTGTATTAGTCTGTTTTTGCACTGCTGTAAAGAAATACCCAAGACCGGGTAATTTATAAAGAAAAGAGGTTTAATTGGCTCATGGTTCTATAGGCTGTACAGGAAGCATAGCGGCTTCTGCTTCTTGGGAGGCCTCAGGAAACTTACAATCATGGTGAAAGGCAAAAGGGAAGTAGGCACATCTTACGTGGCCAGAGAAGGAGTGAGAGAGAGAGGTGGGAGGTGCTACACTTTTTTTTTTTTTTGGAGACGGAGTTTCACTCTTTTTGCCCAGGCTGGAGTGCAATGGCACCATCTTAGCTCACTGCAACCTCCGCCTCCCAAGTTCAAGCGATTCTCCTGCCTCAGCCTCCCAAGTAGCTGCGATTACAGGCGCCCACCACCATGCACAGCTAATTTTTTTGTATCTTTAGTAGAGATGGAGTTTCACCATGTTGGCCGGGCTGGTCTCAAACTCCTGACCTCAGGTGATCCACCCACTTCGGCCTCTCAAAGTGCTGGGATTTTCACATGGGGCATGAGACACCACGCCCAGCCGGCACTACACGCTTTAAAAACAACCAGATCTTGTGATAACTTACTCACTGTCATGAGAACAGCACCGAAGGGATGGTGCTAAACCATTCATGAGGACTCCACCCCCATGATCCAGTCACTTCCCACCAGGCCCCACCTCCAACACTGGGGATTACAATTTGACATGAAATTTGGTGGGGAGACAGATCCAAACCACATCAGTAACTATAGCCTTGTAGTATAATTTGAAGTCTGGTAATGTGATGCCTCCAGATTTGTTCTTTTTCTTAGGATTGCTTTGGTTATTCAGGCTCTTTTTTGGTTCCATATGAATTATAGGATGTTTTCTTTAATTCTGTGAAAAATAATGTTTGCATTTTGATAGGAATTGCATTGAATCTGTAGATTGCTTTGGGCAGTATGGTCATTTTCACAATATTGATTCTTCCAATCCATGAGCATGGGATGTGTTTACATTTGTTTGTGTCATCTATGATTTCTTTCAGCAGGGTTTTGTAGCTCTCCTTGTATAGCTCTTTCACCTCCTTGGTTAAGTATATTCCTAGGTTGGTTTTTTGTTTATTTGTTTGTTTTGCAGCTGTGATAAAAAGGGATTGAGCTCCTAATTGGATTCTCAGCTTGGTCGTTGTTGATGTGTAGCAGTGCTACTGATTTGTGTACATTGATTTTGTAATCTGAGACTTGACTGATTTTTTTGTTTGTTTTTTGAGATGGAGTCTTGCTCTGGAGTGCAGTGGCCCAGACTTGGCTCACTGCAACCTCCGCCTCTGAAGTTCAAACGATTCTCCTGTCTCAGCCTCCCGAGTAGCTGGGACTACAGCCACCCACCACCATGCCTGGCTAATTTTTGTATTTTTAGTACAGACAGTTTCACCATGTTGGTCAGACTGGTGTCGAACTCCTGAACTCAGGTGATCCACCTGCCTTGGCCTCCCAAAGTGCTGGGATTACAGGCGTGAGCCACCGCGCCCAGCCAACTGAATTTGTTTATCAAATCTATGCGTCTTTTTGAGGAGTCTTTAGGGTTTTCTAGTTATATGATGATATCATCTGCAAACAGCTATAGTTTGACTTCCTCTTTTCCAATTTGGATGCCCTTTATTTCTTTCTCTTGCCTGATTGCTCTGGCTATGACTTCCAGTACTATATTGAATAGAACTGGTGAAAGTAAACATCCTTGTCTTGTTCCAGTTCTCAGGGGGGAATGCTTTCACTTTTTCCGCATTGAGCATGATGTTAGCTGTAGCTTTGTCATATACGGCTTTTGTTATTTTGAGATAAGTCCCTTCTATGCCTAGTTTGTTGAGTGTTTTTATCATAAAGAAATGCTGGATTTTATTGAATCCTTTTTCTGCAACTATTGAAATGATCATGTAGTTTTTGTTTTAAATTCTGTTTATGTGATATATCACATTTATTGACATGAGTATGTTAAACCATCCCTGCATTCCTCGGATGAAGTCCACTTGATCATGGTGTATTATATTTTTGATATGCTGTTGGATTTTCTTAGCTAGTATTTTGTTGATGATTTTTGCCTCCATGTTCATTAGGGATATTGGTCTGTCATTTTCTTTTTTTCTTTTTTTGTATGTCCTTTCCTGGTTTGGCTATCAGGGATATACCGGTTTCATAGAATGAGTTAGGGAGGATTACCTCTTTCTCAGTCATTTGGAATAGTTTCAGTAGGATTGGCACCAGTTCTTCTTTGAATGTCTGATAGAATTTATCCATTAATCCATCTGGTCCTGGGCTTTTCTTGTTGGCAATCTTTTTTGAAATTACTGATTCAGTCTCACTGCTTGTTATTGGTCTGTTCAGGGCTTCTGTTTCTTCCTGATTTAATCTAGGAGGGTTGTATGTTTCCAGGAATTTATCCATTTCCTTTAGCTTTTCTGTTTATCTCCATAGAGGGGTTCATAGTAGACTTGAATGATTTTTTCTGTTGCTATGGTGTTCATTGTAATGTCTCCAGTTTCATTTCTAATTGAGTGTATTTGAGTCTTCTTTTCTTGGTCAGTCTGGCTAATGGTCTATCAATTTTGTTTATCTTTTCAAAGAACCAGCTTTTTTGTTTCATTGATATTTTGTATTTTTTTAAATTTAATTTTCATTTGGTTCTGTTCAGATCTTTGTTACTTCCTTTCTTTTGCTAGATTTGGGTTTAGTTCTTGTTTCTCTAGTTCCTTGAGGTATGATGTTAGGTTGTCAATTTGTGATCTTTTAGACTTCTTGATGTAGGCATTTAGTGCTACAAACTTTCCCTTAGCACTGCTTTTGTCCTATCCCAGAGGTAATGATAACTTGTGTCACTATTATCCTTCATTTCAAGGAATTTTTAAATTTCCTTTATTTTTTCTTTTTGAGACAGAATCTTGCTCTGTCTCCCAGGTTGGAGTGCAGTGGCGTGATCTTGGCTCACTGCAACCTCTGCCTCCCAGGTTCAATCGATTCACCAGCCTCTGCCTCCTGAGTAGCTGGGACTACAGGCGTGTGCCAGAATGCCTGGCTAATTTTTGTATTTTTAGTAGAGATGGGGTTTTGCCATGTTGGCCAGGCTGGTCTCTAACTCCTGACCTCAGGTGATCTGCCCACCTTGGCCTCTGAAAGTGGTGGGATTACGGGCATGAGCCACTACACCCAGCCTAAACTTTCCATCTTGATTTCATTATTAACCCAAAAATCATTCAAGAGCAGACTGTTTAATTTCTGTGTATTTGTATAGTTTTGAGGGTCCCTTTTGTAGTTGATTTCTAGTTTTATTCCACTGTGGTCTTAGAAGATATTTGATATGATTTTGATATTTGTAAATTTATTGAGACTTGTTTTGTGGCCTCTCATATGGTCTGTCTTGGAGAATGTTTCATATGCTGAAAGGAAGAATTTGTATTCTGCAGTTCTTGGGAAGAATGTTCTGTAAGTATCTATTAGGTCCATTTATTCTAGAGTATAGTTTAAGTCCATTGTTTCTTTGTTGACTTTCTGTCTTGATCTGTCTAGTGCTGTCAGTGGAGTGGGTGAAGTCTCCCACTACTCTTGTGTTGCTATTTTATTTCTTAGGTCTAGTAGTAAATGTTTTACGAATCTGAGAGTTCCAGTGTTAGGTGCATATAAATTTAGGATTGTAAAATCTTCTTGTTCAGTTGATCCTTTTATCATTATATAATGACCTTCTGTGTCTTTTTTTTTTTTAAACTGTTGTTGCTTTAAAGTCTGTTTTATCTGATATAAGAATAGCTACTACTGACTGGGTGCAGCAGTTCACACCTGTAATCCTAGCACTTTGGGAGGCCAAGGCGGGTAGATCACCTGAGATCAGGAGTTCCAGACCAGCCAGGCCAAATGGTGAAACCCTGTCTCTAGTAAAAATACAAAATTGGCCCATGTGGTGGCTCATGCCTGTAATCCCAGCTACTGGAGAGGCTGATGCAGGAGAATTGCTTGACCCAGGAGGCGGAGGTTGCAGTGAGCTGAGATCGTGCCATTGCACTCCAGCCTGGGCCACAAGAGTGAAACCCTGGCTCAAAAAACAAAAAAACAAAAAAAGAATAGCTACTGCTGCTCACTTTTGGTTTCTATTTGCATGGAATATCTTTTCTACCCCTTTACCTTGAGTTTATATGAATCCTTACATGTTAGGTGAGTCTCTTGAAGACTGCAAATATTTGGTTTGTGATTTTTTTAAGCCATTCTGTCAATCTGTATCTTTTAAGTGGAGCATTTAGGCCATTTACATTCAATGTGAATATTGAGATGTGAGGTATTGTTCCAGTCATCATGTTAATTGTTACCTAGGTACTTGTTTTCTTCATGTTGTTATTGTTTTATGGGCCCTGTGTGTTTTATGCTTTCAAGAGGTTCTCTTCTGGTGCATATCAACCTTTTATTTCAGGATTTAGAACTCATTTTAGCATTTCTTGTAGGGCTGGCCTGGTAGTGACAAATTCCATCAGCATTTGTTTGTCTGAAAATGACTTTATTCATGTATGAAACTTAGTTTTGCTGGATACAAAATTCTTAGCTGACAGTTATTGTTTAAGGAGGCTAAAGGTAGGACCCCAATCCCTTTTGGATTGTAAAGTTTCTGGTGAGAAGCCTGCAGTTAGTCTGATAGGTTTTCCTTTATAGGTTACCCGGTGCATTTGTCTCACTGCTCTCAGAATTCTTTCTGTCATGTTGACTTTAGATAGACTGATTATTATATATGCCTTGGTGAAGTCCTTTTTGTGATGAATCTCCCAGGAATTTTTTGAGCTTCTTGTATTTGGATATCTATATCTCTAGCAAGGCCAGAGAAGTTTTCCTCAATTATTCCCTCGAATAAAATTTCCAAACTGTTTGCTGTCTTCTCTCTCAGCAACACCAGTTATTCTTAGGTTTGGCCATTTTACATGATCCCATATTTCTTGGAGACTTTATTCACTTCTTTTGATTTTTTTCTTTATTTTTGTCTGATTATTAATTTGAAAACTATATCTTTGAGCTCTGAAACTATTTATTCTACTTGTTCTAGTCTATTGTTAAAACTTTTCCATGCATATTGTACTTCCCTAAATGTGTCTTTCATTTCCAGAAGTTCTGATTGGCTTTTCTTTAAAATATCTATTTCTTTATAAAATTTTTTATTCATATCCTGAAGTTTTAAAAAATTTCTTTATATTGGCTTTCACCTTTCTCTGGTATCTTCTTGAGTAACTTAATAATCAATCTTTTTAATTCTTTGTCTGGCATTTCAGAGATTTCATCTTGGTTTGGATCCATTGCTGGAGAGCTAGTGTGATCTTTTGGGGGTGTAATAGAATCCTGTTTTTTTCATATTACCAGAATTATTTTTCTGTTTTTTTTCTCTCTCTCATTTGGGTAGAATATATCTTCTAATTAGTCTTGAATTTATTTTTTATTCAATTGTTGGTTTTTTTTATTTATCTTTTCTCCCTTAAGGATGTGACTTTATTGTAGCCTATTTCGACTCTTGGTGCTTTCAGAGGTGAAGACTATTAATTCCTTGGTTATAGAAAGTCTTTGTTTGATGGCTTTCTCAGATAATGGTTGTAGTAGCATTGTGCTCACTGTCTCCAATGGGGTTGGAATTGCAGAGGTATCTTGAAGCTTACCTTGTTCTCCTGTGTTGTGCACTTATATTTGTTTATTTTCCCTGTATTTTATTTACTGGGTTGAATATTTTAGGCTTCAGGCCAGTAGGGGAGACATCTCTGGTAGAAACTGGTTGTGGTTATTGTAGTAGGTAAATGCAGTACCCAATGGCGGGCTGAAGTCCCAATCTTGACATAGGTGATAGGTGGAGCTCTCAGTGAAACACACTGAGGTCTTATCAGGGGGTAGATTGGGAGCCACATCAGCTCCCCCGCAAGGCGCAGGGAAGCAGTCCACCTCCCAGACACACTCCTGACTCAGTGTTCCAGCTATGCAGATCAGACAGGCACCTCATTTTGTCTGCAGGAACGTTGATGTTCCAAGTTGAGAGGAATCGTGAGTCTACCTCTCATCCAAGTCTGAACATAGAAGGTGCTCTCTACTGTGGGGATGCAGTTACCCTGAAGTTTTCCAGCAAGGCTCTCTATGGTGTACCCACACATGCTCCCACTGGAAAAGCCCCAGTTGTTTCTGCAGTGGTGGACAAGGGGAAAAAGAAGTCCCCTTCTCCAAGACCCTTCATGAGCACCAGGGTTACCTGTGTGTTGGGGTAGAGCTTCAGACTTTCCCTGCTGAGCTCAGTATTGTAACTGTGCCTCTGCTGAAAGAGACTTTCCATCAGCAGAAAGATCCAGGACTCAAGGCCTGCATCTGGATTTTTTTGTTCCATGGGGTGTTCCCTTGATGTGGTGCACACCCAATTCCCCTAGGAAGTTTTCCCCTAGGAGTAGGATTCCCTAAGAAACAGACCACTGTGAATGCTGCTGCTCTGCTGCGTCTAGCCACCTAGTGGAGCTGCCACACTCCAGGCTGGTGCTGGGGAGTGTCTGCAAGAGATCCAGTGATGTGACCAGTCCTTAATTGTCCCAGCAGCAAGTACCAACACCCCTTCTGATGCGGGTCACAGGGGAGTGATGTAGACTCTGTGAGATTCCTTGGTTGTAAATAGCCTTCATGTATTGGCTGTCTCAAATGCTGCTTGTAGTACCAATGAATCTGTCATGTGGACAGATCAGGACCTCCTGGTTAGCCAGGGTGGTGCAGGCGATGGTGATAGCTGAGGTCATGCACAAGTTTTCTCTTTCCTGGGCACAGGGTTATTCTACCCAACGATGCTATAATGTATCAGTTGGCCTCCAGCCAGGAGGTGGTACTTGCAATAGAGCACCAGCTACAGTAGAAGTGGTGGGATTAACTGCTTTGCTTTATGTTAATTGCCTTATGTTACCCCAGAGAGGTACTCTGGATTCTCAGGCAATGGCCATAGGGCTCCCAAAAGTTGCTGTCCCTTGTAGTGAACTACCAGGGCTGGTGTAGGGGCAAAGCCAGGTAGGGGCTGGGTTAGGCAGGTCCATGCTTTGGCTCTCCATGTGCAGGGCAAGCAGAGGCTCCTGAGGGGTTTAGGGGGCATTTCTCTGGCCACTGGGGTAATGTTTCAGGAAGGAACATAGCTGCCTCTGCCACATAAAAGAGTTCACAAGCCTCACCCAGCTCTCATGCACTTGGCAAGGCAGGTCTCTCACCTATAGTGTTCACTAGCAGCCGCTAGCTAAATTCCAGGCCGTGTAAGCTCAGAACTCAAAACTGCCCTAGGCCATAAGCCTTCCCTGTGGAGACAGGAACCAGTGTTCAGGCCATGCCCCCTCCCAATCTACCTGCAAAGCAAGAGTGCCCGGTTCCTGTGCCTGTGGCTGCAGCACACTTCTTACTCACCCACTGGTTCTGGTCAAGGGAGTTCATCCCCACTCAAGATTATATGAATTTCAGTTGGGAGCTTCTTTCAACCTGCAACCTCTGCCTGAGCTAGTTGACTTCCGTGAGGCCCTCTGTGACGTAGAATCAGGAGTGGCTTCCCTCGGTCTGTGCTGGAGACTAGGAATGCATGCAAGGCTCTGCTTGCTGCTGCTCCTACTTTTATATTACCCCACCACTCCCTATATTAGTTCCAGTGCTGGGTATGGTTAAGGCCTTCCCCTGTGGGCTGAATTGCCAGGTTACCTGGTGGGGATGTATATCCTGGAGGCAGTCTCTCCCCCTGTCACACTCTGAGGACTTACAATTTTTCACCTGGCTCACAGTGGGTGTAGGCTGCAGCCTGCTGCTTCTTTCAAAGGGTCTATGGTTTCTGTTTTTCTGTTCAGTTCCTGCATTGCTTCTTAGAAAAAAGTTCACAGTATGAATTTCTACTCACCATTTTGTCTTTCCAAGTGGGAGAGTCATGCTGACACTGTTTCCAATCCACCATCTTGGGAAGAAAAACAAAACAAAATGTGATTTTTCTTAGCCTATCCACATGGTAGTTTAGATTGATTGATTTTCAAATATTGAAACAGCCATGCATGCCTGTAATAAACCCTACTTGTAATCATTTATTACTTTATTTAAATGTGATCTCTTTTCTTTGAAATATATTTAAAATAGTCTTTGCTAAATCTATTGTTTGGGATTACTCAAAGATGATTTCTGTTGACTTGTTTCCTAAGTAAAGAACACACTGCTGGCCAGGTGCAGTGGCTCATGCCTATAATCCCAGCACTTTGGGAGGCTGAGGCGGGCGGATCATGAGGTCAAGAGATAGAGACCATCCTGGCCAACATGGTGAAACCCTATCTCTACTAAAAATACAAAAATTAGCCGGGCGCCAGCACGCCTGTACTCCCAGCTACTCAGGAGACTGAGGCAGGAGAATTGCTTGAATCCAGGAGGCGGAGGTTGCAGTGAGCCGAGATTGCACCACTGCACTCCAGCCTGGCAACAGAGTGAGACTCTGTCTCAAAAAAAAAAACAAAAAAAAACTGGCATTGTACACATTATGTTATAGGAATGCTACATTGTGATTTGCCCCAAAGGGGGTTGCTGTTTGTATGATACACTTGTCTGGACTAATTCTGTGGAATTTGTCTCCACTACAATGTGAGGCTGCTAATGTCTGCACTCACATTTTTTAAAGAGAGGCTTTCTAGAATTACTCTTGTTTCAGCATATTTTGTCAGCCAAAGATTAGTCAGAGGTTTGGTTCAAACATCTCAAGCCAGTTAGGTCCCCACTCTTTGCTGATAGATCTGTGTATGGTTTGGAGAATGTATTTGCTGTGGTTTGAATATTTGTCTCCTTCAAAACTTGTGTTGAAATATAGTCCTCAATGTAGCAATATTAAGAGGTGGGGCCTTTAAGAGGTGATTGGATTATGAGGGCTTTGTCCTCATGAATGGATTAATCCATTCATAGATTAATGGATTAGTGGGTAAATGGATTAATGGGTTATTTTGGGAGGGGAACTGGTGACTGTATAAGAAGAGGAAAAAAGACCTGTGCAAGCATGTTAGCATGCTCATTCTCCTCCCCATGTGATACCCCATGTTGCCTTGGAACTCTACAGAAAGTCCCTCTGTTAGTCCATTTTGGGGTTGCTATGAAGGAATACTTGAAGGTGGGTAATTTATAAAGAAAAAAGATTTATTTGGTTCATGGTTCTGCAGGATGTACATGAAGCATGGCACCAACAGCTGCTCCTGTGAGGCCTCAAGAAGCTTACAATCGTGGCAGAAGCTGAAGGGGGAGCCAGCGTGTGGCATGGCAAGGGAAGGAGCAAGAGAGAGAGGGAGGAGCTGCCAGGCTCTTGAACAACCAGATCTCACGTGAACTCACAGATTGAAATTCACTCATTACTGTGAGGACACACCAAGCCATTTATGAGGGATGCACCCCTATGACCCAAACACCTCCTACTAGGCCCACCTCCAACATCAGAGGTCACATGAAACGAGATGTATAGGGGACAAAACAGTCAAACCATATCAGTCCCACCAGCAAGAAGGCTCTCACTGGATGTGGTCCCTTGATCTTGGACTTCTCAGCCTCTGTAACTGTAAAAAATAAATTTTGTTTCTTATAAATTATCCGGTTTCGGGTATTTTGTTATAAGTAAAAGATGGACTAAGAAAGCATTCAAAGTTTAGGCTTTCAAATCTTCCCTAGCTCTTATTTCTTTTGAGCCCTTTCAGGCCTTTTCTACCTGTGTGCACAGTCTTGCAGTCATCCAGGAATGTGTGAATAGCTCTAGTTCTCTCCGGCCTCTTCTACACGTGTGTGCAGCTTTCCAATAAGTTTGGGACGTATGGAGAGCCTATCAAGGTTCTCTATGTCTATCTCATTTTTAACATCTCCTTGTTAAATTTCTGGCTAGTCTGCTGGTGCCTTGCTTTCCCCCAACCAGGACTGCAACCCCAGGGTAGCTGAGTCATTGGCCTTTCATATTTGTTTGCTACCTAGATTGCTACTGTTTTTGATAGTGTTGCTGGGTATACCGCTTTTTGCACTCTGCTTCAAGTAAAGTGAGTTCAGTTCCCCCTGGCAGGAGACTGTAGAAATAATTGGCCCAGAGAAAGACATTCAAATACTGACGTTTAAGAGAACCCTAACTAAAAAGCTGGCACATTGCCTGATTACGGGACAAGCAACAGTTCTGAAAGTGTGGTCCATGGACCTCCCAGGGATCCTTAAGATTCTTTTGGGGATCCAAAATATTAAAATTATTTTTATAATATTTCATATCTTATTTACTTTTTTCAGTGTGTTAATTTTTGCACAGATGGTCCAAAAGCAATGATAGGTAACACTGCTGGCCCATTTAGCATGAATCAAAGCAGTAGTACAAAACTATACTAGTAGTCACTTTTTTCTTCACTGCCATACAAAGAATCATTCAAAAGCCACTTTGGTCCAGGTGCAGTGGCTCATGCTTGTAATCACAGCACTTTGAGAGGCCGAGGCAGGCAGGTCACTTGAGGTCAGGAGTTTGAGACCAGCCTGGCCAACATGGTGAAACCCCGTCTCTCTTAAAAATATAAAAATAGCCAGGTGAGGTGGCCAAGATGCCGCCATTGCACTACAGCCTTGGTGACAGAGCAAGACTCTGTCTAAAAAATAAAAATAAAAAGCCACTTTGGCCAGACACAGTGGTTCACACCTGTAATCCCAGTACTTTGGGAATCCTTGGCAGGTGGATCACTTGAGGACAGGAGTTCGAGACCAGCCTGGGCAACATGGTGAAACCCCATCTCTACTAAAAATACAAAAAAATTATCCGGGTGTGGTGGTGCATGCTTGCAGTCTCAGCTACTTGGGAAGCTGAGGTATGAGAATCACGTGAACCCAGGTGGTGGAGGTTGCAGCAAGCTGAGATCGTGCCACTGCACTCCAGCCTGGGTGACAGAGTGAGACTCTGTCTCAAAAAATAAAACAAAAAAAAACAAAAACGGACGGGCACAGTGGCTCACACCTGTAATCCTAGCACTTTGGGAAGCCAAGGTGGGTGGATCACTTGAAGCCAGGAGTTTGAGACTAGCCTGGCCAACGTGAAACCCCATCTCTACTAAAAATACAAAAATTAGCCAGGTGTGGTGGCAGGCACCTGTAATCCCAGCTACTTGGAAGCCTGAGGCAGGAGAATAGCTTGAACCCAAGTGGCAGAGATTGCAGTGAGCTGAAATCACGCCACAGCACAGTGAGACTCTATCTCAAAAAACAAAATCAAAACAACGCCACTTTTACTTAAGAATGTCCTTGCTGAAGTAGTAAATTTATTAATTAAAAAAATTCTCCACCCTTACATACATGAGTTTTTAATATTTTGTGTGACAAAATGGGAAGCATGCATAAAGCATTTGAGCAATTATTTGAGTTTGTGAGCTTTGGTAACTGATTTTTTTTTTTAATGTCTTCCCTCATCATCCAGGCTAGAGTGCAGTGGCATGATGATGGCTCAATACAACCTTGACCTCCTGGGCTCAAGTGATCCTGCCACCTCAGCCTTCCAAGTAACTGGAACTATAGGAGTGTGCCACCATGACTGGTTAATTTTTTTTTTTTTTTTTTTGTAGAGACAGTGTCTCACTATGTTGCCCAGAACTCCTGGGCTTAAGCAATCCTCCTGCCTTGGCCCCCAAAATGCTCAGATTACAGGCATGAGACATGGTGCCCCGCCTGATTTTTTTTTTTATATGTAGGAAAACCATTTTTCTTTGAATTACTGATAGACAAAAATATGAATATTCAGACTTGGATATCTGGCAGGCGTTTTCTCAAAAATTAATAAAATGAGCCTGTCATTCTGATAGCATTTGTTGCCAATGATAAAATTTGAGCTTTCAAGCAAAATTTAGTATTTTGGAAATTTGTATCTGCTTCTCAATATTTAAAGATGTTGCTGATAAGATCAATGATAATGATATTTTTGATATTATATAAAGAATTGTGCTATAATCCTAGCTACTTGGGAGGCTGAGGCAAGAGAATCACTTGAACCCAGGAGGTGGAGGTTGCGGTGAGCCGAGATTGCACCACTGCACTTCAGTCTGGGCAACAGTGTGAGACTCTGTCTCAACCAAAAAAAAAAAAAAAAAAAAAAAAAAGAATTGTGTTAACATTGGAAAGCCCTGCATATCTTAGTGAACCAGTATTTTCCAAATGACCACTGCATGGTGTAACAAAATCATGTATGGGCCCATCTGATAGGGGTTTAACATTTAAAATGTATAAAGTACTCAACTCAATAGCAAGAAAGAAACCCACTTAAAAAATAGGCAAAGGACCTAAAAGGACATTTCTCAAAAGAAGATATACAAATGGCCAACAGGTACATGAAAAAATGTTCAGCATCACTTATCACTGGGGGGAAATGCAAATTAAAACCACAATGAGATATCACCTCACACCTGTTAGAATGGGTATTATCAAAAAGATGAAAGTGCTGAAGAGGATAAGAGGATGTGGAAAAAAGGAAACTCTTATACATTGTTAGCCGGAAGGCAAATTAGCACAGCCATTATGGAAAACAGCAAGCATGGGGGTTCCTCAAAAAACTAAATATAGAACTCGCATAAAACCCAGTAATCCCACTTCTGGGTATATATCCAAAGAAACAAATCAATATGTCAAAGGGATATCTTCACTCCCATGTTCATTATAACATTATTCATAAGAGCCAAGCTATGGAAACAACCCAAGTGTTCATCAACAGATGAATGGATAAAGAAAATGTGATATATATATATGACATATATATGATATATACATCACATTTTCTTTATCCATTTATATATTATTATTTATATATATATATTCCCCAATGGAATACTATTCAGCCTTAGAAAGGCTGTCATTTGTGACACGTGGATGAATCTGGAGGACATTATGCTAAATGAAATAAGGCAGACACAAAAAGGCAAATACCACGTAATCTAACTTATCTGTGGAATCTAATGAAATTGAACTCATAGAGAATAGAATGAAGAGAACTCATACAGAATAGAGAATAGAATGATGGGGGTGGGAGGGAGAGAATGAGGAGTCATTGATCAAAGGGTAGAAAGTTTCATAAAAGGAGGAATAACTTTTGTGATCTATTGCCCAACAGGGTGCCTATAGTCAACAATATGTTAAATATTTCAAAACAACACAGTTGGCTGGGTGCAGTGGCTCACACCTGTAATTCCAGTGAGAGGCGAAGCCAGCTGGACTTCCTGGGTCGAGTGGGGACTTGGAGAACTTTTCTGTCTTACAAGAGGATTGTAAAACACACCAATCAGTGCTCTGTAGTTAGCAAGAGGATTATAAAATGCACCAATCAGCGCTCTGTAAAACGCACCAATCAGCACTCTGTAAAACACACCAATCAGCAGGATCCTAAAAGTAGCCAATTGCAGGGAGGATTGAAAAAAGGGCGCTCTGATAGGACAAAACGGAACATGGGAGGGGACAAATAAGGGAATAAAAGCTGGCTGCCCCCCTCCCCACAGCCAGCAGCGGCAATGCCCTGGGGGTCCGTTTCCGTGGTGTGGAAACTTTGTTCTTTCACTCTTCACAATAAACCTTGCTACAGCTCACTCGTTGGGTCCCTGCTGGTCTTTAAGAGCTGTAACACTCACCGTCAAAGTCTGTGGCTTCATTCTTTAAGTCAGTGAGATCACAAACCCACCAGAAGGAACCAACTCCAGACACACTAGCACTTTGAGAGACCGAGGCAGGAGGATCACCTGATGTCAGGAGTTCGAGACCAGCCTGGCCAACATGCTGAAATCCTATCTCTACTAAAAACATAAAAATTAACTCGGCATGGTGGCACATACCTGTATTCCCAGCTACTACTTGGGAGGTTGAGGCATGAGAATCGCTTGAACAAGGGAGGTGGAGGTTGCAGTGAGCCAAAATTGCACCACTGCACTCCAGCCTGCGTGACAGCAACACTCTGCCTCAAACAAATAAATAAAAAATAACAGTAAATTTCAGATGTCTCTGCACAAAAAAAGATAAAGTGATGATATGTTAATTTGTTTGATTTAATAATCCCATGTTGTATACCTATATTAAAACATCACATTATACCCCATAGATGTATACAATTATGATTTGGCAATTTAAAATATTAATGAATTTTAAAAAGAGCAGCTTTCTGGCCAGGAGCAGTGGCTCATGCCTGTAATCCCAGCACTTTGGGAGGCCGAGGCAGGGGATCACCAGGTCAGGAGCGAGACCATCCTGGCCAACATGGTGAAACCCAGTCTCCACTAAAAATATAAAAAGTACAGAAATTAGCTGGGCGTGGCGGCACGTATTCCCAGCTACTCAGGAGGCTGAGGCAGGAGAATGGCTTGAACTCGGGAGGCGGAGGTTGCAGTGAGCCAAGATCATGCCACTGCATTCCAGCCCGACTACAGAGCTAGACTCTGTCTCAAATAAATAAATAAATAAAAGAGCAGCTTTTCATAAAAATGATTTGCCTATTACCTTTTGAGTAGTCTAATAGTATCATTTGTAAACCAAAACAAAAAACAGAAAACAAAATTAAGTGTGGGTAAAGATATATATTCAATGTGAAAAATAAGTTAATGGATTTAAATGTAACGAGAAAAATGTATTGACTAGTATTCAGATGCCACAGTGCAGTTAACCTTTAAGAAACCAGTATTTATTAAATTTTGGTGTGGTGTCAAAGATGAATATCCATAATTACCTAAAAGGGCTGTTTTAAAATGCCCCCTTTTCCAACTACAAATTTGGATGAGGCTGTCTTGTCATCATATACTTCAACCAAAAATAAATATATATCAGCACAGAATGAAGGCAGAAGCAGATATGAAAATCTACTTCTATTAGGCCAGAGACATTAAAGAGACTTGCAAACACATAAAACAGTGCCACTCTTCTCCCCATTTTTGTTTGGAATAATGTATTTTTTTAAATAAAATATTAACATGCAATAGCTTTATTTTAGCTATTTTATTTTACTCTTTTTTTTTTTTAGACAGGGTCTCCCTCTGTTGCCAAGGCTGGAGTGCTGTGGTGTAATCATAGCTCACTGCAGCCTCTAAGTCCTGGGTTCAAGCCATCATCCCACCTCAGCCTTCCAAGTAGCTGGGACCACAGGCATGCGCCGCCACCACACCTCGCTAATTTTTTAAATTTCATAGAGATGAGGACTCGCTATGTTGGCTAGACTGGTGTCGAACTCCTGGGCTCAAGTGATCCTCCTGCCTCAGCCTTCCAAAGTTCTGGGGTTGCAGGTATGAGCCACCATGCCCAGCTATTTTCGTTATTTAATTTTTTTAAATTTCTAATATGGTAAGTATTTGTAGATTTAGCCCACTTAAACAGAAGCTCTTTATGTCCTGAATAATTTTTAAGTATCTAATGGAGTCCTGAGACCAAAATATTTAGGGACCACTGCTCTGGAGGTCACGATATACATCCTTAACTTATCATCGTCTTTTTTTTTGTTTGTTTGTTTTTGTTTTTTTTTTGATACAGAGTCTTGCTCTCTCTCTCCCAGGCTGGAGTGCAGTGGCATGATCTTGGCTCACTGCAAGCTCCTCCCCTCGGGTTCAAGCGATTATCCTGCCTCAGCCTCCCGAGTAACTGGGACTACAGGCGCCCACCACCACGCCCGGCTAATTTTTTGTGTTTTTAGTAGAGACGGGGTTTCACCGTGTTAGCCAGGATGGTCTCGATCTCCTGACCTCATGATCCGCCCGCCTCGGCCTCCCAAAGTGCTGGGATTACAGGCGTGAGCCACCACGGCCAGCCATCATTGTCTGTTTTTAAGATACTACTTTGTGGGCAATGTAAGAACTTTACAACAGTGTACTTCCAATTGCTACCCTCCCAAACTTTATGCTCTTGTTGTCATATATTTTACTACACTATATGCCAGAATCCCCACGTTATATTGTTATTTTTACTTTAAACAGTTGAGGCACCCAGGGACATGTGTTGTTCAGCACTCCACTTAAGAAAAACTTTGCTGTTCACCTGTGACAAGTGCAGTTGCCTGAGAGCCTCCAGCTGCAGGGCTTTCAGGATCTGCCTCATCTTTAGAACTGAGGACATGATCTCTGTGCCAATGAATGAGCATGGCAGACTTACTAGGGCTTGACCATTTCGGCACAATGCAAGACTCCTCTAAAGGGCTTGCTTTGCTATGAAGCTTCTTACTGAATTGCCTAAGATTTTGTCAGCCCTCCCTGCCAAATTCTGCCTCCTTTTCCACTCTTTTTACAGGTGTTCAGTTTACATCGTGGTCTGAAGCCTTCCCCTGCCAAATTCTGACCCTCGTTTTTAACCTTCCCCTCCTCAATAAACCTCTTGCACTCCTAACTCTATCTTAGCATTTGCTTCCTAGGGGACCCAACTGACATAACAGTCTTCGTTTTTTAGAAAGACTTTATCTGGTGTTTTACAAATTTATTCCTGCAGAATTGAGTTTCTACCTGGTATCATTTCAGCCCTTCAGCCTAATGGATTTCTTTTATCATTCTGTGTAGTTTCAGTCTGCTAGAGACAAAATTGTCTCTAGCAGCTTTTGTCAGTCTGACATTACTTTGCCTTCATTTTTGAAGACTGTTTTCACTGGATACAGAATTGTAAGCTGACAATCTTTGTCTTTCATCATTTCAAAACTGTCATTCCATTGTCTTCCGGCCTCTACTGCTTCTGGTGAAATGTCAGACATTTTTCTTGTACTGTGCCTCTCTGTGCATTATGTCTTTTTTTTTTTTTTTTTTTTTCTGGCTGCTTTCAAGATTTTATCATTGCCTTTGGTTTTTAGCAGGTGATGATAATGGGCCTATATGTGGATTTCTTTGCATTTATCCTGCTTGGGGTTCACAGAGCATCTTGGACTTGTGGGTCGATATATTTGACTGATTTTGGTAAATCTTGGCCATCAAATCTTCAAATATTTATCTGTCCCATGCTTCCTTCTTGTGCTGCAATCACATATGAGTTAAACTCTTCAATTCTGTCTCACGTATCTCAAAGAGATACGTGTAACAGACACTCTGTCACATTTTTTGAAATCAGCTTTATTAGGGAATAATTGACATACAATAAATCACACATATTTAAAATGTACACATCCATGGAATCATCACTGGTCAAGATAGTAAACATATCTATCACCTCCAAAAGTTTCCCCGTACTCCTTTGTACACTTTCTCTCCTAGTCCACTGTTTCCAGACAATGACTTCTCTCTTTCCTTTCCTTGCCTTCCCTTCCCTTTCCCTTTCCCTTCCTTTCCTTTCCTGTCTCCTTTCTTTCTTTCCTTTCCTTTTTCCTTTCTTTCTTTCTTTTCTTTTTTGACAGAGTTTCACTCTTCTTGCCCAGGCTGGAGTGCAATGGCACAATCTTGGCTCACTGCAACCTCCACCTCCCAGGTTCAAGTGACTCTACTGTCTCAGTCTCCTGAGTAGCTGGGATTACAGGCACCTGCCACCATGCCTGGCTAACTTTTGTATTTTTAGTAGAGATGGGGTTGAGACAGGGTTTCACCATGTTAGTCAGGCTGGTCTCGAACTCCTGATCTCAGATGATCCACCCACCTCGGCCTCCCAAAGTGTTGAGATGACAGGTGTAAGTCACCACGCCTGGCCCCCTTCTCTGTTTTATATAACTGTTGATTAGTTGACATTTTCTAGTGTTTTGTATGAATGGAATAATATACACTGGGAAGTCGGGCTTCTTTTACCTATTGGAGTGGCTCAAATTAAAGACTAACCATATTTTGTATGTCAAGGATGTAGAAGATGTTTCCCAGCCTGTACTGAGATGTTTCTATGTTACTGCATGTATCAACAGTCTGTTATTGTTTTTACTTAGTAGTATTCCATTATATGGGTAGAGCACAGTCTATCCATTCACCATTACATGGACATTTGGATTGTTTTCAGTTTGCTGTTACAAACAAAGCTATGAGGAACATTTGTGTACAGGTATTATATAGAGATACATTTCATTTTGGGTAAATACCTAAGAGGAGAATGGCTGGATCATATGGTAATTATATGTTTAACTTATAAAGAAACTGCCTCAGTTTCCCAAAGTGGTTGTACCATTTTCAGTTCTCACCAATTGTATATCAGAGTTCTAGTTCCTCTACGTCCTTGACAACAAAAAATATGGTTAGTTTTTAATTTTAACCATTACAATAGGTGTTTACTGGTATCCCATTGTGGTTTTTATTTGCATTTCCCTAATAAATAATTGTATTGAGCTTTTATACACGTGCTTATTTGCCATCCAAATATCTTATTTGTTAAAATTTTGCTTACATCTTTTGTTTACTTTAAAAATAAGTTGTTAGTATTCTTGTTACTGTTAAACTATATAAAGAGTTCTTTCTATATTTGGGATATAAGTTCTTTATCAGATATCTGCTTTGCAAATATTTCTTTCCAGCCAATGGTTAGCCTTTTTCATTGTCTGCACAGTGTCTTTTGAAAATCAGAAGTTTTAATTTTGATGAAGACTAATTTATCAATTAGTTCTTTTATGGATCATGCTTTTGGTGTTTTATCTAAGAAACCTTTGCCTGGCCAGGCGTGGTAGCTCACGCCTGTAATCCCAGCATTTTGAGAGGCCAAGACTGATGGATCACCTTAGGTCAGAAGTTCCAGACCAGCCTGGCCAACATGGTGAAACGATGTCTCTACTAAAAATACAAAAAATTAGCCGGGCGTGGTGGCAGGCGCCTGTAGTCCCAGCTACTCGGAAGGCTGAGGCAGGAGAATGACGTGAACCTGGGGGAGGCGGAGCTTGCAGTGAGCCAAGATTGCGCCACGGCACTCCAGCCTGGGCGACAGAGCGAGACTCCGTCTCAAAAAAAAACAACAACAACAAAAAAGAAAAACAAGAACCTTTGTCTAACTTAAGGTCACAAAGATTTTCTCCTGTGTTTTGTACGTTTTGTATTGTTGTTTCTTAAACTTTTTATTTTAACATAACTGTAGATTAACATACAGCTGTGAAATAATACAGATAGATCACATATACCCTTTATGCATTTTTTCCAGTAGTAACATCTTGTATAACTGTAAGAACAGTATCACAACTAGGAAATTGACATTGATACAATCCTCCACTATTATTTAGATCTCAAGAGCTTTACATTTGTGTGTGTGTGTAGTTCTGTGTGATTTTGTCATATGTGTGGATTTATGTGACCAGCACCACAGTCAAGATATAAAACAGTTTTATCAGAAGGATCATTTATGCTAACCTTTTCTAGCCACAACTACCTTCCTTCCTTCCCTATCCCTAATCCCTGGTTACAATTAATCTGATATACATCTCCATGATTTTAGTATTTCAACAGTTTTATATAAATGGAATCATGTAGTACGTAACATTTTGTGGTTGGCTTTTTTCTCTTGGCATAATTATCCCCATTTTCCACTAAGCCTCCCCTTTTGTTTAAGCTGGGTAGAGTCTGGTAAACCTCATTGCAACCCCAAGTGTTCTGATTGATAGGGCAACGGGAAAAGCCTCAGGGAAACATTAGGCAGGAAATGGCACTGCCTTCTACAAGAAATGCCTTAGTTTCTTTACTTGCAAAATGGAGATAAAATTATGTGCCCTGTCTGCTTCACAAGTCTCTTGGGAGATTCTTCTGGAATAATGAATGTGAATGAGCTCTGTAAAATGTACATTGGCATGTACCTGTTATTACTAACGATAAAAGTTTTGTTTATTTGTACTGCCTCATTGTCTATGGAACCCAGGTCTTCTCCCCTTTGGTACTTCAACTTTCTGGTTTGGGCCCATCTTTTCTCACCTGGGGCTTTCTATGTGCTAGATAGCCTGACTCGGCACTTTAGGCATCTGTGCTATCCCTATCACAAATATGGTCTATGAATTCCTGACTCCAGCTCTTACTAGCTTTGTAGTGTTGGAGAAATAATATAACATCCCTAAATCTCAGTTTCTTTATTTGTAAACTGGAGATAAAAATAGTATATAACTCCATAAGGGTTGTTGTGAGAAATGCCATGCTTATGGTATGTGCCTGGCACACCGGAAGTTACTTGCCCAAGGCCACATGGTCAGTATACATCAGAGCTTGGCTAGAGTCCAAGTCTGTGATGCCAAAGATATCATTCAGGATCACTGAATTCTGTGGTCTTTCAATAGCTTACTTGAGTTTTCTGCCTCACCTTGGTTACATACTCCACAAGATGCCAAGAGAACTGAGTTACTTAAATAATTAAAAACAAAATAAAACAAAACACCATGCTTTTAAGGTCTCTCCCTTGTCCAAAGACCTTTGTTTGGTTATCAATGCCAGGGACTCTCTCTACCACTCCAGATTAATTATGCTAACATTCAAGCCTCCTAACAGTGCTAGACAAAACTTATGTGTCAAATATGCCTCACTGCTATGTTTAGCCCACGAGTGCCCTGGCTGTGCCTGGAATTCTGAGCACATACAAAGATGGAGAGGGCTATTGATAGATTGGGTGGTAGAGGGCATTTCCCAGGGGGAAAATAATGGGGGTGAAGACCAGGGGACAGGTAAGCATGATGGTGTATATGGGAAAAAGGAAACAGTCCATCTAACAGCATGTTGGGTACACAAAAAGGGGGAGTTGAAGATGAGACTGGAACATTAGCTGGACTGTGTAGGCCATGAGTGTGGGTCTAAGATGCCTACTTCCTGTTTAATAGGCAATTAGGAATCCTCGGACATGATGTCAGAGCTAAGGACATGGCCACCTGTGCCCCTGCAGGACATCTTGGCTCAGTTTTCACTCAGACTGTCTCAGGGTTTCCATAGTTAGTCTGGGGTAGACTCTCAGCACTCCCACCCCATGTCCTTCCCCTCATGGTCTCTGGGAGGCCCAGCCTCACTCACTATCAGAAGAGTGCTATCAGCAGTCTCATACCACTGAGATGCTGCAACCTGAAGACCAGAGAAAGCTTCTGGAATGCAACATGACCACAAGATCTCATTCTCTCCGCTTGTCTACATGGAAATCTCTATGCCTCATAGCTGTAAAATGGAGATAACAGCACCTGCTTTAGAGGAGTGCTATGTGGATTAAGTAAGATAATGTAAGAAGAGTGCATAGCATAGGCACTAATCTGCCCTGGCCTTCCCTCCAGCACATTCCATACACAGACTTGTCCAGTGTGTGGGCATCACCTGAGAAGTAGCCACTCAGTTTATGTCTTTCAGAAAACACAAACAATCCGTGGTCACAGAACAGAGATAACTGGTGATTCAGATTTCCAGTACATTAGAAGGCACCTGCGAAGGTACTTCCCTTCGCCTCCTGGGAGCCATCAGTGAGCTCTCCAGGAGAGCAGTATGATGCAGAGAAAGAAACAAAGGAGATGCAGATAGTCATGTTTCTCCTCATTCACGGGGTGAACTTGGGCAGCACCTCCCTTTCTCTGATCCTCAGTTGCTTTGTTGAAATAGGGTTGATGTGAGGGGCCAGTGAGATAATGCAGGTAAAGTGCTGCATGGTGGCCAGCACTATTAGCTCCTGATGGGGGCTGATTCTCCCACGTGGGTGCCTGTGAGACTCAACTAAGGGGAGGAGCAGTCAGGATGGTCAGAAGCTCCCTTGTTGCTTTCTAGGCCCTTGCTGTGACCCATCCCTCTGGGACTGGCTCTGTTGTAAGGGTAAAGAAGTTCTGTGACATCCATGTGCCATGTCACTTTCCACCTGGTAGCAGAGGCAGGCACATCAGCTCCTTGGCTCTGTGCTGGTTCTGCTGGAAGGTTTTATAAGAGCACACTGTCCAGTAGAAATGTAGTGTGAGCTGCATGTGTAAGTTTAAGTTTTCTGGTAATTACGTTAAAAAGAATAAAAAGCAGGTGAAAATAATTGTAATATATTTATTTTATTTAACCCAATAGAGGTTGAGTATTCCTAATCTGAAAGTCTAAAATTCAAAATGCACCAAAACCCAAAATGGGCATTGACATGATGCTCAAAGGATATGCTCACTGGAGCATTTCAGATTTTGGATATTGGGATTAGGATGCTCAACCAGTAAGTATAATGTTAATGTGTCAAGCCCCCCGCTCCCCACCCCCCGCAAAAAATCAGAAATTTGAAACATTTCTGGTCCCAAGCATAGAAAAGAGATACTCAACCCATATATTCAAAATATTATCATTATAATATGTAATCAATATTAAAACATTAATGAGTTTTTTTATATGAAGTCTTCAAAGTACCATGTGTGTCATAAACACATCATGGAAAATAGTCTTAATTAGGACAAGTCACATTTCAAGAACTCAAATAGCCATTACTATGTGGCGGCTGATAGCTTCCTCATTGGAGAGTTTATGGCTTAGACTCGGCTTCCTGGAAACAGAGCCATGCTGCCATCTGGTGGTTACTTTGTCAAATAACTCCTCAGGCATCCACCCTGGGCTGGCCCCGTCGAGGTCAATGAAGACAGAAGTTACATCCTTCCCGCCCTTCGGTGCCCTCAACCTAGAGTTCAGAGCAAAGGATGCAAAGTCCCGGAAGAGAAGCCTATCTACATGCCCTGAGATTTGAAAGTGAAAAGGCTGTAACATGAGGAAATCTTTCACAGATGTGGAGATGAGAAGGGGAAATCACCAGCTTGGGGTCATGTGATAAATTCGTAGCTGCCCTGAGGTGAGGACAGCCTTGGCCCAGCCACCAGAGTATCGTACCTAGACCGAGGCAATTGCCTAGAAAATATTGGGGATTTTTTCGTTGTTTTTTGTTTGTTTGTTTTTTTACAAAGTAATGAATCCATTCACGTTTCAAAATGCAAAAGCAGAGTTTCCCATCCCCACGAATCCTAACTACCCAGTTCCCCTTTAGTGAGGCATCACAGGTAATGCTGTGATAAGCTTGTACACTTTATTATTATTATTTTGAGACAGAGTCTTAAGGCTGGAGTGCAGTGGCGTTGATAGAGACAGGAGGCAGCCAAGGCACGCCCCCACCCTCGGACCCCCGACACCCACCTTTAAGGCTGAAAAACCAGACTGCCGGTCCAGATGAAGCCCGCCCTTTGCCCTACTGACTCTTTCTGAATACTGCCCACCTGCGAACTGGGAGGACTGGGTGGGGCCTCGGGAAGTTAACACCGTTTGTAGCAGGAGGGGCCTGGCCTCTGCTGTTCCTGTGTGGTAACCTGGGATTCAATCAGTCAGGTGGAGAGCCTGTTAGCAGGACTCCATCTCACTTTACTGAGTTGTTTTTCCTTTCTGCCCAATAAATTCCATTCCCCCTCACCCTTCAAAGTGTCTGTGAGCCTAATCGTTCCTGGTCGTGTGACAAGAACCTGGTTTGTCCTACAACAGCGTGATCACAGCTCACTGCAGCCTCGACCTCCTAAGCTCAAGGGATCCTCCCACCTCAGCCTCCTGGGTAGTTGGGATACAGGCATGAGCCACCACACGTGGCTAATTTTTGGTATTTTATGTAGAGACAGTTTCACCATGTTGCCTAGGCTACTCTCAAACTCCTGGGCTCAAGCAATCTCCCCTCCTTGGCCTCCCAAAATGTTGGGATTACAGGCATGAGCCACCATGCCCAGCCCCACATATTATTTTTACATGTGCAAGTATATCCATAGACTATACGGGTATACTATTCAAGAATAGTTTCTTGAAATGGAGTTGTTGGGCCCAAGGATATGTGCCTATGTAATTTTGATAGATAAAGAATATCTTTTTTAAAAATCAGCTTTTAAAGATACAATCTACATATAAAAATTCACTATTTTAAGTGTACAGTTTGACAAATGTGTATAGTTCTGTAACCACCACCACGATCATGATGTAGAACATTGCCATCACTCCAGGAAGTTCCCTAGTGGTCCTTAGCAGTTAATTTCCCCACTCCCACCTCAGCCTCTGACAACTACTGATCTGGATTCTGCCCTTATAATTATAGTGGCCTTTTCCAGAATATCATAGAAATGCAATAGAATGTAATCTTTTCTGTCTGGATATTTTCACTTTGCATATAGATCATGCAGTTCATCCATATTGTTGCATGTATGATGTATCAAAGTACAGCAGATCCTTGAATAATATTTTGTCGAACATTGTTTTACTATAATGTTGACGAGAAAAAAAAAATCAATTCCCTGCTGAGGCCACTGTCTGTGTGATGTTTGCACATTTTCCCCACGCCTGGATTGATTTTCTCTGAGTATTCCAGATTACTCCCACATCCCCAAAGATGTACACGCTAGGTTAATTGTTACATCTACATGGTCCCAGTGTGAGTGAGCTTGGGTGTATGAGTGTGGCTCAGGATGGGACGGCATCCTGTCTGGAGTTGGCTCCCGCCTTGCACTCTGAGCTGCTGGGATAGGTTCCAGCCACCTGCAACCCTGAACTGGAATAAGCAGGTTGGAAAGTGGATGAATGAGTGAATACAAATTATTGTTAAAAGAATTTCTGTAAAGTATATGATAATCCTACAATGCATGACATCAAAGAAAACAGTCTGAAAGCTCTCAGCAAGCCCTCTGTATTTGTGATTGTTTTTGAACTGCATGGTCGTAGGAGATGCTCCTGATAATTTTTGCTTTGCAAACATTTATTCTTTGATTCAATCCACCACCACTATGAACACTGTCACTTACTGATTCACCAAAAGTTGTGTAAATAATGATCTTACTTGTTTTTATTAATCTTTCTCAAATGTATGTATAGCTCACTTCTATTTCAATGTTTAATATTAGAAGTATTTGAAGTCTTTATTTAGATATTTCATGATGTTTTAATGACAGAAATATGCCATAGGAACTTAACTCTTATATACATCAATTAGCCTATGGTAAAATTGGTTTCATTATATGTCATTTCACTTAAAGTTGTTATTTCCAAGAACCTATTGATGTTAAGTGAGGACTTTCTGCAATACCTTTTTTAAATTGTTAAGTGATATCATATTCTATAGATATATCAGTTTATCTGTTTACCAGGTGATGGACATTTTGTTTCCAGTTTGGGATTTCTATGAATAAAGCTTCTATGAACATTCAAGTATTTTTTTTTCCCCCCGAGACGGAGTTTCGCCCTTTTTACCCAGCCTGGAGTGCAATGGCATAATCTTGGCTTACTGCAACCTCTGCCTCCTGGGTTCAGGCGATTCTCCTGCCTCAGCCTCCCTGGTAGCTGGGATTACAGGCATGCACTACCATGCCTGGCTAATTTTTGCATTTTTAGTAGAAACGGGGTTTCACCATGTTGGTCAGGCTGGTCTGGAACTCCTGACCTCAGGTGATCTGCCCGCCTCAGCCTCCCAAATTGCTGGGATTAAAGGCGTGAGACACTGCGCCCAGCCAAACATTTGTCTTTAAAGTTTCCTTTCTCCTGAGAAAATACCTAGAAGTGGAATTTCTGGGTCAAATGAGAAGTGAATGTTTAGCTTTGTAAGAAACTGCCAGAGGTTCCAAGATGGCCAAATAGGAACAGCTCCAGTCTACAGCTCCTAGTATGAGCGATGCAGAAGATGGGTGATTTCTGCATTTCCAACTGAGGTACTGGGTTCATCTCACTGCGGCTTTTTGGACAGTGGGTGCAGGACAGTGAGTGCAGCCCACGGAGTGTGAGCTGAAGCAGGGTGAGGCGTTGCCTCACCAAGGAAGCACAAGGGGTCAGGGAATTCCCTTTCCTAGCCAAGGGAAGCTGTGACAGACGGCACCTGGAAAAATTGGGACACTCCCACCCTAATACTTTGCTTTTCTAACGGTCTTAGAAAATGGCACACCAGGAGATTATATCCCGCACATGGCTTGGAGGGTCCCACGCCCACAGAGCCTCGCTTACTGCTAGCACAACAGTATGAGATCAAACTGCAAGGCAGCAATGAGGCTTGGGGAGGGGCACCTGCCATTGCTGAGGCTTGAGTAGGTAAACAAAGCGGCCGGGAAGCTCTAACTGGGTGCAGCCCACTGAAGCTCAAGGAGGCCTGCCTGCCTCTGTAGACTCCACCTCTGGGGGCAGGGCATAGCTGAACAAAAAGCAGCAGAAACTTCTGCAGACTTAAAAGTCCCTGTCTGACAGCTTTGAAGAGAGTAGTGGTTCTCCCAGCATGGAGTTTGAGATCTGAGAATGGACAGACTGCCTCCTCAAGTGGGTCCCTGACCCCCGAGTAGTCTAACTGGGAGGAACCTCCCAGTAGGGGTTGACCAACACCTCATACAGTCGGGTGCCCCTCTGAGATGAAGCTTCTAGAGGAACGATCAGACAGCAACATTTGCTGTTCTGCAGTATTTGCTGTTCTGCAGCCTCTGCTGGTGATACCCAGGCAAACAGGGTCTGGAGTGAGCCTCCAGCAAACTCCAACAGACCTGCAGCTGAGGGTCCTGACTGTTAGAAGGAAAACTAACAAACAGAAAGGACATACACACAAAAACCCCATCTGTATGTCACCATCATCAAAGACCAAAGGTAGATAAAACCACAAAGATGGGGAGAAACCAAAGCAGAAAAGCTGAAAATTCAAAAAATTAGAGCACCTCCTCTCCTCCAAAGGAACGCAGTTCCTTGCCAGCAATGGAGCAAAGCTGGATGGAGAATGACTTTGACAAGTTGAGAGAAGAAGGCTTCAGATGATCAGTAATAACAAACTTCTCTGAGCTAAAGGAGGATGTTCGAACCCATCGCAAATAAGTTAAAACCCTTGAAAAAAGATTAGACGAATGGCTAACTAGAATAAACAGTGTAGAGAAGTCCTTAAATGACCTGATGGAGCTGAGAACCATGGCAGGAGAACTATGTGATGCATGCACAAGCTTCAGTAGCCAATTCCATCAACTGGAAGAAAGGGTATCAGTGAATGAAGATCAGATGAATGAAATGAAGCGAGAAGAGAAGTTTAGAGAAAAAAGAGTAAAAAGAAATGAACAAAGCCTCCAAGAAATATGGGACTATGTGAAAAGACCAAATCTATGTCTCATTGGTGTACCTGAAAGTGACGGGGAGAATGGAACAAAGTTGGAAAACGCTCTGCAGGATATTATCCAGGAGAACTTCCCCAATCTAGCAAGGCAGGCCAACATTCAAATTCAGGAAATACAGAGAACTCCACAAAGATACTTCTTGAGAAGAGCAACTCCAAGATACATAATTGTCAGATTCACCAAAGTTTAAATGAAGGAAAAAATGTTAAGGGCAGCCAGAGAGAAAGGTTGGGTTACCCACAAAGGGAAGCCCATCAGACTAACAGCAGATCTCTTGGCAGAAACTCTACAAGCCAGAAGAGAGTGGGGGCCGATATTCAACATTCTTGAAGAAAAGAATTTTCAACCCAGAATTTCATATCCAGCCAAACTAAGCTTCATAAGTGAAGGAGAAATAAAATCCTTTACAGACAAGCAAATGCTGAGAGATTTTGTCACCACCAGGCGTGCCTTACAAGGGCTCCTGAAGGAAGCACTAAACATGAAAAGGAACAACCGGTACCAGCCACTGCAAAAACATGCCAAATTGTAAAGACCATCAATGCTAGGAAGAAACTGCATCAACTAACGAGCAAAATAACCAGCTAACATCATAACGACAGGATCAAATTCACACATAAGAATATTAACCTTAAATGTAAATGGGCTAAATGCTCCAATTAAAAGACACAGACTGGCAAATTGGATAAAGAGTCAAGACCCATCAGTGTGCTATATTCAGGAGACCCATCTCACGTGTGGAGACACACATAGTCTCAAAATAAAGGGATGGAGGAAGATCTACCAAATGGAAAAAAAAAAAAAAAAAAGCAGGGGTTGCAATCCTAGTCTCTGATAAAACAGACTTTAAAACAACAAAGATCTAAAGAGACAGAGAAGGCCATTACATAATGGTAAAGGGATCAATTCAACAAGAAGAGCTAACTAACCTAAACATATATGCACCCAATACAGGAGCACCCAGATTCATAAAGCGAGTCCTTGGAGACCTACAAAGAGACTTAGACTCCCACACAATAATAATGGGAGACTTTAACACCCCACTGTCAACATTAGACAGATCAATGAGACAGAAAGTTAACAAGGATATCCAGGAATTGAACTCAGCTCTGCACCAAGCGGACCTAATAGACATCTACAGAATTCTCCACCCCAAGTCAAGAGAATATACATTCTTCTCAGCACCACATCACACTTATTCCAAAATTGACCACATAGTTGGAAGTAAAGCACTCCTCAGAAAATGTAAAAGAACAGAAATTATAACAAACTGTCTCTCAGACCACAGTGCAATCAAACTAGAACTCAGGATTAAGAAACTCACTCAAAACCGCTCAACTACATGGAAACTGAACAACCTGCTCCTGAATGACTACTGGGTACATAACGAAATGAAGGCAGAAATAAAGATGTTCTTTGAAACCAATGAGAACAAAGACACAACATACCAGAATCTCTGGGACACATTTAAAGCAGTGTGTAGAGGGAAATTTATAGCACTAAATGCCCACAAGAGGAAGCAGGAAAGATCTAAAATTGACACCAAAACATCACAATTAAAAGAACTAGAGAAGCAAAAGCAAACACATTCCAAAGCTAGCAGAAGGCAAGAAATAACTAAGATCAGAGCAGAACTGAAGGAGATAGAGACACAAAAAACCCTTCAAAAAATCAATGAATCCAGGAGCTGGTTTTTTGAAAAGATCAACAAAATTGATAGACTGCTAGCAAGACTAATAAAAAAGAAAAGAGAGAAGAATCAAATAGATGCAATATAAAATGATAAAGGGGAAATCACCACCAATCCCACAGAAACACAAACTACCATCAGAGAATACTATAAACACCTCTACACAAATAAACTAGAAAATCTAGAAGAAATGGATAAATTCCTGGACACATACACCCTCCCGAGACAAAACCAGGAAGAAGTTGAATCCCTGAATAGGCCAATAGCAGGCTCTGAAATTGAGGCAATAATTAATAGCCTACCAACCAAAAAAATTCCAGGACCAGATGGATTCACAGCCGAATTCTACCAGAGGTACAAGGAAGAGCTGGTACCATTCCTTCTGAAACTATTCCAATCAATAGAAAAAGAGGGAATCCTCCCTAACTCATTTTATGAGGCCAGCATCATCCTGATACCAAAGCCTGGCAGAGACACAACAAAAAAAAAGAGAATTTTAGACCAATATCCCTAATGAACTTTGATGCAAAAATCCTAAATAAAATACTGGCAAACCAAATCCAGCACCACATCAAAAAGCTTATCCACCATGATCAAGTGGGCTTCACCCCTGGGATGCAAGGCTGGTTCAACATACACAAATCAATGAATGTAATCCAGCATATAAACAGAACCAAAGACAAAAACCACATGATTATCTCAATAGATGCAGAAAAGGCCTTTGACAAAATTCAACAGCGCTTCATGCTAAAAACTCTCAATTAGGTATTGATGGGACATATCTCAAAATAATAAGAGCTATCTATGGCAAACCCACAGCCAATATCATACTGAATGGGCAAAAACTGGAAGCATTCCCTTTGAAAACGGGCACAAGACAGGGATGCCCTCTCTCACCACTCCTATTCAACATAATGTTGGAAGTTCTGGCCAGGGCAATCAGGCAGGAGAAAGAAATAAAGGGTATTCAATTAGGAAAAGAGGAAGTCAAATTGTCCCTGTTTACAGATGACATGATTGTATAATTAGAAAACCCCATCATCTCAGCCCAAAATCTCCTTAAGCTGATAAGCAACTTCAGCAAAGTCTCAGGATACAAAATCAATTGTGCAAAAATCACAAGCATTCCTATACACCAACAACAGACTAAGAGAGCCAAATCATGAGTGAACTCCCATTCACAATTGCTACAAAGACAATAAAATACCTAGGAATCCAATTTACAAGGGATGTGAAGGACCTCTTCAAGGAGAACTACAAACCACTGCTCAATGAAATAAAAGAGGACACAAACAAATGGAAGAACATTCCATGCTCATGGATAGGAAGAATCAATATCATGAAAATGGGCCATACTTCCCAAGGTAATTTATAGATTCAATGCCATCCCCATCAAGCTACCAATGACTTTCTTCACAGAATTGGAAAAAACTACTTTAAAGTTCATATGGAACCAAAAAAGAGCCCACATTGCCAAGACAATCCTAAGCCAAAAGAACAAAGCTGGAGGCATCACGCTACCTGACTTCAAACTATACTACAAGGCTATAGTAACCAAAAGAGCATGGTAGTGGTACCAAAACAGAGATATAGACCAATGGAACAGAACAGAGCCCTCAGAAATAATACCACACATTTACAACCATCTGATCTTTGACAAACCTGACAAAAACAAGAAATGGGGAAAGGATTCCCTATTTAATAAATGGTGCTGGGAAAACTGGCTAGCCATATGTAGAAAGCTGAAACTGGATCCCTTCCTTATGCCTTATACAAAAATTAATTAAAGATGGATTAAAGACTTAAATGTTAGACCTAAAACCATAAAAATCCTAGAAGAAAACCTAGGCAATACCATTCAGGACATAGGCATGGGCAAGGACTTCATGTCTAAAACACCAAAAGCAATGGCAACAAAAGCCAAAATTGACAAATGGGATCTAATTAAACTAAAGAGCTTCTGCACAGCAGAAGAAACTACCATCAGAGTGAACACGCAAGCTACAGAATGGGAGAAAATTTTTGCAATCTACTCATCTGACAAAGGGCTAATATCCAGAATCTACAAAGAACTTAAACAAATTTACAAGAAAAAAATCAAACAACCCCATCAACAAGTGGGCAAAGGATATGAACAGACAGCTCCCAAAGAAGACATTTATGCAGGCAACAGACACATGAAAAAATGCTCACCATCACTGGCCATCAGAGAAATGCAAATCAAAACCACAATGAGATACCATCTCACACCAGTTAGAATGGTGATCATTAAAAAGTCAGGAAACAACAGGTGCTGGAGAGGATGTGGAGAAATAGGAACACTTTTACACTGTTGGTGGGACTGTAAACTAGTTCAACCATTGTGGAAGACAGTGTGGCGATTCCTCAAGGATCTAGAACTAGAAATACCGTTTGACCCAGCCATCCCATTACTGGGTATATACCCAAAGGATTATAAATCATGCTGCTATAAAGACACATGCACACGTATGTTTATTGCAGCACTATTCACAATAGCAAAGACCTGGAACCAACCCAAATGTCCATCGATGACAGACTGTATTAAGAAAATGTGGCACATACACAGCATGGAATACTATGCAGCCATAAAAAGGATGAGTTCATGTCTTTGTAGGGACATGGATGAAGCTGGAAACCATCATTCTGAGCAAACTATCTCAAGGACAGAAAACCAAACACTGTATGTTCTCACTCATAGGTGGGAATTGAACGAGAACACTTGGACGCAGGATGGGGAACATCATACACTGGGGCCTGTGGTGTGGTGAGGCGGGGGGAGGGATAGCATTAGGAGCTATACCTAATGTAAATGATGAGTTATTGGGTGCAGCACACCAACATGGCACATGTATACATATGTTACAAACCTGCACATGTACCCTAGAACTTAAAGTATAAAAAAAAAAAAAAGAAAAGAAACTGCCATACTGTTTTCCAAAGTAACTGTACCATTTTCCATCACCACTCACAATTAGGGTTCCAGTTGCTTCACACCCTCACTAACACTTGGCATGGTCGGTCTTTTGAATTTTAGCTATTCTAGTGGGTGTGTAGTGGTATTGCATTGTAGTTTAAATTTACAGTTGACTGATGACTAATGATACTGTCCATCATGCTTGTGCTTACTCACTATTTGTATACATTCTTTGGTGAAATACCTGTTCAAATATTCTGTCCATTTTTAAATTGGGCTGTTTGTCTTCTTAGTATTTAGGTATAAGTGATCTTTATATATTCCAGATACAAATCCTTTGTCTGATATAGCAGTCCCCCATTGTCTGATTCAAGTCTCTTGGTCTTGCTTTCTGCAGTTCCAGTTACTAGTGGTCAATTGCAGTCTGAAAATAGGTGAATATAGTACAATAAGATATTTTGAGAGACAGAGACCACATTCACATAACTTTTATCACAGTATATTATTATAATTGTTCTATTTTATTAATAGTTATTGCCGTTAATTTATTACTGTGTCTAATTTATAAGTTAAACTATATCATAGGTATTTGTGTGTAGGAAAAACCATAGTGTATATAAGGTTCAGTACTACCCACCATTACAGACATCCACCGAAGGTCTAAGACATCAATTAGCCTATTTTACCATAGGCTATAAGAGCACATTCTCATGGCTCCCCTTGCCCAATCCTGCCTCATCCCCTTTCCTTTCATAAGTGTTACTCCTTAATAATTGCTTTTCTACTCCTCGATCTCGGCATCTGCTTCCCAGAGGACTCAACTGACACACATCTTTAAAGAAAAATAGGCAGATTTATATAAAGGCAATTCACAAAAGGAATGGTGAAATAATTAGGAAAATGAAAAGTTACGGAATAGTAAGATAGACGTTTTTATCTATCATATTAGCAAAGTTTACAGAAGTTGAATAATATCTGTGTTGGCTAGCATGTATTGGGAATGTAAATTGTCAAGTATGTGGTCGTGTAAATTGACATACACATTTTGGAAAGCTGTTTTGCAAAATATTTTAAAATTACATGACTCAGAAATTTCACTTTTTAAATGTACTTTAAAGAACATTTGCCAATGTATGAAATGAGGCATGTTTAATAATATGCATTGTAACATGATATATAATTGTTCAACCATTCTGGAAAGAAACAAATTGAAACTGACAACAGTATACGCCCCTGAGGTAGTTTTGTAGAACCAGCTGAAATTAGAGATCCCTTTATTCTTTGGCCAAGATTATACTGAATTTTTAAAAATTTTTTATTGTGGTACAATATACATAATATCTCTTTAACCATTTGTAAGTGTATAATTTAGTTGCATTAAAAGCATTCACATGTTGTTAACTATCATCACTATATATACTCAAAATTTTCTCGACCCCAACATAAACTCTGAATCCATTAAACAAAAATTCCTCCTTCCCTCTTTCCCCTCGTCCTCTAGTAATCTCTATCTTACTTTTTGTCTCTATAAATGTGCCTATTCTATCTGATACAAGTGAATTCATACAATATTTGTCCTTCTGTATCTGGCTTATTTCACTATGCATAATGTTTTTGAAAGCCAACCATGTTGTAACATATATAAAAATTCCATTTCTTTTAATGGTTGAATAATATTCCATTATATGTATATAGCACATTTTGTTTATTCATTCAACAGTTGATGGACACTTGGGTTGTTTTCACCTTTTGGCTATTGTGAATAACGCTACTGTGAAAAGTGGTGTACAAATATCTGTTTAAGTCCCTGCTTTCAATTCTTTTGGATATATACCTAAGAGTAGAATTGCTGGATTTCTGTATTTATCATTTGAGGAACTGACTGATAAATTGTATGCCACAGCAGCTGCACTATTTTGCATCCCCACCAGCAATACAAAAGGATTCCAACTTCTCCACATACTTGTCAACATTTATTATTTTGTTTCTGAAAAAATTATAGCCATTCTAGCAGATGTGAAGTGGTATTTCACTGTCATTTGATTTGCAGTTCCCTAATGGCAAATGATATTAAACAGCTTTCCATGTGCTCATTGGCTATTTGTGTACTATTTTTGGAGAAGTGTCTATTCACATCCTTTGCCCATTTTTAAAAATTGGATTGTTTTCCTGTTGTAGGGGGTATTTTTATTTTTATTTATTTTTTAGACAAGGTCTCACTCTGTCACCCTGGCTGGAGTGCAGTGGCACGATCTCAGCTCACTGCAACCTCCACTTCTGGGCTTAAGCTATCCTCCCACCTCAGCCTCCCAAGTAGCTGGGACTACAGGCACATGCCACCATATCTGGGTAATATTTGTATTTTGTGTAGAGACGGGTTTTGCCATATTGCCCAGGCTGGTCTCAAACTCCTGGGCTCAAGCCATCTACCCGCCTGGGCCTCCCAAAATGCTGGTGAGCAGTGAACCCAGCTGGACTTCCTGGGTCGAGTGGGGACTTGGAGAACTTTTCTGTCTTACAAGAGGCTTGTAAAAATGTACCAATCAGCACTCTGTAGCTAGGACTGTAAAACTCACCAATCAGCACTCTGTAGCTAGCAAGGGGATTGTAAAACTCACCAATCAGCACTCTGTAGCTAGCAAGGGGATTGTAAAATGCACCAATCAGCACTCTGTAAAATGCACCAATCAGTGCTCTGTAAAATGCACCAATCAGCGCTCTGTAAAATGCACCAATCAGCAGAATCCTAAAAGTAGCCAATCGCAGGGAGGATTGAAAAAAAGGCATTCTGATAGGACAGAAATGGAAAATGGGAGGGGACAAATAAGGGAATAAAAGCTAGCCACCCAGCCAGCAGTGACAATGGGCTGGGGTCCCCTTCCATGCTGTGGAAGCTTTGTTCTTTTGCTCTTCACAATAAATATTGCTGCTGCTCACTGTTTGGGTCCGTGCCATCTTTAAGAGCTGTAACACTCACTGTGAAGGTCTGCAGCTGCATTCCTGAAGTCGGCCAGACCATGAACCCGCTGGAAGGAACCAACTCTGGACACACTGGGAGCCACCACACCCAGCCAAAAGTTCTTTATATATTCTGATTACTAGTTCTTTATCAGGTATGTGACTTGCAAATATTTTCTCCCACTCTAAAGCTTGCCTTTACTTGATAGTATCCTTTGATGCAGAAAAGTTTTAAATTTTGGTGAAACCCAAGTTACCTACTTTTTTTCTTTTTTTTTGAGACAAGAGTCTCACGCTGTTGCCCAGGCTGGAGTGCAGTGGTGCGATCTTGGCTCACTGCAACCTCTGCCTCCCAGGTTCAAGCGATTCTCCTGCCTCAGCTTCCTGAGTAGCTGGGACTACAGGCATGCGCCACCATGCCCAGCTAATTTTTGTATTTTTAGTAGAAACAGGGTTTCACCATCTTGGCCAGGCTGGTCTCAAACTCCTGGCCTCAAGTGATCCACCCACCTCAGCCTCCCAAAGTGCTGGGAATACAAGTGTGAGCCACTGCACACAGCCTTACTTTTTTTCTTTTGTTGCTGGTGGTTTTGGTGTCATATCCATGAAACTGTTGCCAAATACAATTGTGTGAAGATTTTCTCCAAAATTTTCTTCTAAAAGTTTTATAGTTTTAGCTCTTATGTGTAGATCTTGGATGCATTTTGAGTTAATTTTTTATGTTGTCCAAGGTAAGGATCCAACTTCATTCTTTTGCATGTGGATATTGTTTTCCCAGTACCATTTGGTGAAAAAATGTCCTTTCCCCATTGAATGGTCTTGGCATCATTGTTGCAAATCAATCGATCATATATATGTGAGGGTTTATTTCTGAACTCTATTCTATTGCAATAGTCTATATGTCTGGCTTTATGCTAGCACCGTAATGTTTTAATTAATGTAGCTTTGTAGTAAGTTTCAAAGTTAAGAAGTATGAGTCCTCCAACTTTATTCTTTTTAAAGGCAGTTTTAGCAATTCAAAGCCCTTTGTAATTTCATATGAATTTGAGGATCAGTATAATGTTAAGTCTTCCTGTCCATAAACACAGGATGTCTGTCCATGTATTTAGATTAGGTCTTTTTTAATTTCTTTCAGCAGTGTTTTATAGTTTTCAGTGTACTAGTCTTTTGCCTTCTTGGTTAGATTTATTCTTCACTATTTAATTATTTTAGATATTACTGTAAATAGAATTGCTTTCTAAGTTTTCTTTTTGGATTGTTTGTTGCTGACATATAAAAACAGATAATTTTCATATATTGATTTGTACACTGCAACTTTGCTGAATTTGTTTATTAGCTGTAGTAGCTTTCATGTGGATTTTTGGGATTCCTGTGAATAGAGATAATTTTACCTCTTCCTTTCAATTTGAAAGCCCCCCCACACACACCTATTTTTTTATCTCATCTAATAGCTCTGGCTAGAAATTACAGTATCGTGTTGAATAGCATGACTGAAAGCAAGCATTCTTTCCTGTTCCTTATCTCGGGGGAAACTTTCCATTTTTCACCATTATGATGTTAGCTGTGGACTTTTCACAAATACCTTTATTATGTGGAGACATTTTCCCTCTAATCCTAATTTTCTGAGTTTTTATCATGAAAGAGTATGGATATTGTCAAATGCCTTTTCTGCATCAATTGAGATGGTCATGTTTTTTTCTCCATTCTGATTATGTGATCTATTACATTGATTTTTCATATGTTGTGCCACTTTTGCTTTCCTGAGATAAATCACATTTGGATATCATAAATAATTATTTTTCTTTTTTCTTTTCTTTTTTTTTTTTTTTTTGGTGACAGAGTCTTGCTCTGTCTCCCAGGCTGGAGTGCAATGGTGCAATCTTGGCTCACTGCAACCTCTGCCTCCCGGGTTCAAGGGATTCTCCTGCCTCAGTCTCCCAAGTAGCTGGGATTACTGGTGCACGCTGCCACGCTCAGCTAAATTTTTTTGTATTTTAGTAGAGACAGGGTTTTACTGTATTGCCCAGGCTGGTCTGGAACTCCTGAGCTTAGGCAATCCACCTGCCTCGTCCTCCCAAAGTGCTAGGATTACAGGTGTGAGCCGCGCCCAGCCCAAATAATCATTTTAATATGCTGTTGGATTCAGTTTGCTAATATTTTATTGAGGATTTTTTAACCTATGTTTATGAGAAATATTGGGCTATAATTTTCTCTCTTGTGATGTCTTTATCTGACATTGGCATCAGAGTAATGTAGCCTTGTAGAGTGAGTTAGGACTATTCTCTCCGCTTCAGTTTTGTGGAAGAGTTTGAGAAGGATTGATGTGAATTCTTCTTTAAATATTTGGTAGAATTCTCCAGTACAATATCTGGTCCAGGACTTTTCTTTGTTGGGAGGCTTTTCATTACCAATTCAATATTCTTACTTGTTATAAAGCTATGCAAAATTTGTTTCTTCTTGAGTCAGTTTACATGATTCATGTGTTTTAAGGAATGTGTCCATTACTTCTAGGTTATCTAACTTGTTGGCATACAGTTGTTCATTGTATTCTCTTACAATCCTGTTTATCTGTGTAAGGTTGAGAGTAATGTCCCCACTTTCATTTCTGATTTTAGTTATTTACATATCTCTTTTTTTCTTTGTCAGTTGAAGTAAAGTTTAGTCAATTTGTTGATCTTTTCAAAGAACCAACTTTTGGTTTTACTGACTTTTCTCTACTGTTTCTCTACTCTATTTTATCTAAGCTCTAGTTCTTATTATGTTGTTCCTTTTGCTAGCCTTTGGCTTAGTATGTTCTTTTCCTTGTTCATTGAGGTGTAAAGTTAGGTTATAGATTTTGAACATCTTTTTAAAAGTAGGCATTTTCAGTTCTGGATTACCTTCTGAACACTGCTTTTTCTGCATCTCAAAAGTTGGATCATGGGGTTTTTGGTTTGTTTTTAACCATTCTGCCAACTGCTGTTTTTTATTTGAGAGTTTAACCCATTTATATTTAAAGTACATACTGATAAGGGAGAACTTAGCTTTTCCATTTTGCTATTTGTTTTCTATATGCCTTATAGCCTTTTTGTCCTTCATTTCCTCCATTACTGCCTTCTTTTGTGTGTAATTGGTTTGTAGTGGAACATTTTGATTCCATTCTTGAATTGATGCCAACTTAACTTCTATATCATACAAACACTCTGCTCCTATATAGCTCCATTCTTTTGATGTTACCACTGTCACAACTTATATTTTTATATATTGTGTGCCCAATAATATAGTTTCATAATGTTTATATATTATTTTTAACATACAGAAAAAAAGAGGAGTTAAAAAACAAAATTACAATTATGCTAGCTTCTATGATTTTCCATATATTTATCTTTACCTCTGATCTTTCTTTCTTTTTTTTCCTGAGACAGAGTCTTGCTCTGTCACTCAGGCTGGAGCACAGTGGTACAATCTCAGCTCACTGCAACCTCTGCCTCCCGGGTTCAAGTGATTCTCCTGCCTCAACCTCCCAAAGTGCTGGGATTACAGGTGTGATCCACTGCACCCAGGCTTTATTTCTTTATATGGCTTCAAATTACTATCAGTACTTTTATTTTGACTTGAAATATTCCCTTTAGCATATTTTGCATGGAAAGTTTTTTTTTTTTTTTTTTTGAGTTGGAGTCTTGCTCTGTCACCCAGGCTCGAGTGCAGTGGCATGATCTCAGCTCACTGCAACCTCCACCTCCCAGGTTCAAGCAATTCTCCTGCCTCGGCCTCCCGAGCAGCTGGGAGTACAGGCATGCACCACTACACCTGGCTAATTTTTGTATTTGTAACAGAGACGGGGTTTCGCCATGTTGGCCAGGCTGGTCTCGAACTCCTGACCTCAAGTGATCTGCCTGCCTTGGCCTCCCAAAGTGCTGGTATTACAGGTGTGAGCCACTGTGCCTGGCCTTGGAAAGTCTTATGGTAATGAACTCCCTCAGCTCTTGTTTATCTGGGAATGTATTAATTTCTCCCTCATTCTTTAAGGGCAGTTTTTCTGGATATAGAATTCTTGGTAGACTATTATTTCTTTCAGCACTTTGGATATGTTAACCCACTGCCTCCTAGCCTCCAAAGTTTCTCATGAGAAATTAGCTGGTAATCTTGCTGAGGATCTCTTTTGTGTGATGAGTTACTAATACTTCCAGGATTCTTTCTCTGTCTTTGTCTTCAACATTTTAATTATAAGAGGTCTTCGTGTGGATCTCTTTGAATTTATCCTTCTTGGAATTCGTTGAGCCTCTTGAATTTGGAGATTCATATCTTTTGTCAAATTTGGGGAGTTTTCAGCCATTATTTATTTCTTCAAATTCTTTTTGCCCTTTTCTTGCTTTTTTTTCCCTTTGGAACTCCCATAATGCATATGTTGGTCTGCTTGGTAGTATCTCAAAAGTCCCTTATGCTCTGTTCACTTTTCTTCATTTCTTTTTTTCCATTCCTCCCACTTTATAACTTCAATTGTCCTATCTTCAATTTTACTGATTCTTTCTTCTGCCTGTTCAGATCTCTTTTTGTAACCATCTAGTAAAATCTTCATTTCAGTTATCGTACATTTTAGTTCCAGAATTTATTTTTGGTTCCTTTTTTATATTTTATATCTTTTTATTGATATTCTCATTTTGTTCATACAACATTTTCCTGTTTTGCTCATTTCTTTCTGTAGATCTTCGAGTATCTTTAAGACAGTTGTTTTGGCCAGGCGTTAGGCACTTTGGGAGGCTGAGGCAGGTGGATCATGAGGTCAGGAGTTCAAGGCCAGCCTGGCCAGTATGGTGAAACCCCATCTCTACTAACAATACAAAAGTTAGTTGGGCATGGTGGCGCATGCCTGTAGTCCCAGCTGCTTGGGAGGCTGAGGCAGCAGAATCGCTTGAACTCAGGAGGTGGAGGTTGCAGTGAGCCGAAATCATGCCACTCCACTCCAGCCTGGGTGACAGAGCAAGACTCTGTCTCAAAACAAACAAACAAAACAACAACAACAAAAAAAACCCTTGTTTTAAAGTGTTTGTCTAGAAGTCCAATGCCTGCGATTTTTTTGGAATAGTTTCTGAAGATTTAATTTGTTCCTTTGAATGAGCCATGTTTTCTTGTTTCTTTGTATGCTTTGGGATTTGTTGTTGATGTTGAAAACTGGATATTTGTTTATCATATAATGTGGTAATTCTGGAAATCAGATTCTCCCCCTTCCCCAGGGTTGCTTTCTATTTTTTATTGCTGTCGGGTATCTCTGTGCTAGAGATCATCCTGAGGCAAAAGCTTAAAGGCTTTTCTATACTTTGTCTTTCCCTGGGCGGTATGGTGACATTGTAAATATTCTCGTATATATGGTTGCTTTTCAATGTTCTAAGTTTTACACGTCTGGCTCCCAACACTAGAAAAAGGGAGGAAAAAAAAGAAGAAAAGACCCTTCTCACACCATTCTAGATACTGTCCCTGGATGCTGCTTCTGTTGGTGGGGTTGAAACAATGGCTTCACTTTTCTGTGTCTGCACTTTTCCATCATCAGAAGCAGCAGTCAGCAGTTCAGAATACAGAATTATTAGAGGATGAGATCTGTATTGACCACCCTGGCTTCTGAAACTCTCACCAGGAATGTGGCCATGGCTGCTTACCATGGTACTGATGTTGAAGAGATAGGTAGCTATGACTGAAATTGACTGAAATTAATCAGAATTTAGCAGCTAAGCCCTTCCCTGGAAGTTGCAAGTGTTCAAATGACCTCCAGAGTTACAAAATAGTTACATCGGTAGTTAGTTAACTGATAGTTTCTACTAGCGTAATTGCTGTCTGGGTGTAAAGACAGATTCCTGATGCTTCCTGTTATGCCATATTCCTTGATGTCACTCTATACAAATTTTTAATTGCTATTTTATATCAAAAAATACATAAAAGAGACAGCATTAGAGCACAAGAGGTTGTATGTGGTCAATTTCCCATCAAGTTTAACCACTCACATATTGCTAATACCAGTCATGCACTTGTGCATATGCTGGGATTGTTTACTTTTCAGAAAAAAATTGAGGACCTCAATCTAGTAATGAATTACATAGAACTGGGGAGAGATGACAGAAGAGTTGCTAACAACTTGTATCCAAACTGCTGAGTGCAGAAGCAGGGACTACTCTGAAGAAACAAAGTGAGGTGGGGGGTGGGGGTTGCAGGAATGTGGGCCCTGAAAGCATCCAATTACTATATTCTTTAATTTTTATTTGGGTTATTGATGCTTCTCTTTCCTTAAACAAAAACATGATAAATACATTTAAATTTCTCTTCTGAAAACTTGGTAATTCAATACAACCCTATGACTAATGACAATTAAAACAGTGGAACAAAATTGTTTCTAAAAACTTGAAGGCATTTAAGAGCTAAAAAGGTAGTGAAAAATCTGGTCAAGATGAAAAAAAGGTATTGTAGAAATCCAGAGAGGTGAGACAAGCTTTTGGGGATTTTTTGTATGGAGATATTTGTGTATACTGAGAGGTGGCTGAGAGGCTGAGAAGTGCTTTTCATAGCACTTTGGAGCAAGAGGGTACCAGTCCACACTCTGGGTTGGCCTCTAAAACCTGTACCCTAGAGGTAAGAATGAGCCAGAAGTAAACTAGTTCTCACATGGATTATAGCTCAGTTTTGTGTCATATGGGTAGCTCAGAAAAATTCCAATTTGTGAAACGATACTAAGGTGATTCTGGATCCCCTGTAACCCAATAATCTGACAGAAGCAAGTAAAAATCCTCTCTGAAGAAAGATGACATCATCCTAGGCTCTAAGCTCCACACTTTTTCTACAAACACTTTCTCAATACAGTGGTCTAGCAAACACTATGTATGCAGGCATACAATCGTATAGAACAGCATAACCAAAACTCAAACAAAAAAATTAACAATAGAAACAAACTCACGGGGGCTGTGATACTGGAATTAACAGATTTTGACTCCAAAATAAATGGTTACTCTGTTCAAGGAGTTAAAAGTCAAGAAGGAAAATTTTGTGAGATAACTAGAAATTCTAAAAATAAAGCAGATATGACAAAGAACTGTGTAGACGTTGTACAACTGAAAAATATAGGAACTTAAATTTAAACCAAATGGATGTTTTTAATAGAATATTAGAAACAGCTGATAAAATAATAAACTGAAAGATCAGAATGAATATTTAGAATAAATAACACTGAAACAAAAAGAAAAACACAACAGAAGAGATGGAAAAAAACATGGAGGATGCAGTGTGAGGGTTTAAGAATGTCAGAGTTTTAGGCCAGGCGCAGTGGCTCACGCATGTAATCCCAGCACTTTGGGAGGCCGAGGCAGGTGGATCACGAGGTCAGGGATTCGAGACCAGCCTGATCAAGGTGAAACCCCGTCTCTACTAAAAATACAAAAATTAGCTGGGTGTGGTGATGTGTGCCTGTAATCCCAGCTACTTAGGAGGCTGAGGCAGGAGAATTGCCTGAACCCGGGAGGCAGAAGTTGCAGTGAACCAAGATCACACCACTGCACTCCAGCCTGGGCAACAGAGCGAGACTCCATCTCAAAAAATAATAATATCAGAGTTTTAGAAGAGAGGGAGAAAATTGGACAGAAAAATCATTTGAAAAGTGGTTAAGGATTTTCCCTGATCCTTTTGTATCTCATAAACATGATGATTGGGTTTTCACACACACATGTAAGATGTGTCACCATCAATCCTTGTTATGACATCAGCACATTACCCATCTAACATGATTGAAAAAAAAAAAAAAAGAATTTTCCCCAAATGGTGAAAGACATCAAATTCCATAGTAAAAGTCCCAATGACCCCTATTAGGATCTACAAAAAGAAATCCACACTTTGACACATCATAACAAAACAGAAGAAAACAAAAACAAGGAGAAAAATCTTAAAAGCGGCCAAAGCTTAAAAGACACATTTTGCCTTCAAAGACCACCAATTAAGACAATAAAAGATCTTCAAAGTGTTGAAAAAATAAATAACTGCTGAACTAGAAATCTACACCCAGCAAAGGCATCTTTAGAAAACTGAGGCAAAGAATTCTGTTTGGAGCAAGATGACAGTTTTGCAGTTTTTTCATCTCCCTACATTCTCTAATCAAAATAGATGAAGCAACAGAATAGTAAAAGAAACATGGACATCTTAACTGAACTGAGGAACAAGGTAACTAATAATCCCAGAAGAAAACAGGGTGGGCCAAACTATCAGCATTCTTGCAGGAAGTGTGAAAGGAAGAGAAATGAGAATTCTGGTAGTCCTAAGGGCTTCAGAACACAGAAATTGCCACAAATATTTATCCCTAATAGGAGTAGCTCTGAGTGTGGTAATAAACTGAAGCACCAAATAGATTTAAGCAATAGACATGGGAGAAGTTTTCTCCATTTCTAATTTCCAGATGAGTACAAAAAATGTCTATGAAGGCCGGGCATGGTGGCTCACACCTGTAATCCCAGCACTTTGGGAGGCCAAGATGGGTGGATCACCTGAGGTCAGGAATTCAAGACCAGCCTGACCAAAGTGGAGAAACCTCATCTCTACTAAAAATACAAAAAATCAGCCAGTCGTGGTGGCAGGCGCCAGTAATCCCAGCTACTCGGGAGGCTGAGGCAGGAGAATCACTTGAACCCAGGAGGCGGAGCTTGCAATGAGCTGAGATCGCACCAGTGTACTCCAGCCTGGGCAAGAAGAGCAAAACTCCATCACACACACACAAAAAGTCTATGAAGGAACAGGGTATACAGGACATGAATGGAGGTGAGACTTCTGTGAATGTACCTTTTTGTAAGTGATTTGCATAATTCTAGGGATTTGAAATTAAAATGATAGAATAGTGACAGAAGAATTAGACAAAAAGGCCTCTCAGAATTTAGGCCAGAGTGTGAAGATGTTCCCCCACCCCCATGTGAAAAGTAATTAAATAATCCTCTCCTGCAGAGGAGAGTCACAATAATAACATTGTTAATAAAATACACTGAATATCAGCCAACTTCTTTCTTGGTGGTGGCTATGCTTTCTCAGCTAGTGTTTGAACAAAATAGACATGGTAATAGAAACAGATGTTACAAATGGATTAACAAGTGGACTTACTCTCACCCAGGTTCACCTGGCTGCTGCAACACTGAGTCCTCAGCCTTCCAGCAGCAAAGACCAATAATTCATTGACACTGTAAACAGTTTATTCTAGATCTTAATTTCCTCCTTTTTACAATGTTGGGCTAGCAACATCTTTTATGGAAATTTGTTTGCCTTAGTCATTGTTATGGCATTATACATATAATTGGGAGGTGAAGCCAGCTGGGCTTCTGGGTCGGGTGGGGACTTGGAGAAATTCCAGACATATAATTACCTCTGAATAAGTGTGACACAGACTGCTAGGTTTTTATAATAGCGTTAGTGTAGTGCTTTTTTGAAAGTTGAGCATGGCACCAGCTGGGAGATATCACCTTGAGAAGCTGGAATGTTTTCTTTTTTTTAAATACGGAGTCTCACTCTGTCGCCCAGGCTGGAGTGCAGTGGCATGATCTCAGCTCACTGCAACCTCCGCCTCCCGGGTTCAAGTGATTTTTGCACTTCAGCCTCCCAAGTAGCTGGGACTACAGGCGCCCGCCACTCACTTGTGTAAGATTGGAATTATTTTTTCCTTAAAATATTTTACAAAGTTCACCAGAGGAGCAATCTGGGCCTGCAGTTTTCTTTGAGGGAAGAAAAGAAATGGCTAATTTTTGTATTTTTAGTAGACAGGGTTTCACTATGTTGGCCAGGCTGGTCTCGAACTTCTGACCTCAAGAGATCCTCCCTCCTCGGCCTCCCAAAGTGCTGGAATTACAGCCATGAGCCACTGCCCTGGCCAGAATGTTTTCCTATAGGCTATAGCATATGTTTTAAGCCAGTATGTGTCCATGCTACCAGGCAAGAAAAAGAGATAAAATGTGTTCAGATGGAAAGAAAGAGGTGAAACTGTCTTTATTCACAGGCAACATGATCCTATATGTAGAAAATCCTAAAGAATTCATAGCAAACTATTAGCACTAATAAATGAATTCAGGAAGGTCACAGAATACAAGCTCAATACAAAAAAATTGGTTGTATTTCTATATACTGCAATTAGCAATACAAAAATTCAAATAATAACAGATCAAAAAGAAATACTTAGGAATAAATTTAAGAAAAGAGGTTTTAAGACTTGTGGACTAAAAACTGTAAGACATTGCTGGGGCAGGGTGGGGGGATTAAAGAAGACCTAAATAAATGGAGAAGATATACCATGTTCATTGATTGGAAGATTCAATATTGTTACAATGACAACTCTCTCCAAATTGATCTATAAATGCCATGTAATCCATGTCAATATTCTAGCAGACTTCTTTGCAGAAATGGCAAGCTGATCCTGAAACTTATATGGAAATGGAAGGATGCAGAATAGCCAAAACAATTTTGAAAAAGAAGAACGATGTGGGAGGACTTCTGTTTCTTGATTTTAAAATTGAACAGAATGCTATGGTAATGAAGACAGTGTGGTACTGGTGTATAGATAGCCATATGAATCAATAGAACAGAATGGAGAGTCCAGAAATTAACCCACATATACATGATCAATTGATTTTTGACAAAAGTGCTAAGGCAATCCAGTAGGGAAAAGGATAGTCTTTTCAACAAGTGGTGCTATGACAATCGGATATACATATGCAAAACAAACAATTTTTAGACCTTACTCCATACCAAACACAAAAAAATCAACTCCAAATAGATTATAGAAAAGTATAACTGAAGCCTGGGCATGGTGGCTTATGCCTGTAATCCTAGCACTTTGGGAGGCCAAGGCAGGAGGATTACTTGAGGTCAGGAGTTCGGGACCAGCCTGGCCAACATGGTGAAACCCTGTTTCTACTAATAATACAAAAAAAAAAAATTAGCCAGGCATGGTGGCACATGCCTGTAATCCCAGCTACTCAGGAGGCTGAGGCACAAGAATTGCTTGAACCCGGGAGGCGTAGGTTGCAGTTGGCAGAGATGGTGCCACTGCACTCCAGCCTAGGTGGCAGAGTGAAACTGTCTCACAAAATAAATAAAATAAAAATGCATATTTTTGATAATGCCTACATTAGTCGACATGGAACCAAAATAGCAATATTTTTTTTTAAAAAGTAGAACTGAAAATATAAAACTTTTAGAAAAAAATAGGAGAAAATCTTCATGATATTGGCTAGGGCAAATATTTCTTAGATATGATACCAAAAGCACAACCAATAAAGAAAAAAATGTGATAAGTTGAACTTGATCAAAATTAAAAACATTTGTATTTCAAGAGATATCATTAAGAAAATAAAATAATTCACGTACTAAGAAAACTTTTACAAATCAAATATCTGATAAAGGACTTGTATTCAGAACATATATATATATTTTTTTAATTTTTTATTTAATTTTTTTATTTTTTGAGACAGCGTTTTGCTCTTGTTGCCCAGGCTGGAGTGCAATGGCACAATCTCGGCTTACCACAACCTCCAACTCCCAGATTCAAGTGACTCTCCTGCCTCAGCCTCCCAAGTAGCTGAGATTACAGGCATGTGCCACCACTCCCGGCTAATTTTGTATTTTTAGTAGAGACAGGGTTTCACCATGTTGGCCAGGCTGATCTCAAACTCCTGACCTCAGGTGATCCACCCACCTCAGCCTCCCAAAGTGCTAGGATTAGAGGCATGAGCCACCGTGCCAGGCCCAGAATATATATTTTAAAACTTTACAACAAAGTATAAAAGAAAAAAATAGAAAAAAATTAAATACGAGAGAATATATTCAAATGGCTATTAAGCATGTGAAAAGATGTTTAACATCATTATTAAGAAAACGCAAATTAAAGCAGCAACAAACCAATAAATAACTATAATAACTATTTAAATAGTTGAACTGTTTACAATAAATAGTTCTGTTTGTCCCATAGTTACACCATTTGCACTAGGTACCAAAAAGCAAAGTGGAAGTTATATTTCTACTACCAAAATGACCCATTAGAAAAATTTTTACTTCTTGTTCTCGTGACTTTGGGCTCCACTGGCTTAGAGATTTTAGTACTCAAAGGGGGAATAATTTCTCTGGGGCACACCACAGTGATTATACTGAACTGGAAATTGAGACTATCTGGCCATTTTGAGTTCTTCATAGCACTAGAGCCACAGACAAAAAGGTTACACTGGTGGAATCAATTAACTAGTATTTTGCTAAAGATACATTTATATTCATGATGGATGTTGGCATTAATTTTTTTGTGTAATGTCCTTGTCAGATTTTGATATTAAGATTATGCTGTTTTCACAAAACAAATTGGGAAGTGCTCCTCATTCCTGTGTTTTTGAAAGCACTTAAGATTGGTATTATTTCTTCCTTAAAATATTTTACAAAGTTGGCCAGAGGAGCAATCTGGGCCTGCAGTTTTCTTTGAGGGAATTATGACTAATTCAATTATATTAACACATTATAGCTGTTAAGTTTTCCTGTTTCTTCTAAAGTGAGGTTTAACAATAGTTTATATCTTTTAAGAAATTTATTTTATCCAAGTTATTACATTTATTGGCATAAGCTTGTGCATAACTTATTATCCTTTTAATTCTAAACTGCTAATCTTCCCAGTTTTGTTTCAGATATGAGGAATTTGTGTTCTCTCATCTCTCTGTCTCTCTGTCTTATTTGGTGTACTGGATACTTGTGCTGGCAACTTGGTCAATCTGTGAACGACATTACCCAGAATTCACTTCTCCTTATGGTTTTGGTTAGTGAATCTGCATGAGATTTTAGAAGCAGAAGCAGTCTCTCTCTGAAGCTGTTCAGTGTGAGATAGTTGATGGACAGATGCAGAGTTGCCTGGTGGTTTCCAGCTCATCCTGGTGCTCCTCTGTTTTACATCCAGCTCTCCTTCCCAGCTGCTGAACCCAGCCCAATCAGGAGATGCTTGGCTGCAAACTTTCAGAAGTGTTATCTAAACAGAGCCAACAGCCACCATATGACCTTGTTTCCATTCCCATTTTGGTAACTAAATGTGCTAGGCTTCTCCAATTATCTATCTTTATCTCTCTCTCTCTCTCTCTTTTTTTTTTTTTTTTTTTTGAGATGGAGTCTTGCTGTGTCACCCAGGCTGGAGTGCTGTAGTGCGATCTCAGCTCACTGCAAGCCCCGCTTCTCGGGTTCACGCCATTCTCCTGCCTCAGCCTCCCAAGTAGCTGGGACTACAGGCACCTGCCACCACGGCCAGCTAATTTTTTGTATTTTTAGTAGAGACAGGGTTTCACCGTGTTAGCCAGAATGGTCTCAATCTCCTGACCACGTGATCCACCCGCCTTGGCCTCCCAAAGTGCTGGGATTACAGGCGTGAGCTACTGTGCCCGGCCTATATGAGTAAGTTCTTTAATGGCTATTTGTGAGATTTTGGTGCACCCATTACCCGAGCAGTATACACTGCACCTTATTTGCAGTCTTTTCTCCTTCACCCCCTTCCCATCCTTTCCCCCTGAGCACCCAAAGCCCATTGTGTCACTCTTATACCTTTGCATCCTCATAGCTTAGCTCCCAATTATGAGTGAGAACATAGGACGTTTGGTTTTCCATACCTGAGTTACTTCACTTAGAATAATACTCTCCAATCTCATCCAGGTTGCTGCAAATGCCATTAACTCATTCCTTTTTATGGCTGACTACTATTCCATTGTATATAAATATACCACGGTTTCTTTAACTGCTTGTTGACTGATGGGCATTTGGGTTGGTTCCACATTTTTGCAATTGCGAATTGTGCTGCTATAAACATGTGTGTGCAAGTATCTTTTTCGAATAATGACTTCTTTTCCTCTGGGGTAGATACCCAGTAGTGGGATTGCTGGATCAAATGGTGGTTCTACTTTTAGTTCTTTAAGGAATCTCCACACTGTTTTCCACAGTGGCTGTACTAGTTCCCATTTCCACCAGCAGTGTAGAAGTGTTCCCTGTTCACCACATCCACGCCAACATCTACTATTTTTTGATTTTTTGATTATGGCCATTCTTGCAAGAGTAAAGTAGTATTGGATTGCCAATTATCTCTTTAGGCTCCAATTTGTCATCTAGCACCAATGCTTCAGGAGGACTTCTGAACCTTCACTTCTCTAGCTCTTCCCACTATTATATAAGGTATAGCTCCTAATCTTACTCTCTCATCCAGTAACACTCATTAAGGCTCTGCTTTCCTGAATAAAACCTGAACAATGTCCAATTTGTCAATATTTTCAAAGAATCAACTTTTGGCATTTTAATTTTTTAAGTTGACTGTTTTATATGTCATTGATTTCTACTCACTATTCTTTCCTTCTGTTTACATTTTAATTTTTTCATCTTAATGTGGAATTTTAGATCACTGATTTCAAACCTATTTACTTTTTAAATGTAAGCATTTAAAACTGTAAAATTTCTGTGGCCAGGCACGGTGGCTCACACCTGTAATCCTAGCACTTTGGGAGGCCGAGGCGGGTGGATCACCTGAGGTCAAGAGTTCAAGACCAGCCTGGCCAACATGGTGAAACCCCATCTTAACCAAAAATACAAAAATTAGCCAGGCGTGGTGGCAAGTGCCTGTAATCCCAGCAACTCAGGAGGCTGAAACAGGAGAATTGCTTGGACCCAGGAGGTGGAGGTTGCAGTGAGCTGAGATTGTGCCACTGCATTCCAGCCTGGGCGACAGAGCAAGACTCTATCTCAAAAAAATAAAAATAAAAAATAAATTGTAAAATTTTCTCAAATGGGATCTAATTAAACTAAACAGCTTCTGCACAGCAAAAGAAACTACCATCAGATTGAACAGGCAACCTACAGAATGGGAGAAAATTTTTGCAATCTACCCATCTGACAAAGGGCTAATATCCAGAATCTACAATGAACTCAAACAAATTTACAAGAAAAAAACAAACAACCCCATTAAAAAGTGGGCAAAGGATATGAACAGACACTTCTCAAAAGAACACATTTATGCAGCCAACAGACACATGAAAAAATGCTCATCGTCACTGGTCATCAGAGAAATGCAAATCAAAACCACAATGAGATACCATCTCACACCAGTTAGAGTGTGATCATTAAAAAGTCAGGAAACAACAGGTGCTGGAGAGGATGTGGAGAAATAGGAACACTTTTACACTGTTGGTGGGACTGTAAACTAGTTCAACCATTGTGGAAGTCAGTGTGGCGATTCCTCAAGGATCTAGAACTAGAAATACCATTTGACCCAGCAATTCCATTACTGGGTATATACCCAAAGCATTATAAATCATGCTGCTATAAGGACACATGCACACGTATGTTTATTACGGCACTATTCACAATAGCAAAGACTTGGAACCAACCCAAATGTCCAACAATGATAGACTGGATTAAGAAAATGTGGCATATATACACCATGGAATACTATGCAGCCATAAAAAAGGATCAGCTCATGTCCTTTGTAGGGACATGGATGAAGCTGGAAACCATCATTCTCAGCAAACTATCGCAAGGACAAAAAACCACTGCATATTCTCACTCATAGGTGGGAATTGAACAATGAGAACACATGGACACAGGAAGGGGAACATCACACACCGGGGCCTGTTGTGGGGTGGGGGAGCAGGGAGGGATAGCATTAGGAGATATACCTAATGTTAAATGATGAGTTAATGGGTGCAGCACACCAACATGGCACATGTATATATATTTAACTAACCTGCACGTTGTGCACATATACCCTAAAACTTAAAGTATAATAAATAAATAAAAAGAAGTTTAAATCCAGCCTAGGCAACATAGTGAAACCCTATCTCAAAAATAAATAAATAAATACATACATAATTAAAAAAATAAAAAATAATATAATAAATTAGTAAAATTGAAGAAATCTATTTTATATCCACAGAAGTTGAGTTATTATTATAAACAGATTCTTAAATAAATCCCATTAACTACTTAAAAAAACATTTTTCTCTAAGCACTACATTAGCTAAATCCCCACAAATTTGTATTTGTTGTATTTTCACTATCTTTTTTAAACTTTTATTTTAAGTTCAGGGGTACATGTGTAGGTTTGCTATAAAGGTAAACCTATGTCATGGGTGTTTGTTGTACAGATTATTTCATCATCTAGGTATGAAGCCTAATGCCTATTAGTTATTTTTCCTGATCATCTCCCTTTTCCCATCCTCCACCCTCCGATAGGCCCCAGTGTGTGTTGTTCCCCTCTATATGTCCATGTGTTCTTATCATTTAGCTCCCACTATTAAGTGAGAACATGTGGTATTTGGTTTTCTATTCTTATGTTGGTTTGCCAAGGATAATGGCCTCCATCTCAACTGATGTCTCTGCAAAGTACATGATCTAGTTCTTTTATATGGTTGCATAATATTCCGTGGTGTATATGTACCACATTTCCTTTATCTAATCTATCACTAATGGGCATTTGGGTTGATTCCATGTCTTTGCTATTGTGAATAGTGCTGCAATGAACATACACATGCATGTGTCTTTATTACAGAACAATTTATATTCCTTTGGGTATATACTCAGTAATGGGATTGCTGGGTTGAACAATATTTCTGTGTTTAGGTCTTTGAGGAATTGCCATACTGTTTTCCACAATGATTGAACTAATTTACACTCCCACCAACAGTGTATAGGTGTTCCTTTCTCTCCGCAACCTCACCAGCATCTGTTATTTTTTTACGTTTTAGTAATAGCCATTCTGACTGGTGTGAGATGGTATCTCGTGGTGGTTTTGATTTGCATTTCCCTAATGATCAGTGATGTTGAGCTTTTTTTCATGATTGTTGGCCACATGTGTGTCGTCATTTAAAAAGTGTCTGTTCATGTCCTTTGCCCACTTTTTAATGGGGTTATTTGGTTTTTTCTTACAAGTTTGTTTAAATTCCTTATAGATGCTAGATATTAGACCTCTGTCAGATGCATAGTTTGCAAACATTTTCTCCCATTCTGTAGGTTATTTGTTCACTCTGTTGATAGTTTCCATTGCTGTGCAGAAATTCTTTGGTTTAATTAGATCCCATTTGACAATTTTTGCTTTTGTTGCAATTGCTTTTGGTGTCTTCATCATGAAATCTTTTCCCGTTCCAACCAGGCACGGTGGCCCACGCCTGTAATCCCAGCACTTTGGAAGGCCGAGGTGGGTGGATCACTTGAGCTTAGGAGTTTGAGACCAGCCTGGCCAACATGGTGAAACCCAGTCTCTACTAAAAATACAAAAATGAGCCAGGTGTGGGGGCTCATACCTGCAATCCCAGCTACTCGGGAGGCTGAGGCAGGAGAACTGCTTGAACCTGGGAGATGGAGGTTGCAGTGAGCCGAGATCATGCCACTTCACTCCAGACTCCAGCCTGGGTGACAGAGCGAGACTCCATCTCAAAAAAAAAAAAAAAAAAGAAAAAAAAATCTTTGCCTATTCCTATGTCCTGAATGGTATTGCTTAGGTTGTCTTTCAGGATTTTTACAGTTTGGGGTTTTGCATTTAAACCTTTAATCCATCTTGAGTTTATTTTTGTATATGGTGTAAGGAAAGGATCCAGTTTCAATTTTCTGCATATGGCTAACCAGTTATCTCAGCACCATTTATTGAATAGGGTGTTCTCTCTCCCATTGCTTGTTTCTGTCAGTTTTGTCAAAGACCAGATAATTGTAGGTGTGGCCTTATTTCTGGGTTCTCCATTCTGCTCCATTGGTCTATATGTCTGTTTTTGTACCAGTACCATGCTGTTTTGTTTACTGTAGCTGTGTAGTATAGTTTGAAGTTGGGTAGCGTGATGCCTCCAGCTTTGTTCATTTTGCTTAGGATTGCCTTGGCTGTTTGGGTTCTTTTATGCTTCCATATGAGTTTTAAAATAGTCTTTTCTAGTTCTGTAAATAATCTATATTGTAGTTTAATAAGAATAGCATTGAATCTATAAATTGCTTTGGGCAGTATGGCCATTTTTATGATATTGATTCTTCTTATCCATGGGCATGGAATATTTTTCATTTGTTTGTGTCATCTCTGATTTCTTTGAGCAGTGTTTTGTAGTTCTCTTTGTAGAGATCTTTCAGCTCCCTGATTAGCTGTATTCCTAGGTATTTTATTATTTTTGTGGCAATTGTGAATAGGATTGCATTCCTGATTTGGCTCTCAGCTTGACTGTTATTAGTGTATAGGAATGTCTGTGGAGAAAGGATCCTCCATCCTCATCTGATAGCAGTGAGATTGAATGAAATGGTATAGATTGAAGCTAGTCGGACTCCACTTTCCCTTCCCTCAGTGTCAGTGGGTTCCAGTGAGAAGCTGAACTTATACATTTACTCAGAGACAATGAATGTAAGTTAGTGCTCAGCTTTTTCTGTAAAGGTGTCAGTAGGGCTGAGAGTGGAGCTGAACTTCTACCCTAAGCATGTGAAAGAGGCAGTATAAATTAGTACTCTACTTCTGCAGGTTGGTGTCAGCCAGGCTTATCAGGGAGCTAAACATTCACTCCCACCAAGACCTGTGTGCTATACCTAAGCAAGGGGACTGCTGTTAAAAAATAATATTTTTTAGAATGTAAAGTCTCACATTATAATATTCCAAATATCCAAAATATAATTTTAAAAATCACACATAATACCAAGAACCAGGACAATTACAACTTTCATGAGAAAAAATAATCATTATCAACAGATACAAACAGTGATGAATCAGATATTGAAGTTCACAGGCTATCATAAAAGCAGCAATCATAAAAATGCTCCAATAAATAATTGTGAATTCTTTGAAACAAATGGAAACAATAGAAAATCTCAGCAGAAAACTGGGAATATTAAAAAGAACCAAAGGGAAATTACTGAACTGTAAAAACAATAACTGAAATTAGCAACTCACTGATGGGCAAAATAGTTAATTAAACATGACTGGAGTACTAAATAATGAACTCAGGTTGGGCGCGGTGTCTCACACCTGTAGTCCTAGCACTTTGGGAGGCTGAGGTGGGTGGATCGCTTGAGGTCAGGAGTTTGAGACCAGCCTGGCCAACACGGCGAAACCCCGTCTCTACTAAAAACACAAAAATTAGCCGGGCATGGTGGCACACGCTTGTAATCCCAGCTACTCGGGAGGCTGGGGCAGGAGAATCACTTGAACCCGGGAGGTGGAGATTGCAGTGAGCTGAGATCGCACCATTGCACTCCAGCCTGGGGAACAGAGTGACACTCCATCTCAAAAAAAGAAAAAAGAAAAAAAAATGAACTCAGTGACAGATACCTAGCGACTACACACTCTTAACAACATAGAGAAACAGACTAGGAAAGAAGGAATGGGGCCTCAGGGTCCTATGAGGCAATACCAACAGATGAAACATTTATATCATCAGAGTCCCAGAAAGAGAAAAGAAAGAGTATGAGACTGAAAAATATTCAAGGAAATAATGGCTGAAATTTTCCCAAAGTTGGCTAAAGTTATAAACCTACAGATTCAAGAAGCTGAGCTAACATAAATAGGATACGCCAAAAGAAATCCATGCCAGTACACATTATAATTAACCTTCTAAAAACAAAACACAAAGATATGCTTGCTTCAGGCTGGGCACAGTGGCTCACGCCTGTAATCTCAGCACTTTGGGAGGCCGAGGCAGGCAGATCACCTGAGATCAGGAGTTCGAGACCAGCCTGGCCAACATGATGAAACCCTGTCTCTACTAAAAATACAAAAATTAGCTGGGTGTGGTGGTGTGTGCCTGTAATCCCAGCTACTAGGGAGGCTGAGGCAGGAGTATAGCTTGAACCTGGGAGGAGGAGGTTGCAGTGAGCCGAGGTTGCACCACTGCACTCCAGCCTGGGCAACAGAGAAGATTAGCATGGCCCCTGTGCAAGGATGACACACAAATTCATGAAGACTTCCATATTGAAAAAAACAAAAAAACTAAACACAAAGAAAAAAATCCTGAAAGTAGCATGTGAGAGAAAGGACACCTTACCTATAGGGGAAAAGCAATTAAAATGACAGCAGATTTCTCATCTGCAACCATGCATGTTAGAAGGAAATGGCATAACATTCTTCAAGTTGTGAAAAGGATTGTTGGTGAAATCTACATGTAGCAAGAATATCCTCAGGAATGAGTAGAAAATAAAGAATTTTATTTCTCAGACAAATGAAAACAAAGAGTATTTGTTGTTAGCAGGCCTACGTTTTAAAATGGCTTAAAATGTCAAAATAGGATATAAAAAGCACAAGGAGGCTTGGAACTTTGGAAAAAGAACAATGGAATGGGTAAAAATAGGAATAAATATGAAGGACTCTCATTCCCTTCATGAATTTCTTACATCATATTTGATATAAAAATTTTGTCACATGATATGGTGTTTAATGTATGTAGAGGAAATACTTAAGAGAATTATACTTTAAAACTAGAGAGGGATTTCTACTTCTGAAAAGATGGAATAGACATAGTTTTCCCTATTTCTCCCATTCAGTACAGATAAAAGCAAACATAAGTCCGTGAAAGATGGAGGGATGAAACCTGACTGATTAAGTACATGGAGACCTGAGGAAGAACATGGAAGCTCCCTTGGTTTTCTTTTTGCCTTGTATATCCCAAACTGGGTGCTAGAGAAGCCTGCAACACAATAATGCCAGTGAGCACAGGCAAAAATAAAGACCTAGGAAAGACTGATTGTCTAGTCAAAAGATCAGGAAAGAAGCAACCTAGCAAGAGATAAAATTTAGATATTAATTTATCCACCCCAAACACTGCAGAAAAAGTTCAGTCCCAGGCCCACCCCACAGATGGCTGCGTGGGAAGCCTAGAATTCTACCACCCTTGCCAGGTTTTAATGAGGCACATTGATCAAGTCAGAGTAAGCTGAGTGGGGAGCTGAGACTTTTATCCTTATGATCCTTATCCCTCCTCCTTCCACAGTGTCAATGGAGACTATCTATGGAATCTAGACTTCCAGCCCTATTTGGGCTTAACAAGGCACTCACATTCCCACACATGGGTGCCAGAGGAGACCTAGTGAAGATTCAGGACTTTCACCATTACCTAGCAAGAATGAAGCCACACCACTATGGTGTTAGTGGAAACCACATGGGGAGCAGTATTAAGACACCCTGGTGCCTACCAGCCAGGGTGATATTAGCAGAGGCCTAGAGGGGAACCTGAACTCCTGTCCCACCTAGCAGTAATGAAGAGCCCCTTTCCTCTGGTGTCAACAAAGGCTGAGTGGGGAACCTGGATTTTCAATCCTGAAGCAGAAGAATCACTTGAACCGAGGAGGCAGAGGTTGCAGTGAGCTGAGATCGTGCCATTGCACTCCAGCCTAGGCAACAAGAGTGAAACTCCATCTCAAAAAAAAAGAAAGAAAAGAAAAGACATGTTAACCCAGAAGCCTATATCCAGAGAAGAATATCCCCGTTTGGAGTGTTCAAGACATTCTTTTTTTTTTAAGACAGAGTCTCACTCTAATGCCCAGGCTGGGGTGCAGTGACACTCTCTCAGCTCACCGCAACCTCCACATCCTGGGTTCAAGCTATTCTCCTGCCTCAGCCTCCTGAGTAGCTGGGATTACAGGTGTGAACCACCACGCCCAGCTAATTTTTGTATTTTTAGTAGAGATGGGGTTTCACCATGTTGGCCAGGCTGGTCTCAAACTCCTGACCTCAAGTGATCCACCCACCTCTGCCTCCCAAAGTGCTGGAATTACAGGCGCGAGCACCGCACCTGGCCCCAAGACATTCTTAAAGGAATTAAAAGTAAATTTGTCACCAGCAGATATACCCTGAAAGAATGGCTAAAAGAAGTTCTCTAAACAGAAAAATAAAACAAAGAGTCTTGGAACATCAGGAAGAAGGAATGAACAATAAGAAGAGAAAAAATATAGGTAAATGCAGTGAACTCTTAAATTTTCTGAATAACTTTATTGAAGCAAAAATTATATCACTGTCCAATGTGGTTCTCAATGTATACAAAGGCAATATTTAAGACAATTATAAATGAGGGCGGGTAGGGCGGGCACGGTGGCTTACACCTGTAGTCACAGCATTTTGGGAGGCCAAGGCAGGTGAATCACCCGAGGTCAGGAGTTGGAGACCAGCCTGGCCAACATGATGAAACCCTGTCTCTACTAAAAACTACAAATATTAGCCTACCGTGGTGACAGGCGCCTGTAATCCCAGCAACTTGGGAGGCTGAGGCAGAAGAATCACTTGAACCTGGGAGGTGGAGGTTGCAGTGAACCGAGATCACACCATTGCACTCCAGCCTGGGGGACAAAGCGAAACTCCTCTCAAAAAATAAATAAATAAATAAATAAATAAATAAATGAGGGAGGGTAAAAGGATGTAAAGGTAAAATGAAGTTTCTACACATCACTGGGACTGGTAAAACAATATTCAGGAAACTGGCAAGATATAACTATTTTATTTATTTTTTGAGATGGATTACAGGCACGCGCCACCACGCCCAGCTAATTTTTTTATTTTACTAGAGATGGGGTTTTGCCATGTTGGCCAGGCTAGCCTTGAACTCCTGACCTCAGATGATGCACCTGCCTCAGCCTTCCCAAAGTGCTGGGATTACAGCCGTGAGCCACTGCGCCCGGCTAATATAACTTTTTTTTTAATGGTTTTTTAATGGTTTAACTGGAAGTTGCTCCTAAGGGCATACAGCAAATCAAGAAATATTTATTCAAGAAAGTCATGGTTAGAGCAGCTAGAGTCTGTGGCACTTAAACCGTGGCACACTCTCTCCATCCCCTACCCCCAGCTCAGATTTTTTGGAAGCTCCATTCTGGGTAGTTGTGGCCATGAAGACAGGGACCCCTCTCCTTCAGCTCCTAATCAGGGGATATGGCATATCACAGGAGGGATAGGTTTCCAGCATTCATCATCCTCTTTCATTCCACGTTGAAGAGACTATAATTCCTGGTGAGACTGAGACCTTACCCCACTCAACACCCACTCCTAGGGTGGAAGCTCTACCCCAGCTGAACACACCAGAACAAATAGGCAGAATATCACAATAGATGATGTAACTCCCAAGTAGTTCTAACAGAACACTCCATCTTTAACGATGGAAAAATACACATTCTTCTCAAAAGCACATGGAACATTTTTTGGGATAGACCACATGTAAAGTAATCAAACAAGCCTCAATAAGTCAAAAAGATTAAAACAAGACAAAGTATGTCTTTGACCACAATTAAGTAAAATTATAAATTAATAACAATGAAAATTTGGAAATTCACAAATATATAGAAATTTAAAAATACATTTTTAACCAATGGGTGAAAGAAATGAAAATGAAGCCACAACATACCAAAACTTAAGGGATGCAGCTAAAGCACTGCTTAGATAGAATTCTTTTTTTTTTTTTTGAGATGGAGTTTCGCTCTTATTGCCCAGGCTGGAGTGCAGTAGTGCCATCTCAGCTCACTGCAACCTCCGCCGCCCGGGTTCAAGCGATTCTCCTGCCTCAGCCACCCAAGTAGCTGGAACTACAGGCGCCTGCCACCACGCCCAGCTAATTTTTTGTATTTTTAGTAGGGATGGGGTTTCACCATGTTGGCCAGGCTGGTCTCAAACTCCTGACCTCAGGTGATCCGCCTGCCTCGGCCTCCCAAAGACCAGGGATTACATGGGAGAGCCACTGCACCCGGCCTTAGATAGAAATTGATAGCTGTAAATGCCTACTTTAAAAATGAAGAAAGATACCGGCCACATGGTGGCTCATGCCTGTAATCCCAGCACTTTGGGAGGCCAAGGCGGGCGGATCACGAGGTCAGGACATCGAGACCATCCTGGCTAACACGGAGAAACCCCATCTCTACTAAAAATACCAAAAATTAGCTGGGCGCAGTGGCGGGCTCCTGTAGTCCCAACTACTCAGGAGGCTGAGGCAGGAGAATGGCGTGAACCTGGGAGGCAGAGCTTGCAGTGAGCCGAGATTGCGCCCCTGCGCTCCAGCCTTGGCCACAGAGCGAGACTCCATCTCAAAAAAAAAAAAAAAAAAAAAGAAGAAGAAACATACCAAATGAATAACCTAACCTTTCACAGTAAGACACTGGAAAAAGAAGAGCAAATGAAAAGCAAGGAGAAGGAAGGAAATAATAAAGTGTAGAGTTAAAATCATTAAAATAGTGATAGTAAAAATAAAGAAAAGAAATGCAGTCTAAGTAGTTTATTTGAAAAGATCAATGAAATTGACAAACATGTAGCTAGACTGAACAAACAAAAAAGACGAAACTAAAATCAGAAATGACAAAGGGGACATTACTACCTACCTTAGGGAAATAAAAATGATTAAAAGGAAATACTATAAAACTGTTTGCCAACAAATTAGACAACTTAGATGAAATGAACACATTCTTAGAATGATACAAATTACTGAATCTGACCAAGGAAGAAATAGAAAATCTGAACATACCAAAGTATCAGGCCGTTCTTGTGTTGTCACAGAGGAATATCTGAGGCTGGGTAATTTATAAAGAAAAGAAGTTTAATTGGCTCATGTTTCCTCAGGGTATACAGGCATGGCACCAGCATATGCTTGGCTTCTGATGAGGCCTCAGAAAGCTTACAATCATTGTGAAGCCAAAGGGAGAGCAAGTATGTCACATGGCAAGAGCAGGAGAAAGAGAGAGGGAGAATGATGCCACACAACCAAATCTTGCATGAACTCAGAGCAGCAACTCACTTATCACCAAGGGGATGGAGCTAAGCCATTCTTTGATTATTATCATCATCATCATCATCATCATCATCATTGCAGGGAGCCGAAGGCCCGTGAGACGTGACCAACTCAGCATTTTGCTGGAGGCTATATGATCAAACAGCAGACTGTTTATCATGAATGCAGGATGTGGGCAAACTCACACTGCCCTGCCACCAAAAGGTTTGCTGAGAGACATCACTCCCTGGCACGGGGTTCCTTGCAGTTATCTACTGAGAAAATTAGTGCCTATTGTTCAAAGGATGCAGTCTCACAAGCCTGCTGTGAACCAAAGCTGGCTGACAATTACCCAACAATCACCCCCACCTTTCCTGCTGTCTCTTTTGCCTAATAAATACGGAGGGCTGTGTAAAGCTCAGGGCCCTTGTCCACTAGAGGCAAGGTGCCCCCTGACCCCTTCTTCCAAATAGATTCTTTTGTCTCTTGTCTTTTATTCTCATGTTCACCCCCGCTTTGTTCAGTCCTCCTAGGTCCGTGCAGGCTACAAGTGGCGCCCCGAACAGCGACAGAATCGGGTGCTCTATGGTTATTTTGAGACAAGGTCTTGCTCTGTCACCCAAGCTGGAGTACAGTGGTGTGATCACTGCTAACTGCAGCCTTGACCTCCTGGGCTCAAGCAATCCTCCCACCTCAGCCTCCCAAGTAGCTGGGACCATAGGCACATACCACTACATCTGGCTAAATTTAAACTTTTTTGAAGAGATGGGGTCCCACTATGTTGTCCAGCCTGGTCTTGAACTCCTGGCCTAGAGCAATTCTCCTGCCTCGGCCTCCCAAAGTGCTGGTATTATAGGCATGAGCCACCACCCCTGGCCTAAACCATTCTTGAGGGATCTGCCCCCGTGATCTACTCACCTCCCACTAGCCCCCACCTCCAACATTTGGAATCACATTTCAACTTGAGATCTAAGGGGACAAACATCCAAACCATATCAACGTATAACAAGAAAATAGATAGAATTCATAATGAAAACACTACCTACAAAGATAAGTTCAGTCCCAGATGCCTTCACTGGTAAATTCTACCACACACTTAAAGATGAATTCAGGCCTGGCATGGTGGCTCACGCCTGTAATCCCAGCACTTTGGGAGGCTGAGGCAGGTGGATCACGAGGTAAGGAGTTCAAGACCAGCCTGACCAAGATGGTGAAACCTCGTCTCTACTAAAAATACAAAAATTAGCCGGGCACGGTGGCAGGAGCCTGCAATCCCAGCTACTTGGGAGGCTGAGGCAGGAGAATCACTTGAACCCAGAAGGCAGAAGTTGCAGTGAGCCGAGATTGTGCCACTCTACTCCAGCCTGGGTGACAGTAAGAATCTGTCTCAAAAAAAAAAAAAAGATGAATCCATAGCAATTCTTCGCAAATTCTTCTAAGAAACAAAAGAGGAGAAAACTCTTTCCAACTCAGTCTTTGAAGCAAATATTGCTTCGATATTAAAATCAGAAAAAGCCATCACGAAAAAACTACAAGTCAATATATCTTATGAAATAGGTGCAAATCCCTCAATTAAAAACTAGCAAACTAAATCCAACAACATAAAAAAGGGCTAAATACCACATTCAAGTGGAATTTATCCCAGAAATTCAAGATTAATTTAACATCCAAAAATCAATATAATGCATCATATTGGTGGAACAAAGAACAAACCCCACAGGATTATCTTCATATTCAGAAAGAGCATTTGACAACATTTAAGTGGTTCTGTTCCACTTGAAGATTTATATCTTCAAGATGAAAATATTCAACGACAAACTAGGAGGAGAAGGTAACTTTATTGTGATGGTTAATTTTATTTGTCAACTTAAGTAGGCTAGGGGATACCCAGATAGCGGGTAAGACATTATTAATGGCTGTGTCTGTGAGGGTGTTTCTGAAAAAGATTAGCATTTGAATCAGTAGACTGAGTGAAAAAAATCACCCTCACCAATGTGGGCCGCATCCAATCCACTCAGGGCCCAAATAAAACATAAAAGTAGAAGAAGGGTGAATTCTTTTTTTTTTTTTTTTTTTTGAGATGGAGTCTCGCTCTGTCACCCAGGCTGGAGTGCAGTAGCGCAATCTTGGCTCACTGCAAGCTCTGCCTCCTGGGTTCAAGCGATTCTCCTGCCTCAGCCTCCCGAGTAGCTGGGAGTATAGGTGCCTGCCACCATCCCCAGCTAATTTTTGTATTTTAGTAGAGATGGGGTTTCACCATGTTGGCCAGGATGGTATCGATCTCTTGACCTCGTGATAGGAAAGGTGAATTCTTTCTCTCTGAGCTTGGATGTCTGTCTTCTCCTGCCCTCAGATATTGATGCCCCTGATTCTTGGGCCATCAGGTTCAGGCCAGTACTTATATTATCAGCCTTCAGACTCAGACTGAATTATACCACTGGCTTTCCTGGTTCTCCAGCTACAAGCTGTAGGTCCCATAGTAGGTCATGGGACCTTTGAGCTTTCATAACCATGTGAACCAATTCCTAAAATAAATTTTCTTTTATCTGTTTTATACATGTATATATAAAATTGGCTCTGTTTCTCTGGAGAACCCTAATACAGATTTTAGTGCTGAGAGTGGTTCTAGTGGAACAGAATTTTTAAGATGAGTTTTCTGAATTGGTTCTGGAATTGGCTGTCTAGTATGAATTGATTTAAAGATGTTAATAATTCTATTTCCAGTAGTAAAAAGAGAGCACTGATAATCCATGGTATAAACTAGATAATCCATGGCATGTTCATATAGATACACAAAATATCTGCTTTGGATACTCCCAATCAGCCACTTATAAGAAGCAAGGAGATAAGTGACTTTGTATATGATACTTTCAAACATTTTTGGAAAACTAAAGAATATAATGATGTAGTTGGCTAATGCTAATGTCACTGGACAAAGTGGTGAAAGAAAAAGACAAACTCAGGGATTTGAATTCCCAGGTCAAGTGCTGCATAAATGATCCAAGAGTTTCTAAGCATACCCTGAAGGAGAGCCTTATCTCCTATAGGCACAGGGCTGAAATTGCTGAAAAATCAAATGCAGAACCTCATTCTATGATTGGCTGAATTACAACACAAGTTGAACTCCAAGCCGCATAGGTGTCTACTGTTAAAGTGAGGACATTGGAAAAGAATGGGGTTCTGTAAACTTGGATGACTTTAATAAGGCTAGAGACATTGAGCCTCCAAACTCTGATGAATCTTTTTGCCAGTGGAAGAGGTCTCCCCAACCCCAGAGGAGCTGGCCTCCAAACCTGCAGTGATATTCATCTTTCCACCTCTGCCTGAAGGGATTAACTTTGCATTGCCTGAGGAAATGGTAATGGCCTACCCTGAGGCAGTTGTCTTGCAAGACACTGCTGGTTTTTCTCAAGACCCATACGCACCACCCCTTTTCATTTCTAAACCTATACCTAGACTGAAGTCCCAGCAGGTTCCTGAAGAAGAGGTACAAAGTGTGACCCATGAAAAGGTATACTATATTCCAAAAGAACTGCTTGATTTTCTAGTTTAAACAAGCAGAAACCAGGGAACATGTTTAGGAATCAATATTAAGGGTGTGGGGTAACGGGGGAAGGAACGTAAAGTTGGATCAGGTTGAATTCATTAATATGAGCCCACTAAGCAGAGATTCTACACTTAATGTTTCAGCTCAGGGACTTAGAAAGGGCTCTAACAGTTTGGTTGGTTGGCTGAAACGTGGATCCAAAGATTGACCACTGTGAGGGAACTGGAAATGTGCAACTTCCCTTTGTTTATTTGTTTTGTTTGCTTGTTTTTGAGACAGAGTCTTGCTCTGTCACCCAGACTAGAGTGCAGTGGTGCTCACTGCAAACTCCGCCTCCTAGGTTCAAGTGATTCTCCTGCCTCAGCCTCCCAAGTAGCTGGGATTACAGGCGTGTGCCACCACGCCTGGCTAATTTTTGTATTTTTAGTAGAGACTGGGTTTCACCATGTTGGCCAGGCTGGTCTCGAACTCCTGATCTCAGGTGATTTCCCCACCTCAGCCTTCCAAAGTGCTGGGATTACAGGTGTGAGCCACCGCGCCCACCCATCATCTGCTCATTATTATTCTTTTCCCTGCCCTCTTTTGAATTGAGTATTTTTAATGATTTCATTTGTCCTTTGTTGGTTCATTGGGTATATGTTGGTTGTGTTATTTCAGTTATATCTTTGAGTTTATATTACACATCTTTAATTTACCACAATTTACCTTTGGTGGTATTATACTATTTACACAAAGTAGAACCTTACAACAATGTGCTTCCATTTCAGCCCTGGCCTTTCTGTTATCATAGTTACGCATTTCACTTCTATATATATCATAAACATCACAATACCTTCTTATTACTTTAAACAGTTTATTATGTATTAAAGCTATTTAAATAGAAACACAGCTTTTACATATTCTTTCTAGCATTTTTCATTTCTCTGTGTAGATCCTTATTTCCATCTAGTATCCTTTTCCTTTTGATTGAAGGACATCCTGTTTTTTCACTGGGTAAAAAATTCTAAGTTGATACATTGGCTTTTTTTTTCAGTGCTTTAAAGATGTTGCTCCTTTTACCTTGCTTTTTTTTTTTTTTTTTTTTTGAGATAGAGTCTCACTCTGTCACCCAGGCTGGAGTGCAATGGTGCGATCTTGGCTCACAGCAACCTCCGCCTCCTGGGTTCAAACGATTCTCCTGCCTCAGCCTCCTGAGTATCTGGGATTACAGGTGCGCACCACCACTCCCGGCTAATTTTTGTATTTTTGGTAGAGACAGTGTTTCACCATGTTGGTCAGGCTGGTCTTGTACTCCTGACCTTATGATCCACCTGCCTTGGCCTCCCAAAGTGCTGGGATTACAGGCGTGAGCCACCGTGCCCGGCCGCATTTTTTATTGAATGAAATCTGCTGTTATCTTTGTTCATTTGTACATAATATGTCTCCTCTTTCTGGCTTTTTAAAACAAGTTTCTTTATAGCTGCTTTTAAGCAGTTGTACCTTGGTGTTGTTATTTTCATGTTTCCTCTGCATAGGCTTCACTGAGATGCTTTAATCTGTTGGCTTATAATTTTCATCACATAATTTTCATTTGAGTATTTTTTATCCCTGTTTTACTTTGAATAGTTTCCCCTTCCATGTCTTCAGGCTAACTTCTTTTTCCCCTGAAATGTCCAGTCTGCTGCAATACCAACTGTGTCAGTCAAAGTCTTCCAGAGAAATAGAACTAATAGGATATATATATATAGAGAGAGAGAGAGAGAGAGAGTGAGTAGGATATATGTATATATAGGATATATAAAGAAAAAAGTAATAGGATAGGAAAAAACTAATAGGATATATGTATCTGTATATATATATATATATATGTGTGTATATATACATATATATATTCTATCTATTGATCTGTTTATCAAGTGTTTATCAAGTGGGAGAGAGTGACTGATTTATTTAAGGGATTGGCTCATGCAATTGCAGGGGCTGGCAAGTCTGAAATCTGTAGGGCAGGCAGGCTGAAAATTCAGGTAAGAGTTGATATTGCAATCTTGAGTCTAAAATTCACGGGGCAGGACAGCAGGCTAAAACATCAGGGAGGATTTCTGTTAGAGTCTTAAGGCAGAATTCCTTCTCTGGAAACCTCAGATTTTGCCGTTAAGGCCTTCAACTGATTAGATGAAACCCTCCCACATTATGGAGTGTAATCTCCCTTAAAGTCAACTGACTGAAAATGTTAATTACACATGTAAGATATCTACATGGTAGTATCTAGACTACTACCAAATAATTGGTCATTATAGTGTAGCCAAGTTGACATGTAAAATTAATCATCATACCATCCAGTATGGCATGATGTATAGAAAAACCCTTCTTGAAGTGTTTCCTGTAGCTTCTTGAAGTTGTAGTTATAATAAATGTTTTAGTGCTCTTATCTTGGTTTTTTTTTTTTAGACAGGGTCTCGAAGTGTTTCCTGTAGCTTCTTGAAGTTGTAGTTACAATAAATGTTTTAGTGCTCTTATCTTGGTTTTTTTTTTTTAGACAGGGTCTTGCTAGGGTCTTGCCCAGGATGGTCTGGAACCCCTAGGTTTAAGCAATTGTCCCAATCGTTTTAAGCAGCCTCCTAAGTAGCTGCAACTACAGACGCATGCCACTGTGCCCAGCTTGTGTCCTTACCTTTTAATTATATCTTCTGTGTAATTTCTATTGGTTGACTTTTCTCTTCATTTTGGGGAATATATTCTTTGCATGCTAGCATTTTTTTAATTGGAATTCTAAAATCCAGGGTCTTAGGATGGAAGCAGGTGTAAGAATAGAAAAAAAAAAAAAAAGTCCCCAATTTTGCCTTATTGGATGCTGGATAGTTTTGTATTCTTTTAAATATTCTTGAGCTTTTTATCTGGGATGCAGTTAAGTTACTTGGGAACAATTCAGTCCTTTCTAGGCTTGGATTTAAGCTCTGTTAGGTGAGACCAGAGAAGCATTTAGGTTAATTTTTGCCCCACTATTGAGGCAAAACCCTTCCGAGTACATGACTTGATGCCATGTGAATTAGCATTTCCACTCTGTCTCGTGGGAACAGACATTATTCCTGTTCTTTTTGAGCTCACAGTATTGCCCTCTAACCCTTTCTAGTGTTTTTTACCCCTAATTTTGAGGAGTTTCCTCACATGTACATGCTGGTCAGCACTTAACTAATACCTGAGGAAGAGGACTCTCTGCACATCTCTGGCGCTCTCTCTCCCTTTCTGTACTCTGCCCTGTGAACTCTAGATGCATATGCCTCCTCAGATTCCCAGTTCCATCTCCTCAAGTTGAACTCCATGCTTCACTTGAGTTTCCCTTCTCTGTGCTATGACTTGGAAATTCTCTCCATCTGCGGGAAGTTCAAAGGCTCACCTCCATGATTTCCACTGCTCTTCATTGTCTGATGTCAAATGTCTTCAAATGTTTCATATATTTTGTCCTTTTAAATGTTGATTAAGGTGAAGGGCTAAATCTGGTTCCTGTTACTTCATTTTGAGAAGAAGCAAATAGGAAGTAACTTAAAAATACCACTTTTTATCAAATTCTTAGAAAAAGAGTATAACTCATTTTGCAAAGACTTTGGTATGTTTTTGAGCGTATTATTCTGTTACATCTAATAAACAATCTTTGCATTAGTAAGATAACTTTAATTGCTATAGTGTTAAATGTCCTCAAGTTTAGTTTTTCCTTATCTTCTTGTAATCAATTGGAATTAAAAAAAAAACTTCAGAATCTTCTTCTTTATAACAGGAAAAAAAACCCCAGTATTTTTGGCATTTTTAGAAGTACATTCATACACACTGTCATTTAAAACATGGGGGTGGGAGGTGGAGCAAGATGGTGGAATGGAAGGCTCCACTGATCATTCCCCCTTGTAAGAAAAACAAGTTAACAACTATTTACACACAAAAGCACCTTCACAAGAACCAAAAATCAGGTAAGCACTCGCAGTACCTGGTTTTTACTTCATATGACTGAAAGAGGCACTGAAAAGGTAGGAAAGACAGTCTTGAATCACCAATGCCCCTGACCCATCCCCCAGCAGTGGCTCTGTGGTGCGGAGAGAGAATCTATGTTCTTGGGAGACGGCAAGCACAGCAATGATGAGACATTGCATTGAACTCAGTGCTGCCCTGTTATACCAGAAAGCAAAACTGGATCAAACACAGCTGATTCTCACGCATGGAGGGAGTATTTACACCAGCCTTAGCCCGAGGAGAATCACCTATCCCAGCAGTTGGAATTTGAGTTACTGCCAATCTCACCACCTCTGGCTAGAGGGCCCTAAATAAACTCGAAAGGCAGCCTGGGCCACAAGGACGGCTCACGCCTGTAATCCCAGCACTTTGGGAGCCTGAAGTGGGAAAATTGCTTGAGGCCAGGAGTTCCAGACCAGCCTGGTCAACATAGCGAGACCCAGATTCTTTTTTTTTTTTTTCCCCCTTGAGAAGGAATCTCACTCTGTTGTCCAGGCTGGAGTACAGTGGTGCGATCTTGGCTCACTGCAACCTCCACCTCCCGAGTTCAAAGTGATTCTCCTGCCTCACCCTCCTGAGTAGCCGGGACTACAGGCGCCCATCACGACGCCCAGGTAATTTTTGTATTTTTAGTAGAGACGGGATTTTACCACATTGGCCAGGCTGCTCTCGAACTCCTGACCTCTGATCCGCCCGCCTCAGCCTCCCAAAGTGCTGGGATTACAGGCGTGAGCCACCGCGCCCGGCCGCGAGACCCAGATTCTAAAAAACAAAACAAAAAATTAGCCCGGTGTGGTGCTATGCACCTGTATTCCCAGCTACTCAGAAAGTTGAGGTGAGAGGATTGCTTGGCCAGGGGTTTGAGGCTGCAGTGAGCTATGATCACACCATTGTACTGCAGCCTGGCCGACAGAGCAAGACCCCTTCTCAAAAAATAAGTAAGTAGATAAAGTTCAGGGGTGTACAATCACAGGTGTGAATTTGCAGGATGGAGGACATGTAACATCTTTTTAAAAAAAAAAAAAATTAGAAGGACCGTATAAAAAGTTAAAGAAGACTTACTGCTCACCTGACCACCCTTCTCATAGACCCGAAAGTTAGATTTTACTTTCTGATTTTTCACAATTTCTCCTGGATGCTGCGGTCCCGCCCCTCGCAGCATTCTGGATGTTGTAGTCCCTCGCTCCAGGGCATCCACGGTAGGGTAGTTGCGCGCCCCGTGGCAGTCTGGGTAGTGTAGTTCCGTGCCCAGGGGCAGTCCGGCTCGCGTACTTCCGCGTTCCGGCATCGTCGCCTGGTGCGTGGTGAGTGTCCTTTCACAGTTCTGGTGAGCTAGCCCGGAGGTGGTCCCCGCTTTCGCGGGCCTTCCACTGGAAGGAAGGTCGGGAAAGCTGGCATGGGCAGTCCATGTCGTGGCCACATGTTCCTTGGTGTTTTGAGTTTCGGCTGTGGGGTCTGGGCGTGCGTGGTCCACCCCGGAGAGAGGTCTTGGCGGAGGTCCTCTGGTGGGGAGGGGGCGTTGGCGTTGTCGCGTGCTTCTGGCGGGACTTTGGGCCCAGTATGTTGACCTGGAGGGGCCAGTGCAGGCCTGGGACCGACTTCCCGAGCTACTTCGCAGGTGCGTCCCCGGTACTTCGGGGGCCGCTGAGTGGGCTCTGCCTGGGGTACCCAGACAGCATCCTGCCACTAGTATCCCGCCATCCCCTCCCCACCATCGCGCCTCGGAGGTCTCTGGGCCAGCAAATGTGCCTTTGGAGGACATGATATCCTCGGTTGGAGCAAACTTCCCCATTAGTGGGAGGCACGCGGCTTGGGCATCAGTCGGGTTGTTTATTTGTTTATTTATTAAATTTTATTTATTTATTTATTTATTTTTGAAACAGAGTCTCTCTCTGTCGCCCAGGCTGGAGTGCAGTGGCGCAATCTCGGTTCACTGCAATCTCCGCGCCCCACCCCAGCCGCCGGGTTCAAGCCATGCTCCCGCGTCAGCCTCCCGAGCAGCTGGGATTACAGGCACCCGCCACCACGCCCGGCTAATTTTTTGGTTTTTGTTTTGTTTTGTTTTTTTGAGACAGAGTTTCGCTCTTGTCGCCCAGGCTGGAGTGCAGTGGCGTGATTCCCCTGCCTCAGGCTCCCGAGTAGCTGGGACTACAGGCGCACGCCACCACGCCCGGCTAATATTTTGTGTTTTAGTAGAGACGGGGTTTCACCATGTTGGCAAGGCTGGTCTCGAACTCCTGACCTCAAGTAATCCCCCCGCCTCGGCCTCCCAAAGTACTGGGATTACAGGCGTGAGCCACCGTGCCCAACCTCAGTCCAGTTATTAGGGCTCTTGTGGATGGCTGGTGCACTGTGGTGGTGATGGTGCAGCTTGGCCACTAGGACCCGGGTTTGTGGGGGAGGATTGTTTGTGGGTAGACATCCAGACTTGGTCTTGATAGTGGGGGGGGGGACGGCTAGGGCCGTGCGACTCGGGTCAGTAGCCTTGGGGCCTGGGGACCCAAGTTGGTGAGTTGAGAAGGGCTTGCCTGGAGTTAGACATCCCTGGGTTGTGGGTTGCATGGGGGCGTGCTTGTATCCAGATTGTCGGCTTCTGCAGCTGTGTGGCTCCCTCGGACTTGGGGACCCTTCCGGGAGCATGGGTTGCAACAAGCAGAATGGTGCCCATAGGGCCAAGGAACATTTTTCTCAAGCCTCAGGGGGCTGTTGAGTGACTCCTTGAATTCCTGGAGGTGGGGGAAGAAGTTGGGTGGAAGGCATCCAAACCTACATTTTTTTTTTTTTTTTTTTTTTTTTTGAGATGAAGTCTCACTCTGTCGCCCAGGCTGGAGTGCAGTGGAGTGATCTCAGCTCACTGCAACCACGGCCTCCCGGGTTCAAGCAATTCTCTGCCTCAGGCTCCTGAGTAGCTGGTACCACAGGCGCCCGCCACCACGCCCGGCTAATTTTTTTTGTATTTTTAGTAGAGACGGGGTTTGTTTTTTGTTTGTTTGTTTGTTTGTTTGTTTTGAGAGGGAGTCTTGCTCTGTCGCCAGGCTGGAGTGCAGTGGGGTGGCGCGGCGCGATCTCGGCTCACTGCAAACTCCGCCTCCCGGGTTCAAGGTATTCTCCTGCCTCAGCCTCCCGAGTAGCTGGGACTACAGGCACGCGCTACCACACCTGGCTAATTTTTGTGTTTTTACCATGTTGGCTAGGATGGTCTCGATCTCCCGACCTCGTGATCCGCCCGCCTCGGCCTCCCAAAGTGCTGGGATTTCAGGCGTGAGCCACCGCACCCCGCTCGAGACGGGGTTTCACCATGTTGGTCAGGCTGGTCTTGAACTCCTGACCTCCTGATCCACCGGCCTCGGCCTCCCAAAGTGCTGGGATTACAAGCGTGAGCCACTGCGCCCGGCCAAGACCTACTCTTATTTCTAACTTCTCAGTATGAAAACATTGCAAAGATATCCAGAAGTAGTTTTGAAGTTCCATGGATTCATCACTCAGATTCACCACTTACAAATGACTCACCTGTCTTCTTTCCCCCAAATCTGCAACCCCAAGTGTGGATCTCTTTGGAAATTGTCTCTTTCACTAGGGGTCTATACCAGGATTTGGTGTCTTGAGTGACCCTTCATAGAGTGAGTTCAAATCCAGGTCTCTCCCTTTGTCACTGTCACTTTGAGCAAGGTACTTAACCTCGTGGAGCTGCTGTGAATGTAGAACGAAGTAAAACTTGTGTATGACACTTCTCTGATGTAGTTCTTTAAAACAAAATTCAAATGTCATATCATTTCATCTGTAAATGGCAAAAACCACAATTACTTTTGCACCAATCTAATACTTCAGTGTTCAGTATGCATCTCTCATAAATAAGGAATTTAAAGAAAAACAACTTCAGCATTAATGATCATACCCAAGAAAATTAACAGAATTTATTTAGTATCACTTATTCAGGCTGTGTTGTTTCCGTATTTGTCTCAAAAGTTGCCTCACTACAGATATTTGTCCACTACAAAGCTTTCCTGAGTTTTCTCTGGCAGAATTACTTCCATTGTCCTTTTTAGTTTCAGAGCACTTTATTATATGAGGACTCCACGGCTGGCATGGTATATCTCAACTGTCTGACTGTCCCACTGGTTTTGAGATAGTTCTTTGAGGGGACAGGCACCTTGTCTGGCTCCTCATGGGTCACTGACACAGTGCTTGGCACCCACCTGGACTGTGCAACTGACTGACTTTGAGGGTATCAGTTGTCTTTTTTGCCTGGAAAAGGAAGTTCATGGAGGATAGAAACTCAGATGGGAAAAGGGGGTTAGGCTATTACTGGGGAAAGCCTAGGGTGCCAAGATTGTGTGTGGATCTTATCTGAGGTCAGCGAGATCTACTGCCGGGTTCTGACAAGAGAAGGGTCATGATTTCTTTTTTTCTTTTCTTTTGTTTTTGTTTTTGTTTTGAGACAGAGTTTCACTCTGTCGCCCAGGCTGGAGTGCAGTGGTGCGATCTCGGCTCACTGCAACCTCTGCCTCCCAAGTTCAAGCGATTCTCCTGCCTCAACCTCCTGAGTAGCTGGGCTACAGGCGTGCGCCACCATGCCCAGCTAAATTTTTTTGTATTTTTAATAGAGACGGGGTTTTACCATGTTGGCCAGGATGGTCTTGATCTCCTAACCTCGTGATCCGCCTGCCTCGGCCTCCCAAAGTGCTGGGATTACAGGTGTGAGCCACCTCGCTTGGCTGAGAAGGGTCATGATTTCTGACTACACTCATTACCCTATCTCTCTGCTCCCTTTTACAGTGAAAGTCATCAAAAAAATTGCATGCACTTGATGAATGCAGTGCCTTTCTGTGCATCATCTATTTAATTTCCAAGTATTTGGAGGGTTTCTAGCTATTCTTACTGACTTCTTATTTAATTCCATTCAGGTCAAAGAACAAATGATGTAGAATGTCAGTCTTTGCAAATTTATTGGGAGTTATTTCACAACCCAGCATGTAGTGTGAGTTGGGGAATGTACCATGGGCCCTTTAAAAGCATGTGCATTCTGTTGAGCAGTGATGAGCTAATATCAGTTTGGTCAAGTTAGTTATTATGTTCAAATCTTGTATTTCCTTATGGATTTTTTTTTCTAGTTATTTTATCAACTGTTGTGGCAAGGTGTTAATTCGAACTAGGATTATGGAATTGCCAATTTCTCCATCGAGTTCTGTCAATTTTTGCTTCACGTATTTTGAAGCATTGTTATTATAAGGTGCATACATATTTATCTTTGTTATATCTTCCTGATGAATTGACTGTTTTATTTTCATGAAACATCCCTTTGTATCTCTGGTAACACTTTCTCTTGAAATGTAGTTTATCTGATAGTAATATAGCCATTTCAGTCTTGTTATGTTTACTCTTTGCATGTTATCTCTTTTCTCATTCATTTTCTTTCAACTGACCTATGTCTTTATATTTAAAGTCTTTATATTGTAGACAACATATGGTTAGGTCTTGCTTTTTTTTTTTTAATCTATTCTGATAATCTGTGCCTTTTTTATTTATTTTTAGAGACGATGTTTTGCTGTGTTGCCCAGGCTATTCTCCAACTCGTGGGCTTAAGCAATCCTCCTGTCTCAGCCTCCCAAAGTGCTGGGATTACAGGCATGAGCCACCGTGCCCAGCCAGTCTGTGCCTTTTAATTGGAATGCGTATTTCATGTAATTACTGATACAATTAGATTAGGTCTCTTTTACTGTTTGTTTTTTTATTTGCCTCCTGTTTTTTTTCTTCCCCTGTTCCTATTTCTGCCTTCTTTGGGCCAATTGAATTTTTTTTTTTTTTTAGCATTCTAATTTAACTTAATTCAATATAACTTAATTGCCACTTAGCTATAGTGCTTTGCATTTTTACTTTATATTTTTAGTGCCTGCTTTAGAGATGACAGTATATATTTGTAACTCTTCACAGTCTATGTAATGTCGAACAACTTCATGTAAAATGAGGGCTCTTGTAATTGTATAGGTACTTGTACCTACCTACTCCGTCATTCTTCAGGCTGTAATTGTCATATGTATTGAATCTTCATATGCTGTCAATCACAATGCAAATATAATGTATTTGCTATAAACAGTCTTTTATTTTATCTTTTTGAGGTGGCGTCTTGCTCTGTTGCCCAGTCTGGAGTGCAGTGGCACAATTTTGGCTCACTGCAACTTCTGCCTCGCGGGTTCAAGCGCTTCTCCTGTCTCAGCTTCCGAGTCACTGGGATTACAGGCATACGCTACCATGCCCAGCTAATTTTTGTATTTTTAGTAGAGATGGGGTTTCACCATGACCAGGTTTGTCTTGAACTCCTGACCTCAAGTGATCTGTCCACCTTGGCCCCCCAAAGTGCTGAGATTACAGACGTGAGCCACCGCGCCTGGCTTCAGTTGTATATGTTAAAGAAATTAGGAGAAAAAAGAAATAGTCTTTTTTGGGTGTGAACGTTATTTATCGTTTCTGGTGATCTTCAATCACCACAGAAAATCCAAGGTTCCATTTGGCATAATTTTTCTTCAGTTCACAAAAACTCTTACAGGGCAGGTCTGCTGACGATAAATTTTACTGGTTTTCTTTTACTTGAAAATGTCTTTGAAGGCTTTTTAAAAATCAGATTTATTACAAAATCACAACTCTTAAGTGTACAATTCGATGAGTTTTAAGTAATGTATATTGTTGTGTAACTGATTTGCTCCCTATCACTAAAGTTTTGCCTTTCCTAGAATTCCATGTAAATGAAATCATATAGTACGTATTCTGTTTCTGCCTTCTTGTTACTTGATCAGTAGTTTATTCCTATTCCTTTTTATTGTATTTTGTTGTATGATTCTACTACCTTTTGTTTATCCATTCTCCTTTTTCTGTTGTTTTTGATTGTTAGGTATAGTAATTAAGCTACTGTGACAATTCTTGTACAATTCTTTTTTTTCCAGGGTTCTTTTACTAGGCTGATGTATATCTCTTTCTGTACCCTGTTTTTTTTTTTTTTTTTTTTAATATCTCTTAGGTACTTTGGGAATTGCCAGATCATAGGTATGTTTAACATTAAAAAAAACCTGCCATACAGTCTTCAAAAATAGTTGTACCATTTTACAATCCTGTTCCCGGACCAAACTGAGGGTCAGGCTGCTATTTTTCGTGGCCCAATAACGAGATGCAGATGAACTGGGGAGGAAGAGAGTTTTTATTTCTGTAACCGGTTACAGGGAGAAGGCCTGGGAATCATCACAAAACTCAAAATTACAAAGTTTTGCCAGGCGCAGTGGCTCATGTCTGTAATCCCAGCACTTTGGGAGGCTGAGGCAGGCGGATCACTTGAGGTCAGGAGTTCGAGACCAGCCTGGCCAACATGGTGAAACCCTATCTCTACTAAAAATACAAAAATTAACCAGGCTTTGTGGCAGGCATCTGTAATCCTACTTACTTGGGAGGCTGAGGCAGGAGACTCACTTGAGCCCGGGAGGTAGAGGTTGCAGTGAGCCAAGATCGCCCCATTGCACTCCATCCTGGGGGACAGAGCGAGACTCTGTCTCAAAAAAAAAAAAAAATTACAAAGTTTTCCAGAGCTTATATAACAAGCTATATCTCTATGTGTAAGTGTGCTTTCATCTAAATACATAAGTGATTAACTTCTTTTAATCTATAACTAAGGTCTGAGTCCTGAAGACTTTCCTCTGGAGCCTCAGTAAATTTATTTAATCTAAGTGGGTCCAGGTGCTGGGGTGATTACCCTTATCTTATCTCCTGCTAAATCATGGAGGCTTGGGGAGTTCCCTCAGATCCTCAGTAAACTTGTTTGTGGAGACCTAGGGAGTTTCTTCAGACCCACAATAAAACTTGTTTAATCCTAAATGGGTCCTGTTAAGAATTCCTTAGTTATTTACAAAAAAATGGCTGGGCATGGTGGCACATGCCTGTAATCTCAGCTACTCAGGAGGGTGAGGCAGTAGAATTGCCTGAACCCGGGAGGCAGAGGTTGCAGTGAGACAAGATCACACCACTGCACTCCAGCCTGGGCAACAGAGAAAGACTTTGTCTCAAAAAAAAAAAAAAAAAAAATTCTTAGTTATTTTGTCATGCTTTAAGGCTCAGGAAAGGCCTAGGCAAAATTGTTGATGGGCTTTTGTTACATCCTAGCCTTTGTATAAGGGCACTGACTTTTAATATTTAACTTAACCACTCAGTCAGTACTGAAACAGTTCTTAGTGAGACCTGACCTGCCACAATCCCCACTGTCAATTTGCACATGATTTCTATCATGCTTGTATATTTATTTGTCACAAGAATTGTAGGGAGATGGGGCATTATAATCTTTCTGGCTACTTCCTGCTGAGATGGGGTCGTTGTTACGGAGCATCGAACGCAGCGCTGGAGTGAAAGAGTTCAATTTGTTCCCAGTAGCAGTCTCTGTTTTGGGGGCATAGAGGCAGCGCCTGCTGAAACATAGTAGTGTGCAACAGCAACACATATAAATAGGTTGCCACTGTTTTCTTCTGAAGTTTAAGTTGTCTAGTCTTCAGTTCACAGGGCTTCAAGAAGGCACAGCTTAGGTTTCAGTGGTTTCAAATTAGGAAAAATAGGGAAAAAGGAAAAGAAGGAGGAAAAAATTGAAAACATTATTTTGGAGACCTGTAGACAGAAAAATTAGAATTTAATCCAAATTGTAGAAAATAATAAAAACTGAAAAACATCAGGTGAAACTAGAATTTAACAACAGGTGTACTGTAGTTTTTGAAACATAATTTTTCTCTTTCCAGTTTCCCATTTTTATTAAAAGATAAATCATGGTAGAACTGGTTTGCTTCATTGTACTTGGCCTAATTATTTGTATACAGTGCAGAAAGAATAATTATTTTTCGTGTAGGCCTTTTTTTTTTTTTTAAGACAGAGTCTCACTCTGTCACCAGGCTGGAGTGCAGTGGCGCGATCTTGGCTCACTGCAACCTCCGCCTCCTGGGTTCACGCCATTCTCCTGCCTCAGCCTTCCGAGTAGCTGGGACTACAGGCGAGCGCCACCACGCCCAGCTAACATGTAGGCTTTTTAAATTGGCTTTGATGGAACTTTGTTTCATAGAAGGAATCTGAGATAAGACTTTTTAATGCCACGCCCAGCCATGGATTTGTATCATCAAGTACCTATCAGTTGGGTGAATACCTCTCCTCTTGAGGTTCTAAGGTAACCTGGGGTTCATGGACTGTCAGAAAGTGACATTCTTTACTTACCACAGATCAGAAACCCTGTACAGGGACTGTGTACACAAAATATGAGGCCAGTTTCTAAAGGCTTTCTTGGCTTCATAAGTGAACTTTGATTCCTTAAAGGAGAGCACACCATTCCAGTTAAAGCCTTGGTAAAACAACCAGTTTTTCCAATTGTGTCCTGTTACAAAAGAAAACAGATTCTTATTGCACTTATGCAAATAACTGTATTGCCATAAATTAAGAATACTCACAGATAGTTTCCAAATTCTAGAGGAACCAGGTAGAGAGGAACAAATATGCTCCAAATTTTGTTCATGGGCATACACTTAATTGTTAAAAGCTGTTAATAGCTCAGAAGAAAAGTTTCCTTGACACTGAAAAGCAAAACAAAGGATTAGCAATATTTTAAGCAAAAATGTCAAAAAGGTCATTCCAGTCTATTAGTTCAGTTCATGCAGTTAATTCCTGTTGTGCTTGATATTAATGAACATTTTAGCTCTTCACGAGTCCTGAACGTTTTTCCTCTATTCTGATGTCACAATCTCTAAAGTTATCAGAAACCTGCATTCAAAAGCACCTGTTAGAGCTTTACAGCTGATTATAAAACTGCCTTCTTTTTTTTTTTTTTTTTTTTGAGACAGAGTTTTGCTCTTGTTGCCCAGGATGGAGTGCAATGGTGTGATCTCAGCTCACCGCAACCTGCCCCTCCTGGGTTCAAGCGATTCTCCTGCCTCAGCGTCCTGAGTAGCTGGGGTTACAGGCATGTGCCACCATACCCAGCTAATTTTTTTTGTTTTTTTTAGTAGAGATGGGGTTTCTCCATGTTGGTCAGGCTGGTCTTGAACGCCCGACCTCAGGTGATCCGCCCACCTCGGCCTCCCAAAGTGCTGGGATTACAGGCATGAGCCACCGTGTCTAGCCTATAAAACTGCCTTCTAAAGAGGACTGAAACAAGACAATTGTTTATGGATGACAAAAAGTTTTAGGGTAGCCATAGTTAAAGACACAATTGACAAGGAAATCTGTTAACTCTGTGGTACAAAATAATTTAACATAACAATTATAATTATTACTGATAACATACACTAAAATAGAATTATAGGAGTTTCCCATAACTTTGGAACACATACCAACAATGTATTTATACAAATATAGCCCAAAGAAAGCCAAACATGATTTCATATTTAACAGTGCTTTCTGTATAATTTTTATACCAAATAAGCCCAATTTCATCTTTACATTAGTGTGCTATTAATGTTGGCCTGGCACAGTGTCTCACGCCTGTAATCCCAGCACTTTGGGAGGCTGAGGCAGGTGGATCATGAGGTCAGGAGTTCGAGACCACCCTGACCAACATGGTGAAACCCCATCTCTACTAAAAATACAAAAATTAGCTGGGCGGGGTGGTGGGGCCTGTAATCCCAGCTACTCAGGTGGCTGAGGCAGGAGAATTGCTTGAACCGGGAGGCAGGGGTTACAATGAGCCGAGATCACACCACCGCACTCCAGCCTGGGTGACAAAGTGAGACTCCATTTCAAAAAAAAAAAAAAAAATTTCCAAAGACATTTCTAAGTGTCTAAATTATATGTTTTCCTAAAAACCCCAGAGTAGCTTTTGTTGTAATAGCTATTAATGAAGAAAACAGAATTCAGTCAACAGAGAAGAAAAAACTTTTGCTCAAAAAGACAAGGTCTTAGGAAAGAAATAAACAAAAACATGAAGGCCTTTTAAATACAAACATACACACATGCACACATATATATACACATCTTGGATGTTAGCTTTTATTTAGGCCGACTGTCAACCATTGAGCTCCTAAAAAAAAAAAAATTTTTCCTTCCCAGAGGCCTCTCAGCAGGAATGAACCCAATACCTCCCATTATCAAGTTTACATGGTATCAAAAGGAATAAGACAGATACACAAAGAAGTGGAGACAAATTTTGGACAACACAAGGGGGAGTGCACTCAGGCAAAACAGACTCAAAACCAACTCAAAACCTGATCTCAACCAAAATGCAAAGGGGGTGTATGAGCGAGCCCTCTTGCTTCCCTTGGTGGTACCGGACAAATGGCTTCGCAAGCCCAGACAGGAAAACAGTAGGCTCCTGACATACTATCTGGGCAACTCACCCTTGGAGCCCATCCACTCCTGATCTCCATGCTTCCCTAGTAGTGAAAGGGACATGCAGATTTGCGCATGCATGAAACAGCCCTCTGGAGGGTCCCCTGGGAAAACCTCACCCGGCAGCTGCTGGAATCCTCCTGAAGACTGTCTCATTGCAAGCTGCCAGCCACTGAAAGCGGCACTCTCCTTATCTCCTGGCTAGCTCACCAAATTTGTTCCTGGACCAAACTGAGGATCGGGCTGCTATTTCTTGTGGCCCAATAACGAGATGCAGATAAACTGGGGAGGAAGAGAGTTTTTATTTCTGTAACCGGTTACAGGGAGAAGGCCTGGAAATTATCACCAGACCAACTCAAAATTACAAAGTTTTCCAGAGCTTATATACCTTCTAAGCTATATGTCTACATGTAAGTGTGCATTTGTCTAAAGATGTAAGTGATTAACTTCTTTTAATCTATAACTAAGGTCTGAGTCCTGAAGACCTTCCTCTGGAGCCTCAGTAAATTTACTTTTCTAAATGGGTCCAGGTGCTGGGGTGATTACTCTTACCTTGTCTCCTGCTAAATCAGGAGGTTTGAGGAGTTCCTTCAGGCCCCAAATAAACTTGTTTGTGGAGGCATGGGGAGTTTCTTCAGACCCACAATAAAATTTGTTTAATCCTAAATGGATCCTGTTAAGAATTATTTCATTATTTTGTCATGCTTTAAGGCCCAGGAAAGGCCTAGGCAAAACTCTTGATGGGCTTTTGTTACATCCCAGCCTTGTATAAGGGCACTGGCTTTTAATATTTAACTTAACCACACAGTCAGTACTGAAGCAGTTGTTAGTGATACTTAGCCTGTCACAATCCTACCAGGGTTGTACGAGAATTCTGTTGCCTCATTCTTGCCAACACTGCTATTTTCTGTCTTTTACCTGCCCTGATTGATGTAAAGTTAAATTATTACATCTTTCTGGTTTTCTTTTTTCACTTCTTTTCTACTCTTTCTTCACTTTTTGTATTCTTTATATTTCCTAAGTGTTGAATTAAATGGTGAGATGAGACATACTTTTCATGTTCTTGATCTCAGGGAAATCATTCAATATTTTGCTATTAAGTATGGTATTAGTGCTATGTTTTTGTAGATGCTTATTAAATTGAGGAAGTTTCCTTCTATTGCTAATTTGTTAGGAGTTTTTATCATGAATAGCCATTGAATTTTTTCATATATATAAATATATTTATATAATTTAAATATATATAAATTTCAAATTTATATAAATATAAAAATAAATATATTTTTAAATATATATACTATATAAATATATATAAATATATAATTTATATAATTATATAATATATAATATTATATATTATATAATTAATGTATTTATATAATATATAAATATATATGTTATATATTATATAAATATATATAAATAATATATATATTATATTATATAAATATATATAAAATATATATATTATATTATATAAATATATATAATAATATATATATTATATTATATAAATATATATAATAATATATATATTATATTATATTATATATAAATAATATATAATATATTATATAAATATATAAATAATATATTATATATTATATAAATATACAAATAATATATTATATATTATATAAATATACATAAATAATATATGTATTTATATATATATAAATATATATATATTTGCAACTACGAAGGTGATTTTTCTCCTTTATTTTGTTTTATTTTATTATTTTTGAGACAGGATCTCACTCTTGCCTAGGCCAGAATGCAGTAGCACGATCATGGCTCACTGAAGCCTTAACCTCCTGGGCTCAAGCAGTCCTCTCACCTCAGCCTCCTGCATAGCTGGGACTACAGTCACGTGCCACCATGCACAGCTAATTTTTGTATTTTTTTGTAGAGATGGGGTTTTACCATGTTGCCCAGGCTGGTCTTGAACTCCTGAGTTCAAGCAATCCACCTGCCTCAGTTCCCCAAAGTGCTGGGACTGCAGGAGTGGTCCAGGGCACCTTTCATTTTGTTAATGCAAGTAATTAATTGCTTTTCAAATGTTAAACTGGCCAGACTCAGTGGCTCACGCCTGTAATCCCAGCACTTTGGGAGGCCGAGGCGGGCAGATCACTCGGTCAAAAGATCCAGACCACCCTGGCCAACGTGCTGAAACCCCATTTCTACTAAAAATACAAAAATTAGCTGGGCGTGGTGGTGCACACCTGTAGTCCCAGCTACTTGGGAGGCTGAGGTGGGAGAATCGCTTGAACCCAGGAGGCGGAGGTTGCAGTGAGCTGAGATTGTGCCATTGCACTCCAGCCTGTCGACAGGGCAAGACTCTGTCTCAAAAAAAAAAAAAAAAAAAAAAGTTAAACTAACGTTGCATTTCTTGGATAGGTCTCATGTGTTGCCATATCATCCTTATAACCTATTGCTGGGTTTGACTTTCTATTATTTTTAAAGGACTTTTGCAGGAAGTGTATGGCTTTGTCAGGTTTTGGTGTCTGGATTATGTTGGCCTCATAAAATGAATTGGGAAGTATTGCCGTCTCTCCTACTTGTATTTGACAGAATTTATCTGTGAGCCTGAACTTTTACTTCTGGTTAAAGTTTAAAATCATGATTTTAATATCTTTACAGATGTAGGGCCACTCAAAATTACCATTTTAGTTTTGGTAAACCTTATGATTAAAGGAATTTGTTCATTTCACGAATTTGGGGCCTGTCGTTTTTATTTTTAATAAGAATCTCTTATTGTCCTTTTAATGTATGTAGGATCTGTAACAATGTTTCCTCTTTCATTCCTGATCTTGGAAATTTGTCTTTTTAAATTTTAATTTAATCATTTTTCCTAGGGGTTTAGTAATTTTTTTGGAGGGGGTTGTAGGAGCTTTGATCTTCTTATTCTTTTTTTAAATTACTGTGGCAAAACAACCACGTAACATATATTTATCCTCTTAATACTTTTTAAGTATACTGTATAATATTGTTAACTATGTACAACAGAGCTCTAGAACTTTTTCATCTTGCATGACTGAAATCTTTTACCTATTGAATAGCAGCTCATTCTTTTCCTCTTCCCCATCTATTAGCAACTACCATTCTACTTTCTGTTTCTATCAGTTTAATTACTTTAGTATTCATATTAGTGGGATCATGCAATATTTTTCTTTTTGTGACTGGCTTATTTTATTTAGTATAATGTCCTCAAGGTTCATCTATGTTGTAGTATGAGCCAGAATTTCCTTCCTTTTAAAGTCTGAATAATATTCCATTTGTGTGGATAGACTACATTTTCTTTATCCGTTCATACATTGAATGGATACATCTGCTTCCAATTCCTTTGGATATGTATCCAGAAGTTGGATTACAGGATGATGTGGTAGTTCTATTTTTAATTTTTTGAGGAACCTTCATACTGTTTTCTGTAGTGGCTACACCATTTTACAGTCCCACTAACAGTTCATTAAGGTTCTACTTTTTTACATCCTTGTTAACACTTATTTTCTGTTTTGTTTTGTTTTGTTTTGTTTTGTAGTGGCCATACAAATTGGGGTTAGGTGATATCTCATTTTGGTTTTCATTTGCATTTCCCTGGTAATTTGTGATGTTGAACATCTTTTCATATGGTTCTTGGCTATTTCTATATCTTCTTTAGAGAAATGTCTATTCAAGTCATTTATTCATTTTTAATTGAGTTTTTTGTTACTGAGTTGTAGAAGTTCTTTATATATTCTACATTTTAGCTCCTTATTTGATACATGGTTTGCAAATATTTTCTCTCATTCTGTAAGTTGCCTTATCACTCTGTTGGCTGTTTCCTTTGCTGCAAAGAAGTTGGTAAGTTTGATGTAGTCCCGTTTGTCTATTTTATATTTGTTGCTTGTTCTTTTAGTGTCATATTCCAGAAATCATTGTCAAGACCAATATCATGAAGCTTTTTCCTATTTTTTTTTTAGGAGTTTTATAGTTTCAGGTCTAGGGTTTAGCAATTTTAATTTTTTTTGCAAACACCCTTTGACTTTTTAATTCTCTATAGTTTTATTTCTATTTCATTATGTTTTCCTCTTTATTACTTCCTTTCTTCTTATTTTGGGTTCTTTTTGCTTTTCTTTTTTTAGCTTCTTGAGATGGGAGCTGAGTTATTTTTAATTAAAACTTCTTTTTTTAAAGTACATTCATTTAAAGCTATAACTTTCTTTCTTTCTTTTTTTTTTTTTTTTTGAGACAAGAGTCTTGCTCTGTCGCCCAGGCTGGAGTGCAGTGGCACCATCTCGGCTCACTGCCAACTCCGCCTCCCGGGTTCACGCCATTCTCCTGCCTCAGCCTCCCGAGTAGCTGGGACTACAGGCACCTGCCACCAGGCCCAGCTAATTTTTTGTATTTTTAGTAGAGATGGGGTTTCACCGTGTTAGCCAGGATGGTCTCGATCTCCTGACCTTGTGATCCGCCCAGCTTGGCCTCCCAAAGTGCTGGGATTACAGGCGTGAGCCACTGCGCCCGGCCAAAAGCTATAACTTTCTTTCTAAGAACTGCCTTATTACCGGCTGTATTCATTTGCTAGGGCTGCCATAACAAAGTACCACACAATGGGTGGCTGTAAACAACAGAAATTTTTTCTTCATAATTCTGGAAGATAGAAGTCCAAGATCAAGGTTTCGGCAGGGTTGGTTTCTTCTGAGGCCTTTCTCCTTGGCTTATAGCTGGTCATCTCCTCCCTGTGTCTTCACATGGTCTTCCCACCGGAAGTTTTTATGTCCAAATTTTCTCTTCTTACAATGACACCAGTTATATTGGAGTAGGGCCCACTCTAATGACCTCATTTTTACTTAGTTATCTCTTTAAAGACCTCACCTCCGAAGACAGTGACATTCTAAGGTACTAGGGGTTAGGATGTCAACATACGAATATGGGAGACAAGGAATAATTCAGCCTGGAACAGCTCCAAGTCACAAATTTGGTAAGTTGTAATATGTATTAATAAGTTTATTAGAATCACCGAGTTCAAAATATTTTCTCATATCCCTTGGAATTTCTTCTTTGATTCATATCTCCTTTAGATAAGGGCTGCTTAATTCCTAATTATCAAGGTTTTTAAAAATATCTTATTGTTATTGATTTCTGCTTTGGTTCCATCTTGGGCAAATAATATACAGATGTTCCTTGACTTACAATGGGATTATGTCCCAATAAACCCATTGTAAGTTGAAAATATTGTTTAGGTTGACAATGCATTCAATATACCTAACCTGCCGCACATCAGAGCGTAACCTAGTCTACCTTAAATTTGCTCAGAATACTTACATTAGCCTACAGTTGGGCAGTCATGTGCCCAAGGTGGTTGGGGCACAGCTTGGTTTTATATAATATTTCAGGGAGGCATGAGACATCAATCAAATACACTTAAGAAATACACTGGTTTGGTTCAGAAAGGGCAAAATCATCTGGCAACATGGTCCACTATAGAATATGGGTTGTTTACCTTCAAGATCGTGTGGCTGGCTTGGAGCTGTGGCTTGCTGCTGCTGCCCAGCATTGCAAGCCCTGGAAAAGATTAAAATTCCAAATCTGAAGTAGGGTTTTGACTGGGCATGGTGCTTTATGCCTTGTAATCCCAGTGCTTTGGGAGGCTGAGGCAGGAGGATCACTTGAGGCCAGAAGTTCTAGACCAGCCTGGACAAACAGTGAGACCCCATCTCTATGAAAAATAAAAAAATAGCCAGGCATGGTGGCACACATCTGTAGCCACAGCTACTCTGGCGGCTGAGGCAAGAGGATTGCTTGAGCCCAGGAAGTTGGGGCTGCAGTGAGCTATGATTGTGCCACTGCATCCAGCCTTGGTGACAAAGTGAGACACTGTCTCTCAAAAAGTAAATAAAAAAGAAGTATGGTTTTTACTGAATGTGTATTGCTTTCATACCATTATAACGTCGAAAAATTGTAAGTTGAACCATTGTAAGTTGGGGACTGTAGTCCTTTGAAATTGGAGATTTGTTTTCTATGCCTCAGTATTTCATCTACTTTGGTGAATATTTTGTGTACACCTATAAAGGATATGTATTCTATACTTGTTGGGTTTGGTGTTCTGCAAAGGTCCATTAGATCAGTACTGCCCAATAGTGTTTTCCAGATCATCCATTTCCTGACTTATTGTCAGTTCACTTTTCCATTAACTGAGTGAGGTGTAATAAATTTTCTTAACTATGATTATGCATTGGTCTATTTCTCTTTCTCCTATTCTGTCATTTTTCTTCCTGTATTTTCTCTCAGTCCGTGGGTTGTCTTTTCATTATCTTATCAGTGATGTAAAATAGGAGTCGTGGGGGCATCCTTGCCTTGTTCCTGATCTTAGGGGGAAAGCATCTAGTTTCTCACCATTAAATATGATGTCAGCTGTAGGCTCTGCACTATCTGTTTTTTTTTTTTTTTTTGAGACAGTCTCACTGTCACCCAGGCTGGAGTGCAGTGGTGCTATCTCAGCTCACTACAACCTCTACTTCCCAGGTTCAAGTGATTCTCCTGCCTCAGCCTCCCAAGTAGCTGGGCGCCTGCTACCATGCCCGGCTAGTTTTTATATTTTTAGTAGAGACAGGGTTTCACCATGTTGGCCAGGCTGGCCTCGAACTCCTGACCTCAAGTGATACACCCGCCTCAGCCACCTCTCAAAGTGCTGGGATTACAGGCGTGAGCCACCACACCTGGCCTGCACTCTCTTTTCATTTAAGTATAGCCACAATTATTTGCAGAGAACATCGGTTAGACCATTTTTAACCTAAACTTAATACAATTTATACTGATTTTTTAAATGTTGTCTAATATCTAATCATGTGCAGGTTTCCTCAATTGCCTCAAAAATGTCTAAACAAGGTTCACACATTACAGTTGATTGGGGTCTCTTTTTTTTGTTCTTTGAGACAGAGTCTTGCTCTGTTGCCCAGGCTAGAGTGCAATGGCGTGATTTCGGCTTACTGCAACCTCCACCTCCCAGGTTCAAGTGATTCTCCTGCCTCAGCCTCCGGAGTAGCTGGGATTATGGGCGCCGCCACCACACCCAGCAAATTTTTTGTATTTTTAGTAGAGATGGGGTTCCACCATGTTGACCAGGCTTGAACACCTGACCTCATGATTCACCCACCTCGGCCTCCCAAAGTGCTAGGATTACAGACGTGAGCCACTGTGCCTGGCCAATTTTTGTATTTTTAGTAGAAACAGGGTTTCACCATCTTGGCCAGGGTTGTCTTGAACTCCTGACCTCGTCATCCATCCTTGGCCTCCCAAAGTGCTGGGATTATAGGCGTGATCCATCGCACCAGGCCGATTGGTGTCTCTTTAATTCTCTTTTTATTCTATAAGATCTATAAGAGCTCTTTTTATTGTATTTTTTCTACTGTGTTTTTAGTGCTATCCATTTGTTGAAAGTGTTGCATTTTTAAAAAGTTGCAAACATGTTAGTTCACACCACAGAACGTTTGTATCATTTCTTAATGACTGTTTCCTCCATATCCAGAATATCATGATCACACTGTTGACAAAAAGAGTCAAGCTCCGTAAAATATTTTCAGAGATTTATTGTGAGCCAAATATGAGTGACCATGGCCCGTGACACAGCCCTCAGGAGGTCCTGAGAACATGTACCCAAGGTGATCGGTGTACAGCTTGGTTTTATATATTTTAGGGAAGTATGAAACATAAATACATTTAAGAAATACGTTGGTTTGGTTCAGAAAGACGGGACAACTCAAAGTAGGGGGGCGGATTCCAGGCTATAGGTAAATTTAAACATTTTCTGGTTGACGGTTGACAATTGGTTGAGTTTATCTGAAGACCTGGGATCAACAGAAAGGAAATGTTCAGGTTAAGATAAAGGATTGTGGAGACCAAGTTTTATTGTGCAGAGGAAGCTCTCAGATAGCAGACTTCAGAGAGAGCAGGTTGTAAAATATTTCTTATCAGACTTAAAAGGCTGCCTGGCTCTTAGTTGATTATATCTCTTGTATCTGGGAAGGAAGGAAGGAAAACAAAGGGGAAAGGGGATTCTCTATAGAATATGGATTTTTCCCACAAGAGACTTTGTAGGGCAATTTCAAGGTATGGCAAGTAAATATACTTTGGGGTAATACATTTTGATTTTCTTCCTTGTTATGCCAGAGTCAGATTGGAAAGTAAGTCATGATATACAGGGTTAAATAAAACACATCTGATGAGAATTTATGGTTTGTAGGGCACGACTCCCCAGGCCCCTTAGATAGGAATTTTGGCAAGATTTAGAAAAATCAGGGCCGGGCACGGTGGCTCACGCTTGTAATCCCAGCACTTTGGGAGGCCGAGGCGGGCGGATCACGAGGTCAGGAGATCGAGACCATCCTGGCTAACACAGTGAAACCCCGTCTCTACTAAAAATACAAAAAAATTAGCCGGGCGTGATGGCGGGCGCCTGTAGTCCCAGCTACTCGGGAGGCTGAGGCAGGAGAATGGCGTGAACCCGGGAGGCGGAGCTTGCAGTGAGCCGAGATTGCGCCACTGCACTCCCGCCTGGGCCACAGAGCGAGACTCCGACTCAAAAAAAAAAAGAAAAAAGAAAAATCAGAGCTTTGTTCTCAAAACCTAACACCATTAACAATAATTCTCATCACATATTGAATTGTCTCTTGTAGTCTGCTTTTCTCATTCATTTGTGCAAGACAGGATCCAGTCAAGACCTATACTTGTCATCTGAAGTATGATTTATCTCTTAAGAAATATTTTCATTAAGAAAAAATCTACCCCTACTTCTCGCTTCTTAAAAATCTCTTTATGAAATTGACTCGTTATAAAACTAGGTCAGTTACTGACTGCCTGTTCCTAAATTCCAAGTCACATTTCAAATTTTGGGACCTAATTTTTGATATGTGAGTGGAGGGAAGGGTGCAGCCAGAGTCACATAGAAGGAAACTCAGGTTATGGCCTCCACCCTGCTTCATGTCTCCCTCAAAACCAGGAACTTCTGCTTTGGACTTCCTGGAACCTGTCCTTTGGCCTCACAGTAAATATGGATGGGATGCTTTTGTTTTCAGTATGATGAGGCATTTTATTTTTTAACATGAATGCTCACTTGAGGGCACTCTGAGGCCTTTTTCTTTTAATGGAGTCCACACAAAGTCTCACCCAGCTGCTGGAAGATGGGGGCTTCATTCCCTAACTAGAGTTTGGATGTAAGCCTGTTGCTGGCCCAGCTCTGTGGGCTTTTTTTATGAGACACTGGCTAAGAATGGGCTTCACCGATGCCCTCTGCAACCTGTCTTTGTTGCTTCCCTGTTCCTCTACTCCCTACTGAATTGGGAGGCTGGACAGAGTGTGAAGGGTGTTCTTCCCAAGTACCTCTCTCACTTCTCATCTCTTTCCCCAGATTTGCCTCTGCAACTTGACTCTCCTCTAGGAAGAGTACTCCAGAGAGCAGGGATATGTCACCAGGACTCCTGACAACCAGGAAGGAGGTAAGTCCTGAAATTTCTTCCTAGCTATTGCAGGAAGGTTTCATAATCTTTTCTTGTCCTGAAGGCTGCCTTCTTGGTGTTAGGCAAAGCCTATCTTGATCTTGTAGGCGTGACTCATCTTATCTGGAGTTTTCTCTCAGTCTTATTTGCTACATTTATGACTCAGTTATTTACCAAGTAGTTAACTGTGACCATCACATCCTGGGCAGTTAAAATAAAAATACAGGACATCCATGCTTATGTGCCCAGTGACTCCGAAGGCCTACAAAAGTATAGTGGCTCACACCTGTAATCCCAGTACTTTGGGAGGCCGAGGCGGGAGGATCACCTGAGGTCAGGAGTTCGAGGGCAGCCTGGCCAACATGGTAAAACCCCATCTCTACTAAAAGTACAAAATTAGCTGGGCGTGGTGGTGGGCGCCTGTAATCCCAGCTACTAGGGAGGCTGAGGCAGGAGAATCACTTGAACCCAGGAGGCTGAGGTTGCAGTGAGCTGAGATCGCGCCACTGCACTCCAGCCTGGGCGATAGAGTGAGACTCCATCTCAAAAAAAAAAGTATAAGAAGGCTCTCAAAAGAGAAATTGTCTGATTTGCCCCTGAAGGGTTTGGCAAGCTGAAGAGTTAGGGGAAGAGACTGCTGTGAAAATGGCGCAGGACAGTGGCGCGTGCCTGTAATCCCAGATACTGGGGAGGCTGAGGCAAGAGAATCGCTTGAGCCCGGGAGGCGGAGGTTGCAGTGAGCCGAGATTGCGCCATTGCACTCCAGCCTGGGTGACTGAGCAAGACTCTGTCTCAAAAAAAAAAAAGGAAAGAAAATGGGGCAAGAATCCTATCCCTTTTCAGGGATGAGATGACTGGCAGGCTATCCCTCACCGTGTGGGAAGCTTTCAACAGCCAGTGGTCTTTAGCCACATTAGTTTTCTGTGTATAGGTGAGGGCTCTAACCTGCTATTTCTGTGTGGTGCATGGATAGATTTAGTTTTGCAGGCCCATACTTTATAAAGTGAGTTTTCTGTACTTAAAAATTGGAAGATTATGCTTAAAGGTCCAGATTGCCTACTTCTCTGAAAATAGATTATTCTCCACCAGCTAGGCAGCATGTGAACTTGATGTAGCTGAATGGAATTAACACTTACTGACAACATAAATAGCTGCCAGGCAGGGCATTTTTGTATTGATTTTATCAATTACACAAAATATTTATTGTCATTTTTGCTAATTCAGTTTTGCTTTGTGCTATAAATATGTCAAGTGTAGAATGAGAGATCTGTATGTAATCATATTCTGGGGCTCATGGTGGATATTTGCATATTTCTGGATAAATTAAAAATGGTTTTGATCTTATGAGAACGTCACTGAGAGCTGTGAGTCCCTTATTTGTTACACCTTTGAGAGAAATCTGTAACATCTTTGAGAGAAAATGTGTATGTAGCACAGGCAGTTCAGGATTTTTTTCCAAGGTAGCAGGAGACTTTTTTCTTCCGTGTGTTGCACTTTACTATGTATGTTAACAGAGAAGCATTCTAGCAAAACATGGAATATTGGCTTATGTTTTCTGTCCTTACTCTTCCACTTCCTGTGGAATCTTTAGCAGGCCCTAAACCTTATTCTGTCTGTGACCAACTTCTCTCAATATACATTTTTGTTTGTTTGTTTTAGCCATTTCTTTGTGTTAGAAACAAAATGCTTGTTCCTCAGTGCTGCAAAGAAACAGCATTCAAACATAAATTTAATTTTCTCAGCAAGGCAATTTTTACTTCTATAGAATGGTGCAACTCGCGAATGGAGTAATGGTGAGAGCACACCTGGGCAAGGGAGGGGAAGGGGTTCTTATTCCTGACGCAGGTAGCCTCACTGCTGTGTCATTCCCCTGTTGGCTAGGGTTGGACCGCACAGTCTAAGCTAATTCCAGTTGGCTATTTTAAAGAGAGCGGGGGTACCAGCCAGAGTGGTGGGGTGGGTAGTTTGACGGAAGGGCGGTTACTCAGGATGATTCAGGCCAGAGCAGGTGACCAGGGGTGACTCAGGTCAAAGCAGGTGACAAGGGGAACAGATGTGAACTACTGAGTAGAACTGGCGGGAAAGTTGTTTACTGAAACTAGAGGCAAGGGGGCGAAGAGAACCAGGAAGTTAAACTTTAAAATGGAGAATCAAAGAATAAGAGAGCTGAACATACTGACATACTGATTCTTTGAAGAGAATCTTGGAGTTCACTATATCTAACATCTGTGAAAAATTGATGAAAAGATATAAGCATCTAAGAGGCTTAGCATTTTAAAACAAAGCTTCCATATCTAGAATAGTGTCTCTTAGTCAAAAACCACTTGTTGCATAAAGGGAAAGAGGTTTGTTTGTTATGATGCATGTTATTTGAAGCATTGAAATTGTGTATTTTATTACTTTTAAAATTGCATTTCCTGGTACTTTGTTATGCATCAGATCTGAATTATGTAGAAAAACCTGACCTTTATGCAACATGACATTTAGGCATTTTTCCTAAGGGCTTTTGCCTGAGAGGAGAATTGTAACATGCATTATAGTTGTAACATAGAAAGGGAGCTGGTAAGCACAATATGTTAGCTAATAAGAAACTAGTTAGCACCCTGTGAACCCAGAAAACCTGAGACAGGTCTCAGTTAATTTAGAAAGTTTATTTTGCCAAGGTTGAGGATTGTCAACGAAAAGAGTCTAACTCTGTAAAATATTTTTAGAGTTTTATTCTGAGCCAAATATGAGTGACCATGGCCCATGACACAGCTCTCTGGAGGTCATGAGAACATGTGCCCAACGTGGTCAGTGTACAGCTTAGTTTTATATATTTTGGGGAGGCATGAGACGTCAATCAAATACACTTAAGAAATACATTGGTTTGGTTCAGAAAGGCGGGACAACTCAAAGCAGGGGCTCCGAGGCTATAGGTAAATTTAAACATTTTCTGGTTGACGGTTGAGTTTGTCTGAAGACCTGGAATCAATAGAAAGAAGAGTTCAGGTTAAGATAAAGGATTGTGGAGACCAAGTTTTATTGTGCAGAAGAAGCTCTCAGATAGCAGACTTCAGAGAGAAAGCAGGTTGTAAAATGTTTCTTATGGGACCTAAAAGGGTGCCTGGCTCTTAGTTGATGATCTCCTGGATCTGGGAAGGAAGGAAGGAAGGAAAACAAAGGGGAAGGGGATTCTCTATAGAATGTGGATTTTTCCCACAAGAGACTTTGCAGAGCAATTTTAAGGTATGGCAAGGAAATATATTTTGAGGTTAAATATTTTTATTTTCTTCCTTGTCTCATAATGTTATGCCAGAGTCAGATTGGAAAGTAAGCCACGATATATAGGGTTAAATAAAACCCATCTGATGAGAATTTATGGTTTGTAGGGCATGACTTCCCAGACCCCTTAGATAGGAATTTGGGCAAGATAAAAAAAATCAGAGCTTAGTCCTCAGGATGTGCCCATGGCAGCCTCAGGAAGTCCTGACAACATGTGCCCGAGGCAGTTGGGATACATCTTAGTTTTATACATTTTAGGGAGACATGCGACGACGTCAATCAATGTATGTAAGCAGTATATTGGTTCGGTCTGGAAAGGCGGAACAACTTGAAGCAAGGCGGGGATGACTTGAACAAGAGGGGTTCCAGGTTACAGATACGTGAGAGGGACAGTTACATTCTTTTGAGTTTCTGATTAGCCTCTCCAAAGGAGGCAAACAGATATGCATCTATGTCAGTGAGCAGAGAGGTGACTTTGAATAGAATGGGAGGCAGGTTGGCCCTAAGCAGTTCCCAGCTTGACTTTTCCCTTTAGCTTAGTGATTTGGGCGCCCCAAGATTTATTTTCCTTTCATAACCCCTTCATTGAATCTTAAAATTTTTAAAAATATTTGTTGTGTACAGGAGACTTTGTTGGTTTAGGAATAATGATACCTACAGCATAGCATCAATTTGTGTAAGATTCCTGGTTTATTTAGGGGTTCACTCCTCATTGGAATTAAAACTTAAAAAAAATTTTTTGGTTGAGGTATAATTCACATACCATACAATCCAACATTTAAAATGTACTATTCAGAAGATTTTATTATTGAGTGACCTTCACCATCATGTTTTCATCACTGCTAAAAGAAACCTCATACCCATTAGGAGTTATTCCCCATTCGCCCCTCTCCCAGCCCCTGGCAACCACTGATCTGCGTTTTTGTCCTATGGATTTACCTCTTCTGGATATTTTATATACATGAGATCATGTAATTTAACAAAAACGAAACATGTATCAGAAAAAATTACAGAGTAGGGGCCGGGTGTGTTGGCTCATGCCTGTAATCCCAGCACTTTGGGAGGCTGAGGCGGGCGGATCATGAGGTCAGGAGATCGAGACCATCCTGGCTAACACGGTGAAACTCTGTCTCTACTAAAAACACAAAAATTAGCTGGGCATGTGGCATGCGCCTGTAGTCCCAGCTACTCGGAAGGCTGAGGCAGGAGAATTGCTTGAATCTGGGAGATGGAGGTTGCAATGAGCTGAGATCACGCCACTGTACTCCAGCCTGGGCGACAAAGCAAGACTCCATCTCTAAATAAATAAATAAATAAATAGTAGGGAAATCCAGGCCTCTGTCCTTCCCCAAAAGCAACTAATGAGCTGGCAAAAACTGTCAGAATCAACTTTCGTAAAATTCTGGAATCTTGTCAAAACTGGAAGACTTGGTGAAGAAATAAGCTGCTGCTTAGTGGTGAGAGAGTACTATAGCATTTCAGACTGCCTGGCTACCATTAAGTTGCCTGCCTCCCACCTGTCCATGAGGAAGCCCAGGCACAAAGACTTTAAGTCAACTTTCTTAATAAGCACAAAGAACCAAGGAAACCATGGACATGGAACTAAAGGAAATGAAGTCAACAATTTTCAACAGAGAATATCAGTATAGAAAACTTATTTTAAAAAGTATAATATGAGGCCGGGTGCGGTGGCTCACACCTGTAATCCCAGCACTTTGGGAGGCTGAGACTGGTGGATCACCTGAGGTCAGGAGTTTGAGACCAGCCTGACCAATAGGCTGAAACCCCATCTCTACTAAAAATACAAAAAAAATTAGCCGGGCATGGTGGCAGGCACCTGTAATCCCATCTACCTGGGAGGCTGAGGCAGGAGAATTGCTTGAACCCAGTAGATGGAGGTTGCAGTGAGCCGAGATTGCACTACTGCACTCCAGCCTGGGCAACAGAGCAAGACTCTGTCTCAAAAAAAAAAAAAAAAAAAAAAGGACTATAACTAGTAAGTATATTGAATTAGTAATAAAAATCCTCCCAAGGGTCGGGCGCAGTGGCTCATACCTGTAACCCCAGCACTTTGGGAGGCCAAGGCAGGTGGATCACTTGAGGTAAGGAGTTCAAGACCAGCCTGGCCAACGTGGAGGAACCCCATCTCTACTAAAAATACAAAAATTAGCCGGGCGTGGTGGCACGTGCCTGTAATCCCAGCTACTCAGGAGGCTGAGGCAGGAGAATCGCTTGAACCTGGGAAGCTCAGGTTGCAGTGAGATGAGATCGTGCCACTGCACTCCAACCTGGGCAACAGAGTGAGACTCCATCTCAAAAAATAAAAATAAAATAAAATAGTTAGAAGAAACTAGCTTGCACCAGGTAGCAATTTTTTTATAACAGCAGGAATGGACTAAGTCATCCACAGAGAAAATTGTTAGAGCTAATGAATTAACCAAAGTTGCAGGATACAAAGTAAACACACAAAAATCTGTTGTATTTCTGTACATTTGCAATGAACTATCTGAACAGGAAATTTAAAAAAATTATAACAGCATCAAAAAGAATAAAATACTTAGTGATAAATTTAACCGAGGATGTAAAAGATAAAGAAAACTGCAAAATATTGCTGAAAGAAATTACAGAAGACCTAAATAAATGGAAAGACTTTCCATGCTTGGAATGAATTAGAAGATTTAATATTGTTAAGATGGCAGTACTACCCAAAATGATCTATAGATTTAGTTCAATCAGAATTCCAATGGTGTTTTTTTTTCAGAAATAGACTCATACTGATATTTATATGGAATCTCATGGTACCCTGAATAGCCAAAACAATCTTGAAAAAGAAAACAAAGTTGGAGGACTCACACTGCCTGAGTTTAATACTTACTGCAAAGCTATCATAATCAAAATAGTGTCATACTGGCATAAGGATGGATACATGTAGATCAGTGGAATAGAATTGGCAGTCCTGAAAAAAAATCTCACATATATGGTCAATTGATTTTTTTACAAGGGTGGATGTCGAGATCCTTCCATCAGAAAAGGGCAGTGTATACAAATGATACTTGGAAAACTGGATATCCACAGCCAAAAGAACACGCTTGAGATAAATGAAAGAATTAGAATGCCTCAGCAAGGAAATAAAAGGTTTTAAGAATAAGTATATGGAAATTTTAGAACTGAAATAAAAAGCTACGGGATAGACTTACCAGTATATTAGCGGTAACAAAGAAATGAGTGAACTAGAAGATAGAACAGAGAGAAAATGGAGTGGAAAGAAAAATGAATAGAGCCTCAAGAATTGTGGGAGTACAACAAAAGATATAATATTTATATCTTTGGAGGTTGGAAGGGGAAACAAAGGAGGGAAGGGCTGAAAAAGTACTTCAAGAAATAATGGCTGAAAATGTCACAAATTTGGCAGGTAACAAACCTACAGATTTTAAAAGCTCACTGAGTAAATTTGAAACATGATGAACCCAATAAGTCTATGTCAGAATACATTATAAGTACACTTCTGAAGACTAAAGATGAAAAAATCATCCCGAAAGCAGCCAGATAAAAATTATGTTACTTATAGGGGAAAACAATTAGAATGCCAATGGATTTCTCACAGAACTGATAAGAATTGGCCAGGCACGGTAGCTCACGCCTGTAATCCCAGCACTTTGGGAGGCTGAAGTGGGCGGGTCACCTGAGGTCGGGCGTTCGAGACCAGCCTGACCAACATGGAGAACGTCGTCTCTACTAAAAATACAAAAAAATTAGCTGGATGTGGTGGTGCATGCCTGTAATCCCAGCTGCTCAGGAGGCTGAGGTAGGAGAATCGCTTGAACCCAGGAGGCGGAGGTTGCAGTGAGCCGAGATCACACCATTGCACTCCAGCCTGGGCAACAAGAGCGAAACTCCATCTCAAAAAAAAAAGTATAGCTTACTGTGCCTAAAGTGCATAAACAATATGGTTTATGCTGGACACTTGCTTTCTTTATGAGATCTGGGCTTTTAGTGTGTGCTAGGCAGAGGATGTCTGTTGACTAGCCCCATTAAGACTTCGGGCACTGAGTTTCTAATAGGTTTCTCTGATAGACAACATTTAACATATCGCAAATTATTACTGAAGAATTACAGAGTCATGTGTGACTGTTGAGAAAGAATTCTTGGAATTTTGTGTCTGGTTTCCTCCAGACTTGTCTCTCAAACCATTTCCCTTTACTGATTTTGTTTTGCATCCTTTCACTATAATAATCATAGCCATGCGTATAACTATATGATGAGGTTTATGAGTCCTTCTAGTGAATCATCATACTTGGGAGTGGTACTGGAGTCTGATGCAGTTTGGCTCTGTGTCCTCACTCAAATCTCAGGTTAAATTTTAATTCTCAATATTGGGGGAGGGTCCTGGTGGGAAGTGATTGGATCAGGGCGGTGGATTTTTGAGGTTTCAATATTTTATTCAAGTTTTTTTTAACTGATATTAACTACAGCATTTGAAGGGGAGGAATTAATTCCACACAAAATGCAAGACGCTAAAATGTACCCATTAAACTGCTAAAAAACAAATTGAGTGGTGAGAATATGACAGAAGTCCAGTTTAGATTCTGAGTGTTGTCATCATGTGATTACAATCATACAGACTCTTCCAAGCTTACAGCTGGAGCTCCTGGAAGCTATTTCATACTCTCGTGCAAGGGCAAAGAAACACAACACAAAAAGGAGTAAGTCCTGAATTATTGGCTTCATCACATTACCCTCTCCACCCCAAAATGGCAGAAAAGACACAGTGAACCCACCCTGCAGACCTTTTGGCGTAAAAGAGGTGAGGATGAACTGGGGTGGGAACAGGTCATGAAGCTCTGTCTAAAAAAGTCCCTTTCAGGTGAGTTTGTACACACAATCAAGCAATGAGCCTCTCATCAATTAGGGTTAGGAAACCAAGGTTCCATTCTCAGGAAATCACAATTTCATTCATTTACTCAATATGAATTTACAAAGTATCTACATATTATCAGCTTCCACTTACAGCCATTTCTAGATAAAAAAGAAACTTGGCATCTCAGAAGGGCCACCATGTTCCCTCCAAGTCTACCACTGAAAGAACCTTTTTTGGAATTGGGTTTCTTCTGTACCCCTGAAAGGGTAACATCTTAAAGCTGAATCATCTTTAACTTGGGGGTCTAACATGATATTTAGCAATACTTGCATCCCAGACATACAACATTAAAAGATACACTAAATTCTGAAGGTTGCTATACTGCAAAATTGTTTGTTTGTTTGTTTGTTTGTTTTGAAACGGAGTCTCGCTCTGTCACCCAGGCTGGAGTGCAGTGGCGCAATCTCTGCTCACTGCAACCTCCACCTCCCAGGTTCAAGTGATTCTCCTGCCTCAGCCCCCGGTTAGCTGGGACTACAGGCGCCCGCCACCACACCTGGCTAACTTTTTGTATTTTTAGTAGAGACAGGGTTTCATTGTGTTAGCCAGGATGGTCTTGATCTCCTGACCTCGTGATCCGCCTGCCTCAGCCTCCCAAAGTGCTGGGATTACAGGCATGAGCCACTGTGCCCGGCCAAAAATAGTTTAAAATTAAACAATACGGTGTTCATTTATGCTTGAAATTCTAGTCCTCAACCAAGCTTGTGGCCACCAGCATTGACGTTCTTGCCATCCAGGAGAGCTGACAGTGTCAGTTTGATACCTGGCTTTAGGGTTTGATTGTATCCTAAACCTCTCAGGCTGGAGTTGTTCATTTTAGCCGAGAAGTAGGCGTCAGGGTCGATCTGATACTTGGCTGCTATTCCGAAGCTAGTGTTACTGTTTCCTGCTGTCCAGGCGAGATTGACAGCAGTCTCCAACTTCTTGTTCACCTTCTAGTAAATGGAGCTGCCAAACTCTGTCCCATCATTCACTTTAGTGTGAAACTGGAATTCATCAGTCTTGTAGCCAACTACACTGTTGCTCTAGGTCACTCGGGACTTTGCATTCTCAAAATTCATCTGGTAGCTAGCCAGCCAGCCCTCATAACCCAGCACCAGAGCACCCTGGAATGAGGGCCCAGCAATGTCAAAATCCATGTCTCAGCCCAGGTTAATGTGCTCCTACTTGTACCCTGTCTTGATTTTAGCATTTTTTTCCCCCAGTGTTAGGTGAGAAGGACGAATTGAAGGTCAGCTTCAGTTCACGTGCAAGCTGATCTTCCACAGTAACCTCAGTGCCTGGTGTGTTGTCGGTGTTCTATTTCTCTGTAAATGCCAGGCCATATTCAGTCCATCTGTACTTGGTTTCCAGACTGCCCGTCACTTTGGTATTCTCAGTGTTGGCTGAGCCTGAGCTTGTAAATTCCAATCCATTCTTCTCTTTTGTTTTCAAATCAAGCTTTATTAAGCCAAATCCATAGCCATTGGTGAAGACATCCCTGGCAGATTTGACAGGATCTCATATGTGAGTAGCACAGCCATCTTCTCAGAGGTGGCGGCAACAGGCTCAGAGGCAGCTATGACAGGGGCTCTGGTGCAGAGGCAGGTTTCCCTCATGCTATTTTTGTGATCCTGAGTTCTCACGAGATCTGATAGTTTAAAAGTATGTAGCACTTCCCTCTTGCTCACTTTTTCTCCTGCCACAATGTGAAGATTTGCTTGCTTCCCCTTCATCCTTCCACCATGATTGTAAGTTTCCTGAGGCCTCCCATCCATGCTTCCTGTACAGCCTGTGGAACTGTGAGTCAATTGAACCTTTTTTTTTCATAAATTACCCAGTCTCAGGTAGTTCTTTATAGCAGGGTCCCCTGAAACAATCAGGAAGAAAAGAAGAACATGGTAAGGAAGACATACAGGGTAAATGTAGGCATTGCTATTCTTCATGAATTTCCTAAACTTGTTGATGGCTGAAGCAAAGATTATCGTATGGTCTGATGTGGATTTGAATGTATATAGAGGAAATGCTTAGGAAAATTATGTTTTTAAACAGAAAGAGTAAGGGGATGTAATGGGAGGTAAGTTCTATACAATTATTCAAACTGGTAAAATGGCCAGGTGTGGTGGCTTATCCTGTAATGCCAGCACTTTGTGAGGCTGAGGCAGGAGGATTGCTGGAGCTCAGGAGTTTGAAACCAGCCTGGGCAACATAGTAAGACCCCATCTGTTAAAAAAATAAAAAAATTAGCCAGGTGTGGTGATGCACACCTGTGGTCCCAGCAACTTGGGAGGCTGAGGTGGAAGGATTGCTGTAGACTGGGAGATTGAGGCTATAGTGAACCATGATCATGCTGCTGCACTCCAGCCTAGGTGTCAGAGTGAGATCCTGCCTCATAAAAACAACAAAAAAGCAAGCTGGTAAAACGATGACACCAGCAAATTATGATAAGCTATATATATGTAATGTAGCACCTAGAGCAACCACTTAAAAAGCTATACAATGGCCGGGCATGGTGGCTCACGCCTGTAATCCCAGCACTTTGGGAGGCCGAGGCAGGTGGATCACCTGTGGTCAGGAGTTCAAGACCAGCCTGGCCAACATGACGAAACCCCGTCTCTACTAAAAATACAAAAATTAGCTGGGCTTGGTGGCAGGAGCCTGCAATCCTGGCTACTCAGGACGCTGAGGCAGGAGAATCACTTGCATTCGGGAGGCAGAGAATGCAGTGAGCTGAGATCGTGCCATTGCACTCCAGCCTGGGTGACAGAATGAGACTCTGTCTCAAAAAAAAAAGCTATACAGTGAAATACACTAAGAAACACTGTAGGCAAATCAAGACAGAATTATAAAAAAGTTTGAGTAACCCATGAGAAATTTGTAAAGAAAACAAAGAGGCAAAAAGCCCAGAGAACAAACAAATAAAACTTAAATGGCAGACATTCCAACCAATAAGAACAGAATGCATATTCTTTTCATGTGCCTTTAGAAACACAGATGAAGTTAGACATATCCTGGGCCATAAACCAACATAAAGCAAAAATTTCTTTAGTTAAAAATATTTTTTCTAATTTAAGTCATGTAATGTTGGTCATATCGATAGGCTAAAGAAGAAAAATCATGATTTTATCAGTTAATGCAATAAGACTTTAGCAGAATTCAACAACCATTTGTAAACAAAACAAACTCTCAGTACAATAGGAACAGAGGAGAATCTTCTAAAAATCTGCAGCTAACATTCTTTTTAAAATTTTGGTAATACATAACACAAAATTGACTATATATTTTTACAATTCAGTGGCATTAAGTACATTCACATTGTTATACAACCATCACCACTTTCCAGAATTTTTTCATTATCCCAAATAGAAATTGTGTATCCATTAAACAATAACTCCCCATCCCCACTCCCCCCAGCCCCTGGTAACCTCTGTTTTACTTTGTCTGTATGAATTTGCCTATTCTAGGTACCTTACATAAGTGGAATCATATATTTGTCCTTTTGTGACTGGCTTATGTCACTTGGCATATTTTCAAGGCTTGTCTCTTAAAAACGTCCATCAGAAAAGGTCCCTCCTTTTTAAGGCTGAAAAATACTCCATTGTATGTGTATACCACATTTTCTTTATTCATTCATTTTTATTCATTCACATTTTCTTTATTCATTCAGTTGATAAACATTCAAGTTGTTTCCAGTTGTTGTGAACAGTACTGCTATGAACATTGGTGTACAAGTATCTGTTTGAGTCCCTACTTTCAATTTTTGGGGGTATATTCCTAGGAGTGGAATTGTTGGATCAGATGCTAATTATATGTTTAATTTTTTGAGGAACTGCCAAACTGTTTTTCATAGAAACTGTATTGTTTTACATTCCCATCGGCAATGTGAAAGTTTCCAATTTCTCCATACCCCACAAAAATATGTTTTTCTTTTTTCTGGTAGTAGTTATCCTGTTTGTGGAACAGTATTTTTTATTTAATTTATTTTTAAGTAAAAAAATTTTTTAAACATCTACTCTGATTCTGGTCTATGGAACAGTATTCTTTTTTTTTTTTTTTTTTTTTTTTTGAGATGGAGTTTTGCTCTGTTGCCCAGGCTGGAGTGTAGTGGTGTAATCTCGGCTCACTGCAACCTCCGCCTCCCAGGTTCAAGCAATTCTCTGCCTCAGCCTCCCAAGTAGCTGGGACTACAGATGCTTGCCACCATGCCCAGCTAATTTTTGTATTTTTGGTAGAGATGGTGTTTTACCATCTTGGCCAGGCTGGTCTTGAACTCCTGACCTCATGATCCACCCGCCTTGTCCTCTCAAAGTGCTGGGATTACAGATGTGAGCCATTGCATCTGGCCAGAACAGTATTCTTAATGGTGAAAGATTAAATGCTTTCCTTCCATGATTGGGAACAAACCAACGTTATATCTGTTCTTACCACTCTCATTCAACATAGCGCTGGAAGTTCTAACCACAGCAATAAGGCAAGAAAAGGAAATAAGAGACATACAGATCATTAACAAAGAAATGAAACTGTTCCTATTTGCAGAGGACATGATTGTCTATGTAGAAAATCTCAAGGAACGAAGGGAAAAAAAGCTTTTAAAGCTAAGTAAAGTTTAGTCAGCTTGCCGTATAGAAGAAAAAACAGACAAACAATTGTATCATATGTCATAGCATGAACATATGGTCACTGAAGTTAAAATACAGTACCATTAAAATTACTTAAAAAAAAGAAGAAAGCTGAAGAAATTCTTAGGTGTAAATCTAACAAAATGTGTAGGGTCTGTTTGCAGAAAATCACAAAATGTTGATGAAAGAAATCATAGACGGTCTAAACAAATGGAGAGACATACTGTGTTTATGGATTTGAAGATCCAATATAGTAAAGATGTAAGTTCTCACCAAATTGATATACAGGTTTAATGGGAATCCTATCAAAATTTCAGCAAAGGCTTTTAGAGATATAGACAAGATTATTCTAAAATTTGCATAGAAAGGCACAGGCACAGGCTATTTTAGAATAGCTAAATCAACTTTCAACATGAAGAATAAAGTGAGAGGAATCGGTTTACCTGATTTCCAGTCCTGCTATGTAGCTGCGATAATCAAACTTGTGTGTTTGATCAGCACAACAGAGAGCCCAGAAATAGAACCAGCATCAGTGTATGGAGGGGATTAATAGTCTTGAATATATGGAACCAGGTTTCAGGTTAAAAGCAGGATCTGTAAATCTCACTTGGGTGCTCTAGGACTGCTTCTTTCTGCCTTGACTGTGGTTAGTGGCTTAAGTTGGTTAGTGGGCATGGCTGGCTGTTGAGTGAGCAGGGATGTGTTTGTGTTACAGGCATTGATGGCCTTCCGGGATGTGGCTGTGGCCTTCACCCAGAAGGAGTGGAAGCTATTGAGTTCTGCTCAGAGGACCCTGTACAGGGAGGTGATGCTGGAGAACTACAGCCATCTGGTCTCCCTGGGTAAGGCTGGCCTGTTTAAGGTTTCAGATTCTGCTTGTGGGTATTTTAAGCTCTTACATAGCAAGCTGCCATGCTTCTGACTCAGAAAAACAGTTTTTTCCCCTATTCCCCCAGAGAATGCCTGGCTTTCACAGTGCAGTTGTGTGTGTGTGTGTGTGTGTGTGTGTGTGTGTGCGCGTGCACATGCTGTGAGCGTGTGGTGTGTCTGACACTGCATTTTTCAGGCCTGTTTACCCTGGCTGGGCTCCTCCTCTAAGGTTATCCTCCTTCAAAAGGAGGAATATTTTTATTGACTCAAGCACAGGGTAGAATCAACATACTGCCTTTAGGTCTAGGATCCCCTCCCTGTATGCATCCTTTCTTAGCATTCAGACATAGTTTACTCCACCCCTGCACCTCCCTACCACCTTCTGGGTTTATTGCATTCCTGGGTTGGCTCTGAGTTCTGAGATAGCCTCTTAAGCCACTAACTCAAGATCACCTTGGTTTTTTTTTCCTGTGAGTAGGAATTGCATTTTCCAAACCAAAACTCATCGAACAGCTGGAGCAAGGCGACGAACCTTGGAGAGAGGAGAACGAACATCTTCTGGACCTTTGTCCAGGTGAGTGGGAAGCCCTGGGCAAGCGAGGGTGCAGGGCAGTGAGGAGCTCAGCAGGTAAGGAAGGAGGGGCTATCTTTGAGGTGCTAGGAGGAAGTTCTTCTTCAGGCCTCCTAGGCCACTGGTAAAGGCTGCATGGCACTGCCTGCCTTCCACACTGTGTGCCTCCCCCCAGGACAGGGCACCCCTGGCATTCCATCTCCTTCCTCCATCAGGGAGCCTCACTCCTCACTTGGCTTCCTTTCTCGAGCACATTCAGGATTTCTCCATTCTTGGGCTCATGTGGTTGGCATGATCTTCAAAACAGTACCTGTCCTTTGAGACTAAGTCCCTGCCCCTGGTTTTTTATTTTTATTTTTATTTTTTTTGAGACAGAGTCTCGTTCTGTCACCCAGGCTGGAGTGCAATGGCATGATCTCGGCTCACTGCAACCTCTGCCTCCTGTGTTCAAGTGATTTCTCCTGCCTCACCCTCCTGAGTAGCTGGGACTACAGGTGCCCGCCATCATGCCCAGCTAAATTTTTTTGTATTTTTAGTAGAGATGGGGTTTCACCTTATTGGTCAGGCTGGTCTTGAATTCCTGAGCTCAGGCAATCCATCTGCCTTTGCTTCCCAAAGTGTTGGGATTACAGGCGTGAGCCACCACGCCCAGCCAGTTTCTATTCTTAACCTGGTAGCTTTTTTGTGCATCATTTCTATCCTGTAAATTCTCATAACTTTGTTTCTTTTATCATAGATTATTTAAGATTACAGCAAGGTGTGAAAAACTGTACAATGAGTAGGGTTGGGGCAGCCCTGTACCCTAAGAGATAGCATGTTATAAAACCAGGTAATAGCCCCATACTTTTCCTGATTGTGTCCCGTTCCTCCGCCTCTGTTTTCTGAGTTAGCATTCCATGACTGTCTTTATCCTTTTATTCCATCTGATGGGTTCTTCACTCATATAGGGTGTTGTTTTGCATGTCTGTAAACTTCTCTGCACATAATGTTATTAAGTTGTTTCCAACTTTTTGGCTATGAAATAATCTTGCTCTGTATTCTTGTATGCCTCCTTGGGAACATGTCCAAGAGTTTCTCTTAAAATATATACCGGCCAGGTGCAGTGGCTCACACCTGTAATCCCAGCACTCTGGGAGGCCGAGGCAGGTGGATCACGAGGTCAGGAATTCGAGACCATTCTGGCCAACATGGTGAAACCCCGTCTCTACTAAAAATAGAAAAATTAGCTGGGTGTGGTGGCGCATGCCTATAATCTTAGCTACTTGGGAGGCTGAGGCAGGAGAATTGCTTGAATCCGGGAGGCGGACGTTGCAGTGAACTGAGATTGCGCCACTGCACTCCAGCCTAGGTGACAGAGCGAGTCTCCATCTCACAAAGAAAAAAAAAAAGATATATACTTAGGTGTGTAGTAGCTGGTTCACAGGCATGCATAGCCTCAACTTATATAAGTTATGCCAACTTGTGTTCTGAAGTGGGCATGGCAGCTTATGCTCCCAGCAGGAGTCTATGAGAATTCTTGTTGTACATCCTCACCAACATTTGGGATTGTGAGACCTCATGTTTTATCCATCTATTCAGCTGGAAGTGAAATCTCAGAGGGGTTTTTAAGTTGCTTACTAGTGAGCATGAGCATCTTTTCATATGTTGCTTGGCCCTTCCTGTTTCCCCATCTGTGATTTGACCATTCAAGGTGTTTGCCTACTTTTCAATGGGTCTATTCTTTTTGTTATTGATTTGTAGAAATCCCATATAAATTATGGAAACATTTAGGTCTTTAACTGGAATTAATTTTATATGAATGCTGGGAGATAGAAATAAATTTTTGCCTGCTTTATCTTCTTACTTGTTTATTTTCATGGTTTCCTGGCATTTTATTTTTGTTTTATTTTTTGCTTTTAAATGTAACTATATAGCTGGTATTACACTATGTAGCAACTGAGTGCTTTTGTCTTTTTAAAAGCATTTCGTTATATAAAAATGGGGTGGGCACAGTGGCTCACGCCTGTAATCCCAGACTTTGAGAGGCTGAGGTGGGTGGATCACTTGAGGCCAGGAGTTTGAGACCAGCCTGGCCAACATGGCAAAATCCCGTCTCTACTAAAAATACACAAATTAGCCGAGCCTGGTGGTGCATGCCTGAAATACCAGCTACTCGGATGGCTGAGGAGTGAGAATCGCTTGAACCTGGGAGGCGAAGGTTGCAATGAACTGAGATCACACCACTGTACTCCAGCCTGGGCTACAGAGTGAGACTCTGTCTCAAAAAAAAATAAAGTAAAATAATGATAAAAATGTTATTAAGATACAGCAATTAAGGTATATTATAAGATATGTTTTTTAAGGTATAATAAACTACACTTATATAGGTGTGAAATTTGGTTAGTTTTGGCATATGTATACATGCATGAAAGCACTGCCACAGCTAAAGTAACAAGCATGTCTGTCATCCTTGAAAATTTTCTTTCGCCTTACTGTAATCCTACCTCCCACTCCTTCCTGTCCTCCCCTGTACCTGGGCAACCACTGATCAGCTTTCTATAATTATAGATTTGTCTGCATTTTCTAGAATTTGTATAACTGGATTATACAGGATACAACTGGATTCTTCACTCAGCATAAGTATTTTGAATTTTATCTATAATGTGTGTATCAATAGTTTATTAATTTTTATTGCTGAGTATTCCTTTATATGTCTAGGTCACATTTTAATACTGACCTATTAAAAGGTATTTGGGTTTTCATTTTTGACAAATATAAATAAAGCTGTTTTAAGCATGCAAGTTTTTGTGTGAATATAATGCTTTCATTTCTGTTGAATAAATACCTGGGACTGGAATGGCTGGGTTGTATGATGATGGATACAATATATATTCAACTTTTGAAGAAACTCACAAACTGCTTTCCAAAGTGGCCGCACCATTTCACATTCCCACAGCAGTGTATGAGAGCTCCAGGTGTTCCATATTTGTCAAAACTTGGCTTGGTTATTAATTTCAGACATTCTTATAGCTGTGTAGTGAGTGGCATCTTACCGTGGTTTTAACATTTTCTTAATGACTGATGATGTTGAGTATCTTCATGTGCTTATTTGCTATCTTATATCTTCTTTAGTGAAGTACGTTTTCACATCTTTTGCCCATTTAAAAATGTGGTTTCTTATTTTTGTATTATTGAGTTTGAGAGTTCTTCACATATTCTATGTAGAAGTCCATTATCAGATATATGATTTACAAACATTTTTTCTGTGGTTTACTTTCTATAATCTTAATAGTGCCTTTCAAAGAGAAATTTTAATTTGGATGAAGTCCAGTTTTCAATCTTTTCTCTTATGAATTGCAGTTTTGGTAGTGTATTTAAGAAATTTTAGTCTAAAGTAAGGTCAAAAAGATTCTCATTTTTTTCTTTTAGTAATTTTACAATTTTTAATTACATTTAGGTCTATAAGCCTATTTTGAGTAAATATACTTGATAAAAGATCTGAATTTATGTACTTTTTTAGGGGAGGAAGGGCATACAAATATCCAATTTTTCCAGCACCATTTATTGAAAACACTACCCTTTTTTAACTGAATTTCCTATGTATCTTTGTGGAAGATCAGTTGACCATATGTGATAGGTCTATACCTGGACTCTATGTTTTTTCTACTCCTCTGTTAGTGTCTCTATGCCAATACCACAGTTTTGATTACTGTAGCTTTATTAGGTCTTGAACTCACTGTAAATCCTCCATCTTCTTTGGGAAGCTTAGGCAGGCGGATCACAAGGTCAGGAGTTCGAGACTAGTCTGGCCAACATAGTGAAACCCCATCTCTACTAAAAATACAAAAAAAACTAGCCGAGTGTGGTGGTGCGCACCTGTAATCACAGCTACTCGGGAGGCTGAGGCAGGAGGATCGCGTGAACTCGGGAGGCGGAGGTTGCAGTGAGCCGAGATCACACTATTGCACTCCAGCCCAGGCAACAGTGCGAGACTCCATCTCAAAATAAAATAAAATAAAATAAAAAATCCTCCATCTTTGCTTTTTTTTGCAAGTTCTTTTCGTTATTCTTTGTTTTTTCATATGAATTTTAGAATCAGCTTGTCAGTTTTTAACAAAAATGCCTGCTGAGATTTTGATTGGGATCGAGTTGAATCTGTATCAATTTGTGGAGAACTTACACATAAATAATACTGTGTCTTACAGTACGTGAACACAGTATAGCTCTCCATTTACATAAGACTTCTTTCATTTTTGTCGGCATTGTTTTGTCATTTCTGGTATACAGGCCTTACATATCTCTTGTCAGATTTGCCCCTAAGTATTTCATATTTTGATGCTATTTTTAAGTGTCAATTTTCAGTTGTTTATTGATGGTATGTAGAAATAAAATGGATTTATGTATAGTGATTTTGTATGCTGTAATCTTGCAAAACTCACATCTTTTTCCACTGGAATATTTTAATATGAAGGACCTTCTCTGTATTCCAGATGGAATGTGAATGGCAATCCCTAAAGCTGCTGAAGTTCCCTCTTGCAGATATGATCTTACTGACTCTAATCAATGATACAAAGAGTTTTTCTTAGGAATAGTATGGTCAAAAATAAGAAATACGTATTTTGTGATTAAAAATAGTTAACAAATAGAATAACATATAAATCAGTATTGTATTTATAATCGTCTGCCTTGAACCAAGGGTCTTCTGTTAAGTAGTTTAATTCCATTAAATTGTTCACTTCTGTTCTGATAGGGCACTTGAAACCCTGATTCAGTTTCTTGCTATGGGTTGCTACTTGCCAGGTACATTTCTGATCAATGCTCTTAAAAATTTGTTCCAGGGGCTGGGCGCGGTGGCTCACGCCTGTAATCCCAGCACTTTGGGAGGCCAAGGCAGGCGAATCACTTGAGGTCAGGAGTTTGAGACCAGCCTGGCCAACATGGTGAGACCCTGTCACTACTAAAAATACAAAAAATTAGCCAGGCGTAGTAGGTGCGCCTGTAATCCCAGCTACTCAGGAGGCTGAGGTGGGAGAATTGCTTGAACCCAGGAGGTGGAGGTTGCAGTGGGCTGAGATAGTGCCACTGTACTCCAGCCTAGGCGACAGTGCGAGACTCCTTTAAAAAAAAAAAAAAAAATTTGTTCAAGGAGACTCAATTTCTAATCTGAGTTAAAAAGCAGGAGTCTTTAAACAAAAGTAAGATAAAAAAGATAAACTAGCCATGAATAAGAAAATGCCTTATTTTTCTCTTACCAAATGCTTTGCTTATTCACTACAGCAAACAATTTCAGAGATAATGAAAGCAGACTTCTCTATTGAGGGCTGTCCCATAATGACTCATAAGAACTTAGTCCTGCCGAGCGCAGTGGCTCATGCCTATAACCCCAGCACTTTGGGAGGCCGAGGCAGGCGGATCACCTAAGGTCAGGAGTTCGAGACCAGCCTGGCCAACATGGTGAAACCCCGTCTCTCACCTAAGGTCAGGAGTTCAAGACCAGCCTGGCCAACATGGTGAAACCCGATCTCTACTAAAAATACAAAACTTAGCCGGGCATGGTGGTGCACGCCTGTAATCCCAGCTGCTCAGGAGGCTGAGACAGGAGAATTGCTTGAACCAGAGGTTGCAGTCAGCCAAGATCACGCCACTGCACTCCAGCCTGGGCAACAGAGCGAGACTCTGTCTCAAAAAAAAAAAAAAAAAAAAGAACTTAGTCAATAATTACCTAGGAGTTACGGTATCAACTTACGGAAGCTGAAAGCACTGCCAATTTCCAGAGCCTTTAATTTATACCATCATGGGAATTAGTGTTATCTCCAATTGGCAGCCTATTTAAACCTAGAAACAAAATTTTTTGAAAAAGTCAATTTGTATAGTTTTAACAGTTTTTGTGCATGGATAAGAATATGCTTAAGCCGAAATATGTATAATCCCTGAAACATCTTTATGCTAATGAGAAGTCATCTATTATTAACTTTCAAACGCTGAGCTTCTCCTTAATTCACCAGATTTTTTTAAAAATCCTGGATTATTGAGCAAAACAGTGTACGTAGTGTTGTGCAATGCTATTCGGGGAATATACTTGGCTGCAGTCTTCCCAGAGGCTAGAGGACAGCACCTTCATTTGCCCGGAGGGCAGCATCAGGGATTCCTCTTCTTCAAGAGGACTTAAGGGTGTCCATACAGTTCAGGAGACAACTCACATCAGGCTGATATGGAAGCTCCCTGGCCTAAAGCCTATTCCACACAGGAGCCAGTATCTCTTGCTACAGCTTATCTGATTCGTGGGTGCCCCTTACTTGAGTCACCACAGTCAAGGAAGCCCAAAGCATGGCTCCCCTTCAGATGCTAAGATCTTATTTATAGCACCTTCAAGATCATAATCAGTCTGTTTCTTAACTGCAGCTCAGACACCAAGTTCTTGGCTCTTGCATAAACAGCAGGCCGAACAAATGTTTCTCAGGCAAGGTTTAATAGGCTTGAGCTGGAGCAAAAGCAAGGGAGCGGCGCCCAAGAAAGGAAGATAAATGTGTAACTCTACTTGCAGCAATTTATAGAGCTGAAGCTGCCTGTGATGCTTTTTTGAACCTTTTAGTTTGGCTGATAGGACTAGTTTGTAGTGTGGGTTTTCTGTGCTGCAATAGAGCATGTAATGTGCCCTTGTGGGTTGGAAGATAAGTCTTTGTTGTGAACATCTGAAGAAAACTGCTGGGCAGGTATTACAATCCATGGTCACCTGTGGTGATTCTGACCAAGACTTTCTCTCTAGCAGAGCCTAGAACAGAATTCCAGCCAAGTTTTCCCCACCTGGTGGCCTTTTCTAGCTCGCAGCTCCTCAGACAATATGCGCTAAGTGGCCATCCCACACAGATCTTCCCAAGCTCATCTGCAGGAGGTGACTTCCAACTAGAAGCTCCAAGATGCTCTAGTGAAAAAGGAGAAAGTGGAGAGACAGAAGGCCCCGACAGCTCATTAAGAAAGAGGCCAAGCAGAATTTCTAGGACATTCTTCAGCCCACATCAAGGTGACCCAGTAGAATGGGTAGAAGGGAACAGAGAAGGAGGAACAGACCTTCGCCTGGCCCAAAGGATGAGTCTTGGGGGGTCAGACACAATGTTGAAGGGAGCAGACACTTCAGAATCTGGAGCAGTCATACGTGGAAACTATAGACTGGGACTTAGCAAAAAGTCAAGCCTGTTCAGCCACCAGAAGCATCATGTGTGCCCTGAATGCGGGAGAGGCTTTTGCCAGAGATCAGACCTTATCAAGCACCAGAGGACACACACCGGGGAGAAGCCATACCTGTGTCCTGAGTGTGGGCGTCGGTTTAGCCAGAAGGCCTCCCTCTCCATACACCAGAGGAAGCACTCGGGGGAGAAGCCGTATGTGTGCAGGGAATGTGGGCGACACTTCAGGTATACATCCTCTCTCACTAATCACAAGAGGATTCACTCCGGGGAGAGGCCCTTTGTATGTCAGGAGTGTGGGCGAGGCTTTCGCCAGAAGATAGCCCTCCTTCTACACCAGAGGACGCACTTGGAGGAGAAGCCCTTCGTGTGTCCTGAGTGTGGGAGAGGCTTTTGCCAGAAGGCATCACTCCTCCAGCACCAGAGCTCACACACAGGGGAGAGGCCCTTCCTGTGCCTTGAGTGTGGGCGTAGCTTCAGGCAGCAGTCACTCCTCCTTAGTCACCAGGTCACACACTCAGGAGAGAAGCCTTATGTCTGTGCTGAGTGTGGGCACAGCTTTCGCCAAAAGGTCACTCTCATCAGGCACCAGAGGACACACACAGGGGAGAAGCCTTACCTGTGCCCCCAGTGTGGGCGGGGTTTTAGCCAGAAGGTCACCCTCATTGGACACCAGAGGACACACACAGGGGAGAAGCCCTACCTGTGCCCTGATTGTGGGCGTGGCTTTGGTCAGAAGGTCACCCTCATCAGACACCAGAGGACACACACAGGGGAGAAGCCTTATCTGTGCCCCAAGTGTGGGCGTGCATTTGGCTTTAAGTCGCTCCTCACCCGACACCAGAGGACACACTCAGAGGAGGAGCTTTACGTAGACAGGGTGTGTGGACAAGGACTTGGCCAGAAGTCACACCTTATCTCTGACCAAAGGACACACTCAGGAGAGAAGCCCTGCATTTGCGATGAATGTGGGCGCGGCTTTGGCTTTAAGTCTGCCCTCATCCGACATCAGCGGACCCATTCTGGGGAGAAGCCGTATGTCTGCAGGGAGTGTGGGCGTGGCTTTAGCCAGAAGTCTCACTTGCATAGACACAGGAGGACCAAGTCTGGTCATCAGCTCCTACCCCAAGAGGTCTTCTGACCTTTCCTTTCCCCGTGAGTGTGAAGCTGGCAGAAATCACTAGTAAATGCTTCAGTTTCCTGAAATGGAATGGAAAAAAAAAAATGTTGCTTTCTTTCATCGATCATGAGATAGTTGATTTTTGGTTTACTTTCTATATTCACAATTTGTCTTGGCTTGCTAGGGGTTCCATAACAAAGTACCCCAGGCTGGGTGATTTTGACAACGGAAATATATTTTCATATTTATGGAGGCTGGAAGTCCCAGATGAACGTATTGGTAGGTTTGGCTGCTGCTTAAGCCTCTCTGTTTGGCTTGCGGATGGCTGCTTTCTGGCCACGTCCTCACGTGGGCTTTTTTCTGTGTGTATGCTTTCCTGGTGTGGCTTCCTCCTCTTCTAGGGACACCAGTCATTTTGGATAGAGCCACAGCCACATGGCCTCGTTTAACCTTAATAACCTTCCTAAAGGCCTTATCTCTAGATACAGTCACACTACACAGTTAGGACTTCAACATATGAATTTCTGGGAAACCCAATTTAGTCTATAACACTCCACTACCAAAGTTCAGGTCCCTCAGACATTCAAAATACATTCACATGATCCCAACAGTCCCAAAATTCTTTACCCATTTCAACTTCACCTCTAGATCCAAAATCTCATTTAAATATCATCTAAATCAAGTGTGAATGAGACTTTAGGTACAATTCATCCTTAGGCAAAATTCTCCAGGTGTGATCCTGTGAAACCAGACAGATATCTGCTTCCACAATATTCTACAATGGTGGGACAAGCAGAGGCTGGACTTCCCCATTCCAAAGGAAAGACATGAGAAAGAAATGAAGAATGATGGATCCCAAGCAAGTCTCAAACCTGGCAAGGCAACTTCCATTAGATTTTAAGTCTCGAGAATAATCCCCTTTGGCTCAGTGCTCTGCCTTCTGGGCCAACTGGATTGGCAGCCCTGCTTTTTAGGCTCACGGGAGCTGCAGTGTCGCTCCCTTGGCCCTTGGCAGCGGCTCCTGGCCCACTGAAATTGAGGAGGAGACACACTTGCCCTCTAGACCTGTACTCTCTGGGCCCATTAGAACCTTTGAGAATCACATTCTTCCCTTTTCTTGAAGATTAACGTGCGTTTGCAACTGGATAGCTCTATTGTACCTTCCCGTAGAATCCCAGAAGTCTAACAGCCTGCCTTCATTTTTGTCCTGTCTCTTTCTCTATTCAGTTCAAGCTGGCAGCATTTCTGGTGAGATGGTTAATTGGTTCCATTCAGACCTATACTAATCTCTTTATCACATGGTTGTCCAGCCACACCCTAGTGTTCTTTCAAGAACATACTTTCTCATTTTTTGCAATGCGGACAGGCTGAGAATTTTCCAAATCTTTAAGTACTGGTTCTTTTTTGCTTAACAGTTCCTTCAATTTATCTTTCTCCTCTAATATTTTACTATAAGCAGCAAGGAGAAAACAGACTCCACTTGCATCACTTTGTGTAGAAATATCACCTGAATATTCTGCACTGCCTCACTCACAATTTCTGTACTCCACAAAACACTAGAACGCAATTTGGGCAAGTCCTTTGCAAGGATTCCAGTTTCCCATTACCCATTCCTCATTTCTGTCTGAGACTTAACCACAATCACCTTAAAATTAAAAACAAAACAAAACAAAACAAAAAAAAACCCCAAACATTTTGTAGATACGGGTTTTTGCTATGTTGCTTAGGCTGGTCTCATACACCTGGCCTCAAATGATCCTCCTGCTTTGCCCTCTCAAAGTGTGAGCCACCACACCCAGCCCAGAACCTTTTAACATCTACATTCCTACCAACAGTGTTTTAAAGGTCATCCAGGCTTTTCCTAACATGTGCCTCAGAACTCTTGTAGCTTCTTTCTACCGAGTACCCAGTTCCAAGTCACTTCCACATTTTAGGTTACAAAGCATCCCAATCACAGTACCAAAATCTGTATTAATTTGCTAGGGCTGACATAAGAAAACACCAGACTGGGTGCCTTAAGCAATAGAATATTTATCTTCTCACAGTTCAGGAAACTGGAAGTCCTAGAATGAGGTGTTGGCAGGTTTGGTTTCTACTAAGGCCTCTCTCCTTGGCCTGCAGATGGCTGCCTTCCCTCTGTGGTGTCTCATAGCTTATTCTTTGTACACACACTTTCCTGGTGTCTCTCATTAAAAGGACACCAGTGATACTGGATTAGGGCAACACCCTAAAGACCTTGTTTTAACCTTAATTACAACTTTAAATGTCCTGTATGCAAAAACAGTCACACTGGGGATTAGGGATTCAACATATGAATTTGGGTGGGGAGGGACACAATTTAGTCCATAACACTCTGCCTTCTGGACTTCCAAAATTCGTATCTAGCCGTGAGCGCCTGCCATAAGAGTGCTCTCTTGAATTCCTTTCCTTTCTCCATAAGTGTGAAGATGGCAGAAATCAATAACAGATGTTCCACTTTCCTGATATGGAATGGAGGAAAAAGAGTTGCTTTCCTTCATTGATCATGAGATAGTTGGTTTATGCTTTACTTTCTGCACAGTGGTCCTTTGTATTTTATGGTCTTTTGTTTTAATAAACTGCTTCTCTACAAAGCTGCATACCTGGCTATGTACCTCATTCACTGATACTTTGAGGAGAACCCCAAGGCATTCAACCTCTTCGGAGACATGGAGGAATTACTCTGCGTATTTATTCTAGGCTACTGTCCTATGGGACAGGGATATTACGGTCTTCAACCTCACCTCTTCCTAAGTCTTCCATTGTCTGTGATGAGAGCCACTGGCCACATGCTCACCTTCCCTGATGCCAGATTGAAGGGCATTTATTCACATCCCTGTCATGTTAGCTATGCCTACGTGCCAGTGATCCAGCCCTTCAGCCACAACCTTCCTTAAAACTCCAATCAGGAGCTAAGGCTCTGAAGCCACCCACCCTTCTATCCAGCCCAAGACACTGCCCCCTTAGTTATAGTCCCTCCTGTTCCCTGATCCCCAGAGCCCAAATGCCCCAGATCCTGACAAATGCCTACACCAAGAATGGCCCTGGCCCTGTTCCTTCAGCACCGAATGTTTACTGCATGGTCAGTCTCCCCAGTGCTTGGAGCCACTGCTGGCTCAGAGGGGTTTTTCACCAGAATGAAAAGAGATTTTAGTTTGGAAGAATTTGCCTTGGGAGGATAGATGAAAGAAGAATGACAGATGGAGGTCACTGACCCCAGCATCTCAGCTGGAGACAGTCTTTGGGTTAGCTTTGGTGGGGATGCCCTGAGACCACTGGGGACAGCCCTTATCAACACATTTTCACTGAAGCCATTTTGCCTCAGCGAGTTATCCAGTGGCCAGAGCTGAAGTCACAAGGGAAGCGTGTGTGTGTGTGTGTGCACGTGAACGTGCACACGCATATGTGTGGTATGGGGTCATTTCATGCCAGCAGTTTAAAAATTTCTACTGAGAATATAAATAGAAGTAATAACCATTCCAGCATATATATTGACCTTGTACTTGAAAGTGTTTTTCCATAATGGAAGTTTCTATGGCCATTCACCCAAAATGGACCTGATAAATGATATATAAATAAAAAACAGGCTGGGTGCAGTGGCTCACACCTGTAATCCCAGCACTTTGGGAGGCCAAGGTGAGTGGATCCCTTGAGGTGGGGAGTTCGTGACCAGCCTGGCAAACATGGCAAAACCCCGTCTCTACTAAAAATACAAAAGTTAGCCGGGGCGTGGTAGCAGGCACCTGTAATCTCAGCTACTCGGGAGGCTGAGGCAGGAGAATCACCTGAATCCGGGAGGCGGAGGTTGCAGTGAGTCAAGATTGCGCCGTTGATTCCAGCCTGGGCGACAAGAGCAAGACTCCATCTCAAAAAAAAAAAAAGAAAGTGTGTGTGTGTGTGTGTGTGTGTATGGAACTTTTTAAAAAATAATATCTCTGCTAGTTACATCTGAAACCTCTCTTTTAGATAAAAATGGTGATGAAAGAAGGGGAAAAGAATGATTTAATTGGGTTAATAGAAAACCACACCAGAAACGAATATTAGTGTTTTATGGAAATAAGAAATCTATGCCTGGCCAGGCGCAGTGGCTCATGCCTGTAATCCCAGCACTTTGGGAGGCCGAGGCAGGTGGATTACGAGGTCAGGAGATCGAGACCATCCTGGCTAACACGGTGAAACCCCATCTCTAATACAAAAAATTAGCTGGGCGTGGTGGCGGGCGCCTGTAGTCCCAGCTACTCAAGAGGCTGAGGCAGGAGAATGGCGTGAACCCGGGAGGCGGAGCTTGCAGTGAGCAGAGATCACACCCCTGCACTCCAGCCTGGGCAACAGAGCGAAACTCTGTCTCAAAAAAAAAAAAAGTTAAAAAAAAAAAAAAAAAAAACTATGCTTAACACTACTACACAACATTCAGCTATAGGCCTTTTGAAAAGAAAAAACATACCACCAAAACATCTTTCGGGTTACTCCGTTTGAACTCTGGAATATGATAAACCTGGCTGTTAATACCTAAAAACAGCACAAAATGAAATATAAAATTAGTGACTCCAGGCCAGGCATGGTGGCTCACGCCTGTAATGCCAGCACTTTGGGAGGCCGAGGCAGGTGGATCACCTGAGGTCAGGAGTTCAAGACCAGCCTGACCAACATGGAGAAACCCTGTCTCTACCAAAACTACACAGTGGCAGGCGCCTGTAATCCCAGCTACTCGGGAGGCTGAGGCAGGAGAATCGCTTGAACCCAGGAGGTGGAGGTTGCTGTGAGCCGAGATCGCACCATTGCACTCCAGCCTGGACAACAAGAGAGAAACTCCATCTTAAAAAAAAAAAATAGTGACTCCAATTTTGGTAACATTGGATTAAGATAAAATGTTTAGGAATAAGTTTAATAAAAAATGTTCGAAACCAACAAGTAGAAAACTATAAAGCACCACTGAAACCAGAAATAGACTTCAATAAATAGAAAGGCATCCTCTCTTCTTGGTGAGAACATCTCAATATAATGAAGATGTCAGTCTCACTAACCTTATAGTTTACAAAATTTTGCAATCATTAAAAATTCTAATGAGTTTTTTCATTGACGTGGACTATAAGTTAATCCTAAAATCCTTACGGAAAATTAAAGAATTGCAACAAAAATGCTGCACAGGAAGTGCTTTAGAGGGACTAGCCCTTCCAGATTTGAAAACTTGACAAAACCTCTATAATTTAAACAGCATAGTAATGGCACATGAATAGGTCAAAGTAACAAAAGAGCAGAATGCATTAAAAATGCCTATCAAAAGGTGGAATATCAAATCACTGTGGCAAATACTCTTTTAATAAATGGGACATTGACTAGCCATTTCAAAAGTAATAAAATTCCATTCCTCCCATCATACATGAGAATTTATAATGGGTCAGAGATTTCAATGTGAAAAAAATTTTATTTTTTCACGTTGCTAGAAGAAACATGCTAGATACTAGAAACATGCTGGAAGAAAACTTGGATGAAATAATCTTTAACCTGGTATAGGGAGAGGCTTTCTAATTCTAAATCCAGAGCCAGTAAAGGATTAATAAATAATGTCTACAAATACCAAAAAACGTTTGCATGGACAAAGTGTACCATAACATCAAAAGACAAATGACTACAAAAAATCTTTATCAACATGTAAATCACCATACTTCACTGATAAAGGGTTAATCCTGAGGCCGGGCATGGTGGCTCACGCCTGTAATCCCAGCACTTTGGGAGGCTGAGGAGGGCGGATCACCTGAGGTCAGGAATTTGAGACTTGCCTGACAAACATGGTGAAACCCTATCTCTACAAAAAATACGAAAATTAGCCAGGCGTGGTGGTCCACATCTGTAATCCCAGCTACTTGGTAGTCGGAGGCAGGAGAATTGCTTGAACCAGGGAGGCGGAGGTTGCAGTGAGCTCAGGTTGCGCCATTGCACTCCAGCCTGGGCAACAAGAGTGAAACTCCATCTCCAAAAGAAAAAGAAAAAAAAAGGGTTAATCCTTACTTTGTAAACGTTTTAAAAATTGAGGGGAAAAGATTAGAAATCCTATAGAAAAGTGGGCAAAAGTCATGCACAGACTCTTTACCAAAAGATGTATAAACATATGAAAAGATGTTCAACTTCACTCATGGTAAGAGAAACGTAAATTACAACTACACTGAGATACCATTTCTCACCCATCAGATTGTCAAAAACTTAAAAGCTTAACCGTACTCTCTACGGATAAGACTGTGGAGAAACAGGCACTTTCATACATTGTTGGTGGGAATGCAAAATGTTTTAAGTCCTATAGAGGGAAGTTGGCAGTATTTAATTAAATTATATATACACATACCTGTTGACACAGCAAGCAAGCGCAGGGATAAATAAGAATTTATCCCTTAAGAGTCACCTCCAGGCCGCATGCAGTGGCCCACGTCTGTAATCCTAGCACTTTGGCAGGCCCAGATGGGCGGATTGCCTGAGCTCAGGAGTTCGAGACCAGCTTGGGCAACATAGTGAAACCCTGTCTCAACTAAAATACAAAAAATGAGCCAGGTGTGGTGGCAGTTGCCTGTATTCCCAGCTACTCAGGAGGCTGAGGTATGAGAATTGCTTGAACCTGGGAGGCAGAGGTTGCAGTGAGCTGAGATCATGTCACTACATTCCAGCCTGGGCAACAAAGGGAAACTGGGCCGGGAGCTGTGGCTCATGCCTGTAATCCCAGCACTTTGGGAGGCCAACACGAGGTCGGCAGTTCAAGACCAGCCTGACCAACATGGAGAAACCCCATCTCTACTAAAAATACAAAATTAGCCAGGCGTGGTGTCGCATGCCTGTAATCCCAGCTACTCGGGATGCTGAGGTCCTGAACCCAGGAGGCGGAGGCTGCGGTGAGCCGAGATCACGCCATTGCACTCCAGCCTGGGCAACAACAGCGAAACTCCATCTCAAGAAGGAAAAAAAAGAGTCACCTCCAGTGATACGAATTACAGGTGCACATGATTACTTGTCAGCGTTATTTATAGTTGCAAAATATTGGAAGTTGCTTGGACATTCAAGCATAGGAAATGGATTGAATAACACATGATGGAGTCAAATATAACCGTGAAAAGAATGAAGAAGGCTGGTCGCGGTGGCTCACACCTGTAATCCCAGCACTTTGGGAGGCCAAGACGGCGGATCACAAGGTCAGGAGATCGAGACCATCCTGGCTAACACGGTGAAACTCTGTCACTACTAAAAATACAAAAATTAGCCAGACGTAGTGGCACATGCCTGTAATCCCAGCTACTCAGGAGGCTGAGGCAGGAGAATTGCTTGACCCCAGGAGGCGGAGGTTGCAGTGAGCTGAGATCACACCACTGCACTACAGCCTGGGTAACAGAGAGAGTGTTTGTTTCAAAAAAAAAAAAAAAAAAAAAAAGAACAAATGTTTTAGAAGATAATTTTAAGATATGTAAATAACCTTTTTTTTTTTTTTTGACAGGGTAGGGTCTTGCTCTGTTACCAAGGCTGGAGAGCAGTGGAACAATCATGGCTCACTGCAGCCTCTACCTCCCGGGCTGTAGCCATTTTCCCACCTCAGCCTCCCAAGTAGCTAGGACTATAGTCGTAATCTGGCTGGAGTGCAATGGCTCAATCTCAGCTCACTGCAACCTCCGCCTCCCGGGTTCAAGCGATTCTCCTGCCTCAGTCTCCCGATTAGCTGGGATTACAGGCATGCACCACCACACCCAGCTAATGTTGTATTTTTAGTAGGGACGGTTTCTCCATGTTGGTCAGGCTGGTCTCGAGCTCCCGACCTCAAGTGATCCACCCACCTCGGCCTCCCAAAGTGCTGGGATTACAGGCGTGAGCCACCGTGCCAGGCCCATGTTAGTTTTTAATATTTTTTTTAATATGAGTGTGCATATAGTTGTTAGTATGTTATTTTATTATCTCTTAAATGACTACGGGATCTGTGGTTATATCTCCTCTTTCATTGCTGGCATCATTTTTTTGTTTTCTTGTTTTTTTGAGACGGAGTCTCGCTCTGTTGCCCAGGCTGGAGTGCAGTGGCGCGATCTCTGCTCACTGCAAGCTCAGCCTCCTGGGTTCATGCCATTCTCCTGCCTCAGCCTCCCGAGTAGCTGGGACTATAAGAGCCCACTACCACGTCCGGCTAATTTTTTTGTATTTCTAGTAGAAACGGGGTTTCACCATGTCAGCCAGGATGGTTTCGATCTCCTGACCTCGTGATCCACCCGCCTCGGCCTCCCAAAATGCTGGGATTACAGGCGTGAGCCACCGCACATTGCTGGCATTCTTAACTTGAATCTACTCTATTATTTTAGCATCAGAAGATTATGAATTTTACTGATTGTATTAAAAAGCAATTTTAAGCCAGGTGCGGTAGCTCAAGCCTGTAATCTCAGCACTCTGGGAGGCCAAAGCAGGCGGATCGCTTGAGGTCAGAAGTTTGAGACCAGCCTGGCCAACATGGTGAAACCTCATCTCTTCTAAAAATCCAAAAATTATCCGGGTGTGGTGGCGTGCACCTGTAGTCCCAGCTACCTGTGGCAGGAGAATGGCTTGAACCCAGGAAGCGGAGGTTGCAGTGAGCCAAGATCACACCATTGCACTCCAGCCTAGGCATGGTGAGACTCCATCTCAAAAAAAAAAAAAAAAAATTAAATTGTATTGATTTTCTCTTTTCAATTTTATTGATTTCGTCTTTTACCTATTATTTCCTGTCCTCTGCGTGCTCTGATTTTATTTTGCTCTTTTTCTGGTTTCTTTAGGTGAAAGCTTAAATTATTGATGTGAGACTTTTCTTCTTTTCTAATATAAGCTTCTAACGCTGATTATTTCCCTCTTCACAATGCTTTATCTGTACCTTACCACGTTTTATGTTTTATTTTTATTTAGGTCTGTATTATTTTTAATTTCCCCCAAGATTATAACTCATGAGCTATTTAGAAGAATGCACTTCAATTTCCAAATGTTTGAGAACTTTCCTTTCCTTCTCATGTTTATGTAATTAAAGCTTATACTATAGACACATTAGATTAAAATTCAATTACACTTGTTTAGTTACATTGTATAGGTTGTTCAAGTATCATTGGAGCAAACTTTTCAAATATTAACTTTATGTAGTGGTTGTCAGTCTTTTGCACTTGTAGAGTGGCAAGTAAAAAATACCCTGAAAATATGGCCCTCAGGCCGCTGGAGAAGCTCACAGAGACAGAAATAGTGGGAATTTTCTGATTCCTCAGTGCTCATTACTTTCTAGGCCAGCACACAGGGATCCAACAAAGCCAGAGTTAGTGTTCATTAAAGGGCAGTGGGATAGAAGGATGGAGAATGCCCTGGTATCACCTAGCTGGTTCTAATGACCCATGCAGGATCCCATGGTATAAGCTGGCTTGTAACATAACTCGTTCAAGACTCCTTCTGTGCATTAATGAGCGAATCTGTATTTGAACATGTTCACATGAACAGATTGGAAGAGACGATAAATTTACCATGAGCAATCCCTTTAGGATTGGTTTTAGGAACTTACTGATCCTGTATTCATGTTGGGCATTTGTCTGTTGTATTTGCTGTCACAGAATGTCTTTTAATCCCAAATACGCTTCTACAGATCCATCCAATACAAGTCCCTAGTCGTGATCTTTGGAATGAAGTAATACATTTCAAAGAACATTAGAAGGAAGGACTATGGCAGGAGAGATGGAATTGGTCCTTCAGAGGACTGGGATGAAGATGAGAAATGAACCAGCATTAGGACAGCCTTAGTCTCAATACATTTGCCTAACATAAGTTCAAAGGGCACAGTTGTATGCACAAAGTATCCTTGATGACATCATAACTCAGAATTCAGTAAAACAGCTCATCAGGTCCCTCACAGGGGATGTGCTAGGGTGGTGGCCACTCTTGAGACTCTGTGCCCAGTGATGAAAAATAGTATGAAGGTTGTTTAAAAATGAAAAATAGAATTACCATGCTATTCAACAATCCTACTTCTCAGTATATAACCTAAAGAATTAAAGGCAGGATCTCAAAAAGATATTTGCACACCCATGTTTATTGCAGCATTATTCACAATAGCCAAGAGATAAAAGCAATCCAAATGACTTTGGTGGATGAAAGGATAAAATATGGTGTATATATGTGTATTTGTGTATATATATATGAAGACTAAGCAGCCTTCGGAAAGAAGGAAACCATGTCACATGCTAGAACATGGGTGAACCTCAAGAACATTATGCTAAGTGAAATAAGCCAATCACAAAAAGACAGATTTTTTTTTTCATATGAAGTATTTAAAGTAGTCAAAATCACAGTAGTGGTTGCCAAGGGCTGGGAGTGGGAGTGGTGGTGGTGGGATTAGTGTTTAATATGTACAGAATTTTAGTTTTGGAAGATGAAAAATTTCTAAAGATTAAGAAGTAAGAATATACTTAACGTGTTAAGTATATTCACAATGATGTAAACATACTTAACATTACTGAACTGTATACTTTAAAATGTTTTAAATGATTTTTTTAAAAAGCAGCAGCATAGGAATAAATCTTCATGACCTAGCACTAGTTCATGATTTCTTAAATATGACACCAAAAGCACAAGTAACAAAAGAACACATAGATAAATTGGACTTCATCCAAAGTAAAAAAGTTTTGTGCTTCAAAGAATACTGTCAAGAAAGTAAATGATGGCCAGGCGCGGTGGCTCAGGCCTGTAATCCCAGAACTTTGGGAGGCCGAGGCAGGCGGATCACGATTTCAGGAGTTCAAGACCAGCCTGGCCAACATGGCAAAACCCTGTCTCTACTAAAAATACAAAAATTAGCCGGGCGTGGTGACACATGCCTGTAATCCCAGCTACTGGGGAGGCTGAGGCAGGAGAATCCTTGAAACCAAAGGCAGAGGTTCCAGTAAGCCGAGATCACGCCACTGCACTCCAGCCTGGGCAAAGGAGCGAAACTCTGTCTCAAAAAAAAAAAAGAGGCTGGGCACAGTGGCTCACGCCTATAATCCCAGCACTTTGGGAGGCTGAGACAGGTGGATCACGAGGTTAGGAGATCAAGACCATCCTGGCTAACATGGTGAAACCCTGTCCCTACTAAAAATACAAAAAAAAAAAATTAGCCAGGTGTGGTGGCACGCGCCTGTAGTCCCAGCTACTCAAGAGGCTGAGGCAGGAGAATGGTGTGAACCCGGGAGGTAGGGCTTGCAGTGAGCCGAGATCGCACCACTGCACTCCAGCCTGGGCAACAGAGCAAGACTCTGTCTCAAAAAAAAAAGAAAGGACGACCAATGGAATGGGAGACTATTTCTGCAAATTATATCCTGTAAAGGATTTAAAAATACATATATATAAATAAAATATATATTTTCTTTTTATTTTATATATAATATATTTTTCTTTTTCTTTATTTTATGTTATATCTAATTTATATATTATATATTATATATATTATATCTAATTTATATATTATATATTATATATATTATATCTAATTTATATATTATATATTATATATATTATATCTAATTTATATATTATATATTATATATATTATATATAATATATATTATATATATTATATATAATATATATTATATATATTATATATAATTTATATATTATATATTATATATTATATATATTTTATATTATATAATATATATAATATTATATAATATATATAATATAATATATAATATATAATATATTATATATTATATAATATGTATATAATATATTTATATTATATAATATGTATAATATATTATATAATATAAATATATTATATATTATATATTACATAATATATATTATATAAATATTATATAATATATTATATATATTATATAATATATTATATATTATATATATATAATATATATTATATATATATAAAATATATATTATGTAATATATAATATATAATATATTTATATTATATAATATATATTATAATATAAAATATAATATATTATATTTTATAAAATATAATATATAATATATATTATATTATATAAAATATAATATATATTATATTTTATATAATATAATATAATATATTTTATATTTTATATAATATAACATATATTATATTATATATTATAATATATAAAATATATTATAATATAAAATATATATTATATATTATAATATATATATAATTCACAGTAGCCAAAAAGTGAAAACAACCCAAATGTTCATCACCTGATGAATGAATAAGTTTCAGGATATCCACCAATGGAATATTATTCAGCAATAAAAAGGTTTGATGTAATGATAGATGCTAAAAACATGGATGAAGCTTGGAAATATTTAAAGTAAAATAAGACAGGTGTGAAAGACATATATTGTATGATTCCATTCATATGCAAGTCCAGAGCATGTAAAGCTATATAGAATCAGTTCGTGGTTATGTAGGCCTAGGATGTAGATCGGTGGGGGGCAGGGGGTGATAGCTAAAGGACAAGGGTTTTTTTTTCTTCTTCATTTTTTGAGATGGAGTCTCACTCTGTCACCCAGGCTGGAGTGCAGCGGCACTATCTCGGCTCACTGCAACCTCCGCCTCTCCGGTTCAAGCGATTCTCCTGCTTCAGCCTCTCATGTAGCTGGGATCACATGTGTGCCACCATGCCCAGCTGATTTTTGTATTTTTAGTAGAGGCGGGGTTTCACCATGTTGGCCAGGCTGGTATTGAACTCTTCACCTCAAGTGATTCACTCACCTCGGCCTCCCAAAGTGTTGGGATTACAGGCGTGAGCCACTGCACCCAGCCTAGGGGTTTTCTTTTTGAGGTGATAAAAATGTTCTAAAGTTTATAGTGATGATGCTTACAAATTCTATAAGTAGACTTAATGCAGTGATGGTTGCAAATTCTATAAATATATTTAATGTGGTGATGGTGGCAAATTCTATGAAAAACCCAAATTGTACAATTTCAATGAGTGAAAGCATGCTATGTGAATGTCTTCATAAAGGTTTTATTTAAAAAATGAGCAAACGGTAGAATGTTAACATGGCCCACGTCTATGTGGTGTCTATATTGGTTTCTATTATATGTTTTCTATGTGGTTGAAACATTCCTAATAAAATGTGCATAGTTTTTTAAAAAAGAAAACACATCAGTGGACGTGAATGCAGGATGTCTTATGAATGCTCACACAGAAGCTCTCATTCCTGAGGAATGCAGGGAAAAGCAGAAGATGGAGTAGGAGTTGGCATGGCCCAGCTAGCTCAGATGACACACGATGGTCCCAGTGGCATGACTTGGTTTGTGCGATTTGTGCTTTGGGGTTTTATTTTGGCACATTATAAAGGAGTAAAGCCTGTATACAGTCAGTTTCTGTCTATTCTAATGAAGGGCAAGGGGATGAAGGGATTTACCTTGAGTAACCATCCACTTAACATTTATTAGGAATCTTGTGATCCTATCGTCACCCGTGAGATTTCTATGTTGTTTGTGTTTAATGTCAGAGAATATCTTTTAATCGCTCATACAGTTTATGCAAATACCGTATACGTGATAAACGTCCCTACAACATGATCTTTGGAATGAACTAAGACAAAGGAAACTCTGAGGAAGGACCATGGCCTGAGAGGTGGAATTCATCCTTCCGAGGACTGAGATGAGGACGGAAAATGAACCATCGGTAAATACAACCTTAGTCCGGATACATTTGCCTAAAATGAGCTCAAAGGGCACAAGTGTGCAGACAAAGCATGCTCAATGACATCATAACTCAGAATTCAGTAAAACCCAGCGTATCAGCTCCCTCACAGGGGATGTGCCAGGGTGGGGGCCACTGTTGAGAGTCTGCACCCAGTAATGGTCAGGGACTCAGTGACAATGACTCTGGCAGCCCTGGCCGGGTATCAGCCGATTGGCCAGGAGGGGGCAGCCTGGCCCAGATCCCCCAAACCAGGTGACTCTCACTAACATTGCCCAGGGCACCAAGACCTGAAGGACATCATGGGATGCTGAAGTTAGAATCAAAGTGCAGCTACAAAAGGGCAGCCACCTGGAGCAAGTCCATCCTGGTAGCTGTCAGAAAGCACTGCATGTTTACTAACGGGGGCCGGCCTTGCTCACATTGTCAGATGGAGTTTCTCAGGAGGCCATGGCTTCTTCAGGGATCTGTTGTCCAGTGGTGAAGGGAGTGGTTTCTGGAGGCAAACCTGCCCGGGGCCGCCCCAACTGCACTGGCTCCCAGAGAGTGACCTGGCTGCGTGAGCAGGGAGACCAAACCCACCGAGAGCCTCAGCATACCCCCAGCACCTGCTGTGAGCAAGCTGCTTGGCTTCCCCAAGTGTGGATATGACGATGTCATGGGTGTTTACAGATTCCCTTGCACTGTGTCCCACAGCAGTACTGGTTCACGTGTGATACACTGCACTTGGGGTGGAGGTGTGCTGACAGTCGTAAAGAGCCGAGCCTTTCTTCATTCTTTCCCATGGCTCTGATACAGTTTCCAGATACCAGTCAGGAAGGAAGTTCCTGAGATGATGGACCTTGTCCTAGTCACATAGGGCTGCTAGGACAAAGTGTCCTAGACTTGGTGGGTGGGGGAGGCGGTGCGTATTAAGAAACAAAATGTATTTGTCAGTCTGGAGGCTGGAAGTCTGACGTTAGGGTCACAGCAAGGTGAGGTTCTGGTGAGGGCTCTCTTCCTGGCTTGCAGACGGCTGCCTTCTCACTGTGTCCTCATGTCAGGGAGAGAGAGAGAGTGCTGGGATCTCTGCTTCTTACCATGGCCCTAATCCCATCATTAGGGCCCCACCCTCATGTTCTCTTCTAACCCTGAGTAACTCCCAAAGGCCCCATCTCCAAATACCATCACGTTAGGAGTTAGGGCTTCACCACAGGAACTGGGCGGGGGGGACACATGTTAAGTCCATCAGAGTCCCCCAGTCAGCCCCACTGTGCCCATTTAGGGGCAGATTGTAGGGCTCAGGCGGGACACAGAGGTGAAGGAAGCATAGGTTCTGCCTCTTGGAAATGGCTCAGCCAAAACAAGGACAGGGACAGTGGGGCAGGAAACAGCTAGTGGGGTAAACCAGCAGAAGCCCCGAGGTGTCACTAAACCAAGGTATCACTTTCACACTTAGGTGAGGAAGTTGGCTGAGCACCCACACACGCCAGAGTACAGACCACATTCCCTTCAAACACGGCTCACTTAACATTCCTAAACCCTGCAAAGGGGAGGTGTTACCTTGTCTCCTGAGGATGGCCCTGAATGTAGAGGAGTCACGGGAGCTGCCCACATCACCCACCAGTGACTCTTCACTCCCCACATTTTCCCCAAGGGCCTGTTGTGCCCTCAGCTGGGGAAGCCCTGCCAAGATAAACTCTCCTTCCCAAAGGCGAAAGCGGGTGGCAGGCCTCCGACACTGCCCACATGGAGCGGAAGGGATGGGGCAGAGAGGCATCTGTCTGGCTGACTGCTGTGTTCTGTGGGCAGATGGGGCCAGAGAGAACCCAAACATGGCTCCCTTTGTCACTTGGCAGAGGGACCAGGCCGCCATATACCAGAGAGCTTTGCCCCATCAGCTTCTGCTGCTGGGCCAACTCCCAGCACCATGACCACAGCTCTGCATGCGGGCAGTGCTGGGACCAGTGCTCTGGCAGTCACAGCGGTCCTGAGCCAACAAGGGCCCTGGGGAGGAATCAGAACTCAGACTGTGGAGAAGAAGGTGTTGGCCAGGAGGGAACCAGGGCAGGTGCTGGGTCCTGTCCATGCTGGGATCTGAGATTCTGAGAGGTGGGTTAGGGGTAAGGGGGGCAGAGGTCGGCCACATGGGGTGAGGGGAGTTCAGCAGAGATGGGGAGGACAGGACAACCTGGGAAAAAGCAGAGTATCCTCCCCAGCCTCAGTCCCTCTCCTGATGCAGTCCTCATCTCACTCGTAGACTCCAGAAGTCTCCCTTCAGTGAACACCTGGCCCCCGACTCTCAGGGCACTTCCCAGACAGCCAGTGCCACATCCCAGGCAGCCCCTGCTCTGCCCTTGGGGTCTGTGCCTGGCAGAAGGGCGACTGACCCTCGGCCCCTCTCGGCCTGGGCCCCAGCTTCTCCTGGCCCTGGGACCAGCAGACACACCCACCTTGCGCCTGGCAGGCTGGTCATGCTTGTTCCCGTTGGTGATGGTGTGTTGGGAGGGAACTGTTTTAGATGCCAATGTAAATCTGTGTCTACATCAATTCCACACGAGTTCAGTCATCATATGGGAAGGGAATCATAGCTGTTGGGGGAGCTCCATGCAAGACCCTGAGGGCCCCTGAGGCCATTCCATGTGGCCACAGCAAGGAGCATCTGCTTCAGCCAGTTGGACAAGACTCTCTCCTGCCCAGAAACAGGCCCCTGCTCTGCGCCCCTCATCATATCCCAAACACACCCATGTGGACGGTCACCTCAACGTCTCCCCTCAGCCCAGTGCCCGTGCTCTTCCTGATGAGGGTTAAGCAGGAGCAGCCGCCTCTCCCCATGTCCATGTTGCAGGCAGCTGCCTTCTCCTCAGCTCCCACCGAGCAGAAAAAAAGCCAGCCAGCTCTCTCCATCCCAGGATTTTCCAGGGATACTGATAATGATGGGAGGCCCCGAGAAGCCTCCCTAAAGCAGGCGGGGCCTTGTGAGTGGATGGTGGGAGGGATCAGGGCTTCCTCAGCATCTGTCAGTCCCCAGAGCATCTGAAGGGGCCCCCTATAACAGGAGAAAAGAGTGGGGCCAGCCCCTGTGGGTTCCCAGTGCCTGGCCTCTCCCAGTTCCTCAGCCCTGAGGCCTCACAGACACCCTCCACAAAGCAGCACAACGCCAAGGGCAGAGGCAGCAGCCCTGAGAGCATTTTCCAAAACAACTACATTTATTCACATTTACACACAAGGCCCCCAAGGCACTGCTTCCCACCCCCCAGGCCCTCCCTTCCTGCCCTCCCCGTTCAGCCACCTTCTCCCTCCCCTCCTTCCCCTACCCTCCAAAGCTAAGGCCCAGCAAGATCAGCACTGGAGGAGAAGCAGCCTTTGCTTTGGGGCACCGGGTGCCATGAGGGTCCGAGACTTCAGAGCCCCACTTTTGGGGACTGGCATCAGAGAGTCTGCCCCATGGCGGCCCCTACTGGCTACAATGCCGCTTCTTCTTCCTCCTGGAGGCCAAGGGGTCACCCTTTCTCTTTTGAGACTGTGAGGGGCCACCCAGCCCCCAAGCCAGGGATTGCTCCCCAGAGACCCTGAGCCCAGGCCCTGGGTGCGGTGTCTTTTCAGCAGGGGATGGGCTTCCAAAGAGAGGTCGCTTCTTGGACTTGCTGGCAGGAGAAGGTGATGGGCTGAGGCCTCTTTTCTGAGCAGATGGAGACTGAAGAGCTCCCTGGGGTCCTCTCCCTCCTGGGCTGAGAAGGCCCGAGGAAGGGACAGGGCTCTGGGACAGCCTCCAGGGCCTCAGCCTGTGGTGGGAACCCACGACATAGACCATGCCAGGGAGTTCCGTCTCCTCACTTGACCCCTTAGCCAGCCCATGTGACTCCTTGACAGGAGACTCTCCAGGGAGACCCAAGGCGTCCTTGGTCCCCAGGCCGGGGCAGGTGGGTCTGTGGTCCTGGGGAGGAGAGGTTGGCCGGACAGCCTTCAGCCTGGGGGAATCCTGACATCCCAAAAGCACAGCAGGGTCTTCGGACCTGGCCATGCCAGTGCGCACTCTGCCCTGTCCCTGAGGGTCCTGGGCAGCTGTCTGGGGTGGGGAGGTTTCCACGCTGACCCTTTGTTGGGGGTCAGGGACCTCTCTCGCTGCTTCTTGGCCAGCTGCAAACTCAGAAGGACTTGAGTCCAACCTGGCCGTGCCATGTCGAGGGGCTGCCCTCCCGCACCCTTTCTCCTTCAAGGACAGGAGGCGCTTCTCCACTAGCTGCGGAAGGAAAGGGGGCACTTACTGGCGCTGCCCCAGGTGTGAGCAGGGCCCAGAATGGTGGAGACCAGGGCACTTGGGTGGGAGGCAGGGAAGCCTGAGGCAGCTGGGCTTCATGTCAAAGAGAGAGGGTGTGGCTCTGCCGGGCATCCCGTTGGGCCTCACTGCAGCTTGCATCCTGACTCCCCTCCCTGGCTCCTCTCCATCCTACTCCCTCTGAACCTGCATCTTCCCACCCCGGAGTGGCTCCCCAAGAAGCTGAACATCCCCAGCAGGGTGGGCTTAGACAATCGGGTGGGCCTTGTGTGCCGGGTCCCTCCTGCCCCTGGAGTACCTGGGTTCCCCTCCCTCCGCTGCTCTACCTGGGCAAGGGTGAGTCCTTCCTCCTGCTCCAGCTCCTGGCTTAGGGCCAAGAAATCCATCTGTGGATCTGGGGAAAGCAATTCTTCCAGGAATCGGGGGTGAATGACGGCCTCCACCTGGAAACAGAAGGAAGAAGGTGTGAACTTCCTGGGGAGGGAGTAACCTGGAGCCAAGGACACCCGGAGGAGATGCAGAAAGCGGGGAGGGCCCCATTCCCACCCTCCTGGGGCTGTTTCATATCATGGCGACCACCAGCTACACGCACAGACCACAGACCTCGTAGCATACACACATACAGACAGAGACACACAAACCACACACAGACACACAGACCCATGTACAACACAGGAAAAGACAGACACAGGTAACATACACACTCCACACTCACACCCACACAGACACACAAAGACACAGTAACAAATCACAGACACAAACACACAGCAACACACAGACACACACAGTCACATACACAGACACTCAAATCCATGGAAATACACATACTACTGAGTAGCTAAGGAACAGAGCTTAATTCCAAGGACCTGGAAGTGCCACCCCCTGGAATCCTACAGACCACAGCACTCCAGGCAAGCCCACCTTGGTGACAAAGTCTTCCTGGGAACACAGCTTGTCAATGTAGCTCAGGAGGCCCGGGTCTGAGGTTATCCCGTCCTCTTCCTGCGGCTGCTCCACTTTGCCCTTTTCCCGTTGTCCCTCAGGCTCCCCTGTGTCCCCAGGGTGAGACCCCAGCAGCTCCTCCATGATGTCCACATACTCCTGCACCACTTCAGGGGGGATCTCCTCAGGGACCTTGGTCTCCGCTGGCCTCTGGGGCCTGGGTGGTGGCAGGTGGGCGTTGGTCTCCGCTGGCCTCTGGGGCCTGGGTGGTGGCAGGTGGGCCTTGGTCTCCGCTGGCCTCTGGGGCCTGGGTGGTGGCAGGCAGGCAGTCGGGGCCTTGGGGCCATCCTTGCTGGGAAGGTACACTGAGGCAGAGAGGGAGGAGGATGGGTGTGGTGAGGGCCGCTCCTCCTGCCTGCACCACACAGGGGAGGGCAGGGCTTGGGGATGTGAAGTGGGTCCCAGCTGGGTCAGGACCACCTGAACCACAGCGCCCCGGAGGAGACGCCACAGGAGGGGCACATCTGAGACAGCATCGCTTGGGAGGAAGTTTGGAGCCACCGATATGCCGTGTACTCTCCCCGCTCATCTCTGCTTCCTGGGCAGAGCATATGTGGAGTTTTGGACAGGCAAGGGGAGAGAGAAAGTAGGAAACTTGGCCCGGTCAATACCCTGCTTCGTGATCACGGGCCACCCATGAAGTAGGTATTCACCTGGTCAATACCCAACATACACTCCCGGAAGCTGTCCTGTTGGAGGGAGCAAATCCCCCTCTTGAAGGGAAGCATGGGGTGTGGGGACAGTGGCCTCCCTTGGCCCCTTTGGCCTTTGCCATGGCTCCTGTGGGAATGTGGGAAGCTGTACCTGGCTGCTTGACCACCTCAGGGGCAGGGGGTCCTCGAGGTTCAAGCCTCGGCGGGGCTGGAGGAGGCAGGCTCTGGGGCCCCTTCATCCACTGCGATTTCTGAATCTGCATCTCCTCCTCAGCCTCAAATTCCAGGAACCTGTGGGTGAAGGAGGCCCAGGCTGTGCTGAGAGGGTCCAGGCCCCCTCCCCCCAGGACCAGGCAGCAGCTGAGGGCAGGGATGGGAGGGAGTGCCTCCGGCGGGCTGTCCAGGCCCTCACTGGGACCCATCCCCCAGTCCCAGGAGGGAGCTGCTCCCAGAGTTCTGGGCTCACCCTCCCTCACCCGGCCCCTGCAGAGCCCATGGCATCAATGGGGCTTCCTGACTCAAGTCAGGGCCACGAGGTCCAGGAGGGTCCCGGGAACCCCTCCTCCAGGTATCAGCTGGCCGGGGGTGGGGTTGATGGCAGAAGGCGTCAGGGATGATGCCCAGATGCAGGAGTCCTGAGGCTGGGACTGTGGGCCCCTGAAGGATAACCCAGGGACACGAGGCCCGGGAGACCCCTGGTCAGGAGGAAGCAAAAGCTGAGCCCAGAGGACAGGGCCCGTTTCCCCTGAGGCTGCTGTCTGTCTGTCTTCACGGACGGTTCTGCCCAGGAGCAAAGGCAGTCAGGCCAGAGAGGGGTCTCATGGTGTCCCAGGTACAGGTCTCCCCTGACCCAACTCCCTGGCCAGGCTGGGATGGGAGAAAACCGACTTCTGGCCACTGCTGTGAGGAGCCTGCCCCCCACTCTGTCTTTAGTCACTAGCACCCCTTCTCCCCATCCCCACAGCTGGAGGAGACCCCCTTTGGGCTGCGATGCTGGCTGCTCCCGCCATGACCCCCAGTGTCAAGACAGCGGTTGGCCCCAGGCCAGGCAGGGGGTGCTTCCCAAGAGGGCGGGACAGAGACCCCAGAGCACTCTAGGTGTCAGGAGCAGCTTCCTGAGGGAGCCAGGGGCCCAGGGCATCCTGTGTTTGTCCACACCCTCCTCATGCTCCATGCTGAGAAGCCACCACGGCCACCGGGCCTCTGTCATTCACTCTCACCCCGCCACACGGGCCCTGCCCCCAGGACCCCAGACTCACTTTTCCGCCATCTCGTAGAAGATCATCCGGTCAAAGTTGCTCGTGTGCTGCCATTCCCGCATGGCCTGCCACAGTCCCTCCTCCAGCGTCATGGTGGGCTTCCGCCGGGCCAGGGATCGGAGAACTGGGCTGTAAACCAGTGCAGTCAGTCCCAGTCTGTAAGCCCACCCTCCATCCCGGGCCCACCTGGTCCCAACACCTGGCTCCTGTCCTCCCCACACCTGTCCTGCCATCTGTCCCTGTCCTGTTCTCCCCCATGTGGGCTCCTCAGCCTCCAGGACACACCCCCAAGATCCAACATCAATAGAAGCCACTGAGTGGCCTCTCCGACTGCCTCTCAAGTCCTCGGTGTTATGATGTTGACAAGCGAACTCAGTGCTATGGGTGGAACATGTGTGTCCCCAACATTCCTGTGCTGAAGCCCTCAGTGTCAGTGTGTCAGTATTTGGAGGCAATCAGGGTTAGAGCAGGTCATGAGCGTGGGTCCCAGTCATGGAATCCGAGCTCTGATAAGGGCAGGAGGAGACACCAGGGCTCTTGCTCTCAGCCACAAGAGCACACAGCCAGAGGCAGCTCTCTCCAGCCAGGAAGAGGGCCCTGACCAGACACCCAATCCGCTGTCACCTTGATCTGGGACTTCTGGCCTCTGGAACTAGGAGACATGAATGTGTCTTGATAAAGCACCCAGTCTATGGGATTCGTTACGGCAGAGCCTGAGCTGACTGAGACACCATGCACACAGAATGACCTGGGAGCGAGGGTTAAAGTGCAGGTTCCTGGGCCACAGGACTGAGCATTTAACCAGCTTCCTGGGGACTCTGGAGCAAGGCAGCCCCTGGGGACACAGCCTCAGGGTCCTGGAGCTTGAGGAGCAGGAGCACACGTCCAGAACCAAAGCAGAGCGGTGTCCAAGCCACTGCAAGCAGCCAGGCACAGCTTCCCACATTCCCACAGGAGCCAAGGCAAAGGCCTGTGAGCCCGGGGCGGCTACACTCCAAGAATCAGGGTCCCCAGTGCACCGGGACTCCGCTCCAAGGGGGGATGCAACCAGTTCCAGGGTGTGGGGGCAGCGAGACTGTTGGGGAGGAAGACGGGGCCGCCTTCACCTACACCCCAGGCAGGGGACTCCCCTAGGGGAATGGCCAGTGTGTTGCACGGTGGATATGCTCAAGCTCCTGTTTGCTCATCAGCGGGAAACACAGGGTCACAGAGGTGCCGCGGGGTGGAGAGAGGCAGGGACTGGGAATGAAACCACAAACTCTCCCAGATGCTGATGTTGCTGCCTCACAGTCACCACAGTCCACGGCTCTGGGCTGCTGGGCTCGTGGTGCACTCAGAGCTATCACTGGAGCCCGTGGCTTTGGGGAGCACTCTCCTAGATGGCCTAGTCCTGATAATGGTAGTAATGGGGACAGTAATCATAACTGCTGTCATGTAATGTGTCATAGTATGTGCCAGGCACTGTGCTACGTATGTCATATGTGAGCTCAGGTCATCTCTTTGCCATCCTCTGAATGAAACACCATTGTCCTTTTTTCTAGGGGGGATTGACGGTGAAGATGCTAATACCTGCCCAGCATCGACCCTAGTGCGGGTCCCAAGACCATCCCCCTGTGCAGGCTCCACCACCGCTGTGCTAACTGGACCGCGGCAGAACAGTGTGGGTGTGTGCCAGGTTCCTGCTGGGCCCTGCAGCTCCTCCCCCCAGCCCCATGTGATGTGCCCCTGGCCATTGACACTCAGTTCGAGGGAAGGCACTGGGGTGTACACTCAAAGACCTAAACCCAGGGTGGGTGCGGTGGCTCACGCCTGCAATCCTAGCACTTTGGGAGGCTGAGGCGGGTGGATCACAAAGTCAGGAGTTCAAGACCAGCCTGCTCAACATAGTGAAACCCCGTCTCTACTAAAAAATACAAAAAATTAGCTGGGCATGGTGGCGGGCGCCTGTAAGCCCAGGTACTTGGGAGGCTGAGGCAGGAGAATCGCTTGAACCTAGGAGGCAGAGGTTGCGGTGAGCCAAGATCTCACCATTGCACTCCAGCCTGGGTGACAGTGCGAGACTCCATCTCAAACAAACAAACAAAAAAGACCTAAACCCTAACCGTGGCTCATGTCACACCAAGAACGCTCTCTGACCTGGGTCTTCTGTAAACATTGTTGTGAAAATTATTGAAAGTGAAAGCCAGGCACGGTGGCTCATGCCTGCAATCGCAGCACTTTGGGAGGCCGAGGCGGGCGAATCACCAGGGCAGGAGATTGAGAGCATCCTGGCTAACATGGTGAAACCCCGTCTCTACTAAAAATACAAAAAAATTAGCCGGGCATGGTGGTGGGCACCTGTAGTCCCAGCTACTCGGGAGCCTGAGGCAGGAGAATGACGTGAACCTGGGAGGTAGAGCTTGCAGTGAGCCAAGATCGCGCCACTGCACTCCAGCCTGGGCGACAGAGTGAGACTCCATCTCAAAAAAAAAAAAAAAAGAAAAGAAAAGAAAAGAAAGTAAGTATTGGGGCGGGGCATGATGGCTCATGCCTGTAATCTCAGCACTTTGAGAGGCTGAGGCGGGCAGATCACCTGAGGTCGGGAGTTCAAGACCAGCCTGACCAACATGGAGAAACCCCATCTCTACGAATACAAAATTGGCCAGGCATGGTGGCACATGCCTGTAATCCCAACTACTCAGGAAGCTGAGGCAGCAGAATCACTTGAACCCGGGAGGCGGAGGTTGTGATGAGCTGAGATCGCGCCATTGCACTCCAGCCTGGGCAACAAGAGTGAAAGTCCATCTCAAAAAAAAAAAAAAAATTAAGGATTGGCTGGACTCACGGGACAGTGACAGGCAGTTGACGTGAGGCCCCTGACAGTCTGTCCTGAGCCGCAGCCAGATTAATGTTGCTGAAAACGTACCTTCCCATAGCACAACCCATCACCCTCACAACCGCCCTGCAAGCTCCCCTGAACAGTGTGACCTCCTGTCCATCCAGCAGCCTCTTTATGAGTGAGCTGCAGGACAAGCTCCGGCGCCCCGAGGACACTCACATGAGGAAGCAGGAAAGCGCTTCAGTGTCAGGACTCTGGGGAAGGTGCCTCCGGGCCAGGGGCTTGTAGTGCTGCCAGAGTCGGAAGTTCTCATAGACACTCTTGGGTTTACAGGAGTCGTCCGGCCGGGCCTTGGCCTGGGAGGGAGCCAGGCTGCCCTCTCCATGAGCCCCTTGTGGCCATGGCCTAGCGTTCCCTGGGGACACGATGGGGGCCACCTGGGCAGCCGGTGGTGGTGGTGGAAGAGGAAGGCCATGGGACCAGCCTCCCTCACAGGCCTGGGTGCCCCCAACCACCTGGGCAGAGGTAACGGGCACCCCAGGAGCAGCTGCCAGGAGTAGGGGAGGTGGACACATGACACCTCCACAGAGGGTGCCTGGAGCCTGCCAGACGAGGGGGGCCTGAGTTAGGATCAAGGTCTGTGCCTGAGGGGGCTTCACAGGCCCCACTTCTGTCCTCATCTGGACAAAGACGTTGGAAGCCCCGGCCCCACTCGGGCCGCGGCCATCCTGTCCTGCCACTAGAGGGGTGCTGGGGAAGGCAGAGAGCACCAGAGGGCCGGCTGGAGGAACCACTGCAGTCACGAGGGGCGGCCTGTGTGCTGGGCCGGGAGCGGGTGTGGCAAAGGGCAGAGCCGTGAACACAGACAGGGAGGTGCCAGGGTTCACGGTCACGCCGGGTCCCAGCACTGGGTATGCTGTGGAGACAAAGGAAAGAGGTGAATGAGCTGGCGTCTCCAGGTCCACACTAGTCACTGGGGAATCAGGGGAGTCCCAACAGCTGAGGGCATGTGACAGGGAAACTCTGCAGCTTGCAAGTGTCCCTGAGTGTGCATCAGATGCTCTGTTCCTCCACGGCAGAGTCGCTCCACTAGAGAGCCTGGCGCCAGTCACCAAGACTCCCTGACCCTTGTCTGCCAAGAAGAAACAGCCAAGCCTTTGCTGTCTCTGAGGGTCTCCCTCGGGTGTCCCTGGCAGACTGCACCAGCCTCACAGGCATCTCCCAAGCCATGGGTCAGGGATGAGTCTCTCGGTGGCTTGGTGGCTCTCAGTGTGCTCAGCAGCAGGTGAGGGGCCTACCCCAGGGCAGTGCTCGGCATTCAGAAGGCCGACAGGAAACCAGAAGTTTCCGAATATTATGGCCCCATCTCCTCTTCAGTCTTCCTTTCCCTGAAGCTCTTGTAAACCCCTTTCTTTCCTAGCTCAACACAACAAAAGAAAACCACTGGATAGGCCGGGCGTGCTGGTTCATGCCTGTCATCCCAGCGCTTTGGGAGGCCCAGGCGGGTGGATCACCTGAGGTCAGGAGTTGAAGACCAGTCTGGCCAACGTGGTGAAACCCCGTCTCTACTAAAATACAAAAATTAGCTGATGGTGCGTGCCTGTAATCCCAGCTACTCAGGAGGCTGAGACAGGAGAATTGCTTGAACCGAGGAGGCAGAGGCTGCAGTGAGCCGAGATCGTGCCACTTCATTCCAGCCCGGGTGACAGAGCGAGACTCCGTCTCAAAAAAAAAAAAAAAAAAAAAAAAGAAAACCACTGGATGGAAACTCACCCAAGCCAGTGCCCTAGGAACCCTGAAGATAACCCATAACACATCACGCCCAGCATGCAAGTGATTGTCCTGGCACCACCCACACAAGTGTTAAATAGGGGTCAGATTCAGGCCACCCATTCCTCAGTGCTCAGTGGTCCCAGCTGCCACTCAGGAAGCTCAGTTCCCAGGGAGCAGATCTGAGAAGCAGTGGTGGAGTCCCCTGAGATATTGTCATTGTGTAGCCAGCAACAGCTGCACATGACTAGAACACAGCCAGCAAATGGTGAGCAGCAGGGCTATCAGGGGAGGTGTCTAGGGATTTTCTTTTTTTTCTTTTTTTTTTTTTTTGAGACGGAGTCTCGCTCTGTCACCCAGGCTGGAGTGCAGTGGTGCGATCTCAGCTCACTGCAACCTCTGCCTCCCAGGTTCAAGCACTTCTCCTGCCTCAGCCTCCTGAGTAGCTGGGATTACAGGCGCCCGCCACCATGCCCAGCCAATTTTTGTATTTTTAGTAGAGACGGGGTTTCACCATATTGGTCAGGCTGGTCTTGAACTCCTGACCTCGTGATCCACATGCCTTGGTCTCCCAAAGTGCTGGGATTACAGGCGTGAGCCACCGCGCCCGGCCAGGGATTTTCACAGCTGCTAGTCATGTTACACTAAATAGTGGGACAGGGAGCCCATCTCTGGTCCTTCTCCTTTGAGCTCCCAGTAACTGAACATAGGGACCAACGAAGAACCAGGGGTTCTTGGGCCACAGGCCAGGTGAGGCAGAGTTGTCTGGAACTCATCCCTGTTCACTAGGACCTCATGCAGTCTCTAGCCAAGGGGAATAAGGGATACAGCACATGCACCTCATCAGTCAGGACACACATCCTAGTTTGAATAATAATAATAATAGGACTGTCTTCCTATTTGTGCGCTACTCTCCTTCCTCTACTGAAAAGGAAACCAGCCTTTTCAGAGCCTTCCACTGAGAACCAGCAAGAATCCACACCTGTCGCCCGTTCATGAGGTAGTATAAATGGAACAGGAGCAAATTCTTCACCTCCACAGTAACACAAAGTACAGAGGACGGGCCATGAGCTAGCTGACGAGAGGAAGTGGGTCTGAAGACCTGAGCTTCCACCAAAGGGCAAACAATTCAGAACAACTCAGGAAACCCAGGCCCTGTGTTGCCTGAACTTCCCCATTCTGCCCCCACCCCTGTTAAATCAAAGCCAACAGCTACCTGAACTGACGGAGAAGCCATCTCTGGGGAGGAAGCTGAGAGGCTCTGGGCTGTGGCAGTTGCAGTGGCCCCCAGCCTTGCCCACCCAGAGGCTGTCACTACATGCTCTGTCACAGCCAACCCACCCAACAGTTTTCTGGCTGAGACCACTTCTCCCCACTCCTCTCTAAGAACTAGAAAACTCCAGTCCAAATCCCTCTAAACACTATGGAAGGGCACCTTCCAGGTGCCTGAAGACACGGCACAGGGCTCAGGCTTGCCCGTCATTCTCCCTGGGCCACCAGCACAACACGATCCCACCACTCCCTACAAACACAATGACGTGACCTGTCCCCCTCTAGAAAGGATCAACCCATCCTCTCCATCCTTTCCACTACACGGTGTATTCCCCCAGGCATCTTGGTCCGCCTCTAAGGAGCCCTCCTCCCTAACCACAGACTCAGGGTGCCATGGCCATCCCCAGGTGTGATGTCCCTGGGGACATCCAGTGCTCCCTCCCTCAACATCAGCCCTATAAGCTGTCCCCAGGGACAGTTCAAATTTGAATTCCCAAGGAGTTGAGGCAAGGCAGACTCGGATAATGCCCCATCCCTACAGGCTCACCTCCATTTGAAGCCATCCCCTCAGGCTGGGCACTGACCACCACTGTCTGGCAGCTTCCGCAATGAAAAAAGTCAAGGGCAGGACCCAGAGAGTGACCTGACTCAGCAGATCCTCCTGAGTCCAAGTGGAGCAGGGATAATTTGCATATAAACAGGTTTGGAACACAGGACCCCAGACATTCTGCAGAGGGGGAGGGGCAGTGGGCAGCCGGGCTTGGCGGGGGTGGGGGACATTCTGTGAAGGGCTCTGGCCAGTAGGCAAGAACCTGAGGTTCCCTTGGTTCAGTTGGTTGCCATCCAACTGGATGGCAGCAACACAGACAGTGTGCGCCTCTTTAGGCAACTTTTAAATTGTCCTTCTGACTCACAGCAAAAGCTTCTACCTGATGTCCCCTTTACTTCCATTCTTTATCAACAGACCTACTTTTGTGCCAATCAACCCATGCTCCTTCCCACTTTGGCTCTTTCCCACTCTTGATGAATTTCAACAGGGGCCACACTTACTTAACAAAATTCAGAACACGTTTTCAGTCTGAGAAACACAGGGGTTCTTAGGAAGGCAAGGGGACTGAGTGTTTGAAATCAGAATGGCCTCAGCTGATCCAGGCTATTAGGTGGCTGTGTGCTCATCATTGTTTAGGAAGCAGTCCTTGTGCCCCCAGGTCATGTATGTTGCTGGAATCTGTCCACACCAGTAGGCCAGCCTTACTTCCCGTCCCCTTTCTTAGGAAGACTCAGTCCAGGAAAGAGAGGCTATGTGACCTACAGCACCGAGACCAGAAATCCTTTCATTTTGTTTCCCAGCATATTGTGCTGGTGTTAAATGTTTATTTTGTATCTTTTACATGATTTTAACTTAACTAAGCAATACTTTTGCATGGTTCCAAATTCAAATTGTGCACAGTGGAATAGACAATGACCAGCCTTCCTCCCACCTCTTTTCTCTGGCCACCACATTTTCTTTCCTGGAGGAAATAGGTGTTATCTGATTCTTTTTCATCTTTCCAGAGATATATTATGCAATCAAAAGCATAATGAAGCTATTTTTGCTGTCTAAAAATATTTTCAGTTTTTTGGGGGTAAAAATTAATATATTAATATGTTCTAGTATTCTTCTGATATTTGCAGTGACTGTATTTGTCCCAGTAATGTGGTTCCTCTCTTTATTTCTGTAGGTAAATTGCTAGAATGAGATGTTGGACTGTTTTTTAAAATTAAAAATACATGAAAGAACATAGTGGCCAGATTTAGCAAGTATGAATAAAGAATACCAAGTGGAATTTGAATTGAAGATAAACAGTGAATTAGTTTTTACTATAATTATGATCCATATGACATTTAGAGTACACTTTTACAAAAAAAAAAATCTGTCCTTTATCTGTGCTATTCACATTTCACTGGGATCTTGCACTTTATCTGGTAACTCTTCCCAAAAAAGTGTAACATATTAGGCAATTATTGTTAACTCTCCACTGTGAGAGTGCGAACTTGCAGTAAGGAGACTCAAGTGTGAATCTTGGCTGCACCACAAAAAGATTCTGCACCACAACCATTGCAGAAAACAATAGCAGGCTGATTTGATGAAAGGAAGTCAGGAGTAGCCATTATACCGTTCTCAGCTTCCAGGTTTAGTGGCAGTACGCACAGTTTTAAGGGACAGGAGAGCAGAACACCGTCTTTTTCTTTCCTAACATAAAGTGGCTTACAATTCCTAGAACTCTGGTTTCTCCAGGAGTTAGAAATCCACAACCCACGTCCATTCTGAGACAAGCAAGGATGCTAACCACCAATGTCCCATCCCCATTCTCATGCATCCCCTTGCATGTGTGAATCCTGGTTGGAGTCTCTCAGCTCGTTGCTGTCCTCATCTTCATCACAAGTGTCATCACATGTGGTTCTCAGCATGGGAATTATTGTAGCCTGTCTTTAAAAAAATCTTCATTCTCATTTTCACACAGAATTGCTGTTTATCAGCGTCAAAATGACAGGAAAGAGCACTCATGTTCTGTGTTGTGAACAAGGGGAGTGTTAGGAAACTGGTCAAAGGAGATGAGGAGTGAGTACTCAGAGCACAGCAAGAAAATCTGAGACACAGATGTCACTCCCTGCTGGGCAGCAGTCTTTTGCACTGATGGGTGGGTGTTGGGGAAGGGAAGAGGCCTTCAGCCGGACCAGTGCACACTGTGAACATTCACTGAAACACACCCTGTTGGCACTTAAGAAGCATTTGCCCCTTTCAAAGACATTTGGACTCAAGAAGGCAGAGTTGCAGAAAACGTAACGGGCCACACTGCAGGGGCAGGCAGTGGATTGCAAGTCTCAAGCCCAGGGTTCTCCCCTCCTTGCCTGGGTTGTGTGAAAAAGTCATTTCCTAACTCCTATCCGATATCCTCATGAGTTCTCGGTTTTGTCCCAACTCTAAAACTGAATGGTCCAGCGAGCATTTCTATGAAATGCCTCCACAGTGGCCACTGGGAGGGGAGTGACCTCCACACAGTGACTGCCTGTCTGGATGCTCCCAGGCCTTTTGTCCTCCGAGACAGAGCTGCCTCCTTACATGCAGCCCTCTTCTGCTGTGCAACTCTACCTCGATCTTAGCTGAGAAGATCAGCGGAGAGCAATTCAAGCAAAATCATGGTAAACTTACCAAAACCAAACCAAACAAACAGTAAATGCTTTGGAGATCTTTCTGAGGACGCGATCTTTTATCACGGGGCAAAAACTTAAATGATTTTCAATCAGTAACTTCATCTAAGAGGGATGTTGAGGCAAAATATCACACTCAGGCACTGAAGAAGGGCAGAATTCTTGTTTGCTTCCTCCCTTGTCAAGTTAGTCAGTCAATGCTTTCTCAAGATGCTCACACATGGCTTTGATACAGGATTTGAATGAGTCTTTTTCTGAGCCACTGATACAAAAAGTATATTGTGGAAGTGTCTTGTTTCAATTCTGCAATCGCTTCTGTATGTGTTTGAAGTCCTAGACCCCAGGAGGAGAGACAATCAAATTAGCCAAAGGTAATTTGTGAAGACTGGCCATAGAAGGTGGTGGCTAAAAGTCCTCTGGCCCCTGCTCTCTGAGCATGCCCACAGAAAGTCCTGGGCCACACTGACTGCTGAGAAACATCATCTCAGGGCTTGGATCCCCTGTTCAGAGGACAGATGCTCTTCCACCCAATCACTGAACAGTAGAGGAATGGCGGCTCCATGCTGTGTCTGGCAGAGCTCTCAGTCTCTGCACTTGAGACCCTAGGCCGTCATAGACGTGAAGGCTCTTCAGTGTCATCACGTGGAGACAGACGGTAGGAATCCTGCAAATGAGCAGAAAGGATCTGATGATGAAAGTTTGTTCTGAAGCTACTACAAACTCAAGTCAGTGAGTTGCTTCTGTACTAGCTTTTTTTTTTTTTTTTTTTGAGATGGAGTCTTGCTCCCACCTTGAAGTGCAGTGGTGTGATCTCCTCTCACTGCAGCCTCCGCCTCCTGGGTTCAAGCAATTCTGCCTCAGCCTCCCAAGTAACTGGGACTACAAGTGCGCGCCACCACGCCTGGCTAATTTTTGTAATTTTGGTAGAGACGGGATTGCACCATATTGGCCAGGCTGGTCTCGAACCCCCAACCTCAGGTGATCTACCCGCCTCAGCCTCCAAAAGTGCTGGGATTACAGGCGTGAGCCACCGCGCCCGGTCAGACTCTCTCGTTTCTAGGAGGGACGGTCTTGGAGGCTCCAAGGAGAAGGCGTCGCCTGGCCCCAGGAAGCGCCCTGGTGCAGCGTCCCTCCATTTCCCCATCTCCTGCGGGGCCCTCCCAGGGCGGGCTCCACGCCTGCCCTGCGCGCCTGCGCAGGAGCCTTGAGGCGGGCGGGGTTCCAGCGCGCAGCCGGCCGCCCTCAACCGCTCCCAGCATCGGTTGCCGGTGGTTCGGGGCAGGGAGACGACGCAGCGCGAGCGGAAAGGGCGGTTACCCAACGGCCTTAGCTCTCATGGCGTCCTCCGTGGTGTTACCTAAAAATAAAGTTATTTGTGATTAGAAGGTAATCGCCTCCTGGTCATGCTTCCGCTGGTCAACAGTGTCTGCGGGGCGACCCCATCCTTGTGGCCAGAGAGGGCCTGTGGCTGCGCTCAAGGCGGGAGCGGTCCTTAGCGGGGCCCTGCGGGACGCCCAGGCCGCGCTCCTTTCCCTTGCTCGCCTGGCCTTGAAGTGAAGGGGGAGGTTTAACAATGCAGTGGGAACCCCAAAGTTTGTCTCGGCCGTGCTGCTCACATTCCAAACAATGCAAAAGGTTGAGGAAAACCTCAGCAGTTGAAACCGTGATGCATTTCAGCAAAGAAGTAGCTCCTGTCCTCGTAAAATCAGTGAAGTTCTCACGGACGACCTCATTGAGTGAGTTGTGAAGCTTGTTGCCTTAATCAGAATGATCAGCCAGCATGCATGCTCTAATATGCTCGTTTGTCAATGATATGAGCAGCTGCAAAGTGGAAGAAGAGGCCTTTACTCATAGTCTGTTCACTTGGTAGCACAAGTTGGTTGTGGAAGCAAGAGTGTGGCCAAAGTCAAGAAAAGCTTCTATGAGAATCGCTTACTTATGTGGAATTTAAATAAAAAGTAGTGTATATTATTATTTGTAAATTGTAGACTACACATGTATTATATCTAAAATTTACTGCACACACGTGTGTGTCCTGGGCAGTTGGTCAGTGTGTGTACTTGAGAATGTGAGAAAGATTTGTTTTGCATTTTGGGGGGTGTGAGATTTGTGGGGGTGGCTGTGTGTATGTGAAAATGTGTTTATATGAATGCTTAGTTTGGAATTTGTTGCGTATTTAATTCGTGAGAATCTAATATGTATTCACCTGTGTGGGTTGGTGGTGTCTGTGTGGAGATTGCAGATTAAAGAAGGTCATAATTGGGCTGGGCATGGTGGCTCATGCCTGTAATCCCAGCACTTTGGGAGGCTGAGGTGGGCGGATCACTTCAGGTCAGGAGTTCAAGACCAGCCTGGCCAACTTGGCAAAACGCCATCTGTACTAAAAATACAAAAATTAGCCAGGCGTGGTGGCATGCACTTGTAGTCCCAGCTACTCGGGAGGATGAGACAGGAGAATTGCTTGAACCCAGGAGGCAGAGGCTGCAGTGAGAGGAGATCACGCCACTGCACTTCAAGGTAGGAGCGAGACTCCATCTCAAAAAAAAAAAGGAAAAGTAAAGAAGGTCATTCATAACTATTCATAACTGCTTTTGTGAGAGTGTGTAGGTGTGAGTGTTTATATTTGGAGGATATGAGGTGTAATATGTGTATACAAGAAGAATTGGGGTTCGATATTTGTGATTTGGGTTGTGAAGATGTATTTTCCATAAGTTTTCTGAAATGAATGTTGGGGATTTGTATTTGTCTAATGTTTGGCAGATCTGGAAGAATTACCTTGTTGTGCATGTGGGCAATAATAGAGAAAGTGCTTGTGTCTATTTTTGTGGATGTACACTGTGGTTTACATATTTGGGGAATGTAGGAAGACCATTTGTGTGCTTAGGATATGTTGCATCATTGTGTGTGTTTCTTTTCACGATTTTCAGGGGTTGTGTATGGCCATTTCAATGTGTGAGGGCAGATCCATGACTATTGGGGGACTGGTAGAATGAATGTGTGCAGTTGTGAGGTGGACTTTGTATGATTCTGTGTCTTGGAAAATGGAGGAGTTATTTCTGTGTGAGCATTTAGAGGTGTGATTACATATGTGCAGGTATTGTGGGACTGGATGTGTATTTGGGGATATGAGGTGGCATGTTTGCATATTTGTGGCGTGTTAGTTAATCGCAGGTATATTTAGGGCATGTAGGGAACTCCATGAGTATTGAGTGTGTGTGTGTGTTCAAGGGCATGGCAGTTTGGATGAATGTTTTGTGGAGCTATGTGCTTGTATTTTTCAGTGAGTGGTTATTAGGGTTATATATTCTGGGAATGTAGTATATGTGTCTCTGATAGAGAGATGGGGTTCTGTGTTTATACAGGAGAGTGAGAGAATTGAATTTATATGTATTAGAGGTATGTGATATGGTTATTGGTTAGTACTTGGCGATGTGAGAGACACTCCCCTCGTTTACAAAGCAGTGCCCAGCTGGTTTGTGCGAGTGGAGAATATGGTGGACCGGTTCCTAAGGAACAGTGACCTGTGCTACCGGTGAGCAGTAAGATGTGTTTCTTCGTAATGTCTTTTGTCATGTGGTTAGTGTGGTTTACACTTCCCCCAAGTTATAATTTTTTTTTTTTTTGAGACGGAGTCTCGCTCTGTCGCCCAGGCTGGAGTGCAGTGGCGTGATCTCGGCTCACTGCAAACTCCGCCTCCCGGGTTCACGCCATTCTCCTGCCTCAGCCTCCCGAGTAGCTGGGACTACAGGCACCTGCCACCAGGCCCGGCTATTTTTTTGGATTTTTTTAGTAGAGACGAGGTTTCACCGTGTTATCCAGGATGGTCTCGATCTCCTGACCTCGTGATCTGCCTGCCTCGGCCTCCCAAAGTGCTGGGATTACAGGCGTGAGCCACCGTGCCTGGCCTTCTTTAGATAATTTGAACCAGTTTATAACAAAAATTTTAAAATAGACTACAACTAAGTAGAAGACAGACCACGACATAGAAAGTAGAATGAAGTTAAAATTCTGGGCTAATACAATTATGCTGGCTAAACATCATTAGAAGCAACAAGGTATAACAGAGAATGTAGATTTTGAAGTCAAACACATTTGTTCACCCCTTCCTTACTGTATAATGTTGAGGAGTTGCTTAATTTCTGAGATGTAACATCCTCCTCCACAAAATGATGTAACAATTATGTTGTAGAGTGTTGTGAGAATTAAATAAAATGACATTATGTGTGTTCTGGATGATACTTAATCTATTTTCTTTCCTTTAAGCTGTTGTTTGAGATAAAAGGGAGACAGAATTATGCAAATTTTGTTGTTGAATATAGGCTTTGTTTCCGTGATTCTTGGAAGTGTGGTTCCTGGACCATCAGCATCAGCATCACCTGGGAAGCAGTTAAAAATGCAAATTATCAGCCGGGTGCAGTGGCTCACACCTGTAATCCCAGCACTTTGGGAGGCCGAGGCGGGTGGATCATGAGGTCAGGAGTTTGAGACCAGCCTAGCCAACATGGTGAAACCCCGTCTCTACTAAAAATACGAAAATTAGCTGGGCGTGGTGGTGGGCGCCTGTGATCCCAGCTAGTTGGGAGGCTGAGGCAGGAGAATTGCTTGAACCTGGGAGGCAGAGGTTGCAGTGAGCCAAGATTGTGCCACTGCACTCCAATCCAGCCTGGGTGACAGAGCGAGACTCCATCTAAAAAAAAAAATAGAGATGGGGTTTCACTATGTTGGCAAGGCTGGTCTCGAACTCCTGACCTCAAGTGATCTGCCCGCCTTGGCCTCCCAAAGTGCTGGGATTAGAGGTGTGAGCCACTGTGCCTGGCAACAGACTTTAGTTTAAGATAAAGTTCTTTTTTTTGTTTGTGTTTTTGAGACGGAGTCTGGCTCTGTTGCCCATGCTAGAGTGTAGTGGCGTGATCTCGGCTCTCTGCAACCTCTGCCTCCCGGGTTCAAGCAATTCTCCTGCCTCAGCCTCCCGAGTAGCTGGGACTATAGGCATGTGCCACCATGTCTGGCTAATTTTTGTATTTTTAGTAGAGACAGGCTTTCACCGTGTTAGCCAGGATGGTCTCGATCTCCTGACCTCGTGATCTGCCCGCCTCAGCCTCCCAAAGTGCTGGGATTACATACAGGCGTGAGCCACCGCACCCGGCCAGAATAAAGTGATTTAAAAAAAAAAAAAATTATTTTGGACCTTTAAAATTAGACCATACTATAAAAAAAAAAAGTCCACACTCTTTTATGTTCAGCAAATTCATACTAAAATATTCTGTTTTTGTAGGATAAAGGCCAAGAAAACTTTACATATGCTACAAGTTTATTACATGTATTTACATGGCTCTTTCTTCCCTAGTTACTTAAAACTTTCACATTATACAACTCTCCAAAGCAAGCTTCCTCTCCCCAAGGCAAGCTTTGCAGAAATGATGAGGTCGTATTACTATCAGAATAGCTTAGGCAGTGCCATAATATAAAAATGTTTTGTTTTGTTTTTGAGATGGAGTCTCGCTCTGTTGCCTGGGCTGGAGTGCAGTAGCGAGATCTTGGCTCACTGCAATCTCTGCCTCCTGGGTTCAAGCGATTCTCCTCCCTCAGCCTCCTGAATAAGCTGGGATTACAGGCATGTGCCACTGTGCCTGGCTAATTTTTGTATTTTTAGTAGAGATGGGGTTTCATCATGTTGGTCAGGCTGGTCTCGAACTCCTGACCCTGGATCCGCCTGCCTCGGCCTCCCAAAGTGCTGGGATTACAGGCGTGAGCCACCGTGCCCAGCCATAAAAATGTATTTTGAAAGCTATTGAGTGACTGTTAAATGATGTTTTATTTTTTTTAAAATGGTTTTGGGCTGGGCGCGGTGGCTCACGCCTGTAATCCCAGCATTTTGGGAGGCCGAGGCGGGCGGATCATGAGGTCAGGAGATCGAAACCATCCTGGCTAACATGGTGAAACCCCGTCTCTACTAAAAATACAAAAAATTAGCCGGGCATGGTGGTGGGCACCTGTAGTCCCAGCTACTCGGGAGGCTGAGGCAGGAGAATGGCATGAACCCGGGAGGCAGAGCTTGCAGAGAGCAGAGATCGTGCCCCTGCACTCCAGCCTGGGCAACAGAGGGAGACTCCATCTCAAAAAAAAAAAAAAAAGGTTTTGGTGTATTTGTTGGCAGACACCTATCCACTGCATTTAGAGAAAGGGACATTGGGGTATACTCTGCCTCGTTCTAATAAACCCCAAGTGCCCTTTCCAGTTTCACCACTGTACAATTTACTAAAATGCAACTATTAGGAAAACTTCACATTTTCTTTTGGCAGTGCATCAGGTTGTTGGCATATTACTGGTTTGAGTGCTTCTAGTATACTGAACTTTCAGAAGTTTACCTACTTCTTAATCCTGTGTCTTAGCTAGATGTTTACAATCTGATTCACTTTCAGCAATCTATTATCCATGAATAATAATCGTATATTACTATTTTCCCCCAACATTCAATAGAAAAAGTTGATGCCCTTGCTAGTCCCCAAATCTAAACTTGAATGGTTTCACTTAAAAGTTACTCATTTGAGGCTGGGTGTAGTGGCGCATGCCTGTGATCTCAGCACTCTGGGAGGCCAAGGCAGGCGGATCACTTGAGGTCAGGAGTTTGAGACCAGTCTGGCCAACATGGTGAAACCCCGTCTCTACAAAAAATATAAAAATTAGCTGGGCGTAGTGGTGCACGCCTTTAATCCCAGCGACTCAGGAGGCTGAGGCAGGAGAATCGCCTGAACCCAGGAGGCAGAGGTTGCAGTGAGCCAAGATTGCACCACTGCACTTCTGCCTGGGTGACAGAGCAAGACTCTGTCTCAAAAAAAAAAAAAAAACTCATTTGAGAACCCTTAATAATTAGTACAATTATTAATTTAGTTACTTTAAGTTGCACTGATGCTATCATTACATCACAGTGCACCCAACACATAAAACAAATGAGATGAAGTCAATTTTATTTTTTATACTAATTAACAGTTCTACACTAATACATTAATCCCTTGGTGTATTTGTTTTAGACCAGTTGACAACTATCTGTAAACATAGCTAAATGTAAACATTAGTACTTTATCTTATTTTGTACCTGTACTTTAAGTAAGGTTTTAAGTTAAAATGTCATTATTGCCTTATCGGAAGAATTAAAGGAAACAGCTTGGTGGTTTGGGAAGAACACTTGGTGATGGAGGTTCACTACATTTGGCCCTGGCAAAGTTCTGATTAGCTTGAGATTTAAAAAGTAAGCTGGGACCTGAAAAGTTCAGAGTTCCAATTTTGATTTTTTGGAAAATTTTTGTTCTTTCCCCCGTCTTGCATGGCCTGCCCTGCAGCTGCTGATGAGTTATATCCCTGTCTTCTTTTTTCTTATGAAGAATCTTCATTGGGGGATTCTGACTCTTGGTCTATTAAGCTGTTGTTGATTCTACTAACATTTCTAGGTTGAGGGGCTGGAATGTTACACCTCTCTCTACCACTTGTCTTCAGTTTCTTTATCACTTGTCCTCTTTCTTAGTGTCAAGTTCAGGACAATAGGTGTTGCTTTCTGACAGATCCTTTCCTTTGTCTCAATACAGAAGTTTTCATGGGCTGAGCTGCTGACTTCAGCCTGGGAACTGAGGCCAACATCGGAGTCTCCTCGGCACACAAGTTTGAAAGAAGTCCTAGTGACTTCAAGCTCAGAACCATGGACGGCAGGGCTCCCTCTGGATGTGGAATTCTCCGTCCCTTTCCAGGGAGGGAACAAAGCCCACAAGCACCGGTGAGTGAACTGCTGACCACCCCCGCAATTTAAAACATATCCTTTTGTCTCTTATCTTTGCAAAAATAACACGGCATAAAATTTATTCCTAGCAGCCAGCTACCTAGAGATACCACTTTCCTGTCTCTGCCCATCCATATTATGTCTCCCTGTTTTCTTCTGAAGCCCGCCAAAACCTGTTTTGTAAACTGCTTTCTCCTTACTCAATATATAGTGGGCTTTTTTTTTTTTTGAGATGGAGCCTCCCTCTGTTGCCCAGCTGGAGTGCAGTGGTATGATCCCAGCTGACTGCAACCTCCGCCTCCGGAGTTGAAGCAATTCTCCCCCCTCAGCTTCCCAAGCTTCCCAAGTAGCTGGGACTACAGGCACAGGCCACCTCGCCCAGCTAATTTTTGTATCTTTAGTACAGACAGGCTTTCACCATGTTGGCCAGGCTGGCGTTGAACTCCTGACTCAAGTGATCCACCTGCCTCGGCCTCCCAAAGTGCTGGGATTATAAGCGTGAGCCACCGCACCTGGCCTATAGTGAGCATTTTCTGTCAATCATAAATATTCTCCCATAAAATGACTTTAAATGTGCGCAATAAATTCTACCAAAAGGCTGGGTGTGGTGGCCCATACCTACAATCCCAGCACTTCAGGAGACCGAGGCGCAAGGGTGGCTTCAGCCCAGGAGTTCAAGACCAGCCTGGGCAACACAGAGAGACCCCCATCTCCACACACACACACACACAAAATTAGCCAAGGGTGGTGGTATGAATCTGTAATCCCAGCTACTCAGGAAGCTGAGGCAGGAGGATTGGTTGATTCCAGGAACTGGAGACTGTAGTGAGTCATGATCATGCCACTGTGCTGCATTCTGGGCAAAGAGTGAGACCCTGTCTAAAAAAAAAATTCTGGTCGGGCACGGTGGCTCATGCTTGTGATCCCAGCACTTTGGGAGGCTGAGGCGGGCGGATCATGAGGTCAGGAGTTTGAGACCAGCCTGGCCAACACAGTGAAACTCTGTCTCTACTAAAAATACAAAAAATAGCTGGGCGTGGTGGTGGGCGCCTGTAATCCCAGCTACTTGGGAGGCTAAGGTAGGAGAATCGCTTGAACCCGGGAGGCAGAGGTTGCAGTGAGCCGAGATTGCACCACTGCACTCCAGCCCAGGTCACAGAGCTAGACTCTGTCTCAAAAAAAAAAAAGTTTTACTAAACGAATTTCCATGATTTAGAATCAGTCACCTATTGTTAGTTATTTATGTAGCTTCCAATTTTTCTACCACAAATAGCCTTGCTAAACATCCCTGAAAATTAACGTATGCATATATCCTGGATTGTTTTTCATTTGAATACATTTCTAGATGCGAATGAATGAGACCAAATGTAGGTAAGAAATGGAAAGGTTTAGGTGGGCCCGGGTGCGCTGACAGCAGCACCACAACAGCTCAGTGACAACACAGTGGCGGGGACCTCATCAGCGCCCAGTCCTTTCTTGATTTACCGCGTTGCTTCCTCCCTCTTCTCCCTAGTAATTATTATTCAGAGCTTCCCAGAATAAAGCCGGGGCCCTGATTTTACCTAGACAAACAGTGCCACAGGTTTCCCCGACGGAAAGACTGAACCCAGCAGAGAGAAGCGGGTGAGGGTGGGAGTTCCAGAAGGGAAGGGGCACAGGTGGGGCCTGGATCCAGATTATGGATGGATGCCCCTCCCAGGTAGCACCCAGGCCCAGCCCTGCCCCTCCCATGCATGGGAGTAGCAGGAGGTTGTGATAGTGGCCCTGACAACAGGTAGCCGGCCCTCTTTTATGCCATTGACCATGGAGTGCTGTAGTCTCTGTCTTCCTTCTTTCTCCTCACCCTCCCTTGCCCCACACCTTTGGCCCTCCTCCCTTCCCCCTTCACCAGGTCTAGGTGAGTGGGATGAGCCCAGCCTCCGCAAAGGCCTCGGGCTGGGGAGCCGCTGCACACTGCAGGCATCTAGCTATAGGAGTGTCCAGGTTGCAGCTTGGGACCAGCCCTTGGAGGAAGAAGTCTAACTCAGTGCTCTTTACCTGCACACTGTAATGGGATGACTGGTTTCTTTTGGTGGTGTTTTTCTTTTTGACGGAAGGGGTTCCGGATATCAGAAATAACTTCTTTTTTTTTTCCCAGAGACAGAGTCTTACTCAGCCATCCAGGCTGGAGTACAGTGGCACAATCTCAGCTCACTGCAAATCTGCCTTCCAGGTTCAAGTGATTCTTATGCCTTAGCCTCCTGAGTAGTTGGGACTACAGGTGTGCGCCATCATGCCTGGCTAATTTTTGTACTTTTTGTGGAGACAGGGTTCACCATGTTGGCCAGACTGGTCTCAAACTCCTGGCCTCAAGTGATCCGCCCGCCTTAGTCTCCAAAGTGCTGGGATTACAGGCGTGAGCCATTGCGCCAGGCCAGAAAGGAGTTCTTGGGACAAGACATCAAAACCAGCTGTTAGCCAGTTCCCCTATCCTTGCTTTCTGTTTCACTGGTTGTTCAGGGAGTGAAGAGATGAAGCTTTAAGTGCAAGTATGATGCAGGTCACTCACTCACCTGGCATTTCGTGATGTTTTTTCCTTATTCACTTTCCCTAAGTCTGATTCTCCTGTTTATATCCTTCACTGCTGTATAAACTTCTCCAATGCAAGGGACCAGCTCTTACATTTCTTATGTTGTTTCCTAGATAGATAGATGGATACCTATAGATATATATAATATAAATAATATATGATACATATTTGTATATATTGAATATATATTTTTTAATATATGACATGCCCACTTGTATACTACTGCTTGGGCAAGAGAGATAGCTAGGAGTAAAACAGCAGTTGTCCTACGTGGCAGTCAGCTGCTTCTCCTGCTCACTGCCACATGAATCATCACTAAGGGGAATGTCCCCTGAGCACTACTGAGAACTGGGGGGATATATGGTTCGATACTTTACCTGGATTACTGCCCTTCACCTGGCTGAATGCCACCTCCTTAAGTCTCAGCTTAACTTTCACTTCCTCTGGGAAAGTAGTTCTGATTTTCCCCCACAAAACTAGAAAACATAAGTCCACAGGAATCCCACTGTTGAATGAACTAAGGAAAATGGGTGATTTTTAGTAGAGACGGGGTTTCACCATGTTGGCCAGGCTGGTCTCGAACTCTTGACCTCAGGTGATCTGCCCGCCTTGGCCTCCCAGAGTGCTGGGATTACAGGTATGAGCCACCGTGCCCGGCCTAGGAGACTTTTTGAAATGCAAAAAAACAAAAACACAATTACAACAGCTCTACCCTGTGTACATGCTTTAGAAAATAATGCTATTTACCTTAATTTTCACATTTTCAACAAAGAGCAGGCACAATTTGCTAGTGAACAGGACCCCAATTTATTGTTTCCCTTATTACTATATTTCTCTACTGTTCTTATGATTCTACTTTAAGAAGACATTAATTTAATACTATGGAGTTGTAATTTATTACATTGGATACCTAAAAGGGGTAGAATCAGGTTGAACAAAGAATTTTCTTGGCATAATTAGTACAAATGTTTTGTTTATGAAGTGCAGCAATATCTCCTTTAGACCCAGGCAAGAGGGACCCTGCTGTGAACCCTGGCACCCCAACACATTTTATGCACCCCAATACCTATGTTGCTTTGTTACAGGCAAATGGTGCTTTCGTCTCTCAGGACCCCATGCCCTGTGCTGGCACAGCATGACCTAAAGCCCTAAACACCAACGCTTATGTGCAACACTGCTCACCAAGGGATATCTCTTGACCTATGCTCCCAACACACAAGGCACCTGCATACAAAGGTCATGAGAGTTTGTGGGTTGTATGCCACTGATGTCAAAGCAGATACTGTTCCAATTAGAGGAAGGATTCCAGAGGAGGAAGCACTTAAGAAAGAAAAAAACATAATTGCCTGCCAAATCCTTACACGTGGTTAGCATGAAAGCAATTAGCTCTTGCCTAATTGAAATATTGGTATGCTGAGCATTCGTGTTCTTTTCACATTCCAATTCTGATTCCTGAGGTACTTAAATCACTTTGGTATTCACCACAGTTGCGTATAGCACCTGAGAAACATTTTCTAACACTGAATGATGCATGCTATTCTTACATTTGTATGTATGTAGGACTAGATGTAACAAGCATCTATACCGTCAGTAGAGCATAAATTATGTGCCGATTTCAATTATAATAACATAAGTGGGCCGGGCGCGGTGGCTCACGCCTGTAATCCCAGCACCTTGGGAGGCCAAGGCGGGCAGATCATGAGGTCAGGAGTTGGACACCAGCCTGGCCAACATGGTGAAACCCCGTCTCTACTAAAAATACAAAAATTAGCCTGGCATGGTGATGCATGCCTGTAATCCCAGATACTCAGGAGACTGAGGCAGGAGAATTGCCTGAACCCAGGAGGCGGAGGTTGCAGTGAGCCGAGATCGCGCCACTGCACTCCAGCCTGGGTGACAGCGTGAGACTCCGTCTTGGAAAATAAAATAACATAAGTGAAGGCCCAAAAAAATAATAATAATGCAATATGTATTTTATTTTATTACTCATCCCCTAATCACCAGCTTATCATCAGAGCATCCAGACACATTCAACCATAATCACACTCAATTATCTTGACATTTTGCCTTTTTTTTTTTTTTGAGACAAGGTCTCGCTGTGTTGCCCAGGCTGGTCTCAAACTCTTGAGCCAAGCAATCCTTCTGCCTCAGCCTCTTGGGTAGCTGAGTTTATAGGTGCACACCATTGCACTAGCTCCATTTTTTTACCTTAGGAGAAATAGAGCTTTAAACCAATTTTAAAAGTTTAATGTTCTGTAATCCCCGCACTTTGGGAAGCTGAGGTGGGCAGATCACCTGAGGTTGCGAGTCTGACACCAGCCTGGTCAAAATGGTGAAACCCTGTCTCTACTAAAAAATTACAAAAATTAGCTAGGTGTGGTGGCCCATGCCTGTAATCCTGCTACTTGGGAGGCTGAGGCAGGAGAATTGCTTGAATTGGGGGGGTGGAGGTTGCAGCGAGCCAAGATCATGCCACTGCACTCCAGCTTGGGCATCATCAGAGCAAGGCTCCGTCCCCTCCAACCCCCCGCCAAAAAAAAAAGTTTAATGTTTTAGAAGGGCGCATTTGTCAAGCTAGGAAGATAGAGCATGTTTTCTCTGACAGTTTAATTCGATTTGCAACTTAAATACCTGGATATAGGATATTTGGGCCTTCTTTTGCATTCTTAGTCTGGGCCCTGCAAGTGTTAGGGGAAGGTCTGAACTACTCTAATGGTTTGATTTTATTTTTAAAATTTTTTGAAATGAGTCTCACTCTGTCACCCAGACTGTAGTGCAGTGGTGTGATCTCGGCTCACTGCAACCTCCGCCTCCCAGGTTCAAGTGGTTCTCCTGCCTCAGCCTCCTAAGTAGCTGGGATTACAGATGTGCACCACCACACCTGGCTAGTTTTTGTATTTTTAGTAGAGACGGGGTTTCACCATGTTGGCCAGGCTGGTCTCGAACTTCTGGCCTGAAGTGATCCTCCCTCCTCAGCCTCCCAAGAGAGCTGGGATTACAGGTGTGAGCCACCGTGCCTAGCCATAGTTTGATTTTAAATACCAATAACCTTGATATTTTTGAAAGCCTACTTGTTTATTTTCTCTCTGGTATATTGCAACTATTTTTTTAAGAACAACTCAGCAAAATAAAATTCCTGTTTATTGTTGGACAACATTGTTTCATGCATATATCAAACAGGCCAAAAAAACCCCCAGCAACTTTATAAACAAACAAACGGAAAAAAAAAGGCCGGGCGCAGTGGCTCACGCCTGTAACCCCAGCACATTGGGAGGCTGAGGTGGGCAGATCATGAGGTCAGGAGTTTGAGACCAGCCTGGCCAACATGGTGAAACCCCATCTCTACTAAAAATACAAAAATTAGCCGGGCGTGATGGCATACGCCTGTAATTCCAGCTACTCCGGAGGCTGAGGCAGGAGAATCACTTGAACCCGGGAAGTGGAGGTTGCAGTGAGCCAAGATCGTGCCACTGCACTCCAGCCTGGGCAACAGAGCGAGACTCTGTCTCAAAAAAATAAAAGGAAAAAAAAGAAGCCTTTTATCTCTGGCCTTTTTGTTTTTGAGATGGAAACTCACTCTGTCGCCCGGGCTGCAGTGCAGTGGCACGATCTCAGCTCACTGCAATGTCCGCCTCCCGAGTAGCTGGGATTACAGGCGCCCGCCACTACGCCCAGCCAATTTTTTGTATTTTTAGTAGAGACGGGGTTTCGCCATGTTGGCCAGGCTGGTCTCGAACTCCCGACCTCATGATCTGCCCGCCTTAGCCTCCCAGAAAAAAAAAAGGCCTGAGATTACAGGTGTGAGCCACTGCGCCTGGCCTGTTTTTTAGTTAGTTTTTTTTTTTTTTTTTTTCGAGACGGAGTTTCATTCTTGCCCAAGCTGCAGTGCGATGGCGGATCCTGGCTCACCACAACCTCCGACTCCCGGGTTGAAGCGATTCTCCTGCCTCAGCCTCTCCAGTAGCTGGGATTACAGGCATGAGCCACCACGCCCGGCTGATTTTTTGTATTTTTAGTAGTGATAGGGTTTCTCCATGTTGGTCAGGCTGGTCTTGAACTCCCAACCTCAGATGATCTGCCCGCCTCGGCCTCTCAAAGTGCTGGGATTACAGCCGTGAGCCGCCATGCCAGCCGGCCTTTTTAACTAGATCATATAAACCAACTACTTATAGTACAGCTAAGTACATACACAAAAAAGTTACTGCAATGGTGGGAATAAGATTGTTTTTCAGGGCTGGGCGTGGTGGGTCACACCTGTAATCCCAGCACTTTGGGAGGCTGAGGTGGGCGGATCACGAGGTCAGGAGATGGAGACCATCCTCGCTAACACGGTGAAACCCCGTCTCTACTAAAAATACAAAAAATTAGCCGGGTGTAGTGGCGGGCGCCTGTAGTCCCAGCTAGTGGGGAGGCTGAGGCAGGATAATGGCTTGAACCCGGGAGGCAGAGCTTGCAGTGAGCCGAGATCGCGCCACTGCACTCCCGCCTGGGAGAAAGAGCGAGACTAACTCTCAAAAAACAAAACAAAACAAAACAAAAACAAAAAAAAAACTTGTAAGAAAAGCAAAAACGACAACAGAAAAACAATCTTTTTTTTTTGAGACAGAGTCTTGCTCTGTTGCCCAGGCCGGAGTGCAGTGGCGCGATCTCGGCTCACTGCAAGCTGCGCCTCCCGGGTTCACGCCATTCTCCTGCCTCAGCCTGCCGAGTAGCTGGGACTACAGGCGCCCGCCACCGCGCCCAGCTAATTTTTTGTATTTTTAGTATAGATGGGGTTTCACCGTGTTAGCCAGGATGGTCTCCATCTCCTGACCTCGTGATCCGCCCGCCTCGGCCTCCCAAAGTGCTGGGATTACAGGCGTGAGCCACCGCGCCTGGCCCTTTTTTTACAAGTTTTTTTTTTTTTTCCTCCTTTGAGATTATAATGAACATGGTCACACCACAAGTAAAGTCAGAAGTAGGACGGAGAACGGTCCGAAGGCTGGTTTGGTCATCCGAGATCATTAAAGGTGGCTGACCCTAACAATATGTACAAAAATATAAAATGTAAATTAAAAATACAAGCAAATTTCTTTTTTTAAAGTACTTTTAAGAAAAAAAGCAGGCCGGGCGCGATGGCTCACGCCTGTAATCCCAGCACTTTGGGAGGCCGAGGTGGGTAGATCACGAGGTCAGGAGATCGAGACCATACTGGCTAACACTGTGAAACCCCATCTCTGCTAAAAATACAAAAAATCAGCCGGGTGTCGTGGTGGGCGCCTGTAGTCCCAGCTACTCGGGAGGCTGAGGCAGGAGAATGGCATGAACCCGGGAGGAGGAACTTGCAGTGAGCCGAGATCGCACCACTGCACTCCAGCCTGGGTGACAGAGCAAGACTCTGCCTCAAAAAAAAGAAAAAAGAAAAAAAGAAAAAAAGCAGGGCCTTGGAAGTTTTGGTTCTTTTTTCCTCCCCTGTTGCAAATTCTTACGGTTTAGGTTGGGTGGTGGAGAGTGTGTGTCATCTGTGGGTGGCACTGCCCATGGTGGGGGGGCGGGCCTCAATACTGGAAGGTGACTACGTTTAGATTCTGAGACAGGAAATGGAGGGTGAATAGGTCATGGCGGCCTTTTTTTTTTAGTTTAACTTTTCCTTTTTTGCTGTCTAGTCATCCTTGTCGGTCTTCTGCTTCTTGGTATCGACATCATCATCCTCATCATCTTCAGCTGCCCGCTTGCCTGTAGCAGACTCAGCTTCCTCTTCATCTCCATCCTCTTCCTCACCATCACCTTCTTTTTCCTCCTCCTCTTCCTCCCCACTTTCTTCCCCTTCTTCATCTACCTCATTGTCAGCCTCCTGCTCCCCATTTTCCTCATTAGCATTCCCGTTAGCAGGGGCGTCTCTTCCATTTTCCGCGTCTTTCACAACTTCCTTCTTCTCCTTTAAGTCCTTGGCAATGATTTCAGAGCTGGTGTCTACAGCTGCATCTGACATGGTGGGGCACGCCGGTGATCTGATGCAGGGGATTAAAAAGAAAACGAGAGTTCAGGGACTCCGGCGATAAAGCTGCCAGAGTCTGCGGCGGAGGCAGCCGCGGCGAGCAAGGAGCTGGACAAGGAACAATGCAAAGATGGCTTTTCAGAGCAGCCAATCGGGATCTTGAAACTATTAAGGCCTAAAATCATTAGCACTGTTTTCTCCCTCTAAGACATATGTGGCTTTTCACTTTATTTTCAACTGAATGCTTTCGCTGTTTTGGGTTTAGCAAGCTTTTGGTCTTAAAAATATCCAACAATGCAGTTAAGAGGCCAGATGACTTTATGCATGAAACATTGTTAAGATGAGGAATTTTCCCATAGAAAGGTGACCAGATTTGAGGAAATTATTTAGTCAGTATAAACATTTCTCTGGATGTAAACAGTACAGATTTTACTTTCAGGCTTTCCTAATAAAGTTTCTAACAGACCTGGAAAGGAGAAGGAAGAGTAACATCTGTTGCAAAACCCCAGTTACGTGTAGGACAAATAAGAATCTGGGAGAGAGGTGACTTGCCCAAGTGACACACCGATTTGGGATATATTAGGGAGAACCATTAATTCTTGTCCATAAGGCTTGATTTAGAATTGTTTTTTATTTTAATGGAAGTTCTGTAGAAAGAAAGGAATACTTGGAAAAATTGAGCCACTTGTAAATACTTGGAAGATGAGAAAAGAGAATGGTTTAAAATCTTCTTACCATATCCCTATTCTCCTCCTCTTCCTCCTCATCATCAGAATCACAATCAGTCAGTCAAGGTTGGCACTTTATTAGTGTGAACAAGGTCAGTATGAAAACACAAAGTATAGGGAAGTTGTGACACCCAATGTGTACAATTTCTAAGTCACACCTCTCTGTTTCACATTTATTTATTTATTTCTCAGTTTCATTTTAATATGGTTATAGGACCACCAGGTTCGATTGCCTGTTGCATGGTAACAAACCAATGCACCAGAACAGTGGAGATTGCAGCAGAGAAAGAGTTGAATAACTGTAGGGCAGCCGAATGAGAAGACAAGACGAGAGGAAACTTCAAATCTGCCTCCCTGAGAGGTTTGGGGATGGGGATTTTAAGGGGTCTGGACAGGTGATGGGCTAAAGTATGGGGATTGCTGACTGGTTGAGAAGTGGGGAGTGAAGTCATGGGACCAGGAGATGCTGAGTCGTTTTCTTGGTAGGGGTTTTCAGACGGTTGGCATCAGCCATTCTGCTGGAATTCAGGATCTGAAAAACACCTTAAGCAATTCTTGGGTAAAATGTCCAGTGTCAGATTCTATCTATGGGAGCAATGGGGGAGCAGGTGGTCAGTGTGCTGCATGACCCTCGATTAGTTAGCAGCTGCAGGGAAATGAGTCAGAGCACACCAGTGCATGCTGGTTGATGCCTGACTACAATACAAGCCTAAAGCCTGGCTTGTAATTCTCATTAACCCTGTGAGGGTGGGTTTTCCCTTGGGCTTTTGCCCCATTCTAAGCAACACTTCTATGGATATTTTTGACTACATGTTTTTTGTAGTGCACACTGGAAAATATTCTGTGTGCTCAAATTAATTTTTTTCCAAGACTGTTTCTCATTTTAATATCCCAGAGCTTCTCTTGCATTTTAGGCTGCAATGGGTGAAGAAAGGTATATCTTCATTCCTTTGTCAAAAATTTACTGAGTGCCTGGGCACTCAAGTGCTGTAATCCCAGCACTTTGGGAGGCCGAAGCAGGAGGATAGCTTGAACCCAGGAGTTCAAGACCAGCCTGGACAGGAGGATCACTTGAGCCCAGGAACTGGAGGCTGCAGCGAGCCATGATTGCACCACTGCACTCCAGCATGGGCAACGCAGCAATACCCTGTCTCAAAAACAAAAAAAAACATTTATTGAGTGCTTACTCAATGGTAGTTAGGCACTGGCCTGGGCACTGGAAAACAGAGAAATATAACATGTCCCCATCTTTCTCAGCATAAAGCTTATCAGACTGTGTCCATTGTGTTTATTTAAGAATATATTTCCAATACTAGTAGTTCTGTTTATAGCTATCCATCTTACCTCACCCCCTTCCCCAGATAAAAAATAAGCAATGTTCAATTTTAAGACACTATCAAGGCCGGGCACGGTGGCTCACACCTGTAATCCCAGCACTTTGGGAGGCCAAGGTGGGCAGATCACCTGAGGTCAAGAGTTCGAGACCAGCCTGGCCAACATGGTGAAACCCCATCTCTACTAAAAATACAAAAATTAGCCGGGTGTGGTGGCAGGCTCCTGTAATCCCAGCTAGTCGGGAGGCTGAGACAGGAGAATCGCTTGAACCCGGGAGATGGAGGTTGCAGGGAGCTGAGATTATGCCATTGCACTCTAGCCTGGGCGACCAAGAGTGAAACTCTGTCTCACACACACACACACAAAAAGACACTATCAAGTTACAGAAATCAAGGCAGTGTGGTATTGGAGAAGACTTAGACATATAGATCAATGGAACAGAATGGGACCCACACATAGATCCTCACAAATATGGCCAATTGTTTTAAATTGCGGTAAAATACATGTAACATAAATTTACCATCGTAACCATTTTTAAGCATACAGTTCAGTATGGTTTAATATATTCATATTGTTGTGCAGCTAATTTCCAGAACTTTTTCGTCTTGCAAAACAAACTCTATTTCCGTTAAACAACAACTGCCCCTTTCTCCTTTCCCCAGCTCCTGGCAACCCGCATTCTACTTTCTCTTTCTATAAGCTTGACTATGTTAGGTACCTCATATAAGTAATCATACAGTATTTGTGACTGGCTTATTTCACTTAATGTAATGTCCTCAAGGTTCATCCATTTGTCAGAAATTCTTTCCTTTTTAACACTGAATAATATTCTCTCGTTTGTGTATACAACATCTTGTTTATCCATTCATTCATGCATGGACACTTGGGTTCCTTCTACCTTTTGGCTATTGTGAATAATGCTGCTATGAACATGGGTATACAAATATCTGTTCGATTCCCTGCTTTCAATTCTTTTGGGTATTGTTGTACTGTGAAATATATATTTGGTCTTTGTTCCAATTTCCTGGCATACAACTCCTAAGATCCTTGGAATCTCCAAAGTGATGTCTTTTTGTGTGCTAATGAGTTGCCAGATGGCTGGCAGCTCCTAGGTAGCTTCAGGATGGGGGCTGGTCACCAGAAATGATTAGACGGTTGGGACTTTTGGCCCTACCCCCATCCTTTAGAGAGGAAAAAGGGGCTCAAGGTTAAGTTGATCACCAGCGGTCAATGGTTTAATCAATTATGCCTACCTAACAAAGCTTCTATAAAAACTGCAAATGACAGGGTGTGGGAAGTTTCTGAATAGTTGAACTCATGAAAGTTCCTGGAGGGTGGCATGCCTGGGAGGGTATAAAAGCTCCACGTCTATTTTCATCTCTTACCCTAGGCATCTTTTCATCAATACCCTTTGTAATATTCTTTATAATAAACTGGTAAATGTAAGTTAAAAGTTAAGTGTCTTCCTGAGTTCTGTGAGCCACTCTAGCAAATTAATCGGACCAGAGGTGGGGATCCCCCATTTATAGCCAGTCAGTAAGAAGTGCAGGTAAAGCAACCTGGGGCTTGCAATTGGCATAGGAAGTGGGGGGCAGTCTTGTGGACTGAGCACTCAACCTGTGGGATCTGATGCTCTCTCCAGGTAGATAGTGTCAGAATTGAATTGAATTAGAGGACACCCAGTTGGTGTCCATGCTGCAGAGCTGGTTACTTACTTGGTGTGTGGGGAGAACCCCATACACATCTGGTGTCTGAAGTACTCTGTGTTGGTGAGTATAGCAGGATAAATCAAGTTTGGTTATTATTAGTAGTATATGTTATTTAGCATACATTATTATTAATATACACCCAGAAGTAGAATTGCTGGATCATAGTGTAATTCTCTCTTTAATTTTTTGAGGCGCCACCGTACTGTTTACCTTAGTGGCTACACCATTTTACATTCTCATGACAACAGTGCTCAAGAGTTTCAGTTTCTCCATATTCTCAGCAGTGTTACCAAAAAGGGGTCCTGACCCAGAGCCCAAGAGAGGGTTCTTGGACCTCTCCCAAGAAAGAATTCACACAAGCCCATAGAGTAAAGTGAAAGCAAGTTTATTAAGAAAGTAAAGGAATAGGCCGGGCACGGTGGCTCATGCCTGTCATCCCAGCACTTTGGGAGGCCGAGGCGGGTGGATCATGAGGTCAGGAGTTCGAGACCAGCCTGGCCAACATGGTGAAACCCTGCCTCTCATAAAAATACAAAAATTAGCTGGGCATAGTGGCACATGTCTGTAGTCCCAGCTGCTTGGGAGGCTGAAGCAGGAGAATTGCTTGAACCCAGGAGGCAGAGGTTGCAGTGAGCCAAGATTGCGCCACTGTACTCCAGCACTCCAGCCTAGGTGACAGAGCAAGACTCAGTCTCAAAAAAGAAAAAAAAAAGTAAGGGAATAAAGAATGGCTACTCCATAGGCAGAGCAGCGGCATGGGCTGCTTGACTGGAGTATACTTATAGTTATTTCTTGATGATATGCTAAACAAGGGGTGGATTATTCATGAGTTTTCTGGGAAAGGGGTGGGCAGTTCCCAGAAATGAGAGTTCCTCCCCTTTTTAGACCATATAGAGTAACTTCCTGACATTGCCATGGCATTTGTAAATGGTCATGGTGCTGGTGGGAGTGTCTCTTAGCATGCTAATGCGTTATAATTAGTGTAAAATGAGCAGTGAGGACCACCAGAGGTCACTGTCATCACCATCTTGGTTTTGGTGGGTTTTGGCCGGCTTCTTTACTGCAACTTGTTTTATCAGCAAGGTCTTTGTGACTTGTATCTTGTGCTGACCTTGTATCTCATCCTGTGACTCAGAATGCCTAACCTCCTGGGAATGCAGCCCAGCAGGTCTCAGCCTTATTTTACCCAGCTCCTATTCAAGATGGAGTTGCTCTGGCTCAAATGCCTCTGACACCAGCACTCATTATTTTCTGTTTTTTGTTTTGTTTTACAGTAGTCATTCTGATGGGTATGAGGTGATGACCAATTGATTTTTGACAGAGGTGCAAAAGTAATTCAAAGGAGAAAGGACAGTCTTTCCAAAACCAGTGTTGGGATAATTAGTCATCCTGCAAAAAAATGAACCTTGACCTAAATTTCACCTTATACACAGACTAACTAAAAATTGATTTTACACGTAAATGTTAAAATTCAAAGCATAATATTTAAAAAAGAAAACAGAAGAAAATTTTCATGAACTGAAGTTAGACAAAAAGTTCTTAGATATGATGTCAAATGCCTGATCCACTAAAAAACATGACAAATTGGATTCATAAAATTTAAAACCCATGCTCTGCAAAATACACTGTGAAGAGAATAAAAATACACACCACAGACTTGGAGAAAATGTTGAGAAATCACTTATCTGACAAAGACTAGTATTCAGAGTATATAAAGACCTCTCAAAACTCAACAGAAGGAAAATAGAGTTTAAGTAAAAAATGGGTAAAAGACTTGAGCAGATACTTCATCAAAGAAGTTATATCGATGGAAAATAAGCACAAGAAAATATTTTCAACATCATTAGCTATCAGGAAGTGCAAATTAAAACCATAGTGAGGCTGGGGACAGTGGCTCATGCCTGTAATGCCAGCATTTTGGGAAGCTGAGGCAGGAGGATTGCTTGAGCTCAGGAGTTCCAGACCAGCCTGGCCAACATAGTGAGACCCTGTCTCTACTAAAAATCAAAAATAGCTGGGCATGTCTCTACTAAAAATAAAAAATAGGTGGCATACCGCTGTAGTCCCAGCTACTTGGGAGGCTGAAGTGAGAGGATTACTTGAGCCCTGGAGATTGAAGTTGTAGTGAGCTATGATAGCACCACTGCACCCCTGCCTGGGTGACAGAGTGAGACCTTGCCTCCCAAAAAACAAACCAAAAAAACCATAGTGAGACACCACACCATCAGCTAAAATAGAAAAACTGACCTGACCAAGTGATGTGGAGAATGTGGAGTAACTAGAACTTGCACACATTTCTGGTGGGAATGGAGAATGATGCAGTCACTCTGGAAGAACACTTGGCAGCCTTTTATAAAGTTAAACATATACTTACTATATGACCCACCAGTCCCACTCCTAGGTATTTACCTTAGCAAATGAAAAGTTACGGCCGGGTGCGGAGGCTCATGCCTGTAATCCCAGCACTTTGGGAGGCCGAGGCAGGTGGATCACAAGGTCAGGAGATCGAGACCATCCTGGCGAACACGGTGAAACCCCCTCCCTACTAAAAATACAAAAAATTAGCCGGGTGTGGTGGTGGGCGCCTGTAGTCCCAGCTACTCGGGAGGCTGAGGCAGGAGAATGGTATGAACCCAGGAGGCAGAGCTTGCAGTGAGCCGAGATTGCGCCACTGCACTCCAGCCTGGGCGACAGAGCTAGACTCTGTCTCAAAAAAAAAAAAACAAACAAAAAAAAACCATAAAATTAAAAAAAAGAAAAGTTATGGTCACATGAAAACTTGTATAGCGGTGTTTCATAAAGCTTTGTTTGTAATACCCCCAAACTGGAAACACTGAAAACTTCTCCCACTGGTAAATGAGTAAGTAATCTTTGGTACATCCATACAGTGAATGGAAGACTACCCGGCAAAAAAAGGGACCCAGCAACTTGATTGATCTCAAAGGTAACATTCTGAGTGAAAGAAGCCTGTCTCAAAAGGTTTACATATTGTATTATTTCATTTATGACAACCTCAAAAAGATGCAACTATAAATGTTAGGCAACAAATCGGTGGTTGCCAGGAGTTAGTGGGAGAATGTGGCCTTAAGGGAGCAGCACGAGGGAGTTTCTTAGGGTGATAGAGCTCTTTTGTATCTGCATTGAAGCAGTGGCTATATGAATCTGTGTTTTTTAAAACTTCAGGAACTGGCCAGTCATGGTGGCTTATGCCTGTAATCCCAGGACTTTGGGAGGCCGAGGCTGGAGGATCACTTGAGCCAAGGAGTTTAAGACCAGCGTGGGCAACATGGCAAAACCCCATCTCTACAAAAAATAGAAAAATTAGCCCGGTGTGATGGTGCATGCTTGTAATCGCAGCTACTTCGGAGCCTGAGGTGGGAGGATCGCTGGAACCCAGGAGGGGGAGGCTGCAGTGAGCTGTGATCATGCCAGTGTACTTCAGCCTGGGTGACAGTGAGACCCTGTTTCAAAATAATAATAATAATAATAATAAACTGATAGAACTGTACACAAGAAAAGTCAATTTTACTGTAGGCTAACTTAAAATTAAAATATATAAAATAATGTTTACATGAATACAATAAAAATGTTAACATAAATAACAGTTATGCAAAAAATAACTTCACAAAAGAATTTCCAAAAGAAAAAAGTTATAGTGAGAAGAATGACATTGTTTTACAATTTTGCAAAGAATTTTTTCTGCCTTAACAGAAGACACAGGATTCAATTGTATATATGTAATTCTATGTATCTTACAGGCTCAGCAAAGCTCTACTCATTGTCTACACTCATGAGACAATGAAAGTAAATTAGACAAGTCATTCCCAGTATCTTTTTTTTTTTTTTTTTTTGAGATGGAGATTCACTCTTGCCCAGGCTGGAGCGCACTCACGTGATCTCAGCTCACTGCAACTTCCACCTCCCAGGTTCAAGCAATTCTCCTGCCTCAGCCTCCCAAATAGCTGGGATTATAGGTGTTTGCCACCACACCTGGCTAATTTTTGTATTTTTAGTAGAGACAGGGCTTCACCAAGTTGGTCAGGGATCCTGACCTCCAGTGATCCGCCTGCCTCGGCCTCCCAAAGTACTGGGATTACAGGTGTGAGCCACTGCGCTCGGCCCCAGTATTGTTTTGAGAATACTTTTGACCTCATAGACCGTTCTTCTAAAAAAAGATTTGGGGATTCTCCAGGGTTCCCTATGCCACACTTTGAGAACCACTGGCCTATGTTATAACTTTGCACTAAAGGAAGTACTTTTCTTCTTATGATTGGTTTTAGGGAAAATATTACTTTATCCTTCATAGAAAAAAATCATTTAACATATTTATTGATTGAATTATGATATATAGTCATAATTTTAAAAGTCAAATTCAGATGTTTCTTTTTTTTTTTTTTTTTTTTTGAGACAGAGTTTGCCCAGGCTGGGGTGCAATGGCGCGATCTTGGTCACTGCAACCTCCACCTCCCGGGTTCAAGCCATTCTCCTGCCTCAGCCTCCCAAGTAGCTAGGATTACAGGTGTGTGCCACCATGCCCCACGCCCAGCTAATTTTTGTATTTTTAGTAGAGACGATGTTTCACCACGTTGGCTAGGCTAGATATACAGATGATTCTTATACTTAAATGGTCACTTTGTTTATGATTTCCAGCAATAACCAGCCCTAGGAACCTTAAAAAACCTTCCTTAAAGTTTTTTTTTCAGGCTGGGCGCAGTGGCTCACGTCTGTAATCCCAGCGCTTTGGGAGGCCGAGGTGGGAGGATCTCCTTAGGTCAGGAGTTTGAGACCAGCCTGGCCAACATAATGAAACCTCGTCTCTACTAAAAATACAAAAATTAGCCAGGCGTGGTGGTGCACATCTGTAATCCCAGTTACTCGGGAGGCTGAGGCAGGAGAATTGCTTGAATCTGGGAGGCAGAGGCTGTAGTGAGCCAAGATTGCACCACTGCACTCCAGCTTGGGCAACAGAGAGAGTCTCTGTCTCAAAAAAAAAAAAAAAAGTTTTTTTTCAATTATAGGAGAGTAGATGTTTTCACCATATGAGAGTAATGACTTACAAATTATTTACTGTCAAAACTATAACATAGCCATTTCTTTTTTTTTTCCACCCCGAGACGGAGTCTTGCTCTGTTGCCCAGGCTGGAGTGCTGTGGCCTGATCTTGGCTCACTGCAACCTCTGCCTCCCTGGTTCAAGCAGTTCTCCTGCCTCAGCCTCCTGAGTAGCTGGGATTACAGGCGCACACCACCATGCCCAGCTAATTTTTGTATTTTTAGTAAAGACGGGGTTTCACCAGGTTGGCCAGGCTGGTCTTGAACTCCTGATCTCATGACCCCTGACCTCATGATCTGCCTGCCTCAGCCTCCCAAAGTGCTGGGATTACAGGCATGAGCCACCACACCTGGCTGCCATTTCTTTTTTAAAATGAATAATGGGATTTCTTGTAAGGAGTGGCCTATCATGGGTGAAAAGATGCTTGTATACCCCATTTCAGGTTATACTGCAGTGTTTGTTTTGTTTTGTTTTGTTTGAGACAGGGTTTTGCTCTTGTTGCCCAGACTGGAGTGCAATGGTGCGATCTCAGCTCACTGCAATCTCTGCCTCCCAGGTTCAAGTGATTCTCCTGTCTCAGCCTCCCGAGTAGCTGAGATGACAGGCATGCACCACCATGCCTGGCTAATTTTTTGTATTTTTAGTAGAGATGGGGTTTCTCCATGTTGATCAGGCTGGTCTCGAACTCCTGACCTCAGGTGATCCCCCCGCCTTGGCCTTCCAAGGTGCTGGGATTACAGGCGTGAGCCATTGCACCCAGCTCATACTGCACTATTATGTGAGCAGTACTATTCTTCTTGGAAGCCATTTGCTGTCTATAAGTCAGAAAGTTTTACTTCCTAAGAAACTTCATGAAATCTATAAGCAGCTTCTTTGAAGATGGCCTTTTGTAATCTGCATATGACCCCCGATTCTGAAACTGACTAGGACTGATTGCAGCATCAGGAAGGAGGAATTTCCTGCCTCTGTGAGGGTTGGGCAATGCAGAGGTTGGGGCAGGTGCCACCACCCTGGGGCTTAGACTCAGTTAGTTTGCCTGGGACCCAGCTCTGTGAGCTTAACCAATATCTCAGAGTAAAGGCTATTAAATAGGACAATCTGATCTGGTCTAAACTAATTTTGGCCTGGTACAATGGCTCACACCTGTAATCCCAGCACTTTGGGAGGTCAAGGTCGGAGGATTCCTTAAGCCCAGGAGTTTGAGACCAGCCTGGGCAACGTGGCAAAACCTCATCTCTACTAAAAATAAAAAATTAGCGGGATGTGGTGGCACACACCTATAGTCCCAGCTACTCAGGAGGCTAAGGTAGGAGGATCACGTCAGCCCGGGAGGTTGAGGCTACAGTGAACCAAGACGGTGCCACTGCACCCCAGCCTGGGAGACAGAGGAAGACCCTGTCTCAAACAAACAAACAACACAAGAAAATCCCATTATATTTGGAGTTGGCTGTGTTTCCCTCAGTAGGCAGGTTCATTATTGAGAGTTGGAGGCTTACCATCTAGCTAACATTTGTGGATGGTTAGACTGCTTTTCCCTGCCAGTCTCTTGGAAGCAGTCAAGGCAACCAGGCCTTTAGTGGAAAAAGGAGAAGAGACAGGAATACCAGAGGCAGTCCCTTAACCTTGGATTTCTTAGCCTCCATAACTGGAAGAAATACATTCATTTTATTTATAAATTACCTGGTTTCAGGTATTCTGACATAAGTAACAGAAAATGAACCAATATGGTACCTATGGTCCAAGATCTTTAAAGGGAGCTCCTAGGTCCAATATCTGGAAGAAATGTTACAACTAAACAACAAAAAGATTAAAATATGGGTAAAGGACTTAGACATTTCTCTAAAGATATACAAATAGTCAACAAGCACATGAAAAGATATTTAGCATCCTTACTTATTAGGGAAATGCAAATCAAGACCACAGTGAGGTACCACATCATACCTACAAGGATAACTATAATTTTTTTTTTGAGATGGAGTCTCACTCTGTCGCCTAGGCTTGAGTGCAGTGGCGTGATCTCAGCTCACTTTAAAAAGAAGGAAATTTTGGCACATGGATGAACCTTGAAAACATTATAGTAAGTTAAATAACTCAGTCATAAAAGGAAAAATACTGTATGATTCGACTTATAGGAGGTACCTAGAATACTCACAACCGGGCAGACAGAAAGTAGAATGGTGGTTATCAGGGATTTGGGGGACAGGGAGTGGAAAGTCTATAATGGACTTGGAGTTTCAGTTTGGGAAGGTGAAAAAGTTCTGGAGATGGACAGTGGTGACGGTTGTCCCAAAATGAGAATGTACTTAAATATTACAGAACCGTGTACACTTGGAAATGATTAAAATGGGCCAGGTGCGGTGGCTCACGCCTGTAATCCCAGCACTTTGGGAGGCCCAGGTGGGTGGAACACTTTGGGAGGCCCAGGTGGGTGGATCACCTGAGGTCAGAAGTTCGAGACCAGCCTGGCCAACATGGTAAAACCCCATCTCTACTAAAAATACAAAAATTAGCCGGGCATGGTGGTGCATGCCTGAAATCCCAGCTACTCGGGAGGCTGAGGCATGAGAATCGCTTGAGCCCGGGAGGCAGAGGTTGCAGTGAGCCAAGATTGTGCCCCTGAACTGCAGCCTGGGCAATAGAGGGAGACTGTGTCTCAAAGAAAAGAAAAAAGGCAATGGTTAAAATGATAAATTTTTGTTATGTATATTTTACCACAATTTTTAAAAAGAAATGAGGTATTGATACTTCATTGACAATGTAGATGAATCCAGAAAACATTATGACAAGTGAAAGAAGGCAGAAATTGAAGGTCATATGTTGTGGTATGGTTCCAATTATATGGAACGTCCAAGATAGGTAAATTCATAGAAACACAAAGCAGATTGGTGGGTACCAGGGGCTGGGGGAGGAGGGAACAGCGAGTGACTGCTTGATGGGTACGGGGTTTGGTCTCCTTTGATGTGAAGAAAATATTTTAGAACTACAGGTGATGTTTGTCACAACCTTGTGAAGATACTAAATGCCTCTGAAATGTGTGTTTTAAATTGGCTCATTTTATATTATGTGAATTTCACCTCAATTTTTTGCAACAGAGACTCCTTCAGGGTGAGCAAAGGCCTGGAAAAACCTGTATGCAGATAAAGAAAAGGAAAGAAAGAGATAATCAGTGCATGCAGTTGTCAGCTGGCTGGGACCTGAGGAGAGTCACTTGTGGAGGCAACTGGTCTTTATCCCCATTGTCCGGTACAAGGCAGGCATTAATCCTGTGATCCTTATCTGAAGCTCAGGTTTGATTTTATTCTTTTCTTAAGTACCTACTGTTATCCCCAAGCTTATAATAATAGTTTAATTGTTACAGCCAGTATCTCACCTTCAGAAGTAAGATGCTTAGGAAACCAAGACAAGGAACTGTGTGTTGCAAACAGCATCACCCTGGAGAAGAGGTGGCAGGAGGTGACCTACAGAAAATGGAGTAATAGCCTAGAGCAAGAAACACAGAACAAAAGAGAAATGAGGGGTTAGGCAACCTCCTGGAGCACCAATGGGACAAGCACATATTCAGGGGCCTCCTAACAGACTCGACTTCCAGCATCCTCAGATGGTGCTAGACACGTTACATAGACGTTCAAGAGTAGAGAACTCAGGGACTTCTGATTTATATCAAGAAATGCATACACAGCAGACGTGTGCCTGTGGAGTGGAATTCTGGAAAAGCTCACAGCCCAGAACATAATGCAGACTCCCCCAGCCACAGCACCTTCCAAACCTGAGAAGAGTGCTGATTCTCCATCTGAGCACCCATTCTCCTGCAACATCAGGGGAGAGGATTTCACCTAAGGGTCAGACCAGCATCTCCAAACCCAGCTCCCCACCTTTGCCTGTTGGTGGCACTTGTGGGAGAAGGGGAGATGGTATGAAAAGAGCCACAACAGGAGTCACCTGGACAGGGTGGAGCTTGATGGAAACTGACATTTGTGCCCATTGGAGGCAAATGTAGAATTTGGTATCTTCCGTAGCGTCAGGCACATGAAACTCTCCAGTGCCCATGACTTTTGACAGTGACTTCAGAGCACATCTGGGAGACCCATGTGGCCCAGGCTCCACACAGGCAGGAGCTCAGCTTCACTCACAGCAGGATTCCTAGTGCCAAGAACACCATAGGTGCATAGCAGGTGATCAAAATAATTGTATGTGGCTGAATCAGTGAGAGGTAAGAGAGAGGACTTGATCCTAGCTGCAAACTAAGAGACCTCATTAAAACCTAACATGTGGCTGGGTGTGGTGGCTCACGCCTGTAAGCCCAGCACTTTGGGAGGCCGAGGGGTGGATCACCTGAGGTCAGGAGTTCAAGACAAGCCTGGCCAACGTGGTGAAAACCCATCTCTACTAAATATACAAAAAATTGGCTGGGCATGGTGGCAGGTGCCTGTAATCCCAGCTACTTGGGAGGCTGAGGCAGGAGAATCACTTGAACCCAGGAGGCGGAGGTTGCAGTGAGCCGAGATTGCACCACTATACTCCAGCCTGGCAATAAGAGCAAAAGTCCGTCTCAAAACAAAAAACGAAAAAACAAAAAACACCTAACATGTGAGGCCCAGCATGGTGGCTCAGACCTGTAATCCCAGGATTCTGGGAGGCTGAGGCTGGAAGATTGCTTGAGCCCAGGAGTTCAAGACCAACCTGGGCAACATAGCGAGACCCTGTCTCTGGGAAAAAAAAAATTACCTGGGCATAGTTACAGTCCTAGCTACTCGGGAGGCTGAGGCAGGAGGATTGCTGGAGCCCAGGAGTTTGAGGTTACAGTGAGCTATGATTGCACCACTGTATTCCAGCCTGGGCAATGGAGCGACACCCTGTCTGTCTTCAAAAACTATATATATATGGTGTATGTGTGTGTATGTATGTGTATGATATCAGAAAAAAATAACCTATTCATGGTGGGGGAAAAAAGAGCCTGACTTTTGAGGTGTATAAGCGTGGAGTCGGGTTCAAATCAGGCTCTGATCTTTCTGGCTCTGTGATATGGGGCAGGGCATATTACCAAGCTCAGCCTCAGCATCTCTACCTGTGAAATGGGCTTGATTCAGTACACCACACAGGGCTGCTGTAGTATGTATGAATTAATGTTTGTGAAATATTTAGCATGGTGCCTGACACATGGTACTCAGTAAGAAACAACTATTGCTATTAAGTGCTTTGCACTTTGGTTTTCACAGAGCTAACAATTTTTACTGTCTAGCTTTGTGTCTTTGAAAGATTTTTGAGCTCTGAGAATGACCTTTTAAGACCTCAGCACTTCTAGAAGAGGTCACACTTTGAGCTTCAATAGCTAGCATTTTTGTCAATTAGTTAACAGTGTGCTGAAAGCAAGTCCCTGTAGAGAGTGTTCACGGGCATGAGCCACAGGGAATACAATGTGAGGCCTGTGGAGGTGGCAGCTGAGGATGTCAACAGGGAAAGCACAGAGTACCAAAGACAAAAGTTGCCCAGGACAGTTCTGTGTTAGCTACCTGGTGGCAGCCTGGACACCCAAAGATAGAGCTGAAGACACCTCTAATACAAGAGGCGGATGCCCCGGAGACGTGGCTGATTCCTTGGCTAATTTCCTCAGCCCCACCGTTGTGCAGCTTTGTGACTTCCTGGAGAGCCTACATGCAAACAGAAAAGTCCCAGGATAAAGAAATGTGGATATTCCACACATTTTAAAAAGACCTGGAGGGATGAAGAGGACAAGCTGTCCCAGTAGGCCCCGGACTGCCCTGGTTTTAACACTAAATGTCCGACATCCTGATAACCCTTACTCCCAGGCAAATCAGGCCAGTTGGTCATCTAATTGGAGGTTATCAAAGGAGGTGGGTTTTAGCATCCTCTTTCCTTTCCTGTTACATTGAGACCATGGGGTGCTATTGAATAAACTTGATTCGGTTTCTTCAAAAAAAGCCAGAAATTGATCTAATAGGTTTTGCTCATATTTGGTAATTGAATTGGACTGTATACAGTCTGCACGTTTACCTTATTTTCCATTATATAATGGTACCAAATATCACAATGATTTTCAAAAATTAATGCTTTTAGTGATGGATTACTAGGTGTTGAAATGCTTTATAATATACTTATGAAAACATTTATACAAATAATTTCATCCTCCACATGACATTTAGAAAAGTTTAGTCTGGCTGGGTACAGTGGCTCACTCCTGTAATCCCAGCACTTTGGGAGGCCAAGGCAGGTGGATCACCTTAGGTTAGGAGTTCGAGACCAGCCTGGCCAACATGGTGAAACCCCGTCTCTACTAAAAATACAAAAAATAGCCCAGTGTGGTGGCGCACACATGTAGTCCTAGCTACTTGGTAGGCTGAGGCAGCAGAATCACTTGAATCTGGGAGGCAGAGGTTGCAGTGACCCAAGATCACGCCACTGCATTCCAGCCCAGGAGACAGGGTGAGACTCTGTTTCAAAAAGAAAGAAAAGAGAAGAGAAAAGATGAAAAGGAAATGTTTAGTTTGAAATTCCGTTACCGAAAGTTCTCGGGGGTTGGGGGAGGTGGGAGGCAATATCTTTTTGCTATTATATTTCTTATAGTGCAGTGTCAGTGAAACTATGTCATCCTTTGTAAAATCAATAAAATCCCTGTCAATTTATCTGGCCATTCGATACTTTATCATCTATAATTTTTCAAGACATCTATTTGGTTGAAGTGTCTTCATCAATTGATGGACTGTACATCAGTCTGGTTTGGCAGTTTACATTGTATTTTCCTCTGAGTTTATCTTCTCTGTTTCATGGACTTCACTAGGGTCAGTGGTTCTTAAGTTGGATGATAAGAAACCCCAATCTTCCATACAGGGTACAGTTTGGCCATTGGTTTTAACTCAGGTCATGGCATAGCAGTTGCATTTCTATGGAAGCAAAGCTAACCTTGGAAATGGACTCTAATCAAAGACTCACTAACATCAAACAAGTCATAACCACATTAAGTAATGTCTTAAAGGCAAAAATCAATAGTAATTCACTTTGAGCATTTAAAGAGTCAGGCTCTCAGTCACTGTCTTTGAGATTATGAGAGCATAGTAGAAAACAGCTTGTCCAACTGCCTTATTTAATAGATGAGCTCATAGAAATGAAGTAACTCAGTCGAAGTGACATTGGTTTTCATGGCTAAACACAGGAACTGGAAAATAATGGGAGTATTGTTAGAAATTACAATAATATTGAAATTTGACTTCAAGCTAATGAGTCAAGTATGAAGATATTAACTTCACAAACTCGATAGCAAACATGTCCTAAGAGATAAGACAATTTTATTTAGCACTATCTTTTTTGTAAAAGATTTATAATAAGAATAAAGAAAACAAAGTTTGTATGCTAAGAGAACAATGCAATACTTCCATAATTTCTTGAACAACTGTAGTGAAGCCAGAGTATCCCAAGCTTCCCCAGCCTGAAACAGTCTACCACATGAATGTGAGGCTGTAGCCTCACACCTCCGAGCACCTCCTCACCATCCACATCTGCTCATACCGGTGTTTAGTCCCTACCTGAGTGTCACCTCGTCTTGTCCACGAGGACAAGCCCAGTGGACTCAAGTGCAAGTCCATCTGTATTCTTGGGCCTCTCTCTCATGATGGTGGCTTTCACTGTGATGCTTCCATGCCCTTTGAGCCCTGAGTGCAAGGCCAAGGTGCCCCCACAGCTTCCTAGTTGCTGCTGAGTTCCCCACCCCCCAGATGGGAGGTATGCACCTCCCATTCTGGGTCTCAATAGATCACCTGGGCCCCGGTCCTCTGAAAGCCTATTGAATACAAGTAAGTAACACAAGGCTGTTTTGTTCATTACCCCTATAATTCAAGAAATCCAATTTGCGAGACAGAATTGACTTGAGGCCAAAAACTCCAGGGTCATTCTGCCCCAACTTGAATCCTGGCACCACTTACTGCTATGTGATCTCAGATGCCATAACTAATCTCTCTAATTCTATTTCCCTGCATTTAAAATGCAGGCAATGCCCATGGTTTGCCCTAATGACTCAATGACTCTGTATTAAAGGGCTTACTATTGGCCTGTCATGTCTCAATAAATGTGTTACTGTTCTTTCTCTGTGTTGACACTGGATGTACAATTGCAAATAAAACACACACTTGTCTTGGGGATGCTTGCAGTCTAGTGGGCCAGTTGGATTTATTTCAGTTCAACTATTGGTTAACAGATGAACAATAAAAAGTATTGCTGTAAAAAAGATGAACGTCCAGAAAGAAAGAGTCTGTCTGGTACACAAATAATTGTGATAAATACAACAAAAAAAATGTGCACAGGGTAAAAAGTAACAGGGAGAGTGACCAGGAAACTTTAAAATTATAGTAATGTGATCCAGGCTACATTCACTGGCATTTCCCAAACACTCTCCACAGGGGAACCAGGATGGGATCAACCCTAAGACCTTCTCACTCATCCAACTAAAGGCAGTGAGGAATGGGAACAGACAGAAAGGGATGGTTTAAGCCAACACTCAAAGTGTTAAAATCAAACCAGTGGAAAAGGATCAGCTGACCAGGCTGAAGGGAGAGGTAAACTAACCAAATGAGGTACCACATTGCTCAGCGAGTCAACAGCAAAAAGACAAGGGTCTCGGCTGTGGCTTCCACTGGAGTTTGGAGGTACGGAATTTTCCTCCTATGCAGTGGCCTTCAGTGTTGTGCTTGTCGATCCTTAAAAGAATGTTGATCAGGTGCGGTGGCTCGTCCCTTAAACCCCAGCACTTGGGGAGGCCAAGGCAGGAGAATCCTTGAGGCCAGGAGTTTGAGACCAGACTGAGCAACATAGTGAAACCAACCTTGGCTCTACAATGACAACAACAACAACAACAACAAACTAGCTGGGCATGGTGGTGCACGCCTGTAGTCTCAGTTACTCTGGAGGCTGAGCTGGGAAGATTGCTTGAGCCCAGGAATTTGAGGCTGCAGTGAAGTATGATCATGTCACTGTACTCCAGCCTGGGTGATAGAGTGAGACCCTGTCTCCTAAGGAAAAAAAAATGTTAATAAACTGTTTAACGTCCCCCCCCTACACTTTTAAGTTGACATTTACATTTATCATTAGTTTGTGATAAAGAATGTATTTTCCAGGATATTGTAGACTGGCTTTCAGTATATTTTTGTCAGACTTTTGAGGCCAATTTGGCTCTTTTGCTTAATGGAAAATGGGAGTGTTTAGGTCTCAGGGTGTGCTCATGAGCAGGCTGGGATGGGTGGGAGGCTTTGGTGAAGTGGCAGAAGGGTGATTGGACTGGGAAGAAAAGAGGAACTTGCAAAACAGAGACACTTCAGGGAGCAGGTTAGCTGTAGGAAAGAGTACACACCTAGGACGAGGGCCTGGAAATTGGTCATCTAAAAGCTATCCATGGCCACGTAACCCCTGAAAAGTCTTTCCATATTACAAGGGGTATACATACCCCAGTTTGAACACCAAAGCTTAAGTTCTCTCAAGTTCACAGTATATGCCAGGTTGAGTGAATTAAAAAGTATAGCATCAGGGTAAACAATGATAGTGCTAGGCAAAATTACTCAAAACGTGGAAACAAAGTAAAGAGATTCCACTTCCATCAATGTCATGCTATAAGACGATTGTCTGACAAACCCATCCAAGGGTCTTCTGACTCTCAAAGGGTTTTGACTATTTATTTTTGATGTTATTACTGGTAGGCTCAGATATTTTACAGCCCTGTAAAGTTAGAAATTATCTCCTAAGAAACTGATGAGTTGGTTTTCTTTTCCATGGTGGAAAAATGAGATCACCCCAACTGCTACAGTTTAATTGCCCAATAGGACATTAACTAGGGCTGCATCTAATGTGCCAATATTAATTCATCCTTCCATTTTGTTCACATTGACTGTAATAATCCTCGTTTTTCAAATTCTCTTTTGAACCCACTTTATGGGTTCCCTTATTACCGAGATAAATAAAATGTTGGCATGTGCTCACTATCTCTTTGGATAAGATTATGTTTTTTGTTTGTTTGTTTGTTTTTGTTTTTTGAGACGGAGTCTCGCTCTGTCGCCTGGCTGGAGTGCAATAGTGCAATCTTGGCTCATGCAACCTCTGCCTCTCGGGTTCAAGCAATTCTCCTGCCTCAGCCTCCTGAGTAGCTGGGATTACAGGCACCCACCACCAGGCCCAGCTAATTTTTGTATTTTAGTAGAGACGAGGTTTCTCCATTTTGGCCAGGCTGGTCTCGAACCCCTGACCTCAAGTGATCCACCCACCTTGGCCTCCCAAAGTACTGGGATTACAGGCGTGAGCCACTGTGCCCGGCAAGATTATGTGTTTTTTTGTTTGTTTTTTGTTTTTTTTAAACATTCAGAGAACTATATGTTGACAGAAATCTAAACAAAGTGTACAGAAGGTGCAAGGAAAGGTTTTGCAATACGGAAAGGAAACTTGGGGAAAACCTGGTGGAGACCATACCTGAGCTGAGTCTTAACAGGAGTTAGAATACCTATAAACAGGAATTAGATAAATGGCTGGAGGAGAAGGAGAAAGAGGCTATTTCAGACTGAGGGAGCCTGACAGATGATGGGAGCCCAATGATGTGGGTGTAGAAAAATGCCAGGAGATAAGGCTGACAGGTGGGGAGAGGCCAGAGCCTGAGGCATTCATGTCATGCTAACGCACCAGAGCCTTTTCCTTCATGAAAACGGGATATCTTGAAGAATTTTTAGCAAGAAAGTGATGTAGTAAGATAGATTTGTATTTTAGAAAGACCATTTTTTTCCCCAAACTTTTAGGTTCAGGGGTACATGTGCAGGTTTGTTATATAGGTAACCTAGTGTCATGGGGGTTTGTTGTACAGATTATTTTGTCGCCCAGGTACTAAGCCTAGTACCCAATAGTTATTTTTTTGAATCCTCTCCCTCCCCCCACCCTCCACCCTCAAGTAGTCCCCACTGTCTGTTGTTCGCCTATTTGTGTCATTGAGTTCTTATCAATTAGCTCCCACCTATAAGTGAGAACATGTGGTATTTGGTTTTCTGTTCCTGTGCTAGTTTGCTAAGGATAATAGCCTTTAGCTCCATGAGTGATCCAGCAAAATATATCATCTCATTCTTTTCTATGGCTGCATACTATTCCATGGCATGTATGTACCACATTTTCTTTATCCAATCTGTCATTGATGGGCATTTAGGTTGATTCCATGTCTTTGCTATTGTGACTAGTGCTGCAGTGAACATTCACATGCATGTGTCTTTATGATAGAATGATTTATATTCCTCTGGGTAATATACTCAGAGATGGGACTGCTACGTTGAATGATAGTTCTGTTTTTAGCTCTTCGAGTAATCGTCACAGTGCTTTCCACAATGGTTTGCACTAATTTACACTCCCGCCAACAGTGTAAAAGCATTCCCTTCTCTCTGCAACCTTGTCAGAATCTGTTATTTTTTGACTTTTTAATAATAGCCATCCTGACTGGTGTGAGATGGTATCTCATTGTGGTTTTGATTTGCATTTCTCTAATGATAAGTGATATTGAGCTTTTTTTCATATGTTCATTGGCCGCATGTATGTTTTCTTTTGAAAAGTGTCTGCTCATGTCCTTTGCCTACTTTTTAATGGGGTTGGCTTTTTTTTCTTGTTGATTTGTTTAAGTTCCTTATATTAATAGAGCCTGGATGTGAGACTTTTGTCAGATGCATAGTTTGCAAAAACTTTCTCCCATTTTGTAGGCTGTTTACTCTGTTGACAGTTTCTTAACTATGTAGAAGCTCCTACATTTAATTAGATCCCATTTGTCAATTTTTGCTTTTGTTACAATTGCTTTTGGTGAGAAAGACTAATTTTGTGTGAAGAGTACAATGCATAAGTGGAAATGAACCCAAAGATGTACAGCAAACTGCTGAGAAATGGGAAGGGTATGAACTAAGGCAGTAAGCAGGCATAGAACAATCTGACATATAAAATAAATAGGGCACAACAGTTGCTTTGATGGAGTGGTGAAAGAGATAGGAGGTGAGAAAGGGCATAAGCAAGATTTGATCATTGACTATGCGAGGGTGACAAGGAAAAAGAGGGGCTGACCTACATCAGCAATTCCTGCTTCTGGCATAGAGATGGTATCACTTCTGTTGCGAAGACTACAGGGACAGCAGGCAGCATGCTGTATATATTTCTAGCATGTGAAACGGAAGTAGGGCAAGGAAAAAAGTCCTTACGTTCCTACTTTTTACATGGTTCACACACATTGTAGAATAAACCCTTTGCCTGGGTCACGTAAAATTCTACCTTTTTATTATTATTATTATGCTTTAAGTTCTAGGGTACGTGAGCACAGCGTGCAGGTTTGTTACATGGGTATACATGTGCCATGTTGGTTTGCTGCACCCATTAACTCATCATTTACATCAGGTATTTCTCCTAATGCTATCCCTCCCCCTGCCCCCCAACTCACAACAGGCCCCCATGTGTGATGTTTCCTGCCCTGTGTCAAGGTTTTCTGTCCTTGTGATAGTCTGCTCAGAATGATGGTTTCCAGCTTCATCCATGTCCCTACAAAGGACATGAACTCATCCTTTTTTATGGCTGCATAATATTCCATGGTGTATATGTGCCACATTCTCTTAATCCAGTATATCATTGATGGACATTTGGGTTGGTTCCAAGTTTTTGGTATTGTGAATAGTGCCACAATAAACATATGTGTGCATGTGTCTTTATAGTAGCATGATTTATAATCCTTTGAGTATATACCCAGTAATGGGATCATTGGGTCAAATGGTATTTCTAGTTCTAGATCCTCGAGGAATTGCCACACTGTCTTCTACAATGGTTGAACTAGTTTACACTACCAACAGTGTAAAAGCGTTCCTATTTCTCCACATCCTCTCCAGCACCTGTTGTTTCCTGACTTTTTAATGATCGCCATTCTAACTAAAATTCCACCCTTTGTATAAAACATTTGCCCGGTCCATTTGACTCTGAATCACCTTGGTATGTATAATTGCCAAATATACTTTTTTTCCAGATGGCAATTCACATCTGCCTTTTAGCTTAGTGCTGAATGGAAGGCAAATAATTGAGGAGGTTCAGTAAGGATAGTTCTCCATTAAAAACAAAAGAAAAAAAAAGAGAAAAAAAAGCGCCAACCTAACTGAATACTCTCAGATAGGACTGATAATGCATTGCAAATACTGAAAACAAGTTTTCATTAGAACATTATCTTAAACTAAAATCTGTTGCCAGTCGCAGTGGCTTACCCTTGTAATCCCACCACTTTGGGAGGCCAAGGCGAGCAGATCACCTGAGTTCAGGAGTTTGAGACCAGCCTGGCCAACATGGTGAAACCCCATCTCTACTAAAAATACAAAAGTTAGCCGGGCGTGGTGGTGGGCACCTGTGATCCCAGCTACTCAGGAGGCTGAGGCATGAGAATTGCTTGAACCTGGGAGGCGGAGGTTGCAGTGAGCTGAGATTGTGCCACTATACTCTAGAGTGACAGAGCGAGACACCGTCTGAAAAAACAAAAAAATTATCTAGGTGTGGTAGTATGTGCCTGTGATCCAGCTACTTGGGAGGCTGAGACAGGAGAATTGCTTGAGCCCGGGAGGTGGAGCTTGCAGTGAGCCAAAATTGCACCACTGCGCTCCAGTCTGGGCGACAGAGCAAGAATCCATCTCAAAAAAAAAAAAAATTATCTGGGTGTGGTTGTATGCACCTGTAATCCCAGCTACTTGGGAAGCTGAGACAGGAGAATCGCTTGAGCCTGGGAGGCAGAGGTTGCAGTGAGCCAAAATTGCACCACTGCACCCCACACTCCAGCCTGGGTGAGAGAGCGATATTGCATCTCAAAAAAAAAAAATCTGTGAAAATAAGTTTATCTTAACACATTGTTATAATTGCAATTACAAAGTAGTGCTCGGAACAAACAAAATTAAGTGAAGTGTGTTTTAAACATTTAGACAATTATCGTAAGACAGTTTGTTATCCTTTCACACAGGGAACAGTAGACGGGTGGAGAAACAGCAACAAAGATACCATGTGAAGGTATTGCTTTATACACCTTGGCTTGGATCTGGGCCATGCAGGTGCCAGCTCTGGATTTCCTTCCCAGCAGACAACTGCCAGTACAAGGAGACTCACAGACATTATTGAACAACCCAATTGCATCATACTTTAAAAAAGATTCAAATTATATATAAAAAGTGATGAATTCAATACCACTTCCCCCTTTCTGTTGATTACAAATTGACCACACAAGGGAATATTTAGGGTCTTGTGGCAGTAGATGCATAACTACCTATTTCTCTTGAAGTCCTGGTCTCAAGTGATCCTCCCACCTCGACCTCCCAAAGTGCTGGGATTACAGGCCTGAGCCACTGCACCTGGCCCATCCATTTGTCAAAATCCACAGAACAATACACTGCAGAGAGTTAACTTTATGCAAATTAATGTGGGATCTTAGGATAGAATGGCCAGCACGACAAATGAACTTAATTATATTACAAAGGTATGGCATAACCTCACCAAAGTGAGTGGGGAAAAAATAAATTGAGTAAATAAATAAAAGTTTGATTGATTACTCAATCAAAAAAGAATTGATTTGAGTAAATAAGAAAGAAATTGAATTGATTTGGAAAACTGTTTTGACTGGCTACTTTCAGGATAAAAACAAAAAGAACCGTACATAAACACTGTAGTTGGAAAACTTGCTTCCACAGAGTTAGAAATTCTGAAACTACATGTATTGTTAACACACACACACACACACACACACACACACACACACACACACACAAGTAGAGAGAGAGAGAGCACAGCACCCAGATCCATATCATTGCTGGGAGAATTAGTGGTGCTGCCCATAGACTCTACTCAGAAAGGACAACTGGAAGCTTGTGCGTGGTCTCTCGTGGACTCTGCTGCCTCTTACCTTTGCTATTTTCATCTGTATCCTTTCACTATAATAAACTGTAACTATGAGTAAAATAGCTTTTTGGGGTTCTTCTAGTGAATCATTAAACCAGAGGATAGTCTTGGGGATTAAAGACTCTCAGTTATTAGATACCCTATTTTAGCATTAAGTTTAACCCAATCTTAAAATCCAGCTTTAAGACCAGATGATTAATTTATTTAAAGCGAAAAATCTCAACAAAAATATTAAATAGAAATCAGCAAGGCTAGGCACGGTGGCTCACGCCTATAATTCCAGTACTTTGGGAGGCTGAGGTAGGAAGATTGCTTGAGCCCAGGAGTTGGAGAACAGGCTGGGCAACACAGTGAGACACTGTCTCTACCAAAAATTAAAAAGGTAGCCAGGCATGGTTTTATGCACCTGTGGTCCCAGCTACCCAGGAGGCTGAGGTGGGAGGATCACTTGAGCCCAGGAGGTCAAGGCTGCAGTGAGCTGTGATCGCGTCACTGAACTCCAGCCTAGGCGACAGAGCAAGACTCTGTATCAAAAAAAAAAAAAAAAAAAAGATCAGCAAATTGTTTGAATTTCTCCTCTTAGGAAAAAGAACTGTATTAGCATATGTTACTCTGATATAGCTGATATGGCAATATCAACCATCAAAGATATAATGGTATACTTATCTGGTATAATTTATAAGTTTGCCTCAGTAGAATCACAGCCTATTCTGTAGTTAAAAATATACACTGCTAGTATTATAGCAAACTTTAGTGGCTTTTGTGATAAAGAAAATAAACTTCAAAAAACTCCATTATTCCCTCTAGGATAACTTTATTGTAAGTCTATTTAAGAAAACAGTCCAGGCTGGGCATGGTGGCTCATGCCTGTAATCCCAGCACTTTGGGATGTTGAGGCAGGCGGATCACTTGAGGTCAGGAGTTGGAGACCAGCCCAGCCAACATGGTGAAACCCTGTCTCTACTAAAAATACAAAAATTGGCTGGGTGTGGTGGCAGGTGCCTGTAGTCCCAGCTACTCGGGAGGCTGAGGCACCACAATCGTTTGAACCGGAGAGGCAGAGGTTGCAGTGAGCTGAGATCGCGCCACTGTACTCCAGACTGGGCAACAGAGCAAGACTGTCTCAAAAGAAAACAAAAAAACAGTTTACAAACTTTTCTGTTTCATGGATACAGGAATCAGAAACTGATACCCAAGCTCATAAGTGGCATAAACATAATACTCAAACAGCATAACATAATACATATATTCCCTCTGTGTTTTGAAAACTATTTGTTAAAACAATCATTCAGAAAAGTAGACAAATCAGGCTGGGTGTAGTCGCTCACGCCTGTAATCCCAGCACTATGGGAGGTCGAGGCGGGTGGATCACCTGAGATCAGGAATTCGAGAACAGCCTGGCCAACATGGTGAACTTGTCTCTACTAAACATACAGAAGATAGCCAGGTCGTGGCATGCACCTGTAATCCCAGCTACTCGAGAGTCTGAGGCAGGAGAATTGCTTGAACCCAGGAGGCACAGGTTGCAGTGAGCCGAGATCGAGCCACTGATCTAGGCTGGGCGACAAAAGCGAAATTTCGTCTCAAAAAAAAAAAAAAAAAAAGAAAAAAGACCAGGCCGGCTCGGTGAGCCGAGGGGGGCGGATCACTTGAAGTCAGTAGTTCAAGACCAGCCCAGCCAACATGGTGAAACCCCGTCTCTACTAAAAATACAAAAATTAGCCGGGCATGGTGACGCGCACCTGTAATCCCAGCTACTCGGCAGGCTCAGGCAGGAGAGTCGCTTGAATGCGGGAGGTAGAGGTTGCAGTGAACCTAGATCACGCCACTGATCTAGGCTGGGTGACTGTAGCCTGGGTGACAGAGCAAGACTCTGTCTCAAATAAATAAATAAATAAATAAAAGTAAAGACTTCTGCAAAGTGTGTGTGTGTGTGTTTGGGGGTAGTGGGTGGGAAGCGAAAAAGAGGCTTTTTTTTTTTTTTTTTTTGGAGACGAAGTCTCACTCTTGTCACCCAGGGTGGAGTGCAGTGCACCATCTCGGCTCACTGCAACCTCCGCCTCCTGGGTTCAAGCGATTCTCTTCCCTCAGCCTCCCAAGTAGCTGGGATTACAGGCATCCGCCACCATGCCCGGCTAACTTCTGTATTTTTAGTAGAGACGGGGTTTCACCATGTTGGCCAGGCTGGTCTGGAACTCTTGACCTCAGGCGATCCGCCCACCTCTGCCTGCCAAAGTCCTGGGATTACAGGCGTGAGCCACCACGCCCAACCTGAAAAAATTCTTAAATGAAATGACTTTAATTCAATTAAAATTACTAATCCTGTTAATAGAAATAATTTTATTCTTTTTTCTATTGATGTTTGTAAAAAGATTTTTTTTTTTTTTTTGTGAGACAGAGCCTCACTCTGTCGCCCAGGATGGAGTGCAGTGACGCTATCTCGGCTCACTGCAACCTCCGGCTCCCAGGTTCAAGCTATTCTCCTGCCTCAGCCTCCCGAGTAGCTTGGATTACAGGCGTGCGCCACCAAGCCCGGCTAATTTTTTTGGTGTTTTTTGTTTTTGTTTTTGTTTTTTAGTAGAGACAGGGTTTCACCGCGTTGGCCAGGCTGGTCTCTAACTCCTGACCTCAGGTGAACCAGCCGCCTCGGCCTCCCAAAGTGCTGGGATTATAGGTGTGGGCCACCGCTCCAGGCCTGTAGGCTTTTTTATATTTCAGTATTAGGTGCATATCTTTCAAAATAAATAAACATAAGCCAGGCTTTTCCAACTGCGTCCTACACATTCTACAAGATATTAATCATGTGTCAAGAATAAAAAGTGTTGTGTTCAAGTACGTTTGGGAAACATTGCTAGTATATTATTTTCTTCTTAGAGAACCATAGAAAAACTTGAGAGGTTGGCGGGTTGGCGCAAACCAAGACCAAAACTGAACTGCAATCACTACCAAACCCCCACGAGTTTGCCCCTCCCCGCTTGCTAGCCTCAGTCCAGATTCTCCGGAAAAAGAAATCAGTCGTACGGGCTCTCGAAATGACGTACTTCCCGCGCGCCGCGAAGTCCTGATGCCAAGGGGCCAGTCGCGAGGTAAAGGAGGGGTCTCTGAAGTGGGCGTGGCGTCGCTGGAGGCTACTCAGGCGCGGGACTCGTTCTCGAGGCGGGAGCTGAGGTGCGGGGCGGGGCCTCCTGCCCGGCGCCGGCCTGTGGGGAGGCGGGGCGGGGCACAGTCTCTTAACCGTGCAGCCCGCCCCTGACGCCGCCGGTAACTGCGAGAGTCGGGGTCGGTGCGGTTTGATAAGTGGTCGGTTCCTGGAGCTGCGGTCTTCTGCTAGCCTGATCCGCAGCTTCAGCCTCCGCCGCCTCCTCAGCCCTCGGCGCCGCCGCTGGCGCCGCCGCCTGACCCGCAGGCCGCCGCGGGCCGCAGAGCCCATGAGGGCGCGGGCACCGCCGCCGCCTCCGCGGCGTCGCCGTCGTCCCGGAGCGCCCCGGGCTGGCGCGGGCATGGCCGCGGCATGAGCGTGGAGCCGCCGCCGGAGCTGGAGGAGAAGGCGGCGTCGGAGCCCGAGGCGGGAGCCATGCCGGAGAAGCGCGCGGGCGCGCAGGCCGCGGGGAGCACCTGGGTGAGCGCGGGCGCGGGGCCCGGCTGCCTGAATCCCGGGGAGGCTGGGTGGGGTCGCACCCAGGGCCCGCGAGCCCGCCGCTCCGGGCAGGGGCTTCGGCTCTTGGAAAGTCGGTCCTTTTCTGGGGGGGGAGGCGAATTCATCACGAATACAGGTTTTTCCTAGTGACTGCTCATCGCAGACAAAACTTTACAGGATTTGGTTATTGTTTCAAAAGGCGCTAGACATGGGACAGTGAATATAAGTAGTAATTTGGTTATTTCGGAGTTCTCCGTCCCTGTAACAGTTGATAACAGTTTTCCTGGCGCAGTTTCTCTCCAAGTCTACATGGAAAACAGGTAGGGAGCATTTGAATCAGACCGTCGACGGGGAAGTTGGCGGCAGATGCCGGGCAGCGCCTTGCTGCTCCTTCCGTGTTCTCCCGGCGTCGGAGGGGCGGTCCTAGCGATGGGGAGCAGAGTTTCCAGGGGCGTTGCTGGGGACCAGCCGAGGAGCAAGTTAGGCTGGCCTCTTTCTCCAGTTTTACTTTTGCTTGAGGTCGAGATGGCTTCTGACAATGATACAGAAGCAATTGAGCCCTGACTTAACTGGCCTGGTTTCGGCAGAACAGGCCTTGTCTGTGTCAGTGGTTTCATATGGTGCAATATTAAGCCTAGAGGGTTTGTCGTTTCTTCAAGGCCTAAGTTTAAAAAGGATTTTTTTTTTTTGGTCTTAGGACCTGAAATATAGAGAATGTTACAGTGAATAGAAACTGACACAATGGGAAAGTTTTTCCAAAGAAAAGTAGAAATTTTATGGAAATTAAATACATGTTTTTGGCTTTAGATTTTTAGCTTACATATCTGATTTTGTGTTTAGTTGAAGAATGCTAAGTGTTTACATGAACGTATTTGGGGATGTAAATCCCTATTAGTAGGTTGGGAGGGCAGCTGAAGCAGAAGGAGCAGTAGGTAGAACGGATCCGGCAGAGCTGGTTTTTAGTCCTGGTTTTGCCTGAACAGTGCGCACTCTGGACAGGGTATTGAAACAGCCTTGCCCCTCAGTGCCTCCTCTGTAAAATGAGGACTTAGTTGAAGTCCCCTCCCAGCCCAAGTGACTCCCTATTTTGAAAAGCATTTCAAAGTTAAGATCTCTGTAATATGAGAAGCTTATTTTGTCGAGGGAGAGAAATTCTGTATAATTGCTTGCTCTCATTTTGATTCGCGTTAAGTAGACTTGTCCTCTTCCTGCTTGCTACACAAAACTAAAGCACCAGTTCCTCCTCCTGTCTCATGAATTGATGGACAGTAATTACTAACCAGTGGCCCAGCTAGTAACCTGCGAGGTAGCTTCCTTCATCCCTTCCCATACTTAAAACAATCAGAAAGTCTAGCTAAGTTTATTAGATACAGATTTTAGGTTTTTATCCTCTCCTATGCATTCTTATGCTCAGAATTTCCTCAGCATTTTTGACCCAGACTTTGACTATCTCTTTCAAGACCCTTGCTCACCCCAGCGTCAGTCCACCTTGCACGTGGCTGAGTAGTGTGTTCTAGCATGTAAAGATGATCATTACTGCTGTCCTTAATTTTTTTCATTGGCTCCTTATGGCTTACAGAATAAAAAAATAAATTGGCAGGTTGAAGCATTATTAGTATAGTGATTAGACGAGCATGCTTGAAATCCCAGTTTCCACAGTTCGATAAGTTAACGTAACTCCTGATTAATAATGGCATTTACCTCAGAGGGTTGTGAGGGTTGCTGCAACTTGGCATCTAGTAAGCCCCTTAATACATACTAATGTTGTTAGTATTTTGTAATATTCTTTGCATGTATGATTGAATGATCACAATCTATAGGTGATCTGACCGTGATAAAAGTAGTTGTCTCCCATTTCCTAGTGTTGACAGGAACTAGACCCCAACCTAGAAATTAAAGTTGCTAAATTTGTGTGCTTAAGAGCAGAAACTTGCGAGGGATGTTTACTCAAAGAAACCTAGACTCAGTTTATTCCCCAGTTCTTTCTCCGTTGGATCCTGATGGTAACCTAATTTTGGGCACAGGTAGATTCCTGCCTGGTCTTTCCTCCTCTCTGAGAACGCATGGAGTTGATGTTAATTGTGATGAATACTGAGTTTTCTTGGTGTTTGCTGTAGATAGTGAGAAGGCTAGCATGAGCAGGTAGCAGTGTTTTTCTGAGTGTGTGGACGTTGGGAGAACAGTGAATGCTTTTAATCATATATGTTTGTGTCATATGCTAGTACCCCTGAATTATGTGTTTTTCCTGTTTGCAGTTTCTAATGTCACCTCCGGGTGCTGTGTCCTATAGCCCCTATATGAATTGATTTCATTTTAATGTGTTGGAATTTCCTTACAGCTTGGTTTCAGTGACACTCATGATTTCAGGTTCTTAGATGCTACTAGTAATCACAGGGAAGATTGTCCAGCTGATAACTTTTTTCTTTTTTGTTTTCTGTGTTTTTTTTTTTGAGATAGGGTCTTGCTGTCATCCAGGCTGCAATGGCCAGTCATGGCTCACTGCAGCCTTAAATTCTTGGGCTCAAGCAGTCCTCTCACCTCAGCCTCCTGAGTAGCTGGGACAACAGATATGTGCCACCATGCCTGGCTTTTTTTTTTTTTTTTTTTTAATTTATTTTTTGTAGAGATGAAGTCTTCCTGTTTCCCAAGCTGGTCTCAAACTCCTGGGCTCAAATGATCCTCCTGTCTCAGCCTCCCAGTGCTGGGATTATAGGTTAGAGCCATGATGCTTGGCCTGACAACTTTTTTCTACCTTATTTGGCAAAGAGATATATTGACCAGAAAAAGATACTGGCAGAGAGATGTCATAATCTGAAAAATAAAAGAGAATCAAGTATTTACTCCAAGAGATCATTTCCTTCTAGAAAAGGGAGGTGTGTCGCCGGGCACGGTGGCTCACACCTGTAATCCCAGCACTTTGGGAGGCTGACGTGGGCGGATCACAAGGTCAAGAGATCAAGACCATCCTGGCCAACATGGTGAAATCCTGTCTCTATAAAAATATAAAAGTTAGCTGGGCATGGTGGCAGGCGCCTGTAGTCCCAGCTACTCAGGAGGCTGAGGCAGGAGAATCGCTTGAACCTGGGAGGCGGAGGTTGCAGTGAGCTGAGATCGTGCCACTGCACTCCAGCCTGGCGACAGACTGCACTCCAGCCTGGCGACAGAGCGAGACTCCATTTCCAAAAAAAAAAAAAGGAGGTGTATGTTAGCTGTTTGCGTTGCTGTAAAGGAATACCTGAGAATACCTGAGACTGGGGAATTTATCAAGAAAAGTGGTTCTTTAGGCTGTACAGGAAGCTTAGCACCAGCATCTGTTTCTGGTGAGGGCCTCAGAAAGCTTGCAATCAGGACAGAAGGCGAAGGGGAAGCAGCTTATCACGTGTTGGGGAGGGAGCAAGAGAGAGAGGGGAGGAGGTGCCAGGCTCCTTTTAGCAATGAGATCTTGGCCGCGTGCGGTGGATCACTTAAGGTCAGCAGTTGGAGACCAGCGTGGCCAACATAGTGAAACCCCATCTCTACTAAAAATACAAAAATTAGCCGGGTGTGATGGTGCATACCTGTAGTCCTAGCTACCTGGGAGGCTGAGACAGGAGAATTGTTTGAAACTGGGAGGCGCCACTGCACTCCACCCTGGGTGACAGAGTGAGACTCTGTCTCAAAAACAAACAATAAACAAAACCAATCAGATCTTGTGGTAACTAATGGAGCGAGGACTCACTCATTACTGTGAGAAGGACACCAAACAATTGAGAAGAGATCAGCCCCCATGACCCAAACAGCTGCCACTAGACCCCACCTCCAACACTGGGGGTCACATTTCAACATGAGATTTGGAGGAGACAGATATCCAAATGCTATCTGCCTTAAAAACAAATTGGATAGTTTGGTTTTCTATTCTGTGGAAGAATTTGTGTAAGATTGGTAATACAGTTCTAGAACTTTATAGTTCTTGGCCTTTTGGAGATTAATTCTAGAACAGCGTAGGTTTTCTGTTTGATTTTTAGTTCTGTCAGTTTCAGTAAGTTGTGTTTTGTTGGGAATTTGCCCATTTTATCTAAAATGTCAAATTAGTTGGCATAAAGCTGTGAATAATGACCTCGTAGGCTCTTTTCACCTTCTGTAGGGATTCTTGGTGTGCATTTCCTTTTTTTTTTTTTTGAGACGGAGTTTCACTGTTGTTGCCCAGGCTGGAGTGCAATGGTGTGATCTTGGCTCACTACAGCCTCTGCCTGCCGGGTTCAAGCGATTCTCCTGCCTCAGCCTCCCATGTAGCTGGGATTACAGGCTTGTGCCACCATGCCCGGATAATTTTGTATTTTTAGTAGAGATGGGGTTGCACCATGTTGGCCAGGCTGGTCTTGAACTCCTGACCTCAGGCGATCCACCTGCCTTGGCCTCCCAAAGTGCTGGAATTACAGGCGTGAGCCACTGCGCCTGGCCCTTTTTTTTTTTTTTTTTAAGAGGTGAGGCCTCACTCTGTCATCCAGGCTGGAGTGCGGTGGCGCACAATCATAGCTTGCTGTAACCTTAAACTCCTGGGTTCAAATGATCCTCCTGCCTCAGCCTCCCTAGTAGCAAGGACTATAGGCACGTGGCACTATGCCTGGCTAGTTTTTAAATTTTTTTGTAGAGATTGGGTCTCACTGTGTTGTCCAGGCTTGTCTTGAACTCCTGGCCTCAAGTAATCCTCCAGCCTCAGCCTCTCAGAGTGCTGGGATTATAGGCATGAGCCACCATGCCTGGCTGGTACTCTGCATTGATAACTTGTGCTTTGTCTTTCAAAAAATATTTAATTTTGTAGGATCTTCTGGATAAATATTCACAAATATTGCACGTGTTGATAATTTTATATCTTATTTTGATGTTAAATGAACTAGAATATCCAGGAAAGTATTCAATGGTAATGGTAAAAGTGCATACAACCTCCTCTACGTAACAGGAATACATTAATTTTTTCTTACTGTTAGGTATCCTTTTGGCTGTATACACGTAAACATGCTTTATTACCCTATGGAAGCATTTTTGAAATTTCTCAGTTTCAGCTGGACGCGGTGGCTTACGCCTATAATCCCAGCACTTTTGGAGGCTGAGGCAGGCGGATCACGAGGTCAGGAGATTGAGACCATCCTGGCTGACGCGGTGAAACCCTGTCTCTACTAAAAATACAAAAAATTAGCCAGGCGTGGTGGTGGGCGCCTGTAGTCCCAGCTACTTGGGAGGCTGAGGCAGGAGAATGGCGTGAATCTGGGAGGTGGACCACGCTTGCAGTGAGCAGAGATCGTGCCACTGCACTCCAGCCTGGGCGACAGAGCGAGACTCTTTCTCAAAAAAAAAAAAGAAATTTCTCAGTTTCTTACATGTGTTCTCTCTTCCCCTTTTCCTCTTCCCTTCCTCCAGTTCAGCATGTCATAGAACTTTCACAAGTGGTTATGAAATCTTAGATATGCTATGGAGAAAGAGGTTATGGCATAGCAAGAGCATTGTTCTGTGAGAATTGGAGAGAAATCTATTCTTAATGTGTATTTATTTATTTATTTTTGAGACAAGAGTCTTACTGTTTCATCCAGGCTGGAGTGCAGTGGTGTGATTATGGCTCAGTGCACCCGGGAACTCCAGGGCTCAAGTGATCTTCCTGCCTCAGCCTCCTGGTAGCTGGGACTACACGTACGTCCCATCATGCCTGGCTAATTTTTAAATTTTTATTTGTAGAGATGTGCTCTTGCTTTGTTGTCCAGGCTGGTCTCGAACTCCTGGCTTCAAAGAATCCTCCTGCCTTGGCCTCCCAAAGCATTGGGATTGCAGGTGTGAGCCACTGTGCCCAGCATTAGTCTGACTTTTTTATAGTTAGCTTTGTATTTGCTTGTCTTTTTTAAACAACCTTATTCAGTTTAATTGACATAAAATAAACTGTGTGTTTGGAGTGCACAGTTTTGTGTTGTGACATATCTATACACCTGTGAAACCATTATCATAATCAAGATAGTAAACATATTCATCACCCTCAAATGTTTCTTTTTACCTCCCTCTACACCTCCATTTCCAGGCGATAATTTATCTACTCTGTCACTATATATTGGCTTGAATTTTCTTCCCCCTTTTTTTTTTTTTGAGATGGAGTTTCACTCTTGTTGCCCAGGCTGGAGTGCAATGGCGTGATAACGGCTCACCACAATCTCCGCCTCCTGGGTTCAAGTGATTCTCCTGCCTCAGCCTCCCAAGTAGTTGGGATTACAGGCATGCGCCACCATGCCAGGCTAATTTTGTATTTTTAGTAGAGACGGGGTTTCTCCATGTTGGTCAGGCTGGTCTCAAACTCCCGACCTCAGACCATCCGCCCGCCTCGGCCTCCCAAAGTGCTGGGATTACAGGCGTGAGCTACTGCCCCCAGCTGGTTTGAATTTTCTAGCTTTTTTTTTTTTTTGTTATTTTATAAATACAGCATATTCTCCTCTTTGGCTTTTAAAAAGTTCAGCATAAATTATTTTGAGATTTATCAGTGTTATGTAAATCGGTAGTTCATTCTTTTTAATTACTGAGTAGTAGTCCATTTGTGGATGAACCACGATTTGTACATTCCCTTGTTGATGGACTTTCGGCTTCTCACCAGTTTTTGGCTATTACAAATAAAGCTGCTGTGAACATCTGTGTGCCAATCTTTGTACAGAATACACTTTTTTAAAAGTAAATAGGAGTGAAATGGCTGGGTCATATGGTAGATGTATTTAACTTTTTAAGAAACTGTTGGCTGGGCATGGTGGCTCATGCGTGTAATCCCAGCACTTTGGGAGGCCGAGGCAGGAGGATTGCCTGAGCCCAGGGATTTGAGACCAGCCTGGGCAACATGGTAAGACTCCGTCTTTAAAAAAATAATAAAATAAAATAAATTGCCAAACTAATTATTTTAAAAGTAATTGTACAGTTGTACATTGCAGCTAGCACTGTATGATAATTCTAGTTCATCCATATCCTTACCAACACCTGGCCAATTTTAGCCCTTCCAATTGGTCTTTAGTGATGTCTCATTGTTCTTTTAATTTGTGCTTCCCTATGGCTAGTGGCATTCAGTATCTTTCCATAAGTTTTTTTTTTTTTCCTCCTCCGGCAGAGTCTCACTTTGGTTGCCCAGGCTGGAGTGCGGTGGCGTGATCTTGGCTCATTGCAGCCTTGACCTCCTGGGCGCAGGTAATTCTCCCACCTCAGCCTCTCGAGTAACTGGGACTACAGGCATATGCCACCATACCCAGCTAATTTTTTAATTTTTTATAGAGATGGGGTCTTACTATGTTGCCCAGACTGGTCTTGAACTCCTGGATTCAAGTCGTCCACCTGCCTCAGCCTCGCAAAGTGCTGGGATTACAGGTGTGAGCCATGTGCCCAACTTCCCTAAACTTATATGTCTTCTGTATATCCCTTTTGGCAAAGTGTCTGTTCTTGTCTTTTGCCTATTTTTTGTTGTTGTTGTTGGTTGGTTGTTTTCTTGTAATTGAGTTTTGAGAATTCGTTACATATTTGGGATGCAAGTCCCTCGTCAAATGATTTGCAAATACATTCTCTCTAGGCCGTGGTCCATCTTTTCATTCTCTCAGCAGTGTCTTGAAGAACAGGAATTTTAAATTTTGATGAAATTTATCAATTTGCTCTTTTATAGATCAGGGTTTTGGTTTCATATTTAAGAAATTGTTGCCTAATCCCAAATCATAGGAATTTCCTTCTATTTTTTCTTTTTTTTTTAGACGGAGTCTCTTTCTTTGTCGCCCAGGCTGGAGTGTAGTGGCACAATCTCTGCCCACTGCAATCTCCAGCTCACTGCAATCTCTGCCTCCCGGGTTCCAGCGATTCTCCTGCCTCAGCCTCCCGAGTAGCTGGGACTACAGGCATCCGCCACCACGCCTGGCTAATTTTTTGTATTTTTAGTAGAGTTGCAGTTTTAGTAGAGGCGGGGTTTCACCGCGCTAGCCAGGATGGTCTCAATCTCCTGACCTCGTGATCCACCTGCCTCGGCCTCCCAAAGTCTGGGATTACAGGCGTGAGTCATTGTGCTTGGCCTTCCTTCTATGTTTATGGAAGCTTTATAGTTTTAGATTTTACAATTGGGTTTGTGTTTAATTTTGATTACATTTTTATATGGTGCAAAATAAGGATGGAAATTATTTGTTTATGAACAGTTGTTCATTTGCTGAAAAATATGTTTTTATTCATTGAATAGCTTTTACATCTTTTTTTTTTTTTTTTTTTGAGATGGCGTCTTGTCCCATCGCCCATGCTAGAGTGCAGTGGCGCAATCTCGGCTCACTGCAACCTCCACTTCCCAGGTTCAAGCGATTCTCCTGCCTCAGCCTCCTGAGTAGCTGGGATTACAGGCGCACGCCACCACACCTGGCTAATTTTTGTATTTTTAATAGAGACAGGGTTTTACCATGTTGGCCAGGCTGGTCTCGAACTCCTGACCTCGTTATCCACCCATCTTGGCCTCCCAGAGTGCTGGGATTATGGGTGTGAGCCACCATGCCTGGTCTACTTTTGCATCTTTGTCAAAAATCAATTGTCCATATATTAGTCAGTCTCTGAACTCTTTATTCTGTTCCTTTGATCTATTTGTCTTTACATCAGTACCCTGCAGTCTTGATTACTGGAGGTTCATAAGACTTGAAAACTAACAGTCCCCCAATCTTGTTATTTTTTAAAGTCGTTTTAGTGATTCTGGGTCTTTGCATTTTAGAATTAGCCTGGCAATTTCCACAAGAAAGCCTTTTGGGATTGTTATTGGTATTCTTTTGCCGTGAAGATCTGTTTGGAAAGAATTGATCAAGTCTTCTGATGCATGAATGTAGTATCTCTCCATTTATTTTAGATCTGTAATTTCTTTCAGCTGAGTTTTGTAGTTTTCAGTTGACATGTCTTTCCCATCTTTTGTCAGATTATTCCGTTTCATATTTCTTGACGTTATTGTAAATGGTATCATTACATAAATGTAATTTTTTAAAATTTAAATTCACAATTGTTTGTTGCCAGCATATAGAAATACGGTTGATTTTTAAAAAATTGTTTAATTGTGGTAAAATACACATAGCAAAGAAGTTACCATCTTAACCATTCTTAAGTGTAGACTTCAGTAGTGTAAGTATATTCACATTGTTCTGCAGCCAATTTCCAGAACTACTTCTTCTTTCAAAACAAATTCTATACCCATGAAACAACAACTCCATTTTTTGCCATCCTCCCATTCCCTGACAACCACCATTCTCCTTTGTTTCTATGTGTTTGACTTACTTTAGATACCTCATATATATGGAATCATACCATATTCATCCTTATCTTTTTGTGATTGACTTATTTCATCTTGCATAATGTCCTCAAGGTTTGTCCATGTGTGCCGTGTGTCAAATTTTCCTTTTTTTTTTTTTTTTTGGACACATGGTCTCTCTCTCTGTTGCTCAGGCTGGAGTGCAGTGGCATGATCACGGCTCAGTGGAGCCTCGACCTCCCCAGGCTCAGGCGATCCTCCCACCTCAGCCTCCCAAGTAGCTGAGAGTACAGGCGCGCACGAGCAGGCCCAGCTAATTTTTGTATTTTTTGTAGAGTTGCAGTTTTGTCATGTTACCCAGGGTGGTCTCAAACTCCTGGGCTCAAGTGATACACCCGCCTTGGCCTCCCAAAGTGCGGGGATTACAGGCATGAGCCTCCATTCCTGGCCTCTTTGCCCATTTTTAAATTGGGTCATTTGCGTTTTGTTTTATTGTTGAGTTGTAAAATTCTTTATACATATATTCTGGATATTAACTCCCTGCTATGGTGCGAATGTCTCACTTTGAAACTTAATTGCCATTGTAATAGTATTAAGAGGTGGGACTGTCAGGGCTATTGAAGAAAATGGTTAAAAAAAAAATAGTGGGAACTTTAAGAAGTGATTAGGCTGTGAGGGCCCTGCCCTTAATTAATGGATTAATGCAGTGAGTTTTGTTATCCTGGTAGTAGGTTCCTTATAAAATAATGAGTTTGGCTCCCCTTTGTCTCTTTTTTGTCTTTCTGCCTTCTCCCTTGGGATAACGCAGTGAGAAGGCACTGGCCAGATGCTGTTCCCTCTCTCTTGAACTTCTCCTCCTCCAGAACTGTGAGCCAGTAAATTTCATTTCATTATAAATTACTCAGTCTGTGGTATTCTATTATAGCAGCACAAAATAGACTGAGACACTCCCTTGCAGGTAGTTGATTTGCAAATTTTCTCCCATTCCATAGGTTACCTTTTAACTCTGCTGATTGCGTCCTTTGATGCACATAAGTTTTAAATTCTGATAAAGTCCAGTGTATCTATTTTGACTTTGTTGCCTGGGTTTTTGTTGTCATATCCAAGAAGTCATTGCCAAATGCATACTATGAAGCTTTTGCCCTATGTTTTCTTCTAAGTTTTATAGTTTTAAGTCTAATGATAGGTCTTTGGTTCATTTTAAAAGTTTGTGGTTTGAGAAAGCCCAACTTCTCTCTCTCTTTTCTAGTGTTTTTAGCGTCATATATAAGAATCTATTACCAAATCCAAGATTTATCTCTTTTATGTTTTTAGCTCTTATGTGTAGGCCATTAATCCCTTTGAGTTAATTTTAATATATGGTGTGAAGTAGGGGTCCAGCTTTACTCTTTCACATGCCAAAAATTAGTTGCTCTAACAGCATTTGTTCAAGAGACCATTCTTTTATGGCACCCTTGCTCAAAATCAGTTGGCCATACATGGCTTATTTCTGGAGTTTGCATTCTGTTCCATTGGTGTATGTCTATCCTTAAGCAAGTCCCACACTGTTTTGATCACTGTGGCTTTGTAGTTTTGAAATCAGGAAGTGTGTGTTTTCCAATTTTGTAATTTTTCAAGACTGTTTTGGCTGTTTGGTGTTCTTTGCAATTCCATATGAATTTGAGGTGATCCTGAATTCTGAATAAGGACCTCCTTTTTTTTCTTTACTTATTTTTTTGAGAGAAGGTCTTGCTGTGTTGCCCAGGCTGGAGTGCAGTGGTGTGGTCGTGGCTCACTGTAATCTTAAACTCCTGGGCTTTTCCATTTCTGCAAGAAAGTCTTTGGGAATTTGATAGGGATTGTATTGAATCTGTAAATCACATTGAATAGTATTGATAGCTTAGTGATAGTAAGTCTTCCTTCCTGTGGACATAAATGTCTTTATTTAGGTGAAATTTGTTTTCGGTAACGATTTGTAGTTTTCAGTGTATAAGTCTTTCACTTCCTGGGTTAAATTTATTTTTAGGTATTTTTTTTTCTTTTAGATGCTGTTATAAATGAAATCACTTTCTTAATTTCATGTATGTATAGAACATATCGTGTTTGTATCGTTTTTCTGCATTGTCTAATCTGCAGTTATCTTATTAGGCACATTTGGAGCAGTGCTCAGTGTAGGACTAATTATTCTCCACTACTCAGGCAAGGTTTTCCTGATTTTGTACTCAGCACTATGTGAGTGAAAAAAGTTTTTTAAGGTTAGATGGTGGAAACATGCATAGGCTCAGAGTGACATCTGGCCAGATCTGTATACTGTTCAGATGTTTTTTCCCTGGTTTTTGATAGTTACGTCACATGCATGTGCTTATCAGTACCCTGCTGAATTCTTGAAGTGGATCTTCTGCAGATCTCTGGGCTTCTCTCTCTCTCTCTTCCCTCCATTACTCTGTTCTGCCTTGATCTCCATTAGCTCTCACTTTCATGTCAACTCAGAAAGTTGTCCTCCAGGCTTTGTCTGGGTTCTTCCTACCAGAGCAGAGGCCTAGAATCTGTATCAGGCAGTAAGCTGGGATAATAGTACAGCACATCTTTTCTTTCCTGATTTTCAGGGATCTCTGTCCTTTATTGCCTGGCATCCAGTGTGTCTTGGTTGTATAAAGCAGAAGGGTAATTTTGATTACTGTTAACTATTTTTTTTCCACTTTGTTAAAGATTGATTTTGTGGCTCTTTCTTGAGATGGATGAAAAACTCAGCTTTTCAGACTTTTTTTTCTACTATCCATTTATATTAATTTTACATTAACAGTTGTCTTCTCTCTGGCTTAAAAGTTTCCTCCTCTTACAAAATCAGTATTTCAATATGAATATTACTATTTTGCCCCATACTCGGTGGTTTTCTACCTTTTCTTTCCTTTCGCATCAGCCCTGGGCCATCCTTTTAATATTTTTGTGGAGAACACTCTCATGTCTACTGTGACATTCATTAAGGTGGGTGGGAAGGGGCACTTCCTAGGAAAGGCACTATGTATGATGTAAAAAAGTTTTTTCCCTCACCATCTTCATTTTCCTGTGCTTGCCACGTCCCTTTCTGCACTTACTTCTTTTGAAATCTACTGTTCTACTAGAAATCATATTAATATTGTTTATATACAGTATTAGACCTTTCCAATGAGGCAGAATAACTAAGCACCTAAAAACCTGGATGTTTTCCCGCCTTTTAAATTTAATCTTCTTAATTGAGTGTGTCTCACCTGGTTTGCTATTTTTTTTTTAAGAATTGATGAATATTCTAATCAATGTTCTAAGGAATGTGATATGCTTTTATTGACTATGACTCATCAATTCTCATGATAGTTTTGAAGTAGGTGATAGAGCAGTGCATGATTTAATGGTGAGAAACATCAGTGCATGGAGATAAATTGACTTGCTGAAAGTGACCAGGCTGACTGAACAATGGAGCTGGGACTTTCTTCATCTCTGTTCTCAAATCTAATTTTTATTTGACAGCTTAGTTCCTTATGTTGCCTATATAGGCAATTTTGTTTTTCGTATTCAAGAGTAGAGGTAGGAAGAAGACTCCTGAGTTGTCTGAGCATTGTTTTTTGTTGTTATTTGTGTGCTGTCACAGAGTTAGGCATTGTCATGTAGTCACTCCGTGCCTAAATAGCTCCCCTGCTCTACATTGTCTATTGTTAAATTAGGTCAAGCCACGAGGAGATCTGAAGAAAAACTTAAAATTCTGTGGATAATGCGCTTCTTGGTAATTACTATTCATCTGACTAATTGCTTCAATTTAAAAATAGCAAAAGTATGAATTTTATATATTAGTAGTTCTTTGTGCATAGATCTTTGAAGTACTTAAGTAATTAATGAAAGTATCTTTTGCACGTAATGTAGAATATCTCTTTATACTGTGATGCAGTAGAAGTACAGAAACTTCATTTAAGATCTGTAGCGTGGTAATATGTTCCCTGAAAAAAATAGTGGCTTTATATTTTAAATTATTAGTCAGCCAGATACATGTGAGTATCATGGGTCATGAAAAAAGAGTCATAAAATGTGTGGTGAAATGTGAAGATTATTTTTAGCTTTAGGCATCTTGAATACTGCTTTGGAGTAATCTTCAGTTCTTAAATTACCATTCTTTTGTTATATACTCCTTGGGTGGGAAACTTATGGAGGCCAGTTAATGTACACTAAAAAAAAGGCCATACCCATTGACCTGGCAATCACTCTTCAAGGAACTTACTGTAAGGCACTATTGGGACAAGACCACAGAGGTATATTTGTAAGATATGTATGTACTAATTGTATATATTCATGAAAGATTGTAACTTAAAAGGGACTTGGTGAAACAGTTGTGGCACATACATTAGGTGGAGTACTAAGCTGCCGTTAAAAGTGATGAAATGACTATATGCCTATTGATATGAATATGGTGAATTTATTTTTATGTAAATCGGCTACACAACTTTTATCACATTAAAAATACATTTATATATTTGCATGGAAAAATGTCTGGAAGGGTTTATACCAAACTTTAAAACACTAGTGATCATTGCTGATATTGAGATTTTTGTTGATTTTAATATAATTTCTTGCCTGTTTCTTTATTTTCATTTATACGTTTTCTACTAAACATGTATAAGTTACAAAGCCAAAAGAAAAAAATAAAAAGACCAGTGGAAAGGATACATGAATACTGGAAGTTAGTATTCTGGAAGTGCCTCACAGACTTCCTGGTCCCGAGTGTTTGGGTTGCCTCAAGCTCTTTCTTGTTTTCTGACCTATCTTCCGTCCTTCGCCTCATTGCCTGTCTAAGGATCCCCCTTTTGTGTGAGTTGATCCTGCTTTCAGATATATATGCACTAGAGGCTATAAGGGGCCTTAGACGCCAGTCCTAGTTTTCTCAGTATATGTATGAGAGCACTAAAGGCCAGAAAATTGGTTAAAGACAGGAAGCTATTAATAGTTAGCAGCAGAGCCAGGAATAGAACTCAGGTTTCCTTGCTTCTACTTGAGAATTTTTTCCATATTATGTGTGCTCTTCATAAGTAGGGTGATCAGACATCTCAATTTATGCCTTTTGTCTGCACTTAATTCTGGTTTTTTTTTTTTGAGACAGAGTCTCACTCTGTTGCCCAGGCTGGAGTGCAGTGGCGGGATCTCAGCTCGCTGCAACCTCCGCCTCCTGTGTTCAAGTGATTCTCTTGCCTCAGCCTCCCAAGTAGCTGGGACTACAAGCATACACCATCACCCCTAGCTAATTTTTGTATATATATATATTTTTTTCAGTAGGGACGAGGCTTCACCGTGTTGGCCAGGCTGGTCTTAAACTCCTGACCTCAAGTGTTCTGCCCGCCTTGGCCTCCCAAAGTGCTGGGATTACAGGTGTGAACCTCCGTGCCCAGCCTATGCTTAATTCTTAAAAAGGACCCCCTTTTATTCCTTATTTACTTGAGACAAGGTCTTGCCCTGTTGCCCAGGCTGGAGTGCAGTGGTACGATAATGGCTCACTTTAGCCTCAAACTCCTGGGCTTAAGTGATTCTCTCACCTCAGCCTCTGGAGTAGCTAGGACTATAGGTGTGCACCACCATGCCTGGCTAATTTGTTATTTTTTTTGCAGAGATGGGGTCTCACTATGTTGCCCAGGCTAGTCTCAAACTCTTGGCCTTAGGCAGTGCTCCCACCTCGGCCTCCCAAAGTGCTGGGATTACAGGCATTAGCCACCATGTCTGACCCCTCTTTTACTCTTAAAAGTGTCTTGGCCGGGTGCAGGGGCTCACGCCTGTAATCCCAACACTTTGGGAGGCCGAGGTGGGTGGATCACGAGGTCAAGAGATCAAGACCATCCTGGCTAACACAGTGAAACCCCATCTCTACTAAAAATACAAAAAATTAGCCGGGCGTGGTGGCGGGCACCTGTAGTCCCAGCTACTCAAAAGGCTGAGGCAGGAGAATGGCGTGAACCCAGGAGGCGGAGCTTGCAGTGAGCCGAGATCGCGCCACTGCATTCCAGCCTGGGCAACAGAGCAAGACTCCATCTCAAAGAAAAATAAAGGTTCTCGTTTGTGTGATAAATGTTTACCCCGCTCATAAGGGAAACAGACATAATGGAAAGTGTCATACAGACTAACCCTGTAACCAGGATCCATTAATAGAAATTGGAATGGTTGGAAGGAAGGGCTGTTTGTAGAGTAAGGTGCTTTTCATATGTTGAATTGAAGGTGTTGCCAGGACATCTAAGTCATTATTTTCTAGTCGGTAAAAGTAGCTGAGACGTCATTTAGAGAGGGATATGTTTGTGAGCATTTTTTGTTTGGAGATGATAGTTGAAGCTGCATCAAGACAGTCCATTCATTTTTAATCTTATTGGGGGAGGATTAGTGAGCTCAGCTTAGGAAGATGAAAGAATGGGCTACCCAGTATGATATGCGTGCCTGAGGACACATGTTGATCCCATATATGGATGTGCACATGTGACTGCTTTGATTTTTGTCTAGTGTAGACATGCCTGAACATTTATGTTTTGAAATATGTAATACTTTGTTAAATTTCTTTTCTTTCCTTCTCCTTTGTGTCACAGACCATGAAACAACTTTTTTTGATAGTGGCTGGAAAGCGTCGGGTAGTACTGATACATGCAAGGCTGGTTGATGAAGAGCACAGTCTCTAGGAATTAGGAGTACCTCAATTCAAAGGCTGCCTGTGTAACTATGCATAGCTTATTACTTCCTTTCTTCACAAGTTTAGACAAGTTTGATCATGGGAACAATGAGAAACTATGCTCATGATTGTTCTTCAGGAAGATTTATCTGATGCAGTGCCTGAGTGTGGAGAGACACAAGAGTTAAGTGATTGATAAGGAGGCAAAACCTTGGGAGAAAAGAGCTTCTGGACCAGGGTCTTGACCTAGTGGAAAAAGATTGGCTGGATGTGGTAGCTCACACCTGTAATTCCAGTACTTTGGGAGGCAGATGCAGGAGGATTGCTGGAGCCCCAGAATTTGATACCAGCCTAATGTCTCTACCAAAAAAAAAAAAAAAAAAAAAAGAGGCTGAGCTTGGCGGTGTGTGTCTGTAGTCCCAGCTACTTGGGAGGCAGAAGGATCACTTGAGCCTGGGAGGTTGAGGCTGCAGTGAGCTGTGATCAGGCCACTGCACTCCAGCCTGTGCAACAGAGCGAGACTCTGTCTTAAAAAAAAAAAAAAAGGAAAAAGGAAAGTGATTAATGTGAGAGATGTTGAGGAACTAGTAGAGGAGCTAGAAGCAGATTGAATTTTGGGGAATGAGAAAATGTAATCAGGTAAAAAATCAGTACAGTACTATCACTAGAGAAGTCAGGAGGAGAAATTAATTACTATGATTAGTTTTCTTTTGGTTTTGTTGATTTTGAGAGTGCTAACTGCACTTGGATGTGAACTCTTTAAAAAATATTTTGGCCAGGTGTGGGGGCTCAGGCCTGTAATCCTAGCACTTTGGGAGGTTGAGGCGGGCGGATTGCCTCTGTTCAGGAGTTTGAGACCAGCCTGGCCAACATAGTGAAACTCCGTCTCTACTAAATATACAAAAAATCAGCCAGGTGTGGTAGTGGGCACGTGTAGTCCCAGCTACTTGGGAGGCTGAGGCAGGAAAATCCCTTGAACGAGGTTGCAGTGAGCCGAGATTGCGCCACTGCACTCCAGCCTGGGCAACAGAGCGAGACCCTGTGTCCAAAAAAAATTTTTTTTTTTGTAGAGACAAGGTCTCACTAAATTGCCCAGGCTGGTCTTGAACCCCTGGGCTCCAATGATCCTCCTGCCTTGGCTTCCCAACGTGTTGGGATTACAGGCATGAACCATTGCGCCTTCCCCCCACCCCCTTTATTTTTTCCTGACGTGTGTTTTTGAGGCTGGATGGTGAGAAAATCTAGAGAGAGGAATCAGGGAGAGATGTTGGAGGTAGAGACACTGGTTATTTGTATCAAAGTTGTAGTGTCAACTGAGCCCATAAGATTGAAAGAGAGCAGGAGATTGAGGGGTGGGAGAAGTGATACTCTAAAGAAACTCTTGGGAATGCTGACATTTCTGATATTTTGCTCTCGTGATACATGCTGTTCATCCTTATTATTGATACTTGTTCTTGATCCTTCCTAGTGGTGGGCTTCCTATTTTCAGCATTCAGACTATACATGCCTTGTACCTTCTCTTAACTGTGGCTCCACCCTGACTTCTCATGACTCCTTAGACTGCCTTTGAGGAAGATTATAGCTGTTGTTAAATGTGTGATATCTGTCTCAGGATCTTCAGTTGAACTGAAAGATTGCAGTATAGTGGGAGTATTTTCTTTGTATTTAAAAGCATTTTTTTTTTTTTGAGACGGAGTCTCACTCTGTTGCCAGGCTGGAGTGCAGTGGTGTGATCTCGGCTTACTGCAACCTCCGCCTCCTGGGTTCAAGTGATTCTCCTGCCTCAGCCTCCCAAGTAGCTGGGACTACAGGCTTGTGCCACCATGCCCAGCTAATTTTTGTATTTTTAGTAGAGACGGGGTTTCACCATGTTGGCCAGGATGATCTCAATCTCTTGACCTTGTGATCTGCCTGCCTTGGCCTCCCAAAGTGCTGGGATCACAGGCATGAGCCACCACACCCGGCTTAAAAGCAATTTTAAGTTAAGATTACACAATGATCATCTTTAGTATTTCCTCCCAATTAAGGCATCTTATCTAGATTTTACTTTATAGGAATGGTCACATTTTGTGTCTGGGACTAATAACATGCTGCTACCACCCCCTTCTAAAAATTATCTCATGAAAAGCTAGTGATTAATTCTCTTACTGAGGTGGTTATCTTGTCTGTCCATTAGCCTCTGAACTCTTCTTGGCCATCCATGTGGAATTAGAAAGCAGGCAGAGCCAAGGAGGAGGAACAGCCATGACACTGCATGTCCAGGGGAAATGACAGTCTATCTCCTTTTGCTTTCAAGTTGCTGATATTTACTGTGTATTGTGATCTTTGAGTTGGCCATCATGTGTGGGAACAGCTTCCAACCTTATCTTTTTTTGATGGACAGCAGATGACCTGATTGATTGAGAAAAGCCAGGTGCCTAGTTCATCTGAACTTTTTGGGTCATATTGAGAAAGTAGGCGAAGGGGTTGGTAGAGACTGCCCTTTTGCTCAAGTACACAGTAGCAGGTTAGAACTCCTTAGTGTGGGGAACAGGGTTAGTGGTCAAGTGAAGGTCTACGCTTTGCTTTGCCTGAGGAACTAGCTACATTTGACTCCTGTCACTTACTCAGGTTGCTGCAATGCAGGCTGGCTGCCATATGTATGTACTGATTCTATTTGTGGAAACATTTGGGCTGTATAAGAAAAGTAATGTATTACAGTGGTTAGTAGCACATACTCTGGAGGTGTGTGACTATCTTGGTGGAATACCAGTTCATGCACTTACTATGTGAGTTGGGAAAGTTGCTTAAATTCTCTGCATCTGAGTTTGTCATCTATGAAATCGGGATAATAATAGTTCCTATCTCAAAGGTTGTAGTGAGGATAAAATGAAGGTATGTATATATAATGTGCTTTGATTAGGGCCCCGCATAATATCTGTTGCTGCTATTGTTGCTGCTGTTATAGGATAATTATACTTTTTGCCCAGATATTGCTCAGGGGTCTTTGTGATATACTCAATAACCTCTGTCCTTTTCCTTCAGAGCGTATATTTCCATTTATAATTTTACATTCCGTGAAATGAGAGCAAGGACTGTATCACCATTGTCCCCAACACCTAGCTGGTATAGTCAAGGTTAACAAATGTTTGTTGAGTGAATGAATCGTTTGGAGTTGAGTATTTTCACTCTTATAGAATGTTGGACATATACACCTACTATGTACCCACAAAAAAATAAAAAAAAAATCTTGGTAGAGATAAGAATATTTACAAAAACAGTTCTTGGCCTCTTAGTTTGCATTAATTTGGGTTGTGGTTAATAAATTGTTTGAAAAGTTGTGAAAAGCAGTTATTTTGTAAATATTTAATGAATGCTGCTTGGTCTGTCCAATGAGATAGGCATGCCATTTATTCAACCATTTAATACAGTGCTGAGAAAATTTTTATAATTTTTATAGAAAAGTTATTTTATCTGGAGAGATAACCAGTAAAATTCTTTTTTCTGCTTGTATTCCAATATTATTATTAGGTAGGGGGAGAAATTGCAAAGTCTTCAAGTATATAGTCATTTGTTTGGTTTTTAAAATGGTTCATCTTCTACATCCTTATGTTTATGTAAAAACTTTCAGATAAAGAATTTTTTTTTTTTTTCAAGATGAAGTCTCGCTCTGTCACCCAGGTTAGCGTGTGGTGGCAGGATTTCGGCTCACTGCAGTCTCCACCTCCCAGGCTCAAGTGTTCCTCTCACCTCAGCCTCCTGAATAGCTGGGACCACAGGCATGTGCCACCAGGCCCAGCTAATTTTTGTATTTTTAGTAGAGATGGGGTTTTACTACATTTCCGAGGCTGGTCTTGAAGTCCTGAGCTCCTTTGCCTCCCAAAGTGCTGGGATTACAGGTGTGAGCCACTGTGTCTGGCCCAGATAAGTAATTTTTTAGATGGAACATTTTACTAACCAGATAGCTATAAGTGATATAGGCAAAAAATAGCAAATATGTGAATTATGAAGATATTGGCAGCTTACAGTGAAACATACTTTTTAATATATGTCTTCATTACCAATACAGAAATGACTATGAGTCTTGTGGCAGTACTTTTTTTGTTTTTTTTTTTTTTTTGAGACGGTGTCTTGCTCTGTCGCCTAGGCTGGAGTGCAGTGGCGTGATCTTGGCTCACTGCAACTTCCACCTCCTGGGTTCAGGTGATTCTGCTGCCTCAGCCTCCCGAGTAGCTGGGACTACAGGCGTGCACCACCACACCTGGCTAATTTTTATATTTTTAGTAGAGAGGGGGTTTCACCATGTTGGCCAGGCTGGTCTTGAATTCCTGACCTCAAGTAATCCACCCGCCTCAGCCTCCCAAAGTGCTGGGATTACGGGGATGAACCACCATGCTTGGCCTTGTGGCAGTATGTTCAAATTAGGGAGCACTAGTTTTCAATTTGAATGTATTTTAGAATCATATTTTTTTGCTGTTTAGAAGTACAGTAGAGTCAACAGTTTAGACAGTTATATTCTTGATTTCTTAACTTGCTCATAAAAATAAAACTTGAATATTTCATTTTAAATAAGTTAGCATTGTGCAAAATGCCTATACATGATGTATTTGATAATAAGGGGATTTATTATTGCACATAAGAACTCCAGGAATAGAGTGCTTAGCACAGCAGCTTAATGATATTGCTGAGGACCTGGACTCATTATATTCTTATTTGCTCTTCCCAGTGTGCTGGCTTTGGATCTTCAGGATTGACCCCTTGTGGTCTCAAGATGACTGAGCAACTGTAGCATATCATTACACAGCAGTGCCCCCAAATTGGAAGTAAACTGTTTTGTTATGCGTCCCTTAGAGAGTGAAAAACCGTTCACAAGCCCTCCCACATGTCTTCCCTTATATCTCATTGACCACAGTTGGGCCATGTAGCTCATTCCTGTCTTAAATCATGGAATTATTATGGTTGAATTAGATTCATCTCCGGACCTAGTGAGCTCTCTGGCCTGCAGTCTCAAGATGGTGACCATGGTCAGCTTAAGCATGCAGTTAATGAAACATGAACAAAACTGAGAAGATGTTAGCAAGCGATCCTCCTCAGCCTCCTGAGTAGCTGAGGAGTGGGCAGTGTAGGAAGCCAGCCTTTTCTGCCACAACAAATGTCTGTTATCTCTGAGTTCAGGATACGTTTAGAGAAATATTACTAGAGCCTGTCTTTGAAAGAGTTGTGTATTATAGGAGGAGGATGTGTGCTAAATGGAAAAGAAGCTATAGGGATATGGCAGTGAAGTACCTGCCTCTGCTCAGGCAAGTCATGGGATATCCGCAGCTGCTCAGATAATAAATTATATGAGTATATTTGTGATATACCCATATAATTGGTATTTGTGAACTCTGCGTTGGGTTCTATTTATTCAAAGTGGAGTTGGCGCCAGGCGCAGTGGCTCACACCTGTAATCCTAGCATTTTGGGAGGCCGAGGCAGACGGATTGCCTGAGCTCAGGAGTTTGAGACCAGCCTAGGCAACATACTGAAACCCCATCTCTACTAAAATACAAAAATTAGCCAGCTGTGGTGGCACGCACCTGTAGTTTCAGCTACTGGGAAGGCTGAGGCATGAAAATGTCTTGAACCCAGGAGGCGGAGGTTGCAGTGAGGTGAGATTGCACCATTGCACTTCAGCCTGGGCAACAGATGGGGAGACTCTGTCTCCAAAAAATTAAAGTAAAATGAAAACAAAGTGGGGTGGGGTTGGCAAACTTTTTTTGTAAAGGACCTGGTAATAAATGTTGTAGGGTTTTTTTGGCCATATGTTACTCAGCTATGCCAGTATAGCACAAAAGCAGCCATAGACAGACAATATGTAAATGAACAAGCACTGCTAAATATCAGTGAAACTTTATAAAAATAAGCAGTGGACTAGATTTGGACTGTGGGCTGTAGTTAGCTAACCCCTGCTCTAATATATTTTTTTTCTTTTTTTGAGACGGAGTTTCGCTCTTCTTGCCCAGGCTGGAGTGCACTGGCAGGATCTCGGCTTACCACAACCTCTGCCTCCCGGGTTCAAGCAGTTCTCCTGCCTCAGACTCCCAAGTAGCCAGGATTACAGGCATGCGCCGCCACACCCAGCTAATTTTGTATTTTTAGTAGAGATGGGGTTTCTCCATGTTGGTCAGGCTGGTTTTGAACTCCTGACCTCAGGTGATCCACCTGCCTCAGCCTCTCAAAGTGCTGGGATTATAGGCGTGAGCCACCGTGCCCGGCCTCTAACATTTAATAGTACTAATTTTTCCTCTGTCCCTTTCTTTTTCTCCTTCAGGATGTTTTTATATTCTTGTCCATTTATTTTTTAAAATAAAACTTTTTTATAGAATAGTTTTATATCCACAGAAAAATTGCAGATAGCATAGAGTTTTCCTATACTCCATACCCATATTCCCTTATTATTAACATTTTACACTGGCATGGTACATTTGTCAAAATTAATGAGCCAGTGTCCATGCACTATTATCAGCTAAAAGCAGCCAGGCATGGTGGCTCACACTACTTTGGGACACTGAGGCCAGAGGATCACTTGAGACCAGGAGTTCAAGACCAGCTTGGGCATCGCTCTTCAAACAAGCAAAAATTACCAGGCATGGTGGTGTGTGCCTGTAGTCCCAGCTACTTGGGAGAGTGTTTGGAAAAAAAAAAAGGAAAAAAAAAATCCACTGCCAAAGAAAAAACCCCTAAAGTCCATACATACTTTACTGAGATTTCTTGTATTTTACTGAATGTTCTTTTTCTGTTCCAGTATCTCATGCTACTACATTACATTTAGTTGTTGTGTCTTCTTGGGCTCCTCTGGACTGTGACAGTTTCCTAGGCGCTCCTTGTTTCTGATGTCCTGGACAGTGTTGAGGAGGACTCATCAAGTGTTTTGTAGAATGTCTCTCAATTGAGATTAATCTTGTTGTTTTTCTCATGATTAGAGTGGAATTACGGGTGTTTGGGAAGAAGCCCATAGAGATGAAGTACCATTTTCATTATATCATATCAACAGTATGTGCCACTGTTGATGTTAACCTTGATCACCTGGCTGAGATACTGTTTATCAGATTTCTCCACTGTAAAGTTGCTCTTTTACCCGTTTCTATACTGTACACTTTGGAAGGAAGTCACTATGTGCAGCCCACGCTTTCAGAATGAGTAGTTATATTCCACCTACTTGGGGGCAGAGTGTCTGCATAAATTATTTGAAATTCCTCTGCATGGGAGATTTGCTTGTTCTTTTCTATTTAATCATTTTATCAGTATGAACTCATAGATATTTATTTTGTACTTTGGATTATCCCCAAATCCAATATTGCTTTATTTTCTTGTTCAAATTGTTCTAGCATTGGCCATTGGGAGTGCTTTGACATATATAACCCTATCTTTGTTTTTTTTTAAAACACTTATGTTCCTGGACCAAACTGAGAGTTGGGCTGCTACTTCTTAAGGCCCAATAATGAGATGCAGATGAACTGGGGAGGAAGAAAGTTTTTATTTCTGCAATGGGTTACAGGGAGAATACCTGGAAATTATCACCAGGCCAACTCAATATTACAAAGTTTCCGTAGCTTATATACCTTCTAAGTTATATGTCTACCTGTAAGTGTGCATTCATCTTAATGATTAACAACTTTTGGTCCATAACTAAGGTCTGAGTCTTGAAGACCTTCCTCTGGAGCCTCAGTACATTTACTTAATCTAAATGGGTCCAGGTGCTGGAGTGATTACCCTTATCTTGTCTCCTGCTAAATCACGGAGGTTTGGGAGTTCCTTCACACCCCAATAAACTTGTTTGTGGAGGCCTGGGAAGTTTCTTTAGACCCACAGTAAAACTTGTTTAATCCTAAATGGGCCTTAAGAATTCCTTCATTATTTTGTCATGCTTTAAGGCCCAGGAAAGGCCTAGGCAAAACTCTTGGTGGGCTTTTGTTAAATTCCAGCCTTTGCATAAGGGTACTGGCTCTTCCCCTCCCCCCCGTCGCGCCCTCCGAGATGGAGTCTTGCTCTGCTCTGTCACTGAGGCTGGAGTGCAGTGGGGCAGTCTTGGCTCACTGCAACCTCCGCCTCCTGCGTTCAAGCGATTTTCCTGCCTCAGCCTCCAAAGTAGCTGGGATTACAGGCACCTGCCACCACACCCAGCTAATATTTTTGTATTTTTAGTAGAGATGGGGTTTCACCATTTTGGCCAGGCTGGTTTCGAACTCCTGACTTCAGGTGATCCGCCCACCTTGGCCTCCCAGAGTGGCTAGGATTACAGATGTGAGCCATCGTGCCCGGCCGGCTCTTTCAGCTTTTAACATTTAACTTAACTACTCAGTCTGTACAGAAACAGTTGTTTTGGGGGCCTGAGTTAGTGAGACCTGGCTTGCCATGCTTATATTCTGGGATTACAAGATACTCCACGCTCCTCTTACATATTTCCCACTCTAGTCCCAGAATTAGCTGTTTCTCCAAGGAGCCCTGGTTTCTTTTATTTGAGAATGGCATTTGAAACCAAGATGTGTCACACTAGATATGCTTATTGCCGTTGAGTTTCTAGGGTGTAGTTTCTTTCAGGCTCTTTCAGCTGATAGAGTGTGAGGAAACAGGTGTATATAATACACACATTTGTAAGTATTTCCATTTGTGACCATCTGTATCTATATGAAGTTAAAAATGAGTTCATAATGATGTGCTCAACTCTAATCCATGATTACATGGATCATTCTTGCTTCCTTCTCTTGTTTATTTGTAACCTTCCACTCCAGCAGTGAGAAACCTGGCTTCCACCATCTGCCATCCAGTTTATTTAATTGGTCAGTCACAGCATACATGGTTCCAGAATTGTTAATCTTTATTTCCATGGGGTACAACTTTCAACTATAGCATAACAGTGTTTAAGTTACAGAAATGCCAGGTGGTCGATCTAGGTCTTGTTTCTCGCCACACAGAAAGCCAATCACTGAGGTGAGTATTGCCGGGGAAAAAGCCTTTTTTTTTTTTTTTGAGATGGAGTTTCGCTTTTGTTGCCCAGGCTGGAGTGCAATGGTGCGATCTCGGCTCACTACAACCTCTGCCTCCTGGGTTCATGCGATTCTCCTGCCTCAGCCTCCCGAGTAGCTGGGATTACAGGCGTGTGCCACCACGGTGGCCTGGCTAATTTTGTATTTTTAGTAGAGATGGGAGGTTTCCCCATGTTGGCCAGGCTGGTCTCAAACTCATGATCTCAAGTGATCCGCCCGTCTAGGCCTCCCAAAGTTCTGGGATTACACCCAGAGCCACTGCGCCCGGCCAGAGAAAAATTTTGCCTTTTTATTTAGGTGTTGCCTACTGAAGAGAATGGGAGATCAGTTTCGAATCTGCCTCCTCGACCAACTAAAACTGGGGAGTTTATGTACCGAAAAAAGGAATGTAACTATGTGTGAGGAAAACAGCAATTAGGAAAAGGATAAGGAAGCAGTCCTGACCTATGAGGGGAAAGAGGTGTCTGGGGTCTCATTGTCAAATGGTGATTTGGTGAGTTTCAGTCCGTTGCCTGAGGAAAGAACTCATTGGAGACAAATATAAGTTTTAGGTTTTAAAACTGGAAGGGTCAGTTTCTATGTTTATTCAAAGACCTGTACATATAATTTCTATGGGGAAATTGAGCCAGTTTCATTTATGCGCAACTTTTTTTGCCTCCAGTCTTAAAGGAAAAAAAAAAAACAACTGATAATATTTGTTGCCTATGATAAAATTCCAGCTTCCAAATGAAAAAAAAAAAAAGACTCCACTATTTCCCAGAGTTACTTGGATCACTGCCTTTCCCCATACCCCCTTTAGTGAGGTTGTTTCCTGTGTTTGTACTGCAATTAGATTCTTTTGCTACATTCTGCGTTCCATCCTGGGATTCTCCACCTCTGAAATGTTTTCTAAAAGTTAACATGTACTGAGGCTCACTCTTGTTCTCTGAAGTTCTGCTGGTTTTGAAAAATGCGTGGTGCCGTTTACCTATCATTAAAATATCATACAGAACAATTTTACTACCTGAAAGTGTCCTGTGCTTCATCCATTTAACCCTACCCTCCAACTCCAGCTACCACTGATCTGGTACTATCTATAGTTTTGCTTTTTCCGGAATGCCCTTTAAATGGTATCTTACACTTTGTAGCCTTTCAGACTTGCTTCTTTCATTTAGCAATATGCATTTCAGATCCATCCTTCTAACAATCTTGTTGTTTTAATTTGCATTTTAAAATGACAGTGACACATAATGAACATCTTTTCTTTTCCTTTTTTTTTTTTGAGACGGAGTTTCGCTCTTTCATGTGGGGTCAACTGCAATAGAAAAGAGGACCCTCAAACACAGGCTAATTTTTTTGTTGTTGTTTTTGAAACGGAGTCTCACTCTGTCACCCAGGCTGGAGTGCAGTGGCGCGATCTTGGCTCACTGCAACCTCCGCCTTCCGATTTCAAGCATTTTCTCCTGCCTCAGCCTCCCAAGTAGCTGGGATTACAGGCGTCCGCCACCACAACCAGCAAATTTTTTTGTATTTTTAGTAGAGATGGGGTTTCACCGTGTTGGCCAGGCTGGTCTTGAACTCCTGACCTCAGGTGATCAAGACCTGGGCCTCCCAAAGTCCTGGGATTACAGGCGTGAGCCACTGCGCCCAGCAATGAACATCTTTTTATAGGCATATTTGCCATCTGTATATCATCTTTGAGGAGACTGTTGCGGTCCTGTCACCCCTCCCCCTTTTTCTTGTTGACGATCGGGATTTATTACCTCATTTAACAAGAAATCTGATGGAAAGACAGTTCCAGGATTGGTCCTTGATTTTGCGTCAAGGACCAGGTTCTTTCCATCTTCAGTGTGTTGATTTGTCTGGCTCTCATGGTCTCAAGATGGCTGCCATAGTTCAGTTACAGGAAAGGGGTCCCAATCCAGACTCCAAGAGAGGATTCCTGGATAGACCTCGAACAAGAAAGAATTCAGGGCAAGTCCCTAAAGTGAAAGCAAGTTTATTAGGAAAGTAGAGGAACAAAAGAATGGCTACTCCATAGACAGAGCAGCCCTGAGGGCTGCTGGTGCCCATTTTTATGGCTGTTTCTTGATTATATGCTAAACAAGGGGTGGATTATTCATGCCTCCCCCTTTTAGACCTATAGGGTAACTTCCTGACGTTGCCATGACATTTGTAAACTGTCATGGCACTGGTGGGAGTATAGCAGTGACGATGACCAGAGATCACTCTCATTTCTGTCTTGTTTTTGGTGGGTTTTAGCCAGCTTCTTTACTGTAACCTGCTTTATCAGCAAGGTCTTTATGACCTGTATCTTGTGCTCCCTATCTTCATCCTTTGAGTTAGAATTCCTTAACTGTCTGGGAATACAGCCCAGTAGGTTTCAGTCTCATTTACCCAGCTCCTATTCAAGATGGAGTCGCTCTGGTTCACACGCCTCTGACAGTTCTAGGCTTCACATACAGTTAAAGTATTCCAGAGACAGAAAAAGAATCTCTGCTCTCTTTTCTCTCTATTGCATTTTAAAAATTGAGATACATTCACGTACCATACAGTTCATCATTTTAAAAGTATACAGTTTGGTTTTTTTAATATATATTCACGGTGATGTAGAACTACCACTATCTAATTCTAGAACATTTTCATCTCCCCCAAAAGAGTCCCTATATCTTTCCATTAACTGTCACTCTCCATCTCTCCCTTTTCTCAGATCATTTGCCCATTTTTTAATTGGGTTGTTGTATTAGTGACTTGTAAGGGCGCTTTCTATGTTCTTAAGTTCTTTATCAGATAAGATTGTTGCAGATACTTTCTTCCAATCTGTGGCTTATCTTTTCATTCACTTACCAGTGTCTTTTGCAGAGCAGAGGTTTTTAATTTTAGTGAAGTCCACTATATCAACTTTTTCTTGCATGTGGCATGACTTTAGTCTTGTACCTACAGACTCATCTTGAAACCATGTGACCAAGTTCACTTATATTTTCTCCTAATAATCCTCTAGAAGCTAATAGTTTTGCATTTTATTTTTAATGCATGATGTAGTTTGAGTTACTTATTTTTATTTTAGTGTATATGCATAACATAGTTTTTAAAGTTTCAGTTCAATAGCATTAAGTACATTCACATTGTTGTGTACTCATTACCACTATCTGTCTCTAGAATTTTTTCATCATCCCAAACTGAACTCTGTGCCCATTAAGCAATAACTCCCTAGCTCCTGGTAGTCACTATTCTACTTACTGTCTATGAATTTAATTACTGTAGGTACCTCATATAAGTGAAATTATGCCATATTTGATTTTTTGTGACTGGCTCCTTTCCTTTCCTTTCCATTTCCATTTCCATTTCACTCTCGTTGCCCAGGCTGGAGTGCAATGGCGCGATCTCGGCTCACTGCAACCTCCGCCTGCCGGGTTCAAGTGATTCTCTTGCCTCAGCCTCTCAAGTAGCTGGGATTACAGGCGCCCGCCACCACGCCTGGCTAATTTTTTTGTATTTTAGTAGAGACGGGTTTGCACCATGTTGGCCACGCTGGTCTCAAACTCCTGACCTAAGGTGATCCACCCACCTCGGCCTCCCAAAGTGCTGGGATTACAGGCATGAGCCACCGTTACCAGCCGTGACTGGCTTATTTCACTTACTACAACGTCCTTAATGTTCATCCATGTTGTGACAGTCAGTTTCCTTTTTTTTTTTTTAAGGTTAAATGATATTCCATTGTATACATGTACCATATTTTGTTTAAACATTCATAAGTTGAACACTTGGGTTGCTTCTACGGTTTGGCTGTTGTGAGAGAATTCTGTGAATTTGGGTATATAAAAATCTGTTCAAGTCCCTGCTGTTGTTTCTTTTGAATAGATAGCCAAAAGTGGAATTGCTGGGTCATGGAGTAATTCTATTTTTAATTTTTTGAGTACCTGCCAAACCATTTTCCATAGGGGCTGCACCATTTTACATTCCTACCAACAGTGTGCAAGGCTTCTAATTTCTTCATGTCCTTGCCAGCACTTATCTTCTTATTTAAGAAAAAAATCACAGCTGCTGTAGTCTGAATGTGTCTCCCAAAATTCATGTGTTGGGAACTTAATTCCCAGTGCAGGAGTATTGCGAGGTGGCGCCTTTTGGGAAGGGTTTATGTCATGAGGGCTACACCATTATCAATGGATTAATGCTGCTATTAAAAAGGGCTTGTGGGAGAGGGCTCATCCTCTTTTGCCCTTCCACCTTCTGCTTTGTGAGGATGCTGTAAGACTGTCCACCCCAGATGCTAATACCTTGTTTTGGACTTCCCTGCCTCCAAAACTGAGAAAATAAATGTCTGTTATTTATAAACTACCCAGTCTCAAGTATCCTGTTATAGCAGCACAAAACAGATTAAGACAGTAGCCATCCTAATGAGTATGTGGTGATACCTCATGGTTTTGATTTGCATTTCCCTAATGATAAGTGATGTGTATCTTTTCTTTTTTCTTTCTCTTTTTTGTTTTTTTGGGGGACAGATTTTTGGTCTGTCTCTTAGGCAGGAATGCAGTGGTGCAATCTTGGCTCACTGCAAACTCCGCCTCCCGGATTCAAGCAGTTCTTCTGCTTCAGCCCCCAGAGTAGCTAGGAACACAGGCATGCGCCACCATGCCTGGCTAATTTTTGTATTTTTACTAGAGACAGGGTTTCACCATGTTGGCCAGGGTGGTTTCAAATTCCTGATCTCAAGTGATCTGTCTGCCTCAGCCTCCCAAAGTGCTGGGATTACATACATACATGAGCCACCGCGCCCGGCCTATGTGTATCTTTTCATGTGCTTCTTGGCCATTTGTGTATCTCTTTTAGAGAGGGCTATTCAGTTTCCTTGCCTGTTTTTAATTGAGTTGTTATTTTGTCTGTGAGTTGAAAAAGTTTATTATATATTCTAGGTATTAATCTCTTATCAGATATGTGATTTGCATGTATTTTGTGCCATTCTGTAGATTGCCTTTTCACTGTCTTGATAGTATCCTTTGATATATGAAGGTTTTTCATTTTGATGAAGTTTGATTTTTATGTATTTTTTCTTTTGTTGGCTGTTCTTTTGGTGCCATATCCAAGAAGTCATTGTCAAATCCAATACCAGGAAGCTTTCCTCCATGTTTTCTTCTAAGGGTTTCATAGGTTTTGCTTTTATGTTTAGATTTTTGGTCCATTTTGAATTAACTTTTATATATGGTTTAGGGTAGCGATCCAACTTCATTCTTTTTAATGTGGATATCCAGTTTTTCCATCACCATTTGCTGAAAGACTGTCCTTCCTTTCTCATTAAATGGCCTTGGTACCCTTGTTGCATATCATTTGTGACATATATGTATTTACTTCTGGGCTTTTTATTTCCAGGCTTTTAATTTATTTTTTTAAAAGACTAGGCCGGGCGCAGTGGCTCATGCCTGTAATCCCAGCACTTTGGAAGGCTGAGGCGGGCAGATCACGAGGTCAGGAGATCGAGACTACCCTGGCTAACATGGTGAAACCCCGTCTTTACTAAAAATACAAAAAATTAGCCGGGCATGGTGGCGGGCGCCTGTAGTCCCAGATACTCGGGAGGCTGAGGCAGGAGAATGGCATGAACCCGGGAGGTGGACCACGCTTGCAGTGAGCGGAAATCGTGCCACTGCACTCCAGCCTGGGCGACAGAGCGAGACTCCGTCTCAAAAAAAAAAAAAAAAAAAAGACTGGGCTTTGCCATGTTGCCCAGACTGGACTTGAACTCCTGGGCTCAAGTGATTCTCCTGTCTAAGCTTCCTCAGTAGGTAGAAATACAGGCACACACCACCATGCCCACTTGGGCTTTTTATTCTGTTGGTCTACATGTCTGTTTTTATGCCAGAACCACACTGTTTTGATTGCCATATGTTTATAGTAAGTTCTGAATTCAGAAAGTGTGAGATAATTTTTTTTCTTTTTCAAGATTGTTTTGGCTTTTGGGGGTCCCTTAAGATTCTATATAAATTTTAGGATGGAGTTTTCTCTTCTTGCAAAAAGCATCATTGGGATTTTGATAGGACTGGCATTGAATCTGCAGATCACTTTTGGTAACAGTGATACCTTAACTATATTAAATCTTTAAATCCATGAACATGGGATGTCTTTATGTTTATTTATACCTTCTTTAATTTCTTTCAGCAGTGTCTTACAGTTTTAAGCATAGAGGTCATTCACCTTCTTCGTTACATTTATTCCTAAGTATCTTATTCTTTATGATGCTATTGCAACTTGAATTTTTTTTTTTTTTTTTTTTTGAGGCTGGGTGTCACTCTTGCCCAGGCTGGAGTGTAGTGGGGTGATCATAGCTCACTGCAAACTTGAACTCCCAGTTTCAAGTGATCCTCCCACCTCAGCCTCCTGAGTAGATGGGACCACAGGTGTGCGCCAGCACGTCTGGCTAAGTTTTTTGATTATTATTATTTTTTGAAACAGAGTTTCACTGTTGTTGCAGGCTGGGGTGCAGTGGCGCAATCTCGGCTCACCACAACCCCCGCCTCCCGGGTTCAAGCGATTCTTCTGCCTCAGACTCCCATGTAGCTGGGATTACAGGCAGGCACCACCACACCCAGCTAATTTTGTATTGTTAGTAGAGACAGGTTTTCACCATGTTGGTCAGGCTGACCTCAAACTCCCAACCTCACATGATCTGCCTGCCCCAGCTTCCCAAAATGCTGGGATTACAGGAGTGAGCCACTGTGCCCAGCCGTTTTTTGATTATTAGTAGAGACAAAGTCTCACTATGTCGCCTGGGAGGGCCTCAAATTCCTGAGCTCATGCTGTCTTCCTGCCTTGGCCTCCCAAAACATTAGGATTACAGGTGTGAGCCACTGGACTCAGCCCAATTTGAATTTTCTAAGTTTCATTTTAACATTGTTAATCTTTAGTGTATAGAAATGCAGCTGATTTTTAATGTTGATTTTGTATCTTGTAACTTTGTTAAATTCATTTATTAGTTGTAACAGGTTTTTTGTGTGTGGAATTTTTAGGGTCTTATGAGATCTTGTCATCAGCGAACAGAGATAATTTTACTTCTTCATTTCCAGTTTGGATGCCATTTCTTTCTTTTTCTTGCCGTATTACTCTGGCTAGAATTTCCAGTATTGTATTATACTGAATAGAAGTGGGGAAAGTGTGCATCTTTGTCTTGTTTCTGATCTTAGAGGAAAAGTTTCCAGCCTTTTTCCAGCCTTTCCCCATTGAATATGATGTGAAGTATGGGTTTTTCATATTTGGCCTTTATTATTTGAGATAATTTTATTCTTTTCTTAGCTTTCTAAGTGTTTTTATTATGAAAGTGTGTTGAATTTTGTCAGATGCTTTTACTGCATCAATTAAGATGATTATGTGGGTTTTTCCTCTTTATTTTAATGTGTTGTATTACATTGATTGGTTTTCATAGGTGAACTGTTATTACATTCTTAGAATAAGTCCTTGGTTATGGTGTATAACCATAATAAACTGCTTAATAAACTGTTGAATTTGGTTTGCTAATATTTTGTTGAGGATTTTTGCATCAATGTGCATAAGGAAAATTGGTCTGTAGTTTTCTTTTTTTTTTTTTTTGAGATGGAGTCTTGCTCTGTCACCCAGGCTAGAGTGCAGTGGCATGATCTCAGCTCACTGCAACCTCCGCCTCCCAGATTCAAGCAATTTTCTGGCCTCCGTCACCTGAGTAGCTGAGATTACAGGCACGCACTACCACGCCCGGCTAATTTTTGTATTCTTGGAAGAGGCATGGTTTCACTATGTTGGCCAGGCTGGTGTCGAACTCTTGACCTTGTGATCCACCCGCCTCGGCCTCCCAAAGTGCTGGGATTACAGGCATGAGCCACTGTGCCTGGCCCTATAGTTTTCTTGTAGTGTCTTTGTCTGGCTTTTTTAGAGTATGGCAGTACTCCCTGATCTGTGATTTTGCTCTCTGTGGTTTTGCTTTCCATGGTTTCAGTTACCCGAAGTGGGCTGAGGTTTGATAATCCTAAATGGAAAATTCCAGAAATAAAAATTCATAAGTTTTAAGTTACACGTCACATTCTGAGTAGTGTGATGAAATATTTTGCCATCTTCATCTTGCTCCATTCCTTCGTCCAGCATTTACACTCTATATGCTGCCCATCTGTTAGTCAGTCAGCCATCAGTTATCGGATGGACTGCAGTATCACAGTGCTTGTGTTCAAGTAGCCCTTATTTTATTTAATAATGACCAAAAGCACAAGAGGACTGTGCCTAATTAGAAATTAAACTCAATCATAGGTGTGTGTAGGAAAAAACAGTATATACAGATGGTCCCAAATTTGATGGTTGAACTTAAGATTTTTCAACTTTACCTTGATGCAAAAGCAATATGCATTGAGTATGCACCTCTACTTATGGTTGGGTTGTCTGGATAAGCCCATCGTAGGTTGAATATATCATAAGTCTAAAGCGACTTTCAAGTTAGTATATTTTCAACTTACAGTCGGTTTATTGAGACTTAACCCCTTTGTAAGTCGAGGAACAGCTGTATAGGGTTTGGTACTTTTCGAGGCATCCACTAGGGATCTTGGAATGTATCCTCCTTGGATAAGGGGGCAACTACTGTAATGCTGGCTTCAAAGAGTGAGTTAGAAAGTGCTCTCTCCTCTTCATGTCTTGGGAAGAGGTTTAATTCTTAACTCTGCTGGAATTCTGGGAGGTTTTTGATTACTGATTCAATCTCCTTACTAGTTATAGGTCTATTTATATTTTCTGTTTCTTCATGATTCATTTTTAGTAGGTTATGTGTTTCTAGGAGTTTGTCCATTTTGTTTCATTTATCCAGTTTGTTGGCTAATTGTCTATGAGACTCCCTTATAATCCTGTTTCTGTAAGGTTGACCATTATTATCTTCTGTTTCATTTCTGGTATTAGTAATTCAGGTCTTCTGTTTTCTTGGTTTGTCCATTAGTTTGATATTTTCATTAAATCAATTTTGGTTTTGTTGATTTTCTCTTCCCTTTCCTTTTTCTGTTTTTTTTGTTTGTTTGTTTTTTGAGACGGAGTCTCGCTCTGTCACCCAGGCTGGATTGCAGTGGCACGATCTCTGCTCACTGCAAGCTCCCCTGCCTCCTGGGTTCAAGCGATTCTCCTGCCTCAGTCTCCCAAGTAGCTGGGACTACAGGCATCCGCCACCACGCCTGGCTAATTTTTTTTATTTTTAATTTTTAGTAGAGATGGGGTTTTACCATGTTAGCCAGGATGGTCTCGACCTCCTGACCTCGTGATCCGCCTGCCTCGGCCTCCCAAAGTGCTGAGATTACAGGCCACTGCGCCCGGCCTCCTTTTTTTTTTTTTTTTTTTTTTTTTTTAAGGCAAGGTTTCACTCCCTTCTCCCAGACTGGAGTACAGTGGTATGATGATGGCTCATTGCACCCTCAACTTCCTGGACTCAGGCGATTCTCCCACTGCAGCCTCCCAAATAGCTGGGACTATAGGTGTATGTGCCACCATGCTTGGGTAAACTTTTTCTTTTTTGTATTTTTAGTAGAGACAGGGTTTCACCATGTTGCCCAAGCTGGTCTTAACTTCTTAACTCCTGGGTTCAAGTGTTCTGCCCACCTTGACCCCCCAAAGTGCTAGGCTCACACTGCACCCGGCCTGATTTTGTCGATTTTTCTGTATTGCTTTTCTATTCTGTATCACGTTTGTATCTGCTCTGATCTTTCTTTCCTTGCTTTGAGTTTAGTTTGCTCTCTTCTAGTTTCTTACAGTGGAAAGTTAAATTATTGATTTGAGATCTTTTATAACCACACATCTACAGCTGTACACTTCCTGTTAAGCGCTGCTTTAAGCTGCATTCAACTGGTGTGTTACATTTTCATTTTTGTTCAAATGAAAGTTTTGTAACTTTCCTTGTGATTTCTTTTATCTGTTATTTAGGAGTATGTTTAAATATTTTAATATTCATGAATTTTCCAAATTTTCTTAAGTTAATGATGTCTAATTTCATTCTGTGTGGTCAAGAACATAGTTTGTATAAATTAACTCCTTTTAAATTTATTCAAACTTGTTTTACAGTCTTCTCATGTGCACTTGAGGATTTATATCTTGTTGGGAAGAGTGTTCAATAAATGTCTGTTAGGTTTAGTTAGTGTTCAGTGTTACTGAAGTCTTCTATTTCTTGCTGATCTTCTAATTGTTCTATCAGTTACTGAAAATGGGTATTGAAGTCTCCAGCTATTGTTGATTTGTGTATTTGTGCCTTTTATTTTTAGAGAGTATTGATGCCGGTAGGTGAGGACGATGGCTTTTTTTTTTCCTAAACGAGACTGGAGTCTCACTTTGTGGCCCAGGCTAGAGTGCAGTGGTGCAGTCATAGCTCATTGTAGCCTTAAACTCCTGCACTCCAGCGATCTTCCTGCCTCAGTCTCCTGAGGAGGTGGTACTACAGACACATGTCACCATGCCTGGTTAATTTTTAAATTTTTTGGAGAGATCGAGTCTCACTGTGTTGTCTATACTGGTCTTGAACTCCTAGCCTCAAGTAAATCTCCCACCTGCCACCTGAGCCTCACAAAGTGCCAGGATTACTGGCATGAGCTACTGCACTGGGCCTATTTTTTTCCCCCCCTAAGAGATGGGGTTCTTGCTGTGTTGCCCAGGCTGGACTTGAACTCCTAGGCTCAGGTGATCCTTCCAAATAGCTGGGACTACAGGTGCACACCACCGCTCCTGGCTGAGAATGATAATTTGATGTTGCATTGTATAAATGTTTTTAATATTGATTCTAAAGGGGTCCTATAAATCAATATGAAAGATTAAAGTCACCAATAAAAAATTGACAGAAGATGAACAGGCAGTTCACAGAAAAAGAAACGCAAATTCCTAATCATAGGAAAGAAGCTCAGCTTCATTGGGAGTAAGGGAAATACAAAATAAAATTAAATAACCATTAAAAAAATCAAATTAGCAAAAATTTTAAAATTATTATTATTTGAGATGGAGTCTCACTCTTTCCCCCAGGCTGGAGTGCAGTGGTGTGATCTTGGCTCACTGCAGCCTCCGCCTCCTGGGTTCCAGTGGTTCTCCTGCCTCAGCCTCCTGAGCAGCTAGGATTACAGGCACTTGCCATCACGCCTGGCCAATTTTTGTATTTTTAGTAGAGATGGGGTTTTGCCATGTTGGCCAGGCTGGTCCTGAAATGCCTGCCTCGGCCTCACAAAGTGCTGGGATTACAGGCATGAGCCACTGCACCTGGCAAAAAATTAAAAAATTATTATGCAGTCTTAGGATATGGCAGGACAGGTATCCTCCAGAATTGTTAAGGAGACTGTAAGTTGTTCTTTTTTTAAATTGTTAATGAGACTGTAAGTTCTTTTCTTTTTAGCAATCTGTTTAAAGCTTTTTTTGTGGTTACCTTTACATATTATTAGGAATACCTCCCCATATTCATCACCCTACTGCAACAAGGCCAATCTTGTTTTACCTGCATTTTCTGTATACTGGTTTATGTCTTGACTGCATTGAATCCAGGTTTTTTGTTTCACTTTGTTTTTTCAAAGAATACTTCTTAAGTGGTGGTATTTTTTTGTTGTATTACATCATGTGGCAAATGATCTCTGTCTGTGATGTTATGATTGATCAGGTTTCAGGTGTTATCAGTTTGATTATTCCCTTGTACCTTGTCAGCTTTTACCCAGTGATTTCAGTGGCCATTAATGGTCATGGCCTAGATTCACTATTTCAGTAAGGCTGTGAAGTGGCAGGATTCTAAGTTAATTATTCCTTTCTTCATTCGTTAGCCGATTTTTTTTTTTTTTGAGACAGAGTTTCGTGCTTGTTGCCCAGGCTGGAGTGCAATGGCGTGATCTTGGCTCACTGCAACCTCCTCCTCCTAGGTTCAAGCCATTCTCCTACCTCAGCCTCCCTAGTAGCTGGGATTACAGGCACCCGCCACCAAGCCTTGCTAATTTTTGTATTTTTAGTAGAGATGGGGTTTCACCATGATGGCCAGGCTTGTCATGAACTCCTGACCTCAAGTGATCCGCCTGCCTCAGCCTCCCGAAGTGCTGTGATTATAGGTGTGAGCCACTTCCCCTGGCCCAGAGTTAATTTTTGCTGTTACAGTGTTTTAGCTTTGTGCATATGGCACCTCATAGTTTAGGGATAAAGTAGAATTGTTGCTTCAAAGGGTAAATATGTAATTTGTCTAGATGTTGCTGAATTTTCTTCCATAGTGGTGTACCATTTTTCATTCCTATTTGCAGTTTGTGTTTCTTTTCAGTTGCTTCATCAATAGTTTACAAACGTTTGAATTTTTGAACTTTTAATGTCTGATACTGAGAACTTGTGTTTGAATTTAGCTTAATTTTGCATGTTTCTTAATACAAGTGAGGCTACTAAGGGACATTTGATTTCAGTGAACTGGTTCATATTTCTTGCCAATCTTTTTATTGGGCTGTTAGTCTTTTTCTTAACATTTTTAGAAGCTTTTTATATGTTAGAGATAGTTGATTAGGTGACATAAGATGAAGTATTTTTTTGACTCTTAATTAGTGAAACTTTAAAATTATAATTGGATTCTAAATTAGAATGTGTATATTCTTTGGCCCTGCAACTTCACTTCTAGAAATTTATCCTAGAATGCTAATAAAAGGATATTAATAGTCCCACCATTTTCACCCTTATGTGTATAGCCAAGGGAACTGGAAACATGTTCATACAAAAACTTGTACATCAATGTTTATAGCAGCATTATTCATAATAGCCAAAGATGGAAACAACCCAAGTGTCTATGAACTGATGAATGGATAAACAAAATGCAGTATATCGATGCAGTGGAATATCATTTAGCTATAAAATTGAATGAAATACTGACACATGCTACAACATGGATGAACCTTGAAAATATGCTGATTGGAAGAAGCTAGACACAAAAGGCTACATGTTGTGTGATTCCATTTATGGATTCTATTTATGTATGATCCCAGAATAGGCAAATCCATAGAGACAGAAAGTAGATTAGTGGTTCTGAGGGGAAGTAGGGGGAGAAGGAAATGAAGAATGTCTCCTAATAGGTGTAGGGCTTCTTTTGGGGGGTGATAAACATGTTCTGGAGTTAGATAGTGGTGATGGTTGTATAATCTTGTGAATATTCCAAAAACCGCTGACTTGTGTGCACTTGAAAATGGTGAATTTTATGAGATGTGACATATTTTTAAAAAATAAAATGTATAACCTCAATCTAATCATGAGAGAATATTAGATTAATTCAAATTGAGGGACACTCTATAAAATTATTGGTGAAGAGTATACTAGTATTCCCTGAAAGTATCAAGATCATGAAAGTAAAAAAATAAAAGTCTTGGGAACTGACTTAGATTGGAAGAGCCTAAAGAAATGTGAGAACTAAATGCAGTGTTAAATCTTTGATTAGATTCTGAACCAGAAAAAGAAAATGGGAAAAATGGCAACATTCAAATAAGGTATGTAGATTAAAGTTTTGTAGCAATGCTAATTTCCTGGTTTAGATAATTATACCATGGTTATAGAAGATTTTAACATTTGGGGAAGCTGGGTGAAGGATATACAGGAACTCTTGGTTTTTGCAACTTTTCTGTAGGTTTAATATTATTCCAAAATTTAAAAAGTTAATTGCAGCAGTTTTAAATAAGTGAAAATTCCATGTACTCCTATCAGTATTCGATTGGTTAAAATTATGGCACATTCATACAATGAGATACTGAGTAGTTAGCTATTAAAAAGAATGTGGGCCGGGTATGGGGGCTCATACCTGTAATCCCAGCACTTTGCAGTAAGCTGAGATCACGCCACTGCACTCCAGCCTGGGCAACAAAGCGAGACTTCATCTCAAAAAAAAAAAAAAAAAAGCTAATTAAGAAACAACCCTTATACTTAATGGCTTAAAACAACAACCATTTATTACAATTCTTTGGGTTAGGGGTTTGAGTGGAACTCAGCGAGAGTTCTTCACTGATTTCTCTTGGTGTGTCTCATGCTTCTGCAGTCACCTGCAGGCCTGATTGTAATTGGGTCGTCTAAGATGGCCTTGCTCCTATGTCTGACAGTTGGTGATGTCTGTTAACTGGTTTGTCTGTGAGGCCTTGATAGGGAGAGTTTCTTATCCTCTCATATGCCTGTGGCAGGAAGATATTTCTCCTTGTGGTAGTCTTGATCTTTGGCAATCTAGGTTCAGAAATCCATGTTTTGTCTTCACCTGACTGTTGGTTAGAGGAAGTTGTCAAACCAGCTTTGATCTAGGGACATGGAGAAACAGATTGAACCTTTTGATGGAATTGGCAGCAAAGTCATATTGTGAAAATGTGTGTGTACAGGAATGAGAGCAATTTGTAGCTCTTTGTTTTTGCAGTTCTTTGTTTTCTCAGTTTTCCACAGGAGTGATGGAATAAGATTTGTATTTTTAAAAAGTTCACTCTGAGTGTAATGTCACCACAAGTTTGGAGGGGACAGGGAAAACGAGTCAAGGCAGGGTTAACAGGTCATTGCAGTAATCTGTGGGAGAGATGATAAATAAGAGGGTGCAAAGACATTATTGCACACTTTTCATCCTCTGCTTCTAAACATCTCTGGAATTGAGATATCTCAAGATATTCCATACTGATTTAAAGTCATCCGAGCTGCCCCTCAGGCCTTTGAGCATGTGATACCCATACCCATCTCTCTTATTATGTAGGTAAAGAAACTTCAGCCCTAGAGAAGTTAAGTTGCTAAGGAACACGTAATTCGTAAGGGACAGAGCAGTCAGATCTTGGAAACTTAGTTTCTTGAAGATCCAGTTGATTTTCTACTAAAGCTCCAGTGATTTGCGTCGATGGGATAGATCGAAAGTCTATAATCTTTTTTTCTTTCAAGATAGAGTCTTGCTATGTCACCCAGGTTGGAGTGCAGTGGCGGGATTTCGGCTCACTGCAAGCTCCGGCACCCGGGTTCAAGCAATTCTCCTGCCTCAGCCTCCCAAGTAGCTGGGACCAAGTAGCCTGCCACCATGCCTGGCTAATTTTTATATTTTTTAGTAGAGGTGGGGTTTCACTATGTTAACCATGCTGGTCTTGAACTCCTGACCTTGTGATCTGCCCGCCTTGGCCTCCCAAAGTGCTGAGATTACAAGCTTGAGCCACCACACCCAACCGAAAGTCTGTAATCTTAGCACCTTCCCTTATTAGGGAAAGTGAAGGCATCAAGGATAACACAGAATGAAGTTTTATTTTAAATGACAGAGGTAGGCCCTAAATTTTTTTACACATTTTTACACATTTTTTTCTATACCATTTTAAGATAATAGATTTCTTATATTTCTTTGCTAATTTTCATAATAACTTTCTTTTTTAGCTACAAGGCTTTGGCCGACCAAGTGTGTACCATGCTGCTATTGTCATCTTCCTTGAATTCTTTGCGTGGGGCCTGTTGACAACTCCAATGTTGACTGTAAGTATTGCTGAACTGGGTTTGTGTTTTGTAAGAGAAAGAGATAAGTTCTTAGGCACGTATCACTGTGTATGTCTAGATACGTGTTTGGGAGTAGCTCTTGATAGTGATTTAAAACAGCTTGTTTCATTGTTTTTTTTTTTTCCATTGTGGTTTCTGAACCACATGTAACACAAAACACCTCTTTAAATATTCCTGGGTAGCACTGCACTCTTATTGAAGTAAACTTGGGGGTGCTGTTATACAAACGAACTGTATATGTTTAGGAAGATCCTTAAGATACTCTACAGCAGCAACTCCCAAACTTTTTTAGCACTAGGGACTGGTTTCGTGGAAGACAATGTTTCCACAGAATTGGGTTGGTTGGGGGATGGTTTCAGGATGAAACTGTTCCACCTCAGACCATCAGGCATTATTAGTTAGATTCTCATAATGAGCGCAACTTAGACCCCTAACATGCACAGTTCAGAGTAGGGTTTGCACCCCTATGAGAATCTAATGCCGCTGCTGATCTGACAGGAGGCAGAACTCAGGTGGTAATGCTCGCTCGCCTGCTGCTCTGTGTGGCTGGGTTCATAACAGGCCACGGACTCATAGGGTCCTGTCCTACAGGAAATTGCAGAGCATTGTTGAAGTCTGTAACTTCTTTAGGAGGATATTAATGGTCTTTGACTTAAGAACATAGTAAATAGCAGATTGGTGAGTACTTTGTAACAATGAGTAATAATTGTAGGAGTGTCTAAATTTCAGTTTTTCGTAGCTTATCTATAGCCATTTCTTCAGAGGTGGTATTGAATATCTTAGCAAGAACTTGTATGTTTCATCTATGATGCGGTTAGAAGGAAGAGAGATGCCAAAGAAAAGATGACGGGGGCAGATATTAGGTGGCTTACAACTATTTAACACTTAATTTTAATAAAATATTTTAAACTGGAGTTAAGTTTCAGTTGTCTTAATTATTCTTTAAAAATTATTGATGGGCCGGGTACAGTAGCATATGCCTTTAGGCCCAGCTATTCAGTAAGCTGAGGCAGGAGGATTGCTTGAGCTCAGGAGTTCAAGTCTAGCCTGGGCAACATAGCAAGACCCCATCTCTAAAAAAACAAAAATTAAAAAAAAAATTGGAGCTTAACTCTTCCTAATCATCATTTTGCCTTACTAAAGAATCCCTCTGGGTACGGATAATCTTTGTTCTTAAATAAGGTTTAGACAGCAGAGAACTTTAGAGGGTGGCTGTTAGCCCGTTAGCCTTACGTAAGACTTTGCTGTGAACCTTTTAAAGTTTTTAATTCTTCTGGCACAGTTAAAATACAGTTTGAGGCCTGGTGCGGTGGCTCACGCCTGTAATCCCAGCACTTTTGGAGGCCAAGGCTGGTGGATCACCTGAGGTCGGGAGTTCGAGACCAGCCTGACCAACATGGAGAAACCCTGTCTCTACTAAAAATACAAAATTAGCTGGGCATGGTGGTGCATGCCTGTAATCCCAGCTACTCAGGATTCTGAGGCAGGAGAATTGCTTGGACCCAGAAGGTGGAGGTTGCAGTGAGCTGAGATCGTGCCATTGCATTCCAGCTTGGACAACAAAAGCAAAACTCCATCTCAAAAAAAAAAAAAAAATACAGTTTTATTCATTAAAATTATAACTTGGGTGGAACACAGGACTTAAAAATTGCCTGCATCCTTAATCCTTTTTTTCTTATTGCAGTAGTTTTTCCTTCATAGTAGGAAACCTATAGTAGGTTATTAGTTATTAGTTAATGAGGATAATTAGTCCCATTTTGAGTTTCATGAGATTCTAATTTTCCTCACTGTTTGCATAGTGCTGCCTGGGATATAGTCGGTGCTTAATAAATATATTCTTTGAACAAATACATGTGTTTGTTCAGGACACATTTTTAATATGAATATAGATAAACCAAATCACTTTTTTTCCCATTTAGAAAAATTATGGTAAAATACACATAACAAACTTACCATTTTCACTGTTTTGAAGTATACAGTTCAGTAGTATTAGATACATTTCATTATGTTGGGTATCTGTGACCACCATCCATCTCTAAAACTCATTTCATCTTTTAAAAATGAAACTTTAGGCCGGGCGCGGAGGCTCACGCCTGTAATCCCAGCACTTCGGGAGGCTGAGGCAGGTGGATCGCTTGAGGATGGGAGTTCGAGACCACCCTGACCAACATGGTGAAACCCAGTCTGTACTAAAAATACAAAATTAACTGGGCGTGGTGGTGCACACCTGTAATCCCAGCTACTCGGAAGGCTGAGGCAGGAGAATTGCTTGAACCTGGGGGATGGAGGTTACAGTGAGCCAAGATCGTGTCATTGCACTCCAGCCTGGGCAACGAGTGCAAAACTCTTTCTCAAAAACAAACAAACAAAAAAACCCAACTCTGTGATAGTTTGACTATGCTATAATGTGTGTAGGTGTGAATGTCTTTTTTGTTTATTTTACTTGGGGTTTGTTGAGCTTCTTGTTTCTGTAGATTAATGCTTTTCATCACGTTTGGGAAGTTTTTGACCATTATTTCTTCAAATATTTTTACTGTCCCTTTACTCCTTTTGAGACTCTCCTTATAGGCAAGTTCCCACCCCACCCCCCCCCCCCCCCCCCGACAGAGTCTTGCTCTGTCACCCAGGCTAGAGTTCAGTGGCGTGATCTCAGCTCCCTGCATCCTCCGCCTCCCGGGTTCAAGCAATTCTCCTGCCTCAGTCTCCCGAGTAGCTGGAATTACAGGCTTGTGCCACCACGCCCGGCTAATTTTTGTATTTTTAGTAGAGACGACGGGAGGGTTTCACCATGTTGGCCAGGCTGGTCTCGAACTCCTGACCTCCTGATCCGCCCGCCTCGGGCTCCCAGAGTGCTGGGATTACAGGCATGAGCCACCGTGCCTGGTCATAGGTAAGTGTTTTACACTTGATAATGTCTCATACATCTCTGAGGAGCTGTTTATTTATTTTTATTTTTTTGCCAATTGTTTTCTATGCTTTTGTTTGAATAATTTCTATTTATTTGTCTTCAAGGTTACTGTTTCTTTCTTTGTTCATCTTAAATTGTCTGTGTTGTCACTTTAGTGGATTGTTGATTTGGATTACCAAATTTTTAACTGCAGCATTTCCACATTTCTTTTTTATAATTTTTATATTCTATTTGAAATTTCCTATTCACTGAGTGATTCACATACTTTGTTTTTTTTGGAGATGCAGTCTTTCTCTGTCACTCAGGCTGGAGTGCAGTGGCATGATCTCGGCTCACTGCAACCTCCACCTCCTGGTTTCAGGCGATTCTCAGCCTCCCGAGTAGCTGGGACTATAGGTGTGTGCCACCACGTCCGACTAATTTTTGTATTTTTAGTAGAGACAGGGTTTCACCATATTGGCCAGGCTGGTCTCGAACTCCTGACCTCAAGTGATCTGCCTGCCTCGGCTGGCCTCCCAAAGTGCTGAGATTATAGGCATAAGCCACCACACCTGGCCCATACTTTCCTTTAATTCTTTTTTTTTTTTTTTTTTCACGAGTGGGGTCTCACTATGTTGTCTAGGCTGGTCTCAAACTCCTGGGCTCAGGCAGTCCTCTTGCCTCAGTCTCCAAAAGTGCTGGGATTACAGGTGTGAGCCACCACACCTGGTCTCTTCTAATTCTTTAAACATGGATTCGTTTAGTTCTTTGAACATATTTATAGTATCTGCTTTGAAGTTTTCGTCTGCAATATTCAACATCTGGAAACACTCAGAGACTCCTCGTGTTGACTCCCTTTTTTACCTGAGTGAGTTATATGTTCTTGTTTCTTTGCATATTGCAATCATTTTTTGTTAAAACCTGTATATTTAGATAATATAGTTTTGCAATTTTGGGTTTTTTTTTTTAAGAGACAGGGTCTTGCCCTGTTGCCTAGGCTGAAATACAGTGGCACAATAATAGCTCACTGCAACCTCAAACTTCTGGGCTCAAGCAATTGTCCTGCTTCAGCCTCCTGAGTAGCTAAGACTACAGTTGTGCACCACCACGCTTGGCTAAAGCTTCAACTTTTTTTTCTTTTTTTTTTTTTTTTGAGACAGTCTCTCTCTGTTGCCCAGGCTGGAGTGCAGTGGCGGATCTTGGCTCACTGCAACTTCCGCCTCCTGGATTCGAGCGATTCTCCTGCCTCAGCCTCCCGAGTAGCTGGGATTATAGGTGCCCGCCACCATGCCTGGCTCTTTTTTTTTGTTTTGTTTTGTATTTTTAGTAGTTACAGGGTTTCACCGTGTTAGCCAGGATGGTCTCGATCTCCTGACCTCGTGATCCGCCCACCTCGGCCTCCCAAAGTGCTGGGATCACTGGCGTGAGCCACTGCACCCGGCCTTTTGTTTTTATTTTAGAGATGGCGTCTTGCTATGTTGTCCAGGCTGGTCTTGAACTCCTCCTCGCCTCAGACAGTCTTCTCACCTCAGCTTCCCAAAGCATTGGGATTACAGGCATGTGCCACTACACTTGGCCATGGATTTTGATTTTTTTCTCACCTTGAAGGTTGTTTTTGTTTTGCTTGTTTAGTAACTTGCTTGGACTAAATCTGTGAAGTCTCTACAGTATGCAGCTGCTGATGTCTCTTTTCAGTTTTTATTTTTATTTTTATTTTTAAGCTTGGCTTCCTTGGGTTCTCTGTCTCCATTATTTAGGGATCAGTCAGATTGGTAAGAGATTATAGTTAAACACCTCGAGCCAGTAAACTTTCAGCTCTCTACTAATGGATCTGTATGTGAGCTGGAAGTGCATTCTTACTTCAGGCCATTTTCAGTTCTTCCCTGGCTTTTGTTCTCTGCCAGATTCTCTTGAAATCTCTGTATGTGCAGCTTCTGATGGCCAAGGATGTATGAGTGGCTTGAGTGTGTTCCAGTCTCTTATATGTGTGTGTATCGTCTAGAGTCAACCGATTTGGGGAGAGCTTTTCAAGCCTCTTGTGGCTGTCTCACCTCCTACAACTACCTGTTATATCCCTGGCCTAACCCACTAGTCTTCCGTGTTTGCCCCATTAACTTGACAACACTCCAAATCCAACGAGTCCTCTCAGGCAGCAGCATGCCCTGCTTAAACTGATACCCACAGAGCTGGGATTGGGGGAGGGGCAGGAGTCTGGTAGCGGCTCAAAACTGAAAACCACCATTTCTGCCTGAAGTTCAGTAACTTAATAAATAAATGCTCCCAGTTTGTTTTATGCCTTTGATTGAATTCCAGAGCACTGAAATAGGTTTATACAGCTGTACTGAAAGATAATTTGTTAATCTTTTTATACTGTCATGTCAAATGTGAGAAGTCTGACAATTTTTTTTTCTTGTAGATATTGGGTTTATAATACTTTTTTTTTTTTTTTAAATTCAAGGCCAGGCGTGGTGGCTCATGCCTGTAATCTCAGTACTTTGGGAGGCTGAGGTGGGCAGATCACGAGGTCAGGAGTTCGAGATTAGCCTGGCCAACATAGTGAATCCCCGTCTCTACTAAAGATATAAAAAGTAGCCAGGCATGGTGGCATGCGCCTGTAGTCCCAGCTACTTGGGAGGCTGAGAAAGGAGAATCGCTTGAACCCAGGAGGCAGTGATTGTGGTGAGCCGAGATCATGCCATTGCACTCCAGCCTGGGCAGCAGAGTGAGACTCTGTCTCAAAAAAATTAAAGTTAAAATTAAAAAATAAATAAATGAAAGAAATTCAAATCAAACCATTAGAGGGTTCCTATATTTCTGAGTAATATAGTTAGAAAAACCAGTGGACTAGCTGATATCTCAATACTTTATGCACTTTTCAATTTCTGTATTTCCCTGATTGTCCTAAAAACTAGAAAATAGGAAAGCTGTTCTCCTACCCTCGCAATATAAAATTATAGGATTTTGAGCTGTGTAGGAGTTTGATCTGAGGAAAATATGATTCTATAGAATGATATATTTTCCTAAAGTTTCCTCATGGCTAAAATAAAATAGGAACCAGATACCTTTTTGTGTAAGCTTTTAATGGAAGTATAATGTGTACAGAAAGATGTACAAATTATAAATACACAGCTTGATGAATTTTTATACAGTAAGTACACTTATATATCCAGTACTGTACCACACTCCCAGAAACAATCCTAAGTAATTTCTGTCCTTGTCACATTTCTAATGTGACAGTTTGGCCTTTGTGTTTGTGTGTTTAATATTATATAAGTGGAATCATACAATGTATACTCTTTGTTGTCTGGCTTTTTTGGCTTAGTACGTTTATGAGATTAATCCATGTTGTATGTAGCAACATTTCATTGTTGTATAGTGTGTTCTTACATAACCACATATGATTTTCTGTTATCTTGGGCAGGAAAGGATTAATTCAGCAGGCCCAAGTTGCTCAAGTCTTTCATGTTCCCAAGAGGACCATTTTCTGTGACTGTTCCTTGACAGGCCAGAATTGAGCTCTTGGAATATTTTGCGTTTTGTGTGATTGAATCTTTGAACTTGATTGTTCCAGTTTGTGCAAACAGCATTATTTATGGTGAACACCTTTCCTTCTCGTGAACTAGAGAGCTTTGGTAGCTGGTCATTCATTGTGTACCTTGAAGATCACCCACCAAGAAAAACCCTGGACTCCTAGGCTTTTGTGAGCTTCCATAGCAGACAACACTTCACATAATGTTGTTATAGTTTCTCTTTTTCTTTTCTTTTCCTCCGAGACAGAGCCTGGCTCTGTTGCCCAGGCTGGAGTGCAGTTGCGCTATCTCGGCTCACAGCAGCTCCGCCTCCTGGGTTCAAGTGATTCTCCTGCCTCAGCCTCCCGAGTCCCGGCTAGTTTTTGTATTTTTAGTAGAGATGGGGTTTCGCCATGTTGGCCAGACTGGTCTCAAACTCCTGGCGTCAAGTGATTCACCCGCTTCGGACTCCCAAAGTGCTTGAGCTACTGTGCCTGGCCATTGTTACAGTTTATTGCTGGAGGGATTAAATGCTTTATGTGTGACTCCACTGGGAGAGGACTCTTAGAAGCATGCACCTGGCTTCCTCCAGACTTTGCCTGATGTCCCTTTTGCCTTTGCTGATTTTGCTTTGTGTCCTTTTGCTGTAATAAACTGTAAGTATAACAGTTTCAGAGTCCTGGAATCCTCTTAGCAAATTGCTGAACTTAGAGATGGTCCTGGAGTCTATTGACACAAATCCATTCTGCTGTTGGACATTTGGGTTTCTGGTTTTTGCCTATTACAAATATTGCTGTTGTAATATTTCTTGTATATATCTTTTGGTGAACATGTATACGTGTTTCTTGGGGTATATATCTGGGAGTAAAATTGCATGGTTGTGTTCAGCATCACTATGTAGTGCTAAAAGTTTTCCAGAGTGGGTGAACAATTTACTCTTCAGCCAGGCAGACTCCATGTCTTCACCAGCAATTTGAATTCTGGTAGGTACATTATGGTCTTAATTTGCATATTCCTAACGACCAATGAAGTTAACCCCCTTTACGTATAACATATATTTATTGGCCATGTGAATATCTTTTTGTTAAGTGTCAGTTCATGTGTTTCATCAGTTTTTAAAAAATTGGGTTGTGTCCCTTTTTCTTATTTGTAGGAGTTCTTTATATATTCTAGGTACAATTTTTTTCATGTGTACGTTTGTCTCTATACGCACACATATACTTATTATTGATATATTTTCCTTATTCTTGGATTGTCTTTCTTCCTTTTTTTTTTTTTTTCTAGATGGAGTCTTGCTCTTGTTGCCTAGGCTGGAGTGTGCAGTGGTGCGATATCGGTTCACTGCAATGTCTGCCTCCCGGGTTCAAGCAGTTCCCCTGCCTCAGCCTCCCAAGTAGTTTGGAATACAGGCGCGTGCCACCAAGCCTGGCTAATTTTTGTATTTTTAGTAGAGATGGGGTTTCACCATGTTGGGCAGGCTGATCTTGAACTCCTGACCTCAAGTGATCTGCCTGCCTTGACTTCCCAAAGTGCTGGGATTACAGATGTGAGCCAGAATGCCCAGCCTGGGATTGCCTTTCTGTTCTCTCTCTCTCTTTTTTTTTTTTTTTCAGGGTAGGCAGGAAAGTATTTTTATTATAAATTTCAGGATCTAAAAAATATTTATTACATTTGCTACGATTAAGGTGACCTTTAAACCAAGCCACGTGTGCCCTGCATAGTGACGTCGTGACCCTCGGGCATGGAAAAAGACATAGGTCTACCCAGATAACCCGGATAACCTTCTGAGGTCTCTTCAGCCCTTTTCGCTAGTGGTCACCCACCACTATGGTTACTTGCCAGCAACATCTTTATTGCTGGATGGTCCCTGTGTATAACCCTGGTCTAGTATATTTTTTCCAATATGTGACCTCAGTCTTACTACTGACTAGTTCTGTGGGTCTCTTGCTAGGTGGTAAGGATTTTTATACTTGGGCTTATAGAGCCAGTTAGATCATAACTCTTATGAAATATAGAGTGTCCTAAATATCACTGAAATAAAAAGTAGGAAAAAGAAGCTTGAATTTTAAGACTGAGGCTGCTCTGAAGATTCTAGTTTGGCTTTCAGAGTTCAAGAATGGTGGCATCTTCACCTGAATTCTTCAATGTCAGGGCCTTTCTGTTCTCTTAATGCCTTTGGATGACACTAATTTTAATTGAATTTAAGTTTTTATGTAGTTGAATTTATTTTTGCTTATGGTTAGTGTTTTTAAAAAATCCTGTTTAAGACAACTTTTTCTACCACAAACCTTAATTGGTTTATTGTTCTCATGTAGTCCTATCATCCAGAAAGATCATTGTGTTTGGTAGGGGGTCAGTATTCACTTTGGTTGCAGAAGAATATATAGTTGAACCAGCATCATTTATTGAAAAAATTCTTCTTTCCCCACTGTACTGTGTCACCTTTGTCATAAATGAGACAACCGTCCATATATGGGTTTGTTTCTAAATTTTTTAGTATTCTGTTGAGCTATATTTCCTTGTGCCAACACCATCCTGTGTTAACTTCTATAGTAATATGTTTTTTTTTGGCGGAGGGGGGAGCAATGGAGTCTCACTCTATCACCCAGGCTGGAGTGCAGTGGTGCGATCTCGGCTCACTGCAACCTCCGCCTTCTGGGTTCAAGTGATTCTCCTGCTTTAGCCTCCTGAGTAGCTGGAATAACAGGCATGCACCACCATGCCTGGCTAATTTTTGTATTTTTAGTAGATACTGGGTTTCACCATGTTGGCCAGGCTGGTCTCGAACTCCTGACCTCAGGTTATCTGCCTGCCTCAGTTTCCCAAAGTGCTGGGATTGCAGGTGTGAGCCACTGCGCCCAGCCATAATATCTTGTATAAATTCCTTAGTGTGGTTCATTTTCCTCAAGATTGCCTTGGTCTAAGCCTTTTTTATGTCTGTATATATATATTTTATAATCAGCTCTTCAATACCCACAAAATAATCTGCTAAGAATTTTTATTATGATTGCATTGACTATAGATTGATTGTGGAAGAATGGACATATTGTTTTCTGCTTTTTTTTTTTTTTTTTTTTTTTATTCTTTGATTGAGAGTCTCACTCTGTTGCCCAGGCTGGGGTGCAGTGGCTAGATCTCAGCTCACTGCAACCTCTGCCTCCTGGGTTCAAGTGATTCTCCTGCCCCGACCTCCTGAGTAGCTGGGACTACAGGCGTGTGCCACCACAACTGGCTTTTTTTTTTTTTTTAAATAATAAATATCGGGTTTCAGCGAGGCTGGTCTTGAACTCCTGGTCTCAAGTGAGTATGTTGTGGAGAAATACTTTGAGACTGTCCAGATATCTTGTTCCTTTTCTGTTGTCCTACTAATTTTAGCATCCATAAATGCTTGTCTGCAACAGTTTTTACTGTGGTATTTGTGTAATGACATCTGTTTCCCTATCTTGTTCAAGATCAACCTCGGCGAAACCCCATATCTACTAAATTAACCAGGCATGGTGACGCACTCCTGTAATCCCAGCTACTCGGGAGGTTGAGGCAGGAGAATCGCTTGAACCCGGGAGGTGGAGGTTGTGGTGAGCCGAGATCGTGCCACTGCACCTGAGCCTGGGTGACAGAGTGAGACTTTGAATCAAACAACAACAAAAAGACAGTATGTCTGTTCTTTCCCAATTATTCTGTGGTCAATGCAATCATAATCAAAATTCTTCGCAAGTTATTTTGTGGCTATTGAAGAGCTGATTATAAAATATATGGAGACATAAAAAAGGCTTAGACTAAGGCAGTCTTGAGGAAAATGAGCCACACTACAGAATTGGTCATGGATGAAATCATGGGGCGTTGAAGCTGTCTTCTTGAGTTGAGTCAGTTCCTGAGTTGGGGCCACAAGATCAGATGAGCCAGTTTATCGATCTGGGTGGTGCCAGCTGATCCATTAAGTGCAGGGTCTGCAAAATATCTCAAGCAGTGATATTAGGAGCAGTTTGGGGAGGGTCAGAATCCTGTAGCCTCTAGCTACCTGATTCGTAAACCATAATTTCTAATCTTGTGGCTAATGTTGGTCCTACAAAGGCAGTCTAGTCTCCAGGCAAGAAGGAGGTCTGCTTTGGGAAAGGGCTATTACTGTCTTTGTTTTAAAAAACTATAAACTAAGTTTCTCCCAAAGTTCATGCTATGCCCAGGAATGAACAAGGACAGCTTGGAGGTTAGAAGTAAGATGGAGTCGGTTAAGTTAGATCTTTCACTGTCTCAGTCATAATTTTGCAAAGGCTGTTTCAAGTTTACAGTCAGGCTGTAGCCAGTTTTCCACCTGTAGTCTAGATACCTGTGGTTACTAAGAGTGTAGTTCTTCAGCCCAGGTGGAAAGCCTTATTCCCTAAAATTTAATGCAGGGACTGGTTATAGGCCCTCTTGCTCTGTGAAAGTGTGGATATTCTAGAGTACTGAAGTACTCTATAGGATTATGTGGTCATAGGACTTTGTGCACTTTTGGCAGCCATAAGAGATCTGGGGCACCGTCCTTTTTGAATCTCATTCCGTTCAATCCTGCAAGTATCCCACTTAGAAGTCCCACAGTTTTCAGAGAACTGTGCTTGTGATTGTTATCCTGGTGCCATATCTGTAGGTCAGCAGCTTTGAGAGGAAGACACCAGGGAGCTTACTTTGTGACCTTTTAGTACCCTTTCATTTATGGCTATTTTTTCCTACTCCTCTGATTTGGGAGGTTTCTTTCTGGGTTCTGGAAAATGAACTTCTTCAAGGTCTTCTCTTTCATCTTCAAGTGCTACTTTTCTTCAGCTCTTTTTTTGTTGTCAGTCTTTTCTCATCTGTTCTGTATCATCCAGAAGCGCCTTATGATTCTTGGCTTTCTAGGAATGCTGTAAATTTAATTTCATGTTTTTTCTGTTATATCTGTGGAAGTGGAGAAACACAGCTCTGTGTATGTTTATTACATGTAGATATTTCTAAGCTTTGTTGTACTGGAAGACAGTTCATTTCTTAAAACTTTATAGTTATTGTTTTAAAAGTGATAAGCAAGTGTCATTTTTTTCTTTTAAAATGTTTCCTATTTTTTTCAGGCAAATGCCATTTTATTTTATGTTTACTGTAGTCCTTCTCAAGAATACTTAAAGGGGATATTTTCCTTGAGTTATTTTTATTTATTTATTTAGATAGATAGATAGATACAAGGTCTTGCTCTGTTGCCCAGGCTAGAGTGCAGTGGTGCAATCATAGCTCACTGCAGACTTGATCTTCCGGGCTCAAGGCAATCTTCCCACTTCAGCTTCCTCAGTAGCTAGGATTACAGGTGTATGCCACTGTGCCTGGCTAAGCTTGAGATTTTTTTTCATACAGAGATGTTAAAAATGAAAGCTTTGATCTTCTCTGAGATATTTAATACACCTTTTATTATTAGGTTTACTTTATTCTGATAACATTTGTTGCCTTTTGTAGCTAAATTATTTACATACTTTATTTTGGTTTTTAAACTTTATCATAAGCCTGAGTAGAATATATGTTTTATTTACAACTGCTTTATTTTATGAAGGTTAGCCTTTTAAAATTATTATTGACTTGTTTTACTTTTTTCTTTAGTAAGATTTCACTGTTTCCTTTTTTGGGGGAGGGTAGGTAGAAAACAGTAGAAAAGTTTTTAAAAGCATGGATTGAACATTTTTAGAGGAATTGCCTGCATGGTAGCTTGATTGCTCAGAAATGGGCCCATATGGTCAGAAATTACATGAGATCTATTTAGTGTGCAACTCATTAAGTATGTATTTTGTCATTCATCCATAGATACGGTTTTGCCAAATTAAAATGATGATCTCTTATTCCTAAACTGCATCACCTGTACAAAGGGAATGCAGGTTTGCATCATTTTCCATGTAGAATTCTAGCAGTGGTCTGAGGTTGAGAGGGTGAGGTTTGAGGTGGGGGCAGGGAAGGATCAGCACTGCTGCTCCTTTGACAGCATGAGAGAACCCTGGAGGTGTTGGTGCAGTGTTGACCAGCACTCACTCCACCCTGTATTTCCCACTGAAAGAAACTAAGAGGAAGCCTGTGGGGAAAGGGAGTCAGAGGAATGTCCATAGTCTCTTATCTCTGATCTGATAGAGTATAGAAGGGAGAATGTGGGACTGAGAGACAATGGGTTAATAATGGACATGATCAGGCCGGGAGCAGTGGCTCACGCCTGTAATCCCAACACTTTGGGAGGCCAAGGTGGATGGATCACAAGGTCAGGAGTTCAAGACCAGCCTGGCCAATATGGTGAAACTCCACCTCTACCAAAAATACAAAAATTAGCTGGGCATGGTGGCAGGTTCCTGTAGTCCCAGCTACTCGGGAGGATGAGGCAAGGAGAATCGCTTGAACCTGAGAGGCGGGGGTTGCAGTGAGCTGAGATTGTACCACTGCACTCCAGCCTGGCGAAGAGTGAGACTCCATCTCCAAAAAAAAAAAAAAGTTGACATGATCCGATAAGCATTTTTTAAAAATACGTTTTTGTTTTGCATTTTACCATGTTTTTGTGATGCATGTGACAAATCAAGTTATTCAACAGTTCTAGTCTTTATATTCTTTAAAGAAAATGTCTGTATCTCTGTGACTTACATTTATTATTTTTGGAAGATTTTTTCTTATAACTTTGGTATTTCACTTGAAATATTTGGTGTCCTTCATTTGCTTTTCTTTTTCTTCAGTACAGGCAGGTAGAGTTCAAATGTCAGTAGCTGAGATGACAAACTTTTTCTAAACCTTAAAAATAATGTTGTTAGAGGAAAGGTTGGAAATAATTTGTGAGTAGATTTTAATTTCCGTTTTTTAAAGACTTAATTTTTTAAAGAGTCATTTAAGGTTCACAGCAAAATTGAGAGGAAGGTACAGAGATTTCCCCTGTATCCCTTCCCTACATATGCATACCCCCCCCCCTTTTTTTTTTTTACTATGGACATTCCTTTCTAAAGGGGTACATTTGTTTTATTTGATGAACTTACATTGACATACTGTTATCACCCAAATTCTGTAGTTTAGGTTTCACTCTTGGTATTCTATATGCTGAGTTTTGATAAATACATAATGCATGTATCCACCATCATAGTATCATACAAAGCATTTTCATTGCCCTAAAAATCCCCTGTGCTCTGCCTATTCATCCCTCCCTCCTTCACAGTCCCTGGCCACCACTGATCTTTTTATCGTTTCCATAGTTTTACCTTTTCCAGAATGTCATATACTTGGAATTATACAATACAATATGTAGCCTTTTCAGATTGGTTTGTTTCACTTAACTATGTGCATTTGAGGTTCCTCCATGTTTTTTAGTGGCTTGGTAGCTCATTTCTTTTTAGTGATAGTCTGGATGTACCACAGTTTGTTTGTTTATTTTTTTGAATTTTGTTGATATTTTATAATTTTTCATTGCAGGGCTCATTTATGTAGCATGCCATTAAAAGAGGCAGAAAATTTTTCCTTTAACTTAAATTTGAATTTGTCTTGATGTTTGTTTGCTTTTTGTAGGTTCTACATGAAACATTTTCTCAACACACATTCCTCATGAATGGTCTCATTCAAGGTGTAAAGGTAAGAAAAAATTTTTATGTGGTTTGTAATGAACCAAAGTCAGGAATCCTTGGTAGTTTAACTCTGGAAGTTTTAGTGGGACTTTGGGAAACAAATACTATTTGTTCTGGAGGCTGAAATCTAAATTTTTAGCTGGGTTATTAAAAGTCACTTTAAAATACAACACAAATACATAAGGCATAGAATGGTTTACTGGCAAATAGCAGTGTGAATACTCTATAGGCCTAACTTCATTTTTATTATTGTGTACACAAAAGGGCTTAATTATTATGTAACTTTTAACTTCTCTGCCTATCAACAGAATAAAGTGGGCAATTGCTACCATCATCTTTTTAGGTATACTAAAAAGAAGTATATCTGAGGAAGAAGGAAGCCGAGCTGGTAACACTGGCCATGGCTTTGTAATAACTCAGCCACTTGATTTAATTAGTCTTAATTCATTATGTCGATTTTAATATGATATATATAAAAACGGCTTTAAACCGTTTTCCTGTTTGCACCGAGAATACTCGCCAGCGGTGCTGCATTTACTCCAAGATAACTTTGCCACAAAACATGTTGCTTTTATTATTATTTTTGCATTGCTTTAGTATATAGACTTTGGAAACAAAAGACATCATTCTATTGATAGCATTCTTTTTCCTCATTCTTTATTTTATTTTTTTTTTTTTTGAGATGGAGTCTCGCTCTGTCACCAGGCTGGAGTGCAGTGTGGTGAGATCTCGGCTCACTGCAGCATCCGCCTCCCGGGTTCAAGCAATTCTCCTGCCTCAGCCTCCCGAGTAGCTGGGACTAGGCATGCACCACCACGCCCAGCTGATTTTTGTATTTTTAGTAGAGACAGGATTTCACCATGTTGGTCAGGATGGTCTCGATCTCTTGACCTCGTGATCTGCCTGCCTTGGCCTCCCAAAGTGCTGGGATTACAGGCGTGAACCACCGCGCCTGACTGTTCCTCATTCTTTTAAATAATTTTTTTTTTTTTTTTTGAGATGGAGTCTCGCTCTGTTGCCCAGGCTGGAGTGCAGTGGTGTGATCTCAGCCTACTGCAACCTCCACCTCCCGGGTTCGAGTGATTCTCCTGCCTTAGTCTTCTGAGTAGCTGGGATTTCAGGTGCCCACCACTACGCTCAGCTAATTTTTGTAATTTTAGTAGAGATGGGGTTTCACCATGTTGGCCAGGCTGGTCTCGAACTGCTGACCTCAAGTGATCTGCCCGCCTTGGCCTCCCACAGTCTTGCAATCACAGGCATGAGCCACTGCGCCTGGCCTGTATTCTGTTTTTAGTAGTGGTGTTTCCAGTTACAAACTACAGTAACACTCTATCACTGAAAATGTCAAGTCCTAGAAAACGCAGCACTTCTACCTGTGATGTTAACATTGTTCTCGAACAGTTACCGGCTGAAGATTCATTTGATGAATCCAGTTTTTTGAAATAGACAATTCTGATGATTCAGGTGATTCTGATGTTAGTTCTGTTTAGAAATAACTCCAAGAACACTTTTTATATTTTATTTTCACATTGAAAAATCAATCATATTTGCTTCAGCCTCAAAGAGTATGTGTATGTAAAATCATATGAATGCTGGCAGTGAGCTGCACTTGTTTTTTCTAAATAGGAAAAGAGTTAAATAGGAGTTTAAAGTATAATAGTATTTTTTAGTCTCTTATAGTAAAGCATATGAGTATAGGGTCTAATTTGTGCTTTCCAGTTTAGATAATGTCAATCTATGCATAATTATACGTTGTACTGAACAACATACTTAAAATTATTCCCAAGGCTGCACGCGGTGGCTCACGCCTGTAATCCCAGCACTTTGGGAGGCCAAGGCAGGCGGATCACGAGATCAGGAGATCGAGACCATCCTGGCTTAACATGGTGAAACTCCATCTCTACCAAAAATACAAAAAATTAGCTGGTCGTGGTGGCGGGCCCCTGTAGTCCCAGCTACTGGGGAGGCTGAGGAAAGAGAATCACTTGAACCTGGGAGATGGAGGTTGCAGTGAGCTGAGATTGTGCCACTGCACTCCAGCCTGGGCGACGGAGCGAGACTCCGTCTCAAAAAAAAAAAAAAAATTATGCCCTAGTAATGTGCTGAATTTAGCCATTGTAGTTCGTTATTTTCATAGCTCTTAAAAAACATTCATATAATAAATAATGTTAAATATTAATAAATCATATTTATTATTTGCCTGTTTTCAAAAATAATTTGAGGATATTTATATGTAAAACGGCATTTTATTTATTTTTTATCATTTGGGTACTTTTTTTTTTATAGCTGTATGTCTTTTTACTAAAGAAAAGCCAAGTTAAAATGCCCAACAGTAATTATGTTGAACACTTAGTACACATAAATAGACCAAAGGCTACTGAGAACACTGGACTTAGATAAAAGTGTTATAGGTATAACTACAACTTAATTTATGAATAAATAAGAAAAAAGTCCCTGGCTGAAAAGGATAGTGGAGATTTATTTCTCAATATTCTTTAATTTGGACCACCCCCACCAACTGAGCCGACGTCCCAGCGTTAGATCAAAATGACTGCTCTCCCCACCAGCAATTACAGTATTTGACACCACTAGCTCCACTGGTTCAGAGGAGAGAGTGTTTGGCCCGTGGCTCTACCTGGTTCCAGCTTCAGGAGGCCAACCCATGCCTTTGGTCACCTGAGACTTTTTAAACAGCATTGGCACTTGTAGCTGGTCTGAACCATTTTGAATGCTACCACCCAGCAGAGAGGAGGCTCTCATTAGATTCTACATCTGCTATTTAAATTACTTTTCAATTAAAAAAATAAACTTATTAGAATAATGCCACCTAGGAATGTTGTTAATCTCTCCGTTCAGCTTTTGGCTGATATATGAGACTACAAATATTAAATATAGCCTTTCCCACAGGTGCAGCTTCTGGGGATTGGTCTACAGTGTTCAGAAAGACACATTGCATTAAAAAAAAGTCAGGCTAGGTCAGACGCAGTGGCTCACGCCTGTAATCCCAGCACTTTGGGAGGCCGAGGTGGGCTGATCACCTGAGGTTGGGAGTTTGAGACCAGCCTGACCAACATGGAGAAACCCTGTCTCTACTAAAAATGCAAAATTAGCCGGTTGTGGTGGTGCATGCCTGTAACCCCAGCTACTTGGGAGGCTGAGGCAGGAGAATTGCTTGAACCTGGGAGACGGAGGTTGCAGTGAGCCGAGATCGTGCCATTGCACTCCAGCCTGGGCAACAAGAACGAAACTCCGTCTCAGAAAAAAGAAAAAAAAGTCAGACTACTGCAGGAGCTCCAGTGGCTTCTGCAAATGAGGGCTTGGCAATTATCAGTGGACGGACACAGAGTGTCCAGCACCAGGCCATGGGCCTTCCTGCTTCCTGAGTTTCACAAGTAGGATGCACATGAGGGGTGCAACCCATACCTCTGTTGAAGGAAGGCTGTAGTACTTTCCAGGACACAGCCTGGACGAATGATGCCAAACTTTCTATGCACAGATAAGTCAACCACAGTTGAGCCAAGGTAACACTCAGGGATCTGGCTATCCCTAGTTTGTCCCCCATCAATGACCAAGGACAACTGAGGCCAGAGGTCTTATAACTCCATGGCATTCAGAGAACTGTCCTGGGAGCTGAGGTTGGCACTAGTGAGAGCAAGAGGATGCTCATACATCTTGGCCAAGTCTTGCATAAAGGCATAATCAGGAATCCGGATACCTTGTAAGAGGAGTAAAGGGGTTTAGGTCGTTGTTGAGCTCCTCTGAACGTTCCATCACCAGGGACACTGGTCCTGGCACTAGGTCTTTCAGGAGCTCCTGGGGTGCTACTCTCATACAGCCAGTAACTTGGCCTTCCTGCAGCCCTTGAGACGGTACACAATGCGCAGGGCCACTGAGCAGCTTGCCGTGCAGGCCAGGCCATGTGGCATATTGGTGGGATGGCTACCATGGTGCTGGTGTACAGCTCAGCCATGGCTGAACACTCTGGGCTTGCCCCCTCGCTCTGTCCCACACTGGCAGCCACTGTGGCCCTCGGATCCCCCTGGACTGACTACAAATAACAAATACAGCCTTTCCCACAGGTGCAGCTTCTGGGGCTTGGTCTACAGTGTTCAGAAGGACACATTGCGTAAAAAAAAGGTCAGGGTAGGTCGGGCACGGTGGCTCATGCCTGTAATCCCAGCACTTTGGGAGGCCGAGGTGGGCGGATCACCTGAGGTTGGGAGTTTGAGACCAGCCTGACCAACATCGAGAAACCCTGTCTTTACTAAAAATGCAAAATTAGCTGGGTGTGCCAGAGACATCCTCCCATTTGGGTACTTTTTATTATTTAACAAACACTGGATACATAAACAAGTGAAACACAACCTAGACACGATTTACAGACTTTCTGTTTCCAGTTAAAACAGAGAACTATGACTAAAGTATTAGTAGCATACAGAGTTTATGCATAAGTACATTTCTAAATAAAATTCCCAATTTGCCACTCTTTTGTTTGGAATAATCCTCACAAAACCATTAGAATCCTAAAGTAAAAATACATTTATTACTTACATCAGAAACAACGAATTCAGAATGGAAAGTAGTTAAAAATCTGAAATGTTTTTTCTCATAAACTTGGAAAGAAACAATGAATTCAAAATGGAAAGTAGTTAAAAATCTGAAATGATTTTTCTCATAAACTTGGAAAGAACTACCTTCTACTTCCATAAATACATTATGCTTTATAACAATGTATTGTGTTGCCACATACAACAGACCTTTATGAACTGCTAATACAACTTTTCAGTCTCACTCTGAACAATTCTAGATTGTTGAGAAACCTTTTGTTGCTGTTGTTGAAGTATATTCTACAAATATAAAAGAAAAAATTGTGAAATAACAATTAGGGTAAAATTTTAAATTTAGCAAAAAATATTCTACATTAAACTTAAATAGTTTTAAAATCAATACTTTAAAAATTTTGTTTTTAACAACTATTATGACCAAATTTAGGTAATTTGTGTTTACCACTAATGTGCAACAATATAATCCTACCAGTGGCTGAATAGGAAATTTTAGCAATATTCAAGACTTGTCTTTTTTATTTTTTGAGACGGAGTCCCACCCTGTCACCTAGGCTGGGGTGCAGTGGTGCGATCTCAGCTTGCTGCAACTCCCCGCTGTCCGGGTTCAAGTGATTCTCCTGCCTCAGACTCCCAAGTAGCTGAGATTACAGGCACACACCACCACACCTGGCTAATTTTTGTATTTTTAGTAGAGACGGGGTTTCACCATGTTCGCCAGGCTGGTCTCAAACTCTTGACCTCGTGATCCTCCCGCCTCAGCCTCCCAAAGTGCTGGGATTACAGGCGTGAGCCACTGTGTCCAGCAAAGACCTGTCTTATTTCTTGGTGGTTTCAATATCCACACAGATTATCCTTCCAATAATAGTGGTCTTTCATTTCCTTGATCTATTTCACTCCACCCTGTTAGCCATTCACTTATAATAACTCTAACCATTACACAGTATTAATAATGGCAAACTTTCTAAGAGATAGGTACTCATTATTCCCTTTCATAGGTAAGTAAATTGAGAGAGAAAGATAAATAATTTGCCCATTGTTTCACAGCTGCAATTGCTCAAACCAGAATTTTATCCCAAAAAGTATTGCTTCCAGCATCCAAACTCTAACTATTATACATACTGTTTCTCTGTATATCCTAGTATTCAACCACTACCTCCTTACCATTCTAGCTTACTCTATTTTTTACTACAGCTCAGTATATCAGCACTGAAAACCCATCCTACCTGCCTTTCACTGTCACCCCTGCCCCTGTATCCTCACTTTCATCTTTCTTGGCTTAAATTCTGTGGTCAATCATTATAATTACTGCTTTGCATATAAAGCGTGCCCTCTTTTTACTCTGTCACACTTGGTTGGCTAAACCCCAACGCTTGAAAATTTAATTCTCCAGCTACTCTGTAGGCAATACCTTTTCCACCATCTAATGACCTTAACTGTGTCACTAAATAAATAGAAGCAATGCAAAGAGAAATTTCAGTCTCCCATCACCACATCTACTATCCACCTACATGCATCTGTTCTCGTATACTCTACCTCCTCTCCTGTTTCTAAGGATGAACTGTCCTTGTTCCTTGCTAAAGCCAGCTTCTTCACATATCTCATCCATTCTCAAGAATTCAGCAGTTATGCCTTTTTTCCCCAGTGTTTTAAATTTTCCCTCTAAATTATTCCTACCAGCATACAAGCATTCTAGTTCTCCAATCTAAAAACAAAACCTCTTTTCCTTTTCTCCTCAGGCTACTACCCCATTTCTTTCTTTGCCATGCTATCTTACATTCATTACAAGTAGACTTCCACACTCACTTTTCCACCAGAATTATTCCGAACCTTTTTCCTTCTTCTTTTTTTTTTTTTTTTTTTTTGAGATGGAGTTTTGCTCTTGTTGCCCAGGCTGGAGTGCAATGGCACGATCTCGGCTCACTGCAACCTCCGCCTCCTGGGTTCAAGCGATTCTCCTGCCTTAGCCTCCCGAGTAGCTGGGATTAGAGGTGCGCACCACCATGCCTGGCTAATTTTGTATTTTTAGTAGAGACGGGGTTTCACCATGGCCAGGCTGGTCTTGAACTCCTGACCTCAGGTGATCCGCCCGCCTCAACCTCCCAGAGTGCTGGGATTACAGGCGTGAGCCACCATACCTGGCCCCTTTTTCATTCTTAAAAGGCTTTCTTTACTTGCTTTCTTCACTTGACCTAGCATAGTTTTCTTTCTACCTGTTAGGCCACTCATTCTCAGTCTTCTTATACTCTAATTCATCTCTAGATGACTTATAATACCTAATACTGTGTAAATAGTTGTTACACTGTATTTTTTAATTTGTATTTTTTATTGTTGTGTTCTTATTTTTAATTGTTTTCTTCCAAATATTTTTCATCCATGATTGGATGAATCTACAGATACGGAGCCTCCATATACAGAGGGTTGGCTGTGTAGAGATTTAAACTAGTTGCATGGACAATGGGCAAATGATCCAAACTAGATCAGTGATATTTCTCCAGAGGAATTTTCTGCTAGAGGTATTGAGATTTTCTCAGTCTACTGGGGTTACTTAACTTGTAGTAAGCCTACGATTGCAAAAACTGTCCTGCTTACTACATTGAGACACCTTACTAAGAATTGGTGAGAGAACCCAGATGACACTGTATGAACAACTCCTTCCCTGTGTCCATCTAGCTATGCCTGAAGCTAAACTTACCCACAGCTTCTTTTATATAAAGTATTAATAATAATCCTTCTTTTGTACGAGGAAGCTCTCTTCTTTCATTTGCCTATTAAACTTTCCCCTCCTTCACCCACCCATGTGTGCCCATGTCCTTAATCTTCTTGGTGCAAGATGATGAACTGCAGGTATTTCCCCAGACAATGAAGCTGCTTCACTTTGAGTCCCTCCTCTTATCAGTTTACCTATGTCTGCTGTCCTGGGTTAATCAGTTGGTGGCTGATAGGGGATTGGAATCTGTTCCTTTTTCTTTCCAATTATGTGAACGTGGAGACTTCTGTAAGTTGATTTTCTCTGAAAAGTTCTATTCAATTCACCAAACGTATTTGAAAACCAGTGTTTACCAGGCCCTGTGATAGGCACCACGGGTACAGAGATAAGAAGAAATGTCATCCTTCTGACCTTAATCTCAATTTTGAATCCAGTAGAGAAGATAGACAAATAACAAGTGATTTAATGGAGTGCTGAAATTATAATAGAAGAGCTAAGAGACTAGATAGAGGAGGAGGTGCTTCTCTCCCAGGGTTGGGAAGAATCACTAGCAGTTTCCAGGCTCCAAGTGTGGGATGGATGTGCGTGCAAAGGCCTGTTGGCACGCAGGAACATTGTATGTCCAGAAAACTGGAAGTATCGCATGCAGCCACAGCAGAGGATGTGTGTCAGGAGCCGGGTTTTGGAGTGTCCTATTTATGTGATGTGCTGAGGAATTTTTAAGATGTATCATGAAAATTCAGATACACAAAAGAATAGTGTGATGAATACCTGTGTACTCATCACCTATTTCATTATTCATCAGCATTTTTCTACTCTTGTCCATCCCTGCTCTCCCCACCCTGCTGCTTATCTGTAGCATTGAAATGAAGGTGGCCAGCCAACAGAGTGACTGGCAAATAGTGGGCAAGCAGTGAATGTGAGTTCCTTGACTTCCTTTGCTTCTGTGTGGTGTTATCTATGTCAGACTCTCTTCCCCTTAGTTTCAACTGTAGTTGTTGTTCAGGTTGGATTATCTCCTTCTTCCTAAACTCATCAGGCAGAGAGAACTTTACTTTGATCGACAAAGTTGACAAAGAATCTAGTTTTCTTTTGATCATTAAGCATATGTACACTCCTCTTCTTTATCCCTGTGAGGCCCTGGGGATAGTATATGGTGTACATTCATTTGGGTGTCATTGTACCAGTTAATGCAGTTTTGTGCAGAATTGATATGCCATATATATTTATTAAAGTGATTCAAATTTCTAGCTTCTTCCCGTATGCTTGGTGTGTGTTCGTCTTAAGGGTCAAATGTGGGTATATATATATCATGTCATCGCTCTTTTCTAATTTCTTCTGGAAAACAAGCTTTTTTACTTCTTCCTTCCCTTTCTGATAGAACATTTACATTTTTGGTTATAATTTTATTTTAGATTTTATTTTAATTAGACAACAGTTTTGCTCTTGTTGCCCAGCCTAGAGTACAAAGGCGTGATCTTGGTTCACTGCAGCCTCTGCCTCTCGGGTTCAAGTGATTCTCCTGCCTCAGCCTCCTGAGTAGCTGGGATTACAGGCGTCTGCCACCACGCCCGGCTAGTTTTTTGTAATTTTGTATTTTTAGTAGAGACGAGGTTTCACCATGTTGGCCAGACTGGTCTTGAACTCCTGACCTCAAGTGATCCACCCGCCTCGGCCTTCCAAAGTGCTGGGATTACAGGCATGAGCCACCACGCCAGGCCTAATTTTATTTTTTTAGTTGTAGTTTGTATTTAATGTTTCAAAGTATTATTCTGTTTTGGGGGCAGTACAATGAATTAGAGCTAATGCATTTAGAAAATATGAATTACAGGTAATTGAGGGATCAGATTATAAAACTAACCTTTGCTTTGGTTTCCTCTCCAGGGCCTGCTCTCTTTTTTGAGTGCCCCACTCATTGGTGCCCTGTCTGATGTGTGGGGGAGGAAGCCCTTTCTCCTCGGCACTGTATTCTTTACCTGCTTCCCAATCCCACTGATGAGGATCAGCCCATGGTGAGTGACTTGGCCCTTCACCTCCTGACTGCTTGTTTTGAGTCACATGTAAATTATACTTATATTTGCAGAGCACTTCTTAACTATTACAAAGCAGTTGTGCTTGTGTTTTCATTTGATCTCTCTGGTAATACTGAAAACCAGTTTGGACAGTTGTCATTATATCCATTTTATAAATGGGGTAGTGAAGACATTCTAGAATTAAGTCTGAGATAAGTTACTTAGGTGAAGAAGTAGAAATAAAAGATGCCTCTTCAGGCAGCTGATGTTGCCATGATGTCAGGTATGGGAGTTTAACCCTGAGAATGGGCTAACAATCCTGTCTTCATTACTGTGACTTTTAGTTGACTTTGTAAATATATTATTTTTGTCAGCTCATCGCTGTGGGGCACTGACACAAACATAGTTTATATCATAATAGGCGGGAGTCACTTTAAAATATACCATAATAAGGCTGATAGCCTATTTTAAATAATAATGTGAATTTGAGTTCGTTTTTTTTTTTTTTTTGGAGACGGAGTCTTGCCCTGTTGACTAGGCTGGAGTGCAGTGGCACGATCTTGGCTTACTGCAACCTCCGCCTCCCAGGTTCAAGCAATTCTCCTGCCTCAGCCTCCTGAGTAGCTGGGACTACAGACGCCCGGCTAATTTTTGTATTTTTAGTAGGGATGGGGTCTCACCATATTGGTGAGGCTTCCCTTGAACTGACTCCTGGTTATCCACCTGCCTCGGCCTCCCAAAGTGCTGGGATTACAGGCGTGAGCCACAGTGCGCAGCCCAATTTTTTTTTTTTTTTCTTTGTATAAATCGGGAGAGTATTTAGCATGTGACCAAAGCCCATTTAGTTACCAAAGGTGGGTTGGAATTTGCATGTGAGCCGTAACTTAGTTGTTTTTTTTGGATAACAGAAGATGGTATTTTGGTATGTATTCCTATTGCAGAGATGCTCTTTCTTATGTGAAGAACACACTTACATATGGAAGTTTTGTTTTGGTTTTTAATCCTATTAATAGATTTTTTTTTTTTTTTAGCTCGTGTGAAAATATTTTCATTTGATTATTTGGTAGGAATTTTATGCTAACACCTATCACATTCTAAATTTATTGGGTACTTATAATCATTTTATTTTCTACGAGTTGAAGAATTTTTTGGTATTGAGTCTTTATGTCCAAGATGTCATGCTTTTCCAATGAGTTGGGACTTTTTAATGTCCTTTTTTTGGCTTAATATTTTTTCTTTAGATCTTATACATTTCTTAAGTTTTGTTCCTATAAATTTTATCCTTTTTGTTCTGCTACAACATGAGCTCTTCTAATTGCTTGGTTTTCTAGGTATATTAATGTCATCTGTAAATAATTTTTTCTTTTTCCTTCCAGTTTTCATACTGCTCACTGCTTTTGCTAATTGCTTTGACTAATGAATATTAGTAAATCAAAGTGAAGATTTTGGGCTTATTTTCTTCATATATATAAAGGGAGTATTGTAATGTTTCATCATTAGGTGTTAAGCTGGTTTTTAGACTGAAAAATATTCCTATTGTATCCACAGATTTTTAAAAAACATTAAGAGTACATGTCAGATTTTATTTGATGACTTTATAGCATTAATGGATATTATTTGCCTTTTCTCTTATTTTTTTTTTTGAGACGGAGTCTCTCTCTGTCGCCCAGGCTGGAGTGCAGTGGCGCGATCTTGGCTCACTGCAAGCTCCGCCTCCCGGGTTCACACCATTCTCCTGCCTCAGCCTCCTGAGTAGCTGGGACTACAGGCGCCCACCACCACGCCCGGCTAAGTTTTTGCATTTTTAGTAGAGACAGGGTTTCACCATGTTAGCCAGGATGGTCTCAATCTCCTGACCTCGTGATCCGCCCACCTTTTCTCTTTAGAGCTACTAAAATGAATAATTATATTAATAGATTTTTAAATATTAAAATATTTTTCTATCCTGGAGTAAACCCCACTTTTTGTTCTATAAGGTTTTTCTTTGTTAATTTTAAACTGGGTTTTTAAAAAAAGCATCTATCACATGATATAAATTTTTAGTCTTAAGTACACTAATATTTTTCATTATGACTTCTGCTTTTATGTAGATCTTTTCAAATCATTTGTTGTATGTCTTTTCCTTACTTACAGCTAGGATATTTGAGAAGTTTTTTTTCTGTCTGTTGGCTACCTTTAAAAATATAACTTTTACCTAATCCCCTTATTCTTTGTTTTTCCTCTTCTTTTGTTTTTTTAGGGGGCATGTACTGACCCCCTTTGAACAATGATGAAATTAGAATGTTTCTACTTCTTCCTGTCTTAACTTAAATTTTTTTTGATATATTTAAGTATACATACATATACAAGTATACTTATTTCTTGGTGCGTAATCTTTACATGATGTCTTTGGCTCAGGTAATGAAAGTGAACATACACTCCCTTTCCCTTGGGTCATTAAAATAATCTTTTTATAGGTGGTATTTTGCGATGATTTCTGTGTCTGGAGTCTTCTCGGTCACGTTTTCTGTTATATTTGCCTATGTAGCTGATGTCACTCAGGAGCACGAGCGAAGTACAGCTTATGGATGGGTAAGATAATAGACTATATATATTTTTTAACCAGAATAGTAATTAACATTGTATTAGAAATTTACTGGAAAGTGAGTTTATTAGTCCTTTCTTGCACTGCTGTAAAGAAATATCTGAGACTGGGTAATTTATAAAGAAAAGAGGTTTAATTGTCTCACAGTTCTGCAGGCTATAAAGGAGGCATAGAGGCTTCTGCTTCTGGGGAGGCCTCAGGGAGCTTTTACTCATGATGATGGAAGGCAGAGCCAGAGCAGGCATCTTCACATGACTGGAGCAGGAGGAAGAGAGAGTGAAGGGGGAGGTGCTACACACTTTTAAACGGCCAGATCTCACAAGAACTCACTTACTATTAACAACCAAGGAAGGTGGTGCTAAGCCATTCATGAGAAACTACCCCCATGATCCAATCACCTCCCACCAGGCCCCACCTTCAACATTGGGGATTACAATTGAACATTTGAATTTTTTAAAAAATTAGTTTGATTTGTTTCTTGTTATCTGATCCCCGGAGGAGCGTTAAGCAGTCAAGTTGCACAAGCTCTTTGTGCACCTAATTTGGAGAGGTGCTGAACCTCAGCAATGTTAATCCATTGTTAACTCTATTAGTGGTTGTGTGTTTTGGACATACATTTGGAACATGGTATGTAGAAAAGGACTACATTCACTCATTCATCAAATCCATAGTTGCTGAATAACAAAAGTTATAGGAGACCTTTTTTTCTGATAATTAAAACCTGACAGTGTTTCTGATTTTCTCAGGCATGATAATGGCATTATGATTATGTAGAAGAAAGACTTGTTAGAAGATAGCTGAAGCGTTTTACATCAGTGTCAGGACTCTGCCAGTTACTTTCAGATGTTTCAGGGGAAAAGATAGCATAGCATGTGGATGTGCATGTGTGGGCATGTGTGTTCCATGCCTGAACCTGTGAGACATGGAAGTATGCTTGGTACCCTTCTCCCGTCTTCCTCTGTATTTGAAAATATTCAGAATAAGAAAGTGGAAGAAGAAAGATGATCTGGCTAGGTTGTGGGGAATAGGTTGGAGGGAGATTGAATGCCAGAAACTTAGGTTATTTATCTCCTTTTCCTGGGTCTTTTAAATCTACTTCCTGGAGTAGAGTAAGTTCTCATTCATTGCTGACTGAATGAATAACTTCCTGAATCAATGATGGGCATATAAATGGGTTACTACTATTCCACAAAACACAACAATTTTTAACTTGTTGACTTTAGACATCAGTAGTTTGAAAACTACTCTTTCAACCCCACTTCCCTCTGACTCTTCTACCTTCCCTCTCTCTCTCTCCTTGCTTCTTCCCTCCACTCCTGAATGTCCCTCTCATGTCATGCCCTAAAAAGGGGCATCTTCAGAGTCGTGATGGAGGAGGACAAAGATAGAAGCTGATAGGAAAGCTTCGAAGAAGACAAGATTTGGAGCTCACTCAGGAACACCAAAAACAAAAATAGGCCGGGTGCGGTGGCTCACGCCTGTAATCTCAGCACTTTGAGAGGCTGAGGTGGGGGCGGATCATGAGGTCAAGAAATCGAGACCATCCTGGCCAACATGGTGAAACCCCGTCTCTACTAAAATACAAAAATTAGCCGAGCGTGGTGGTGTGCGCTTGTAATCTCAGCTACCTGGGAGGCTGAGGCAGGAGAATTGCTTGAACCCAGGAGGCAGAGGTTGCAGTGAGCCAAGATCGCGCCACTACACTCCAGGCTGGCGACGGTCAGACCCGCCTCAAAAAAAAAAATGTCCCCCAAAACTCCAAAAATTAACAACCTCCCCCCGCCCTGCCAAAAAAAAGAAAAGAAAAAACAAAAACAAGAAGGTAGGTTGTTCAAGTTGTGCCCATAAGGCTTGGCCAACAGAGTAGTGAGGGACAGCTTTCTTCTACAGCATGGGAAATACCTGTTGAGATACTCATTTTTCTGCAATATTTGATTTTTGTTTCTCGCTTTCAGCTGGGAAACCCTTCACACAGCTGTTGTGCTGAGCAGTAGTGCTTTCAGGAAAGATTTAAGAGAGTTCTAACCAGAAGCGCCTGTGACTTAATTACCCTCTCCAGCTCAGCTCCTCATTGTATAATGGCAGTTAGGGTTAATATCTACTCACAGGGGCATTGAGAGCAATCAGTGAGCGCACACATCCAGACTGAGACGGCACTTAGCTGAAGTGTGCTCCCAGCCAGCAGAAGCAACTCAGCATGCAAGGCTGCCTGGATTGCAGTCTACCTATCTTCTAGATATAGGAGAATTTATTGCCAATTAATTACAGAACGTGTCAGTCAAGTTCTAAGGAGCATTTTGAGACCCATTAAAGAACAGTATAAAAATGTGTACACCTTCCTTACTCAGACTTCTTCAGTAAACCAAGAAAGTGGTAATTCTTTCAGGGCTACGGCAATGATTAGTCATGTTAATAAGTGAGTTAACACTTACTAAGAGTTTGTTGTGGGGAAGTCATTCTTTAGATTTATTCATCAGAGTTGTATTGAATGTTAAGTGAAAGAGGAGTTTAGATAAAAACACAGACTAAGCAAGTAGGCTACTTTAGGCTTTAAGATAGACACATTTTGCATAGAGTTTCATGAGGCCATAGACCCTTTAACACCTGAAGATGCTGCAGCAGTGCCCCCTTAACACCTGAGAAGAGTGTAGGAATGTTCCCATAACTGTTTGCTTGTCGTTGCAGTTTATAATGCAGTTATTTGGTTGCCCTGATATTCTTGAATAAAGTGGGAAAACCTGAGGGCAAGAGCTTTGTCTTCTTCATCTGGTACATAGTAGATTCTCAGTAAATATTGAACAAAGGATTCCTATTCCCCACATTGGAATTTTCCACATTCTTTTTTCCCCTCCAAAAATACTTGAGTTTTAGCTTTTATAGTACTTTTAGTATAATACTAATTTCAGATATACTGTGTTTTTTAATTCAGTTGGGAGATGATGGATGAAAAAGAATTTTTTATTGCCAGAAATTTTGGGATTTTTAATAAAATCCATTAGAAGTTTAAAAAGCTAACTTATAGATATGCATTTGACATTTAGTGTGGTTATAATTTGGAGTTTGCCCGATAAGCATCTGACCATCCAGATTGTGTTCTAAAATAAAGTGGACATTCCACATGCTTATAGGAGTGCACTGTGAAGGGGCTCAAGGTGGCTTCAGGTTGTGGGTGTGCTTAGCTGGCTCTGTGGTCTCTATACTGGATAGGGTCAGGTGGTGACAGAGAGACAGAAATCTACAGCTGTCTAGTCAAAAAGCTTCAACTTCCACCTCAACAAATTCTTTGTTGTTGTTAATAGTTTTTTTCTAAGAATAGCAGAGGGTTCCCCCTGACCCCAGGCAGTGCTAATGAAATGACCACCAAATGATAAAATGTTCAAACAGTGCAGTGTTTTTAGAAGATTAAATCAAGCACAGTACTTGAGTAGTTTGTAAGTTTTATCATCAGCCCTGCAGGAATTCTTTTCATACCATCTCACATCCCCGGTCCCCAGTTAAAGAAGACCAAAGAGCTAATGTTTTATTTGTGGGGAAGGTTTTTACAATTTTTGTTTGTAATAAGATAATCCTTTTTTACTCTTGTAGCTCTGCAGGGTATCTCCAGTTAATAGTTTATGAACACATTCTTAAATCACTTTAATTCTCTTTCATTCTTAAAATTTATATGCAACACATTTCTTTTGTCTTACTTAAAGCCAGGGAAGCATGGCTGCAGGTATGCACCTGTGGGACCCTGGTTGAGTGTGCTTTCCTGAAGGTGTGCACCTGCAGCAGGCAGACCTGGGTAAGGATATGCTTTCCCCAGAGGTGTTCACCTATGGGACCCTGGGTGAGAGTGTGCTTTCCCACAGGTCTCAGCCACCTTTGCGGCTAGTCTTGTCAGCAGCCCGGCCATTGGAGCATATCTTTCTGCCAGTTACGGAGACAGCCTCGTTGTGCTGGTGGCCACAGTGGTGGCTCTTCTGGACATCTGCTTCATCTTAGTGGCTGTTCCAGAATCTCTGCCTGAGAAAATGAGACCGGTTTCCTGGGGAGCTCAGATTTCTTGGAAACAAGCAGACCCTTTTGCGGTAAATAAAAATATGGAAATATTTACTTTCCTAAATGTCTTTCTAAGCCAAGCAAATGAAAGTATGTATGTGCAGCCTCAAGGATCCTAGCAGTTGTTGACTTATTTCTTTAGTAAAAATAGAAAAAATTAATTGCAAGTAAGGGATTGAGTTAGTCTTTGTATTAAGAAATATATAGAATTGGTACTTAAGCATGTCATAAACGAAGAGAGAGAAAATGTCTAGTTAATTCTTGGTGAGAGTTTGGGAAGAGAGTTTCTTTTTGCATGGTTGTTTTCATCCTTTTTAAACAAAATAAGTGAAAGTGGTCATTTGAAGTGGTCATTTTCACTCATTTTAACTCAAAAAGGATAAATGCCTTTGGTTTGAATGAGTTATTTTAATTTTGACCAGAGACGTTTAATTTGTTTGTTACAGATTGAGTATTGTTTTCTATAATATGTCTCTCTCTCCCTCTCTACCTCCCTCCCTTTCCTCTCCTTTTCCACCCCCTTCTTTTTTGGCATGGGAAGGTGGTGTGTCACTGGAAAACATATCTTATCTCTCACCTTCTCTCTACCCTACCTGGTTTGAAATTGTTCTTGGGGAAAAAAAAAGTTTGTAGACAAAAAAAGAACCAGCAGTTTGGTTTCTGCTTTTCGTCCCCCAAGTTTACCTTTCAGAAAAATTCATGTAATCAATCAGAAATTACTTTTTCTAAAATACCCCCTGAGGGCATGACCTAGGGATCCTGCCTGTTCTATTATTGTCACAATGTCAGACACCAAAAGAAATATTTAGAGAAGGAAGCCAGTAGTGGGGTTGGGAGCCAGCCAGTTAGGCTTCCCACCTTCCTTTGTAGTGATCAAGTTATGCATCAAAGCTCCTCTGTGAAGTAGAGCTACTGTGGCTTACTTTTCCGGGCAATCGTGGGGATTACTGTTAATGTGTGTAAATTAACTAGCCTAGTGTCTGTTGCCCAGCAAAGTCTCAACAACATTAGCTGCTTTTGCTTATTAATTACATAAAAGCTATGGTCTGATGAGCTAGAAGCTCTGTAGCACTTTCCACTCCTTTGGTATTAACTTACCATTTTGTTCTATTCAACAATCCAATGTATGTAAGAAGGATTTTTCAACAAGGTTGTAACATTCAACAAGTTCTTACCAGTTTGACCTTATGGCTGGAGCGTACTTATTTGTCTACCAGATATAAAAGTTGAACATGAACACTTTGAAGAATAGAGTGAATTTACCTATACGGAAACGCTCTGTACTGAATATGGCTTTAAAGAAGTTACATTATGAATTGAGAGAAGTGATTTTCTTAAAAGGTTCTGTAGGAATATATTTCCAGGTTCTGTTTATAGGAAGTTCGGGATCTGTTCAGGGATTTTAATCAGTGTGTTAACAAAGATGAGTAAGTGTGTTTTGTGGGTTTATTTTTTTGCTTTTTTTTTTAGCTATATGATTTGAAATATATACCTCTGAAATTAAGACTTGTAACTTCCTCAGAAAGATGGTGATAGAACTTCCTTTTATTAACCATTTGACTTTTGTTATTCATCTTAATAGATCAAAATAATGAAGCTGATGTCCCAGAACATTGGCAACATTAATGTGTATTGGCATTTTAAGTGTGTTCTTTCTGCTTATTCTCAGTCGTTGAAGAAAGTTGGAAAAGATTCTACTGTCTTACTAATCTGCATCACCGTGTTTCTTTCATACCTTCCTGAAGCTGGACAGTATTCAAGTTTTTTTCTCTATCTCAGGCAGGTGAGTAGTGAGTGGCTAGTAGCCTTTCAATACCAGGAAAATCAAAGATGGAGATTTGTCTAAAGATATTTTGAGGAAACCACTGCAGAGGAAAAAACATGTGAACTTGCTTCTAGTTACAAATGTAGGTGCTGGCATATAATTAGTAAACAGGGCACCTTTAATGCAATGATTTATAGTAAGATAATTACTGTGGAAATTTTTTTTTCTTGAGAATTAACCAGAATTAGCAGAAACATAATTTATCTTTTTTTTTTTTTGAGACGGAGTTTTGCTCTTGTCCACCAGGCTGGAGTGCAATGGCACGATCTTGGCTCACTGCAACCTCTACCTTCTGAGTTCAAGCGATTCTCCTGTCTCAGCCTCCCGAGTAGCTGGGATTACAGGCGTGCACTACCATGCCCAGCCAATTTTTGTATTTTTAGTAGAGACAGGGTTTCACCGTGTTGGCCAGGTTGGTCTCGAACTCCTGACCTCAAGTGATCCACCCGCCTCGGTCTCCCAAAATGCTGGGATTACAGGCGTGAGCCACTGTGCCCAGCCTGTTTTTTTTTTTTTTTTTTTTAAATAGACTATTTTTCTAGAACAGTTTTAGGTTCACAGCAAAATTGAGAGTAAGATATAGAGATTTCCCATATATCCCCTATCCCCATACATGCATAGCCTCCTCCACTATCAACATCTCCCACGAGGGTGGGAAATTTTTACAACTGATGAACCTACATTGACAAATTATCTTAACATAAAGTCCACAGTTTACATTAGGGTTCATGCTTAGTGTTGTACATTCTATGGGTTTGGACAAACGTATGATGACATGATAACATGTATCAACCCTTACAGTATCACACAGTGAATTTTCACTGCAAAAATCCCTTATGCTATGCCTGTTTATCTCTCCCTCCACCACCAACCCCTGGCAACCACTGATCTCTTTATTGTCTCCATAGTTTTACCTTTTTTCATACAGTATGTAGCCTTTTCAGATTGGTTTCTTTCAATTAATAATATGCATTTAAGGTTCTTTCATGGCTTGATAGCTCATTTTGTTTTTGGCATTTGTTTGGATTTGCCAGTTTATCCATTCACCCACTGAACGACACCTTACTTGCTTTAAAGTTTTGACAGTTGTGCATAAAGCTGCTGTAACATTCATGTACTGTAATGTTTTAATCTTTAATAATATTAATTAAATTTAACAGATAAAACTTATTTCAGACCTGCCCTTGTTCCAGGTCTGATTGAAGCCAGCTTGCTGAGGCACCTTCAGTAGGTCATAGCTCAACTGCTGCTGTGGACTTCAGGGGGACTCAAAAGCATTAATCAAAATCTTCCCTCTCTAGAGTATTTTACACTTTAAAAAAATTTATACCCTATTTTGTCCCCCAAAACAGATAATTGACTTAAAGCAATTAAAAAAAAGAAAACCAAAAACTTCCCCTTTCAACTGTTCTTCAGCTCTCTGGGATTGCTCAGACCTAAGCTGCCTTTCCATTGCATCCTGTGGTCTTTTACTGATTTCATTGGAAGGCAGGCCTTTTCCTAATGGTTTACTTTGACACAGCAAGCTTCCTCCTAAGATAAATTCCTCTTTTTCTGGTTGTATTTAAAAATGAAGTGTATTAAATTCTTCATTCTGATAGTTTTCCTGAGGGTATGGGACTAATATTTTACGTGGTGGCATATAAATAAAACCTTTTTACTTTTTTATTGGAGACAAGAGTCTTGCTCTGTTGCCCAGGCTGGAGTGCAATGGCGTGATCTTGGCTCGCTGCAGCCTCTGTCTCCTGGGTTCAAGAAATCCTTGTGCCTCAGCCTGCCAAGCAGCTGGGATTATCGGTATGCACCACCACACCCAGCTAAGTTTTGTATTTTTAGTAGAGACAGGGTTTTACCATGTTGGTCAGGCTGGTCTTGAACTCCTGGTCTCAAGTGATCTGCCTGTTTCAGCCTCCCAAAATGCTGGGATTATAGGCATGAGCCACTACACCCGATCTTTCCCAGGCATTTCTCTTTTGTTCATTTTTGGTGGTTGTATGCTAGAGATTTAGAGGGAAGAATGGTGAGATAGTGTAGAAAATTATACTTGTGTCTAAATTAATTTGTGCATTACATTACATATGCATTTAACACAGAAAATAATGTAGGAAGATGAGACAGTCCAAGGAAGAAAGCTAAAAAAAAAGTTACATCTCTTTATGTAGGTAATAAACAACTATGACTATTTTATTCTTCTAGCTTTTCTCCTACACATATGCTCATGTCACCACCACCACCAATTATGACAAATCGGAATCATTCCATATTATTTTATATTATTGCTGGCTGCTAAGAACAATTAACACACTAACATTTTAGTTAAATTTGCATGTGATATTTGAAGATCATATATTTGATAAATAACTTGTATCCAGAATACATGTAGAACTCTTATAATAAAAGACTTAATAGCATCTTACAATAACTCAACAATAAAGAGACAACTCAGTTGAAAAGATAGGCAAAGGATTTTGCAGAGAAGATCTACAAAAGGCCAATAAGCACAGGAAAAGAAGAATAACATTACTAGCCGTCAAGGACATGCAAGTCACACCAACAATGAGATAACCATTTCACATGTTCTAGGATGGCTATCAAAAAGACAGACAAGGATGTGGAGAAATCGGAGCCCTCATACTTGCTGGTGAGAATGTAAAATGGTACAGCTGCTGTAAGAAAACAGCCTGGCAGTTCCCCAAAATATTCAACATATAGTTACCATATGACTCAGCAAATATACTCCTAGGTATATATACCCATGAGACATGAAAACACACTTCTAACACAGAAACTTGTACACAGATTATCATTCATAATGTCTAGAAAGTAGAATCAACTCAAATGTCTATCAGCTAATGAATGGATTAACAAATATGCCTATACATTAGAATGTTAATTATTCAGCAGTAAAAAGCAATGAAGTACAGATACGTGCTACAACATAGGTGAACCTTGACGACATGCTCAGAGAAAGAAGCCAGTCACAAAGTACTGCACATTGTATGATTTCATTTATGTGAAATGCCCAGAATAGGCAAATCCATAGGGACAGGAAGTAGACTAACGGTTGGGGGATGGGAAGGTTAGGGGAGTAGAACTCCTAATGGCTGCTACGTTTCTTTGAGGAATGATGAAAATCACTTTTGATTGTGCTGATGGTTGCACAACTCTTTGGATATACTAAAACCATTGACCTACACACTTAAATGGGTGAATTGTATGGTATTTAAATTCTATCTTAATAAAGCTCTTTAACAATAATATATATTTACAAATAAAGGCTGAGAATCCCTAAATCTACATTTTCCGGTTCCAGTTTTTAAAACTTCAAACAAAATGTTAATGTCAGCAGCACTGGATTGGCTGTCCAGAGGTTCTAGCCCTAGGACTTTTCATTAGCCAGTTGTGTCCCTGGAAGCAAGACACTCATTTGTGAAATGAGAATAATGTATATAATTTAATCCCATAATTTTTAAGGTCCTTTTCCTGAATTTTAATATAGGGCAAAATAATGTAACTTTTTTTTTTTTTTGAGATGGAGTCTCACTTTGTCGCCCAGGCTGGAATACAGTGGCACAATCTTGGCTCACTGCAACCTCTACATTCCAGGTTCAAGCTAGTCTCCTGCCTCAGCCTCCTGAGTAGCTGGGATTACAGGCACACGCCACCACGTCCAGCTAATTTTTTGTATTTTTAGTAGAGACGGGGTGTCGCCATGTTGGTCAGGCTGGTCTCGAACTGCTGACCTGATGATCCGCCTGCCTTGGCCTCCCAAAGTGCTGGGATTACAGGCGTGAGCCACTGCACCTAGCCCCAAAATAACGTAACTTTTAAAAAACTTGATATTTAAGTCTTAAAAGTTGTAGACATTTCGGAGATACTGTTACGGTCAGAGGCTTAGAAATCATTGCCAGGTTACTTTGGCTGCTTATTAGAATCACCATGGGAGCTTTTAAAACATACCTGTGCCCGGGTCATACCGCCAGAGAGCCTGATTTAACTGGTCTCCAGTGGTCTTCCAGCATCTCACTGCTCTCCTTCCCTTGCTCTCCTTATCCCTTGTCTTTTGCTTACATCATGATTTTAATGTGCAGGCAAAGTTGAGAGCCACTGGCTTTGCTAATGAGCAATGCTGTATTGGCAGCATCAAAAGTCAGTCATTTTGTTTCATTTTTTATTACTTGATACCATATTTATCAACTTGTGGGTTGGGGATGGAGAGGGTATATAAAACAACAGGTAGACATATAATAGAAAATGTCTATAAAACATTTCACAATTTAAGTTGTGCCTGCTTATAACGATTTCTTACATCAGTTTTAGATATAAATTACTGGTTATATAGGTTCAGCTTTCAGCATGTCTTAATTTGCCACTGGTTTTATGAATTTTCCTAGACTTATCATTGTAATAGAACATAATATTTCTTATTATTTTATAATATCTATATTACTAAAGTGTTTTCATTTCATTTCCATAGGTCATAGGTTTTGGATCTGTTAAAATTGCAGCATTCATAGCTATGGTAGGAATTCTGTCTATTGTGGCTCAGGTGAGTATCATTTTATCTATACTTAAAAAATTTAAAAAATATCCTGATAACCATAGTTTCACAGGAAGCCACATATAAAAATGCAGGAAGATATTCCCTGAGCTGCTACCTCAGTCCCTCACCCCCTGCTATGGTAAGGTCTTGCAAGCTATAGTATAATATCAGATCAAGAAACTGATGTGAATGTGGTCCACAGAACTATTCCTTCTTATATAATGTGTAGAGGTTATTTTCTTTTTTGAGGTTGTAATTTAGGGGAAATTTTTTATGTTTTTATTTAAAACAATGTTTTTAAAATTATATCCTTGACCAGGCAGCCCAGCCTGGTGACTGGCATCCACTCTTGTCTTCAGCCTTGCCTCCTCAGCTCAGGGGCCCTGGCCCCGATGCCACTGCCTAAGTCTCCTCGGAAGCCACAGTGGTTCCCCATCCCAGGCCCCTGGGGGCCTCTGGTGCTCCCCTTGCACCAGCATCATCTGCCATTTAGTGTTTTCTCAGAAAAGATGATTTAGGAGAACTTTGATACAACTTTCCCTACTTTTTAGAATATTTGTCGTAACCTCTGCTGGGTCAATTATTTTATTTGCTTTTACACCAACCAAAATAGTAAATAATTATAATCTATCTCTGGATTGCAAAATCAACTAGGAAAATGGTTCAGTGTTATTTTAATGTTGAAAAGTAAGTAGAAATGAAAAGCAGAAATGAAAATCTGTAACTGCTTTAACTCCGACTGTTCCCAGGACTGAAGAAATATGAATCAGAGCATTAAAACATATTCAGTGAGGGCCAGACACGGTGGCTCACACCTGTAATCCCAGCACTTTGGGAGGCCAAGGCAGGTGGATCACCTGAGGTCAGGCGTTCCAGACCAGCTTGGCCAATATGGCGAAACCCTGTCTCTACTAAAAATACAAAAATCAGCTGGGTGTGGTGGCATGTGCTTGTAATTCCAGCTACTCAGGAGGCTGAGGCAGGAGAATCGCTTGAACCTGGGAAGTGGAGGTTGCTGGGAGCCGAGATTGCGCCACTGCACTCCAGCCTAGGTGACAGAGTGAGACTCCATCTCAAAAAAGAGAGAGGGAGAATATATATATATATATATTTTCATATATATATTCATATATATTCATATATATTCATATATATTCATATATTCATATATATTCATATATTCATATATATTCATATATATATAATAGATATTATATATAAATATCTATTATATATAGGTATTGATAAATGATTTTCAGTGAGTAGAGAGCATTAACCATTTCCCTATCTATTGTAAATACAGTACCAGAAAAGATGAAGCATATTGTCCTTAAATTAATTCACTGTTGTGCCAAGGCACACTCACTATATTTTATGGTACTGCCTAGGGGTTGTTTTCCCTGAAATGGTTACCAGGAAAGCAGAGCATTCTTCTGTGGTAACCTCTCTCAAGGAGAAATGAGAAGGCCGCAAAACTACTACATTTGACAAGGCTTATGGGAATGCATCAAAACAAAGGCCGTTTATATTTTTGTTTTTGTTGAAATGTGTTGCAAATGTAAATTATGTTAACCTTTCAAGTTGATCATTTTGGTTTTTTACAAAATCAAACATAAACTCAGCCATCTTTTTTTTTTTTTTTTTTTGACACGGAGTCTCGCTCTGTCACCCAGGCTGGAGTGCAGTGGTATGATTTCGGCTCACTGCAACCTCTGCCTCTCGGGTTCAAGTGATTCTACTGCCTCAGCCTCCCAAATAGCTGGGACTACAAGTGTGCACCACTATGCCTGGCTAATTTTTGTATTTTTAGTAGCGACAGGGTTTCACCCTGCTGGCCAGGCTGGTCTCGAACTCCTGACCTTGTGATCTGCTTGCCTCGGCCTCCCAAAGTGCTGGGATTACAGGCATGAGCCACCACACCCGGCCAGCCCAGTCATCTTTCATCCAACCCCTTTTTAGACTTTCTCAACTAGTTATATTTAGCAGAGTATATATTTGTTAAAATCAAACTTACATCCCAATTCCAACTTTGTAAACTTCCAGCAGAAGCTCTCATATTCTGTAAATGTTCAGCAGGAGTTTGCTATTCACAGATATTTAAGTGATTAGTATTTCTCCAGAGACTGAGGCTGTCCCTCTCAGTCATGGTAACTGGTGAACAGTTGTGATATCCTTTCAGGAAGTGCCAGCAGAGCACCAGGTAGACAGGCTTCTTAGGGAGGAGGCTGAAAGCATTGAGCCCCAGGTCAGGCTGGGAGCCCCCAACACTCCACCCCTGTAGAAGGTCATCAGTACTGTCCAGACTCTGAGGTTGCAGGTCAGGCAGTGTGCCCTTAGAGGTCTCTGGTCATCAGGGAAGGGTCTTCACACACAGAGCTTGTATTTTAATTCTGTGTGTTGATGTGGTTTTTCAGAGTTGTCTCCTTTACTTTGCAGACGGCCTTTCTTAGCATCTTGATGAGATCATTAGGAAATAAGAATACTGTCCTCCTTGGCTTGGGCTTCCAGATGCTCCAGTTAGCCTGGTACGGTTTTGGATCACAGGCCTGGTAAGCCTCACTCTTAGATTCTCGTGAACTGCCAGACAGATGCCTCTTAGAGGAGCTTGGGGTGGTTGGGTGTGATGAGAAGGAAGCAAGGGTTATTTTGCTGGTTTGGTGTATTCAACATTGCAGAAACCATTAGGCTTTAATTTGGGGAAATGTGGAGCTAGATAACAGGATTATTTATAAAGACTACCTTTATGTCATTGGACTTTCACGGAATTGTTCCTTAATTGAATGTATCTCTCTCTTCCCTCCAGCCCCCAAATAAAGTTTTATGTCTACTTTTTAAAGCATATGCCAATTTTTTTTTCTTTCCCTGAGACGGAGTCTCACTCTGTTGCCCAGGCTGGAGTACAGTGGCATGATCTCAGCTCACTGCAACCTCTACCACCCGGATTCAAGCAGTTCTCCTGCCTCAGGCTCCTGAGTAGCTAGGATTACAGGCATTCACCACACGCCCGGCTAATTTTTGTATTTTTAGTAGAGATGGGTTTCACCATGTTGGCCAGGCTGGTCTCAAACTCCTGACCTTGTGATCTGCCTGCCTCGGCCTCCCAAAGTGCTGGGATTACAGGCGTGAGCCACCGCACCTGGCCACATATGCTAATTTTTAGAGACATTGAATATAGTCAAAAGCAAAACAAGAAGATACAAAAAAAATGACTGATTATGGCAAGCTTCACTATGACTTATCATTACCTATCAGTAACATAACCTTGATAAATCATTTGAGTTTGAACACTAAAATTTCTTCCAAAACCATGTGCATTCTGCCGCAGTTATTACTACCATATTAGATTCCCCCATAAACAGGAAGGAAGGTCCAAATAAGCTCAGTGGAATAAGAAAAATTAGAAGGAATCGTGAGTTTTGTTTTGTTAATGTGGCAGGTTTCTCCATGTGCCTGGTGGGCAGATGCAGAAATGCCTTCTCCATTTTAGACGGTAGAGCTGGTCCTTACTTTGGACACAAACAGACAACATAATTTAGAGAAACTAGAATTGCCTTAGTTATCATGTTTAGTTTGGGGAGTAAGTACATATGCCCCTTCTGAATTTTGGAATTTCATTTGATCCGCTTGCTCTTTCCTTTTTTTTTTTTTTTTTTTTTTTTTGAGAGAGAGAGGGTCTGGCTGTGTTGCCTAGGCCAGAGTACAGTGGCACAATCATGGCTTACTATTACAGCCTTGCTGCCAGCCTCAAGCGATCCTCCCATCTCAGCTTCCTGAGTAGCTGGGAGTATGTACACGCACCACCACGCCTGGCTAATATTTTGATTTTTTTTTTACACCATGCCTGGCTAATATTCTGATTTTTTTTTTTTTTTTTTTTGTAAAGACAAGGTCTCATGTTGCCCATGCTGGTCTTGAACTCCTGGGCCCAAGCAATCCTCCTGCCTTGGCCTCCCAAAGTGCTAGGATTACAGTCATGAGCCACTGTCCCTAGCCGTCTGTGACTTTTTACCAGATTAACTTGCTTGATTCTCCTTGTTCTTTTTGATTTTGCTCCTGTGAACTTTGGTTCAGTAGCTGATTTAGTCACATTCATGTAGTGTTAAAAAGACTTTGTCATCATGTGAGGTTTTTCTTTTTCAGTAATGACCATCCCAAAGTTGGGGCCTCACTTTACTCACTCACACTTCATACTGATACATAGTTAAGACTCTTATTGAGAGGAGGACAAAGGTCTAAAGAGGAAGGCAGGTCTGTTTTTCCAGTTGGGGGCACACCATGCTCTCTCTGTTGAGGGGTAGCAAGCTGTAGCTCGAGGGCAGTGTGAAAGTGAGCCTTCAAGAGGTACAAAGAAAAAATGAAAGGTCAGTGGAGAAAATGTGGTATTTATAGCAACAAAAGAAATCTCCTTGCGAACTTCATTGAGCTTATGTCTAAAGATAGCAGTAGGGAGACCAGGGAGAAGAAAAGTTTGTAAAAGAAGTAAAATCAAGACACAAAGGTTTCCTGGCCCTTCTGTCCCCATCCTAGGCCATTCGTTTCCTCCAGTGTCACATGTAACCTTGTAGGTTAAAAAAAAAATGCATTTTTAAAGAGGAAAAAATAAATAAAATGTAACAGGAGAAAACAAGGCATTTGTACTTTTGCCACTGATTGCATTCCGAATAGTGAGCTCCTTGAGGTTGACCTGCTGCCTGACTGTGCCTGTCCTGTCATTGCAGGATGATGTGGGCAGCAGGGACCGTGGCTGCCATGTCCAGCATCACGTTTCCGGCAATCAGTGCCCTCGTCTCTCGGAATGCAGAGTCAGATCAGCAAGGTGAGGTCACTGCCCCCCACTTGTTTTTCTCCTTCAACGGGAGACCTCCCTGCTAGAAGCAGGAGCAGCTCTGAGTTCTCCCCATCAACAGCAGGAGCCGACAGCCATATGGCCCCTTTTATCATACCTATTTACTTTGGCAGATAGGAACATTCTATTTTCCTCTCTGCTTTGATCTTACACTTATATTTTTTAAAGCTAGACTTAGCAGTTCAGATTGCTAACAATTAGAAATAGAACTATTCATTTTCCCTTTTCAGTTTTGATACATCTTTTCTTCTTTAGTGTCACAATTAAGCAGACTATAATCACATTTTAACAGATGTCTATTAAATAATGAAAAACCAGTTAACCACGAGTTACTTAATTACTTTATTCACTAATTATTTGGAATAACTCAAAGTCTTTGAGCTTAATTTAGAAAATAGTTTGAGAGTAGTAAGAAAAAGTCTGTGTGGTTGTTGATAGATGTTGAGTGAGAGATGAAATTAAAATTAAGACTGCTATGTGGAAAATAGCATTCTACCATCTAGATCCATATCCCATCCTTCCCATGCCTCTGCTTCCCTTCCTGTCCTGTCTTGTCCTCCCTCCATCCCTTCTTCCCTCTTTTCCCACCCTTCCTCCCCCCACCCCCCACCTCCTACCCCTTACAGGGTCTCACTGTCACCCAGGCTGGAGTGTAGTGGTACAATCTTGGCTCCCTGCAGCCTCCGTCTCCTGGGCTCAAGTGATCTCCCAGTCACCCTCCCAAGTACCAGGGACTAGAGACGCACACTACCATGCCCAGCTAATTTTTTGTATTTTTAGTGGAGATGGGGTTTCGCCATGTTGCCCAGCCTGGTCTCGAACTCCTGGGTTCAGTCTGCCTGCCTCGGCCTCTCAAAGTGCTGAGATTACAGGTGTGAGCCCCCATGCCTGGACTGCTTTCCTTTCAAGCAGTTCCCATGGCTAGATTTAATCTCTTTCCTTCTCTATCTCCTAATGGCTCACCTTATTGTATTCAGGAAGAAGTAGACAATTTTAGAGGGAGAAAAATTTTTTAATGCCTAAGAGCCCTTTTTTTTAAAAGTTTTAGTAAAAAACTATATTGGAAAGGATGGTTTATTCATTGCATTTTTTTTTTCTATATCAGAAGTTAGGTATCTTACTCAGATTCATTGTTAAATATTGTCCCTTGAAGACCACACATTCTGTATGTCACTCCTGGCTACAGTAACTCAGTTGGTTTGCATCCTTAGGGAGGTGCTGTGTCTGAAGTGAAGATGTGATGACCCATCCGTGGAGGACTGTCACTGCCTTGGCATCTGACAGACACCGTCCTGTCATTTGGGGCATGGATTTTCTTTTGACTTTTTATACTTATTCATGTCAATATACATGTTTCTGAATGTCAGCATATAAAAGTTTTGGAACACATTGTATTAGGCTGAATTATATACTACCATTTTTGATTTACAGAAACATTCATTTCATACAGTTCAAGCTAACTTTTTACTTGCTATGTTAGAAAGCAGAGATATTTAGGAATTTGGCACTTCTGGGTTTTTCAGTGTAGGTCTCTAGGGAGATAGGCTGGAATACACCTGTGAAGATGAAGTCTGCCTACTGGGGACTGGTCTGTATTCCTGACACCAGGGCTGCCAGAGGTGAAGGGCAAGTTTTTGTTGTGAAAGCACCAGTAAATGACCAGAGCAGGGAAATCTCAGTTGACAGAAAAGTGGACATTGCCTGAAATGGGAAGATATTAAAGTTTTGGATTGTATATGTTTTTATGATTTTATATGTTTTATATGGTTTTATTAGTTTTGGATTTTATTTTATAATGGATAAAGTCTTCCTAATCTACTTTCATTAGCATGCTTTCTCTTTTCCTCAGTCTTGCCGAATTAGTGTATCATGGTTATGAGAAAGTACTGTGCAGCTCCAAATCTTGAGATGCCTTTCTGAGAAGACTGGCATTATTTTCTTTGTTCTGATTTAGGAGTTGCCCAGGGGATCATAACTGGAATAAGAGGACTATGCAATGGCCTGGGGCCAGCACTGTATGGCTTCATATTCTACATGTTCCATGTGGAACTGACTGAGTTGGGCCCGAAATTGAATTCTAACAACGTTCCCCTGCAGGTAATTTGGTCATAAGTCTAGTTTTGTAACAACAATTATGTATGATTATAGCAAAATCTTGTGACCTTAAATTTGGAGAGCATTCTTTCTTGTATGTTACTATATTTTATTTGGCAGCAATAAGTATTGTGTTCATTGCTTCTCGGGATCAGGGAGGGGTCATTTTAGTGATTTAATATCTTATGTAAAAGATATGTCTTAACTTTGTTCAGATTCTGTTTTCACCTACACAATCACTACACTATTCTCTGGATAAGCCCAGGCTAGTTAAAATTTGAAATGACCTAAAAATCCAGCTAAAAATTGAGGTAGGGTACTTTTTGTACTATTTATTTGAAATTTCTTCCCTTGTTCCCTCTAAGCCATATCTATACAAAGCTGGAATTAATGTTCATGTACAAAGGTGCATGATCTGAAGTCATAGGATGGGATTATAGGTAAACAGCTGTTGCTTACAAGCTTACAGTTTTGCTTAAGCTATTTGGAAGTGGTACAAAAAGCAGTTAATTAGTTGCCCTTTGTCATATTCCAAACACCAAGCTCTAGTGGAGTTTGCCTTGACATTTAATGAAACATTTGCTTATGAGAATATGATTCACTTTTTGGTGGTGTGTTTTTTTTGGGTAATCTAGGAATAATTTTGAGTTAAAAGACTAACTGTATTCTTTGTCTCCACTTGTTTTCCACGTTCAACAGGGAGCTGTCATCCCAGGCCCGCCGTTTTTATTTGGGGCATGTATAGTCCTTATGTCTTTTCTGGTTGCCTTATTCATTCCTGAATACAGTAAAGCCAGTGGAGTTCAAAAACACAGTAACAGCAGCAGCGGCAGCCTGACCAACACCCCAGAACGGGGCAGTGATGAGGACATTGAGCCACTACTGCAAGACAGCAGCATCTGGGAGCTCTCTTCATTTGAGGAGCCTGGGAATCAGTGCACTGAGCTGTAAACTCGGCAGAAAGTGGGATTCTGCATACGCCATCTCTGAGAGCCATGGAGGGAGCCACACCCCTGGTGACTTCATGGTGCTGGATGGGAGACGCTAGCGGCATCCTTCAGGGCCAAGTTTGATAAATACCACCGCCATCATTCTGCTCATCCTCCTCCTGTTTTTTTTTTTTCTCTTACATTCTTTTTTTTTTTCCTGTTTATACATTAGAACAAGATAAGATTTGAAATACTTCCTTGCAAATAATGTGCAACTCCCAAGGTGAAACTCAAATAGAAAAAGTCATCTCTCTGGTAGAAAGGATGGCTTTCCTGTAATGACTATAGAGTAAGAGTGGCAGCAATCTTTCCATGCCCTTTTCAGCAGAAGGCACAGAACAGTAGCGGGACTGCCATCTCTGGCAAGATTTCAGGTAAAGAATCTCTTCTTAATTTCTACCTTCCTGTTTCTCTGAATCAGCCCATAGGTGTTGATGAGTGGCCACTCTTAAAGAGTCACTCAGTATCAGGGATCTACTGTCTTTGTTCAAAGGTCAAATAAAAACCTAGTCTCCTTTTATTCTACTTTCTATTCTTAGCTAGAATGAAACTCAGCATATATACACTTCTGGACATAATAATATTGAATAGTAATTACCTTTACTAGATGAAAGAAATTTTCATTACAAACTTAAATCATGTAAAACTCAACAACTCAGATTCCTGGACCTGGTGTCCTGGTTGGGTCCAAGGTGATTTTACAGAAGAAAAAAACAACTCAAGCATTCTGGTGGCAACATAGAGATTGTAGGCTGCTTCTAAGAAAGTTATTAACAATTTGGAAATTCCTAAGTAGGATGAGAGTTAGTAACTGGATACGAGTGAAGTTTATATCCAAGTTCAGACTCAAAGGCATTATTATGATTTGCTTCTTCCCATGTCTTCCATGTCCTGCTTCTCAAAGTTTTTCTCATCCATCACACTCCTGCCTTAACTGCTCTGAGTATGCATTTGTTTTCAATTCATCTTTATTTCAATCTGTTTAACTTTTGAATCGCATGGGAATACGCACATTAAGTTCCTTTCTAAAATAAGGTTTTATGAAGCTGAGTTTCACGATAAGTGTCTTGCTATTTTTTGAGATGTTTTATGGACAAAGAAAACTTTACAGATTTATATGTATTTTGCTGCACCAGTAAATGGACCATTAACTAGGGCCCACCTTTAACAGAGCACCCCTTTGAAAGTTTTATAGGTATGAAATATATGTAGATATTTGTAAAGGGTTTTAATTTTTTTTTTTTGATGGGGTGCTGTGTAAATCTTGTATTTATAAATGTAATGAAGGTATTGACAGAAAAAAATATATACAACTTTTATAAAGGATTGTGTACTGACTGAATACATTTAAAAGAAAATATATTTTGAAACCTGTTCTGCTATGAACAGAGATAACATATCTTTTTACTATGCTATTGGTTTTTAGGTTAAGCTTCCTAATGCATAATAAATTTACAGTGGTTACTTTTATGTCTTGTGTCTTTTTTTTAAAGCAAATAGTATTGCTCTTTTGGGTTCTCTGTTGGGTGGCTTTCAATTAAACTGAGTTGTAATCTTTCAGCTGATGCAAAAGGTATGTATTTTCAAAAAAATTTTATTTTTAACAAAATTCCTTCAAAGTCTCCCTTCAAAAACATCGTAACTACAGATGCTCCTTGAAAAAAACATCGTAACTACAGATGCTCCTTGACTTACCGATGGGGTTCCATCCTGATAAGCCCATTGTAAGTTGAAAATATCATACATTGCAAATGCATTATTAACACAGCTTAGAAGCTTCAGCACTTTCGGTATCAGCACAGTAGAGTATTGGTTGGTTGTTTACCCTCCTGAGTGCATAGTGATTGGGAGCTGCAGCTCACTTGCCACTGCTCAATGTCACGAGAGAGTATCATACCACATATCGCCAGCCTGGGAAAAAAAATCAAAATTTGAAGTATGGTTTCTACTAAATGGGTATCGCTTTTATACTGTCATGAAGTTGGAGACCATCTGTATTTTTATTTTTAAAAAGCAGGGACAGAACAAAAACGCGTATATCCACGTTCATAGCATTCATAACAGCCAAAAGATGGAAAAAAACCTAAGTGGCCATTGACCGATGATGAATAGATAAGCAAAATAGGTATATCCATACAGCAGACTATTATTCAGCTTTAAAAAGGAAGGAAATTCTGACACGATACAAAATGGATGAGCATTTAACACATTATGCTAAGTGAAACAAGACAATCACAAAAAGACAAATACTATATGGTGCCACTTAATGATGTGCCTAGAGTAGTTAACGTTCAGAAAGCAGAGTAGTGCTCACCACGGGCTGGGGGAGGGAGAAGTAGGAAGCTGTTATTTAATGGGTACAAAGTTTCATTTTGCAAGGTAAGAAAAGTTCTGGGATGGTAATGGTTTTTTGATAATGGTAGTTTTATGAATGTTCCCCATGTGCTTGAGAAGATGGTATTCTCTTAACTGTGAGAGTGTAAGGGCCAATGTATGTGCTGAACATCTATCTTATTATGCTTGGTATTTTACACTTATTTTTGTCCAGTGAATGGACATCTCTGTGATGCTGAGTCTTGCTATCCAGGATTATGCTGTCTATCCATTTGTTAAGGTTTACTTTTAATATATAGTGTTCTGACATTTTTCTCAAACAGGAATTGTATATTTCATGTTGTTTATTTCTATTAGTGTCTACTGTGAAATGGAGGGGTGTGTCTTTACTTCCATCCCATCCTTAAACTATTTATTTTTTATTATTTATTATTTTTTATTTTTTTTTTGAGACAGAGTCTTGCTCTGTCGCCCAGTCTGGAGTGCAGTGGCGCAATCTTGGCTCACTGCAACCTCCACCTCCTGGGTTCAAGCAATTCTCCTGCCTCAGCCTCCCAAGTAACTGGAGATTACAGGCACATGCCGCTATGCCCGGCTAACTTTTTTTTTTGTATTTTTAGTACAGATCGGGTTTCGACATGTGGGCCAGGCTGGTCTTCAACACCTGACCTCAAGTGATCCACCAGCATTGGCTTCTCAAAGTGCTGGGACTACAGGTGTGAGCCACTGCGCCCAGCCAACAATTCTTTATCTAAGGTCATCCTCTATGGACCAGAGAACTCTGGGAATTTCTTGCCTCTTGGGATCCAGAACCAGAGAAACAGCAGAGCATAGGGTGACTTACTTGTGGGCTCCCACAAACAGAAGGCCACTCAGACCTGCTGTTTGCCACCCCTGCCCATTCCTTCTCCAGATGGAACTGGTACTCTTCTGACTACCAGACAGGCTGCACCACCAGCAAAGGGGATGGATACAGGAGCCACACCAACAATAAGCGACCAGGGAAGGCTCCATATTCCTTGTGGGCCTAGGACTGCCTTTTCAAAGGAAAAATAGCTAAAAAGGCAGAACCTGCAAAAGAGGTGCAGCTACATTAGTGACCTGACCAAAGAAGGCTCTTTGTCCCTGCAGGTTTGAGATGGAGAGTCCCCTCATCCCAGACACAGAGGCAGAGGGGGTAGAATAGGTGAGGGGACACTGGGAAGAGGGATCCTTCCAACCCCACCTCACCAACATCTCCCCCAGCCCACCCCCACCCCACACACCAGAAGCCTGGTAAACCCTTCTGCACCCTCAGCTAGCACCAGCAGAGAGCAGTGGGAACCTCCTTTGGCACTAAATCCACTGAGGATGTCAAAGCAAAACATTAAAGGCTCCAATAATCAAACTATCATTGAAACCTCCTCCCCCACCCACAAAATAGGCTAAGGCCCACATGCCAACCCCAAACAAGGTGCTTGCTCGCTAAAATTATCAAAGATGTAAATAGCACCTAGCATTACATAACATGACAGACAAAAGGGCCAGGATACAATCATCACACCAAGAGCCAAGAAAATCATGGCTTGAATGAGGAAAGACAATCAACTGACCCCAACTGAAATGAATCAGAGGTTGGATCCATCTGAAAAGGATTTTAAAGCAGACATCTTTTTAAAATGCTTTAGTGATCATTTACAAATTTTCTGCAATCAAATGAAAACAAAATTATAAATCTCAGCAAAGAAATAAAGGTTATAAAACATGAACTGAAATGAAATTATGGAACTAAAAATACAATAATAGAAGTGAAAACTCGCCGGGCACTGTGGCTCATGCCTGTAATCCCAACACTTTGGGAGGCCCAGGCAGGCGGATCATGAGGTCAGGAGATCGAGGCCATCCTGGCCAACATGGTGAAAACCCTTCTCTACTGAAAATACAAAAAACATCATTAGCTAGGCATGGTGGCGGGCGCCTGTAGTCCCAGCTACTTGGGAGGTTGAGGCAGGAGAATTGCTTGAATCCAGGAGGTGGAGGTTGTAGTGAGCCAAGATTGCGCCACTGCACTCCAGCCTGGTGACAGAGTGAGACTTCATCTCCAAAAAAAAAAAAAAAGTGAAAACCAAACATTGCTAGACTTGCTTAATATTAGAATTGAAATAAGCAAAATCAACAGAATTCCCCTACACAGAAAAACAGAGAGAAAACAGACTAAAAATGTAAAATGAACAAAGCTTCAGAGGCCTGTGGGATAAAAAATAAAGGTCCAACTTTTGTATCATTAGAATTTCAGAAAGACATGAGTTAGATGATGGTGTTGAAATTATTTTAAAAAGTAATTGCTGAAAACTTCCAAGATTTGGCAAACTCATGAATTTATAGACCAAAAAATCTAAGTCAACCTCTCAAAAATAAACCCAAACAAGTCCACTCCAAGACACATCTAATCAAACTTTTAAAAACTAAAGACAGAAAAAAATTTTTAAAACAACCAAAAAGAAACAAAAGATAATTCTGGAACCTACAGAGAAACACCTACTTGAATAACAATGATTTTCTTATTTGGGATCATAGAGGCCAGAAGGAAGAACTGTCAACCACAAATTCTATGTTCAGTGAATCTATCTTTCACAAATAAATGAAACTTAAAAAAAATTATCAGGCAAAGAATTTGTTGTTACAAATTAAGAGTGGATAGTAGACCTACCATTAATGATTGGCTCAAGGACATTCTTCAAAAACAAGAGAAATGATAACAAAAGGAAGCATAGAGTATCCAGAAGGAAGAAGGAACACTGCATAGGGCAGAAATACGGAAATATAAAATGGATTATTTTGTTCACCATGAGTTCTGTAAATCTTAAGGACTGAAACAACAATTAGAACACCTTCTGGTACTTCAGACAATTATCTTTAATAGTTGAAAGGGAAAAGGGTCTTAAATGCAAGTGAGGTTTCCACACTTCGCTCTAAGTGGTGAATGTTGATATTAGTTGTAGTGGGATGAATAATGGCGTCACTCAGGTCCCCACATTCATCCCTCCAATCTATGAATCTTACTTTTTAGAGCAGAGATTTTGCAAGTGTAATTAAGTATCTATATGTGGGAGATTGTCCTGAATTATCTAGGTGGGCCCTAAATGCCATCACTAGTATCCATACATGAGAGAGGCAGACAGAGATTTCAGACAGAGGAGATGGCCACGTGACTCTGAATGGGAGAGTAGACTGATGTGGCCACAAGGCAAGGAATGCCAGCAGCTGCCCTAAGCCAGAAGAGGGAAGGAAAGAATTGTTTCCCAGAGCTTTTGAAGTGATTCTAGCCCTGCCCACAACTTGATGTTGGCCTAGCAAACTTGATGTGGGCGTCTGGTTTCCAGAACTGAGAGTAGAAATTTCTGTTGTTTTAAGCCACCAAGTTTGTGGCAATTTGCTATAGTAGCAGTAGAAAACAAATGTATCAGTAGGCTGTTACAAGTCATACCTTTATTGTAATGCCCAGAACGATCACTTTGAAAACTATACAAAGAAACACATTAGAATATACTATAAAAAATGGAGATAGAATTAAAAAAGAAAATAACCCCTAGGAAGGCAAGAAAAGCAGTAAAAGAGGAATGAGAACCCGAGAAAACGTAATAAAGTGCCAGACAAAGCACTAACATATCAATAATTATCTTAAATATAAACAGTCTACATATGCCACTCAAAAGTCAAAGAGAGGCAGAATATATTAAAAGCATTATTTGGGCTGGTCACAGTGGCTCACACCTGTAATCCTAGCAGTTTGGAAGGCTGAGGCAGGCGGATCATGAGGTCAGGAGTTCGAAACCAGTCTGGCCAGCACAGTGAAACCTGGTCTCTACTAAAAATACAAAAATTAGCCAGGCATGGTGCCGTGCACCTGTAGTCCCAGCTACTCAGGGGGCTGAGGCAAGAGAATGGCTTGAACCCAGGAGGCGGAGGTTGTGGTGAGCCAAGATCACGCCACTGTACTCCAGCCTGGGCAACAGAGCAAGACTCCATCTTAAAAAAAAATTACTCAATTACATAAGGCTTAAAATATATGTCAAAGTCAATAACACAGGCATAATGATAGTAAAAGGAAGAAAAGACATGCCATGTAAACATTAATAATAAAGCATGAGTGGGTATATTAATATCTGACAAAGTAGACTTTAAGGCAAATAAAAGTATTAGAGACAAAGAGGAACATCACAAAATAATAAAATGATTGATCCACCAGAAATGTGTAAAAATCCTAAATGTGTAAAAACCAAACATCAGAGCTTCACAAGAGGAAGCAAAAACAGTTAAAACTAAGGGAAAAACAGAAAAATCTACAAATGTAGTTGAAAACTTTAACACCCTTAGAAAACAGAAAAGATCATAAAAGGTATTTAATCAACCAACAGGATCTAACTGACACAGAACACTCCACCCAATACACATGTTTTTCAAACCCCTATGAAACGTTGACAAAGATAGATCTCATCCTGGGCCAGAAAATAGATCTTAACATATTCAAGTGAACTGAAATCATAGAGAATTTATTCTCTGATCACAATGGCATCAAACTAGAAATCAGTGATTAAAAGGCAGTAGAAAAATCTCGAAGCATATGGACACTAAATAACACATTTCTAAGAAATCCATGACTCAAAAAGAAAGTTTCAAGTGAAATAAAAAAATACATAGACTGGAGCAGTAAAACACAGTATATAAAAATATGTGGGATGCAGCTAAAACAGTGCCAAGAGGAAAATTTATAGTACTAAAATGACTAGATAGAAAAGAAGGAAAAAATTAGTTAAGTTCCTATCTCAAGATACTAGAAAAAGTAGTGCAAAATAGACTCAAAGCAACTAGAAGGAAGAATGTGATAGAAATCTAAATTAATACAATTGAAATAGAGAAATAATAGAAAAATAATAAAACAAAAACTGTTTCTTCTGAAAACTAATATAATTGATGAACCCTTAACAGGACTGGCAAAGAGACAGAAAGAAAGAGAGAGAGAGAAGGCAATGCTTATAAATATTAGAAATAAAATAGTGGATATTACTACAGATTCATCAGCCATTATAAAGATGAGGAAATATTATGAAGAACTTTAAGTTCATAAATTGAACAGGTTATTAAATATAAACTGATTTCTCAAAAACTATAAACTACCAAAACTCAACCAAGATGAAACAGACAATCTGAATAGTCCTGCAACTATTACAGAAATTGATGTTATAACTAAAATGTCCTACAAAAATAAAATGAAGTCTGCCACATTGACTTTTCCTTTAACGGACGATTTCTCTGTAGCATGTGATGCTGTTTGACAGCATTTTACCCACAGTAGATCTTATTCCAAAATTAGAGTCATTCCTCTCAAACACTGCCACTGCTTTATCAACTAAGTTTACGTAATATTCTAAATCCTTTGTTGTCATTTCAACAATGTTCATTCACACCCTCTTCACCAGGAGTAAATTACCACCTCCTTTGCTCACCCATAAGAAGCAACTCCTCATCTGATCAAGTATTGTCATGATGCAGCAATTCAGTCACATCTTTAGGCTCCACATCTAATTCTAGATCTCTTGCTATTTCTTCCACATCTGCAGTTATTTCTTCCACTGAAGTCTTAAACTCCCCAGTCACCCATGAGGGCTGGAATCAACTTCTTCCAAACTCTTGTTAATGTTGATATTTTTACTTTCTCCCATGAATCATAAATTTCTTAATGGCATCTACAATGGTGAATCTTTTCCAGAAGGCTTTTTTTTTTTTTTTTTTTTTTTTTTTGAGACAGAGTCTCGCTCTGTCACCCAGGCTGGAGTGCAGTGGCACAATCTCGACTCATCACCTCCCAGGTTCACGCCATTCTCCTGCCTCAGCCTCCCGAGTAGCTGGGACTACAGGCGCCTGCCACCATGCCCGGCTAATTTTTTTTGTATTTTCAGTAGAGACGGGGTTTCACCATGTTAGCCAAGATGCTCTTGATCTCCTTACCTCGTGATCCAGCTGCCTCTGTCTCCCAAAGTGCTGGGATTACAGGCATGAGACACTGTGCCCGGCCTCCAGAATGTTTTCAATGGACTTTGCCCATATTCATAGAAGGAATCACTACCTATGGCAGCCATATAGCCTTACGAAACGTACTTTTTAAATAGTAAGACTTGAAATTCAAAATTACTCCTTGATCCATGGACTGCAGAATGGATGCTGTGTTAGCAGGCATGAAAACAACATTCGTCTACTGTACATCTCCATCAGAGCTCTTCGGTGACGGTGCACTGTCAATGACCAATGATATTTTAAAAGAAATATTTTTTTCTGAGAAGTAGGTCTTGACAGGAGGCTTAAAATAGTCAGTAAGCCATGCTGTAAACAGATGTGCTGTCATCCAGGCTGTTGTTCCATTTACTGAGCACAGGCAGAGGAGAGTTAGCATAATTCTCAAGGGCCCTAGAATTTTCAGAATGGTAAGTGAACACTAGCTTCAACTTAAAGTCACCAGTTGCATTAGCCCCTAACAAAGTCAGCCAGTCATGTGAAGCTTTGAATTCTCCTTCCTGGCTATTAAAAGTTCTAGATGGCATCTTCTTCCAATAGAAGGTTGTTTCATCTGCATAAAAACTGTTGTTAGTGTAGCCACTTTCATCAATGATCTTAACTGGATCTTCTGGATAACTTGCTGCAGCTTCTCCATCAGTACTTGCTGCTTCATCTTGCATTTTTATGTTATGGAGATGACTTCTTTCCTTAAACATCCTGAATCAACCTCTGCTAGCTTCCAACTTCTCTTCTGCAGCTTCCTCACCTCTCTGTCTTCACAGAACTGAAGAGAGCTAGGGCCTTGCTCTGAATTAGGATTTGGCTTAAGGGAATGTTGTAGCTGATTTGATCCTCTATCCAGACCATTCAAACTTTCTCCATATCAGCAGTAAGCCTGTTTCACTTTCTTTTTTGTTTGTTTGTTTGTTTTTGAGATGGAGTCTAGCTCTTTCACTTAGACTGGAGTGCAGTGGTGCCATCTTGGCTCACTGAAACCTCCGACTCCTGGGTTCAAGTGATTCTCCTGCCTCAGCATCCCGAGTAGCTGGGACTACAGGCATGCACCACCATGCCTGGCTAATTCTGTAGTTTTAATAGAGATGGGGTTTCACTATGTTGACCAGGCTGGTCTCGAACTCCTAACCACAAATGATCTGCCTGCCTTGGCCTCCCAAAGTGTTGGGATTACAGGTGTGAGCCACTGAGACTGGCCTGCTTCACTTCAACATTTGCATGTTCACTGAAGTAGCACATTTAATTTTCTTCAAAAACTTTCACAACTTGGCTGTTTGGCACAAGACCCCTAGCTTTCAGCCCATCATGGCTCTCAACATGCCTTCCTCACTAAGCTTAATCATTTCTAGCTTTTTATCTTAGCTTTATTTATTATACTTTAAGTTTTAGGGTACATGTGCACAACGTGCAGGTTAGTTACATACGTATACATGTGCCATGTTGGTGTGCTGCACCCATTAACTCGTCATTTAGCATTAGGTATATCTCCTAATGCTATCCCTCCCCCCTCCCCCCACCCCACAACAGGCCCCGGTGTGTGATGTTCCCCTTCCTGTGTCCATGTGTTCTCATTGTTCGATTCCCACCTATGAGTGAGAACATACAGTGTTTGGTTTTTTGTCCTTGCGATAGTTTGCTGTGAATGATGGTTTCCAGCTTCATCCATGCCCCTACAAAGGACATGAACTCATCCTTTTTTATGGCTGCATAGTATTCAATGGTGTATATGTGCCACATTTTCTTAATCCAGTCTACCGTTGTTGGACATTTGGGTTGGTTCCAAGTCTTTGCTATTGTGAATAGTGCCCCAATAAACATATGTGTGCATGTGTCTTTAAAGCACCATGATTTATAATCCTTTGGGTATATACCCAGTAATGGGATGTCTGGGTCAAATGGTATTTCTAGTTCTAGATCCCTGAGGAATCACCACACTGACTTCCACAATGGTTGAACTAGTTTACAGTCCCACCAACAGTGTAAAAGTGTTCCTATTTCTCCACATCCTCTCCAGCACCTGTTGTTTCCTGACTTTTTAATGATCGCCATTCTAACTGGTGTGAGATGGTATCTCATTGTGGTTTTGATTTGCATTTCTCTGATGGCCAGTGATGATGAGCATTTTTTCATGTGTCTTTTGGCTGCATAAATGTCTTCTTTTGAGAAGTGTCTGTTCATATCCTTTGCCCATTTTTTGATGGGGTTTTTTTCTTGTAAATTTGTTTGAGTTCATTGTAGATTCTGGATATTAGCCCTTTGTCAGATGAGTAGATTGCAAAAATTTTCTCCCATTCTGTAGGTTGTCTGTTCACTCTGATGGTAGTTTCTTTTGCTGTGCAGAAGCCCTTTAGTTTAATTAGATCCCATTTGTCAATTTTGGCTTTTGTTGCCATTGCTTTTGGTGTTTTAGACATGAAGTCCTTGCCCATGCCTATGTCCTGAATGGTATTGCCTATGTTTTCTTCTAGGGTTTTATGTTTAACATTTTATGGTTTTAGGTCTTTTTATGGTTTTAGGTTTTAACCTTTTTATGGTTTTAGGTCTAACATTTAAGTCTTTAATCCATCTTGAATTAATTTTTGTATAAGATGTAAGGAAGGGATCCAGTTTCAGCTTTCTACATATGGCTAGCCAGTTTTCCCAGCACCATTTATTAAATAGGGGATCCTTTCCCCATTTCTTGTTTTTGTCAGTTTGTCAAAGATCAGATGGTTGTAGATATGTGGCATTATTTCTGAGGGCTCTGTTGTGTTCCATTGGTCTATATCTCTGTTTTGGTACCAGTACCATGCTCTTTTGGTTACTATAGCCTTGTAGTACAGTTTGAAGTCAGGTAGCATGATGCCTCCAGCTTTGTTCTTTTGGCTTAGGATTGACTTAGCAATGAGGTCTCTTTTTTGGTTCCATATGAACTTTAAAGTAGTTTTTTCCAATTCTGTGAAGAAAGTCATTGGTAGCTTGATGGGGATGGCATTGAATCTTACCTTGGGCAGTATGGCCATTTTCACGATATTGATTCTTCCTACCCATGAGTATGGAATGTTTTTCCATTTGTTTGTATCCTCTTTTATTTCATGGAGCAGTGGTTTGTAGTTCTCCTTGAAGAGGTCCGATCATTTCTAGCTTTTGATTTAAAGTGAGAGACATGCAACTCTTCCCTTTACTCAAACCCTTAGAAGCCATTGCAGGGTAATTAATTGGCCTGATATCAATATTGTCATATCTGAAAGAATGGAGAGGCCCAAAGGAAGGGAGAGAGATGAGGGAAGAGTCAGTGGGTGGAGCAGTCAGAACGCACTCAACACTTATCGATTAAGTTCACCATCTTATATATAGGTCGGCTTGATAGCATCCCAAAACAAGTACAGTAGTAACATCAAAGGTCACTGATCACAGATCATCATAACAGATACAATGTTAATGAAAAACTTTGAAATATTGCAAGGATTACCAAAATGTAACACCAAGACAAGAAGTGAGCACATGCTGTTGGAAAAATGGTGCCAACAGAATTATTCAATGCAAACCTGGGCAACACAGTGAGACCCTGTTCTCTACTAAAAAAAAAAAATTTGGTGGTAAATGCTACCAGCTACTTAGGAGGCTGAGGTGGGAGGATTGCTTCCACCTGGGAGGTCAGTAAGTGTTGAGTGTGTTCTGACTGCTTCACTCACTGACTATTCCCCCATGTCCCTCCCTCTCTTTGGGCCTATTCTTTCAGATACAACGATGTTGAAATTAGGCCAATTAATTACCTTACAATGGCTTCTAAGTGTTTGAGTAAAAGGAAGAGATGTATGTCTCTCACTTTAAATCAAAAAGCTGCAGTGTGGGAGGTCAAGGCTGCAGTGAGCTGTGATGGCACCACTGCCCTCCAGCTTAGGAGACAAAATGAAACCATGTCTCAAAAAAAAAAAAAAAAAGAATTACTGTATCGGGGGAACCAGCCCCCAGTATTTCAATGTACATTCTTTTCTATTTTCCCTAAGTGTCGGCCGGTCTGAGAAATAAAGGGAAAGAGTACAAAAGAGAGAAATTTTAAAGCTTGGTGTCCAGGGGAGACATCACATGTTGGCAGGTTCCGTGATGCCCCGAGCTGCAAAACCAGCAAGTTTTTATTATGGATTTCAAAAGGGGAGGGGTGTACGAATAGGGTGTGGCTCACAGAGATCACATGCTTCAAGGGCAATAACATCACAAGGCAAATGGGGGCAGAGTGAGATCACAGGACCAGGGTGAAATTAGAATTGCTGATGAAGTTTCATGTCCCACTGGGCATGCATTATCATTGATAACACCTTATCAGGAAACAGGGTTTGAGAGCAGACAACCGGTCTAATTAAAATTTACTAGGCAGGAATTTCCTAATCCTAATAGGCCTGGGGGTGCTACAGGAGACCGGGGCTTATTTCATCCCTTATCTTCAACCATATAACACAGACATTCCCAGAGCGGCCATTTTAGAGACCTCCCCCTAGGAATGCATTCTCTTTCTCAGGGCTGTTCCTTGCTGAGAAAAAGAATTCAGCGATATTTCTCCTATTCACTTTTGTAAGAAGAGAAATATGACCCTGTTCTGTCTGGCCCCTCAGGCAGTCAGGCCCAATGGTTTACTCCCTTGTTCCCTGAAAATTGCAGCCATCCTGTTCCTTTTGGATGCCCAGATTTCATATTGTTCAAACACACATGCCCTACAAACAATTTGTGCAGATAATACAATCATCACAGGATCCTGAGGCAACATACATCCTTAGCTTACGAAGATGATAGGATTAAGAGATTAAAGTAAAGACAGGCATAGGAAATTATAAGAGTATTGATTGGGGAAGTGATAAATGTCCATGAAATCTTCACAATTTATGTTCAGAGACTGCAGTAAAGACAGACATAAGAAATTATACAAGTACTAATTTGGGGAACTAATAAATGTCCATGAAATCTTCACAATTTATGTTCTGCCATGGCTTCAGCCGGTCCCTCCGTTCGGAGTCACTGACTTCCTGCAACACTGCTGGATGCAGGGTTGCCATGAACCCTCAATTTGTAAAATATGCAATATTCACAAAGTGCAGTAAAGCAAAGCACCATGTGTCTACACATGGCCAATCTTATTTCATCGGTCCCTCCCACCCAAACTGTTCCTCATTCCTGCCTTGGATTGTTTTATAAAAATTCCCAGACATCATATCATTTCATGCATAAACACTTTGGTATGTATCTCTAATAGATAAGGATTATTTTTATTTCTAAACATAACCACAATACCATATCACATTTTTAAATGTTAGCAATAATTCCTTACTATTGTCACATAGCCAGTTCAGTTTCCCTGTCTCATAACATTTTTTTACAGTTCAGTGGTTCAATTCAGTATCCAAACATAATTCATATATCCAAGGCATATGTTTTCAATCTCTTTTTCCCTCACAACTCAATTCTCATTTCTAGTTTATTCAGCATGGATAACATCACCGTCACATGCAAAATGTTAAAATAGATACATCTAAGGAAGGGTGAAAAGGAGAAGTTAAGATTTTAAAAAATAAAACAAAAATACTTAATTTTCTTGTTCACACCTGTTGCCCAAGTGAAAATGAGAGAGGCTCTTTATTCTCCTGACTTTTCCTGGTTGTTTTTCACTTATGGTCATCTGAACCTTCCTGGTTATGTTGGAAAGTGATGGGGTGAGGAATAAGGGACTCTTGCTTTGCCAAGAACAGCATTCTGCCTGCAGGCTGGAAGGGCAGCAGCATGTGCAAAGAGTAGTTTCAGTTCCACAAGGGGCAAGGTGGAAAATTTCTTCTCTTTGAAAATGCTTGTTCTCAGCTATCAATTACTTTTTTTTTTTTTTTTTTTTGTATGAGACAGAGTCTTGCTCTGTCACCCAGGCTGGAGTGCAGTGGTGCAATCTCAGCTCACTGCAACCCCTGCCTCCCAGGTTAAAGCTATTCTCCTGCCTGAGCCTCCTGAGTAGCAGGGACTACAGGCGCCTGCCACCACACCAGATAATTTTTTGTATTTTTAGTAGAGATGGGGTTTCACCATGTTGGTCAGGTTGGTCTCGATCTCCTGACCTTGTGATCCGCCTGCCTCAGCTTCCCAAAGTGCTAGGATTACAGGTGTAAGCCACTGTGCCCAGCCTCAAAGCTTTTAAAATCTATTTGTTTTTGCTATATTAATTATTATTATTATTATTATTGAGATAGAGTTTCGCTCTTGTTGCCCAAGCTGGAGTGCAATGGTGTGATCTTGGCTCACTGCAACCTCTGCCTCCTGGGTTCAAGCGGTTATCGTGCCTCAGCCTCCCAAGTAGCTGGGATTACAGGTGTGTGCCACCACACCCAGCTAATTTTTTGTATTTGTAGTAGAAATGGGGTTTTACCATGTTAGCCAGGCTGGTCTCAAGCTCCTGACCTGAGATGATCCACCCGCCTCGGCCTTCCAAAGTACGGGGATTACAGGTGTGAGCCACTGTGCCCTGCCAGTTATGTTGTTTTAAAAGATCTACACATGAGGTTCTTATTCCTTTTTGTTTTGTTTTTGTTTTGAGATGAGCTCTCACTCTGTCACCCAGGTTGGAGTGAAGTGGCACGATCTTGGCTCACTGAAAGTGGCTCAGTGAAAGTGGCATGATCTCGGCCCCCCTCAGCCTCCCAAGTAGCTGGGACCACAGACATGTGCCACTGCCCGACTAATTTTTGTATTTTTTGGTGGAGATGGTGTTTTGCCATGCCGCCCAGGCTGGTCTCAAACTCCTGAACTCAAGCTATGCATCTGCCTTGGCCTCCCAATGTACTGTGATTACAGGCATGAGCCACCATGCCTGGCAGAGGTTCTTATTTGTTTCAATTATTTGAATGTCAAAGGGTAAGATTACTGAATAAAAAAGTAGTCATTTTAATAGCTCCTGTTACAAGTGATTGAATACTAAATACATAACATGAAAGCAATATATTTATTTCTCACCAGCATTGCCAGGATTTTAAAATCATTTTTTGTTCAGTTAGTAGACATTTATTTACAGCCTTAAGATTATATTTTAAAATGATCAATAAATTACATAATTCAATAATTTTGCTGTTTTGTTTTCAATGGTGTGAACCAACACATTGACATAACAAGTTCCCTTGACATAATCTTAGAAATATGTCCTCACATACTATGTCCTCACATACTATAATATTAAACTTTTAACTATCTCAAGTATTTCTCCATTCTAGTGCTTTCCTTTTCATCCTGTTATATTGTGTTGTTTTTAATTACAAGTTTTAAATTTTTTATACAGCCATACTAATCTGGCTTGCTTTTTATTCTGTTTCTTCATTAATTCAAAATGTATTCTGCAGACATAGTGGCTGAATAAATTAAAAAAAAACAAGATCCAACCATATGCTGCCTATAAGAGACTCCCTTAAACTGTAAGAACACACAGACTCAAAGAAAAGTGGTGGAAAAAGGTATTCTATGCAAACGAAAACAAAAAAGGGCAAGAGTAGCTATACTAATACAAAATACATAGATAGACTTTAAGCCGAAAACTGTAAAAAGAGAAAAAAGACCATTATATAAAAGGTCATATAAAATGATCAATACAGCAGGAAGATGTAACAATTATAAATATATATGCATCCAACATTGGAGCACCTAAATATATAAAGCAATTATTAATAGACCTAACCTAATGGAATGTGCAGAATACACATTATTCTGCACATGGCTCATTCTCAAGCATATACCATATGTTAGGTCACAAAACAAGTCTTAAAAAATTAAAAAATTGAAATAATATCAAGCATCTTCTCTGACTAGAAAGGAATAAAACTAGATACCTATGGCTGGGCGTGGTGGCTCATGCCTGTAATCTCAGCACTTTGGGAGGCCAAGGCAGGCGGATCACGAGGTCAGGAGATTGAGACCATCCTGGCTAACACGGTGCAATGAAGTCCATACGAATTTAGAAGTCAAAATTGTGTCAATTATCTTTTCTAACCACAGTGGAATAAAACTAGAAATCAGTAACAGGAGGAATTTGGAAACTGTACAAATACGTGAAAATTAAACAACATGTTCCTGAATAACAAATGGGTCAATGAAGAAATTTAAAAAGAAATTTAAAACTTTATTGAGAAAATGTAAAAATAAATTTAAAACTAAAAATGTTTCCATATGAAAATGGCAACACAACATTCCAAAACCCATGAGATACAGCAAAAGTTGTTAAAAAGCAGGGGGACAAAGTTAAAGTGTAGAGTCTTCATTCATCTTCTATTTGCTTGTTAGTTTATGCAAGCAGTGTTAAGTCGCTCTCAGCTTAAAATCAAGTTATAAAATAGTATCTGCAAGCCTCATGATAACCTCAAATAAAAAAACATACAAAGGATACACAAAAAGTAAGAAGCAAAAAAAAAAAATCGTATCAGAGAAAATCAATTTCACTAAAAAGAACACAGGAACAAAAGCAAAAAGGAAGAGAAGACCACAAAACAACTGAAAAACAAATAACAAGATAGCAAGAGTAAGCCTTTACTTATGAGTAATAACAATGACTGTAAATGGACTGAACTCTCCAATCAAAAGACATACCTGGCAGAATGGATAAAAAAATAAGACCCATTTATCTGTTGCCTACATGAAACACACTTCACCTTTAAAGACATGCATAGGCTGAAAATAAGAGGATCAAAAAGATATTCCCTGCCAATGGAAACCAAAAAAAGAACAGAAATAGTTGTACTTATATCAGACAAAATAGACTTTAAAACAACAACTATAAGAAGAGACAAAAGAAAGCCACTATACAATTATAAAGGGGTCAATTTAGCAAGAGGACATAACAATTGTAAATATTTATGCACTCAATACCGAAGCACCCAGATATATAAAGGAAATATTATTACAGTTAGAGAGCTAGAACTCAATACAATTATAGCTGGAGACTTCAATACCCCACTTTCAGCATTGAACAGATCTTCCACACAGAAAATTAAGAAAGAAACACTGAACTTAGTATGTGTTATAGACCAAATGGACCTAATAGATATTTACAGAATATTTCATCCAAGAGCTGCAGAATACACATTATTCTGCACATGTCTCATTCTCAAGCATATACCATACGTTAGGTCACAAAACAAGTCTTAAAAAATTAAAAAATTGAAATAATACCAAGCATCTTTTCTGACTAGAAAGGAATAAAACTAGATACCTATGGCTGGGCATGGTGACTCATGCCTGTAATCTCAGCACTTTGGGAGGCCAAGGCAGGAGGATCACGAGGTCAGGAGATTGAGACCATCCTGGCTAAGACAGTGAAACTCCGTCTCTACTAAAAATACAAAAAAATTAGCCAGGTGTGATGGCATGTGCCTGTAGTCCCAGCTTCTGGGGAGGCTGAGGCAGGAGAATGGTGTGAACCCAGGAGGCAGAGCTTGCAGTGAGCCGAGATGGCACCACTGCACTCCAGCCTGAGTGACAGAGCAAGACTCCATCTCAAAAAAAAAAAAAAAAAAAACTAGATACCAACAAGAAGAGGAATTCTGGAGACCATACAAGCACATGGAAGTTAGACAATATGCTCCTGAATGAGTCAATGAAGATATTAAGATGAAAATTGAAAAATTTCTTGAAACAAATGGTAATGGAAACACAATATACCAAAACTTATGATACGCAGAAAGCACTGCAAAGGCAGAAATGTATAGCTGTATGTGCCTACCATCAAAAAAGAAGAAAATCTTCAAATAAATAACTTAAAAACTAGAAAAGTAAGAACAAAGTAAATCTGAAATTATGAGAAAAGAAATAAAGATCATAACAAATAAAATTGAAATTAAAAAATACACAAGATCAACAAAACAAAAAGTTGGTTTTCTGCAAAGTTAAAATCAAAAAACTTTTAGCCAGGCTAGCTAAGAATAAAGAGAAAATTCAAACAAGTAAAATCAGAGATAAAAAGGAGGCATTACAACGGATACTGCAGAAATTCAAAGGAGCATAACTTACTACTACATGCCAATAAATTTGAAAACCTAGAGAAACTGACAAATTCTTAGACACATACAACCTACCAAGATTAAACCATGAAAACTTCCAAGACCAGGACAGATCAGTAACAATAAGACTGAAGCCATCATAAAAAGTCTCCCAGTAAAAAAATGCCCAGGAACTGATGGCTTCATGGCTGAATTCTACTAAACATTTAAAGAACTAGTACCAATCCTACTCAAGCTATTTTGAAAAACAGAGGGAATACTTCCAAACTTATTCTATGAGGCCATTATTACCCTGACACCAAAATCAGACAAAGACATCAAAAAAGTAAACTATAGACCAGTATCTCTAATTAATATTGATGCAAAAATCCTCAACCAAATACCAGCAAAGCAAATTAAATTAGACAATACACTGAAAAGATAATTCATCATGATCAAGAGGGCTTTATCCCTGGGATGCAAGAATAGTTCAACATACAATCGGTGTGATACATCATGTCAACTGAATAAAGGACAAAACCATATGATCACTTCAACTGAAGCTGAAAAAGTATTTGATAACATTCAACATCCCTTCATGCCATACATTCTCAAAACATTGGGTACAGAACAAACATACCTCAACATAATAAAAGCCATATATGAGACCCACAACTATAATCATAGGGAATGGGGAAAAACAGAAAGCCTTTCCTGTAACATCTGGAACATGATAAGGATGCCCACTATCACCACTGTTATTTAACATAATACTGGAAATCCTAGCAAGAGCAATCAGTGCAGCCCCCTATAATGCCCCCAACCCGCCCCCAGCTGCGGGCAGTGCAGCACCCGATAGCCCCCCAACCCGCCTCCTGCTACAGGCATTGTAGCCCCCCCCAACACCATGGCTCACTAAACCCACCCTCGTCCAGCCTGCAGCTGATAGCGCCCCAACCCACCCCCTGCCGTGGGCAGAGCAGCCATGGTTACACACCTACTCCGCTGCTTTTCTGCCGCTCCAGCCTCTAGCCTGTGGCAAGGACTCCCTCTTCTCCTCCTGTAGCAGTGCACAGAGAAGCTCCAGCTGCAGGCAGCCCTCCTACCACTCAGGCAGCCCTGCAGTCTCCATCACTGCTACCCACCACAGCGAGGTGAACCACAGAGCCACAAGCTCCAGCCTCCACCCACCACAGCAAGGCGAGCCACAGAGCCACAAGCTCCAGCCTCCAGCATACCGCAGCTCACGCTTCCAAGCCAGGCACTGACCAAGCAGAACAGACAAACTCTGAAGAGCCTGGAATGGCCTAACTCCGCCTTAGCATGCTTTATATACCGAGGTTCCTGGACTACATGTTCTGATGGGATGAGAAGTCTTAGGATAACCAATCACAACATGATAATAAAGTCCAATCAGAATAGGCTTAGAGGTTTTCTCTCATCCAATCAGAACATGGGTGGCCACGAGGGAGACGGAAGTGTGGCCAAAGTGGTAAGATGGCAGCAAGGCAGCCAGACATGCTCCATGCCCTGCTACAGGAAGAGAAAAGGGAGCCCGCCTGCCACAGGCTGGAGGCTGGAGCCTGCGACACTATGGCTCACCTCGCTGAGGTTGGTGGCAGCCACGGAGACTGCGTCATACCAGCCGGAGTGGTAGAAAGGCGACAACAGGGTAAGTGCATATCAGCGGCTGCACTGCCTGGCGATGGGGAGCGGGTTGGGGGTGCTATTTGGGTGTCACTGCCTGCAGCGGGGAGCGGGTTGGGGCCCTATCCAGGGCTGCGCTGCCCACAGTGGGGGGCGGGTTGGGGCACTATCCTGGGCATCACTTCCGCCACAGGGGGCAGGTTGGGGGCGCTACAGGGTGCTGCAGTGTCCAAGGTGGGGAGGGGTTACGGGCGCTATGGGGGATACACTGCTGGCAAGTGGGGGGTGTGTTTGGGGCACTACTGGGGGATACACTGCCGGCGTCAGGTTAGGGGCGCTTTCAGGCTGCACTGTAGATAGCAGAGGTGGCTGCCACAGTGGTGGTCTCCAAGGAAGGAGCTGGACTCCAGACTCCTGATCACTGCAGGACCCCCACACCCACTGTGGTTCCTGGATCTGCGTCCTCTCACTCTGTGTGGCGGACAGACAACCTGGGACCCCCAGGCATGGAGTAGCAGGTACCACGGGTGGAGGCCCTGTGGGTGGAGGCGTCAGGAACAGAAACCGGCACCTGGGTGGTGGGGGGAGGTGTCTGGGTCTGAGTTTCTGCTATTCCTGCTCCCTGAGGAGTGCAGCCCCGGTGCCCAGCAGTTCCTGTGGAATGGATAGCCAGCCACTGTGGAGTCTCCAGTCCCCACCCCAGGCCCCAGTTCCTGGCCCGTTGGGCCAGAGGAGAAGCTGGACTTTGGAGGGTGTGAGTGCCTTCACTGAAACCAGCCCCTCCCACCCAGTGGCCAGCCTGACAAGGTGAGGTTCTAACACTACCAGTCGCTCCATCCTGTTTTAGGCTTTTCTGGCTTTGCCCGCCGAGCTGCTCTGTGCCCGGAGGAGCCCCCTGTTGGAGGCTGGGGCCTGCCACACTGTGTGGCTCATCTCGCTGCCACCACCTGCTGCAGTGGGTGGCCACCGCCGAGACTGCAGTGTGCTGGAGCGGTAGGAGGGCGGTGGTTATGGCCAGGGGTGCAGCAGTGGCCAGGGGGTAGGAGCCTTGTAGGGTGGACCAGTGCATTGAGGGTGACAGCAGCGGTGGTTGTATTGGCATCAGCGCTAGTGGTAGCAGCAGCAGCAAATCTGGGGTCAGGGAAGTGGGAGTGGGAGAGCTGTGGCAGCCTGCCTGGCCTGGCCTGGCATCAGTAGGAACCTGTGGGTGCTGTACCGTGGGCCTCAGTGGCAGCGGTGGAGGAGCAGCCAGGGTAAGGAGGAGTCCTTCTTCTTTTTCTGCAGAATCTGAAGGGTCCTTCCTCCTGCTGACACGTGAGCCAGGTGTGAGTGTAGCATTATCTCACTCTTTAACAAAATTTAGGGGGTGACTATTTGTGTATCTTTTTGCTTGTTTTGTTGTTGTTGTTGTGAAAAAGTCTTAAACTTTTTCAAATTTCTTGAATCAAGGAGGGGAATCAAGGTATCGTAATAGGCCTTCCGATTCCCTCACCTGTTCTTTTTCCTTTCTTCCAGTCTGTTTTTTTCTTTTTCTCATTATCATCTTGTTCCTCTTTATTCGCTAATGCCACTGCTTCTATTTCTTGTTTCTATTCTTGTCTTTCCTCCTCCTCCTTTTGCTTTTCCCCAAGCAATGGCATTAACAAACCAAAACGGAGTTGAAAATAAACTACTTGTCAGTGTGTTGTATTTTAAAAATAATCGGTCCATTACTATGTTTTAGAGATTTGCATAATTATTTAGTTACTTGAATAGCTATGCTTTCCTGATACTGTTAATGCGTTGTAAGTAGTTACTCGAGAAATTAAAAAAATGAAGCATCAAGTGAAATAGTGGTAGCAAACAGCCATTTCATCTCTCTCACATATTAGTCCAGAAATAGGCAAGAGGCATGGGGAAGAGTAAGTTCCAATTCATGAGATCATTAAGTGAGCTGTATTTCCCTTTATGTTATTTCTCTGCCACTATTTTCAACAGTATTATCTACATGAGCAAACCTAGTTTGTCACCACATCTTTGCAACAAGAAAAGGAAGGGGAAGATCATGTGTATAATGTTTTAAGGCCAGGATCCACAACCAAAAACAAGGCTTTATTAAGTTTTGCTTTTAAGAACCTGCAGTATTGAGCTTTCTTTTATTCCTAGTATTACAACCTTTAGTATGAACTCTTTTTTTAGTGATTGTTCTAGAAGTTTATGCATTTGATTGACTACTTTAAAGAAACAAATCTATATTGTATCATTTTTTCAAGCCCACATAAATGGGTAAGGCCTATAATTTTGACACTTTTAAAATTATTTGTAAGGTATGACATGTAAAATACTGTTGATATATGGAAGAATATGCGTAAGTATCACCAGATAGCTTATTTTGAAGAGATGGTGTCTAAATTATTGTCCAGAGTAGATTGGTTGCAATTTCTTAGGTGTGTTTCTCAGTACATTGCCTCAATGTTTTAAAGCACATAGAAATTTGAATTCTGTTTACTCTCATATAGTCCTTTGTTTGTAAGTTGTTTAATATTTCTAGAGACTAAAGCCATCGCAGCCCCCTTTAAGATTCAGTAATGTTAACAAAATTTGAAGTATGTAGGGTTAGAATCCAACAAATTCAGAGGAAAATTGTTATATAGCTCCAGAGCAGGAAATGAAGCCTAGGTTCTAAGCTCTGAGGGGACCATGAGCTACCATACATCATTGACCAGGCATAGAATGGGCAGAATTACAGGATGGTTAAGAGAGTGAGCTGTGGAGCCTAACTCTATGTGAACACGAATTTTTTTTTTTTTACGGATTCTCGCTCTGTCACCCAGGCTGGAGTGCAGTGATGCAATCTTGGCTTACTGCAACCTCTGCCTTTCAGGTTCAAGGGATTCTTTTGCCTCAGCCTCCCATATAGCTGGGACTATACAGGTGCATGCCACTACACCTGGCTAATTTTTGTATTTTTTGGTAGAGACGGGGTATCACCCTGTTGGCCAGGTTTGTCTCAAACTCCAGACCTCAGGTGGTCAGCTTGCCTTGGCCTCCCAAATTACTGGGATTACAGGCATAAGTTACTGAGTCTGGCCTGGGGTGGTTACTGTTGAAGTATTATCTTTGTATCCCAAACAGGCCCTTCTGAAACCGATGACGTTGATGAAAAACTCCTTCTACTGAAGTCTTTGCAACGTATAATCTTTTCACTTCAATTTTGCTACATACTGTTTCTATTTAATGGTTCCTTGTATTCCACAGACTGTATTTTAGTATTTATAACTATAGTATTCCTTTTATATGTGGAAAAGGAAAACTGCATTGGCCTTTTTTTTTAACATATAAATGAACTTCATAAACAACAATTTTTCAAATCAGTTTTCCCTGTTGTGAATCTTGAAGTGGGTACATGGCACACTTTCCTGTTTAAGGTAAAGTGCACATTTATCCCTTATCTCAGAACAGTCAGAAGTCAGGTTCTTATTGTATGGTTAGTAATGCAAATATCGATAAGGTCGTGTTGATACTTAGTATTTAGAATTCTGAAATAGCACTTGTTAATCTGTAAGTTTTATGCATTTGTTACCTTTTTTTTTAAAATTTTTACAGTGTTCCCAAACTTGACACTCATAGGCTATTAGTAATAGGTTTTACTTCGATCTCTTCTGGCCTCAAGTACATAAGATGTATTTTCTTTAGGTTTAGCATATAATATAAATTTAATTGTTTATTTCAGATTTTAAAAGAAGAAAAAGGACCTATAGAATCATTGTTTACATTGACACTGGCCCAACTGTCCCATGGATGGGTTTTTTTTTGGATCAACATAAAAATTGACCCTGCTGTTAAAGGTTGAAACTTGTATCTGTTCTGAGTTCTCTCCTTAAAAAAAGACCTTCAGGAAGTATCAAATAACAAACATAACAAATCACAGCACCATATGCCTCCTGCTCCTCCCTAATTTCTGTTCTCTTATACATTGTTACATTTCTTTCCTGCCCCTATTAGTCAAGCCATGGATTTGAGACTGAGTTCCCAGCTCCTGGGCTGCAGCACCAGGTTAAAGCTTTCTTCCTTGGCAGTGCTTGTCGCCTCAGTGATTGGCTTTTTCTCCAATGAGCAGCAGGACCTGGATGAAACCCTTGGTGTTTGAAACCCTTGGTAATAACATGAACAACTGTCTTAACTTACTCTTTATTGAAATTTTACATTTTAACTAGTGGCCTCTTCTTTATTATCTCCCATTCCTTTGATCTCGTATCTTTTTCTTCACTTTACAGTCAAAGAACTTAATGCTCCCTAAATCCAAATATTAAGGTTAAAAGAAGAGAAAGGAAATGTGTGCAGAGAAAGTATGTTTTACAAATGAATTAAAGATGGATTCCTAGATAAAGGTTTTTAGATTTACCTAGAGTTTTGAGTTCAGGTGAGTTTTCACAATATGCAGTAAGTGGAAAAGAATCCCAAGATAATTGTGACATGAAAAAGCTCGATGTTGAAAACCAAAAAGATTTCACTTTGGCATCGTACTTTTAATTCAAGAATACTAGCCATCAAATGAGTTTTTCTGACTGTAATCATTGCTCTTTAAAAATTAAGAGAAGATGGGGCCGGGCACGGTGGCTCACGCCTGTAATCCCAGCACTTTGGGAGGCTGAGGTGGGTGGATCATGAAGTCAGGAGATTGAGACCACGGTGAAATCCCATCTCTACTAAAAATACAAAAAATTAGCTGGGCGTGGTGGCGGGCGCCTGTAGTCCCAGCTACTCGGGAAGCTGAGGCAGGAGAATGGCGTGAACCTGGAAGGAGGAGCTTGCAGTGAGCCGAGATTGCACCACTGCACTCCAGACTGGGCAACAGAGCGAGACTCCATCTCAAAAAAAAATAAATTAAGAGAAGATGTATTTATAACTTTTACTTTTAGTACAGCTTCTGAATTTAGTTATCAATAGATAGGACAAAATAGATGAGCATCTGCTTCCCTTCCCCCTAAACAATGTATTCTTACTGAAATGTAATATATTTTTATTTATACTTGAAGACACTGTTTTTCAATCTTTTCCTTGTTAGTAGCTCAGATCTTTAAGGACAGAGGATGTATACTGGGGGCAGCTCGTGGTCTTAATCCTGACTGGCACTCTGATATTTTAGATTTCTTTTGTATTTGTGAATAAAACTTCTGCTCCAGTAGGATGAGCCTGTTTACCTTGTGACTCCCTAACTAATCTATTGCTTTATAGATTCAAGTTCAAGTGATTCTCCTACTTCAGCCTCCCAAATTGCTGGGATTACAGGTGCCCGCCACCACGCCTGGCTAATTTTTTGTATTTTAGTAGAGATGAGGTTTCACCATGTTGGCACGGGCTAGTCTCAAACTCTTGACCTTGGTGATAGGCCCATCTCAGCCTCCCAAACTGCTGGGTTTACAGGCAAGAGCCACCACGCCCGGCCTACTATGTCTTAAAAGTGTTTGCATCGTTACCTAGATTCTCTTTCAATGTGAGTTTTTATTGGTTTATTATAGGTTATTTTATTTTTAGGAAGCCATCATTCTTTAGAGGGCAATGACGGAACAGTACCAGCAGAAATTGAAGTACCAGCAGAAGGTTTTTTTTGTTTTGTTTTGTTTTGTTTTTCCAGCAGAAGGTTAAGAGAAAAAGACATTTTATATTTTATTGTATTTGTTGGGTTTTTTTTTTTTTTTTTGAGATGGAGTTTTGCTCTGTCACCAGGCTGGAGTGCAGTGGCACGATCTTGGCTCAGTGCAACCTCCGACTCCCTGGTTCAAGCAATTCTCCTACCTCAGCCTCCCAAGTAGCTGGGACACACGCCACCACACCCAGCTATTTTTTGTATTTTTAGTAGACACCGGGGTTTCACCATATTGGCCTGGATGGGCTCCATCTCCTGACCTCCTGATGCACCCTCCTCGGCCTCCAAAAGTGCTGGGATTACAGGCGTGAACCACCACGCTCGGCCACCTCCTCTTGTACTTGGGAGAAATGCACTGATTCTGGTTGCCACGTGGATTTATTTTGGGAGTGATATTGATCTAACTTTATGGAAATAATACTAGATAGAAAGTTAGCGGATGGATTCTCTATCTAATGAGAGTTTTGGGCAAATCGAATACCAAGTTTCCGAGTCTTACTTTTCCTCTGATGCAAGAAAACTCTGAATTAGCCAGCCTGTGAAAAACTCTCACAGCTCTGGATGTGAGTTTAGGACACTGGATTTCTACCACTCAATTTCTTACTACTTTTCTTGCGCAGGGATCATGGCACAAGTTGCAGTTTCCACCCTGCCCGTTGTAGATGAGGAGTCCGTTGAAGATGAGGAGTCCATTGAAGATGAGGAGTCCTTGGAGAGCAGGATGGTGGTGACATTCTTCATGTCAGCTCTTGAGTCCACGGTGAGACCTTCTGTTCTAACATTCTATGGTCGGGTAGGACTGGGCGGTAGATAAAATTGATTTGTTTTTGTAGAACATATAATTTTATGATTTTTATTTCTAATGAGTATATCTTTTTCTTGAATAGTAGTTATGATCAAACACTTCTAACCAAATGTGCCATGTTATCCAGCCTGGTCTCAAAATTCTGGGCTCCAGCGACCTGCCCGCCTTAGCCTCGAAAAGTGCTGGGATTACAGGTGTAAGCCATTGAACCTGGCCAAATATTTTTCTTTGTATGGCTGAATAATACTCTGTATATGTATATATTACATTTTCTTCATTCACCATTCATCCATCATCCATTCATCCATTCTTTATCAACCCTGATGGGCATTAGGGTTGGTTCTACCTGTTGGCCACTGTGAATAATGCTGCTGTTAAACGGGTGTACAAATACCTGTTTGAGTCCCTGCTCTCAGTTCTTTTGGGTATATACGCTTAAAGGGTGTTGGTGGATCAAATAATTCTATGCTTAGTATTTTTAAGGAGCTGCCAAACCATTTCCCACAGTGGGCTGTACCATTTTACATTCCAAAAAGCCTCCAATTTCTCTATAGCATTACTGACAGTTAATATTTTGTTTATATACTGTATTTTTATACTGTTTGAAATTAATCTGAGGGTTTTTGCTAATACCAAAATATTAGGAAAGTTTTTCCAAAAATCATATTCCTTATTATAAAGACTTTTACATGTTACTTGATGCCCTGTGATCTATTTTCTCAGTAAGAAGAGGAACTTCCTGGCTGGGCGCGGCGGCTCATGCTTGTAATCACAGCATTTTGGGAGGCCGAGGCAGGTGGATCACAAGGTCAGGAGTTCAAGACCAGCCTGTCCAACATAGTGAAACCCAGTCTCTACTAAAAATAATAATAAAAAAAAATTAGCCGGGTGCAGTGGCAGGCACCTCTAATCCCAGCTACTTGGAAGCCTGAGGCAGGGAACTGGTTGAACCCGGGAGGCAGAGGTCGCAGTGAGCCAAGACAAAGACACTGCACCCCAGCCTGTGTGACAGAGTGAGATTTGGTCTCAAAAAAACAAAAAAGAAGAACTTCTCTCCATCCAGTCTCATTCCACTGCACCAACTCTTTTTTGTGTCGGGTTGTGCAGGGGAGAAAGGGAGCTTGGCACCTCTTTCCTGTGTTGACTTGTGGTAGCCCATCACTGGGCACTGGGTTGTACAGCGCCTTGTCTCCTCTTTTTTGTTTTTGTTTTTTTGAGACCGAGTCTCACTCTGTTGCCCAGGCTGGAGTGTAGTGGTGCGATCTCAGCTCACTGCAACCTCAGCCCCCCCGGGTTCAAGCGATTCTCCTGCCTCAGCCTCCCAAGTAGCTGGGGCTACAGGCATGTGCCACCACACCTGGCTAATTTTTTATTTTTAGTAGAGATGGGGTATCGCCATGTTGGCCAGGCTGGTCTTGAACTCCTGACCTCAGGTGATCCGCCCACTTTGGCCTTCTGAAGTGCTGGGATTATAGGCATGAGCCACCGTTCCTGGCCGCCTCCTCTTTTACTTGGGAGAAATGCACAGATTCTGGGTGCCATGTGCATTTATTTTGGGAATGATATTGATCTAACTCATGGAAATAATACTAGATAAGAAAGTTAGCGGATGGATTCTCTAATCTGATGAGAGTTTTGGGCAAATGGAATTCCTAGTTTCTGAGTCGTATTTTTCCTCTGATGCAAGAAACCTGTGAATTAGCCAGCTAGTGAAAAACTCTCACAGTTCTGGATGTGAATTTAGGACACTGGATTTCTATCACTCACTTTCTTACTACTTTTCTCACGCAGGGATCATGGCACAAGTTGCAGTTTCCACCCTTTCCTTTGAAGATGAGGAGTCTGTTGAAGATGAGGAGTCCTTGGAGAGCAGGATGGTGCTGACATTCCTAACGTCAGCTCTTGAGTCCATGGTCAGACCTTCTGTTCTAACATTCTGTAGTTTGGTAGGATTGGGAGGTAGATAAGGTTGATTTGTTTTTGTAGAATGTATAATTTTATGATTTTTATTTCTAATGAGTAGATCTTTTTCTTGAATAGTAGTTATGGTCAAACACCTCTAACCAAATGTGCATGTGGAGTTTCTACACCGATTTTCGGACAATCTGGATACCAACTGGGTATCCCACAATTCCATCCTGACACTCCCCGGAGTTAGTGCAGACCCCGCAGGATGGGGGCTCAGTCCCAGGAGTCTACCCTCACTCCACATGCCAATTGCAAGTCCTGGGTTGTTAACATGTACTTTTGACAAACCAGTTAGGAAACAGGGTCTCATAACCCCCTTCGTGGGTGGAATCATTTGCTAGGACAGCTTGCGGAACTCAAAAAACAAGTTATTTTCTTTTATTCTCAGATACAGGGTCTCACTCTGTTGCCAGGCTGCAATGCAGTGGTGTGATCAAAGCTCACTGTAGCCTCGAGCTCCTGGGCTTAAGTGATCCTCCCGCCTCACCCTCCCAAATAGCTGAGACTACAGGCCTGCTCCACCACATCTGGCTATGTTCTTTTATTTTTTGTAGAGATGGGGTCTTGTTATGTTGCCCAGGCTGGTCTCAAATTTCTGGGCTCACATAATTCTCCCACCTCAACCTCCCAAAGTGCTAGGATTATGGGCATGAGCCACTGTGTCTCACCAATTTACGTTCTATTACTGGTTCACTGTAAAGGATATATGTTAGAAACAGCCAGTGAAAGAGATGTACATGTTGGGCACAGTGGCTCATGCCTGTAATCTCAGCAGTTTGGGAGACTGAGGCGGGAGCATCACTTAAGCTCAGGAGATTAAGACCAGCCTGGGTAACGTGGTGAAATCCCATCTCTGCAAAAAAATTTTTCTAAACGTTAGCCAGGTGCAGTGACATGTGCGTGTAGTTCTAGCTACTCAGAAGGCTGAGAGGATGGCTTGAGCTAGGGAGGCATAGGTGGCAGTGAGCCACGATTGTGCCACAGCACTCTAGCCTGGGAGACAGAGCCAGACCCTGTCTCAAAAAAAAAAAAAAAAAAAAAAAAAAAAAAAATGCACAGAGCAAGGTATGTGGGGGGAAGGGCACAGAACTTCCATGCTCTCTGTTGTGCATGTTACCCTCCTCATATGCCCCTTGTGTTCAACAACCCAGGCATTCTCCAAACCCTGTTGTTGAGGGTGTTGATGAAGGCTTCGTTATGCAGGCATGATTGTTGAAATCATTGACCATTGGTGATTAAGTCAATCTTCGGCCACCATTTCTTCTGGAGCTCAGTGGGTGAGACTCACAGTTCCAAGCCTCTGGCAACCAGCCCTCCTCCTGAAGCTGTCTAGGAGCTTTCAGTCACCCAGTCATCCAGTAACATCACCAAATGCATTCGTACTATGGTGGAGATCCCAAAGGTCTTAGAGGCTCTTGTGTTAGAAACCTGGGACTAACACCAAATATTGAAACAAAAGATGCCCCTATCACCTTTATCAACGAGGACTTTATAAGAACTTTAGAAGCTCTGTGTCAGGACCAGGGGCAGAAACCATATGTGTTTTTCTTTTCTTTTTCTTTCAGACACAGAGTCTCTCTCTTTTACCCAAACTAGAGTGCAAATGATGCAGTTATAGCTAACTGCAGCCTCAACCACCTGGGCTCAAGCAATTCTCCCACCTCAGCCTTCAAAGTATCTGGGAGTACAGGTGCACACCATCCACGCCTGGCTAATTTTTCTATTTTTTTTTTTTTTTTTTTTTTTTGTAGAGATGGGATCTTGTTATGTTGTCAAAGCTGGTCTCAAACTCCTGGGCTAAAGCAATCCTTTCACTTCAGCCTCTCAAGTAGCTGAAACCACAGATGCATACCGCCATGCCCAGCTAATTTTTTCTTATTTCTTTTTGTTGTTGTTGTTGTTGTTGATTTGGGGGTTATCACTATGTTTCCCAGGCTGGTCTCGAACTCCTGACCTCAAGCGTTTTTCCCACTTTGACCTCCTAAACTGTTGTGATTACGGGTGTGAGCCACAGCCACTGTGTCCAGCAATCACAAGGGTCTTTATAAGAGAAAGAGGGAGGTAAGAGAGTCAGAATTGGAGGAGATGCGATGATAGAAGCAGAGGTCAGAGAGGGAAATTCGAATATGCTTTGCTTTTGGCTTTGAAGATGCAGTTAGGGGCCATGAGCCAAGGAATGGGGGTGGCAATAGAAGCTGAAACAAGCAAGGGAATGTATCCTCTCTGGAGCCTCCAGAAGGAATGCAGTCCTGCTGACACCTTGACTTTAGCCTTAATGGACCTATTTTGGACTTCTGGCCCCCAGACCTATTAGGTAGTAGATTCCTGGTGTATTAAGCCACTCAATGTAGGCTAGTTTGTAACAGCACCGAGAAGAAATGGACATGAAGCCACGGGTGGTGGCCCACACCCATAATTCCAGCTATTTAGGAGGCCGAGGCAGGAGGATGGCTTTGGCTCAGGAGTTCAAGACAAGCCTGGACAACATAGTGATACCCTGTCTATACAAAAAGAAAAAAAATAGCAGGTGTGGTGGCATGCACCTGTAGTCTTAGCTACTAGAGGAACTGAGGCAAGACGATTGCTTGACCTAGGAGTTTGAGGTCTCAGTGTGTTGTGATCATGCCATGGCACCCCAGCCTGAGTGACACAGTGAGATTTTGTCTAAAAAAAAAAAAAAGAAAGAAATGAGTGAGCATGGCAGGAATGGGGACAGATGGCAATATTAAATAGAGTGGTCAGGATTGGCCTCCTAAGTGAAAATTGAGCAAAGACTTGAAGGAGGGGAAGGAGCTGGCCAAGGTGCTGAGGGAAGAGCACTGTAGGCAGAAACAATAGAATAAAGATGCTAGGAGGGAACTCCATGGTGTGTCTGAAGCTCAGGAAAGAGGCCCGTGGAGCACAGAGAGGGAGAGAAGTAGGGTAGGATGCCAGGGAGTTGTTGGGCTCAGATCAGTACAGATTGTATAAGCCCTGGGAGGCTATTGCTGGGGCTTTGGCTTTTACTCTGACTGAGATGGGAACTGCAAGAATGTTCTGAGCAGAGAGGCGACATGATCTGTCTCCTGATTTAAAAGCATCCCATGGCGGCTGAGTTGAGAAAGACTGTGAGAAGATTTGGGTAGAAGCAGGGAGGCCAAGCTGTGGCAGCATCCAGGTAGGAGATGATAGTGCTTCTGACGAGGGTCCTGGCAATGGTGAGAGATGGTTGATTCTTGTTGAAATACTAAGTAATTAAAAAAAAACACTACTGCCTTTCCCAATTATATGAAGTATGGGATGCTAGATTAAAGAAATCTCAAGTCAGGCCAGGTGCAGTGGCATATGCCTGTAGTGCTAGCACTTTGGGAGGCAGAGATGGGAGAATTGTTTGAGTCCAGGAATTTGAGACCACCCTGGGCAACATAGCAAGACCTCCTCTCTACAAAAATAATAATAATAAAAATATAATTATCCAGGCATGGTGATTTGTGTCTGTAGAACCAATTTATCAGGTTGTCGAGGTGAGCAGATCTCTTGAGGGTGTGATTTTGAGGCCAGCTTGGGCAACATAGCAAGGCTTCTCTCTACAATTAAAAAAAAAAAAAAAAAAAAAGCTGGGTGTTGTGGTGCTCACCAGTAGTCCTAGCTATGGGGAGGCTGAGGCAGGAGGGATCCCCTGAGCCTAGGAGGTCAAGGCAGCAGTTAGCTATGAGAGCACCACCGCATTCCAGCCAGAGTGACAGAGTGAGTCCCTATCTCAAAATACAAATACAAGTAAAGAAATCTCAAGTCATACCAGTCCCTTTTTGACTATGCAGCCTTTGCAACCCCATAGCTGTGCGATTGGGTTTGTGTTGCTGGAGATGAGGAGACCCGTGCCCAGGTGTTGTTGCTTGTCCAATCAGTTTATTTTTAAATATATTAACAAAATTTATTTCATCACACTTGATGAGCTCATATGTGTGATTTTTTGAATTCTCCTTTGAATAGCTTGTAACTATTTGAACATCTTATTGGTTCCATAATTAATTAATTCTTTTTCTAATTAGCTTTTTAAAAACCAGAATTGATATTAGACTAATCAGTTTTTATTAATGAGGAGATGAAATTGAGTTGTTTGCACACTTTAAGATTAGTGTCGTATTGGCCAGATCACGTCAATAGTTGAGCAAGTGCAAAATTAGAGCTTCTTCAGCATAGAACTCTCTCGTGGTTCTTGAAGATGACTTTTTTTTTTTTTTGTCTTTAATAAACTGCTGGTATCATTTCAGACCACTTGCTATTTAGGCACTTAGGAATTTTTCACTGGAATTCATGTAAAGAAAGACCATGGGCGTTTGTACTGGATTTAGTATTCATCATTCGACTGCATGACTCACCCCTAGAGCCATAATTTTACTAATGAATTTTTCAGATACTACTCAGCTAGCGACTGAACCTAACCAGCAACCCACCCTCAACCACTTGATGGTCTTTTGTTCTTCTCTGTTCCTCCTGAAACTCAGTTACTCTCAGAAGGTGATAAATACTTGCATTTCTTTTTTTTTTTTTTCTTCCTAGAGACAGGGTCTTGCTCTGTCACCCAGGCTGCAGTGCGGTGGCGTGATCATGGCTCACTGCAGCCTGAAACCCCTGGGCTCAAACAATCCTCCCACCTCAACCTCCCAAGTAGCTGGGACTACAGACGTTTGCCAGTACACCCAGCTAACTTCTTTATGTTTTACTGTAGAGACGGGATCTTGCTATGTTGCCCAGGATGGTGTCAAACTCCCTGCCTCAAGTGATCTTTCTGCCTCAGCTTCCCAAAGTGCTGGGATTATATATATGCAGGCGTGAGCCACCTGTGTTCAACTCCCTATTTTCTTTTTTTAATAACAATTTTATTGAAATATGATTAACATATCATACAATTCATTTATCAAATTATGCGATTCAGGCCGGGCGCAGTGGCTAATTCCTATAATTCTAAGACTTTGGGAAGCTGAGGCAAGTGGATCGCTTGAGTTCACAAGTTTGAGACCAGCCTGGGCAACATGGCAAAACAGCATGTCTAGATAAAATACAAAAATTAGCTGGGTGTGGTGGCTTATGCCTGTAGTCCCAGCTACGTGGGGACATGAGGCTGGAAGATCTCTTGAGCCCAGAAGGCCTAGATAGGTTGCAGTGAGACCAGATGGTACCACTGCACCACAGCATGGGTGACATAAGGTGACCCTGTCTCTAAATAAATAACGAAAAGAAAGAAAGTATGCAATTCAGTGGTTTTTAGAATATTCACAGAGCTGTGCATCCATCACCACAGTCACTTTTAGAAGTGATTACCCACTTATGAGGTACCCACTTATGAGTGAGAAACCCTCACCTCTTAGTCACTACCTTCTACTTCCCCCATGTTCCTGTGTCTTTATAGGCAGCCACTGATTTTCTGTCATTGTAGTTTTGCCTAATCTGGATTTTTTATAGAAATAGAAATTGTACAATATATGATCTTTTGTAGTTTGCTTTTTTTTCTCTTAGCACAGTGTTTTCAAATTTCTTTCACGTTATAGTTTGTATCAGGATTTCTTTCCTTTTATAGCTGAGCAATAGTTTATGTTTATCCATTCATCAGTCAATGGACACTTGTGTTGTTTCTTGCATATTGGCTGTCACAAGTCACGCTGCTATAACCACTCACATGCAAGTTTTAGTGTGAACATATATTTTTATTTCTCTTGGATTTACACCCAGGAGTGAAATTGTTACATTATGTGATAACTATACATTTAGCCTTTGAGAAACTGCCACGTTGTTTTTCAAAGTGGTTACACCAGTCAGACCCTGTGTCCAAAAAAAATTAAATAAGTCTACTGTCAAGAGAATTTTCTTTCCAGGTGACTACTGCTCTAAGGAAACCATTTGAACTTTAGTTTTAGCACTTCTGTGCTAAAACTTAAGAAAGATGTTAATGACTATTCATCTTAATTGTCATATCATTTGTTACATGTGATTCACTTAGCTAAATATCACTTAGAAATTCAGAGTTCTGTTTACCAAAGATTTCAAAAAATTTTCCCATGAAACAGCCCAGTCTTGAAATGAAAAGTTATATATGCATAAGATTGCCTGTCACACACCGGACAAACCAATTAAAGGAAGTAGAAATTGTCATATGTCTCAGAATAGATTGTATGTAACATTCTCAAATCTAGGTGAGATTAGATTTGAGATTAGCTGACTTTGAAGAGAGTTAGTCTTTTTTTTTTTTTTTTTTGAGACAGACTCTTGCTCTGTTGCCTAGGCTGGAGTACAGTGGTGTGATCTCAGCTCACTGCAACCTCTGCCTCCCGGGTTCAAGTGATTCTTCTGCCTCAGCTTCCCAAGTAGCTGGGACAATGGCGTGCGCCACCACACCCAGCTAAGTTTTGTATTTTTGATAGAGACAGGGGTTTCACTATATTGGCCAGGCTGGTCTCAAACTCCTGACCTCAGGTGATCTGCCTGCATCGGCCTCCCAGAATACTAGCATTACAGGCGTGAGCCACCATGCCCAGTCTCAGCTAGTCTTTTGACTGATGGATGTTTAACATCTCAGCAAAGTTCCTTTCATGCACATGAATTAGTTACACTAACTTCTCCTAGATTTGTTAGAAGAAAAAGGAGTTATCTTCAGTTTGTTTGTTTGTTTTTGAGATGATGTCTCACTCTGTCGCCCAGGCTGGAGTGCAATGGCGCAACCTTGGTTCACTGCAGCCTTGACCACCCAGGTTCAAGCAGTTCTCCTGCCTCAGCCTCCCCAATAGCTGGGATTACAGGTGTGCACTACCACACCTGGCTAATTTTTGTATTTTTAGTATATACAAGATTTCACCATGTTGGGCTCAAACTCCTGACCTCTGCTGATCTGCCTGTGTTGGCCTCCCAAAGTGCTGGGATGACAGGCATGAGCCACTGTGCCTGGCCTTACGTTATTCTTTTTCAAGGAAATGAAACCTTCCTTCAGAATTGCTATATTGCCTTAATTTCATGAATATCTGAGTGGCCAACAGACTAGGCAAACAAAACATACATGTGTAACTGCCTCATGGAACTTACGGATTACAGAGGGAGACAGGTACTAAATATTCCTGCAAATAAATATGTGATTTCAAAGTGTGATAAATACTTTGTAGAAAATAAATAGAATGCTGTAACATAGAGGAGAATAAAGGAGGAAACGTCTTGTAGATCAATTGAGCAAGGAAGACCTCTTTGAAACAGTAGAATTTTAGCTGCAAGCTGGTCATTGATAGGTTTTAGCCAAATAAAGAGATGTGGGAAGAGCTTATGCAAGGCAAAAGCCATGTGTACCTGTTAATGTCAGGAGCCACTTCAGTGGACACTGTGTTGGAGGAAAGGGCTTGGAGAGGCAGATAGGATTGTTTTATTCTAAGTGCTGTAGGAACCCCATGAAAGGTCTTAAGCCTGGATGTGAAATCCATTTTATATTTTAGAGGTCACTGTGGCAATTTTTAAATAAATGAATTGTACTCATACATTTTCTAAGTCTGTTGGTGTTACCTATGAAGAAAATATACAGTATTTAAAAAATTTAAATAAGATAAATGTACTTTGTAAATAGGCAATTATACTTCGATGAGCTTTGTGGTGTTGCTATGTGAAATGTTAAGATAGTGGTAGGAAAACCAAGCTTGGGGTTCCTCAGCGTTGTTCATTTGCCACAGCTTTTGAAAGACAGGTAGGCACATGGTGGAACTTAATTACTTTAGACTCTTGAGTCCTAGTCTGCCCTTGGACTCTCAGGTTCTAGGCAGAGAGAGAGATGTAGAAGTGAGATGCAGAAGTGTGTAGATTCTAAAGGGTGTAGAATTTGGAAGAAGATGATGGGAAGGTAGAAATATTTATGTGAATGTAGGCAGTGTTGGAGCAGGAGAAAGGGAATAGCAAACAGAGATAAGAAGGGTCAGCAACTTTCAGTAACCTGAACCATTCACTTTTTGCCCCATTTTATAACTACTCTGGAGGCTGAGGTGGGAGGATCGCTTGAGCCCAGGAGGTTGCAGCAGCAGAGGGCTGGACATGGGGGCTCACCTGCTTGTCTCTGTGACCGTAGATATACTAAAATGCTGAAGTCAAATACGGATTTTGCAAGTAAAATACTGTTAGAATTTGAGCCTTTCAGTTCATTCTTTTTTGGGTATTATATTGATATATTTCAAAAATTCACATTAAAGTATAATCAACTGTGTCCTTTTGTGGAAACGTGTTGATTTGCCATGCCATAGGAAAGCAGAGGATACATGTCTGAAAGTAAAAGATAGTGATGATACAAAATTACATTTGACATTTTGCAAAGATTTTTCTGTCCTTGAGCAATGTTTGATGGAGAAGTATATGTTAATAAATATTGTAATAAATATTGTTCTGGAATATAATTTAAAAATTCAATGTCTATTTTGACAGGCCAGTAGCAGGATATGCTAACCTGTGTCCAAATATGATCTCTACCCAGCCTCAGGAGTTTACTGGGATGCTGTCCACAGTGAAACAGATTATTCATGCCCTGATAAATTCTACCATTACTTTCTTTCCTTCATGCCTTGATTTTCTGCTTATTAGGTTCTCGTTTTTATACATATATTCCATTTTAAGATGATATGGATTCCTAGATTCATGTTCAATAAAAATACACAAATTAGTGGCGCATGGTGGTGTGCACCTGTGGTCCCAGCTGCTGGGAGGCTGAGGTGGGAGCATGGCTTGAGTCAAGGCTGCAATGAGCTAAGATTGTGCTGCTGCACTCCAGCCTGGTGATAAAGGCAGACCTTGTATCAAACAAGAAGATTTATAAAGCTTTTTCCTCCCTTAAAATTCTAAGATTTAAGAATTAATGATACTGAAAGGCCTATGAAAGTATGTAGATATGGCAGAGCCTGCGCTGCTGCTGCTGTTTGTTTGTTTTTTAAGGCATTACCATGGCTTACTGCAGCCTCAACCTCCTGGGCTCCAGTGATCCCACCTGAGCCTCCCAAGTAGCCGGGACTGCAGACATGTGCCACTACACTCGGCTAATTTTTTTTTTTTTTTTTTTTTTTTTTTTTTTGTGTGTGTGGTAGAGACATGGTCTCGCTGTGTTGCCCAGGCTGGTCTCAAACTCCTGGACTCAAGTGATCCTCCCAAAGTGTTGAGATTAGAGGGGTGAGCCACTGAGTCCAGCTCCCTGCTGCTGCAACCTTTTGGGCTCAAGCAATCCTCCCACCTCAGCCTCCAGAGTAGCTGGGACCACAGGCACGCACCACCACACCCCACTAATTTTTGTATTTTTAGTACAGATGGGGTCTTGCCATGTTGCCCAGACTGTTCTTGAACTCCTGGGCTCAAGTGATCCTCCACCTCAGCCTCCCGAAGTGCTAGGATTACAGGCATGAGCCACTGTGCCCGGCCCTTCTGTTGCCGCTTCTGATAACCATGTGAAAATCCTTATAGGGAGAAAGTAGTGATGACTTACCACTTTCTCAAATTAAAGGAAAGGAAATGATCAGCTAAATAATTTTTTACATGTATATTTGAGCACATACAAATGCTTGTCTTCACAGACATTTTGAATTAAGTTTATCTATTGTAAGCAAATGTCAGTCTTGGCCATGCATCTCAGTGTGCTGCTTTTATCTTTACAGCTCTTGTTCAGAAGTGATACCTGAAACATTCTCAAAAAAGGAAGAAAGGCCGGGAGTGGTGGCTCTCCCCTGTAATCCCAGCACTTTGGGAGGATTCTGCTATATATATAAGAAGGCCAAAATAACTTTAAAACGCAGACAGACTTTCAGAACCATTTCATAAAGTACACAAACACACACACACACACACACACACACACACACAGAAGACAGGAATTAAAAACACAACAGCTGGTGCGCTTCATGGTTTTAAAACTCTTAATGGTGCCTGGAAATATAATTATAGCACAGTAATAGATGTTTATAGTATTTATACTGTATATAAATTGAAAATACTGTATTTTAGAAAATTTCTCATTAGAAATATTTACCTCAAGTAATTAGAATTTAAAATTTATAAATATGGAACACTTAATTGTTCGATTCCAATGTGTGAGAAGTTCCTATAGAAGCATTGGCGTGGTGCTTTTATGTCCCAGTTGGTATCAGTGCTCTCTTTTGATCACAGGCCTGTAATCAGCGTTGATATTTTTCACATTAAGACATTTTGAACTTTTTCTTACAGGGTTTCTCTGCTGGGCTGTTTGCATTTTGCCATGATGAAGATGGAAATCCTCTCACTTCAAGATTTGCAGATGGCCTCCCACTTTTTAATTTTAGGTTTTTTTTTTTTTTTTTTTTTTTTTGAGACGGAGTCTCGCTCTGTTGCCCAGGCTGGATGGAGTGCAGTGGCGTGATCTTGGCTCACTGCAAGCTCCGCCTCCCAAGTTCACGCCATTCCCCTGCCTCAGCCTCCCGAGTAGCTGGGACCACAGGTGCCCACCACCATGCCTGGCTTATTTTTTGTATTTTTAGTAGACAGGGTTTCACCGTGTTAGCCAGGATGGTCTCGATCTTCTGACCTCGTGATCCGCCCGCCTCGGCCTCCCAAAGTGCTGGGATTACAGGCATGAGCCACCGCGCCTGGCCAATTATAGGTATTTTTCATTTCTGTTCTTGTTCTCCTCTATTAGAAGGGTGCCAAGACTAGAATCTGAGAATCATAGCATATTAGATGCCATAAATAATAACGTCTTTATGGCAAACCCATCGAAATTGTAGATAATAAAACAAAATAGGGTATAAGAGGCCATTTTATGAAAACATAACTTGTGAGATAGGCAATATTTACATAACGATGTAAGTAAGGAGGAGAGAGATACCCATACACAAGAACCATTCTTAAGCTGATAATTTGCAGTGCTTTCTTGCATTGAGCATATTCCTCAAAAGCATCAAACCTTCTGGCCAGGCACAATGGCTCGTGCCTGTAATCCTAGCACTTTGAGAGGCTGAGGTGGGCTGATGGCTTGAGCCCGTGAGTTCAAGACCAGCCCAGCAATGTGGCAAAACCCTATTTCTACAAAAAAAAAAAAATAGAAAAATTAGCCGAGCATGGTTGCATGTGCCTGTAGTCCCAGCTATTCAGGGTGCTGAGGTCAAAGGATCAGTTGAGCTCAGGAGGTTGAGAATGCAGTGAGCTGTGATCACGCACCTGCAGTTTAGCCTGGGTGACAGAGCAAGACTGTCTCAAGAGAAAAAAAAGAGAAACCTTTCAGTAAAAGTGAAGATTAAATAGAGTAATAAATTCAGTTGTTACAGATAAAAGAATTGGATTTGGCTTTAAGCTGTGTATTTGGGGAAACAATCTGAAGTATGAATGGTAAAGAGAGACTGGAGTGATTAATAAGGTAAAAACTTTATTTTCCGGCTGGCTTTGTTCACTATTTATGTTTAAACATTGCCTTGCCATGGAAACAGATAAAGGAATTAAAAACAACCTCTTTAAGGCATGGGTAGATGAACAGATACGTGATAACAAATATAACAAAATGTTAATTACAGAATCTAGGTGAGCTGGTTACTGATTGTAAGAGTGTTTATTAAACAATTCTTTTAATGTTTTGTATGTTTGAGATTTTTATAAAACAATATTGGAGAAGAAAACTCTCTTTATGTTTTCTGTTCTTTTGCTGAGAATGAGAGATTTATAGGGAAAATGGCAGAAGCAGTCTAGGGAATAAGCCAGAAAAAAATGATTTAGGTTACAGGGAAAAATAAAAATTGATATCCATCATAATTTTCTGTAATAGATAAATATGTTACTTTTGTAGTAGTGCTTTTATTTATGCAGGATAGATTTCCCAAACTGGGATTGCTGATTTAAAATCTGTTTACACTATAAATTTTAATAGAAACTGCCATACTACATTTTTTTTAAAAAAAGGTATAGCAAAGCAGATTCCTACCAGGCGTGTATGAATGCTCGTTACCAGTTTATCAGTATTGGATATTATAGATCTTTTTTATTTTTTAAGCCCAATTTGATGGATGAAAGATGGTATCTCATTGTTGTATTTCCAGGACTATAGTGAGGTTTTAGCCATTTGCATTTTCTCTTTGTACACTGCCTATTTATTTTCCTTGTCCTGTCTTTTAGGTTAATTTTCCCTTTCTAATCACATTGTAGGAGTTCTTTATAAGTTAGAGATAATACCCCTTTTCATGTTTATTATAAATATTTCTCCTAGTTGTTTATCGTTTTACTTCATTTATCATGCTTTTGCCACGTATAGAAAAATTCTTAAGTTTTTTATCACTAAATTCATCTATCTTTTTTTTTTTTTTTTTTTTTTTTGAGATGGAGTCTCACTATATTGCCCAGGCTGGTCTTGAACTCCTGGGCTCAGGCAAGCTTCCTGCCTCAGTCTTTCAAGCAGCTGGGACTATGGTCATGTGCCACTGTACCCAGATGTTTTTTTCTTTGTTGCTTAAGGCCTCAAAAGATTATAAAAATATTCTCTTACATTTATTCTAATAAATTATTATTCGGCTTCTCAACATTTGTAGGTTCGATCCATTTGAAACTTTTTTGATTTATGTATTTTGGGATTCTTTTGTAGGGTGCATATATGTTTATAATTGTTATATCTTTATGCTGGATTTACACTTTTTTTGGGGGGGACAGGATCTCACTCTGTTGCCCAGGTTACAGTGCAGTGGCATAATCATGGCTCACTGCAGTGTTGAGCTTCCCAGGCTCAGGTAATCCTCCTACCTCAGCCTCCTGAGTAGCTGGGACTACAAAAGTGTGCCACTATGCTCGTCTAATTTTTTATTTTTATTTTTATTTTATTATTATTTTTTGAGATGGAGTCTCTGTTGCCTAGGCTGGAGTGTAGTGGTGCAGTCTCAGCTCACTGCAACCTCCACTTCCCAGGTTAAGGTGATTCTCCTGCCTCAGCTTCCCAAGTAGCTGGAATTACAGGCATGTGCCACCACGCCTGGCTAATTTTTGTATTTTTAGTAGAGACGAGGTTTCACCATGTTGGCCAGACTGGTCTCATTCTCCTGACCTCAGGTGATCTGCCCACCTCTGCCTGCCAAAGTGCTGGGATTACAGGTGTGAGCCACTGCACCTGGCCTACATAGTATATCTTTTTATCCTTTTACTTTCCACCTATTTGTGTTCTTTAGTCTAAACTATGTCTCTTGTAGATGCATAGTTAGATCATGTTTTTAAATTCAGTTTTCCAATTAACCCTGTTCTGCCTGCTACAGTGGCTGTCAGGCTACTGGTTTTCACCATGATTGTGGGCTGTCGGTTTGCAAGGCTGCCTGAAAGCTGGAGAGAGGGCATGGAAAAGCACCACAAAGTTCCTGTTTCTGCTGAGATTCATCCATTTTTCATGAATAAATGCTTTCTGCATTGCTGTAAATCTTTGATTAATTTCCAAAGTTTAAAAAGTTGATTTCACCAATTTGGGTAGCTTTCTCGTTGCTTTGATAGGAGAGAATTTTGAGAGATTTTTACTCTGTCATTTTTGCTTATATCCTTCTGGAATTTTTGTATGTGGTGAAATAGGGATTTAACCTTTTTTTTTTCTAAATGGATAATCAGTTTCACAGTAATTAGATAAATTCTACTTTCCCACTAAATTAATATGGCATTTTGTTGGTTATGTTTCCTTACATACTTGGATATGTTTGTGAACTTGTTTTCATTTTATCCAATGCATTTGTCGAAAGGAAGTAATTCATTGTCATCTTAGCCAAGTGCTAGCTATGTGAACTTGAACAAGTTACTTCATCTCCCTGAACTTTTGTCTCTTTATCTGCAAAATAGTGACGATAATCTCATAGGGTTGTTGAAAAGATGAAATTTGAAAATACTTACCAAGGCTAGGCACAGTGGCTCACACCTGTAATCCCAGAGCTTTGAAAGACAGAGGCAGAAAGATGGCTTGAGGCCAGCAATTTGAGACCAGCTTTGGCAACATAGCAGACCTTGTCTCAGCAAAAAATAAAAAATAAATTTAAAAAAAATTTTTTGGACTGGATTTCATTCTGTCACCCAGGCTGGAGTGTGGCTGTTTGAACATAGCTCACTGCAGCCTTGAACTCCTGGGCTCAAGTGATCTTCTTGCCTCAGCCTCATGAGTAGCTGGGACTACAGGCACACACTACCATGCTGGCTAATTTTATGTTATATTATTTTATTTTATTTTGTGTTGTTTTTGAGACAGGGTCTTGCTCTGTCACCCAGTCTGGAGTGCAGTGGCATCAACATGGCTCACTGCAGCCTCAACCTTCTGGGCTCAGGTGATCCTCCTGGCTCAGCCTCCTGTGTAGCTGGAACCACAGGGCTGTACAACTATGCCCAGCTAGTTTTCAAATTTTTTGTAGAGACAAGGACTTCTTGTGTTACCTAGGCTGGTATCAAACTCCTGGGCTCAAGCAGTCTTTCCATCTTGGCCTCCTGAGGTGCTGGGATTACAGGTGTGAGCCACTGCACCCAACCAAAAAATTAAATTTTACAAAATGTAGAAAGGAAAATACTTATCAAGTACTTTGTTTGGACTTGGTACATAGGATGTTCCCAAATATTTTAATTTCATATTGATATTTATAAAGACTTTTTACAGTAAATATAAATATTTTTACATTTATAGTTGTGAATTTGCAACAATAATTGTTTTAATTCTATAATTGCAGTCTTGGATTATATCAATGGAGTGATAAAGTAGTTCGAACAGTGGAGAGATTATGGGATGTTCGAGACAATAACACTGTGTATTATTGTTTATCTCCTGGTAACGCTTCTTGTTGTAAGTATTACTGAACTTCATGTCTCATGAGCCATCTGTTCTTTTCCTTTATTGTGGTCCTTTCTTTACTCATCATTATTATTTAAGAACTTGTAATATTTTAGAGTCTATAGTAGGAAAAGTAATATAAAGGCAGTGTAATAAAGCTATGGGCCATGAGAAATCTGAGGAAATGGAAACTTGGCAATGAGTCTCACGGCTCCCATCCTACCCAGTGCTTTAGGCCAGTGCCGCCTCTGTTGTGATGCCTCTTAGGATCAGTGGTACTATTTCTGTAATGACTTAACATTTTATTTGGTGTCTGTATTAGTTAGGGTTCTCCAGAGAATCAGAACCAACAGGATGTGTGTATATTTCTATATATATGTACACACAGAGAAAGAATATGAGAGAGGAGGGGAGGAAGAGATTTCTTTCTTTTTTTTCTTTTTTCTTTTTTTTTTTTTTTTGAGACAGGGTCTCACTCTGTCACCCAGGCTGGAGTGTATTGGTGTGGTTTCGGCTTGGTGCAACCTCTGCCTCCTGGGCCCAAGTGATTCTCCCACTTCAGCCTCCTGAGTGGCTGAGACTACAGGCACGCACCACCACCAGGCCCAGCCAATTCTGTTTATTTTTTGAAGTGATGAGGTCTCACTATGTGCCCAGGCTGGTCTCGATCTCCTGGGCTCAAGCAGTCCTCCTGCTTCAGCCTCCCAAAGTGCTGGGATTACAGGTGTGAGCCACAACACCTGTCCAAGAGATAACTTTTAAGGATTTGGCTCACATGACTGTGGAAGCTTGGCGAGTTCAAATCTGATGGGGTAGTCCAGCAGGCTGGAGACTCAGGGGAGAGTTGCAGTTTGAGTCCAAAGGCAGAATGACTTCTTGTTCAGGGGAGATCAATCTTTGTTCTCTTAAGGCCTTCTACTGATTGGACAAGGCCCACCCACATTATGGAAGGTGATCTTTACTTCAGAGTCCACTGATTTCAATGTTACTCTCATTCAAGAAAATACCTTCACAGAAACATCCAGAATATCTGGGCCAAATATCTGGGCACCACGGCTATTCTCCCTCCCCCTTTTCCTTGCCTATGTACAGCTGTCTGACTTCTAAAGTTTTGCATTGCTCTTGGGCTACTTCCTATCTCTGGAAACCTCTAACTAAAGGACAGACAGAACCCAATGAGCAAGGTTTTATCATACTGAGCAACTTTTTTTTTTTTTTTTTTTGAGACAGAATTTCCCTCTTGTCACCCCGGCTGCAGTGCAATAGCACAAGCTCGGCTCACTGCAACCTCCGCCTCCTGGGTTCAAGTGGTTCTCCTGCTTCAGCCTCCTGAGTAGCTGGAATTACAGGCACCCGCCACCATGCCCAGCTAATTTTTGTATTTTTAGTAGAGACAGGGGTTTCATCATGTTGGCCAGGGTGAGACCCTGTCTCAAAAAAAAAGGAAACCTCTTCCTCCCCTCCTCTCTCGTATCTTTCTCCACATTTATATAGATATATACACACATCCTGTTGGTTCTGTTTCTCTGGAGAACCTTGACTAATACAGATACCAAATAAAATGATCACTCATTATAGAAATAATACCACTGATCCTAAGAGGTATCACAACAGAGGAGGCACTGGTGACTTCAAGTGATCTGCCTGCCTCGGCCTCCTAAAGTGCTGGGATTACAGGTGTGAGCCAGCGTACCTGGCCAGAGTAGATTTTTTGAACAGATAAAACTGACAAACCTTTAGTTAGAGAGATGCAGATAACATAAGAAATGAAAGAGGAGACATTACAACTGATATGACAGAAACACAAAGGATCATAAGAGACTATTATAAACAATTATATACCAACGAATTGGATAACCCACAAGAAATGAACAAATTCCTAGACAAATACAACCTCTGAAGACTGAGTCATGAAGAAATGAAAAATCTGAACAGACCAATAATGAGTAATGAGATTGAATCAGTAATAAAAGTCGACCATCAAAGAGAAGCCCAGAACCAGTTTCACTCCTGAATTTCACCAAACGTTTAACAAAGAATGAATACCAATCCCTCTCAAACTTTTCCAAAAAACTGAAGAGGAGGGATTACTTCTAGACTCTTTTTACCAGGGTGGTATTAGTCTAATAACAAATGTAGACAAAGCTATTGCAAGAAAAGAAAATTACAGGCTAATGTCCTTGATGAGCATTAAGTACAAAAATTTTCTGACAAAATACTAACAAGCTGAATTCTACAACACGTTAAATAGGTCATCCATCATGATCAAGTGAGATTTATCCACAGGATGCAAGGATGGCTGAACATAGCAAATCAATAAATGTGATACATCTCGCTGACAGAATAAAAAACAAAAACCATATGATTGTCTCAGTAGATGCAGAAAAATCATTTAGCAAAATTCAACATCTTTTTATGGTTAAAAACTAACCAAATTAGGCCGGGCGTGGTGGCTCACGCCTGTAATCCCAGCACTTTGGGAGGCCGAGGCGGGCGGATCATGAGTTCAGGAGATCGAGACCATCCTGGCTAGCACGGAGAAACCCTGTCTCTACTAAAAAATACAAAAAAATTAGCCGGGCGTTGTGGCAGGCTCCTGTAGTCCCAGCCACTCACGAGGCTGAGGCAGGAGTATGGCGTGAACCCGGGAGGTGGAGCTTGTAGTGAGCCAAGATTGGGCCACTGCACTCCAGCCTGGGCAACAGAGTGAGACTCCATCTCAAAAAAAAAAAAAAAAAACTAACCAAATTAGGTGCAAAAAGAAAGTACCTCAGCACAATAAAGACCATATAAGAGACACCCAAAACAAACCTTATACTTATTAGTGAAAAATTGAAAGCCTTTCCTCCAAGATCTCTTACCACTTCTACATTCTACAGAGTATTGAAGAACATAGTGGTAAGAACACTCTTACCACTTCTACATAATATTGGAAGTCCTTGCTAGAGCAGTCTGACCATAGAAATAAAAGGCATTCAAATAGGACAGGAAGAAGTGAAATAGTTGCTGTTTGCTGATGACATGGTCTTATATATAGAAAATCCTAGAGACTCCATAAAAAAATTGTGAGGATTAATAAATAAAGTTGCAGGATACAAAATCAACACACAAAAATCAGTAATTTTCTATATACTAACAGAAAACTACCTGAAAAAGAAATCAAGAAAACAATCTCATTTACAATAGCTACCAAGAAAAGTAATTCTTAGGAATAAATTTACCCAGGGAAGTAAAAGACCTATACACTGAAAACTACATGAAAGAAACTGAAGAAGACATAATAAATAAAAGGGAATCCTATGTTCATGGAGTAGAATAATTAATATTGTTAAAATGTCCATACTACCCAAAACAGTTTACGGATTCAGTGAGATCCCTGTCAAAATTCCAGTGTCATTTCTCATAGAAGTAGGTAAAAAATCCTCATTCATATAGAACCACACACACACAAAACCCTGAATAGCCACAGGAAAAAATGCTCATCATCACTGGCCATCAGAGAAATGCAAATCAAAACCACAATGAGATACCATCTCACATCAGTTAGAATGGTGATCATTAAAAAGTCAGGAAACAACAGGTGCTGGAGAGGATGTGGAGAAATAGGAACACTTTTACACTGTTGGTGGGACTGTAAACTAGTTCAACCATTGTTTGTGATTGAACAACTTCCAAATGTTCCACATTGTGGAAGACAGTGTGGCGATTCCTCAAGGATCTAGAACTAGAAATACCATTTGACTCAGCCATCCCATTACTGGGTGTATACCCAAAGGATTATAAATCATGCTGCTATAAAGGCACATGCACACATATGTTTATTGCGGCACTATTCACAATAGCAAACACTTGGAACCAACCAAAATGTCCATCAATGATAGACTGGATTAAGAAAATGTGGCACATATACACTATGGAATACTATGCAGCCATAAAAAAGGATGAGTTCATGTCCTTTGTAGGGACATGGATGGAGGTGGAAACTACCATTCTCGGCAAACTATTGCAAGTACAAAAAAACCAAACACCGCATGTTCTCACTTATAGGTGGGACTTGAACAATGAGAACACTTGGACGCAGGAAGGGGAACATCACACACCAGGGCCTGTTGTGGGGTGGGGGGAGGGAAAGCATTAGGAGATATACCTAATGTAAATGACAAGTTAATGGGTGCAGCACACCAACACGGCACATGTATACATATGTAACAAACCTGCACATTGTGCACATGTACCCTAGAACTTAAAGTATAAAAAAAAAAAAAATGAAAGATTGGAAAAAAAAAAAAAAACCAAAAAACCTGAATAGCCAAAGCAATCGTGAGCAAAAAGAACAAAGCTATTGAGGCAGTGTGATGCCTCTAGCTTTGTAGTATTTCAAACTATACTGCAAAGGAATAATAATTAAAATTTCATGTTCCTGTCATAAAAGTAGGCACATTGATGAATGGAACAGAATAAATTATGATTAACTTGATTATGATTAATCAATTATAGTTAATTGATTTTTAATAAAGGTGCTGAGAATATACAATGGGAAAAAGTCTCTTCAATAAATGGTGTTGGGAAAACTGGGTATCCTTAGCAGAAGAATGAAATTTGACCTTTATCTCACATCATATACAAAAACCAACTCCAAATGTATTAAATATTTAAACATAAGACAAGGAACTGTAAAACTACTAGAAGAAAACATAAGGGGACAACTACATGACATTGGTTTGGGCAATGAGTTTTTGAATTGGACCCTAAAAGCACAGGCAACAAAAATAAAAACGGACAAATGGGATTACATGAAACAAAAAAGCTGCTGCACGGCAAAGGGAACAAAAGTGTGAAGAGACAGTCTACAAATTGGGAAAAAATATTTGCAAGCCAAACATCAGAAAAAATATCCAAAATATATAAGGAATGCAAACAACTGTGTACAAATAGCCCATTTAAAAAATGGGCCAGGGACCTAAATAGACATTTCTTAAAAGAAGACATGCAAATTATGAACAGGTACACGAAAAAATACTCAACATTACTAATCCTTAGGGAAATGCAAATTCAAACCACAATGAGATGTCATTTTATGTCTGTCAGATGACTATTATCAAAAAGACAAGAGTGCTCGCTTTGACAGCACAAATACTAAAATTGGAATGATACAGAGAAGATTAACATGGCCCCAGTGCAAGGATGACATGCAAATTCATGAAGCATTCCGTATGTTAAAAAGAAAAGAAACAAAAGGTAACAAGTGTTGGTGAGGATGTGGAGAAAAGAGAATCCTTGTACAATGTTGGTGGTAGTATAAAGTAATACAGCCATTGTGGAAAACTGTATGGAAGTTCTTTGAAAACTAAAAATAGAATTACCATATGATCCAACAATCCTTGTTCCATATTTACACAAAAGATTTGAAACCAGTTTGTCAAAGAGATGTTTGCACTCCTGTGTTCATTGCAGCACTATTTACAATAGCCACATTACGGAATCAGCCTAACAGTCCATCAGCAGATGAATGGGTAAAGAAAACGGGTTATATACAATTGACCGTAGAACAACATAAGTCGGAACTGCACAGGTCCACTTATTTGTGGACTTCTACCACTTCTGCCACCCCTTAGCCAGCAAGACCAACTCCTAGTCTTCCTCTTCAATGTGAAGACAAGGATGAAGACCTTTATGGTGACCCACTTCCACTTAATGAATAGTGAGTATATTTTCCTTATGATATTTTTTGTAACATTTTCTCTAGCTTTATTGTAAGAATACAGTACATAATACATAAAATATACAATATATGTGTTAATTGACTATGTTATTGGTAAGGCTTCTTGTCAACAGTAGGCTATGAATAGCTAAGTTATGGGGAAATCAACAGCTATACACAGATATTGAACTGCATAGGAAGTTGGCACCACTTATCACGGTGGAATGCTATTCAGCCTTAAAAAGGCTGGAAAATTTGTCATTTGTGACAACATGGATGAAACTGGAGAACATGATGCTAAAAAAGGAACAAGGAGACAAATACCTAATGTTTTCACTTACATGTGACATCTAAAACTATTGAACTCAGAAGCAGAGGGTAGTGGTTCGAGGCTGGGGGTTGGGGAAAATAGTAAGATGATGGCCAAAGGGCACAAAATCACAAACAGAAGTAATACATTTTTGTTCTTTTTTTTGAGGTCATTGCACAGTATGGTGAATGTGGTTAATAATAGTGAATTGCGGCCGGGCGCAGTGGCTCACGCCTCTAATCCCAGCACTTTGGAAGGCCAAGGCGGGCGGATCACAAGGTCAGGAGATCGAGACCATCCTGGCTAACACAGTGAAACCCTGTCTCTACTAAAAATACAATAATAGTGTATTGCACATTTTTAAACTGAAAGTAAATTTAAAATGTGCTTCTCACAAAAAATAAGTATTTGAAATGATGGATTAGCTTGATGTAATTACTTCATATTGTTCATAAATCAGAACATCACTCTACTCTATAAATATATGCAATTATAAATTGTCAATTTAAAATAAAATAAAAAATAAAAAATTGTAAAATTGTTACTAACATGAGTTACAGCTGTCAATCATACTAGTCTATAACATTTTTTAGCTATGTGGTACAAAAGTGAAAATCTTCAGAGAGAGGAAAAGATACTAAGAGAAGTAATTTCTTAGCAAAGAGAAGTGTGACTGCATCAAAATATTTAATTATATTAAAAACCATATTTTAAAAAGAAATTCTTTTTTCAAGAAAGTAATTTTTTAATGTTAACTTATATTCATGTGATGAAAAGTTTGCCATTATCTTATGGTACTTTTGTACCATATTTTCTTCCGATTTTTCTTCTGGTTCTTAGCAGGAAGCACGAAAACATTTTAATTGTCCAGTTCTGGAGGGAATGGAACTTGAAAATCAAGGTGGTAAGTGCACTGAGCTCAACCATTGGGAAAAAAGGTTATTAGAGTTCAGTTTTTAAATTTTAGACTTTATTTAATAAAATAATTCATAATTATGGCAAACGTTATTCAAACAGGTTACAAATGTTTTGTCCCTTTACCCCTTCAGCTCTTGAGATCCACTGTCCAGATGTAATCACTCTTTAAGTTTTGGTATATGCTTTTCATAAGTGTTATATATGTATGTATGTGCAAACACTTGCAGAATTGTTTATTTTTTAATGGGTTCACATATTTATGCAACTTTTTTCACTTTTTCCAAGGCACTATAGGTGCTTCTGCTATAATGCAATGTATGCTTTCCTAAAAACCTTTTTCTTCAAAATTGGACACTAAAAATAACAAGACTTGTGGGAAAAACAAGTAAACAGATCACTAACAGAAACAAGTAAGTCATGTAGAACTATGAGCTCAGTTTAAAAATACATCAGATTTCCAATAAATGAAGTCCTGTATCTAATCTAGTATTTCTTTTATTAATTTTTTTTATTTTTTAGAGACAGGGCCTCACTGTGTTGTCCAGGCTGGAGGGCTGCAGCTATTCACAGGCATGATCATAGCAAACTATAGCATCAAACTCTTGGGCTCAAGCAGTCTTCCTGCCTCAGCCTCCCAAGCAGCTGGAACCACGGGTACACACCAGTGCACCCAGCCTACTGTAGTACTTTTTTCTTTTCTTTTCTTTTCCTTTCCTTTTCTTTTTTTCTTTTCCTTCTCTTCTCTTCTCTCCCTCTCCGTTTCTTTTCTTTTTTAAGGCCAGGTCTCACTCCAGTTGCCCAGGCTACAGTGCAAGTGGCGTGATTTCGGTTCACTGCAGCCTCGACCTCCTGGGCTCAGGTGACTCTCTCACCTCAGCCTCCTGAGTAGGTGACACTACAGGCATGTGCCACCGCGCCCAGCTAATTTTCTTTTTGTACTTTTAGTAGAGATGAGTTTCACCATGTTACCCAGGCTGACCTCAAACTCATGGGCTCAAGCATTCCACCTGCCTCAGCCTCCCAAAGTGCTGGGGTTACAGGCATGTACCACTTCACCTGGCTGCTCTAGTATTTCTTTACCTTCAACATCAGCAGTAACAATAACTCATGGTAGCTGTATGGGGAATTGTAAATCTGAGTAATGGGGACAAGGGTAAAATGTACGTAGACTTGTGAGAACCATACAGTAAACACTTCCAGGCAGAGCCACTGGGTACACGGAGCAAACAGAAAGCAGATGGAGTAAGCACACACTATACACAGTACAGCATTCTTGTATTGCTGTGTTTGGCTATCCTAGTATAGTTTGTGTTTAGGCTTCATCACAAAATAGTAACATGCAGGGAAAAATCAATGAACCAACGTGATTCCATGTTATATTGATGCCATTCCCTTATTTACTAATTTCACATGAGCTCAATCACATCGCAGAAACACATCCTTTCACAAAATAAACTGTATACTTGGATCTACTTATTTTTTTCTATATGAATGTAGCATGTCAGTTCTGTGTTAATGAACAACTATGTCTTAAATTTTGTATTTTAGAAAATGTAATGAGCAACTTATTCATATCTGTGATACCTTGCCTTCCCAGGGTGGGGCTTCAGTTGCTGCTTTTAGATTCAACTAAGCAGTCAAACCCACAGGACCTAATCAGGCCATATTGAGGATAGATTCCCTTAGAGACGGATGTTAGAAGGAACACACAGCATGCCAGCAGAGTAGAGCCAGGCATTGCTCATGTGCTCCACATAGCAGTGGAGGGGCTGTCATCTGTGCCTCTCTCCCTTCCTGTGCAGCTCAAGTACCAGAGCACAAGACCGCAGTAGACAGATGGGAGAACCAGCCTGGCTTAGAAAGATCATGTCCCAAATAGGAACCAATATCTTTTTTAACAGTTTCATAGATCTAAATTCCAGATCCCATAGGGGACATACGCATAGACTGCACACAGGGGAGTCCAAATCCAAACTGTGGCTTACCAACAGGTATTCATGTTGATTTGCAGTCGTCCCAAGTTTAGAGGCATATCAGGAGGTCTTTTTTTCTTAGGTACTGTTACCTGGTAACACAGTCGACATTCACCTTTATTAGGTTTCCAGGGGAACAGAACTAGAGAGTTAACTCAAGGTCAGGTTTATTTAAATAGAAAGAATGAATCCCAGGAAGTGGAATTTCTGGGTGAAAGGGTATATGTGTTATTTTTTATTTTTGGAGATCTGCTTAAATAGATAGTTGCAGCTTATATACATCATGCCTGAAGTTAATAAAATTATGTAAAGAATGAAATGAATGCTTGTGGTTACTGTTCTTGTCAAGGTGACCACAAAGTAACAACGATGGAAACTTTTTTTATAGAAGACACATACATTTATTCCTCCCATGGGATTTTTTTTTTTTTTTTTTTTTTTTGCCTTAAGACATTTTCTCAAGTGACTCCCTTTAGAAAGCTGTAGATTGGCCAGAAATGAAAATGTGCTTTTCAGCAGAAGCTCTGAGAGTAGTAATTTCATTAACTTCTCTCAAATCAACTTTGTGTCCTTGAACAATTTTTTTTAAAGTATGGTATCACAGCACTTCAGATGGCCATCTGGTGTTCAGTGAAAGATTTAAAGAATAATCAGAGCTGCCCAAAGATGAAATATGCTCCGTAAGAGGCAGTGACGTCCTCATCATTAGGTAACCTCCTGATAGGAATTGTATGATATGAATTAAAATATTGGGTAGATGGTAGACTTTGATGATATTTTAGACCTTTCAAGTAAATACTTTTATCCCATGATTCTGTCACACTTGTTTTGCATATTAGTGCATGTTTCTGTGATTAAAAAGTTGAAGGTTATGAAAACATTTTCTGTGTAATTCAGACAAGTGTTCTCCCTGACCCCAAATTATCGGTGCATTTGCCTCAATCACCCACTTTTCTTTGCCTGGAGAGTATAATATTTCTATAGTATTTCTGTTTCCATATAGATTTTTCTTTATTCATCACAGAGTTCTAAATGGCAGCTGCCTACCATTCCGAGGGAATTGTACACAATGGAAACACTTAGGGCAGAAAATAGATTTCACTTCAAGGCTCAGTCTAGTCATTTTAAAGGTTTATGTATTTCACCACTTTAAGTGAATGTCTTGTCAGCCTCTCATAGTTGAAACATTTTAAATATATATCAGAGGAATTACAGAAAGTATTAGGAGTTGCAGAGAATCTAGTCTTCTAATTAGAATCTGTTAGTTATTTTCAGAATGAAGCAATGACTGGTTCTCACACCCAGAATCAAGTACTGTCTCAAATCACTCTGGCATTAATGGAGGACACTGCGTAAGACAGCTGTGAGAATAGGATATGAATTGTTTATTAAAATAAAATGAACACTGAGATTACAGCTTAAGAAAATGCTGACATTTTATGCTGAAGTAAAATATACTTATTATTTGAATCTTTTATAGTTAGCTGTCCATTATTTATACCAACTCCATTCATTCATTCAATAAATACTTTTGTTGTTTGTTTGTTTTGAGATAGAGTCTCACTCCTGTAGCCCGGGCTGGAGTGCAGTGGCAGTCCTACATCCTGGACTTGCCAGGCCCAAGCAATTCTCCCACCTCAGCCTCCTGATTAGCTGGGACTACAGGCACGTGCCATCATCCCTGGCTAATTTTTTGTATTTTTAGTAGAGACAGGGTTTTGTCATGTTGCCCAGGTTGTTCACAAACTCCTGGGTTCAAATGATCCGCCCACCTCGGCCTCCCAAAGTGCTGGGATTATAGGCGTGAGCCACCTCACCTGGCCTCAGTAAATGTTTGAGGCCCTGAGACATGATAATAATTAGGACAAAAATCCCTGATACTATTTGTGTTAGGAATAACACTCAAAATCCTAAGGAAATTAAACACTCGAACAAAGGATTCTTAGCAAAGCAATTTTACTTCTTCGCAGAGGGGTGCCTCCTTGGCCAGTCACCATGAAAGCACACCTGAACAAAGGGGCACGAGGGCCTTTATTCCTGATGCAAGTCCTGCCCCGTACCCTTTCCCCATTGGCCAGGGTCGGGTCGTACAATCTAAACTAATCCCGGTTTTGGCTAAACATTTGATTTTTTTAGATAAGGTGAGCATGTAAAAGAAAGTGGAGAGGAAGGGGAAGGGGTGTCTGTAATGAGCTAGAAAGTTAGTCCTCTTTCCAAATAAGGAAAGGAATGTGAGCTGGTACTGTGGCGTGCCTGGGCATCTAACAAAGGCAAAAAGGAAAAAAGATAAAGGAGAAAAGCTGGGGGGTACTATGAATTAAAGAATAAAAGATTGATCAGATTATTTTAAGAGAAACCTCATCATATCCCACATTTGTTTTCTTCTTCTAATAAGAAGAGGCTAGTCTCAAACTCCTGGGCTCAAGCAAGCCTCCTGCCTTGGCCTCCCAAAGTGCTGGGATTATAGGCATGAGCCACCATACCTGGCAGAAATACGGTTTTTAAATGAAATCTTTTATACAACCCCTACATATCAAACAAAATTAAAGCTGCTTTAGTAGTAGCATTATTACCTCTTTTCTAACAGTCTGAGAGAAAATTAGAAAATGGAATCAAATTTGAAAATTAATGGTAGAGGTGCTACTAAAACAATGAAAATTGTTGACACTACCTTCACTGTTGAGAGTTCAAAGAGGTATAAGGATTTTAAAATATAGATGTCATTATTTTTTTGTTTGTTTTAAGAGACAGGATCTTACTCAGTTGCCTAGGCTGAAGTGCAGTGGTGTGATCATAGCTTACTGTAGCTTCGAACTTCTGGACTTAAGGAATCCTCCTGCCTCAGCCTATCCAGTAGTTGGGACTAGAGGCCCATGTCATCATGGTGGCCAGCTAATTGTTTACAATTTTTTTTTAGAGACAGGGTTTCTCTGTGTTGCCCAGGCCGGTCTTGAATTCTTGGCCTGGAGATCCTCCCACCTCAGCATCCAGATTAGCTAAGATTACAGTTGCAAGCCACTGCACCTGGCTTGAGGTCATTGTTGACCCTGAGAACAGTTTCAATAAAATTGGGAAAGACTGAGAAGTTCATAGTGTTCCTGGACCAAACTGAGGGTCGGGCTGCTATTTCTCATGGCCCAATAACGAGATGCAATATGAACTGGGAAGGAAAAGAGTTGAGGCCTGTGGCATTTCTTCACACCCCCAATAAAACTTGTTTAATCCTAAATGAGTCCTGTTAAGAATTCCGTTATTTTGTCATGCCTTAAGGCCCAGGAAAGGCCTAGGCAAAACTATCCATGGGCTTTTGTTATATTCCAGCCTTTGTAGAAGGGCACTGGCTTTTTTAGCTTTTAATATTTAACTTAACCACTCAGTCAGTGCTGAAAATGTTGTAATGGAGGCCTGCGTTAGTGCAACCTGGCCTGCCACAACAGGGTGAGCTGCTTAAATGACAGAGGAAGATATAGGTAAGAAAGGGTATTATTAGCACAGCTTTGTCCCTGAGGATGCAAGATGGGTGGGATCCAGAAAACCAAGAGAGAACTTGAATGGGAAGAAAGACAGAACCCTGTCCGTTAATTCATGAAGAAAGAATGGGAATGAGAATACAAGCCATTTTGTAAGTGGAAGCAGAAAGTTGAAGAAGTTCAGAGTTTTTGGTTACCATATCTCTGTCGTTTAGGAGGCAGAGCCATCCCTGAGGGAGAGAGGAAGGCAGAAGTTAGATGTAAGTGCATACCTCATGGGCACTGTTTTCAGACAAAGCATCTACAGGAGTCATATACTTTCTTAATTTTTCCTTAGCCCAAAGGAAGAAAGATAAGGAAAAAATGTAGCATTCTGCCTAACAAAGAAATTGGAGGCACTTTTCTACCTTTAGGAGGTAGAAAATAGTACCCTGAAAAGTCATTAGTATGCACTGCATAAGACTTAAGTGTAGCTTAACTAAGTTGCTTCTCCCAGTAAATAATATCATCCATCTATTCAGAAAGCTGACAGTCATCCTTGATAACACTCTCTCCATTTCTCACATCCAATCAATCACAAATCTTGCTGATTTTTAGCTCTTCAGTATTGCTAAAGTCTGTGTATTTTTTGGTGACTACTGCCTTTATCTAGGCCACAATTATCTTTTGACTAGATTACTATAGTAGCTTTAGTAAGTCTATCTCTCTGCATCTGAAGTGGTCCTTTCTATTGCCTGAAGGTCTTCACACATTTTATACAGGATCCTTTACAAGATTTTTTTTGGCACAGTGTCTTAAACAGTAAGAAATATATCATGACCAAAGTACACACATATATTTATATAATTAATAGTTTAGATATTGACAAAGATGCCAAGACCATTCAACGGGAAAATAATAGTTTTTTCAACAAATACTGCTGGGACAACTGGATATCCTCATGCATAAGAATGAACCCCTATGGTACACAGTGTACAAAATTAACTAAAAATGGATCAAAAGAAAGTACCTGTTTCTGCCTTCTAGAGAGAGGCTTCACTTCCCAGCAATATATATATATATATTTAAAAGGATTGAAAACCTAAATTAAAGAGCTGAAACTATGAAATGCTTAGAAGGAAACACAGGTGTAAATTTTCATGACATTGAATTAGGCAGTGATTTCTTCAACATTGTCCCAGAAGCCCAAGCAACCAAAAAAAAAAAAAAAAAACACTTGAACTTTACTGAATTAAAAGCATTTGTGCTTTAAAGAACACTCAAGACAGTGAAAAAAGCTGCTGAGGTGCAGTGGCATGAAAATTAAAGAACAGACAGCTGGAGTAATCATTCCTGCAATCCCAGCTACTTGGTAGGCTAAAGTGGGAAGACTACTTGAGCCCAGGAGTTTGGGTCCAGCCTGGGCAACATAGCAAGACCCTGTCTCTTTAAAAAAATAAAAGAAAGAAAGTGAAGGCAGCTCTCAGAATGGGAAAAAATACTTGCAAGTCATTTATATAACAGTCTAGTGTCCAGAATACTTATAAGAACTCTTACAACTCAATAGTAAAAAGGCAATGTAATTTAAAAACAGGTGAAGGATTTGAATAGATATTTCTCCAAAGAAGATATTCAGATGACAAATAAGCATATGAAAAGATGTGCAACATGATATGTCATTAGGGAATTACCAGTTAAAACAACTACTACACCTATTAGAATAGCTTAAAATCTGCCGGGTGTGGTGGCTCACACCTGTAATCCCAGCACTTTGGCAGGCCGAGGCAGGTGGATCACCTGAGGTTGGGAGTTTGAGACCAGCCTGGCCAACATGGCAAAAGCCCGTCTCTACTAAAAATACAAAAATTAGCCGGACATGGTGGTGCATGCATCTGATACCAGCTACTTGGGAGGCTGAAGCAGGAGAATCGCTTGAACCTGGGAGGTGGAGGTTGCCATGAGCCGAGATCGTGCCACTGGACTCCAGCCTGGGCAACAGACTGAAACTCTCATTTCAAAAAAAAAAAAAAAAAAAAAAAGGTAAAAATCCAGAACACTGACAACACTGAATGCTTGTGAGGATGTCGCCCAGGCTGGAGTGCAGTGGCGCAGTCTCAGCTCACTGCACCCTCTACCTCAGGGGTTCAAGCGATTCTTGTGCCTCAGCCTACTGAGTAGCTGATACTATAGGCATGCGCCACCACTCCTGGCTAATTTTTGTATTTTTAGTAGAGATGAGGTTTCATCGTGTTGGCCAGGCTGGCTCATGCCTGTAATCCCAGCACTTTTAGAGGCCAAGGCGGGTAGGGTCACTTGGTCATGAGTTCAAAACCAGTCTGGCCAACATGGTGAAATCCCATCTCCACTAAAAATACAAAAATTAGCCCGGTGTGTTGTCCGGCACCTGTAGTCCCAGCTACTTGGGAGGCTGTGGGAGGGGAATAGCTTGAACCCAGGAGGCAGAGGTTGCAGTGAGCCGAGATTGCATCACTGCACTCCAGCCTGGGTAACAGAGCAACACAGTCTGTCAAAAAAAAAAAAAAAAAAAAAAAACCCAAAAAAACAAAATGGTACATAAATGAATTCCTACTGTATGAACTTTTGAGCATGGCTTTTTTTACTCAGCATAATTCTCTGGAGATTCCTCCAGGTTGTTGTACATATCAATAATTTGATTTTTTTTTTATTGCTAGTTAATATTCCACAGTGTGATATACCACCGTTTGTTTAAACATTCACACTTTGAAGGACATCTGGATTGTTTCCAGTTTTGGGCTTTTATGAATGAAGTTGCTATAAACATTTATGTACAGGTTTGTGTGTGAACATACATCTTTATTTCTCCAAAAAAAGTGCCAGGAATGGAATTGCTGGCTCATTAAGTAATTGCAGGTTTAGTTTTCTAAGAAACTGCCAAACTTTTTAATTCCTACCAGCGATGCATAAGTGATACAGTTTCTCCACATCTTTGCCAGGACTTCGTGGTGTCACAACTTTTTGTTTAATTGATAGGGGCGTAGTGTTATTTTACTTTGGTTTTAATTGGTATTTCCCTAATGGCTAATGACGTTGAACCTCTCTTCATGCACTTACTCGCTATTTGTATATCCTCTTTGGCAAATTGTCTCTTCATCTTTTAACTCACTATTTGTATATCCTCTTTGGCAAATTGTCTCTTCATCTTTTAAGCCAATTTTCTGATTGGATTGTTTTTTACTGTTGAGTTTTGAGAGTTCTTTATGTATTCTAGGTACTTGTCCTTTGTCAGATATGTGGTTTGCAAATACTGTCTCGCAGTTCATAACTTGTCTTTTTATACTTTTAACAGGGGCTTTTGTAGGGCAAGTTTTTTTAATTTTGACGAAGTTCAGATTATCAGTTTGTCCTCTTATTATGTCTTTGATGTCAAGTCTAAGAAGTCTGCCAAGGTCTAGATCTTGAAAGTTTTCTTATATTTTTTCAAAAGTTTTATAGTTTTACACTTTACATTTAAGTCCATGATTCATTTGAGTTAATTTTTGAATTAGGTGGGAGACTTAGATCAAGGTTCATTTTTTTGTGTACAGATAGGCAACTGTGTTAGCACTAGTTGTTGAAAAGGCTATCTTTCTTTCATTGAAACGCTTTTGTACCTTTGGCAAAAACAATCAGCTGGGGATATATTTGTGGTGGATCTGTTTCTGGGTTTTCTGTTCTGTTCCACTGATGCATGTGTCTGTGCCTCCACCAATAACACACAGTCCTTAATTACTGCAATTATTTAGTAAGTCTTGAATTAGGGTAGACTGATTCTTCCCACTTTCCTTTGAAATTATTTTGGCTCTTTTGCATTTCCATATACATTTTACAATAATATTGTCTGTATCTGCCAAAAAAAAAACTGGCAGGGGTTTTGCTAGGAGTTGCATTAAACCTGTATGTCAATTTGAGGAGAATTGACTTTTTTTTTAATCTTTCCAATGTTTACACCTTTATTTCCTTTTTTTCTTTTTTTTATTATACTTTAAGTTCTAGGGTACATGTGCACAACCTGCAGGTTTGTTACACATGTATACATGTGCCATGTTGGTGTGCTGCACCCATTAACTTGTTATTTACATTAGCTGTATCTCCTAATGCTATCCTTCCCCCTTCCCACCACCCCACGACAGGCCCCAGTGTGTGATGTTCCCCTTCCTGTGTCCAAGTGTTCTCATTGTTCAATTCCCACCTATAAGTGAGAACAGGCGGTGTTTGGTTTTTTTGTCCTTGCGATAGTTTTCTGAGAATGATGGTTTCCAGCTTCATCCATGTCCCTACAAAGGACATGAACTCATCTTTTTTTATGGCTGCATAGTATTCCATAGTGTGTATGTGCCACATTTTCTTAATCCAGTCTATCGTTGTTGGACATTTGGGTTGGTTCCAAGTGTTTGCTATTGTGAATAGTACCACAATAAACACATGTGTGCATGTGTCTTTATAGCAGCATGATTTATAATCCTTTGGGTATACACCCAGTAATGGGATGGCTGGGTCAAATGATATTTCTAGTTCTAGATCCTTGAGGAATCACCACACTGTCTTCCACAACGGTTGAACTAGTTTACAGTCCCACCAACAGTGTAAAAATGTCACTATTTCTCCACATCCTCTCCAGCACCTGTTGTTTCGATTTTTTAATGATCACCATTCTGACTGGTGTGAGATGGTATCTCATTGTGGTTTTGATTTGCATTTCTCTGATGGCCAGTGATGATGAGCATTTTTTCATGTGTCTGTTGGCTGCATAAATGTCTTCTTTTGAGAAGTGTCTGTTCATATCCTTTGCCCACTTTTTGATGGGATTGTTTGATTTTTTCTTGTAAATTTGTTTAAGTTCTTTGTAGATTCTGGATATGAGCCCTTTGGCAGATGAGTAGATTGTAAAAATTTTCTCCCATTCTGTAGGTTCCCTGTTCATTCTGATGATAGTTTCTTTTGCTGTGCAGAAGTTTAGTTTAATTAGATCCCATTTGTCAATTTTGGCTTTCGTTGCCATTGCTTTTGGTGTTTTAGTCATGAAGTCCTTGCCCATGCCTATGTCCTGAATGGTATTGCCTAGGTTTTCTTCCAGGGTTTTTATGGTTTTAGGTCTAACATTTCAGTCTTTATTCCATCTTGAATTAATTTTTGTATAAGGCGTAAGGAAGGGATCCAGTTTCAGCTTTCTACATATGGCTAGCCAGTTTTCCCAGCACTATTTATTAAATAGGGAATCCTTTCCCCATTTCTTGTTTTTGTCAGGTTTGTCAAAGATCAGATGGCTGTAGATGTGTGGTATTATTTCTGAGGGCTCTGTTCTGTTCCATTGGTCTGTATCTCTGTTTTGGTACCAGTACCATGCTGTTTTGGTTACTATAGACTTGTAGTATAGTTTGAAGTCAGGTAGTGTGATGTCTCCAGCTTTGTTCTTTTTGCTTAGGATTGTCTTGGCAATGCGGGCTCTTTTTTGGTTCCATATGAACTTTAAAGTGGTTTTTTCCAGAGAATTGACATCTTTATTGTGTTGATTTTTCCAGTCCGTAAACATTGGAGAAAACATTCAGTCTTTCATTGTCAAATATAATGTTAGCTGCAGATTTTTTAAATACATGTTCTTTATCAAGTTGAGAAAGTACCCTTCTATTCCTATGTTTCTGAGAGCTTTAATCATCAATGGATATTACCTTCTGTCAAATGCTTTTTCTAATTTAGTTAATACGCATACTTTTGTGATTTTTTTTAGCCTGTTAATGTGGTGGATTACATTGATTGATTTTCAAATATTAAATCACCCTTGCATTCCTGGAATAAACACCACTTGGTCATGGCATACAATTATTTCTGTATGTTGCTGAATTCTTTGTACTATTATTTTGTTGTAGATTTTTGTTTTTGTATTTATGATGAATATAGATCTGGAGTTTTCTTTTCCTCCAATTATTTTTACCTTTAATTAATAGGTAAGGCTCTCAGAACAATTGTATTATGTCAGTTAAATTTTATCACTTTCAAATCTGACACATTTTGAAAAACATCCTGGCCAGGTGCGGTGGCTCACGCCTATAATCCCAGCACTTTGGGAGGCCGAGGCGGGCGGATCACCTGAGGTCAGGAGTTCGAGACCATCCTGGATAACACAGTGAAACCCTGTCTCTACTAAAAATACAAAAAATTAGCTGGGCATGGTGGCAGGCACCTGGAGTCCCAGCTACTTGGGAGGCTGATGCAGGGGAATTGCTTGAACCCGGGAGGCGGAGGTTGCAGTGAGCTGAGATCACGCCGGTGCACTCCAGCCTGGCAACAGAGCAAGACTCTGTCTCAAAACAACAACAACAACAACAAAATACATCCTTCCGGTAAGATTTAGAAAATAATAATAAGAAGAAAAACATTTTTAAAATACATAATAGTTATTATTGGCCGGGCATGGCGGCTCACGCCTGTAATCCCAGGACTTTGGGAGGCCGAGGTGGGCGGATCACGAGGTAAGGAGATGGAGACCATCCTGGCTAACACGGTGAAACCCCGTCTCTACTAAAAATATAAAAAATTAGTTGGATGTGGTGGTGGGCACCTGTAGTCCCAGCTGCTCAGGAGGCTAAGGCAGGAGAATGGTGTGAACCTGGGAGGCAGAGCTTGCAGTGAGCTGAGATTGCGCCATTGCACTCCAGCCTGGGTGACAGAGTGACAGAGTGAGACTCCGTCTCAAAAAAAGTTATTAATACACAAATAATGAGCTCCCCTGTCATACTTAATGTTGGCTTGATTTAAATTATATTTATGGCTAGGCGTGATGGCTCACACTTGTAATCCTAGCACTTTGGGAGGCTGAGGCAGGCTGATCACTTGAGCCCAGGAGTTCAAGACCAGCCTGGACAATGTGGCAAAAGCCCATCTCTACCAAAAATATAAAAATGAGGTGGACATAGTGGCACACGCCTGTAGTCCCAGCTACTCAGGAGGTTGAAGCAGGAGGATCACTTAAGCCCAGAAGGTCAAGGCTGCAGTGAGCTATGATTGCACAACTGCACTCCAGCCTGGGCAACAGAGTAAGACCCCATCTCTAAATAAATAAATAATTTATATAATACTCTGAAGTAATAAATCCCAGTATATAATGAGGTGTTTATGATGCTTCATTTTGATTTTGATTTAGTTCCAAATATTTCTCTCTACTCTTTTTTATTAAAAACTCGTGTCACTTCAAGTTCTAAATATTTTTAACTTTCTCTTGAGATTTCTTCGACTACTGTATTATTTAAAAGTGCTTTGTTTAATTTCCAAGTGTTTTGAGATTTTCCAGCTATCTTTCTGTTACTGATTTCTAGTTTAATTCCATTATTGTAAGAGAGCAGAACATTGTATGATTTCCCTTTTACATTTGTCAAGGTGTGTTTCATGGCCCAGAATGTGGTCTGTCTTGATGAATGCACCATGTAAGCTTGAAAAGAAATGTTGTCTGCTATTTTTGGTTGAAGTAGTCTGTAGAGTCAGGTTATATCCAGTTTGTTAATTGTGCTATTAACTTCAACTATATTCTGATTTTCTGCCTGCTGCATCTGTCCATTTCTGAGAAATGGATATATTAAAGTCTGCAGTGATAATAGTGGATTCATCTTGCAGTTCTATCCATTTTTGGCTTACATATTTTGACACTTTATAGTTAGGTGCACACGTTTAGTATTTTATTTTCACAGAGTACTGATTCCTTTATCATTTTGTAATTCCCCTCTTTATCTCTGATCATTTTCTTTGAAAAGAAAAAAGTTTTCCTGTTTGTACCATCTTTGTCTAGTTTTTGTATCAGAGTAATACTAGGTTATAAAATGAACTAGGAAGTGTTTCCTCCTCTTCTGTTTTCTGGAGGAGATTGTATAAAATTGGGTGTTAATTCTTCTCTAAGTGTTTGGTAGAATTCTCCAGTGAAACCTCTGGGCCTGGAGATTTCTCTTTTGGAAGTCTTAAAATTGTGAATTATTATGAATTAAACTTCTTTAATAGTTACAGGGCTATTCATATTATCTATTTCATAGTGCATGAATTGTGGTAACTTGCTTTTTGAGGAATTGGTCCATTTTGTCTTATCAAATTTATATGTATAAGGTTTTTGGTAGTATTCCCTTATTCTTTTGATGTCTGTAGGGTCTGTTTTAATTTTTAATTTTTGTGGGTACATACTAGGTGTATCTATTTATGGGATAAATGAGATGTTTTGATATAGGTATACAATGTGAAATAATCATATCATGGAGGATGGTATATCTATACTATGGGGTCTCTTGTGATATCTCTTTTCAGTCCTGATACTGGTAATTTTGCATCTTCTCTTTGTCTTTTTCTAGAGGTTTGCCAATTTCACTAAAGAATCAGCTTTTTGGCCAGGCGCGGTGGCTCACACCTGTAATCCCAGCACTTTGGGAGGCCAAGGTGGGCGGATCACGAGGTCAGGAGATCGAGACCATCCTGGCTAACATAGTGAAACCCCGTCTCTACTAAAAATACAAAAAATTAGCCGAGTGTGGTGGTGGGCGCCTGTAGTCCCAGCTACTTGGGAGGCTGAGGCAGGAGAATGGCATGAACCCGGGAGGCAGAGCTTGCAGTAAGCTGAGATCCAGCTACTGCACTCCAGCCTGGGCAACAGAGCGAGACTCCATCTCAAAAAAAAAAAAAAAGAACCAGCTTTTTTTGTATCATTGATATGTTCTATTGTTTTTCTGTTTTCAAAGTCATTGATTTCTGCTCCCTGTTATATCCTTCTTACTGCTTGTTTTTGGTTTAATAATAATTTTTTTTTGAGACAGAGTCTCACTCTGTCACCCATGCTGGAGTGCGGTGGCACAAACTTGGCTCACTGAAGCCTCTGCCTCCTGGGTTCAAACAATTCTCCTGCCTCAGCCTCCCAAGTAGCTGGGATTACAGGCGCACGCCACCACACCCAGCTAATTTTTGTATTTTTTAGTAGGGGTTTCACCATGTTGGCCAGGCTGGTCTTGAATTCCTGACCTCAAGTGCTCTGCATGCCTTGTCCTCACAAAATGCTGGGATTACAGGCATGAGCCACCATGCCCAGCCTTTTGTTTTGTTTGGTTTGGTTTTTAAAGACACGGTCTCAGTTGCCCAGGCTGGAGCACAGTGGGCATGATCATGAGGCTGCCTGCAGCCTTGACCTCCTGGGCTCAAGCTATCCTTTCTCCTCAGCCTTCTAAGTAGCCGGGACTACAGGCACACGCCACCACACTCAGCTAAATTTTTATATTTCTGTAGAGACAGGGTTTCACTATTTTGCTCAGGCTAGCTTGAATTCCTAAACTCTAGTAATCTGCCCACCTCGGCCTCCCAAAGTGCTGGGATTACAGGCGTGAGCCACTGTGCCTGGCCTATGTCTCTCTTAATCTCAATTTTTGAGATTATTGATTTGAGATATTTCCTGTTTCTAATGTAGCTATTTGCTGCTCTAAATTTTCCTCTCAGCATTTCTTTAGCTTTGTCTCACAAATTTCAATATGTTATATTTTTATTTTCATTCAGTTCAGTGTATTTTTAAAATTTTTTCTTTGAGATTCTTCTTCGATCCATGGATAATTTAGAAGTGTGGTGTTTAGTATACAAGTATTTGGAAATTTTTCTGTTATTTTTTATTGAATTGTAGTTGGAGAATATATGCTGTATGATTTGAGTTCTTTTAAATTTGTTCAGGTTTGTGTGATGGCCCAAGATATGGTCTGTCTTGATATATGTTTCTTTTTTTTCTTCTTCTTTTTTTGAGACGGAGTTTCACTCTGCCACCCATGCTGGAGTCCAGTGGTGCTATGTTGGCTCACTGCAGCCTCCACCTGCTGGGTTCAAGCACTTCTCCTTCCTCTCCTGAGTAGCTAGATGTACAGGCGCACCCACCACCATGCCCGGTAATTTTTTGTATTTTAGTAGAGACGGGGTTTCATCATGTTGACCAGGCTGGTCTCGAACTCCTGACCTCAGGTGATCTGGCCGCCTCAGCCTCCCAAAGTGCTGGGATTACAGGCGTGAGCCACCGTGCCCTGCCAATCTTGATATATGTTTCATGGGCACTTGAAAAGAATGTACATTCTGGTGTTGGGTGGAGTGTTGTATAAATGTTAATTACCTCTTGTTGGTTGATGGTGTTAAGTCCTTCTATATCCTTGATTTCCTGCCTAGTTGGTCTGTCAGTTATTGAGAGAATTCACCACCGTATCAGTCTTTGAGTCCTAAAGTCCCTAACTAGCCTGACTTCTCTCTACCCTTCAGTCTTCTTATATTTCTTTAATTTACAATGTCTGGGTTTTTAGTTGTACTTAGAGGGAGGAATAGGAAAAAGCATATCTACTCCATCTTCTAGAAATTAGAAGTGGTACTTACATTTCTACTTTTATATTTTAAAATAATTCCCCGGGGTGGGCCGGGTGTGGTGGCTCACACCTGTAATCCCAGCACTTTGGGAAGAGAAAAGATTGCTTGAGCCCAGGAGTTTGAGACCTGCCTGGGCAACGTAGGATGACCCCCATCTCTACAAAGTAAAAAAATTAGCCTGGCATGGTGGCATGGCCTTGTAGTGCCAGCTGCTTGGGGGCTGTGGTGGGAGGATCCCTTGAGCCCAGGAGGTCACAGCTGCAGTGAGCTGTGATCACGCCATTGCACTCCACTGTGGGTGACAGAGCAAGACTCTGTCTCAAAAAAAAATAATAATTAATAATATTATTCTCATCTTTTCTTACCTGGGTCAGGTCCTAAAGCAATTTAAATCACTTGTAGTTTCTACTAAGGAGTCTCACCTCTGAGTTATAACCCTAATGTGAAAATAATAGGCAGTAGCGGGAAGCACCTGCAGCCACTCTGGGGCCGGCTTGTTAACCTCAGCACTACAACTTGATCTGCCGGTTAGTGGTTCTTAAATTTTGCTGTTTATGAAAATCACCTAGAGAACTTTAAAAACTCTCCATACCCAAGTTACTAATTAAGTCATGATGTGATAAGAGCCAGTCACTAGCATTGTGTGTTTTTTGTTTTAATAAATTTACAAGTGATGGCTGGGCGCAGTGGCTCACGCCTGTAATCCCAACACTTTGGGAGGCCAAGGCGGACAGATTACAAGGTCAGGAGATTGAGACCATCCTGGCTAACATGGTGAAACCCCATCTCTACTAAAAATACAAAAAAATTAGCCGGGCATGGTGGCAAGCACCTGTAATCCCAGCTACTCGGGAGGCTGAGGCAGGAGAATGGCCAACCCAGGAGGCAGAGCTTGGAGCTTGCAGTGAGCCAAGATCGCACCACTGTACTCCAGGCTGGGCTACAGAGCAAGACTCCATCTCAAAAAAATTTAAAAATAAATAAATAAAAAATAAATAAATTTGAGTGATTTCACTGTGTAATGGAGTTTGGGAACCATTGTTGCATTGTGTCAAAGGAAGTATCTAACTCACATTGCAGCTGCAAGAGCTTAGGGAGGTTTCTGTTTGTTCATTTTTCTGTTAACAGTTGAAGCTCTGTTTATTCCCCTTTTGGTCCCAATTATAGGATCACCTAAGACCAAAAACAGAAGGGGACTTCTTCTTTATTCTTAAAACCTAAACCTGTGGGTTCCCTGAAATCTCTCCTATCCTTTGATTCATAAGTGTCCGCAAAGTTTTTTTTTTCTTTTTTTTAAGGTCCATATTGTAAATATTTTAGGTTTTGAGGGTTGTTACAGTCTCTGTCACAACTACTTACCTCTGCTTTTAGACAGCAAGAGACAAAACAAATGGGCATGACCATGTTCCTATAATCTTCCTCATCTCTAGAAAAAGTAAATTTGCATGGTGGCACATGCTTGTAGTCCCACCTGCTTGGGAGGCTGAGGTGGGAGGATTGCTTGAGCCCAGAAGGTCAAGGTGGCAGTGAGCTATGATTGTGCCACTGCACTCCAGCCTGGGCAACAAGACCCTGCCTCAAAAACAAAAAATCGACCACAAAAAAACAGGTTGTGGTCAGGATTTGACCCAAGAGTTGAGTTTGCTGACCCCAGTTATAATCATTCAGATGTTCCTCTTGTGAAGCATTGAAGTTCAGAATCATTTACAGGATAGAAGCCATCTTCTGATACCACAGACCGAGTCTGCCTGTATATATATTAGAGATTCCAGTGTGACCATTCTTGAGCACAGGGGCTGATGCTTAACTTCTGGGCTTCATCAACTGTGATTCTTCTCTATTGCTGGGAAACCAGTGTGAGAAGGAATTGGTTGAGTGAGCATAGACAGACCCATACTTACTTGAATTGCTTGAATCTACACATACTTAAAATAAGGTTCTATGTTTGAAGCAACTGAACTGATAAATCACCCAACTCCTCTCTCTAGCTCATTTGATGTTAATATTGGCTCTAGAGCTACTGGCTAATATGGTACCATTAGTCACATGTGGCTAAACTTATATTTAAGTTAGTTAAAGTTAAATAACATTTAAAATTTAGTTCCTCAGTTAACTGTTCACCTTTCAGGTAACATACATGATATGTGGCTACCATATTGGACAGCACAGATATAGGTCTTTTCCAGCTCTCTTGACCGTGCTTCTCTGGAAGTTTAAGCCATGAATCTTAGACAGTTCTAACTTTGGGATGTTTAAAATCACTAACTTTTAACTTCTTTTTTCCTCTTTATTCATTTAGCCAAAACTCATTTTATATAATTGAAAGTAAATATAATACACCTTTTGGTTTTAGAAAAAAAGGAAAATGACTTTCATGGTATCAAGAAAGTAACTGATTAAGAACTATTGGAATATGAACTTCCATATTAATTGGAAGCTTTATCATGGGAAGTTAAAATATTGCCTTATATGAAGATTTTATTAAAATGGTATAAACAGCAGAAATTACACTTACTGAGTAACTTGTATGTGCTAGGCATTGAGTGCTTTGTAGCTGAAGCTCAGGAAAGTTAAGTAAATTCCACAGAAGTGTGGCTGGTACTGGTGTTTGAACCCAGACCTGTGTGATGACTTCAAAACCTTTGCTTTCCTGTTATACTGTGCTACTTCAAATTTGTTGAAGATTGTGGTAAGTATTTTACATGTTTTATCTTAGGAAGCTGTAAGATATATTACTGATAAACCGTGTTCATTTAAATGAGACAAGTCATCAATTTTCCTTAAAATAAGAAATATTTAATACAGGCTTTTTTCCCTTAAGAAATATGTGAAAGAAAAGGAAAATTGTCAGTGATCCTATTACAGTTTGGTGGACCAGTATTAATAGGATTTCTATTATTTAAGAATATCGAGATTTTATTTATAAAATTGCTATTATGATATAATTTTTTTATATTGTAAATTGTCAGTTTGATGACTGCTAAGAATTACAGGTTTGTTTGAAGTTTATTTTTGCAAGACAGTGCAACAGATTCTGATATATTTTGATAATTTTCAAGGCCCATTTTTCAAATTATACTCTGAAGATTACATTTAATGGAACAAAACAAATTGGTAACAATTAGGAATATTCACACAATCTTTATTTTGCACAGGAAAATAAGATTGTCTTGTGACGGTGATCAATTAAACAGATTGTCAGATATGATTCCTTAAGCTAGATTATTAAATAGAAAAAAATTCACTCTTTGTAGCTGCAGGGCAGAGGGGACATTACCTCCACCATCTCTTCCTGAGAATCCCATTTGTTAATTATGAATTTTTTTTTTTTTTTTTTTTGAGACTTAAGTCTAGCTCTGTCACCCAGGCTGGAGTGCAGTGGCGCAATCTTGGCTCACTGCAACCTCCGCCTCCCAGGTTCAAGTGATTCTTCTGCCTCAGCCTCCCCAGTGGCTGGGATTACAGGTGCCCGCCATCATGCCTGGCTAATTTTTGTACTTTTGTAGAGGTAGAGATGTGGTTTCACCATGTTGGCCAGGCTGGTCTCAAACTCCTGACCTCAGGTGATCCGCCAGCCGTGGCCTCCCAAAATGCTGGGATTACAGGTGTGAGCCACCGTGCCTTGCCTGAGTCTTGATGTTTTGAGTGGTCTGGCAATGTCCGTTTTTTAGTTGGAGTGTTTAGACTATTTACATTAAATGCAATTTTCAATGGTATTTAAATCCACCAATACAGCATCTGTTTTCTCCCCTCCCATCTGGTTCTGTTCACTTTCACTTCCTTCTATCTTCTGTTGGATAGAAGATATTTTAAAGAATTCAATTTATATTCACAATTAAATGATTGACTACACATAATTCTATTTTTGTGTTTCTCTAGTGCTTATGACACACATCTTAAATTTATTTCATTATAACCTCAGATAATATTATATCAACATACTTAAAATGAGGGAAATTACATCAATACATTTACACTTACCATCTCCAGTTTTTGTGCTTTTTGTGCTGTTACAGTCACAAATTTTAATTTTTCAAATATTATAAGCATCACAGCACATTATTTTGTTTGTAATGATGTTATTTGTTTTAGTTCATAATCTTTTAAAGATATTTTAACATGAGCATTATTTTATATTTACAAACTTTTTTATTGTTTTTCAGTGCTTTGCATAGATCTGAGTTTCTATCATTTTCTTCTGCTTCAAAAATTTTTAAAACATCTACTGTATAGATCTGCTGATGACAAATTTAATTTAGCTTGTCTGAAAATGTGTTTATTTTTTCATTGAATTCTAGATTTGCAGATTTAACTCCATATTTGCCACCTTGAAGACATCATTCTATTGCCCTTATGGCATTCACAGTTTCAGAAAAACTATATATAGTCATTTTTTTTTTTTTTTTTTTTTTTTTTTTTTTTTTTTTTTGAGACGGAGTCTCGCTCTGTCGCCCAGGCTGGAGTGCAGTGGTGGGATCTCGGCTCACTGCAAGCTCCGCCTCCCAGGTTCACGCCATTCTCCTGCCTCAGCCTCCCAAGTAGCTGGGACTACAGGCGCCCGCCACTACGCCCGGCTAATTTTTTGTATTTTTAGTAGAGACGGGGTTTCACCGTTTTAGCCGGGATGGTCTTGATCTCCTGACCTCGTGATCCGCCCGCCTCGGCCTCCCAAAGTGCTGGGATTACAGGCGTGAGCCACCGCGCCCGGCCAATATATATAGTCATTCTTAACTTCTCTGTAAAGGTAGCAAGTATTCCTTGCCTTCCTTTTTATTTCTTTTAATTTTCTTATCTGGTTTTCAGTTACTTAACCATGATATGACATGGTGTGATTATCTTTGAAGGAATAACTTTACAATTTTTAAATTAAAATTATATATCTGTATATTCAAAGTACTAAATATTAAGCTGCTTGATATTACAGCAAACTATTCTAGAGCTCTTTTTATTTTTTAACCTTTATACTTTTCTCTGTGATTTGTTTTGTTTAGTTCAACATTGCTATGTCTTCAAGTTCACTGATCATTTTTACAGGTTTCCAGTATGACTATAATAATTTATATATTATTTAAAAATATTAGCTATTGCTACTCACAATTGCAAACACATGGTATCAACTCTAGTGCCCCTCAATGATAGACTGGATAAAGAAAATGTGGTACATATACACCATGGAATACTATGCAGCCATAAAAAGGAAAGAGATCATGTCCTTTGCAGGGACATGGATGGAGCTGGAAGCCATTATCCTCAACAAACTAATGCAGGAACGGAAAACCAAACACCATGTTTTTTTTTTTTTTTTTTTTTTTTTTTGAGACGGAGTCTCGCTCTGTCGCCCAGGTCGGACTGCGGACTGCAGTGGCGCAATCTCGGCTCACTGCAAGCTCCGCTTCCCGGGTTCACGCCATTCTCCTGCCTCAGCCTCCCGAGTAGCTGGGACTACAGGCGCCCGCCACCGCGCCCGGCTAATTTTTTGTATTTTTAGTAGAGACGGGGTTTCACCTTGTTAGCCAGGATGGTCTCGATCTCCTGACCTCATGATCCACCCGCCTCGGCCTCCCAAAGTGCTGGGATTACAGGCGTGAGCCACCGCGCCCGGCCAAACACCATGTTTTTGCTTATGAGTGGGAGCTAAATAATGAGAACACATGGACACAGGGAGCAGAACAACACACACTGGGGCCTGTTGGGTGATGGAGTAGGTCTGGGAAGAGCATTAGGAAAAATAGCTAATGCATGCTGGGCTTAATACCTAGGTGATGGGTTGATAGGGGCAGCAAACCATCATGGCACACGTTCAACTATGTAACAAACCTGCACATCTTGCACATGTACCCGGACTTAAACTTAATAAAAAAAGAAAAGAAAATGAAAGGTGGGTGGGGGCATGAAATAAAGAATTCGAGCAGTCTTTACAAACTGTAAAATGCAAGGAAATGGATTCCTACTTAAAGCCTCAAGAAAAGAAGGAATACTTAGTCATTTCTTCCTGCAATTTTAAGCTAATACATAGCACCATTTTCCTATTACAGAAAATATTTTCTTTATACAGTTATCCTTCAGTTTACATGGGGAATTGATTCCAAGTTTAAGCACTACAAACCACTGCTAGAGGAAATAAAAGGGGACACAAACAAATGGAAAACATTCCATGCTCATGGATAGGAAGAATCAACATCGTGAAAATGGCCATACTGCTCAAAGTAATTTATAGATTAAATGCTATTCCTATAAAGCTACCATTGACTTTCTTCACAGAATTAGAAAAAAAACTACTTTAAATTTCATATGGAACCAAAAAAGAGCCTCTATAGCCAAGACAATCCTAAGCAAAAAGAACAAAGCTGAAGGCATCATGCTGTGTGACTTCACACTACACTACAAAGCTACAGTAACCAAAACAGCACAGTACTGGTAGCAAAACAGATACATAGACCAATGGAACAGAACAGAGGCCTCAGAAATAACACCACACATGTACAACCATCTGATCTTTGACAAACCTGACAAAAACAAGCAATAGGGAAAGGAGTCCCTATTTAATAAATAGTGTTGGAAAGACTGGCTAGCCGTATGTAGAAAACTGAAACTGGACCCCATCCTTACACCTTCTGTACAGCAAAAGAAACTATTATCAGAGTGAACAGGCAACCTACTGAAAGGGAGAAAATTTTTGCAATCTATCCATCTGACAAAGGGCTAATATCCAGAATCTACAAGGAACTTAAACAAATTTACAAGGAAAAAAACATCAAAAAGTACGCAAAGGATATGAACAGACACTTCTCACAAGAAGGCATTTATGTGGCCAAAAACATGAAAAAAAGCTCATCATCGCTGGTCATTAGAGAAATGCACATCAAAACCACAATGAGATACCATCTCATGCCAGTTAGAATGGCGATCATTGAAAAGTCAGGAAACAACAGATGCTGGAGATGATGTGGAGAAACAGGAACGCTTTTACACTGTTGGTGGGAGTATAAATTAGTTCAACCATTGTGGAAGACAGTGTGGTGATTCCTCAAGGATTTAGAACCAGAAATATCATCTGACCCAGCATCCCATTACCGGATATATATCCAAAGGATTATAAATCATTCTACTATAAAGACACATGCACATGTATGTTTATTGCAGCACTGTTCACAATAGCAAAGACCTAGAACCAACCCAAATGCCCATCAATGATAGACTGGATAAAGAAAATGTGGTACATATACACCATGGAATACTATGCAGCCATAAAAAAAGGCTGAGTTCATGTCCTTTGCAGGGACATGGATGAAGCCAGAAACCATCATTCTTAGCAAACTAACACAGGAACAGAAAACCAAACACCGTATGTTCTCACTCATAAGTGGCAGTTAAACAATGATAACACATGGACACAGAAAGGGGAACATCACACACTGGGGCCTGTTGTGGGGTGGTGGGCTAAGGGAGGGATAGCATTAGGAGAAATACGTAATGTAGATGACGGGTTGATGGGTGCAGCAAACCACCATGGCACATATATACCTATGTAACAAACCTGCATGTTCTGCACATGTATCCCAGAACCTAAAGTATTTTTTTTAAAAAAAAGCCTTTCCTCATTTAATTGATTTAGTGCCTCCACTTACTTTAAAAACAATCACACATGTTCCCTGATAGATGACAGCTGTCAGAGTTAATTATTGATTAAATATAATTAGACTATATTGTGGATGTCAGTCTCATCTCACATCGTCTGTAGTAGGAAAAAAATGTGAATGTGTGTTCTTTAGTTTAAAACATCACGTGGTAGACAATGATTACAAAAGGGGAGATGTGGCTCAGTCAAGGAAAGCATGAAACAAGAAGAGGGAAGACTGAAGGAGCAGTTTTCTAGACAGAGAAGAAAGGCCACACCAGGTATAAAGATGAACCACTACGGCACAGGCATTGAATGCCATAAAACCAAAGCTACCTCTTCATTTGGAACTACATCCTAGCAAAGAGAAGAATGTGATTTCTTTATTGCAGTTCAAAGTTGAGTCCTAGTTAATCATTACACAAGCAGTGAAGCAGCAGTCAGCCAATGCTGTCTGCAGTAACTCAGGTGGGTTATGCACAGGCAATGCAATCACAATTAACATAAGCCCATGTAGAATGTACATTATTATTCATTTTTTAAGACAGAGTCTAGACCTGTGGCCCAGGCTGGAGTGCAGTGGCACAATCTTGGCTCACTGCAACCTCTGCTTCCTGGGTTCAAGTGATTCTCCTGCTTCAGCCGCCCGAGTAGCCGAGATTATAGGCACGCACCACCACTCCCAGCTAATTTTTGTATTTTTAGTAGAGACAGCGTTTCACCATGTTACCCAGGCTGGTCTCAAACTCCTGACCCCAAGTGATCCGCCAGCCTCGACCTCACTAAGTGCTGGGATTACATGTGTGGGCCACTGGGCCCGGCCATCAACATGTGTTTTCCCTCGTCTTTCTTCCTTACTGCCCTCCTCCAACCTTTTACATGGTTCTCTAATATAATGTCTATATTGTTGAATAAAGGACTGACTTTCAAGTAGGGCTTTCAGAGAATGTCTCAGTTCTCTGCTAAAACTTATTATACACATTATTATTTCTTCTTTCCTGGTTCTCCTCCTCCTCTTAGCTAACCACGAAGTCTGACCCTTCTAGTATTGGAGTGTGGGGAGGACAGAGAGATGGAGACAAGAAGGCAGGAAAGTTCTTACTAGAGTGGTGTCAGTGGTGAACTGGAGCCAGCTCCTAGCAGCTTGTAAGAACTGACTGTTAAACTTTCAGGAATTTGTAATTCAGTTACTACATAGAACCATTAATGCACATAGAATTGTAATTAAATAAATTGTATTTAAAATAAATGCAATAAATACTAAAAACTCTTCACTTCCTAATTATTTTGTTACATTTTACGCTGGGGTCAGTGGAGGAGGAGAGACAGGAAAGAAACAAATAATAATGTAAGGAAATAATTTTAGAACATTTACACCACAAAAATCTTCAAATGCCACAAATCAGGGCTATCCCCCGACAAAGATTCTTTGCTTAGTCAAACTTTAGTCAGGCTTCTGAGCCTTCCCCTAGGTCCATCTTAGAGAGACATCGTAAAATCCAGTTTTAGCAAAGAGCCCTGCTAAGTCAGTTTAGCAAGAACTTTTCAGACTTAATTTCCTCGCTCTCCTCCTCCACTGACCCCTGAGTAAAATGTAGCAAAATAATCAGGAAGTGATGAGTTTTTAGTGTTTATTGCATTTACTTTAAATACAATTTATTTAATTGTAATTTTATGTGCATTAATGGCTCTATGTAGTAACTGAATTGCAAATTCCCGATCACCCCTGATATCTGATGAGGTTTCTCCAGGTGAGGACTGATCACACTGGCCTGTCTTTAGCAAGAATATCGTTAGGCTGGCTTAGCCAAAATCTTACCCTTGATGTTTTACCTCTTAGTAATTTTCAATCCACTGACCACACCCTGCTCCTTGGCTATAAATGCCCACTTGCCTATGCTGTGTTCCGGGGTTGAAACCAATCTCTGTCCCCCACTACGAGACCTTATTGCAGTGGTCCTGAACAATGTCTTCCTTACTGTGCTTTAACACGTGTCACTAAATAAGTTTTTGTTTAACAACTTCCCCCTGGTTGTTTAACATTTACCAGCACACATCTGTCTGAGTAGTATTGTTCTAAGGCAGTTTTGCATCCTCTGAGTCTGGCATTGGTTTAAAGCTGACTCTATCATAAGGAATTTTGTAATGCCTTTAGAGACCTGACCTACCACTGATGGGTAATCCTTCACATTCAGTTCCCTTCATCTGGGAGAAAGGAATTTTTTTTTTTTTTTTTTTTTTTTTGAGATGCAGTTTTGCTCTTGTTGCCCAGGCTGGAGTGCAGTGGGCGTGATCTCAGCTCACTGCAACCTCCGCCTCCTGGGTCCTGCCTCAGCCTCCCCGGTAGCTGGGATTACAAGCATAGGCCACCATGCCCGGCTAATTTTGCCTTTTCAGTGGAGAAGGGGTTTCTCCATGTTGTTCAGGCTGGTTTTGACCTCCCGACCTCAGGTGATCCGCCTGCCTCAGCCTCCCAAAGTGCTGGGATTACAGGTTGAGCCACCGTGCCTGGCCAGAGTTTTGCTCTTTTTGCCCAGGCTGGAGTGCAATGGCATGATCCCGGCTCACTGTAACCTCTGCCTCCTGGATTCAAGCAATTCTCCTGCCTTAGCCTCCCAAGTAGCTGGGATTTACAGGCATGCACCACCACGTCCGGCTAATTTTTTGTATCTTTTTTAAACAGAGACAGGGTTTCACTATGTTGGTCAGGCTGGTCTCGAACTCCTGACCTCAGGTAATCCACCCACTTTGGCCTCCCAAAGTGCTGGGATTACAGGCGTGAGCCACCTTGCCCAGCCTCAAAGATTCTTTATTTCATCCTTGGAATACAGAACGCAAAGTCCATCTCCATTTTCTCTACTGAGGGCTGTTCACCTTTCAATCTGTCCTATCAACAGGATTTAACCAGGCTGGTTCTCACTTGAGTATATCTCCTATGCAGCTTGTAAGGAATACTTGTTGGCTGAATAAATCCTGGCAGTGCACACTGATCATTCTCTTTGCTCTACCATCACACCATTTATGATCAGAGCCAATCATAGTTTCTTATCCATTAGGTTTCTCAGGTGTGAATCAGATACCAGTCTTCTGTGTCCCTAAATGCAGAAGACATGTCAAGCCTTCAAGAGATTCTACTGAAACCCCTTTCACTAGACTTGACTGGGGGAGAGAGACAAGTCACAGCTTACCAGCAGCCCACCTGAAGATTTCTCTAAATAAATCATCACAAAAATCCCCTGCACATCTCTCCTCTTTCAAACATTTAATGTCCTCAGTATAGATGATGGCTGTTGGTCATCTTGTGTTTAAATTCCTGTAGGGTGGTTGATCTCACAGTTAATTACAGTATATGATACCTATTGTTTCTTGGTGCCTTATTCAGAACTTTCAATTTAACATAATAGAATATCTTTATAAATTCAGACAAGGAGAGACTTTTTTTGGGGCGAGGGTGTGGGGACAGAGTCTCACTCTGTCACCCAGGCTGTAGAGAAGTGGCACAATCTCAGCTCACTGCAACCTCTGCCTCCCAGGCTCAAGCAATTCTCCTGCCTCAGCCTCCCAAGTAGCTGGGACTACAGAAGCATGCCACCACACCTGGCTAATTTTTTGTATTTTTTTTTTTGTAGAGAAGGGGTTTCACCATGTTAGGGTGGTCTCGATCTCCTGACCTCATGATCCACCTGCCTTGGCCTCCCAAAGTGCTGGGATTACAGGCATGAGCCACCGTGCCCAGCCAAGGAGAGACTTCTTAAACAAGATACAAAATCATCATACACACACCAGTCAAGATTGAATAATTGCACACAAATCATGTGGTAATATGACGCCCTCCTGGGGCAGGCCTACGCCACGACAGACAATTCATTTTTTTACATTAATATTTATTAACAACAAAAAAATTAATAAATTGCACAACGTGAAAATTAAGAACTTCTGTTTATCCAAAGACACCATTCTCTTTCCCAATTAGAAGAAGATACTTAAAACACATATAACTAGGAAAAGACTAAAACCCAGAATATATAAAGAATACCTAGCCAGGTGCCGTAGCTCATGCCTGTAATCCCAGCACTTTGAAGGCCAAGGCAGGTGGACTGCTTGAGCCCAGGAGTTCCAGACCAGCCTAGGCAACACTGTAAGATCCCATCTCTACACAAATTATAACAAATTAACCGGGCATAGTGATGCATAACTGTAGTCCCAGCTACTTGGGAGGCTGAGGTGGGAGGATCGCATAAGCCAGGAAGGTTGAGGCTGCAGTGAGCCACGATTGTGCCACTACACTCCAGCTTGAGAGTGAGACTCTGCCTTAAAAAAAAAAAAAATACCTGTACATCAACATCAATAAGAAAAAGATGAACCACCCAGTAAAAATTGGGGAAGCGCCTTAAATAGGCATTTCAAATAAGAAAAAACATATATATGACTGATACCATATTAAAAGGTGAAATCGGCCAGGTGCAGTGGCTCACACCTGTAATCCCAGCATTTTAGGAGGCCAAGGCAGATGGATTGCCTGAGGTTAAGAGTTCAAGACCCACCTGGTCAACATGGCAAAACCTCATCTCTACAAAAAAGACAAAAATTAGCCAGGCATGGTGATGCATGCCAGTAATCCCACCTACTTGGGAGACTGAGGCACAAGAATCGGTTGAACTTGGCAGGCGGAGGATGCCGTAAGCCGAGATTGTGGTACTGCAATCCAGCCCGGGTGACACAGTGAGACTCCATCTCATAAATAAATAAATAAATAAATAAATAAAAGATGAAATGATAGAAATGCAAATTAACACCATAATAAGATGCAATTTCATAATTAGCAGATCGACAACAATTTAAAAGTCCAAGACCAGCAAGTGCTGGTTGGGTCACAGAGCAGCAGGAACTCTCCCACACCACTCGCAGGAATAGTGACACCAGCACTGTGGAAGCAGTTAGGCAGCATCTCCTAAATTGAACATGCATCCTACAACCTAGTAATTCCACTCCTAGAAAAACCCCTACAGGACACCCAGGAGACATGCACAGCATTTTTTATAACAGCCAAAAGTAGAAACAACCCAATTGTCCTTACACGGAGGGAGTAGATCTAAATATTCATCAAGAGGAGAATGGACAGATACATTGCAGTACTTTATGTGACAGGGTATCTTATGACTGAGAAAATGAGTGAAGATATATCAACATGGATGAATCTTAGAAATCATTCTTACAAAGTTAAAAACAAAAAAACTAAATAATATGTTATTTAGGACGCTTTTATTTGTGGTAAAACTTGAAATAAAAGGAATAAATTATAAACAAAATTTTAGAGTAGCAATTACTTCTTGGGAGAGGCAGATAAATGGAGTGGGGAAGAAGTCTCAGGGGACTCAAAAACATTGGTAATGGCCTCTGCCTTGAATTGTATTGTGCATCACAGGGTGGTTTTCTTGTTATTATTCTTCATTGCTTCCACAGGATGAAGATATACATATAGTAGATGTTATTATGTATGTTAATTATAAAGTAAACCATATATTATATATACTATACAACACTAACATAATGTTAACTTATATAGTATGTATTAATTATATACAGTATATTAATATTAATTATGTAGTATACTATATAGTCACCCTGAGTGATGGAGTTCTGTATTATAATTTTCTACATTTCCCATGGGCTGGGCATGGTGGCTCACACTTGTAATCCCAGCAGTTTGGGAGGCCGAAGTGGCCACATCACTGGAGGTCTGGAGTTCGGGACCAGCCTGGCCAACATGGCGAAAACCTATCTCTACTAAAAATACAAAAAATTAGCTGGGCATGGTGCCACATGCCTGTAATCGCAGCTACTCAGGAGGCTGAAGAAGCAGAATCACTTGAACCTGGGAGACGAAGACTGCAGTGAGCCAAGATCGAGCCACTGCACTCCAGCCTGCATGACAGAGCACAACTCTCTCTCAAAATAATAATAATAATTTTCTACATTTCCATAATTGCTTAAACATCAATGCAATACATTCATAATCAAAAGACGGTGATTTTTAAATAATGTCTAGAATGCTTGCACAGTTTTTTGAAAACTGATCTGAACCTTCAGTCTAGTGTCATGCTACGGGAGGGATAATCTCTAAAGATTTGACATTGCTATCTAGTTGACAAGTAGGTGTCAAAATGCTAATGCACAATTTCAACTATGCCAACATTGCCTTTATGTATTTATTTAATTTTTTTAGACAGAGGCTTGCTCTGTTACCAAGGCTGGAGTGTAGTGGCACGATCTCAGCTCACTGCAACCTCTGCCTCCCGGGTTCAAGTGATTCTCCCTGCCTCAGCCTCTGGAATAGCTAGGATTACAGGTGCGTGCCACCATGCCCGCCTAATTTTTGTATTTTTAGTAGAGACAGGGTTTCACGATGTTGGCCTGGCTGGTCCTGAGCTCCTGACCTCAGGTGATCGGCCTGCCTCAGCCTCCCAAAGTGCTGGGATTACAGGCATGAGCCACACTGTGCCCAGCCACCAACACTGCCTTTAAATATTCAGTATTCCTTAGTCAGTATTACTACCCTTCTTATCTTTTTGAAGATATACTTCCCATCTTTATGTTGAGGCTTTTATCCTATTTCCAACATCACTAAGCTTCCCTTGAACTGTAAAATTCAGTAACTCAGAAGCCTTGGATGAAAACTAAGATTCTTTTCTTCCCCCAGCCCTTTAGCAATATCTAGTGGCTATTTAGAGACAGCACAAGACAAACATTTTCCTACGTGAGGATCAATGGTATCGATGGCAAATTTGACTTAGCAAAAAAAAAAAAAAAAAAAAGAAAGCCTTAGGTCTTCAAACAAATAAAATCTCTCCTGTGATTAAGTAATTTTACATGCATGGGTGTATATGTCAACACTTAAGATAAAGTGTCAGGCCTCTGAGCCCAAGCCAAGCCATCGCATCCCCTGTGACTTACACATATACACCCAGATGGCCTGAAGTAACTGAAGATCCACAAAAGAAGTAAAAATAGCCTTAACTGATGACATTCCACCATTGTGATTTGTTCCTGCCCCACCCTAACTGATCAATGTACTTTGTAATCTCCCCCACCCTTAAGAAGGTTCTTTGTAATCTCCCCACCCTTGAGAATGTACTTTGTGAGATCCACCCTTGCCCGCAAAACATTGCTCTTAACTTCACCGCCTATCCCAAAACCTGTTAAGAACTAATGATAATCCACCACTCTTTGCTGACTCTTTTCGGACTCAGCCCACCTGCACCCAGGTGAAGTAAACAGCCATGTTGCTCACACAAAGTCTCTTTGGTGGTCTCTTCACACGGACGCGCATGAAATTTGGTGCCATGACTCGGATTGGGGGACCTCCCTTGGGAGATCAATCCCCCGTCCTCCTACTCTTTGCTCCACGAGAAAGATCCACCTACGACCTCAGGTCCTCAGACCCACCAGCCCAAGAAACATCTCACCAATTTCAAATCCGGTAAGCGGCCTCTTTTTACTCTCTTCTCCAACCTCCCTCACTATCCCTCAACCTCTTTCTCCTTTCAATCTTGGTGCCACACTTCAATCTCTCCCTTCTCTTAATTTCAATTCCTTTCATTTTCTGGTAGAGACAAAGGAGACACGTTTTATCCATGGACCCAAAACTCCGGCGCCGGTCACGGACTGGGAAGGCAGCCTCCCCTTGGTATTTGATTCACCCACATTTCAAAGGCGTCAGACCATGCAGGGACACCTGCCTTGGTCCTTCACCCTTAGCGGCAAGTCCCCCAACCCCTTCTCTCCTTGTCTCTACCCCTTCTCTGCTTTTCTGGGGGAGAGGCAAGTACCCCTCAACCCCTTCTCCTTCACCCTTAGCGGCAAGTCCCGCTTTTCTAGGGGGCAAGAACCCCCAATCCCTTATTTCTGCACCCCGACCTCTTATCTCTGTGCCCCAATCCCTTATTTCCGCACCCCGACCTCTTATCTCTGTGCCCCAATCCCTTATTTCTGCACCCCAAGCTCTCATCTCTGTGTCTCAATCCCTTATTTCCATGCCCCAACCCTTTCTCTGCTTTTCTGGAGGGCAAGAAGCCCCCACCCCTTCTCCATGTCTCTACTCTTTTCTCTTGGCTTGCCTCCTTCACTATGGGCAACCTTCCACCTCCCATTCCTCCTCCTTCTCCCTTAGCCTGTATTCTTAAGAACTTAAAACCTCTTCAACTCTCACCTGACCTAAAATCTAAGCATCTTATTTTCTTCTGCAATGCCGCTTGACCCCAATACAAACTTGACAGTAGTTCCAAATAGCCGGAAAATGGCACTTTCAATTTTTCCATCCTACAAGATCTAAATAATTCTTGTCGTAAAATGGGCAAATGGTCTGAGGTGCCTGACATCCAGGCATTCTTTTACACATCAGTCCCTTCCTAGTCTCTGTGCCCAGTGCAACTCATCCCAAATCTTCCTTCTTTCCCTCCCGCCTGTCCCCTCAGTCCCAACCCCAAGCGTCGCTGAGTCTTTCTAATCTTCCTTTTCTACAGACCCATCTGACCCCTCCCCTCCTCGCCAGGCCAAGCTAGGTCCCAATTCTTCCTCAGCCTCCGCTCCTCCACCCTATAATCTTTTTATCGCCTCCCCTCCTCACACCTGGTCCGGCTTACACTTTCGTTCCGTGACTAGCCCTCCCCCACCTGCCCAGCAATTTACTCTTAAAAAGGTGGCTGGGGCTAAAGGCATAGTCAAGGTTAATGCTCCTTTTTCTTTATCCCAAATCAGATAGCGTTTAGGCTCTTTTTCAGCAAATATAAAAACCCAGCCCAGTTCATGGCTCATTCGGCAGCAACCCTGAGACGCTTTACAGCCCTAGACCCTAAAAGGTCAAAAGGCCATCTTATTCTCAATATACATTTTATTACCCAATCTGCTCCCGACATTAAATAAAACTCCAAAAATTGGAACCTGGCCCTCAAACCCCACAACGGGACTTGATTAATCTCACCTTCAAGGTGTACAATAACAAAAAAAAGTTGCACTTCCTTGCCTCCACTGTGAGACAAACCCCAGCCACATCTCCAGCACACAAGAACTTCGAAACGCCTGAACTGCAGCGGCCAGGCGTTCCTCCAGAACCTCCTCCCCAAGGAGCTTGCTACAAGTGCCAGAAATCTGACCACCAGGCCAAGGAATGCCTGCAGCCCAGGATTCCTCCTAAGCCGTGTCCCATCTGTGCAGGACCCCACTGGAAATCGGACTGTTAAACTCACCTGGCAGCCACTCCCAGAGCCCCTGGAACTCTGGCCCAAGGCTCTCTGACTGACTCCTTCTTGGCTTAGCGGCTAAAGACTGACGCTGCCCAATCACCTCGGAAGTCCCGTAGACCATCACGGACGCTGAGATTTAGATAACTCTCACGGAGAGTAAGCCCGTCCCCTTCTTAATCAATACGGAGGCTACCCACTCCACCTTACCTTCTTTTCAAGGGTCTGTTTCCCTTGCCTCCATAACTGTTGTGGGTATTGACAGCCAGGCTTCTAAACCTCTTAAAACTCCCCAACTCTGGTGCCAACTTAGACAATACTCTTTTATGCACTCTTTTTTAGTTATCCCCACCTGCCCAGTTCCCTTATTAGGCCGAGATATTTTAACCAAATTATCTGCTTCCCTGACTATTCCTGGGCTACAGCTGCATCTCATTGCGGCCCTTCTTCCCAATCCAAAGTCTCCTTTGCGTCCTCCTCTTGTATCCCCCACCTTAACCCACAAGTATAAGATACCTCTATTCCCTCCTTGGCGACCGATCATGCACCCCTTACCATCTCATTAAAACCTAATCGCCCGTACCCCGCTCAATGCCAATATCCCATCCCACAGCATGCTTTGAAAGGATTAAAGCCTGTTATCACTCGCCTGCTACAGCATGGCCTTTTAAAGCCTATAAACTCTTACAGTTCCCCCATTTTACCTGTCCTAAAACCCGACGAGCCTTACTAGTTAGTTCAGGATCTGCGCCTTATCAACCAAATTGTTTTGCCTATCCACCCCATGGTGGCAAACCCATATACTCTCCTATCCTCAATACCTCTCTCCACAATCCATTATTCTGTTCTGGATCTCAAACATGTTTTCTTTACTATTCCTTTGCACCCGTCATCCCAGCCTCTCTTCACCTTCACTTGGACTGACCCTGACACCCATCAGGCTCAGCAAATTACCTGGGCTGTACTGCCGCAAGGCTTCACAGACAGACCCCATTACTTCAGTCAAGCCCAAATTTCATCCTCATCTGTTACCTATCTTGGCATAATTCTCGTAAAAACACATGTGCTCTCCCTGCTGATCGTGTCCGATTAATCTCCCAAACCTCAATCCCTTACAAAACAACTCCTTTCCTTCCTAGGCATGGTTAGCATGGTCAGAATTCTTACATAAGAGCCAGGACCGCACCCTGTAGCTTTTCTGTCCGAACAACTTGACCTTACTGTTTTAGCCTAGCCCTCATGTCTGCGTGCGGCGGCTGCCACTGCTTTAATACTTTTAGAGGCCCTAAAAATCGCAAACTATGCTCAACTCACTCTCTACATTTCTCATAACTTCCAAAATCTATTTTCTTCCTCATACCTGACGCATATACTTTCTGCTCCCCGGCTCCTTCAGCTGTACTCACTCTTTGTTAAGTCCCACAATTACCATTGTTCCTGGCCCAGACTTCAATCTGGCCTCCCACATTATTCCTGATACCACACCTGACCCCCGTGACTGTATCTCTCTGATCCACCTGATATTCACCCCATTTCCCCATATTTCCTTCTTTCCTGTTCCTCACCTTGATCACACTTGATTTATTGATGGCAGTTCCACCAGGCCTAATTGCCACACACCAGCAAAGGCAGGCTATGCTATAGTATAAGCCACTAGCCTGCCTCTCAGAACCTCTCATTTCCTTTCCATCGTGGAAATCTATCCTCAAGGAAATAACTTCTCAGTGTTCCATCTGCTATTCTACTACTCCTCAGGGATTATTCAGGCCCCCTTCCTTCCCTACACATCAAGCTCGAGGATTTGCCCCACCCAGGACTGGCAAATTAGCTTTACTCAACATGCCCTGAGTCAGGAAACTAAAATACCTCTTAGTCTAAATAGACACTTTCACTGAATAAGTAAAGGCCTTTCCTACAGGGTCTGAGAAGGCCACTGCAGTCATTTCTTCTCTTCTGTCAGACGTAATTCCTCAGTTTAGCTTTCCCACCTCTATACAGTCTGATAACAGACCAGCCTTTATTAGTCAAATCAGGCAAGCAGTTTTTCAGGCTCTTAGTATTCAGTGAAACCTTTATATCCCTCACGGTCCTCCGTCTTCAAGAAAAGTAGAATGGACTAAAGGTCTTTTAAAAACACACCTCACCAAGCTCAGCCACCAACTTAAAAAGGACTGGACAATACTTTTACCACTTTTGCTTCTCTCAGAATTCAGGCCTGTCCTCGGACTGCTACAAGGTACAGCCCATTTGAGCTCCTTTTTATTAGGCCCCAGTCTCATTCCAGACACCGGGCCAACTTAGACTGTGCCCCAAAAAAACTTGTCATCCCTACTATTTTCTGTCTAGTCATACTCCTATTCTCCGTTCTCAACTACTCATACATGCCCTGCTCTTGTTTACACTGCCGGTTTACACTGTTTCTCCAAGCCATCACAGCTGATATCTCCTCGTGCTATCCCCAAACTGCCATTCTTAACTCTTGAAGTAAATAAATAATCTTTGCTGGCAGGGCTATGCTGAATCTCCTTAGGCACTCTCTAATCAGATGTCCTGAGTCGTCCCAATTCTTAGACCTTTTATACCTGTTTTTCTCCTTCTCTTATTCCATTTAGTTTTTCAATTCATACAAAACCGTATCCAGGCCATCACCAATAATTCTACACAACAAATGTTTCTTCTAACAACCCCACAATATCACCCCTTAACATAAAATCTTCCTTCAGCTTAATCTCTCCCACTGTAGGTTCCCACGCCGCCCCTAATCCCGCTTGAAGCAGCCCTGAGAAACAGCGCCCATTCTCTCTCCATACCACCCCCCAAAAATTTTCGCCGCCCCAAGACTTCAACACTATTTTATTTTTCTTATTAATATAAGAAGGCAGGAACGTCAGGCCTCTGAGCCCAAGCCAAGCCATCGCATCCCGTGACTTGTACGTATACATCCAGATGGCCTGAAGTAACTGAAGATCCACAAAAGTAAAAATAGCCTTAACTGATGACATTCCACCATTGTGATTTGTTCCTGCCCCACCCTAACTAATCAATGTACTTTGTAATCTCCCCCACCCTTAAGAAGGTTCTTTGTAATTCTCCCCATGAGAATGTACTTTGTGAGATCGGCCCCTGCCCGCAAAACATTGCTCTTAACTTCACCGCCTATCCCAAAACCTATAAGAACTAATGATAATCCACCACTCTTTGCTGACTCTCTTTTCGGACTCAGCCCACCTGCACCCAGGTGAAATAAACAGCCATGTTGCTCACACAAAGCCTGTTTGGTGGTCTCTTCACACAGACGCGCATGAAATAAAGTCATACAGCTGGCATTTCCTCATTTAGCCTGCTGTAAACATAGGCAACAGTTGTTACTACATTACATAATGGGCATTATGATAAAGAACCTCAACAAAGATCTGAAGCAAGAGTGCCAGCACGGTGTGAAAACATCTAAAAGCAAAATGGAAGAACTTGTATAGAATGGCATCTTTCAGGAACAGAAGTCTCTAGGCATAGAAGCAGAGATTAACAGACGAGACAGAGCAAGAGGGGTGGGCTAGGGAGGGAGCACAAGAAGAAAAGAATACAGAAAAATCATTGGGATGAAGAGATTTATAGAATCCAGAGTTTTTATCCTAAGATAACTGCAGCCAGTCATTGCACGCTTAACCAAAAGTAGGTTTCTCTTCATCCTTCAAGCCTGCTCCCCCAAAGATGTTTGCCATCTTTCCCTTTGACTTGCTGCATTACCTATCTCATCTCACTTTCACTGGAGGTTCTGCTCCCAGGTAGATGATGGGTGACAGCTGATGACTGAGAGAAAAGAAGCTCCTAACTTCTGTCTGTAGAAGTAGATAAAGAAACTATAACTGCAACCTCTCCTGTTCCCACCAACACTTGAGTCCTAACAAAAGCAGCTCTTTTCCTAGAAAGCTGGTCACATTCCTAAAAAGAGTTTGCATTCTGACCTTTACGAGTTAGGTGGAGACTCTCTCAACATTATTCCAGTTATAAGAAGGGGATGGCCTGAGAGTCAGGCAACCTGGGGCTCTTTAGCCTCATTACTTTTTAACCCTATTATCACACTTTAATCTCTCTGTGCCTCAACTTCTCTATCTAAAAACTAGATATGATTACTCATACCCTTGCAATTTTCACAGACAGTTCTCCATGATCAATTAACGTTTACCAAAATGTTTTCCCCATAGAAAAAACCCATGAAGCCTAGACAATACTATTAGCATTCCCATGCACACCTATGAAACAAATACCTGCTTATGGCTATCAACATGTGGTGCTGGGCTGACCTCCACACAAGTTAGGTAAACTGAGTTTTGCAATCTAGCACTATGTTGTTCCAATTTAGCTTATGATGGGAGAACACAGAACATTATTGAGGAATTTTTGAGGCAATATGTTGGGGAGTCAGCAAATGTGAGTTAGGGGAAGGGAGGACTTGTCCCATCAGATATTAAAATATATTTTAAAGCTCTGTTGGTTAAAATATCATGATATACTGGATCAGGGATAGACAGATAGCTCAATGAAATGTAATGGGGACCCCATAAACAGATCTACGTATGAAAATGCTTGGGAATGCAGATCAATAGGGAAAAAAAGAAATATTTAAGACAGTGTTGGAACCATTAGTTATTTGTGTATAAAAAACTGATTCTGGATCCATACCTCAAACTGTACACAAACTCAATTCCAGATGGATCAATGAAAAAGCCACGTTTCAAAATTTGGAAGAAAATACAAAATATCTTTTTATAATCTCAAGATAGGAAAGGATTTCATAAACAAGACACAAAAAACAAAATTCACAAATAAAAGATTGATAAACTTTGCTCCATAGAAATTAAGAATTGTGTTCTTTGTGGTGGTTGTTGTTTGAGATGGAGTCTCTCTCTGTCACCCAGGCTGGAGTGCAGTGCCATGATCTCAGCTCACTACAGCCTCCATCCACTGGGTTCAAGCAATTCTCATGCCTCAGCCTCCCAAGTAGCTGGGATTACAGGCATGTGCCACCACACCCAGCTAATTTCTGTACTTTTAGTAGAGATGGGGTTTTGCCATGTTGGCCAGGCTGTTTCAAACTCCTGACCTCAAGTGATCCGCCCACCTCCGCCTCCAAAATTTCTGGGATTACAGGAGTGAGCCACCACACCCAGCAAGAATTGTGTTCTTTGAAAAGACAAGGAGAGAGTAAAAAAGGCAATGCATAAACTGGCAGAAAATATTGCAGAACATATAACCAGGAAATTAGTATCTAGCTTATATAAAGAACTCTTCTAAATCAGTAAGAAATCTAACAATCCAATAAAAAAAAGGCAAAGATTATGAACAGGCATTTCTCACAAGAGGAAGTATAAACAGTGGGTAAACACATGAAAGGATGTTCAACTTCATTTGCAGTGAGTAAAATACTTGCACATGCACGTTTATAGCAGCACAATTCACAATTTCAAATGCTCATCAATGAGTGGATTAAGAAATTGTGGTGTGTGTGTGTGTATATATATATATGTATACACATATACCATTTAGCTATAAAAAGGATAAAAATAATGGCATTCACAGCAACCTGGATGGGATCAGAGGCTATTATTCTAAGTGAAGTAATGTAAGAATGGAAAACCAAACATCGTATGCTCTCACTTGTAAGTGGGAGCTAAGCTACGAGGATGCAAAGGCATTACAATACTATAATGGACTTTGGGGACTTGGGAGAAAGGGTGGGAAGGGGTGAGAAATAAAAGACTACGAGTTGGATAGTGTATACTGCACAGGTGTTGGGTGCACCAAAATCTCACTAATCACGTCTAAAGAACTTACTCATATAATCAAACACCACTTGTTCCCCAAAAACCTATGGAAATAAGATAAAGAATTTTTTTGTGTGTGCATACACATATTTTTTAACTTTTTTCCACAGGTTCATTGAGATATAATTTATGTATTATTTAATTCACTCATGTAAAGTATAAAATTCAATTTTTTTAGTGTTATTAACTGGGTGGATAAACAATCACGACATAATTTTAGAACATTTTTATGCTCCTTAAAAGAAACCTTACACCCATTAGCAATTTTTCCCACTCTTTCTTTAAACCCCTCCCAGCACTAGGCAACCATCCATCTATTTCCTAAGAATTTGCCTATTCTGGAAGGATTTGCCTATTCTGGACATTTCATGGAAGTAGAATCATAATAATATACAGTTACGTGTGACTCACTACTTTCACTTATCATGTTTTCAATGTTCATCCTTTTCAGAGTATGTATTAATATCTTTCTTTTTCATTGTCAATATTTTATGGACAGGCCACATTTCATTAATGATGGACATTTCTGTTGTTTCCTACTTTTTGTTGCTATAAATACCTGTATGCTACTTTTTGTGCAGGCACCTTGTTTTAATTTCTTTTTGAGGTATACATAGGAGTGAATTTACTGAGTCACGTGGTAATTCTATATTTAACCTTTTGAAGAACCGTTTCATTTTTCTGCATGTGGCTTGCCAATTATCCCAGGACCATATGTTGAATAGGGTATCCTTTCCCCACTTTGTTTTGTTTGCTTTATCAAAGATCAGGTAGTCTGATGCCTCCAGGTTTGTTCTTTTTGCTCAAGATTGCTTTGGTTTTTCAGCATCTTTTGCGGTTCCATACAGATTTTAGGACTAATTTTTCTATTTCTGTGAGGAATGGCATTGTAATTTGATAGTGGTTGCATTTAATCTGTAGATTGCTTTGGGTAGCATTGAAATTTTGACAATATTAATTTTTTCAGTTCATAAATATAGGATGTTTTTCTGTTTATGTCACTTTCAATTTCTTTCATCCATGTGCTATAATTTTCAGTATACACATCTTTCACATCCTTCATAAAAATTACCCCCTAGTCTTTTACTTATATATTTGTTTTGATACTATTATAAATGGAATTACTTTATTATTTTTCAGGTAGCAGTTTGTTACTGGTGTATAGAAACAAGAATTATATTTTTATGTTAAATTTTGTAACTCTCAACTTTATTGAATGTGTTTATAAGCTTTAACTTTTTTTTTGGTGGAGTCCAAGATTTTCTCTATGTTAAGATTACACTGTCAGAAAACAGAGACAATCTTACCTCTTCCTTTCCTATTTGGATGCCTTTCATTTTTTTGCCTTGTATAATTACTCTGGCTAGTTGATTATATGTAATGTTTTCCGCATTTGTAACCTGACCTCAAATCCATCTGTTGTAATACACTGATTGTTACTTTTCAAACTTGAAAACCTGGACTTTTTCACTACTCTCCCTTTCTCTTGGTCTGCTTCTTATTAAAAAAAAAAAACCTATCAATGTAAACCAGGACAGATCATTATTTTTCTATAAAACAATTTCAAAGGCATTAAAAAATTTTTAATCTAACACTTTTAAACTTTGTATGTCAATGTTTAAACTGTGGTCTCGCAAAACAAATCCATTAACTTTAGTGGCAGAAATTACGCTAATCCCTACACTATCACTGGGTCTAGCCAAGAGTTGACCAAAGATGCTATTATTAGATATGCTTATTTATTACCTTGTTCTCACAGTTCTAGTGTAAGTCTTGAAAATCTAGAAAAAATTTGTAAAGATTATAGTTGCACAAACTCCCTCTCTCATGAGTCACAGTTAATCCAGAATATTACTTCTAAGTTATCATAAAGCCAACAAGTATGATATACTGTTTAAAAATAATCCTAATTTTATAAATATATTCTATAAATTAAACATGTAATCGATACTATTTATTGAATATCTCATAATTATATTTATTTACATAGAAACAAAGGAATCAAAAGCATCTCTTATATAACATTTAAATGACTAAAAATACTTGATAGCATTGCTACATAAATGCTATGTAAAAGACAACAGTAAAAATGTCATTCCCTACATTTGCTAAATATATTGAGACACATTATTTTTTAAATATATCACTAATGGTTGGTTCAAGTGGGCAAAAATGATTCTAAGTATTTAATTGTGGAAAAATGTAGTACAGGGGATAGTATTCATGTGATGGAAGGGTTTTAAATGGAGTCCAGGGATTAGCAGCAGCAGGACGTTTTAATGACCAACAGGTGCAGAGTCTAGGATACAAGACAGAACTGTAGATAAGTCTGAATCTTTTCAGCATATCTAGGAGACATGGCTAACTCCACCTGTTCCCAGGCCTTACCTAGAAATTTCACGGCTCCAAGCCAGGTAAACACAACAATTTTCCAAAGTCAAAGAATCAATTTATGACATTAAAGCACTTCTAAAATTTAACCTCTGACTTAAATTAGACAAAATGGATAGATTTTGAAGATATTTTTATTCTACCAATGATTTTAACACCGTCTTTATTTTCCAAAGATTAGTGAAGTCATGTGAAATAAAAGGCATTAGAGCCTCTGTTTTTCTGACAAAATATTTAAGAGCTTTCATTTTCTGTTAAGTCGAGTACTTAGAGCTCCTTTATATATACATCACATACACAACACTTCTGGACAGGACACGATCTAGCAGTTGTAAGTTTTTCTTTCACATTTTATGAACCCTAACACAACTTCCACAGACCATCTAGGACATGATTTAACTTTGTGACTTGTCCTGTATTTCCCTCTGTTGTGATTAGTCATTCTACTTTAGGACAAGAATTTGCCATACAAGATCCTCTCTCACATAACATTTCTTTCCTTCATAATATTTCTTACCATAAATACATCTTCATATCCACAACTTTCTTTAGATCTCTTCCCTCTACTAATTTCTGATGCCCACTCAAACCAAAAAGGTCAGATAATGCAAGGCAAAACAGGAGAGCCTTAGATTTTGAGAGGGACCTGTCTGCTTAAAGTTCTTGGGGTTCCATGAGGAAAACAGAGGTTTCTCCTAAAATGGGTTTGTGGCACCTTCTGTTTTTCCTTCAGCAGTCTCAGGCTATCAGAAATTACCTTAGATTCTCTCATGTGGGCATCAAGAGTGGCAACAAGAAAGATTAGGGAAATAATCCAGACAACTGAGCAAAAAAAGAACTTACTACTGTCCCTACTGTAAAGGTGGATAAACTGAGGCACCATGCGGTTTAAAAATTCATGTTCACATAGAGTCAGGCTCCACAGCTCACTCTCTTAACCATCCTGTAATTTTGCCGACTCTATGCCCAGTCACGGATGCACCTGTATGGTAGCTCATGGCCCCCTTAGAGCTTAGAATCTGGGTTTCATTCCTGCTCTACAGCTATATAATTTAACAATTTTCCTCTGAATTTGTTGGATTCTAATCCTACATATCTCAAATTTTATTATTACTGAATCTTAAAGGAGGCTGTGATGTCCTTAGTCTTTAGAAATATTAAACCTATAAATAAAGGGCTATATGAGGTTAAACGTATTCAAATTTCTATATGGTTTAAAACATTGAGGAAATGTATTGACAAACAAACTTAAGAAACTGCAACCAATCTACTCTGGACAAAAATTTAGATACTATCTCTTCAAAATAAGCTATCTAGTGGTATTTACACACATTCTTCCATATATCAACAGTATTTCACATGCTCATAACCTTAAAAATAACTGAAAGTGTCAGAATTATAGGCCTTACACATTTCTGTGGGCTTGAAAAATGATACAATATAGATTGTCTTTAAGGCAGCTAAGAAAATGCATAAACTTCTAGAGTAATCAGTTTAAAAAAAAAAAGAGTTCATACCAAAGGTAGTAATACTACGATTAAAAGAGAGCTCAACACTGCAGGTTCTTAAAGGCAAAAGTTAATAAAGCCTTGTTTTTGGTAGTGAATCTCTGCCTTGCAAAATTATACACATGATTCTCCCCCCTTCATTTGCCTCTTGCAAAAATGTGGTGATGAACCAGGTTTGCTCATGCAGATGATGATACTCTTCAAAATGGTTGCAGAGAAATAAAATGAAGGGAATATGGTTCACTTAATAATCTCATAAATTAGAACTTATTACCCCAGTGACTCTTACATAGCTCCAGACAAATATTTGAGAGAGATGAAATGGCCTTTTGCTACCAATATCTTATGTGATGCTTCACTTTTTGGTTCCTTGGATAACTACTTACAACTCATTAGCCCATTTATGCCAGAGGTTGCAATTTTTTGAATTTTTGCATGAGTGAAAAATCAGACCTTGTCAATGACCTTGAGCAGTATAAGTAACTCCCACATGCTTAGCGTTCCAATAATGGAACACTAGGCCTAAGTGGGTTAACACAATAATGAAATCATAGCTATTCAACTAATTATACGACTTATTTGTTTCCTCATCTCTAAAACATAGTAAGGGACCAGTTATTTTAAAAATACATCACAGTGACAAGTTTATTTTTCACTCAGTTTGGGCTTGTTGTTTAAGGTCATTGCTTGGCATAAAGAAAACAAAAAGAGGAGAAACAAGAATAGAAACATCAAATAGAAGCAGCAGCAGCAAAAGAAAATGAAGAGGAACAAGAAGAAGAAAATACAGACTGGAAGAAAGGAAAAAGAACAGGTGCGTGAATTAGAAGGCCTATTATACCTTTTATCCTTTCCTCGATTCATGAAATTTGAGTTAAGTCCAAGAGTATCACAACAAAAAACAAGCGAAAAGATACACAAAAAGTCACCCCCTGAATTTTGTTAAGAATTAGACAATGCTGCCACTCATGCCTGGCTCAGGCGCCAGCAGGAGGAGGGCACCCTCCAGAGATTGCAGGACAAGGAGGAAGACTCCTCCTTACCCTACATGCACCTCCACCACTGCCACTGAGGCCCGCATTATAGCACCTTAAGGTTCGTCCCCACCCCAGGACAGGATGGGCAAGTGAGCGCTCCTACTCCCCTTCCCAGCCCCCAGACTTGCCGCTGCTACCAACGCTAGCGCCGATGCCAGTACAACCGCTGTTGCCCTCAATGCACCAGCCCACCCTACAAGGCTCCTATCACTTGGCCCCCACGGGTGCCCTCCTACCACTCTGGTCAAGCTGCAGTCTCTGTTGCTGCCACCAACCTCATGAGGCAAGCTGCAGAGCCACGCCATCTACAGGCTCCAGCATACCACAGGTGACTCCTCCTCCTCCTCCAGCCTGGCTGGGAGCAGTTGCGCAGGCAAAGCCAGAGAAACCTAGAACAGGATGCAGGGAGTGGAAGTGTTAGAGCTTCACCTTGTCACGCTGGCCACTGGGCGGCAGGGACCATTTCATTAAAGGCACTCACACCCACCTTCCAAAGTCCAGCCTCTCTTTCTGGCAAAAGCTGGCCAGGAACTGGGGCCTGGGCTGGGTGTGAGTGCCTTCACTGAAACCGGCTCCTGGCCAAGTCCAGCTGGCCAGGAATTGCTGGGCCCATCGGCACTGCGCTCTTCGGGGAGCCCGCGTAGGAGAAACTCAGACCCAGCCAGCCCTCTCCACCCAAGTGCTGGTTCCCATTCCTCACGCCTCCACCCACAGTGCCCTGTCCCCCTCCCTCCCCCGTGGTGCCCTCTATTCCCTGCCCGGTAGTCCCAGATGGTCTCCACAACACAGAGCGTGCGTGAGGGCGCGGGCCAGGGAACCACAGTGGGTGTGAGAGCCCTGCGGTGCTCAAGATTGCATGAGCACGAAGAGATCACCCTCTAGAGTCTGGAGTCCGGGAAGAGAAGAACTCCATCCTTCCATGGAGGCCACCAGAAAGAGGAAGGAGGCCACAGCTGTCGCTGCCGCTGCTGCCTCTGCAGCCCACCAACCCCACTGGCAGTATAGCCCCCGATAGCACCCCTAACCTGCCCCCTGTAACCCTGGGATAGCACACCCAACAGCTGCAGGCAATGTAACCAATACCCCCCCAAACCATCCCAACTCCTCGGCCGCAGGCAGTGTTAGCACCCGATAGTGCCCACCTGACGCAGCCACGGGTATTGCTGCACTAGACAGCGCCCCAAACCCGCCCCACCCTCACCCCGCCATGGGCAGTGCAGCTCCTGATAGCGCACCCCCAGTCACAGGCAGTGCAGCACCGGACCACGCCCTTAAACCACCCCCCACTGCCAGCATTGTAGCCCCAGATAACTCCACCCAACCCGCCCCTGCCACGGACAGTGCAGCAGAAGACAACGCCCCTAAGCCATCCACCGCCACTGGCAGTACACGTTAGTGTACACAACCTGCCTCTCCCGACCACCCCTGCCACCTCGGGCAGTGTAGCCCCCCATTCCACCACCAGCAATGCAACCCCAGAGAGTGCCCCCAAACAGTCCAATGCCACAGGCAGTGTAGCCTTTGGCAGTGAGCCCCTATAGTACACCCAACCCTTACCCCCAGAAGAGGGCAGTGCAGCCCTGGATAACTCACCTACCCTACCACATTTCTACCACTGTGGCCGAGCTGCGGTCTCTGATTTCACCACCAACCGCAGCGAGGCGAGCCGCGGAGGCGCAAGCTCCGGCTCCAGCCTCCAGCACGCGGCGGTGCCTCTTCTTTCTGTCTTCCAGCCCGGCAGGAGAAGCTCTCGCTGCTAGCCTCCCTCCTACCGCTCCGTCACCACCACCACCAACAGGGAGGGAGTGCCCCAGGCTCCAGGCTCCAAGCTCCAGGCTCCAGGGGGCGAAAAGTGACGGAGCCTTCCAGTTCTTTAAGCCGGGTACGTAGTAGCTCCCCACACCCACACATAAGTGCCAGAAATGACGCGCCGCTGCCTCAGCATGCTTTATATACTGAGGTTAGGAGACCCTGGACTACATGTTCTGATTGGATGAGAGAAAAACCTCTAGGCCTACTCTGATTGGACTTTATTTTCATGCTGTGATTGGTTGTCTTAAGACTTGCTCTCATCCAATCAGAACATGCAGTCTAGGAACCGGCATGCGCATAACCTCAGGATATAAATAATGCTGAAGCAGAGTTACGTTTTTTTTGTTGTTGTTTTTTTTGTTTTTGTTTTTTTAGGTTTCCGTGTGTTTCTATTGAGCTGCTCAGTGCCCGGCTTAGAAGACCAGGAAAAGGAGTCACAGGTCGTATGCTGGAGGCTTGAGCCGCGGCACCGTGGCGCGGCTCGCCTCGCTGCGGTTGGTGGTGGCGGTGGACATTGCAGCGCGGCTGGAGGGGTAGGAAGAAGAAGATAGTTTTGGGATAGATAGAGGTGGGTAAAGAGTGTGGTTAGTGCCAAAGGGAAAAAAGGATAGCGAGGAGGAGAAGGCGTTGCAAAAAGACGATGGGGAAAAGATGGTGGGGAAAAAAGTTTTTGGGTAGATGGAGGTGGAAAAACAGGGTGCAGAGAGGGAGGGAAGGAAGGTTTTGCAGAAAGACGGTGGGTAGAAAGTTTATGGGTGGATGAAGGGGGAAAAGAAGGTGGCAATTGGGAAGAGGAAAGAGTGGTGAGGGGGGGAAAATGGGCGAGCAGTAGGGAGAGAAGGTTTTGTGAAAAGATGGTGGGGAGAGAAGTTTTTGGGTAGAGGAGCAAAAGAAGATAGCAAGTGGGAGAAGGAAAAAGAGGGTAACCAGCGGGAGGAAGACAAGGTTTTGCGAAAAAACAGTGGCAGAAAAGAAAGATGGTGGAGAAAAGATGGTAGGTAAAAAGTGTTTGGGTAGATGGAGGAGGGAAAGAGGGTGACAAGGAGGAGGAGAAAAGAGGGTGGCGAGAGGGAGCAGGGAAAGAAGTTTGGGGAAAAGACGGGAAAATAGTTTGGGGTAGATGGAAGGCAAAAAGGAGGGTGGCAAGCAGTATAGGGGAGAGAAGAGAACGAGTGGGAAGCAGGGGCAGACTTTGTGAAAAGATGGGGAAATTTTGGGGGGTAGATGGGGAAAAGAGGGAGGTGAGCAGGAGTGGGGAAAAGGCTTTGAGAAAAGATGGTGGGGAAATGTTTTTGGGTAGATGGAGAAGGGAAGGAGAGTGGCAAGGAGGAGCCGGGGGAAAGACGATGAGGAAAACAGTTTTTGGGTAGATAAAGGGGGAAAAGAGGGTGGTGAGCAGCAGTAGGGAAAAGGCTTTGGGAAAAGACGGGGGAAAATGTTTTTGCTTATATGAAGGAGCAAAAGGGCGTGATGACAGCGGGAGGGGGAAAAAGAGGGTGGCCAGGGAGAAGGGGGAAAATACGGTGGGAAAAAAAATACGGTGGGAGAAAGTGTTTGGGTAGATGGATGGGGAAAAGCGTGGTGAGCGGGAGAGTAGAGAAGGCTTTGCGAAATGACGGTAGGGAGAAAACGGTGAAAAAGTTTGGGGTAGATGGAGGAAGAGAAAGGGTGGTGAGAGGGAGAGGGCCAAATGCGGTCAGGAAAAGAAGGTGGGGAAATGGTGGGGGACAAAGGTTTTGGGTAGATTTTTAAAAATAAGATTATTTGTATTTTCACTTTTGAGTAGTTTGAATTCTTTAGATGTTTTGTGTATTAACCTCTTGCCTGATGCATAGTTTGCAAATACTTTCTTCCATTCTCTGGGTTCTGTCTTCATTATACTGATTGCTTCCTCTGCTTTGGAAAAGGCTTTAAGTTTAACGTAATTACATCTTTGCTTTTGTTGCTTGTGCTGTTGATGTCTATTTGAAAATTCCTTGTCCTAACCAATTTCATGAAGCATTTTATCCTATGTTTTCTTCTCTGGTAGTTTCATAGTTTCAGGTCCTGCATTTAAATCTTTATTTTGAGTAGATTTTTGTATATGGTAAGGTAATGGCCTAGATGTATTCTTGTACATGTGGGTGTTGGGTTTTCCTGGTACAGTTTATTGAAGAGATTGTCCTTCCCGAATGTGTGTTCTTGGGGCCTTTGTTAAAAATGAGTTGACCGTAAACGCGTGAATTTATTTCTGATTTCTCTATTCTGTTTCACTTGTCTATGTCTGTCTGTCTCATTCGTTCATCTCTCTGTCTCTCCCCTGCCCCTTTTATTGATAGTACCATACTGTTTTGATAGTACCATGCTTACCATAGATTTGTAGTATATTTTGAAATCAGGTAGTGTGATGCCTCCAGCTTTTCTTTTTATTCCAGATTCTTTTGTCTATCTGAGGTATTTTGAACTTCCATGTTAATTTTAAGATTCTTTTTCTATTTAAATGAAGAATGTCTTGTAGTTGAACACAGATTGCATTGATTCTGTAGATCGCATTGGGTGATATAGATATTTTAACATTCTTCTAGTGCATGGACATGGGATATCTTTCCATTTACTTGTGTCTGCTTTAATATCTTTCATCTATGTTTTATGAAGTTTTCATTTTGGGAAAAGAAGAAAATCTTTGTTCCTTTTTGAGAAGGTGAAAATTTTTTGGTTGTGTAATAAGATTTTGCTGTGTCTGCTAAAGTTGCCAAGCCATGCTAGACTGAGGAACGATGTTGCGTACAGAATGACACTCAAGTTGAAATGTGTCTGTGGGCTGTATGCCCCACCCTGCCCAAGCTAAAGTGGGAAAGGAGAGCCTTGCTTCCTCCAGGGCCTTGCCTGGTCCCACCCGACACTGCCTTCCCCTAACCTAATGAATTACTGTAATAGATTTTTCCGTGTTGAATCATTCTTGAATTTCTAGGTTAAGCCTGACTTTCTCCTGATGCACCTTTGCTTTAAATACTTCTGGATTTGATTTGATTTGTCAATCTTTCATGAATGTCTTTCTTAGCCTCCAGGTCCATAGATATTCAGAGCAATTCTTCCTAAAACAAGATGAGATTTCAGATGCATAAGCCAACCCCTCCCCAGTCTTAACATAATTTGGACAAGTGACGAGTCATTTAACCAGTGTACACCAGTTAGTCCCTAGAATAGATTAAAACATTTCCCCAAAAACTGAAAATGCAAGGTTAAGAGGTTTAGAAAAGTAGTTAATTTCTAAATATTGACTCTGTTTCTGGCTTTAACAATAAGTGACCCCATTTTCCATTCAAACTGTGATTGGTCATCCAAATTATAGACTCTTAAGATAGGCTCAATCAGAAATTTCAGAATTTAATTGCCATGAGATTTCTAACTCAAGTTTATCCAAAATAAGACACAAATACTCTTCTAAGATATTAAGTTGGAAATTTACATGTGTTTGAGGGAGGTAATCACTACAGGATAAGACACTAGGTTCAAATTTCAAGCCAATCAAGACAATTTTTATTTTTTATTTTTTTAGATGGAATCTCACTCTGTCACCCAAGCTGGAGTGCAATGGCGCGATCTCGGCTCACTGCAAGCTCTGCCTCCCGGGTTCACGCCATTCTCCTGCCTCAGCCTCCCGAGTAGCTGGGACTACAGGCGCCCGCCACCACGCCCGGCTAATTTTTGTATTTTTAGTAGAGATGGGGTTTCACCGTGTTAGCCAGGATGGTCTCGATCTCCTGACCCCGTGATCCGCTGGCCTCGGCCTCCCAAAGTGCTGGGATTACAGGCATGAGCCACCGCACCCAGCTGACAAATTCTTAACTAATCTATGTACTCTTTGCCCACAAGCATGCAGCCGCCAATTATGTGGGTTGACAGACGGAATTATAACCATATTTGCCACTGTTTCTGACAGAAGACAAGCCAAAGTCGCACTTTCCACATGTGGGTTTTTATTTCTAGTCCTTCACATTGACCATAGAATCGCCTGTGGCTTCCAAACCTGTCGTAAGCAGTTTGTTGTTGCTCTTCTGTATGTGATTAAGTGGATTTACCTTTTGTATACTCATAGCTACCATCTCTGTTTATCGTTCATTTAGGGTCCTTAGACAAGGTGCAAGACAAACAGAAGAGGGCATGTGGGGTCAAACTCGCTAGCTGCCTGCCTGATTTTTCTGCACACAGGTGAGATATTCCTGCACATCCTCTGGTGACCCCAGAATGAGGGGGACTCGCTGGTGAATTGCCTCGGGCTTCACGTCCAGTACAGGCTGGGTCCCCGTGGTCGCCAAGCCTCCTGCCTGCTCAATGATGTAGGCCACGGGATTGCATTCATACAGGAGCCGGAGCTGTGGAGGAACAGAGGCAGGTGAGTAAACTCTGCAAGTGGCCAAATGTCCCGAGCCATGCCCCTAAAGCTGGGGGAGGAGTTTGTACTGCGGTGCTTCCATCTGGCTAGCATGAGCGCACCATGCACCTTGCAAGAGTGGGCCCGAGCTTTAGAGCCTACAGCAGGCCAGATGCATCAGATGGCACTCATCCAGAAGCCTTGGGGGCCCCTCTGGCCAGGTGACTGAGCCATGTATCTACCCATCTTGTGATCCTTGTGCTTATGAGAGACCTGCCTCTTGACTTGGAAATATGAGATCTAGGCATCTATTTCTTGGTTCAACAAGAAGCAAACTGATGCTGCAGGCCTTGGTGGAAGCCTTTATATGTGAGACCTCAAGGCTGGTAAAGAGTCAAGCTTGGATGGGACAGTAAGGTCACCTTGACCATGCCGGCTTGTCTCTCTGGGGACAGCCACAGTGGCTGGGATTGTGTGGAGGAACTCCACATCTTAAGCTTTGACTTGTCTAACTAGTTTGCCGGTGTTTCAATGGTCTTGTCTTTTGACCCTTAGACTAAGTGAAATCCCATCGTTTGCACTCCCATAGCATCCTGTACTTCCCCTCTGGTACCACTCATCACACTGAGGCCTCTTTAATGCCTGGCTTCCTCTCTAGGCTGCTGTCCATCCTAGCTGGTCACTGTACTATCTGTATTCTCAGTAGTGCCGACACAGAGAAAGTGTTGGCTCCGGCCTGTAATCCCAGGATTTTGGGAGGCCGAGGCAAAAGGATCGCTTGAGTCCAGGCATTTGAGACCCCATTTGAGATAGTGAGACCCCATCTCTACAAAAAATTTAAAAATTAACCAGGTGTGGTAGCGCACACCTGTGATCCCAGCTATTCAGGAAGCTGAAGTGGGAGGATCAACTGAGCCCCGGAGTTCAAGGCTGCGGTGAGCTGTGATCATGCTACTGCCCTCCAGTCTAGGTGACAGAGCAAGAGCCTGTCTCAAAAACGAAGAAAGTGTCCAAGCAAGGCCACTGTTTCCTGCACGAGGGGTCCCAGCCGAGGGCAGAAACTGGGTTGAAATCAGCCTGTGCCCTGCTTGCCAGTCTCTGCACAAGATCCAGGGCTGCTGTTCAGAGGAAGGAAGGCCTTCTCTAACCCTCCTGCAGGCACATGAGAACTGGCAGGAGGCTGCCTGTGTCCTGTGAGTACGCAGTGAATTGAAATGAATGGGGTTGGATTGAATGGACTTTTTAGGTCTATTTCTGTGATGATGTCATGACGCCCCCAGCCTGACTCACAACACACACCCCCATCACCTTAGATTCAGGGTGTCGTTCTGGCCGAGGCCCTGCTGCTGTGCATGACTCAGTATCATCTTCTTCTTTCTCCCCATCAGTGCAACCTGTGTAACTTCCCAAAAGTTCATTCTCCATTATCACCTTACGAAATGGTTGACCCAGCTATGTGCAGCCTTTCCTTACCATTCTTTTCTTCCAGTCCGTTTTGGTGATATGTTTAAACTACTTTGAGAAAGAGTCATATATTATGGTAATTTTTTTCTATTTTTCTATTATATATTTATATGTTATTATATATTATATAATATATATTTACATATAATATGTTATATATTTATATAATGTTATTATATATTTTTTCTATTGTATATATTATATATATTAAGGAGAGGAACATGATGCCTTTGGTCTAGGCTGGAGATCCAGGCATTCGAGAGAAAGTAGGTGAAGACTCCATGGGGGTATTTACTGCCATTTTGGTCAGTGTAAGGTGCCCTCACCCTAGACCTCTGGCTCTTAAAGTAGTGGGTGTCCAGAAGGGTGTAAAAAAGTTGTGGTGCATGCGGGCTGTCTGGGGGCAGATAGTTCTGTCCCTCATTACCCACAGGAGGGACACTGGAGGCCATGCTGTCCAGGACAGTCTAGCCAAGGAGACTCTCACCTTGACAGCTTATAGCGCTCAGCATTTTTCTCCCCTTTTATGTGGGGGATTTGGGGTATCAGATAATAAAGTCTCAGATTGTAATCAATTATCCTGTTGAGTCAACTACTTTAATCAAAAAAAGCTCAGCATTAGTACCTAATGCGCTTGTCTTGGAGCCAAGTTACTTTTGTTCTGACCTCAGATGCCCCTGTTGTAGGAAATTTAATATCAAAATGCCCAGGGCTTCATGGCACCTTGGCCTGCAGGCCATGTGACATGTGACCTGTATTTTTTTTTTTTTTTTTTTTTTTTTTTTGAGATGGAATCTCACTCTGTCACCCAGGCTGGAGTGCAGTGGCGCGATCTCGGCTCACTGCAAGCTCCGCCTCCCAGGTTCACGCCATTCTCCTGCCTCAGCCTCCCGAGTAGCTGGAACCACAGGCACATGCCACCACGCCTGGCTAATTATTTTTTGTATTTTTAGTAGAGACGGGGTTTCACTGTGTTAGCCAGGATGGTCTCGATCTTCTGACCTCGTGATCCACCCGCCTTGGCCTCCCAAAGTACTAGGATTACAGGCGTGAGCCACCGCAGCCAGCCATGACCTGTACTTTCTCTGCAATTAAATCTACACAGCTATACAGATGCAGACACACACAGGATAGGAGTGTGCACATGCACACACAGACACACACACACAGAGAGACGTCGGCACAGGGACCATGACAGCAGAAATGCGGAGATTAGGATCCAACAGAACTTTCAGTATGGGTGGTGGTTATGCGCAGCAAACGCAGATCTATCTATGGAGTGACATGTGCTTAAGGGACATGAGTATGTGATCCCATGTGAGTATTTTCTGACTCATTTACGATCATTTGAATAATTAGTAATAACTGATCTTTATGTTCTCCCCAATGTAACTGAGTAAGTGACCAGAGTGGTTCTAAGAATTTCCATGTCTTCGCCGGGCGCTGTGACTCATACCTGTAATCCCAGCACTTTGGGAGGCCAAGGCGGGCGGATCACGAGGTCAGGAGATCGAGACCATCCTGGCTAACATGGTGAAACCCCGTCTCTACTAAAAATACAAAAAATTAGCCAGGCGTGGTGGCGGGCGCCTGTAGTCCCAGCTACTCTGAGGCTGAGGCAGGAGAATGGTGTGAACCTGGGAGGCGGAGCTTGCAGTGAGCCTAGATGGTGCCACTGCACTCCAGCCTGGGCGACAGAGCAAGACTCCATCTCAAAAAAAAAAAAAAAAAAAAAAAGAATGTCCATTGTCCATGTCTTCTACTTGCCTCACTTAGTCCTCCATGGTGCTTAGCTTTCCTTCAGCACCACTTCTGCAGGCTTATCAGTGTTCTTAGTTCAGTGGGTGAATACACCTGGGCTAAGCACTCACATGAAGAGAAACACCTGATACACCAACCTATTAAAATCTCTCTGGCTTCATGTGCTGTGTGAGATCTCTCAGCGTGGCTTTGATTCTTAGCATTCGAATAATTCAAATCTCAAGGTGACTCTGAGAGACAGAAAAATGTGTCGCTGGTTGTTGGTGTGTCAGAGAAAACAGAGGCCTTTATTTGATTTGACTACTTACCTACGATTTCTGTGATTGGCTAAAATTCAGATGCATTTTTATGGGAGGTTCTCTGCAAGATAGCTGGATCATAAGGTTCTCACTTGATAATACAAGTATTTTAAGTTTTGCATCATTAAGTTGCAATTAGACCTTCCAGGAACTACCTTTCCAGATATATTGGCTGAGTTCTGAGTAGAAGTTCTTATTCTGAGGTTTGGAAATTCTCTAGGGGATACTTGGGCGGACTTCAGGGCATCAGTGAACTCCCTCAACGTGTAATTTGTATGTAATGTGTACGTTTACATGCATTTGTTCTGGGAAGTGTGTTGATAAGTTTTATTAGGCTCCCTATAGGGACCATCATCCCAGATCAGCTGGTGCTGAAGCTAAAAGTCAGATGCAGCCTGTGGAAAGTGAGACACACAGCTGGTTCATGGTGAACGGTGGGTGTGAGGCTGGAGGGGGTAAGACCAGTGAGAATCACCAGTCACATAACGTCAGCCTGTCGCCTTCTTCTTCAAACCTCCCACAGCCTGGAGACTCACTCAAGGGAAACAGAGTTCATTTTTCCTCCCCTGCCCATCCCCACACAGACATGCCATGAAGCAGTGCAGTAGCCAAACAGCAGGTGTGACGGGAGGGAGCTCCCCCACCTCCCTGACCGGATGCACAGCCAGTGGACAAGGGAGAATTACCTTGCCCTTAGGGCTCTTCTGGTTGGCTGGGTACAGGAAGATTCCTCCATAGACCAGGGTGCGGTGCACGTCAGCCACCATGGAGCCCACATACCTGGCCCCATAGGGAGCACTGCCATCCTAGAAGACAGAAAGCGAAGAGACAAGATCCAGTGGCTTTCAGGATTAGCCAGCACCTGCTCGTGGTCACAAGTCCAGTTGGTGTGACCTCTGCCTTCTTGAATCCCTATCCTCCACCCACTAGTGTAGGAATTGAAAAGATTATATAATTGTGCATTTCATTTATTATGAGCTCCTCAAACCTTACCTTGTGACTGGACTTAACAAATGCAGGACTGCTTAAAGTATGAGACAATATCCTGCAGCAATCTTAAAAGAGCCGCTAAACAAACAAAGAAAAAGGAAGTCACCCATCCCACATGCAGTGCCACCTATAGGCTCAAAATAAAGGGATGGAAGCCAAACATATAGAAAGCAGAAAAAAGCAGGGGCTGCAATCCTAATTTCAGACAAAATAGACTTTAAACCAATAAAGTTCAAAAAAGACGAAAAGGACATTACATAATGGTAAAGGGCTCAATTCAACAAGAAGACTTAACTATCCTAAATAATATGCACCTAACACAGGGGCACCCAGATTCATAAAGCAAGTCCTTAGAGACCTTCAAAGAGACTTAGACACCCCCCCACAATAATAGTGGCAGACTTCAACACCTCACTGACAGTAATCACTGAAGCAGAAAATTAACGAAGATACTCAAGACCTCGAATCAACACTAGACCAAATGGATCTGTTAGACATCTATAGAACTCTCCACCCAAAACCAGAAAAATATACATTCTTCTCATCACACACAGCACATACAGTAAAATTGGAACACACAATCAGACGTAAAACAATCCTCAGCAAATGCAAAAGAACTGAACTCATACCAACCACTCTCCAACCACGGCCATCTCATTACTGGGTATATACCCAAAGGAATAGAAATCATTCTATTGTAAAGACACATGCACATGTATGTTCACTGCAACACTATTCACAATAGCAAAGATATGGAATCAACCTAAATGCCCATCAGTGGTAGACTGGATAAAGAAATGTGCTACATATACACAATGGAATACTATGCAGCCATAAAGAAGAATGAGATCATGTTTTTGCAGGAACATGGGTGGAGCTGAAGGCCTAATTATCTTAAGTAAACTAACACGGAAATAGGAAACCAAATGCCACATGTTCTCACTTATAAGTAGGAGCTAAATGATGAGAACACATGGACACAAAGAGGGAAACAACAGACACTGGGGCCTACGTGAGGGTGGAGGGAGGGAGGAGGGGGAGGAGCAGAAAAGATAAGTATTGGATACCAGGTTTAGTACCTGGGAGACAAACAATCTATACAGCAAACCCCCATGACAGGAGTTTACTTATATAACAAACCTGCACAACTACCCCTGAATCTAAAATAAAAGTGTAGAAAATAAAATTACACCTGCATCATAGGAATATGTTATAGTGTTCTGAACCACTGTAGGATGAATATATTTAACAATAATATATGACATATTTTCAAAAAGCTAGAAGGAGGATATTGAATGTTCCCAACACAAAGAAATAATAAATGTCTGAGATGATGGATTTCCTAATTATACTGATCTGATCACTGTATATTATATATAATGAAACATCAGTATGTATCCCATAAATATGTACAATTATTATATGTCAATTAAAAATAAAACAATGGGTCTGGCATGGTGGTTCACGCCTGTAATCCCAGCATTTTGGGAGGCCAAGGCAGGTGGATCACCTGTGGTCAGGCGTTCAAGACCAGCCTGACCAACATGGTGAAATCCCATCTCTACTAAAAATACAAAATATTAGCTGGGCATGGTGGCGGGAGGCTGTAATCCCAGCTACTCGGGAGGCTGAGGCAGGAGAATCGCTTGAACCAGGGAGGCGGAGGTTGCAGTGAGCTAAGATCGTGCCACTTCAGCCTGGAGACAGAGCAAGACTCCACCTCAAAAAAAAAAAAAAAAAAGATGTTCCCAGTGGGGTTTTTGAGGGTGGAGTATCTTACACATGAATTTTGTTTACATTTTCTTATATTTTTTGTTGTCTTTATGTGATGTGTTACACAGGAACACAATTTTTATATTTGGGGAAAACATTAAGTCATAAAATCAAAACATTTAAATACAGAAAGAATCTTTCAGCAGACACACAGTGAACTATCAGGAACTAGAGATGGAACCCATATTCCTAAGCTCCTAGTTTTTTAGCCCAGAAGGACTTGACATAACAGAGACAGGTGTTTCTACTCTAACTTACCTTTGCTCTATAAAGAAAAGCTACGAGAAATCTCTCAGTTAAAGATATAGGTAGATAGATGATAGATAGATAGATAGAAAATAGATACATAGATGATAGATAGATAGATAGATGATAGATAGGTGAGAGTGAGGGAGGGAGCGAGGGCAGGAGGGAGGGATAACTATAGATGCTCGTAACTTGGGGGAGGAGAGCAAGGGCCTCTGAAGGTGTAGGATACAATTTGCCCTTGACTAATTACACCCATTCATTTTTACAACATTGGGGAGAAACATCCTTGGCCCACATCTGCTTATTTTGAGAGTGTTCTGAGAAAGCCACAGTTTTAGCAGAAAAAGCCCAGGAAAGTTCACCGTAGAGTTCTTCTCCACCACATGAATGCTCCTGCTTAATCTTCTCATCAAACAATGGCAATTTTGCAAGAGTTTTGATGGAAAATCACTATAATCCTGATTTAGCTCCTTTTGACTTCTTTTTGTTTCCTAATCTTAAAAAACCTTTAAAGGGCACTGTTGGGAACAGGCCCCCCAAAACCTGGCCATAAACTGGCCCCAAAACTGGCCATAAACAAAGTCTCTGCAGCACTGTGACATGTTCATGATGGTCTTAATGCCCACGCTGGAAGGTTTTGGGTTTACCGGAATGAGGGCAAGGAACACCTGGCCCGCCCAGGGTGGAAAACCGCTTAAAGGCATTCTTAAGCCACAAACAATAGCACGAGTGATCTGTGCCTTAAGGACATGCTCCTGCTGCAGTTAACCAGCCCAACCTATTCCTTTAATTTGGCCCATCCCTTCCTTTCCCATAAGGGATACTTTTAGTTAATCGAATATCTATAGAAACAATGCTAATGACTGGCTTGCTGTTAATAAATAGGTGGGTAAATCTGTTTGGGGCTCTCAACTCTGAAGGCTGTGATTTCCCACTTCACACCTCTATATTTCTGTGTGTGTGTCTTTAATTCCTCTAGCTCTGCTGGGTTAGGGTCTCCCCCACCAAGCTGGTCTTGGCAGGGCACCCATTTTTCTTCAGCAAATAACATTAAAAAGACTGCCTTAAGATTAAATTCCCAGTATCTCAGTTCATTACAGATGGATTAAAGGGTTGGTATGAAGCCTTACAAAAGCATCTGAACTTGATGGAGCTTATGTTGAGAAATAAAGTTTATATTTTATGTTTCTAATCTCTTTTAATTTCATTTTTCCATGAACTTTTTGAAGGCCTCTCATATAATTATTTATTCTAAAAGCAAATGCAACTGAGTGAGTCTATAGGTTGGAGCTTAAACAAATGACTTCAGAGAGGATCTGGCGTGAGCTCTGAATTTTGTAAATGTGATCTCTGCCTTCTTTATAAAGAATTTATCCTGGAAAAACTCAAATGTAAAGATAAGTACTACCTTTAGAAGGTAAATTTTAGCTATATAAGATACTGAATGCTTATGAAGAAAGGCAGAGTCCATCATCTTCATACTGACCACAGCCATAAACAGTGGCACCAACCTCTTTCAGCAAAGCCCCTGAAGCCACCACCCAAACAGGACCCCATGGGGACAGCATTCTGTCTGCCACCCACCTGGCTTTCTTCACTCACCTCAGGGAATTTCTTTTTCTGCACATATTCAGTGGTGGCCGCATCAAAATACTTGGCATAGCCCTCATTCAGGCTGTAAATCTTTCCTTTCTTCTTAATCTTGACATCTTTTTCCACCAGGACAAATTCACCAAGAGCCTAGCAACATGAAGAGAGATGCCAGGAAGAAGAGAGAAGCCAGGAAACAAGCCAACCGCACAATCCCCACATCAGAGCAGGAGAAGATGGGGGCCTGCTGGCAGAGCTGGGGCTTGGCTGTGGTCACTCTGAACCTGCTCTTTGGTGTTTTCATGAGTGGTGGGAAGAATAGGGACCATATGGAGCCCACACAGGAAGCTCTAGCAGTAACACAGCAAGCAGGAAGACAATTCTAAGGAAGCAGCCCATAGTCTTCTTTCTTTTCCTGTGCATCTTCCACTGTCAGTGAGGCTCCTCATTTATGGTGAACCCAACTGTGTGTATCTCCCAAGTTCTCACCCGCAGATTAATGTTTTCAGGAAGATAGGCCATCAACAGTGAGAGGAAGAAGTTACATTGTCGTATGAGGGATGCATTTTAACCATTAATTTGTGGTACAGGCTGGGCGCAGTGGCTTATGCATGTAATCCCAGCACTTTGGGAGGCCGAGGTGGGTGGATCACGAGGTCAGGAGATCGAGACCATCCTGGCTAACATGGTGAAACCCCGTCTTTACTAAATATACAAAAAATTGGCCGGGCGTGGTGGTGGGCACCTGTAGTCCCAGCTACTCGGGGGGCTGAGGCAGGAGAATGGTGTGAACCCGGGAGGCAGAGCTTGCAGTGAGCCGAGATCGCGCCACTGCACTCCAGCCTGGATGACAGAGCAAGACTCCATCTCAAAAAAAAAAAAAATGTGTGGTACAGTTATTTTGTTTATGTTAGTGATTCAATCATAGAAACTATTCAGTTTCTGGTATCCCACTCTTACCTGGAGAAAAGAGGAAGCCGCTTTCATCAGACACTGTGTTCACCCAGCGTAAGGAAAAAGTTGGTAAAATCTAAAGGAATCCTCAGACATATTAATAAAAGTGTGCCCAGTCCCTCTCCACAACCCATGTAGCCACTGTGGTCAGTACCTGCAGGGCATCTCTCAAATACCCCTATGTCTAGTTCTGGTGATATCAGTCACTAAAAATGGGATCAGCTTGTGGCAGATACCACCTTAAATGCTCATGTCTGTCTCAGTCACTAGGAGGAAAACCAGAGCCTGGAAACCAGATCCATTTTGATGAATGTCCAAGATTTTGAGAGTGAAAAACTCCAAAATGACAGCTCACAGTTGGCAGCTAGGCCAGAAGGTTCCCAAGGAACATCAGAGGTATTCCCGGAATATAAAGAGGCAAGGCCACAGAATGACTCCACATAGCAGAGGTGTTGCTACGAGAGGTGACACTGTCCCTGTCAGAAACAAGTCAGTGCCAAGGAGACTCAATAACAAAAACAACTAAACAATCCTTTCCTGCCTAACATGAGTGACAACTGCTTCTATATCAGTGACTTCAATCTCTCTGCCTCCTAGATAAAAATGATTAAGGTAACTAGTCATTAATTGCACCCACTTCCAGACAATATCCAATCCAGACTGACCCTCTCTTCCTCAAATCCTCTTTAGAATTACCAAGCAAAACCCCAAGTCCTATAAGCCCATCTCAACTCCCTCCTTATGCAACACCCCATGGTTCCTCTGCAGTGCCTGCTAAATCTAACTTCGGGTTATTACAGGTGCACGAGTGATGGTCTTTGACTCATGACCTTTAACTTGCTGTGGGTGTCTGTTGCTTTGGAGCAGCCCAGCGCTGATTTCTACTTCTGAAAAGTGCCCTGACTTGCTTTGAATTGGATGCCAGTCTAGGAAGACTCATATCTGGGCCTCTTGTAGGCCAAGGTCAGGCATGTACCTTAGCTTGAAAATGAGATACGCCTCCCTAGGATTTGAAACCTGAGTGAGAGGCGCAGCACTGGGGGTGGTGTCCAGGCCAGACCGGCCATGTTGCGAGACCACTGCCGTGCTTCCTGCTTCCTGGTCCTCTAGTCCTGCCCGTTCCTAGCCAGGGTCCTCAGCTTTCCCATCAATGCAGTAACTCCTTTCACTTAATTGAGCCGGGGTCAATTTTGCTGTTGCTTTCCAGCAAAGAGGATGGAGATGCACAACTGTCATCTGAACAGTGGCACTCACTCACCACCTGAACAGAGGCGCTCATTCTGCATCAGGGCGGGTGAAAACGCCTTACGTTGATCCACTCCTGGGGCTGGGGCCGGGACACTCAGGCCCTGGGAATATTGTTTCCACAGTTTTATTAACCTGGAAAATGTGTTCCTTTGTTCTGATTGTGTGGTCACCAACAACGGCTGATTTTTAATATGGGCTCTCATACACCCTGTTACCGATTATCAGACACCAGATCCTGGTCACAAGAAACAACAGCTCCCATTTGTAAATGAATGCCTTGACATTGAGCTTTACCCACAATGGAGAGTTGGTTAACAGGAGGTGGTCTCTCTGTGCCTGAACAATATGTGTGTTCTGACAAAATCAAATCACCAGCCCTGCAATCCCACAGACCTCACAGGCTCAGTTTGACCCACCAGGGAATGCTGCCTCCATAAGCTACTGGCCGCCTTCCATGGCATTTCTATCTGTGACAACTGCCACAAGCTACCTCCGCTGGATGTCAAACAGGCACTAAGCTTTGTGCACTGGGTCTTTGCTCAAATGTCCTTTTTAGTAGGGAGATGTGATCCAAAGGGGTTTCAGGCTAATACATAGAGATCCGGAAAGATGCTATGGTTCATCTCTTCCTTCTGTCATGTTGACAAGCTCTGGTGCCCACCTATGTCCAGACTGGGCCCTGCTTTCATGACTGAGGGCAGAAAACAGAGGCTCTGTCTGTGCCTGGGAATCTTTGAATTGGGTCCCTGAGTCAAAGCATCTCCCATCACCTTTAGAACTGCTCAGAATGTTCATGGAGATATTTTGCTTGTACTCAAGAGCAGTTGTGTTGGAAATTTAGTGTGGTAGAGTAATTAAAGCACAGACTGCTGGAGCATGACTCCTGACACCAGTCACTAGCTTGACCTTGCGCAAGTTACTCACTCTCTCTACGCCTCACTTTCCCCATCTGAAAATGGGAATAATTGTAGGACATATCTCATAGGGCCACTGTGACATTTAAATGCATTAATAGATGTAAATTTCATAGGACAGGTACTTTACATTCCTACCACTTACGAAGAATTATCTAACTCTTAGCTGTTATTCTACAACAACTTTAGAAAGGGTGTTTTATTGTCTGAGGGTAATATTTGCAAGCCATAGAATTTCTCAGGGTTTGCCAGCTTCTTTGAACATAAAGGGAAATTGGGGCATTAGCAAACTGACACAGCAATGGGTCTTGGTCTAATGGGCATACAGGTGAAAAGATTCTATTTGAAAAGTTTCTGGGTTTCCATACTGTAAACTCTGTTTTGTAAGTTAACTCCATGTCATTTTGAAATTTTGCAAACCCCTCTCTCCACACATGTGCACTAACACGTGAACTCCACAAGGGCTGTCATGTGTGTTTGATCAATGCTCCATCTCCGCTGTCTGGAGTGGTGCTTTGGGACACAGTAGATGCTCAATAAACAGCTGTAAATCAAAAACTTAAATACTTAACCTTTTGGTCTAAGTGAACAAGAGGTTTTGACGTGTTCTTTGGTGGATATTATCTGAGTTTTCACAAGACCTCAGTATACTTGGCAAAGCATTTCACAATTGATGGGCAAGCCATCCAGCATTTAAAAGTGAAATTCATGGAGCATTCTACTGGATGGTGCTGCTCTAACGAACCCATGCTTCTGCTGGAAATTTGCAGCATTGTGATTCTTAAATCATGGCATTCTCATAAGCCAAAGAGATTGAGTGCATTTTTGGAAAATGAGCTCCTTAAGGAGAGGGCCTGAGTTGATGCAACTGGCTCTGCAGGACACTCCTCCCCCCGAGTGCCCTCACTGGGACAGAGGCCCTTCATGGTTTCTGATGATGGTTTTGGCTCCCCAAACTAGGCTCTCAGGACCCCTGGTCCCCAAAACAAGTATTAGGAATAACCAGGACATTATCGCAGAGAACTGGCATTAAGGCACAGAGGCCCATGGAGTCCCCAGGCACAGATGATGCCATATTCTGTACCTACCGGGTCAAGCATGAAGAGGTCCACGCCTTGCCCTGTGGAGAGAGCCACCAGGGTTGCACTACCGTACAGCGCATAACCTGCGGCCACAATATTGCGGCCACACTGCAGGGCATCCTTTTCAGAAGGCTCATCCTCTGAGGTCTGTGGAAGAGAGGGATAAATGCCATGTGTTATTGTTGTCTCTGGAGAGAACACTTTGCCAGGGGCCTGGGCTTCAGATCTCCTCGAATCACTGAAGGAAGCGCGGTTCTTTGAATTTTAAGCTGCTGCAAATCCATCCAGAGGAAACGAGTGGCCATGTTGCCAACAGTTCTAGCTGAGCCATGGCAAAGGCCATTCTTGGACTTCTTCCTTCCTGTTTTCCAAACGCATGTGTCTGTAGCCTGACAAGAAAAGCACTCCCAGATGCTAAAACCGTAGCCCCTCTTCATCATAAGCCATGTTCCCAAGCCACGATACTCACAACTCAGATCACTGAGCTGAGCGTGCAGTGTCTCACTCTGCACACTCAACAGCCCTTTGGGGCAGATAGCACCATCACCTCCATGGCTCAGAGGGAGAACTCTGAGAGCAAAACCACCTAAGATTAACAACCTACTGCAGCTGGAGCGGCTGCACAACTCGCCCAGCAGCAGGAAGCCCTGATTCTGCCTTTCTCTCTGACTCTGTGGATGCTCCTTCTCACTTGCCTCTCTTCCCGGCAGCACCTCTTCCTCTGATTCCTTAAATGTTGGTGCTCCTTCTGGTCCTTCTGTGGCCCTTGGTACATCCAACCGGTGCAAAATGATTCTTCCTCACCCCCTTATCCAAAATGGGGACTCTTAGCTGCTACATTTGTATTGAGTTACCCCGTCTCCCACGACACACACACACGCACACTTATTTGATGGGGTCAAGGATAGATTCATAGATTAGTGATTCAAACTGGCCCAATGTGAGTCTCTCCTCCAGAAACCTAGAACTGGAGTACAGCATTGTTGTGATGTACGTAGAAGCTTTGTAAACCCGAATGTTCTTGCCTCCATGTTCTGACCTCATGGTCTGGTCTTCCAGCGCTTGACGCCATGAGCACTCAGAGCTGCTTCTCTGAAGCTCCCAACACATTTTCATTCACGGGCTTAGTGTCTGACTTCCCAGCTAGACTGTGAGCAACTTGGTGGCAAGTACCAACTCCGTCTTGTTCCTGTCTGTTTACCCATCACCTAGCACAATCCAGTCCACAGATATTGCATTTAATTCACACACACACACAACACACACATGAGTTTACACACACACATATATACATGCATACATGCAGTGATTTTCAGCATAAGAATCCTATACACATTTTTTGGATTTATACTGTTCCATTTTTTGTGTGATTGTAAATAGCACATATTTTAAAATGTAATTATAATTACGAATTAGTTTATTGCTAATATATAGAAATCTAGTTGATTTTGTATCTTGATCTTGTATCCTGTGACCTTGCTAAACTCACTAGTTCTAGAAGTGTTTTGGTTTTCTGTTTGTAGGTTCCTTGGGATTTTCTACATAGACCATCATGTCGTCTGCAAGAACAGTGTTATTACCTGCTTTCCAATCTGTATGTGTTTCATCATCTTCCTTGCCTTATTGTGCTGGCTACAACTTTCAGGATTACATATGTTGGGTAACAGTGGCGAGTGAGGACATCCTTGCTTTGTTACTGATCTTAGAGTATAAGCATTCAGTCTTTCACCATTAAATGTAATGCTAGCTGTAGATGTACTTGATAGAGTTAAGGGACGCTCCTCCTCTATTTCTTGTTTTCTAAGACTTTCTGTTTTTTCAGAGACAGGGTCTTGCTCTGTTGCCCAGGGTGGAGTGCAGTGGCTTGGTCATGGCTCACTGCAGCCTCCAACTCCTGGGCTTAAGTCATCCTCCCATCTCAACTTCTTGAGTAGCTGGGACTACGGGTATGCACTACCACCCCCCTCTCCAGCTAATGTCTTTTTTGAGATGGGGGTCTTGCTATGTTGCCCAGGCTGGTCTCAAACTCCTGGCCTCAAGCAATCCTCCTACCTCAGCAAGTTTCTTTTTTAAATAATGAATGAGTGTTGAATTTGTTCAAATGTTTTTTCTCCATCAATAGATACGATTATGTGATTTTTCTTCTTTAGCCTGTTGATATGGTGGATTACACTGACTGATTATGAATACTGGATCAGTCTTCCATCACCAGAATAAACCCCACTCAGCCATGGTGTATAATTTATTTTATGTATTGTTGAATTCTATTTGCCAATATTTTGTTAAGAGTTTTTGCATTTATTGATAAGGAATATTGGTCTGTGGTATTTTTTTGAACAATCTTTGTCTGGTTTTTGTATCAGGATAACACTGGTTTCATAAAATGAATTGGGAAGTGTTCCTTCCTATTATCTTTTCTGGAAGAGACTGAATAATCTGTGAATATTTGTTATGTTTTTCCAGTAAACCATCTGAGCCTGGAGATTTCTTTTCTTGGGCATGAGTTTCTTAATAGTATTGAGCCCTGTAGATAGCCATTCAAAGTATCTATTTTATATTGGGTGAGTTAGAGTATTGTAGTTTTTGAGACATTGGTTCGTTTCATCTAAGTTGTCAAATGTATGCATGTGGAGTTGTTTCTAATATTCTCTTTTTATCCTTTTGAAAAACAAGGCAACCTGAGATTAACAATCTACTGCATAAATACACAATTCTCTGATCATTTTCCCAAGATAAATTCCCAATAATTAAATAATTGGGTAAAAATCTTTTGATACATATTGAAAAATTGTCCTCCAGAAAGAGTGCATCAATTTATACTTTTACCACTAATAATAAGAGAGTTCATTTTAATTCAGCCTGGTAAACACAAGATAGCATTGTCTTTTCAACTTTGTCAATTTGACAGGTGGACAAAATGACATCTCTTTTGTTTTAACTTCTATTTTTTATGAGTCAGGTAAAACCTTTTATATGTTTATTTTGACCATTTTTATTTTGTAAGTTGTCTCTTTCATGTCTTGCTTATTTTTCTATCAGGATATTCAACTTCTTGTTTATTTTAATAGCTCTTTATATATAAAGGATATTAATGTCTTGTATATGTCACAAATATTTTCCTCGATTGTCATTGCCTTCTTATTTATGGTGCCTGTTTTTGCAGTGCAGTTTTAAAATTAAAATTATTCATGACATTCCATATGTTTTCTTCTCTTGTCTTTATGTTTAGACTGAATTTCTCCTACATCAAGACAGGGTGACACAAATATTCTTGTCTTTTCTTTCTGGTTTTATTCCCCACCTCTCTACCAAACTCATCAACTCATCTGTAATTTATTTCTATGCATGGAAAAAAAAGAATGGTTCAGTTTTTGTATTTGTCTAACACGGTCCTGAGATTTCAAAAACCCAGTTTATATCAGCAATCTTCATTGCCATGACACCTTTCTCAGTAAATTTTATAGTAGTTTGCAAATGATTTAGTGCGTCTTTTTATTTTTTTCTACACCAATAAATATCTGAGCCCATCAGATAAGTGGTGCTTCCTACCACTACTTTTTGGTAAAATTAATGAAAATTGCAAGAGCTCCATGTATTTGGTGGTAGAAATTATGAAATGTGGACTTTTTTCCTTTTTGTTGAGGTATAAAGCATATAGCAGAGCATACAAATCTTAATGGTACATCTTGATAAATTTTTACAAATATATAATATACACTTATGTGTATTTATAGAATATTTTACATAACATCCAGATCCATTTATATAACATTTCCAGCAACCTAGTGGACTTTAAGCCTAGTGAAGCCAGGCCTAGTAGTCTCTTCCAGTCACTATCACCTCCTGCCAAAGGTAACCTCTATTCTCACCTTTATCACCAAATCTAACTTTATCTGGTTTGGAACATCATCTAAATGAAATGACACTGCATATGTTCTTTTGTATGGCTTATGATTTTCAAGTTTATTTCTTTGCAATTTTACCTATGTTGTTATACATAGCAGTTTGTTCTTTTTCATTGCTATGTAGTTTTCTGTTGTATGACTATATCACAATTTATTTCTCCATTCTCATGTTGATATGCATTTGGATTTTTCTGGTTTGGGGCTACTATGACTAATTTCTCCATCTTTGGGCAGACACAGAATTCCTTTCTTCTGTGTGGGTCCCAGGAGTGAAATTGCTTGGCCATAGTGTGTAAATATCTGTTTAGCATTAGTAGGTCCTATCAAATGTTTTCCAAAGTAGTTATACTATTTGATAGTCCCACCAATGAGGTATAAGAATTCCAGTTTCTTTGCCAACACTTGGTATGCTTAGTCTTTTTAGATTTAGCCACTCTGGAAGAGGAGAATGGTGTCTCACTGTGGTTTTAATTTCCATCTTCCTAACGTAACTGGGCAGCTTAACTTCATAATATATTTTAAAACATTTTTCCCTTCTCTTGGGTTTCAAGATATAACCTTGAAGCAAACTGCAGAAGTCTTTTCTCTTAGCTATAAAATAGCTCCCTTTCTCACCATATATACTCCCTGCACATTTAGCTAACTGCATGCTAGTATCTATTATGTGCCTTCTTAGAAGTTCCAGGAGGTAATCTTGAGACGGACAGACCAAGCATGGAGACCTAGCTGCAAAATTCCAGAGATTACTTCCATGCAGCTAATTAACAACTCGGCCACTGTTGAGATGATGTCAGCCTGAGGTCCAGGTGGACTGGCACCAAAGATAATCATAAAAACAAGACCCAGAGATACTGTACTCAGCACAATTCTCTTGCATGCCCTCCTTAATCAAGTTTTCCTCTTTTAAACCCCTCCCTTCCCCCGAAATAGTCAAAGTGGTTGCTTTGATGGGAATCTGGCCACTTCCCCTTTACTAGTTGTGGTTAATAAAGTCACTTTCTATCTACCAGGCCTCACTCTTGTTAACTGGACTCTGCAGGCAGTGAGCATGTGGACCTGCATTCAGTTACAATTTTAGTGGCCCATACAGTGTGCTCTGGGGGCCCAAGCCCATGGTCTGGTTTCTATTGGACAGGGCCTGTGGGGCTGCCTGTAGGCTCCAGTTGCTTGTGGCTACCTGACCCCTTGGCTGGAATGCTAGGGAGTCTCCTGCAGCTGCCTAGATGCTTTTGTCTTGGGGATCCTCTCTTTCTCTTCCTGCTGCAGTGCCTGCTACCTCCAATATTTCACTGGTGCACTGAAAGTGACTTTTAGAGAAGTGACAAACTTTGGAATTTTGGAACTTTGAAACTTCGGAACTTGGTGAGTTAGTCGGAGTGCATTTGACCACCATCTGCCTCTTTTGGGATGTCACTGGGACTCTGCTCTATTTAGACTTGGCCACTAGTGACACCATTTGAGCATTTTATGCATTTGTATTTGTTTGTATTTGTGGCACCCTTGGGGCCTTGCTGGGTTCAGGCTGTTCCAGGGCTGGGGTTGGGGGGGCATTGGAAACTGAGGTGAGGGATTTGGGACTCTACTCAGCCCTCCCTCCCCCCACTTCTTCCAAGTCATCCTCCTGATAATCTTGGGGCACCCACAGCCTTATTCCTCTTGGCCAAAAGCACCCACAGCTCCCTCTGGCTAGAAACATTTCACCTTGACTGGTGACTTGCAAAGGTGGGAAGGGTTCATCCCACACCATGTAGGTCTGGGGCACTGAGGCTCTCCCTGACAGGAGATACACCCGGGTGGTGAGGGTACTGACCCCAAGCCTTGCAGTGGCTGAAAGGCTCACAAGCCTCCCCTCCTTCCTTTCTCTTTCCTCTTCCTTCCTGTAAAACTTGACCTTTGTCCTCTACATCTCTTTCTTTTCTTTTTCTCATTTCCTGTCCAATCCAGGGGTTCAGCCTTGAAGGAGAAAAACAGTTTCCAACATCATGGCCTCTGATTTTGTCATCTTCTCTGGGACTGGTTACATATTCTGGCCCATTTTTGTGCACATTTTAAACTGATGGGCAAATTACAACAAGAAAAATTCAGAGTTCAAATGGTTAACCTACACTGTGGAGTTAAGTAGAATCTTCTTTAGCTCTCTACCTTCCTCTCTTTTCTGCCTGCTTTAAATCTGCTGTTATTAAACTGCTGGCGCGAGACAAGACTCATTATTTATGGTCTAAATTGAATATAAACATTGAAAACTCATTTGAAACTGAACAGCAAAAAGGGGAAAAGATTTAAAAAGAAAAAAACCCAAACTGCCATAGAGACTGCTTTACCCCAAATTTTGGCTGCCAGCTTTCCTTGGATTACCTATCAGGGCAAACAAAGTTAGCCACGTGGACAGCTTCCAGTTTTGTCAGAAAAACAACTTGAAGCCAGCTTTTATAGGTCAGTGAGTTTGTGATGCTATCTCATGATTAGAGTTCTCAGATAAAAGCTCTTAGACCTTTGTTTGTGTATGGATGTATACATGTTTAGATATGTTTATGTAATGTACATGTTATAGTTATGTTCTGTCGTGTCTAGCATGCTACCAAATTGGCTTTATAAGTAAGTGAGTACACATAAATTAAGTTCAAATGCTTTCCAAGTTCGCATGAATCTTTGATAAATAAAACTGGCTTCAAAAATTATTAGTAAAATAAAAACAAAAATGCCTTCAGAATCATCAGCATACATTTGTGTCTAAGCAAATAAATTTTGTATTTGTCTCTGCTAAATGTTTAAAGTGTCAGGGTTTGGCGCAAAGATTGTAAGATTATAACCCAGCCAAACACAGAGTAATCTTTGTGTAATTTTTTTGACAAATAAGACTAAGTTAGGATTGTTAGTTCAATGAAAGCAACTGAATCCTCTGAGCTATTGGCAAAATGACCATGGATTTAACTTTGAGGTTCTTACTTAGGTGTTCACCTAATGTTCGGACTTTTAAAATGGTTAACAGGGAAATAACTTTAAATAATGACTAACTTTGTATAATATCTGTTTTCAGAAAGAATCTAGATAAACTTAAAGATTAAAAAATTAAATACACATAAATGAAATATGTTTTTTAAGTGAATTTTTTCTGTAATTTAAAATCTTAAAATTATTTTAAATTAAATAATAAATGCTTATTGGATGTCTGGTTTACTTCTAATTTTTTAAAAATTATAATAAATTATGGGACTAATTTACAATAAAATATGGGAAAACATGGTTCTAAAATTGTGAAATGACTTCATCTATAAAATGCTAACATCTGACAAACCGTTCAGGACTTCTTGCTTACTAAGTTTCCACTAAAATTTAAAGTTAGTAGAAATAAAAATTCTAATGACTATATAATTCTATGAATTGTATTCGTATTGTAAAAATAATTTTATAGGCTGGACGTGGTGGCTCAGGCCTGTAATCCCAGCACTTTGGAAGGCTGAGGCAGGCGGATCACAAGGTCAGGAGATCGAGACCATCCTGGCTAACACGGTGAAACCCAGTCTCTACTAAAAATACAAAAAATTAGCTGGGTGTGGTGGCGGGCACCTGTAGTCCCAGCTACTCAGGAGGCTGAGGCAGGAGAATGGCGTGAACCCGGAAGGCGGAGCTTGCAGTGAGCGGAGCTTGCACCACTGCACTCCAGCCTGGGCAACAGAGAGAGACTCTGTCAAAAAAAAAAAAAAAAAAAGGTTATTTTAAAAGAGAGAATAATTTTATATATTAAAAAAAAAACTTGGCCAGGCACGGTGGCTTATGCCTGTAATCCCAGCATTTTGGGAGGCCAAGGCGGGCAGATAACGAGGTCAGGAGATGGAGACCATCCTGGCTAACATGGTGAAACCCCGTCTCTACTAAAAATACACAAAATTAGCCGGGCGTGGTGCCGGGCGCCTGTAGTCCCAGCTACTCAGGAGGCTGAGGCAGGAGAATGGTGTGAACCCAGTAGGCGGAGCTTGCAGTGAGCCGAGATTATGCCACCGCACTCCAGCCTGGGCGACAGAGTGAGACTCTGTCTCAAAAAAAAAAAAAAAAAAAAAAAGTTGTATGGTAAATTCTTGTCCTAAAAATAATGACTGATATCTAAAGAAACAAAATTCAGGACAAGTCAAAAAGTTTAAGCATGTCATAAATGGTTTGTATAAATTGTATTAAAGTTTGTGGAGAATTTATAAAAGAATTTTGCATGTGATTAAGTTACCTATAATTAAAAGGGGATTCTTTATAATAGCCCCCTATGTTTAAAGCAAGGTTGTCTGTCTTAAGGTATTTATTTGCTCCTAATAACAAGAAATTTTACTTTTATAACCTCTTTCTCTTAAAAACTTCTCAGAATCATATCTCAGAAGTTTGGCTTTGCTGTGTCTTGCTGCTTTCAGCTTTTTCTCCCCTTGAGAAGGCCTGAGAGGATAACTCTCTCATTCAGCTTTTTCCTCAACTCTTGTGATCTTTTTCCTCCAATTTTATTATTATGGCCTGGCACTAAAACATTTTATCTTAAAGGTCTAGAAAAGCAATGTTTTCCTACATTATTACTTGATTCTGTACTTTCCTTGATATGTCTAAATTTGTCAATATGATTAGAAAGCTTCTCATGCAGTTACTGAGAATTATCTATTTCCCTGATACACTCACAGTTTGACTTCCAGGTTATCCAAATAGGCTTCCCCTAAAGAGAAGCAGCTACACTGCAGGTTTTTCTTTCCCTGTCTGGTAATTCACTTAAGAAACAACATTTTACATTTTATCAAAATAATTCCTATGTTGTCTTTATTAGGTTTTAATTGCTTAGAAAAGTTGAGATCTAAAAGGGTTAAAGTTTGTACAACCATATAACGTTCTGTATTGCCTTTTATTTGTTTGTTTGTTTGAGACAGAATCTTGCTCTGTTGCTCAGGCTGCAGTACAGTGGCACAATCTCAGCTCACTGCAATCACCGCCTCCTAGGTTCAAGTGATTCTCATGCCTCAGCCTCTCAAGTGGCTGGTCCAACACGCCCAGCTAATTTTTGTATTTTTAGCAGAGACAGTGTTTAGCCATGTTGGCCAGGCTGGTCTTGAACTCCTGGCCTCAAGTGATCCACCTGCCTCAGCCTCCCAAAGTGATGGGATTACAGGTGTGAGCCACCATGCCCAGCCTGGATTGCCTTTTCAATCTTTCAATTATCACTCTGGTTAAATGAGCAACTATTGTTTAACAATGACCTACAGTTCTGTTTTAATCAATTGTTTTGAGCCTTTTAACATCTTTAACTTTTTCAAAATTGAATCCTAAATTAAGTTTCTGACTTTCTGCTGGGGTTTACCAAAGCTATAAAAATTAATCACCACTAGGTTTTAAAATCATTTTACAGGTTCCAGACAGGTCAAAGTCTCTAGTATCACTACCTCTAGTCCCTAAAAAAGGCCCTTATCAGGTACTATTAACAAATCCTTGTGCAGTTAAGTTACAGGGCTTTGACTCCTGGGTGCACATATTTCATCTAAAGAAGGCATTGGCTCCTGCCAGTATCTGATACCAAACTCAAGCTAACCAAAGCCTTGTCTCTGGATCCAGGCAAAGGTGACAATCAAAGTCACCTGCTTTAATGAGACACAAGGACAGCCTTGTAGTCAAAACCAGTAAGATTAATTTATTAATTTTGCCTCTGTCTAAAGTAATATGATTTATTCTATGCCTTAATACCAAATAATTAAAATGCTTAACTACCTATAAGCCTCCTTTCCTGTCATTCTCAGAACTAGGCTGGGCTTATGATACTTTAAAACATTACTAATTCTTTGTATTTTGTTTTACCTCCAGAATTGAAACTATTCAATCCCCCAGGCCTAAAGACTATAGTGGAAGAAGTGAGCGTCTGACATAGTAAGGGCCAGTCTTATGGGATCAAATTAATTCAGAGCCTCCAAATCCAGGACGGACACAGAGAGGCTTCAACAGCTGAACAAAAGGCTTGTGTTTTGTGCAGCTAAGTGCTACTAGCCAAGCTCACAGTAGCTCGATGTATAGATTTGTAGATAAGTCAATTTTGGAAGCTTGCCTTTTGGCTTTGGGTTTTTGGCTTTTACATTGCTTAAAAGGGGTTTTAAGGTTAATGAATGCCTGGCCACCTCCATTCCCATCTGGCCTGGAACATTTAACTGGCTTCCACTGTTTTGACTCTAAGTCCCTGGGCCATAGGGGTCCCATCGAGGAACATCATGGACCCTGGGAAGGTAACCATACCACCCCAGCATCCACATGGGACAAAATAAAAGCTTGGCCATCAATACTGCCCCCGGAATACCTTGACAAAAAAGGGAGAATATAAACTAAAATAAAATCCTAAGCCTCTCAACAGACTGAATGGACCTGCCTCTTGGCCGAAGGAAATCCCCAGATAAACTGAAAAACAAGTTCAGGCCATGGCAGGAAGCGGGATCAGACAGGCCTCCCTATACCTTCCCCCACTTTTTGGAATTAGGCACAACTGAAAACCCTAAGATTGACAAAATAGGCTGTTTGTCACAATAAAATACCCAATTAGAAACGGGACCTAAGGCCACGCCAGGCAAGGGTTAGTCACTCACTCCTATTTTGAAGAGGAAACCATGTCCTAACTGCCATAGGTTTTTCTTTTTCTCTAGCAGCCAAACAAGCGCTGGCCTTAAGATCAGCTGACTAACTCACCCCCAGGCTCTTGTTCCACCAGCCAAGACTACAGCTTTAATTAGACAAAAGACTAAATTTCAGTAGCTCTCCTGATAAAAGACCACCAACCATGGGCTAGGTCTGGCCAGTTTACAGAAAGCACACACTGTGTGCCTTTATGTCCTAGAAAGATCTTTTGATATACAGGACCTAAATGGAATACATTCCACCCCAAAATAAACATGGGTCATACATGCATATTTATTCAATACACATATGTCAGGACCATCTTCATAAATATTCATAGCTCCTCCTATAATCTGTTAAATATGTGTGTGTGTGCGTGTGTGTGTGTGTGTGTGTGTGTGTGTGTGTGTGTATAGTTTGTTTGTTTTGAGAGGGAGTCTTGCTCTGTTGCCCAGGCTGGAGTGCAGCAGTGCAATCTCAACTCACTATAACTTCCACCTCCAGGTTCAAGCAATTCTCATGTCTCAGCCGAGTAGCTGGGACCACAGTCACATGCCACCACTCTTGGCTAATTTTTTTTTTTTTTTTTTGAGACGGAGTCTCGCTCTGTCACCCAGGCTAGAGTGCAGTGGCGCGATCTTGGCTCACTACAAGCTCTGCCTCCTGGGTTCACGCCATTCTCCTGCCTCAGCCTCCCAAGTAGCTGGGACTACAGGCACCCACCACCACGCCCGGCTAATTTTTTTGTATTTTTAGTAGAGGCAGGGTTTCACCATGTTAGCCAGGATGGTCTCGATCTCCTGACCTCGTGATTCGCCCGCCTCGGCCTCCCAAATTGCTGGGATTACAGGCATGAGCCACCCTTCCCAGCCCCCTTTTTTTTTTTTTTTTTTTTTGAGACACAGTTTCACTCTTGTTGCCCAGGCTGGAGTGCAATGGCGCAATCTCAGCTCACTGCAACCTCTGCCCCCGGGTTCAAGCAATTCTCCTGTCTCAGCCTCCTGAGTAGCAGGGATTATAGGCGCCCGCCACTATGCCCAGCTAATTTTTGGTATTTTTAGTAGAGATGGAGTTTCACCATGTTGGCCAGGCTGGTCTCAAACTCCTGACCTCAGGTGATCCACCCACCTCAGCCTCCCAAAATGCTGGGATTACAGGCATGAGCCACCATGCCCAGCCTGTTAAATATGTATATTTTGCCAACCTGTTGTCAAGCCCCACAGGAACCCCAAATATAATTGACAGTGGGGACCATGAAGTATAAGTAAAACTAAGTGCTGTACATACTTCCTGAATAATGCCCAAAACATACCCTCAGCCCCACAAGACACAGAAAAGCAAACTGCTACTATGTCTTAATCCCACAATGTCTTTAAATCATATGGCTTTAGATATCCTAACTACAACCCAAGGCAACACTTGTGCATGAATTAAGGCTGAGAATTAGATATCTACCAGATTATTCTCACAATATAACCCAAACTATACAGGCCTTAAATACTCATATTTCTGCCATAGATTCCCTATCTCAAGACTCTGTAAGAGCACGGTTTAATCAACTTCCTAATACATAGAAGACTCTCAAATACAATGTAACTGGCACTCTGCTTATTTTTCTCTTTGGTTGCTATGGATTGTTTGTTTGAGAGAGTCTTGCTCTGTCACCCAGGCTGGAGTGCAGTGGCATGATCTCAGCTCACTGCAACCTGCACTTCCTGGGTTCAAGCAATTCTCTTGCCTCAGCCTCCTGAGTAGCTGGAATTACAGGCGTGCACCATCACCCTGGCTAATTTTTGTATTTTTAGTAGAGACGGGGTTTCACCATGTTTCCCAGACTGGTCTCGACCACCTAGCCTCAAGGCCTCAAGTGATCCGCCCGCCTCAGCCTCCCAAAGTTCTGGGATTACAGGCGTGAGCCACCGCAGCTGGCGAGGTTGCTATGGATTTTATTGCCGTTGTACACTTTATATAGAATGAAGGACAAGTTTTCTGAATTGTGAAGTTTCTAGTCCTGCTGGATGTCACAAACCCACCCAGCTCTCTGTTGCTAGGATTTCAGGGTAGGCAGAATGGCCCAAAAGATATGCCAGTCCCCAGGATCTGTGAATACCCAGCATTACATGGCAACAAAGACTTTTCAGGTGTACTCAGGGGTTCAGATTTCAAATAGGGAGATCACCGTGGACCTTCCAGGTTAGATTAGTTCAATCTAATCCAATGAGCGTTAGCAGAAAACTTTCTGTGGCTGGGGACAGGAGAGATGAGGCAAGAGGGGGAGAGGATGTCAGAGATTCAGAATGCCACCTGGAACCTAATGCCATGTCTGACATTTGTGTTGCACCCAGACTTTCAAAACAAGATCTCAGCTGTCCTTCTGTGTTACCCTCCCAGGAATGCCAGAAAGTAGGCAGAGAAAGAATCGCCAATCCAGTTCTTCTAATGAGGAGCCCCAGGCAGAGAAAAGTTGGTGGTTTGCCTACAGTGGCTTTTCTCGTTAGTGGGAAGACAAAGGGTAGGACTCCAAACACACGGTTTTCAGCCCAGGAACCTTCCAGAGACCACCACAGGAAGGAGGTGTAAAATGTCAGCCTGTCTACTCACCTTTCTATAGATGGCAAAGATGGTTCCGATGGAGGCCAGGCAGTCAATATTGGAAGATCCATCCAGTGGGTCAAAGCAGACCACGTATTTCCCCTAAATCAGAGAGGAAAGCACCAACTGATCAGCACATCTTCCCATTAGCACAATTGCTCTGTGTCAGGGCTGTGCGTGGCAGAGTACACCACATCAAAAAGAGATTGAGAACCACAGCATATCTTTATCAAAAAACACCATGACTTACGGAGGGCAGGGTGCCAGTTTATACACAAATACTCCTCTGGGTTTTGTATCCATCTCACCTGTCTGATGCGAAGACCAGAAGATAAAGTGGGTGTGTCTTGAGAGACCAACGTCCCCCACACCCACCCACTCTGCTGTCACAGGCAGCTCAAGCCACCAAGGGAAGCCCCAGGTCCTTTTTATAGCCCCCTGTGTGCAAGGTCACGAGAGACCCTTAGTGATGGCGACCGGAACCCCCAGGCCAATTAAACACGGGTAATGCAACTTCAAGAGAAATGAGGGTCATTTCTCCCTCCACTTGATTTAGTTTTCCCTGACTTTCCAATGAGTATTGGCCTAGCTTCATTTGAGCTTTGTTTCTGTTTTTTTTCCTTGCTCAGCCAGAGTAGAAAAGTTAGATAATTTGTAAACTTGGAAATTCCCCAACATCTCTATAATAATCCAATTTTTTAAAAAAAAATCCAATTTAGCCCATTCATTCATGCATGCATGCATTCAGCAGATACATGTTGAGCTTCCAGCATATGCTGGGAAGTAAGTGTTCAAGGCCCTGGGGTTTGTTTCCGGGGGGTCAGCGATCCCGGCAGCAAGGCTGGATTTCATGGCACTGACATTCCAGTGGGAGAACAGACAGAGAGCACACAGGTCAGGACACATACAAGCAGGCTGTGGCACGTGCCCTAACGAAAACCCACATAGGCTGGGGGCTGGAGAGCCATGAGGGGGGGTCACATTTGATGACAGACCTGACTAGAATTAAGGAATGAAGAAACACACAGAGACCTAGAAAGCAAAATTGTTTGTTTTCTTGTTTTTGTTTTGTTTTGACAGAGTCTCACTCTGTTGCCCAGGATGGAGTGCAGTGGTGTGGTCAGAGCTCGCTGCAGCCTAGAGATCCTGGGCTCAAGCAATCCTCCCACCTCAGACTCCCAAGTAGCTGGGACTACAGGTGCACACCACCATGCCGAGCTAAATTTTTATCTTTTGTATCTTTATGTTGCCTAGGCTGGTCTCAAACTCCTGAGCTCAAGCAATTCTCCCACCTCAGACTCCCGAGTAGCTGGGACTACAGGTGCACACCACCATGCCGAGCTAAATTTTTATCTTTTGTATCTTTATGTTGCCTAGGCTGGTCTCAAACTCCTGAGCTCAAGCAATCCTCCCACCTCAGCCTCCCAAAGCACCGGGATTGCAGGCGTGAGCCACCGCGCCCATCCTAGAAAGAAGAATTTTCGACAGAGAGATCAGCAGGTTTGGAGTATTCAAGAGCTGCCACGGGCCAGGCATGGTGGCTCACGCCTGTAATCCCAGCACTTTGGGAGCCTGAGGCGGGTGGATCACCTGAGGTCAGAGTTCAAGACCAGCCTGGCCAACATGGCGAAACCCCGTCTCTACTAAAAACACAAAAATTAGCGGGGCATGGTGGCGCATGCCTGTAATCCCAGCTACTCAGGAGGCTGAGGCGGGAGAATTGCTTGAACCCGGGAGGCAGAGGTTACAGTGAGCTGAGATTGCGCCATTGCACTCCAGCCTGTCCAGCCGGGCAGTAGAGCAAGACTCCGTCTCAAAAAAATAAATAAATAAGTAAATAAATAAATAAAGGAACTGACATGAAGACCTATGTGGCTATGTGGCTTAGGCCAATAGGAGAAGACAATGGTAGATCAGACTGGAGAGAGAAACAAGAGTCATATCAACTGAAACTGAAAGTTGGAAGTAATAGTGTGATGTAGCTAAAATTATGTGAGACGAGGGCAAAAGTGCCTTTTGCAGTACCTGGCATAGAGCAGAGGTTAAATAAATTTGGCTTTACTTTAAATTCTTTTCCATTCCTCCAGCTAATCACAAAGAAATGGCCTCTTGTCTATTGACTATATTGCAGCTGAACATTGATTGAAACTTTTGGCCATTGGCAAACCTCTCTGTATAATAAGCTGTGTGTGAACCCATAGTGAATGCAGACCCTCCCCAGCCGTGCCTTCCTTCACCGACTTCACCATCCTACGAGGTAAGAGCACAGGAGGCTTGTGGTTTTGTTTCTGGACCAGTCTAACAGCTTGTCAGGCACTAAGAAATCTCTGCTGAAACTGTAACCCCTCGCAAAGTGCCGGCTGGGGGCGGGGGTGGAATGAGAAGGCGGGGCGGTGAGAGGCTGTACAGTACAGCTCTTCCCTGGACTCCACAAGGTTAAGCCCCCAAAAATTTGGCTCTTGTTACTGATTAAGTGAACAGCCACGAACAAGCGCCCACTGAGGCGGTTCCTGCATCACTCTGAACAATTTCCTGAATGAATCACTGTCCTACTGTGGAGTCTTCTTTCTCTAGACAGCACAAGATTTCCAAGTAGAGAAGTATGTAATCCTTTGTTTCCAGAAAACAAATGTTAAGAAATAGAGGAGAATCCCGGGAATTAAAGAAAAGTAAGGCAGCTTATTTCCGGCTCAGTATCATCATCTACTGGCGAGCGGGCACCGCAGCCCCATGACGCACCCGCTTCTCCTTGGCGGTGATGATGGCGTCCTTATTCTCTTCTGAGACCAGGACGCAGGTACTATAGGAGGATTGGACCATGTTGATCACCAGGGAATTGGATAGCACATCCAGTTTCTTCACCTCATCTCCCGTCACGTTAACGCTTCCTGCGATTCCATACCTGAGAAGACAAAAGGCTGAATGAGGAAGTCACTAGGGGGTCTTAACTCCAGCAAAGAGCCTGGGACCCTAAAACGCCAGCAGTGCAGTCCCCTCTCGTTCTGTGTCTCTGGAGTCTCCAAGTCACACGTGCAGAAGAAGGCGATTATGCCTGGCAGGATACCTCTCAGCCTTGCCTCCCTTACACCTTGGAGTCGTTGTCATATTTTCTTAGCCTTCCAATGAGATGACCCAGGACTCAGTCTCACTAAAACACAAACCCAGTCTCAGCACGAGGAGATGGAGCAGATGGGGGGACTCATCAAATCAGACCCATTGCCATAACTGAGGACTCCAAAAGTAAAGGACTGTGGCCTCCAGCTCCTGGAATTTGTTTTTTCTTTTTTCCTTTTTTTTTTGAAACGGAGTCTTGCTCTGTCGCCCAGGCTGGAGTGCAGTGGCACGAACTCTGCTCACTGCAAGCTCCGCCTCCTGGGCTCACGCCGTTCTCCTGCCTCAGCCTCCGGAGTAGCTGGGACTACAGGCGCCCGCCACCACGCCCGGCTAATTTTTTTCTGTATTTTTAGTAGAGACGGGGTTTCACCATGTTAGCCAGGATGGTCTTGATCTCCTGACCTGGTGATCCACCCGCCTCAGCCTCCCAAAGTGCTGGGATTACAGGCATGAGCCACCATGCCCGGCCAAGCCCTGGAATTTCAAGTCTTTGTGGATTGTCCTCACACAGTGCCCTGCTGGAATGAATTAAAATTGCCCTGTGGTAGCTTGGTGTTACTTGAACTGAGAAGGAAATGTGGGGGCAGACTTATTTCATTTTTTTCTTCACTGCCATCCCAAGCAGTATAAGAGAGTGCTACTACGAGAATTCTATGCCAGTCAGGGCCAGGGCCTCGTGCCTGTAATCCCAGCACTGTGGGAGGCCAAGGCGTGTAGGTCGCTTGAGCCCAGGAGTTCAAGACCAGTCTGGGCAACACAGTGAGACCCTGTCTTTACAAAAAAATACAAAAATTAGCTGGATGTGGTGGCACACACCTGTAGTCCCAGCTACTTTGGAGGCTGAGATGAAAGGATCATCTAAGCCTGGGGAGGTGGAGGTTGCAGTGAGCTGTGATCACGCCACTGCACTGCAGCCTGAGCGATGGAGGGAGACCCTCAAAATAATTCTATCTAGAGGCTTTGGGTTTTAGAGCATTCATATGCAAAGGTCTCCCCACTTCCACCCTCGCCCCTTCAGGGGGTTCTCAACACACCAGCAGGAGGGGTCCTCCTAAAGTGCCCCCAGTCTTACCCAGAGGCAAAATCCAAGTCCCCGCAAGTGGGTGTCAGGCACCACCGTGGAATCTCTGCGCCCGGGTTGGCATGGCTGCCCGTCTCTCTCATCCTCACAGGGTCAGCCCCAGCCTCTGAAACCTCCAAGGCACACACCTGCCTTGTGACTGACTGCCCAGTGGCCTTGCTGCCCCACCTGGGACACTCTTCCTCAAGAGCCATGTGACGGCCACCCCAGTCAAGCTTTGGCTCAAGGATCATCTCTCAGTAGTGCCTTCTCTGGCCGTCTGTTTGGAGCAGCATTCCCTGGTCCCCAACATCTTACTCGATGCATTTTCTCCTCTGCCCTGACCACCATCTAGGTCCTGTTTATTGTCTGTGAGCTTCCACAATGGCAGGATTTTTTTTTCCATTCTGAGGGAAGCCGTATCCTTCATGTGTCCACCCTGCACCACTACAGCAAGGCTCAGCCACCCCGCCACCCTCTCACGTTCCAACAGCCGCAGATGTCCCTGGGCCAGCACCCAGCAAGCGGCTCTGGTCCTTCTCGCCTTCACTAATGGTGTTCCCACCACAGCAGTGCTCTCTGCCCGGCTTTCTTCCTGCTATTCCTCCTTTTCCTCTCTGGGACGCCTCCCTGGTCCTCTCAAGTGGGCCCCACACACCAGAAACACCCCATCATCCCTCCTCAGTGTTCACCACACTCACGGACTGGCTTCCTGCTGCATGACCTGCTTGCAGAGGGCAGGATCCATCCTTCTGTCTGTTTCTGCAGTGCCCAGACACACAGCCCATGCTCCATGTCTGCTCACTGAGTTATGAGGAAAGGATGGCAAGAAAGGAATTTCCTTTGCCTACTGATGTGAATGCTATTTATTTGTTGAAGGAAATCTCAGGTGGTTCTAACAGGTAGCCAGGGTTGAGAACCACTGATCTACCTTAAGCTGGGGGCAAACTCATTTCCCACCCTCTTCCCTGAACAGCACCCCCACCTCACCCCCCAACACCAACCCCCACCCACAGCACATCATTTGGTGTCTGAGGAACCATGACGTGAGCAGTCAGCTGTCTTGGAAAACACTCCTAGCAGCCTCACCCCAAAGACTGTGCCTCCTGGTCAAGACAAAAGCAAGCAAGCAACAGCAGCAACAAAACTAGGCTGACTGCATCTGAGTTTCAGGGGACCACAAACACAGGCCTTGGTTCGATATGGAATCTGAATGCGCTTGCCACTGGAGGATGAACAGCAGGCCCAGGCCTGCGGTGGGCAGAGCTGAGAAACAGCCTCTGTCCTGCGCTTTGCAAATGCCCCCTCATCCGCCTAACCCCACCCCTCAGCCGACCCCCTGCACCCTCTCTCCAGGCACTGGGCAGCACCCCTCCTCCTAGAAAGAATGGAAACTCACCAGGAGATGTGAGTTCCCGGCAATAGCTTCACCTGAGATGATGGGGGAAAGGGGCTCTCTAGCCCGTAGGACAGTATCTTGCAGTGTTCTGACTGACACTAAAGCTAACTAACAGTCTCTAAAGGAATGATCCCCCACGGCCATGAGAAAGCCAAGGAGAGGCTCCAGGCGGGCACTCCAGCCTCTCTTGTTCCCACCATAAGAAGAGGAAAGAGAAGGGGAAAAGGAGACTCTCATAACTTTTAAATTGCATTCACGGAGCCCTTGCTAGAAAGATCTCCCCAAAAGGAGCCAGGGGCTTGCGGTCCCCTGCCTGGGTGGTGGTGTGTCCGGAATTGGTAGGTTCTTGGTCTCACTGACTTCAAGAATGAAGCCGCGGACCCTCGCGGTGAGTGTTACAGCTCTTAAGGTGGCGCATCTGGAGTTGTTCGTTCCTCCCAGTGGGCTCGTGGTCTCACTGGGCTCAGAAGTGAAGCTGCAGATCTTCGCGGTGAGTGTTACAGATCATAAAAGCAGCGTGGACCCAAAGAGTGAGCAGCAGCAAGAGCGAAAGAACAAAGCCTCCACAGTGTGGAAAGAGACCCAAACGGGTTGCCGATGCTGGTTTAGGCAGCCTGCTTTTATTCTCTTATCTGGCCCACCCACATCCTGCTGATTGGTAGAGCCGAGTGGCCTGTTTTGTCAGGGCGCTGATTGGTGCGTTTACAATCCCTGAGCTACATACAAAGGTTCTCCACGTCCCCATCAGATTAGTTAGATACAGAGTTTCCACACACAGGTTCTCCAAGGCCCCACCAGAGCAGCTAGATACAGAGTGTCGATTGGTGCACTCACAAACCTTGAGCTAAACACAGGGTGCTGATTGGTGTATTTACAATCCCTGAGCTAGATATAAAGACTCTCCACGTCCCCACCAGACTCAGGAGCCCAGCTGGCTTCACCTAGTGGATCCCGCACCGGGGCTGCAGGTGGAGCTGCCTGCCAGTCCTGCGCCGTGCGCGCGCATTCCTCAGCCCTTGGGTGGTCGATGGGACTGAGCGCTGTGGAGCGGGGGGTGGCGCTCGTCGGGGAGGCTCGGGCCGCACAGGAGCCCATGGAGTGGATGGGAGGCTCAGGCATGGCGGGCTGCAGGTCCCGAGCCCTGCCCCGCGGGAAGGCACCTAAGGCCCAGCGAGAAATCGAGCGCAGCGCCAGTGGGCCAGCACTGCTGGGGGACTCAGTACACCCTCCGCAGCCACTGGCCCGGGTGCTAAGTCCCCCATTGCCGGGGGCCAGCAGGGCTGGCTGGCTGCTCGGAGTGCGGGCCCGCCAAGCCCACGCCCACCCGGAACTCCAGCTGGCCCGCAAGCGCCGCACGCAGCCCCAGTTCCCGCTCGCACCTCTCCCTCCACACCTCCCTGAAAGCTGAGGGAGTGGGCTCCAGCCTTGGCCAGCCCAGAAAGTGGCTCCCACAGTGCAGTGGGGGGCTGAAAGGCTCCTCAAATGCCGCCAGTGGTCATTGACGGCTCAGGCACAGGCAAATCTGGTCTGGGCTTGGAACCGCGGTAGTGACAGGCACTGTGCGTGTCTTACGGGGCCGGCACAGTTGAAATCGTCATCACATGCGCTCGCTAACTCTGCAACAACCCTAAGAGTTAGGGATGCTACTATACTCTCCATTTCACAAAGGGAATCTAAGGTCCTAGCAAGAGTAAATCACGCCCATTATCACACGGTAGGAAATGCCAAATTAATAAGCACCTCAATTATCCAGTTCCTAGGGCCACTTTGTCTCCTTGCTCAACCGCCATAAAGTCAGAGTTTTGCAGCAGATAAGCAAGACCCCTACCATGGCAGCCACTGCCTAGCCAAGAGCCCTGCACAGAGGGGGAGCCCAATTTATGTGGATGAATCACCCTGAGATGGACTCAGGCAACCGCATTGAGGATAGCAGGGTCCGCACAGGGAGAGGCAAAGTCCCTGTCTACCGTCACTCAGCAGGGCTGTCACCCACAGGAGCAGAACAGGGCACCGCCTGCCCTCACATTCTGGAAGGCGATTAAATGCAGAGCGTGGCTGTTATTGCCAAATGAGGTAAAAACAGAGCTGAAGCATCCACCCACAGGAAAAAAGCAAGGATAATGCACCGTTAACCTGGGTCCTGCTACTGGGTCACCACCCCTAAATAAATACAGTCTGTGGTGATCAAATGATAATTACATCTTGTAATCTAATGCTATCACTTTTTGTGTTAAAAGCACTTAATTGCTCAGAGTAAATATTTTAAATGATTGGACTTTGTTAGCTCCTCATTTTGAGTCTCTTTCATCCCCAAAATATGTGTTCCTTCAGCTCCTGAGAGGACCTCCCCTGGAATTACTACAAGGGAAGCCCAAAGAAAGCTGGGGTTTTGTTTGTTTGTTTGTATGTTTTGAGATGGAATCTCGTCCTGTCACCCAGGCTGGAGTGCAGTGGTACGATCTCGACTCACCGCAACCTCCATCTCCCAGGTTCAAGCGATTCTCCTGCCTCAGCCTCCCGAGTAGCCGGGACTACAGGCGCCCGCCACCACACCCAACTAATTTTTGTATTTTTAGTAGAGACAGGGTTTCAACATGTTGGCCAGGATGGTCTTGATCTCTTGACCTCATGATCCACCCACCTTGGCCTCCCAAAGTGCCAGGATTACAGACAGGAGCCACCGTGCCTGGCCACCGGATTCTTTTTATTACAGACTTAAACTGGACACTGGGCTGTGACCATCAGCAGTGTAATGTGAACCTGGCCTCATCTATGCTCGGATAAAGCACCAAAGAGAACCCTGTGGAAGAAACCTCTGCGCTCCCCTCCCAGGACTAGCACCTCCCGGCTTCCTGCACACCAAGTGGAGGTGAAGATAAAGAAAGAGTCACAGAGAAGAAATAAAACACGTAGCCAGCAAAACACTCCTTTAGATGATGAGAGAGCAGATGCAGGAAGGGGCTCTACCAAGCTTCCTATGTCGTACATAATTTCCAGCTCCTAACATATTTGCAAAGCTTATTACAATAAAACACTCATGTCTGCAAGAGGCATAAAGAGATATTTCACGTCACCCCTCTACTTCTTTGTTCCAGTGAGACTCTCTCTGTGCAAGTACAAGTCATGATAACACAATACATATTTTAATGCAACAAGCCACTGCACTTGGTATCATTATAATAACTGGAAAAATTATATGTGTATTTCTTCATAGCATGTTTTCGTTCCTTTCTCAAAACAAGTCAAAGGCCCCTTTATCAAAGCACACATGATAGGAACTTGAAATGCAGCTTCCATCTAGGGCACACAGGGCCAATAAGCTTTGGACCCAGTTTCTTGCCAAAGCACCTGCAGCTCCCACACCCCTGCCTGGGCCTGGGGTGCTCTGTGCCCCATGCCTGCTCCCCAGGACTCACAGGTGGGCCAGACCGGCCTTGCGCACAGCCGAGGAGATGGCTTTGATGGCCGTCAGCATTGAGTTCAGCAGCTGGGTGAGCTCCCCAGTCCCTTTGGCCTGACGCCCCTTTTCCATAACGTAGCGGGTCAGGGTGAGCATGTCGGTTTCGAAGGGGCTTCTGTCCGTCATTTTGGCTGGAATGCTTCAAATCCTTTTCTCCCGGCAGGAAACCTTGCTTACTTCTGAGGGCTGCAGCTCCGCAGTGTGGAAGCCGATAAGAAATCTGTGCTGGCCCTGCCAGGATCTCTAAGGAAAAGGGCCCAAAACACATGACTCAAACAACTGCTGGGGCCCTCAAGGAACTCCCTCTGGCCTCGGGGACTGTGGCAGCTGCCAGGGAGCCGCAGCAGTCTGTAAATAGGACGGGCTGCCCAGAAACATGGAGCTGCTTTCTCCTGCTGAGCACCCCCTTTCAAGATACCAAGAAGCCACCATTTAGGCACAGGTGGGAGGTGAGAAATCCAGTTGATTAAAAAATGATGCATAAAACCCTCTTATTCCAGGCTCCAAAGGATTCTTCACATATAGTGACTGCAGGGCCTGGCTCTCCCGAGGGCGGAGGTGGCAGATTCGCAGGTTCCTTATCTGGGACGTAGGTCACATAGTAACATAATGGCAACCCCAGAATTCCTTTAGCCAGGGTTTGGAATAAGTTAGGAAAGAATGCTTTTTATTTCCAGTAGGCATGTATGACCAGTGGATATCCACAGTAGAGATCCAGATCCGGAAGAAAACTATTATATTCCTAGCACAGTTCCTGGCACCAGTGTTATTTTGTCAATATCTCTGGATGTCCACTTTTGTAACAAAAATTGCTTGTTAAAAAGGAAACACTAAAGAAGTGGATAAAGACAAACCTCCTCACCACCAGCCCATTCTCCCATCCCACTCTCCAGAAATCACTGCTGCTAGGGCTGGTGGCGGTCTGTGCAGCCAGTAGGCACTGGTGGGGTGCATATGGTGGTGGAAGCACTTTCTCTAGGGCCAGCCAGACCTGGCTGTGAGTCCCAAGCTAGCTATCTGTTGGTTGCATGATTTGAGAAAGTTATTAAACCCCTTGGAACCTCAGTTGTCTCACTCTTAAATGAGCATAACCGTGAAGCATCCATCTTATAGAGTGGCTGCAATGAGATGTACCTAGTATAGTAGGTGCTCAGTACTTTGTTACCTATTATTGCCCTTCCAGTTTTTTTTTTTTTTTTTTTTTTTTTTTTTGAGATGGAGTCTCACTCTGTCGCCCAGGCTGGAGTGCAGTGGCGTGATCTCGGCTCACTGCAAGCTCCGCCTTCCAGGTTCACGCTATTCTCCTGCCTCAGCCTCCCGAGTAGCTGGGACTACAGGCGCCTGCCACGACGCTTGGCTAATTTTTTGTATTTTTAGTAGAGACGGGGTTTCACCGTGTTAGCCAGGATGGTCTCGATTTCCTGACCTCGTGATCCGCCCGCCTCGGCCTCCCAAAGTGCTGGGATTACAGGCGTGAGCCATCACGCCCAGCCGCCCTTCCAGTCTTTCAATGTGCTCACAACTATTGTGCAATCATACATAATCTCATTTCACAAAACAGTACAACATGCACATTTCTCTGAAGGTCTTTTCCCCTGACAGTTATGTCGATTAGAATGTGTTCAGCTGCAAGAAATAGAACAACTAGAGCAATTTACACGTGGGGGTTTATTTCCTCATAGACCAGGAGTGCACTAGGAGGTGGTGGCTGGTGTTCATTCAGCTGTTCTTGGTTCCACTGGGACCCCTCTCTGTCTCGTCTCTGTCATCCTTGGTCGGCTGGATTGTGCCCCTTGCTTGGCATCCTGGGGGCACAAAATGTCACTGCAGTTCTGAACATCTGGCCCACGTTGAAGATGCAAAGAGGGGAGCAAGGGCAGCTCCAACCACATCAGTTCCTTTTTATTAAGAAAGAACAGTTTCCCTGGAACCCATCCTCCCACCCCCGTAGACGTCCCTGTGCACAGCGTCTGCCAGATCAGGGTCGTGTGGTGATGCCTGCAGTGGGAGCTGGGCGCTGGCATTGGATCAACCAAACTGGTTGAGGAGGGCAACCAAATGGTTGAGATGGGCATTGGTGCTCACAATTTATGTGGAAACTTTCAGATAAAACTAACATCTACCAGTAGATCTTAATATGCAGGTTTAAGATCCCAAATATATATATATGTTATTTATATATGTTTTTAGTTCCAGAAAGCAAATATTATGGGAAGATGTCCAAGTCAGCACACAGAGGCTTGGATCATTCCAGCTTGCGGACATTCAGATAATTTAGGTAAGTTGGCTCCTCAAATAGTAATGCAACAAACATCCTTATATTGGGGCAAGTGCTTCAGTAAGATACAACCCCAGAAGAGGAACTGCTATGTGACAATGTTCTAATTCTTTTCGCGGGGGTGTGGGGGGGTCTATCTTCACTTACCAAGAAATATGCTACCTCTTAATAGAACAAATACAGGATCCCATACCCTTTTTGTGATTTTCATTCAATCTATTTCAACTTTCAACACTGAGGTGAATGGATAGATGGAGACAGATGACACCTCTATCTCAGTATGTGGCACACATTAATCCACCCAATTATTTGATCCAGTAGTGCTATTTTTACAGATGAGGAAACTAGGGCTTCCTAGGGATAACACAGCTACTAGCTAGAATCTCAGCCCAGAGCTACCTGAGGTTAGCGTTCTTTCTCTTATATGATACTTTCTCCCATTCTAGGATGCTCCTCCTCCCTAGATGACTGAGCACCATACACGACAATGCACATATGCCTGTTAACACAATTAGAACATAGAATAAGACATGAGCTTAGAATTGAGTTCTAACAAGAGAGATCGCTATGTATAATAAAACAAGAACATCTGCCTGGGTCAGACCAGAGTATTGCTAAATCTATACCCAAAGGAAAGAAGCCTGGGCCGGGAATCAAAGCCCTCCGGGACTCAGATGCCTCAATTTAAAAATGAGATCCAGCTGAGCACAGTGGCTCACACCTGTAATCCCAGCACTTTGGGAGGCCAAGGCAGGGGGATCACTTGAGCCCAGGAGTTCAAGACCAGCCTGGCCAACATGGTGAAACCCCATCTCTATAAAAAAAATACAAAAATTAGCCAGTGTAGTGGCGTGCACCTGTAGTCCCAGCTACTCAGGAGGCTGAGGTGGGAGGATCACTTGAACCTGGGAGGCAGAGGTTGCCGTGAGCCAAGATGGCACCACTGCACTGCAGCCTGGGTGACATTGAGAGTCTGTCTCAAAAAAAAAAAAAAAATGGGATTAGACTTCATGATCCCTAACTGTATTATCTTCACTTAGTTTTAAAAACACACATTTTCGGCCAGGTGCAGTGACTCACACCTGTAATCCCAGCACTTTGGGAGGCCAAGGCAGGCGGATCACGAGGTCAGGAGATCGAGACCATACTGGCTAACGTGGAGAAACTCCATCTCTACTAAAAATACAAAAAACTAGCTGGGCATGGTGGTGTGCACCTGTAGTCCTAGCTCCTTAGGAGGCTGAGGCAGGAGAATTGCTTGAACCTGGGAGGCGAAGGTTGCAGCGAGCCGAGATCGCACCATTGCACTCCAGCCTGGACAACAGAGTGAGACTCCATCTCAAAAAAAAAAAAAAGAAGAAGAAGAAAAGAAAAGACATATTATCACTGCTTCCAAGTGTTTCTGAATCCAAATGAAAAGTGGTTGCCTTCATCATTCAGAACAATACTGTCACATTGAGAAATATGCTGGGGAAAAAAAGTTATTAGCAAGAGAGCCTTCTGCAATGGCTTCACTTCTGTCAGTTGCTAAGGGTAAGGTAAAGACTTGGGTATCATTTCTAGCTCATGTTTCTTCTGGAAGGTGCTCCACTGCCAACATAATAATCAATCCAACTTCCCTATTGGAAGCTGGAGAAAGGGCCATTCCAGTGTGTTTTACTCTGTGTGTTCCTGTTTAATGAAAGACTCATCTAAATAGAGATGCCACTTTGTATTAATCTGTTCACCCCATCTGACACTCAGTATCAGTTTAATAATAATAATAAGCTAATAACAGGAGTTATCATTTTTTGGGTAAGAACATTTTAATTTTGATATCATGAGGATCAAACTTGGAAAACTCTTCCTTTCCCAAGAGCTCTGGGAATTGTGAAAACTGCGGAATGGACCTTTCCTTGATCCTAACACGTCATGTTGCCATTAACAAATAAGCTTTGCCTTTCACATGGGGAAACCAATGATGATTCCTTTGACATCACTACAGAAATAGAGTGGCTGGATCTTCCAAGTTCTGGTCCAGTAAATGACTGCAGGGTGAAGACGGAGGCCTGGTTGATTAGTTTTCAGGTTTCATTTTGAAGCTAATGTTATCTGATTAAGAAGGTCTCCGGCTGGGCACGGTGGCTCACACCTGTAATCCCAGCACTTTGGGAGGCCGAAGCAGGCAGATCACGAGGTCAGGAGATCAAGACCATCCTGGCTAACACGCATCTCTACTAAAAACACAGAAAAAAATTAGCCGGGCATGGTGGCGGGCACCTGTAGTCCCAGCTACTCGGGAGGCTGAGGCAGGAGAATGGCGTGAACCCAGGAGGCAGAGCTCGCAGTGAGCTGAGATTGTGCCACTGCACTCCAGCCTGGGCGACAGAGCAAGACTCTGTCTCAAAACAAAAAAAAAGAAGGTTTCCCCTGTGATGGCGCAAAACAATGCTGAAAATGTGTATTCACACAAAAACCCACACACAGATGTTTATAGCAGTTCTAGTTAAACTAGAAACTGCAAACACCCAAAATCTCCTTAACAGTGAATGGGTAAACACACTGGGAGAGCCATACAACGGAATACTATTTTTTTTGAGGCGGAGTCTCGCTCTGTTGCCCAGGCTGGGGTGCAGTGGCATGACCTCGGCCTCCCGGGTTCACGCCATTCTCCTGCCTCAGCCTCCTGAGTAGCTGGGACAACAGGCACCTGCCACCACGCCCGGCTAATTTTGTTTTTGTATTTTTAGTAGAGACGGGGTTTCACCGTATTAGCCAGGATGGTCTCAATCTCCTGACCTCGTGATCCGCCCGCCTCGGCCTCCCAAAGTGCTGGGATTAAAGGCATGAGCCACTGCGCCCGGCCACAATGGAATACTATTAACAACACAAACACTAGTGTCACGTGTGGCACTTAGGCGAGTCTCAGAGGCATTGTGCTGAGTGACAGCAGTGGTCTCCAGCGAGTATCTACAGTCTCATTCCATTTGTAGGGGACTCTCCAGAATGCAAACCTGTGGGGACAGATAACTCTCATGGCTGCCAGGGGTAGGGGTGTGGGGAGGGGACAGGGCAATGGGGGTTTGCATGATAGAACAGTTCTAGACCCCAATTATAGTCATAATCCCAATTTCAAATTTTGCAAACTGAAATTCTGTACCCATTAAACAAGAACTCCCCATTCCCCCTCCCAACACCTAGTCCCTGGCACCCGCCATTCTGCTGTCTCTATGAATTTGGCTACACTGGGTCCCTCATAGACCATACAGTATCTGTCCTGCTGCGACTGGCTTATTTCACTCAGCACAATGTCCTCACCATCCCCGCATGCTGTGGCATGGGTCAGAGTTCCCTCCTCTCTGAGGCTCAACAGCATTCCCTGGTATGGACACGCCACAGTCTGTTCACCCATTCATCCTCTATGGCCGCTTGGGTTGCCTCCACCTCTGGGCTAGTGTGAGTAATGCTGCCATGAGCACAGCGTGCAAACATCTGTTCAAGGCCCTGCTTTTGATTCTCTCGGGGATGTGCCCAGAGGTGGACCTGCAGGATCATATGGTAATTGTCTGTCTAATTTCTGGAGGAACTGCTGCACCATTTTCCACAGCGGCTGCACCATTTCACACTCCCCAGCAGTGAGCAAGAGTCCCAGGGTCTCCACCTTATTGCCAGCACTTGTTATTTTCTGTTTGTTTGTTTTTACAGTAACCATCCCAATGGGTGTGAGGTGGTATCTCACTGTGGCTTAGAGTAGTTGCATCTTCCTAATGATTAGTGATGTTGAGCAGGTGCTTATTAGCCACTCCTGTAATTATTTTTATTATGCTTTTTGTTTGTTTTGTTTTTTGAGACAGAGTCTCGCTGTGTTGCCCAGACTGGAGTGCCGTGGCACGATCTCGGCTCACTGCAACCTCCATCTTCCAGGTTCAAGTGATTCTCCCATCTCAGCTCACGAGTAGCTGGGACTACAGGCACGCACCACCATGCCTGGCTACCTTTTGTATTTTTAGTAGAGATGGGGTTTCATGATATTGGGCAGGCTGGTCTCAAACTCCTGACCTCAGGTGATAAGCCTGTCTTGGCCTCCCAAAGTGCTGGGATTATAGGCGTGAGCCACTGCGCTCGGCTTATTATGTTTTATTAACATATCTGTTCACAACAGATTGGAAGTGAAACAAACAAGCCAGTGTTATGAGCAGATCTCTGGAGAGGCGCCGGTTGTCCGGCACTGTGGGTGTCAAGGATGAGCAGAAGCCTGGATAATTTGGGGATCAGGAGGGAGGGGGATTGGCCAGTGCCATGTATAAGTCAGCTCCCCCCGTAAAGGGATCCAAGGGAGGGCCTGCTATTTCTGCCACCCTCCAGCCCAGGCTGGCACCTGTGCAGCTGTCATGCCCCTTTCAGCTACATTTAAATGTTGGAAGTTCGAGTTACCTACATGATCTGAAATTGCAGCTGGTGACCTTTCAGCAAATGCCAAAGTTCTTTCAGGGCACACAACAGCGTGGACACACGGGGCATCTGGAAGGCCCAGAGGAAGGGGGGGGCAGCGTCCAGCTCACGCTTTTTTCAGCGCCACTGATGCATTGGTGATCACAGAGCTATTTATGGGCTTGCTGTGCTTGGTGAAAGGCCCTCACAGGCCTGGGCGGAAGTAGTAAGGACAAACAGAGTCTCTGAACAGTAAGGCAGTCTTAGGGCAGTTCATAGGGCGGGGCCCCCACCTGAAGTCTAGGATCTGGACTGTGACTCTACAGTACTAGCTGAGAGCATATTCTCTGTTAGCAAAACTCTGTTAGAATGCCTTCCATGCCCCGTCTCCAGTGATCTCAACAAACGCTCTTTCATGAAACCTCAGCATTTCTGCTTCCAGCACGGCAGACCCTTTAGGGTATCTGCTCAGCCCACGATCCCCATCTAAGAGAGAGGCGTGCCCTGCCCATAAAAAGAAAACCCAAGGCCACGTTTGTCTTATATGACCCGGGTCTATGGCTGCAGCTAACTGGACACAAGCTAAGACGTCAGGTTTTTTTCTCCGGGGAACTTGGTGTGAGACATGGAGACACAGTGGATTGGCTGACAATGCCAGGACGGACTAAGGGTGTGTCCTCGGGGTTAGGAAAGCAGTGGGTGCTAGGTTTCATGAGAGTCCCCTGAAGCTTTCCAACAAATTGCCTTTCTGCTTTAGCAGAATAAATGGGTTTCTGTTACCTACGATGAAAATGGCCTTGACTACAATAGATATTACAATTAACATTTTGCAAATGAAGAAAGGGAGACTCAGAGAGGTTAAAAATATTGCCAAGCTTGGTCTAGTTTAGTCAGGATAGCGTATGTTATCGTGCAGCAACAAATAAACCTGAAATCCCCACGGCTTAGCACAGCAAAGGTTTGTCTCTCCTTCTGGTCCCAGGCTGACATCGACATGGCGGTGGCTTAGGCCTCCAGGCTCCTGCCATGTCATGAACCTGTACAAAAATGCATGGCTTCAGAGGAGGACCCATCCTAATGTAGGTAATCTAGGCTCATCTCATCTTAATCCTTACTTTAATTAGATCTGCAAAGACCCTCATTCTTTTTTCTTTTTTTTTTTTTTTTTTTGAGACGAGTCTCGCTCTGTCGCCCAGGCTGCAGTGCAGTGGTGTGATCTCGGCTCACTGCAAGCTCTGCCTCCCGGGTTCATGCCATTCTCCTGCCTCAGCCTCCTGAGTAGCTGGGACTACAGGCGCCCGCCACCACGCCCAACTATTTTTTGTATTTTTAGTAGAGACGGGGTTTCACTGTGTTAGCCAGGATGGTCTTGATCTCCTGACCTTGTGATCCGCCCGCCCGCCTTGGCCTCCCAAAGTGCTGGGATTACAGGTGTGAGCCACTGCACCCTGATATATATATGGAAAAGGCTCCCAGACCATATTTCTCTCCCTTCATGCTTTGAGAACCAGATGCCAGCTGAGTTACAAGAAGTTTAAAACTCAAGAGGTGCTTTGTGCGTCAGGGGACTTTCCCAGAGGGCAGCCCCAGCTGGAGTGGAGAAATATTGGCTTTGGGTCTGTCTGGTCAGTGGGCAGAAGCAGATCCAATGCTCAAGATCAATTTCCTGCTGGGAAAATGTGAAATGAATGGGGAGTGTTTGGAGGGGAAGAAGCAGGATTCACATACACACATGTTTTCAGTTCCCAAGTGGAATCATATGGATAGATCCATTTTATATCTAGAGCTCAAGGAGGGCCACAGGTGTTACTTAGTGCCTGACAGAGCTTGCCACGATCTTGGACTCTGGTCCAGTAAGACCAGGGTTAGCGGAGGGAGAAACTGTTTCTATAGAGAGTTTAGTGAGAAGCCTGCTTGCTTGCAACAAATTGCATTTCCTTAAACCCTGTTCTTGTAGTGAATCCTTTTTCTTATGGTAACTAGACTGTAGGAACTATTAGCCTTTGTGAGTTAAGTGCCGTGCTTTTATAGAAAAATCACCACTGGGTGGCTGGGCGCAGTGGCTCACACCTGTAATCCCAGCACTTTGGGAGGCTGAGGCAGGCAGATCATGAGGTCAGGAGTTTGAGACCAGCCTGGCCAATATGGTGAAACCCCGTCTCTACTAAAAATACAAAAATTAGCTGGGTGTGGTGATGGGTGCCTGTTATCCCAGCTACTCGGGAGGCTGAGGCAGGAGAATCGCTTGAACCCAGGAGGCAGAGGTTGCAGTGAGCCGAGATTGCGCCACTGCACTCCAGCCTGGGAGACAGAGTAAGACTCCGCGTCAAAAAAAAAAAAAAAAAAAAAGAAAGAAAGAAAGAAAGAAAAAGAAAAATCACCACTGGGTAAACAGTAAACTTTCACTTGGGATTCAGATGGTTACATCCATGTTTGGGAGGCCAGAGGGTCACATGCAGGTACCACCACTAAGCCATTAGCTCCCCCATTTCTAGGAGGGCGTGAGTCGCCATGTTCAGGCTGCATGGTTCCTCAGCTGCAATCCTGAACAAGGCTGGGGAATGATGGGCCAGGCCTGAACGGGACGACATGAAGGAGAAGCCGTATGCTGGCTCACAGTGGCCAGGCTGCCTGCATTCAGGTCCCCACTCTGCCACTCATTGGCTGGAAGCCTTGAGCCAATTACTTCACCTCTCCTCGTCCATTTTGTCATCTATAAAATGGATTATTCAGAGTATCTGATTCATTGGGTTATTGTGAAGATTAAATGAGTTATCTAATGTTATATGCATCAGCAGTTATTATTGTCATCATCATTATTATTTGACACAAAGCAAGGGAGACTTTTTTTTAAGGAGGAATAAGTTTATTTCTCCTCCATCCACTCAAAATATATCTTAACACCAGTGGCATTATGGAGACAGCATTTGGTTAGGGAGTGCCAAGCATTCTACAGCATTTGATGGTGGAAATAGTCATGCTTTTTATTTCTGCTCTCTAGGAATGTAAGGTGCACAGCAGGTCAGGGTACTGCTGTGTGAGACAAAAGGTCCAGGTAGAGGCAATTCTCCGGATGCAGGCAGGGCAGGTGCTCACTGGGCAGAGTGCTTCTCATACACCTTCAGGAACTCGAGCACGTCGTCGGGGGATCCCAAGATCACCGGCGCCCTCTGGTGAATGTCTGTGGGAATGACGTCTAACACGGCCTCCTTCCCAGTGGTGGCCATTCCCCCAGCCTTCTCCATGACGTAGGCCATGGGGTTGCATTCGTACAGCAGTCTCAGCTGGAAAACAAGACCGGGTAGCGGCCTCCTTGTATCAGAAGGTATTGCGTAAAAAAGAGACTTTTCTGCAGCAAAACATGCAGAGCTGGTGGGAGTTTCCAAGGGAACGAATACTGTATTTTTCCTTCCTGTGAGGCTGTAAAAGTTTCCTCCCACCCCAGGTTGCATCTGAGACAAAACAGTTAACCATTTGGTTAAATTCAACCATTCATCAAGCCAGTGCCAGCAATAGATTACCTGATGCAAATGTGAGACAGACCACCTGCATACTGGACAGAATGACATTTTGGCAGAAGCGATCATTGCCTTCTCTTTATACCATGGAAACTGGACTTAATGAGTGATTCTGTGTGTGTTGGATGGAGCTTCGCCTATTCTAAAAGCAATAAAAAAAATCCATGGTGGTGTCTGGCTACAGACATCTGGAAAGCAGACCGGCTCCTCCAAACAGTGTGATATTGTTTGCAACTCTGTGTGCATTCCTTTTACGATTCTCCGAAGGCTTTTGGGTTGGAATTCAGTGTATTATACGTCTTGGCATTCACCTTTAAATATTAACTTTTTTATTGTATGCCTTTTCATGCAGTCTGCCTACTGAGCGACAGCTTTCTGCAGGTGTTTCCTGAGTCTATTTCCACATAGGTGTCATGGCTAGTTTTGAAAAACCAAAAAAAAAAAGAAGGAGCCTCAATATTTGTGTTCAGGAACAATTTCGGGGGACTTTAGAGAAAAGTGCTGGAAAGCAGGCTAACCACACAGGTTGATATGCCCGAGGCAGCTACAGCTGGATGATGGTTTCAGTAAATAGAAATGCCTTCATTCTGGATGCCACATGCTGCAAACAGACCCAAATACATCCAAACACATAGGTTTTGTGTTTAAGGGAACTGTTGTTCCTGTTCTCCTCTTGCATTAAAAAAAAAAAAGGCAGCCACGCGTGGTGGCTCATGCCTGTAATCCCAGCACTTTGGGAGGCTGTGGCGGGTGGATCACTTGAGGTCAGAAGTTCAGGACCAGCCTGGTCAACAAGGTGAAACCCCGTCTCTACTAAAAATATAAAAATTAGTCGGGCGTGGTGGCGGGCACCTGTAATCCCAGCTACTCAGAATGCTGAGGCAGGAGAATCACTTGAACCCAGGAGGCAGAGGCTGCAGTGAGCTGAGATCGCGCCACTGCACTCCAGCCTGGGCGACGAGTAAGACTCTGCCTAAAAAGCCATCTGTCCACTGGGAAAACATAAGAAGGACACAATACTTGGGAAGGAAGCACACTGTCACCCTGGCAGAAGGAAAGCAGGGCAGCTCTGAGCGAGCGTGAGGGAGCACAGCCACCCTGCAGCCTGCTGGGAACACCATGGGCTTGGACTAGTGAGTCGGTGGTGACGGCTCACCTGAAAGCTCTAGGTTTCCCCAGAGATTCTTTCCTCCCCTAAAAGGTATCGTTTTCCAAGTAGTGGATGTTGACTCACTAGTTACCTCTGTTTTACACCTTTTGAAAGCAATCAAAGAAGACTTCTACTGAGGATACACATTTGATTCGCTGCCTTGGAAGTGAGGCTGGGTTGTTTCATTTCACTTTATGAATGGAATTCATTTTGCCCCAGCCAAGCCCTGTATCCACTGGAAGCCCTAAGGACTTTCAGTCCTCGTCCTGACCGTTCATTCTCTTTTGCCATAGCACTGGAAGGGCTCTCAAGAGACTATTTTTATCTTTAGTTGATATCGTCTGGCTTTACCTTTAATCCACAAAAGAATATGCTACAGACACACGTAGCAACCTAGCATGGAGCGTAATAGCTAGCAAAACCTTTCTTCTTCCTAAACTAAATCGCGTGGGCTGCAAGTGAAATCTGCTCCTCACTCCCTCTCCAGGGGACACCCTTACCTTTCCATTGGGGCTCTTCTTGTTAGCGGGGTACAGAAATATCCCTCCGTAGACCAGAGTGCGATGAACATCAGCCACCATGGAGCCCACATACCGGGCCCCATAAGGAGCTGAATTATCCTGCAAGTTAAGACCAGCAAGAATTAGGATTGCAGAAAATAAGAAAGAGAGTTTTCTTGGTGTCTCCTAAGTTTCTTTGATTCCACATCCATTCACCGAGCACCTACAAGGTATGTATTTGGGGCTGTGCTAAAAAATGTGATGAGAATCCTGTTCCCAATAAATAGAAAATGGAAAAATGGAGACAGCCTCTCATCATCTCACAATAGGTCAGATTGCCCACAGAAGCCCCAACGAGGGTATGGTTGATTCTGGTTATGGGGCTGAGGCAGGCATTACAGAAACTGTACCATTTAGTAACACCTTAAAGGCTGAGAAAGTTTGTTACCAAGCTAAGGAACCGGGCAGGGGTGGGAGGCAGTGTGTAATTTACAGGAGAGGAAACTGCACAAGTGTCTGCTTAGCAATGTGGAGAGGGATATGGTCCTGGAGGAGGAGCCTGTGGGACTCGGGTGTGCGTGTGCGGAGCTTGGGGGCAGGAGGGGAATCCAGGATAAGGTGAAAGGAGAGATGAGTAAGCTGGAGAGAAAGCCTGGGGCAGATCTGAGGCCTCCTTGAACGTCCTGCAAACATTTGAGCTTCATCTCTAGCAAACAGCAGCCATCGATGGCTTTTAAACAAAGAAAGGACAAAATCAGATATTCCATATAGAGCAAGCTCCACACAGCCATTTCTTCTCTTCATATTCACTAGCTTGTAACCTCTTTAGGGAGATGTCACGATGGGCACTCTCGGTCTCGAGATAACTGATAGATGCACCTCAGGCAGGCCTAGCAAGGGGCAGACACCACTTGACGGGCATTTGAGTGGGGGAACCACATTTCATCCCATCTGGGACCATGGACCCCAGAAGGGAAGATGTTTTACTGCCATGAATTCATTCATTTGTTTAACTTTATTATCCTAATTTTCTTCTGCCAAGAGAAAGTAGCAAAGGCTGACATGGAGACTGATTTTTGATGTCTCAGGGTGAGAATTCCAGTCTCCAGTACTGAGGTGAGAACTTCATCGTGGGCTCAGTGTAGACGGAAGCCCAATCCACTCCATCCCTGCTTCCTTTCACCTTTAGGGTAAGTCATCAACCAATAGATTTCCACACTGCTCAGGAGCCCCACATGAGGCCCAAGGCCCTCGATCCCAAGGATCCCTTTCATCTCCGGGGGATGCCCCTGCCTCCAGAACGGCCTCTGGTGCCAGATGCCCAGAACCTGCACCACCCTCCCCGGGCCCTCACTTACTGGGGGGAACTTCTTCCTCTGGATGTACTCAGTGACGGCAGGGTCAAAGTCCCTGGCGTAGCCCTCGTTAAGGCTGTAGATTTTACCTTTCTTTTTTATCTTCACATCCTTGTCCACCAAAATGAACTCCCCGATGGCCTTTTTAGACAAGGAAGGAAAGGTGGAGAGATGACGAGCGCACTGGGTCCCCCAGGCCTGGATGAGGCGAGCGATGGGCTGGGCTACGCTGGGCTGGGGTCGCGGCGCACGGGCACCACTCATCTTGGGGCCCCGAGACACCTGCCAGGCTCTCTGGGAACTGTGAATGGGGTGAGGGGAAGCAAGACAATGCTGCAGAAGCCATCAGGGTGATAACAGACACTTTCGACTTTGTTTGCATATGATTTCAGTCAAACAAGAAAGAAACCACACAAAAATAGGGAGAGCAGACTTGTGAAACAACTGCTAAGCCTGCAAGAGAGTAAGAACCGTGTGTCCAAAGCAATATAAGATGTGTATGCCTTTACCAAACAGAAAAAAGGGTTGGTTCAGGCGGGAGGTGGGCTCTCAGGAGAGACGGGCCACCGCAGGATCAGTCCCTGAGTTACACCCAAGTGCTCAGCGCTGTTCTCGGCTTTACATTTCTACCTTGATGGGAGTTCTCCTTTCTGGGCGTTCTTATAGAACAAAGTAGAACCCTGAGTTTTGAGTCTGGCGTACGTAACTTCCGATGGCCTTTGCTCGCTGGCGTGTGAAGTTTTTCTCAGACTGCCTCTTCCCACATAGCCCAGGGTTAAGCTTATGCCTTTAAGCTTTAGGCTCTTCAAAGGAGATTTGAATTTGGGGGAAAAGTGTTGCAGAAGTCCTATTGCTCCGGATTGAGGATTGTTATGGGTTCCTGTGTGTTTTTGGCAAGAGGGTGATCGAGGCTCTGCCCATTTAGGAGGGGCTTGACGTTGACACAAGAGTTGAAAAGAAAAAAGGCCCACCGACACCTCTCTACCTAGCCATTTATTCCACAGCAGAAATTGGTTCCTACCCATATGGAATACGTTGAAACCAGACAGACAGGGAGAAAGGGAGGGGAGAATTCACAGTGGCCATTGAAAGGTGTCACTGGAAGTGATTCTTCTTTCTTACTTTTATGCCTTTTTTAATATTTTCAAAATTTTTGACCACAAGTATACCGGAATATTCTTTTATCGTTGGTAGAAAAATAAATAAATAAATGTCTTTCAAAAAACTATATAGAAAAGAAAGCCATCTCACAACAGTTGCTGGGTGCAGAGCGCAGGGCCCAGCCAGACTGTCCATGGTGCAAAGGAGGAAAGTCTGTGTACAGAGACAAAACATAAAAGCTCCCAGAAAGTTGAAGCCGCTGGAAACCCGAGTACAGCTGTAGCAGTGTTTTCAGCAGAAACCGTCAGCCTGGCTTTGCAGCAAGCGCAAACAAAGAGGAAGCACTTAGCACCTCCCTGGCGGGAGGCTCAGCCCCGTCAGGCACCGCAGACAGAAGGGCTGGAATCAAATCCCAGCAGCCCTGCATTGCGCTTCCAAACATTCAGGACTGAGGAGGGCAAAAGACTATCAAACACACAGAAGCTTCCCTACAGGGATGCTCCCCTGCAATCTGGAAACAAGAAGGGATTGAATGTTTTCTCTGCTTCCACCAACTCAAAGGTAACAAGAGAAGGCACCAGAAGAATGGGAAGCAGTCAGGGCCCGGCAAATCACAGTCAGCAAACATCAGTGGTGCCCGAAATTCCATCCTGGGCTCAGGTGGAACTTTGCTCTGGTTCTGCCACTAACTCCCCCACCCCACCCCTACCCAGGTCACCACATTTGGCGACTTTAACTAGTGCTATTACCCTACCCTTGTTTATTTGTTAAGTGCCCATGCTTCCAAGGAGGTGAAAGTCCACTTCCCTGACAGCCTGGGACAAAGGCAGCCTGTGTTGAGTTAGCCTTCCTGCCACACACAGACCCGGCCTCACCTCCAGCAGCCTATCTCGCACAGAAGGTTCCTGTTCCTTGTCTGTTCCTGGGGTTCAGTTTGCCAGCAAAAAGCACTTTACACATAGTTCACTAATGTCATAGGAGGACATCTCTAAAAGTTAAAAAAGTTGGCCAGGCATGGTGGCTCATGCCTGTAATCCCAGCACTTTGGGAGGCTGAGGCGGGCAGATCACCTGAGGTTAGGAGTTCGCGACCAGCCTGACCAACATGGCGAAACCCCGTCTCTACTAAAAATACAAGTGTGGTGGCAGGCGCCTGTAGTCCCAGCTACTCAGGAGCTGAGGCAGGAGAATCGCTCGAACCCAGGAGGCAGAACTTGCAGTGAGCCGAGATCACGCCACTGCACTCCAGCCTGGGAGACAGGGCAAGACTACATCTCAGAAAAAAAAAAAAAAAAGAAAGAAAGACTGCACCAGTTAACTGAAGGTTTGTGTAAATGTACACGAATAAATGTGGGAGCTATTTTTGAAGAAGCAATGTCGTCCACTGCTTCAGTTGGCACACCCATTCGTCTCAGGAAAACAGCCTTTTGGTGACTAAAGTAGAAAAGCTAGAAATGGATGGATACAGTTTATGGCAAACAGAATATCTACAGCCCCATCAGGTCCATAAATGCATTTTAGTTGGCCAACATAGTGTTGCACACATGCAGAAACATTATGTTTTTTACAATCCAGTGTTTCTTGAACCATTAATAGAAGCCTTGGCAAGGCGGGCCCCCTCCTCCCAATTGTAATTGCTGGAACTCTTCAGTTCACCCCAGTTCCACCCTTGCCCCCCGGCCTTCCTTCCCCAGCACACTTCATCATCCCTATGGCCTGCCTGGACCTGGCATTTGGGTCATTTGAGTAACAGCTGCTCTGAGGAATTCACATTGGAACAAAGACCCCCTCTTGTGCCAGTCTGAGATGGCATTTCTCACCTCCATAGTCTGCTCGGGAGGCATACACTCTCTCTTGGTCTCCTGCCCCCTTTCCACCACACATCATCATCTCTGTCCCTCCATGGGCATCACCTCCCACCTCCACATACCCCTGCCAATCCCCCACACATATCATTCATTTGCTCACAGACACCAGCCAAGCCCCCAGCCTCCTGTGAGGTCTCTCACCGGGTCCAGCATGAAGCAGTTGACCCCACAGTCCATGGCAAGGACCAGCATGGTGGCACTGCCATACAGTGCGTAGCCGGCTGCCACCAGGTTCCGGCCTGGTTGCAGAGCATCCTTCTCAGAAGGCTCATCAGTTGATTTCTAGAGCAAGAAAGAAATCAAAGAATGTTTTTGTTTTGTTTTGTGATTCTTTTTTACAGTTCAACCATTAACAGGAGGCATTCTCAAGGTGCTCTTCTAATGAAATAGGGCATCTTCCCAGAGGGGCCTTCCCCTACACATCAGCAATATCCTGATTAGATTATCACGGCAGCCTTCCCACCAGAACCCAGATTTCCTGCATCTGGATTCCTCTTTCCAATTAGGGCCCTCCTCCAATTTTTCTAATGTGATATTCCCTCATCTCTCCACTATCAGTTCCAAAAAAGAGCATGCCTTCTTGCCAGTTCCCACTAATTTAATCTTATTACGGGCATCCATCTCTGTCACCTGCCTACTCCATCTTTATTTAAATAAATTAACACTGGGCTGCAGGGCAGCCAGTCTGCGGAGGAAATCAGTTTTGTGAGCTCTTGCCGCTGCAGCCCATACTCTGCTGAGCATGTGGTCTATATCACTCACACGTCAGGGAAATTCTCAGAAACGTAGGAACTCAGAATATCTCCCCAGAGTCATTATGGGGTAGAGCAGATGCTGTCCAGTGTTTTAACCGTGATGCATGGGAAGAAGCACATTTTACATCACAAACCAGTGCCCCCACACACACACCAAAAAGTTACCAAAATAATACCTACACTTAGAACGTGGCATGTGCCGTAATCCATTTTTTCATTAAAAACACAGCCCACTGGGTCATGTGGTCCAGAGTTTTTCTAACACTAGGGAAGGGAGCCCCTTAAGGAGACAGCTCCTAACCACTGATTTCTTACTATTAATGATTTTCTTCTTTTTTTTTTTTTTTGACACGGAGTCTCGCTCTGTCGCCCAGGCTGGAGTGCAGTGGTGCTATCTCGGCTCACTGCAAGCTCCGCCTCGCGGGTTCACACCATTCTCCTGCCTCAGCCTCCCAAGTAGCTGGGAGTACAGGCGCCTGCCACCACACCCAGTTAATTTTTTGTATTTTTAGTAGAGAGGGGGTTTCACCGTGTTAGCCAGGATGGTCTCTATTTCCTGACCTCGTGATCCACCTGCCTCGGCCTCCCAAAGTGCTGGGATTACAGGCGTGAGCCACTGCGCCCAGCCTGATCTTCTTTATTAACACTGGATTGACCTCTTTGGTCATCAAGACAGCCCCAAACAAATCTTTCAGCTTAACTACTCTCTGCTTGAATTAAGCAGAAATAAAAATATGCAATTTCTCGAACTTCACTTATTCTTTTCCTAGATTCCTGCAGCTGAGCGTAAGCAGGGGCATCTGTATCACGCAGCTGGAGAAGGAAGTCATCCCAGCAAAACATTCCAGGTAATTTCTTCCCATAACTTTCAAAAGGGTGGCCCACAGAGCACCTGCATTAGAATCACCTGGGATATTTATTAAAAATGCACATTCACAGCCGGGGTCATGACTCATCCCTATAATCCCAGCACTTTGGGAGGCTAAGGTAGGAGGATCATTTGAGGCAAGGAGTTTGAGACCAGTTTGTGCAACACTGGGAGACCCCATCTCTACGAAAAAAAATTTTTTTTTAATTAGCCAGGCATGGTGGCATGTGCCTGTGGCTACTAAGGAGGCTGAGGCTGGAGGATCACTTGAACCTGGGAGGTCGAGGCTGCAGTGAGCCATTATCATTCCACTGCACATGCCTGGGTGACAGAATGAGAACCTGCCTCTTTAAGAAAAAGAAAAGAAATGCATATTCTGGGGCTACAGCCTAGACACACTGTCAGACTTTCCATGGCGGGGCCTGAGAATCTGCATTGCACTATGCAATGTGAAGGGGTGACCTTCACACTCAAGTGTAAGAACTTCACATTCAAGCATAACAACTACTCATATAAATGAGAAAACCACAAACCAGAAAACCACAAACCCATTTCTTTCCACCGCTTCCCTGCCCCTCCTAGTTTTCACCTGGGGAGGTGGTTAGTTAGCTGGTTGCACTGGGTTATTTGATTCAGTTTGGTTTGTATTCACCAGACAGTACAGTGGAGCTAAACACAGACTAAACTTACAGGATCAAAACTTTGAGGGAATAATTCCAAGTTTTGCCAATGCACAACCTTGAAAAATGAAATTAATGGCCTTTGTCAACATGCGCTGCCTGTCAGAGGCTCATTTTAACAATCACCAGCTTCCCTTGAAGCCAGGTACACAGTGGGTGGACTCAGGACTCTAACTCTCCTCTCCTCCCACTGCAGGCTTCAAGTAACCAGTTCTCTGCCAATAAAGGCCCCTTTTCCCAGAGATTCACCTCGCCCAGAACCATCCGTGCCGGCCTGTGGCAAAGGTGCAAAAGTAAACAGCCCTTCCCTGACATACGGTCACCAAATGCTCTACATTTATACACTTCCTCGCACGGAATAAAAAATAATAGTAATACTTGTCTATGACCCACATACTCAAAACGAAGAGAAAATTATCCCACTGAGCCATGGATTTGGAGGAATTCTTTTCTAGCCCAGCCCCCAATTTTTTTTTTTTTTTTTTTTTTTTTGGAGACAGAGTCTTGCTCTATCGCCAGGCTGGAGTGCAGTGGCACAATCTTGGCTCACTACAACCTCCACCTCTTGGGTTCAAGTGATTCTCCTGCCTCAGCCTCCCAAGTAGCTGGGATTACAGGCGCCCACCACCACGCCTGGCTAATTTTTTTTTTTATTTTTAGTAGAGATGGGGTTTCACCATGTTGGCCAAGATGGTCTCGAACTCTGGACCTCAGGTGATCCGCCTGCCTCAGCCTCCCAAAGAGCTGGGATCAGCCCCCTTTCTAATTCCTTCCTCCAAATGCTCAGCAATGCATGCCTTTCCTCCAAGGGAAACATATTCCATTCTCCTGCAGATGCCCAGGGACCAATGAGCACGGAGCACTTGGCAAAATCAGAAACCTCTGGACCCTTCCTTTCTCTGCCTATCTGAGGCCACCACCTGCTGTAGGCACTGGCTCCATGTCATCACATATTATTCCATGTCATCACATAAGGAGAAGTAGGCACAGAAACGGAGGGCCTGGGGGAGGAGAGACTGTCACGTCCACAGTGGTCTTTCCTCGGAGCAGAAACCAAACCCTACTTTTCTGAATCTCTGCTTTTGTGGTGGGAGCTGTAAAGGACATTGCAAGTTAGAGTATGTCCAGTAGAGGGTGATCAGGCTAGAGAGAAGTCTCAGATCCCTCTCCTGTGAAAGATGTTCAGCTTAAAGGGAAAAAAAGTGGGTGTGGTGGGCATTATTGGGAGGGCAGAAACACTGTTTCCAAACATGTCAAAGAATCTTATTTTCTTATGCTCTAAACAGCCAAGTGAGCAAAATGAAACAGATTTCAACTCAATATTTGGACAAACCATGATGGTTACCCAGCATTGCAGGAGAATTCGCCCTGTCAGGATGTCTCCAGCCAGACACTGGTGGGGCCAGGCACCGTGGCTCATGCCCGTAATCCCAACACTTTGGGAGGTCGAGGCGGGAGGATCGCCTCAGCCCAGGAGTTCAACACCAGCCTGGGAAACATAGCGAGACCCCCTTGTCTCTACAGACAATACAAAAATTAGCCAGGTGTGGTGGTGCACCTGTAGTCCCAGCCACTCAGGAGGCTGAGGTAGGAGGATGGCTTAAACCCGGGAGGGTGAGGCTGCAGTGAGCCATGATGGCGCCACTGCTCTCAGCCTGGGCGACAGAGTGAGACCTTGTCTCAAAAAAAAGAAAAAAAAGAAGAAAAAAAAAAGGCCGGACGCAGTGGCTCACGCCTGTAATCCTAGCACTTTGGGAGGCCGAGGCGGGCGGATCACGAGGTCAGGAGATTGCCACCATCCTGGCTAACACACGGTGAAACCCCGTCTCTACTAAAAATACAAAAAAAATTAGCCAAGCGTGGTGGCGGGCGCCTGTAGTCCCAGCTACTCGGGAGGCTGAGGCAGGAGAATGGCGTGAACCCGGGAGGCAGGGCTTGCAGTGAGCCGAGATCGTGCTACTGCACTCCAGCCTGGGCGACACAGGAGACTCCATCTCAAAAAAAGAAAAAAAGAAAGAAAAAGGAAGAAGGAAGAAAAGGAAGAAGAAGAGGAGGGAGAAGGAGGAGGGGAAGAAGGCAGAGGAGGAAGGGGGGGACGAGGAGGAGCAGGGGGAGGAGGAGGGAGGGAGAAGGGGGAGGGACAGGGAGAAGAAAGAGAAAGAATAGTAGTAGTCGTGGCCGGGCGCGGTGGCTCACGCCTGTAATTCCAGCACTTTGGGAGGCCGAGGTGGGCGGATCACGAGGTCAGGAGATCGAGACCATCCTGGCTAAAACAATGAAACCCCGTCTCTACTAAAAATACAAAAAATTAGCCAAGCGTGGTGGTGGGCGCCTGTAGTCCCAGCTACTCAGGAGGCTGAGGCAGGAAAATCGCTTGAACCAGGGAGGCAGAGGTCGCAGGGAGCTGAGATGGCGCCACTGCACTCCAGCCTGGGCGACAGAGAGAGACTCTGTCTCAAAAAAGAAATAGTAGTAGTCGGTAGGCCCTGGAAAGATGCTGTGGCAGGAGCTGCATGCAACATGACCACACATCCTTCCACGTGCCTTTCCAGGAATCGTGTAGCAAGGCCTGGTCACCATGGCAGGGTCACAGTTACTGATGCTGCCCCACTGGGCGTGGGCACCATGGTGCGATTCTAGCCAACAATCATCTCTGCAGAAAGCAGGAAAAATCCCCTTGGAAGCATTATAGATGTCTATGTTTATGCCTCATGAGCCCTCAACTGGTTTCAGCTGTTTCAAGCAATCAATAAGGCTTCAAAAAACTGAAATGACTTAGAGGTCTGTGTCATACTCATCATCACTTTCTTTTTATTAATTAATTAATTTATTTATTTATTTTTTGAGACAGAGTCTTGCTCTGTCACCCAGGCTGGAGTGCAGTGGTGCGATCTCGGCTCACTGCAAGCTCCGCCTCCCAGGTTCACACCATTCTCCTGCCTCAGCCTCCCAGGTAGCTGGGACTACAGGGGCCTGCCACCACACCCGGCTGATTTTTTGTATTTTTGGTGGAGATGGGGTTTCACCGTGTTAGCCAGGATGGTCGCAATCTCCTGACCTCGTGATCCGCCCGCCTGGGCCTCCCAAAGTGCTGGGATTACCGGGGTGAGCCACCGCACCAGGCCCCACTTTCTGTCTTTTAAAAAAGTCACTTCTGGTTCATTGAGAAGACAGCCGAGCCTTATTGTTGAGAATTCTGTCATTCATAATTCAAGCTGCTGTTGCAAGCTGGCTTGATTTTTTTTTTTTAGTTGATAGCCAATGTCTCTCAATTTCCCAGGTTTTTTTTCCTTAAAAAGTATTATTTGGGGGGACTGAGATGGAGAATGGGCTTAGTAAACATCAACACTGCTTTAGTTGTGGTTAACACATTAGCCAGATGTCTTCCTCTGCAAGGAAGAATTTTGCTACAAACCTCTCCTGCTATTCTGTGGATTTGATATTTTGCAAGGAAAATTGCATTCTTCCATGTCTACAACAGAAATGGTATGTTCCTTGGCATGACTTGGAAAATGGATAAATTGTTGCCTTTTTGCCTTTCTAGTATGAGAATTTGAATCTTCTATTCCTCAAACTGATTGTGATGTGGATCTGCCTCTTACCCAAGATAAAAAGCAAAATACGTTCCAATGACCAAAGATAACTGTGCCATGGGGGCTCTACTTTTCACATATTTGAAAGGAAATTATGTATAATACTAGACAATAAGTCACTTTTAGAGATAAAGTGCAAATTTGGGTCTCAGTTCTTTTTTTTTTTTTTTGAGACGGAGTCTAGCTCTGTCACCCGGACTGGAGTCCAGTAGCGCGATCTTGGCTCACTGCAACCTCCACCTCCCAGGTTCATGCCATTCTCCTGCCTCAGCCTCCTGAGTACCTGGGACTACAGGCGCCCGCCACCATGCCCAGTTAATTTTTTGTAATTTTTAGTAGAGACGGGGTTTCACCGTGTTAGCCAGGATGGTCTCAATCTCCTGACCTCATGATCCGCCCACCTCGGCCTCCCAAAGTGCTGGGATTACAGGCGTGAGCCATCTCGCTAGGCCAAGGGTCTCAGTTCTTAAGTTAATGCCTTTGTGTCCTAGAACAGAGTTCAGCTGAACCAACCTCTTCAGTCGATTCCAGCCTGTGAGGTTTCAGTTCTGAAATAAACAAGAGCTGAATATAGAATGGTATGGTAGACTTTGGAGACTTAGAAGGGGGTGATGGGAGGGGATGAGGGATAAAAAAACTGCATATTGGATACAATATATACTATTCTCGTGAGGTATAAACTAAAATCTCAGACTTCACCACTATACAATTCATTCATGTCACCAAAAACTATTTGTACCCCCCAAAGCTGTTAAAACTATATATATATATACTTTTTTTTTTGAGACGGAGTCTTGTTCTGTTGCCCAGGCTGGAGTGCAGTGGTGTGATCTCGGCTCACTGCAACCTCCACCTCCCAGGTTCAAGCGATTCTCCTGCCTCAGCCTCCCGGGACTACAGGCGCCCACCACCATGCCTGGCTGTTTTTTTGTATTTTTAGTAGAGACGGGGTTTCACAGTGTTAGCCAAGGCAGTCTCAATCTCCTGACCTTGTGATCCACCCACCTCGGCCTCCCAAAGTGCTGGGATTACAGGCGTGAGCCACCGCATCCGGCCTAAAATATATACTTTGAAAAAATAAAACAAAACAAGAGCTAAAGCTAAGAGGATGTACCTTGGATTTTATCATGTTTCCTGATGGGTGGATGGGTTTTCATTCTATTTTTCACTTATTCGTATAATTGAGCACCTCTCCCTCTCCCTCTCCTCCCTCTCCTCCTCCTCCTCCCTCTCCTCTCTCTCCTCTCTCTCTCTCTCTTTCTCTCTCTCTCTCTCTCTCAGAAAAAGCAGCTCTGGAGGAGGGGTGACTGCCCGAGTCAGGTGTTAGGAGACCCGAGCAGGGCTGGATTCTCATCCTATGCTGTGTGCTTTCTACGACTTAGAGCAAAGCTCAGTAAACTGTTTCTACAGACAGACAGATAGTAAATTTTTCAGTTTTATGGGCCATACAGTCTCTATCATAACTACAAAACTTTGACAGTGCAGCAGAGAATCAGCCAAAGGCAGTATGTGAAAAAATGAATGTGACCAAATGCCAATTAAAGCTTCATTCGTGAAGAGTAAAACTTAAAATGGATCACGAAACTTTGTTCTTTAGTTTTTTTCAACTATTTAAAAATGTAAAAATGGTTATTCTTTGTTCACAGGCTGTACACATTAGGCCACAGGCTGGACTCAGCCCGGGGCTCATAGCTTATAGACCATTGACTAGGGGACTTAAAGGACAGTTTTGACATAGTCTCTATTGTTGTCTTACACTCTCAACTCTGAGTTCACATCGTATCATCACTATACTTACCCTCTACTGCCTCTTTTTTAAATCTCATTTTCTATCATAAAAAGTAAGACATAGTAAAAAGAGTGAAATATCCTTCTCTTCCCACCCATATTTTACCCTATATTCTCTTTCAACAATCTAGTGGGTCTTCGTCATGCAATTAGTGCTGAAAAGCTCAGAACTTGAGATACAAATCTACTTCAGTCTCACAGTTTCATGATCTCCACTCCGGCTGCTCTGCCACAGTGAAATAGGACTGGATGCTCAATCTTAACTTCTGTCCCCAAACCAAGTGCTTAAGATATCACGTTTTACCTTTCTATAGATGCCAAAAATGGTTCCAACGGACACAAGGCAATCGATGTTGGAAGATCCATCAAGGGGATCAAAACAGACCACATATTTACCCTGAGCACAGAAAAAAGAAATACAACCTTAAAATGTTATAGCAAGATACACTAAAGGAGTATACATTAGGGGCTAAGAATGGGAATTTAGAAGAAAGTTCAAAAAATGTGGGTCTTATTTATTTGTACTGTCATGGAAGGCATGAGATGGCATACAGAATGCACAGATACACACACATACACACAAGACCATTAAACAGAGAAAATACCACTTAAGAGGTGCAGATGAAGGTAATGGAATACAGATAAGTCATGATTTCCTATATTGTTGATATAATCAAATCATAATTTTGCATTGAGTTTCCTGGCAGCCAAAGGAAAAAGAAGGTTAGTCACTCATTTTCCTTTATTTGTAAGGAAAAAAATAATTCCTTAGGTGAAGCAGAGACTTTGCTAGGGTTGAGATCTATAAGAAACTTCTCATGGAGGTCTTACAGATGCCCCTTGAGGTTGGGGTGCATAGAGTTTTCAAAAATATCCTGGCTGGGCACGGTGGCTCATGCCTAATCCTAGCACTTTGGGAGGCTAAGACAGGAGGATTGCTTGAGCCCAGGAGTTTGAGACCAGCCTGGGCAGCATAGAGAGACTCCTTCTGTAAAAAAAAAAAAAAAAAAAAAAAAAAAAAAAAAAATTCAATTAGCTGGGCATGATGCTGCACATCTGTAGTCCCAGCTACTCAGGAGGCTGAGACAGGAGGTATCACTTGAGCCAGGAGTTCGAGGCTGCAGTGAGCCATGACTGTGCACTCCAGTCTGGGTGACAGAATGAGGCCCTGTCTCTAAAAACAAAACTAAACAAAACAAATTTCTAGCGTAATTCCCAAAGTAGATAACTTTCAGTGGTAGTGGGAATACCGCAGATTCCTGTTTTGAGTGGGATTTTCAGTGGTGTGCAGGAGCTGGCTGGTATCGGCTCTCAGGAGCTAACGGTGCACATCTCTTCCCAACTCTGCCTTCAGTGATATCACATTGGTAGCTTAAAATCAACGATGGGAGAGTATTCACACCATTGACAGAGGCAAGTGGACATATCAGAGACTTGTTTGTTTGCTTTGAGACCCAGTTTACCAGCACATCACTGGGAGTTTTCCATCTCCAAATTAGCCACTTTACAATGTCGTTTTTAAATGTCTGTAGCAGATTAACATGATTCCCTGCCCTCTTGCTCTTCACAGACCACCCTCACTAATGCAGGAGGAACTGGAAACTGGAACACAGGAAGCTGCCTATCATGAAGGCCCATGATAGACAAGAGAAGTCCGGCGTGAGTGATGGAGAATATTAAACAACAAATCTAAGCCATACGCCTAAAGCTGCCAAAGACCTTGAAAGGCCCAGCTGAGAAAAACATGAACTTCAAGTCTGGCATGTACGGCTATTTTAGGAATGATGAAAAACAACTTCATCAGATGTGGCTCCTGCCCTCTTAATAGGGTGAGGACAGGCAGCCTCTTCATCTTCTCATTGTTTTTTCCTAATTCTACTCCTTCATGTTCCCAGTTCCTCTCAAACTGGGAAAGATAGTAAGCCCATATAACTGCACTTCTAATCTCAGAAGTTTTTTTTTCTAATTACAATTGTTGTTTTATAAAAGCTGGGAATACTCTTTCATTTAACAATCTTTTTCAACAGTCATTTGTTGTTGAGGCCCTCCAATGTGCCAGGCATTGCACTAGACACTGGGACACAGAGACAAATAAGATTCATTTTCTGCTCTCAAAAAGCAGAGATAACGCCAGGTGTGGTGGCTCACACCTGTAATCCCAGCACTTTGGGAGGCCAAGGTGGGCGGGTCACTTGAGGTCAGGAGTTCAAGGCCAGCCTGGCCAACATGGTGAAACCTCATCTCCACTAAAAATACAAAAATTAGCCAGGTGTGGTGGCGGGAACCTGTAATCCCAGCTACTCAGGAGGCTGAGGCAGGAGAATCGCTTGAACCCAGGAGGCGGAGGTTGCAGTGAGCCAAGATCACACCACTGTACACCAGACTGGGCAACAAGAGCAAAACACTGTCTCAAAAAAAAAAAAAAAAAAAAAAAAAAAAGAAGCAGAGACAGACCAATAGGGACTCCAATGCGTGCATCAGGGATGGAAGTTTCAAGCAGTCTAGGTCAACAGGAGGGTCAGTGTGAAGGTCAGGAATTTGGTGGATAGGGATGTAGTACAAGAGGTGACCAACAGAAGCCAGGGTTTGAAGAGCCTTAAACATGGCAATAAAAAGTTAGAAATGGAGATGAGTTTGTGGGAGTCCACTGGGGAGAAGGCGGCGTGAGCCACAACACTCATCTGCACAGTGGCTCAGGGAGGATTCGAGAGATGGCAGCAGTGAGGTGGAAGCTATGAAAAGACCACAGCAGGGATCTAGAGGGACTCCCAGAAACCCAGCTCAGCTGAACAAGTGGAGTCAATTATGAAGCTGGGAAGAAGACCGGCTACATTAAAACCCTCAATGGTGGAAGTACAGACCCACCCTTTTCTCCGGTTCCACTATGATGGCGTGTTTATCTTCTTCTGACACGAGAACACACGTGGCAAAGGATGACTTTAACATGTTCATAACCAGGTCGTTGGAGAGGACGTCCAGCTTCTTAACTTGATCACCTGTCACGTTGGTAGAACCAGCAATGCCATAGCTACAGGGAACAAAAGCCACAAAAAATAAGCCATGACCACCAGAACATGTAGATGAGTCCATAAACCCACCAAAAGTGAGTGTTCGGTAAGATTTAGAAGAAAGAGTTCATGTCCTTTGCAGGGACATGGATGAAGCTGGAATCCATCATTCTCAGCAAACTAATACAGGAACAGAAAACCAAACACCACATGTTCTCACTCATAAATGGGAGTTGAACAATGAGAACACATAGACACAGGGAGGGGAACATCACACACTGGGGCCTCTCAGGGAGCTGGGGACTAGGGGAGGGAGAGCATTAGGAGAAATACCTAATGTAGATGACAGATTGATGGGTGCAGCAAACCACCATGGCATGTTTATACCTATGTAACAAACCTACGCATTCTGCATGTGTATCCCAGAACTTAAAGTATAATAATAATTTTTTTAAAAAAGGGCCGGGCGTGGTGGCTCACGCCTGTAATCCCAGCACTTTGGGAGGCTGAGGCGGGTGGATCATGAGGTCAGGGGATCGAGACCATCCTGGCTAACATGGTGAAACCCCGTCTCTATTAAAAAATACAAAAAAGTAGCCGGGTGTGGTGGTGGGTGCCTGTAGTCCCAGCTACTTGGGAGGCTGAGGCAGGAGAATGGCGTGAACCCAGGAGGCGGAGCTTGCAGTGAGCCGAGATCGTGCCACTGCATGCCAGCCTGGGCGACAGAGCGAGACTCCGTCTCAAAAAAAAAAAAAAAAAAAAAAAATACAAAAAATTAGCCGGGTGTGGTGGCGGGCGCCTGTAGTCCCAGCTATTCAGGATGCTGAGGCAGGAGAATGGCGTGAACCCGGGAGGTGGAGCTTGCAGTGAGCCGAGATCGCACCACTGCACTCCAGCCTGGGCGACAGAGCAAGATTCCGTCTAAAAATATATATATTTTTAGAAGAAAGGAAGGAGGACATCAGCTTGGGAGAACAAGGCAGGAAGGTCTGGACAGACCCTAGAGAGGAGGAGATACTATCATCTGCCTCTTCACCTCGAACCTGTCATGGTGCCCTGCACACTTTTGTGGTTAAATCAGTGTTTCTTAACTTTGTTTTCATTATGATTCCCCTAGGGAGCTTTTTAGAACATTTTTTCCTCAACCATACTCCCCCATGAAATATTTTTAATACTACAGATATAGTAGATATCTGTTTATTGCAGTATGTGTCTCAGTGCTTTTTACATAAAAAGTTTGCGGGTGTTTTTGGTTTTGCCCAGAAAGAACCAGTGTTGGCCCCCAAACACACGGGTTAAACGAATCAATAGAGAGACCCAGCAAGCAAGGAAGCCTGGGTCGGGGGTAGCCTGAGTTGCGAGCCAAGCCAAGGGGTTTATGGCTTTATAACTAAAAAGACCCTAAAAGAAACAAAGCATCAACCGGCCCCTCTGCCTCATTTCATAGAGGAGAAAACTCAGACCCAAGACTCCTGTGGACTTCTCCACACAGGCAGAGGGTAGAAGTGAGACGCTGCCTATGACTCCCAGGCAGAGGGTGGAGGCGAGACCCTGCCTATGACTCCCAGGCCAGGGCTCTCTTGGTGACACCCTGGGCCCCTGGCAGGAGTCCTAGGGCATGGAAGTTGCAGGGATCCTGGAGTTTTCACTATTTTTAAGCAACCTGCAAGTCAGTAATTATAGAATTCCCAGAATCCAGTGGCTTGTCTAAACGCAGCCTAGCTTCTTAGACTTACAGAAGCGGCAGGTTGTCATAGCCTGGGGTTGCCCTGAACACAGAAAGGAGGGAGACGTCTCACAGGAAGGATGCACAGAGCAAGGCGAGAGCCTTGATGTGGGAAGGGGAAAAGATGGGTCTTTGAAGACACCAGCAAGCCTCTGAAAGTGGGTGGTAAGGGCACACCCGCGCCCTTGGCCATGATGGCGATGTGCGCTCGCCTGGGAACTGACGGTCCCTGATCCAGTGGCCGTGACTGCTTCAGCTCCTGCAAGTGCATTTGCCCAAAACATAACTCGCTGTGACTGGCTGGGCAAAACTGAGCCCCTCCTAGAAACCATCCAAACCCACATGCCTGGTCCGGCCTGACTATCTCAGGAGCTAGCTCCGGCTGTCTTCTCGGGCCCGCCTGTCAGCGTCTTTCAGCCACTCTTGGCATCATTCCCTTTCCAGCCTGCAAAGCACATCTCATCCCACCAGCCCTCCTCCTGCTGCTTCTCTTTTCACCCATCACTCCTATTTCATGAGTAAAAGACCAAGATGTCTATCGAGCTTTGAGCTCCACCCCATGTCCCTGGGCTTTCGATCCTATTTCCACATGATCTTTTTCTGACCCCAATTGTGAGGCTGGGGCTTGTGCAGGAAGAAGGCAGCCAAAATCTGGGAGGCCAGAGGGACTTGGCAGGGCCCACCAGCTCAAATGCAGCTCCCTCAGTGACCCCACTAGCAGCAGTGCTCTCTCCTTTCCAGCCTGAGAGTTGCACTGTCAAAGTCACTTTATGATTATTTTTATTTTTATTTTTATTTTTATTTTTGGAGACAGTGTCACTCTGTTGTCCAGGCTGGTGTGCAGTTGCGTGATCTCGGCTCACTGCAACCTCCGCCTCCCAGGTTCAAGCGATTCTCGTGCCTCACCCTCCTGAGTAGCTGGGACTATAGCCGTATGCCACCACATCCAGCTAATTTTTGTATTTTTAGTACAGACAGGGTTTCACCATGTTGGCCAGGCTGGTCTCGAACTCCTGACCTCAAGTGATCCACCCACCTCAGCCTCCCAAAGTGCTGGGATTACAGGCATGAGCCACCGTGCCCAGCCCACTGTCAAACTCACTTCTGATTCCGGAGGGCAAATAGCACCGATGGACCAGAAGAAGGGCTTCAAGGCAGAGACCAGGTCCAGGCCTCAGCTCCCAGGCTCCCCTGCTCTTTCTGAGCCTCCCTCCCTTTCACATGTGTCCAAAGAGGGAAGTGAAGTCTGCCCCCACGCGGCTGTCAGAGGATTGCATGAGATGACATACACAAAAGGCCTAGCACTAATAGGTGCAGCCTGACAGGGACAGCTCGGGGGGCCGGGAGGGCTGGGCAGAGGGGCCGAAGGCACTGGACACGGATGAGGCACTGAGGCAGGTGCAGAAGGAAAGTCCTATATTACCTTTTGGCCCAAGTCCCATCTGCTCAGGCACTTCCCTCAGGAACACTCAGGCCATGTGGTCTCTTTTACTCAAAATCTTCCTAGACAGCTATCTGAGTGCTCATTTATTCTACAAATATTCACCAGGGACCTGCTGTGCACGGGGAACCGTTCTAGATGCTGGGGTTACAGTGCCGAACACGGTAGATCAGATCCCGCCCTTGTGGAGCGTATATTCTACTGGGGTGAGCACAAACAAGAAATAAATAAGTGTTTTGGAATGAAAAAGATATGTCAGATAGTGACAGATGCTCGCTGACATAAAACAAAAACAAGGTGACAGGAGAGGGAGATGAGAGGCTAGATGGTTAATTTAGATGGTCAGGAAGATCTCTAGGGGGGCATTCAAGCTGAATGGTACTTTGAATGTTTTTCGTAAGAATGGGAGGAAATAGGCCGGGCACGGTGGCTCATGCCTGTAATCCCAGCACTTTGGGAGGCCGAGGTGGGTGGATCCACCTGAGGTCAGGAGATCGAGACCAGCCTGATCAACATGGTGAAGCCCTCTCTCTACTAAAAACACAAAAAATTAGCCGGGCATGGTGGCGGGCACCTGTAGTCCCAGCTACTCAGGAGGCTGAGGCAGAAGAATGGCGTGAACCCGGGAGGCGGAGCTTGCAGTGAGCCGAGATTGCGTCACTGCACTCCAGCCTGGGCGACAAAGCGAGACTCCATCTCAAAAAAAAAAAAAAAAAAGAACAGGAGGAAATGGGCCAGGCACGGTGGCTCACGCCTGTAATCCCAGCACTTTGGGAGGCCAAGGCGGGTGGATCCCCTGAGGTCAGAAAATTGAGACCAGCCTGACCAATATGGTGAAGTCCTATCTCTACTAAATACATAAAAATTAGCTGGGCGTGGTGGCACATGTCTGTAATCCCAGCTACTTGGGAAGCTGAGGCAGGAGAATCCCTTGAACCCAGGAGGCGGAGGTTGCAGTGAGCCGAGATCGCACCATTGCACTCCAGCCTGGGCAACAAGAGCGAAACGCTGTCTCAAAAAAATAAAAAAAAGAAAGAATGGGAGGAAATGAAAAAGCCCTAAAGAAGCCCAAATAAGTCAGCTAGTAATGACTCCAGAGAAGAGCTGTTTGTTAGCAATTTAGCCAAAGGAAACAGTAAGTACATTTTTCACATATTTCCAAATGGAAGGGAGTGGGTACTATGTGCACATTTATACAAGTAATTTTGTAAAGCCTGAGGTCTTTTTCCTGTGATGCCTGGATCCAGGAAGCATCTAAATTCAGAGAGAGGAGACCGGAGGGAGAAAGTCCTTGTAAGGATGGCTCTGATTTGCAGTACTCCTGGGCCAGCCCCACCACCCAGAGACAGACAAGTTATCCTGTAACTGTGTCCCAAACACAGGGGCACCGTGACTTGTTTTGTGGGATTAAATGAAAGTAGGCTATTTCCTCATGCAGTGGACTGCATTTTCCGAGCTTGCAGACTCAGCAGTTGGCCAGATTAAAGTGAGAAGCAACTTCTGTTGCCCCAGATCATGCCCAGACCTACGAGAGGTTACAGTCAGTGTCAGGGTGGGTGACTTAGCAAATCATGACCACCAGCCAGCCCTCCCCACTGCCATTCCAAGAGTCTCAGATGGCTCCTACCCTTGGCACACAGAGGAACCAACACAGAGAAGCTGAGGGCCACAGAAGGGGTGGTACACCGTTCACGATGGTAGGCTTGTGGGGCCACACAGCACTCTGCAAGGACGCATGGCACAGGGTCCTCAGCACCTGCATGGACAGGGCGGCCCGCATCCACCAAGCCATGCGGGGCTCTCACCACAGAACTGACGGGGCTGCCCGCATCCACCAAGCCATGCAGGCCCTCGCCACAGAACTGACAGGGCTGGGGCCGGGCACAGTGGCTCACGCCTGTAATCCCAGCACTTTGGGAGGCCGAGGCGAGCGGATCACGAGGTCAGGAGATCGAGACCATCCTGGCTAACACAGTGAAACCCCGTCTCTACTAAAAATACAAAAAATTAGCCGGGGACGGTGGCAGGCGCCTGTGGTCCCAGCTACTCGGGAGGCTGAGGCAGGAGAAAGGCGTGAACCCGGGAAGTGGAGCTTGCAGTGAGCCCAGATGGCGCCCCTGCGCTCCAGCCTGGGCGACAGAGCGAGACTCCGTCAAAAAGAAAGAATGACGGAGCTGCCCGCGTCCACCAAACCACGCAGGACCCTCACCACCTGCAAGGACAGGGCCGCCCGCATCCACCAAATCACGCAGGACCCTCAGCACCTCCATGGACAGGGCTGCCTGCATCCACCAAGCCACACAGGGCCTTTAGCACCTGCATGGATGGGGCTGCCTGCGTCCACCAAACCACGGCAGGAAATGGGCTCCACCTGCTTCGCGTTTCCATGACCCCGCTGGGTGGTGACAGATGCGTTAAGCTGGTTCCTGCCCCTTTCTTGGGAACGCCTCTTCTCTTTACCCCCAGTAAGCGTCCTTCCCCTCTTCTAGCAGGAAGGACCCTTCTCCAGCTATCCTCCAGTTGTCTTTGAAGTGTAAGAGAACACATGAAGATAGATTACTCTGGGCTGCTCCAACTCAATGTTCACGTACTTTATAACTTTGCTAAGATATCTTGAGGGAAGGCTTCTCCTGGTTAATCCTGGCGTTAGGAAAAGCTTCCAGAAAAGCACAGGAAAAGGATCCTAAGGTAGAAACAGTGGGTCAAGAGAATAAATTCCCCCGGCTGCCAGCCAACTATGCTGCCATGTTGATAGCAACAATGTCCAGGTGTCCCTCATGTCTCCAGGTCTCCTCTGAGCCGCAGTGAGTTAAGCTGGCCACACCGTGCTGGTCCCACCACCCTGGCTTAGTCCTGTCAGGGCTGCACAGCCATGATGAGCAGTCAGGACCAGACGCAGGCTCCATCAAGCCTCCCCCGTCACACCTCGGGGACCCTAAGAAGGGCTTGAGATTTCCCCGAGTAACACATTTACACAGGTCAATGAAAAGTGGCAAGCAGGCAAGGCTTCCGTGATTCTGAGAGAGGAAAAATTCCTCAGAAACAAGCTCAAGGACTTAATTAGCTGAAGATCACATGCAGTTTATTTTCTCCATAAGTTTTCAGAAGCCCCCTTAGAAATACTAAATGTCTGGCCAGGCACAGTGGCTCACACCTGTAATCTCAGCACTTTGGGAAGCTAAGGCAGGCGGATTACCTGAGGTTCAGGATTTCGAGACCAGCCTGGCCAACATGGTGAAATCCCATCTCTACTAAAAATACAAAAATTGGCCAGTCGCAGTGGCTCACACCTGTAATCCCAACACTTTGGGAGGCTGAGGCAGGTGGATCACCTGAGGCTGGGAGTTCAAGACCAGCCTGACCAACATGGAGAAACCCTGTCTCTACTAAAAATACAAACTTAGCTGGGTATGGTGGCATGTGCCTGTAATCCCAGCTACTCAGGAGGCTGAGGCAGGAGAATCGCTTGAACCCGGGAGGCAGAGGTTGCAGTAAGCTGAGATCACGCAATTGCACTCCAGCCTGGGCAACAAGAGTGAAACTCCATCTCAAAAAAAAAAAAAAAAATTAGCCGGGCGTGGTGGCGGGCGCCTGTAATCCCAGCTAGTAGGGAGGCTGAGATAGGAGAGTCACCTGAACCCGGGAGGCGGAGGTTGCAGTGAGCCGAGATCACACCACTGCACTCCAGCCTGGGCAAAAAAGAGTGAAATTCCACCTCAGAAAGAAAAAGAAAAGAAATTATAAATGTCTGCCTGCTGATCAGTCATCATTCCTGAATGGCCCTGAAGGATAGATTAACAAGAGCATTCACTCTATATTCCAATCACCACCTAGAGAGGGCGGGCTCAGCAGCCTAGAGTCAATAGCAGGTGTGGGTCTCAGCTCCTGGTGAGACAGCCCTGAGCCCTAGCGAATGCAGCGGCTGCCATCCCCCGTCTGAAGTTCTAGGAAGACTCCAGGAGAGCCCAGTGGATCCAGAAGACCATCCTGCCTTGGAAGGCGTTTCCAGGAGGCAGCTGTGAACCAGAGGTGATGACACCAACTACCCTCCGTGGGACTCGACTGGAGCCTTGCACACACCACCCAGCTCCCTTCTAGATCAGCTCCCAATTTGCCATTCTCTAGGGATGGGAAAAGGCAGCAAATGAGGCTGGAGGGATATGGGAAACCATCACACGACCCTGTCCAAAAAAGCCCTCCCCAGGCCAACTGTGCCTTACAATTAAAGGAGAGGAACAGGTGAAATGGCCAAGACATGGGCTGAACTGAGCCAGATGTAAACCTCCAGGCCTAGCTCCCTTCCCCTACCTCCCTCCCCTGCTCTGCCCCTCAGCCCCACTGCCAGAAAAGGAGTCAACAGTAGCAGTTGGGGGCTGATCATGCAGGGGCAGGAAGGGCAATTTTGATTGAGCCAGTGACTTGATCTGCCAAGGAAATGTTTTCTGAATAAAAGTTATCACAGAGGTGGCCAGACACAGTGGCTCATGCCTGTGATCCCAACATTTTGGGAGGCCAAGGCATGTGGATCACTTGAGGACAGGAGTTCGAGACCAGCCTGCCAACATGGTCAAAGCCCACCTCTACTAAAAATACAAAAATTAGCCAGGTGTGGTGGCACATGCCTACAATCCCAGCTACTTGGAAGGCCGAGGCACAAGAATTGCTTGAACCCAGGAGGCAAAGGTTGCAGTGAGCCAAGGTCACACCACTGCACTCTAGAACGGGCCACAGAGACTCTGTCTCAAAAAAAAAAAAAAAATTTATCATAGAGGGGAAAGGCAACATTGTGAGGTTTTCTCCACCTTTTCTGTATTGGGCCTAAGAGGAGAAATGTCAGAGCATAAGGAGCAAAGTGGCTTGAGGCCTTCCTTGAGAAGTAGCAGGCAGCAAACAAGAGAACAGGGCACCTGCTGAGGCCAGAGCACCACTGGCCGCTACTGTTGGCAACAGAATTTAAATGCCCCGCACCTCACAGCAAGGAGGCCAAACGGGCTGCATAGAACCCCAGAGCCCCAGCCGAATCAGGGCACAGTGTTGCACAAATGTCAGCTACTTCCAGGCATGTGTGAATCAATAGGTGGCTTTCAAACCACGGCTGAAAATTCTAGGACATGCTTTTAAATTGCACTGTTCCAGAGACCCGGATATTTGGTTTCCATATATCCAAGTTGAAGCTGAGATTTTCTTGAGAATAGCAAAGAGAACAATGATGAGGAAACACTAATCATGATTCACACTATATTTAAATACTTTAAAATCTCGTTCTATGTTGTATCAAGTTTATAAAACAAGTATATATTACATGCAATCTATTGGGTAATTTCAATTAAAGGCTTTTTGTTGTTGTTTTTTGTTTGTTTTGAGACAGAGTCTCGCTCCGTCACCCAGGCTGGAGTGCAATGGCGAGATCTTGGCTTACTGCAACCTCCCCCTCCCGGGTTCAAGCGATTCTCCTGTCTCAGCCTCCCGAGTAGCTGGGATTACAGGCACCTGCCACCACACCTGGCTAATTTTTGTATTTTTAGTAGAGACAGGGTCTCACCATGTTGACCAGGCTGGTGTCGAACTCCTGACCCCACGATCCGCCCATCTTGGCCTCCCAAAGTGCTGGGATTACAGGCGTGAGCCACCACACCTGGCCAAAGGTTTTTTTTAATATAGAAAAAGCAGAGCTGATTAGCATGAGTCCTGCTCGTGCCCTTCACAGATCCATGGCCATTGAATAGGCACAGCTGTTGATATGGGGGCGCTTCTGGAAATAAAACCACAGCTGCTTGGAAGAACTAATTCACCTCTCAAGCCTTGGCCTAGAAAATGGAAGCCTGTTAACTAGGAAGCCTGTTAATTGATTTGGGTGGTAAGACGGATAATTAAAGCAACAAGGAAGGATCAGAGCCTGAAGCTGAAGGCACCAGCCTCCAGGAGATCTTCCATGGTGCCAGGAGCCTGGAAAATGTGTGCAAGAGTGAGACACCAGCATTGGTGACATCACATAACCCCCACTCCTGGGGAGGTAGGGGGGAGGGTCTAGTCTCTCAACCCCCACCAAGAGAGGACCGGGAGAGCCCTCAGGCATGGAAGCATGACCTTTATGGGGCATTGTCTTCATGGCCTTAGGAATGGCCCACTCTCTTCTAAGAGCCACTGGGAGGGAGGGCACAGACAGGGCTGCCACCCCTGGAAATGCTACCTAAAACCTCGATCTTAAGAGGCCTGGGCCCAACCTGCTTTGTACAAGAATGCCAAGAGTGGAGGGCCTCTGAGCTCACCTCACCTGTTGGGCCATCCTGAGGATGGCACAGCCCTCTACCTGGGACATTCGAAATTAGAACCTTACAGGCAGCCAGAGGTTTTTCTAGTGAGGTCTGAAGCAAAAGTACAGGGCACCAGGTAAATGCCGAGTGTATACTCCAAGGGGACCGAAACTCTTACATAAACATGGCACATCTGAATGTGCCTCTGGAGGAAGAAAGACCTATCAGTCTTGATCCTGGAAAAAAGAATATTTTGTTCACCATGTATCCTTAGCACCTAGAACAATGCCTGCACATAGTAAGTTCTCAATGTAAATGGATGAATAAATTTAGAGAGTAATAAAAGGATCCAAGAATTCCTAAGATCATAAACTCCATTAGACCCAGTGGTATTGGTAATGCCTGCCTGCATAACCTCTACCATCCAACACTCCCAACTCCTGAAAAAAACCCTCCAGATTAGCATAGCTTCTTGGTAAAAGTGTGTTTGCTGTGCAAACTTAGCGTTAGACAAATGCAATGGCCTTTCACCCGGTTCCTCAGGAAACTAGAGTGTAATGGTCAAGGCCCCAGGCTGGCACTCTACACCACCAGGGTTCCAATCCCAGCTCTGCTCCATGCTCAGCAGCCGGGGAAAGTCACTTAGCATCTGTGACCTCTGGTTCATCTGCAATATGGGAATGTAGTGTGTCTGCTTCATAGTCTACAGAGAGGGGGCATAACTGAGTTGATACAGGTAAAGTGGTCAGAAAAGTGCCTGGTGCATAGGCAAGTGTGCAAGAAATATTACCGTTTCCACCTCTAGCTCCCTTGGCATAACACAACCATGCGGAGAAGCAAGAACTCAGCACCAGAAAGACCTCAGTTCAAATTCTGCCTTTGCTTCTTACTGATGATGTGACATCAAGTTGTGCAAAGCCCCTGAGTGGCTGTTTCTGGCCATGTTTGTGGGGATCATGGATAATGCGCGCGGTGCACCTGGTTCATAGTACTCCCCACCAAGGCAGCCACATGACAATAGAGCCCCGCAGGCATCCACTAAGTAAGTGTGGGTTGATCTGGGGATTGGGGGAAGGGGAGGTATCTCTAAACCAGTTTTGCAGGCAACTTCTTGGAGGACAGCCAATAAGGAACTGGCAAAAGAAGAAAAAAGTGCTCCAAGTTTACATTTGATAAAATCTCACTGGGAATATTATTTATTTGAGATGTTCTTGACATTTCACTTCAATTTTATTCAAATTAGTTGGCCCTGCAGCCCAAGTAAAGTGGAAAAGCACCAGGCAGGGTTGAAGTCTCTGTGTCCTTTCCCTTTCCAGCCCCAGAGATACGAAGGAGCTCTTCCTGGAGTTTGGGGAGCAGAACTCAACTGGAGAAACTGCCTATAATATCTCTTCTTTACTTTTACTGTAAATCCCACTGAAAAATTTAAAGAGCTCTAAGTCATTTTAATTCATATGATGGAGAACACCTTAGAAGCATAGATTAATGTGGCCAGTATTTTGAAATCCTTGGATATTTTAATTAAATTTTAGCATTGTTTTCCAAGTTTACAAATGGTTTCTAAAACAGAATGAACCATTTCACAGCCATGGACTTTGTGACACTGAACATGCAGATTTGTGATGATTGGGGGAGGCTGCCTTCCACAGCATCTCTAAAACACTGAAGGACACAAGGATTGGAGCCAGGGGCTGACAGAACTAGAGCCCTCCAGGGCTGCCTGGATCTGCTGACTTAGGACCATCTCCTCCCGAAGTCACTGTGACTGAGTAACACGATTGCAGCAGCAACACTTCACACAGCACACAGAAGAACCAGACTCGGGCTCGGAACACGCAGCTCAACCAAAAGGGAGGGAGATTATTACTTAATCCTTATCACTAAAGTCAAAGGTAAGACTGGCTTGTTACTGCTTGATTCCATGGTAATCAACCATTTGCCCAGCCAGGAACATCCAAAGGTTCAGAAATACATTGAAGAGGTGCTAGTGAGAGCTGCTTTCAAAGGTCACAAATACCTGCCTCTGCTTGCATTCACCGGGGCCTAAACTGGTAAACAGGATGGAACGTGGCTGTCTGCGCTTCTTTTATGCAAACAAACTTGCAATTTCACTCCTTGGTCATGTGGAGAAGAGAATTCAAGAAACATAAAATAAATCTGGTAAAGTTTCTAAAAGCTTAATGCCAAAAACTGCAAATTGGAAGATAAGCCTAAACGTGTATTAGCTGACGTGTCATTCTAAAACGAAATCTGAAGCTCTTTATTATTTCTTCTGTCAAACAGCTGAGAGGACCCCATATATAAAAGTAACTCTTCTGGACATAATATGAGTCTGATGGGAGGACATTTCCTGCAGCCACTCTTGGGTGCAACATTGTTCTAATATGTAACATGCTAGCCTGGACTCTCTCCCTGCTGATAGCATACAGGCTACTGCTAAGAAATGAAGAACAAAACATGCAAATAAAAGTTTACAAAAAAATGAAAATAAAATAGACCAGGCACGGTGGCTCACACTTGTAAGCCCAGCACTTTGGGAGGCTGAGGCGGGTGGATGACGAAGTGAGGAGTTCAAGACCAGACTGGCCAACATAGTGAAACCCCGTCTCTACTAAAAATACAAAAATTAGTTGAGTGTGGTGGCAGGAACCTATAATCCCAGCTACCTGGAAGGCTGAGGCAGGAAAATCACCTGAACCTTGGAGGTGGAGGTTGCAGTGAACCGAGATCACACCACACCACAGCCCTCCAGCCTGGGTGACAGAGCTAGACTCTGTCTGAAAAATAAAGAAATATAGCCTTCAGGAAAACAATGATATTAATAACATTGGTACCCAATTAGTAAACTTAATTGATCCTCCTACGAGTCTCTGAGGCTGTCTCCATCTTAACAATTGGAGAAACAGGTTCAGTGATGTCACATCAACAGCCCAATCCTCACAGACGTTGAATGGCAGGGCCAGGAATCTAAGCTTGGCTCCATCTCTCTCCAAAACGTGCTCTGAATCCCTGCACATTCCTGTCTGCTAAACTGGTCCAGATCTCCTCCTCTTTTCTCTGCCTCAGGGCAAGCGTGCCAAAACAGACAGGCAAAACAGCCTGCAGCTGGACAGCATCTCCCAACAGATCACCCTCTAACATCTCAAGTTCAGCGTTTCCAAAATGTTGGGATCATCTTCCCTCCTTCCCCAGACTAAAAACCAGCTCCTCCTTGTTTTTGTTTTTGTGTTGTTTTGTTTTGTGGTGGCATGGGCTCTGCATTCAATTGCTAGGACCAGCGATTTCAGAAACTCCCTCACAGCCCTTCTCATCTAATCCATGCTCAGACTTCTTCCAAATCCTTCCTCTCCCCTCCAAGGCTGCAGCTCTGCTGGCTACTCAACTGACGGCTCCCCCTTGCCACTGGTTTTCCCATATCCTATCTTTCGCTCTTCCGATATACTTCCAGCCACACCTTCTCCAGATTTGTCTCCAGTCACGCAACTGCCCCACTCAAAAAACTTTCAAAATCCTTGATCTCTCCTTTTCTATACCCCCAAAAGTGTAAAGTGTTCACCCTTGCCATTTGATGCTTCCCCAATGTACCCACAATTTCACATCCACGAACGCCCTACCATGAGTACTCCATGCTTTGGTCAAATTGAGTGGGCAACTTTTCCAGAAACACTTTCCCACCTCAGGACTCCTCCCCCTGTGACCTCCAGCCTGAACTGCGGTCCAGCCGCCGGGCCTTTTGCTTCCCCTGCACGTGCCCATTCTTGGCGCTCCACAGTCCTTCACCATGAATCGTATTTTTGGCACCTCTATGAAAGCATCTTTCTTTTTTTTTTGAGACGGAGTCTCCCTATGTCGCCCAGGCTGGAGTGCAGTGGCGCGATCTCGGCTCACTGCAAGCTCCGCCTCCCAGATTCACAACATTCTCCTGCCTCAGCCTCCCAAGTAGCTGGGATTACAGGCGCCCGCCACCACGCCCGGCTAATTTTTTTGTATTTTTTGGTAGAGACGGGGTTTCACCGTGTTGGCCAGGATGGTCTCGATCTCCTGACCTCGTGATCCGCCCGACTCGGCCTCCCAAAGCGCTAGGATTACAGGCGTGAGCCACCGCGAAAGCATCTTTCAGACCGGGCGCAGTGGCTCACGCCTGTAATCCCAGGACTTTGGGAGGCCGGGGCGGGCAGATCACCTGAGGTCAGGAGTTTGAGACCAGCCTGACCAACATGGAGAAACCCCGTCTCTACTGAAAATACAAAAAAATTAGCTGGGCTTGGTGGTGGGCGCCTGTAATCCCAGCTATGGGAGGCTGAGGCAGGAGAATGGCATGAACCCGGGAGGCGGAGGTTGCAGTGAGCTGAGATCGCCCCACTGCACTCCAGCAAGGGCAACAGAGCGAGACTCTGCCTCAAAAAAAAAAAAAAGAAAGAAAAAGAAAGCATCTTTCAAAACCTCTATTGCGTGTTAGAACGATACAAATATTTTTTCCTACAGAGTAAACTCTGTGTTGTTCTCGTCTTCTGGAACTTTGTACATGGTGGATGTTCAGTAATATTTTGTTAATTGAATGAAATCAGTGAATTCTTCAGTCAGTGATTTGGAAATGGATACAAAGGGAAGTCAACTCCACAAAACAAAAAACCTGAAGCCACTGGAGCACCACTTTCTCCCAAAGGAATGCAAAGTGGACAACACTCGAATTTGACATTTGAACCACAACTTCATCAGCTTGACTTCAAGTTGCAGACTGTTCTGATCTGCACAGTTTCTCTCCCAAGAGTGGATGGAGGGAGCCAGAAGCCCAGAGGGAAGTCTCCCAGGGCACATTTGCCCAAAGCAATGACTCCTTGGTATCTAAGCCTGAATTCACATCAAAAATGTCGCCTGGCCAACATGGCTAAACCCTGTCTCTACTAAAAATACAAAAATTAGGCCGGGCGCAGTGGCTCACACTTCTAATCCCAGCACTTTGGGAGGCCGAGGCAGGTGGATCACTTGAGGCCAGTTCGACCCTGGTCAACTTGGCAAAATCCCATCTCTACTAAAAATACAAAAATTAGCCAGGTATGGTAGTGTACGCCTGTAATCTCAGCTACTCGGGAAATTGAGGCAGGAGAATCACTTGAACCCGGGAGGCAGAGGTTGCAGTAAGCTGAGATTGCACCACTGCACACCAGCCTGAGTGAGAGTGAGGCCCTGTCTCAAAAAAAAAAAAAAAAAAAAAAAACCAGTTAACTAATAGATGAGATTTAGAGTTTGGTGAATTCTAATTGATTTCTAAAAAATAAAGGAAGAGATGTGTAGTGTGGCCAAAAGACCTCCAATCCGGGGTTCCTGAGATCCCGGCCACAGGCCAAGTCATCTCATCTTCCTCGGTCTCAGGGTCCTCTTCTGTATGAGGAGGTGATAGACTAGCTGACTGTTGAGTCTCTTTCAGTCTAAAACTCAATGATTCCATGAACATTTTAACAGGAGCAATGAAAGTGACTACAATAGCAACTTTAGGTTACACCAGGCTCTGTGCTTAAACTCCTGATGTTTCCATAATGATCCTGGGTGAGCTCCCTAAACTGGCTCCAGTGAGGTTCCTGCAAATCTGCAATCACCCCGTCCCTCTGGGTACATGCTCTTCTAGGTCCGGTCTTCAGCACTAACAAGATCTTTGCAGGAATGCTGGTTTTTCTTTCTGGATTTCAATGCCTGGAATGAATGTAGGTTGGGGGCCTGGCTTGAGAATCATGCTACCTGCCTGATGACATGTGATACTGAAAATGGCCAAACGCTGAACTTCCCACAAGATCACCTCAGTGTCCAGCATCTAGTCCTGTCAGCTACCCCAACAACCAGGCATGCACACCAGTTCCAAGGGTACAGCACTGTAATACCCAAAGGCTAGTAAAAACCAAAGTGCCCCAAAATAGAGAAAAACTTCAATACCTCATGATGTGTGCAGGGGAGCAGCACACAGCAGTTAAAAGGAGGTAGATGTAGATGTCCCGATATTAATGGATGTTTCTTGAATAATGTTAAATAACAAAGCAAACTACAGAAATGTGTATTGTGATCCCATTTTGTCTGCTATTATAGGCATATGTAAATATGTGTTCATGTGTAAACTTATATGACTGTAAAAGAGTATCCGGAAAAATAAGCAGTAAATTATTTGCAGTGGATACCCCATGGGATATATATGGGGTGGGTTTCACTCTTCCCTTGAATTCTTTTGAATGGTTTAAATTTTTGTCAATGAGTGCAACATAGTATTTCTTTAAAACCTGGTATTCACAACTATCTAGTATAAAAGTACACATATTGGCCAGGCACAGTGGCTCATACCTGTAATCCCAGCATTTTGGGAGGCCAAGGTGGGCAGATCGCTTGAGCCCAGGAATTTGAGACCAGCCTGGGCAACATAACAAAACCCCATCTCTACAAAAACACAAAAATTATCCGGCATGGTGGCACATGCCTGTAGTCCCAGCTACAGGGGAGGCTGAGGTGGGAGCACCAATTCAGCCTGGGAGGTTGAGGCTGCAGTGAGCCATTATCACACCACTGCACTCCAGCCTGGGCAACAGAGTGCGACTCTATCTCAAAATAAATAAATAAATAAAACGCATACCTTACGTAGCCAAAATTAACATGCTTCATCCAGGCCCCACCATCAAAATCTCACTATCCAAGGTCCCACTGTCTAAGGTTACTTAGACAGTGGGACACCTCAAAACACATCTTACATTTCTCAGTCTCTCTAGGGGTGTGAAAGGTACTGACACATTTTTTAAACAATATCAGACATGACAAGCCCTTTTTTTTCTTTTTTTGAGACAGAGTCTTACTCGGTCGCCAGGCTGGAGTAGAGTGGCACGATCTGGGCTCACTGCAACCTCCGCCTCCCGGGTTCAAGCAATTCTCCTGCCTCAGCCTCCCAAGTAGCTGGGATTACAGGCGCCTGCCACCATGCCTGGCTAATTTTTGTGTTTTTAGTAGAGACAGGGTTTCACCATGTTGGCCAGGCTGGTCTCAAACACCTGGACTTTGAGTGATCTACCCGTCTCAGCCTCCCAAAGTGCTGGGATTACAGGTGTGAGCCACCACACCCAGTCGACAAGCCCTCTTTTTAAAATATATCCCTGGTCCTCAAAGGCAGTTAAAGCTGTGAGCCACCTATACTAGCTGTAAATTAAAGCTTAAGATTTCACCTGGGTATGTTTCTAAAATAAGAATCCTTAGGAATGTATTATTAAGAGGGGCCAGAGGCAACAGTAATGGAGTCATCACCTTCCTTAACATGTCTGCTTAATATTCAAAAATAAATGTGATCATACCACTCCTTTACATGAATTACCTCCACCAGTCCATACTGTGGGACCAAAGCCAGACAGCCTGCCAGTAAGAAAAGGAATCTAGATTGCAGGATGCGGGGCGGAGAAGAGTTTTTAAGAATGGAGAAATGCATTCCAAACCCAAGTAGCAGGGTTGTATTTGTTCAGGTCAGCTCTGAGCATCATGCGTCTTTTTTTTTTTTTTTTAAGACAAAGTCACGCTCTTGTCGCGCAGGCTGGAGTGCAATGATGCGATCTCGGCTCACTGCAACCTCTGCCTCCTGGGTTCAAGCAATTCTCCTTCCTCAGCCTCCCGAGTAGCTGGGATTACAGGCGCCTGCCACCACACCCAGCTAATTTTTGGTAGAGACGGGGTTTCACCATGTTGATCAGGTTGGTCTTGAACTCCTGACCTCAGGCAATCCACCTGTTTCGGCCTCCCAAAGTGCTGGGATGACAGGCTAGAGCCTACGCGCCCAGCCCATCATGTGTCATTTTTATAGTGTGCATAAGTGCGGGGAATGTTAGTAAAGTGTATGGACAATCTGAAAACCCAGTTACACTTCAGTTAAAAGTGTGGATCAGTTAGCTAGAAAATACCTGCGCACGGCGGCTCATGCCTGTAATCCCAGCACTTTGGGAGGCCAAGGCATCACCGGAGGTCGGGAGTTCGAGACCAGCCTGACCAACATGGAGAAACCCCGTTTCTACTAAAAAAAATTACAAAATTAGCTGGGCATGGTGGCACATGCCTGTAATCCCAGCTACTCGGGAGACTGAGGCAGGAGAATCGCTTGAACCTGGGAGGCAGAGGTTGCGGTGAGCCAAGATCGCACCATTGCACTCCAGCCTGGGCAACAAGAGCAAAATTCCATCTCAAAAAAAAAAAAAAAAAGAAAAGAAAAAGAAAATACCTGTGCACACCAACACAAACGAAAGGATGTTGTGTGACTTACAAAAAACCTCACAAGAAGGGGTCCTTTGAGTCTCCACTCCACTTGACCCCTTGCTACTCACAATGTGATGAGTAGACAAACAGTATCTGATGGGCAGCACCCACCACAGGAGAACTTCTTAGAAATGCAGAATCTCAGGACCTGTCCCAGAGCTATGGAAGGAGGGCACACATCTTACCAAGATCCCCAAATGATTCCTGTGCCCAGTGACGTTCGAGATGCACTCCATAGCGCATTCAGAACCATTCTACAAACCACTTTTGAGCTTTCCACTAATTGGGCAGAGGCTGCACACACCATCATTGCAAATCGATAGGGGTTTTGAAGCCCTGGGTGTTTCCTGTTTCTGGCACAGCATGGCAACTGTCCCAGCAAGGGGCAGCCCACGGGAGCTCCTTTGCACACAAGCCCTGCTGCTCCTAAAGGCTCTGGACACACAGGAGACCTCCCAGCCTGCTTGCGGGGGGGGCGGGGGGGACACTCGCTCCTAACAGGTCTTGTTTCAGGTCAGAGATAACTGGATTAGAAACCTGACTTGGGTCCCTAATTGCAGAAAGAGTGAAGGAGGACAAAGAAGAAATGGGGAAGGAAGGCACCTGAGCTAGCACTTTCCTGTCTGAGGCTAGGGCGGGTATGACGGGCAGGCCAGGTGCCCACACTTGGCCGGCTGAGAGGGGTACGAGGCAGGCTGCTCAGGGCAGAGAAGAGGAATGCAAGATGGAATCAGGTGTACACCTGTGAGACGGACCCCCAGGTGGGCCCCTCCAAGGTCAAGGGAGGAGATGAGGACTTGAGTGAGGCTGAGCCAGCTTCTGGAGAGAGGGGCTACCAGACAGAGAGCGAGAGAGGCGCTCAGACATCAGACGGACAGACAGAGGCTGACGGCAGGAGGCTCAGAGGGCCCAACGTCAGCCCGCCGGGCAGGCTCCCCAGGCAGACAGACAGGACGGGGCCCACCGCCCAAGGCCCGACTCACAGGTGCGCGATGCCCGCCTTGCGCACCGCCGAAGAGATGGCTTTGACTGCTGTGCAGAGCGAGTTGAGCAGCTGGGTCAACTCGCCCGTGCCGCGGGCCTTCCTGCCCTCCTCCATGACGAAGCGGGTCAGGGTGTTGACGTCCGTGTCGAAGGGCGCCTGGTCAGCCATGCTTGAACCGGGTAGAGCGCGGGGCTGCAGGTGCAAGCGGCAGGTGCGGGGCTGCAGGTGCGGGCGGCAAGAGAGGGCAGTAGGCACTGGCCGCAGGTGCGGAGCTGCAGGTGCGGGCGGCAGGTGCGGGCCGCGGGACCTGGCGGGAGGACTGACAGACCGACTGCCGCCCCGAGTGTCCGCAGCGCTCGTGGTGCAACTGGGCCAGGCCAGGCGCCGGCGGGTGAATCGCGGAAACCTTTAGACGCGGGTCGGCCCCCCGCCCCCGGGAACACTCTTGCGCCCCGCCTACCCCGCGGACCAGACCGCGGCTCCGCCTGCTTGGATCTTCAGACAAGGTCGGGGATCCTCCCTGCGGTCTCCCAACCCCCGCCCCCACGCGCCCTGCCGCCCCCTAGTCTTCCTGGGCTGTCGCCCCCCACACACACCCCTCCGTGCCCTCCACCCGCACTGTGGAGCGGGACTCGGGCCATCGGACTCTGCCAGAGAGAAAGCTATGACTGTTTCCTCCAAAATCATAAAACGGAAGTTCAGAAAGGTTAAGTAACTTGCTCAATGCCACCAGCTAGGCAGCGAAACCCGCAGCCAGTCCACATGGCCTGGCTTTAGCTCTGCAGCTCCTGCCCCGTGTGGCTGCCTGCCCCCGCCCCCTGCCCAAGCCCCGTCCACTCTGCCTGGCCTGTCACCTGGCCCTTCTGTCCCCGCTAGGAGACACAGAGTCCCCGTTTCTCACCCATCTGAGGGCCCACGTCTGAATCCTTAATCCAGGCCTCTTCTCAAGATTCCTAGAATTCGAGAGCTATTGAGTATTTGAATTTCCAAGATGTGAGTCTCGCCCGGAAGTTTCCCGGAAAACGGTCGCTGACACAGAGTCCTCGGCTACCACACAAAGGCCAGAGGGCTCCACCGCCCGCATCCTGACCCCCTGGTAGCCACAATGCTGCAATTGATGTGCTGATTCACGAAACAACACCTATTGAGCACCTGCTGTGCTGAACACTGTCCTACCTTCCAGGGGTGGAGCCTGATCCAAACAGACAAAACTCCTGCCCTTTTCGAGTGTACGTTTTCACAGAGAAACAGTAAAAATAAATATATAAACAATAGATTAGTTTGTTACATAAGCCATAAGTACCATAGAGAGAAACGAAATAGAAAAGGAAGACACGGAATGTGGAGGGGAGAAGAGGGTGAGCAGAGGCCTCAGTAAAAGCTTCTCTGAGAAAGGGATATGTGAGCAAAGAGGTGAAGGATGCAACGCGCCGGTGGAGATGGGAAGGAGAGCGGTTTCCTCACCGGGAGAGCCAGTGCACAGGCCCTGGGGTAGGAGACCATGTTTCAGGTTCAGGGAATGGCCAGGAGACCGGTGGAGCTGAAATAGAGCTAGCAAGGGTCAGAGGTGGAGGAGATAAGGCCAGCGGGAGGATGCAGAGGTGAGGTCTAGAGGGCCAAGTGAGGTTTGACTTTGACTAGGAGGAACCCACTGGAGAGTTTGGAGAAGAAGAGAGGCATGGTCTACCCTGTGTCTTCATACTGCGGCTACTGTGTGAAGATCAGACTGAAGACAGTGCCCTCCAGGTTACTAGGAGATAGTGAGCCAGGTGTTAGCAGTGGAGGTGGTGGATTCTGGACATATTTTGAAGGTAGAGCTGATGGGATTCGTTGACAGATGAGATATGTGAGAGACAGGAGTCTCGGATGATTCTAAGGTTTGAGGCCTGAGAAACTAGAAGAATGCAGTTGTCCTCGACTGCGATGGGGAACACCGAGAGGGGCGTGTGCTGGAGGCAGGACTGACAATTAGGAGCTAAGTGTGGGACCTGCTAAGTTTGAAATGCCTTCTAGACATCCAAGGCAATGTCAAATAGACAGATTTATGTATCTGGAGTTCAGAGGAGAGATCCATGCTGCAGGTATAAATTGGAAAAGCCAACTGGAAAAACCAACCAAAAACCAAGAGATGTGACATCCGGGAAGCCAGATGAAGAAGGTAAGTAAAGGCGGGCTGACCCATGTGCCAAGCGGTGTGGATGGGGCAGGCAGGACAAGCTCTGAAAATTGACTGCTGGATTCACCGTGGAGACCTGGGGTGCAGATTCCTGTGCCCAGGGTTGTCAGATGCGGCGGCGTTGAATGAAGGAAGGTGGTGGTACCACCAGGAAAGACAGCGACTGTCTCCTCAAAGCCCCAGAGGGGACTTAGATGCCTGGCAAAGAGAGTTGATCCTTTAAGGGTCTTATTTAACTCTTTGTTCCTCAGGCAACTTTTCAGGAAAAACCCTGTGTTAAAAAAAATAGTAAGAGAAATACATCCTTAAACATAAAAACTCAAATAGGCCCGGCTCACTGGCTCACACCTGTAATCCCAGCACTTCACTTTGGGAGGCCGAGGCGGGCAGATCACCTGAGGTTGGGAGCTCGAGACCAGCCTGACCAACATGGAGAAACCCCGTCTCTACTAAAAGTACAAAAATTAGCTGGGCATGGTGGTGCATGCCTGTAATTCCAGCTACTCAGGAGGCTGAGGCAGGAGAATCGCTTGAACCTGGGAGGCGGAGATTGCAGTGAGCAGAGATGGCACCATTGCAGTCCAGCCTGGGCATCAAGAACAAAACTCCATCTCAAAAAAAAAAAAAAAAAAGAAAAACAAACAAACTGGAGGCTGAGGCGGGCAGATCTTGAGGTCAGGAGTTCAAGACCAGCCTGGCCAACATGGTGAAACCCATCTCTACTAAAATAAAAAATTAGCCGGGCATGGTGGTGTGCACCTGTAATTCCAGCTACTCAGGAGGCTGAGGCAGGAGAATCGCTTGAACCCGGGAGACAGAAGTTGCAGTGAGTCAAGATCCTGCCGCTGCACTCCAGCCTGGGCAACAGAGCGAGATTCAATCTCAAAAAAAAAAAAAAGAACTGAAATGTGATGACTAGTATTTTTGGCATAGTAACTAGTTACTAGGGGAGAGCTAGAGCTAGTAACTAGGGGAGTGTGCCCCTTTACTTGCCAGACTCTCAGTCCCTCAGGATCTTGGATTGGCTAGGACCGTAAAAGTCATCTAGTCCAGCCAACCCTCATTGGACACCATCCCTGATAAGAGGTGAAGAGCTTGGGATCTGCATTAAGCAAACTTGTTTGAGTCCCAGCTCCAGCCCTCAGCAGCCAGAGATCTCGGACCAGTTACCTAATCTCTGTAAACCCAGTTTGTTCATCCATATAGTGGAATAATGGTTCCATCTGGCAGTGGTGTCATCGGGCTGAAATGAGATGGCATTGGCAGAGTGCTTAGCTCAGAGCTACACACAGGGGACACACTGAATACGTGGAGGAGACCCCTGTCTAGCTCAGTCACTTCTGCTTGTCACCCACGATGATGGGCAGCTCATTGCCTACAAGGCAAGCCATTCCCCTTGGGACTAGGCCACGTCGCATTGTGGTGAAGTGCACAGACTCTGGGGCTGCATGGCTTGGGTCCAAACCCTGGCCTGGCCACTTACTGGCTGTGCAAGCCTGTGCAATTGGCTAAACCTCACCAAGCAACCATTGGCTCATCTGTAAACTGGGGCTAATGATTGTAGCCACCTCATAGGGTTGCTGGGAGAATTATACAGGCAGTGCTGGTAGTGTTTAAGAACAGTGCCCAGCATGTAGTAAGTACACAGTATGTAAGTGTTTGCTTCGTTACATGGGTAGGGCCAACTGTTGTTTTCATGTGAACAGAAGCAAGAAAGTTCCCTGGCCATCAAAAGGGGCTAGAGGGATGTGGGAATTGGCAGCTGAGCCTGTATTTGCCTGGTGTGCAGTGATATCCCCTCCATCATATTGGTCGATTGTGACTCGCTCTTTTCTGGGTCAAGATGCATAAAGCCCATCACCCAGGTATTAGCAAGAGACAGAGGAAGGCGGCCACCTCACATGGGTTCCTGGCCTGTGGGTTGGGCCCCTCCCTCCTCCACCCACCACCCTCGCAGAGTTGCTTCTTGCCACATACTCCAACTTCACATGGGATTGCAGATTCAAGTGATGTGAGCAGTATTACCACATGTGTAACACTCGAAATCCTGCGAAGAATCAGTGCTCATGCATTTCCTCACCCAGCTCCCACGATGGGGTTATGTTGGAGGCGGGCAGTGGAGAAGTAACAGTGTGGACAGTCCCTGCCCCTACAACAGCCGCCCTCAACCCAGGGCTCCACTGCTTACTTTCCCCTCTGTGGGGGCGGTTAGTGCCACAGGAAAGAAAAACAGGCCAGGCACAGTGCACACACCTGTAATCCCAATGCTCTGGGTTGCCGAGGCAGACAGACCACTTGAGCCCAGGAATTTTAAAAGCGGCCTGGACAACATAAGGAAAACACTGTCTCTAAAAAAATTTAAAAATTACCCAGGAGTGGTGGCGCATGCCTGTAGTCTCAGCTACTGGAGAGGCTGAAGGAGGAGGATCACTTGAGCCCAAGAGGTCGAGGCTGCGGTGAGCCGTGATCACAGCACTGCACTCCAGCCTAGGCAATAGAGTGAGAGTGTGTCTCTAACAAAAACACAAAAAGAAAAACAAAAGCCAAGTGGTGTATGTGAGAGGGATTGCAGTAGCATGGTCCTTCCTTAAACACCTCCCCCAGCTCCTGTGGCCCCGGGGGCCTGGTGTGGAAACTAAACAGCAAACATCTATTTAGCACTTGCTAAGGGTGTGGCACTTGCCCAGGGCTTCAGAAGCAGCCTTTAATCAATCCAGAACCACTCTGGGGTGGCTTCTAATCAAACCCCTGTCTTTACAGATGAAGGGACTGAGGCTTTTCTTTCTTTTCCTTTTCTTTTCTTTTCTTTTTTTTTTTTTTGAGATAGAGTCTCACTCTGTCGTCCAGGCTGGAGTGCAGTGGCATGATCTCGGCTCACTGCAAGCTCCGCCTCCCAGGTTCACACCATTCTCCTGCCTCAGCCTCCTGAGTAGCTGGGACTACAGGCCCCCGCCACTTCGCCCAGCTAATTTTTTGTATTTTTAGTAGAGATGGGGTTTCACTGTGTTAGCCAGGATGGTCTCAATCTCCTGACCTCGTGATCCACCCACCTCAGCCTCCCAAAGTGCTGAGATTACAGGCGTGAGCCACTGTGCTTGGCCCAATTTTTGTATTTTTAGTAGAGATGGGATTTCACCATGTTGGTCAGGCTGGTCTCAAACTCCCAACCTCAGGTAATCTGCCCGCCTCGGCCTCCCAAAGGGCTGGAATTACAGATGTGAGCCACCACGCCCGGCCAACAAGGTCAAATAACCTGTCCAAGGCCTGCAGCCAGGCAGGAAGTGACAGAACAAAGACTCAAACCCTCATCTGTCTGATTCCAAACCCCATATTCCCACTGACTTGCTGGTTCTTTCCTAAGTGGCAGTTTCCCTCCACGTCATGCCTCCAGGGACAGGCAAGGCTCTGAGCCCGCCTACGGCAGCTCTCTGGACTCTAGAGCTATTTCTGGGCTCATGTTCATTCATTCTTTCACTCAACACATAGTTTTTGAACACCTGCTGTATGCCAAAACCATACCACACCCTGAGGTTGCAGTGGTGAACAGGACAGACACAGCTCAGTCCACTTTAGGTTTATATTCTTTGTGGGGGAGATAAGAAAAAAAATCATTTAACCAACAAAGACACAAAACTGTTTCAGGGAGCAGAGTGCTATGAAGACTGTAAAGCAGGATGAGGTAAAAACTCAAAGCCTTTCTTATGAAATGACTTTTGATCAGAGACTGAACAACAGAAAGGAATGGGGCAAATGAAGAGCTCATAGAGGAACATACAGAAGAACAAGCAAGGCTACGGCAGGTGCAAAGACCCTGGTGCATTCAAGGATCAGCTGGGAGAAGGCCAGTGTGGCCTGAAGGGCAAGTGAGGGAAGAACCACAGGAGATAAAGTTGGAAAGAGAGACGAGGGCAGATTATGAAAGGCCTCACAGCAAGTCGCTCAGGTTCTATTCATGCAGCCAGAAGACAGGGGAGGCCAGGTGCAGTGGCTCACGCCTGTAATCCCAGCACTTTGGGAGGCCGAGGCAGGCGGATCACGAGGTCAGGAGATTGAGACTATCCTGGCTAACGTGGTGAAACCCCGTCTCTACTAAAAATACAAAAAAATTAGCCTGGCGTGGTGGCGGGCACCTGTAGTCCCAGCTACTTGGGAAGCTGAGGCAGGAGAATGGCATGAATCCGGGAGGCGGAGCTTGCAGTGAGCTGAGATCGCGCCACTGCACTCCAGCCTGGGTGACAGAGCGAGACTCTGTCTCAAGAAAAAAAGAAGATGGGAGGGTTTTAAGCTGGGGAGCGACATGACTTACTAAACGGTGTGAGAATGGACCGTAGGTGGTCAAGAGCAGAAGCCAGGAGACCCAGCAGAAGGAGTCTGACCTAACCTCTACTTGATTTACAGTCAAATATGTGAAGCCCGCTGTCATATTCCCCATACATCTTTACTTCTCCAGTTAAATATTTTCAGCTCCTCCAGCTGCTCCTCAGGTGGCAAGATTTTGAAGTTCTTCCCTTCCTGTTCTGGACCTGGTGGCCCCTTGAGGCTCCTTATAACCCCATGCTCTATTTCCACGATTCCACCCATCTGCTCCACCTCATGTTCCAGGGGTCCTCTCTCCTAGGAAACTAGCTGTATTTTCTCCCCCCTGCTGATAATATTAGGAACAGGCTGATGATTGCAGCAGCAGGATGGGGCAGAGGGCAACTGAACCATGATGCAGTTGTAGTAAAGAGCTCAGCCAGCCCTGCGGGGAGCTCCTCTGAAGCTAAGATGACTCTGCAGAGCTGTCCTGAGTTGGGGCAAAGAGGCCTGGAAGTTAGACCTCCAGGCCAACATGTCATGGGCTATTGGCTGTCCTGGGAAGGGGCGTGACGTGGGAGAGTTAGCTGTCATCAGCAGAGGCAGTTCCAAAGACGGATGACAGCTGAGCACCGCCCACCGGCAGCAGTCCCAAGAGCTGGGAGCCCCTTCTTTGTCCTTAATGAGGAGCTGCAAGGCATCCCACAGCACCCACCGTCATCAGCAAGGAAGGCCAGAAACTGCGGGGAAGCAGGGTCTGTCTGCATCTCTCGGCTTTCCTTTCCTCTGTGTGGCATCACTCTCAGACACTCTCTCCCCTTGAAGCCCCATGTATGGCCACAGGTATCCCCAGAACTGTGCTCAGTCAGCCCAGCTTCCTTTCCCTCTAGTTCCAGCAAAAATCCAGTGTGGAACTCTTCCTGGTCCAGAGAGGTGACCATTCCCTGGCCAAGAATTGTTATAGTGATAGCACAGACCTCCTCCAATTTATAAAAGGTGTAAGTAATTACACACATTAGTGCTCTGTTACACAGATTCACTGAAATCATGGAAGTTGGGATACGCCCAATACACAGTGGCTGCAGCAGATATGGAGGGATGGTAGCCAGGGTGGAGCATTCTGGAGCTGAGGGAGCATAAAATAGCATGAGAGGCCGGGCACAGTGGCTCACACCTGTAATCCCAGCACTTTGGGAGGCCAAGGCGGGAGGATCATCAGGTCAGGAGATCAAGACCATCCTGGCTAACACGGTGAAACCCCGTCTCTACTAAAAATACAAAAAATTAGCGGGGCGTGGTGGCGAGCGCCTGTAGTCCCAACTACTCGGGAGGCTGAGGCAGGAGAATGGCGTGAACCTGGGAGGCGGAGCTTGCAGAGAGCTGCGATGGCACCACTGCACTCCAGCCTGGGCAACAGAGCGAGACTCCATCAAAAAAAAACAAAAACAAACAAACAAAATAGCATGAGAAAGCTGAAGTGAGTGTGTAACCCAGAGCGACGAAGTGGAGCGTGTTAGTGAGAGAGGAGTCAGCGTGCCCCGAGAGCCGGTGGGCGAGGCCACGGAGGGAGGGCGCCAATGCAGGAGGAAGGCGTGCTCTGCCCTCTTGGCCACGGCTACCCTGGGGCCTCCAGACTACAAATGGTTACCTGTCCACAATACTTATGGAAACGGAGGCTAAAAAGTTACAGCGATTTGACACAGTAAATGTATGTCTCTGTAATCTAATAATAAAAATCCGGGAGGTATATTCTACATGTCTTTTTAATTCTATTTTTCTAGAAATTCATTCTTTGTTGTATTTTACAAAAGCAGTGACCTGTGATGGGTTGGGAATGTTTCAGAAACTGGTCCTTCACTGCAGACGGTTTGAAACGCACTCCTCAGGATGCCAGGGGCCCATCCAAGTTTTCTCTTTTTTTTTTTTTTTTTGAGATGGAGTCTCACTCTGTCGCTGAGGCTGGAGTGCAGTGGCGCTGTCTCGGCTCACTGCAAGCTCCGCCTTCTGGGTTCACACCATTCTCCTGCCTCAGCCTCCCGAGTAGCTGGGACTACAGGTGCCCACCACCATGCCCGGCTAATTTTTTGTATTTTTAGTAGAGACGGGGTTTCACCGTGTTAGCCAGGATGGTGTCGATCTCCTGACCTCGTGATCCACCCACCTCAGCCTCCCGAAGTGCTGGGATTACAGGCGTGAGCCACCGCGCCCAGCCAAGGCCCATCCAAGTTTTCTAACAGATGTCATCCAAGGCATCTGCTTCTCCCAAAGGAGCACGTAGAGGAGCCTGCAGGGGACAGAAACAGAGAGCCACCATCTGGGTGGGAGCCAGTTGAGGTCTGACCTGCACTGAGGCTGGTGGGAGCGAAGACCCCTGGAAGGAGGGCCCAGGGCAGGGGTTTCTTTTTCCACCAGCGCCTTAACGACGTGAGGGCTTCCGTGTGAAAGGAAAGTTACAATGAACTGGACTTATAGGCTCTAACGTACTCAAAAGCGCCTCCCCTAACCTCAGACACACATATGGAATAAATCTTGGATTCCAGTATGTGGGCCGGATGGCATTGCCACTCCTGATATAACCTCAGCATAAATCCTGCCTTCCTGAACCTCTACGTCCCATCAGGGCACTTTCTTTCTGCCTACGAAACAGCTCTTCCACCTCCCTCCTCCTTGCCAGTCCCCTTCTCCTCCCTCCCATCTCTGCCCTCATGCTGAATGACTCCTGAAGGCCAGAGGGTAATTCCAAAGTAACTCAGATCTCACCACTCCCTCACTCCCAAACCTCTCATGACTCCCCATTGTCTGGGAACAAACAGCCCTTGAGCAGGGCATTTAAAGCCCAGTGCATGTCATCCCACCCCACATTTCACCCTGAACACCACCTCTCCCACCACTCCCCTGCCCCAGCTGTCCTGCTGAGTGTTCCAGAGTCACTTTTGCACTTTTATTTGCCTTTCCTGCACAGCTCACTCTGTGACTATGAATTTGTACCTGTTGTGTTGGGCAAATTCCGCAAGACCACTGCTCTGAACCCGAGGCGGGGTGGGGAAATCTTCACCACTCACTCACTCTAGGGCTGGGTGCCCGCCTCCAGCCTAGCTTCCATGCAATGCTTCATTTGGGGGTTCAGTCTTAGCAAAGGAAAGGAAAGGTCAGGAAAGGGCACGAAGAAGCTTCCATCTGCTGGGTTTCTTGCCTATGTCCTCAATGCCTTTCATCTGACTTAATTCCTGTGACAACCCACTGAGGAGGTGTTTAGCCACCTTTGCAGTGGAGGAAACAAAAGCTTAAACAGCTTTACTCTTGTGCCCGAGGTCACACAGTAGGAAATGGTAGAGCCAGGATTTGAACCTAGGCCTCTCTGATTCCGAAACCTGCTTGTAGGTACTAAACATATTGCTTCTTTTTCATCAGATGAGACTGAAAAAGAGAACACCCATATTCCAGGACTGGCTCTGCTAGAAATCAGCTCACCTTAGGAAGGTCACTTCATCTTGCTAGCCAAGCTTCCTCATCTGTAAAATAAGGAGGTATATGTTTTGCCAAATTCCTTCCTTCTCTTGCATTCTTTTGCTCTGAGCAATAATAATAGCTCGCGTTTGTTAAGGCTTATTACACGCCTAGCATCAAGCTAAGAGCACTTTTATATGAATTATCTCATTTGGTCCCACCACACCCTTATGATTAAGTGCAGTTAGCACTCCCCTTTGGCAAATGAGGAACCTGTGGTTTGGAGAAGCTCAGCAGCATTTCCAAGGTCACACAGTTGAGAAGCAGGGGAAGGACATTCTAGTTCAGACGCACTGGCTCTGGGGTCCACACTCTTATTAGCCTGCCTGGCTTCCACGACCTCAGAGTGCAGGCCTGGCTGCTTCCTCCATCTGGGGAAAACAGTTCAGCCCACCCTGAGCTCACTTGTCCAGGGTAATTCCCGGCCACCAGGCAGGTCTCTGAAGGCCGGGTTCCCCAGGGCTGGGTCAGCTACCCTCCTGTGGGCTCTCACTGCCCACAGACTCTTAGGGCAGGAACTACCGTGTGTCTCCAGGGCATAGACAACACACTGTGTTGCAAAAGGAAAAGACTTTCTCTGAGAGCAGCCCTTGCTGGGGAAACATTAAACGGAGGGCTGCTGTGTTTCACCTCTACTGGTTCCAACCGGCTGAAGTAGCCCAGGATCTCGCTAATGACTTTTGTGACCAGCGAAAGGGCAGTGGGCAATCTCAGCTCGCTGCAACCTCCGCCTCCCGGATTCAAGCGATTTTCCTGCCTCAGCCTCCCGAATAGCTGGGATTACAGGCACGTGCCACCACCATTAGCTCAGCTAATTTTTTGTATTTTTAGTAGAGATGGGGTTTCACCGTGTTAGCCAGGCTGGTCTTGATCGCCTGACCTCGTGATCCACCCGCCTTGGCCTCCCAAAGTTCTGGGATTACAGGCGTGAGCCACCGCGCCCAGCGTATGCGGCTTTTCTTAACCAAGCTTATTGAGACTTAAAGGCCTCATTCTGTCCTACCCAGCTTGCATGTTGCCAATCCTTAATTAGCATAACCACTGAGAAAAACCATTTTTTAAAATTATTTAAAATAAAAAAAAAAAACAAGCAACAACACCACCAAAATCAAAACCCTAAGTTTTTGCCTCCCAGAAAACATGTCAGTAAATTTCTTCACTGGTATATTCCCTTGTCTGGCCAGTAAATCAACTCAGCATTGTTATTATCACTATTATTACTGCTATAATATGTATTTATGTATGGTTCTGATGGTATTTGTTTTATTCTTTGGCAACACATAATAAGTTTAATAAATATTTGTCTGGCCAGGCAAGGTGGCACACTCCTGTAATCCCAGCACTTTGGGAGGGCCAAGGTGAGAAATGTCAGGCCTCTGAGCCCATGCTAAGCCATCATATCCCCTGTGACCTGCATGTATACATCCAGATGGCGTGAAGCTACTGAAGATCCACAAAAGAAGTGAAAATAGCCTTAATTGATGACATTCCACCATTGTGATTTGTTCCTGCCCCACCCTAACTGATCAATGTACTTTGTAATCTTCCCCACCCTTAAGAAGGTTCTTTGTAATTCTCCCCACCCTTGAGAATGTACTTTGTGAGATCCACCCCTTGCCCTCAAAACATTGCTCCTAACTCCACCGCCTATCCCAAAACCTGTAAGAACTAATGATAATCCCACCTCCCTTTGCTGACTCCTTTTTCAGACTCAGCCCGCCTGCACCCAGGTGAAATAAACAGCCTTGTTGCTCACACAAAGCCTGCTTGGTGGTCTCTTCACTCAGATGAGCGTGACAAGAAAATCACTTGAAACCAGGAGTTCAAGACCAGCCTGGGCAACATATCAAGACCCCGTCTTTACGAAAAAAAAAATTAAAAATTAGCTTGCTGTTGTGGTGCACACCTGTAGTCCCAGCCACTTGGGAGGCTGAGGTGGTGGGATCACTTGAGCCCAAGAGGTCAAGATTGCAGTGAGTCATGATCAAGCCATGCACTCCAGCCTGGGTGACACTGCTCTTCTCAAACCACCAACCCCCTACCTCCTACTTGACAGATTAAATACAATCCTTAGGTAGGAGCCCTTTGGCTTCTCCTGACTGGCTAGAAGTCTCATGACATCTGCCTCGCACCCAATCTGCTTCCCTCCTCCTAAGCCAAACCCTGCCTCTGAGCTTTGATGGCATCCATCTGCCTTCTTAGTGAGCCTTGCGCCATGTCCACCTGGCTCCTTCTTGAATATTCAACTACATCCTCTCACCGGATCTGTCTCACAGACCAATATGCTTAAGTCTCTCACTTCTTAAAAGAAAAGTATAAACCTTCCCTTGACCCTCTTACTCCTCTCCAGCTACCATTTCACAGTCAAATCTCTTGAGAAAATGGAAAACAAAAGTCAATGAGGGCTGGGCGCAGTGGCTCAAGCCTGTAATCCCAGCACTTTGGGAGGTCGAGGTGGGCGGATCACGAGGTCAGGAGATCGAGACCAGCCTGGATAACATGGTGAAACCCTGTCTCTACTAAAAATACAAAAAAAAAAAAAAAAAAATTAGCTGTGTGTGGTGGCGGGCGCCTGTAGTCCCAGCTACTCGGGAGGCTGAGGCAGGAGAATGGCGTGAACCCGGGAGGCAGAACTTGCAGTGAGCCGAGATCGCACCACTGCACTCCAGCCTGGGCAACAAAGCGAGACTCTGTTTCAAAAAAAAAATACAAAAATTAGCAGGTGGGCACCTGTAATCCCAGCTACTCAGGAGGCTGAGGCAGAAGAATCGCTTGAACCCAGGAGGTGGAGGCTGCAGTGAGCAGAGATCGCACCACTGCACTACAGCCTGGGCAACAGAGCAAGACTCTGTCTCAAAAAAAAAAAAAAAAAAAAGTCAGTGAGTACAAAAACTCCCTCTGTTTCCTCCTGCCACTCCCAGGCAGCTTTGACCTCTGTGGCCCATTGAAAGGATGCTTGCCAGGGTCACTGATGACTTCCATGTTGCTAAATGCAACAGACACTTCCCAGTTCCCCTCCTGACTTCTCAGGGCATCAGACACTGTGGGCTACTCCCTTTTTCTTGCCACACTCCTTTGCTTTTTGTCCCACACTCTCCTGCTCTGCCTTTAGCTCTCTGGGGTTCTTCATGGACTCTCTGGCTGGGCAGTCTTCCGGGGCCAGCCCATGGCTTTAATTACCATTTGTTTTCTAATGGCTGTGAAACTCACATCACCAGCTCAGCTCTCCCCTTGGAGCTCCAAATCCCCATATCCAGCTGCTTCTTGATTTCTGTATCTCGATGTCTCAAAAGTCATGTCACACACAAGACTGAATTCATGGTCTTTCCTGACCTTCCACACCAAGCCAGATCTTTGTCCAATATTTTATTTCTTGGGTGATGACGTTACCAATCAGCCAGAAGTCTAGGATTTTTCTTTGACAGCCCCCCTCACCCTCCATATCCAGCCCACCCCCAAGTTTCTCCTTCATTCCCCGCCCCCCGCTCCATATTCAGCCCACCCCACCCCCCATAATTTGTGTTTTCCTGATGTCTTTGAACAGGTCCAGTTCTCCCTTCTCCTCTGGCACCATTCCGGCCCAAGCTGTCAGTCATCCTCCTCCCAGACTATAGCAGAGGCCTCCTCGTGGCTCTTTCATATCTATCCTGCACTCTCCAGCCCATTCTCTTTGCTGCAGCCAAAGCAACATTTTGAAATAGCTGAGAACACACACACACACATGACTTTGGTTGTGTGTGTTTTGAATAAGGGCTAAAATATTAACCCTGGCCTACAGACCCTGCACCATCTGGCCCCCCAGCCTCTCCAGTGTCATCTTCCATGTCCCACCAGCTGCCCCTGCTTCCCTGTTTCTGCTCCAGCCACATGGCGCCCTCCCTGTGCAGGGCCTTTGCATGGTGTTCTGAGTGCACTGCCCTGGCCACCGCCTTTTGCTTGGCTTGGGTTGTGTCTACGTTTGTGTTTTCAGCAAAACATCCCCTGACCCCCATGCAGGCCAGGTCTCATTCCTTACAGAAGCCAGTTTTCTTCCTTTAGAGCCCTGATGCCAGTTTGTGAAACACACTCGCTAACGTAGGGATCCGAGTGATGGACTGATGTCTGTCTCCTTCCAGCAGGCTGTTCACTCTCTGAGAGCGGAGGTATCTATTCTGCTCACTCTTTTATCCCAAGGTGTTCTTAACATGGCACCCCGAAGAATGTAGGCCCTCAGGAAATATTTGTCAAATGGTGACTGAAGTGGAGAGAGAGAGAGAGGGCAATGAGGCCGCCGCTTGTGAGGGCTCCAAGTGTTCGGAGGGAGTGGATTGTGCCTATTCAGTCACGCACCTTTGTCACTTGGGAAATGGCTGGCTCTGGCCTTGCACCTAGTGGGGGCTTCATAAATATTGGCAGGATTGAATTGAACTGAGTTGACGCACTCACCAGCTCCACTGGAAAATGTGTCTCGAGCTAGCACTTACTGAGCATGTAAAACTACGGGTCATTATGCTGAATGCTTCTCATGTGTTCACCCATTTAATCCTGAAGACACCATGAGATGGGCATTACTGTTCCATTTTTATAAACAAAGGAACCAGTCAGGGGCCCTGTGGGAAACAGATGGCACACTCAGGATGATTTCAGGAGAATTTCACAAAGGAATCCTCCACAACCATGTGGACGGGGGTGGGGGGAAGAAAGGCATAAGGGGCTGCGATGCCTCAGGGCTCACAGTGACTGCTGGGGGCTTCACTGCTACCCCTACGCTTGAAGTTTGCCAGAACCCCACACAGAGAGGGCAGAGTGGAGGAGCTGCCTGTCAGGAGCCAAGATGGCAGGTCGAGGGCTGTGGCCAGTCCAAGGTACCCCTGAGGGCACCAGAATAAAGTGTCCAGACTCGCTTTCCCTCTGAGGCTGTGCACTGACTGAACCCAGCTGGCAGCCCTGGGGCAGGGGAACCCTTGATGCCGTCCTGCGGGTCAGCCTCCCAGGGCCTCGAGCAGGTGGAGAAGGATGGAAAATGGACCTGGAGGTGCAAACAACCAGCACAAGTCCCAGAGCACAGTCCTCAGAGCTGGAGCCCCTCTCCAAGGCCCATCAAGAGCCATCTCCATAGTCCTCCAAGAGGACTGCTGTCCATGTACCGCCTTCTTGGAACAGAAATCAGAGAAGTCAGAGTTCTTCTCCATGCGAGTACTGACGAGTGGGTGCGCTGAGACTGAGTCATTGGCTAGAGCAGGAACTGGTGGGCAGTGATGCTGGGGAAGGAAGTACAGAGAGGACATGTCAGGTGGTCACCAGCCCAGCAACTCCCCATCACATGTGCCTCAGCACGTCCAGCCTAAGGGAGGGAGGGACAGTCGACCCAGACCTTGTCAGTCCACAGGCTGGAGGTAATTGAAATCCAGCCACTTTGATGGCAACTGCTATGGCCCTAGTCCTGTACTATAAAGCAGATCATCTGAGAACAAGAGAGCTCACCCAATGTCCATTTCACCTTGAATAAAATCTGGAGGCTGTGGCTCTGCTTACCCTCAACAGTCAGCTAGGGGCACTTCTCCAATGACACACCCCATGTCCTTAGACTTCCTCAGTGGCTCAATGTCTAACATGAGGAAGCGAGAACATGGACATCCCAACGCTTGTGTAATTGTAACGACTGTCTGCAAAGCACTTCAGTGTTCCCAAATGGAAAGATTCCCCGGAAGTAGAAAGAGCTATTATTGTCCATTATGAGCATTCTTTCTAGAATCTTCTTCTTTCTACCCTCAACTGTGGCTTTTTAGACTAGCAGACATCTGCCAAAAGCCACTAACCCAGAGACACTGATTCTATCAAACAGCACAGTGGGACAGTCACTCTCCCAACTTTCTTTCTTTTTCTTTTTTCTTTTTTTTTTTGAGACAGAGTTTCGCTCTTGTTGCCCAGGCTGGCGTGCAATAGTGCAATCTCGGTTCACCGCAACCTCCACCTCCTGGGTTCAAGCGATTCTCCTGCCTCAGCCTCCCGAGTAGCTGGGATTACAGGCATGTGCCACCGTATCCAGCTAATTTTTGTATTTTTGGGAGAGACAGGGTTTCTCCATGTTGGTCAGGCTTGTCTCAAATTCCCCACCTCGGGTGATCCACCCACCTCAGCCTCCCAAAGTGCTGGGATTACTGTCATGAGCCACCAGGCCCGGCCCCCAACTTTCTTAATAATTAAATCCAATCTCTTGCTAGACAGACTTTTTTGTTGTAGTGCCAAGGCTGCTTGAAATTTTCATTTTGCTGTCTAATTTGCATAAACTTGTAATCAATAAGTTTTTGCCCTATACTTGGCCCCTACTCCTACCGTAGTAAAATATTCGATGCATATTTTTCATGGAAATATTGAAGAAACATACATTCTCAGACAAGAAACATCAAATGTGGCCATTGCTTTTGTACCACTCAATATGCAACTCAGACTGGTTGAAATTTAGACCAAATGGTAACATCCAGAAGAAGATAGGACCACAGAGCTAAGGAGGGCTGCAGTGGGCTGAATATGGTGCCACTGCCCACAGTGTCCACCCAGAATCTGGGATGGTGGCCTTATTTGGGAAATGGGGTCTTTGAAGATGTAATCAAGTGAAGGCTGTTGCCATGTGATCATCCTGAATTACCCAGGTGAGCCCTAAACCCAATTACAAGTGTCCTCACAAGAGAAAGGCAGAGAGAGATTTGAAACACACAGAGCAGAAGGTGATGTGGAGGTGGGACAGAGACCCAGCGAAGCAGCCACATGCTGAGGAGCGCCTGGAGCTGGAGGAGGCAGGAGAGGACTCGTCCTGAGCCGTCAGAGGAAGGACAGCCCTGCCGCCACCTTCATTTCAGACTCGGCTTCCAGAACCGCAGGAGGACACAGTTCTGTGGCTATGAACCACCCGATTTGTGGTGCTTGGTTATGGCAGCCACAGGAAATGAATACAGAAACTATTCAAATCCCCTGGTTGAATTCCTTTATTTTACAGATGAGAAAAATAACAGCATTCGCAAGCGACACACAGTTTATGAAATGTTTTCACAGAGTGACCATGTTCAGTCTTCATAGCAATTCTGTGAGGTGGTAGTTTCTGCCTGTTAAAAGGAAAACTGAGGCAAACTACATTTAACAGAGTTTAATTGAGCAAAGAATGATATGGGAATCAGGCAGCCCCCTGACCAGAAGAGGTTCAGAGCGTCTCTGGTGCTGCCGTGTGGTGAGAGTCTTTACGGGCAGAGAACGGAAAGTGAAGCACAGAAAACAGAAGTGAGGCAGAGAAACAGCCTGATTGGCTACAGCTCAGCGTTGGCCTTACTCGAACACAGTTGGAAGACTTGGCCACCTGTGAGTGGTTGAAGTATGGTTGCTTGTCACAAGAGTAGGTTACAGCCCCTTTCACATCCAGTTAAGTGACAGTTCCCTTTGTGCAGAGAAGCCTTTAGCCACACAGGTCCCAAATGTAACATAACATTTGTTACACTTAAAATAAGTAAGGAGGCAGCTGTAGGCTAAATTTAACATGCCTGGGAGGAGGGAACTGAAGCTCAAACCAGAAGCAGCAGATAGATGGGTCTGCAAATTTCATGCGTTTTCCACCAGATCTCTGCCTGTGGCTCAGAGAGGTGTGGCAGCACAGCTACCTCACACAGCTGCTGAGAAACAGGCTTGGATACAGGTCTTTTTTTTCTCCCCACTTTTGCTTCAGATCTCTACCCAGGTATAACGAGCTGCATCTCAAGGTCAGAACGACTGAACAATAAAGAGGTTGGTTCAACAGATGACCTCAAAACTCATAACCTACATCCCGAAGCTAAAGAAAAACTTACGTCTCCAAAAAGAGGTGTAGTTAGCTGCAGGTTATTTGAATGAGCAGCACATGCTGTGCATTTGCTTTAAGATTCTCCAAACACGCAGAAAGCCAAGCTAATCCTCAGCGCTCCCATGCCAATCTGGTGTGGGGACCCTCCACTCCAGGCTGCCTTGTAGAATGCCTTATTGATGTGCGGCAAGGGGCACCCCATGAAAGTCCCAACAGCTCTGAAGGTAATGAGCAAATAATCCAGTTGAGCAAGCAATCAAAGAACAATAACAATTGTCTTGTGACAATACCCCCCAGTTTGTAATTAGTTAGCTTAAATTAGTTTAAATTCACTTCATTTGGAAGATTTTGCCTCTGAGGCAGGCCAAGGCTCTCTTTCAGAGGCCAATTAGATTAAATTAGAAGTGGCACATTAGCTGGGGAGACTTCATTCATTTTGGGTTTTTGCAGCCTTAATTATGATGCAGACACAGCTGGAGTCATCCTTTGGAGGGTTTTCTTGCTTCAGCAGGCACTGGAGGCGACTGGATTCCTGGGAGAGGTGCTTTCAGTGGCGTGTGTGGCCAACCAAGCCACCCAAGGCTACTTTGTCACCAGATTCTGCTCTTGGCCCATTCCCCCAGCTGCTGTGGGAGAGTCACAGGAAGTGAGGAATCCTAAGAAGATCTTCCTTTTTCAAAACAGCTTCATCAAGGTGCAATTAACAGACAAGAAACTGCACACACTGAAAATACACACTTTGGTATGTTTTCACATGTCTATACCCATGGAACTACCACCACAATCAGAATAATAAGTATATTGAAGGAAATGAAAATATTTCACTCCAAAATATACTTTTTGGCATATTTTAAGATGGCTATTCAAAAGGGCTAGAAATCCAAGAATAGCTGAAAAGCTGTCTTGCTGGGGGAGGTTTGCGTCCATAGAGACCATCTTTGTGAGCCAGGCCTCCTCTTCTGCCCCTGCCATAAGCTGATTTGTCATCTTTTTTTTCTTTTCTTTTTTTTGAGACGGAGTCTCGCTCTATTGCCCATGCTGAGGTGCTGAAGTGCAGTGGTGTGACCTCGGCTCACTGCAACCTTTACCTCCTAGGTTCAAGCGATTCTCCTGTCTCAGCCTCCCGAGTAGCTGTGACTACAAGTGCATGCCACCACGCCCAGCTATTTTTTTTTTTTGGTATTTTTGTATTTTTAGTAGAGACAGGGTTTCACCATGTTGGCCAGGCTGCTCTCGAACTCCTGATCGCAGGTGATCCACCCGCCTCAGCCTCCCAAACTGTTGGGATTACAGGCGTGAGCCACCGCACCTGGCCCCCCCGACTTGCCATCTTAACCCACTGTGGGCCACCCTCAGATCCCCTGTTCTCTCTGTAACCTCGAGGAGATACACAAGCTTCTGCACCCGTGGGGGTTGGGGTCATCTTTCTGTGATTTTCCCTCCATGCACGTTGATAAATTTGTATGCTGTTTCTAGTATTAGTCTGCCTTTTATAAATTGATTTTTCAGCAAGTTTTTAGAGGATGCAGGGGAGCTTTTTCCCTTGGTCCCTGCAATATCTATCCATTGCCCCCAGAAATTTCCTCGTGTAATTTTGTCATCTCTCCCTCCACCCCTTCCCTCTCACACAGACTCGGGCAACAACTGGTCTGCTTTTGTCACCATAGACTACTTTGTATTTTCTAGGATTTTATATAAATGGAATCATACTACATGTACTCTTTTTTTGCTCTTTCGCAAAGCATAATTGAGATTTATCTATGTTGTTTTGAGTTATCAATAATTATTCCCTTTTTATTGCTAAGTAGCATTCTATCATCCAGATATACTACAGTCTGTTTATGTTTATCGTTGAGAAATTTGGACCTTTTCTAGGTTGGGGTTATTTCACATAAAGCTGCAGCAGACATTTGTATACAAGTTTTTGTGTGGACATATGCTTTCATTTCTTTTGGGAAAATACCTAGTAGTGGAATGGCTGGTCATAGGCTGCTATATGGTGAACGTTTTCAGAAACTGCCAAACTTTTCCAAAGCCATTGGACCATTTTACATTCCCATTAGCCTGGGACCATTGTTACAGGTTCCCAGGTGATCTATATCTTCCCAACACCTAGTATGATTAGTCATTTAATTTTAGCCATTCTAATAGGTATTAACTAAGGTTACCCTAAAGCTGCCTCCATACATAGTTTAAGTTGGGCCTTAATTTCCTCTGTACATAGTGAACTATAACTTAACTGGATGTGTAAACAGACTATAACCTACTCTTGTGCCAATTATCAAATTGCACTCAATTTTCTTTTTCTATAATTCCTCTCCAATCACGTGGCAGCCACCAGCGTTATTCTGACCTATTCTGGCTCAGGAGGCCACACAGTTCATGAATCGTTCTTTGCTCAATTAAACTCTTAAATTTAATGTCTTAAGTTTTTATTTTAACAGTCGTAGTGGTTCTCATTATGATTTTGTGTGTGTGTGTGTGTGTGTGTGTGTGTGTGTGTGTGTGTGTGTGTGTGAGATAGCATCTCACTCTGTCACCCAGGCTGGAGTGCAGTGGTGCAATCATGGGCTCGACCTCTTGGGCTCGAGTGATCCTCCCACCTCGACTTCCCAAAGTGTTGGGATTACAGGCACGAGCCACTGTGCCCAGCCTCTCATGGTGATTTTTAATTTGCATTTCTATAATGACAACGATGTTGAGCCTATTTTCCTGTGCTTGTTTCCCAGCTATGTAGCTTCCTTGGTGAAGTGTTCATTCAAATCTTTTGCCCATTTAAAAAAAATGGGTTGGTTGGGCCAGGCGCAGTGGCTCATGCCTGTAATCCCAGCACTTTGGGAGGCCGAGGCGGGTGGATCACAAGGTCAGGAGATCGAGACCATCCTGGCTAACATGGTGAAACCCTGTCTCTACTAAAAATACAAAAAATTAGCTGGGTGTGGTGGCGGGCACCTGTAGTCCCAGCTACTCGGGAGGCTGATGCAGGAGAATGGCGTGAACCCGGGAGGCAGAGCTTGCAGTGAGCCGAGATCGTGCCACTGCACTCCAGCCTGGGCGACAGAGCGAGACTCCATCTCAAAAAAATAAAATAAAATAAATAAATAAATAAATAAATAAATAAATAAAAATTGGGTTGGTTGTTTTCTTACTGAGTTTTGAAAGTTCTTTACATATTCTGCATACAAGTCTTTTATCAAATATATGGTTTATAAATATTTCCTCTCATTCTGTGGCTTGTCCTTTTATTCTCTTAACAGTGTCTTTTGAAGAGATGAAGTTTTTCATCTTTTTTTTTTTTTTTTTTTTTGAGACAGGGTCTCTCCCTGTAGCCCAGGCTGGAGTACAGTGATGTGACTTCATCTCACTGCAGCCTCTACTTCCCAGGCTGAATCATTCCTCCCACCTCAACCTCCTGAGTAGCTGGGACTGTAGGTGTGTGACACCACACCCAGCTAATTTTTAAAAAATTTTGTAGAGATATGGTCTCACTATGTTGCCCAGGCTGGTCTCAAACTCCTGGCCTCAAGTAATCCTCCCAGTTCAGCCTCCCAAAGTGCTAGGATTACAGATATGAGTCACCTCACCTGACCTGAAGTTCTTAATCCTGATGAAGTCAAATTTGTCAATTTTTTTTCTTTTATGTACTGTGTTTTGGTGTTGGATCTAAACAAAAACACTTTGCCTAGCCCAGGGTCATAAGACATTTTCCTGTGTTTTTGTAAGAGCCAAGGGAAAGATTCCCCTTCACTCTGTGAAGATTTACTAGCAAATCAACTGACAAAAGGCAGACTAATTGGAGAAAGCGCATAAAAATGTATTAATGTGCACACAGGGGAGAATCAGAGAGTGATGGCCCCATATGCCATTGGGGCCAATGTATTTATATAGCCTTATTTCAGGGGGGTGAGGGGAGATGGGAATATAGGTGATTGTGTTGAGGGGTAATAAATGATTACTAGGGAGAATGAATGGAAAGAGGAACAGAGATTAACTTGTGAATGAGTTCTATTCAGGTGTGATTGGGTCCTATTCAGGTGTGGGTACATTCTTGGTTGTTTTTGGTCTTGCTTTGTCACCCCAGCTGGAGTGCTATGGCACAATCTTGGCCTTGACCTCCTGTGCTCAACTGATCCTCTTACCTCAGCCTTCTGAGTAGCTGGGTCTACAGATGCATGCCATCATGTCCTGCTAATTTTTAAATTTTTTTTGTAGAGATGGGGTCTTACTACATTGCCCAGGCTAGTCTTGAATTCCTGGGCTCAAGCAATCTGCCCACCTTGACCTCCCGAAGTGCTGGGATTACAGGCATGAGTTACCGCCTTGGTCTTGTTTTCTGCAACAGATAATAAGATAATAGGGAGGGGGAGGGAACAACAATTGTTCTCCTGATGGGTACATCTAGTCTTTATGAAGGTAGGAGAAAGTCTCTTCCGGATCAAAGGTCTGTTGACCTCTAAGGGCCTTTAATTCAAAATACTCATTATACCAGGAAGCCATATTTCAGGGTAAAGTTCTCTGTACTCCTTCATTCTAGAAATTTTACAGTTATTTTATTTTATTTTATTTTATTTTATTTTATTTTATTTTATTTTATTTTAAGACGGAGTCTCGCTCTGTCACCCAGACTGGAGTCCAGTGGGACGATCTTGGCTAACTGCAAGTTCCACCTCCCGGGTTCACGCCATTCTCCTGCCTCAGCCTCCCGAGTAGCTGGGACTACAGGCGCCCGCCACTATGCCTGGCTAATTTTTTTGTATTTTTAGTAGGGACAGCGTTTCACCGTGTTAGCCAGGATGGTCCCGATCTCCTGACCTCGTGATCTGCCTGCCTCGGCCTCCCAAAGTGCTGGGATTACAGGCGTGAGCCACCGCGCCTGGCAAAATTTTACAGTTTTAGATTTACCTCTAGGTCTATGATATATTTTGAGTTAATTTTTATATATGGTGCAAGGTATGGATCCAAGTTCAATTTTTGCCAATGTAGATCCAATTGCTCCAGCACTGAATTGCCTTTGCACCTTTGTCAAAAATTAGTTATCCATATATGTGTGGATCTGTTTCTGATTTCTGGACTCCCTATTCTATTCCATTTATCTATTTGTCTCTCTGTGCACCAACACCATATGTTTTCACTATTGTAGCTTTAAAATAAGTCTTGAAATCAGGTAGTGTTAATCCCCAACTGTTTCCCAAAAGTCATTTGAGTATTCTAGGTTCTTAAGTTTTCTTGTGAATTTTAGAGTCAGTTTGTCAGTTCCCACAAAATCTTGCAAGAATGTTGACTGGCAATTTGACGCCTGAATATGTATAAGTTTTCATTTATTTAGGTATTATTTCACTTCTCTCAGTGATGTTTTGTTCATATTTGTTTTTGTTTTTAAAGACTAATTGGAGAAAAGGCATAAAAATGTATTAACGTGCACATGGGGAGAATCACAGAGTGATCGCTCCCTATCTCATTGGGGCCCACATATTTATACAGCCTTATTTCAGAGGGGTGAGGGGAGATAGGGAATATAGGTGATTCTGTTGAGGGGCAATAAATGATTACTAGGGAGAATGAATGGAACAGGGAACAGAGATTAACTTGTGAATGAGTTCTATTCAGGTGTGGTTACATTCTTGGTTGTTTTTGGTCTTGTTTGTCACCCTGGCTAGGATCTTGCTCTGTTACCCAGACTGGAGTGCAGTGGTGCAATCATAGCTCACTGCCTCAAACTCCTGGGCTCAAGTGATCCTCCTGCCTTAGCCTTTAAATGCATTCTAACCTCTCTCCTGCTAGAATTACCCCCCTAGAGCCAGGGCAGTAGGCAACTGAGAAGAAATTTTCTAACTAGCAAAGAGGCTTGATTTTCTATTGTGTTAGTTTTGCTGACAATTCCTATGTGGTAGTTTTTCTCAAATTCTACTGTGCATCAGAATAATCAGAGAAGGGTATTCTAAAAACAGAGATTCCCAATACACCCTCTCTTCAACCAATGAATCAGAATCCAGGAAATCTGTAGTGTATTTTTAGGCCACTGTTCAGAAGATTCTGATATATACTTATGTCTAGAAGCCTCTATTATAGAGAATTCTTGGGGTTCAGGCACTTGGAAATTCATTATTACATTGTAAAACTAACTTCCTCAGTATTAATATTATTTCTTCTTCCTCTACTTAGGCTCCTGGGTTTCTCAGCTCTCTTTTAAAGGAAACCAAAAATATTTTATCCCAAAATATACTTCTTTGTCATACTTTGGGGTGGCTCTTTGGAGGGCCTGCAGACAGGAATAGCCCTGCAAAGCTACCTTTTGTGGAAGAGATTTGCGTCTGTAGGAAAAAGTCTGCACTGGTGAAATAAACAGCCAGGCTTTCTCTGAGGCCCCACCCATTCTTTCTGAGAGCAGCTCAGTGATTACCTGAGCAATTTCCACGTGCGTAACATGAGAGCTTTGGTGTGAGCAGCGTTCCTCCCTTCGCTCCCCTCAACCTGTGACCCCACCTCCCGAGAAATGTGGTTCCAGGCCATTGTTCTTTGGGCTCTCCCATCTTCCCTGAAAATCGTTTATTTCTACACCTCCTTCATCTCCCCTCTTTCCAACCAAGAGGATATTTAAGCATCAACCGTCTTGCCATTCTTTGAGTTTTCGTATTTTGTGTGACTCCTGTGCATGTACGTGCACGTTAATAAAATTTCCCACCAATCTAGTCTCAGTGTGTTTTATAGACCCAAATTATCAAAATTTCAGGGGAAAAATTTAAACTTCCCTACATTCCCTAGGAAAGCAGATTTTCAAAAATTATTTCCAAGTGTTGTTTTAGGAATACCTTATATGCACTTTCCTTCCAAGAGATAATTACATGGTCAACAGCCACCATGCCTAGGAGGCCCTGTGACCCTGTCCCACCCCACCTCAGCCAAAGTTCATTGACTTTGGGTGCAAATAGCCAAAGGCAGCCTTGAGCTGACTCAAGTACACTGAGCAGTGACAAAGTCACAGAGCTTGGCTTGCTGAGAGCCGTGGAGATGACAAAGTCTTGAAGCAATGGAGGTCAGATGTTCGTGCTGACCTGTCAACAGGTGGGAGGTGGTAGCGGCTAGATCATATACAGCAGGAGGGGGCTTGTTTTCCTGGAATAAAAAAAAAAAAAGCCAGACAGCAAATATTTCTGTCTTTGAGCACCATACTGTCTCTGGTGCACCATAGTCTAGTGTTGCCATTGTGGTGTGGAAGCAGCCATCGACAGAACATAAAAGAATACGGACGGCATGGCAGTCACAGTCAGTTGACTTCATTGTAGAGCCTTATGGGCCACAATGAGGTATTTGGATTTATTCTATTGGCAAGGAGAAGGCACTGGAGCATTATACAAGGTGGGGTGGAGGGTAATTAGATCTCACTTACACTTCAAAAATTATAATCTTAGAGCTGTAAAAATACCATGGTACTAAAGGAGTATTTTTATCCCTTGTGAAAGAAAGCCAAATTGTAAGCTTTCAGGACCAGCCAGGGTAATCTTCAATTTACGTCTCCACCATCTTCTGAGTTTTATCTTAAAGTAGGTGTAAGATAGTCATCCTAACATTACCATGGAATTATAAAACCACAGGGTTGGGATGGGTGCGGTGGATCATGCCTGTAATCCCAGAACTTTGGGAGGCCAAGGCAGGTGGATCACCTGAGGTTAGGAGTTTGAGACCAGTCTGGCCAACATGGTGAAACCCGGTTTCTACTAAAAATACAAAAACATTAGCCAGGCATAGTGGTGGGTACCTGTAATCCCAGCTACTTAGCTGGCTGAGGCAGGAGAATCGCTTGAACCTGCAAGGCAGAGGTGACAGTGAGCCAAGATCGCATCATTACATGCCAGCCTGGGCGAAAAGAGCGAAACTCCCTCTCAAAAACAAAAAACAAACAAACAAAAAACCCCAACGGGGTTGCAAAGGCCTCGAGAGACTGTCTCATTCAATCACCAGCCTTCCAACTAGGTCCATGCCTCAATCAACTCAGAGATGAAAACCCAAATGATGTGCCAATGCTGAGCCTGAGGATGGGTTCTGCTCTTCCCTGTGTGACAGGAACACCCACCCCCACTCTGATGAGAGGTTAGAAAATAATTCTGCTTTTTCCAAAGAGATTAAGCAATAACAAACAGAAACAAGAAACTAAAAAATCTTGGGTGCCTTTGGACTGCAGAACTTACAATCTCTCTAAATCCCAACTCTGACTCTTCAAATCTACCATTTGACTTTTTCCATTGAAGTGAGTTGATTTAATTCTAGTGCAGCCACAAATGTAGATGAAGCACCCGGGAACCACATAGCACATCGCGGGATGCAGACAGGAGTTACTGACACAGACGACAGGTCCCAAAGTAGAAAATTAGGTCTCTTAAAAATCATTTTAAGGGAGATTATAAGCATGGAAACATGATGTCTACGTATTGTTAAGTGAAAATAGTAATATACTGTCTGATAACATTTCTGTAAAAGAACAGAGAGAGATTGGAATCATCTTGAAATTAAAGATTTCTGCGAAAAAAACAAGTGTCCACCAGTATGTACAGCATTCTTCAACTTATGTTTTTAAAATGCTGTGTATAAGTGATTGAAAAATCATATCACAGGGCATACAATAGCAAGTTTAAAGCACGTGCTATTATAAGACAAGGCAACATGGTAAGAAGGAGGGAGATGGAAAAAAGAAAAGGAAAGAAGTCTGTCTGTGGTATGGCCAGAGGGGAAAGAAACACTGGGAGAAAACCCACTCATCCTGGTCTTTCCTGCCACTTTCAGATATCCTCCTGGTAGCTTTGCTGTCTCAGTCCTGTACTGACAAATGCTGGTAATGGGACTGCATGAGAGCAGTCATACTCTGAGGAATCCACCGGCTTTTAAGTGTGGTTCCATTACAGGATTATGTGGCGCCACGAAGTCCAATACCCAGGAACAGAGGATGGGGAATGTGACCCACAGAGCTCAAACAAAATGACAAAGGAGACCACTTGGGTTCTAGGGCAGCAGATCACATTTGCTTCTTCCAAAGAACCAGAAAGCTTTTTAAAAAGCAAATGGAATAAAGATGTGGATGAAAAGTTTTCTCCCTGGGATAAGTGGATGGGGAGGAAGAAAATGAAAAACAGGTAAATTGCTGAAGAAAAGGCAGTATAGTGAAAAAATCAACATTTAAGAATTAATTATATGCCACTTTTCAAGAAATAAGCATAAGACACCAGAAAAATACGAATTTAGTGAAGGTCGAACAAACACTTTTTTCCCAGTGGCTATGAAAGAGAGAAGCAAGCATCTTTAAACGCTGGCAATTATGCAGATGGCAGAAAGAATAAAGACTGAATTTCATTCCCACATAAGGGAGAGTATAAGGGAGAGTATTAGGGAGACAAAAAGCAACCTGAAGCGTTTACAGTTTTGAGTGAGCGGACAGCCCAGCAAGCATTTAGAACTCATTATCTGAGCTGTGAAAAATGACCCTCAGAAATCACTGAAATTAATCAAGAAGTTAAACATTTATTAAAAACAAGCTTAGAGATTATAGGAGAAAGGTCGAGTCCAGAGACTCCAACAAAGCTGAATCAGCTGATTTCTGGGCTGTGAAATGTGTGGTGCTCAATTTAGGGCACAAGGTTCAGATGCAGGTAAGGCCTCTGGAGCCCCGTCGGGCCGGACCTGAGCCTGCATATGGGGAAATCGCTGTTGTTGTCAGCCGCTCTTGCAAAAAGCTGATGATGTGGCTGTTGAACAACCTGGGACCCTTGACCCTGCCATGACGTTTGTACCAATGTGGGTGTCTGGGTGACATTCAAAATTAAATAAATCAAACTTAAATTACCAAGTTCTAGACTCCAATGTCCAGGGAAATGCCACATTTTGCTGTGGGCGACAGAATTTTGCCCCCTCCACGCTTTTTGTCATAAGGGTCAAATAAACAGGATCATTGAACAGACAGAGTGGGCTCTGATGTGCTTCTCAGCTGGACACTGAACACGGGCAGTACTGTAGTGATGTCCCCAGGAGCGATTGTGCAGGAGTGAGGTGGGGCAGACGGCTTTTCCTGCTGGCTGCTGAGTTGGTGCCATATACATCTCTGCTGCCCGAGGCAGGAGTAACATTGAGCCAATACCATATCCTGTTGAATTTTGCCAAAATGAGAACGCACAGAATCCTCAGATGGTCAAGTGGGAGAAACAAAAAGAAAAATGTTCTGTCCTCCTACCTTGGTCTAATTATTTACTTTCTTTCTTTTTTTTTTTTTTTTTTTTTTTTTTGAGACGGAGTCTCAGTCTGTCGCCCAGGCTGGAGTACAGTGGTGTGATCTCAGCTCACTGCAAGCTCCGCCTCCCGGGTCCACGCCATTCTCCTGCCTCAGCCTCCCGAGTAGCTGGGACTACAGGCAACCGCCACCACGCCTGGCTAATTTTTGGTATTTTTAGTAGAGACGGCGTTTCACCGTGTCAGCCAGGATGGTCTCGATCTCCTGACCTCGTGATCCGCCCGCCTCGGCCTTCCAAAGTGCTGGGATTACAGGCATGAGCCACCGCGCCCGGCGATGTTTAGAGTTTTTTTAAAATCAGGTTACAAAATGGTGTAAGCCAAATTAAAATGTACAGAGAAACCAAAAGAGGACGGCAACATGCCTCAGTGAAATAGTGACTGCATCTGAGTAGCTGTTTTTTCTGTTTCTTCAGACTTTGCTGCACTTCCCCAATCCTCCATAATAGCAACAGCAGAAGCACAGCCTGTGGGGCTAGCCTTGCTTTAAGCATTAGCTGCTGTTATTCCCAGCGTTGTTACTCGTATCATCAAAAGTTGATAAACTGAAAGCTGAGAAAAAGACCAAAGGTTAGAGGGAAACATTTAGAAATGTGTTAGAGACTTGTTTTTAAAGAAACTTTTAATTTTGAACGAATTTTAGGTCTACACTGCAAAGATAATTTAGAGAGACCCTTCCCCCCGTCCCGGTTTCCCCAGTTGTGAACATCTTACATCACCGTAGTACATGTGTCAAAACTAGGAGATTACGACTGGTACATGACTTAACTAAACCCCAGACTTCGTTTGAAATTTACTTGTTTGGCTGGGCGTAGTGGCTCACACCTATAATCCCAGCACTTTGGGAGGCTGAGGCAGGTGGATCACTTGAGGTCGGGAGTTTGAGACCAGCCTGACCAACATGGAGAAACCCTGTCTCTACTAAAAATACAAAATTATCCCGGCGTGGTGGTGGGTGCCTGTAATCCCAGGTACTCAGGAGGCTGAGGCTTGAGAATCACTTGAACACAGGGGGCAGAGTTTGCAGTGAGCCGAGATGGCACCACTTCACTCCAGCCTAGGGGAAAGAGCTAAACTCTGTCTCAAAAAAAAAGAAAAAAGAAAAAAAAGAAAAGTAATTCACCTGTTTTTCCACTTAGGGACTCTTTCTGTTTTAGGAGGATGAGATTTTTGAATGTTAACTAATGTCCCCCTTTTTTTATATTTTAATTGTGAAACATACGTAGAAGTTCATAAAACAAAATGCACTATTTAAAGGAAAATGAAAAGTTCAAGGAATGGAATGATGCCAGTCTCCTGGTATCCTTTTTCTGACTCGCCACCCAGAGGTAATCATTACCCTGACTTTTATGGCAATAATATCCTTGCTTTTCTTGGTAGTGTTACTGTCCAGCTATAATCTCCTCAGTAAAGTAGTTGTGCCTGTTTTTGAACTTTATGTACATGAACGCATGCTGTATATTCTTTTGTTCAAGGTTATCTGGTTGTTGTGTGGTGTGTGTGTCTATGGCTCATTCATTTTCATTGCTGTGTGGTACTCGACTGAGATGCTCTTTGATATTTTCTCCTGCTCCCTGCCCTTCCCTAATCAAATAGACCTTCTGCCTCCATGTCCCAGGGATGGCAATATAACCACAGAAAATCAAATTAAAATTATTTATTATTATTTCAAAAGCCCACATCCTCACGGATTTAAACGAGATTTATAGCAGGATTTCTCAACCTCCACCCTATTGACGTTAGACCTAATAATTCATTTGTTGTGGGGATGTCCTGTTCAGTGCAGGATGTTTAGCAGCTTCCCTGGGCTCTACCACTAGGTGCCAGTAGCATCCACGGCCCTCCAGTTGTGAGAACCAAAATGTCTCCAGATATTATTGCCAAACATCCCCAGGGAGGCAAAGTCACCCCAGATGAGAGCCACTGTGAGAAGAAGGAAAGGAAAAAATCAGTTGGGGAAAATGCAGACTGCAGAAGCAACCTGCCTGAAAAGTTACAGCAACAGGCAAAAATGAAACAACCTTGGGGAAAAAAAAAAACAAAAAACCTCAGGCTGCACCTGCGCACAGATAAGCAACTTAGTGAGCTCCCAGGAAAAAAGTTTCTTCCCTTTTTTCAGGCATATATACGGTGGAAACTTGCACAGATGGGGAGGGGGCTTACCTAAAACAAACCCACAGTTAATACAAACTAGAAAAGCAGAATTCGTGATGGCCTAGAGACATACCCACGGCTGCGTAACAGAAGGGGAATTGCACAGACAGCTTTACTGATAAGAGAAGTGACTCAAACTGCTAGAGATAAGAGTTTCTGATAAAAGCTTTTGAACTCAGCTGTAACCCCGCAATCCACTCGGAATCCTCTCTCCTCTGCAGAGAGCGTTTTTTCTGTCACTTTTTTTTTCTTTTTCCTTTTTTTTTTTTTTTTTTTTTTGAGATGGAGTCTCTCTCTGTCGCCCAGGCTAGGGTGCAGTGCCGCAGTCTCGGCTCACTGCAAGCTCCGCCCCCCGGGCTCACGCCATTCTCCCGCGTCAGCCTCCCGAGTAGCTGGGACTACAGGCGCCCGCCACCTCGCCCGGCTAATTTTTTTGTTTTTGTTTTTGTATTTTCAGTAGAGACGGGGTTTCACTGTGTTAGCCAGGATGGTCTCGATCTCCTAACTTTGTGATCTGCCCTCCTCGGCCTCCCAAAGTGCTTTTTTTTTTTTTTTTTTTTTGGAGACAAGAGTCTCGCTCTGTTGCCCAGGCTGGAGTGCAGTGGTGCAATCTCGTCTCTACTCCAATAGAAATGTAATTGGTTTTTGTATATTGATCCTGTATCCTGCAAACTTGTACTTGTTACTAGCTCTAATAGGTTTTTTTGGTTTGTCTTTGTGTGTTCTTTGGATTTTCTATATACAAAACCATGTCATCTGCAGATGCAAAGAATTTTGCTTCTTCCTTACCAATCTGGGTTCCCTTTATTTCTTTTTCTTGACTAATTGTTCTGGTTTTATTTTTTTTTTAACAATTTTCTCTTAAGCTTCTCTTCTGCCAAGCCATGGAATCATGTTAGTAGTCAGTTTGGGATCTTCCCTGCTTTCCTGGAGTTGTGTCTAATTTTTTTTTTTTTTTTTTTTTTTTGAGGCAGAGTCTAGCTCTGTCGCCCAGGCTGGAGTGCAGTGGTGCGATCTCGGCGCACTGCAACCGCCGACTCCCGGGTTCAAGCGATTCCCCTGCCTCAGCCTCTGGAGTAGCTGGGATTACAGGCGCCTGCCACCATGCCCAGCTAATTTTTTGTATTTTTTAGTAGAGATGGGGGGCTGGGCGCGGTGGTTCACGCCTGTAATCCCAGCACTTTGGGAGGCTGAGGCGGGCGGATCAGCTGAAGTCAGGAGTTCGAGATCAGCCTGGGCAACACGGTGAAACCCCATCTCTACTAAAAATACAAAATCAGCCGGGCATGGTGACACATGCCTGTAATCCCAGCTACTCAGGAGGCTGAGGCAGGAAATCGCTTGAACCTGGGAGGCGGAGGATGTGGTGAGCCGAGATCGCGCCATTGCACTGCAGCCTGGGCAACAAGAGTAAATCTCCGTCTCACCAAAAAAAAACAAAGAAAACAAAAAAGGAAAGAAATTAAGAAAACAATCCAATTCAATTAACAATAACATCCAAAAGAATGAGATATTGAATAAATTTAACAAAAGAAATGTGAGTCTTGGCCGGGCATGGTGGCTCACACCTGTACTCCCAGCACTTTAGGTGGCCGAGGCAGGCGGATAACGAGGTCAGGAGATCAAGACCCTCCTGGTTAACACAGTGAAACCCCATCTCTACTGAAAATACAAAAAATTAGCCAATGGCCGGGCATGGTGGCTAACGCCTGTAATCCCAGCACTTTGGGAGGACGAGGCGGGCAGATCACAAGGTCAGGAGGTCGAGACCACGGTGAAACCCCGTCTCTACCAAAAATACAAAAAAAATTAGCCAGGCGCGGTGGCGGACGCCTGTAGTCCCAGCTACTTGGGAGGCTGAGGCAGGAGAATGGCGTGAACCTGGGAGGCAGAGCTTGCAGTGAGCCGAGATCGCGCCACTGCACTCCAGCCTGGGCGACAGAGCGAGACTCCATTTCAAAAGGAAAAATATTAGCCAAGCGTGGTGGCGGGCACCTGTAGTCCCAGCTACTCAGGAGGCTGAGGCTGGAGAATGGCGTGAACCCGGAAGGTGGAGTTTGCAGTGAGCCGAGATCGCACTACTGCACTCCAGCCTGGGCGACAGAGTGAGACTCCGTCTCAAAAAAGAAGAAAAAATCAAAAGTGTGAGTCTTGTTTACTGAAAACTATATAATATTTTTGGAAGAAACTAAAGAAGAATTAAATAGAAAGACATGCCATGTTCATAGATTGGAGGATAACATCATTAAGATGATAATCCTCCTCAAATTAGTCAACATAATCCCTAACAAAAGCCTACCTGCTTTCTATGCAGAAGTTGAAAAGTTGATCTTAAAATTCATATGGAAATGCAAGAGACCCAGAATACACAAAACAGGCCTGAAAAAGAACAAAGTAGAAAGACTCACATTTCCACTCCAAAGCTATAGTAATCAAGATGATGTGGTGCTATTGTAAGGATAGACATAGTGATAAATGGAATAAAATTGAGAGTCCAGAAATAAACCATTACTTTCAGGATTAATTGATTTTCAACAATGGTGATAAGACAATTCAATGAGGAAAGAAGAGTCTTTTAAAGTAAGGATGCTGGGGAAACCACACACATCCATATGCAAAATAAAAAAGTTGAACCCCCCACCTCACACCACATACAAAAAAAAATTCAAAATGTATCAAAGACCTAAATTACATTTAGAGCTAAAACTATAAAACTCTTAGAGAAAAATACAGATGTGAATCTTTGTGACTTTAACTTAGGCAATAGTGTCTTAGCTGTGGCACCAAAAGCACTAGCAATTAAAAATAAACAAATTGAACTTCATCAAAATTTTAAAATTTTGGCCAGGTATGGTGGCTCACGCCTGTAATCCTAGCACTTTGGGAAGCCAAGGCGGGTGGATCACCTGAGGTCAGGAGTTCAAGACCAGCCTGGTCAACATGGTGAAACCCTGTCTCTACTAAAAATACAAAAATTAGCCAGGTGTGGTGGCACACGCCTGTAATCCCAGCTACTTGGGAGGCTGAGGCAGGAAAATTGCTTGAACTTGGGAGGCAGAGGTTGCAGTGAGCCAAGATCGTGCCACTGCACTCCAGCCTGGGCAACAGAGCAAGACTCTGTCTCAAAAAAAAAAAAATTAAACATTTCGTGTGGCAAAGAACACTAATAAAAAGTGAAAAAAATACACAGAATGGGAGAAAATATTTGTAAATCATATATCTGATAAATAACTTGTTTCTAGAATATATGAAGAACTCCACTAAACAATAAAAGGGCAATAAAAATGAGCAAAGAATTTGAGTAGATATTTCTGCAAGGAGAATATACAATGGCCAGTAAGCACAAGGAAAGATATTCAACATCATGAGCCATTAGGGGAATGAAAATCAGAACTACAATGAGATACTACTTCCTACCTAGTAGGATAACCATAATTTTAAAAGACAGACAATAATAAGTGTTAGCAAGGATGTGGAGAAAATTGGAAACCTCATACACTGCTGGTGGATATATAAAATGGTACAGCTGCTTTGGAAAACAGTCTGGCAGTTCCTCAAAAAGTTAAACAGAGTGACCATATGGCCTAGTAATTCCACTCCTAGGTATATACCCCAGAGAACTGAAAACATGTGTCCACTCAAAAACTTATACAAAAATGTTCATTGAAGCATTATTCTAAATAGCCAAGGAGTGGAAACAACACAAATGTCCATGAATGGCTGAACAAATGGAATACTATTCATCAATAAAAAGAAATGTTACAATATGGAGAAAGCTTGACAACACTATGTTAGGCTAACAGCCATGTATTGTATGATACCATTTATATAAAATATCAAAAATAGACAAATCCATAGAGACAGAAAGTAGATTAATAGTTGCCAAGGGCTGAGGGCAGAAGGAATGAAATTACAGCTAATGGGTATGGAATTTCTCCTTGGGGTGATAAAATGTTTAAGAATGCAGCCATAAAAAAGAACGAGGTCATGTCTTGCGGGAACATGGATAGAGCTGGAGGCCATTATCCTTTGCAAATTAACACAGGAACAGAAAACCAAATACTGCATGTTCTCACTTAGAAGTAGGAGCTAAATAATGAGAACTTATGGACACAAAGATGGAAACAACAGACACTGAAGTCTACTTGAGGGTGGAGGGTGGGAGGAGAGGGAGGAGCAGAAAAGAGAACTATTGGTTACTGGGCTTAATACCTGGGTGATGAAATAATCTGTGTGACCAACCCCCATAATACGAGTTAACCTACGTAACAAACCTGCACTTGTATCTCTGAACTTAAAATAAAAGTTGAGTTTTGTTTTGTTTTGTCTTGTCTTGTTTTGTTTTGAGGCAGAGTCTAACTTTGTCACCCAGGCTGGAGTGCAATGGCACGATCTCGGCTCACTGCAACCTCCGCCTCCCAGGTTCAAGTGATTCTCCTACTTCAGCTTCCCAAGTAGCTGGGATTACAGGCGCATGCCACCACACCTGGCTAATTTTTGTATTTTTAATAGAGATGGGGTTTCACCATATTGGCCAGGCTGGTCTCGAACTCCTGACCTCAACTGATCTGCTCACCTCAGCCTCCCAAATTGTTGGGATTACAGGCGTGAGCCACCGCGCCCGGGCTCCTGAGTCTCCTTTTTCTTTGTATTATTTCTGCCTCATGGGTTACCCCACACAAACAGCCAGTGAGGCTTCTCACAGTCTGACCTGAACCTGCATCTTGAGTTCAAATCACTGCCCTGCTCTGACCTTGGGCTAGTCACTCTTTTCGGCCAGGCGCAGTGGCTCACACCTGTAATCCCAGCACTTTGGAAGGCCGAGGCAGGCAGATCACCAGGTCAGGAGATCAAGACCGTCCTGGCTAACACGGTGAAACCCCGTCTCTACTAAAAATACAAAAAATTAGCCAGGTGTGGTGGTGGGCGCCTGTAGTCCCAGCTATTCGGGAGGCTGAGGCAGGAGAATTGCTTGAACCTGGGACGCGGAGGTTGCAGTGAGCCAAGACTGTGCCACTGCACGCCAGCCTGGGCAACAGAGTGAGACTCCGTCTCAAAAAAAAAAAAAAAAAAAGAATGCCTCTTTTGGCCAGGCACAGTGGCTCATGCCTGTCTTCCCAGCACTCTGGGAGGCCGAGGTGGGTAGATCACCTGAGGTCGGGACTTTGATAACAGCTTGACCAACATAGCGAAACCCTGTATCTACAAAAAATACAAAAATTAGCCGGGCGTCTTTGCAGGCACCTGTAATCCCAGCTACTCAGGAGGCCGAGGCAGGAAAATCACTTGAACCCCGGAGGCGGAGGCTGCAGTGAGTTGAGATGGTGCCATTGCACTCCTGCCTGGATGAAAGAATGCCTCATTTGTGGGGATATTTTGAGCATTAAATGAGACAATAATGTTGAACGGCTTAGCACCTCCAAATGGACAGTAGGTGCTCAATAAACTTTTGCTATTATTATTTCCCACTCTGCCCCTGGACTATGGCATGCATATTTTCCCTCCATCTTTACCCATAATATTGCCTTGGCCTAGACTGTCTGCTTCTCTCAGCCCCTTCTCTCTAGCCAAATCCTTTTCATCCTTTTCAAAATTTGCCTTAAGTCTAATCTTAACGGATTTGTCCAGCCCACAGGGCCCTTTCTCTCTCTTAAATTTGGAGCCCTCGGCTATCTCTTTCACTCATTCATCCAGAATCACATGCTGCCTTAGAACAGTCTTTTCACTACTGTATTTGTTAATTGTCACATATTTTCACCTAAACTGCAAGGTCCTCGAGTTCAGGAAGCTCACACAATGCTTACATGTTAAGGCCTGTGACCCCACCCGAAGTCTCAGGGAATATTTGCTGAATGAAATTTGTGTCCTTAACAGAGTCACCAGAGAATTAAGGTATTCCATTGTATGCCATGAAAAAAAGTAACAAGCAATATGAGAATACCTATTTTTAGATGTTTTGGCTTCAGGGTTTAATTTGACTGTGTTGGCGTTAGATCTGTTCTCCGCAGGCCTTGGATGTTTTTTCTTTAACGTGAGTTTCTTGGCTGAGATGAAGTGGGGTTGCCACTCTGTAGTGAAACCTGTAACCGTGCCATTCAAAATAAGTGAATTCCCTGTGGGGGAAAGTTGAAAGCCAGCTTTTGGAACTTGGATTTTTTTACCTCACAGCTTTAAAGGAACAAATCTGCCCCAGTGAGACAACAGATGCAGTTGTGAACTTTTGCTCTTGGTCTACATATTTACCCCCATTCCTCATGAGAAAGGGCAGAAATAAGCTGGAATAAATGATTTCCAGCATTCTCTGCATTCCTGGAACATTGTTGAAATAGATATTTTCCTGAGGAGGCCATTATAAGCAATTGGACTTGGCCACTGCACAGTGAGTCTTTTGCATCCAAAGTTACTTAATTTTTGCTTATTATTATTGCTGCAGAAGCATTTTTGGATCCTATCCTTTCCCTCCACTCTCATAAATTTGGTTGAAATAGCTGCACATAAATATTGGACATGGTTCCAAGTCTGTCACCATACCCAGATGTCTCCTCTGCTCCTCTGTGGCTGATCCTAAGCTCCGCCTCATCTCATAGATGAGCAGGAACTCAGGACCCCAGCATCTTTTCTTTTGTCAATCATTTTCTTGAGTACTTATAATGACTAAGGTTTTACATTCATTATCTGGATTTTTATTGTTGTTGTTTTTGAGATAGAGTCTCACTCTGTCGCCCAGGTTGGAGTGCAGTGGCGCTATCTTGGCTCACTGCAACCTCCACCTCCCAGGTTCAAGCGATTTTCCTGCCTCCGCCTCCCAAGTAGCTGGGATTACAGACATTCACCACCATGCCCAGCTAATTTTTTGTATTTTTAGTAGAGACAGGGTCTTACCATGTTGGCCAGGCTGGTCTTGAACTCCTGACTTCCGGTGATCCACCTGTCTCAGCCTCCCAAAGTGCTGGGATTACAGGCGTGAGCCACCATGCCCTGCCTGCATTCATTATCTTGTTTAATCCTCAAAACACCCCATAAGGAAGGTCATTTAATAGAGGACAGAAGTGAGACTTAGAAGCCACCAAGGGGCTAGATGGTGCAACCCAGAAGTGAGGGGCCTTTGGCTATCTGGGGGTGTACATTGGCAATTGGTATACAGGAGACAGGAAGGAGTGGGGAAGATAAATTCCACCTCTTCTGTGGAGTCGTAACCCTCCTGGAGAAGTCCTCCTTAGGTAGAGGACATCCATTGGTGACTCATTGTGATGCTGTGGCCAATACAGTACTATGTCATGCTGTGTCCGGAGTTGGTTCCTTCCAGTGGGCTCTTGGCCTAGCTGACTTCAAGAATGAAGCCACGAACCTTCCCAGTGAGTGTTACAGGTCTTAAAGGTGGCACAGACCCAAAGAGTGAGCAGCAGCAAGATTTATTGTGGAGAGCAAAAGAACAAAGCCTCTACACCATGAAAGGGGACCCAGGCAGTTTGCTGGCTGGGGTGGCCAGCTTTTATTCCCTTATTTGTCCCCGCCCACGTCCTGCTGATTGGTTCATTTTACAGAGTGCTGATTGGTCCATTTTATAGAGTGCTGACGGGTGCATTTACAATCCTCTAGCTAGACACAGAGCGCTGATTGGTGCGTTTTTACAGAGTGTTGATTGGTGCGTTTACAATCCTCTAGCTAGACAGAAAAGTTCTCCAAGTCCCCACTGGACCCAGTAAGTCCAGCTGGCTTCACCTCTCAATGCCACACTAACCAGCATCTTTTCTTGCCTTACAGCTTGTTTTCCCTCACCTTCTTGGCCCTAGGTTTGTACCCCTCATATAAAATACCAGCTCTCTAATCAGGACTCCAGCTCCTCTTTCTTGAGGACCTGGGTAAGACAGTTATTTTATTTTCCCAATTTACACAATTGAGTTGTGTGTAAAAATGGCTCATTGAGGCATGAAGAGAAGAATGAGCATAATAACATAAACTACAATTCAGAAAAGCATCCCAAACACGAGCAGTGAGGAAGAATCTCTTGTGAATGCCAAAAGGAGTCTGAGTGGGTGAAACAAACAATTATTTCACATATGACACAGAAAAAGGAAAATCAAGTTCGATGCAGTCCCCAGCGTACTGTCTTCTATACAACTTTTCAAACGGCCGGGCATGGTGGCTCATGCCTGTAATCCCAACACCTTGAGAGGCTGAGGCAGGTAGATCACGAGGTCAGGTGTTCAAGACCAGCCTGGCCAAGATGGTGAAACCCCGTCTCTACTAAAAATACAAAAATTAACCAGGCGTGGTGGCAGGTGCCTGTAATCCCAGCTACTCGGGAGGCTGAGGCAGGAGAATAGCTTGAACCCATGCAGCAGAGGTTACAGTGAGCCGAGAGTGCGCCACTGCACTCCAGCCTAGGTGACAGAGTGATACTCTGTCTAAAAAAAAATAAATAAATAAAATAAAACCTTTTCAAACTTCTGCTTTATTTCTGTACAAGAAAACTCTGAGCTCTCCAGTAGAACAATTTAGGTTTTAGGATAAGCACAAAATAATGCTTTGCAGTATGCAATTTTGTTGCCAAAACCATAGAGACATCATTCAAACTCCCACTTCTTATACTAAAAACAGGTAGTTTACTTTGCTGCCAAGAATCTTATAAAATCATCCCAAATTTACAAATGTTATGCCAGGAGAAAAAGTAGAAAAGTTTATTCACAAAATTTCTTTTTAAAACATCTCTATGGATAGCACATAAAACTCAATGGCTTAAGATGTGGAAAAGCCATTACTATCATATGCGTATGAGCAGATATTTTATAGCTGGATAAAAATGCCCCTGTCCAAAGTATGAATCAACTTTTGGCACATGTGTAAGTCAAGTTAGGCCAGGCGACATGGAGCAACAAATAAACCCTGAAACCGTGCCTTTATAAAGTCTGATGCAGTTGGGTGACCCCTTCCATACTGCAGCTGTGCCATGTAGAACGAGTATCTGCCAAGATCACTGCAGCACAGGAAGAGACGGAGGAGGCATGCAGCTCTCAAACACCTTCACCTGGAATGACGCATTGAGAAACACCAGGAGGAAACGTGAGGACAACAGGCCATTGCTTCTGCCCGTGGTGCATGTATGAGGGAGAAGTATGAATGGTTTTGTTGTTGCTGACTACCAACAGGACCCCATGCCTTGGGCGAGTGAGTGTGTGTGTGTGTGTGTGTGTGAGATTAAATAACCAGGAGATGTGATGTGCCTTGGCAGTGCAGCCACCAATGGATGTGGATGGGGTCTGTGCTCCATGTGCAGCGCGAGGGGGCAGTGCCACAAAAGTAAGAGAAGATGCATCTGAATGTCAACCCTACCCCGGGTTATCCTCTGAGAACACCTAAGGACAACAGCATGCTCCCAACCTTGATTCAGTATTTAAGAAAATGAAAATCACATGTAATCCACATGCTTGTAGTTCTCTCTTCAGTGTGTTGTGGCAAGACACTGGGACTGAAACACCAAGGCTTCAGTCTAGGTCCTGCTGCTCACTGCACAGAAAGCCAATCACTGAGACAGTAAGTATTGCCAGGGAAGAAGGCTTAAATCAGGTGCTGCAGCTAAAGAGATGGGAGCTCAGCCTCAAATCCATCTCCCTGGGGGACGCAAATTAAAAGTGGACGTAGCAGCGAAGAATGTGACCCTGCATGGGAAAACAAAAATGAGGGAGGGGTAAGGAAGAGGAGTTGGTCCACAAGAAGCTGGTGGTGGGTTAGGCAGTCATGACCTGTGAGGGGTCTGCAGCATTTTCCAGATGCTGCAATCTGGTGAGTTTCCGTTCCTTGATGCTTATCTGGGAGGTCTGATGATTGGTTTCCTGAGAAAGAAACTCAGGTAAGACAATTGTAACTTTCTCAAGTTTTAAGACTGAGAGGGGCAGTTCCTGGCATTCACTGAGGCTCACTTCCTTGGACTCTTTGGAGGTAGAGCTCAGAAATACACATTTTAAACAAGTTCTGCAGAGATTTTTATGCACACCAATTTATTGGTAGGCTTGGAAAACTTTGCTAAAAATGGATACATGAAAACATGAGATGTCAATTGCAACAGGCAATGGAAATGAATTTGAGTTTAAAAGTTCCTCTGTCCTGAAGAAATTTCAGATGGTAACTTTATTTCCAACTTATGTGCTCCTTAAGCAATAAAGTTTTCAGTGCTGACATAAGCCAAGTTTCTTGCCTTTTATGGTAAAAACATTAGTGACTCCGTTTCTCCAAGTGCGAGGACAAAAATCCCAGTAATCCCTCTAATTCATAGCACCTCCACAGATAATGACTGTTTGTTGTCAGATGGAAATAATTTCATTAGCATAAGTGGATGCGGAGTTTATAAATGCAGACGCATGTGTTTCATATTCTGCTCCTATTTATTTACACATTCTGTAAACACATGTATACACAAAGTCACATGGACATTTTTAGGCGAGCGCCTGGAACACTGTGCACATGGAAATACCGCAGTTGTTGCCTTCAGGACTTTTTTTGTCAGGTGGCAAGTTGGTTACTGTTCAGAGGATCTCAGTTACCCCATTACCACCTCTCCCAGGTGAAAATGTGCCCTGCCGCAAGTCAGGCTCTGGAACTTTCTTGAACTTCCTTTTTCTCTTCGAAAAGTCCTGTCCTCTTAGGGCTCTAATTTATTGGAAAAGTAATTCATTCCCAAATATTCATGGTTTCTAATATGTTAATATCACAGCCTTCTCAAATAACATATCTCTAAATCCACAATACTCAAAGTTAATGAAGAGAAGTTCAATCAGGTTGATGAGGAGGCTGGATTGTACACTCCCTTCTGCTAACACAAAAGGCCTTGGACACACCTGGGATCAAGTCAGAATGAACCTGGTTCTGGAAACACAAGCTTGCACAGTGTAGGGAGAGGCAGGTAGAAAAGGTGGCAGAGCTGTGTGTCTCTTCTGAGCCTCCCCTGGAGAATGAAATGGACCCAAATGTTATCTACCTCATCAGAAACAATTGGTAACTACAACCCAGTGTCTCCTGAGCTAAATTAGATTTTTGTACTACATGCTAAATGTAATGTGACGGGGAAAAAAGAAAGTTAGGTAGAAATCATGCTTTCCAAAGCTCTCTTTATTTAAATGGTCTGTTTTGGTCCAGGGACTGTATGATCTTTTTTTCTCTCTCTTTAAATTTATGAAAACTTTTTTTCTGATAGTGAAAGCAAAAATACTAGCTGTCTTCTGCTGAGTATACTCTGTGCCAGGCACATGCTAACTCCTTTACATTAACAGATGAGAAAATGGATGCCTAGAGCCAATAGCTGCCTCAAGATTGAACAGCTAATTAGTAGCTAAACCATGATCAGAACCCGAAGCCCATGTACTGGAGAGTGTTCCCCTAAAATCCATGTGCTTCCCAGAACCTCAGAATGTGACCTTATTTGGAAATAGGATCATCACAAATGTAAGTAAAATGAGGTTATACTGGAGGAGGGAGGGCCCCTAATCTGATATGCCTGGTGTCCTTAGAAGAGGAGAAGAGACAGACACACAAAAAGAATGTCACCTAATGATGGAGGGGGCAGTGATTGGAGTGAGGAGGAGGCTGGTAACACCAGGAGCTAAGAGAAAGGCGGAACAGGCCCTGTCAACAACTAGACTACAGGCTTGTAGCTTCCCCCACTGTGAAATACTACATTTCTCTTACAATCTGGCTGGCTTAAAAGTAAACAAAATGTATTGTTTCAGAGTTTTCCAGGCTGGAAATCTGGAGTTATTGTCTCAGTTGTTTCGTACTTTGTTAAAGCTCATGCAGCCTGCCATCTGAAACAATGCACCCTGCAAGGTGCTTAGTGTAGAAACTTTGGAAAACAGAGAATTCACTAAGTGCTCATGGTCCCACGTTCCAGAACCAGTCGCTGTAGAGTGTATATTTTCCAGTTTTCTTCACTTGCCTCTGAAGGCCATTCTGTCCACTTCTACCTTTTAAAAATAGTAGCAGTTCTCTTATGTATTTTCTTCTTTTGTTGTTTGATCAGCTGTACTCTTTATGGGATGTGCTTTCAAAAGAGTGAGAACCACTGTAAACTCCAGAATCCTGTTTTTCATCACCACCGCCACCATCCTCCTCCTCCTTCTCATCACCATCACCATCACCATCATCAACACCATCATCAGCTGGTTAGAATAGGTCCAGTTGAAATGAGAAGTGCCCCTACCCCAATCTTTGACTCAAAGCTTTGACACTAAAAACGGAACCACAGTCTCTGATGAGACTCCCCAGAAGATGGCAGTGTGGATCACAAAACCACACTATCCACTCAGTACCACTGAGCCCCAGCCCGTGGATCCTGGTGTAACCAGAAGGCCCCGGGCCTGCGGCCTTGGTAGCCAGGCCACCCGCTGCCCTGATGAGGCTGCTGGGAGTGAGTATTCCAGCTCTGCGTGGTCCTTTCGTCTTGTGAAAGAGAAAAACATTGAACTACAACTTTAAGCTCTTCATTTGAAGAAAGTTACAGTTCAGACACTGGAGATTTTTGTCACCAATATTTCAAGGTATCCACTCTAATGTCTATATTCTATCTCCTACTTATCTGAAGGGTTTAAGGCAGGCATCTCAGTATTGTGGATAAAAGAAGGAAGGGCTGAGAAAGAATTAAATGGAGAAAGTTCAGAAGGAGCAATGAAACAGAATACCAGGATCATTTATTTAATGCTTAATAGCTGTGGGATCCAGGGATACTCAATCCTCTGTTTTTTTCTTTCTTTTTTTTCCATGGGCATAATATCTGTTGCTGATTCTGCACTGTTTAACACAGCTCAAATGAGAAAATGACTATTAAAACTGTAAGATAGTATTTCTATCATTAAATATCCTTTGTATGATCTAGCAGGGATTCTTAAACATGATCAGAATCACCTAGATGGCTTATTAAACCATGGATTGCTGGGCTCTACCCCATCATTTCTGATTCAGTAGGTCTCAAGAGGGGCCAGAGAATTTGCAGCCCTAACAAATTTCCAGGTGATGCTGATGCTGCTGGTCCATGGAGGACACTTTGAGAACCACTGGGCTACAACAAATCTAAGAGAATGTGTTGCTTTCAAGCCCTTACTATAAGTCTCAGAACTTCCTAGGTGACTTTTTTTTTCCTCCCCCCAAGATGGAGTCTTGCTGTGTCACCCAGGCTGGAGTGCAGTGGTGCTCTCTCAGCTCACTGCAACCTCCGCCTCCTGGGTTCAAGCAATTCTCATGCCTCAGCCTCCGGAGTAGCTGGGATTACAGGCGCCCGCCACCATGCCTGGATAATTTTTGTATTTTTAGTAGAGATGGGGTTTCACCATGTTGGCCAGGCTGGGCGACTTGAGCTCCTGTCCTTGTGATCCGCTGGCCTTGGCCTCCCAAAGTGCTGGGATTACAGGCATGAGCCACCACGTCCGGCCCCTAGGTGACTTTTTAATGCAAAATTAAGGATAGCATTTCACAAAATTAGGAAATGCTGTTTGTGTATGTGTGAGTGTGTTCAGTGTCTAGATGTACCCAAAGGTAACCATCTTAGAGATCACACCATTTCCAGTGGGTGTGGAACTTGCACAAGTGCGTGTTTTCCACCTTATGGTGTCTACATACCCCACTCACTGCCATGAGAACCTGGTGGCTACTGAATTGACAGTCGGATCAATGTGACCCGACGGTTCCCTCAAAGACCAAAAGAAAAGCTTACAGACCACAGGACCTCCCTTGAGAATGTCACAAGAAGAGGTTGTGTTTGGTCACTGCTGGGCTTACAGCCCTTTACCTGGGTCCATTTTCCCTATAGGTTTATTTATTGCTTACTGTCCATCTTTCTCTCTACCCCCCACATGTAAAAATTTAATATGTCCCAAGAACAGTGGCTGGCAAAGGACAGGCATGCAGCAATTGTGTTGAATGAATAGATAAACGCTGGCAGTGCCCTTCTCTTCCCAAACACTTAAATGAGTTTGTGAAACGCATTTATGTGAGCCTGCTTAACACCTTCCAGAACAACTGTGAGGAAAGTTTCACATCGTTCCAGCAAAACCCACAGTCACCATTATAAACTATAAAACCCAGGTATTTGGAGAGGAGGCCCCAAATCCTTACTCACATCTTAAGCCAATCAAAATCCACGTAATTCAATCAAGAGTTAATCAACATCAATGAACACAGAATTATAGAACCAAAGAAGTTAGCGCTGGAAGGGGCTAAAAGATTCTGTAAGTCGCGGTACTCTCTGAATGAAGAAGCAGAAGGCCCCTCCTGACTATGTGGCTGTGGAGGAGCCCATGAAGAGTGAAGGGTGGGTGTCCCCTCCTAGGCTGGTGCTCCTGCTTAGCTTCTCTCCCGGACACCCTGAGACTGAGAAGCTCGCAGTGATGCCCTCCCACTAGCCCCATGTGGACATGATGCAAAGGGGAAGTGTGAGGACCAGCGGCCAGCTCCTGGCTCGCCCAGAGGCTCATCCCTATCACTCTGTTGACCTAAAAATAACGTAACCTACGTTTTACACAAGTCCTGGTTCTCACTCAGAGCATATGGTAGGATTTATTGTCTTCAGGTCCTGGTTCTCACTCAGAGCATATGGTAGGATTTACTGTATTCAGATTTTGCCAACGCGCCTATATCTTCTACATGCTACAGATTCTGAGGTTGACACTGTAGTGACCTGTGCCAGCCTAACATTGTTTTTTCTTTTTTGCCTTTTTTTTTTTTTTTTTTTGAGACAGAGTCTTGCTCTGTTGCCCAGCTGGGAATGCAGTGGCGCTATATTGGCTCACTGCAACCTCCACCTCCTGGGTTCAAATGCTTCTCCTGCCTCAGCCTCCCAAGTGGCTGTGACTACAGGCATGCACCATCACGCTTGGCTAATTTTTGTGTTTTTAGTAGAGATGGAGTTTCACCATGTTGGCCAGGCTGGTCTCGAACTCCTGACCTCAAGTGATCCACCCATCTGGGCCTCCCAAAGTGCTAGGATTACAGGAGTGAGCCACCGTGCCCGGCCTAACATTGTCTTTTCTGATCCTATAACTTGTCATTTTGGTTTTGGGATAAAACTGATCATAGGTTTAGAAAGAGCGGTTCAAGATGATGATTAAGGATCTGCCTTGAGAGCCTTAATAGACCAGGAAGATTTAAAAATAAAGGCTGGCTGGGTGTGGTCGCTCATGCGCATCATCCCAGCACTTTGGGAGACCAAGGTGGGAGGACTGCTTGAGGCCAGGAGTTCAAGACCAGCCTGAGCAATAGAGAGAGATCCCCCGTCACTATTAAAGTGAAAAAAAAGTAAAAATAATAATAAAATAAAAATAAAGGATCAGAGGGACCAGAAGCTCAGAGAAGGTATAAATGGAAAGAAACAGAGGTAGATCCTTAAATGCTCTCAAAGTCAAACTAGATAAAAGGCAGCATTAGTAGAATTCCCATCCCTTGAACACTGACAGTGTTGCAGCCAGCCAGCCAAGTGTTTCATCTTTAGTGACATTCAATTCGCTACCAAGCTGTGCAGTGCATACTAGACTGAGCCACATAAAATTGCCATATTTATAAGTCAAAAATGGTTGAGCAACGACAATATTATTTGGTTCTAAGATGGATCATTCCCATGTTACAGATAAGGAGCCTGAGCCTCAGAATGGAGAAATATCCTGGCAGTAGTCATTGTGCTGGAAAATGGCGTAGAGCAAGATTTTGAACCCAAATCTGATAGACTCCAAAATCCATTCTCTTTCCACTAAACTATGGGGCTAGATAAGAAGGTGAAGCTCAGGAAAAGCCATAGGCAATTGCACTGTTTGTACTGTACTCGATAACATTTCTTTTCATAACTCATAATCCTTTATTCTCCCTTTATAGTCATAAATAATGCACTTCAGGAAAACTGCAAGTACCATCTTGAAGGAGCCCTAAGTACTGAAAGAACCACAAATGATTGTTTCCAGGTTATCAAATTTTAATAACATTATTTTATTACAATACAACATCTGTCCTTTTAAAGACAATGTTCCAAGAACTCATTATGCAATTATAAAATAATAAAGCTCTTCATAGAGTGAAGAACCAAAGGCAGTTCCTCCTTGTAGCAACACTCAGCATCTCCTGAAAATTTTTTTTAAAAATCCTAAGCATGCAATATTGCTTCTTCAGGCAAGAGTAGATACAGCACAAAGTAAGTATAAGTGAGGAACTGAATAAAACATGACTCAAAATGAATCTGATGTGTATACGTGACACTCCTAACGATATCCTAGGGTAAGAACAGTCTTAAAGTTTGGTCATTTCTCAGTTGACTGAGATGGCAAAGGCTTTTACATACAACCAAGTTGAATCTTTGGCATTTTCTCTTCTTTTGTGTTCTAGTATCATTATTGACAAGTTTTCCCTTGTTATGGGTTATTTAATTCTAAATGCAAACACTTGTTTTTGGAATTTAATACACAGTCATAATTTTAAAAATCAGGTAATAAATAAAAGTACAAAAAAAATAGCAAATAAACCACCCCAAATCCCACTTAGTCTCACCAGAAATAGAAGATTTGATGCTAATTTTCCACAGAATTACCTTTGGTGCATACTTCAGGGCATACTGAAGCCACTCACAGAAAGGAGGAGAAAGTGGTTGTAATAGATCTGGGCACGTAATTCAATTTCATACAACAGCCACCCTGGGTTCTATTTGTGGATGATCTTTTGGATTAACAAGTGGATAGATTTCCCATCCCATAAACTTGATTCATAAGCACACGTGTTAAAGAAAACTTTAAGTGCATTTCCCCCTCATTTTAATTAGGGTCCATGTAAAATATTTTTGCTCCAATTATAACCAGAACTACAAATACCTCCCCTCTTCAACCCAAAGAAGCAGTTACGAGTCCTTTGTGGCGTGTTCCAGTTCTGACTTGAGTATCACTGCATTTTTTCCCAGAAGAGCAATCTCTTGGGAAAAGAGTCAGGCCACTTTGGGTAAGATGTCATGGCGACGGCTTAAACTGAAGACAGATAGTGGAAATAGACCTTTTCAAACTTTCAAAACCCAGACTTATGATCCATTCTGCTTTTAACCATGGAGGACCCAAATATGACATGAGAAATTGGAATAATTTTATTCTCTAAAAGCACCAGTAAGCTCCCGCTCCTGGAAACATATTAGAAAAGTTTTTGCCCTTTGCCCTTTGCATAGATAGGTCCAAAGACCTTCCCAGGCTATAATTTTTTTTATCATGTACCACAGCAGAGATCAACAAAACTGAGTTGCACTGTGGCTGCTGAGCAAGTGGCTCAGCCCACTCACTAGCCCAGGGACTCCCTTCTGCAAACCAGGCTTCCAGAACAGGGGATTCTCTTCTGTGCAGAGGCGAAAGTATCAAATCACTGCGTGGCTTGGACTTCTCAAATAGCTGAAAGCCCAAATATTGAATCTGCAAAAGCTAGGAGCAAGGTAGTAATGTATTTGACTTCTAGTCTACAGAGCCAAAGTTCAGCTCTGGCTCTGACATTTACATGATCTTGGGTGAACTCCCTAATCTCTCTGTTGTACAGGGTGAAGATAAAAACAACACACTGTTGGCCGGGCGCGGTGGCTCACGCCTGTAATCCCAGCACTTTGGGAGGCGCAGGCGGGCGGATCACGAGGTCAGGAGATCGAGACCATCCTGGATAACACGGTGAAACCCCGTCTCTACTAAAAATACAAAAAAATAGTCGGGCATGGTGGCGAGTGCCTGTAGTCCCAGCTACTCGGGAGGCTGAGGCAGGAGAATGGCATGAACCCAGGAGGCGGAGCTTGCAGTGAGCCGAGATCCTGCCACTGCACTCCAGTCTCTGGGCGACAGAGCGAGACTCCGTCTCAAAAAAAAAAAAAAAAAAAGTATTTCCCCAATTTTCTATAATTACCACAGCCTTGTATCATCAGGGTTGTCCCTTCTGCTTCCACTGAATTCCATTTCTGTTTCATCTCAGGTTCTCTACTTGCTGTTCACGTTCCATGTGTCAAACCAGATGTGGGATTTGCACCCTATCCTCAACTTCCCTCCCAAAAAAGTTACATGAGGCCTATGCTTGTAGCAGACTTTACTAAGGTCTTTGAGGATACTCAGTGGGTTTATATGGCAGAAACTCCAAAATAATTTAAAACTGAGTCTGGGACTCACCTGCTTTGAAAAATTCTTTAGCCATTCTACCACCGGGCCCCTTGCTGCACTCTTTAAATTCTTTTCTTCTCAAGAACCCAAAATACATACAGGCTTACACTCTCCCTTTTCACCTGCTGCACTCCCTGCCTGACACCCAGCCTCTCCCTTGCTTGCTTAGAAGAGCCACGTGCATTCTGCTCACACAAGTTGGCATCTGCCCAGACACCTCCTTTTCTTCTTTCTCCTCCAGTGTTTGTGAAGGAAAGAGCATGGTAGAGGCATTTTATTTCTCCTAGAATATAAATTATGCCACCATTACCTCTCCCCTTTAGAAGACAGAAGCAGCTATAGTCCATTTCTGTGTGTGTGTGTTTTGTTTATTTGTTTTTTTAGATGAAGTCTCGCTCTGTCGCCCAGGCTGGAATGGAGTGGCACAATCTCAGCCCACTGCAACCTTTGCCTCCAAGGTTCAAGCAATTCTCCTGCCTCAGCCTCCCAAATAACTGGGACTACAGGTGCACGCCACTACACCCGACTAATTTTTTGTATGTTTAGTAGAAATGGTGTCTCGCCATGTTGGCCAGGATGGTCTTGCACTCCTGAGCTCAAATAATCCACCGCCTTGGCCTCTCAAAGTGTTGGGATTACAGGCATGAGCCACTGCGCCCAGCCCATTTGTATTTAACAATAGGTTTTTGAATTGTTCATTCATTCATTCATTCAACAAAGAGGTATTGGCCGGTCACAGTTGTTCATTCCTGTAATCTCAGTACTTTGGGAGGCCAAAGTGGGAGATCGCTTGAGGCCAGGAGTTTGAGACCAGCCTGGCAACATAGCCAGACCCCATCTCTACAAAAATAAAAAAAAAAGTAGCCAGGCATGGTAGCGTGTGCCTGTTGTTCTAGCTACTCGGGAGGCCGAGGCAGGAAGATTGCCTGAACCCAGGAGTTTGAAGTTGCAGTGAGCTGTGGTTGTGCCACTGCACTCCAGTCCAGGTGACAGAATGAGATCTATCTCCAAAAACAAGAACAAACCAAGTATGTGTGTGTTTCTTTCAATGTGCCAGGCCCTATTCTAGATGCTGGGTTGTGACCACAGCCAAAAATCCCTGCCACTATGGAGCTCATATTTGGATGGTGACAAGGAACACAACAGACAATAAACCAATATATAATTAAAGTAAATGTATATCAGACTGTGACAGGTGGGGAAAGATAAAGCAGGATAGGGTGACAGAAAGAAATGGCAAGACGGTGGGGGACAGGTGGCTTGCAATTTTAAATTAGGTAGTCAGGGAAGAAGACCCCATTGAGGAGGGGCCATTTTAGCAAAGACCTGCAATGTGTCTGGGAGTGAGTCATGTGACTGGGGAAGAGGGGCAAGGATGGAAAATGTCACAGGCTGAGGAAGCAGCCTGTGCCAGGGTCCTGAGGCAGGTTGCTGTCACATCAGTAGCTTTTCCTTTCTGTAATGGACAGGATAAGATTTCACCTTTTGCTCAGCTCAATGTCAGGCATTTCTTCAGGGTCCCAGAATTTCCTCAACTTTGTCCCCACCTTCCTTGTGTATTTCCTGTTGATTCTGCCTCCTAAATGTACCTTGAGCCTAGCCCTTCCCCTCCATTTGACCGGCCATGGCACTGGGTTGTGCATGCAATTTCTCCCCTGGTCTACAGGTGTAGCTTCCTAACTGGAGAGTCTGCCCCACTTCGACTCCCACCTGGGTGACTTAGAATTCAAACCTGATCTCACCACTCTGCTGCATTAAGTATTTCAATTCCTTCCAGCCCCCATAACCTTCAGAAAACAATTCAAGCTCGCTAGCATGGCAATAGCAAAGATTGTCAGCCCCCCACCCATGCCCCTCAGCACCTGCTGTTCCAGATGATGCCCGCAGGGCCCTGCTGCAAGCACCTGCTGCTCTTCACTTGAGGGATTGCTCTTGGTTTTGGGCAGTGAGCCTTAAGTGCGAGGAAGTTAATGCTCCCAGGCAGCAGCCCTCAGCCAGTGAGAGATGGGAATGGAAGGACCAATTGTCCACCTTGCCCACCCCTGAGGGAGGGGGCAGTGCAGAGAGAATCACTTTGAGGTGTTTTCTACACTGTCTGCCAGATTTTTCCTGGTGGCATTGACTCCCAGTGCCCACAGGGCCACGATGCCCATTATTCTGACCTTCTTACCTTCCCCCTCCCGCCTTCCCACCAGCCCCCACTGGAGCTTCCTAGAATCATCCCTCAAATAAACAACTTGTACTCAAATCTTTGTGTTTTGACTATTGTTGTGGGTTGAATTATGTCCTCTAAAAAGTTGAAGTTCTAACCCCTGGTACCTGTAAACATGACCTGATTTGGAAATAGGGTTTTCATGGATCTAATCAGATATATTTCATGGATATAACTAAGATGAGGGGTGGGCCCTGATCCACTATGATTAGTATTCTTATAAGAGTAGAGCGAGCACACATAAGGAAGAGAACGCCATGTGAACAGGGAGAGGGGAGGTCAGGTGGCAGAAGAATAGAGACTGGAGTGCCATGTCTCCAACCAAGGGATGCCAAAGATTCGCAGTAACATGGGAAGCTAAGAGAAGGGCATGGCACAGGTTCCCCCTGAGCCTTCAGAGGGGGTGTGGCCCTGCCAACACCTTTGTTTCAGGCTTCTGTCCTCCAGAACTGGGAAGGAATACATTTCTGTTGTTTTAAGCCTCCTAGTTTATGGTACTGTGTTACAGGGGTCCTAGAAAACTAACAGTTATCTATTGCTATGCATAACAATATTCTCAAAAATTAGTGCCAGAACCACCGTTTTCTTTTTTTTTTTTTTTTTGGTCTTTTTTTTTTCCTTTTTGTGGAGAACGAGGTCTCGCTATATTGCCCAGGCAGATCTCGAACTCCTGGGCTCAAGCTATCCTCCTGCCTCTGCCTCCCTGAGAGCTGGAATTACAGGCATGAGCCACCACGCCTGGCCACCACCGTTTTCTTTATCTCACATTCTGTGGGTCAGAAACTTGGACAGGGCTCAGCTGCGCAACTCTTCTGTTCCATGTGGTGTTGACTGAGATGTCCAACTGACAGCTGGGCAAGTCGAGGGAATCCACAACAGCTCCGTTCATTGTCTGGCACTTTGGCAGAGTCGCAGAGACAACTAGAAGGCTGGACCTGACGGGGACCACGTCCCAGAGAGCCTGCATGTAATCTCTCTAACTTGGCCAATTTAGAGTCATCAGAGTTCTTCCATGGTGGCTCAAAGCTACCAGAGTGAGGGTGTTCCAAGAGACCCAGGTAGAAGCAGCAAGGTTTCTTGTAAGTTAGTCTCAGAAGTCCCAGAATGTTACTTCTACAAATTCTGTTGGCTGAGCAGGTCACTGAGTCCAGCCCAGATTCAGAGGGTCATGAATAAGACAGCCCCCTGAAATGGGAAAAAGAGCAAAGAACTGCAGCCGTCCTTCATGTACATCACCTGTGCCAGGGTCTGCTGCTAGGGGAACCCAACCTAAGACACTTGCCTGCAAGATTCTTCAGGCTCTGGCTCCTGCCCTGTTTCTAGGGTCATCTCATGCCCTCACATTTGACTTTGGTGCCTGACATGCCAGATTCTCTTTTGTTTTTCTAACACTCCAGGTTCTATCTTGCTCCCATGCCTTTATTTAATTTACTTATTATATGCAAAGTAACAAAAAATACACAATAGATGTTCATGCTCTCCTCTGCCTAGAATGTCCTTCCACCCTATCCTTGTTTACCTGCAGCTGGGCTCATCCTTGGAGACCTCGACTGGGCTTCGCCTTCTTCATTCCAGTGAGGTCACGCACCTCCACCCTGCTCCTGCCTCTGCAGCATGGAACACATCAATTTCCTTGTCAGTAAGTTCTTCTAGAGAAGGAATTCTTCTTTCCCCTACTTCGGTATCCTCATGTCTGATGATGGATGAATGAATTATGTGTGGCCCTAAGAACTCCAAGGCAAAAATATAAACAGTTCAGCAAATTGCTAAATTTTTACATTAATGTTCTCCTGCCATTTTTGAGGGATTTTCTTAATGTCAACTAGCTCAATGTAGGAGCTGGTCACCAAGCTGTCACGGGGCTGAGGAGTGTCAGGTGGGGAGATAATCTAATACAACTACTTTTTTTTTTTTTTTTGATGGAGTCTTGCTCTGTCGCCCAGGCTGGAGTGCAGTGGCGCGATCTCGGCTCCCTACAAGCTCCGCCTCCTGGGTTCACGCCATTCTCCTGCTTCAGCCTCCCAAGTAGCTAGGACTACAGGCGCCCGCCACCACGCCTGGCTCATTTTTTGTATTTTTAGTAGAGATGGGGTTTCACCATGTTAGCCAGGATGGTCTCGATCTCCTGACCTCATGATCCGCCTGCCTCAGCCTCCTAAAGTGTAATACAACTATTTAACTTAAATGATGGGACCTTATATGTGACTCATTGTCTCCATGCCCTCATTTATCTCTCTTTGCTCCCTAATAGGCTTGGCTGATATCTTAATAAAGTTAATGTCTTCCTTGACCCTTGTCTTGTTCTTGCAGTATAAAAGAAGTCCCAGTTGCTCCAAACAGGGAAACTTTTGTTCGTAAGCCCTGTCAGAGTTCTGCCAGTTATAAACCGGGATAAAGCAAGCGTAATGGCAGTGCAGACATCTGGAAAATTTCCCTGTAAAGAACCAGATAGTAAATATTTTAGGCTTTGTGGGCCAAGAAGTAAAATTGAGGTATTTTCTATAGACACAAATGTAACCATTTGAATATTTAAAAAACATCCTAGAGCCAGCAGGCAGTGGACCAGATTTGGACGATGGGCTGTGATGTCCCACCCTGTGATGTAGTAGATTGAGAGCAAAACTGAGGTGAAGAGAGCTGGGCTCAAGTCCTTACTCGGTTCATTATTGTGTTACCAACCTAGAGCAGAAGGCTCTGGGGGAGATTCCACCGACAATGGAGGCTCCACTCCCCAGGGCATAGGGCGGAGGTAGAGTTGGTGGCTAACCTTCTGTTCTGAGGGCAAAGGGAGTTCGGATCCTTGGTCCTGGAGGAAGAGCAGAGGAAAGAAACATGGCCCTGGACCTCCAGGGAACACATAGTGAGCTCAGCCCCACCCCCAGAACCACACCTATGGACGCTGGATGCTGAACCAATGGATAAAGTGAAGGGAATTGTGTGTGGGCCTCAAGCCAAAGCAGGACAGGTGGCTCATCCAGAGGACCTGGGCCAACATTCCATTCTGCATCAGTGCCCAAACAAAGATGCCTCTCACCAGGGCTCCAGCTTCTCTGTGAGTTAAACGTTAACTGGGGTTTGAGCTCCTGTATCCAGGAATGCAGTAAACACAAAGTTCTCAGCCAGGGTCTGATACCCTCCTGAGGGCATCTGAAATGTGTGAAGGTGTTTCTGGCAGACCCGTTGGTCCTCGGGGAAAAGCATTTGCCAGCAATGGCACATGCTCTGCAGTTCATGGAATAGACCCGTGCAATGAAGACCTGTCCTGACCAAATGCCAGCAGCTCCCCCTTGAGAAGGGCTGCTAGGGAGCCATGCTGGTGTTCCTGGGCTGCTGGAATGCAGAGGGGAGGGACAGCCTCAGTATCTTGAATTCCAGTGAGCCTCACTTTCCTCATTTAATCTCAAGGATGCTTGTAAGAATCAAGAGATAATTACATTTGAGTCTTTTGTCGACTGGCAAATGTTATAAACATATCAATCATTGTAATGTGTCCTCCAGTGGCTCCTAAATGTGATGTCTTTTTAAAAAAAAATAATGAGGCCAGGCGTGGTGGCTCACGCTCATAATCCTAGCAATTTGGGAGGCCAAGGAGGGTGGATCACTTGAGGTCAGGAGTTTGAGACCAGCCTGGCCAAGATGGTGAAACTCCATCTCTACTAAAAATACAAAAATTAGTGGAGCATGGTGGTGCGCACCTGTAGTCCCAGCTACTCAGGAGGCTGAGGTACGAGAATTGCTTGAACACGGGAGGTGGAGGTTGCAGTGAGTCTAGATCGAGCCACTGCACTCCAGCGTGGGTGACAGAGTGAAACTCCATCTCAGATAAATAAATAAATAAATAAATAAGTAAGTAAATAAATAAAAGAGATACAACTTACATGAAGTGCACAAATCATAAGGTATAGCTCAATGACATATATCATACCTCAACACATACCCAGATCAGGATATGCGATGTTGCATCATCCCAGAAAGTTCCTTCAGGCCCCTCTCCAGTCAATACTTCCCTCCCAGAGGCAACCACGCTTCCGAACTCTCCAGAGACAAGTTTTGCCTGTCCTTGAACTTTATGTAAGGGGAATCATCCAGCATCTCCTCTTTCATATCTGGCCTCCTTTGTGAACATGGTCTTGAGGTTCATCCGTGTTGTTGCTTGGACCAGCAGTGCATCCCTTTTTATTGCTACATCATGACATGTATCTTTTTTAGGTGGAAGGGAATTTTTAAAATCTCAAAATTACAGCAGAAGCTACAAATAATCATTCCACCCCTTGCATGATTTCAGGTCCTGGTCTCTTTACCAGCCTCACTCCCACGCTGGGGGAATTATAATGTCAATTGGCTTTTAGCTGTATTGTGTTAGGACCAGCCCGTCATTCCTAACAAGGACAAGGATTTCGAGGGGAAAGGCTTCTGTTAGCTTAGTATTTATTAGTCTGATTATCTGTTCTTCAAGTCAAAAATCTGCTTGCCTCTTACTTAACTGTTTTATTTACCTAGAAAGTAGAAAGAAAGTCTACTCTAAAGTGCAGATAAGCTTCTCAACTTGGAAGCATGGTGCTTTAAGAGAAAAAGCACACACTCTGCAAACAAGATGTGGGGAGTGGAATGGAAAACTCCACTGAGTGCTTTCCTGGCCTCATGCCAATCTGTGAATACTTAATTATATATGTGTGAGTGTGTGTGTGTGTGTGTGTGTGTGTGTGTGTGTGTATTTAAAGCCAACTGTTCTCACATTTAGGCCAATTTTTCTTTGCTAATATGGTCTTTTCTTGTCTTCAATCCAAAACAGATTGAGAATCAAGAAAGATATATTCTATCCACAGTTTCATTTCACCAATCATCTGTTCATTTTCAACTAACGACAACCATTTATATGTCTTTAAATATTAATGTGGGTGCCAAAGAACACAAAGCAAAGGCACTGTTCATTCAGAGCCGAAATTGACTGAGAATTCCTGCAGAGGTGAAGTTTCTTCTAATTGATGGATTTGGTCTGGCAATGCCCATGGCCAGAGGTGCACAACAAGGAAATGAATGAGTGCAGAGGGAATAGTGCCAGTCAAGAATCTACAGGTTCAGGTGTATGCTTAGGCAAGTGCCTAACACAATTTCTTTGTCAATGGTGCCGTATTAAGTTGACTCTGGATCCCCTCAGAAATTGGGAAGAAACTCAGGGGAGAAATGACCGTATGTGCTTTCCCTTGATTAGTTATCGTCACTACATCACCTCACCTTAATCTGCATCACCATATGCAGCCACTGTATTTCATAATGCTTAGGGTTGATCAGCCATTATCCCATAGCTCCCTGTCCATGGCTCAGTTTGGTGCTTAGATTAACCTAGGAGGTGGTAAGGAAAGTACTCTTGCCACCTTGAGGGGTGAAAAGGCTAAATGACTTCTGCAGGGGTAACATTCAGTAAGTGGAGGAGGGCCTGCCTTGTTCTCTCCTTTGTCTCCAGGTTAAACTGAATGATACTCTAATGTACCAGAATATGCCCTTTGTAATATTTTATTTTTTTAAAATTTATTTTACTTTATTTTATTTTATTTTTTAGATGGAGTCTCAGTCTGCCACCAGGCTGGAGTGCAGTGGCACGATTTCAGCTCACTGCAACCCCCGCCTCCCGGGTTCAAGCGATTCTTCTGCCTCAGCCTCCTGAGTAGCTGGGGCTACAGGTGCCTGCCACCATTCCCAGTTAATTTTTGTATTTTTAGTAGAGACAGGGTTTCACCATGTTGGCCAGGATGGTCTCGATCTCTTGATCTCATGATCTGCCCGCTTTGGCCTCCCAAAGTGCTGGAATTATAGGTGTGAGCCACTGCGCCCAGTCATTTATTTTTATTTTTATTTAATTTTAATTTTTTTTTTGAGACAGAGTATTGCTCTGTCACCTAGGCTAGAGTGCAGTGGTGCAATCTCTGCTCACTGCAACCTCTGCCTCCTAGGTTCACACCATTCTCCTGCCTCAGCCTCCCAAGTAGCTGGGACTACAGGTGCCCGCCACCACACCCGGCTAATTTTTGTATTTTTAGTAGAGATGGGGTTTCATCATGTTAGCCAGAATGGTCTCCATCTCCTGACCTCGTGATCCACCCCCTCGGCCTTGCAAAGTGCTAGGATTACAGGTGTGAGCCACCGCGCCTGGCCTATTTTTGTTTTTTAAACGGAGTCTCTCTCTGTTGCCCAGGCAAGAGTGCAGTGGTGAGATCTCAGCTCACTGCAACCTCCGCCTCCAGGTTCAAGTGATTCTCCTGCCTCAGCCTCCCAAGTAGCTGGGATTATAGGCATTCACCATCACATCCCATCACATAATTTTTGTATTTTTGGTAGAGATGGGGTTTCGCCATGTTGGCCAGACTGGTCTTGAACTCGTGACCTCAAGTGATCTGCTTGCCTCGGCTTCCCAACGTGCTGGGATTACAGACGTGAGCCACTGTGCCCAGCCCCTTTGCAATATTTTATAAAGGTTAACCAATAGGCATAGAGTCCTTATTTTACTATAATGGAATATAAAGCCTTGTCCATTAAATAAGAATAAAGTTGCTTGATTTGTCCCAGTGAATTGACTACAAATGACCAGATGCTATGGCCTGTTGTCTGTCTTCCTTCTCCCTCTGCTCACCAGAACATAAGCTGCACAAGGGCAGGGACTTGGCTTAGTTCACTGTTATATCCAGAGCTCCTAGGCCAGGGCCTGACACATAGTGGGTGGTCTATAAATACTAAGTATGTGAGGGGACAAAGAAATGATGGAATGAGGGAAGAAAGGACAGAGCAAGGCTTAGATTGGTGGAGTGGCTTGCTGAAGGTCACACAACCATAGCAACCTTGATGTTCGAGAGAGCCTGAGCATAAACACCACTCCTCTGTTAGATCTTTTCATCTGTGCTTTCATTTCCATGGGTAGTATTCGTTGCCTTTTTGGAGGTGAGAGCTGGGGGAGGAGAGACGTTGCCATTTTTCTAGAGGAATGTCTTTAACAAGTTGTAAGAGTTGTCTTATCTGAGGAAGAGGGCGATAAAGTTGCTTTGAATGTGAATGCTGGTGGCTGGCCAGGCCCCCTAACTAGCAAGTGATTTGATAACTTCCAGCATGGACTTCAATTCATAGATCACAACACGTCAGAGACCTTATCAGGGCTATGGTTGGTCTAACTCCACAGGTGTGAAAGATCGGGGTAGTTATTCCTCCTGAGGATCTTACATGGAATCCTTTTTTTTTTTCAAAACTGTATCACCTAAGTTTCTGGTGTATCACAAGACATGCCCATAGCAAAGGTAAACTTGATGGTTGATGCTCTTTTTTTCATGCTTAGCACACACTAGAGAAATATATCTGCTCATGAATATGTAAATAATTTTTATTTAAAGTCTAACTGGCTTGAAAGAAAATTCTTGAATCACCTCTTGGTGTTCTAGGAATTCAATATTTCTCAGTGCAAATATCAAACTCCTACTCAGATGCACCAAATGGAGACTTGGCTGGTTTTAAAGCATCTATTTACTCAGAAGAATAGAGCCCACGCACAGGGAAAATGTCCCTTCTTCTACTGATGTCCCAAATGCCTCTTTGCTTAAAGATTGCTTAAGAGGGATGCCAATGTAGTTAATGCAGCTCTATAGTGAGGAGTGAACCCAGTCCAGCTCCATATTACATTTTTGTGTTTCATAATATTATAAGGCTCTTAGCAAGGAGGGGAAAGAACCAATTCAGAGAAAAAGAGCTTATGCCCTCTGGAATGAATAAGATGCCAAGATGGCAGATAGTACCAGATAGTTCATCTTAATGCTTTTTTTTTTTGTTTTTTTTTTGAGATGGAGTCTCACCCTGTTGCCCAGGCTGGAGTGCAATGGCATGATCTTGGCTCACTGCAACCTCCCCCTCCGGGGTTGAAATGATTCTCCTGCCTCAGCCTCCTGAGTAGCTGGGATTACAGGCACCCGCCATCATGACCAGCTAATTTTTGTATTTTTAGTAGAGACAGGGTTTCACCATGTTGGCCAGGCTGGTGTCGAACTACTGACCTCGTGATCCGCCCACCTTGGGCTCCCAAAGTGCTGGGATTACAGGCATGAGCCACCCTGCCCGGACTAATGCCTTTTTAACAATGTCTGTGTGTACCTTTCTTTTTTCTTGTAACCTGTGTTCTCAAGACAGAGAGCAAAACAGCAGCTTAACGTTTTCTACTAACAGAAAAATCATAGTAACCAAGTGTACCTGAAAGCTTATTAATTTTCCTGGCCAGCCACCTTTACCTTGATTCCTTTTATTGCATTAAAAATCGAGACTAATTAAGGCAACTGTTGCTGCAGCAGGCCAAATTAGGTTTTTCTTAGAGCTCTCCCTTCATCTCACAGAATGATGTCATTAAGTGTGCAGCCTGTGAAATGCTAAGGACAGCCTGTTTCCACCGTGACATGGGTCACTCAGGAATGCGAGGGAAGTACACCACTGAATGTCATAAAGCTTTAAAGAGTTACAATAACACCTACACTGCAGGCCAAGCAGAATATGGGCATTCACTTCTCTTTGTAAACAGACTCTGTGAAGCCAGAGGGAAGGTAGGCGGGAAGTGATGCGGGAAATGATGGCATGAAGGCTCTGCATAGCTGCTCTGCAGGCTACTTGGTCTATGGGCCTCTTGATTGGCCAGTCACCCAGAGGCTTTACATAGAACTGGGAATTGGGACCACCAAATTGCACAGCTTCTTGGCAGGCCTGTTTGGCCACAGGCAGCTCTTGAATCACAGGGCTATATTATATGGCCACTTGATACCTGCTTATGATTAAGCAAGCTCCAGTGTGCTTTCACAATAGAGATATATTAGTCAAATAAGTTTACTTCATTTTTTTCCATGAGCCCTGGGATTTGAAGAGTTAGATTACAGTCCACTCACCAAGATTCTTTCATACAGATGGTTTTCTTATAGTGGAGTAGCCCATTGCCTTCTCAAGTGAAAACTATTTAGTCGATCCCCTCTGGTTTGTTGTTTGCATGTGTCTAGGTAGTCTCTGAGTCCTGATCCTTAACCAGACATAAGCATTTGTGTTGACATTGATCAAAAAACACTACTATTGCCAACTACTCAGCATGTGTTTCTAATACCTACTATGTATAAGGCATAGTTCTAGATGCTATGAGCTAGACATTGATCAGAAGCCTGTAAGACCTGTTCTCAAGAAGACAGGTTAAATATACATTAAAGTAATTCAGAATACATGACAGTCTTCGAAAAGGGCAAAGAAAAGACAGGAGTTTAAATTATAATTGGAAGAAGAATGTGAAGGGAAACAGAGGTCAAGAGAGATAAGTATTGTTTGGAAAGATCAGGAATGATGTGAAATTCAGATAGTGGAAAATGTAAAATTTAAGGAGGGATAAGCAGAGAAAAGGGACAAGCCAGAGGGAACAGCTAAAGACTAGTTTGATGAGAAGAAGAAGGTTACCCATGTTTCACTTGTACACTGTCTTAGGTGGTAAGCTAAGGAATTTAAACTTGTCTTTAAAAAAAAAACAAAATCACTTTATTGAGGTATGATTGACATATAAAAAGCTGTGTCTACTTAATGTATACATCTCGATAAGTTTGGGCATAAGTATACCCCTATGAAGCAATCACCACCATCAAGGAGATATTTATGTCCATTAACTTTTTTTTATAGACAGTGGGGAGCCATAGAATGTTCTTAACAAGGGACTTATATCATTTAGGGATTTTTTTTTTTTTTTTTTTTTTGGTGAGGCAGAGTCTTGCTCTGTCACCCAGGCTGGAGTGCAGTGGCGCGATCTCGGCTCACTGCAAGCTCCGCCTCCCAGGTTCACGCCATTCTCCTGCCTCAGACTCCCAAGTAGTTGGGACTACAGGCGTCCGCCACCACATTTGGCTAATTTTTTTTTTTTGTATTTTTTGTGGAGACGGGGTTTCACCATGTTAGCCAGGAAGGTCTCGATCTCCTGACCTCGTGATCCGCCCACCTCAGCCTCCCAATGTGCTGAGATTACAGGCGTGAGCCACCGCACCCGGCCCATTTAAGGCTATTTTATCATAAGCAGCAGAGAAGCCAATTTGACCTGGCTTAAACAACAAAGGAAGTTTCTTGGCTTACACAATAGAAATCTCTACAGACAGATATTGGCCTCAGGTAAGGTTTGATCTAGCAATCCAAACAAGAACTCCCGGACACTAGTTCCTCTCTGCCTCAGCTTCATCCTTAGATACCACATTGTCCCTACCTGCCATCCCCATCCTCTTCTAGGCAGCTCCTGGCTCTCCATGTGTGGCAGAAAATGGCTGCAGTAACTCCAGGCCTCAGATCTCCCTATACCTTCTGGAGGAAGAGCAAGCCTCTTTCCTGGTAGCATCTCTGGAAGAGGAGGAAGCTTGTCTTTCCCAGAGGCTTCAAATGGCTCCTGTGTCTTCATGGATCTGAATGGGTTACTGATTTATCTGGGAATCAGTGGAGGATGTAAGTAAGTACATGGGAAAAGCTGATTGGTTTAAGCCAACCACAGTCCACCCGTAGAGCAGGAGAGGTGGGTGAATCCCTCCCAAGCCACAGGGCTAGAATGAGAAAGGATAGATTTCCTGAAGGAATCTGTAAGTAGTGTTAGGAAGGGAGAATGGCCCTTGGGTGGCCAAAGAGTGACACATGTTTACTAGAGGTAATAATAAGACAAAGGTAGGTAGGTTTATGTGACAGTCAAGACCAGCTTATCAAGCCATATAATTGTAAAGGTATGAACTAACCTCTACTGACACTGACTACGTAGTCAGTATCAACCTAAAAAAAAAAAAGACACCAGAAAATTGTCTCTAAATATGTTGGGTTTACTCAAGAATAGAAGTAAGGATTATAGACTGGAATGCATGGAATGGCAAGCCACTAGTGCATTCAGTGAGGAAGGGGGAAGGGAACTTTTATTAGCAAAAATAAATTGACATAAACTGCTTAGAAACAAGTTCATTGGTTCCAGAGGTTCAAAGCCAGAATTGTTGTCAGTTCATTGGTGGAGATGTCGCTACTGGGCAAGTGTTCTTCCAAGAACATTTTATTTGAATCACTGCAGTCCTAAAGAATGTCTAGTGATAGGCTGGGTGCGGTGGTTCATGCCTGTAATCCCAGCACTTTGGGAGGCCGAGGTCGGGAGTTCGAGACCAGTCTGACCAACATGGAGAAACCCCATCTCTACTAAAAATACAAAATTAGTCGGGCTTGGTGGCATATGCCTGTAATTCCAGCGACTTGGGAAGGCTGAAGCAGGAGAATATACTGAAACTGGGAGGTGGAGGTTGCGGTGAGCCGAGATCGCGCCATTGTACTCCAGCCTGGCTAACAAGAGGGAAACTGCATCTAAAAAAAAAAAAAAAATGTCTAGTGATAAACCTTATTAAAGCAGGAGATGTGTGAAGGGCTTATAGAAAGTCCTTGGAAATCGTTTATCGCAGAATGTAAGCTTGAGCCTCCTCTCCTTACTGGCTCTATTTTGTCTGGGTTTGACAGAAATGATTTCCTCCAGGTATCTGGAATTTTCACATCAGCCACCTCCCCATCCTCCACCTGGCCCTGTATGCCCGCCTTGCCCCTTTTACTTCAGAAAGTTTTAGAAAGGCATCATCTTGTTTCACATAGACCCAAGGATGATTTCTCAAACTGAAAGAATTCTCAAATTTTTATTTGGAAATAAAGGAATTCTGGCCAAATGCAGTGGCTCATGCCTGTAATCCCAGCACTTTGGAAGGCCGAGGTGGGAGGATTGCTTGAGCCCAGGAGTTAGAGACCAGCCTGGGCAACGTGACAAAACACTGTCTCTACAAAAAAGAAAAGCAGATTAGCCATGCATGGTTGTGTGCACCTATAGTCCTAATTACTCGGGAGCTGAGGTGGGAGGATTGCTTGAGCTCAAGAGGTTGATGCTGCAGTGAGCTGTGATTGCACTCTCTCACAAAAAAAAAAAAAAAAAAAAAAAAAAAGGCCAGGCGCGGTGGCTCACACGTGTAATCCCAGCACTTTGGGAGGCTGAGGCAGGCGGATCACGAGGTCAGGAGATCGAGACCATCCTGGCTAACACGGTGAAACCCCGTCTCTATTAAAAAATACAAAAAATTAGCCAGGCATGGTGGCGGCGCCTGTAGTCCCAGCTACTCGGGAGGCTGAGGCGGGAGAATGGCTTGAACCCGGGAGGCGGAGCTTGCAGTGAGCCGAGATCGCACCACTGCACTCCAGCCTGGGTGGTGGCGGGCGCCTGTACTCCCAGCTACTAGGGAGGCTGAGGCAGGAGAATGGCGTGAACCTGGGAGGTGGAGGTTTCAGTGAGCTGAGATCGCGCCACTACACTCCAGCCTGGGTGACAGAGTGAGACTCTGTCTCAAAAAAAAAAAAAAAAAATCTTCGCAATAACCATACAAAGCAGGTATTACTATCTAATAGGTTTAGAGATAGGGAAACTACAGCTTGACCAAGTGAAATAATTTCCCAGAGTTTATATAACTATTAAGTGGCTAAGATTCAAACCTAGGTTATCTGACTTCATACTTTATCCCGTACCAAAACAAATTTCATTTCATTTTGTATTAAGGTTGTCAGATAAAATACAGGGTGCCCAGTTCAATTTGAATTTCAGATAAGAAACACTTATTTAGCATATGTCCCAAATATTGCATTGGACATACTGATACTAAAGAATTATTGTTTATCTGAGATTCAAATTTCATTGGCTATCTTATATTTTTATTTGCTAAATCTTGCAGCCCTAATTTGGAACAATCACTCTTTTCCAATAAAAAGACAATTTTATTGATGTTTTTTATGACCGAATGTATTCAAGAACTGGTGACATCTAGGAAAATTCAAGTTTTAAATGAAAGAAAGTCAAATAAGTGAGAGCAAAATGCTTTCACAGGTTGCTTTATTTTATTTAATATTATTATTATTAATTTTATTTATTTATTTTTTTTGAGATGGAGTTTCGCTCTGTCGCCCAGGCTGGAGTGCAGTGGCGCAATCTCGGCTCACTGCAAGTTCTGCCTCCCTGGTTCACACCATTCTCCTGCCTCAGCCTCCCGAGTAGCTGGGACTACAGGCACCCACCACCACGCCCGGCTATTTTTTTTTTTTTTGTATTTTTAGTAGAGACAGGGTTTCACTGTGTTAGCCAGGATGGTCTCGATCTCCTGACCTCGTGATCCACCTGCCTTGGCCTCCGAGAGTGCTGGGATTACAGGTGTAAGCCACCGCGTTCAGCTGTATTTATTATTATTATTATTATATTATTTTTTGAGAAGGAGTCTCACTCTGTCGCCCAGACTGGAGTGCAGTGGCATGATCTTGGCTCACTGCAACCTCTGCCTCCCTGGTTCAAGCGATTCTCCTGCCTCAGCCTCCCGAGTAGCTGGGACTACAGGTGCCTGCCACCATGCCCAGCTAATGTTTGTATTTTTAGTAGAGATGAGGTTTCACCATATTGGCCAGGCTGGTCTCAAACTCCTAACCTTATGATCCACCTGCCTCAGCCTCCCAAAGTGCTGGGATTACAGGTGTGAGCCACCACACCCAGCCACAGATTGCTTTATTTGAGAAACCTGGTTGACCTAAAAAGCCTCTTTCTGGGATAGCCTCCTAATTATGATATGTTTGAGTGTGAAAGTGAAATGGGAGTAGGGGACATTTACTTATGCATTCATTCACTAGGTCCTGAGTGCCAATTGTGTGCCAGGCAGTATTCTAGGTATTCTGTTACAAGGCAAACAAAATCCTAGCCCTCATGGAGCTTCTGTTCTCTAGGGGGAAAATGGGCAATAAATAGATACACTAGCAAGTAACAAGGTTTCTGGTAATGGTAAAAGTTGTGAAAGAGAATAGAGCAGGGCAAGGGGACAAAACAAAGGGAAATTTGAGATAGGCATGATCAAGAAAGGCATTCAGTGAGGGGCAAAGTCCTGAATGAAGCAAGGGAGCCAGCCATGTGTGGCTCTGGAAGGAAATCTTCCACACAGAGAGAGGGACAGCAAGTATAAAGACCCCAAGATGAAAACGTGCTTGGCAAGTCCGGAATGCAGCGGAGAAACAGCAGAACATAACTCACTCCACTGTCGTTTAAGGGGTCCTTTACTCATTTCTGCATGTGGGCTAGGATAATTTTAGAGTGCTGAGATAAAATGCAAAAACAGCAATCATGCAGTTTTTTTAAACTAACTCTGGGATCAAAGGGGAAGTATGTAAACAACTATGTTTTGTTAAAGATTTATAGGAGCATTTTGACCTGACAAGGACAAAGAAGCTCCCAGCCTCCCTGGACCCTCACTGGAACCCAATTGTCTGTAGTCATTGTTCATCTCTTGATTGCAAGCCCCTCCTCTTCCCTCTGCCCTTAACATTAAAAGGGCCTGAAATTTGGACTGAAGGTGGTTCTTCAGCATATTGGTCCCCCATCTTCTCGGCTTGCTGGCTCTCAGAAATAAAGTCGCCTTCCTTGCTCCAACTCCTTGTCTCCTTGTATTTTTTTTCTTTTTTGAGATGGAGTCTCACTCTGTTGCCCAGGCTAGAATGCAGTAGCGTGATCTTGGCTCACTGCAACCTCTGCCTCCTGGGTTCCAGCGATTCTCCTGCCTCAGCCTCCCGAGTAGCTGGGATTACCGGTGCCCCGCCACCATGCCTGGCCACTTTTTTTTTTTTGTATTTTTAGTAGAGATGGGGTTTCACCATGTTGACCAGGCTGGTCTTGAACTCCTGACCTCAGGTGACCTGCCTGCCCTGGCCTCCCAAAGTGCTGGGATTACAGGCATGAGCCACCGTGCCTGGCCTGTCTCCTTGTCTGTCGTGCAGCGGGCAGACGAATTTGGACTTCGTTACAAGAAATATTGAAAGATTGAGAGAAGGGCAATAAATGACCAGACTTATGCTCCAAAGGCTTGTTCTAGGTGCCATGGAAATAGAGACCCTGTTGCAGAGGTGGAGGAAAGACATGCTAGTGGCCTGAATTAATACGAGTGTTGCATTTGAGATCTATTTGGAAACATATTGCCTGGGTGGAGCTAACGCAGACGTGACATTTAAATCATCACAGGTGATTCAAGTGCATCCTCAAGGTTAAGGAGCACCACTGCTTTAAATCATGGTCACTGATTTAGTAGTTCAATTCCTCTCAACCTTGGTCGTACTTCGTAACCACCCAGGGGACTTAAAAAAAAAACCTGGAGATTTAGTCCCACTCCCAGGCTGGGAGTACAGCCTGGACATTAGGATTTAAAAAATATCCTTGGGTGATTCTTCTTTGCAGCTAAGTTGAAAATTTCTGTCTAGAGAATAGTGGGAACCTGGTGTGCGAGGTAGGCAACAAGAATTGATTGGCAATGCTTGCTTTAAAGCAAGTTCTATTAGAATCAAGTTCTGTGAGAGAAGACTGAAAGATGCTCATAATCATGTATGGTCCCAAACGTCTCTGGTGGGTCCCTACTTCCCTCCCCTCCCACTAGCTGTTAGAAGTAGAGCTGGTCATCAGTATCTAACCTCCCCATACTGAAGCCGAGTCCCCAGAGCTGGCCATGGTCACAGTGGTGACCTGACTTTCAGCTGTCATCTCCTCACCCATGTTTGCCCAGGCCAACTCTCTTTTCCAGGGGGTATCAGGTCTGGGAGATGGCAGAGCAAGGCAGGAGGCGTCCAGACAGCAGCTCTCTTTCGTTCCCTTCCTGGGAAGGCATCTGGCAACCATTCTCTCCAGCTCTCAGGAACAGTCCTGAAATTCCCTTTCTATTGATGGGAAAATACAAGCAAAAATCAAAGTAATAATCAGTGTCACTTAGTGAATTAGTGATGGAGACGGGAACAGAATCCAGACTTTCTAACTTGGAGATCCCCTGCTTTTAAGTCTAAATGGCTCTTTTATTCTAATCCAGCTGTGCCGCGTTAATAAGGCTTTGACGAGATCCAGCTCTGTATTTGGTAGAGTTAACATATTTGATATTTACCTCAGCTATTTGTTGTCTGTTTAATAAGTTTGGTTTGTCATCCCAGATGCACATTATTTAGGAGTGTATAATCACATACAATTGTTTACGCTATTTACTGTTTGCTTTCAAGTCTTGCCAAGACGGACTTGGTGTAAACTAGCTGTCTGCAGCAGCCACACTAAGTTAAGCCTTTAAAAGGGTCTAATTGGGCTTATATAAATAAACACAACGATATGGAAAATAACTCCACATAACGTTTACTACACTGCTGGCCGGCTGGCAAATATGCAGACCTTCTCTCTTGTGGAATAGATAGAAGTAAATCTTACTCAGAAGGGTATAGAGAGCTATTTAAGTTTTAATTTAGAGCTCATCCAACTCTCTCTCTCTCTGTCTTACATACACACACACACACACACACACACACACACACACACGAGAAAAATCCTTTCAGTGGCAATAAATTTTAATCATGTAGTCAGTAAAGCTTGACTCTGGCTTTTATTCTTAGAGAAAATGGTCAGTGAAGCAAATCTCATATCTACTCATTACAAGGCCAATGGGCAGGTCATGATAACTGAGGGACCACAGATGCTCTGGTTATGTTTTAAACTAATAAAGGAGACCAGCAAAAATTCAACTAACCACTTAGGCACATGAAAAGAAGCAGAGCATAAGGGAGGCAGCATCTTTCCAAAAATGTTCAGCACGATTCCTTGTTGTACAAAAATTCAGTGGTTATGTCTTTCTGATGGAAGCTGCAGGAGCTCTGTGGCAGTCTTTGTGTATGAAAAAATTACAGTATGATGTAGGAGTTTTAGGACGGGCTGAGAATTAATTATTACTGGGTAAAAGGTACATTTTACAGTCATTTCATCAATAAATATTAATTGAAGCCTCACTGTGCATCAGTCTCTGGGCTAAGTGTCACAGGCCAGGGCACATCATGTGCAAAGATATGGAAGGCCTCATCTTCGCTCTTTTTTTTTTTTTTTTTTTGAGACGGAGTCTCACTCTGTCACCCAGGCTGGCGTGCAGTGGCGCAATCTTGGCTCACTGCAACCTCCGCGTCCCAGGTTCAAGCAATTCTCCTGCCTCAGCCTCCCGAGTAGCTGGGACTACAGGCGTGTGCCACCATGCCTGGCTAATTTTTTTTTGTATTTTTAGTAGAGAAGGGGTTTCACCGTGTTAGCCAGGATGGTCTCAATCTCCTCACCTTGTGATCTGTCTGCCTCAGCCTCCCAAAGTGTTGGGATTACAGGTGTGAGCCACCGCACCCTGGCCTATCTTCGTTCTTGAAGAATGAGTCATTTAGGATACTTTGTCTTCTTTATGCTTTTGTTCATGCTGACCCCCTCCAGTGAAATACCCTCCACTGCCGACCTCGGGATAGAGGCACACCCTTTGGAACTGTTTTCAATTGCTAGTTCTACTTGGACCCTTATTTGTGGCTAATTCCTTCTGCTTTGAATTCCACGTACTTATGTAAACCTGTTTGTTTCACAATGTCTTCAGGGCAAAGGGCAGATCCTGTGGATCTTTGTATCCTGTGCTTAACAAGATATAGTATGTATTCAATCAACATCTGTTGGATCCATAAATGAATGAATGAACAATATTAATAGCTCCTTGGAAAATGGCAAGCTATTTTAATACCTTACTCAAGTGTTTGAATTTACCCTCTCTGAAATGGTATCAGGACGGTACTTAAACTGGTCCACATTGTTTAATTAATACCGGGAAGTATTGTGTTGGCTAAAATCCTATAACATCATCATTTCTGTTTCATCTAGCAAGTTTTATTTATTCTTTTTTTTTTTTTTTGAGACGTTGTCTCGCTCTGTCGCCCAGGCTGGAGTGCAGTGGCGCGATCTCAGCTCACTACAAGCTCCACCTCCCGGGTCCACGCCATTTTCCTGCCTCAGCCTCCCTAGTAGCTGGGACTATAGGCGCCTGCCACTATGCCCGGCTAATTTTTTGTATTTTTAGTAGAGACGGGGTTTCACCGTGTTAGCCAGGATGGTCTCCATCTCCGACCTTGTGATCCGCCTGCCTCGGCCTCCCAAAGTGCTGGGATTACAGGCATGAGCCACCGCGCCCCGCCTATTTATTCTTTTCTTTTCTTTTTTTTTTTTTTTTTTTTGAGACGGAGTCTCGCATTGTTGCCTGGGCTGGAGTGCAATGGCGTGATCTCAGCTCACTGCAACCTCTACCTCCTGGGTTCAAGCAATTCTCCTGCCTCAGCCTCCCGAGTAGCTGGGATTACAGGCATGTGCCACCAGGTCCAGCAATTTTTTTGTATTTTTAGTAGAGACAGGATTTCACCATGTTGACCAGGCTGGTCTGGAACCCCTGACCTCAGGTGATTCAAGTGCCGGGATTATAGACGTGAGCCACTATGCCTGGCCTAGCAAGTTTTATTTAAATGTTTTTTGGAATTATTGTTGATTTTGGAGTGTATGATGATGATATTATAGTTATGTTTAAAAGGGGGAAATACATGCTGAAATATTTAGACATAAAATTAGATGATGTCTGAAATTCGCTTCAAGATAGCCAGAGAGAATTAAAGAGTATAGATGAAACAAGACTGGCCATAAATTGATTGTTATTGAAGCTGGGTGATGAATACATGGAGGTTCATTTAACTATTTCATCTCCTTTTGCACATGTTTAAAATTTTCTATAATGATACTAAAAAAATATATTTACATTTATAGAAGAGGAGAATCTGATGGAAGGGTCACAACTAAGCAATAAACATAAAACTGCAGACCTAAGTTTCTCCCGCTCAGGAATGCCCACAACACTGCACTTTTGGGATTAAGTAAAAGTAACAGAAATGCATGCTTGTTCCATTTCTGATTGCTCTATGGTTTAGCCCTTAAAAATTGTTCATTATCTTCCTAGAAGGCCAACAGTCATTTTCTATGATTGCAACTTGACCACTTTCTATTACAAATGCACTTGCTATAACTGGTTATAGGAGGCATGGAAGACTAGAATGAACAAAGGAAAAAAATGTACCTCACCACTGGGATCTCACTCAGAAATATCTTGAGATCAATACCGGGCCACCTTCATCTAGGATGTGTAAGTGAAAAATCTTCCACTTCTCATTCCCCGTTATGTCCCATTCTAGCAATTTTCATGACTCCTACTATTTTTGGGGTAGGGTTGCTGGTAAAAATTTAGGCTGCTAAATTAAATTTGAATTTCAGAGAAATAACAAATACTTTTTAAAGTATAAGTATCTCAAATATTGCATGGGACATACTTATTTTTATTTGCTAAATTTGGCAACCCTACTTGTGGGGCTATGTGATATTTATAATTCCAACAGTTAGTCAATTAATTAAAGGACCATTTTCTATACTTAGTTGATTTAATCATCTTGAAAAGCTTCATTTAGCTCTGGCCTTCACTAGACTATTGAACTAAAAAGGCTCAACTTTACTAAAAAAAAAAAACACAAAAAAACACAAAAAAACACAAAACTATCAAATTCTGATAAGAATACCTGTATTTCCAAATCTATTTTTCTGTTTGTTTGTTTGTTTGTTTTTTGAGATGGAGTCTCACTCTGTCTCCCAGGCTGGAGTGCAGTGGCGCGATCTCGGCTCCCGCCACCAAGCCCGGCTAATTTTTTGTATTTTTAGTAGAGACAGGGTTTCACTGTGTTAGCCAGGATGGTCTCGATCTCCTGACCTCGTGATCCGCCTGCCTCGGCCTCCCAAAGTGCTAGGATTACAGGAGTGAGCCACCGTGCTCGGCCATCTATTTTTTTATTTTAAGCAAAATAGCATATATATTGTTAAAATAAAATCAAACAATACTAAAAGGCTGACAGTGAAACGCAGCTGGCTTCTGCCACGCTCCCTCCTGATCCCCTAGATCCACTCAGTACCTAGAGCCGAGTAGCCAGCAGAAGCCGCCCTCCCTGGAGTTCTCTTTCGATCACTCAAAATAGTCTCTTGCTGTTAGGTCTTGATTTCTCAATTTTGGACATTACATATTGAGTTTCTTCTGAGAGAAGAAAGAAGAAGATTTAGTCTTTTAACTATTCTCATTCTCCCTTTGGAGTTTTCTATTACTTTTAGTGAAATCAGTAATCAAGCACCCACGTCGTTATGACCATATGTATACTCCCTGCAGAGCCAGGTTGTGTATGCTGGGTACATTTCCTTTCTGTAGTGAAAAACCATAATTTTCTGTTGCCTCTGCATCCACTTCAAATATAAGTGGGACTTTCTCAAACCAGAAACAGGGCTTGGTCGCCCTTGACACAGTTTCCAGTTCTCCACCTCCATCCATCTTGTTTTTGGTGTGGCTGATTCGCTATCTGCCTTACACAGCTGCCTGCTGCTGACCATCTTCCTTTACACAAATTAACTTCAAATGTATTATAGACTTAAATGTAATACCTAAAACTATAATGCTTCCAGAAAAAGGTGTAGGAGAAAATTTTTGTCACTATGGGTTAGACAAAGATTCCTTAGATACAACCCCAAAAGTATGAGTCATAAGAGAAAAAAATTGATAAACTGGACTTTACCAAAATTAAGAACTCATGCACTCATGCTCTTTGTTTTGAGACAGGGTTTTGCTCTATCATCCAAGCTGGAGTGCAGTGGTGTGATCAGGGTTCACTGCAGCCTCAACCTCCTGGGCTCAAGTGATCCTCCCACCTCAGCCTCTTGAGTAGCTGGGACTACAGGTGTGTGCCACCACACCTAGCTAATTTGTTTTTTATTTGTATAGATGGAGTCTCACTATGTTTCCCAGGCTGATCTCAAACTCCTGGACTGAAGTGGTCCTCCTGCTTTGGCCTCCAAAAGTGCTGGGATTATAGGCATAAGCTGCTGTGCCCAGCCAAACTAATGTTCTTTGAAAAATATTTTAGATCAATAAAAAGTCAAGGCCGGGCGCGGTGGCTCACACCTGTAATCCCAGCACTTTGGGAGGCCAAGGCGGGTGGATCACGAGGTCAGGCATTCAAGAGCAGCCTGGCCAACATGGTGAAACCCCGTCTCTATTAAAAATACAAAAAATTATCCGGGCATGGTGGCACACACCTGTAATCCCAGCTACTTGGGAGGCTGAGGTGGGAGAATTGCTTGAACCCGGGAGGTGGAGGTTGCAGTGAGCTGAGATCATGCCACTGCACTCCAGCCTGGGCGACAGAGCAAGACTCCATCTCGGAAAAAAAAACGAAATAAAATACAATACAATAATAAAAAGACAAATACTGGAGCAATATTTTCAAAGCATATATGTGATTAAAGACTTGTATATAGAATACTTAAAGAATTCTCAAAACTCAGTAATAAGAAAACAACCCCAAAAACATGGATGAAAGATGTCAACAAATACTTCACCAAAGAGGGTATATGGATTGCACATATACCACATGCACAAATAAGGCTTGAAAAGATGCTACATACCGTTCGTATTATGGACATGCAAATTAAAATCACTGATAATATTACAACATGCTTATTAAAATGGCTAAAATTTAAAAAAGACTGGCCCTAGGAAATGCTGGTGAGGATGTGGAGGAGGAATTAGAACTCTTTTTTTTTTTTTTTTTTGGAGACGGAGTCTCGCTCTGTTGCCCAGGCTGGAGTGCAGTGGAGCGATCTTGGCTCACTGCAACCTCTGCCTCCCAGATTCAAGAGATTTTCCTGCCTCAGCCTCCCCAGTAGCTGGGACTACAGGCACACACCATCATGCCTGGCTAATTTTTGCATTTTTAGTAAAGATGGGGTTTCACCATGTTGGCCAGGATGGTCTCAAACTCCTGACCTCGTGATCCACGCCCCTCGGCCTCCCAAAGTGCTGGGATTACAGCTGTTAGCCACCGCGCCCAGCCATTTATTCCTTTTTCACTCTTTGGAGTTCTTACCTTCTGACCAAAGTCATGGACCAAATAGGTGTCATAAGTTGCTCCTTTGTACCTACAGATACAGGGCCATGTTACCTATTAAATGCACGTTAAATTGATCTGATAATAAGGGAATATAGCCAGGTGCAGTGGCTCATGCCTGTAATCCCAGTGGGCGGATTGGTGAGCCTAGGAGTTTGAGAGCAGCCTGGGCAACATGACAAGACCCTATCTCCACAAAAAATACAAAATATTAGCTGGGTGTGGTAGCGTGTGCCTGTTGTCCCAGCTACTTGGGAGGCTGAGGTGGGAGTTTCGCTTGAGCCCAGCAGGTCGAGACTGCAGTGAGCCAATATCGCGCCACTGCACTCCAGCCTGGGTGACAGAGTGAGACTCTGTCTCCAAAAAAAAAGGGGCGGGGGGAATTTTTTGGGAAAATTTCCAGTGACTATTAAGAGAGGCAGTAGACTGTATTGGGTAAGAGCTGTCTTGGTTTGGGTCCTCCCAAAAGCAGACTCTGAGACAAAAATTTAGGTGCAGGTAATTTATATACAAGTTGATCCAGGAAGCACTAAGAGAGAGTTAGGGAATATGTGTAGGGAAGGGAGAAAAAGCAATAAAGGGTAAATTAATGGTCAGGTTACTTCTGTGGGCAACTGAGGCTCCATGCTGCTGGGGATCCTTTGAGAGATTTTGTGAAAAATAACTCAGAATCATTTGAGACAGGGGCGAGGAAGCTGGGCTTAATTTCCCAACTCCTGTCCTTCTTGGCTGAGTGTCACTTCTATGAGATGAAACCTCTCTGCACAGGTCAAACAGATGCCAGTGGCCAGAGAACGTCCTTATGGAGTGGTAAACAGGAAGCTGGTGGGCACATAAGAAGACTGTCTGGAGGTGACCTCCCGGGGCCTAGGGGAATATGGGTGGAGCCAGGTGTTAGGATGGAGTGCTTAAGGGCTTGTGCAGAAGCTGCATTTCCACAATAGGTGCACTGCTCTTTTTGTCTGGGATAAGAATGTATGCTCATTCGGGGTGGCTGACAACGATTATAGGGCTGCTAAGCTTCCTCCGAGCTATTTCCATAACGCTGCTTTGTATCTTCTTTATTGAATTGCTGTATAAAGTATAAATCATAATCCATAATTTATAAAGCTAAAATGCCTGTAAGGCAAATAGGATTGTCTCATTCCCCTGCTTAAAACTCCTTGTTCTCAAGAAAAAGACCGGCATCTTTAATATCAGCTAACAGACTCTGTAGAGCCTGGTCCCTCAGACCTTCTGTCCTGCTTTGCTCCTCCTCTCTTATGCAAGTTCCTTGTATGTACCATGCATCTATTGGCCACAGGATCTTTGCATATGTTGTCCCTCTTGGAATGCTCCTCAGCCCTCATTTCCACAGGCTGATCTGACCTTCCACTGCTGTCATCGCCCCTCTGTAGGATAAGGTTTCCACTGCTCTCCCTGCTTGGCCAGCTATGCCTTAAGCCCATTACTAGTCCCATCCTCCCGTCATCCATTCTCCTTGCTGGATGGTAGAGAATTGATTTCCAGGTGCCTTACACTTCAGCTTTTCTACAAAAAATCCATTCCTAGGCTAGGGAACAAGCACGCAGAACATGAAGACTTCTTGGGAAGGGGAAAGAAGACAACTCTTTATTCACTTCCACAGCACGAGGAAGAAACCATTTATTCTGCCATAATTATTGCATCAAAAGTAGTTCCATAATCGTATCCTTATGCATTCATTATTCATGTAGGAAGACACTGTTTAATGGTTGAAATTCCTCTTACATACGTATTATCTTTACAGACATTACTTCTCCTCAAAGATGTCACGGTCACTGGCTCTTTGGCCACAGGCCTTTTCTGGGCACATTTCAATCAATGAAATGATTTAGTAATGTCTGCTCTTCTTTGAATTCATTCAAAAGAAAATACAGAATGTACTAACAAGTTCTCTGAACAAAAACCAAAAGCACTGATGGAAAACTGGAGACATTCTGGAGAAACACATAAATTTTTTTTTCTGTGTTCAAAAGAATCTCCCAAGAGCCTCTCCAGTGTGACTTCACAGTGAGACTCCTGCTCTCTAAAACTCAGTTGGCAATAAGGCGCTACGTGATTTTTAAAAAGATACAAACACTGGTGATGAGAATGTTGGGGAATGTTCATCTCATTCCACACGCAACTTTATCAGAGGGCTCCTTCCTCTGAAAAGGCTAGAGGTAAATATAGAAAGAGAGGATGCTTATAATTTTCCTTGACTTTATCTTTTCATTTCTTGAAAATCAAGGATGTTTTTCCCTCAAATTAGGTTTTAATGATTTAAAAGAAACCAAAGTTCAGGACAAAGAACATATGTAGCCCAGACTCTAATCTCAATGCCTCTCTATGAAGTAAGTCATCACATTACTTTTCTGCCAACAGTAGTAAAATAGGGCTTGGCACAAGAAACCTCACTGAAACTATTTTGCTAGAGTCATTCTTGCACCAAATGGTGCAGCTATACACACCCAGGGAGTATGCAGGCATTTAACTTGGGGTCCCATCTGGTAATCTGCAGACTTTAAATTTTTCCAGGGATGTGGGAGAGGGAAGGAGGCAGTGATACTGTCAAGCTGCCGAGATTTATCGCTGTCCTCTCCATCAGCCAGCATTCTCATATCGCCGTAGGAGATGCCACCAGTTACCCAGAAATTCTGCAGGATGAGCATGGGAATTTGCTTCATCTGCTGGATGGGGTATTTTCATGCTCTTGGCAATAAAATATCAGACTTAGGAAACACCCTTTCCTCCACCGCCTTCTAAAGAAAGGTACTCAGAAGCCAAAGTTGTGTTGTGTGACCTGCCCCCGGCCATAGCTGACTGAATTAGGGGTAGACACTTGACCTAAAATGGTCTTAAATATATTCCTTCTCTCAGTAATTTGGAATTGGAATTAAGAGATCTGGTATCCCTTAGAAGGAAGAGATATAAACTTGGGGATTCTGGGATAACCATCTTTGCCCAATGCATGGCTATAGATTCAGGGAAAGTCCATCTAGGAAGAAAGGACAGTGAAGCAGAAATGCCTGAAAGCAGAAGACAGAGAAGGAGAAGAGAGAGTTCTGCAGGCTCCCAGGGTTCCTTTGACCCAGCTGCATTCCTGCTCTTGGTCTCTGAGTCACCACAGCATTTTTATAATAAATTCCCATTTTTAACTTACATGATTCTTCAAACCAGAGTCCCAACTAATACGAGCATCCAACCTTTTGTCAGGAGACAAGAGATGAGCGTTTTTGAATCCTTATATGGAAGTGTTTATATTTTAAGTAGGAATTATAGTCAGAATCTTTAAAATATTGCCGTGGCCGGGCGTGGTGGCTCACGCCTGTAATCCCAGCACTTTGGAAGGCCGAGGTGTGCAGATCACAAGGTCAGGAGATCGAGACAAGCCTGGCCAATATGGTGAAACCCTGTCTCTACCAAAAATAAAAAAAATTAGCCAGGCGTGGTGGTGGTCGCCTGTAGTGCCAGCTACTCAGGAGGTAAGGCAGGATAATTGCTTGAACCCAGGAGGCGAAGGTTGCAGTGAGCCAAGATCGTGCCACTGCACTCCAGCCTGGGCAATCTCAAAACATAACAGAACAAAACAAAACAAAACATTGCTGTTACTGGCAGTGATGGAATTAGAAAAGTTTGGTGACTTTTGAAAAGCCTCAGTCCAGATGAATCCCACACGTTCTTAGGAGTAATGTTTCTCTAGGTTGGGACAAACGTAAGTTTTTGCTACTGTTTGTGAAATCATTGGGCTTCTAGTGGGCAAATGTACCCCAATCCTGTCCGTTTCCAACACTGCATTGGTGGTCAGGACAATGTGCTTTCATTTGCACAAGCATGTTCAGGAGGAGTCCTCCTGCAAGGTAGATGCCCGTGTTGCTGGGACTCAGTCCCTTGTGATGGGGCCCACCAAAGACAGTTTTGCTTGGGTCCTCTCAAAGCTATGCTGTTGGGTTTGTGCTTGGGTGAAATATTATACTGTTCTGTACTGGCTTAATGTCTGGGTTTAGATAGAATAAGCTTCCCATTAGTTCCACCCGTGGGAAACATTTTTCTTTTCATGTGTCTGCTTTTCTGCCTCCCAAGAACATGAAAACAGAAGTCATACAGGAGTCTTATGTTTCTTTTTTCTTTTTTTTTTTTGAGATGGAGTCTCGCTCTGTTGCCCAGGATGGCATGCAGTGGCACAATCTTGGTTCACTGCAACCTCCAGCTCCTGGGTTCATGTGATTCTCCTGCCTCAGCCTCCCGAGTAGCTGGGATTACAGGCACATGTCACCATGCCCGGCTGATTGTTTTGTATTTTTAGTAGAGACAGGGTTTCACCATGTTGGCCTGGCTGGTCTTGAACTCCTGACCTCAGGTGATCCACTTGCCTGGGCCTTCCAATGTGCTGGAATTACAGGCGTGAGCCACCGCGCCTGACCGAGTCTTATGTTTCATTCACTCATTCTTTCAATGAATAGATAAAAATGCACTGAGCACCTTCAAGAGGCCAGGCAGTGCCCAGTGTTAAGGCCAGCTGCTCCATGTTAGTCTGAAGCTAGCAAATCCACATTTCCCTCTCCCATTCTGCCCACCAGAAAGACTATCCTAGGGACACCCCAGGCCATCTATCTCCCTTTGACCTCATCCACTCTACTTTGTTTCCAGCTTTCTTGGTTTCTCAACATCCATCTCCCCTCCCCCATTTTATCTCCATTTCTTGGTTGGTTTGTCTTTTCTTGCCATCCTAGCTTTGCTATTTGGTACCTACATAGGGCAAAGTCTAAGGCTCTGATTGCTAATGCAATAAACTACTTTTATTTCCACAGTAGACTGGAGTTCTTTTGATGTCAGGGACACATTTTTTCATCTTTGTGTCCCCAGAGCCCAGAAATACACCTAATACATAGCAGCACTCAAAGTTGCTGAAAAAAAAAAATGAATGTAACGATACACATGTAATTAGCAAGAATATGTTAATGCTAAATCTTACACATACCCATTCTTACAAAGCTCACTAGTGTTAGAGAAGAAAAGATAGACCAGAGATGGGGGTAGAGGGACTAGATTCTCTTTTCTTGAAGCCAGAGGCTTTGTGCCACCCATGGCTGAACCACTATAGTGTTTACTTTCTTTTTTTTTGAGATGGAGTTTCGCTCTGTCGCCAGGCTGGAGTGCAGTGGCGCTATCTCAGCTACTGCAACATCCACCTCCTGAGTTCAAGCGATTCTCCCGCCTCAGCCTCCCGAGTAGCTGGGACTACAGGTGCACGCCACCACGCCCAGCTAATTTTTGTATTTTTAGTAGAGTCAGGGTTTCACCATGTTGGCCAGGATGGTCTCGATCTCTTGACCTTGTGATCCACCTGCCTCAGCCTCCCAAAGTGCTGGGATTACAGGTGTGAGCCACCGCGCCTGGCCCCCTAGTGTTTACTTTCAGTGGAATCCTCTGAAAACTGTTGTTGCCCCCTTCCCAAGTATAAACAAAGATTTCATTGTGAATACCACTTCCTTCACTTTCTTTCTTTCTAGGAATCATGACATTCCATCCTCTTTGGCAACAATACTTTGACATCTCCTTATGTCTCTTATTTTTTACTTTTTAGTAAAAAGAACATCATTTTCAGTCTCAGTGCCCTTGGAAATGACTCTGTCCCTTTGAGCCAGATTTTTCTCCTTGTTTACTTCTTGCATCAGGCACCAATACTCTCCACAGTGATAGAACCTGTAGCCAAAACTGCTATATGGCTATATATAAAATCTACAGTAATCTCTCCAACCCATTTTGACCAAGTCACTGAGATGACTTGTAGCTCATGGCTGTAAACTCATCATCGTATTCGACTTTCATTTACCGCCCATCCTACTCTAGTAGGATTTTTCTCCCAGAAACTTGCAAATATTTCAAATCCTGCATTTCTATTTTGACACATTCATCCCACTTGTCTCTCATCAACCCACAGTGAGTTTTAGAGAGAATTTTTTTTGCAACAGTTCCCATCGTAGGAGATAATGACATGCAAACCCAAGCGAGGTTTGAACAGGCTCACTCCCTTTGGTATAACGTGTGGGGTATTAGCCCATTTTCATACTTCTATAAAGAAATACTCAAGACTGGGTAATTTATAAAGGAAAGAGGTTTAATTGACTCACAGTTCTGCATGGCTGGGGAGGCCTCAGGAAACTTAACAATCACGGTGCAAGAGGAAGCAGGCACCTTCTTCACAACTCAGCAGGAAAGAGAACCTGTGAAGGAGGAACTGTCAAACACTTACAAAACCAGCAGATCTCGTGAGAACTCATTCACTATCAGCATGGGGGGTGGTTTCCCCTCATGCTGCTCTACCAAATCACCTCCCTCCCTCCACACATGGGGATTACAATTCGAGATGAGATCTGGGTGGGAACATAGAGCCAAACCATATCATGTGGCCAGACTATGGTGACATTTACGTGAGTCAGAAACCTGGCAGACAGGCTTTAGACAAATTTCCTTATCCTTAAGGAAATTCTTCTAAGATCTTAAAGGCTTATGCAACTATGTTTTGTATATAGGGGTAGTTATAAGAGTAGAAACTTGAAAATTTCAACCCTCCCACATCCTAAAAAATCATTTAGAGACATTCTGTCATTACACTTGAGAAAAATGTAAGCTCAGAGAAGTCGAGTGAGTTGCTGGAGTCATATAGATAGTGGCAGAGTCAAAAATATGATTTGGCAGGGCACGGTGGCTCACACCTGTAATCCCAGCACTTTGGGAGGCCAAGACAAGCAGATCATGAGGTCAAGAGATCGAGACCATACTGGCCTACATGGTGAAATCCTGTCTGTACTAAAAATACAAATATTAGCTGAGCGTGGTGGTGTGCGCCTGTAGTCCCAGCTACTCAGGAGGCTGACGCAGGAAAATCACTTGAACCAGGGAGGCAGAGGTTGCAGTAAGCTGAGATTGTGCCACTGCACTCCAGCCTGGTGACAGAGCGAGACTCTGTCTCAAAACAATAAATAAATAAATAAATAATTATGATTTTTCCTTTAGTGGGTGGAGATTTAGTGGCCTGCTCCCACCCAGAAATCCTGAAGTCCCTATAACAAGGCAAGGCACAACTATATCTTCTATTGTACACAAAGACCCCTTTCCTTCCTGTGAACTGTTTATGGTTCAGCCTAAAACAATGCGAACGCATACCAAAAACTGGGTTGGTATTAGAGCTATGCAAAAGGGGTATTGTAAAGATAGTTTAAATTCATGCAGAAGGGTTTCTCTAGCATATTCAAAAGAGAAAGATGGTAGCAACAACCGAAGCGAGAAGAACAAGAACAAGGTGAAACAGCAGAAGCATCAGCAATTAGTATTTAAGCATGGAAAACAAGGGTTGGTATGGAAAAGAGTGAAGAGGAAAATGTACAACAAAAAATTGCTGGAATTTTCCCTGTCTCGCTTTTAAAATGCAAGCAGCCACAACAACAAAATAATTGCAAGCATCAACAACAACAAAAATCCTACTAGCAGGGGCTAAACCTAGAAGCAACATTGTTTCTATACTAAGAAGTCTGGAGGGAGATAACAGGCTGGGTCAGCTGCTCAACAATGCTAGCAATGACACAGGATCTCTTGCTCCTGCTCTGCCTCCTTCCTCCTTCCTCACTTGTTGACTTTTCACCCTCATGCTTGCCACCTGCTTTCACAAGATGGCTGCTGGGTGTTTCAGGCATTTCCCCCACCCAGGCTGGCATCACAAGCAATAGAGAGGAAGAGTACTATGCCAGCTAGCTCTTCTTTTTCACTGGCTTGTCTTTTTTTTTTTTTGAGACGGAGTCTCACTCTGTCACCCAGGCTGGAGTGCAGTGGCACGATCGTGGCTCACTGCAACCTTCACCTCCTGGGTTCAAGCGATTCTCCTGCCTCAGCTTCCTGAGTAGCTGGGATTACAGGCGCCCGCCACCACGCCCAGCTAATTTTTTGTATTTTTAGTAGAGATGGGGTTTCACCATCTTGGCCAGGCTGGTCTCGAACTCCTGACCTTGTTATCCACCCGCCTCGGCCTCCCAAAGTGCTGGGATTACAGGCGTGAGCTACCGCGCCCGGCCCTATGACTGTCTTTTCATAAGCAGGGAACATCTGTCCCAGAATCCCCTAGGAGCCTTCCCCTTCCATTTCATTGGCCAGACTGTGTCACAGGACCACCCTTAGCTGTAAAATAAACTAGGACCATAAATACAGGACAGAGGGCAATGAGATTTCATGACTGCCTCAGATTTATAACCATTCATCCATTGAGGTTGGAGGAGGGGGTCTATATTCTCTGAGATCAACGGATTTTCTTCCACAAAATCAGCATTCTATTACTAGGGGGAAGAGGGGATACTGGGTAGGATACAATAAGTGAGGCTACAAAGTATTTGCTTAAGAATTTGCTTTAAGAAACTGATTTTAGGAGTTACTGCCTTCGGGCAACATATCTTCCAGGCCTTTGTTTTCTGGTCTCGTGGTCTGGGACCGGAAATGAGCCACCACTTTCTTCAAGAGGCTCTTTCATGCTATTCAGGTCTTGTAATCACCCAACAGGTTCATCTTGCCCACTGCCCAGAAAAGTCAATGCACTCAGAACAGCAGGTTTTTGCAGCAAATAAAGAGTTACAGTGATTGAAGGGCTGGCCAAGTAGAAGGATGAGAGTTAATTTTCAAATCTGTCTCCCCAAGAACCTAGAGGGTAGGATTTTGTTTTTTGGTTTTTTTGGATGGGGTTTTGCTCTTGTCACCCAGGCTGGAGTGCAATGGCATGATCTGGGCTCATTGCAACCTCTGCCTCCTGGGTTCAAGCAAGTCTCCTGCCTCAGCCTCACGAGTAGCTGGGACTACAGGTGCCCGCCACCATATCCAGCTAATTTTTTGTATTTTTAGTAGAGATGGGGTTTCACCATGTTGGCCAGGATGGTCTTGATCTCTTGACCTCAGGTGATCCGCCCGCCTTGGCCTCCCAAAGTGCTGGGAGTACAGGTGTGAGCCACTGCGCCTGGCCAAGGCTAGGGTTTTTTTTTTTTGTTTTTTTGTTTTTGACAGAGTCTCGCTCTATTGCCCAGGCTGGAATGCAGTGGAGCAATCTCGGCTCACTGCAAGCTCCGCCTCCCGGGTTCACGCCATTCTCGTGCCTCAGCCTCCCGAGTACCTGGGACTACGGGCACCCGCCACCACACCTGGCTAATTTTTTGTATTTTTAGTAGAGACGGGATTTCACCACGTTAGCCAGGATGGTCTCAATCTCCTGACCTTGTGATCCACCCGCCTCGGCCTCCCAAAATGCTGGGATTACACGCATGAGTCACTGCACCCGGTCAAGGCTAGGGTTTTTAAGGATAATTTGGTGGGCAAGGGGCTAGGGAATGGGTGCTGCTGCTGATTGGTTGGGGATGTAATCATAGGAGTGTGGAAAACAGTCCTTGTGTGCTGAGTTAGTTTCTGGGTGAGGCCACAGGACTGGCTGAGTCATGGGTGATGTGTCCAGGTGGAGTCAGTTGGTCCCAGAAAGCAAAAGTCTGAAAAACATCTTAAAAGGCCAATCTTAGGTTCTACAATAATGATGTTATCTACAGGAGCAATTGGGGAGGTCCCAAATCTTGTGACCTCCAGCTTTATGACTTTTGAGCAGTAAGGGATTATAAGAAAGCAAGCTAAGGGACAATGGCTGGTTATTGTTTAATTACACATACATCTTAGCAGATTAAGGCCCCTTCCACAATCCTAACCTAGTGGCCTTTTGTTAGTTGTACAAAGGCAGTTTCAGTCTCTGAACAAAGAGGACTTTGAGGGACCATCTTTGCTTCGAAGCTCAACTATAAATTCCTCCCATGGTTAGCTTGGCCTACACCCAGGAGTGAGCAAAGACAGCCAGCCTGTGAGGCTGGAAGCAAGATGGAGTCAACCATGCTAGATTTCTCCCACTGTCATAATCTTTGCAAAGACAGTTTCAGTCTGGGTGAAGTTTGCAAATGTCTTTACTGTGTATTTTTCTTTTGACTCCTAGTCCTTCAGTTAGATTCAGTTAGAATTAGATTTGGTGGAAGACATAGACCCAAAATAAAGTGACTTAAATGAAAGTGCAGCTTATTTATCTTGGTTAAAGTGCAACTTATGTGGTAGCTCTGTCCACGAAGTCCTCAGGGACCGAACTCTTTCTATCTTGCTGCTTTCCTCTAATGCTCTGAGGGTTGAATTATGATCTAAAATGGCTACCTAGACAAGCCAACACATCTGCATTTCAATCAAAAGGAAGGATGATGGAAAAAAAGAAGACAAACTTTTGTCTTATCTGTTTGGTAAGGATGGTTGCCACACCTTGCTACATGATACTTTCTCTTACAGCCATTACCCAGTGCATAGTCACAGGGCCACAGCTAGCTGCAAGGGAGGCTGAAAAATGTTGTCTTTCTTCTGGGTGGCCATGTTAGAATTAGATAAAGATATTTTATTACCTAGAATGTGAGCGTTCTAGTATTATGAAACAACAACAATAAAATAACAACAACAACAACTGGATATTGAGGACCGGCCAGCAATCTCTGTCATCCTCTCCTCTATTGAACTTAGTTCATCTGGGCTAATTCTGTCAGAAATTCTTTGAACTTTAATCCAATGCACTAAATCTCGGTGAGGATATGAGTAGATTTCATGGAGCTGACAGCATCAGAGGGGAAAAAAGTCACTAATGAAAATCATATCTCAACCCATTAATGAAAATCATATCCACTAGGGAGTACACATTCCTAAGCCCAGACCTTAGGGGTATATCTCTGCTTGCGACATGAATACTCATCAATGTAAGTTTTGCAAGTGGAACACTTAGTATTCTCAGGAGTAACCAAATGAATACAAGATGTTGACTCATGTCACTTTGACTCCATGAGGTGTTGATTTTGTATATATAAACACAAACATTTAAATCAAAATTATATTTGCATCAATGATTTGCATCAATAAAAGTATGTCCTGGAGCAAATTTCATTTTGTAAATTTATAAAAAATTCATTTTAATATTTTATGTTTTAAATTTTATATTACATACAAACTGTTATATAACATTTATATAACTGTTTCTCATTTTTCTACTTCACTAGAATTATTTTCACTGGAATCATTTCCAGTTCTTTTACATGTAAGCTTCCCATTGAAGTTACAATTTAGCATTATTTTTTGACTTCATGACAAATTATAGTCATTAGAGTTTCTGACATTATGAGTTTTCTTTTGTGGTTAATTAACCAAGACCAGTTGTTTTTCCGCTGAAACTTTGTAGATCTAAATCTTGTCAAAAAGATTTTATTGATTTTTTCATCAATTTAAAATAAGTGACACATTTTACCATGTCTGTTTTTCTCAATTTTTCCAGTTTTCTTTTCTTTTTTTTTTTGAAATGGAGCCTTGCTCTGTCGCCCAGCTGGAATGCAGTCGCGCGATCTCGGCTCACTGCAAGCTCCGCCTCCCGGGTTCACGCCATTCTCCTGTCTCAGCCTCCTGAGCAGCTGGGACTACAGGTGCCTGCCACCACGCCTGGCTAATTTTTTTTTGTATTTTTAGGAGAGATGAGGTTTCACCGTGTTAGCCAGGATGGTCTTGATCTCCTGATCTCGTAATCCGCCCGCCTCGGCCTCCCAAAGTGCTGGGATTACAGGCGTGAGCCACCGCGCCCGGCCAATTTTTCCTGTTTTCAATGTTACCAATCAGCAGTTATTTTTCAGTCAGTTTTAATTTTATAACTAAATTGTGTTCAGTTTTGGCCACTGTTAATTTCATTTTGTATTTATTTCTATCAAGTCCAGTTTTCCCTGTCAACCTGGTCACAATATCCTTGGCATAACAATAGCCAGGCAAAATAACAACAACAAAAAACCCAATGAGATAAAACCCCAAATTCCAGGCAACTATTCTGACATGTTTGGTGGCTATAAAGATGGAAATAAATACATCTTAGGAATCTTCTAGTTCCATCTTCTCATTTTATAAGTGAGAAAACTGAGGTTTCCCAAGAAAGATGAAGTCTTGAGCCAGTGCAAGAGTTATTAAGGATGGAGGTGATGAGCAGGTGTGATAAATACTGATTGGACTGTGGGATGACAAAGAGGGACAAGTCTAGGATGATCTTGGATTTCAGGCTTGGGTGACTGGGTGGATATTGATGCTATTAACTCAGACAAAAATACATGAGTAGGTCAGGTTTGGAGGTGGGGACAGAGGACGAGTTCAGGTTTTTAAATGCTAGCCCGATGTTTAAGTGGAATCTGGATATTTGAATAAGTTTTTTTTTTTTTTTTTTTTTTTTTTTTGAGACAGAGTCTCGCCCTGTAGCCCAGGCTGGAATGCAATGGCATGATCTCAGCTTACTGCAACCTCCGTCTCCCAGGTTCAAACCATTCTCCTGCCTCAGCCTCCCAAGTAGCTGGGATTACAGGTGCATGCCACCACGCCCAGCTAATTTTTGTATTTTTAGTAGAGACGGGGTTTCACCATGTTGGCCAGGATGGTCTCGAACTCCTGACCTCAGGTGATCCTCCCGCCTTGGCCTCCCAAAGCATTGGGATTACAGGCATGAGCCACCGCACCCGGCCTGAATAAGAAATTTTTAAACAGGTCTGAATGGAAAGATAGACTTGGGAATTGTCAGCTTACAAACTTACAGGTGGTAGTCACCTGACAAGAGACAAAGTCACCACCCTGGGAAAATACACATCAAGGAGGCAAAGTTTGTGCAGGCCTGCAGGCCTCATATGGACAGCAGATGTGTTTTGTTTGGTCCAAAACAGAAGTTTAATAAAATGTGAATTAGTGAGCAATGTTTAAAATTTGTGAGATTTCATGTAAATATCTGTATATCGATTGGTGTTTTTTTTTCTTTTTCTTTTTTTTTTTTTGAGATGGAGTCTCACTTTGTCACCCAGGCTGGAGCACAGTGGCGTGATGTTGACTCACTGCAACCTCTGCCTCCTGGGTTCAAGCGATTCTCTTGCCTCAGCCTCCTGGGTAGCTGGGATTACAGGCACCCACCACCACGCCCGGCTAATTTTTGTATTTTTAGTAGAGACAGGGTTTCACCTTATTGGTCAGGCTGGTCTTGAACTCCTGACCTTGTGATCTGCCCGCCTCAGTCTCCCAAAGTTCTAGGATTACAGGCGTGAGTCACCATACCCGGCCCTCGATTATCTTTTAAGCAGGGGATCTGACATCACCGGGTCAGCATTCCTGGTTGGCAAAAATCAACAGAGCTGTGGTAGGGACCACGAGCTCCAGATCACCACAGTCTCTATCCCTGGGCTTCACTCCTTTGTGTTAACTGCCCGGCTGCTGTAGGCTTTGGGGTTTGCAGCCTCTGATGGAGCCTAAGAAAGCCAAGGGAAAAAAGAGCTCAGGAAAAGGGAAAGTGGAAGCCAGTGATAGAAACTGAGGAAAGATAGGTGACAGGAGAACCTAGAGGACTGACTTGGAAACAAGCAAAGAAATCAAGTTTGAAAGGAGGTGAAACAAACCTTGTTTTAGCTATATGATCCAGCTATTTGCTTAGGCCCCAAATTTAAGAATTATTTTTGACACTTTTCTTTTCCTTATCTCCCTTATCTAAACTCATCTCCAAGTCTGTCACATCTACCTCAGAATTATTCCTGAAATTTGTCCATTTCTATCATTTCTTACCTGCTCATTGCAAAAGCAACTCTTCTCTTTGCATCCTTTTAAATTGTTTCTCAAAAGTTTCATGTATACACAGCAGCTAGCAGGGTGATGTTATAAAACTAGATCCTGTCACTTACGTGTTGATAACTCTTCACTAGTTTCCCCTTACACTTCGAATAAACTCGTATTCCTCACAGGAACCCAGAGAGTCTGTGCATGATGGGGACTCTCCTTGCCTTCTTGATCTCATCCTCTGTTCTTCCCATGACCTACTTTCTCACTTTCTCCAAGGCACCACATTCTGCCCCTTCCCTATTGCTTGCTCACATGTAGATTCTTCTCTTGGCTGTTCTTTCCTTAGCTCTCCACAGAGTTGGCTGCTTCTCAGTTTACTGAACCTCTTCAGAGGGCACTTTCTTGACATCTCAAATCAAAAGGTCACCTGTCTTCCTTTAATTTCTCAGCAACTTATTTTCCTTCTACTTTTTTTTTTTTTTTTGAGATGGAGTCTCGCTGTCGCCCAGGTTGGAGTGCAGTGGCGCGATCTCGGCTCACTGCAGGCTCCGCCCCCCGGGGTTCCCGCCATTCTCCTGCCTCAGCCTCCCGAGTAGCTGGGACTACAGGCGCCCACCACCTCGCCCGGCTAATTTTTTGTATTTTTAGTAGAGACGGGGTTTCACCGTGTTAGCCAGGATGGTCTCGATCTCCTGACTTTGTGATCCGCCTGCCTCGGCCTCCCAAAGTGCTGGGATTACAAGCGTGAGCCACCGCGCCCGGCCTTTCCTTCTACATTTAATGTTTGCTTTCTCAACTAGAAAGTAATCCCCATGAGGGAAGGCACAGCGTCTGTCTTGTTCCTGGTTGTTTCCCCAGCTTTTGTTAAGGGTGCTTGCCTGGCACACAGGAGGACCTTAAATTGTGGTGGAATTAATATGTGAACAATAGTCACATGCAGCAGAGGTGAGACTAGGCTAAGGAATAAAATTGCACATCTGTATTTCAGTAACTTTTTTTAAATTTTATTTGAAACAGGGTCTTGCTCTGTGGCTCAGGGTGGAGTGTAGTGGCACGTTCATAGCTCATTGCAGCCTCGAACTCCTGGACCTAAGCAATCCTCCTGCCTCAGCCTCCATAGTAGCTGGACCACAGGTGCACGCCACCACACTCGGCTAATTTTTTAATTTTTTTGTAGAGACGGGGCCTCCCCAGGTTGCCCAGGCTGGTGATTTTTTTCTTAAGCTTCATAAAGATTTTGCAATTAGGAATACTAGGGTACCAGGGCAACTCTACAAGCCCTAGCCAGCCAAGCTGCTCGCGCCCTCCTATGACCGCGGCAGCTCCGCGCCTGCGCAGATCTCCCCCGGGCGGTCTCGCCCTCTCATCCTAAGGGGGCGGGCCTAGCGGAAGGCGGGTCAGGCAGAATGCGGCCCCGGGCGCGTGTGGATGACGTCACCCGGCGCGTGCCGGGGTAGCCCGTAGTAACCCCGAGTCTGCGGAAGTGGTGACCCGTGGGACGCGGCTGAGACAGGTAACCTGTTCGCTCCCTGTTGGGTCCCTGCCTTCCTCTCCTCCGGCGTCGGGATGGCGGCGGGGACAGCATCATTCCGTTCTGAAGGCGACGGGGAACCCTCCCTTACCCTCACTTTTGCTCGACCAGCGAGGACCCGCATCCCCTCCTCAGTTCTCCCAGACTCCTGGGGCTGAAACCCATCCTGGGGACTGGGCGGAGCGGTCACATCTTACCACCTCAGCTGTAGAGGTGGCCACGGGCTCTGGCTGTCTTCTCCCCGGCGGCACAGACCTTTCTCAGCCTCTGGGTGCCTCCTCCTTCGTCTCTTGCCTCCAGGCCCTCGGTCACCTGCCGGTCTCGGCTTCTAGCCCCACAGGGCTCATCTCCAGTCTTAAGTAGGCAGAACAGTTTCGATTCGATTCATTTCCACTTGCAGTGAAACCCATCCGCCTCTTCTTCCCCCGGAGGATCTTTACTGAGAGCACCACATTTTGAGTTTTGGGGTCCCTATAGAACATTCATACTGTTAGTCTGGAGTTTTGTTCATGAACGCATGCATGGGCGGGGAGGGGGTGGCACAGTAATGTGATTATGATTATCTATTGTGATAATAAAATATCCACTTAGGATCCAATCCACTGTTGAGATGCATGGAACAGTTAATAGCATTGCATAAAATGCCCCTTGTACCTGATTTCTTTTTGGTTTTCGTGCAATGATGACAATTACCCTTGCAAAGGTAGCCCTCAAAATAAGTAACATAACCCGCTAGGGATGTTTAGATCGCAAAAAAACAACAATAAGGTTCATATGGTTGATAAAGAAATAATATGGGTTATTACAAAACCAGACAGAATAGATGCTGAGTATATGGGACGAGAAGCAGAATTCTGAAATCCTTGATCTCATTGATTGTTTGGTTTTGTATTTTTAAAATACTTTTAGTCTGTTCCATTTTTGAATAGTGTATATTGTGCTTCGTATAAGTCTGGGAAGCCTTCCAATGACTTGCTAATTGGGAAGATTAGATTCTTCCAATATTTGGGGGACAAAGTAGAATAAGGTTAGGGTATAATAATAGTTGCTTACTGTTGGCCCATCTGCTTTATCCCAGGTACTGTGTTCAACACTTTGCATATGTTTTCTCCTTACTTCATACAACCACCTCGTGAGTTAGGAATTATTACCCCCAATTTATAGAGAAGGAAATTGAGTTTCGGTTATATGAAATTGACTTGCTAAAAATTCACAGTTAACTAAATGGCAAAATCAAGATTTAAATTCAGGTCTGAATATAACTTCAAAGCCTGCACTTTTCTTAAAGGACTCTACTAATGCTCAAATTTTAGGCTTTTTACAATAGTTGCACACAATTTTATGAGTTTGTTCACCTACACAAATGATTTAACACTTTTTAATATCTTTAATACTGTGTTAAGTTCCCATATTCCTGGAGTTAAAACACCTGGAAAGCTTAATTTGTGATCCTTCCTGCGTGCGCGCATGCACACACACACACACACACACACACACACACACCATCCTTATTTTTAAGAATGAGATAAATGGCAAACAAGATTGTGCAGTAAAACCCTGCTGTTTGGAGTCCTCAGGGAATGGGTAATTTTACAGTTGAGAGCTTAATACTTCTTTAGAAATGAAAATTTTATTGACTCTTTGAGATGGAAATTTTAAAAATGTACTACACAATTTCTTGCCTTCTTAAACACTCAGGATGCCGAGTAGATTTTTGACCTCACTGTGCCCGGTCGAGGACAGTTCTTCTAAGGAATTTGGCTGTGAGGAGATAAAGAAGAGTTAGAGGGAGATGTGGACTTAAGGGAGGGTTTTGTTCATTTGTGGGTTTTTCCTGTAAGAAGAGACTGGAACATTCACATTTGTGAGGTGGAAAGGGCTTGGAAACAGGAAGATGCTGAGGTCAAGGATTTAGAGGGCTGGATGATTGATGAAGCAAGGTCCCAGAGGCCACCAAAAGACGATCTCCAGAGCAGAGGCCACCTTCAGGCTATGCGGGGCACGAGGGACACTTCTTCCACTCTCCTGGGAGGGATGGGGAGAAGGGTGGGCACAGACGTGAGTGAGTGTGTGGGATGAGGAAGAAATGTGTGGAAGTTCTTGTGTGATGGAGCAAAAGTTCTTAAGTGCAGCAGGTGAATTTGCTGACATTGCGTTGATTTGTTGGGATAGGGATTGAGGAAAGTTGGTAGAAGTTTAGAATAATCACTGAGGGAAAAGGACAGGGTTTGATGGGGAGACTAGAGAGAAACATGAAGGGTTGCCTGTCCAGGAAAGTTGGTGTCCCACCAAAGTTGGAGTCTATGAATATCTAGAGTCAGATATTCTTGTGATCGTGATATTTATTCAGCTTTTGTTGAGCTTAGTAGTTTAGAAGTACAGAAGGTGGATGATTCCATTGCTTAAAGGTTTGGTTTTATAAAAGTTCTGTCAGAAGGATGAAAGAGCAAGAGACTTGAGGTTAAAATGTTCCAAGAGTGTTTGAAGAAATGAACTATGTTATTCTAAAGATGTCCATAGAGGCTGGGGGCACTGTGGCTCACTCATCCCAGCACCTTGGGAGCCCAAGGCAGGAGGATCCCTTGAGCCCAGGAGTTCAAGACCAGCCTGGGCAACATGATGAAATCCTGCCACTACGAAAAATACAAAAATTAGCCAGGCATGATGGCATATGCCTGTAGTCTCAGGTACTTGGGGGAGGCTGAGATGGAAGGATTAGCTTGAGCCCAGCAGGTCGAGGCTGCAGTGAGCTGTGGTGGCGCCACTGCACTCCAGCCTGGGAGACACAGTGATGAGACACTGTCTTTAAAAAAAAAAAAAAAAGAAAGAAAAGAAGACCATAGAGCAGGGAGTCTCTACTTCTGAAACATTTATAATTCTCTGCTGTGGGGGGCTGTCCTGTGCATTGTAGGATGTTAGCAGTATCTCTGGTCTCTGCCTATTAGATGCCTGTAGCAGACCTCTCCAGTGTGATAATCAAAAATGTCTCAAGACGTTGCCAAATGTCTTCTGAGGGGCAAAATCAGCCCCAATTGAGAACCACTGCCATAGAGTCAGAGGAAGCAGATGGATTGGAGAAAATGTTAAAGCTAAGGGACTGGAGTCTCGATGAAAAAAGAAAGAGCTGGCAAGTAAGCAAGAGAAAGAGTAGGAAGACTGGGAGGCTGTGCTTGGAGGTTAGACTATTGAAATTATGTCACAGGTGGAACTCTTCCACATAATGAAAATGTCTGGGCCGGGCACAGTGGCTCACGCCTGTAATCCCAGCACTTTGGAAGGCCGAGGTGGGTAGATCACGAGGTCAGGAGATCGAGACCATCCTGGCTAACGCAGTGAAACCCTATCTCTACTAAAAATACAAAAAATTAGCTGGGCGTGGTGGCGGGCGCCTATAGTCCCAGCTACTCGTGAGGCTGAGGCAGGAGAATGGCGTGAACTGGTGAGGCGGAGCTTGTAGTGAGCCGAGTTTGCGCCACTGCACTCCAGCCTGGGCGACAGAGCGAGACTCCATCTCAAAAAAAAAAAAAAAAAAAGTCAAGAATGGACCATTGGTCTTCTTCTGTCTAGTATAAATTTTATAAACAGATTAATATCAGAGATCATTAATGCATTTCCTTGAGAGTGAAGAAAAAACGACATCCAGGCCTGTTTCCTAACAGCAGTGATTATTTCCACTTCCAGGCGTAGTGACCATTGTTCAGCCTGACCTCCATTAATTCTGTTGAGTAATTCTTTTGAAAAGTGATGTTTTTTATTTCTTGACTCATAAAGCGTGTAACTTACATGCTATTTGAGAATAAACCTCTATTTTACATTGAGATTTATACCAAATGGCAAAATATAGGATCTCTCTATCTTCGGACAGAATGAGAAGAAACACTTTTTCTACAAGTAAAAATTGTTTTTAAAAAACAGCAAAAAGGATGAAATAGTTGCCTAAATAAGAGGCGTAACTCAGACGTATTCAGAAACTAGTTTTCAACCTTAGTTTCTGCTGCAGGTTTTCTCAGGATTGTGTAGTCATCATCACAGTGGTTATGAAGAATTAGGACATAGTTGGGTCGGTGGTTGTAATTCTGACTGGTTGTTTAATATAATTATACTATTTTATGTACACTGAGAAATTTATATACTAAGTAAAGCATGTCTTGTAATGTTAAAGAAAAAAAAGACGATTAATTTGCTACGTGCAGTGAAGGCGAAGGTTGTTGGCGCTGAGTAGGTCATTTTGAGAGTGGGGAAATGGAGATAATATTACCTGTGGTTAGGGAGCAGGTTGGAAAAGCAGCAGCAGGACAGCCTCAGAGTTTCTGAAATGACACCAGGACTAAGGCTTTCTGGATGCTTGTTTTCTCACTCCGCCCGGTAAGTGCTTCTCAGCTCTTTTCTAGCATAATCATTTCCCCCAACTTTTACTTCTCTCTTGTAGTGTTTTAACAAGTCAAGAGACTTATCCAACTTGTTTTTTTTTTTTTTGAGACGGAGTCTCGCTCTGTCGCCCAGGCTGGAGTGCAGTGGCGCGATCTCGGCTCACTGCGAGCTCTGCCTCCCGGGTTCACGCCATTCACCTGCCTCAGCCTCCCGAGTAGCTGGGACTACAGGCGTCCGCCACCATGCCCGGCTAGTTTTTGTATTTTTAGTAGAGATGGGGTTTCACTGCGTTAGCCAGGATGGTCTCGATCTCCTGACCCCGTGATCCGCCTGCCTCAGCCTCCCAAAGTGCTGGGATTACAGGCGTGAGCCACCGTGCCCGGCCCAACTTGTTTTTTTAAATAGTACTTTTTAGGTGAATAGTTCTTCAGTATTCTCTTGATTTGATTTTGTCATCTTTTTGCTAGGCCTCCAAAAAGCCCTGGTTTCTGTGCTATGTGATATACTTTTAGAGCAGTTCTTTTGCATTTGGGCATCTGATTATAAAGTCTCTCGTTGGTAAAAGAAATGTCAACATATCTTTAAATTTTACAACTCTTAGAAGGTTTTTTTTCCCCCTGCCTTTTTTCCCTAGTCTGTTCTCTTTTGCCTTTTTTTTTTTTTTTTTTTTTTTGAGACGGAGTTTCGCTCTTGTTGCCCAGGCTGGAGTGCAATGGCATGATCTTTGCTCACCTCATTGGTTCTAGCAATTCTCCTGCCTCAGCCTCCCAAGTAGCTGGGATTACAGGCACCTGGCACCACACCTGGCTAATTTTTGTATTTTTAGTAGAGGTGGCGTTTCACCATGTTGGCCAGGCTGGTTTCGAACTCCTGACCTCAAGTGATCTGCCCACCTTGGCCTCCCAAAGTGCTAGGATTACAGGTGTGGGTCACCCCGCCCAGCCTGTTCCCTTTTACTTTTTATTGTTCCATATTCGTTTTTAACATATACATATGTACAATGTTAATTGGGAACTAATTACAGTATACTCTAGAGGATGTAAGCAACTTCTAGAATATGCCTTTTAATATTCTCCCCATGTTTGATAATCCATGCTTTCAGTCAACTTTTTTTTTTTTTACCTTATCTTTATGAGCATAACCTACATTATTCATCAAGTAAGAATGGGTACTAATTCCCATCTCTTTTACAAAGCATTAAAAACACAACTGTCTTATCCACAGATACAAGCTGATGTAGGTTTTGTTGTTACATCATTAGTCTTGTCACTGAAAAACAGTAAGTAGGTGGCATTAAAAGCCTTGGAGTTTTAACTTGATTCTCATACAAATTTTTCAGGAATCTAGTCTATTTGATAGGGTATAAGAAGTGTCTTCTATCAAGGAATTTCCTATGATAGGCAGTAAATTCCCTATTGGTGTTTAATAATGATATTTTATTACCTTATTCACATACTTAAATATGAGGATTTCTAAGAAAAAGATATTACCTCAAGAAAGAGTGATGACTAGGATTTCATACGGACCTGATTTGTTTTGGTGTTTAGGATCTGGCACATCAAAGGAGAAATGGGTTGTTCTCTCCAGACCATGAAAATGGACATTTATACTAAATACAGAATATAAACTCAAGAGCATGACAGAAGACTATGTTTTATCAAATAACTTAACACTTTAAAAAGCAGCAGCATTACATTCTGGCAGTTGCTCTCTAGTGGCAGATAGCACAGATCTGTCTGTGTCCTATCTGCAGCAGTCTCTGTGCTGTCTGCAATCTTGGCCAAGTCAAGATCCTTCAGTGGTCATGTTTGAGCAAGTGGATGCCCAAGGACTTTGACAGTTAGTTTATAACAAATTTTTTTTTGTTTTGGAACATGGCATAACATCTTTTCTAATAAGAGAGTATTTCAGGTTCTGGAAATATCATGGTTACTGTATATGCTGTGTTTAATCATTTTCTTTCTCTTTTTTTTTTTTTTTTTTTGAGACAGTGTCTCACTCTGTTGCCCAGGCTGGAGTGCAGTGGCATGATCACAACTCATTGCAAGCTTAATCTCCCAGGCTCAAGCGATCCTCCTGCCTCAGCCTCCTGGGTGTCTGGGACTACAGGTGCGCACCACCATGCTCAGCTAATTTTTTGTATTTTCTTTAGAGATGACATTTTGCCGTGTTGCTCAGGCTGATCTTGAACCCTTGGGCTCCAGTGATCCACCTGCCTTGACCTTCAAAGTGCGGGGATTACAAGTGTGAGCCACTGCATCTGGCCTAGTCATTTTCTTATGATGGTTTTAGAAATTCCTATTTTTACACCACATGGCAAATTGTAATGTTATGTAGTATTTGCACCGTGTAACCAGCTCATGGCAAGCACTTTAAACATACCCTTAGGTTCCTTCTGTATTGGTGTAGTTCTGTATTTGTTCTCTAGGTTTACACTTTTTTCTTCAGCATATATACCTTAGCCTTTATAAGAAATGGAATCTTAAAGGAAAATAAACTGTTGAAACTTACCTTTAAAACTTCCTAATTCATTTCAATATGACCTACAAATTAAGTGTCAGTTGCCTGTTTAAATTTAAAAGATGATTGAGCTCCTGAAGATCTAAAGATATTTAAGCTATACCAAATGCATTTTCTTACCTTAATCCCAGGTGCTTTTCAATTTCCAGGAATTTGTTGAAATATTTTGTCTTGGCAAGGATGAACTGAATACATGTTCAGTTTACCACATAGAATCTGGTGCTGGGAGTATATTTTAAACCTTGATGAGGTGGATTCAAAACCATTTAGAGAGAAAGGGGCACCCATTTGCAGTGTGTAAAGTCTGGATCTTCCTCTGAATGGAGAAATGTGCGTTCTATATTTATTCCCACAAAGAACTAGAATATAAATATTGAGATCTGAATGCCTTTTATTTATTTATTTTTATTGATTGATTTATTTACTGGCCTTGGCAATCCTCTGAGTTTATACTTGAGCTTATTTTGCCTCTAGATACAGTGCTCCCCGCCGAGTTTATCTGCACAGCTGCAGCGCCGGGAACATGATCACCAAATAAATCCTAGGGTGGGGGAGCTTGTCTTGCTTTCTGGCTGAAGGAAGTGTAGTTGCCTAAGACAGGAACAGAGGGACCTCTTGCCCTTCCTACAGTTTTTCCTGTTATAGGAAGTATAATGTCCTACAGAGAAGGACAGAAAGATGGTTGGTGCAGTGTAGGAAGTGGGAGTTGTAAGGTCAGACAGAGGCCAGCAATTGGGGGAGGGATAAGGAAGCCTGCTTATACTTGGAGTTGCCAAGAAAAGGCCTGCTAATCACCCATATACAAGTTTTCAATAATGAGAATTTCCTCAATATACTTAACAGCAAGAGTCCTACACAGGAAGCCCTGCAGTAAGTGGCCAGAGAATTTGCCAGATGCAGCCATTTTTAGCATCACTGAACTCTACAGTGGATTTTAAATAGTACTGGTTGGGAGGAGACCAGAGTTAGATTAAGCCTTTTCTCAAAGTTTGGTCTCTGGACCAGCATATTAATATTGGAACTTGTTAGAAATGCAGATTCTTAGAGCCCAGTAGTCTGTGTTTGAACCACTGGCCCAGCCAATTCAACCTAATTGTAGTGGCAAAGTCAAAATATTGGGAAAGAATGAGTGAAAACTTCATTATATGTTAGAACATCTTCTGATGTTTATATAGGGATGGCAGGGAATGCTGTTTCAAGTTGAAGGACGGAAAAAACAGCTTCAGTTATAGATACCAGTAACATGCAACATTGTTCCTGTAGGTGGAGAATACCCCCATTTGTGGCTACAATTCACCCTGGTCTGGAATCTAAATTCTGCCAGATTATAATACAAGAGAGCTTTTCACTTTGCCTCTTTTTTCGTTTTAAATATTTATTCCTTGATTGTATTAATATTTATATATGCATTGACCAGTGAAATTTTGTTTTCATGGCTTTGTGATGGCAAGAGTTGGTTTAAGTAGCTCATTGGTTCAGAAACACTAGATACATAAAAATTATCTTGATATCCTGTGTAAAATGTAGATTATTGGCTGCTATCCTTGCATGTCCAAGAATCTGCATTTTTTCTTTTTTGAGACGGAGTCTCGCTCTGTCACCCAGGCTGGAGTGCAGTGGTGCGATCTCGGCTCACTGCAAGCTCTGCCTCCTGGGTTCACGCCATTCTCCTGCCTCAGCCTCGCAAGTAGCTGGGACTACAGGCACTCACCACCACGCCCGGCTAATTTTTTGTATTTTTAGTAGAGACAGGGTTTCACCGTGTTAGCCAGGATGGTCTCGATCTCCCGACCTCGTGATCCACCTGCCTTGGCCTCCCAAAGTGCTGGGATTACAGGTGTGAGCCACCGCGCCCGGCCAAGAATCTGCATTTTTAACAGGCACCACTCACACCAGCCCACCCCCAACCTGCAACGTTGTTTATTGGGCTTGTGGTTCTCAGACTACATTTTGAGAAACACTGTGCTAAATTTCCAAGGAGAGTGATTTTAAAGTAACAGCTTTATTGAGATATAATTCACATGCCACAAAATTCACTCTTTAAAAGAATATAATTTATTGATTTTTAGTATATTTACAGAATTGTGCAACCATCACCACTGTATAATTTTAGGATATTTCCATCATTCCTCAAGGAATCCCTGTACTGATTGGCAGTGACTCCTCATTCTCTCTTTATCCCAGTCCTTGGCAACTACTTTCTGTCCCTGTGGATTTGCCTATTCTGGACATTTCATGTAAATGTAATCATAGAATATGTGGCCCTTCGTATCTTCCTTCTTTCACGTCTCACGGTGTTCTCAAGGTTCGTCCAGGTTGTGGCATGTCGGTACTTCAGTACTTCATTCCTTTTTACAGCTGAATAATATTCCACTGTGTGGATGGACATTTTGTTGATCCATTCATCAGTTGATGGTCATTTGGTTGTTTTGCTGTGCGTATGTTTTTTAAAACAATATTAACTATATCTGGGCCTTTTCAAATCATCACTGGATAATTCTGTAGAGTGTCTTAGAGGGGATTCCTATAGGAAGTGGGGACTGGATTTAGAGTCCCTTCTGTTCATGGATTTGAGGAGTCTGTATCTGTAATTTCTTTGGGCTAGTGAAATACATTCTTCTAAGAGCTAGAGCAGCTACTTTTTCTTCATAGCAGAACATTTGATATTGAAAAAAATCTTTTTACATGACTTGTTTAAGGACTATATTTCAAAATAGTTTCTATTAAAAATAGTATTCTTTAGCATTTCTGGGGAGGAGGAACTCTTACTGAAAAAGCTGGTATTTTTGTCTGTATTTTCTTTTCTTTTCCAATCTCTTCATTTTTACTCTACCGAACCCTATAACCCAACTCTATTAATCTAGATCCTCTTTCCAGCACATAAATATTTATGGACAGTAATAAATTATATTAGTTCTAATAGAGTTTAAAATGTTTTGTGAATTTTTATCCCAGCATGACAAAAATCACTGGGTGGTCTGATACCACCTTCATCTTTAAATATTTAACCAATTCTTTTTATTTTTAAAGGCTACATTAATTGAATGATATCCATAAAAGTGTTTAATAGTACTTACCTTGGGCCCACAGTGCGCAAAGCACTTCATGGAATTAAGGTCCTTTTTGCATCTGCTCTCCTCATACCTTATTTCAACTGTGGTACTCAAAATCTGGGCCCACCACTCTGCAGTGGGGACAGTGACTGAACTTGCATGTGACTAGGATTATGAAGGGTTTAGAAACTGTGTCATGTGAGAGTTGGCTGAAAGAATGGAGGTTGTTCAGTTGTTAAAGAGACTACTCAGGCAATGACAGCCCTCCCAGCCATTCAGAGCTTGTCTAGAGAAATCTTATTCTTCCTTTGGGTAGTAGTGGGGAGAAACTGGAGTGAAAGGATATGTCAACAGGCTGTTAATTTTGTTGGGTTATAAGTAGGCCAAAAACATGGAGATTTTTTTTAATGTTTCTTTCTTCTTTTTTTTTCTGTTAGACAGAGTCTTGCTTTGCTATCCCAGCTGGAGTGCAGGCTCAAACTCCTGGGCTCAAGCGATCCTTTGCCTCAGCCTCCTGAGTAGCCGAGAGTACAAGCACATGCCACCATGCCTGGTTAATTTTAAAATTTTTCTTTTGTAGAGATGGGGGTCTTGCTATATTGACCAGGCTGGTTTCAAACTCCTGGCCTCAAGCAATTCTCTGGCCTTGGCCTCCCAAAGTGCTGGGATTACAGGTGTGAGCCACTGTGCCCAGCCCAGTTTTTCATTCTTATGTACCTTTCCACTATCTTTCAGTTCCTAGAATATCTAGTCCAGTGTCTGATGGTAAGAATGGTTTCTGGATTGTATTTTACCTGTTCAGGATATATGGAATGTTAAATTATTGCATCAGCATTAATGCATTATTTTAGCCTTAACAACAGTGTATAAATTTGTAAAGTGCTGTTTGATATTATACAATTTTATATAGCTAAGTTTTATTAGATCAGGATTAAAATATACCTTCCATTTGGTATAATGTGTAAAGTTTAGTCACTTCTTAAAATATAAGACTGCAATATGTATAACTTGCCATGCCAATAAGCAACAAGATGTGGTGTGCTTAAGAGTGAGGGAGAAGTCTCTGGTTGTGGTGAATATCCGTATTTGGTTGGGGATATAGGGAGTTCCTGGCCTGTTTCACTTTTGACTGTCTGGTTCAGCTTATGGTTCAGCTTAGGATGGAATGTACTGCTCTGTGCTTTAAACTGCCATTTTTGATCTAGGCTTGGACTGGGGTTCGGGCAGTAGAGTGTAGTGCTGAGAGTTCAGGGTCTGGGGCCAAACCAGGGGAATCTCACTTCTGCCATCTCATCTTTGTGAACCCAGGAAAGTATCTTAACTTCTCTGGGCCTCAGTTTACTTATCTGTAAGATGGAGATGACAGTACATACCTCAATGGGTAGTGAGGATTTAATGCAATAGTGTACTTCATGTACCTAGCCTGTCTCATAGCAAGCAGCCAATAGTTTTTTGGTGCAGTTGCTACTTGTTAATATGAGTGTCTGAAGGTCAAGGGCCTTCTCTAAGGTTTCTGAATAGAGGAGTTCTGAATTCACTGAATTCCCAAAGGAGAAAGACTCTGGTTCACCTGGTTTCTCTAAGTCATTCTAGGTTCCTGTTGCCTGCTCAGGACAACACCTGGGGAAGTTTTGGGTGAATGGGATTCTCCTGGCCTTCCACTCTCTGAATATGTCCCTGCCTTGTTCCTGGCCTCTGACATGAAGTGTTTGTGTAGTGGGAGTTCTCTGGCGGTTTTCAGAGGAGCATGGCTAAATGTGTAGATAATCCATAGGAACACTAGAACATCAGAGCACTGTGAACAGTTTTGTACCACCTGTGCTACAGGAGATACAGAAAAGGACACGAGAAAAAAAATTATTATTATTATTTTTTTTTGAGATGGAGTCTCGCTCTGTCACCCAGGCTGGCATGCAGTGGCGCAATCTCCGCTCACTGCAAGTTCCGCTCCCCGGGTTCACACCATTCTCCCGCCTCAGCCTCCCGAGTAGCTGGGACTACAGGCGCCCGCCACCACGCTTGGCTAATTTTTTTGTATTTTTAGTAGAGACGGGGTTTCACCGTGTTAGCCAGGATGGTCTCGATCTCCTGACTTCGTGATCCGCCCGCCTCAGCCTCCCAAAGTGCTGGGATTACAGGCGTGAGCCGCTGTGCCCCAAGAGAAAAATATTTTAAATTAATGATAAGGACAAAGTGAACTGTAACTAAATCCCCATGAATAATAAAACTACATTCAGTTTTGTATGATTGAAATATCTATTCAGAAAGTGTCTATTAAGCATGAATTCATACTGGTCAGTCTAGGAGCAAGAATGCCAGGAAAGCTCCTGGGCCACTCATGACCAAAACTACGTCTCAAGTCCATGTCAGGTTCTAACTGCTCTCCTCCTGAAGGCAGCTTGCAGGGCTCATCTGGCTTCCTCTGCTCTCAGAGCTGCCTCCACCCACCCATCTCCTGGAATTCTGTATTTCCCAAGGTTGGCTGCAGCGTGGCCGTACTTTCCTTAGCTCCCAACTTTCCTTGTTGTCCTGGTGGTTGTCTTCAGACCCTTTTGGGGTTAAGGATTTTCTTACTAATCCTTATGGAAAAATAAAGGGCAATTTAAAGATTTGGTTAAAGATAAGGGCAGTTTAAAGATTTGGAGTGTTGGCTGGGCCCAGTGGCTCACGCCTGTAATCCCAGCACTTTGGGAGGCCAAGGTGGGCAGATCACCTGATATCAGGAGTTCGACACCAGCCTGACCAACATGGTGAAACCCTGTCTCTACTAAAAATACAAAAATTAGCCAGGCGTGGTGGCAGGCGCCTGTAATCCCAGCTACTTGGGAGGCTGAGGCAGGCGAATTGCTTGAACCGGGAGGTGGAAGTTGCAGTGAGCCGAGATCGTGCCATTGCACTCCAGCCTGGGGGACAAGAGCGAAACTTCGTCTCAAAAAAAAAAAAAAAAAGATTTGGAGTGTTTACAATTGTAGTTATCAGTCCACTGCTAAATAGTAACCGCTAAGATGTAACTGGAAGCCAGACCAGGCGTCTCTCCTTGTTACGCTAGGCATGAAGTTCACCAGACCTATTCTATTGGTTGGACTGTTCTTCTACCCACTGAAACCCCTCCTTTCTACCACTAGTGGAGACTGAGGAAATCAGGAAAGAACCACGAGAGCCCTCCCCATCTTGAGGGTGGAGTTTGCATTGCCAAGGACCTCTAGATAAGTTGATGCCCTATTTTAAAAGATACCTCAGATTTGTTCTAATCAGGTATGGCATGATGACAGACACAGAAACAAGCTGCTTTTGAAAGAAGAGTTTATTATTATAGTTCCCAGAAGGAGGGGGTGCATCACGCCCTCATATGACACAGGGCCATATGAGGAAGCACCGGGATTGGTCAGGAGGCAGAAAGAGTTGGGGGAAGCATGGGCAGGAGCTTTTATTGGGGTTTCTGTGGGAAAGGCAAGGCTAGCAGGCTGAGCAGATGAAGGATTGGCTAGTTTGAATAATTTTGGAGGGCTCTAGGGGTGGTCCCTGCTTGTGTAGTACCTGGCTGTGGGGTGATGTAGGACAGTGGCAATATTGCTTGGGCTATGAGAGTTAGATAAGGACGTGGTTGTGGACTGTGGATTGGTTGGTTTGCCTATGAAAGGCATGCTCACAGGCAAGTTCTTTGCTATCTCTTGGAATTAGCCCTGGGAGGAGCAATTTCTCCAGGATTAGCAAGGCTCCAAGATGTCAAAACATCATAAAATATAGAAAATAAAAAACATGATTAATGCATAACCCTTCCAGCAGAACTGTGCTTATCACACAAGTGATTCTTTTGGGAGCATTTTCTTATTGAGTGATAGAAAGAATGGTAAAGTGGCTCCTTGCACCCCTCGAGTTTACTGTCTAGCTTAGTAAATAAGGCCTGCACACATGAAAGTGACCAGCCATGCAGGACACAAGATCACATGCCAGAAAGTTCAGCATAGTATAATGGGAGCTCAGAGAAAGGAGAGATGAGAATGTTGTAGAAGCAGTAGAGGGCAGTGGTTCAGAGGCTGCTGGGTCCATATCCGGCTTCATCAGTTACAAACTGTGTAACCTTAAGCAAGCTGGAAAATTCCTGTGTTTTAGTTTCCTTATTTGTAATATAAGTTTAATAATAGTAGTACCCATATCAGAGTTACAGTGAAGACTAAATGAGTTAATACATTGAAAGGGCCTAGCACAAAGGCTGGCGCTTAATAAGAACTCAGTAAGCATCAGCTGTTATAGGGCTGGTGAGGAAAGTTTCACAGAGTGGATACAATTGATTGTTACCTTAAAGATGGGGAGGTGGCAGGAGGAGAGAGAGAGTGAGTGAGAAAGTGTTTCTCTGTTGGGTTGGGGTGGATGTGGGGTGGTGGCTGGAAATGAGCCTGGCAAATTCAGGTAATAGAAGGTTGGTCTGATAGGATAAGGTTGAAAAAATAGGTTGGTGAGAGTTGTGAATGGTAAGGATTTTGCATTTTTTCTTTAAACCATGGAAATTCATTCAGGGCCTTTTTCCCCCTTTTGTTTTTATTTTATTTTTTATTTTTTTATTTTTTTATTTTTTTGAGATGGAGTCTTGCTCTGTCGCCCAGGCTGGAGTGCAGTGGTGCGATCTCGGCTCACTGCAAGCTCCGCCTCCCAGGTTCACGCCATTCTTCTGCTTCAGCCCCCCGAGTAGCTGGGACTACAGGCGCCCGCCACCATGCCTGGCTAATTTTTGTATTTTTAGTAGAGACTGGGTTTCACCGTGTTAGCCAGGATGGTCTCCATCTCCTGACCTCGTCATCTGCCCGTCTCGGCCTCCCAAAGTGTTGAGATTACGGGTGTGAGCCACTGCACCCGGCCTTCCCCCTTCTTTTTTTTAAAAGCAGGGACGTGACATTAAATTAGCGCTTCAGGAATCTTACTCTTAGTGGTATGGTTCTATAGAGAGGAGAGACTTGGACAGGTTATATAAGTCAGAATAGATTAAGTTAGTAGTAATTAAAAACAACTCCAAAATCTTTGCGGCCCCCCAAAAAAGAAGGTACGTTTCTTGGTCATGCTATTCCATCACAGCTGAACTGGGGACTCTGCTCATCACAGTCATTCTGAGACCCAGGCTGATAGAACAACCAACATGTCACATTTTGTTTACCTTTAGAGAGCAGAGAAGAGCACTCTAGAGGGTTATGCACTAATGATTAAATGCTAGGCCTGGAAGGGACACGCATACTTCCATTTACAACTCAGCACTAGAGTGCAGTCACATGTCAGTAACCAGTTACAGGGGTTCAAGAAACCTTCTATGTTTGTGGGGAGGGGCTGGGTAGAAAGAACTGGAAGTATTCAAAAATAGCACTGACGACCACACAGGGAGTCTTATTTAGAAGGTGGTTGTGTAATAGTTGAAGTGGGTGGTCTTAGCTGCTGGGTCACAGTTGTTGCAGTCAATACAGAGAAGAGTTGTATACAAGAATTTAAAGCAGTAGAATTTAAAAGTTGATCATTGATTGGGTCGAGTTACAAAGAAGAGAGGAGTCAATGTGAAGCAAAACTTTTGGTGTGTGTTGAGGGGATGGTAGCAGACCAGTGGGGTGCCCTCAAGGCCTCTAGAGCTGTGCTCCTTGATGAGTAGCCCACCAACCAGTGCCTACCCACAGGCAGTAATTGGTTTGCAAGGAAATAAGTGCAGAAATAGAGGGTACTCATTTAGAAATGTTTATATTAATTCTTTTTTTTTTTTTGGACTTAGTCTCACTCTGTCGCCAGGCTGATGAGTGCAGTGGCGCGATCCTTGGCTCACTGCAACCTCTACCTCCCAGGTTCAAGTGATTCCCCTGCCTCAGCCTCCCGAGTAGCTGGGACTACAGGCACGCGCCACCACGCCTGGCTAATTTTTTGTATTTTAGTAGAGACAGGGTTTCACCATGTTGGCCAGGATGGTCTTGATCTCCTGACCACGTGATCCGCCTGCCTCGGCCTCCCAAAATGCTGGGATTACAGACGTGAGCCACTGCACCTGGCCACTTTTCTTTATTTCTATGCTATAGTTTGCCCTGATTATATTTATGTTGAATCTAATACAAATTTGGGGCATGTAATTTTGTGTTTTTTTCTTTTTCTTTTTAGTGATCTATTTTTATTATATTTTATGAAAGTATAAGGGGAAAAATAACCGCAGATTGTTGGAGAAGCATTGCTTTGGAGATAGGAGGCAGGGATGTAGAGATCAGAGCTGGATAGCAAGTTGAATCCTTTTTGTAGAATAATGAGTTGAGTACCTGAGATGTGAGCAAGAGAAAGACTTCAGAAAGAGAAGAGGGCCCACGGCTAAGCCTTGGGAGGCACCCAGTGTTCTGGAGACAGGCATGTAAGAAGAGATGCAGGCTGCTCTCTGTGGAGTAGCCATTCCTTTATTCCTTTACTTTTTTAATAAACTTGCTTTCACTTTGCAATATAAAAGAAGAAGAAGAAGAAGAAGAAGAAGAAGAAGAGGAAGAAGAGGAAGAAGAGGAAGAAGAAGAGGAAGAAGAAGAGGAAGAAGAGGAAGAAGAAGAAGAAGAAGAGATGTGGATGATACTGTGTCCCAGGAATCATCGGAGGTGGTGGAAAGTTAGTGGTATGAGATGCCACAGAGAGTCAAGGAAAATAAGGCCTGAGGTTAAACTAGACTTGGCAAGAAGTAAGTCATTGTGAATGTTTGAAAGTAAACTTGTAGTGAAGTGGTGTGATCAGATGCCAGATTTCAACAGTTTAAGAAATATGCAGTCACAAAATAGAAAAGGTTATAACCTTCTGGTCAGAAAAGTTTGATAGATAAACAAAAGCAACAACTAGAGTGTTAGCTATTGAGCCCAGCAAGGGAAAGCACATTTTGTTATTGTTTTTTCCAATAGGAAATCATGAGCAACTCAAAAGGCTTCTACCACCTGGAAGATGGGAAAATCAATGAGGGAGGAGGGAGATGGCAGTGTTCCATGGCTGGGAATGGAGTGGAGGACAGAGGCCATGGGAGTGGACCCGGGGGTGAGGACAGGGGTTGGATTGAACCCAGGTAACTACCCACACAGCAGATAAGGTCATTAGGAGGGGAAACGTGGATGGGAATCTGCAAATCTCAGTTGACTCAAACAGGGAAAAATGCAAGCTGGCATACCTGGGAGTTAGTCTTGATGCTGCGGTAGATGTGGTCAGAGTTAAGCGAGCAGGGACTTGGGAGTCCCAGTGAGAGCATTAATGAAGTGCTTTGACATTGTGACCATGGGGTCCAGCGTGGGCTACTCAGCTTCTTCCTCTAGTCCACACTCGGTAAAAATGAAGGTTACTGAATAACAAGGCAATGGTGGGGAGGGAGGAATGGAGTGGGGTTACTTAATCCTTAATCATGATTAAGAATAAGATATGGGGCTGTGCGCGGTGGCTTATGCCTGTAATCCAGACTTTGGGAGGCTGAGGCGGGCGGATCACGAGGTCAGGAGATTGAGACCATCCTGGCTCACACAATGAAACTCCATCTCTACTAAAAATACAAAAAATTAGCTGGGTGTGGTGGCAGGCGCCTGTAGTCCCAGCTACTCGGGAGCCTGAGGCAGGAGAATGGCCTGAACCCGGGAGGCGGAGCTTGGCAGTGAGCCGAGATCGTGCCACTGCACTCCAGCCTGGGTGACAGAGTGAGACTCTGTCTCAACAACAACAACAACAAAATATGGTGGGCTGGTTGCGGTGGCTCATGCCTGTAATCCTAGCACTTTGAGAGGCCAAGGTGGGCGGATCACCTGAGGTTGGGAGTTCGAGACCAGCCTGACCAACATGGAGAAACCCCGTCTCTAGTAAAAATACAAAAATTAGCTGGGCATGGTAGTGCATGCCTGTAATCCTAGCTGCTTGGGAGGCTGAGGCAGGAGAATCACTTCAACCCAGGAGACGGAGGTTGCAGTGAGACAAGATTGTGCCATTGCACTCCAGCCTGGGCAACAAGAGTGAGACTCTGTCTCAAAAAAAAAAAAAAAAAAAAAGAATAAAATATGGTACAAATTGGATTTACGATAAAATTATTTAGTTTAAATTATATCTAATTTTGGAAAACACTCAGCAAAGTTATGAAAAATACAGATACAGTGCTTTAAGTGCTCTAAACATTGTAAAATTTGAAAAATGCTTCAAAACTTCCACCTGTTGAAATAATCTGTTGACTTCTCATTTTCATTGAGCTCTTTTTTTATTTTTAATTTTTCTGGATACATATTAGGTATATATGTACCTATAAGGGTACATGAGATATTGTGATACAGGTATACGATATGTAGTAATCACATCAGGGAAATGGGGTATCCATCACCTCAAGCATTGATTATTTCCTTGTGTTACGAATATTCCAATCATACTCTCAGTTATTCTAAAATGCAAAACAAATTATTGCTGACTGTAGTCACCCTGTTGTGCTATCAAATACTGTATCTCAACATTGTCTGTAACTGTATCTTTGTACCCATTAACCATCCCCGTTCTCCCTCCTACCTAGCCTCTGGAAACTACCAGTGTACTCTATCTGCATGAGTTCAATTGTTTTAATTTTTTTTTTTTTTTTGAGACAGAGTCTGGCTCTGTCGCCTAGGCTGGAGTGCAATGGGTGATCTCGGCTCACTGCAAGCTCCGCCTCCTGGGTCCACGCCATTCTCCTGCCTCAGCCTCTGGAGCAGCTGGGACTACAGGCGCCTGCCACCATGCCCGGCTAATTTTTTGTATTTTTAGTAGAGACGGGGTTTCACCGTGTTAGCCAGGTTGGTCTCGATCTCCTGACCTCGTGATCTGCCTGCCTCAGCCTCCCAAAGTGCTGGGATTACAGGCGTGAGCCACCGTGCCCGGCAATTGTTTTAATTTTTAGCTCCCACAGATGAGTGAGAACATGGAAGTCTGTCTTTCTGTGCCTGTCTTTTTTCACTTAACATAATGTTCTCCGTTTCCATCCATATTGTTGCAAATGACAGGATCTTATTCTTTTTAACTGCTGAGTAGTACTCTACTGTGTATATGTACCACATTTTCTTTATCTGTTAGTCTGTTAATGGACACTTAGGTTGATGCCAAATCTTGGCTATTGTGAATAGTGCTGCAGTAAGTATGGGAGTGCAGGTATGTCTTTGATATACTAATTTCCTTTCTTTTGAGTATATACCTAGCAGTGGGATTGATGGAACATACGGTATTTCTATTTGTGATTTTTTGAGGAACCTCCATACTGTACTTCATAGTGGTTGTGCTAATTTACATTCCCACCAACAATGTACGACAGGGGTTCCCCTTTCTTCACATCGTTGCTTGCGTTCGTTATTGCCTCTTTCATTGAACTCTTTCGAGTGTTAGAATGAGACAAGAGCTGGGCAGAGATGTAGTGTGTCTATTGTTGTGCCCGCCTCTCCCTTCCCTGACCTAATTACTCTCCCTTCACCACCCTGAATCCAGCCAGTGGGTTTCCTCTAGCCTTTGCTATGGTAGGTAGTGGACCTCTGTTTGGTTTTCCATGTGACATTGATATAAGGTATCATGTCATGGTTACTTGGATTGCTGTGCAATAGAGGCCATGGATATCTCGGTTAAGAACACTCTGGAGTTCAACTGCTTGGGTTGACATCTTGGAAATCTCAGACACTTAGGCTCTCTGAGCATCATTTCATTATCTGTAATCTTTCCAGTACCTTGATTGTCAGTCCCCTAGGCAGGTATAACCTCTTAAAAAATGGAGTAGAAAAGTGAAATCTCCATTTCTTTATAACTGTAATGAGTTTTCCCAGGAATCCTTTTCTGACCACTCTGCTATAATTTAGTTTAAGTGGTACGCTTCAGAAAACTGAAACATGCTATACTTTGCAAGCAAGTAGCAATCAAAGGGATACATTCTTTCACCTTTTAAAGTAGAGTGAAATCACTTCCAATCTTATCTTTGCAACCCAAATGCCTGCTGATAATGTGAGCATAAACACATTAGGCACCAAAGAGGAATGGCATCTGGGTGCGAAGATGTGATCAACAAAGCCAGAGTCAACACAAGCTGCCATCAGGGAAGCCAGAGTTCATCACATCACATCATGTTTCAGCATAGTTCAGGGTAGACATATACTGATGGAATAAAATCAGTTTTTGTTTTCAATGTTCACATTTTAGACCCCCTCCCCCCCACTTGACTGGTTATAATATATAAATCAAGCCACAACTGACAGTGATTTGCTTTTTTTGTTCAGGAAAAGGTCTTTGACTGAGACTGACTTGGCCTTACTGCATTGATCTTCAACACAGGCACTTTTTATAATTCCCACAACAGCATTAACTCCAGTGGGTTTTTTTTTTTTTTTTGAATATACATATCACAATAGAGTCTTTCATTACATGATCACAAATTATATGCAGTCACTCTTACGTGCTTCCTGAAAGCAGTAAATTTAGAGCAAAGAGAGACTGTTTAAAACTTGAGACCAGAGAGCACAGTTTATCTTATTTACAGTTTGGCTTAAAGATTGGTCTTTAAGTTAATATCATACCACATGTGGTAATCCTGCAAAGTGCTACATATTTTTATTTATAGTTAAGGGAATAAAGCAAAATCCCCTTTTCATTATGTTATCTTGCATTATTTACTCAGTGATAAATGACATTGCCCCACGGGTATGAGTTTTGTAGTGAAAGACCCTATTGTAGCATATATTTATGCTAGTTAGAGTTACGGTTCCAGAGAGAATTTAAACTCTGAATATGCTGGTACTTGTACAGTTAGAACATATAGCTCAATGTTGTTTTAACACTATATTTTTACTTCGAGTAAAAGAAAAATAAATAGGCATGAACAAAGGGGAAAAGCTTAAGGTTGAAATGCAAGAAACCAAATAAAATGACTAAAAGCATATCCTAAACTCAAAGATTAAAATTTTACCAGAGATAATGGTGGTCATTAGATTGGCCAGTTTCTGCTGTTTAAAATGACATCAGCTTTCAAAGTTTATTAACTGTTTAAGGGTACCAGGAACAATTTTTAGCAAGTCGGGGAGATATGAAAGTGAGCTGAAAGAAGAGTGCTGAAGGGCTGGAAAGTTTAACACCTGCCCCAACATTTGAGGAAAAAACTGGTTCCATGCTATGTCAGTTTGTCCAAACCAATATTCTTGAGAATTTCTCCTGAAGGAGGAAGCCAGTAGATATTTTGGAGGGATGGTTAGTGTTTTAGAATATATTTATTTTGAAATAGAATAATAAATAAAAAAATAGGAAATTCCAATCTTGAATAAAGTAAAAATTAGTTCAGCCTCTAGTCATTCAAAACTTTGGATAAATTAACCAAGAATGGGCTGCCATTTTGCTAAGTACAAAAATAAAGACTTTCTAATAAATTAATAATATAAGTAAGATTTCAGGACTAATATATTTGAAGCAAATATGTCCCCTGCCCATTCTTTCTGCACCTGAAAGGTATCATTTCACTGTTTTCTGTGGCCTTCATTGTTTCTCTGAGAATTCAGATCATTCTGATAAAAAGCCCCCTGTCATCTGTGTCGTTGTTCCTCTGTGTGTAATATGTCATTTTGTAATGGCTACTTTCAAGATTATTTTTAGTTTTTCAGTAGTTTGATAATGATGTGCCTAGGTATGTTTTCCTTTGTATTTTTCCTGTGTAAATAAACTTTTGAAGCTTTATATCTCTCACCAAATTTGGAAAATTTTAACTATTTTTAAATAAATGATTTCTTTTGAAATACTTTTAGATTTACCAAAAAGTTGCAAACATAGTATAGGGAGTTCCCAATTCATCATCCAGCTTCTCTTCATGTTCTTATAATCATGGTATATTTATTAAACTAAAAATGTAGCCCTGGCATAATGCTTTTATCTACAGTTTTTCCACTAATGTCCTTTTTGTTTGTTTGTTTGTTTTAGGATCCAGTCTAGGATACCACATTGCATTTTATCATATCCCCTGGACACCTCCATTCTGTAACACTTTGTCAGATTTTACTTGTTTTTTATAGCCTTCACACTTTTGAAGAGTACTGGTTAGGTATATTTTAGAATGTCCCTCAGTATGGGTTTGTCTGATGTTTCCTCATGCTTACACTGAAGTTTCAGGAATACTACAGAGGTAAGGTACCCTTCTCATTGCATCATCCTAGAGGATAATGATAACAATATGACTTATCACTGGTGATATTAAACTTGATTAAACTGCCTGATATCTCTACTGTAAACATAATATTTTTTCTTTTCCATTCTGTATTGCTTGGAAGCAAATAATTAAGTTTGGCCTATATTCAAGGGGAAAGGAATTAAGTTCTACATCTTTGAAGAGGTAATATCTACATCGATTTTTTGGAATTCTTACATAAGGAAGATGTAGTCTCTCCCTTCATGATTATTTGTTCAACCAATTTAAACAAATTTATTTATTCAATTTAAACAAATGATTACTTATTCAATTATTTGTTTATATCAGAATATTCTTTGGGTTTAATCCAATACTATCATTATTTATTTTCTTACTCAAAGTGTTCCAGCTTTGGGCATTGAAAGCTCTTTCAGGTTGGTTCCTGTGTCCCAATTCTTCTGTTTGTCTGTCTGTTTTCTTCTTTACTTTAGAGGTCCATGTGATGCTTCAGATCCATCTTGTATTTTCCCTGCCCAGCCTGAGAATCAGCCATGTCTCCAAGGAGGGCTGTTTCCTTTTGTTGGAAAATGGTATTTAGAAACCAAGATCTAGGTGCCAGTTGTGCTCACTGCTTACTGTTTTTTAAAGTATTTTTTTTGTGACCACATTCTCTTTTGCCTGTCCATCTTGGACTCCAATTATTTGTCCCAAAAGTACCTGTTCATTCTTTTTCACGTTTTTCTGTTCTTTACACTGGATAATTTCTATGTAACTATTTTCTGGTTCACTGTCTTCTATAATCATGAATCTTCTGTTAAAACCATCCAGTGAAGTTTTTATCTCAAATATAGTATTTTTCAGTTCTAGAATTTTCTTTTCCTTTTCAAAAAAGTAATTCCTATTTCTTTGCTGAGTTTTCCTTTTAGTTCATGTATTACAGCATTTATGCCTAATTATAATATGAATAGCTGCTTTAAAATCTTTATCTGTTAATTCTAATATTTGGGTCCATTCAAGTTGGTCTCTACTAATTGCTTTTTCTTTGAGTTTGGGTCATGTTTTCTTATTTCTTTTATGTCTAGTATTATGTTTTATTTTAGACATTGTATTTGATACTTTGTAGAAACTCTGGATTCTGTTATGTTCTTCTGAAGAATATTGATGCTTTGTATTAACAGACAGTTAACTTGGCTGAACTCAGACTTCTAACTTTGCCTTTGCTGCTGTGGAGAGCAATCAAAATCTCAGTTTAGTTGAGTTCATTTTGCCTGAAGGAGGCTGTTTGATCTCCTCCATACTTGCATGGTTCAGGGGACAATTAGGGAATTGGGCAGAGTTTATATACAGAATATGGGACTCTTGCTTTGTAGACATCACCTTTCCTAAAGTTTTCCTTCTTTTCTCTCCAGCTACTGTGTTGGTCTTGAACTCTAGTCTCTCATTCTTCAGCCAGTAAGACTCCAGGTTTCGGCCAGGTGCAGTGGCTCACGCCTGTAATCCCAGCACTTTAGGAGGCTGAGGTGGGTGGATCACGAGGTCAGGAGATTGAGACCATCCTGGCCAACATGGTGAAACCCTGTCTCTACTAAAAATACAAAAAATTAGCCGGGCGTGGTGGCGGGCACCTGTAGTCCCAGCTACTCGGGAGGCTGAGGCAGGAGAATCACTTGAACCTGAGAGGCAGAGGTTGCAGTGAGCCGAGATTGGGCCACTGCACTCCAGCCTGGCGACAGAGCGAGACTCCGTCTCAAAAAAACAAAACAAAACAAAACAAAAAAAAGTTCAGGTTTCAATCTGAGTTTTAACCCATTTATGCTTAGCGTTCCATTACTGGAATGCTAAACTTATGGCAGTTATTTATATCCTGCTGCTCGAGCTCATCTCCAAGGTCTGATGATTTTTCTTTTCTTTTCTTTTCTTTCTTTTTTTTTTTTTTTTGTGAGACGGAGTCTCACTCTGTCGCCAGGCAGTGGCTCAATCTCGGCTCACTGCAAGCTCTGCCTCCTGGGTTCACGCCATTCTCCTGCCTCAGCCTCCTGAGTAGCTGGGACTACAGGCGCCTGCCACCACGCCCGGCTAATTTTTTGTATTTTTAGTAGAGATGAGGTTTCACCGTGTTAGCCAGGATGGTCTTGATCTCCTGACCTCGTGATCCGCCCACCTTGGCCTCTCAAAGTGCTGGGATTACAGGTGTGAGCCACCGCACCTGGCCAAAGGTCTGATTTTTCACAAAAAAGAAAAATTGCAACCTCTGGCATAAATGGGTTAACTGCCTTGCCTGGCACCAACTAGGGCTTTCTCTCCGGTGGAAAACTATAACGCAGGAAGCTCAATGCCATTCCCTTCTTCCACGTGTTGGCGCCTTACAGTTCTTGTCAGCTTTTTGCTCACTCTCATGGGCCTTCAGAAATTTTGTCTTTTTGTCTAGAGTTTATAAGTACTATCAGTGGGAGGATTAGTCTGCCAGAAGGTACTCCACTATTACCAGAAGTGGTACTCCCTTTCATTTAAGGAGAGGGCAGAATTATATTAATTAAATAATCAAGCAGACACATGTAAAACTAAATGTAAAACTAAAACTGTGTTTGTTGTGCTACTAAGAAGCACACATCTATGAAATCTAATAATAGGGGAATTTGACTTAATTGGTGAGGTCAGGAATGTTTTCCTTGAGGACATGATGGGGTCCAGAGAGTTACTAGACAAAGACAGAATGGAAGAGGATTCCACGTATTTGTTGATTGAGTGATATAATCCAGCTTTCTATGTATCTGGGCTTCTTTTCTTTGCACATATTGTTAACCTCTCAATCTTTAATCATCTCTCTGGGCTTCTGTGATAATAAAAGGTAATCTATAGCTCTGGTGCCTCTAATGTTATACAATGAAGAATACCCTACATGAAAATTTCTTTTTTTTTTTTTTAACTGAAATTTTAATTTTAGATCCAGGGGGTCCATGTGCAGGTTTGTTGCAAGGGTATATTGCATGATGCTGAGGTTTGGGCTTCTATTGATCCCATCATTCAGACTGTGAACAGAGTACCCATGAAAACTTTTTTTTTTTTTTTTTTTTTTGAGAAAGGGTCTCGCTGTGTTGCTCAGGCTGGAGTACAGTGACACAATCACGACTCACTGTAGTCTTGGCCTCTCAGGCTCAAGCAATCCTCCCACCTCAGTCTCCTTAGTAACTGGACTATAGGCGTGTACACCACCATGTCTGGCTAACTGTTATTTGTGGAGAGAGGTCTTCCTATGTTACCCGGGCTTGTCTTGAACTCCTGGGCTCAAGTGATCCTCCCGCCTTGGCCTTCCAAAGTGCTGGAATTACGAGCATGAGCTACTGCACCCAGCCTCATGAAAACTTCTTCACCAAAAGGAATTGTGGGTCTGGACCATTAAGTGGTATATCATAGTCTGTGGGCTTCTGGCCAATGTGATCAACTGAAGTGTAAGGAAATCTCCCTTCCACTTCAGGTATTTAGAAACAACAACACACATACAGACACACAAGTCTCTCTCTCTCTCACACACACACACACACACACACACACCCCACATGCATGTACCAGGGAGAAAGAACACATACGTATCAGTAAATGCATGCTAATAACAAAATTCTTTCTTATCAGCAAAAAGATATGCCAGGTTACAGTGGAATCTTGTATTCAAAGTGTTAATTAAAAATAACTATCAACAAAAGTTCTACACTTAGTTAAGTGGTCATTCAGTAGAGAGGATGTAATACAGACATTTTCAAACATACAACTGTTAAAAGAGTTTGTTACCCATGGACTCCTCCTAAAATAATTACTAAAGATAAACTTAAGTAAAAAGGAAATTGTGGCAGATTGTATTTTCCAAAAATGGCCATAACAATATCTACCATCTTCCATGCTTTTCTACAGTATACCTTGCTACTCCCCCATCAAAAGATGGAGTCTAATCCCCTCTCCTTGAATCTGGATTGGCCTTATGAGTTTGCACCTGAAAGCAATAGACTATGGTAGCAATAATAACCATGTTGACTTTGAGGCTCGGTCAGAAAAGGCCATGCAGTTTTCAACTGGTACTTTGAGATGCTCGTGCTGGGGGCTGCCAGCTACCATAGAAGATGTACAGCCATTCCAAAAGCTCAGTGTTAAATAAGCTTTATTTAAATAAACTTATTTAAGTAAGTTTAAATAAGCGGCCTTTCTGGGCATCAGACCCTCCAGACAAGTCCATCCTCCAACTGAGTACCATTGAGTAACATAGACAGATTCATAAGATGTAGAAGAGTGGCCCAGCTGACTGTTACCCACATTCATGACCTATAGAATATAATAAAATGGTTGCTGTTTGAAGCTACAAAGTTAATTTGTCATGCAACAAGTAGAATAAAATTGGACCCAGAAGGAAGGAGTGGAATGTATAAATTATCAGGAGTAAGGAAGCTGGTGAATATATTTGTAAATACAAATAAATATTGACTTTAAAAAAGTTGGATGGAGTTTTAACAAACAATGTGATACTAAAATAATAGCAACAATAATATGGAAGCTGTTATGGAGTAAGGAAGAGGAAGACTGGTTATAAAACTTTCTAAGGTCCTTATATTGTTTGGAAGGTTATTCGAGATTGACTTTAGGCATATTAAAGGCATTGATTGTGTAAGTTATGAAACAGTGGAGGGGAAAACAGGAATGTAGAAAAATTCAATAAAAAGCAGAAAAATAAAGCTAAGAAGCAAAGAAAATCATGGGCGATAGAAAACATAAAATATGTTGATTGAGATGGTGCTGTTACAACTGTAATTGTGATAAATGTAAAGAAATTCATTTCAGTCATTAAAAATGATAATTATATTTTTTAAATAGCCAGCCAAATGTTGTTTTAAAAAGACAGCCAAGGCAAAAAGAGTCCAGAGCAGTTAAAAATGAAGGGATTGAAAAGATGTGCCGGGAAAAAGCAAACCAAAAGAAAGTAGGTATGACAGTATTAACATCAGGCAAAACGGAATTTCTAGACATCTCGTGTTTTCTTCTCAGGATACACCTGTGCCTCTTTTTATGCCACATCTTTTTACTTGCATGTGTGCAGCTAGGAGATGTGCGTAAGGAGGCTCATTTCAGCATTGTTTGCAATCAAGAAAATTTTCAAATAACTATCAGTAGGGGAACGTATGGATACATTATAGAATATTCCTGTGGGGGCATTAAACAGCAGTTAAAAGAGACAGATTTATATACATCAACATGTCTATATTTCAAAACCATTGAGTGAAAGAAGTTGCAGAGTAATATGTCAGTGTGACATTTATAAACACAAAACAGTATATTTGAACTTCTAAGTTTCCTTCTAATTCTGAAATTATTGAATTTCACAGTAGTAAGCTATGTTCCTGTGACTATATGCATTTGAGTGTGTGAAGAATTGTGCCCAGAAACAGTGTATTTCAGCAAATACACTGACTGTTATTAAGAGCAATTGGCATATCCTAAATAATGGACACACCTGGAATAGCAGAAAGCTGTCATTCTCTGATCAAGTAATCGGTGGAATTAAATAGTAACTACTCAACAGTGTGCTCTATGCTATAGAATGAGCATATGTGCAAAAATAATTTCTCCTTTCCCCCAGTTGCTTACAAGTAAAAAGATGAGGCATAAAAAGAGGCACAGGTGTATCCTGAGAAGAAAAAATGAGATGTCTGGAGGGAGATGTTAGTTAAGCAATAACTTAGCACTAGACTATAGAGTACAGGCAAGCTAGAATCCCTGTTGTATAAGTAACTAGACATTGAAATCACAAATACCTTTGGATGGCAATTCCACAAATATTTATTGAGAACCTGCTGTGTTGAGGATACTCCACTTAACCTGGTCATGAACACAAAAATGATTCAGGAGTTACAGGGAATTTTTAGAGCATTGGAGGATGGAAGTAACTATAAAATGAGCCAGGATAAGTTAGAATCGTGAGGATACACGTTGCTTTGTAGCTTGAAAGGAGAATGAAATTGTTTTCGTTGGGGTGATTGGGGATGGCGTTACAGAGGTTATATCCCACATTTGTAAATGGGTGCATTCCACTTTGGATGGCTGAGAATGGCAGAGCAGTTTCTTCTTTGTGCCATAGCTCTGTTTAGTATGTGATCCTCTTCCCCCTTAAGAAAAATATTACTGTACGCTAATCCTTTCAAAGCCTTTAATGGTGCTGCTGAGACAATCATTTAAGCATTTAAAATACATACCACATAGCACACTTATTTTTTCTTTTTTTTTTAGCACACTTATTTTAGACACAGCAATGGTTAGCCACTGGAAAACTAACCACTGGTTTTTATAAGGGGGGACCTTTGTATGTTATGGCTTATGACAGAGAATGGAAAAATGCTTCAGTGAGACAGGCTGGCATTTTGAATTGGAGCACAGTAATAGCCAAAAGTGCTGAAGTCAACGGACTGCTTAGAAATATGGTTTCCATTTGCTGAGAGAGGCCTTGCAAGGTGGCCACATACATGCATTTGCAACCACAGGCAGTTCAGTTTTTCCCTAAATGTGGGGCTGTGACCCTGATTGATGTCAGTGAGCGTTACGTACTTGCAGAGAGAAAGATGATTTAGGTCATCCATGAATCTAAGACAAGTAAGACATAGACAAATAAGCAACAACTTAATAGACTTATATATAATTTAGGTTGGAAATCATGCAGAAGTGACAGTGCTCTTCAGAATCTTCTGGGGCTGGCTTAAAAGTTCTCCTTTGCCCCCCAAAGCTATTACAATAAGAATTGGTTACTAGTCTGCATAACTTGAAGAAGATAAAGAAGGTCAAAGGAAGATGTGGAAAAGAGACTTAGAGGTGACATTTGATTTATGACTTAGACAATATGAAGGAGATGGCCATGAGACCTGGGAGATGAGAATTCCAAGGAAAAGCATCAGCAAGTGGGAAATGTTCTGTTAGTGGCAAACAAAAAGAAATGGGTGACCTTGAGCAAATTACTTTGCCTCTCTGGGACCCACTGTCTTCATTTGTAAAATTAGAGAGTTGGATTCAGTGAGCCCTAAGGAATTTTTCAGCTCCAAAGTTCAATAAAATAAAGATGACTTAAAGTAGGCCAAATGAAGTTGTTGATTGTTTTTAAAGATGGCAACCCTAGGCCAGGCAGGGTGGCTCACGCCTGTGATCCCAGCACTTTGGGAGGCCGAGGCAGGCAGATCACGAGGTCAGGAGATCAAGACCATCCTGGCTAACATGGTGAAACCCTGTCTCTACCAAAAATACAAAAAAATTAGCCGGGTGTGGTGGCGGGCACCTGTAGTCCCAGCTACTTGGGAGGCTGAGGCAGGAGAATGGCGTGAACCAGGGAGGCGGAGCTTACAGTGAGCTGAGATTGTGCCACTGGGTGACAGAGCAAGACTCTGTCTCAAAAAAAAAAAAAAAGATGGCAACCCTAAGGTTGGCTTAGGTGTGATGGCTCACACCTGTAATCCCAGCACTTTGGGAGGCTGAGGTGGGCAGATCGCCTGAGCTGAAGAGTTCAAGACCAGCCTGGGCAACATGGCAAGACCTCGTCTCTACAAAAATTTAAAAAGTTAGATGAGTGTGGTGGCATGCACCTATGGTCCCAGCTACTTGGGAGGCTGAGGAAGGAGGATCGCTTGAGCCCGCAACCCTAGGGATGTTTGAATGTTCAGAATAGGGTGTAATCATTGAAGGGGAGAAAATGTTGGCAAGAGAAAAATGTCAAATGAAACAGGGTTCAAGTAAGTGGAAGGGGATGGTGTTGAGAGAACACTTCTTCCCCACTTCTCATGTTTCCTTCCTTGTTGGAGTTCAGTCAGTGTAACACTCCTGGTGCCTTTATCCTAAGGGAGGTGGGGTGACATAGTCTGATAAATTTGGGAAGAAGAAACTGGATGTGCTCTGCTCATCTCCTCCCTTTTGCTTTTGGGCAGCACTCCTGACCACAGAGAACCATTTTTCTCTCTTCCTCCAGGCCTTAAGTCTTACCTGAGGGAGGCTACCCCCCGTTCTGGAAGCTTTAACTTGATCCAGCATTGCCTGTGACCATGTGGATAAACCTAATTTTGTGATTCAGTTTCCAGGTACCTTTGGCTCTCACAGTAAGCCATGTTCTCCAGCTTAGCCTTCATCAGTAGCGATATTTTGGTCTGCCTTTGCCATATCTTCATCTTATTTCTTGCTACATTCAGAATCTGGATAGGAGAGGAATGTGCTGTTTACTTGGCTCTCTCAAAACCCCAGAAGTTGGGATTCAGTGGGGCAGAATAAGCTTAATAAGCTTTGGTGAAAAGGGATATTGTTCCCTCTGAATCAAGAGAAGGTAATACTTATGAAGAACTAATGATACTTTGAGGTATGGTTGAGTTGCAGAGATTCAGAATTATCTCAGCAAAGCAGGGGGCCAGATCATCAACTGAGAATGAGTCAGCAAGCTTGGAATTGGAAAGTTAAAAGTTTTAGAATTGCCTCTGTGGAGAGTATGCGAAAGAATCCACTAAAGAGAACCAATGGATTGTCAGTCAGGGTGACAAACGTTTCATCACTTAAAACACATACCACGTAGTACACTGATTTTAGAGGCGGCAGTGGTTAGCCACTGGAAAGCCAGCCATGGCTTTTCATAACAGTGGTTCTGCTAACAGGCTTGAGTGGATAGGGCTCTAGGGCAGCCTCATTCTCTGCCACCAGAAACAAAAGTGGTGACAACTGCTCTGTAGAATATATTTTATGCCTAAATTATACAGATTTTTAGAAGTGAATTTAGGAATCTGTTAGAGTTAGACAATAAATAATTATATCTATAATGTTAAAAATACTAAACTTTTTCTCTGAATATAATAGTTTAGCCAGCCACTAAATTGACCCTTGTCTCAGCTGATGCTGGTTTTCCTTCTGTGTGTGTGTGAGCATGTGTGTGTTCAGGGCTTTTTTTTAATCAAACAAGTTTTTTCAAAGATGCCCAGTCAACAAAATACTGTATGTTAGCAGCCACAGCCACCATCAGAATGAAGTTTTAAGATCACTGTTTCTGATTACATAGAAATAGCCAATGGATTTATCGAAGGTTATTATTCAAAATGACAGGACAGAAAATACTCTGGCTTATCCCCTGTGCTCATTCACTTTTCTAGAACCAAGGGAAATACCAGCTTCTCCATAAAGTAAATTCAAACTGTTCTTTGCAACCTTGTTTCTCTCTACTTCTATTGCACTGAAAGTGTGCTACATATAGTTCAGTGGGGGAGGGAGCAAGGACCAGGGAAGGGTTTTAGGAGGTGGTTGCACTTAAACTGGGACATGGAGGAAGAATAGGATTTGGCAGGTGGAGGTGGAAGGCAGGAGCCAGGAGCGCTCCAGGTCTAGCACATGGGTTAGTCCAAAAGGCACTGAGGCCTAGAGTCAAGTCCTCTTCAGGAAGCAGTGTTTTGAGTAGGCCCTTTGGCTAGAGGACAAGGATGCAAGGGAATGTTGTCTCCATGACTGGAAAAGTAGCTAGAAACTGGATTGTACAAGGCTGCAGGAGGCAGGATTTTTTAAGGTTAGGTGAGATTTTGAAGAGGAAATAGTCTGTGGAGAGAGGTAGAAACTGAAATCAATGGGATATTAACCTAGAATGAGATTCTAGAAGGAAAGGAAATAAAAGGGTCTAGTAGAGATGCAGATAAAGCTGGCAGGGAAGTGAGGAGGAGTTAGGATACAAAGGGAGGGCTTGATTTACTTGAAAATTCAAGCAAGTAATGATGTTTTGCAGTTGTTGAAAGAATGCCTCCTGATATTTAGAAATACGAAAATTATTTTAAACATATCTGCTCTGTCAGAGTTTTTCTTTCTGTTCTCCTGCCATTTCTTTTTTGATTTTGGTAAAAGAATAAAAAAAGAACAGCATATGCTGAAAGAAACTAGGTACACAACGGGGACTGAAATAATTTCAAATAATTTTTCTTTTAGCCAGATTGCTAGTATACAATAAGAATATATTTTGATTCAGAACTTTTATGAAGAACTTGTGCATTTTATTGTAACATCTGTTTCTACATTTTAATTTCTCTCCTTCCTTTTATAGGTATTTGCCTGCCTTTTTTTTTTCAAGTGAGAAGACCTTTTGTTTGCCACAAGAAGGCTATTATCCAGAATGTTAATGGGTTTTCAGCTATTAAGATGTAATGATATACCTTGAGTATTTAACTATAAATTTGAAAAATCTCCGTGAACAATCTCAAAGGAATACTTAGAATGCACTCCTGGTAAATTGGCTCATTTTCCTGTAATTTACTGGAAGTGCTGATATGAGAGCAGTCCTAATGTGAAAAGTACATTAATCCCTGGAGTTACATTGTATGTATTAAATTATTACTCTCAAGGAATAAAATGTGTGGGGCCATTTAGCCTTCATTCACACTTGTTACTTGGAATCACAGTGGAAAAACAATCACTTATCTTTTGATGCACAAAATTAGAAGGGATACATTTAATATCTTTTAAGACTAGAGGCACAGTGATGCTGGGTTACACTTTTGCATAACACTTGCTGTTTTCTAAAAGAAGGACAGTTCTCATTGGAGCGTGCTTCTTCTGGCTTTGTGGAGGCCCATGCCATCCAGTTGGTAATTGAAATATTTTTAGAAACCCATAATGCAGCTTTCTTTCATGTCAGTAGAAAAGATAAGTCAGCCTTCTAGCCATGAGCATCTACCGCTTGGGGGATTATTTAAGGATGGTGGTCAACTTGCAGGAGCAGCAGTTGCAGGAGCACTTAGGTCTTATTTGGAATTTTATCTAATTGTGCTTTCCTTTTTTGCCAGGAGACTGAAAGGAACCATAATTTGTGACATCAGTTGTTTTCTTTGATAAGCAGCTATTTATGATTCTGGAAGATTAAGGCAGATAGGAAACCCCATCTGAGATTTTAATAAATCCCTCAAACAATAAACCACATCATGGACATACAGCTGGACCCTGCCAGAGATGACCTGCCTCTCATGGCCAACACCAGCCACATACTTGTGAAGCACTATGTACTGGATTTGGATGTGGATTTTGAAAGTCAAGTCATTGAGGGGACCATAGTGCTTTTCCTCGAGGATGGAAACAGATTCAAGAAACAGAATAGCTCTATTGAGGAAGCCTGCCAATCAGAATCAAACAAAGCCTGCAAATTTGGGATGCCTGAACCCTGCCATATTCCCGTGACAAATGCAAGGACCTTCTCATCTGAAATGGAATATAATGATTTTGCAATCTGTAGTAAAGGTGAAAAAGATACTTCTGATAAAGATGGTAACCATGACAACCAGGAACATGCTTCTGGGATTTCTAGCTCAAAGTACTGCTGTGACACAGGGAATCATGGGAGTGAGGATTTTTTGCTAGTGTTGGACTGCTGTGATTTATCTGTGTTAAAAGTCGAGGAGGTGGATGTTGCTGCTGTGCCAGGTCTGGAAAAATTTACAAGGTCTCCTGAGCTCACGGTTGTTTCTGAGGAGTTCAGGAATCAGATTGTACGTGAACTTGTGACTTTGCCTGCAAATCGTTGGAGGGAGCAGTTAGACTATTACGCTCGCTGCAGCCAGGCTCCTGGCTGTGGGGAACTCCTCTTTGACACTGACACTTGGAGCTTGCAGATAAGGAAGACAGGGGCTCAGACAGCTACTGACTTTCCTCATGCTATCAGGATATGGTACAAAACTAAACCTGAAGGGCGATCGGTTACATGGACCTCAGACCAGAGTGGCAGGTAGGTTATCCAAGCACTTCAAAGCCCTGTGCCTGTTAATCTTGTACGCTGCGGGGATGCTTTCAAACATGAGACCGGCTCTGCAGAGATGCTCCTGTGTCTTCTGTGACATTACCCAAGTAGCCTCAAATCCTTAGACCTACAGTGAAGCAGGTAAATTCCCAGGCATGCTAAACCCTTAATAGGATTAGCTCCCTTAAGTCAGGATGAAAAGATTATTAAGCCCTCCCTATTTCTGAGTTAAGAGATTGAAAGCCATGCTTAATGATGAAATCCTGAGCCTCGCTCTCCATTGAGATCTCTGCTGGTGACTTGGAGTGCTGTAGATGGGAGTGATACGTCTCCGAGTGAATACTTGCTTAACGTTCCTTCATAGTCCCTTGAGAGACCAGACTGCCATGAAGCTGGGTTGGTGTGAAGCCTGGCAAAGTGCTTTCAAATAAAGCCAGCTCTGCTTTGTGCCTTCCTTACCGTACTTGTCTATTGGCAGCTATGCCTCCCTGACTTTTGTCAGTTTTCATGTAACGTGACCCCCCCCAAAGCATACAAAAGACCTGTTTCTGAGCAGCATAACAGTCCTCTGAGACTGCACACTGGCTTCTTTGGCTGTGATTCTTGGTATTTGGTACCAGAAAGACCGCTGGGTTTTCGTTCGAGGAGAAGGAATTGATGGAGGTGTCGTTTTCTAGAGGATACATTTAGGCAGACCTTGCTCTAACAATTGTTCAGATTTTTAAAAATCTTTTTCTTATTGTCTTTCCTCCAACAGTTGTTCAGATTTTTTTAAATTTGAGAATTTTAAAATCAAACTTTATTGATTCCTCCGTATTTTACCTATTTGTGCTAAAGTACTGCAAATCAATATGGTAATTATTGCAGAGCTTGGATGGAGGAACGTTGACCTCTGTTAGCTGGGTTTGGGAGCCTTCTTTTATAGCGTTGTATTTCCTTAATTGAAGCAGTGGTCTTCGGCAATTGCTTACATGTCTCCCTCAATTCATCCCCCAAAACACCTTGCAGCTATAGTTTTTTAAAGCCTCACTTTGACTTTGAGCTCTAATTATTCATTCCTTGCCTCTAATCTTACCTTCTGTTCTGGTCTCTCACCCTGCTCAGAATGAGTTCACTTCCTGTCTTATTTCTGTTAGAGTCTGAGGCAGCCATTGTGAAATTGCAGGGTTGGTGCAAACTTACCTCAGTACAAAAGCGTAGTGATTTATTTATAGAATACCTTATTAGATAGTTTTTGGAGACTGTGAAAGAATGAAACGGGTGTTCTTATTGTATCTTCACACTTTTTTGAGATTATTAAAGATGGGAATTTCAATACAATATAACAATATACTATCTGAATATTTAACTAGGAAATTATAGTTTTTATACTCCTAGATATTTCAGTTTTGAACTAGAATAATGAGGAAGAAGGAACTATTGGCAGAATTTGGAAGAAATATTTATGGCCTCAAACATGACTTTCTCCTGAGTGCTTACTGCAAACAAAGAGATTAGACTGGTGAATTAAATGACATGTAAAAGTGATGAGTACTTACAGATAAATGATGGTTTCTATGAAGAAATTAAAGAGGGCCAGGCGCGGTGGCTCACGCCTGTAATCCCAGCACTTTGGGAGGCTGAGGCGGGTGGATCACAAGGTCAGGAGATCGAGACCATCCTGGCTAACACGGTGAAACCCTGTCTCTACTAAAAATACAAAAAATTAGCTGGGCATGGTGGTGGGCGCCTGTAGTCCCAGCCATTCGGGAGGCTGAGGCAGGAGAATGGCGTGAACCCGGGAGGCAGAGCTTGCAGTGAGCCAAGATCGTGCCACTGCACTCCAGCCTGGGCGACAGAGTGAGACTCCGTCTCAAAAAGAAAAAAAAAAAAAAGAAATTAAAGAGGTCCTTGGGCACATTTTGCTCCTTCAAATGATAAATTTAGTCTTGATATCTCATTTTCTGATAATTCAGTAAATATATATGATCACAGAAGATGTTTAAACTGTATCCTTGGAAGTTTGGGAATATGTGTTAGTATATTAATGCCATTTGTGCAGTCTTCTGAGGATAAGAAAAATTATTTTAAAAAACAAATTCTAGAAAGGTGTTTTCTCTTTTTTTCCCTTTTTCTGGGGTGGGGAGTTTTATTTACAGTCAATTGTGAATGAGCACCAGGTCTCTCTCAACTCTCCCTTGCGCTGCAGAATAAATCTTAGGATGTACTGGTAACTGTTTGGATATGTTAAGGACTTTAAAATGAGTAAAGAATGCCAGTTGCTAGACAGAAATAACTTCTTAGTGATATAAATGAATAGTAATTATCAGGATCACAATACTTTATGAATATAATTGTGTGAAAATATAAAATTTTACAGTTGCGTGAAAAACATAACTAGCTAGAGCTTATTCCTCCACGGGACAGAGTCTGTCTACATTTATTAAAACTAAAATAGTTTCTACATATTTGTTCCTGAATTGCAGAATATTATCAGTTATACCCGCTCTAAGTTCTCAGGCTGGGATGAGAAGCTCTTTATTCTCATTTTACAGGTAAGAAAATAAAATGACTGGAAGCTTCTAGATAAATCTGTATCTCAAGTGAGAAAGAGAATGACTTTTTTTGAATTTGATCTTCACGTCACTTACTGTATGCAAAGCTTTCAAGTATATTTAAAACATAAATTTATTATGTTAGCTTTCAATAAATTTCTTTTTTTAAATTAGACAAATATAAGAAAATCTGTAAATTGGTACCTTTTCTTTTAAGTTCCATTAGTGGCTTCCCCATTTCCCACCTGTACTGTATCCCAGCTGAGAATAAAACTTGTATCAAAATGAAATAGCTTAATATTGATATGGATGGTTGCATATGGAAATAATTACAGATATGTGTGTTTCCAAGGGTTAGTGTGTGTGTGTGTGTTTGTGTATACACACACTGTATCTTGGCTTGTCAGCTGAGAGGGTCTTAGAAGTAAGCACACCTAGCACCCAGATCTTAGTTTCTGATACCATTTTCCAATGAAGAGAACTAGGACTTCTTGGAGAAATGTCCAGAACAGGGGCAGGAAATATACAAGATGAGTCTGGAGCATCTTGTAATGTCAGAAAGTAAGGAAGCCCTCAAACAGCAGGAACAACAACCCACAGCGATGGGGGTATGCCAGAGGGACAAGGGGCCGTCCGAAAGAGCTCCTCATGCCCCAAGCCAAGCAACAAAACATATCAAGTAGTTTCGAATGACATCCAAAAGTATGAAATAGCCATTAGTCCAGCTGATGTGAATAAACGATTGAATAAATAAACAAATGAGGAAGAATAGACAAATCCATGGTGCAAAACAATTCCAAGTTAGTTGTGGACATGTTCTGTCCTCAAGGAGGTGGGGCATAACTCCTCACTCCTTAAGTGTGGACTATACAGTCAGTGACTCCCTGCCGAAGAGAACAGAATGGAAAGGGAGAAAGAAGTAACTTTACACTAGAGAAATCTGACAATACTACCTCAGCAAGATGATCAAGGTCAATATCAATAGTGATAATTTATGGGGATAGTTTATTCTCTGGTATGATATGATGAAAATGGCATCTTTGTGGTCTTCCTCGCAAAAGCTCTTAACTCCAATCTAATCATGAGAAAAGCATCAGATACATCCCAGTCAAGGGACATTAAACACAATACCTGATCAGCACTTCTGAAAACGAATAAGGTCAGCGTAAAGTCTAAGAAACTGCCACAGTCAAGAGGAGCCTGAGGAGACATGATGATTAAAAGCAATGTGGTGTCCTGGCCGGGTGCAGTGGCTCACACCTGTAATCCTAGCACTTTGGGAGGCCGAGGTGGGCAGATCACTTGAGGCCAGGAGTTCGAGACCAGCCTGGCCAACATGGCGAAACCCCATCTTTACTAAAAATACAAAAAGTTAGCTGGGCATGGTGGCAGGCACCTGTAGTCCCAGCCACTTGGGAGGCTGAGGTGGGAGGATCACTTGAGCCCAGAAGGTCAAGGCTGCAGTCAGTTGTCTTTGTGCTACTGCACTCCAGCCTGGGTGATAGAGCGTGACTGTGTCTCAAAAATAAAATAAAATAAATAAAATAAAAGTAATGTAGTATCCTGAAACAGAAAAAAGACATTGAGGAAAAACTAAAGAAAGCTGAATGAAGTGTGTAAATGTATCAGTATTGGTTCACTCCTTGTGACAAGCATACTAATATAAGATGCCAGTAATAGGGAAAGCTGAGTATGGAGTATATGGAAACTCTGTATATTATCTTTGTGATTTTTATTTTTAGTTTTTATTTTATTATTATTTTATAAGACAGGGTCTCACTCTGTCACCCAGGGTGGAGAGCAGTGGCATGAACTTGGCTCACCAAGTTCTTTCTACCCTGAAATCTCTTTTGTAAGAGCTGTTTTCTCACTTTACCATGTGGCAGGGTTCTCTGGAGAAGAAAATATATTTGTAGTCTCAATCTCCTTGGCTGAAACGATCCTTCCACCTCAGCCTTCCAAGTAGCTGGGACTACAGGTGTGCAGCACCACGCCCAGCTAATTTTTGTATTTTTTTGTAGAGACAGGGTTTTGCTATGTTGCCCAGGCTGGTCTCGAACTCCTGGGCCCAAGCATTCCTCCCACCTCAGCCTCCCAAAGTGCTGGGATTATAGGCATGAGCCACTGACTGCGCCCAGCCTTATCTTTTCAATTTTTAAAATCTAAAACTGTTTTAATATAAAAAAATATATGCCAGATGTGGTGGCTCATGCCTATAATTCTAGCACTTTGGAAGACAGAGGCAGGAGGATAGCTTGAGTTGAGGAGTTCAAGACCAGCCTGGGCAACATGGTGAAACCCCTTCTCTACAAAAATAATAATAATAATAATAATAATAATAATAATAATAATAAGTCACAGCTACTTGGGAGGCTGAGGTGGGAGTATTACTTGAGCCCAGGGAGGTCGAGGCTGCAGTGGGTCATGTTTGTGCCACTGCACTCCAGCCTGGGCGACAGAGTGAGACCCCGTCTTGAAAAAAAATTATTAAAAAGATAACTTCAAATTTGGAGATTTCTACCCTGAAATCTCTTTTGTAAGAGCTGTTTTCCCACTTTACCATGTGGCAGGGTTCTCTGGAGAAGAAAACATATTTGAAGCTGTAAAGGAGTATTTATTATGAATGATTACCAATAATTTTATCATTATTATTCTACTTCTAATATGAAATATCTGGAAATAGAAAACTCAATTTTCCTACCTTAGTTTAGCCATTTGGGAGTTGTGCCAGTTGTTGAACCTAAATGCTTCTTGCCTGTATCATTCAGATACTGGATTGTAGGTGACATTTAAAATGACTGATGGAAGGAATACATATATAACAATCAGATACAATGTGCTTCTTGGAAAAGATGTTTGCTTTTCTGTGGTACGCGGGTCTGTGTGCCCTTTAAAAATATTTTGATGAGAACAAAGACAGGGTCAAGAGTTGTGTAAAGGTGTTCTTGCCAAGCTTCAAGAAAGGAATGGGACTTAATATGTTTTTAATTCTAGATCTTTGGTATACGTAAGAAATAAACTTTTAAAATGGAAACCTTTATTCAAAGTTGATGTGTTTTCTTCATTTTCCTTGTATTTTTAACATTTTTTCTATTCCCCTGAAGAAAACGTTATTTAAAACTGAAGCATTGGCCCGGTGCAGCGGCTCACGCGTGTAATCCCAGCACTTTGGGAGGCCGAGGCGGGTGAATCACAAGGTCAGGAGATCGAGACCATCCTGGCTGATGAGGTGAAACCCCGTCTCTACTAAAATACAAAAAATTAGCCGGGCGTGGTGGCGGGCGCCCGTTGTCCCAGCTACTTGGGAGGCTGAGGCAGGGGAATGGCGTGAACCCAGGAGGCGGAGCTTGCAGTGAGCTGAGATCGCGCCACTGCACTCCAGCCTGGGCGACAGAGCGAGACTCCATCTCAAAACAAAACAAAACAAACTGAAGCATTCTCTTTGATAACCCATTCTCTTTTTCGTTAGAATCATTATAATAGTTGTGGAAGCAGTCAAGTGGTTTAGGAGGTCTGAGCTTAAGCTGATGACATCACTGAATTTGAATTGAATGGAGGAAAATTCGGTTATGTATAGGAAATTTATTAGAAAAACTATAGCTATTTGGATTTTTGTTAAAGATAAGAGAGCTAACTGGGAAAATACATTATAAGATAAAGTAATATTAACATTTAAACTTTTGTAAAACATTGTGATTTTTTTGTTTGTTTGTTTTAGACAAGACTGGGATGAAGTTAGCAAAATCCTAAGGAGAACTACTTTTTTCTGTAATATTTCTTGCTCAGCTATTGGGCCAGGGAAGATGTAGACTTTGGGAGTATTTTTAGTTTGGAGTATCAAAACCAGATGTTAAAACATGTTCTTCCTCCCCCCTCCCCCCACTGAATTAATTTCATTATTTTATATCTCACTCTAAAGGAAAGTTTTAAAATTAAAAGAATGAGCAGAAGATGTTTTGGGAGAGATTTCAGGTCTAAGAGGAACATTTCCACAATTAGCACCTTTTTTTCCCCTTACTTTCTTCAAGAAACCAATGCAAAATTTATGAGAACTAAAGTGGAATACACATTAATTCTATGATATTGTATGACTGCAGAGTCGGAATCATGAGTGAAAATGCTTGGAAGGGTCGTGTTTTAGCTTCTTTCTCTCTTTGCTGCCCAGGCTGTGCATATGTCTATTTCCCAGAATCCCAGTTGAGTCACCATGGAAGAAAATACAAGGATGGACTGTATCAGTCTCAACAAGTAACCAACATAACCAACCGAATGAGAAATAAGTAACAAAGCATCTACAGAAAATAACAAATCGCAGTGCCCCGTATCACCAAGAGCATAGTGTGTTCAAAAGAACCTGGATGGTGGAAGCCAAGAGACCTAGTACTAGTGAGAGCTGTGTGGTAACTAGCTGTGTGACTTCAGATAGTCATCTTAGGTCTCTTCATTTCCTCATCTGTAAAACGAGAAGATTCCATGAGAGCATCTCCAGATTTTTTCCATGTACACAATCCTATACCCACAAGCACTTCCAGATGAGAAATAACTGTCTTTGCCTTTACAAGCAGCTTGCCTGTTTTGCACCCAAAACATCTCTGGTGAAGAAGTGATGAATTTCTGACTCAAAGCCATTTGCAGCCTTGTCCGTTTTGACTTTACGTAAAATCTATCTTTCTGAGTCAAAGCAGCATTCTCCCTGGACCTGCCATGTATTCAGTATGATTGATGAATTCTGGTTTTGGTAATTGTGCCCGGAAGTAGAAAAGTAGAATAATAATAAGGAAGAGGTGCATGTGTGTGTATAGGAGAGAGAGTGAGTCATTGCTAAACACTTCTTTTAGTAGTTCTGGTTCTTTGTGGCACAAGAAAGCAAGAGGGTTGCTCACGTATAATGGAGACTGTAATCTAGGTTTAATGAGAACGTGGAGTTATAAAAAAGATTAGTGCAGAAAGAAGAACAGATGGAAAGGAATTGGAGGAGGCCTGAAGACCTTGTAACCCTTGGAAACTTATAAAAGATTCTGACCCCCTAAACTGTCGCATCTGTGGCCCACCCTCCCCAGAGATCAGGTCAGGGCCTCATCAAGCCACACATGGGGCCACTGTGGGCTCATTACCTCCAACCTACTTCTGGCAGCCTTCTCCCCAGTCACCTAACAGTAGTAACCAGGTCTCAGAAAAAGGGTGACTTGATGGACTGTAGTGGAACTTAAAACATTTTTAAACAAAAAAAAACCCCTTTTTCTCCTGGCTGCGAAAAGACAAATGCGTATAGCAGTCAACGGAAGAAAAAGAAAATATATGGTTTTAAGCAATCCCTTACACGTTTGGTTGCGTAGCTCCTCCTTAGGAAGACTAGCAAACACGTTAGTCCTAGCTGACCTCTTACCTTGAAAGGCAGAGTTAGTATGTCTCATCCTCATTTGACCACTCTGCAAATGCACAAACATTTAGCCAGAAGCTGAAGTGATTGTTATTCTGACAAGTTCTTCCTCAATTTAGAAGTTCTTTAATGGCAGCAAGCCGTGGACCTGTGTCTCACCCTGTCCTACCCTGTTTTTCTCTTCTTTCTGATTTTCATTGTCCTCTCATTCCCACAACTCCTGTGCAGTTAATCTGGGCTCCCCAAGGAGTCTTCCATACAATTGGGTATTCCAGGGCATGTGAGATGAACCCTGGTGAGAGAGTTTTCCTTTGCATGTTGGAAGGAATTACTCGATCTAGAAATAATGAAGTTACAAGCATTGGAGAATTTCAGGCTGCTGCCTGCACGTCTATCCTATGAGCATTTTAGCAACATGGCCGAGGTGCAAGGCTGTGCATGTCAGATAAACACAGCTGCATTTATTTCTATGTTTACACATTCATTATAAACACACATAGATTTTCCTGCCTTCTGTGGAGGGGAAGGCATGGATGGGTAAGCAGGGAATTGGCCCTCCATATAGTTCTCATTTGAATGTGTGCATGATGGGGGCCATCTTTAGTCTGGAGTCACTATGTAGTGGGTATGATTTCATGACTCTGGGAAGGCCCCATGTTCACCCATCCTAAATTTGCTGGTAGATGACCAAGATTCCACCAGTAGAGCTTTATTCAGAGGATAAAACCTTCACACTGCTAAAATGTAGCTACCCAACTGTAGACTGATTTCAGGTTTGCACTGTGATGTCAGACATGCATAGGATATCAGCTTGTGAAACAGCAAAAAGCCATTGGTTATAAAGACTCTTAACTCCCTAGCGCTTGGTTTGGGCATGTTGGGAAGGGAAGAGTGAGCCTGCAGCTGATGAAGAGAAAAAGGCCAAGAAAAGAATAGGCTGGGAGCACAAAGATAATTTACATTTTCAAGGTGTGCCTACCCTAAGACCTCCCTCTTATGTGATTGTTTTCCTGCTTTTGAAAGGATTTCAGTAAGAATGTGATTGAGTCTCCTATCAGACATGGGTATATTAATGGGGTGTGGCTTTTAGATTGCTAACTTGATCTACATGTTCAGAGTTATAGCTCTGGATACCAAGTGGAAGCTAAAAAAATGTTAGACTTTAGCAGAAAAGATAACCCAGCCATGGAAAGAGGAGGGTGGGAATAGAGAATTGTAAGCACACTGGGGAGGGTGGAGGTGAGAGCTTGCTGGGGGCCTGGCCAGGTAACTGACCCCCTTGATGGAAGAGGTCAGGTGCCCAGATGCACAATGGCAGAAAGAGCTTTCAAGAGCGTGACAGAAGGGATCAGGACAAAATTCTAGAACAAAATGTCTAGAACTAGATAGCTAAAGAGGACATAATACTGAACTGGGAAGGAAAGGATGGTGACAACATGGTGGATTTTAATCCAGTTGGTGGAAGGACCAGCCCCCCATCGACTGACTCAAATATGCCTACAATATCTATGCGTCCTACTTCATCAAATCATCATTTTCACATTTTCTGAGGCAGGTCTGATTTCAGACATTTGAACCCATTCATGGACACCACACTGGGATTAGGAAAACATCCTTTCTGTGTCCATAAAAGTGTCGTCTGTCATGTGCTTATGTAAAGCCCTTTATAAGCAAATTAAACAGGTGCATGCCCTCCACCTTTCTCCCTGGACCCATCCTGTTCTTCCTTTCTTGTTCAGTAGCTTTGCCATCCATCTTATCACTTGAGCCAGAAACCTCAGAAAAGTCTGTGTTAACTATGGCTGCACAACAAATTACCCCCACACTTAGCAGTTTAAAAGAACAAACATTTATTACCTCTCACAGTTTCTGAGGCTCGGGAATCTAGGAGCAGCTTAGCCGGTGTCTCTTGCTCAAAATATCTTGCAAGGTTACAGTCCAGCTGTTGGCCGGGGCTGCAGGTGTCTCAAGGTGTGCCAGGAGCTGGAAAATCCTCTTTCAGACTCACTCGCGTGGCTGTTGCAGGCTTTGGTTCCTCACTGACTGTTGGCCAAAGGTCTCTGTTTCTTACCATGTGGGTGCCTCCCTAGGCTGCCTGAGTGACTTCATGACACTCATGGCCCAGAGTAAATGATGGGAGAGAGAGTGAGAAAAGATAGTCTAAGATAAAAACCACAGATTTTAAAATAGTCTCAGAAGTGACATGCCGTCACCTCTGCTGTATCCTGTTGCATCCCTGTCCCAGGTCAAACCTTTGCATTATCACGGCCTGTATACTTGTAGAATAAGTGTACTGCAACTGCCTGTTTGCTCTACACAGGTCTGTTTGGGCACACAGATCTGGTACAGTATGGAAGGGGACTACACAACGATGTAAATATTAGGAGTAAGGGGTTGTAAATATTGGAGGCCAGCTCAGCAGCTGGCTACTTCACAGAAGTCTTCCTTTCCTTCTCCCTCTTCTTCAGCACATCACTTACTAAGTCCTGATTCTTCCTGCACAGTATTTCTCAGATTTGACCTCATCTCAAATCCGATTGTTTCTTTGGGGAAGTGGTATGGAAGCTGATGGAGGCAGCCTTGGGGGCCACATACCTAAGGGCACAAGTGGAATGTGTAATAATATGCTAGCATGGCCTCCAACCCAGCCTTATAGAGAGGAGACCAACATCTTGGTAAGCCAGTCTTTTGGGGAGGATTTCTTCCCTGTGCAGGCAAGGGAAGACCCATAACACAGAGTTACCCTATGCAAATTAGGTGCTTATTGAACAGAACAGACAATAGAAGTCACTACCTGCTCCCCGCTTCACCAGCCCAATACCCATTTCACCCGTGACTCAGAAGTTGAGGAGCTTCCCCACAGTCATTTGGTAAGTTGGCAACCCAGGTGGTACAAAGGTGTTTAGACTTTCTGATCTTTCCCTGCCCCATGTCAAACCTTCACATTATCATGGCATGTATACTTGTAGGATAAGCGTACAGCAACTGCCTGTTTGCGCTGAGATCCATTTTCTGCTCTTATTGTGATCTTCTCCAAGTGACAAGGAACTTCATTTCCTAGGCTCTCTTGTCTTCTGGCTTCCTGCTAGGTTTGGCCAGTGGGGGCCACTGGTGGAAGATTTGAAAGCAGGAGCTGGCTAGAAATACGTTACTTCTGTAACGTATTTCTCCTCCTCCTGTTTTCCTTTGGCCCCTTCAGTGTGGTTGAGTCTCCTGTGGTCCCAGCTCCCCCTGGACAGTCCCCACTGTGACTCTGGCTTCTGCCAGATGACTCCTGCCTCATAACCCAGTAATCACCCAGCTCCTCCAATATGAGGAGTCACAGCTGATTACTGCTGTGGCTAATCCCTGGGTTGTCTTACTGTCCTCTGATTGGTCTCTCCGCTCTTCTATCATTTAAACTCATTCCCGAGTTTAAATTACCTGTTTGTTAAGACCTAGACTGGTTTCTCTTTTCCATACTAGACCCTGACTGATGGAGTTGAACCATCTTTCTGTGTTTTCTCGCACACTGTGTGAACACAATAAATGCTCAATTATAATGATGTTAATGAAAAAAGAAAATGAGTTTATCCAAAAGAAGTAGTGCTTTGCTCTATTCATTTACTTTATAAGTCAAGCTGACTAAAACTACATATTTGTCATTTGTCATAACTGAAAAACAGAAAGTAGAAACATTCTCCTGAGTTTTTTATGAGGAGTCAGTCTTGTTCCTTCTACTCTGGTGTCAAGAGTGGACCCTTTGATCTTGAGAATCTTTATCTTTGTCAACCATGACTTTATCATGGGACAGATCTTTCTTGGTTTGGGTAGGGCTGTACTTTCTAATCGCAGCAGAATGAGTCCTAATGCTGTGTCATTGGTTTTGCACATGGTGACTTGGTAACGACTCTGCGCCCTTGGCTTTCCCATCACAAGCCTGGTTGTTGTGACCCACAGTCCTGTTCATATGCCAGCCCCTGTTCTTGGCCTCCACACAAGGATTCCCACAAGGGTTCTATTTGAGATGGTGGCTTCCAAGATTGGGGGTATCTGCCTGCCAGCCCTGGATTTGAGACCACCAGCTTGTTTTTCCAAGCATTAATATCTCAGTGATCTCCAAACATATTTTCTTTTCCAGAATACTTTCCAAAAGATTTGTAAGAATGTCTCTAAAAATTTTCTTTTGAAGGCACCAGGGCCTGAGGGGAGGGGGCAAGGGTAATATAACTTGGCCGATTAGTATTTAAAACTTTATCCAAAAAATATTTTTCTCCTTAAATAAACCAACTCTTTTTACATATTTAAGTAATTCATCTGAGAGAAGTAACCACTCAGCTATTCACATAGCCAGCCCTTGGCAGCTTCAGTTCAAAATGCTAGGAAACCAGTCAACTACAAAGTTTCAAATGTTTTCTTTGAAAGCTCAACTTAACCTGCACTACCATACTGGTGAGAAAAGTGACAACTCATTTTAAAGATTCACCCCCTTTCTTTCTTTGTCTCTCTTCTGCAGGCCATGTGTTTATACTGTGGGATCTCCCATAAACAACAGGGCCCTTTTTCCATGCCAGGAGCCACCCGTTGCCATGTCAACATGGCAGGCTACAGTTCGAGCAGCTGCATCTTTTGTTGTTTTAATGAGTGGGGAAAATTCTGCCAAACCAACGCAGCTTTGGGAAGGTACTGTACATGTGTTCTTTGCTTATTTATGTATTGCACACATGTGGACCCAGGAACCCAATAAACAGTATTTTTCTAAACTTTAAAGAGCTCCTTTATTAGTTGGGTTGGAAATGATCATAGTATAAAACATCCTGCCAGGGAAAACAAGCAGGGGATGGGGAGGGACACTTAGGAGCCTGGGCATGGGATTTGGGGCTCTTCATACTAGAGTTGTCGGTTCATAGACTATTTCAGCAGTTGCTTTCACCTGGTGGTTTGTAGGCCATAAGTAGGTGGTCTTGACTGAAGACGTTCTGAACAGGCAGGTGTACCATGGAAACACCATTAGAGTTGAGTTGTCTGTGATTTGTTATGGTGTCTGTACATGGTTATTCATTATGTTAAGAGATAGTGCTCTTGTTGGCTGGCCCACTGGAGTTGTCTTAATGAAGCATCTTTTCTACACATGGTTTGCCTGTGTAAAGTTCTGAACCAAAGGTGTATAAGAAAGATGGAAGGCAGTGCTAATGCATCATCAAGGTTTTATCTATGAATTACTTCTTATTGCAGCATTTAACTTTTTCAGTGGAGATCCTGAGCATGTTGATGCCAGGAAAAAATTTGTTTATTTGAGAGACAGGGTCTCGCTCTGTTGCCCGGGCTGGAGTGCAATGGCTTGATAACGGCTCACCGTGGCCTTGACCTGCCAGCCTCAATTGATCCTCCCACCTCATCCTGCCAAGTAGGTGGAACTACAAGTGCATGCTACCACGCCCAGCTAATTTTTGCACTTTTTTTGTAGACATGAGATTTTGCCATGTTGCCCAGGCTGGTCTTGAATGCCCAGGTTCAAGTGATCTGTCTACCTCAGCCTCCCAAAGGTGTGAGCCACTGTGCCTGGCCAGGAAACATTTTTATAGTTATATTATTTCTTTATTTAAAATATGGCATCTCCTTTGAGACCATCCTGGCTAACACGGTGAAATCTCGTCTCTACTAAAAATACAAAAAATTAGCCGGGCGTGGGGGCGGTTGCCTGTCGTCCCAGCTACTCGGGAGGCTGAGGCAGGAGAATGGCGTGAACCTGGGAGATGGAGCTTGCAGTGAGCTGAGATGGCGCCACTGCACTCCAGCCTGGGCGACAGAGTGAGACTCCATCTCAAAAAAAAAAAAAAAAAAAAAAGGGCATCTCCTTCCACATATTTATTATAGAAACTTTAAAATATACAGAAAACTAAAAATAAATTAAAAAAATTATAGAGAAAATTATCGCTAAGATTTTGTTACATTTCCTTTCAGTATTTAAAATCTATATGTTTTGTGCAGTTATCATCCTCAAATTGTGATAGCATATGATGGTGTTTATTCTGCCTTTTTCACTTATAGTGTATCTTGAACAATTTACAGGTCGTTAAATATTTTTAATATGATTTTAACATTGGCACAATATTTTTTATCTGAATATATCAGAATTTAACATTTCTATATTAAATATTTTGATTATTTCAGTTTTTTTCCTGTTATAAATAAAGTTGCATTAAATTCCAGGGGAGACATTTTATATAAAATTAGAATTACTGAGTCAAAAGTTGGAACATGTTTAAGGTTGTTGGTACATATCCCATAATGTTTTCCAGAAAGGCTGTGCCAATTTATACATTCATCTGTAGTTATGAGGGTCCTTGTCACCTGGAACTTTGCTCATCTGATAGGCAGCAGCAGGTCTCTCTTTAATTGGATTACTTTGATGATTAGTGAGTTTCACATGTCCTTATATGTTTCTTAACCATTTTCATTTTCTGTTTATTTCCTTTGCCCATTTTTTATACTGAAGACCTAGATTTTTGCCATTTGTCTTATTTTTCAATTTTATTGGCTCTTTAAAAAAAGATATTAATTTCTTATATTTATGAAAAGCATTGCTCCCAGCTTTTGGTATATCTTTTAATTTTATATGATGTGTCTTTTTATGAAGTTAAATTTATTAGATTTCTCTAAGATTCATTTTGTTCTGATATTTTTATAGTTTAATTTTTATAACTCTTTAATCAGTCTGTAATTTATTCTCATCAGGTTGTGAAATGAGGACTAAACATTGTCTTTTTTTTTCAAATAGAAAACCAGTTGCTTCAGGATCATTTATTGAATTTTTAAATTTTGTGATGTCTTTATCATAAGCTAGATTAACGTATGTACTGAAGTCACCGATGAGTATTTACTTGATTTTTTTTTTTTTTTGAGACAGAGTCTTGCTCTGTCGCCAGGCTGGAGTGCAATGGCGCGATCTCTGCTCACTGCAACCTCTGCCTCCCGGGTTCAGGCGATTCTGTCTCGGCCTCCCCAGTAGCTGGGACTACAGGCATACACCACCATGCCCAACTAATTTTTGTATTTTTAGTAGAGACAGGGTTTCACCATGTTGGCCAGGATGGTCTTGATCTCTTGACCTCGTGATCTGCCCGCCTAAGCCTCCCAAAGTGCTGCAATTACAGGTGTGAGCCACTGCGCCCAGCCTTACTTGATTCTTAAAAACAACACATTTAGGCTGGGACAGTGGCTCACGCCTGTAATCCCAGCACTTTTGGAGGCCCAGGTGGGCGGATCATGATATCAGGAGATCGAGACCATTCTGGCTAACACGGTGAAACCCCATCTCTACTAAAAATATAAACAAACAAACAAAAAATTAGTCAGGCGTGGTGGCGGGCGCCTGTAATCCCAGCTACTCGGGAGGCTGAGGCGGGAGAATGGTGTGAATCCGGGGCTTGCAGTGAGCCGAGATCACGCCACTGCACTCCAGCCTGGGTGACAGAGTGAGACTCCATCTCAAAAATAAATAAATAAATAAATAAAATAAAATTTTTATATTTAAAAATAAGTAACATTTACGTGGTTCATTTATAGAAGAACAAAGGACAAAGCATTATGTGCAATAACGTGTTTTTCTTACCTCTATTTCCCAGACATCCAGTAACACTTCCCCAGGCAACCAAGGTTACCAATTTCTCTTGAATAATATGTTTTTTCTCTTTTGTTGTACAAATTGTAGCATGCTAGACACATTTTTGTATTGTGCTTTCCCTTTTAGAATAAATTTATTTTATAGATATTTTGTAACAGAGCGTAAAGAGTATCCTCATTATTTATTTATTATTATTATTTGTTTTTTGGAGACGGAGTCTTGCTCTGTCACCAGGCTGGAGTGCAGTGGCGTGATCTCGGCTCACTGCAACCTCTGCTTTCCGGGTTCAAGCATTTCTCCTGCCTCAGCCTCCCGAGTAGCTGGGACTACAGGCGCACGCCGCCATGCCTGGCTAATGTTTTGTATTTTAGTAGAGATGGGGTTTCACTGTGTTGCCCAGGCTGGGCTCGAACTCCTGAGCTAAGGCAGTCCACTCGCCTCGGCCTCCCAAAGTGCTAAGATTACAGGCATGAGCCACTGCGCCCGACCTTTCCTCATTATGTTATGGCTATGAGTATCCTATAAATGGATGTTTTACAATTTAGTTAACCAATATCTCTGGAATTCATATCAAATAAGGAATTGGATGGGTATTTACTCCATTATCCTTCCGCACCCATATTCTCCAGTTTTACTTAATAAAACTTGGGATTTGGGACTCACATTTTCTCTATAACTTTTTGTATTATGTATTTTCTAGGAATTACTATTATTGTATTTTCATTCAGTTTCAAATGATTTCATAATAAGTATTTAGACTTTCTTCATTCTTGAGCTCTTAAGTTGGCTGGGAAATAGCTTCATTTTTTTTTTTTTTTTAGAAGACTGGATGAATGGTACATTTTCTGAGCCCTCCCATATTTAGATTGGCTTTTTGTTGTATTCACTTATGAACAATCCTTGGCTAGGTATAACATTCTTTTTTTTAATATTTTTATTTGTAGCAGCCCTATTAACTGAAGTATAACATTCTTGAAGGAAAATTTTTTAAAATGAATGATTGACATTCATTTGAATGATTGACAGAAAACTAATGTTAAGGCTGGGCGGGGTGGCTCACGCCTGTAATCCCAGCACTTCGGGAGGCCGAGGGACGGATCATGAGGTCAGGAGATTGAGACCATCCTGGCTAACACGGTGAAACCCAGTCTCTACTAAAAATACAAAAAATTAGCCGGGCGTGGTGGTGGGTGCCCGTAGTCCCAGCTACTCCGGAGGCTGAGGCAGGAGAATGGCGTGAACCCGGGAGGCGGAGCTTGCAGTGAGCTGAGATCGTGCCACTGCACTCCAGTCTGGGCGACAGAGCGAGACTCCATCTCAAAAAAAAAAAAAAGAAAACTAATGTTAAAATAACATAATGTAAATCTCTACTGCTGAAATTAGGAACAAAAATGTCACTATGGAAAATCAGTAGGACGAAGTGTAAATAAAAATGAAAAGGCAAGCCACATATACCGGATGTATTTGTAATACATATATCTGGCAAAAGGCTTGTACCTAGAATTATATAATCTTTTTTTTTTTTTTTTTTTTTTTTTTGAGACAGTGTCTCATTCTATTGTCCAGGCTGGAGTACAGTGGCGCGATCTCAGCTCACTGCAACCTCTGCTTCCCGGGCTCAAGCGATTCTCTCACCGAGCAGCTGGGATTACAGGCATGCACCACCATGCCCAGCTAATTTTTGTATTCTTAGTAGAGACAGGGTTTCACCATGTTTACCAGGCTGGTCTTGAACTCCTGACCTTCAGTGATCCACCTGCCTCGGCCTCCCAAAGTGCTGGGATTACAGGTGTGAGCCACCGTGCCTGGCCTATAAAGTATTCTTATAACCTAATAATAAAACAATAAAAAACCCCACATGAAAGAAAATGAGCAAATGACATGAACAGATGCTTTTCAAAAGAAGATATAAGAATGTGCAAAGTAAATGAAAAGGTGCTCAACATCGTCATCAGGGAAATGCAAATTAAAACCATAATGAGATAGTATTTTACACCTAGTTAGAGGGCTAAAATTAAAAGGACAGAAAATACCAAGTGTTTCCAAGGATAAGCCACAACTAGAACTCTCATACATTGCTGGTGAGAGTATGAAAGAATGCAACCACTTTGGAAATAGTTTGGCAGATACTCACAAACTTAAACATATATTTACACGATCTAGCAATTTTACTCTTGAGTATTTACCCAAGAGAAATGAAAACCTACGTCCACAAAACGATTAATACCTGATTGTTCACAGCACATTTTCCATAATGACCAAAAACAGTCTAACTGTAGATGGATAAACAAATTATGGTTTATTCACACAATGGACCACTACTGATAAATCAAAAAAAAAAAAAATAGCTAGTGACACCTGCAACAATATGGATGAATCTCACAAACATTATGCTGAGTAAAATAGAGTCACACTGAATGACCCTTTTTATATGAATTTTGAGAAGAAGTCAAACCAGTCTGTACTGATGGAAACCAGATCAGTGGTTGGCTGGAATGGGGTTAGGAAGAAATGAGTGCAAGGGTACAGCGGAATTTCTGGGGTAATGGAAATGTTCATGGGGGTAATGATTATGTAAGTGTGTTTATCTGTGAAATCTCATTGAACAACACATTTAAGATGTACACATTTATGGCCAGGCGTGGTGGCTCACACCTGTAATCCCAACACTTTGAGAGGCCAAGATGGGCGGATCACTTGAGGCCAGGAGTTCAAGACCAGCCTGGGCAACATAGTGAAACCCCGTCTCTACAAAAATACAAAAAAATTAGCTGGGCGTGGTGGTACACGGCTGTAATCCCATTTACTCAGGAGGCTGAGGCAAGAGAATTGCTTGAACCAGGGAGGCAGAGGTTGCAGTGAGCTGAGATCACACCACTGCACTTCAGCGTGGGTGACAGAATGATACTGTCTAAAAAAAAAAAAAAGTACACATTTATTGTATATGTGCGGTGGTTAATTTTAGGTGTCAACTTGACTGGATTAAAGGGGTTGGCAGATACACGCAGCTTCTTTATCTGGGCTCTAGTGTCTTGCTGGCAATTGTCCAGTCAGGTTCTGCTAGACTCACATAGGCTTTTTCTCTGTTGTCTCTGTTTGGTTCCCTGACTTGCTGAATTGATTGAGTATATGAAACACTGCAATTTCAGATAGGCACTGATAGGTGGCCTACTCACATTTCTGCCTATAGCAGTGTGCTTGTGATAACTCCACCTCCCAAGATGCCATGTGGCTCTCCCCACCCTCACCTCACCAAGCCTACATATTTTCTCATTCATGGTTTGGCCCTGCAGTAAAGCCTTGTGTTTGACAATGTTTCCCAAACTTGAGCATTATTCTTCTTTTTAGAGGGAAAGGTCTCATGATTTACCACAGTTGACCTAAATTATTTATATTAGAATGACATTTCAAAAACTATAGATCTAAGACTAGATATGAACTCTGTGTTCTTACAACTCTTACACATCCGTAAAGCCAAAATAAAATTATAAATGAAATGCAGATCAAACTAGCAAATCAATAAAATTCAAATTTATAATTTATAATTTGAATTTTATATTGATATAAATATATAAATATAAATTGAATATAAATATTAATATTTTGCTGAGATGAAATTGCCCCTTACAATATGAATATGGTGCTGACGGCTCCATGCAGTTTCTTTTGAGACTGAACACCTGTTCTACCCTGAGCCACAAAATAATCCAGTTCTCCACCACTTGTCTTTCATCTCCCTGTAAACTTTTGTTTACACAGCATGCTGTGATATCGTTTGGCCTTTACTCAGCCAAAAGCATCATCCTTATGTTCTTTTCTCATTATCTCTTGATAATTATCGCAGTCCTACACGTCCCCATGCAATCATATACACTAATACAGATGGGAACTCTGAAATCATTTGGCAGTACTCACATCTGGATGATTTTAGGGGTCAGAAAACTATGGCCTGCTGGCTAAATCTAGTCCACTGCCTGTTTTTGTAAATAAAGTTTTATTGGATCATGGCCATTGTCTTTGACTGCCTTCATGTTACAACAGCAGAGTTGAGTATTGGCAACAAGGTCCTGCAAAGCCTAAAATATTTGTTACCTGGTCTTTTACAGAAAAAAGTTTTCTGACCTCTGTCATATTCATCTGTCTGTCTGTTGTTGTGTATCTATTTGAAGATTATTATCAAAAAATTGAGAATTAACTTTAAATATGAAAAACTTTTATAACCCCAGGAATATATCTGTGGACCTTTTTTTTTCCCCAAATTCCAGTTGAGGACAGAGTAATAAAATAGATGCTTATTGAGATTTACTTACGTTCACACCACTTACACCTTATATGATATCACAGAACAATCTTTGCCAGTTCAAGCTGAGGGAGAATTAAGCTAGACAAGATAAAAGAACTCTATGCTTAATACTGCAATTCCTCCCACAGACAGGGTTTATCAGAGGACAATCAGGAAACAGTACTAATAAAGCTGTTTGCCAGAACCAAAATGGCTGTTCTGAGGATGGAATAATGTCTACAAATGTATCTGCACTCCTTAGAGAAAGGGGATGTGGATACAAGATGATGCTATTTCCTTTCTAAGTCATGTTTTCTCGATTGGCAGATTGGTCTCATAGGACCTCTACTCTGTTGTGCAGAATGCCCTTTAAAACGATGAGCTATCTTTGAAAACATGACTGGCAAAGCGCGACCCAGCAAGTCACAGTTTCCATCACAGTGACACATAGGCCTGATTAGCACATTTCCCGGGCACCAGCTGATTTTTCCACAGAAGCAAGGCACCTGGGAGCAGATAACAGCAACAGAAATGACAGCAGCCCTTGGGCAGGGAACAGAAATCAGAAGACAGATCTCTGGGTCCTTGCTTCATAAGGGAAATCATTTCTCCTAACTGTTTTTAAAATGAAGGGTAATGGTTTGGATGTAGGGTGATGACCATTGTAAGAATTCTATTAGCTGAGCAGTTGTTATTCTTTTTTTTTTTTTAAAGAAGGCTAAGACAAGGCCATAGATTTAGATTAACTTGCTTGGCTCTTTTATTATTCTCCTTTATTATTAAACTTCCTCAGCATAATGTGATTTGGGCAGACAGAGATGTTATCCTGTGGCTTATTGTTGGCCTATATTCTCTACCAAAATATAGCTAAACTATTGAGCGCAGAGACCCAATGCCTAATACAGTGCCTTGTATAGAATAAGTGCCCAATATGCATTTGTGGAATAAATGTGTTCTTTATAATCAGGCAGAAGTAGTATGTTCATGGAAGAAACATTTAAAACTACTAGTGATAGTAACAAAATCGACTTCAGGGTCATTTCTTTTGCTTTTGTTGCTTAATTACAGTTTATGCCTTTTTTCCAGCCTCAATAAATTTTAAAAAGAATTGGTTTAGTACATTATTATTTTCTTCTAGTAATTTTTTGTTTAGTTTTTTTTTTTTTTAATTAATTAATTTTTTTGAGACAGAGTCTCATTCTGTCGCCCAGGCTGGAGTGCAGTGGCACGATCTCCGCTCACTGCAAGCTCTGCCTCCCAGGTTTACGCCATTCTCCTGCCTCAGCCTCCCGAGTAGCTGGGACTACAGGCACCCGCCACCACGCCTGGCTAATTTTTTGTATTTTTAGCAGAGACGGGGTTTCACCGTGTTAGCCAGGATGGTCTCTATCTCGTGATCTTGTGATCCGCCCGCCTTGGCCTCCCAAAGTGCTGGGATTATAGGCGTGAAAGTTTTATTTTTATAGAGTCTAATTTAGTATATCCCTGCTTCCTAGAAAAATAAAATACTCTGAGGGCTGGGTGCCATGGCTCACACCTGTAATCCCAGCACTTTGGGAGGCCGAGGCGGGCGGATCACGAGGTCAGGAGATCGAGACCATCCTGCCTAACACAGTGAAATGCCGTCTCTACTAAAAATACAAAAAAAATTAGCCGGGCGTGGTGGCAGGCGCGTGTAATCCCAGCTACTTGGGCTGAGGCAGGAGAATTGCTTGAACCCGGGAGGCGGAGGTTGCAGTGAGCCAAGATCGTGCCACTGCACTCCAGCCTGGGCGACAGAGTGAGACTCCGTCTCAAAAAAAAAAGAAACAAAAAAAGAAAAAGAAAATACTCTGCTTCTGTTTTTTGTGGGAAGCCTCAAGTAAATGAAGAAGACTGCCTAATGGAAGCTCCTTCCAGATGAAGGAGAAAAAGCATATGAACAAGTGAAAGGTGTTAAAAACTACATGTGCCCTTGCATAGGATCTGATTTCATTTTTTAGTGCAAAAGTAAGACTGTAGACATTACTTCATTCTGGGCAAAATGCTACTCTCTGGCCTGCCCAATAGACTAGCTCTCTGACATTCTCTTTCTTTTGACTTTGTGTGGGAAATTCCAGGAAAAAGCCAAGATCTGAGAGTCCAGACCCTCCTGTGTGCAACTGAAAGCCAACTTTTCAAATGAGCAGTACTATTTAGACTGCTCCCATAGTATGCAACCAGGAATTACGTATGAGGAAATGGTAAATTAAGAGGCATTTAGGAATGGTTATGATTAAGTATTTTCCTCACAAAGAAAGAATGCAAAGTAGAGAAAGCTCCTTGTTTCTAGAACTAGGGAAACTTTATTCCACGCCAGTACACATACATTCCTATGTTTTTAAGGGTAAACGTATTAATCTTTTCCCATTAGAAAGATGCCGGTGAGCCAGTAATTTCTAAATCTGTGTCAGTTAATTCTTTTGTTTTGTGATTTGTTGTTGACTAGTTCTTGCTTACCCTCCTGGCACTGCGCTTACTGTACACGACATATGTGAAAGTCATCATGGTTTCTTTCAGACATTGATGATTCTGGCAGGCATGTATATACCAGTTCTCATTGCTGTGGATTTTTGTCTTGGACTTGACATTCATGAATGTTCCATGTGAGTAAAGCACTCAAGTTTACCTGTGACCACCTGGAGCAGTATGATTTGGTGTCCAGTTAGCTGATCCAGCTTAAGGGGAACTGGGTCACCTGCATTGAAGGTCAGAGTGGCCGGTGAGACTTGAATAACAAGCCTGGTGGGGCATATTCCTTTAGGTATCCCGTTAGCCAACAAGGAAAACCTATAGAGGCGCTTGTGTTCAGCAGATGGCGCTCTTTTACCTAGTTCACAAGAATGATCTTGAAGGTCATTCTCTCTTGCCTCTCCTGTGCCTGAGGCGGTACCATGTTGCAGGCAAGGAAAACCGAAGCCTTGCTGGGTAGCATCAGTGCTTGCAAAGTGGTGGCCTGACCTGGCACATTGCCCTGGTTAGGCAATGCTGGTGCCCAGGGCGTCTTACTGTCTCGTTTGTTCTGGTGCCAGTTACAACCCTTGAGCAACTGCGGAGAAGAACTAACAAGAGACAGTCACGCTATGGGTATTCACGAGGGTGGCACTCACTTAGAAAACTGGAAGGTGTAGACGCGGCATCTGCAAAGTCCTGACAGAAAGCTAGTTTGCTGAAAGACCCAAGCAGTGGAGAAGGAGGCCAGGAGGGGAAGAGCAGCCAAAATGGGGAGCTCTCTCTCCTTTTCGTGAATGTATTATATTTATTGTACAGATGTATGTATATTATATATTTAAAATATATGATATATACATTCTCTATAGTATGTCTGTATACACTTATAAGTGTACATGTTTCTGAATATACATATTCCTGTAAACATTGTTAGGCATCTTTAATTTGTGATACAAAGATGTTCCAAAGTAATCATAACATATATAATAGTTTGGATAGGAATTGCTGAAATAAGGAATTGTGGTTAGAGAAAGAAACAATTTTGAGGTAGCAAAGTAGCAGGGGCTACTGAAGGATTGAGGAAAGAAAGATTATATGTTAAATAAAAGCACGTATCAATTTGATATTTCCGAATGCTTCATGCTGTTTGTCTAACCTATAGTGGAGAGGTTGAAAAAGTAAAATGGATGGTTTTCATAGGAAGAATTTAAGTGCCTGTTTTAATTTGCAGTGAAAACAATAACTCTTTAATATGAGAAGTTCCATGAGATGCTTAACTTGGCAGAGCTATGATCTAACTTAGCCTCTGCACAAGCAGAGTGGTTATGTGTGTGTGGTTATAGCTGTGCTTTTAATTATATTAAGTGAGTTTATCCAAGACTCACCTACTAATAGGACACTGACTTTTCATAAATTTCTTATTTAATTTACTATTGGTAGGCATGACTGATGTGTAAAAATGACTACCGTATCTTGATTTTTCTTCTCTTAAAATTTTTTATGAAAAATGATTATCTCAGCTAAGTTTCTCACAGGTTTAGTATAAAAAGTTCTCTCTCCTCTCATGAACTGACTACTCCTTCATGTTCTTCCTTTTTCCCTCTTCACTGAGAATTATTCTTCCTCCTGTGGAAAATAGAATCTTCAAAACTATTCACAGGACAGTTTTTAGAAGTCATTGAAAAAATAATTAAGATAACTGTTTTAACACTCTTTAGTTATGATACTTATTTTCAAAATTAAATTTTATTTATTTTTATTTTTATTTTGGAGATGGAGTTTCACTCTGTCGCCCAGGCTGGAGTACAGTGGTGCAATCTTGGCCCACTGCAACCTCTGCCTCTTGGGTTCAAGTGATTCTCCTGCTTCAGCCTCCTGAGTAGCTAGGATTACAGGTGCCCACCACCACGCCTGGCTAATTTTTGTATTTTTAGTAGAGTCAGGGTTTCACCCATGTTGGCCAGGCTGGTCTTGAACTCTGGACCTCAGGTGATCCTCTCGCCTTGGCCTCCCAAAGTGCTGGGATTACCGGCGTGAGTCACTGTGCCTGGCCCAGAACTATATTTTATTTTATTTTATTTTATTTTGAGACGGAGTTTAGCTCTTGTTGCCCAGGCTGAAGTGCAATGGCACGATCTCAGCACACTGCAAACTCCGCCTCCCGGGGTTCAAGTGATTCTCCAGCCTCAGCCTCCTGAGTAGCTGGGATTACAGGCATGTGCCACTATGCCCGGCTAATTTTGTAGTTTTAGTAGAGATGAGGTTTCCGCTATGTTGGCCAGGCTGGTCTCAAACTCCCGATCTCAGGTGATCCACCCGCCTCGGCCTCCCAAAGTGCTGGGATTATAGGCGTGAGCCACTGCGCCCGGCCCAAAAACTAAATTTTAAACTGCCTCTTGTGATTTGAAAATTGATCCATTTCAAGTTCTGTTATAGCTGCAAAAAGCACAGTCATCTAAGGAAAATTTCAGTCCTGTTGTGGAGATGAAAATGTCTATTTGGGTCTTGTAACAGCTGTTATTGTCAATACGTCATACGATACATGTATCTTACTAGTGAGACAACTGAAGTATGAGAGTTTTTCCCCCTAAATACAGTCCAATAGGAGAAAGTGATGTAGGGGCGTTAGAGAACTCTGGTCTCTTTCTGAGGAGGTCAGAAGTCCAGCTTTACAGAATCTGCCCAGAAAGAAGGGCAAGCTGGGTGGCGGCTTGTGCCTGAAGTTAAGGAGTGCTGTTTCCTCTGCATCCCTTCCTACCAACCCTCTCTGTTAGTCTTGCTAATGAATCCCGACCTGGCTGTGAAATCATCCAGTGGTGTGAGGGGTTTCTGGCCTCTGCAGAGGAAAAACTCTGGGTTAATTCAAGTACAGTGTGTTCTCTTTGTTTTGCAGCTGGTGTAGCAAAGGGAGTCTAGTGCAAGTGGATTGAATCAAAAGGAAAATGAAGGCATTCACTGTCTGTTTCATCAAGGATGGCTCATTTAAAGTAAACACCATTTAAATAGTCTCCAAATGGCCCATTCTATATGAAGTCATACAGGATGCCCCCTTTAGGCTGTCATTCTCCTTTAAATGGATCGCTTTGTGTGGACTGTGTTTTAATGCCATTCAACCTTGAACTCCATATGTGGGCCTCATCAGGTCGCGGTTTTCAGTACACATGTGGCAGCCATACCTTCAGCATTCTTTGCCTTTGCCTTCAGAAAATTAGCCTGAGTGAGCATCAAGGGTAGACAGCTGTAAAGATGAGAGCTTGCAGATGAAGACTACAACAACAACAGATGATGACAGCACCTAATGTTTCTTGAACACTTACTTTGTGCCAATTATTATGCCTAGTGATCACTCTATAGATTATCTAATTTAATCCTAACTTAATCCTCACAGCAAGATACTATGATAATTCTCTTGTTATACATGAGGAAACTGATGCATTAGAGAAATTAAGTGATGTGCCCAAACTGGTAAATGCAGAGCAGGGAATTGAACCCTAGCTGTCAGATTCCAGAGGTGGAACTCAATGAATGGACATATCCAAAAGCAATAAACTCTCATTAATTCTCTTGCAAGGTAGGCTTATTCCAAACAATAGACAATCCTGAAATTATTTATCTTTGTTTTGGGAATGCATGCTCTGCTTTCTGGGGCAGTATTTCCACCTTATTCTTTGCAATTTTTGTAGGCTGATTGGAAGATAAGGTTAGGTGTTGTTCCCTGTGGCAGTGGGCAGTCTTCATGTAAGATTGGGCTCATTGGAATAATCCATGAAGAGACAACTCAAAAGAGACTTTTCTATCAAATGAGGATACTAGAAACATCCTCATAGCAGGGAACTAATGAAAATCTTCTCCAGAGCACTAGCAGCGCTCCATGATCTCAGCGCTGGCTCCAGCATTCAACCAGGATCCAGGCAAGAAGCCCAGGGCCAGACTCTAGTGAGAAGCTTCTGAGAAGAGTTTGACAAGGAATTGGGTTTCTGGCTGGTTCTTATTTGGCCCAGCCAATTGATCTGCCCCGATTTGACTGTCACTTGGTAGCCAAGAAACCTTTTTGCTTTTAAAAGCTTGAAGTCTGAAACAGTTGATTCCAAATGAGCTCTACTAAGTAGAGGAACTTTAGGAATCTAAGAAAATAAAAAAAAACTTGCGCGCTGTATAGGAGGAAATCATCTTGAGCACTTAAAGTATGAATTTGTGTGATATTTAAAAACCAATTATTTTATTTCCATTATTGAACTTCAGAGAAGACTGTGAGGAAACAATGACAGTTTTAACATATTTTTATTGGACTCACCTCAGGTTCTGTTACCACTATTGCTATCTCACTCTCAAACTCTGGGTCATTTACGGTTTCTGACTTTTTAATTGCTAATCTCCATTTCTCTCCCCTGCCACATCCTGCTGTGACTTCCGGTGTCTTCCCCATGTCACCTTGAGAGTGCAGACATGCTGATGAAGGTGCTGGGTTGTGATGGGATTGGGCGCTCTACGTGGATTTCTATTGACCTTGTGCAGGGATCTAACAAATACCTCTACTCCATTAGCAGTGTTTTCTCTTGGAAGTAAGTTTCAGTTTCTGCTGTTTCCACAAGTATCATCTTGCCCATGGACTACGTGGATGGTACAAGAACCAGACAGGCAGCAAGAAAATCAGGTCAAAAATTCAACGCAAATGTAGGGAGAAAGCCTGTTGTGCGTAGTGCTTCATTCTTAAAAGGATTTCTTAATAGGCTAGTGCCTGCTCCTTATCTCTAAATTGCTTCTTTCTTCTGAGTTATATTTCATCATTTTAATAGTACCTTGGTACCAGACGTGTTATTCTTTTTCTGTTAAGATTACCTTTTAATTAATTGATTAGTTCAATTATTTTACATTAAATATGCAATATTTAAAGAGTCAAGTAATTCTGATGGGTTTATTATACCCGTTTTCCCAAGCAGCAGTCCTTTGTAATCTCTCTTCCTCCATTTTTCCTGCTTTTTAGAAGTAACCACTTTTACCTCTTTCGGCTGATTACTTGATATTTACCTGCATGTCCTTCAGTAAGATGCTTTATTGTTCAGGGTTGTTCTTCCCACTATGGCAGGTAAGTAATTTAGCTGTCCTCCTCCCTCCCCAAACTCCATCATACACAAGCCCCCTTCCTAAAATCCTGTCTTCTCAATGTAATTAATATCATAATGTTGATTAGATCAGTATTCTTCATTTATATTATTATTATTTTTGACATAGGGTCTTCCTCTGTCGCCCAGGCTGGAGTGTAGTGGTGTGATCACAGCTCTACTGCAGCCTGACCTCCTGGGCCCAAGTGATCCTCCTACCTCAGCCTCCCAAGTACGTGGGATCACAGGCAGGCACCACCAATGCACCTGGCTAATAAAAAAAAATTTTTTTTTGTAGAGATGGGATCCCCCTGTGTTGCCCAGGCTGGTCTTGAACTATTGGTCTCATGTGATCCTTTTACCTAGGCCTCCCAAAGTGCTAGGATCACACCACATCCGGCCTTCATTTATATCATTATATTTTTGTGTGTTATTAAGAGCTAAGCCTTGTAGCAAAACTGTGACTTATTATTTCTGTACATGTTAATTTTTTTCTTGGTTGGAATTAATAATTGTCTTATGCTTTGTTTTTTTTTTTTCCCATTTGCTTGTCCTTTTGGATCTTGATTTTCTAATAGAGGCTTTCTAGGGATGGCTGGAAGCTTGCATGCAAGCATTCAGGAGCAGGGGACTGAAATATGAATTGGAAGCTGTGAATACATTTGGAGGGCTTGTCAACCATCAGCTTCACCATAGACTGATTTCTTAAGCTAATCCCCTTCTTTCAGTCTCTTGCCTAGACAGTGAAAGCCTGGCTGTCAGCCTTCTGGAACCAAATAAGGGAGGATGGCTGGTGGCCTCAGCATCCTATGTGCATGTATTCATCTAATTCCATTCACTTGCCTTCAACTGTGCCATTTCTCCTCCAGCACCACAGCTGCCAGTTCAGAGGCCCTCCCTTTAGTCTTTCTAGAAAATAAACTTCCAGTTATTTGTTGGGATATGTGTGGGATGGGCAAATAGCCCAGGTGTGCAGGGCTGGGGAGACCATCTGTGGATCTGACCACTTCTTAGATGTGCAGCTGGGCCTGCTTAGTTTAGCATTTCCTCTACCCTAGAGCCTTTTGGAGCTTCTAAGGGGTAAAATGAGGTGGGTCTTATCTTTCCCTACTGCCAACTTAGGATTCAGGTCTGGATTCAGGTCTGCTGTGTCATTTGCCACTCTGCCATCTGCATTCTAGCTTCCAGTATTCTGCAGGAATTGTCTCCTGCTTTATTCTCTCTCTCCTTGTTGGTTCATGTCTTTAGAAAAGAAGTTCTTTTACTGTTCCTGAATAGAGTCTGGGGAGGAAGCAAAGGTGGCCTCGGCCTCATACAGTTAAACCTCTCTTTTTACCTGAAAGCCTCACCATTGCTGCTTATTTACTGAGCTGCCAAGGGTCTGAATTTTTAAAAAGGAAATTCTAATGGTTCTTGGTAAACTCTAAAATGTACTTCAGAGAAGGAATGACAGACCACAGCCCTTTGATTAAGAAAATGTGTTTTTTTTAGGATTTTTTTTTTAAACCAGAGGCTTTCAAAAGATTTAGTTCCTTACCCATAACTTCTTGCTTCTTCTTCCATCTGCACGCTCCTTTCTGCCTGCTTCAGCTCTCATTATGTTTCCAGTAGAAAATGAAAGTTTTTATGGAGCAGTCATGGGAGACATTGGGTTCCAGGTAATGTAGGTAGTTACGGAAAGACAGAAAAATGGGAGAGGTGGAGTCCCTATAGCCCATCATGTCATATCCATGTCATTCTTTCATCAAGACGTCTGTGACTGTCCCTACCTCCTTCTACTGGCTTGGAATCAGAGCAGTGATTCTCTTTGAGGCTGTGGTTTTGCTTCATGCCCAGTAGAAGCTGTCACTGGATTGGCTTCAGTGTCTCTGGATTTGATTGTCCCTTTAAGGAGGAGTATGCCTTCAACTTGTTCTTTTTTTTTTTTAGACGGAGTCTCGCTCTGTGGCCCAGGCGGGAGTGCAGTGGCGCAATCTCGGCTCACTGCAAGCTCCGCCTCCCGGGTTCACGCCATTCTCCTGCTTCAGCCTCCCGAGTAGCTGGGACTACAGGCGCCCACCATCACGCCCGGCTAATTTTTTTTGTATTTTTAGTAGAGACGGGGTTTCACCGTGTTAGCCAGGATGGTCTCGATCTCCTGACCTCGTGATCCGCCCGCCTCGGCCTCCCAAAGTGCTGGGATTACAAGCGTGAGCCACCGCGCCCGGCCAACTTGTTCTTTTTGTTGGAGACCGAGTCTCACCCAGGCTGGAGTGCAATTGTGCGATCTCGGCTCACTGCAACCTCTGCCTCCCAGGTTCAAGCTATTCTCCTGCCTCAGCCTCCCGAGTAGCTGGGATTACAGGCACGTGCCATCACACCTGGCTAATTTTTGTGTTTTTAGTAGAGATGGGGTTTCACCATATTGCCCAGGCTGGTCTCGAACTCCTGACCTCAAGTGATCCGCCTGCCTCTGCCTCCCAAAGTGCTGGAATTACAGCCACCACTCCCGGCCTACCTTCAACTTCTTAGCTACAAAGAGAGGGATCTCAAGAGTGGCCCTTCTGGTTCCAGAAGCAGGGTGCAGCTTCCAGGCAAGTTGGAGAGAATGGCTGGCTCTGGTGGGTTTCCAGCAGTTCTGAGCACATCTTTTGTCTCTCTCTTTCAAGTAACTCTCTTCATGGCTTCCAGACTTGAATCTCACCGAAATATTATTTATTTTTTACTAAGTCCTACCTTCCTGAGTTCAGAATTTGTTTTGAGATAGACAAAGGAACCATGCACGTGGAGATCAAAATCTAATCTCTATTATTGGTTTTTAGTGGTAAAGCACTTTAAAAAATGTCATGTTAGGTCTGCTGGCCAGTAGGGGCATGTTAATATTTCAGCTCTGAATTTGACATCCAATCACCGACCAAATTGGACAACCACAGGCCAATTTGGTCAGTGATTGGATGTCAAATGTGTTTAACCCTCTAAAACTTAAAGCAAGAGAAGGAATAATAGCTCCTGTAAAGGAGTTTGTGAAGGGACTGAAAGAGAGATTTACGCTAACAGAAGTTCCTCCCTATGGGAACATGAGGAGTGGAGAAATGTGTTCCATAATATAAAGTGATATCCCATAGCAAAGACATTGAATCAACTTAAATGCCCATCGATGTTAGACTGAATAAAGAAAATGTAGCACATATATACCATAGAATACTATGCAGTCATAAAAAAGAATGAGATAATGTCCTTTGCAGCAACATGGATGGGGCTGGAGGTCATTATCCTAAGTGAACTAACACAGCATCAGAAAACCAAATACTGCATGTTCTTACTTATAAGTGGGAGGTGAACACTGAGTACACATGGATACAAAGAAGGGAACAACAGACACCAGGGCCTGCTTGAGGGTGGAGGGTGGGAGGAGGGTGAGGACAGAAAAACTACCTATCAGGCTGGGCACAGTAGCTCAAGCCTGTAATTCCAGCACTTCAGGAGGCCAAGGTGGGAGGACTGCTTGAGCCCAGGAGTTCAAGACTAGCCTGAGCAACATAGTGAGAACCTGTCTCTCAAAAAAAAAAAAAATGTAAGCTGTGTGTGGTGGCACATACCTGTAGTCCCAGCTACTTTGGAAGGTGAGGTGGGAGAATCACTTGAGACATTGGATATTGGGTATACAAGAGGTTGAGCTGCAGTGAACTGTGATCACGCCACTGCATTCCAACCTGGGCAACAGAGCGCGACCCTGTCTCAAAAAAGAAAAACTACCTATCGGGTACTATGCTTATTACCTGGGTAACAAAATAATCTATACACTAAACCTACCCCTACCCTGCCTCATGATGCAGTTTATCCAAGTTTGTTATACAAACTTGCACCTGAACCTAAAATAAAAGTTAAAAAAAAAGATGATATAAATTCTGCTTAAGACACACGATTAATGTATAGCAGATGCTCGGAAAATATACCATTGTTAAATCAGGTTGTATGACACATTCAGATTTCAGAAACATGAAAATTATTTTTACATCTCAGAAATGAGGGGAGTATAGTGTTACAAATTATCAGCCATTCATTCCTTTGATAAAAAGCCTCTAAGGTTTGGACCAAGTGGAGAGTACACCCTCAACTGGAATGGGGAGCCCCAGCTCTAATCCTGGTCCTGTTACAAACTAGTTAGGAGTCCTTGGCTCCGTTAAACCTCTACACGTGCTTTTCATCTGCTCAGCAAGGAGTGGAAGACCAGCTAAACAGATAACAGGGACTAAGGGTAAGACCTGAACTCCCACAGCTAATTAATTTCAGAGTTGGGATGAAAACCCAAGTGTCTCCCTTCCCTAGTCTCATGTGTTTTCTACTATATTCATTTTATATTGCCTTGAATTGAATTTGGACAAGATAGTTACAGCACAAAGCAATCACTGCTTTGCTCACTCTTTCACTCATTCAACAGGTATCAATTGAGCATTTTTTTTAATGCTAAATACTGTGTTGGATGAATGAGACGTATTCTGTCTCTGTAGGAGCATACAGCCTGTGGCCTTCTGTGTTTACAGCTGTGAGGGACCCCCTGCACTACCACCCTCACGTGAAGGGCTTCAAACTGATCCGTGGAAGAGACCCAGACCTTCCTGGTTGCCTTGAAGCCATCATCCCTCCTGTGCTTTCCCTGAGCCCTGAAATGTGCCCTTTCTGCTGACGTGACCGACCTCCAAGAGTTGGCTCTTACCAGCTTATCACAAAAGCTCTTCAAGTGCCTCGAGAAGAAATTATACAGCAGAGCCCAGGATCATATATTGGCCTCATTATGGTTTTTCTCTTCCTGTTTACAGAGTGCTCAAGCTGGTATTACTATGTAACTATGCCAATGCCAGCCTCCACCTTCACAATTGCAGTGGGATGCTGGACAGAAATGAAGATGGAGACATGGTCATCAAATGATTTGGCAACAGAGAGACCCTTCTCACCTTCTGAGGCCAACTTCAGGTTTGTGTTTGGGGACTTGCTGGGAAGGAAAAAAAAAAAAACACTTGAGGGAGCGGTATGATGCATTTCTTCCAAGCACTGGGAATGTGAGTCATTCCTGCTGAGAAACTAAACCAAAATAGGATTAATCAAAGCAGGAAAAGCCCTATTAGAAAGGAAAGAGAGGGCTAGGCGCAGTGGCTCACGCCTGTAATCCCAACACTTTGGGAGGCCGAGGCGGGTGGATCACGAGGTCAAGAGACTGAGACCATCCTGACCAACATGGTGAAACCCCCGTCTCTACTAAAAATACAAAAAAATTAGCCGGGCGTCCCAGCGACTCGGGAGGCTGAGGCAGGAGAATGGCTTGAACCCGGGAGGCAGAGGTTGCGGTGAGCTGAGATTGCGCCACTGCACTCCACCCTGGTGACAGAGTAAGACTCTGTCTCAAAACAAAAAACAAAACAAAACAAAACAAAACAAAGAAGAAAGGAAAGAGAGGCTGGGCGTGGTGGCTCAGGCCTGTAATCCCAGCACTTTGGGAGGCTGAGGCGGGTCGATCACGAGGTCAGGAGTTGAGGCCAGCCTGGCCAACATGGTGAAACCCCATCTCTACTAAAAATACAGAAATTAGCTGGGCATGGTGGCGGATGCCTGTAATCCCAGCTACTTGGGAGGCTGAGGCAGGAGAATTGCTTGAACCTGGGAGGTAGAGGTTGCAGTGAGCCAAGATTGCGCCACCGCACTCCAGCCTGGCGACAGAGCAAGACTCTGTCTTGGAAAAAAAAAAAAAGGAAAAAAGAAAGGAAAGCGAGTTGAGAAGAAGAGATGTGAGCCTATTATTTATGCAGAAAGAGAGAAGAAGGTAAGTATATATGAAATCATGTGAAGTCTGCTGAAATATTTATATGTGTTTGGCTAAATTCAAGGAATCCTCAGATTCAATGCCTCCTCTCCTCCCATACCTTTTAAGTTTGGTTTTCAGTGCTTATGTGGTCAAAAACATAGCTTCTGATGGATTACTTTCTATGCTACTCTGCTGTTTTGGTTGTACCAACTGCTGTTAGCGGTGCACTGTAGGGACAGCATCTCCCTCAGTGGGGCTAGTCGCCGCTTTAGGAGCACAGGACACAAGGAAACTGATGCAAAGCCCTTGGGTTAAGGGAATCCTGCTTGGTCAGGGCTTTGTTAACATCAGTAGTGATTTCTTTCTTTTTTGAAGTATGAACCAGATAAAATCATTTTGAGGCTTTAAAAAATTACTATAGGCCATTGGATATTTACTGGCAGCCTGTCTAGATGTTCAATGGTTTCTAGCTTTGAGAGCCAAAAGAGGGAGAAGGGGGACGCTGAGAAGGTGCACAGCACATGCATCATGCTGCACTCCCAGGATTTTATACCCGGCTCAATTGTGTCATTTTTCCTATTGACAGACAGTCACTAAGTCAGTACCTTCTGGTGGAGAAAGCCCAGGGTAATGGTAGAGATGATTAGTTACTCCTTGAAAACCAGCTAAGGTATACTCCTAATGCAGATTCCTTTTGTGTTGGTTTTATTTTGTCATGCTGCTTTTACTAGTACCACAGTAACTGTGGCAGTTGGTCTTCATCTTTCAGAGATGAAGCTATGTTCTCTCTCTTCTGATGGGCATGTATTATTGCCTGCATTTTTCCTTTTTTGGCAGAAGGGAGGTAATTTCCACTTCCTGTTCAGTAGCTTGCCTATTTTGGACTGTCTTTCCTGAGCTATATGAACATCCTAGATTGCGTATTAGATTTTACTTCTGTATTCTTGAGGGAAGAAGGGAATTGTGGGCAGAAGTGACATATTCTAGTTTCATGTGGGAACTTTAATTGCATGTGAGATCCTCCTGTGCTCTCTTTCCTGCAGTACAAAACAGAGCCTACAAAACAGAGGAGGCTTTGTTTTGTAATTTCAGGTGGTCTGAATTTCTGAGTGAGGATGACAGGTGGTCTGGAGAGTCACTTAGATCTACAGTGGACTTGGTATTAGCAAGAAGCACACTGTTTTGTGTTAAGCCACTGAAACACCAGGGTTGTTTGTTACTGCAGCATATCCTAGCCTATCCTGAATTGATACAGTAGCCATTAGTTGTTCCAAGTCAGAAACTAAGTCTTGATCTAAATATAATCTCATTTAGTCCTAAGGATAAGCCTGCAAAACAGATTGGATAGATTATTATTCCCATTTTATAGATAAGGATATTGAAGCTCAGCAACTTGTTAACATTAATGTCCCTACTAAGTAGCAATACCTGGATTTATATCCAGGCCTGACCCCAGAGAGAGGTGAGTCAGAATCTTACCTGGAGACTTTAAAAAACTGTATGTAACATTAATGCCTCACCTGGAGTCTGATCCACCTTCCCATCTGGAGAGTCACTGCCATGATTTGAGCCACCATTATTGACTGGAGTGTGTTGTGTTGGAACAGAAAACAGAAGTTGAGAGCAATGCCTTTGAGCCTGAAAGTGCCATTCTTGGTGGTTGGATATACCTCTTTGGACAAAGCCACACTTTCCTTATCTGTAGAATGAAGGCTTTGTCCATGGGTTCTCAAATTCTTGATGGTGAAGAAGTACTCTTCTCTTTTTCATCTAAGGCCTCAGCATTGATTGATTGTTAGAGGAGCTGTGCAGTTGGAAAATGTGTGCCTTTGGAAGGCTAGGGGAAGGCAAAGACAGACATTTGTTATTTTGCCTTTCTAGCCATATTCCAAAGAGATGTGGGGTTGAGGAGTGGGCAGCAGCCACTGACTCTGTGCTCTCTCCTTCCTGCTCAGAAGCAACTTAAATGGCTTCTCAGTTTTCTTGCATCCACTATTCTGAAAGGAGGAAGAAATGGTTAAATCAAATGAAGATTCTGGGAAGAGATGATGTCTAAAATTCCTGTCGGGCTTTAGGGGAAGAAGCAAGTACAACTCCTCTCTTGTCCTCCTAAATTCACCAGTTGAGGAACAGACAGAGGAGATAAAAATAAAGGTTTTATTATTGACAGAAGCTGGACTGAAGGAATACTCAGGTGCATGGTCTCAGTGGGGTTTCTGAGACTCCATTTCCAAATGAGACAAATTTACCCACCCAGTTACCAGCCCAGCTGGACTGCTGCTGTCCTCTATAACACAGATGTAGAGTCCACCTGACACATGGCAGGGGCAGGCCCAAAGTGCACCCTCTGTGTGCAAGCAGATTCAAAAGAGAAAGCCTGGAATGGCCCAGCCAGTCAGGTAAGCTGGGGAGAGGTCCGGGTGCCACTCTAGGGAAGCGCGTCTTTCCATGGAACTGTGAGGACTGGTGAATGGGGTTCCTCCCATGCCCCCTTCCATGTCCAATAAACTGTGACTGAGTTTTCCCTTCCTTTATCAATATGCTTGTCCTTCAGGAATATGCTGCTGATAAAATCATAGCTTGCATTTGCTTAGTTCTGCCCTGGCTGTGCACTTCATGTGTGCTGTCTTTAGCTGTCAGAAAGTGGCTTTGTTTTCATCCATTACATGTCTGACTGCATGCAAAGTTTGCCAGCAAAGGTGCTCTGAAGTGCCAGTCACAGTGGTGTTTTTGGTTATGTTCACATCTGGTCCCTTTTGCCTTCCCCAGCACCCGTTCTACTTCAAACCTTCCTAAGACCACCAATCAAATTCATGTAAATCCAACTTTCACAGGGGCCTGCTATACCACAGGTTTTCATTTGCCTAAAGTGCTCATCTGGGTTCCAGAAATTTGGCCAAAGTGTTGGTCACTGAACTTTTATGATCAGTGTTCATGTGGGTAAAATTATAGTAAGAACATTCCCTCTTCCAGCTCCACTTTCACACATGCTCCAGCCACTCTGGGTGAGCATTTTAGTAAATACATTGATTATAAGGCTCTCAGATAAGCTGTTGAAAGTTTATTAATTTTATTCAGCTGTAGTATAACCTTCAGCCACAGGGGAATCTTTGTGTTATGTTTCTTTAACCTCTTGAGGCCTTTGTGGGGGCCATACAGTTTAAACACGACACAGAAACTTGGATAAAGTCCAAAGGAACTTAGCAAAAATGATTAAAGGCATGGAAAATGGGCACTACAAAGAAGAAAACACATTGAGACTGATTATTTGAAAGAAGAATCTGGTGGGGAACAGGTCTTCTTTAGAGTTGTAAAGTATATGAAAAGTTGCTTTGATAGGAAGTACAGCATCTTTGAGTCGGTGCTGAATCTATGGAAGACTATTACTTTGTAAAAAGCACAGAATTGGCCAGGCGCGGTGGCTCACGCCATTAATCCCAGCAATTTGGGAGGCCAAGGCGGGCGGATCACGAGGTCGGGAGATCGAGACCATCCTGACCAACATGGTGAAACCCCGTCTCTACTAAAAATACAAAAATTAGTTGGGTGTGGTGACGTGTGCCTGTAATCCTAGCTTACAGGAGGCTGGGGCAGGAGAATTGCTTGAACCAGGGAGTCGGAGGTTGCAGTGAGCCGAGATTGCACCACTGCACTTCAGCCTGGCAATAGAGCAAGACTCCGTCTCAAAAAAAAAAAAAAAAGTACAGAATCCCCTGACCTCTTCAGAAACAAGGCGATTCTATGAAGAATGGCTTATGTGCTGAGTTATCATAGAATCATAGTGCCAGAAGAAACCTTAGAAAAGATTTTCATTTGTTTATATTTTAAGTATAATTAACATACAACAAAACGTGCAGATCTTAAGTGTTCAGCTTGATGAGTTTATGATGATTGTATACAGCCTAAACCTGATAGAGAACATTCAGTCTCCACAGTAAGTTAGTAAATTCTCTCATACCTTTTTTTTTTTTTTTTTTGAGACAGAGTCATGCTTTGTTGCCCAGGCTGGAGTGCAGTGGTGCGATCTTAGCTCACTGCAACTCTGCCTCCCAGGTTCAAGTGATTCTCCTGCCTCAGTCTCCCAAGTAGCTGGGATTACAGGCATGCACCACCACACTCGGCTAATTTTTTTGTATTTTTAGTAGAGATGGGTTTTACCGTGTTGGCTAGGCTGGTCTCAAACTCCTGACCTCAAGTGATCCACCTACCTTAGCCTCCCAAAGTGCTGGGATTACAGGCATGAGCCACCATGTCTGGCCTCTCATATCCTTTTCTAACCAATTCCTTACCTCCTCCAGCAGCCACTTTGGTGAGACTATGTTAAAGATGGGGAAAAAGAAGCCCCAGATACTGAGTTGCCTGCCTTGGTCACAAGTGAGCCAGTCTGAGAAGACAGTGAAGCCCAGGTTTCCTGATCCCTATGTGGGAACGCAGAAGTGGCTTTCCTGATGCCATTTCTGTGTCCATTTCTATGGGAGCCTTACCCTTCTCACCTGGTCAGAGCTTGATTGCCTTAAAGTCCTGCATTTTTTCCCAGGCTTTGATTACAATGGTACTAATTCACACAACTAGAATCATCTTCATCATCTGAGCTAGTGCCTTTTATGCCCAGAGAGATTCTAACTTGCCTTGTTCCTGATTGGAAAAGGATATGAGAGAACTTACCGTGGAGTCAGAATGTTGTCTATCAGGTTTAGGTTGTATACGATCACCAGAAATTCATCCGGCCAAACACTTTTGGGTGTATCTTTGGCTACCTCAGTATTCTCTAACTTTAGGGTTCTTGGCAGCAGGAAATAATCTTTTCCCATGTTATATTTAGAGAGACCATTAGAATGACCTTTTTGCAAAATTGTGCTGTGGTAGATATAATTTAAGCTTATGCCTCAGCTTTGTCCAGAAGATGCCTGCACACTCCAGTTTCTCTGTGGTTTAACACGATCTGAAAGCTTTGCAATAGAGATTATATGAACTGAAATTACTGTAGCACATTATATACCTGTGTAAATACATGAGAAAAAGATACTGTGGTGGTTAATTTAATCAGTGGCCTTTTTCACTTTGCGAGACCTTTGACCACATTCATGCACAAGCACAGTACTTGTCATTAGGTGGGCATTGCAGCCTTTTTAGTTAAATGTTCACCAACAGGCACCTTGACTCACTCTCTCCACAAAGCAAGGTTATCAATCCAGGGACTTTGGCCAGAATTAAATGTCAAGAATTATATTCTTCATGTCATCTTATTCTGACAAGTTTTTATGGGCCTCCATCCATTTTCTTACTCTCCGTTGTGGTGAAATGCCTTCAGTGCTGGAAGCTGTGTTCTATGAACCATGCTGCTAGAAGGTGAGGCTTATCTGTACCTAGCCATATTGGTCTCCTGAGCGCTGGCCTTGGGTAAGTGAAAGGTACTTCTTACATTTGGAGAGGAATTATTGTTGCATTCTGCCCATATTGGGACATGCCAGCATCTTAAGATTTTTCATTATTCACTGTGAATCAAGTGAGCACCTGTAGTTATAATTGGCTGGGTGCAGTGGCTCATGCCTATGATTCCAGCCCTTTGGGAGGCTGAGGCAGGAGGATCATTTGAAGCCAGAAGTTTGAGACCACTCTGGGTTACAAAGTGAGACCCCATCTCCAGACCCCATCTCTTAAAAAAAAAAAAAAAAGGCTGGATGTGGCATGGCAACATGCCTGTAGTCCTAGCTACTCAGGAGGCTGAGGTAGGAGGATTGCTTGAGCCCAGGACTTGGAGGCTACAGTGAGCTATGACCCTGCCACTGCAGTCCAGCCTGGGCAACAGAGTGAAATCCTGTCTTAAATAATAATAGGCCGGTTGCGGTGGTTCAAGCCTGTACTCCTAGCTGTTTTGGAGGCTGAGGCGGGTGGATCACTTGAGGTCAGGAGTTTGAGACCAGCCTGGCCAACATGGTAAAACCCCGTCTCTACTAAAAATACAAAATTAGCCAGGCGTGGTGGCACACACGTGTAATCCCAGCTACTCAGGAGGCTGAGTCAAGAGAATCACTTGAACCTGGGAGGTGGAAGTTGCAGTGAGCTTAAATCATGCCACTGCCCTCTAGCTTGGAAGACAGAGCTAGATTCCATCTCAAAAAAAAAAAAAATAATGAAATAAATAATGATTAGAGGGGTTTTTCATTGTGTTTGAATAAAAGACATGTTAGCAGGTGAAAAAATGGAGTACTGTTGGATGTAGGTTTGAGTAGATAAGTTCTCTTGAGTCCTGTGAGTCAGGTTCTAGGAATTCTCTTTCAGTTCCGCCTTTGATGGAATAACTGGCAGTGGTCGGATGAAGCAGGCTGGGGTCTGATCTGTTTCCTTAAAAGGCTGGCTCAGTTAAATTTGTTCTGAAAGTGGGTTGGGAAAAATACTGTATCAAAAGTGCCTCTGTATTCCTTAATAACAGCTTTTGATGGGCTGTGTAAAGAACATTTAGATTACTATTCAGTAAAATGGTTTGTGTTCTTTCGAGGAGTTTGAGCCTGTAACTTTCATTTGGTTCATGGTTCTCCCTCAGTCCAAGTCTTTTATTCTAGGTAATCCCAGAATTGGATCTTTAATTTGTGTGTACTGCTCCTTCCTTTCTGAGTTATGAATTGTCTCTAATTTGGAGATTGTTCATATGGTGATACTTGAAAACATCTAACCGAGGGCAGGAATTGTTTGTATTTTGGTGAGAAGTTTTATTGTTTGGAGTCTTTAGAGGTCCCCCCACAACAAAGTTTATTCTAAAACAAGATTTTACTGCTTTCTCTTATCTTAGATTGAAGCTAGTCTATTGATTCAAACACATGAATACGTTTTTGTCCTGTAAATTTTCACTGCTGCACAGAGCCAGTCAAGCCAAGAATTGAAATGAGCAGTCTTTGCTTGTGAGTCTGTCTGAACCTCTGTCTCCTAAAAGTTGTCTACATCTGCAAGATTGCCTCACCTCCACAGCAAGAATAATAAACATGTTTTACCATTTATTTTGTGTTATTCCCAGGCATGTTGGTGTTTGCAGTCACATGGAATACCCCTGCCGCTTCCAGAATGCTTCTGCCACCACCCAGGAGATCATTCCTCATCGGGTCTTTGCCCCTGTGTGCCTCACGGGTGCCTGCCAAGAGACCCTTCTGCGGCTGATCCCTCCTTGCCTCTCAGCAGCACATTCTGTTCTGGGAGCACACCCGTTCTCTCGGCTGGATGTTCTCATCGTCCCTGCCAACTTTCCAAGTCTGGGGATGGCCAGGTATGTTGTTCCATTGTGGCACTTGGGGTACATACATTTTGGAAATTCTTTGACTATGTCTTGCTTTCCTTGAGCTCTGTCAGAGCAGTCATTTGATTAGAATGGAGGGGCTATGGTTGCTCATGCTTGGACATCTCATTGCTGCCTTGAGGGACAATTTTAATGCAGACTCCCTCATGCACGAGCCTTTGAGTGTCATGGGCTCAGTTCAGACTGTGTTGAAAAGAAAAGGCTCACATTGTTGCTGGGATTGAGAATACATAGTGCCCCCTGAGTGGTGACTGTTGGATCATGGCTGATCAGTGGCTGTTAGCTTGGATGATGACAGCATAATGCTAATGAGCCAAAGGTTATAGCATCAGGCTCTGGGCACAGTAACATGACTTGGTCCCAAGGCCACAGGCTACTCACCTAATCCTGACCAGCTGTCTTGTCCATTCTCACCACTGGTCACAAGGGCAATGACTTGAGAGACCCTGAGTCAGATAGACTGTGGATGGATCAGTGTAAATCTATCCCTACTGCTAGAAAAACAGCTCAAAGCAGATGGCTTACTGTGGGGGTTGGAGGAGGAGTCACGTGCTACTATTTTTTAACAAATGCACTTTTGCTGTTGTGTCCTGGTTTGGTTCCCTGTATTTATTTAAGCTAAAATCTATTAATTAATGCCATTGTTCAGTCATTAATGGGTATCTGTGTTCCACTGAGAAAAGATAGAGAATGTACTTGGTTATATTTCCATTTTAAAATCTTAATCATTAGCAGTGAATATGCTTGACTAAGGATGGGAAAAATAAGCTCATCAAAACATGTGACTTCAAGTTTTTCCCTATTAGTCAAGGAAATTCCTGCTGCCAATTAATTCCCATGCTTTTGAGCAGCTGTCATTTGTGGTGTTTTCCCTGAAAACTGCACACATTCTTAGTAAAACCATGAGCAGAAAAGAACTGACCAGAACATTTGCTTTTGATCTTTACTACATGTATGTACTTTAAAGACTGGCTGGCTTGCCTTAATCCTTGAGGAGGTCTGAGAAAGTCATTTAGACTGATTTTTATCCTATGTTTATGAAGATAATGGGAATGCAGGAACTAGGATAATTATATATATTTGGTTACGTGCATCATATAATTGTCTTGGATGTCTATATATAGAATTTTTCTTAATGGAGGGGGGGGCTTCTTTTGTCCCTTTGAAGAGTCTGCTGGCCTTAATTTAAGTAGTAGAGGTGTTGGTGAAAAAAGAGTTGTTCATTAAATGTTTCTTATTTGTACATGGGTTTGAGGGGCCCTATTTACTTGGGAGTTTTTAGCACTTCATGAGAATTGCAGTTTTTTAAGGCATGTTTGCTAGCAGTTCCAAGTTCTGGCCTGAGGGAACCAAAGGCAGAGTATTTTTCATGCACAGGATTCTGTTTTCTATAGCTCCTTCCTGACATCAGTCTGCCAAATACAGAATGAGTTGACCTGCAGGCAATTCTCTAAAGCTTCTCTTTTCAAGTTTGCATGCCCAAGCAGGTAGGCTGTGTGTTTGCTGCTTTTTGCGATATTTGAAGTGATTTAAACATGCTTAACTCTGTATTTTTAGAGTGGCAAGCCTGAGTACCATAAGACCAAATGGTCCTGGGCACAAATTTTGAAAAATATGGTGGTGATCATAACTTAGCAACAACAAGACTGCTTTTATGCTTAAAAGCAGGAGAACCGTATATTCAAAATTTGTGGTTGGTTGTCAAATACCATTTTTTTCCCTTCCTTTTAGACTGTGGAAGTAAAGTCTGCCCAGGTCTAGATGTTTTTCTGGACTTATTACCATTCCCTGGATGAGAGCTGTGGAAGGGGGATTGTGGTCTCTTCCACTGCCAGGTGGGGTGGGGAAGGGAGGTGCTCTGTTTTTCCAAACTCTGGCTTCAATTGATTCTGCTTGCTTGGCTTGACTCTGTCGGGATCCCAACACCTTGGGCTACATGCAGCTGAGTGGGGTTTATGACTCAGCTGGCTACTGGGGCCCTGCTGCTTTATTTATGGTCGAGACTTTGCTTGAGGTTTTATAAAGCAAAGCTAGAACAAAAACGATGGTTTTGTAAGTCAACTTCATACCCTAAACAGGAATAGAGAAACCTCAAGGCTAGGAGGAGTCATCCAAAAAGACCTCCATACTGAAACCTGCCATTGTCTTCTTAGTTATAATATGCTGAGAGATCAAAGGACTTCTTGGTAAATTAAATGGCTCTTTCCCGAGTCCATATTTTATAAACATGTATGCAAGATCGTAAATTCCATACCTCTGGACTTCTTTAGTGATTAGGTCTTAATTATAATGAATACCATTTTATACCATTTCAGTATTCTTTTTTGGCAAATGATATTAAACATTCCCTCATGAACTAAAATGGGTAAATTATTAATCATGTTAAGCAGTTTCTGAGAATTTTAGATAATATAATGATTTCACTATTTTGAATATTACGTATCATAGTTTTTATTGAATAAGCTTAAAAGTCTCCTCTTTGATTCTGTTTTTGAGCTGGATTCTGATATTTCAGTGAAGTGAGGAAAAACACATTTATAAAACTTGAATGTATGATAATGACAAATCAGTTTATAAGAAGGTAAATAATACACAAATAATATTTTAGAATTTCGAATGCTTTTCAAACATGGCAGTAACTAGAACATTTATCAATACTGCTCTTCATGATTTTTGTCACCTTTTAATATAACAGGAGCCATTACTAACTGACCCCCTCCCCTACCCTGGTCCTTTTCCAAATCACTGTTCCAGGGGAGAGGGACTTTAATTCTTTGCTGAGAAAAATCACTAGTTTGCCTTTCAGATGCTTTCCTCAGTGGGTGTGTGTGGGCTTTCAGTTTTTGTTTCATTGTGTTTTTGCCTTCCATGAAGACTGAATCTGCCATATCAGGAACCGTAAAGTATACATTTCTTGACTTGACTACTATGATGTCTGTATGAAGATATGCATGCATTTAAAATGCATCTCTGAAGTACACACAGCTCTCTTCCTGTTGGTTTAATTAATATTCTACTGTTTTCATTGTGTCCTCGTATGTTCTCAGAGTCTCTGCTGGGGATTGACTGGCAAGCCTAGTTTCTTAATTTTGAGAAATAATGAAAGGAGCTCATCATCACACTTACACTCTCTGTTATAACAGCAGTAACGTTAATGGAATCATATTCTAGAACCAGGCATATGACAGTTGCTTAAAAATTAACACCTTAATCTTACCTTTGTATGTGTGTATAGGAAATGCTTTGCTTTGCATTTGTCTCTCAGCAGTTCACAATTACATGTCATGGCATAGTTAGGTTGGCAGAACTACCTAGCTGTCGTCCATATATGTTCTTTTTTTTCCTTGTATTTGAATTTCAAGAATCTCTTGCAACTTATTTCAGAGTGGTTTTCTGTGAAGAGCACTGAAGTTAAAAAACCATGTGCTGTGTAGTTCTGCTTCATGGCTCAGCTGTTCACATGCATCTTCACCCTTCATCCCACTGGGAAAATTGAGGGGAAAAAAATGACTATAGTGTGGCCGATGACAGGTGACAGATTGTTTGAGCTTTTCCCCACCTGTTCTATACCAGATAATCTTGATAATTTGGTTATTGTTTATTTATTCTTGCAATAAATATTTATCAAGCGTATACTGTGTGCCAGATAGTACTTACGATGCAAAGCCTACAAGGGTGAACGAGATAGAGGAGGCCTCTGTCCTTATGAAATGGACATTCTAGTCAGGGGAGAAAATTAGTGTACGTGAAACAAGTAATTAAGATGTATGCTATGAAGAAAATAAAATCAAGTAAGTGTCACAGTGGGAGAATCAATAGCATCGTTAGGGTGAGAGGGAAAAGCTTCCTTAAAGGGTGACATTTGGGCTAAGACTGAAGAATAAAAAGGAATCAGCTTTGTGACCATCTGGTGGAAAAGCACTCCGGTCCACAGGCCTCAAGGTGGGAACCACTCTCATGGGTTGGAGGAGTAGAATGAAGGCCAGGATGGTGGCAGGTCAGTGAGGTCTTAAAATGGCTTTCCTTAGCCCCGTTCTTAGTGAGCTTGGGTGCCAGGAGCAAGTGAGTCACTAAGAAATGGCAAGATTAAGTCAGGTCCATCATTCTAGGCAGACGGGTTATGGGAAGAGATCAAATTTTTTTTTTTTTTTCTTGGGACCGTAGATACCTATACCATCTCCCGACTGGCTAATGAGAACCTGATTGGCTTAGCAGCTGCTGTTCTTGAGCAGAATTCTCCATGGCTGAAGCTATCAGAACACCTGGCACCCAGACGGGCAACCGTCCCTTTGTAGAGAAGGGAGAAGTCTCAGATCACCACGTTTTCTTCCCCTGGCAGCTGTTGATTGATTCTTTGCAAGGGTTTTTGACATCGTTGGTCACAGAGAGGGAAGCTGTGTCTCATCCTAGTTTTATTTGCTCATCCTAGTTTGAAAGGTTTTTTGTTTTTTGTTTTTTGTTTTTTTTTTTAAAAAAAGCAACAACAACTGAATGAAAATAGGATTGACAATTAAAGACCATAGAAAAAATTATCAATTATTAAAATCTTCACAACATGCTTCACTATGAGGAAAAACTATAAAGCTCCCTATTACACAAGGCTTATTCTTAAAAGGTTTGATTGTGCAATAAAAGACTTCTGAATGTTTATACTAGTTCCTGACTATTGCATGCACAATTTTCTTAAGTACCTCAATTTGCAAATAAACGGTATGCACGTACATGCCCAAGAATGAATGTAACCAGCCTTTTCCTCCACTCCCTCCTCCCGGGTTAGACAGGGTGTTGTCCTGTTTATTCTTATCTCCCAGCCAATGTGTAATAGAATAAGCAAAACATAACATGCTGGTACAAAGGGCCTGTTGTTTTCAGCTTTCTAATTATGCTCCTTTCTGCTGGGGAAGGAAGCAGTCATAAATTTCTGTCATTATCTTAAGTAGCAAGGTTTCACAGCTTTGAGAATTTTTCTTTGTTTGTTCTTTGTTGGCTTTACTTGAATTTTTGATCCCTCAAACCAAAACCACCCTACTTTTAAACAATCCTTCTTTAGATTTCAGGGGATGTGACCCCCTGATTTCAAGGCAAGATGCAGCCATAGTGATTCTTTGCCTCAGGAATCAGATTTTGAGCCTTAAATTAGTATGCCTTTGAATTCACCATGGCTGCCAACTTCTCTACTTTCTCCGATGTGCTGCATATTTTTGTTTTGTGTGTGGGTTTTGTTTCTTGTTATTGTTGTCGTTTCTTTCTCAGATTTTAATAAATTCTCAATTTTCTTTCTGCATGGATTGTTTTTTAAAAAGATGTTGAATGGGCATTTCTTTCCCCTGTTGTGTGGTATAACTCTTCTCTGCTTTTTCAAACAGGTGGGTGTGAATGATAGAAAGCAGCTCATACCATCCTTTTTTTCTGTAAAATTTTAATCCCTTGTTTACTGGCAACCCTGCTGTTGCTGTAGAGATGAACAAACAGAATGAGTTGTGAGCTGTGAGGCACATGCAAGGTGATTTATGCCCATGTGTGCTTCCCCTTTGTTGCTTTCTTTGTGTTCACTTTCTCCATTTTCTCTTTTATTTCAATTATCCTTCTTGAGAAAATTATTTGACTTTATTTGCGTCCTATGTTATAGGTAGGGGCTTTCCCCTTCTAATGTGTTCTGGTTCTTTCATTTTTGTGTTCCTGAAATAGTAACTGGTATTCATAAAGTGATGTTCTTCTGGGACCCTGAAAGCCCTTGGCCAGGATTATTTTGTTCGTCTTGACAATACCACTTTGTACTAAGCAAGGTAGGTAGTGAGAATGTGTGTGTATGTTCCATTTTTTACAGAGCGGGTATTAAGAGGATATATAATGTCCCAAAGTCACTTAGAAGCAGGAAGTCAGGGAGACAAGTAAAATGGCCTCATCTTGTGATGGCTGTCAAGAGTCTGGTGGTCCAGACTTAGGCAAGGCTGATGTGTAACTGTTTCTAAGGCAGTGAGTGCTTGATTTAGGGTCTCCACACAGAAACCATACTGACCCTGTGAGTGAAGATATCATTGAAGATCAGCATTCACTGTGGGCTGGCTTTGAGGCAGCCATAGAATCTGGATACCAGGCAAATTCCTGGATCACATGAGTTCTTGGGGGCCAGGCTCTCTCTCTTCTGTTGGAGCAACAGGCAGAGTGAACTCACAGCTTTTGGGTTAACTAGAATCTTCTTTTTGCCATTAAACAGCTGTGTTGCTTGTCAGATCGAGAAGTAGCATCTTATCATCATTATACCATGATTCTTCACCCTCTGAAAGATTATGCTTAAGTGTTTGGTTTTCTTTGAACTGTTCTCCCCACACAAAGACTGACAGTCCTACCTTCAGAGAACACTGCTGGGGCCATCCTTCAAGAGAAATTGTCAGGCCTTTGAAAGGCCTTCCTGAAGCAATCATTCCTCTACCTGCGTTTGTAATCTCTCTATTGATGTCATCCTAGGTTCCTAATGTCTTCCAGTCCTTGAGCCTGAGACGGCCAGTCAGCACCACCTTGCCATTTTTTCCATTGCAAAGAAAAGGCTTTTTCCCCCGCCTTGCCACTTATTTCTTTACCGAAGCATCATTACTGAATAGAACATACACACTCCCTGGGTGAAAAAGAACAATGGAGTTCAGTGCACAAAGTTACCTAACTTGGGATATTCCCAATCTTGCAAGCTCTTTCTCCTTATACCACTACACAGAGTGAGCAAATACTACCAGCTTCTGTACTGCTGATGTATGCATGTGGTCATGGAGCTATGTAAGTATTTCTTTTAAGGGTAGATTTCTTTTAGGGAAAACACCAACTCTGGAAAGTCCTCAGGCAAAGTACAATGTGTGAACAGCTCTGCTGGAGGGAATATTGCCAAGATGCAGCTGGAGCCCACCTCTGCGCCATAGAGGCCTGTTTGCATAAAGTGGGTGAGAAATTGCCTTGTCTCTACATTTCACCCCTAATAAGTAATTGGAAGAGTGTCTCAGCCACCTTTTCTTTTTTCTTTCTTTTTTTTTTTTTTTGAGACGGAGTCTCACTCTGTTGCCCAGGCTGGAGTGCAGTGGTGCAATCTTGGCTCACTGCCACCTATGCCTCCCAGGTTTAGGCAGTTCTGCCTCAGCCTCCTGAGTAGCAGGGGCTACAGGTGCACGCTGCTTCGCCTGGCTAATTTTTTGTATTTTAATAGACACGGGGTTTCACCATGTTGCCCAGGCTGGTCACGAACTCCTGAGCTCAGGCAGTCCACCTGCCTCGGCCTCCTGAAGTGCTGGGATTACAGGCGTGAGCCACCGTGCCCAGCCTCAGCTTTTCTTTAAGAGAAGTTTAACATTATTATATTAAAATGCCACAGATGTGAGGGGGATGCCCCCTTCAAAAATGGATTACTTTTTTTTAAAAAAAATTGAATACCAAGTGGGAGTTGAGGTACATTGCACAAATCCGCCCTGATTTAACCCCAGAGTGGAGCTCAGAGTAGAACATGTTATATTTCTTGGTTAACTAACCATGCTATTTATAGAGGTGACTCCTCGGAAAGTCTAGACATTGTTCCCAGAAGACAGAATGCCAAATCTGCAGTCATTGAACAAACCAAATCTGCTCCTACCTTCCCAGCTAGCTTGCTAAGAATAATCACCTCCCTGTTTCTCACCATAAAATGGAAATCTTGGAACTTCATTCTAAGAAAGTGTGAATGATATTTGGGTTCCCCAGCCAAGACTTGGGGTAGGCAAGGAGGAGGAGGTGCTCCTGTGAGCCTGGTCCTACCCACCCTTGGCCTGTGCTCCTTGGAGCCCACCTTGCTAAGTTGTTGGAAACTGTGGTTGGCAGGTCCTAGTTTTTGAGTAGGTCTCCTCTAAAAGGACATCTTGAGGACCTAAGGATGGTGCTTTTCTTTGGGAATGAGCCAGCTGCAGTTTTTGCCTTTTTTCATAGATGTGCAATCTTAGAACATCCTATTGAAAGCGCAGTTGGAAAGGGGTGGATGGACAAAGCCAAGAACTCACTCGACAAACATGTATCAACGGACAGGTGTGATGAATGCTGATGATGCTGTGGCCATGAGGAAGTATAGACCTTTAGCCTAAATCTAAATTGGGAGTTTCTAAAGTTGGTTTCAAGGAAGACTAGTTTTATGGAATGTTAATAATGTGGGAAAAGGAACTGTAGGTTAATTAGTTTAGGAAATAAATGGATTAAATAAACTTAAAAGAGATTCTTTACTGGAGGGCTTCTAAGAAAGCCTTTAATATTCTTATGATCCTGATTTAATATCCTGGTATATCTGTGCATCTTGAAGACAGAGACAGGATAAGCAGTATTCCCCCAACTGTTGTGTCGAGGGAGCCCTTTTTACAGTGAGCATTTCATGGAACCACTGTGGTTTCAAAAAAACCACCTCCTCAAAACACACTTTGGGAGATGATTCTATTCAGAAATATCTGGGAGTCCATGATACAGCTGGAGATGGAATTCGCCTTTCATTCTGTCAGTGGTGAGTGAGGACCTGACCTGCATGCGTCAGGCCCTGGGCAAGGGCTTTGCTTTACAGCAGTGAGGAAGCACAGGTCCTGCCCTCTTGGGACTCACAGTTTGGTGCAGGAGGCCCCCATGCTTTTCTGTTTATAGACCTCTTTTTGAGCAATTACCCAATTCATATATCTATATTTATTTATTTATAAGTTATATGCATTTAGTACAATGTTAATATATTAGGTACACTATAAAACACATACACAAAATAGAAAATGTAAAAGGATGAGAAAAAAACAATTATGAAAGTAAATTCTGTCACTTTTATCCCAAAGAATTGGCACGTGCCCTGGGCTCCCTTCAGCTGCCTGGGCCCTACCCTGGAGACTGACTCAGTGAATTGAGCCGCAGTCTTGGTATCTGGAAGGCTAACAGGTCTTCCCAGCTGATTGTGCTGCAGGTGTTGGAGAGCAGTGTGTGTTGCCTGGGGACTGTGTGGACTGGTATCACCCAGACAGCTTGCACTGACTCCAGACCCTGCCGTCATGTCACAGGTAAGAAGGTCAGGAAGAGGCTGGAGCGTGCCGGTGAATGGGTGAGAAAGCTCCCTGGTGAGGCTTCCTGCTTTTCTGTTGCTCAGAAGGAGGCCGTGCTTCCTAGGAACTGCATCCAGTCACAGGCGGGGACTTTGGGCAAGTCACTGGGCCTCCCTGGCCTAATTTTCTTCTCTGGAAAAGTAAGGGGGTGATTTAGAATAACCCGCAGAATGTCTTAGGGCCCCTACATTTGATTTAATCAGGGTTTTTTTGTTTTTTTTTTTTTGAGACAGAGTCTCGCTCTGTCACCCAGGCTGTAGTGCAGTGGCGCAATCTCGGATCATTGCATACTCTACCTCCCAGGTTCAAGCGATTCTCCTGCCTCAGCCTCCCGAGTAGATGAGATTACAGGTGCGCGCCACCACACCTGGCTCGTTTTTGTATTTTTAATAGAGATGAGGTTTCACCATGTTGGCCAAGCTGGTCTTGAACTCCTCACCTCAAATGATCCACCCACCTCAGCCCCCCAAAGTGCTGGGATTACAGGCGTCAGCCACTGCGCCTGGCCTTTAATCAGGTTTTTTATTTCAACAAGGCATGGGGGTGATTCAGTTTCGTTCAGCAATTTAAAATACATGTATATTTTCTTTTTGATGTAAGAGCTAGTTAGATCATGAGGCTTGGATTTTCTTGGACTCTGTGGGCACCTAGGCAGTAGTAGGTGTTTAAATTTTAGGCCCCCAAGCAAAAGTTTCAGAAGGGGGCCTCTTTAACCCTTGTTAATTGCAAAATAAACAGATCTCAAGGGCAGGGGCCCCTTCTTTTCATAATAACTGCCTCTGTTTTGTGTGTCATCAGTGAAAAGCATCATTTTCAAATACTCCATCAGGAGTGGGTTCCATCACTGAAGGCCTTCTTCCTTCAGCCCATCAAAGGACCTCCTCCTTTGACCCCTCAGAGTCAGTGGCTAACCTGCCCCCTACCCCTGTCACATGTCTTTAGCTTCCAGATATCTCCATTTGCAAGCTAATAAGTTGCACATACATATGTTTGAACAGTTGTCAGGCTTGTCTGCTGCTCAAACTGTGTTTTAGTTTAAAACAACAACAACAGAGAACTCAGAGCGGGGGAATGGATGAAGACATTTCAGTTGTGCCTGCAGGTGGTGTTGTTTTGACCTTGACAGTCAGTTTTAAATGACTTGTCAAGTACCAATGTGTGCTTCTGGGCACACCCACCTGGAAGATATTATGTCCCCTAGGCTTTATATGCCCCAGCAGGCAGGCATGAGGTCCCTGGATTTTGTTTTCATTGATGGAAGGTTAATGCATGCATGGCAGAACTTTACTGAGAGGGGCGCAGCTACAAACCCTGTTTTCATTTAATTCTGATTTCTCTTCTCCCTTGGCCTTTCCCTCCCTGCCCCCAGACCTCTTCCGTCTGGGCTCTCTCCACTCCCCATCAGCAATCCCTTCTCTACCACAGCTGCCCCCCACCACCACTTTGGCTTCAAACCATTTATCCTGGCTTTGATATCTCCTTGCAGAGCTGTAAGCAACCAGGAGATGCTGGGTCCCAGAGCTCAGCAGGGTGCACTGCCTGGTAGGGGACTGGGCCCCAGTCTCCAGGCCACTGCAGGAAATTGCACCCAGAAAGCCTGCCCAGGCCCCTGTGCCTGTCCCGGTAACCACTCAGGTGCAGCCCCCAGAGGCGGCATCTCCTCAGCTTAAGTGTTGTCTGGGGAGAACTTCTTAGGATTATTCTAACCTTTCCGATGGTCCAGGTTCATCTCTCTGAATTTTACCTGTTTAAACTTGGAGTGTCTCCCGTACCCTCAAAGGCCACACATGCTTGTGCTGGCAAGTTGGGGTGAGGAGAATAAATGGACAGATGAAAGGAACCTATTGGATTCATCCTCCTGCCTACCAACACTTCGATAGTTTCAAGTTATTTGAGAGTACAATTGATGGTCCCTTATCCAGGGAACACTTCTTCTTCAGCTTCCTTGTCCAAGGAAGGAGACCTGTACTAATTAGATCATGAGGCTTGGATTTTCCTGTACTATGTTTCTAAAGGTAGAGATGAGGGAAAGGGTGCTTGTTCTTAGGACCACGTGCACATCTTCTCACTCTGTAATACTTCCTTAAACTTGGGAAGAAGTAGGCCCAGAGCTAGATATTTACTTCTCTAATGGGTAACACCACCAGCAATGTGCTCCACTGTTTGGTGGGCTTACGGGAACATATGAAGGAGAGGGTCCCTGCCTGGCCCCTTAGATATCTTGCTGAGATCTGACTTAGAATCTAAGAGGAAGACCAGTGCTTGCCAACCTGTCCTCCCCAGAATCCGGAAGTCTTCCCAAGGCCATAGAAGTGCATCACACTGTCTCGCTCCAAGGGACTCAAACCACTTTCTCTTTATACCCCCTGCCTGAGGGGCACCTCTGTAAGGGAATCTTATTACTTACCTTTGGCACACATCCTGCCCTGGGATTTCCCAGTTAGAATGCCAAGTAGAGGAGGCTGAGAAATGTGTGGTATGAGAATGACTGGACCATGTTTCCTATCACTGGGAGGAGCCTGGTGTCAGAGAATGTAGGAGAAGCAGAGTAAGGGAGAGAAATGGCATTCACTCTGTGCCCCTGCCCTTCCTATGGGTCTCTGAGCCTTCAAATAAGGACTTTATTTGGTCAAAGCTGGTTGAGTTGAGTTTCTGTTGTTTACACCCACAGCCCTGAATAATTTACAAAGGGACACTTCCCTTTTGGTTTTACAAGCAAAAGCATCAGTTAGACCTTAGGATTGGGAAGGGGAGTCAGTGGTGTAGACCTAAAAGGAAGAAGCTGAAGCACCAAATATAATTTAAAGCGTTTTATTGAGCCAAAGTGAGGATGGCTGCCTGGAAAACTCAGACCCAAGGAACCTTGGATATGAGCTCCATCCTGCCTTTGTTACAAGCAGGTTTTTAGAGGCAAAAAAAAAGGGGACAAGGAGTGGGCTGTACAAAGTGGTTTATTAGGAATTCTCGTGGGTTTTCGAAATAACATTGATTAGTGATTGGCTATACGTTGTTAAGCTATAGGGTGGGTTATAGAGTCTGCTGTGGCATTATTAGGTTGATTTATAGCTACTTCTGGCAGTAGCAAACAGTTACAAGAGATGAGTGCATAGCTCAAAGGGAGGGGTAAGATGTGATTGCTCCCTCATTTTAATGTCTCTCTGGACCTGATAATCTAAAATAACTCACTTTCTTCAGATTAAAGATCTTGGTTGCTTTGAGTAAACCTGACAGTGTCTGGTTTGATGAAGGTCCACCTCTGACCTTCAGATTCTTTGATGATGATACCACCTGACTTTATAGCTTTCGGGGTGTCCTCAGATATGTCTCCTCTCACAAACAAGCTCCAGGTCCTTCCACAGCCCTGCTATCACAGGCTTCCTGTAACTTCCTTCCAGACTAGCCCTGTCCTCCCCCTCACCAGCCTGTGCTAAGACCTGGAATCCTTGCTACTCAGAGAGACCTCTCTGCTCTGCCCCTCCCATGATTTTCCACCCACCAGGAAGGGCAAGCTGTGCTTTCTGGTTCCCTAAGGAGTTTCTCATGCAGGGTAATGAGTCCCAGCAGGTGCTGACAGTGGATCAGGGCCTGGGCTTCTATAGCTCTTGGCCTCTGAAGCACAGGGCAGGTGGATCCTAATGGTGAGTTGTTTGCTTGAGCTGAGCTGCAGAAATGGGTTGGAGCATGAGCAAGGGCAAGCCCCAGACAACCAAGAACATTTCATATTCTGCTCCCCATAGGATGCAATGTGAGATTGATACTCGAGGGACCTCCACCCTGGCTGTGTTCAGGCTCTTGACACCGCCACAAGAAGGAATTCAAGGACAAGTTGGAAGATAAAGTACACACTCAAGAAAAGGGAGTTTGGTGTACTAAAGAGAGAGAGTCATGCACAAGGGGGGCTGGGGTTTCTATCTCTATGGGTTTCTGAACCAAGGGGTGGAATATCTATGTTGAGCAGTGGGGTTATTGAAATTATGTAGCAAGGTAGTCTGTTGGTAAATCTTTCAAACTTGCAGTTTAATCCTGAATTGTTAATATAAGATTAATAGGTGTGGTTTATTACCACACAAACACCTCCAATTGGTTCCTGCTCTGGCCCTGTTGGGGCCTCATATGATGGCTTAATAATGAGCCCAAATCCTGCAAAATCTTGCTGTACTCAGGAAAGTTCTGAGTTGCTTCTTCATTTGTGGCAGTCCCACCTTTTAGACAGCCTCCTTTCACTCTGTGGAGAAGGTCTGGTTTCCTGGGCTTAGGATGTACCCCAGGTATTTAATTTTTGGTTTTAGAAATCTGGGCCTTGGATGGAGAGACCTGATACCCAAAGAGGGAGGTTAGGACTTTCCCAGGAGGTTAGGACTTGAATGGCATTCTTCTCTGAGTCCTCTTTAGTGGGACTGCATACAAGGATGTCATCCACATATTGGAGAATGACTCCCCATTTCTAGCTCTAGCTCCTTTTACTCTTGTGCCAAGGCATTTCTGAACAAGTGAGGGCCATCCCTGAAGCCCTGAGGCAGTACTGTCCAGGTGTGCTGCTGGGTAATATTAGTTCCAGGATTAGTCCTCTCAAGAGCAAACAAATACTGAGAGTCAGAATGCAAAGGGATACAAAAGAAAGCATCCTTAAGATCTAATACTGTGAACCAGTTGGTCTCCCGGTATTCGGGTAAGTATGGCATAAGGATTTTGCACTGTCGGACGTAAGGGAATTACAGCCTCATTAATGGCTCTCAAGTCTTGAACTAGACGGTACTCTGTTTGGTTTTTGGTTAGGAAGGACCAGGAGTATTACAAGGAGACTGACATGGAATCAGGAAGCCATGTTTTAAAAACTTGTCAATTAGAGGTTGGAGTCCTTGCTTGGCTTTTGGTTTGAGAGGATACTGACGCTTGTGTGGGAAATTATTTTTGTCTTTTAAAGAGGTGATCACTGGCTGAGCATAAATTGCTTTGCCAGGGCTTTCTTGGTCCCATATTTGTGGGTCTGAGACCTTATTTTGGGATGGATCTCCTGTCATTCCGAGGCTGGCTTAGGAAACAACACTGCCAAAAAGGAGGGCCCCCCACCCAGGGCCTGATAAATGTAAAGTGGCCTCAGGGGTGGCTAGGAAGTCCCATCCCAATGAAAGAGTAGAATACTGTGGCATAACTAGAGATTCATGAGTTACCATATAGTTTCCTAGCCTGCAGTTCAGAGGCACTGTAAAGTGTTTTGATTTTGGGGTGCCACTGACACCCATGACAGTGCAGCTTTTGGAAGATAAGGGCCCAGAGTGGCCATTTAGGACAGAGTAACTTGCCCCTGTGTCAATTAAGACATTGATATTCTTAGTTGCCATGTCAAGAGTCACCTGAGGCTCCTCAGTTATGATGACCAGGCCTTTTATGGGAGCCGCCGAGAACCTCGGGCCCCTTCAGGCCTCAGTTATGGCCATTATGGACTGGGTATCCTCCTATTCCTTTGGAGCTGAAGGCAATCCCTTTTCCAATGGCTCCCCTGCTTGCAGTGAGGACAGCATCTGGGTGGGCTCCCCTGGCTGCGACAGATCTTATCCCAATGTCCTGGCTTCCCACACTTGAAGCAGCAACCATTGCCTGCACGGTTGCTGTTAGGCCTTTTTGGTCCATGGGTGAAGCATCTCTCTGGATGACCCTGAGGTTGCAGGGTGCTGCTCATAGTAACTGCTATCATTTGGGCCTGCCATCTATCCCATTGTTTGCCACACTGGGTCCTTTCAGCCTTTTCAGCCCTGTCCCTATTACTGAATACCTGGAAAGCCTCATCAAGCTTTGGTTTAATAGGTATTTGGGGTCTCAAAGACAATTTCTGTAATTTTCTCCTGATGTTGGGTGCTGACTGGCTTATAAAGTGTGTCCCTAGTTAAATTTGGCCAGCATCAGTACTGAGGTGAGTGTTAATATATTTTCTTAGGGCCTTCACAAGGTGACCCTGGAACAAAGCTTGGTTTTCATCCTTTCCTTATTTCCCTTATTTTATCATAGTTCACAGCCTTAGTGTACATTTTTTATTCTCTCCACTAACCAAATTGCCATACAATTTCTTTTTCTTGGATTAGCCTGGCCTTGTAGATAGTTCCAGTTGGGGTCATTGTTAGGCACAGGCATGGCCCCCACAGTGTATAGTTCAGGGTCCCCAGCTAATAAGTTGTCAGCATAAGCCTTGGCCTCCACGCAGATACACTGCTTTTCCTCCAGGGTGCAACATGTGGACGAGGTAATATGAATAACTCACCAAGTTAACTCAGGTGAGAGTGAGAGAGCCTGAAATTCGTCCTGAATTTAGTTGGGTCCTCTAAAAATTGGCCCAACCTTTGGCTACATCATGCTAGATCAAACACTGAAAAAGGTACATGCACCTGGATGGTCCCAGCATCCCCATTGGCCACCTCCCTAAGTGAGCATAACTTAGAATGGTTAGGAAGGTAGGAAATGCCACTGTAGGTGACCCTGGCAGGGCTCTGTTCCTTCAGTAGGGAGGGCATATAGGTTGGTAAGGAGGTGGGCTAACGGGAGACTAAGGGCTGGAGATGGTGGAGCTAGAAGAAGACTGGGGAGTTGGAGGTGGAATTGGGTGGTAGGGAGGAGCAGGGAGTGCTAGACCTAGGTCTGGGTTAGGAGGTGGGGGAAGGCTATGAGAGGTATATTCCCAAAAAGGGTATCATCTAGGATATCTGGTTCCCATTTCGTTCTCCTAAAGGGATGTGAGTCTAACAAAGGCAGCAGTTCCTGCAACGGTCAAGGTTCTAACAGGGCCACGAAGGCCTGTGCACATGGTGTTTCAGTTCAATTCTCCTGACATTGATAAAAAAGATCTAATTGCAAAATGGTATTACAATTTAGGGTCATGTTCTCTTACCATTGTACTGCATTCTGTTTCCTTTTTTTTCCTTTTAGGATCTCACTTTTTTACCCAAGGCTGAAGTGCAGTGGCACGATCATGGCTCGCTGCAGCCTCATCCTCCCAGGCTGAGGTGATCCTCCTACCCCAGCCCCCTGAGTAAGCTGGGACTATAGGCGTGCACCACCATGCCTGGCTAATTTTCTGTGTGTTTTTTGTAGAGATGGGGTTTCGCCACGTTGTCCAGGCTGGTCGCGAACTCCTGGACTCAAGCAATCTGTGTGCCTTGGCCTCCCACAGTGCTAGGATTATAGGCGTGAACCACCACACCTGGCCCTTGTACCCTATGTTCTAAAAGAAAGGCCTTGACTTGTCTTTGGCATGAAATGAAGAAGAAGAGGAAAGTTAACATATTCCCTCATGGAGGGACTGGTCCCAGTATTTACGAAATGCTGCATGGACGAGTGTGGTGCTTACAATTGGCCAGCTCCATGGCCATGCCTGAGAGACAAGCATCCTTGTTCCCTTGGCTGGCTGCCTTAGTGTCCAGGTGTCCTTGGAGCCCTAGCATTGCCCAGGCATCCTTGGCTCCTGGGGCTTTGAAAATGAGAAGGCTTTTGAGGTCTAGTAGGACGAGTTATGGCATAATTTGAAAGCAGCAAGCATGCCAATATCCATCCGAATATTTATCCTCAAGTAAAAGTTGGGAACAGAAGTGATTTAGCATGGCCAATAAACCAAGGACCTTGAAGGGGCCCCTTAAGAACTTTAGGCCTAGATTTGGCATTCCGGAGGGCAGTATCTAAGATGCCTATCTTGCTGGGTCCAAAGAGTTCCCTAAGCTTTCATGTGAAGTATGAGGAAGAAGCATGAGAAGAGAAAATCTCAGGAGCTGAGTTTAAAGAAAATGGGAAAGAGAAAACAGTTCCCAGCCAGGGTCAGTGTTTTGGCACAGCTGGTCCCTTGGGAGAATGGAAGCCTCTTCCTGGGCAAAAGTCATCATGCTCCTTGGAAGCCATCCAGCCACTGCACAGTACAAGCTATAGGATGTTACCCTACCACCCTACCATGGTGCCTCAGACCTGCCACCTCTGCTTGTCGCCCAAGATGATGGAGAGAGAGCTCTGCTTTGCAGTCAGTGCTCTATCCCCAGCTCTGCCGTTGACTGCTGTGTCCTGTTACTCCCTGGTAAGGTGCCATAGACCACTCATCTCCAGAACTCTTGTGGATAAGATTATGTGTAGATGCCGTTACATCTTAGGTCCTCAGCAGATACTGGTTCCTTGCTTCAGTAGGCTTAGGAAAATTTGGTAGTTTTATGGGTCAATAAACACATAAGTTTTGTGGCTTATTAGTGTGAATCACAGATTCTACAGTTCCTATCAACCCAATGTCTAAAATAATTCTCTAAAATAATAGCTCCAGGGAGAAAATAAAAATAGGTATGGTGACTTAGCATGGTAGTATGACAATATGAAAGGTTTGTTACAGAGTTGTTGGTCCACATTCCTTACATTGTACACATTGGAATTTCTCCGTTTCAGAAGGAGCATTTAGAGCAGCACCTACATTTTTGTTAGGTTTTCCTTCAAGGCTGTAGCTTGAACTTTTAATATACATACTCACTTTTCTTCCCCCCAAAAAGAAGGGTAAAGAAGGCAGTAAAGGTAAAGAAACCAGACATTATTTGATTCAGCTCAAAATGTATTTTTTAGTTCCTTTTCCACATTTAATAACAAATAAAGGCCGGGCGCGGTGGCTCACGCCTGTAATCCCAGCACTTTGGGAGGCTGAGGTGGGCGGATCACGAGGTCAGGAGATCGAGACCATCCTGGCTAACACAGTGAAACCCTGTCTGTACTAAAAATACAAAAAATTAGCCGGGCATGGTGGCGGGCACCTGTAGCCCCAGCCACTCGGGACGCTGAGGCAGGAGAATGGCATGAACCCAGGAGGCCGGGCTTCCAGTGAGCCGAGATCATGCCACTGCACTCCAGCCTGGGCGACAGAGTGAGACTCCGTCTCAAAAAACAAAAGCAAACAAACAAAAAAAATAAAAAGAAATCTTGTACCTGATCTTCAGGGATTTGGGATCCCACCTGGATTAAACTAGACTATCCAAGCCCTATTTGCCTGGCTTCCAGCCCTCCTGGAGTTCTGTTCCCACCAGTTAGACAAAGCTCTCTGTCCTTGACCTCTTTTCCCATCACTTTTGGATCAGAGATTGAGCCTGTCAGCTCCTGAAACAGCTGTCTCTGATCTGTTCTCAGTATTATCTGAGCCATTATCTGACTTGTGTCTGAAAGGACTGCGTGATGGAAACTTCTGAAAGAACCCTCTGTCACCCCACCCGCATCTTCCAAATAGAGCCAGAGAGGCCCAGAGTCAGAAGGCTAAGAAGACCAAGTGTGTGGCCAGCAGCTGCGGGGAGCCAGGGCAACTCCTGCCCGCCACTCTTCCTCTGAATGCCTAGCCCTCTCCGCCTGTGTTCACAGGCCAGCCCTCCCCGGGGCATACACAGCATTTTGTAAATAGTAACTGTGTGTCTTGGTTGAGATAATCTTGTAGGCCAGAATGGAATGTCTCAAGACACTTTGCAAACGGGATTTTATTGTTTAGTTTTAGGGATAGGATCTCACTCTGTCACCCAGGCTGGAGTGCAATGGCACGATCTGGGCTCATTGCAGCTTTCACCTCCCAGGCTCAATCAGTCCTCCTCAGCCTCCTGCGTAGCTGGGACTACAGGCATGTGCCACCATGCCTGGCTAAATTTTTTTTTTTTTTCATAGAGACGGGGTCTGACTACGTTGCCTAGGCTAGTCTTAAACTCTGAGGCTCAAGCAATCCTCCCGCCTTGGCCTTCTGAAGTGCTGGGATTACAGGAATGAGCCACTGTGCTCAGCCCAAAAGGGATTTTAATTTTGCAAAAGGACCAACCTTAAAAGAGCTTTGAATAATAAGTTTCTTTAGTGCAATTCTTTTTTTTTTTTTTTTTGAGATGGAGTCTCGCTTTGTCACCCAGGCTGGAGCACAGTGGCGCAATCTCGGCTCACTGCAACCTCTGTCTCCCGGGTTTAAGTCATTCTCCTGCCTCACCCTCCTGAATAGCTGGGATTACAGGTGCCCACCACCACGCCCAGCTGATTTTTGTATTTCTAGTAGAGATGGGGTTTTGCCATGTTGGCCAAGTTTGTCTCAAACTCCTGACCTCAGGTGATCTGCCTGCCTTGGCCTCCCAAAGTGCTGGGATTACAGGTGTGAGCCACCGCGCCTGGCCAGTGCAATTCTTTTATGTTTTTGTTCCCCACCTCTGTTCCGATTTTCCATTCCTTAGGTATAGTACTTTATGAGCTTTTTGTATTAACCCCCTGTGTTCCTTCATGCAGATGCAGGCCAATTAGACGATACATATTATTACTCTCTCTCCCTTTTCTTAAAAGGAGATAGAACACACACCCTATTTTACACTGTGCTTTTGTCAATTATCATTATCCCCTAGATATAATATTAGGCCTTAAAGAGTTTCTCATTCTTTTTTATTTAGCTGCATAGTATTCTAGTCTATGGATGCTCTCAGTTATACTTTTCCAAAATATGGATCTTTGACTTTTTCCAAAATTTTACTGTTGTAAACAATGCTGTGTTGAGCACCTGGTATATTTAAATAGTCAGTGAATCACAAAGATTTCATTAACATACCTGCCATATTGTGGGAGGTAGGGATGTGCCTGCATCTTATTTATCCTTCACTAGTGCTTGGTAACTGTAGGTGGAACCACATGCAATTTCTGTTTGGGGAAATCTTAAAAGCAGTAGAATATCAGCACTTTTGCGTAGCTCACTGATATTTAGAGAAACCTACATGCCATAGCAGGGATGGAGATAAGAAAAAGAAGTCTCTCGCCCCCAACCTAATGTGTCTTGGTGAAGATCTTGCTTATTTAGGTCTAAGACCTTGTTTAATAAACCAAGTGGAAGCCGTAATGACTCCTTTTCAGCAATTTTATAACGATGTAGTTCTTCAGGTTTCACTAATTTTAACAATTCTATAAAGTTATGTTCATCCTATTTTCACTAACTTTGGAAGTTTAAAGAGAAACTCTGTTGAAAAAGTAAATCCACATACCAAGTGTTTTTAAATAGCATGGAGAAATGCAATTTATTTTTCTGGTTAAGAGAAGTAAGTATTATTTATGCTTTTTTGGGCTTTTGGGTTTATTTATTTAGGTGGTGCCTTGGCGTTGAGTGAATGACATTAGCTGGTGTGGGGACCTGCAGCAGGGCTTTCAGGATAGAGCGTTCACCCCACAGTTTCAGTGGTGAGCAGGCAAGAGGTTGCCCAGATCCTGGCCCAAAAGACCAACCACCAGTCTTACAAACTAAAGGGAAATCATATTTTACCACAATGAGAAAAAATGAAGGGGAAGGCTAATGCTGTATTTTTTGTTAAAATGGAAGGATGTTGAGAAGACAGAGACTTTCAGTGGTTTTAATCTTCAGACTTTGGCAGAGGCCAAGCATGATTTGAATACAGAGAAAGTGGAGTGACATGACAGAAAGGGAAGTGGAAAGTGGTGGCTTCCAGAAACAACCAGATGTGTTTGAATTTCCAGGCTCCTCAAGGAAGAGTGAGTTGAGCTGGAGCTGAGTTGCTGAAACCTTTTTTAAAGACTCAGTTGAACATCCGTATGCCCCTGACATGTAATTCTAGAGCATACCACCCAAAACTCAATTTTAAATAGTAGGCAGAGCCTATGCTGCTACCCTGTTATGGTTTCATGTTGGCCTAACTAATCTATTTTTTCTTTTTGGTGGTAACATCAATGGGAGGCAAGCAATAGATGTGATTTATCTCAGCCTTAGTAAGGCATGACAATAAGAACAAATTCAGAAAATGTTCTTTACCAGCATGGCAAGTTTTTTTTTGTATTTCTAAAAGGCAACCATTTTAGTGGATACAAAATTAACATAAGCCATAGATCTGTGCACCCTGTGTGTGTAAACACACACACACACACACACACACACACACACACACACACACGCAGGCATTCAGCCTACTGACCCCGCTCGTGGCTGTGTGCTATAGACACACAGAAATACAGTGATCCCCAGGCTGGTTTGGCAGGGCACTCATTACATAGAGGGAACAGACAAAGAGAACCATCATAGAAGGGCTGAGAGGCCCAGAGAACATGGCAGACGAGCTGCTGGTCATTTGTGTCACACACTCTAGCCCCTTTGCAGGGCCCTTTGACCCCTTTAAGGATGTGTTGATCTTGTTAGAAGCTGAAACAGCAGCAGGAGGGTCATTTTGTTGTGCTTTCAAATGAATGCCTGATCAGCTGTGAAATAGACTTGTGCTTGTCTAGTCTCTAAGACCAAGGGAAATGACTTTTCCTAAAAAGAAAAGTTTAAGGAAGTTTTTTGTTTGTTTTGTTTTTTATGGCTAAGCTTTGCTGTTTTTGCTTTAACAAAACACCTCCCTGCACAGCCTAATTCCAACAGCAGAGTATCTGATTACCTCATGCTGAATAATGCACTGTTGTTTATTTGCTTTGCTACCTTCCAGATTTTTCTTTTCTGGGCTAGATAATCCCAACAGCTTTGAGTTCCGTTTTTATAACTTCTATTTTCCTATTCTTTAGTCATCTCAGTTGCTTTCTGCTGGAGCATTTTCTGATTCTCTTCATTGCTCGGAAATTAAGAAGTCTGAAACCAGACACAACAAGCTGGAAAGATGTCTCCATAGCTGATGATAGGAACTGTTTATCGAGCTCTGAACTCTGTGCCTCGTGTTGCGCTGAGTACATGTCATGTATCATCCCATTTAAGACTTGCATCCTCTATGGAATAGATTCCATTTGGGCATTTTGTAGATGAGGAAACTGAGAAAAGAGTAATTCTGTATCTCGCCCGTCTCCTAAGTGATAGTGCCGAAATTCTACCCAGTTCCCTGCCTGTGGAGCCTGCAGTCTGAACCATTATCCCTGGTGCCACAATTTCACTCACCTGTCCCCTAATCTTTTTTTTTTTTTCTTTTGTGAGATGGAGTTTCGCTCTTGTTGCCCAGGCTGGAGTGCAATGGCGCAATCTCGGCTCATCGCAACTTCCGCCTCTTGGGTTCAAGTGATTCTCCTGCCTTAGCCTCCTGAGTAGCTGGGATTACAGGCATGTGCCACCACACCCAGCTAATTTTGTATTTTTAGTAGGGACGGGGTTTCTCCGTGTTGGTCAGTCTGGTCTTCAACTCCTGACCTCAGGTGATCTGCCCACCTCAGCCTCCCAAAGTGCTGGGATTACAGGCGTGAGCCACCGTGCCTGGCTTATATGAAATGCTAACAGCTGTACTGGGCAGTTGACTCGCTTTCTATTTAAAGGTCAGTATACCTCTCTACCTTTTACTCCTTTATTAACACATGGTTAGTCATGCCTTCCTTCAGACTAGTCTGCATGTCCTTCTGGAAATTCATTTTGTTGAACCACTTTTCCAGATTCTTTGAATCTCACTGAATTCTAATTTGGTCCTTCTAGAGCATGTTCACCTCCTGTAGCTTGATTCTCTGGAGCATCTAATGAAGTCTCTTAACTGGCAAGCCTCCTGGGGGCTTTTAGGTGTCCACTGCCCTTTGTGATGTCATCCTTCACACTTACCTTGGCTCTTCCCCGGGTTCCCACACCAGGCTGAGTGGAAGGAGGTGTAGATTGAGCAAGCTGTCTGGGAGCGTGAATTTTTAGGTAGTAGCTATCTTTTCAAATTTGGAGAATTCGTCAGAGTTTTACAATAGCCTCAGAAGTAGGGAAATCTCACTTAGATTTTGTTTCAAGTCCACAGTTATCGGGTGCTCATTGCTATCACTGAGAACCCTAGGCATTGCCAAGCTATCACTTTGTGGAAGCCATGCCTTTGGAGTGAAAACACCATCTATGAAAGATAGTCACGTGACGTTGAATTGTATCACACCCAGCTTACTATGCAGTCCCTGGCATGGAAGTGACCCTTTGCTACTATTTATTAAATGAGAGAAAGAAGGGATATAGAAATAGGAATCGCAGTGGTGATTAAAGTTATTTTGCTTTTTGCTGAAGACCTCTAGTGTGATTTCCCCAATGTACACCAATTTAACCAGAGGAGGGTACAACAGGAATCACCGTGACAGTTATCCTCCAAATTAAAATGAAAGTCAAAAATCTCTCACAACACGTTTTTTAGGAACAACAACAGTCAGTGTTCCAAAATCTCCTTAAGCCCCCAAAAAGAGGATTTCAAGAGCCTTTAGTCTTTAGTTTTGCTTCTCTCTAGTTCTTGCTTCTTCTGTAACATCATGGCCCCTGCCTCTTTGGATACTCTAAGATGTCAAATCGACTGAGGATGACTCCTGAGGACCCTTTGAGATGATTACCATCGTTGTAGGTATAGCTTGATGTATTCTTGTGTTTATGAATGCAGAGGTGTTTAGAAACACTACTGGGAATATTCTCTAACTTTCAGGTGGAACCAGAAAAGAGAAAATTTCTGTTCTTCTGATCATTTGTCAAATTCAGCTCGAAACAGGATCTTGAGTACAGAACATTTTTCCTGGTTGCTGCATAGCTCAGTTAATCTGTATATCATGGGAGTGTGTTATTGAGAGCATTTGCAGAAGGGTGGAACCAGGAGCTCATGGCTCAAGCAGGAAAATGTTTCATTATTTGCAGAGCAAGAGAATGAAACTCCTGAGACCTGAATTTCAGGGCTCCTTGAAATGATGGATGCATTCTTTTAACTTGGTGGAGAAAAAGAACATAATAAATTCGAGAAAATAACCATTCTTTTACACTTCTTTTTTCTCATTCAGTTTTGCTCTTTACTTTTTGTAATACCACTCTCAAGTCTCTAAAATACAACTGCTTCCCATTTGGTGAGTGTTTTTTTTTTTTTTTCCATTTGACAACAGCATTTTCCTGTGTTTTTAATGGCACCAAAATTAACATGGCTGTTTCAATTTAACAGAAACAACTTCAAGTTTTATATTACACGCCCTACCAAAGAATCTTTGATTTTTGCCCTGGCGTTTCCCAAGATGTTAGCATGGCTTTGAAAACAGGGCTGTTTAACTGCTGCTGCAGAAGAGATGGCCAGGGGAGCACAGCAGATTGGGGAGGGAGGAGGGAGAGAATGGAGGAGAGGAGGGAAATTGGCCTCCCCCAAGTTACTATTTTTAAAGTTTGCTTGCCTACTGAATAGCTCAATTTACAAATCCTACTGGATATGGTTTTGTGCTTCCCCGTTTTTGTTTCCTGTTGAAAGTGTGATGGATGCCTTGGTGGAAGACCAGCCCCGCATCCTGCTGTTTTGCCTGTGCCTCTTTACTTACGAAGGCTGGGCCCTTCTCTCCCCTTGAGAGGGGAGACCCACGTTGTCGAAGGCATCTCCAGGGAGATAGCCAGTCCCGGAATTTCTTAGGAGGTGGGACCTCAAATCCCAATTAGAAACACTCCAGGAAACATACATCTTTATTTGTTAAACAAGTAGTGTTGTGTGAGCCTTGGTGAAGACGCTCAGTCGTTTTAAATAAGTGAAGTAAACATTCCCTTCCAGGGGAGCGCCCTCCCTAGGCGCTGTCACTTTGAAGCTCAGTTTTAAGGTTTTCAGTTGGAACATGCAGTGTTCTTTTTTCCTTGGCTTGGGTTCTAGAGAATGTTGTTTCCTCATTTGGTAATTGGAGAGTTAATAGGGTTCTTTGTGATGCTACCGTGGAAGAGAGACTGTTTTATTCCATTCAGGGACTATAATTACAGGGCGCCCATCGGCATGGTTAAAGTTAAGGTTGTTTCAGCTTTTCCAATGTAAACTCATATTTCAGGGGTTTATAACTAGCTATAAAAATTTGCTTCTAGCTACAGACCTGGCATATTCAGTGTCAGCCTAGGAATAACCTTTACGTTTTAAAAAGTATTTTTAAAAGGATAATTAAAAAATTCTGTTTAGCTGTTTATAACTGTTGTTACAAGGATTCAAGGAAATAAAAATAGCTTTTTCTTTTTTTAGCAAAAACCTGTGACCCATATTTTTTTAATGTGGACAAAGTTATTAGATTTTTTTTTTTATGTCTTCAAAGGAAAATACGGTGAAATCTGTGTCAAAGCTATTTTAAAAGGGTATTGTTTCAGTTTTCCTTGTGGCAGCGGGCAGGGCACCAGAACATGCCCTCCTTGTTCTCCGAAGACATGAGCCTCCCATAGGACTGCTGGCAAAGCTGTTTCGTCCGCGGGCTTCAAGTTCATTGTGACAGAACTCCTGGCCAAGGAGTGCACAGCAGCCTCTTGGCAGATGGAAGAAACATGACCAACCATCGTGAGGCCATGGCCACTCTCCTCTTCCCCGCAGCCCTGTCCCTCTGGCCCTACATGTTGGGACACAGTGAGCAGCACAGGTACAGAGCTATAATAGAGACCCACTGGGGGGACCACAGAGCCTCTTCGTTCCCTTTTCCTGATCCACATGGTGGGGAAGGGGAGGAGGGAGTTTGCCTCTCTAGGAATCTCTCTTCAGCTCGGTGGCATTTGTTGCAGTAAGTAGCTTTAGGTGGGTCTGTTTTTGTACATGCTGACAGATGGGTGTGACACATTGCACAGGTGATTCAAAAGTTCTCCAATAAAACTTTCTTTAAAACTTCATGCTAGACAGATTTACCTTTAGCAATTCTTTTTCTAGCAGCTAGGGTCTTGATTGATGTCATGTGATAATAATGATGGTGGTGGTGGTGGTGGTTGTAATGTGGGGAAGGAGAAGAGGTATTGGTCATGGTGATGGAGCTGATGATATTAGTGGAGGTGGTGATGGCCACAAGGGTAGTGGTGGCAGTACAGTGGAAGTGGGGGAGGTGACAGTGGTGATGAGTGGTCATGGCAACAGTTGGGGCTATAGATTTCTGCCTGCCTGCCTGAGCTGTTTGCACAAGTCATTGTTCATCTTTGCAGAAAGCAGCAGCTTAGGGAATCTGCCATTGTCCCTTCCCTCTACATAACATGCCCCAGTGGAACTTGCAACTGGCTTTTGGTAGATCTTGTCTACCAATGCATGATAAAATTTGGTTTGTGGAAGAGATGGATACATGCCCCCTTTTCAGAAGCTGGTCTCCATTTTAGAGCCAGAGAACAGCTTCTCTTCTTTTCTGTGGCTTCTCGTTTAGGAGCAAAGAACACGGTGAGCTGGAGCTCTGGAACCCCAGAGTCATTAGTAGAGAGATGGTGGTATTTCTACCAAAATTGAAGTGCTTAACCACATTCTAGGAACCATGCCCTGTGATTTACACATATTAAATCAGTAAATCTTTTTAACAACTCTGTAAAGTAAGTTTTTATCTTGACTTTACAGATGAGGAAAGTGAGGCTTGGGTCATAGGATTTGAAAATCTTGGTCTTTGAGCCTCAAACCCTTTACATTTTCGTCCACTGAAGCCACCAGATAGTTTCTTAGAACATTCTAAAATGTTTGTTGTCTTGGGTGAGTGTATGGGAAGAAATTCATAAGAGAATGTTCCATATTTGGTTTCTTCTCTAACTTATCATGAGGACATAGACTGTCTTTTCTTCCTACACATTTCCTTACACTGATAGTGTACTAAGATGACCCTTTTAAAATTTATATGGGAACTGTTTAGAGGCTCCTACCGCATGTTTTCAGGGCTGGAACTGTGGAGTGATCTTTTCCTGACCTGACTGGTCTTTGTCCAAATAGGACATTGAGCAAGCCAGAAACCAGGCCCCAGCAGAAAAAAGCAAATAGAGATAAATAGTTATCCTCGTCCCAGTGGGATCCCTAGGCTTTCAAGATCAAAGGCCTACTTTGTGTGTGCCTGTTCATAAGCCAGAGAGAGGGGTACAGAAGTAGGCAGGCTGTAGTGTAGACTCTGGTGCCCAGGCTGTTTAACTCTCAGATTCTCTAGTGATATTATTTAAAAAGATTCCCATTTATAAAAATCAGAAATATAACTTGCATTTCCCGGACACAGAATAAGAACAAGGGAGAGAACCAGATGAGAACAGAGAAAAAAAGAAGAGGAGAAGTAATGGCAAAGAAAGGACCAGAGGCAGAAGGCGAGGGAAGCAGGGAGGAGGAGCAGTGGTTGTGGTCAGCACGGGGAATATTTTTATAGGAGGCGTGGAGGAGAATGCTGCGATAGATGTTTATTTCTCCCACCCTGTGGGCTGGCTTCATTTTCTTGATAGTGTCCTCTGACGCACAGAAGTCTTTATATTTGATGAAGCCCAATTTATCTACTTTGTTCTTTAGTTTCTTGTGCTTTTGGTGTCATATTTAAGAATTCATTGCCTATTCCAAAGTCACAAAGATTTCTCCCTGTGTTTTCTGCTAAGAGTGATTTATTTATTATGATTTTAGCTCTTATATTTAGGTCTTTGATCCATTTTAAGTTGATTTTTGTGTAAGGTGTGAGGAGGGGTGTTTTGCCTGTGGATATCTACTTATCCCAGATTTTTATTATTTAATTCATCAAATGTATATTATGTACATATTAAATGCCAGACATTGTGCTGGACGCCAGGGATAGAATAGTCACCAAAACAGTCATCAGTGTCATAGTGTCTCAGGACCTGGGGGCAAAGACAGCATTTCAAGAAATTTGAGAAGGTAGACTTTTGGAGGAATTCAGCTCTTGAGCAGAGTTTTTCAAAAAGTGTAATATGAGGAAAACTGCATAGAATTACCTGGATTGCCTGTTAAAAAAGCAAACAGACCAATTATACACATATACACACACAATATATATATATACACACACACAATATATATATATAAATCACATACTTTAGTTATATAATAAACACATTATTTATATATATTTCTTATTATATGTATTTCTTACATAATTTCTCACATCTTATTTGTATTTCTTCTTACTGTTTTTTTTTTTGAGATGGAGGCTTGCTCTGTTGTCCAGGCTGGAGTGCAGTGGCCCAATCTCGACTCACTGCAACCTCTGCCTCCCGGGTTCAGGTGATTCTCCTGCCTCAGCCTCCCAAGTAGCTGGGATTACAGGCGCGGGGCACCACACCTGGCTAATTTTTGTATTTTTATTAGAGGCGGGGTTTCACCATGTTGGCCAGGCTAGTCTCGAACTCCTGACCTCAAGTGATCTGCCCGCCTTGGCCTCCCAAAGTGCTGGAATTACAGGCATGAGCCACTGTGCCTGGCCACTAAGTTTCAAGATATAAACCAGTTTACACACACACACACACACGCACACGCACACACACACATAATTACATATAATAAATACATATAAAAAAGCTAGCTAGGCCTGTTTATTATTTCCTCTTAGATGATTATCAAATACCTATTTATTTTCAATGTGGAAAAATTTCAGGCCTTTTCTGTGGCCTTAAAAGTTTGAGATCCAAAGAAGTGAAGCCATTGTCTAACCACATACCCAACTGCAGTTGTGGAAGTCATTCTTCCAAAAGCATCTTGACAAAGAAATGTTTTGATGGGAAACATGATATATCTCTGGAAAGAGAAGTAAGAAACTTTTCTCCCTTTCTTAAGTTGGATGTACTTCACAAAACAAACAGGCCACGCCCATGATGCCAGGGTACGGGGCAGTTTCCCTCAGCAGCTGGCTGCAGCTGCTTTTTCTACCGAAATTCTCTGTTTCATAAAAGCTCCCACAAAACACCCTTGTGAGTCCCCTCCACTCACCCTGGCCACATGTCAGATATGTTCACCCTGGCCACATGTCAGATATGTTAACCCTGGGGAGAATCCAATACCCCATTACACCTATATTTCCTTTGCCATTCACTCCCTGAATAGGGAGGGAACAAATGCCTTGACTCTAGCTCTCTTGGCATTTGGAGCAATTGGTGGTTTAGTTACCATCTGACGTCATGACTACAGGTGGCCCAAGGGAGTTCTGTGAAGGAGAAACACAATGACATATTCACACCTATCTCTGTGCTTTGCCTGCATGATCTAAGGGTTCATGTGTGTGAAAGAACAAAATTAGGAGAGTGACTGCATGAACTACATCAGGTGTTTAATTTTTATTATTTATTTATTTATGTATTTATTCAACTTTTAAGTTCTAGGGTACATGTGCAGGATGTGCAGGTTTGTTACATAGGTAAACGTGTGCCATGGTGGTTTACTGCACAGATCAACCCATCACCTAGGTATTAAGCCCAGCATGCATTAACTATTCTCCCTGATGCTCTCCCTCTCCCTGCTCCCCGTGACAGACTCCAGTGTGTGTGGTTTCCCCACCATGTGTCCATATCTTCTCATCATTCAACTTTCACTTATAAGTGAGAACATGTGGTGTTTGGTTTTCTGTTCCTGTGTTGGTTTGCTGATGATAATGGCTTCCAGCTCCATCCATGTCCCTGCAAAGGACATGATCTTGTTTATTTTATGCCTGCATAGTATTCCATGGTGTATATGTACCACATTTTCTTTATCCAGCTTATCTTTCATGGACATCTGGGTTGATTTCATGTCTTTGCTATTGTGAATAGTGCTGCAATGAACATACACATGCATGTATCTTTATAATAAAATGATTTATATTCCTTTGGGTATATACCCTGTAATGGTATTGCTTACATCCTATTTGGGTCGAATGGTATTTCTGCTTCTGGATCTTTGAGGAATGGCCACACTGTCTTCCACGATGGTTGAAATAATTTACACTCTCACCAAGTGTAAAAGCATTCTTTTTTTCTTTGCAACCTTGCCAGCATCTGTTGTTTCTTGACTTTTCAATAATTGCCATTTTGACTGGTATGAGATGGTATCTTGTTGTGGTTTTGATTTGCATTTCTCTAATGACCAGTGATGTTGAGCTTTTTTTCATGTTTGTTGGCTGCACAGATGTCCTCTCTTGAGAAGTGTCTGTTCATGTCCTTCACCCACTTTTTAATGGGGTTGTTTATTTTTTTCTTGTAAATTTGTTTAAGTTCCTTGTAGATTCTGGATATTAGACCTTTGTCAGATGGATAGATTGCAAAATTTTTTTCCCATTCTTTACGTTGTGTGTTTACTCTGTTGATAGTTTATTTTTCTGTACAGAAGCTCCTTAGTTTAATTAGATCCCGTATATCAGTTTTTGCTTTTGTTGCAATTGCTTTTGGCATTTTTGTCATGAAATCTTTGCCTGTGCCTGTGCCCTGAATGGTATTGCCTTGATTTTCTTCTAGGATTTTTATAGTTTTGGGTTTTACATTTAAGTCTTTAACCCATCTTATGTTAATTTTTTTATAAGATGTTAAGGAAGGGGTTCCAGTTTCAATTTTCTGCATATGGGTAGCCAGTTCTCCCAGCACCATTTATTAAATAGGGAATCCTTTCCCCATTGCTTGTTTTTGTCAGGTTTGCCAAAGGTCAAATGGTTGTAGGTGTGTGGTCTTATTTCCGAGTTATCTGTTCTGTTCTATTGGTCTGTGTGTCTGTTTTTGTACAAGTACCATGCTGTTTTGGTTACTGTAGCCTTGTAGTGTAGTTTGAAGTTGGGTAGTGGGATGCTCCCAGCTTTCTTCCTTTTGCTTAGGATTGTCTTGGCTATATAGGCTCTTTTTTGGTTTCATATGAATTTTAAAATAGTTATTTCTAATTCTGTGAAGAATGTCAGTGGTAGTTGAATGAAAACAGCATTGAATCTATAAATTACTTTGGTCAGTATGGCCATCTTCACAATATTGATTCTTCCTATCCATGATCATGGAATGTTTTTCCATTTGTTTGTGTCTTCTCTGATTTCCTTGAGCAGGGTTTTGTAGTTCTTCTTGAATGAACTCTTATTCCCAAGTGCTACAAAGAGAAAAAATACCTGGAAATACAGCTAACAAGGGAAGTGAAGGATTTCCTCAAGGAGAACTACAAACCACTGCTCAAGGAAATCAGAGAGGACACAAACAAAGGTGTTTAATTTTTAAAATGAGAGGTGGACTGCTTCCATTAAGTGAACTGACTGGACAGGAGGCTGCTTTTGTATATTCTCCAAGGGACTGAAGGGGAAAAGGTGATGATCATTAAAAATGTTGTGTTGAGCCAATGGGTGAATTTATTTTTAATCTGAAAGTGGAGAAAACTTCTGGTTTTAAAACCCAGAACCAATAGAAGGAAAGATTGATATATTAGACACATGAATACAAAATATTTTTGCATGTAAAAAAGCAAAACAAATGACTCATTGGGAAAAAATATTCCTAATTTATAACACAGACAAATATGAGCTTCTGAAAACAGAATAGAAAAAACAACAGTCATATAGAAAAATGAGCTAGAGATAAGAACAAACAGTTCACAGGAAAAGAGATGCAACTGTCTCTTAAATTTATGAAAAGATGTTCAACTTTTCTTATCATAGGAGAAATACAAATTAAAACTTCACTGAGATATCATTTCTTACCTATGAGGTTGGCAGACATCCAAGAGTTTGACAACGTACTCTCTTGGAGTTGCAGGGGAAGCGTCAATGCAGGGGGCTTCACCTCCATGGGAAGGAGTTTACAGTATCTAGCAAAACAAGATAGACTTTGACTCCAAATCTTATGAATTTATTCTAAGGATACATTGGCAAAAATGTGAAAATATGCACATATACACACAGTTGTTTTTTGGCATAGCAAAAGACTAGAAACAACCCAGATGCCCATCAGTTTGTGCCAGTTTAAAGAAACTGGGATATCCACACAATGCAGCACTATAGCTATAAAAATGAATGTTCACTATCTCTAAGACTGTGGTAATCTTCAGGATGTCTTGTTAAGTAAAAAGAGCAAGGTGGAGTTTATTCAATATGTTAAATGTCAATTCCATTGGACTTTTATAAAAACAATGGAAATTTAAATGATAAAAAAATTTTAAGTGGTTACCTATAGTAGAAGAAAGCGGGGGAAAAGGTCGGGGGTACAGATAGTAAGAGTTAGACTTCTCCTCAGTATACTTTGCTTTGTAAATTTGATTTTTTTTTTTTTTTTTGGTGACAGAGTCTCGCTCTGTTGCCCAGGCGGGAGTGCAGTGGCACATGATCTCTGCTCACTGCAGACTCCGCCTCCTGGGTTCAAGCGATTCTGCTGCCTCAGCCTCCTGAGCAGCTGGGATTATAGGTGCGTGCCACCATGCCCTGCTAATTTTTGTGTTTTGAGTAGAGATGGGGTTTCACCATGTTGGCCAGGCTGGTCTTGAACTCCTGACCTAAAGTGATCCACCCGCCTCTGCCTCCCAAACTGCTAGGATTACAAGCATGAGCCACCACACCCGTCCTTTTTTTTTTTTTTTTTTTTTGAGATGGAGTTTTGCTCGTTTTCCACACTGGAGTGCAATGGCATGATCTCAGCTCACGGCAACCTTTGCCTCCTAGGTTCAAGTGATTCTCCTGCCTCAGCCTCCCAAGTAGCTGGGATTACAGGTGTGTGCCACCACACTCAGCTAATTTTGTATTTTTAGTAGAGACAGAGTTTCACTGTGTTGGTCAGGCTGGTCTTGAACTCCTGACCTCAGGTGATGCACCCGCCTTAGCCTCCCAAAGTGCTGGGATTACAGGTGTGAGCCACCGCGCCTGGCTGTGCCTGAAGTTTCTTACACCAGGAAGCAAAGAAGCTACTGAAGATTATTAGAGCCACAACCAAGGGACTCAGGAACCAAATTGAAGTTTCTACTGGGACAATTTGAGCATTAATAAGATAACTGCAATGGTTTGAAACGCATCAAGTCCATGAGTTCATAATAATAAAAATAAACTTGTATCATTGGCCACCTTTTAAGGATACCAGGGAATTAACTCATTATTTTGAAAACTGGTAAATAAAGAGACTCAGGCATTTATTTTGTCTTCCTGTATACAGCATCTCAGCATAAATCGTTGAGAAGGGGAGTTTGTCTTTATAGAATGTAGCTAATAAATTAAGTAATGGTAGAATGAGAGTATTATTTTTTGCAACTCGTAAATCATTAATGGATCTAGGCAATGATCATTTTGTGTTTCCTAATGGGAGTACATAACAACCCTGTTGAAATACTCTTGCCCAGGTTGCCCAAGTTACACCAACCTGAATCTGATCAAGCCCCGAGATCTGATTACCAGCTTACAGGAAGTAAAGAGGACAGAGAAACAAATTAAATGACACTACCGGAATACAGAGGATAGAAATATCTGATAGGCAATCAGGAATATCTGCTTACCAATTTACAGGAAGTACAGAGGAACAAATTAAATGATACCACAGGAGTACAGTGAGCAAAATCCAGGCAATCTTAGGCTCTGTAAGATAAACAACGTGGTTTCTTCAAAAGATACATTGCAAGGAAAAGAGAGAGAGATTGGGAGAACTGAAAAGAAATTTAGAGAAATACCAACCAATTACAGCGTGTGGGCCTTATTTAGATCCCAATTTGGATGAACCAAATATAAACAAACATTTATGAGCTTATCAAGAAGTTGAACACTGACTGGATAGTTAGTGATATTAAGGAATTATTATATTATTTAAGGTACAAGAATGGTATTGTGGTTTTGTTTAAAAAAGAGTCTTTGTTTAAAAAAGAGCCTGGTGGCTCATGCCTGTAATCCTGGCACTTTGGGAGTCTGAGGCAGGTGAATCGCTTGAGGCCAGTAGTTCCAGATCATTGTGGGTAACATGGCGAAACCTTTTCTCTACTAAAAATCAAAAAATTAGCCCACTGTGGTGACGTGCACCTGTAGTCCCAGCTACTCGGGAGGCTGAGGCAGGAGAATCGCTTGAACCTGGGAGGCAGAGGCTGCAGTGAACAGAGATTGCACCATTGCACTTCAGCCTGGGCAACAGAGCGAGACTGTCTCTAAATGCATGCATGCATGCATGCATACATACATACATACATACATACATACATACATACATACAAACAATAAAACAAAAAAGATTTTTTATCTTTTAGAGCTATATACCGAAATATTTTTTTGAGGGAGACAAACTCTGTTGTTAGATTGAAGTAATTCAAATGTCAGAATGGGAAATTTATACTTCATCTGAGAGACATTGAATAATCCTTATGGGTACCTGAGAAAGGAAGAGGCATGGTAATAGGATAAGGAGTGTAGAGTGTCGAAGTAGACCCACACATGTATGGTCATTTGCTTTTCAACAGAAATGCTAAGTTATTTCATAGGGGGAAAGGACAGTCTTTTCGGGGTATTGTTTTGGAATAACTTTCCCTTCCCCCCATTAGTGCATTTCATTGTGCGTAAGTGGGCAGAATAGATTGGTTGGACAAGAGTCTAGCTAGGGGAGGCCACCACAGGATGTACAGGAGTAATTTTTTCCCCAAAACAATGAGTACTTTGACTCTGTACTAAGGATAGATGTGGTCAAGGTTTTGCTTTGGCTCATCTGTTGTCCGACCTGTGATCCCCCTGGTCTGTCTCTTCCTAACCTTGGCCAGTATTTTCTTTTATTCTGCATATCACTAGAAACAGAACAGTGGGGAGAATCTAGTGATGGATGGAAAGGGATACAGAAAATTTGCAACCATCAAATAATAACCTCTATTTTTTTCTCCTTTAAAAGAAGTTGAACTTGCTCTCATTGTCTCAAACTGGTTTCCTGCACGTCCCAGTGACTTAAATTAGTACAAGGGTGCAAGGCCTTTCTGAGAAATGCATTGAGACTCCTGTTTATGTTGAAATCTTGCTCTGTCTCTTTCTGTTTAAACCAGACCAGAGCAAAGACTTTAACAGCTTATAGGCAAATGCCTGAACGGTTTTTCTTTTTGCTTCAGTTGAAGTGGTATCTATGCAAAATTCCAAAGAGTGGGTGAGTGGAGGGAGTGCAGTAGGGCCAAGGTATTTCTTTATTATGGCTGTTCCCAGTGTCTCTTCCAGACCATGGTTCAAAGGCTCCTTTGATCAACTGATTGATGTTTCAGTGGGTTTTCTAGATTCTTCTACCGCTCTTTGTTTTTGTCTTTGTTCTATCCCTATACCTCTCCATACCTCTAACCCAAATCACTAGTCAATCCCTAAGCAAGGGATCTTGAGGTCTGAGGTGCAGTGGTACAGGGTAGGGATGCTTACCTACAGAAGAAAGGACCTTGATCAGATTGCCTGAATTTGGTTGATTTTTGTTTCCTGCTTGTGTGTGTGTGTGTGTGTGTGTATACACGTGTACAAGCACATGCACCTTTTCCAAGGAAAATGTAATTGCCATGTAACTTAAGACATACATAGAGCTCCTATAAACAGTCATAGCACAGGCTTTTGTGTGAACATAAATTTTTACTTCTCTAGAGTAAATATCTGGGAGAGGGATTGCTGGATCATATGGTATGTATATATTTAAGAAATTTCCTAGCAAATTGGCTTTATAATACTGCATTCCTATCAGCAGTGAGCAAGAGTTTTCCTTGCTCTGCATCCTGGCTAGTGCTTGGTATTATTAGTTTTTAAAATTTTAGTCATTCTATTAGGTATTTAGGGGTATCTCATTGTAGTTTCTCATTGTGTTTCCCTAATAGTTAATGATATTGAACATTTCTTCATATGCTTACTTTCTTTGGCATCATATCTGTTCAGGTCATTTATGCACATTATTAATTGGGTTGTTTTCTTGCTGTTGAGTTTTGAGAGTTCCATTATGTATTTTAGATAGAATCCTTTGTCAGATGTATGATTTGCAAATATTTTCTCCCAGCCTGTAGCTTGCCTTTTCATTCCTTTAACAGTATCTCTCATAGAGCAAGTAATTTCAGTTTTGATGAAGTACAATTTATCAATCTTTTCTTTCATAGATTGTGGTTTTGGTGTTATGGGTAGGAATTCTTTGTCTAACTCCAGATCACAGAGATTTTCTACTATGTTTTTACAAAAATGTTACAGTTGTATGCTTTATAATTAGAACTAATGTCATTTTGAGATAAATATTTTGTATGGTGCGAGGATTAGTTCAAGGTTCATTTTTTTTGCCTATGCTTGTCTAATTATTTTTTAAAAAAATTTTTTATGAATTTTAAATGAAACAAAAGCTGGTTCTTTGAAAAGATAAAAAAATTGATAGACCATTAGCAAGATTAACCAAGAAAAGAAGAGAGAAGATCCAAATAGGCTCAATTAGAAATGAAATGGGAGATGTTACAACCAACACCACAGAAATACAAAAGATCATTCAAGGCTACTGTGAACACCTTAACACACATAAACTAGAAAACAGAGGAGATGGATAAATTCCTAGGAATATACAACTCTCCTAGCTTCAATCAGGAAGAATTAGAAACTCTGAACAGAACAATAACAAGCAGTGAGATTGAAATGGTAATAAAAAAAATTACCAACAAAAAAAGTCCAGGACTGGACAGATTCACAGCCGAACTCTATCAGACTTCAAAGAAGAATTGGTACCAATCCTAGTGACATTATTCCACAATACAAAAAAAGAGGGAATCCTCTCTGCATGATTCTATGAAGCCAGTATCACCCTAATACCAAAACCAGGAAAGGACATAACAAAAAAAGATATTGATCTGTAGTTCAGTATCCCTGATGAACATAGATAGAAAAATCCTTAACAGAATACTGGCTAACTGAATCCAATGGCATATCAGAAAGATAATCCACCATGGTCAAGCGGGTTTCATACCAGTAATGCAAGGATGGTTTAACATACGCAAGTCAATAAATGTGATACACTATATAAACAGAATTAAAAACAAAAATCACATGATCATCTCAATAGATGCAGAATAAGCATTTGACAAAATCCAGCATTCATTTGTGATTAAAACTCTCAACAAAATTGGCATACGAGGGACATACCCCAATGTAAATAAAAGCCATCTATGACAAACCCACAGCCGACGTAATACTGAATGAGAAAAAGTTGAAAGCTTTCTCTCTGAGAACTGAAATAAGATAAGGATGCCCACTCTCACCACTTCTATTCAGCATAGTACTGGAAGTTCTGGTCATAGCAATCAGACAAGGGAATGAAATAAAGGTCATCCAAATTGGTAAAGAGGAAATCAAATTGTCACTGTTTGCTGATGACATGATTGTATATCTAGAAAACCCAGTAATTTTTTTTTTTGACGGAGTCTTGCTCTGTCTCCCAGGCTGGAGTGCAGTGGTGCAGTCTCGGCTCACTGCAAGCCCCGCCTCCTGGGTTCACGCCATTCTCCTGCCTCAGCCTCCCGAGTAGCTGGGACTACAGGCACCCGCCACCCATGCCTGGCTCATTTTTTGTATTTTTAGTAGAGATGGGGTTTCACTGCATTAGCCAGGCTGGTCTTGATCTCCTGACCTTGTGATCTGCCTGCCTCGGCCTCCCAAATTGGTGGGTTACAGGCGTGAGCCACTGTGCCTGGCCAAAAAACCCAATAATGTTTTAACATTATTTGTTGAAACACTACTCTTTCTCCATTGAATTGCCTTAGCATCTTTATCAAAAATCAGTGACCATGCTTGTGTGGGTCTATTTCTGGATGTTTTCATCTCTTCCATTGATTTCTGTCTCTCTCTTCTATAATAACACATCTGATTTGATCACTGAAGCTTTCTAGTAAATCTCAATATTGGCTGATTTGATTCCTCCAACTTTATTGTTCTTTTAAAAATTGTTTTGTTCTGGGTCTTTTGCCTTTTCATATAAATTTTAGAATTCACTTGTGTATATCTACCAAAAAATTATGCTGGGATTTGGTTCAGATTTTCATTAAATCTTGAGATAAATTTGGAAAGAGTTGACATCTTGACCATGGTTATTCCCAGTGTCTCTTCCAGATGATGGTTCTTACTTTGAATCTTTTGATCCACAAATATGTTTCTCCATTTATTTAGAGGTTCTATTGTTTTTCTCATCAGTGTTTTGTAATTTACAACATAGAGGTCCTGTATGTATTTTACCAGATTGATACCTAAGTATTTCACTTTTTTTGGAATTACTATAATTAATCACTATAAATGCTATTCTTTTTTTTTTTTTTTTTTTTTGAGATGGAATCTCACTCTGTGCCAGGCTGGAGTGCAGTGGCGCAATCTCGGCTCACTGCAACCGCTGCCTCCTGGGTTCAAGCTGTTTTCCTGCCTCAGCCTCCCGAGTAGGTGGGACTACAGGCGTGCGCCACCACACCCACCTAATTTTTGTATTCTTTTTTTTTTTTTTTGAGAGGGAGTCTCACTCTGTCACTCAGGCTGGAGTGCAGTGGCGCGATTTCGGCTCACTGAAAGCCCTGCCTCCCGGGTTCACGCCATTCTCCTGCCTCAGCCTCCCGAGTAGGTGGGACTACAGGCGCCCACCACCACACCCGGCTAATTTTTTGTATTTTTTTTTGGTAGAGACGGGGTTTCACATGTTAGCCAGGTTGGTCTCGATCTCCTGACCATGTGATCCGCCCACCTCGGCCTCCCAAAGTGGCTGGGATTATAGGCGTGAGCCAACCCGCCCAGCCTAATTTTTGTATTCTTACTAGAGATGGGGTTTCACTATGTTGGCCAGGATGGTCTTGATCTCTTGACCTCATGATCTGCCCATCTCAGCCTCCCAAAGTGCTGGGATTACAGCTGTGAGCCACTACACCCGGCCTATAAGTGGTATTCTTTTTGTATTTTAGTTTCATTTTCATAACTAGTATATAGAAATATGATTCATTTTGTGGGTGATTTGTATCCAGTCATTTTATTTCTCATTTATTCTGTGAGTCAGTGAATAGGGACAGTTTTATTTGTTTCTTTCTAATCTATATGACTTTTTCTTTTTCCTGCCTTATTGCACTCTTAGGACTTACAATATGATGTGGACAGGAGTGGTAAGAGTGGACATCTTTTTCTTCTTCCTGATCTTTTTTTTGAGACAGGGTCTCACTCTGTCGCTCAGGCTGGAGTGCAGTGGTACAATGATAGCTCACTACAGTGTCAACCTCCTGGGCCCCATTGATCCTCCCACCTCAGCTTCCCAAGTAGCTGGTGCTATAAGCACCCCACCACACCTGGCTAACATTTTAAATTTTTTGTAGAATTGGTGCCTTGCTATGTTGTCCAAGCTGATCTTGAACTCCTGGGCTTAAGCAATCTTCCTGTGTTGGCCTCTCAAAGTGCTGGGATTACAGGTGTGAGCCACCTCGTCTGGCCTCTTTTTCTTCATCTTATTGAGAAAGTGTTTGATCTGTCACCATTAAGTATGACATGAGCTGTAGGTTTTTGTAAATGTCCTTTCCAGGTTGAGGACAGTCCCTTCTACTCCTAATTCACTGAGAAATTTTATCATGAATGGGTGTTGAGTTTTGTTAGATGCTTTTTCTGTATTAATTGACAGGATCTATGATTTTTCTTTTTTAGGCTGTCAATATGTTGGATTACAGTGGTTGATTTTCAAATATTGAACCAGCTTTCCATTGCCATGATAAAATCACATTTGATTCTGATGTATTATTCTTCTTATATATTGTTGGATTTAATTTGCTAATATTTTGTTGAGTATTTTTGCATCTGTGTTCATGAGGGATATTGGCCTGCAGTTTTCTTTTCCTGTACTCTTGACTGGTGTTAATATCAGGGTAATTCTGGCCTTATAAACTGAGTTTGGAAGTATTCCCTTCTAGAAGAGAATGTTTTCTGGAAGAGATTGTGTAGAATTGGTATTATTTCTTCTTTAAATGTTTGATATAATTCACATGTGAAACCTGGGCCTAGAGATTTCCTTTTCAGAAGGTTTTTAACTACAGATTTAATTTCATTAAATTTCTAGGACTATTTATGCTGTCTCTTTCATCCTGGGAGAGTTTTGGAAGTTTATAGTATTCATGCATTTTTTTTTTAATCTAAGTTGTTGAATTTATCTGTATAGAGTTGTTCATTGTATTCCCCATTTTTTTAAATGTCTTCATGGTTTTTAGTGATGATTTCATTCCTGATGTTGGTAAGTTGTTCTTTTTCTCTTTGTTTCTTTGTCCATCTGGCTAGAGGTTTGTCACTTTTATTGATCTTTTCAAAGAATCATCTTTTGGTTTCATTGATTTTTCTCTGTTGTTTTTCTTGCTTACAGTTTAATAGATTCCTGATCTTACTTTTATTATTTCCTTCCTCTACTTGCTTTGGAATTTATTTTGCCCTTCTTTTTCCAGTTTCTTAAGGTAGCAACTTAGCTTATTGATTTGAGACCTTTGTTCTATTGTAACAAGCACTGAATGACATAAATCTCCTTTAAGCACTGCTTTAGCTGTGCTCCACACAATTTTTTTTTTTTTTTTTTTTGAGACGGAGTCTCACTCTGTCGCCCAGGCTAGATTGCAATGGTGCGATCTCAGCTTACTGCAGGCTCCCCCTCCTGCGTTCAAGTAACTCTCCTGCCTCAGCCTCCTGAGTAGCTGGGACTACAGGCGTGTGCCACGATGCTTGGCTAATTTTTTTGTATTTTTAGTAGAGATGGGGTTTCACCGTGTTATCCAGGCTGGTCTTGAACTCCTAACCTCAGGTGATCCGCCTGCCTTGGCCTCCCAAAGTGCTGGGATTACAGATGTGAGCCAACGTGCCTGGCCACTCCACACATTTTGATACATTATGTTCCGTTTTTATTCACTTTGATGCCTTCTAATTTTCTTTGGGACTTTCTCTTTGATCCATGGACTGTTTAGATGTGTGTTGTTTGAGTTGCAGTTGTTGGGAGATGCTCCTATTACCTTTCTATTATTGATTTTTAGTTAATTCACTTACGTCAAAGGACACTTTTTTTGTGATTTAAATTATTTTCTTTTTTTAATTTAAGAGTTTTGTCTCAGGATATGGTGTATCTTGGTGAATGTTCCATGTGTACTTTAAAAGAATATCTACTCCTAGCTGGGCACAGTGACTCACACCTGTAATCCCAACATTTTGGGAGGTCAAGGCAGGAGGACTGCTTGAACCCAGGAGTTTGAGACCAGCCAGGGCAACAAAGCGAGACCCTGTCTCTACAAAAATTTTTAAAAATTAGCTGCGTGTGGTGGCACATGCCTGTGGTCCCAGCTACTTAGGAGGCTGAGGTGAGAGGATCACTTGAGCCTAGGAGTTCAAGGCTGCAATGAGCTATGGTTGTGCCGCTGAACTCCAGCTTGGGTGACAGAGCAAGACCTTGTCTCTAAAAAACAAACAAAAAGAAAACAAGAAGCCAGGTGTGGTGTCTCACACCTGTAATCCCAGCACTTCGGGAGGCCTAGGTGGGAGGATCACTTGAGGTCAGGAGTTCGAGACCAGCCTGGTCAACATGGTGAAACCCTGTGTCTACTAAAAATACAAAAATTAGCTGGGCATGATGGCGTGCACCTGTAGTCCCAGCTACTCGGGAGGCTGAGGCAGGAGAATTGCTTGAACCTGGGAGGCAGAGTTTGCAGTGAGCCGAGATTGTGCCACTTACTCCAGCTTGGGGGACAAAGCGAGACTCCGTCTTACAAAAAAAGAAAAACAACAACAAACAAACAAAATAAAACCAAAACTAAGTTTATAAAAAAGAATGTCTGTTCTGCTGTTATTGGATGGAGTTGTCTATCCAAGGCTCTCCTTCCCCTTTCCCTCTATGTTATAGTTGTCTTATATATTACATTTGCAAAGATTGAAAATCTCATCAGACAATCCTATGTTTGCTTTCAATTGTCAAACACATTTTAAATAACTGAATAACAGAAAGATAATCTACTTACCCAGATATTTACCATTTCTGTTCTTTCTTCATTTCTGATGTTTGAGGTTTCTTTGTGGTTTCATTTTCCTTTTATTTAAAGAATTTTCTTTAGAAATTATTTTAGAGCAAGATTTGTTGACAAGAAATTATCTCAATTTACATTCATTTGACAATATCTTTATTTCACCATCTCAATAAAAATTAATAAAAATAAAAAATAAAAACATTATGTTTTTTCCTTTGGCCTCCAAAGTTTTTATTTTGAAATCCACCATCATTCAAATTATTCTTCCCTTATAAGTAGTAGAAGGATTTCTGTGACTGTTTTCAAGAATTTTTACTTTGTCTTTAGTTCTCAGTATTTAATTATGATTTGTCTTGGAATTGACTTCTTTATTGTTTAAGCTTTGCTCATCTTCTTAGGTATGTAAGTTTATGTATTTTGCCAATTTTGTGGGGTTTTTGACTCTATGTCTTCAAATATTTTCTTCTGTACTACAGCCTTTCTCTCTCTCTGGGACTCTAACGACACAAATATTAGACCTTTTAGTATTGGTTCACTCAGCAGAAACGCTGATCTCTCTCCCATCCAGATTCCTCCGTGCTCCAGGGTTTCTCAGGCCTCGGCACTTTTCACATCTTGTTTCCCTTACCTAGCCTCCCCTTCCTGTTTCCCCACCCCACTTTCCTGCTGCCTAGCAAGCTTCTACTCATCCTTGAAAATCCACTTCAGGAATGTCATGCTTTGTGGCCTGTCTTTGATCACCTAGAGTGAGTTAATTCCAGCCTCCAACCCTTGTAGAGTCCGTGTGTGCTTATTGACCTTTTTGTACTTTAGTTTGCTGGGTCTGTGTCAGTGTCTCTGAGCCTTGGTTCTCAGGAGCTCAGGTCTACTGTGTCTTATTATGTCCTCAGTGCTGGGCACAGTGTCTGGCATCTAGAATAGGCTCAACCAGAGGCTGAGCAGTCAGTTTGCTATTATTACCATATGGCTTCTTCAGCCTCCTGGATAGGTTGAGGACCAGATATAGAATGCCCATGAGCCTTTGAAACCAAGTTTTTAGTGGATATTAAACTCATTCCATTTAACCCAACTCGCTTTTTATCTCATCTATTATTGCTCTAATGATTTTGCCTCTTGAATACCCCATTACTATTCAGAAAGGAAAAGATTGTACTGTTTCATTGTTTTTTCTCTCATAATCCAAACTATAGTATTTGCACTTGACTTTTGGTTTCCCTCAAATATACCTTCCCATCATCTCATGTATGCCTTGGTGTTATTTTTTAAGTTATTGCTATCTTTTTGTTGGTAAGTTATTTAAAGATATTGCTATCTTTTATTTTTAAATTTAGGTAAAGTTATTACTTCATCTGACTATATCTGGGCTATTTATTTTTCTCCATGGAGTTGCACAGTCATGCCTGGCATATCATTTATTTTCTTAAAGGAGGATATTTATTAGTTTTGTTCTGTTTTTTTGAGGCAGAGTCTCCCTCTGTCGCCCAGCTGGAGTACAATGATGCGATCTCGGCTCACTGCAACCTCCATCTCCCAGGTTCAACTGATTCTTATTCTTCAGCCCCACGAGTAGCTGGGATTACAGGCACTCACCACCATGCCCAGCTAATTTTTCTGCTTTTGGTAAAGATGGGGTTTCACCATGTTGGCCAGGCTGGTCACTAACTAGTAGTTTTAATTTTTGAGAAGCCCCCCATACCCTTTTAAGAAAAAAAGGCAAAAAATCCAATTACTTTGAAAAGAAATTTGTAATTGATACATAATATTGTACATATTTATGTGGTACAATGTGATGTTTCAGTGCATGTATACATAGTATAATGGTCAAATCGGAGTAATTATCATGTCCATCACTTTAAGCATTTGTCATTTCTTTGTGGTGACAACATTCAAAATCTTCTCTTAAAGTTATCTTGAAATATATACTACATTGTTACTTGCTGTAGTCACCCTACTGTATAGTGGAACCCAGAACTTACTCTTCCAGTCTAACTGTAACTGTGTACCCACTGACCAACCTTTCCTGTCCTTCCTCCCCATGCTGGCATATTATTTAAATCCACAGACACATATCGAATAGCCACTTTGTGCCAGAAACTCTTGACACTGGGGTACCAGACAAATCCAAAATCTGTGCCCTGGAAGAACTCATAGTCTCAGGGGGCAGATGGTCTGTTCCTAGGGTTGCTGTGAGACTGGAGCAGGCCGGATGTGGGCTGTCCGTGGGAGTGGGGTTCAGGTGGGATGGTATGGTACCTGTGAGGCCAGGGTACAAGTTACCTGAGTGAGTGCTTTGTGGAAATAGAAAAGTGACCATTTCAGAAAAAAAAGATGAAGTCCAAGAATTTAATTATTCATTCAATCAATTAACAAATATTTATGGAACACCTACTATGTGCAAGCACTATTCCAGGTGCTCAGAACAAAGCCCATTGCATATGGAACTTGAGTTCTGCTAGGGGAGACAAATAGGCAGATGCATGAATATTTAATATGTTCTTAGGTAATGAAAGCACTATGAAGAGAAATAAAGCAGAGAAAGGAAACTTGGGAATAAGGAACCCTGCTGGTTTCTGTGGGATGTTCAGGTGGGACTTTAGGAAACTGTGGTATTCCAGCACAGACAAGACACAGAGTCAGGTGGGGCAGAGCCCCCGAGGTGGGAAGCACTTTGCAAGCTGGGAGAACTGCAGGAAGGCCAGGCTGCTGGTGTTGAATGAACGAGGGAAAAAATGGTAGGAAGTAAAACTGGAGAAGTTGCTGAGGACCCAATTCCACGGGGCCTTACAGGGTTTTTATTCTGAGCAATTGTGGGGAGCCATTTGAAGGTTTTAAGTAAGGAGTAACACGATTTGAGGTGTGCCTTGAAAAGATCATGCTGGGTGGATACCCGTTTTGGGGGAACGGGACAGGAAAGGGGCAGGGAAGAGCAGACATACAAGTTAAAAAGCTAATAGAGAAATCTACATGCGAGATAATGGTAGCTTGGACTAGGGTTGGTAACAGTGAGAAGTGTTCAAATTTGGGATATTTTGAAGAGCTGTTGGGATTTTGGAGTGGTTTGTGTCTAAGATGTGAGAGAAAAAGAGGTCAAGAACAATTTCAAGATTTGGTGCCATTTGTTGAGGGAGGGCTGGGCAGGGGAAGAATAAGGTTGTAGGAGAAAATCAAGGTTGGTTTTAAATGTATTGAGTCTGGGCCGGGTGCAGTGGCTCACGCCTGTAATTTCAGCACTTTGGGAGGCCAAGGTGGGGGTGGATCACCTGAGGTCAGGAGTTCGAGACCAGCCTGGCCAACATTGCAAAACTCCATCTCTATTAAAAATACAAGAATTAGTCAGGCGTGGTGTCGGGTGCCTGTAACCCCAGCTACTGGGGAGGCTGAAGCAGGAGAATCACATGAACCTGGGAGGTGGAGGTTGCAGTGAGCTGAGATGGCGCCATTGCACTCCAGCCTGGGCGATGAGAGCGAGACTCCATCTTAAAAAAAAAAAAAAAATTTGAGTCTGAAATGGCTAGTGGAAATACAGCTGGAGTTCATGAGGCAGCCCATGACTAGAGATCTGAATTTGCGGAGCCTTCAGGATACAGATGGTATTTGACGTCATGAAACTGGAGAAGCACAACGTGGAAGGAGGTGGAAAGAAGATCAGTGGTGTGCGGACTGAGCTGTGGTGTCAGGAATATCAGCTGCTGAGAAGTGGAAGTTATGAGGACTGAGGGTGGACTGTGGGATTTGGTTCAGTGGGGGTCACTGGTGACCTGGAAGAAGGCAATTGTGATAGAATATTGGGAAAAGAAGTTTAACTGGAGTGAGTTGAGAGAAGGTGGGGCAAGAAAGTTGAGACATCAAGTACAGGCAGCTCTTTCAGGGAGTCCTACTGTAAAATTAAAGAAATAGGGAAATTGCTGGAGAAGGATGTGAAGCCAAGTGAGGATGTTTTAAGGGAACAGTCTATCAGAGCACATTTGTGTGCTGAAGAGAATAACCTGGGCAAAGAGAAAGAAGCTGGCTGGGCATGGTGGCTCACGCCCGTAATCCTAGCACTTTCCAAGGCCGAGGTGGTGGGAGGATTGCTTGAACCCAGGAGTTCAAGATCATCTTGGAAAACAAAGTGAGACTCCATCTTTACAAAAATTTTAAAAAGTTAGCTTGCGATGGTGGTGTGTACATGTGTTCTCAGCTACTTGGGAGGCTCAGGTGTGAGGATCACTTCAGCCCAGAAGGTTGAGGCTGCAGTGAGCCAGGGATGGCGCCACTGCTCTCCAGCCTGGGTGACAGAGCAAGACTCTGTCTCTGAATGAATGAATGAATGAATGAAGCTGATGAGAATGGAGCGGATAGTGGATGATTGCAGTGACCATATTTATTGAGGTGGTGGGAGGGTGGGGATCTACAATAGGAGTAAAGTGGGTCTTTGATGAGCACACAGAAGGTTTACCCACTATCAAAGATGGGGAGGCACATGTGGAGGTGGCTGCAGGGAGGTTGGTAGATTTGGTGGTTCCCTTTGTACACACACACACACACACACACACACTCTCTCTGTCTCTCTCTCTCTCTCTCTGTCTCTGTCTCTCTCTCTCTCTCCACACATCCCCACCCTCCCACCATGCCTGCAGTGCAGGGTACAAGGAGGAAATGATGGGCTGTGAAGCTGGAAGGGTGGGTGGGGAATGGATATTGTGGAGAAGCTCTTCCATTCACCTAAGGAGTTTGGATCTCATTCTTGGGCAGAGGGGAGCCCTGGTGGCTAGTAATTATGGGAAGAGCCTGATCTTCTGTGGGATGTGGAGGCAGCAGGAACTCCAGTGGGGCAGGGCTGGTTGGGAAAACCTGGGGCACAGAGGCTGCTGCCAGGGCCAGGTGAACTCTACTTCTTTATTCTGTCAATACGTTGTTAACACGTACTTTTCTGAAATTGAATAGATTCTTATAGATGATTGAAGAAAATCAAATTAATTCAAGTAGTCATGAAGCAGAACTATGTTAGCTGCCAGGCAAGCAGCTGATTTCCTTTAATAAGATGAATCATTAATGGGTTGGGAGATTTAGGCCTTCGTGTGCAGTAAGGGAGGAAACAGATATGAGTGGGAGAAAATGTGAGGTATTTTGGAACCACAACAATCCTGTTAGTTACTCTTAATACCCTTAGACCTTCTGTAGGCACTGTTGATATCTTTTAACAGATGAAGGAGGAGAGTCCAGGGCATTTCAGTCACTGCTCATAGCACCCAGAAAATCAGTTGGTAGACCTAGGATTTAAATGGTGTTCTTGAATTTCTAGTTCTTTACTTGGTCCTTGGACTGAAGCAAAGTGAGAAATCTTGGCGATAAACCACCTGCAGGACTGGGGACATATCACTTAGGCTTTAATGTTCAGGTCCACACTATTTCACAAAATTTCTACAATCTAAAGTGGGGATTACTTGGCTACCAGCATCAGGGGAAATGTGACACTGCAGTTACTTATTAGATTCTCATTTTAAGGCCCTCTGTGGAAGAGAGGATCTCACCAGCATATACTTGGTTAATAAGTAAAACATGGATCTTGGGCCAGTGCAGTGGCTCACACCTGTAATCCATCCCAGCACTTTGGGAGGCCAAGGCGGGCGGGTCACAAGGTCAGGAGGTCGAGACCATCCTGGCTAACACGGTGAAACCCCATCTGTACTAAAAATACAAAAAATTAGCAGGGCATGGTGGCAGGTGCCTAGAGTCCCAGCTACTCAGGAGGCTGAGGCAGGAGAATGGCATGAACCCGGGAGGCGGATCTTGTAGTGAGCTGAGATTACACCACTGCACTCCAGCCTGGGCGACGGAGCGAGACTCCGTCTCAAAAAAAAAAAAAAAAAAAAAATTAGCCAGGCATGGTGGTGCATGCTGTAGTCCCAGCTACTTGGGAGGCTGAAGCAGGAGAATCGCTTGAACCCGGGAGGCAGAAGTTGCAGTGAGCCAAGATCACGCCACTGCACCCCAGCCTGGGTGACAGAGGGAGATTCCCACTCAAACAAACAAACAAACAAACAAACCAAAAACAAAAAAACAAAAAAAAAACATGGAGCTTGACTCGGAGATGGTTGTAACTGCTGCACTTCCTCTCCTGTGAATGCCCTACCAAGCTAATAGCCCAGGTAAAAGGGGAAAGCATTATTATAGTGAAGTCTAAACATTTTATTTTGTTTTATTTTTTGAGATGGAGTTTCGCCCTTGTCACCCAGGCTGGAGTGCAATGGCACTGCAGCCTCCACTTCCTGGGTTCAAGCGATTCTCCTGCCTCAGCCTCCCACGTAGCTGGGATTACAGGCATGCATCACCACACCCAGCTAATTTTCTTGGTATTTTTAGTAGAGACGGGTTTTACCATGTTGGCCACGCTGGTCACAAACTCCTGACCTCAGGCGATCCACTCGCCTCGGCCTCCCAAAATGCTGGGATTAGAGGCGTGAGCCACCACACCCGGCCAAGTCTAAATATTTTAAGAGGCATCCTGAGTTCAGAAATGCTAAAATGGGGCAGGGGGTAGGAATAGTAAGGAGAGAAAGTGTGTCTTAGAACTAGGAATTGAGTAGCTTAAATTTTTGTTTAACATGAAATTCTGGAAAAGTTTGTCCTTTAAAAACAAACTTATATTTTCATTGAAGTTTAGTTTTAAGTGTTTTACTGATAATCCTGACTCCAAAGATTGGTTTTAGGGTTAAATGAGATAATGTATGTAAGGCATTTAAAGCAGTTCCCAGCACATAGTGAAGGCTCAATAAATATTCATAGTAAATTGTAATTACTGTTATCTTAATATACTTTCCAGGGAGCAGTAGATTTTTTGAAGTATTCCCAATTGTTAAATGTTACCTTTTACTTGGTAACATTTCTTTTTTTTCTTTCTTTCTTTCTTTTTTTTTTTTTGCAGTAATATCTTCAAATACTTTAGAACAGTGGTCCCCAACCTTTTTGGCATCAGGGACCTGTTTTGTGGAAGACAGTTTTTCCACGGGGGTGGGGAGGAGGGCATGGTTTAGGGATGAAACTGTCCCACTTCGAATCATCAGGCATTAGAGTCACATAAGGAGCTTGCAACCTAGATCCCTCTCATGCACAGTTCACAATTGGGTTTGTGCTCCTGTGAGAATTTAATGCCAGGCGGAGCGCAGTGGCTCACGCTTGTAATCCCAGCACTTTGGGAGGCTGAGGTGGGTGGATCACCTGAGGTCAGGAGTCCGAGACAAGCCTGGCCAACATGGCAAAACCCCGTGTGTACTAAAAATACAAAAATTAGCCAGGCGTGGTGGCGTGAGCCTGTAATCCCAGCTACTTGGGAGGCTGAGGCAGGAGAGTCGCTTGAACCCGGGAGATGGAGGTTACAGTGAGCCAAGATCATGCCACGGCACTCCAGCCTGCGCGACAGAGTGAGATTCCATCTCAAAAAAAAAAAAAAAAAGACTATCTAATGCTGCTGCTGATCTGACAGGAGGCAGAGCTCAGGCGAGAATGCTCACTTGCCTGAGGTTCACCTGCTGTGCAGCCTGGTTCTTAACAGTCCCCAGCCTGCGGGGTGAGCACCTCTGCTTTAGAAGTATTTCTAATTGTAAAAAAGTTACTTTTTAGTTGGTAGCATATTTTTTATTAGCAAGAAGAAGACATAGATTTTAAATTATTAATATGCAAAAAAATGAACTTATTGAATGTCTAATTGAGTGTGGCACTGGCTCAGTGCTAATCAGAGAAAACCTGTCTTACCCACAGATGTGGTCCTGCCTGTTGGCTGTTATAACCCATGGCGGACACTACAGAAATGACCACTAACATTGAGCCACATCATAATGTGCACATATGCCAGAGTTGCTTCTAAGCAATGTACCTTTAATCCTCATTTCATCTTCCCAGCAACCCCGAGTTAGGAACTCGTATCATTTCCTTTTCAGAGACAAAAAAACTGAAGCCCATATACTCAGTTGGCAATGGTAGAGTGGAATTTGAGCTCACCGCCCGACTCCAGAGTGGTGCCCTTAATTACGATGCTGTACAGCCTCTTTCTGATATGAGGCAAACGCTATTGGTTGCCTACCCAACAACCAGTCCCACTGTCTTACTTGCTGGAAAATCCTTGACTTTGTGTGGTTGTTTACCCCTCCCTATGTGTCTGTGTGAAAGCAAATCTGGTCCACATTTCTGTGAGTTCATCCTGGTTCATCTAAGCTGATCATGGTGTTGCATTTCTCCTTGCCAAAGATTGGGTTAGGCAGGGACATTTGACAAGATTCTGGCTGCGGGAATATGAGGAGTAACTCTCTGCAGGCTTCTCAGAAAACTTTCTTCACAGGGAGACATAGACATACAAGGAAGGACACCTCTCTTCCTCCCCTGACCTGATCACATCTAGCAATGTGGCAGCAATCTGGTACCAGCCTGGGGATGACACCAATGCCAAGTAAGGCACAGCCAAGAAAATGACGGAGAAGCGGAGCTCTGACAGTCTATACTTGGAGGTGCCCATCCCTGTGCCTTTCATTCTGTGAGAGGAAAAGACCCATCGTCGCTTAGGCCAGTTTGAATTGGCTTTTCTGTTACTGGTAGCCAAAGGGGTGCTCATTTGGAGCGTCCTTGCAGGCGTGCCTTGGCATGCAAAGGGTGACCGGTATGCTGAGATCTAGCTGCCCTCAGCTGGAGTCCCACGCCCGTTACCTCCACCAGTAAGAGCCTCCTTTAATCAGGGAATATGCAGATATTTTCTCTTTGTATCATGGCATTTAAAAGAGTGGGAAGCATTGTCTTAACTGATCAAAAACATGTAATAGAAATGTTATGTGTCAGTATGCATAGGTAATTAAAATATTTTAAAGAATGAATGTATGTTTCTAAGAAAACGTCTTTTGCCCCTCATCCTTTGGGCTGGATGATTCCCTCCAGACCTCGTTCAAGTATAATTTCCCCTGACGAGCCTTCCCTAACTTAACCAGCCATTACTTGCTCTCTCCTCAGAAGATGTTTAATCTTTCTGTTGGCACTTACTTCACTGTGATCTGATGACTGGTCTTTCAAGTCTGTCTTTGCCAGTGGACTGTAAGCTCTTGAGCGAAAGTAGTTCCTTGTTGAGAATGGCTGTCAGCTCAGAACAAGCTCATCTGTAGTAGCTAAATTAACCTAGATGTGGTAGTCATACTAGATACTGCAACTCCTAGAATACTGCTTCTCAATCCTAGCTGCTTTTTAACCCCTCTCATGATTCCCATCCCTGGAGGTGGTGGTTTATTTGGTATGGGGTACAGCCCAGACATTGGTGCTTTATAGGCCTCCGTGATTCCAGTGTGCAGTCAAGTTGGGAAGAGAGTTGCAGGAAGAGAGTGACATAGCCAGAGGGAAAGACAGCAAAGACCGTTTGACAACTGTGATGACAGTAGATGTCACTGGATCCAGAGAATCCAACAAGAAGCTTGTCACAGTAGCCCTGACGAGAGATGAACCTAGAACAAGGGTGGACCCCGTAGACATGATAATTTGAGCGGCTGCTATGGGAGATGCCTTATGTCAGTGTCATCTTAGGCAGTTATCCTCATCCTGCCTACACCAGAGAAGCCTTTTAAAAATACAAGTACTTGGATCCCACCCCAGAGATTCTGATTAAATTGATCTGGGGTAGCTTCTAGGCAGCAGTACTTTGAAATTTTTTTAAAGCTCCCCAGATGATTTTAATGAGTTGCCAAGGTTGAGAATTACTGCCTTAGAAGAACAGCAGTAGGATTCAACCCTAGTTCAATGTTAGTATCACAGGCTTCCTGACTTGAGATGTTGAGGAGAGGTTTGCATAGACCAGGGTGGGAAGAGCAGTGGCTGGGAGTTGGACATAGGGTAAGGAACAAGGAGAGAAGACAGATACTTCTTCATGGAGTTCAGTTTGAATTGACAGTGGGATCGGATATCATGACAACTTTTGGCTGTGTGTTTACACAAGCCTAACTAATGTAAGCTGGAAGACTGAGAGCAGAGTTTCTCAATGTGGCTCAAAGACCACTGGGGGATCCCCCCACCACCATACCCCAAAGTCAGTTAGGTGATCTGCAGGTGCTTTCGCAGTTTCAGAGGAAAAATCAATGCAGTCATTTTATTCTTACGTATTTTATTAATTAAAAATCGTGTGAATCATTATTGTTGTAGGAATCCTGTTATTAATCATCTTTAAGATTATATATATGCCAAAAAGAGTGTTAATCACTTTGTCTTGGCTAGTATTTGGTCAGCTGAGTGCAGTTCACCTCAGCTGATATATTTTTCCATTATCTGCCATTCTTATTCACAAATTTTCATTGATTATAGGTATTCTACGCCAATTCCAAAAAATAGCTCAATGGCTCAGTGTTGAAGGGCAAAAGCAGAGATAGAATGAATCGAGTAAATATTAGAATTCATAAAAATATTAGAACTATAGTGACTAGGACCACAGTACAGATATAGAAATGTATATGTTGTGGATGAGACAAATGATTCCTTTGAGTAGAATGATTTAACACAAACAGCCAAAAAAGGAAAAAATAATTATTACTATATGAAATTAGATTTTATTGAACAAGGCTGGGCGCAGTGGCTAATGCCCCTAATCCCAGCAGTTTGGGAGGCCGACGTGGGCAGATCACTTGAGGTCAGGAGTTTGAGAGCAGCCTGGTAAACATGGTGAAACCCTATCTCCACTAAAAATACAAAAATTAGCCGGGTGTGGTGGTGTGTGCCTGTAGTCCCAACTACTTGGGAGGCTGAGGCAGAAGAATTACTTGAACCTGGGAAGTGGAGGTTGCAGTGAGTTGAGATTGCGCCACTGCACTCCAGCGTGGGCAACAGAGTGAGACTCCATCTCAAAAAAAAAAAATTATCGAACAAGCAGTCCATTCAGTCTCACCTCACTCACTGTGTACTGTCCTTTTATCAGATGGTGACATGAAGTCATGAAGCTTTTCTATTATTTTTAAACACAAAGATAAACCTATTGTTTCCAGAACATATCCAAAATAGTGGTTTTTCAAAGTGAGATTTGAAAATGTTGAATTTGAGATTCTACAGTGATATCAGAAATTAGGTAAAAATGTCAGAGGCAATATTCAGAGCTCTACTCCACACAGAGAAAACAAGGTACAAGTCGCACTACTATTGGAAAGCTTAGTAAGATTAGCTTTGACGTTAACGATGAGTTTAATGTGCAGAGAAAGCAGAATAGGGTATTCTTCATCAGACAGATATTGTATAATATCCATGGTACACGCATGGAGAAGCAGTTACTCTCATAGGTACATGCTAGCAGAGCTTTTACTTCACACTTGGGCAGAACCAGTGATGGGCAGATTATCAATCACCTCTTAGCACATGCGCAGCACTTATGTGAAAGGGAATTGCCTGATGAGTTTTTGTTCAATGAAAACCCACATCGTAAGAGAAGACTGCTTTGTTTGATTTGGTTAATGATTATATTGTGAGTCATGAAGGAGAATGAAAAAGGTAAGTTGGGTCAGTGGCAACCAGTAAGAAAGGACAAAAAGGACATTGTTACATGACTCAGAAGTTGCATTAGAATATGGTGGACGGCAGTATTTTATTTTCAGAGAGCAGGTGGTGGTCTGTACTGTGCCTGCTGACACTGTAGTTGAAAGGAATTGTGAAAATGTGACAATTTCTTATAAAAATGAAGAAAATGGGCAGCAAGTCATGTACTGGAGGCAAAGGTGCCTCATGAAAGATTTTGGAATGTGGTATGAATTAAAAACATGACACTGAACAGTGTCTCTAAAGGCCATTTCTATTATTTAGGTGGCTTTCTCAAATGATGTGCTATTTTAAGGCTGAACATTAAGATTTTTAATGCTAAGCACAAGAAATCCTGTTATAGGTATGTGAGGGCAGAGACCATCTTCTGGTTTCCAGCTGTATCCCTAGTGCCAAGCAGTGTCACCAGTAGCTACTAAATATTTGCTGAATGAATGGATTTTTATTCCTTAGTCAAAGAACTAATGACATACTATAGGTTATGTTTTAAAACGACATCCAAATGCTAAAACATGCTTGCTAACTGCAACCAAAAGCAGGTTACACATCTATTTGTTGATTTCTCTTCCCCGATGGAACATTTAACCCAGCCTTCTAGCTCTTGAATTTAATATGCCCATCAATTTATGTTTACCATAATAAACATGAAATCACCTCATAATTTGTAGGACTATGTTGGATCGGAACATCCAAATGTATCTGACAGAGGCACCAAACGAGCTCTACATATGAGTTAGGATGTTCTAACTTAGAAGAAACAAAAAGTAAGAAAATGAACTACCTGGAGGACAACTCAAACTGTTTGTCATTATACATGTAACAAGCATGTATAAAATGTCAGATTCTATACATACTCTAAACAGTACTGTAAACAGTATCATCCTGCTCATAGATATGAACCTATTCTTTAAAATAATTTTAGAATTAGCATATTTTATTTTATTTATTTTTGTTTTGAGACAGAATCTCATTCTGTCACCCAGGCTGTCGTGCAATGGTATAATCTCGGCTCACCACAACCTCTGCCTCCCAGATTCAAGCGATTCTCCTACCTCAGCCTCCTGAGTAGCTGGGACTACAGGCGTGTGCCACCACGCCTGGCTAATTTTTGTATTTTTAGTAGAAACGGGGTTTCGCCACATTGGCCAGGCTGGTCTTGAACTCCTGACCTCAGGTTATCTGCCCACCTTGGCTTCCCAAATTGCTGGGATTACAAGTGTGAGCCATCAGGCCTGGCCGTGTTTTAGTTTATTATTTAGAAATTGTGGGCCAGGTGCGGTGGCTCACGCCTGTAATCCCAGCAGTTTGGGAGGCTGAGGCGGGCGGATCACCTGAGGTCGGGAGTTCGAGACCAGCCTGACCAACGTGGAGAAACCCTGTCTCTACTGAAAATACAAGTTAGCCAGACGTGATGGCGCATGCCTGTAGTCCCAGCTACTCGGGAGTCTGAGGCAGGAGAATCGCTTGAACCTGGGAGGTGGAGGTTGTGTGTGGTGAGCCAAGATTGCGCCACTGCACTCCAGCCTGGGCAACAAGAACGAAACTCTGTCTCAAAAAATAAAAAAAAGAAAAAGAAATTGTGGGGCATCTTGTTTTTAATTTGCCTAGAACTGGTGGTTCGCATGTGGGTCAAATGCTCATTAAGCTTGATAAATGATGACCTAGAAATAGAGAAAATATATAAATTATCCTTATGTAACCTACATTATACAAAGTCACAGGTGTCCTCTTCTTAGATTCTGGGGTGAGACTGAAAGAATATATATAACAAAGGACAGGCATGCTCCTATTATCAGATGTCACCATTGAGGAAACATTAGAATAAGAACCCCAGCAATGGGACTTATACGTAGGTTTCTTGCCTGGGGTTGCTCACACCCTATGTTCTATCTACTGAGGCCACAAAGCAGCTTTTCCAGGCATCAGCTCTAGGGTGGAGGCACAGCAGCAGAGAGCTTAATGGCCCTGACCACGAATGGCTGGGAATGTGCCATGTCTGTGCATTTGACTCAGGCCACGTGTTCATAGACCAGCATGCACACGTCCACACCTGCTGAGTGTCTGTACTCAGGTATAGTGTTAGCACAGGTTTTTTTCTTCAGTGTGGCGGGTAAGGACTCAGGTATAAAAGCTAGGTAGTCTCAGTAAAAATAATTGGGCCAAATAGCTATTTACTACCCATGAGATCAAGGAGACGCCAGGGTAAAAGAGGCAGCAGAAGGCCGGGTGCGGTGGCTCACGCCTGTAATCCCAGCACTTTAGGAGGCTGAGGCGGGCGGATCACCAGAGGTTGGTAGTTTGAGACCAGCCTGACCAACATAGAGAAAACCTGTATCTACTAAAAATACAAAATTAGCCAGGCATGGTGGTGCATGCCTGTAATCCCAGCTACTTTGAAGGCTGAGGCAGGAGAATCACTTGAACCCGGGAGGCAGAGGTTGTGGTAAGCCGAGATCGTGCCATTGCACTTCAGCCTGGGCAGCAAGAGTGAAACTCCGTCTTAAAAAAAAAAAAAAAAAAAAAAGCAGGTAGATGATGAGGGGTGGCATTTGTGTAAATGTCGTATTACAAAGAATTGGTAAAAAGCAATTTGGTTGAAGCGACTCATAGGATAGATTCATAGTGCTTAAACATTAATTGGCCTATAAGAAATAAAAGGTAGCTTGTCATTCATTATTTAAGCTGGTAGACACACCTCTAGCATCTGAAATAAACATGGAGAGGCAAAGAGTTCGCTCATGGCCCAACAGACAGTACTAGAAGAGGGTCTAAAAGGCCCAAATTTGGATCACAGCTTGGCCACTTACCAGGTGCTTGTCCTTGGGGACGTGACCTAACCTGTTTTTGCCTCAGTTTTTCGTCTATAAAATGGGGCTGTTGAACTTAAAAGTTCTTTCCTGCTCTGGACATATTATTGTAAGTGAAGTACTTTAAAGTTTTTCTAACTGCTTTCCAAAGCTGCTCTGGGCTCTCTGAAAAAATATCTTTGCTCAGGACATTTTCTTACATGGAAATATCCTCACCCTTCTGTCTCTGTGAAGATTCAGCAACCTGAAGTCAGCTCACCTAGTTTCCTCAACCATCTTTTCTCTATCCCTCTCATCATAGAGTTCGTGTTATGTTCTCTTATAGCAGTTCTTATGATCGTCATTTCTTCAACCATGTTTTAACTGCTGCGAATTCACCTCATGTATGTTCATCTTAAACTGCAGAGCCATATTGACAACAGCTTTGGAAATTTCCGATTTGCTTTGGTAGGATTAATCTCCAACGACTTAATATTCCTTTCCCATCTGGAAACTGGATGGAATAATAGCAAGATGGCTGCTCTGGTAGGAGCGCATTTTCCTTGTCTTCTGGGAGGAGAGATTGAGAGTATGTTAAAATGTTTTTCTTCTCAGTGTATCTCACCTTGTAAATATTATTTGACTTCTTAGGATGTTAAAACAAGCCATTAAAATTTATATTTCTACCTATCTATCTTATAAAATTACAGATTGTCTTCAAGCAGAGTGAGTTAACGGTATTTCAAGCCAAACCCCAGTATATGATGCAGAACAAGGACCCAAAGTGAGGCTGAAAGGTGAACTTGCAAGTACAGGCTTATCATTTCATGGAATGTGATTATTTAGCTATTTTAAAGCAGTTGCTTATCTACTACAGGTTACTTATTGTATGGCAAAAATGAAAACACAGATCTCTGTGGATCCAAAAACATTTTGGAAGCTATGTTAAGACATCATTTACGTTGGTTTTCACGTAAGTGCTGGGCTTTGAAGCATTTTTTATTTTTTTAAGACACAGGATCTCACTGCGTACACTGGCGTACCCTGGTGTGATTATAGCTCACTGCAACCTCCAACTCCTGGGACTAAGCAAGTCTCCCAGCTCAGCCTGTAGCTGAGCTACCACGTCTGGCCTGAAGCATTTCTAGTTCTAGTTTGAAAAAAAAAAAAAACAAAAACACATTTAGAACCCTGGTTAATTGTTACATCGTTTTGTCTTCCGATTTTCCGATTCCTCAATGCTGATTCTTGGCCTAGGGTATGTATAGTGGAAATGGTGCTAAGAATGGAGGTGCTGTGTTTATCTGTGTCTGAAATATCTGGCGCTGTACAGATGGGGGAAGTAGGGAGTAAAACCTTTCCAGATGTAAACCTCTGTGTTTTAGCAAAATAACGTTATGGATTCTATATTAGTTTCCTGTGTCTGCTGTAACAAATTAACACGAACTTGGTGACTTAAAACAATGGAAATGGATTCTGTCACAGTTCTGGAGACCAGAAGGCTGAAATCAGTACGACCAGTAGGCTAAAATCAAGGTGGCAGCAGGGCCACACTCCCTCCTGAGATTCCAGGGGAGAATCTTATTCCTTACCTCTTCCAGCTTCTGGTGGCCACTGATGTTCCTTGGCTTGTGGCCACATCACTCCAGTCTTCAAAGCCAACATCGCCAACATCTTTGCTATGGACTGAATGTTTATGTCCCTCCCAGAGTTGATGTGTTTAAATCCTAACTCACTGATGTGATGGGATTAGGAGGTGGGGCCTTTGGGAGGTGATTAGGTCATGAGGGTGGAGGGTGGAGCCCTCATTAATGCTATAAGTGCTTTATAAAACACACTGAGGCTGGGCTCGGTGGCTTACACCAGTAATCTCAGCACTGTGGGAGGCCAAGGCGGGCAGATCACCTGAGATCAGGAGTTGGAGACCCGCCTGGCCAACATGGTGAAACCCTGTCTGCTGGGTGTGGTAGCGGGTGCCTGTAGTCCCAGCTACTCAGGAGGCTGAGGCAGGAGAATGGTGTGAACCCGGGAGGCGGAGCTTGCAGTGAGCCAAGATTGCAGCACTGTACTCCAGCCTGGGCGACAGAGCGAGACTCCATTTCAAAAAAAAAGAAGACCTGGAAGTGGAGGTTGCAGTGAGCTGACTGTGCCACTGCACTTCAGCCTGGGCGACAGAGTGAGACTCTGTCTCAAAGCAAAAAGACACAAGAGCTTGTTTTCCCTCTCTGTTCTTTACCATGTGAGGATGCAATGAGAAGGCAGTCATCTGCAAACCAGAAAGAGGGTCTTCAATAAGAACCTGACCGTGCTAGCATACTGATCTCACATTTCCAGCCTCCAGAAGTGTGAGAAATAAATTTCTGTTTATAAGCACCCAGTCTGTGGTACTTTGTTCTAGCAGCCTGAACTAAGGTCATCTTCAAATCTCTGTCGGCACTGTCTTCACATCCCCATGTCCTCTGTCTGCCAAATCTCCCTTTGCCTGCCTCTTACAAGGACATGTGTGATTGCATTTAGGGCCCATGCAGATAATCTAGGATAATCTGACTAACTCAAGATCCTTATTAACTTCATTACATCTGCAAAGACCCATGCTTGCTTTTCTTTTTTTCCCATAGAAGGTAACATTCACAGTTCCAGGAATTAGGATATGAATATCTTTTGGGGAGCTGTTTTTCAGCCTTTCACAGACTCTATTTGTTCCATATGAATCAAGTAAGCATCAAGGCTTACTGCCTCTTATATCTTCTCTCAGCCTATTCCATCCTGGTGTGATCTGAGTTAAGGGCATGGGCTTTGGGGTCAGCTAACCTGTGTTGGAATCTCTTCTGTGCTACTTACTTATTCTAGGTCTTGGGCATATTGCTTAAGTTCTTTATGCTTTTGTTTGCTCATCTGTAAATGACAGGCACTATTATACTCAAGTTTTCTGTAAACTAATTGATAAATAAATTCAGCAGACACTTATTTAGGGCGTCCTATGTACTGAACACTAAATTCTTCGGCTACAGTGATGAACAAATAGAGACAGTCCCTGTCTTCAAGGGGCTTATAGTCTGGTTGGGGAGATAGATAGTTATTAAACAAATATTCTCAAAAATGGAGTACGACAAACTGGTCAGTCCTGTGTGGGAGGAATGCAGGGTTAGAGGAAACACTCCTGGCAGGGCCTTGGGGCAGGTGCCTCTGAGGCAGTGATGTAGAAGCTGAAACCTGAAGGGCAGTGGAACGTGAGCCAGGCCAGGAGTAGGAAGAAGGGCATATTATACAGGAGGACAGGCTGTGATTGGAAGCAACTTGGAACTTTGGAGGACCCGAAAGAAGTGTTCATGGAATTTAGTGACCTATGGGAAGATTGGCGTGAAATGAGATTGGCAGCATCATAAGGGCGTCAGACCAAGCAGGGCCTCATATAAATCTGAGCTTCATTCTGAGCGTATTGGGAAGCCCAGCAGGTTTAAGCAGTGGCAAGGGTGGGGACGGGGTGGGCAGGTCGTGACCTGGCTTATGTTTTGACAAGATTGCTCAGGTTTCTGGTTCTAGAATGAAGCGACAGGAGTAGTGGCAGTGGAATGGTGAGATGAGATGATGTGTGGCCGCAATCCAGGCAGGAGATGAAGGTGGCTTAGACCTGGGTGGAGAGGGTGCTGGTGGGGAAAATTGGAGAGTTCCAAGATATGCTCTGGAGAATGCAGGACTTGAGAGTTTTATATGGGGAGATGATGAGGAAGAGGGAGATGTCAAGGGTGACTCCCGAGTTTCTGGCAGAAGCCGCTGGATGGATGGGTGCTCCATTGACTAATGTGGGGAGGACAGGAAGAGGAGCAGATTAGGAGAAAAGATTCTGAGTTCTCTGTACATGTCAGGTTTAAGAAGCCACTTAGCACAGTGCCTGACACAGAGCACACCATAAATAGTAGATTTTAGTAGCTTCTAATTCTGTCCATTTCAAAGTCATAATTGACCGTTGAGTCAGGAGACTTGGGTTCTAGCTCTGGCTAGTCCATGTTAGATAAATAAACCTCTTAGGGCATCAGTGTCCTCATCTACAAATTGGGGGCAGTCAGATTCGGTGCTTTTTGCGGTTTCTTTCAGCTTCAGTGTGCTGACAATGCTATGAGATTCTTTGGTCTTGACCACCTGGAATCCACTGTGGCCAGCTGGATCTGCTTCAGAGGGGCTGATGAACCAGAACTCTGCATATGGATGGCAGTTTCTGGTGGAAGCTGACGTACGGGGAGCTCTGGCCAAGGCAAATTGTGGCTCTCGAGGAGGCTTCATGACGAAGGGGAAGGATGTGGTTTGAGGGCAGCAGCAGCAGCTGCTGTCACCAAACAAGCATGAAATCCACTGAGCTTCAGATGACATTGCAACTGAGGATGGCTGTTTATTAATTGGCAAATTAATATGATGTGGGGGCATATGGAGAAATGGTGATGGGCAGAAAAGAAGATGAAGAGAGAAACATATACTGGTTCTTTCCTGTGTATTCATCTGTTACTGACACAGAGTCATCATTAGTGCCACAATGAGTATCAGGGATGGGTCATCTCCAGTTGAACTCCCTTAATTTACAGATTAAGCAACCAAGGTCAACAACGACTTCCATGACAACAGAGCCAAGCTGGCACTCAGGTCTCTTCACACCTGGCCTGTGCTTTCCTGCTCCACCAGGCTGCCAGGGGTGGTTCCCATGAGCTGTTTTAGGCCCATTTTTGGAAAAAGAGTCATTTGGTTTCATTTGTCTTAGACTAGATCCCAGAGATGTTATTTACTGTTCCCAACCCCCGATATAAAACCACTGAATGTGCAGGCCCTCTCATCAGCCAGTGCTTGACGAGTAGTACACCTGGTGCAGCCTGGATTCCACAGCCATCCTCCCTGTAACTGCATGGGTCGGGTCCTCCGTGCTTCTGTAGGACCTGCTCTTCTGAAGCACGTTCTGCGAGTGAAGGCTGCACTACGTCTTTCATGAGGCTAGACGGTGCTCTTCTTGTCCTCAGAGTTGTTTGTTGTTTGGTTGGATTTTAAAAACTCAACAACGGCTTTGTTTATGAAAAGCAGCTTACTAGGAAAGTTGCTTCATCCTGTGATCGTGGCTAGTTTGTGAGTGATTAAATTCCCTGGCCTCCTCTTTGGAAGCAATGACCAGTCATTCTGTTGGTTTATTACTATTTCACAACATAGGAAGCAGAGCACACCACCTCTACCTAACAGTTTAACTTGAAACACCTCATCAGAGTATGTGAGTGAGACTTCACATGTGCCTGTTGCATAGTAAAAAGGACGTTTCTTTCAAAGTCACTGGGCTGGCTGAGCAGGACCCCCACAGAAAAACAGTGTTCTTGGGCCTCAGGCATACCTCAGGGCGATGCTCAGGGATGTCTGAGCAATGTCAAGCCTGTTAGATGCATGGCAGGGAGGATCTGGAGCACAGATTGATCTCTCAGATGTGGGGTGAATGGGGAGGTAAATCATCCTTTAAAGGGACTCTTTTTCAAGGCTGAGAAACCATGTCCTGAGAAAAGGGAGGGCTCTGTTTCCAGAGGCCACACGTCTGGTTGACCTCCTTCCAGTCTCCTTGAACATGCTCTGTTCATTACTGAAACAGCGGTTTGCCTGCGACTGGTCCCCACCCTTGAGGATGCTCAGCCAGTTTCCACTGCATCTCCAGGTTCTGCCCCTCCTGCAAGGCCCACCTTAAGGGCCAGCGCCTCCCTGGAACCTTCTCCCAGAGTCTCCGTCCTCCCTGTTTTTGGTTTCTGGATTCCATCCCCACTTGCAATCACACTGCACAGTTTTGCACTTTGTTGCCTCATGTTGTTTCCTCTGGGTGGATGTGTTGGGAGAGAGGATAGGTGGTGCGTGTTTGTCCTTTCTCAGTGGCAAACTCACTAACTTCCTAAGGACAAGAACTCCGTCTTGGACTTCTTTATATTCTCTCATAGTGTTAGGCTTAATTCTCGGGACAAAGTATATGCGCACAAATACTTGATCATTCACTAGAAAAGAGTTTCAGTGTGTTCGTCGAGTAATAGGTTTAAAAAGACACACATAAAGTCTACATGGACTTGTTTTCCAAATTATTTTCAAAAGCATAATGGCAAGATTTAATTTGGTTGTGCGTGACAGAACACTTGAAATAATGACTTAGGTAAGACAGAAGTTTCCTTCTTTCCCCATATGAAACAAGGGCACAGGTAGAGAGGCCAGGGTGGAGTGGGAACCGGGGCTGCTTCTCGCTTCTCTCCTGCTGCTCTACCATCCTAGCCTATGATTTCTTTCTCTCCTCTCCCCTCTCTTCCCCTCCCCTCCCCTCTCCTCTCTCTGTTTCCCTCTTCTTTCTCTTTTTCTCTTTTTTTTTTTTTTTTTTGAGACGGAGTCTCGCTCTGTCACCCAGGCTGGAGTGCAGTGGCGTGGTCTCGGCTCACTGCCAGCTCTGCCTCCTGGGTTCATGCCATTCTCCTGCCTCAGCCTCCCGAATAGCTGGGACTACAGGCGCCCACCACCACGCCTGGCTAATTTTTTATATTTTTAGTAGAGATGGGGTTTTGCCATGTTGGCTAGGCTGGTCTCAAACTCCTAACCTCAGGTGATCCGCCTGCATGGCCTCCCAAAGTGTTGGGATTACAGGTGCATGCCACAACGCCCAGCTAATTTTTGAATTTTTAGTAGAGACAGGGTTTTGCCATGTTGGCCAGGCTAGTCTTGAACTCCTGGCCTCAAGTGATCCACCCGCCTCGGCCTCCCAAAGTGCTGGGATTACAGACGTGAGCCACCACGCCTGGCCATAGCATATGATTTTCATTCTCAGGGTCAACTCATAGTACATAATAGCTTTTGGAAATGCAGCAAGTGTATGTGTATGCACATTGTAGGCAGCAGGAAGGAGGAAAGGAGGAAGAAGAAAGAGTGAAAGGCCTGCACCAACTGTCCTTCAAGGAGCTTTCCCAGAAGCTGCTGCAGAATACTTTCGCTTGCATCTTACCAGTTCAAACCTAGTGACACTTAGCTGCAAGGGAGGTTGGAGAATACAGGCTTCATTCTAGATAGCCATGTATTCAGTGGAAACTTGGGGGTACTGAGGAAGAAGGGGGAAAATAGCTGGATACTCCCACACATGGGCCAATTTGGATGAAATAAGGTATGCTGAAATAACTGTCTTTTTAGCCTTATCAGACCCTTTATGAATTCCTCAGTGAGCCACTTTTTGCATCTGCTATGTTCTGTGGTAATTATTAGAGATAGAACAGAGAAAAGACTGATATGGCCTTTACTCTCAGAAAGATGACAATTCAGCATGGGGAGACAATACACAGGAGGACAAATAAATGAACGAAATAATTATGAGATAATAGTAAGTACTATATGAAAAAAGTCACATGGTCTTGGTTTAAAAACTTTTCCATTTATTGGCTATTACTCAGTTGCTTATTATATGAATGAGACATTCAGTCTTCATCAAAGCTATTTTGGTTTCTCTTTTGGATTGTGCCAGTAAATCTCTATGAGTTTTTTAGAGGGGAAAAAAATGCGTTAAAAATTGCTTTGCTGGACCATTCATAAGAGGATTTATTTAGACTGGAAAGTTTTACGCTGACATTTCTAAAAAGTTTATATCTGGGTATGTTTATATTAATTAAGGTTTTATTTATATAATATGAATGCACATTTTCAGGAGCCATTTATTTAAACATGTAAAGACCATTAAGAAAAGTGTTGTCAGTAATAGAAGAGACTTCTAATGGTATGTGTTTAATAAAGCAATGTAATTTATAAAATACTTAGAAAAATATTAATGTTTTATACTTTTTTCCCAAGGTAGGAATTTTTATTTTCCTGCATTTCATACACAACAGTATAATTCAGTTATTTTAATTTTATAATAGGTTGCTGTTAGAGCCAGATCTGTCTTTGCAGGAGAGATTTTTTTAAAATGTGAGTAAAACAAAGAGCCATCAGCAACACTTGTGTGGCTTTGATTTGATGTACTTTTTAACACTCCACGCTGATTTCTGGAGTCTTGTACTAAAATTGCTTAGGGTTAAGGAGCTATTTTATACAATCTTCATTTTACGACTCCTTCATTAACACACACTCGAGTAATTTTCTAGTGTCTAACACTAATTTTCAGCTATTTAAATCCATGGTTTATCATCTCCTAACTATGATGAAGACCAGAATCTGGAGAAAAAAGGGAATCTGCATTGTTTGGAATATCTTTAAATAAGAAATCCTAGAGAATGGTTCTGGATTTTACATGTAGAAACGTTAATCAACAGCAATAAACTCTGTGCTGACGACATATTTAAAACAAATGAGGACTTAGGAAAAAACAGGAAATTTGACCAAACGACTCTCCTAGTAACAGGTTTTGTGTGTCTTTGTTAAGAGCATCGCAGCTTGTTTTAATTCTTTTTTTACTTCCTTTCCAAAATTTGATGTTAAGTTTCTTCACAGTTTTATATACAGCTTTTATTTAATAACCACTCTTCACTTCAAACGAACTGATTTCTGTAACAGGAATTACAAATGAAAGGAATCTGTAATGAAATTGAAATGCTGCATTTCAGTCCATAGGCATATTGGTGTTATAAATTGCTGATTAGTGAGTCTTTTGCTAGGCTAGGGCTTAAACTGCTTTCAAGCCCACTTTTAATTGGTAACATTACTTGGCATTTTGTAGGGTGGAAATGCCTTTTGCTTACCATTCTTAGCCTTATTTTTATATTCTTAATTTAAACTTGACCCTTTGTTGTCACTGTAATGCAAGAAACCATTCCTGTTTAATCTTGGACAGCTGCATATGTTTAGAGACTATATGCATAGGTTCTCACAGAAATCTGACCTAAAACAGACAGATGTTGGAACTCTTATGTAAAAATCTATTCTAAACAATCTGGGCTACTGCTAGACAGGAATGCCAAACATTTCCAACCGCAAATTATACTTGATAATAACCACCTTGATAGCAGAAAGCAGCAGACCCCTGTTCCATGACAGGATCTAGAGGAAGGTAACAGGTCTTTGGCATTTTAACTCAGATTTGCTACATTTACAGAGATGAGGGCCATTGCAAATGGCATCATTGTGAAAATTAGAAACTATTAATTTACGTACAGAAATTCTCCGAACACAAAAGTCTTTATTCTCTTTTTCCATGTAACCAGACCGTAGCAAGGAGTCACTGACTGGGAAGCAGGAGTCGGCCTGAAGCCAGGAGGGCCGAGCACACAAAGAGCCATGTGGCTCAAGGGGGAGATGGACATGCGTGCCCTTTTCAAGTTTCTGAAATCAGTGTATTTCTGAAGAATCATTTAAATAAGCTCACCAGCGTGTTTTATTTTGTGAAATGTGGGGCATGCCGGTTATGAAATGGGGACTCTGAAATGTGATACATCCATCTTAACCAGCTCAGGGTTTATTCAATTCTTCCAGCCCTAATCCTATTAACTCTCATGCACAAAGGAAATACAGGACTCCTCTCTGATGATTCTACCCAGGCCTCCTGGCATTTGGAAACCAAACTTTAAATTTTACAAATGATGTCTACTAGTTCATTAAAAACTAATCATAATAATGTTTTTAATAAACTAATAGGCTTTACATGTAAAATCTAAAATTTGAAGGTAGCTTCAAGCATCAAGGAAGCTACCTTTCAAAATTTTAGATTGTTTACTTTAAGAAAAGGCATTAGAAGAGATTGATGATTTCAATCAGTATATAGAATTGTAGGATTTTTATAAAAACAATTTATTTGAATATGGAAATTTTTGGTGTGAAGTACATCAAATATAAGTCTTTTTCAAACCAAATCTTTGGTTTTACAAATAAAGCTTATTGGTTGATTAAAAATACAGCCAGCATCAATGTAACCAGTGTTCAAATTGGATTTTTTAGACTGTTTACTTAAGGGATTTTGAAGAGTTTGGTGACTCATAATCAGTTTATAAAATGTGAGGATTTTTTAATAGCAGCCTTATTTAAAATAAGTCAAAATGTTGGTGTGAAATGCATGAAACTTATTTCTGGCTGTATGTCATTTGGACATAAATCTAACCCAGCAAAATTCCAAGATCTAATTATGATGCTATGGGAAGCTAATCTCATTGCAGTGAAGATGAGCTAATGACACATTAGTCCATATTGTATTATATACTTTTCAGTCTGCTGCCTGCTATTTTGATTAAATTTACTTCCTACCATTCAGATTTGAAACAGCAAAGCCTTTCTGTTATTACCTATCAAGTTTATAAAGCTTTTCTCTGAAATTTTGAAGTGTTTTAGATTTCCTTCACTTAACAAAATTTTATACAACGCTTAATGTAAAATCACAGAAGATTTGCATTTATCCCCTTTCTGTTTAGAAGTACTTGCTATTTCCAGGTACCAGGCTGTAGTCAGCACGGCCCACTCTCGGCCGAGGTGGCCTGGAATGTCTAGTCATTTCAGTTTACGTAACAGTTTCCCTGGCCTGTTTGCTTTCAGAGGTCACTTCAGTGTCAGCCTCAGCAGTCCACGTATAAGTCTGCCTGTTCCACACGATTCACAGAGGGAAAGAAAATACTGTATCTGAGGCATTCTTCCTACTTTGCGTAGCCCATATTATTTGAATGTACATTAAAACAGTGATAACATTCACCTCATACACTGAAGAGTAGATTTGCTTTTCTTTCTGATTTCTTATTCTGTCAGACTCTTTTCCTGACTGGAAGACACCTAGTTTTCTAGCCAGGATAGCTGAATGCTCCCTTTGCAAACACCTTGGCCTGAAGTTAGAATGAAACTGTAGTCAGCACCCCTTATCATTCTTCAGAAAGTCTTCCCAGCCCTGATAGGATCTGTTCTGATTCGGAATATCAGGGAACATTTCTTGGTGAATAAACCTGGCTTCTTATATACTGGTGCAGTCACTTCCCTGTAACGAGGTAATTTAAGCCAGTTGCCTTTCATTTCAACCATGTCAAAGTATCAAATAAAGCTATAACTTCAGACCAGCCAGGAAAATGAGAGGCCGGACAGAGTAACATGTTTATAATATAAATCCTTCCTGTTTTCTCAACCCATGCTCCCCTGGCTGTTTTCCATTCTGACAGAACACTCTGGAGATTTGCCTACAGACAGTGACCACCAATTTAAAGATTTGTTGATGACTAAGAAAAATTCCAAAGCTGCAAATGAACGAATCCAATGCTGACTAAAACAACTGACCAAAATTACTAATTCCTAGGCTGCTTTAGCACGAATGGTCATAACAACTGGGATAGCAGGCCTGTGTCACTCATTCCCTAGTAAAGCAGCTTGGAGGCCACAGGTGACTTCCTCTTCTTTCCAGACTGAGATGTACCAGAAATAGTGCAGTTCACCAGTTTGGGGAAGGCAGTTGTCTGGGAGTAATCATACCTGCAAATCACTTGATCTCAAGGACTGTGCTTGCTGACTTGAGAACATCTATTTTCTTCAATTTTAGATGTAACACGGCTACCTTGTACTCACTTTGAGTCTCACCGAATTCCCGTGCATTGAGGGTCCACTGGAATTCTTTGTTCATGGGCATTTTGACTGCTAGTATGGATGAGGTGGTGAGAAATGGTGGCAGACACACATAATTTGTGTGTCCCATATTTTCATTTTGCACCAAGCTTCTTTGCTCCCATGCATGCTCCATTGCTGCATCAGATTTCACTTACAAAGCGTAGGTCCAAAGATAACATTAACAGGAGTTTCAAGACAGTGACAGCAGATCATTAAACCAAGTGTGGGATGAGTGGGGCCTTGTGACTACACAGGCCAATGCAGTGGAAGCTCCCTATGTTACCTTCCCTGATTTCATTCCTTTCCCTGCCCCTCTCCCAGCAACCACTATAATTTTCTATTCTCATGTGTATCTTTATTATTTTACTTCATGTGTATTCGGAATGTATTTAGTATTGCTTGCCATATTTTAAAACTTAATGTGGACAGTGTCATTAGGAACCTGCAGCTTGTTTTTTCCTCTCAAAACGTTTACTGTATGTTTTTGGCCAGGCATGGGGGCTCTCGCCTATAATCCCAGCACTTTGGGAGGCCAGTGCAGGTGGATCACTTGAGGTCAGGAGTTCGAGACCAGCCTGGCCAGCATGGTGAAACCCCTTCTCTACTAAAAATACAAAAATTAGCTGGGCATGGTGGTGTGTACCTGTAATTCCAGCTACTTGGGAGGCTGAGGCAAGATAATCCCTGGAACCTGGGAGGCAGAGGCTGCAGTGAGCCAAGACTGCGCCACTTCACTCAAACCTGGGTGACAGAGCAAGACTCCGTCTCAAAAAATAAAAATAAAAAATAAATAAAAATAAAGACATTTGCTGTATGTTTTAAAAATTTGTCCATGTTGCTGTGGCAATAGCCTTTGTGTCCAGTTTAATTTTATGTGTCTGAAGTTCCAAGTTTTTGATCCTTTAAGTTGTTGACTGTTAGTGAATGCCCTATTTCTAGCTTGGGTGGGGTGCATGTAGTGATTAGCTTTTGAGGCTGTATTTAACCAAAAATTTGTTTGGAGACTTGAGTCATCAACCCTTATCTGTTGTATTGAGTTTCCACTCAGCCCATTGTCTGGGCGGAATGTGGGCTGGAAAAGTTTACTAGTGTCTCTTGGCAATCAATTGCTGTGGGATGGCACAGCCCACATAGAATGGGGTTGGTAATGTTTTTTGGGTTAGACCATTTACCTTCAAATGAAATTGAATTAGTGTAAAAGGAAGCCTGTAGAAATATAGAATCAAAGCCAGATACGGCTCGTGTTACCCAGAAGCAGAATGAATGATTACTTATCTGTAGAATGTCATCTGAGTACAGCGTATCTGCTGTGAATCTCTCTCCACAGATTTTTCCTTTAGGTAATCATTGCCCAATCTCATTATACTCATTACTTTTTACAGTTTGTAATATTAAGTGTGACCCTTTGATAGGAGTGGCATTATCAAATTGATTTCTCCCCTAATAGGAAAGATGGAACATGATTGGGCACTTCGTCCTCAGGCAGGAGAGGGAGGAATAGAAGCCATGAATTTTTTTTTTTTTTTTTTTTTTTTTTTTTTTTTTGAGAAAGAGTTTCGTTCTTATTGCCTAAGCTGGAATGCAATGGTGCGATCTCGGCTCACTGCAACCTCCGCCTCCTGGGTTCAAGCGATTCTCCTGCCTCAACCTCCCAAGTAGCTAGGATTATAGGCACACGCCACCATGCCTGGCTAATTTTTTGTATTTTTAGTAGAAACGGGGTTTCACCATGTTAGCCAGGCTTGTCTCGAACTCCTGACCTCAGGTGATCTGCCCGCCTCCGCCTCCCAAAGTGTTGGGATTAGAGGCGTGAGCCACCGCGCCCAGCTGAAGACATTAATTATTTTAAAAGGGAAGGGGGGCAGTCAAAACATGAATTTTTTTAAGGAGAAGAGTATCGAGAATTAATAATAATCATTTTCATTTCTAGACTACCAGTCTGTCTGGCAGATGCTGAGTGGCTTACATACATTCAAATCCCATTCAGTCCTCACAACAACCCCAAATGATAGGTATTTGTTTTATTTTATAAATGAGAAGTTTAGACACAAAGTTCCCTCAAGGTCCCAGATTTGGTGATGGGAAGGCTGGTATTTGAACCCAGAGGCTACAGAGGCAGGACTGCACATATTCCAGTAAGCCAAGCTTGCTGATGCTACAGTTTAGCAGTGAGCCAGCCTTGTCTCAGGCAGGGGTCACCACTGGTGCCTGGTGCCAGGTGATGACTAGATGTACGCTGTGACATTTGCGGATAGTGAAGATATAAGTTGGATCTGGGTCGGCCAAGTGGGAAAAGTAGTAAAATGTTAGTGGTTATGTGGTTTCTAAGGAAGAGCCAGAAAAATTAAAGTCACTATCTTTTGGGTTTTTATAGACCTGCCTTTGGCTTCAAAGGATCGCTGCCCTACTTGAGGTCTGTCTGTGTCTGGCTGGCCTTCATAAGGGTGTTCGGGCTGCTGCCCTCCTCTCTCTGCCCTGATTGGACTAGGCCATTGTCCGCTCCCTCAGCAGTAAAGTAGTGCACATGTGGGCTGTTCCTCTTTCTTTCCACTCCTTTTTCAGCCCTCCTCCTCCACTCTTCCTAATGTGGGTGTGGGCGCAGGCGCGACTCCCAGTTCCATTCTCTGCAAAGGTCTGTAGCCTGGAGGGCATTCTGATGCCCCACCCTGACACCATATTTTTGAGCCTGTGTCAGCAGCCTTTCTACTCACTCTTATTATATCCTTTCATATGACCTTGATTCAACTTGCTATCTTTAGCTTTGCTCTCTTAACCACAGGCACAGGTAATGCCACCACTCAAGTGATCACTTTATCTACAGGCCTCTGTTTTAAACATGTCTTTTATTTATCATCTACCCAGGAACCTCTCTGGTTTGATCACATGATTTTCAGACTTCCTGACATCTGAGTGCGGGACATACCACCCTGCGTAATGGTGGCTGATTTTAATCTTCTTGGCCACAATAAATCTGACACATACCTCAAGCCAATGGCATGCTCATCTTGATATTTTGATCCCATTTCCTTTACCACAGAGATTGTCTGATTGAAGAAAGTAGCTCAGCATGTGCTGTTTTTGGTTTTACTAATGTTGGAGTGTCAGATTGGCATTCCAGCACACTTGAATTTCTGCAACCTCTTATCAACTTGATTGTTACAGACTTAAAAGTATTTTGCCTATCTGATATTTATTGGTACTGAAGTTTGGTTAATTTTTTTTTTCCTATCTTGCATCTCATTCATCAAAGTAACAAGAAATATGGGCTGGGCATGGTGGTTCACGCCTGTAATCCCAGCACTTTCAGAGGCTGAGGCCAGTGGATCACTTGAGCCCAGGAGTTTGAAACCAGCCTAGGCAACATGGCAAAACCCTGTCTCTATACAAAATACTAAAGTTAACCAGGCATGTTTGTGTGTGCTTGTAGTCCCAGCTACTCGGGAGGCTGAGGTGGGAGGATCATCTGAGCTTGGGGAGGTCGAAGCAGCAGTGAGCCCTGATTGTGCCACTGCACTCCAGCCTGGGCAACAGAGGGAGACCCTGTCTCAAAGAAGAAAAAAAAGACGAAATTTTCCTCCTAGTTTTTTCTAGCTCAGCAAGACACCTATAGGAAACATATGGTTCTAGAGTCAGCAAAAGTAGTGTCTAGAATTTCCGTGTCACTTTCCTCCCCCAGGTCTTTTTGGGATGAGTTTTTCTGGGTATATGAATAAGTGATCCTACAAGTGAGGCGTGTGTTTAAAATGGATCGATGGCAGGGCGAACCATCACGCACTCTGGCAGAGATCTAAACGGGGGCAGTAGTCATTCTTCAGTCGTGTTTTTCTTTTGGTTGGTTGGTTTTTAAAGGTCATCTGTCTAACCCCTCATTTTACAGAGGCGGAAACAGGCCAAGAAAGGTTGCCTTACATCGCTACTCAGAGAATTACATGGCAAAAATGGGCCCAAACCCGGGGCTCATGAGTGCATGTTCTCAGAACCCCTAGGAGGGATTTCAAAACCCAAGTCCCACATGATTCTGGATCATTAACTCAACAAGCAGCAGACATGCCTCTTTAAGGCAAAAGTTCTATGTTCCATCAGTGAGCTTCTCATACCACCGTGTCTCCTATATTCTTCAGTAAAAGACTTTAATATCTAAAACTCCTTTAACCTCAAATCCTGTTATCCCCAAATGAGGCAATAACTTACTCGGTGAGATGTGTGCACCATCCTGCTCAGTTTGTGAATGCTTCATTACATTTATATGGATGGTATATTTTCCAAGAGCTAGATAAAATATTTCCTCTTCTCAAGTAGCTGCCTACTCATTTGGAAAGAAAAGACGTGAAAGATGAACAAACAGCCATTAAGTGCAATCATTGGTGCCTTAAAACTTTAAGGAAAATAAAAATCACTGGAAGTCGGGGCAGTCACGGGAGGCATCCAGAGAGCTTTCTCACTCACAAGAGGGTTAAGGTCTTTACTGGCAGGTTAAGTAGCCAGGCAGGAAGATTTGTCAAAGAGGAACCCAGAGTCCAGGAGAGGCAATAAGGAAAGGAAATATATCCAGGGGCAGTGAAGTATAACACAAATAAATAGGTTGAGGCGGATAGCAGAGGAGCCGATGATCCAAAGAGAAGGCAACAAGGAAAGGGTGGGGAAAGGATATGAGGGGAAAAAAAACAGGGAGGAAAAAACTGAAAATGAATCACCTAATTAATGGGTGGGAATACTGGCTGATGGTTTCCAGGGGCATTGTTTCTAGTCCAGTTATCTGTCAGAAATGCTTTGGATTCATGGCCAAAGGAAATTTAGGAGAAACCTCCCAGATAAAATACTTGAATGCTTTCCCCAAGCTTCTATTTTTACTTGTCTTACTTCAAAGACTACGAAAGACAGTGTTATACCTTTTGACCAAGAATATAATTTGAAAGTCCTGATTCCAGAATTCTTTGGAATTAACAAATATGTGGTGTGGTCCTTATCTTATTATGTTGGGAAGCACCTGACATCTTTGGAGCCAGAGCATAACTTGATAAATAACAGTTGCATGAGTGGTTAGGAGATAACTCTGAGAAGGAGCTGGGGACTTTGCACAGATTCAAAGAAGAGACAGAAGAGGGAAACTGCTGCCTTCACATCATTTCTCCCTTCCTTTGTATCTGGTTTATTCATGAGAAATTATGAATCAACCTGAAGAATCTGAGCAGTTATTTGTAGACCTTAAAGAACAAATTTAGTTTCCTTTGGTTTATTATGTTTACATATTTAATATATTGATTGAACAAAGAGTGACCGAATGCTTAATATTTTTTCAAGCAACTTCTTTGATATGATATTGTCTTATTCTTTGTTTCATCAAGATGCTATACAAATTTTCAGGTAGTAGAAGTTTCAGTAAATGATATATATTGCTGACATGTTTAGTCAAGTTATAGCCACTACACACAGTAAAGTGAGAAGATTATACATCTTCTCTCAATGGAGGATGAATAAACTATTAGTAGTTTATTGAGTACATTCCTTTTTGTGTATACCTGGGATGTATACACACAAAAAAGGAAGAATGATAGGAAACATGTAAAGTATATTAGAAATAACTATGTTTTATTTTGTGATCATGGAGAAATATGGGTTCACTTTAATATTGAATTGAAAAAATAAAAATGTGATTAGAAATTTTTGTATTTAATGAGTCATTAGATATGATTATAAATTTTTCAAAAAGCATTATACAGTTCTCCAATGTTATATACCAGGCAGCACTGTGAGTGTTCTCAAAGGCATTGCTCAGTCTCCACTCCCTTTTTTAATCCAGGAAAAGTACTAATGATTTAATATTTTTCTACAAGAATATCCCACTTTCAGAGGTTTTTATTATTTTTTAAAGAGAAAGTTGGTTACAAACAGCATCTAAAAGAACATTCCTTTAAAAAAAAAGCCACAGGAAAATCGAGTTATTTTTATAATGATAATACTTTATACAGATCTGTGGTCTTTCATCTAAGAACTTTCAAGCACTTTTGAAATGTTGACTCATCAATCCGTGACACACTTAGCAGATTGGGCAGTAATTCTGCTTCCATTTGGTTTCAAAGAACTCACTGTGTCCTAAGGTATGCGGATGCTTTTTTTAAAAGAATTATTGTTTTGATTTCTTCCCTTTTTCTTTTTTTAAATTTTATTTTATTTTTTATTTCTTGTTAAAGGCCAGAAGAAATATGGCTTGGTCCCAACCCACTAGGAACTCAGTGTGATGAAGGCAGGAGCCACAGAAAAGTTCTTCCAATTCCCAATAACACATGCTACGACTCAAAAACCAGAGACGGAAATCTCTACATATTTTGAACAGTCCAGAAAGGCATTCAGAAGATTTGAGCCTTAAATTATTCCAAGATACAGAAGGCAGACTTGCTTTGCTGAATTGACATTTTAATCAGTATTTCCTTATTTATTTTTTAACAAGGCAACTATATTATTTATAATATCCTGCCAAACATGAATGCATGCCTTTCACCTGTGTAAGGGGCTCAAGGATGGATTCTTGGCTGAAGAATTCCTCTGGAAATATTTCCCAGGCCAAAGGTGGGAAAATAGGCTGCCAGTAATTGGAAGTTTTATGAAGTATGCATTAAGATTTTATTTATTAATAGTCTCAAGATTTAGCCTTATCTTTCCAATTTTCTTTGATAGGTAAAATCAGTAGCCTTTCTGCTACCCTTTAGGGTGTTAAAGCAGTGAGTTGTGTTGGGGGTTATTTTTCAACCCAGGGTCCATGTTTTTTCACCCACATGATTTTTAATTACTTCACTTCCAGTTAAAGAATGGTATGAAAGTACTGTTTATATGTCTTGTTAAAATAAAAACTTAGACAAATTAAATTTAACAGAGTTTAATTGAGCAAGAAAAAAAAAAAAAAAAAAAAAAAAAGACTCATGAAATCAGGCAGCTCCCAGAGTCAAAATGGATTCAGAGACTTGGGCTGCCACATGGTCAGATAAGATTTATGGACCAGAAAAAGGAAAGTGATACACAGAAAACAGAAGTAAGGTAGAGAAACAGCTGAATTGGTTTATACCTCGACCTTTGCCTTATTTGAAGACAGTTTGAATAGTTGGCCACCTGTGAGTGGTTGAAGTAAGGCTGGAGTGGTTGGCTGAGCCATTGTTATAGAAGCACACTCCTCAGTTACGTTTTCAGTTTGTTATGTACTAAGATTGTAGTTCATTTCTAAGAACTGAAGTAGGTGAGTACGTATGCTTTCTCAGGCTAAATTTTAGTTTGATTTCAGAATTCCACCTGTTTGGTCGGCCTCTCAGTTTTGAGAGATTAACCTAAATTCTGAGCATGGGCACCACTCTCATTACAGTTGTAAATGACTCCTTTGTTCTGAGTATGGAATTCACAGATGACAATGTGAAACTAGCTGAATAATTCTTTCTTACTTACCTAGTTGAAGTGAGACCATTCAACACTCAATAGATAGCTGCATACAAAACATTTAAGACGTGAGAAGACACAAGGCACCAGAGTTACTATTATGATGACTTCCAAGAGGATGATATCAAAAGAGCAAGGAGTTCACAAGCATTCTTATGAAACAAACCAAACCAAATGAAACAAGTCACAATTGAGGCAATATAGGCAGTTCAACAGTATTTGAGTCTAATTGGTCATAGTCCTTGTTCAGGGTCTGATGGTGATTAAGGACCACAGTTGCTTGTATAATGGCCTGATTGAAAGAGGTATTCATTTTCATTGTTAGCCTGGTAACACAAGTCATAATAACCCGGAGACATACCTAGAATATATTTAAAGATGACAAAACCTTGGAAAACCCAAGCTTGCCATCCACCATTGAGGATGCCTGCAGACCAACTGTTAGTTGCTCTCATAAACACATCAGTTGCTTTTTCTTTTCTTTTCTTTTTTTTTTTTTTGGAGATGGAGTCTCGCTTTATCCCCCAGGCTGGAGTGCAATGGCGCGATCTTGGCTCACTGCAAGCTCCACCTCCTGGGTTCACACCATTCTTCTGCCTCAGCCTCCCGAGTAGCTGGGACTACAGGCACCCGCCACCACACCTGGCTAATTTTTTGTATTTTTAGTAGAGACGAGGTTTCACCGTGTTAGCCAGGTTGGTCTCGATCTCCTGACCTCGTGATCTGCCTGCCTTGGCCTCCCAAAGTGCTGGGATTACAGGCGTGAACCACTGCACCTAGCCGTGTTCCCTTCTTTTAGGAGATTAATTTCCTTAGTATGTTTGGTGGCAGTATCTAAGGCTACCTTTTAAATTAAGCCTTCTGTAGTAACAAAATCAGGGGAGAGATACTCAGTTTTCCTCAGTACCAAATATAAGCCCCCAACTAGAGCAAAAAGGAGCCCTAAAGTTGCATGATGTTCCATTAAGTGTTTTGGTTGAATGCATATATTGTTATCCACCTTTCAGAGAGGGACATCTACCCATCTGAACCCCTGGGAGGTCTGACTGTCTACAAAATCCAAGATTTTTCCCAATTTACAGATTATCTTTAAATTCTATACAACTGATACCCCACTACTGCCAAAAGTGAGCCCCCAGGAGCCCCACCGGAGTTTCTTCTTAGTTGAAAATAGTTTATCTATTTTAAGGTTGGGGGTAATTTCAGTTATTGATTATTTTGGCCTCTGATCCTAGGAGCTGTTATGGGAATTTGTAGGGGAAGCTATTTGAATGGCCGGAGTGAGCCAGGCTAAATAGCAACATCCAAACCAGACAGGAAGCAGATTTTCCTCAGACCCAATAGAAGCCCATGGGGATTGGAAAAGAGGGTTACCTAGTTGCATTTGTGCAAGGGTCAGTTAAATTTATTTGTCTGTAAATCTGCATAGCTCCTGAACAAAGTTCAGTGGGTAATGTACTTTTTTGGGTTCGTTTATAGCATGCGGTAAGGGTGTATAGCCACATTTAGTAAAAAAATGACCCTACTGGATTTTTTTTTCTTTTCTTTTTTTTTTTTTTTGAGACAGTTTTGCTGTGTCGCCCAGGCTGGAGTGCAGTGGTGCGATCTCGGCTTACTGCAACCTCTGCCTCTGGGCTCAAGCGATTCTCTGCCCCAGGCTCTGGAGTAACTGGGACTACAGGCGCCCAGCACCATACCTGGCTAACTTTTGTATTTTTAGTAGAGACAGGGTTTCACCATGTTGGCCAGGCTGGTCTGGAACTCCTGACCTCAAGTGATCTGCCCACCTTGGCCTCCTAAAGTGCTAGAATTACAGGCATGAGCCACTGTTCCCAACCTCCTACTGGATTTAATCTGGTAACATTATACAAGCAATTACTTGTATCCATATAGCTAATTCCCAGGTCTCAAGTGCGTGATGTCTAGAAGCACAATATACCTTTTGCAGGCATCACTTGGATAGGTTTTCTATGTTTGGTAACAACCAGGTTATTCATTGGAAAAGTTAAAGTGCTGTTTCTAGCGAGTGCAGGAAAGCAAATGAAGCAGTCATTTTTAGAATATCAAGGATAGGTTTCCACTCCCTCCTCCTTTGGAGTTTGAATCACTGCCATTGGGAACATGGAGAGGCATCAATGGAATTGTTTTCTGATTTTTTGGCATTTGCCCACAAACCCAACAGTTACTCTGGTTTTGTGCTAGAACATAAGGTAGAGCTAATGCCATCTAGTGATTATGGTCCCATGGATTTTCCTGTAGGAAAAAGGAAAGTATTGGGATAAAAGATTAGAGGAAAAAAGCAAAAAGCACAAGGCTTTCATAATGGCAGAAAAGTCTTGATCTGTGATCTTGGGAAAGCTGTCCGCATCTAGGATGCTGTCCACTTTCGGGGAGAAGTATTCCTGGTCAGCTTTACCTTAAAGTCTCCAACAGGTGTTCTAAGAGTCTGAAGGGGCCCTTTTGTGTTGTGAGATGTGGACCCAAGGTTACAGGTGTGGGTGTGAGAAGAACTTGGTGTGGTCCTTTCCAACAGGGTTCAAGGGCAGTCTTCCTCTGATGTTATTTCCCGAAGACCCAATTTCCAGGCTCTAGACCATGAAGGATTTGATTGTACTTAGTCAGTGGATCACAAAAAGCTTCCTGTACCTGGTAAAAATACACTTTGGCATAATGCATTAAAACCTTGCGTTATTTAGTCATATCAGAGTTTAGGAGAGTGGAACATCCATTAGGTTCTACTATTAGGGGCATACGTTTCCAGTGACTATTTCATAAGGGGCCAACTTATGTTTTCCAGTGGGAGTGGATCTGATTGCCATTTAATGCCAACAGTAGTACCTTTGGCCAAGACAACCCAATTGGCTCAGCTAACTTTGCCAATTTCAGTTTTAAGATACCATTTGTTCTTTCAGCCTTTCTGTAACTGCCCAGTGGGTTCCCCTTGCCCACTGCCTAGACAGAGCTGATTTATCAAGACAGGGGAATTGCAATAGAGAAAGAGTAATTCACGCAGAGCTGGCTTTGTGGGAGACCGGAGTTTTATTATTACTCAAATCAGTTTCCTCAGCATTCGAGGATCAGAGTTTTTAAGGGTAATTGGGTGGGTGGAAGAACTCAGCTGTCTTCTTGTGCTGAGTCAGTTCCTGGGTGGGGACCACAAGATCAGATGAGCCAGTTTATCAATCTGGGTGGTGACAGCTGATCCAGGGTCTGCAAAATATCTCAAGCACTGATCTTAGGAGCAGTTTAGGGAGGGTTGGAATCTTGTAGCCTCCAGCTGTATGACTCCTAAACTACAATTTCTAATCTTCAGGCTAATTTATTAGTCCTAAAAAGGCCGTCTAGTACCCAGGCAAGAAGGAGGTTTGTTTTGGGAAAGGGTTGTTAGCATCTTTGTTTTAAACTATAAACTAAGTAATTCCCAAAGTTAGTTCAGCATATGTGCAGGAATGAACAAGGACAGCTTGGAGGTTAGAAACAAGATGGAGTTGGTTAGCTCAGATCTCTTTCACTGTCTCAGTTATAATTTTGCAAGTGTGGTTTCATTTCCAGAAGACTGAGGGTGATAAAGGCAATGGTAGTATCACTGCATCCACAACACCTTATTTAACTGCTTTTAACTTACCCAGTAAAATGAGTTTCCCTATCTATAGCTGGAGATTTCTCCAGGAATACCCCATAAAGGAAAAACATTTTCTAATAATTTCTTAGCTGCTGGCACAGCACCAGCTTTTCTACAAAGAAAGACTCGATTTGACCAGAAAACATACAAACTATTACAAAAACTGATACCTCAGCAAGGGCGATAACTGAATAAAGTCCATTTGTAAATGTTCAAATGGTCCATCAGATGGTGGAAATATACTATCTGAAGTTTTTATTGTTTTCCTCGGATTATGAGTTTGGTAAATCAAACATTGGTTGTAACCCATTTTAGCAGTTTTGGAACATATACCTCACCAATTTTTTTTATAATTTGGATCATTTTGTGTGTTCCATGATGAGTTGTGGAGTGCAGGCCTTTTAACAACGGAAGCTTTAAAGACTCAGGAAGGACCAAGTGGTTGTCAGGCCCTTTGTGAATCCACGCTTAACATTGAATTTACATTTTTTTAGATACCAACTTTGTTTTTCCAAATTAAATGCATTGCACTGTTTATTAAATAGATCACCGTATGGGAGTTGATTTGGATCAGTCTTATGGAGTTCATTCAGATTGCATATTCTCACAGTGTCAGCACTAGCTGATTTAACATGCACATCGGCTAGGGCATTCCTTTGATATTCAGATTCAGTTTTACAGGTATCATCTTCAATCTTAATCATAACGATCTGTGATGATAACAGTGTTAACAGGATAGCTGAAAGGAGTTCATCTAACTGGAGTCCCAATAGAAGTGAGAAACCCCTATTGTTTATTTTTTAATAATGTAATTTTTATTATGCATATTTGTCTTTTTTTTTCTTTTTCTTTTTCTTTTTTTCTTTTCTTTTTTTTTTTTTAGACAGGGTCTCTCTCTGTTGCCCAGGCTGGAGTGCCATGGCGTGACCATGGCTCACTGCAGCGTCGACCTCCCAGGCTCAACCCATCCTCCCACCTCAGCCCCCAGAGTAGCTGGGACTACAGGCGCAAGTCACCATGCCAAGATAATTTGTAGAGAAGGGGTTTTGCCATGTTGCCCAGGCTGGTTTTGAACTTCTGGGCTCAAGCAGTCTGCCTGCCTTGGCATCCCAAAGTGTTGGGATTACAGGCATGAGCCATCGCACCTGGTCCCATTGTTTCCATAATGTGCCAAAATTGTGTACTACTCTAAAAGCATATCTGCTATCTTTTTAAATATTTACTGACGTGTCCTTAACTATATGACAAGCTTGGGTGGGAGCAAAAAGCTCTGCCAGCTGAGCGGACTTAAATTGAGGAAGAGTTCCCTTCTCTATTAACTCATTTTGGGCAGTAACAACATACCCTGCCTGATATTTTCCTTCTGAGACTTTGGCATAGGACCCACGAACAAAAAGTATCAACTCAGGATTATCCAATGGAGCATCTCATAAATCAACACAAGGGGCTACTAGTTTGGATACTACACCTACACAATTGTGATCTTTACCACAGTCAGTCAGAGGTAATGGAGTAGCAGGGTTAAGTAGGTTTTAGATGGAGTAGCATTTTAGATGGAGGTCAGAAGGAGGCAGGAGAAAATTTCATAAGATCATAAGATGTTAGTTTTCTTGCTGAAAAATGCTGAGCTTGGTTGGAATTTAATAGACTTTCCACAGCATGTGGAATTTGCAAATTAAGTTCATTCCCTAAAACCAGCTCAGATGAAACTTGTAGCAACTTGGTGGCTGCTGCTGCTTCTATTTTTTTTTTTTTTTTAAGACACAGGATCTGTCTTAGGCTTCCTTTAGTGGTGAAACAGTGTGGCCTAATGGGAGGAGGCTTATTGGTAGACTAACAGAGAAGCAGACAACTCTTTTCCAGTGTCCTGCTTATTTGCAAGGAAGGCAGACATCTCGGGGAAAAGAATTTCTTGTTCTAGGATCTATCTCTTGGTTGTGATTTAAAATAAAAAAGAAGGTTCCTTTGGTCTCAGCCCCTGTAACTGTTGTAATTGGTGAGACATAAGCTTGGTAGTCTTTTGGGTTTTTTCTTGCTCCAGAGTCCTCTCAAAATGTTCAGCTAAGGCCACCAATTCAGTCATGTCTGTAACTTCCCATCCAGGTTTATGTTTTTTTAATTAAACTGCTAAGTTTGGGACAGAGTCCATTTATAAATAGAGTAGTTGATGCAGTTCCTGCAGGAAATATTCCTTGCTGTTATTTTGAGCCCCAAATGCTTCACAAGCAGTGTTTCTAAGTGAGTTCTGTCGTCCGAAACTTCTTTTGTCTGTATGGTGGACCAGTCAATTTTTTTGTGTGGAAAAATCTTAGGAATTGAATCTAAAATGATTTTGGCAATGTTTCTAGCTTATTTCAGCCATTCCTGTGAGGGGGTTTTGGAGGGGTCTTTAATACCCTCCTCAGGTTGGCTCCATTCTGCAGCTGTCACTCATTTTCAAGCTTCCACAGGTCCCAGTATCATGTGAATAAACTGGTAAAGGTCAGGGAGTCCTGGATTGTAAGCTCTTATGAGTAAATTTTTGAGGACTTCCCCTTGGGCTAGGGAGTCCTTTACTATGGCTCTAAGCTCAGCTTTAGAACATGGAGTGAAGGTGGTTATGGCGGGAAGGCCTGGCTGATCACAAGCTCTTACTTTGTAAGACATCTGTCCAACTTCTCTTTTTTCGTCATCTTTAAAGGGTGAAAGGGTAATTTGACTAGAAGATTAGTGGAGCAAATTATTTAGGTAGAGATGGGTAAAGAGAGGAAACAGGGTTATTTCAGAGTACAGTCCTCTTTCGTCATGTTCTTAGTCTGTTGTTTAAAATGTTTGCTTGCTTTTTGCAAAGAATCATTTAAGGAGGCAATTTTTAATTTGTTTAGCCTTTTAGATGCCTTGCATACCAATTAAAGAACACATCTCATTGTTTTGTGGGGTTTTTAAAATCCCCTTTTTTCTAATACGCCTCCCAACTAAACAATCTTATCCAAAATAAAACTTAACTATTGGCTGGGTGGGGTGGCTCACGCCTGTAATCCCAGCACTTTGGGAGGCCAAGGCAGGTGGATCACTTGAGGTCAGGAGTTCAAGACCAGCCTGGCTAGTATGTTGAAACCCAGTCTCTACTAAAAATACAAAAATTAGCTGGATGTGGTGGTGGGAGCCTGTAATCCCAGCTCCTGGGGAGGCTGAGGCAGGAGAATCTCTTGAACGCAGAAGGCGGAAGTTGCAGTGAGCCAAGATTGTGCCATTGCATTCCAGCCTGGGCGTCGCGAGACTCCGTCTCAAAAAAACAAAGCAAAACAAAAAACAGAAAATAAAAACCAAACTTCCCTATTGTGGTCATCTTAATTCTAAGTTGTCTCCAGAAAGGTTAACCCGTTTTTCCAAAAATACGTACATTGTGGACCCATAATTTTTACGGATAAATTTAGCTGGAGTCTCAGAAGCTACAGTCTCTGATTCTTTGGATTGATATGAACACATTATCAAAAAGTTACTTATCTGAAGTCTGGGGCTTCTAAATTCAATCTGATGCTATACCCAGTGCAGTATAAATACTGCTTACATCAACTCAGGGAGCTGAGAACACAAGTCAGTGGAGCTTGGGATTTGAGAGAAAACTCACCCACAAACCTCCAGTTACAAACAAGAGAGCGCACACAATTGGCTCTGCAGGTGCCCCGCTTCGTTGCCTGCTGTTCCAAGGAGTCACTGGAATTGTACTTCACTCTTCACTTCTACTCCAGATCTGATGAAAGAAAAACTTTAGACACATTTAACAGAGTTTAATTGAGCAAGGAAAAAAATGATTTGCAAATCGAACAGCCTTCAGAATCAAAACAGATTCAGAGAAACTTTGGGGCTACCACATGAGCAGATAAGATTTATGGACCAAAAAAAGAAAAAGGAAAATGAGGTACATAAACAGCTGGACTGGTTCCAGCTTGACTTTGCCAGTATGTTAAGGGAGTTTGAACAGTTGGCTGCCTGTCAATGGTTGAAGTGTGGCTAGAGTGATGGGCTGAGGCTCAGCTTTTGTTACAGAAGAAACTCCTCAGGTTTTCAGTTTGTTACACACTAAGTTAAGTTACAATTCAGACTGAAGAACTCAAGGAAGCAAGTATTAATACCAAGGCTTTCTCAGAACAAATTTTAGTTGGATTTAACAGTATAGATCATGATGTATTAGAGTAATAAAGTTCTAAGAATAAGTACCTCTAAGTATCAGAAAAATATATTTCTCTCATCTAACATAAGTTTATTCTTATGAGACAGTTTCAGTTGATGGCAGAGGATGTTAGTTTAAAATGTTAAACATAAGTTGAGGGTTGACCTAGAGATCTGAGAAATTGTATCTGACATACTGAAGACCATGTGAAGAGGATGAGCCAGGAGACCACACAGAATGGTGGGTATTGTGGGACCTCCATCCCCGTCAATATTCTGAAAACTGGGACCCAGAGCAAACTTCTGGCCACCCCTTGATCCATCAGGACTAGACCCCAAGATAGAGTTTCCTCATGGGTTGCTTCTACCTTGACATTTCACGAGGGGCATCCCTGCTTCATGCGCACCTGCCTTGGAAGGCAGAGAGCTGCTTGGACCTGCCCTCTGGGTGTCTGTCCTCATCAGCACAAAGAAGCCCCAATCCGAAGCCTTTGCCCTCCTGATTCTGAGACAGATGGCGAGAAGAAGAAACCATTAAATTCCTTCTAATAGCCCTGTTTACTTTTTCCTTTGTCTCAGATTGTTCCTTGATATCAGTGGGTACAATTGTTAACAAAAAACAATTAAGGGTGCTTACGTGAGACTTTGAAATTCAAACCCAAGATAGCTATTCTACCAGCTAAGGAATGAGTTTGTACGGAATTGGCCTGTGGTACCTCAGTGAGACTAGGAAAGTTGAAAATGAGATGCTGTTAGCCAGTAAGGATGTTCTGACCAAATAGACATTAAGGCTAACTTGGCATAATCACAAACATGAAACACTACCACCAGGAAAGACTTGGGATATAAAGAGGCTGTACAGCACAGTGCACAGGCTCTGGAGCAGGACCGCAGGGTGCCAACCCCAGACCCCCAGACCTGCTACGAGTTAACTGTGTGATAGAAGTTACGTAACCTCCCCAAACTTCAGTTTCGTCATCCAAAAAGTGGGGATGATATTACTACCATACCTATCTCACAGCGTTGTTAAGATGAAGCGAGTAAATGCATGTATAGCTCTTAAATCAGGCACTGGCCGGGCGCGGTGGCTCACGCCTGTAATCCCAGCACTTTGGGAGGCCGAGGCGGGCGGATCACGAGGTCAGGAGATCGAGACCATCCTGGCCAACATGGTGAAACCCGTCTCTATTAAAAATATAAAAATTAGCTGGGCGTGGTGGCGGGCGCCTGTAGTCCCAGCTACTCGGGAGGCTGAGGCAGGAGAATGGCGTGAACCCGGGAGGCGGAGCTTGCAGTGAGCCGAGATCGCACCACTGCACTCCAGCCTGGGCGACAGAGCGAGACTCCGTCTCAAAAAAAAAAAAAAAAAAATCAGACACTGGTGCAAAGTGCTATATTAACATTTGTGCTTGCCGCATGCAGTGGCTCACGCCTGTAATCCCAGCACTTGGAGAGGATGAGGAGGGTGGATCACTTGAACCCAGGACTTATAGACTAGCCTAGGCAACATGGAGGAACCCCATCTCTACAAAACATACAAAAATTAGCCAGGCACAGTGATGTGTACCTGTAGTCCTAGCTACTTGGTAGGCTGAAGTGGGAGGATCGCTTGAGCCTGGGAAGTTGAGGCTATAGTGAGCCAAGATCATACAACTGCACTGCAGCCTGGGTGACAGAGTGAGATCCTGTCTCAAAAAAAAAAAAAAAAAAAAAAAAAAAAAAAAAAAAAAAAAAGACATTGTGCTAGCATTATTATTTTGTACTGAAAAATACAAATATATCCTATATTAGTTATTTACTGAATGCACGTGGCTAAAGGGAAAAAGCATGGAGGAATACACACAGGAAGTTTTTATCAGCCAGGCCTGGTGCTGGCTGGTGTCACTCCTACTCGCATTCCTCAGCTAGAACTCACATGGCCACAGCTAACTGCAGGGGAAGCTGGGACATGTAGCCTAACACTTTGAGCCCAGGAACAAGAGGAGAATGTGAATTTTGCTGAGTAGTCTTCATCAAGCCAAAACCCATCCATAAGTGCCTACATGGTTTTGCATTCTTGGGTTAAGAACCACTGGAATAGACAGATCAAGTAGATAAAATACATGTATAGTAATCATATTTTGCTAGCAGAATTGGAGTGTGTGGCCTAAACATTATTTTTTCTGATTTACAAAAGCTTTCTGTATGAAAAGTATTATAAAATAATAAAAATTAAATTAATTTGGTTGTATATTTAAAGAGTTGCCTTTATTGAAAAGGATATAATTGTATGAAATCAGGGCAGTGCCAGAAGATCGCAGAGTTCTCTGTTCAGTAACGAACAACTGACCCACCATTGTAAAATCCATATTTACTCTCTTGGTTCAGTGGCCAGGATTAGTATCAGTATGACCTGAGGTTAGTAGAGTACTACAAAAAAGGTGTTGGTAAAATTAAAACCACAAAGCTTTGTGGACAATGGAGAGGTCTGTATGGAACCCAAGGGTGAAAGCAATAGAAAATTGATGAAAAAGCTAGCCCAAAGGAGAAGCAGAAGCCAGGGCATCTGTCAGGTGCTGGGCAGTGAAATTTCCTAGCTACTTTCTAAAGTACACAAAGAAAATAGAGCCAGGGACCAGGTGTGCTGTGTTGGGTGTGTGAACATTCCTGAGACGTCCATAAGCTGATTTATAAAAACTTAGTCTTAATGCTTTAGAAAAGATACCTATATAATTACGCCTACAGAAAAGGTTAAAAAATCCTTTTTATTCATGTGGTTTTATAAGCCTAAGCATTTACCAATGTTCTTGAAGAAGATTGTCACACTAGTTTATGTTACATATTTAAGAAGGCAAACTTGTGATAATTTTTAAAATTCAGAATATAAATGGCTCACTATGAATTTTTTTCTTTTCAAATTTTTTGCAACAAACATATTAGTTTCTGAGTTAGCATTAAGAAAAATAAAAAGATAATATTATGCAAGATTTTCTTAGAAAAAGTGTTTAGACTGATTTCCTACAGTTTGATTGTTTTCTGTTACTTTGCATTCTTGAATTGTTGTGGAACAGTGCAGTCACATTTTATGCAAGGTTTGTACAACATTTTAAATTAAGCTCATAAGTCTAAAAATCCCAATAGTTGCAATCATCCTGAAAATTCTTTAAAGTACCCACAATATATACTATATATGGGTTTGTATATATAAATCTGTTGCTTAATATGAATGTGTAATATAGATTAAAATACAGTTATATATGGGTTTGTATATATAAATCTGTTGCTTAGTATGAATGGGTAATATAGATTAAAATACAGTCCATAATGAAATATACATGCCAAGTGTTGTTTCATGGTACTATTTAAATTATTAGTCTCTGTTTCATTATTATGAGTGGGCGTAGTTTAACTCATGTCAGGTAAGGCTAGGTATAGTAGCTCATGCCTGTAATCCCAGCACTTTGGGAGGCCAAGGTGAGTGGATCCCTTGAGCTCAGGAGTTCGAGACCAGCCTAGGAAACAAAGTGAGACCCCCCCCGTCTCTACAAAAAATTAAAAAAAAATTAGTCAAGTATGGTGGCATGCACCTGTAGTCCCAGCTACTTGGGGAGCTGAGGTGGGAGGATGGCTTGAGCCTGGGAGGCAGAGGTTACAGTGAGCTAAGATTGCACCATTGCACTCCAGCCTAGGCGACAGAGCCAGACCCTGTCTCCAAAATAATAATAATAATAATAATAATAATTCATGTAAGTTAAATTCACACAGGATGGAATTCCATGGTATAATGGCATAAGCATTGTACTTGAGTTGGAAGTCCTGGTATTTTATGACCTGGGACAAGTCATTTGACCTTTCCAAGCCTTACCTCTGATGCCTGTAAGATGGGGCTTCTACTACTTACTTCTTAAGTTGGATTAAAGATGAAGTGAAATGACATAAACTCTAAAGTGCTAAACCTATCAAGAGGCTGCTACTAGATTGAGAGTGTTGGGAGGGCAGGTACCATGTCAGTGTTACTGCTATTGCATTTTCATAAGTTTTTGCTGGAAGTCACATTGGAAGACCAAATCAGTGAGATAACTCGGTCCTCTCTTTCCTGTCCACGGGCAGACAGGACAGATAGACCTGTGCACAGAGTGGTGTCAACATATCTGAAGTAATGAAAGCAAATTAGGCTTTTTTTTTCTGAAACTTCAGTCCATACAGAGAAACTAGGGCTGCGCATGTTTAAGTGAAACAAGCCTCTACAGAAATTCAGTGTAAACACTGGAAATTTCCTTCATTAGGCAGTGAGCAGTGGGTTTTATTGGGAAAGGATTTGTCATGTTGAAAGCTATCCAAGTATAAGGCCATTGTTTGCTTTGACTATTGAAAATATGTTTGTTCACTAAACTTTCACCTTTTTATCCAATATTACATCTTAAAAAGAGGATTATTTTAATTATAGTAGCACCTAACTAATTTGATAAGTGACAAGTCAAGGAGTGAAAATGAAAATAAGCGAGAAAATCTCTCCATAACAGCTGAGGTGACTGTGTCAACCAATTATAGTTTTATTCTCTTCTCCACAAAATGAGACTTTAAACATTTTGTCCATAGTGACCTCAAGTGATGTGAATCCAAGGAATAAATTGAGATGGAATCATGAAGAACCTTACCGTGTGTGTGTGTGTGTGTGTGTGTGTGTGTGTGTGTGTACTTTTTATTTTGAAATAATTATAGAGTCACAGAAAGTTGCAAAGACCTGTACAAGGAGGGCCTATGTACCCATCAGTCAGCCTTCCATAGTGTTAACATCTTGTATAACCACAATACAGTATCAAAACCAGCAAATTCACATTGGTGTAATCCACAATTTATTCAGATTTCAGCAGTTATGTTGTAGTCTTGTCAATGTATCAAGATGTACTAGTCTGTCGTTGTCTGAGATGGTACCTGGAGTTCTTTGTCTCACATCTAAGAGAATTAAGGAGTGTGGACACAAGGGTGGAGTGAAACTTTAATAAGTCAAAGAAAGTTTTTTGTAGTGGAAGGTGAGGCCTGAATGGGTTGTCCCCTATGAGGTTGGGGTCTAGGGTTTTTATGGACTGGGAAGGGGAAGGAACGTGTTTAGTCCTTAGTTCTCTTGGACATGAGTAAAGGGACTACTATCTCAGACAACAAGAGACTATTACATCTTGGTACACTGATGAGACTACAACAGTTATACATGCATTATTTTCTCTCTGCATGTGTACGTGTATAGTTCTAGGTGATTTTATCATGCATGAAGCTGCCACCACCACATGTAACCACCACCACATGACTGTGGTATACCATTGCCTCAAGGCTCCCTCATATAACTTGCTTAGAGCTCTAGCGGCGGCTTCCTCTCCCCTGCCCCTCGAAACCTCTCCTCTGTTCTCCTTTTTGCAGTGGCGTGATCTCAGCTCACTGCAACCTCTGTCTCCTGGGCTCAAGCGATTCTCCTGCCTCAGCCTCCTGAGTAGCTGGTATTACAGGTGCCCACCACCACGCCCGGCTAATTTTTGTATTTTTAGTAGAGATGGGGTTTCACCATGTTGGCCAGGCTGGTCTCAAACTCCTGACCTCAAGTGATCCACCCGCCTTGGCCTCCCAAAGTGCTATATCTTTTTAAAATTAGTCTTTTTCACTCAGCATAATTTTTTTGAGATTAATTCAATCTACTGTATGTATCAAAAGTTTGTTCCTTTTTACTGCTGAGTAGAATTTCATGGTATGAATATACCACAGTTTGTTTAACCATTCACCACCAAAGACATTTGGACAATTTTCCCTATTTGGATGTTACAAATAAAACTGTTATGAACATTCATGTGCAAGTTTCTTTTTGTTGTTGTTTGTTTTTGGAGATGGAGTCTTGCTCTATCACCCAGGCTGGAGTGCAGTGGTACCATCATAGCTCACTGCAGCCTCGACCTCCTGGGGTCAAGTGATCCTCCCACCTTGGCCTCCCAAAGTGCTAGGATTACAGGTGTGAGCCACCGCACCTGGTCATCATGTACAAATTTCTGCATGAAAATAATTTTTCAGTTCTCTAGATAAATACCCAAGACAGTTCAATTGTGGGTCATATGGTAAGCCCCTTTTCAGTTTAAAACTATTTCTCAAAGAAATGTGCCGTTTTACATTTCTTCTAGCAGTGTATGAGTGATTCAGTCTTTCCACATCGTCACCATCATTTAGTGTTACCACTTTGTAATTTTAGCCAATCAGATAGGTATGTAGTGGTACCACATTGTGGTTTTAATTCACATTTCTATAATGGCTAATTATGTTGAATATTTTTATGTGCTTAAGTGCCATCTGTATATCCTCTTTGAAGTATCTGTGCATATCTTTTGCCCATGTTCTAATTGTATTACTTGATTTTTTTTTTTTTTTTTGATACAGAGTCTCACTCTGTCGACCAGGCTGGAGTGCAGTGGTGTGATGGTCTTGGCTCACTGCAACCTCTGCCTCTCAGGTTCAAGCAATTCTCCTGCCTCAGCCTCCCGAGTAGCTGGGACTACAGGTGCGCACCACTATGCCTGGCTAATTTTTGTGGTTTTTTTGTTTTTTTTTGAAACGGAGCCTTGCTCTGTCACCCAGGCTGGAGCGCAGTGGCATGATCTCGGCTAACTGCAACCTCCGCCTCCTGGGTTCAAGCAATTCTCCTGCCTCAGCCTTCCAAGTAGCTGGGATTACAGGCTCCTGCTCCCCACACATATTGGTCAGGCTGGTCTTGAACTCCTGACCTCAGGTGATCCACCCGCCTCAGCCTCCCAAAGTGCTGGGATTACAGGCATGAGCCACTATGCCTGGCTGTATTATTTGATTTTTAATATGCAGTTTTGAGAGTTTTCATTTTCAGTGATTTGTGTTCTAATCTTTACTATTTCCTTCCTTCTGTTTGCTGTGGGTTTATTCTGCTCTTTTTAAAAAATTGTTTGTAGATCTTTCCTTTTTTTCTAATGTCAGCAGTTCTATACATTCGCTTCTCCACATTGCTTTAGCTGCATCCCACAAACTTTGGTTTTTTCATTCAGTTCTGTGTATTTTTAAATTTTTGACACTCTTTGATCCATGCATTATTATGTGTTATTGTTTAATTTCCAAGTGTTTGGAGATTTTCTATTGATTTCTTTCTAGTTTCATTCCATTAAGGCCAGAGAATATATTCTCTATGATTTGAATTATTTTAAATTTGTTAATATTTGTTTTGTGACTCAGGGCCTGTTGTGGTGAATGTTCCATGGGTGCTTGAAAAGAATATGTATTCTACTGTTGTTGGGTAGAGCCTTCTTTAAATGCCAATTTGATCTTGTTGGTTGATGGTCAGCTTTTCTAGATCCTTGCTGATTTTCTGTCAAGTAGTTCTATGAATTGCTGAAAGCAGGGTACTGAAATAACCAACTACAATTGTAGATTGCCGGTTTCTCCTTTTAGCTTTATCAGTTTCTACCTCATGTACTTTTAAGCTCTTGTTTAGTGCATACACATTTAGGATAGCTATAGCTTCTTGGCAGAGAGTAATGTTTGTCTTTTTTACTTTTCTTTGCTCAGAAGTCTACTTAGTCTACTTTATCTGATAGTAATATAGCCACTCCTGCTTTTTTGGATTAATATTTGCATGATATATCTTTTTCTATCCTGTCACTTTCAACCTACCTATGTTGTTACGCTTGAAGTGAATTTCTTACAGTTTCTTCTATAGTTGGGTTGGGTTTTACTTTTAAATTGGCATATTTAGGCCATTTATATTTAATGTAATTATGATATGCTAGGGCTTAAGTTAGCCATTTTATTTTTATTTTATGCTTGTTTTGTTATTCTTCTGTTTCTTTTATCTTGCTTTTCATTTTGATTTTTTTAGCATATTGCATTTTACAGATTTTTTTAGTGGTTCTTTCATGCAATACCATATACATATGTAACTTATGGCAGCCTACTGTTTTTGACATTTTACCCCTTAAAGGGAAATGCAGAACTCTTCCATTTAGATACCTTTACCCTCCTCACTTCTGAAATATATTTTGTCTTAGGTGTTTCCTCTAGATACATTGTGTGTCATATTAGGTAGTGTTATAACTTTTGTTCAACCATAAAATAAGATTTTTAAAACCCATAAGGTGAAGAATAGGCTATTACATTTTTACTCATTCTTTTCTTCTTTCCTTTCTGAATGTCCCAACCTTCTTCTGTTATTATTTCCTTTTTGTTAAGAAGAGCTTCCTTTAACTATTCTTTAAAGGTGGGTCTGCTAGCAACAATTTCTCTTAATCCTTTATCTTAGAATGTCTTTATTTCCCCATTATTTCTGAAAGGATTTAGGGTTGATATTTCTTTCAGCACTTGAAAAATATTATGCATCTTCCTTTTGGCCTCCATAGTTTCAGATGGGACAACCACTGTCTTTCAAATTAGTATTTACTTATAGATAATGTGTAATTTCCCTGTGTTTTCAAGATTTTTTTTCTTTGTCTTTTGTTTTCAGAAGTTTAATCCTAATTTATCTTGGCATGGGTTTCTTTGGGTTTATCCTATTTGGGACTTACTCAGCTTCTTGAAACTGTAGGTTTATGTCTTTTGCCAAACTTGAGAAGTTTTCAAATCTACTCCCTTCCTCCTCTCTTTCTGAGACCTTTATGATATGAATTTAGATCTTTTATTATTTTCCCACAGAACCCTGAAGCAGTGTTCATTTTTTTCTATTTTCTCACTGTTGTTCAAATTGAGTAAATTTTATTGATCTGCTGTCAGATTCATTGATTCTATCTCCACTATGCTATCAAGTTCACTCAAAACACCCAGAAGTTGGCTACATAGAGCTCGCTGGAAGAAGCAGGCCCAGAAAGGGGCAGATTAAGAGACAGACATGTTAGTGACAGCCATAAATTCTCTGAGTGGAGCAAGAAGGAAGAGTGAGGGCTGAGGATAGTTTCTGTGAGATGGCCTCATTTGGAGGGTGAAGAGAAAAGAAACCATGGAGCAGGTGCTGACTTCTGTGTAGAGTGAAGGTGCTATTGTCCTGTTGTCATTTGGCTAACTAGAATGTTTTATGCTGTTTTCTTTTTCTTTCTATTATTTTTTAAAGAGGGAGGGTCTTGCTCTGTCACTGAGCCTGGAGTGTATTGGTACCAGAATGGCTCACTGGAGTCTTGAACTCCTAGGCTCAAGCAATCCTCCTGCCTCAGCCTGTCAAGTAGGTAGGACTAGAGATACAGGCCACGTCACCTGACTAATTGTTTCTTGCTAGGTTGCCCAGGCTTGTCTTGAACACCTGACCTCAAGCAATCTTCCCACTTCAGCCTCCCAAAGTGCTGGGATTCCAGGGGTTAGCTACCTCACTTGGATGTTTTATGCTATTTTCTTGATATAGTGCCTCTCTCTGCTTTGTATAATCAAATATATGACAGAATGATTGCATTTTTTAAGCCTTGAGAAGACCCTTATAGAAAACTGAGACCTAGAGTGTGAAATTACTTCACTAAGGTCACAAGACTGTGACGTGGTAGAATGGCAACTGAACTCTAGAGTATTATTTTCTCTTAGCTTTTCTCTTGTTGCTCCAGCAGTCATTTATTGAACACCCTTTTGGGTGCATTATAGGATAGAAGGGAACATAAGACACTCAAGTTGCTTATAGTTTTACCGGGAAGATAAAGACACAGGAAATAGCCAGGTAGCAGTGTAAGGCCCATTGGATGGCATGCAGAATGAGTCTAGTCAGTGAGGGCACGGGAGGAGTGAAGGAGGGGTCAGGAAGGGCAGGTGGCCTGGTTTCATGGATGAGTCCAGACTCGAGCCTGAAAAGGTAAGTATAAAATGAGGAAATGAGAAGACATTTGAGAAAAAGAGGTATATAAGCCAGGTTTTTAACAACCTACATGTCAAATCCTGTTCTTTCTTATTGGCTCATTTTGCCATGCATCCCTATAAAACTAATGATTTAGTAGTCAGTCTTGTGCTTGTGTGAGGAGAGGCTTTCCAGAGCCAGTTAACCTCAGAAACATAAACCCATTGAATACAGACAGCATTCATTCATTCAGCCTACCTTTACTGAACAACAGCTATGTACCAAATACAATACCAGGTGTTAGAGTTAGAAAATGAACAAGACAGGTCTCTTTCTCTTAAGAAACCAATAATACAGAAATAACATTATTCTCTTCTTAGAAAGAAAAATGTAAAATGTGTAATTGTCTGCTTTATAAACTGACAGTTCATGGAACATTTGTAGAAATTAATCACATTGGAAGACTTGCTAAAAATGTCAATCAGTTCCTCAAAAGTAGAAATAAGACTATCTTTGGTCACAATGCAGTAAGGTAATAAAATGAGGAAATAATAAAAGAAGAACAATTTATCCCTCTTCTACTAAAACCTCTCTGAACTTTTGGGTCAAAGAATAAATTAACCCCAAAATGCAGAATATCTAGAAAACAATATATAGCTCAATCTATGGAATGCCACCAAAATTGTTCTTGATGAAAAATGTATAGTCTAACATCACTTCTGAGGTTAGAAAACAACAATAAAATCAACCTACAGAATGCAAAAGAAAGAAAGATCAAAGCAGATATGAATTAATTAGAAGATATGAGAGAAAAACCAGAATTGACAAATACAAAAGTTGATTTATTGCCAAAACCAATAAAACAGAGATAACATTGGCTAACTGCATTAAGAGGGGAAAGAGAAAAACTCACTAATCCAGAGGATTAGAAATCATAAGTGACAAATAGTAACAGATGCAGAGGAAATTAAAAGAATCATATATAGTACTTTGTGAACTTTTCAGCAAAGAATTTTGACAATCTGACTGAAATAAATGATTTTCTAAGAACATATGAGTCACCAAAAATTGATACCGAATGAATTATTAGACAACCTAAGTAAACAATACCCATGGAAGAAAGTTAGCAAAGAATTTTTCCTGGAAAAACACCAGACCCACAGAGTTTCTTTCATAAGTGAATTTGCTCAAAATTTCAATAAACAGGTCAGTTCTAACTGTAAAGATATTTTCATAGAAAGGAAGGCTTTCAAATTATGTTTATGACCAGCAAAATACTAATGCCATAACCTGACAAGTTAGACAGAACAATAACATACTATAAGCTACTCTTATTTGTAAATATCAATGTAAAAATAACAAACAACATACATAACTCAATAACATATCAAAAGCATGATAAACCCAAACTAGATGGGTTTTATCCTAAAAGTGTAAGGATGGTTCCATCTTAAGAAATGTGTTAGGAAAACTTATATTTATAGGTCAAATATGTCAAAACTCAGTAGTTGCAAATAAGGCAGTTAGCAAAATTCAATAATATTTCTAATAAATACTTCTAGAGAAAATAGGACGAAGTGATATTTCTTTAATGTTATGTAAACTCTCTCTCTGTGTGTTTGTGTGTGTGTGTATTTGTAATCAAAAGGCAGCATGAGGCTGGATGTGGTGGCTCACACATGTAATCCCAGCACATTGGAAGGCCGAGGCAGGAGGATTGCTTGAGTCTGGGAGTTTGAGAGTAGCCTGGGCAACATAGCAACACAGTGAAACCTCATCTCTACTAAAAAAAAATAAAATAAAATAAAAAAAAAAAATAGCTGGGCATGGTGGTGTGCACCTGTAGTCCCAGCTGCTCAGGAAGCTGAGGTAGAAGGATTGCTTGAACCTGGAAAGTCAAGGCTAAAGTGAGCTGTGGTCATGCCACTGCACTCCAGCCTAGGTGACAGAGCAAGACCCTGTCTCACACACACAAAAAGGAAAAAAAAAAAAAAAAAGCTAGCATTATATTAGTAATGAAACAACAAAAGAAAATTCTATTTAAAGTTAAGATTAAAACAAGACAAGGTACCTACCATCACCATCACTATGTAATAATATTTGGATTCTAGACTCATGGTTAGTAAACTACCTGTAAGCCAAGTGCCTGCTTTTTTCTTTTTTCTTTTTTTTGAGACAGAGTCTCCCTCTGTCACCCAGGTTGGAGTGCAGTGGCATGATCTCAGCTCACTGCAGCCTCCGCCTCCTGGGTTCAAGCAGTTCTCATGCCTCAGCCTCTGGAGTAGCTGATTTTTGTACTGTTAGTAGAGACAGGGTCTCACTATGTTTGAGAGGCTGGTCTTGAAATCCTGACAGGTGATCCACATGCCTCGGCCTCCCAAAGTGCTGAGATTACAGATGTGAGCCCCTGCACTCGGCTGTGCTTTTTAAATAAAGTTTTATTGGAGCACAGCATTGCCCAGTCATTTATGTATTGTCTGTGGCTGCTTTCATGCCACAACTGCAGAAATGAGTAGTTGTGACAGAGGTTGTATGTTATAAAGCCTAAAATATTTGCTATCCTTTTATGGAGAATGTTTGCCTATCTCTATTCTAGACAATACTAATAGATAAATGAAAGAAATTAGAGGTAGAATTATTGAAAGGAGGCAGCAAAATTATCATTATTTTCGGAGGATGCATAGGAAAACCAAGATGATCAACTGAATGGAAAATAGAAACAATACAACTCGATAAGATGGATGGTTACAAAATAAACTTCTTAAAAATCATTCATTTTCTGATTTACAAACAAACAGTTATAATGGAAGAAGAGCTCCCATTTAGAAAAGCACAGAAAAGAAATGCTTATGAGTCTATATGATATGAATAAATTATGGAATGAATAAATAAGAATCTCCTGTACTGAATTCCAAATACTGCATGTAGATGCTCCCCTTCCGAGGAGATGGGACATAATGCCCTGCCTCTTAAGTGTGGACTGTGTATAGTGACTTCCTTCCAAAGGTCACAGTAGGGAAAGTGGGGGGAAAGAATAACGTTACAGTGGAGAAACCTGACAGACTGGACTGCTGCTTCTGCGGGGTGATCAAGGTTAGCATCAACAGTGATGTCATGTTGATAGCAGGTTCCTTGATGTGATGTGATGAGAACGCACTTTATATCTCTATTCTTTTTCCTAAAAACCTATAACCCATGTCTAACTGAAAAATCTCAGACAAACCTAAATTGAAGGACATTCTGTAAAGTACTTGACCATTACACCTTAAAACTGTCAAGGTCATCAAAATCTAGGAATGTCTGAGAAACTGTCTCAAGCAAGAGAAGCCTAAGGAGACATGAAGACTAAATGTTATGTGGTATTCTGGTAAAAACTAAGGAATTCGGAGTGAACTACAGACTTTAATAATGACATATTAATATTGGTTAATTGTATTAGCATTGTACATTTTGACAAATGTCTCAACTTTTGTGGGTTTTTTTTTTTTTTTTTGGTTTTTGGTTTTAACTTTTGTGTTTCTAAAACTAAAGTAAAATGTTTATTTAAATTAAAAAGCACCAAAATTTGAATGTGAAACATAAGGTGTATAGTTTGTCCTCAGTAAATTTCCCTGGTCATGTACATGTAAATATATATTTTTGGAAAGGTTTAAAAAAGTCATCTGAAAAAATAAATGTGAGGATGAATGGGAAAAAATTTTGAAGAGTAATGATGAGGGGTTCTATTATATTTCTATCTAAAACATGTTATAAAGATATATTAATCAGAATAGTTTGTTGCTTGAGAAGTTAAATTAAGCCCTTGAAATGTAAAAGAATAAAACTCAAAAATAAAGTCAAATACATTCAGATTTTTTTATATGATGAAATGAGCATTTCAAATCAATGAAGAAAAGATGGACTGATCAATAAATGTTATTGAGACATCCGATTCACAATTTGGAAATTTAGCTGCATACCATATTTCTTTCACCAAAATAAATTCCACATCAAATATTAAATAAAAAAAAGCACATCAAACCACAGTAGGAAACAAACATGAGTAAATAAATGCATTCTTGATATGTGGGAAACTTTTTAGAGTCAGAAAGTAAAATTCAAAAGCTGTAAAGAGAAATAGTGATAAAACATGTTTAATAAAAACTTCAAACTTCTAATTGAAAGAAATACAAAAAGAAATACAACAAATGAAAGGGGGTGTAGACAAATAAAGGGCTAAGTTTCTTATTTTATCAAGTGTTCTAACAAATGTTTTAATAAAAATCTCTCTCCCCAAATAAAAATTAACTCATTAGTAAAGCTGGCAAATGAAACTGCCATTCTCATTTGTTTTTTTGTGGGGATAGAAATTGTTGTGACTTCTTTGAGGGCCATTTGCAGTATTTACTGAAGTTTCAAAAGTATGCCTTTTTTTTTTTTTTTGGATACAGAGACTTGCTCTGTCGCCCAGGCTGGAATGCAATAGCACTATCTCGGCTCACTGCAACCTCTGCCTCCCAGGTTCAAGCGATTCTCCTGCCTCAGCCTCCAGAGTAGCTGGGATTACAAGCGCGCACCACCATGCCTGGCTGATTTTTGTATTTTTAGTAAAGATGGGGTTTCACCATGTTGGCCAGGCTGGTCTAGAACTCCTGTCCTCAGGTGATCCAACTGCCTCAGCCTCCCGAAATGCTGGGATTACAGGCATGAGCCACTGTGCCCAGCCTAAAAGTATGCTCTCTTTGACTCAGCACTTCCACTGCTAGGAATTTCACCAAAGTGTAGGTGGCTAAATAAGCAAGAATGTTTACTTCAGCATTGCTGGTAAAAGCAAAGCTCTGGAAACTCATGAGGGGCCAGGATATGTGCATTCTGCTGCACCATTCAGTGGAATTCTATGCAGCCTTTAAAAAGAATGAAGCTGGCCAGGCGTGGTGGCTCATGTCTGTAATCCCAGCACCTTGGGAGGCTGAGGCAGGCGGATCACCTGAGGTCAGGAGTTCGAGACCAGCCTGGCCAACATGGTGAAACCTCATCTCTACTAAAAGTACAAAAATTAGCCAGGTGTGGGGCACTTGTAATTCCAGCTACTTGGAAGGCTGAGGCAGGAGAATCGCTTGAAGGCAGGAGAATCGCTTGAACCCAGGAGGTGGAGCTTGCAGTGAGCCAGATCGCGCCATTGCACTCCAGCCTGGGCGACAGAACAAGACTGTCTCAAAAATAAAAAATAAAATGAAAAAAAAAAAAAGGCCGGGTGCAGTGGCTCATGCCTGTAATCCCAGCACTTTGGGAGGCCGAGGCGGGTGGATCATGAGGTCAGGAGATCGAGACCATCCTGGCTAACACAGTGAAACTGCGTCTCTACTAAAAATACAAAAAATTAGCAGGGCGTGGTGGCAGGCGCTTGTAGTCCCAGCTACTCAGGAGGCTGAGGCAGGAGAATGGCGTGAACTCGGGAGGTGGAGCTTGCAGTGAGCCGAGATCACGCCATTGCACTCCAGCCTGGGCGACAGAGCGAGCCTGGGCACTGTCTCAAATAAATAAATAAATAAAAAGACTTAAGTAGACCAAATGTGGGAGAAGCTCCTTGGTATAATATCAACTGAAGAAACAAAATGCAATGTCCATCATGCATTTGTCCTTATTACCTTAAAATATTTTCTGGAGCAATTCGTAATACCTTTTTAACACTGGTTGCCTTGGAGGAGAAAAAGTCCAAGTGGAGGACTGATGGGAGGAGGGAAGATAATTTGCCTCTTCATTTGCTTTTTTTTTTTTTTTTTTTTTTTGAGAGGGAGTCTTGCTCTGTTGCCCAGGCTGGAGTGCAGTGGCGCCATCTCGGCTCACTGCAAGCTCCGCCTCCTGGGTTCACGCCATTCTCCTGCCTCAGCCTCCGGAGTAGCTGGGACTATAGGCGCCCGCCACCACGCCCGGCTATTTTTTTTTTTTTTTTTTAGTAGAGACGAGGTTTCACTGTGTTACATTTGCTATTTTTTTATATTGACTTTTTTTTAACCGTGCAACTGTTAGCTTATTAATAATTAAAATTATGAAGGCCAGGCACGGTGGCTCACACTTTTATTCCCAGCACTTTGGGAAGCTAAGATGGGAGAATTACTTGAGCCCAGGAGTTTGAGACCAGCCTGGGCAACAAAATGAGACCCCATCACTACAAAAAATTTACAAATTAGCCAGACGTGGCGGTGTGCACCTGTAGTCCCAGCTACTTGGGAGGCTGAGGTGGGAGGATTGCGTGAACCCAGGATGTTGAAGCTGCAGTGAGCCATGATCGCACCACTGCACTTCAGCCTAGGTGTCAGAGTGGGACCCTATCTAAAAAAAAACAAACAAAAACAAAAATATAAAATTCTCAGAACAAAGAAATTGGAACAAAGTACAGACAACCCTTTTCAATAAGCATTACAAAATTTTTAGACGTAGGTTGCTTGAGTCCCAACTTACTGTCTCTATAATTAGAATTATTGAGTTACTGAGTTAAATCTAGCCCCAAGCAGGTTAATGTGTTACCTGACCCCTCCCCCCCAGCCAAATATATAGATTCAAGTAAACTTTTTGAAATACTGAACTATGAGTCTGTGAGTCATAGTTCATGGATTCCTGTGGACTTGAATGAGATGGAGGGGTCTGGGGAACCCAGGTTAGAAACCACAGTTATAATATGAAGAGCACTGGGCAGGGGGGTCAGAGGATGAAGGCCAGACTGACTGCTGGCCGCCGCCAACTAGCTAGCTATGTGAGCCAACCTCTCAGCCTGAGTTTTCTTGTCTGTGAAATGAGACTGGGGGTAAAAGGAAGTGGTAAAAGACCCTTCTAGCAACCAAATTCTGTGATTTATGAATATTGTAACCTGTAAACTTTCAATGGCACCAAGGTGATTGTGAGGACCACAGTAGCCTGCTAATGTAAGCACTATTCTTCAGGTCACAGTTTCAGGGCCAAAACACCATCCTTCCCAGGTCGTCAAGTAATTCTCCTCGGTAGATGATCTGCTGAGGCCGGCGATTATTCAGCCCTTCGGGAGGTGAGTGCAGAGCTGTTTTTCTCACCATCTTTAGCCTTCTGGGTATTCCTCATGCTTCCCCCTCTCTCAGGAGAATCTCTTGCCTCCTCCTCATCTTCTTCTTCCTGATTTATCACTGCCTCTGCCCCATCTGACATTAGGAAAGTGTTTCATCGTGCTCGAGTAGAAGATTTCATGGGAAACAGACTACCATCTTTGGAACAGGATCCGATATGAATAATTCTTTGAAACATTTTTCTCTGCATGTCTGTATCTTAGTCAACTTTCAGTTTCCCCTGCTTGAGGAGAGTGGGGCATGTAGACAATCCAAATGTCATCTATATTTGGCTTTAGAGTGTGTTTTCTACTTAGCTTTGAGTTCTGGATAGATCTGCGATTCTGGGAACTGACTTTAAACAAAATCACGAAGCTTTGCAGTGAAGACACATCTGACTCACAAGTAAGTTGAATGCTTTCCAAGGGCCCATTTTTTTAGAACTTGCTCAACTCTTTCCTGCAATAATGCTGTGCTTGGATCAGCCCACTTTCTCTCAGACCCTGGCAAACTGGCCATTCCAATATTCCTTCCTGTTAAAAGGTGGTTGCCATTTGGCTTTTTATTTGTAATTCATGCGAAGTTCAATAAGTAATATGAAACATCATTTCAGTAAGTGGTTCGGTGGGAGACATTATCAAAACAATTAGAATGTGTTACTGTCAATAAGCAAGAAATCAAAATTTCATAATCTTCTCTGACTCATGTGGAATTGACTTATACTTATGGCCCTTTCAGCTTTTAATGAAGAATGGCCAAAAAGTATAGAGTATTCAAGTTTGCTCAAATAAGAATCGATTGCTTCTTCCTCTGAGCCCCCATAGCAAGAATGTATTTTTTCAATGTAGCGGCTTTAATCACCTAATAGTATAGTATAGTACATGTTTTAAATGGGAGGATGGGCACTGTCTTCATTCATCCTTAAGTCCCTGACACCTAGCCCAAGTTTCCACCTATGATCGGTGTTTATCTAGTATTTGTTAAATGTGGGATTTCTCTCCTGATTGTCGGATTAACCCTTGAGTCCTTAGGACTCCTCGCTGCTTCTCAGTATCTCACATACCTTTTGCTAGCCACAAGAGAAAAAACAAAAACAAAACACCTCGCATCTTCAACAACCTTCACTTAAAATGTGTATAATAACTTTTCACGTAGAAAAGTGCTGAGAAGGCTGGGTGCAGTGGCACATGCCTGTAATCCCAGCACTTTGGAAGGCTGAGGTGGGTGGGCACTTGAGGCCAGGAGTTCAAGACCAGCCTGGCCAACATAGCAAAACCCCGTCCTTACTAAAAATACAGAAAATTAGCCGGGCGTCGTGGAGCACATCTGTAATCTTAGCTACTTGGGAGACTGAGGATGCAGTGAGCTGAGATCGCGCCACTGCACTCCAGCCTGGGTGACAGAGTGAGACTGTGTCTCAAAAAAAAAGAAAAGAAAAGAAAAAGTGCTAATAAAATACCTTAATGTGCATATGAATGAATTGGGGATCTTGTTAAAATGCAGATTTCAATTCAGCAGTTCTGAGAAGAGGCTAAGATTCTTCATTTGTAATAAGAGCCCAGGTGTCTAGACCAGGACCACTGGTCCTGGTCACAGACCACACTTTGAGTATCAAGAACTCTAAGTTGACTTGTGTATATTGTTAATTGACTGAGTGTTTAAGCAGGGAGGAAAAACACGGTTTAGCTTTCCAGTGAGTATGTCATTTAATATTTCTTACACACACAGAAAGGGTGAGGAAGGGTTAACAGGGTTCTGTGTGAATGATGTTCAGCAGGTGAGAAAGGAAACTAATAAAGCTGGCTGGATCTTGCTTTATGTGCTGTGCCTCAGCTCAGCAAACTGAGCTGGAGTGGGGTTAGGGTGAGCAGGGTCAACTGCTAAAACACAGTTTACTGCGGGGGTGAGACAGCAGCTGTTTTAACATCTCCCCCAATACCACACCCCCTCTGAGGACTAGAAGCATAAGAATGTATTGTATCCAAAAGAAATGGTCAGGAATGGTAGTTTAGACCTGCCTGTCTCAAATACCAATTGCCTAGTTGAGAATTTACCCAAGACATTAGTACTAGTGATTATGTCACTTTTCTTCTGCAAAGATGTGTTCATCTGTCTCATTTGTCACAATTTAGGTACATACATTTTCTGGTCTTCAGTTTCCTAGAATTTTCTTAGATAGAAATATGCTGTGTGTGTGTACTTGTGGGTGTGTTCCCCTGGGGCTCTGTATCTGTGTGTCATTTGAAAGAAAATTTAAAGCTCTTTTTAAAATCTTTTTTTTTTTTGCCGGGCACCGTGGCTCACACCTGTAATCCCAGCACTTTGGGAGGCCGAGGTGGGCAGATCACCTGAGGTTGGGAGTTTGAGACCAGCCTGATCAACATGGAGAAACCCTGTCTCTACTAAAAATACAAAGTTCACTGGTGTGGTGGTGCATGCCTGTAATCCCAGTTACTCGGGAGACTGAGGCAGGAGAATCTCTTGAACCCGAAAGATTTTTTTTTTTTTGAAGACAGAGTCTCATTCTGTCTCCCAGGCTGGAGTGCAGTGGCCCGATCTTGGCTCATTGTAACCTCTGCCCCCCGGGTTCAAGCACTTCTCCTGCCTCAGCCTCCCGAGTAGCTGGGATTACAGGCACCTGCCACCACACTCGGCTAATTTTTGTCTTTTTTGTGGAGAGACGGGGTTTTACCATGTTGGCCAGGCTGGTCTTGAATTCCTGACCTCAAGTCATCCACCTACCTCAACCTCCCAAAGTGCTGGGATTACAGGCATGAGGCACCATGCCTGGCCTTAAAACCTTTTCTTGATAGCCTTTTGCATTTCAGGTTTCTTGAAGTATCTCTGCTTGTTTGCTTCTGTTTCAAAGATCATAACAGGCAGCAGGCCCCATTGTGGGGGAAAGTGGTAGCAAATGGATCTGTGATAGCAGGTGTCATCCTCATCATCTCTTTACAGTAATCGAATTGGTTGAAGATACATGGAAATCCAACTAGATACACTTGTAAAAATATCACCTGCCAGTGCAGTGGCTCACACTTATAATTCCAGTACATTGGGAGGCTGAGGTGGGAAGATTGCTTGAGGCCAGGAGTTCAAGACCAGCCTGGGCAATGTAGCAAGACTCCATCTCTAAAAAAAAAAAAAAAACAGTTTTCAAGTTTGCCTGGGTGTGGTGGCATGCACCTGTAGTCCTTGCTTCTTGGAGGACTGAGGCAGGAGGATTACTTGAGCCCAGCAGTTCAAGGTTACAGTGAGCTAATTAGCTGGGTGTGGTGGTGGGTACCTGCAATCCCAGGGAGGCTAAGACAGGAGAATTGCTTGAACTCAGGAGAAGGAGGTTGCAGTGAGCTGAGATTGCTCCATTGCACTCCAGCATGGGCAACAGAGTGAGACTCTGTCTAAAAAAAAAAAAAAAAAAAAGTTCAAAAAATGTTTAAAAAGTTACAGTGAGCTATGATTGTGCCACTGCATTCCAGCTTGGGTAACAGAGCAAGACTCTGTTTCTTAAAAAAAAAAAAAATTACTAAAACATTTGTGATTGCCATTTGATGACTACATACCGTAACTACTCAATTTTGCCTTCCTTTCATGTGAATAGTGTCCTTTGCTGCATCTGCATTTGAGCTGCCCAAGAGCCCAACTAAATTAATCCCTCCAGAAGTAAAGGAGATGAAATCAACCAATCTGAGGAAAGCCTGACCAAGGCATTCATGTATCAAAAAGATATGGAATACCTACCCACTGCATACATGATACTAGAAATCCTACAGCTTCCCTGCACAGTGGCTGTGGTTTTCATTTATATGAAACTGAGGCCAGAGAGGTAAAGAACTTGGCCTGAAGTCACATGGGGCACTGGGTATTATTTGAAGCAGTTTTTTTCAAAAAAGTCACGGAGAAACATTACTCAGAGCCTCTCCCTCACACCCTGCAGATAGAGCTCTGAATCTCGGCATCTGTGAGTTGTTTCTTTTGGGCTTTTTAAAAAGTCTTCCAGAATTGTGGAATGGGATAGTTTCAGTTAAAATATCTGTTTTTGAAAATCATGACCAATAATAAAAATCAAGAATGTCCTATTACATATTTCATACCTTTAAGAATTTTGTTTTGCTCTAATTGGTCTTATTGGATTAAATGATTTCTAAAGTCTTCTCTGGGACTTCACTTTTGTGTTTCAAGTTTCTTATCCATCTGAAAGCCATATATTTGGGTTAAACCAAATTATTAGCAATAGGTATCTTTGTAGAATTTCTAGTAGTTTGGAAGGAGTTGAATGTACTAGAATCATAGCACGTATTTCAGCTGCTTTATTAGCAGTCTAGCTAAGGGGAGTTTATTGTTCCAGTTTTAGTCATTATAATACAGCCCTGTTTAATATTGCATGATCTGTGGGTTGCCATAAACTTGGTACAAATTGGAGTGCTGATATAACATGAAATGAAGCGCCTTGTCTGAATGTTGCTTTTGTTTTGCATTTAACAAATTAGTATGTTGACATTTGTCACTGATGGATTTCATTATTTGCTGAAAGGGTTTTAGGGGGTTTGACAGCATGAATGGTTTGTCTTACAGACTTTTGAGAATTGATAAAAGCATCTTTGTTCTTTGTACAAAAGCACAACAGATATCGTATTGATGGACACACAAAAAGGGATGGCTTGTGTAGCTGCAACATAAAATAAACCAAGAAAATAATTTTCGAGTTGCTACTTACTCTTTTATGTGATTTCTTCTTCTCATCCTTTTTTTCCTGATAAAAGAATGAGTTTCGTTCATCTCAATAACAAGCTCAAGAGCAATCAATAATCTTTCAGTAAAATTAAAATATTGGCTTCTTTATGCTCCACTTACATATCGTTTAAGGAGGATTATTTTAAAACATTATAAACACAGTTATGGTTCAGATTGCATTAAATAACTGTTCCACGTCCTCAGATAACAGAGGTGAGATGGGGGAGCAGGAAACTAAGAGTTCCGTAAAATAAGGAAAAGGACTAAAATTTTGATTTCAAATTCTAGTTTTATCAAAATGGTAAATATGCATGTTCTTCTGTCATTTTTTTTTGTTATATTTAGAGGGATAGCCTCATCATTCAAATGTACCTTCCTGTACATATCATGGAGCCCTTATTGGAGGTTGCTCACCTCACGCTTTTGCCCCAATCTTGTTAAAATCTGTTATAAAGTATGCTCTGGGAAACACATGCACACACACTCACACTCACAGAGGACTTCCAGTAAAAGCCTTGCTAGAAAGCTACAAACAATGAAATCTATCAATGATCAGATGATAACACCCATCACTAACAACTGCCAACACTCAGACTAAAGCAGTCAAGACACTGAGGGAACCATCCATCATCCCTGTCATTTCTGCAGGGAGTGCAGAAGGGGCTGGGGGGAGGGGGCCGGGGCCCTGTAGTGGACAGAAGTGACAGCAGATCATGCAGCAGAATGCAGATCCAAACATGACCTCCAGTATCTACTGTGAAAATTTGTGGGAATCAAGACAGGGAAAGAAACGAATAACTTAATAAAGAATAAAAAAGTAAAGAATTTTGTTTATTGGTTGGGCATGGTAGCTCACACCTATAATCCCAACACTTTGGGAGGCTGAGGTGGCAGGATCACTTAAGCCCAGGAGTTCAAGACCAGTCTGGTCAATATAGTGAGACCCTGTCTCTGGCTGGGCACAGTAGCTCACACCTGTAATTCCAGCAGTTTGGGAGGCCGAGGTGGATGGATCACTTGAGCCCAGGAGATCGAGACCAGCCTGGGCAACATAGCGAGACTCTGTCTCTACAAAAAAAAAAAAATGTAAAAATTAACTGGGTGTGGTGATGCATGCCTGTAGTCCCAGCTACTCAGGAGGCTGACGCGGGAAGATTGCCTGAGCCAAGGAGGTCAAGGCAGCAGTGAGCCACTGTACTCCGGCCTGTGTGACAGAGTGAGACCCTGTCTGAAATAATAATAATAATAATAATAATAATAAAAAAACAGACCCCCTCTCTATAAATATAGATTTTAATAAAATTAACCAGGTCTCAGCTACTCAGTCCCAGCTACTCAGGATGCTGAGGTAGGAGGATTGCTTGAGCCCAGGAGTTCAAGGTTACAGTAAACTACGATTGTGCCACTGCACTCCAATCTGGGTAACAGAGTGAGACCTTGTCTCTAAAAACTTAAAAAATATTTTTGTTTATTGAATGTCTCTTCCTGCTACACTGTGACCTCCCTAAGGACCCCAGTCCACATCAGTTTGGTTTGCTAATGTATCCCAAGCCCCCAGGACAGAGCATGGCAATGTAGGCTCTCAGTTAATATTTGCTGAATCAATGAATGGTGCAGCAGCACTGTCCACCTTCTATGTCCTGTTTGCCCAACCCAGTCTTGGACTTAGGTGTGTGTTCCCTGAATGGAATCACCTGGTGACCCACAGACACAGAGCTGTTCCCCCCATGTGTACATCCAGCTGATACTAGAAAGGAGAGGTGGGCCCGAGTTTTGGCTCTGCTGCATCACTGGCTTGCTGTTCCAGGTCGGAATTTTCCTCTTTCTGAGCCTTTGTTTCTCACCCGAAGGGAACAAAAGGCCACCACCCTCACAAAGCTGTTGAGATTCAATGAAAAAGAGAGGAAAGATGGATATGAAGGGCCCCTAGAAATAAGGACATTACTAATTTCCTAAGGAAAGTACAGTCTTATGAGTGACATCACCGTATTTTAAAATCAGACACATTGGTTTCCTGCAGACACAGGGAAGACCCACACCTGCAGGCATGTGTGGAGCATGTGAACAACTCTGCTCTTTGATTTTGGCATGCTGCTTCTCGGGCTTCTCTAGAAAGGAGAAAACTGAAGAACTGAGAGACCCAGAGGCTGGTGTCCAGATCAAGTGCAGCTGCCATGTTTCAAGGAGAGCCGTCTTCTGTGTGTACACAGTGTTGGCCTCAGAGACCAGCCAGGAGAAGGCTGGCTGGGCACAGAGTCAAGCATCAGGACACAGAGTCATGCATCAGGTTGTTTTCCGCGGGGAAAGGTGTAAGGAGGAAAGGGCTGCCTGTTTTTTTGCCCCTTTACACACATGCATGTGTGCACACACATGCACACCCTCCCCCACACCAGTCTTCCCCAGAGCCTCTTCCAAAGCAACATCTCCAGCCTCGGGGTATCAACATTAGAGTGCAGTTCTCCTTCCAGGCATCTGGGAGCCTCCCTTGCAGCAACCCCTCTTCAGACTAGAATTCGAGGCATGTCCCTCTCAACAGCTGACCAAGGTGCAGGCAGCTAGCTAGCTTTGTGAAGGCAGCGTGGCCTACAGGGTGGGCTACCCTGCAAATTTAAGGGCAAGATTAGTCCCCAGTCTTCGCTGGGCCTCTTTCCTCATTTGCTCTCTGGAGGTGGAGGTTACTCTAAGTGCCCTTCAAATTCCTTTCCAGCTCTATTCTTTGAACTGCTGGTTTCTTCCTTTCCAACTTATGGAAATTATTTTCCTCACTTTTCCTGAGAGGGGAAGTATAAGACACCAGGCTGTCTCTGACAACTGCCAAAGTGGCCGTTTTTTAATGGAAAGTCAGCTTCCTTCTCAGGTTGCTTAACAGAGCAGAAGCTTCTCGAGAACAGAGAAGCCTAATGTTTCCCTCTGGTTTTTTGACGTCAGTTGCCTGTGGGTGGGTTCCCATCCGCTGCCACCTCTCCAACCACACTAAATTTTATTGCGCAGATTTTAAAAACACACCTTGGTGTGGCAGGCCACCGAAAGAAGCGATTTAGCCCAGGAGCCCTGCTGTTAAGCTGTGGCAGAGAGAGCTTTGGTCCAGTCTCTGACTGTGCCAGGATCCCATCCCACAGAGTAAATCCTCCATCCTCCCCTTGTTGGCCCCTCACCAATAAAAGCGGAATGTTCACTTTACACTATCTCCTGGGGGATTTGAAGAATCAATTCTGAACACTGACTTGAAAGCACTTATCCCTCTAAGAGTATAAGAAGTGGGGAAGGGAAAAGGGAGCTAACATTTGTGGGATGTTTGCTGCGTGCCAGGTACTGGGCTGGCTGCTTGACTTTCATTCTTTCCTTTAACTCTGCTTTGTAATCATCATACACAAAACCGTCAAATGGTTTAGGCTGCTGAGAGTCTAAAGCTTATCAAGAAGACAGTGACCATGCAGAGGTAGAGAGGGGAAACCAGACCTCCCATAAACCCCCAGGAAGCTAAATATCTTTGGCATACTTGACACCACCCATGCAAAGTTTAAAAATCTAATTATGTCCATTTGCAATGCACAGATAAGGGGCACTGGAAATATATTCACCAATACAAATATGTTGGTGCTTTCAAATGTCAGAAGAGTTCAGCCGAGTGCTGCAAATCTCGTCACTGATAAATAACAGACATGTTCATCTTATTCCAATATTTTCCTTTCTAACTTAAAAATAACTTTGTCATTTCTCCTAGTATGTTTTGAGGTGATTAGTCTTAAAATGTGTCATAGGTGGTAAATTCAGGAGAACTGAACTTGGCCTCCAAAATAAGCAATGTTCCCCATGACATTATGGAATAAAAACACACACTTGCTTTGGTTTTGCCTGGTTTGAGGCTTCGTAACGTGAGCAGCGTTCACAGTGAGTCCGTGAATGGAAATCACGCCACACAGGAGCTGTGACTCAGGCCTGTTCTCCGAAGGGGTGAGGTGATGGCTATTAATATTTAATTTCATATACTGTAGTGTTTGCAGAAGCAAACATGCTGTAGTTAAGGTTACGCGCATTGAGCGTCAGCATAATCCAGTTTTTCTTTCCGCCAGGCTTTTTTCACACAGATGTGTTCAACCCAAAGGTGAATTTTTGGAGCCTTAAAAAAAAAAAAAAAAAAAAAAAGAATGAGAAAATTTGAAAACAATTAGGTAAACCATTATGGTTATACAACTGTGAAAAGATGACAGCTTTTATACTTAGAAAATAGTATGAAATGTTTTCTTTTCTTTGTTTGTTGTTATTTTCCTCTCACATGAAACTGGTCAACCAACCACCAAAACAAAGAAAAGGAACGATGAGGCTGAAACTTAAGGGTAGCCATTTGTCAGCAGAAGTAAAGGCCAAGTATTCCCAGAGAGAAGGCATCGCAGTCAACTGCTGTGACGTGTGTGACGTCCATCTCAAAAGCCTGTGTGAATGTAACTACACAGGGTGGCATACGCTGATGTCTGCCCTAGATCCCCACAAGCCTCTAGCTTGGGGTGAGTCACCAGTTTCAGGCAAGGGGTGTCTGTTGGTTCTGAGGTGACTGGGCCTTTGTAAAAGAGCTTTGAAGGAAATACCTTGCAGACTTAAACGGCTGTCATGAGTCCGCCATGGCACACAGCAGCTCCCACCCCATGGATGAAGGCTGCAGCTCGCTGGGTCTTGCTTTCTCATCTGAGAATGGGAGGGGGTGGGGCCTCTAAGAGCCCTTCTGGATCGAGTGTCTGGGGATTCCAGAACCAGCCCCACTCCTTCCCAAGGTTCAGCGCTAGCACATCCATACTCCCCAGACTGTCTCCCCCATTTCGGTTGCGGCAAGACTGCTGTGAGCCAGAGCTATGCAGGCGTTTGAATCGCGGGTCCCTGCCTAGATGGACACTTCTTCCCCTTAACTAGTTTTCTCCCTGGCAGCCCTCCGTCCATTCTCACCTTTCCTCCTCACCTCTAGTCCTGCATTAGAAGCAGCCGGTTCTCCTTCCCAGAGCCCTCCCTGGCAGATTGTGAACCGACTAGGCCATGCCTCTTCACCTGTGGAGAGTGGCTCTGAAGCAGGGTACTCTCTCTTACCCTGGGCCCTGCACTCCAGTGCAGAAGCATCCAGCACCTGTGGCAGACTGGTCATCTGAAACCTTGCTACCCGGGTAGGACCCCAGCTTCCTTGTCCTCTGGCTTCCGAGCGAGGACTGGGTCTCGGGCAGCCTTGCAGCACGCAGCACATCAACCGCGGATCTTCTTGGGCTCCCTCAAGGGTGGGACCTAATGCTACTCCAGTCTCCCTGCTGTGGGCACGCCTCTGCCTTTGCTGTTGACTTGAGGATGTGCTTTTAACCTATTGCACCTGGCTTCACACTGAGTGGGCAAAGGACAGAGGGCCCACTGGTCGAGGGTCCAGCTCTTTCGGAGGACAGCAGGACGTCTTTTGCCCCAGGGCCATCCTCTGCACTTTTATATGATGAGGTGCAGCAGTGTTTCTAATTCTCTGTTGCTTGAGAAGTATGGACATTTCCCTAGATCTTTTGGCAGTTCCTAACACATCTGCAGAGAAGGATCTTGGGGGAGGGGCCAGTCTATTAGGATGAGCCATATGAAATTGCCCATTTTTTGAAGTTGGAAAGGGTCACTTATTGCATTTTATGTAGTTCAACTTAAAGGTCAAAAAGGTGGAGGAATGTCTGGGCCTCCTCGTGATGTTATGTTTACCTAATAAGCATCCTGGGGTTTTGCCTAGGGTTTATGATACAGTATCTGTGTCTATAGCAAAGAGTATTATTGTAGATACTGTCATTACTACTTAAGGTATTATCACTACTGCTACTTGAGCTCACTTTAGAAACAATTGATAGAGATAGAGGGAAGACTGTCTATCCCCTGGAAGACCCCAGTACCTCAGTCCTGGGCCCTGGTCTTTCCCTTTGGAACTAGTGGTTTAAAATGAGCTCTCCTTTACCTCCATTCTTGTCTTCCCTGCTTTGAAACAGGACACCTCTGGCCAGTGGGCTTCCTTTTGGAGATAAGAGATGTTGGGTGATCAATGGCCTCAGACAATGTAGCTGTCACAGTTTCATTTTTAAAATGTCATGGTGATAAAAACAGCCATTTGCTAATAAAAAGGGTGGGATTCATTGCCTAGTGGCATTCACATCCATGCTGTCATTGTCTAACCCAGATTTCTCAGAGCAGCCACTGGCTTGGTGTCGTAGCTGAATGATGTCACTTCAAGCATCACGTAATTTTCCAGCTGGCTAGGATGGAAAAGGGGTTTATTATTGTGGCATGTTTTTCACAGCGTCTGAAAAAAAGTGAAGCAGACAGGGATATATGACAGGATTGGTTCTGTTTTTACAGGTGTGTCTGAAGCATACAAGGTACCTTTCACTTGCAATAGAAATGTGACTCTATGGCAAAAGAAATTTTTTAAAAAAAGCTTTTCTCAAGAGATTTTAAATATATAATACATAATTAGTGTTGGAAATTGGCCTCGAATACATTAAACTCAAAAGACTAGGAGGTGGGCTGCCCAGACCCTGGTCTCAGTTCTGTCCCTACTGACAGAGCTCTAACTTCATCTTTGCCTCAGTTTCTCCATGGAAAAGATGGACCTCCCAGGGTATTTGTCTGTTTTTAACTTTTCATTGCAGTGTAAAACAGAAAAGTATACATCTTAGCATACAGCTTGTTGGATACAAACTGTAGACATCCCTGTCACTAGCACCCTGACCAAGAAATGCACATAACCAGCACTCCAGAAGACCCCTGTGCCCCTTCCAGTCAACCACACACACAAGGACTTCCAGCAGCATAGATTTCAGCCCAGTGAGACCTGTGTCCGACTTCTGACCTGACGAGCTGTAAAATAATAAATTTGTGTTGTTTTAGGCCACCGTACTTGTGGTGGTTTGTTGCAGCTGCCCTAGGAAACCAATGCACTGATGCTGCTGGCAAGAGGGAGAGCCAGGAGTTGACCCCCAGCTCTGTCCCCAAAGACCGAGTTCTTAAAAACCACTAGAATAGATAGTACCGCTCTTAGCTTTGTTAGGTGTTTGGTCATTGGTGAGGGTATGAAGGTAAAATGAAAGTGCAAGTGCCAGCCAGCGTGCAGTTAAGTTGGGTACTAGGTAGCCAGTGTCTTTGAGGTACTCTGACTTGCCCAGCCCCCGACCCCCATGCTCAGAATGTCCCCTGCCTGGAAAGAAGGAATGTGATATGTTACTAACACTTCAGTGTGAGTTGAGTGCGTTATCTCTTCCTAAAGTATTTGCGTTCTAAAAGATGACCTAAGTGATGACTTTCTGCTATTTATGAGAAAGAGGGCTACACTACGGTGCCATGGCTGACCGTGTGAGACCCAATTCCTTGTCCATCTTCCACTACAGAGTCAGAAAACACCAAAAAGCATCTTTCCCATGCTGCCTTAACAGCTAGCAGAGACTAAAGAGTAGGAATCTCGGCTATGGGCTCCCTGGGAAAAGTTGCTTTCCTGATGAAAGGGATCGTTGTTGCTGGCACAGCGCGTTTCTTCCATGTTAAACACGAACATGGTGCATGAAGGTGTAGTGGTCAACCCGTGAGCATGAGGGGCAAGCATGAGGAAAGAAGTGCACACAGGAAGGATGGAGAGTGGGAGTATAGCAAGTCCTCCAGCTCCCGCTGCACTGCCAGTCACTGCACCAGCCCCAGCAAGGTCTTGTCACTCCAGTGATATTGTTTCAAGAAAGGAAAAACCTCTCCAGTGTGTGCCAGTGTTCATTGTATTTTTTGTTACTTGCAGCTGAATACATTCCAAACAGACCCGGGTGCCTTTCAGATCACAAAAAGGTAACCACCTAGGAATGGGGACATGGGCAGGCAGAATTCTTTAGAATGAAAGGAATTCCTGGGATCCTTGCCCACATTTTCACCACGGTGAACACATGCAAAGAATGATGAGTCAAGGGAACCATCCAGAGAAATGGGATTGAGCTGTAGATATCCAATAAACCTGATGCATTCCATTTGGGGAGAAGAAATAGAAGGCTCATAATTTTAAATGGAAAGGTTAGTTAAAATCAGGAGACTTTGGAGAGACTTTGGAGAGACTTTTATTTGTTTATTTTTGTTTCTGGTGAGGTTTATTACCTTTCAGAGGGACATGCTGTTAAGTTGAATACCTCTGAGGATGACCATCTGTCACATATTTTCCAGGACCACCCTGGGAAATAAGAAGGATATTGTCTCCTTATCTCGACAAGCGTGCCATGGTGGTCTATCCATGGAGTCATAATTTGAGATTAGGAAATATGCTGTTATTCTTAAAAGTTCAATTATTTATGAATCCCCAATAGCCAGGTGATCCCTTATACTTAGTGGCATTTATTGATGCAGATGAGTACTTTGAAAAATTAAGAGAGACATTTACTTTTTAAGCTACCACTAAGACGGTCTCTGACCGGATAAAGATAACTTGAGCAGGCGAATTTGTTTAACAAAGGTGGTGACATATATTGTGGCAGCTGAATGCCCCCTTACAGCCAAGGGAGAACAATCAGTGAATTCATTCGTTTAATTCATGAATTTTCCTTCTATTTACACTTTAAACAAACATGCCAGTTGTTTGCTTAGTTAACAAGCTCTGCCTTCATTATAAGCCATTAGTGGCTAGTAATAACTGAAACTGTGTTTGGATTTCACAAATACAATAAACCCAATTAATTTCACCCTTAGTAATATGGAATTTGTCTGATCAACCTGAGCTAGGCAGAAGTTTGTGTCTTTGCCCTTTGCATGAAGGGTTTGCTAAATCATCTTATAGCCATAAATAGGAATTCTTCATAAGAAAAACTAAACAAAACAGCTTAAATCCTAATGCTTCTAAGGGGCCAGGCAGCAATATAAATTAGTGAATGGGTTGGATAGAGCATCCTCTAAGAAACACTTGGTCTACTTTTGATGGAGACATGGATGTAAGAAATATTTCACTTTTTAATCCTGTGATAAGAAGGAAAAAAACCACACACATGATTATAAATGACAAGGAGGCTCAGCCAATGGCAGGGAGACGGGAGGGAGAAGTTGGGACCACAGCAAACTGGAGAGCCCAAGCCCTGTCTGAAAGGACCAGCTCCGATTCAGCTGCAGTTACTACATAAGAATGCAGGCCTGTGATGAGGGACTCCAAAGCAGGTTTTGCCTGCTTCTCGGATTTCACCAGGATGAATCATAACAGGGACCTGATAAAATCCTATCTTTGAAATGCTCTGTAATGCTTATTATTGTTCTTAGGAAATGATAAAATATTGCCCTTTGGCATTAGACGTGTGTGTGTGTGTGTGTGTGTGTGTGTGTGTGTGTGTATGTACAGGATAAATATGTGCCCACTTCTAAAAAAGACCTGGGCCTAGTGTGGCCACATCTTTCAAATTTTTAATGTAATGTCAAAATCTGGATTTCTGGATAAAATCTTCCCATTTATAAACTTTGGCAATGAGTTTTTGCTATTTAAGCTGATGCTGTGCAGCCACCACAGTGCAGATCAGCAGCTCTCAATGTGGTCTCTGGACCAGCCACATTAGCATTACCCGGGAACTTCACAGAAATGCAGGTTCCTAGGCCCTACCCAGGCCTACTGAAACAAACTCTCTTGGGGTGAGGCCCAGAGATCTGTTTTAACAAGCCTTTCAGGTAGGGCTGCCAGCTTTTAGCAAATATTTCATGGAACATACACCAAAAAATTATTCGTTGTTTATCTGAAATTCAAATTTGAGTACGTGTGCTGTTTTCTTATCTAGCGGACCTACCTCCCGGTGCTTCTGATACCCGCTGGTGTTGATCAAGCAAAACATGTGTATGAGCCAGGCTGCTTGTGTTTGAATCTGCTTTGACACATATTAACTCTGGGATTTTAGGCAAGTGACATAATTTCTGTGTGGCTTGGTTTACTTACATGTAAAATAGGCACGATAATAATTTCTTCCTCATGGGGTGGTTGCTGGAATTGAATGAGTTAACGAACATAAAATACTTAGAACTTTGCCTGGGAGAAAATAAACAATATATGTGTTTAGTATCATCATTTTATTTTTTCTTTTCTTTCTGCTCTAATCATCACCGCTCCTGCCACCACGCAGCCATCAGGGAATATGAGAACTCATCTTCCTTCAATTCTTTTTTCCTGGATCTAACTTTGATTTAGCAGAATTGATTCTAACGTGCTATTCCCCAAGGCCACTCTGTTGCTTGTTCCTACCCAGAGTTACCCTTCCTTTGAAATCTGGTTGACAGTATGGCGGTCTGGCAGGGAACCCGCTCTTGCCTCCACCCCGACGTCCTGCTGCCTGACCAGAGTTACCCTTGCTTTGAAATCTAGTTGACAGTGTGGTGGTCTGGCAGGGAACCCACACTTGCCTCCACCCCAATGTCCTGCTGCCTGAACTCTGTCAGCCGGCAGTGCCTCTGTTGCGCTCAGGCCTCTTGTTGTACAGACCAGCCTTGCTACTTCGTGTCTGCTTTCACCAGCCCAGCAGGGCAAGTCAACAGCTTCCTGACCCTACCTTGGATTTTCAGATTTGCAGAGGGCCTGACTGGGGCTTGGCTTCTTGCTGTCAGTTGGGGAAACAATGAATGCCTTCCTCACCAATTGAATTCTGAGTACACTTTAGGAAATCCCCACAACTTTTTCCAGACAAGGAACATGGGAAGATTTGATTTGTGGACCCAAAGAGTGTATTTCAAAGCAAAGCAGTCACCAAACTGTCCTTGCTGAGAATGGCTGCAAGCTGCCCCAACGTGTCCCTCCATAAAGCAGCCCTCCAGGCCTCCACACCGCCACACGGGACAGACTTGTGCTCGCTGTGAAAACCACCAGGATGAGCTATTACGGCTCTCAGTTGTGCCATTTTATTGCTGTTCTGGAAATGGAGCAAAACACATTATTTTATTAAATAAAGATTTTCCCTGTATCACAGTGGAGGCTAATTTTATTAGCTCTTTTTATGGGAACAAACATCATCGCCCTGATTGGGGAGGACGGAGGTGGGGGCCGTGGGGAGGTGAGGGAGTGGAATCACATTTTGTCATCTGCGTGCTCCAATGAGGCTGCCGACATGTTTTAGTTGGTTACTCACATTAATTACTTACTTACCAGAAGAGTTCCCCAGATCCTGCAGAAAATACACAGCTTTCATTCATAAGTAATTTATAGATGATTCAAAAGACATGTTCAGGGCCAGGCTCATGCCTGTAATCCCAGCACTTTGGGAGGCCGAGGCGGGCAGACCATGAGGTCAGGAATTCAAGACCATCCTGGCCAACATGGTGAAACTCCCGTCTCTACTAAAATACAAAAATTAACTGGGCATGGTGGGGCACACCTGTAGTCCCAAGCTACTCGGGAGGCTGAGACCAGAGAATTGCTTGAACCCGGGAGGTGGAGGTTGCAGTAAGCGCCAGTGCACTCCAGCCTGGGCAACAGAGCGAGACTCCCTCTCAAAAAAAAAAAAAAATTAAATAAATAAATAAATAAATAAATAAAGACATGTTCAGTTACAATAAATATTTGTTCATATTGTGTGGGTATGGGTGTGTCCCCTGACAACCAAAATCTATAGTCTCCAAAATGTATAACTAAATGAACAGAATGTTCAAAATTTGTTCAAAAACAAATTTTTTGTTCTCATCTATGAGATTCTGGAATGTTTAAGGCAGAACATGTACTGTCACATTGAGAGAGGGAAAGGAGTCCAAATCTAGTTGAAAAACTGAATAAAATACTGTTTCTCCCTCTGATTCTTTAGCTTTGAAACCTGAGACTTTCACATGCAGCTTTTTTGATGACCATAACCGGCAGAACCTGCCCCCACCCCACCCCCAGGCTAAGGCAGAGCAGCTGAGGCAGGTGAGGCCAACTCCTGAGAGTCAGACAGCAGTGCTGCCCTGTTCCGTATGCAGGGCTGAGGTCTCCACAACGTTCTCTCGGGATGTGTTGCCCTGGGGTCAGAAGGGATGTATCCGCTGCTCTGCTGGTCAGTAGCTGAGCCTTCTGTATGGTCTGCAGAGCTGCCACTGAGCCAGAGGTGGTCTCTGTGTTTCCTAGACTCAAGGTGGTCTCCATGTTTTGTCGTTGCCATGCTGTTTTTCCTGCTAGCAATAGGCCACAGCTAACGCTAAAGCAAATGGTGAAGCTGGCTACAGTGTTTTGTGTCCCCAGCCTCCCCTTCCGCCCTCATGCCTCTCTCCTCCCCAGTGTCGTCTGTGCTGTGTTTTGGAGCCTTTCCCTGGCCCCCATGAGCACCCACCTTGAACCTTGCTAGGATCCAGGTATCTGTCATTTACATCTCCATGTGACATGAAACCATAAGCCTCCTCTGAGAGCACTTAGAAGTTAAACCAGATCATAAAGCTGGAGCTCCTAGCCTTGGCATCGTTGTTTGCTTCCCTGACGTAGCTGCCCACTGCCCTATAGTATCACTGCTACTTCCCTAACCTCAGTTTCTCTCTCCTTCATCTTGTTAGCTGCCTCCCCAGCTTGTCTTCTGCATCCTTCCCTTTGTTGTCTGTCCTTCCTATTTTCTCTGTCTCCCTCCTTTTGTTACCTATATCTGCTACCCTCAGCCTGTTGGCCTCTTTTGTAATGAGCTTCCTTCGTCTTATTTTCTTCCCTCATCTTTCTATCTGCTTCCTTCATCTCCATCTTTATTTCCCTCATCTGCTCCCCCAGCTCCTTTCTCTGCTTCTTTCCTTGTCTACTTCCCTCATCTTTTTATCGGTTTCCCCATCTCATTCTCTACGGCCCTAATTTTGTTATCTTCTTGCCTCCTGTAGCTCTTTGAGTTTGTGACCTGCTTTAAACCATCTCTACTTGAAAAGAATACCAGGCTTTAGCAAATATAGGTGAGAGGTGGAGATCAGGGAGAGGTAGACTTGTGTGTCACCCTCCTGGGGACTGACCTAAGTACCTTTGTAAGGGCTTGTCTAACACATGCCCCTGTGACCCACTGGGGACTCCCAGCGTAGGACAGGGTTATGAGGAAGTAGGCATTGCTCTTCAGGGGCATCAACAGTGGAGTAGTGATGCCCCCCTATGGCCTCTGTACCCTTATTTCTTACCTTCCTTTCACTAGGAGGAGGCCTGCTCACCTTGGGCCAGTTCTGGCTATGATGTAGATTGAGGGAACAGAGGTCTCAGGACGTGGTTGATAGCTTCCCATTGGTGCCTCCTGAAGACAGAGCTCCTGGGAGAGTAGTGAGCATGAAGCCCATGGGCTTGAGCTGGCACAGAGGGACGGGAGCCCAGAAGCCACAGGTCTAAACCCAGTGACACTGGGCAGAGTGGATCAGAGTGAGGCTTTAGAGTCCAGACTGTGTGAGCTCCAGTCCTGGCTCTATTGCTTGCCAGCTGTGTGACCTTGGGCTAGTCAGTCTGCCTCTCTGTACCCACTTTCCTCACGTGTAAAATGAGATAATGAAATTGAATAATAGTAACATCCTGAGGTTGTGGGGTAGAGCAATGAGATGGCATGTGTAAAATACAGTGCCTGGCACGTAGCAAACACTGAGCAGTCAGTCTTCAGAAGGAGAAGATGTTTGGGTACAAGAATAAGGAATGTGGCCCTGGGGCTTTCCTCAGTCTCTCTGCCGTAGTCACATTTGAGTCAAAATTCATTTAGGCAAATGAGTGGATGTTTTACTATTTTTTTTTTTTTTAATTTTAATTTTGTTGTTGTTGTTGAGTCGGAGTCTCGCACTGTTGCCTGGGCTGGAGTGCAATGGTGCAATCTCGGCTCACTGTAACCTCCGCCTCCCAGGTTCAAGCCATTCTCTTGCTTCAGCCTCCTAGTAGCTGGGATTACAGGCACCTGCCAGCACACCTGGCTAATTTTTTATATTTTTAGTACAGACAGGGTTTCACTATGTTGGCCAGGCTGGTCTTGAACTCCTGACCTTGTGATCTGCCCACCTCAGCCTCCCAAAGTTTTTCAGAATTTTTAAGAAAACACTTCTAACCTTAAGCCTTTCTTTCAAACTCAGATCCCCTTACACATTGATCAGACGTAGCAAGTTTGCTTCAAGTTTTTGGAACTGGTTTCCACTTTAGGCTACTGAAGGTCCCATATCCCCAGAAGACTATCCCCTCATCTCCTCAGCCTCCCGTTTAAAGATACACACTGCAGTCGGGTGGGTGCCAGATGAGGAAAGCGGAAGATGCTGATTCCCTCCCACGCAGTCTCAGGGCCAGAGGGAAGGAGGGTCCTGCCAGGCTGTCTGGGCCACCCCCCCACTTTGGCTTCAGGACTACAGAAGCATCTCCTACGTTAGGCTGCGTCCAGGAGAGAGGGACTAAGGGATTTCGTTTAGAAGAAGGGGCAGGGGCTGAGAGTTCGGCTTGTAAATGTGTAGGCGAGAGTGTTGACATACATCACTTCACACCTGATGAAGGAAAGAGAAGACAGGCTATGAACCTAAGAGGGGTGGAGCGACAGTTTGTCTCCCTTTCAGATGGCCCCAGGCTACTACGAGTCTACGGTTTCACTTGTCCAGTTTAAATTAGCAAGTAATGAAGTCACACAAGCAGAAGCTGCTGCTCATGATTATAAGACCCTTAGAACTATCTATCCTGCTGGACTTTAGAGGGCAATGAGCCTGGTTCCCCCCTCTCTCGGGTCTTCCTTTGTCTCTATCATGGGATATTGGGCTGCACATGTTGAAATTGTGAAAAGCGTTGAATCCATAAGAAGTACCAGCTTGATAAATGTAAGTCTGTATGATGCCTCCCAAGGATCTGTGTGAAAAGTAAACTTGCGGCCAGGCGCAGTGACTCATGCCTGTGATCCTAGCACTTTGGGAGGCTGAGGTGGGCGGATCACCTGAGGTTGGGAGTTTGAGAGGGGGCGGGCGGATCACCTGAGGCTGGAGTTTGAGACCAGCCTGACCAATATGAAGAAACCCCATCTCTACTAAAAATACAAAATTAGCAGGGCGTGGTGGCGCATGCCTGTAATCCCAGCTACTCAGGAGGCTGAGGCAGGAGAATCGCTTGAACCTGGGAGGCTGAGGTTGTGGTGAGCTGAGATCGTGCCATTGCACTCCAGCCTGGGCAACAAGAGGGAAACTCCGTCTCAAAAAAAAAAATGTAAACTTGCTCTCCATGAGGGGAATTGGGGTCTGCTCCCGTAAAATGGGAGGGGTGGCCTGGGGGCTCTTCTTGTCCTTAAGGGCAATCAATTTCCCGTCCTCTGGGTTCCTTCTACCCCTGCAGCCTGCTGGAACCTGCTGTGGCAGCAGCATCTAGCCAGGGCCGCCAAGTGCTGGGTCGCTCCACCCACAGCAAGATGGGCCGTGCTGGTCAGGGCTCCACGGAAAAAGCACAAATAAATCAAACACCAGCTCCTACTTAAGATCTGATGAAATTCTCCATTTCCGCTCCAAATTGAATTCCTCCCGAAGGATGGGAGCAGCTCCTGGGAGTAATGAAGGCACTCCTTCCTCCTCTGCTAGAAACATGTTTTAGATTAACAGACGCAGTCTTCTAATCTGGGTGGGTAGGTAGTGTTCAGGAACAGCCTTGAGAAAGTGTTTTCAGACCAGACATGATATTTTTAATCTCGAGGGGCAAGGCGGCAGACATGCAATACGCTTGGCCTCTGTGGAGGAGGCAGCCCCAGAGGTGGTCTGCTGGGGAAGAATGACAACACGGGAGTGTGGCTGCAAGCCACCCCTGCCTGCCACCTCCTTTTCCTCCACCACTTGGAGCCAAAAAGAATTTATGGTGGGGAATAGAAGCAAGAGGGCTTGTGTTTTTTGAGATTTGAAATATCACTTTCCTGCCCATCTCTTATTTGGGAAAAATAATCAACTCTGTGATTTAAAAAAAAAAAAAAAAGACAAGAAAGAAACGTTTTTAGGATGAAGATGTCATTGAAGTGATTATCTTCCATTCTCTGTAATGATGATGAATCGACAGTCTGGCATTTGTAGAGGCAGTTGACACAGACCCTTTCAAGGGGAAAAAAAGAAACAGTTTTCCAGTGAGGCTTGTCAGGGGGAAGACTGATCGCCGGCAGGCCGGCTCGGACCATGAGCACAGTTCCAAGAATGCAGGGATGAGGAGGAGCCGGGCTGGGCTGTTGAGTCCAGGCTGAGGTAGGAGTGCAGTGTTTTACAGGTCCGTTCTGTTTTGTGGGTGGACATGGGTAGATTACCTGTTGGGAAAGAAATACTTAATATTATTCCTTGAAGTGAGCTAAAGAGAATTACTTTTCTTCACTCACTGTTGAAGAAAAGCAATCTAAAAAAAGAGGTTAAATCTACTTAACATGAGACGTTCAGACATTTAGTGCCCAAGGGAGGGAAGGAAATTCTCCTTGAAAGAATATTCTGTTGGTCCTTTTATGTCAGGATTTTGTTAACAGCCTTTGAGAAAGGTTATCAAAACCTTACTCCATGTTTTTGGTTTAGTTTTTAAAAGAAGCCTTTTCCTTCATAGGGAAATAGCCCCAGAGTATCCAGTATGTCAAACCCAACCTTAGAGGGCCAAACGGGCCCCGGAGGCTTTCGATTCAGGTTCCCAGCCGGAAAATTGCTTTTCAGGGAGAAGGTCATGTTTTCCGCAGATAGTGGGGTCATTTGTATGGTTAAACGCCCTTCCTTCTGAGCCGGCAGGATGTTCAGACTTGGCCTCCCTCAGAGGACAGTAGGAAGTACATTTACCCCCGACTCAGAAGAAAGGATTGAAGATGGGAAGGGGAAATTTAGGTGGAATTCTGGCAACGCTGGGTCCTGTCCCAAGCCCAACAAGATGGACTGAGGCCGGGGTCGTGTCTCCAGAACATTGAAGGGTGGGGAGGGAAGTGTGGTGCAGACAACAAGGACTGCTCAAGGGGAAAAAATGAAAGGGTGGGAGAAAGAAGTGCCACCCACCCTCCCCACAGCTGCTTTTGTGCATTCCTTCAGGCCCTCGCAGACTTTTATATTTGCATAAATGGGCCCTGGTGAGGCTTCCACACTGGGACAGAAGAGCAGGCAGGTCCCCGGACAGTGGAGGCTTTTTCTTCATGAATAGTCTTAGAGCGATTTCGCAGTCATCCACTCGTGGAAGCTTCCTGGCTGGAGTCCGCCCTCCAGTCTCTGTAAGGACGTGCGTGTCTGTCTTTCTGGCTGCAGACCCTGCCCACGCAGGCTTGCCCTCCAGCCTGTTTATAAGGCCTGAAGTTACTTCTGTCTTGTTTTAGCCCAAAGGGTGAACTGCTGCCAGCAGTATGTCTGGAATGTTATTTACTTGGTACATTTCTGTGGCTTTTTGTAGCATTGCACATGCCAGAGCCATTTACTTGAAAATGCCAGGTTGCACAGTTTGTCTTCTCAACGGGGTGACTTTCTCAGTTAGGGGAGTTTAGTTCCTGTGTCTCTCAGTTTCTTCCTTCCTTCCTTGTTTTTTTTTTTCCCCTGAGTTAGTGCTCTGAACAATACTGTTGGTGCCTGTTGCATCGCACCCCTTTATCCTGAGTGCCCCAACTCCACTTGTAATTTCTGGGGTTTCTGGTGTCCTCTTCAGAGCACCTGGCAGATGCTTTTTCATTTGCATGCCTGCCCTGTTATTACTTCACATGAAAGCTGTCTGTTTTGGCAGACATGACTACCATGATTGCAGTTGAGCTCTCTGAGCTGAATGGGTGATGTTGTGTAAGGGAACTCGAGGTGGGGTTTTCTCTAATGGTGGCTGTGGGAGTGGAAGAAAAACCTGCGAGCAGTCTTGGCTTGTGCCGAGCCGACATGATAGCAAACAAATGACTTTTGAAGGGAGGAACCGGTGTGTACAGTTTCCTAATTTGGAAGGTTTCACAACTGTTTTTGTTCAACTGATGGAGGAGAGATTTTTTTAAGGGCAAATTCTTCATTAGGAAGACTGTAAACAAGTCCTGGAAAAAGGATAATTGCTGAAGGAGGAGGCATGGAAGATATTTGATGGGCCTCTTTCGTCAGCTCCCCTTCTTCCCATTCCACCTATGCAGTTTTAATGGTGATATTTTGGGTTTTAACACAAGGTATGGAAAATGAGATTAGATAAATCTCCCTGTCTGGTGCCAGTCCTGGGGCCATTTGCACACCTGGGTGGGATAACTCCCTGCCTTCTTTCTGTCAGCATAATTTTGTTCTGTCATGTGAGTCTATAAGCACTTGCAGATATGATGGAAAAGCTTGGCCTTACACGGTCTCGGCCTTTATTCGGGCCTCCTGGAAACCTCAGCCATCCCCGGCACCTGCTCGTTTGTTAACATCATAGCCAGCTCCCCGTGCAGAATGGAACATTTTCTGCTCCATTCTTCTTGGCTTTTTCTGTCCTTCTGCATGACTTCTCAATTTGTTTGTAAGCTGCTCAGATTTTTGGCTGAAGGGTCTTCTTTGATCACTCTCCTGACAGCTTAGGCTTCACACTGTCACACCTGCTCTTCTTTTACAGTCCAGATTTCAGAGTAAATGCTTCCATTGCCTTGTAATTTTTGTTTTGAGTGTAAAACTTTGGTGCAGGTTACTTATTACAGGTAATAGCCGTTTGATGATGGAGAAAACTGGTTGGCAGAAACGGCCACCTGAACTACAGCCAGAAACATAAACTGCCACTTTATTTATGTCTGAAAGCATCTAAGCCGCAAGCCTATCTGTCATGATCTAGCATGCACATGATAATAACAGGCTTGCCAGGCTAGGAAAGCTGCCCCATCGGATGGCCATGAGGACAGGCTCTAACAAGACTCTGTGCATTTTCTCCCCCATTATCCACAGCCCACACATCATGTTCCTCTCTCAGAGCATCTTGACAGGAGGGAACCATCTCTGTGGGACCCGCCTCTGCCATGAAATTGCCCATGCCTGGTTTGGCCTAGCCATCGGGGCCCGAGACTGGACGGAGGAGTGGCTGAGTGAAGGCTTCGCCACTCACTTGGAGGATGTGTTTTGGGCCACAGCACAGCAGGTGGGTTAAAGTGACCCTAAGTATTTCACTACCCAGAGTCAAATTCCATTTCTGGTCATTTGCTCACCCAACAGCTATGGACTGAGGGCCTACTATGCACTAGGCACAAATTTTGCTGGGGAGATGGCTGCATAAATAAGAGAGGGAAGCCCCTACTCCCCACAGGATTTACAATCTAGAGATGGGAGAGAGAGTAGACAAGTGAATCAGTAATGGGTCAAGTGTTGGAGTACTGTGAAGAGAAATGAGACCCATAGAGGGGCAGTGGGTCCTATTTTAGAAGGTAGTAAGAGAAGGCCTCTCTGATAAGGAGATATTTGAGCAGAGATGTGAAGAAAAGGTCATGCTATAGCATACTCAAGCACTTCTTTGTGGTTGTGATTGTGGTGACTTGTGTGTGTGCAGTGTATGTGTGTGTGTTTTAAATAAAGAGATTAAAACATAAATCCAGAGTCATCTCAGATGTCTGCTCACAAGTAGTGAATGAAGAATGAAGCAGGGGCGGTATAGATTAGGGAATGGTGAGAACTGTGGCAAACTGACAGCAGCTACTCAGCTCTAACCAATTGTCATGGTGAAGGAAGGAGGGCTCAATATAACCTACACTATTAGTTTTTTAAGGTAACTTATAATTCTGGACTTTTATGTGAAGTTTACTAATTTAAAAAATACCACGCAAGACAAACATACCCAGAAGCCAGACCTGGTGCACACGCTCCCAGTTTGCAACCTCTACCTTAAAGCATTGGCCACCAGTTCCAATGAGGATGATAAGCAACTAAGCTGCTTCGTGCTTACTTTCAAGTTCCTATTTTTGTTGTTGTTGTTGTTGTTGAGACGGAGTCTAGCTCTGTCGCCCAGGCTGGAGTGCAGTGGCACGATCTTGGCTCACTGCAACCTCCACCTCCTGGGTTCAAGCAATTCTTCTGCCTCAGCCTCCTGAGTAGCTAGGATGACAGGCACATGTCACCATGCCCAGCTAATTTTTGTATTTTTAGTAGACGGGGGTTTCGCCATATTGGCCAGTCTGGTCTCGAACTCCTGACCTCGTGATCCGCCCACCTTGGCCTCCCAAAGTGCTGGGATTACAGGCGTGAGCCACCGCGCCCAGCCTCAAGTTCCTAATGTTTAGGTCACTTTTTTCCCCCTGTCATCTCTGTCCCTTATACACTGGACTATTTGGCATTTTCCAAAATTCCCAAGTTTGTGCATACCTGCATGATATTGTTCAAGGTCCTTTGTCTGTTGAAATCTTATTTATTTTTCACTAACCAGCTGGAGGTCACCTTCTCTAGCTAGCCCAGGCTGATTACCCGGCTCACAATTCAACACTACCCTCCTACACACTGTGGGTTCCCACAATACTTGGTGCTTACCTTTTTAAACTTATTTTATTTTTTCTTTTCCTTCTACTGTGTCATTTCCTTATCCTCACACCTGGACTATACCTGCTTTAAATTGGAGCTGGGTCTTGCTTTTCATACCCTGGCCGTGGACCCAGCAGTGTGCACATCAGTGTCCCCTGCCACATGGAGTCCTGTGAGGAGAGGCCACATGATAGATACAGAAAAGGCTCTGGGGTCTGAGTCAGACAGACTTCCAGTCCTGGCTCTGCCATTCGTTGGCTCTGTGAGTATAGGTAGGTTAGGTAGCCTCCCCAAGCCTCCGTTTCCTCATTTGTAGAATGGATGTAAGAATGCCAAAGCTTGCAGGGTGAATGGGATCAGGTGTGAATGAGCTTAGCACAGTGCCTGACACGTGGAGAATGTACAAGAAATACCTGTTCCCTTCCTCTTTGTGTTTCCCTCCGTCTTACACACAGGCATTCAGCAGGGGTTTAATATGAACGTGCCTCTATCACCATCTCTTCCCTGGAGTGCCTCCCTTCTGAGACTCTCAGATTCGCGCTGGTCCTGGCAGTTGTGGTGCATTCCAGGCATCTGATCATGGAACCTCCAGTTTTTATCTCCTGCATCTCCAAAGAGTGCTCCTCCTTACCCTTCCCTTTGCCTAGACTTCTAGGAGGCCACTCCTTAGTCTGCTGGCTTGGTCCTGCCTCTTGACTGATAAGTTTACATAGAGAAGTAAACACTAAATATTGTCAGAATTCCGAGGTAGGAGAGGACAGGTCTGGGCGGGCCTGGAAAGCCTTTGTGGAGGCGGTGGCTTCTGTTGTGAGCCTAAAGGGACAGCAGGAGCTGAGCTTGCCCTGTTGCTCTTTTCCCTTAACATGATAGGAGTCAGCCCCCTCATCATCCTTGGAGGTACATGCAGTAACTCTTCGAGATGTGAAAACATGAATATCCCTGAGGCAAAATTGCCATTCTAGATTCCAGCACAAAGTTTGAAACATTTCCAGAGCAAGTCCGCCAGGCTGACCTCTCCCTTCAAGTGCGAGACTGGGCTGTTGCTGGCCCTGGCGAGTGCCTGCCTCAGACCGTCCAGGGAGTGGGGGAGTGCCCTGTGGGGCAGGGGTGGGTGTGCCACCTCCCAGGTGCTCCTGGCCAGCAGGCCCCACCCGGGAGCAGGGCATGAGGATACAGGGTGACAGGGGTCACCGGGGTCACTTTGCTGCCTGGGAGACTGTGCTCTGCAGCACTGAGCAGTAGAAAGCATGGTGGGGCCGGGGGTGGGTTGCGGGGGACATGTGAAATCTCAACAAGGTGATGGAGACCACCTTCCACTCAGAGAGGCATCCGCAGGGATTTGTGAATCAAGTCAGTCGCAAGGTTGGATGGTGTAACTTGTCATCAACCTGGAGAAAGTCTAAATGCCTTCACAGACATATTAGTCTGCTTGGACTGCCATAATAAATACCAGAGACTGGGTGAATTAAACAACAGACGTTTATTCCTCACAGTTCTGGAGGCTGGAAGTCCAAGACCAAGGTGCCAGCAGGGTTGGTTTCTGGTGAGGCCCCTCACTCTTCCTGGCTTGCAGGTGGCCACGAGCTGCTTTTTCTCTGCGTTCTCATATGGCCTTTCCTCTGTGCATGCAGAGAGAAAGTACGCTCTGTTGGCTCTTCCTCTTCTTATAAGAACACCAGCCCTGTAGGATTAGGGCCCCACTCATGACTTACTTAACCTTAATGACCTCCTTGAAAGCCTTATCTCCAAATACAGTCACACCGGGGTAAGGCCTTCAACACATATATTTTGTGGAGACACAGTTTAGTCCATAACAGCAGGCACATGGGGTCTGAGGATCGTCTGGCCTCTGCCAGCTTCCCTGCACCTTGCTCCCTCCCAGAATGGTAGTCTGCTCCAGGCCTGACCATATGCCTTGCCATTCTCTAAGCACATCACACACTTCCTGGCCCGACGTGCCTTGCAAGTGCTCTTCCCGAAATCCCTCCTCCCCGGCCGACTCCTCCTTCCCTGAGGATCAGTGCTGTCACCACCACCTCCTCAGGAAGCCCTGGTGGGCAAGGGGGCATCTGGGTTCTCCCTTCACCTCTCCCGTCACCTGCTCTCTGATGTTAGTGTTCCTGCCCATCTCTCCCTCCCCTGGCTGCTGCCCCAGGCCCTGTCTGTAATGTCCCCATGGCCTAGCAGAGACTCAGTAAATATCTGTTGAACGAATTATCAGGAAAGTTTGATTTCCAGAAACACCCGTGGATAGACGTCTTCCCTCCCCAGTGGGTGCTCTGCTGCCTTCCCTCACAGAGGTCGGGGCCGTGTGGCCCAGTGAGCACACCATGGGACGGCAGCTGGTTCTGACTCAGTAGGGCAGAGTGTGATGGCCTCCCCTCCCCCAGAGTGAGTCCAGGCAGCACTTCTAGTTATGTGCACACAGAATCATCTGGGTTGCATTAGCAGGCCCCGCTGGAAACAGTCCTTAACAAAATTGAGGGCTGGGGAAAATCGGAGGTGAACGGTGGGGCCTTCCCCATCCTGTGCAGAAAGACAAAGCAGGAAAAGAGGACAGATCAAAGTGGAAATGGTCCCAAGGGAAGCCCACTCTCTCCAGACCAGGTGTGTGTCGGTGGGATGGGTGGGTTCCAGAACAAGGCGACCTCCGCCAAACAGCAGGCCCAGCTCCACGGCCAGCAGCACAAGCGAGCGTGCACGGTTGGTTTTTTGTTTTAGGCACTAAGAGGCTCCAGTGGCCTTTAGGTTTCTGATGGAAGCAAGGTGAGAGCAGGGGCAGGCTATCTTGTCCCCCATTGAAACAAAGTGAGCCATTGCACCAGGACCACAACAGTGACTGTGTTTTGTGCATGTGTGTCTGTGTGTCTGTGGCTGAGCAGCTGGCCCCCTATGAGGCCCGGGAGCAGCAGGAGCTGAGGGCTTGTCTGCGCTGGCGTCGCCTCCAGGACGAGATGCAATGCTCCCCCGAGGAGATGCAGGTGTTAAGGTAAAGCTGCATGGTGATCCACAGCCCTCTCATTCCCCTCCTTCTTTCCTTCAAGACACCTCCCTGCCAACTGATGACATCTGCTGTGTTTCCTTTTTAAATTAAGTTGGGGTGGGCTTCTTGTCCCCCAGATGTGATGGTTATGTTCTAAGTCTTTCAGGGCATGCGTTTCGATTTGCCTTCCGTCATTTTCCTGGTGACTGTTTAGGAAAAAACTAGCATGAGGCCATTTCCGGGGGTCAGATCCTTCGTTTGAAGTTCTAACAGTCACTTTACGTGGTGGCTGCGGATGTGGCGAGGGTTGGGGTTTGGCAGCCTGGCAGACAGTAAACCTATAAAGCCAAAGGGGAAAAAAATCTTTAGGAAAATATTGATTCCTAAGTGTTTAGTGGTCACAGATGTATGTGTCAATGGGCCCTTTTGTTTCCATCGTAGCCCAGCAGGAAGCCTCTGCTGCTCCCCTGTGCAGCAGGATTCCATGGCCAGCTCCTGAGTTTTGTTTGTAGACTGTGGCTTGTGGCATGTGCAGGATTATTTCATGCCATTTTTCCACGTTTGTCCCTCTCTGCTTTGCTCCTTTTCTTTGTGAAATGTTTATCTGAAACCTGGTACCTAGGCTCCGGGAGCACTGTGGTTGCTATGGCAACAGGAGGTTCCATCACCTCCCCTCCTCTTCCACTAGAGTCAGATGTTGGTAATCTGCCATCAAACAGGTGGGGAGGGATGGCCATCCAGGAACTGCTCCTCTCCTCGCCTGTTCTTAGATGGCCGCCCTGAAGGCCCATCTACTTTCCCAGGCAGAGGCCTGCCTTGGATGGTTCTGCTGTTGTTGTTTGTTTTTAAATATACACCCCCACTTCGCCTGACTGTGACTGAAGCCTAACGCAAATGCACCCCAGGGAGGGAGCTGGCTGGGACTTTTGTGCAGCACTGCAGAATGTTGGGGTATGGCAAGCTGCACCCTTCCCACAGCAAAGTTCCCTGCGCTTGCACGCTAAGGCGGACTCCCAAGTTGACTCATCCATTGTTTCGGAAAGGAGATCTAGCGGAGGGAAGTGGAGCGGGCCAGGAGCCAGGAGACCTGTGTTCCCGCCCCAAAGCCATTGTTCCAGCATCTTTTCTCTTGGCCAATGCTGATTGATCCAGGCAGGACAGCTACTCCTATGGCCAAAGTGAACATGGCCCCTGCTCTCACAGAGCTTCCACTTAGCAGGGACATGGCTACAGGTACCGGCCGGTCACAGGTGGTGCGCAGCACTGTGAGCAGACTGCTCGGTGATGTCCATACTAACTGGAGGGCGGCGCATAAGGAGGTGGGGAATTTCTCTCTGAAAATGAGCTGCCTTGTGCATAGCCTGCCTGAGGTGGGAAAGGCCTTCATGTGCCTTAGGGACAGAAAGAAGGGCAGTGTGGCTGGAAAAGGGACTGAGGGCAGGGGCCAAGAGAGGCAGGCAGGAGCCAGGTCACACGAGTCTTTCCCCAAGTTCTTCAGAAGCTGCTCCAGGACCTTCAGCAGGAAGGTGGTATGATCTGCTCAGTATTTGGACGGTGCTGCTCTGCTGCTGTGTGGAGAGCACCACAGGCAGCCGACGGAAAGCCAGGAGAACGGTTGCAGCCTTGCAGTAGTCCATGCAAGAGGCCCTGGAGTGCCTGTGACAGATGCAAGACGCAGACCTATTTGAAATGTGTTTTGGCTGTGGAACGGGCAGGTCTTTGGTTGATTGAATGTGGAGAAGAGGAAAATGAGTGTATCCAGAATGACTTTGAGGTTTTTGAGTTGGACAGTTGGGTAGATGGTGATCCCATTTGTGTGATGGTAAAGACATGAGGAGGAGCTTGGAAGGAAAATGAAGTTTCCAGCTTTGCATGTGTTAAGTTTGTGATGACCAATAGATATTCAATATTATGAACTTTGGAGATTACAATTCAGGAGCTCACTGGAGAGACTGGAACATTCAGCCTATAAAACCCTTTAAATCTTGAACACAGTGAAATCCTCAGGGAGAGAGGAAAGTGAGAGAAGAGGTCAGGAGGAAGAGGGGGAGCCAACAGAGGACTCTGGGGAAACCATTATGTGTTTCCCCAGAGAAAACCAGGGCACTAGGGGCCATGGAAGCCAGAAAAGAAGCTGAGGCAAGCAGGTGGGAGTGGCTGATGTTGGAAGCTGCCTGGGGGATGAAGAGGGGCGAAAGAGAGAGAAGTGGGACTACATGGGTGATGGAGAAGGAAGTCAGGCTGAAGTGGACAGGAGCATGGATGGGAAGTCAGGAAGCGGGGCTGGTAACTGTAGGCTCTGTGAGAGGGGGTGTGTTGGCCCAGGAAGCGAGACTGGGAAGGTAGCAGAGGGACATGAGGGCCAGAGAGGTTTGCTTTCAGGTAGGGCGCCCAGGAGCATGCTTACCTGCGAGCTGCCTCACTGTGCAAATCCCTTCACCTCTTAAAGGCTCAGTCCCTCCACCTAAGAGGTCATTTCCATTACGTCTCTTAGTCCCTTTGATCCCTTTGGTTTTGCATAACCATAGTCCTTCAGTGGGGTAGGGGCATCTCAGTAAATGTGAGTTTTGGTGAACTGTGTTTCCAACTTGTAAGCAAGTTAGACTGCACCCTGGGAAGTCAGTTCACACATGAGGAGGGCCTCATCTCTGGCTTCCCTGGAGCCTGAGTCAACCAAGCTTCTGATGGCCAAGATCTTTTCCTTTGTGTGTGGAGTTGGGAGAACAATCTAGTATTTTTAGACCTTTGTACTAGACAGTTTTTTATGGCATTTGCTTTTCTTTGTCTTCGTATTCAGAAATTTTGTTTGCCTAAATTTAGGCTAACCATGAATTGACTGCATTTGAAAGGCTTATTGCACATCAATAAGGAAAATATTGTTATCAGATGTACTTACAATGAGGAGGAAATGTTTCCGAACCTGCCCTGAATTATATAGTCTAGGTTTCGTTTACTCCCATCCCCTAGAATTCTCCCTTAAATGGACACAGAGAACCTGGAAGTTATTGAAAGTAAAAGGAAGAACCAGACTTGTAAAAATTTGTTCTCAGATTTTGTTTTCAATGAGACCTTGGGAAAGAAGTCCCTTAAAAACAATCAGATGCTATCTTGTTCTTTCTTTCAAGATGCCCCATGGTCTTGAAATGATGGGCCATAACAACGTAAAAATCTCGCTTTATGTCTTGATAGGTTTCCACATGTTGGCGGATGCAGTGGAAGCTTCTCTTGAGATCTTTGCCACACTGTTCAACATGTTTGACCACTCTGTCCTAAAAACGCTTTCTTCTTAAAGCACTTTCTCCTCCTGGCTTCTGTGTGTCTTACTCTCCTTGAGTTCCCTCTGCCTCTGTGGCCAGTCCTTCCTCACCTCTCTTGCTGGCAGGTTAACAGTCTCCACTTCAATAGCCCAAGGCTCAGAAAGACTGAGTAATGCGTCTAACCTCCTCTAGCTGATAAAGAACCAAGGCTCAGAAAGACTGAATAACGTGTCTAACCTCCTCTAGCTGATAAAGAAGAGAACAGGGATTTAAACCCAGGGACGGAAACTCTTCTCGGTTCCCTATACCATATTCCTGTCTTCAGGGAACTGAGAGCATTTAGTTGCATTAAAACAAATAAAAAAACAAACAAACAAAAAACCTGCAGGTATCTTGGGCTCTGGAAGGACATACAGGTCAGGGTGAAAAGTATGCTTGGTCCAAGCATCTTTTTTCTTTTAACACATGAAGTATGTGTCTTATTATTTTAAAAGACATTGAGAAAAAGGAACATTCAACATTCTCTTGGTTATAGATACTGGAGTATTAACAAAGTGAAAAGAGAAAAACTAAAATTTTGTTTGGCTCTGACTTACTAGTTTTAGTAATTTATAAGAACAGCTTTCCATTTGTGCCTTTCATACATCCACTGAGTCATGAGGTTTCATCAAATGTTTCTTTTTTTCTTTTCTTTCTTTCTTTCTTTTTTTTTTTTTTTTAAGACAGAGTCTTGCTCTGTCGCCCAGGCTGGAGTGCAGTGGCATGATCTCTGCTCACTGCAACCTCTGCCTCCTGGATTCAAGTGATTCTCCCACCTCAGTCTCCCAAGTAGCTGGAACTGTAGGCATGTGCCACTATGCCCGGCTAATTTTTGTATTTTTAGTAGAGACAGGGTTTCACCATGTTGGCCAGGCTGGTCTCAAACTCCTAACCTCAAGTGATCTGCCTGCTTCGGCCTCCCAAAGTGCTGGGATTATAGGCGTGAACCACTGCGCCCAGCCCAGATGTTTCTTAGATTGACTTTGCTGTGTTTCCTTTGTATCCGATGTGTCTGAGATTGACTTCCTTGTAAGTCATTCGTTAACAGGTTTCTTGTATTTTCCTAGCCTTCTCAGCCTTCATTGGCTGGAGAGCCTGTAATGTGGCTACAGGCTTCTGAGGCAAGACGATTTGCTCAGTTTCAAAATGTTAGGGGTCACATGCCATTTTTCATTTGTTAATTATTGAAGATGTCTTTCCCACAGATAAGACCCCAAGGACTCTCCCAGACTCTTCATCTCCTCTCTGGCCCTGGGCAGAACTCTTCCCCAGGCAAAGTCTGATTTCAGTGTTCCTTTCTGTCCTGCCACTGTTCAGCTCTCTCCTGTCATCTATCCCCTGCCTACAAGGTCCCCTCCTGACTCGTGCAGCAGTGGTGGCTCTTGCCTGAGATGCATGGCAGCTTCCGAAAGGCTCGCCATGCCTCCTGTCTCCAGGGTGCAGCTGGATTCCGGCAGCTTCTGCCTAAGTGCTTTCAGTTAGCACACTCTGACAGGCCCCAGGGATGGAAGAGCTAAGGTGGCAGGGTCAGAAGAAATCTGTTGTTTTTTTATTGTTTGTGATTTATTATGACTTCTCTTTTTTTCTGGATTCATTGTTAAATTCAAGCTCCTGCTGAGGAAAACGTTAAAATGTATCGCTTTAAGGAGGTGCAACAGGCAGGAGTCTATGGAACTCTTAATCTTAGCTGCTGCCTCCACTTTGATACAATGCTAGATAAATGCGAGCATCTTTCCCTAACCTTCCTCCTGAATGCCTCATCCCTTGATCACAAAAACATCCCTTAATAATAGGGGGAAAACCCCAAGTATGTAACCCTATCCATAGCCAAAATAAAGTCTGCATGCCACAAGTGTTGTGAATTTGTATGATGCCTACTGTACATTCCACTTAAAATAGGAAGCCTTTTTTTATTTTTATTTATTTTTTTTAATTTTTTTTTTTGAGACAGAGTGTCGCTCTGTCTCCCAGGCTGGAGTGCAGTGGCGCAATCTCAGCTCACTGCAAGCTCCGCCTCCCATGTTCACGCCATTCTCCTGCCTCAGCCTCCCAAGTAGCTGGGACTACAGGTGCCCGCCACCACACCACGGCTAATTTTTTGTGTTTTTAGTAGAGACGGGGTTTCACTGTGTTAGCCAGGATGGTCTTGATCTCCTGACCTTGTGATCCGCCTGCCTCGGCCTCCCAAAGTGCTGGGATTACAGGCGTGAGCCACTGCGCCCAGCCATATACCATCTTATTTTTAAATTGAAAGCTTACAGGCTTCAAGGAAGAGTCTGATAAGGAGAGAGGAAAATCTCAGTTTCATCTGCTTTGGTGGCAGAAGCTCCAAAACGGAAATGTCCTGGGGCCCCTGCCCAGTGCACCAGCTACCTGAGGCCCTCCTCCACCAGGACCTGGCTCTGTCGTCACCCACGGTCCTCTGTCCTCCACCCTCCCTCCCTTCCCTCTCCCTCTCCCTCTAACTGCTGACTATGCTCACACTTCTCCCATCTTTTTTTTTTTTTTTTTTTGAGACAGAGTCTGGCTCTATTGCCCAGGCTGGAGTTCAGTGGCGCGATTTCGGCTCACTGCAACCTCTGACTCTGGAGCTCAGGTGATCCTGCCGCCTCAGCCTCCCAAGTAGCTGGGACCACAGGCACGAGCCACCACACCCAGCCTCTCCTATCCTTAATAATCTCTCCTTTAAACTGCTGCACCCTCATCTAATTATCAAAACACTTCTTGTCTCCATTCCCACAGCTCTTAAGAACTTCCAGTCCTCTGGAATCTGCTTTCTGCTCTCACCAGTACAGGAAAACTGTTTTTTCCTTGGCTCATTGTGCCCTGACAGTCACCAGATTATGGAAGCAAATTTTATTTTTAATCTTTTGAGACTCTTCTGCTTTGTTTGGTACTGTTGACAGCTCTTCTGGAAGTTTTTGTCACTGGCTTTTGTGGCAGTCCCTCACCTGATTCTTCTTGCCCTCTGTCATTCCTCCTCCATCTCCTTCGAGGTCTGCCCTTTGCCTGCCTGTGTCTTCAGAGCTGATCTTCCTCGGGGCCTCCACACTCGGCTGCGTGTCCTCCCAGAGTGGTCTCATCTAAACCCCCATCTTAGGTGGGAGTCTCCAGGTGCAGACCCTGATGCAAGGGGTATGGGAAAGAGATTTATTAGGAATTGTTCTGATACGGGTTGGCTGTGTGTCCCCGCCCAAATCTCATGTTGAATTGTAATCCCCAGTGTTGGAGGTGGGGCCTGGCGGGAGGTGACTGGATCACAGAGGTGGTTTGTCATGGTTTAACACCATCCCCCCTTGGTGCTGTGGTCACAATAGTGAGTGAGTTCTCATGAGCTCTGGTTATTTAAAAGTGTGTGGCACCTTCCTCCACCAACTGTCTCCCTCCCGCCCCAGCCATGTAAGATGTCCTGCTTCCCCTTTGCCTTCTGCCATAATTGTAAGTTTCCTGAGGCCTCCGAGCAGGTGACAGCATCATGCTTCCTGTACAACCTGCAGAACCGTGAGCCAATTAAACCTCTTTTATTTATAAATTACCCAGTCTTGTGTATTTCTTTATGGCAATTCAGGAACAGACTAATATATGTTCCCAGGAGGTGGAAAGGGAAGGGAAATGGAAGTGAGGAGGCCAAGCCAGGGTGCCGTGACATCAGGCCAGGTCATGCAGGGTTACTCTGGAAGAAGCATGGGTCACCCTCAGTTGTTCGCATCAGGCAGTGGACCCCCAGGGTGCATGTACCCCTGCACTTGTCTCATTGGTTGGAAAAATGTACAGTCCCAGGTGCTTCCAGCTCCATGTGTTCACAGGAAAGACAGGCTCAGGCAACCCCAGGGCCACCCTCTGACGAAGAGTCGCAGAGAGCATGCCAAGGGCTGGTGTGCACACGGGTGGGGTGTGGGCATGGCCGGCCATACCCCCTTTTAAGCCAAAGGCTCCCAAGTCTCCACCAGCAGCCCCACTCTCTCTAAAGATCAAGCGTGAATGCTTAACTCCCCGTTGACATCTCTCCTGGTTACCCCACAGTCATCTCTTACTGATCATCCCCTCTACCCTGCTTCATCTGCTCCCCTCCCATAGTGTTGTACTCATCGCTGGTGGCACAGGTCCACCCACAACAGGGTAGGAGACTGGGAGCTCCAGCTCCTGCCTCTCCTTCACTCCTTCCCTGGGAGCCATTGCTAACAACTGCCAATTTCATCTCCTAAGGATTTCCTCAATTCAACTCCTCTTCTCCACCCCTAATACCACTGTCTCTCTCTTCACCACTTGCTTGTAGCAGTCCAACAGCCCCAAAGTGTTTTCTATTTTCTACTTCTGGTCTTGCCCTTCCTTGCTGCCACCAGAGAGCTCTCCTTAAAACACCTCATGGTTCTGCCACCTCCTTGCTAAAACTCTCCAAAAGCTTCCCCTCACCTGCAGGAAAATCTTCAAGCCCCTTAGTGTGGCATGCAAGTCCCTGCACATCACCTCTGTCCCCCATCTCATCTCTTGTCGTTCTTTGCTTTACCCTCTCCCTCCAGGTAGCTCAGAGACCCCTCCTGTGGTAGTCAGCTCGGGCTGCCATAATAAGTTACTAAAGGCCAACATAAATTTATCTTCCCACAGTCTGGAGGCCAGGAGTCCCAGATCAAGATGTTGACAGATTTGGTTTCTTCTGAGCCCTCACTCCTTGGCTTGCAGTCACTGAGCAGAAAAAACAAACTGTTTTTCATCTGCTCTCACTCCACAACCATCAACACAGAAGACTTCTGTGGCCAAATGTGTAGGAGGTTTCCCCACACACCAAGCAAGCAATAACTTCTGTAGTGGACACCAGCTGGGTGTCCTCTAATTCAGTTTAATTCTGACACTGTCCAGAGCATCAGATCCCACAGGGTGAGGGCTCAGTCCCACAAGACTGCCTTCCACCTCCGACACCAGTCACACGCCCCAGGTTGTCTACCCTGTGTTTTTGACCAACCAACTATAAATTGGGGTTCCCATGGCTGGCACGTTGGGTTTATTAATTTGCTAGAGCAGCTGACAGAACTCAGGGAAACACTCACATTTACTCCTTTATTATAAAGATATTACAAGGGATACAGGTGAAGAGATGCATAGGGTGAGGTATGAGGGAAGGGGTGTGAGGCTTCCCTGCCCTCTCCAGATGTGCCCCTTTCCCTGCGTTCAGCTATCCAGAAGCTCTCCTAACTTTGGGGGGTTTATGGAGGCTTCGTTATACAGACATGATTCGTCAAACCATTGGCCTTTGGTGGTCAACTTGACCTTTACCCCCGTCCCCTCCCCGGAGATTGGGGGGCGGGGCTGAAAGTCCCAACCCTCTAATGCTGCCTTGGTCTTTCCAGTGACCAGCTCCTCCTGAAGCTACCTAGGGGCTGCTAGCCACCCATCAACTCATTAGCATACAAAGGCGTAATTGTGAAGATCCAGAGGATTTTAGAAATTATATGCCAGGAAACGAGGACAAAAACCAAATATACACTCCACAGTGTGACAGCCATCTTCTCGCTGTGTCCTCAAGCGGCCTTTTCTCTGCGTGTGCATGTCCCTCGTGTCCCTCTGTATGTCTTAATCTGCTCTTCCTAAAGGACACTAGTCACATTGGAATAGGCCCACCCTGACAGCCTCATTTTAATTTAACCACCCCTTGAAGCCCTCAACTGCCCTATCTCCAAAGACAGTCATATTCTGAGGTACAGGGGGATATGGTTCCAACATATACATTTGGGGGAACCCAGTTCAGTCATAGCTCCTACCATCTGCCTGCTCTTTCTTACCTCCATGCCTTTTAAAGATGTTGTCTCTATTTAGAATATCCTTGCCTTGCTGCATAATTCCATATCATTATGACTCATCATTATGACTCAGCACAGATTGCATTGCCTTCCCAGAAACTCTCAGACCCTATCCTAATGTAAGCTGCTGTCCCTCCTCTGTACTCCTAGGCTCTCTTCTCTGTCTCTCTCTGATCTTACTACATGATTTGGTCATTCTTTTTATGTTTACCACATTAAATTGCCAATATTTGACCATTTTTGCCCTACAAGAACAATTTCTTTTTTCTTTTTTGAGATGGAATCTCGCTCTGTCACCCAGGCTGGAGTGCAGTGGCGTGGTCTCGGCTCACTGCAACCTCCACCTCCCTGGGTTCAAGCGATTCTCCTGCCTCAGCCTCCCGAGTAGCTGGGACTACAGGCACATGCCACCACACCCAGATAATTTTTTGTATTTTTAGTGGAGACAGGATTTCACTGTGTTAGCCAGAATGGTCTCGATTTCCTGACCTTGTGATCCACCTGCCTTGGCCTCCCAAAGTGCTGGGATTACAGGCGTGAGCGACCGCGCCCGGCCAAAAACAATTTCATATGGTCCAACCAAATACATATCTCGCTTCTGACCCTCAGACTTTTGTCCCTAGGGATTACGTCTTGTTTCTCAGTGCACCACAGTGCTTGGCACTGAGAGGGTGCTCCGTGAGTGTTGAAAAAATGAATCTCATAGACATGATGTCTGTCCCTGAGGTTCTTTATATGTTATTTGGAGAGCTGAAATACTGGTCCCAAGATAGATAGGTAATCCTAGGCTACATCCTCAGAGTTCTAAGAACTGAGAGTTTACTGTTGACAGATTTAGTTAGAAAGGGCTACAGGGGGATGTGAGGCTTGAGCTGGGATAGTAAGAAAGGATACCACTGAGATGGGTGAAGAGGCAGAGGGAGAGGAATTCAAGGAGCAAAGCCTGGTAGGCATAAAAAGGAATGGATTGTGGATGTGGACATTAACATGAGAATGGACTTGCTGGAGAGGACAGCCACGAAAAGAACCAGTGAGACTGAAGGTGGGCCAGGCAAGGCTAGGCTAAGTCATGGAGCTCCTCGGATGCCAAATTGAAGAACTCGTATGTGATCCTCTGGGTAATGGTGAGGTATTTTATGTTCCAAGAATGACATAATGAAAGTAGAGTTCTAGGAAGATTACCCAGCGTTTGGGATAACATATGATCAAAGAGAAAGAGTCTAGAGAACAGATGGAATCAGGTGGCTGTGTGAGGAACAGAGGCATAAGTTCGGAAGACCTTGGTTGGCCTAAAGATCTGACTGAATTGTTCATTTGCAGCTATCAAAAATGGATTGAAAGAAGGCTTCTAGGCCGGGCGCGGTGGCTCACACCTGTAATCCCAGCACTTTGGGAGGCCGAGGCCGGCAGATCACAAGGTCAGGAGTTCAAGACCAGCCTGCCCAATATGGTGAAACCACATCTCTACTAAAAATACAAAAATTAGCTGAGCATGGTGGCAGGCGCCTGTAGTCCCACCTACTTGGGAGGCTGAGGCAGGAGAATCACTTGAACCTGGGAGGTGGAGGTTGCAGTGAGCCGAGATCATGCCACTGCACTCCAGCCTTGGTAACAGAGTGAGACTTCGTGTCAGAAAAAAAAAAAAAAAAGAAGGCTTCTAATAATACAATGTAAAGCCATCCCCATTGTATATAAGGATTGACCCATTAAAAGAAAGGTTAAATTCGGGGGTTCTGTGAAGTTTGTGAGTCTTTGAAAAGAGGGAAAGACAACAGCCCATGTTCCTCCTTGGCCAAGGTCTGGTTGATCCTGCCTCGTGTTAGGGAGGCATCATCTGAGGATATGGATTGAGCTTCACTCCAGAGCTCCTCCGCCCTTGGTCTTGACCCAGGATGGTAGGATGGGGTTTATGAGAATGGCTGCCTGGATGAGTTCTGACTCTACTACAGGTTCAGAATTTCTAATATGAAAATCTGAACAAAACTTCCTGGGCAACAACATGACCACTAATGGAAAATTTCATACCTGATCTCATGTGATGGTGGCTCCCAGTCAAAACTTTGTTTCATATACAAAATTATTTAAAATAATGTATAAAATTACCTTCAGGCTATGTGTATAAAAGGTACTCAGTATCCTCGGGGCATTGGTTCCAGGACTGCCCCCATACCAAAATCTCAGGATGCATAGTCAGCCTTGTGGAACTGAGGAAACAGAAAGCTGGTCCTTTGTATCTGGGGGTTCTACATCCCTGGAGTACTATATTTTCAGTCTGAGGTTGGTTGAATCTGCAGCTGATTGAATCCAAGCATGGAGAACCTGAGGATTGGGAGGACCAACTATATATGAAACATAAATAAATTTGTATTTTGACTTGGGTCCCATCCCCAAGATATTTCATTTGTATGTAGATATTCCAAAATCCAAAAATATCGGAAGTCTGAAACACTTCTGGTTCCAAATATTTTGGATAAAGGATACTCAAGCTTTACACACATTTGCTGTGTGGCCTTGAGAGAGTTACTCAACCACACTTAGCTTTAGTCCCCTTAGCTGTAAAACAGGGATGATTAACACAATAGTTTCTACCTTATAGGTGGATGTGAGGAATAAATACAATGAATACATGCAATCCATTTAGAACATGTATGTTAAGTTGAATCACAGGCAATTGCTGTTTTGGTGGATCTAAAATGAATATTGTCAGGGCCAGGTGCGGTGGCTCATGCCTGTAATCTCAGCACTTTGAGAGGCCGAGGCGGGCAGATCACTTGAGGTCAGGAGTTCGAGATCAGCCTGGCCAACATGGTGAAACCCCATCTCCACTAAATATAAAAATTAGCCTGGCATGGTGGCATGCCTATAATCCTAGCTACTCAGAAGGCTGAGGCACGAGAATTTCTTGAACCTGAGAGGCAGAGGCTGAAGTGAGCTCAGACTGCACTCCAGCCTGGACAGCAAAGTGAGACTCCATCTCAATAAATAAATAAATAAATAATAAAATAAAATAAAATAGAATGAATATTGGCAATTTCCTACAGTTCAGGTAAATACTTAACACGTTTGATGCTATCATCTATGTCCTCTGGCACTTGGAAAAGGTTTGTCCAACAAGTGGCAGAGGGCACAGGGACACAGCCCCCACTGCCCCTCCTGGCTTATTCTGATTTCCTCAGCCTGGCTCGTCCCCTCATGTCCGCATGGCTCTGGAGCTGGGCCCTTCCCTTTCCCTGCTGCCACCCTTCCCTGGGGACCACACAAGGCATCTGCTCCTGTCTCTTGACCAACCAGAACATGGAAACACCTCCCTCCCTTCCTGACAAGTATAATTGGCTGGAATGTTCAACAAGTTAATTTTACTAATTAAGAGAATGTTAAAAAAAAAAGTGCAAGAATGCCTGGTTACAAATGTAGAGCACAGGCATAAAAGGAAAGAGTCTGAAAGTTCAACAGAGATGCTCAAGCAAATCGCTAGAGGTAAGAATTGAATGAGCAGCACTTCTAAGACTACCCTTCTGGAACCTACATCTAGTCCAGCCCCTCTGAAGGGCAACCCTTGGGTCCCCTCTGGCTCTTCTCTGTAAAGCTCCTCTGGCCTCTGTTCAAAATCTCACCACTGTCCAGAGTGGAAAAAAGTTCTTGCCTTTATGGCTTCCGAGAGTTCCTACCTGATCATTGGCCTGTGCCTCTCCTAAGGTCTCAACTGTATGTCTTAGAATTCCTGCCCTACACCCCTCTATCCCTCAGGCACGTGGGATTCCCCTACCCACTCCTGTCTGTCTAGTGTTTTTATTTGAACCACATACACTAACAAGCGACCTGTGAAGAGTGTTTCTACCTGTTCTTGATGGGAGGATGCTATACCTATGCCAGCATTTTCTGAAAAACTTTAGAGCTCTCAGCTAGCCAGAAATGGACTCTGCCCTTTCCTGTTTCAAAGGTCAGCTCCACCAGCCTGAGCTGCCCACTCAGTTTGTTTCCTGTTAGAGGGACACCCTCAGCTCTCAGCTCTTTTAAACAGCAAAGATGACAGACATGTCCTGAATAATTGAACTCAAATAACCTTCCCTCTTTATTTTTCCAGACCATTTCCTGGTTAGTCAGCACTCAGGTCTTTCTAAGGGGGAGAGAATTCTCCATAGACCCCTAATTACATATTTACAGTACTTGGTGTTTCATTTTTGCAATAACATCTAGTAGGGTCCTTTTTCTTTATATAGAAAAACATGAAAAAGCAAGACATTTCATAATCACTGGTTAGTTAACTTTGGTTAATTTTTTTCAAAGCACATAGTAAGAAAATTCAAGCAGTTTAGAAAAGTATAAAATTCCATTTACTACCACTGTAGTCCCTTACCCAAAGATAATTACTGCTACTGTTTTCTTGTGAATCTTGGGAAAGTAAATTTTGTAAGTATACATGCATACTTCCATATTGCTGCTCCGTGTAGCACTGATTCATTATAATGCTATTTGACTATAAAATATTTCGTACAAAATTATTCATGTACATATGCCAGTCCATAATAATTCACTCTTATTTTGCCCATCCTAAGGATATCTTATGCACTCAGCCAGTAGGAAGAATCACTATGTACATTACATGTTCAGCTAATGAGCGTTAGTTTCCCATTCAGAAAAACTCTCATCCAGTGAGTGCTTTCTCATGTAACGCCAAATTCACTTTGTTCCACAGAGTATTTGCTTACTTCCTGTGCCCCTTTTTCCTACCATTTAGTTTGTGTTTTGGCCAACAGTTTTGATCTAGAATGGATGACAAAAACTATATGGGTATTCTGCTGGACCTGCCACAAAGACACGAAAGAAGAACATCCTGCTAGATGTTACAAATCTGCTTTACAGGAGTTCTTGCCCCTTTCAAGTCAATGGTTGAGGACAGAAGGAATAAGAAACAGGGACTGTACTATTCAACATTGTACTGGAGGTTATAGCCAGGGCAGTTAGGCAAAAAAGTGAACTACAAGGCATCCAGATTGGAAAGGAAGAAGTAAAACTGTCTCCATTTGTAGACATAATCTTATGTGGAGTAAATCCTAAGTAATCCTCCAAAAAAATAATTAGAGCTAATAAACAAGTTCAGTAAAGTTTCGAGATATAGGATCAACATACAAAAGTTAGCTGTATTTCCATACACTAGCTAAGAATAATCTGAAAGTTAAATTAGGAAAAATTCATTTACATCGCTTGAACCCGGGAGGCAGAGGTTGCAGTGAGTTGAGGTTGTGCCATTGCACTCCAGCCTAGGGGACACAGTGAGAGTCTGTCTCAAAAAAAAAAAAAAAAAAAAAAATCATTTACAGTAGCATCAAAGATAATAAGGTACTGATTCAAAACGGATCAAAAACCCAAATATAAAAGCTAAAATTATACAACAAACAGAAAAAATGTAGATGTAAATCTTCATGATCTTGCATTAGGCAATAGTTTCTTACATACTAGACACTGAAAGCATAAGCAACTGAAGGGAAAAAGAATCAGTAAATTGGACTGCATCAAAATTAAAAACTTTTGTGCGACAGAGGACTCCATCAAGAAAATAAAAAGACAACCTACAGAATGGGAGGTAATATTTGCAAATCATATATCTGTTAAGGGACTTGTATTCAGAATATATAAAGAACACTTACAACTCAACAATAAAGACAAATGACCCAATTAAAAAATGGTCAGTCTGGACCGGGCATGGTGGCTCACGCCTGTAATCCCAGCACTTTGGGAGGCTGAGGTGGGCAGATCACTTAAGGTCAGGAGTTCAAGACCAGCCTGGCCAACATGGTGAAACCCCGTCTCTACTGAAAACACAAAAATTATCCAGGTGTGGTGACATGCACCTGTAATCCCAGCTACTCAGGAGGCTGAGGCAGGAGAATTGCTTGAATCTGGGAGATGGAGGTTGCAGTGAGCTGAGATCGTGCCCCTGCACTCCAGCCTAGGCGACAGAGTGGGACTCCATCTCAAATAAAAAAAAAAAAGAAAAAAGAAAAAAAAAGGATCAATCTGGCTGGGCACAGTGGCTCATGCCTGTAATCCCAGCACTTTGGGACGCTGAGGCGGGCAGATCACTTGAGGTCAGCAATTCAAGACCAGCCTGGCCAACATGGTGAAACCCCATCTCTGCTAAACATACAAACAATTAGCAGGGTGTGGTGGCACGCACCTGTAATCCCAGCTACTCGGGAGGCTGAGGCAGGAGAATCACTTGAACCCGAGGGGCAGAGGTTGCAGTGAGCTGAGATTGTACCACTGCACTCCAGCCTGGGCAACAGAGTGAGACTCCATCTCAAAAAAAAAAAAAAAAAAAAAAAAAAAACAGGTCAATCTAAGTTGACATTTCTCCAAAGAAAATATGCAGATGGCCAATGAGCACATAAGATACTCAACATTATTGGCTATCAGGAAATACAAATCAAAACCACAGTGAGATACCACTTCATACCTACTAGGATGGCTACAATGAAAAAGACAGATAATAAAAATCAGTGAGGACTTGGAAAAATTGGAACCCTTGTTCACTGTTGGTAAAATGGTGCAGCTGCTGTGGAAAACAGCCTGGTGGTTCCTCAAAAGCTTAAGCATAGAGTGACCATATAACCCTGCAATTCCATTCCTAGCTAAATAACCAAAAGAAATGAAGAAATCATATGCAAATGTTCATAACAGTATTATTCATCATAGCCCAAAATGGAAACAACCCAAATGTCCATCAACAGATGAATGGATAATCAAAATGTGTTATATCCATACAGTGGAATATTAATCAGCCATAAAAAGGAACGGAGTACTGATACTTGCTGCAGCAAGGGTGAACCTTGAAAACATTATGCTCAGCGGAAAAAGCTGGACACAAAAGGCCACATACTGTATCATGTGATTTATGTGAACTGTCCACAATAGGCAAATCCATAGAGACAAAAAGTAGATTTTTTATTTTTATTTTTTTATTTTGAGACAGGGTCTTACTCTGTCCCCGAGGCTGGAGTGCCATGGCACGATCATGGCTCACTGCAGCCTTAACCTACCAGGCTCAAACAATCCTCCCACCTTGATCTCCCAAAGTAAGAAGTAGATTAATGGTCAGGGCCTGGGTGGAGGTGGGAAGGAGATTGGGGAGTGACTGCCAGTGTGTATTTGGTTTCTTTTTAGGGTGATTAACATGTTCTAAAGTTGATTACATTCTAAAGTTTATTGCACATCATCAACTTATGTGCAACTCATAAGGTTGCACAACCTTATGAGTACACTAAAAACCACTATATGTGAATTACATCTCAATTTTTTAAAAAAGAGAGAGATTGATGGAAATCATTTAATGTTCTCTACTGTCTCATAATACCCCTGTAGCCTGGTGGGGTTGATCAACAATCATCTGGAGGAGACATGGAAAAAGAAATTAGGGCAGGAGGCGACTGGTGACCTCCGAGGTTTGGATGAGACCCACGGGGCCATTTCCAGCGTTGGATGGATGGAAGACATCTCCATAGGGTCTGTGATATAACAACCCCGTGGAATGATAATTCACTCCCAAGAAAGCATCCCTCAAGCACAAGTGTATACACACAAGATTGTGTGTTTTATCCATGCCATGCTATACCTCCCATTGTCCTCTTAATAATAGAATCCTGGCTAGTGTTCTGTCATCAACACAGTGAATTATTTGTTTTTTTTTAACTGCTGTGAGTATTCCCAGATATGAATGTTCCGTTACTAACCATCAAACATTTGTTAACCATTGGGCGTCATCATGGTCATTTCTAGTTTTTTGCTTTCATAAACAATGCTATGGTGAATGGTCTCACACTTACTGTTAGATGCACTGCATGTGAAATAGAAGACCCAAAGAGCACACTGTTGCTGGCAAGGCTGAGAAGAGAGCTCCTCTGCTGAGGACTCGTCCTCTTGTGCATCCTGGTATGTACTGGGCTGAAAACCAGGCAAGCCCTCCACCCCTGCCGCTGCCGCCCCCATGCCTAGGGCCGTGCTGTCCTCCACTGAGGAGGGAAAAGTCCTTCTCCAGCTCCCACGGGCCATCTGCTCCTCGTTGAGTCATCAGATGAGGCGATCCTTCCCATTACCTCAGCACACAGCACTGCACATGCTGTTGGTGTTCAAAACGGGCTTCGAGCCTCCTCTTGTAAAATGAAGCCAATGTTTGTCTCATTTGCCTCTTTCCAGAAGAAGTCGTGATTTTTTTTTTAATGCAATACAGAAAAAGTTTTCCATTTTTATTCTTTCTACTTTTGCTTCCAGTAATTTTCAGGTTCTCTGTATTCCTGTGTTCTGAATGTGTATGGCACACCAGCAGCCTGAGTTATGGCTGAGTCACTATGATCACCTTAACCCTGATAGATGAACCCAGCTTATGAGGAGACCTGTCTCAGCACATTGCACAGCTCTACCCCGCCCCAAACAGAACACTGTGAAAAGTACAGTCAAGGCCTTGTACTGCCTGGATCCTATACTCAAAAAGTTAATTCTATCTCGCAATATATATTTAATACAATTCAGTTAAGCTTCCTCTAAATAATTCATTTAGTTTAGTTTTTTTGAAATGAAAACCACACTTGATGCTGATTTAGCAAGGCCAAAGCTATGTAGCAAACCTCTTGACTCTACTGAATGGATGAATAATGTTTTCCTTCACATGCTTTAGCTTAAATATATTCCGGGCTGTACAGTCTCTTAAAATTGTAGATATTAGAGTCAGAAAGGACCTTAAAAGTGATTTTGCCTAACCTTCCCTGTGCCTGACAGATGGCCACTCAGCTTCTACCTGAGCAGTTCCAGGATCCAGGTCTCATTGCACTAGCAAACAGCAGATTTCCTGTGCTCAGCTTCTACCTGAGCAGTTCCAGGATCCAGGTCTCATTGCACTAACAAACAGCAGATTTCCTGTAGGAAGAGCCTGATCCTTAGAATGGCCCTTCTCAGATTTGGCTGGAATCTGCCTCCTGTAACATCTGCGCAGTCCTCTTAGCTCTTATCTCCAGAATTGCACAGAATGCGCCTTGCTCCCACCAAAACAATCTACGTATCTGAAGGCTCTTCTTTCTTTTCCTGACCAATAGGTCACTTTTTTGGGTGAATTTAGCATATATACCGCATGCCTGGGAGAACGTTCGCTTTCTTGGGCTTGGTCCTTGGTTGTTCTCTTTGTTGACAGTGGTCTTCTCCAAATGTGACAACTGAACTGAACACAGCCTGCTTTGAGGCGCCACCCATGAAGCATGGAGTGGAACTGTTATTGCACCCCTGGATCTGGATCATCCAGAAAGGAAGGACAAGTGTTCATCCAGTGGGATTCACTCAGATATATATATATACCATGTTTCTTTTTTGTTATTCTTTTTTTTTTTTTTCGAGATAGAGTCTCGCTCTGTCGCCCAGGCTGGAGTGCAGTGGCGCGATCTCGGCTCACTGCAAGCTCCGCCTCCTGGGTTCACGCCATTCTCCTGCCTCAGCCTCCCGAGTAGCTGGGACTACAGGCGCCTGCCACCACGCCCGGCTAATTTTTTTTTTTGTATTTTTATTAGAGACGGGGTTTCACTGTGTTAGCCAGGATGGTCTCAATCACCTGACCTCGTGATCCACCCGCCTCGGCCTCCCAAAGTGCTGGGATTACAGGCGTGATCCACCGCACCCGGCCTTTTGTTATTCTTTTAAGAGATGGGTCTTTCTCTGTCGCCCAGGCTAGAATGCAGTGGCGCAATCAAAGTTCACTGCAGCCTTGAACTCCTGGGCTCAGTGATCCACCCACCTCAGCCTCCTGAGTAGCTGGGACTACAGGCGAGCACTACCACATCTCGCTTTGTTGCCCAGGCTGGTCTCGAGCTCCTGGCCTCAAGGGATCCTCTGCCTTGGCCTCCTGAAATGCTGAGATTACAGGCTTGGGCCCCTGCACCCAGCCCCATATTTCATTTTTACATTCAGTATAATACACCTTGTCATGGCAGTTCTACCATTCCAAGTCCCATGCATTTTTCCTCCTTAATAACATTCTTTGAGTGCTTTTAATATGCCAAACACTGTCCTAAGCATTCTATATACATTATCTCATTTGATCCCAAAATGGCCTTGTGAGAGAAGTGCTGGTACCATAGTACCATTTTCCTCCCCATTTGATAGAGGAGGAAGCAGGTGCATGGAGATATTAAGCAGTCAGCCTTATCTGCACAGCGAGTAAGCAGCAGCACTGGGGTGAAAGCAGAGGCGCATCTGACCCCAGAGCCCAGCTCCTAACTGCTCCTCTCCACATCACCTCCCCCAGTGGGATTCCCATTACATTTGCATTCCTCCTGTTGATCCAGCCCACCCTTGTGCTTACTATGTTGGAAGCCACAGCAGTCACCTCCTGCTACATGTTGAGTTTACAGAAAATTAAATATACTAAATATTTTTCATAGGCAAACAGTTAATTTTTTAAAAACTCTTTCTCTCTATTAGATATTTTCTTCTTATTCATTGGACCCTCAGTTCAGCCTGCGGTTGCTGTTCTTGACTGTGGATGCTGTCAGTCAACCAGGTAGACTCCCAACTATAGCTCATAGGCAAATCTGTTAAGCCAGTAAATCACCATTCCTTAGGCACAGACCTAAGGATCTCCATCCAGGTTATAGCAAATAATTAATCAACACCCTTGGGGCTCTGTTTTTTAGCCTTGTATAAAGCCGTGAAACAACTACCATATGCTCACCGTTGCATGCTCTCCACCACATCCATTCTACTAGCTGCCTTGCAGAAGTCAAGATGCCCCACTGAATTTCTGGAATTGGCCCTCAGGATCCCATTCTAACTCTTGTAGTTCATCATTTTCTCTTTTAAGTGCTCACAAACTGTTCAATAACGTCATCACAAATTTTGCCCCGCCCCCCATCTCTTATCTTTGCAAATCGGAATAGCTGTCTACCTCCTTCAGCTTCTTTCTCATTGTCTGTGTGAATTGATCCTCCCCGCAGAGATCTGTGATCACATATCACAGGTGGAAGCTTTCAGAGCTATAGCCTGTCCCTCACCTGGACTTGGAATGGGAACTCCTTTAAAGGGTGAAGGAGCCCTGTCTACCAGTACCAAGCAGCAGTTCCCACATAGCAGGGCTTATTCTACCATGAGTAGCTTGAAAATCATTCTCCTTGGCAGGAAAGTTGAATCAAAATGGGAGTTGAGTCATTCTGTTCTTTCTGCCACCTCTTGGCACCTGGTCTTCCTTATGCTCCCAACTTCACCTCCAAAGCCCTTTTTGTTGTCCTGGGCCTTCTCCACTAGCCCATCCTGAAGTTTTGCCTTCTTGGCAGTCATTTTACAGCCTCCCAGCTCTCTTTATGTAGCGTGGGTTTTTCCTTTCTCCAGCATCCCGTTCAACTATTGTCTGTGTTCTCTGAAAACCACCCTTAGCAGAAACTGCCTGTGCAGTCACATGGGTGTCTTGGCTCTCCGTTTTTCTCTGTCTCTTTTGAGAATGTGTCTAGATCATCGCTTGCTGTGTTGAATGGGACAATATAGCACTCAGACCATTGCATTGATTGGTTTCTTATTTTTTCTCCATGTGGTGTTTTGCTTCTCAGAGGAATTTCTGATACATGGGCAATCAAGACCTGAGGACATTTTGGTTTTGTGTTGATACTCATTGCTTTTCTGAGTTTCATCTTTCATTTTCCCACCCTGATTATTAAAATGTGTGGAGTTTGTTTGCATTTTCCACAGTTCTGCTAACTACAGAGTTTCTCCTTATCACCTTCTTTAGCAGCCGACCCGGGACGCTGAGACTTCTTATGGGTACCCACCACTGGGTCCTTTCACTCTCAGGAGGACAGAATAAACCTTGTTTATTTTCCCGTGGCTCCTCAGAGGGATCCTCCTTCTGTCTTAAATCATCTTAGCAATTGCCTTTTTCAACACCAGAGGAATATCTTTCTGTGTCTGCTGCAGGCTGATGGTCCCAGTGGGGAAGCCCTTCCTGCTGGGTAGCTGTTAAATCCATTTTGAAAAGCATACAGACAGTCACACCTGCCAAATACCAGCGGTGTTGATACAATACAAATTTATTAGTTAAAGGTTTATTCACAACCTTTTGGTAGCACTGCAAATGCTAGTCAGTGGCAAATGTTCATTATTCACAGTTTATAGATAGGAAAATTGTCACCGAAAACAAACAGTGGATAGAGAATTCCTGTGCTTTCATCATTCTGCCTTCATTTTTTACCCAGAGGTGTCTTCGTGGAGCGGTGTAGACCAAGGGGATGAGTGTGTAAGGAAGATGCCCAGACCTAGCTTAGTAGGACTTTATGTGGCTCTTGAAATTTGTTGTTTCTTTTATTTATTTTCTGATGATGATGAGTCAAGGAGCAAGCTTAAAGACCAGCCCTTAAAGGGTTTGCATTCAAAATCAGCAGTCTCACCAAGGGAGAGTATAGGCTACATTTGTGTGTGGTGTCATTAAAACCTTTTCATTTTGGAATAGGTTTAGACTCCCAAGAAATTACTGTAGTAGTAGAGTGAGTTCCTGTGTCCCCTCCCCCAGCTTTCCCCCATGACAGCATCTCACATGCGTAACTATGGTGCCATGTCTTCTTAATGTCTTTGCCTGTCAGAGGAAGGTTTAGTTGATGCTACTGGAGGCTCAGTCAGAACATAGTCGGAACACAGAACGCAGATAATAGCCACATTTACATTGAGCTACTGAATGCCAGGAGGAGCTCTGGCTGAGTGCTCTGGTGCCACTCAGCTCTGGGAGCTGCCCCAGTGACTCTTACTGTCACCTTTTCACAGATGAGGGAGCCGGACTGCATGGGGCTTATGTTCAAGATCACATGGCAGTGGAGAGACTTGGGTCCAAGCCCTCACCCAGTGGTCATGCTCCTTCCCCTGCAGGTCTCACCTGTGCATCTGGGGCTCAGATGGGCACTGTTGGCCAGTCTCTACACAAGGGTCAGATTTCACTTCCTCCATTGTTGCAGGGTGAGTGAGGTCCTGCTCTCAAAGCTGTCAAACCTGGTGGGGCAGCTGCGACTAACAGAAACACTGAGATGTTGAAATGATCATTAATTCCCTTCTGTCTCATTTCTGGGATGCTTAGTCCCTGGCTCAGGCGTGGCAGCAGCAGGTTTATAGTTGAAGAATCTCTTGTGGCTCTCATGCTGACTGCTGGGAGTGTGAGAGGAAGAGTGCTGCTGGAGGGCCCGCCTGGGTGGGGGCAGAGCAGCAGGTGGGTATTCAGACCCAGCTGACATGCCAGAGGACAGTTCAGAGGCATTTTCTCAAATCCCACCCTTGGGGTTATCCTGCAGGATTGGACCTTTCTTCAGGAGGCCCGATTCGAAATCAAATCATTATGTATCAAATATCACTGCCACCTGCCCACTCTTTAAATATCCACATTGCCTCTGTGGTTGTGGTGGAAAAGGAAGGCGTGGGGAAGGGAAAGGGCACGTCAATCTCAGTTGTTGCATTTGGTGCCAAGTACAACAGAAACCAAGGGCATTTGAGCTCAGATGACCTTGGTAACTTGATCTCTCACATTCCATGTATTCCAGCCAAAGAAATAAACACCAGAGTGTAATGTCTAAGAGATACTGAACACTTTTGCTTTTATGGAATGCTTCCACATGACCTGAGCCTCACTGCAGACTTTACAGGTGAGGAAGCTGAGCTTCAGGGAGGGTAAGCAATTCCTCTAAGGTTCTCCACTTAGTACTTGGCACAGCCAAGATGGGGACCTGGATCTTGGGGGGGCCCCAGAGTGTAGCAAGGACTTTGGTGTTCTGTGGACCTGGGTTCTTAACCTCGACTCTGCCACTAACCAGTTTTGTGGTCTTCTCTAGGACTCACTTTCTTTAACTTTTAAATGGGCATAAACAGGATGTGGCCTCATCAGGATCTTATGAGGGAAGAGGGTGTGATGCATAATAAGAAGAGCTTGGCTGAGTACCTGGCACAGAGGATAACCAGGAAACGTTAGCTGTTAGTACTAGTCCAGTTAGAAACGAATCTGGCTACAATTATTGCAGCAATAAAGCAATGGTTGACTTAAACAAATGGTAGTTATCTTTCACACACAATACAAAGTCAGAAGGCAGGCATCCCCAGGCTGGCCAGGAGCAGCATGATGATAGTAAAGGCTGTTTGCCTTCCTTCAGTCCATTCTGCTCTCCACAGAATCCTGGTTTGCTGCCTCATGGTTGCAAGATGGCCATCACTGCTCCATCCACCAGGCTTGTGGGGAAGAGGTGCGGTAGCAGTCACATTTTCCCCCTTTATAAGGAAAGCAAAAGCTTTCCCAGAACCCCACCCAGCATGGAATCACAGCAGACATCTGCTTTTTTCATTTTGGCCTGGACTAAGTGCCACAGCTGCAAGAGACACTTAGAAAATGAGCATTAGCTTTTCAGATTCAGTCATACAAGTGGCAAGGAAGAAGGCAAATGAGAATGGGAGTAGACCGACCAGTTGGATTTGCCACAGCCCTTCCTGCCTCTCACACTGTCATTTTAAAAAAAATTTTGCATTGGTCCTCAGGTGCATAGGGCTTAGTTCATCCTAGTCGTGTGCCAGTGGCACATGAGTGGCAAAGCCCCTTTTCTAGACTGATGGCCTTTCCTGCTCGCAAGTGTATGCTGTTTCATGTACGTGCATCGCTTAAGTTTTTAAATGAAACATAACATAGATACATTAAAGTGCACAAGTCTTTGCTAGATGGCTCAAAGGATTTTTATGATTTATCCCCATGAAAGTACATTCAGATCAATCTATAGAACAGTCCCAGCATCTCAGAAACCTTCCTGTTTCTCTGCTGTCTGTCAACACTCCCTCCCAAGGTGACCATTATTCTGATCTCTATCCCCATAGGTCAGTTTTGCCTGTTCTTGGATTTCATTGACATGGACTTGTACATGTGTGTGTGCACTTCGTGGACCTGACTTCTTTGGCTGACCTGTGAGAGTCATCTGTGTTACTGTGTGTGGTTGTAGTTCATCTGCTTTCTCCGGTACTTTGTCTCTCTACGCAGACCTGGTATTAGTAGCATTGTGAGAACCAGAGTAGCACAGAGATGGAAGTTTCCTGTTTCCATTCATAGAGTGTCATTTCCTCCTAGAAACCACCCCCTCTGATTTCTTGCAAAGCTTGCCTGTGCACTGCCCTCTCCAGCAGCAAGCTGCTATCAAAGGAATCTCTTGGGGACTTGTATATTGGCTTTGAATGCTGTCAGCAGGAAGAATTTTCTTGAGCACTTCTTCATTTGGAGAGGATGGAAGAAGAGAGTTAGAGAGGGATGCTTTCGGGAAGGACATTTTTAGGCAAAGGAAAAAACAGCAACTGAAGGCGTCATTGGGAACTGGAACCTGGAAGCCAGCCTTCTGAGCAGAGATTTACATCATTCTTCTGTGTTCCTCCCCTTCGAGCAGTCTCAATTCAGGGCTCAAGGGCAAAAAAGACGCACGGCAACTCTGCCTGTCTTAGGGCTGGGCAACCTAGTTTGAGTTCAGACTGACTCTTGAGAAGTCTCCCTTCCCCCAGACAGTGGGTGATGGGCTTTCCTTATCAAAGCTAGTGTGGCTTTCTTACAAAAACATTGCATGGCAGGACAAACCTGAGAGCAGTGAAAAAAGCTGATTCTTTTCAGGGGAGTCTTAAATGAAGATGAAATGGATTAGTTATTCTTACAAGTGTGGGCATGTAGGTAAGTCAGGGATCGAGTAGAAAAATGAAAAGTATGCAGTTAGCTCTGATGGTTTTCATCATCATCTTTCCTTTAGGTATCTGCTGATTCTGTGCCTTGTGTCTGCTGGGATAATGTCCCAGAGTATTCAGCTAAGACTTAATCAGGGATCCTGTTTGCTAAAATGGAATATTTTATTAAGTTTATTAGGTAATTTCTGTATCCCTGGCCCTTGCTAGGGGCTTTGCAATGTATTATTTCAGTTATTCTCTGCAGGATCAGGGAAGGTGGGTAGGATTATTCCCATTTTACAAGTGAGTAAATGAAGGTTAGTAAGTAACAGGTAGTAAGAAGTAAGGCTGCTAGTCTAAACTAGGTCTCATATTCCAAAGGCTGCATACCTTCTGCACCACCACACTACCTTTTAAAATAACCCCTTGCTTTTCTGATGCACCAACCCTCTCGTGGTTCCTTGCCTTCCTTCACCTCAACACTCCTCAGTGTTGATCCAGTGAGTGGCCGGTTTTAGAACAGCCGAAAGCTGTAAATACCTCCTCACTTATTTTGATTCAGCTGTTGAAGCTATACTGTAACACTGCACAAATCTTTACTAGATGGCCCAAAGGATCTGTTACATTTTATTTAAAATATTTAAAATTTTAAAGCCAAATAGCACAGTGGAAAAGATCTTCATGGAGAATAAGGAGTCGCTGGTTTCAGTCCTAATGTCACTACAAATCAAAACAAGGCATAAAGCTGGGCGTGGTGGCTCACACCTGTAATCCCAACGCTTTGGGAGGCTGAGGTGGACGGATGGCTTGAGCTCAGGAGTTCGAGACCAGCCTGGCCAACATGGCGAAACCCCATCTCTACAGAAAAAAACAAAAATTAGCTGGGTACGGTGGCAGGCTTCTGTAATCCCAGCTACTTGGGAGGCTGAAGCAGAAGGATCATTTGAGCTCAGGAGGCAGAGGTTGCAGTGAGCCAAGATCGCACCACTGCGCTCCAGCCTGGGTGATGGGAGTGAAACCCTGACTCGAAGGAAAAAAAAGACTTTGAGTGGACCGTGACTATCCAGTCCAATCTTTTGGCTTCCCTGGGCCACATTGGAAGAAGAAGAATTGTCTTGGGCCATGTGTAAAATAAGCTAACACTAACGACAGCTGATAAGCTAAGGAAAAAATCGCAAAAAAATCTCGTAATGTTTTAAGAAGTTTATGAATTTGTGTTGGGCTGCATTCAAAGTCATCTTGGGCCACATGTGGCCCATGGATGGGCTGTGGGTTGGACAAACTTACTGTAGAACTAATGTCTGTGTGCCTCAGTTTACCTTGTGTGAAATGAGGAAGTTGAAGTATGTGATTCTTGATGTTCCCACCTGTTCTAAAAACATGAGCTTCTATGACCTTTTTTTGTAATTCTAATATGGGTGGAAAGTACAAATATTTATTAAAGGAGCCTTAATTACTAAGTGCAAATCCAGAGAAGTGGATAACATTGAGGCTTTCAAAATTTTTTGAAAGAGATATAAGTTCTTTACTTTTCCAAGTAAAGCTTCATTTTCCATTGCATTTCCCAGTCTGTCATCAAAAAAGGGTATACGTTCTTAGATAATTTATAGTAGAGCTTAGAACCCTTGAGGGTCTGGCAGACTTTAATTTTGGATAAATTGATGTAAAATATTTGCCAATAGCCAACTTCAGGTTCCCAACCCAAATATAAATCCCGTAGACGAGTATGTAATACAAACTGTTCTAAATTATACCTGGTACTGTTGAATAGAATCAGGATGATATTGAGCAACTCTGAAAATAACAAATAAGATGCTATTATGACCTAATTACTTAAGAATGTGCTATACTTAAATAAATTGTTACTAAATCGTTTTAGACCCAGTAAAGACAAAACTGGCCACACAAGTGACTCGGGAGCATCTGTTATCAAGCATGGACTTAATCCGGAGAAGATCTTCATGCAGGTGCATTATTTAAAGGTAAGCACATGTCAGTTGCAGAAGCCAGTGATTGTGGTGCAGCACTTTTTAGGCCACACAATTAAACAATGATGATTAGTAACAAGACTGAGGTGAAAATACTGTAATGATATCTGACTGGCCAGATATCTGAGCGTTCAGTAATTAAAGCACTTCATGCCCAAAAAAGGAGACCAAGTTAGGAAAGACTGAATGAACAAAGGCTGAAATATTCCCTGCCCTGTACCTCTGTTCTCCCTGCCTGAGGAGCAGAACTCTCACTTTGCTGTCAGGTTCCAACTGAAAGACATGGGTGAGAAGGAAGTGTTTTCTGTCGTGAAGGCCTTTCCTGGTAGGGGGAGTAGAGAAGAACTGGGTCTCTCTTCTCTTTTCATCTGCGATGGACAACCAGCCTTCATGTGAACCAAGTCCAAACAAAAATGATGACAACATTAACAAAGGAGTTGAGAACTAATTAATTTCCAGGCCACGCCTTCCTGGTGAAAATGGAAAGGGCAGCCAGGGACAGGTAGGACGGCACATTCTAGATGCACAAGTGCACTATGGGTTAGGTAGGGCTGACTATATAACCATTTTTTTATGAACTCATGGTAGGCCTCTTTTTCTCTCTCTTTTTTCTTTCTTCTAGGGCTACTTCCTTCTTCGGTTTCTTGCCAAAAGACTTGGAGATGAAACCTATTTTTCATTTTTAAGAAAATTTGTGCACACATTTCATGGACAGCTGATTCTTTCCCAGGTAACTTATGGGTCCTCATGAGTCCATGATGTATGACTGGAGGGGGTATGGCACATGAAGATTAGATTATGCCAGTATTAAAGAGTAGGGAAAAGGTTTCCCATTTAATGCAGTGGGAAAAATAGGAAGTTAATGAAATGGACACAAAGAAAGGGTTGCTTCAGGGAAGGTGATCTCTCTGTAGTTTTGAAATAAACTATAACCCAAAGCTGTCTCGTACACAGTGATAGTTAAAGACAAAAATAAAACAATCCTGCCGTTCTCTTTACCTGGACTTATCTTTGGAAGACTGCCTCCTTCTTACCTTCTAGTTTTCAGTTTGAACGCCACAGGCTCCAAGTCACCCGGCTAAACAGATCTGCATCCAGGCTCACGTGTCCCACCCCTTTGCCCTTTCCATTGCCTTCATTGTCATTGCCATTGTCTGTAATTATGTTTTCATCATGGGGCTATTTGTTTCTTTTCGCTGTCCTCCACTCTACGTATATGCCCAACAAGGCCAGACCATTCTATTTCACCAGTACTTAGCACATGATTGGCACACAGTAGGTACTCCATAAATATTTGATCAATAGATTAATAACCAGATACACTGAAATATGCAGACAGCCTGGCCACAAAACTATCAGAGAGAGACCCTGTCAGCTCGTATGGGCATGGGGCCAAGCAGCACATAGCAAGGAAGTTAACAAGGAGTGGCAGGCTCTGAAAAATGACACTCATAACTAATAGAAAATAGGTGATGCATCCTTAGCATAGATTGGACTAATGGACCTTTTTCATATTTGATAATTGTGCTCATATACAGCTGTGAGTCTCATTATCTCCAGTGTTAGATGTAAAGGATGTGCACGTATAATTTGAACACAGATGGAAGAATCACATGAGCGTAACAAGACCGGATGGCTGTTCCTCTATGTTCTTTTTATTTTTGTACTGGGTGTGGGGAAAATCCTCCCTAAGCATATATTTGGAAAAGCAATTCGAAAACTGGTTCAGAAGTCTTACATGCTTGGTTGACTGATTAGTACAAATTCCTACTGCTTGAAGCCACTTCTCACCAAGAGACTGCAGTGTTAAATAAGTGCATTGTATTTACCATGACTTCGGAGGTTTTGATTTTCACTTCCCATGGAACTCTTACTGCTCTCTTAACCAAACTGTTCAGTTCTTCGTTTGCTTCTCTCTTTTTTGTTGTTTTTTTGTTGTTGGAGACAGATTCTCCTCTGTCGCCTAGGCTGGAGTGCAGTGGTGCGATCGCGGCTCACTGCAACCTCCACCTCCCAGATTCAAGTGATTCTCCCGCCTCAGCCTCCCGAGTAGCTGGGATTACAGGCGCTTGCCACGACACCCTGCTAATTTTTGTATTTTTAGTAGAGATGGGGTTTCACCATGTTGGCCAGGCTGGTCTTGAACTTCTGACTTCAGGTGATCTGCCCACCTTGGCCTCCTAAAGTCCTGGGATTACAGGTGTGAGCCACCACACCCAGCCCGTTTATCTCTTTTGAAAAGCTTCATTGTTTCTTCATAGCAACTTTATTGAGATAAAATTCACATACCATAAAGTTAACCCTTTGAAAGTCTACAAGTCAGTGGTTTTTGGTATATTTACAAGATTGTTCAACCGTCATCATTATCTAATTTTAGTACATATTCACCAAACCCAGAAGAAATCATTAGCAGTCATTTCCCCATTTTTACTCCCCCAGCCCTACATAACCACTAATCCGCTTTCTGTCTCTATGGATTTGCCTTTTCTGGACATTTCATATAAAAGAATCATATGCTTTGAGAACTTTTGTGTCTAGCTTTATTAACGTAATGTTTTCAAGGTTCATATAGCATGTATCAGTACTTCATTCTTTTTTATTTTAATGTTCATTTAATTGTAATAAAATATACAAAAAAAATTTACCATTTTAGCCATTTTTAAGTTCACAGGTCAGTGGCATTAAGTACATTCACATTTTTGTGCGATCATTACCACCATCCATCTCCCATACCATTAATATTTCATCATGATAACCCTCCATTCTTTCCTCCCCCAGCCCCAGCAACCGCCATTCTACTTTCTGTCTCTGTGAGTTTGACTCTTCTAGGTACCTCATGTAAGTGGAACCACACAGTATTTGTCCTTTTGTATGTGGCTTACTTCACTTAGCATAATGTCTTCAGAGGTCATCCATGTTGCAGCATGTACCAGAATTTCTTCCCTTCTTAAAGCTGAATGCTCCATTGCATGTATATATCACATTTTGTTTACCTGTTAATTCTTTCATGAACATTTGCATTTTTTTCATCTTTTGGCCATTGTGAATAATACTGCTGTGACCATTAGTGAATAAAATATCTGTTCAAGTCCCTGCTTTCAGTTATTTTCAGTATATACCCAGAAGTGGAATTGCTGGGTTATACAATAATTCTATGTTTAGCTTGTTGAAGAATTGCCATACTGTTTCCATATTGGCTGTGCCATTTTACATTCCCACCAGAAATGCACAAGGCTTCCAGTTTTTTCACGCACTTGCCAACACTTAATGCCCTCTGGATTTTTTTATTATTGCCATCCTAGTGGGTGTGAAATTATAGCTCATGATGGTTTTGATTTGCATTCTGTGATGGCTAATGATTTTGAGCACTTTTTATGTGATTATGGGCCATTTCTTCTTTGGAGAAATGTTTATTCAGATTATTTGCTGATTTTAAAATTTCGATTGTCTTTTATTATTGAGTTTTAAGACTACTTTATTTGGATATAAGTCCCTTATCAGAGATATGATTTTCAAATATTTTGTTTTATTTTATGTTTTGTGTTTTTACTCTCTTGATGGTGTCCTTTAGAGCACAAAAGTTTTTAATTTTGATGAAGTCCAATGTATCTATTTTCTCTTTGGTTTATTATGCTTTAAGTGTCATAACTAAGAAACTGTTGCTTCATTAAAGGTCACAAAGATTCACTCCTATGTTTTTTTTTTAAGAGTTTTATTGCATTAGCTCTTATATTTAGTCCTCTAATCTGTTTTGAATTAATGTTTTTGTTTTTTTTGAAATGGAGTCTCGCTCTGTCACCCAGGCTGGAGTGCAGTGGCGCGGTCTCGGCTCACTGCAAGCTCCGCCTCCTGGGTTCACACCATTCTCCTCCCTCAGCCTCCCGAGTAGCTGGGACTACAGGTGCCCGCCACCACACCTGGCTAATTTTTTGTATTTTTAGTAGAGACAGGGTTTCACCATGTTAGCCAGGATGGTCTTGATCTCCTGATCTCGTGATCCACCCACCTCAGCCTCCCAAAATGCTGGGATTACAGGTGTGATGAATTAATTTTTATATATGTTGTGACGATTACAGTCCAACTTAATTTTTTTTTGCATGTGAATATCCAGTTGTCCCATAAACCATTTGTTAAAAAGACTGTTCTTTCCCTCCATTGAATTGCCTTGGTACCCTTGCCAAAAATTAGTTGATCATTAATGTAAGCATTCACTTCTGGACTCCCAATTTGATTCCATTAATCATTATTTCTATTCTTGTGCTAGTATCATATTGTCTTGATTACTGTAGCTTTGTATTAACTTTGGAAATTATTGCTTTTCCACCTGGCATATACTCATTATAAAAAATTATAAGCAATGCAGAAAAATACAAAGAATGTGAAACATTACTCAAAATCCCACCACCCAGAAATACCTATAATTAATATTGTGTGAGTGACACTCCAGAAATCATACTATTTATCCCTCAATGTTTATATGTTATACATGATATATATACATGTATCTGTGTATGTATGTATATATGGCATATGTGTGTATACAGACATTGATGTCACTGGACAGAAATAATTTTATAAAAATAGGATTATATTATATGTGCATTTTAATGAAGTGTTTTAAATTTTCTTTTACTTGAATTTAATGAATGAAAAAGCAACTAAAGTGGAGATAACTTCCCAAACTTAAGATAAATGTAAGAAAGATTATTTTCTAAAAGAATTTTTTATGGTTAAGAAACATTATTATAAAAGAATTAAGAGGTTGAAATTATTTTTTCCCTTTACCTATATATTCCATTTGTAGAAAACATCAGTTTATTCACTACTGTAAAAGATGAGGAATTGGCCGGGCACGGTGGCTCACGCCTGTAATCCCAGCACTTTGGGAGGCTGAGGCGGGTGGATCATGAGGTCAGGAGTTCGAGACCAGCCTGGCTAACATGGTGAAATCCCATCTCTACTAAAAATACAAAAATTAGCCAGGCATTGGTGGTGAGTGCCTGTAATCCCAACTACTCAGGAGGCTGAGGCAGGAGAATAGCTTGAACCCAGGAGGCGGGGGTTGCAGTGAGGCGAGATCACGCCACTGCACTCCAGCCTGGGACAGAACGAGACTCCATCTCAGGGAAAAAAAAAAAAAAGATGAGGAATTAAATAGTTATGTACTTTAACTACTTTCCCCTTAATTCTAAATTTTTCTTAATTATTATTTTTATATATTAAGATTTATTTCATTTACAAAATTGACTATAACCATAATTTTCACAGTTGTGTAATCTTGGCTTGTTAAAGGATTTCAGTATTTACCACCAGTTATTTTACCTTTTTTCATGAATATTTTATTTTGATTCAGCTCTTTGCTGGCTGAATTTCATTATCAAATTTGTGTTCGTTGCAGACTCACAGGCTCTATTTCTGAGTTCTTACTGCGTAAGAATGCTTGTGGGCCGGGTGCGGTGGCTCACGCCTGTAATCCCAGCACTTGGGGAGGCCAAAGTGGGCAGATCACGAGGTCAGGAGATCGAGACCATCTTGGCTAACACGGTGAAACCCCGTCTCTACTAAAAATACAAAAAATTAGCCGGGCGCGGTGGGGGGCGCCTGTAGTCCCAGCTACTCGGGAGGCTGAGGCAGGAGAATGGCGTGAACCCGGGAGGCGGAGCTTGCAGTGAGCCGAGATTGCGCGCCACTGCACTCCGGCCTGGGCGACAGAGCGAGAATCTGTCTCAAAAAAAAAAAAAAAAGAATGCTTGCCTGTTTTCTTTATATTTGAATTATAAACTGACTGGATATAATATTCTTGGGTCACATTTTCATGCCCTCAAAACTTTTTAGACATGGCTCAGCTGCTTTCTGGCATTAAATCCTGCTGTGGAAACTTCTGCAGTCATCCTGCTTTTCCCCCTTTCTGCCTCTTAGATGACAGAAGAATTCTTTCCTTATCTTTGAAGTTTAGTAATTTTATCAGGAAATGGCTTGGTGTCTATGGTTTTCTATCTTTTTTCCCCCTGGAAAAATAGTGTGCATTTTTATTTTTAGTCCTAGATTCTATTCTTTCCTCTTTCAATAAGTATGTCTTCATTGTATTTTTGAATTCGTTTTTCCCCCTTGCAGGGTTCTGGATTTCAAGGTTACCAGTTTTCCTTGTGTTATGTCATCCTTGTCCTCTATACCTGTTATTTTCCAATTGCGTTTATCTTTTTCTTCTTCATGACCTGTATTAATCCGAAGCAACCCCTTTATTGTTAGTGTTATTTTCCTTAATGTCTGTTCTTTTCCTTGACGTTTCTATTAGTGCTCTTGTACTGGTCCTTAATTTATTACCTTTGCCATGAAATCTCTATGTTCTTTTCATTTTGTTGTTTTGTCAACTTATCTTTGAGCTTTCATTTTACCAAATTTATGTTTTTATTTTTTCTGTAGCTGTTAATTTATTTTATAGTGTAAAGTATTCATGGAGAATTTTCTTCTATTCCTTGGATTATGTTTTCTTCAAGGCGGGATTCCTTATCTTTTATGTGTTATGCTGCTTTCTTTCTATGTGAGTTGTTGTTGTGTTAGTTTGCATGGTTGCCATACGTTTCTTTTTGCTCATTCTCAGCTTGGGTAGCACTCTCCTGACCTTTCGTTTATTCTCATATGTATTGGAACATTATCTTTGATTCCTTTTCCAACTTGTGCTATGCCTGTTTTTCTCTCCCTCTGAGCTACAGTTTGAAACTTGGATGTTATGTGTACAGGGGAGGAGGAGAGAAGCTCCACTGGAGTTGTATACAGCCTTTGTTGGGAAAATGTGGCTGTGCTGCTCTTGAAAACTTGTTAAATGTCCCCTGCCAAGATTCTTGTGACCTAATATGGGTGCAGCTTTTTCCCACTGTGTTAATATTAATTAATTCCCTCTCAATTAATATTGTTCCTCCAATTTAGGTGACAGCCCTAGAACATGAGCAGTTCACCGAAGAGAGTCATCCTCAGTTGTTTATTTCCCACGTTTTACTCATCTCTTGCCAGCAAACACTTCCAGCCCCTCCACAGGCAAAAAAGAAGACAGACAAAGATATTCCTATTTTTTCCCAAATGTGTGGATATTTGTGAGAATTTGCCGGGTTTGTGCAGTTCACCAGTACTGCTACTGCTAAGCATGAGGCTGGGGGTCGGTGCAGAGGGAGAGTTAGAAGCTGTGTTTGAATCTTAGATTTCTTCCTTAGTTGCATCTTCTTGAAGTTTATGCCATGAGGCTGTCCTTGTTTGAATGCTGCTGGTTACATTTTTAATTACTTTAATGGTTTGTGTTTTTGTGTAAATTGCTAGTTAGTTATTGATGATGAAGGTCTATGATCCAGTTTCTTTACTCAGAAGTCCCTAAAGTTCTTCCTTTTCCAGTTTACATCTTAATCCTTTCCCTTCCAAATGCCCTCCCTGTCCAGCATTTCAATATTATCATCTTTTTTTTTTTTTTTTTTTTGAGACGAAGTCTCACTCTGTCACCCAGGCTGGAGTGCAGTGGCGTGATCTCGGCTCACTGCAAGCTCTGCCTTGTGGGTTCACGCCATTCTCCCGCCATTCTCCTGCCTCAGCCTCCCGAGTAGCTGGGACTACAGGCACCCGCCACCACGCCTGGCTAAATTTTTGTATTTTTTAGTAGAAATGGGGTTTCACCGTGTTAACCAGGATGGTCTCGACCTCCTGACCTCATGATCCGCCCACCTCAGCCTCCCAAAGTGCTGGGATTACAGGCGTGAGCCACCGCATCCAGCCAATATTATCATCTTTGTAGCCCCCACTAAAAGCCCTCTCTTGAGTGTAACAATAACTTCTTCCTGACAATTTCATTTCTTCTCAGTTTTTATCTTGCCAATCCTGTCCTTCCTTCAATATTTTGTTTTGCCTCTACTACCTCCCACCCCTTCCCCATGAACATGATAATTATTCATAAAATACTCGACAGAAATTGCTAGCCCCATGTAATAGTCAAGCCAGTGTCAGTTTATCCAGTAGAATCTACATGTACCTGCTTTCTGTTGAATACTTTCACCAGGACTAAAAAATAGTTACCAAATTAGCCATGTGCCAAAATCAGTGTTAGTTTTTCAAAAATGTGTAGTGTTTAATTTAGTGTTGTTAGGTGTTAATCAAAACAAGCTGTATGCGATGGACCTGATTGGCATATAGATTATTAGGACAGTAGGAAATGAAAAAAAAATTCTAAAGGAATGTATTTTCTGATTGGAGTGTGGGCTTGTAACCATCGCCAAGGGTCCAGATAGAATTTCATCCCCTTCATAGATTTAAATAAATCTATTGTTTTATCAATAGATTTTGGGGAGTGGGGGTGGGCTTTGGTTTTAATTTGTTTTCAGGCACACTGCAGAGGTGACAAGCTGGGGCCCCTACTATTTGTTGCTAGCTAACTTTGTCAAATTTTTCTAGAATCAGCTATGAAAAAAGTCTTCCTTGTCCAAATAAGATTTATAATTTGCTTTCACAAAACTGCCAATACACTGTAGGAAAGAAAGAAGACAGACGAAAGAATTGAAAAGAGGTGGTGCAGGAAGGAATAATCATAAGAGACATTTTTCTTTTTATTTTCTTGTGCTGTAGAAAGTGGAAAAAGCTTCTGTCATAAGTCCACTTTAGAGGTATATGCCAATTTATGAAAAGAAACAGGAAAACTAGTGTTTCATGGTTAAAGATGGAATCTATGACAGGAGTAAGAAGGGCCAGTGGGTTAATTCCATTGATAGATGGTACAGAGACTGCCTGGATGAGACCAGCTATCTTGAATGGGATGGAACACAGAACAGAAGAATATCGAACGCTATAGAAAGACATTCCCATAGCCTGTGGGAATGCAGCCCCATGTCTTAGAGATGCCCAAGGTGTTAGGATTTTGCGATCCCCTGGGCCTGCCATCCCCAGCATCGCTGGCAGCCTCCAGCTCACTGCTCTGTTGCCTGCAGGCCTGAGCTCTGAGGTAGGAAGAGGCAGGTGCTCCAGGATCACAGCCCACTGGGAGGCAGGACAACCATCTTCCTTCAACATGAAGCAGGGTTTCCGGGGCCTCCTGCGCTTACCCTGAACTCAACACCCAATTCTGGATACTTGTGCTCTGCAATCCTGTACAGAAGGATCCAATTGTAACTGGAAAATGCAAAAGGGCAGAATTAAGGTTAACTCTGAATTTCCTGCTTCTCATGCAATTAAATTCCCCCCGTTGCCATTGAGTTAATGTAATTTCCCCCCATATAATTGAGCATAAATTACCAGGCAAATATAGGATAAATTAGTATAGGCTACAAGGAGATAATGAAGTAAACTTAGTAAAAAGTTATCATTACAAGTACTTGGACTTTTTTTTTTTTTTTTTTTTTTGAGACGGAGTCTCTCACTGTCGCCCAGGCTGGAGTGCAATGGCGCGATCTCGGCTCACTGCAACCTCCGCCTCCCAGGTTCATGCAATTCTCCTGCCTCAGCCTCCCAAGTAGCTGGTATTACAGGTGCCCACCAACCCACCCAGCTAATTTTTTGTATTTTTAGTAGAGACGGGGTTTCACTATGTTGGCCAGGCTGGTCTCGAACTCCTTACCTTGTGATCTGCCCGCCTTGGCCTCCCAAAGTTCTGGGATTACAGGCGTGAGACACCACACCCGGCCCCTACAAGGACTTGGATTTTTAAGAATCAAAAATCCTATCCACAAGCCAGTGAGAAATTAATCTACAAAGTTATCTATTAAGATACTAAATTTATAAAATAATATATTAGATTGTGATAAATGTCTAATTCAACTTTTTTGCAAAATAATTTTTAAGTAATAAAAATGATAACTAAGAACCTCACGCACAAATAATTCTTTGCATTCTAAATACTGCTCGTTTCCTTTGGTATTTTTCTCTGTATATCCACTGCAGGTGCAAGGAACGACTTCAGTTGTGAGGCATCAGTCAGTTTGGGGTTGTCCCCCCGCTCCCATTTTCTTTGCGTGGTCCATTTTTTTAAACATTAGTTTTATTACTGTTTGTATTGTTATTTCACGTCAAACAGCAATAAACAAGTAAAGTCTCAGAAGGAGAACAGACATTACAAGAAATAAATATTTCATTAATGCTTTTAATAGGGAGACTTTGTCTCCGGAAGAAATGGACTGTGACCACCCATGAACATGTAGAAATCAGACAGCCAGCTTCACTAGTGTAGTGGTAGCTGTATTTCTGTGTGATGATAGAAGAAGAACACCTTGTCATACAAATGGTTTGCAGATTTCTATCCCTCTGTAATTCTAGCTGTTCTGTAACGTGAAGATCTGTGCTACTGCTTCCATCTCACAGTTAAATGGGTCTCATCAGAGTCCTGTGTGAAGTCTGTATCTGCAGACTTGGTTCTATTGGGAGGCCTCAGTCTGCAGTTAAATGGGTGTCATCAGAGTCCTGTGTGAAGTCTGTGTCTGCAGACTTGGTTCTATTGGGAGGCTTCGGTCTGCAGTTCACTGGGTGTCATCAGAGTCCTGTGTAGAGTCTGTATTTGCAGACTTGGTTCTATTGGGAGGCTTCGGTCTGCAGTTCGCTGGGTGTCATCAGAGTCCTGTGTAGAGTCTGTATTTGCAGACTTGGTTCTATTGGGAGGCTTCGGTCTGCAGTTAACTGGGTGTCATCAGAGTCCTGTGTAGAGTCTGTATTTGCAGACTTGGTTCTATTGGGAGGCTTCGGTCTGCAGTTCACTGGGTGTCATCAGAGTCTTGTGTAGAGTCTGTATTTGCAGACTTGGTTCTATTGGGAGGCTTCAGTCTGCAGTTAACTGGGTGTCATCAGAGTCCTGTGTAGAGTCTGTATTTGCAGACTTGGTTCTATTGGGAGGCTTCGGTCTGCAGTTCACTGGGTGTCATCAGAGTCTTGTGCAGAGTCTGTATTTGCAGACTTGGTTCTATTGGGATGCTTCGGTCTGCAGTTCACTGGGTGTCATCAGAGTCCTGTGCAGAGTCTGTATTTGCAGACTTGGTTCTATTGGGAGGCTTCGGTCTGCAGTTCACTGGGTGTCATCAGAGTCCTGTGTAGAGTCTGTATTTGCAGACTTGGTTCTACTGGTAGGCTTCAGTCTGCAGTTAAATGGGTGTCATCAGAGTCTTGTGTGGAGTCTGTATTTGCAGACTTGGTTCTATTGGGAGGGCTTAGTCTGGAGTGACTCTTGTCTGTCATGTTTGGGCAGACCCATTTTAAAAGATTATTTTCTATTTATTAAAATAAAAACTTCAAGTATAGATCTTACTTGTTACTCATTATCATCAAGTTCCAAGAAAGTTAAATATTGTTCTTGTTTGTTTCATGTTCTGTATTTATCCAAAGTATACAAAGTATATCTTATTAAATCTTCAGATGAGGAAAGGTTGACACTAGGATTACACACTTAGCAAATAAAAATACAGAACAGAAAAATCAGTAAAATTCAAATTTCAGTTTAATAGCGAATAATTTTTTAATGTAGTTATGCCCCCAATTTTACTGGGCATCTCTTCTTATTTGACAACCCTAGTTAAGAACAAATCAAGATTCCAGAATGAAATGGGCTGGAAAAGGGGGTCACAATATTCACAGTACAAATTAAATATAAACGAACATTCATATTCGAATTTTTTAGGTCTTTATGCTTTTGTGGTATGTTTTAAGAGTAAATAAGAGATATTTACTAAAACCTTTATTGATGAAATTATGTAATGTTTGGGACTTGGTTCTATATAACACAGGAAGAGGGAAAGTGGATAGGGCGGGATGGGCTGTGCATTGATGGGTATGTGAAAGTTTTGTCTACTTTTGATTGTGCTTGAAATTTTCCATAGTAAAGGAAAATAAAATGTGCGTGTGTGTATGTGTGTGTAAGCCATGCCTTTAGGTTTAAAAAACTTATCATCTAAACATCTCAAATGTCCAGTGACCGAGGACTTGTACAAGGGCATGAGAAGAGGCTACAGATGGAGGCAGGGGCTTGTGAGCCATGCTTGGAGTTGTGGACATCTTTGTTCCTTGATGGCATATTTATCATCTTGATATTTATCTTTACCATTTGGTAGAGCAACGCAAGAGAGTTGCAGTTAGTTCCTAGACTCTAGGAGTACAGGAATCTCTAGGGAAGGTTCAGGAATTGGAGGCGATGGGGGAGTAGAGAGGGATAATGCTTTACTTGATGGCCAGCCTTTTGAAAATGGCTAAACACAAAACAAAATAGACTGTTGGATTAGGTCAGAATAATAAACATTCCACTTTTTAATGTGTTCTTGGTTTTTACAAAACAGATCTCTTTCAATGATTCGATTGAAACCCTGGGAAATTAATAAGTTGAGTCTATAGTCTTTTAAGTCAGCATAGGTCTAGCTTCTCAAGCAGGTGAGCTGTCAGTAGCTGGGAGCACTCAGCCTCTGGCATGGTTCCAGGCAGAGTTATTTATTGATGGACATCTTTAATGATTTGCTTTTTTTAATCCCAGGATTTCCTTCAAATGCTACTGGAGAACATTCCAGAAGAAAAAAGGTAAGGACCAATTTAGGAATTTTGGAATTAAGAGCCCAGTTTTAATGTTAAAAATGACATTGCCATTGGTTGGCTTGTCACAGCCTAGAAAGCTCAGTCTTTCTGTCTAATAGAGGCAAGGACCTAGTTCTGCCAGTGGGAGTACAGGATCATCAGCCAACCTTTGGGATGAGCCCCAGTGGATATTGGGAGCCAGTGTGCACGACTGAAGATCCCCAAAGTCAGGAGCCCCAAAAGTGATATGGGAGGCAAGCCAAGCGCAATCTGTGGCCTTTGCTGCTGCGGAAAGAATGGAAGAGAGGAAGGTTAGAAAACTCAGGGTAGCTCTAGTTAATGTGGCTTAATGCAAGGAAATACTGTTTAATTAAAAGAAAAAATGTAGTATAGTAGTAAGAGCTTGGGATGTAAAATCAGGCTCTCCTAGATTTTTAAACCCAGCTCTGCCACTTCTTTTGTTTGTTTTTTGAGATGGAGTGTCACTCTGTCACCCAGGATGGAGTGTGGTGGCAAGATCTCGGTTCACTGCAAACTCCACCTCCCAGGTTCAGGTGATTCTCCTGCCTCAGCCTCCCAAGTAGCTGGGACTACAGGCATCCACGATGCCTAATTTTTGTATTTTTAGTAGAGTCAGGGTTTCACCATGTTGGCCAGGCTGGTCTTGAACTCCTCAGCTCAGGTGATCCGCCCGCCTCAGCCTCCCAAAGTGCTGGGATTACAGGGGTGTGCCACCACACCCCACTAATTTTTGTATTTTTAGTAGAGTTGGGGTTTCGCCATGTTGGCCAGGCTGGTCTCAAACTCCTGACCTCAAGTGATCCACCCGCCTTGGCCTCCCAAAGTGCTGGGATTGCCACTTCTTAACTGTGACATTTGGAGCAAGTCACATAATCCCCCCAAATTTTAGTTTTTTAACCTATCAGGGTTTTAGAGAGGATTAAAGGAGCTAGCATACGTTTTAAAAGTAGCTGTTCAATTAATGATTGGTGTAGATAAATTATAATCCTCTGTGTATCAGGCACTGGATCCAGGATCTAGATACAGAAATCATTTAACTCTTACTACAGTGCTGTTCAGCATCATCATGATAGTGATTATTATAAGCCAACACTGAAGTTGAGCACATACAGACACTCATTTAATCCTCAAAACAACACTATTTGGTCCATGATGTTTTTATCCCGATAATACCAACAAGAGGACCAAGATACTGAGAGGCTGAGTAAGCTGCCCAGGATCTCACAGCTGTATGCAGCAGGCTGGGATTTTAGCCCAAGCAGTCTGGCTCTAGAACCTATGCTCTTATCTACTTTGTTACAAATGGGGAAACTGAGACTCCAAGATCACTCAGCAAGCAAAACAGCATAGATGGAATTAGGCCCATCTGGATCTGGCCCGTGTTTTTTCAGTACACTGCTCAGCACCAGCTCACTGCCCTGGAAGGAGGGAGATTCTCATTTTTGGAGGTATCCAGTTTTAGGCTGGCTGACCACCGACAGGGTTTGCAGAGGGGTCTTAGAACCAATGTTTGGGGTTAAAATACGCTCATTCCAACCCTCTCCTAATTTCCTATCTTGATTTAGGCGTTAAAAAGTGAATACCCTGAAACATAATTTCTTTTTTTTTTTTTTTTGAGGAGTCTTACTCTGTCACCCAGGCTGGAGTGCAGTGGCACGATCTTGGCTCACTGCAAGCTCCACCTGGATTCAAGCCATTCTTCTGCCTCAGCCTCCCGAGTAGCTGGGACTATAGGCGCCCGCCACCACGCCCGGCTAATTTTTTGTATTTTTAGTAGAGATGGGGTTTCACCGTGTTAGCCAGGATGGTCTCGATCTCCTGACCTCGTGATCTGCCCGCCTCGGCCTCCCAAAGTGCTGGGATTACAGGCGTGGGCCACTGCGCCTGGCCAACATAATTTCTAATAGCAAAATTGGTATTCAAACATTAAACGGAGGCATCTTGAGAAATTAAACATTTTTTGAAGAAGAGTTAACATTGCTTGCCTCATTTCTGACCCACAGTTTTAGCTATGTTTTTATGCATGGAACAGATTTCCAAGTGTGGAAATGAATTCTTTGACACAGACATAGACTTAGATTCATGCAGGGCCAGTAACCTCCATGTTGATGAGACTGTCTTATAGGCAGTGTGAATTGGGTGTCTCCAGGGTACAGTGTCAGGGCTTATGCTACCAGACTAGGTGGAGGAGATGACATGCAGATTCAGGAGAGGATCCAGGGCTCATGAGGACGTGGAGGTTTTGTTCTAAGCATTGGGTTTTTGTTTGGCTTTTTCTGTGTAAACTTCTCTTTCACCTTCCATTCAGAATGGCTCCAAATTCTTTCTTCAATAGTGGAAGTATTATTGTTAGTCAGGTTTTTCAATACTTAATAGTGGTCTGTATTTGTGGGTGCATGTGGTATTTTGGTGCATGCATACCATGTGGAATTATCAGACCAGGGCAGCCGGGACATCAGTCACCCCAGACATCCACCCCTTCTTTATGTTGGGAACATTTCACTTCCTCTCTTCCAGCAATTTTGAACAATGCAACAAACTACTGTTAGCTTTAAACACCCAACTGTGCTATCAAACAGTAGATCTTACTTCACTAATGTGTTTTTATGCCCACTATACACACACATTAAGCAAGCCAGGCATCATAAAGGATTAACATACACATATTTGATACATTTCTTTGTTTCTACCTTTTCATGTTCATTCCTTTTGATGCTGAAGAAATCTTATGCAGGGAGATTGCGTGGGGCCTTAGAAATTGGCCAAGATTTCCAAGGCCCCACGCAGTCTCCCTGGATAAAACTTTGTCTAAGTGTTTCAGGAGGCTGCTCAAAGGAAATGTGGCTTGTTTTGGGAGGTCTGAAATGTTTTCAGATTTGCTGTCTTGAAAAAAAAAAAACAGACATATGGGATTTCTTCATGCAAAAATCCCATCACATGTGGCTGTTAAGATCAAGAAGACAGTTTACCTGCAGGATATATTTTTTCCTTTTCTTCGTACCTACCCCGGAATAACTTTTCAGGTCCTCTCACAGAATGAAGCAGTTTCCTTAGGAACTAAAACCGAGAAAAAAAGAAAATTAATAGAAATGGTGTATTACTTTCTTAGACTGTTACCAAAGTCTGTTTCTGAGTGGTGACTATGCATTCTTTCAAAAGAACTTCTTAGGGCATAAATATAGTAATTTTCACTGAAGCAATAAAGTGCATTTTTAGTTTTGGAGGTCTCTCTTTTAATCCTCTTCCTAATAAGGTTATGGAGTTCATTTGGATGGCCCCTGAGCCCTCTGGCTCTGGGGGAACCTGGATTTTATCATTGTGAATATTTATTGAGGCTGCACACTGAGCCCACAAAGAGACTTTTGTTGTTGTAATTGTGGAACTTAAGAGCAGTGTCCCTGTCTTAATGGTGGCCCCCAATCACCAATCACATGCCTTTTGATAGGATACCTCTCCCGGTTAGGATCGTGTTTTGTCTAGCAGGCTTAAGCTTCTTTTTAAAAAAATCTCCTTAAAAGCTAAGGAGATTTCATTTTTACAATGAATCGATTTCAGCAGGTATACCAGAATATATTTTGAAATTCAAAATCTTTTTGCCTGCTAACTAATCTCAGAATCTAGTTCAGCTATTAAAACAGACTGTTTACCCTATTAGTTATGCGACATATTGTACCAATTTTATCTAGGTCTCCAAAGGCCCCACACCTACCCCCCGGAGCCTCTAATCTTTGGCCTCTGTTGCAAACTGATCCTTGGGCACATCTGTTAGGCACGTGAACTGTTCTGATGAGGCAAGGTTTTTCAGATTAGACCAGTCTGTCAGTGTTCAGGGGCCGGCACTCTCTAGGCCTTACTGCCTTTGCATTGTTCTCTTGCTTTGATTTACTCAACATTCTCTATTGAGCATCTCCCATACCAGGCTTTGGGCTGGACACTGGGGAACCTAGAGGAATAAATCCCATGAGTAGCCCTAGGAGGCTCCTAGCCGACTACTGAAGACAAAACAGAAACAAGTCATTATGACTCCATGTAGGAAGTGCTCTGCTGAGGTTCAGAGTCCTGGGGACACAGAGAGGGTCCATCAGTCCCAGCTCTGAGCCTTCAGGCACCTGTACCTCTAACGGGCTTAAGGAAGGCAGTGCCGTCAACAGATTGGAAAGACACCTGCCGAGGGCAGTGTGGCCGAGGGCAGTGTGGCAGAGAGATGGGGGCGGAGAGGACTGGAAGCCAGGAAAACAATTAGAAACCAATAGAGCGGTTCAGTCAAGAGACCTGGAGAGGTGGAGCTATGGCAGGGACGGTGACCGTGGTGGTGGGTTTGAGAGTAAATAACGGCCAAGGCATACTTTAGAGTTGCCACAGAAAAGACTTGGTTGACTGGTTGTGAAAGTTGAGTCCGACCTTTCTTTCTTAGCCACTAAGTCACACTCTGAAGTAGCAGTGGAAATGCAGGAGGGCAGGTGTTTGGGGAGTCTGAATGGGGCAGAGGGAGTGAAAGGGACGAGCGTTGGAAGGCAGAAAGATGCTGTCAGGTAAAACTAAAAGGGCTCAGAAGAAAACCCAGACAATCCTGAGCAGCAGTCTCTCCTGGTGAAAGAGCCCCGTGGAACGCCTTATGCCAGTGTCCTTGCTGCCTGGTGTTCCAGTGTTAGTAACAGCTGCCACTTCTTTCCTTGCCCATCAGTTACTGTGTTTGTGTGTGCATGTTCCTGTGTTTGTTTTAATCTAATACTGTTCCTCCCCCACGGAGCTACACAGTACTTGTTTTATAAGTGTGACCTCAGCAATCTTTATTATCTACCCAAGCACAAATGAATGTTTTGATCAAGAAAATAAATCAGCTGGGCACCGTGGCTCATGCCTGTAATCCCAGCACTTTGGGAGGCCAAGGTGGGCAGATCACTTTTAGCTTAGGAGTTGGAGACCAGCCTGGCCAACATGGTAAAATCCCATCTCTACCAAAAATACAAAAAATTAGCCTGCATGGTGGTACGTGTCTGTAGTCTCAGCTACTCGGGAGGCTGAGGTGGGAGGATGGCTTGAGTCCAGGCGTTTGAGGCTGCAATGAGCTGAGATTGCACCACTGCACGCCAGCCTGGGAGACAGAGTGAGACCCTGTCTCAAAAAAAAAAGGAAGAAAATAAGTAACTCTGCACAGCTTTGAGATCCACCCACATGTAGAGAGGGAATTTAAACATGTAAACTAAATGTAAACATCGACACAGATGTAAATTGAATTCCAGAAAAGGGCATTTTCCATTCCAGACCCTGAGCTCTGCAGTTTCTGCTGCCTTACCTCTATCTGGCTGCACTTCCCAATTCTTTAAGTCTGTCATTTAGTTCATGTGAAAATTGCTGGGGCTGTGTGCTTCCCTTCAGAGGCACTGACAGACTGTGATCTTTAGGATCTCAAGAGCTGAAGACAGGAGCCAAAAGTGATGAAGACATTTCTCTTGATCAAGCAACATGTTGATAGGCACAAGTAGCAGATCCATCCTATAATCCCCATTCTTGTCATCCCACCTTGGAAATCAACTGAGCGAGCAAATACAGGCATGGGCAACACCGTCTTCACACAAGCCTGTTGATTTATTTTAACTTCGTAAAGAGATGAACAATTGGTTACTTTCTGGCTTTACACACAGCTTGTTTTTCTAACCAGTATCATGCCAGGTGGTCAGCATATTCTCTCCCCTGCCGTGTTAACTAAGTGTGACCAAATTTATAGCTCCGAGGAACTGGAGACCATTGACACTCAGAGTCGCCCTATAGGATGTGGGGGTGCACCAGGGAACAGCCAGCCAGAGGGCAAAGCCACCTGCTGTTCCTCATACCCAGGAGGCCCAGGGCTAAGGCCTGGGTTTCAGTACTGAGGCGGAAAGTCCGCGCTCACTAGTACGGATACGCAGGACTCGCAGTCATGGGTCTGTGTACTTTTAGCTCTCTGTATAAAATCAATTTCCATAGTGATCAGACATGCAGAAGAGTAATTTCCTGTAAGTTCTAGGTCCTGGCTAAGTGGAAATGCTTCTGCTTGTCTGTTGCGATTATTTAAGCCACATGACCTCAGAGGGAAAAAATTCACCGTTGGCTTGGATTCTGAATATCTTGATTTGAAAAAGTCAGCTTTTAGTTTAACCACTGTATAAATCCAATCCCAGACCTAAAAATTCACCTGCAGTGTCATTTCAATAATTATGCTCCAAACAGCAGAACCTGCACACATGTCATCTTTCTTCCTGAGACCTACATCCTGTTTCTTCCCTGAGCTACCTGCATGCTATGTTCTTTCTGCAACATATTAGTCCATTTCTTTGCTGAAAATTAAACATTGTCCTATGGTGTCCCATGATTCCTTGGGAGATAAGGCCACTCATAGTACCTTAAAAATTTTTGTTAGCAGCTGGAATTAATGCTTTCATCTTTCTCTCATAATTTAACATCTTATTCCACATTAACAATCCCCAAATAGGGCATGATGCAGTGTGATGTCGACACTGATACTGGAAGTTTAGAAATCTGGATTTTTTTCCTTTGCTGACTTGGGTCAGAGTCCTCCTATGCTCCTGTGCTAAGAAGCCACACAACAGTGGACACTCACTTCACAGGGATATTATGAGAAATGAGTAATGGTTATAAGATGCTTCGAACCTTTCCAAAGAAAAGTGATCTGAAAACACACGTTCTCTTCATTCACGGAGAGGGCCTTTTGCCTCTGGATGCAGCTCACTGACGAGCTCTCCTGCTCCCACACTTTTGCCCCTCCCAAGGGTCTCCTGATCTCTTCAGAAATGTAACCGAAGGGTTGACAAACAGGGCAACCACGCAGGAGCCAGGCTGTCTTCAGCAGGAGCCAGGCTGTCTTCAGCAGGAGAGATTAGTGAGAGGGGGAAGTCGGCATGGTTTGGAGCAGGCACAGGCCCACCCCTTCTGCCAGCTTGTCAGTTCCATAGTAGAAACCCATGTGTCATGAAGCCTGAGTTTAGCACGGAAAGAAAAGCTGGGGTTTCATAGCCACGCACCAAAGGTTCAAATCCCAGCTCTTCAAGTACCATCTGTGTGGCCTTGGATACATTTCTCAATTTCTTGGAACCTGTATTTGTTTGTCTGTAAGATTAAGACAGTAATATTGGTCATTTGGCTGGGTGTGGTGGTTCATGCCTGTAATCCCAGCACTTTGGGAGGCTGGGATCATTTGAGGCCAGGAGTTTAAGACCAGTTTGGGCAATATAGTGAGACCCCGTCTCTATAAAAAATTTCAAAAATTAGTCGGGCGTGGTGGCACATGCCTGTAGTCCCGGTTACTCGGAAGGCTGAGATGGGAGGATCGTTTCATCCCTGGAGGAGGAGGAGGTTGTTGCAGTGAGCTGAGATTGAACCACTGCACTCCAGGCTGAGTGACAAAGTGGGACTCTGTCTCTAATAATAATAATAATAATAAGTAATAATAATAATATTGGTCTTGCACAGTTATTGTCAAGTATAGATGATACTCTGTCTATTGTGTCTGGCACACAGTAGGTGTTCAATAAGCAGTAGCTTCTAGTTTTATGCCTTTTCTTGGCAGTGGATAGAGGACTTTTTATTTGTTTCACTTTTAGTGCCACGGTAGAATAGTGTCTGTGTGTGCAAGTACTAACTATGTTAAAGCAGAATTTGCCAATGAACTAACCCTCTGAGTTGGCCGAAGACTGTGGCACAGGCAAATTGTATGCAGCCACATGCTTCCTACGGAAAGTCATCCTGCAGAGATTCCTGGGGCCCACTATCTGCACAGTGTCTCCCAACCCTGCAGCTGGACTGCTTCAGTGCTGCCCTGCAGATCCGTCCCCTGCACGCCACATCCATGTGGGCCGCTCTCGTTGCCTCCTGCAGAAACATTCTGCAAGTTCTGGTGTGGTCTCCCTGCCTCCAGCCTCTTCTCCGCTTTTTCTTCCTTGACTCAGTTCTCTGCCGTGTCCCTCTGCAATTTTGCTCCAGAGCCTCCTTGACAAAGGCAGGGCCCGGTAGCAGGGACTGCAGAGTCCCCGCAGGACCCGCTGTTTTCTTTCTCAGCTCATTCTGGAGGCCAGCCCCACTGAGCTGAACGGAGTCTGCACACTACTGCACTGGCATTCCTGCTCCTGCTATCTTTGCCCCGATGTGCTTTTCTTCCATTTCTATTGGCTTTGCCCCACCAGGACCCAGTCATGCATGGCCTTCTTAGGAAGCCTCTCCTGATGCACCTCCTCTTGTCCTGTTTTACCTATCCCACCTGCAGCAGTGGTTCTTCAACACCTAGAGGACCATCATCTCTACAGGCGCTGGTAGCATTCTGCCTGGTGTCTATTACACATCCCTAATCCACAGTCACTCCCTGGGTTTTCCCATCCCAGCCTTCCACAGAACCTTTGCCCAGCAGCCATCCAGCGAATGTTTGCCACATAGAGAATGTTGCCTGTTTTTCAGTCTTCTCTGGTGAAGACTTTGGACCTCACTTAATAACATTCCAGGGCTCAACTCCCCAGCCCCCACTCCATGCCACCCCTAGAGAAGCATCTGTAAGTGAAAATTCCCCAAAGGAAATTTATGTCCGTGTCTTCATATTCACTCCCCCATGCTGATACACAACAGCTGTTCACTGTCTTTTGTAAAATCACTCAAAAATAGCAATTAAGTCGCTCCTCGGACTTCTCTTCTCTGGGATATTTAACCTCAGTTCCCTTTACCTCCCTTGTGGGCTCTTCCCCTTTTGATCGTCACTATTGCTCTCTCTAAGTCCTTTCCAAATTCTGCATCTTCCTCTTAAATATCTTATGGGAAAGGTGGAGACTTGTTTTCAGTTCAGAAGACAGCCTCTTTTTTTTTTTTTTTTTCTTTTTGGGGGTTTGAGACAGGGTCTCACTTTGTCCCCAGGCTGGAGTGTAGTGGTGTGATCCAGGCTCACTGCAACCTCTGCCTCCCAGGCTCAAGCCATTCTCCCACCTCAGCCTCCCAAATAGCTGGGACTATATGCACATGCCACCATGCCCAGCTAATTTTTTTATTTTTAGTAGAGACAGGGTTTTGCCATGTTGCCTAGGCTGGTCTTGAACTCCTGGCCTCAAGTGATCCTCCTGCCTCAGCCTCCCAAAGCACTGGAATTACAGGCGTGAGCCACTGTGCCTGGCCCAGAAGTCAGCCTCTTGCTCTGGCTTTCCTGAGGATCGCTTGAAGGATGGGTGAAAGGAGCTTTGGGCTCAGGGTTCTGGGCACAGAAACGTCCCTCTCTGGCTGGAAAGGAAGCCAGTGAAGGACACTTTCCTACCTGTGCACAAGTAAGCTTGAAGTTGCTTTATTTTCTCATGAAATGTGTGAAGATGGAGGTAAGACAGATTTTATAAAGTGCATTGAAAGCAAGGCTGCCCAGTGGAAGGCCTATTCTTGGTGGGTATGAACGCACTGTCCCCACCTTATCTGCTGCTGGACATGCCCCTGGAGAGGATAGTTCATTTGGTGGAGGGGTCAGGTTCCTGCCTGCAACCCGGAGCAGCCCTGGGCTTTCAGAGCTTGTGGAGGCTTCTGCAGTACTCTATGTCACCTGCCCTGATTTAGAGGCACAGGCCTGTTTTCTTCTCGGATCTTCTTCATTGGTGTTTCTCTCTAGCTGGTCAGTTAGCCCCACTGCTCTGGCAAATTGCTACTGCCCATTAAGGGAATCTCCAGCCTCTCTCCCAGGTAAATAAAGCTTAAAAAAGAACAATGACCTCATAGAAGGTGCTCTGAGAGCTTCCTCCTCTCTTCAAGTCTCCCCTGCCTCCACCACACACACACGGATACACATGCACACATCCATGCATGCGCACACTCCCACACTCTCATAGCTTACAGGGGGACTTGGCCATTTGCGCTGAAGCTGATGCTATGAAAATGACCACTAAGAAGCAGTGGAAGGCCCAGCGATGGTGGCACAGGCCTTTCTGTGAGGTCTGCCCGGTAATTCCACTGAGTCTGGGACCCTGGAGGACCTAGAGAGGTAGTCCCCTCCCCTTCTCTTGCCTGCTAATCACACAGAGGGCCATCATCTTTCATATGAACTCAAAGCCCTTTTTCTGCATAAGCCCTCTTTCCCTCCATGAACTTTTTCTGTTTTGAAATAGCAATTGCCTTTTTAAGCAGCCTTTCATTTTGCCCTTGGCTAGGGAGGACGAGGGGCACCAGTGAGCGACCAATAGGGGGAAAGAAAGGAAGAGAAAATCAGTCAGTCCCCTTTTCCTCCAGCCCTCCCAAAGCCAACCCCTCCTTCCCTCCCTACCTCACTACTTCCCCGTCTGCAACACCACCCACCCACAGGGTCGCAGAGGGGTGCACTTGGCCTTCCAGCTCCTTAACAGTGTGTGTAACACTGTATCTTTTCATAACTTCTAGAATTCCAAAAGGGAGGGAGAGAGCAGGTATATAGTTACATACTTTTACATATGATGTAGTGTATAATACATTAAAATTTAAAAGAGGCAGAGCTTAACAACTTGGAAGTATCTTGGTGGAAAGGTGAATATTATCTTTAAAAGGAATGATTTTAATGAGTCTACAATTAAATGTGCGTTCATTCATTCAAAAAAAAAATGAGGATCCTCTTTCATACCAGGGATCAGATCTCAGATGGTTTCAATCCAACGAGGAGACAGTAACTAAGTCTAGTAGTCGAACAAATAGTCACAAACTCGGGTGGAGGCTGTGAGGCAGAGAACAGGGCGTGTGACAGATGTTATGGCACTGGGGAGGCCTTGCTTCAGTCTGGGAGGAGGTCAAGAAAGGCCTCTCTGTAAGCAGAGATCCTGGGTATGAGCAAGAGTTACCTGGAAGAGGTTGAGGGGATGGGTGTGCTTTAAGCTGCATTAGCCAAGGAAGACAAAAGGACACAGCCGGAGATCTGGTGATCCTAAATATACTGAAGACTTAGTGATTTTAAGGAGTACTCAAGTCAGCGGGGCATGAAAGCAAAATAATTTCAGCTGACTTTAGATTGGACATATCAAGCAATGATAACACCTCAAATAAAGCAGAACGGGGCCCGGTTGAAAGGAGACAGTGGAAGTGGTCCTCATTCCTTGCACCTGAGCCTCTCTGTGGTCTGATAGTGATTTGTATTATTTTTGCTTGTTGTAGTCCATCTTTCCTATAAAGTGCAGATTTCGTGTTGACGCACTCAATGCCATGATGTTCAGATTTCACTTTGTTTCACTACTCTCCAGGAAGCAGCCATGCCTGATGTGTGCGATGAATATGCCTTATCCTCCCGAAACTGGCTTTCCCAACCAAATAGTTCCTTTCAAAGCACTGAAAGCACCCATGATGCTGTGCCTGGGTCCTTAGATTTCATCGTGCATGTTGCTGTGGGTGAAGAGGAGCGGTCTCATGTGACTGGGCTCCCTTCCACACTTCAACCCAGGGGAGCGCTGCCCTTTCTGTAAAGCACGGGCACTTCTGGAAGATCGATGCTGTGATGTACCCAGTTAGAGAGAACCAGTCTGTGTAATAAGCGCTCTGTAACTTTTTAATCCTTTACTTTTTGTTGTTTTATTTCTAAAGGCTTGAGCTGTCTGTTGAAAACATCTACCAAGACTGGCTTGAGAGTTCCGGAATACCAAAGGTAACTCAAGATAACCACTTTGGTAGAATCCATGGAGAGTAGTAAAGCTTGCTGCTTAGCACATCAATCATGACAGTGATTTCTTAATATATGTGTAGGAAAGTAATTATCTTACTGAGTGCAAGTATCTGTAAGTCAGAACACTAGTCTCTCCCGCATTTCCCCCCCTCATTGTGGGGTGTGCCTCTGGCCACTTTCAAGTGACCGTGGTATACGTGGAATTGATGGTAGCTCCTGAACTCCCTGCTAAATGAGACCCTGCAAGACGTGGGGTAGATTTTGGGTGGAACCACCAGCCAACAGTTCCATGCCCCGTGGGGCAGGTGGTGGGGGGGCAGGTGGCAGGGGAGCAGGTTGAGGGGGAGCAGTCAGCCTCCAGCTCTGCTCTTTGGATGCGGCCCAACACAGGAGTTGGTTTGCTGCCGCCGTCGTCTGTCCTGCCCCATGGTCCCTGTCCCTTGTTTCCCTGACACGCCTGTGGCTCCCTCGTCTCCTGGTTCTGCATTGGGCTCCTGTCTCAGGCCGGCCTTCTCACCTGGCTGACCCATTTCCATTCATTTCTCTGTCTTAGGGACCTGGGCTCATCCCAGCTGGAGATTGTTGTTCTCTCCCTCCCTTTCAGTCTATGGGCAACTCTAAGGGAGAAACCTTTTCCTGGCCAGCCCTAGCTCTGTGGAAATCACCTGGCCTGGAGCTCCTCTCCCCGTCCACTCTCCTCTGGCCCTGTGCCTCCCAGAGACCATTGGACAGCCCAGGCCCCTTCGCCAAATCAAATGCTGGCCATGGCAAGCCTAGGCCCTGGGAAGTCTGAGGGTGGGATCCCAGATGCGCGGTCAGAGGACCCTGCAGGCTGGGAGCTCTCTCAGTCTGGGGCAGCCCCCAGAGCGGCTGCAGGCTGGGCCTGACCCAGGGTCATGGGCCTTGGCATCTGGGGGCGGTCCCGTGTGGTGAGGCAGGCCCTGTAGCCTGCTGGTTTCTGGTTTCATGGCTGGTTACATGAGCTTCCCCTTAGGAGGGTCTCAATGTCAGTGAATGTCTGTGAACCATGAAATGAAGGGACAGGAGGGGCTGTTCTCCATTACCTTTTCATCCCCCTCCTCACATCTTTGTCCATTTTCACCACAGGGGAAATGTCAGCCATCAGCAACCATAAGCTCATTCCTAAAAAAGGACAGTTTGCCTTCAGTTCAGGAATGTGTGTCACCTGTTACAAATTATTTCTTTGGTCCAGTCCTTCTGGGAGGAAAAAAGAAAAAACATCCCGAGTTTTACAAATAAAACAGACCAGGGGTAGGACAAGGCAGTGCGTGGTTGGGGGCAGCGCCTTTCACTCACGTGTGTGACAATGAGGGCCCGTGAGCTCTGAGACGGTGACTTCCAAACCAGACTACTCACTGAGGACAAACATCCAGGAAAAACAAGTTAAGGTTTGTCTAGGTGTGAATAACCAACCCTTTTCCTTCATGTTTCAGATGGGAGTGCAGGTGGTGGGGGACATTTGCTGAAGTTTGCCTTGTGATCCTAAGCCAGGCTGTTACAAGGCTCCCAGACATTCTTAGTGTGGCCTGGAAGCTGGGAGCTCCAGTAACTGGCTCCCAAATTTCCTGGCCTGGAACAAGAAGGCTGCTGTTTGCAGCCATTAGCCCCTAGGGAGGGGGAAAGAAAGAGACCTTAATCCAGTGCCCAGAAGCAGGCGCACTCCACTTAGGCTGTGGTGCTGGGGCTGGCTCTCTCACTGCCGGGGGCTCTGTAATTTCCCCTGCAGAGGAGGAGGCTTTAGCTGCCAGCAGGAGGCTTTTGGTTTTCATTAAAAGAGGGAGGGGTCTGTGGCAGGGAGAGATTTGCCTCTGAGCTATACATTTTTTCCAAAGGTCTAGTTGCATTAGTGACAGCTTATAGTGTAGACAAGAATCTCTGCTATAAACTGAAGAAACCTGCTGTCAAAACAGCCAGGTGCAATGAGGCCAACCGGCTATAAATTGTGTTTAAGACCCAACTGGTATTTCCTTGGGTGCTTCACTGTTCAGTAAAAACAACAGGGTCAGACAGAAAAGACCCTGATTTAGCGCATGATTGGTGGGTGATCAGATGGTGTCTTTGCGTCTCTTCTACCCATTTCGGCCATGATTTCTGCGGCTGCTGCTGATTTATCTACTCTCAGCCCCTTTCCCACTCCTTGAGAGTTCCTTGCCGTTTCCACTTCACTGAAAGGCTCTACAAGGACCTGGGACCCTCCGGTTGCAGGAGGCTTGTGGTGAATGGGACACCTTGTTCTTTGTCCCCATCATTATAATATAAAGTTACTAGGATGCTTGCCCTGGAATGACAACCAGGGCCCTGAAATTGCTCTGATGCTCTTTGTTCTCGTAAAAATTTCTGTCTACCAGCAATTGAAGTCATTCATGACAAAAGAGTCATGTTCTACTGGTGGAGTTTTCATTCCACAGGTTACAGAGGCTTTTTGTCTTCTCTCAGGAAGACTTGCCTTGTGGTTGGCCTCGATTTTCCTTTTTGGCTACGTTGAATGGAAATCATTTTTAAAAAGTGGAAATAGCTTCAGTAAAAGTGAGCATGAGCCCTGAAGAAGCAAAAGAAATTGGATCCTAACCTCTTTAAAGAATATCCCAACTCTATAACCTCTGGCCTTACAAAGAGATTTAAAATTGATTGTACCATCAGTACTATAGATTATTTCCTTTTATGACTTTTTTTTTGGTTATAGAAGAAGTACACATTTACTTTGGGATATAAAAAAGTCTAAGAAAATAAAAATGACCCAGAGACAATTTTTTATGTACATCCTTTCACTCATTGTTCTGGGTATATAAATACATATTTTACGTTTTCCTTTCTCTCCCTCTTTAAAAGTAAAAATAACATGCCCTCCGTAGCAAATTCAAACAATAGCAAAATAGAAAATGTGAAACTCCTCGCTGCCCTCAGTCATACCTCCAGAGATCACCTGCACCTGAGAGCAGCCCGCTGTGTGTCCGCCCACACAGTTTCTGTGCTGAACAGCATGTAGGCGCACATTCTTTTGAAATAAAATTGGAGTCTTATCTTCCAAACTAAGTTATTCATTTAAGGATATACACTGAGTAGTTTCCCACATCCCTTAATATAATTCAAGAGCAATACTTTTTTTTTTTTTTTTTTTTGGAGACAGGGTCTCACTGTGTCACCCAGGCTGGAGTGCAGTGGTATGATCATGGCTCACTGCAGCCTACACCTCCCGGGCTGCAGTGAAAGGGCAATACTTTTAAAGAGCTGCACCGCTTCCTGATGAATAATACCATAATCAAACTTATTCGGGGCCTACCCCACACTATTAGAATAGTATATTATTGTACAGTTATTCTCAGAAAGTTGCACATTCCGCTAATTTGACAGCTCTATAAATAGATTTTGGATTTTTTTTCATGTCCAAACAAAGGTTTCCCTCGGCCCCATAGCCATATATTCTAGTCTTCTTTTAAAACATTTATATGCAAATACACTAGAAATAAATACACTAGAAATAAATTTCTGCATCCAGCCTTTCTTCTACACTCCTTATTTTAGTTGCTACAGAACTGCGCTTTTGTTTTGTTTTGTTTTGTTTTTGTTTTTGTTTTTTTTGAGACAGAGTCTCGCTTTGTCACCCAGGCTGGAGTGCAGTGGCACGATTTTGGCTCACTGCAACCTCCACCTCCCAGGTTCAAGTGATTCTTCTGCCTCAGCCTCCCTAGCAGCCAGGACTACAGGCGGGCACGCATGCCTGCTAATTTTTGTATTTTTAGTAGAGACGGGGTTTCACCATATTGGCCAGGCTGGTCTCGAACTCCTGACCTCATGATCCGCCTGCCTTGGCCTCCCGAAGTGCTGGGATTACAGATGCGAGCCAGCCAGTTTCTACAGAACTCTGACTCCTCCCTTTCTTTGATTTCCTCCCTAAATTGCCAAGTCCTGAGGCCCTTCTGTACACACTTACCAAATGTCTAATTTTCTTTCCTAGCACCTCTGCCATTTATAAATTATATTTCGCTTGGACTGGTGCAATAGCAAACTGGTCTTTTAGCTCTCTCCTTTTTGATTCATTGTTCACATCAATGCCAAGTAAATCTTCCCACAACCCAGCTCAGACCCACTCTTCTCACCAGAGACTTTTCCCCCATGGACAATGGATTTAGAACAAACTCCTTGGCCTGCTATTTGAGGCTACCAGCAGACTGGTCAAAGTCACCCTTTTCAACTTTATTTCCTGGCATTCTGGAGATTCGCCCGCTCACGACTGTCGGTGCACAGGTATTTGCAAGCTTTTCCATCAGCCTGCCTTTGTGCATGCCCTTTGCTCCTTGGCATGCTTTCCTCTCCCTCTCTTTAGCATACATCACAACCTGCCTTACATGTTTCTCTCTGTATCTGTCCCATGCCGTCCCCTCCCCTCCCCCCTCCCCCGGAAACAAGGGTTATGTCTATAAGCCTCATCCTGTAGTACCTGTTGTGGTGCTTATCTCTTTTGGGCCTTGCATATATTAACAGTAGATGCTCAGGAGCTCACCGTCCAATGCACTAGCTACATGTGGTTGGTAAGCACTTGAAATATATCGAAAGCACCTGAGGAGCTAATTTTTTTTTTTTTTTTGAGACGGAATCTCGCTCTGTTACCCAGGATGGAGTGCAATGGCATGATCTCGGCTCACTGCAAGCTCCACCTCCCAGGTTCACGCCATTCTCCTGCCTCAGGCTCCCAAGTAGCTGGGATACAGGCGCCCGCCACCACGCCTGGCTAATTTTTTGTATTTTTTAATAGAGACGGGGTTTCACCGTGTTAGGATGGTCTCGATCTCCTGACCTCGTGATCTGTCTGCCTCAGCCTCTCAAAGTGCTGGGATTACAGGCCTGAGCCACCGCACCTAGCCGGAGCTGATTTTTTAATTTAGTCGTAATTAAATTTAAATTTAAAATCTCATAATTTAGTTATTGTTTGAAATACCTTGGGTATGTGAATGAGTCTGCTTTTTCAACTCGGACTGTTATGAAATATAAATAGAGACCAAACATTTCTGATGAAAATTTAACACCCAAATTGAGATGGACTGTGAGAACACATCAGATTTAGGAGACTTAGTACAAAAATGGAGGTAAATATTTCATCAATGTTTTTAAAAATATTGGTTACATGTTGAAATGATAATATTTTGGATACATTGCAACTCAATGTATATACCCAATAAAATATATTAAAATTAATCCTACCTGTTACTTCTTTTTAAATGTAGCAACTAGCAAATTTTAAAAGACACATGTGGCTTGCGTATATTCCTGTTGAATAGAGCTGTTCTAAAGCTATTAGTTGGATTAAAATCTGAGTGCATAATGCCTTAAAGTCACCCACAGAATAGATATGAGTGAAATCGTCTGTATTTTTGTCAAATGCGGGGTAAAGATAGAGCTGGTTAATCCATAGACACCCTTCAATTTGCTGTGACAGCATGGATGATGAGAATCCACAGGTACGGGGCGGGAGTGCTGGGTTCACAGTAGACATTCAGAGGGCATGAACTAGCAGCCTTGCATTAGCTGTGGGTTTCAACTCCTGGTAGACCAGTTTCCTGAGGTGTGAACCACAAGCACACCGCCTCAGGTGAACCTCACGTGTCTTCTGTACCTCAGTCTCCTCTTTGGAGGAAGTGCTCAGCCGCCAGTTCCTGGCAAAATCATCACAGCAGCGGCAGTGAGGAGGAGAGAGAAGATGGGAAATGAGCCGACAATAATGTGTCCCAGAAATAGGCAGAAAGCAACTTGGGTTCCCAGACTTTCTCCTGAATCCCAGAATTTAGAACAACAGGTTATTTTGTCATCTTGGGAAAATGCCACTTCTTTCCGAGCAAACACCTGCAAGTTGCCAGAGGCTGCATGAGCACATGATAGAAAACTGAAGTCTTGTAGGGAAAATGCTGCAATCACAGAATTGAGAATACTTGATAAGACAGTATGCAGGAGGCTTTATGTCACTGTAGTCACGATGTGCTTTTAGCACAGAGAAATCCAGCTGGTTTTATAGGGGAATGACTAGTAGACTTCTTATAGCACATATTATGCAGTATTATCAATATAATTTTAAGGCCTATTAAGATACTCAATCTCAGTGGTGTCTAGAAGAATTCTACATTTAATGGTCAGTCAAGAAAACTGAAACTGATTATTTTGCAAATTTCAGAGAAAGTATATTTTTCAAATTATATGAACTACGATATGTTTGCTTCTTTTATATCTATAATAGCAGTTGCCATAATGTGGTATACTATTTGGGCTGCTAATAATTTTGCTGTCATTTTTGTCCAGTAGTTAAACTTGTATTTTCTAAGTGACTAAACATCTTGTCAAGGATCCTTAAAGACATGTGGAATAGGTTCTGCGGCCTCACTTGAGGCAGCACCCAAAATGCCTGAGTCATCACAGTCACTTCCGTTCATCCAAGCACCTGGCCCCCTCCATAGGCTCTTCAAATTGCTCTACTGCTCAGCAGAATCACAAGACAGGGAGAGGGTTTATTAAAATCTTTTCATTTTTAGCTTAATTTCCTTTATTTTTGGCATCTAAGGCTTTGTGCTCAAATGAGTTTGCTGGGGTTGCCATAACTAAGTACCACAGACTGGGTGGCTTAAACAACAGAGATTTTTTTCCTCACAGTTCTGGAGGCTGGAGGTCCAAGACCAAGGTGCCAACAGCGTTGGTTTCTGGTGAGGCCTCTCTCCTCGGCTTGTAGACGGCCACCTTCTCATCATGTCCTCATGTAGTCTTTGCTCTGTATGCGTGCACATGTCTGTCCTTACCTGCTCTTTTTATAAGGACACCAGTTATATTGGGTTAGGGCCCACCAATATGACCTAATTTTACCTTAATTTCCTCCCTAAAGGCCGTAACTCCAATAATACAGTTGCATTGTGAGTTGTACTGGGGTTTAGGAATTGAATATATGAATTTGGTGGGACACAATTTAGCCATTCCTATTTACCTTATTCACAGTACGTCTCTCACTAGTTCCGCATTCTAATGAATCCCTTCAGAATGGCCAATAAAAATTACTCAGCGCAACCTCACTGCATTTTATTCCCCTATGGATGAATATGCTTTGGGTACATGTTTTGGTCCCAAATGATGTTAGTATCTAGTGAGTGCACAAGAATTAAAAATCATGTCTTCATGGCATGCGAGAGAAATAAATGTGGGAAGGGTCCATTCCCCCAGAAAGTGGTAATAGCTGAAGGTCTGTGCTGCGTGTTGTGTAACATTGGGGCATCTGATTTGACACTGTCCAAATATATTGACCTCTTTACAGCACAAGCCATCACAATGAAATGAGAAACATTTTCCTCTGGTGCCCCCAAATGAAAGCTGTGTGCTTCCTTCATTTCTGTCTTTCAAAACCTGATTTCCAGAACGAGTTTGAATCTCATTCACAGTAGTCTAAGACTAGACTTCAAGTGAATAACAAGAATTAAAAATGTTTCCTCTCTCTTGAAGATTTCCTTTGTAAGTGTCAGAGCTTAGAGCTTAGGCTTCTACGGTAGAACTTTCAAGCATCCAGACCAGATGGATGATATTTGCAAGAGGAAGCTTCTTCCAGGATCTGAAATCAGACCTCTGAGTCCAGTCCTTTCCTATCCTTCTTCCCATGAGTAGATCCCACACATAGGTTCTTGATGAGAGACTGTGGATGATTCAAAGATGAGAGAAATACAGGCTTTGCCTTCAAGATGCTTAATAATTCAATAGGAAAAATAGATACATAAATAACTGACGTAAGGCAGAAAGCAATAAGTAGTGGAAAGCTTAGTGTTCAGAAGAAAGGCCATTTTGATTTGTGGAAGCAGAGACAGTGTAAGTACCATTTGAAGCCAATCTTGAAGGACAGGCAGGTAGAGCATGGGCAGGTGGAGATTGTGGAGAAGGCCCTTACGGGCAGGGAGTGTGACATAACCAAGGTGTGCTGCTGGGAAACTCAGTGTGCCTGTTTGAACAGCATCAGGCAGAGTCAAATCTCAGTGCTGGGAAGCTGATTAACTAGTGTCACAACCATGATGAAGGTTCAGCGGGTAGCATCCCAGCCCCAGTGAAATCAAGGTGGCGTCCTCAGCTGGAAGGGTGGGGGCAAGAATCCTTCCCATTCAGCCTCCTTCTCATTCTCAGGTCCCTCCCAGCCCCTGCAACAATCTAACCAAGGTTGTTCTGCTCCTGAATAATAGAGGGATGAATGCATTTTAAATACTGATAAAATATACTGGGTGAACGCATTTTGATTGTGATTTGGGGTTGTAATCTTTTCCCTTTCTGTTTTTCTTGTTGGGGACATGTTTAATTCTTGCTTGTTTTACATAGAGGGCAGGATCTGTGAGGGGGAATGGTTAGTGGGGCAGGACCCAGCCAGATTACACAGGGACTTGAATGTGATGCTAGAGAGTTCCTGCAGATTGAGTAGCCACTGATGCTTGTGCAAGGAGTGACAGGACTTGAGCAGCATGTTTAGATAAACATGGTCAGGTGGGTCAGCAGCCTTGCCTGGAAAGACAGCTCCCCGGGTAAAAAGCCATGCTTTTCCCCTCTGTGCAGGGAAGAGGTAGTCTAGTGGAGGGTGTGGAACAGCTAGACTGACTTTAGCTCCTTGGTTTCTGACTGAACTTTCAGGTCCAGAAGCTCTTCATTTACATGGATACTTCTAAAAACAGCATTAAGTATCTAGATAACCAATGGTGTCTGTCTATCCAGAGAGGACATGCAGTGGGCTGAGGAACGCCTATATCCATGGGAATGAGTAGGAAGCCACAAGAAACAAGCACAGATCAATGTGATGCAGCTGATGCACCCAAATCCTACTCACGACGGGGAAGGACGTTGGGAAGTCGGCAGGGAGAGTCGATTGCCCACAGCTTTCACAATCTCGGATTAGACGTACATTTTTTCAGTGAGCACAGAGGAAGGCATATGAGGATGGCTTTCTCATTAGGGATAAAGGGCATTTGAGACATTTTTCCTGTAAAAAGAATAAGAATTCTGAACTGGCTCAGATGCAAACAGACACATTGAAAGTATGACACCGTAGAGAGAAAGCTAATATTTGCTAGGTATATGAAGGATAACCCAGTCCTGCCTTCGAACATCGAAGGATAACCAGAAGGAAAAGGAAGCAGAGGCCACTAGCATTTAAAAAATGCAGCTAATGGAGACAGTTGGTAGTGGCCCATGTACGTGTGGGTTTTAATAATAGGATCAAGCTGGGTTCTTGCTGGAAGTCTAGCTCTGCAGGCTTGAGTTGAAGGCGCTCAGGGAGACCTGGTCATCAGAATCATGTAGGAGGCGGATTAAAACTGCAGATCCCGGAGCCAGCCCAAACCTGCTACTGAGTCAGCATCTCCATAGGTACGGCTGGAACTGGTCAACATAATCCGTAATTATCTCATATTCTGAAATATATTCTATCAAAATAAGTTTCTTTTCCTTTCTTTTTTTTTTTTTTTAGACAAAGTCTCGGTCTGTCGCCCAGGCTGAAGTGCAGTGGCGCAATCTTGACTCACTGCAATCTCCGCCTCCTGGGTTCAAGCAATTCTCCTGCCTCAGCGGGGGCAAACTCTCAGGTAGCTGGGATTACAGGTGCACGACACCACACTCAGCTAATTTTTTTATTTTTTGTTTGTTTGTTTGTTTGTTTTGAGACAGAGTCTTGCTCTGTCACCCAGGCTGGAGTGCAGTGGCATGATCTCTGCTCACTGCAAGCTCTGCCTCCCGGGTTCATGCCATTCTCCCACCTCAGCCTCCCGAGTAGCTGAGACTACAGGTGCCCGCCACCTCATCTGGCTAATTATTTTGTATTTTTAGTAGAGACGGGGTTTCACTGTGTTAGCGAGGATGGTCTTGATCTCCTGACCTCGAGATCCGCCCACCTTGGCCTCCCAAAGTGCTAGGATTACAGGTGTGGGCCACCGCGCCCAGCTAATTTTTGTATTTTTAGTAGAGACGGGCTTTCACCATGTTGGCCAGGATGGTCTCGATCTCCTAACCTCGTGATTTGCCTTCCTTGGCCTCCCAAGGTGCTGGGATTACAGGCATGAGCCACTGTGCCTGGCCAAGAAGCTTCTTTTCTAAGTACAACCTAAACCCTTAGAATCCTTCATTTTTATACCCTTCCTGAGTAACCCAAACTTTTTTTTTTTTTTTTTTTTGAGACAGAGTCTTGCTCTCTTGCCCAGGCTGGAGTGCAGTGGCGTGATCTCAGCTCACTGCAACCTCCACCTCCACGAATCAAGAGATTCTCCTGCCTCAGCCTCCTGAGTAGCTGGGATTACAGACACTAGCCACCATACTCGGCTAATTTTTGTATTTTTATAGCGACAGGGTTTCACCATATTGGCCAGGCTGGTCTCAAACTCCTGACCTTGTGATCCGCCCGCCTCGGCCTCCCAAAGTGCTGGGATTACAGGCATGAGCCACTGCGCCCGGCCAAGTAACCCAAACATTTGGCTTTGTGGTTTAGTTTATTAGTTCAAGCAGTTTGCCAAACATTGCGCTGGGTGGTTTGCATATAAAGCCGAAAGGGCACAGACCCTGCCCATGAGCTCATGGTTTGTGGAAGCATCTGCAAACCAACCTTTGCCCAACAGGTCTCCACCCCAGAGTTTGAGACCTGCGAAGAACTGTAGAGGTTGATGTCTTGTGTTTGCCATGTTCCGCTGGGAGGCTAAATCTGTAAGAAAACAAATACGCTTGGAGGGAGGAGACTGCCCTTAAGCCCCACTCAATCACAAGTCAGCTGGCCCATTGTGCAAAGGAGCCAGCATGACTGTCCTCAAGGTGTAGTCTGGTGAGCCATATTTGGACACATGGGCAGTACCTGTCTTTCAGGCTTTCAAGTATTGGCCCACAGAAAGAGTCACTGAAGGAAGGACTACTGCATCCCTAATAATGAGCGGACCTGTAATAGGATTTCACTGCAGTGCTGCCTTATTTTGTAGAGAAACCTTTTTAGAAAGAAAGAGCAATGCAAACTCAAAGAACTAGGACAAAGATAGCAGCTCTAGAGTGTAAACCTTGTATCAATAGAAAAACAACTGATTCTGCTTTTTAAGAAAAACTGCCCCCATTTTCTCTTTTATTAGGCTAAAGACATACTCTGGTAGACTCTTCGTCAAAAGCAGATTATTTAATTTAATTAATTAATTAATTAATTAATTAATTTCTGAGGTGGAGTTTCACTGTCGCCCAGGCTGGAGTGCACTGGCGTGATCTCGGCTCACTGCAACCTCCTCCTCCTCCTAGGTTCAAGCCATTCTCCTGCCTCAGCCTCCCAAGTAGCTGGACTACAGGTCTGTGCCACCATGCCTGGCTAATTTTTTGTATTTTTAGTAGAGACAGGGTTTCACCATGTTGGCCAGGCTGGTCTCGAACTCCTGACCTCAGGTGATCCTCCTGCCTCAGCCCCCCAAAGTGCTGGGATTATAGGCATGAGCCACCGCGCCTGGCCAAAAGCAGATTATTTTATATTGACATTGCACTCTTCCCACACCTGGAAGGTAAAGCCCGGCAAAGCAGTAGTTGAGTGAGTTGTGCACATGGCTGCATACACAAGCATGACCCCTTGGCTGTTTGACATCGCACAGCATCATGGCACATGCTGATAGAAGATCAACACCCAGGGCTTTTTAGGCTGCTGCCCCCACTGTGGCCCTGCACAATGCTCACAGTGGCTTGTCCCAGCTCTTGCAGCCAGAGCACCCTGCTGACCGGGAAAGCCATCAGGAGCACCTGGCTACTTTTACAGTCAGGGCTTTTTTTCCTTCTCTTTTGTGGAAGCCATTATGTGGTACCAAATAGGTATACATTTAATACCTGCATGGTATTTCTCCTGTGTGGCCTCTGCTGCTTCATGGTTAAATATTAGTTTTTTCTGGTATTGTGCAACTTTGAGCTTGCTGTAGAATCACAGGCTACAGATGAGTCTTAGAGTGCAGTGCGTCTTCTTCTTACTGGGGGAGCGGAGCCCCAGGAGAAGTGTAGTATCTGCCCAAGCTCGCAGCACTAGTTAGTGGCAGAGCTATGGCTTGAGTACAGGATTCTAAGTCTTCAGCCCATCAGACTAAAGCATTTTGTAATTTGGGTCCCATCTTTGCCTTAGTTTCTACGAAGACCTATGAGTAGATAATAAAGGAGTATGGCAGAGGGCCCTGAGAAGTGATGATTTTTCATTAATGACTCCTCTTTTTCTTGAAGCTGTTTGTTCCTATTCTTTCACAGATGCAGGATATGGACCTCACTTTCCAGAGCTTTTCACAAATATGTGTCATGGATATACATGCCCCTCTTCCACTAGATATTTCTAAACGGTAGCCCTATGTATCTAGATGGAATATTTTGCATAGGAAATACTGGGCTCCATTGCATCAAAAAGCTGGTATATTTTTTGGTGTGAGTGAATGTGATTGTATATAGAGATTAGTTTAGGTCTTTGCATTTGGAAAGATACAGCCATTCCTCACTTGAGATGGAAACTAAATTACATAATACCAGGCCACCCAAACAAACAAACGAATGGGAAAAAGTAAATGGTTAAACAAAAAGTGTATCTTGATGTACATTTTTCATATCCTCTTATTTGCTTTCACAAGCACACTTCCAACCAGAGTCCCTGTCTTTTGCCCTGAAGCTGACCCAGAGCAGAAGACTGTCAGAGAGCACAAAGGTGGTGGCCAGCCAACAAGTGTCTCACAGGTCAGGGTAACTGTCAATGATTGTTGAACTGCACAGATCCCAGTGTGTGTTTAAAAAGGCCAGCGTTCTTGTCACACATCTCTGGATGGCAGCTGTCTACTTTTCACTGGTGCTTGGTAAGGAGTCTGTTGCAATCATTCAGCAAAAGACCCTGTTCTTCCAGGTCAGTCCTCCAGCTTGGGCCTTTACGACCCCAGTATTTTCTGCTTCTGATCCTGTCGAGTTACAGCCACCACCGTCACACTGTAAGTGGGCTCCAAACAGTTTGGTGCATAACATGCAAGACAGCGTTACTTTAAAGTTAATCAGCAAGATTGGAGGCTGGGTAGAGGAGGAAAGTCGGTTTGTTATGTCCAAATCCATGTTTTTTTCACAGAGTTCTTTATTATGAAGTTTTGTTCAGCAAGGCTAGTCCTATAGTGGATGAAGACGTCAGTGAATCCATTAAATACCAGCTTTGGAGTCAGCTCTACCACCTCGAAGCCGTGTAGCAGTGGGCGAGCCACTTGCCCTCTCTGAGGCTCACTGCCTCTTTGGGGGTAAGGGGAGCTGGCCTGGGTGAAGGCACTCTGGGCTGCGTCCGGTGCCGTGCTGAGGCCTGCAATGCAGGTGTACCTGGTCGCATCTGAGAGGAGAAAAGTTGGGATTTACTTTCATGTGTCTTTCCTTCTGTCCTTGGAACCTGTAGAATTGCCCTCAGACTTAAAAGTTGCCCTTAGCTTGGACTGGTATTGGGAGAGTTTTTTAAATATACTTTGTCCTGTATGGTGTTTTACAAAGTTACACTATCTGGGAACCCTGTTTCTTCATTTCTTTTCTTTTCCAGTGGAAAATTGCTATTTGAGAGATGATTGAGAGAACTGAGTAATAATCAATCTACAAAAGCATTTATGCTGCCTGACCACTGAAGAATAGGCATTTGCTTCTAGTTGAAATCAATTATTCATAGAGATTAACCTGTTTGATCAGGAGATGAAAAAATTTTTGCTGGCCTTTTTAGTCTTAAAATTCCTACGGGTCAGTAGTAACTGCAGGTCAGTTTTACCTTAGACAGGGACAATTATTATTTCTAAGATACATTTTGAGACATAGAGATAAAATATTTATGCCCGTTGCCTAAATAACCTTGGGGGAAAAGTCCAGTGAGTCCAGTTTGCCTTTTGGAGGAGGGGAAGCCATTGTTGCCCAATGCTCTAGAAAGAGCACTTCGTGTTTTATGCTGCTTTTTATCTCAATCATTCAAGTATTTGCTGCTTTTAAAAAAACAAACAGAACCAGTAATGAAATGTGTGTGAGAAATTGCTACAGTGATCGCTGCATATTTTATAGCAAAACGTTGCAGTATTTCTTATATTGAGAAAGTAGAACCTATTTGGGGTTGAAATGATCAAACCCAGATGCTTTCCTAAAATTATATTTTTGGTGCATTTATATGTCTGTTACAAAGTGTGCTACATGCTAAAAATATTTTCCTTTGTAGGCCGAGGGGAGTTTCAAACCGCACTGAGAGACGTAGATCAGATGGTTTTCCGTAAGAGTGTTACCAGCATCCTGGTTGTTATTAGCCTTGACTTTGCAATATGACATTATTTATGCCAGAAGACTTCACAATTCAGTTCTTCTTTAATTTCACCAACTTTATTGGCATGAACATGCATGGAAGGGAGGCCAAAGTCAATACATCAGAATTTGGGACTCAGACTCCAGGGCAACAAGCAATAATGGGATTCGGCTGGAGATAACCCCTCCATTCCTGGGGTCTGTTTCCCTGGGACGCAGAAGCTGCCTCCCACGTCAGGCAGCGTCTCTTGCCTTTTGTCCAAGCGCTTCCTCTTGTTTTTCTCTGGTGTCTCCCTTCTTCTCCCGAGCCACGCATGCTGCCACTTTTCACATTCCATGCAGCCAGGTAGAGACACACTTCTCCTTAAGATGCTTCTGGATTCTGTTTATTGCAAAGGCAGTTGCTCTACAATTCTCTCTGGTTATTCCTCCTCAAATTGTATTTCCTAGTCACTGTCATTGGTTTTATAATTGAGAGACATCTGCCTGGGTTTTGCATAAATGCCTCTAGTCAATTAAGCTGCAAATGGGTAAATCTAAGAATATGTAGATTGTCTAACTCTCTATAGAATTGTAGTTTTTAACTTAATCCTTCCCTTCCCTCCTTCCCCTCACCTCCCTGCCTCCAGTTGACTAGAGTATCCTATTTTACATTTAGAACATCCAGAATGAGCAGAAAAGGCTATATACTAAGTGCATTATACATAATAGCTATTTATTTCTCCTAGTCACAACTCCGTAAGACAGACATTGTTATTATACCCATTTTACAGATGAAGAAACTGAAAACCAAATCTGTCTGACTTAAAAGCCTTCATCCTTAATTATTATACTGGTTTTAAATGCATGTAGCTCTGGTTAGGATTATAGCTATTTTTGCATCTAGCACCTGACCATGGTGGTATCTTCAGAGAGCAATGTAGAAATATCAGATTTCAGGCTGGGCATGGTGGCTCATGCCTGTAATCCCAGCACTTTGGGAGGCCGAGGTGGGTGGATCACCTGAGGTCAGGAGTTCGAGAACAGCCTGACCAACATGGTGAAACCTCGTCTCTACTAAAAATACAAAATTAGCCGGGTGTGGTGGTGTACACCTGTAATCCCAGCTACTCGGGAGGCTGAGGCAAGAGAATTGTTTGAACGCAGGAGGTGGAGGTTGCAATGACCTGAGATCATGCCACTGCACTCTATCCCGGGCAACAGAGTGAAACTCCATCTCAAAAACAGAAAAAAAGAAGTATCAAATTTCACTTTGTGATATTCTTGTAATAACAGTCAGCTTACTGTTTTGAATGAGACAGGACCAGAAATGGAATTATCTCCTTTATAATAAGACACATGAGAAACAGAACTTGGTTTCTCATGTCCATTGGTTGTCATTGGAAGGGATACACACTTGTTTGTAGTAGCTCAGATGTGTTGTGTCTTTGCAGGCTCCGTACAAGGGCATTGAGCCTGTGTGCTTGTCAGGCCAGGCTTTTTATTATGACGTCACAACTCAGTTATTTTGATACCTTTGAAAATTTACTTAGGTTCAAAATACCAGATAGACTTTTGTTTCTGAGGGGAAAGAGGAAGGGATTTGCATTTACTGGTCTATTTTGTGCCTTTTACCATGTGCACCATCTCATTTTATCCTCACCACAGCATTATCTCTGTTTCATAGCTCAGAGAGGTTGTGTGACATGCACGTCCAAGGCCACAGAGCTTCTTGGTGGCAATGACAGAGAGTGCCTAGTCTAAATTCCCAGCTGTGGATTTCCTATGACACCATGGCTTTGTACTGAAACAGTTAAGTCACATTTACAGGGTGACATGTAAAAACAGCAACAGCATATTTGGTTGTCCCTTATCATGATTTCCAGTATCCTTGAAACTCAGAGATCAAGGCAGTGATGGTAAGAAATGCTCCCATAGAAGGCAAAACAGGCCATAATATTTACATAATAAATTGAAACCCATAATTATAAAAGCATTCAGAAACTCCTAGAAGATAGATTTAATAAGATTCTAACATACCTAATATAAATCTGAATATAAATTAACTGGGTGGTAGGTTCTTAAATCCTGCATATTAGGAGGTGTCTAATAAAGCTCTAATGTTCTTTGTGGTTCTTTTCCAACTATCATACTGGTGAGCACAAAAGCTGTGTTATGTACAGAATGGCTGGGTTTATCCCTAGTAGAAAGAAGTTATGTTTGGTATCTAAAGAACAATGAGAGTTTGCTGCTTGGCTGATCAGTGCTGGATCAAGTTCACATTCCCCGGCTCCCACTCTCCACCTCCACATGCAGGGGGTGGAAGCAGAACACAGGGAGGGGAGGACAGGTCCTTTTTCACGGAGAGACGTGAGCCTGGGCTTTCCTTATATGGACACAGCTCGGCCTGTGTAGCATTAAACACTGATTTCATCCACCGCTGGAGAAAACATCCTACAAAAAGTGAAGAGATTAGCAGCCAATTAATTCTGGCCCTTCCCATTGTTTTCCTGGAACACCTCCTTGTATGGCACTGAATGTTTGGTGAACAAACATTCTGGAAAATAGCTTTCTCTCATATCTTATTTATATTTGGAACAGCCACTCCACCCCCCACATGTGGTGGATTTTACTTGCCTCTGTGTGTGTGTGTGTGTGTGTGTGTGTGTGTGTGTGTGTGTGAGAGAGAGATTTTACTTCTTCATCAAGGGATGGATGAATCAGGCCCATTCCTCTTGTTGCAAGTTGTGACTTCATTGGTTTTCTTTTGGAGGATATATAACAAGCCACACAGTCTGAGTGCCAAGCTTTTTAAAACTCGACCTGCCAGGGCCACAGACTCCCATCACGTCCCCTCCTTCAGAGGCACTGTGGAGCATCCACATGTCCATGTGCCCACACTTCCAGATACCACACCTGCTCTATCTTAGGAAATAACGGGAAAGTACCTAGACATGGTTGTTTGCTTTTCAAGCTGGTGAAATATCAACATCTGATATTTTTGTGTTTTTCAGTAGTAACTAATCCCTTTTTGTAAGGCATTTTGTCAGAATAATTTTCCTATAGCAGCAATATATGTGTGTGTGTTTTCTAAACAATAGAGCCCATGTGGTTAGAGCACAGTGCTCAAGACTGGAGGAAGTCAGCATGGGTTGCTTCCTGAATGGAACAATACCTTTTGCACACAGCAAAGGGTCTTTTCCATTGGTGCACACTGTCCCCTAATTCTAGCCAGCAATCTTCCAAATGCAGATGTTCATTTCAAGGGAATGGATGGCAGCCCTCAGCATAATTAGAACATCATCTACAGATGATGAGTTGGAAATACCACCTTCATGTTTACAGTATTGCAGGTCAGCACTAAGATTGGGTTCCTAAAGATAAGGATGTATGCACTTTTCGCTAAGGACCCAGAACTGTATTAGCTTTAGAGAAAAAAAGTCAGATATCTGCCCATTGTTGCCTCCCTTCTGGGTAGAATGTTGAAATCTTCCACTTCTTTTTAGTTCTTTTTGTGTGTGTGCTTAACTCATCTTGCCCAAAATTTTATCCCTTGGTGTAAGCTGCAGGAAGTGACTCCTGGTTTGGACCACCAGCCCATCCTGCCCAACATTGTGTCTGCCATCTGCCAAATTGGACTTACTGTAGTAAAGCATAGTGAGTGGCTATCATCTGTGGCATTGACTTTGAAATTTAGATGTCTCCCAAGCATCTGGAATTTTTTCCATAGTAACCTATTTGAGATGGGGCATCATTAAAATTATCTAAGGCAGTGGTTCTCAATGCTACCTGCACATTGGAATCCTGAGGGGTGGAGGTGCTTCAGAAATGACTGATGTCTGGGTCCCACTCTCAGAGATGTGAACCTAAGTGGTCACCTGGGCATTGAGATTTGTAAAACACCTTCTGGTGACTCTAATAAGCACTCGAGAGTAGAAACCACTGATCTAAAGGCACCCTTACATCATTTTATATTTCACCTGTGAAATTTTGTTTTTTTTGAGACAGAGTCTTGCTCTATTACCCAGGCTGGAGTGCGGTGGCACAACAGTGGCTCACTGGAGCCTCAAACTCCAGGGCTCAAGCGATACTTCTGCCTCAGCCTCCTGAGTACCTGGGACTAGAGGCATACGCCACCGTGCCCAGCTAATTTTTTATTTTCATTTTTTGTAGAGATGGGATCTCACTATGTTGCCCAGGCTGGTCTTGAACTCCTGGCCTCAAGTGATCCTCCCACCTCAGCCTCCCGAAGTGCTAGCATTACAGGCATGAGCCACCACACACAGCTGAAAACTCTTTAAGGTTATAATGTCCATGAATATCAAGCCCTGTAAATAACTGCAGTTGTAACAGGCATTGAAGGGAATATAATAATGTCTGCTTTTTAGAATGTATTTTTCAGTAGACTTTTATGGTATGGAATTATATTTTCCAGCCTATGTTGTCATCTGGGGTTGATCTAATCCATATAATGAACAAATATGTTAAAGTGAGACAGTCACACTAGATGTTCCGTAAGTACTCACGCTGGAGTAGAAAGAGTATTCCATTTCCAACCAGGAGACCTAGGGGCCAAGCGATATGAAATCCCCTGAGACTCAGTTTTTCCATCTTTCAGATGGGACTGTGTGAGGAACGAGCAGAACAGTCTGTATATGGAAGCACTTTGTAAAGCCTTCAGTTCTGTAGGTAATTGCCACTCTTCTTCTCTCTAGCAGTCTAAGGTCCTGTGCTCTCTGGTAGGGGTGCTTCAATACTTTTTTTGTCTTAAAGTCACTTCCCTCCAGCTTCTGGTAATGTTGTATTGCTTCTTAATTCTAGTCATTTAGAAGTTGATAAATAACAACTGCTTCTTGTTCTAAGCAAATTACATGTCATTTGATCAGAACTTTATGAGGAAGGAGGCTTAGAGGGGCCACACAGCTACTAGGCAAGCCGGCTGTGTGCTCCTTATACCTTGCTGTATTACTGCGTTGTCACAGGAGTTTCCTGAGGACAGGGACAACGTCTTACTCATCTTTGCATTCACGAAATCTAGTGCTCTGTTTCACAGTAGGCATTTAATATGTCTTTTATGTGAATAACCTGTCCATATGTTCAACTTACATTATTCTCTCCATAATCTAAGCCCCTTTCTTCTGGTTTTGATACCAAGAAGTAAAATATTTGGTTGGTTAGCCTTTTTGTAATAGTCCTGTATAGTATTATGTTTATTTGATGATGTCTGTATAGTATTATATCTGCGTAGTATTATATATTTTGACAGTTCTTTTCATAGAATTTTATAAGTAGAGTTATAAGTTAAGAACAGTCATACATCCTTAACTCCTGTACTTTACTTCTAAACGTTGTTAATGGAGATAAATCTTAGAACCATAAGATTTTCCCAGATCCTCCCTTCTCCCATCCAAAGAGAAAAAGGAAATTAAAAAAAAACAAAAAACCCCAAAAAACCCAGAATACTTTATTGAGTTATCCTCTTCCCTGTCCAAAATGGAGTGAAGGCAGCTTCCAAAACAGATAAATATAACATGATAGAAATAAAACAAGAAAAATGAAGCAACATGAAAATAATGGTAGAAAAAAAAGGATGGGGCCAGGAATTAAATTAGCACATAATATGCACACCCTGAAGTTCCTATGCCTGGTTAAACAGGGTCACAGAACTCCAAGCTTTCTAGAAGAGGGAAAAGGGATAAATTGCAATATTCAAGAAGTAAAAACAAAAAAGCTGCCTAAGTCCGACTATTCCTGATGCTGATACCAGGAAGAAGATTGTCCTATGGCTCCTCACAGAAAATTACTATCTAATGGAATAAACAACCCTCTAAATCCATCCTTCCGGTAAACATTGTGATGGATTTTATGGGGCTGTTTCTTATAATGCACCTCAATAAATGTTGATGGCTTCTTACCAGAACTTAATGCGATAACAGGACTTTCACAGAGTGCCCATAAGACCAAGTCCAGGGCCAGCTTTAAAAGTGGTCTGGCTTATTCCAAGAAGGGATTTTAGAGTATCCAGACTACAAGTTTAGGTACAGAAGAATCTGTGAACATCCTGACAATTGGGGTGTGTGTGTGTGTGTGCATGCATGTGTGTGTGCTGTAGGTGTATTTTTTTCTAAGGAGCTGATAGCACCATTAGCCTTCATTAGAATCTCAGAGGGGGTCAAGAAATGGAAGAACTAAGCATTGTACATGTTCCCTCAGTTGATCTCTGTAAACGTTTTTAGCAGCAGTGAGCTCAGGTTATGGTTACTGAGAGAAAGAAGGTCTGTTAGCTGGTTCACTGCAGAACCATAGCCTCAGCAATCCACTACGCCAAGCATGAAACTGACTTCCTTTTTTGAAAATTATGCTTTGTAAGGACTTCCACTAAGAGGTCCGTTTGGCAGGGCCAAAATCCTCCTAAAAAAAAACAATGACAACAACAACTAGGTGTTTATTTAAGAGAGAGACAAAATGGGCAAATAAAAATAATACAAATAACAGGTAAAAACAAACCAGCTGATCAAGTCCAACTATTCCTGATGCTGACGCCAGGGAGAAGACTGTCCTGTGGCTCCTCATAGAAAATTACTATCTAATGTAATAAACAACCCTCTAAACATCCTTTATGTAGCATCTTTTATATTTTTTGGATTAATTTATAATTTTTCTAAAATCATCCAAAAATATTACATAAAGGATGTTACATTTAAAAATAATAGATGGCCGGTCACGGTGGCTCACGTCTGTAATCTCAGCACTTTGGGAGGCCAAGGTGGGTGGATCACCTGAGATCAGAAGTTTGAGACCAGCCTGGCCAACATGGTGAAACCCTGTCTCTACTAAAAGTATAAAAATTAGCTGGACGTGGTGGCAGGCGCCTGTAATCCCAGCTACTGGGGAGGCTGAGGCAGGAGAATCGCTTGAGCCTGGGAGGCAGAGGTTGCAGTGAGCCAAGATTGCACCATTGCACTCCAGCCTAGGTGACAAGAGCAAGACATTGTCTCAAAATAAATAAATAAATAAACCAAATTTAAAGATATAAATATTTGATAATTTTGCTCCTAATCCCTCTGTTATTTTTGAAACTTAATCCAACCTTGATTTTATTTCTAGACGTGTGTAGATTCCTACTTTTAAATTCACCCTGAACGTATGTTGGCAATAGAACGCTTCTGAAACCAGTGGAAGCTTCTGGAACTCTCGACCTTGTTTGGTATTGAAAGATCTTTCGGTTTCTTTTAGTGGATAGTTTTCCCTCCGCTGTGCCTGAGGGAATGTAATTTGCCATCTGTGGCTGTTTGGGAACATTGAAGAGCCCCTTGCTTGCCCTGTGGCCTTCCTGGTGCCTAGGAAGGCTGGCTCCTCTTCCTTCCTCTGTCCTGTGCCCCCTCCATGAAGTAGAAGCAGGAAGAGAAAACACACCCGTAACAATGTGAAGTTGGTCTCACTGTATTTTTCCAGTGATAGGAGGAATTTCTTCTTTGTCTAAGAAAAGGAAGAAAACTGAAAAAGGCTTTCCCTCCAAAAGTAATCTCCAATCAATCACGAGGTTAAATAATTTTAAAGCAATGGTATTTTCCTCAGCCTCGGACGTTGTCTTCAGCTATTATGAACTGCTTTGACAAAAAAAGTTTCTTAGAACAACTTCCTTTCAAAACATGCGTATCTACTGGATGAGGCATTTTTAAAGATACAATTCAGATAGAAAACATCTGTTTTAAGAGACAGCTTTAAAGTGCTTTTACTACATTCTCAAAGACAGTAATTAGAATACCTGTCCCCCACTATAGAATTCCAGTTTTTAAAAAAGCGGTCTTCCAGTTTCTCTACACCCTACCTTCATTGGCATCAGCCTGTGAAGAAGGGGAGATTCAGGTAGACAACAGGAGAAATGTGTTCAGGCTGGATTGAACACAATAGAAAAGTATTTTTTCCGTGTCATGCAATATGTAAATCTTTCATTCTAGATTAAATTCAGCTTGTAGCACCATGCTGGAATATAATTTTAGTGATTCATATGTGACAGAATTAGGAACCTTTCTCATTTCAATTTTTTAAAATTTATCGTTATTTACTTATTAATATTTTTTTGAGGCAGGATCTCACTCTGTTGCCCAGGCTGGAGTGCAGTGGTGCCATCATGGCTCACCGTAGCCTCTGCCTCCCGGGCTCAAGTGATCCTCCCACCTCACCCTCCCAGATAGCTGGTACCGCAGGCTAACACCACCATGCCTGGCTGATTTTTTTTTTTTTTGTAGAGACAGGGGTCTTGCTATGTTGCCCAGGATGGTGTTGAACTCTTAGGCTCAAGAGATCCTCCCACCCCGGCCTCCCAAAGTGCGGGGATTACAGGTGTGAGCCACCGTGCACAGCCTGTTTATAAAGTTACCCTGGCAATATAACTAATATCCCATGGTCTCCCTTTTGTAAAAATGTAAAATTCTAGCCTCTTTACAAATTAAGCATTTTAGTGGTGAAACAAACAGGAGGTAATTAGAAAGATATTCATTTTAAGACTTCTCCCCCTTGAAATTTTAGGTGTCCTTCATTTGTTCCTTTATCCTTCCATTCACTATATAACATATTTATTGAATTTCTAGTATATGCCAGGCAATGTTTCTGGTGGACTGAACAAAAATCAAGAACAAAAGATACGGGATCTCTTTCTTCTTGGGGCATAAAATCCAGCTGGGGAGAGAGACGTTCAGTACATTTTTAAAAGAGCTATAATAACTGAACATCACAGAGTGAGCCCTAATGTAAATTTGACTTTAGTGAATAATAATGTATCAATATTGGTTCCTCAGTTATAATAAATATACTAATGCAATATGTTAAATATGGGGAAGCTGGTGAGTGGGTACAAATATGGGAACTCTGCTTTCTGCTCAGTTTTTCTATAAACTTAAAACTGCTCTAAGAATCACTCTAAAGGAAATAAACAGAATGTTATTAGAAAGTATAGTGGAGTGACATAATTTGGACTGGGGAGTAAGGAAAGACCTTTCTGCAAAAGCGCTGCTTAAACCCAGAACTAGAGGATAAGTGGGCTACCACGCAAAGAAGAGATGGAAAAGCATTCTCAGTGAAGCAAAGTGGTATCATTTGAATTACCTTTGGACGTACCATTCTGGCTTCTCTGTGGAGGATGGATTCTGGGATGGCAATTGGGAGGAGAGTTGGGGGACAAAGGACAAACGAGACAAGAGGCAATTAGGATGGGTCACAGCTTTTGCTTCCTACTTAGCAAAATCCTAGAAGAGCAGAGTGACAGTAGGCTGTTTCCTTTGTTCAGCTCATGCCGGAAACCGTTAGGTTATCCATGATCTGGGTGCTAGGAAGAAAGGAGACTGTGTCAGTAGCAGAGCAAGACAGGGTTTCCAGGTCTCAGTTTCTAAGATCTTTCCAGTGGTTCAATGGGATTTATAGAATTAAGAATGTGTGTGTGTGTGTGTGTGTGTGCGCGCGCGCGCGCGTGTGTGACTGCAACCAGTTAAAAACTGCAAAGGGAAAAAACTTTTCAAATAACTAGTACCCAGCTGTTAACAACAGCTTTCATATAAGTCTGTAAGATTTAATTTGCAATAGTTGTCTTTATTCCTGTTACTGGACTATTGGAATTTATTTTGGATTTTGTTTCTTCCAAGACTGTATGTTGAAAAACTGTATTTAAGCAGAGCACTGTTTTAGTACATCAATATTGAATGGCTCATATCACAGTTTCTGGGGATCGTGAACTCCCAAGGAAAAAAATTCTAGTGGGTAAAAGGAAGTGCCTGCCAAGATAGATTTCTATTGATTGTGGAACTCTTATTAGCAGCATAAAAGGTTGAAGAGTTTAAAGTTCTCTTTCCCTTTAAAATTAAGCAGCTCAGAATAATCCACTTCACCATTTATAATTATTTACCTGCCTATGTGCAAGATTTCCAAACCATTAACTATTTATATATATTTCCTTTACAGTAAAAAATTGTATATGATGGCTGTACAGTCTATACTAAAAGATATAATAACACATTGAAAAATCTCTAGCAAATGAGCACACATTTCGTAGCACTTAGCTATTATAATAATGACGCAAAATGGTTAACACGTCTATTTATATTGCTCTCTAGATTTCAACTTTTTTGTATTCCTGGAAACAGTAAGAATCCCTCATTTGAGCAGACTTGTTGTTTGTTTTAGGAAATAGACATACATCATCCGTGTAATTTTAAGTAGTCCAGTTATGAATATGGAATGAAGGGATAAATTCCTGATGTCTCCATTAAGCTCCTCTGTGTAAAATACTCCATGGCAAAGTTGCTGCTATTTAAAGTAGTGAGTTTGATCTTGGCTTTGATCTAAACCTTTTGATCTTGAAAGAAGGATGGAGTAGCAATAAAGAGAGGGCAAGACAGATTTTCTTTAAAGAAATGTGATAAAGTTAAAGGGATGGTCAAGACCCAGCAAGCAACAGGACAACCCGACTCTCCGCCCCGGCCCGCCCTCACCGGCAGGCGGGTTCCAGCAACTGCTGATGCGGATGAGAAGGCCTTTGGCGGGTGGAGGAAAATCTTGGGGTATCGCACATTTTTATAAAGTAAGTGTAAACTTTCTCCCTAATTATGAAAACAGATTGACCCCTTCTTTTTAAATTCTACCCAGTGGTTCTGGGGGTCCACGGCAGTCTGAGGGCTGCGGGTCCACACTCGCGGGAGCGCGGGGCTGGGTTTCTCTGCGCCCTGGCCTCGCCCCCCGGGAGGTCACCTGCCGCTGCCCGGAGCCCCGAGGGGCCACTGGGAAACGTCTACTCGAGGGCGTAGAACCCGGTCCCGGAGAAAACTCCACTAGGAAAGTTACTTTCCCTGCGCGAAAGCCACCGGGACCAGGTTTCCGACTCCAGGAGCGCGCTACGCTGGCTACGGGCGGGGTTCCTTCCCCGCCACCGCTCCCTCCAGCCTGCGGCGGGCGGCGCGGGCCCCTCTCGCTGCCGGGAAGCCGCTCGCAGGGCGCGGAGCCGGGGGAGGGGTGGCGGGGGCAAGGTGCGCGGGGGCGCGGGGCGGCCGGAGCCCGGGGAGGGGTGGCGGGGGCAAGGTGCGCGGGGGCGCGGGGCGGCCGGAGCCCGGGAGCGGGAGCACGCCGTTCGTGGGGAGAACAATACAATGCCGGCGCGGGCGGGAGGGCGACCTGCGGGAGGCGGCGCGGCCGCTATACCTTTAAGGCAGGCCCCGCCCCCGCTCGGTGCCCGCCCGCCCGCCCGCGCCGCCGCCCAGGCCCCGCGCCCGCCGCCCGCGCCGCGCCTGAGGTGATGCGGACCCCGGGCGGGCGCAGGGCGCGGGCTCCGGCGCCGCCGCTGCGTCCTCCCCGGCCGCGGGCGAGGTACGGGGCGGGCACGCCGAGTTAGCGGGCGCGGGGCAGGGAGGCCGGGGCCGCTCCCGCGGTAAACTTGACTGTGTCCTCTTCCCCCGCAGCCGCTGCAGAGGGAGCGTCGCGCCGGGGCGGAGTGCGGGCTTGCGCGGCAAGTGCGCGCCGAGGTGAGTGCGGGCGGCGCGGTCCCTGCGCCCCGGTGGCGCCGGCGCGAGACCGCGGCTGGCGAGAGGCCCTGGCTCTGCGCTGCGGCGCGCGGGTGCGGGGACTACCCGCCAGGCTCCGGCTCGGGCGCGGGGAGCGGCCGTGACGAAGGTCGCGGCCCCTGCGGTGAGGCGCCCGGCGAGTTCCGCGGGCGGGCGCGGGTGGCCTCCCGAGGTGCGGGGAAGACCAGGTCGCGAGGCCGGGGGTCTCTGCTTTCTCGCGCTGGGGGATGGCCGTCAGGACCCTGTCGCCTTCTTTGAAATGCTGTGGTTTTTGAACCTCAGGTCACGAAATGGATTGGAGTGAACCGGAGACCCCGAAAACGGAAGCGCAGGGAGAAGGAAGAGGTGTTTGAAAAGGTAGGGGTTCCCGAGACGGTACTCGGTGCAGGTCTTGGTAAATCCGCTTCTGCCCCGTGAGGACCTGGTCATGACAATAGAGTAGTGTTTAATTTAAAAAGTTTTTGTTATAATAAACCATAGATTTAATATATGGGGAAATTCTACAGAAATATTGGTCGATAAGGCTAATGATCATTTATATAGTCTCATTAGGAGAGAGTAGCCCATGAAATTTGTTTCATGCTCATTAAATACAGCAATCGGACTTAAGTGGGTTCCATTATTATTTTAGATCAGCAGTGTTTATTATCTCAGTGTTAAGGTACCTCTGAAAAATGAAAAGTGTTCCGAATAAATCGCCCACAGTATTAGGTTTCCATGCTGTACTTTCTCTCACCTAGACTTTAAATTGGAGTCATCTAAGAAATAGAGAGAGAAGAAGAAAGAAGTGGATTACTTTTAAAACACTAGGAGGAATTTTATTTACTGTAAAGCAGATGAGAAATTTGTTTGCCCAAGTTTAGAATTTCAGTATGTTACTTTGCAGAAGTTTGGACTGCCTGTCTTTTGATTTTGTATTAAAACTTGATTTGTCATTGTAATATCATGAAATAAGGTAAGTAGCCCGTTGTTTTCTAAGTGACTTGCGGAAAACTCGTAAAAGTGAATAATTTTTTGACAAATATTACAGCAGATAGGTTTTTTTGTTGCTTTTGCTTAATTACATTTCACTGTTTTTTGATTCTTGATACCAGCAAGGGATTAAAATAGCGGTGTGTTTTTCTGCTGCTAGAATGTATGATGAATCACTCTTGATTCTGAAGCCAAATTCTTGCTGATAGCATTGCTGCCAATTTCTGTGCTATGTTGCCTTAGTATGGGCATTGCAGCGTCCGAGAATGTGCACAAAGCACATCAGAATAAAGGTGATCCCAGAGCTGCAGAGTGCACGTCAGGATACCAGAGGGCAGCTTCTGAGAGAGCTGGAAAAGGAACCAGCCTGCGAATATAGTTGTTTGTAGCTGGACTTTCAGTGTGCATGAAAAGGGGGACCCCACCCCTTTTCTTTTTCCACAGAGGGTCATATATGTCACTTCAGTTGAAGAATAATAGAAAAAGTTGTGATTTGGAACAGACTTGAGTTTTCTGACCATACCTCAGCATGGTATGGTAAGTTGTGTTTAATGGTTTAGGTGTTTTTTTAAATGTTTGTGAGGTGATGAATGAGATCATAAAATACCCAAAGAAGGAAAAGAATTATGGCTTGCTTGGTATTTTTTAAAAAATGTGTCGTTGCTGTTAATTTTTTTTTTTTTTTTTTGAGACGGAGTCTTGCTCTGTCACCCAGGCTGGAGTGCAGTGGCGTGATCTCGGCTCATTGAAGCCTCGGCCTCCCAGGTTCAAGCTATTCTTCTGCCTCAGCCTCCCGAATAGCTGGAACTACAGGCACATGGCACCACACCCTGCTAATTTTTGTATTTTTAGTAGAGACGGGGTTTCACTGTGTTAGCCAGGATGGTCTCGATCTCCTGACTTCGTGATCTGCCCGCCTCGGTGTCCCAAAGTGCTGGGATTACAGGCGTGAGCCACTGCACCCTGCCAGCTGTTAATTTTTAAGCCAAAAATAAGATTACCAAAATGCACAATGTGCTGTAGAAAGGAAGGGGAAGCCATTATCTTTGTGGATTACTAGATGTTGTCACTACCAAAATCTAACCTAGAAGTAACCGTATTTGTGACACCCATGACCTGACTACTGGGTCTCCTGAGAATCGGGGTGGGGAGAAAGTGGGGGGGGGACTGATTATTTTACCTTGCAGGAGAATGAAGTTCTTTGCCCAACCGTTTCCTCTTGATACAAGCTCTTGCGTTAAAACTTAGGGGGAAGATTTGCCTCTCACTTTTTTTCTTGGAAAATGTGGGCAGCAATTTTAAAGAGAACATGAAAATGGAGTAGGTTGAAACCAACATTCAGAACTTCCTTTCATGGATTGAAACTTAAAGCTGAGGAGGTTTGAGGGTGGAGGTGAGGAAGGGCTAGAAGATAGCAAATTTCAGAGTCATATCAGAGAATATGAACTGTCAGTGTTTCCAATGTTTCTCTTGGCTCTGCACAGCACTTCCAAGCCCTTTTGCTCACTGTTTTGCTTCTGCCACACCTAGGAGAAGATTCAGAGCTTGCTGAGGCAAAACATGCGATATTTCCAAGGGCCTTCCCCCTATTCTGAAATAGAAATTGAGCTTTGTGATCATGTGTATTCATTCCAAGGTCTATGTGTTAACCTTTTGCTAGGATTTGAACCTGTTATTAGTAGGAGCCGACGCAGTTCACTTGCTGTTGAGTCTAATAAGTTATTTTTAAAAACGTTTGCCATGTCACAAGTAGAAGCAGATTATTCAATTTCTCTTTTTTCCTGCATCCACTATATTTTTCTTCTGTGTTAAAATAAAGCTATGGTATTTTCTGATTTTATTCATTTTGTATTAGTGTAAAATAAAATGAATCTTAGTCATTTCTGGTAGATGCCGCTTTGAAATGTAGCCATTGCTTTTGATTGTCTACTTTGTTTTCCTTGCCTCCGTTCATCCCCTCCACATTGCCCTTGCCTCCAGCCCCGAAGGGTCTGTCTACACCTGCAGGCTTCTCTCAGGATTCAGCCTAGATGAGTAAATTCGGTGAAGTCATCTGTACTAACTCTGCTGGGGGTCACAACCTTTTTCCTCCGATAGGAGGGGGCAGCTTTTTTCCTGCCGTGTGGAAAGCAGAACCTCTGACCTGCCCGGGAAAGGAAAACAGTGCTCTAGTGAGAGGACGGACTCTGACCACGGGCGCTGAGCAAGGAGCTACACGGTAGAACGGCATCTTCCAGGGATGTTTGTTTTCCCCTTAAAGAAAATCTCGAAGGTGCTGAGTAGTAGGCACAGTCTGATGTAACCTGAAATACTAGTTGAGTTTTTCAGTGAACTCACAAGGGGAAGCAAAACAAACTCACCCTGTGCTCAGCTGTGGGTTAAAATAACGAATAGTGAAATAAAGTAAATTGGGGACTGAGATGTACCATGCAGATAAAGTGATGTAAAGTGCTCTGCCGGCCTTTCCCCGCCTTCTGCTTCCAGTCATCCCACCCACCAGAGAATTGTGCCATCTTTCTGTGTTGTCCTAACAGGCTTCATTTCTTATCTCTCTGAAGATGCATCATTCTGTCTCATGCGTCTTTTCATATTTTCTCTGACATTTATTTCCATTTTATTTTAGTTTCATATTTTAGCCCTTGTTCTCCTGGTATGACTGAATTCTTTTATATTTTGTTTTTCGTTTAAAATGACAAAACTCACCTCTTCTACTTCTGGTCCTCAGGTATTTTTTTCTTCTATTCTGATACTCTTTTTTATTATTTCAAGTTCCTTTCATTTAGTTTGAATAATTTTTGCAACAGAAAAACAAGGAAAGTATGAATAACTAACGAAGAACAATTAGGATGATTGGATCAGCCAGCTGTGCAAAGGACAGGATGAACGGTTGTGATTGCAACAGTGGATTTTATGTGTGTTTTTAAACTAATAGATTTCACTAAATGGCTATTGGTTTTGGAAGAGGAATGCACTTTTTTTTCTTTTTTTTTACCTTCGTTAGCTGATTCAAAGATAAAATTGTGTGCCATCACAGATTAAGGAATGTTTTTATAAATATATACATATAATATAAAGATTTAGTAACTCTTTTATCAATATTCTAAGGATTAGAATGTATAGTAGAATAGTCTTTTATGAAATAATATACTTATGGAAAATATATGACTGGTATATGATTCCTTTAGAGGAAGAAAATTTCAATTTTCAGATTCAAAGGAAGCACCCTTCCTAGTCTATATATATAGTAAGCGGAGAACTAGTTTTACAGTGCTCATTTCAGGTCTTCAGTAAGTGTGTATGATGATGTCAGAAGTATTCATTGGCTCACTTTCAAATCATTGAAAATTCAGCCATGCTAAGGTTGGCTATTACGTGTATTAGCGTTTCCAAGCGAGTGGTCTTGGCTGGGGTGAGATTGTCAGCTGTCTGTTAGGATTAGTCACAACAAACATGGTGCAAATGGTTTCCAACAACAGCGCACTTCAATGTTACCTTCATAATTCTTTTCTGCCAGAACCCAAAAAACAATACTCTTGAGCTACTCAGTGTTCCAATTGTTAAAAATTTCCTGAAATTTTCCTTCATGTATTCAAAGTGAAACATAAAGATCTAGAAGGATGGTTGTGAAAAGTATAGACTTTATAGTATCTAGTGGGCATTTTCATTGAGCCCAAATGATAAATTCTGTTTTCCAAGTCTTTTAAGTGAAAAAAAAAAAGATTTTCCTTGTTATAATATATTCCTAAATTCTAGAGTATTTTCACTCTACTTCTATTTCATTTGTTCCTTGTACATACTTGACTCTGAACCAAAATCAGTGATAATCTTAGTTTGAATAATAATTCAGATTTAAAAAATTGTATATAAAATCCAATTTGGTTTATGCATTTTTTAGCGTTTATTGTTCCTTTTAAATTTTATATATTGTAAGAGAATACTTTTATTACAGTACTAATATTATTCAAAATGATAAAGGTAGGTACAAATTTTAAACTATTTAACAAAGTACTGCTGTGTTTGTCTTTTGTTACAAAGGTATATTTTATGTTCAGTTTATGATCTCTGAAAATGAATATTAAGACTAATAAAAATTATTTGGCTCTTTCTTGGACCCAAAACAACAGATGGTGACTGTGGTAGGCTTGACTCCAGAGCCATCAGCACACAAAGCTTAGCAAAATGGCACAGAATGAACCTATGGAGTGCTGAGCTGAGGGTCCCTTCACTTTGTAGGAACTACCCCGCTTTCAGCAAATAGTAGGCTTAGGCAGCCACTCTTATGCCACTGAGGCAACATTGCAGTTGAGTGCTTTCCCAGGCGTTGGTGCCCTTGCCTCTTTTTGAGAGTGCCATTGCTCTGTGAGAATTCATAACTAGTCTACATTTATATAGCCGTAATCTCTTACAATAGCTTCATTGATACTTGATTTCCATAGAAAAGCTTTATGGATTCTAGTGAGTCACGGCTCTTGAAGCACCAGCCTACCCGTTTTCCCTCCCTTCATCCCTTCCTCCCTAACTGTGAGTGGCTTTGTATCCTGTGTTGTACTGATTGTGCCTTTGGATGGCAACTTACTTGAGTGATGGGGGGAGGCAGAATAATTTATTAAAAGTAATTACAAAGAAACCAAACAAAAGGAGTAATTACAGTGCTGTTAATACGCAATTCGTTACTTTATTGCTGAAATATTTGGAACTCATTTGAGATTCTTGGTCCTATTTGTGGGTCTCTGATTTTCCCTTGTAAATCCCTAATAAATAATGTATTAAAGTTTCTGTACCCAGGTCTCATTTTAGATGAGGTTTCACAAAGTCTTAGCTTTGTTTGCTATATATTTTTTTAAGCTGGACCAAGGAATAATTGCTGATAAAAGGTATTTTTGGTAGCCTCAGGAAGGAAATCTGATCTGTATAATTTACTGTTAAATTTTTATCTGTTGTATAGATTTACTTATTTTTCCTAATTTCCCTAGCCATTGATTTTTTTTTTTTTTTTTTTTTTTGATACGAAGTCTCACTCTGTCCCCCAGGCTGGAGTGCAGTGACCTCCACCTCGCGGGTTCCAGCGATTCTTCTGCCTCAGCCTCCCGAGTAGCTGGGACTACAGGCACGTGCCACCACGCCCCATGCCCGGCTAATTTTTTTTGTTTTTAGTAGAGATGGGGTTTCACCGTGTTAGCCAGGATGGTCTCTATCTCCTGACCTCGTGATCCGCCCACCTCGGCCTCCCAAAGTGCTGGGATTACAGACATGAGCCACCGCGCACAGCTGATGTATTTTTTTAAGACTGCCGTTTTGCTGGGCATGGTAACTCACGCCTGTAATCCAAGCACTTTGGGAGACTGAGGCAGGAGGATCACTTCACACCAGGAGTTCGAGACAGCTTGGGCAACATAGAGAGACCCCATCACTACAAAACATAAAGGAAGTAAAAATTAGGTATGATGGTACATGGCTGTAGTCCCAGCCACTCAGGAGGTTGAGGCAGTAGAATCGCTTGAGTTAATGAGTTAGAGGTTATAGTGAGCTGTAATCCTGCCACTACACACCAGCCTGGGTGACAGTGCAAGACCCAAACTCAAAAACAAAAACAAAAAAAATCTATAGTTTAAAAAAAAGTTCCAAGATTTCTGTGTACAAAATTCCTTCCCGTTTTTAACTAGCATAATAAGGAAAGTTAAAGTATCATCATCCACTTACCCACATACACTTATTCACATATTTTAAAAAGAATCTTTGAATGGAACTATTCATATCATAATAGCTAACATTTCCCATGTGTCAAGCACTGTTCTAAATCCATTACATGTATCAGATCATGTAAATGTACAATTAAAGTAGTATCACAACCAGCAATATGACATTAGGATGTTGTAGAGTGCATCAAACACTTTTTGAAAGGGGTGAGGTGTAAAGAAGTCAAACAATTGCTATAAAAAAGAATGCTTTGGGCAATATTTGAAAATTCTCTTTAGTGCAGGTTATTGACAATCCTAGACCACCAGCATAAAGCACACATATCTAATTTAGGAAAATCCCAGCCGGGATGTATTTGAAAACATTTGGAAGTGTGCTGATAATTACACTACTATTGATTTTAGCAAGTTTGATGCCAGCAGCCATCAACTCTTCTATGCCATAAGAGATGAAAGCCATTTTTATATAAAATGTTAGAGTTCGGCTGGAAAAGGGAGGCAGGCAGAGAAAAATTTCGTGGCTTTTTAGTTACTTTTATAGGCAGTATTAGTTTCATTCTTGTGACAGAATGCTTTACTTGGCAGTCATTCTCATCGACATTTTAAGGAGCTGCTGTTTTGTGCCTGGGTCTCATATGGCACTAATAAGGTGCATTTTTTTCTGTAGCACGTACTGATGTCTGTGTGGGCTCAGGCCTGCCATTGTTTCCATTCATCTTGTATTGGAGGAGGCTGACAGCAGCGTGTATCGAGTCTAGCCAACATATATTTCCTTCTGGAAATATATGTTCAGGGTCTGTGCCCACAGAAGAGTTAAACTCAAGCTTTTAATCTCCAACACTTAGAAAAAGGCCTGGCCACATGCAGCCTCAATAAGTATTTGTTGAATGAATTAAATGAATGAATCCCACAAATGGCATTTATTTTATAAACTCATACCTGGCTATTGCATTAAAAATTTTTTTTTCGCTATTCAGGTTTTTATTTATTTTGTTTTTTTTTTTTAACGTTAGAGGTTTTCATCAAAGTATATTTGGTAGAGTTTTCCTGTTTTTTTTTTGGGGGGGGGGGCAGGGCGATTATCTCTTATCTTTTCTATAAAGAGAGCTTGGATTCCTAAAGACCTTATACTGGTCCCAACTGTACCACCTAATCATGTGTCCCTTGAGTTTGTCACGTGACCTTTGCTTTCCTCTGAAAATCCTTTTACTCAGTAGGCCAATTAAACCCATTTATAATAATTAATAAAATCAATATGTTTGACTTCAAGTTTTTCCCTTAGTTTTATGATTTTTTAAAAGTATTATCCTTTTTTGGCATTTAGGAAGGCATCTATTTTTGTTTTAATGGTTACTTTGATGTAATACTTTTTTTTTCTGCTCTTGTGTATTGATTCCCGCTGTGAGTGATAAATCAGTCATTTACCTTTTCTTCCCCCTCCTCTCTTTATTTTCCATCATATAACTTGAAATATTATCCTTTTTTTTTTTTTTACTTCCTGTAAATACCTGTAAGACAGTCGGCCGGAGGATTGTATTTTCAATATAATCTCCTCATTATTCCCTTCTTGATGGTTGGACTGTGTCTACAATGTCAGAGCATATAGGCATTACATACTATGCTGTACCCTTTATAAAATCACTTAAGTTTTAATTCTGTGGTTTATATTTAATGTTCATCATCTGCTTTTAGATTGATGTCTTTTCAGTCAATTCTGAAGCTTGTTTTCTAGTAGAATTCTCAGGAAGAGCTTAGAACAGCTATAGTCCTGGTTTTTTGCATGTTTTAAGTTTGTGCTGTTTATACCTGAAGGTCATGTCAGCTAAATAAGAAATCCTTGGTTCATATTTTTTAATTTAATTATCTAAAGTCTGTTACTCCATTGTCATCCTACATAAAGTCTCATGCTGGTCTCATTTCTTTCCCTTGGGGAGTGACCTGGTCATTTTTCCTGGACACCCAGATTTTTTCTATACATTCCAATAATTTTAGTTTAATATGTCTCATTGTGGGTTACTTTTCCTGGTTGTCACTTGGCTTTTGAGCTTTATTTTCCTTGTCTGTAAAATGAGAATAACTTTTTTGTTTTGCTTGCTCACAGTAGATATGAAGCCAAATAAGGTATTATATATGAAGTGCTTTAAATGTATTATTTTACTATCTTGTTATCCTTTAAAGTTTCTTGTTATTAGGAACTTTGAAATTTAGACAGCCTGAGCAACATGGCAAAACCTTATCTCTACCAAATACAAAAATTGTCTGGTCATGGTGGCTCACGCCTGTAATCCCAGTACTTTGGGAGGCCAGGGTGGATGGATGGCTTGAGTCTAGGAGTTCAAGACTAGCCTGGGCAACATAGCGAGATCCCATCTCTAGAAAAAAAAAAGAACACAAAAATTAGCTGGACGTGGTGGTACATGTCTGTGGTCCCAGCTCCTCCAGGGCTGAGGTGGAGTGTCCCTTGAGCCTGGGAGGCGAATGTTGCTATAAGCCTAGATCGTGCCACTGCCTTCCAGCCTGGGTGACAGAGCAAGACCCTGTTTCAAAAAAAAAAAAGAGAAAAGAAACTTAAGAGTACTTCATTTTATGAGTGTATGGACTTGAGTTGATGTTCTGTCTGTGAAAAGTAAATAGTGGCTACCCAGTGAGTCTTCTATGTCCCGACAGTAAATAACCTTTCCCTGATTCCATGTGGTAAGCAGGATCTCTGCATCTACTCATGGAGGACTACTACTGGATTGAAGGAAGTGGCGCTTTCTGAAGTACCTCATCTAGAAAACTCCATTTCCATTTATCTTCTCACACTCTTGCCTGTCATGTTAGTTCCCCACTCAGAACTCTGGGTTTACATGATTTCAGTTTATATGTGCATAGAGAAACACTGGAAAAAATTAAAGTAGTCTATTTTTCAGATAATGAGGATTGCTGAAAACCTAAGTCAGCCTGAACAACCAGTACATTTTCTTGAATTTATTGTACATAAGTCCCCCACGTAAGAGGCTGCTGGAAAATACCAAAGAGACATGAGAAATGTCATTTCTGGCCATGGGGAGATCAAACACACAGCATATCAAAGATCACTTACAAAGCATCCTGTGATAAATAAATCCACAGCAGCATAACACAAACTAAAGACATGAGTATATGATGCATTTTTACCCGAGGCTACCCTGGGCTAGAGTTTCCATGCCTGGTCTTTGTTTTGATAAAGCAACACTTTACACATGTAGGCTGGAAATTATGGTGGGAAATTGGATAATTGAATTAACTGAGTCCATTTTAGTGCTTTTACCTGGTTTGTAAGCACAGATAGGGGTTTGATTGATGTATATGTAAATAGTGTTAGTGTCTTTATTTGAATATATGCTTTTAAAAATTCATCTATGTTTTGCAAGTAAAGCTGGAACCTATTATAGAAGTCCTGCTGACACCTGTGAATCAAGACGATTTGGAAACCCAAGGCCAGAAATGTAATACTGTTGATTATTCTGTGCATAACACATTTCTTATTAAATTCTATATTTATTCAAACAATTTACAATTTTTATTTGATGTTCACAACGTACAAAACCCTGAGTCAGGAGTAGAGAATACTGAGATGAATAGAATAGTTTATAGTTAGAAGTAGAAAACTATATAGGATAGGAGAATTTATAGATAGATGTAGAAAACTATTATAGGATAGAAGACAATTGAATCACACCTGTATCAGAGGTGCAGGGAAGTGCAGGAGGTATCGGAACAGTTTGGATCTCTATAAGGGAAGTCATCACTTTGGGTATTTTCATTGTCCATAAGCCCTCCTTCAGGCTGATAGCAGGATACAAATACCTGTGCAGTTTCATTCAACTCTTGTTATTTTGTATAATCGAGGATACCATAATTTGTATTCTCAAAATCCAGATTGCCTTCATGAGCACATACTCAGTATGAAATTTTTTTTCTTCTATTTTTAGTAGAGACAGGGTTGCACCATGTTGGCCAGGGTGGTCTCGAACTCCTGACCTCAAGTGATCCGCCTGCCTTGGCCTCCCAAAGTGCTGGGATTACAGGTATGAACCACTTTGCCTGGCCCCGGAAATTGATCTTTTATCTTTGGCTCATAAATGTGAAATCAAAGTGCCACAGCAAGTTTAGGCTACCTCTGAACTTGGTTCAGTCTATTTTACTCTCACTCTTTTTTCCTTTTACTTGCATTAAGCTTTTTTTTTTTTTCCCCCCACGGTAAACCTTTGGTTTTAAGGCAAAATAAAATGTTTCAGAATTGGGGATGGTAACTTTAAGTTCTAGAGTTATTCAAAGTTTCCTTCTCTTGTGATTTTTTTTTTTTTTTTTTTGAAACGTATTCTCTATCGCCCAGGCTGGAGTGCAGTGGCGCGATCTTGGCCCACTGCAACGTCAGCCTCCCGGGTTCAAGCCATTCTCCCTGCCTCAGCCTCCTGAGTAGCTGAGATTACAGGCACCCACCACCACGCCTGGCTAATTTTTGTTTTTTAGTAGAAATGGGGTTTCATCATGTTGACCAGGCTGGTGCTGAACTCCTGACCTCAGGTAATCTACCCACTTTGGCCTCCCAAAGTGCTGGGATTACAGGTGTGAGCCACCGCGCCAGGCCCTTTTGTGATTTTTGAATGTTAGGTTGTCATTCAGATAGCATCCCACACGTTTCCAGCACCACAGATATAGCATGACCTTTTTTTATTGAGATGGGGTCTCATTCTGTCACCCAGGCTTAAGTCCAATGGCATGATTATGGCTCACTGTAAGCTCAAACTTTTGGATTCAAGTGATCCTCCTGCCTCAGCCTCCTGAGTAGCTGAGACTACAGGTGTGTACCACCATGTCAGCTTTTTTTTTTTTTAAAAGAGACAGGGTCTCTATGTTGCTGGTCTTGAACTACTGGCCACAAGCAATCCTTGTGCTTCAGCCACCCAAAGTGCTAGGATTACAGGCATGAGCCACCACTCCCGACCCTGGCATTTTCTTAGATAAGGTAACAGTAGTCATTTTATGTGGCCTCACTTGTAACTACAAGTCACATAGCTCATGCTATTAATTTATAATTATATATAATTATATATATAATTTATGTATATATAAAATGTGGCAATTTTCTACCATTAATTTGGTGTCCAAGAGGAGAAAAAGCTATGAAGGGCATGAGACATTAAACAGGAATGGCAGAAAGAATCCAGGAGAAAAGCAGAATGTACCTCTGGATCCTATTCGTATACAAGTGGGTTTCTGTTTTTTTTTCTCCCTAACCATCACACATACATAAGCTTTAGTTTTCAGTGTCAAAGCTATACAGTCACACATCACTTAATTATGGGGAAATGCTTCATGTGGTGATTTCATCATGGTGAGAACATCATAGAGTATACTTAGACAAACCTAGATGGTAGAGCCTATTGCTCCTACACTTCAAATTTGTACAACATGTTACTGTACTGAATACTGCAAGCAATTGTAACACATTGGTAATTATTAATGTATCTAAACCTGTCTAAACATAGAAAAGGGACAGTAAAAATACAGTATTATATTCTTATGGGACCACCGTTGTGTATGTGACCCATCGTTGACTGAAATGTCGTTATGCAGCGTGTGGCTCTACCTTCAACATTTACTCCTGATGACAAAGGTAAAGATTGCTGAGTGCCCCCACAGACAGCAAAGATGGTGATTCTGAGTCTCGCTCTTAATGACTTTCTTGAGTTATATGTCATGTATACGTTACATGCCAGGAAATTCATCCACAGACAGTTTGTTGAGTTTTAAGAAATGCTTATAGTTGTGTACCTGATACGACAGTCCAGTTTTAGAACATTTCCATCACCCAGAAAGTTCCTTGTATCCATTTGTAGTCAATCCCCATTCCTCCTCCTAGCCCCAGGCAAGTACTAGTCTGCTTTCTGGTTTATAGTTTACCTTTTCTAGAAATTTCATGTAATTGAATCATACACTACTCAGTCTTTTGGATCTGCTTCTTTCATTGTAAAGTTTGAGCTCCAGTGGTGTTGCATGTATCACTAGTTCCTTTTTATTTTAAAGTAGTTTTGCATTGTATGGATATACTACATTTTGTTGATCCACTTACTGGTTATGAGATGTTTGGAATGTTTTTTGCAGTTTTTGGCTATTATGAATAACCCATCTGTGGACACTGGTATAACTGTCTTTGTGTAGACATATGTTTTCATTTCTCTTGGGTGGGTACCTAGGCATTGAATGGCTTGGCTATATGGCAGGTATATGTTTAACTTTTTAAGAAGTTGCTAGACTGTTTTCCAAAGTACCTGTACCATTTTACATTTCCACCAGCAGTGTTTAAGGTTTTTAGTTTCTCTGCCTCCTTGTCAGCTCCTGGTATTGTCAGACTTCTTTATTTTAGCCACTCCGGTGGGTGTTCAAACGTGCTTTTTTATACTTAACATTTTATTTCTTGAGAGGATTTGAAAGTGTCTAGATACCTTAATGCTGCTCGTGTCTTCCATTTTACAGACCAGAAGGCATTGGCCCAGTAAATGGGAATCTAAATGTCTCACCCGAGATTCCCAAATGAGTCACTGAGCCTAGAATCTTCATGCGTCAGTTGGAGTTGTAGCAACCTGCTTTTGTTCTGTCAACTATTGTGACTCAGAATCCTCTCTGTCCTTGTAGCATTGTTAGGTGTGCCTTTCTTTTTATCCTTTCAAAATCATCTGTTCTTATCCTCTCTGGAATTGTGTCTGATGACATGCAGCTTGTTTTCTGCAGAAGAATGCTAGTGTTGTGGAGAGGTTCTCTCTGCCTCTTGGCTGCAGCACACAGGCGCTGGGTGGTCAGACCTGCTTCCGAGGCTGTCTCCACAGTGACTGTGCAACCGCATGTCATCCTGTGAAAGGGCAGATACGTGCCTCGTCAGAGCCTTGTGGGAGTTAGTGAGGGGACTTCTCTAAGGCAGCTAGTACTCACTCAATACTTAATGCATCTTAAGGCACCTCTTCACAGAAGGCGGTGGAAGGCTGCTTACGTGATGGCATGTGGATAGCGATGCCATCCGTTTGTTTTTTTCTCCTCCATGACAGAGAAGCAGGAAAACATTCCTAAATTTATTTATAGACGTTAAAAAAAAATCAGGCTTGGTTTTTTCCTGTAACTGTTCTTCAGCCGGCAGCAAGTATAGCAGCAAGTATACAGCAGCAAGTATACAGCAGCAAGTATACAGCAGCAAGTACAGCAGCAGCAAGTACAGCAGCAGTACTTTATGAGTTGTTGTGTTTATTCCCTGCCTTTTGGCTTTACTCAAGAAAACCAGTTGTGTTTCTCAGAGCAACTGTATTGTTTTATTTGCCACTCTCTTCACTTTGTCCATTATAGTACAATAGATTGTCCTTGTCCCGTCTCCAAATTGGAAGCTCCCTAGGTGGTGGTCAGGCTGTTGATGAGATTTGTATTCTATCAAAGCTCCATTTTAGATAATCTATCATCATTTTTTATACGCAGTAAGTCGCTGATTTTGTTTCTTTTTTTCAAACAGTTTTGATTTGAAGTTCCTTTAAAGGCTGTTGGAGCTTTTGCAAATACCCAGCTAATGAAAGGCACTTAAGATTGGGCCCATGTGCATCATCACATTGAAGTTTTCTGTCTAAAGGAAGGTTCCAGCTACCTGTTACCCTTTTGCTAAACACAGTTGCAGTGTTGCAGTGTATTTCATGACAAAAGTGTACTCTAGTTTTCTGTGAAATGATTATTTTCTCTGAAATGATTCTTGGTCATGTTGAGCTTCTAAATGTTAAAGAGAACATAGTGCTTTTGACCTGTGGAAATCTCATCTTGGTACCATGGTGCTGCACAGACCATCAGGAAGAACTGAAAAGTTCAGGCAACTTGAGAAAATAAAGTCACCACCAGCAAGAAGCTGTCTAAAATAACCGGAAGATTATAACCCAAGCACGTGGAGGAGTGTGCTAGTGAGTAGAATGTTATGAAAGCTACTAGAGGTCCTCCATAGATGCATGTGCTAGTCCTAAGGAGAAGGAAGAGGAGAAGGATTGCCACGGAGGAACACCTGAAGTTTCAGTTGAGCACTTTGTTTGGAAAGTTGTCCAAGGCTGGAGTTGTGAGAGCTGGGAAAGACCTCACAAGCTTCTCTAATTCAAGTCCTTGTTTCACATATGAGAATGCAGAGGCCCTGAGAAGTTGATTCCCAGGCCTGCATGCTGGCCTGGAACTAGAGCCTGGGTCTCCTCTTGCTTTTTCCAGCTGTCTGCCCAGGTAGCTCCCCAAGGCAGGCATGGAGGCAGAGCTGCTTTGGGTTCCAGGTAAGGAGAGATGTGTCCAGGTGGCCTTTGTTGTATTGTGGGGCACAGACACTGAGGGAGACAGGGAAAGGTCTGGGAGACACAAGATGGTACCCCAGAAGGCCATCCTTTGTAGACTAGACACACATCCAAAGGGAGGGCTGTTTCCTGGCTTATTGAGGACTTTTCCATTTGGGCTAGAAGTAAACTGAGTCAGATTTTGAGAGATCAGTAATTCCAAAGAGCAGATAAGGATTCTATAGTAACACAGCTGGGTTCACTGCACGGGTTGATGTCAAATTGTGCTTTTCATGTTACATTAGTGGATTTTACAAGGCACAGATTATTTGACATTTTTGTGATGCTTGTTATAGACCAACTGTGACATGACAGTATTATTTAAAAAAAAAAAAAGAAATATAGGGCCAGGCATGATGGCTCACGCCTATAGTTTCAGCACTTTGGGAGGCTGAGGCAGGTGGATCGCTTGAGCTCAGGAGTTCAAGACCAACCTCGGCAACATGGTGAAACCCCGTCTCTACTAAAAATGCAAAAATTAGCCAGGTGTGGTGGTGCATGGCTGTGGTCCCAGCTACTCAGGAGGCTGAGGTGGGAGGATTGCCTGAGCCTGGGAGGTGGAGGTTGCAGTTAAGCCGAGATTGCGCCACTGTACTCCAGCCTGGGCAACAGAGTGAGACCTTGTCTCAAAAAAAAAAAAAAAAAAGACATAAGCATGACCAGATAAATTGACATTTTGTTTTGAAATGCAGTAATGGCACTCTCACAAATGACCTTTTCACCAGTCTGTGCTGGTATTTGTAAATATATATGTTAGTATTGTTTTCTAAAATGCAAAGCTGATTTTCATGTTTATATATATTCATACCTTGATATATTGCAATTTTAGAGTTTCTGCAGTCTGTCTAACTTGGCTGTTTGTTCATAGGCCAGATCAAACTACCCTCATTCCCCAAAACTTGGATTGTGAAGGGATTAGTGCCCCAGAACTCTCTGTGTTACTGGCAGGGCAAAATGGGTAGGAATAGTCTGGCTTAGGGAAAAAGACATATTTTCTCTCTAACACAACTGGCAGATACTGAAGTGGGCAGGTGGCAAGAAAAGGCAAGTACTGAGCTGATTCAGACTTGCAGAAAGCTTCCTCTCCTCCTTCTTAGCAAAATGAAAGGCTCTGGGAAAAGGCACCTGCCTTTCCCTGCCTTGAGGATCCTGGCATCCTTGAGTCTTTATTGAAGATTAATTTAATGACTTGGTCAACAATAGCATTACCTAATCACAGAGCATCAGATTATCATAAGACAAATTTAAATGATGCCGAAGTATCTTCCAGCAGAGGATTAGTGATGTACCAGCATGCATGTGTAGCTTGTGTGGGTGTGTGTGCATACAAGCATGCACATGTGCGCACACACACAGAGAGTCTAATTGGCCTTTGTCCTCTGAGCAGGGGGCAGGTTTGGGCTGGGGCCTGCTGTGTGACCACAGTCTCCCATCTTAGATTGAAGCTACATCGCTGTGTGCATCTAACTCTTGATTCACGGTCTGACCGACGCCTTGGTTTCTGGAGAACTGCCCTCGTTTATGGAAGAGTCACTGTCATCAGGAGCCATCCCAGGGAGAGGCTCAGTGGGAAGTGTAAAGGTGGAGCAAGTAAACCGGCTCCAGAAGAGAAGGCGAAGAAGGACTATTTCTGTTTAGATTTGCTTAACCGCATTTTCACTTTCTTGGGAACCCCTGATGGAGTTCAAGGTCATAGAAGAGAAGAAATCAGACACTGCTACAGGACTCTTGCTCTTGGTTCAGATTATTCAATGGGAGGGGAGAAGAGAGTAGTCGCAAGTGATTGTTGTAGATTTTGTCTCAGCTTTTTGTTTTTCTTTGTATCAAACCTGTTTTGAGATCATACACTGTTACAGAGAAAGAGAGGAGGCATATTATAAACGTGTGGACTTCAGTGTTATTCCTTCTCTTCAAAATGATGTTCCAGGTGTCTAGAGGGTGAGGTATGTCATTTACATGAAGGTTAAGAATAAAACAGAAAGTGCCTCTATGGTATTCTTAGTGGGGTTTTTTTCCTCTGAAAAACTGTTGCCAGCATATTTGGGAATACATCCTTATATTATTATTTTTGAGATGGGGTCTCTGTCGCCAGGCTGGAGTGCAATGGTGCGATCTTGGTTCACTGCAACCTCCACCTCTTGGGTTCAAGCGATTCTCCTGCCTCAGCCTCCTGGGTAGCTGGGACTACGGGTGCCCGCCACCATGCCTGGCTAATTTTTTTTGTATTTTTAGTAGAGATGGGGTTTCACCGTGTTAGCCAGGATGGCCTCGATTTCCTGACCTCATGATCCGCCCGCCTTGGCCTCCCAAAGTGCTGGGATTACGGGCGTAAGCCACCGCGTCTGGCCTATTTTGTTTTTTTTTAAAGACAGTTCATTATTGTCTATCTTAATATGTTAGAAATCACTCAAAATAAAGCAGCTGTTTTAACAATAGCTCAGTAGAAATAGTTTGTTGAGAGTGTTTTACTTCCCAAGAAGTTTTTTGATGTAGTTTTCTTAGCAGGAAAAATGTTTGTCTGTTGTGGATGGAAACATTTCCCCCCTTGCCCAGAACATGTGTGGTTTCCATTAACTTATTTTTCCATAGAACTTTGGCCATGGCTGTAGCTGATGCTGTGGGTCACCTGTGCTATTAGGGTTAAATTGAGATCTTAAGGTACCTTTCTCCCCGCTGTAGTCCGGAATGACATGGGTTTGTGATCAGACAAACTGATTGAAATCCCACCTTTTTGCCCCTCACCGGCTTTTTCACGCTGGACCGACTCGCTTCTCTAAGTCTCAGTTTCCTCATCTGCAAAACAGACTTCACGGGAAAACATTTTGCACAGAGCTGCCCCTGCATCATGGGTCACAGACAGTAGTAATTAATGTTACTGGGGAATGGGCTTTTCCAGTACTGTTTTCAGACTTAAAGTCATTTGTTATCTGTGGTGTGTTATGGGAACAGAAGATGTTCCTGAGAGCTGATAGGAGAGACCAGGAAGTGTAGCTGCAGGAAGAATGACGATGAGGGCACGTTTGGAACATCAGCGTGGCGGATGTGGGCCAGCTGAAGTGTCCCCAGCATTAAGACTGGGAAAGCAGCCCAGTCACTTCTCTAGTGGGTCCCAGCCACAGGTGCAGAGGACGCCTGCCTCCCAGGCAGACCCAGGAAGCTGCCCCATGGGGCCACTCTGCCCTAGTCAAATACTGCCTCAGGTTCAGTTGGAAGTTTCCAGTCGGCTCCTCCAAAGGGAGTTTTAGTTGAAGTCACTAGAGCTGTTTTATTGATTTTGGTTGAGGTCTTTGTGAGCTCAATTTACAAAAAGTCTGGTTATCCACAAAAAAATGCTTGCTGGTGTCCTGAGCAACTGAAGAATTCCAGAAACCTTTCAACAACAAGTGTTGAGATCTCCCCTGACCCCCGCCTCCCAGCAACTACAGAGGTCTGAGTTTGCAGTAACTATTATTCTTGTGTGGAATTGGCTCTGGATCGTTAATAAGTTTCCCTGAGCGCTGACTAACAGAAACCCACTTAGTCACAGAAGAAATGGGTCCAGTGTTTGTCCCAGCTATGAGTAATGGGTTATGCATGATTTAAAAAGGCTTCTCAGAAAGGCCTTGCTTATGTAGTCAAGGATCAATATTTTTGAAAAGAAGTTTTTATAGGTAAGCCATAACATTACTTGATAATCAGACATCATTTTCAAGTAGTTAAAAGGGTCATTGGATAAAGCTCAGTGGACCGACACTGGCTTCCTAATTGCTAAGGGCTGAAACTCCACATGCCCTGTAAATTATGAGCATGCTTGAATTTTTTATGGGAAAAGAAATTATGGTTTTATGTCGGATAATTTTCATGTCAAATGTTAGATCAGCCAGCCGGCTCTATCATCCAGGCAGGTTGTTGTTTTTCCCCACCTGATCCCTGCTTTTCCTTGAGAAGTTTATTTTAAATGGAGAGTCAGGAATGAGAGAGAACGTAGGATAGGAATGAATCATGAGAAAAATGCCACCAGTTGTTTTCCATAGTCCGTGTCCTTGTTGGAATATCCTTACCTTTGTCAACAGAGAGTAGCAGTTCATCCACAAGCTCGTGAGCAGCCACTGGCAGCACTGCCTCCATGAGGCCTCGGGAGCATTCTCATTGTTTTCTCCAGGCTGTGCTGTTCTTCCCCTCAGCCTTGAGAGTGACCAGGGATCTCCTAGGCCTAGGGAAACGCCACCTGGTCATTGGCCAGAGCCGTTTCTAGATATGGTATCTGACCCCTGTGTGAGTACCGACTGCCCAAGAGCTGGCAGTAGTTTTGTACTCTGAGCCTGAGCGTGTGGCCCCACGTTCCATGAGGCCTTTGGCCGGTTTGTTTGCCAGAGTGTCTCTGAGAGGAGGGAGAATGTTGGTATGGAGAATAATTTTATTGCTTTCTTCTCAAAATAAAGGAAATACTCAAGGGAATGGTGGGAGGGGAGGGGATAAATATAGCGTTTCCGATTTCCTGCTTCCTCTACTCTTCCACAGCATTTCACTTTTCATACGGTTAGATTTTCATCCTATCGACTTCAGCTAAAAATAATTCCAACCATTTCTATCAGATTGGCCCTCTTATCATACTTGTTATTATTTTGCTTTCCTATTCAAAACCTTTTTTTCCCCTTAGGCCAATGAACTGTTTTACTTTATTAGCTTCATATTTATTTATTTGTTATTGATGGATAATAGGTATACATAGTTTTAGGGTACATGTGATTTAGTACCATCATATAATTTATAAAAATCAAATCATTATATTTGGGATCTCAATCAACTTAAATATTTGTCTTTTCTTTATGCTAGAACCATTCTCAATAGCTTTTCTACAGGGAATAAAAGATGGTCTACAGTGCTCACCTGCTGCACCTGGTGCATGTGTCATGGTCTTATGGCTGGGGCAGTCTTGGTGTCCTGGCTTTTGGATGGTCAGAAATTCTGGCTTGTCCTTGTTCTTCCTTCTCCCGTGATCCATTTTCCCAGCAGAGGCCATTACATATGCTGGTGTCCCCCTACTCCTTCCAGCCTTCTGTTAACAGATACTGTCAGCCCACAGCCACTGCAGACGTGGCCCATTGCTACTTCCTTGTCCACAGCAACAGTGCTGGATACGGCTCAGTGCCTTGTCAGACAGACAAGAGTTGTTGATGAGTCTGCAAAGCAGAGCTGGTAGGTTAGCTGCCAGAGCTGACCCCACTGAGCAAAGCAGTGAGTTTAGTAGGTACTTGGCAAAAGTTAATTCATCAGGAGTTGGGAGAAAAGGTGCAAGAAAGGTCGTCTTAGATTATTGGGCATGGGCTGCCTGCTTACCACATTGGTATTTTCGTTTTGTATAATTATTAAGTTGATAGTGATTTTAACAAATAAAACATAACTTTGAAGTTTGGGAGGTAAGTGACTTGTGTAAGGTTTTAGGTTACATGAGCTAAAGATAAGAATTTCTGTAGTGTCATTTCCTAATTGTTCAGAGTGCCCATTATGCTTAGCCTAGGTGTCTTGCTTGGGTTAGCCCATTCTAAAAGTCGTGTGTTCCTAGGGCAGTGGTCATGATCATCACTGGACTCTGCCAGTTCCCAGGCCCCAGCACTGCCTCCGCCGGCAGCAAGCAGTAATAAGTAAGCTCCGAGTGGTTAAGCCTAATAGGGCTGTGACCCAGTTTGAACTCCGTAATGAGGAAAGAGCAGATTTATTTGCTCCCCTGCATGCGTCCCTCCCCCGTGTTCCTTTATTATCTTTAGAGGAAATTGAATAGCAAAATTCTGCATTCTCATAATGCTAATGGACTGATGTCATCTTTTCCACTCTGAAGTCAAGAAAGTAAGAGAAAACCGGAATATAGATTTAACACTTCATAGCTACCCAGGGCTTCAGCACAGGTTCTTTCTGTGTATATATATGTTTTTAACAACTTTAAGGCGTAATTTACGTGCCATAAACAATTCACTGATTTTAAGTAAGTTAGCTAAGTTGTGCAACCATCACCACAATCTAGTTTTAAAACATTTCCATCATCCCAGAGAAACCCCTGGCATCCATCACTAATCACTGCCTATTTCCCCCTCTCCTCATCCCTAGGCAACCTGTAAATCTACTTCTTGTTTCTGTAGATTTGCAGTTTCTGGACATTTCATATCAGTGGAATCATATAATACATGGTCTTACGTGTTTGTTTTCTTTCACTTAGCATAACGTATTGAGGTGCATGCATGTCGCAGTGTGTATCGCTGTGTTCCCTTTATTCCTGGACAGTATTCCATTTTATGGTTACACCACATTTTATCTGTCTGTTCACCAGTTGATGCACATTTGGGTTATTTCCAGTTTAGGGCTGTAGTAATGCTGCAGTAAGTACAGATGAGTTGTTAAATGAACATATGCTTTTACCTCTCTCCGATAGATGACCTAGGAGTCACGTAAGTTGAGTAAATTTATATGAGCAGTTGAGTAAATGGAGTGATTTAAGAAGCCTAGATTGTTTTCCAAAGTGGCTATACCACATTACCTTCCCACCAGTGATGAACAAGGGTCCCAGTTTCTCCACATCTTTGCCATGAGCTATAAGGAATATAACCTTAACTGTTGACTTGTTTTATATTCTTAGGTACAGAAGAAAGCTAGGAACTATTTTAAGGTATTTACAGTTTTTCAAGCATTGTTAACACATGTTAATTAAAACTGTAGGGTGGGAGTGGTGGCTCACGCTTGTAATCCCAGTACTTTGGGAGCTGAGGCGGGTGGATCGCTTGAACCTAGGAGTTCGAGACCAGCCTGGGCAACATGGCGAAACCCCATCTCTATAAAAAAATACAAAAGTTAGCTGGATACGGTGGCATGCACCTGTGGTTCCAGCTACTTGGGAGGCTGAGGTGGGAGGATCGCTTGAGCCCAGGAGTTCAAGGCTGCAGTGAGCTGTGACCACACCACTATACCCCAGTGTGGGTGACAGAGCCAGAGTGAGACCCTGTCTCAAAAAATAATAAAATAAAATAGAATAATAAAATAAATAAACTTGTAGTCTTTGATGCCTATCCTCCCTACTCTCTAGGTTCTACCACCAGTCATGCATGCAACAGTTAAACACATTCCATTTAATTATGTTTTTTTCTTGTGGACTTGATATAAAGTATTGAGTTGATGTGTGTATGTGATATTGTCTAAATTAAATTTACTTTGAGGAGTGATGTTTTTGGTATTTTGAATTCTTTTTTTTAGTTCTGTTACTCAAACCAATGTTTGTCAGTTTGTATTTCTGATTATACACATTGTTTTAATATAGAAAAGACACACATGTGTCTGTAGAGCCATGTTTTGGGGTGCTTTAAATAATTAAATAGTGAAGTTCTAGGTGTTAGAATTTGGTAGCTTTTAAGGATTCTTTATTAAAAATGCAACTAGCAGTATCTGTATGAATCTAGGCTATCTCCAAAAGCCTTGCAAAAGTTGTGCAGGAAACTTTATCACATCATTAGAACATGGCAGGGGTTACTACGTTTTCAAGTCCAAATGACCAGAGTTTCTCATTATTTTTGCTTATTCTAGAATTTGCAGGTATTTTTAATTTTGGCAGTGAGCAAATCAAGTGAACCTATTTTTCTAAATAAGTCGTATCATCAGTCATGACAGAGCATTCCGGTGAAATAACCCTCTCGTCGTGGGTGAAGTTCAGGACCACCCTTTGGGTCTCAGCAGAATCATGAGCCTCAGAACACTCATTGCAGGCCTGTTTATCTTTCAAATTTGTGCTTGTCCAAATATTCTGAAGCGGGGCATGCAGTCTGTCAAGAGGAAAAGATGAGAGGCATTCCAGTTCACACCTAGCACCCAGGTGCCCAGTGCCAGAAGTTCATGGGAGGAAAATAGTGACAGAGATGATTTTCTTAGGGTCTGATATCTGAATAAACAACCTCAACTGAACACAATTTACATCAATTATTTTGGCCTCCAGAGGCACTTTTGTCATGTGGTGGCAGTTTGTTATAAAGGAACGGTTCTCATAGGGCAGAATCACCCTCGTGGGAGTGATGTGGGTGCTTTGTGATCGGGGTGCTTTGGCCGTGGGTGTATGGAGTCCAGGCGCACTATGCCTGTGGTGCACAGTGCATTCCAGCAGACTGGAGAATTACGTCACTACCCACACAGCCTTCAGGTGCCAGCTGGAGAGCTGTACAGGTGAAAAACTGGTGTCTAATATTTGGGCTTAGAAATTCTTTTATGTACACAGTTTTAATATTGACTCAGGTTTCTGGGAATGAGTCTGAAGGGTAAATCTGGGAAGATTGTATTTTGTTGAATTTTTCCAAGAGTTACTTGCCATTTCAGAAAATCTCTTTTGCAGTGAGAATGCATTTGTGATGTTTGAGTGACCACCTGCCACAGCTGCTTCAGTTTGCATTAACAGCTGTGTGTTAGTGGGGATTCTCCAGGCAGCCCATTGCTTCACTGTTGTATTTAATTGGGTACTCAGGCATCAGCTTGTAAATATTGACGTCCATATTAATGCTTTATAACTCACTTTTCCTTTAATTCTGCTTTCTATTATAGATAGAGCATTGTATTAGAATTTCCCTGCCCAATTGTGTATATTATTTGTGTTAGGTTATCCAAGAATTCCGCGAGAGCCATTGGCCCCAGATGTCCGCAGTGTTTTGGTCCATATTACTGAGATACTAGCCTAGTGTGTCTGGAAGGCAGCGCCAGCTGGTGAGGAACGCACATGGGGCAGAGTTTCCAGGTAGCTGTGTGGGCAGGTGCTGTGTGGCATTGAGCTGTCCTCGTTTGCTGAAAACTGATTCTCTCAGGGGCTTGCCTGGGACTCCCTAGGATGTGGTCCTCTATACTTGCTGCCGTGACCAACATGAAATCTCCTGTCACCGTGCACTCTCTTGGGGAAACTGGGGGTGCCAGAAGACCAGCCACACATTTCTGAGAAGAGGTGAGGGTGAGAGGCAATCAGGCTGGCAGGCCTCAGGTGGACATTACTGAATTCCTTATGGGCATTGTGTAGATGCATACATTAAATCATTCTACCAGTCTGAATTTTCCTGGCCTTTGTCCTTTTGTCTGCGTGTGTTACTGATGAGCCATGCCCTGTAAACCGGTGTGGCCCCTTCCAAAGCCTGTGTTTTCTCAGTAGGGTAAAGTTACTCGAGATCCTCAAGTGTAAGTGCTGTTTCTTTTTTGTGTGCTGCGTGTCACCCTCCTGGGCCCTCACACCTGCCATCCATTCAGTGCCATGCCAGTCACTCCTTCACCCCCAGAATTTGAGAGACGCCATGTGTTAGCAGCTCCTGTTTCAGCACTGATTGGAGTTTCTAAGTTTTCCAGTATTTGTTGTCCTTCTTTCATTTGTTATTTATATTTTGGGCATTTCAGTGTTTTGTAAGCATCTTCTCCAGCAGCTTATCAGGGGCATGGTGAGAATTTAAAAAGGAAAGTTACTCAAGGGAAGGAGGTTGAAATTCATTTCAATTTAATTTATAATAACCAAATCTGTTAATATGAAATCCAGGTGATAGTCTGGCCTCTCTTTCGTAGTGCTTGTCCTGGGAGATGGGTGGCATTACTGATGGTGTGCCCAGCACTCCTAAGTAGGGAGGCCCCCTGGGAGTCCAGTTCATGTTGCTCAAGTTGTTGAAATCTGGATTTGAGTGCTGAGTTGACCATTGCAGCCGTGGTATGATTCTGGTCTCTGCATAAAGTAACCAAGCTTTGTTTTCTGGTGTGATACCTTTCCTGTATTTTTATTACAGTTCAGCATATTTAGTTTCTTGTTTTAAACCAACTCAAGATAAGAAATTTAACTTTTTTTCCCCCTGAATATCAAAGTGATACTGTCTGTTACAGAAAATTCTGAAAATATGGGAAGGTATAAAGAAGAAATTTCAAAATTACCAGTAATCCAGTCACTCAACCAGCACTTTTAGTATTTTGATTGTCTTTTAAGAAGAATAATTATTGAAGAAGAATGGGAGCGTGTTATATATTTGTGACTTTGACTTTGTGACTTCAAAGGTGGTTTCATGCAGGCTACTTTTTAAAAAAATAATTGAATTCAGTTGTTTTGAAATTCTGCTTTTTTGGAAAGATCTGTTATGTACATTTCATAAAAAGCAACTTCATTGACCATGAGTACTGGAATTCAGCATTTAACTGCAGCTGTAGTCCTGGGGATATGTATACCTTAACTGATTCCATTTGATAACCATCTCCTGTGTCCTGGAGTAAATGGCTGTAAGTGCAGAGCAGCGTCTGAGCCTCATGAAGGGATCGTGTCGGACTGTGAGAGGAAGGTTTGTGCATTCGTCCTTTACCTTTGCCTTTCTGCATGTGGCCAGTGATGTAAAAACTGGCAGCAGCCATCCTTCTTCCTCTCTGTGTCTCTTCTTCCTCTCTGAACATGAATCAAACAGGCATCCATTTCAGAATCTCAGGGGACACTGCCAGCTCCCCATCATGACTTGTGTGTTTAGTTTGTAGGCGCAATATGGAAATTATGGAAGATGAGCTTCAAGGTTCAGCAGTTAACCGTGGGTCTATTTCTGCTCTACTTTATGGGTTACACTGAAATGGATACTCAACTTATTTCTAAGAAACATGCAGTTACACAGCTGTCTCCTGCTTTCTGGCTTTTATTAAAATGCAAATAGTCCTCACTTCAAAGTAGCATAATCAAATCCTGAAAGAAGTATAACTGATACTTTGCCTCCTCTCTAGTATTTCCACTATGTTGTCTGGCCTGGCTGGCTTTTCCGACCCTTCTCTGCTAGGCTTGATCCCAGGCTAGTGGAAAGTGTGGTGTTCACAGTGTGCAGTTTTACCCTGGGTGTGCAGTCACATGCACCCCCACATGACATGAGCTCTGGTGGTGTTAACAGCACAAAGTGTTAAATATAAATATGCGTGGCCAAAGAATGTCAATTATTTTGGCAGTTAATAGATTTCTCTGCATTTACCAGTATGTATTTAATGAAGTGAAGTCAGTGCGTCGGTCTGTCTTTGTTCTTCACATGTCTACTCTTTTAGTTTAAAAAGAATGTCATGAAAGTGAAGTAGTTTCTCTTCTCTCCTAAACATCCAATCACGGAGCGTGTTCTTGGTGGGCATTCTTCACGTGTACCCAGAATGCCAGAACACGACGTCATCTAGGTCTTCATTTTAGTGTGATTAGAAGCTAAGTCCCTCAGCATTTTTTAATAGAAACTGATACCCGATTTAAACATCACCATCTATCAAAGCACAAGAGCCCAGCTCTGCCAATGCCCCAGCAGTGGCCAACTGGTGGGGAGTGAGGACAGAACTGCACACTTTTGCAGATCAAAGGGGGCTGTTGGATTTTACTACTCTACACGTAACTGATGAATTGCTAAAGCTCACCTGTGCACCTTAAATCCTGTTCAAGCCCGATTCTCCGGGTAGGGGGGAATTAAAACATAAGCTCCCTAAGCTGCTGCTGGATCATGTCATTTCATGCTCCCTTTTGGAAATGTGTCCCAGTTCAAACAAGCGAACACTGTTTGCTCCTCTTGTCTTGTGACTTGTCCCAGATAACTGGAGGATTATCCTGTTTGTGGACCATGTGCCACAACTGAGGGGCTTTGATGTTGCAGAGCCCCCGCCTCTTCTTTTGATTACATGTGTTTCTGCTAAAGACAGCTTTTTTCAGTGCTTACAGGGGCATGAATAAGTGGCTCAGTGTCCTGTAGCTTTTTGTACTTTGTGGTTTCTCTCATCCTGTTACATTAACCATAACATGGAAAGGGGCATGATCAGAAGGTACATGTCCCAGGAAAGCAAACTAACTGGGGGGCCCTGAAACCCTCCAGCAGGACTCACAGTGAGCCTGCAAACACACTTTATCGTGTGTGTCTGAGAAAAACCCCACTGCACCTGGCCAGCGGAGGCCACCTGCTTCTGGCCCTTCCTTTTCAGGCCACCCCCACCTGGAGTGGTAGATAGGCCTCTTGGCTTGAGTGCTGTGGCCAGCCAGGTGTTCACAGGTGCAGGGGAGCTGTTCTGGGCCAGAAAGACTGGCAGACCTCGCATGGCCCATCAGGAAGCCTGTCCACCTCCCAGGGAAATGAAGCAGATACTGCAGCATTGGTTTTCAAGTGAGGCTTTCAGATATGTTATCTGTTAAGTAAACTCTGCCATTCAAAGGTATTACTGAAACAAAAGCCAGAGAGTGAAATGTGAAAACGTTCTCCTCTGTCCTATGGTGAGCCAGCGAAAGGTGGCGATGTGCACTACCAGAGGGTCCTTCACCTTGGGTGTACAGTGGGCTAGTTGGAGAATGTTTTCTTGAGGAGCTGATGTTCTCCCAGGCTACTCTGCTCTAGGCACAAAACCTCACTTTGGAATACTTCACCTGCAACAGAGCCTGTTTTGTAGCTAGTAAATACTAGGTGTTACTTAGGAATAAATAATTGGCACCCAAATCAGTAGGTAAATACATGACTAAGTGAGGGGAGGGTGGTTTGGAGTTGTTCCCACCTCTGTGCTTTTATTTTATGACAAAACAGCCTCATCAGTGATGTTACAGGACGTGCAGCCCTGAGAGCCCCAGAGCTCTTTTCTGACCAGGCTATGTGATGGGCATGTGCATGTATAGGTGTGTATAATGGGGATAAGGATTCTTCTGATACTGTGCCAAGTGCTAGAACACTAGAGTTCATTTTAGAATGGCTGTTTTTGGGATGGCCACGTATTGTTCAGGGAGATTGCAGTTGGAAAAAGTGCAGTTGGAAGCACACCTGACATGGTTGGGGGAAGGTGCCTACAGCTTCAGCCAGCGCAGCCAGCTAAGAATAGCTCCTGTGCTATGTGCTGTTAATCTCGGAGACGGTTCCTTACCACTAGTCCATGGAGTCTAGAGTTGGCCAAACAGATATAAGTCCGCTGTGTCCTCATTTCACCTCTTCTTTTGTTCTACGCCTTTTTCTCTTGTACTTTTGTTCCTCTTTCTAGTACTAACGTCTCCTCCACCTGTTTGTTCTGGTGCCGTGTGCTCAGCATGTCTCTCCATGCTCCTCTCTTACCCCCTAAAACCCCAAGTGGTGATTCCTTCCTTCCAGCAAAATGTACTCATTCAGTTTCCCTCTCCTCCCTCCCTGTTGTGTTTCTCTACCATTCTTTGATAGGTGATATGATGAGCCAGAATTGATAGGCTCATGTGTATGTGGTTCTGTCTCCATCAGTCGGTGTGATTCTTCATGTTTAGAAAGGTTCCATTTAGAACCTTCTTTAGAAAAGGTTCCATTTCTAAAGAAGCTACAGTTCCCTAACTGAAGTTTCCTCCTTCGTAAAAATGAAGTAGTAGGTTAATTATATGACGCTATAATTAATAATAAAGCCTGTATTCTACTTAATATGTCTTTCATCAAAAAGGCCACATGGGAAATTTTTGACATTTAAAAATTATCTCTGAATTCAGTCTTTGTCAGGGTTCAGCAAATCACAATACAGTGTTTCGTATTTACTTTCTTTTGTAACATTATAGAAATAAGAGTATGAAATACATAAGGATTCTACATATAGAAGTCACAGAAATCATTCTGTATATTCAGAAGTTAAACATCCCCAATTTCATTTGTGAGCAGTTAAATTTGGGGATACTGTGAAAATAAATTTATATCAAATTATATTATTTGATTAACCCAGTGGAGATTTAAAAATCTTATATATTGTTTTCTCCCCTTGCTTTGCTGTCAGCTGTTAGTTCTGTGAGGTCATTGATGATGACAGAATTGCTGTCTAAATGACGTACTGAAGACACATCCCTGCCTTGTCTTCCATTAGAGGTTTGGTTCTGAGTCCTGACGTTGATACTGCTTTATTCCAGGGTACCTATTTGAAAACAAGGGAGTTTTCAGTTATATTTGAGACATAGTGATATTATTGTTTTTTGCTTGAAGCCAAGATGTAGGTAGCGATTGCTTCCACTTTATTTTTACTGTACTTTTATATAGTAATTTGGACAGGTGTCTTCATAAAGGAGATCTTTGACAAGGGAAAATAGACCCAGACACCCATTAAGACGTGTTTTCTCCCATTTTCTCCTTCCTTGCAATATAGGTGGGTTTGATAGAATAGTATTAGGAAATACCAAAGAATCTACCAAATGGGTAAATGCTACTTAAGTGTCTGTACAGGTCATTTAGATGAGAGGATTTGAGACTATGCTTGTTATAATTTGAGAATTATACATGGGTCAGGAATGACATGAGGGCTGAGGTTGAAGCAATTTGAAAAGGAGAGATAATCATGAAACTCTACTTGGATATTAATAATTTTTCCCTTGAATCACACACAGTGGCCTGCGAGGCCTCATTTTGGCTCATCAGTTTTTATATGGGCTGAAGGCATTTGTTTGGAAGATGTAAATACCCTTGTGTTTTTAATAGGGAAAGGTTGGATCAAGTTTGCTCTTAATTCTGATCAACTGACAGTCTTTGACTCAACATGAAGCACACTGAGATAAAGCGGATCCTGGTTTGCTGATACAGATCTCTCAGAAGAGGAGCTTGAGAAGCGGGCCTTGCTGGGATTTCCTCTAATCGCTGCATTGGATTGATTGATAGGATTCAGGTTTTGTTATGAACTTGGGAGAGAAGTGGGAAGACATCCAATAACACCCAACATTTCATTTAATATTTGAAAGAAAACCATTTCTTTTTCTTTTTTCTTTTTTTTTTTTTTATACTTTTAAGTTCTAGGATACATGTGCAGCCTTGTTACATAGGTATACATGTGCCATGTTGGTTTGCTGCACCCATCAACCCATCATTTACGTTAGGTATTTCTCCTAATGCTATCCCTCCCCCTGTCCCCCACCCCATGACAGGCCCCCGTGTGTGATGTTCCCCACCCTGTTTCCGTGTGTTCTCATTGTTCAATTCCCACCTGTGAGTGAGAACATGCGGTGTTTGGTTGAAAGAAAACCATCCCTACATTGATGACATACCAGTTTTCTCCTGAACCTGGACATTAATTGTTGGCATGTTGGGGAAGTCTGCTCCTGTGATGTATCTCGTAGGAGCAGTCAGCAGCCAGACCTAACAGTTTGATGCAATCAAGTTCAGGGCCAGTTGGAACATCTTGAAAAATCTAAGTAAAGGTATCTAAGGTGGGTAGTAAATCTCTAAGGAATTTCCTTTGTATTAGTGATTTGCTGTTTTTTAAAATAAATCTCTTTGACACCAGCTTCAGATAATTTTTTTTTTTTTTTTTTTTTTTTTTTTGAGACGGAGTTTCGCTCTTGTTGCCCAGGCTGGAGTGCAGTGGCGCGATCTCGACTCACCGCAACCTCCGGCTCCTGGGTTCAAGTGATTCTCCTGCCTCAGCCTCCTGAGTAGCTGGGATTACAGGCATGCACCACCATGCCCGGCTAATTTTGTATTTTTTTTAGTAGAGACGAGGTTTCTCCATGTTGGTCAGGCTGGTCTTGAACTCCCAACCTCGGGTGATCTGCCCGCCTCAGCCTCCCAAAGTGCTGGGATTACAGGCATGAGCCACTGCGCCCAGCCCAGATAATTTTTTTTTTTTAAAGAAATTGCTGTGTGGCCTTACTTGCTTGTCAGTAAAAGCAGGCACCGGCCCCCAATCATTCACTCAGTTATGACAGACTTCCCTCCTACCACATGCTTTCAGATGCTTTACCCAGAAAATAGGTCTGAGGGTGGTGACTGTAGACCCCCGGGAGAGGTTTCCGTGATGGTGGTCACACTGAGTTTTCTTGAATAGAAGGGATTATGCAAATATTTGTGTTTTAAATCTCCCTAGATTTTTGCTGTCTAGTGATTTACATGGCTTTAAGAATTTTTGTCCTGTTTAAAGGTTCCTTTGTGAGGATGTGCATATGATCTTGTGTGATCTCATTTTCCCTAAGCCTAGGCTTGAGGACAGGTGGAATCTTCCACTGATCTTGCCTGCTTTCTTAAGATTTTACCACTGATTTCTCAGGATATTTTAAAACATTTCATATTTGAAAGCATGAAAATAAAATGTTTTATTTCTTTAAGTTATAATTCATGAAGATGGAATTTATCTGATAGGTCTTACTTGCTTTAAATCTTTGCCTTTGGAAAAAAAATTCCAACTTTTAAACAAATTCCTAATAGTAGTTGCCCTTTAAATGACAAGAATCATAGTTGGGGGTTGGGGTGAGAGAAAATCTTTCATCTCTTTTAAAGGTATTTAATCTTTTTTAAAAGTTTCCTTACTTTTTAATTATCTTCAAATATCTGCCATAAAGTATGTGTTTACTTGCTCTTTATAAACAAGAGCAGCACTTCATTCCTTTCGGTAAATGTCAGAATGTTGGGTTTTGTTTTATTTCTCCTCCTCCTCCCCGCCCTCCTCTTCTTCCTCCTCCTCTTCTCCTTTCTTGTTCTTCTTTCTTCTTCTTCTTTTTTTTTTGTGGGGAATAAAACTATAGTTTGTTTCAGAGGTGGCCAAGCATAGCTCAGCTGAGAGATGGAGGGACAGCTGCTGCCTGGGCACCTTGGCTTAAAGTCACCCTGAAGGGACTGTGGGTTTTTAGAGATCTTTTCATCTTGTCAGTCTTCCAGCCTGGCCACAAGCTTGCCTTAGCAGTCTGCAGCCCGTGTGCCATCTTTTGACAATGTCATTGTCATGGGATGGATGCTCCCTGTGATGTGGCAGATAATGCATTCCAGTGTGCTACTTGCAGAAAGTGGTAACATCTCTGTGTACTTTTTATTCAGAACCTAAGTTGCTAGTTAGTTGAACACCACAGATGTATGAGCTGTCTTCGGCCTAAGAGTGGGCATGAAAATTGTAGCAAACCCATAGAGGCTTTTAATTTTTTTCTAAAAAGACCTCACAGCAGTATTATTGATTTGGTTTTAAATAGCTATTTTATGAAGTTTCAGGATAATTTTTTTTTTACCTCACCTTTTAGCCTTTATTTTGATTTTTTAAAGGGGGGTGGTTTTCCTTTATCAATCCCTAACCATTTTATCTTAAGAACTCTTTCTGAAGTCATTCTTTATTTCAGCCAGAAAACTGATTAGTGTTCATTGATAGAAGATGATAGGCTGTACAGTTAACCATGAAAAATATTTTTCTCCTTGACACCTTAAAGTTGTTGTCAAAAGTATTACCGCATTCAGTTAAAGAGAGTGGGTAGAATTTTATTGTCTGAGCTTATAGTATACAAGCACCAAAGCTCGATGAATTCAGGTCTTTTCCAGGAAGTTTAACTTGCATTTTTTTCTCATAAGATATTCACATTTCTTTTCCACTCCTAATTTTGTGGCATAAAATAAAACATAACTTTTGTTCTGGGCACAGTTTCTTATTGCTGAAGGACTTAGGAAAGAGCATGTCAGGAGTAGGAATGGTCCAGCTAGTGAAACTGAAAAGAAAAACCCTGGAGCACTATTTGTTCCTCTTCAGCGTCTGTCTGTGGGCCTTCAGCTGCTCTTGGGGAAGGGCCATGCTTACTCCTGAAGAATTGCGGCAACAGTAGAAGGGGCTTCTGTAAGTAATGTACCTCTCAGTGCAAGCTAATACATTCCTAAGGGCTTATTTGGCTTCACTTCCTAATTTACAGTGATCTTGACCGGCTTTCTGCCTTGAGACCCTGAGTGTCATGCCGTGGTGGGGAAGGTTGGCACCTCAGGCACGTATGAGATGGTGTGGAGCTCCTTAGATGAAAGGTGCTCGGTGTGGGAAATACAGTAATGTGAGAAACCTTCCATCCAGCTGTCTGTCCGTCCATGCTCCATGCAAGCAAGTTCTCGGCCTCTTGAGCCTGTGTCTCCCACACCGAAAGTTATATGTACTGTCCTGATGCAGGAGAAGAACCTAAGTTTTCTGGGGAGAAAAAATGGGCTTTTAAGCAAGGTGAAAAACAAAAAACACTTTCTTTCCAGTTATACCAAAAGTGATGATATAACTAAACCAAACTCCCTGGAAAACTAGATACCATCAAACTTGAATGACAGGGTAGATAGGAATGAGCCCAGCCCAGACTGTAGGTGAAGGAACATGTTTTCCAGCAGCTGCAATTTAGCATGCATTAGGTTGTGAATTCTGCACTTTGGTTTCTAGGCAACTTGCACACATTTTAAATCTGAATATAAACACATACACACCCCCAAAACAGAATGAAACAATAAAAAGCCTAATGATATAAACCATGTTTGCCACAAGTCTCAGTAACTATAGCAAACAAATCCAGGCCACTACCTGGCTAAGTAGAGATGTTGGTGGTTAGACCTAGGAAATAAAGACAAAGCAGCTATAAATAACTTCTTTTGTTGCACAGTGATAATGTCTCTACAACGCAAGCACATCAGGTGTGCTCTGCCTCCAAGGTGCCCTGCAAGAGAAGGCATCTCCTCAAGGGAACGAGTCTTGTTAAGGGAGATTTCATTTCTTTTCCTGTTCTTTTAATTAGTCTTACATTAAGATTCTTAGAAGTTGTACATCTTCTTATTGCTAGCAGCAAGCTCGGTAAGTCCAGGTTACTTCTAGGCGGACAGGTCTGACCCAAAGGGTGCTCATCAGTGCCTCCGTTGCCGCCAGTAGGGAGGTGATAGGAGCAGTTCTGGGGTGTGGCTTAATATCTGTACTAGAAATTGGGACTTACGGATAACCTCGATGAGTTCACAGATGAGGCGGGCTTAACATAGGATTGCCAGTAAATTTGGCAATCGAAATGATCCTGTTATACCAAGCACTGTTTAGATTCATGTGCCAAAGTGACCAGCTCTGGGTTTGAAAGAGGGTTATTGTGGGCCTTCTGGATGGACAGAAGTCAAATGGAACACATGTGAGCATGTGTTCAATGTCTTTAAATATTGAATAGCATAATGGTGGAGTTAACATGGGATCGGCCCATGCTGTTGGAGTCTGCATCTTGAGCAAGATGGAGCAATTGAGAATGGTCCAAAGAAAAGTAGTATTGTGGGCATGAGAAAAATAAGACCTATGGGAAAATTTTTTAAAAACTGAAATTGTTGGCCAGGTGCGGTGGCTCATGCCTGTATTCCCAGCACTTTGGGAGGCTGAGGCGGGCAGATCACTTGAGCCCAGCAATTTGAGACAAGCCTGGGCAACATGGTGAAATCCCATCTCTACAAAAAAAAATACTAAAAAATGATGCAAGTGTGATGGTGCACACCTGTAGTTCCAGCAACTTGGAAGGCTGAGGTGAGAGGATCACCGGAGCCCCAAGAGGTCCAGGCTATAGTAAGCTGTGTTCACACCACTGCACTCCAACCTGGGTGACAGAGTGAGACCCTGTCTCAAAAACAAAAAATAAAACTGGACCATAGTTTTAAGGAATTCCTATCCTATAATTAAATACATTTAACATAAGTAATATTTCTCTCAAAAGCTTTAAGCAGGCTGTATAAACAGAAACAACTTAGGAGCTTGCTAATTTGTTTATCCCTGCTATAGACATGTTTCTTCATTCATTCATTCATTCATTCATTCATTCACCTTTCATGTTAATTTTAAGAAATCTTTAAAATAGCCACTATCATTATTTATTGTCAAGAACAATGATTTGTGATGGCAGACTAAGATTGCTGACTTTTTATTTAGAGTTTGTAAAAACAGGTTTCAGGATGTTAAATTTTTATAGTTATTGCATGATTGATGTGTTTCCTTTTCCCACAGAACTAAAGCATGTTAAAGATGCTATTTGAATTTAATTCTGGGAACATAATAAAAATAGCATTGGGGCATTGAGGAGCTCAGAGGCACAGGCCTCATCAGCCCTGCTTTAATACCTGAGCAGCAAGAGGTTACAGGTGGCTTCTCCTCCCTCCCAGGGGACCTCAGTAGGTAGAGGAGAGAGGAGGCACACAGTCAGGGGACCCTGAGGCCAGAGCCACACCAGGGGATTCTGCTGCCCCAGTCCCTTCCCACAGGCTTGTTTGTCCATTGACAGGAACAGTTGCACGTACAAAATCAACTTTGCTTTCCCATCCTCTGTAAAATGTAGTGCCCAGCCTCTTTATTATGCATTTTATTACTCACATTTAGAATTATATTGCTATCAGGAATGGTTTCTTGAGAACTGGAGCGGAAGAAAGGCTGTGTCCCACGATATGTGATCCTGCTAATAAAGTGGATGATCAGACACAAAGCCAAGTTCATCTTCCCACCTTGGGGCCACCACAGAGCCACGTGGTAACCCCCTTTTTCTGAAGGAACGGCATTGAGGCCCAGGCCATGTGCATTTCCCCCTGGGCTGCCTCCTCTGACCCCAGGATTCCAGCTCTTCCTCAGAAGTTGTCTCCATCTCTGCGATGAAAGAGGAGAGCAGGGACCTTTCTCCCTCCCCTCCTCTATGTCTTTCTGACCAGGTGCCCCCAGGACGCCTATTGCTGATGGGCATAGGCATTCCCAGTTCCCTCCTGGCCCAAGCTCCTGGAGGTGGGACCACACATGACAGAGCGACACCCAGCTTGTCCTCTCTTTTGCAAAGTGCAGGATGAGAATTTTGGGTTATCCTGGCTCCTCCCATGTTTTTTGCAGCTCCAGTGACAGCAATGCCAAATGATACCCAAAGATAAAAATATTGATCCAAGTGCAGATGAGCTGAAAACATTCCTTTTCTGATAGAAAACACGGTAAACAGTCTCCCTTCCTCAAAGATTGTACCTGGAAAGCCATGGCTGGTTAATTTTTTCCCTTTAGAATACATAACATTGTGAACTTCAGAAAATACCATAATCAGGGAGTTCCATGACAGAGTTAAGTCTCCACACTCCAAAAAAAAAAAAAGCAAGTAATGGCTGTTGATCGTGTGGATATGTGAATTGCAATAAATAACAGGCTCTCACGTTTTACCAGTTCTTTTTACTACTTAGACATTTTGTCAGGCTTCTCAAACCAAAAGGCTCTGTGCCATTCAGGAACTTAGCCAGTTTTCATGTATGTGAGTGAAACATTTGGGGCCAAAGAAAGACTCCTTTGTAGCAAGAGTGACTTGCGCTTTAATCAGTGTAGGAAATGGCCTTATGAGAAGATGGATTTGTGCTAGAAAAATTGAGAATAAGGAAACTATTCAGAAATAAGATTTAAAAAAAAAAAATCATCCTTGTGGTAATTTGAAATTGTGATATTGCCAGATTGAGATTGTATACTGTGTACTCAGAGTCCTTGGGGGTGTGTGTGTGTGTGTGTGTGTGTGTGTGTGTGTGGAGAGGGAGAGACACTAAAAAAGTACAATAAGCCAGTTTGTGATCTCACCATATGTGTTGAATTGAACACAACTCTTCTGCACTTAATGAAGACTTCAGCCTTTAGGGGTAAATAAAACATCACTAAACAGGGATGGCTTGAATATTTCTTACCGGCTGTAATAATTAAAGCCATGAAAAAGGTGGTGGGGTTATGTTACTCATTAACTGGAATCGCTCTTAGATTTGATCAAGACGCGGTGGCCCCTGGCGCTTTGTTTCATGTTTGTCCTTTGTTTCATTGACACGCTTTGCCTCGGCCTCCGTGGCGCTATAAAAGCAGCAGAGCAGTTAAAGAACCGGACCCAGAAGGCCCGTAGACCTCCTATCTAGCCGCCTTTTCTCCCCTCCCCCCAAACCCAACAAACTCTTCAACCTTCAGAACTGAGCCTGAAATCATCTATAAAGCAGCACACTTAGGGATCTGGGAGGGAACGGGAAGAAACCTTCCTCTTTTAAAAGGAAACTGATGAATTCAAGTGTAGCCAAGAGCTTTTAAAGGATGTCATTGGCCAGGCGCGGTGGCTCATGCCTGTAATCCCAGCACTTTGGGAGGCCGAGGCGGGCGGATCACGAGGTCAGGAGATCAAGACCATCCTGGCTAACAGGGTGAAACCCCATCTCCACTAAAAATGCAAAAAATTAGCTGGGCGTGGTGGCAGACACCTGTAGTCCCAGCTACTCGGGAGGCTGAGGCAGGAGAGTGGCATGAACCCAGGAGGCAGAGCTTGCAGTGAGCCGAGATTGCGCCACTGCACTCCAGCCTGGGCAACGGAGCGAGACTCTGTCTCAAAAATAAATAAATAAATAAATAAATAAATACATAAATACATAAATAAATAAATAAAAATAAAGGATGTCATTGTCCTTAGGTGTTGCACCAAACAGGCTAAGAAGCAATGACATTGATTATGAGGAACTTGGAACTCAGATGTATTAATTTCCTATTGTGTCTTAACAAATTACTACAAATATTGTGGCTTAAAACAAATTTATTATAGTATCTGGAGGTCAGAAGTCCAACATCAGCCTTCATTAGCTAATGTCAGGGTGTCCGCAGCACTTTCTTTCTGTAGGCTCTAGGAGAGAATCTAGTTCCTGGCCTTGTCTAGCTTTTAGGATTGCCTGTATTCCTTGGTTCATGGCCCCTTCCTCCATCTTTAAAGCTAGCATGGTTTGGCCAAGTCCTTCTCACACTGCTGTCTTTTTGGTTCTCTCTCTTGCCTGCCTTTTCTACTTATATGGACACTTATGCTTACGTTGAGCCCACCTGTATAATCCAGGGTAATCTAATAGTTGATTAGCAGCCTTAATCCATCTGTAATTTTAATTCCCTTTTGCCAGGTAATGTGGCCATTATCCTGCCTACAACCTCAGAGGATGTTGATAATGTAAAGGGTAGTGAATTGGGGAGTTCATAGGGTTTGATAGTTGACAAATACAGAGTGTAGTATTAGGTAGGGGTTTTTTGGCAGGGTGCAGTGGCCCATACCTGTAATGTCAGCACTTTGGGAGATCAAGGCAAGAGGATCTCTTTAGCCCAGGAGTTCGAGATCGGCCTGGGCAACAAACTGAGACCCCCCAGCCACCTCATCTACACAAAAATAAGAAAAGGTGGGAGGTAGTTAGTAGTTTTGTAGTTTTCTTACAGCTTCTCATAACTACCATCAGGAAAATGTATATGTGCATATGTATCTGTATATGTGCATATATATACAGATATATACAGATATATATATACATATATATCTGTATATATGTACAGATACATCTGTATATGCACATATACAGATATATGCTATTATAGTAGAAAAAGTCATTTGCATTTCGCTTAAATGAAGTTTCTGTTACACTGTAATAGCTAACATGCCAACTGCTGACATAAAGAGAAATTTTCAGTGTGACATAAAACTAATTTATGGTTTTAGTTTGAAGGAAATTGGCATTTCTATTTAAAAGAATGATTCAGTTATAGTTTTATTGACTTGTGAATAATTGAGTTAATCGTTTGCTTTGTCTTGTGAAATTTTTTATTTTATAATTTGTACTAACATAGGAAAACTTCCAGTTAAAATGATACTCCAGTTTTAACATTGTAAACATCCTTTTTTGTGCACACATCTGTATAATTTTTAGGTTTGTTTTGTTTTGTTTTGTTTTTGAGACAGGATCTCAGTTTGTCACCCAGGCTGGAATACAAGTGGCAAGATGAGGGCACAGTGCAGCCTTAACCTTCCGGACTCAAGCAATCCTCCCACCTCAGCCTCCCAAGTAGCTGGGACTACAGGCGCATGCCACCATGCCTGGCTAATTTTTGTATGTTTTGTAGAGACAGAGTTTTGGCCCAGTCTGATCTCAAACTCGTGGGCCCACATGATCCACCAGCCTCAGCAAAATTTTTACATAGTTGTAACCGCTGTGTACATATGGTGTATTAAGTGGCTTGACCTTCCTGTGTTCTCTTTCCCCAGTCATCTAAGACTGTGGGTAACATGTGTTCCTGTCTACAAGGCCATTGCAAAGTCAACTGAGATAACACGTGCGAAGTTCTCTGGGAGAAAAGCACCATCTGCATTTGCATAAAGCAGAGCTGCCGAGGTTAAGCTGTCAACAGCTTCCTAGGGAAAATGTCCCTGAAACAGATAAGACATTTACCTGTAATGGTTTTCTTTGCCTGTGAAATTAATGGTACAAGGCTTAAAAAAAGTATTATCTTTTAATTTGTCTTTTAAAGTTGATTCTATTTTAACATATTTTCATCATTTAGTTGCTAAGAATCACTGCTAATGGGCACAAATGGAAACTTAGATCCTGCTACAAGAAGGTTACATTAATTCAAAACTGGCTCCGCTGGATGCAGGTGGGGGTGGGAGTGAGGGGGGATTAAAAGTAAAGACATCCCAGACCTGCAAGGAGCTCAGAAATGGGAGCATCATGCGCAGCAGCACTCCGATAATTCTGTTGTATGGCAGAATAGCGTAACAGCCCACGTGAAAATGAATGAGAGTAAAACCCATGAAGCAAATTCTGCATCTGGAAGGGTAAGATTGGTGAAGGGTTCTTGAAAAACGTGACCCCTTGAATAGTGATTTGAGTAGAGGGCATTCCAGGCAGAGGGCTGAGAAGGCTGCAGAAAGGTTTGTTGAAGGGCTGAGGAGTGGACTGGGACTGGAAATGAGCATAGTGACCTGCACACATAGGGCATACATGTCACTGTTTCAGTCCCCAGCCAGAGAGAAGTGCAGGGTGGGAGTCAGGGAACCCACCTGGTGGTAAGGCAGGGCTGGTGTGCCCCTAGGGCCTGCACTAGAGAGGCGCTGGCAGTGGGGGAAGGGGGAGAGTGGAGAGCTTACTTGGCACCTGTAGTTTACATTTGAGGGTTACATTTGGTAGGATCATGGGTTGCGTCAGTCCCTCTCGGCACACATCTCAGGCTGTGCAGAGTTGGTGTTGAAGGAACGTGGGGAAGAGGGTGGCCCATTTTATATTCATGCTCAGAAACAGGGGTCTTTAGCCAGAAAGGGCGCGCCAAGGACGGTGCTGTTTCCTGACACCCTGGAGAGTTGGGCGTCACAGCGCTTGTGCCCAAGGTCACAAGGTGAGTAGCCAGGCAGGATTAGACCCTGGTCCGGGTTACTCTCCAGCCAACGGCGCCCCTAGCGTCTGCGAAATCACTGTGCTTGGAGGAAAGGACGACAGGTTTTAAAGAGGGAGTGTCATCGCCTGCAGCGGGCGGACCCGTGTCCCGGCAGTGCAGCTCCGCAGGCGCAGGAGGGATGCGGGCTGGGGACGCCTTGGGGCGGCTGCAGGCTGGGGCGCGCCCCTGCACCCGGCGGGCCTCCGCTGCGTCCACTGCGGACAGGGGTCGGTGAGAGGCCCCAGGTCCAGCGCGACTTGCTTTTGTTAAAACCTCCTTGTGTTAGGTGTGCTCCCAGCTTTGGAGCCAGGCTTTTGGACACGCCTGAGTTTTTCTAAAGCCTTCTTGTTCCGGTCTTCCCGCACCTTCCAGTGCGGTCAAGGATGCTGGTGGCTGGGTCCTCTCCGCGGAGGGCTCTGGGTCGGGACCCTTGCACCCACCCTGGGGCCTTGGCTTCAGAACCAGTTACTCGTGTCAAGGATTGCTGTACAGCAGCTGCCCTCTCCTAAGGGCCAGGTGTTTTCTTTTTTTTCTATGGATGATTGTGGTCCTCGTGCTTCTAATTTAAATAGGTCATGCTTTAAGCCTTCACAGAGGTGCTCCAGGGACAGATAGATGTCCATGTAACGTAGCTCCCCTAACCCTCATTAAACGAACTTGAGGCCAGTTGAGAGGGGAGCAGTACCAGTAGATTTCAGGCAGCATCACGCTGCCGGCCCCTGCGGAATGGAGAGTGGTGTTCGGGGATTTGCTTTGGAAATGCCTTGGGAAGGCGCCGCCACCTCCACTTTGAACAACGGTAGGAACGCAGGGTAGGTGCTCAGGTGGCACGAGCACTGCTGGCCAGCAGAGGACTGCGCTGGGCCTAGAAAGGAAGCTATGGGTTCCCAGATACGGGTTCTTTAAAAAAATGTCAGTGGACTAGGGCCACTGATTCAACTTCCGAAAAGCAAAATGGAGATTATAAAAATGGCGTGAACAAATAGTGTCGGAATCATTTGATAAGTTAAATCTGTGATGTTAGTGAGAACTGCTTATCTGAAATGGAAATACTCTCAAGACCTTTTGTGGCTTATCCCAAAGGCTTACTCTCTACCTTTTAGTTGAAAGCAGAATTGCAAATTTGACCAACTTAATCGGCAGTGGCTTTTTGCTTTTAAAAGTACATGCTAAAATGTTTGTGTGAGCGATGAGGCTGATAGCGTAGGTACCTGAAGTGGAGATTTACTTTTGCCAAGAATGTTTTGGTGTATTTTGTAAAACTTCTTTATTTCTGTCTCTCATTAAAGAATGTTTGTTTTTTAAAGGTAGATAAGAATTTTTCAAACTGACATAATTTTTAAGGGAATTATATTTAATTGTAATGTTCTTATGCATTTGAAAACATGCATAAAGCTTATTAGTGTTCTTAACATTTAAAGGGGAGTGTTGTGTGCTGTACACGAAGAGATCGACCCAGCTAAGAACGACTTCTAGACCTGGGAGTGTGGGGAACATAGGGAAGGATAAGTTTTTTGGGAGTGTTACATTTTCTCTGAAGGAGTTTTCTCCCTAGGTTCTCAGTTGCTCACCGTGTTTATTTCATCTGCAGAACAAGTGTTTGGGAGTCATTTCTATATTTTTACTTCCCAGACACCTGATTTTCTTAGTTTTAAGTATGTAAGAATGTCATCTTACTTCAGGAAACTAAAGTTGTAAGTTAAGGTAGACATATTAGCATTTGAAAGTACTCACTTTAATTGTTTCTTATTCTGCTTGTTTTAACTTAAAATCTGTTAATTTTCTTGTTTAAAAAAGGATTAACTTTTAAAGTGGTTATTACAATTTAAATTGTATTCAGCTATTTGTCATATTAATATTTAGAGAGGCAAATTTAGTTGCCAAACATGGCATTTTGTAAGAAAATAAGGTACTAAGTTTTCTATCACATGAACAGTTTAGGATTTTCTTGACTTTTAGATGGAGATATTTTAGCTCACATTTTATAAATGCATGGAATGGGACTGAAAGCCATACTTACCTGAAGTGTTTTAAAAATTTAAATCTGTTTTTGAAAAATATACAGTTTGAAAGTGGAAGACTCTCAGCCTATTTAATGCGAAGTTTTTATAGTGGTGGGGTTTTAATATTCCTCCATTCAGTAGTTCATTGCCTGATTTTTTTTAACCTTTCACGTAAACTTTGTTCAGTAATTCTTTTAAATGGATGCAGATTATTTAAAGATCAAATCAGTATTGTCAAAGTATAAGAAGGCTTTGTTTTTGATGTTTTATTTTTCTAAGCATGTTTTAATTATAATTTTTCTCATCTACAACATTCTAATTACATTTTAAATTAGAATGAAGAGTTTAACATGCAGAACTTGTGAATGGACTATTACAGTTTTCTAGGGAAAACTGCCCTGATCAGTTCCCTTCCTGAGGTGGGTCCCTATCCTGTGGTTTGGGGCCACATCTTTCTGTTTTTGATTGAAGTGCATTCTAGGAATACCTACCTCTCACTTATTCTCAATAAATCACATTCCTCTTAATCCTTGTTGGAGTTTTTGATTTTGTTGTTGGGGTCGATTCTGGTGACTTTTATCTACTGAGATTGCTGCAAGATTGGAAATGAGATGGGTTTCTTGTTTGCCATGCAAATGTTCTGGTTGTTTAGGATGAAGATACCAGTAATTAACCATTAAAGCTGTCCTTGCATACAGAAAACTTATCTCTGGCATTTTGTTTTTTTCTGATTTTAGTGTGAACAGTTAGCGACCTCCACCAGTGCTGATTAAGAATTGTATAAATTGTTTATTCTTACAGAAAGCTGCCCTGGGTGGTTTGTTGCTCTTTTATTCACATGATATAAGCTATAAGAAAACAGTCCTCTCACACCTCAGCATGTTGCTGATTTCCACCAGGTGGTCCAGGAACATTTGTTCTGCAGGAGGGACCAAACTTAAAAATTTATTTATGTATTTATTGGTAAGTTTTTTTTTTTTTCAGTTGCAGCCGGCCAGGTCTGATGTTTTGCCACAGTAATACTAATATCCTTGTGAAATGGCATGTATGCTATAGTTTTAAACTTTTTTTCTTAAATACCATATGCAAAGAGAGAAAGTCCTCACATTGTGTAAGTGAGAGGAGAAATTGCTACAGCTATGACTGCCTTTGTTCTCAAAGCCATTTGAATTGCCGGCTGTGTTGGGGCTGGTTTGTACCTTGTTGAAGTGCTGAGATGAGAACTTCTCATTAGAGTAATTGCCTAATTGCCGGGTGGGAGCGGCCCATCCGGGGCGGGGCGGGGTGAGGCGGGGCCTGGGGCGCAGGGGCGGGGCGAGGTGCCGGCGGCCGAGATACTCACGGGCGCGGGACCTGGCCGGGAGACTGACAGCACCGGGACCGACCACGGCCCACCCCTCCGGCCGCGGCGGCCGGGACCAGAACAGCGCAGGCTCTCCGCCCACGCCTGCCCTCGGCTCCCAGTCCGCGCTGCCGCCGCCCAGGTGACACGCAGGGACGGGAGCGGGGCTGCTATGTCCCTCGGGCGCGCTTTGGGACGTTGCTGAGTGGCTACTGCTTGTGCTTTCTTGCTTCCAAGCTGGCGGTAAACCTTTTAAATTCAGAGTGATTCAAGGGCATAGGCGTCGGAATTGTGATTTCGTGCGTGTTTTATTTACCAGGCCTTCAAATCAAAAAGGCCAGGCAAACACACGTTCTGGGGCTATCAAGAAAGTTCACACGAAGGACAAATCCAGCAGGGAGAAAGTGACATACCTTGCGGGCTCAGGCTTGGGATTTCTGCAGCCACGCGCGCGTTCACCCGACGGGACCTCGCCTGCACTGCCGCCGGGAGAAGCCTGCTCTAGACTCCGGCTCCAGGGGAGAGGGCTGGGCTCCACAGAGAGGAGCAGCCTGTGAGTTTTCAAACATTTCTCTGTCAGAGTTAGCTCTTACTTGTTAAATTCCGAGATGAGAATCTATACTGTGAAATCAGCAGAAAAGTGGTTCTTAGAAATTTTAAAGTTTGTTTATCCACTTTACTTTTTGAGGATCTGTGCTCACTGGTTTTTCAAGCTGGTTTGTTTTAAAGGAGTCAAGCTTCACTTTGGAGTAAAGGTGGAGATTATAGTTGCTCTGTTGGAACTTTGATATGTTAAAGGGAAATTCTGTAAAAATGCGGGATGCAAGCAGTAGCCACAGGAGCATTTTTAAAAGTTTTTCTTTTTCAGCTTAATTTATATAAGAAAAACAATTAAAAGCCTGTGTTTCATTTTAGCCTCTTTTTAAAAGATAAATTCTTATTTCTGCAGATAAATGGGAATACTGAGGGGAGGGACGGAAAGTATGGTTTTCTATAGACTATTTTCCATTAAAATTTAAATAATCAGAAAGCTCAGAAATGTTATTCCTGTAACTTCGGGAAGTTATAGGAAATGTTACATTTTAACATCAAAGTAAAATTCCAATAAAATACTTTTTCTTATAGGAGCACATTTTACATATGTAAAGGAAGATACAAAAATACTAGAAATTCTAAAACTTAACCATTTTTGCGAAATTTTTCTAAACAAATTTCCTGAAGTCTTGCATACATTTGAGAATTTAGATTATTGCTAGAAAGCACATCTTAGGTTTTAATCATGTTCATGCCAACGCCTATGAAAAGACCTACCAGGATTTTAGATCCATAGTTAACCACCACTTGTGAGTATCCATTTTGCATTTTTGAAGACTCGTTGATTGACTATCAAGTACTTGAAATTATGTAAGAGAATACTTTTTTGGCAGCAAAGTCGCATTTCAGATCCCCTGCTCCCCTATCAACTTCAGGCTGCTCCAGGCTCTGGGTCCAGGCTGGAACTCACAGTAGAACTAAGATTATGTCTAAACTCATAGCAGTAAAGTGACGTTTTGCCATAAAAGAACATTTTTATAACGCTATTTCAGTCTACTTGTTTCCTTGGAAATAGTTTCTGTCGTGATGGGCAGTATCTAAATTAATGAATTATTCAGCTATTTGTGCAAAATGTGTAACTTAAGGGCAAACAGACTCGATGTTGTTCGCATCACCTCTCACACATTGGCAAGGCAGCCTTTTCTGTCCTATGTAATGTAGGAAAATTAAACATTTCTTGAAATCTGAGACTTCTGCCCTTGTTCTCCTGAAATTAAATCCATTTTATTTTCAGTAGCATGAATTTCCTTACATGTCCAAGAGGCTGTTAAGGAATTAATCCTTTGCTCTATTCCTCATAACACTTTTCACAGTTAATCTAGTGTGTAAACTGTGTGGACGAGAATCCAAAACTGCAGAATTTGGAGGAAATGTGACTCCTATGCCTTGTAGACATTAAATCATTCTGTGAAATAAAACTGAAACTTTGGATAGGAGATTGTACAGTACTCTCCACACATTTTTATTAAATGAAAACAACTTCCATTATTTTTCCAGCAATCCTTCATGTAGTTGGACTCACCTCACCACCTCCCCCCTGCTCCTTAGTTGTGGTCGGCTCTCCTTACAAATGGACAGGTTGCTTTGTCAACTTGGTGGCAGAAACCACCTGACAAATTGTAGACATGTGGCTAAAATTTATGCTTAGTTTGGATTTGGTAGAAAATAAAGAATATTAGAAAATAAAATGTGACCAAAAAAATATTTATGTTGTCTTGACTGTGTGTCTATGCACAAGAAAGGACAGGAACTGGGAGTAATGGAATGTTAGTGTTTCCGACTCCAGAATAAATACCCAAGAGTGAAAATAATTTATAAATTATGTTTCCTGCTTCAGAATTTGCTAAGAGTGTATGTGTGTGTCCATACTTGAATCACTTGCCTCACCTGAGGATCGGAGTGGTTGACTTGGTTTCTCTGTCCTTCTGTTGCTATTCTTTTTCTCACTTAGCAACTATTATGTTGTTATCTCTAAAATGTTTTTGTGGCTTACTTTTTTTTTTTTTTTTTTGAGACGGAGTCTCGCTCTGTCGCCCAGGCTGAAGTGCAATGGCGTGATCTCGACTCACTGCAACCTCCGCCTCCCAGGTTCGAGTGATTCTTCTGCCTCAGCCTCCCGAGTAGCTGGGACTACAGGTGCGCGCCACCACACCCAGCTAATTTTTGTATTTTTAGTAGAGATGGCGTTTCACCATGTTGGCCAGGATGGTCTCGATCTCTTGACCTTGTGATCTATCTGCCTCGGCCTCCCAAAATGTTGGGATTACAGGAGTGAGCCACTGTGCCCAGCCATACTTTTTTTTTTTAACTGTGAGTTTTGATTTTAAAAAACCCTTAATCGTTAATAGTAAGTTTTAACAAGGAGACTATGGAAGGCAAAGGGAGAGATCTTTCTAAGACATACAGTTGAGTTTTTGCACATAAAGCAAACTAGATTGTTATAACTCCTCATACAGCCCATCTATTTGCTTTTTAAAAAATTGCAGAGCTATCATTTCATTGATTGCAGTTTGTTATAATTAAAGAGGCATTTTCAGTCATTTTACCATTAGCTTTTTAAATATGAAGAATAATTAACCAGATCTGTACTGTAAAGAATGTTTATGAAACTTTTTTTTTTTTTTTGAGACGGAGTCTCACTCTTTTGCCCAGGCTGGAGTGCAGTGGCACAATCTTGGCTCACTGCAAGCTCTGCCTCCCAGGTTCACGCCATTCTCCTGCCTCTGCCTCCCAAGTAGCTGGGACTACAGGCGCCTGCCACCACACCCGGCTCATTTTTTGTATTTTTAGTAGAGACAGGGTTTCACTGTGTTAGCCAGGATGGTCTTGATCTCCTGACCTCGTGATCTGCCCACCTCGGCCTCCCAAAGTGCTGGGATTACAGGCGTGAGCCACCGTGCCTGGCCTATGAAACTTTTTAAGTTGATAAATTTGTATTTTTTAGATATGTTCTAGTTGAGGAATGAGAACCACTCCTGGTCTGAATTTTCATGTGTTGCTATATAAATTTGCTTTTAATAAATTCTTTTAAATCACCAGATTGTTAATTGACAGCTATTCTTGCAGACATTGTTACCTTATTATTTCTTCTTACTATATTGGGCATTAAGTCGTTTATTTCAATGTGATAAACATTTGACTATCAAGGATGGGGGTAGATAGCACATGACATGAGCAAAATCTGGTTCCAGTATTTAAGACACAGCCTTAAAAATGTATATTCCTTTTATAGAAGTTAAAATATAGTTTTCTTTGAACTCGGTTATTCCTTGTTTAAACTCAAAAGGAGAGGATCCTATTTTCTGTACATAAAATTCTGAAGATAGGTATTTTCTGTAAGAGCTGAGTTTTTTCCCCATTTGCTAATCCCTTCTAATTTAGAGGAAAAACCATATTATCACACTGAATGTTAGTGATGATTGCCTATTTGTCCATATGAACACAGTAATTTTGTGCATAGTATAGATTACTATTCACCAGGAATATAGGGCTGTATAAAAAACATTTAACCAAAGAAGAATCGTGTTGATAAATTATTAACTAAAATTACTAAATTTGTAATGAATAATCCTACACAGACCATCTGATTGTGATTTTTGACATATTGGAGTAATATAGGAAGTTATAGAAAGGAAGAAATTCTGGGTTTGGATGAAATTACTGGTTTTTTCCCTTGGAAAAAAAATCTGAATATATTTTATAATTTGTTAGTATTGTAAGTAACAGCCTAAAAACCTGAGCATGTGACTGTTTGACACTGTGCTTCCTATATATCTGTTTACAGAATATTTGGAAAATTTTAAATTCTTCCAGTTCTTGATTGCTGCTTGCACAGAACCAATGTTAAAATGTTATGACTAAGACTAGAGAGACAATGATAGGTTTCTCGGTGCACACTTAGTGCTAGGAGGTCTTCCCATACCTACCGGGCCAGCTTTAGAGAAACCCCTGGTTTCCAGTTGCCTGGTTCAGTACTTTGTTAGAGCACATGCTTTAATTATTTTCAGTGTTCTTAGGTTTGGTTGTGGTAATGAATTTCTTCATAAAGTAGATCTCTCTTTTAAGTGAATTATTAGGAAATACTTGTAGCATGATTTAAGAAAAATATTTCAGCTTCAGCTGGAAGCAGAAAAATGGACAGAGGGGAAGCCAGAGAGTTCAGGTAGGTTACTCGGAGAAACAGTTGACACAAAGCATTCCTTATTTTCTTATTATGTATCTTTAGAATGTAATTTACACAAATTGAACCATAGTTTACATTTTATTCTGAACCTTTTTTCTAAAAACATTTCTTGCCATCTTCCTATATTACAAAAATAATTCCATCTCATTCTTTTTAATAGCTACATAGTATTCCATTGCATGGCTACATACCATATAGGATGTTTTGATTCATATACTCAACCAACCGTTTTTTTACAGTAAAGGTATACTCATATGCTGGGCCTTAGGGGGTTATAAGTTAATGTATAACTAGAATTGGAGCTAGCAAATGTCACTGTTTGTAAATTAGGAACTCAGAATTATAAAATGTATACTCTCCTTCAAGATAAATACAACAAGTATATTACGTACACTGTTATTAATTTAGGTAAGAGCATTAATTCATTTTTGTTGTTGTTGTTGTTGTTGTTGTTGTTGGATACAGAGTCTTGCTCTGTTGCCCAGGCTGAAGTCTACTGGATTAATCATAGCTCACCGCAGCCTCCAACTCCAGGGCTCAGATGATCCTCCCACTTCAGCCTCCCAAATAGCTGGGACTACAGATGCATATCACCACACCTAATTTTGGGGGTGGGTAGGGAGCGAGGTCTCACTGTGTTGCTCAGGCTGGTCTGAAACTCCTGAGCTCAAGCCATTCTCCTGTCTAGACCTCCCAGAGTGCTGGGATTACAGGTGTGAGCTACCACTTGTGGCAAAAGCATTAATTCTAAGGAAACAAAAAGAAGGAAATTTTTATGAAAATGTGAATACAAGAAAAGTTAGGAATATTCTGATACTTTAAAGTATTCCAATTTCTTTAGAAATATTCAGGCATATATTGAACATGCCATTGTTGTCATGGCAGGGTGAATAGACAGAATCACTTAGGAATTTAGTTTCTTTTTCATGAGTGATTATTTTCTTGAGAAGCATAGATCAGGAATGTTTTCCCTTTGGCCCCTTGTAATTGGTCTGGCAGGATCTGGGGTTGGGGAGGTGGACACAAGGATCCCACACATCTCTTGTGAAATACTTGGAAATTTTCAATTTGAGTGTTTATGATGCTTCCAACATATATAATAACATAAAATATTAATGTACACGTGGTTGTAAGAGATCCAGTTGACCAGAGGATTGCATGTTTCATCATTTAAATAATATGCTTTGTGTTAGATTGCATATAGTGTATGCTTTTAACAAGAGTTAGGGGAATAATAGCACGGGAACATTTGACACTTACAATCTGGAAACATGAGAATTATTTATGCCAGTAAATTATTTCAGATAGTATTTGCGAATGATGGTATGTGTCTGTTTTAGGTTCTGTGGTGCCACTTTTAGAAACTCCACAAGCAAACCATGGCTCAAAGTTTGTAGTAATCTTTTTGAACTGTAACTATTAGAATTTCCCAAAAATCTAATAAATATGCTTTTCTTTGTATAAAATGAGCTATATGAATATTTGCTGCTACTTGAATTTTCTTTCCAAAATTTGTTTATAGACATACTCCCTAAAGATGTTTGATAATCAGAAATAACTGATTCTGCTAGACAAATATGCACCAATTGATTGATTTTCTTTATTTTGAAGAAAATTTTTTTCCTCTTAATTATTTGGTGGCTTCCTTTGCTGGCAAATCCAATTTTATGCCCCACAAATAATGTGAACAGTAGAGACTTCTACTTGTAAGTTTCGGCAATTCTTTAAAATATGTTAAGTTTTTGCTTCAACATATAAAGGTTTTTCTTTTCTGAATTGTGTTTTCAGCAGCAATTCAAACCAATTGTATTTTTCCATTATACAAATTACTAATTTAGAATAAATATATTTCATTTCTGTCATGATATCCTAGTAGGCAGGCTCTTGGGCAGACACCTGATATGTGTATGTATTATTAAGTTGTCTACTTTTGTTTCTTAGAAATGTTTATCATTTAAAAAGTAACAGATGGAAGAAGACCATTTATTGAAGACTGTGGCCTGGCTAGTGTGTGGGCAGTAAGGGGTGACTGCACCTGGGTTCTGTGGCTCTGAACGTTTTCTGTTTCTTTTTGGATTATGAGGAGGGAGAACTCTTGGTTTTGTTTTGAGGAACTTCATTGATTATATCTTAATTTTGCCTTATTGGCAAAAAGCACCATGTGAAAATTTATGCAGCGTATAGATTTTCACTGTGTTTTATTTGGTTCAGAGCCGAGTCTGGAAGATGACTTAGTTTATAAGTTCTGTCTCGTGTCCTGTAGCCAAGCTTTCTGTCTCCTTTAATGAGGGCACTGTGTGATTAGAAGCTGTTTCCTCCCATTCCTGTGGACTGAAGGGGCAACCTGAGGGTCTGCTAAGGTGGTGGGTGTGTTTTCTGGGAAGAGTGAAAGGGGATTTGTCAGCCTTTGGGGGAACTTGATAAAAATGAAAGATATTTTATGTCAGTGGGATCACCTTTTTAATCCAAGGGGCAAAAGAAAACTGGTTTCTATTGTGCCCCTGCCCGAAGGCCGCCTGCATGTGACTTTCAAAGGACCCTGCTTGTGTTGAATTTCAGCCAGCAAGTCTCCAGCATACAGAATTTGAGATTTCCCCCACCCCCACCGTTTCTTCTGTTTTTGTTCCATGTAAACAGTTCCCTGCGTAGTAACATAGACAAATATAGCAGAGAATGCTTTTCTGGAAGAAGAATGCTCCCTAAGCATTTTTTAACCATTTTTGGGAAGAATTGATCTTTCTGTGTGTTTCAGACAGACTGGAGAGGGGGAGGCCGTGGCTGTAAATTGAAGTGACATCATATGTATTGCCCCCATTGATCCGCTTTTAGTCTCCAGCCAGGATAAAAGGAAATGGCATCAGGGAGGAAGCATGCTTCATTTAGGCACAGATCCCAGAGTGATAATGGGGTAATAATAGAACTCATGCCACTGTCAATCCGTGGCTGCATTAGTCCCAGGCTTATTCTCTGTCTGGGGAGCCGCACAGTGACTTTCTTCGTGTGAGGCTGCAGCGCACCAGCTGGGCCACGCCGGGAGGTGCCCTCCTTTGCTTTCGGAGGGGTGCAGGCAATGGGGCTTGGATGTTGCCATTTGCTGGTCTCTTGTCACAGGCCCTGCCTCTGCAAGGTCAGTCATGGGACATGTCCGTGGCATTTTCTGATGTAGGAGGTGAGCTGGCCTGTTCTGCATCATGCTAATGGAAGAAATGGTGGCGGAACCTCAGTTGCGTGGGTGGTCTTCTGGGAGCACAGAGTGAGTGATGCCCCCGTGACAGCAGTAAGAGGCTTCTGCAAGAGTCAGGGGTTTTTCTTAGTTGAGCTGCCTCTAGTTTAGGAGGGTGGGTTTGGAAAATTCATATTTTCTTTCCAGGAGCATGCATAAAAACTCTCCCAAACCATTCAAAGTCGTACAGCTTGCGTCGACTCTGAAGTTGGGAAAAACATGCAGTGGACTTTTTTCTTTGTACAGTTCTTAGTATTTAGCAACTATGAGATCTTCCATGTTTAGAGTAGAACACAGACTTCTAAAATCCTTAACAAGCAGCATTTGTACTTGACTGACCTCGTTTAGCATTTTATTTCTTGTACTCATTTCAGTAAGTTTCATAGTTCTGTGAAGTTCTCTTGCAAGTACCCACATCACTTTGGCACCTTGTAGTCCTATTTTGTGTAAATTTCCGAGGCAGATGCATTTTAAAAATAATGAGCTGGTCTCTGTATGGAAAAAATAACCCCATCATGAATTTCTTGTTTATGCAAAGGAAAGGACTTTTGCATTCCTGTCACTGTTGAACTGTGGGTGTGAGCACTGTTGGGCCCCCAGAAATAAAGGCAAGTTCTTTTTATACTGTCTGAAGGAGCTGCTTTCTTAGGTGGTGATGCTTGGAGGTAAGGTCCTTTATTTTTCACGATCACTCTGTGGTACGACCAAAGCCTTATCTCTCTCCCGCCAGTGCTGCTGTATTAAACACAGCTGGCCTTTCAGTCTTAAATTCAGCTGATCTTAAAATAAATAAATAAACGCAGCTGGCCTAGAAGTCATGTGAAGTTTGCTTTGATTTCCACGTGGGTGGAAGTGGAGTGGTCCACATAGCATGTCCCACTCCCCCTGTGCCCGCCCCGGGCTCCTCGTACCACCCGGTGCTGCCTTGAGCACATCTGCTGATACGTGGTCTCTTTCATTTGCTTTACAAACATTTTGGTTTATTACATGACCACTGCTTTTTCATTTGTAGGGTGGCTTTACGGGGAGCAAATGTTTATTTTACAAAGACAAATGTATGGAAGCTGTTTAACCACATTTTTGCTTCAATATGCTCTTTTTAAGGTCTATTATCTTATCCTTTAAAAATGTTGTAATGTGTACTTTGCGAATGAAAGATGCTTTATTAGTTTTATTGTCTGTGTCCCAAAATAACGTTTGTTCACTGATTTTTTTTCCCTACTTTTTTCAGAAACTACATTTCCCCCCATGAGTTAGAATAGTTACAACTAAAAGCCAGGTGGCCGCAGGTTGTTTACCAAGTGAGAGTCATTTCAAGTCTATTCAGAAGAATGGGACTCACAGAAACCTGGGAGCATGAAGCTGGCTCTGGCAGCACTGTGGTCGGGGGCCTTGTTTTAGGGGGAGCAGATACCTGAGGGGAGTGTCCATCCTTGCTTCTTACCTCTCTCAAATTAGAGTCAGTCAGTGTGCTCCCTCCCTTACTTCCATCTCGCGGTCTTAAGTCAGGGAGTTTAGCTTTAAATATTTTCATTGTGTAAAATTTGGAGAGGACAAAAGCTTCCATTGATCCTTTTGGTTCTGTTTCTGTGTAGAGTTGCTGAGCTTTCAGCTTAAAAGAAAACTCAGATATACAGGTATGAATGCAGGTATTTTTGTAGGTTCACATATAGGTAATTGTTTGATTTTAAACTGGAGCTGTATCTATTGGTTAAACCTAGTTGGGGTTAAGTTGAGGACCAAGCTAGTTGTCTTACTCAGGGTTTCTTTGCTCTGTGTGTCTCTTTAGTTTAGACCAAATCCCAAATGAGAGTTCTAACAGTAGGCTTCTTTGTAAGCACAAGCGTATAATATGGGGAGATGCTTTTCTTTCTACTCTCCCCTTCCCTGTAATTCTGCAATTTGGCAGGGCTGGTTCCTTCTGTATTTAGTTAGCAAACGAGGCCCCACTTCTGGCAAAGGGTGTTTAGGGGCTGGTGGTGCCGAGAATCACTTCTCTGTGAGGCTGAGCCCATTCCCCAAAGCCTGCCTGCCTTTGTCTGGAGGGGCCTTGATGCCAGGCGCCTGTTGTCCTCGGACTGTCTGTCTTGAGAAATGCTGCTCACCAGTTTTGAGTGTTTGTGGGGTAGAGCAGGTCCCCATCCTGTTGTGGCCTGGCCTGGGTACCCCTCGTGGAGCTGCTGTTTGACAGCAGCACAACAAAGGGTAGTAGTGAGGTGAAGTGGGGAGAGCCCACGACTGGGGTGAAAAGGAAGACACTGGGAAGAGGGCTCAAGGGCTGGAGGGCATTCAGTCAGTGGCCCTGGGAGACGGGTTAGGGGTACTTGAGGCCATGGGTTGAAGGCCCAGCCTCCTGCAGGAAAGCACCTCTCTCGGAACATCACAGGAGGCTGAAGGGTGAGATGAACTGGAAGGAGAAGGAGGGCAGAGGGAGAAAGAGAACCAGTCTCACTGGGCTGCCTGGGCAGAAGTGCTGGATACCCACATGCACCCGGCAGTGTTCATGGTATGAATGGTGAGGAGGCCTACCAGAGGCTGGGCGCCTGGGTTTGGCCTCTTCTGTAAAACAGTAGATTTCTTTTTAATACCGTATGGTGGATGGGTGATTTTGTTACAAGTAGTTATGTAGTAATTTGATATCTTTAAAACATGCTGCAATTACTTGACTTCTCATGAAAAGAAATGGAGTGTTAGTAATTCTTTGGGTCCTTGTCAGTGCTGATTGTACTGCAGTTTTGCTGAAGGCGCCTTGTTTCTCCTGAGAGAATAGCCACAGCATGTCTTTCAGATGAAGCGATGTCATGAAGTACAGAATATACCCAAGAACCAAGTGATTGCATTGGTGTCTTGTCTCCTTTCTTTCTGCCTCTGTCTGTAGGCAAGTGGGGGCTTTCTTAGAACTTAGAAGAGTGAGGTGAGAAAACAGATACCTAGTGGAATGGTGCGGTGGGTGTGGTGTTTGCAGTGCTTGCTGTCTGCCCGTTGCCCCCCGCATACCTTTTGGAAAAGTATATGTGTGTGTGAATGAGTGAGGGGGTAAGGGGGTAGGGGGTAGGGAGGGTCAGGCAGAGTGCACACTTGGGGGCAGAAAGATGAGGAGCAGGGAGGGAAACCAGTACTTTTTAAAAATTGTTTTAGAACACCAGAAAGTGGCAGTTAAAATCCAGGTGTTCTTATGAATGTACTGTTGACTTGATATCAGCTTCCAGACCTGTAATTGGGATTGACAGGAATGATCTGCACATACACAGGGATGGAGAGAAGCTCAGCAGAGAGAACCATGGAATTCATAGGATTAATTTTAAAATCTTGATTTTAGAGTAAATATTTTTCACTTCCTACAAGGCATATCTCAAATTGATTCTTCCTCCAGTGCACTACAGGGCCGATCTCACAGGGCCACCAGGCCTGGCCCTGCTGTTGCATAGCGAGTAACACGGATGAAGTCTTACACATGCTTCTCTTCATTTCTTGTATTTCACATACATTGTGTTTTATTTTTGTACCATGTTAAGACTATCTCCTGTCTTTGCCCTTAACTTGTAACACCACTTTTGACCATTCCTGTATGAGAACTCAGGAATATGGGTAACTTTGTGTGTCTGTGTGTATAGCTGCACATATAGTTGTGTACAGCCTTTTGAGCTTTTTAATGGATTATAAGTATGATTTTCGTAATGGAGGGAAGACACAGTTCTTTCAGTATGTGCTCTTTATTTCTCAGTGTGCAGCAGGTATATTTGCAGAGCTTATGTGGTAAAAAGACTGAATGCCGCATCTTAGTTCTGTGAAATTTCCAGGTGTTTGCCTGTAATTGGATGGCTCCTTGAATCTTTGTCTAGGCTAAATTACATTTTCTGGTGTATGCGTGCTGTAAAGGAAGAGATCCAGTAAACCACGATAATGTTTTATTAAGATAAGCACAGTTTTGATCTGCTCTAAGTATAGAACTGAAATGATTAGTCATGGAAAACGGGGCCAAAGCAGACCCCAGAATGTAGTGTCTTTGGGAATACAGACAATGTAGGCCCTGAGGAATTACAAAAGTCAGCCGAACAGTCTTTCCATGTTGCCAATATATGCTGAAAGCACCCAGGTTACCCTGGGTATGTGGTCTTCAGTCTGAACATTTGGGTGTTGTTTCTCATCAACTGAATGGCATTTTCATAGGCTGTTTGGTTTTGTCTTTAGCTTCTTCCAGACCAGCTGGTCTTGCTTCTGGAGCATCTCTTGGAGCAGAAGACTCTGAGCCCCCGAACTCTGCAAAGCCTCCAGAGGACATACCACCTCCAGGATCAGGATGCAGAGGTAACCAGGAACACTCTCGGAGTTTAACCAGCAGGTCCCCACTGTTGTTGAAGAATGGTGATCCCATTGCAGTCCCAAACTATTGAAACCACCATTTCTATTAGCAAAATCTCATGTGTTTGCTGTATGAGTGAAGAACTAAGTGCTTTAATCTGATTATGCTTATGCTTCTAATCAGAGTATTTTGAGGTCTTAAGTTTTTCCCTCTTCTTAAATCATAAAGATGGACATAAGTCTCCTAAAGGAATGAGTGGAATGTTTTTGAGTTGTAAACTTGGGTGGGTCATTGTGCCCACTGACGGTGGTGCCATTCTGTTGCACATTAAGGAAACTTGGCTCAGATGTGTCAGAGCTTCTTGGTTGCATTCAGTTAGGGCAGGAAAGGAGCCATGTGTAAAGGGAATGAAAACTAAATCTAGCAGCTGTAGTTGGAAAAGGCAATTGGATGCTTGCGAGAAAGCAATGTGATATAGTCCTTAATATCTTCTACCTTATTGTGAGGAATGCAGTGTGAATCCTAAGACAAATTCCAGGGTTTTAAAAAAATACAAAATAGTAAATAATGTATTCAGACATCTTAAGTAAAAACAAGAGCTTAAACAGAAAACCTCTTTTATATAAGACTCCCAAAATGCAGAAAGTAAGTTTGGTTTTGAACATTTTAAAACTGTGCAGTCTAGTACAGCAGCCATTAGCCATGTGTGGCTGTTAAACACTTAAATGCAGCTATTTTGAGTTGAGATGTGCTGTAAGTATAAAATGCACAATGAATAGTGAAGACACTGGAATGAAGAAAGACAAAATAACTTAATGTGTCCCAATTGATTATAGTGTTAGTGATATTTGGGATATATTAGGTTAAATATTATTGTAATGAATTTTATAATCATTAAAATGGAGTAATTGAGAAAAGCCCGTTCCTTATTAACCAAAAGGTAAGATGGCCATTGTTAGGCATTTTAAAGCCCCATAAACTCAACAGTGATTGAAAAACTCCAGAGGGGACATGTAGCTTTTTACCCACCTGAGCATAGACCAAATTTACAACTGTTGCTGTTTATTTCAGCTCTTATATTTTTGTATGTAGGAGTTCTCAAATGCCAGACTGTTATTTTTAATTAGTGTTTAAAAGACTTTGCTATATATAGTCATTAGGCTGTGTTTTAATCAGGGTGGAGTACCACCAAACCTCCAGGACCCTGTGATGGGCATGGACAGACCAGAGGGGAGGATCAGAGCAGGCACCGGGCACCTGTCACTTGATGTCCGGAAACCATGAGGTGGCCCCCTTCCGTTTAGCATAAAACATGTCCTGTTCTTGCAGCTCAACTTAGTTGTTATATATAACCTCTTAGAACCTTTGAGAAGAACGGCTGTGGGTGCTAAGGCCAGTGTTGAATTAGGTGGCTGGTTCAGAAACACCTGCCCAGGCTAACGGGGCAGATCTCTAGTACAGCGCAGGGGTGCTTGGGACCTGGTGGGGGCAGATTTCTTTACCTTCTGTGCCCCTATATTTTTGAGATAACGCAGAAAGGCTTCCCTTGCTCTACATGTGACCGAGATGCATATGTAAAGCTGCCTTTCCAGAAGGGTAAGCTTGCTGCCTCCAGCTGTTCCTGCTCCTCATGGCAAAGTGCACTGAGGAGTTTTGTTGGCTGAGCAGCGTGTTCGGGATGTAGCGGCTGCAAGTGAGAAGCCTATTCCATGGTTGCTTTAGCTCCTGGGCTGCCATCCCGGTCTGTCCCTCCCTCTTTTCATGTGGATGGGCCGGTACAGGCCCACCCACACAGAGAAGGAAGAAAGGAGGGACGAGATTACTATTAACCATTCTTTCTATGTGTGGTGCTTCTGTGTATGGGCTGTGTTCACAGAGCATCTGATCTGTTGGTCTGATTTTCTGAGTGTAGCACTGAGTCTGCTGCGGCTGCTTGCCAAGGGCTTGAATGTCGAGGGGTTGTGGGGCCAGGGTTCTGAATACTATCTCAGGTTATGCACACCCTGCCTGCCCTCCATGTGCCTGCATCACGTGATGTGAAGACCCAGGTGTATGCTCTTCATGGAGGCAATGCCCCCGTGTTCAGAATGTGAAAGGAAAAGTGCTCAAGGACAGACAGAGTTGAGAGCATGGGTGGAGTAGGCAAACCATCCCAGGCTACCTCCTGCCTTGCCACCCCTCTGCAGGGCGGGCACAGGCTGCGCTCCTTGATGCTCCTTGGCCTGGAGAGTGAAGCTGACCTCAAAGTCAGCCATCTTGTATGTAGCAGGCCTCAGGACTATGGGCGGGTGCTGGGCCACTGCAGCCAGCACGGAAAATGAGCCGAAGGGAAATCCGTTCCACAGAAGCACCTTGTCTTTCTGCAGTTTTTGAGTATATTTCTCAAATAGCCATAAAAGTTTAAAAAATATATTTGACAGCTAACTCTGGGAACAAAACATGTTATCTAAGATCCCTTTTTAAGTAACACATTTCCTGCCTGCCTTAGCAGGTCTCTTAAGCTGTAAAAATAGCTACCCATGGCAGTGAGATGAGGATCCCTGGACCTTGCCTTTCTGACCTCTTTCCCCCAGGAAGTCCATGACTGACCTTCAGGCAGCAGCATCTCTGCAGGCTCCACTGAGCGCTTTCAGATCTCCGCAGACTCCACTGAGCGCTTTTAGATCTCCGCAGACTCCACTGAGCGCTTTCAGATCTCTGCAGACTCCACTGAGCGCTTTCAGACTGGGGCCATGCCTCAGGGGATGGGCTCCCCCTGTGTTGTTTTGCTGGTGGCCACGAATCCGAAAGGCCCATGCTGCAGCGTGCCCTGCTTTGAGTTTGGTTGATATGCTTAATAAGAACATTAGTTTTCTGGGAGAATTTGGTAGCACCCGTTCTTCCCTTCACTGTGTGGGGGAAATAGTGTTGATTGAAAGGAAGAGGACTCCGAGATTGGATTGGAGCAAGAAAGTGTGGGTATCGTGTGTTGTGACTGTGTCTTCTCCGGGGTGCTGCTTCACTGGAGGTCTCCCTTCAGGGTCTGGCCCTCATGCCTGGCCCCAGGTGCTCGTGTGCACGTGAGCGGCTCTTCCTGCTGACTGACTACAGCTAATTGACAAAAGGCAGTTTCAAAAAAAAAAAAAATCTCAACTTAGTAAGGTGTCAGCACAGAGGGGAGTAGCTAGAAAAAGCTTGCTAACAACATTTAGAGGCCACCCTAAGACAGCTATACTCTCCCAAAGTGCCAAAGAATGTAACCTTGGGAGGCTCCACTCTTTCATGTAGAATTGCAAACTAAACTAGTAGGAGCAAGTGAATGTGAGGAAACAGATTGTAAGGGCATACCTGTTTCAGCACTCATCCGGCTGCCTTCCAGGATAGAAAGGAAACTCCAGGTTGATTGGAAATGGAAAAAACGACCAGCGTCACAGGCCTGTCCCGTAGCACGGGCAGTAGCTGAAGAGGCCCTGCAGACCCTGTGTAATGGGTCTAGGTCTCCTCTACCTCTTTTTTGTTTGTATGTTTGAGACGGAGTCTCGCTGTGTCTCCCAGGCTGGAGTGCAGTGGCACGATCTTGGCTCACTGCAACCTCCAACTCCCAGGTTCAAGCAGTTCTGCCTCAGCCTCCCGAGTAGCTGGATTACAGGTGCCCACCACCACGCCCAGCCAATTTTTTGTATTTTAATAGAGACGGGGTTTCACCATCTTGGCCAGGCTGTTCTCGAACTCCTGACCTCATGATCCACCTGCCTTGGCTTCCCAAAGTGCTGGGATTACAGGCGTGAGCCACCGCGCCTGGCCTCGTCTACCTCTTTTGATGCATCGTACACAAGCCATTGGTCAGGGGGCGGGTCCACAAGCTGGTATTTATCTTAATATGCTGTTACTAATACATTGTTTACTTGGGAAGAAAGCACCATAGCATTTATTTGCAGTCCAAAGGTGGAAGTTGTGAGTCCAGCAACACAATCATGTGACAGCTTTAATGCTCATTTATGAATTTCATTTGGGCCAAAAGCATAGTTCTGTGACTCAAGCACTTAATGATTAATAGAACTCTAGAGGAACTTACCAAAGGGGCAAAGAATGAAGGTTTGATGGTTGTTACATCTCCAGATTCTAAAATTGATCCATAGTTGTGGTTCTGTTCGTTCCTTTCAGTGCTAGAACTCTTTCCATTAGAGATGACTTTCGTCTTCTGCTTTGGAGGGCTTGGAGATGTGAAATGTTCAGGAGGGTCTTTTCCCTGCTGTTGGAGCTTCTTTTTCTTCCCTGGTTGCTTTTTCATAGTATTCTGGCTACAAATAAGTAAGACATTTCTATTTTGTTTTGTTACAGAGTGGCTTAGAGGAAAGGTTAGATATAATCTCTTTGGGCTCTGTTGCTGTTTCAGGATGCTCGATGCTTTAGATTTATTAATATGTAGTGTGCTGAACTTAGAAGTCCTTCCTCTTGTCTGCCTTGATCCAGAGTCTAAGCGTAATAAAGGCAGAAACTCTGGCTATGCTGACGTCAGGTCCTGTCATCGTGGTGTGTGAGGGCAGCACCCAGCTCTGCCTCTCCCACCACGGTGCTGGCACCAGGGCCTCTGCCCCGTAGGACACCGAGGCTTATGAATAGGAGCAGTGCCGGCCAAGGCGCCGGCACCATCTTGGTGATGTCCAGGGGGCCCACCCAGGCCCCCTTTTCCTCTCCTCCCCTTCTCCTGCTGGCTGCCCTTGGTGCAGGCGAATCCAGGGCCTCATTACTAAGCCAGCTGGCTCACCACGTCATCATCCAGCATTGTCAGGAGACACCATTGTGGAACAGAGCCCTACAAGGCAGGTTTTCAGATTGAACATGAAAAAGAACACCATTGTGGAGTGTCAGAGTAGTGTGTGCAATTAGTGAAATGCTTTTATAGGGTAAAATACAAGGAACCAGGTCCCCCCGGGATCCCAAAAGGGCAAGTTGACACTTGCCACCTCCACCTGGCAACCCACAGAAGCTCAGCATTAGGCCGTTTCTCACAGTATGATTGCAGGTACAGGGGTCTGGCTTACTGGCCCATTGATGCCATCAACCTTAGGTTACAGATCAAGAGGCCAGATACCGATGAGTCTGAACTTTAGAACATGGCCTGTGAATAGTGTGACTTCAGGTTTTTAGAAAGCTGAGACCATGCTTGTGAGGGTCATGGCTGTCCCTTTGACAGAGCATTATTCCTTTTCTAGAGTTTAAAAGGTGGGTATAGATTGAAAAAAGGGATTGGGGTAATTGTCTTTAGTTACTTTAGACATATCTTTTTACACCATCTGCTTTTTATGATAGGAGAAAGAATAGAGTTCTCTGGTTTTATTTGTGCATTTTTTCTTTGTCTTATTTGGTTTATGAAACATTTAATCGATGTTTCAGAACATTCTTTCAAAGTCAGGACGGTCTGTCTCTCAGTACATCCTTCTTAGGGTTTTCTTTCTGTTATTCAATTCAGTGCCTCTGGAACTTTCCTGTGGAAAGCCTGCAACAGCATCTCCCCTGTTATACTGTGATAAAGGGATTTTTTTTTTAAAAAGCTGATCTAAAATCACAAAGAACTTTCTTTTTTAGATAAATAATTTCCTGTGTTGTTCCTGAAGATTGTGTTTTGTTTACTGTGAATTTATAGCAAATGAAAGTAAAGAAGAAGCAAGCCATGGACAGCATAATCTGGCTAATTTTTCTTAAATGGTCAGCTTAGCATTTATCTGTTTAAAGAGAGAGGGCATTTAATAGGTGGCTTTTAGCTACAGGTTCAGCCAGACTTTATTAGAAAAGCCACTGGTTGCAGAGTGTCCCTGCCGTCTGCTGTTTGCACAGGGTTCAGCAGTGGGCCCACTGTTACCGACCTCTGAAGATGTGAGGGCCTCTGTGTTTGCTCCATAGGGCGCTCTCCAGTCTGTATAGATTTTCTCAGAAAGATGGAGATGGAGATTTACACATTCTCTGGGGTCTAAATAGCAGTGCCCTGATGCTCTTCTTCCGGTATAGCCAGGAAACCAGCAGCATCTCATATTCATTGTGTGTCCAAAGGCTTCTCGAGTGGAATTAATGCATTGGACTTTAATTGGTGCTTCTGGGTTCTTTACAGCTCAGTCAGTAGTTTACATACTTTTGTATTGGATTTCTGTTCTGAAATCCACACCAGAAACCACACAACTTTCTTTGAACATTGCCGTCTCTTTTTACAATTGTAAACTTAGCCATATTCCCATTTAAAGTATACCTTAAATGCCCTGAAATACAGGGCTCACTCTGCCACAGCTCTCAACATAGCTTTCCAGGTGGCTTTTCTGCCTTCTGGTGGCTTTCATGTACACCATCTTTGCTCTCTAGAACTGTGGCACACCAGGATGTGAGAGGTGGATCTGTCTGGACTTCAGGCTGTGAGAACCTCACAGCACAGATAGGATGTGAGCTTTACCCCTTGTGTTCAGGCCGCTCGCACGGAGTCAGCTTGCGGAAGCACGTTCCCAGGCCTGCTCTGCGTGTAATGGTGGAATTTTGTGTGGATGGCAGGGTATGATATTTAGAACATAAACACAGTAGAGATTGGCTAAACTTTGTGGGGTGGCACTAAAAATGATTTTTAGGCTGTTCAGTCTCTGCATATTGCTTTGCTGCAACCTTGAACCACATGGAACTGTGTTCTGTAGACCACCTGGTTTTGCCCATCCATGGGTGGAAGCAAATGCCCAGGCTGGGCACAGGAAGTTCCCAGGCACTGAGGGAACCAGCCAGCGCAAAGCTGACTTCATGGCCTCGGCTCTCAGGGCACCAGGTAGTTTTTCTCGAGAGTAGACTGTGTAGAATAGTACCCTTCGCTGAAACAGCCTTTCTCAACTTGGTTCTTAGGGTGAGGGGTAACTGTTTTTAGTAACTTTTTTGAGCTATAATTCACATACCATGAAGTGCACCCATTTTAAAGTATACAATTCAGTAGTTTTTAATATATTCACAGAGTTGTACAACCATCACCACAATCACTTGTAGAACATTTTGTCATCCCCAAAAGAAACCCAGTACCCTTTGGCTGTCATCCCTAGCTCCCCAGTCCTAGGCAAGCACTCATTTTTCTGTCTCTATAGATTTGCCTATTCTGGGCCTTCACATAAATGGAATTATATATAATATTTGGTCTTTTGTGACTGACTTCTTTTGACTTAGCATAATGTTTTCGGGGATCATCCTTCTTTGTAGCATATATCATTACTTCATTCCTTTTTATTGCCAAATATTTTGAGTCATATGGATGGATGGCATTTGTTGATCCACACATCAGCTGATGGACAGTTAGGGTGTTTCCACTTTTAACTATTGTGAATAATGCTGCTAGGAACATATGTGTGTACGGTTTTGTGTGGACATATGCTTTCATTTCTCTTAGGTATATTCCTAGGAGTAGAATTGCTGGATTATAACCCTTGTTTAACCTTTTGAGGAACTGCCAGTGTGTTTTCTGCTGTGGCTAAACCATCTTACATTTTCTCTAGCAGTGAGTATGGGTTCGGCCTCCACCAGCACTTGTTGTCCGTCTTTTTTATTTTAGCCATCCTGTTGGATGTGACTTGGTACCCCACTGTCGTCGTCATTCCTTTTTTTCACGTATTGACTAATGGTGTTGAGCATCTTTTCATGTGCATATTGACCATTTGCATATCTTCTTTGGAGAAAGGGCTAGTTAAACCTTTTGCTCATTTTTAAATTGGTTTGTCTTTGTATTACTGAGTTATAATAGTTCTTTATATAGTCTAGATACGAGTTCCTTCTCAAATACAGTTTGCAAAAATATACTCTTATATGATGGTATCCCTTGAGGTATAAAAATTTTCACTTTAATGAAGTCCAGTGTATCTCCTTTGTTTTGTTGAAAATCATTGCCAGGGTCATGAAGATTTATGCCTGTGTCTTTCCTAAAAGTTGTATAGTTTTAGTTCTTTAGTCTCTGGGGTTTATTTTTAAAAGCCTGTTTCTCTAGCTCTTGAACAGAAGGGTATCAGAAGAAATAGCCACTGAGAAGAGAAGGGGGAGGGAAGGCTGAGTTTCTTTCATGGAGTAAAACGTGATATGGCTAGAAATTGGCGGGGCTCAGGATGCCCCCTTTGAGTGGTGGGTTTCTTTTCCTTTTTTAGGCCTCAGTGTGCGTGGCCCTTCTCAAGGAGCTTTCTATGACTGCGCTCCTGCCACAGCCCTGTTCACTCCCTGTTGCCTCATGCACCCTTTCGTGGCTTTTGTTACCAACACGAGTCTACACTTGCTGGTTTACTGGATTTTTCTTAAACTTCCTACTGAACTGTAAGCTCCTAGAGGACAAGTGCTTATCTATTTTAGTCACCATTTTATCCTCAATGCCCAATCGACTTACTTGCTGGAGAATGATGTTACCCGGATTTCATGTCTGACACAGCAAGGTGATGGGAGAGAGTCAGCCATCCCTCAGACTTGGGGAGGTCCTCCAGGCTGAATTCACCTCCAGGGAAAGTGAGGGAAGGGGACGAGTGTCTGCAGGGCTTATTAGAGGAGGTAACGATGGTCACTGTTTCTGCCAGCAGTAAAAGTCCCTTTCAGCAAAGGCTGTGAGTTACATGTCAATAAATTGAAGAAAGAAGGTAGGGTGTATTATTTTCTAATTTCAGAATTACATATTGAGATGGATAGCCATTCAATGAGAGTCTTAGTATGGAAGGAAGGCAAACTGTGCCATATTTCAAAGTGAACCCCACATGGGCTCCCACGTTGTACTTTTTGGAGCCTTTAATAGCACCAGTGTTATTAAATAAAAGAGCCTATTTGGAGGAAAATAAGAAGCATTCCAGGTTTTCAAAAGTAGTTAAGATTTGTCTAAGACCACACAGGTGAAGCAAGGTTGCCTCTTTTATCATACTTGACGTTTGTATTTGACATCAATATTTGATGTTTGTCATCACACTTGACCCTCACCATGATCTCCATGTGCATGTCGAGTGTGATGGCCCTGGTAGCAGTTGAGCAGCACATTGCTGCTGCTTTAGCTCTAACCAGTTAAGGTGTAGACAAGAGCTGTAGGAATTGACTCCAGCAAGGGTGGTAAGAGCCTCCAGTGCTTCATTTGTCCTCTTAACCCTGTGCCTAGGAATTTACTAACCTGGCTTTGCGGTAGCAAATAAAGTAACTTTTAATTTCCTTTAGTTTAAAAAATAACATTCAGATTGCAGCCCTTCAGAAATAAGGAGCAGAAAAGGTGAGAGAGAAAAGAAAAGAATGAAAACACAAATGTGGACAGCCCTGATGTGATCACCACACAGTGAAAGGTTCTTTTCCTCTTTCCATGGGACTGAGCAGGTAGACGGCCTCCACCTGTCCAGAAGCCCCTGGGGCAGTCCCCCACTGGAATGCCGTTTGCCCTGTGGCTACTCTGCAGAGGCCCCCCTTACCAGCCAGTCAGCCCACTGTAAAGTCAAGTTAAATCTAATTTAAGGACACAAATTGACAAAGCAGGTTTGTTTATTGCAGGGTAGACTTATTAACTTAGAAGAGCCATGAGCCCTGGTCTTTCTGTTTACAGAAATAAAATGGAACTCTAAATGAGGTTTAATGGGCTTCCCAGATCATGTTCCCTGGACAGATTTTTTTTTTCCTTCTTCAACAGTAAATTTGAAAATCAAAAGGACTAAAAATAAAGGGGAGTGCTTCCTGTTATAAATAGGACTGGTGGCATTCTTCAAAGCATTTTATAGCCTCTAACTGTGCATTATAATTTCAGAGTGGCTGAAAAGCATTCCAAGTTTTCAAGTGGTACGTTTACTCAGAAGCATTTATCAAGCATGTACTATGTGCTGGGCATTGCGACAGGCCCAAAGATGGCCCAGAGGCCCATGCATGCCCCAGACTTGCATGATGCTGTAAATAAATACATCAGACTAGCGGAGAAGGACACGGCAGTGCAGAGAGCAGTGGGAGCTGGAAAGGCTGCAAGCCCAACTCTGAGAGTGGCCGGTGGGGGCACACTGGGAGCTGATCTCTGGGCTGCAGAGGTGAACTAGGAGATGTGGACGCGTCAGATCACTCAAGTGAACCTGGGTCTGCTGGATGAGCTGTGGCCACAGCAATGCCATCTAGTGTCACAGCAGATTTCCTTGTACCCTCTGTCTGCTGGCTCCAGCATAGCTTTCTTGTTAAAAGGCTAAAGGCTACTAGGACACACTTGAGACTTTGTAGTGTCATCAGAAGACGGAAAGACAGTGAGCTGTAGTATATTAACAGAAGGGCACCATGCCAGTAAATGCAACAGTGGCAGGCAGGGAGAAGGAAAAACCCAAAGTAATATACAGGTCAAGTCTTCCTTATCCAAGATGCTTGAGACCAGAAATGTTTCAGATTTCAGATTTTTTTCAGTTATTAGGATATTTGTATTATACTTAACTGGTTGTTTCCCAAATCTGAAAACCCAAACTCTGAAATGCTTCAAAATCCCAAACTTTTTGAGTGCTGACATGACCCTCCCCCCGCCCCACACACACACACAAAAAAATGCTCACTGGAGCATTTCAGATTTCGGATTTTTGAATTTGGGATGCTGAATATATATCTGTATCAATTGTTGCTGTTGGAAACATCAAAAGTGAATTTGACATGAATGGCTAGAATTTCATGTACATTGGGTTCCGTATTTATGTATAGTCATCTGCTTATAATTTTTAAATGTTTAAAAATAAAGCAAGGAAAGCAGCTACCAAAAGGAGCCATACGTGCTTTTCTAAGCATGGTGACGAGCATGCACCAAACTGAATCCTGGCTCCAGGATTGCCGTGGAAGAGACAATGAGGCCATTCCTGTCTTTGGTCTTGATGGTTTTTGGTGGTGGCACCGCAGCTCTTGGAACCAAGTTGGGTATACTGGCTGAGTTCTTAAGAGCTCATCTGCTCTGTCTCGTGCCTGTAGCCATGTCTGCTCAGGCCCTTGTGAATGATGTTTATTTTTCAGGCAGAGTAATTTTTCTGTAAGACACTGGTTTTCAGACTCTGTCTCCAGTATTGGGGTACTCTAAAGACACAGTGCCCCTTTTTAATGAGTCTGATTCAAGATGAATGCCAGACCATGTTTCCTTGTACAGAGGAATTTGACCTGCAGAGGGAAGAATAAGGCCCAGGGTGTCAGGACTAGCATTAAGGAGCACCTCTGATTTTCTGGTGGAGTCGTGCTAAAGCTGGCCCAAACCCACTCGGGCCGTTGTTCACCTTTTGCCTCATCTCTGTGTTCAGTGACATCATGTTGGTGGATGTTGGGGGATGAACACCAGTACACCACTGTGTATGTTGTGCTCTGGGAGCCATAGCTTGGGCACCCATTCTAGAGCAAGGATCAGCCAACCCCAGCCTGAGCCTGTGCAGCCCATTGCCTGTTCTTGTAAATAACGTTTTATCCAAAGGCAGCCATGCCATGCCCACGTATTTACATGTTGTCTAAGGCTGCTTTGACCAAAAGGCCAAAAGTGCTCAATATCTGGCTCTTGAAGGAAAAAATTTGCCAGCCTCTCTTCTGGAGTTTACCAGGAATCTGGTTCTGGACACATGAAGATATCTTGGGTTAAAAAGAGATTAGGGGCCAGGCTTATGTTTGTAATCCCAGCACTTTGGGAGGCTGAGGCGGGATCACTTGAGCCCAGGAGTTTTTGTATTTTTTATAGAGACAGGGTCCCACTCTTATCCAGGCATAGTGGCATGCACCTGTAGTCCCAGCTACTGGGGAGGCTGAGGTGGGAGGATCACTTGATCCCAGGATTTGGAAGCTGCAGTGTGCCATGATCATGCCATTGCACTCCAGACTGAGCGACAGAGTGAGACTCTGTCTTAAAAAATATTATTTTAAAAAAGAGATTAGAGTGGTTCAAGTTGTGAGGAAGCTTCAGCAGCTTTCCTATTTCCAAGAAAAAAAGCAATCAAATAAGGGTGAGGCCCCTTTACCATATCCTAGTTAAAATTATTGTTATATCATAGACATGCCCGTTGTCACGGGACCTGTGTCCCAAATCCAAGATGTGGTTTCTAAATGGCCCTTCTAGGCATGTGCCATTTTTCTAGCATTGCAGGAAGTCAGAAGAGCAGGCTTCCCCCTCCACTGTGTTTCTGAGCCTTCCAGAGTTCAGCTCCATGGAACCTCTTGGGTAGTGTGTGATAAGTTTCCTGTAAAGGCAGAAGTGGAGTCTGGCTGGGGCTGAGGCTGGGGCAAGGCTAAGGGAGCCATCTTTACAAATGGTTTGCAGGATTCCCAGGTGCCTGTCCCTGGGTCTCCCTCCCAGGAGATGGCCTGAAAAGCTGTAGCTCTTCCCAGGCCCTTACTACTCCTGGGACTCCCCTGCTCCCTCTGCTGTCCTGCTGCGAGTCTCTGACCTGGCCCAGGCTCTTGCTCAGCCATGTGGTTCCTACCTCCTACCTCATGCCAGCCCAGCCTGTCTGTGGCCCTCCCTGCATGTTGACGCTCTTCTAACCCCCATCTTGGGGAGCTGGAGCTGGAGTGGGGCCTGGTTAGAGCAGCTTGCCTGAGCCGACGAGGGTCCAGCCTGGAGCATCAGGCTCTGGAAGCCGAGCTTGTATGTAGGTTTTCACACTGTCCGGGAGTCAAGACACAGTGGGTTATGAAATCCATCTAGTAGGTCACCAGTCAGCATTTTAAAAAAAGAAAGAAGAGGCCGGCGCGGTGGCTCCCGCCTGTAATCCCAGCAGGCCGGGCGCGGGGGCTCCCGCCTGTAATCCCAGAAGGCTGGGCGCAGTGGCTCACACCTGTAATCCCAGCAGGCCGGGCGCGGTGGCTCACACCTGTAATGCCACCACTTTGGGAGGCTGAGGTGGGTGGACCATTTGAGGTCAGGAGTTCAAGACCAGCCTGGCCAACATGGTGAAACCCCATCTCTACTAAAAATACAAAAAAATTAGCCAGGCGTGGTGGCACATGTCTGTGTTGCCAGCTACTTGGGAGGCTGAGGCAGGAGAATCGCTTGAACCTGGGAGGCAGAGGTTGCAGTGAGCCGAGATCGCGTCACTGTACTCCAGCCTGGCAACAAAGTGAGACTCGGTCTCAAAAAACAAAAAACAAAGAATAAAAATACCAGACTGCATTGCGTGTAGTGAAGGAAAGTGTTGGGAAATAACACTTTGATTTCAGTGTGTGTCTATATGTTCTACATATACACATTTGTGGATACGTATGCACACATAGATATGCATACGTGTTTGTACTGACCATCACTCTGCCCCGCACCATTTCCCAGTGCCTGTCATGCAGTTGGCTGCCATGAATGTGCTTGGAATCAGTGAGCCCCATCCTCATAGCCAGTGCCTGTGTGTGTGCTTCCTTCCACGTGCTTTTTGGATACCCAGGTTGCATGTCTGCTTGGGCCTCCTAGGTGGCTCAGGCCTGTACCACAGACATACCCCGTCCTCCCTGTGGCAGTCTGTCAGTGGGGTAGGGTCCACAATCCTGGAACCATTACTTGGATTCCTTGAGGATTTTAATTCTCTACTGCCAGATATGTGTCTGATGTGAATTGGCTTCCACATACCTGCCCTTCATTCTTCCCACCCTAGATTCCAAGACCCTCCCACCTGCACCCAGCCTCAAAGAAGCAGTTGTGTGGAGCACTCTTAGGAGAAGCTGAAATCTTTGCTGTCATTACCCTGTATTCATGGAGGCTTTGGAAACCCGGAAAGTGCTGAATCCCTTTCCAACAGTATAAATTGCGCCTCTGTGTTACCCCGACCTGTACGCTAAGTGAGGGCAGCACTGTCATTGTTTCTGTTGAGCATGTCCCGTAAGCAGAACACTTTGAACAGCAGATGTCCAAAGTAATTTTTATTGGACTAAAGCATTCAAGGGTGCACACCTGTGTGTTGTGCAAAAGTCAACTTCACTGTGATGACATGGAAAGGATCCAGAGACCCAGATGCCACTTCTTCTTGCGAGAGCTGTGCTGATTTATTTCATATGTGAGCTCTCGCCCACTTCCGGCAGGTCAGGAGGCCAGCCAGGCCCAGGCCGCACCTGCTCTTCCCCCTCCCAGGCCACCTGCTTGTCTGCTGCCCAGCGTCAGCACCGGCAGCGGCAGAGGGAAGAGATGAGCACATCCTTGATAGGTGAGGTGTTGGGTGCTTGAGAGGCTGGATCCAGGGCAGAGGTGTGGGTGCTGCAGGTGTCCAGGACCCTGTGCTCACTGCCACGGGCAGCTCTGTTCTCACTTCTCCGTGCCCTGTCCCTGTTTCCCTTCTGCCGTCTTGTTCTTTCTCTACTTGCCCAGTCTCCTTCCCTCCCACACCAACTTCATCATTTTCCTCCCTCGCCCCTTTGGTCATGGTCTGCGGTCTGGGTCTGTGTAGGGCTGAAATACATGCTGACTCTAGGCTCTCAGGTGATTCCTGGCATAGATTTGGAGTGACTTGATGAATTTTAATCACAGTTTTAAAGGTCATTAAATTTTTCAACTATATTGACAATAGAAATATAATAAAATGTGAATATTTGAAGTGTACCATTTGATTACTTTTGGCATATGTACCCATGAAACATTAAACATCAATGAAGAGAACTGAGAAGCCAGATAACTGTATGCAATTAAGAAATACAAGCAAAACCGCCATGAACAAAGTCAGACAGATTGACAAACCTGGAAAAAGCTGCAGTTTCATCAAAGATGAGCTAATTTTCCTAGTACTCAAAAACACTCAACAGATTAACTAGAAAAAGCCAGTGATCCAATAGGAAAAACATGGTAAAGAATATGAATAGACAGTTACTAGAAAGGATTTTATGCACATGAAAAAAATGCTCGGACATGGTGGCTCACACCTATAATCCCAACACTTTCGGAAGCTTAAGGTGGGAAGATGGCTTGAGCCCAGGAGTTTGAGACCAGCCTGGGCAACAATAAGAGACCCCATTTCTGCAAAAAGTAATTAAAAAAAAATTAGCTGGGTGTGGTGGTACATTCCTGTAGTCCTAGCTACTTGAGAGGCTGAGGCCAGAGGATCGCTTGAGCCTGGGAGGTGGAGTCTGTGGTGAGCCACTGCAATCTGGATGACCGAACGACACCCTGCCTCAAACAAACAAACAAACAAAAGAAAGCAGCCATACTCAACTGGTAATAGAATGCCTAAGCTGCCCCGATGGGGATGGGGGCTCTCCCGCTCCTGCAGGCTGGCAGCCCCTCCCAGGGCTCTAGCTCTCTCTGTTCCAGAAATAGCCTCACACCTCTTCAGGCCAGTGGGTAGCTACCGCTTCCATGGTCTCTGGTACTTCACCGTACCTGGCTGGTGTCCATAATACTGTCCCCACCTTTCTAATTAGTCCCTTCCTCAAGTTCTCTCTTAATTAAAAACTAAAGGACCTCATGGACACCATTTTTCACTTATCAAAAGTTTGGTAATTCAGTGGTGGTGATGGTACAGGAAGGTGGGGTCTCACGTCGATTTTGGCAGGAGTGTACATTGCTACACCCTCATGGAAGGCAATTTAGCAGCCTCTCAAAGTGAAGATGTACACACTGATCTGGACACCCCACATCTAGGAAGTTGCACACAGATACCTCAGGGCACCGGATGACCCACACCTTGTGTTTCATTGCATCAGAGGTTGTTTTCAGTCTTTACTGTTAGGATGTAAACTTGTGTCTATCTGTCAGGGTCTCGCTAATCTTAGCATTATTTGTAGTATCATAGACTACCCTGCAACCATTAATACAAGGAATGGGGAATCTCTTCCTGCACTCATGGGAATCGTAAGTCAAGATATCCTATTAAATAATCAATGTAATTATATAAAGTAAATATATATCCTTATCAGGGTACAGAGGAATGCAATCCATGAAGTTATCTTTGTTAGGAGGAAAAGGAAAAATACATTGTGTGTGTGTAAAACACACTGGCCCAGTGGCCACCTGCACAGTAGGGACTGAAGGCAGTCTCTGGGCATAGGGATGAGGGGAAGACCTTACCGTATTTTGTATATTAATCTAGAAAAAAGGATTCTAAAAAGCTGAGAAATAGAAATTGACTTGTTTTGGGGTGTGATTCATTTGCTGATCAGTCTCCATTTGATTGGGTCTAAAATGAAACAGTTACATTTTTCTCCCATCCCTATCCCCAGCTGGACTTTGTCCAGTCTCCTAGGGAGCCAAGCCCTTATCATAATTTCAGATTTAAAGTTCAGATCTCCAGTGCAGGTACCTTGTGGCTGGGGAAGGGTCTGATCAGGTTCTTCTCCTGCCACCTTCCAGGCCTGGGGAGGAGAGGGGGAGGGGACACTATCTCTTGGTAGGTCCCTCTGACCCTCACAGCTGCTCCCCTGCAGACGGCCCTCTGTGTCCTTTGTGGCAGGCAGCCACAGCTGGCTGTCCCCAGGAGCCCAGGTTATGTGTTTCTCCTGCCAGCATCTGCTTTCCTAGGCACGGGACAGCACAGTGCTGTGGCTCTGGGGGAGCCTGGGCCAGCCTCCAGCACTGCCCCGGCTCCCAGACAGGGTGGGAGCAGAAAGGCAGCCAGGAAGTGTGGCTTTCACCTCTGAAAAGCAAACTCCTTCCTAATCGTGCAGAGAAGACAACTGCCCGGGTCCACAGGGAGGCCGGTCGCCCCGCCAGGATGCTGCGGGGTGGCTGGCGACCAGAAGAGACAGTGAGGAGTGCCCACTGGTGCCAGGCACCGTCCTGGGAGCATGCGCTGTCCCTGTTTATTTTTATTCTGACTGAGGAAATTACAGAAAGACACGTTGACCACCCTCGTTAATAAATTAAGAAATAAGAGCAGACCTCTAGACTGGACAGCTGTCCTCTGGTGGCATGCTGTGGAACTCTGTGGCCCCACCTCTCTGGCCCGTAGGGCTTCCCTGCTTTCTCAGCTGCGGAGGAACTTGATGCAGGAGGGCAGAGCATCTTTCACGACCTTGAAGCCCCTCGGTGGTCTGGAGACAGATATTCTGTCAGGGCTCCTTTGGAAATACTGCTGGGCTTAAGTGAGACTGATGTCATCCCCACTCCCTGTGGTGACGAATGGCATGCGAATTGTGGGTCCTTGAGAGTTTGGGGGATAAAAATAAGGATTTTCTTTGTTTCTCAAAGGAACGAAGAAAAGTGAAGACTGCGCGTGAGCAGGAACTATCTGGCCTGCCCAGCCTCCCGCAGCATTTCTGTGATGTCTTCTCAGCATCCTGTCGCCGAAATATTGACATACACTTAGCTCTTTATAATGAAAAGACTTGTTTTTATCTTCTCTTGATGGGGTGGGAAAGGGAGTGGGGGTGGGAGACTGGGCTTGGTCTGTCCTTCCTGGATGCTGTTAGCCTCCAGGGGTCAGAAGCCTGGGTCTCTTATTAATCTTGACAGTAAACTATTTCTAACAGTAAGAAACGTGGAAATACTGACTTCAGATCCGTGGTGAAAGAGCCTCTTCCACCCGCCATCTGGACCTGCACCAGCTGTGGGCTGCCGCTGCCTCCGGCCGCCACCGAGGGCCTTGTTCTACTAGGAAATAAGCCCCAGTTTATGCTTCGTTGTTTCTGTGTGTGTAAATAAGATGAAGGAAAGCACAGAAAGAAAAGGAGAGGCGAAACCCTCCATTCTCACAATCAAATCTAAATTGTATAATGTCCTCCAAGTTTTAGAGTGACAGCAGTCATTGCCAAAAGTGTGGTGTGGTCAGATCAGACAAGCGTTGGTTGTTAGAACACTTTAAAGAACACTTAGAAACCGACAGGTCTCACGCACGGGACCCTCCCTAAAAGCTGGCACACGTAGGGTTTCTTTTGTGCAGTTAAGAAAATAGGCTCTTTCCCTAAGTCTCAGAGCAGCAGCTCCTGTCCCCAGCTGTCGCTCCCATCCATATGTGGCCATCTCGCCAGACCACACCAGCTTGCCTGCAAGGCCCTTCAGCCTTGGGGAGCTGGTGCCCATCTTCACAAAGCTCGCAGCAGATGACACCTCTGCTGGTGTGTGGACCTGGCAGTTTGGTGGCACATTTAGGTGGCTGTGAGTTGGAAGAGAGATGAGGGACGGAGGCGTCCAGCGGGCAGTTTGGGTTCTCCACAGCTGGGCGCAGTTTCTTCTAGCGGCTTCCTCTGGCATGGGATGGTGAGCTAACTTCTTTGAGCTCTGGTCACTTGTTCTTTCTGTTGGGGAGGTGGAGGGACTCTTTCTTGTATAGTGTGTCGTTAATTTCTGTTGGCTGTACAGGAAAGCACATTTTGTTGAAGGTGGAAAGATTTTGCCGTCCCAGCCTCCTTCCCTTTTGCTCTGAGGGCAGAGGCTATCAGCCCCTCCCAGAGGCATGCCACTTCAGCACTTCAAAGGGCCTGGCTGCCTGCGAGCCCAGGGCCGCCCAGTGGAATTCCTGAGTTAACACCCGTTCTCAGAGGGCACTGTGGCCTGGGGGAAGGATTCTTTCCAAAAGATTGGTTTCTCTCCTTCAATCTTAACTGTTTGCATGTAAACCTATTTAGAGTAGATTAAAGGAGAGATCTGGCTAGGTCAGTGGATAATGATGTCATTTACAGGGGCCCTCGCCAAAATGTTGACATTGCTTACATTTAATTATTGCTGCAAATATATTACTATAGAGTATCTCCCTCTTTCACAGTCAGTAAAAACAAGGGGTGATAGAAGGAGGCTCTTCTAAAATGCACATAATCACTTCTATGTATGGCTGATGTTGGTTCAGTGATGGAGTATAAAATGGTTGACGTGGTATAACTGAGAGTGCTTTGATGCAGTAGAAAAAGGCAGGGGACTGGATTCTGAAAAACAAGTGGTAGGTGAATCTTCTTGTAGAGCATGTGCCTGCAGCACCGAGCAATGCCGCCTGCTCCGGGATGTGGGGAATACCTTGCGCAGGTGGTTCTGCCTGTGTCCAGAGGGCGGCCAGGGCTGGCATCGGACTCTTCCACTGTGTCCGGAGATTTGAAGAGGGTGGGAGTGGGGGTTCCTTCCGAATTCCTGCAGGTGAACGTTTAATAAAGTGTATCTTTTAAAAGAACAGCATCCACCTTTAGCTTGTCTGTTTTCAATGTTGTGCAAACCTACACACCTGTGGATACACAGCAGGAACTATCCACTTCAGGGGTGTCCTGGGCTTACTCCTTCCCCAGACTCTCAGAAGGGTGCTTTGCCTCTTTCGGGGAATTAGAGAGCAGTGTCTCCGCCTCTTACTGTGTTTGTTACAAATCAGCAGCACTGAGTCAAATCTGCTGCAGGAACTTAAGGAGTGGTGATTTGAAAGGGAACCCTCACTCACAGCACCCTGAGGAAGGAGCACCAGCAGCCTGGTCGGAATGTGCATTGAATTTCCCGTTATGCTTTGCGTTTAGTATCTGTCATCTTGCAAAATCATGTTTAAAACAGTGAAACACCCAACAGAAACACCTGCTTTTCTCTCTAAAGTTGACCAACAGCCCTAATTAGCACTGTGGTTTCTTTCTTTAAAAAGTAAACTTACTGCACGGTGGCTGACGCCTGTAATCCCAGCACTTTGAGAGGCTGGGGCGGGCGGATCACGAGGTGAGGAGATCGAGACCAGCCTGGCCAACATAGTGAAACCCCGTCTCTACAAAAATTAGTGGGGCATGATGGCAGGTGCCTGTAATCCCAGCTACTTGGGAGGCTGAGGCAGGAGAATTGCTTGAACCCGGGAGGCAGAGGTTGCAGTGAGCCAGATCGTGCCACTGCACTCCAGCCTGGGTGACAGAGCGAGTCTCTGTCTCAAAGAAAATAAAAAGTAAAAAAAATATACTAAAAGAAAATGTAAAACTAAGTGTGTCAACAATGCCAGCCCATTTGAGAGCACAGCTTTCCGGAATACAGAGGCTGCCTGTCACTGGGCCCGGTGGGCTGGGATGCCTGCCTGCTTGTCGCTCACTGGGCTCTCTCTTGTTCCTCCAGGTTCGCCATCGGTGGTGTGAACTCATTGTTAAGCACAAGTTCACGAAAGCCTACAAAAGTGTGGAGAGGTTCCTTCAGGAGGATCAGGTAGGTGTCATCTTTCAGCAGATGGGGATTCTGTAAAGGCTGTCCCTGCACTTCACACAGGAATCCACGTTCTCAGTATCTCTTTCATAACAAATAATTAAATCTGTTACAGAGATTCTTAAGGACTGGTGGGATCTTGCCTAACACTGATTTTTCTGAGCTGCTTTTTTCCTCTCTCAATGTCTTTGAAGGATTGAGTTGAGCACCTTCAATGCCGCCTTGTGGCCCACACGTCATCCGATGCTGCGTGCTCACACTTCACGGCATCTCCAGCACCTGCTAGGCCATGCGTGTCCCTTGGTGACGCCGTGGGGTAGATCCCTGATTTCAGTGGCCCTCATTTAAAGTACACGTGCAAGTCAGACTGGGAGAGCCCCGACGGGACAGTCTCGGTCTGTACCTGCACCTGCCGTGCTGTGCTAGGCGGGTTTCCTTCCTGTGAGAGCTTTTCTCACTGTTCACCAGGGACAGCAGTCACCTTCCTAGGAGTTCACAGGCAGTGCGCATGTGGGAGCGGATCTGGGGAGACCTTCATTGGCCGCCTCTGATGTCCGCAGTGTGTCAGGTCACCAACAGGTGTGTCCTGTAACACGTCACAGCCTCCCACGCCTTCCCCATTTCCCCACTCTCCACCCCCTCTGCCTCTGAATGAGTGGCCTGTCAAGCACTGTGGGTAACAGCATGGAGCTGCCTTCCAGCTGGGGTGGAGAGTGGGAGTGAGGCAAACAAAAGGACTTTTGATAGGGTCTCAGTGTGGGGGACAGCCAGCCAGTGAGGCCTGAGGCCTCATTATTCCTACAAAGAAAAGTACATGCCTTTGTACCAGAAGAAATGTCACATTTGCACAGCAGAGCAAGAGGTATCTGGAAAAACATACAGGAGTATAAGAAGGACAAAATTTAAGAGCAACTTTATGGTCTGTTCTAAAGACCAGAATTCACTGCAGTATATTTAGAATTGTGATCTTTGACAAATAAGGATCACCATGTCTGGACTTTTTTGGGAAAGCACTTTTGAACCCTTAACTACGAAGTTTTGCTCTTGCGATGTCTTTGAGACCCTTCTTTTAGTTTACTCCAGCGGAATGTAACTCGTGGCATAACTAAGCATGGCACAAGAGAGTAGACAGATCCAGATGGGCCCTTGGGTCTTCTAGAACGTCCTTGGCTATTTTAAAAATACAGGAAAAATGCAGATGTGAGTGTTTGCGGCATTGTTCCCAAGCAGCAGAGCCGGTGCGGGCTACGGTGCAGGGCTGTGGAGGAAAGGGCGCAGGCGGGGTGGGCGTCTCTGCGGGCATCGTGATGTGTCTCTGCCGCGGCTGCTGCCTGCTGTGCTCTTTGCTTCCCTGGCAGGTGAAGGACTTCCCGGATGAGCTCAGACCAGCTACTCCTAGGGACACACTTTGCGGGGCAGGAGTCCCGTGTCTGTAATGCCACACAGGCTCTCCGCGTGGTAATTCTGGGAACCATCTCTGTCTGTTCAGAGCGTTCCTGACACGGCCATCATGGTGGGAATGCCTGCTCATCGTTCTGTCACCAGTGAAATCGTCAGAGTCTGTGTAGAGAATTGGGAGCTGAGGATTCCTTGGGGTTTTGAGTACAAGGAGGAGACAGGGATTGCAGACTGCAGCTTCCAAAAGCACAGTCAGCCCACGGCCTCTGTCTTCTCTGGGGTCTTTGCAATTTCTAGACCAGCAAGTGTGTGTGGAACAAGCACAGACTGAGCTCATGTGTGCGTGTGTGTGGGTACCCACACCTTCGCCTGATGCCCTTTGGCCTCTGTGCCCTGCAGGCCATGGGTGTGTACCTCTACGGGGAGCTGATGGTGAGTGAGGACGCCAGACAGCAGCAGCTCGCCCGTAGGTGCTTCGAGCGGACCAAGGAGCAGATGGATAGGTCCTCAGCCCAGGTGGTGGCCGAAATGTTATTTTAACGAGGTGATTCTCTCCCTTTCCTTTCTGTCATTTAGTTCTAACCAGATACTCCTTTTAGGAGCCAACTAAATCAGTAAGCCGAATAGTTAGCCAAGACTACCCGCAGCATCAATAGTCGGCTCCCTGGCCCAGGGCCTGGAGAGTAACTGGCCAAGTGGGTGCTGGGCTGGTATGGGAGCCCCGGGTCCCTGGAGCACCTTGCCTGGCTGTGGCAGTCACCGGGAAGCAGAGGCTGTCCACCTGGAGGCACAGCGGCACTCCTTGGCACTATTTTGGCCACTTCAGGTTTTATAATCTGTTGAAACAAAAATTGTGGGGGAACATCTTGAGTAGGTTTAGAGATGGAATGGGAAGCCTGGCAGAAGCGCTGGTCCAGTCTTCAGGGTCACGGCTGATACAGGAGTTTAAGCGGCCGTGTGACTCCAAAGCCTAGCTTCTGCAAGCAGATGTTTTCTTCTAGCCATGTGTGAATTGGAGGTTCCTTGGGCTGTCCACGCCTGGTCATCGGCTGGCAGGAGGCTCTCCAGGCACACGCAGCACACACAGCACATGCACCACACGTAGCACACACACTGCATGCAGCACACACACACCAGAGGACGCACCACACAGAGCACGCACAGCACACACCACACAGCGCACGCACCACACAGAGCACACGCGGCACACACAGCACACACAGCGCACGCACCACGCAGAGCACACACGGCACATGCAGCATACACACCAAACAGCGCACGCACCACACAGAGCACACGCGGCACACGCAGCACACACACCACACAGAGCACCTGGAGCACCCACAGCACACACACCACGCAGAGTACACGCGGCACACACACCACACACAGCGCATGCACAACACAGAGCACACACAGCACATGCACCACACGTAGCGCGCACACTGCATGCAGCACACACACCACACACAGCGCGTGCACCACACAGAGCACCTGCGGCACACACAGCACACACCGCACGCACCACACAGAGCACATGTGGCACACACAGTGCACGCACCACACAGCACCCGCGGCGCACACAGCACACGTGGCATATGGCCTCCATGACCCTGTGTCTTGAGGGCAGGTCCTACTTTTTGCTTTGTTGTGTTGGAGCGGAATTTCTCCCCTGGCTTCTATTGGAGTCCTAGATTATTTAAATCACTTCCTCTGTTAATTGTGCCTGGAATTAACCTGTTAGATTTACTTCCTAGCAGTTAGTTGCTCAGTATGGGTTTCTACACTATTAAAGCAACCTAGCGGTAGTACACAAGGTTTTGTTAGGATAGCTGTGAGATTTTTTTTCTCTAACAATCATCATTATTTCTGTGTCTGCTCCGTTTTTCTTCAGTGTTTTATATGATATTAATAGGGGATGTCTAATTTTGTATCTTTAAAAAAACTTTATCAAATCTGAAGCATTTTTCGTGTTATAGCTTCTCTATAATTTTTCATGGATATTGAATATTTGGTGTTGATATTCTTCACTCAGTTTTGAACATTGAGTTTTCTTCTAATGTTTTGTGCTTATGAAAACCATTTCTGTGTAACGTGTTTAAGTAGCTTATTTATCTGAAAGAACTCTAATAATGAAAAGAAATAAAAAGTTTTTCAGAAGCATGATCATATTCTTCCAGAAGAGTCAGGAACCATGTGTGCCAGGAAAGGGAAACGGGACTGAGCGTCTCGTAGCGAAACGCCTGCTGCAGACTTGACGCGGCTCCCCTCCAGGACGGGCTGGCGGCACACAGACTGTGCACTTACCTCACTGCCGGCCTCATAATAGTAATCAGTGTAAATGGTGTTTCTCTTTCGTTTTGTTATTTCGTGGCGTACGTGTTAAAGTGTGTGAAACTACAAGGCCAGCTAGTCCTTTCATCATTCCCTTTGGTGCAGGTTTTGGAGCAGCACCACAGGGCACACCCCTCGCCACTCTTTATGGGGAATTTTTGCCCAGGCAGGCAAAGGAGTCATCTTGGTCACAAGTCTCCCTTTTCCCCCTCCCCAGCATCTTCGATCCTGTCCCCACCCCTCCAGATGCATCCAGGGGTTGCAAGCCTGCCCCCCAACCAGTCCCCGTGAGGAACAGTGGCCGGGATTGTCCCAGGGCCCCTTCCAGCAGGGGGACCTCCTGACTTGAGAGTCCCCAAAGCCTTCCCAGGGCAGCTAGAATCTGCCTGGAGAGAAGGGATCTTGTCCCCAAGGGTTAGAGGCAGTAAACTAATAGCAAGGACAGCTGCCTTTAGCAATTGTGTGTGTCGCATGGCCGGTCCCTGCATTTTTCTTCAGTTCCAAAGCTGCACTGGCATTTTTATGGTCATCTCTGGAGTCCCTTTGATTCAAGAAATTATACCTCTAGGATGCCAACTAAACGAACAACAAACAGAAACTCCACCTGTTTGCTAGCATAACAGGCGTGAAGGCGGCAGTGTCGCCGGCGTCCTTCCGCGGAAGCCCAGTGTGTGCAGACAGCACGGGGTGGCGCTGCTCTCAGGTGCTCTGGCTGCTTGGGTTCCTGGCATGCTGATTTGTGACTTAAGATTAAAATCACATTGCCAGGGATTACCACGCAACCACGACCTTGGCTGCTCCTCCAGAAACCGTGGTCGCGCTCACTGCAGATTGGAGAACAGGTGCATCTCGTAGCTCTTCTTTGGAAACAAAAGAAGCCACCAGCTGAGGAAGATGCTCACCGGTCACCGTCCCTTTATTTATGCCCAGCGATGACCTCTCTAACAAGGTGCAGAGCTTAGCTGATTGGTGAACAGTGATTGGTTTCCGCTTTGTTCACAGTGGCTAAGTTCTGCACCTGAAGAGAAGGTGAGATGGGGACAGTTAAGTTGGAGCCGCTGGGGCAGAGGCCGTTGCTGACGGGCCGGCCGCTGCTGCACAGTCAGCTTGGGTGCGGAGCGCGATCCTGGAGGATGAGAGACCACTTGACCCCAAGGATGCACTGTCTCCTGCTGGGAATGCTAGCCATGTACTGAGTCCTTAAGTCTGTCCACAGAAACATGCACTAATCGGACATCTGTCTGAAAGGTCAAATGTATTGAAAGTTGCAAAAATTCTTCTTACAAAAAACTAAAACCAAATGCATCACCTAAGTCGTGTGAAATCATGTGGTAGCTCATGGCTGTGAGCGGGGCGGGGCGGGGCTTTCGGAGGAGCTCCTGTTGTTCTGGGCGCGGTGAACTCTCTCTTGTATTTGCAGTCCAGGCCTTCGCGTCTCCTGCGCCAGCAGACGGTGCCCACGGAGCTCCCAGCTGAGGCGCTGCTTCTCCGGGCTGTCGATTGGACCCGCCCTCCGGTGCCTACTGAGCTGATATCAGTTCTCATTTTACACACTGGCTCAGTTCAGCAGGAACAGGAGTCGAGCCCTTGAGCAAAAAGCCTTCGTGTCTGTAAGTGCCCGAGGCTCAGGAGAGCTGGGGCTCCCACTCGCGGCAGACAGGCCCGCGTCCACCCTGCGTCCACCCCGGCCCGGCGGCAGCACGGTGCCAGTCATCTGCATGTGCTCCTGCGGCGTGGGGGTTTGTAGACTTGGAAAACCCTGTTGGCAGAAAGTTAAGAGCTCCCAGGCCTGAAGGCAGGACACAGTGCCAGCAGGGGGCCGTTTGCCCCCATGTGTAAGGGAGGCAGGGCCCAGCTCTCCCACGGCGAGGTGAGCTGAGACTTTCTGAGAACAGTTAGAGTGGGTGCGTGTCTGAAATGGGTACTCCTAGCAGCTATTGTGTACGCAAAGCCTGAGTACAGCCTGCTGGTGTCATGGCCACGTGTGAGCAGGCCAGCGTCACACGGCTCGCTGTGACCCGTCCCGGAGACTGAAATGGGCCTGGGTCTTCTCCTTGTCCTGTGATTAAAGTCCTCTCTTGAAAGTGGAGAGCAAAGGCACACAGAGGTGCGCGCTCACAAGAATTCCTCCCGGTGACTGGGTAATCAATGTTACTGCTGTTTCCTTTGCAGGAAAGACCACAGCAAGATTCTTTCATTCGTCTCCTCCTAGCCTGGGGGACCAGGCTCGAACTGACCCTGGACATCAAAGGAGGGATTATGTGGCTGCTAAAGCCATCGGCCCACAGCCCTGTTCACATCTTGGTGCTTCTCTTTCCCAGAGGCTGGTCCCAGCCAGGCACACACAAAAGGCAGATTCTCGTAAACGCAGCCTCCCTCCCTGGAGGCTGCCTCCTGCCCTGGATCTGGAGTGGAGCTGCTCTGAGATTTTGAGTTCTTCTGCAGAGATGATTAAATATATCCAAGAGACATTGGAAAACCTGCTGAACATTTTACATTGGTCTGCTCAGCACATGGCTGGATGCGGATATTTCTATAATTCCAGAAAGTCACACAGCTCCTCTGTATGAGACCAGTGGGCGCCATTTAAAAGAACAGGATGAGAATCTAAGATATATTATTAATAAATGTAATGGATTTTTTTTTTGTATACGTGTTTGCTTCTAAATTTCATACTGTTTAAAAATAATAAAGGCCAGGTGCGGTGGCTCATGCCTATAATCCCAGCACTTTGGGAGGCCGAGGTGGGTGGATCACGAGGTCAGGAGATCGAGACCATCCTGGCTAACATGGTGAAACCCTGTCTCTACTAAAATACAAAAAATTAGGCGGGCGTGGTGGTGGGCACCTGTAATCCCAGCTACTCGGGAGACTGAGGCAGGAGAATCGCTTGAACCCAGGAGGTGGCAGTTGCAGTGAGCCGAGATTGCGCCACTGCACTCCAGCCTGGGCGACAGAGCAAGACTCCATCTCAAAAAAAAAAAAAAAAAAAAAAAAAAAGCACGTACAAGAAAAAGGTATTCTCCACATTCTGGTGTTCCCCCCCCACCTCACTAGTTTCTTTGTTGTTTTCAAGGTAGTGTTAGTTCTCTTAGAAGCCTGAAAACAAAAGTAATTTGGCTGCGCGTGGGGCACCCTCTTCCGATAAAATGGAGAGCCTGGGCATATTCAGGCATCGTGGGAGTCTGGTGGTATGATTTTTCTTTCTCCACAAGGTTTAGGGTATAGACAGAAGCTGGGCACTGAGCTTCCTTGGCACTGTCCATGGGGCAGAATGTTTGAAAATGCCTGGAGAAGGCTGTAGGAACGGGTGCAGCCATGGGCCCTGTGCCAAGTTGGGCTGAGCATGAGTGCACCTGAACACACCCACAGTCTCCTCTGCCTGGCTCCAGGGGGCAGCACAAATTCTGGCCTGTTTGGGGTGAAGTGGGGCTCTACCATGGATCTCATTAGAAGCTCTGGACTGGGAGGCCTTGGTCTCCAGAACTCTCTTTTCTTGTCCCAGTGACTGATTCCAGAACGTTCTTAGGATTTGCTCTCTGCTGTCACATGCCTTTGCGTGGGACTGTATAGCTGGCTGTGCCATCGTGGAGGATGGCTCAGAACTTGACTGTTATGTTTGAATAAATACACGACCGCGGCTTCCTGTGGAGATTTAGAATGAACGATGCTTTCTCTCTGTGTGCTGCTGCCTTTTTTTTTTCCTTCCTTTCTTTTTTTTGACAGTTTCACTCTTGTTGCGCAGGCTGGAATGCAATGGCACGATCTCTGTACACTGCAACCTCCGCCTCCCGGGTTCAAGCGATTCTCCTGCCCCAGCCTCCCGAGTAGCTGGGATTACAGGCTCCCGCCACCATGCCCAGCTAATTTTGTATTTTTAGTGGAGATGGGGTTTCACCACGTTGGTCAGGCTGGTCTCGAACTCCCGACCTCACGTGATCCACCTGCCTCGGCCTCCCAAAGTGCCGGGATTATAGGCGTGAACCACTGTACCCGGCCTCTCTCTCTCTCTCTCTCTGCGCTTTCTAAGTGTGTTTGGCTTTCACTGAGGCAGAGCCAGGAAGGACCGTGGGAGTACCGGCCGCACTGCCCTGCGAGGCTCCCACTCCCACTGTGTGCAGATGCTTGGCACCTGGAGCTCTCAAGAGCTGCGGGTGGCTCACCGGCCCAGTGGTTTGGGGTGACCTTGCTTTTCCAAAAAGTGAAAGCCATGCTTTATCTTCTTTAGAAACCACTAAAGCAAAGCTGAACTGCTGAATAGGTGGGGTTCTGCACAAAGACCACTAATCCCCTGGCTCCTGTGAGTCACCGGGTCTTGTGACTTGCTTTGACCACCGGGGATCTGGCCAGTGGGTGGCATAAATTTGGTGGACCTCATCAGAACCGGACATTGCTGTCACGGATTTGACTGAGGTCCTGCCAGGAGTCGGCCTTTGCTGCCTCCAGACCTGGGGGCACCCTGCCCGTGCTGGGGCTGCCCCTGGAGGTGAGGGAGGGAGGAAGCCGGAGAGCAGCTCCGCCACTCTCTCCAGGCAGGAGGCTCCCCGAGGCTCTGCAACTGCCCTCGCCGGCATCCTTCACCCGTGCCTCAGCTGACTCTGAATGGGTTCTGCTAGCTGCTCCTCTGGCATCTCCTAAGAGACTTGAGAGAACCTCCACCCAGGGCCTGGCAGAGAGGCCTCTAGATTCCAGCCTGAGAGCAAACCGGGGTCTCGGGGTCAGTAGGAGACAGATGTGACCAGTACTCTTCCATTTTTAAGTGAAGTATCACATCAGAAACTAGCTCAGATCAAAGGGCGTGTGACAACTGAGGCTAGAACGCTCACTGCCTTAGCCCAGCCATAGCACCTTCGGAGAGCAGGGCTGTCTGCACGGGACATAGTAGTTTTGGATGAAGACGGGCTGTCTGGAAGAGCAGGATGTGGGTGTGCTGGGGAACCTGAGTTCCCACTGTGGATTCATCTGCCAAGTGGCAGGGTTTGAACGCAGGTCCACATGGCTCAGAGCTTTCCTCCACGCCACAATGCCTCCCCAGCTGTGGGCCCTTCGTTGACATCTGCTGAAGCCTCCGTGTCCAGGCACTCCTGGGGATACTGTCTTGTCACACTCAGCAGCCAAGACTTGAGAGGCCCCCCTGGGCCTTCACTCCTAATCCAGTCTGATGGAAGGGCAGGCTGGGTGGGGGCACGGGCTGCTTTGGAAAGCATGGAAACCTGAACTTGAATCCGCCAGTTAAGTGCTGTTTCCCAGCCTCAGCTCAGCAGCTCCCCGCGGCCGACCCATGGGTGGGACCTGTCACAGGTTCTCAGTTAATCAGATGTGAAGATATTAGCTCCCCCCACCCTGCAACAGGCTGTAAGAAACTGACAGGAACAACCTTCTTTACCAACAAGCCAGCGCCTCCACTGAACAGACGGACCCAGGACTGGAGGGTCCCCACAAGACACATCAGCTTCCTGTCTAGGTAGAAGCCAAGAAACACCTGCTCACAAGGGGCTTTCTTAGGCTCTAAAATGACTTGCAGATGCCATGGGATGGGGGAGCCCCATGGCTATGCCCTGAGGCTGCGTGGGGCTAAACGGCACTGAAGGGCCACTGAGGGGCTGGAGGGCAGAGGCCGCAACACGCCACCCTGGCCCCTGTGGCCTGCAGCCACTAGCAACGTCACAGGGCCATCTGTCCCCTGAGTGGTAGGTACGAACAGTTAACTGGGTTTGCCAGGTTTAATAAAAGATCAGGGAGAGGCAGCAAGTTAATGGGTTAATTGCCACTGTCCTCCAGGAGAACAAACGGATGCCGGGTCCAGTCCTTCCCCCTGAGGCCGCAGAGATGCCAGTGTTTCAGCCCGCAGGAGCCGGGCAGCCCAGTGCAGGGCACTTCTCCAGAGGCCAGCACGTTTTAAACCATGTCCCCTGCTGCCGCCTCCGGCTGTCTGAACACAGGCTGCGCCAACCTGTGGCTGGGCCCGGGCCCAGGGCCTGCTGCGGGAGGGGAGGTAGCCAGGGCATCTGAGGGTGACCCCAGCCCAGAGGGCCCCCCCTTCGAAGGGAGGAAGCAGCAGTGACCACACCCTGCACTTGGTCGCCTGCAGGCCTCGCCAGCACCCTGGGGCCGGCCTAGAAAGGCAGCCCCTGCCTCCCTGCTGGGGTTGAAGGGACAGGAGGACCTCCCCAGCCCAGGGCTCTGGACCACAGCCAGGGGTATAAGGGCAGGGAATTCTGGCTGGACAAAGGCAAAAAGTGGGGTGAGGGAGGATACAGGAAAGAAACACCAGGGAAGACGGTCAGGTCCCAGCTCAGCTTCCTTTGAGGATTAAAGGATTTTAAAGCATTTATGTTTATTGGAATTTCAAACCAAAATACTGAAATAATAGCCTCCATGCTAGGCAAGGTGACCTTGCCTGCAGCATGGAGGGAGGCCAGCCACACCCAAGACAGCCCTGACGGAAAACCTGCCCTCAATGACAAAGGGGTCCAGGGAGGCTGCGGCTTCCCTCCACCTCGATTCAGCCTGCAACAGCCGGTGGCCGGGCCTGGGGGAGGCCGAGGGGAGGGACCTGTGCCGCAGTGACCTCACCAAAGGCAGCTGTGACCCACAGAGCAGCTGAAAGCAAGGCCAAGGGCCGCTTTCAAGGGACAGTTTGTTTAGAGTTTCAAGTTCTAGACCAAGCACGTCCTTGTTCTATAGATGGGGCCAGTGGAGGACTTGTGTGGGTCATGGGTGGGGGTGAGGGGAGGTGCTGGCAGGGAAGGAGGGCTCCTTGGCAAGGCAGTCCCACCCGGCAAGGGGCCACAGTCTGTCCTGGGAGGCTCCTTCCAAGCAGAACTCTGGGTGCGCAGGGCCCACCACACCCCATTCCCCAGAATAAGCGGGGTGCTGCCTGGCACTTTGTCAGGGGTTCACATTAAAGTGTGGTGGCTCTTTGGTTAGTTGGTGCCCTTGGGCTGAGCCACTGCAGGCTCACTCTGTGCAGGGCCCAGCCATGACAGTCACTGTATAGGGGCACGGAGACGGTGGCCACCCAAGAGGTTTGGGGGAGCTGGAGGTTGAAAGGGCTGCCTGGACCTCCCAGGGTCGTTCCCAGCACCCGCGGGACAGTGACCTTGGCCTTGCTGCTTGGGCTCTGGAGATTTACAAGGTGGAAGTGAGGAGAGGCCAGTTGTGACTATTCAGTGGCAGGGTTTTATAGATCTCTTCCCACCCTCCCTGCTGTCTGGGAGACTGATCACCCGATAGGCATTCCTGTTCCAGTCGGATAACTAGACGGTGTGAGAAAGGCCGGCAGCCGAGCCTGGGGTGGAAGGAAACCACCGTAAAGCCACAGATGTCCCAAGACCAACTTGGCACGTGTGCATGTGCGCACCCCACCCCAGCAGCCCCCATGGGAGGCCCAGCCTGAGAAGCCACTCTTGGGGCTGGGGGTGGGAAAAGGGGGTTGATGCCCCGTGGTTCTCACATAGATCCAGAAGAGAAGAAAGGCTGAGAGCTTCGGTCACCAGGCTGTGGCCTGAGAGAGTTGCTGATGGCACCAAAAGCCTGTTGAAGGCTGTGTGTGTGTGTGTGTGTGTGTGTGCACACACACACACACTAGTAGGGAGAGGCAGTGCAGGGCTAAATGCAGAAATGCAGAGAAAGACCTCTGACCACACAGTTCTGTCTAGTCCCAACAGCTTACAAGGAACCAGACCGGTCCCTGCGGTGTTTGTTGAGATAAAACAAGGTCAGGGTTTGGCTTCTCAGCCCCAGGACTTAAAGGGGGTGGGCCCAGGGGGAGCTGCTGTAAAGACCAGAGCCTCCCACCCCCGCCTGGGCCCACCCAGCATCTGGCTGCTCTGCCACCCCTACCTGACCCTGGCAGTCGCTGAGTGGGGCCTGGGGGCGGGCCTGGGGCTGCTCCCAGGGGGACTGTCCATTCTGAGTCTCCCACAGGCTCCCCACCTGGGAGAGGAGTGCCCAGCTCTGATCCTGCCTGGGGCCGCCTGCCCAGACAGCTCATCTGTGGCTTTGTCTGGGGCACAGAGGCGACTGGGTGTGCACCCTGTGGTTTCCATTTTCTTAAGCTTTCTTTGTGCTCCTTCTGCCTGTAATTTCTTTCAGCCTGGGCCTTTGTGGAATCTGTCCGCCACTTTAAAGCGCAGCCGAGGAGGTGCTTTTGCCAGCGGGGTGTGGGTGGGGTGCTGAAGCTGCCCATGGTCAGACCCTGACTCACTGCCAAGAGTCCTGAGTTCCAGAAAGTTCCTTTCTGCTCTCATAGTCCTCCCTTGCCACAACGAGGTCTGACAGAACAGAAGTGCGTTTCCTGACGACTGGATCGGACGCTCATGGCGAGCTCTGAAAGGCAGGAGTCAAGGAAGCCCTCTGTGGCTAAGACACCACACTCTTCACCCGTGATCCCTGAGGTTTCTGCATTCTGACCCTATGATTTAAGTCCCCAGGGACTTCAGCTGCAGTTATGTTTAGGGAGGGAGGCTCAGGAAGAACATGAATTACGGCATAACTCAGAGATGAGGCCGGAGTCCGTTTCAGTGATTGCTGATGGAATGGAACAAGTGTGCATTTATGTTGGGTTGTAAAGAAAACACAGATAATTTATGGGGAAGGAGCTATAGTTTGATGATTGTATCTGCTTTACTAAGTTAAAAGCGTGGAGGAAGTGACTGCAGAAACTTGGTTTTAGCACAGCTGAGGCAGAGGACTTGCGTACAGGAGGAAAGCCATGATGAGCACAGGGCCCTGGCAGATGGAGGATGGGTCTTTGGAAAGCTGGGTCATGGCCCAACAAATGTCAGGGCACATGCGTCCAGTCATAGTAAGTAGACTTTTTCTAGAAAATTCTGTCCAATGGTAGAACATAAGTCCTGTGAATAAGAAACAAAAGCACCACCACGGTGACTACGGTGCAAGGATCAGAGATGGCGCTGTCTCCTTTTAAAGTTACAGATGGTGCCTGGCCTCCTTCCCTTCAGGGCAGCGTTTAACGGCAGCCCTCTCTTAGAGCAAACAAAGAGTCTTCCTTTGCATACTTGATAACAACTTATTTTTCTCATAGATCACACATGCAAACAAATATAGGTAATATGTAAACAAAAAGTAAGTTTTCTCTGCCTTTTCAGCTAGTCTCTTCCCCAAATCACTATAATGAAGTTGATTACCGTCTCCACCCTGGCGCCGGCAAGCACGTGTGCAGGCCCTGCTTTATACACGGAGGGTGGCACAGTGTTCACACGGGTCTAGATTGGCACGTACATAACGCTCGCTTCTCTGTGTCGATGGCTGCATTGCATGGACGCGCTGTAACTCGAGAGGCAGTGACACCCCACCTTCTGGGGGCTTCGTTCAAGTCCCAGCCCTGCTAGATGGCCTCAGTGTAGCCTTGGGCACATTATTCGGCCTCTCTGTGTTTGCATTTCCTCCTCTGTAAGCTTCAGCTGACTTTGTTGGGTCAGTGTGTGTGAAGTGGACAGCAGGCCCGGGCTCAAGGGTAAGAGTGTGCACTTGCTTGCACGCAGGCTTTTCCTTTTTTTCTCTCGTTCCTCTCTCTCCCCCACCCCTTTCTTGCTCTTCTCCTTTCTCTCCCTTTCCTCCCTCTCTGTTTCCTTTCATTTATATCTTTATGTGAACCTCTGAGTTGCCCCAGTGGTTGTTGGCTGTCGCATCCTGCACACGCACAGGCGCCGGCATATCCACGGGGAAAGCCCTAGATGTGCGCACTAGTGTGGATCCCTGCAGTCTGCAGTGGAGGGAGTGGGGTCAGGAGAACTGGGTGTCTGCTCCTTGGAGAAAGGATATATAATCTTTTTCGATCTTAGTGCTTTTATTACAGCAGAATACACATAAGATTGACCAGTATAACCATGTGTCAGGACCCAGCTCAGCAGCCTCGGTGTCTTCATTGTTGTGCAGCTCACCACGATCCGCCTGCAGAACTTTTTCATCTTCCCCAGTGAAACGGGACCCATTCAACACTCGTGCCCCACTTCCCCTCCCCCAGGTCCCTGGGAAGCACCATGCAGCTTCCTGTCTTTGAGGCTTGCCTGTTTTAGGGAGCTCATATGAGAGGATTCATAAAATCTTTGTCCTTTTATGTCTGGCTGATTTCATTTAACATAAAGTCTTCCAGGTTCCTCCATACTGTGGCGTGCTCAGGATCTCTGCCTCTTTTTTCTTTTTTCTTTGAGACAGAGTCTCACTCTGCTGCCCAAGTGGAGTGCAGTGGCACGATCTTGGCTCACTGCAGCCTCTGCCTCCTGGGTTCAAGCAATTCTCCTGCCTCAGCCTCCCGAGTAGCTGGGATTACAGGTGTGCGCCACCATGCCCAGCTAATTTTTGTATTTTCAGTAGAGACGGGGTTTCACCATGTTGGCCAGGCTGGTCTTGAACTCCTGACCTCGTGATCTGCCTGCCTGGGCCTCCCAAAGTGTAGGATCTCTGCCTTCTAAGGCTGAGGACCATCCTGCCATACACACAGACCACGTTTCCTTTCTGCACTGGCTTGGCTGCTGGCGGATGCAGCTGTCTGCCTCTTGGCTGTCCAGGAGAGTGCTGCCAGGAACATGGCGTCCAGGATTTCCTCAGCTGTTACTTTGCATTCTTTTGGGTAAACATCTAGAGGCAGAATGGATAGATCAGAGTTCTAGGTTACCATACTGTTTCCAGAGTCAATTTTCTATTTTGATTTTTTTCACCCTATCTTACGGTGCTGATAAATTTGGATGTTTGACAGGCTGTCCTCCGAAAAGGTGGTACCAGTTTCCTGTCCCTTCCTCTGCCTGTTCCGCACTCTGTCATCAGCATGGGGAGCATCAGCCTTGAGTGTTTCCCAAGCTGCCGTGGAGATGGTTGGGAGCACCTGGGCTTCTGCCACGCTGTGGAAAAGCCCCTGCCGTCCCGTTCCCTGTGTCGTGTGTGTCCCTGCCCGTGCGTTTCGAGCTGGCAGCTGTTTCCTTACTGATGTGTAGAAGAGCTTTAGAAGTTAGGAAATTCGCTTTTTTCATGTGCTGCAAATACTTCTTCTTCCCTCAGTTTACCATGTGTATTGAGATACTTTGGTGAGTTTGCTTTTGATTTCTGTATGGCCAGTTTTACCCACCTTTTCTCCTGTGGTTTCTTGCTTTTGCGTTGGGCATGGAAAGGGTTCCCTGTGGCAGACACAGCCAAGGGAGATGCGTGGGGGGTCCCCACGGCCTGGCCTGAAAGGAGGCATGGAAGTCCGCAGGGATGCGCTGGAGCCTTGGGTCCCGCCCCCTCTTCGTGAGATCGGCATCCTCTCAGCTCCCCTTCCTCCCTCCAAAGGACTGGAGAGTCTGCCCTGAGGCAGTGACCTGCACGCAGGGGTGTGGGTGGGCCGGGAGGGAGTGGCCGGGGCTGGACAGGGTGTGACCATCTGCAAACCACTGAGGAACAAAGAAGTTCTAAATGAAAGACCAGAAAATGCTTTCTGCATTTTGGGAGGAGGGAAGCTTCAATTTTATAAGCGAAATCCTTATTTATCTAAGTAAGTAATGCAGCATCTCCCCAGAGTGGCTGCAGCCTCCCTGCCTCTCCGAAGCAGGGGAACTGCTAGAGGCTTCTCAGAACACACAGATCCCAGAACGAGCCATGCTCCAGATGCCGACGCTGGGAAAGGCAGAGGGCTGGGGAGCTTATTCTGTAACAGTTTTACTCCTGATACCATCTTTTCCCCGTTGATGGCAATGTCTTTATCTTATACTAAATTCTGTACATGTACACGTGATTTACTCGGCGGGAGATGATGTCTGAAACCTAGGCAGTGAGTAGCGGGGAGTGACAGAGGGCCAGCTTCCTGGCTCCCCGACGGGCTGGATGTGGAGGTGGGAGAAAGGGAGGGGTCAAGAGTGGCTTCAGAACTCGCCCTGAGTCCCTGGCAGGATGGAATGGCCATCGGCAACATGGGGAGCTGGTGGGTGCGGGAGGTGGGTGGAGCAGGTGGGCCCACCTGGGATGTGGTAAGCAGAGAGGGTCTTCACACCGCCAGTGGTGATGCCCAACAGGCGGCGGGCTCTCCGGGCCGGTGATCCAGGGGCAGGTGTGGTCCCTCTGCCTAGAGATGCCATGTGAAGCCACGGGCAGGACAGGGTCCAGCCTCTAGGTGGAGTCCAAGGGCGCCCACCAGGAGGGGGTCAGGAGAAGAGGAGGAGCATGTGAGCTGGGAGGAGGTCGGCCCATGAGGCCTGAGAGCTGGCCGCTGGCTGCAGCCACGGGGGCCCTTTCAGCCCCACCCATGTTTCCCTTCATGAGAACCTCACACCAAAGTATGTGTCAGTGCGTGGTACGCTTCACTTTCAGAGCTTGCCTGGCTGTTCATGAACGTTTACTGTCCATATGAATGTTGGAATCAGGTTGTCTATTCGCTGTGTCTACAACCGTTAGTGTCTGTGTCTAGGATGTCGTTCCAGAGGGAGAGGCCAGCAGTTACAGCAGTACCCTCGGTTGGAAGGGGATTGGGCAATGTCTGGAGAAAGTTTTGTCACCACTGGTGGAAGGGGTGCACCGGCACCTAGTGGTGGAGGCCAGGATGCTGCCAACACCCTGCAGTGCACAGGACACCCCCACAACAGGGAGGCATCTGGTCCAAAGTGCTCATGGTGCTGCATTTAAGAAACCCAGATTTAGGTGCCTACAAAACATCTTTCTGAAAAGGCTCACCTCTGCCTGTTCTGGTGCTGGCTGCTGGGCTGTTTCATGGGACGCAACCTTCTAAAATGCTCTGGCATAGGCTAAAGTATAGATGCTGTAATGAGCTGGAGACATTTTTATTGTCTCCATTTGCCCAGTGTTTGGCCCCTTCCTGTAGTTGGGTGATGCTTTTGGTGGTATCCAAGGTACCCAATAACGTTAAAGAAGCTGAAGCCAGATGCGTGATTTCCTAGCATCCCTGGCAGGCCTTTGACCCAGGCTCCTCCATCTGATGCACCTGGGCAGGGGTGTGGAAAGGAGTGGGCACAAGGGCCTTTCTCCCGGCTGGAGTGGGGTCCGGAAGGGCTGGGCAGCACGACTGGCCTTGCCAGAGCATCTGAAGCAAGGCTGGGACTGCTGCTGGCCGGCTCACACCAGGCCTCATCAGCCCAATACCTTTTTCATCAGTTCCCCTTTACTTTCAGCATTCAGTGCACGTTTCTGTTGCTTGCAACCAAAAGTCCTGGGTGAACAAATTCCCTGCCCAGAACAGCAAGTGCAGTAAGACACCATGACAGGAGCGGGAGGGAAGGCCTTTGCTATGAGCTCTCCATTACCAGTTTGGGCTTGAGGGGTGTGATTTGGACCCATGGTATAAACCAATTGTGGAACTGGATTTTAGGAGGAGGCTTGAAGACATGTTATGTACTTACTGTATCTTAATTTTTGTTCTTTGGTTGTAAAATGGCTTAGCGATGATTAATGACTTAGGATTTTTCGACAAAATCTACGGATTTCCCAACATTTGGCAGAGGGAAGAACTTTAGCACCCGAGCCCCCGGGCTGGGGGAGGTGGTCCTGGGCTGGAAACAGAGGAAGAAAAAGGCGAGGGGAGAAGCACGGGGAACTGTTTCTCTTCTTCCTTGGAAAGCAAAAAAATTTTGGATTCCTTGTTGAATAAGGAGAACATTCCTCACATTTGCTCCCACTGTGCAAATCCTCCAGTGCATCCGCCGTCCTCTGGGCAGCGTAAGGCCAGGCTCGGTTTTGACTTCCCAGCATTTTGGGTGGATTCACTCTGCCAGGCTCACCAAGGTCCCTTCTTCTCTGGCTTCCCTGTCAAGACCCCATTCGTAACTTCTCCACTTCAACAGAAAACTCGGCTTCCTCCCATCCCCTGGACTAGCTCCCATTTCTGTCCTAGCTCCCATTTCTGTCCTAGCACCTTGTCCCACCACTTAGACACCAGGCAGGACAGGGTGAAGAACAAACCACGAAACCCTGCCAACCATGGCTGCTCCAGTGAGAGGCTCCTCAGGAGTGTCTTAGCATTTCCTGTCTGCTCCCTCAGGCGCCCTCCTGACCCCGAGAGGGGCCCTAGTGTCCCATAGCCGGAAGCATGGGGAGTGCTGGAAACCCCACTGCAGTGGGGGTCCTGGGGGTGGCCACGGCGCTGCTCGCCTTGGCCGCATCACTCATGCCTCCCAGAGGGGCCTGTGGGGCTGGAGGAGGGGACAGCAGCCTGTGAAGCAACGGAGCGAGCAAGAGTGGGTGGGCTATGCTGGTGGGACGAGGCCTTCAGCTTCAGGGATCAGGGAAGAGACAGAACAATTCAAGTGAGGCTTATGGTCAAGCCTGGCTTAGAGAAAACACAGATATGAAACGCATGTAACCTGATCTTGGCAGGCCCTGCCAGATGCCTGCCCTTGTCCTCCTGCTTCCTCCTTGGTGACAGGACCCTTAGTTTTTAGGTATTTAGTAGCAAGGTTCCCAGGCCCAGAGGCTAAGCCATCCTCGGTCTCTTCCAGGGCACATCTAGGTTTCCTGAGGCCCGAAGCTTCCACTGTCTGGGGCCATCGGGGGAGCTTTTTCCTGAGAGAAGGATTGTAATATTTAATGGATACAACATTAGGTGCAAACTGAAGTTTTATTTAGAATGAAAAAATAGACAACAAATTACAGATTTTAAAGAGCTAAAAAATTCCACAGATGTCACGGAGTCCAGGGGAATAACAGCCTGGTTGGAGGGGCGCTCTCCGCCTCTTCTGTATTTTTGGCTCTCTCTGAGGGTAGTGGTTTTACCAGCATGCTTTATCAAAAACTAAACTATCAGGGAGAGTCTACAAAAACTCCTGCTAGAGTAAGGTCAGATTCCAGACCCTGTCGCACCTCTGAAGACCTTGGTCCAGTTCCTTCCAGGGTGGCTTCACGCCTTGCCATCCCTGCCTCCCTGCGGCTGCCCCTGTGCCCAGGCCCCGCCAACGCCGTCAAGGCCCCCTCGGCCACGCCGCGTCCCCGCCCAGCATCTCGGATGCCATTCCTTCCCGGTGGCACCTGCCCAGGCTTTGCCGAAATCGAAGGCAACAAGAGGGGGAGGTGGGCTTAAGAGTGCCTGCCCGGCCGCCACCTGTCTTGGAGGTGGAGGGAATGGCCGAGGGGTGGCTCCCCCAGCTCCCCACCTTTGAGCATCTCTCAGGCTGGGAAAGGGCAAAGGGCCACATGAAGCCAGCAGGCACTTCAGTGCCACGTCCCCAGAGGGACAGTCCTCCCACCCAGGAACCCCTGGCTGCCCAGAAAGCACCACCGGCAAGGCCGCCTCCACCGCACCCGTGAGAGGACTCGGCAGCTGTGAAGGAACTGGGAGATTCTGCAGATGGGCCGAGGTCAGGGCTTCCAGGCTAGGAAGAAGTCTTCCAGATGCCTAGCTTCACCAGTCCCAGGAGAAGGAAGGAAGGGGCATGGGCAGAGGCCTGGCAGGGGAGGAGGAAGAGGCCAACCCTGTACACAGGACCACAGGACAGGGTGGAGGACTGTCCCAGGAGTCCCTCCACAACAGGAGGCCTGGTCCCAGTGGCCCCTCTCTCTAGGGGTTCCCTGCTGCCACCATGTCCACAGAGGAGTCACAGCTTCCATGGCCCAGCCACAAGTTCTGGCTTAAAGTCAGAACAGGAGAGAGGCCCTCAACTCCAGTGAAGCATGCAGCTCCTTTTTCAACCCCAACACCTCTGACGAAGCATGTTTGTTATATGAAGGCAAGGATCATGATGGCACGAAGCATGTTATATGAAGGCAATGACCATGAGCACGAAGCATGTTATATGAAGGCAATGACCATGATGGCAGCTGCCACCAAAATACTTTACCAGCACACCCTTCTGACTGCAGCATTTCTCAGAAGAAAGGCTCAGGTGAAAAGTTCCTGGAATTTTCCAGATCTTCAGTGGATCTATTAGCATTGCCACATACCAAAATAAGGAATTTCCCTAAAGGTTAACTTCTAATCCAGCAAAACTTTGCTCATACCTCAAAACGGAGCCAAGACTCAGACTAATACACACAAATCAAAATGGACAAAAGCAAGTCTTGACTCACTTGACAAACAGAATAGACACAAAAGAATGTACAACCAATACAATTCCAGAATGTCCCTGAAAGGAAAAAGCACCCTGTACTGACATGAAATAAATGTTAACCTTGAGATTACACTAACAATGCCTTTTTTTAAGAGATGGTCTCGCTCTGTTGCCCAGGCTGGAGTGCAGTGTCATGATCTCGGCTCACTACAACTCCCACCTCCCGGGTTCAAGAGATCCTCATGCCTCAGCCTCTTGAATAGCTGGGATTACAGATGCATGCCATTGCACCCCGATAATTTTTGTATTTTTAGTAGAGATAGGGTATTGCCATGTTAGCCAGGCAGTCTGGAACTCCTGGGCTGAAGTAATCCCCCTGCCTTGGCCTCCCAAAGTGCTGGGATCACAGGTGTGAGCCACTGCACCCAGCCAGGCCAATTCTTTATCAGGAATTTCCAATTCCCATTTCCATTTAACAAGAGAACTAACTAACTGAATTAATCCTGCCTTCTAATGTTTCTGGAACACATCCTCTACCTTCGCCTGCCGGCTCCTCTGATGTCCCAAGGGCCTTTTGGTAGCAGTTAGCATCATTTAGCAAATACAGAGTGGAAAGAGTGTGCCGGAGGCCCGGGCTTGGGTGTGCTGTCTGCTCCTGTGGCCTGTCAGGCAGGTCCAGGGAGACACAAGGGAAGCCTGAGGGACCCTGACTCCCCTTGAAGAATTTCTCCATACAGCAAGACAGTGTGGCTTTATCCCAGATCCCTGACTCCTAAAAAGAGTCTAAAAAGAGCTAAGTTCTCTCTAAATTCTTTAATGGTTCATGACCAAATTCTTGGTTCTAAGACTTTGAATTTTTAAATAATAGATGTGCAGCTTGACTTGGGTAAAAACTAGAAACCTGTTCTCCCACCCAGGCCTTTGCTTTAGTAATTATCAAGCTGACGGTCTGGCCGGGCGGGCACCAGGAGTACCGAAGGCTCACTTGAGTCATTAGTGAACATGTCTGACTGAGTCTGGGCTGAGGGACCTGGCTCTGCATTTTGTAAAATAGATACTAGCAGATTGTCCCAAGATGTGTACAGCTCATTCTCACAGCCCAGCGAGGGCACTTACTCCACAAATGCGTGGCCACAGGTCATCACCTGTCCTGTGGCCCTGGCGAGCCTGATCCCTCACGCCGGGCACCCACACGGCCTGCGTGCCTTCTAGACTTGAGTTCGCAGCTCTTTAAGGAGCTCTCGGGCCAGTTTTTCTGATCTAGGGCTTTCAATGCCAAGACGATTCCATCTGTACAAGGTCTGGTCAAGAAAGCCAATGATCTCGTGAGTTATCTCAGCAGTGTGAGCCATCTGCAATCAGGACAGAAGAGAAGGCAAATTAAAACACTTTCCAGACAGATTTGTCCTTTGTCCAGGGACGGACCATAACCACCCAGTCCCTGAAAGAAGCCCTATCCAGCATTTCCATCAGTTCCAAAGTAAAGCATCAGGGGCTCTAGTTTGCAAGGTGATTAGCATAGCAAGTCTGTCTCCAAGGCTGGCTACACAGTGAGCGGTGCCATTTCCTAACGAGCCTCCTCGCATTGAGCTCAGCTGCCAACAGCCTTAGACTCATAAAGGCCACAAACAAGCGCTGCTTGCAATCAGAAGTGCTTCTCAGAATGCCAGTCACAAGTTGTGGGATGATCCACTGTGGGGAACAAAGGCAAATGAGCATGCTGTGGCTTGACTTTCTGCAAAAGGCTCACACGAACATGAGAATTGGAAAATACCACCTGTTTTCACAGAAACAGCCCCTGGCATCCCTGGGCTAGCAACCGGACCTACTTGCTTTTTAATAGGCCTCTAAGGTTTTAACACCTGATTCTTGCGGGAGAGCAGGAGACACAGCCTCAAGGCATTCGTACTTGTTGGTGCCTGTAAGTATTTTCCTAAAAACTTCGGTTAAGAAAAAAGGGAAGGGTGAGAATCTTACAATTTAGCTGTGTGGGGAATTTATGGTTCTTTAAGCACAAGCAGTATTAAGAAGGCTTAAGTTTTTGAAAGAGTAACCGATATATTCACTTAGTGTGTGTCAGTTTATACAGAACCCGCAAATGTTTAATTAGCCAGAGCAGCCCAAGGTCAGCTTCCTCTGGAAGGGTTGGGCCGTTCTGGGAGGGTGAACAACTGCCTTGGTTTTCCCAGGACTATTCTGGTTTTACTGCCTCAGGTCCGACAGCCCAGGACACCCTTCAGAACTGGGCCTTCCACCTCCTGACCACCACTAAAGGGAGCCTCTTGTCGCATGCGCACTGTGTGAATGGCAGCGTGGGGACGCAGAGCTAAGAGTAAACGACGTGGTGTGGACCATGACGTTCGCTCTCCTCGGCCCCCCCTGGCAGCACACAGGGCCTGCAGCCGGCCTGCAACGAGCCCGCCAGGGTCAGTGCAGCCAGCACGGGGGCTCCGGCTGTAGCCCAGGCACGTGCCAGTGTGTCCCTGGGCGTCTGTATTGCTATCACTTGGTTTTTACTCAGAAATGACAGGCACATAGTGCTGATGGCCTTCGGTAGATGCAGCCTGTCCTTCATCAAGGAAACAATGTGAGCCTGCTGTGGACCCCTTTCAGTTAATATACCACCCAGACCCTGAGCGGGAGGACTGTCCCCCGCTCAGGGGCTGGCCATGCCCATGCTGATGGGCTTGGCCATGTCTGAAGAAAGGCCGAGTTGTCATTACAAATCCAACCTTGCATCTTCCTTACACACCAACACTCCTGGGTGGGCCCCTTCCCAGCTCTCTAGTCACATGCAAAAATTCGCAGCCCTGCAGCCGCCTGGAAAACCTGCCTCCCTGCTGGCCTTGGCTGGTGCACCAAGAGTGGGTTCAATTCATTTTGAGTTCAACGACTACAGAATTGAACTCTGCATCTCGGAATCTAGCTAACTTTTGCTGTTGTTGCTGTGGCCCAGCAGCAGGAGGCAGGAGAAGGAGAAGTGTGAATCCAGGACAGGACAGGAGGTGGAGCCCCAGGGGTGGACTCCATGCAGTCCTCTGCTCTGTGCCGGCCTCCTGCAGGCACAAGTGAGGGAGCAAGTGGACGGCTGGGGCAAGGCAGAGGAGTGCCTGGCGAGAGGCCAGGAGCCAGAGAGGCAGGAGAACCGCAGGGACGTTGGGCAGGGCCTCATGGATGGCGTTCTGGGGAAAATCGGAGGGCCGAGGTCAGAGAAGAGGATTCCGGGACAGCCGGGGAGTGGGCCTCCAGGTGCCTGGAGAAGAGCCCACTGCGCAGAGCTCACTGCAGAGGCCACACAGGAGGCAGGCTGTGGGCAGATGGGGCTGCAGGACCAGTGCGTCCTTTAGGTCAGATGGAGCCACTCGCTCAAGCCATCTCCAAGAGGGTGCAAGGGCTCTGAAGAGAGATAGTGGCCTTTGCCTTGAGCTGGCACTGCTCTCCAAATCTGGATGCCAAGATAGAGGGCAGAGCCTGGGACCAGCTGGGAGGTGGCTGCGCTCGTGCTAGGTCCTGAGGGTGGAGAGACCCAAGCTGTAGGAGGGAAAGGCCGTCCCACCAAAGCAACCATCTGGCCACCACCTGCTCGTGGGCCAAGCAGACCCGGCTCTTTCCAAGGTGCTGTCGGCAGAGGAACTGACAAAGGCCAGGAGAGGCAGGGGTGGTGGGAGGGATCCTTCCCCAGAGGCCCTCCCTGCCACGCGGCCACCGCAGCGAAGGCTTCTCATTAGGAAGACTGACGTGTCAATAAAGATGGTTTCAAAACATCCGAAAGGACAGCCCCCAGGAGGTGCTTTCACCACGATGGGTGCCCAGATGGCCAGCATCCGTCCCTGACAGAGTCAGTGCATGAGCGCCACACTGGCGTCTGCTCTGGGAATGGGCTTCTGCTGTGTGTGTCTTCTCTGTGGCGGAACTGACTTGGGGGATGTGATGACAAAGCACTGGGGCCCTCTGTGCTCCTGAGGGTTCCCGTGTGGATCCGCAGCAGGGGCTGAACCACGTGTCAGGAGGGACTGCCCCACACAGGATGCAGGCTGGCCCTTGCAGCATCTGGCTTACTCCCAGCAATGTCTCTGGGCCCAGTCTTGAGGGCGATCTGCTTTGAATGTGGACTGAAAGTTTCCTCCGAGTAGATGGAAACATGGCATCAGGATAACTGAAGCAGAGACCTGGGTGTCTCTAGGGTGCTTGCTCTGGGTGATTTTCTCTCACACCCTGTCGGCAGGGCTGGAGTCACCAAACTCCCACGCTGACCCCTGCTGCTAAGCCTTCTCCACTCACACGGGCCACAGGGTTGGGGAGGAAGTGCCTGAGCTGGAATTGTCCTTGTCACAGGGCAGGGCTGACCATCTCCCCACTGCCCCTCCCCAGCCCCCCATAAGCACCTTCCCACTGTTTCTGTGAGTTCGACTTTTTAGATCCCACCCATAGGTGAGAGCATGCATTTGTCTCTCGCGTCTGGCTTATTTCGCTCAGTGTAAAGCCCTCTAGGTTGGGCCGCATTGTTGCAGGTGTGCATTTTATAAGAGTACACAATAGATTCTCGAAAGCATTCTCGCTGTGCTGGGGCCGGGCCCAAAGAGGTGGCACCTGGCATGTGGCAGCCAGTCGTCTTTAGCCCTGGGCCACCCTCATGACTCGGATTCGTCTTAGCTGAGACACCAGCACCTGGGAGGCACAGCCTGGGCCCACTCCACAGGACTGTCCTACCAGGATGGAGACAATCTCCTGGCCCTGGTTCTTGGCAGGTGGGTCATGTTACGGGGACTTTCTGTACATGGACATTCACGTTTCAGTCAGGCCCGGCCTGGACGGGAGCAGGAGGGGCCTCTGGGGACTGGGAATATTCCTCTCGAGTTGGCTGCTGGCTGCACAGGTGTTGTTGGTTTGTGAAATTCATCAAGCTGTGTATTTTCTGTATGTATATGTCAACAAAAGTACAAATAAAATAAAAAATAAAACAAAACTCCCAGAGCCAGCATGCTGGTGCTTTTTCTGAGATGAGTATTTTTTTAAATTGTGGTAAAATATACATAAAATGTGCTGTTTTACCCATTTGTGTAATTTGGTGGCATGCAGTATGTTTACAGTGTTGCACAGCCATCAGCACTGGCCGTCTCCTGCCCCTTTCCATGATCCCCACACTGACTCCCCACCCTCTGCCTTGGGAAACTCTAGCACTTCCTCTCCCTGGACTTGACTCTTCCAGGTGCCTCACCTAAGTGACTCATACAACATCCTCGTTTCTGGCTTATTTCAACAGCACAGTGTCTTCCAGGTTCATTCATGTTGTAGCACTGTCAGAACCTCTTTCCATCTTCAGGCTGAACAGTACTCTCTTGTGGGTACAGATCACACGGTGCATTGCTTGTCCCTCTACAGGCGTTTAGGCCATCTCTGCCTGCTGGCTGCTGAGAATAGTGCTGCCCTGAGCACTGGGCCAGATGGCCCTCCAGCCCCTGCTTTCGGCTCTCTGGGTTATAGACCTAGGAGAACTGCCTGCCACATGGTAATTCCAAGTTTGGCTGTTTGAGGAACCACCCCATTCTTCTCCACAGTAGCTGCACGACGTTAATGTCCCCACCGGGAAGCATATGAGTGTTCCGGTTCCCACGCATCCTCACGGGCGTTTCTTTTCTCTCCTTGCTGACAGCCATCCTGATGGCTGTGCAGTGCATCTCGCTGCACTTTGCCTTTCCCTGACCACTCATGCCCTTTCTGTGAGCATCTCCCCACATGCCTACTGGCCATTTGTACATCTTCTTTGGAGAAATGTCTGTTCAAGTCCTTTGCCCATTTTTGAATTGGGTTGTTTATCTTTTTGTTGTTGAGTTATAAGAATTCCTTATGTATTCTGAATACTAAACTCTAATCATATATATTATTTCCAGATATTTTTCTCCCATTCTGTGAATTGTGTTTTCACTTTCTTGACAGTATCATTTGATGCACAAAAGCTTTTAATTTTCATAAAGTCCAATTTATCTATTGTTTTCTTTCATTGCTGTGCCTTTGGTATCATATCCAAGAAATCATTGCCAAATCTAATGTCACAAAGAGTGCTCACTTTTGACTTGGACCGTTTTTTACCCCTCAAGTCAAGTGGGCTTCAGGAAGGATTTCTTTGTAATAAACCAATTTTTTTAAAGATTAACAGAATTCTTTGCACTGTTGCAGTGAATAGCATTGTGGTTGCTTTGCGAGCCCATTCTCATCGTGGCCTTACTTCTTTCCATGAGGAGGAGGAGAGCAGCACACTGCGATGGAAAGAAATGTACGTAGGGGGACAGGAGACCTGGCTTCTACCGCAGGCTTTGGCAGCAAGCCGTGGGCCCAGGAGATGGCATCTCCTGTCTCTGAGCCTCTGTTTTCTCTTCTATGACATAAAGGTGCTGGAAGGGGCAGGCTCTGGGGTCCATCCCAGCTGTCAACCTCCTTGACCATTTATCTGTGCTGGGCAGCATCCTGGTACACACACTGTGCAGAGGCCAGACCCTCGGACAGGTAACCCACCTCTCGCCTGGAGCAGAAATGAGTACTAGGATGCTGGACCACAGGGAGACTTACCAGGGTGATGACATCCCAGGCGATCGTGTGGCCTCCAGGAGCCCAGAGCAGGAAGTTGAGGAGAAGGTGCCTGATCAGCTGTTGTGCAGGAGCTCTGAGGTCTGTGTCTGTGCCCTGTCCTGCTACCGTCTGCAGGTCCTGGGCTGAGAGGCTGCTGCTTCTGGACATTGCCAGGAGGTGGCCCAGCACGGCCTTCACCTGGACCTGGGCAATAGTATTTCACAGGGGAGAGGTTAGGAAGAGGCAGGACAGACATACTTCTAGGATTTATTTATTTGCTTTGAAACAACCCCCAGAAACGGGTAAGCACTGGCCCCTGAGAGAGGGAGCTAGGCAGCGGCCGAATTTACACTCGATTTCACACAAACCCAAATGGGCGGAATGGAAATTTCTTGACTTTCTTTCGTCTTGCTCACCAAGCAGTCAGGGCACCATGCCAGGAACTGACCTTTTTTTGTATAAAAGGAAACAGAGAAAAGTTCTCAACAGAATGTAGTCAGATTTTTATATTGTGGGAAAAAGAACAAAAGGCTCCTTGAAGACTCGCCTATCACAGCCACAAATCAATTAAAGCCCCACGCAGTCAGACCTCCGCCGAGCCAGTGTTCCCATACGAATGTAGGCTTGCCTTTGCTTCTTGCTATATTGGGGGTCAGGGCGGGGGGTCGGGGGGAACACACACACATGCACGCACGTGTACACAAGCACGGTCATACACACATGCATGCACACACAAGAACACATTTGTTTTAGATGCCGGAACAATCTGTTCATACGTGTTTAATGCTCAAGCAGAGGCCACAAGTCTGTGGAACCCACATAATAATGGTAATTATAAGTCTGCAGGTTGCTTTTGCATAAAAAATACTCATTCCATGCTGAGATGTTTCTGCTTGCTACAAGAATGGTACACCCAGTCGTGACTTGGAAAACAAAGCAAAGCAAAAACCGAAAGCCCATAGCTCCAAATGCCACATGGAACTCGTGAACAGCTATGTTCCATCACTTCTGAAAGAATACTTAGGCCTATTCTGAGAATTCCCATGACCGATTTTATGGATTTTGTGTGAGGCGTTTTTTTTCCCTGGAAGTCAAGGCCTCATTCAATGAAGTCTGTCATAAACTCCAGTACACTGGGTGTGTTGTGTGAGCTCCTCTGACCACAATACAAGACCGTGAGAAACTGCACCATCGGGCTCTTCCACGGGGAGCGGCAGCGCTCCAGCAGGGCAGGCCTCACTCTCCCCACCTCGCCCCTCAGCCGGCCCAGCCTGCCGGGTCTGATGGTGTCTACGGGAGCCCAAGGCCATTCTGCCATCTAACTGGGTCTGCAAAAATGTCAGGGTTTAGGAGGCTATGCCTTTATATCTGTTTTTTCTCTTGACCCACAACCGACTTTCTGCCCTTGTCCAATAATCCCTAAGATGGGGTCTATCTTCCTTTATGTCTGGCCCAGACTGTCTTTCCCTTCAGAGGCCGTCCATGCTCATGGGCTTCCACTTGAACACCGATAACTAACTTTAAACATGTCCTAAGTTTTTCAGGAGAAAGATAAAAGCTTTCTTTTCTTTTTAAAGTATTTTTTATCCTGCATTATAAAGACATATATGCTTACTATGGAAAATTTGAAAAGAGAAAAAGAAGAACCATTAAAATGATCTATAACTCTACCATCCAAAAAGACTCACTGTTAATAATTCGGTTTATATACTTCTTGTCTTTTTTCTACGCACTGAGACCATACCACTCACTACACATAATGCCTTGTATCTTTCATTTTTCTCTCCATAATGTACTATAAGCAGTTCAGTTCACTGTATCTATAGAACATGCTCTTCAAGACCTTTTTTTTTTTTTGGAGACAGAGCCTTGCTCTGTCACCCAGGCTGGAATGCAGTGGTGCAATCTCTACTCACTGCAACCTCTGCCTCCTGAGCTCAAGCGATCCTTCCATCTATCTCAGCCTCCCGAGTAGCTGGGACTACAGGCACACATTACCATACCTGGCTAATTTCTTTATTTATTTTTTTGTAGAGACAGGGGTCTATGTTGCCCAGGCTGGTCTCAAACTCATGGATTCAAGTGATACGGCCACCTCGGCCTTCCAAAGTGCTGAGATTACAGGCATGAACCACCACACCCGTCCAAGAGCATGATTTTTCATGGTATGTAACAGAATGCTATTCCATGGTTAGGATATACCACACTTTATTTGGCCAGTAGCCTTACTATTGAAAGTTCAGGCCATTTCCCATTGTTGTATTTATGAACAATGCTGTGCTGAATATTCTTATACATAAGCCTTTGCATGGATCTCTATTCCCCAGGGTAATTCCTAGAAGTGGAACCACAGGGTTAAAGGGTATGAACCCTTGCCTGATTTTTTTTTTTCCTTTTTTTCTCTAGGCATCATTGTACCTTACTGATTCTTAAGGGTATCTAAACGACTTTTTTTTATTTTGTTGTGATCTGATTCAGTTGTTGGCAAAAGGAGATGAACTCTGGCTGCTGGTGGAAAGGGTGGCTTGCCCATGAGTGGGACAGGCCTTCTCACAGGCAGGACACATCCTGGGCGGGGACACGCTTGGTCTTTGCACCCATGTTCTTCACCTCAAGGACATCCACAGAGGCAGTGACGCCAGGCCCAGCACACGATGCGGGGATACGCCACCAGCTGATTTAATTGTGCCTTTTTAAGTAAATGCACAAATGCAGAGATACTGCTAATTTCAATTCAATCACATACGAATCATGCTTTCTAACACAGTTCACAGTTTGTCTCTCAAGCCTCCCAACAGACCATCAAGGGATTAAAGCTCACAAAACCCAGGAAAACAAGAGGTACGTATCATTCATTAAACTAAAATCCCCTTCCCAGGACGCCACATACACCAATGCCTCAGGCAGGCACCAGCAAGGAAGGGGCTCTGGAGTCACCAACATGAGCACTGGATTGAACTGCCAGGCAGATGGGCACCTGTGACAGAATGGGGGGAAGGGAAATGGATGCCTGCCACTGCCCCACTCACATTGAGCCAATACGTTCTCATCCAAAATCCTAGGCATCCCCTGAGGGAGAACTACGCAAGGGTTTTATTTTTTCATAAAAAAGGACCAAGTTAGCTAGTAGAAGATGTGCCAATGTAGAACTTTCTAGAAATTAAGTGTTATTGAATAATTTATTTCTTTATACTTCAAAAGTGATTCTCTGTCAGTAACCTTTTGACTGTGATGGAATTGAACACATATCTACCAACTTAGCTTATTCAGAATCAAATAAGACAGAATATAAAAGGGCTTTAAAAACCATATGTGCCCCGTACATCTTATTACTGTTAAAAACATCAACCAGGATTTTCCTTAGCTTAACGTGATCTTTTAAAGGGGAAGAAATAAAAAGCTTTCTTTTTAATCAGACAGCAATCCTCAAATACATACGTGGGTTATAATTTTTTCACAAAGCTTTATTTCTGATCCAAAATAAATTATCACCAAATTTCAACTTTTTAAAATCTAAAACTATTTTTCTTTCCTATGCCATGCAAGCCTTTAAACAAAATACGCAGACATCTTTATTAGTCTGTGTGTTTTCAAACAACAGAAAATGCCAAAGCCAAGAGAAGCAGGGCTCTATACAAAATGAGCCTTGTCCTCTTTAACTACTAAGATCAGCATAGAGCACTGGCAGTTGAAGTTTTAAGAACCTAGCAAATCAATGCTTGCAAGGGAGGTGCCAATGCCTTTAATCAAAGCATTGCTTCCTGTAATTATTATATTCCACATAAAATAACAACTGTCTTTGCCACAGACAGTTATCCAGTCCCATACTTAGCTGCTCTGTTATTTAGGAAATGACCAACTTCTTTTTCAGAAGCAAAGTGGTTAATATCATCTGATTACTTTAGTAAGAGATGTAAATAAAGCCAGTAATGTGAGGATCTGTTGACTGATCCAAGAAAGGAGACAGTCAAGATGGAAGCAAGCCCTGGCCGGGCTGCTGGGGAGCGAGACAGGGCCCTGGCTGTGGCCAGGCTCTGCTGCCGGCACACCCCTCAGAACAGCCCGCCTCTGCAGGGCACGCCTTGGAGGACGCGACCCTGGGGCAGATATGGCAGCTGAGCAATAACAGATCAAATGACCTTGGGGAAGAAGGGTCTTCGTTTTGCAGGAGAATGGGCTGGCAGCGTCTCGTCTCTGGCCACCTCGGTGGGGACAGGAGAACGCCTCTGACCACAAGGCTGGAGATCACCATGCCTGCAGGTTGCCATGACATATGCCATCTGTGGGCAGAGCTCAGGTGTCATGGAAGCCAAGCCCACAACAGAGCCCCTCTCTGCAAGCTCCTCTCAGCCCCCCAGAGCCCACCCCAAACACATGCAGTGGGGCCTGCTACCCACCATAGTCTGTGCTCTCTGCTGCCTCCCATCACGGGGGCCGTAGTAGAAGGCCAAGAGCCACAGCAGGGCCGTGGGGGGTTCGGCTGCCGACATCAGTAATTGCTCTGCCACCATCTCAGCCCATCCTCCGAAGTGAATGAACAGGAACCAGCTCTCAAAGGGACCTCCGCAGGACCTGGAACAGAGGCAGAACACATGGCAGTTGACAACCTAAATTCTTCTTCCTTTGGGTTTTTAAAGCAACTTTAACGTTTGCCAACGGTTGGCTTAAATTGTACTTATCCACTGAAGTGCAACCTGCAAGGAATACAATTTAGATTCAGAAAGCCTGTCCAAACGCCACTCTGCACCATCACAGGACATCGAAAGAGTGCCTCTCAGGACCCCCGTGAGGCCTGAGGCCTTTGGACATCGGAGTCTTTAATCCAGGTACGTTCAGTGAGGACAGGCACTGAAGAAGGAAGACTGCGGCCATGACCAACAGGAATGTGGCAGGATGTGGCGGCACACCTCCCTGCCTTCTGAGATGGGGAGAAAGAGGTGGAGGGTAGGACGCAGGCAGAAACATGGGCTATTTCCCTTCTGACAAGACGCAAAGTTCAGGTGGATATTTCAGCAACTACGAATTTTTAATGAGCTGCTGTCATCATGGGTGCATCAATGCCAGAAAGTTGAAGTGTTTGTGAAGCTATCCCCTCGCCACACTGGCAAATGGGAGTTGCAATACTTGTTTTAAGGGTAGAATTTGCTTGAGATAAGGGCCTACTAATTGTGTGCAGTGCCGGTCTCAGCAGGTGAACATCTCCCTTGGAGAGGATGGAACAGACCAGCCTGAGATCACATTAGATGAGAACATTCCTTCTGGACTGGGGCAGTGGCTGGAACAGGAGTGTTCCTGGCCCCTTTGTTGGATCTTCCTGCATGTTCCTCTGCCTGGCCCATGGAATTCCCAAGCTCTAAGCACTGTCCTCGCCTCCCTGGACACTGCTGTCCTCCTGCCCCAGTCCTCCCTGAGAACAAGTGGTTAAATGTTCTACATTTGAGCAACAGAGACATGTCCCTCTTTCCCAGGACATGGTCAGAGCTGATGCTCTGGAGGCCACGTTGGCTGTGGGCTGGGTTAGGCTGTACCAGAGTGAGGAGGGGACTCTGCCATGCCTCTTCCCTGCAGGCACCATGTCAGGGTAGACAGATGCACAGAGCAGTGAGGCTCCCTCATGCTCCCAGCTCCCAGGTTGGCAGCGTGACTGGATCAGGATCAGAGACCGGTCTGGTCCTTCCCTCTGTCTTCCACCAGTAGCTGAATGCACAAGCAGTCCCATGTGGCCACCTGAAAGGTATCTCATGGCTCCAAGGTCTGGATTGAAGTGGGAGCCCCACGAGGTCTAAGTCCTGTTCTGCAGCACCACATGCGCCCTTTCTGGTTGCTGTTTTATTCCAGTCTTCACGCATTTGACATCACACATTCTGAGTGATGGTGGAGAGGGTGGGTAGAGAGAAGAGAAAAACACCCAGGGCACCCACTGCACAACATGTCTCAATCACAGGGTGGGCTGTTTATGCCACCTGCATCTACGTCCTGTCCCCGAGTTAAGATTCTTCAAGGTCCAGCTCTGTGTAACACCAGGACAACCAGGGAGGGTGTGTGGGGGGCCGACTGGCCACTGCAGGCTATTCATGTGGCCAACCCCGCAGCCTCCATTGGCTGCAGGCCTTTTTTGTCTGGTCTCTGTCGGTAAGAATCATGGTGAGGAAGGAGTGAGCAGCTGGCACCCAAGCCATCAATCACGGAGCTGGACATAGGTGTGTCACCCATTGTCTGTGTCAACTCGGTGTGAGACTACAGAGAATTCCAGGAGTGAAAAGTGGCAAAAGGAACAAATAAGATAGTCTTAGTAGGCTAGCAGGGACAATGAATAAAATTATACTCTGAAAGAGGAAGCCAAAGAGTGTTATGATACAAGGAATTTAGCAAGGCATAAATGTGAATGCTTTCAAGAAAATCACACACATAAGAGGGTACCTAACACTACTGTTAAGAAATTAACAAGCCAGGCACAGCGGTCCACACCTGTAATCCCAGCACGACGGGAGGCCAAGGCAGGAGGATTACTTGAGCCCATGAATTTGAAGCAATACAGCAAGACCTCTACAAAAAAAAAAATTTTTTTTTTTTTTTGGAGACGGAGTCTTACTGTCACCCAGGCTGGAGTGCAGTGGCACGATCTTGGCTCACTGCAAGCTCCACCTCCTGGGTTCATGCCATTCTCCTGCCTCAGCCTCCCGAGTAGCTGGGACTACAGGCACCCGCCACCACGCCCGGCTAATTTTTTGTATTTTTAGTAGAGATGGTGTTTCACCGTGTTAGCCAGGATGGTCTCGATCTCCTGACCTTGTGATCTGCCTGCCTCAGCCTCCCCAAGTGCTGGGATTACAGGTGTGAGCCACCGCGCCCGGCCACAAAAAAATTTAAACATTAGCTAGGTGTGGTGGTACACGCCTGTAGTCCCAGCTACTCAGGAGTCTGAGTGGGAGGATCACCTAAGCGCAGGAATTTGAGGCTACAGTGAGATGTGATCATTCCACTGCACTCCAGCCTGAAAGACAGAGCAAGACCTTATCTCTAAAAATTTAAAACAAACCAACCAACCCAGAATTTATATTAGAATAGATTTTCTCATTTTAGAGAGATTTATTAGAGAGAAGGAAAAGCAAGCATTTAACATTCCACCCTACTGTGTAGGAGTTTCAAATCTCCTTCCCTAGAGAGGTAGAGGGAAGACCACAGGACCCAAACAAGTGCCCTTTCCCTTCTGTGCGGCCAGGGAGGGGTTCCCAGCAGGTGGGTGCTGCTTTTTCCAAGGCCTCTTCTTTTTATTGTTATGCCTGTATATTTCAAAATCTAAAACCAGACGTTAATGTAGAAAACATTTCGATACAGGTATTGGCACATGCATACATGCGCATGCCTATTCATCCTGACCTGCTCCAAGCCATCCGTGCAGCCATGCGCTTCCTCCACTTCTCACTTCACCATGGTGCTCACCTGTTTGGTGATGGTCCCAGACCAGTAATGCCTTCCTCTGTCAGCCCTGCTCAAAGGGCAGATGAGGATCTAGGGAAACCATGTGTGAAGTAGATTTGGGAGTGGTCAGTGTTTGCTCACCCATGAGTCTGGTCTTCAACTGCTTCTCTGAGCAGTTCAGAAATATGCTTCAGTGTCTGGAGCCAGTGTCCCCGAGGGATATCTGCGGGTGGAGAGAGATACGTCAGAGGGCAACTGAGGAAATGTCAAGCCCATGAGGAACCACCTGCAGGGATGACCTGAAGAGTCTTTGGGAGACGCCCTTTACTTCTGGTTCACGGAACCCAATACTGTTCTCATGCTTTTCCCAGCCAGTACCTATCTCTTAAGCCTGGGGAAGTAAGATCTGTCCATGTCACACAGAGTTGAACATCAAAGAATCTAATCTTTTAATTTTAGTTTTGTGGGGTTTTAAGACACGATCTTGCTTGGTCAGAGGCTGGAGTGCAGTGGTACGATCCTGGTTCACTGCAGCCCCAACCTCCTGGGCTCAAGCGATCTTCCTACCTCAGCCTCCCCAGTAGCTGGGACTACAGGGGTGCACCACCATGCCCAGCTATTTTTAAAATTTTTTTGTAGAGATGAGGTTTCACTATGTTTCTCAGACTTGTCTCAAATTCCTGGGCTCAAGTGATCCTCCCGCCTTGGCCTCCCAAAGTGCTGGAATTACAGGCATTAATCACCACGCTTGCCCTCAAGTAATTTTAAATTCAGGTACATGGAAGTAGCTAGAGATTGCATAAGCAGCCCCCGCTGAGACTGGGAAATGCCGGGTTGCGGATGCCCTAGGTTTCTTCTTTTCTACCTACACACTCCTCCATCACTAATGTGTTGATTTCAAAATAGACGGAGACTGTAGTAAAGCAGCCAATAAGGAATTAGGAATAGACTGCCTGACTGCTTTCCTAGGGCTGTGATGAATTCACAATATGATTTCAGGTTTACAGTGGAAAAAAAGGCCAGGAAAGAAAATAAGTGAGCATTATGCAAACAAATGTCTTTTCTTGAGTGAGCTGCTCTGGTTTCACAGTCATCCTGTGGTTTTAAATACAGCTGAGCAGCACGTATCTGCAGTTCTGTGCAGCATCTGCAAAAGTTTTCACATAGTGATAGATGCTATAATCGAACACACAAGGAAGGTAAGGCGAGTGATGGACAAACTGCTGCTACTCCACAAGGCCAGCGCCTCCCTCCTCTGAACTCCCGCGGCCCTTGGTGCACAGCCTTTTGAAGGTATTTTTCGTTTCTTCCTTTTACTAGCTATTTAGATGTTTATTTCGCATTTCCTCCACTTGTAGTGTCTACACAGTCAGGGCTCGTAAGTGATCCTCTTTTACACCCCTCTCCCGGCCTTCACAATGGGTATGAAATAAATTTCTGATAAACAGAAGATCATGCCACTAAAAAACACTTCTTCAATCTGTGACCATAACACTGTTTCCCAAAGTAATATACAGACAGCTCTTCTAGGAACTAGCACAAGAGGTTCTTGTACTTCTGCCCGAAGCCACCTATTTATATTTGGACATAAATCTACAAGTTACACAAACGGAAAGGTAAAGGGTTGGGCCCATGCCCATGCACCACCTCACCGTTTATTTACTATTTCCAAACTGAGACACTAACAACTCCAGTACATTTTCTGGAGCTCACTCAGCGTCCCCTGTTGGCTGACTTTAGGCTTTGCTGATCTGACCTAAGCGTAAGGTGAACCCTGGGAGAGTGAATTCCTCATTTTTCTGTCTTGTTAATAAAGTTTTCCCAAGAGTTTTCATAAAACTGTCACCCAGAGATCCCACCCCTAGCTCCAGCATCTGAGAAGACAGTGTTAGGGGATCACCCTGGGCAAGAACCTACATCTTCTCGAAAAAGGAAGAGGAATTTAGGTTTTGTAAAATGCTCTGAAACTTTGAATCATTTGCATTTCTCAAACAGATCTACTCACTCAAGTCTCAGAAAAAAGGCAGGCCCAAAATGGCATAAAAAGGAAATGTGACTGGCTCGTTCCCTTCTGTCTCCTCTCCTCCCATGCTCCAATAAGGCCCCTTTCTGGCTGGCGCAGTCTGTGCCCATGTCAGGACTGCCTTCCATCAGGTTTCAGGCCTCAGAGGGAAAGGATGCCCTTATTCTCTATTTCCGAAATGTCTCCTAAGCGTGAGCTCACAGCCACATTCCTGGATCAACACCAGTCGAATGAAGGCTGGAACCATCACTTCCCCAGCTGGATAGCCTTTGGAAGGCTGGCAAAGGATATCAGGAGAGGCTGTGGATGAAGCACCTTACTGAACTCTCTCAAAATCCTTCCCTTAGCTTGGTTAGGGGAAACTTCCCCTGCATTTCCTCAGCTTCATCCATCATTTTGTCTTTTCTTCTGCAACAAGGCTGCACAGAGTAGAAAGAATGAAAAGCAAACGAATGTACTGTTTTATTCTGACTCAGCCAAGTCTTAGCCTGTTCCTGGCATCTGGTGGATCTGGTTGGCACCAGAAGAGCCTGTGTTATCTGGAGGCAGACTAGCAACACCTACCAGAGGCCATTGTTTTTTTGTTTGTTTTCTTCTTTTGGTAAGTGATCACAACTGGGAAGCCAAGCAGACTCTCATATCAAAATCCACAGAATGTGGGATCCTGGGGGCTTAAAGGGATCTTAGAAATAACCAGTTCTGTCTCCCTCATGCTGTAGATAAGGGCCTGATGAGGAGGTCATAATTTGACAATGCTCTTCCCAGGAAATCATTCTGATGTGGGCAAAGTCAACCCTAACTCACCTTGAGGGTCTTGCAGCAGCACCATGGCAAGAGATGGAGAAGTGTAAGGAAAGTAGGTCTTGAGTGCAAACCGCAGCTGCCACAGGATGGAAAATCCAAAGAGCATGAACATTAAGATTGAAACGGGGTCAGGAAAATACAAAACTCTGAGTCCTCTGCCCAAAAAAGACCCACCAGTACTAACATGGTCAGAACACTTTCTTAAACATTTATTTTTTGAAAAATAAGCTCCCAATAACCTCATATTTTCCAGAATAATTAACCTTTTTAAAGTCACCTTCTGGGACTTAAAAATTTATGCTCTTGATGTCTTTATGAGTTCTACTTCACATGAACCCAATTATACAAATAAATCTTCTGTTTTGGAAAGACTTGCCAAAGCCGTTGTGAGATGTTAGGTATTTCAGCATTTTTTTTTTTTTTTTTGAAACGGAGTTTTGCTCTTGCTGCCCAGGCTGGAGTGCAATGGCGCGATCTCAGCTCACCGCAACCTCTGGCTCCCGGGTTCAAGCGATTCTCCTCCCTGTCTCCCAAGTATCTGGGATTACAGGCATGCGCCACCAAGCACTACTAATTTTGTACTTTTTAGTAGAGACAGAGTTTCTCCATGTTGGTCAGGCTGGTCTCGAACTCCCGACCTCAGGTGATCTGGCCGCCTCGGCCTCCCAAAGTACTGGGATTACAGTGAGCCACCATGCCCGGCTTGTTTTTGTTTTTTTATTGAGATGGAGTCTCCTTCTGTTGCGCAGGCTGGAGTGCAGAGGCACAATCTCAGCTCACTGCAACCTCCACCTCCCGGGTCCAAATGATTCTCCTGCCTCAGCCTCCTGAGTAGCCGGGATTACAGGCACATGCCACCACACCTGGCTAATTTTTGCATTTTTAGTGGAGATGGGGTTTCACCATGTTGGCCAGGCTGGTCTTGAACTCCTTAGCTTAAGTGATCCACCTGCCTCGGCCTCCCAAAGTGCTGGGGTTATAGTCATGAGCCACTGAGCCTGGCTCAGCATGGTTTTTAAAATAACAACAAAAGTGTAAAACTGTGCTCGCATTTCGAGGGCCAAAGAGCTACAGCTATCTATGCCCCCAAGGGGCACAGAAGCTTTTTTAAAAATTGAGGTAAAATCTATAACGCATGGAGTGCATGGGCTTTAAGTATATGAGGTTTTGGTAAATGTGCAAATCCATGTGACCACCACCCCAGTGAAGACACATTTCTATCACGCCAAAAAGTCCCCTTCCAATTCTTAACAATCATTCCCTCCACCCCACCCTGGCAACCAATGTTTTGATTTTGACAAGAGAGATTAGTTTTGCTTATTCTTGAATTTTGTGTAAAGGGAACATAAAGTATGTTTTCTTTTGTGTCTGGCTTCTTGGGCTCAACATATTTTCTTAAAGATTAAGCCACGTTATTGTGTGCGAGTAGATCATTCTGTTTTTATTGCTCAGAAGTAGTCTGAATTGTATGAATATGCCATAGTCTGTTTAGCCATTCTCCTCTTGATGTGCATTTGGGCTGCTTCCAGTTTGGGGCTGTCATGAATAAAGCTGTAGTTAACATGCATACATATGTCTTTTCATGGACATGTGTTTCTGTTTCTCCTGGGGATGCCATCGGAATGGAACTGCTGGGTCACAGATAGATGCTTGTTTAACATCGTAAGGCCATATGGTTTTCCGGTGTTGTACCATCTTACGCCCACCAGCAATGTATGTGAATTCCAGTTGCTCCACATACTCCCCAGCATTTCATCCATTCTAGTGGCTGGGAACATAACCCTATGTATGCTTGCTTTCCTACCTGTTTCACTCTGCACTTTCCTGATGGCAAATGACGCTGAACAGTTTTCATGTGCTTACTGCCAACTTATGTATCTTTTTTGAAAGTATATATTCAAGTCTTTTGTCCATTTTAAAAACTGGTTTCTTAGGCAGTTATAAGAGCTCTTCATATATTCTCGACACAAGTCCTCTGTTGTATACATATATTACAAATATTTTCTCCTAGCTAACGGCTTGCTTTTTCAGTTCCTTCTTTCTTCCTTTTCTTTTTTTTTTTTTTTAATTGAGATGGAGTCTTGCTCTGTTGCCAAGCTGGAGTGCAGTGGTGTGATCTTGGCTCCCTGCAACCTCCACCTCCCAGGTTCAAGCGATTCTCCTGCCTCAGCCTCCCAAATAGCTGGGACTAAAGGCACATGCCACTATGCCCAGCTAATTTTTGTATTTTTAGTAGAGACGGGGTTTCACTATGTTGGCCAGGATGGTCTTGATCTCTTGAACTCGTGATCCACCCACCTCAGCCTTGCAAAGTGCTAGGATTACAGGCATGAGCCACCGTGCCTGGCCTGCTTTTTCAGTTTCTTAATGATATCTATCAAAGAATAGAAATTTTACATTCCTTTCTTATTTTTTGAGATATGGTTTCACTCTGTTGCCCAAGCTGGAGTGCAGTGGCATGATCACAGCTCACTGAAGCCTTGATCTCCCAGGCTCAAGTGATCCTCCCACCTCAGCCTCCCGAGTAGCTAGGACAACAGGTGTGTGCCACCACGTTCAGCTAAATTTTGTATTTTTTGTAGAAAAGGGGTCTTACTTTGTTGCCCAGGCTGGTCTCCATCTCCTGGGCTCAAGAGATCCTCCTGCCTTGGGGCTCCCAACGAGCTGGGATTACAGGAGTGAGCTATGCCCCCAGCCTAAAAGTTTTAAATTCTGATGAGGTCTAATTTATCCATTTTTTCCTATGGTTAGTGCTTCTGAGAAATCTTAGATCACCTCAGTGTCAAACAGATACATTATCCTATGCTCTCTCTAGGGGCTTTATCTTTCTAACATTTCTGTTGAAGCCCATGATCCTCTCAAATTAACTGTTGTGTGCTTTACAAGGTAATGTTTGAGGTTCATTTTTCTACATATGGACATCCAGTTATTCCAGCATCATTTGTTGAAAACGTTCCTTTCCCCATTGAATTGTCTTGGCATCTCTGTCAAAAATCAGTTGGCCACATATGTATGGGTCTATATCTGGACTCAATTCTGATCTATCTATGGCTGTCTTTTTGCCAATACCTCACTGTCTTGATTACAATGGCTTTTAAAATCTTTTTTTTTTTTTTTTAAGACAGCATCTCGCCCTGTCTTCCAGGCTGGAGTGCAGTGGTGTGATCATGGCTCACTGCAGCCTCCACGTTCTGGGCTCAAGCAATCCTCCCACTTCACCCCCCGAGTAGCCGGGACTACAGGCATGCATCACCATGCCCAGCTAATTTTTTATTTATTTACTTTTTTGTAGAGACTGGGGTCCCACTATGTTGCCCAGGCTGGTCTTGAACTCAACTCCTGGACTCAAGCAATCCTCCCACCTTGGCCTCCTAAAGTGCTGGGATTACAGGCATGAGCCGCCGTGCCCAGCCAGGTCTTCATTTTTTTTGTTCAATCTGACGTTTCTGCCTTTTTATTAGAATATTTAACTTCCATTTAATTGCTGAAATTAATGTCATTGTTGGTAGTTTTGGGTTTAGGTCTATCTTTTGACATTGGTTTTCTTTTTTCCCCTCAATTTTTTTGTTCCTTTGGCAGCTTACACTTCTATTTTTTGGCACCTTAAGTCAATCAGATTGTGCCAAGTTCTGGCCCTCTCCTGGCCCCACACTGCCTGCCTTCCAACCTCACATGAGGGCAGCTGGGGGGAGGCAGGAGACCTCTCTGTGTGATGTCCCTTTAAAGGGCTGATGGCCTCCAGTTTCTGTCCACTTTTTCAGGTGCTCTGTAGTGCCTTCAAATAGATTTTTAAAAATACTTTGCCTGGAGTTTATCATTTTTATCTGTGGGAGATGATTTAATCTAGCTCATTACCAGATGCTGTCATGGCTGCAACCAGAAACTGACCTGACTGGCTGTACTGAGCCACAGTGCAGGCTTAGAAAAAGTGGCTTGTCACACCCATTTCAATTTCTGCCTACTGTCTGATAGGGCATATTGATGGAGCTGACTGTGTCCTCCAAACAGAACAGGGACAAGAGGAAAGGGTAAGAAGAGACAGAAGCACTGACATGAGTGCTTCTGATGATAGGAGAGAATGTGGATTTATGGGATCACTCATAAACTGTTGCAGGAAGTGCAGATGAGCACCAACACTTTTGAAATGAGTCTGGCAGGATCTATGAAAGTTGAACTTTTGTATTCCAAATACACTTCCACTCCTAAGTATCTATCCCAGAGTGTCCAGAGCAACATTGTTTGTAATAAAAAACAAAACCTGGAAGCATCTCAAGTGCCTACCAGCAGGAGGATGGCTACACTGCCATACGTTTTCACAATGGACTATGCATAACAGTACTTCCCCACAGCCACACATGGCAACGTCAAGAAGTCTCTGCTGAGTGGAAAAGCAAGTCTCAAAAGATTGCACAGAGTATGCTGCTCCTGTTTGTTTTATATAGTGCAAAAACAACCAAAACTAAACAAAACATTGTTTAGGCAGTCATATATATGTGATCAAACTACTTTCAGAAAGAGCAAAGGGATAATAAACATAAAATTCATTTTTTTTTTTTTTTTTGAGATGGAGTCTCGCTCTGTCGCCCAGGCTGGAGTGCAGTGGCGCAATCTCAGCTCACTGCAAGCTCCGCCTCCCGGGTTCATGCCATTATCCTGCCTCAGCCTCCTGAGTAGCTGGGACTATAAGCGCCCACCACCATGCCCGGCGAATTTTTTTGTATTTTTAGTAGAGACAGGGTTTCACCGTGTTAGCCAGGATGGTCTCGATCTCCTGACCTTGTGATCTGCCTGCCTCGACCTCCCAAAGTGCTGGGATTACAGGTGTGAGCCACCACGCCTGGCACATAAAATTCAAACCAGAGGTTACCTGGAGGGAGAGAGGCAGGGAGGAGCACGTGGATAGACATATATTCAGATTATTAGATATCAGGTTTACAGATACTCATTTTATTAAGAAGGAATTAATGAATAAAACACAGAGAGAAAAGAGGGTCACGCATCTACCAAATATGACATGAAGGGTTTTGATTAGCTAAAAATGGACAGTCAAGAAGGCAGAGGGTCAAAAGATGTAGATGGCCATCAGTTAAAAAGACAGGCACTCAGGTCCAGCTCTAGGAAGAGAAATAAACTAACAGATACCTATGCAGGCATTGGCAAAGCAAAGAGACTTTCCTTTCCTTTGTTGAGCTGAAGGCGAGGGTGGTGAATTCCTGTTTGTTTTTGGATCCCTGCCTTGCCTCACACCAGGACCCAGTGTGTGGTCCCACGTCCTTAGATACGTATGCCTGGTCAGGGTACTAGTCTCAATTAAAAGCAACTGCAACATCAGTCCCAATCCATAGTGCCCACGGCCAACATAGAGGCTGAGGGTGAAGCTAAGAAGAAAAAGAGGCGCGAGCTAACCCTAAAGAGCACAGTGGCACTCCTCCGTGGCCTCTGCTCCAACCCAGGTGTGCTCCGCGAGGCCACAGGTGAGACTCCCCAGAGGCCCGTTCCTAATGGGGTCTACAAAGAATGCACAAGGGAGGCTCAGAGACATTTACAGTTAGGCTCAAAATAACCGTGAGGGCCAGCTGTGCCTTCCAGCCGAGCCACCTCCAAAATTCTAGGTGGGACCATGGATAGCGCAGCTTGCTACAGCCCAGCTAACTTCTCCAGGGAAAGTGAGGGTGGGAAAAAATAAATCACAAATATTTACTGTTGGCCAGGCACAGTGGCTCAAGCCTGGAATCCAAGCACCTTGGGAGGGCAAGGTGGGAGGATCCCTTGAACCCAGCTGTTTGAGACCAGCCTGAGCAACAGAGAGACTCTATCTCTACAAAAAAAAATTTAAAAATTAGCTGGGCGTGGTGGCTTGAACCTGTGGTCCCAACTACTTGGGAGGCTGAGGTGGGGGGATCGCTTGAGCCCACGAAGCCAAAGGCTGCAGTGAGCCATGATCATACCACTGCACTCCAGCCTTGGTGGCAGAGTAAGAGCCTGTCTCAAAAAATAAAATAAAATAAAAATATATTTATTGTTGCTTTAAAAAGCAGAAACAGGCTGGGTGTGGTGGCTCACACCTGTAACCCCAGCACTTTGGGAGGCCAAGGTGGGAAGATTGCTTGAGCCTCAGAGGTTGAGACCAGCCCGGGCAACATGGTGAAACCCCATCTCTAATAAAAATACAAAAATTAGTGCTTCCTCCAGTCCGTGCCTCCAATATGATGAAAAAAAGAAGGAACAACGGTCGTACCAAAAAGGGCCGCGGCCACGTGCAGCCTATTTGCGACACGAACTGTGCCCAATGTGTGCCCAAGGACAAGGCTATTAACAAATTCATCATTGGAAACACAGTGGAGGCTGCAGCAGTCAGGGACATTTCTGAAGCGAGCGTCTTTGATGCCTATGTGCTTCCCAAGCTGTATTTGAAGCTACATTACTGTCTGAGTTGTGCAATTCACAGCAAAGTAGTCAGGAATCGATCTTGTGAAGCCCACAAGGACTGAACACCCCTACTCCAATTTAGACCTGCGGATGCTGCCCCACAACCCCCACCAAAGCCCACGTAAGGAGTTGAGTCCTTAAAGTCTGAAGACGGACTATTCTCTTGAGAAAAATAAAATGGAAATTGTACTTAATTAAAAAATACAAAAAGTAGCCATGAGTGGTGACATGCACCTGTGGTCCCAGCTACACGCAGGGGCTGAAGTGTGAGGATCACCTGAGCTTGGGGGGTTGAGACTGCAGTAAACTGAGATCACATCACTGCACTCCAGCCTGGGTGACAGAGTAAAACCTTGTCTCAAAAAAAAAAAAAAAAAAAAAAAAAAGTAGAAATATCGGCTAAAACCTGAGAGATCTATTTGACGTTGGCGGGGGGTGTGATCTGGTGGAGCCAAGCATTGTAGTTCTCCTCTCGGAAGTCAAACTGCGGAGAGCTTCACAGGGGCCGTGACATACTCTACAGATGAGATGCACTGGACCAGCACCACTCTCGACAGGCAATGTGTCCCATAAACATTACTTCTGTGGCCGTTAGAAATCAAGGCCAAATATATATGCTGAAAGGTGAAAGCTCGCTGGTAGCAAAGGTCCCTGTTTCACGAGGTCCCTCTAATTGGTCATTGACTCTTGGCAGCTGTTGCCCAGCCTCTGCTGCTGGGGACGTGGAGCACAATCTTCTGCAGGGTGCGGGCCTGGCCTTTGGTTTACTGACTGTGTCTAACACACACCTCCCGCTCACTGCCCTTCCTCACTCCCCTTCTAGTTAGTCAAGCCTTTCCCAGTCACTCTTACCACCTCCTTTCCTGGAAGCCAATTCACATTTGGGTCTCTGATAAGAATGAAGATGCTAATAATTAAGAATGTCCAGGAGTGCTTTGTAATAAGTGCCCTTTCCTATTCATCACATGCCATATAGACCCCAGGGTGCCTCCTGCTGACCTGGGAGGCTCAGATGCAGCCAGGGGGCAGTGTCCTGCTCGGCAGACAGTGCACAACACAGGGCCAAGAAGAGCCGTCCTCCAGGGCCATGCATGCTGGCATGACAGAGTTCTCAGACATAATAGTAGACAGATGCTTCTGGGTATCAGGGCACGGGGCAGACAGATCTTGATTTATGTTAAGTTAAAATGGCTTAACCTTTGTTGGGGCACTCATTAGGAACCTTTCTTTGTGAGCAAAACAGTCCATCAAAATTATTGAAAATAAAGTGCTCTTGTCCAAAATACTCTCAACAGCGTCTTATTCTCTGGGATGAATGAGTAATATATGTGATATAACAAACCTGCTTGCTTGCTTTCTCCAGAGCTTCTACAAAGCACTGCGTAAACACCTGAATAGTGGCTATGATTTCCAGGGCCCCATCGGTTTCCAGGAGTGCACACCTGAACAATGCAAAGTCAGATCAGAACACGTTTAACAAGTAATCCGGCAAACATGAAAACCTGCACTGTATAAGGGAAAAGTAGAAACACTTTTTTTGTGCCATAAGCTTCAGCAGTATCTCAACTCATCAGATTTCAGTCCTTGTGTGAAAACAGGATAAATTTGTCGCTCCCTGTTATATTTTCTTTAAAATTGCAACGTGCAGAGCTCTCTTTCTTGGTTCTTAAATTATTAAGCAATGCAAATCCCTTCCACACAGGCTTGCATACTCTGTACAAATATTTTTGTATTGTATGCCTGGACACGCAACATCAACATTTTGCTTTCACAAGTGGAGACGAAGCTGCTCAAAGGGTAAAATGGCCTCGTCCATCCACCCAGCAAAGTAGGAAAATAATGTGTGTGTACCTGGTTTCGCTTCCATGCATTATTGTACAATTAATTTTTCTTTATGTTTGTTTAAGCAAAACAAAACAAAACAAACAAAAAAACTCTCAAATTTTGCTAGCTTTAAACCCCCAACACTGTTCTGACTACTGGTGAGTTATTGTCACAGTAAAAATTCCTTTCCCCAAAGTCTGCAGTCTGCCCTGCAGCCTCTGCTGCTGTGTGTTAGGTGGGAGGGGCTAGAGAGAGAGCTGATATGGGCTCCCCTGGAAGAGGGGCTGGGACACTCCCAGGTGACAAGCTCCCCAGGGGCGTCCAGTCTTAGTACTCCATGGTTAGTACTCCCACTAACTTAGTACTCCATGGTTAAAACTCCCACTAACTGCCAGCCACATCTCAGCTTCATGGCTGTGAGCTCCTCGTCTCTTGCCGTCTGTAAATCTAATGCATTTCCCAAGAAGTACTCATATTTTCAAAATAAAAATGTAATGTGTTGTAAGAGAACATGCATGGTGTATTTTGCCTTTCAGAAGAGTTCTGTTAAGAATGACTTTTATTTTTCTTGGCTTTCTTTAGCTTTAAAGTCTTTTAAAAATATTGGTCAGCCCTCACATGGTGAAGGGAGTATATTGCTACCCTTTATTCTGAGCTGAGAAAAATCCTACATGAATATTTCATGATATTAATGCCTAACTCAATTCTGTGTTTCTATTATTAGAATCTTAAAAGGCTAAAGAAAATAAAGTTATCTTAATTCTTAGGCACTGGCCTTTAAATTTACACTGATTTTTGAGTTTTTACCTCTAATTACCAAAAAGCTCAGAGGAACAGGAGGGAATCAGAAACTCTAATTTCCCCATGATACAGCCAGAGACTACCACAACATTTTCTGATTCATGCTTGGAAATGGAACCTTTTTTACATCAATTACTAGAAGAAACAGTGTAACGTTTACCTGAACATCTCATCAACAACCCGGAATATGGCAGGGTGGCAGGCTGCTTGAGGCTGTAAAAGGAGAAGACCATGAGAATGTGAAATATCACAAGCACTTTCTCAGAAACTTGCTATTATCAGCCAAAGGAGTTACTGGGAACTGCTGATGTCCAGAAAACTGGCATACTCCTTTTGGTTAGAAGAACGAACCACTGCTGTACTGAAAACGCCCCACATACAAGTGCATACGGTGGTCTCCCTGGGCAGGGGTTACAGGCAGCTTATTCCTCTGTATACTCCTGTATGTCCCACATTTTCTATAAAAGCTCAGGCGATCCATAATACAGAATCAGTAAGTATTAGAGAAACTTTAAACATCCCTCTGCCCGCATGCCGTGGAGCCTGCCTGTACTGCCAGTTCTACTGAAGTGTGCCTGTGTGACCTCCTCAAATGGCTAGATGTGCCTCGAGGTCAGGCCCGTGCCTGCAGCCTGTTTATTCGGTAATGGGTACATAACAATTTAGAATTATTATTGGCAAACCAGTGACCACTACCACGCTGGACTAAATCACATCACATCTTAATGCACTTAACAGCTTGCGTTAAGATGAAAAGGGGGTTCATGAAGAAGAATAAAAGTTATCTAATTTCTCCTTGAATATTTCGGTGATGGGTTCTGATTATTTGAGTCTGCAGAAGCTGGCCTCCGGTAGCCCTGGGAGCTGGGGGGAGCTTCACTGGCCCAGTCCCTGGTTCCCTATCTTTTTGGCCAGAGCTCAAAGTATGAGATGATGCCAGATGAAAATGCCCATTTGTGTTCCAAAACAGATCCTTTATAGCAGGGTCCGTAACTTTCTCGGCACCAGGTACCGGTTTCTTGGAAGGCAATGTTTCCACAGACCGGGAGGGGGAGATGGTTTTGGGATGAAACGGTTGCTCCTCAGATCATCAGAGGACAACCCGATTCCAGGCATGCGCAGTCAGGATGGGGCTCTGGTTCCGTGGGAAGCGAAGCGCGGGGCTCTGACAGGGGCAGGTGCGGGCGGGAAGGCTAGGGGCTCCTCTCCGCTGTGCGCCCAGGGGGCGGGGACCCCTGCTTCACAGCAGCATTCACATGTTAGTGGATCAGGCGCTATTGGAAATTCAAGTCAGAGTGCATTTGATATGACTAGCTTTGGGAAACACTGTTCACAGGCCCCCGTCGGCAAGAAAAAAGGAGGCGCTCTGCTCCGGCCGTGCCCTGGATCACACTGAGGCAGGACCGCGCCTCCTCGCGGCCTCCCCGATGACATTGAGCCCGCGCCATCTAGCGTCCACTGGTCAGCACTGCTGGACCCGCCGGGCTCCAGGCAGGAGCTCTGCCACTTTTTCAGGACAGGATAAATCTCCTTTTAATTATTTCAAGATTTCTAATTTGCAAGTTAAAATGTCCTACTCTTTAAATAATCTATGCTCCCTCATCCTTCACTGATGTGCATTTTTATCTAAAAGGAACCAACTTGATATTCTTACAGATAAATTCATTATCTATGCAAGAAAATAATTTGGCAGGACCACCGTTCAAGAGAGGAGAGGCAGGTTATTTCGTGGCTTCGAACTTAGGCATGTCAGTTAATCTCCTGATGCCCAGTCTCACTGTAAATAATAAAAGTTATTAAGAGGTCACCGGATATAAGCACGGAAAATATAAAAGTTTCTATGTATTCATAATGAAAAAATAAAACAAGGGAAAAGCAACCGTATGTCTTGAAGAAATGTGATTCATCTAAGTTTGCCAGAGCAATTTTCAAAGTTTGTACAACAACATGCCTATTGAATAAGAGTGTTTAAGATCAAATAGCACTGTTATGTGCCCACAGGCAGACAGATAAGAGCTTGGAAATGCGTTGATAGAAAGTAAGATGAAACTTGAAAATGGTAAAATTAAATTTCTTTTTTCTAAATGGTCAAACTATCCCAGAGCCATTCTATAGGTTTGATGCTAGTAGAGAATCATTCAATACTAATTATAGGGATTTCCAAACAGCAAAGAAAATGATGATCAGATGTAGATTAGGGCTACTATGAAAACCACTGGGGGAGCAAGGAAGACAGCTCTTACTCAGTTTGTTAGAAGAGAGTGAGAGCTTAGATCTGCTCCTCTTCTGTGCGCTGTTTTCTAGCAAAATCGCTCAATCCAATGTTTTAAATGCCTGCTGGCTGTGTGGAATCTGCTTGTTCTTCCCCATACAGATGGACTCTCCTCTTAGATTTCTTTCTTTCCAAATATTTCAGACCCTTGGCTACTCTCAGCCTGCTTCCACAACCCATTTTAGCTTTTAAAACAGGTAAGAGGCCAGGAGGCAGGGGAACCTGCAGAAACAGCAACGGCAGAGATTTTGATTTGAAAACCAGTCTCCTTTTTTTTTTTTTTGAGACAGGGTCTCATTCTGTTGCCAGGCTGGAGTGCAGTGGTGATCTTGGCTCACTGCAACCTCCAACTCCTGGGTTCAAAAGATTCTCCTGCCTTAGCCTCCTGAGTAGCTGGGATTACAGGCACGTGCCACCACACCTGGCTAATTTTTGTATTTTTAGTAGAGATGGGGTTTCACCGTGTTGGCCAGGATGGTCTCGATCTCCTGACCTCACTGAAAAAAAAGAAAACCAGTCTCCCTTGCTACCCCTACAGCTGTGAACTGCTCCTTCTCATCTGCACCCCTCACCGATGGCTTTTAAAATGACACTCTTTATACTTTTTGAGCACATAATTTCAGGGTCAGTGAGTCCCCTCATGAGGACTAGAGTACTACAGGTCAGGCATATGTCCCAGCGACATCAAATCACAAAAGCAATCTTAAGCTGCTTTTCTTATCAAGATAATCTTCCAAATAGAATTAAGGTTTTAATACACGCTTCTTTGGAAGCCGTATCTTCCCCCCTAAATCTCTGTAGCATCTTCATGAGTGATGACGCAGGCATCTAACCTCTGATCCTGTTTTATTTGTAAGGTGGGGCACTCCGGTAACACACCAGAGGTCACGCTGCAAGCCAGGGCTCTGAAGCCCCATGACTGCGGCCATTATCTTTTCTATAAAAGCGGGGAAATAAAATAAACCTTTTGTGGTTTCCATCTGTTTGTTTTTCTCCATCCTACCAAAATCTGTTCCTTCTCAAGCTCTCTCTTCTCCATCTGGCCTAACAATTTCCACAGGCAGATCATTTCAACTCGAGGGGAGCTATGTCAGCAGGAGGTCTTCAATAACATGAGTCTTGTCCTTCCCTCCTTATCTCCCCCCTCAGGCTTTTCACTGAATGCCCAGGATGACTAGGGAGCGAAGATGGAGAGCTCTGGGTTCTGCCCTCCCTCTTGTATAGACCCGATTGTTCTGCTGGGTGTGCATCCCCTTGGGCTAACAAGAGCTTTCCCTCTGATCTCCCCTCATGGCTACCCAGAATTGCATTGTTTATCTCCCCTCCACCTAGAAAGAAAGCCCATCTTCATCCCTCAAAACACAAGGGAAGACAAAGTCAACATGGAATCAACACACAATAACCATGGTCTCAGTGCCTGTTTTGGAAGAGAGGCAAGGGAGAGGCCAACTTGTCACTCTGCACCATGAACTGTGCAAATTACACAGGCTCTTGTGCCCGGTCCTTGATGTTTACTTAAGCTGTTATTTTCATACCAACTCACCAATGATTATTACAAGCCACTTGCCACTTGAAAGAGGCCTGAGAACAAGAAGAACAGAATTCTCAGGAAGAAGCATTTCTTTCTGTCATTTGCTGATTCTGTGTGTGTGTGTGTGTGAGAGAGAGAGAGAGAGAGAGAGAATAGGGAAAAGGAGAGGGACAGAAAACAAACCAAAAAGGGAAATTATACTATGATTTAAGGTAACTCACAGACAAAAGCAAATCCCTTTTAGAAAAAATAAAAAGGCAGTGAAGGAACAGAAAAAATTATCAAGTGCTTTCCATCTATCACCTTTCATAGATATATTCGCCTTAAAAATAAAGAAGGAAATAGCAGATGACAGAGAAGCTGAAGTTCATTAAGCCTGGAATAGATTCTTTCCTGGTATTTTCATGTACTTGCATGTAGCTTAAATATTTACTTAGGAAATGGGTCATTTAAAGAATCAGCTGATGGGCAGCTTCCCCTCCAGTTTACCCAGCAGCCGGACAATCCCGTCCCACCGTGTAGCTGTTTCCGAGCCACTGTTCTCTCCACAGTGGGAAGCCCTTGTTGTTAATATGTGCATATTCACTACAAAATACCTTTCTTCTTAAAAAGAAGATTCTCCATAAGAGTCATTTCACCAGTGAACTCCTCTATTGAAGTGAAAAATGATTTGGCTTGAGAAAAACCTATTTATACAAAACCTTCACATCTATCATGTACAATGAGGCACCTTTATAAATATGTATTTTTTATTATGCCATTTGCTTCTTTTCTATTTTCAAAATACTAAACATAAGACTCTAAATATCCCTTTTACATTTTCAGATCTATTTTGTTTTAAAACATTCAGGTTCCTTTTAACAAATTTGAGCTCGGAAAAATTATTCTTTCTTTTTAATCTTTACCAGATGTTGTTTATACACAAACAATTTTTTCAGTACTCCATAATGCAATTATTGTTTAATTAGTGATAAATCTGTCATTCCTGGGCTTAAGAACTTAACAAGTACCAAATGTACTTTTGCGTCTTAAATTTACATGTGCTCTTCTCTGTGTTTGGACACAGAGGATCCCCAGCACCCCCTCCCCTGCCTGAAGTCCTTCTAGCCTTGCCCAGTGGCCTCTATCCAATTAGCCCGGGTAGCCCAAGCTGGAAGAAAGCTCCTCAGCCCCCTGCTGCTTCACAGCTCAGCCTGAGTGGCAATGACCCCTACGTCCACCCCTGCTTTGTTTTTGGGTTTTTCCCTCTCTCCCTTCATCTCTGGCCACAAGGTCTGCATCCCCAACTGCAATTCCATTGCAAGGAAACTCGCAACGTGGGCCTCTTTCTTCACAGAGACTATGCTGGAGGATCTGGTGCCCCCCTGAGGCTAATTCTGGAAAGTGCAACTCCAGTCCAAGATGCAGAACCTCCCAGCTTTTAGCCATACACATCAGCCAGCACTACTGGACTACTGCTAAATTATCTACTTCAGCTCTTGTTCAATTACATGCACCACATTAAAGAGCTCAAAAGGAAGTGCCGAAAAGACTGAAAAAGCAGGAAAAGAAAACCCTGGCATGTTAGTGAAAAGCTACTTAAGCACAGCAAACTGACAATATCACCCAGGATGTAGAGTGAACTCTTCAGCACAATATTTTACCAAGGAGGAGCTGCATACTGGGAGTCTGTGTAAAGGAAGTTTCTTTTTCTTTCTGAAGTGCTACAATTGCTACCTGGAGAATGAGGGAAAAAAACACAACCTATCCCATATTGAGGAGGATACTGAGGTATCTAGATGCTTTTTATTCTTAAGTTCTTATTAGATAAAGTAATCTTTTGAATTAAGCCATAAAGATTTTTAGGTAGGAGAGAAAATGAAGCATATTCTGATATCAAATCTTAGCAGAAACAACTCTGCCTCCTGGGCGCCTCCTCTGCTCCTTTCTTTTGGGGACAAGTCTGCCTGGGAAGGTGAGGCTAGCTCCTCTGGACCCAGCTGCGGGCGGGCTCTGCCAGCAAATGGGAGGGCATGAGAATCGGGTACCTTCCGGCCCTGGCATGCAGCTTGCCAGCCAAGCACAGTGCCACCCTGACACCCTGCAGACACTTTTCATTCCAATGTGGAATCCAAAGAATAGCTTTCTGGGCTCCACAAACAAAATTGTAACTGGAAAACATAACATCCTTCTAATTTGGGGCCAGCCTTGGGAAACCGAACAATGCCAAGAAGGCTGCATAATTAACAAGTGGCTTTCACTGCTGTCGGTGACATCGGTTTTTAAGGTCAGGTCTGAAGCTATGGATTATGGTCTTCCCGTGCCCATGCTGTCAAGGAAAACACAAGACCATCTGCTTTTGAAAAGTTTCAGTCTGTACAGTAAATGACAATCTAGGGCTAATACCTCACTTGATGTAGGAGCTACCAACCGTGGCAGACAGCATGACTCGACAGCAGTCCAGTCCACCGCACGGAAGCCAAAGGGGAAGCCTCAAAAGTGAACGGGTTTTGAAAACTTTTCTTTTATTTTAGATGTTAAATACATACATAGTCATTTGGAACTCAGGTAATAAGAGACTAATCCCTCATTATTCATGGTCTTAATGGAAAATATCAGACCTGCGAGTCCAAGAGGCCAAAGAACATTTGGGAAGGTCATTTCACTTTGTACAACCTGTACCACACTTTTATCTTTTGTTTTTGTTACATTTTGGTAACTATAGAATTTCCAGGACTCATTCTGCATAGTCCCAAGAGAGAGAAATATAATTAACAGTGCTCTATATAAAACACAAGTTATGTAGACCATCACACTTTAATTACTCTCAGAATCCAACTCTAATGTAATAGGCATCAGGTTTCCTCTGGAGCACAGCGCAGCAGTCTCGTGCTATCTGAGTCTTAGAGATCTCTCTGATACTTCTGTACAGTCCTGTCACTGCACCAAGATACTGCACTGCGATAAATGAATCAGATGATGCAATTAGGAAGCAGGCTCTTCAGGTTACCCCTGCAATCACTTAGCCACGTCACAGGCCTATTGCGGCCTGCCTGGCTTTCTGGCACTGCAGGCCCAGGATGCTGAGGAGAACAGCCCACACCAATCAGGGGCTTCCAGCCATCGTCTGTATTGTAATTACGTCCTTGAACCATGAGGCACAGAGAGGTCACATCCTGCCAATGCCACAATAAATTAAACCAAATAACACCCTCTAGAATCCCCCTTTAGCCATAATGGAAGCTCTGAATTTCTGCACACATGATCCCGATAAAAGCTTTTGTAAGTCAACTGACTTCAAAGCTGTGTGACTCGTGGGAGATTACTGTAAACTACAAACTGGAGACTGAGCATTATACAGTTATGTGCAATGGGACGGCCTGCGTTCTCTGTCTTGCATCTGCTGTGCTCACCACAGTGCTGCTCAGGCATGAGGGCCACAGGCAAAAAGGACATGGAGAAGGTTCAGGGAAGAATCCAAGGATTAAGGAAAGGCTGGAAAAAAGGCAATGGGACTAGAATTTTTCAATAGGGAGAAGACTTAAGGAAAATGTCATAAGCACCCTGGAAGCAAGCATATAGCCCAGTTACTATCATTTTGCCACTGAAAAGGGACCAGAGAAACTGAAATCCTAGTATGCACATGTAAGTTAGTAATAGATTTAGCAGACAATAAAGGTAATTTATGACCTTGAATCACCAGGAATGGGCTGTCAGAGGGCTTCTGAAAGTCATGATTTATTTTGAATTGTACTGCAACCATTTTAAAATAAGGTGCATTCCTATTTCTTGCCTTAATATATGACTCTTCCGGATGGTAAGGTTAGGTAGTAATTATCCTTAAGAAATCTGTTTGGGCTCTCTCAGTCTTAATATACACGTCTTCCTTTCTCTTCTATCGTGGTAAACTTTCAAGTCAGGTGGGATCCGTGTGTGCAGCCTGAGGTACAGGTGAGAGCAGCGTGGCTGTCAGCACCTGCAACCCTATGCACATCGCCCTGGGAGGCCAAGGGGAAGGGTGAAAGGGGCCATGAAACAAGGGGAGAAACGGGATCGCGGAGGAAGGCAACTGATTCCATTAGGATTCCCTTAGACAGTCTCCAACTAGAAAGAGAAAGAAAGAACACAGAAGTCCCAACTGAACTAAACAAGTTGAAGGCCTCTAGGAGGTAGGGGTTCTATGAGCTCAGGAAAAGTGGGCACAGCCAACCTCAGGGACTTCCTCAGTCTCAGCTCAAGGGCGAGGGTGAACACTCCCTCCTTCCCAGTGTCCCGGCCACTAACTAAAGACCGGACCGTTCACTGTGGCTCTTGGAACTCACTTTCTCCACTTGCAGGAAGCAGGAAGAAGTGGAAGGCAATCTCTGTGCCACATCCCTGCAGATTACGAAAGCTAAAGGGAAAAAGGGCAGAGTTCACTGGAGCTCCTGGAAGACAGAGGCTGCGGGACCATGGCACCTGCAGGTTTCTGAATCATTTTTTCAGGGTGCCTTGGTCTTTATTCCTGTCCTTACAAAATGTGCTCCAATCCCACAGAGCTGCCTCCCACAAAGGAATATGACTGGCGAGTCAGTGGTGGCGAGGGCCACTGAGAGCCCAGGGTGCCAGACACTGGGCCAGGAGGTGGATGTCCACGTGGGCTGGAGTCCCCAGCTGCACAGTCCTGAGCGGGAAGGGAGCCAGGCGCCACCGCGCAGGGGAGGGTGAAGGCAGGTGGCCTCACACCAAAAGAAAACTTACAGAAGTCTTAGCTGGTTCTGCTGCTTTAACCATTTTTCTGGGGTTTTGTGTCTCTTATTTCATCTTTCCTCTAGTGAAGAGCTACAAGTTTATTTTTTGAATGTTTTTAATTGATTCTTCCTCTTACCCATATGTTCATTTCCAAAAACTTATTTTCCATGCTGAAATAAGAAATACTGTTTTTAAAAAGTCTGTTGTGCAAATGTCAATTCTTGTGAACATGTGATATACGGCATATCAATCAAGTAAACCTCAGATCTCTCCCTGCATGCTCCAAGGATGCAGAAAAGCCCCCTATGTTAGTGATTTCAAAAATAAAATGTAAATACACGATTATATATAAAGGTTCCAATTGCTCTTTTGTTTACATCCCCCCCTTTCATTCTCTGACTAAAAGAAATGATTCCAAGCATCTCCTTCAAGGATTTTTCCCTTCATCAAAACCCAGTACGTACCAGCGATGAATCTTTTATAAAGCATTCGATCCTTCTCAGACAATTTCTCTCACTGGAGATTAGCTTTTCAAAAAGATGCAGCATTGCTTTTTCAAGGCTGGGAAGGTGCCGAAGCCAGAGGCAGACTACAGCTGACATGGGGAGAGAAATCTTCTTCCTTTCAGAAAGAAATAAACAAAATTTTAAACAGAAATGGCTCACTGAAAAAAGAAGATTAAAAAAAGTTCAAAATGCAATCACTAATCCAATTTGTGAGACTTCTCATCATGGTCACAGCAGTGGCTAATAATTTATAGAATCAGTGAATATTTACCAAGTGCTCATTTGCAAAATAATGTGAATATGCTTCCACTTCAACTCACCTTAAGAAATCAGAAATGCTCAGGAAAAAAATTGCTTTCAAAAAGAATAAGCAAATGTCTAGTGATGGAAGAAAGAGGGAGCGATAAAAAACGGGATGGAAAAGGCCTCGTGATGCCCAGTCCCTAACTGAAGAAATAGGCATGTTCAAACACGCGTAATCATGCCTCACAATAGGGATGCGGACCTGGGTTTCGGTCCCAGCGCCACTGCCTACTAACTGTATGATCTCAGAGAAGTTAACCTCAGTTTATTCATCTGTAAAATGGGCCTATCTCCTTCACAGTGTTCTTGTAATGCAACAACACACGTACAGTGATTAGCACAGTGCTTGGCACATAAATATCCAATAACTAATTATAATCGGTTGCTTGAAAGTTGAAAATATTTCTAACAATTTCAAGGCCAGATGCAGTGGCTCACACCTATAATCCCAACACTTTGAGAGACTGAGGTAGAAGGATCACTTGAGCCCAGGAGTTCAAGACCAGCCTGGTCAAATAGTGAGGCCCTGCTTCTACAAAAAAAAATTTTTTTTTTAAATTAGCCTGGCATGGTGATAGCACACCTGTAATCCCAGCTACTTGGGAGGCTGAGGCAGGAGGATCGCTAGAGCCCAGGAGGCTGTGTTCACGTCACTGCACTCCAACCTGGGCAAAAGAGCAAGACCCTGTCTCAAAAGAAAAAAATCCAATTTCATATATGGTAGTTATGGCCTAGTTGATGCACTGGACCTTAAGTGTGATACTGGATAGGTTAGCAGGACTGGGAATCAAAGATTCCTTTAAAAAAAAAAAAAGATGCAAAGTCGTGCTCTCTCACCCAGGCTAGAGTGCAATGGTGTGATCAAAGTTCCCTGTAACCTCAAACTCCTAGGCTCATGTGATCCTCCTGCATCAGTCTCCCCAGTAGCTGGGACTACAGGTGCACGTCACCACATCTGGCTATTTTTTTTCTTGTAAAGATGGGGGTCTTGCTATTTTGCCCAGTTTGGTCTTGAACTCCTGGCCTCAAACAATCTTCCTGCCTTGGCCTCCCAAAATGTTGGGAATACAGGCCTGAGCCCCACTACTCCCCAGACACAACCATTTTGTGTAGCTACATTTGTTTCTAAAGGAACATATATTAAGGTCCTCTTGTGTCAGTGAATTGGGGCTCCACTTCCCCTCCCTGGAGGGAGCATGAGGGGCACATGTCTGTCTCTGAGCCCCAACTGCTGGCTCTGGGATACAGTAGAGCTGCCCCCGAGAGCCACCTGCCCTTTACCTGCACATCCCAGACAGTGGGTGCTTCCCAGTGGGTGCTTTTCAAACTTGATGTCTATTCATTAATCTCCCTCCTGTCTTGCCCCAAGAAAAACAAGGCTACTGCTATTAATAAGGAAAACTAAAGTGGGGGCGTAAGCCTCCCACCGACCCAACAACCCCTTCAAGGCCTGTCCCTTCACCATGACTTTTGGGCCACTTCTCTGCAGAGCTGGTGTGAAGCCCAGCAACTGGGTCCAGGGACAGGAAGGGACATGGGGAGAGCAGTTCCTAGAGGTTTCACTTTTTCTGCTTGCTTGGTGTAGCTCCTGCAGACCTTGTCCAGGGTTGACCGTGGGGCAAGAGCAGCAGGGAAGAGGCTGAAGACCCGGGGAGACTGCGGAGGAGCTGGCAGAAGGCAGGGGGAAGGGAGAAGGGAGGGAGGGTACATTCACCTCAGAGCCTCCTGATCTCACGCTCACACCCTGAGCTTCAATTTGTCCAGGACCCACCGGCAGGCCCCGTTCCTCATCTCCCCACCTCCCACACCTGGCAAAGCCCTGCCATGGTGCCACACCCCCTCAATACTGGACATGCCATTTCCTCAGATGAAAAGAAGAGAAGAAATGATTTCTGGAGGATTTACTAAGAGATCAGTTTGAGGTGTGTGGATTTGGAGTGTCTGAGGCACAACCAAGCAGAGATATTCAATAGGTCCTTGAATATCCAAGGTGGAAGCTCCGGGAGAGGAATTGGCTGAAGGTACACATTTGGGTGTCAGAACCCCAAGGGAGGAAGCTCTGAGTGTGGAGGCAGGCAGGGGAGGAGGAGCAGCTGCAGATGGCAGGAGGCACAGAAGCAGAGGACGCGTCATCAGAGCACGAGAAGATACAAAGGGGCGAATGAACCCTGAGTGTGCCGGGCAGGCCCTGGATGGCAGCACATGGCAGAGAGAGGAGAGGAGTGGAGGTGAAGCCAGGACTGCAGACAGGACTTCAGAGGACTGGCGGTAACGGGAGTGATCCCAGGCGGCGGCCCAGAGGTGGGGCCTAGTGTGCTCCTGAAAGGCTGCCAACGGGCAAGGCGCAGAGGAGTGGGAAAGGCTGAAAAGCAGTGGCTGGAATGATGCTGTTTCGCTTGCACTTGAATCCTCATTAACAGCCCTACAAAACAGGTACAAAATTATCCCCTCCCCGCACAGAAGAGGCAGCCGAGGTCAGAGAGGACCAGGACTCGCAGCTGGTAACACTTGAAGCCAGGGCGGCTGAGGTTGGAGTGAGTACAGGACCACGTTGGCTCTGAGGAGGGGTGCAAGAAGCCAGGCCTGGGCTCAGCAGAACAGTGGGCAGCTTTACTGGGTGGGCCAGACGCCGTGCCTGTGCTTATGCCCCTTGTGAAGAGGAAAGGCTTTTCCATCCAGGTGGTCAGCCAATTCTAGCCACATCAATGGAGCCCTGGAGAGGGGTTCCTGTCCAGTAATCATGGGGAAGCAGAACACCCCTGGGTGTGGAGAGGGTGCTCGTAGCTTCCATCATGGAGCCAGGAAGCTCTGAATAGGAGAGTTCGCCTCTCAGTGGCTCCTCCCTTCTCAAGCAGCAGTGCTGGCTTTGACCAGCTTTCCTCATGCCTTATCTTTTTTCAGGATCCATGTAACACGAATCTGTATGTCACTGGAAAGGCGTTTCACTGCAGTGAGAGGTCTTCTGCCAGTACCACATCCTGGCCGAGAGCCATGGCACGGTGTTTGTCATTCATCCTGCCAGGTGGTGGTGGGGAAGCTGCTGCAGCACTCAGGCCAGGCCGCCAGGAGCAGCAGCAAATTCACATGAACCAATGAAGAACCGACCCATCCTGCTTAGCATAGTCACTCAAGCACACGAGTCACACTCCAGTCAGTAAAGTGCGTGATGCGCCCATTCTAGTTTGAAAACGATGTGTGTTAATAGCTGTCTTTTTATTAGAGCCTTGATTCAGAGCACACCCTACTAATTGCTGTGAGTGATTATGTTTATGGACCTGTGTTTAATATTTGGATAGATTTTGCTCTAAAACCTCAGTGACTTAACTCTTTGTAATCACCCCTGAATGAAGGAATCGCCGAAGCAGTATCATCTTGATATGCTTGCTTAACAGAATTTGGCCGAGCCAACATATTTGTGTTCTACCTGGTGGTCTGAACCAGGCTGGCTTTAAATAAAAAGGCAAATCACAGAAAAAGAACTGCAAATGGCCGATAAAAATGTGCAGCTCTCCCATCTAATTAACAGTAAAGGAAGGGAAACGCACCGACGTGGTCTCAGTTTCACCCTCTCCGTGTAGGCGCTGAGGAGAGTGACAACACCCAGTGCTGGGGTAGGCAGAGGGTGCGTCTCCTCACAGGCAGGCAGGCACTGGCTTCACATGGCCAGTCATGTGGTGCCACTGAAGAAAATGCAAGACACACAGCCCCGTGTTAATCATCGTACTGCTGTCAATTTGCCTGGCAGAAATAGAAACATCAGTTTGAGGATATTTACTGCAATCCTTATATATGATAAGGACAAAACTATAAACACTGCAGTGTGCACCCACGGGGATGGCGGAACAGAGTGTGGGCCTCGTGCCACGGAGTATGCCCCTATTTCAAATGAGCTGGATCTGTGTCCTGCGAGGGGTATTTAAGACACGCTGGTTAAAAAGCAGGCTCTGGAGTGATGTGGCTATGGTGTAATGCTGCTTTTGTTTTGACAATGAGCAGACAATGGCTTTATATGGACTTTATGTTTAACAAGCATAAGGTATGGCTACCAGAATTACTGCAGGATGAGGAGGAGGAGGTAATGAACATTTTCTGTATATGCCTTGTGCTGTATTGTTTGACCTGACAAAATGAATATATATATATTTATATATATATATATATAAATATATATATTCATTCATTCTGTGGAAAATTTAAAGGGACAATAAAGTAAAAAAGAAAAAAATGTTTTTAGGGAAACTAAAAAATTTCATTCTGTTCAATACGTTAGTGACAGAAACGCTAAGGTTGTCCTTTTTCTTCTCTATAATGGTTCCATCCATCCTGCCTGGAATTGACCAAAATCATGAATTCAAGAAAACAGAGTAAGATAAAAACTTGACTCCCCCAAATCCCTACCTAATAATTGGGAGAGTTTTCTGTATCATAGTTATGTTTTAGGAAATGGGGTGGACATTTAGAATTTATGTGTAATACATTACTATTTTCTCCTTTAAAATAATGAGCAGTAGGCTTCCAGTCAGGGCTCCACCTAGAAATCTGATTTACAGTGACAGCGTCTGCCATGAGCCAGGGAAGCCTGGACAGGACGCTCTCCCCTGTCCAACAGACTCTTCCAAAAGACACCTCCTTGAGATTTAGAAAACTCTACTTTGTTTCCCCCAAATACTCAGTTTAGTGAGGCAGTTGTGTTTTCTCATCCTTTACAAAAAGAGGTAGCAGGTAAAGAAATTGGTCCAACTGCTTACTAAATAATTTTGGCTCCAAATATTTTTATAGCTACAAAAAAACAAAACAAAACAAAACAAAACCAGAATGCAGAATTAAATTCTTCACAAGAAAGGTTCTTGATGAGGGAGGCCCATCTGAGAGGTTGTGTTCTAAAGCTGTCTGAGCAGTAGAGGGGAGGCCAGGGCTTCCTCAGCCAAGACAAAGGTGCACTGGCAACAGTCCACCTTTTCAAACCAGAAAGAGATCAAGGCTGTTTGGGTTGCCAGACAAACTCACAAAACTTGGATTTAACTGTTATGGAGAATTGCTTACTTCCAAGGAACTGAAAAGAACACTGTTTGATCCTAAAGTTGTATTTAGGTGACAGCCTGATCTAAGCAATGCATCATAATTCAGACAAAAGTTGCCATCATTATCATCTGCATGTACAGAGCAGCTCACTTCTCAAAAGGCAGCCACCAACAAGCAGAAGAAATGTGCAAACCCAAACACACCAGAATGTCTGGCAATTACACGTCAATATAAGCAGATTTTTTATTAGAAAAGTAAAGTTTTCTGTGACTCAATTTGTGACCATATCTTATTAAGGTTAAAAAAACAGGATGTGGCTGGGCACAGTGTCTCAGGCCTGTAGTCTCAGCACTTTGGGAGGTCAAGGAGGGTGGTTTGCTTGAGTCCAGGAGTTCAAGACCAGCCTGGGCAATATGGCAAAACCCAGTCTCTACCAGAAATACAAAATAATTAGCAAGGCATGGTGGCACATGCCTGTAGTCCCAGCCACTCGGGAGGCTGAGGTCAAAGAATCACCTGAGCCTGGGAGGTCGAGGCTACAGTGAGACATGACTGTACCACTGCACTCTAGCCTGGGTGACAGAGTGAGACCCTGTCTCAAAAAAAAAAAAAAAAAAAAAAAAAAAAGGATGTGAGGAAGTCTCTCAGTTTCCATCATGGATAAACAATATTAATAGAAATGGGAGTTTTAGTTACTGCTAATTCTTTGCCACCTTTCTGTCCTTGGTATTATGCTGACTTTTCTTTGTTTAAACACTCACCTATATGATTTGACAACATTTAAATCTGGATTTTCCTTATCTAAGTTGAAAAAAACATAAACCCAACATCTTGATTGTAGGTCGGCCCTTTCTTCTAATTTACGTTTTCATTTCCAGAGGTCTCATTTTCCTGATTTGTAAAATGGCTACAGCGATGCTGAGGGTATTCAAAAGAATCTGTGGCTCCTCAAGAGTAATTCTAGTTAGGCTCCTTTTTTGGGGTAACTTGATATGCAAGAGCATAACAGACGAGTAAACTACTAATACATAAGTTAGTCAAGAAGCATAAATTAGGTTCTTCTGATAGATAATGAATTGTTTTCTTATTAAGCATTGTTGGAAGCCATATTAGCTCTTTCAGCAATGGGAATTAAGCTTACATCTGGTTTTAGTTCAGTGATTGTTAGGGGGAAAAATATGAGTTTGCAAAAACCTAATACTACACATTGTCAAAAATAATACAATTACTAGAGTCAATAATGGTAATAGTAATATGTTAACAGTTTGTGGGGTTTTTTTTTTTTTTTTTTTTTTTTGAGGCAGAGTTTTGCTCTTGTCGCCCAGGCTGGAGTGCAATGGCACGATCTCGGCTCACTACAACCTCTGCCTCCCGGGTTCAAGCAATTCTCCTGCCTCAGCCTCCTGAGTAGCTGGGACTACAGGCACCTGCCATCACACCCAGCTAATTTTTGTATTTTTAGTAGAGATGGGATTTTACCACGTTGGCCAGGCTGGTCTTAAATTCCTGACCTCAGGTGATCCACCTGCCTCAGCCTTCCAAAGTGCTGGGATTACAGGTGTGAGCCACCGTGCCCGGCCACCAACAGTTTTTATTTTTTAGAGCCAGGGTCTTGCTACATTGCCCAGGCTGGACTTGAACTCCTGGCCTCAAGTGATTCTCCTGCTTTGGCCTCCTGAGTAGCTGGGATTACAGGTGTGTGCCACTGTGCCTGTCTTTTTATTTTTATTTTTTAAAGCCTACAGCACCCGCTAATCCCCAGGCCCAACCCCCCTCAGCTTCTGAGATCAGGCAAGACTGGGCACATTTAGGGTGGAGTGGCTGTAGACGCTAATGGTTACGGGGTATTTACTGTGGATACGAGGCACTGTGCTAAGAATATTACAGTCATTCAACCCATTTAAATCTTAGTGTAAGTATTTGTCCTAGTTTGTAAGTTTATTTCTGTTATCCCACTATACTTATAAAAGGGATCTCTTTTAACTCTCAGAAGTGGCATGGTCTAGATTTTAAATCATATGGCCACCCTATTTAACACTCAGAGCCACCCCGAGCTGCGAGTGTTAGAGTGGTCAGAGACTCGTATGTCAGTCACTCCCACTACTTAGAAGCTGTTTTTACTCACAGAGCACTTCTCACACTCACTGTGTGGATTTTCTTCCTCCACACAAACCAATGCTCCCAACTCTCTAGACACCAACTGGGTGTCCAGTGATTCAATTCTGACACCATCTGGCATTAGCACACACCCCACAGGTTAAGGGCTCAGTCCCACAAGACTGCCCCCACTTCAGATGCCAATCACAGGTCTAGGCCTCTCATTCTTCTGACCAACTAGCTATAAAATCAGAGGTTCCAATGATCCTCTCTTCAGGTTTGATAATTTGCTAGAATGGCTCACAGAACTCAGGAAGACACTTTACTTGCCATTACCAATTTATTCTGAAAGATACAATTCAGGAACAGCCACATGGAAGAGATGCATGGGGCCAGGCCTGGGGGAAAGTTCTGAGCTTCCAGGCCCTCTCCAGGCACGTCACCTTCCCAGCACCTGGATGTGACCACCAATCTGGAAGCTATTTGAACCCCACAGTTTAGGTTTTTTATGGAGGTCTCACAATGTAAGCACGACTGATTAAATCGCTGGCCAGTAGTGATCAGGTCGAACTCTGGGGGTCAGGTGTGGTTGGTTCCTTTGGCTACCAGCCCCCATCCCGAGGCTATCTGGGGGCCCACCAGGAGTCACTTCATTAGCCTACACTCAGGTGTGGTGAAAAGGGACTTATGAATAATAAAAGATGCTCTTCTCACCTCATCACTCAGGAAATTTCAAGGGTTTTAGGAGCCTGGATGAAGACCAAATGCACATTTCTTATTATATCACGAGATCACCGTCATGCCTTCATTCTTTTTTTCACTTGTTCAGTGTCTCATTCATTCAGGCATATAGAACAAATTCTCCATCCAGTCTTCAAGCTTCTCAGTATTTTTGAAGCAGTGGATTCGGATGACCTCAGAGGACATGTCATGCTGTATTACTTATACTCCAGACTTACAAAAGGACCTCAGCAGCCCGCCCAGGAAGGTTTTATGCCGTCTTTAGCCTGCAGGTGCCTATGACGGCAGCCCCAGGGACAGACATGAAAAGTTGACATTTAGGCCAAGAAATTTAAAAGTTCCTCTAGGTTATCTAAACCATAAAGAGGGGCAAGCATCTGCTGTTTAAAAGACAGGCAGACCACTGCTGAAAATATATGACTGCATTTGGAAGCCAAGACCAAAGACACCAGCCAATTGTCAAACAGATGAAATTCCACTGGTGTACTGTGGTAAGCAAATAGTTGGAAGGCTAAACACGGGTTAGAGTGCATTGGTCAAAGAAAGCATGTGGTTTCCAAATGACCACGCAGCACATCTGGGGAGGGGGGGCTGGGCGCGGCTGGTAATTTGCACTGATTGATTGGATCAGCCTCGCTGTGTCAACATGTGGCTGGGATGTTCCGCCTACGGGAAAGTGTCCATGGAGAGGCTCCAGCTCTTACGCCACTGCTTGGGGAACTTGCTGAGCTGAAGCCACAGGATTTGGACACACTGAAGACCACCCAGCACTTCTGGACAGTCTGTCCCTTATGGATTAGCAGACATAACTTTCCAAACCAAATAAATTTTATGAGTTGTTGAGGGAGAACATGCTATCACAAGCAAAATTACAAGCAAGGGAGTGTGGGCCTGCTTGGGGAGCCGCTGCCCTCAGCGTCCCTCTGAGCACTGTGCTAGAGCAGGAGTAGCTGTTCTCTGGGCACGTCGCCTGGCCAGTGATTTCTCAAACAGCTTTTGGGGTTTCACAGAAGACCAGGAGTATTCACTTCCAGATTCCCTTTAATTCAGCTCTTGCTGAAAGAGTAAGGCTAGACACGGGGGTGGCTGAGACCATATTCTCCTGTGAAATATATTCCTAGATGAATCAAGAAGGGAGCTGCCACAGTGAAAGGCAAGAGCATTTTAGTTAAATATTCTTTGTAAGTATTTTGAAAAATCGCCGTGGAGAGTAAAAATGCCAGTTGGTGTGATCAGTGGTGGGGCCGTGAAGCGTGTGCTCCATTGCGGGTGTTGGGCACTGTAAGGAAAGAATCGAGCGCCGCGCCGCACGTTCACAACGCCCTTTACTCAGTATCTCACATAAGGACCAAACATAACGCTCGGACTCCTCAGAAAGCTCACTCCACTTACTGGGTGAATTTTGACAGAAGGTTTAAGAGTAGGTAGAAAAAAGGCCATTTTATTTTTTTAGCCATGAAACCTGCATTTTGACCATTTTTCGAATCAAGTGACTTAATCTTCTAATTCTCTTTTTAAATCTCACTTTCACAAAATCCTGGATTATAACCTTTCATATAAACTGAAATTAAAATATGTATCCTAATTTTTAAGAGTTATAGATTTAAAAAATGGAAATACTCTGAACTGTAAGAACAACGGTGGTTTTGAGCCTGTTTTGTTTTCCAAACGCAACAAACAACACAATGAAAATCTATTTGAAGATGGAGGAGAAGATCCATTTATGACAGTGAAAACATTGAAAACACAAATACAACAAAACATTAGGAACAAGAAATGTGTAAATCCAATGTGTGAAAAATATATACAACACTCCCTTCAGATCACAAAAGCTTAACAAATGGTAAAACGTATGTGTTCTTGAACAGGCGGACAGACAGCCTTAACATCATGAAAACGCCAGCTCTCTCGATAATCTATATACTTACAGGAGTCTTCCCCCAACAACACTGGGTGTCTTCCCTGCAACTAGAAAAATTGGTTTCAAAGTTTATGTGGAATATAAGACAAGCAATGATAGCAAAACAAACTAATAACAACCCTAGTAAAGAAGAGAAATCAAAGGGAATGATCCTTATTTTGTATTGAACACAGTTGATGCCAGCACTAAAGCAGTGATACTGCCGCACGCACATGCAAGAGACCAGAGAACCAGAACAGAAGGTAACAAAACAGGCCTGACTATGTGAGAACTGAGAATGTGACAAGGGAACCACCTAAGCCCACAGGACTGTGCTCCAGAGGCACGCACCCTTTATCACACTCAAGAGGGCGGACATGCTTTACCACCGGAGAACGGGGAAAACAACCGTATTATTTCAACAAATAATTTCAAAACAAAAAACAAAGAGGGATTGAAAGAGACTTAAAAGAACCATAAACCAAAGGCAATGTGTAGATCTGAACTCTGATTCTTTATTTTTTTTTATTTGAACTCTGATTCTAACAAACCAACTGGAAGAAAAATTCTAAGACAATCAGGATAATTTAATTCCTGACTAGATATGTGATGATGATAAGGAACTAATGTCAATTTTAAGATGTAATAATGGTATTGTAGTTTTGTTTTTTTAAAATGCATTGTATAGCAAGGAAGGGTCTACATATGTAACAATTCTCCAATTTCTCACTGAAAGTATTTAAATAAAGAATTGGGCCTGTCACAGTGGCTCATGCCTATAATCCCAACATTTTGGGAGGCCAAGACAGGCAGACTCCTTGAGCCCAGGAGTTCAAGACCAGCCTAGGCAACATGGTGAAATGCCGTCTCTACCGAAAATACAAAAAATTAGCCAGGCATGGTAGCACACACCTGTGGTCCCAGCTACTCAGGAGGCTGAGGTGGGAGGATCGCCTGAGCCTGGGAGTTTGAGACTACAGTGAGCCAAGACTGCACCACTGCACTCCAGCCTATGTGACAGAGTGAGACCCCATCTCAAAAAAAAAAAAAAAAAAAAAAAAATTGAAAACGTAAATAGTATTAATAAAATGATTTAAAAACCACAGTATTCTTAACAAAATGTCAAGTTTATAAGCAGTAAGTATCATTTTAAAATCACATTGCATGTATACCTTGAATTCGGAAATGTGAATGCTTTGGATCTCATTATCTGAGACGGAGAGGGCTCTGCAAATTATACCACACAGTGGATTCACAGTGTTTTCAAACACTGCAGACAGAGCCACTCGTAACTTGGAGTCATGACTACAGCAGTAGTCAGAGGCCATGCAACAATTTTCAAAGTGGGGTTCAAAGAACTGTTTCCAGAGAGGGAGGGAAGAACTGAGATGCGTTAAAAGAAAAAATCATTATTTAAAAAATTCTTACATTTTTCTTGGGCCTACGTGGAAACATAAGAAGAAATAAGTACACTTTGTTGGGTTTTGTAGTAATATATATTTTTTAATTTTGAAAACTTTTCTAATTTTTAAATTTTATCTAAGTTATTTTAGATAATTTTATTAGATATATATTTGTATGTATATATACAGTGTATATTTTACTTATATATTTTAATATATATTTTAGATTATTATTTTGGAATTTTACAATATTCTATTTGAAAAGTAACATTTATTTATGATGTATTTTCTTGCATTTAAGAATGGATCACTGGCTTTAAAAATGAGGATTAAAAGATTCAATTTCTCATCCTACAGATGTTTCATCAAGAAAAGATGAAACTGGCTGGCGCAGTGGCTCACGCCTGTAATCCCAGCACTTTGGGAGGCCGAGGTGGGTGGATCACCTGAGGTCGGGATTTCGAGACCAGCCTGACCAACATGGAAAACCCTGTCTCTACTAAAAACACAAAATTAGCTGGGCGTGATGGTGCATGCCTGTAATCCCAGCTACTCGGGAGGCTGAGGCAGGAGAATCACTTGAACCCGGAAGGCAGAGGTTGCGGTGAGCCGAGATTGCACCACTGTACTCCAGCCTGGGCAACAAGAGTGAAACTCTGTCTCAAAAAAGAAAAGAAAAGAAAAGATGAAACTGACACATCAGAGAATTCTCTGACTCATGAGATGGAGACATCTGCTACAGAGAAAGTGGGCTAAACTGTAAATAAAGACAAAAAATGTGAGGAAAGTTATTTTTCCCTTGCCTTTACAGATGTTAATGATTTACCTTATTGTGTCTTATGCAACAATATTTTGAATACTGTTATGGTGCAAGTTAACTGCCACATCAGTTTGAGACCAATCATTCAGAGTCTGAAGAAAAAAAATTTAAATGCAGATGTGATAAATTAATATGTCACCAAGAGAACTGTACTTCTGCCTTACAATAGAATCTCTGGACTTACTGTATTGCTTGTACTTGTCTGGTATCAGCACCAACTTAAGCACAGAAGCTCTTTTATATGAAAGTTGGCCACACACCCAAGTGGTAGGGAAATACTTAAAGTACTGAATAACTATTTTGAATCTCCTGGTTTTTCCTGGAATAACCGTGTTGACATTTGCACTGATAGCGCAAAAGCAACAGTGGGTAACACAGCTGTGTCTCAGTGGGAATCAGAGCCGAGACAGCCCTCACGCTACTCTTCACCACCACACACACACAGTCGAAACACTGCATTTTCACATATGAATGTCTGATGAAGCAGTTTAACATACTGACTTTATTAAACTGTTGCCCTCAAGGATACTTTTAAAAAAGAATTCTGTACGGTGAAAAGGAAAGTGTGCATAAAGCACTTCTGCTTCATAACAAAAAAAGACGGTTGCCTGGAGAAAAGCACTCCACTTGTACACCTGCACAACTCTTTCAGCAGTGGGCTCACTTGACCACTTTTTGTCATGGAAATTGACCTGAAAGAATGACTAGCAGACAGGCAGTGGTCAGTCACATTTTAGGATTAGGCACATACTTTCTCAATAATTAGCAAAGTGACTCAGTCCCCTAAGGAAAATGACTGACAGTGTTTGTAGCCCATGATAAATTTTAGCTTTTAAGCAGAAATTAGAATCTTGGAAAATCTATGTCCACCAACATAAGCTTGACAGCTTCCCAATACTTAAAGTCATTTCTGATGAGCTCCATGGTGGCAGTAATGACTATAGGTTTTGATACTGCATATGAAATATGTCAATGTTTGGAAGATATACATAACTCAATGAATGAAGATTTTCCAAATGAACCATGCATAATGCTACAAAATTATGTGTGTTGGCAAAAAAGATCCATTGAAAGTGCAAGACAGACCAATGGGTTTCTAATGTAACAGAGTATGGAAAGTTAACTGACATAATTTCAGATTCCACATTGCAACTACCCTTTAAAAAATGACCATTTTCAAATTTTGGTGAGCTATCAAAGCAGAATTATCCACAATGATCTGCAATGGCTACTAGAATATTCCCGCCTTTCCCAATTACTATCTATGTGGGGCTGGATTTTCTTCATACACTTCAACCAAAACAACACGTCCCACCAGAAGCAGATATGAGAATTCAGCAGTCTTAGGGTAGAAAATGAGACTTGCAAAAATGTAAAAACAATGCTGCTTTTGTCAAACATTTTTTTTTTTGCCTTGGAAAAGAGCATTGCTTTTCATAAAAATAAGCTATTTGTGTTAACGTGTAATAAAATTATTTTTATTTTTTAAGTAACAAACACATTTTTAAAAATTTAGTTTCAAATATGATAAATATTAATAAGGGTTTAACAGATTTTTAAAACTCTTGGGAATGTATGAACACAAAGAAGGAAACAATAGTCGCTGGGGCCTACCTGAGCAACGGTAGGAGGGAGAGGAGCAGAAAAGGTAACTACTGGGGACTGAGCTTAATACCTGGGTGATGAAATAATATGTACAACAAAACCCTATGACATGTGTTTACCTATGTAACAAACCTTCACATGTACCCCCAAACCTAAAATAAAAGTTAAAAATAAAAAAATAAAATGTTTTGGGATCCTCAGTAATTTTTTTTTTTTTTGAGATGGAGTCTCGCTCTGTTGCCCAGGCTGGAGTGCAGTGGCACAATCTCGGCTCACTGCAATCTCCGCCTCCCAGGTGGAAGCGATCCTCCTGACTCAGCCCCCCTAGTAGCTGGGATTAGAGGCACACACCACCATGCTTGACTAATTTTTGCATTTTTAGTAGAGACAGGGTTTCACCATGTTGGCCAGGCTGGTCTCAAACTCCTGACCTCAGGTGATCCACCCGCCTTGGCCTCCCAAAGTGCTGGGATTACAGGTGTGAGCCACCACACCTGGCCGGGATACTCAGTAATTTTTAAGAGTATAAAGGGTACTGAGACAAAAACGTTTGGACACTGCTGTCGTACAGTCTTTCCAACACACCACAGCCTTCTAAGAAAAGGAAAAACGACGCAGGATGACAGGAAACATTTGCCACTTACAGCAAAATGGCCTCGTTTACAGCCTCAAAGAACTCTGGCTGGAGGATTTCCTGAGGTTCACGTCCATGACAGATGAGGAGAGCCTCCACCAGGGGGTCAACATCTGTCAGGGTAATAAGTGGGACACAAACTCGTGACAGGGACGCCACTCGCTCGGGAGCCATTCTATGGAAGAAATAAGAAATAATCACTCAAATCTAAGAGCCATGCATAATTAAGGACATATAAAAACCTTCATGCTAAAAAGGTCAAAGACAGATCACCTGTTTTGCCTCTAAATAAAGAGAATGACTCTAACACCATCGATGAACACTTCTCTTTTATCCAATTCTTTAGGAAGAAATCTTTTAGCTACCATTGCTGTTTCAGTGTCATTCATGGTCAGGACTTTGTTCTTTATATTCACAGGCACTTAATATGTCCAAAACACAACTCCTGAATTCCCTTCCCAGTGTTCCCTTTCCCCAGTGCTATCTTGTTTGCTCAGGCCCAAATCCTGATTCCTCCCTTTCTCTCAGGCCCCTCATCTGATCCATCAGTGAATACTAGCAACACATCTGACCTCTTCTGAACACCTCCATCACTGTCCTCCTAAGTGGAGAGTAACTCACCACCACCTCTAGCCTGGGTGACAGAGTAGCCTCTGGATTTCTTGTTTCTGCACTCACTCCTATAGTTTAACATCAGAACAGTTCCAGCACCCCTTTAAAAATTCCGATCACAACACTTGTCTGCTCAAAGCTTTGCAATGGCTTCTCACCTCATGTAGAGAATAAGCAATGTCTTTCACTAGCCAGCAAGTCCTTCCATGGTGGGTCCCCATCTGTTTCACTGACTTAATCTCCTTCCACTCTTACCTTTGTCTTTTCTGCCTCTGACTGCCCCAAATAAAGTCCTGCTGTTCACTCTGCCTGAAATACATGATTAGCTCCCTGGTTGCAGCTCAAATGTCCCTTTGTTAAGTGAGGTCTTCTCTGATCATCCCATGTCACTATACTGTCTACCATGTGTGGCAATTTAAATGCAAATGAATTAAAATGAAATAAAATTAAAAATCCAGCTCCTCAACTGCACTAGTCACAGTTCAAGTGCTCAACAGCTATAGGTGGCTGGCGGCTACAGTACCGAACAGTGCACATTTACAGGATGTGCCTGGGACTGCAGAAAGCGCCACTGGACACTCGAGCTTCAAGTGCCCTCTTACCCGTGCTTTACTTCTCTTCCTGGTACCTTTCACCACCTGACCTACACAGTATTCCCTTATAGTACTCATGGTTCGCTTCCTCCTCTGAGGGCAGAAGCTCTACAATGGCAGGCAGCTTCTCCTACTTTGCCCACCGCTCTATTCCTAGCACCTAGGGATAACTCCTCACACACAGCACGTGCTCAACAAATCCGTCTCCAGTGAATGATAAATAAAATGAAAGTTCTGGGTGGAGGCTATTCTAGGTATTTTCATATGTAATTGTAAATATAGAAATTTAGTCTTGTGTTTTGTGAAACACAAATGAAACCACAGTATAGAGCATGTAGCTGTTCCTCATTCTTAAAAACTTGCTGCCTATTATTAAAACAAACATGTTCTGTAATTTAACAATGCCACTATCAGTAGGCACTGAGGCTGTTTCTGGTTTTTCACTATTCAGACAGGGCTGTGGTGCTACCCTTGCCCATGCCTGTCTGTGCCCATGTGTGAGTATTTGCATACTGAATTGCCTTCCAAGGCCAGGGGTGGTGGCTCACACATGGAGACCCAGCACTTTGAAAGGCTGAGGCAGGCAGATCGCTTGATCCCAGAAGTTTAAGACCAGCACAGGTAACATGGAGAAACCCCAACTCTACAAAAAATACAAAAATTAGCCAGGTGTGGTGGCTTACGCCTGCGTTGCAGCTACTCGGGGGGGCGGAGGTGGGAGGGTTGCTTGAGCCCAAGAGGTCAAGGCTGCAGTGAGCTGTGTTCATACCACTGCACTCCAGCCTGGGAGACAAGAGCGAGACCTGTCTCAAAAAAAAAAAAACAAAAAACAAAAAACAAAACAAAAAAAAACTGCCTTGCAAAAGACCACACCAATTTACTTTTCCACCCTTTCCAATTATATCATTATTTGTTTCTATTTCTTGCAAATTTAACGGACAAAAATTGCTATTTCTTTGCCTTAATTTGCATTTTCCTGATAACTTGTGAGACAGTAATTGTTACCCACTTGTATTTCCTCTTCAGAGAATTTGTTTATATATTTGTGTATCTTTGTCCTATTTGTTCATTTAATACCTATTTATTGATCCCCTACTGTAGTCAAGGCTCTGTTTGAGGTGTACATGACACAGATGCAAAGATGACAATGTCTCATCAGGGAGAGGAACAATATAATGCCAGATGATACTGAGTGTCATGCTGAAAAGTAAAGAATACTCAGAAGTGACAGAAATTTACCAAGAAGGTGATATGTGAGCAGAGCTCTGAAGGAAGTACATGAACAAGCACGTATATATCTGGGAAGAAAACATTGCAGACAGATGAAAAGCAAAAGCAAAGGCCCTCAGCATCTGAAAATAGCAAGGGGACCAACGTGGCCACACCCAGTGAACCGGGGAGGATGGCGGAAAGGCTTCTGTAGATCACTGTAGGGGCCTGCATATTCTTTTTGTAAAAATTTAGTTTTCATTTTTATGAAATTAATAAATGCAACTATATTTTTTGTTTAGACTATTTACTTTAAAATTTTTATTTTAATAGCTTGTGGGTAAAAGTAGTTTTTTGTTACATGGATGAATTGTATAGTGGTAAATTCTGAGATTTTAATGCATCCATCACCCGAGTAGACTGCACCTAATGTGTAGTTTTTTTCACTACCCCCCATCCCACTCTCCTCCCCCTTCTGAGTCTCTGAAGTCCATTATGTCACTCTGTATGCCAGCGATGTCCAATCTTTTTGGCTTCCTTCTTTTTGGAAAAAGAAGAATCGTCTTGGGTTACACACTAAATACACTAATACCAACGATAGTTGATGAGCTTAAAAAAAATCGCAAAAAAACTATGTTTTAAGCAAGTTTACAGATTTGTGTTGGGCAGCATTCAAAGCTGTCCTGGGCTGCATGTAGCCCATGGGCCACAGGTTCGACAAGCTTGTTGTATGTCTCTGTGTACTCATAGCTTAGCTCCCACTAATAAGTGAGAACATAACAGTTTGTGATTTTCCACTCCTGTGTTACTTCACTTAAAATAATGGCCTCCAGCTCCATTCAAGTTGCTGCAAATATTATTTTGTTCCTTTTAATGGCTGAGTAGTGTATATATACCATATTTTCTTTATCCACTGATTGGTGGATGGGCACTTATGTTGGTTCCACATCTTTGCAATTGTTAACTGTGATGCTATAAAAATACATATGCAAGTGGTTTTTTTTTTATATAAAGACATCTTTTCCTTTGGGTAGATAGCCAGTAGTGTAATTGCTGGATCAAATAGATCTACTTTTAGCTTTTTGAGGAATCTCCATACTGTTTTCCATAGAGGTTGCACTAATTTATATTCCCACCAGCAGGTATAAGTGTTCTCTTTTCCCCACATCCATGCCAACATCTAAAAGGCCATTCTTGCAGGAGTAAGGTGGTATCTCATTGTGGTTTTAATTTGCATTTCCCTGATGATTCGTGATGTTGAGCATTTTTTCATATGCTTGGCCATTTGTACATCTTCTTTTGAGAAATATCTATCATATCCTTTGCCCACTGTTTGATGGGATTGCTTTTTTCTTGATTTGAGTTCCTTGTAGATTCTGAATACTAGTCCTTTGTCAGATGCATAGTTTGCAATATTTTCTCCCACTCTGTTGGTTGTCTGTTTATTTCTTTGATGTAACTACTTGAAATGGTCAAATAGTTATTCAAAGTTAATCAAAATAGTAGCTTTTGAAAGGGCATTCCTATCCCCATTTTCTGATGTCCAGAAATTACTTTCAACCCTAATTAATTCTTTAGTACTTCAATGTGTTGTTTGTTGTTCAATACAAACTATAACATCAAATTTGTAGTGGGAGGGCTGGGTGTGGTGGCTCATGCCTGTAATCCCAGCACTTTGGGAGGCCGAGGAGGGCAGATCACCTGAGGTCAGGAGTACGAGACCAGCCTGATCAATATGGTGAAACCCCATCTCTACTAAAAATACAAAAATTAGCCAGGCATGGTGGTGGGCACCTGTAGTCCCAGCTACTCAGGAGGCTGAGACAGGAGAATTGCTTGAATCCAGGAGGTGGAGATTGCAGTGAGCTGACATCACGCCACTGCATTCCAGCCAGGGTGACAGAGCAAGACTCCGTCTCAAAAAAAAAAAAAAAAAAAAAAAAAATTGTAGTGGGAAATCCATCAGATTACAGAGAAAAGAGAACTCCAGGATGTTTCTGATAGGAACATAAATAAATAAGCACAAACACTTTGGAGAACAACTGGTAGCAACGTGCTACCATTTCTTCTTACAGGTTAGGGAGACAAACAGGACTGTTTGTAAAAGGTAGATTCAATCTTGCTGTGAATTTGTACAGAAATGAATAAATGATTATTTATTTACAGAATGGAATGCTATATGGCAGTTTAAATGAATAAACTGTACCTACATTATCTGCATACATAAATCTCAAAAGTTGAATGAATGAAGAAAGCAAGTTGCATAAAGATATCCACAATACACCATCCTTATGTAAAGTTTTAAAGCACAGCGAAATGTGAAGTAAAAGTGTTAAAACATGGCAGGAAGAATCTACACCCCACTTCTTGGGCGTGCTTGCTCCAGCGGGGAGAATAAAGAAATGGAATAGGAGAAGGATGCTTCAGCTCTAATTGAAACTTTTTCTTAAAAATATCAAATATAAATAAAATGTTAGCACTATAAAACCTGGGCAACAGGCACACAGTTTTTCCATGACATAAGTGTTTTATAATAAAACTTTTAAAAAACTAAAATACAATGTTAACTAGTAAAATACTGAAAATGAAAATATTCATGCTAGGTGTGGTAGCTTATGTCTGCAATCCCAGAACTTTGGGAGGTTAAGGTGGGTGGACTGCTTCAGCCCAGGAGTTTGAGATAAGCCTGGGCAACATGGTGAAACCCTGCCTCTACAAAAAAATACAAAAATTAGCTGGGTGTGGTGGCACACGCCTGTAGTCCCAGCCACTCGGGAGGCTGAGGTGGGAGGATGGCTTGAGTCCAGGAGGTGGAGGTTGGGGTGAGCTGAGATCATGCCACTGCACTCTGGCCTGGGCAACAAAGTGAGACCCTGTCAAAAAAAGAAAGGAAAGAGAGAGCGAGAGAAAAGAGAGAGGGGAGGGGAGGGGAGGGGAGGGGAGGAAAGGGGAGGGGAAGGAAGGGGACGGAAGGGGAGAGGAGGGGAGGGGAGGGGAGGGGAGGAAGGAAGGGAGGAAGGGAGGGAGGGAGGGAGGGAGGGAGGGAGGAAAAAGAAAATATTCGTAATAAAGGAGTTACTTCCTGCCTCAGGTTCTTATTTCCAAAACAGCAAAAGTAGCTCATTAAAAACTAATCATCCTTAATCAGTCTTAAATTGCTTAGTATTTATTTCCCTCTGGAGTATTTTTTCCCCTTTATTTACATCTTTTTTTGCACTCTTCCCATTATTTGATTCTACTGGTCTCTTTTCAGGGTATTTCTATAGAATTATTTGTGCTTTTCATTTTCTCACCCTTGGACAGAAGACAAGCAGTTCACAGAGGTTTTTAAAGTCTCCTGGACCACAATTAAAAGACTCTGCTGGATGGTATCAGCTGAAACAATCTTCTTTTCTCTTTCTTTCTTTTTGAGACAGGGTCTTGCTCTGTCACCCAGGCTAGAGTGCAGTGGTGCAGTCTTGGCTCACTGCAACCTCAACCTCCCCAGGCTCAAGCGATGCTCCCACCTCAGCCTCCCTAGTAGCTGGGATTACAGGTGCTTGCCACCACATCTGGCTTTTTTTGGGTTTTTTTTTTTTTTGTAGATATGGGGTTTCTCCATGTTGCCCAGGCTGGTCTCAAACTCCTGGGTTCAAGCAATCCTCCCACCCTGGCCTCCCAAATTGCTGGGATTACAGGAGTGAGCCACTGTGCCAAGGCTGAAACAACTTTTATAGATTAAAAATTTGCCTTTGTGCCAGATTGTGCCACTTTGGAAGAGGTTTATTCTCTAGTTTATAATTGGTTTTTGGTGTTGTTGTTGTTGTTAAGAATGCTTGTTTTTCAAAAGTAATATGAACAAATTCCCTGGCACAGAGCGAAGTCCACTGAAGGATGTCCATGCTGGCATCCCAGCTGGCAGGAGTAGCAAGGATAAAATTGGAATTAATTTAGTTAGCAGTTCAGGATATTCCTAGTCAAAGCAAAGCTATGATACAATCAGTAAAATTCTTAACTGAATTTACTAAGAATATGAGATGCCTGTGCTAGCAGAGTGCTCCCTGTAAACCAACACATCCGATACATTCCTAATTTGCTCTACTGAATGATGTTTAGAATCTTTTCTTTAAAGAATTTTATAATTCAACCAGATAAATTTGTCCAGGTACTTTTCTGAATGTGTTGAGCCCTTATATATAGTTTTTAAGATAATTCAATCTCTTGGACTGAGTTCATTTATACCTATCAGAAGATTGAATTTAAAAAGCAATTTGATGCGTAACATGCTTTTTGAGCCCTTTTAGAAGCTTTTGTGATCACCATTCATAAAATTTTAACTTGGATTCTTAAAAGCTTGTGTGAGAACAAAACTTTTCAAGTCCACAGTTCTCCAGTGAATTATAAATTCTGCCAAGTGTATTCTTCTATCTCAAGTAGAAGCCGGTTTAATGAAATCAGGTAACATCTCTGACACCATGATAACCTTTGCAAAACAGCTGTCAACCACGCTGCAGCCATCATAATTTTTGCTGTCATTAATAATAACAATTAAAATAGGTATCATAATACCACATAACTTTCTACTACATATCTGAAGTTCTCTGTCCACTTTTAAGATTTACAAATTGAAACAATTAAATCAGAACACAGCATAACAGGCAAACTACTTTCCAGTATATGCTTAAAGTCAGGAGAGTCCCATCCACCTATGAATCTAAGTTTCTAATTCCTCTCCTTTCACAAGTATGACTTCAAATGTCGAAGCAGCCAAGAGCTCCCAAACTTAAGCACCATATAAACAATGCTATGCTGTTTTCCTGTGTTTTTTTTTCCTTCTAGAAGGCATCTATGCATTTATTTTTTCTAATTTTTTAGCACTTCAGTGTCTAAAGTTCATTTCCAAAGATTCAAAAAGTCTCAGAAAATATAGAAATTGATCTCATAATTTCAGATGCACAGATCGCCAGAGGAACAAAAAAAGTGGGAAAATTAGCTTACTTTCTTTTTGCATTATTTTTAGAGGCCTGATAAATGGTGTTGTCATAGGGCTTTAAATAGAGTTTCACTTGCCACCAAGTAAAGTCAACAATTCAGTGACAGAATGTTTAAATTCTATCCTATTCTTTGCTACAAACCATCTAGAAGGAGCAACATTCTGAGCATCGTCAGCTTATCCTGTAGCTCTATGGTTTGGGGCAGATGGTTTGGAAGCTACAATACAACCACACAGAAAGGATGTTCCCAGCAGTACATGGTTACCGTCTAGCCTTCTGCAGTTGAATTCTTGTGCAGAAATTATTTGGAAGTGCTGCTCTGGCAACCAGTCAAGACCTAATGCTTAGTGTAATTCAATCTGGAAAGTGTTGCGTAACTCTCCACTTGAACTTGGATCTCCACACTCTGACAAACTTCAGACCAAAAGAGGAGCCATGAAGGCTGCGTGCACCTTGAAGTTCTTGGGAAGGTTATCAGTTGGCCTGCCCAAATTTTGGTATACCCAAGAACTACCTGTCTTTATGAGATTTTTTAAATTTTTCAGGAAAATTATCCTGGATCATTTCCAGCCTAAACAGAAGATATAATCTGCAGCCATGAACTGCAATACTTGATAAATGTCCCCAGAACCACAGTCTTTCCACCCACTCAGTCCCCAGTAATAATCTCTGACTCTTCTCATTTCCTCTTTTCAGATGAGAGAAAAGTTGCGCTTAGAGATCTTTTAGGGAGGAAGATTGATGAGTCAGGCTGGAGACCTGCCTGCCTATTTGAGACGCTACATGAGTGATGCACACAGGCAACTCTCCGGCCTACCTTTCAATTGCACAAACATCCATCCCGCCCTAACTCTATGCAATATATTCTGCTAGGCTATGTGCAAAGTATACACCTTCACACACACCCCCACATACCTCTTCCTCTACCAGCCCACCCACTAAGCTCATATATTCCAAAAATTTAAGATATTTACAACTCATGCTAAATGTGTCTTTTTGTTAACAACTTAGATGATAGACTCAAAAAGCATATTAATTAATTTTAGATCTAAAACCATCTTGGTGGTAAGAGAACGATGATAAAGCACTATGGAAGGTAAATGTTGAAAGGATATCTGCCACTTAAGAAGCGGTAGAGAACAGGAAGAACAATTTAGAAAAGGTGAATATTTGAGGAGAAAAGACAAACTGTTCACACATAATAGATCACTATGGGTAGCTTGGCAAAAAATTATCTTTATGAGAATTTACTATTATCAAGAATACAGCAAAAATATTAACAATTTATAGGAATTCATCAACAAAAATAAAAACCGTAAATAAAATTCTATCATGTCACCATAAAGTATTCAGATTGTTACCAGGGATTGATATGCAGTTATGGGAACTGCTTCTAAAGAAGTAGTGTAGAGCAGCATTTCTTGAACTTCCAGAGAGTATGTCTGGACAGATGTTTTTAAAAAGTCATATTTCTTGGTCTCTGCCCGAGGGATGTTGATGCTGCTGATTGGTAGGGCCACACTTTGAGTAGCTCTGGTGTAGAACTGCTACACATCCTGAGGACTCAAAGGCAAGACCTATGAAGAATGGTGACTCTCTTAATCTAGTCAAGAGAAAATAAGATGAAAATGTAACCTAAGAGACTGCATCAAGCAATGAACTAAGGACACGGATGTCCTAGCATTCATGCTATACTCCCAACTGCTAGAAATGATGGAAGAATTTTTTTTGACCTTTTTTTTTTTAATTATACTTCAAGTTCTAGGGTACACATGCACAACGTGCAGGTTTGTTACATAGGTATACACGTGCCATGTTGGTTTGCTGCACCCATTACCTCATCATTTACATTGGGTATTTCTCCTAATGCTATCCCTCCCCTTGCCCCCCACTCCACAACAAGCCCCAGGGTGTGATGTTCCCCACCCTGTGTCCAAGTGTTCTCATTGTTCAATTCCTACCTGTGAGTGAGAACATGTGGTGTTTGGTTTTCTGTCCTTGTGAGAGTTTGCTCAGAATGATGGTTTCCAGCTACATCCATGTCCATGCAAAGGACATGAACTCATCCTTTTTTATGGCTGCATAGCATTCCATGGTGTATTTGTGCCACATTTTCTTAATCCAGTCTATCATTGATGGACATTTAGGTTCATTCCAAGTCTTTGCTATTGTGAATAGTGCCGCAATAAACATACGTGTGCATGTATCTTTATAGAAGCATGATTTATAATCCTTTGGGTATATACCCAGTAATGGGATAGCTGGATCAAATGGTATTTCTAGTTCTAGATGCTTGAGGAATCGCCACACTGTCTTCCACAATGGTTGAACTAGTTTACACTCCCATCAACAGTGCAAAAGCATTCCTATTTCTCCACATCCTCTCCAGCACCTGTTGTTTCCTGACTTTTTAATGATCGCCATTCTAACTGGTGTGAGATGGTATCTCATTGTGGTTTTGATTTGCATTTCTCTCATGACCAGTGATGATGAGCATTTTTCCATGTGTCTGTTGGCTGCATAAATGTCTTGAGAGTGTCTGTTCATATTTTTTGCCCAATTTTTGATGGGGTTGTTTGTTTTCTTCTTGTAAATTTGTTTAAGTTCTTTGTAGATTCTGGATATTAGCCCTTTGTCAGATGGCTAGATTGCAAAAATTTTCTCCCATTCTGTAGGTTGCCTGTTCACTCTGATGGTAGTTTCTTTTGCTGTGCAGAAGCTCTTTAGTTTAATTAGATCCCATTTGTCTATTTTGGCTTTTGCTGCCATTGCTTTTGGTGTTTTAGTCATGAAGTCCTTGTCCATGACTAGGTCCTGAATGGTATTGCCTAGATTTTCTTCTAGGATTTTTATGGTTTTAGGTCTAACATTTAAGTCTTTAATCCATCTTGAATTAATTTTTATATAAGGTGTAAGGAAGGGATCCAGTTTCAGCTTTCTACATATGGCTAGCCAGTTTTCCCAGCACCATTTATTAAATAGGGAATCCTTTCCCCATTTCTTGCTTTTGTCAGGTTTGTCAAAGATTGGATGGCTGTAGATGTGTGGTGTTATTTCTGAGGCCTCTGTTCTGTTCCATTGGTCTATATCTCTGTTTTGGTACCAGTACCATGCTGTTTTGGTTACTACAGACTTGTAGTACAGTTTGAAGTCAGGTAGCATGATGCCTCCAGCTTTGTTCTTTTTGCTTAGGATTGTCTTGGCAATGTGGGCTCTTTTTTGGTTCCACATGAACTTCAAAGTAGTTTTTTCCAATTCTGTGAAGAAAGTCATTGGTAGCTTGATGGGGATGGCATTGAATCTATAAATTACCTTGGGCAGTATGGCCATTTTGATGATATTGATTCTTCCTATCCATGAGCATGGAATGTTCTTCCGTTTGTTTGTGTCTTCTTTTATTTCCTTGAGCAGTGGTTTGTAGTTCTCCTTGAAGAGGTCCTTCACATCCTTTGTAAGTTGTATTCCTAGGTATTTTATTCTCTTTGTAGCAATTGTGAGTGGGAGTTCACTCATGATTTGGCTCTCTGTTTGTCTGTTATTGGTGTATAGGAATGCTTGTGATTTTTGCACACTGATTTTGTATCCTGAGACTTTGCTGAAGTTGCTTATCAGCTTAAAGAGATTTTGGGCTGAGACAATGGGGTTTTCTAAATATACAATCATGTCAATGATGGAAGAGTTTTTACAATTAAATATATAATACTGTAAAATGGGGGCTTTTGGTGACCCATGAATTCTGAGAAAAGCTTGATGGTAGGTAGGTGGGATCTTTTTGAAGGAAAATACCACAGCCCTAAAAGCTTGCCAAGAGAGGACTACTATAAAAGATAAGAGTTACTTTGGGGATGAATTCAAGGAACAGGGGGCAACCTGACAGCCAGCTGCCAAGGCCTTATACATTATACACTCTTTCTTCTTATCCACTGTCTTTAGGCAAGAGATAACAGAAATGTCCTGACTCCAACAGGAAGGAGGAAGGAGGAAGGAGGCCTGGAAGGAGAAGCCAGCCCGAAATGGCTATCAACCTCCAGGAAATATGGGAGTCCTCTAAGGCCCAGAATACAATTTACTGGCAACCTCAATCAACACTACCTCTTGATCTTCCCATAATTATTGGAGGCTACAGTAAACAGAGCACTCATCGAGAGACTAACAAGGAATCCCAAATTCCAGGAAGACCAAATTGTTCTGCAAAGTGGTTGTGCCTATTTATGTTCCCATCAGCAACCTCCTAAAGCTCACCATAACCTAATGGATGTCTAACTGATGTTGTTAGTTTACACTTTCCTGAAAATGCACAGAAAAGCTCATAGACCAGTTTTAAATTGTGGTGAAAAACACATTAACATACAATTTACCATTTTAACCATTTTTAACTATACAGTACAGTAGTGTTAACTATATGTCCTTATATGCAACAGATCTCTAAAACTTTCATATCTTGCAAAACCAAAACTCTATACCCATTGAACAACAACTCCCATTTCCCTCTTCCTCCCATCCCAAGGTAACCACTATTCTACTTTCTGCTTCTTTTCTTTTCTTTTTTTTTTTTTTTTTGAGACATAATCTTGCTCTGTCACCCAGGCTGGAGTGCAATGGCACGATCTCAGCTCACTGCAACCTCCGCTTCCCAGGTTCAAGCGATTCTCCTGCCTCAGCCTCCTGGGTAGCCAGGATTACAGGCACCCGCCACCACACCCATCTAATTTTTGTATTTTTAGTAGAGATGGAGTTTCGCCGTGTTGGCCAGGCTGGTCTCAAACTCCTGACCTCCGGTGATCCGCCTGCCTTGGCCTCCCAATGTGCTGGGATTACAGGTGTGAGCCACTGCACCTGCCCTTAGCTTCTGTTTCTACAAGTTTGACTAATTTAGATACCACACATAAGTGTAAGTAATCATGCAGTATTTGCCTTCTGTCACTAGTTTACTTCACTTTGCATAATGTCCTTAAGTTTCATCCACACTGTAGCATATGACAGGACTTCCTTCTTTTCTAAGGTGGAATAATCTTCCAATGTGTATATATACCATATTTTCTTTATTCATTCGTCCGCTGATGGACACATAGGTTACTTCCACCTCTTGGCTCTTGTAAATAATGCTCAATGAACATGGGTGTGCAAATATCTCTTAGAGATTTTGTTCCCAATTATTTGGAAATATACACAAATATGGGATTGCTGGATCATTTGGTAATTCTATTTTTAATTTTTTAAGGAAACTCCATACTGTTTTCCATAGTGACTGCACTAGTTTAACATTCCTAGCAACAGTGTACAAGGGTTCCAAGTACTCCACATCCTCATCAATATTTGTCATTTTCTCTTTCTTCTTTTGATAGTGGCCATTCTAATAGGTGTGAACTGGTATCTTATTATGGTTCTGATTATCATGTCCCTGATAACTGGTGATGTTGGGCATCTTTTCATATGCTTGTTGGTCATTTGTATATATTCTTTGGAGAAATGTCTATTCAAGTCTTTGACCTATTTTTAAACTGGATTATTTTGCTGTTGTTGAGTTGCAGGAATTCTCTGTATATTCTGGATATTAATCACTTATCCAGATTTAAGGTTTGAAAATATTTTCTCCCATTACATAGGCTGCTTTTTAATCTGTTGATTGCTTCCTTTGTTGCACAGACACTTAAAAATTTCATGCAGTCCTATTTGTCTATTCTTGCTTTTCTTGCCTGTGCTTTTGGTGTCATATCCAAGATCATTGCGAAGTCCAATGCCATGACACTTTTCTCCTACAGTTTCAGGTCTTACGTTTAGGTCTTTCATCTATTTTGAGTTAGTTTTTATATATAATGAAAGGTAAGGGTTCAAATTTGTTTTCTCAATGTGTATATCCAGTTTTCCCAACACCAATTATTGAAGAGACAATCTTTTCCCAATCTTATAGACAGGATACCCTTGTCAAAGACCATTTGATCTTCCATGTGAAGCCTTACTTCTGGGCTCTCTATTCTGTTTTAATGGTCAATATGTCTGCCTTTATGCCAGTACCACACTGTTTTGATTACTGTGGCTTTGTAATATGCTTTGAAAAAAGGAAGTATGAGGCTTCCACCTTGTTTTTCTTTCTCAAAATTGTTTTGGTTACTTGGGGTACTTTGAGATTCTATATACATTAAAGGATTCTTTTTCTATTTCTGTAAAAAATAAAAGAAAAACCAAACGCCACTGACATTTTGATAGAAATAACACTGGAACCTGAAGATTGCTTTGGGTAGTACGGGCATTTAAAATACTAAGCATAGGCTGGGTGCAGTGGCTTACACCTGTAATCCCAGAACTTTGGGAGGCCAAGGCAAGTGGATCACCTGAGGTCAGGAGTTCGAGACCAGCATGACCAACACGGAGAAAGCCCATCTCTACTAAAAATACAAAATCATCTGGGCATGGTGGCGTGCACCTGTAATCCCAGCTACTCGGGAGGCTGAGGCAGGAGAATCGCTTGAATCCAGGAGGAGGAGGTTAAAGTGAGCCGAGATTGCGCCATCGCATGCCAGCCTGGGCAACAAGAGCGAAACTCCATCTCAAAACAAAAATAAACAAACAAACAAACCCCAAAAAAACCATACCCATCTATGAACATGGGATATCTTTTTATTTATTTATGTCTTATTTAATTTCTTTTAGCAATGTATAGCTTTCACTGTGCAAATCTTTCACCTCCTTAGTTGCTTATTCCTAAATATTTTATTCTTTTTGGTGCTATTGTAAGCAGGATTGTTTTTAAACTTCCTTTTTGGGTTGTTCTTATTAATGTATAGCAATGCAACTGGTTTTGTGTGTTGATTTTGTATACTGCAACTTTGTTGAATTAGTTTATTAGTTCTAACAATTTTTTTGTGTGAAATCTTTTAGGATTATTAACATATAAAATCATGTCATCTGTGAACAGAGACAATTTTATTCCTTCCTTTCCAATTTGGATGGAAAGAATTTGGAGCATCTGTTGACCTTTATTTCTTTTTCTTGCCCAATTCCTCTGACAAGGACTTCTGATACTATATTAAATACAAGTGGTAAGAGAGGATGAAGATATTCTTGCCTTGTTCCTGATCTCAGCGGGAAAACATTCCCTTTTTCACCACTGAGTATGATGTTAGCTATGGATTTTTCAAATATGGCCTTTACTACTTTACTACATTGAGGTCATTTCCTTCTATTCCTAATTTGTTTAAGGTTTTACCATAAGTGAGTATTGAGTTTTGTCATATGCCATTTCTGCATTAAGATGATCCATGTGGTTTTTGTTCATCATTTTATTAATGTGGTGCAATATAGTGATTTTTGTATGTTGAGCCATCCTTGTATTCAAGGAATAATTTTCATTCAGTCATGGTGTTTATACATATCTTTTTAACGTATTGTTGAATTCCCTTTTTGCTGAGAATCCTTCCATCATGATTCACGAAGGATATTAATCTGTTTTCATGTAGTTTCATTGCCTGATTTTCGTGTCAGGGTAATGCTTGCTCACAAAATGAGTTTGGAAATGTCCCCTCTTCTTCAATATTTTGGAAGACTTTAAGAAAGACTGGTGTTAATTCTTCTTTAAATGTCTGATAGAATTCTCCAGTGAAGCCATCTGGTCCTGGTTTTTTTCTTTGTTGGAAGGTTCTGAATAACCAATTCAATCTCTTTACTAGTTGTAGGTCTGTTCAGATGTTTTTATTTCTTCATTATTCAGTCGTGTAGGCTGTATATTTTTAGACATTTATTTATTCTAGGTTATTCAATTTGTTGGTATATAATTGTTCATAGTAGTCTCAATCTTTTTAATTTTTGTGGCATCAGTTTTAATTTCTATTCTTTATTCCTGATTTTTGCTATTAAGTCTTCTCTTTTTTTTTCTTAGTCTAAGGAATTGTCAATTTTGCTGATCTTTACAAAAACCCAACTCTTAGTTTTTTCTTCTATTCTCTATTTTATTTATTTCTGTTCTAATCTTTATTAGTCTCTCCCTTTTAACTTTAGGTTTAGTTTGTTCTTTTTCTAGTTGCTTGAGGTGTAAAGTTAGGTTTCTGATTTGAGATCCTTCTTATTTTCTTTTTTTTTCTTCCTTCAAAAGCATGTACACTTTCTTCTTTTTTAATGTAGGCATTTACCACTATAAACTTCCTGCTTAGAACTGCTTTTGCTGCATCCCATAGGTTGTGATATGTTGGGTTTTCATTTTCATTTGTCTCAAGTTATTGTCTGTGTTTCTTGTAATTTGTTCTTTGACTCACTGGTTGTTTAAGAGTGGGTTAATTTCCACATATTTGTGAATTTTCCAATTTTCTTTTTGTTACTGATTTCTATTCCCTTGTGGTCAGAAAAAATAGTTACTATGATTTCAGTCTTCTTAAATTTGTTAAGACTTGTTCTGTGGCCTAACATGTGGTCTTTCCTACAGAATGTTCTATATGTGCTTGAGAAGAGTGTATATTCTGCTGTTATTGGGTAGAATGTTCTCTATATGCCTATTAGGTCCAATTGGTCCACAGCATTATTCAAGTTCTATTTTTTTATTGGTCTTCAGTCTGGTTAATCAATATGTTATTAAAAGTGGGGTGGTGAAATCTATTATTATTGTGTTACTGTCTCTTTCTCCCTTCAATTCTATTGGTATCTGCTTCATATATTTGGATGCTGTGTTAAGTGCATATATTATTGTAATTGTTGTATCTCCCTGAATTGACACTCTTATTATTATATAATCTTTTTCTTTGTCTCTTTTGATAGTTTGATATAAGTATGGCTATGCCTGCTCTATTTTGGTTGCCATTTTTCCATCTTTTCATTTTCAGCCTATGTATCTCAAGTGAGTCTCTTGTAGCTAGAATATAGTTGGATCTTGTTTTCTGATCTATTTTGCTATTCCACATCTTTTGAATGGGGTGTTTAATTCATGTTCACCTAAAGTAATTACTGATAGAGAAGGACTTACTATTGCCATTTTGTTGTTTTCCATATACCTAGTAGTTATTCTGTTCACGATTTTCTCTTATTCCCTTCCTTTGGGTTTCATTGATTTTTTTCATAGTGACATGCTTTCCTTCTCATTTTCCATTGTACATCTCCTACAGGTATTTTCTTGTTGTTACCATGGGCATTACATTAAACATCTTAGAGTTATAACAACCTAACGAGATAACTTCAATCACATACTAAAACTCTACTCATTTACATTTCCCTCCCCAGTTTATGTTATCAATATCACAAATTACATCCTTTTCTATTTTGTATCTATCAACACAGTTTAATAGTTATTTTTACACTTTTATCTTTTAAGTTCTATACCAGAATTAAAAAGTGATTTATGTACACTCAGCCCTCTATATCTATGGGTTCTGTATCCATGGATTCAACTAAATCATGGATCAAAAATATAGTATTTGCAGGATGTAGAACCCAAAGATTGAACGTTTGTATCTGTAAGTTCCATACAGTTTACTATGGGACTGGAGCATCTATAGATTTTGGTATGTGTGGGAAGTCCTGGAACCAATCCTCTCTGGATACTGAGGGACAACTGTACTATACAACACGGTATTATAAGATTTTGTGTTTGTCTGTATATTTACATTTACCAGAAGGCTTTATATTTTTGCATGCTTTCATGTTGCTAATATTCTTTCATTTCAACTTGAAGGACTCCCTTTAGCAATTCTTGTAAGGCAGGTCTAATGGTGATGAACTCCTTCAGCTTTTGTTTATCTGGGAATGTCTTTTTTTCTTCATTTTTTGAAGGATGATTTAGCCCAGATGCAGTATTCTTGATTGGAAGGGTTTTTTGTTTTGTTTTGTTTCCTCCCTGGCTCTTTGAATGTATCATCCCACTCCTTTCTGGCCTGTAATATTTCTGCTGAGAAATCCACTGATAATCTTCTGGAACCTTCCTTGTACATGACAAGTCACTTTTTTCTTGCTGCTTTCAAGATTATGTCTTTAACTTCTGACAATCCGATTTTTGTGTATGTTGTTGTAGGCCTCTTTGGGTTCATTCTTTGGAGTCTGCTGAGCTTCTGAAATTAGGATATCCAATTCCTTCCTAATATTTGGGAAGTTTTCACCATTATTTCTTCAAATAAGTTCTCTGCCCCTTTCTCTCTTATTCTAGGACTCACAAAATGTGTGTATTGTTCCATTTGATGTTGTTCCACAAGTGTCTTAGGCTTTCTTGACTTTCCTTCATTCTTTTTTCTTTTTGTTTCTCTGACTTAATAATTTCAAATGATTTGTGTTTAAGTTTTCTGACCCTTTCTTCTGTTTGATCAAGTCTACTGCTGAACCCCTCTAGTAAGTTTTTCAATTCACTTATTGTGGTTCTTTAGCTCCAGAATATCTGTTTGGTTCTTTTCTAGTTTCCATCTCTTTGTTGATATTCTCATTTTGCTCACATATTGTTTTCCTGATTTCATTTAGTTGTTTATCTGTGTTCTCTTGTAGTGCCTTGAGATCCCTTAAGGCAATTATTTCAAATACTTAGTCAGGTAATGCATAGATCTCTGCTTCTTTAGGGTCTGTTTCTGTAGATTTATTTTCATCCCTTGATTATGCCACGTTTCCCTGGTTTACTTTGTGTCTTGTTATTTTTGTTGTATTTTGTACATTTAAAGAAACATCTACTTCTCTCAGTCTTTATCGACTAACATGGTACAAAGGAAGGCTTTCACCAGTGGACCCGGCTAGACATTCTGGAGGTCCCTCAAACCTTTTCCAGGGATATATCTTCTCTGGGCTTATGCGTGTGATTTCCAAATTAGAGGGCTTTACTGGTTTTTCAAGAGCTCCTAATCTTCCCCTCCCCTCTAGTGTCCGTTTGTGGTATTGCAGATTCTCCAGTGCTGCAACAAGCTGCTGAGCTCTCTTGTTCCAAACTACGCCATTTCTCTGTCAGTGCTGTGAGTCAGGCAAGACAGATACCAGTCCCTCTAGTAGGCCCCTGAGAAGCCAGAGGCTTCTCTTCCCCTCCCAAAGAACAGGTCATGAGCTAAGTGCTTCCTCCCAATTCTGTTGAGCTATGCCAGCCTCCATCGGCAGCACTGTCAATTCTCTGGTGCTACCACAAACCACTAAGCTTTCTTTTGTTCTCCATGGCCCCAAGGCATCAAAAGTAGTCTTCCTTTATCTGCAGTTTTACTTTTTGTAGTTTGAGCTAGCCATGGTCACCCGTGGTCCAAAAATATTAAATGAAAAAATTCCAGAAATAATTCAAAGGTTTTAAATTGTGCACTGTTTTGTTCGAGATGGCACCTTGCTCTGTTGCCCAGGCTGGAGTGCAGTGATGCAATATCAGCTCACTGCAACCTCCACCTCCCAGGTTCATGTGATTCTCCTGCCTCAGCCTCCCGAGTAGCTGGGACTACAGGCATAAGCCACCACGCCCAGCTAATTTGTACTTTTAGTAGAGATGCGGTTTTGACATGTTGGCCAGGCTCGTCTTGAACTCCTGAAATCGGGTGATCTACCTACTTCAGCCTCCCAAAGTGCTGGGATTAAAGGCATGTGCCACCGCACCTGGCCTAAATTGTGTACTGTTCTGAGTAGCATGATGAAATCTCATGCTGTCCCACTCTGTCCCATCTGGAACATGAATCATCCCTTTACCCAGGGTATCCATAATATATACACTACCTGCTCGTTAGTCACTTAGTAGCCATACTGGTTGTCAGATCAACTGTCACAGTATCACTGTGCTTGTGTTCAAGTAACTCTTATTTTATTAATACTTAATAATGACCTCAAAGTCCAAGAGCACTGGGGCTGGCAATTTGGATATGCCACAGAGAAGTTGTAAAGTGCTTTCTTTAAGTGAAAAGGTGAAAGTTTTCAACTTAATAAGGAAAGAAAAAAATCATATGCTGAGGTTGCTGAGATCTATAGTAAAAACAAATCATCTATCTGTGAAATTGTAAAGAAGGAAAAAAATTTCTGTTAGTTTTGTCGTTGCATCTCACATGGCAAAAATTACAGCCATCATATATGATAAGTGCTTAGTTACGATGGAAAAGACATTAAAGTTGTGAGTGGAATACAGAAATGTGTTATGATTGGTGGCAATCAGGTTTGGTACTATCCACAGTTTCAGACATCCACTGGGTGTCTTGAAATATATTCCCTATAGATAAGGAGGGATTACTGTATGCGATTTCCTCATCAGTGCTCCCGGTCAGTAGAGACAGAAATCAGTTCCTCAGTCTGCTTCCTAAAAAGTGAGAATGTTGGATGCACATTCCACTCTTCTTTTTCCCTCCCAAGGAAGAGAAGCCACAAGCTGGGTTTTTCCTACCAATCTCACCAAGCTGCCAGACCTGGAAAAGGGCTATCACAGTTGACATGAAACAGATTGTTTAATCAATTTCAATGTGGCTATTCTAGACTTTGAGCTTGCCTGCAGTACTGTGACTTCTTAATTGGTTCTGTAGTTCTCACTATAATTTTTTGGGATGTATGCTGTAGTTAAGTCAATGTCTCTACTGGAAAATAAGGTCTAGGACTTCCTATTCTGCCATCTTGCTGATGTCATTCCTGAAGAACGCCTTTAATGTTATTATTAATTCAGTTTTCATCTTCTAGTAATGACCTGCTTATATTCCTTGCTCATTTCTATAACGGAGTGTTTGCCTCTTTATGATTTATTTTTGCAAGTCATTTCTATATTTTGCATTCTGATCCTTTGTTTCTATTTGTTAACAGATTTTAAAAATTATTTTGTTTATTGTCAGCTGCTTTTTAAAAAATCAACTGTGATGCATATTTTGGGAGTTTGGTGTAGGGAGTACATACACACTGCACTGACTGATTTTTAAGGTCTTTTTGAATAAATTTATAATTACATAATTCAAAAGATCCATCAGTCAACATTCACCTCACAACCAAATCCAAGTCTTTACCTGACATGTAAATAAATAAATCTAAACACTCTCCATGTCTCCTATGGTTCTTCTTACATTGCCAAATCCAACATAATGAAGATTATCTCCAATGTTTTCCTCTAATAATTATATAGTTTAAGGGTTAGGTGCAAAGGATTCCTAAAGGTTGAGGACAAAGACAATTTCTGATAGAGCTTGAATTAGCAATAGCTTTACAAAAAAAAAAAAAAATCACCAAGTCCCTCAGTCCCAGATTCTCTTGGTTAATGATATGTCAAAAATGAAATGCCCACCAATGAAAACTGAGATTCTTTTACAGAGTGAAGAAACATTTGTAATGTGATTAATTGCCTTTTAATTTGTCTGAATCTCTTTGATTTGTTTAGTCTAGATTTTGGAATATCATGTTTCTTAAAATAGGGCATATGTTCACATCAAATGTTGCCTTGTAAATATCGTGTGTGTGTGTGTGTGTGTGTGTGTGTGTGTGTGTGTGTGTTGGGAGCAGAAGAAGGCAGAGCCAGGGCAGGCTAGTGTGAGAGCATACACTTGCATCTGTGCACATTCTCCTCTTGCAGAGTGAGCAATCCCAGGGTAAAACTAAGTACTGCTCTTTCTTTTATGCTCCCTACTGTGTATGTAGGGCTTTCTACCTAATGGGCCCACAAAAGACATTGTATGATTTACTTACTGCTCTGTGAGAGTTGAGAAAATAGTGATTTTTAAAAGAGTTTGAAAAAACTCACCAATTTGCTATGTATTCCACTAAAATAATCTTTCTATATAAAATACAACCATAACTGAACATCCATTTCCTATGAATTGTAAAATTTTCCTCTCATAACCAAACTGATACATTTTGAAACCTGAGAAGAAGGATGTTTAGTTTAACACCTACCGCCTTTGAGTGTTAAATCCATTAAGATGATTCTCTCTGAGTTCAGACGCTAATGATAAAACCATCTGTAAAACAAAATCAGTTGCAGGTTAACTCACGCTGCAAACAGGATTACATCAGTTCTATTTTTCTTGGTGTGAGTGATATTTCCGTTGAGATTCCCCCAACCCCCATCTTCTCATGTTTCACTCTGTCAGAGTGAAAAGGAAGCAGTGCCATGTCACATTTACTAATAATTGGGATTTTATGTTTAATGTCTATAATTCTGCATTCCTATTTAAGCAATGAACAATAGACAGGTCATTAATTTCCTAAGAATTAAAACCAAATCCATTTAAAGAAAAGTTAGTTTACTTCTTCATTTAAAATTCAGTTCATTTGAAAAAAAAAAAAAAGTTGTTATTGTACAAAGCTTCCAAAACACCGGAATGGTTAACAAACATTAAAAAATCTCATAACATTTTTTAGAAGAGTTACATCAAGTTTGTAAGTTAAAATTTCTCACATTTGGCTATAATTTAAGCCAGAAGAAAACAATGCTTTAATATTAAGAGGTAAATATTTAAAACTATGTACTGAATTTTCTGTTTTGCTTTAACAGAAAATTCCAATCAGGTTATTTGAAATACAAGATTCTTTCAACAGTACAAGACTGTGTTTATAATAGCTAAGAACAGCTCTTCTCCCAAACATCTCTGAGTGAATAAGTGAGATGTGTCCCTAGAAAGAGAGGCTGATTGGTTGGTTTAGGAAAACCCTTCCTGGTTTCCTTCTTTCTCATAACTTCCCATCTCACATTTCTTCCGTACATGGCCATAAGTCTGCCCAAGGTAAGAAGAGATAAACAAAGAAAAGTTAAACATCTCTTCTGGAGGACTGAAATATTTCCATTTACTCTTTTTGCTGATGGCACATTCAGCATTAAACATTTCAAAAGTGATAAATTTTAAATACTCACATTTTTAAGCAAACCAGGATAGTAATCTATAGGTGCATACCCAAGACCTTGAGTGAAAAGAGCAACTTCTTTATCAAATCTGAGTGCTGAAAGTATATGAGATAATACACCCTAAAAAACATAAACAGAAAAAGTTAACTTCTTTAAAAGTAAATGCAAGTGCCTTTTATGTACAATGCCTACAATTTATTTGTACATGGGGGTGGTCTCTATGAAACAAAAAAATCTGTTTGTCAAAGTACCCAATTTACTTTGATTCAAAGTGTAAAAGAGAAATGTTAGCATTAAAGTTAACACATTAAAAAGAAGTCAATTTAAACAAACATTAGCAGTGAAACAAAAATATATATCATCAATGAGCAGTGCTTTACCTATATTAAGAATGGAATCTTTATTGTTTTTAAACTCAGTAAAATATGTTTAACAGAGATGATAATTTTTCTTTGCTTTTTTTTTGAGGTCAGATGGGTAACGTGCCGATGTCATACAAGGTTCAAGGGTGGCACATTGCACACACATGCGTGAAACACCCAATCATCACGCTCATGAACTACAAAAGGATCCAGATATTAGAATTTAATATAAGATAGAGAACACATCACAAATCAGTAGGGAAAGGACAGATTATGTAATAAATGGTGCCTCAAAAACTATCTGTAAAAAGAAAAAAAGATTCTCACCGGGTATTATTCATCAAAATATACTCCAGTTTAATGTAAATCAAAGAGATAAATGTAAAAATGAAATAATACACAAGAAGAAAACATGAACATTTTTCAAGTATCTGAATGAGAAAGAACTCTGAGAACTGAAAATCCTGGGAGTAAATCATCAGGGAAGAGGCTTGGCTGTGCTCAATAAAAATAAAATCTTGTGTTTACCAGAAAAATAATATGAGCACAAACTAAGAAGAATGTTAACAACAAACAGTACAGATTCTATATTATCAAATTAATGTACAAAATATACGACAAACACTAAGAGCATAACAATGAATATGAATAGATAATTCATAAAATACAAATAGCTAAGAAACACATAAATGAATGTTCATCCTCCATAATCAAAAAGGGTAGGGTAAAACACCTGTATGGCACTTTCACTTAATGAATTCAAGTTTTTTACAGACATGAATAGCTAAGCTGTATGGGGTTCTATGAAACATGTACTCTGTGTGAGCTCCTGGAGGAATAGAAATAGGGTCTTCCATACAGAGTGCAGTTGTGAATGGCACCGAGGCGCCCAAAGTGTGAGCAGAGGCAACACAGCCCGGAACCCATCATGAAGCTTGGACTTCCAGGGGTGTGTCTGCCTAGAGGTTTGTCACCTGAACAAAGACCGATTACGGGCTAACAGAGGCCCTGCCTTATAGAAAGCAACTTGAAAAAAATATATTAAATGTCTTCAAAATATTCAGAACCTTTGATATATGTGGCATACATTTAAGGAAATAAATGCAAATATGATGACAGGAACTATGCTCGAAGATGTTCACTATAGTGGTTATTTCTCATATAGTAAAAATTGTCTAACAGCAGAGAATGATTAATATGCTTATATAGTGGCTCACTGTAAGCCACTAAAATGTTTACAAAGGGGCCAGGCACGGTGGCTCACACCTATAATCACAGCACTTTGGAAGGCCGAGACGGGCAGATCACTTGAGCCCAGGAGTTCGAGACTAGCCTGGGCAACACAGAGAAATCCCACCTCTATAAAAAATACAAAAAAATTAGCTGGGCATGGTGGTGCACATCTGTGGTCCCAGCTACTCAGGAGGCTGAGGCAGGAGGATCACTCGAGCTCCAGAAATTGAGGCTCTGCACTCCAGGCTGGGAGTTGAGAGTGAGACCCTGTCTCCAAGGAAAAGAAAAGTTTATGAATAATTTTAATAGTATTTAAAATGGTTATATTATACTACTAAATGAAGAAAGATGTAAAATGTTATACTCAGAAATGATCTCATCAATATAAAAATAATCCATAAATGAGAATGGAAAAACAATGGAAGAAAACATCACTGTCTTAGTCTGTGCTGCTATGGCAAAGTACCTCAGACTGGGTCATTTATAAGAGCAAAACTTTATGTCTCAGTTCTGGAGGCTGGGAAGTCCAGAACCAAGGAGCTGGCAGGTTCAGTGTTTGCTGAAGGCTTCCAAGGTGATGCCCTGTTGCTGTGCCCTCTAGAGGAAACGGACACTATGAATGCTGTGTCTTCACATGGTGAAAGGGACAGAAGGGCAAAAAGGGCCCAGGGCACTCTCTTCCACCTCTTATAAAATCACCAGTCTCATTCATGAGAGCTCTGCCCTCATGACTTAATCACCCCCAAAGCCCCTCTTAATATTATCACATGGGTGATTAAGTTTCAACACATGAATTTTAGGGGATATATTTAGATCACAGCTATCACCAAATGTTAGCAGTTTCTAGGGTGGTGCTAGAGACCCATAATAGTACCACCCTAGAGACTGCTAACATTTATATTAACATTATATATATATATTTTTTTTCTTCTTCTTTCTACTTAAGTACAATTTCCTAGCCTTCCATACATGTATGTGCTTCTTTTACTACCAGGAAAAATATTTTTTGAAAAAGTTTTATTTGGAAATATTTGATCTTTAAAAAAGTCCTATACTGCATTTTGTGATAACACATTACAAGATAAAATGAATTTGCATCTGTGCATATAAATGTATGTATGTAACTTCATACACAAATACTTGGAGATGACAGTCTAATCCAGGGTGGAGGCTAAGGGTGCCTCAGTGATGGGCAGGCAGGCTCCATAGACCCGGGACGACAAGCACGTGGCACACATACCAGTGACACTCTGAGTGGTTACCATTATCACGGTGGTCATTTCAATTTCATCATAAAGTATCTCACACATCCAAAAAGATACAAAATATTATGTCAAATTCCACAAACCTTCAAGCTTAATCAGTAAACATTAGAAATACAGAAGAAGCCTTCTATGCCCTCTGCCCTTCCCCATCATGATTCAACAGCCCTACCCCTGGGGGAAACTCTACCCTGAATCTGGGATGCATCCTTTTGTGCAGATCATGTACTTTCTCCCTGTGAGCTCACCCCTGCCTCCGTATCCTTAAAAGAGAATCCAGGCAACACTCCTAAGTCATGTAAGTGGAAACCTGCCATTTCTACATGACATCCTATCTACAGTTTTCAAATTAGAATTGCAAGTTAACAAAGTAGCTTTAAAACATTACTACTCAGTAGAAGACGTTCATGATTAATAAAAACAACAACAAAAAACCCCCAGTAATATGTACTACATGATTTACAAAAAAATGAATCCACTGGAAAGGGGTAAAAACAGGAACCTTACAGAGTTAGAGAGTTAGAGTGAACCTTGCTTAAGGTAGAGAGAAGGATGGGGCCACTTGCTTGTTATTGTTTTTTCCCTCTTTCAGTTCAAATCTGCCGCAAATACAGAAAGCAAATAGGAGCTGACCATAGCCCCAAGAGAGTTCGTCTCCATGTTGGTGGTGTTCTCTTCCAACACCAAGTGCAATCTGGGAGAGAGAGGGAGCAGCCATGGCTGGGTGGGCAGAGTCAGGGAGCTCAGGTACAAGCCAGCGTGCCATCTGTGGAAGTGCTTACTGCCAGCTGCGCTTACTGCTGGACTCCACTGAACTTGCGAAGGCGGAGGGTGGGGCCTGCACAGCAGGGAGAGCACTTGGTGCTCTTAGCAAGCCAGGATGGAGCCTGAATCCCCAGTGGGGTGCAGTGCAGGTGTTCTGGGAAAAGGGAAAGCCCGGCCAGGTCTGGCCAGCCATATGTCAAATCCACGCGGAGGTGTCCAAGTCAGACCCAGGCAGAGAAGGGAGGACTTGGTTTGGAAAGTAGGTGGGCTCCAAGTCGGCAGCAGTCTGGGTTTGCACAGAGCAGGTCAGTCTGATGCTAGGTGAGGGGAGGGCAGTGTCAGAAGAATGCAACCTTCTGCTCAGAAACCAGACTTTTGCATTCTATTTAACACTCATTTAAAGCATTTACTACACACCAGGGGCTGTTCTAAGCCAATTACAAATAGCAACTCATTTAATCCTCACAGCCTACGGGTAGGTACTGTTACTGAATCTGGGTTAAAGAGGAGGAAATCAAGACAGTTTAAGCAGCCTGCCCAAGGCTAGTTATTTACTCTATGGCCAAACCTTATAATGAACCTCCCTGTATCCACTGTCCATGAGACTGTTGGGATAGTTTTTAACAATGCAAATCTGAATGCTCTCAGTCTGAGACCCTTACAGCTTCCAGTTACTCTTACTGTGAAGCCCAAACTTCTCAAAGTGAAGCAGCCTGGCTCACCAGCACACCCCACACCCGCCACCAGGCTTGACTTCTCCTTACAAGCCTGTTTGCGACCCTGGAGGGCCACAGGCTTTTTGGGCCATCAGGACTTCAGTATGTCCAATCCCCTCTGCCTGGGGAGCTCTCCTATGCCCCTCACTTGTGAGAATTGACTTCTTGAAGGAATTCTAGCAATTGTGACAACCACAATTTACCAAGTGCTTACAATGTGTGAGGCACTATGTTCTCTAAGTGTGGCATCTCACTGAAAATCCCAGGCTCAGTTTTTAATCAAATTCAATTCAGCAAAGTTTCAATTAAGCCACCCATAAACAGGTGGCTACTGTTATTGTATATCACAATCCACCCTTAAAAAATTAGAGCGCAAGGCGCTACAAACCTGGTTGAGATGGAAAGTAATGTAGTATGTAATTGAAGGAAACCAGTTTTGAGCAGTAACAGCTAAGGGTCAGTTAAGATTGTAGATGTTAAACAAAACCATGCCCAGGCTTTCCCCTAACCCACAGCCTCCCAGAAGCACTCACACCCTGGGCCTGGGACCAGCTCACGGAGGGTGACTTCCCAATACTGTATGAGCTCCGTCTTGACATTTGATAGATTCAGAGGGTGAGATGAGAGATTGTAAATAATTCTTAAGTAATGTTTAAAATAGCCACAAATAGTTCCCTAGATATTACAGTCATGTATCACTTAGCAACTGGGATACATTCTGAGAAATGCTTCGTTAGGCAGTTTCTTTGCGTGCAAACATCACAGAGTGTACTTACATGAACCCAGATGGCTCAGCCTGCTGCACACCTAGGCTACATGGGAGAGCCTATTGCTCCTGGGCTACAAACCTGTGCAGCATGGGACTGTACAGAATACTGTAACATTGTGATCTAAACCTATCTAAACATAGAAAAGGTACAGTAAAACTATGGTATAACACTGAAAAAATGGTACACCTGTATAGGACACTTCCCATGAATGGAGCCTGAAGAACTGGAAGTTGCTCTGGGTGAGTAAATGGGGAGTGAATATGAAGGCCGAAGACATGACTCTGCACCACTGTAGACTTCACAGACACTGTACACTTAGGCTACACTAAATTCTTAAAAACTTGTTTCTTTCTTCAGCAATAAACTATTCTTAGCTTACCGCAACTTTCAAATTTGATAAACCTTTTATTTTTGTTGAACTTTTGGACTATTACAATCAATGCTTTGCCTAAAACACATTGTACAGCGGTACAAAAATATCTTCTTTCACTATATCCTTATATCATAAGCTTTTCTATTTTAATTTTTTAATTTTTTTTTACTTTTTAAACTTTTTTGTTAAAAACTGAGGCACACTGCCACCCAGACACTTGTCCTGGTCACTTCAACCCCTGGCTCACTGTTGTGCTGGTGTGAATGCAAACCCCGCTCTCTGGCTGCCAAGCATGCATGTGGCCAGGACAGCAAATCAAGCATTCAAGCTCCAGGCAAGAGGTCTTCTCAGGTTCCCAAACAGGCTTTCCAGAATTCCCCCAAGACACTGAGACTCAGCCCCTTCAAGGCCTTGCTGCCAAAGAGAATCAGAGAGGGGATCGGGGAGCCGTTCAGACTCTCCAGCCCAAGCTTGTCAGTGCACAGCTCAACACAAATTTGTAAACTTTCTTAAAACATTATAAGATTATTTTTTGCTTTTTTTTTTTAAGCTCATCAACTATCACTAGTGTTAGTGTATTTAATGTGTGGACCAAGACAATTCTTCCAATGTAGCCCAGGAAAGTCAAAAGATTGGACACCCCTGCTCTAGTCTCTTCTGTAGTGAAAATGGACTTGTACCCAAAGAGGCAACTCACTGTCCACAAGGACACCATCCCAGATGCTGAGCATCAACCTCCTGCCTCCCTGGAACAGACCTTATCTGAATCCCATCAAAGCCCACATTGTCCTCCAGCCTCTAACGTCCAGACATGTGCCAGAATAGCCCCTCAGAACTGTCTTGATGAGATGGGACAAGGGGTGGTGGAGATCCAGGTTCAGAATGGCCGCCTTATCCCTGACTTCTGAGAGGTCTGTACCTGCTGGTTGGAGCCCTCACTCCTTAGGAGGCTTGGCCCATGTCCCAGGAAGTGCCCCCTAAAACGACCTTCCGGTCTCTTCCTCCTCTGAGGGGAGCGCCCTGGAATGAGTCCCTCTGTGCTAAGGAACACGACCTCCATTCGCACAACCAGGCTGACTGGCGCCCTGTGCCCGGAGGCAGGAAGAGACGCAGGATCCAGCTTGTGTCTGTGCGTCTGTGTTTCTCCAGCTGTGGTGCCTGTGCAAAGAGTGGAACCCCAAAGAACACTGGGTGGTCAACACACGGACACAGCACCCAATACAAGTATGTATGTTTAAGCTGAATAACAATGTCATATAAAAATGTTATTTCATTTTATAAGAAAATTGAGTTAAATTTTGTAAGGGCGTTAAAATATAATTTTAATAGGAAGCTATGAAAATTATCTACACTTGGTGTACAAATGACTGAATTTTGGGTAACTCTGTAAAAGCCACTTATGGGTGTAAAGAGGGGTCTGTCACTTACTTTATAAGACATCGACTTCCAAATCTGTGGTGTTTTTAACCAGTGCCCTCTGGTGATACTAACATTTCTTAGCCTGAAGGAGCATTTCCATGGAAACCATAATAGAGATTTCGCTAACTTTGGATTAAAATAATTATAAAATTGCTTGGTTGGTTTATGCTCGTTAACCAAATGCTCCTACAGATAGCATATTGCACATGTGTTTTGATGTGTTCTTTCATCTAAGGTCAATTTCCCTTAGTTTATTCATCAAATTTTATTTACTTTAGATAAAAGAGACCTTGTAGTTAGCATGTGCTCTATGAATCTGTACTTTGTTAGAAATACAAACTCTCAGACAAAACCCTGACCTATTTTATCAAAATCTGACCTATTTCATTAAAATCTGGATTTAAAATAATATTTCCAGGTGATTCATATGCACATTAATGATTGTTACTAGCTCTGTCACCCAGGCTGGCGTGCAATGGCACAATCTTAGCTCACTGCAACCTCTGCCTCCCAGGTTCAAGTGATTCTCCTGCCTCAGCCTCCAGAGTAGCTGGGATTACAGGTGTGTGCCACCACGCCCAGCTAATTTTTGTGTATTTAGTGGAGATAAGGATTCACCATGTTGGCCAGGCTGGTCTCGAACTCCTGGCCTCAAGTGATCTGCCCACCTCAGCCTCCCAAAGTGCTAGGATTACAGGTGTGAGCCACCATGCCCAGCCGGTATTCTATTCTTAAGAGGATAAAAAGTTATATGGGTGTACTGATTTGTCAAAAAGGTACAATAAAGATTATACATGTCAATGCACATACATCTTATCTTATAAAAATAAAAAAATAAAGGGATGGGGAATGAGCTGAAGTATAGATGAAGCAGAAATAGCACATGATGAGTAGTTGTTGAGGCTGAGTGTCAGGTCTATTACACCATTTTGTTTATTTTGTATATGTTTAAAATGTTCTGTAATAAAACACTTGTCTAAAAAGACAAAGTTTATCCATAACATTAGCTCTTAAGATTTTGGCTACCTTTGGAGAGGAAGAAGGAAGAAAGTGGATGTCAGAAGCATGAACAAGGCTGATTCTATCTTGTGGTTACAAAAATGTATTTGCCTTGTAATAATTCACTGAGCTTTATCTTAATGCTTTGTGCATGTACTTCTGTATGCATATTATGTATCAATAAAAATTTAAATATTAAAGAGAAAAACTGAAGCACACACATTAGCTGAGGCCTACACAGGGTCAGGTAATTAATATCACTGTCTTCTACCTCCACATCTTGTCCCACTGGAAGGTCTTCAGGGGCAATAACAATAACATATGTGGAGCTGTCATCTCCTGTAATAACAATGTCTTCTTCTGGAATGAATCCCTCCTGAAGGACCTGCCTAAAGCTGTCTTACAGTTAACTCTTTTTTTTTTTTTTTTTTTTTTTTTGAGACAGGGTATTGCTCTGCTCTGTCACCCAGGCTAGCAATCACAGTTCGCTGCAACTTTCAACTCGTGGGTTCAAGCAATCTTCCCGCCTCAGCCTCTCAAGTAGCTGAGACTGAATAAGCTGAGGCTTATTTTTTAAATTTAATTTTATTTTTTGTAGAGGTAGGTCTCAGTATGTCACTCAGGCTGGTCTCAAACTCCTGGCCTAAAGTGATCCTTCTGCCTTGGTCTCCCAAAGCACTGGGATTATAGGCATGAGCCACCACATCTGGCCAACTTTTTTTTTTTTTAAATAAGTAGTACACTCTAAAATAACAAAAAGTATAGTATGTTAAGTACATAAACCAATAACACAGCCATTTATTATTATCAAGTAATTATGTACTATATATAATTATATGTGTTATCCTTTTCTATGACTAGCAGCACAGGATGTTTGTTTACCTAGAATCACCACAAACATGTGAACAATGTGTTATACTACATTATAACACCTATGATGTCCCTAGGTCATAGACACTTTTCAGCTCCATTATAATCTTATGAGACCACTATTGTACATGCAGGCTGTTGTTGATCAACATGTCATTATAAGGCACATGACTAAACTTCCAATGTCTGCATTGCACGAGCTGACTTTAACATATAATGTCCTGGAAAAATGAAAATGTAGTATCTCACTTATCTGCAAGGGATACACTCCAAGACCCTCAGTGGATGCCGGAAACCTTGAATGTACCTAACCTTTCTCTCTCCTCTCTATATATACACATACACACACACACACGTACACATTGTGTGTGTGTGTGTGTGTGTGTGTGTGTGTATGAAACAAAATTACATATTTTAATTTACGTTTTTCCATAATTCTGTAATATAAGTGGCTATGAAGTGCCACAAGAGTTTTTTCCCTGAATAAAATAAGTGTTAAGTCCTAGAAACAACATACAGAGGCCAGTATATGGTTACGTAGTTTTCAAACAGACACCTCAAACTTTGGTCCTCTAAATTTTTATTTTATAGTAAACTTAAATATTGATGAGCATTTCTCATTGCTAAGAATAATTTTTTTTACCGCCACCTAGTGGTAAATAGTCTAAACACAAAACCATTAAAGATTAGGCATTGGCTCTTGGACAAAAATAAATTCCTATAGTCATATAATAATAGGTTCTTTCTCAAATGCTGGCAGAGTGATCTTGGAGATCCTTTACTCTAACTCCCTCAGTTTACTAATGAAGCACTGAGTTTCTAAATATACAAATCAGTATTTAAGAAAAGGATGTGGATATAAATGAACAGGTTCAGACATAAAGATGTACAGATTTTATCATCCTGACCACTGATATAAAATCTTTCATGAGTAGAAAGTATGGGAACCAAGATGGCTGTATCTAAAATGATTTTAAGCCCAATTTCGATTCATGTAAAAGAATGAAACTCTGCTCATGTGTGAAAAGCCATTGAATGTGCTTAGATCATGCGAGTGAACTTTCCTAAGAAGGGGAGTTTTAAATAAAGCAGAGGGAAATCCACTGCCCTTGCTTTTGGGTGCTGTTAGTTGTCCTTGCCTCACTGTATCTGCTCCCTCGTGTAACAGGCAGCACATTCGCAGGCAGGTTAGGAAAGCTGGAGCAATGGGTTGTGGCTTGGAACATGGTCTGGGTGTGGAGGAAGGGTTGTGGGTTTTGCTCAGGCAAAGGGCTAGGAGAGCCAAACTGTGGTCAGTATTCTCAAACTAAGACAGAGCACGTATATTATGCTTCTCTAAACAATTTCTTCATCTGATCATTAAAGTCTTTTAGAATTTCCACCACTTTGCTCTCCATGGCATATCTCTTTATACAAAATATACAAAAAAAAAAAAAGGTGTTGGCCAGGCGTGGTGGCTCACGCCTGTAATCCCAGTACTTTGGGAGGCCGAGGCAGGCGGATCACAAGGTCAGGAGATCGAGACCATCCTGGCTAACATGGTGAAACCCCGTCTCTACTAAAAATACAAAAAATTAGCTGGGCATGGTGGCGGGTGCCTTTAGTCCCAGCTACTCGGGAGGCCAAGGCAGGAGAATGGCGTGAACCCAGGAGGCGGAGCTTGCAGTTAGCCAAGATCGCGCTACTGCACTCCAGCCTGGGAGATAGAGAAAGACTCCATCTCCAAGAAAAACGTGCTTATAAATAGGGATCCCTTATTTATTCATTCAACAAACACAGGTTGAGGATGATCTGCTTTCAAGCCACTCTCCTGGGACCACTGGGGTGAGAAGCCCTGCAGCCTGGTGAAGGGTGCTGCAGGTGGGAATAGCCATCACGTGAGCCAGCTTGCTGAGTGCTGGAATGACTCTTGGTGAGGCAGCCGCTGTGGGAACAGAGCAAGGAGAGATGAGTTCCAACTGCTGGGTTCTGGGGTACTTCCAGAGACAATGGCATCTGAACTGATTCTGAGGGCTGGGGAAGAAGACAAAGTGGAGGAGGGAGAGGCAAGGGGAAGACAGAAAGAATGCATGTGTGATGTCGCTGGGACAGGGGAAGGTGACTGGGGAAGGAGTAGAGAAAAAAGGTGGGAAAACCTCTCCTGTCACCCCCTAAGGCTCCCGGCCCCTACTCCAGCCTGCCCCTACATGGCCTCAGCCCGCCTGCGCAAACTCACTTCCCCTGCCTTTCTCTTTCATCCCTGTGACTTGGTGACATCAGACTCCTGGCTGGTCACCAAATTCACCCAGCCCCTTCCCACCTCCAGACCTTTTCCTTCTTCTGAGAAACCCAACAACCTCCCCGCCCCCATCTCTAGCTGCCAAAATCATACCCATCTTTCAAAATTCACCTTTCTCTAGGATTCCTGTTCTAGTTCTTGACTGGGCAAGATGTTGTTCTGGAGTCTCTGTGGTTCCTCCCTTGTGTTTCTCTCCCTGCACCTTCCAAGGTCACCTTGCAGTGTAACGGTGAGCCTGCTCTCCTCTGTCCACCGTTAGCATGCAGGCGCTCCACGGCAGGCACTGCCTCGCTGTCCTTCACATTCCTACCACAGCTGGGAGCCACACAATAGTCATTCAATAAAGACCAGCTGAGTCAAAACCAAGAGCACAGATTGCTCTCTTACAGCTAGTGAAGAACATAATCGCTGCAGGATTCCCTTGTGACCTTGTTATAGGAGAACACAACAAGTTTTCTTTTTCACAATTTGCTTTCCTAAGTTGCAGGTCATAAAATACCCACAGAATACTGGGAAAACATGACATCGCTATGTGCTTTTACTTCAAAGATATTAACTCATGTTGGTAACACTGACCAGAACCTGCACACCAATGATGATGTACTTTCATTGGCTACGGTGTTGCTTTGGTGCCACTCAGCTTGCAGTAACCTTCGGGTGCTGGGATTAGAACATCCAGGACGGACAGGAAAAGCAGAAGCAAAGGGCCATCTTTGCTGAAAGGGGTCCTGAGAAATTCAACCTCAGCTGTATTTAAATAGAAGTTATAATGCATATCTACATATTTTAAAACATGTTTTTCCTGCAAAACTGGTTAGTAAAAGAAAGCTTTTGTTAGTTCCATCCGATACACTCAATTATTTTTGGCCCACCAAAATGTATTTCTCAGGTATAAATCAGTGTGTTTAACCTTCTCTTTCCTCAAACCAGTCTATTCAGTCCTGGGCCTGTGGCCATGCTACCATGTCGAATACCTGGAGGGCTCTCTGACCATGACCATATAAAATACTTGTGCCCGAATGCTGAATTAGTTGCTTCTCCCCCCCTTTTTTTAATGTAAACATTAAAAAAATTTAATGTAATTAAATGAATTTTATTTATTTACATAATTATGGCATTATATGTAAACATCTAGGAAAGCATTTATGTTATTATACTGGAATTGTTTACTTAATATCAAAATGCCCAAACTGACTAAATTACCTGCAAGTGACTTATATTTTTCTAAATTAAATACCATGGTGAAAATTGGCCAATTTTCTTACAACACAATTTTAAATTATCACTTCCCCCTGCAAACAAAGACAAACTAGAAATTAAAACAACTCATAAGCACCACCTACATTTACTTCACTAAAAAAAGAAAGAAATGTCCTCTACAGAGTAAGATGGACCACCACTCCCCGGCAAAGCATTACATGACAAGACAGCAAAGAAGATTCGTGTTACAAAACTGTTAAAAATACATGTGAAAGGTCTGCATAAAGGAAGACCTTGGATCTTAGCAAGAAAAATTCAATGTCACAAAGATGTCAGTTCTCTGGCATAGAAACTCAATGCAGTACCAGTAACAATTCCAAATAGGGTTTTTGGTGGAACTTCAGAAGCTTTTCCAAAATTCACATGGAGAAGCAAGGGGCCAAGAACAGCACATGCTAAGGGAAAGAAGAAAATTATAGAAATAAACAGGCAGCATCATTCTGTTTATATAAAGTTCAAAAGCAGGCACTAAAGGAGATATGGTTCACAGATACACACACGAGTGGTAGACGTGCAAATCCCTCCAATCACCTCTGGCTGAACGTCCTAAAGGTACCAAGTACAGTAAAGCTAATCAGATACTTCACACTATCCTATTCTGTGCCTGTTAGTCTGAAGCCACCTATAATACTGAGATGTCTCAGGAACAAAATATTCTTGTAACACAGTTTCACTGATAACTCTTAAAATCTGAAATCCTTAATATCTGAAATGATAAAGAATTTCTTTCCATATTATGACATACAGTGCATACCCATTGGCTGGTGATAAAACTATTATAGAAATAAGATATAAATTGCTTGAAAAGGTATTTGGAATTTTGTAAGATAAAAAGTATTTCAGTCTCCTATTTCTTTGTAACTTACAAATTAAGAATTAAAAGATATTCCAACATGCAAATAGCACTCTTCATATTAGAATAATCTACAATCGAAATGCAGAAGTCAGTCCTAAATTAAAGGTATGGTTTTACTTTTAATTCTTTCTGAAAATCAGGCATGTTTAAGTTAATTTAAAATTTGTTGAGAAAAAAGGAGTCATTATCTTTATTATATATATTCATGTTAATGCATCCTTTAGCGAAGTAATAATGAATGGTTGGACTTCTTTAGGCATGAAGACAGTCTAAGCTTAGGGCCTAGACCTTATTTCCTTCCAACACAAAAATGGCAGTCTGAGTAAATTAACCTAAGCAGTGACACAGGAAACAAATCATGCCCAATTCCCAACCTCGAACCCAACAACTTGCTTCCAACAGTTAATGGTCTTCCTTATCACTCTTATTAGGGCACGACAGATTCCATCTAACAGATCTGCAATTACCATAGTTCCTTTTCTTTTAATCCAGTATTTAAACTGTTCAATGATTTCCACTTTCACAGAATCCATATCTACCTAAGCCTAAGTGGACAAAGTATAATTCAGCGAACAATTCCCATCTGCAGGAAAACTAACCATATAAAACATGTTTTCGGAAACACTTGTCCCCATTACATGGTTAGGAAGCAAAATTCAACAAGTAGTCATTGACAATTTTGCCTCTTTCATAAACCACACTTTGAGATGTATAAAAGTATTGCTAATTTCAAGTCAGAGAAGAAGCCAAGTCTAATTAATTTTTTCCTCAGAAAATCTGAAATCTTATCATATGTTTAAAATGGACTTATTATTCAGCACTTTTTTGTTTTTGTTTTTTAGGAGATGGGCTCTCAGTATGTTGCTCAGGCTGCTGTGGAGCTCCTGAGCTCAAGGGCAATGTTCACACCTCTGCCTCTCAAGTATGCACTCTGTGGGTGGGGCCCTAGAATCTGCTTCTCCAACAGGAGCACAACTCACCCCACTACACCAAAGGCTGGTGTTGATAAACTACATATTGGTCAAGCCCCTTAATAAGGCTGTTGAAACACCATTAAGATAAGCAGGTTTAAACCGATCACATTTTCTCAGTGTTGCCACCATTGGCATTTTGGGCCTGACAATTCCTTGTTGCAGGGGCCTGACCTGTGCATTCCCGCCTTCTACCTCCTCAATGCCAGGAGCCCCCTCACAAGTTGTGACAACCACACGTCCCCAGACATTGCTCAAATCCCCTCGGCAGCAAAACTGCCTCAGCTGAGCAGCTCTTCTTTAAACACACACCCATTTTTAGAAGTGAGTTTGGATTACCGTTTTTGAACATTCATCTTGTCTTTGGGATAAAGATAGATATTGGCAATATAAAGGAGACTTGTGTGGCTGCTACAGAAACAGTCCAGGAGTTACTGTCATGTGAAGAAAGCAAGTCACAGAGTAAGAGTCAGTATAATTCCACCTATGTGAAAACAAACATAAAACAAAGTTATTTTCATATATAAAGGCAAAGAAGACTATAAGAATCTGCACAGCCCACTGATACCAGGTTACTTCTGAGGAGGCTTTTGAGGTTAGGGGGAGACTGCTGCGCTCGGACTGTTGGATTTTTTTTTTTTTTTTTTTGAGAAAGAGTCTCACTCTGTGGCCCAGGCTGGAGTGCAGTGGCGTGATCTCAGCTCATAGCAACCTCTGCCTCCCGGGTTCAAGAGATTCTCCTGCCTCAGCCTCCTGAGTAGCTGGGATTACAGGCATGCGCCACCACGCCTGGCTAATTTTTGTACTTTCAGTAGAAACGGAGTTTCACCACATGGTCTCAAACTCCTTACCTCAGGTGCCTTGACCTCCCAAAGTGCTGGGATTACAGGTGCGAGCCACCGTGCCTGGCCTTAGGATAATTTTTAAAAACGGTGTTAGGTCTCCTCAGTTTTCAATTCCATAAAAGTAGATGATAAAACTGACTTTGAGGAAGTTCACAGAAGTGAGTGAGGCACATGCACGGGAAGCAGCGAGCGTTACGCACTCCCAGCACGTCTCCCATCTGATGCTGCTGTATCTGAAGTCGCAGTTCGGATGAGCATGGAGTATAATCTGAGAGCTGCGTAACCCCAGTTCCTGGGTTCTGGATACCTCTAACCTTCTCCCTTCTCCCTCTTCATGGTCACGGCCAAGGCCCACCTCCTGCCCTCTGGCTCATCTCCAATGCCTGTCCTGCATACATACACTCACCTGACGATATCATTTCTAGGTCTGCCACAAATGTATGCAGAGGCCCAGGAGGAGCCAAGACTGAAAACCGGAGGGCCTAAGTCAGCGTTTCTCAGGATGTCATGTACAGAGACCTCAATCTGAATTATCCTGCAGACCACCTTGGTCCCACCCAGCCCACTGAATCCAAACCTCTGGGGGTGGGCCCTAGAATCTGTTCTTCCAACAGGACAAACACCCCCTTTCCACTGCACTGTAAAGTCTGGGGCTCACCAGCCACAGACCTGACTATAGCTCAAATGCTGTGTGTCTTTATCTCCTGTGCACTAGGGAAAGAACCAGGAGAGGACAGCATAGGGGGAAGCCCAGGTCATCCTGTGACCTCCCCACCTCTGCCGGAGTGACCCCTTCCTCTGGTTCAAAATCTCCAACAACAGGGTGCAGACATGACCTAGACCACCGTGTGTGGTGAGATTACTTGAGGACCTGAGGTAGAACGCTTTCAGGATGGAAACGTCTCAAGACTTGGAGTCAGACCCATTTAGGTTCAATGAGTAGTTCTGCCACTCAGTGAAGAAACTCACTTACTGTCACTACGCATCAGTGTCTTCATGTAAATCGCCCGGCTAGAGATCTGGCTCATAGTAGGTGCGAAATAAATGTTAGTTTCCATGGTTCAGTGCCAGGGCTGTTTCTCTGACACAGGCCAAATGTCTAGAACCTATCCTAATTAGGGGGAGAAAGAGGTCTTTAATGTCTTCTGTTTCATCATTCTGTTTGCCTACACAGCAAGCATTTATCACTGCCAATACTAAACTGAACTCTTTTCTATCTCCCACAAGAGATGCAATCTTCACTGTCTCTTCCTGGGGTTCTTCCCAGGCTCCCAGGAAGGCAGGTGTCACGCCACTACTGCCACAGCTTCAGGAGGCACACAGCGCGTGGGTTAATGCAGCCTGCTCCATGAAAAGCTCCCACTGGCTCTTGCCACTGCCTCCAAGCACAACTTCATACTGAAAACATCACACCCCAGCACCATCATTGCCCCTAGGGAGAAGACACAAGAAGTCAGAAGGAACCACAAGCCTACAACTTACACTGCTTGGTCCCATAAAGAAGGTCAGGAGTTCCTAGAAGGGAGAAATTTCCATCCAGTGAAAAGCAAAATATTTGCTTTCCTTGGTACATATTGCTCCTGTCCATAATTTCAAATCTTCCTACTCAGTAAACCTTATCATCCTTCAGTGGTGGTCACATGGCAGTCCGAAACACGTCAGTGTTTGTGTCTGTTTTCTCAGTAACTTCTCTCTTTGTTTCCCACTAACTGTTACTTCCTGCAGTTTCCTGTTCTCTCGCATTTTTATGTCCACTCCTCCCGAACCCTGCCATTTATAATCCCTACCTGGACTGACTCTTGGGGCTTTGCCTCCTGTCCTCAAGCCTAATCTGCCTGAATCCTTTTCTCATTTCACTCTGCATACTCAAACTTACAGTATGATGTGCCCTATGATTTTTAATTAAAAAATTACACATAAGTTACAAATGATATTTTAAGTTCAAAAAAAGAATTTCCTTTCATTTACATCTCAGTATATGTAATTTTCTCATGATAGCATATTATTTGTGCATTCTGGGATGCTATTCAAATACTGTGAATATCAATTAAATACGCCAATTGCTCTAACTTAAAAAAATGGAACAAATTTATTCCCATCCCTTTTGCAGTTTTACATCCACAGCCAAAACAAATTACTGCAGACACATTTCTGTAGCTTTTGCTTCAAAATCCTGCCTTCAATGTTTTTTTTTTCCCTTTTTAAAATTTATATGTCCCATTGCAGTTTAAGTGAAATGATCTACAATAAAAACCTAACTGCCCTGGTATTTTTAGAGCCCTTTTTACTATGAAATAAACACTCAGAAACCTGGAGAATTGCAGTGGTTAAGTCTGTGAGTGGGAAGGAAGGCTGCTCATTCACAGACCCTCCCAGCGCCCGTTGTTTACATAGCCTATTCCGTGAGCAGGATGCTGACAGAACACAATTCACAGAATTTCCACACACAGGTCCAACCATAACAAAGTCTGCAGCTTTTACTTTTGCTTACAGAACCTCTTGCTTGCTCGCTCATTAGTTCCGGGGGGGGAAATAGAGTAGGCTTCCCAAAAACCAAAACCAAAAGGCTTTAGAAAATAAGCCTGAATGAAACCATGGCATTAAACCGTATCTATAAGAATGTATACAGAAATATGTAGATACACAGACCTGGAAATGTGTGCTTTACTAAATACATTCACTAGGAGCAGATCATGCATTTGATAAATATTCTGCCAGGCTTAAATAATCATCCCTTTGAAAACACCCTCATCTCCCTGGCTTGCCCCCTTTTCTAAAGTCCAGTGGTACTTGCTGTGTAAAACCTTGGCCCTTGTGAATCCATGCTGCAGCTTTTCTTCCTGGTGCCCACACAGCTGAACACTGCTGGAGAATATCAGACAACTGAGCTGACAGCGTTGGCTTGGATTTCTGACCACAACCCTTGAAGGGAAGGGGCTCAGCAGTGCCTCACAATCTTCTTATGCATCCTTGGTCATTTTGCTTGGCCACTTCCTGAGTAATTATTTCCTGCTTCCTCTCTCATCACACCACCACCCCTTCCCCAAAAGTCCTGGTGAGGAGCTCATCTCATATGTAGTTGAGAAAATAGCAATTAGCAAGAAACTCACTCATCTCACCACCAACCAATTTAACCAATTTACAAGCTCACCTGCACACGCACACCCCCCATGTCCTGTCTTCCCTCCTGTTCAGATGGAAGGAGTGTCTCTGCTCCTATAAAGTGCAGCTGTCCACTTGGGCCCTGATCACCTCCACTCCTACCTCGCCAGGACCCTCCGCAGCAGTGACCCGCGTCATTGCTGGATTTCTCATGTCAATTACAAACATGCTAGAAGAGCTACCTAGATTAAAAAGAAAAAAGTTCTCCTTGATCCTACCTCTCCCTCCTTCTAATTACTCCTCATCTCTGTGTTCTGCATTTAGCACAATTTCCTGAGAAAGCTGTCTAAACTTGCCTTCTTTGCTTCTGCAACTCACATTCATTCTTCAGGCTTCTCTAATCTGGCTTCTATCCCTACCAGTTCACCAGTCAGAACTCCATGCTACAAACCGTGGGATCCACCCCTGCACCCTCTTGCTTGCCCACTCAGCGGTGCCCTGGGCTGCCTCTCCCCCAGGGCTGCACCTGTACATCTCCAGGATGCACACACACTGCCCGCCCTGGCACTGTGTGGGTGAGACCAGAGCAGGTCAGCAGGGTGGCCCTGGTTTCTGCTGCTGGTACACCGCATGCTACACATTTTTCTTTTCATCTAGTCTAACTTAGCTGGTACTTTCTCTTCAACCCCATTTTTAGACACTGGAGACCTGGGAGCTCAAGTGATCCCCAGGAGATTTTGTACAGTCCCATGATTTTAGATGCCATTTCTATGCTGAGGTCTTCTGTCATGAAGGGCTGGACTCCAGGAAATTTTGTATAGTCCCGTGGTTTTGGATGCCATTTCTGTGCTGGGGTCTTCTGTCACAAAGGTTGCACCCCAAGAGATTTTGTATAGTCCCGGGATTTTGGATGCCATTTCTATGCTGAGGTCTTCTGTCATGAAGGGCTGGACTCCAGTCTTGAGGTGTCAGGACAGTGGCTTTCAAGACCATGAGATTTTGTACAGTCCCATGATTGTGGATGCCATTTCTATGCTGGGGTCTTCTGTCATAAAAGACTGAACTCCAGGCCAACTTCCCCTTCGGCCTTGCATCTGGGCAGGTCAACAGAAGACTAAGAAAGCCTGAGTGCTCCCTCCTATGGCCCAGGGTGGGGTTCAAACCTCACAAGGCCCAGCCCAGCCCAGCCCAGCCCAGCCCCAGTCACCATCCTACTTCCTTTTTTTTTTTTTTTTTTTTTTTTTGAGACAGGGTCTCACTGTTTCCCAGGATGGAGTGCAGTGGTGTGATCTTGGTTCACTGCAGCCAAGACTTCCTCAGCTCAAGCAATCCTCTTGCCTCCCAAAGTGCTGGAATTACAGGCATGGGCTACCACACCTGGCCAGCATCCTACTTCTATAGGGTGACCACACCTTCCAAAATTCTAGTTCCAGCCCTGCCATCTCTCCTATGCTCCAGATCATATATGCAACTAGCTTGCCTGACATCTGCAACTGTGCAATTGGTATCTCAAATTTAACACAACTAAGATTCTTAGCCCAGCCATCCCCAAGCCCCTTTTTCATCTTTGCCACCCAAGAACATGATTCTACCAACCACATGGTTGCTCCAGTCAACATTTTAGATGTTACCTTCGACTCATCCTTCAAATCCTCTCCCTCATCCTCCATACGCAGCCCATCTGCAAGTCCTGCCAATTACAGCTCAACTACACTCTGGATAGGTCTGCTTCTCTCCAGGGCACTGCTTTCACCGTGATCCCAGCCACCATGATCTCTCACCTGCATGCTGTCACAGCCTCCAGTCTCGTTTTTCTCATTTTATTCTTGCTTCCTCCCCCGAGATCCATTTTCCATAAGGCAGCAAGAGGAGGGAATGTTAGGACATATCTCTCTTAAGGCCAAAACAATTTTTATGAGTAAGAAATGTGAGTTGTTCTGAATGCAGTAATACTTTTGATGAGACTTATTTCCTTTTTAAGAATGAAGATGCAGGGAACAATGGGAGGAACACCTTGGATGTGATATCTAAAATCGATTCCCACGGTGCTTCAGCCATGTCAAGCTGGACAACTACATCTGCTGGGACCAACGACAGGAGGAGCAGGGACAACGACCAAGGACATCACCAGGTAGACATCGTGTTGCTATGTGAAGGTGACCTGGTGGTAGTCACCTTCACTTGTTCCCAGATTTGAGAGACAAGCAAGTCTGTTACATCTCCAGTTCCTGCCACAGGTACTTTCAGTTGAAACTTGACGCCCCAGGGATGGGAAACCCAGTAGTGACACAGAAACTGGATTAGACATTCAAAGACCTCAGTCCCAGTTTCCCAACTTAACTAGCTTTTTAAATGTTTCTTAACATTTAGGGCCTCACTTTTCTCATTTTCAAAGTGAGGATATAACATTTTTCACAGGGAGCTGTTCAACGCAATTACGAATGAACAAACTATAGAACACCATTCAAATATGTTATTAAATATAACGTCTCTAGAAATGTCCCTTTAAAAACAGTACCTGGAATTTGACTATCAAATTTTTAAAATTACTATTATTGAAGCAACAGAAAAAGATTACAGAAATTTCAGAGACATAAAGGTATAGTCAAAGTAGAGACTCTTGGATCTTGCAGAAATGACAGAATTCTATTTCCAGCTTCTTTGTCCAACCTAGACATCAGCTTTTTCCTATACGGTTTCATTTCCTACCACATTTCCTGCCCTTCATTCATCCAAAGGTTACATGTAAGAATGGGAACAGGCAGAATTTCAATAACCAACTACATAGTACTACATTGTCCAAATCACTGAACAAACAAGATTCTCTTGTCAGAAAGTTCCTTTGTTATAAAATCTTTACTATAGTGTATCTATATTCAAAATAGATTAGGGGATATTTATTGAGCACCTCCTATGTACCTGGCTTTGGAGATGTAGCAGCCAACAAGAGTTGAGGTGGCTGCCTTCAAGGGGTTTACATTCCAGTGAGGGAAAAGGGAAGAGGCAACGAACACATATAGAAGTCAACAAGATGAAGATGACCAACAATAAAAGAAATGAAGAGCATGCTGATTAGATTAGAAATGGATACGATTCACTTTAGATAAGCAAGGGGGCGCTACTCCAAAGACTAAGCATGGGATCAAGACCTGAAAGGTAAGAAAAGAGCATGCAAACAGCTTGTGGAGTAATCGGCAAGTTCAGCCCAAAGGCAAGGAAAAACCCAGACTCTAGCTAGGCCATGGCGAGCAGAAGAAGGAGTGCTATGAGATGAGGGTGGAGACGAAACAGACCTCCAATCATGTCGCATCCTGTATGCTGTGGTAACAGGAGCCGTGGGTGTGATCAAAGGGTATTCAATAGGTAAACAACTTGATTTTGTTTTCAAAAGTATTAAATTTGAGATTATTTTGTGAACATTGGGGAGGGGAGCACTAAAAATGTCTCTAAATGGGGCAGTAGCATGAGTTATGCTTTACAAAAATTGGGTTGGTAAGACTGTGCAAGACAAACTGAAAGAGGAAGATGACATTGGAAACTGAGATACTACAGGTTGGTGCAAAAGTAACTGCGGTTTTTGCCACTGACCAGCTATCACAGTCAAAATGTAAAGGGTGCCCAAATTGCAAGGGCGGCAATGGCAATGAAGAGAAAAGGATAAAAGTGTGAAATACCACACAGGTGTGATAGACGGGATTTGGTGCTCACTGGAGCAAAAGAGGGAGAACTCAGAGCTACGGAGGGTCATTTCAGCCTAGCCAGAACGAATGCTGCCACAGGAAGACATACCAGGCATAAAGGTGAGGCCCAGGAACCAGGAGGACAGTGTGTTCCATTTAAGCCATGACACCACTTTCTTCTCTCCTTCTGAGTCCACCCTGTTACTTCCAAGGCTGCACACCAGTACCATTAGTGACCCTGAGCCATACACCAAACCAACTGAAGAAGGATATAGAGGGTTGTGTTTTTTTTTAAATTCCATTGGTAATTCTGATGTGCAGCCAGGGCCAAAACTCACTGGGCCAGGCAGAGCATGGAAACTAGATTAATTAAATTTCGTATATTTTTGGAGATGGAGGATTACTTTGGTCATTTTCCTTCTGCTTGAAGAACAGTCTTAGTACTCCCTTTGTGGAGCTCTGCTGGTGACAAATTCTCCTACTTTTCGTTTACCTAAAATGTCTCATTTTTAATGGATTCCTCCACCCCCATGAATTTGAAGATATCATTACACTGTCTCCTGGCTTCCATTACTTCTGTAAGAAGTCAACAAGCAGCCTGTCAAGGCTGGCACTAAGAAGATGCAGGAGAGCATTTGCCTTGGGTACAAAACTATCCACAGCCATGTTCCTACCAAAAATGCATGAGTAACGCAGTTCCTCCACATCTTCACCAGCATTTTAAGTTCTCGCTGGCTTTTATTTTAGCCATTTGATAGGTGCGTAGTGATAGCCCACTGTGGTTTTATTTTTTCACTTCCCCAATGGCTAATGATGTGAAATATCTTGTCATGTGTTTATTTGCCATTTTTTTTTTGCTCATGAACTTATTTCACCTTTTCGTGAAATAGTGTTTGCCCATTTTCTAACTGGGTTGTTTTTTACCATTGAGTTTTGAGATTTCTTGATTATCTAGATACTAGTCCTTTGTTATTTGTGGCTTGCAAATATCTCCTCCCAGTCTGCCATTGTCCTTCACGTGGGCTTTCACAGAACACAAGGTTTTAGTTTTGATGAGGTCCTAACACAGTTGATTTTTCTTTTTACATATTATGCTTGGGGTAGCAAGTATAGAAACTATGCCTAGTTTGGCCAGGCTTGGTGGCTCACGCCTGTAATCCCAGCACTTTGGGAGGCTGAGGCAGACAGATCACGAGGTCAGGAGATGGAGACCAGCCTGGCCAACATGGTGAAACCCCGTCTCTACTAAAAATACAAAAATTAGCTTGGCGTGGTGGCACGTGCCTGCAGTCCCAGCTACTTGGGAGGCTGAGGCAAGAGAATCACTTGAACCCGGGAGGCAGAGGTTGCAGTGAGCCAAGATGGCGCCACTGCACTCCAGCCTGGCAACAGAGTGAGACTCCGTCTCAAAAAAAAAAAAAAAAAAAAAAAAACCAACTATGCCTAGTTCCAGAGCCTTTTTTTTTTTTTTTGAAAAGTTTTATAGTTTTACATTTTACATTTAAATCCCTGATCCATTTGAGTTAATTTTTGTATAAGTTGTGAGGTTTAGGTTGATGTCCAACTGCAAAAGCACCATTTGTTGAAATTTCTCCATTGAATTGCTTCTGTACCTTTGTCAAAAACCAGTTGAACTTATTTGTGTGGGTCTATTTCCAGGTTCTCTGTTCTGTTCCATTCATCTATGTGTCCACGCCTCTGTCAATATCACAGGATCTAATTATTGCAGCTATCACAGTAAAGACTTAGTATTAAATACAGTGATTTCTCCCCGTTTTCTTGTCAAAATTGTTATAGCTATTCTAGGGCTTGTGCTTTTCCCTATAAATTCTAGAATAAGTCTGCCTATGAATATAAAAAGCCTTGCTAGAATTTTGATAGGAAATGCTTTAAAGTTATAGATCAATTTGAGAAGAACTGACATCTTTACTAAGTTGAGTCTTCAATGCATCATCACTAAATATCTCTCCATTTATTTCAGTCTTTAAGCATTTATTTCATCAGCACTTTGTAACTTTCATTAAACAGATCCCATTTTGTTATGTATATACCTAAGTATTTTATTTTCTTTGGAGTGACTCTAAAATATATTGTGTTTTTAGTTTTGGTTTTCAAATGTTCATTGATAGTATACGGAGATGGAGTTGACTGTTGTGTGTTGATCTTGTATCCTGCAGCTCTGCTGACCTGATTTATCAATTCTAACAATTGATTTATTTTGGTTTTTGGTAGATTCTTTAAGATATTCTATGTAAACGATTATATCATTTGCAAATAGCAATGGTTTTTCTTCCTTTACAATATGCAGGCCTTTTATTTCTTTTTCTTGACTGATAACAGTGTCTTGAACTTCCAGTGTTATAAGAACGAATCTCCTTGCCTTGTTTCTGGTCTTGGGGGGAAGTATTCAATCTTTCACTATTAAATATGATATTCACTCTACGTGTTTGGGAGGTGCCCTTTATGAAGTTGAGGTAATTCCCCACTATTAATTTATTGGGAGATTTTTTTTTTAAATCATGAATAGGTATTGGATCTTATTAAATGCATTTTTCCTGCATCAATTGATATAATCACATGCTTTTTCTTCTTTAATATGGTGGATTACACTGATTGATTTATAATATTTTAAAGTCTGAGTCTTAACGCTAATATCTGGAGCCCCTATGTGTCTGTTTTATTGTCTGCTATTTCTACTGATTCAATTTTGTTATCCTGGCTCTTTGTATACCTAGTTATTTTTATCTACACCAGACACGACACTACACTTGCAAAACTGCTGGCAGAAATAATTTGAGATACCAAGATAATATTGTCGTCCTCCAAAGAGGCTTCTGTCACACCTGAATCACTAGCAATCCAGGATTACCCTAATCCAGGGTCAGTGACTGAGATGATCTGAGGGTAAACTGCACACTCTCTGAGGGCCTGTCTGCTTCGGTTCACATTTACTCTTCAGGTGCTTCCCTTCAAGATCCCAACCTCAAGTAAAAGGTTCACCAGGATGTGCTCAGTTGGCAGACCACGGACTCTAATTTCTGCCCTCCTAGTCCTGTGATGCTCCAAAAGCACCTTGCTGCTTAATCGTCTCCTTTGTAACTGGCAGACACCCCTAGTCCTAAACCATAGGCTCACCTCCTGTGGCCTCTACCTTTCCCTGGACTCTGACTGAGAACATATTTACTATATCATGAGCTTTTTCAAGCTTTGAAGCATATTTTTCATATTTAGTCTGAGTTTTCTCATCCTTAGGAGGAGGTGTCACTTGATTTCTGAGTTTGCAATTGCTAAAAACAGAAGTCCCTCATGACCTATCCTGAGTACCTGATGAAAGTTGTGAACCCTCTTCCAGGAAAACTATATATGCCTACAATATTTCCACACAATTTCATGGAGTTTTCTGACCCTTTGAAGCCCATCCATGAACACCAGGGCCCAAGGTCCTCAAGTTAAAAAAGCCAACTATAGCCAAGTGCAGTGGCTCACACCTGTAATCCCAGCACCTTGAGAGGCCGAGGTAGGAGGACTGTTTGAGCCCAGAAGTTCCAGACCAGCCTGGGTAACAAAGGGAGACCCTGTCTTTACAAAAAAACTTTTTAAATTAGCCGGGTATGGTGGCACGCATCTGTAGTCCCAACTACTTGAGAAGCTGAGGTTGGAGGACTGCTTGGGTCTGGGAGGTCAAGGCTACAATGAGCCATGATTGTGCCACTGCACTCCAGCCTGGGTGAAAGAATCAGACCCCGTCACAAACAAACAAACCCCAATATAATAAAGGAACTGTATGGTAGTTATAGTTGAGACGTACTGAAAGCTTTCTCTGCCAGGTACTGTGCATCTAGCCCTGTCATCATGCTTATCTTGCACATGGCCCTCACAGTCTGCAGGAATCGTGGCTTGTTAGTTAAATTGCAGAGCTGACTCCTGAGGAAGGCCAGTGGTGCTGGGCCCAAGAGGACCTTCTACTGCTGCTGCAGCCAAGATGCCAAGCCCTGAGTTGACATAAAGGAGTTACCAGGCAGAAGGCCAAGAAACAAAGTCTCAAGCCTGGACATGTTCTGAACTGATGAAGCCATCCAAAAAGCCCTTCTGAGTGGGTGGAACAACACAGCAGAGGTCCCCACAGGACCCAAAAATAGTAGTCAAGTAGGCATCAGTGGCCAAATTCCAGGAGTCCCTAGAGAAAGGGTTGATCTCATCAGGGGAGAAGGTCTACAATCAAGAATATAATCACGGGTTGAGACTCAAGACTCCTAGGATGGGCAAAGGGCTCCATGCCAGAGTCTTGGCTCAGAGGTGTTAAAGGCCCCTAAGCCAGCACTCGCAGGAGTGAGACACACGTCATGACCCAGCAGCTAGTGGAGATGGAATTTCTGAAATGCTACCACAATTCACTGTCTTTAGCTTGGGACTTAGGTGGGAAAGGGCTATAGAACACAACAGTGACTCTTGATGGGGCCAATTCAAAATCCACTAATCTGCTATTAAAACATTTTTGTGGCTTTACTGGCATTTAGTGGTTAAGGAAAACTAGAAATATACCATATAATAGCAAACTGTCACACACAATTTTCAGACGTTCCACTGTATCATCATGTATGTGGAACCTTCTTTTAGAGCCTAAAGCTGTTTTACATAGAAATACAAAATATGTTTTGCATGTTCTGGCATCCTCTGACTTCTCTGAAAATGTAATTACCCTGTTGGTCAGGGAAGATTTTACAGCAGTTTCATCATAGCATTATCAAGAGTTGTCTATCGTTTTGGAAAATCACCTCCTGGAAGGCAAGGCCACATGAGGCCCTCCTCTAACAGCCTGAATTTGCAGTGGTCACATTCTCAGAGAGCCCATGTGTAGATGCATGCATCCGTTCATGATGTCTCCCAGTCTCATAAGACCCAAGTATTTACACTGGAAATGTACATTATCTTATTAAAATTTTTTTTGTGTGTGTGGGGGAGGGGAGACAGAGTCTTACTAGAAACAGGTCCAGACTGGAGTGCAGTGGCGCCATTACAGCTTATTACAGCCTCCACCTCCTGGGCTCAGGTGATCCTCCCGCCTCAGCCTCCCAAGTAGCTAGGACAACAGGTGTGCGCCAGCATACCTGGCTAACTTTTAAACTTTTTTTGTAGAGCCAGGGTGTCGCTATGTTGCCCAGGCTGGCCAGGAACTCCTGGGCTCAAGTGATCCTCTTGCAGTACTGAGATTACAGGTGTGAGCTACTGTGCCTGACCTAGTTTTCTTTATATTGTAGTAAAGGCAATATATGAATTTTTTTTGAAAGAGTATTTTGAATTTCATTTCAGGATCTCCAACCAGGTATTATAAAACATCTGTTATTAAAAACCGGTGTTGGATCTGAATGGGTTTAGACCTTGCCATGTATCAAATCCTTAAAACAATCTGTTCCACAGACTGCACTCTGGCCAGTTTTCGAAGCCCCCCACCTCACCCCTAGTACTTAAAATCCTTTCCTCCTGCTGCTGCTTAGATATAGAGAAGCCTTCCCAGGATTGACTCTGCAGCCCCACCCTGCAGCCCCACCCTGCACCCACAGCCCTCTCTGCCTCCTTGGGCCCCTCCTACTCACCATGCCTCCTCCCAGTGCGTTCTGCTCACCTCCTACATCCCCTTCCCTCTCCTCACCTACTAAAGCCCGAATTGCTCTTCCGGTGTCAGCTCCAGCAAGACCACCTCATGTCCGTTTGCCATGACCTAACTAGCCACCCTTCTCCCAGGGCGTGGTCTCTCGGTCTAAGGAAGTACTGACTGATGGCTGTTTGCCTCCTGAACCATCTGAGCACCACTGTGTGCCCAGCACAGCACAGACAGTGCCCAGCGCACACAGGCATTCCATTTGTTGAATGGAGGGGTGGGGGAACAGAGAAAAAACTACCACCAGAGGCTCCTGGTTTCCAGTCCAAGGATGAGTGTTTACAGTAGTGACTTCCAGAGTTCTGAAAGGTATATACATTCGCCTTGGTACAATGGCTCTGCTGTTTAGGTGAAACCTTTCATACTTCATTTCTCCCCAAAAGTTTTACATTTTAAGAACCCTCTATACAACAGAGAGGACATTTATTAGATAAAAAAAATTTCCCCAGCTTATATGAACCTTCTTTGTTTCTTAATAAACACTTATCTTATTTTTAGGATGATTTATACAAGTTAGTAGCTATCTGCTCCATGCAGTATAGCTACTGATAATAATATGTATTTTATATTTAAAATTTTTCTTTTATTTCGGTGTAAATTCAGAGGATAAACCTCTCATTTCTAAGTTTTCATGGTCAGATCTTCAAGATTACAGATGAATGCAAACAGATGCTATTACAAATACCAGTGAATACCTGGCGTTTGAAAATCCGGCACATGAACCACTGGGAGTTCATGCACGGTAGCAGTCAGGGACCCTGGATCTCAGAGCAAAGCTGCTGGGGTTCACATTAGTACCCACCACTTACTGGCTACATTACCCTAGGAAGCTCAACTCACCTATCTAATGAACCTGAGTTTTCTCAACCACAAAATAGGGATATAATAATAGTTCCTAACTCAGAGAGTTGGTGAGGGAATTAATTGGGGTAAGTCTCATTTCAAAATGTGCGAAACTTTGTAAGCAGTCAATAAGTGTGTGTTATAAACAATTTTATGGCAGTTGTCCATCCACAAGCCATGGTGTAAACTATCAAGGAGGTCTAAGCAGCTGTTTACGGGAGAGTGGCAAGACGAACAGCAGAGTCAGGGATGTGAGGACTTGATCCAGCTCCTTCATTTACCAAATGGGGAATTTCAGGCAAATGCCTTACATTTCTCATCTCATCTATAACATGGAGATAATTATATCTGCCCTGGGGTATCATGAGGTTGTTGTGAGAATTAAATGAGATATATGAATTTGCTTCAAAATTTACAAAACAGCATTAAAATCTAAAGTATTAATGTAATTGTTATTTTCATTAGAAATTCACTATTCTTCAAGTAACTTATGCATATAACAAGCGGATGACATATAAATAACAGACCATGTTTTCTTAAAAAATATACTCACCTAAGGAATAAAAGGCGCATATTTTAACTTCAAGATATTTATTTGAACCAGGAATAAAACCGTCTCAATCATGAACATAGTCAAGTGTTCTTTTAAATTCAGACAGATAAAAAGCACTCTCCAGAACACGTCAACTAAGATTATGCTGAGCTGTAAACTGTAGTACATTTCCCATCAAGAAAGCAAATCTCTATAATGAATTGCCTTTTATAAATGTGGGCTGGTACTATGCAATGTAAAAATACAATTAACAAAAGAGAACATTTTTGAAAGTTTTCAACAATGTAGTATAAAGCATTTTAGGATAATTTGACTTGCTTCCTTTTTAAACAACATTTGAAGTACACGTTAATGCCAATAAAAAAAATTTTTTTTTTTGCACAAATCAAGAGGGAAAAAGCATACACATAGCACACACCCACCCGCTTGCACTGCTAGTCTCTCATCATTTCCAGCTCAGTTAACCTCTGTGAAACTAGTACAGGAAAAATAAACCATGCTGCTACTGTGGCTAACACCACACAACTTTTTAATGGAACTGTTCCAAGGCGTGAAGTTCCATTTGAAAGTCACTAACAAAACCTTTGGAAATGTTAAGAAAAAAAGCAAGCCAAAGAATTGAAGGCCTGGCAAGTCTTGAAGCCCACACTTATCCACACTCATGAAAAGTAATCACAAGTCAAGTCTGGTTCTCTCTTTCCCTCCGTATTTTCTTCAAAGCAATCCACTAACAAAATTGCGATTTCCTTTTTCAGTGAAAAAAAGAAAAGGATGAAGGAAAAAAAGACAGTCTGCATAAACAAAATGTAGGGAAAAAAATTTGTGCCACCACACAAGAACTACAATTATTTCTTAACTAATCCACACTGAAATCTGTTGGTTGAGTACCTAGTGATTTAAATTTGTTCCTTTTTGCGTAAGAAACAAACACCACACTCTAAAACTAGCCAAGACACAGAAGGCCACCTACTTAGATAGCTGTAGATCCTTTTTTAAGTCGCAGGTTTAAAGGTTTCCAAGCTTAAAAAGATTTCCAGAAACCAAGTACCTTAATACACTCCAAACCTCAGACTGGTGATATTGCATTACTTTCTATAAGATACACACTTATATTTTGCTTAAAGAAGCATTTGCAGCTTTAACCCATTTAATGTAATATATAAGGCAGATGGTTCTTGACAACTATAATCTTGGAAGAAAACTGAAAAAATCAATTAGGTGTTTGGCAGCACTCAAAAAACAGCCTAATAAGCTCATTGCCATGCAAATCACCTACAATGTTAAATATATAAAACTGCTGTATTAAGCTCGGAGAAGGAGGAAAATTTCCTCTTCACTCATGTGACCGGAGACTAAAAGGAAGGCTCCAGGGGTGCTGCTGGCTGGGAAGAGAACTGGGGAAACTGCCCCAGTAGAGGTGGAGATGCCAGGGCAGAGGGAACTGGGCTTAACGGGGCAGGGCTGCCTCTAGAAAGAGCCAGCTTTTCTAGCACAGGTTAGGAGTGAGGCAGCAGAACTGGGCTTAACAGGGGGCAGGACTGCCTCTAGAAAGAGCCAGCTTTTCTAGCACAGGTTAGGAGTGAGGCAGCAGAACTGGGCTTAACAGGGGCAGGGCTGCCTCTAGAACGAGGCAGCTTTTCTAGCACAGGTTAGGAGTGAGGCAGCTTCCCACCAGTGAGTCAACCTTGCCATAAATTGCCAACAAATATGCTCAGGGCGAAAGAACCAGATCAGATGTTATGGGACTCTTTTTCTAATTACAGAAGTTTCTTCTGTGGGGCAGTTAGCCCCTTCCAATTAAGAAGTAATTACATTCTAAAGGATTGGTTACAAAGCAAGATAAACTAAAAATAGAAAGTGTGAAATAAGAATAAAGGCAAAAAATAATGGCTATTTTGCCAGTTACATTCTTTTTCTTCTTCATCCCCAAACTAGAAATCAATTGAAAAGCAAAAAATATTAGGTAACTGAGGCAAATGTGGTTAGAAACATCCCAAGTATACACAAGAATGATGAGTTCTATCCTTACTGAAATTGCCATAGATTCCATGAATGGCATGAGATCACATATGAAAGATGGTAATCTACAATGTTTGTTAAAAGTCACATATTACAATTCAGATGGGTCCAGATTATGTCAAACTGCAAAGAAATATCAGCTAAATAAGTAAAAGGGATCATAACTCTAAAACCTATGACTCCTTATTAAATTTACAAGAGGACAGTGGCAGCTTTGCTTGATAATTTATTTATAAAAAGACACATGAGGCCAGGCACAGTGGCTCATGCCACTTTGTAATCCCAGAACTTTGGGAGGCTGAAGTGGGCAGATCACTTGAGCTCAGGAGTTCAAGACCAGCCTGGGCAACATAGCAAGACCCCATCTTTACAAAAAAATACAAAAATATAGCTGGGCATGGTGGCATGTGCCTGTGGTTCCAGCTACTTGGAAGGCTGAGGTGGAAGGATCGCTTGAGCCCAGAGCTGGAGGGCACTTCAGCCTCGTGGCTGGGTGACAGAACAAGACCCTGTCTCAAAAAAAAAAAAAAAAAACACCTGAAAATGTGAAGGAGACAGTTCATTAAAACCTCGTAACCGCAGGCTAATTTCACTACATTTTATATGCTCACTTGGCTAAAACTCTCAGAGAAGCCAATGGAAGTTTGATTTTAGAACCACAGCAATAATCCCAATTGTATATATTAGCAGTTCTTAAGTTTTCTGGTCTTGGGATCCCAAAGCACTTTTTATTTTGGTTTTACCTATCACTATTTACTGTACTTGTAATCAAGCCTCAGAAAAATTTAAAATATTTATCTAGTAATTAATATGAGATAATAACCCTTTACATGTTAACAAAAATATTATTTATGAAAAAATATGTTTTCCAAAACAAAACAAAAAATTTTGAGTGGCACTGTTTTACATTTTTTTGCAAATCTCTTTAATGTTTGTCTCAATAGAAGACAGCTGTGTTCTCCTATCTGTTGCGGCATTCAATCTGTTGTGATATGTTGCTTTAGTTCAATTTATAAAGAAAATCCAGCATAATAAAATTACATAGCTGGAAAAGGGAGGACCTTGTAGGCCTCCTGAAATAGTCTTGAAGACCCCAGAGTCCTTGGACCACATTTTCAGAGCTGTTAATCTATAACACAAAAACACAACAATGTATACTTACACTTAGGACAGAGTGGAGGGGATAACTGTAAATATCCCCAGGAGCAAAGAAGCACTGTGTCCAATAATAAGACACGGTTAGTATATGCTAATGTGTTCTTTATAGACAAAAGGCCAGGAAAGTAAAATAATTTCAACAATAGTAGTTTAAACTTACGTAAAACATTGATCCTTTAATTTCACTGAAGGAACCACAAAAAACAATACATAGAACATTTAGTCTTCTAGGCGTCCATTACTCATGTCTATTATATGGCTATATATCTGTTTTATGAATGGAGTTCAAGAAGCTTCATCTATATAGACCCATGGATATCCATCACAAGGACATTAATTAGGCATTGGTAACTGGGAGATGTTCTGAGAGCATGCCTGTGAATAGAAATCTGCTAAACTTCCACTGGGTCTCAGGCAGCCCACTTGGTGGGAACCACAACATGAGTCTGAAATGAGGGATTAAGAACTTTCAAAACACAATTTTTGTGTGTAGGCGGGTTGGCCTTGGTGTCTTAATGCAAATCTGACACCCATCAGGAAGCTCAGGAAAGGGGAGACTAAACACTTAGTCATAAGTATATGTTAACCAGTAATATGAAAATTAAATCTGTCAAAATCCTCGCTTTTGATATGGTTACCAAACTCCAAATGTTGACTTCGAAAATCAAACCCAATCTGCCTTACCCCTACTCCATCTAAAATTAAATGTAATCCTTCAATTTATATAGAAGAAACACAAATCCAAGAGCAAGTTAAATTCAGCATCCTTAACTTGTCCCAGTTGCACCCAGACTCTGGAGTTCCAATCTCCTCTGCCACAGGGTCCCACATCAAACACCCGATGGCTCCCCATAAACAGAATGGAACGTACCATAGAACAAAGGGAGCCCAAAATAGCTTCAAAATACCAAAGGGGATTAGCCAGCAATTTTTGTCTTAAATTAAGCTGTTATGATCTAAAGCTTGGCAAGAAGCATCAGAATAGAGAATTAGATTAGCTTTATCACAAATGAAAATGACTAAAGCATTTTTAAAATGCTTTCATGAACAATAACAAAACTCCAAAAATTATGTATAGCACTGCATTCTATACAGGTATGATTGTAAAAGGAAGTTATTCCTTCTAAAATGTATAATCACACCACTTTCTCTTTAAGCTGGTTTTGACAATGTCATTATAAATTCTAATTGTTAGCAATTCATTTTTAATCAGCTTATGTAAAAAAAGGTATAGTATACTATGACTTTAGTAAGGACTGTATCTTATGATATATACATTTAAAGTATTTTTTTACATAGTTCTTTTACTCAATTATGTGTGCCTATATAAAATAGCAGCTAAGATGTCATATTTTATATTTTAAAAAACTTGACAACTGTCTTTAATTATATATATGAAGACTAGGAACAGTGTCTATAATTTAAAGCAACAAGACAGCATCCCTTAAGGAAATCCCTAGGGAAGGAAAGAAGAGAAAGGTGCGCATCTGTAATATTAACTGTTCTTTATTAAAATATCTGTGTTTTTCCAAGTTTTTCTTTAAAAAAAAAAAACACTTTCAGAGAAAATGTTAAAGCTTCGGAATGATACATTTCCATTTGTACACATTTATTACTTAAAATAACTCCTCCCGAGAGAAACTAACCAAGAGCTTTACTAAACTCCATAATTCTCATTAATCAACAAAAACTAGTGACTTGCTTCTTTTATCAATATTCATTAACATTAAAGACTAAGATCATAAAAGCTTCAAAAAAATGGAAAGTAGAAGAACAAAACAGGCTAGCAAGAACAACATTTTTGAATGAGGAAGAAAAACTTTGCAGATGACTCAAATTTTCATTTAATCAAACAAACATCAAAGGAAACAAGCGGTAAAAGTTAAATTTTAAAAAAATAGTAAGGAAATAAATTGATTAAATTCAATTTACCAGGACTTATAATGAAAAGTTGCTAACTTCTCCAAAGAGCAAAATATCCTACCGGTCATTTTCAGCTTTTGTGCTGAAACAGGCTTCAGGAGTATTAAGAAATGTTTTATTTTGTTGCCCCAAATAAAAGCTGGAAAAAGAAATACACAAAAGCATCATATGTAAAAAGGTTTTGCTGAAAAAGCAAACATTCTAAACAACGAAAATTTAGAGGAGGAGGCGGGAGAAGGAGGAAGGAGAAAGGAAAAGCAACCTAAAAGAAATGCTATACTTTTTCAAATTAAAAATCCTGAAAAGCCTGTGGAATGCTGTTTACTTGTGCTCTTGCAACGGGACTGGCCTGCCTGAAATGTCTGCGGACCATGACCACCCACACTATGGGAAGCATGATGATTAAAGAGTGTGCTGGATCTCGGTATCTGCCAGCGCGGTCTGTGCCATGTTGTAATTATTAAATTTGCAGTCTTTTTATAATCTGTTGCATGTGTTGTGGCAAGTCCCCTACATCGTCTAACAAGGAAACCACTGAACATAAATAGCAAGTTATTTTTAATGTGCACAAATGGCTAAAAAACTGGACACTTTTAACATTACGCTTTCAATTTTCACAAAAATGGCTTAACTTACCGTACATCTAACGCTGCAATGAAAATAGATATGCCACTCTAAATTCCCTTTCAAGCTCTTAAAGAAGATATACAGCCCAAGTTAAACCCCTTAACAGATAGCTAAGATACAGGTTAAACATGCACCAAGGGAACAATAAAATTCACCCTTACATCTGTCCAGTGATTAAACACACAGAAGAATACCAAGAAACATAGCAGTTGTAAAAATCTGCAGGTCTGTTTACCCCTAAACTTTTTTTTGTAACAAAAATTTGCTTTCCATTCTAATTTTGTTCATGATGACAGTAATGGGGTTGCAAAGACATGCTTTTCCAGGAGCATTATCCCAGGTACAGTGTATAAGGGTCAGTCAGGATACCCAGCATAGGAACTCAGAAAAAGAGGTGAACTAATGAATGGGAGTACAACCAAACCCTGCTCCACCCCCAGCCCCCAGCCCCACACTGCATGTCTTCTCTGTAGGAGCCAAGATAATATCAAGTTTGTTTTTTTTAAAGGTCAAGTCAGCTCAGCCAGAAATTGGCAGCCCAGCCTGGCTCAAAGGTGAGCAAGGAAGACCCTAAACCTCCACCTAAACTGGTCTATATCAGGGTGCCTGCCTTGGGAGGGGCAAGTGGGTGAACTCACATGAAGAGCTGGCCACAGCTTCTATCACTAAAAAGGAAAGAAACCATAAAGAAGAAAAGAAAACAAAAGAGCTATAAGAATTTTTTAAAAGATCCTTTCTAGAAGCATAAAGTCAAAACAACCAAAAAATCACAACTTCCATCTCTGTAGTGCTCCTGCCAAGAAGAAACCTTTCATCTGGAGGACAGATGGCAGTCTCCTATCCCTCTGCCCAGTGATCAAAGTCCTTGAAGATTATTTGCACAGGTTAAGCAAGGAATGAAGGCTCTTCCTTCCCAAACATACCCACCAAAAGCCATAAAATCCTAAAACCACAAGACCGAGACTCAGAAAACCAACTTTGAACTGTGCTGGCCTCCAGGAGATGCAACATTGCCCATCTCCCTCCTAGACTGATGCTCCCTAGAACTCCGGGTGGCTCCACTACTCTGACTGAGCAGGTCAGACGGACAAATCCCGGGTGCCTTCTCATTGACAGTGTTACAACCTCTCCACTAGCCACCCCCACCTATTTCATTATATACTGTACCTGTGGCAAAATGTTACAAAGATAAGAAACAACACAAAGCTGCTGGAGCCATAAAGCAGTTTGTTTAGAGGCTTAATATAACTTAACAAATTTTACTTCATCCTAAGGAAGAGGAATGAAGGGTGAGTGTGTGTGTACGTGTGTGTCTGTCTTTTCGGTGTTTATTTTAAAATTTTAATAATACAGACTAGACTACATTCAGGAGTGTGACACAAATGGCTCTAACTGTAGTATTTCAGCCTAGATGTTAAAAATCCATCTTCTAATAAACTTTGCAGGTAAGAGGTAAGGGACAGGAAAGTATTAAACTCTGTAAATGCCTTCTGCTAATCCAGAAGCCTTTTTTTTTTTTTTTTTTTTTTTTTTTTTTTTTTTTTGTGATGGAGTTTTTCTCTAGTTGCCCAGGCTGGAGTGCAATGGTGCAATCTCGGCTCACGGCAACCACTGCCTCCCGAGTTCAAGCGATTCTCCTGCCTCAGTCTCCTGAGTAGCTGGGATCACAGGCATGCACCACCACACCTGGCTAATTTTGTATTTTTAGTAGAGATGGGGTTTCTCCATGTTGGTCAGGCTGGTCTTGAACTCCTGACCTCAGGTGATCCGCCTACCTCGGTCTCCCAAAGTGCTGGGATTACAGGCATGAGCCACTGCGCCCGGCCTCCATAAACCTTTTAACAGAAAAGTCACCCATATTATCTCCTACTATGCCATTGCAAAGGATACTATCAAGAGAATTAAAAGAAAAGCCACAGAGTAGGAGAAAATATTTTAAAAAGACATATTCATATAAAGAACTGTTAAAACTTAACTAGAAGAAAACTACTTGATTAAAAAATGCACCAAAGACTGTAATGGACACCTCGTCAAAGAAGATATACAAATGAAAAATAGCATACAAAAAGATGCTGCACATTATATGTCCTCAGGGAAATGCAAATTAAAACAACGAGATACCACTATACACCTATTAAAATGGCCCAAATCCAGAACCCTGCTAACACCAAATGCTGATAAGGATGTATAACAACAGGAACTCTCATCCGCTGCTGATGGGGATGAAAAATGGTGCAGCCACTTTGGAAGACATTTTGGCAGTTTCTTATAAAACTAAGCATACCCTTACCATATTCTCCACCTATCATACTCCTTGATATTTACCCAAAAGAGTTGAAAACTTGTGTCCCCACAAACACCTGCACACAGATGTTTTTAGCATCTGTGTTTTAGTAAACACAGATGTTTTACTCATAATTCCAAAACTTGAAAGCAACCAAGATGACCTTCGGTAGGTGAATGGATAAGCTGTAATATATCCAGACAATGGAATGTTATTTTGCACTTTAAAAATGAGCTACTAAATGATATTACTAAATGAAAGAAGCCAATCTGAAATGGCTAGATAATCTATGATTCCAACTACAGGACATTCTGGGGAAGGAAAAAATGTGGATACAGTAAAAAGATCACTGGCTGCTAGGGATTAGGGAGAAGAGGGGAATGAACAGGGAGAGCACGAATAATTTCTAGGGCAGTGAAACTACGCTGTATGATACTGTAATGGTGGATATGTGTCATTGCACATTTGCCCAAACCCATAGAATGTACACTACCCAGAGTGAGCCCTAATGTCAACTACAGACTCTGAATGATAACGATGTGTCAGGACAGGTTCATCAGTTGTGACCAATGCATCCCTCTGGAGGGGACTGTTGATAACAGGGGAGGCTGTGCATGTGTAGGAATGGGTAGATATGGGAAATACCTGTACCTTCCACTCAATTTTGCTGCAAACCTAAAACTGCTTTAAAAAATAAAGTTTATTCTTTTTAAAAGCCCATGTATGAATTAAAACAAAATAAAATATGTCTATCTGTTGGGAGCAGTTCTCATTTCAGTAAATGGCAACTTGATGTAAAATCCTGGGAGTCTCCTTGATGTTCTTTCTCATCCGGCCCCCTTTATAAAATACACCATCAATATCTATTGATTATATTTCCAGACAAAATCTCCAATTCATCTGCTTCCCTCCATTCCAAGGTAATCACTCTGGTTCAAGCCCTCATAACCCCTTGCCTGGCCTACTGCAATAACCTACTTCCACTCTGGCCTGCTCCAGCGAGCAGCCTGCTAAAGATTGTAACCTGAAATATCTGCATCCAGACATATACCCAGAGAAACTCTTGCACATGTATACCAGGAAATATGCACAGAAATATTCAGAGCTCTACTGTTTGTAACAGCAAAACCTGGAAATAAACACACTCTACCCTGGTACAAATGAATGCACACGACTACATGCACCAACATGAACAAATCTCAAAAAAATACACCATCAAGCAAACAAGCAGGTGGCAGAAGAATACATGTCATTATATCTATATAAAATTTTAGAAACAGGAAAAATTAATATATATTATTTATGACTAAATCAATACATAGCAAAACTATTTTTAAGAAAGCAAGGTGACAATAAATAGAAAATTCAAGATAGGAAGAGAGAATAGGATATGTGAGCAGGGACAGTTATGTGGATGATATTGAACATATCAGTAACATTCTATTCCTAACACTGGATGATAGATATGTGTTATTTATTATTTTTTAAATTATAAAATGATATACTTGGTTAAAAAAGCAAGAGAAGTCTCAATTAAAATGGTAAAAAAAAAATTCAGGCTTAATAAACCTTAATCAGAAACTCAGTTCCCTAACAATGACAATCACAATGACAATAATTAACATTTTTTGAGCACATAACATCAGGCATTGTTCTAAAAGCTTTACACACACACATACACATACACACTATATATAATCACTTAATCCAACAATCCTACGAGGTGGTAAAGTTATTTTGTCACTACAGATAGAAAACTGTAATTTCGAAAAGTTATATGACTTGCCCAGGGTAATAAGTAGTAAGTGACACACCAGGATTTGAACCCAGGCAATTAGCTGTGTTGCAGAGTACTTGGCATAGCCATTCCAAAATTCAGTCTCAATTTGGTTTAACTCCTTTTAAATCTGATCTAGATGCCCAACAATTTGTTTCAACTTAACAATCTTAACAAATGGCAATTATTACAGAATGGAGACTCTGAAAACATGTCATATATATTCCATAAACTCTATCTATATACTAATAGGACAGGTTACAATAGATCTTTGTAACCTGAAAAATGTTAATTTTACCAAGGTCAAGTAGCATATTAATATATATACTAACCTCTAACACTACTTAAAAATTTCTTGAAGGCTTACCAATTTTTTCAAAGGATTTTAAAGCACTCCAGTTGTCTTCAGGACTTCTAACCCTAGCAAGCTATTATATGTATCCTCCTGCTACAGAAAACTAGAAAACTGAACAAAATATCTTCAGACACTTGACAACAGGCAGCACCAGACTGTGATCCTGAAAGCAGAAAAACCAATGAGGGAATCCCTATGATTGGCCTGGCTTTCTGCCTGGGTGCACTTTCTGAATCAGGGCTGGAGAGCCATCGTGAGCAGAGCACAGAAGTTTCACTGAGTTAAGGAGACCAACACTGGAGTCTGATAAGGCAAAGATAGCTACAATTTGAGAGCCAAGAGGAAACTAGATAGAGAAAAGGCTCCAGAAATCAACATGGGGGCTCTGAGTTTTTGGCTGAATAATAATCTGTGCATATGTAGGGTACTACTTGACCTTGTTATGCTACTTGACCTTAACATGCTACTTGGCCTTGGTAAAATTAATTATCTGTGCATATGAAAGGGCAGATAAAATTAGCCCTGGAGAAAGGCCACTATAGACCTGCCCCAACAACGTTTACAAACAAGCTTGGAAAGGATAGACCTAATCTACAAAACATAAATGTCTGCCGGGATAAAACAACACTCTCTCTAAAAGAAGACAACATAATCAACACATTCATCAATGCAATGTTCATAATACCTGGCATCTAATAAAAAGTTACTAGGTATGCTCAGAAGCAGTAAAATATGACCCATAACCAAAAAGAAAAGCAGCTTAAGGAAGCAGGCTGGAAATGGCAGAGATGATGGAAGTAGTAAAGACCTTAAACAATTACACGTATTATAGGTATTTAAAGAAAAACATAATCAGGAGAGAAATGAATGGTAAGAAAAAAAAAAAAAACCAGAACCAGTCACAACTTCTACAGATATAGAATACAATATATGAAATAAAAAATACACAAAGCAAAATTAAGCAGACTAAATACTTCAGGAGAAAGACTTAAAGATTTAAAGTCATTCTTTCTTTAAACCTTTTTTTAAAAGAAAAATCTTTAGAAACTTAAAGACATAGCAATAAAACTATCCAAAAGGAAGCAGAGAGAGAAAACAGATGGGGAAAATTATGACAAGAACCTCAATGATCTTTGGGAAAATCTCACGTAGGTTAACACTGATAGAATTCAAGTCCTAGGAAAGGGGGTACAGGACAGAATAAGCACTTAAAGGAATGATAACTAAATTTTTTCCAAATCTGATGAAAACTATAAATGCACAAATAGAGGAATCTCGAAAGACTCCAGCTAGGATGAACACAAAGAAAACCATACCATGATACATCATAATCAATCTTCTGAAAATCTATGATAAAGAAAAAATTCTTAAAAGCAGCCTAAGTAGAAAAAGATACAGATGAACAAAGATAAAAATGACAACAGCCTTCTCAGAAACTATGCAAGACAGAGGTGAATGGAATTACCTCTTTAAAGTACCAAATAGCAAAGAAAAAAACCTGTCGAATTAGAAATCTATCATGCAAAAATGAAGGTGAAATAAGGCCTCTTTCCGAGAAACCAAAGCTGAGAAAATTTGTCAGCAGCAGACATGCACTCCAAGCAATGGTAAGAGAAACTCAAGAGGAAGGAAAGTGACATCACATGGAAATGTGTATCTGCAGGAAGAAAGGGAGAGTGCTGAAAAGGGAGAATCTGTGGGTAAACAGAAAAGATTTTTTCCTTACTTGTCAATGTTCTTAAAACAGTAATTTTGTTTAAAACTAATAATATACTGTGGGTTTATAAAATGTTTAGAAGTAAATGTACCACCACGATAAACAGAAGGGAGAGGAGATGTGGCTGTAGACTGTGATGAGGTTCTAATAGTATACACATATGTTATGCACTCTATTTTCAAGTAATATTTGTAGTCATGTATTATGCAAAATATGAATATTATAAATCCTAGAGCTGTGCTTCCCAACACAGTAGCCACTGACCACATGGGCAAATGAAAGCTTCAAATGTGGCTTGTCTGAACTGAGATAAGCTACAAGTTACACACTGAATTTCAAAGATTTAGTATGAGAAGGAGAACAAAGTATCTCATTCTGTTTATTTCGACTACATGTTGCAATGATATTTTCATTATACTGGGTTAAATAAAATATTTTTATAATTAATTTCATTTCTTTCTTTTGAGTTTTTCAATGTTGCTAATGGGAAATATGGGGGTCACAATTGTGGCTCACATTATATTTCTATAGGACACTGCTGCCCTAGAGCAGCCAGTAAGAGATAAAAAGATATGCCTAATAAGCAAAAAGTAGAGATGAAAGGAAACAGTAAAAACCATCAATCAAAAGAGTTAGAATAGCCAAAACAGTCCCTAAGAAGAACTAAGCTAGAAGGCTCACACTTCCTGATTTCAAAACTTACTAAAAAGCTACAGTAATAAAAAACAGTGTGGTCCAGGCAGAAAGACAGACATACAGATCAGTAGAATAGAATACAGAGTCCAATAATAAATCCCTGCATATCTGGTTGAATGATTTTCAACAAGGGTGCCAAGATCATTCAATGGGGAAAAGACAGCCTTTGCAACAAATGATGGTGGGAAATTCTGACTATCCATATGGAAAATAATGCAACTGTGTACCCTTACCTAGCCCCATATACAAATATTAACTCAAAATGCATCCATGGCTTACATTTAAGACCTAAAACTATAAAATTCTTAGAAGAAAAGATAGGGCAAAGCTTTATGACAACAGATTTGGCAATGATTTCTTGGATGTGACACCAAAGGCACGGACAACAAAAGAAAAAAACAGGCAAATCAAATAGTCGAAATTTAAAACTTTCAAAAGACACTACAGATACAGTAAATAGGCAACCCACAGAATGGGAGAAAATATTTGCAAATCATATACCAGGATAAGGGATTAATACCTGGAATGTATAAAGAACTAAAACTCAACAATAAAAACCAAACAACACAACTGAAAAACAGATGGACTGAACAGGCATTTCTCCAAACATGACATACAAATAGCTAACAAGCACATGAAAAGATGTTCAACACCATTAATCATTAGAAAAATGCAACTCAAAACTATTACAATGTGATACTATGTTACACCCATTAAGATAGCTACTATGAAAAAAACAGAAAATGGGCCAGGTGTGGTGGCTCACACTGGTAACCCCAGCACTGTGGGAGGCCGAGGCAGGAGGACTGCTTAAAGCCATGAGTTGAGAACAGCCTGGGGAACAAAGCAAGACTCTATTTCTACAAAAAACATATTTGGAAAATTAGCTGAGCATGATGGTGCATGCCTGTAGTCCCAGCTACTGAAGAGGCTGGGGTTGGAAGATCGGTTGAGCCCAGGAGTTTGAGACTACAGTGAGCCATGATCACATTACTGCACTCTAGCCTGGGAAACACAGCAAGACCTTGTCTCTAAAAATAATAATAATATATAAAAAATTAAAAATAGAATTACCAGATGATCCAGCAATTCCACTTCTGGGTTTATACTTAAAAGAACTGAAAGCAGGATCCTGAAGAGATATTTGTACACCCATGTTCCCACCAGCATTATCCACAAACAACTAAACTGTAGAGGCAACCCAAGTGTCCACTGACAGACGAATGGATAAGCAAAATGCAGTCTCTTCATGCAATGGAATTTTACTCAGTCCTAAAAAGGAAGGAAATTCTGACTTACGTTAGAACATGGATGAACCTTGATGGCATTATGCTTAGTGGAGTAAGTCAGACACAGAAAGACAAACGTATGACTCCGCTTATATGAGGTACTTAGAGTAGTCAAAAATCACAGAGAGAGAATGTAGAATGGTGGTGCCGGGGCAGAGGAAATGGAGAATTACTGTTGAATGGGTACTGTTTCACAATATGAAAAGAGTTCTGAGGATGGATGGTAGTAATAGCTGCATAACAATATGAATGTACTTAATACCACTGAACTATATACTTAAAAATGGTTAAGATAATAAATTTTATATGCATTTTACCACAAAAATATATGATAAAAAGTTTAAAAGAAACATTAAAAATAGGTCAAATTGAAGTAATAAATTTAGTTATAAAAAAGAGTTCCAAACTAGCAGTAATTTTAAAAAATTAAATGGTGTAAACTTACCAGTTCAAAGACAAAGATATCTCTTACAGTTCGGATACAGATCACTGCTTCTGCAGTAATAACTAGATAAAATGGGTAAACCACTTTGCATCTGAGGATGCAAAGAAATGTAAAAGAATTAAATTCCTAAAAACAAGAGCCTCTCTTAGGGGAGCAGAGAGCAGTTTATACGGTCTCTGAAGAGGTAAGGAGAAACAAGAAAGTGAGGGAAGAAGGTGGTAGGAGAGGAGGAGAGGGAGATGGAGAGAGGGAGATAGGGAGAGAGAGTGAGGAGGATGGGAAAGAGGAGGAAAGAACAAAGAACAGATGACAAAAATAGAAAACAAATAGCAAGGTGCTTGATGTGGCAGTTTTGAAGTCTGGTGTTAAAGATCTTTGATACTCCTCCCCCCGAAAGGTGGGGTTTCAGATCCCTTCCCTTGAATCTGAGTGGGGTAGTATGACTGCTCCTGCTAAGAGAGTACAGTATAACTCTGTGATTTCTGAGGATAGGTTACAAAAGGCTATGTAGCTTCTGCCTGGTTCTCTTGGGGACACTCTCATGAAACCCAGCCATTATGCTGTTAGGAAGCCAAGAAGCCCCACGTAGAGGCCATGGGTTCCAGATGACAGCCTCATTTGAGGAACCAGCTGACAGTCGGTATCAACTAACGTCAGGAAAACTAGGGAGTAAGCACGGAGGTGACTCCAGCCCCAGATGCTGAATCCTGCCAGCATTCAAGTCTTCCCAGTGGAGGCCAATTACATTGTGTAGTGGAGTTCCTAACCCAGAATCTAAAAAGGCATTAAAAGGATTATTATTTTATTCACTAACTTTGGAATGGCTTGTTACTTAACAACAGCAACTATTATTAAAGATTTAAACCAGCCATATCAATAATTATATTACATAGAAATGTTTTAAATATTAGATGAAAAAGCAGCAGGTGTCACATTAGATAAAACCAAAAACTATACGCTACCTATGAAAAACCCACTTTAAAGACACAAGTAAGTTAAAAGTAAAAGGATGTACCATGCAAACAGTAATCAAAAGAAAACTGTTATTGTTGTTACTGTTGTTTTAATGTCAGACAAAGCAGACTTAAAAACAAAAAGTATTACCAGGAAAAAAGAAAGATTTCACAATGATAAAAGGGTCAATTCATCAAGAAGATGTAACAATTCTAAATGTGTTTATACACAGTTACAGAGCTTAGAAATAAATGAAACAAAAAATGACAGAATTGAAAATAGCAATTAATAACTCATAATTGGAGGCTTCAACATCATCTCTTAGGAGATTGATAAAAATAGACAGAAAATCAGAAGACTATAGGGACCTGAACAACACTATTATTGGTAGACAATTCTCCATGGGTCTGCTGCATTTCTGCTTTTGCTCCAGACTATATTTTCAATGATATTTGTACAGCCAACCCCTTTGGAAAAGAGACAGGGTCTCATTCAGAAGAAATGGGACAGGTTTGCTAACTGTCCAACAATAAGAATAATGTCTTCCTCCACGAAAAAGGAAGTTTGTTTGCAGCCTATTATAAAAGATTTGAGCAATACAAGCTGTAGGTTCCTCAGCTGTGACACAAACCCACATGTGCACAGTATTTATCTAGGACTCTCTGCATCTCTCCCATAGGTCTTCTGGGACCAGAGGAGCAGATACAAACACCAAACTCTTGTGGCTTGCTGTGCTGTGATTATAAAATCCTTTGTCTCTGACCCAGAAGTCCTATGTCTTCAGCCAGCATGCATGAAACAGTGGCAGTCTAACTTGTTACCTTCCAAAAAGGAAGGAAAAAAAAATCTCAGACCGGCCACAGTCTTCGATAATTATCAACCATCTTAACCCAACTGACATTTAGAAAATATTCCACCCAACATTATTTTGAAGTTTACATGGAACAATTACTGAAACAAACCAAATTCAGAACCATAAAACAATTCTCAGTGAATTTGAGAAGACTGAAATAATACAAATATATAATCAGACACAACAAAATTAAATTATACATCAGTAACAGAAAGATATGTGGAAAAGCCTCAAATATTTGTTAATTTAAAAACACATTTCTAGGCCGGGCCTGGGGGCTCACACCTGTAATCCCAGCACTTTGGGAGGCCGAGGTGGGTGGATCATGAGGTCAGGAGATCGAGACCATCCTGCGTAACATGGTGAAACACCATCTCTACCAAAAATACAAAACATTAGCCGGGTGTGGTGGTGGGCGCCTGTGGTCCCAGCTACTCGGGAGGCTGAGGCAGGAGAATGGCATGAACCCAGGAGGCAGAGGTTGCAGTGAGCCAGATTGTGCCACTGCACTCCAGCCTGGGTGACGGTGAGACTCCATCTCAAAAAAAAAACAAACAAAAAACACATTTCTAAATAACCAATGGTCAAAAAAAGAAATCACAAGGAAAATTAGTAAATTTTTTTTAACTAAATTTAAATAAAAACACAATGTATCAAAATTCAGTGGATGCACATAAAGCAGCGACTGAGGGAAATTTATAGCTTTAAGTCTCATGGTGTAAATAAAGAAAGGTCTCTGAGCAAGTATTTGTCACCAGCTTAAGAGCTAGGGTAAGAAAGATCAAATTAAATATAAAGTAAGTAGAAGAAAGAAAATCATAAAGAGCAAAAATCAAAGACATCACAAACAATAGATAAAATCAATAAACCCAAAACCTGGCTATTTAAAAAAATTTAATTTGTTAAACCGTTGCTCAGTTCATGGGGGAGAAAAAAGGGAGAAGACACAAATTCCAATGTCAGAAATAAAAGAGAAGACATCATTACATATCCTACAGATACTAAAAGCATTATTAAAGGATGTTATATCAATAAACTTGACAACAAAGATGGAATAGGTAATTCTTTAAATGACAAAAATTATTAAAACCGACTCAAGAAGAAACAGAGAACCTGAATAGAAACTACCTATTTTAAAAATAAGGAACCTGCAATTTAAAAACTTCCCCCAAAGAAAATCTGAGGACCATAAAGTTTCACTAGTGACTTCAATTAAACATTTAAGGAAGAAAAATAAGGGCAGGCCGAGTGTGGTGGCCCATGCCTGTTATCCTAGCACTTTGGGAGGCTAAGGTGGGAGAATCGCTTGAGACTAGGAGTTCGAGACTAGCCTGGGCAACACAGGAAAACCTCGTTGCCATAAAAAATTTCAAAATTAGCCAGCTGCAGAGGTACATGCCTGTAGTCCTAGCTACACAGTAGGCTGAGGTGGGAGGACTGCTTGAGCCCAGGAGGTCAAGGCTGCAGTGAGCTATGATTGGCCACTGCACTCCAGCCTGCGCAACAGAAGGAGACCCTGTCTCAAAAAAATAATAATAAGAGTGAATTACCCTGATGTCGAAACAAAGACACTGTAAGAAAACAACAGATCAATATTTCTCATGAACATAGACATAAAAACCCTTAACATTTTAGCATATAGCAGCAATATATTAAAAAGATAACATTACATGACTAAATGGGGACCATCCCAGTAATGAAAAGTAGGTTTAACATTAAAAATCAGTGACTGCATTCTCCATACTAGAATAGTATAAAGAAGAAAAACTATATGATCATCTCAATAGATGCAGAAAAAACATTTAAAAATAGTCAGCATTTGATAGGGTGATGTTAGCTAGATGGCAGACTAGGATGGCCCTCTCCGTTCATCCATGGAAACATCAAACAAACAACTACATGCTGATTAAAATGGTTTTGTGGAAGCTGTGGAAACAGGTCAAGGATATGCAGCAACCAAGCAAACACCCAATCAAGAAAAAGCCACACTGAAAACGATAGGAAATGTCATGCTGTGCTTGCTTGCACTTGCCCTAGCCTTTCCCTGGCATAGCATGGGAGAGACAAAGAGACCCAATTCCTAGTTTTCTCCCTCATTACAGAGAAAAGTATGTCTGCGGGCTGCCCAAGGGACTGGTTCTTCATTGCCTGACTCAGAGTTCGGATGGGAATGCTGGGACACTTTGGATCTCAGGTTGAAGGCTGCAGAAGGTAGTGGCAAGTTCTGTAGTGCATGAAAACTGCAGGAAACTGCAGTCACCTGTGGGCAAGAGATTATGGGCAGAGAAAAACAGCAGAACAGCTGAGTCTCTGTGAAGCAGCAGGAGTAAGGCTCTTAGAGAAATTAATACATGTAACAGCAGCCATGTATACAGCGGAATTGGAAAAAAACAAAAAACCAGACAGACAAATCCAAGGAAGATGTATATGCCAAAAAAGTGTAAGACCTTAGGCCTTTACACTGGGCTAACTACTGAAGGTCTTTCCCCACATGGAGCCAGTCTGCAAAAATTGAGAGAATTGGCTGTTTTTTTTCAAATCACCAGTTGTCAACAAAATATCACAAGACACACAAAGACACAGGGAAACATGGCCCCTTCAAAGGAACGATATAAATTTCTAGAAACAACCCTAAAGAAATACAGGTTTGACCTGACAAAAACAAGAAATGGGGAAAGGATTCCCTATTCAATAAATGGTGCTGGGAAAACTGGCTAGCCATATGTAGAAAGCTGAAACTGGATTCCTCCCTTACACCTTATACAAAAATTAATTCAAGATGTATTAAAAGCTTAAATGTTAGACCTAAAACCATAAAAACCCTAGAAGAAAACCTAGGCGTACCATTCAGGATCTAGGCATGGACAAGGACTTCATGACTAAAACACCAAAAGCAATGGCAACAAAAGCCAAAATAGACAAATGGGATCTAATTAAACTAAAGAGCTTGTGCACAAGCAAAAGAAACTACCATCAGAGTGAACAGGCAACCTACAGAATGGGAGAAAATTTTTGCAATCTAGCCATCTGACAAAGGGCTAATATCCAGAATCTACAAAGAACTTAAACAAATTTACAAGAAAAAAATCAAACAACCCCATCAAAAAGTGGGCAAAGGATATGAATAGACACTTCTCAAAAGAACACATTTATGCAGCCAACAGACACAGGAAAAAATGCTCGTCATCACTGGTCATCAGAGAAATGCAAATCAAAACCACAATGAGATACCATCTCACACCAGTTAGAATGGCAATCATTAAAAAGTCAGGAAACAACAGGTGCTGGAGAGGATGTGGAGAAATAGGAACACTTTTACACTGTTGGTGGGAGTATAAACAAGTTCAACCATTGTGGAAGATAGTATGGCAATTCCTCAAGGATCTAGAACTAGAAATACCATTTGACCTAGCCATCCCATTACTGGGTATACACCCAAAGGATTATAAATCATGCTGTTATAAAGACACATGCACACGTATGTTTACCGCAGCACTATTCACAATAGCAAAGACTTGGAACCAACCCAAATGTCCAACAATGATAGACTGGATTAAGAAAATGTGGCACATATACAGCATGGAATACTATGCAGCCATACAAAAGGATGTGTTCATGTCCTTTGTAGGGACATGGATGAAGCTGGAAACCATCATTCTGAGCAAGCTACCACAAGGACAGAAAACCAAACATCGCATGTTCTCACTCATAGGTGGGAATTGAACAATGAGAACACTTGGACACAGGGTGGGGAACATCACACACCGGGGCCTGTCATGGGGTAGGGGGAGAGGGGAGGGATAGCATTAGGAGAAATACCTAATGTAAATGACGAGTTAATGGGTGCAGCACACCAACATGGCACATGTATACATATGTAACAAACCTGCACGCTGTGCACATGTACCCTAGAACTTAAGGCATAATAAAAAATAATAATAAATAAATAAATAAATAAAAGAAATACAGGTTTGAACTTACTAGACAAAGACTTTTAAAAAACTGTCTGGGCCGGGCGTGGTGGCTCATTCCTGTAATCCCAGCACTTTGGGAGGCTGAGGCGGGCAGATCACGAGGTCAAGAGATCGAGACCACCCTGGCCAACATGGTGAAATCCCGTTTCTACTAAAAAATACAAAAAATTAGCCAGGCATGGTGGCATGCACCTGTAGTCCCAGCTACTCCGGAAGGCTGAGGCAGGGGAATCGCTTGAACCCGGGAGCTGAGATTGCGCCACTGCACTCCAGCCTGGCGACAGAGCATCTGAAAAAAACAAAAACAAAAACAAAAAGCCACACACAAAATCTGTCTGAAATTATGTTCAACGAGCTAAAACAAGAAAACAGAGAACAAATGGAAATCTAGACCCTCTACTCCCACCTCATAACTGTCTAGAAAAGTTAACTTAAAATAGATCACATATCTAAATGTAAAAAGTAACACATAAAACTTTTGGAAGAAAACACAGGAGAAAATCTTCATAAACTTGACATAGGCAAAAATTTTTTAGGTATAAAAAGCATGAATTATAATAGAAAAAAATGCATGAATTATAACAGAACAAAATGACAAATCAGGAAAATTTTTAAATTTAAAGTAAAAATTTAAAACATATGCACTTTTGAGTATACAATTAAGAAAATGAAAAGGCAAGCCACAACTGAGTGGATATGTTCTCTGAATACATATCTTTGACAAAGGAACAGTATCTGGAATATAAAGGGTAGTCTTACACACCTTAAGAAGAAGATAAATATTTTTTAATGGGCAAAATATTTTAATAGACACTTCACAAAAGAAGATAGAATCACATGAAAAGATGATCAGTGTCAAATCATCAGGGAAATTCATACCAAAACCACTTTGAGAGACTGCTATACATCCATGAGGACGACTAAGATAAAAACAGACTGATAATGTGAGGTGTTGGTGAACATGTACAGCTACTGGAACTCTCATAGGTTGGTGGTGAGAATGTAAACCATTTGGCAGTTTCTTATAATATTAAACACATACTATCACACAATCCAGCAATTCCAATCCTAGGCATTTATCCAAGGGAAATGAAAATGTATGACTATATAAAACTTTTACAAAAAATGTTCAAACTGGGCCTAGGAGCACATGTCTATAGTCCCAGCTACCTGGGAGGCTGAGGTGAGAGCATTACTTGAGCCCAGATGTTTAAGTCCAGCCTGAGCAGCAGAGCAAGGCCCCATCTCAAAAAAAAAAAAAAAAAAAAAAAAATTGTTCATAGCAACTTACTCATAGCCAAAAACTAGAAACAATCCAAATTGCTATCAACAAATGAACAGATAAACAAACTGGTATATGGATACAACATACCATTGGAACATTCTGAACAATAAAAAGTAATCAGCTACATATAAGCTAGAACATGGATAAATCTCAGAAACATTATGCCGAATGAAGGATGCCAGACACAGAGTATATACTATATTATTATGTTTATATGAAATTATAGAAAAGAAAAAGTTCATCTATGGTGACAGAAAGCAGATCAGTGGCTAACTGAGACCAGAGTTGGGAGAAGGACTGACTATAAAAGGGCAAGAGAGAACTTTCTGGGGTGATGAACATGTTTTGTTTCTTGATTGTGGCGGTGGTTATAAAGAGGTATACATGTGTCAAAACTATCAAATTATACACTTTAAGAGTGCATTTGATCGCACGTAAAATGTTCCTCAATAAAGTTGATTTTTAAAAAATAATATAACACAATAATACATTGCCACAATTCTATGTAATAAAAGCAACAAATTAAAAGATTAAAAGAAAAAAGCCCACTTATGATTCCATAATCCTAACAAAGCTTTTTCATTTTCTGTGTTTCCTTCCAATTTCAGTCTGATGCATATATATTTCATACAACTGTTATCATTTTGTATAAAAAATTTTCATCCAGCTTATTTATGTTATATGCATTTTTCACATTTCAAAGGCTATACAAAATGACCATACAATATTTCATCAAGTAGTTATGCTATAATTTGTTATACCTGGTTATTCACCAATGCCTAGATATTTGGATTCTCATTTTTTCTGATTATAAAAAATATTACAATAAACATCTTCACATATAAAGATCATTTCTTAATTTCAACACTGCTTTGGATAAACTATCAGTAACCATGGTTAACATTTTTTTGTATGTAATAAAAACCTTTTTATTTTAGAAATTGTACTAGTTTGCTAGAGCTGCTGTGACAAAGTACCACAAGTTGAGTGGCTTAAACCACAGAAATTTGTCTCACAGTCTTGATACTAGAATTCTGACAGCAAGGTGTCCTAAGGGCTGATACCTTGTGAGGGCTGTGAGGAAATGCCTCTCCCTACACTTCTGGGGCTTCCTGGCAGTCTTTGGTATTCCTTGGTTTGCAGAAGCATCAGCTGAGCTCTTTCTTCATCTCCACATAGCATTCTCCCTGTGTGCATGTCTACGTCTAAATTTCCCCTCTTTATAAAGACAAGAGTCATGTTGATTAGGGTCCACCTTAATCCAGTATGACTTCATCTTAACTAATCGCTTCTGCAATTCCCTGTTTCCAAGTAAGGCCACATTCTGAGGTATTGGGGGTTAGTACTTCAACATATGAATTTGGGGGCACAAATTCAACCTATAACATAAGTAATACAAGCTAATTATTACAAACTCAAAAAGTCGAAAAATATAATGAATAGGTGAGGTTCTTCTCAGTCTTCACCAAACCATTCCATAGAAGTAATTACTATTAGCAGGGTACAGTGGCTCACACCTGTAATCCCAGCACTTTGGGAGGCCAAGGCGGGTGGATCACCTGAGGTCGGGAGTTCGAGACCAGCCTGACCAACATGGAGAAACCCCGTCTCTACTGACAATACAAAAATTACCCAGGTGTGGTGGCACATGCCTGTAATCCCAGCTACTCGGGAGGCTGAGGCATGAGAATTGCTTGAACCCGGGAGGCAGAAGTGGTGGTGAGCCAAGATCGTGCCGTTGCACTCCAGCCTGGGCAACAAGAGTGAAACTCCGTCTCAAGGAAAACAAACAGACAAACGAACAAAAAAAAGAAGTAATTACTATTTACACCTTAACTTTTCTCACATTTCAGTAACATCTCACCCTCTCACAAACCAGCATTTGGTGCTGCTGATGTACCACAGATTACATATAATATGGCAGTTTGTATTCACTAAAAATAGTAGAGAAGTGGTCTCTGAACACATAAACATTTAAACTTTGTTCCTACTTGATGGGTCTTTGCAAAGTCCCTGGCGTGTCTCAGAATCATAGAATCACAGATTCTAGAGCTAAAAAGCCCGAGAGTGAGCCTGCCTTTAAGTGTGCTGGTGGCAACACATTTTTCAAGTGGCTTTACGGACACATCTAGGCCCAACATGGTCTGCCACTTCCTAGCTAGTAAACTCCATTTAAGTTCTCTCACCTATAAACACGGTGACAATATCTACCTTCATGGAGTTGTGAATAGTTAACAAGATAATGCATGCATAACACATACCAAGCATTCAGTTAACAGTAATACCATCCTTTTGAAGATTGGTTAAAAAAAAAAAACAGAAAATTTATCATCTTAATCATTCACACTGTTGTGCAACAGATCTCCTGAAATTTTTCATCTTGCAAAACCTAGACTCTGCATCCATTAAACAACTCCCCTATCACCCCCGCTCCCCAGCTTGTTCTACTTTCTGTTTCTATAAACTTGACTACTTTAGGTGCCTTATTTAAGTGGAATCATATAGTATTTGTTATTTTTTTTTAATATATAGGAATGAGGGTAAGTAATTTGTAAAAGATCTCACTGGCAGAGCCAGGACAAATCTGGATGGTCTGATTCCCAAAGGAGTGACGCATCTGAGGTTATTTTGTAGTTTCAGCTGAACTACAAAAGCCTCCTGATTAGCCAGAATTTTTATAACCACTCTTTATGTCTACCATAGAGTAAAGTACTATTCAAACCACACAGCTTTTAAAAGACCTGGAAATCATGATTTATGGGTTTAAATACACTTGGTTCCTCTGCCATGCTGCTAATTTATAGAAACTCCAATATTGTCAGATCTGATAGGAACAATAGTCAAACTAAGACAAAGTATAATAATCTCTAGGTCAAAAAGAGTAAGCCAGTTACAGTTACCAGCTCACAATGACTGGATCCTGGGAGGGATGTCAGCCCCCTAAAGAAATGAACATGTGGTCTGGGAAATCACTGAACTTCAAAACAGATGTAGCGATCAGGCAGCCACGTGTAGTGCAGACATCCACACATCCTCACTAGTGGCTATTCATTAAGAAATACCTCCCACTACAGACGTCACTGTTTAAATTTACTTTTCACAGGGATTTATCCCTAAATGTTCCAAGGAGCATTACTCAGGCAATTTAGGTTGAAATACAGTGAGCTTATGTCTTGGAAATATAGATTACATCTGGAACATAGAGACCTAAAAATTCGCTTCCCTTCAGACTGAGGCTGGGGCACAATAGGGGAAGAGGCATCAGAAGGGGCCTGGAGGATAGAGAAGGGGAGCTGGTCAATGTTTTACTAACTAAGCCAACTCAGTTAAAGTTATAGTTTAATGGAAAAGCCAACATGATCATAAAACAAAACAAACTGAAAACATAAAACAGGTCATCCGGAGAACATCAGTAAATACCATAAACATCCTGTTCCTAATTGGCAATAGATGTCTTGATCTGGCCCATCTGAGCACTGGCAAATCACTAAGAAACAATCTGATACAATTAGAATTATAATAAGCAGAACTCCATGTAAATAAAATGAAAAAAACAAAATAAAACAAAACTTCCAAACAAAATTAAAACCTACCTAGGAATACAAATGGTATCTCATTTTACCCCTTTAGGGGAGGCAAATTTTCATAATGGGAAGTTTAAGAAGTTCAGTGCACTCACATTAATGACTCAGGAGACAGCTACCACTCCCACAAAACATGCACATATAGAGACATTTTAAAAATTCACAATTAGACCTTATGTGTGGAATGAAGTACTGATCACAACAAATGGACTTGAAATACTGAAAATGGGAATAACAGTAATTTCCACATTTTCCAGAGCCCTGTAAAATGATGCTAAATGCCATATTTACACTGCAAAACTATGAAATGCTGAGAAAAAATTTTCAGACTAAATAAAACCATGATATTTAAGAAAGCAATGGCATTTTGTGGATTTACTAAATGTACTTGCTGAATTTAGAACCTACCACCAATTCTGCTACCCTAATAAAGTATGACAGAAAACTTTTGTGGTTTCCAAACCTCCAGGAAAAATACACTTACAAAAGTATAAAAAAATTTTCCACAATTTCTCTTTTTCAGATGCCTGTTACTAGCCACTTTTATTCAATAATAGACAGGGGGTGAAAAGGAAAAGGATTCAACTTTATTGTAGTCCCTGATCTATGCTCTAGGGATGGAAAAGGACACCAAAAGGCAGTGAGGAAGGCAGAGGAGAAGACAGCGTCTCCCCGGGCAGCTGCCCAGGAACACGGCAGACAGGAGTGAGGGTAGCTGCCCAGGAACACGGCAGACAGGAGTGAGGGCAGCTGCTGGGATGCGCTGTCTCCTGCTCCTCCCTTTCGCACATTCTAGTGACTTCTGTCATGGATCCCACCACATCTTCCCCTTATACTTCTCAGGGAAAGGTCTATCTTCAACCACAAAACCTCGGCATTCCTTCTTAGAGGAAGACAAACTGCCCGGGTTCCCAGAGAAGACAGAATAAACTGCCCAGGTTCCCAAAGACAGAATGTCCACCCACTCCCCAGGAGGGCAAAGCAGGGGAGGAACAAGTGCAATATCTGTGAAGGATGTTGTGATTTGACAACCATATCATATTCAGCTGTCTCTGCTTTGCCCAAGGTCACACCCCCATCCCATAGTGGCCACATCTCAAGGACTGATGGATGTAGAGCTACAAAGGTCCAGCCCTCCCGTCCCAGCACAGGAAAGCTCTGAGGGGTCTCTCGCTTCTACCCCCACAGGCACAGCTGACGGTTCTGTGGAGACTGCAGTGCAGCTAAACTTTTTCCTCTGCACAGTCCTGTCTCCTTCCTTTCTACTCCATAGCTGTTCCTCCCCAAAGCACTCCCTGAACACTAATCTCCATCTCAAAGTCAGAGTTCCTGAGAGCCCGACCTATGACATCATCTCTCAACCCACTCTCTCTCCTCTCTAAGAGAAATGATCTACTTGGTCAGTTCGGGAGAGAAAATTTAAAATGCCCTGCCCGCCATAGGTCCTTTTTCCTTTGTCTTTCCAACTTGCCTTGCCTGCAGAAAGGATGCGTCCTGGCCTACTGCTGCACCATACTGGGCCAGGCAGGCTCAGTCCCAGCCAGGTAGGCCTCTGGGGGCTCAGCTCACCAGTGCCTGGTGGATTTATCTACTAAATCCAGAGGAGCCAACCAAACCACAGACACAAGCTACATTCTTGAATCTGTTTAGGTGTAAAGGAACTGTCCAATTGCCTGCCTCTGGTATCTTATTCTCAACTAGTTCCTAAGACAGGAGACGACTGACAGAAGTGTTATTAGTCTCCTAAAACCTAACGCTATCCTCCACTGCTCCACTCCCACTTCTCCAACATCTCAACCTGCCAATTCCTGCCCTCCTGCACTGTGCTGAACGTATTTTCAACAAAGAAGCCACCATCTGATTTATATTTACATATGTGTCCCCCAGCCCCCATTTAAACCCTTTCAATTAAAAGTTTTGCCTTCCAAGTTAAGTGAATTCTTTACTACGGGCCAAGTGGCCCATTGGGATCAGGCCCAGCTAAACCTTCTTGAGTACCTAACATTTGATTAATGAGATGGCCATTCTTCTTATCATTAGCAAGAAGAACGTTTCTAGCTATCTCTCTGCCTACACCTCAAATCACTTTCAGGTCTCCTAGTACCATACAGGCCCTCAGCCTCTGCTCACTTGGGGCCTTGTTCTTCATGTTGCAAACTCAACTGTTCCCCTCTGGAAGCCTCTTAACCACCCCTGCAACCTCTCTGCACTCCTCCAACAAAGTGTCTCTCCCTTCCCTCTGGCTACCTCAGCGCCTTCTGCATGCTGTTCCACCCCTTCACTTGGTAAAATGCAATAAAATCACCAGATCCTCAAAGGCAAGACCTTTCCATCCCCAACACCTGCTTGTACACAGTAGGCACTCAGGATACAATTGTGGAATAAATGAGGGATGGAGGATGAAGAAAAGATGGGAGGGGAGCCAGGGCGGAAGCAGGGGCATGCGGAGCATGACAGGTGCCACATTACAACACTCTCGCAGCACTATTGCCTCACACCATTAATTTATAAACAAACTCACAGTCCTCCAAAATGCGTCCCAAACTATTTTTCTAACCTTAACTTCTCCCTCTAGGTACCTCATTCTCCAGCCTAACTGGAGTGATCACTATTTCTTGGCCATGGTCAACTTTGTCCATTCTCTCCTCTCCATGTGGAAGTCCCTCTCCTCATCCCACCACATTTTGCCACAAAAATTCCTATTCATTTCTTTACTGATTCAGCAAATAATCACTGAACGCTTACTGTGTGCCAGGCACTATCCTAGCCTGTACAAGAAGGTCTCTGCACTCATGGAACATGTAACTTAGTTGGGAGGTAATGGGGAGACAGAAAAAAACCCAGCATGTCAGGAGCTGATGAGCACTAAGACCGCGTGCAAGCGAAGAGAGTGAGGGTCTAGCCCAGGATGATGAGGCAGGCCTCCATGAGGAGGTGACATCCAGCAGTGACCCAAATGGTACCCAGAGGAGCAGTGTTGTTCTCGGAGAGGAGCAGTGAAGGCAGATGCTTAAACCCCCAAACCCCAGGAAGGAGTTGCTGGGCACACATGGGGAATAGTGAGGAGGCCACTGTGGCTGAGAGAAGTGAGAATATGAGAGAAAATCAGTAACACCCCACAGCCAGGTCACAGAGGGCCTCATGAGCCAAGCATGGACTTTGCATTTCACTTTGAATAAGACAGGAACCTACCCGAGGCTCCTGAACAGAGACACTTAAAAAGATCCTTCTTGGCTGGGCACGATGGCTCACACCTGTAATCCCAACACTTTGGAAGGCCAAGGCAGGTGGATCACCTGAGGTCAGGAGTTCAAGACCAGCCTGGCCAACATGGCAAAACCCCATTTCTACTAAAAATGCAAAAATTAGCTGGGTGTGGTGGCAGGCGCCTGTAATCCCAGCTACTTGGGAGGCTGAGGCAGGAGAATCACTTGAATACGGGAGGTGGAAGTTGCAGTGAGCTGAGATCACACCACTGCACTTCAGCCTGAGCGACAGGGTGAGATTCCTTCTCAAAAAAAAAAAAAAAAAAAAATCCTTCTGGTTGAGACTCTAGGAGAGCACACACAAAGATACTGCAATGTTCCTGGAGAGGGCAACAGTGGCGTGGATGGGGGTAGAAGCAGTGAGGCTGGTAGGAAGTGGTCAGATTCTGGACACGTGTCACAGATAAAATCAACAGACTGGATGGATTGATAGACTTGAGGTGAGATGGGAGAGTAAGAGCAGCCAAGGATGATGCCAGGGCTTTTGACCTGAGGAAACAGGAAGAATGAAGCTGCTTTTTAACTGAGTTAAGGAAGCCTGGAGGGAGAATAAAGTTTTGGGGAAAAGATCAGGAATTAATCTGGAACATGTTTAGTTTGAGATACTCATGGTCACCCAAGTGGAGATGTCACACAGGCAGCTGAAAATGTGGGGCTCAGGGGAAAGGTTCGACCTGGAGATGTGGACTTAGGACCTGTCAGTGCTTGTGTGCACACATGTACACACACACACACACACACACACACACACACACATTGTAATTCTTTCATGGCTCTTTCCAGTGATCTTGTAACAGATCAGTTCAAAATAAAACAAAATTCTGGGTAGTCTTACCTTTTAGAAAAAGAGAAGGGAAAAAATTCTGAATTATTAAATTTTAAATAATTTTATCCATTCAGTAGTTTTTTATTTTGTGCCTGCTATGAGTTACAACACAAAACAAAAAAGAACATGAACAAAAAGACATGGCCCAACTCTGCGGAATATAATGTCTGAAAAGCTGACAAATCCTCTTTAAATGGTTGCTTCCTTAATTATTTCAGTAAAAAAAAAATTTTTTTAAGTTTGCCATTCAGAAATCAATGCAGGTATTTCTTTAAAGCCACAATGAAGACTTAGCCCTGTGCCGTCCCCAGCAGTTCCAGCCTAGTGAAAGAGGTCTGTCTGAGGAGCCAGGGTTCCGTGCGGTGTAGTGCGGCTGCAGTGCAGTCACACCACCACCTGGAGTGCAATCTAACTGTTCCTCATACCAGTGAGTGGTTTCGAGAGCTCAAGGTTCCTTTCAGGGGTGAGATATCTTTGGAAGCACATACCTTGCTTTCTATGCTGCATCTGGCCCATGGATGAATAAAGAACCAGTTTCCAATGCAAAATTATTTAACCTTATTGTGTCCGGAATTTATTCCTTCTTGTGGGTTCTCGGTCTCGCTGACTTCAAGAATGAAGCCGCGGACTCTCGCAGTGAGTGTTACAGTTCTTAAAGATGGTGTGTCCAGAGTTTGTTCCTTCAGATGTTCAGATGTGTCTGGAGTTTCTTCCTTATGGTGGGTTCGTGGTCTCTCTGACTTCAGGAGTGAAGCCGCAGACCTTCGCAGTGAGTGTTACAGCTCATAAAGGTAGTGCGGACCCAAAGAGTGAGCAGCAGCAAGACTTATTGTGAAGAGCGAAAGAACAAAGCTTCCACAGTGTGGAAGGCGACCCAAGTGAGCTGGTGGCCGCTGCTGGCTGGGGTGGCCAGCTTTTATTCCCTTGTTTGGTCCCGCCCACATCCTGCTGATTAGTCCATTTTACAGAGTGCTGATTGGTCCATTTTTACAGAGTGCTGATTGGTGCATTTACAATCCTTTAGCTAGACATAGAGTGCTCATTGGTCTGTTTTTACAGAGTGCTGATTGGTGTGTTTACAATCCTTTAGCTACATACAGAGCACCGACTGGTGCGTTTACAATCCTCTAGCTAGACAGAAAAGTTCTCCATGTCCCCACTTGACCTAGGAAGTCCAGCTGGCTTCACCTCTCATTATCAGATTTCTTTTTGTAACTTCACTCCATTTTACCAGTCTGATCTTGCATTAGGTTCAATTTCAAGTATGAACCTTTGAATTCCACTGTCATACCAAATACTATTTTAGACCATGAGTTTATCTCCTTCTGTTTTACTTTTCTGAGATCTATATGCAATATTTGCAGAAAGTAAAAACCAAGTCCATAAAATATCCAAACTATGTTACTTTTTCAATGGTGGTTGCAAACACGTTTCCTAAAAATGATACATCAAGGTCATACTGAGACAGCCAGGTGACAGGGGTCCCTGGAGAAACTCCAACCAGCCTGCCCACTGACTGAGGTGGAGCCTCAGGAAGTTCACAACATTTGCAGCAGGGAGGCGCCTGGCCCCTCCTCTTCCTGTGAGGACCCTGGGATTCGAATGGCAGGCGGGAAGCACTCCAGCAGGGACTCTGGTCTAGCGAGAGCCCCTGTCTCCCCATTTTCTTCCTTTTCACCCAATAAAACCCAGTCTCACTCACCATTCAAATTGTCTACAAGCCTGAATTTTCATGGCCATGGGATAAAGAACCCCGTCCTTAGCTGAACTAGGGAAAAGTCCTGCAACAATCCTATATTTGAAAGTTCCAAGTGTGGAGAACAGAGTTCGTGATTAACCTAAAGAGGAATTCTTATGAGGGTGCAAATCAAAGAGAGGGATATTTTAAAAAGAAACTTATTTATTATTTGGTAAGTTATAACATGGAATAAAGGTATTACTTGAAGGCCACTCTCTCTTTTGCCAAGATCTTGTGGTGACCTCCAATTATTGGGTCTATGCCATTTCAGCAACCATGGAAATGAGCATAAGCTGACTGACTGTGTTAGTCCATTCTCGCATTGCTATAAAGAAATACCTGAGACTGAGTAATGGAGGCAATGAATAATTTATGAAGTAATTATAAAGAAAAGAGCTTCAACTGGCTTGTGGTTCTGCAAGCTGTACAGGAAGCACTGCAGCATCTGCTTGGCTTCCGGGGAGGCCTCAGGAAACTTACAATCATGGTGGAAGGTGAAGGGGGAGCAGGCATGTCACGCAGCCAGAGCAGCAGCAAGAGAAACAAGGGAGGTGCCACACACTTTTCAACAACTAGACCTCGCAAGAACTAGTAGTACCAGGGGGATGGTGCTAAACCATTTGTGAGAAACCATCCTCATGATACAATCACCTCCCACCAAGCCCCACTCACCCTCAACATTGGAGATTACAATTCAACATGAGTTTTGGGTGGGACACAGATCCAAACCATATCAGTGACAAACATATATTATGAACTCACTTCAGGATTGTGCAAAGGAGTAAAATTAACTGAGGCTGGGAAGAAGGATGCCTTATTGAATGCATATATCTTCTACAATGAATGGCAGTGAAAAAACAAATACAAATTAGAGCAATTTTTAAGAAACTGAAAGTACTTTATTAAATTCACTATTTATTCATAACATCCTTGAATAAATAAGATTTTTTTCTTGCAATTGTGTCCATGTGTCCCTGAGTTTCAAAAACCTTCAAAGAAATGTTTTTTTATGCCCCAAACAATGTTATCTCAAAACACTCCTGGCTTTTAGTAACAAAATCCTGAACCAAACAGCTCAAATAGAAAAGGAAAGAAATTCGAGCATTTATGCCTGGAAAAGACTTGATCCAGGGTCCACACAATGTGAATATGACCTGTTTTCTCTTGCTGTTTTTCTCAGCTATGTTTTGTCAGGACTAACTCCATTTCCAGAGACGCTCTGATCTCATGGTTCCACATGACCAACAGCAACTTCAGGGATTATGTGCTACTTAATTCATGTTCATCAGGAAAGATACAATCCACTTCCCAATCTTGCAAACAAATGTTACAGCCCTGAATCTCATCAGCCTTGACGGGGCTCATCTTGACCAACCAGTGTGGCCAGAGGAACAGAGAAGCTGTGTTGGTTAAGCCAGGTAGGACCCACTCCAGGAGCCACATAAGATACCTCTCACCCAGAATGAATCATGCACAGCTGGGAAATTCAGGGTACTATTAAGAAGGCGGGAAAGGAGGGGAGATGGATACTGGAAAAGCAATGAATAAATATCCCCTATACAGGCAAATACAAAAATTCAATTATCAATTAATCTTTAAAAAAAAAAACCCTGAGGTTGTAGAAAGTCAAGCAAATAGAACGCAGGTAGAAAAAAAATATCAGTAATGTGTTTGTTACTTAAAAGTAATAAAAATAGTAGATGGAGCTGTGGAAGAGGAATCGCTAACATCCCTGGCCTCATCTCTGAATTTCACCTTGCCTCTGCTATTTTTCACTAATCATCTTATTTTCCCTTTTAAATTGCCATTCAAACTTGAACAATAATTATTTCCCTAGGTTTCCATATCTCAGCCAGGCCAGGCTAGTAAGGGTATAAAACCATTCCAAGGAGAGGAAAGAAAATTTCTGCCAAGTACAAATCTGTGCATAGGTTTGGCATGTCTGGAGCTAGTGCAGCAAGATGCTAGGATCTGGGAAGATCAGGGAGTGGCCTTCATGATATGTGGATGCAAAAATGGAAAATGGAGATATTAGGGTTGAGAAAAGATGAAGAGAAGCTGCATATACCAAGGTAGAATGTGGATTTTATCAAAATTTATTACTGGTTAATAAAGTTGGGGTGTGTACTCCAAGTAGTGCACAAGATAGTCCACTGAGATGTGAAAACAACATTAGAATATTTATATGTAAGAAGAAATCAAGCTTTATTAATATTTCACAAATGTACTCACACTACGACCTTAGCCAGTCTAGATGTTATAGATGGTCATGTGTCACAAGTAGTCCAAGTGGGACCCTGAGGGAAGGGTGGGGATTCCACCTCACAGAGGGCTGGCAGGAGCCCTCCGGTTCCCACTTCCTCTCAGGATATGCATTATGGTCTCCATGTGACCAGTAAGGAAGGTCTGCTGATTATGCTATCTAACTAAAGGAACCATCAGATGGACACCTGGCTTCAAAAGATCCCTGCAAAGAAGTCAGAGATTAAAAATACTACTATGAATGCAACCTAAGAGAACTGGGAAATGGTAGCACAGACACTTCTGCAAGCGAATCATCAGCCTCATTAAAAGGTTATGCTAATTAAAAGTTGGCAAAAATGTTTCAAAGTTATCAGGAAGATTATCTGAAAAAATAAATTTGTACAACTTTTAATTCATTTATGCATATCATATATTCATTAATTTATTCAAAAATTTATGCCGTGCCAGGTACTGTTCAATTTGCTAATAGTAAACAAAACTGAGAAAAACCAATTTTGCCTTAGAGGATAGTGGCCATTGAGATTCTCACCAAACTGACTAATCACAATGCCAATCAAAATGCCAACAAGTTATTTTGTGTTTTAGTGAAACCTGACACACACATCCTAAAATTTATGTAACAGTTAATGCTAAGTTCCAATATTAGCCAAGGCTGTCTTGATGAAGAACAAGATGGAAGAACTTCCTCCTGGATAGCAAGATACTTACAAGGCCACATTAATGATGACAGTGTGGAACTGGCATAAATATAGTATATTTGTCAGTTATCCAGAGAAACTGAACCAATAAGATAGACACACACACACACAGGGATTTATTATAAGGAATCAGCTAACACCATTACAGTAGCCAGCAAGTCAGAGACACAAGAGAGCAAATGCCCAGATAACCAGGAGAGTCACCGGTATAGTTTCAGTCAGAAGGCCAGCAGGCTTTAGACCCGGGAAGAGGTGACGTTTCAGTCTGAGTGTGAAAGCAGGAAAAAGGACAATGTCTCAGTTTAAAAGCTTTCAGGCAGGAGGACTTCTCTCTTACTCGGGAGCATCAGCCTTCTTTTCTAGTCAGGTCTCTCACTGACTGGATAGGGCCCACCCGTATTAGGATGGGCAATCTGCTTTACTCAGTCAACTAATTTAAATGTTAATCTCACCCCAAGACACCCTCACAGAAACACACAGAATAATGTTACCAGGACCTTGTGTCCAGTCAAGTTGATACTAAGATTAATACCATAAATAAACAACAAAACCAATGGAGAGATGCAGGATCACACCTGTGCACCCAAAGGCACCTGATGCATGATGAAGGTGGCACCACAGATCAGTGGGAAATGCACCCAAAGGCACCTGATGCATGATGAAGGTGGCACCACAGATCAGTGGGAAATGCACCTGATGCATGATGAAGGTGGCACCACAGATCAGTGGGAAATGCACCCAAAGGAACCTGATGCATGACGAAGGTAGCACCACAGATCATGATTTTCAATAACGGTGTCAGGCAATGGGACATCAACGTGGAAATAAGATGAAAATGGACTACTTACCACCTTACACCACACCATAAGTTACAGGTGGATCACAGACTTACATAGGAAAAGGAAACCAACAGGCTTTTAGAAGATAATATGGAAGATCTTCATGACCTTGGACTGCAGAAAAATTTCTTAAATAAGGCACAAAGTGGCCAGGCACAGTGGCTCACGCCTGTAATCCCAGCACTTTGGGAGGCTGAGGTGGGCAGATCACGTGAGGTCGGGAGTTTGAGACCAGCCCGACCAACATGGAGAAACCCCATCTCTACTAAAAATACAAAATTGGCTGGGTGTGGTGGCGCATGCCTGTAATCTGAGCTACTTGGGAGGCTGAGACAGGAGAGCTGCTTGAACCCAGGAGGCGGAGGTTGCAGTGGGCCAAGATTGCGCCATTGCACTCCAACCTGGGCAACAAGAGTGAAACTCCACCTCAAAAAAAAAAAAAAAAAAAAAAAAAAGCAACAAGGGGCACATGGGGGGCAGGGACATCCAGGAGCAGTCAATGTTCTGTTCTATTTCCTTGGGTGGTGATTACAAGGATCTGTCACAATTTATTAAGCTTGGCATTTATGTTTTGTGTAAGTCTGTTAGATTTTTTAATTTATAAGTTTTTTCTTTTTGAAAAAAGAAGAAAGTAGAGGACAGACGCTATCTGGATATTGCTTAGTATTGCATTTCGAAAGAAAATACAGATAGAATACAACACCTTTTGATCTCTGTTCCTGGTACCCTGTTGTGTTTTTTTGTCTTTTTTTCTTTCTATCAGAATCAAAAAATAATAGTGGTATGGTTTTGCCAGAGAAGACAGGCATCCTCTTACATTTGGCAGGCCCTGGAAACCTTCCCCATCTATTGTAGCATCTGAGAACAGACTGTCTTTCTAGGTCCAGTGCTGTATCCTCAGCCTCTATAGTTGTGCCTGGCAAACAGTAGGTGCTCAAAAAGTATCTGTTCAGTGGATTTACCAGTAAAACTACATTTTTCAAGACCACATATTCCCAAAATACATGAAAGAGTCCCGGAACTTCGTCTCTGAACTGTAAGAAGAGCTGTTGAGGTGGTGCTCTATGATGGCACATTCAAGGTTGTCAGTAAAACTCCAAAACATTTTATCAATGTGTTTCCAGTATAACACATGCTAACATGTCAAGTGTCAAACAGAATTATTTCTTCTCTGTGCTAAAAATACAACTCAGTCTATCATTTTCAAATTTATTAATTAATTTGAATGTTTACTGAATTTTGTAATTTACTGTAGAAATTCTTAGTTTTTGATTTAGAGTATTTCAATCATACTTGTAATGCTCCAGTAACACAGAATGACCCAAGATTTTATTACCACAATTAGAACATCCTAGCACATGGTAGGCCCTAATAAATGCTTGCTGAATGAATTAGCAAACATTAAAATATGGCTGTTTTATAATTTTCACAAGGATATTGGATGTCAAGGTACACATCTTTAACAGATACTATGTCACTCTAAAACCTCCATGAAGAAAATATCACCTCCAAGATAAAATCAAGTATACCGGAGATGTGAACTGATTTATAAACCAACCTACAGACTATCTTCTATCTTGCTGCATTTACAGCCAACATGAGATTATGTATGTACTGACTGATGATGGGCAATGTAATTAGCTTTAGAGTTGTTAAGAGTTAAATAATTAATATGTTAATAAATTGTTAAGAGTTAAATCATTAATATGTTCCTAGACATCTTTTTATCGGTTCATGTTATTTAGTTCAGGCTTGCTTGGTAACTGAGGAAGGAAACTGTTTTCCCAACCTCGCATATCCTCACCTGTTCCCTACCCACATATTCATCTCAATGTAAAGCATGTTTGGGACTTGCTCAATTCAGCCAACCCCACCCTAGTCTGGCTATCACCCCCTTCATTGCCAAAGTTCTCCCTCCTTTACTGCCAAGTTTCTTGAAAGAGTGAAGTTTATTATCTCTGCTTCCTCACCTCTTCAACATTTCTCAATCTGGAGCAATCTGGCTGTTTCCCTCCACCTCTCACTAAACCTCTCCTCACCGAGTCTTTGCTCACAGTGGCTAAATCCAAGTAGTGTTTCTTGATCCTTCTGCTGTATGCTCCACAGCTGCCCTGTCCAACACGGCGGCCGCCTGCCACATGTGGCTGCAGAGCACTGCCGTGCAGTAAGCACCAGGGAATAACTGAACTTTGTATTTAATTTTAATTCAATTTTAATTTAAATACCGATACTTGATTCAGTTATAAAATTCCTCGGAACAACTTGGGTATGTGAATCTACTTTTTCAACCCTACATTTTATAAAATCTAAATACAGATCAAGAATTTCCAAAGAAAATTTAACATCTGAATGAAGATACAACACGTAGATATAAGTGTTAGCGTAACATACACAGTGGATTTCAAAGATACATCATGAAAAAGATTATAAATAATCTCAATAACTTTAATAATGATTAAATGTTGAAATGATGGTATTTGGAATATACTGAATTAGGTGAAATATCTTCTTAAAATTAATTTTAACTATTTCTTTTTATGTTTTTTAAAGCAGCACCTGGAAAGTTTACCATTATCTATGCAGCATGTATTTTATTCCTACTGGACAGCACTGCTGTATGGCATTAGATATGAATGAGCACTCATTCTCCGTTGCTTCTCTCCTTCTACTTCTTGGACCCCTCCTTACATTCTGTAGCATCAATCATTCTTCCACTTCCCCTTAAGGTCAGTGTCTCCCCAAGGCTCTCTCTAGTTCCCCTGGGCCCCTACCCCAGCACTCTCTGGGAGCGGACCTTACCTCACCTAAGGCTTCCACTATTCCCACAGGTGGCTGACTTTCAATCCTCTGCCAGCAAATCAGCTTGCTCTCCTGACAATGGGATATTCACCTGCTCTCTGTACATTTCCAGCTATGCCTAAGTGTATCGACATTTAATCTGCCATTATACCTTCTGGGTATTTGCCTTATTAATATCTTATAAATCGGGCCCCCTTCTCCATTTCTTTGAGGCCCTCGCAATTTCTCAACTTATCACTACAATAGCTTCCAACGTCTATCCTTGCCCTCTTCCCAACCAACTTCCTTTTGCTGTTAGTCTCTAAAACTCACACTGGCTACATGATATCTCTGGCTTTTTTTTTCCTTTTTTCTTTTTTTTTGTTTTTTGAGACAGAGTCTCGCTCTGTCACCCAGGCTGGAGTGCAGTGGCATGATATCAGCTCACTGCAACCTCTGCCTCCCAGGTTCAAGCGATTCTCCTGCCTCAGCCTCCCTAGTAGCTGAGAGTACAGGCACGTGCCACCATTCCTGGCTAATTTTTTGTATTTTTAGTAGAGACAAGGTTTCACCATGTTAGCCAGGATGGTTTTGATCTCCTGACGTCATGATCTGCCCACCCTGGCCTCCCAAAGTGCTGGGGCATGAGCCACCGCGCCCAGGCATGATTTCTCTGTTTTAAATACTCTGGTGGCTGCCCCACTGTCATCAAGATAAAAACCTTCTATAGTCATATGCAAGGACTGTGCTTGCTGGTCTCTCTGGCTTCATGCTTCATCACCAACTCCACAAAACCCCAAGTTCCAGGCACACTTAAGTACCCACAGTTCCCTGAATACGTTTGCTTTCTCACCACCATACTTTGCATAGTCTGTTTCTGCTGACAGGAATATTCTCCCTAACTCTATCCTTGCTCTCCTAGCTGTTCTTCAGAATTCAATTAACACGTCACCTGCCCCAGGAAATGTCTCCAAACCCCCTTGTCAGAGCAAGTGTCCCCCTCTACGTCAGCGTCACACCTAAACACAGCTTTAGCAATAACTCAACCACGCTGCCCTGGAGTGACCTGGTTACCAGTCTGGGAATTCCCCGAAGGCACAGATTAAGTGTTTTAACTCCCTGAACTATACTTAATAAGTACCTACTAGTAAGTAGATATAGTATTAAACAAGAAAAACAATAAAATGTGAGGCTAGAAATTTTTAAACAGGCTAATAAAGTCATGAGTTAAATGAAGAAAGTTAATCCAGTCACTCTAAAAACACTTCATTAGATGGCCTACTTCAGGACTCAATGAGCTATCTAATACAAAATTATATGCTAAATATTCATTAAAATATCAAATAATAAAAGCAACAATTAAAAAAATTAAGGACTAAATATGTCATTTTGTTTCTTCAGCCTTGTTACACATTCTTTCTTCCCTAATTCTACTTATCTGTTCCTTTCTTCAGTTCCTTACATTAATTTTCCTTCCAATTAAAGTTTGTATTCTTTCCTTCCATTGCCCAATCCCTCTCACTCCCTTCTATCTTTCAAACAGAAAAATATAAATACTGTCTTCATCATCTGTTAGCAATTTTGTCTAAAACAAAGAAATCGTAAAAAGCAGTGAATGTAACGATATCACCAGTCAGACTGATAGACAAAACCATATGCACTAATCTGGTTGGATGATTTCATAATACTAAGCAGCTGATCTGAACCACAAGCATACTAAGTGGAGTCTGACAGGCATCAGCCAGTCCTGGGGTTGCTGCAGCAAGGCAGTGCGGGGAACAGAAAAGAACAGCCAATGCGCTGCTGGTGAGGGCAGCTGCAGCCCAGCCTCACCACATCTCTACCTTATGCCTACCCTTCAGGAGAAAGTAGAAGCAGACAGGGAAATCTAGAAAGCTGTCAGCTATCTGGACTAGCACAGTAGGTAGCCAACTGGAAAGTGTGAGTGAGCAGCAGAGGCTGCGCAGCACCAAGATCCAGTCTGTGCATATGCTGGCTCAGGCACCAACTTCGGGACACAAAATAAAGAGTGCTGCTCCCGCCGCACTGCTGAATTTTCATTTCACTACAAAATAGATTTTGAGAGAGGCATGGAAGCATGTGGAAAGGAATTTAAACCAGGTTGATAGGGAAAAACAATTTTTTGAAGGATAGCAATTGCTAGAGTGAAATGGAATACATTATTTTAATCACCTGAAAGAAACTTTTCAAAACCACTCAACATTAGGTCTTCATCCTAAAGACTGGTATCTTTTGGAATTCACAGTCAAGCAAAATTGAAATCTCTTGAAAAACTTTTTACTCAGCAAGATAATGTAACAGTGAAGGGTATGTTTGAAAAAGTTTCTAAAACATCATAGAACTGGATTCCACCCCACCCCAAAATTTTTTTAAGCAGCACTTTTAAATAATCAATTTAATTCAAAGAAGTGCAGAGCAAGATTTACTCTCTTACCTGTATCCAGGAGTTAAGTTTTGATTGTCCAGAATTCTGTGGTTCTTTGTTAATTAGACAACATAAGCACCATATTAGAATTTTTTGGCTTTCATCTACAAAAAGGAAAACTTAATAAGTTTTATCAAGCAGAAAAAATCATTAATATAAAAACACTGTAAACATTATATTTAGGAAAATCTCAAACTACTAAGTTCACAGAACAAGTATCCCTGAATATAACATTTGCTTTCTCGCCATCATACTTTGCACATTCTCTTTCTGCTGATGGGAATATTTTCCCTCACTCTATCTTTGCTCTCCTAGCTGTCCTTCAGAATTCCCTAAACTTAACTTTGTGGGGTTTTGTCCTTCTTGTGGCCTTGGGATCACTTAACTCTTGTGTGGTCAATTTCCTTTCTGTAACAGTATCAATTTTTAAAGCCAAACGAGAATGATGGAAAGAACTAAGAGAACTGGGCTTTTTTCATGATCAGTTTTTTCACATTTCAAATGGTTAGTAATTTCGACCTTTCTAAGGCAACTTAATGGTTATAGGCAGTTGGTAGCCAGTATTTGTGATTTAATCTTTTAATTTTTTAATTTGCCAAAATAGCTCCACTTGTTAAAAAGAAATTTAATAAAAAGGATTGTTTTAAAATATATTTCTAGTACCAAGTGCTTTGGATAAAATAGAAGTCTCTTACATGCTCTTTTACTCTAAAATGTAAATCTTTATAAAACTTTACCAAACATGCAATGAAAATCTGAACTTTGAAATCTTACATTTTGCAGGAACATCTACTTGATGAGCTACTTTCTTTCTCCTTTTGTGGTGACTGAGTCTATTCCAGCGGATGATTTTATAACACAATTAAGAAACAAAAATGGGGCCTAGAAACTGAAGATGTCAGTACCCGAGCTAGGGCAAAGCAACTTCAGACTTTACAAGGCCATGGAGGTGAGGCTAAGACAGCCGGTGCCTGGAATCAGTACTCTCTGCCACCTCATCTTCTGCAATCTAATAAACCCAATCTTTCTCTTTTTTTTGAGACAGGGTCTCGCTCTGTCACCCAGGCTGGAGTGCAGTGGCATGATCTCAGCTCAGTGAAACATCCACCTCTCGGGCTCCAGCGATTCTCCCACCTCAGCCTCCTGAGTAGCTGGGACCACAGGTGTGTGCCACCACACCCGGATAATTTTTGTATTTTTTGTAGAGACTGGATCTCACCATGTCGCCCAGGCTGGTCTCCGACTCCTGAGCTCAAGTGATCCTCCTGCCATGGCCTCCCAAAGTGCTGGGATCACAGGCATGAGCCACCGTGCCTGGCCAAAACCCAGCATTTCTAAGGACTTCATTAACAAAGAAATAAGAACAATACCAACTCTAGTAAGCGACTTCTGTATTTTTATCCACAAACTAAATAATGCTAACAGTAATTTTTAAACCCATTTTTTTCCCTGTGAACATACATAGCTTATGCTTTTCCAATAACTAACATCTCTGAAAAAACTTTATCAGGGGTTATTCTGAGGCCATTCATTTTTTTCCCCTAGCTTTTATGAGCTCAAATAAAGCATTATAAAGCACTGGCTTGCCTGAGATCAGTTCATTTCAAGAGTCGTATAATTTAACCACTAAAGATTCTAGGATTCTTCAGGTTTAACCAATGCCACTAATTAAAAATGTGACTGTTATGCTTCCCATAGTTTCAATATTAGAAGAAATTCTACCTAGCTTCATGTAGTAAGTGTGACAGATGCATCCAATGGCATCCTTACGCATGCAGCAGGGTGTTAAAAAGAATGTAATCTGATGGAGAGCATTTCCAAAAACCAGACATTCACCACCAAAAAAAAAAAAAAAAAAAAAGAAAGGAAATGTCAGTTTATGAGTTTATGAAGCTTAAATCTAAAAGAATACCCAAAACTGGGAGTTTCCCCAGGTGTTGAGTGATTATGCAAACTTAGTTCAAAAGGTATATTATTTTTTATTTTTCTCCCAAAATTTTATTTTTTGGGAGAAAAATAAAAAAAGAGAAGGAGCCAGAGAAACTTCCACCCAACCTGTAGGAGGTGACTTTCTGTGCCCAGAGTCAATGCACTGAAATGCACTGCTAATGAGCTTACAGTTTGCTTTGCTTAGGCAATTTACAAACATGAGCCATGGACTGTTATTCACAAGTGCCACCAGCACTCACTCCAGGGGCTGGCATCTGTCAGGCTCCTCCCTGGAGGCCCTGAGCTCAGGCTGGAGCATCCCACAGGGCATGTTAAGTGAGATGGGAAACTGCCTGGGATTCACTGCAGGGACAGTCACTGACAGCCCATCTTAGTGTAAATTTGGATTCTAAAACTGAGTGGAAAGGAAAGGAAGATAACAACATACACTTGCCATCTTGTATTTTATTTTTTGATATCTGGAATTGAAATTCTACATAAAAGCTAAAGCAATTCTTTAAACTTTAATTCTATAGTTTAAAAGTATGAAGGCAGCAAATTTTTAAGACAATATTCACTGTTTTAAGCTGCTAAGTTTGGCAGAAATTTGTTATACAGGAATAGTGAATAGTGAAGAAGAGAGGTAACAGCTGTCATGCTTAATCGTGAGGGCAGAGTTAGAAGCAATGGATCAGAATTTCAGAAGGTGAAGGCAGTATTTTTATGCTGAGGACATCATCGAATAAAAAGGTATTCTCTAACTTTCCATTATTATCTATTTTGTCTCTTCTCTTTTCAGTATCTTTTCATTTCCAAATCATCCCTCCTTCCTTATTACCCTTTTCTGATCCTATTCTCCATGAACACTACATATGACTTACTTTTTTCCATGATGAAAATTGTTTGCTTTTACTGTAATTAAAAAGCAATTTTGGGCCAGGCGTGGTGGTTCACACCTGTAATCCCAGCACTTTGGGAGGCCGAGGTGGGCGGATCACAAGGTCAGGAGATCAAGACCATCCTAGCTAACACGGTGAAACCCCATCTCTACTAAAAATACAAAAAAAAAAAACAGATTAGCTGGGCGTGGTAGCGGGCGCCTGTAGTCCCAGCTACTTGGTAGGCTGAGGCAGGAGAATGGCGTGAACCTAGGAAGCAGAGCTTGCAGTGAGCCGAGATCGCACCACTGCACTCCAGCCTGGGTGAAAGAGCGAGACTCCATCTCAAAAAAAAGCAATTCTGATATTATAAAACCATAAGAAAAGATCCCTTCCAGGAAGAAAGCGCCCAACTAGTCAAACAACAGGGGCGACACAGGCAACATCTGACTGCTAATGGAGTTTCATGCCATTCAGCCACCTCTGTGAGCTCACAGCCAGGGCATACCTCAACAGGAAACTGAAATTTATGAGCAGTTCAAAAGGTAATACAAGCGTTGAGACAGAAAGGGATGGAGAATTTGTTTCTGGTTGTCAGAGGGGCCAAGGTAATGCAGATAAGGTGCTAAGGAAAGATCACAGACAGATACAAGTTCAAGGACACCAGAATAAATCAGTCTGAACTCCTACTTTTACAAAGAAGAAATATGAGACCCCACGAGTTCAGATGCCCTGTCTTAGAGAATCACATCTTCAAGTTTGCCCCAGCAGGGGCTCTCCTGAGAAACCCTCCTTCCTCTCAGCAACTGCTACTCCCATTCAGAGAACCATCACATTGAGTCAGGCTGACCTGCTTAAGTATCTCTTTTTCCCTGACTGGAAGCTCCTAATGGGCAGAGACAGTGAGCCGCGTTTTCCTAAGGGCTGGCACACACAAAAAAACACTTTGTAGGCTGGGTGCAGTGGCCCACGCCTGTAATCCCAGCACTTTGGGAGGCCGAGGCAGGCAGATCACAAGGTCAGGAGATTGAGACCATCCTGGCTAACACGGTGAAACCCCATCTCTAGTAAGAATACAAAAAATTAGCTGGATGTGGTGGTGGGTGCCTATAGTCCCAGCTACTCAGGAGGCTGAGGCAGGAGAATCCCTTGAACCTGGGAGGCAAAGGTTGCAGTGAGCCGAGATCACGCCACTGCACTCCAGCCTAGGCAACAGAGCAAGACTTTGTCTCAAAAAAAAAAAAAAAAAAAAAAAAAAAAAAAAAAACCCAACACTTGGTAAATACCTGCTGAATTAATATGTATGTGCAAGTGAAGCTGGCTAGTGGGAATGCCAAGACTGGAACACTTCGATCACAAGATGTGATCCAATAGGGACAGAACATTACAGAAGGTGGACTTTAAAGTCACATGAGGAGTGGGGTTCTGGCTCTTCTTAGTGTTGTATTCTAGGGAAAGCGACTTATTGACTCTAATCCATAATTATCTACCCTGCAACACTGTCATCAAGAATTAATTAGGTCCATTATGTAGCCCACAGAGAACAGTGCCCAGCTCAAAGTGAGCAATGCCTCTCACACGACATCATAAACCTCCCCACGTTTCTCACATTTCTGACTTGAGGATGTATTACATCCACGATGTACATTTAAAGGACGTAATATTTCTTTCTTTCTAAAAAGCAATTAATAAATCCATGAAGCCCCTAACAATGGGTACTGCTTTCAAATGAAGGTCATTCAACAATTTCTTTTCCTTTTTCCTGCCATCGATATTGGCCTAGATCAATGTTCTTCAAACTTCTGGTCAAGAAGCATCAAGGGTTATGAAATCCAGTCTCGGGTCATGAACACCATTCACTATGAACAGCATAGTGAACATGGACTGCACAGAATAATAATACAATAGTCCCTCTTTATCAATGGCGGAAATATTCCAAGACCCTCAGGGGATGTCTGAAACTGAGAATAGTACCAAACCTTAAATACAGTGTTTTCTCCTATACACATACCTATGATAAAGTTTAACTTATAAACTAGGCATAGCAAGGGATTAACAATGACAACAATACAATAAATCAACTGTAACAATATAGTGTAATAGAAGTTATGTACTACACTATATTGTTACAGTTGATTTATTGTATTGTTGTCATTGTTAAACCCTTAGGCCAGGCACGGTGGCTCACACCTGTAATCCCAACACTTTGGGAGGTCGAGGCGGGTGAATCGCCTGAGGTCAGGAGTTTGAGACCAGCCTGGCCAACATGGTGAAACCCCATCTCTATTAAAAATGCAAAAATCAGCTGGGTGTGGTGGCAGGCACCTGTAATCCCAGCTACCTGGGAGGCTGAGGCAGGAGAATCACTTGAACCCGGGAGGCAGAGGTTGCGGTGAGCCGAGATAGTGCCATTGCACTCCAGCCTGGGTTGACAAGAGCAAAACTCTGTCTCAAAAAAAAAAAAAAAAGTTACATAAATGTGATCTCTCCATCTCTCTCAAAATCTTATTGTACTATACTGTGAGTAACTGCAAGTGCAGAAAGTCTAAGGGGGGTGCCATTGTATGCATTTTTTCATGAGATGTGTTTCACTGTGTGTGTGCATATCCACGTGCATATGCATATACATAATGTATTTCTGGTCAAAGATGTCTGAGAAACACTGACCTAACTGCAATAGATAAACCTAGGACAGGTAAGCGTGGTCCTGGTGGGCAAACACATTGCTGCCTCACTGGTTTTGCCATTTTGAATCAAGAACTTGAAGAAGTTTAGGGGTTGGGGGAAGAGGTATAAGTGGGAAGGAGGAGGGACATACGAGGGTGGGGTAGAGTGAGGGAGGCTGAGTGTGTGGGCGTCCACGCACGCCTGCTCACAGGGCTAAACACACATATTGTCCCTTTCCTGCCTAGTTCACGTCTCTTCCAATAATGATTATGACAACCTATAAATGGGAAACTGCATGATTCTTTAAAACATCAAAGGGGAATATTCATTTTATTTTGGGTTCTAATGTCATTATATTATGCAATTAGTCTTTGACTTTAAAAAATCTTAAAAGTAAATATTACATTAGCTAATAATACAGTCAATCCAAAGCAAACCTCAGCCATGTTCCTTGGGAGGCCCTAGGACAACAAAGAGAACTAAAACCATGGTTCCTGTTCTCGAGAGGCATGCTGTCTTCCCAGGGCATCAGACAGTGAAGTAAGTGTATTAAAGGGAGATGCTGGAGGCCATGGAGACACTCCCAGCAGCTCCTACCTCAGGCCAGTAAGGCTATTTCAAAGGAGAATGAGTGTGAAAGGAATCCTGACACAAAGTGCCTTCAGGCACTGTTAGTAATAGGACCTGGCTACCACCATGAGGTATAGCTGTGAAAGATGAAACAGGAAATGAGACTGGACAGCAGACAGGAGCTCAGTGAAGGAATACCTCCCCAAAGTGCCCCCACATTCATCTCCACCTTGGATAAAACCAAAATGGCACCCTTAAATAAGGTCAAAGCAGCCAATGTCAAAGGCAAAGTCACGGCAGGATTCACACTCTGAAGAATGACTTTACAACATGGGAAAGAGTGTGTGAGTTATGAAACCGTGAAACAAAATTAACTCGGTATCATTAGTATAGCCATTTTATATTGAATTTAAAATGAAGTTATGAAAGTGATTACAGGCAAAAGTAGATATTTAAATCATCTGGGAGTTTCTGTCCTCTAATACGAAGAGCTCTATTTTCCTGAAGATCTGCATGGGTGCGTGCACGCGTGTGTGTGTGTGTGTGTGTGTGTTTATCTATACAAACCTACACACACATACATGGACAACAGTATAGGAAGCCATCTTTGTAATAGAACAATGAATACATTTGATAAGTTGTTCCATTAAAAAAAAAAAACTAGGAGAAAGGTTCATAATGTAAGCCTCTGTGAAACAATGCAAAGATTAAAATAGCCATTTTGAGAGGACACGTTTTTGATTCTTACCATATGCTAAAATAAAAGGATTCCAACAAGCTTTTGCCAACAGTTGACCAATTGTGGGGAATCTTTCAATGACTGTATTAGAATCCTGTGAAAGAAAAATAAATTTTGGTCAGTAAAGGCATTATGCAACTTAGAAATACTGAACTGACATTATAGATTGAGGGAACGTGAATGCTTCTTGTTTAGTATACCATTTTTAAAAGTAAGCACAAAAGGATTAGAGAAGATCTTTAGGTAAGTAATTCAAATAAAGTTTAAAAAGCAACCAACCAACTTACTTCATCCTTAAATGGGGTCACCAAACTAAGATGTATGACATAGGTAAAATCAATTGTGTTGCAAAATTAATTCTACTCATACTTAATAGTCAGTAAAGGCTACTTTATTTAAAAATAATAAAGACTGCTTAAGAGTTGAAAACACATTATTGGTGATTAATAACTATATAATCCCGTATCTTTATCCTGGTTTTTTTATTCTAACATAAGAGAGGTTACGAACTCAGCTCCAGTAAGACTATTTCAAAGAAGAAGGTTTAAAGGGATGAGAACTCTGGAACTTGTAAAAAGAAATAAAAGCAGCCAAAGCATAAATGTATATATCTGTTTATTACTATTTTGAGTACTGTATGGCAAATGACATCATAGTCTGTAACAATCTAAACCCTGAAATAGAAAAAGGATCAACCAAATAGAAAACAGCTTAAGATTTAAAAACACACATGCATGCTATTGTACAACCGGACCTTTTTCCACTTGTTACCTTTCATAAAATTTCAAAAATAAAAGCAAACTAGGATAACATGCAGGTAAGCCGACACAATGGGCACTTTCTGCTACTGCAGCAAAACATCTCTCACATGTGTCCCAGCATCAAGCCTGGTCCTACACTTTTTGGGACCATATAAAGGTCAAGTTACGTATGTCTCATTAAAAAAACAATTCTAAAAATTAGCATCGGTTGTTCACACAGACTGTATCTTTCCTTATAGTTTCTAAAGACATATGAACTCATATTATCAATACAAATTATTCTTCAAATTTCCTATTTACTCTTTGATTAAGGGAAGAAAAGCTTAACACAAGAACACTTTGTTAAGTGACAATTTTGCTTTTCATTTTGAAATTAAATACAAAATACTAGCTCATAATATAACAACATGTGCTAAATCATAAAAATATCTATCATAATAAAAGAAACATGACATCAAAATGAAAATATATTAAATTTTGAAAATAATAAATTATATAATAGTAAAGATACTCAAAATCTTAATATTTATAAAAAGTATTATAAGAAGAGATCTTAATATCTATCATCTCTTAGGACAGCCCACTTGACAAGAGGGTTGAAGAAGGGTTAAGCATGTAGCAAATTCTCCAAGATTCAAGGGACACAAAGGCCTTCAAAAGAATCCCATTTACTACTTGACAACAAGCATGAAATCTTGATTATTTAAGAACAACTTGCTTGGTCAGGAAGTGTCATGTAACAATACAGCTACTCAAGAAGAAATTATAATAATATAATAAATCGGAGACTAGGAAACCAGCTCTTGAGTAATTTGTCTTCCTAATCCATCGGCACTTCAGTCAATACCACAAGTCCCGATTCTGGGTGGCATTCTGTCTTGGTGAAATCTGGTAGAGTCCCTGAAGTCAGAAAATAATTTCATTATTCTGGTCCACTACTTACCATCTCTTTCAAGGCTTCATACATCTTCCTTAGGAACTCCTGGAACTGAGCCACGTGAAGACAGGTGTCTTGCTGGGTTTCCAAAGTGGAAGCCTGATCCCATACAGAAAGCTTCTGCATCCAAAACTGATAATCACAAGAAAGATCTACTGAATCTTGAGCCATCTTGGAAAAAGCGAAAAGGTGATGTCCCTTCACAGCAGCCTGTCCAGCACTGAAGGAAATGGTCGGCACACATTAAATCTGTAAGAAAGGGAACAAATAGAAGCATTTCTAAAAGGCTCTTTTATCAGTGCCTTCACGACCCATTGATGGGTGAAGGAGGGATTACAAAGAACTAAAATAGCATGGCTTCTATGCTGGAGCCATCTTTGAATTGTTATAAAATATGTCATCCAGCTGGAGCTCCAATTTTTACCATCTGAACTTTTTATCATGATACTATCATTAGGCTAGAAGTCTTTATACCTCCACAGGCACACGCTAATTATGCACAAAAAGCACAGCTGATAATACTTTATATCTTCTTTTTAAGATTGAGCTATTTTTAAATGTTCTGAATATGAAGTTGACTTGAGTATTTTAATGTAATAGAAAATAAAAAACATCCATGAGTGTTTAATAATAGTCTGTGCCTAAGAAATGTTTTTGAAGTTCTTATGTTTTATATGAATTTCTGGCTTCTCATTTAGGTGTAAAAAAATCTCTATGCATTACTGTCTAACGAATTTTTTTCCCAGTTTCTCTTCATTTCTTAGAAAAAAGTAAAATAATTTATTCCACATGTAACAATTTAAGCAATCTTTTAACTAAAGATTGCTTTATATGCTTGATCTCACTTCATTCACACGAAGAAACCATATTTTAGTAAAATAATAATAAATTCCACTTACTGAGGAGGTATACTAGTCCCAGTGACAGTAGATAAAATCTCATAAGCCTGACTTCCTACCCCTGAAGGCCATGCTAAAAAGAACAATGGAGTTACACAGTGAGACTCAGGTGGAGCTGGCTCAGCGGCTCCAGCTGCCCCTCCCATCCCACAACCCTTCATCACCCATGGAAGCCAGAAGCAGGAATCGCAGAGGAGGGAAGGCTGCCTCTCAACAGGTGCAGGCCTTCACAGGCTCTGACACTCCCCAGGGCAGGCAGGATATTCAGCAATGTAATTTCAAAAGACTAGTGGTAAATAAAGTGAGTTTAAAATCCTCAACAACCATAATTAACAGGTAAAATGCTCCCAATTAAATACCCAAGATATCAACAAAGGAGGTTCCCATTACTAAAGAAGAAATTTGAAACGACTGTACAATTTGGCTGCAGTGCAAAAAAATCTAGATCGGGAAAGTTTTAAAATACCTAAAAAATGTGCAGTCTTCATGTTCACTTGGGCAGCACACACACTAGAACATTTACAGTTTTGAGAAGGATCATGTCTAAATGAAAAGAAAGTTTAATAATAGAGGGAATATATGCAACTGTCAAAATGGCACTTAGCCAAAAATCTAGATAATGTCCATGCCTCCTCATTGTCTTCCTCATCCAAGCTATCATCACCACCTGTCAAGTCTACCACCAAAATAAATGTGTGTGATCCGACTTGACTGCATGCACTTCCTTCCACCTCATTGCCACCCCTCAGCCTAGCCCTGGAGTGTTGCACTTGTCTACTGCCAGGCTGGGCCTGCCCGTCTCCAATTCATTCTCTATGCAGTAGACAGAAAAAACTTTAGCAAATGTAAATGAGACCAGCACATTCCCCTGGGTAAAACCTCTCTTCACGCTTCCTTGAAAAGAAACTTAAACTCCCCGTAGATACTCCCAGCTGCTTGCTGGAGTCTTGAAGACCCTGCAAAACATGGCTCCAGCACCGTCTCTGACAGCCCTTATTTCCTCTCTCCCCAGCTCACCACGGTCCAGCCCATGCCTCTCATCTGCTTCATGCACACAACAAATCCTTTCTGCTGATTCCAGTTAATTATCCTGGGCTTTATTCGTTCACTTAGTTACCGCTTCCTCTACTGGTGTGTAAATTCCCTGTCTTCCTAGAATGCAGCATATGCCTGGCAAACACTCAAAAAATACTGAATTAAGGAATGAATAATTCACCGGTATTCCTCATAGTACAGTTCTAAGCTAAATGCCACAGCAAAACGCTTCTCCAGATGAAGTAATTTAATTTTATTTTTATGTTATGTATTTTTTTTTAGACGAAGTCTCACTCTATCTCCCAGGCTGGAGTTAAGTGGTGCGATGTTGGTTCACTGCAACCTCCACCTCCTGGGTTCAAGCGACTCTCCTGCCTCAGCCTCCCAAATAGCTGGGATTACAGGCACACACAACCACGCCCGGCTAATTTTTGTATTTTTAGTAGAGACGGGGTCTCACCATGTTGGCTAGGCGGGTCTCGACCTCCTGACCTCAAGTGATCCGCCCTCCTCTGCCTCCCAAAGTGCTGGGATTACAGGCATGAGCCACCGTGCCCAGCCAGTAATTTAATTTTTAAAAGGTAATTCCCCACCAAAAAAAATTTTAAGGTATTTTTATGTTGCCTGTGTGAAATTTAATTAGTAATATCTCATTTTATAAATATAATAATAGTTTATACTTGCATACATTTACACTATGCTCTTGGCAATATATTAAATACTTTATTCATACTAATTTAATCATTACAGCAACACTATGAAATGGGTACTATTATCATCTCCATTTTACAGAGGCACCAAGAGATTACATAATTGCCCAAAGTAAGATTATGTAAAAACTGAAAGGAAGTAACTGCTAGTTAACAGCAGAGCTATGATTGTGGAATATGAATCCAGGGTCTGGCTCTAAAGTCTGTGTCCTTAAAGAAACAAACTGAAGAGGCGGGGCACAGTGGCTCACACCTGTAATCCCAGAACTTTGGGAGGCCGAGGTGGATAGATCACCTGAGGTCAGGAGTTTGAGACCAGCCTGGCCAACATGGTGAAACCCCATCTCTACTGAAAATAACAAAAATTAGCTGGGCGTAGTGGCAGGAGCCTGTAATCCCAGCTACTTGGGAGGCAGAGGCAGGAGAATCACTTGCCCAGGAGGCAGAGGTTGCAGTGAGCCGAGACCGCACCATTGCACTGCAGCCTGGGAGACAAAGTGAGACTGATTCAAAAAAAAAAAAAAAAAAAAGAAAAAAAAAAGAAACAAAGAAACTGAAGAAACTAACAAACTGATGAATTTCTTATATATTTCATATGGCACTAGATGCAGATCAGTTTAGATATTTGGGAACCCAGTAAAATGAAGAACTTTTTGATAAAAGAGACAAACATTTTATTCAAATAAAATTGCAGGCCCGGGGCTGGGCGCCGTGGCTCACGCCTGTAATCCCAGCACTTTGGGAGGCAGAGACGGGCGGATCACGAGGTCAGGAGATTGAGACCATCCTGGCTAACACAGCGAAACCCCATCTCTACTAAAAATACAAAAAATTAGCCAGGCGTGGTGGTGGGCGCCTATAGTCCCAGCTACTCAGGAGGCTGAGGCAGGAGAATGGCATGAACCTGGGAGACAGCTTGTAAGTGAGCCGAGATCACTCCACTGCACTCCAGCCTGGGCAACAGAGCGAGACTCTGTCTCAAAAAAAAAAAAAAAAAAATGCAGGCCTGGAACAGTGGCTCATGCCTGTAATCCCAGCATTTGGCAGGCGGTCACAGGAGCATCGCTTGAGGCCAGGAGTTTGAGACCAGCCTGGGCAACATACCAAGACCCCATCTCTAAAAAAAAAAAATTTTTTTTTTTAATTAGCCATGCATAATAGCAGATGCCTATAGTCCCAGCTACTCTAGAGGCTGAAGCAGGAGGATCGCTTGGACCCAGGAGTTCAAGGCCTCTGTGAGCTAGGATAGCACCACTGCACTCCACACTCCAGCCTGTGTGAGACAGCCAGACTGTCTAAAAAAGAAAAAAAGGCAAACAACCTTCGCTCAGCAATAGAAATGTATCTGATTGTTTTAAATGCAAACAGCTTTAGGAATCATGCAGTGCACTGATCCTCAATATGCTGCTCCACAACCTCTGGGGCTGGGAGGGGTGAAAACATGGTGCTGTAGTTGTGATGACCAGGGAGTGTGGGTGATGGCTGCTGCCAGCATCTGGTTAATTAAAGTACCCTGTGCCATCGGCCACATGTGGGATGATCACACCTGTTGGGCATATCTGACCCTGCTGGGAATCTGAGTCTTGACAGGTAGAACTCAGTCATTCAAAGGCTCTCTTAATCTAGATCCCTAGAGGTATCTGAGCTCATGTTCTTAATAATGTAAGGTGTTTCTCTCAACATTTTAAATCAATATTTTTAAATATTTCACTCCACTCTCTTCTTCCTTACATGGTTTCTGAGGAGAAGTTGAATGTTCTGCTCCTCTACAGGTAAAGTGCATTTTTCTTCCGGCTTCCATTCAAAATAAGAAAGCTTCCTGTATTAGTGGTATGGTGTCTGACATTAACTTGGAAAATTCTCAGTAATTACTGTTTCAGATATTTCTCTTTTAAAAAATTTTTTATTCCCATAGGTTTTGGGGGAACAGGTGGTATTTGGTTACACGGTAAGTCCTTTAGTGGTGACTTGTGAGATTCTGGTGCACCCATCTCCCATTGCAGAAGACAATTTTTTCATGGACCAGGGCGGGGGCAGGGATGGGGGGGATGTGTTTGTGGGATGAGAAACTGTTCCACTTCAGATCATCAGGCATTAGTCACATTCTCATATGGAGCGTGCAACCTAGATCCCCTGCATGTGCAGTTCACAAGAGGATTCATGCCCCTATGAGAATCTAATGCCGCCACTGATCTGACAGGGAGCGGAGCTCAACCAGTGATGCTCACTGGCCTACTACTTACCTCCTGCTGTATGGTCTGGTTCCTAACAGGCCACGGACTGGTACCGGTCTGTGGCCCGGGGCTTGGGGAACCCTGCTTTAGAGGAAAGGAAGATGTGCTATTGGGAAGGTGTGCAAGAATGGCACCAAGATGCTGGCAATATTCTATTTCCTGACCTGTGTGGCAATGACTATCTATCCACATTTTAATAACTCACCAAAGTATAAATCGTATTTATATGCTTTTCAATATGTTACTTTCTACAATTAAAAAATAGTTTTTAAAACCTCCACAGGCTGGCAAGATGGCCGAATAGGAACAGCTCTGGTCTGCAGCTCCCAACAGGATCAATGCAGAAGGCAGGTGATTTCTGCATTTCCAACTGAGGTACCCGGCTCATCTCACTGGGACTGGTTAGACAGTGGGAGCAGCCCACGGAGGGTGAGCAGAAGCCAGGTGGGGTGTCACCTCACCCAAGAAGCACAATGGATTGGGGAACTCCCTCCCCTAACCAAGGGAAGCCGTGAGGGACTGTGCCGTGAGGAATGGTGCATTCCAGCACAGACACTACGCTTTTCCCATGGTCTTCGCAACCTACAGACCAGAAGATTCCCTTGGGTGCCTACACCACCAGGGCCCTGGGTTTTAAGCACAAAACTGGGCGGCCATTTGGGCAGACACCGAGCTAGCTGCAGGAGTTTTTTCATACACCAGTGGCACCTGGAACACCAGCGAGACAGAACCGTTCACTCCCTTCAAAAGGGGGCTGAAGCCAGGGAGCCAAGTGGTCTAGCTCAGTGGATCCCACTCCCAAGGAGCCCAGCAAGCTAAGATCCATTGGCTTGAAATTCTGGCTGCCAGCACAGCAGTCTGAAGTCAACCTGGGATGCTTGAGCTTGGTGGGGGGAGGGGCGTCCCCCATTACTGAGGCTTGAGAAGGCGGTTCTCCCCTGACAGCGTAAACAAAGCCGCAGGGATGTTCGCTCAGCAAAGCCGCTGTAGCCAGACTGCCTCTCTAGATTCCTCCTTTCTGGGCTGGGCATCTCTGAAAGAAAGGCAGCAGCCCCAGTCAGTAGCTTATAGATCAAACTCCCATCTCCCTGAGACAGAGCACCTGGGGGAAGGGGTGGCTGTGGGCGCAGCTATAGCAGAATTAAACGTTCCCGCCTGCTGGCTCTGAAGAGAGCAGCAGATCTCCCAGCACAGCATTTGAACTCTGCTAAGGGAAAGACTGCCTCCTCAAGTGGGTCCCTGACCCGCATGCCTCCTGACAAGGAGACACTTCCAAGCAGGGGTCGACAGACACCTCATACAGGAGAGCTCCGGCTGGCAACTGGCGGGTGCCCCTCTGAGACGAAGCTTCCAGAGGAAGGATCAGGCAGCAATATCTGCTGTTCTGAAACCTCCACTGGTGATACCCAGGCAAACAGCGTCTGGAGTGGACCTCCAGCAAACTCCAGCAGAGGGGCCTGACTGTTAGAAGGAAAACTAACAAACAGAAAGGAATAGCATCAACATCAACAAAAAGGACGTCTACATAAAAACCCCATCCGAAGGTCACTAACATCAAAGACCAAAGGTAGATAAATCCATGAAGATGAGTAAAAACCAGCACAAAAAGGCTGAAAATTCCAAAAACCAGAATGCCTCTTCTCCTGCAAAGGATCACAACTCCTCTCCAGCAAGGGAACAAAACTGGACGGACAATTAGTTTGACAAACTGACAGAAGTAGGCTTCAGAAGGTGGGTAATAACAAACTCCTCCAAGCTAAAGGAGCATTTTTTAACCCAATGCAAGGAAGCTAAGAATCTTGAAAAAAGGTTAGAGGAACTGCTAACTAGAATAATATAAATGACCTGATTGAGCTGAAAAACACGTCATGAGAACTTCGTGAAGCATACACAAGTATCAATAGTTGAATCGATCAAGCAGAAGAAAGGATATCAGAGACTAAAGATCAGCTTAATGACATAAAGCATGAAGAGAAGGTTAGAGAAAAAAAAAATGAAAAGGAACAAACTAAGCCTCCAAGAAATTCGGGACTATGTGAAAAGACAAAACCTACGTTTAATTGGTGTGTGGTGTACCTGAAAGTGACAAGGAGAATGGAACCAAGTTGGAAAACACTCTTCAGGGTATCATCCAGGAGAACTTCCCTAACCTACCAAGACAGGCCAACATTCAAATTCAGGAAATACAGAGAATGCCACAAAGATACTCCTCGAGAAGAGCAACCCCAAGACATGTAATTGTCAGATTCACCAAAGTTGAAATGAAGGAAAAAATGTTAAGGGCAGTCAGAGAGAAAGGTCGGGTTACCCACAAAGGGAAGTCCATCAGACTAACAGCGGATCTCTCTGCAGAAACTCTACAAGCCAGAAGAAAGTGGAGGCCAATATTCAATATTCTTAAAGAATTTTCAACCCAGAATTTCATATCCAGCCAAACTAAGTTTCATAAGCGAAGGAGAAATAAAATCCTTTGCAGACAGGCAAATGCTGAGAGATTCTGTCACCACCAGGCCTGCCTTACAAGAGCTCTTGAAGGAAGTATTAAATATGGAAAGGAAAACCCAGTACCAGCCACCGCAAAAAAATACCAAATTGTAAAGACTATCGACTCTGTGAAGAAACTCCATCAACTAATGGGCAAAATAACCAGCTAGCATCACAATGATAGGATCAAATTCACACATAAAAATATTAACCGTAAATGTAAACGGGCTAAATGCCCCAATTAAAGGACACAAACTTGCAAATTCAATAAAAAGTCAAGACCCATCAGTGTGCTGTAAGGAGACCCATCTCACGTGCAAAGACAGACATAGGCTCAAAATAAATGGATGGAGGAATATTTACCAAGCAAATGGAAAGAAAAAAAAAAGCAGGGGTTGCAATGCTAGTCTCTGATGAAACAGACTTTAAACCAACAAAGATCAAAAAAGACAAAGAAGGGCATTACATAATGGTAAAGGGATGAATACAACAAGAAGAGCTTACTATCCTAAATATATATGCACCCAATACAGGAGCACCCAGATTCATAAAGCAAGTTCTTAGAGGCCTACAAAGAGACTCAGACTCCCGCACAATAACAGTGGGACACTTTAACACTCCACTGTCATATGAGACAGATCAACGAGACAGAAAATTAACAAGGATATTCAGGATTTGAACTCAGCTCTGGACCAAGTGGACCTAATAGACATCTACAGAACTCTCCACCCCAAATCAACAGAATATACATTCTTCTCAGAACCACATCACACTTCTGTTAAAACTGACCACATAATTGGAAGTAAAACACTCCTCAGCAAATGCAAAAGAACGGAAATCATAACAGTCTCTCAGATCACAGTGCAATCAAATTAGAACTCAGGATTAAGAAACTCACTCAAAACTGCACAACTACATGGAAACTGAACAACCTGCTCCTGAATGACTACTGGGTAAATAATGAAATGAAGGCAGAAATAAAGAAGTTATTTGAAACCAATGAGAACAAAGACACAACGTACCAGAATCTCTGGGACACAGCGAAAACAGTATTTAGAGGGAAATTTATAGCACTAAATGCCCACAAGAGAAAGCAGGAAAGATCTAAATTGACATCCTAACATCACAATTAAAAGAACTAGAGAAGCAAGAGCAAACACATTCAAAAGCTAGCAGAAAACAAGAAATAACTAAGATCAGAGCAGAACTGAAGGAGACAGAGACACAAAAAACCCTTCAAAAAAATCAATGAATCCAGGAGCTGGTTTTTGGAAAAGATTAACAAAATAGATAGACCGCTAGTCAGACTAATAAAGAAGAAAAGAGAGAAGAATCAAATAGACACAATAAAAAATGATAAAGAATATCACCACTGATCCCACAGAAATACAAGCTACCATCAGAGAATACTATAAACACCTCTACACAAATAAACTAGAAAATCTAGAAGAAATGGATAAATTCCTGGACACATACACCCTCTTACACCCTCTCAAGACTAAACCAGGAAGAAGTTGAATCCCTGAATAGACCAATAACAAGTTCTGAAATTGAGGCAGTAATTAATAGCCTACCAACCAAAAAAAGCCCAGGACCAGACAGATTCACAGCCGAATTCTACCAGAGGTACAAAGAGAAGCTGGTACCATTCCTTCTGAAACTATTCCAAACAATAGAAAAAGAGGGACTCTTCCCTAACTCATTTTATGAGGTCAGCATCATCTTGATACCAAAACCTGGCAGAGACACAACAAAAAAAGAAAATTTCAGGCCAATTCCCTGATGAACATCAATGCGAAAATCCTCAATAAAGTACTGGCAAGCCAAATCCAGCAACACATCAAAAAGCTTATCCACCACAATCAAGTCGGCTTCATCCCTGGGATGCAAGGCTGGTTCAACATATGCCAGTCAATAAATGCAATCCGTCACATAAACAGAACCAATGACAAAAACCACATGATTATCTCAATAGATGCAGAAAAGGCCTTCGATAAAATGCAACATCCCTTCATGCTAAAAACTCTCAATAAACTAGGTATTGATGGAACGTATCTCAAAATAATAAGAGCTATTTATGACAAACCCACAGCAAATATCATACTAAATGGGCAAAAACTGGAAGCATTTCCTTTGAAAACTGGCACAAGTCAAAGATGCCCTCTCTCACCACTCCTGTTCAACATAGTATCGGAAATTCTGGCCAGGGCAATCAGGCAAGATAAAGAAATAAAGCATATTCAAATAGGAAGACAGGAAGTCAAATTGTCTCTGTTTACAGATGACATGATTGTATATTTAGAAAACCCCACTGTCTCAGCCCAAAATTTCCTTAAGCTGATAAGCAGCTTCAGCAAAGTCTCAGGATACAAAATCAATGTGCAAAAATCACAAGCATTCCTATACACCAATAACAGACAAACAGAGAGCCAAATCATGAGTGAACTCCCATTCACAATTGCTACAAAGAGAATAAAATACCTAGGAATACAACTTACAAAGGATGTGAAGGACCTCTTCAAGGAGAACTACAAACCATTGCTCAGGGAAATAAGAGAGGACACAAACAAATGGAAAAACATTCCATGCTCACGGATAGGAAGAATAGATATCATGAAAATGGTCATACTGCCCAAAGTAATTTATAGATTCAGTGCTATCCCCATTAAGCTACCATTGACTTTCTTCACAGAATTAGAAAAAACTACTTTGAATTTCATATGGAACCAAAAAAAAGTCCATATAGCCAAGACAATCCTAAGCAAAAAGAACAAAGGTGGAGACATCGCACTACCTGACTTCAAATTATATACTACAAGGCTACAGGAACCAAAACAGCATGGTACTGGTACCAAAACAGAGATATAGGCCAATGGAACAGAACAGAGGCCTCAGAAATAACGCCACCCATCTACAACCATCTGATCTTTGACAAACCTGACAAAAACAAGCAATGGGAAAAGGATCCCCTATTTAATAAATTGTGTTGGGAAAACTGCTAGCCATATGCAGAAAACTGAATTAGGACCCCTTCCTTACACCTTATACAAAAATTAACTCAAGATGCATTAAAGACTTAAATGTAAGACCTAAAACCATAAAAACCCTGGAAGAAAACCTAGGCAGTACCATTTAGGACATAGGCATGGACAAAGACTTCATGACTAAAATACCAAAAGCAATGGCAACAAAAGCTAAAATTGACAAATGGGATCTAATTAAACTAAAGAACTTCTGCACAGCAAAAGAAACTATCATTAGAGTGAACGGGCAACCTACAGAATGGGAGAAAATTTTTGCAATCTATCCATCTGACAAAGGGCTAACATCCAGAATCTACAAGGAACTTAAAACAAATTTACGAGAAAAAAACAACCCCATCAAAAAGTGGGCAAAGGATAAGAACAGACACTTCTCAAAAGAAGACATTTATGCAGCCAACAAACATATGAAAACAAGTTCATCATCACTGGTCACTAGAGAAATGCAAATCAAAACCACAATGAGACACCATCTCACGCCAGTTAGAATTGGCGATCATTAAAAAGTCAGGAAACAACAGATGCCGAAGAGGATGTGGAGAAACAGGAACGCTTTTACCCTGTTGGTGGGAGTGTAAATTACTTCAATCATTGTGGAAGACAGTGTGGAGATTCCTCAAGGATCTAGAACCAGAAATACCATTTGACCCAGCAATCCCATTACTGGGTATATAAGGATTATAAATCATCCTGCTATATAAAGACACATGCACACATGTATGTTTATTGCAGCACTATTCACAATAGCAAAGACTTGGAACCAACCCAAATGCCCATAAATGATAGACTGGATAAAGAAAATGTGGCACATATACACCATGGAATGCTATGCAGCCATAAAAAAGGCTAAGTTCATGTCCTTTGCAGGGACGTGGATGAAGCCGGAAGCCGTCATTCTCAGCAACCAACACAGGAACAGAAAACCAAACACCACATGTTCTCACTCATAAGTGGGAGTCGAACAATGCGAACACATGGACCCAGGGAGGGGAACATCACACACCGGGGCCTGTCAGGGGGTTGGGGGACTAGGAAAGGGATACCATTAGCAGAAATACCTAATGTAGATGACAGGTTGATGGGTGCAGGAAACCACCATGGCACGTGTATACCTGGCTAACAAACCTGCACATTCTGCACATGTATCTCAGAACTTAAAATATAAAAAAAAAAAAAAAACTTCCAGATACACATTTACCATAAAGACATCACCCCACAGGCAAAGAAAAAAGGAAAAAGTATTATAGTTTATAAATGTGAATAAAGATGGACAGTACTTGATGAATACAACAAAATTTTGCAAATTGTTGAAATAGTATGTATTTTCTGTTTGTTTGTTTTTTTAACTGAGTTCTCTGTCTGGAAATATTAAAACCACCCACCAGGATGGGCAGAGATAACAGTCCTAGCACTTGCTCCCTCCTTTTCCTTCCAGTCCTCAAATAATGACTCCATTTTTCCAGTCCTGGCTCTAAGGAGGGGAAAATCCAAAACCTGCTGTCTGGACCCCCTATCTTACCTGTACGGCTACTGCTTTGCCCCAGAGGGCTTTGTCACAAAGAGGGAGAGACGTTCAATTCATTATTCACGGAGGAATAAGACAGTGTCACCCGAAGCAGACATATAAGGTGGCTTCCGTGCAGCTCCAAAAAATGCATGCCTTGAAAAATGGGGCTGATTCTTCAGATTTATGGTAATTTCAACTTTTTTCACAGATGTACTACTTTTTTATCGCAGGTAATCTACAAACCTATTAGACAATTGACAGCTGACTATATTTTTTGCTCAATACCAAAATCCTTTATCTTGCTCCAAATGTAAGTCCTTGACTTTCTTATGATTCTGCCTAGTGTATGTACCTAAATTCATTTCATTACTAGCTCTTAGAGAAATACTGTTTAGCATTTTTAAGAAATAAAAAAGGTAAATGTTTTATAACATATTTCCTGAAAACTCAGGATGTTAACAAGTATTTTGTGCATACACGCACAGCATATACTAATGCAGCAAAAGCAATTGGCATGAAAAATCAGAAGGAAATCCACTTTTTCCATTTCTTGCATAATGTATCTTTTAGTGCATTTACCCAGTCCCTAAGGAATCAAAACAAACCATGATTTCACCTTCTCCACGTATGCAGACTAAAAACAACAGAAGCTGTTAGATCCCTCAGTAAGTATTTCCAGGAGAAAATAAAGAAATTAAATAAAGACCTTCAGAAATTCCTATGCAGAGGGGACTAAAGCAAAGTCGTATGAGCAGAGAGATGCAGACGCTGGAACAGAAGGCAGTGTCCAGTGAAGGACCCACACATGCTTGATCCTGTCCCTGTTTCCTGCCAGGTGGGAGCGGATCCTTCAGAAGCAGGAAGAGGTGAGGGGCTGGGATAAAGTACCAAGGGAAACCAGCCATGGGGCCATGCAAACATCCAAGATACTGAAAAGGAACCAGTTCACAATGGCATCAGCTTAGGACCACTGCCATTGCCCTTCTTCTCACACATATAAATTGCTCAAGAGTTTGGTTGCTTGTTAAGTACTATTTTATGAACTCAAATAGCCATGATACAAAGATACACCACTGTCCACAGGGGCTCATGGTCTGAGTCACCGAGATAACATGGCTCAGATTCAAAGTACAGCAGGCAACAAAGAGTATTACCTCAGGACTAAAGGTTCCTCATTTTGGTGAATTCTATCCTTTAGGAGAAGGATATATTCAAAAACTTCATGGAAAATGTACCTTACAAGAATATGGAGCTCACCAAGCACAATTCATGAGAGCAGAAGGAAGTAAAAGCATTAAAACACTTGAGCAGTGTCTGAAGAAAGATAACAAAGAGGGAGGAGACGCTGGGTGACAGGCTGGGGCAATGCATCCTAATTCATTAAAAACAAACAGAAAACCATCTCCCTTCACTTAGAACGGCTACTATCAAGAAAACAACGACAAGTGTTGATGAGGACACAGAGAAACCAGAACTCTCGTGCACTGCTGGTAGGAATGTAAAATGGCGCAGCTGCTACGAAAAACAGTATGGTGGTTCCTGAAAAAACTAAACATAGAATTACCATTGATCCAGCAATCCCACTTCTAGGTATATACCCAAAAGAATTAAAAGCAGGGTTTCAAAGAGATATTTGTACACCCAATTTCATAGCAGCGTAACAGCCAAAAGTGAGAACAACTCAAATATCCATCAGTGGAGAAAAGGATACACGAAGTGTGGCATATGCACACACTGGAATATCATTCAGCCTTAAAAAGGAATGTAATTCTGATACATACAGGAATAAATCTTGAAAACACCATGCTAAGTGAAATCAGACAAAATGCGGAAGGACAGATATTCTTTGATTCCACACAGATGAGGTACCTACAATAGTCAAATTCACAGAGGCAAATTAATTCATGAGGGGAGACAGTAATGGAATGTTACTGCTTAATGGGTAGAGTTTCTGTTTGGGATAACGGGAAAGTTCTGGGGATGGATGGCGGCAATGGTTAAACAATGTTAATGTAATCAATGCCACTGAATTACATGTAAAAGTGGTTAAGATGGTTACAATCTTATTTATATTTACCACAATTAAAAAACCAACAACACACAAATGACAAACCTACAGTGGCTCCAGTCCTGGCTGGCCCAGCAGAGGTGGGGCCTGGAGAACATGCTGCATCCCTGCCCTGCTGTCTCCTCAGGGCCCCCTCAGAACAGGGCTGCACACACTGCTAGTTGCCCACCCAGCAGCCCTAAGCTCTCCATTTCCTCTTTGTTAAGAGTTTTGTCCAGGAATCTCAAGGCCATATGTCTTAGGGAGACTGGGATATCCGCCAGTGCCAGGGGTGAATCTTGATTCACACAGAGCAGGTAATTTCAAATGTTTTGTTCTCAGGGCCCATTTACATCCTTCAATGTTACTGAAGACCCCAAAGAGTTTTATTTATATATATATGTGTGTGTGTGTGTATGTATGTGTATATATATATATATCTATATATATATAGATATAGATAGATAGATAGATAGATAGATATTTACCACCAGAAACTAAAACTGAGAACAATTAAAAAGACAAAATATACAAACACACATTCCATTAGCTGTCAGAGAGAGGTCATCATCATCTATCATGTAACCTCTTGACAACGCCACCGCACACTAGTGAGCGAATGCGAGTCGAAAAGGCAAATAGCAGCTTAGCATTATTATAAAAATAGTTTTACCCTTGTGAACCTCCTAAAAGGGTCTCGGGGACCCTGGGCCCTCAGCCACATTTTGGGAATGGCTAGTACAGACCAGTCATGGTATTTACTTTTGCTCGCCTATCAAACTGTAGGAACAGGTATATTATGGAAATATAGGGCATGAGAACTGAACTTCAACAAAAGGTTTCTCAGTTTTCCTCAGTTTTAAATGAGTTCACTTTTTTCCATATCTGACATAGTAGTCTTTGTGTGATACTCAGAACGGTAACAGTCACCTTGAGACCCAGGGATAAGGAAACCTGAGGGGACTGGCCAACATACTGCAAACAGCAAAGAAGAATCACAGCCCCGTGTCCTCACAGCATAGTTGAGGCAATGAAGGAGCCAAATGTGGAACTGCTCTTTTTGCTTAATCCCTTAACACCATTCTTTGGCTTTCCTGTTACTTGCAATCAAACACATCCTAGCTGACACATCTCAGGACCTAGTTTGCTGAGCATATTTTGAAACCCACAAACTCACACAATACTTGGCACATTGTAGGAGCATGATAAATATGTACTGAACAAATGTATGGAAAATAAATACATAAAAAAAGCAACAAGGCTGTTGTAGAAGAAAAATAAAACAGATAAAATTCTGACTGATTTTATGTTGATAGAAACCCCTGTAGCTCCAAGATTGTTAACATTTAAAACAAAGCTCATTTTAAACCACACAAAAGTAGCTATACATGGTACCTGTCAGGGGGACAAGAAAGTCTAAGAATGCTTTCCTTTGGTCTAAAACATCTCTAAGCCCAGAGAGCTAAGTCTACTCATGCCAAATATGGACCATATAAGCTTCTCAAAGTGGAGGCGACCTGATAAAGTGCACTTTTTTCCCATTTACCCTCAGCATGAGGTCCTTTCTCTCATGAAATAAGCACCAAACAGGAGATGTATGGAGAGAATGCTACAAAACACACTAATTATGGAAAAAGAAAAAAAAGACAAATCAAATACTTAGCTTCCAATCAATCAATGTCATCAACTAGGGGCACCATGACCTTGTCAGAAAATATTTAAAACCCCCTAAAATATAATCAAATATAAAATTAAGAAATTTATGTTCAATTCCACTTAAGTTGACAAGATTCTTCCTCTTCCTTGATGAAAGCCTGATAACTATTTTTAATTTGCTGAAATGTAATGTTTCTTTGCTTCACTTCACAGGGTAAGACTGGTCAATTTACCCCTGTGTTTGTGGCTTTTTTTTTTTTTTTGAAAGTCACAATAAAAGATTCTTGTTCCCATTAAGTGCTTATGAAAGAAACAAATGGTATTTTTCCTCCTAAAACCAATGAGGTTTTAAGAAAAGTTCCACTAGGAGGAGCTGGCTATTTCTCTGTTGAGTCAGTGGCGTTCCACCTCTGAGATAGTCTAATCAAAAACACAGACCTGAAATTTGCAGATAATTTCAAACAAACCTCAATTGTAAACAAAATCTGGGCCTAAGGAATTGGAGGAGGCAACTTCAATCCAGGTGCAGAGTATGTATATATACTCTTCAGATGACTTTGCAAAGAATTAAGGAAACTGAATCTAGCAGATAACTCTGGGGATTTACTAGGCTCAATTCTCCCACCCAAGACCTCAGCAATGGGGGGAGAGGAGCTATTCTCTGGACTTGGCTTCAAAATAAAAGCATCCCTTCACCACAGCGCTTGCCATCGAGGCTGCTAAGACAGAAATCTCTGACCTTGTTCTCCATCAGAGCACCAAGGAGCCATCATTCGGACTTGAAAAATACCAGCCTTCCCTCATGCATTCTATTACAATCATTACTTCCTTTCCTTGCGTTTCTTGTCCTCACTTCACTTACCTGACAGTAAGACTTGGGTTTTGGTTAGACCAGTTAGAAAGTGAGCTGAGGAACACATTAGTTATTAAAATATTAGGAAGCTTCTTCTTGCCTTGTGACTTGGCTCCAAGTTATTTCTGCCTCTTTCTCTCCTTGATTCTACAGGTAATTTATTACTACCTAAACAAAAACAAGGAAACCCATACATTTATTAGGAGCCTATTTTATGACAAGAGCTCTGAAAATCACTGCAAATAAAAAGATGACAGTGTTCCCCACTCTCAAGCAACTTATGGCTAATGAGGAAATTGGGACCCATACACAGATTACACTGTGGGAAGGGCTGGGAGAGAAGGAAACACAGGGGGCTGCAGGCAGCATGAGGAAGGGGCACCAGCCCGGCATGGAGGTGTCAGAGTCCCCAGAGAGAAACGATCCTGAGCTAAGCAGGTCAGGAAGCATGAGCAGGAGTGAGCTAAAGACATCAAAATCAAATGCAAGGTGCTTGCTGCAACCAACAGCAAGAGTTAAATTACCATTTGACCCATGGTTCTCAAACTTAAAAACTGTTGAGAGCTCCCAGTATTATCTAAAGTCATTCTTCTTATTAGTTAAATATTAACAAACATAAACCAGTAAAACCTTTATGCTTGTAACTCTTACACAACCACAATATAAAAAATATACAAATTAAATACCAACAAATCTACAAAATGAGTAAAATTTAAATTGACAAAATTAATTCAGCGTGATCAATGATGCAGTCATTGAAACTCACTTTGGACTAACCATGTAGGGCTTGGTACCGACAGGCAGGTTCTGTTGACTGGCCAATACTAACACATGCAGGGAGACAGCTTAATTCACGCATCACTTTCCTCTTCAGAACCACTGTGCAACGGCAATCTCTTAGCTCAAACACGTTATTTACATTTTCACCTCTGTTCTTTTATAATATCTCCCTATATTTAAAGCAGTGCTCCTTGGCACCAATACAAACACAACTCCAGGCACTGAAATTTTAAGACATTACTTAGTTAGAATTGCAGGCATTTAGGTGTGTGGAATTATGAATTTTTAAAAAATTACCACCAAAATGAAAAATAGAAGGTGAAACCTTTGTAGAGAACCATAGCACCCTAATAAATCCCACCTGCCTAATCCCACTCATCTTTTGGGGCCTGCAAGCCTCAGACGGAGTTTAAGTAACTATATGCTATGGGTCACTGAGCTCACATAGGAAGCGTTCTTGTGGTTAGCTTTCAGTACTATGTAAAACCAAGTATCTTTCTTTCCTTTAAACTCTCTGCCCATGTGACTTCCAGTTAAGATGGCACGGTAAATTCACTTTTGGATGGATTCTCTTTACTCCAAACATACAGCAATGAGAGGGGAAACATAAAAAGAAAAAAGGAAAAGGATACAGGCAAGCACACACACAAAATAAACATTTCTATGAAATCGATACGAGACAGAAACACAAAGAGGCAAGACCCCGAGGACAAAACCATGAGCAGCCAGCCCCTCCTATGCTAGGGTCCAAAAACAGGCAATGAAACTGTAGGTTTGGGTCTTAGAAGGGTTGGGGGCTAAACAGAGGCACAAACGACAGAGTGAGAAACTAGCACCCTTGCTGGAAGGTGGGATGGAAGGTGCTGACTAGAGCCCTACCCCTCCATGCCTGAAGGAAGGCTCGCAGCATCCTTGCCTCCTATGGAGTGGCGGTCTAGGGAGGATGGAGGACACCTGTCAGGCAGGACCAGGCACTGCGTGAAGCAGCCATGAATGCCCAGGTAACTAAGCCCCCACTGTGAAAGCTAGTTCTGCACCCAGGCTCCATGGAAGCCAGACAGAGACAAGCAGAATGAGGCTACACAGGGGAGAGTGTGCAGAGAGGGAGAAAGAGGCGAAAAATGACTGAATGAGTGAAAAGTTTTTAAAACCTCATTCAAAACATGTCATTTAACCAAAGTTCTAAAGTACATGAAGAAATAAATGCAACTAACAATATCAGACATTAGATCACAAATTCACTTCAGATGAAGTTAATCAGTCCAACAAATAGGTATATTTAGATGCTAAAAAATCCTAACAAAGTATACTTAAGACACTAAAATAATCCCAACAAAATATATTTAAGGTGATTTTTAAAACCAACAAAAATCAGTATATTTAGGGTGCTTTTTAAAAAAGCTAATTAAAAAATAAGAAAGTATAAATTGAAAAGGCAGAATTAAAAGATGGCTAAAAAAAAATCAACTGCAAAGTATGTAAATCAGGACTACGGTCATTAAAACCTAAAAACTCAGTGCACAAGATACTAGACAGTAGACTGGAGAGGAAGCACTCTGTCTTGACAAAACACACTGCACATCACTGGATCTGCAGCAGCACAGCTCAGGAGCCCAGCTGCTGGCCCCACAGCCTGGCCTCACTCGGACCTGGCTGGTAGCCTTTCGACATCACAGGTGACTGAATGGGTCAGATCAGCACATCCAGGCTGTGAGTCCCACTAGCATTTTGCCTCTCCCCTACCAGTTGGTGGATATAGGTGAAGTAACTTTCGTTTTATACAACCCCTACAGAAACTTGATGAAAAAGCAGACCCTGAAATGCTTCAGGCAACAGATTTGTCCTCCTTGTAATAGATAACTCACTCTGGATTTAAATTTATCTTCTTTGCCCACCACACTTCTCCAGCATCACCAAATGTGGACTTGACTGGATTCCTTATTCACCATCATGGTATCACAACCAACTTCGGACCAAGGAACTCATTATATAGCAAAAGGAGTAAAGCAATGGGCTCCTGCCAAAAGGGTCTGTTGTCAGCTAAGTTACTACTAGCTGCTGCATGAACTCGATGGCTTTCACCTGTATTCCTTCATCACTTCCAAATTTCTCTACTACATATTTATTTCTTTCTGCTGCATCTTCTCTGAAGCTTAAACAGGAAACAAACATTAACATAAAGGAAAACATAAACAAGAATGATACCCTGAGTTATGTGGAAAGGAACTTTGATTTGAGGAATCACAGATGAATAACAATATAAAAAATCTTGGAAAACTGGTAACAATACACATCGTAATTGTTTGGATAAACAGTCACATTTTTTTTTTCTTTAAAAGGTTAGAAAACCTCTCATTTAGGTTCCCCTGGAAAGCAGAGCTCAGACAGGCTAGAGAAGGTAAAGACCTTAATTCACCCCCTCATTTCCAAAGACAGAAAGCCTCTCACCAGACCAGCCATGTGATGCCCTCCAGGTGTGTGCCTGGCAGCTATGAAAGGGGACTGACAGGACACAGGCCCTGGAACCAGCCGCTGTGCTCTCAGAACCTCTCCAAAGCCGATGCTATGCTATAGCACAAGAGCACCACCTACTGAGTTCCAAGGGACAATTTAGTCCATTTATTGAAAAATGGCTCAGTAAAATATGACTGTGGAGGGATGAACTCCACATCATTTCAATCTAGTTGGCTGTGTCTCTTTCTTTTAAAACTAGAACCCTTGCCAAGACTCCTGAAAAAGAAGCAGCATGCCTTCTTATTCTCCCATTTTCACTTTAATTACCACAGTAAAATGAATGTCTCTTCCTATCAAGCTTTGGCTATCTTAATGAATACTGCCATTTCTAGATCCCTCTTCCCCTACCTGTTTTCCAAAGGGCAGAGAAAACCTCTAGGGGAGCAGTAGTCCTAAAGGGTCTGGGAAGGATGTATGTAAAGTCAGTCATTCGGTCAAATTTTAAACCCTATGAGGCACAGTGCTGTGATGGGGGAATTGTTTTTACAAACTCGTTGAAAGATGATTACAATAGTCCTTTTCTCCTTGAGGAGCTTAAGATGAGCACAGAGGTTCTAAACCAGCAAAGCTGGAGATCAGATGATCCATTAATAAAATTGAATACAGAAGAAAATACGTAGGTGTAAGGAAAGATGATTTATGGGATAAGTAACATTGGGGAGAGCTGATTGCTTCTGCTGTGCTGTGTATTAAACATATAGAATACAACTGAAGGCAAAGAGCGGGTTCTTTCTGGAGCCCTTCATGCCTTACATGAAGCCCCTAGGTACTGCCCAGTACAGTTCAAGTGACACAGACTCACTCGAACAATTCACATACATTCCAGCCTGGTTATCACGTAGTTTTGCTATGTTTTATTGGTCTGAGAGGGACACTCTGGGAACCATTATTGTAGGGGTGGGTTGCCCCTACACACCTGTGGGTGTTTCTCGTAAGGTGGGACGAGAGATTTGGAAAAGAAAAAGACACAGAGACAAAGTATAGAGAAAGAAATAAGGGGACCCGGGGAACCAGCGTTCAGCATATGGAGGATCCCGCCAGCCTCTGAGTTCCCTTAGTATTTATTGATCATCTGCCTTCAAGCATCTGTTTAACAAAGCACATCCTGCACCGCCCTTAATCCATTCCACTCTGAGTTGACACAGCACATGTTTCAGAGAGCACGGGGTTGGGGGTAAGGTTATAGATTAACAGAATCTCAAGGCAGAAGAATTTTTCTTAGTACATAACAAAATGGAGTCTCCTATGTCTACTTCTTTCTACACAGACACAGTAACAATCTGATCTCTCTCGCTTTTCCCCACAATTATATGTCAGCCTCTCCCATGCCTTAGTCATGATTAAAAAGCTGCAGCTTTTGTTTATGCCAACATCTGCACCAGTACTAGTCCTCTCATCCAGTACCGGTCAGGGACCCGTCGCAGCGAGAGCACTTGCAGGCCAACACGAGAGGGGAGCCTGTACAAAGCAACCACCCGGAGAAACGGCAAGCACTCCAGAGATCAGCCACCCGAGAACTGTGAGAGTGCACATTTATTACTTTGGAAATCATAAAAACTTCAAAACAGCAAATGTGTCTATACTCTGTTTCAATTATTTCACAGAAAAATAAGATACTTCAGAAAAATTCCAATCCTGATTCTCTAGTGCATAAACTGCTGTGCTAAATGTGCAGTTCATACTCTACTAATGCCGCATGGCAAGGCAAGGAGCAGGCAGCAGTCGCAGGGAGGATAAATCCAACTGAGTATGAAAACCTCCAGAAAGGGACCTGCTGAAAAAGAATGAGGTGATACATGGACAAATTCTAAGATAAAGGGCAACCTAGGTATTTAACATATTTAACATAGGTAAAGTAGAAAAAACCCAACCTGGGGATTCAGAGGTCCATTGGATTTTTTTAAAACATAATATTGAGATTTAGTTGACTAATATAAAATGCCACAATGTTAGAATACACTAACAGGGGTCTAGCAAAAATTTCATAATCCTGCTCGATTTGGCCCATTTGTGGACTTCACTAGAATGTTAGGTGTAGTGGAGAGGAGCAGTCACCTCTCCAGCATCCATTCTCCACCCTCCCCCTTCTTAACGAGACTGGAAACTTCCCAGTCAGCATATTTGAGTGGGATAAGAATGGGCTCTGATTAGGTTAAAGCAGTGCTCATCAACCAAGGACAGTCGTGCCCCAGAGGGGACCCTTGACAATGTTTGAAGACATTTTTGGTTGTCACAGCTGGGAGAAGGATGTCACTGGCACCCAGTGGGCAGAGGCCAGGTACACCGCTGAACATCTACCAAGCACAGGACAGTCTCCCACAACAAAGAATTAGCAGCCCAAATGTCGGCACCTCATTCCCACACTAGCACATGGGACCTGTGAATATTACTTTACATGGCAAAGGAATGACTATTACCTTGTACAACAACAACTACTACAAAGTGGTAACATTCAGGATCCTGAGAGAAGGAGCTTGTCCTGGAATATCAGGGTAGGGTAGGCCACATGCAACCTTATGACAGAGGCAGAGCAAGTTGGAGACAGACACAGAGGAGGCAGCAAAGTGAAGACAGAAGCAAAGATTGGAGGGATGCGGCCACAAGCCCAGGAATGCCATGCTGGCCGCCAGAAGTGAGAGGAAGGTGTCCCCAGAGGGAATGTGGCCATGTCAGTTTTCACACTTTTGGCCTCCAGAACTGCAACAAGATATGATTCTGTTCTCTTGATCCAACAAGTTTGTAGTAATTTGCTATAACAGCTTCGGGAAACTAATATCGCATCCTGCAAGGAGGTGTATGAATTGCAAATTACAAAAAGGGAAGCAAAGTTACATCTTGCTTTTTTTTTTGATCTGAAGATTCCCTTCTACCAATATACCAAAGGTTTCCACATTAGGAGTTTCTTCTACTGTCAAAATCCCCAATGAAAAATATTATTAAGCACTTTTGCTGCTGAATGCACGCCTTAAAAGTTTATCACCTGACTCACCAACCACCTTCCAAAGTATGGCTCCTTCCCTCTTCCATCAATCCCATCAAGCCTCTTCTTTTTTTTTTTTTTTTTTTTTTTTTTTGAGATGGAGTCTCGCTCTGTCGCCCAGGCTGGAGTGCAGTGGCGCGATCCTGGCTCACTGCAAGCTCAACCTCCCGGGTTCACGCCATTCTCCTGCTTCAGCTTCCCAAGTAGCTGGGACTACAGGCACCCGCCACCACGCCTGGCTAAATTTTTTTGTATTTTTAGTAGAGACAGGGTTTCACCATGTTAGCCAGGATGGTCTCGATCTCCTGACCTCGTGATTCGCCTGCCTTGGCCTCCCAAAGTTCTGGGATTACAGTCACAAGCCACCGCGCCCGGCCCCGCCTCCTCTTTTTTATTGAGGCAACAAAGCATCATTTTAACACATTTTATGTACCAATTACATTTATTTAATTTTGGATTATTTACTAATAAAAAGTTTTCATTGCTCAATGATATATTTTTCTATTTGTAGAAAGTATTTGGACATCTTAGGTTGGGATGGAACACATCATAACTTTTACCACTAAAATGAACATAAGTTAGCCGGCTGCAGTTGAGAGGCCAAGCGGGTGGATCACTTGAGGCCAGGAACTCGAGCCCAGCCTGGCCAACACAGTGAAACCCTGTCACTACTAAAAATAGAAAAAATTAGTTGGGCGTGGTGTCATATGTCTGTAATCCCAGCTACTCGGGAGGCTGTGGCGAGAATTGCTTGAACCCGAGACGTGGAGGTTGCAGTGAGCTGGGAGATCACGCCACTGCCCTCCAACCTGGGTAACAGAGTAAGACTCTGTCTCAAAAAACAAAACCAAAACAACAACAAAAAAATTAACAGAAGTAATTTTTCATTTTCTAGCTTTTCACTTACTGGCAGGATTCTTAGAATTAACATCATTAAGTGAGGGATAGGCATATTTATTTCATCTATAGCAAATGCCTGTGAAGTAGCTTGATTTCTTCACACTCTTTATTCACACCTTGTTTTGTGGGAGTTATCAGCTAGAAATCGGTGATCAGCATAACTCTTCACTGTCCGGCAAAGGTGTGGGGGTAGGGGTACAGAGAGATGAAGAACCTTACAGAGACCATCCATCCCGTTAGAACCCCAACAAGAACAGAACCCACATCCCCTGGCACCTAGACTAATATTCTACCTGAGGTTATATGAAGGAATTAAGGACAAATGTGATCAATAAAGAAGCAGAAAACAGCAGAATGTTTTTCTTTTTTGAGAAAAGATGAAATGACGTAGGCATTCTTTAGCCTCGACGAGGGAAGGGTGGTGAACGAGTCACTAAATGCCTACCGGTGAGGAAGACATTGACTGACTGAAGGGTACCCCAACATGTAGTTATTTTGTACTGATTATCAACCTTGGTTTTCTATCTTTTTGTGTGTCTCACAACCCAAAGAGTCTTTAGGACTTTAATTACATAAGACTCTATTGCACTAGATTCTGCTGGCACTGCATTTCAGCTCTAGAACAGAAATCCACTCAACTAGCACAAGTCAAATGGGGGAAGAGGTGTTATGAAAAGGCTATGACCAAAGATCTCATGAACAACACCCAAGGAAAGAAAAGGTTTAGCTGGTCCAAATAGGAAGTGGAACTAGAAGCTCCTGCCACATCTCAGGGTGTCCACATTTCTGCTCCGTTCAAGCACATCTCTCTGTACACTAGCTGCCTCTGCTGTCTCTGCTGTCTGTGGCTTTTTTTGTTCCCCCAGCTTGCACGTCTTTTATGCTGTAGTTCAGAAGGTGGTCACAATTCTATACGAAATTTCAGCCCAAGAACTAACCATTATCTAATCAGCTCAGTATCTCAAGGTCCCCATTCTCAGGGAAGAGGATGTGATTGGCTCAATCCAGCCAACAGACCCTTTAGATAGTTTTCTACGGGGTCAGTTGCTCATCCCACAAAGATTGGTGGTTGATGAGTACTACTGTCTGGGCAGACACTTCAAAACAGGGTGTAGCAAAGAGGAAATGATTGGCATATGCATAGAGGAACTCAAGAGTGATACAGCTCTTTTAGTTAAGGCTACCCAGAAAGATTGTATCACTTTAGAATTTGTGATCTTTGGATGAAGTGGTCATAATTTGTAAATAGAGAGTAGGAACCATTTTTTAATTTTTTTATTATACTTTAAGTTCTGAGATACATGTGCAGAACGTGCAGATTTGTTACACAGGTATACACACGCCATGGTGGTTTGCTGCACCGATCAACCCGTCATCTACGTTAGGTATTTCTTCTAATGATGTCCCTCCCCAAATCCCTCACCCCCTGACAGACCCTGGTGTGTGATGTTCCCCTCCCTGTGTCCATGTGTTCTCACTGTTCAACTCCCATTTACGAGTGAGAACATGTGGTGTTTGGTTTTCTGTTCCTGTATTAGTTTGCTGAGAATGATCGTTTCCAGCTTTATCCATGTCCCTGCAAAGGACATGAACTCACCCTTTTTTATGGCTATATAGTATTCCATGGTGTATATGTGCCACATTTTCTTTATCCAGTCTATCATTGGATGGGCATTTGGGTTGGTTCCAAGTCTTTGCTATTGTGAACAGTGCTGCAATAAACATACATTTGCATGTGTCTTTATAGTAGAATGATTTATAATCCTTTGGGTATATACCCAGTAATGGGATTGCTGGGTCAAATGGTATTTCTGGTTCTAGATCCTTCAGGAATTTCCACACTGTCTTCCACAATGGTTGAACTAATTTACACTCCCACCAACAGTGTAAAAGCAAGGAACCATTTTTAAATTTCATTCTAGCTCCAGTGTCTAGAACAAAACCTTACTACTTTGGGCTTGTACTGCCAGAAATTTATCATTTGTCCAGAAGTGTCTCCAAATTAGCAGACCATCAAGGAAATCTCAAAAAATGAAATGGACTGATACACAGTATGGGCACTGACTTGCCATTATTTGGGGAAGGGAAAGGAGGAAAGGGATAAGGGGAGGATATCTGCAGTCCCTACATAGGTAGGAATTCTCTGAACTATGTATGATACAAGTTCAGCACAGGACTGGAATTAGAACCAGTTCCTCAAGTAATTTTTAAAAATAAAAACAGGCCAGGCGTGGTGGCTCATGCTTGTAATCCCAGCACTTTGGGATTGCAAAGGCTGAGGCAGGAGGATTGCTTGAACCCAGGAGTTTGACACCAGCCTAGGCAACATACCAAGACCCTGTCTCTACAAAAAAAAAAAAAAAAGAAAAATAAATTAGCCAGGCATGGTTGTGTGTACCTGTACTCCCAGATACTCAGGAGGCTGTGGCAGGAGGATCACCTGAGCCTAGGAGGTAGATGTTGCAGTGAGCTATGATTGTGCCACCACACTCCTGCCTGGATAACAGAGCAAGAACCTATCTCAAAAAAATAAATAAACAAAAAATAAAATAAAATAAAAACAGAAATTCCACTCGGGCAGGGGAGAGGGAAGAGTGAATAGGTAGAACACGGAGGATTTGTAGGGCCATAAAACTATTCTGTATGATACTATAATAGCGGACACATGTATATCTGTCCAAACCCATAGAATGTACAACACCAAGAGTAAACTCTAATGTTAACTATGGACTTCAGGTGATAATGATGTATCAATGCATGTTCATCAATTTTAACAAATGTACCACTCTGGTGGGGGATGTTGACAGTAGGGGGATGTTATGCATGTGGGGGCATGGGGTATAGAGGAAATCTCTGTACTTTCTGCTCAATTTTGCTGTGAACCTAAAACTGCTCTAAAAAATAGTCTATTAAAATCAACGACAACTACAAACCTTGGTGGCAGGAATAGGAGGAAGTGTAGCCAAACAGAACCCAAACCTAGCTAGGTGGTGCATGCCTGTAATCCCAGCTGCTCAGGAGGCTAAGGCAGAAGGATGGCCTGAGCCCAGGAGTTCAAATCCAGCCTGGGCAACTTCACAAGACCTCAGTCTCTAAAAAGAAAAAAAAGAATGCAAACCTACTCTACACACTCTGAGCATAAGGATCATAAATAGCAGGAGCAGAGAGAGAAGGCAAGAGTGGATCTCAGTTACACCTGGCAGGAGCCACAGGACTCACACCCTGTCTAATAAAATTAATCAGTTCCCCCTGAATTACAATTTCACTAAAATCAGACAGCCAGATGCTTGGTTTTTCCAGACAGTGAGAAAAGTTCCTGTTCCTTGTACTATGAGGTATTATCTGCTTCCAAGTCTAGTGTTTGAACTCTCCAACCACCAGGAAACTAAATACAAAAGCTCTTCTTGGGTCTCCTCCTAACCCAACCACCAGGATGAATGAATTTTCAACGTCAACTAACAGTTTCATATGGGAGATTGCCTCTCACATTCAAGACATGAAGTTTCTCAGTTGCTGAATTTGTTCTTAAATATGTTTTCACCCTGACTTAGTCTGCAGAATATCCTAACAGTACCTCTGGTTTCTTGCATTAATTCAATGGGCCAGCTTTTCTCTAACCCTTTCCTCTAAATAACAGATAATCCTTTTCTGGTCACAGGGAGCTTGGTCTTTCTCTGTCCCTTGCCTACCACATCTTCAAGACCACTTATTTAGGGGCAGGGCAATCTCAAGTAACAGCATGATTATTTCTATGTATACCTAACCTAAGGCTTCATAAGGTGCTACTACTCATTCCTTGTCATACCCCAAGAATTATATCTGGTCTGGCAATACTCAGAAGGCTTCACCACATTGATTTGAGTAGGATCTCAAGAACGACAACAACAAAAATCAAAGAAAGAGTATGAGTACTTTTGCCTACTAACTGTGGTTAAAGATCTGAAACATTTTCCACGAGCTTAAAAAGCATAATTATCGGTTCATCAACCAGTACAAAGTTACAGTTAGACAGGAGGAAAGAGTTCTTGTATTCTATTGTACAGTAGGTTGACTACAGTTAACCCTTTTCCCGTTTGCCCAGAGAATACTCGCCCACAGTACATGAGGCTGCAGCGTCTACTCTGAGATAACTTTGCTCGCTTTTACTACTATTTTCGCAAGCTCTAGTACATTGAATTTGGAAACAAAAAACATCATTCTATTTATAACATTCTGTTTTTAGCACTGGTATTTCCATTTACAAAATATAGTAATTCTCAATCGCTGAAAATATCAAATCCTAGAAAATGCAGCATTCCTACGCATGATGGTAACATTGTTCTTGAACAGTTATTAGCCAAAGATCCATTTCAATTCAATTTTTCTGAAATAGATGATTCTGATGATTCAGACAATTCTGATGTTAGTTCTGTTTAGAAATAACTCCAAAAACAGTTTTTATATTTTATTTTCACATTGAAAATCTGTCAGATTTGCTTCAGCCTCAAAGAGCACATTAATGTAAAATTAAATGAGCGCTGGGTAGTGAGCTGCACCTTTTTTCCTAAATGGGAAAAGGGTTAAACATAATGTATGCATATTTCAAAATAACTAGAAGTGAGGATTTTGAAAGTTCTCACCACAAAGAAACAATGTTTCAGATGACGGATATGCTAATCATCCTAATTTGATCAGTACATAATATATACATGTGTTGAAACATCACATTGCACCCTATAAATATGCACATTACGTGCCAATTAAAAATAAAATAATTTTTAAAAAGAAACATATAAACTCCCCAAATTTATTGGCACTTGGGAACATCAACAAACCCCAAATAAGATAAATGCAATGAGATCCACAAACAAAAACACTGTAGTGAAAATGCTGAAAGTCAAGGACAAGGAGAAAGTCTTAAAAGCAGAAATAGAAAAATAGCCCATTACTTACAAGGGAACCCCAATAAGATTAACAGGTGACTTCTCAGCAGAAACAAAAGATCCCAGAAAAACATGGGAAAACATATTCAAAGTGCTCAAAAGTTGTCAACCAAGAATCCCATATCCCCCAAAACTACCTTTCAAAAATGAAGGTGAAATAAAGACTTTCCCAGAAGAACAAAAACTGAATTTGTTGCTAGAAAACCCACTTTGCAAAAAAAAGTGAATTAATACCAGAAGGTAATTTGAATCCACACAATAAAAGAACACTGATAATTATGTAATTATAAATGCACATTTTTTCTCTCTTATTCTCATAACTGACATAAAAATGAATTGCATAAAATGATATGTACACACTGTACTGTTGGGCCTATAACATATAGAAAGGAATAAGATATGTAAATATATTTGCCAAACACAGTGCAAATGAGTTAAACAGCCAAGCTGTATTGGGCTAAGGAAGTAACTACACATGTTAAAGTAATAATTAAAACATTGTTGAATTCATAACATTGAGAGGTAATATGTATAACAATAATGTCACAAAAAAAGGAAGAGAAGGGAATAAAGCTATGCAGATGATCCATAACTTATGAAGGTTAGACTTACAATTTTTTGACTTTACAATGATATGAAAGTGATACACAGTCAGTAGAAGCCATACTCCAAATTTTGAATTTTGCTCTTTTCCCAGGCTACTGATATGTGATACCATAACTACTGATAAAACAACTAGAAAAAAGATCGAGAAAATAGAACACTTGAATAACACTATAACCAAGCAGACCTAACAGACATCTATAGAACTCTCCACCCAACAACAGAACATACATTCTTCTCAAGTATGCTTTTCTCACAATGCTGGGCAGTGACAGCAAGCCACAGCTCCCAGTCAGCCCAGCAATCACAGGGGTAAACAAGTAACACTCTACAGTGCACGGTGTCACTAAGCAATGATGTGCACTACATTAGGTGTATTAAGTGAATTTCTGACTTACAATATTTTCAACTTATGATGATATAACTCCATCATAAGTCGAGAATCATATGTATAGGACATAAGTCAAAAATCATATGTATAGGAGTAACATTTCTATATATCACGGTAATTATTCTACGGCAAACTCTAGAGTAGCCACTAAAAAAAAAAAATTCAAAAAGAATAGTGAAAACATCATTAAAGAAATTAAAATGCTACATTATGAAATATTCACTTACAGGCATCAGTTACTACTCATGCCTGTAATCCCAGCACTTTGAGAGGCCAAGACAGAAGGATCACTTGAGCCCAGGAGTTTGAGACTGGCCTGGGCAACAAAAAATCTCTACAAAAAAATAAAAAAAATTGGCTGGGTATGCTGGCTTACACCTGTAATCCCAGAACTCTGGGAGGTGAAGGCAGGCAGATCACTTGAGGCCAAGACTTAAGAGACTAGCCTGGCCAACATGGTGAAACCCCCCGTCTCTACTAAAAATACAAAAATTAGCTGGGCATGGTGGTGCATGCTTGCAGTCCTAATCACTCAGGAGGCTGAACCATGAGAATAGTTTGAGCCCGGGAGACAGAGGTTGCAGTGAGCCGAGCTCACACCACTGCACTCCAGCCTGGGTGACAGACCAATACTCTGTCTCAAGAAAAAAAAAGAAAAAAAAAATCAAAAATAGAAAAATTAGCCAGGTGTGGTGGTGCATGCCTGTGGTCCCAGTTTCATGGGCAGCAAAGGAAGGAGAATCACTTGAGCCCAGGAGGTCAACAGTGGCAGTGAGCCATGTCCATGCCACTGCACTCCAGCCTGGGCAAGAGAGTGAGACCCTGTCTAAAAAAAAAAAAAACAGATAATACTTACTTAAAAGAGCGTAATAAAAGGAGAAACAGAGTTACAAAAAAAAGACGAGATATACAGAAAAAGTAAAAGTTCAGACATAAAGCCAACTATGTCAATAATATCATGGATGTGAGTGGAATAAACAATCCCATCAGGCTGGACACGGTGGCTCACACCTGTAATCCCAGCACTTTGGGAGGCCAAGGTGGGTGGATCACTTGAGGTCAAGAGTTCAAGACCAGCCTGGCTAACATAATGAAACGCTGTCTTTACTAAAAATACAAAAATTAGCTGGCTGTGGTGGCAGGTGCCTGTAATCCCAGCTACTCGGGTGGGTGAGGCAGGAGAATCGCTTGAACCTGAGAGGCGGAGGCTGCAGTGAGCAGAGATCGTGCCATTGCACTCCAGCCTGAGTGGCAGATCAAGACTCTGTCTCAAAAAAAAAAAAAAAAAAAAAAAAATTCCCATCAAAAGACAAAGATTGTCAGACTTTAAGAAAACATGATCTAACTATATGCTGTCTATAGAAGACACACTTTAGAGTGAAAAATACAAACAGATTGGAAGTAAAAGGATAGAAAAGATATGTCATGCAAACATACAAAAACAAGAAACTTAATTGTGGCTATACTGATATTAAAAAAAACAAATTTTAAAACAAAAAGCTATTAGAGATGGAGAGGGACATTTTGTTAATCATAAAAGGGTCAATCCATCAGGAAGATATAACCATTATAAACATACACAACTAAGGACCAAAATTCATGAAGCAAAAATTGACAGAAAGGGAGAAACAGACAATTGAATATTAATCGCTGGAGACTTCAAACTGTCATTTTCAGTGATAGATAAAACAACTAGAAAGAAGATCAACAAGAAAACAGAACACTTGAATAACACTATAAACCAACTAGATCTAACTTACATCTATAGAATTCTCCACCCAATAGTATATACATTTTTCTTAAGATCACATGGAATATTCTAAACAGATCATATGCTAGGTCATAAAATGAGTCTTCATATATTTAAAAGAACATTAGTAATATAACAAATGTGCTCTGATGACAAAAAAAGCAATTAAAAATAAATGCAGGAAGTTTCAAAGGAAATTCACAAATGTGGAAACTGAACAAGGCACTACTAAATAACCAGCTGGCCCAAAGGAGGAAAAACATGCTTTGGGACAAAGATAAGCTGCCAGTAACTGATCCTAAAGAGAGGATTATAGAAAAGCTGCCTGACAGAAATTCAAAATACTTGTTTTAAGGAAATTTGGCTAACTTCAATAAAGTAGAGAAAAACAATTCAGAAATTCATCAGAGAAATTTAACAGAGAGATTGAAATAATTTTTTAAAATCAAACAGAAATCCAGGAGCTAAAAACTACAATGAACAAAATAAAAAATCCAACAGAAAGCATCAATAGCAGAATTGTTCAATTAGAGGAGTATCAGTGAATTCAAAGACAGGTTAATTGAAAATACGTAACTAAAGGTGAAAAAGGAAAAAGGAATGAAGTTACAGGATTTATGAGTAACATCTAAAGAGCAAATATGTGGGTCACTGGTGTTCAAGGGGGAACCTTGAAAAAGAGAAAGTAGTAGAAAGCTTATTAAAGAAATAATAACAGAAAGTATTTCAAACCTGGAGAAAGCTATAGCTATCCACGTACAGGAAGATCAAGGGCAACCAGTCAGATTTAATCCAAATAACACTACCCCACAACATATTATAATCAAAATGTCAAAGATCAAGCACAAAGAGAGGATCCTGAAAGCAGCAAGAGAAAAGAAGCAAATAATTTATAAGGGAGTACTAATATGCCTAACAAGAGACCTCTAAGCAGAAACATTGTCCTGAAGAAATTCAAAGTCCTAAAGAAAAAAAAATTAAAACTATCAACCAGGAATATTACACCTACCAAAGCTGTACTTCAGAAATGAAGAAAAGAATAAAGACTTCTGGACGACAAAAGCTGATGGAATTCATCAGCACCAGACCTGTCTTACAAGAAATGCTAAAGGGAGTTCTTCAAGATGAAAGAAAAGGATAGCAATGAGCAACACAAAAACATCTGAAAGTATATAACTCACTGATAAAAGCAAGTACACAGTCAAATTCTGAAGTCTCTAATACTGTAATGGTGGTATGTACATCATATATTTTTTTAAGAAGGTTAAGACAACACAATTAAAAATAATAGCTACGATAATTTGTTAGGGGACATGCAATATAAAAAGATATAAATTTTGACACCAAAAGCTCAAAATGGGGGAGTGGAGTTAAAGAGTATTTTCTTTTCGATCAAAGTTGCTATCAGTGTAAAATAACCTTTTATAACTATAAGGCATACTTTTATAAGTCCCATGGTAACCACAAAGCAAAAGCCTATAATAGATACACTAAAAATAAAAAGCAAAGAATCAAAATATACTACTAGAGAAAATCACTTAACCTCAAAGGAAGAAAGAAAGAAAAAAAGAATCTACAAAACTAGAAAAAAATTAATAAAATGACAGTAGTAAATCCTTACCTACCAATAATTACTTTGAATGTAAATGGATTAAATTATCCAATTAAAAGACACAGAGTAGCTAAATGGATTTAAAAAAAAAGAAAACAAGACCCAACTATATACTGCCTACAAAAGACTTGCCTCACCTATAAGGATACACATAGACTGAAAGTAAATAAATGGAAAAAGATACTTCACACAAATGGAAACCAAAACAGGAGTGGCTATACTTATATCAGATAAAATAGACTTTAAGTCATCTGTAAATAGAGACAAAGAAGGTCATTATATTAATATATGATAATGGGGTTGGTCAATTCAGCAAAAGGATATGTTACATATTTAGGTGCTCTGATGTTGGGTAAATGTATATGCACCCAATGTCAGAGCACCTAAATACATAAAGCCAATATTAATAGATCTCAAGAAACAGATAGATTGTAACACAATACTAGTAGAAGAGTTTAACACCCTATTTTCAGCAATGGACAGATCATTTAGACAGAAAGTCAACAAAGAAACATCAGATATGAACTGTACCCTAGACCAAATGGACCTAACAAACATTTACAGAACATTCTATCCAACAGGTACAGAATACACATTCTTCTCAACTGCACATCAATCATTTTCCAGTATAAATCATATGTTAGGCCACAAAATAAGTCTTTTAAATTTAAGAGTATCAAAATCTTGTCAAGTATCTTTTCTGACCACAATGGTATAAAACTAGACATCAATAAAAGGGGAAACCTTGAAAACTTTACAAATACATAGAAATTAAACAACATGCTCCTAAACAATGAGTTAATGAATAAATTTAAAGAGAAATTTAAAAATATCCTGAGACAAATGAAAACGGAAACATAACATACCAAATCCTATGGGATAGAGCAAAAACAATTCTAAGAGGGAAGTTTATAGCAATAAATGCCAACTCTCAAAAATAACCCAAAGCCCAAACTTTGAGAATGATCTATTAAATGCAAATACCCTGAGAAAGGATATCCCTTTTATTAAACATTAATTAATATTTTATGAGAAACTTGTTTTGTTGTTGTTTTGTTTTGAACAGATGGCTCTTCCTCTGTTGCCCAGACTGGTGTGCAGTGGCACAATCATAGCTCACTACAGCCTCAAACTCGTGGGCTCAAGGGATCCTCCTCCTCAGCCTCCCCAGGGGCTGGGACTACAGGTGCATGTCACCACACCCAGCTGGACTTGTTGATAGTTAGTAAAGGTTGTTAGGCACCATACCATATCTGGCAATGACAAAAGGTGAATGAGACAGGTGCCAGTGACAGGCAAAATGAGAAGATGCCAAAGACAAATTCTGCCTAGAGTCAGCTTGGGTTACTCCAAAACATTTAGCCTGCCATTTCTGCAACATTCAGCTCTTCAAGATGGCGCACAGGACCAATAAGGCAGTCTCTGCTATTTATTACAGAGCATTGACCAAATAACTTACTACTCTGTGGCTGTCACCCTGATTCTGAACCCACTCTTCAAAGTTTTGTTTCAAACACTTTCTTTCTCAAAGACCACTTTTTTAATGAAAATACAGGCTTACCCTAAATTTGTACAAACATAAAAGGGTATACTTTACTCACTATGTTCCAATTATAATATTACATGCAAGCAAATAACTCACTTTACAAAAAAATAAAAATTTAATGAATGGTAGCAGCTTAATTATTTCAAGCTGCCAGTAGGCATAAAGTCAAATATTTTCCAAAAACACAAACAGCCACTTATGACTCACCTGTGCCTCTTTCTTTTCATCTAATAAATGTCAGCATAACAGAGTGATTAAGAAGGCTGACTTGGAGGCAGACTGCCGAAGTTTGAATCCCTACTCTATAACATACTAGCTATGTGACCTTGGGAAGTTATTTTGCCAGTCTATGCCTCCGTTTCTGTATCTGTAAAATGGGAAAAACCTAGTAGGGTTGCTGTGAATAATAAAATACATTAATTACACAGAAAGCACTTAGAATTGTGCCTGGCACATTTTAACACCCATTCAATGTCAGTTATTATCATTAGTTATTGTATTTCTAAGTAGAAACCAATGTCTTTCTCCAAGAGTCCTCTACTAGCTAGAAATAATCTCTCTTGGCAAGCCTAAACACCTGTCGGCAAAACTGTTCACAAAAGCAATGGAGTCAACAGAGAGAATAAGCATTAATGTCCTGAACGGGCTGTGCATCACACAGCCTGAAAGCCCCAAAGTTGTTTACTTTACTATCCCACAAATATTAGAGTCAGAGGTTTCAAGATTTTGCTAAGCCAGTTCCTACTACATTCACAATATGTTAATATGAGATGGATAAGACAGTTTGGTCGGCTGTCAAGTCATGAGTTGTATAAACACTAGTACGCAACAAAATGACTGTAAAAGTCATGTGGTTCCTATTGGTCATATTAAATTATACTTGAAGACTTTTGCTTTTCTAGCTGCAAATAACTGGGAAAAGAGTGTACTTGAGAGCAAGACTCAAATTTAAATAAACTGTAAATTTCTCAACATCTTGGAAACTTCAGTTCAGCCTCTTTTTATGTGCAAGACTAAACCCAGTACAGTTTATAACTTGAAATCCAAACATATCACTAGCATACTGGGTTCTAATCTCAGCTCTGATCCACACAGCACTATTAACAGTATGGCCCAAAATATTTCACTTCCCTCTAAATGAAAAACACAATGATATGTACCAGTCTTACCAGACAAAAAAAGATTAAATGAGATAAATATTAACAACAGCAGTTGTAACTGTTAATAAATAACACAGGAAAGTATCATTTACTTGAACTCTAAGACTCCTCTCTCTCACACACACACACACATACACACACACACACACACACACACACAAACATACGCATGCGCACACGCACAGAGAGAGACACGCACACACACAGAAAAAATAAATCTGAGCCAAGGAATAAGGGAGAAAGCATAAAAAGGAAATAATTTAATGGTTCTTCTAAATACTGAAAAAAAAAGATTTTGATATCTAGAAGAACATGAAGATAAATAAAACGGTATGTTGCCAAAGAGAAGGATTGTGCAAAAAAACCATAGACATGTAATAAATAATATAAAGGAATTGAGAAAGAAATAATTTATTTCTCAGTCAGAACCAAAAATGAAGTCTCTATGTAATTAGGAGCCCTAGGGAGAATATAACTATGATGGAATAAATCTCACCCAACAGACTTGGCTGAGATAATATTATAAATTATTATAATACTATAAACTAAACAAACTAATATCCAAAACAGCAAACTGAAAATAGAATGCCATAAATTATATGGAGTTTTACACTTAACATTAGTACAGCTTATGTACTTTTTGTATATCACAATAAAAAAGCAAAAATAATAATGCCAATAATAGATGTGAATAAACAATATACATATCAAGAAACACGGATTTCTTCTTTCAACAAACATCTACTAAATGCTGACTAAATGAAAAATAACACTACAAGTCAAAAAAGCAGAGTGAAACCACTTTTGACTATAAAATCAGTGATTAAAAAATACTTCACAGATTGCTTGAGCCCAGGAAGCTGAGGCTGCAGTGAGCTATGATTATACCACTGCACTCCAGCCTGGGCAACAGGGCAAGATCCTGTCTTGAAAAAAAAAAATTCCCAGTACTGGCAAGAATACAGTTAAACAGCCACTCATATGCAGGTTTCTGGTAATGTAATTGGTCCAAGTTTTCTGAAAGATAATCAGAGAAGTATATCAAAAAACTTTGAATGTGTTTATACCCTTTCACTCATTAATCCACTTCTAGGAATTTAGTGTAAGGAAATAACCAGAGATGTACATGATTGATATAAAAGGATGTTCACTGCATATTTATTTACAATAGTAAAAAACTGCTAACAATCTATATCTCCAACAATAAGCAATGAATTATATAATTTGTAATACAGCCATATGAAGGAACTTAAGCCATTAGTCTAATTTCAGAAAAATATGACTTAATGGTACGGAAAACTGCTTATGTTAGACTTAAATGTAAGACTATAAAAAGCTATATACAATATGATTGCAATTTTCTTCTATACACACAAACATATACATATACAACCAAAAACTGGAAAGCAAACACCACAATGTTAACAACAGTTTTCTTTGTGTAATGCCAGATTATTTTATTGTACTTTTCATTAATTTATAAATTTCCTATAATAATCATGTATTATTTTTGTAACCAGTGCAGTGATCTTTGTGGTTAAACACAAACTGCCTTTTCCAAGCCAACTAGGGAAATTCCATTCCCTTGTCAGTGACTGTATCCTAGGCCAATACGTGGAGATGTCTGGTGTAGGGGCTTCCAGGAAAGATTTCCTTGCTCCTTACAGGAAAAACAAGAGAAGAACTGTTTTCTTTTGAATACTGTCATGACCGGTATGATTTATTTATCATTCAATCATTTACCTAAAAACACCTACTATGCAGCAGGCACTGTGGCTAATGAAAAGATGTAATTTTTAATCTTTGAAACATTTTATAGTAGACTGGAAAACACACAACTGAGTGGGGTAGCAGATATGCAAACAAAAATTCCAATAATAATGTGAAATTGATCTAATGGCAGCACACACACATAACGTGGGGGCACAAAGATTTCACAAACCAGAAGAGTCTCGAGGGCTGATTACTGTTCAAGCAAAGAAAAGGGGAGCATCATCAGACCCAGTGTCCAGCCACAGCACTTTCCTGGCACGTGCAAAGGCTCAGAGTTTAGTGAGGCATGGTGGCGGGCACCTGCAGTATTCTTCACAATTTAATTTTTAAAAGGTAATATGAACATATCTTTATAAATCATCTTAAACACTAAATAATTTGCTCCTGAATTCTGTATCTCATTTATATATAAATACATCAACTATACTAAGGTTATTAGAGGAAGCAAATAGCTTCCTCCTTAAGGGAATTTCTCAATCCACCAAAATAATAATTATTATTATTTTATAGCAGCTATCACTTACATGGTGCTTATTCTATGCCAAGGACAATTATAAGCACCGTAAACTTATCTCAGTCCCTACAATCCCACTATACAGGTGTGGAAACTAAGGAAAAGAGAAGTAAATATCTTGCCCAAATATCTTGCCCAAGGTTACATATCATGTACGAGATGGAGCCACTCACCAAGAAACATACCATGTGCTCATCCACATGGTATGTCAGTTTTTTATTGTTTTTTGTTGTTTTTATCCATAAAAGTCAGTTTTTTGTTGTTTTTATCCATATCAAAAGCAAAAATTTTCAACAACCTCAACCTAAACTTAAGGAGGAACTATCATTTTTTCTAAGCATGTGCATTCCTCATTTATGTTCACATTGGTTAATTCCTCCCTCAAGTCTCTCTATCCAACATCATCCATATCAGCAGTCTCCTTCTAAGATCCTCAGTGGATCCTTCCAGCTGTCAGAGGCAATGTCTCTGTCTGCTGTTTATATTTACACATCCAAAGTTTACCCACTCAAACTTTTGTGGGGAAACCACAGACAATGTCTGCCTCTGCCAAAGGATAAAGGGAGAAAAATGCTTTCCATAGAGTTAAAAGAATTCCATTTGTCAAATCAATCTGATGATGCTGGATGAACTGAACATTTCCATCTGACTACCTTACCACCTGCTATTTAATATGAAATTACATAATTTCCCAAGTGGAAACCATTCAAATTGCTCTTCAAGGAATTAAACTAGAAAATTCTCTTTCTTGTGTACAACAAAAAGGCAGGCATGTTCTAGACAGGAGCTGCACAGAGTAGTATTTCTGCAATTTTTTTTCCTGAACAAAACTGTATTTCTGTTCTGTTGCATAAAAATTCAAGATACATATCCAAGATAAGGAATTTGGTATGGACTTTTTTTTACCACTGCCATATGGTAGTAAAATCAGTTTTTCTAGCTGATAAGGAACCCCTGTTCTCCCAAACTGAATTCATAATTTATCCCAAGACCTCTGAAATTTTATTTATCAGCAACAGATTCATGATCCCAGTTCTTCATAATCTCTGTACAGAACAAGTACTTCTGACATTAAAATAAAATGCTATAATTTAATTTTAATATTAATAAGTGGAATAATTATTTCTTTTATCTAAAAACATTCTTGCTTTCTCTAAAACACAGGCTGTTTCAGCAATAATAATTTGTAAAGCAGGATTTTATTTACAATTTCATTATCCAAGTCGATCATGTTTGTTCTATATAACATGATGCCTTTACCAAGACCATATATAGGAGAAAATTAAACTTGGTTTGGCTAGTATAATAACTATTTGTTACAGCAGATCTTAAGAGTTATATATGTCAAGGGATTTTCTTTACCTGCCCAGCTACTTGAAAACCGCTAGGCTATTCTTTGAATAGGCTTTGACTGTGACTTAACCTTAGCATGCACTGATGCAAATTCTATTGACAAGCCATACTTTAATACAAGTGTCCATGGTTTTGTGTTTTATATGGATTTACATGGATTTCTTTTTATTTGTTCTTATAGGTCAACTGAGTCCCAGCACTTGGCTCATGCATTCAGCATGTTTCACTCTGGCCCCTGACGTCTTGGTTACCAAGCTCTTGCCAGGGGAAATTTCCTATGCTCTTCCATCTTGATTAGTTTGTTGATAATCTGAATCCAGTGCTTCTATTTGATCACACATAGGGCATTTCACTTTTTTTTTTTTTTAATTTCCAATGACTCTTCTCTTTGTTCACTGTTTCCTGTTTCCTTTAAGAGTCTCATTTCAGACCAGGCTTGGTAGTGCAAGCGTGTAACCCTAGTACTTAGGGAGGCTGAGATGGGAGGATCACTTTAGCCCAGGAGTTCTGAGACCAGCTCAGTTAACAGTGAGACCCCATCTTCACAAAAAAACAGACAAACAAAAATTAGCCAGGTGTGGTGACACACACCAGTAGTCCTAGCTGCTTGGGAGGCTGAGGAGGGAGGGCTGCTTGAGCCCATGAGTTTGAGGCTGCAATGAGCTACGGATCATGCCACTGCACTCCAGCCTAGACAAAAGAGCAAGACCCTGTCTCTAGAAATAATGATAATAAGAAGAGTATCATTTCAATCTACTACTTTTATATTTTATTACTCTGTTTTCTATAGTTTTTCAGAGTTACTACATAAGGTTCAGACTTAAAAATTTTTTTCTGAACTTTTAAAATACCTGATTAGGTAACTAATGCTCAGAAGCACATATAATTCTAATAAATAGCACTATCTGTCTGTCTCCTGCCAGTAACAGTATATATAAATTAACAGGTATGATTTTTACACAATCACGGAGTATTTGCACAACCAGTGGCTGGAGTAAGAACTGAAAAACCACACAACTGAACCTTGAAGTGCGCGTGAGTATAGTATATAGAAATCATACCACAAAAAGGTAGTCATCTTTCACACTTGTATTTCACGGGGGGATAATAATTTCATGTGTCATCATCTACAGGCTTATGATTGAGCTAAAATTCTAAATGATTCTTCTCCACAAAATTAATATAAATTCAAAGCATATTAATACATTCTCTATTGTTCATTCAAATTTTTAAAAATTTGTTTTAGTTTTTAACCATAACTGTATGATATTTTATTGACTGACTGAGACAGGGTCTTGCTCTGTCACCCAGGCTGGAGTACAGTGGTGCTATCATGGCTCACTACAGCCTTGACCTCCAAGGCTCAAAGGATCCTCCTACCTCAGCCTCCCAAATGGCTGAGACTATAGGCACATGCCACCATGCCTGACTAATCTGATATTATTTTTATTTTTTGTGGAGACAGGGTCTTGCTATGTTGCCCAGGCTGGTCTCAAACTCCTGGGCTCAAGTGATCCTCCTGCCTCAGCCTCCCAAAGTGCTGGGATTACAGACATGATCCATTGTGCCCAGCCACACGTTTTAGAATAGAAATCAGACATGCCTGAGGCTTACATCTTCTGAAAGACTGATTCCAGAAAATTGGTCTTCATGTCATCCAACCTTGCAGTAAACTCTAAAAAACGTTTGGCAATTGTTGTGAATCAGTTAATTCTACCTCCTGAGTAGGCACACATGTCACTGGGTTCCAGAAGAGTAATGTTCAAGCAGTGGAAGGGTAATTGACCAAAACCATATAAAACCCCATTAGAAGTGATAAGGGAGCTTCTCTTGCCATGCAAATCCATCCTTTGGGGAACTCTGGGGGACCTGAGAAACAATACTTCTGTCTGGGATCATATATGCTCCATCTTGATCCACAGATTCCCAAGTCTTTTGCCATTAGGGAAACTGAGGATCTTCCAAGTATAACCAATGATATCTTTCTGTCAGCAATATCACTATTCCATTGTGATCAACACGAACATTAATCCTCAGATCGAAGAAGCCCTATTACTCCCAAGAAGGAGATCTTGAAAAAGGGATTTGAGTAGAGTAGTTTATTTGGACAATAAAGGGAACACCATTAAGAAAGTAGAGAAGTGACACAGGGAATCACAGCCAATGAAAGGAGGGTTATTAAGCCAACTACCAGAGTGGGTAGGTAACCAGAGCTCAGTCCAACAAGACCTCTGGAAAATGGGACAAAACACACTCCTCTGAAGTAAAATACACAGTAAAACTGCAGAAACTAAAGGCAAAGAGGAAGTCCTAAAAGCAGACAGAGATTATAAAAAGACAAATTGCTTTCAAGGGAACACTGCTAAGAATAGGAGGCAAAGACACAAAAAGAAAATCATAAGCCAATATCCCTGATAAACTTAGATGCAGAAGTCCTCACTCAACACAACACTAGCAAACAGAATTCAACAACACATAAAAAAAGATCACATATCATGATCAAATGAAATTTACCCCTGGGTTGTAAGGATGATTCAACATACGCCAATCTATGAAGATGATATACCACATTAACAGAACCAAGAATAAAAATCATATGATCATCTCAATAGATGCAGAAAGAGCATTTGACAAAATTCGACATCTTTCATGATAAAAAAAACTGTCAACAAATTAGGTATAGAAGGAATGTACATCAACACAAGGCCATCTGTGACAGACCCACAACTAACCATACCGACTGGGGAAAAGTTAAAAGCATTTTCTCTAAAATCAGGAACAATACAACGAGGTCCACTCTTACCACTTCTATCCAACACAGCACTGGAAATCCTACCCAGAGCAATTAGGTAAGAGAAAGAAAGAAAGGGCATCCAAACTGGAAAGGAGGAAGTTAAACTGTCTATGTTTACAGATGACACAGTACATAGAAAACCCTACAAATTCCACTAAAAAAAAACTATTAGAACTAATAAATGAATTCAGTCAAGTTGCAGGATATAAAATCAACAAACAAAAATCATTAGTGTTTCTATACACCAAATATTAATAGCAAACTATCTGAAAAATAAATCAAGAAAGCAATCCCATTTACAATACCTGCCAAAAAAAAAGAAATAAAATACTTAGGTATAAATTTAACCAAGGATGTGAAAGATCTCTACAATGAAAACTATAAAATATTGAAAAAAATTGAAGACACACAAAAAATGGGAAGATACCCCATGTTCACAGATTGGAAGAATTCGTATCTTTTAAAAGTCCGTTAAAATTTGTATGGAGGCTGGGCACAGTGACTCATGCCTGTAATCCCAGCACTTTGGGAGGCCGAGGCAGGTGGATCACCTGAGGTCAGGAGTGCGAGACCACCCTGGCCAACATGGCGAAACCCCATCTCTACTAAAAATACAAAAATTAGCTGAGGATAGTGGCAGGCACCTGTAGTCCCGGTTACTCGGGAGGCTGAGGCAGGAGGATCTCTTGAACCCAGGAGGTGGAGGATGCAGTGAGCCAAGATCGCGCCACTCCACTCCAGCCTAGGTGAGAGAGTGAGACTCTGTCTCAAAAAAAAAAAAAAAAAAAAATATATATATATATATATATATATATTAAGACCCCAAAGAGCCAAAGCAATCTTGCGTCAAAAAAACAAAGCTAGAGGCATCAATCTTACCTGACTTCAAAATATACTACAAAGCTATAGTAAGCAAAACAGTAGAGTACTGACATAAAAACACACAGACAAATGGAACAGAAAAGAGAACACACTTACAGTCAACTGATTTTTGACAAAGGCGCCAAGAACACACACTGGGGAAAGGACAGTCTCTTCAATGAATGGTGTTCAGGAAAACTGGATATCCACATGCAGAAAAACGGAGGTAGACCCTATCTCTCACCACTTAGAAAAATCAACACAACTGCGAGCTGGGCCTGGCCGCCCTGCGGGAGCCATGGCGGCCTCGGAGGCGGTGGCGGCGGCGGGGTCCACGGCTCTGGCGGCGGGTGCCCGCGCCGTCCCGGCGGCCACGAGAGGAGCCTCCGCCGCCGCCTCGGGCCCGTGGGTGCCCCCGGGACCCCGACTGAGGGGCAGCCGGCCGCGGCCCGCGGGGGTGACGCAGCAGCCCGCGGCCTCCGTGCTGGCGGGGGAGCTGATCCAGCAGTAGGTGAGCGAGCTGTCCCAGACCACATGGCCCAACATCCTGTGCACCGTGCGCGGCTGCCGCAAGATCCTGCCCAACAGCCCCGCGCTCAACATGCACCTGGTCAAGAGCCACCGCATGCAGTATAGCACAGTCAATCCAATAATAAGAAAAGATTTGAAAACTGTACCGAAATTCTACTGTTGTCCAATCGAAGGCTGCCCCAGAGGCCCTGACAGACCATTTTCTCAGTTTTCTCTCGTAAAACAGCACTTTATGAAAATCCATGCTGAGAAGAAGCACAAATGTAGCAAGTGCAGCAATTCGTACGGTACAGAATGGGACCTGAAAAGACTTGCAGAGGACTGTGGCAAGACCTTCCGGTGCACATGCGGCTGTCCCTACGCCAGTAGAAAAGCATTGCAGTCTCACATCTACCGAACTGGCCACGAGATCCCTGCAGAACACAGGGACCCACCTAGTAAGAAAAGGAAAATGGAAAACTGTGCAAAACCAGAAGTTATCCAACAAGACCACTGAATCATTTAACAACCAACCAATCCCTAGACCAGACACCCAAGAACTAGAAGCTTCAGAAATAAAGCTAGAACCATCTTTTGAAGACTCTTGTGGCTCTAACACTGACAAGCAGACTCTTTCTTACAACATCACCGAGATAGCCTCAAAAGTTGCTTTTACCAAAGCCCAAAGTGGCTTTGCTTAAACTACCCGTGATGCAGTTTTCTCTCATGCCTGTCTTTGTGCCTACAGCCGACTCCTCAGCCCAGCCTGTGGTGTTAGGTGTTGATCAGGGCTCTGCCACAGGGGCTGTGCACTTACTGCCTGCCCTTGTCAGTAGGAACCCTGATCCTCGGCCTAGATTCAGAGGCTTGCTCTCTTAAAGAGAGCCTACTTCTTTTCTAAATTGCTGATCCTGTTGCTGTTGAGCCAATAAGTACTGGTGTTCAAGTGAACTTGGGTAAAAGTCCATCTAATACTTTACAAGAACTAGGGAACACATGTCAGAAGAACGGCATTTCTTCAATCAACGTGCAGACAGATCTGTCTTATGCCTCACAAAACTTTATACCTTCTGCACAGTGGGCCACCGCTGATTCCTCTGTGTCGTCTTGTTCTCAAACTGATTTGTTGTTTGATTCTCAAGTGTCTCTTCCCATTAGTGTTCACACTCAGACATTTTTGCCCAGCTCTAAGGTAACTTCATCTATAGCTGCTCAGACTGATGCATTTATGGACACCTGTTTCCAGTCGGGTGGGGTCTCCTGAGAAACTCAAACCAGTGGGATACAAAGTCCAACGGATGACCATGTACAGATGGACCAAGCTGGAATGTGCAGAGACATTTTTGAGTGTTCATTCATCATATAATGTTGCTACAAGTAACATTATAAGCAACAGTTTAGTAGCAGAGATAGTAACTCATAGTTTGTTACCTCAGAATGAGCCTAAGACTTTAAATCAAGAGATTGAGAAATGTGCACCAATTATAAACTTCAGTGCACAGAACAGTATGCTTCCTTCACAGAACATGACAGATAATCAGACCCAAACCATAGATTTATTAAGTGATTTGGAAAACATCTTGTCAAGTAATCTGCCTGCTCAGACATTGGATCATCATAGTCTTTTGTCTAACACAAATCCTGGACCTGACACCCAGCTCCCATCTGGCCCAGCCCAGAACCCTGGAATCAATTTTGATATTGAAGAGTTCTTTTCGGCCTCACATATCCAGACTCAAACTGAAGAGAGTGAACTTAGCACCATGAACACTGAGCCAGTCTTGGAGTCACTGGACACAGAGACTCAAACGGACTTCTTACTCGCAGATACCTCTGCTCAGTCCTATGGGTGTAGGGGAAATTCTAACTTCTTAGGCCTTGAGATGTTTGACAGACAAACACAGACAGACTTAAACTTTTTCTTAGACAGTAGCCCTCATCTGCCTCTGGGAAGTATTCTGAAACACTCCAGCTTTTCCATGAGTACTGATTCATCTGACACAGAGACACAAACTGAAGGAATCTCCACTGTTAAAGATATACCTGCTCTAGAAAGCAAAGTTCAGTTGAACAGTATAGAAACACAGACCATGAGTTCTGGGTTTGAAACCCTGGGGAGCTTGTTCTTCACCAACAACGAAACTCAAACAACAATGGACGACTTTCTTCTGGCTGATATGGCCTGGAACATGATGGAGTCTCAGTTCAGCTCTGTAGAAACCCAGACTTCTGCGGAACCACACACAGTCTCCAACTTCTAAAACTAACAGTGGAGTCCATGTGTGAGACGGCATCTACCATTTCCTCTGGATTAAAACTACGGACGGGGGACAACAGTATTAATTCGATTGAATGTGGCTGATGATGCAGTTGCTTAGCTTCTTTGCAGTTCTTTGCCTTTTGTACTTGTAAACAGAAATTTGTGTATAAATGTGAGTGTATTATAAAGTTTGAGATGTTGATCTAAAAAAAAAGAAAAATCAACACAAAATGGGCTAAATGTAATACCTGAAATTATGAAACTACTAGAAGAAAACATAGAGAAAATGCTTCATAATACTGGTCTTCTGGGCAAAGATTTTTTGGATAAGACCACAAAAGCAATAAAAGCAAAAACAGACAAATGGAATTACATCAAACTAAAAATCCATCAAACTAAAAATGTCTTCACAGCAAAGAAAATAACAGCGTGAAGAGACAACCTACAGAATGGGAGAAAATATTTGCAAACTATGCATCTGAGAAGGTGTTAATATCCAGAATATATTATATAAGGAACTCAAACAGCTCAATACCAAAACAAAACAAAAAACAAAACAAAACAAAACAAAGCAAAACAAAACAAAGCAAAACAAAAAAACCTGATCTTTTAAATGGTCAAAGGGACCTGAACCAACTTTTCTTCAAAGAAGACAAACAAATGGCTAGCAGTTATTTGAAACAATGCTCAACATCAGTAATCATCAGGGAAATACACATCAAAACCACAATAAGAGAGGATCATCTGAGGCCAGAGTTTGAGACCAGCCTAGGCAACAGAGCAAAACCCCATCTGTACAAAATAAAAAATTAGCCAGGCAGGATGGCGCATGCCTGTAGTCCTGGCTACTTAGGAGGCTACAGCAGGAGGATCTCTTGAGCCCCGGAGGTTGAGGCTACAGTGAGCTATGATCACGCCACTCATTCCAGCCTGGGCAACACAGTGAGACCCTGTATCAATTAAAAAAAAAAAAAAAAAGAGTACAATGGCTGTTGCCAGGGGCTGGCAGGAGGGGAAATTGAGAGGTGATAGTTAAAGGTACAAAGTTTCAGTCCTAAAAGAGAAGTAAATTTTGGAGATCTACTATATTGCATAGTGCCCATGGCTAACAATATTATGCTGTATAGTAAAAATGTACTAAAAGAGTAGAGCTTATATTAAGTGTTCTTACCATACACAAAAAAATAATAACAAAACAGGCAGGGGGAACTTTGGGAGGTGATGGGTATGTTTACAGTTTTGATGGTGGTGATAACTTCATGGGTATATACTTATCCACAAACTCATTGAGTTCTATAGATTAAATATGTACAACTTTTTATATATCAATCATATCTCAATAAAGTGATTTTAAAAATCAAAACAAACCTTTTACATCTGAAAATATCAAGGATCTACTGCACAATATATTAAAACCTCTCTATCACACTCCAATTTAAAATGACTAAGGATCATGACCTAGACACACTAATTAAATGTAACAAGAGGTTTCATTGCCTGAAAAATAGAAAAGTAGTAAAGAGACAGATCCTCAAATGTCATGTCTTTGGATGACAAGGAAAACTTTGAAGAAATAGGTGGAAAAACTCAACAGATCTGAAAATAAATGTTGTCTTTAAAAATAATTATGTGGTTTTTATTTTAAAAAATTTATTGATATGTTCCCATACCAAATCCACAGAGCTTTGTTAGGCTTTTTTTTTTAATCTAAGGGTAATTAATTTGAATTTTCCAACAGGGTTTCAGTAAAGCATAAATGAGGAAATTACATATATCTAATGGATTAGAATATTTCAAGTGTATGGATTTCGATATGAAGACAGAAAGTGGAGAAAAGGCAGGTAAGGTGTATTCAGTTAGCCAAACAAACACAGTCATGTGTTGGGACAATATTGGGCTGGCTTTACACCTAGAGTATACACCAAAATAAAGAACATCAAACATGAACACTGACATTCACACTCAAGATAGTCACAACTGGATTGAAGCGGGCTAGCTCTCATCTACAGAATACCTTTGATATGTCTAAAAATTTTCAAAATTGTAATGAAGTTCAAAGGCAACTCATGGCTTTTATATATTTAGGAATGGAGAAATGTCTCAGGACTCTGGTCAATCCTCTTGAAGAAACTCTTAAAATCTCTTTCATTTCAAACAATAACATTAGTCATAGTCACTGAACTTAAAATACAAACTAAAACTGCAGAGTGAGAAGTGTTACATAGTACAGCAGACTAAGTGGAGCACTTAACCCAGATTTGGGGTGTTGAGGAAAGTTTCCAGAAAAAGAGACCTGACACTGAGAACTGAACCATATGTGGGGGCTCACCAGGGGAACAGCAGACTGAGGCAAGAGGGACTTTCAGCAAAGTGTAGACTAACAATACAAAAGGCAATTGTTTAGAATCCTGCCCAAATCAGGGATGCCTCCTTTCTCTAGGCATCTACACTGACTTATAATAATGGAGATAAACATTTTAGGGCATCTAGAGATAGAGGCCAGCCAAAGGAATACACTACTCGTGCTTTTATATTTTGATCTCACCATTTTTTATCCCTCTGCTGGTGACTGGCCCACCTACATAGCATCTTCCCTCCCTCTCTCCGTCCCTCTCTTCCTTCCTTTCCCAAGGTTTTCAGGAAACCCGCTTTCTTAGAAGGAGATACAGATGCCCACAACTTCTGTTGGCATGTCTGGGCAACTGCTTCCAAATGAATGCTGACTCTTGTTACCTCTTCTGGAGAGAAAGGAAAGGCTGTGGTGTTATCTAATTACCTCCATTACTTTATTTGTGTAAGATTCATCAGACAGGCTCTCTACTTTGTAATAAAAACATTAAAACAACACCAAGCATAACTTCTACAAAAGGATTTCTCAAAAGAACCTGACAACTATTACATGTTTTCTCTCTTTGTAGAAATATGTATAATGTATTTTTTGGAAGAGGGGCACACAGATCTGAGTGTGGTTTACTAATGGACAAAATGTCACAATAAAATTTCTCGCTTCTCACAAGAAAGGAAAGCATCATGATATGTTAAGTGTGAGGGGGACTTCTGGCTATAAAAGTACATTTTACCAAGACTGTCACCCTGCTCAAGCAAGTAGTAGATGGATTTAAAAGGACTTTACAAAACAGAGTAAGGACTCTGGACTTTATTCTAAGAGCAAAGGTAAGTCACTGGAGGATTTTTAGCATTAAAGTGATATACTCAGATTTCTGTTTCAGAAAAATCACACAAGCAATATAGAAAATGGACCACCAGGGGAGACAAGATCATACTGTAAGATGGAAGACCATCTTACAGTAACTGAGGCCTAGTCTAGTCACATGAAGGAATAGAGAAAAGCACCCAGATAAGAGATGCTTATCAGGGAGAACACATAGTATTTAGTATTTAGATCAGACATAGTAAAAAAAAGGAATAGAGAGGAGGTAAAGATGTTGCTTAGGTTTCTGATTAGAGAACTAGATGTGTTATGCCACCATACACTGAAAGGGGCAACAAAGGAGTAGGAACATACTTGGATAAAAAGATAGGCTCAGCTTAGGGCATGGTGAGTACAAGAGACCTGGGGCATCTAAATGAAGAGGTCCAATAGGCAGTGGGTATGTGAGGAAGAGGTTAGGAAACAGGCCTGAGCTGAAGACATAGATGTAGAAACATCAACAGAGAGACAGTAACTAAAGCTATGGAAATGGATGAGATAACCCAGGGAGGATGAGAAAAGGTCTGGGCCAAGGACAATAGAGATATGGGAGCAAAGGATGGCTCAGCTGGCCTGTGAACATTCAATTGAAGAAAACGTCTTGTACCCAGGGAGAAGTAGCATGAGTTCTGCTGAGATCAATTAGCAGACCTGTAGCCCACCCATTCTGTTCTTAGCTGTCACTTCCAGGTTTAGTCTGCCATCTTCACAAAGACTACAGCCATCCAAAATAAATAAAAGCAGTCAAAACCAACTGGCAAAATCATTGTTCTAGTTTTATTTAGTAGATTTGAAGCGGATACCATCTGTGCAGCCAAGTAATATACAAATACAAGAAATCAATCTTGTACCACAAACGCAATCCAAAAGCCATATCAGGACAGCACAGACATACAGTAACATCAGACAGAATTTCAAAGTGCTATAAAACACAATGATTCTACTTTTTGGTTGCAGGCTTTAAAAATACTACGGTATATATGGTTTTAAGATCCTAAATTGCAGTCATGTTCTTAAGCTAGTTTGTTTTTCTATTTAAGTGTTGACAGACAAAAAATACAGTTTTAGTCTAACACACCATTTACCTTACTTTTAACTTTATTTGAGCCTTAAGGGTACTCTTGCAAAGCAACAAAAATGTGCAGAACCGAGGTCAATTAATAACTAGTTTTGAAAATCTACTGAACTTTTAACTGCACAATATCAAAATCCCTATAATTTGTAATGAGCAATAAGAAAACTTGAAATTTTTCCAGCTTTGTCTAGGATTTCCTCAAAGATGAAGAACATATTATTTTAAGAAACTGTATGTGGTTCCTCTGTATGTCACATATATAGTTCTTTACTAACAGTGACTCTATTGCTAGATACCCACATGTAGACTACATTTTAGTAAAAAGGTTCCAAATTCAGTACTGAAACCGTTATCCACATCTAACCGCCTTCTTGGAGCAAAACCTTGTTTTCTAAGCCCCAGAATAGGTTTTATCCCTTAGTCAATACTTAACCCTCTGTCAAATAAAAGTTACTAATGGTATCACAAATATACTGTATCTCTGCGGCCCTGCAGTGGCTCACACCTGTAATTCCAGCACTTTGGGAGGCTGAGGAAGGAGGATCGCTTGAGTCCAGGAGTTCGAGACCAGCCTGGGCAATATAGTGAGACCTCAGCTCTACAAAACATCAAAAAATTAGCCAGACATGGTGGCGCATGCCTGTGGTTCCAGCTACACGGGAGGCTGAGGTGGGAGAATTGTTTAAGCCTGGGAGGTCGAGGCCATAGTGAGCCATGTCCGCATCACTGCACTCCAGGCAGGGAGACAGAGTGAGACCCTGTCTCAAATGCATGCGCACACACACACACACAAAATGGTATCTCTGTATACTCAAAACTCATCTCCTCAAAGTCTGTCCATTTCTATCCATCATTGACTGGCAATGTATGTGTCATGGATGTCACACTTTTTACTATCAGAACTCCCAGAAGTAGGGACTTTATCAGTCATTTCTTTGTAAGGGTCTACACACAAAAGCCACTTGATATTAGCGGCCAGCCAATTCTATGGTCTCCCAAATATAGGGAATAAAAAAGGAAATAAGTTCCTTAATATCTTGTTTTATATTTGAAATTCAGCAAGTATCGTATTTACCCCCACCTTCCTCACCTCAGCCTTCTATCTCCATCCACTGAAAAACTGGATCATGAAATTTAAGCAGAAGGGAAATCTGGTAATGGTAAGATTAAGAAAAGGGAAGAAGTCTGAAGAATCCAAAATATGGAGGAGAAAATAAGAAAGAATGATCCAAGTAAAAGACTAAAAGGAAAATTTAAGCCAAAAATAATAAAAAGGAATAAAATACATAATAAAATACCTGATAAGGCAATGTCAGGTGATAACCAAGAAAAAGAAGTCTGTAGGAAATAAATACAATTTCTTTTTTTTTTTTTTCAGACAGTCTCGCTCTGTCGCCCAGGCTGGAGTGCAGTGGCACGATCTCGGCTCAATGCAGCCTCCGACTCCTGGGTTCAAGCAATTCTCTTGCCTCAGCCTCCTGAGTAGCTGGGATTACAGGCAACTGCCACCACGCCTGGCTAATTTTTTTTTGTATTTTTAGTAGAGACGGAGTTTCTCTTGCTCAAGTTGATCCCTAAACCACAAATGACAGGACAACTGACAATTTTAAAATCCCAGTCCAGGGATATGTGGTTATCCCACCCTGGTACTTGTTACACCAAATATTACTGCTGACTTGGGGTGCTCCCACGTCAGAATGAGAGGACCACCATCATTTACACTAGCTGCCAAGAGACACATCAGCGACTGGGGGCTGGAAAGAGAGCCAGTGGCAAAGATAACTCCGCAGCAGGCCAAGGGCTGCACAAAATAAGTCTGGTATTGAGGTTAAAATTAAACGAAATGAAAGAGAAATAAGACAGGGGAGGATGAGAAGAACAAATACAGCATGAGAGTGGGCTCTTTCTATGTAGAAGGAAGGCAAACATCTGCAATTATTTGGTGGTGAGTGCCACCAAATTTAAGACTTTGTTCCTCGCTTGCAATTATTTCTCGGTTAAGACCACACAAAGAAAAAAAGAGACCTAAAGGCTAAAATGATGAAAAGTGGCTAAAGTCAGTATAACAATAACCATCAAAACACACACACACACACACACACACACACACAAAATTGTTAAAGTAACAGAGGAGTTAACAGTGCATGAAGAATATTCCTGACTGACTCAGAAAGATGTTCATCATAAATTCTTAAGTCAAATAAGGAAGCTGCAGAAAAATATTTATAATATCATAACATTTTTGTACAAAATATTTATATGTGTAAGTACAGGAAGTCTTCAAAAATAAGTGCTGGTGCTATGAGGGATTTGTTGGGGTTTTTTGTTTTTTTTGGTTCTGGGTTTTTTTTAGACAAGGTCTTGTTCTGTCGCCCAGGCTGGAGTGCAGTGGCATGACTGATTTAGGCTCACTGCAGCCTCAACCTCCTCCAAGCGATCCTCCCACCTCAGCCTCCCTAGTAGCTGGGACCACAGGCATGCACCACCATGCCCAGCTAATTCTTTTTTTCTAGAGCTGAGGTCTCACTATGTTGCCCAGGCTGGTCTCAAACTCCTGGACTCAAGTGATCCAAAGTGCTGGGATTACAGGCGTGAGTTGCCATGCCCTGCCTGGGATTTGTTGTTGTTGCATTTTTTCCCTGTGTTTTTCAATTTAATTGAAATAAAAATAACAACAGTTCTTTAAAATAAAAGAAAAAAGGCCTGGCGCGGTGGCTCACGCCTGTAATCCCAGCATTTTGGGAGGCCGAGGCAGGTGAATCACGAGGTCAGGAGATCCAGACCATCCTGGCTAACACGGTGAAACCCCATCTCCACTAAAAAAAAAAAAAAAAAAATTAGCCAGGCGCGGTGGCGGGCGCCTGTACTCCCAGCTACTCGGGAGGCTGAGGCAGGAGAATGGCAGGAACCCGGGAGGCGGAGTTTGCAGTGAGCAGAGATGGCGCCACTGCACTCCAGCCTGGGAGACAGAGTGAGACTCCATCTCAAAAAAAAAAAAAAAACAAAGAAAAAAACAAAAGAAAAAAGATCTTCTAAATCATTCAGTTTTTACCCTGAATTAAACATGTTTAATTTAATGAATTTGTAAACAATCCCTTTAATGCAGAGCCCAGCTTTAGGAGAGCTGCTCCCACGTGGTGGACAGAAGGGGTCACTGGCCAACCCTAGTTGCATTCTGGTAGAAAGAAACACAAGTTTTAAAGAAAAACGGAAAGGTCTGAACCCGGCGTCACTATTCACTAGTTCATTCAGTGAGCCAGGGCAAATGATGTGAAATTTCTGAGTGCCAACCTCGCTTCTCTTTGGGAGTGAAACAGAACCTACCTCAAAGGGCTGTTTTGAGGATTCTTGAGAACAGTTCCCACCTATGAAGACACAGCCTGGTGGGGTAGATTCCAGGAAATTCAGTGATCCTTCTGACCAAAATTATACTTTTTGTCATCTCAGGAAATAATCTGTTCCGAGAAATTCCAGAATGTAGGCCGCTTTCAGTGACCTGCCTTTAGCCTGTGAATCCTCAGACTCACCAGTGCTCAGTAGAGCAGTGGGGTTCTGACAGTTCCTTCTAAAGCACTTGTGCCTACCTCTTCCGGGAGAGCACAGCAACATTCAGCACAGCAAACCAGAGCAGCACGGCTCAGATATGAAGGCCTGCTTCCTGCAATTCTCTGTCCTACAAACATATCAGAAAGCCCAGTAGGGGTAAAAAACAGCTCTTCTAAGGGCCATACTGCAGAAGCATGGCCAAATGAATAGCATGATCACTGCAGACGCAGTTATAGACTCAGTATGCATATGACACTTTGGCAGAGTTTGCACTATAATGGCTGTTTACTTCTTAGTGTTGTTTTAAAACCTTGAAGATGTCCACTACAAATTCTAGTATTCCTAAGTATGTCTTGAACCTAAAAAAGTTCAGACCCACTGGACAAGAAAAAAAAGAGAGAGGGAGAGGTGTAAGGCAAGTATCTAGAATACGGTTGTACAGCCAGACTTTCTGCAAGGATGGAAAGGTTCTGGCTCTATCTGTCCATCCAATACTGCAGGCGCCAGCTGCATGTGGCTTCTGAACGCATGCAATATGGCTAATGAATCTGAGGAAGTGAATTTTGAATTTTATTTAATTTTAATTAATGTAAATTTATATAATTAAACGTACCTATTGACTATGGCATTGGTCAGCACAGATCTAGAACCTTGGGTTAATGACTTGTGCTAACTCACAAAGGGTGATATGCAGATGAGTGAGCTAAGTTCAAAAAGGGACCAGTCAAAAAGGAGAACACACGCGCACCAGCATCATGTTAATATTCTCTTGCAACGCATGCAGTTCACCTTTATGAAGCTGAGGTCCTAGCTTGACCTCAACCTGTCTTCGTCAGTTTAGGCTGCCATAACAAAATATCACATACATGGTGGCTTAAATAACAGAAATGTATTTTCTCACAATTCTGGAGGCTGTAAAGTCCACAATCAAGGCCTATTAGGTCCTGTTGAGAGCCCTCTTCCTGGCTTGTATGTAGGCAGCCACCTGTGTCCTCACATGACCTCTTCTTTGTGCTCATGTGGGGAGAGATCTCTCTCTCTACCTCTTCTTCTAAGGCCACCAATCCTACCAGATTAGGACCCCACCGGTATGACTTCCTAAAGGCTCCATCTCCAAATACAGTCCCATTGGGGGTTACAGCTTCAGCTTCAACTTATGAATGGGGGAGGGGTGGACACAATTCAGCCCATAACACAACCCTCTACTCTTCCTTAATTAGCTTTCTTGTAATGAGTTCCAATATGGAAGGGAAGAGATAATCACCAAAAATATTCTCAGAACGAAAAGACAGGAGTTTCCAGATTGAAAGGGCTGACCAAGTGCCCAAGAAAATGGATGAGAAGAGATCCACACCAGGCACATCATCATGAAATTGTAAAAACACAGGAAGGTAGAAGGAAATTAAACAATGCCTCACAATTCTAAAGGAAAATAATTTCCAACCTGGAATTCTTATCTAGACAAACTATCAATCAAATGTGACTAGAATAACTTCACATTCAACAGGCAGTGACTAGAAATAATTCATCTCCCACACATTCTGCTTTAGGAAGATACTAGAACATCTGCTTCACATCAAGAGGAGGGAGAAAACAAAGAAAGAAAATAAAGTAAACAGAAGACCCAATATCAAGAAAGGAGAGAAGGATGAATGACAGTGAAGGAAAATTCCAGGGCGACTGCAAAAAAGTTTTCAAACAGGAAAGGGAGGGGTTCTTTGTACCTGCCCAGATTTTCTTCTCAAAATATAACATTTTTAAAAACACCAAAAGAATTCAAAGAAACCTCCACAACCTCTTTAATTTTTTTTAAAAAAAAGGGGGCCAGGAGTGTTGGCTCACACCTGTGATCCCAGCACTTTGGGAGGCTGAGGGAGGAGATCATTTGAGCCCAGGAGTTCAAGACCAGCTTGGGCAACATGGGGAAACCCTGTCTCTACTAAAAACGAAAAAAAAAAAATAGGTGGGCGTGGTGGCGAGCGCCTGTAATCCCAGCTACTTTGGAGGCTGAGACACAAGAATCCCTTGAACCTGGGAGGCGGAGGTTGCAGTGAGCCAAGATCGTGCCACTGTACTGCAGCCTGGGCAACAGAGCAAGACTCTATCTCAAAAAAAAAAAAAAAAAAAAAAAAAAGGGAAAACAGAAGAAATAAGGCAGAGGTGAAGGCAATAGATGCAGTCTGTTGTGTCCTTTATGCTGATGGAAATAGCCAAAGTTCCTCTGAAAAAGGTATCACCATATCAACTATGTGCTTCCACAGTTACCAACTTCAGATTACAATATGGTACTTGACAATGCTTGGCTTCAATTCTCCTTATTAGAAAATTAACAGAATTTCAAAAGCAAGTTTAAACAAGAGAAATTCAACTGTTTTCTTTTGATAAATGCTGCCTCTCTAATAGAGCACTGAGGATCGCTTACAAACAGTCACTTAATTGCTCTATTATCCAATTTAGAGGTTTCCCCAAAAGTCCAACAAAAAAAAATTCAGTAAAGGCAAATGGAATTTAATGCAATTACCAATAAACAAGCAAAGAAAACAAAATCACCCCACACATACAGCCATGCACAAAGAATTAGGCCAAAGCCCAGTTATTCAGCACTTCCAGTGGACCCCTGCATGCTCTTAAATTTGGCAAACATCATAGAAGACTTAATTGGAAATCAGAGCACAGAAAGAAACTTTAGAAATGACTATATGGCCAAAATGATACCTCACCAGATGTCCCACTAAGTGGAAACTAAGAAGAAAAAAACAGATTAAGACTGGTACAGGTTTTGAATGCTTGTCCTACCTTGTCTAGATGAAAGACAGGACCACAAAAAAATGTGCTTCAAATCACTTTAGAATAAAATTCCTTCCCTAAATGCAGCATTCTAAAATGTCACACTAATACAATCCTTAAACAGCAACTATTTTTAGCATCCTTTTATTTTTTAATTGAACAATGCAACTGAGTTCCATTAACAGTTAATTCTTCCCAACTTTAATTCTAACAAACTCATTTAAGTTAAATGACCATCAAGAATAAAAGACTTATACTGTATTTTTGCATTCCTACAATTCAAAGGCAACAGGATCAAATGTTTTCAGGCTGTGAAAAGACACGCCATACTTCAGGTTAAAAGTATATTTTATTCCAAAATTAGGAGTGAAAATAAAGCTTGAAAAGAAATGACTTCTCAGCCTTGAATTTGGTGGCATTAATATTAATGACAATCCCACTCATCTCAAAGGCATTTCCTAGAGTGTTTATGTTATGAAAACTGGGTCTGGAATGTCATCTTCAGTAAATTTGAAATTGTTTAACCTGAGGTTTTGCTAGATTTGTAACAGCTGCACTGATGTTTACAACTGTAATAAGGTCTTTACAGCATGGCACTCCTTTACACATTTTTTAGATCTGGTTGGTACAAACATGTTGTACTGATCAACAAAAATGAGTTTGGTATCTCTCTATACCTACAAGTTTAGTCAGAATAAAGTTTTGTTTTGGATTAACATTGTACAATAAATGCATCAAGGACCTTCAGAAGTTTTATGGTATTGGTTACAGAAGAACAGGACAAAAACTTCCATTCATATACAAACATTTGGAAAATGACTCAGTTTGTGTTTGTGAAATTTGAATTTTGTTTGGGGAAAAGACATGCGTATCAAATACACTGTGGATCTAATTTGTTTGCTGGCATTCATTGAGGGTTTCAGGGCACATTACCAAGCAGAAACTGGTTGGGCAGTATTCAAAGATTACATTTCTCCTAATGCCCCTATTTACACAGTAGAAAGATGCAACCGAAAGCCTGCGAAAGACTTGCTTAACAATGCTTCCATAGGAAGCTTCAGCCCCCCTTGGACATCGAACTACTGGTGCAACAAAAAGAGCACCAGACAGGAGTTAGTTTCCCTGGGTAACAGCCAACAACCCTGCCATTAAACTCAGTTTCCTTCTCTCTAAACATTTCAAAGAGAAGTTATTATTTAAGGCAAATGTTTTCTGCTAAAATCAGTTGGGTTTGGGTAACCAGAAATACCCGGCTCTTTTGATTATTGAAAAGGTTATCATCTCATAACAATTAAGACACATTTAAAAGCTGTACACACACAATCAACCCAAGAAGTTCATCAGTAGCTATCCTCCTTTGGGCAATCTCTTGGGAATTCCTTAATTATGAGCCAAAGTAATTTTTTTGAAAAGTCTCCATTCTATTTTTCTTTTCTAATTTTTATTTATTTATTTAGTTTTTAGACACAGGGTTTCGCTCTGTCACCCAGGCTGGAGTGCAGTGGTATGATCATAGCTCACTGCACCCTCAACCTCCCAGGCTCAAGCGATCCTCCCACTTCAGCCTACAGTTGCATGTCACACTGTATGGGTCTACAGTTGCATGTCACCACGCCTGGATAATTTTTGTATTTTTTGTAGAGACAAGGTTTCGCCATGTTGCCCAGGCTCGTCCTGAACTTACGGGCTCAAGTGATCTGCCCACCTCTGCCTCCCAAAGTGCTGGGATTACAGGTGCTCAGCCCTGTTTTTCTTTTTTTAAAATGCCTATCTTACCTTAGCACATATGGTTATTGTGAGAATCCCATATAATCTATATGGAAATAATTTGGAAAGTACAAAGCACTTTTAATAGGGCTATTGCCCAAAGTAATGTTAGAAATAAATTAAGAAATCAAAAGAAGTAGTTAACAAAAAAAAACCATGCTTATAAAACCAACGTATTTGTATAAAATCAACAGAACAAAAAGCTCTGATTTATAAAGGGTATACAGTATCTTACTGCTCAAGAATAATAATAACCTTTTCTACAGATATGAAACTTAGAAGTCACCAGAGAACCCTGATTAATGCAGTAATTTCTCCAATAAGTATGACAAATTTGTTCTGATCTGTCCATTTTTTTCTAAGTGTTAGTTTAACAACTGAATGCATTTCAGAATTATTCAAAACTTAAATTACTTTAGACAAAGGTCATAAATTCAAAGTCCACAACAGATAAGTTAAATGAGTAAAGCAATTAGACAGGCTTGTGGTGAAAAACAGCAACTGTCCAAAGAAGATAGCCAGTAGGTATAGCTCAGTGGTAGAGCATTTGACTGCAAAGAAGACAGCCAGGATTTCACTCCTGCCAGTTGCTGCTGGAAGGGAACTCAGACTTGCTGTTGCCCAACTGCCTGTCTTAGTCTGTTTTGTGCTGCTATACCAGAATATGTGAGACTCAGTAGTTTACAAATAACAGAAATTTATCAGCTCCCAGTTCTGGAGGCTGGGAAGTCTAAGATTGAGGGGTCACATCGCAATGGAAGGCATCACACAGCGACAGAGCACAAGAGGGCCAAACTCGCTTTTATAACAAACCACTCCATGATAATATCAATCCATTCATGTACATCAGTAATACCTTAGAAACAATGTTTTTAAAATAACATGTAGTCATTTAGTCATAGCCACTTTGGCCACAAAACAATGTAACCAAAGGTGGTTCTGATCAAGTACCACAATATTTTCAAATACTTGTCCTATTCTCACCATTTTGCCTCAAAAACATACTTTTTTAAAAACTTATTTTTAAATTAAACATCTTAGGCTTAATTTTTTTTTCTTTTTTTTTTGAGATAGGGTCTTGCTCTGTCACCCAGGCTGGAGTGCAGTGGTGCAATCACAGATCACCGCTTTTTGTTTGTTTGTTTGTGCAATGGCCCAATCTCAGCTCACTGCAACCTCCCGAGTTCAAGCGATTCTTGTACTTCCACCTCCCAAGTAGCTGGGATTACAGGCACATGTCACCACACCCGGCTAGTTTTTTTTGTATTTTTATTAGAGACAGGTTTCACCCTGTTGGCCAGGCTGGAGTCGAACTCCTGACCTCAAGTGATCCACCCGCCTTGGCCTCCCAAAGTGCTGGGATTACAGGCAGGAGCTACCTTGCCCAGCCGACCTGCATCCTTGACCACCAGGACTCAAGTGATCCACCCGCCTCGGCCTCCCAAAGTGCTGCGATTACAGGCATGAGCCACCACGCCCGGCCTAGACTTAAATTATTTTAAAACCAAAAAGACAGTACAATTTTAGGCAAACATTAGATGGGTACAGCACACACGTGTAGAACTAAATGAAGATACCTGAAACTTTGATAGAATGAAACAAATTTCTAGCTTTTAATACCTTCAAAGGAATGTCACTACCAAAATTCAAGATATTTTTAAGGGCAGGCACAGTGTCTGCCTCATGCCTGTAGTCCCAGCTACTCAGGAGGCTCAGGTGGGAGGATCACTTGAGTCCAGGAGGGCAAGACTGCAACGAGTTATGATTGCACTACTGCACTCCAGCCTGGGGGACCGAGTGAGATGCATCTCGAAAAAAGAAAAAGATATTTGTATTGCACTTTTCTTGCTTACAACTACTCAATTTTAAGAAAAAATCAGTCATATTATACCATTTCATATAAAAATATTTCTGTTACTCCTAAAACTGGCTGCATAGTTTCAAAAAGTCACCACTTATCAAAATACTTATCATCAAGCAAAAGTTTCACTAGCTTTGCCAACTTTTTTAGTGTAATGACTAAAAATTCTAATGGTACTAGTCAGTATCAGAAACACAAGATACTCTTCTGGGTGCCAAATACTGCAGAAAATACTACTTCATAAATAAAATGCATGCTGTTATACCAATAATAAACGGTTACTCACTCTTACGGCCTATGATTGGAAATTCCTAGCTAACGGCTTCAAGCAAAAGCAGCAATTCGATATTATTTGTATAAATGTATATTTTATATAGTGTTTTATTATAATCTTTAATATGTAGGGGTAGATAGGCTAAGTAATCGTTACAATCCATGTTGGACAAGGTCATGTTTGGGTACACCAAATTCAGAAAGCTAGGGCTAAATATAACTGATTCCTTCAGACAAGTGTCTTACTAATCAATTACAATGTATAATCTGCATACATTGTAAATCACCAAATACACACTAAGAATTACAAAATTATACTATATCACCTAGGATGCCTTTGGTTTCCAGTAATTGAAAACCCAACTCTATTCATCAAGATAGGCTAAGTTATGATGTAGTAACTTTTTTCTGATACTATATGTCCAACATGTTATGTGGGACACACATGTTTGTGGGGTGGGGGTGTTGTTCTGCTCCACAGTCACTCATGGATCCAGCATGACAGGTGCTCAGACATCTCAACACCTAGCCTCCAGAATCACCATTGCAAAAAGAAGAGATAGCTAGGTCAGGAATCTGCTACTAAATGCTTCTACCTGGAAATAACCTGCTTAAAATCTATTGGCTAGAACAATCACAATGTCCTACCTAGCTGCAAGTGAACTGGGAAATGTGAGGGAAGATCTAAATATTTAGTAAGCATTAAATGCCCCTGCTGCACCAAGCAAAACCAGCTAAAACAATAATGGGAGGCCAGGCATGGTGGCTCACACCTCTCATCACAGCACTTTGGGAGACCCAGGCAGGAGGACAGCTTGAGGCTGGGAGTTCAAGACCAGCCTAGGTAACATAGCATGACTCTGTCTCTACAAAAATAATGATAATTAATTAGCCAGACATTGTGGTGCATACCTGTAGTCCTAGTTACTCAGGTGGCTGAGGTGGCATGATTCCTGGAGCCCAGGAGTTTGAGGCTGCAGTGAGCTATGTTCGTGCCACTGCACTCCTGGTTGACAGGGCAAGACCCTGTTTCAAAAGAGAAAAAAAAAAAAGGAGGGGGGGAATTCGTTGGTTCAAGAAACTGGCAAGTCCAGAAACAGGGCAGACTTCACAGTTGATCTGTCTCTCCATCCTGCTTCCCTCATGATAGCAAAACAGCTTTAGCCATTACAGAAGTCACATCACATCCATACCACCCAAAAATAGAGTACATACTTCTGTTCCAGCATCCCAAGTAAGAGACAGACCTCAGATGTATTCAGACTGGACTTGCTTGAGCTTATGCCCATCCTTAACCAATGACTGTGACGAATCAATAAAACACACTCCTTAAACCAATAAAAGTCCACCCCCAGGAGCTAGAGGTAGTATCAGTGTTCCCCAGAGCCCATAGAATAGTGACTACTAAAAGAAAATCTAGGGTCTGTTATGACAGAGAAGGGAGGAAAGGATGTTGGCACTCAACAAACATCAATGCAGTTATATAATAAAAAAGAATATACCCTGAAGAAGTTGGCTAAGAGTTGTGGAAACAAGCATATACACATAAGGCAATAATATGAACTGCAGTGCACAAAGACAGAGGAAAAGTCATTATGCATAACCACAAATGGTCATCAATAAATCAGGCGTTGGCCAGGAGCGGTGGCTCACGCCTGTAATCCCAGCACTTTGGGAGGCCAAGGCAGGCGGATCACGAGGTCAGGAGATCAAGACCATCCTGGCTAACACGGTGAAACTCCGCCTCTAACAAAAATACAAAAAATTAGCTGGGCGTGGTGGTGGGCTCCTGTAGTCCCAGCTACTCAGGAGGAGAATGGTGTGAACCCGGGAGGCAGAGCTTGCAATGAGCCGAGATCGCGCCACTGCACTCCAGCCCGGGAGACAGAGTGAGATTCCGTCTCAAAAAAAAAAAAAAAAAAAAAATCAGGAGTTAATAAGGAAATCTATTGAGTACAGCACTTGAATGTACAAGCATAATTACAAAAATAGGATTAGGCTAAGTACAATGCCTTATAATGTTATAGCTTTAAGTAAACAGTAACAACCAACAAAAACAAAATGACAACAAAAAGGAACCAGCCATAGGAGGGTGTTGGAAGTCACTAAGGTAAATGGCACCTCCAAAATCTTATAAAAGAAGCAAAAGTGTCTGGCAATTCCATACCTTTGAACTGAACCAGGTAAAGAAGGAATCACAGACATAAAGTCATAGCCTTTTATTTATTTATTTTTTTCCCTGGAGATAGGGTCTCACAATTTTGCCCAGGAGACTTGAACTCACAATCTTCCAGCCTCAGCCTCTCAAATAGTTGGGACTACAGGTGCACAGCACTGCACCCAGCCAAATTCATATTGTTTAAATAGTCTCCTCTGAATCTGTGTGTGTGTGTGTGTGTGTGTGTGTGTGTGTGTGAAAAACCGCAGCCTCAAACTGTCTTATGGGTAGTCACCAGAGTAACAGATCTCAGATTCCACTAAAATAGCTAAATGTATATAAAATGTTTATATCACACATAAATGTTTCTGAATTACAAAAGCATCATTGGGGCTCTAGAGGAAAATGAAAACACAAGTCCCAGAAATCTGAAAAATGAAAAACAGGGGTGAAAGATAATGAGAAGTACAGTCACATCTAAAGTCAGGTCATCTGGGAACCCTGCCCACTGGATGCCATAAGGTCGACCACAGTTCTAATCCTGTCCTCTTCTCCTCCCCTCCTAATCTCTGACCCCACTTTCCATGATAATCTATACTGTTTCTAATTTGCAAAGGCATGGAAAGGCAGTTTCATCACTTCATAAAAGCCTACATACTCTCACACAAACGTGTCTTTCGTCATGTGGAAGTGGGAGAAACCTTAGGATTAACTTTCACAATTCAAGAAAATGAACAGACTAAATACTCTCACCACTCATGATTTCTTGAGGAAGTTCAGAGCAAAGGTGATAAATCAGTCTGGGTCCAGTCAGTAAAAAGAAACCACATAATAATTTGAATAAGGAAAGTCAACTATAAATAATTACTGTTGTTGTTGTCATTTTCTTTTTTAGAGAGAGGGTCTCACTCTGTTGCCCAGGCTGGAATGCAATGGTATAATCATGGCTCCAAGCAGCCTCAACCTCCTGGGCTCAACGATCCTCCCACATCAGCCTCCGTAGTAGGTGGGACACACACCACTCCCAGATAATTTCGTGTTTTCTGTAGAACAGGGGTTTTGCTATGTTGCCCAGGCTTGTCTCAAACTCCTAGTCTCAAGTAATTCTCCCAAGCCCTGCGGCCTCGCAAAGTGCTGGGATTACAGGCATAAGTCACCATGCCCAGTCAAGAACTATTCACTGTAACAGGACTGGAGTAACAAGGTGCTGGCTAGTAAGAAGTACAGAGAATTCTACAAAACACAGGAATAGGAGATATAAGGAGGAGCCACTGCCCCTAGGGCTGAGGTGGGTGCCCTAAGGAAAAATACCCACTTCTTCCCAGAAATGGGATCAAGAACTTTTTGGAGGGAGCACAGCCATGGCTCACTGAATACGAGAGATGTCTCTGTGGGTGCTGTACCAGTACAACTTGCTGGAAAACCACCTTTGGTAACTTGCCAGAAACCCATCCTCTAGGGCGCCAGGAAAAGTGTTCACAGGGAGGTGTCCCACCACAGGCTCAGTTACAAAATCGCCTGAGGGGGATGCTGAGGTACACAGTTGACCATTGGGTGCAGCTGATCACAGCGCACTACAAGAGCCTGCACTGGGGAAGATACACACCACAGAAGCCGGCGCTGCAGAAGCACATATGCCAAGGACCTAGCGCTGGAGACGTGCACACGCCTGGGAACAGGTGCTGGGGCGGCACCCAAGCACGGGAGCCAGCGTTGGGGAAGCGGCACACCCCAGGGAGCTAGCGCTGGCAAAGCACACCCACCAAGAGTGAGCGCTAGAAAGCCGCACACACTATGGGAGCTCCGCCCTGGAGAAGCGTCACGTGTGTGCCTGGGAACCAGTGCTGGAGAAAGTATGTGGAAGCTGGCGATGGAGAAGGCGCGCGCATGTGTGCACAACCTCGCTCTGGAGGAGTCACGGCCAGGTGCGCGCACGACAACCTTCACCGGAGAAGTCACACGCATGCGTGCGCTGGAGAACCTGAATTTGTAATTTCAAATTTCCCTATAAAGAAATATCCACGAACTGATGACTTTGTGAGTGAATTCTATCAAATATTTGAAGAAAAAAAAATACCAATCCTTCACAAACTCTGAAAAAATAGGAGGGAACACTTCCCAACTCATTCTAAGATGCCACTATTACGGTAATACCAAAGCCAGACAGACATCACAAGACAAAATATTACTAATATTACCATGAACATAATACAAAAATCCTAAACAAAATATTACTAAGCCAAATCCAGCAATATGTAAAAAGGATTATATAACATGACTAAATGGGATTTAGAATGCAAGGTTAGTATAAATACACAAATCAGTTAATAAATCATATTGATAAAGGAACAAAACCACAGTCATCTCAATAGATGCAGAAAAGCAACATTTCTAACATTTGTTCATAAGAATTCTCAACAATCTAGTAACAGAAGGAAAATCTCTCAACCTGATAAAGTGCATTTATGAAAAACTTACAGCTAACGTCGTATCTAATGGTAAAAGATTAAATGTTTTCCCCCTAAGATGAGAAATAAGTCAATAATATACACTCCATGTCTATTCAGCAAAGTGCTGGAGGGTCGAACCAGGTAAGAAAAAAATTAATCAGGCAAAAAAGAAACTAAAGGCATCCACATGGAAAGAAAAGTAAAACTATATTGGCATGATGCCGTATGTAGAAAATCCTGTGTAATTCACAAAAAACTGGAAGTAATCATCAAGTTCAACAAGGAAGGTTGCAAGATATAAGATTAATAAGTGAAATCAAGTGTATGTTTATATACTGACAACAATCCATAATGAAATTTTAAAAATAATTCGGCTGCTCTACCTGTGGAGTAGCCATTCTTTATTCCTTTGCTTTCTTAATAAACTTGCTTTCGGCCGGGCGCAGTGACTCACGCCTGTAATCCCAGCACTTTGGGAGGCCGAGGCAGGCGGGTCACGAGGTCAGGAGTTTGAGACCAGCCTGACCAATATGGTGAAACCCCGTCTCTACTAAAAATACAAAAATTAGCCGGGCGTGGTGAAGGGTGCCTGTAGTCCCAGCTACTCGGGAGGCTGAGGCAGAAGAATCGCTTGAACCCGGGAGGCGGAGATTGCAGTGAGCCGAGATCGTGCCACTGCACTCCAGTCTGGGCAAACAGAGCGAGACTCTGTCTCAAAAAAAAAACAAAAAACTTGCTTTCACTTTATCGATAAAAAAAATTTTAATGAAATTTTAAAAATAATTCAATTCACAATACCATCAAAAATAAAACTTCAAAATTAATTTACAAAAGGGCAAAATTTGTACACTGAAAATTACTAAATACTGCTAAGAGAAATTAAAGCGCTCAACAAATGGAAAGAGATTCCATGTTCATGATGAGATGGCAATTCTCCCCCAAATAGATATGCAAAATTAAATGCAATTCCTACAAAGTCTATCACAGCACGGTTTTCTGAAAAAAAATAACAAACTGATACTAAAATTTATATGGAAATGTAAGGAACCCTGAACCGCCAAAACAATTTTGAAAATGAAGAAAAACATTGGATAACTTACACTACTTAATTTCAAAACTTACTATAAAGCTGCCATAATCAAGATAATGTAATGCTGACATAAAAGGCATGCAGGTCTCTTACCCTCAGTCCCGTATTAAACTTGAGTTAGAAGATGCCAATCTCAAAATGGAGGTAAAACCATTGCCTGCTAGCCCCCAGTCCAACTCTGGTGGCCAATCTGAATTGTTACCAATTTTATTTTTCCAGACACGGTCTCAGTCTGCTGCCCAGTGTGGAGTGCAGTGGCGCAATCACAGTTCACTGTGGCCTCGACCTCCTGAACTCAGGTGATCCTCCACCTCAGCCTCCCGAGTAACTGGGACCACAGCCCCGCATCACTATGGCCGGCTAATTTCTTAACTTTTTGTAGAGACAGGGCTCTCTCTGTTGCCCACGCTGGACTCGAACTCCTGGGATCAAGTGATCCTTCCGCCTCCGCTTCCCAAAGTGCTGGGATTACAGGCATAAGCCACCATGCTCTGCCTGTTATCTGAATTGCCTTTCCTTCTCCACTTCTGCATTTTTATTAAAACATTGCAAAACTTCCAAGGTGCTTCTCCTGTATGTATTTTTTCACATTAAGTCAATCACTCAAGATCCACAAACAAGACAGAGAATGCACATATCCCAGCCTAAAATAAAACTTTTAAAAATCATTTGGTGCTCATTTCCAGCCCGATTTGAGGCCCTAACACTACCAACTTGGAACTACCACTCATGTGAGTTTCCTCTGGCTCTCTCCATGGCCCAGATAATCAATCCAACTTTCTACTGGCCAGGCTGGCCTCCCTGTAGCTGGTTCTCATAAACACGAAATTTGTATAATTGTTATTGGAACTACCTGCTGAAATATGGAACTGGTTAAAAGTACCATTTGTTTTAAAATGTACATGCACAGTTGCACATACATGCAGCAACACATCTTCCACAACCAGCCAATCAATCAAGTTAATGCTTTTTATTAGAGGACAAAACAAAAAATACCAATATAGAGCCTGCTTTTCTTTTCTGATGCCTTGGTAAACGTTTTTGGAGAAATCAAGAGAAAATATGACCGAATAAAGCAAAAATAAATTCGAATGTATAATATACAAAGTATAATTAGTCCAGTTCTCAAGAAGCAGGCTCTATTACTGGGAGTAGTGGGTTGGTGAAAAAGATCTCTGATATATCTAGGAAAACAAATTCTTTTTCGATGCAGCCTTTCTTGTATATGAATAATGTATATGAGTGCTTATTTCCAGGTGACTCTGGTACAGCACATAACATTGAAACATCAATTCAAGTTTAATGTATAAAGTCGCAATGAACATGTTTTCCATCTAAGCTTAGGTAATGAATGATCTCAACACATGGTATGAATTCTACTGTTTGTAACAACCTTTCAGGGGAGTAAGGAGAAAACGATCTGTCTGAGGGCATATCACTGACAGTGAGTGACAGCCACAAAGAGCTGAAGTTGGGTGGCCCAAAAGTGCTCTGCTCATTTGATAAATGCTAAGTCAAATCACATCACAGTTTAGATGCATTAAATGGGGCACAAGTTAGAATAAAATCAGATGCCCGGGAGTTTTCCAAGTTTCAGATTAGAACAAAAGTCCAGGCACATACAGGACTTTGCTAGAAAACTCCTTGGTCTCTTCCCTTAAGATTCTGGTACCCAATTTCCCATGTTATAAAACTCCAAGTCTTTTCCCCCATTCGGTGCGCTGGACACATAAGATCATAGAGGGTTCGTAGTTGTAAACGCACCCACCTAAAAAATTAAAAAGAGCAAACCAACAAACAGCACCTGAAAAATCTCTCACGGGCTTTGAAGATATGGCCTGGCGTCCACAAAAAGAATGGAGGGAAGACACTGGCCTCTGCGAACCCGCCTCCCTCCGGGAATAAAAGGCGGAGGGCGGGAGGGGTAACAGCCGCGCCCCGGGCTCCTCTAATTGGACCTCGCCCCTCCTGGCGCCCCGGCGAATGGGGTTTGGGGGCAGGGGTGTGAGGGACGGGGAGGACGAGGCCAGCTGTAGAGGGCGACCGGCTCAAAGGGGCGAGCTTTTCACGGCTCCCACGAGTCCGAGGCAGAGAAATTCACCTTTGCTCCTCTCCTTTGAAGAAGACATAGCTGCCTGCGCTCAATGAACAAAAAGAACCAAAACGCCAACACCCGGCTCCCGCCTCTCCGGGGGCTCCCTTCCGCGCGACCCCAGCGCCGGCTCCCGCCCCCGCTTTCCCCGCCCTGGCCCCGCCCCGCGGGCTGGCACCGCCCGCCACCTTCCGCCTCCCGCCTCCCGCCTCCCGCCTCAGCCTTAGCCACAGCCCTGCGCCGGCGGGAACCCCTCTCGCCCACCGCAAGGCGCGCCTGGCCCACCCGCTCTCGCGAGCCTTCCCTCTTGCCCCTCGCCTCCTCCTCCCGCTCTCGCCGCTGACGTGTCGGCCAGACCCCCGAGGGAAGCCTCCGCCCTCGCTGCGTTCTGCGGCCTGCCGCTTACCGGGTGGTCCTCGCGGGAGCTGCTTCAGCAGTTTGGGCAGTGGCGGAAAGGAAGCCACCGCCCGGGATCTGTGGCTTGAAAATTTGGCTTTGCCTCGTATTGGCTTTTTGAGTTTTTTTGGAATTTTCCCGCGGTCGCCCGGCAGTGGAGCCGCGCGCGCGCACACGTGTCAGCAGTGCATTCTGGGGCCTGGCTAGCGGCCCCGCGCGCTCCCGCGGCGTCGCGGGAAAATTCCGACGAATCTCGGGTCCGTGGGGCGGGGCGGGCGCGGCCAGGGCTCTGGCGGAAGTGGGCCCGGCTGGGGCGGGTTCTAGGCGAGCGGAGTCGGTACTGCTCCAGTGTTCCCGGTTTCGCGCGGAAGCCCCGGCGGGAGCAGGGTTGCAGCAGCGCCCGCGGAGAAGGGGCGCTGGCTTCTTCCATATTCTGTTCAAAATGTAGGGGAGGTAAAATGGAAATTAGTTCTTTTGAAGAAAAGTTGAGGCTTTGTCAACGGGGTAAAACCTCTAAAATAAGATTTTCTAACTGCGTTCTAAACAATAGCAACAAAAAAGGCATCTTCAGTTAATGATTTCCCCTACCGTACATTAGTTCCATACAGTGTTTGGTCGGGGTTCAAATCAGTTCAACGCTGTACATAAACCACCCAAACAAATATTAATAAAATTTTCTCCAAACTCCCATTTATGACAATGGCATTAGCTTGTCTTGGTGAATTTTTTTTTCTTCTAGGATCTGACGACTTAAGCTTTAAAATGTCTTAAATCAATGCCTCACAACCATAAATCATAATCATAAAACTACAGCTTAGGTCGGGCGCTGTGTCTCAGGCCTGTAATCCCAGCACTTTGGAAGGCCAAGGCGGGCGGATCACGAGGTCAGAAGATCGAGACCATTCTGGCCAACATGGTGAAACGCCGTCTCTACTAAAAATACAAAACGTTTAACCGGGCGCGGTGGCGGGCGCCTGTAATCTCAGCTACTCTGGAGGCTGAGGCAGAATAGCTTGAACCAGGGAGTCAGAGGTTGCAGTGAGCCGAGATCGCGCCACTGCACTCCAGCCTGGCGACAGAGGGAGACTCCGTCTCAAAAAAAAAAAAAAAAAAGCTACAACTTCACATATACGTTCAAAAACACACTACAGGCCGGGCGCGGTGGCTCACACCTCTAATCCCAGCACTTTGGGAAGCTGAGGCGGGTGGATCACCTGAGGTCAAGAGTTTGAGACCAGCCTGGCCAACATGGCAAAAACCCGTCTCTACTAAAAATACAAAAATTAGTGTGTACTCCCGGCTACTTAGGAGGCTGAGGCAGGAGAATTGCTTGAACCCAGGAGGCGAAGGTTGCAGTAAGCCAAGATCGCACTACTGCACTCCAGCCTGGGCAACAGAGCGAGACTCTGTCTCAACAAAAAACACCACAAAGCTGTGTGTGCTTGTAATAAAAATAGCTCTCAAGTATTTAAACATGTCCAACTATTCCTATGGTGAAGAAATACCCGTTTTACCAATGAATACTTTCAATTCAGAGACTAATTTGCAGAGGTTATACATTTATAAGTGATACAATAAGTATATAGCATAGCAATAGCAACAATCTGTTTAAGAATTAAAGGTAGTTAAAAAAAGGAACCGATCCAGAGGTTGAGACAAAACTGGCAGAATCTGCAACTACATTAAGGAATTCGGTGTTTACATCCATTCTCGAAACTATTCCATGCCAGTTAAGGAAGTCGGTGCTTTTTGATTGTTTTTTAATTTTAGATTCGGGGGTACATGTGCTTGCTTGTTACATAGGTATATTGTGTAATGGTGGGGATTGGGCTTCTGGTGTACCTGTCCCCCAAACATTGAACATTGTACCCAATAGCTAATTTTTCAGCCCTCACCCCCTTCCCACCCTCTCCCTTTTTGGAGTCCCCAGTGTCTTGTTATTCCCATTCTTATGTACATGTATACCTATTGTTTAGCTCCCGCTTATGAGAACATGCAATATTTGATTTTCTGTTTCTGAGTTTGTTCACTTAGGATAATGTCCTCCAGCTCCATCCATGTTGCTGCAAAGGACATGATTTCGTTCTGTTTTACAGCAGAGAGGTCGATGTGTTTTTGATGTGTGCATAGTGTGACATGGATAAATCAAAAGCAAGTCCTGGGTAGGGAAATACATGCCTGAGGGGCACTCATCGTGGCACCTTGACCATGAGAAAGTCACCTCTGTGGTAACAAATCGAGAGTGAGTTGACGTTTAAGTTCTGCATTTATCAGCAAAGAAAGCAATTAAAGTATGTATTTCTTGAGAGAAATTATCTATTTTGGTACCCACATCCTTTTACATATTCGCTGAAAAATCATTTTTAGTGTTTGTTAATGATTGATGTCTTGCCATATCCCAGTTTTCTGTCTTTTTAGTTCAGTGGTTAATAAAGAATTGCTAGGCTCATCCAACTTTGCAGTATATGAAATGACACCATGTTTAGGCCTAAATTAGACCTAAATAGGAAGCATATATAGCATAAAGATCCAAACTTATATTTATAGGGATTCATTTTGCCTGGCATTCATATACATGGAACTATCTTAATAATATTTTAAGCAATAGTGAGATGTTCACTTTGTAAAATGCCCAGAAAGTTTCCAGAGAAACAGATATTTCAATACAAACCCTCTTTTTAATTGAATCATAAAATTGATTATGGGTGATCCAATTTTTGTTTGTGTGTGGGAGTGTGTGTGTGTGTGTGTGTGGTTTTGATTTGTTTGTTTTGAGACTGCATCTCACTCTCACCCAGGCTGAAGTGCAGTGGTGCAAACACAGCTCACTGCAGCCTCGACCTCTGCGCTTAAGCAATCCAACCACCTCAGTGGCACCAAAATGCTGGAATTACAGGCGTGGGCCACCGGGCCCAGGTGTGTGTTACTCTGGAACACAGTTTTGGTTGTAGTATAGAACCCAATCACAAATAATGTCGCAAAATGAAAAATGGCCTATTTAGGTGAAAATTATTACATCGTTTACATTAAATCTTTACATTCTAGAGGAAAACAAGTCAATTGGCTGAGTGCTGCAAAGTTCCTGACATTATCAAACCTTCCTTCAAAGTTCAACAAATAGAATCAACTGTCTTAGAATCCACGTTGTGGAAACCATTGTACCAAGACTCCTACTTCCAGAATTAGTTCAGACACCACCCACCTGGTTTCCAGTCCTTATTTGGCACCCCAACATTTAACATTATCTTTTCTTTTTTTTTTTTTTTTTTTTGAGACAGAGTCTCACTCAGTCGCCCAGGCTGGAGTGCAGTAGCATGATCTCAGCTCAGCTCACTGCAACCTTTGCCTCACCGGTTCAAGCAATTCTCATGCTTCAGCCTCATGAGTAGCTGGGATTACAGGCACATGCCATCACGCCCTTAACACTATCTTGTCCATGGCTTTGATATTTGCCTCTTGTACCTCAGTTGTGAATAATGCGTGTTGAAGTTCCAGGCACTGGGCTAACTCCTTGGCCTGGGTTATTCCCTTTGATTCTCACAGTGATCTTATGTAATCCACAGTGGTAATATTCCACTTTCACAGATACAGAAACTCATGCACAGAGCCATCTCTTCTAGTGGAGGGTGGAACCTGGCTTCAACTCCATTTACAGTGGCCTCTTACTTATAATGTTCTTGCTCCTGGCCCAGGCTGGTGACTTGAAAATAGGGTGAGGTGATCCCAGAGGCTTCTGCACTCTAATCACCACATTACTTTCCCATTAAAACATTCCAACTGAGGAAATGTAAGTTGAACTAGAGAAGAGAACAATGAGAATATTTTTTGTGCCAGAAACACTTTAAGAAACGGAGCAGATAATAGTGAAGGGCTTTGATCTGCCACCGTGAAGGGGAAAAGGCCAAGAAAGGGATGGCTGCAGGAGATGGAAATTCATGGAAAAAGGGAAATGTATTATAAATGCTGCATGGAAGCTGCCACTTCTACCCTGCCCCCGATATGCTCACTCCCTAGGCTCTGCTGAAAGAATGCACCTAGGAGGACATGTTTGTACTAGAGCCTCCATTACTAGCCACAGCTAATTGAACCAGAGATGGTAGCCTGACCCTAGCTGAACCAATCAAACTATTGCTGGGGAATTTGGAATTGCAACACTGAGAGACTGTAACATCTCTATACAACAGGAGCTAAAGCCCTCATGCCAACTGGAGTTACTTGGGGAAGAAAAATATGTAAGTAGCAAAGAAAGTTGGCTGGCAGAGAAAAGCAAAATGACGTTGAAAGGCTGTTATTTATTCTGTGAGAGAGAGGGGAGCTTCCATTCCTTATTTTTTATTTTTAAGCCTAATTTTAAGGTTAACTGACTATATATTTTTTCTGTTCTTAGTTGTCCACAGGATTGCCCCATATCCTTGCAACAGTCATCCCTTTACCTATGCTGACTTCAGTGAGTTTCTCTCCCTCACTGCAAAGCAAGCCCTGACTAAGAACCTGGAGGTGGCAGCTCTTCATTGTGTCACTGGGCATTCGCACTTTGGCTGAGCCTATTTGATAAATTAATCAATAGATACCTATTGCGAGATTACTATAGGGAATGAAAAATGGCTTTTCTGTACCCATCCTAGGTTCATGGCTGAGGCCTCCATAATAAAAGATTAACAGGAGCAAAGCATAGACATTGCATGTAAGTTTCCCATGACATAGGAGCCTTCCTAAGGAAAGGAAGACCCAGAGAAGCTGTTAAACTTGTGTGTTTCTATGCCAGGTTTCATGAAGAGTGGACAGTTGTGGGGAGATACAGTTGAACAAAGATGGGAATAAACTTGGGGGGAATTTAGCAAGGCTTATTTGTTCAGATTTTTCTCTGTAACCCGTCAGTCTTCAGAGGTAAGAAAGTACCTTTCCTGTGGAGATAGGTACTGTGGATATAGGCAGCACTTCTTACATGAGGGTCTTAGGACCTGCTTCAGGGGAAGTTCAGAAAATCATTCCAAGGTTTTATGACCCGCATCAGGAGAAAGGAGAGGAGGGAAGGTGAGAGTGACTTTCCAGCTTCTGCCATGTTTTCAAATATCAACATGCTGTATTTAGCAGAAGCATGTTCTCAACCCAATCACTACAAAGCATAAAGCACAAAGCCTATACGCTGTGTGAAAGACACAGATCTAAGTATTTTAGAGTTGAGAGAAAGCAGGAGTTCTCTAGGTTTTGGATTTGGCAGGGGAGGGGGCCAGTGAAATGTCAGTAATATTAGAAGTTAACAGAGTTAACAACTTTTTATTTGGTCAAGTAAAGACCTTAGGAGAAAAAAGTCTGCCATAATTATAATTTCATTTTTTAAGAAATGTATTTTTAACTTTAAGACAAGATGAAGGGAAAAAGTCTCAAAGAACAGTCTTTTAAATTGAATAAGTTTTATTTCATGAAAAACTCATTATGTTGTTTTTATTCATCTCATTTTACCACTTCCTCCCCTTGTTAGTATCAGAACACTGCTTTTACTTAGCACGGCAATGTGCCCAATAAAAAGGACCACCTTCCCTACAACTAGACTCCATTCCGACTAGGGGTGGCCAGCAACTCAGCTGTAGCCAGTGAGAGAGAAAAGGTGGAAAGACAAGAGAGGCCAGGAGATATTTAGCCCTCTTCCCCTCTCTCCTGCTTCCTACTTAGTATAAGGGCAGAAGGGCTTAAGTTTCCGTCATCTTGGACTATAAACAACTCTCAAGGATGATAGTCACAGAATGAGGATGGCAGAGCAAAAAAAAAAAAGGAGGGCTGGGCACGGTGGCTCACGCCTATAATCCCAGTGCTTTGGGAGGCTGAGGCGGGTGGATCATCTGAGGTCAGAACTGTGAGATCAGCCTGACTACCATGGAGTAACCCTGTCTCTACTAAAAAAAATATAAAATTAGCTGGGCATGGTGGCTCATGCCTGTAATCCCAGGTACTTGGGGGGCTGAGGCAGGAGAATTATTTGAACCTGGGGGGCAGAGGTTGCTGTGAGCCGAGATCACTCCATTGCACTCCAGCCTGGGCAGCAAGAGTGAAACTCTGTCTCAAAAAAGGAAAAAAGAAAAAAGAAAAAAGAAAAAGAAGAAGGAGGACCCTGGGTTCCCAATAATCATGAGAATTACCTGGCTTGCCTAACTCTGGACTTTATAATTGCAAACCCCAAATATCTGAGACAGGTCTCAGTTAATTTAGAAAGTTTATTTTGCCAAGGTTGAGGACACACACCCATAACACAGGCTCAGGAGGTCCTGATGACATGTGCCCAAGGTGGTCAGAGCACAGTTTGGTTTTATACATTTTAGGGGGACATGAGGCATCAATCAACATATGTAAGATAAATATTGTTTCGGTCCGGAAAAGGCAGGACAACTCAAAGCAAAGGTGGGACAACTCGAAGTGGGGAGGGGGCTTCCAGGTCATAGGTAGATAAGAGACAAATGGGTGCATTCTTTTGAGTTTCTGATGACCCTCTCCAAAGGAGGCAATCAGATACACATTTATTTCAGTGAGCAGAGAGGTGACTTTGAATAGAATGGGAGGTAAGTTTACCCTAAGCAGTTCCTAGCTTGACTTTTCCCTTTACCTTAGTGATTTTGGGGCCCCCAGATTTATTTTCCTTTCATATTTCCCCCCTTTTCTTTTTAAAAAATATTTTGGAGAAAGAATTTTAGAAGAAAATGAGTCTCTGGTCTCATTTTTGTCTGATCTCTCATGGCTAGCAAGGTTTATTCCTAGATGGGTAGGTCCCAAGTTATTAGGAAAGTTCATTTTTAACAGGTTGTGAAATCTTATGTTTTATGAAGAGAAAATAGGGGGAGGAAGGGAGCAAAACAACAACAAACAAAAGAACAATCTTGGAAAATTGGTATAGGCCATATGATTCTGAAGTCCATACATCAGTAGGTAGGTATGAAAGTGGATTATGTATGTAAATAGGTTGCTGTTATTTTCTTCTGAAGTTTAAGTTGTTTAGCTTCAGTTTGCAAGGCTTTACAACAGTGACTCCAAATTAGGGAAAATGGGGGGGAAAAGAAGGAAAAAAATGAAAACATTATTTTGAAGACTTATAGCCAAGAAAAATTAGAATTTGGCCCAAACTGTAGAAAATAATAAAAACTGGAAAACATTAGGCAAGACTCAAATGTAACAACAGGTGTACTATAGTTTTTGAAACAGAATTTTTCTCTCTTCAGTTTCCCATTTTTACTACAGCCAAATCATGGTAAGACTGATTTGCTTTATTACACTTGAACTGACAATTTGTATACAGTGCAGCAAGAATAATTATTTGTTTACATAGGCTTTTAAATTGCCTTTGATGGAAATTTGTTCCATAGAAGGAATCTGAGATAAGACTTTTTTGAAGTCCAGCCCAGCCATGGATTTGTACCATCAAATACCTATGAGTTGGGTGAATTTCTCTACTCCTGAGGTTCCAAGATAGACTTGGGGCTCCTGGGCCTGTCAGAAAGTTACATTCTTTACTTACCACAGGTCAGGAACCCTGTACAGGGACTATGTAGACAAGGTATGAGGTCTGTTTTCCCAAGGGGCTTTTATTGGCTCCATAAGTCAAGTCTGATTCCTTAAAGGAAAGCACATCATTCCAGTCAAAGTCTTGGTAAAATAACCAGTTTCTCAAATTGTGTCCTGTTATAAATGAAGACATATTCTTACTGTACTTATGCAAATCACTGTATTGCCATAAGTTAAGAATATTCACAAATGGTTTCCAAATTCCTGAGAAATCAGGTAGAGAGAAACAAATATGTTCTAAATTTTGTTCACAGAAGTGTACTAAATTGTTAAAAGCTGTTAATAGCTCAAAAAAAGTTTCTTTGACTCTAAAGAAACAAAACAAAGGATGAGAAACGTTTTAAGCAAAAAGTCAAACAGATTACTTTAGTCTTCTGTTAGTTCAGTCCATGTGGTTAATTTCTGTTCTGCCTGATATTCACAAACATTTCAGTTCTCCATGAATCCCAAAAGTTTTTCTCCTATTCTGATGCCACAATTTCCAAAGTTATCAGAAACTTATATTCAAGAGCACCTGTTAGAGTTTTATAGCTGATTATAAAGCCACCTTCTAAAGAGGACCAAAACAAGACAATTGTCTGTGGATGACAAAACGTTTTATGGCAGCCATAGTCAAAGACACAGCTGACAAGGAAATTTGTTAGCTCTGTGGCACATAATAATTTAACTTAACAATTATAATTATTACTGATAATGTACACTAAGTCACATCAGAATCATAGGCATTTCCCATAATTTTGGAACACATACCAATAACATAATTATACAAATACAGCCCAGAGAAAACCAAACACTATTTCACATTTGACAATGTTTTCTGTATACTTTTTATACCAATAAGCCAAATTATGTCATTTTTGGACGTTAGGGAAACTAATATCTTAAAGGATTAATCAGGTCAGAAAAAGACATAATTTATCATTTGATTTTGGAAAGTTTGTTAAATATCAAAGGTTTAAAACACTTGATATCACACATCACTGTAAAATAAGTCATTCATTTGACTAAGGTGATAACTCAAGAATTTCCAAAAAAGGTGAAAACCTTCATTCTTTGAGAGAGGAGACTTAATTTTTCAAACAATAAGTCCTAATAAAAACAGTATGAAGCCAATTAAATTTTTTTCAAAATTTTGTGAACAATCTATATGATTTTTATCTTATCTTGACCATAAGATATAACTTACATAAGCCTTTTATAACCTTCATAACCTTTATTAAGGAGGTGGTTAATGCTTCAAGAAAACCTTGTTAATCTGACAGAGGGGTCCATATGATGGTCTTGCATCAGTGTGCCTTTAACATTAATGGTTAATTTATAGAAAAACTGAACTTATTTTATCTCTCAAAATGGGCCCTTACAATCCCACACACCCACATCTTCTGCGATAGTCCCCGAACATTGAGTTGTTGAATAGCTTTAATTTCTGGCCCTGTGTCTCAGGAATGCAGTTTATTTTGATTGACATCTTCTACGAGGCCTGAAGATGAGGCTTTAATTGCTGTATTTTAGATTTAGCAGGATTTAGTGTCCTCTTAGACCCAGGACTGAAAGCCCTGTAACTCAATGTCAAAAGGACTTTAAAAGCCCATACAGAAAGATACAAGGATGTAATAACCTTAATTAAAAAATATATTTTAATCTCAGTTTTTTTCTAAGGAAACCGAAAACTTAATAATAATGGCATAAGAATTGTTTCAATAAGCCATAAAATCTGTTAGGCCAGTTCCTAAAAGGCAAAAGAGAATAACTTCTGCACTGCACAGAATATTATGTTGGAAGAAAACATTTCCCTTACACCTTTAAGAAAACATTGTTAGCATCAGGCCACGACAAACAGAACTTGAGGAAAAAAACTTATATTACCTGAAAGATGAGTTGGAGAGTGTTACTGTATGTCAACCTTTAAAAGAGGAGAGAAAACCGAAAATGGCAAGGTGCAATAAAAGTTAAAATTTAGGTTAAAAAAAAATTAACATCTCTAGGCTGGGCGCAGTGGTTCACACCTGTAATCCCAGTGCTTTGGGAGGCCAACATAGGCAGATCATGAGGTCAGGAGTTTGAGACCAGCCTGGCCAGCATGGTGAAACCCCTCTCTACTAAAAATACAAAAAATTCGCCGGGCATGGTGGTGCATGCCTGTAGTCCCAGCTACTAGGGAGGCTGAGGCAGGAGAATCGCTTGAACCTGGGAGGTGGAGGTTGCAGTGAGCTGAGATTGTGCCACTGCACTCCAGCCTGGCAACAGAGCAACACTCCATCTGAAAAAAAAAAAATTCATTGCTCTAACCAATTGTTTAGTGTATAAGTGGTTTTTTTACATCAAGCCCCATCTGTAGAAAGACCACTACAATTTCCCTTTAATTAATAGACAATTTGATCATATAAAAGTTTTGGGGGTTTTTTAAATAAATCATCTTATTGTGACTTACACAGACTATTCATGACATGCTTGGACTTTCTGGTTTGTCCTGAACATCCCTGTTTGTTAAACAACCAGTCATTTTATTTTAGGACTAAATTGACCATACAAGATTCTGTCTAATGTAAAATTATTTCTCTTTAAGCTTTCTTACAAAAAAAAAAAAAAAACCTCTTTATTTTTATAACTTTCATTTCATCTCTCTTATTTCCTGGCTCCTTTTACCTTGTTTTATATATAACATTTATATAAGGTTTGAATTAGACAAAAATTGTTCACCTTTTTAAAAAAGACACACTTTTTTGAAATAATGTTTTCCTATAATATAGTTTTATTGGAAAATACCCAAATAATGACATATCTATTATTTACTTTAATATAACTTTAGCTTCTAAATTATGATGAGTTTGTCTACAAGTATTTATCCCATTACATTTGGTTAATTATTGTATTTTAATCATTTACCTAGATATTTATGAAAACTACAATAGTCTTCTTTTAAAGTTATGGAACCACCATTGCAAAATTATAACTAAGACAATGAAAAAGATATGACCTAACTGACTCCATCTTGCTTCTAACCTCCAAGCTGTTCTTGTTTATTCCTGGGTATAGGCTGAACTAACTTTGGGAGTAACTTAGTTTACAGTTTAGCTTTGAAACAAAGACGATAACAGTCCTTTCCCAAAACAAACCTTACTGCTTGTGGGCTAGACTGCCTAAAGTCACAAGATTAGAAGTTATGGTAATCTTACTAAATTTAAGATGTAACTATTTTCATTAGACCTATATTTATGTCTTATTTATTAAAATTACAGCCAGGTGCAGTGGCTCACGCCTGTAATCCCAGTTGGAGGCCGAGGCAGGCGGATCACTGGAAGTCAGGAGTTCAAGACCAGCTTGGCCAACATGGTGAAACTCTGTCTCTACTAAAAATACAAAAATTAGCTGGGTGTGGTGGCAGGTGCCTGTAATCCCAGCTACTTGGGAGGCTGAGGCAGGAGAATCGCTTGAGCCTGGGAAGTGGAGGTTGCAGTGAGCCGAGATCAAGCCACTGCACTCCAAACTGGGTGACAAAGAAAGACTCTGTCTCAAAAAAAAAAAAAATTACATAAGCAAAGATCATTCTGTCTTGGTCTGGATCTGTAATTTTGTAGCCCCTATGCCAAATTTTGACACCCTATAGTATTTGGCAGGGATAAGCATGAAATTTCTTGATTAACAAATGCAAACAAAAATGTATGCTGGCAATTCCCATTTCTAACATTACTTCACCAATAATTTCAAAGCTAGTTTATTTATGAAAAGATTTTACTTATGTAAACTTGAAAAAGCATTTGACTAGTCTTTTTTCCTGAGAAAGTATTTGGTTCAACCACCTTTACTTTCTTAAGCCAATTAATTGGAGTTCCTTTATATATTTTCAGTAGTGAAACATTGTGTACACAACACATAAATACAGAGATGTGTTAGGCATGCTGATAGAAGTACATCTCATAGATTCTTAAGAGCTTTTTTTTTCCTATCTTAGACTTTCAAATTCTTTTTTCTTTTCTTTTTTCTTTTTTTTTTTTTGAGACAGAGTCTCGCTGTGTCACTCAGGCTGGAGTGCAGTGGCACAATCTCAGCCCACTGCAACCTCTGCCTCCCAGGTTCAAACGATTCTCCTGCCTCAGCCTCTTGAGTAGCTGGGATTACAGGCGCACACCACGATGACTGGCTAATTTTTGCATTTTTAGTAGAGGTGGGGTTTTCCCATGTTGGTCAGGCTGGTCTTGGACTCCTGACCTCAGGTGATCCGCCCACCTCGGCCTCTCAAAGTGCTGGAATTACAGGCATGAGCCACTGAGCCCAGCCTTCAAATTCTTGATAGCCTGTTTTCACTACCCTAGCCAGTTGTCAGCTAAATAGCCTTAAATTTTCATATTAAAGGGGCCAACTCAGGTGAAAATCAAATAGCAAGATTTACATCATATTGTACAAGGAGAAAAAGTCTGGTGCGCTAGAGGGAAATTAAAGTGGATTTAATTGCCAATTAAACATAAAATTATAGAAATCATAAAGGTCTTTTAAATACACACACACACCGACACACACACACACACACACACACCCTATAGCTTTTACTTCAGAACTTTTGGCCATGAGTTAAATACAAATTCACTGGCTTGCAAACAAAAAACCTGTTGGATTCAAACAGTGGTTTTATTTTATTTTTTGAGATAGAGTCTCGCTCTGTCCCCCAGGCTGCAGTGCAGTGGCGCAGTCTTGGCTCACTGCAAGCTCTGCCTCCTGGGTTCATGCCATTCTCCTGCCTCAGCCTCCCGGAGTAGCTGGGACTACAGGCGCCCGCCACCACGCCCGGCTAATTTTTTGTATTTTTAGTAGAGACGGGGTTTCACTGTGTTAGCCAGGATGGTCTCGATCTCCTAACCTTGTGATCCGTCCACCTCGGCCTCCCAAAGTGCTGGGATTACAAGCATGAGCCACTGGGCCCAGCCAGTGGTTTTTATCTTAATAGAAAAATAACAGCAGATTTAAAGCAGGCAGAAAATAAAATAGAGGAAAAAAGAATTTAGGAACACTATAGTTTGCAGATCGACCTTAGGGGCTTTTTTTTCCTTAATGTAATTGTGCATAGAGACCATATTAGTTCCATTTTACATAAACTGTGGCAAGTAGGGGTGCCATAAAATCTACAAAGTGCTCGAAAGGGGGTCATTCTCCTCGTTTTCTCCTAATTCTTATTGTTTCCCACTTCTTTTCTTAAAAGGAGTAACTGAGCTGTGAGCTGCAGGCTAGGTTTTTGCCTGGTGGATTTATATACGCTGCTTGTGGACAGGACTCCACAGTGTGTAACCACAGAGTTGTTTCCACCCTTTCACGTGTCTCGATTTCTCTCTCCAGACATCCCTGACCTCTGAGAGGGATCAAAATGCTGGATGATCAGCCCTTATATGTGTTTCCCGGACAGGCCTTTTTTTAAAAATTAATTTTTGTGGGGGATTTCCCTGTAGGGCCACTGCACATCACAGGGGATCAATCCCCCAGATACTTCTACGAGGCCCCCCTCTCCATCACCTGGGGCACCTTTCAGCTGGGAGGAGCAAATGCCCTTTCTCTTTGGAACTAAAGAAAACTCAATCTCTCATTTACCTATGAAAACAACAGTTCAGTTCCTCACGCAAATTCGTATAGACAAGCTGAATCAGGATTAATTTTGAGAGAAAAAGCAATAGAGAAGACCCTTTAGAATATATCTCCTAATTAGAATTAGGGTCCTTAAACACCTTTCTAGGAGAGAAATAAAAAACAACAGCTAAGACCACTTCCTGTAAACTGTGTTCAGCCACCCCTACTTTGTAGCTCTCGTCCGCCGTTACACACACCAAGGTCAAATCCTCTCACAGTACAAGGTCATCTCTGGTACCCCCAAAGCTAAAGAGGCCAGGCCATGCAATAGAGGAAAACAGAGCTCTAGACCTAAGAAGAATCTGCCCATGACTCTTTAAACTCCACATAGAAAATAGAACAGCCCAAAAGGGCTGAGTGACACCTTTGTTCTGAATTCTTTAAAGGGGTTCAAGTCATTAGAAGCCTTTTCTAGACTTTTTTTGGTACTGCAGACAGCAAAGGGGGAAGGAAGTACAGGTTGGAAGAAAAGTAAACAAAAGAAATTTGTTTTTGGATTTAAGACAGGAAGCAAACGCAAGCATGGATTTTTGCTTTTTTCTCCCCCTTTTGCAGCTGCAAGGAATTTTAGCCAAATTAGAGAGGGTTTGTTACCCATAATTTAGAATTCTCACTAGGATTTGACCTCACTAGGTAGAGTTGGTCAAATCTGATGGGAGAAAAACCGGAACAAACAACAACAACAACAAACCCAACAATATGATCACTGAGCACTCTAATGGTAAGGAGTAATTAAGGCCAGGTGGTTGCTGAACTTTAGCCAAGCCAAAACCCCAATTCAGATACCTACCTAGAGACAGGTCTCAGGCTGATGACTGCCTTCAACCGTCCCAGAAGCAGGGAAAGAAAACTGAAATTCTTCTTCCCTGCTGCGAGTGAACTCAGACTTCATAAAGGAGTTACCTGCCTTCCATCATCATGGAAGCAGGAAATCTTGCCTTCCTTGTTGGAAGCAAGTAAAACTCTTAAAAAAAAAAAAAAAGGAGAGAGAGAGATAATTGTATAGCAAAATAAAAATAAACTTTAGATCACAACCAAATTTCGGGAGACCAGGGATTCTCTGGAGGGGGGTGCTCCCAGACCTCAGCAAATTGTCCTGTTGATTTGAACCATAAAGTTGGCTCATGCTGGTACCAAACACCAATAGGAGATTTGTCAAAGGTCACGAGCAGGGCATCTGCACTCAGAATCCCTCTGTGGTTACCAAAATGTGAACCCCAAATATCTGAGACAGGGTCTCAGTTAATTTGGAAAATTTATTTTGCCAAGGTTGAGGATACGCACCCATGACACAGCCTCAGGTGGTCCTCACGACATGTGCCCCAGGTGGTCAGAGCACGGTTTGGTTTTATACATTTCAGGGAGACATGGAGACAGCAATCAACATATGTGGAATGAATATTGGTTTGGTCTGGAAAAAGGTGGGACAACTCGAAGCAGGCAGGGAGTCTTCCAGGTCATAGGTAGATAAGAGACAAATGGGTGCTTTTTTTTTTTTTTTTTTTTTTTCTGAGATGGCGTCTCACTTCGTTGCCCAGGCTGGAGTGCAGTGGCACAATCTCGGCTCACTGCAACCTCCACCCCCCAAGTTCAAGTGACTCTCCTGCCTCAGCTTCCCAAGTAGCTGGAGTTACAGGCGCCCACCACTACGCCCAGCTAATTTTTGTGTTTTTGGTGGAGTGGGGTCTCACCACGTTGGCCATAGCTGGGCTGATCTTGAACTCGCAACCACAAGTGATCGCCCACTCAGCCTCCCAAAGTGCTGAGATGACTGGCGTGAGCCACTGTGTCCAGCCAGGTGCATTCTTTTGAGTTTCTGATTGTCGTCTCCAAAGGAGGCAAGCAGATATGCATTTATCTCAGTGAGCAGAGGGGCAAAATAGAATGAGTAGCAAGTTTGTCCTAAGCAGTTCCCAGCTTGACTCTTCCCTTTAGCTTAGTGATTTTGGGACCTCAATGTTTCCGGAGTTGGGTCTCCTCCTGCTGTTGAATTTGTGATCTCACTGACTTCAAGAATGGAGCCACAGCCCTTCGCAGTGAATGTTACAGCTCTTAAAGATGGTGTGGACCCAAAGAGTGAGCAGTAGCAAGGTTTATTGGAAAGAGCAAAAGGACAAAGCTTCCACAGCATGGAAGATGACCTCAGCAGGTTGCCACTGCTGGCTGGGGGTTGGGGGGGGTGGTGGCCAGCTTTTATTCCCTTATTTGCCCTCTCCCATGTTTCCCTTTATGTCCTATGAGAGTGCCCTTTTTTCAATCCTCCCGGCAATTGGACATTTCTAGGATCCTGCTGACTGGTGCATTTTACAGAGTGCTGACTGGTGTGTTTTACAGAGCACTGATTGGTGCATTTTACAGAGCACTGATTGGTGCATTTCACAGTCCTCTTGCTAGCTACAGAGTGCTGACTGGTGCATTTTACAAGCCTAGCTACAGAGTGCTGATTGGTGCGTTTTACAGTCTTCTTGTAAGACAGAAAAGTTCTCCAAGTCCTCACTCCACCCAGGAAGTCCAGCTGACTTCACCTCTCACCAAGATTTTTCTTTCACATAATAAAGACAAACAAATTTCTATTTTGTTTAAATTACTGTTATTTCAGGTCTCTGTGGCTGGCAACAGAACTCAACCAAAGCACTATAGTAGGGTCTGGGGTTAATGGGATGAAAAAAAAGAAGAAAAAAAACATGTTCTATGCCCTTGTGAAGTTTAGCAGAGTGAAGGGAATTTTCCTTTAATTTATTGAAGTGTGCTCTTCCTGAAGCATAAATCAATAGATACATAGTTGTCAAAATGAGGTAAGCTCAAGAAAGTAGCAAGTTTCATTCTAAAAAAGAGGCTATGGGAGGACCTAAACTAGACCAAGAGGCAAGAAGAGTAAACTCTCTTATCTGCTTACTAAAATTCCGTGAATGTTGTGGAATGGAGAAAAAACTATCCTTGTGCAATCTGACAGAATTCCCAGAAAATAAAAATCTGTCATTAATAAAAATCTGTCATTTTTCCATTGAGCAATGATACACTATTTCAAAAGAACCTTAAGCCAGTTTTAGTCCAATTTTCTTTAGTTCAGTAAAAAATGCGTTCTTATTCAGCACATGCATCCCACCAAGTAAGATGTGTTATAACTAATGTAACACATTTTTATTGCCTGCAGAAAGTAATAAGTTACATTTTTAAAGGAGCACGTCTTAAAAATAGTTTCCCTCATAAGTATTTCATAATGATTCATTTAGCATGAAATTAATATTAAAGAACTGCTAACAATAAGCACTTAAAAATTCAAATTGAAAAGGAAATTATGCACATTTGTGATTTCATTAATTCTGGCAACCGTTTAGTCAAAAATAAGTAAATTTCATCCCATTCTTGTGTCTGTTTCAGATTGACTCTTTAATTGTCTAATATTTTCCAAGCCTAGTTTCATTATTTTATGTATAATATTAATGTGCTAAATTAAGGTTTTAGTACACCCAAGTCATACAATAAAATAAGTGTTACACGATAAAGGAACAACCTTCAAACATAATATCAACATGCATATATATTTACTTGCATACCTTAAAATCCATGATCTATAAGGACAAGTGGAAGAAATTAACATTTAATAAGCACCTACTATGTGTCAGGCATTGTGTCAGGCACTTTATGCTTATTATCTCATTTGATTTTGTTTCTCTGACATAATTTCACCACATGTAAGTGTAATAAAAGTGTCACTGTCATGTTGCACATGTCAATAAAGTCAATCAATGTATTAGAAGAAATCTGTTTACCAGGCCAGGCTTGGTGGCTCACGCCTGTAATCCCAACACTTTGGGAGGCTGAGGAGGGCGGATCACCTGAGGTCAGGAGTTTGAGACCAGCCTGGCCAACATGGTGAAACCCCATCTCTGCTAAAAATACAAAAATTAGCCGGGCATGGTGGCAGGCGCCTGTAATACCAGCTACTCGGGGGGCTGAGGCAGGGGAATTGCTTGAACCCGGGAGGCGGAGGTTGCAGTGAGCCAAGATCACACCACTGCACTCCAGCGTGGGGGACAAGAGTGAGACTCCATCTCAAGAAAAAAAAAAAAAAGAAAAAGAAGAAGAAGAAGAAATCTGTTTACTAAAAATTTCAGGACAGCAAGTGACAGAATAGCTTTAATAGGAAACAACTTCCTTGGGCTGGGTGTGGTGGCTCACACCTGTAATGCCAGCACTTTGGGAGGCCAGGGCAGGCAGATAATGAAGTCAGGAGTTCCAGACCAGCCTGGCCAATGTGGTGAAACCCGTCTCTACTAAAAATACAAAAATTAGCTGGGCATGTTGGTGCATGCCTTTAATCCTAGCTACTCAGGAGGCTGAGGCAGGAGAATTGCTTGAACCCGGGAGGCAGAGGTTGCAGTGAGCTGAGATCACACCACTGCACTCCAGCCTGGGCGACAGAGTGAGACTCCGTCTAAAAAAAACAAACAAACCAAAAAAACTTCCTTTTGTTTATATTGGAAACTCGAAACTTAGAAGTATTTTCATGATTCCTGCCTCTGTATCTTTGCCATCTGTGTTAGTTCCCTATTGCTACTGTAACAAATCACCCATCTCATTATGGGGTTGGTTTGTTACCAACCCCATTATGTTGTAATTTAGTCTTTAAAACAACATAAATTTATTATTTTATACTTCTAGAGGTTAGAAGTCTCAGGTCAGTTTCAGTGGACTGAAATCAAAGTGTCAGCTGGGGTTTGTTCTTCGTGGAGGTCCTAGGCAAGAATCTGTTTCCTCACCTTTCTTAGTTCTGGCGGCTGCCTGCATTCCTTGGCCCTGGCCCCATCCTCCGGTGTCTCCCTCTCTGACCACACTGCTTCTCCCTCGTGAATGTATTGGGCCCTCCCAGAAATTCCAGGATAGTCTCTCCATCTCAAGATCCTTAACTCCATCACATCTATGATGTCTCTTTTACCATGTAAGGTAACAAATTCACCAACTCCAGGGACTACGACATGGATAACTTTGGGGGACTATTATTCAGCTTACCACATCCCATTTATTTATTTAAATACATTTTCATGACTCTATTTTCACATAATGATGCATAATGCTCTGCATATTGTTTCCATAGTATTGAAGGTAATTTATTTCATATGACTTTTAGGAAATCTACTTTCTTCAAAGGCTCTCTGTTTCTTATAGTGTTTAATGACAGATTCCACTAATATTTGCAGATCAATTTATTTCTTTGAACAGATTTGTATCAAATAACTATTACCTGCTTAACTATCAAAGTTGGTACTGAGCAGAAATAACTACACTGTTTATCAGCACTAATTAACCCACTAAGATTAAGTAAACAGGATATTTCCCAAACATAGGGCACTTCTACAAATCACAAGATTCAGCTATGGGATAGTATCCGAAGTCATCCCGGCTTTACTTCACAGCTCCTTTAGATGGCCTGGATTTCTTTTTTCTCATTTACAAACACATGCCTTTGAATTGCTCCCTGGCTATTTCCTATCCAAATATCTTAGCTCCCAACAAAGCTATGCTCATCTCAAGAGCTGAACCCATGTCCTCTTCTTTTATATCTATCAAGGGCCTAGCAAAATACTGGACCAGAGAGAGTAAGCAGACACCCTGCAGTTTGCATCTGGCCAACGGACTTGTTTTGTTTAGCTTGAAGAGTGTTTGAGAAAAAAGTTAATTGAAAACATTTAGAAATCAGAGAATTTCACATAAAATCCTTTGATTTCACTTATCTTAAAAAATTGGCTAATATGGGCACCCTGTGCCAGCATTTCTGCCTGGTAACCATGAGCTAGAGTTCTGTGGCAGTGCCCCCTGCAGGCAGGCAGAGGCTCTCCAGCTTCACGGTCTTCACCCAGCCCTAGTCTGGCCCCTGTAAGTATTTGAGTTTGAGACCCCTATGCTAGACACCCTTTAGAAATTCTCCTTAGCGATATCCTAACATTATCACCTCATTTTTCAAATGTGGAAACTGCTTGCTAAACCCAAATTTGGCCCAGGAACTGTTTGAGGGCATTTTTACTACGTATTTTTAATGTATAAATTATCCTCTAAGACGTTGCACATCAAAGTATAGTCTACAGACCAGCAGCATTGGCATTAATCGGGAGTTTGTTAAAAGCTCTCCTGAGCCAGAATCTGCATTTTAGCAACATTCTCAGGTGATTTGGATATACATGAAAATTTGAGAAGTACTGCTATAGATGAAGCTCATAGCTAACTACCTTTCACCTGCCCCTCCACATACCACTAAGACCAAGCCTACTTCATTTATATTGATGGCAGCAGCGGGCCATCTGGAGCCACCACTGCCATCACACTGGCTGGAACAGGGAGATGCGACAGGGGCTGCATGCTCCGTGGAGCTGGTGACAGCCAGGGACAAGCAGGAGCCCCACCCTTCTGAGTTGGGGCAGGAGCTCCCCAGGTGCCCCTGCAGCTACCCAGGTCACGGCTGCAGACCCAGGCATTCCTGTGCTCTCAGGGACTGGAGCAGGCAGGATGCCCACCCTCCAGGGCACAGCTGCAGCCACCCAAACCCCAGCTGCAGACCCGGCCTTCCACTCCAGGGAGCAAGGAACCAGGCATCCCTGCACTCTTGGGAGTCTGGGAAGGCCCTGTCCTTGCAGGCTTGGAAGGGCCTGCTCCCGCTGTGTGGCTTCTCCCTGCTGTCGGCGCCCACTCCAATCTGGGAGCAAAGTAGAGGCCAAGCCCAGGCACTGTTGCACCCCAGCCAGGTGTGCACACACTTGGGACAGTATTGACATGCCAGCCCCCTGCCACCTCAGCCCCCACCAGGCTTTGGGTGCCAACAAGCATAGGAAGGAAGTTGAGGTAGGGCTGAGGGCAGCTTGGTGCTGGCCTGCAGGTGCCCCTTGGCACCTACAGCCTAGGCACCATGAACAGCAGCAGGAAGCAGACAGGCTTCCCTGCAAAAGGGGGTGGGTCCCTGATGAGGCCCCACCTTCAGGCCAGGAAGGGCCTGAAGGTTGGGGACCGGGCTGCCAGTCCCATGGACCAGAGTGGGAATTTGTGGTGCCTTTTCTGGGCCACCCATGGCCACCCATGGACCAACAAGGGTGTACTTCTTCCCCTCTGAGGCCCATAAAAGCCCCAGGCTCAGCCAGAGCTGAGCAGATGTCAGGACAACCAGTGGTAGAGGAAAGCTATCCACTCCATGGCCTTCTCTCTGCTGAGAGCAGCAGACATTGGGACAACCAGCTGCAAAGAGGTGCCACCCACTCTAGGGCCTCCTCTCTGCTGAGAGCCACGCAGAGAACAGGATGACCAGCTGCAGAGAGGTGCTACCCTCTCTGCTGATAACTGAACACTTGTTGGGATGACTTGCCTAGCAGAGAGGAGCTACTCTCTGTACTAGGAGCTGAACACTCATCAGGACCCCTTGGCTGTGAAAGGAGCTGCCCCTGCAGGTTTTCTCTGAGCTGTTCTAGCACTCAATAAAGCTCCTCTTCGTCTTGGTCACCCTCCACTTGTCTGTATACCTCATTCTTCCTGGTCACAGGACAAGAACTTGGGACCCACCAAATGGCAAGACTAAAAGAGCTGTAACACAAACAGGACTGAGACATGCCCCTTCTTCACCACATTGTGGGGGAAGAGAAGGAACAAAGGGTCGCTGTGGCCCTTCCAGGATCCCAGACCTAGGAGCTTCCCAAGCCAAGGCTGTGACTCCCTCTTTGGGGCCCTGCGGTCCCTGTTGTCTCCAAGCTTCCAGGCGCCAACATGTTCCCCAGTGCCAGTCTGGCTGCAGCCTTGCAGAGAACCAGCACCCATGCTGGCACCTGGAGCTGACCAACCAGCTATAGCAGCTGGCATGTCTGTGTGCGGTGGCAAGATCCCACGTTCACTTACACACCCCTCACCCTTCCACACCTGACTCACCCTTGGCAGGCATGGCATCCAGGCCAGTAGCGTGAGCTGAGCACAGCCTGCCAGGCTGAGTGGGCAAAACGAGCCCAGCAGGCCCAAGCAAAACTCAAGCAAAGGTGCCACAGGCCACAGAGGCTTCTGGCCAGAAAAACGACACCCCGAAGAGCCCATAACAATTTCACATATCATGGAAATAGCATTTTGAAAATTATTAACATGATTTCTCTTTTGCCTTTCCAAATCTCAGAGGCATTCTTTAAAATGAGTGGAAGGAGATTTCGATTACAAAAGAATACCCAGCGAAAAAAATGAGGTAACTTCTCCAGGTTCAGGACAAGAAAATGCAGCTGAATGTATTTATCATCTTCTTTTTTGGTGAGGGAGGGGTAGTTATAAACAATAGAAATCTATTTCTCACAGTTCTGTATGCTAGGAAGTCCAAGACCAAGGCAACAGCAGGTTCATTGCATCTGTCAAGGGCCCTGCATCCTCATAGATGGTTGTCTTCTCACTCTAACCTCACATGGTGGAAGGGGCAAGGGCTCTCTTTTAGGCCTGTTTCATTAAGGTCACTAATCCCATTAATGAGGGCTCTGCTCTCATGACCTAATTGCCTCCCAAGGGCTTCACCCCCTAATACCATCACCTCGCAGGTAAAGATTTTAACACACGAAGTTTGTGAGGACTTAAACATTCAGACCATAGCAACTCGTGGGTTGCAAAACCAGATCTTGAACCACCTTGTAACTCTAAGGCTACTGGTCGTTTTAATGCTCCAAACCGTGGCAAACAAATAAATTTAGTTTTTTGGGGTTTTTTTTTTTTAACTTTTTTTAAGAGACAAGGTCTCTTAAATCCCAGCACTTTGGGAGGCCGAGGCGGGTGGATCATGAGGTCAGGAGATCCAGTCCATCCTGGCAAACACAGTGAAACTCCGTCTCTACTAAAAATACAAAAAATTAGCCAGGCGCGGTGGCCGGCGCCTGTAGTCCCAGCTACTCGGGAGGCTGAGGCAGGAGAATGGTGTGAACCTGGGAGGCGGAGCTTGCAGTCAGCGGAGATCGCGCCATTGCACTTCAGCCTGGGCGACAGAGTGAGACTCCGTCTCAAAAAAATAAATAAATAAATTTAAAAAATAAAAAATAAAAGAGATAAGGTCTCACTCTGGTTGCCCAGGTCAGAGTGCAGTGGTGAAATCATACCTCACTGCAGCCTCGACCTCCTGGGCTCAAGCAATCCTCCCACTTTGGCCTGTCGAAGTGTAGGGATTACAGGTGTGAGGCACTTCGCCCAGCCTCTTTTTAAAATTTTTAAATGCATTTTTTAATTGACAAATAGAAGTTGTGCCTATTTATCGTGTATAACATATTGCTTTGAAATATGTATACATGGCCGGGCACAGTGGCTCACGCCTGTAATCCCAGCACTTTGGGAGGCCGAGGCAGGCGGATCACGAGAGCAGGAGATCGAGACCATCCTGGCTAACACGGTGAAACGCTGTCTGTACTAAAAATACAAAAAATTAGCCGGGCGTGGTGGCGGGCGCCTGTAGTCCCAGCTACACGAGAGGCTGAGGCAGGAGAACGGCGTGAACCCGGGAGGCGGAGCTTGCAGTGAGCCGAGATCGCGCCACTGCACTCCAGCCTGGGCGACAGAGCGAGACTCCGTCTCAAAAAAAAAAGAAAAAAAATCTGTCTCTGACAAAAAAGATAAACAACTCAATTTTAAAATGTGCAAAGGGCATAAATAGACATTTCTACAAAGATATACAAATGGACAATGACCACATGAAAAGATTCTCAACATCACTAATCATTATGGAAATGCATATCAAAACTGTAATGAGGTCAGGTGAGGAGGCTCACACCTATAATCCCAGTACTTGGGGAGGTCGAAGTGGAAGGATTGCTGGAGCCCAGGAGGCTGAGGCTGCAGTGAGCAGTATTTGTGCCACTACACTCCAGCCTGGGTGACAGAGTGAGACCCTGTCTCAAAAAAAAAGAAAAAAAAAAAAAAAAGCAGAGGAAGAAAAGAAAAAGAAAAACCCACAGTAAGATACCACTTCACACCTATTAGAATGGCTATAACCAAAATAACAGTATTGGTAAAAATGTGGAGAAATCAGAACCTCATACATTGCTGGTAGGAATATAAAGTTGTTCAGATGCTGTGAAAAGCAGTCTGGCAATTCCTCTAAAAGCTAAACATAGAGTTACCATATGACCCAGCAGTTTCACTCCTAGGTATACACTCAAAATAATTAGACATAGGGACTCAAACATTAAGGTTTATTGCATCATTATTCACATTAGCCAAAAGATGGCAACAACCTTTGTTTCTACTCACAGGTGAATAGATAAATTAAATATGGTATATACATACAATGGAATATAATTCAACCATATGTAAAGGAAAAATAAAATCCTAAGCTCCCCAACCAACTGAACTGATCCCCTCTTGGCCAAAGGCACCCCAGAGAAATCTTAAAAACCGAGTTCCCTGCCATGAAGGGATGGGAGGTTGGCCATGCCTCGTTATACACCCCCGCCTTGTGCAATTTAGACACAACTGACCAGCATTCACGTGAAAATGGAGCTCATAAGACTGACAGAATGGACTCTCTGTGGTATAAGGAACCAAATTATAAGCAGGATCTAAGGCCATGCCAGGTGAGGGTTAAATCACTCACCCCTACACTTAAAAAATAAACTATATTCTAACGGCCATGAATTCTTTTCTTTTTCTCTAGCAGTTAAACAAGCACTGGCCTTGAAATAAGCAATATTAAAACAATTTGCAGCTCATCCACAGCTGACAGCCAGGCAATGACCGCCAAAGTCCCAGTCCCACACCCACTCTCCCATTCCACCAGCCAGAACCACAGCTGTGACTGGACAAGAGACCAATTTTAGTAACTTTCTCCTGATAAGAAGACCACCAGCCATGGCTTGGTTCTGGCCGGTTTACAGAGGCTGCACACGTGAGTGCCATCCTGTCCCTGCTTCACTTTCTGATATATAGGGACTAATTGTAATGCATTTGAACATTAAGTCTCCACCCCAAAATGAACACAGGTCACATGTAACATGCATGTTTGCTTATCACATACAGGTGTGACTCCCCTCATGAATATTCATAGCTCATCTTGTGGCCTGTTGAATATGTATGTTTAACCAACCAGTTCAGCATAATGTTCCTGCCCCAGCCCCTCCTTCTTCAAAGTGCCTGCTAACAATCTCAGCCAGAGGGCACCCTTCCCAGCCTGTCAGAATGACCACTTCGCACACTGTAAGCCTTTATAAGAAAGTCTCCTTCCCAAATTTTAGGATATGTGATTTTAGGCCAGGTGCAGTGGCTCAAGCCTGTAATCCCAGCACTTTGGGAGGCTGGGGTGGGAGGATCACTTGAGGTCAGGAGTTTGAGACCAGCCTGACCAACATGGTGAAACCCCATCTCTACTAAAAATATAAAAATTCGCTGGGCATGGTGGAGCATGCCTGTAATCCCAGCTACTTGGGAGGCTGAGGCAAGAGAATGGCTTGAACCCGGAAGGTGGGGGTTGCAGTGAGCCAAGATCATGCCACTGCACTCCAGCCTGGGTGACAGAGTGAGACTCTGTCTCAAATAATAATAATAAGAAGAAGAAGAAGAAATGATTTTAAGTTGACATATCAAGAAGAACAAAATTCTGATACATGCTACATGGATGAATTGTGAAAACATTATAAGTGAAATGAGCCAGATACAAAAATGACAAATTTTTGACTCCTTTTATATGAAACATCTAGAATAGGCAAGCTCATAGAGACAGGAAGTAGATTAGTGGTGACCGGGTGCTGGGGGGAAGGAGGTAACTAGGGAAATTTCTATTTGGGGAGTTGAAAATTTTTAGAAATAGGTAGTGGTGATGGTTGTACAACACTGTGAATCTAATAATGCTACCAAATTGCACACTTAAAATGGTTAAAATGACTAATTTTATGTTACAGGTATTTTGCTACAATCTGGGGTTCCCCACAGCAAACTGGTGAATCGAAAGTTGATGGTCGGAGTGAGTCGACAGAAAATGGACCTGTAACTGCTGGGCAGGAAGATGGAACGGATACATAGAACAGGCCCTGTGTCTACAGCCAGTGGAGGCCAACGTGATGACAAGTCAGAGAGGGTGACCCCAGACTGGGACCAAACTGACAGACCGAGCACGGGTCGGGGACATCCAGGCAGCCTGCAAACAGTCAGGGCAGGGCCCCTCCCCAGAGGCCAAGAAGTGGAAGGTGCCTCCGCGGAGACCCAGCCCTTCTGCGTCACCACAGGACCTGTGTGAGGCACACTCTACTCCCCTTCTCTCAAGATACCGCCTCGGACAGAGAGCAAGGGGGATGAAGGATAACTGAGAAAGGGAATATTTGTATCTATGAGAAGACTGAGCAATAACTAAAGACACTGATGAGATTAAGGGAACATGCTACAATCTTTAAACCAGATAGAACTAATAGTTAATTTTTTAACTCCCTTTCCACCCCTGTGCCATTGAACCAATGGGTGGAGGCTCATGACGAAGATCAGATTAAACTGAGTCAAAATAAAGAAGATGCATTAATTTGGTGGTATGTCCTCACTCCTGTTAAACATTTTACACGAATTGTGTCAGATGCCCCCTCTTTTAGCTTCTGTGTGCTTTTGTTCTGAGGCTCAGGCCCTGCTGTGACTTGCTTTGGAAAACTGGGCTCCTGGAGCCTGCAGGCTGCAGACTCTGAAATTGTTCTGTTGCTTTGTTTCATCCCCTTCCCATCCTTTTCCCTCTATCTCCTGACTGATTTCCTTAGGGAGCCCCTCCTCAATAAATGCCTTGCACACAAAAGCTCATCTCAAGGTCCATTTGTGGGTAACCCAGCTAAGATACCCATTTTCTCTGCATTCACAAGCTATACTATGACATAAACCTTTCAATCTTGCCATATCTGCTATGTGACTGAGCCCTGAAAGTTATTTGTGTGTGTGGCCCCTATTCTAGGCATTCTGCCCTGTTTGTGGGAAGCACTGAGCCAGCTCTGTGGTGGGAGCACCTTGGGGAGGGACATTTTGAGCAAGGTCAGAAGGACCAGTTAATGGGCAGGATCACAGAGGTGGGCCCCTACTTCCTTCCTCCTCGTTTTAGACTCCCCATCCCCAAACCCCAATTCCACTATTATATGTTGGACTTCAGTCTGGTCCAGGAGCTTAATAACAAGGTAATCTCTGCAGATAATCCCTGTGGTTTAGAAATAACTCTCACATACACTGTCTCACTTTATCTCATGTTTTAATCTCTGTGGTGAGGGCAATACTCATTCCCATTGACAGACTATGAAACAGATGCTTACAGAGTAGAAATGATCTGCTCAGTGTTGCACAGTTCAAAAGTAGGAGTCTGTTAATTCCAAATAAAACAAAACCAAAAAGCCCACAAACTGTGTTTCCTCTGCTCTCCTATGACAACAATCAACACAGGATACTTCCGTGATCAGTCGTGTGGGGTTGCCGCTACACATCAAGCTAGTCATCAGTTCTGCAGAAGACACCAGCTGGGTGTCCTATAACTCAATTCTGATATTATCTTCCTGGAGATAGATAGCCTCAGATCCCACAGGTTGAGAACTCTGTCCCGTTAAGACCCCCCTTCTACTCCGGAACTTCGGACCAGTTCCAAATTGGGGTTCCCATGGCTCCCTTTCTGGGCTTGATTAATTTGTGAGAGCAGCTCACAAAACTCAAGGAAACATGTTACCAGTTTTTTATTTGTTTGTGTTTTTGAGATGGGGTCTCACTCTATCTCCCAGGCTGGAGTGCAGTGGCATGATCTCCGCTCACTGCAGCCTCCGTCTCCCAGGTTCAAGCGATCCTCCCACCTCAGCCTCCTGAGTAGCTGGGATTACAGGCATGTACCACCACAACCAGGCTTTTTTTTTTATTTTTTATTTTTTGTATTTTTAGTATAGGCGGTGTTTTACCATTTTGACCACGCTGGTCTCGAACTCCTGACCTCAAGTGATCCACCTGCTTTGGCCTCCCAAAGTGCTGGGATCATAAGTGTGAGCCACCATGCCCCGCCGTCACCAGTTTTTTTTTTTTTCTTTTTTAACAAAGGATATTACAAAAGATGCAGATGAAGGATGCTTAGGGCAAGGTATGTGGAAAGAGACAAAGAGCTTCTATGCCCTCCCCAAGTGCACCAACCTCCAAGAACCTCCATGTGTTCAGCTATCAGGAGGCTCTCCAAACCCTGTCATACTGGGTTTTTATGGAAGCTTCGTTATGTAACCATGATTGATTACATCATTGGCCACTGGTGATTGACTCAACTTTGTGGGAGGTGTCCCTCTCCCCTCCCCAGAAGTCAGGGGGTGGTGCTGAAAGTCCCAATCCTACCCCTGCCTTGGTCTTTCTGGTGACCAGACCCATCTTGTAGTTATCCAGGGGCTGCCAGCCTCCAGTCAATCATTAGCATACAAAAAGTCAGCACTTTGGAGATTCTAAGAATTTTAGGAGCTGTGTGCCAGGAAATAGGGTTGAAGACCAAACATATATTTCACAATATCACAGTTTCTCAGTCCAGTATTTTTTCATCTTAAACTGATGACAGTGATAAGAATGAGCTGATGGTGATTTAGGCTGGACCTCGGGTCCAGAGAGTTCCGTTTCCTGCTTCTAGTGCAAACCATTGTTGGTCCTTTCAGGCTCCATCTTGTTTTTATTTATTCATCAATTCCCTTTTATCCTCCATTCTCCTCTTGCATTCCCCTGATCTCCCATAAGAAGCTATGCTATTCTAATATATTTAATATGCATCCTACTTTTTTTTTTTTTTAAGACAGAGTCTTGCTCTGTCGCCCAGGCTGGAGTGCAGTGGCACCATCTCAGCTCACTGCAAACTCCGCCTCCCAGGTTCAGGTGATTCTCCTGCCTCAGCCTCCTGAGTAGCTGGGATTACAGGCATGTACCACCAAGCCAGGCTAAATTTTGTATTTTCTTTTTCTTTTTTTTTTTTGAGACAGAGTCTTGCTCTGTCGCCCAGGCTGGAGTGCAGTGGCGCTATCTCGGCTTACTGCAAGCTCTGCCTCCCGGGTTCATGCCATTCTCCTGCCTCAGCCTCCTGAGTAGCTGGGACTACAGGCGCGTGCCACCATGCCTGGCTAATTTTTTGTATTTTTTAGTAGAGATGGGGTTTTACCATGTTAGCCAGGATGGTCTCGATCTCCTGACCTCGTGATCCACCAGCCTCGGCCTCCCAAAGTGCTGGGATTATAGGCGTGAGCGACTGCGCCCGGCCTAAATTTTGTATTTTCAGTAGAGACGGGGTTTCACCATGTTGGTCAGGCTGATCTGGAACTCCTAACCTTGTGATCCGCCCGCCTCAGCCTCCCAAAGTGCTGGGATTACAGGTGTGAGCCATCGCGCCCGGCCGCATCCTTTCTTTATATGTGTTCTTGTAAAATGCACATTGTTGTTGCGTGTGTTTTTTATTCACATAAATGATGTAAGTCACAGAAATCATCTGATTCTTAATTTTATTTTCTTTTTCTTCGTCTTCTTCTTCTTTTTTTTTTTTTTGTGAGACAAGGTCTTGCTCTGTCACCAGGGCTGGAGTGCAGTGGCACCATCCCAGCTCACTGAAGCAGGGCTCAAGTGATTCTTCCACCTCAGCCACTGAAGTAGCTGGGACTACAGGCACGTGCCAACAAGCCTGGATAATTTTTTTATTTTTAGTAGAGATGAGGCTTCACTATGTTGCCCAGGCTGCTAAATTTTCATTTGGTATCATGTCTTTAAAATCCATCCACGTTTTTAACCTACATGCTACATAGTACTCCAGGGAGTGTATATTCACCATATTTTTTCTATCCTGTCTGCCACTGATGGACACTCAGATTGCTTCTAACTTCCTGGCCATCACAAACAATGTTGTAAGAAACATCACAGGGTCTTTGACCTTTCTCTAATACACACTGTCAGACAGGGTAGATGAGTCCCTTGGGGAAAATGAAGGCACAAGCCAAAGTAACTGGACAGGGAGGCACACAACCACACTATGAAACAGGGGCAAGGCAATGGATTAGTTTCCTGTGGCTGCTTAATAAATTACCACAAATTTGGTGGCCTAAAACAGTATAAATTTATTCTTTCATAGTTCTGGAGGTCAGAAATCCAAATTCAATATCACTAGGCTGAAATCAAAGGGCCACACTCCCTCTAGAGATTCTAGGAGAGAATCTGTTCCTTGTCTCTTTCAGGCTGGTGACATTCCTTTGCTTGTGGCCACATCACTCCAGTCTGCAAGGCCAGCTTCTTCAAATCTCTTTTTGTTTCATCTTCATGTCACTTTCTAATGTGTGTGCATATGCATGTAAAATACCGCTCTGCCTCTCTCAAATCAGGACACTGTGATGCCATTTAGGGCCTTCCTGAATAATCTAGGACAATCTCCTAAATTCAAGATCATCCACTTAATCACATCTGCAAAGACTATATTTGCAACTAAGGTAATATTCACAGACACCAGGAATTAGGACCTGATATTTTTGGAGACCATTTTTCAGTCTACTACAAGCAACGATCTAAAAACTTTTTCTGAAACCAAATTATTGGAACACAGGGACCAAGGGTTTATTTTTTAGTTTTTTTATTTTTTGAGACGGAGTCTCACTCTGTTGCCAGGCTGGAGTGCAGTGGCGTGGTCTTCGCTCACTGCAACCTCTGCCTCCTGGGTTCAAGCAATTCTCCTGCCTCAGCCTCCCAAGTAGCTGGGATTACAGGCACGCACCACCATGCCCTGCTAATTTTTGTATTTTTAGTAGAGATGGGGTTTCACCATGTTGACCAGGCTGGTCTTGAACTCCTGACCTCGTGATCCACCCGCCTCAGCCTCCCAAAGTACTGGGATTACAGGCGTGAGCCACCGCGCCTGGCCCGGGACCAAAGGTTTAAAATAAGTATGATAAATGTATTTAATAGATACTAGAATTTCTTAGAAATGTGAAGCAAAATCAAGAAAGCATAAAAAACAACAAAGGAGAAATATTGGATAGAAAATACAATAGTTGGAAAAAGAATACAAAATAGGGAATAAATTACAGAATGGGTGCAGCTGAGGAAAGATTGAGGAACTGTTTTAGAAGACATCAGAAAGTACAAAGATTAGCCCTGGCGAGGTGGTGCATGCCTGTAGTCCCAGCTATTTGGGAGGGTGAGATGGGAGGATCACTTGAGCCTGGGAGGTGAATGTTGCAGTGAGCCCTGACTGCACCACTGCACTCCAGCCTGGGCGACCGTGAGATCCTGTCTCAGAAAACAAACACTAAAACAAAAAAATGAGAAAAGAAAAGATAAAAAGAAAGACAAAGGGAAAATATAACAAAAAAGCTCATGGATATGGAAGATAAAATATAAGTGCCAGTACTGAGTGACATAAGAGAGGAATTATTGGAAGAAATAGTGAAGATAAATTTCCCAGATTCAAAGGCTCTTTTGATGCTGAGGTGGAAAGAGAAAGAATTAATATTAGAATAGGGTTTCAAAACATTAAAAAAAACCTAGGCTCATGTCTGTAATCCCAGCACTTTTAAAGGCAGAGGCAGGCCGATCACTTGAGCCCAGGAGTTCTAAACCAGCCTGGGCAACATGGAGATACCCCGTCTCTACTAAAAATACAAACAAAAATTAGCCGGCCATCGTGGGTGCTAGCCTGTAGTCCCAGCTACTCTGGAGGACTGCTTGAGCCCAGGAGGCAGAGGTGCAGGGAGCTGAGATCGTTGAGATTGTGCCACTGCACTGCAGCCTGGGTAATGGAATAAGACCCTGTCTTAAGGAAAAAAAAAAAAAACAACAAAAGAAACAAAACGAAAATTCTAAAAGTATCTGGGGATAATATCTTTTAGAGATAACCTTCAAAAATCAAAAAAGCAGGCCGAGCACGGTGGCTCACACCTGTACTCCCAGCGCTTTGGGAGGCCGAGGCGAGTGGATCAACTGAGGTCAGGAGTTCGAGACCAGCCTGGCCAACATGGTGAAACCCCATCTCTACTAAAAATACAAAAAATTAGCCTGGCGTGGTAGCGGACGCCTGTAATCCCAGCTACTCGGGAGGCTGAGGCAGGAGAATCGCTTGAACCTGGGAGATGGAGGTTGCAGTGAGCTGGGATCATGCCATTGCACTTCAGCCTGGGCGACAAGACTGAAACTCCGTTTCAAAGGAAAAAAAAAAAGCAATACAGGATGCAAGAAGTTAATAGATTTATATTTTAAAGTATTAAAGGAAAAAGAGCTTTGAACCTAGCATTTTACACCAGCCAAACTCTCAAAACTCGAGGGTGTGAAAAAATATCCCCAGGCTTACACGGCCACAAAAGGTTTTTCACACAAAGGCTAATACTGAAAGCTCTCTTAAAAAATTACTTAATTTTCCAAAAATATTTTTACATCATTTTAGATAATTTACAAAAAGCTACAAAAATCCTATCTACCAGGACACATGCGTAACGGCCTGTTTGCGCTCCCTGCGGTTACAGCCGACACACGCTCGCAGACGCACGCACGGACACCCCGCTTTCCACCAGCGCACGAAGACGGGACGCGCGCTCACAGCCCCAGGGCTCGGCCCTGCACCACGAGCTAACGCGCGGTCCCCAGGGAGGTGGCGCAGAAGGCATGGCGCCTCTGCCCACGGCGTCCCGGTCCTGGTAGTCCCTATAGAGACCTTCGTTGATGGCCCAGGTCTAAAAGGCTTTTTCCTCCGAGCCTGCGTTCCTCCAGCCTTCCCGCTGGGCCAGGGCTCACCATCCTTCCTCGCCGGCGAGCGTGGGCCTCCCTGGAGGCGGGGGTGGCCCTGCAGAGGCAGCCCCAGGTGCGCGCTGGAGAGGCCGGCCCGCCGCGCGGGAGACACTCTTTCCAAAGTGGAAGCGCTGCGTGGGCAGCAGCGCGGGCCGGGCCCTCGGATCCCAGTCTCTGTTGCTCCCGAGACCCCCGCCCCGCGCCGCATCCTCCGAGCTCAGCGCCCTCGGGCTGCGCTGGGCGCAGTGGCTCCCGGTCAGGGCGCAGTCGGCCTGGGCGCTAGAGCCCCTCTCAGCTCCCGGCCTAGGGCGGGGAAGCGCCAGCTCCCGCAGCCCCTGTGAAAGGTCCCCTGTGCCTCCTGCCTAGGTGCGCGCTGTGGCATCTCTGGCCAGAAGCACCTTTGGCGGCCTGTTGGGCCCCTCGCAGCCTCTGGCTGAGACTCTGCCGCCGGCGCTAACGGGCTGCGCCCGCGCTCCCGCTCTGTCCCCGCCCGGGTCCCGGGCTCCGCGTGCACACCACTCCTTGGCCTTTTCCACCAAAACTTCCTGATCTCCAGTTCGATGCTGTCGTCGCGGTTCCCGGAACTGCTGTCTTCAGACGGCGAGCCGGGGCTGGGAGCGGCCCTCACGGGGACGGACTCCCTCCGGAGGCGGAGGTGGTTCTCCTGACGCGAAAGGCAGGGGCGCGCCCCGGCTCCCAGCGCCCTGTTTTTGGAAAATACGATTTTGTAGGGTGTTCCTAAACTGCAGTCTTCTGTGTTTTGCATACACGTCTTAGATCAGCAAACATTTGGCTCTTATCATCACAGCCAGGTTCAAAGAGACTCTGAGAGGATGCTTTTTGGTTGATTGCTGGTGAAGAAGTCTGGTTGTGGCCGCCGTGGGAGCTCGAGGACCGAAGGCCACAGCTGCCCGCTCCGCGGATCGCTTAGATGCCCGAAAGTGTCCGTGGGGAAGCTCCCAGGACAGCACTTTCTATACAAAGGGTCCCTCCCCACCACGCTGGTCCTTGGAGTCCAGAGCATATCTTCTGAAAACTGCAGCCACAGCCGTCTGTTGGAAAAACGTTTGGAAGCACAAAGGCCAGCTAGCACACTGACCGCTCCCTGTTGCAGGTGAAATCCGCGGATGTCCGCGGTGGCTGCTCTGCAGCGCAGCCCCAGGCCTGGGTGGATTCATGTCCAATCTTGTTCAATCACTAGATGACTCTAACATCTAAATAAAGTTATTTTTTTTCTTTTCTTTTTTGAGATGAAGTCTCGCTCTGTTGCCCAGGCTGGAGTGCAATGGCGCGATCTCGGCTCACTGCAAGCTCCGCCTCCCAGGTCCAAGCGATTCTGCTGCCTCAGCCTCTGGAATAGCTGGGACTACAGGCTTGCGCCACCATGCCTCGCTAATTTTTGCATTTTTGTAGAGATGGGGTTTCACCATGTTGGCCAGGCTGGTCCTGAACTCCTGACCTCAGGTGATCCGCCCGCCTCGGCCTCCCAAAGTGTTGGGATTACAGGCGTGATCCACCGCGCCTGGCAATACACTTCTTTTTATATGGAGTTACTGTTCTTCATTTTAAGTCATGGTTCTAAAGGGTAATACAACGTGTCCATTTTAAATTTCCTTTTCTTGATTCGCGCACACCAATAGGCGCTGCTTAGAGCTTTGGTCCCCAAACACCTTGGGCACAGATGATGTGCAAAGCCCGGTGCTGGGGACAAGCCTTCCCCACACCTGCCCTCCAGAAACTGGGGCCCAGTCAGAGGTGTGCCCGAACAACAAGGCCAGCCCTTTGGACGGTTTCTGCAGGCCGCCTCCCGGGGCCGAACGCGCAGGACCCGCTCCTGCACGCGGCGTGGCTCAAGGCGGTGGCCTCAGGTCCTCGGTGTTGACGCCCTGCGATGCCTCCCTGGTAGTACCCTGTGCCTTCTGCTCTGAGGCCGCTGCGGTGCCCGTGGCTACTGTAGAGACGGAAGCAGTGTTACGTACTGACGGGTCATGACGTTTACACGGTAATTGTCCAGCAAACTTTCATCAGTCCCCCAAGATCCACAACTCAACCTCATGGCTTAGCTGCGATGCAGGGTTTACTCTGCAGCTGAATCTTGTTGGTATTCTAACATGCAAGTGAGTTGTCTACACATTGTGCACCCCTGGGTTTTGGTGGGAATTCACTTCTATACCAAGTTGCGGGCATGTGCCACCTTCCATCCACAGTCAACATCTGCTGGATCAGAAGCTGTGATGAGGATCACTGTTCCTGCCCACGCCCCTCTTTTGTGTTTGATATCTTCATTGTGGCATATTTGTGACTTAAGTGCTTCCAGGAAAAAAAATTCCATGTAATCCATACTTTAACTTCTATTTAAAAATTTTTTTTTTTTGAGACAGAGCCTCCCTCTGTCACCCAAGCTGGAGTGCAGTGGTGAGATCTTGGCTCACTGCAACCTCCACCTCCCAGGTTCAAATGATTCTCATGCCAAAAATGATTCTCGTGCCTAAGCCTCCCAAGTAGCTAGGATTACAGGCCCCTGCCACCACGCCCTGCTAATTTTTGTATTTTTAGTAGAGACGGGGTTTCACCATGTTGGCCAGGCTGGTCTTGAACTCCTGACCTCAAGTGATCTGCCAGCTTCGGCCTCCCAAAGTACTGGGATTACAGGCGTGAGCCACCGCTCCCGGCATAAAGTGTGCCTTTACAGGCTGGGTGCGGTAGCTCACCCCTGTAATCCCAGCACTTTGGGATGGGCGGATCACAAGGTCAGGAGATCGAGACCATCTTGGCTAACATGGTGAAACCCCGTCTCTACTAAAAATACAAAAAATTAGCCTGGCGTGGTGGCGGGCACCTGTAGTCCCAGCTACTAGGGAGGCTGAGGCAGGAGAATGGCGTGAACCCGGGAGGCGGAGATTGCAGTGAGCCCAGATCATGCCACTGCACTCCAGCCTGGGGAGCAGAGCTAGACTCCATCTCGAAAAAAAAAAAGAGTGCCTTTATATCAGCTTGTTATGTACATAAGAACTATTTTTAATACCAATAAACCAAGCACTACCCATGGTAAAAAAAAAAATTACTTAAAGAAGACAGTAAACATATTGAAAAAGATACTGCAAATGAGACAGGAAGTAACAATGATCAAATACTTTGTTTTTGTTTTGTTTGTTTGTTCTGAGATGGAGTCTTACTCTGTCGCCCAGGCTAGAGAGCAGTAGTGCGATCTCTCGTCACTGCAACCTCTGCCTCCAGGGTTCGGGCGATTCTCCTGCCCCAGCCTCCCAAGTAGCTGGGATTACAGGTGTGCGCCACCATGCCTGACTAATTTATTTTGAATTTTTAGTAGAGACAGGGTTTTGCCATGTTGGCCAGGCTGGCCTGGAACTCCTGACCTCAGATGGTCCACCCACCTCGGCCTCCCAAAGTGTTATTACAGGCATGAGCCACCATGCCCTGCCAATGATCAAATACTTTGATACAGGTTTTTGTTGCTTCAAGAAAAATATAGGACCAAAGAAAACACAACTAAATATCTGAATGATATTGACATAATGAGGACTGGGAATGTGGGAAGTAAGTTCAGCTTAGAAGACCAGTCTCTTTAGGGGAAGAAGCAGGTGTTATACACCTAAGAAATCATGAGGGGTGAATGAGTATAAGGACAACCATTGCATGAACAAAAATACCATCTAATTTCAACCAGCCAAGGAAATCTCAAAGTGTCCAATGGAAAGCAGGAAAAGAAAATGGTAATGGTTTCAAGGATATATAATAGAAAATCTCAGTGTACTGATTTCATTTTTATTTCTCTTTTATATTTCTAAAATAAGCCATATTACTTTTTAAGTTTTAAAGATTTCAAAGTAGTCGCATGCACATTGTTTAAAACAACAAATAATATAAGAATTACTATAAAAATAGCAGTCTTCTGCTCTACAGAGACAACAATATTCAACTCTTAGCTGGTCTGGTATTTACTATCATATCTGTAAATGCTATATTTATACTGTTGTTTCTCAATTTTTCCATTAAAGATATTATCTATTGACTTAAACATATCGATATACAAATATGCAAGCTCATTTTCTGTTGCTGTCTGTCTTACACACGCAGACCCACATACTCACTTCTTCCACACAAAACTACACATTTCCTCCCAATATAATTATATAATTATTTTAAATTAACCTCAGAGTTTACATTTCCCCTCCCTCCCTCCCTCCCTCCCTCCCTTCCTTCCTTCCTCTTTCTCTCCTTCTTTCTTTCTCAGTATCTTGCTCTGCCTTCCAGGCTGGAATGCAGTGGTGCGATCACAGCTCACTGCAGCCTTGACCTCCTAGGCTCAAGTGATCCTCCCACCTCAGCCTCCCAAGAAGCTGGGACTACAGGTGCATGCCACCATGCCTGGGTATTTTTGTAGGACAAAGTCTCCCCATGTTGCCCAGCCTGGTCTCAAACTCCTGGGCTCAAGCTATCTGCCCACCTCGGCCTCCTAAAGTGCTGGGATTACAGGTGTGAGCCACCATGCCTGTCCATTTTTTTTATTTTTATTTTTCTGAGACGGAGTCTCGCTCTGTCGCCAGGCTGGAGTGTTGTGGCTCCCTGGTTCAAGCGATTCTCCTGCCTCAGCCTCCCAAGTAGCTGGGATTACAGGCACGTGCCACCAAGCCCAGCTAATTTTTGTATTTTCAGTAGAGACAGGGTTTCACCATGTTGGCCAGGATGGTCTTGATCTCCTGACCTCGTGATCCACCCACTTTGGCCTCCCAAGGTGTTGGGATTACAGGCATGAGCCACCACGCCTAGCCAATATTTTTTATTTCTTAAAATAAGATATGCAGAAAGACAGCAGGTATATGAAAAATGCTCCATATCACTAATCATCAGAAAATGCAAATCAAAACCACAATGAGATATCACCTTATCCCAGTTAAAATGGCTTTTATCAAAAAGCCTGGGCAGCATGGAGAAACCCTGTCTCTGTGAAAAATAAAAAAATTAGCCGGGCATGGTGGTGTGTGCTTGGGGTCCCAGCTACTTGGGAGGCTGAGGCAGGAAGATCACTTGAGCTTGGGAGGTCAAGTGAACCATGATCTTGCCATTGCACTTCAGCCTAGGCAACAGAGTGAGACCTTGTCTCAAACAAACAAACAAACAAACAAACAAACACACACCCAAAACCAAAACAAAACAGAAAGACAGAAAATGGAAAAAACAAACCACAAAACCCTCTCAGCACTCCCAATCCCCTTTCCCTGCTTTTTTTTTCTTTTTGAACAAAGCACTATCTCTTAACATATTATGTAATTTACTTATTATGTTTATTGTTTATTTTCTGACTTCTGCAGTTAATATGTAAAGTCCTTGAGGGCAGGGATCTTCTGTTGGTTTGTTCACTCATATATTGTGAATAATATCTAGCACATAGTAGGCATTCAATGAATGAATGAATGAACCTCTACTTATCTTATAATTTATTGTCCAATTTTCTGCCTCATTGACATTTTCCTTTTAATTACTGAGATATTTCATCATCTTTATTTTCTGAACTTTGTGTTGAATTTTGTTTGCTTGTTTGAGACAGGGACTCACTTTGTTGCCCAGGCTGGAATGCAGTTGGTGATCACAGCTCCCTGAAGCCTCATCTTCCCAGGCTCAAACATCCTCCCACCTCAGCCTCCCAAGTAGCTGGGACTACAGACATGCACCACCATGCCTGGCTAAATTTTTAAAAATTATTTTTTGCAGAGACAGGGTCACATTATGTTGCTCAGGCTGGTCTTGGATTTACTCCTGGGCTCAGTCCTCCCACCTTGGCCTCCCAAAGTGCAGGGATTATAGGCATGAACACCTCGCCTGGCCCTTGTGTTAAAATTTTAATTTCTGCAATCGTATTTTATTTCCAAAAGCTCTTCTTTGGCTTTCTAAATGTTCATGTTTATAATCTGGTTTTTCTTCATGGATATGATACCTTAATTTTGAAGTTTTCTTCTTCCTTGAATTATCTGTTTCCTCTGAGTTTCTTTTTTCTGTTTCCCTTTTTGTTTTCCATGCTAAAAAGCTTCCCTCAAATTTCTGATGATTTTGTTTATTCATATTTAAGTTCCAAGCACTAAAAGCTCATTGGAAATTCTGCCTACCTGGGTGGAACCTGTCAATGAGTAGGTCTCGCTGGGTGGTGCTAGATGTCCCTGGCCTTTTCGCAGGAGAACTCCAAATACCAGTATCTACAGAATCGGGGAGGAGGGGGCTGGTTACTTTGCCAGTAATGATGCATTGTCTTAGCTCCTGCCTGGGAGTATATGCCTGGCTGCCAGTGTAACGGGATCTGAGCAGATACATGGCATGGTGGGAGTGGGAGAGAATTGTGGCTGGAAATCTGAAGTTCAGTGTGTAGGTTTCCACTTGAGTTTTTAGTACAGAATGTTATCTTGCCCTAAATCAGAGCGAGTAGCTCAAAGATTAGAGTCCATAATAGTTCAACCCTGGCTTTCACTTGTGGAGGGGCAGGGTAATTCCTGGTTGTTTGGGGGGCCAGGGGAGGAGTGCAGCATGGTGGTTTGACTGTTTCTTACAAGCACCATCAACTTTCCTCTTGCTTTTACTTCCACCCTGCACCTATGCTTCTGAAGTGCTTACCCAGTACCTCTCACTTCTGAGCTGTCCCAGAGTTGAGTAGTTTAAATCTGTTCCTTTCTTCTGATCTTCCCGTCAGTGTAAAGTTTTGGTTTCTGGCCATCCACTGATTTTCCTGTCAACTTCCAAAGTTTGCTGAGATCTCCTCTCTGCTGTTGCTTTCTCTGCTTTCTTTTTTTCTTCTGGGTTTCTCCATGTTTAATTTATTTTACTCTACTGGGGTTTCAGGAAAGAACAAAAATTAAAATATATTAATCAGCATATTTAATTGGAAGTGATTTGTGTCATGCCTCATATAATTATTTATGTAAAAATAAAAGATTTTTACTTTTTACTTCATGTCTTTGAGGGTCATTTCTTAGATTTTTCCATACTCTTTTAAAACTAATGAAAATTTAGAGCTTGAGCTACTTCTAGAAAATAGATACAGCTTTGGAAACTTTGGACAAATATAAATAATCATGATTTTGATCCATGTGAATTTCAGTTTGGTGAAAGCAAAAATCATTCCTGGAACAAAGTTAAGGCAGAGCAATTAGTTATAGTAATTACTTTTTAAAAACTACTTGTTATGTGATGATGAATTACTGATTTAATTAAGATTAATACAGGTATTTAAGTATTATGTAATTTTTAGTGTATAGTTATGTATAATGACCCAGGGATTATGGAATTGAGTTTATATGAGGACACTGATTATCAGACGAAACCAAGTTTTACTCCATATATACTTATTTGTGCAATACTATCTGAAAGTATCTATTATTTAAAGACATTTAAACATTTTTAAATGGTGGGTAGGAGCATTGAGATTTGACTCTCTGTACTGTTAATCATCTAATCCACTGTTACACTGTTTCTCAATATTTTTAAACTCATATCTTTTTTGGAGAAATAGAAAATTCACCACATTCCCCAAACCCTGCCATTTCTTTTCTTCTTACTCTTTCTTTCTTTCTCTCTTTCTTTCTTTCTTTTTTTTTTTTTTTTTTTTTTTTGACAGAGTCTTGCTCTGTCGCCCAGGCTGGAGTGCAATGGCGCGATCTCGGCTCACTGCAACCTCTGCCTCCCGGGTTCAAGCAATTCTCCTGCCTCAGCTTCCCGAGTAGCTGGGATCACAGGTGTGCATGACTACACCCAGCTAATTTTTTATTTTATTTTATTTTATTTTTTGAGCCGGAGTCTTGTTCTGTCGCCCAGGCTGGAGTGCAGTGGCGCAATCTTGGCTCACTGCAACCTTCGCCTCCCTGCAACTTCCACCTTCTGGGTTCAAGCAATTCTCCTGCCTTAGCCTCCCGAGTAGCTGGGATTACAGGCGCATGCCACCATGCCCGGCTAATTTTTGTATTTTTAGTAAAGACAGGTTTTCACCATGTTGGCCAGGCTGGTTTCGAACGCCTGATCTCAGGTGATTCGCCCACCTCCGCCTCCCAGAGTGTTGAGATTACAGGCGTGAGCCACACCCTTCCCTGCCCAAACCTTGTCATTTCTAATACATTTTTCTTAAGAGCCTAAAAGACATTTATTGAACTTTACCTTATATATTTGAGGTTTTGTTTTGTTTTGTTTTTTAGAGATAAGATCTTGTTCTGTCTCCCAGGCTAGAGTGCAGTAGAGCAATCATACCTCACTGCAATCTTCAATTCCTGGACTCAAGCGATCCTCCTTCCTCAGCTTCCCAAGTAGCTAGGACTATAGGTGCATGCCACCATGCCAGGCTAAATATTTTAATTTTTGCAGAGACAGGGTCTTCCTATGTTGCCCAGGTAGGCTTCAAACTCCTGGCCTCCCACCTTGGACTCCTAAAGTGCTAGGATCTACAGGTGTGAGCCAACACACCCAGCCCTTGTTTTCGTTTACAAATAAATAGTGCTGATTTTTTTTTCCAAGTTACATGTTCTCACTTCTGCAGATTCTAATTAGTACCCCTACTCGGGGCTGGAGGAAGGGCACATGACCTTACCAGGTTGTTAAGACTATGTTGAGGATGATTTTAGAAGCAACATTTTTTCCTTACTCATGAGCATAACTGTGTTCTGTAAAATTTGAGGCAAGGGAGTTCTCTTTCTTTCCTTTCTCTCTCTCTCTCTCTCTTTCTCTCTCAGACTCCCAATGGCGCGATCTCAGCTCACTGCAACCTTTGCCTCCCGGGTTCAAGCGATTCTCCTGCCTCAGCCTCCCACGTAGCTGGAATTACAGGCATGCGCCATCACTTCTGGCTAATTTTGTATTTTTAGTAGACATAGGGTTTCTCCATGTTGGTCAGGCAGGTCTCGAACTCTTGACATCAGGTGATCTGCCTGCCTCGGCCTCCCAAAGTGCTGGGATTACAGGCGTGAGCCACCGCACCCGGCCCAGGAATTTTCAAATGATGCATATTACTATACACAGTGACTTTCAGGGGGTTCCGTTACCTTCCAAACTTGACTACGTTATTGTGATAGTTGAACTGATGGTATAATGTGGATTTAAAAATTGTAACAGACTGGTTACGCATCTTTACCATGGGAGGCAGTCCTAATTTACCTTAATAAAATTAAGTGTACTGCATTTTAACATCTCTTCTGCAACCACAACACAAGGGTTATTTCATAGTTGTAGTAACATATATTTAACTACATTAAATTAATAGATGAAAAGTTATTTTAAAAATCTAATTATAGAAATCTAAATTAAAGCACAAATGAAGAAAGAAAATTTAGATAAATTTGACTTCATCAAAATTAAAAAATTTTATGCTTCAAATGGTACCATTAAGAAAGTAAAAGGACAACCTATAGAATAGGAGAAAATATTTGCAAATCATATATCTAATAAAGGACTTGGATTCAGAATAGAATAGATACTTTTTTTTTTTTTTGAGACAGAGTCTCTCTGTTGCCCAGACTGGAATGCGGCGGCACAATCTCAGCTCACTGCAACCTCTGCCTCCCGGGTTCAAGCGATTCTCATGCCTCAGCCTCCAAAGTAGCTTGGATTACAGGCGCGGGCCACCACACCCGGCTAATTTTTGTGTTTTTAGTAAAGACAGGGTTTTACCATGTTGGCCAGGCTGGTCTCGAACTCTTGACCTCAAGTGATCCACCTGCCTTGGCCTCCCAAAGTGCTGGGATTAAGGTGTGAGCCACCGCACCTGGCCTAGAACAGATAAATAATTCTTATAACTCAATAATAAGGAAACAAATAACCCAATATAACAAGCAAATTATTTGAACAGGCATTTCTCTAAAGACAGACAAATGGCCAATAAGCACATGAAAAGATTCTCAACATTATTAGTCATTAGATAAATGCAAATAAAAACCACAATGAGGCCGGGCGCGGTGGCTCATGCCTGTAATCCCAGAACTTTGGGAGGCCGAAGCGGGTGGATCACCTGAGGTCAGGAGTTCGAGACCAGCCTGACCAACATGGGGAAACCCTGTCTCTACTAAATACAAAAAATTAGCCAGGCATCGTGGTGGATGCCTGTAATCCCAGCTACTTGGGAGGCTGAGGCAGGAGAATTGCTTGAACCTGGAAGGTGGAGGTTGCAGTGAGCCAAGATTGCGCTATTGCACTCCAGCCTGGGCAACAAGAGCAAAACTCTGTCTCAAAACAAACAAACAAACAAACAAACAAAAAACACAATGAGATACTACTTCATACTACACTGGCTGTAATAAAAAAGTCATAATATAAAGTGTTGACGAGTATGTGGAGAAAGGAACCTTCACACGTTACTGGTGGGAATGCAAAATGCATAGCCTCTTCGGAAAAACAGCTTCACAATTCCTCAAAATGTTAAACGTAGCATTAGGATATGACCCAGCAATCCCACTCCTAGGCATATACTAAAGATAACTGAAAACATATGTCCACACAAAAACTTGTAGGTGAATTTTCATTGCAGCATTATTCATAATAGTCAAAAAGTAGAAACAACCCAAATGTCCAACAACTTATGAATGGATAAACAAGTGTGGTCTCTCCACACAATGGTATAGTATCCTGCCATGGAAAGGAATGAAGTACTGATACATGGTACGGCATGGATGAACTTTGCAAGTATTAGACAATGTGAAAGAGGTCACTCATAAAAGGCCACAGATTGCATGATGCCATTTCTATTAAGTGCCCAGAAGAGGCAAACCCATAGAGAGAAAAGATGAATGCTTACTAGGTGCTGGAGTGAGGCGTGTGGGCAGTGGCTATTAATGTCTATGGGGTGTCCTTTTGGGATGATAAAAATGTTCTGGAATTAAATAGTGGTGAATGGTGCCCAACATTGTGAAAAGGATGAATTTTATGGCATGTGAGTTGTATCTCAATAAAGCTATTATTACAAAATCTTTCCCCTGATTATCTCAAAAAGTGTTTCTTTTACCAGGTAGATCTTGTTGAAATCAAGATCTAACAAAGCCAGGCTGGGCATGGTGGCTCACGCCTGTAATCCCAGCACTTTGGAAGGCTGAGGCGGGCAGATCACTTGAGGTCAGGGGTTCGAGACCAGCCTGGCCAACATGGTGAAACCCTGTCTCTACCAAAAATATAAAAAATTAGCCTGCGGTGGTGGCAGGCGCCTGTAATTCCAGCTACTCGGGAGGCTGAGGCAGGAGAATCGCTTGAATGTGGGAGGCAGAGGTTGCAGTGAGCTGAGATAGCGCCACTGCACTCCAGCATACGTGACAGAGTAAGACTCTGTCTCAAAAAAAAAAAAAAAAATTAACAAAGCCCACAGAATAAATGTGGTTAAGTCTCTAAAGCCTCTTTGAAAATCCATCCCAGGTTCCCCTTTTCTTCCTCATGCCACTTATTTGTTGAAGAAACCCCTTAATTACTATAGCAGGTTATTTTTTACTTGTGTTGGAGTGGTAGGAGGCATAACGGTGAATTTCTTTTATTTTAAAGTTTCTTAGCCCCTTTAACATTCCACCTTTCGCCTGGAAGAAATGAGCCTGGGCCCCTGTTAAGGGAAAGTCCCAGCTTTCAAAGACTTAGATTCTCATTAGCCAGCTTCTCTCAGCATCCCTGCAAGTTGTCCCCTCGACCTCCCTCGTCGCTGACCTCTGCCTGTTCTCCATTACCCTTCGGCCCAGCCTGCGCTCCCCAGGGTGGCACATGGAATTGCAACTCCAGATGTGGCCTGGCCAGGGAAGCGTCTGTGGGGATGATGATTTCTCTTGATCTGGATGCCATCCTTTTGTTAATACAAACTAAGATCTCATTAGCTAGTTCATTCTCTGGCTCACAGACTCCTGACTCATTCTGCCTTGAAATCAACTAAAGCACCTGAGGTATGTGTGTCTGTCTTCCCATATAAACTTCTGACGCCAGGTTGTATACTTTATAGTGGACTTTTTGAACCTAAATGCAGGTTTCTATTTTTATTTACATTCAATTTCATTTTGTTGATTTCCATTCATCTGCACAGTCGTTACAGATTTTTTAAAAAATTTTCTAGAGATGGGGGTCTCATATTATTGTCCAGGCTGGTCTCAAACTCCTGGTGTCAATAAATCCTCTCATCTCAGCCTCCCAAAGTGCTGGGATTACAGGAATGAACCACCTCACCCAGCCTAGAGATCTTTTTGAATCCTGAGTTCTACACACCTTACAAATCTGAGAAGCATGTTTCTCTGTTGCAAAGTCACATAGAAAGCCCTAGAGCTCTCCTGGACATGTAACACTGATCTATTGTCTCTGTGACCTCTTGGTTTAATCAACTATAAATCCACAGAACTGTACTATTACTCAGGCCTCAGTTTTCCATGAGCTCTACAAGAATATCATAAACGACTGAAAAAGCACCTATCTGAAACCAGGACACTGTTCATTTATTTCCAGGCTTATTTCATTTTCCCTTACCATTTCTTGCATGAAGCTCACTAAATGATATAGGATGTCCTTGACCTCAAGAATGAAACACAGTCCAGGCGTGGTGGCTCACACCTGTAATACCAGCACTTTGGGAGGCTGAGGCGGGCAGATCATGAGGTCAGGAGATCGAGACCATCCTGGCTAACACGGTGAAACTCTGTCTCTACTAAAAATACAAAAAATTAGCCGGGCTTGGTGGCTGTAGTCCCAGCTACTCGGGAGGCTGAGGCAGGAGAATGGCGTGAACCCGGGAGGCAGAGCTTGCAATGAGCCGACATTGGGCCACTGCACTCCAGCCTGGGCAACAGAGCGAGACTCCGACTTACAAAAAAAAAAAAAAAAGAATGAAACACAGTCCTCAAATTCCAAAACTAGATTGTTTTGCAGAAAAATTTGATAACCACATTACTCTGCTCACAAATACGTAATTTCTAATCTTTGAAATTTTTTTTTAAGTCTCCTGAGTTTTGTTTTAATAGACTTTCTTTTTTTTATTGGTATTTCCCTTCCTTCACCTTGTCTATCTTTGAATTTTGTCTTATCCATTTGACATTTTGAACAAAATATTCATTGACTTCAACATGTTTCTCCTCAGGAAAATATTTTCTAATATTTTAAAATTCCTTAAGGGTATCTTTCTAGGCTGGGTGCGGTGGCTCATGCCTACTTTGGGAGGCTGAGGTGGGTGAATCACGAGGTCAGGAGTTTGAGACCAGCCTGGCCAACATGGCGAAACTCCTGTCTCTACTAAAAATACAAAAAATTAGCTGGGCATAGTGGTGGGTGCCTGTAATCCCAGCTACTTGGGAGGCTGAGGCGGGACAATCGCTTGAACCCAGGAGACAGAGGTTGCAGTGAGCTGAGATCGCGCCACTGCACTCCAGCCTGGGTGACAGAGTGAGACTCCCTCTTCATAAAAAAAAGAGTGTCTTTCTATTTATCTAGGTTCTCTTAAATGAGTCTGATGATAAATGCCATATGTATGTAGCATACGTTGTTAACTGTTTATTCATTTTTGCATCCTCTAGAAGGAAATGGCTTGCTTACGTCTATATAGCACCCTATGGAAGGACGGAAAGCAAACAGTAATTGACAAATCCAGCCATGAATGCAATAAATTCAACTCCAAGGTAAGCTGAGAGACTTAGACACTTCTTTTTGTAAAGTTCTGAAATAAAAGCCCACACTCCCTAAATCTAGAAAATGATACGCCTTTCTGAGCAATCTGAAGACCGTGTGAACGCACCAGAGCACCTTTCCCCGATGTGTGCTCTTGCAGAACCACAGTGGGCTCTGCGTCTACTGGCCAGGTTGGTTCATCGATGTGGACATGGCCAGGTGAACTTGACGCCCTGTCATTTTCACTGTCACTCACCAAAGGAACATTTGTGTTCAGGGCAGGTGTTCAGGAAGTGCTGGCTGGTTTAGGATTGCAAGGAACTTGCAGCGTTCTCTCTGTTTGTGGGGGTGATCACACTAGGAAGAGTTCACATTCTTTTTTAACCGGGGCTGGCCCTGCATTCCAAATGGAACACAGCCAAGCTCTGGACAACAACAGATGGCTCCGTCTCTGCAAAATGCAAACTTGATCCTGCTCGGAGAATTTATCTTCTGCTAAAATAGTACCCCAAGCAGTAAATAAAGCAAATATTCTGTAGGATTCCTATGTGGGGGGTGCACAGAAAGTTTCTCTGTCAAAGTTGACATTTCAAAAACGTATCTGGACTGGATAAGACACATAGCTGTTGGGTTATTCAGCCCCAGTAATGGATGTACTGTGCTTCAGGGAGACTTTCTAAATGTAACCATGTTAATGGAGCTCATAACTTTACTAGTAGATTAATGAGGATCTGAAAGATAGGGTAAGTCTGATCTGTTACTGGATAATGTGGTGATTAATGTTTGTGATGTAATAAGGAAGCCCTAATTAGAAAACTACAGGGGGAAAACCCCAACAGGCTTTTTCACTTAACCAAAGCTTCCACCATTGAAAGAAATTTTGAAGTGTCATTTAATAAGCTTTATGGACTCAGGATATAAAATCAGAGTAAAGCTTATTACATGTTGAATAGAGTCAGTAACATTACAATCCATTGAGACTTCATATCTTTTCTTATGAAAATTCTTAAATCAGAACAAGTTACTACGAAAATATGATTTGTAGTTATAATAATAAATGGGGCTATGTTTGTGTTCTTTCAATGATATTTTACCTTTTGTTCTTTTAAGAGTATGAGAAACATACACCACCATTTTCAAGAGGACACTAACCTATGATCCAATTTTTCACTCTGCTTAAAACTTTCAATAAATTCATTCAAAGTGCTAATAGGCAAAAACAAAGATTCCCGTTTTTTAAAGTGAATTTTATAACCCTTTTCTTTGAAAAACATTTTGGAATGCCTGATCTTAGTAATAGTTTTCCTTCCCTATATACATAGAATATTTACCTCAAATTACTCTTTTATACTGGAAGAAAATTCTGGAAATAAAAAACTAAAAAAACCTTTAAACTACCTTGCACACATATATACATTGTAAGAGATTTTTCTACATTGGAAATTTATGTATGAAATATGATACAGTCTTTTAAATAATATTGGTGAAATACTTTTTTTGCATCATATTTAGCAGTTTTAGAGGTTAATGACAAGCCGAAGGGATCAGTGACCAAGGCTTTGTCAGCACTGTTAACTTCAACCCATCACTAATTGCTGGAAATGTCTTGGGTCTAGGAGGTTAACTCTTGTACAAGATTAAGGAGAAGGAAACATAAACTCTTACTACTATCTTTATGGGCTGTGTCCTTTAATTTGGAAGGTACAGGGCAATTATCGTTTTGGCCAATAATTAGCTGATCTGCAGACTTGCCTTTCATATGGCTTAAACCATCATTCAGCTCTTTGCCCAACAGTTTTACAATTAAAGATTTTATATTTAAAAGGGAAATACTTTTAAATATTCTATTATATTTAGTAGTAGATAGTAGATAGTCTATTATTTCTATCTACTTTAGTAACTTATGATTTTTATATCCCTTCCCAGAGATGGTTTCATATTTTTTCCTAGAATCTTTATGTGGGGGCTTTTATCTCTTAGAAAAGTCTATTCATTTGTCTATAAGACCACTGGGGTACTCAAAGTGATCTAGGACAAAACAAAGTCTTCCTAAAGTGCAGCAATTTAAGCAAACAACCTTATTTGTCAGGTGCAAGAAAATGCCCTCTGAATCCTCCAATTTCACACTTGTCACCGAGGGCTTTGTATTGGGCAGGGAAAACATCTTAGGTATCTCTGTGGTGTCCATTTTTGTTTTAGCACATAGTAGGCCCTGAACGTGCATATATCAATTTACTGCATAAATGTGAACCAAGTCTCCTTATGGGTATCTTTAATTACAGAAACACTTCTTATTTTTCAAATAATCATGCTATATCAACACAGCTGTTCACAACAGTAATGCTCATAACATATTAATAAGTGAAACAAGAAAGGATGTAAATTATCCATTTTTTAAAAAAAGAAAATATTCTTAAATTATTTGAATTATTAAATAAAGCCACACAACTACAAAGTTGACTTATGCAATTAGGTGTCTCTCTTTTTGAAAAAAACTCCAGGTTCTTTAAAGAGCAGACGAGTTGGGAAGCTTTAGGAAACAAAGCAAAAATCCTCAAAGCAGTCTACTTAGTCTTGCCTTACATCAATCACCCTTTCTTATTAACCTCTCACCCTTAAACCGTGCTGCAAGGAGGTGGGGGCAAGTATGTAGTGGGCTGGGGGTGAGGACAGAGTGATAAAATGTAAATTATGTAGAAGAGGGCTGCAGCTTTAACAAGTGTTTCTGTTTATTCAGAGCCTTCCTCTGAGATGCTCCAAGTGTTTTATAAACGTTATCTCCTTAATCCTCTGGAACAAGTAGGTGGCAACTCTGGCTCTTTACTTGACAGATATTTTATCTATGATTGGAAAAATTAAATGCCAGCAGAAGATCTTAACAGAAAGCAATTGGATGATGACAAAGATTAATTTTAATGCATGCCCTCAAGAACAATTCCAAGCCGTCTACACACTCCCCTCTTGTTTTTCAGCCACATGTTTTAGCCTCTTCCAGCATGCAGCGTGCTCACGTGGTAGGATTCTCAAGAAACCGGTAACAGAGTTGCTTTGAGAGAGGGAAATTTGGCAGTTGGAGGGAGGGACTGAAGGAAAAGGAGACTTTTCACTGTCTATATATATGCTTATATACCTTTTGGATTTACCTATTTAAAAAATAAATTTAAAAACCCTCCCAGAACAAGAGGGCAAAGTCAGCTGGATGATCTACTCACTTCCCTGACGTCCCCTCCAGTCCCCAGGAAACAGTAGCTGGGCTTTAATCTAACTCTTTCTTTGTAATATTCTGAATAGAAATCATTGAAGAAAAATGAGTACACAATTTACAGTCCATATTAAATGTATAACTTGAGGGATTTAATGGAAATGAGAAATGCAGTGTGTTGAAAGGCTCTCTGGATCTTTCTTCCTCTCTGTGGATTTATATATTTACAGATGTTCCTTAACTTACGATGGGGTTAAAGTCATAAAGTCAAAAAATTTTAAAGTCAAAAGAAATCCCAAGTTGAATCGTAAGTCGGGGGCTTTATATACTGCACTTCATTCATCTGGGTGGCTGATAGCATCAAAGAAATTTCAGGTCTATTTACAAACCACCAAAAGTTTTTAAAAGTTTTAAGAAACTTTTAAAAGGAGGTAATTTTCCACTTTTTCCTGATTTCACCCGGTCTTCAACTTCTTATCAATGTTGGTCTTGATTGAATGAAATGGATGTAGGAGTCTTAGGCTGACTAATCATGAAATATACAATTTTAGGGAGAAAAGAAAAGAACTAAATCAGGGTAATTGGTGGTGGTGGGGTGAGAAGCAGACTTGACGACTGTATATACAATTTTGCACCCACCTCCCACGGTTTGACGTTCGTTCCAGTAAATTCCAAGAGTACTTACTATTGTTGCCAGACAGGCCGTGTCTTCAAGCACAGGGTGAAGGAATCCAGGGCACTTTCCCTCTCAGCTTCTGTGGGCTCCAGAGCTGTGGTGACTCCGAAGGGCATACAGAGCAATTCCCTGGGGATCTTGTTAAAATGCAGATTCTGGTTCAGGTCTGTGGGGGGCCCTGGATTCTGCATTTCCAACACATTCCCAGGGGCTGTCCCTGCTGCTCCCACAGGAGCACGCTTTAAGTAGTGAGGATTTAGACAGAGCTTGCATCTGTTATAACTGGTTTCCGCTGCATTTAACTGACTACCAGCCTCCCACAATTAAAAGTTCCTCCCAGGCCAGGTGCAGTGGTTTATGCCTGTAATCCCAGCACTTTGGGAGGCCAAGGCAGGAGGATCACATGAAGTCAAGAGTTTGTGACCAGCCTGACCAACATGGCTAAGCCCTGTCTACAAAAATACAAGAATTAGCCAGGTGTGGTGGCATGCGCCTGTACTCCCAGTACTTTAGGAGGCCGAGGCAGGTGGATCACTGGAGGTCAGGAGTTTGAGACTAGCCTGGCCAACATGCTGAAATCCTGTCTCTACTAAAAATACAAAAATTAGCTGGGAGTGATGGCGGGCGCCTGTAATCCCAGCTACTCAGGAGACTGAGGTAGGAGAATGGCTTGGACCCAGGAAGCAGAGGTTGCAGTGAGCCGAGATCACACCATCGCACTCCAGCCTGGGTGACAGAGCGAGACTCTGCCTTAAATAAATAAATAAATAAAGTTTCTCCGTTTTCATGAATCTAGAAATCTGAAGCTTGGCAGACAGGGAAGAAGGAGTCTTTTCCACAGTGTCTCAGGGATGGTGGAGCTGTCCACTTTTCCTTGCAGATTTATCCACTTTTCTTTGCTTCGTCATCTTTTTTGAGTGATTTTCATTGTCAAGGTCACAATATAGTGGCTGCCCTTCCAGGTATCACGTTCATTTTCCATGAGGATGAAGAGGTCATGAGAGAGAACAAAAGGTATATGCCAAGTGAGTCTCCATCTTTTAATTGGGAAAACAGCAGCCTTCTGGGAAGCCAGACTCCTACTTCTCATTGGCCAGCAGACGTCTACTAACATCTCATCAGCCACATGACTGCAGGAAGCTTCAAGGCAGCTTTGTAAATAAAAATTCTTGGCTGGGCACGGTGGCTTACGCCTGTAATCCCAGCACTTTGGGAGGCCGAGGTGGGCGGATCACAAGGTCAGGAGATCGAGACTGTGCTGGGTAACACGATGAAACCCCGTCTCTACTGAAAATACAAAAAATTAGCCGGGCGTGGTGGCAGGTGCCTGTAGTCCCAGCTACTCGGGAGGCTGAGGCAGGAGAATGGCGTGAACCTGGGAGGCGGAGCTTGCAGTGAGCCGAGATCGCGCCACTGCACTCCAGCCTGCGCGACAGAGCGAGACCCCGCCTCAAAAAAAAAAAAAAAAAAAAAAATTCTTTAGCCAAGCATATTGTCACCCTGAACAAAATAATGATTCTGTTAGAAGGAAGGGAAGAATAGACATTAGGTAGGTGTCATAGGTGGAATAATGGCCCCCCAATGATGTTCATGACTAAATCACTGGAACCTGTGATTATGTTATCTTCCACAGCAAAGGCAACTTTACAGATGTGATTAGACGGGAGGATTCTCCTGGGTTACCTGGAGGGCCCACTGTAATCACAAGGCCCCTCACTAGAGGGAGGTGGGCGGGTGAGCGTCTGAGGGGAGATGCGCTCTTAGAAGCAGAGGGCAGAATGGTGTGGGGCTGCGAGCCCAGGAGAGCAGGCGGCATCTAGAGGTGGGGACACAGCTCTCTGGACACTTTTTATTTTAGGTCCACAAGATCCTTTTTGGAATTCTGACTTTCTTTCAGAGCTTTAAAGTAAGTTTGTGTTCTTAAGCCGCTGTGTGGTAATTTGCAATACGAAACTCATGCAGTGCCGCCTGGCGTTGTCTGTCCCAGAGTTAGGAGGAGGTGTGAGGAGACAGGGAGAAGTACCAGGACACCAGCCCTGGGCAGGGCCCAATGCAGACGCACCAGCAGGTGGGCCGCCTCCCGGAGGGGGTAGTGGACGGCAGGAGAGGGGCACACAGCCCAGAGGCGGCAATTGTCTGAACTGTGAACATTCGCTAATTAGGCTGGTTGTTTTATTCGTATTGGCAAAAGGCTTTTTCTTAGATAGGCTCACGGACTGCGAGGGAGCCTCAGTGATCACCCAGGCCAGACAGCTCCTCAGATTTCCCTGGAGGGACTGGAGGCCTGAATCTGAAGAGACTCCCCAGGCGAGACAGTGGGACCTCCCGAAGCTGTTTCAGTGCTTCCCACCACTGCCGGCTGCTTCCTGCTCTGGCGTTCTAGGTCGGGCTGCCAGGACAAATACAGGATGCCCCAAGTAAATGTGATTTTCAGATAAACAACAAATAACTTTTTCAGTATAAGCATTATCTGAGTTTCTTATTGGTTCCGTAACAAATTACAGTGGTGTAAAGCAACACAAATTAATCTAACACTGCTGCAGGTAGCTAGCCCCGGGGTCTCCTGGGGCTCAAATCAGTGTCTAGGAGGGCCATGCTCCTTCCGAAGACTTCAAGGAGAGTCCGTTTCTTTGCCTATTCCCACACTTCTAGAAGACGACTGCATCCTTCAGCTGGTTGGTCCTTCCTCCACCTTCAATTTCTAACTCTGGCTCTCCTGCCTCCCTCCTCTAAGGACTCTGTGGTTACATTTGGACCAGTCACTTCACCCAGGACGACCTGCCCTCTGAAAAGCCTTAACTTAATCACATCCGCAAAATCCTTTTTGCCATGTAAGGGAATATGTTCCAAGTGTTAGGAATATCTGTCCATGGACATCTTTGTTGGCCCCTTTTCTACCTGCCACAAGTGTGTCCTAAATATTGCATGGGACATACTTACACTAAAAAATTATTCATTGTTTTTCTGAAATTCACATTTAACTGGGGATACCATATTTTTATTTGCTAAATGTGGCAATCCTCATTTTTGGAAGTGTAGATAGGGTGTATTCTCTTCTCTATGGCAATTACTCCACCTACAACTTTATCAGTAAACAAAAAAATTGGATTTGGACAGGTGAGCGTCTATTGAAATAAATGCCTTCCTTTTTAGAAAAATTTATATTAATTAGCTTTTTAATATTCTGAACTATATTTTTAGTGAGCAATTTCTATTTAATTAATCTTCAACAGGGAACATAAGAGTAACTGAACACATTACAGCAGTCAGACAGAAAGTACACCAAGTATTTATTTGAAATATTTTGAATTTCTCCACACACCACATGGTCCAGTTCTCTCAACCAGCCCATTAATAAATCTGTTATCCAAAAATGTGGCTCTAAACGTGGCTTAGCGTGGTTGCACTTGATTACTGAGTGTCTGGAATGTCTTTCTCTCTTAACCAAAACACTTCAGGGGCAGAAGAGACACCAGGGAGTGGGACTCCCACAGCTTGGGCTGGGTTCAGAGCTGATGTCTCCCTCGCTAGCTGCTTTCTGAATAACGCCCTGGAGATGTCTCTGTGACACTGGGGCCTCCTCTTGCTGGGCTCTTTACTTCTGTAAACCTCTTCAAGTCTCTCTCTCTTTTTTTTTTTTAGATGGAGTCTCACTCTGTCGCCAGGCTGGAGTGCAGTGGCGCGATATCGGCTCACTGCAACCTCCGCCTCCCGGGTTCAAGTGATTCTCCTGCCTCAGCCTCCTGAGTAGCTGGGACTACAGGCACGTGCCACCACACTCAGCTAATTTTTGTATTTTTAGTAAAGACGAGGTTTCACCATGTTGGCCAGGGTGGTTTCAATCTCTTGACCTCGTGCTCCGCCCGCCTCGGCCTCCCAAAGTGCTGGGATTACAGCCGTGAGCCACCACGCCCAGCCCTCTCTTAATGACAATATTAAAACTGACTACAATTAGCAGTATTCACTGATATGCAAGTACTGTCATGCTTAAGTCCACTTTAAAAAACAAAACTGTCTTAAATAGATTGCTCTGGTGTTAGGAAAAATTATCCAAAACTTAGAAATAAAGCCAAGAGAATGACTGTCTTTTTAAGGCCATACTAAAGCGTTGTCTAACAAGCCTATCTAAAGATTATTTCATTCTCTAGGGATAGAAGGTTGTACTATTATTTTACTCTGCTTGTTATTTTAATTAAAGACTCAGACTCTATGCAAGTAAGTATTAACTTGTAGATTTGTGTGCAGTGGAAATACCAATTATTTCTCTCAGGTAGAAAACCCCAAAAGTTAGGCTTCCATCTCTTTTTGAAACACAACTAGCTACTTGTATGTCTGATCAAGTAATGTTATTCTGAATTCTTTTTTTTAGGTTTTCTTTATTGTTTCTTTTCTTTCTCCTTCCTTCCTTCCTTCTTTCCTTTCCTCCTTCCTTCCTTCTTTTTTAAGAGACAAGGCTTCACTGTCACCCAGGCTGGAATGCAGTGGTGTGATCATAACTCATTGCAGTCTCAAGTAATCAAGCCTCCTGGCCTCAAGTAATCCTCCTATTCAGCCTCCCAAAGTGTTTGGATTACAGGCATGAGCGGCCGTGCCCAGCTTTTTTTTTTTTTTTTTTTTTTTTTGAGACAGGGTCTCACTCTGTCGCCCAGGCTGGAGTGCAGTGGCACAATCTCAGCTCACTGCAACCTCCGACTCCTGGACTCAAATGATCCTCCCACCTCAGCCTCCCAAGTAGCTGGAACTACAGGTGTACGCCACCATGCTCGGCTAATTTTTAAATTTTTTTATAGGGACAGGATCTTTCCATGTTGCCTATGTTGGTCTCAAATTCCTGGGCTCCTCAGATGTTCTTAAAACCAGCTTTGAACTCTTACTGGATGCCTCGTTAATTAGTTGAATAAAATTTGATATGTACTCATCCTATAGTTGTATGACTCTCATACAACTAACTTGTTGAAAATGATGCTTTATCGGTAGCATAAGTCAGCCCGTCTGGTTTATGCTGTGGATTTGCTTTAACAACTTATTTCTTTTTAGATGAGCTAAAGGTTCAAGTTTCTTAGCATGACACTGAGGGTTCTTCACATTCTGGTCCCAAGTGACATCTTTTTTTTTGAGACAGGGTCTCCTGTCGCCCAGGTTGGAGTGCAGTGGTGCAATCTTGGCTCACTGCAACCTCGCCTCCTTGGTTCAAGCTATTCTTCTGCCTCAGCCTCCTGAGTAGCTGGGATTACAGGCACGCACCACCACAGCCTGGTTAATTTTTGTATTTTTATGTTTAGTAGAGATGGGTTTCACCATATTGGTCAGGCTGGTCTTGAACTTCTGACCTCAGGTGATTTGCCCTCCTCGGCCTCCCAAAGTGCTAGGATTACAGGCGTGAGCTACCGCGCCTGGCCTGACATCTCCTCTTCTGTGAAGTCTTCCCCAACCTCCTCTTTCCCAGTCTACACCACACCCTCCTCGGGCAGAGTCAGATATCTCCACATCCTTTGCACTCAGCATCCCAAACATATGTTTGCTGATAAACTGAACTATTTTCCTACTCTTCTGGTTGGCGTGTGACCTGGAGGTTAATTTAAATAATACATTCCATGTCCTCGTCACAGTGATTGCTTCCTGGGTGGGGGGGTCCTATGAGCCACCCTGTTTCCATCAGCGTCTTCTCAGGACATTTATTGCAATGGTGGGACAGAAGTACTCTTTCTTTCCTACTGATGTGGACAAAGCCTGTCACCTGGAATCTGGTGGCAGCTGTCTTTGGCTGGTGAGAGGAGCCACCCTCGGGACGGAGCCAGCACTGGGAAAGCAGCTCTGAGAACTGGGGAGAAATTCCGGCCGTGGTCATGTGGCTATGTTTCTGGAACAGGCCTTAAGATACTCTTGCTTCTAGACTTTTCAAGTCTTGGAGCCAGTAGATCCCTTTGATCACATAAGCCTGTTTGAATTAGATTTTCTATTATTTCCAGCCAGAAGCATCCTAGCTGATACAGATACCTATGTTACTCATTGGTGTCTTCATCAATGCTTCCGGAGTAATTTTGTGTCTGCCTAACTTCTGCCCATAGAAAAACATCTTTGTGATCCCAGAGCCTTGCTCAGTTTCTAGCTCAGTTGGAACTCAATAAATGTTGCCTGAGTTCGTTTTAGGAAAACACTTTTTTGCACTATACTCTTGTTATTTTTACAAGTAATGAAATAAAAACCTACTTTCCTCACCTTTTGCAGATCCCAGCGTCTCCCAAATTCCAAGGCTTGATTACTTTTTCTGACATCTGTGTCATCTCACCTGGAGCCACATGAATCTCTCAGTATCCCTACTCTCCTGCTTCAGCCCCTGCCCACTTCCTGTGGAAGCTTTCCAGGAGGCTATGCCTGGGCAGTTAGCCAGGCTGGCAAGTGGTGGGTTTAACAGAGCACTGCATAAACACACCCACATCCTGCGTAAACAAGATGCACCTAGTCTCTGGCAACTTTGAATTTTAAGAATGATTACAGAAACACAGCTGTAAACGTGGAGATCTTTTTTGAAGTGTATGGACCTCGTTCTGAGCCAGCTCACCTCTGGACCAGGCTGGGAAATCATGTGGGAAAGAGATTCTGCTGGCAGATTCAGAGGGCCTGAGAATGAATCCCTTCTCAGCAACCAGGCGCAGGTTGGTTGCTGGGAAGCACTCTGGAGTTGTCTCTCCCGACTGACATTCATTCACAATATCTCCACCTGGGAAGTGCACCTGTCCTGCCCTTTTGACAATCATGCCAATTTTATCACACTCCCTGTATGTCTCTTGTACAAAGAATGAGAACTCAAAACATCTGTGGGAAGAAGGCACCAGGAGAATGATTTCATGCTTGATATATTTGCATACATTGGCAATAGCAAGAAAAAAAAGCCCCTATTTTGAACTAATTCAAGTACATAGGACCAAAATATATTTTAATAGTTCAACATTGAATTCAGTGAGTTCTTAGACACCAAAGGAGGAAATGTCTGCTTCAATTGCAAAATAAAACTGACACTGATTCTAAAAACATTAAATGACATCAAAGTGGGCCGTGCCAGTCTCATATTTCAGACGTGACTTAGTGTTGTGTATTTTTCCAGAGCCCACCTCATCTGGGAAAAACTACTGCTAATGATTTATGTATGATTTATCACCACCAACCCCACGGTAAAAGAGTGAACTAGCCAGTATCAACCTGATTTTTACACCAGAGGCCAGAAACCTCTTTCCTTCCTATCGCCTGGGGTAACTTAGGGGCGAATGTTACCTTTTGAACATGAAACACCCTCAATCCCTGTATTTCTTTCTCTTCCCCTTGACTCATGAAACACCCAGAGGTAAAAAAATAACAGGGGGTGTGGGAGGCAGACACCCACATAAAGAAGCAGAATTTATGATTTGTATCTTACAGATTTGTTAATGGGTTTGCTAACACTTCTTTCTTTCATTGACTTGGTGCTTGAAACTCTCATAAGCGTGTAATTTTCAACTCACAGTGTTCCCAGGTGAGGCATGGTTGTGGCGATACAGCAGACGGACACCCACAAGTTATTTCTAACAATAATGACCTGCTCCAAGGGTCATTGCGGACTTTAATTTTAAAGGGTGAGCTTGAAATATTTCACATCATTGTGACATATGACTATGCCACATTTCAATAAATGTTTTCTTTCTTTTTTTTTTTTTTTCAAGACAGAGTCTCACTCTGTCACTCAGGCTGGAGTGCAGTGGGGCAATCTCTGCTCACTGCAACCTCCGCCTCCTGGGTTCCAGCGATTCTCCTGCCTCAGCCTCCCAAGTAGCTGGGACTACAGTTGTGTGCCACAGGGCTTGGCTAATTCAATGAATGTTTTCTGTCCCAAATTGAAAATGTTTAAAGGAGGCAAGATTCATACTTTTACATAACAGAGGGGCAGCTCTTATCTCCACATTGCCTAAGATGTTATGATTTTAATTTCTGCAACGTAGTGACCATGGCCTTAAAAAAAGTCAGTAATCACATTGGACTATCTCAGTGCGGGTCACAGAACACAAGTTTGTAATGCTTAATGACATCTGTGGGAACTGCTCTGTGAAAACGGAATTTCTGAGCTGAGAAGTCCACATCTCTGTTCATCTACATGAATTTATTAATCAGTTAACAAATAAATACTCAACATTTATTCCATGCAACGGTAACAAATATGAGGGAACCAAAAAGTATAAGACACGGTGCCTGTTTTGAATTGCTTACAATGTAACTGAAGATAAAAATTACTTCATAAAAAACCCCATATTCATCCTTGGCCGGGAGCGGTGGCTCATGCCTGTAATCCCAGCACTTTGGGAGGCCGAGGTGGGCAGATCACGAGGTCAGGAGATCGAGACCATCCTGGATAACACGGTGAAACCCCGTCTCTAATAAAAATACAAAAAAAAATAGCCGGGCTTGGTGGCAGGCGCCTGTAGTCCCAGCTACTCGGGAGGCTGAGGCAGGAGAATGGCGTGAACCCGGGAGGCGGAGTTTGCAGTGAGCCGAGATCGCGCCATTGCACTCCAGCCTGGGCGACAGAGTGAGACTCCATCTCAAAACAAAACAAAACAAAACAAAACCATATTCATCCTTCAAGAATCAGCTCAAGACTCCTACCTGGCTCTCCTCCAGTGTCCTTCGCCGGAAGAGTCAATCACTGCTTTTTCTGGACTTTGCACTACTTTCACTCTGAACTGTAACGATTGCTACGGGCACCTTCTACACAGTTGCCTAGTACAGTGCAACATGGTGGGTGTTCGACAAAATGTAAGTTACAACAACAACGAACAAAGGAGCCAGTGCACCAGAAGAACCAAAGAACATTCTGGATTGTCATAAGCATAAAACCAGTGGGGCAGAATGAGCGCTCACTCCAAGTTGGAGTGGTCGGTGGGGACATCTGAAATAGACCAGACCTTCATGCCTGGGATGGTCAGCTGTAGGGAATTACGCATATGACAGTGAAGATGCTATCCCCATCATCCAGGCAGCTTCTTTTGTTTTTTGGTTTCTTTGAGACGGAGTCTCGCCCTGTTGCCCAGACTGGAGTGCAGTGGCGCGATCTCGGCTCACTGCAACCTCCGCCTCCTGGGTTCAAGCGATTCTCCTGCCTCAGGCTCCCAAGTAGCTGGGATTACAGGCGCACGTCACCACGCCCAGCTCATTTTTTGTATCTTTAGTGGAGACGGGGTTTCACCATGTTGGCCAGGCTGGTCTTGAACTCCTGACCTCGTGATCCGCCTGCTTCAGCCTCCCAAAGTGCTGGGATTACAGGCGTGAGCCACCGTGCCACCTGGCTGCAGGCAGCTTCTTGAGAAAGGGTCCTGGTTTTGGGGATACAGATTTATAGGAGATAAATTGAAACCTTGCATTCTTTTCTTTTTTTTTTTTTCTGAGACAGGGTCTCACTCTGGAGCCCGGGCTGGAGTGCAGTGGTGTGATCTTGGCTCACTGCAACCTCCACCTCCCGGGCTCAAGCAATCCTCTCACTTTAGCCTTTCAAGTAGCTGGGACCACAAGTGTGTACCACCATGCCCAGCTAATTTTTTGTATTTTTGTAGGGACGGGGTCTCACCACATTGCTCAGGCTCATCATGAACTTCTGAGCTCAAGTGATCCGCCTGCCTCAGCCTCCCAAAGTGCTGGGATTACAGGCATGAGCCATCATACCTGTTTTTTTTTTTTTTTTTTAAGCTTAATTGAGGTATGATTGTATGATTGACTTAAAATAAATTGCACAGGTATACACTTACGAAGCCATTACCACAATCGAGATAATAAACGTATCCATGATCCCCTAAAAGCCCCCATTTCTCTCGGTAACCCCGTTCTTCTCCCTCCCTGTGCCTCTCTACCCCCAAGTAACCACTGCTGTCTTTCCAACGCTATCAATTGTATTTTCTAGAATTTTATGTAATGAAATCATAGAGTATACACGTGACAGAACTATTTGAGCTGCATCCATGTTGCGTTATATAAGTAGTTATGCCTTTCCATGGCTGAGTGGTATTCTATGGTATATACCACAATTTCCTTACCTATTCATCTATTAACTGACAACGGGGTTGTGTGATGGTTAAATCTGTGTCAACTTGACTGGACTGAAAGATGTCCAGATAGTTGGTAAAACAGTGTTTCTGGGTGTAGCTCTGAGGTTGTTTCCAGAAGAGATGAGCATTTGAATCAGTAGACTGAGTAAAGAAGGTCGCCCTCACCAATGTGGGCAGGCACCATCCAATCCATTGAGGGCTGGAATAGAACAAAAAGGTGGAAGAAGGGCAGTTTGCCCTCTCTATTCACTCTGGGACGTCCATCTTTTTTCTGTGCTCAGATAGTAGTTCTCCTGGTTCTCAGAATTATACTACTGGCTTTTCTGCATTTTCAGACAGCAGACTGTGGGTCTTCTTGACCTCCATAATCTCACGAGCCAATTCTCTAATAAATTACACAAATACATATTTGCCAAGGCTCCCCGGAGTGGTAGAACCAACATGATGTCTAGCTATCTGTCTATCTGTCTACTTACCTATCAGACATGTACGAGACACACAAGAAATACACACACACACAGATACACATATGCATATCTTACTGGCTCTGTTTCTCTTAGAGAATCTTGACTAATACAGGTTGTTTCTAGTTTTGAGCCATTACAAATTCATGTGCAACTCTTTTTATGCACAATGCTTTCATTTCTTTTCAGTAAATCTCAAGAAATGTAGGTCTATGATCCCTAGAAGTCAAATGGCTGGGTCCCACGTTAGGTATTTGTGTACCTCATTAAGAAACTGCCAAACTGTTTTCTAAAGTGGTTGTACCCGTTTACATTCCCATCAGTAGGGCTGGAGAATTGCAGTTGTTCACATCCTCACCAACACTGGGTATAGTCAGTCCTCTTAATCGTAGTCATTTTAATGATATGTACTGGTATCTCACTGTGGTTTTAATTTGCATTTTCCTAATGACTAATGATGTTGAAGATCTTTCCACAGCTTTTTTGCCATCTAAATATTTTCATCAGTCTCTTCAGCCCTTTTGTGACTTTTAAAAAGTGGATTGTTTATATTCTTATTACTGGGTTTTGAGGGAGTTCTTTTTATATTCTGGATAAGTCCTTTATCAGATATGTAATTTGCAAATATTTTCTTCCAGCTGTGGCTTGTCTTTTCATTCTCTTAACGTGTTGTTTGAAGAGCAGAAGTTTTTAATTTGATGGAGTCTAACTTAACAATTTTTAAAAATAAATTGTGCTTTTGTTATTCTAAAAAAGCTCTAACTCAAAGTTTCAAAGATTTTCTTCTATGTATTCTCCTAGAAGATTTATAGTTTTAGGATTTATATTTATGGCTATGATTCATTTTGAGTTAATATTTATATATTGTGTGAGACATGGATTAATTTTTTTTTACATATGCATATTCATTTGTTCTAGCACCATTTGTGGAAAAAGCAATCCTTGCTTATGGAATCACTTTTGCTCTTTTGTTGAAAGCCCACTGGCCATGTATATCTGGGTCTGCTTCTGCTTTCTGTTTTCGCTCATTTATTTGTCTATCTTTATGCTAATAAGACACTGTCTTCATTACTATAGCTTTATGAATATGAGTTATTTACTTTGTCCTTGTTTTTCAATGTTGTTTTGGCTATTCTAGGTATTTTGCATTTCCGTAGGGATTCTATAATCCCCTTATCAATTTGAACATAAAAATCTAGTCTTCCTGGATTTGATGGATTGCATTGAATTTATAGATCAATTTGGGGATAATTGGCATCTTAACAATATTCTGTTTTCCAATCTATAAACATAGGATATCTCTGTATTTATTTAGGTTTATTTAATTTTCTTTATAATTTTCTTTTTATTTTATTAGAGACAAGGTATTGCTCTGTTGCCCAGGCTGGAGTGCCATGGTGCAATGTAAGCTTGGACTCCTGGGCTCAAGTGATCCTCCCGCCTCTGCCTCCCAAGTAGCTAGGGCTATAGGAATGCACCACCACACCAGCTAATTTTTTCTTTTTTGTAGAGAAGAGGTCTTGCTATTTTGCTTAGGCTGGTCTCGAACTCCTGGGATCAAGTGATCTTCCCACCTTGGCTTCCCAAAGAGCTTGGATTACAGGTGTGAGCTACCATGCTTGGGCTATTTTTACTTTTTTAGAGATGGGGTCTCTTTCTGTTCCCCAGGCTTGAGTATAGTGGCACAATCATAGCTTGCTTTCTGTGGTCATGAACTCCAGGACTCAAGTGATCTTCCCACCTCAGCCTCCCAAGTAGCTGGGATTACAGGTGCATGTCACCATGCCCAGCTAATTTATTTATTTTACTTTTTTAGAGTGAGGGTCTTGCTACGTTGGCTAGGCTAGTCTTGAACTCCTGGTGTCAAGCGATCCTCCTGCCTCAACTTCTGAGTAACTGGGATTACAGGTGTGAGCCATTATTCCTGTGGCTTTTTTTTTTGGGATAGGGTCTCACCCTGTCGCCTAGCCTAGGCTGAAATGCAGTGGCACAATCTTGGCTCACTGCAACCTCTGCTTCCCAGGTTCAAGCAATTCTCGTGCCTCAGCCTTCTGAGTAACTGGGATTACAGGCGCACACCACCACACCTTGCCGATTTTTGTATTTTTAGTAGACATGGGGTTTCGCCATGTTGATCAGGCTGGTCTTGAACTCCTGACCTCAACTTATCCACCAGCCTTAGCCTCCCAAAGTGCTGGGATTATAGGCATGAGCCACTGTGCCCAGCCCTGTGGCTTCTCTTAACAATGTTTCATAGTTTTCAGCCTCCAGGTCTCATAAATCTTTGGTGTAGTGATATATCTATATTTGCAATATATTCAGATAATAACAAAATGTTGATTGAAAAAAAGACAAGTAGATATAGGATGTGATGTTACGCCAGCTAAGAAAAAGCTTAGATATGGGCAGAGTGGGCGGTTTTTTCCATTGGGGCAGTAGAGGGCACCTGCCACCTTTTCTCTCATTTGCTCTGCGTCTCTTCTTTTTGGAGGAACAGAGCCAGTAATGGAACCAGAAAGAGTGAATTGCCCGAGTCACTGCTGGTGGGTCCCTCACACTCCATCTATGCACTTCAGATGGAATGGAGCCATCCTGTCACAATAAATGGGCTCACGGTTGTTTACTGGGCCCAAGCCAGGCCAATGAGCCTCATTACAATGAGGATGCGATGTTTTCCTTTTGAAGGGATTAGCTACTATGGGGAGGATATCTTAAGCCCAGAGCTGTGGAAGGCTACTTTTGTCGTCTTTTATTGAACCTGCCTGTCAAATCTAGAGAACTCCATCAGATTAGGTAATTATGGAATGCAGTTTGTGGTAACCAGCCTCCAATATCACCTTGGAGTTGTCTCTTGGATAGTGCTCCAAGATAGTTACCCCCAGTGATTCTTGCCACCTTCTAGTCATCTTTGTTGAACCCCGTTTGTGTGTGTGTGTGGTTTTTTTTTAGATGGAGTCTTGCTTTGTCGCCAGGCTGGAGTGCAGTGGCGTGATCTCGGCTCACTGCAACCTCCACCTCCCGGGTTCAAGCGATTCTTCTGTCTCAGCCTCCCAAGTAGCTGGGACTACAGGTGCCCGCCACCATGCCCAGATAATTTTTGTATTTTTAGTAGAGACAGAGTTTCACCATGTTGGCCAGGATGGTCTCCATCTCTTGACCTTGTGATCCGCCCGCCTCAGCCTCCTGAAGTGCTGGGATTACAGGAGTGAGCCACCGTGGTCGGCTCCCTTTGTTGTTTTTTGTTTTTTTTCTTTGAGACAGAGTCTTGCTCTGTCACCCAGTCTGGAGTACAATAGTGCAATCTCAGCTCATTGCAACCTCTGTAACCTCTGCCTCCCAGGTGCAAGTGATCCTCATGCCTCAGCCTCCCAAGTAGCTGGGACTACAGGTATGCACCACCAAACCCGGCTAATTTTTGTATTTTTAGTAGAGATGGGGTTTCACCATGTTTGCCAGGCTGGTCTTGAACTCCTGACCTTAGGTGATCTGCCTACCTTGGCCCCCCAAAGTGCTGGGATTATAGGCGTGAGGCATTGTGCCCAGCCCCACTTCCCACTTTGAACAGGACTGATCAATGTAGGCAATGGGATATTGCAGAAATGATGGCATTCGATTCCCAAAGGTAGGTCATGAAAGATATTGCAGCTTCTACTCTGCCCTCTCTTGGAACACATGCTCCGGGGGAAGCCAGCTGCACATCACAAGGACATCAATGCACTTAATGTGAGTTGCTCCCTGTGTGAGGTGGAACTGGAGCGCCCACCAACATGTGTTTGAGCTGCTCTCTAGCCTGGCCAAGCCTTCCCATGGCTGCCTCTCAGCCAACATGTTTCTTGCAACCTCATGAGAGACCTTAGCACCAAGCTCATCTGCTCCCAAATTCCTGACTTGCAGAAACTGTCTGAGGTAATAAAGGTTGATCGTTGCTTAAAGCCACAAAGTTTTGAGGTGACTTGTTACATGCAATAGATAACGAATACGTGGTCTAATATAGCTCACTCCGATTTGCCCCAGCTTAAGACAATCCATTTTTTCTTAACTCTCCTTGTTTTTATTTTCTCAATGACTCAGCTCCTTCTGGGCCAGAGTCCCTTGAGAGATTGCCTGTCCTCAGTGATTGACCACACTCTGTTCCTCGCCCGAGCCCTGCTGCCGGAAAGCCCCCTTGGCCACAGTCATATTAAGACATGATCCTTAGGTTTCCTCCTCACAGACACCACACCTGATTCTATAGTCCTTGGCTTATTTCCATGCTCTCATTGGAGCTTTTTCCTCCCTGCAAAGTTCCTCTTTCCCCAAGTAGCTCCACTCCTTGCATTGCACTTTTCTTGTATTTTCCATTCTTTTTTCTCTACCTCTCTCGCTCTCTCTTCTTCTCTTATAATCATAGAATTTTCCAAATATGTCACTCCCTAAATGTGTCTACTTTTTCACAATACTGGTGACTTTGTCTGTGCCGTGTGTTACACTCATTGGTCCATTCATTCATTTAACAAGTACTTCTTATGTTCCTGCCACGTGCTAGGCACTAGGCTAAGTGCTGGAATACTTCTGCCTGGAACACCCTCGCCTCCGAATGCCCTCTTTCTCCACCTGAGCTTCCACCCAAGTGAATTCATCTGACTTTTATTATGGGCTCATTCAAGGTCAGACACCGCGCTAGACATGCTTTAAACCTCAACTCAAATCACAATTTCTTATAAGACTTCCTTTTTCCTCCAGCCAGAGTTAATTGCTCCCACCACACTCTATATTGGCATTCCCATAATGTTTTGTTTGTTCATTTGTGTATTCATTCATTATTTCATGGGCATTTTTGAGAGTCTGCTATATGCCTGACACCATGTTAGGAGCTGGGAAAGCATGGTGTGAGGTAAGTGCCAACAGACATTTGTACCTAATGCAATGGAAACTCCAAGGTAGAGAAACTAATTGCATGTTGTAATTATTTCCCTTGGTCCCCGTGTTCTTCACAGACCTTGAGCTACCTGAAAGCATGGATTACCTCTTCTGGTTATTCCCACAACCTAGCACAGCCTCTAGCGCACGGAAGGTACTTAATAAAGATTTGTTGTGTGTTTGAAGCTCAGTACATGCTATTTGACAAATTGGGAGCCAACCTGCGTTGGATCATCAAACAGCCACAGGAAAGTAATTATCTCCCTGGGCCATCACATTTTGGTTTTTATCTTTTCTCCAAGTTGATTTAAAACAAAAGCTCATCTACAACTTAATTACATTTCAGCCCCTCTGGCCTGGTCAGGTTGGCAACATGCCAAACCCACAGGTGGAGTCATAGGAGCCGGTGGGTAGGTAGGAAGCGGCGGCTCGAGAATATTGGGCGCTTAGAGAGAAGTGAAGGAGGAAAATAAACTGCTGGAAGACGAGTTCGAGGTCAAATACAAGGAGGGCCACCTTTAAATTTTTTTTTCCTCTGGGACGGAGTCTTGCTGTGTTGCTCAGGCTGGAGTGCAGTGGCGTGATCTCAGCTCACTGCAACCTCCGCCTCCTGGGTTCAAGCAGTTCTCCTGCCTCAGCCTCCCAAGTAGCTGTGATTACAGGCATGCGCCACCACACCCAGCTAATTTTTGTAGTTTTAGTAGAGACGGGGTTTCACCATGTTGGCCAGGCTGGTCTCAAACTCCTGACCTCGTGATCCACCCGCCTCAGCCTCCCAAAGTGCTGGGATTACAGGCATGAGCCACCACACCCAGCCAACAACATTCTAAATTTCTATAGGGCCAGCCAGCCCTGATAAAAGCTCAACAAATTAGTTTTAGCCTGCAGTCGGAAAATAAGCAAAGGATCTTAGATGAGCTAAAGGCTAAAACCAGAAAATACCTGAATAACATTGACAGCTTTGCCCAACCCTGTTTACGAGCTGCTGGCCTGCTGTTTGCATCCTTGCCAGCTGCAGACTTGCGTGGCTGAGAAATGCAGTCAAAGTTGGTGAAATGACTTGCAGATTTTACACCTAACAATGAAAAAATTTATTTACATAAAATAGGATCTGCTGAGGGGACTCTCGTGAATTAGTTTCGGGGTAGCTTGTGGTTTCTCCACAGGTTGCCAGTTACCCTGGTGGTTCAGCGAGGCTTTTTTGTAGGCAGAATAATTCATTCCAAAAAACGAGATGATGAGATAAGAGTATGCTCTGAGATATTTCACTGTTTGGAAGACTTGCATTCCAATGTGGATAGTAAGCTAATTTGCTTATCTTAATCCCATCTTTGGATTGACTAGCATTTCAAAATGATAACGTGTTCTGGAATCTCAGACCTCCCTTTGGAAGTGTTCAGGCAAAGCAGCTTGGTTAGATTCCTTTAATGTCACTGCCACTTTGCTAAAAACCAATAAAATCCTGCTATAATAAATATGATACTATAGAAATCTCCATGTCACAGTAGTCTCACATCACAGCATTGACCCATTTATTTTTCCCAATTGTATATGAGAAAAAAATTGTTTCACCAACAAAATAATTACATAGATTGTAATTCAGAAGTTACTTCCAGATTTCCTAATTTGGTATGGGCAAGTTTATTTTACTAAAATGGTTTGCAATAGACACGGTTTCATTTAAGCTAAGTTGACTTTCTGGTTACTTGTATTCTTGGATGATTCCTCTGGGGGACTGAGGTGCCCCTGGCAATGCCAGTGAAGAAGGCAACACAGACTGAACTTTTTCCCCCTGTCCTGGCCACTTCTGATTGCTGAACTGAGTGCTCTTGACCAATCTGTGAAGCCAGATGTCCTGGATGCTTGTGAGTTTTAGCCCCTTTTCTATACTTGGGAGATGCCCTGCCTGATCCTGGCTCCCATCTTGGAGGCTGAAGCCTCCATATCTTTGCCTCCCCAGCCTCGCTTGACACCAGGTAAAGGCTTGGCTTACCAGGTTCTGCCCAGCAGTGACAGCAGAGAACCTTTAGTGGCAGGGAACTCAAGGGGCAGTATGGGGGGGTGTCTGACACCCACGGGAAAGGTGGGCACGGGGCAAGAAATGCAGCCTGTGTACAGCACCCATAACACCCGGGTCCTCCTGGAGCAGTTCTGCGGGGCAATCCCAACTATGGTCCCGCCCATGTGGGTGCCCTGCGGGGCTCTCTAGCCTCCATGAACCACCCTATAACCTGTCAGTGAATTTTCTCCTCGCTTAAAGCAGCAGGAGTAAGTTTCAGCTGCTGACATTAAGAGCCCCTGCTGATTCCTTTATTTCATGTTCTAGTCTTCTCTTTTATCTCCAGTCCTTTTCTTGACACCACTGTTCCATGTCCCCCTCCACCAGAACAAAACATTTAACTTCCACTCCAGTCTTTGTCCACTGGTGCTGCTGTAACAAAATACCATAGACTGAGCCATTTATAAAGAACAGAAATGTAAGGCCGGGTGCGGTGGCTCACACCTGTAATCCCAGCACTTTGGGAGGCTGAGGCAGGCAGATCACAAGGTCAGGAGATCGAGACCATCCTGGCTAACACGGTGAAGCCCCGTCTCTACTAAAAATACAAAAAATTAGCTGGGCATGGCAGCGTGCGCCTGTAGTCCCAGCTGCTGGGGAGGCTGAGGCAGGAGAATGGCATGAACCCGGGAGGTGGAGCTTGCAGTGAGCCGAGATGGCGCCATTGCACTCCAGCCTGAGGGACAGAGCGAGACTCCGTCTCAAAAAAAAAAAAAAAAAAAAAGAACAGAAATGTATATTCTCCCAGGTCTGGAGTCTGGGAAGTCCAAGATCAAGGCACCCACAGGTCCAGTGTCTGTGAGGGGTGCTCTCTGCTCCCAAGATTGTGCCTTGAGTGCTGTGTCCTCACACGGCAGAAAGTGGACGGGCAAAAAAGGGGCAAATGCTGTGTGATGTTTCTTTTATAAAGGCCTTCACCCTAGTCACTAGAGCTCTGCCTTCATGACTTAGTCACCTCTGAAAAGCCCCTTCTTTTAATACTATCACAGTGGTGATTAAGTTTCAACACTTGAGTTTTGGGGGGTACATAAACACTCAAACCGTCATCACTCCCAATACCCAGGCAAACGCTAAGTCATGTTACATTCACTTGTTCAGCTAACAACTATTTATGAAGCTCACCCTCTGTACCGGACAGCATGTAACACTGGGGAAGTAACAGTGAGTTCCCTGTGGTCCTAGGTCCCAGGATATCATTGTCTAGTGTCCACATACCAGGTACTAAAATGCACACGGTATCCTGCACCACAGAAGAGGAGAGTCATTTATTGACCCTGTCCTCTTGTTCTCATTCTCGTTCCTGACAGACTTGCAAAGCCCTCCTGCCTTAGAATTCCTCAGAGTGGGACAAGACCAGCTGCCACCGCCACAGGACTGGGGAGTTTGCCAGAAAAGCACATTTTCAGGCCCCAGCCCACACCTACTGGATTTGAATCTCTGGGGCGGGAGCCTGGGAATCCATGTGAAGCAGCTCTCTAAGGGATTCTCACCCACCCTACAGCTGAGAAGCACTGCTGTAATGGGCCTTCCAAACTCCAGTTTTCTTTTTTAAGCCATTATTTCCCTAACACATGGTTCTGATAATGCCGCTGCATTGAGAAGAAATCACCAATGTGCCACTGTACATTGAGTAACTTCCGTCCTTTCTGTGCTTCTTTCTTGTTGCGAGGAGCAGAGACCCATTCAGGTTGCTGACACGCGGGAGTTTATTGTAGGTGTAACTAAAGCACCTTCTCCTGACCACCCAGGCAAGGTGTCCTGACATTCCTGTTTAGCCCCAGGGTGTGTCTAGCTTTCTCCATGGGGTTACATGTTTCTAGGAGAGTTACTGGAGAGGTATTTTCAGTACCAGGAAAACATGGAAAATTGGGAAAAATAACAAACAGCTTCACCAACCAGGTCCCATGGACACCCTGAGGAACCAGAGGTTCAGGCGCTAATGAGATTTTCCTGCTGCCTCCTCATCAGCAGGCAGCTCTGCTCTCTACTTTCCTGCTCTACCTCTAAAAACAACAACATATCATTCGTTTTATTTTGCATCAAAGGCAATTTTCCAGGCTGTTGAGGATTTTAGGGAGCATTAGGGGCTGCATCTATTATTAATACCTTTTAAACATTTCTCCCCAGATTTATAAGATTTGCACTTATGATATTTTTCAGAGCAGTTCTTTATTTCAGAAGAATCGAGCAGATAGAGTTCCCAGCCCAGCCCCACCATCTTGCTTCCCTGTTATAAACACCTTACATTGTATGGTACATTTGTTACAATTAATAAGCCAATATTGATATATTATTAGCAACCAAAGTCCATCGTTTATTCTGATTCTCTTAGTTTTTTTTTTAAACCTAGTATCTCTTTTCTGTTCCAGGACCCCATCCAGGATACCACAGGACATTTAGTTGTTCTGTCTCTTTGGGTTCCTATTGATTGTGACGGACCAAGCCTGTCCAATCCTCTGCCCATGGGCCACATGTGGCCCAAGACAGCTTGGAATGTGGCCCAACACAAATTCGTAAACTCTCTTAAAACATTATGAGATTGATGCACGGACCTTTTTTATTTTTTAGCTCACCAGCTATCCTGAGTGTTAGCATATTTTATGTGTGGCCCAAGACAATTCATCTTCTTCCAGTGTGGCCCAGGGAAGCCAAAAGATTGGACACCCCGTGACAGACTTTCCTTTTTTCTGATGACCTTGACAGTTTTGAGGAGTGCTAGGGAGGTGTATTGTAGGATGCTCCTCTCCTGGAATTTGTTTGATGATTTTTACATGACTGGACACGGGTTATAGATTTTGGGGAGGAAGGTCACAGAATGAAAGTGCCATATCAAGGGGACACTCTAGCAACATGAATTATGTTTTTTTTTTCTTTTTTTGAGATGGAGTCTCCACTCTGTCACCCAGGTTGGAGTGCAGTGGCACGAACTTGGCTCATTGAAATCTCTGCCTCCCAGGTTCAAGCGAGTCTTGAACCTGCCTCAGTCTCCCAAGTAGCTTTAATTATAGGTGTGTGCCACCACTCGGGGCTAATTTTTTAATTTTTAGTAGAGACGGGGTTTCACTATGTTGGCCAGGCTAGTCTCGAACTCCTGGCCTCAAGTGGGCTGCTTGCCTCGGCCTCCCAAAGTGCTGGGATGACAGGCATGAGCCACTGTGCCTGGCCCATTTATGACTGTTGATGAGGACCTCGATCACCTGAATGGTGCAGGTGATTGGAATGTTACTCTTTTTTTCCTTTTTTCCATCCTGTACTCTTGAGCAGAAAGTGACTATGTGTAGCCCACACTTAGGAGTGGGGAGCTATGCTTTATCTCTCTCAGTGTGCAGCATCTACATACATTATTTGGAATTCTTCTGCCTGGAAGGTTTGTTTCTTCTCCATTTATTAATTTATTCAACAATTTATTTATGTCAGTATGGGATCATGAACAGCTGTAGTATGCTTTGGGTTATAATTAAATATCACTTTATTTATTCCTTGCTGTCATTGTTCCAGCATTGGCCATTAGAAGCCTTGCAGTTGTCTCTGCGCCCCTCTGACATAGCTCCACCAATGGTGGGGGTGTGTGGGGGTGGGGGGGACACTTGAGTGCTTCCTTACTTCCTGTCACTACGAGAAGCTCCAGGCTCATCTTGCATGTTTCCTGCCCCAGCCTTAGAATCAGCCATCTTTCCAAGGAGCCCTGATTCCTTTGATTGGAAACCAAGATCTGGACTCTACGTGTGCTCAGTGCTACTGAGTGGCAGAACCACTCGTTGAACCTAAATGGGTCTGACTCCAAGTCTTGAGACGTTTCCATCCTGAAAGCGTTCTACCTCAGGTCCTCAAGTAATCTCACCACACACGGTGGTCTAGGTCATGTCTGCACCCTGTTGTTGGAGATTTTGAACCAGAGGAAGGGGTCACTCCGGCAGAGGTGGGGAGGTCACAGGATGACCTGGGCTTCCCCCTATGCTGTCCTCTCCTGGTTCTTTCCCTAGTGCACAGGAGATAAAGACACACAGCATTTGAGCTATAGTCAGGTCTGTGGCTGGTGAGCCCCAGACTTTACAGTGCAGTGGAAAGGGGGTGTTTGTCCTGTTGGAAGAGCAGATTCTAGGGCCCACCCCCAAAGGTTTGGATTCAGTGGGCTGGGTGGGACCAAGGTGGTCTGCAGGATAATTCAGATTGAGGTCTCTGCACATCACATCCTGAGAAACGCTGACTTAGGCCCTCCGGTTTTCAGTCTTGGCTCCTCCTGGGCCTCTGCATACATTTGTGGCAGACCTAGAGATGATATCGTCAGGTGAGTGTATGTATGCAGGAGCAGGCATTGGAGATGAGCCAGAGGGCAGGAGGTGGGCCTTGGCCGTGACCATGAAGAGGGAGAAGGGAGAAGGTTAGAGGTATCCAGAACCCAGGAACTGGGGTTACGCAGCTCTCAGATTATACTCCATGCTCATCCGAACTGCGACTTCAGATACAGCAGCATCAGATGGGAGACGTGCTGGGAGCGCGTAATGCTCGCTGCTTCCCGTGCATGTGCCTCACTCACTTCTGTGAACTTCCTCAAAGTCAGTTTTATCATCTACATTTTATGGAATTGAAAACTGAGGAGACCTAACACCGTTTTTAAAAATTATCCTAAGGCCAGGCACGGTGGCTCGCACCTGTAATCCCAGCACTTTGGGAGGTCAAGGCACTTGAGGTAAGGAGTTTGAGACAAGCCTGGCCAATATGGTGAAACCCCGTCTCTACTAAAAATACAAAAATTAGCTAGGCGTGGTGGCACATGCCTGCAATCCCAGCTACTCGGGAGGCTAAGGCAGGAGAATCGCTCAAACCTGGGAGGCGGAGGTTGCAGTGAGCCAATATTGTGCCACTGCACTCCAGCCTGGGCCACAGAGTGAGACTCTGTCTCAGAATAATAATAATAATAATAATAATAACAATATAAAAATAAATAAAATTACCCTAAGGTCACTAGCTAGGACTGAGAGTCTGTTTAACTTTAAAGCTCCAAGACCTTTCTTTCCTTTATTATTTTAATTACACAATTAATACATCAATACAGTTTCTAAAAAAAAAAATCCAACAGTCCAAGCACAGCAGTCTCCCCCTAACCTCAAAAGCCTCCTCAGAAGTAACCTGATATCAGTGGGCTGTGCAGATTCTTGTAGTCTTCTTTGCCTTTATATATGGAAATAACTTTTACGTTTGTTTTCACATAAGTGGAATTATGCTGACTGTATTATATGACTTGCTTTCTTCACATGATAGTAACTCCTGAGTGTTTCTCTATCAGCCACACAAATCTCCTTTATATTGGTAACATTCATCTTTAACCCAGAGACAAGATGAATGTTCAAAAACTGTAATCCAAACTCAGTTCTAAAAATGGGTGTGTGTTTAAACAAGAGCTGCTCAGCTGAGGCGGTTTTGCTGCTGAGGGGATTTGAGCAATGTCTGGGGACATGTGTGGTTGTCACAACTTGTGAGGGGGCTCCTGGCATTGAGGGGGTAGAAGGCGGGAAGGCACAGGTCAGGCCCCTGCAACAAGGAATTGTCAGGCCCAAAATGTCAATGGTGGCAGCACTGAGAAAATGTGATTGGTTTAAACCTACTTATCTTAATTGTGTTTCAACCGTCTTATTAAGGGGCTTGGTCAATATGTGTTTTATCAACACCAACCTTTACATAAATGAGTGCATACTTGGGAGCAGAGGTGGGAACATTGCCCTTGAGCTCAGGAGCTCCAGAGCAGCCTGAGCAACATACTGAGAGCCCATCTCCTAAAAAAACAAAAACATTAAAAGAGTGCTGAATAATAAGTCCATTTTAAACATATGGTAAGATTTCAGATTTTCTGAGGAAAAAATTAATTAGACTTGGCTTCTTCTCTTATTTGAAATTAGCAATACTTTTATACATCTCAAAGTGTGGTTTATGAAAGAGGCAAAATTGTCAATGACTACTTGTTGAATTTTGCTTCCTAACCATGTAATGGGGACAAGTGTTTCCGAAAACATGTTTTATATGGTTAGTTTTCCTGCAGATGGGAATTGTTCGCTGAATTATACTTTGTCCACTTAGGCTTAGGTAGATATGGATTCTGTGAAACTGGAAATCATTGAATGGTTTAAATACTGGATTAAAAGAAAAGGAACTATGGTAATTGCAGATCTGTTAGATGGAATCTGTCGTGCCCTAATAAGAGTGATAAGGAAGACCATTAACTGTTGGAAGCAAGTTGTTGGGTTCGAGGTTGGGAATTGGGCATGATTTGTTTCCTGTGTCACTACTTAGGTTAATTTACTCAGACTGCCATTTTTGTGTTGGAAGGAAATAAGGTCTAGGCCCTAAGCTTAGACTGTCTTCATGCCTAAAGAAGTCCAACCATTCATTATTACTTCGCTAAAGGATGCATGATCACAAATATTTGTAATGAAGATAGTGACTCCTTTTTTCTCAAAATAATTTTAAATTAACTTAAACATGCCTGATTTTCAGAAAGAAAGTATTAAAAGTAAAACCATACCTTTAATTTAGGACTGACTTCTGCATTTCAACTGTAGATTATTCTAGTATGAAGAGTGCTATTTGCATGTTGGAATGAATATCTTTTAATTCTTAATTTGTAAGTTACAAAGAAATAGGAGACTGAAATACTTTTTATCTTACAAAATTCCAAACACCTTTTCAAGCAATTTATATCTTATTTCTGTAATAGTTTTATCACCAGCCAATGGGTATGCACTGTATGTCATAATATGGAAAGAAATTCTTTATTATTTCAGATATTAAGGATTTCAGATTTTAAAAGAGTTATCAGTGAAACCATGTTACAAGAATATTTCCTTCCTGAGACATCTCAGTATTATAGGTGGCTTCAGACTCACAGGCACAGAATACGATAGTGGGAAGCATCTGATTCGCTTTACTCTACTTGGTACCTTTAGGACGTTCAGCCAGAGGTGATTGGAGGGATTTGCACGTCTACCACTCGTGTGTGTATCTGTGAACCATATCTCCTTTAGTGCCTGCTTTTGAACGTTATATAAACAGAATGATGCTGCCTGTTTATTTCTATAATTTTCTTCTTTTCCTTAGCATGTGCTGTTCTTGGCAGCTTGCTTCTCCATGTGAATTTTGGAAAAGCTTCTGAAGTTCCCTTTAGTAAACACCAAGAGAACTATTGCTGGGTCGTATCGTAGTTGCATGTTCAGTTCTCTAAGGCACTACCAATCTGTTTTCTTTTCTTTTTTGTTTTTTTTTGAGACAGGGTCTCACTCTGTCACCTAGGCTGAAGTGCAGTGGTGTGATCATGGCTCACTGCAGCTTTGACCTTCCTGGGATCAGGTGATCCTCTCAGCTCAGCCTCCCGAGTAGCTAGGACTATAGGCATGCACCACCACGCCCATCTAATTTATTGTATTTTTAGTAGAGACCATGGATTTCGCCATGCTTCCCAGGCTAGTCTTGAACTCCTGGGGTCAAGTGATCCTCCCTCCTCGGCCTCCAAGTGCTGGGATTACAGGTATGAGCCACTGCATCCAGCCCAACCTGTTTTCTAGAGTGACTGTTTTATAGTTTTAAAGTCCCTCATCCATTTTGAGCTATGTTTTTGGTGTAATTTATGTGGTTTAGGTCAATGTCCAGTTGCTCCAGCACCATTTGTTGTAATTGTGTAAAAAATCAGATGAGCATTTTTTTGTTGCTCTATTTCTGGGTTCTCTATTCTGCTCCAATCATCTTTGCATCCATGCCTCTGCCAATATAATATGGTCTAATGACTACAGCTATTATTGTAAGCCTTAAGGAAAAAATAAAACAGTCCCTATTTTCAGATGGCAAGATGGTTTACACAGAAAACCCCAAGGTATCTCCAAAAAAGAGCTCCTAGAACTGGTAAGTGAGTTCAGCAAGGTTGCTGGATTCAAGAGTAATACACAAATGTCAATCACATTTTGCATATTAACGATGAACATATGGAAAGCAAAATTTAAAACACAATGTCATTTATAATTAATTGCTCCAAATAAAATGAAATGCCTAGAATATACACTTAATAAAACATGAATAGAATTTGTATGTTGAAAATTACAAAATGCTGATGAAAGAAATCAAAGAAGAACTAAATAAATGGAGAGACATACTGTACTTATGAATTGGAAGATTCAGTATAGTAAAGATGTCATTTCTCCCCAACTTGATAATAGTTGTAATGAAATTGAATTAATGAATCAAATAGAGTGATTTCTCCCACTTTCTTCTTCTTCATCCAGATTGTTTTAGCTATTCTTGGGCCTGCGCTTTTTTCATATAAATTTTACAATAAACTTACCTTTGTCTATAAAAAAACCTTGTTGGGATTTTGATAGGAATTTCATTACATCTGTAGATCAATTTGGGAAGAAATGACATGCTTACTATACTGAATCTTCCAATTCATGAATTAGTATGTCTCTCCATTTATATAGGTCATTTCTTATAGGTTGATTATAGGTATATAGGTTGATTTCTTTTGTCAGCATTTTTTTATTTTGTTGTGTTATGTCCATGGGTTTTAGTTGTAAAGGAGAGGACCTGGGGGAAAAGGAGCTACTTCATCTTGGTGGAATTGGAAGTCCTATTACAGTTGTCTCCTCTTATCCATGCTTTTGCTTGGAAAGTTAGTTTCAGTTACTTGTGGTCAACAGTGGTCTGAAAATATTAAATGGAAAATTCCATAAATAAAGAATTCATAAGTTTTAAATTTTGCACTGTTCTGAGTAGCATGATGAAATCTTGCCCCTTTCTGCTCCATCCCACCCAGGACGTGAATCATTTCTTTATCCAGCATATCTACTCAGCATATGCTGCCTGACCACTAGTTACTTGGTAGTCCTCTTGGTTATCAGACCAAAAAACTAGTATATATAGCGTTTGGTACTATGTGTGGTTTCAGGCATCCTCTGGGGGTCTTGGAATGTATCTCTTGCAGGTAAGGAGGACTCTCTATTGGCTTTTGAACTCTTCAAGGTCAGAGATTTTGTCTGCTTTTTTTCTGCAACATGAAGTCTAGCATGCTGTCTGTCACAGTAGATGGTTTAATACATGTCGGATTAATAAACAAGTAATTGATATTTGTTGAGAAAATAATTTTGTGTTGGATGCAGAGAATATGTATGAGGTATTTTTTCTACCCTTAGAGAACAAACTATATGACTGTGAAAACTTAATGTGAAACTTACACGTTTAGTTTTGTGTAATGTGGTTTTGTTTAGTGGGTATTAGAATGAAATTTGAAATCCAGTGGTCCTGGATATGAATCTGGCCTCCATTAATTTACTAGCTATATGACCTTGGGAAAGTTCCTTAACTTCTCTGACACTAGGATTTTCTCATTTAAAAAATTGGGTGCTGGCTGTAGTCACCTGTCAGGGTTTTTATAAGGTTAAATGGTATAATACATGAAAAGTACTTGACTCTGTGCTTGACATGTAGGAAGCCCTCAAAACTGGTAGTGACTAAAGAAAATGATAAGCAGCATTACAGCACAGGTAAGTGATAACTGGGTTACACAAAGTATAACAGGAACGCCTATGGAAACCTAAAGTTGTAGGGAAAGACTTTATGGAGGAAGCAGGACTTGATCTAGCCCTTAAAAAAGAACAACGCTAGCTGGGCACAGTGGCTCATGCCTGTAATCCCAGCACTCTGGGAGGCCGAGGTGGGCGGATCACCTGAGGTCGGGCGTTCGAGACCAGCCTGACCAACATGGAGAAACCCTGTCTCTACTAAAAATACAAAATCAGCCGGGTACAGTGGCACATGCCTGTAATCCCAGCTACTCGGGAGGCTGAGGCAGGAGAATCGCTTGAAACCAGGAGGTGGAGGTTGTGGTGAGTCGAGATCGTGCCATTGCACTCCAACCTGGGCAACAAGAGTGAAACTCCATCTCAAAAAAAACAAAACAAAACAACAATGCTTAGACAAGCTTCGAGGTGAGAGTGAGTGAACATGGTTATGGCATTCCAAAGAGACAAGACATAATGAGCTATGGTTAGGAAGCTGCAATGTGTATGGCAGGCTCGCAAAACAAAAAGATTACTTGGATGATCCAAGAAATCTTGTACAGAAGTAATAGCAATAAGGTAGACTAGATGTCCTGAAAATCATTCCTCTACAAAATCCCTAAAAATGCTTATTTTTTAAAGACTTTATAGTTACATTTTCAAAAAGTAAGGGAAATCCTCAAATTCCAAAAAAGTACTTAAAAGCATGAATTCAAGCATCAGAGTTAAACTACATAGCAGACCAAATAGGCCTAAGCGACATTTACAGACCATTTCACCCAAATGCTGCAGAATACACGTTATTTTCATCAGGACATGGAACATTCTCCAGAACAGATCATATCTTAGGCCATGTGACAAGTCTCAACAGATTTTTTAAAAATATAAATCATATCAAGTGTCTTTTCTAACAAAAATGGAATAAAACTAGAAATCAGTAGCAAGAAGAACCTTGAAAACCACAAAACACATGGAAACTAAACAACATGCTCTTGAACAACCTATGGGTGAGAAAAGAAATAAAGAAGAAAATTAAAAAATTTATTGAACTACATCACAAAGGAAATACAACATACCAAATCTATTGAATATAGCAAAAGCAGTACTAAGAGGGAAGTTTATAGCAATAAATATCTATATCAAAAAAGTAGAAAGACTTTAAATAAACAACCTAAAATGTGCCATAAGGAACTAGAAAAAAAGAAAAAACCAAACCCTAAATTAGTAGAAGGAAATAAATAATAAAGATCAGAGCAGAAATATATGAAACTGAGACTTAAAAATACAGATCAATAAAATGAAAAGTTGGTTTTTTGAAAAAATAAACAAAATCAACAAACCCTTAGCTAGATTAAGAAAAAAAGAGAGAAGACCCAAATAAAATTAGAAACAAAGAAGGAGACACAACTGAGACCACAGAAATAGAATCATTAGAGACTGTTATGAACAACTACATGCCAACAAATTTTTAAAAATTCTAGGGAACTTAGAAAAATGGATAAATTCCTGGACACATACAACTTACCAAAATTGAACAATGAAGAAATAGAAAACATCCACAAACCAATAATGAATCAGGAGATCAAAGCCGTAATAAAATGTCTCTCATCAAAGAAAAGCCCAGGACCTGATGACTTTAGTGCTGAATTCTAAACCAAACTCTAACCAAACTCCTAAAAAAAAAAAAAAAAAAAAAAAAAAAAAAAAAAAATTGGACAGGAGGGAATAACTGCAAACTCACTCTGTAAGGTCAACATTACCCTGATACCAAAACCAGACCAAAAAAGAAAACTACAAGCCAATATCACTGATGAACATGGTTGGGAAATCCTCAACAAAATACTAGTAAACTGAATTCAACAACTCGTTAAAAAGATCACTGAGGCTGGGTGTGATGGCTCACGCCTGTAACCCCAGCACTTTGGGAGGCTGAGGCAGATGGATCATGAGGTCAGGAGATCAAGACCATCCTTGCCAACATGGTAAAACCCCATCTCTACTTAAAAAATACAAAAATTAGCTGGGTGTGGTGGCAGTGGGCCTGTAGTCCCAGCTACTCAGGAGGCCGAGGCAGGAGAATCACTTCAATTGGGGAAGCATAGGTTGCAGTGAGCCTAGATCGCGCCACTGCACGATCTGCCTGGCAACAGAGACAGACTCCGTCTAAAAAAAAAAAAAATCAGTAGCATTTATATACACCAATAGCAAAGAATATGACAGAGAAATCAAGAGAATAATCCCATTTATAATAGACACACACACACACATACACACACACAAGGAATAACTTTAACCAAGGAGGTGAAATTTCTCTGTAAGGAAAATGACAAAAACTGATGAAAGAAATTGGAGAGGACACAAACAAATGGAAAGACATCCATGCTCATGGATCAGAAGAATTAATATTGACAATTCTACCCAAAGCAATGTACAGATTCAATGTAATTCCTATCAAAATGCCAATGACATTCTTCACAGAAATAGAAGAAACAGTCCTAAAATTTATAAAAAAACCACAAAAGATCCTGAATAGCCAAAGCAATCCTGGGCAAAAAGAACAAAGGAAGCATCACACTACCTGACTTCAAAACGTACTACAAAGCTATAATAACCAAAACAGCGTGGTATTGGCATAAAAAACAGACATATAGACCAGTGGAACTGAATAGAGAACCCAGAGATAAATCCATGCATTTACAGCAAACTCATTTTCAACAAAGTTACCAAGAACATACAATGGGAAAGGACAGTCTCTTAAATGGCGCTGGGGAAATTGGATATTCATATGTAGAAGAATGAAACTAGATCCTTATTTCTCACCATATACAAAAATCAAAACAAAATGAATTAAAGATTTAAATCTCAGATCTGAAACTATGAAACTACTATAAGAAAACCTTAGGGAAATGTTCGAGGACTTTGATCTGGGCAAAGATTTTTTTGTGTAAGACCTCAGAAGCATAGGCAACCAAAGCAAAAATTGAAAAATGGGAGTATAGCAAGCTAAAAGTCTCCTGCACAGGAAATGAAACAATCAAGAAAGTGAAGAGACAACCCATAGAATGGCAGAAAATATTTGCAAACAATCCATCTGACAAGGGATTAATCACCAGAGTATATAAGCAGTTCAAACAACTCAATAGCAAAAAAAAAAAAAAAAAAAAAAAAAAAAACAACCTGATTTATTAAATGGGCAAAAGATCTGAATAGGCATTTCTTAAAATAAGACATACAAATAGACAGCAAGTATATGAAAAATGCTCATTATTACTAATCATCAGAAAATGCAAGTCAAACCCACAATGAGAGATCACCTTACCTCCGTTAAAATGGCTTTTATCAAAAGGGCAGGGAATAACAGATGCTGGTGAGGATGCAGAGAAAGGTGAACCTTTGTACCCTGTTGGTGGGAATATAAGATAGTACAGCCATTATGAAAAACAGTATGGAGGTTTTTCAAAAAACTAAAACTAGAACTACCATATGATCCAGCAATCCCACTGCTGAGTATCTACCCAAAGGAAAGGAAATCATGCATCAAAGGGATACCTGCACCCCGATGTTTACTGCAGCACTATTCACGAAACCCAAGATGTGGAATCAACCTAAGTGTCCACCAACAGATACATGGATAAAGAAAATGTGGTATATATACAATATGGAATATTATTCTGCCATAGAAAAGAATAAAATACTGTCATTTGCAGCAACATGGATGGAACTGGAGGTCATTATGTTAAATGAAATAAGTCAGGCACAGAATGGCAAATGCCACATGTTCTCACTCATATGTGGGTGCTAAGAAAGTGGGTCTTGGCCAGGCATGGCAGCTCACGCCTGTAATCCCAGCACTTTGGGAGGCCGAGGCAGGTGAATCACCTGAGGTCAGGAGTTTGAGACCAGCCTGGCCAACATGGTGAAACCCTGTCTCTACTAAAAATACAAAAATTAGCTGGGCACGGTGGCTCACGGCTATAATCCCAGCTACTTGGGAGGCTGAGGCAGGAGAATTGCTTGAGCCAGGAGGCAGAAGTTGCACTGAACCAAGATCACACCACTGCACTCCAGCCTGGGCCACAGAGTAAGACTCCGTCTCAAAAAAAAAAAAAAAAAAAAAAAAAAGAAAGTGGATTTCATGGAGTGCCTATTCAATATACTCTCATAGAGTAGATTAGTGGTTACCAGAGGCCAGGAAGAGGCAGTGGTGGTGAATGAAGGTTAATTAATGGGTACAAACATGCAGTTTGATAGAAGAAATAAGACCTACTGTTTGCTAGATCAGGAGGGTGACTATAGTTTACCATAATCTAGTGTATATTTCAAAGTAGCTAGAAGAGAATAACTCAAATGTTTCTAGCTCCAAGAAAAGACAAATATTTAAGGTGATGGATATCCTAATTACATGAATTTGCTCTTTACAAATTGTATGAATGTTTCAAATTGTCACATGTATCCCCAAAATATGTACATCTATTGTGTACTAAATAAAATTTTTTTAAATCATGAATTCAGTGATGAGCACTGAAGCCAGCTGCTGCTCTGTGGGCCTTTATCCCTCCCTGATTGCCTGTGGAGTTGGTTTTTTGTCTTGCTCTGTTGCCCAGACTGGAGTACATTGGCACAATCACAGCTCATTGCAGCCTCGACTTCCTGGGCTCAAGAGATTCTCCTGCCTCAGCCTCCCAAGTAGCTTGGACTATAGATGTGCACCACCACACCTGGCTAATTTTTGTATTTTTTGTAGAGATGAGGTTTCACTCTTTTGCCCAGGCTGGTCTTGAACTCCTGGGCTCAAGCTATCTGCCTGCCTCAGCCCCCACAAAGTGCTGGGATTACAGGCATGAGCCACTGCGCCTGGCCTGAGTGTTGGTTTTAAAGGGTTGCACAGGGTGACAGGGGAGAAGAGAAGTCACATTGGGGATCTCTCCCACCATAAACCTAAGTCCTGTATAACACACCTTCAATGTGTGACCTAGACAAACATATGACCCTCAATGGGGCATTGGAAGAAAAGTTGTCCTCTTTTGGCTTTTACACAGGAAAAAATAAAAAGTCCCTGAAATTTGTAACCACAGGGCAGGCCCTTGTGAATTGCTTGAACTCGGGAAGCGGAGGTTGCTGTTCTTCACTTATGAAGAAATGAGGCCCCAGTTTACACTGTCCATGTAGCTTGATAAATCTCAAGCCAAGAACTTACTTCCAAGTGAACCAGAGTTGATAGTATCTGAGATCCATGGTGGTGCAAACTAAAATCTTCTCTGGGGGAATGACCTTAAACCCAGGCCTCAAGTAATTCCTTCAGATCATATTATGGCCAACATGAATCACGATGAAAGCAGTCACGGAGCACGTGAGAGAACAAGGTATCGTGAGTGAGCACCAGCAAAGCAACAAACAGCAGAACCAGGAGAACAAAGACACCAAACAGAATGCCTGTGCACAGGGGAGTGGGATGAGGCCTGCTGCTGCCGGCTTTCCCCCACTTCCCTGGCGACCTGTATGACGCAGCAGAGGCAGCCATAATCCCTCTGGAAACATAACTCCATTGGCCTGGGAATCATGCCCCCATCCCCCACAGCAGCTGCAGCAAGCTCTGCCCAGAGAGAGTCTCAGCTCAGACGGACCTAACCCTGCCCCCACCTGATGGTCTTTTTCTACCTGCCCTGGCAGTGGAAGGCAAAGGACATAATCCCTTGGGAGCTCTATGGCCCTGCCCACTGCCTTACCCTAGGGCAAGCTTGTATCCTCCCTATACAACCACAGCTGATGCACTCTTGAAAGTGCCACCTCCTGGCTGGGGGCCAACCAACACAAAACCAGGGCACTTAACAAAAATACAACCAAGGACTCTGACAGAGTCCACTTGGCTCCCCTGCTACCTCCACCAGAGCAGGTTCTGGTATCCATGGCTGACAGGCCTGAAGATGGATCAGGTCTGTCCATTCTCCTGTACCAGCCAGGAGCCTGGTAGCGCCACTGGGTTGCTAGATCCAGAAGAGAAATAACAATCACTGCAGTTTGGCTCTCAGGAAGCGCCATCCCTAGGGGAAGGCAGAGAGTATCACATCAAAGGAGCATCCTATGGGATTAAAGAATCTGAACAGCAGCCCTTGAGCCCCAGATCTTCCCTCTGAAACAGTCTTCTCAAATGAGAAGGAACTGGAGAAACAATTCTGGTAATATGACAAAACAAGATTCCTTAACATCCCCAAAAGATCACACTAGCTCACCAGCAATGAATCCAAACCAAGGCAAAATTTCAGAATTGCCAGAAAAAGAATTCAGAAGGTTGACTGTTAAGCCAATCAAGGAGGCACCAGAGAAAGGAGAAGTCCAACTCAAAGAAATAATAATTTTAAAAAATGATACAGGATATGAATGAAAAAATCTTCAGTGAAATAGATAGCATAAATAAAACACAATCACAACTCCTAGAAATGGAGGACACAGAGAATTGTAAAATGCACTGGAAAGTCTCAGCGATAGAATCAAATAAATAGAAGAAAGAACTTCAGAGCTAAAGAACAAGGCTTTTGAGTTAACCCAAGCTGACAAAGACAAAGAAAAATAAATTTTTTAAAAAATCAACAAAGCCTGCAAGAAATTAGGGATTATGTTAAGTGACCAATCCTAAGAATAATTGATATTCCCAAGGAAGAAGAGAAATCTAAAAGTTTGGAAAACATATTTGAGGGAATAATCGAGGAAAGCTTCCCTGGCCTTGCTAGAGATCTAGACATCCAAATACACGAAGCTCAAAGAACACCTGGGAAATTCATTGCAAAACGATCATTGCCTAGGCACACAGTCATCAGGTTATCTAAAGTCAAGACAAAGGAAAGAATCTTAAGAGCTAGGAGGCAAAAAAAATCAGGTAACCTATAAAGGAAAACCCATCAGGTTAATAGCAGATTTCTCAGCAGAAACCCTATAAGCTAGATGGTATTGGGGTCCTATCTTTAGACTCCTTAAACAAAACAATTATCAGCCAAGAATTTTGTATTCAGTGAAATTAAGCTTCAGAAATGAAGAAAAGATAGTCTTTTTCAGACAAACAAATGCTGAGAGAATTTACCACTACTAAGCCAGAACTACAAGAACTGCTAAAAGGAGCTCTAAGTCTTGAAACAAATCCTCAAAATACACCAAAATAGAATCTCCTTAAAGCATAAATATCACAGGACCTATAAAACAACAATACTATGAAAAAAAAAACCCCACAAGGTATTCAGGAAATAAATAGCACAGTGAATAGAATAGTAACTCACATCTCAATATTAACATTGAATGTAAATAGCCTAAATGCTCCACTTAAAAGTTACAGAATGGCAGAATGGATAAGAATTCACCAACCAAGTATCTGCTGTTTTCAAGAGACTCACCTGACACAGAAGGATTCACATAAACTTAAGGTAAAGGGGTGGAAAAAGATATTCCATGCAAATGGACACCAAAAGTGAGCTGGAGTAGCTATTCTTATATCAGACAAAACAAACTTTAAAGCAACAGCAGTTTAAAAAAAGACAAAGAGGGACATTATATAATGATAAAAGGACTGGTCCAACAGGAAAATACCGCAATCCTAAATATATATGCACCTAACACTGGAGCTCCCAAATTTACAAAACAATTACTACTAGGCTTAAGAAATGAGATAGACAGCAACACAATAATAGTGGGGACTTCAATACTCCACTGACAGTACTAGACAAGTCATCACGACAGAAAGTCAACAAGGAAATAATGGACTTAAAGTATATCCTGGAACAAATGGACTTAAGAGATATTTACAGAACATTCTACCCAACAACTGCAGAATATGCATTCTATTCATTGGCACATGGAATATTCTCCAAAATTTTAGACCATATGATAGACCACAAAACAAGTCTCGGTAAGTTTAAGAAAATTGAAAGTATAGCAAGTACTGTGTCAGACCACAGTGGAATAGAATTGGAAATCAACTCCAAAAGGAACCCTCAAAACCATGCAAATACATGGAAATTAAATAACCTGCTCCTCCTGAATGATCATTGGGTCAACAATGAAATTTAGATAGAAATTAAAAAATTATTTGAACTGAATGATAATAGTGACACAACCTATTAAAACCTCTGGGATACAGCAGAGGTGGTGCTAAGAGGAAAGTTCATAGCATTAAATGCCTACATCAAAAAGTCTGAAAGAGCACAAACAGACAATCTAAGGTCAACACCTCAAGGAGCTAGAGAAACAAGAACAAACCAAATCAAACCCAGCAGAAGAAAAGAAATAACCAAGATCACAGCAGAACTAAATGGAATTGAAACCAAAGAAAAACACAAAAGATAAGTAAAACAAAAAGCTGGCTCTTTGAAAAGATAAATAAAATTGATATACCATTATCAAGATTAACCAAGAAAAGAAGAGAGAAGATCCAAGTAAGTTGAATTAGAAACAAAACGGGAGATACTACAACCAATACCACAGAAATACAAAAGACCAAGGCTACTATGAACTCCTTTATGCACATAAACTAGAAAACCTAGAGGAGATGGATAAATTCCTGGAAATATACAACCCTCCTAGATTAAACCAGGAAGAAATAGAAACTCTGAACAGACCAATAACAAGCAGCGAGATTAAAATGGAAATTAAAAAGTTACCAACAAAAAAAAGTCCAGGACCAGATGGATTCACAGCTGAATTGTATCAGACATTCAAAGAAGAATTGGTACCAATCATACTGACACTATTCCATAAGACAGAGAAAGAAGGAATCCTCCCTAAATCATCCTATGAAGCCAGTATCACCCTAATACCAAAACCAGGAAAGGACATAACACACACAAAAAAGAAACTACAGACCAATATCCCTGATGAACATAGATGCAAAAATCCTCAACAAAATACTAGCTAACCAAATCCAACAGTATATCAAAAAAGTATCCACCATGATCAAGTGGATTTCATACCAGAGATGTAGGGATGGTTTAACATCCACAAGTCAATAAATCTGATACAACACATAAACAAAATTAAAAACAAAAATCACATGAGCATCTCAACAGACACAGAAAAAAGCATTTTAAAAATCCAGCATCCCTTTATGATTAAAACTCTCAGCAAAATAGGCATAGAAAGGACACACCTTAAGGTAATAAAAGCCATCTATAACAAACCCACAGCCAACATTATACTGAATGGGGAAAAGTTGAAAGCATTCCCCCTGAGAAGTGGAACATGACAAGGATGCCGACTTTCACCACTTCTATTCAACATAGTACTGGAAGTCCTAGCCACAGCAATCAGACAACAGAAATAAATAAAGGGCATCCAAATAGGTAAAGAGGAGTCAAACTGTCATTGTTTGCTGATGACATGATCGTATACCTAGAAAATCATAAAGACTCATCAAAAAGCTCCTAGAACTGGCAGAAGAACTAAGCAAAGTTTCAGGATACAAAATTACTGTACACAAATCAGTAGCCCTGCTTACACCAACAACAACCAAGCTGAGAATCAAATCAAGAACTCAACTTCTTTTACGACAGCAGCAAATAAATAAATAAATAAATAAATAAATAAAATACTTAGGAATATAATTAACCAAGGAAGTGAAAGACCTCTACAAGGAAAACTACAAAACACTGTTGAGAGAAATAATAGATGACACAAATAAATGGAAACACATCCCATGCTCATGGATGTGTAGACTCAATATTGTAAAAATGACCATACTGCCAAAAGCAATCTACAAATTCAATGCTTTTCCCATCAAAATACCACCATCATTCTTCACAGAACTAGAAAAAACAATCCTAAAATTCATGTGGAACCAGAAAAGCGCCTGCATAGCCAAAGCAAAGACTAAGAAAAAAGAGCAAATCTGGAGACATCACATTACCTGATATCAAACTATACTATAAGGACACTGTTGCCCAAACAGTATGGTACTGGTATAAAAACAGGCATATAGACCAATGGAACAGAATGAATAACCCAGAAATAAAGCCAAATACTTACAGTCAACTGGTCTTCAAAAAAGCAAACAAAAACATAAAGTGGGGAAAGGATACCCTATTCAACAAATGGTGCTGGGACAATTGGCCAATCACATGTAGAGGAATTAAACTGGATCCTCATCTCTCACCTTATACAAAAGCCAACTCAAGATGGATTGAAGACTTAAATCTAAGGCCTGAAACCATAAAAATTCTAAGAGATAAGATTGAAAAAGCCCTTCTAGACATTGGCTTAGGCAAAGACTTCATGACCAAGAACCCAAAAGTAAATGCAACTAAAGCAAAGATAAATAGATAGGACTTAATTAAACTAAAAAGTTTCTGCACAGCAAAAGAAATAACCACCAGAGTAAACAACCCACAGAGTGGGAGAAAATCTTTGCAATCTATACATCTGACAAAGAACTAATATCCAGAATCTACAAGGAACTCAAACAAATCAGCAAGAAAAAACAATCTCATCAAAAAGTGGGCTAAGGACATGAATAGACAATTCTCAAAAGAACATATACGAATGGCCACCAAACATATGAAAAAATGCTCAATATCACTAATGATCAGGGAAACACAAATCAAATCCACAATGCGATATCTTTACTCCTGCAAGAATGGCCATAATAAAAAAATTGAAAAATAATAGATGTTGGCATGGATGTGGTGAAAAGGGAACCACTTTTACACAGCTGATGGGAAGGTAAACTAATTCAACCACTGTGGTAAACACTGTGAAGATTCCTTAAAGAACTAAAAGTAGATCTACCATTTGATCCAGCAATCCCACTACCGGGTATCTACTCAGAGGAAAAGAAGTCATTTTACAAAAAAGATACTTGCATACTCATGTTTATAGCGGCACAATTCGCAATTGCAAAAATATAGAACCAGCCCAAATGCCCATCAGTCAACGAGTAGATGAAGAAAATGTGGTGTATATATACACCAGGGAAGACTACTGAGCCATAAAAAGGAACGAAATATTGGCATTTGCAGCAACCTGAATGGAATTGGAGACCATTATTTTAAGTGAAGTAACTCAGGAATGGAAAACCGAACATCGTATGTTCTTACTCACAATTGGGAGCTAAGCTATGAGGATGCAAAGGCATAAGAATGATGCAGTGGACTTCAGGGACTTGGGGGAAAGGATAGGAGGGGGTGAGGGATAAAATACTACACATTGGGTACAGTGTACACTGCTTGGGTGATGGGTGCACCAAAATCTCAGAAATCTCCACTTAGTAACTTATTCATGTAACCAAACACCACCTGTTCCCCAAAAACCTATTGAAATAATAATTAAAAAAAGAATGCCCATGCACAGAATGCACAATGACCAGTTGGAATATATTTGAAGAAATATATTTCAAGAAATAAAAGAGGCTATGAAACATACACTTACGGAAAAAGAGACTTTCAAATGACCAGGTGGACTTAAAATGGAAGAGAAGAGAGTGAGTCAGCAAAGCAGACAGTGCATCACTGTGGGACCTAAAATGCCCAGTGAAGAAAGAGGGACTTTGTATATGAACATGATGGAACCACCGAAATCTCCAAACAGTGAGCCTGACATATGCTAAGTGGGGTTTAACCAGGACTAATCTGGTAGGCATGTGCAGAAGGGACAAAAAGGGTGAGGGTAGCGTAAAGATCAACCACAAATCCCATCGTAGGAGTACCAGTGTGTTTCCCTAGAAGTGATGAGAGTGGAAAGAGTGTATGGAGGTGGAGAAGGCATCACAATGGAGAAATCAACAGTATTTGGTGCCCGGATGGCAAGGGAGTGGGGGAGGATTCTGCTCTAAGCCTCCAAGGTATTAGTGACTCTAGTCACTAATACCTTGTATTCCCTTCTAGAACGTTCCCAAACCCAAATCCCTGGGTTCATCCTCAGCTTCCACTCAGCCACTGTGACCTGGGGAGACCTTGGGAACCATGACCTTTCAAGAAGCACCAGAACGCAGTCAGCCTCCTATTAACAAAAAAAATATGGACTCCACCCAGCCCTTCTGAGACTGGAGTCGTACTAATGGTGCATTAAATATTACGAAGCCTTTTCACACACCCTGCCTCAATGGATCCTTGAAGTAGGTGGTTGAGCCCTTCGTCCTTACTTGTTTTCTGAGTGGTAAACCTGAGGCTCATCAGCATGAAGGGACATCCCCAAAGTCAAACAGGTTGGGGAGTCGGGGAGCCTGGACTAGGCTACTCCAGGTTAGACCTGTCCTCCTCCTTCCACATCTTGAAAGGGGAGACCTCAGGATGGAACCTGTTGGTTTTCATTATGTTCCATTGTCTTTGGGTTCTTGCATGGATACAAGGCATAAAAAGAAATGAAGTTGCTGGAAACTTTTAGTTCTAGTGGGTTCACAGCTATAAAGAAGGAATTGTGTAATGCAATGCATTTTGCAATTTCTCTGATGCTTTTAATCATAAGCAAGTAGGATATGGGGGAGGGGCAATGGCGTGGGGAAAGGGTGGAAAGAGGACTGGAGTTGCTCAGAGAGATACAGTTGTAAAAAGGGATAGCAGCTGAGTTTCTGACGCTAAATTTTTGGTGCCCTATGGTGTTAATTAGACATTTCTTTTCAATCTGATTGACAGTGCATTTTAATGAAGAAATAACAGAGCCCAGCAGAGCCTGGCAGTATACTCTTTTCTTACAATTTACAAGCTGAACTTCCCTTGGCAACCTACATCTGGTTTGCTCTGCTGGTAAGTCTGTCAGTAGAACAATGTATAGGGTCTTTCGTTTCAATAGGTTTGCTGTTGTTAAAGCCTTCTGCATTTTCTTCCGCTTAGTTCATTAGGGCTGTTAAATTTCATCAAATTACTTTCCTTAAGTTAAAAAATAGCACAGTTTTGACCAGTGTGAATAAAAATGGGATAGTATGAAAATGTGCAAGCTTTTAAAGGAAGAGCCTCTCTGTTAAGTGTTGTATAGTGGAGGCTTCATGGGAAATTTTGTAAGTGTTTTTTTTCTCCCTTTAAATGGGATGTTTCCTGGAAAATTAGAATGAACCCTAAAGGATCCCCTAAGCCTCCTGTGACCACTTGGAAGCAGAAGGTCCCCACGCATTAAACGGCTTGACCACCTAGGAGTGCTGATACCTGGGCAAGTGTTTTTGGAACACTTTATTTTATAAGATTTCACCTTTGTTTATATTTCCAAGCAGATTTAAAAAAAGCAAATACATCTTTTGTTTTTTTAACTTCTACCCAGGAGTAAATGTGCATCTCTGCCAGACACTAAGGGGGAATCTTCGCTTTTTGTAGATGAGCCAGGTGACCAGGGAGGACAGAGGCAGGGTAGGCTGGGTTGAACTTATCTTCCCTCACCTAGGGACAGGGGTGGCCTTAGGCCTGGGGGTACAGCTGAACCTACAAATTGCGGGTTAAGTGGCTCCAGTAGAGGCTATAAAGGCAGAGAGCCAAGCAGACCATTACGAGCTTCTCCTCCAGGAAAATGGAAGCCATTTAAGAAATTCCAGGAATTGCTTGGAACATGCAGGATTCTTAAACAAAGGACCTTTGTGACATTCAGAATTACCAAACTTAGGAGAGGAAAAAACTCACACCTTGCTTGCCTCCCTTTCCTTGGTCTACTTCTATTGCTTGGTCTAGATCAATTGAAAAGACCTCCAGATTTGGAATCTAACCACAACCCCACATTTTTGTGAGGAGTGCAAAGGGGAGTTGCACCTTCTTGAGGATCCTGCCCATATGCTGTCCCAGGTGTTTCCCACCTGGTTTGCACAATCTTCAGTTCTGCAGTAATCTTTTCTTTTTTTTCTTTTCTTTTCTTTCTTTCTTTCTTTTTCTTTCTTCCTCTTTTTCTTCCTTCCTTTCTTTCTTTCCTTCTTTCTTTCTCTCTCTCCTTTTCTTTCTTTCTTCTTTCTCTCTCCTCTCTTTCCTCTTTCTTTTTTTTCTCTCTCTTTCTCTTCTTTTGTTTTTCTTTTGAGATGGAATTTCACTCTTGTGGCCCAGGCTGGAGTGCAATGGCATGATCTTGGCTCACTGCAAACTCTGCCTCCCCGGTTCAACTGATTCTCCTGCCTCAGCCTCCCGAGTAGCTGGGATTACAGGCATGCACCACTATGCCAGGCTAATTTTGTATTTTTAATAGAGACAGGGTTTCACCGTGTTGGCCAGGCTGCTCTTGAACTCCTGACCTCAGGCAATTCGCCTGCCTCGGCCTCCCAAAGTGTTGGGATTACAGGCGTGAGCCACCGTGCCTGGGCTGTAATGTTTTCTTAGGTAGAAAAAAAATGCTGCAATTCATGCTTCATACAAAGTCTTCCTATTGCTGGGCCAGGTGTGGTGGCTTATGTCTGTAATCTCAGCACTTTGGGAGGCCGAGATGGGCAGATCACTTGAGGTCAGGAGTTTGAGACCAGCCTGGCCAACATGGCGAAACCCTGTCTCTACTAAAAATACAAAAAGTTAGCTGGGCTTGGTGGTGGGCGCCTGTAATCCCAGCTACTCGGGAGGCTGAGGCAGGAGAATTGCTTGAATACGGGTGGTGGAGGTTGCAGTGAGCAGAGATCATACCACTGCACTCCAGCCTGGGTGACAGAGCAAGACTCCAACTCAAAAACAATAACAACAAAACAATAACAACAATAAAGTCTTCCTATTGCTGCAAGTATATGGTAGAAGAAAATCATAACAAAAACAAAAGGATAAAGTTAAATTCTCACTCAGAGACTTCTGCTCTCATCTTATCCATTAGAACTGGGCTGTGTGACCACCCCTGGCTGCAAATGAAGGTGTGTAATTTTTCGGCCCAGTGCTGCCCTGTCAAAATCACCATGGTTAGGGAGAAGGACAGAACGGATATTGGATGGATGCTAGCAGGTTCTGCCCATTCATCATCTTTTATAAACTGTGGGCCTTTCTAATGTTAGTTACAATGAACCGGTCACAACAGCCCCATGCTGTTGTGAAGCACTTCTTAGTTCTTTATTCCCAGGCAATACAAATCCACAGTGAAAAAAAAAATTTAAATTAGAAAATACACCTTAGAAAGAAAGATTTAAAAATACCTATAATCCATTACGCAGAGAGTACCAGTGTTAACCTTGCGGTGTATTTTCTTTCGAACATGGATGTGTATGTGCATACACATACACATACACACAATTTTTTGTTTTGTTTTGCTTTTTTTTTTTGCATAGATGGACCAATGAGATTTGAATGGCGAGGCTGACTGGAAACTTTGTAATCACAAAGATGGCCAAATCCATCGTCAGGGGTCCTCCCTCCAGGGCTGGTTCCTCCTCAGGAGGAGGGTCAGCTGCTGGGGGCCAGAGGCGCCCCAGGCTGTGAGGACTGCCTGGAGGTGGCATAGGAGGCTGGTGCCCAGCCAAGCTGAGCAGGAAGGAAAGGCCCTCTCAGGGCAGATGACCCCAAAGTTCTCTTCCTCCAAAAATGAGGATAGTAATGACCAAATCGTATTAAACATGAACATTAGAAAACATAATGATATAAAGTCACTTTATAAACTGAAAACGCTATACCACCATAAGGTGGTATCATAATCACTGTTTTTGTTGTCAACATTAATAACAATATCTAATATTTATTGAGCACATGCTATGTGCCAGGCACTCTGCCACTAACTATGTATGAATTATTTAACCCTCAGAATAACCCCATGGTATGGGTTTTTAAAAATTATCATCTTTTTTGTAGATGAGGATATTGAGGCAAGATTAGGTAACTTGCCTAAGCTCACAGCTGGTAAGGGACTGCTAGGACTGCAACCCAATTCTAATGCAGAATCCTGTTCTTCTAGAGAATCTAGTTTTCAGTCTTCATTATTTAGATTGTCTACCTTGGATGCTTTCTGGTTATTTTAAAATTCATTGCCTGTAACTTAAAAAATACTCCAAATATAGCCTGACCATCAAAGAATATAATGTGATTGATTATCACCTCCTTCATTTGAAATATTATGCCTTCATTAATGCATCCAGACATTTTATTGGTTTTTTGAAAAACTAGGTCCCACTGATGGCTTATCTGAATTTGAAGTCTGCATTTCCTAAGTCCTTCTCTTTTGCACTGTTAAACTTTATCTCCCTTACTGCGAACTCATACAAATGAAATTGGACATCAGTCTTTAATAGGTTGTCTTGATTGAAGCCCCAGCCAGCGTGTGGAAACTCTTAAGAAATCAATAAAATATTCTTCTGCTGGGTGTTCTATGCAAGATTCTCAAATGCTAATTGTTATTGTGAAATGGTGAGTCATCTGAAAGAGTTTCCTTGTCAAGCTGCATTGCATCATATGGGAACTGTTTTAAATAGACCACCCTGTACACAAACATTTTCATCTTGGTGCATTCAGGCACCACTTCTGTGTAGTGGGAGATTAATTGTCCTCTCCACTGAACAGGGGGAGCGGCTGCACAGGGAGCACCACGCGGGGCTGCAGGGAGGGCCAGAGCTCCTGGGTCTCCTCCCGCTCCATTTCCAGAGGGTGACATCTGATCTCTTCATAAAAGTGAAAATTTAACAGGAGAGAGAAAGGGTTGAGCAGCCCAAGTTTTCCACTGAATCAAAAACAGACCATTCATAAGAAAAGAAGATTCTTTAAAATGGAACTTAAACAGGATGGATGAGATAAGAATTTGAATTAAAATATTTTAAATGTTACTTTGAACAAGTCAGGACGAAAATGGAATGAAATTTCAAGCAGCATTGGAGGGGGACAGGGGGTGATCCTGGACTATGTATGAATACAGGGTGGAGAGAAAGAGGGGCCTTGGCTTGCAGAAAGTGAAAGAGACATACAGGAATTCTACTTAACTGGTTAATTTGCAGACAAAGAACAATATAAATTTCACTGTTTGAAGGAGGGGGAAATCTCCTCTTAGAAAAACAAAAAACAAAGCAGATTTTCACAGCTCCGCGCATATTTCCCTTCTCCGCAGTGATGAAAGTGTTTGCACTAATTTTCCAGGGAGACCAGAAAATATGTATAGTGTGTTTTGTCTCCAGTGGCATCCTGGGTCACTGAGCACCGTCATTCAATGTGATTTGTTGATGGATAGATGGAAGAATCGAACCTTTCAGCATCAGGGGAAAAAAGTAGCCAGAACTCAGCATCGATGGGAGCCCCAGTGGAAAATAATCTGAAATGTTAAATCTTAAAGTTACAGAAGACGCTGTGCCATGGAATGAAGTGCAAACACTGTCACTGGGAGAGGTCGGGCCCAATCGCTTTTGCCTCTTTCTGTTGGATAAGGTTATGCTTCTAGAAGATGAGAGGGCAGTGACAAAAACAGAGTGTTCCATGTGGCCTCTGAATGGACCAGACTCAGGCCCTCCAGGTCAATTGTGTGCAGAAAGAAAGGCCCAAACTGCTAACTAGGGTTGCCCAGAGAACTGGTGGCTGTGGGAGTGGGCGGGGGCGGGGCGGGGGAGGTGAAGAGAATTCTCTCTCTGCTCAGAAGGGAAAATTCTCCACCAGCTCTTTCCCAGCTGAGTGCAGAAAGGGAACACATCCCGACACCCCCTCAAGTTCCCAAGGGAACAGGAGGCCGCTTGAGCTCTCCCCTTCATCACCTCTTGGTTCACTGAATGAAACAGCCTCTTCCCTGGGGCTGGGGTGAGACCCCGGGCGCACCCGCATGGCCTGCTACTCAGCATCCTGCCCCTCTGCAGGCTCACGGGGAGTCCACTCCAAGCCTGGGTGGAGTGGAACAGCGGCTGAGCCCATTTGCCTTGACTCGCGGTAGGATGTTCAGACAGGAGCAGGTCAGGCGGATGACTGGGAGACTGGACGACCTGGAATGGGATACAGGAAAAAGGAATGAGCCCCTGCCATGTGCCAGGCCTGTGCTTAATGCTTCACCGCAGTCCTCCTGCTGAATCCTCCCGTTTGACAGATGAGGACCTGGAGGCGGAGGGACCGTGAGCAATCTGCCGAAGCCACATGTCACGTCAGTAGCAGAGCAGGATGGTCACCTCATCTGTCAGAAGCCTCATGATGGGCTTGGCCCAGAAAAGCACCAGCTCAGGGCCTTAGGAAGTCAGGGAGGGCTCCAGGTGTAATGGGTTCATGTCTGCACAGAGACTGGACGGGGTGGTCAGTCATGAACCCCTGAAATGCCTACGGCATGAAGGGAACGACAATAGGCTGAAATGAGACTTTGTCCCATTTGGGACCTCAGGAAGCTGACTCTGAGATTTGCCTCCTGAAGTTTATTGAGGTACTCCCAGGATCAACATCTGTGAAGGAAGAGAAAGAGGCAGGATGAGGCAGAGAGATGCTGAGCTGCAAGGCAGTCTCCACGAGGCCTCCGACAACCCCAGGGCAAGTCTGAAGTGGAAAGAGCCCTCAGAGGGCGGGGCTTTTGTACCCCTGCCCCATTGCCCACTGGACACAGCTGTCCTGGGGAAGGGGCATGAACTCGGGAAAGTGGCTGTTTTGAGCTGAAGGCAAATCACAGAGAGGAATTCAGTTGAGAGCTGTGGGCAGCCAACACTCGGTATAGCCAAGAGCATGAAGGCCTGAGCTGTCGGGGGACTCTGGGACACTGTTCAGCTGTACAAAAATACCTCCACCAATAGGCCAAGATGGGAGGTGTGGAACAAGACCCAAACCAGGGTCCTTTAACGGAATCTTTGGTGGAGAGATACATGGTTTTCCACATATTAATATTTCTGAAATTGAGATGCATTTTGCAATTCAGGTCAAAGTAGGCTTGTCAGCTGCAAAGCTGTTATTAAATTGTTGGTGGGTTTTGGAACAGAAGATCTGAGAGTTGAGGAAACATCATATTGAACTGACTGGCTGATAATGAGGCTGCGGTGGGGGATGTATGAGAGAGGTCTAGTCTTGCCAACGGCTTCAGGAGAGGGACTCCTGCCACACCACAGCAGGGAGGTAAGGGCTCCTCCCTCTTGCTTGCTTCAGAGCTACCGTCAATAATTTTTGCTTACCTGGTTTTAGTCTGAACTTCTGAAAACAAGTAAACAAATAAATGAGTACTGCCAACCTTAAGTATCTTCAGGGGATTGGTCTCAGGACCCCCGTGGATGCTAAAAAGCAGCAGATGCTCAGGTCTCTTCCATAAAATGGTACAGTATGTACACATAGCCCACACACACTGTCCCACATGCTTTAAATCATCTCTAGATGACTTATAATACCTAGAACAATGTAAATGCTATGTATATAGTTGTTAACACTGTATTTTTATTTGTATTACTTCATATTGTTGCATTTTTTTTTAAGTCAAAAGTGTTTTACTGTTATTTACATATTTATAGAAAAAGGAATGTAGCAAATGGCTCAGGGTCATATGAAAAAAAAAATCCAGGTTTGTATCCAAGTTGCTTCATTTACATCTGGGAGCAGGGCTGTCCCCACATCAGGCACAGCAGCTGCACTTCTCTGTTGCCCCTTTGCAGATGCAGCCCTGGGCACACTTGGCACAGCCCACAGGGCAGCAGGAGCAGATCTTCTTGCAGGAGGTGCATTTGCACTCTTTGCATTTGCAGGAGCCAGCACAGGGCCAGCAGCCGCCAGTGGTGCAGGAGCTGTTGGGGTCCGTTTTGAGCAAAGGAGACGCTGGAGTTCCCATGGGAAAGGTGAAGAGGCAGTCAGGCAACTGGAAGGTGTCATATGGTTGCATTATTATTTTTTATTTTCATTTTTTGAATAATTTTGATCTGAGGTTTGTTGAATCCGTGTATGTGGAACCCTTGGACATGGAGGGCCAAATGTCATGACAAATTGTAGTACCTGTGGTGTGTGACTCCAGGGCCACTTTAATTAATAAACTACATTAGTAAACAGCTTTGGGTCTTTTTCAAACTGCCCTAGAAATCTCCTTAGAGGGTTCAACTTTGTTACTGGAAAAGACTAATGTGGCCTGGTAGATAGAATTTAAAGTCCACATAATTTTTAAGCAATTTTTTTTCCTGGCATTCACATGTTCTTGATTCTAAGTAATGTGTGCACCCTGACCTCTTCTGATTCATCCGTTTTAACTACTAACTTCACATGATGGTCAAGGAGCCATCCTTCAGCCCTCCCTCAGCAGTCCTTCAATATAATTATATTGCAAATTGTAGGATTAAATAACACATAGTGTTTACATTATCCTATGTACATATTACTCCCAGCCGAGCACTGTAGGGTACTGTGACCATGCCCCTGTCCTTACTGCCCCCTGCCTCCTCATGTTAATGATTGCTTTTCTTTCTTTTTCCTTAGTTTTCTTTCTCACACCTTTTAATAACTTCCTGGTATAACTTCCCACAACTTCCTCCAGCTTCCTCATGAAGTCATCCATCTGGGCCACCATTTTCTTGTAGACGTCCCTGCTGGAACCCTCCACTCTCCTTCTCGGTCCTTCTAGGACTTCTTTTATGGCCCTCCTTGGGACTGCCTTCCTTTCTATGGGACTGCATTCTCTACTTCCTAGGTCTTCTATCTTCTCAGGGCAGGAATGGAAAGGGGGCAGGGCAAAGAACAGATACACACACACGCACACATGTATATACACACACATAGAGACCACACTACTGAGGTATCATTTACATACAGTGAAATGCACAGGTCTTAATTGTAGAGTTCCATGGGGTTTGACAAATTAATATCTTGAGGAAGATACGGAGCATTTCTATCCCCTAGAAAGTTTCCCTGTACCCCTTCTCAGTTAATCCCACCTCATACTCCCAAAGCAACCACTGATCTGATCTCAATCACATACATTAGATTTGTCCTGCCAATGATAGAACTTCATATAAATGGAATTACGTAGAGGATATGTTGTGGGAGGGTCTGGCATTTTTCACTCAGCACAATATTTTTTAACACCCATCCTTACTGCTGCATATCATTTGTTCCTTTTAGTGCCAGAGCAACTGTATTTCATAAATGCCTGTCTTAGTCAGTGCAAGATGATACAAAAAGAATACCATAGACTGGGTGGCCTAAACAATGAACATTTATTTCCTCATCACATTAGGAACTAGGGTCATAACGTACGAATTTTAGGGAGACACATAAGTTCAGTCCATAGCATTCTACCCCTGGCCCCCCAAAATTCATGTCCTTCTCATGTGCCAAATACACATTGTCCTCAACATATGATGGTTCAACTTACAATTTTTAAATTTTGCGATGGGTCTATCAGGAAATAAATAACCCCATTGTAAGTTGAAAAGCATCTTCTGATTTTTTGACTTTACCATGGGTTTATCAGGGTACTGAATGCATTTTTACTTATATATTTTTTTACTTACAATGGGTTTATTGGGACATAACCCCATTCTAAGTCAAGGAGCATCTGTACATTCATTCCATCCTCCAAAGTCTTAACTCATTCCAGCAACAACGCTAATGTCTAAAGTCCAAAGTCTTTTCTAAATATCTTCTAAATTAGGTACAGTGAGACTTGAGTTATGATTCATCCTGGGGCAAAATTCCTCTCCAGCTGCGAATCTGTGAAACCAAACAAGTTGTATACTTCCAAAATACATTGGTGGGACAGGCATAGGATAGGCATTCCCATTCCAAAAGCAAGAAACACAGAAGGAAGGGGTGACCCAGTCCCAAGCAAGTCCAAACTACAAAGCAAACTCCATGAAATCTTAAGGCTTGGGAGTAATCCTTGGTTTGATGCCCTGCCTTCTGGAGCCACTAGGGTAAAGGTCCCACCCCAGCAGCATTCCTGGCCAGATGTTGCACCCCTAGCTTCTCTACCAGGCAAAGATTGTGCCTCCACATCTTTGGTTGGAAGCTGTCTGGACTATTGAAACCAGGGCAATAGTCCTTCAAATTGGAGGCAGAGGACCTCCAAATTGCCTCGGGGCCCTTCATCCCTTTTACTAGATGATAGCACAAAGTCACGGCCTTCCTTCATTCCATTCCATGTTCTGTTTTTTTTAGTCCCAGCCAGCAGTGTCTCTGCAGGTGTAATCCCATCTGTATTCCCGGCCTCTGTTGAAATGGCTGATTAAGTTCATGGTACACAGCCACACTAATCTCTTTATGAAATGGTTGGTCCACCACACCCTTAGTGTTCTCTTCAGTACACACTTTCTCATTTTTCGTCATATGAACAGACAGAGAATTTTCCAAATCTTTAAACTCTGGTTCATTTTTGCTCAACAATTCCTTTTTCAATTCATTTCTCTCTTCTTGCATTTTACTACAATCAACTGGGAGGAACCAAGTCACTTCTTCGACATTTTGCTTAGAAATCTCCTCAGTAAAATATCCAGTTTCATCCCTTGCAAGTACTACCTTCCACAAAACACTAGGACACAAACACAATTCAGCCAAGTTATTTGCCACTGTATAATAAGGATGGCCTTTCCACCGTCATCCAATAACACTCTTCATTTACGTCTGAGACAACATCAGAAAGGCTTTTACCTCCATATTTCCATCAACATTCTGTTCATAATTACTTATGTATTCTTTAAGGGCCAGTTCATAATGATACAAGGCTAGATTCACAATAAAAATAAATTTAAATTTGTATGTACCTAATAGTATAACCTCAATATATTAAACAAAAAGTGACACCTAAAATAAGAAATAGATAAACCCACAATCATAGGGGAAATTTTAAAACGCTTTGCTCAGTAGTTGAAAGAAAAATTGTTGATATAGAAGATTTGAGTATGATTAACAAGCCTAAACTAAATGATGTGTAGATCCTGTCCCCAACGGTTGCACAATACACACTATTTTCAAGCAAACAAGTAATATACAAAAATTCACAATATATTGGAGGTAAAAAGCAAGTCTCAATAAATTTTACAGAGGAATGTTCTCTGATCACAATGAAATTATGTCAGAAATCAATTATTAAAAGTAAAATCAGTAATTAAAAGGAAACATTTCCACTTGGTTGAAAATTATGTAAGACAACCCTAAATATATTATGGTCAAATAAGAAATCACAATGAAATTTGGAAAATACTTAACTGAACTAAAATGAAATAATACATATTAAGACATATGAAATATAAAACATAGAATAGCTGTAATCCCAGCACTTTGGGAGGCTGAGGCAGGAGGACTGCTTAAGCCCCCAAGACCAGCCTGGGCAACAAGGCAAGACCTCATCTTTCAAAAACATTTAAAAAAATTAGCTAGGCCTGGTGGTGTGCACCTGTGGTCTCAGCTACTTGGGAGGCTGAGACCAGGAGGTCAAGGCGGCAGTGAGCCACGATTGTACCACTATACTCCAGCCTGGGCAACAGAGTGAGACCCTGTCAAAAAAAAAAATGTAATAGGAAAAAGTCTGAAAATCAACAATTCAAACTTCCATCTCAATAACTGGAAAAAGAAACAGCAAAATAAACACAAAGAGGATGGAAAGAAAATGATAAATATAGGAGCAGAAGCTAGTGAAATACAAAGCAAACATATAAAATGAGGACCAACAAGGTCAAAAGTTGGTTCTTTAAAGAGATTAATAATTGACAAACTTCTGGTATGACTAATCAAGAAAAAAGAGAGAAACCACAAATAACCCAAATTGGGAATCTTATAAAAAGGGAGACATCACTACAAATGCTATAGATATTTTAAAAGATCATAATGTATTATTATGAACAACTTTATGCTAATACATTTGAAAGATTAGACAAAATGGAAAATTTTGTAGGAGAAAAAGTAACGTACCAATTTTGAATGAAGAAGAAATTAAAAAATCAGATTGTTCTAGAATAGAACTGTCCAAGAGAAATATAACATGAACCAAAGATGTAAGCCATTAGGCATTTTTAAATTTTCTAGTAGCCACATTTTAAAAAGTAAAAGGAAATTATTGTAATTAATTTTAATAATATATTTTACTTAACCAGGGATATTCAAAATATCATTTCAACATGTAATCAATATAAAAATTATCAGCAAATATTCTTTTTTGGTACTAAACTTTCAAAATCTGATGTGTATTTTATATTCGCAACATGTCTCAATTTGAACTAGCTGCACTCTGCACTTCCAGGGCTCAATAAACACATGTAGAGGGTATCCACCATATTGGATAGTGTAGATTTAGACCAAGGTTGGAGAAGCTGCCTTACCAGATATCAGGATTTATTATTTTTTAAAAATTTTAATGTAATAATTAAAACAAGGTAGGTTTTACGCAGAGCAAGACAAAAGCACCAATGGCTGTCTCATTAATAATCAGGAAATGCAACTTAACACCACTCTGAATAACCCTATATGCCCATTGGATTTCCAGAATTGGAAACTTCTGATAATGCCACGTGTTGGTAAGAATACAGAACGGTGTTTTATTTATTTGCCTGGGAGGCAAACTTAAATGTTGATGTTTAGTTTATTGTTAAAACAAACAAACAGGCAAACTGTTCATTATTACAGAAACCATATTGCTACAGCGAAGAAAATTTCAAAATATAGGCAAGCAAAGCGAAACAAACCAACAAAACAAATCATATTTCTGCTAGCCAGAGATCGCCACTGTGAGGTGTGAGTATTTGTGTGTATACGTGTATGGGTGTGGTGTGTGTGTGTGTGTGTGTGTGTGTTTTGGAGAGAAAGAAAAATAGGTTTGCTTTTCAGAAGCCTCAAAGATGCAGAGTGAATAGTCAGAAATGTTGAAAATACTTAAACAGTCAAGAAGGCTGCAAGATTTTAAATTAAATCTTAACGTATCAAGAAGCGCTACCTGGAGTAGAATGTGAAAACAATGGGAATCTAGATGCTAAGAGATCTTTTTTTTGAGACAGAGTCTCGCTCTGTCGCCCAGGCTGGAGTGCAGTGGCACGATCTTGGCTCACTACAAGCTCAGGCTCGTGGGCTCACGCCATTCTCCTGCCTCAGCCTCCCGTGTAGCTGGGACTACAGGCGCCTGCCACCACATCCGGCTAATTTTTTGTATTTTTAGTAGAGACGGGGTTTCACCGTGTTAGCCAAGATGGTCTCTATCTCCTGACCTCGTGATCTGCCCGCCTCGGCCTCCCAAAGTGCTGGCATTACAGGCGTGAGCCACCGCACCCGGCCGCCTCCCCAGCTTTAATCATCGTGTTTCTTTATAAACTTTTATATAACCCAAGCAAGGCAGCTTTGTAGCTGTACATTGAAGGTGAGGGGCACTGAAGTGTTTCTCCCCTTCAACGAAGCTAGGGAATCACACAGGGTCTCCCTCACGCAGCCAAGGAAGCAGGAGGCGCATAGCACGAGTCTGCAGTCCTATGTATAATTCAAGGGGATGTTGGTAAATGCATCACGGGTAAAGAAAAATTACAAGATCTACGGAGCCAAGCATGATGGATTGCTTCAAAGCAGGTTGCTTACCAAGAGCGGCCTGTATCATGCTGTGCATGACAATCTCTGTAAGAAAATCACAGGTTGATAATCCAGAGGCTGTGTTTACATGCACACACACATCTTCAATCCCTTGGATGAACATCTGATTTGTGTTACTCTCTTTGAGTTTCAGAATTTCCATCTGGAATGTTACCTCACCAAACCAAACTACCTTAGGTCTAGTTAGTTTGAAGTCTGATTTTTTCCATTACTAGAAGGCAATCTTGGAATAAAGTCTTTAAAAATATTATAGTCTTTCTGCAGATGTATTTATCTCTTTCCATCAAAACAACATACTAAAGTTTACAATAAATTCTTAAGAAGAAATGAATAGATGAACTTCAAAACTCTATCAGTGTTTATGTACTCTATGGAAAGTGTTCCATTTTAAGTCAATTAGAAAGCAGAATTTTTTTTCCAGGTCTATGAAACTGTGGTGGTGCCTATGATGTGTCAAAACAGAGAAATGAAAATGGAAATGAAATCAGATGTGGGTGCTTTACCATAGCAATGGCAGTGATACATAAAAGTCACAAGTTGCTTCAATGTTAGCAAAAATCTAAAGTTATAGACAAAATATATAGATGCAAACAATAAACTGGATTTTCAAATTTTCATTCAATTGCTTGAGTGTTGTATAGGCACAGAATTAAAACAGAAATTGGAGGTAGAAAGGAACCGATATTCCAGGTACCTCAGAGCAGGATCTGTGTCAGATTCATTTTCTCTCTCTCTCTCTTTTTTTTTTTTTAATGGAGTTTTGCTCTTGTTGCCCAGGCTAGAGTGCAATGGCACGATCTCGGCTCACAACAACCTCTGCCTTCCAGGTTCAAGCGATTCTCCTGCCTCAGCCGCCCAAGTAGCTGGGATTACAGGCATGCACCAGCACGCCCAGCTAATTTTGTATTTTTAGTAGAGGTGGGGTTTCTCCATGTTGATCAGGCTGGTTTCGAACTCCCGACCTCAGGTGATCCGCCCGCCTCGGCCTCCCAAAGTGCTGGAATTACAGGCATGAGCCACTGCACCCGGCCAGATTAGTTTTCTTATTACCATATTCCTCAGAACAGTCCCTGGAGCTTGTGTTCAAAATGTTTGTTGACTGACTGAATGAATGACCTAGTGTATGAGCGTGTGGAGTTGTAGCCTGTGTGCTTTGCTGAGTCAATGATTTTACTATGTTGGTTCTCAAAAAAAACGGCTTTACAATATAAAATCAAAGTAAAATAAAATTAATTAACAAATCAGCAACTTTACTCATGGATCTTTGCTAGGCACTGTGGTAAACGGAAAGATGAGTAAATCTTTAATAAGTGGGACACACTGGGATGGGATGAAGTAACAATTGAAGATTAAATGCATTTGTGAATACTGAGGCCACAGGAACACTGAATAGCTTTTAATTGAGGACTTGTCCTATTCTATTAGACATCAAAATTAAAAACAGCTTCAAAATGCTCTTATTTTGACACATTCCCCTCCCTCTCCTTCTGTCACAGCCATCAAAGTCCAAGCATCTCTGCCTAATTGGCATATGTTGAGGTCAGGCTGACAGGAACAGCTGGATGAGACTTGACCTGAAGTTTTGGTTGGATCAATTCACCAACCCCACTGACCCAGAATTGTAGGTATGGCATTTACCACTCACCATATTAATCAATCTGACTGGATATTAAAACCATGCTTTACTTACTGGGGCACACAGACTAAGGGGCTAGATCTCACTTGAAGTGGAATAAAGTGAAAAGCTCACATCCTGGGTCAACATGAAACTGAAAAAATCAATGAATTTGATAGTAAAAAGTAAAACCAGAAGGGTTTTGATGGCTGGGAGATACTGGTGGCTGCCTAAATCCAAATCTCTCTTCTACATCCACCCTCAAAATATAAAATCACCATTGAGTGTCAATAAAACCATACATAGGCTGAGCTGGGAGGACTGCTTGAGGCCAAGAGTTCGAGATTAGCCTGGGCAACATAGTGAGACCCCGTTTCTAAAAAAAGAAAGAAAGAAAATTAGCTGGGTGTGGTGGCATGCACCTTTAGTCCCAGCTGCTTGGGAGGCTGAGGCAGAATGGCTTGATCCCAGGAGTTCAAGGCTGTAGTGAGCTATGATTGCACCACTGCACTCCAGCCTGGGTGACAGAGTGAGACCCTGTCTCTTAAAAAAACAAAAACAAAAACACCCCCAAAACTACACGTGAATCATGCCTTTAGCATTATTAGTGGCAGAGAATACCATGGTCTTCAAATTACTTGTAGATAGAGAAATAAATACCAAATCCCAGGAGAGTCCTACCATCCACCTACAAGCCTGTGGATGCTGAGAGTATGGAGAAGGGGCTTTCAGAGGCCCATAAAAAAATGAGACAGGGAAGTAGAAGATACAGATGAAGCACAGGCAAATTCACCCCGGAAAAGCCCAACAGTAAGTGTCTAAGTATTGAACACATGTCTGGGACATAGTAGTGGAAAGCCACAGTTACAGCATGGGGGCTTGCAGTGAACGGCACTGGAAACCACAGCCATGAAGAAGCAGTGCTGCTGGGAAAGAATAGAGAAGGGATTCGCCCTTGAAGATGCTGCCATGACGGAGAAGAAGGAAGTGAGACGGGCACATTAAAGGAGAAATAAAATGTGCGGTAAACATAACGGCTCACGAGGACTGGTTATTATCATCTCTTCACAACTCTGTGTTCGGTGACACCCCATTGGTAGGTTAAAATCAGCTGTAGTGGGAGTACACGTGTCATGGCAAATGCTACCAATCAGGCTACTTTTTCTTGGAGATCTGGCTGTTAAACATTTACCAGCTGACCACTGCATCTGTCAGTCCCCTTTCTTTACCACCATCACCACCACAACTGCCAACAATATTTTCCATTAAATAAATTGCACTTCAATTAAACTATCTTAAGACGACACTCAACTAGGAACCCTCCTGACAAAACACCCAGAGATAGAAAAAAATCAAACTGACTTCCTATAAAGCAAATGTAAGAAGAAAACAGAAAGTGTTAATTGTAATGTTTGACTGATGAAAGTGTTTTCTAAAAAAAATTCATATCCTGGGCAACATAGTGATACCCCCATCTCTACAAAAAATTTTAAAAAATTATCCAGGCATGGTGGTTCACACTCATGGTCCCAGCTACTCGGGAGGCTGAAGTAGGAGAACTGTGTGAGTCTGGGAGGTTGAGGCTGCAGTGAGCCATGTTTGTGCCACTGCACTCCAGCCTGGGTGACAGAGTGAGACCCTGCCTCAAAAGAAAAAAAAAATTCAGAAAGTAGAATAAAACTTTACACAACTCTCCAAACTCAGTTAAATATCCTAAACCAAATACATGAAGATGGATTTTTTTAAAATGTTAGAATCATAATTTTTAGAAAACCAAGAATAGAAATGGACATAAAACAGGAAGAAATACCACACAAATTGACTAATCTCAAAAAACATATCGAAAGAAAAAGAATTATTTCAGAAATGAAGAACAAATTATAAGTCCCAATGGAAAACAGAATTCAACAAAAATTTAATAAGGGATACTGAAGAAAAGTAGGCAAATGACCAAGAGATTTAAAATGAGGTAAAGAAGTTAGAGTCAGAGAGAAAGTGGTTGAAATGGAAGGCAGACAGAGAAGGTCCAACATATGAATAATTGTGCTCTCTAAAGAGGAAAGCAAAATATTGGAACAGAGCTAATATTTAAGTTTATATTCTAAGATAACTTTCTGGAAATGAAAAAAAATTCATTCTACATATAGAGCAAACTTACTGTGTAAATGAGAAAATTGACAACAGACAATTAACTCTAAGACATATCCTGGTAAAATGATTAGACTTTAAAGACAAAGGAAAGAAATCATCAGAGCCTCCAGGCAAAAAGATCCAGTTACTTACAGGAAAGAAAATCAGGCAGGGTATCAGGCTTCTCACAGCCACAGAAAAGGTCAGGCAGGAGTGAAGCAGCATTTTCATGGACTCAAGGAAAGAAAGTGCCAGTCACAGATTTAATATCCATCCAAGCTATCCATGGAACAGTGTGCTAATGCTCTTCCTGAAGAATACACTGGAGAGTAGACTTCATCCAACCTTAAGTGATCATAGAGGAAACTTCAGCAAAATAACCAGTACTTAATATGTTTAATTGCAGAGCCAGGAGTAAAACAAGGGAGAGAACATGGGTGGAAAACATATAATGGTGATACATTCTGGCAGAGAGGAAGAATACCAGTAAAAGTGAGAGGAGATAGGAACAGGAGGAGGGGGAAGGCTGAATAAGATCACTGCCAGTTGTAATATGTGGGAATCAGAAGACACTACTGACAGGTTAGATCATAAAAGATTAAGTAAAGAAAGAAAAGGAGTTAGGGAAACCATAACATAAAATATATGAAAACAAAGGTAATAACTAGAACAAAAATATTCTTAAATACCAAAAGAAACCTTAAAAATTAACATGAATGGCTGGGCGTGTTGGCTAACGCCTGTAATCCCAGCACTTTGGGAGGCCAAGGCAGGTAGATCACCTGAGGTCAGGAGGTCGAGACCAGCCTGACCAACATACTGAAACCCCGTCTCTACTAAAAATACAAGAAAAATTAGCCAGGTGTGGTGGTGTGTGCCTGTTGTCCCAGCTACTTGGGAGGCTGAGGCAGGAGAATCACTTGAACCCAGGAGGCAGAGGTTGCAGTGAGCCGAGATGGCACCAATGCACTCCAGCCTGGGCAACAGAGCGAGACTCTGTCTCAAAAAAAATTAATATGAATGACATACTAAATAGAGAAAGAAGCACAATAAATAGTATAAAATATACACCAAACTATAACATGAAGTAATATGACAGAGTCGAGATTAAACATGTCACATTAAATGTGCGTAGACTTAATTGACCTATTTATGATAAGATTTTCAAATTGGTTCATATAGGGCCAGGGACGGTGGCTCATGCCTATAATCCCAACACTTTGGGAGGCCAAGGTAGGTGGATCTCTTGAAGTCAGGAGTTCGAGACCAGCCTGGTCAATACATCGAAACCCTGCCTCTACTAAAAATACAAAAATTAGCTGGGCGTGGTGGCACACACCTGTAATCCCAGCTACTCAGGAGGCTGAGGCCCAAGAATCGCTTGAACCTGGGAGGCAAAAATTGCAGTGAGCTGAGATCATGCCACTGCACTTCAGCCTGGGCAACAGAGCAAGACTGTGTTTCAACAAAACAAAACAAAACAGAACAGTTGCCTCATACAGCAAAACCGAAGTCTATGCTGTGATCAAAAGACACATCTAAAACACAGTGATTCAAAACGAGTAAAAAATAAGGAATAAAAACAAAAATTTACCAGGTTAATAGAAACAATAAGAATTCAGGGATTGTTATGACAGTTTAAGACAAAGTAGCATTTAAGCCAAAAAGCATTAAACAAGATGAAAGAGATTTAGTAAAGCTGAAACCATAGTTCGCAAAGGACTGGAACTTGTATTGGAGGAAAATGTTATAAAGAAAATTACTGGGGCAGTTGTCAAAATTGGAATATGGACAGTAGTTTAAATAAAAGTGTTATATCAAAATCAAATTTTCTAAATCAGAGAATAGCCTTGTCCTTAGAAAATATGGAATTATTAAGAAATAAAGGTATATGATGTATGCAACTTACTTGCAACTTGTTAAAAAAGTGGGAATCTGGGTAAAGAGCAAATAAGAGATCTGTGGATTGTGCTTGCAACTTTTTGGCAAGTGCGAAATTACTTCAAATTAAAAGTAAAGTGGCCGGGCGCGGTGGCTCACGCCTGTAATCCCAGCACTTTGGGAGGCCGAGGCTGGCGGATCACGAGGTCAGGAGATGGAGACCATCCTGGCTAACACGGTGAAACCCCATCTCTACTAAAAATACAAAAAATTAGCCGGGCGTGGTGGCGGGAGTTTGTAGTCCCAGCTACTCAGGAGGCTGAGGCAGGAGAATGGGGTGAACCTGGGAGGCGGAGCTTGCAGTGTGCCGAGATTGTGCTACTGCACTCCAGTCTGGGCGACAGAGCGAGACTCCATCTCAAAAAAAAAAAAAAAAAAAAAAAAAAAAAAAAATTAAAAGTAAAAAGAAAAAGCAAACTGTATGCATTGTGAAAACTCATCAAATTTCCTCTTATTTGTGCATTCTACTGTATGTACGTTTTACCTTAAAAAATCCATGAGCCGCCGCGCGCGGTGGCTCACGCCTGTAATCCCAGCACTTTGGGAGGCCAAGGCGGGCGGATCACGAGGTCAAGAAATTGAGACCATCCTGGCTAACGTGGTGAAACCCCGTCTCTACTAAAAAATACCAAAAATTAGCCGGGTGTGGTGGCAGGCGCCTGTAGTCCCAGCTACTCGGGAGGCTGAGGCAGGAGAATGGCGTGAACCTGGAAGGCTGAGCTTGCAGTGAGTCGAGATCGCGCCACTGCACTCAAGCCTGGGCGACAGAGCGAGACTCCCTCTCAAAAAAAAAAAAAAAAAAAGAAAAAGAAAAAAATCCATGAGCGATAAACGAAGATTGAACTCTAGTTATCTAACTAGAGTTAGATAACTACATGCTGAAGTGTTAAAGATTGAAGAATACTGATGTTAGCAACTTGAAATTCTTAAAAATAAGACGACTTGGTGGACAGGTAAGATGGGGACAGACAGGTGGTCATACGCGTGATAAAAGCAAATATAGCAAAATATTAATTACAGAAAGTAAGTGGTGGGTATATGGGTATTAATTGCATAATTCTTTCAACTTTTTCCGTTTGTTCAAAAATTTTCATAAGATGTTGGGGGAAGAAGAGGTGAGTCAGTGGTTTGAGTCAGTGGTTTGATGCTGTGCCGCCTTTATATTAATAAACAGCTGGGTGGCTGGCTAGATCTTCCACTTTCCAGCACTGTCTCTTTTTACTTGGCCTCGGTTAAACTTTAACAACCGGTCCTGTCCCAGGAAGAAGTCTTGGAAGCAGCAGACCCACCCCCTGCATCTCACCCTGGGGCCCTGAGACTCTGTGGGTGAGCACATTTGTTACTTATCAGAACTGGCCCCCACAAATCTAGCTCCATGTCCCCATTTCTCTAAACTGGGAGTACATTAGTCCAGGGCCCTTCACACTTTGATTTGCTTCCTTAGAAACACAGGCGGCCCTGCCTGCACACACCTGTTCCCTGTCCCCGATGCGGCCAGCCGAGCCCCCACTGCCACGGGGAGGTCTGCTTCGGGTTTATGTTTTAGGGTAAGAAAAAGGCCATTAAAATTCTCTCTGATGGTTGAGTCCCTGCTTGTGGGGGAGGGGGAGACGGAGCCAAGGGGAAGAAATTTGCTGGTAAGCAAAGCCCCACTTAAAAATTTTCCCTTTCTTTCTTTTTGTTTCTCCTTTTTTCCCCCTTGAAGCGGCTTTCCCTGGAGTCAAAGCATTTTACAAAAACAAACCACTCCAGAGCTTTCAAGTCTAGGGAAAGCTCAAGCAAAGTTAATTAACATGAAGGTTCTCACAAAAGTTAATTAACATGAAGGGACTCACAAAAGCTGTCTGCTGGCATCTGCTCGCCTGCCTGCCATGTGCAGCGGCCCCTTTGTGCCCGCGCACCCGGCCCGGCCCGGCCCTGCCTGCGCGGCGGCTGCGGCTCTGGGCGGCCCCGGCTCCCGGAGGCCTCTCCCCCGCGGCGGGGCGGGGCTCAGACACCTGGCTCCTGCGGGGCTCCTGCCCTGCTTCCTGTCCTGGTTCCTGCCCCGCTTCCTGTCCTGGTTCCTGCCCCGGCTTCTGCCCGGGTTCCTGCCCCGGCTCCTGCCCCGGCTCCGGTCCGCGGCGAGAAGGTGCGGCCGGCACGAGGCAGCCGCGGGGAGAAGGAATAGAGCGAGCGAGAGGCGCCGGCCCAAGGGGCAGCCAGGAGCCAGACGAGGAAAGCAAGGGAGAAAGGACAATCACAAAATCTCTTTAACATGTGTCTCGTGCAAATCAAGGTTGTTTTTGACGGACTAACTTAAAAATACTGATACACGGCTCTGTGATACACATGCGCAGTGGCTCAGCCTGTAATCCCAGCACTTTCGGAGGCCGAGGCGGGCGGATCACTTGAGGTCAGGAGTTCGAGACCAGCCTGGCCAACATGGTGAAACCCCGTCTCTACTAAAAATACAAAAATTAGCCAGGCATGGTGGCGCACGCCTGTAATCCGAACTACCAGGGAGGCTGAGGCAGGAGAATGGCTTGAACCTGGGAGGCGGAGGTTACAGTGAGCCCAGATTGCACCATTGCACTCCAGCCTGGGTGACAGTGAAATTCCCTCTCAAAAAACAAACAAACAAAAAATACATGCAAAGTATAAATCCCACAAAACAGTCATATCAGAACTGGAGGTCATTATGTTAAGTGAAAAAGGCCAGGCACAGAAAGACAAACATCGCATGTTCTCATTTATTAGTGGGATCCAGAAATCAAATCTGTTGAACTCATGGACATAGAGAGTAGAAGGATGGTTACCAGAGGCTGGGAAGGGGAGTGCGGGGCTGAGGGGAGGTGTGGATGGTTAGTACAAAACGTAAGAAAGAATGAGTAAGACCTACTATTTGACAGCACAATAGGGTGACTATAGTTAATAATAACTTAATTGTACATTTAAAAATACTTAAAGAGTGTTAATTGGTTTGCAACTCAAAGTATAAATGTTCAGGGGATGGATAGCCCATTCTTCATGGTGTACTTATTTCACATTGCATGCTGGTATCAAAACACCAAATATACCCCATAAATATATACACCTACTATGTACCCACAACAAATTTTAAAAGTAATTTAAAACAATTTTTTAAAATCATATAAGGAAATAATGTAATGAATAATATATGACATATTAAGTAATAATTATAATTATTCAATAATATAAAGTTGATATCAATAATCAATATTAAATTTCATCTGTATGAATACTATAATAATATAATAAAAATGTACATTTTCTGTTTTTTTTTTTTATACAGTCTTGCTGTGTCACCTAGGCTGGAGTACAGTTTCACCATCTCGGCTTACTACAAGCTCTGCCTCCTAGGTTCAGGCAATTCTCCCACCTCAGCCTCCCAAGTAGCTGGGACTGCAGGTGTGTGCCACCACACCCAACTAATTTTTGTATTTTTAGTAGAGACGGGGTTTCACCATGTTGTCCAGGCTGGTCTCAAAGTCCTGACCTCAAGTGATCCACCTGTCTAGGCCTCCCAAAATGCTGGGATTACGGGCATGAGCCTCCGTGCCGGGCCTGCCTCTACTCTTATATAAAGATACATTTTTTTTTTTTTTCAGAAACAGGATTATAATGTGCCTACATTTTTGGGTAATTAACGTTTTCATTGATAGTAGGTCATGAACATTTTTCAGTGTCAGTAAATATATGGTCTCTGCAGACCCACAAGGATTTTTCTAATCTTCCAGATAAATTGTCACAAATAAATATGTACACAGGTTTTGCTATGCCACCCTTAGGTGTATACAGTTGAATACAAATGTGCAGTGTTTACATAATGAACCACCTGAGGAAAGGTTATTTCCTTAAAAGAAAGGTTTACTGTGTGAATGCTTCCCTGCAAAGAAGTTGTACAATTGTGTCGGAAAAATCCATTTGTTTGGATTTATAAATTTTGGAGTTCTGCACCATGTACCTGAAACTTTGCTATTAGGGATGGATATGGTTTGGATCTGTGTCCCTGCCCAAATCTCATGTTGAACTGTAATCCCCCATGTTGGAGGAAGGGCCTGGTGGGAGGTGATTGGATCATGGGGACAGATTTCTCCCTTGCCGTTTTCATGGTAGTGGGTTCTCATGAGATCTAGTTTTTAAAAGTGTGTGGCACTTTCCCCTTTGCTTTCTTTCTCCTTCTCCAGCCATGTGAAGATGTGCCTCCCCTTCCACCATGATCGTAAGTTTCCTGAGGCCTCCCCAGCCATGCCTCCTGTTCAGTCTGTGGAACAGTGAGTCAAGTTTTTCTTTATGAAGAAAGAAGTTTTTCTTTCTTCCTAAATTACCCGGTCTCACATAGTTCTTTATAGCAGTGCGAGAACTGACTAATACAGGGACATTTGCCCGGAATGTGAATTTGGTTCCCTTGAGAGCCTTTAAACTGTTTATTTCCAGGTTCCTCCCGGTGTGAAGGAGCATCACTGACTCATGCAGGTCTTTCTTCATTCAGGAACTGGCCCTCCATGGCTGTCGCAGCTCCTTCGAGAACGCCGTGCTGCGGCACTCATGTGCCTGCCCAGAAGCTGCCCAAGTTTGTTCACTGGGGCTTATTTAGGAATTTTGGGGTGTGGGGCTGATAGACTAGGACACAAAGAAAAGACCCGAGGAAGGCAGGGTTTTCACTACAGGTACTTTCTATTATCATGGCCATAGATTTTGTTTTGTTTTTTTCCAAGTGCCTCCTACGTTTCCAGGGGTTCCTGAGACCACTGGACTGAATTGCCCAGTCACTGCTTTGTAGACATCCATAAACAGAAGCATTTTAACATGGCTGGCTCGGGAAGAAAAGTGGATTGTACACACTGCAGCCTTCCCAATCCTGAGGTGATGCAGATGGGCTGGAGACAAAAACTGATCATTTTCATTTCCTCCCGTATGGACTGTTTCAGAATATTCTGCAGCTGATGACAAGAATGGAAACTGTGGATATAGCCAGTAAATGTATACTTAGAAGAGACCAGAAATACTTGCAAGAAAGAGGCCTGCTATGATGTGAGTTGTGTCCCCCCAGATCACATGTTAAGCCTAATCACCAGTGTGATGGTATTGGGAGGTAAGACCTTTGGGAGGGCCTCATGAATGAGATTAGTGCCCTCATAAAAGAGGCCCTGAAGAGCTGCCTTGCCCCATCCACCTTACAAAGGTGCATTGAGAGGGGGCCATCTATGAGTCAGGAAGCAGGCCCTCACCAGACACTGAACCTGCCGGCACCTTGATCTTGGACTTCTGAGCCTCCAGAACCGTGAGAAATGAATGTCTTTGTTTAGAAGCTACCCAGTTTGTGGTATTTTGTTATAGCAGTGCAAACAGACTGAGACAAGCCCCCAATGTGGCAAGGGAAGAAAGGCCATTCCAGATCGTGGGATGAAGTGCACTCTGGGGGTCAAGAGCACGACCTGGGTTTGAATCCTGACTTTGCTCCTTCATGGCAGAAGGATCTTGAGTATATTACTGCCGTGGATTGGTACTCTATGTCCATTCATCTTGTATCTCAGAGATGAGAAACTGAAAACATTTTCCAGACTCCCTTGCAGCTAGGGGTTAGGACCTAGTGTTTAGGTCCTACACATTTGGTGTGGTCAGAGAAAGCAGAACGCAGAAATGAGTACGAGGCCATTTTTGTGTTGTTACTGGTATTTCTCCTGGGAAGCATGGTTTTGGTGGCTTGGTTCAGGAGTTGTCAAGGACTTTCCAGTTTGACTGGTGGCTTCTTGATCTTAAAAGAGGCAGAAACCCTCTTGGTGGTCTGCCTCTGTGGTATTGGCATTGCTTCTGAAAGCTCATCCCACAGTTTTCCCTCCAGCCTTCTCAATAATTCTGTAAACCATTCATTACCTTGTAATAAATATTTTTGCTTAAACTAGGGAGAGTGAAATCTGTTCCCTGTAATGGAATCCTGACCAACAGAGTTCCTTAACCTGTCTGTGATCTGTGATGGTGACAGCTTCTGATGTGTTGCCTGGGCTAGGCTCAGCTACAGACCCCAGCATTCTCTTTTGAGTATGTTTCTGGTTAGGGTGGGCTACAAGAGATTTTCTTTTTGGAGAATTGGAGGATAGAAGGGAAGCAGTGGCCATTTTGTAGCATGCATGCACCTTCTCCCAGGTATTCCCTCAAGCACTAATGTGGGTACTGCTGTGAAGGTATTTTACAGATGTGATGAAAGTCCCAGATCAATCCCCTTCAAGCTGATCAAAAACGAGGTTATTATAGGTGAGCCTGACCTAATCAGTTTGAAGACCTTTAAAATAAGGTATAGGCTTTCCTATGTTTAGAGATGGTATATGAATAAGAGGCTTCAGCTCATGCCTATGGGGCTCCAGCCTGCTCATGATCTCCCCTTCCTGACTGTCTGTCCTGAGGACAACCCCAGACTTGCATAAGCCAGTGTTTTTGGTAATTAATCTATCTATTTATCTATCATCTATCTATCTATCTATCTATCTATCTATCTATCTATCTATCCCTCTATTATCTATCACCTATCTTTCATCTATCTATCTATCTGTCTATCTATCGTCTATCAATCATCTATCATCTATCAGTCTATCATCTATCAATGATCTATTATATATCATCTATCAATCATCTATCATCTATCTGTTGTCTATCAGTCATCTATCATCTATCATCTATCAATCATCTATTATCTATCATCTATCAATCTTCTATCATCTGTTATCTAACTATCTATCTATCATCTATCTATCTATCATCTATATGTCTGTCTGTCTATCTATTTCTCATCTCTTCTATTGGCTCTGCTTCTCTGGTTGAACCCTACCTGATACCCTCTCTGAGCCTCAGCTTCTTCGACTGCAAATTGGCACTTCATGTCTGGCACACAGGCCTGCTCTAAAAGTTACATAGAGAATAAATGTAAAGCACAGTCCTTGGCAAAGACGTCAAATCTATTTTGGACACTATCTCTGCTCTCATCCTCTCCTAAACTTTCATTCTTAGGTTGGCAGGTGACTACAGCCCTGCCAGAAAGGTCATCTCAGAAACCAGTCCCTCCTGCCACAGAAATATCAAAATGGCCCTGCCAGCCCACAGTGATCCTTCCTGCCTCTGAATTTCTAGGCTGTGCTTACCCCTTCCTGAAGCCTGCCCCTGATCTGCCTGTTAGTATTATTTAATAATCTGCGACACAGCATTATGCATCATCTGTTTTCTCCAAGTTCTAAGAAGACTTTTACATATACTGGTTAAGTTGAGTCCTACTCAAATCTTGGCATAAGGTGCACAATAAGCTTTGGAAGCAAAATGTGTGTGTTAATTGGGCTCAAAGGACCCATCCTGCTCCTTCCTTCCTCACCCCAGCCCTCAGAACAGGTGGTGATGGGCGGGGGTGGAACATGGGGTGGACTAAATCCATGGCCACTTCAAAAACAAAATGGAGAATATCTTCGCACTGCTGAAGTGGAAGGTCAAGGGTCGGGTCATTCCTTAGGATGGTCGGTGCTTGGCTTTATTCTCGCCCTGTGCTTTCAGATGCCAAGCACTCCTATTCTTCCTGTGTGCCTCTCTCCTCTTTCAGAGCTGGACGTTCCCAAGGGACTACCCTGGTTCGCCCCCCTGAGCTTGTTTCCCCATGTGAGATGTGTGTGTGTCCATCTCTTTGCATGTGAGTTTAATGTCAGCATGGGCAAGAAGTTCAGTCTAATCTACACGGAACCCAAAAAATCACATTGGGATGCTACCTCATCCCTATTAGGATGGCTAGAATGAACATTCAGATAATCACACATATTGGTGAGGACATGGGGAAATCAGAACACTCTTACACTGCTGGTGATAAGATAAAATGGTGCAGCCACTGCAGAAAAGAGTTTGGTGGCTCCTTAAAAAGCCAAACAGAGACCCAGCAACTCCACTCCTAGGTGTACACCTAAGAAAATGGAAAACAAGTGTTTGAAAAAACCTGTGCACAAATGTTCACGGCAGCATTATTCATAATAGTCAAAAGGCAGACATCATCCACACGTTCATCAACTGATAAAAGATAAACAAAATGTGGATAGCCATACAATGGAATATTATTTGGACATAAAAAGGAATGAAGTGTTGATTTATGCTATCACATGGATGAAACTGGAAAAAACATTATGCTAAGTGAAAGAAACCAGACACAAAGAGATTGCATACTATAAGACTGCATTCATAGGAAACATCCAGAGCAGGGCAGAAAGTAGATTCATGATTGCCTAGGGTTGCACAGGTGAACAGGCACCGGTTGTGGCAGACGGGGCGGGGGGGGTGTGGGGGGGGAGTGGGGGGGGAGTGAGTGCTAAAGGGTATGGAGTTACTTTTGAAGGTAACAAAATTGTCCTAAGATTGCCTATGGTGATGGTTCCACAACTCTGTGAATATAAAAACGATTGAATTATAATATACTTTACATGGGTGAATTGTATGGTATGTGAATGATATCCCAATAAAGCTGTTAAAAGAACAGCAATGAAGAGAGTGGGGACACAATTCTTCAGCAAACACACAAACTCCTTTTTGATGACTTTTAAAATATCTACCTTACATGCAGAGTCCAGATGCTTCCCTAATTTAACTGCTAATTTAACTTCCCTGATTTAACTGCTCATCAGCAGATTACCCACCCCACTCACTGGCCGTCACCTCCTTTGTTTCCTATGAAGAAATAATACGAGCTAAGAATGTAGAACAACGTTCTACAGTAAATACTGTTTGGCACACAGTCAAGAGTCTATAAGCATTTGCTATTTATATTGTTATCATCTGGCAACACGGCCTGGTTTCTGCTGCCTCTTTAGCTACTCCTTCCCTCCCCTTCATGGGCTCCAAATTTTCTCCCTTCCCTCCCTCCCTTCCACCCTCCCTCCTTCCCTTCCCCTTCCCTTCCTTCCTTCCTTCCTTCCTTCCTCTTTTCTTTCTTTCTCTCTGTCGTCCAGGCTGGAGTGCAGTGGCTCGAGCACTGCTCGCTGCAAGCTCCGCCTCCCAGGTTCACGCCATTCTCCTGCCTCAGCCTCCCAAGTAGCTGGGACTACAGGCGCCTGCCACCACGCCCGGCTAATTTCTTTTTGTATTTTTAGTAGAGACGGGGTTTCACCGTGTTAGCCAGGATGGTCTGGATCTCCTGACCTCGTGATCCGCCAGCCTCGGCCTCCCAAAGTGCTGGAATTACAGGCGTGAGCCACCGCGCCCGGCCTATGGGCTCCAGATTTTCTTCCCTCCACTCCCTGAGCTCTGAGCTCCCCACTGTCTCTGTCTGCGCTCTCTTTGGGCCAGGGTTCATCAACCGTGGTTTCTATTCCCATTGATCCCAGGTCGACACCTTCTCCAGCGTTTAAATGCCACCAGCTCAAAACGAAATCTGTCCTCTCTCTGATGCCATCTGCTCCTCCCACTTCCTCATTCCAGCTGCAGGGCTCAGTCTCCTCACAGCTGCTCACCCCGCTGGGAACCTGGCGGTCCTGAGCGCCCTGCCCCTCCACCCACACCCTGACTCAGCACTCTGTCCTCCGGCTGCGGGAGTGCGCTGGCCGATGGCTCAGTTGAATCCTTCTTTGAGAGTTGCACTGTATGGAAGAGAAACGTGTGGCCCAAGATCATGTCTCCTGGTGGCCACCTGCATACAATGACGGGTCAATGTGAGGGCATGAGGCTCTGGCCTCCTTGCCCTAACCTGAGCCAACTCCAAAGGGCATCTCAGCTCCGCATAGCCTCAGCCGCATGACAATTTGACTTCCTCCACTGCGCAGTGCTGCTTCTTCACTCCCCCACAGGCGCTGACTTGGGACCACCCCCGTGTGCTCTTCGCGCACACAACGCTCCCTCTCACAGTCTGCTTCTCATGGAATCCATCCTGCAACACTGTCAATTGCCCTTGACTTTCCCTCTCTTCTCTGAATCATAGTCCAAAGCCTGCAAACATCTTACGAGTCTGTGACTCCCTTATCTGAAGTCCAGAGCCATGACTGAGTTTGGGTCAATCAAGACAAAAAATCTCATTCCAATTGCCCTGAGCACAAAGGCCTGTTAGAAAGGAAAGTTTAGCAGAAATAGATTTAGCTTTGGGTACAGCTTGACCCGGGGTTCAAATGATGTAATCAGAGTTGACTTCTTCCTCTTCCTTCATTTAATCTGTTTTCTGCTGTATTCGCTCCTTTCTCAGAAAAGGCCCCCACCCTCAATTCCCTTAAGGCTACAGATTTTTAGATTAAAGACCCATGGAAAAGCACATTCTATGTTTCAGACAAAGCTTCACAACATGTAACACATTCTGATTGGTCCATGCTCTTATCCTCAAACCAATAACGTTGGCCAAGAGAATGTGATACTCTTATTGGACTGTCTGAGTCACATGAACAACCCTGGACCCTGCGATGAAGGTAGCACTGTCTGAACCAAACAGACTGAGAGTGGGAAATGGGATGGTTCTTCTAGAAGGAAATTAGGTTATGGGGACCTGAATAGTGAGTGGATGTTGGGAAACATGTTTATGAAGAATAACAGGTTGCTTCTTTGTTTCCATTTTGCAACCAATATAAAAAGTTTCTATGATCTTCCCACTTCAACGTTCTCTTTCTGCACTTCTCATCCATCTGGTGGAGCTCTAAATCACAAGTACAATCACGTATCTGTTCAACAGTCTTCGAGAGGGTGTCACTGCTTTGCAAACAGATAACGGCCATTGTCTTCAGTTTAGCATTCAATGTCACCTTCTTCCAGTGCACCTTACATGGGCACTTCTTAACTTTCAGAAGATTAAGAATCTCCTGGAAGGCTAATTGAAACCCAGATTTCTGGGCCTCCAACCCAGAAATTCCGACTTAGTGGGGCTGGGACGGGGCCTATGTGTTTGCATGTCTAGCAATTTCTCACTTGGCACTGAAACTGTCAGTCCTAGAACCACACTCAGAACCACAGCTCATGGGTGGCATCTCTTCCTGCAAAATGGGCTGTTTGTTTTTCAGACACAGCTCTACTTTATTTTATTTTATTTTATTTTATTTTATTGAGACAAAGTCTCTCTCTGTCACTCAAGCTGGAGTGCAGTGGTACGATCTCGGCTCACTGCAACCTCCATCTCCGAGGTTCAAGCGATTCTCCTGTCTCAGCCTCCCAAGTAGCAGGGATTAGAGGTGCGTGCCACCATGCCTGGCTAATTTTTGTATTTTAGTAGAGACGGGGTTTCACCATGTTGATCAGGCTGGCCTCAAACTCCTGACCTTAGGTGATCCACCTGCCTCGGTCCCAAAGTGCTGGGATTACAGGAGCAAGCCACCGCGCCACGCCACCTCTACTGTCTTAACCTCTGGGACTCAGCTCAAGCTCTTCCTTCCTTTTGATAATGCCCTTCCCACAATTTCTATCTGCTGAAATCCTAGCTTTCAAGGCCAAATTCAAATGCCACGTCTTCCAGGACATCTTTTCTGATCTATCCATCCCTTTGAGCCTCATTGTACCTAATATACTCCTTCTTAAAAATAATGCATCGTAGGCTGGGCGTGGTGGCTCACTCCTGTAATCCCAACACTTTGGGAGGCCGAGGCAGGAGGATCACTTGAGCCCAGGAGTTCGATACTGAAACTTAAAGAAGTTTAAGGTTCTTTTTGTCAGGAACTGTCATATTCATCATTTTAGCCTGCACAGAACTTAGCATGGTGCCTGGGGCTAGGCAGGGTGCTATGCTCTGAGCTAGCTTCAGCATGAGCAAGCAGTGGAAGAAACCAGTAGCTCTGGAAACCGTTCCCATCGCGATCCTTTAGCCTGCAAACTCAGGAATCCATGGCTGCCTTTCCCCCTTACTAGCACTGCGATCTCTGGGAAGTCATTTAACCTCATAGAATTTAGCTTTCTCATCTGTGAAATAGGAATAATACTGCAGATGCATTGTAGGGCTCATTTTTAAAAATAACAAATACTGTCCTAAACTGAGAGTACTATGTTCCAGGCTCTCTTCTAGATTTTGGGAATAAGTAGTGGATACAATAGTAAAAAATCCCTGTCTTCCAAGAGCTGACATTATTCTAGCAGCATAAGAAAGAGAAACAAATACATTGGCAAAATATAAAGGATGTTAGATACTGGTAAATGCTGTGGAGAAAATTAAGTAGTAAAGGAAGAGGGGATGTGTTGAGTGGGGTGGGGATTGGATTTGCAACTTTTTTTTTTTTTTTTTTTGAGAAGAAGTCTCGCTCTGTCGCCCAGGCTGTAGTGCAGTGGCGCGATCTCGGCTCAATGCAAGCTCTGCCTCCCGGGTTCACGCCATTCTCCTGCCTCAGCCTCCCGAGTAGCTGGGACTACAGGCACCTGCCACAATGCCTGGCTAATTTTTTGTATTTTTGGTAGAGATGGGGTTTCACCGTGTTAGCCAGGATGGTCTCGATCTCCTGACCTCGTGATCCACCCGCCTTGGCCTCCCAAAGTGCTGGGATTACAGGTGCGCCCTCCCTGGATTTGCAACTTTAAACTGGGTGGTCAGGCAGGGTCCCAATGAAAAGATGATATTTCTACAAAGACCTGAATTTCATAAGGGAATGAACCACGTGTCTGTCTGGGAGACTGATATTACAGGTGCAGGAAAGAATAAGTGCATGCCCTGAGGCCGAACAGTGCCTGGTATGTTTGAGGAATATCAAGAAATAGCAGCGCCTGTCTGTACAGTGGCTAAAAGTGCCTATTTGGTTTGATGTGGAGATACCACGCTCCAGATCAGGGATGGCAAACTCTTTCTTTAAAGGACTTGATAGCAAATGTTTTAGGCTTTATAGGCCATGCGGTTTCTGTTGCAATCACTTAACTCTGCCATTATAGCTCAAAAGCAGGCCTAGACGAGACATAAATAAATAGGCAGAGCTGTGTTGCGCAAACTTTATTTACCAAAACAAGTTGGGTCCAGATTTGGCCTGTGGGCTATAGTTTGTGGACCCTACTCTAAACACATCTATCATGCTCTGATTTTGGACAATGAAAAGGAAATAGTGGAAAACATCAGTACATAAAACAAAGACGCTGCTTTTTAATGATCCATCTTTCTACTTTCACTTTAGAACACCGCCTTTCTCATTAAAATCACTTGGGTGGTGTAGTGAGAAATGCCTGCCCTTGCCTCAATTCTTCTGACTTCTTCTAACTCAAGTGTGGCCCTTTCCTCTGTTCTTCTGAGTTCACCTCCATAATTCTTTATTTCTCATCCTCGCTGCCCTGCCCCATGTCTTTCTCATCTTTTGTATTTCCTCCTGCATCTTCGCGCTCTTTCCTGCTCATTTCTAGTCTCTGCCAACATCTTATTTATTGGGTTCATCTAGTGAGAGAAGCTATAGCATGGCACATATTAAGCAGGAAACGGTGGCTTTGGTTATCGGTATTACTGCTACCCAAGATGGGGTCCAACCATCAGTGTTTTTATCATGGACAGATTTCTATTGGCATTGCTGCTGAGGGGGAGTGTCTTGGTGGAGTCAGGGAGAGAGGACAAGCCTTAGGGAGAGGGAGCGAGAGTAGAGAGGAGGGAATTCAGAAGGGGTCAAAGGTGACAGGTCAGGACTGCCTATGCATGTGGATGTGTTTGGGCAACCGTGTGCATGCATGAAGTATGTTTTACAGCCCAAAGTGGATACTTTACAGCCCAAAGTGGATTCTCAGCAGCAGAAGAATAATTCATATATTCAGGCTTCCTTCCGTACTTACACTTTGAAAATCCCACCTTAATTGTGTGTGCCTTATGATTACAGACCATTAGAGACCATTGGTAAATGAACTATGCAATTTCAATTGTGAAATGCACACTCTCTTGTGAAATGCAAACCTGGTTTCACATATTAATTGCTTCTAATTAAGGAGGAACATTTTGGCCAATTAGCTTTTGGAATTTAAGTGGAATCAGAAGGATAATTCAGAAATTTGCTAATTGCTTCCTCCACTGCAGCTGTTTGCCTTTAGAGCAAACATATACCATCTGCATGATGCTGCACACACACAAGGATGGCTGAGAGGCTTGGAAACTCTTGCTAGAGTCGTTGTGTAGACAGCAGTCACCATAATATTGGAATTAGCAACATGAAACAAACAGGGAAAAAGATGAGGACACTAAGAGAGAAAAACATAGGACTGGACTCCAGAGATCCAGGTTCTCAAGCTGACCCAAGGGCTGGGGCTGTTGGCTAACACTGGACATGTCATATCACTTCTCCAGGCTTCCTGGATACAAGATGGCAAAGGTCTCTTACAGCTTATTCATGACGAGCTTCCATGATTCATGACGAGCTTCTATGATTCATGGTAACCTACCATGCCGCCATGTAAGTGGAAGCTGTGTGGGAAAAGCAAAAGCATCTATTGACAAAAGGGCCGAGTATGCCTGTCGACACGGCACGGTCACAATACAAGGATTGGGGCTGGCCACTGCTCTTGCAGTCCATGGATTTTTTTTGAAGGAGAAGGTCTTTGTTTCTTGGCACCCTTCCATTTTATCATTTTTCATACCTCTTCCCTAATTTCAATGGCCTTTTCCTAATTTTGGTGGTAGGTTGGTCTTTTCCCCAGTATTGGCCTCACTTTCTGGATGTCTGACCCAGTCCTCACCGACGGATAGTTCTGCTCTCACTCTTAAACCGCAGCAGAGAGCCTGCTGGTGGTCTCCATTCCTGCCTTGTCTTGCTTCTCCTCTCCTCTTACTGCAAAATAGGCTCTCAACACAAGTCCACCGACCACTGCTGCTGATGGAGGTCTATAATTACCAAGAGGGTTCTTTGGCATCTTGACTTGGGCTTCATGCTGCACTCCTCATTATTACATAATAACTCACCAGTTAGAACTTGCTCATCAATCCCTCTCCCACTACAGGATTTTTTTCCTTATAAGAGTATAACAGGTTATTATCTACCTTCCCCCTCTCCATAACAATACAAGCTGTTGTCCTTTCTGCATCTCGAGGTGGTGTTATTATCACTGGTTCCTGCCTACTCTGTGGAAATTCCCTTTTGCGGGGGCAAAAGGAACAGGGCCCTTCTGGTGAGAGGTTGTAGAGAGAAATAATTTTGTCAAGAGAGTGTTTATCCTGAGAGATGGTGTGTTGACTTAGGTATTTCGTGTGCTTGCTTTCTTCTTTGAAAGCAAGCACACGAAATTTGCCTTGTTGGTAGCTTACATCACATTCCTATATCTTCAGCCTCAAGCCCTGTGGATGGGAAGCAGAAAAATTAAGACAACACTCTCCAGGAAAGTGGGATGCACTGTGGACCCTTGAATAACATGGGAATTAGAGGTGCTGATCCCCTAGCAGTTGGAAATTCATGTATAACTTCTGACTCAAAGACCAACGCTACTCAAAGACGGGTAGCCTACTGCTGACCTGAAGCTTTACCCATAACACGGTGACTAACACACGCTTTGTATATTACATGTATTACATACTTATTCTTAAAGTAGAGTAAACTAGATAAAAGAAAATGTTATGAAGAAACTCATAAGGAGGTGATAAAACATATTTACTATTCATTAGGTGGAAGTGGAGCATCACAAAGGTCTTCATCCTCGTTGTCTCCATGTTGAGTAGGTGGAGGAGGGGGAGGGGAAGGAGGGAGAAGGGGGGAGGAGGGAGAAGGGGGGAGGAGGGAGAAGAGGAGGAGGAGGAAAGTGAGAGAAGGAAGAAAAACAGGGAGGGGGAGGAGGGAAGGCAGAGGAGTTGGTCTTGCTGTCTCAGGATTGGCAGAGGGGGAAGAAAATGCATGTATAAGTAGACCCATGTACTGCAAACCCATGCTGTTCCAGGGTCACCTGTGAGACCTGCTTGCGTGATGGTGCTACCACTGTGGATGTGGCTGTGGCTGTCTCTGCAGGGTGGCACTGCTTGCAGAGGGACGACTCATTCTCAGGGCAAACACTGTCTTGACAAAATTGGTTCTCTCTACAGCCTCTCACCTGAAGGGCCCTGTTCCTTTTGCCTCCCTGAAAAGGGACCTCCCTGAGAGCGGGCAGGAATCTATGATACACATGCCACCTCATGGTGTAGAAAGTGCACGCTTTCTGTATGTGCTTCCCATGTGCACCAAGTTTGATTTGGGTCATCTCTATAGTTCATCCTTCCTGAGGCCCAGCGTGTTCCTGACACGCCAGAATATCCCTTCCAGATCCTTATGGTGGCAGTCGTTGGAATTTCCTGGCAGGGAACCCTTGCAGAAAATGGTACCTGACATGCCCTCCGTCACGACAGTGCAAAGGATGAAACAGATTCATGTTCAAGGCATGTTCTCATTATGCGCAGCCTTCATTAAAAGTAATTAAAACTTGGCAAATACTCATCTCGGATGATTAATAGACCATCTCCACTTCTCCTTTTGGGAGGTCGGTTACCAGTTATCAAAAATGAAACACCTGCCTTTACATCAACGTGCTGCTGCCGAAACGTAGCAGGACGCAGCTTTCACAAAGCTGTTACATACATCTGTTGTGCCAAAAAAAAAATGGAGCTCTGTGTTGACCTAAGTCCTGAATAAATATGGTGGATTTGGGGACACAAATCTGATTAAAAACTTCTCCCTAGGCCAACATGGTTAAAAACTAAGTTAGCTAGTTAGCTATGTGTCATTTATAAGGAATATAAAATTGGATGGTAGCAAATGGTCATTTTGGTGGTATTAAACGTGTCTTGGGGAAAGCATGTCCCAATCTGAATTCCAATTAATGCAATTACTATTTCCCGTACTCAGATTCAGGGAGAACATATTCTCTGTGGCTTAAATGAGCCAAATTAGCTGTTATGTGTAGTATTAAGGAGGACAGTGTATTACCTGAACATCTTATTCCTTGGTCAGAATTTACTGTGCTACCTCAAATGCCTCCCAAGAGGGGCTCAGTAAACATGAACTATTCCCATAGCAGCGCCCATTGTTTCTATGGGGAGCCCTTGTCATCTTCAAGATGGGAACCCTGAGGCAGAGCTGGTGATTGAACTGGGGTTTGGAGTGGGGTCCTCAGGATGGGGCTGTCCAATTCTCACTCAGACGACTCCGGCCAGCCCCTGAGATCCAGACCTCGTCACCAGCATCACTGCTGCCACCCTTCAGAAGTTTTCAAGGGATATTTATCTCTTTAATTTACAGATGAGGACACACAGGCTCTGGGGTTTTAAGAGACTTGCCCAAGCCAGTCAAGTGGGTGACAGGGAGCCCTCTCCGTGGAAGGGCCCGGCGTGGCTCCCCCTCCCCTCTAGGAAAGGGGCCCACACTCTCCTTCCAGGTCCTCCCTCACTGTGGGGTGAGCACTAAGAAGGGAGTTCCTCACTCTGGACTCCCAGACGTAACAGTCAAGCTCCTGGCCTGGGCTCACCCACAGAGGAGCATGTGTTTTGTGAAAGGACCACACAGTGGAGTCGGTATCTCTGTGCCATTTCCAGATCCGGCCCGCACTGGCCCAGGAGCCGAAGCCAAATGATAGAACCTGGCCACACTCAGCTGGAATTTCGGGATCGCCTCCGCTGGTGCATCACAACCACCAGGACAGATCGTTAAAGCAGATTCCTGGACCTCACTCCAAGATTCTGAGTTAGGTGGTGTTGGATTCGGTTTTTCTAGCAAGCTTCCAAGGCAGGCTGATTCGTGGACCACACTTGACTAGCACTGGCCTATGTTACCTTGTCTAGAGATGGATTGGCAGGTGTCTTACGGCCAGATAGTAAATATCATAGTCTCTGCAGACCATAGTCTGTGTTGCAGCTACTGAACTCTGCCGTTGCAGCAGAAAAACAGCCATCAACAACATGTGCGGCAACAGGCACGACTCTCTCCTCATGAACCTGTGCAACAGGACATGGCCAGCCGGCTGTGGCTCACTGACCCCTCTGCAACTTGCCCATGTGCACAGCAGTGTGGGCCTTGAGTTCAGCCCCACCACTCCTTGCTTACACAGCTGTAACATGGACATGATATTCCTGGCCATATTTTTCTCCATGCCTATGATGAAATCATTGCTTACCAGGAAACACTCAAAAACTGTTCTGTATCAGGTTCAATCAATTCCATATTATCTTTGACACTGTTTAGAAGTATGACACCTTCACTGATGATAATCATCTTTGAATTTGGCTTTATTTATGTTCCCTCATTATTAGGCATCACATAAGGGAAATAAGTATGCTAAGAGAGATGACAGAAGGACTAATTTTGATGGTTAACTTAGGAAGTTTCTTGGTATGAGAAAACAAAAATAGGGTCAGGTGATAAGAAATTAATTAATGGGTACAATGTACACTATTTGGGTGATGATCACACTAAAAGCTCAGCCCCCACTTTGTAATACATCCATGTAACAGAGCTATGCTTATACCCACTATTTATACAAAACAAAAAGGAGGAAAACCTAAAACTCTCTCCATCAGATAGAGCAAAAAAGAAGAGTGTCACAAGGTCAGCAAGATGAAACAACAGTTTCTGATGGCTCCAACACTAACTGTCTCTCCCAAGTATTTTAAAGAAAAAAAGCATTCTACAAACAAAGATATAACCAACAAGTTATATTATTTTTTATTCATGTTAGAATTTCTATCAGTGTTTGAACATTAATTATTTAGAGAGTTTGTACATTTTCACCTTCCAAGGTTTGAAATGAGAAGCATGCTAGGTCGCCAATGGTAACTAATAAACACTTCATAATCGCATGAATATCCACTCTGCTCTGACTCTCTTAACACTGTTAAACATTTTCTTTCCTTGCTGTAATTTACAATGAAAACTGTGCCCACTCATGTCTCAGCAAAGTTCCAGACATTATGGATTCATCACATATAAATTCTTTAAAAATATACTTCTGTCAAAAGACTTGATGACTACTATGTACACTACAAAAATAAATCTTCATATAAATAAATTATATGGCATACTTTTATCTTTGTAATTGAAATGACACAAACTCATTTCCACCAAAATTGGCAATGAGACCCAGTTTGAATATTTATTTCCTTTAAACTCCTTACCCTAAAACCTACCATGAGTCCTTAATGTAAATGTTATATACTCTGAACTATTTAACATTAGTAAGCACTCTATACAAATAAAAATTCTGTCCAAAAGTAAAACATAGCTGTAATGTTTCCAATAGAAATAAAATCCCTGCATTTTTTTTTGTTATAAACTGGCATGACAAATACTGTAGAGGAAAACATTCTTATGATACAAAATTATAAATATCAGCAAAGTTTTTTTTTTTTTAAAAATTAAAACATCCAAATGAACAAACAGGACAGACAAAATAAAACTATTAAAAGAGAGAGAGAAATTCTAATTCCCTGCCAGCCCCACCCCCCGCCCACCCCAGTTCTCCCTTTGCCAATGTGACTATTGGAGAAAGTTCTACACCATGCAGAAATCAGGGGCCGCGCAGCCTCCGGCGCAACACGAGCTGGGCTCAGGAAGGGAGCGAGGGCACGCCAGGAGCCAGAGGGAAGTCGACTTCAGAATTCTGCATCATCCCTCCTCCACGCAGGACGTTTTCTGAGCAGAGCTGGGTGTTAGGATGGCAGACCATGTGGGTGACAGGCACCAAGACAGCAGCAGGGGGGTGGCCAGGGTCCCCAGCAGAGACACACACACACGCACGCACGCACACACACACACACACACCCAGCAGCCACAAGCGGCTCCCAATCAGCATCTTAAAAGTTTTGTGGTGAGTATCAGGGTCTGAGGTCACTATGCTGTGGGTATTTCTGGGGGCCCATTACCTTTCTGTTAAGATTTCCCAGGTAATTTAAAAGGGAGTAACAGGAGCTGCCACTCGTGAGCGCCTCACAGTAGCTTAGGCTTCAGCCCTGCAGGGACCCCGCCCTTTCCTCTGACTTCTTGTCTGTAACAAGGTGCTGGTGTGGATTTGGATGGGGAGCCGACACTGGGTGCTTCCCTGACATGTGCTGGTCTCTGGTTACGAGATGAGGGAGCCCACACCTCAGAGCAAAAGAAGAGAACCAGTACAGAAGCAACTTTTAAAAATATGCCTGGTTGAGAGACCTGCCCCTGCCTACATCTTTCAGTGGGGTGTGTCCATCCTCCTGCTTTCCCACATCACATTGAAAGAGCACTAATGACGGGGAGGATGGAGACAATGTTTGGATTTACTTAGGAAGCACGTACCCTAAACACTGGTGCATGAAGAATCCCCCCGGAGCTCTTATCCTACATAATGCCTGCCTCTACACCACAATGCATGCTCACCACTTAGTTTTAAAGAAGATGCAAACAGATCTAGAAAGCCTCAACCAGCTGCTCCATTTAAGAGAGGGAGTTTAAACTATAGGGACTCAAAACATCATTTCTGGGAGACTGTGGGCCAAGAAAGAATTAACTAAATAGGTTTTTCTACCTGTGACAGGGCCACATCCACTCTTGAATTTGGGGGTGTTGGGGGAGGGGTCGTGTGTGTGTTGGTCAGAAGAGGGGCACCATGCTGCATGCTTTTTAGAGTATACAGACTCTCATGGCCCAGCCAAGGCTCAGCACTAGGCATGTCACCGAATTCTCTAACACCCACCATGATGAACTGATGTGAGCTCCATACCCTGAGGTTCCAGCATCCATCACAATGATCCGAGAGAAGGAGATTATCCCCCTGAAGCACAAATTGGGGTCCTGGATGGCAGCCAATGATCATAAGAGATGCCGTAGACACGAGGAGAGTCTAGCTTTTGCCGGGCTGATTTGAAAGGATTAGGTGGATGTTTAGGGCCAGCCCTCACCAGCACGAAGAAAAGATATCCTGACGCTTCCAGCCTGACTAGGTCAGAGCCTACTACAGGTTACAGACAGTGTAGAGAAACAAAACAAGACAAAAAAAAAATCACAGTACAGTACATGGTGAACTCACACACGTGTTCACACGCACAGCCAAACAAGAGGACCGCACACAACGACACCTAGAGAAGCCACCAGGATTAACGTGCTTTCTTCATATCTGCTCATTAAACAAAAAAATTATCACGCATAGCGTGTTTGAAAGTTAACAGTAACATTTCATACTACCACAGGGTTGTGATATGCAAATTTAAAATATTTTAAACAGAAACCTTTACAAAATAATCCTATTACATAAGCAATATTTGCATAGAATTATACAAGTAAATTATACAATATTTAAGCAGCAGCAACATATGCTGAAATTTAAGACTAATGAAGCTTGGTTGTGGCACGGAGCCCAATGCACAAATACGGAGAGGCCCCACTGTGGCCTCCACACTCTGGGGCAGGAGTGGAGAAGCCCCAGATCATACCACTTTACATCCTTCCTTCCTATATTACACATGTGTACATCTCTTAAATATTTATAGAAATATTTAACAAAATAATACAATCGGTTACAGTAACAATGAACTGCTGTCCTGGCACAGGGCATCTTTTCCATAACTCCAACCAGTTCTCTTCAAGCAGTTCTGGAAAGAGGTGGGGGTGGGGGGTTTCCAATCTTTGGCCTCTTTGCTTCAGATTTTAATCACCCTTTAAAAGGAAGCAAAAAAGGAAGTTGAACAGAGTAAGAGGTGTGCAAGTCCGTATTTATAAAGTACAAAAGCAGGCAGCAGTAACCTTGGTATTAGAAATCACGAGAGTGGGGTGTGGGCCTGAGGTGTCCCTGGGGGCTGCTTGTGACCTCTCCCTTCATCTGGGGGCTGGTTACACGGATGCGTTCCCATGTGACCAATTCGCTGTGGCATGCACCTCCATAAAGACTGGCAAATATTGGTAAAAGGTGGTGCTGTTTGTGTCCTTGTGGCGCTGCACCGACCCTCCGCAGGTTAGCAGTGGGGGAAGAGAGCAGTGTGGAGCTGGACTGGTTCCCCAAGGATGACAAAGCTTGGACACATCAGCCTTGCTCTGGGGATAAAAGGTCACTGGGGTCCAGCGTGGGATGTGCCCGAGCGCCACAGCCCCTCGGGGATGCCGAGAACCCCAGGAGAACCTTGTCCTCCTCTTTGCCTGGCTCTAGGTCCCTTGGCTGCCCTTGTCAGTGGCACTCACCTCAGTTGGAGCTGCTTCCCCGGGGCCTCTCCTCGCATTCCACGTCCTGCAGCTCAATGACTTCCACCTTCGAATCCCTCCTCTCACACCGGACGTGGAAAGGCACGTGGGGGTCCTCAAACAGGCCGTGGTCAGTCTCAGGGTAGCCTGGGCAGAGTCCCCCTCGGGGGTTCCGCCCAGGCCCAGGGACAGGCGGCGGGTGCACGGCGACAGTCACGGAGGCAGAAGCCGTCACAGTGGTGATGGGCTGGCAGTAGCCGGGCACGGAGCTGCCCATGGCAGTGGACGCTGGGTTCCGAGGGTTGTGAGAACGGGCCCCGCGAGGGCCCCAGCGGGCCCTATTGCTAGGGCCAGAATGCCCTTCAGTAGAAATTTCAAAAGCGTCTCTGCGCGGTCTGTAGGGGGGTGGCCACAAGCCTTCTCTGGGGGGGTCCCTGCGGGGCTGCTGGCCTTGCCGTCCGGGAGGCAGGGACCCTGAGTCCAGGTGGGGCTGCTGTCTCGGGTTCGAGGGTGGGTGATGCCTGGATTCGGGATGGACCACCTGCAGAGGGTGAGGGTGGGTTAGAAGGGTGGTATCCCAGGCTGGGCATGGTCCCCGCAGCTCCCACACTTCCCTCCTTGGGTTTCACCAAAGACTCAGTCAACCCTGGGGAGCCAATGGGGGCCTTCCACCCACAAAAGAAAAGCCTGTCCTTCTAATAACCTCCAGGACCTGGCGGAGGAGCGTGTTGTTTGAAAATCCTGTTTCCAGGCTTTCTCTGACACGGCTGGCTGGACACGTACTGCTGCTGCCCATAAATGTGGGCTGTGGTCAGAGCATCCAAGCTGCTGCCCCCCACAACCTGCCCCCGACCCTGTTAGGTTCTGCAGGCTCTGAGCTGCCCCTCTCCCGAAGTTGCTAAGTGTGCGGCCCTGGCTGGCCTGAGTGCAGGACGCTGGCAGGACTGTCTCTGCCTACTCTGTCAAACACAGTAGCCGCTCCAGACATGTGGTTGCTTAAGTTTTAATGAACTAAAATCCAAAATCCAGCTCCTCGGTAGCCCCGGCCACATTTCAAGTGCTCCACAGCCACGTGTGGCCGGTGGCTCCCATCCTGGAAAGCAGAGAGGGCATTTTCGTCACTGCGGAGGGCTGTGGCGGGCAGCCTGTTCCATCTGATTGTTAAGAATCTGGTCTCTGCGTCTCTATACAAAGCACAGAGCAACACAGTGGCCACATCAATCAAAAGGACCGTGACCAACTTCAAAGTCGTTCAGCTTGTACCTATTTTTAGGCTCCTGCTGAACAAAACCAGATTCACACTGCAGCTCAGCGGGCGTCGTCGCGGGGGGTAGGAGGAGGACAATTCAGGTTATTTGGTTGGCCTTTCTCTCTTTCACGGAAGGGCTGCTCTGGCCTGGGACTGGAATACCCATTTCCTGGAGGGACAGCAGGGGGCCCTCAGTGGAGCAACATCAGCCCAGAACCTTCCTTGAGTTTTCAGGGCTGAGCCCATCCCAGGGAGCACAGGGTGGAGGAAAGGACCCAGGTCCTTGGAGCCTCCGAGGAGGGGCTCCCAGGCTCCTGGTGACCTCCTGAATCACTGAAGGCTAAGAACTCAGGGGTGGTTCTTGGCCTCTCTGCTCTTTCCTGCCACCTGGAACATGAGCTTGGAGCCCCAAAAGCTATGGTAAAGTATTTAGACAATAATAATGAATGTTGTATCAAGGGCATTGAAACCTAACAGAAATGAGAGAAGGAAAAAACCTGACCTCTGTTGGCAATAAAAATACTACTAGTTTTAGAAAATATCACTCTCAAATGACATGCACCTTAAGAGGAAAAAAAAAAAAAAGGCAGGAATGCTTTATCTCTGGCCTTTGAAGCCCAAACTGTCCTCACCCTGAACAAGATAGATGCTACTGCTTTGTGCAGTGACATTACTGGCCCCTGCCCTTTTTATCCTTTATGAGATCAAACCACAGGAAGATGGCATTTGTATAGTTGAGAAAGAGTTAAATACTGGTTATTTCCTATGATTTGACCTAGTCTGTACCTTATCTCTGCATCCCATCTGCCTGTGTGATGTGCTGCTCAGCAGACAGGAGCCCCCGCTGGACCTCCAGGCCCACTACCACGGTGGGAAGACCCCTCCCCCTGGTTCTGCAGAGTCACTTACAGTGGAGTGGGCGAAGACGGGGTTTTCTGTGGCTTCCACGATCACTTGGTGGGCAGGGCCTCCCGCGCCCTGCTGGGCCTCGTAGTGCCGAAGCTCCTCGCTGAGGCCTGACACTGTCGTCTGGGAACTATACTCCGAGTCGGAGGAATCAGACCCGCTGTGCGTGTGGCCGGGCGGCATGGCGAAGCGGACCACGCTGGGGGGTGGCTCAGGGGAGGGTGTGGGCAGGCGGTTCAAGCCGTTGGCTGGAGACACCTATTTAAGGGGATTCCATGTTAAAAGTGTTCTTGTCCATTTACCTGCTGGCCACACTCAAAGCTCAAAGCACGGTATTTTTCAGGGGCCTCTGTTCCCTGCCCTGGGGCCCTGCGCACTGTGCCGTATTAACCTCCCCTTCTCTACCACCTGGAGGACCTTCAGGTCCCGCAGCTGGAGCAGAAGAACTGTCCTCTGCTCCACACTGGAAAGGCAGGATGTGTACTTTTTACTCTTGTGAAGTCCAATTATGCATCTCAAGGGGAAAGTCTTCATTTACTGTATAAAGATCTGTAAGACCCAGGCTGCCAATCAGTTGATTTAGAGGAACCAAACCGAACCCGCCCTCTAGCCCTCAAAGCCAGTACACCGAAGAGGAAAACAGACATGACTCTGAGATGTTTACTGAAGAACCACCAGCAAGTGGGGAGGCACCTAAGTATCGAAGTGAAGAGCGGCACAGGAAACACAGCATTCAGCCGGCCTACACGTGGGACATCCCCGTGTCACTACTGACCTCAGGATATGGTCCAAAGAAAGACAAAAGCACGGGAAGCAAAACCAGCCCATTGAGAACGCCGAGGATGGTGAGGATCGCCAGCACAGCAAAGAAATACCTGGGAGATCAAGAGGAAACGGGAACACGCGCTGTGACAGGGTGGATCGCGCCACCCTCCGTGTGCCCGACACAGCAGCATGGCAACGCCAGAAATGAACAAAACCCACCCCACTGAAAAGGCTGTTATCCAACCGCAGTTCACATTCAACACAAGGTGAGTTTTTGCTTTTTGTTTCTTTACCTTATGACTTTGAGGACTACATTCCACAACCCAAAGTGTTAGTTCATGAAGGGAAGAAAAAAAAAATTAGTTTGTTAATTTGCTGAACTCTGATGGCATGTAATGTTATTTATGAATGTGTTACACAAACACAAAAATATGGAATGCGACCTGAATGGCTGGGCAGACTGAAAGCACAAACACAATGCCGAGGGGCCCCGCTCGTGAAAACCCAGCAGAAGCAAACAAATGAAGTGAAGGGTGTAGAATTTAAACAATTTAGCCCAGGAGGAAAAGCAGCCCACTTCTGCAGGCTGCTAATCCACTGTGAAATGCTTCTGCATCTTACGGCAGAATCTCTAATTAAGTCTCTAGCATATCAGGTAAGGCTTTCCCTGGCCTTTCATTAATCACAACTTTCTGCCTAGAATTCTGTGAGTTCCAGTTTTACCAAATAGCTCCAATTGCAACCTTTTTAGAACACAGGAACCAGCTTTCTGCAAAGAAAATGCTGCCCATTCTGTGGGAGCTGGGGCATTGTGCTGGGTGAGGGCACTCCACAATGGCGGGGCTGCTCTGCGGGCCAATCTTTTGTTGAACAATTTAGCATCTCTGAATACTCTTGTTTTGCGTCAGCCAATTCAAACATAAAGGCCGCAGCACCATGGCAGAGGAGGAGAGTGCAGAAGTAGTTCTGCTTTCCCACCATTGAGGGCTAAGGTCTGGAATCCTTCATGAATACCAAGGTAAACCTGTCAGCCAGGGACAGCCTCTGGCAGACACTCTGCATGGCTGGAGGGCACAGACTCCACGCAGGGATGCGTTTCTGGAACTAATGATTTCTAGGGCAACTCTGATGGAAGTGGGCTGGGGTAGGGGAGAGGCTCAGGATGTTCTGGGAAGGGGGGGGCAAGATATCTATCTGTTAATGGTCCTCTGGTTCATAAAATGGAACAGGCAACCAGTGCTGCCATGTCTATATATGTTTTGACATCAGATGAAAGGAGAGAGAATCCCCATAAAAATACAAATACCTCACAGCTATTGTAAACACTAGAAACTTCTGAACTACATTAGTAAAAACCAAGCAGCCAATGTCTTGGTCTAATGTAAACTGCTGGAACTTTCGGCTGGGGCATGTATCAGCAGCCACATTAAGACATTTGCATCCCATCCATCTAGCTGAAGCATAAACAGGCCAATTAGATTTCTGACGGCTTAGCATATACAGTGTCTGCTCATTTATTTGACCTTGGTGAGGCCTTTATCAGGTTAATCCATCCCATCCTAGAAAATGGGAAGCCCTTTTAAGTGCTTGAAAGAGGAACCCTGATATTTCTGGGCGGGAACAACCCCGGCTGAGAGGAGAGCGCTGGGATTCCAGCTGCCAGGTTTCCAGCTGGGGGCTCTAATTCAGGCTAAGTTTCCTCATTCAGCATCCCCCACAAGGCTGAGCGAGACCCTCCTGTAACTCATGAGACCCCAGCACACCTTGCATTTCCCCTGGTTTTGCCTGTGAACTTGTCTCTCCCCTAAAAGACCTTAGGCTACACAGAGGGATATGGGGGTCCCCATTATTTGCTGTTGTGCAAATGGCACTTATGGGGTGCTTGTTATATTTGTGTTAAACGAGAAAGTAAATATGCAAAAGAAACTCTACTTGACATTGAGCTTTTATATCATAATGATAACGTTAGTGCCTGAAAAAGTGTATACTAAGAACAAAGGAAAAGCTAAAATCAAACTAAGAACTAAAATAAAACACAGACCAAAACATTTAACTCAGTTGGGCAACTCTCTACTTGGTATTGGCAAACAGGAATTTAGGAACTGGCTTGCTGGCTTAGCAGTAGTTTGTGCTGAGAAGTCTAGCTCCATGGACATTGCAGGGAGGTAGCTGGAGATGCAGACCCAGCCCTCATCCCACCTCCCGCCCCCCGAAATCGGCCCTGCACTTAGACCCTCAGATGATTCCTCAGCACATCGGTGTGAGAAGCGCTGGTCTACAGCGATTCCACTTCACCATTCACTCTATGCAAAAACTACAATAAGCAAGCTTGGCACTCATTCTAAGAAGGCGGCCTCCATGATGCCAAATTGCCCAGTGGGCTATGCCACAGGCCAACCAATGGACTCATCTCTTTCCCGTAATAAAACTTTGGCTAAAACTTCTAGTTGAAACCCTCTTCTTTTTACTTGAAGATAAGAAGCGTATCTCTCTCTCTGACACACACACACACACACACACACACACAACCTCTCAGTACTGAAGCGTGCCAAACAAACCAATCATTTCTCACATCTGGTTCTGCCCTGTCATGGTTCTAATCCTGGACTATCTTTTACTTATTGGTGATTCTGGCCTTAGAGCTCCATAAAGTAGCAGAGTTCTATCCAAGAGCAGGTCCCTCACAAAGCCATGGAGGCTGCTCAAAGAAGCAAGTGGTTTCCTCCTCTGCAGTTCTCAAATTCTTTTCAAAAGGAAAACTCACTGTTCTTTTATATTTCACAAAGTCATATTCTTAATTAAATCAACTGGAAACGACTTGCCTTGAGATCCAAACTAGGCTTAGATTCCCAAGAGTTGACACCAAAGTCCAATGCTAAATGCTTCCTAATTGTGGGGACTCGAATATGAAATCTGAGCACGTCATTTTCACTTCTTAAAAGAATAAAGTCAGGTGACAATTTTAGGTATTTTTAAGTTTTCCTTTCTACAGTTTGAAGGAGAGGGAGCGTAGGTCAAATGTGGCATTTCTTTCTGCAGTGTTTCTAACCCGAGACAATAATGGGCCACCTATTGGGTGATCCTTTGGCTTCAAGCTGCAGAGTTGTCTTTGCTGCCAGCCCCAAATCCTTTACCTTCTGTTTTCAAGATACTCCCCAAGACAGCTCTAGAAGAGAGCTTGTCTTTATACCTCCGAATATCTCTACGTTAACAAGTTCAAAAGAAAGCAGAGTCACGATGACGAGGTGCTGCAATCTACCAGATACAGAAGGAAATAAGCAACGAAGATCACCTGAGCTAATAACAATATTTTTTTTTTTGAGACAGAATCTCGCTCTGTCACCCAGGCTGGAGTGTAGTGGCGCAATCTCAGCTCACTGCAACCTCCGCCTCCCGGGTTCGAGCAATTCTCTGCCTCAGCCTCCCAAGTAGCTGGGATTACAGGCACCCACCACCACGCCCGGCTAATTTTTGTATTTTGAGTGGAGATGAGTTTCACCATCTTGGCCAGGCTGGTCTTGAACTCCTTGACCTTCTGATCCACCCGCCTCGGCCTCCTAAAGTGCTGGGATTACAGGCGTGAGCCACTGCACCCGGCCCAATCACAATGATTTCTAAAACATGTCTCCTTGCACACGCCTGCTTACCTGACAATGAAGTCGAACTCAGATCCCGCCAGCATCAGCACTCCCAGCAGAGTGGACACGGCGCCATCCAGGACGGGTGCAAACATGTGCTCCAGGGCAAGCACAGCCCTGCGGTTCTTGTCGCCGATGGCCGTCAGAAAGGCCTGTGCAATGAGGATGTTCACAAGATCAGGTTGCTGGACTTCACCTGGTAAATGCTCAGCTCTGTCCTAAATGTTACAAGCTCTCAGAACTGCTCACATCTTACTGTTTTAGTTGCTAGAATGTGTAATCAGAGTAGCTCAACTAGCAGCACCTAGACTTAAACTAAGATGACCTCTTCATGACACTGGGTCATATTTGGTGTTGACGTAAATCTTGAACACAGTAAAATCAAAACTATATAAAAATGGACAGAAATGTCCCCTTCTTTTCACTGATACTCACCCCGAAGTTTCCCCCCTCCTTAAATGATCTCACACCACTCACACGTGAGACCTCCAATTCCCACAGCACAGGATTCTGGCTAATGCATTGGATGGCTAAGAGCTTAGCTCAGTGTCCCAAGCAATTGGGTGCTACACACACTTCCTCACGATTATGCAGAGGTGAGACCTTCTGTCACTGTTTCAGGCTATGTTTGTAGTACATCTAAGCACTATGAGTGTATTGCAAGAAATACACAGGACCGTACATTTGAATCAAGCCCTTCTGAACATTGTGTGGACACATCCCTGTCTCTCCTGCAGTCCTAAAGCTCTCCTAGGCCAGAAATGCTGTTGATAACTAAACGGGAACTTTGCAGAGTAAATTCTGGAAGATCAGACTGTTGGCCTGAACGTGTGACCCCTGCAGGGAGTGTTGAACCTGGCACAAGTTCTCTCTCTGAAGTTCAGGCTGCTCTGGATTATGCCGAGAGGAGAGGGCTGGGTGTCTTTGGCAGGATGCGTTTCTATCCCTTACCTACCTGCAGAAGGACTGAGACGGTCGTTCTCCTTAACAGATGAAAAAATACAAATATACAAAGGTGTGCTAAGAGTTTTCATACTTTTCTCTCAAACAGGTTCTACTCTTTCAGAGTTGGTAAAGACATTAGGGTCAATATAGCTGCCTTCTGCTCTTGGGGCAAGGCACCAAAGGGGTTTTTCAGCCATGCTGGCTTGCATCATATTTGGGCCATGAGGCCATAAGGGCCTAGTTGTGACTACCCTGTCACACACTGTTTCTATGTTACTGAGACAGCAAATGAACGGGAACCCACTGATTTCCTAAAGACATTCATGAAAGAAGACTCTTCTTCACAGCCTTATTCTACCATTTTACAAACCTTGAAAGAGCAATAACTGCCAACTCTAAATGCAATTTCACATAGAGGATCAGAATACTGAAAATGACTTGGACTAGAAGTCCTAGAGTTTAGAGACTGCAGTTAGCATTTCCATGGTAAAAATCTGCTCTGGGATACCCATTTGCCCTGCTAGCTTCCAAAAAAGGTGGTTTCCATTTGCATCAGAATAAAATAACTTATGGATTCTTAACTCACATGCAAATTTATCTCCCTTTTGAAGAACTGTATTGGAATTATGGGTTTTCTAAACTCTAGGCTGGCACTCTTCTTTTTAAAAAAATAGTCCCTCCTCCCAGCTCAAAGGAAGAAAATAATTTGAGCAGGCTCAAAATTTAGAGAATACTGTTGCCATATTATTGGCTTTTTATGATACACTGTAAAAAAAATGGGATAACTTCAACAAAGCATTCCTTCCAAAACACAAAAGTTTACAATCTCTCAATTGTATCACAGTAGCCCTGGAAAGACTGCAGAAGGCACAAGGCTGCAGCCTATGTGGAGACATGCATGTGCCATGTGCTGAGCCCAAAGGAAACCTGTGCTAGAGATTGCAAAAGCAATGGCGGAAGTGATTTGGTCAAGCCCAGTGCTGGCTTCCTAGCTAGGGTATTTCGCACGTCGATATTTAACAGGTGAACGCATTTACTTATTGAATGCCTACTGATAACCCCAAGTTCTTAGGCTCTAATCTGCAGACAGAACATAATTTACACAGTTGTGATGTTTTGGATAATTCTTTGATAAATGTATACAACAGATTTATCTCTTGGACTAAAGATTCCTTCTGAAGTTTAATTACCTCCAACAAAGCATTCACAGGGCAAGATAGAGAAAAAGAGAGGGAAAAAAATGTCTGTTGAAAGCAACACTGGTTCTCTTACTTTCTGCTATCATGAATGTAGAGGCTGGGAGGTCTGAGGAACTGGGTGGGCTTAGGTAGAAGAGCCAGTTCCCCGGGGCTGAACAATGGAGCCTCCACTCCTAAGCCCGAGGGTACTTCCTTGGCTGCCAGCTCACCTCATCCTCAGTGATGCCATCCCCAAGCCTGTGAGTGTGGTCTCATTTTATCCCCACTGTTCCTGTTGTTTTTAAAACTCTGTGTATGCCCACCCACACACTCACCACATAATCCGCCTTATGAACAAACGTCACAACGTCAGGAATCGTGGGGGTATAATGACAGTCAAAGTCAGGTGAGCACGGCCCTTCAAGGCCCACTCCAACACACCAACCCTGCACTGCCTACGGCTGACAGGGCCCGCTGCCATGTACCTTCCATACCCCTCTCCTTAGCCTCCCTTGAGGGAAAGGAATCCAGAAATCTTGCAGGCTCTCCTAGGGGGCCCCTGTGCCCTGAGGCCTTTTCACTGCCACGCACAGGGAGAATGCAAGGTTCCCACTTGGAGACAAACAGAGCCAGAGGAAATGGGTTGTTTTTTCACAAAGTTTTTGCTTCAAATGTCTCCCATACCAAAGCAACGTGAACGGTGAACTCCACTCCTATGCCAACAGAAGCGATCAGGATGACCACGGGCACGGCACTGAGCTTGATTCCGATGAGGCCCATCATGCCGAACAGCTCGACCGTCATCAGCGCCAGGACCATCACCTGGAGCAGGGCACACAGTGGTCAGTGGGCGGGCAGGTCACCCTCTGGGGCTGCCCACAAGGGAGGTCGCCAGAGGGCTAAGGTGTCCTCGGTTCAGATCAAAACAATGAATGGACTGACTTGCTTTAACTCTGGACACTGCCTTTACTGCCTAATTCATCTTCCCGCTGGGAAGGGAGACTGTGGGACAGCTGATGTGTAAAGCTGTAGAAGGCAAAGTAGAGTGTTCTAATGCAAATTATTTTCCAATGTACCTTCTCCAGAAAGCAAAAAACATACAGAACAACTCCACCAGCGCAATCCACGAGGAATTGCACAAGCATGGCCGCATCACTTAGCTGCGAATTTCACAGTTTACAACAAGACCCATCTCTCCTCCTGCTTGGGTCTCAGCCGCCAGAGACCATCCGTGAACCCATCATTAAGTTTTTGGTTGCCTCACTCTCCATTCTAAAGAAAGCTGATAGGACGGGGTGAATAAAAGATTTGCAGGTCAAAGTAGTTTTGCTTTTGTGAGTGAACCTGCAGGCTAAGCAAAGATGATGTGGGGGCCAGGTAAGCGGGGAGGTCGTCATCAGCTGACGCTGTCAGGTTACAGGAGCCCTGCACTTTGAAGAGCTGGGGACAGCTGGGGTGGACTGAGCCAACTGTTAAAATCCAAGGAAAAGCTTCTTGCCTTTCATCTTCCTTGTAAAAATTTGTGGGGAAATGGAAATAAAATCTGTGAGTTAGATTTGGAGTTTCTTGGTCCAAAGCGGAGAAGATACAAATAAACAACAAGTTACCAGATGGAAGAGAAGGAGAAAAATGATCTTTCTTCTCTGGGGGTGGGTGGTGGGCAGAGGTGGAGGGAGGGGAAGGAATGATGAAAGATGGACAACATCAATTGCTAAGTGCCATGAAAACTCTCACAGACTAAACATTTACCTTTTAATGTACCTGCTGCACAGACTCACGGTGCAGACACAAAATCTGGCCTTTGTTTTTATAATTTTGGCATTTTAAAGGCTATACCATAGTTCACAGAATTTAAACATTGCCACGGTTTTATTAGACTCTACATGAAACTTACATCAAAATCTGAGAGTATTTTGGAGAAGGGATGCCAAAAAACAGGTTCGTAATATTAGTTTATCATTTTCCCCCAGGACTTAAAACACACAAAATCATTTTCTCCATATATCACTCTCCTAACTTCTCTGATTGTCCCTTCATGTTAAATGCAGAAGAACCTGCTATGTCGTTATTAGGCCTGGATGAGGTCACAAAATGACACTTTTCAATTAAAGAAAAAATGAGCTAGGCTTTGAGTGTTTTGATTTAATAAATGTTCAGAGCTGTGATGGAAGGTGTGCTTTAAAAAGTCCCCTATCTTTCCACAAAAATCTTCAAGCTACAGGAGAGAGGACCTACGAATAAGGCCATTAGAGGTTCTACCTTAACCATGGACCTCACCACCTCGAGTAGAATAAACATATTACGGATGATGCAAGCTATACCCTCCTCCAGAGGCCCAGACATAAACAAAACTTCCCGGCTGCAGAAAGAGCTATGCTGAAAGGAATTTGACTTCCACAAAGCCCCTTATAATACACTCACAATGATCCCGGCCGTCCAGGGGTTCAGAAGGAAGACAGCGCACACGAGGAATGTGCAGGCCAACACCACGCTGATGAACAGCAGCAGCCAGTGGCGGAGGCCGATGTACTGCTCCCAGAAGAGGAAGGGGTAGCCGTTGGGGTAACTGGACAGCCCCAGGCTCGTATAGTTGCTGCAGATGGTCCTTACTTTTTCAATTGCCTCCACAAAGTCTGAGGTGTCCCGCAAGCCGTTGAGGTAGAAAGGGAACTGGGCATACTCGATGGGCTCTGCTGCCGGGACTGGACAGAGAAGGGCACAGGTTAGGAGCAGCCCAGGGTAGAAGAGCATCACAGTTTCAATGGAAAGAGAGAAGAACTTTGCATGAAAGCTTACTGACTGCTCTTCTACATGATACAAAGAACAAACAATGCTGATCATAGCCTCCAGGCCTTTACGATCTTCCCATTTGGTTTAAAAATGTTTAACTCTGTGATGTGTGTATTTTTTAAGATTTGATTTTAATCTTCCAGCAGTCATTCTTTGTGAGGGGTCTAAAAACTCCAGGCTTACATTTTGGGAACATTTTTTTGTTCCCTTGACACATATGAAAATACCAAGTTCACACAGTTTTATTCAATCACTTGCAAGAGCAAAAGAACTCAAGAGTCATGCTTTCCTGAGAAAAATGCTTAACTTATCCTTTTAGTGCCTGAACAAACTTCAACCTTGTATGCTTCTTTTCTAATGCAATGCTAAGTCTTCAGCAACAGGGGAAGAAATCCTTACACAACAAGCATTTAGTTACTGCCGTTGTGTGTTCCAGACCCTCTGGGGTCATTCAGTTGACTTGCTAAACATGATTTGCCCTATTATAATCTCAACTATAAATTTTCATTAAGACAAGCCTTGGCTGCCTGCCACAGGGCTCTGGGCAGCACTGGATCCGGGGAAGCACTACTCGCTGAGTCTCCAGCCATGTTTGCAAGGGGACCCGTCTTCTTTCTCACATCCTCCCTTGGCCCGGTATCCAAAGCATACGCTACTAATATCTCCACCAGAAATGCAAATGAAATCCACACAGAACCACCTTTCAAACTCTGGGCTGAGAGGTGAAAGGAAGAGGACGCTGTTGTATACAGACTTTTCTGCTCCGGTTTAAACAGCTTTGACACAGTGCAGGTGCTTGGTGGCTTATAGGAATGACCCAATGTGCCAAAAATCCCTTCAACACCAGAGTTGACAAAGTTAAGATAAACATATAATCCCCAGCGATAAAACTCTGCAATAGTAAAATAACACTTAACCTGGAGGCGTCCCCGGTGTTCACAGGGAACAGCTGGCACGTGAGAGCAACGCCTAATGAACGTCTTAGCATTAAAGCTACGAATGGAGACGAGACACTGATTTCCCAATGTGATAGAGTGCGGGGGTTGTATCCCATTACACATCCTCGTCTCCCAGAGTTTTAAACGAGAAGAAATAGATTGTTCTGTTTACACTTCTGAACCCTGGGTAGCGTCAACGGATGAAGGCTGTTGCTGAGTTTGGAGAACCAGGGAAGGCACCTCTGTAAGTTCCCAGACCTCCCGATAAAACGCTACTTACTTCTCAGCCTTGTTTCAGGCATGTAGTCGGCTTTGTCGTGGACCCATTCTGGTCGGTGTGGCCGGATGTTGGCCTGGGAGGCAGCATACGCGACGGGGTCGTTGCTGACCCAAGCCGTCAGGTAGATGTAGAAAGCGCTGGGATTAATGATGCCATCTGCATCCACCAGACGCTGTTTAGTCAACTACAAAAACGGGAAGAACAGAGGCCTTTGAGAATGGGGTTGGGGGTAAACACACTTCTGCCTTGAGAGCACAGAAGCTGAGCTTCGCACAGCATTACAACAAAGAATAGAATGCCTACTGTTGAAAGTGTCGAAAATCCCATCAGAACACCTTTGATTTCTTTCAATGTGCACTTATCGGAGGATGCAATCACTGGCGTGTTTATAACAAACACAGTTCTGCAGATGGCCCAGGAATTGGCTGAACCAATTAAATCTGAATGCTAAAAGACCGTCTGCAGCCAAGGCAGAGAATGAACAATCTGGAGAAACATATTTATAGGAGGGGAAGGGGGAGAAACCTGGCAAGAATCCCCATGCACGTCTGTGTGCAGTTAACCTCTGTTGTTAACACTGAAGGAAATGCCACCCAGTAAATGGAGGAGAGCTATAAAAATAAAACAACATCTGTATAAATTTTGCTAACACTAGCCTCCTATGACCTGTGGATTCAAAAAATGCCCAGCGCCAGAAAGTGCAAGGGACGAGTGCACACCCTCAAGCCTCGCCAGGTGATCTTATTCCCGGAGGTCGTAGTACTCCGCACGCCGCGTCCTCTGCGTGGCCAAATGTGCTCCCTCGGCAGGAGGGCTTGTGGGCTTTGCTGAGGTGGGGAACTCTGTGGGACTCAGTATGTGTTTGTACGTTTTATATACATAGAAAAATTCCGTTTCCTGTTTATTTTAGATTCAGGCCTCATTCCTCGCTTTGGGTCTTTTTTAAACAAAATGAAAAACACCAGTGACAGCGGCTCCTAGAGAAGGAGTGAAGGAAGAAGGAGCAGGGAGAGAGTGAGAGAACTGGATTTCGGGGATCTGGATTCAATTAATCCACAGGATATGTAACAACTGCATGTCCTCAACACATCCCTGGAATCAAACAGCGCAGCCCGTGGCCTCTGTGCATGCAGCACGCCTTTCTCCCTCCCGGGAGGAGGAAATGGTATCTGGGGGTCTGGCCCAATCCCATTTGTCCCACAGTATCCCTGGTCCCTCGCCCAGCCCTGCTGCCTGGGCACTTTCCTGGTGTCTCTGAGGCAGACTCCTCTGCCTGCATCCTTGGGAAACGTGATGGTCTGCTGCCTGCTGCTGTGAGCTCAGAGTTTCACACTCCATAACAACTCTGAACAATGTACTTTGTAAATCTGTCACCTTGAATGCCAGCAAAAAAGGGGAGACAATAAACATAGCTGCTGAGAAGATCATTAGCATGACGGTTTTCTGCCTGAAGGTGAAGCAAGCAAGCTACAAAGAGCCAAGGGAAGAGGCTCCGAGGAAGCTGAGGTAGCCCGGGCCCCGTGCAATTGGAGGAGTCCAAAACACACTCCTGAACACACCTGCAGAACCAAAAGGGGTATGCTGGAATCCAAATGGCAGCAAGAAGATGCAAACACAAGTGGAGAATATGATTCCCAAACAGAAACGGTTATTACTGCAGGAGTGAGCAGAATGGCGCAGCCACTCTGATTCCAAGGGTGCACATTTCCGTTTGCTTCACTCATCACAGAGCGATCTGTCTACTCCTGGGGCCAGGGCCACCCAAAGATCTCAAATGTAACAAATCTTCCCATCCTTCTGTCACCTCTCCAATCTCCTAACCCACCCACCTACCCCAAATTCTGCTCATCCAAATGACTGCTACCCAAGAAATCCATCTTTCCAAGCTTGAATACCATCAAGACCAACAAGGTACCGAGTCCTAGAACTGAAAGAATCACACGCCGCTGCATTTCTAACATTGGAAAGAGCCTGCACTCTCTTGGCTGCACTTTATTCTGACAATTGTTCTGGTGGTAGGAACACGCCTGTCCCATTTGACAGATGAGGAAAGTGAGGTGCACTGGCTGGCCTGAGGTCACACAATTAGCTGGTGGGAGGAGGTGAATTAGAGTCACCCAATATTCTTTCTACCAGCTCCCAGTGCCTTAGGTCTCCAGAGAGCACAGGGTGGGGTCACACGCTGTCAAGCAGCCTCCACCAGGGCAGCGGCCCCGCAGCCCTGGAAGCGCCCTCAGTGCCCAGCAGCTGGAGTACCTGGCTGATGTCGATGGGCTTATCGCGGCTGCCGGTTTGCACCAGGAGTTTGTAGGCAAGGACTCCATCGTCTGATCCATTCTTGTAATTGTTTGGCATGATTTTCCCGGTTTCCCAGTCACTGTCAAATGCATCCTGAAGTCCTAGAAATGGCAAATGATTGTAACACATTATAACTCGCAGCCAGAAGGACCCTGGTCCTAGCGGGGTGGGCTGAGGAGACTGAGCAGGGCAGGGGGCTCTTAGACGTCCATCAGAAACACACCCTCTGTGTCCCACATCCACTTTGACTGAAAGCACTGGATCTTTCATGAATGAACTGCAGCTGCTGCCAGCCACTGCTCAAAAGGGGGGAAGGAGATTATCTGTTTCTATGAAACAAATACTCATATTTTATCTTAAGAAAAACCACTCTCCTCCTTTCGCCCCATGACAATTACAAAAGAAGGCAAGAGTGCGACGGAAAGACACGCACCAGGGTCATTAACCGTTTCGTGCCACTCGGGGTGCTAAGTCATGAGTTCTTCAATACAACCAGAAATTCCACACAGAGGGGAAAAAGCACATTCAAACTCCCCCAACTTCAAACAGCAGCTCAGCTGCTTCTGGAGCCCAGGGTGAGCGAACACGATTCTGTCAATTTGTTCCATCTGTTCGACTTGTGGAGCTAACACAAGCTGTGGGATCCGCTGCCAGGTTGTGTAAAGATCACAGCCAACACCTATTCACTCTCGACTGCTCTCTTCCTCTCTGCCACCCTTCCTCAGGAGAGGGGGTGGAGGAGAAGGAAGGGAAGGCGCTCGTGTGCACGCAGGGAAATACCTCACAGGGTAAATTTGGATCCGATTGAGAACAGGAAGCCACAGGCCAATACAAGGAGGCTCTGTGAGAACAGATGACAAACCACAAGCCGGGGAGGGGGAGGAAAGAGCTTTCTGGGCCTGGGGGATGGGCGAGCCCGCCAGCACACCACACACAGCTGCGCTTGGCCTCAGTAATCAAAACCATCATTACAGACCTGACGGTTTGGCTGCAGCTGTAAAGAGATAAGCATGTTGGAAGAGAAAACAGGGCCCCGGTGACCCGGCCTTAGGGTCTGAGCGCTGGCTGGTGCGCACGCTCTCCGGGACACCCCCCTCCCCCCACCCACCCTTGCCCCTCCCAGCCACCTCCCAAGTAGAGCTCCCAAGCCCCAGCAGCTCAGGAAACCACAGCTTTTGAACAAGCTGTACATGTATGGGTTGGACACGGCTAGTAAGAAGGGAGAAGCGTTTATTTCATTTCGGGACATGCCTTGGATGATTTCAAAGGCTTCAAAAAAAATCTGGTTGCGTTAGTGCTCAGAATGGTTAAGCTCTTGGGGTCTGAAGTGTGGGGAGGGAGGGGGAGCACAGGCCCCCTTCTGTCTCTCTAAGAAGCGAAACCCTCCTTCTGACACTACTGGCTAGAGGAACAATTTGGGGATGACAGTGGGCTCGGTGGTGAAAGGAGTCTGTGTCAGGGTGAGCGTGGAGGGGAGACGGGACAGGAGACCACCGGGTGGGCCGTGCACCTCTCAGACAGACGGGTTTTCATAGGGAGGCATGCACACACAGGGTACTGAGCAGATGTTATTTTATTACTGAAAGCCCTTTCTTTCTGTTTTTGAAAAACAATAAACAGCAGAAGAAAAATTACTGCGCCTCCTTTCCCCTCAAAAAGGGAGGCCTCGTCTGTTTTCCTCGCTGTAACAATTTTCATGATGTCATGACGTGTCCTGGGCTTTAAGCCCCTCTCCCTTAACCAGCTAATCCTGAAGAGAGGCTCACACTTGGTGAGTGTGGGGTGGCGCTGGGCATCCCACGGCAACCAAGGGACAGCCCCGTTAGAGTTAATCACTCCGGCTTCACAGATGGAGGAACTGAGTCTTGGAAAGGGGAGACTGGAGGGGGCCACCCAGCAGGTGAGTGTTGGATGGAGCTCAAACCCAGGCAGCAAGTCACCAGAGGCAGCTGGAGCCACTCACTGGCCTACAGTGCGGGGACACACCGTGGTACCCAAGGATGTGTCAAAGGCAGGAGTAAGACAAGCAGGTTCAACTCCAGCATCAATAACATCTGGTGGCAAACGGGGTCCCCAAAATCTGGGGGCGGTTTTATGATATTCACACACAAAGACTTCTGGGACACCCGAGGGTGAAACAAAGGAAGAAAGATCCTATCTGGGGAGGTCAGCCTTGCTGGAAACTCGATTCAACTCAGAATCCACACTGCTGGTCACTTAGGTGCCATTCACTCTACTGGGGGTTCAAAGATGAATACGAAACAGTCATCGACTTTCTGGAACAGTTAAGTTCTTTCCCCATTACTACAGTATTTTCTGACTAATCACCAAAAAGCTCAAGTAACAAGGGGCTGGCCTAAGCACATGTACAAGGTACGACCCTGGATACAAAACAAGGGATAAGGTTGGGTTTCCACTGCCCTTTAGCCAGTGCTTCATATTCCAATGCATGCACACTCTAGAAAATTGTGACTTTTTACTTATTTTACAGCAAACCTTAATATCTTAGCTAGAAGTTCTCCTCTTATGAATATTTTGTGTCAATAATTATTTTCTAATGTAAAGTTCTAGGCCAAAGGAATAACCCCAATTGCCCATTTTCCTTCAGCTATGGGACCCTAGAAGTAAAATGTTAATCAAAATTTTGTTTGCATAATCCAGTGTGAAATAAAAATGAACACATTTGTACATGACTCGAGGCATGGTTTTTATCTGACTCTGCCTTATTTGCATGTATGTTTTAAGATGTGACATGTGGGATAGTTTTGAAATTAACCATTATATAGTTTTAGGAGTAAAAAAAATCAAAGACAAACTATTGTAATGTCGATAAAGACCAATGAGATGACATAGTTTTAATGGGAATTCCATTAAAAACCAATGAGGCTCCCACCATTTAAAAGCCACACAAAAATGTCAGCAAGGAAAGCTGACTCAAGGATAATTGTTTCCTTGTAGAAAATGTTCAAACACCACATCAACCATTCAACAGGCCTGAAAAACGTGTAGGCAGCAAAGGGCTCCAGTGTCTGGTCATTCTGTGTTGAGTGCTCTAGCGGACCCTGTAAGAGTCAGTCATGGAGTCCCAGGGCTGCCTGGGACCCTGATTGCTTAGCACCAATGGATCTCACTTGGTCTAGGTGTATGCTGTTCACACAGCAATCAAAACATGATTCAAATGCACCTTAAAAAAAAAAACTCAACTCCAGCTGATTTACATCTATAAAGGAAGAAACGTATAGAGATGATCTACAATGCTCTATAAAAAGGTTAACCCTTTGCACTGCCTCGAGACAATCCCCCTTTACCCCCTTCCCAATCCCTGCCTAACATGCCACATTGAGCCTCCAGAGCAATGGCCAAAGACACTGAAATACACTCTACAATAACCCTTCTCTGCTCACAGACTGGCAGGGCACAGCAGATCTCTTTGTCATTTGTGGCAAGTTATTTATATGTCTTTGGTCAATGGGGGGAAAATGAAAGCAGGGACTCTCTCCACTGTCTCTCTTTTAACTCATTATCCCAAAAACCATTGCTTTCTAAACTAAATGTGAAAAATAAAACTTGGAACAAATTCACGTTCGTCTCAGGAGGGTGTTAATAAATAATAATCATGGCATGTTCTCTGTACCTTCCTCCAAAAGGAAAGTCAAATTGGGTGTACATGTAGACACAAAGTTCTGGTAAACACAAGTCAAGGCCAGAAGCTGTATGGAACCATCCTCTACCAACCTCAAGTTGTTGACCATTTCCTGCAAACTCTCAGGGAAACTGGCTGCTGAGTCTTTACATACAAGTGTATTGACTTCAGACCAAAAAAGGCACTTACATCTGTGTTTAAACAAGCCTAATTAAGTGGGAAATTAAGACAATCATTTGGATAATCCAAGCCAAAAAATGTTGGGGGCCATAATGATTTGGTACTCCAGTAAAAGTGTTTTGCTTGAATTGGGTGGATAATTATCCTGATTCTCTACTTGGCTTTGCATGTGTCAATGCAGAATAAATGAACAGATGTTCCTGGAATCACTGCATACATTTACGTGCAGTCGGTCAGGAGAAAATTTAGACTTTTTTTTCCCCTCCAGCTGATGAATATTTCCTAGAAACATTTCTAAGAGTGAAGAAGCCAATAAAGGCACTGTTATTTATTTATTATTTTTGGAGATGGAGTCTCGCTCTTGTCGCCCAGGCTGGAATGCAATGGCACAATCTAGGCTCACCGCAACCTCCACCTCCCAGGTTCAAGCGATTCTCCTGCCTCAGTTTCCTGAGTAGCTGGAATTACAGGCACCCACCAGCACGCCCAGCTAATTTTTGTATTTTTAGTAGAGAGCTGGTTTCACTAGTAGGCCAGGCTGGTCTCGAACTCCTGACCTCAGGTGATCTGCCCGCCTTGGCATCCCAAAGTGCTGGGATTACAGGCGTGAGCCACTGTGCCCCACCAAGAAAGGCATTTTAAAACAGAATTTAATTATTTATAAAATAATGTGAAATGTTACTAAGCATTTATAACTTTACTTCAAGTACCAAATCAAAAAATGGTCAAAATGAACCCAACCGTAAACTATGGAGCCTGGGTAATAATGTGCAGGTTCATCAGCTGTAACAAATGCATCCCTCTGGTGCGGGATGTTTACAGTCGAGGGGGCTGTGTGTGGGTGAGGAAGGGGGATATGGGCCATCTCAGCACCTTCTGCTCAATTTTCCTGGGAACCTAAAACTGCTCTAAAAACAAAGTCAATTAGAAATAGATAATTTTTAAAGAGATGGTCAAAATATGGAGTGTAAGACTATGTCCACTGCTTATCTAGCATCTCCTGGTGCAGTAAGCTATAATTTGGCAATCAGTCTGGAAATCCCAGCCGCACTTTGATTTTATGTGGTCACCAAACTAGCCACCGTCTATCCAAGAGGAAAGAGCACCAGAAGCCTCGGCTCCACCTGTTACAACATGCTCCCCTTTTCCTGACGTGCACTTGTACATTCTCACAGAAGCTCATCTGAATTATCTGCATCATTTTATAGGTAAAAGCCAGATCTGGGAGGCTGCTGCAGAAACAGTTCATGTAAGAATCTTGAGCAACTCTTAAAAGTCCATGAAACACGTCAGTGTTACATTCTAATCTAACGCTCTCATAATCATGACAAAGGAACCTGTTGAAGCTGAACACGCAAAAGACCGAAAGGACGAGAGCCTCCCACGCCGTCTTACCCTGAAGCCAGTCTCTGAAGTAGTGCAGCCACATTTTGGGAAGCTGTTTGTTTTCTTCCAACATGACATACTTCACGTTACTGAAACTCCTGTGTAGGTCGTAAAGTAAGTGCTGGATATTCGGGTAGTCTGCTTTCTGGGTGACTATATACATGTTGTAGAAAGAAAAGTATTTGAATTGTGCAGCAATAAAGTCATATTCTCTGGTTTCCCGAGGTACAATGTCCGTAAGGTCCAGCCCGTCTCTCACTCGGGTGGTGCCATAAAGGCTGACCCCCAGCAAGCCCAGAAAAAGGAAGATCACCACTACCTGGAACAGAAGAGGCACAAGGTCAGACCCCAGGGAGCACCACTGACTCTTCCTGGACAAAGAGAAGCTGTCTAGTTAATACCTTGTTTTCACCACCACACTTAAACTGATTTATCTTGTAGGGGTTGTTCTCCCATAGGAAAAAGGATAAAATCATAGTAATCGCATTTTTATTTTGTTTTGTTTTATATATAATTTTTTGAGACAGTCTTGTGTTGCCAAGGCTGGAGTGCAGTGGTGCCATCTCGGCTCACTGTAACCTCCACCTCCCAGGTTCAAGCAATTCTCGTGCCTCAGCCTCCCAAGTAGCTGGGATTACAGGTGTGCACCACCACGCCTGGCTATTTTTTTTTGTATTTTTAGTAGAGACAGGGTTTCACCATGTTGGCCAGGCTGGTCTTGAACTCCTGACCTCAGGTGATCCACCCACCTCGGCCTCCCCAAGTGCTGGGATTACAGGCGTGAGCCACCATGCCCAGCCTTGTTTTGTTATGTATCTGAGTTGGGATCTCACTCTGTCTCCCAGGATGGAGTGCAGTGGCATGATCAGGGCTCACTGTTGCCTCCAACTCCTGGGCTCAAATGATCCTCCTGTCTCAGCTGCCCAAGTAGCTAGGACTACAGGTACACAGCACCATGCCTTTTTTCCCCCTCTCTTTTGAGACAGGGTCTTACTCTGTCACCCAGGCTTGAATGAAGTGGCACCATCACGGCTCACTGTAGCCTCGACTCCCTGGGCTCAGTGACCCTCCCACCTCAGCCTCCTAAGCAGCTGGGACTATAGGCACATCACCATGCCCAGGCAATTTTTTGTAGAGATGGAGTTTCATCATGTTGCCTGGGCTGTTCTCGAACTCCTGGGTTCAAGCAATCCGCTGGCCTTGGCCTCCCAGAGTGCTGGGATTACAGGCGTGAGCCACCACACCTGTCCCTGGCTAATTTTTAAAATATTTTGTAGAGACAGGGTTGGCCTTTGTTGCCTAGGCTGTTCTCGAACTCCTGGCTCAAACAATCCTCCTACCTCAGCCTCCCAAAGCGCTGGGTTAACAGGCATGAGCCACCGCAAGTGGCAATAATCACATTTTTAAACAACCTCATTCATAAAAAGACTTGCTGCATAGAGGTTCACTCCCATGGAAGATGACCTCATTAAAATGGCCCTATGCTCTAAAAGCATTGACTTTTGGAGGACTGAAATGTATCATACTTAAACGAAATTTTTTTTTTTTTAAGGAAAAAGAAGAAAAGTAGAAGCAATCTGATGAACTCCAAAGGTTCTGTTATTTTTTTGAAGACAGGAAGAGCCTTAAGTTGTGGCAGATTACCTTGGCTTTTGGTTTCAAGAGGAAAGGAGCATAGTGCTTCTCAGCAAAAGATGAGAGTGTCCACTTCGTACAGGGGGGCTCGAGGCAGTGGAGGCTGGAGTCGGAGAACTGGGAGAGCAGGTCCCTTGTGGAGCTGGTGCTCTCTGGGCTCTGGCAGCTGAGGGTGTCCTGTGTCACGGTGACGGGCTGCACAGAGATCTCGGAGCGCGGCTCAGCGGTGGTGTAGTACACGTGCGTGTGGGGGTCGTACTCCGTGCGGAGCTGGACAGTGGACTGCATGGTAATCTGCGTTTCATGGGCAAAGCTGTGGCTGCTGTAGGGAGGTGGGGGGCTGTAGCGGGTATTGTCGTGTGTGTCGGTGTAGGCCTGAGGTTCAACCTGAATCACTCTGCTGACGCAGGGGCTGAAAGGAGGGGAAACATGTTGCAATGTTATGCTGAAACAGGGAAATGGTGCTTTCATTCTGCCATTTTTCACTGTGTACGGAGAATACCCATTTTACACAGCTCTGACTTAGGAGAGAAACATCACATTGCTGAATTCCAGAAACATCGCCTGGTTGATAACATCACCTGGTTCATCGCCTGGTGAACTAGATAAAAGTCAGTCTGAGGAGGCCACATGGAGGACTGATCCTAAATTTGGCTTTCAAAAGCAAGTTCCATGATGATGAATCCTTCAAAGCACAATTCCAAACAAAACCAAACCACCATCAAAGGACTATATATTTTCTAGATGGGTGTTTTTCAATCTTGTTCTGCTCTAATGCAGAGATATGAAACATTCCTACAATCGGCAACATCAGTTCATGATGGAAAAAGGGGTCATCGGAACCAGCATCTTGAGGGCTGTGAGACTGTTCAGCTGCGGCAGGGGAGAAGGAAGCCCAGGGACTCTGATGTCCCCCTAGGGAAGCAGCCTCTGTCCAATCTCTCCCCTACGTTCTCCACACCAGCACAAACCCCGTTACCCACATTCCTTTATAAGTCCACAGGCTGAAAGAGTTCTCTCACAGCACCATTCTGCACCCAATCAAAAGGCCACAGCAGTCTGAAAATGTACCTTGTAAAACAGCAGAAAATATCCAGTCTCCTGTCCTCGCGTCGATATAAATCCATGCTGAGAATTGCAGGAAAAATGAGCAGAACCATGGCAAAATTGAACACCACTACTACCGCTGCCTGGGAGCAGAAAAAAAATTCAGAGGTCACCAACATGCCTCCGCCCAATCAGAGGACTGCTTCGAAAATAAAGATGCTTTTAAACAATATTTTTCTTTCCCTTTCCTCTTGAAGCATTTGAAACCGTGACAGATGTTAAGAGTTTCTTTTGCTACATCATCAAGAGCCTATTTGATAGGAATAGTCTTGACTGTTTCTGGGCCTTTCTATCTCTAATAATTCCATAAACCGATAAGGCACAAACCTGGGAACTAAACTACTAACGTGTTGCTAGTAACCTAACCAAACCAAATCCACAAAGGCAGAACAGAGAGCACACTCGAGATAGAATTTAAAACAAACAGAAGCAGTTCCCTTCCAGAATGCTTCCAAGAGGTCACGCGACCCTGATTTTACAGTTAAACATTTTTATATAAAGTGGATCGAGTATATCAAAATGTCCCCCTTTAAAACGTGAAATACAATTTCACACGTGTCCCCTGAGGTTTTAATAGGCACATTCCAAATTGCCTCTGGAGTAGCCTGTGGGGTGTGAGAGCAAGAAACATAAAAGGTCAAGGAGAGTTAAGCAGAAAGAAATTCCTGTGTGTGATTATAGTACGCAGAATAAATAAGTACAGATTCAAAAGTCACTCCATAACCTAGAATAAACACAGGGCTAAATTCTGCAGTGCGTTGGCAAATCTTCTGCTGACCTAGTAAAAATTACAAAATTGGGCTGTTAATAGGGGAAGCCAACAGAAGCCGGTGGAAGTCGACCCAGCTCGGAAGGGCACGGCAGAAGGGGCACCACAGAGAAAAGCACTGGCAATGCTGAGGAGCCAGGAAATTGCCAGACATGGCTTTGAAAATAAAAAACGAGGCCAGGCGCGGTGGCTCACGCCTATAATCCCAGCACTTTGCGAGGCTGAGGTGGGTGGATCACGGGGTCAGGGATCTCCTGATCAAGACTATCCTGGCTAACACGGTGAAACCCCGTCTCTACTAAAAACACACAAAAAATTAGTTGAGTGTGGTGGCACATGCCTGTAGTCCCAGCTACTTGGGAGGCTGAGGCAGGAGAATTGCTTGAACCTGGGAGATGGAGGTTGCAGTGAGCCAAGATTGCACCACTGCACTCCAGCCTGGGTGACAGAGTGAGAGTCTGTCTCAAAAAAAAAAAAGAAAGAAAGAAAGAAAGAAAATAAAAAACGAGGCTTCTCAAAGAACTGCTTAGTTCACAAATCTCAAACTGATAAACGTCCTAGGGTGAGGAAAGAAAACCTGGCTATAACTGCCACCTAACACAATCCAGGGAGAACTTCCACAAAGGGCTTTGGATGGGAATTGTGAGTTTATGCTGAAGGTGAACCAGCAAGCCTGAGTTCCGGAGAGATGTCTTCCAATAATTAATTCCCTCTCAAGAGCGTTCTTCTAAAAACTACCTAACCTCTTTCTTCTTGGTCTATCTTGAAAATCCTTCATCAACTGAAAAATATGAAGCATGTTAGCTTACCACTCTAATGTATTTAAGACCTGTCTGATAGACCTACACAAATAAGCTCATCACCACTGTGACAAGAGAATTTACCTGAGAAAGAGAGAGATCTTTTAAAAAGAAAAGTCTAGTACTGTGCTGGGTGCTGGAGACACAAAGATAAATAAGACAAAATCCTACTCTCAATTCTCACAGAGCCAGACCTATACACAAATGACAATCTCGAATGATGGATGGCGTCATGAAGGCAGGTGTCAGGCTGCAGAGCAGCTCAGTGGGGTGGAGGGGTGGTCAGTCAAGGCAGGCTTCCCGGGAGAGGCTTCAGCAGGGTTTATAAGATGAAAAAGAGGGCCGGGCACAGTGGCTCATGCCTGTAATCCCAGCACTGTGGGAGGCCGAGGCGGGCAGATCACCTGAGGTTGGAGTTCGAGACCAGCCTGACCAACATGGAGAAACCCATCTCTACTAAAAACACAAAGTTAGCCAGGCGTGGTGGCGCATGCCTGTAATCCCAGCTACTCGGGAGGCTGAGGCAGGAGAACTGCTTGAACCCAGGAGGCAGAAGTTGTGGTGAGCCGAGATCGCACCATTGCACTCCAGCCTGGGCAACAAGAGTGAGACTCCGTCTCAAAAAAGAAAAGCAAAAGAGATCAGTCAGGAGCAGGGGAATGGCAGGTGCTCCCTGTGAAAAAAACACAGAGTGTGCAAGAGGAGACACCTGGCTCAAGCACCTCAGTACTGCTGGGGTTTGAAATTCACTTTGGGGAAGAGAAAGGAGAAGCTATGAAGATCAGATCGTTCATACCTGATTCATAGCAAACAGGAGGTTCTCACTGCTCTTGACAGTATTACCTGATAAAGTCCCCGAAGTGCGGTCAAGTCACCTGCCTGAGGTTATCCAGTAAATCAGATCAAACAAAGACTTGATGCCAAGCCCCTAGCTCAGCTGAGAACCGGGAGTTTTGTGAGATCTGGTCCCTTACTGAGAGGACGTCTGTGGACGGGGTTAGGACACCTGACCGTGAGACAGCAGGGGATGGCAGGAAGAACAGGTAGGATTCTAACGGAGATTTTCCAGATGTCATCCTGGGGGCCGAATCCTTTTAGCTTTTAAAATCAGTCATGTTTAGAATGGAGGAGTGGAATGTAGAGAAGAGACCCTGGGCATCCCAATTTGGACAGGTGTTCATGAGGATGAGGAGAGCAGAGGTTCGTGACACAGGGAGCCCCACGGGCACAGGCATGGGCACCAGCCGGCCTCATCGGTCAGAGAAGCCTGCTGGGCACCTTGCTCCGTGTCCATGACGGAAATGAAGGGATGAGGGAAGAACCCCAAGCAGCGTCCCATCTTACTGACTTTCTCATAACCTACTACATGTATGGCGGAGTATTTTCTCAGTGCCAGGTCCCCAGGTGTACACCAAAATAGTAAAACAACCAGCAAGGGCTGCTCAGAAAGCAAGAAGGGTTGTCGCAAAGGCAAGAGAGTGTAAGTAAACCAGAGAAGATGATGGGGATGATACTGCAACTGTGAATCAATTCTAGTTATTGTACTCATAGGAAATGCCCCATCCCCTCAAAGCAGCTAAGGCTGGGACACATGCAGAGGAGGTTCCACTTGAACCCTCCTAGACCAGACAGAACAACAAGGGGTTCTGTTCTGTGAGTTTTCATTGAAGAATAAACACTACTGGGCTACCAGCAAGCCCTAGTTAATTACAAAGAATTACAGCTGATGCCAGTGATTTCTGGTGTAGAGATGGCATTTAGGCAGATGGATAAAGGCTGATGAGGTTTAAGACAGTTTCCTTGTGGAAAAAAATATCTAATTATTTGGTCAGGCTACAAAATTGGAGGAGTTTTATATGGAAAATTCTGAAGGTAACGCAGGTTTACTATTGGACAGAACCGCCTTGGGTCACTCCCTTTTGATGTTTAATCTGTAGCATCTTGCAAATATAAACACAACTGAACACCCAGAGTCAAACCTGATACTGTTCATCAATGGAAAGAGAAGCTACATAATGGCCAATTTTGAGGGTCAATACATTTAAAAGAGAACCAGGGAAAATTTTCTGATGGCCACTGCAAAAATCATTGCACACTCTCTCTTTTCTTTGCATTTTCTATCCTATTTTTTTTTTTTTTTTTTTTGAGACAGAGTCTTGTTCTGTCACCCAGGCTGGAGTGCAATAGCACGATCTCAGCTCACCGCAACCTCCGCCTCCCGGGTTCAAGCGATTCTCCTGCCTCAGCCTCCCGAGTAGCTGGGATTACAGGCGTGAGCCACCGCGCCCGGCAAATTTTGTATTTTTAGTAGAGACGGGGTTTCACCATGTTGGCCAGGATGGTCTCGATCTCCTGACCTCGTGATCCACCCGTCTCGGCCTCCCAAAGTGCTGGGATTACAGGCGTGAGCCACCGTGCGAAGCACTCCTTTTTTCTTTTGACAGAGAATTAACCAGTGTCATGAGGAGGTATTCTTCAGTAAGATGAGGACTCTTGGAAGCTATAGTTGCAATTTTCTACAGTGATACTGTGGTGCTTTGAAACAGAAACACAAAAACCAACAGTACTCATTTTTGTCTCTGTAAGGTGCTTACCTTGGGAGAATTTAGCGCACTGGATTTTCTACAAGGCTACTCCTCGTAAGGAAACCTCATGTAGCTTTTCAGACCACCACACCACAGGGTATCATTAAAGGAGAGTCGGCCTCGATGAGCCATCAGTATGTACTAAGAGAGGAGAGGAGAGAATGAGAGAGAAAAGAAGAAAAGAAGGAGTATGAGCAGATACAGAAAGACAGTGAGCAAAAAGGCAAGCAGAAAAGAAGGGGAGAGGAGAGAGAATGGGCAGACAGGGTCCCATGACTAAAAGACTCTAGAACAGTTTCTCAATACCAGCACCGGCTGCACGTGAAATGAGACTGGGGTACCACAGGGTGCTGAGCAGACACACACCTGCGCACAAAGGCATTCTACAACTTCAGCTGCACTGCGAGTCTGGTTCACCTTTCATGCCACTGAGCAATCAGAGAGAGTTTCCTTGTCCTGTGCTTTGGTTCGAGCATCAGATCTGAACGTTATTCATTGATTCACTATTTTTACTTCTATATAAATTTATAATATAAATAAACCCTGTTTTCTTTTCTTTTTATGTTTCTTTTGGGGCTGGCGGTTACGGTAATTGGCATAGAATCTTTTCTCCAGCTGTGCCTCACACTAAATACTAAAGATGCCTCCATTCCCAAACCCAGTAGGATCAGTAGTTGCCCAGGCCTCTTGGTTACTAGCGAAATGACATTCAAATACGTGATTGATTGGTTCCTCTTACATGACAAATGGAAAGACTAGGAAAGAGCTAAACATATTGACAAAATATAAACAGAAACCAGATGCAAGACTGGTCAATTTCTCTTCCTGCTCGCATCTGCAGGAACTCTTGGTGAGTAGAGTAAAGCTGTGTGAGTGTGCCGGGCATCCTAACAACAAGTGAAAAAGTGACACAGAAGTCATTTCCTTTAACAACCTGGCCAGCTTGAGAATTAGACATCATATCATCACAGAGAAAGAAAGGGGAAACAATTGAGGTTTTGAAATTTGAAATTAATTCACAAAACCCCCACAACATCTTGAGATATCAAAACTCCAGGCCACTTTGCGCTCAGGAAGACCATGGCACAAACTGGTGAAGTCTCTGCTTTACTGGCTGCAGTAACTAATTTTAGGATTCCTATGAATTTCAGGTAGCTCAAGGGCAACGTCAGTAATTTACTCCAGGCGCAGAACGGACTACAGCTCTATCCCCATCCCAGGGAACTGTCCATGCTTACAATTCACAGAAGCTGAGTCTGGATTAGAAAATACCCTGACGGCCTCTGGGGGTGACGGGGCCTGGTCTGGAAGGAGAGGACAAGTCACGAGGGGCCCACGTGCTCTGCATGGGAAGGTGAGAGGGATCATGAGTCTGCTTGGGCAGCCTGAGAGGGGAGCAGGGGACCAAAAGGAAAGAGAAGAGGGGACAGGAAAGATTGTGGCGGCCAACTTAGGAAAGGGAGGTGGAAAGAAAGGGCCCACCGAGGCGGACCCTGCAGGAAATTCTCCACAGAGCCTCGCCAGTTCGCGGTCCTGCAGTGCCGTCTGACATGCGACCTCAGCTTAATACTGTCTTGGGTTGGGGGTGCTTTGGCAAAAGCGAAAGAAAAGGTAGCCTGTTTGGGATCAAGTGGGCAGCGGGAGAGGGGGTAAGTGCAGGTACTGGGAGTGGTGTTTGGAAGCAGGGGATGGCCCAGAAGCTGGCTGCAGCGCTGGTGACCCCAGAGGGCAACATGGAGTAGCCCCGAAAGCCATGCATAAAGGACATGGCCACTCTATAAGGCAACAGACGTCTGGGCTTCATAGGGCTAGAAAGGAAGGAAAAACTCCAGAAGGGCTTAGTTTTTTAGAGGGAGTGTCAGGGTTATAAGCTTAAAGCAGCATCCACCCAGTTAAACAGAGCCTCAAACACAGGCATTTCTATTTCACTTCATAAGTAACTGAAGTGCCTTAGCAGAGACCGCAGACATGGGATGCTGGAAGTCAGTGCCCCGTTCAGGATCACCACAGCCTTCATCACCAGAAGCTCACCTGGAGGGAGAACGCCCGCAGAGCGGGAATTGGGATTAACGCGGCCATGAAGAAGGCTGTGACATTGCTGATGGACGTGAGGGCCACGCTGGCTCCTGTGCGCTTCAGGCACTCCCCGGTCCTGTCCTGGGAATAAAAAAACACAGCGCTGAGAGCTGCACTGGACATGGTCCCCTTGGAGCACAGACTGTGTGAGCAGATACGTGGCAGAATAACACAACTGTTATTACAGCTTATCATGCTGGCATTAGGGAAACAGAGCCACCTGCCTTACCCCCTAACACCAGCATTATTCAGTACCATCTACAGAGTCATCAATTCTTCATGGTTATTACCATCCAGAGAAGAAAGCTGCAAGATAATGACTTAACGCTTAAGTATAATTTTAAAAGGGAGTGGAGGGAGGTGATGGCTAAGTGACAGACATCTCCAGAGAAGCAAATGCAGGCTCTGGGAATGTATGGCAGTTAGGGATAAAGTGTCACATTAAAACAAACACCCGTATTCCTAAAGGCACCCGAGATGCAGCTCTTGGGACTTCTCATAGCAAATACATGTCCTGAGAGTCTTCCAGCTTATTTCATTGACTGGCAGCCAGTGACACATCATCTGACATGGGACTGAAATCTTTACTGGGTCAGACTGAGGAAAATTAAAGGACAAATACTTAGGAACAGAGGAAGCTGTGATGTCCCCAAAGCTCTCTTCTTTTGTTTTTGCATTACCTCAAAAGGGATTCTTTTATTCTGTCCTGTTTCACTGAAGGCGTGGGCCAGAAGAAAAACATCATCCACACCAACACCAAGAGCGAGAAATGGCAAAACCTACAGCAAAAACAGAGGATGGTGGCATTAGACATGCGAGATGCAATTCAGATGATTCTAAAGCTAGTTAGGACTCTGCCACCAGCACCTAACAGCTCCTGAAGCAGGGCTTCCGTAACCTCATGGTGAAGAATTCACTTGACGTCCCAAAGCCTAGCCATTTCAGCTCACAGGAGATCCTGCACGTTTCTACTTCGAAAGTCAGTGTACTATCATTTTTTAAGCTAGTAAATGAGAAGGAATCCAACTCATTTAAGCAATGATTGGCAGAGTGTGGCCCATGGACCAGCATCACTGGGAATTGCCCTGAAGTGCACATTCTCAGCCCCGGCCCCAGACTTACTGAGAAACTCTGGGGGTGGGGCCTGGCAATCGGAGCTTTCACAAGCCCTGCAAGCCATGCAAATGCCCACCAGAGCTGAAGAGCCACAACCCTGGTCAATGACATACATTCCTATCAGCCAAGTGTCTCTACTAACCAATAAGCCCAACAGACTTCCTACCCACTTCCCTGAGGGCGGACAGCATCAAGAGACAGCATTCCCCTGAAACCAGTAGCATCCTAGTGGAAAAGGCTGCAAGACCCTTCCGGTGAGAAGGACACACAGCACACAGGAGGCTGGCTGGGCCAAGCCTGGGGGCCGGGTGGCATTTGTCAACGGACAGCAGATAAATGGCTCCTTTAGTACCTGAGTTGTTGCAGCGTTAAAGGAAATTCCGATCAATGAGCACAGGCCCAGTCCTGCAGCCACTGACAGTGCAACCAGCAGGACGCCAGCCAGCCCCACGGCACCCTGGGACTTGGAGCAGTCCCAGCGCAGCATGGTTAGACAGGCATAGGCGAGCTGCAAGCAGAACAATGGGGGCACAGAACAAAAGCCGAACATTAGAATGTGTTGTGATTCTAATGTTTCCCTCCACCCATCACCCCAAATCAAAAGGCAGAACTTATCCAACAACAACAAAACTTTACATCAAGGGCGTCACATAAAATGACAGGAGTCAAAGGTAGGCAAACGGCAAATGGGAAAAATGCTTTACACGACCACTTTTAAACCACTGTGAAGCCACGCTCTCTCTGTCCTGGATGCACATCGATGTTAAGAGCAGTTAAGAAGCAGGAGCAGTCATGGAAAAGTAAAGACTAAAACAACCAAACCAAACTCCAGCCCCCAGGAGCATGGCATCGAGCGTTACCATGAGTAAGTAGCCGCTGGCCACGCGGATGACACTGACGTCAGAGAAGGATTTCAGGATGTCGTCCAGGGTCGTGGTGGTGAAGGAAAGCACCTTTTGAGTGGAGTTCTGTGCGACACTCTGATGAACCACCTGTGGTCACAACAGAATGCGAAATGCCCAAATGCAATGAACACTTCCACAAGCCTCGACAGCACAGATCTCAGGTGACACAGCGCAGCCCTTCTTTTTTTCTGATGCATTTTTTAAAAAAGTTCTACGTGATTCCAGGGCAGGGAGAGAAGCTGAAGTTGGGCTAACATTAAAGAACCCTGTTTTAGGACAAGGGCCATGGCTAATCAGTGGCAGTGGGTGCTGCTGAGGGCTGGTGTCGCTGGAGTTCACTCTGAGTGCTGTATTTACTCCAGGGCTGAGACTGCTCGTCTCTTCTCCGTTAACTTCACAATTGACTTGCGGTCCCATCGGCTCCCCACTAATCCAAAACAACTCATTCTTATGGCCCTCCTCCCCCTGTTCATTTGCTGGCCACTTTTAAAAGGTCACATGCAGCTCAGTAGAGGTCACTGCTTGGGAAACAAAGGCCAGCTCCTGTCACATGACCTGACCAAGGGGCCTGCAGCTGTGAACAGATTCTATGCCTTGCTAATGTTTTCCAGACACCTTTGCTAACCAAGTGTTTTTTTAAACACTGTTATGTGCTTTAGTTCTGGAATTCACAACTGGTTACTAAACATGTCTCAGGGCACCCCAATTAGAACTAGTCTTTTAGATATTATCCCAGGATTTTCAATATCAAAGAAGAGGAAAAAAGTTTTCATCCCATCAAGTTCCCAGAATTGCAATGTTTTGAAAATAAAGCGAATGGAAAGAAATGTTTTAAATAATGGTGAAAATGAAGAATTGCATAACCAGCGAGTCTGCACGCCGATTCGAAGGTGGGTTTACCTCCACATATGTCCTCTGCCAGGCCTCCAGGATGGCTGCCGCTTTGTCCTCGTTCCAGTTGATGTGTGAGACATACTCGTACCCCTTGAAGTGCTCGTACATTTGCTTGGGAGTCATTAACTGGAACATGGTCTGCAGGGCATGGGCGCTGCAGCACAGTCCAAGGGAAGGCACATCATCAGTATTCCCAGGAAGCAGTTTCCACTGCCTCAAATCCCCAGCCAGCTCCCCCAACTCACTGGCTGCAATTCTTTTCCTTCTCTGTGAGCACATGTTTCCATTAAAATGGGACCAGGATGGTTATTTTATTTAATAGATTGATGTACCATATTAAAGGTATAACCTTACAAACCTTTTACAGATATACCCCAAAATTAAATTAATAGGCAATTTCCTTTCACAGTTTCCATTCCATGAAACAGGAAGGGGAGAGGAGCAGATAGCTTGAACAGATACACCGGGCTCAGTGACGCATACTTGCTGTGCAGAAATCCCAGACGGTGGCGTTCCCAAGGGAGAAATCTTACACGAAACGCCAGACACCTGACTGACCAGAGTCCACAAGTGCACAAAGGATAATTCTTATTGAGCCGCTGGCTCTCCATCTTTTGCTAACAGTCTATGACACTGTGCAGCTCGCACCACCAACTCTCTCTGACCAGTGTGTCCCGGCCTACTTTACACCTGCTCCCATTCTCTACCTAATGGGCAGATCTCCTTAAACCCTATAGTCAGGAACTATGGTCCTGATGAAAACTACAAATCCATTCTTGAAAAATTCCCCACAAGGTGCTTTTTCAAGCTGTTGCAGTCTGCTACTATTTCTTAATATTCTATGACGCCACCTGGCTAGCGAGGATAACGGTTTAAGTATTAATACAAATACACTTGCCGATGTCAGGAGGGAAGTGGCTTTTGAGGAAAGGAAGAAGACTACAGGGCATAGATTGTCCTCGGGAGCTGGCTTACCTGACGAGTTTTCCAGTGCTGTTCTTGACTGTGCCACCCACAATCAACTCCTCCTGCCAGTGCATATACTTTCTGGATAAGCCATGACATCCACCATTCAAAACAAGGGCCATATCAAGAGGCTAAAATAAAAAGACAGCCACATAATTATGGGAATTAGTAGGCAGGTCACATGCCTTGTTAAAATCCAGTGCATTAAGGGCTTGTGTGTTTCAGAGAGAACATTAATAGCAAGGCTAATGGGAGGTGTATGGCAAATCTTACAGCAAAATTTAGCTCTATAAATAAACTTAGTTCCATAGACAAAGACGATCATGGAGAATGAAATGTTAAAAATGAAAATAATAAAGTGAACGATGAATGGACACAAAAAAGTGTTTTGCTCTCCACCCTTCTGAGAGCGCTCACTGCTGGTACTCACTTTGGTTGAATTTTTGTTGGGGGCTGTGGCGGGGCAGTCTGGATCGGCCGGATTGAGGCAGGGGCGGTCCATGTAACCATGACCAACCTCAGCCTTATTCAGCATTTCCTCCCAGCTGTCCACTTGATAGTTTATTTTCTTTAACTCTTCCAGGAATTCCAAAGGGTCGAAGTTTGTCCACCGCAAAGGAGGTTTACCTCTGCAAAAGAAATTAGGAGACGAGACCATGAAAAGAGCCTTCTAAACGCATCGTAAAGTAACACGGCTGCGCCCACTGCATCCACCTTGTAGGAGGTTCCTGGCAATGCTGCAGTTCTGGGACTCTGGCATCAAAACAAATGCTCCTTTCCAGCATATCTGCATAAAAACTTAGGTCAGGAAAATAATTCATGACTGAAGATGCTAAGCAGAGAGAGGACTCATAAGTTAATGAGGGCACTGAATAATCTTTAATTGCTGATATTGTATATTTAATATCTACATACAAAATTAGCCAAAAAGACAGATCCAAAATTAAATTTTTTTTTTTTTAAAAAAGAGGGCGTCACAATATCAAATTAGCACTTGGCAGCCAAATAAATACTTTGTAAATGTCATCAATCAAAATATTTGATCTCTGCTACCTTTAACAATCCCATACTTATGAGCGCTCTCTGACAGCCTGGCAATGGAATGGGCAAGCCCCCTGCAGCCTCTGCCATCACCACCATCACAGCCACTTCCCCCCACACTCACTTTTGAATCTGTGCTGTTGACAGACCAGAAAGGCTTTTGGCTGCCTGTTATGTGGTTCAAACCACACTGTAGCTGCTTAACCAGGCTGAAGTCATTATTCGGAATCTCCCAACCAGAAAACACAAAACCCCTTATTTCCCATCTAAAACTGTACACTGAAGGTCAGGGGATGGCCACTGCAAATTGCTTTTGCAGATATGTGCAAGCCAGGACAGAAACAATAACCCAAGCTCTCACTCTTGCATAATTAACTGAAAATGTCTATGCTGATTAACAATTATTCTCTAAATGATGCGGTATATATAATATCCAACTGCTAAACGGTGAAACATTCCCTACTGTGGCCTTCACAGATAGTGGATTTCCCCCTTAAATGCCATTAGTGTGATCTAAAGAAAGGTTAGCTTTTTACTTCACAGGAAGATCTCAAACTCAAAATATTTCATTCTGATGTGAACCCACTCACTAATAAAGTCTCTCCTTAAAAAATAAGTGTCTAAATGCCTCGTCTTCGAAACTACGAACATTTTAAAGAGTTAAAAAATCACACGTACTCTGCAATAATTTGCATTTTATTTGCATATAAATAGGTTGGTAAAAGTGAATGAAATTTAATGACGCCTACAGAATTGTTTTTTGAAAAGAGAAAAAACATTCTGCTGAAATCCCCTCTCCCCCGACTATTCACTCAAAAAATGCACATGGAATTTCAATGTTTTTATTTCTTGTTCAAAACTGAAATGGAACAAACAATGATAAGCAACATTAGAAACACTGAGTCCTAGAGAAGTCACAGACATCAGAAAGCATGATCACACACTTACAGGAGGTATGCTGTCCCAGACTGTAATTTCGCCCCTTCCCAGAAGCAGTCCAAAGGTGTAATAATCAAACAAGGGTAAAGATATTCTATTATCTGTCAAAGTTAAAAAGAAGAGGCCATGCGTTAGGTTAAGGCACACTACTGGGGTGTTCCTGAGAAATTTTTGCCAACAAGAAGAAAATATACCTGATCCATGTAACCTGTTTCTGTGATAAGCTCTCCTGATTTGTAACACAAATGTTCCAATTTCCACTGCCTAATAAAATGAAAAGCAGAGACAAAAATTTCTCACTGTAATAAGAAAATTAGTGCAAATTCGAAATGATAGAACATATAAAAAGAACTGCAATTTCGATCACTTTTAAGCATCTGTCAAAACGAGCAGAGCTTTTGCCAAGTAGAGACCCAGCAAGCTTGCTTTAATGAATAGATAATACTCAATCGTAATTAACATGTAGGGTGTTTATGTAAATGAATGCTACCAAAGTACTTGAAAAGTCTTGTTTTCTTAAGTGTTCTCCCAATAATCTTGTTTACACCATTAATCTGCTTTTCTACATACATTAAACAACTTCAGGGCAGCCCAGCTGAATTATCATAAATTCAAAATAGGCGGGGATTAAATTAGGTTTGCAAAGTATTGACACATACTCAGGTGCGGAGATGTTTTACTGGCAGATCATGTCCTTAATAGGTAGTATTCAAAATGAACTCTCCTGCTCTTAACCATTAATATTATAAACAACAACATGTGCCAGGTGGGTCAAATTCTAACTTCACAGTCTCTTCTATTCCTATCTTACAGAAATGTGAATAAATATACAGATCAAGAATTAATTTAGTGCTGGGTGCTGCAGCTCACGCCTGTAATCCCAGCACTTTGGGAGGTGCAGGCAGGAGGACAGCGTGAAGCCAGGAGTTTGAAATCAGCCTGGGCAGCAAAGTGAGACCCTATCTCTATAATGAATGAATGAAATGAATGAATGAATAAATAAATAAATAAACTTTAAAAATTAGCTGGGCGCAGTGGTGCATGCCTGTCATCTCAGCTATACAGACAAGAAAATTACTTGATCCTGGAAGGCTGAGGCAGTGAGCTGTGATTATGCCACTGCCCTCCAGCCTGGGTGACAGAGAGTGACTCTATCTCTACAAAAAAATGAAAAAAAAAATTGCCAGGCGTGGTGCCACACATATATAGTCCCAGCTACTCGGGAGGCAGAGGTGGAGGATCACTTGAGCCCAGGAGTTCGAGGCTGCAGTAAGCTGTGATTGCTCCACTGCACTCCAGCCTAGATAAGCAAGACCCTATCTCTCAAAAAAAAAAGAATTAATCGGGAGTTTTATTGTCTCTAGAAAAGTGTTATATAAGCCCATATCTTTCCAGGTGTGTTAGGGAGATCAGTCTAACGAAAAAAAAAAGAAAATCTGGAAGAGTGGGGATGGAAAAGTCCAAGGGAAGGAAAAAAAAAAAAAAAAAAGAAAGAAACACAGTAAAAACTTCCCTCCCAACTGCTCTATTCTTGGCCTCCTAAGGGAGGCCTGTCTTCACCCAAGGAGCTTACTGTGTCCTCTTCCCTGTGCCTTCCTGTCTCTCAGCGCCCTGTTGAAATGTCACCCCCATGTTAAGCTTGTTGAAAATGACCCCCTTCTCCTGAACTCTAGAGCCCTGGCTGGGCAGATCTCCTGCTGAAACCTGGCGCAGCTGTCATGGGGACCGCCCACGTTTCCTTTGTCCATGTCTATCTATACTGATGTCTTTCCTCTCTTTGAGAGCTGTGCCTAACTTACCCATATCTCCGCCATCCTCCACCTAGCCACACATCCATGGACATATTTATATTTTAATTCTATACAGCATCAACATAGACTATCCGGCATGAGTAGGTTCTCACTTTATATTACTTGATCAACTCTCATTTACACTTGAGAAGGACATCATTGTGCATTAGAAAAATGAATGGGCTTGAAGCCAGAAAAAGGCTTTGAAACCTGGCTCTCTCATTTCATAACTGCATGAACTTGGACAAATGCTCTAATTAGTCTAATTCCCAGTTTTCTCACCTAAAACATGGGATGGGTTGAACTACATGTTCTTAAAGTTCATTCCAATGCATAAAATTACTCTGGACCCATCTCAGCTTAAGAGTGTAATTTAATGGCACAGACCCTCACATCTTCTCCTGAAGCATGTAGGTGACAAACACTAAGAATGCATTGGCCATGCTTGCAGTGGCCCCAGGACAACCTGGCTCCCCACAGGGATGCCACTTCACATTCTGCAAAACTGTACCAGGTAGTTGCTTCCCTACAATACTTGTTACAGACCAACAGGGCAAGTTTGCCTGGCAGAAACATGATTTTACATTTTCTAAGGCCCTTGCATTCATGTATCTGGTCTTGTTCTGGGAACCATGAAGGATACGAGCACACATGACCATAAGCCCAGGTTACAGATAAACAAACAAGAATGTGCCAAAGACATGTGACTCGACCCTGGCTGTGCTTGTCCCTAGGATCCTGTCGAGCTGGAATGTAAGCAGAGGTTAGAGAAGGGACAAGAAAAATCTTAATTTTATTCTCTTCTTTGGTTCTCCCTGGCTGCTGAATATGCCTATACTGCTACTTCCTCACCTCTTCCAGGAAAAATAAACAGTACTAACAAAGGCCTCAGTGAAGAGGTGCTGAAAGCCTAGGGGAGGTGATGGGGTTGGGTGACATCAACTCAGAGGTCCCCTGGAAATGGGGTTTAGTGATGCCAACCTCAAAAGCAATCAACAAACTGAATGCCCACTCTGTTCTCAATGCTGGGGTGAAAACAGACAAGAGGTGGCCCCTGCCCTGTAGTAACCAACAGTCTAGATACATAAGAAAAAGGACCGAGTTTTGAACTCTTCCTAATGCTTTACTCTACTCACAGCATTGTGAAATTAGCAATACGATGCTAAAACATGACTTTTTAAAAAGGTGTCAGCGGGCCAGGCATGGTGGCTCACGCTTGTAACCCCAGCACTTTGGGAGGCTGAGGCAGGCGGATCACTTGAGGTCAGGAGTTCGAGACTAGCCTGGCCAAAATGGTGAAACCCCATCTCTACTGAAAATACAAAAATTAGCCAGGTGTGGTGGTGGGCGCCTCTAGCCCCAGCTCCTTGGGAAGCTGAGGCATGAGAATCGCTTAAACCCGGGAGGCAGAGGTTGCAGTGAGCCGAGATTACATCACTGCACTCCAGCCTGGGCAACAGAGTGAGGCTCTGTCTCAAAAAAATAAATAAAAAGGTGTCAGCAACAATTCCCATGGTGGCTCAGCCCCCAACGTGCTGTGTGACACAAAACAACTAAGAGTACAAAGTCACAAGAAGCAGCTCTTCTTTTTCGCATTGTTTTTAAGTTCAGCAAGGGCAATTCAAAATATCACTCTCCAAAAATCTCTTAAGCAATGAAACATCTTACAGCCTGGGTGTATAGTCCCCAAGTGGCTCAGCGTCATCCTCTTTTGGGGACAGTGCCAAGATACTTACTGGCAATACATTATCAAGTAATGCACTTGCTTTGTTACCAAACTCGAGAAACGATAAATCAAGATGAAAAAAATCCTTTCATTGCAAAGCTATTTGAACTAATACTCCAGGTGCATTTCCAGGGCAACTTCATTTACTAAAATAACGGGGCCTAAACCAGCAGCCTTCTCCCACCGCCTTACCTGCTGCTCATTAGTAGGTGGACGCGGCGGGCCTTACCTGTTGTACATGTATACATGGACACGGCTGGCCTGGAGTGCCGAGTCCAGGTGTTGTAGGAGCGCTTCTGTGGTCAGGACATTAGCACCTTCTTCTTTAGGGGTCTGTATCATGAGTTGAGGATTAAACATAGCCTCTTCTCCAATCTTCTGGCGAGTATAATTTAATTCACGACTTACTCGTCCTCCAACTGACAAATATGTACAGGTTTAATTAGAATAGCAAAATCACTGCAAACTCATGTTTTATCTGTTATCTGACTACCTGCCATAGGATACACAATAGATGAACTCTAGTCATGAGACTGGCTGATGTGTGAGCAGTAACATTCACTTTATTAATGGCAATGTTAACTTCACCAATAGTAAACATAAAAAATACTCACTAAGCCCATTAATGGCTGTCCCGCCTGTCACAGACACAAACCTAATTCTAACTAATACACTGTGTGACGAAAGTGGGGGGCAGAAAGGAAAACTTGAGACACCTTTTCCTTGCAGACCAGACCAAATAACCCTGTTACAATTTCTTTCACTTGTATAAACAATGCGCCCCTGCAGCAGATTTCAAGATAAATGGCTTCAATTTACACTCTTCTCCTAAGTAAACTGGCAAAGGTAACAAGGAAATGTTTCTCCTCTGTGGAAAAAGAAACAAGGAAAGGTGGCCAGTGTGTGTTCAGCACAAAACTTGCCAGGAGAAGATAAATAAAGTGATTCAAGTCAGATGCCCATGGGGAAATCCCAATTGAGAGGAACAAACTGTATCAGCCACAGCCATCATGGGCAGTCCCTGGAACCTGGTTCCATCAGACGCACCTGGTCAGCATCCAGAAAACACAGGTGCCAGGTTCTCAGTCAGCTGGGGGTGAGCAGCCTGTTTTCCGGAAGCACCCCAGGTGACCCTGAACCTGCTGCCCAGGCCGAGAAGTCCTGCCTCACACCAACCCAGCTTTCCAGCAAGCTGGCCAGCACGGGGTATGCCCAAAGCCAGCGCAGGAGCAGGTGACCAAAGAAAACCATCAACACTGTGACTGCCAAATGCCTTTTCTCTTCCTCTCCTTTTTACATCCTTAGGCCCAAGGTTATGTTCAATGAACGGTTCTGGGCCAAGCCAAGCTCCGAATGCTGCACCTGGGCTGGGAGGTGTCTCAGGGAGATACTAATAGTTACAGACCCAGGAACCTAGAGCTCCCCCACTCCACAGTCTAGGGCAAAGGAAGCGGGTCTGAATTGTTCCTAAAGTCATTGATAAGTTGCATGTTGACTGAAAAGCAGGCCTGCAGCGACAGTTTAGAAAAAAACTCAGTGATCATAGCTTTCCCACGAGGAGGAATCCTTTTTCTTCAAGTTTAGTATTCAAGGACATAAACATTTGGTTTGGACAAGTAAATAAGGACTGGGAACAGCGGGTTGTTTAGTTCTCTTGGCATATTTTATAAACAAGGGGGCAGGCTAAAAAGCAAATAATGCCCTCATTAGGAAAACCAGTACAAATTCACCGCCTGGCAGGACCCTCTGTGCAGGTCCACGCGGATGCCAAGGCCAGGAGCTCCGTGAGGTGAGGTTTAACATACTGCGTGTGGGGTCGGGAAGGAGGGAGGAATATATCAGTTGGTTAATAAAAAGGAATAAGACTTCTGTGTGCAGAAAACTTTGAAAAATGCCAGGGGGCATTGCCGAGGGCCTTGCCATCAATGTGAAGTTAAGGAAAAATCACAGGAAAACACTGGGAAACAACTTGCACAGAGAAGCATCTACCTACTCGGCTGGCCTTTTCTGCAAGCCCTGGGAAAGCTGCCTGAAGGCAGGGGCTTGCTCACTCTAGCAGAAAGCACAGTACTTAACACCACGCAGACTTCCAACCAATTAACTGAATTTGAGCCAGCCCACATCCCCTAGAAGTGCAGAAGCTGTATGAGGCTAAAAAGCCAGTTATGAGTCCAGAGGTCACAGCTGCAGAGCTGCCCACCAAGGAGCTCAATGCAGCTTTTGCTCACCCTTTCTTTGTGTTATCACATCTAATGCCACAAACCCAGAAATCATTCCCATTGTTACTGCCTCCTCGAACATCAGCATGCACGTGGTTTTTCATTCTGATTACAAAGTTGCACCTCCTGCACCTTTACTGAAGCTTAACATATCAGGTGACTTAAACCCATGAAATTAAAAAACAGCAGCAACAAAGCACACCCCCCACCCTTATTATGGTGACCTAGGTGCCGTTATAGTGAGGAGCAGTCCATGACAGACAGCCTGGCTTCAGCAAGATTCTGCCCCTCGAGCCTTGGCAGAGCAGCCGCCTGTTAACTATATAATCCTCGAAGTGACCTGAGAGTGCAGTGTGCACAAAAATGGCAAAACCAAACACAAAGTTTGTGCTGCTAAGAAATTTTTACCAGACTCTTCCAGACCAACCTCATAATGGAGCAGTTATTTTATCACAGGGTGTTTCAGAAATGGCATTTATTTTCTACAAGATATAAAATGTACCTCAGGGTCTCCATCATGTCCCCTTTTTAGATGTTTTAAGATGTATATTTACATAAACATTTTAATAAAGGTATAGATTTGTCCTTTCTCTGGAATTGGAAAACCTGTCGCTCCCCCATCTCTTTGCTCTAATGATGAACACAAATATTTTGCCAATGTGATGTTTCAACTAAGACTATCATGATAGGGTGGCCAAGCAACTAGAGTTGAGACTCTGAAGTCTACGGTTTTCTCAACCACCTATGCCATATATACTATTAAATGCAATTCACTTTTACATATTATATGGTTATATTTTATCTAATATTTCATCTTATATTTAACCAAATATGAATGTTTTGCAAAATGATTCAAAAACGTTAATGAAGTTTAGTTGCCACCCATTTTATCTGACCAATAGCTGTAACATGATTCATTCATCCAGCAAGCATTTGTGGGTGGGTGGGTGGGTACTTTGACCAGGCAGTGGGGATGTGGTGGACGAAACCAGTCAGCGTAGTCTCTCTCCAAGAGGCATGCTGGTCAGTGAAGGGAACAGGCAACAGCCAAGCAAAACAATAAGATACCTTCATAGCACAAGTGTGATGCAGAAAACGAAGATGGTGATGCCATGTTGGGTAGTGGGGAAGGGGAAAAGATATTTCAAATGGGATAGCAGGGAAGACCTAAAGGGAAACAACATTTAGGTGACTTTGAAGAGCTGGAGAAACAGCGTTCTGGGTAGAAGAACCAGCAACTGCAAAGCCCTCAGGTTTGGCTTGTTGCAGGGAGAGAAGGGAGGCAAGTGTGGCGGAGCTTGGTGAGACCATAATTAAGTCTTGTGTCATTCACCATGTGAACTGGTAGAATCAGCTCCCTCTCGGGTATAACTGTGTCATAAAGTGCACGACACTCATATATTCTGACATCAGTATTGACCCAAGGCACTCTGGAGCAAGCTGCCAGAAACAGAAACCCTTCAGGATAGAGCAATTTTACTGACTCGTCTGACATTTGCTACCCTAGCAAACGCCTATCCTAAATCACTGCTGAATGACAGCTGAAAGCTGTTCATTATCTTGCTGTCTTCCTTATCATCCCTAAGTGTGAAGCTTTGAGCTCAGGAAGTCCCACAGAACCCATTTTAGATGACTGAGATGAAGGTCATGGTCTTGGAGAAATAGGTTTCCCCCTTCTTTTTCTTTTATTTAAAGACAAGGTCTTGCTCTGTTGCCCAGGCTGGAGTGCAGTGGCACAATCACTGCTCACCGCAGCCTCAACCTCCTGGGCTTAAGCGATCCTCCTCCCCTAATACCCCAGATAACTCCAACTACAGGCACACACCACCATGCCCAGCTAACTTTTCATTTTTTTGGGTAGATACGGGGGCCTCACTATGTTGCCCAAGCTGGTCTCAAACTCCTCAGCTTAAGTAATCCTCCTGCCTTGGCCTCCCAAAGTGCTGGGATTTCAGGCATGACTTTTTTCCACTGTCAGGATCAAAGTCCTAACATATTTTTAAAATAATCTAATGTTCGTGAAATAGTGCAGAAGAAAATAACTATTAAATCTAGTATCTGTTATGTAGATGTAGGCATAGGGAACCAAGTTAATAGCCATTTTTGCTGTGTGGTAGGCTATGGATAATTTTTTTTTTTTTTTTGTGACGGAGTCTTGCTCTGTCGCCCAGGCTGGAGTGCAGTGGCCCCATCTCAGCTCACTGCAAGCTCTGCCTCCAGGGTTCACGCCATTCTCCTGCCTAAGCCTCCCAAGTAGCTGGGACTACAGGCGCCCGCCACCAGGCCTGGCTAATTTTTTTTGTATTTTTAGTAGAGATGGGGTTTCACTGTGTTAGCCAGGATGGTCTCGATCTCCTGACCTTGTGATCCGCCCACCTCGGCCTCCCAAAGTGCTGGGATTACAGGCGTGAGCCACTGCACCTGGCCGGACTATGGATAATATTTACCCGCTTTGCTTTTTTGAGTTTATTTCTATCAATTTTTCTACAATGAAAGAGTATAATTAAAAGCTTCTATGGTTGGACATGGTGGCTCATGCCTGTAATCCCAGCACTTTGGGAGGCCAAGGTGGAAGGATCACTTAAGGCCAGGAGTCGAGACCAGCCTGGGCAACACAGATAAACGTATTTATCTCTACAAATAAAAAGTTAAAGAAATAGCTGTGGAGTAGTGGAGGCTGCCTTTAGTTCTAGCTACTTCAGAGGCTGAAGTGTGAGGATCGCTTGAGCCCAGGAGTTGGGGGGTGCAGTGCACTGTGACTGTGTCACTGCACTCCAGCCTGGGCAATAGAATGAGACCCCACTTCAAAACAAAACAAAACCCAGAAAAACAAAACCTTCTATGTGACACACACACACACACACACACACACACACACACACAAAAGAAAGATAGATATGAGAGCTACTTGGTAGAGATATGAATTAAAAACAAACTCAATGCAAAAAAAAATAGGCATCTCTGTACTCACTCATATATGAGAGGTAAAAAAGATTAATCTGATGGACTTAGAGAGTAGAATGAGGGTTATCAGAGGCTGGGAAGAATGAGAGGGGAAATGAAGAGAGGTGGGTTAATGAGTACCAACATACAGTTAAGTAGAAAGAATACATTCTAGTGTTCCATAGCATAGTAGGGAGACTACAGTTAACAACAATACACTGTATATTTCAAAATAGCTAGAAGAGAAGATTTAGAATGTTCTCAACACAAAAAAATGATGAATGTGTTTGAGGTGATGGACATTCCAATTACCCTCATCTGATCATTACACATCATATGCTTATATCAAAACATCACATGTACACCACAAATATATACAGTATTATGTATCAATAATACTAATAAACTATAAAAATAATCATATGCATCTTCATCATATTCTGAAGTCCTTTTATATTAACAATAAAATAACAACCCCTCTGAACAAGACTCAAGAAAAATCATTATCTCAGGATCCTGAGACACAAAATAACGTTTTATACTTGGGTGGTGCTTTCCATTTGCAAAGCCCTTTGAGACCATATTCTTTACGTCTTTGGAAATATTTTGATCATTGCTGCTCCTCCATCAAGCTGGGGCCAGCTGTACCAGACAGGCAGTGAGAATGGAAACCGGAAGACCCCAGCATTGCCACTAGTGGCAGAGAGATCTAGGACAAGTCCCTGACACAGCTGAGCCTCAGCCACCTTTCCTGGTTGCTGAGGATAACAGGGATAACAAATGCTGTGATGAACCTCACAGGACTGTGAGAGCCTTAGCTGACAATGTGTGTGAAATTTCCCAGACCCTTACCCAAGAGCGGAGCAAGTGTCAGTTCACCCATGCCTTTGTCACAGAGCATTGTTTCACTGTCCTGATGTTACAGGGGAGGGGGCATAGCTGCAGAGTTTGGGTGGCTTGCCCAAGGTTGCCCACCTTATTAGTAAGAGGCAGAACTGACCCTTTAACCCAGAGTCCAACTACCCTGCGAGCCTCATGGTTTCTGAGCACCAGCTGAGAACATGAGTACAGCAGGAGGTAGCCTAGGAGTGCCAAATTCCACAGAGCACACTAGACAGGTTGAGCATCCCTAATCTGAAGGTCTCAAATGCTCCAAAACCTTCCTGAGTGCCAATATGATGCTCCAAGTGGAAAATTCCACATCTGACCTCATGTAATCAGTCACAGTCAAAACAGGCTCACAACCATGAAGATGACATGTTACAACTGCACAAAAAGTTAACTATAGCAGACCTGGTAAAAATGTGTGATGGGCTTATTGAAAACTAACGCATCGTGCATTCACAACCAAACAGGAAATCATGTCAATTCATAAAATCAAAGAGAGACGTCTTAAGACAGAAACTATTGTTAATGAGGCCGGTGATGCTGGAGGAAACATTCTGAAAAGCCATCCAGCAGATGTCTCCTCGCCCCTACACAACCCACTCCCTGATCCTTCAACTGCTTCTGATGTTTCTTCTCACCTAAAAAAATAAAACATGGTGTACAGTAACCTCTCAGTGAAAACACAGCATTGCAGGTGGAGACCGGAAGCTGCTGTTGTTTAGCCACTGATGCAGGTATCTGGTGATGCTATTGTGCTGCTTGGGTACCCTGAACACATTATTTTTTTCACTGCATTAATGGAATGTCGTGGTTTTTTTACTGGTAAGTACGTAGGTGTGAATTAGTTTAAGAAAATGATTGCTTATCGGCAGCATATAAATTTTAAGTCAGGAAGGATGGGAATGCCACACAACCAGATTGTCCACATGGGTGGCTGAGATAGTGACATCTTTGCTTTCAGACAGTTCAATATACACCAACATTGTTTCAGGCACACAATTATCTTAAAATATCGTATAAAATTCCCTTCAGGCTAGATGCATAAAGTAGTTGAAACATAAACAAATTTCATGTTTAGAGTTGGGTCCCATCCTCAAGCTTTCTCATCATGCTTATGTGTGAATATCACCCCCCCTTAAAAAAATCCAAAATCCCATACACTTCTGGTCCCAAACATTTTGTATAAGGGATACTCAACCTGTATTACGCTCACAGCTAGAATTTTAGAATGCGTGAAATATGACAATAATCCGTATTTTTATTTAAAGTACAACCATGTTGCATCAAAGACTTTTCTCAGCCAGTGAGGAGATGCATTTTTTTCAGTAGGGCTCCCTGGGTCACAGTGGACAGGCCTCATTTTCCTTCTGGTCCCCAGAGAGTCCTGTCTTAGAGGGGGCAGATGAAGGCACACAGAGAACATGCAGCCCTAAGCCTCTTTACCTGCAAATTCTGCCATCTTATTCTCCAGAAATCCAAGGCTTAAGCCAATTCTTTGAAAGGCAAAAGAAGCATCACTTCTGCAAATAAGTTTTTGATCAAGCTCTGCTGATCCTCTCATCCCCAAATCAAGCCAGGCTTAACTTTCCAAAGTGAAGAAAGGCTAGCTAGCTCAGGTGGGATGCCAGCTGACCCAGAGGCCCATACTTCTAGGCCAATATGATTCCAATCCACTGTAGACAAGAGATGTTTCCCTCATCACGCTTCCCTGCTGTGCCCCTCCTCAGCACAGCCTTCTGCACAGAGCTTAAGAAACTTCTGTGTCATTCACACAAAAACCTTTTAGCAAAAGCTTATTGTGATCCACATAAAGATGATCTGAGGGACCAACCGAAGTTATTTTCCACAAAATTCAAGTCCTGCCCATGCACCTCCGTATGTGAGGGACGCAGAGGGGCACCAGGGGCATGGCACACCAAGTGTGCTGAATGAATAAATGAATGCGCAGTCTCAATACAGAGCCTTGGGAACAGGCAGTCATCTGTATAAGTTATTAATTCCCCCCAAAGCCTCAAAAAGTCAATCAGTCAAAACAAATGACCCTTTCAGCCTGAAAAGTACCCACTCAGAGTCCAATTAGGAAAATAGGGTCTGTGTATATGCAAGCGTTGCATTTGCATTTGATTAATCCCATGAATTATCTAACAGCCTCTAGAGAGATTTTCTTTTTCTTTTAGTTGCTCAGGTCCTCCTTTCAATGTTGCATTTACTTACTGTGAGGCCGAAAAAGTACAAATCTCTAAGCGGGTGTAACTGCAAAATTATTAGCACTGCCTCTTTTTTATAATCGAAAAACAAAAAAAAAAGAAAATTCAGTAATGTGAGCAATTGGCTGAAAATTCACGGGCTGTGAATTTTAGTCCTCTCCCACCCATCTCTTTTATTCAGGAGGAGCCAACCGCTGTCCAAGTTTCTGGGCCGTTTTTTTCCTTATGAGATTGTGCCCCTGCGTGTTGCCATGGGAAAAACGCTACAATCAGCCCAAAGAGAATGTGCCTTCATGAAGTGAGCCCAGTGAGAGGTCAACCACCAAAGCATAACGAGAAAAGGACACCCCCACCTGCCCACGGAACCGCACGGGACCGCACGGGGCATGTGGCAGGCTGGGCGCAGGTAGTGCGCAGGCGCTCGCGCGGGGTTCTGCAACGCGCATGCGCCGGAAGCAAGCTTCCCCGCCCCCACCAGCTGCTGGCAGTGCCATCTGTTATCAGCCTTGCCCAGGCTGCTCCCTCTGAATGGCTTTCCCTGACGCAGACCTGCTCGCCCTGTCAGATGCAATCAGGTCAGCCCGGCACTCTGCCCACGCTGGACCTGCTGCCTGTCGCAGCTCCCACCAGCTCCCAAGGAGCCACGAGTTCCCGAGACGACGCTGCATCTGCCAGGAGGCCCCTTCTTCATTGGTTACTTGCCACACTGGCAAATGAGGGCTGTGCACCGCGCCACCTGAGACAGGCCCAAGAACGTTGCTGACTTCCTGCAGAGCACAGGCGGAAATGTCTTCCATCCGGAACAGCGTACTTTCCAAGCTGGGAACTGTCCCAGGTTCTACCACAACCTCAGGTGCAACCAGGCCGCTCAAGCGCAACAGGCAGGCAGATGCACACCCAGGTCCCGTCGCTCTGCAGGAAGTGGGCGGGCCCAGAGGTGTGATGACGAGCGCGCGCTGGCTCAGAGGCCACACTCCAGCAGCAGCAGGCAGCAGAACCCAGGAACCAACACAGCGTGTTTTCATCAAGCTTAGTTGAAACCTCCTGAAGTCTTCATTAAAAAAATAGAAACAGAAAGAAACCCAACAACAACAACAAAACCCAAGTGCTTCCACGGCAGGCTCTCCATCACAGCACTCAAGGCATTGCATAACATTAACCCCAGTTTCCTTCTCTCAGCTTCTGTGGGGCTGACATCACCTCTCAGCTCTGAACAGTCTTCTTGCCATTATCCAGCCTGGGCCTCTCTTCATTGGCCTCCCACTTGAGCCGACATGGGGGAGAAGACAATGCGAGTCTCCACCTTCGCACGCAGGCTCCCTGGCCTCCGGTGAATACCACGCTGGCCTCATTTATCTCCTGCACTGTTCCTTCCCTCTGCATCTGTGCAGGGAGACTCACGTCACTGGGGGCCACTTTCATGATTTTGTTGCCATCAGGATTAGCTGGATTAGGGGCCAGTACATAAGGACCCCCTGGTGCCGTGAGGAAGTTTCATCACCGGGTCAGCATGGTGTGAACTATATTCTGTCAACACCACCACTTCTTATAGCCACCAACCAAAAAACGGAAGGGTGGAGGTGGGGGCGTGGCAGAGAAAATACCTCAAGTGCAAAATGTATAAACTCATCATAGCAATAAATTCCCGCATCATGCATTTCAAAGTATGTGAGCCATTCAAGACTATCCTTTCAAACAAGAAACCCATGTGATTCTTTTTTTTTTTTTAAATCTATAAAGAATTTGGTGGGTCTGACAGTGGAGGTAGGGGGAGTAAGTATAGGTAGGCGAGTAAGTATAGCTACCCAGAGGAAGAACAAAAAGCCCACAAAAGCTTTTTTTAGCCCCTTTCTAAAGCTAGTCAAGCAGTTTGGGAAGAGTTGCACTGCTGAAACCTTATATTTTGTTCAAGGCTAACACCTCCAGAACGGTTAGTTCCTCCTCTTCTAAAGGACCAATGCTATCCCATCCAGCAAGGATATCCCCCCATCTAATGTGAAATAAGACAATGTGGGCAGGAGAGTGGTGGAGGGAATGGTGTGGGGGGTAAAAGGATGGGTGGGAAGAAAAACAAAACAGAACTTTTAACTCCTTTTAAAACTTCAATGACTGAATTTTTTCCTCCCAGGGAATCATTTACCTACCTCCATCCCGGCCCCACTCATCTGGACCCTGCATGAAGTACACACACGATTTCTACAGAAAGTAATGGGATTTCTGCAAGTGTGTGTGAGTGTGTGTGTTTTATAGAGCAGTCCCTCTTGCACAGAACTGGGCTGTCCCATCAAAGCCGTATCTGTTATATTTCTGTCTTTCTCTTCTGTTTGGCGTATTCACCAACAAGAGAAAAGGAGGTAAGCTTTGGCGGCCCTGACCTGCAGCTGGAACACAATACTTTCGCACAGCCCTGCCGACCCCTGACATAAATTTTACACCGCAGCTGGCATTTACACACTCAGCATTACCATATGTATAGCTGCTCGGTGCTAATTATGCTAATCACCTGTCTAACTCGCTGCTGCGAAAAATGGTTGCATTTAGCAGTCCAGCGCCTCCCAATGCAGCTTACTGTGTGGCTGAAATGTACATTCAGACGGCCCTGAATGGCAAGATTTTTCCACGTTGCTGGCTACATTCAGGCCTCAGAAAAATTTATTCAAGTCAACTGGTTTCGGTCCGCAACAAAAAAGTTACGAGAAAAAAGTGAGTGTGTTCTTGCCCTAACATTCTGGATCTGCTTGCAAGCAAAATGATAAATCAATTGGTGTGGGAAACAAAAAGGGAGAGAGATTTCTTTTGGGAGCCATGTGAAACTGTAGCCTATTAAAAAAAAAAAAGAAAAAAAAAAGGGTCATCCTAGTCCCCAAATCTCTAGAAAGAGCAGTTAATAGATATTTAGCCCTAATCCCAATTCTCTCAAATTGCAAGCTTTGTTTGCAATTAAGCAAGGTATTAAACATGTGCAATTTTTTTTTCTGGATCATGTGTAGACCAAAATGATGGTATCATATTTATCATTTTTTACTTATTACAACAATGTGTAAATCTCATGAGGAAAATAAAGTAAGAAGAAAGAATTTCTTAGGCAGCTAGGAAAAATTCTTTTGTTATTTTCTCTTAGAAAGCCTCTATTTAAAAAGAGGCTGTGTGATGTTTGAGTCTATTTTGTGAAGGTTGCTGGTTTCCCAGTAAAGGAGCAGAGGAAATCAGGGAGTGGGGGTGGGAATGTGGAAGAATTCACAAAAGGAAAAAAAACAGCGGTGGGAGGAGAAAGAGGGAGTCAAGAAGCCTACATTTTCCTTCATCTCAAAATTCCTGTTTTTATCATCACTATTTCTTAAAGCCGTTTTCTCAGATCACTCTGTAGAATAAATTTCTTAATCAGGAGAATATTGGCGCAGGTATTTCAACAATTCCGCAAATTCAAACTGAAATCCTATTTCTTCCTAACTCACAAAACATGTTCGTATTAATTTTTAAAAACCCTGAGTGTAGTCACTCTCAGGGCTGCTTCATGTTAGGCTATCTGGAAGGATAGGTAATATTTGGGTACTCCAATTTCCTGTCATTGCTGGCAGCATCGTACGACACGTTATACCGGAGGGTGGCCCAAAGTGCCAGTGACTTTCTCAGCTCCGAACAATCATCATTAGCAGACTTCTTACTTCAGAAATGCAGAAAGCAGGAGAAAACTGGAAAGCCATTTACTTCAGAACATATCGTGGGCTACATCCCTCAGTGCCACAGAACACCAGACTGGCTTTGCAACCCATCAGCTTTTCCAGGCTTGGAAGGTGCACCCACCCGGGAGGGCTTCCTCTCACGGAGGAGGTCATCTTGGAGGCTCGGGCTCTCTCCGCCTCGCTTCCACTCACCTTTCCATTTAACCACCAGCAAATGAATAACAGGATGCTCATGCAACTTAAAGATGCTGCTGTGACAAGAGCGCTCTTCCTGTCTCTCCCCACCCTCCATTCTGTCCCACATTTTATAAACTTATCTGACCCAATGAAGCAACACTATCCAAGCCACATCTTGATTTGTTTGGCATCCCAATTCAAGTTGCTATTCTTTGCCATTCCAATGTGTTTATCTGGGTTTTGTAGTTTCAAATCTTGACTGTGCAGCCAAAAACACAAATGACACAACCACCACTGGGCTCACTACAGAGCAGAGGGTTTACCCCCCCACCCCCCATCCTCTCAATCTCGCACTCTTCTTAAATAGGAGATGGACCACCCTGCCTCGTGGCACGGAGTGGTGTTTACATTGCAATACTTGACTGTGTAATACATCTGGCATTTTTGGGCAGGATTCCTGAGCTAGGGGCCAGAAGCCCTTAAGCAATGATTTAAGGGGGAAAAAAAATCATGCACATTGACTTAACAAAGCCCATTTCCAGTTCCTTTTGCTTACTTTTATACATGTCTCATTAATAACTGAAAACTATCTTGGTTGCTAAATTGGGTAAGTCTACTGCTTCTTTTCATTTATCCGAACAATAATAAATAAAGCTTGCGCTGTGGTATGGGGACTTGCTTCTCACTAGCCTTGCTTTCATAGCAGTGGCATTATGGGACCCACATGCAGAGTGGACTATTTGGGCCAACTCACACCTGGGTTTCTGGATTAGAAATAAGGTCCTGCCCCCACATTATAAATCTCTCCAACAACAAACTTGCCATTCATTAGCAGGTATCTGACTGCCCACCAACAATACAGTTTCCCTAACACATGACAGCTGTTTTTCCAGCCATGCTCTAAACCCCAAATGGAACAGTCATATTCCCTCCTGGAGGGACTAAGGATGGGGCGCATCTTCCTGTACACCAGGCTCCTAAAATCCTCCACCACAGCCCAGCAGTTTCTCAATGGCAGTATTCTGCTGTACGGAAGGCATTAGACATTGCAGTGTAAAGGAAAAAAAGTGCCCTAAATCCAATTTAAAGAGAAAAAAAAAATCCAGTGAGTATTATCATAAGCACCCAAATTCAAAGATTAGAAGAGAAAGTAACAGAAGTGTTTATATTTTGATGACCCTGATTATATCTGTGTATTCAAGGAATGTTCCCACTGAGAGAATCCCGCAGAGCTTCCTCCTCCTGCAGGCAGAAGTGCCCTCACCAGCAAGGCCCTCTGGTCTCTGGATGTCAACCAAGACCTCTCGTGAGGATGGAACACATAAAGCTTCAGAGTCGGCCAAAATCTGGATAAGGAATTCCATCGTCTTCAATCTAGCCAAGCTCCATGTGCCCACTGGCTTTGGTGGGAGTTCTAAGCAAGGAAGACCTGAAGTGGGGCACCTGGGAGGGAAAGCCATGGTTTGTGCTCCACTCACTGTCTCAGAAATGCTAGGGAACCCAGTTCTTCCACTGTCCATGCGCCACGGTAAGCACAGGGGACCAAGACTTATTTCCCACTCTCTCTGGCGGTGTGGTATGGGTTGAAGAAACTTGTCAATGGATTTTAAAGTTGCCTCAGCAGTCCATTAAAAAAAGTCATGATTCTTCAACAGGGGAATCACATCTTCTGCCAAGAGCCCATCAAAGAGTGTGGTCTTGGAACCAACCCTAACCAAAATAAGAATGCCAAGGATGCAAATGGCAGCTCTGTATCTAGTATCTCCCACAGCTGGCTTGAAATAATAAATGTTCTCATTCCCTCCTCTTAGGTTGTGATTAGCCAGACTTACTACCATTTCAGAGTTCACACTAGTAACTGCAGAGATCCACTTGGAAGGAAATGACGTGGGCAGGTTAGAGTGGGTGGGCGGGAGAAGGGGCAGGAGGGAAGGGGGCAGGGGAGAGAGGGAGGAGGCAGCAGAGGTTCTGGGAGCCAGCGAGGGGCACAGGAAACATTAATAGTATTATAATAGGATGACACAGCCATGGTTATTATGTGGGGGTGTCTGACATAGCTGAAATTCCCTCAACTTTTTCTCCCCCTAAATAGTGTCAAAAGAGTGCCAGAAGTTAAAATACTACATTTATGCAAAGTGGCTTCTATTAAATCTGGTCCCCTTTACAGTTATTTTATAATATTTCCATATTTGTTTTAAAAGCCAAAAAACCTTTTACAGTGAAACACATCCCCGAGGAGAACTGAACACTCATCAGGGGCTAAATCTGGGCAGATAGCTGGCATGGTGAGGCAGAAGGCGGCCACCAAAGCGCCCCTTTCTCCGCCCAATTGTGACTCTCCCCTACCCCAATACAAGCAGGAGAACAGGGCAGACGAGTTTCAGCTTGCCCGAGTTTCAGCTTGCCCGAGTGGACAGAGCCCAGGGTCACAGGCAGGTCAGCTTTGAAGGAGAAACTCAAATGAAACATAAACATGGCATTGTGGAAACCAGACAAATCTCCCATGGCTTGTCCAGCCAGCATTAATCTCGGCATCAGCTGTGGTGCATAATCTAAACACACGGATCAGGCTGTTCATACATCTGGAAGCTGTCATCTTCTGGAACCTCTGAGCGGCATCCTATGTATCTGAAACACCCCATTACCCAACCTGTCCTCTCAACTTGGTGAAGGGTCAAGAATGGCAGACAGCAAAGAGATAGGGAGGATTCGCAGGGTCAACTGCCCTGTGTAGAAGACACCTGAGGGCTATTTGTTCTTTTTTAAACAATCATTGGTGGCTTCTCATTTCCAATCGTTTTTCTCCAAATATGAAAGAAATATCACAACTGCTTCCACCTAAATGTGCATACCCAGTAGTAGAAACTAATAAATACCTATAAACATATTCTCCCTTCTAAACCATGTATGGGGGTCCAGGGAGCAGAAAGGAGCTGCATTTTTCTTCCTGTCCCTTGTGAAATGCCCCCACAATGGCAACCCCAGAGAAAAGAAACCAGGTGCTCACTGTGGAAGGGCAGTGACAGCAGAATCCATTCTGCCCTTCTGGCTGGGACTGGTCCCTTGCTGTCCCTTGGTTCTGCTCCACAAGGGCTCCTGGGGGGACAAGGGGGAGTGGTTTGTGACAGAAACATCTGGAGGAGAATGAGACCACCAAGGAGTTCACACACTAGCCGGGCTTCTGAAGGAGCTGTTATTTCAATATGCACAAAGGCAGTGGTGTCTTCTATTAAAGCTTTTCAGAAAGTCAACCATGCTAAAAACCTTCAGGCTACTGGGGTTGAGGTGCAACCAGTCTTTCTGCAAATTTAGATACCCCCCACCAAAAGGTACCCAAATATAAATTATTTCTTTCTTCCATGGCCTCTTTCCTCTTTCGACCCATCACGGTGTTTTTCTTTGACATTTAATGTCATTCTAAGAAAAATAGTTATCTGGGTCTATAAATACAGGAATGGGATGGGGGAGTTATCTTAAAGAAGATTAATACTCTTGCATCTCTGCAATGCATTGTAGCCACAACTCCATCATAATAAACGTCTTCCATCTGCACAGCATGAGTCTTCCAATCAAAATCTTTTTATCATCTAAACCAGTGGGTCTCAATCGTGATGATTTGGGACACCCTCTCCCCCAGTGACATCTGGCAATGACTGGAAACATTCTGGTTGTCACAACTGGGAGGGTGCTACTGGCATCTAGTAGGTAGAAACCAGGATGCTGCTAAACATCTTATAGTGCACAGAACAGCCCCCAACAACAGAGGATGATCCAGCCCCAATGTCAATAGTCCTGAGGTTGAGGGACCTTGCTCCAAATTGAAGGAGTGGTGAAACTCAGTTATCTCCTACAACTGATTGCCTGAGTTCAAGAACACTGAAAGCATTAACACTAGCAAGGTACAAACTTGAAAGCACTTACACATACCAAGCATGTATTTTAAAAAACAATTTCTTCTATTTTTCTTAAAAAAAAAAAAAAGTCAAAGTCACAACTTGCCTCCTTCTTCCTTGACGCTGGCCTGCAGCAATGTTAACATCCAAACACCAAAGCAATATGGATTCATTACAAGGCTGCTGCCCTCTGCAGAAAAGGAGGCCAGGAGCTGGGCAAGCTTTTAGAAAAAACAAAAAGCTCAAAGAAATAAATGAATGTTCTATCGCTGGAGAAGCTTGACAAGAAACTTGTTCTGAGGGAGGGCTGCAGTGAGGGGGCTGATATGAAAAGAAATAGATACTGAGGGAGATGGGTTAAAACTGCTTAACAAAAAGGAAATACCAACAAAGAAACAGGCAAGATTAAAAATAACACCAGTCTGTGCCCAGAAAGGTGAGATCCAGGTGAAGCATTCGTGGCTCCAGGGAAAACACTAGAGGCCAACACGTGAGCACACTCGTGAGACAGGGATGGCTAGTAGGAAGAGCTGACAGCCCCCAGCCAAGCAGGGAGACTTCTGTGAAATGGCCCTGAGGGACGAGCCCAGCTTCCAGGCTCCCACCCAACCTCAACGACCCACAAAGGGAGGCTGCCCTCCAGGAGGCCACATTCCTGTTCTCTGAGCCTTTGCCTATGCTGTTCCTTCTGCCCTGAATGCCCCCTACCCTCTCCCCTCCAGCCCCTGTGCCTAGCTCAGGCCTCCACCCTTGAGGCCATCCTGGAAGATGTCCCCGATTTTCCTGCCATCTTGGCACTGCTGTCCTTCATGTTAACTACCCACACACCAGTCCGTGTACCTGCTGAATGTTTGGATGGAGTTCCCCTGAGGGCAGAGACTGTGGCTTTTCACCAACATCTCTCTGGAGAGCTTTCTGCAATGGTGGTGCAGAGTAGGTACTGAGAACATGTGCAGAATGAACGCTTCTATTTTTATACAATGACAATTAGTTTCTCCCCCACCTTGCTGCCATGGTCATGTGTTTCTGCAACAGCAGATGTCCACTACATCAGTCAACATATTCTCTATCAAACCTCATTACTCCGCACATATGTGAAACTGATTTGACAATTTTGATTAGCAAACACTATAACCCTAAAACTCAAGCTGGTATCTTAACATATAATTGACAGTTTATTAAAAGGCAATCATTATATGGACATTTTAACAACAGAATACAATAATTCTTATCACCAATTCCTACACACGCACACACACGCGCATGCACACACACGGACTCTTTCTCATCTAGCATATATTAGTCTGCACATTGTGGCTGATGTATTCTGCCCTCTTTATAAAGCCAACTCTTTATAAAGCCACATTTCCCCAGCATGTTAAACAAAGCATGAAAGTCAATTTGAAGACACAGCCTTTCGAGTGGATCCCTTTAATTTGCTGGCTGTATTAAAAAGATAACATTAACATGCCTTTGGCAGATAGGAGGATATGCAGAATAAGACAATGTGCATACACACACACGCTCCTGTGATTTTAAACCGCAGGAGAAGGAGCTTCTTCCAAACTATCCCTCAGCATCCCTCTCCCCTTAAAATCTCATACTTTCCTCTCTTCTGTTGTTTTCTAACTAGGGCAATATGCTACCTCTATCCATTTCGTTTGTGTAGCAAGCACTCTGTTGATGCCCAGTTCATATAAAAATTCATGTCTAGAACCTTAAGAACAACCTACCAAGAAAGCAGCATCTAACAGATTTCTTTGCTGATAGTGATGAGGAATTTATCTATGAGACTGATGCACAAAATGAACTTAAATGTGGAGCTATTACTCACTTCAATTCACGGACGTCCACTGAGGTATAGGACAGCAGGGAAATCTTACTCCTGAATGCAAATGCTCACACTACTTACTGCTGACGTGAACACTCAGCTCACTCTGTCACAAACAAGATCTCTACACAATCACTTCTGCTTTGAAAATGAAATTAAATCTATATGGCTACTGTTGTATAGTCACCTCTCTAGTTGGGTCTATCTGCATTTATGAAACTGTCGCTTCTTCTCTAGGGGGAGAATCTAGCACAGAATGAATGAATGAATGAATGAATGAGAGATCAAGGACAGGGCAACAGAACAAGTGACTTATGTCATTAGTAGGCAAAGTAGACCTGGAGACAAACAGACAACCCATAGTTTCCCATCTGTAAAATGGGACAATCCTCATCATAAAGACATTACATCCACTATCATGTTATAAAAACAAAATAGGGCCGGGCGCGGTGGCTCACGCCTGTAATCCCAGCACTTTGGGAGGCCGAGGCGGGTGGATCATGAGGTCAGGAGATCGAGACCATCCTGGCTAACAAGGTGAAACCCCGTCTCTACTAAAAATACAAAAAATTAGCCGGGCGCGGTGGCGGGCGCCTGTAGTCCCAGCTACTCGGGAGGCTGAGGCAGGAGAATGGCGTGAACCCAGGAAGTGGAGCTTGCAGTGAGCCGAGATTGCGCCACTGCAGTCCGCAGTCTGGCCTGGGCGACAGAGCGAGACTCCGTCTCAAAAAAAAAAAAAAAAAAAAAAAAAAAAAAAAAAAAAAAAAAGATAATAATAGCTATTTTATTGAATCGTAAGGCATGCGATAATATATAACAAATGCCTGGTACATGGCAGTTGCTCAACAAGTGACAGTATTAGTACTGAGTAAATAACATTTGGCCCAAGACCAGTGAGTCATGCTGAAACTGCCAAAAGTAAGCAAAGTGAGTGTGCCCCTCAGAAGTGTCCTCATCCAGTCCATTGAAAAAGAAAAACTTTACTCCCTCTCACTACACAACTGGCAGCTCCCATAAAACTGCTAGGAAGCACACTGCATCTCCTTCCAGGACTTGAAATGGGTCGTGTTATGCAGAAAGCAAGTTATTTCCAGAAATATGCAATGTTAAGAAAATAAATCACATTCTATCTCCTTCAACATGTCAAAGGTCCACTGAAAACTCTTGCTAAGAACACCACAAAATCACGTTTTGTCATCCTCATCCGATGGCAACAAATACAGGTTGGATCAAGTGGTGGATGAGCCGGCCCTCCCTGTGCTCATGCCCTATTCTGTCCAAGAATCTACGGCAGCGGCCCTCCCTGTCCTCATGCCCTATTCTGTCCTAGAATCTACGGCAGCGCCCCTACAGTCTAGCCAATCACATCACTTCCAAACTCCTCAGCTGGGGCCCCTGCTGGTGTCCCGCCCATGCCTAAAATGCCCTCCTTCCCCTACCGTCTCCAGTTCTCTCCCCCCACCCCCTACCACCCTCTTGTAACTTTCACAGCCCATTTCAGCTGTGAACCCAAATGTAGTCCAAATGCATCGAATTCTAATAGTTTTAAATTGTGCAGTGTCGCACACACTTGAGTCTCTTATGGTGCTTAACACAGTGCTAGGGACATCATAGGTGCTCAAGAAACTTGTTGCTAGGAGCATAATAGCTGCTCGATAAAACCCTTCTTTTATCTACCAGTGATACTGAATCGCTGAACTGAGGTAAATTACTCCATGGATTCAATCCAAAGAACGCTTTTGTATTAATTACCAAACTACTTAAGGCAGGAATGTTTTGTCTTAATTATGTAGACTATTATTTTAATTGTCACTTCTCAACTAAATACTCCAACTCCACCCCAGGCTTGCAAAACTCTGCAAGCTGAATCTTCACAAACAAGGAGAGATTAAGGAAATATTCTTCAAGGTCTCCAACAGCATCCTGAAAGGGATCACTGAAGCGATTATGCGCATAACTCTTCAGCTTCCACATGCTGTCCGGAGGAATGCTCCAGGTATTTTGGTTTGAATTATCTACCTAGTCACCTCTACCCTCCCCTACTACCCTCTTGTAAGGTAAGGGATGCCCAAAGTGGTGTTTAGGGTTAAAGTGTTTCCAAATAGCAGGATTTGGAACTTGCCAAAAAGATAAATAAGAAACCAGCGGGGGAAAAAAATTGAAACCTTTGTCACCAAAATAATGTAAAAATGTTTGTCTTCGAAAAAATATATATCTATTTTAAATCTGCAACTGCTTTGCTAAGGTCTCAAGAACCCCAAAACTGAGGAACGTGGATAAAAGACTGGCAGAACCCCTCTGAGAGGTCCCTTCAACCCCGCGTTCTTAAAACATTTCTTTTCTTTGCCTGCAAAATGCAGCCTTCCCCCAGAATAATTCCATGTAAAAAGCCCCCACCCGCGAGGAAACATTAATCTACTTTGCAAACATGCGTTCCAGTCTGTGCCTTACTATTTTTTTTTCCACTCCTTCCACCCCCACCCCGCGTTTTTTGTACCTTGAGACAAATGTTTTTTTCCCTCAGAGTTGAAAGCTGTCCAAAAACAGGACCACACACGCCGCCGCCTCCGCAGCCCCGCGCTGCGCCCGCCCCCGGCCCTCCCCAGCGCGGCGGCCGCGGCCGCCGGGGGCGCGCACACTCCAGCCAGCCGGAGGGGTGGCCTCTGGCTCTCCCCGACTCCTTTTTCTTTGGACGCGGTGGGTGGGGGTGGGGGAGAGAAGAAAGCCGGGCCGCGGAGCGGGGCCGGGAGAGGCCAGCCCCGGGGCGCCTCTCGGGGCGCGGCCCAGGCGGACAGCGGCAGCGGCGGCGGGCCCGGGGCCCCCGGCGCGCAGAGTGGTCCGTCCCGGAGGGGCCCCGCGCCCCCGTCCCGCCCCCGCCGCTCTCTCCCACCACACCTCGGCCGGCGCAGCGCCCCGAGTAGATTACAGCGCGGCCTTTGTCGGGCGGGCCTGGCTCCCGGCCAGGCGCCCAAACAATAAACAATCCCCCGGGTGCGGGCAGGGGGTTTCGCCGGCCGCAGCCAGGCTCTAGGTGTGCGCTGGCGAATATCTCTATCAACCGCGAGGAGGGACCGGGCCGGGGGCGCGGGCGCCGCGGCGGGCGCTCTTACCTTCCACCCACAGCTCCTCCACGTTGGTCTCGAGGTTCGCTGCTTTTAATCCCACCGCGAAGGCCCCAAATATGAGGAGGCCCACAACCAAGAACTTGCCGCAGTTTTTTTGAATGTAACAACCCAGTTTAAATAAGAGTCTCTGAAACTTCGCTCTCAGCCACAGCGGCGCTTTCCGGCCAGTAGCCTTCCCCTGGGGACGAAGCAGAAGGGAGGAGTGAGCGCCGGGGAGTCGCGGCCCGCGCGCCCACGCCCGCTTGCGCGCACCCGCCCGGTGAGCCCCCAACAGCCGTGGGGGCGCGGGTGGCCGCGGCACACGGACTCGCCCTCGAGACTGCAGCCCCGGCGGATCTGAGCGTCATGGGGGGCTCGGTCATAAAGCCGGGCCGCAGCGTGGGAGCTGCACCTCGGGGACATCAGGGCGCCCCCACCCGCGGGATCCCTGAGCGACTTGGGGCACTGGGGCTGCAATACAGAAGAGGAAGCCGAGGTAGAGAGGAGAGAAACCACTCGACACAGACAATATTCACCCCAGAGCTGAGAAGGGAGGGGCTGCGTAATCCCAGCGATGGAGCCCAAGGTTCAGGAGCCAGCAAACCAGTCCTGCTCTGTCCATCACCCTCGGGGACGGGCGCTAGGGGCGAGCGCTCTTTGGAACAACATATTGCGGGTTCCCCCAACTGGACCCCCGCCGAGAATGGTAGTAAGTGGGGATCCACGTGGTGAGCGCGGCCGCCGGAGTTCACTCCCGACGCATTTCCATAGCGTGGGGAGAGGCTGTGTGAGCTGAATTAGGAAGTGGGGCAGCCAGCTGCAACTTACGACAATATTTGTGATCGGAAGAGGGCAGCCACATGGATCTTTCCCTCCTCTCCCTTCCTTTCTGGTTAAACGTAAAAAACAGCCGAGTGCAAAGGGAAGGGCTCAGGCCGGCGCAGGCTGCTCCCCGGCGCGGCATTTCCCCGGCGCTGGCCGCGGCCCCGGCGGGCCCCCGTCTGGGTGCTCGCCTTCCCTGGATTCCACACATTTCAGCGAGCCTCGTAAACACAATGAACCCGGCAGCTCCGCAGACTCGCACCGCGAATTTAAGGTGGCAATTTGTTTACAACTTTTCCTCCCCCGACCAGGCCCTAAGGAGAGGCGGCTCAAAACCTGGAAAACGGGGGGGATATCTTTTTCCGAGAATAATTTTTTAAGGGAGCAGAGATTTCATGCTCAACAAAACCAAAACTGGCTGCCAAAAAAGGAAACCACCTTTATTTCGGCTCCCTCCCCCCTTCCTCTCTCCGCCTCTCTCCACTCCGCCTCCCCCTCCAAGATGTTAAGAAATGTGGCAGCCGTACAGGAGTTTAGGCTGCAAATAGGGGCAGGGGCGCAGGAGGAAGAAGTTCAGGGCAGGGGGCACGGGGCAGGACAGTGCCGCGGCCGCCCTTGAGGTGGTCCGCCGTGGACGGCTTTCCAGTGCTCCGGAAAAGGCACACCAGGGAGGGCGTGTGTATACACACACACACACGCACACACACACACCTCCACCCCCTGCGGACCTCAGACAGCCCTTTCCTCCCAGGACCAGAGGGAGGGTTTGAATTTTTCAATCCCCATTTGTCTGCTGCTTTTCCTGGAGAGGTGTGAGTGAGTGTGTGTGTGTGTGTGAGAGAGAGAGGAAGAGAGTGTGTGTGTTTGTGTGTGGCGGGGGCGATCCCAAAGAGTTAGAGGAGGGAAGAGAAAGTGGGAGGAGAGAGTCTGAAATGCACCTTGGAAATCTGCTCCAGAGCGAAGGCGGCGTCGCAGTAGCTGGGCCGGTGCAGATAGTCCCGGTCCGGCGCGGCAGCACGGCGCAGCCCCCCCGTCCGTCTGCGCCTCCCGCCTCCAGCCGGCCGTCCCGGGGCACCGATACAGCCGCTGCCGCCGCCGCCGCGGTCCTGGGGCTCGGCGGCGTTACCAGCCGAGGCCATGTTGCCGCCGCCGCCGCCGCCGCCGCGGGGACGGAGGCTTCCCGGGCGGCCCGGCGCGCTGCTGCCGCTGCTGCGGGCTCCTGGCGCGCCTGGGCGCTCGGCTTGCGAGGACGCTGCTGGCCGCAGGCTGCTCGGGCTCGGGCTCCGGTTGACAGACCAGCCGCTGCTGCTGCTCACACGGCGGGCGCTGCTGCCGCTGCGGCCGCGGCCGCTGCCGGGGAGTCAGACCCTGCGCCTTCCATTGCCACATTGCGCGGGGGTCCCGAGGTCTCTGCGGCCGCCGCTGCCCACATCCAGTTCGCGGAAGAGCGAGAGCCGGCGCGCCGAGCGAGCCTGTCCTTCGGGCGCTTCCGCGGCACTCCTTGCGGTCCCCAACTCCCCCTACCCGCCCCCCGCCCCGCGCCGCGACCCCTTCACTGCAGAAAGAGCCAGCGAATCCCCGCTGCTCCCGCCGGCCGCGCTGGCTCTCTCGGCGCCTCCCGGGTCGCCCGAGCGGCCGCGGAGGGCAAGCGCAGAGCCGCCGCCGCCGCGGGGTCCGAGGGTGCCCGGCGGGTCTCAGCGCTGCCGGGCCCGGGCAGCCGCAGCTGCCGCTGCTCCCGCGGTGGCTGCTGCTGGCGGTGGCGGCTCCAGGAGCTGCTGCTCGGGCTGCTCGGGCTCTGGCTGCTGGGTTCGCGGTGGCTGCTCGGTCCCGGACTCTGCTTTCTTGTGCTCCTCGGCAACCCGCTGGACCATTCTGTCCCCGTGCAGCGCGCCTCTCTCGCTCCCGGGACCTGGGGACTCCGCTCTGTGTGTGTGCAGCGGGCAGCGGCCGCAGCAGCTCCTTGATTCAATAGATGAGATGGAAGAAGAAAAAAAAGAACTCTCTCCATTTGGAGAAAGAAGAGGAGGAGGGGAGGGGAGGGGGTGGAGGGGGAGAGAGCGAGCGAAAGAGAAAAAGGCTGGAGCTCCCGCCCCCGGGGCTGTCAGATGGCTTGGGTTTCTGCGACGCGATTGGCTCGCGGAGGGCAGAAATTACTCAGCAAACATGACTATTATTAGCTGCTTAGCAACAGCTCACCAAAGTAGAGAGACCACCCAGGTAGGCAACCCAGTGTGTGCATCCTCGGCTTCGGGGCAGCCTCTGAGAGCGCCAACCTTCTCGCATGCAATACTTCCATTAAGGAATGCTCCCCCTCCTTTCTCTCTTATTCCTTTTCTTTTCAACAGTGTCTTCTTTTTGTGGGATGCCTTTGCGCGCACACACGCGCGCGCACGCACACACACGAACATTTGCCTCGCGGTAGACACGGGGGGAAATGTAATATTTTTTTAAGCGCTTAAACAATTTCTGAAATTCCTCAAAGAAAAGCCTTTCAGAGGCACCTTGGCCTCAAGCTGCAGCAAATACTGGGAGGTCCGGCTCGCATTCCCAGGCCTGCACCAATAATGACAGCGTGCTGGATAGTGCGCCAGTGTGTGCCAGATTTTTTTTTCCTCTTCTCTTTTCTTTTATAACTAAAGGGAAGACTTAGGCTCTTGCAGGGAACAACGCCTCGCATTAAGATAAACAGAATGGAAAGTTAAAGAGGAAAGCAAGGACGTTGGGAAAAGCCATCTTTCTTAAAATCCGTCTGCCCCCCAGCCGCTTTCTCCCCCCAACTTAAAAAAAAAAAAAACACAGTCTTGGTTTGAAGGAGTCAGTGTTCTATAAACGTGGAATCCAGACACCGAAGCAGTCTTGTAGAGGCAGAGGCGTTTTTATTTGAATCTCGAATGTGACATAAGTAAAAGAGAAACAACAGAATCTTTTTTTACAACTTAGAGAAACGGAATTGTTTCCTTGAGAGAGTAAAGTTTTCCTGATTATTTTGGGTTCATTTGTACACCCCTTTTTATTAACCAGATGTTTATATAGTCAGTATTTTTTTTTACAAAACTCGGTATGCATGTTATATTTAATAATAGTATGACGTAGGAGATTATAAATGCCCCGATGCTGGATTCATTGAAAACAAACTGTGCGCGGATCGCGAGGATTCGTCCCGACACCGCGTCCAGTGTCACCAAGGCATCCCGGGGATTCGCTTCCCGCGGAGGGGGAAAACACGCGACCCTTTGAGGTGGATTCTGGAGCCAGACACGTCTACACAACTAGGCTTTTTATTTAAAAAAATTTTTGTTTTCGGAAAGTGGAATGTGTTTTTCTTACGTTTCCAAGTTATTACGTTCCTCCCTGCGGTAGGAACCCGACCCGCAAACCCTTGATTTGCTTCACTTTATTTTTTTTTTTAAACGGGGTTGAACTGCAGAGGGACTGGCAGTAGCGAGAAGTCTAGTGAAGTCGTGAAATGGGGCGGTGTGGCTTTAAGATGCGCACGGTGTATGTTCATTGAAAAAAAAAGAAGAAAGAAAGGAAAGGAAAGAAAGAAACCCAGATGGAGGGAAAGGGGGAGGAGCAGGGAGAAGGCGGAGCTCCGGTGGCCACGTGACCCCGCGCCAGGAGGCCCGGTGCGCGCGCGCGCCCGGCTCCCGGACTCCCCGCGCCCGCGCGGCCGGGGCAGAGTAGGTAGGGAGGCGGATGCGCCGGGCCGGCTCCGGGCCTCCAGCGCGGTCTCCCGAGAGCCCAGGCGAGGCGCGCGCCCAGCCGGCGCGGACGGACGTGCCGGACGCGCCGTAGTACATTCCTGAAGGCGGACCGGCCCCCTTACGCTGCCCAATGCCCGCGCCGCCTCCCCGCGACCGGCCAATGGTCGCGCTCACGAGTCCCTGCCCATTCAGCGGCCCCGCGCTGGCTGCCCGGGCGCGCTGGGGGCTGCGGCGGGGCGCGCCGGCCACCGGGGCGGTCCACGCGGCTCCCGCAGGGGGCCCGTCCGCCGGCTCTCCCCGCCCCCTTCCTTCCTCCCCGGCGGTTTCCCCTCCCCGCTTCCTTCCTTCGGCCTGCGCCTTCTCCTTCCTCCCTCGCCCCGCTCCCTCCCTCAATCTCCCCTCCCCCACCAGCCTGGCCACCTTCCCTCCAGCCTCTCCTCCTCCCCGGCTTCAGGGGGAGGCCCTTCCCCCGACCCCCTAACCCGCAAACCGTATGCGGTGCCGGGGTCAGGGCGGGATGTCCCGAGGAAGAGAGGGAGACGGGGTGGAGGTGTTTGGGGGCGTTCGCGGGATCCGGAGGGGGACCTGAGCACCGGGCCAGCGCGGAAATTCAAAACTCAGACCGCTTAAGGAGCACGTGATTTTGTGAGTGCCTCAGGGAAGGGCTGCGGAAACTCGGAAAGCAGGCGGGCAGCATGCGAGGAAAATGACACTGAGTTGATAAAGAGCTCAGACGGCTCCACACATTGCCAGTTTCATCTTTGAGTACGATCCTGATGTTTATTAGGTTTGATAAATAGCACAAAACAGGAAAAGAGGTTTACTATTCTAGCTTTTCTTACTGAATGGTTATGCCGACACTTCAAGTCGAACCATTGTGTGTTTGCTTCTGGAAATTGCTTTTTAAAAACTGGGGGAGGGGGGTAGTACCCCTAGTTTTGCATGTTAGCCTTTTTATATTTCAAGCTTGCTGGAGGGCAAGGAACCATATAGCCAAAGACACGTTGCTATGTTTGTCTTTTCAAACTTCTCCACCACGTTTTGGCCCAAAACTATTAGTGTTTCGTCTCAATCTTTTACTAGAGGGATTTCAGTATAGCTTGTTTGGAAGAAGGAATTCTGGAAGGAAATGGTAAGCTGTGTGCCCGTAATGGATCCGCCTCACTCTCCGCACGCGGCTGCATGTCCTCTGGTTCCGGCGGCTGCCACATGCACGTCATTTCAGTGGCAAAGCCTCTTCCACTCAGGCCCATATCCCTTAGTTTGACTTAATTCCTAAACGTTTTGAACATTGATCCCCGGAGCTTTCAGTGCCCTGAGCCCCCTCGCCCGCTGTTTGATGGGTTAACTTTTCAGCATCTCAGACAATGGTCCCGGCCTGTAAATTCTACCCGTGGGTTCCAGGACGCACTCCGGAGCCTCGGCTCTAACGAGCGCTATCTTAATCTCCCCACCCCCCACCCGCCGCTTCCCCTGTGGTCTGCTTTTTTCATACTTAGAGATGAATTACTTTGAGGATCTAATTGGCCTTGTTTCTGTAACGTTTTAAGAAAGGGAAGAGGAGCCAGTGTAAAAGCCTGCTCGACTTGGGTGGTCAGGGCTGAGGCTGCCCCCAATTTGCCTCATTGCTGATGCATGCGAGTGCGACATTCCCAGCGATAATGTTGTTCCTAATCAATCTGCCCTTATTTACATTTGTAAGCATTGTCGGCTTTAATATGCATGCCCTGTGCAGGGGACTGCTGTGCCACACCGGGTTTGTTAACTTCAACTAACCACAAGGATTCCACAGATCTGAGATGCAGACTGGGGCAGCCAGACCTGCTAAGGTGTCCTCCGGGAAGACAGTCCCTTTAAATGGCCCTTCTGCCTCTGGCACCCCTTGTGACAGTTACCAAATAAAAATAAGTGAGAACTTGGGGCCTTATCAGCCAGCAGGAGTTGCCAGCCTTTATGAAGCAACAGCTGAGTGTTCCATTTCCCCTTTCCAAGTAAAGTTCATCTCAATGCATAAATTGTCATTTTGGTCTCCCAGTCATGATCCAAGACTTCTCATTGGAGTGTGTAGTTTTCAAAGCAGATGCCTTAAGCTCTCCGGATTCCCTCACATCTCCTCCCTTCTCTGTTCCAATACTACAAATATCCATGGCCACACCACACACATTTCAAAAATGACATCAGATTATCCAAATGATGACAATGAAATAAAACATCTGCCCTTTGTGTTGGGATGTTCCAATGGTAAGCAATTGTGGAAGCCAGACTTGGTGGAGTTATGAAAAACCACAGTGAGATTTAACTTTTCACTGGTTTCTCAGATCAAACCAAATGAGTCTTTAAAATCCAATGTAATTTGGCAAGTTTTGCAGAGTATAAATGAATAAAGGGGTTAATGTATTCCAGTAATTTGACCCTGGGGCCATTTATAATTTTGTCTACTGAGTTTAATACTCTTCCAGAAATACAAGGAATTGCAAACATGATTTTAAGTCCTACAGTATTTTTGTTGAGAGGGTCGGATGGAGAGAGGAATTGGGGATTTGATGCAATATTCTTTTACTGCATGGGGAGCCCAGGATACAGGATGTGAGTGATGGTCAAGGCAGGGCTTCAGCAGTTCCAAGCAGGTACCTTGAATATGAGTTGAGTCGACTCAACTCAAGCCAATGTGCCACCATCCACCACATTTTCTTGGCTCCCTAAGAATGCCTTACTATTTTCTCATTGGCAGCTTTTGTATATTCTTAAAAGGTGATGGTAGAAAATGAGTCTAAAAGGTTTCAGGGAAGTCGGGGACGGGGTGGGGGGAGATTCAGCAGCTACAAAATTTAAAACTACTGGGCTTGACTCCCCTCCCCTACTCCCTTCCACCTTCTGTTTCCTCCCCTTATTTACCCCCTCCCCAGGCTGGAGGAAAGGGAACAGCTCTAGCCAACTTGTCAAAATAATGCTGCTAATTACCCCTGATCTCCTTTAATGGGAAGCTGCTCCTAACTCCACAAAGGAGTAAATGAGGGGTCTACAGCACAAACCCGGGAGCACTGGCATTTTTTGAGCTTACAGTGAGCTGGGGGTGGGGAAAGCGGCAGAGGGGAGTGTCCTGAGAAGGTCCCAGAAATCTCCACATTGATTACTCCAGGTCTAAATACTAGCTTGAAAGGGGAATTAGACTTTATGTATTGCCAAAAGCTATTGGTATTCTCTTGCTAAGCATGTCACCAACTGCTGAATGTTCAGAGCCTACTATGAACTTGAAAGAAAACAGAGCATTGACCCCTGCATTGATCCCTCTCTCTCCAAATATATTCTTACCCACATTGCTTTCCTCTCATGGATAGAGATGTATTCCTACAACACCCAGACTTTGAACATGTTTTGCATCCTTCCCTCTCCTCGCCTCTCCCTGTCTAATATATCTCTATCAAGCTTTGCGTTTGCTAGGAGGCACACCATTCATTTCAGTGATCTCTGCTATTGGGTCCTGCATGAAAAAGAAGCTGAGCAACATGATCCCTTTGACCCACTGCTGGAGCAACAAATTTATCAGAAATATAGGCATGAGAAATGAAAGGGAAGTAAAACAATTCCAGCTTATTGTGTGTCTTTCTTTCATACTGCTAATCCGGTTTACACATCACGCCTACACGTCTCAATAGGGCATTATACACTGTGGCAGAGGCTGGAGAAAATAAAAGGTGTGTGTGTGTGTGTGTGTGTGTGTGAGAGAGAGAGAGGAATGAGGATAAAAACGGGAGACATATTTTAATCCACATTGATTAACCTCATCAGTTTATCTATCTGTAGAAAGTTGAAGATAATTTTGTAAAACAGCCTTTTTCTTTTCAGAAAATAATTCCAAATGGTTCTAAGTTTTGTTCAAATAGCTTCAAAGATTATGACTACTTTATAACCAGAAATTAGATACACCACTCACAGTGAGTTTGAAATGAAGCTAATACCCCAAATTGAGAATGGCGGGGCCTATTGATGTCTACCTTGATTCAACATTTTAATTGAAACAGATCATGGACTCAAAGGCATTTTATAGCCTTGTGGAAGGAAGCTGGGTGACAACTGGAACACACATAAACTCACAATCGAAAGCCCCTTGTTTTACAACTTGGGCACTCCATGCACCTGAGGCAACAATTTATCCGGAGTACCACCCAGAAATTTTAAGTTGCAATAACAAAGGATGACACCATAAAGCATTGTCTTTCTTTGTGGAGGCGATTAATTGCATGCTGAACTACTGTCGCCAATAAACACAGAAATAAATAAAAACCTAAAAGAAATGCACACACACAGAATGCTGAAAAAGGACTATTGTGGTAGTTCAAGACCTCAGTGATCCAATTATCAAATATTTAGAGCCACCCATTGTGGCTCTTTATTATTTATGTCTAGTTCTTTTGTATTTCTCCTCCCCAGGGAGGAAGAAAGGATAAAAAGGGAGGAAGACGGTCTTCTCTCCCAGGTGCAGGAAAACAGGTCTGTGGGTGTCTTCCACAGCCGCCCACCCATATGGTTCTTCTTAGGTGATGGAAACAGATCAGTTTCCCTGAGAGTGTGCTCATCCACACGCTAGCATCATTTTAAACATGAACGTACTAAATACGTGGAGACACAGCGCATGTCACCCAGAGGCACAGTTTCTGGGGGTCTTGGGGTTCAGCGCTGGGCCCGGGCCTGTAAAGTGAGAATCGGTCCGGCCCGCCCCCGGGCTCCCCTGAGGCCGCACTCTGCACTCTAAGCACTGGGCTGGTCGCCCATCTCTGTAAGGGTGGCAGCCACCCAAGCGCCTGAATCGGTGGGCATAAGAGTCACACACACCACCTCTCTTACCCACCGCCCCTTCCAGAACTCCAAAAGCCTCTCTGGCCCTTTTCCCGCAGCATGGGAGGGGAGGTGGGTAAGGTGCGTCTCTTCTAGCCCGGGTGTCCCGCACCCCTAGGCGTGCGTGCGGGCTCGAGAGCGGGTCTGCGGGGCGCGAGCGTGCCCTTCCCTGCGGCTGCGGCTGCTCCCGCGAGCTGGCGGCAGCGGCTTCCGCGCGCGCGCTCTGAGCCCCCTCCCCTCGGCGCTGTCACTCTCCGCACCAGCCCTTCCATCACCAGCTCTGCCTCCGCTGGCGAGTCAGTAGCCACCACCAGGCTGATGAGCGGAAGCCAAGGTGGCGACCCTTTCAGGCGTGAAAATGGGAGCTCCGGCGACCCCCTCCGTGAGAATTCCCCCCGGAGCCGTTCCTCAGCCGGGGCCCGCCGCGGCCAGCCCCCTCCCCGCCACGCGGGGCTGGCCTCGGGGGCGGGGGCCCGGGCGTGCGAGCGAGCGTGGAGGCGCGGGACCCGCGCTCCCGCGCCCAGGCGGCGCAGCCCACCCGGCTCCACGGCCCCGGCGCGCGGCCCGCCCCTCCTGCCCGGCGCTCGGGGCTCGCTCCTCCGTCCGCCGCGCGGGGCGTCCCGCGTCCCCGTGTCCCCGCGCCGCCCGAGGAGCACGGCGCGCGAGGCGAGGTGGCGTCGGCGGCCGCCGCGCTGGCTGCACTCACCATAGCCGGCCGTCAACCCCTGCTCGGAGCGCGGGTGCCGATGGCGCGGACGCTGGGCTTGGATTTCACATCAATTCCTTTTTTTTCCCTGGCCCCCCTTTCCTCGTCCTCCGCTCCTCCGTCTTCTCCCAGTCTTCCCTCGTCTCCCCCTTGCCTTGTCGCTGCGGGTCTCTTTGTCTCCCCTGTCGTCTTTTTCTTCTCCTCCGTTTTCTTCTTCTTCTTCTCCTCCTCCTCCGTCTTTACAAAAGGAACGGAAAGTGTAAAAACCCCGGCGCGCTGGGCCGCCGGAGGCTTTCGGCGGAGTGCAGCGCGGACTCACAATTACAAGCCTGTTTCTATTAAGCAGTTCCATGGCCCTCGGCGTGGGTGGTCTGCCGCGCCATAGGCAGGACCTGTCAGGGTCACGTGACGGATCCGAAAACTTTACCCCTTTACAATAAACTCAAGGAAAGCAAAGTAAACTCGAGGAACGTGCTATCAGCACAGCCCTCCTGGGTAAACAGGCGCTCCCCTCCCCGCCTTCCTGGGAGGCGCCCTGCCCGGCGAGCTCCCGCGAGCCTAGCCACCCTCTCCCCGCCCCCCGCGGCCGTGTTTGCGGGGGGCCGCCGGGCTGGGGGTCTCCGCGCGCTCCCGCGGCTTCTCCACCTTGTGCTCGGCTCCCCCGCCCCCGCACACATTATTTGCTAACATTTGGCCATCTTGTCCCAACGCCGGTCGGGGGAGGTGTGGGGAAGCAAGGAAGCTCCTTTTAGCATCCTCAGCGGTCCGGGAAGTGGGGGGTTCCCAGAGGACTGCAGAAGAACACCACCTTTCATGCTTGCATTCTCAAAGCCTTTCCTTCTCGCATTCCCACGGAAGCGCGGAAAAGCTGGGAGCCTTCTAGATGACAGGCCTACGGGCCGCCAGAGGGGCGGGGAGCAGGAAAACCGGACAGATCACAGCGCCTTCCCGGGGAAATTTCAGCACGAGATGTGTGCGGATTCGTGTCGGTCCCTCGGAAGCCGTTTCTTCTGAAAGAGACCAAGGTGGCGTCCCTTGGAAACCAAGATTTGTACCTGGTCCGAAGAATCACGGATTGACATTTGCTCCCTTTCTCTTCTGATTCCTGTGGTTTCTGGGGTATGCCACCCAAATGCTCCCACCTACTGTGCCGTCCTGTGCCAGGCGGCCTTGGGTGACTGGCCTAAACCTAGGAGCTGGTGGGTCGCGCGGATAACCCTGCTCTCGCTCAAGACTGAAGCGTTCTATTCGGGAGCGCCCCCGCTACAATGTCTGACATTTTATCTGCTCAACCCCGCCGCTGGTAGACGGTGTTTCACACACTGCGACTTTAAATGGGCCACATTATGAATAAAGATGAATTACAGATACAAGGGCAGGGTAGAGGGAGTGAGAACATTTACTGCAGCTCTGAAGAGCTGACTAGCTGGTCTTGAAATAAAGCCAGACTCTTCTCACTTCATTCTGGGCTGACAGTGTGATTAGGTGTGTGTGTGTGTTGGGGGCGGGGGGGGCGGGGCGGGGGTAGAAGAGGTGCCCCATGTGTTATTAAATAATAATAATCATCCTAGGAGTTTTGGGATCTCCCTCCCACAAAGATGACGTAGCCATTCTTGAGCAGAGTCATTTGAGTTTCCAGAATGTATGTGTTTGAGACACGTTAAGTAATTAAGCATTAGAAGGGGGGCAGCCCTGTGAATTTGGCTGGTCCAGAAGGTCATTTTCATACCAGTGACTTCAGTCAAAAATGGACTCAAATGCATATTGGCTGACCATGGATTCTAAAAGTCACAATAGTTGTAACAACAACAACAAAAAACCCAACATTTCCCTTCGAAACACTTCCCCCTGTCTTTTGGTGTCATATCAAAGGGCCCTGTTTATCTATAAATGTGAGTGGGGTTATGAACAGGAAGGTATACATAATCTCCAAATAGAGGGGTCTAGAATATGAGGGAGAAAGGGGGATAAGAAAAAAGAGAAACAGCCGACAAAGGGCATTTAAATGGCCCACAATATACAGTTGCTAGGAAAATTACAGCAGAACTTGAGGAGTTTGCTTTTTCTAGTTAAAATGAAGACCCTCATGGAAGCACACTTGGCTACATGCTCCTGCTGAGTTGTGGCCAAGGCTGATACTCAAGAGTGGACACTAGTTTTGTGTGGCCTAGGACTTAGGCAGCTTTCAGAGTGAACGGGGAGTGGGGAGCTTCTTTAGCAACTCAAAACTGCAAACACAAAATTAAGTACAGGGCCTTGAAGTGGCCTGGGCAGGGAGGAGCCCTAAAGCTACCTGGGCTTCTAGGAAATCGCCTTTCTTGAGTGTGCAGACAGGAGGACGACAGAACTACCCAGTCTTTGTGGTCCTGGTGGTCTACGCTGTCCCTTAGTTAGGACTGAATGTGTTCATATGAGTCTTATCTTAGTCCAAGGCTTTACAATTGGGAGCAAAGACAAGTTTGTTTTGTACAAGAGTGTAAGTACTTAGAGTTGGGCAGGAGTGGCATAATGAGGCAGGGAGTAGAAAATCTGGTGTTAAAACGTACAAGTATAGGAAGGAGGGAAGCCCCTGGAAATGTTCTCTCTTGTAGAATGTAAAAAGTTCCTCTTCAAAGTTTCCCCTTCCCTTCTTGTTAAAGAATAAATCATAAGTGTTAAAAATAATAGTTTCTTTTAAAAACTAACTTCCTTCAAGCCTCCTTGCTTTGTGCTAATAACTCTTTGTTAAGCCCTATCGTATGTAGCTGTTAAACATGCTCACAGGCACATAGTACATTCTATGTCCTTGTACCTTAACCAAGATATTTATGCTGGACATGCTCACAGGCAAGTTCCAGCTGGCAGCCTATGGCCCTTCCCTGTATGGCACAAGCAACTTCCTGTTTTCCTTTGTCTTTTCATTACTTTTACCTATTTAGAAAAGTTTTAAACTGTTAGCCAATCTGGTTTTAGTTTAGATTGTGAGGTCTGGCTCCAGCCAATGGAGACAGGACACAGTCTCAGGAACAAACTATGTAAGGGATAAAAATTGCTTCCCTCCTTTGTTCAGGTGTGCTGTCACATTGTTTCATCTCTGATGAGCACCCTTTCTGCAGAAAGTAATAATGGCCTTGCTGAGAGAATTAAATTTATGTTCGAGTGCTGTTTCTTCGAGTGCTGTTTCTTTGCAGCACCAGGGAACAAGCATTCTGTTTCTAAATAAACATTTTCCATGTAACGTCTCCCAAAAGCAACCTGTCTTTCTTTTCCTTCCTTTGAAATCAATCTTCGCAGATTATGTCAGTGCTGTGCCTCTCTTCTCTCCACTCTCAGATGCTAGAAGCATTAAGTCAATGATATAGGTTCTGGTTGGGGGTCAGGGACTCAACACCCTTATGTGTTACCTTCTAGTGCTTCTCTGAGACTCCCACCAGGGTGGGCCCTCTCTCATCAAACAGCTGCCTCCACACTTCTAAAGTTGCTTATGTCTCCCCACTTCCCAAAAACCAGCTCCAGTGCTGCCCAATCTAAGTCAATTGGCATGGAGGTGTTAATGGCACACAAGGCTACCAGACAACACCGCTCAGCTCCAAGTCTTCCCAGTCTGATAAGCCAATTGGCATCCAGGTGTTAATGGCTGATGAGGCTACTAGACAATACTTTTGCTGGTTAACTTGGACTTTTGGAGCCATACACAGAAGAATAATTCCAAAGCTGAAGATTTCAGGGCAGGGCCAGATGGAGATTTAGGGGGCATTGGAAGACAGGACAATAGGACTTTTGAAACAGGCCTGAAACCGACTGAAAACAGACCACAATGAGTATGCATAGGCGAGGTTGTCTTTCTGAATATTGTTGCTACTGGAGATACAGTGTTACTCTTTGTTTTTGTTTTTGTTTTTTGAGATGGAGTCTCACTCTGTCACCAGGCTGGAGTGCAGTGGCACAATCTTGGCTCACTGCAACCTTCACCTCCCGGGTTCAAGCAATTCTCATCCTCTCGAGTAACTGGGATTACAGGCACACACCGCCACACCAGCTAATTTTTGTATTTTTAGTAGAGATGAGGTTTCACCATGTTGGCCAGGATGGTCTTGATCTCCTGACCTTGTGATCCGCCCACCTTGGCCTTCCAAAGTGCTGGAATCACAGGTCTGAGCCACTGTGCCTGGCCCAGTGTTACTCTTGTACCATCAACATACACACTTATACACACACTTGCACATGCATACATGTGTTCACACATTCTTCATTTTAAGCTCCCCTCTTCTCTGGCTCCCAATAAAAATGGGTGCCTAAGAGTTTCCATTCATCTCCTCCCTCACGGTAACCTCCAGCAATTGGAAGGCTTTCAAATGAGTAACTGAGGGTTCAGAAGAAACAGTTGCCCACATTTAAGGAGCTCTCCACCTCAAGATGAATGCTGCTCTTGCACATGGTCAGTGGCCATACCACACTGGCCACACCTTAGGCGTGGTCAGTCTTTGATTCTGGATCAGACAGATCCTCACAAGCTTTCATAAAAGTACTCTTGCTCAATGTGGGGATTTCAATTCTAAAATGACTGCCCCCCCTCACTCCCTATCCTGGCCTCTTCCTTGTGGGAGGATATTCACAAGCCAAATCAACTCTCAGAATTAGGGCTTTGGGGACTGGAGAGGTAAGAAATATTTAAAGGTGTTTGTTACAACATCGAATTAGACCCAATGAACAATTGAAGATAACTTGAGTTGAAACAAAGGAATTGTTTAAATACAAACAACAAAAAGAAAGAAAATAGGATTGCAAAACAGAAAAGGCGATGATGTTGTATGAATAGAAACACCAGAACATACAGCTTGGAAACAGAGTGGGTGGAGTGAAACCTGGAATACTATGGAATATAGGCTTTGTCGGACCCCATTGCTGAGGAGTAGGAAGGCAGTTGGAGGTGTTCGAAAAATCAGATGATAATTTCAGGACAAGAAGAAACAGAGAGATAGATACCTGTGGAACTCTCACCTCAAAAAACAACACTTACTCAAGTTGCTCTTCCTCCAACAGAGGTACACATACAAACTGACTCCTATTCATCCAGTGATGACCTTCCCATATGTAGAAGACCTGCAGGGGCAGCCTTGTTAACGAAGAATGTGCTGAGAAAACGAAATGCCAAGGGGCCTGGTCAACTGTGGGAGGCAGGTGTGGCCAGGGTGGCTGGTGGTGAGGGTGATGGGTCAGTGCCGGGAGACATAGCCCACTGCGATCAAGTAGGTTCCCAAAATTTATCATGAGGTTCTACCTGGACCTAAGAGGCCCTGAATAAAGAGATTAAATGTCGTGAATATGAATGACAGCCTCCATCTGATGAAAGTTGCTGCTTACACATTCTGCATTGTTGCAACTAAGCATTCATCACTTGTTTCCATTGAGATTGGTGGCAGAAGGTGCAGAACTGAATTATGTCACGTGATTGAAAATTTGGAGGGGTGAGTCAAAGTTTATATCCACTCCATTTGTGAAAGAAGTTGTGTAAAGCAGACTCCTAAAAAGGGAGCAAGTTTGAGCCATGTGGGAGAAGCTGAGCCTCCAACAGTCCTTTCATTAGGCTGTGCCCTGGGGGACACCCAGCCAGCCATCTGCGGGTGGTTCTGAAGACCCTTCTCACATATATCCAGACAGTGGCATTCCTTGTGTTTGTGAGGTGGAAAGGATGTGTTACCAGCTGTTGACTGAGGCCGGTTTCTTGTAGTGTGGGAGGTGGGAGCTTGGGTCTGGGCTGGCCCTGCCCTGCCATCCATATCCCAGGCTCAGTGCCTTCTTCTCTACCTGTGTGAGTTTGCTGGGGCTGCCATAGCAAAATCCCACAGACTAGGAGGCTTACACGCAGATACTGAATTTTCCTCACAGTTCTGGAGGCTGGAAATCTAAGAATAAGGTGTCGGCAGGGTTGGGTCCTCCTGAGGCCTCTCTCCTTGTGCCCTCGCTTGATCTTCTATGGGTGTCTGTGTTGAAATTTCTTTTCTTTTTTTTTTTTCTTTTTTGAGTTAGGGTCTCACTTGGTTGCCCAGGCTGGAGTGCAATGGCACGATCATAGCTCACTGAAGCCTTGAACTCCTGGGCTCAAGTGAACCTCCTGCCTCAGCCTTGTGAGTAGCTGGGACTATAGGCATGTGACACCACACCTAGCTAATGTTTTAAATTTTTCATATAGATGAGGTCTGGCCATGGTGCCTAGGCCGATCTCAAACTTCTAGCCTTAAGCGATCCTCTTACCTTGGCCTCCCAAAATTCTGGGATTACCGGCATTAGACCCCACACTCAGCCCTCAAATGTCCTCTTCTTACAAGGACACTGGTCATATTGGATTAGGATCCAACTTAATGACCTCATGTTAGCTTAATTACCTCTTTAAAGACCCAGTCTCCAAATACAGTCACATTCTGAGGCACTAGCAGTTAAGACTTCAACAGAAGGATTTTGAGGGCACACAGTTCAGCCCACAACAGCAACCAAAGGTTGAAAAGATCTGGCTTGCATCTGAAAGGCAAGTTCATTTCTCGGCTCTGTGTTTGGAGGGGGGCTCCGGGTAGACTGGAGCTGGGTCCTTCCTGGCATCCAGTGCTGAGAGGACCTGACCCACCCCCTCTCAGAGACCTGTCTACACCTCCACAAAACAGACACTAGCTGACACATTTTCTAAGAATGTTGGTGGTCTAAGAAAATGGCTTTAGGCACCCAGCAGAATTTCCCCCAACCCCCAACCACAAAGAATGAACACTGCTAGGCTAATTACAAATCTGTCTTCTTTATTTATAGCAGCAAGTCCCCTAAGGCAGTCGTTTCCAAGGCTGCTGTTCATCAGAATCACCTGGGGAGTTTAAAAACAAAGAAACAAAAATAGATTCTTTGACCCCATCCTAGAACTGTAGAATCAACTTCTCAGCCCTGGGGAATCAGTATTTTTAAAAATAATCCCCCTAAAGCAAGTGATATGGTTTGGCTGTGTCCCCACCCAAATCTCATCTTGAATTGTAGCTCCCATGATTCCCACGACCCGGTGGGAGATAATTGAATCAAGGGGGTGAGTCTTTCCCGTGCTGTTCTCATGGTAGTGAATAAATCTCACCAGATCTGATGGGTTTTATAAAGGCAAGTTTCCCTGCACTTGCTCTTGCCTGCCACCATGTAAGATGTGACTTTGCTTCTCACTTGCCTTCTGCCATGATTGTGAGGCCTCCCCAGCCATGTGGAACTGTGACTCAATTAAACCTATTTCTTTTATAAATTACCCAGTCTCAGGTATGTCTTTATTAGCAGAGTGAGAACAGACTACTACAGCAAGTACAGTAAAATGCTAATGGTAGGATCTAGGAGTGGGTATACGGTGTTCACTGAAAAATTCTTCCGACTTTGCTGTATGTTTGAAATTTTTCTTTTTTCTTTTCTCTCTCTCTCTCTTTTTTTTTTTTTTTTTTTTTTTTTTTTGAGATGGAGTCCTGCTCTGTTGCCCAGGCTGGAGTGCAGTGGCATGATCTCAGCTCACTGCAACCTCCGCCTCCTGGGTTCAAGCGATTCTCCTGCCTCAGCGTCCTGAGTAGCTGGGATTACAGGTGCATGCCACCAAGCCTGGCTAATTTTTGTATTTTTAGTAGAGACGGGGTTTCAACATGTTGGTCAGGCTGGTCTCGAACTCCTGACCTTGTGATCCACCCACCTTGGCCTCCCAAAGTGATGGAATTACAGGTGTGAGTCACAGCACCCGGCCTAAAATTTTTCATAATAAAATGTCAAAAAGAAAATAAAAGGATACCTGAATTATTCTGCTGTGCAACTGGATTTGAGGACCTAAGGGACACTTGGTTATTTGGTGAATATCTTCTTGATGCTGTTCTCTGTTACAGCATTTGTCACATTACATTATTGCTGTTCATTCACCAAATACAAGGTTTGTGAGCTTTTAAATGCATCATCCTCTGCTAGGTGATGGGAATTTGGGAACAAAAAGGCTATTTTCTTTTAAAATACTGTGAAATACCATTTTATCCCCATCAGATTGTCAAAATTGAGAAGTCTGACTGCAGCAAAGATGAGCAAGATTGTGAAACAATGGAAACGTTTGCGCATGACTTCCTTGAGCATAGATTGGTTTAATCACTTCTGGAAAACAACTTGGGATTCTCTGGAAAGGTTGAATTCCCCTTCTAGGGGTCTCTCCAAGAGAAAACTGTTCTCCCTGGGGCTCAGGAGATGCACACCAGAATGTCCACAGCACCACTGCTTGTAGAAACATAAAACTGGATATGACCACAATGTGCATCAGCGTAGAAAACATAAACAGTAGAGAATTTCTGCAATGCAATTCTACAAAGAAGTGAAAAGCAACAAGCCACAGCCACCTTACAGCAACACAGATGAACCGCACAAACATAATCTTGGGTGAAATACCTAGGTCAGAAGCAAGTGTCATAAGAATGCATTCATGGCCAGGCACGCTGGCTCACGCCTGTAATCCCAGCACTTTGGGAGGCCGAGGTGGGTGGATCACGAGGTCAAGAGATCGAGACCATCCTGGCCAACATGGTAAAACCCCGTCTCTACTAATACAAAAATTAGCTGGGCATGGTGGCGCATGCTTGTAGTCCCAGATACTCGGGAGGCTGAGGCAGGGGAATTACTTGAACCTGGGAGATGGAGCTTGCAGTGAGCAGAGATCTGGCCACTGCACTCCAGCCTGGGCAACAGAGCGAGACTCTGTCTCAAAAACAAACAAACAAACAAACAAAAAACCAGAATGCATTCATAAATTCCATTTGTATAGAGTAATACTTATTTTAAAAAGGGAGTGAAAAACCCATTCAGGGAAGCAGTTATGTCTTGGAATGCAGGAGGTGAAGGGAGGAGAAGCTCCATTAAGTATTTATTTTATTATTGTTCTTTAAAATGTGCATACAGGTGATAACACTTTTTATCGTATGTTCTGTTTCATACATTTTTATTTTAAATATGCCATCCTAGTCCCGGATCAATGCAGAGTCCGGTGGGGAGTGAAGGAGTGAAGGAGAACATGAAACTATACTTTGAGAAAGGCGGAGGCCGCCGCACACAGAAAATACCGTGGGAGCTCAGTGGGAAGTGTGCCTGGGTCCTGACTCCTGAGACTGCATGAAGTGGGGAGGGGCTTGCTGGAGAAGAGGAGGAGGGGCTACTGACCAGGTCAAAGGGAGAGACAAGGCCGGGCGCGGTAGGAGGCCCAGGCGGCCGGATCATGAGGTCAGGAGATCGAGACCATCCTGGCTAACACGGTGAAACACCGTCTCTACTAAAAATACAAAAAATTAGCCGGGCGTGGTGGTGGGCGCCTGTAGTCCCAGCTACTCGAGAGGCTGAGGCAGGAGAATCGCTTGAACCAGGGAGGCGGAGCTTGCAGTGAGCCGAGATCACACCACTGCACTCCAGCCTGCATGACAATGTGAGACTCTGTCTCAAAACAAACAAACAAAACAAAACAAAAAACGAGACAAGGGCATTCCCCCGGGACAGGCGGTGAGAGTGGGGAGTATCCAGAACACAGCCCCTTCCTTGGCCCCAGGCCCTGGCGTCGGGAGTAACTGACTTCATGCTTACTGCATATCAACTCACCAACCTTAGTATAGTCTAGAAACCCACGCAGTCTCCTCCAAGGGAACGAGGAAAGCCCATTCCTACAGAGATTTAAGCCATACAAAGCTTAATGTTAGAAAATGTGCAAATGCAATGTTACTTTATGAGCCCCAACGTGGTTTTTTAAAAATCTGCATATTTAGGGGGAGGCGGGTGGATCAGCTAAGGTCAGGAGTTTGAGACCAGCCTGGCCAACATGGCAAAACCCTGTCTCTACCAAAAATACAAATATTAGCTGGGCGTGGTGGTGGGCGCCTGTAATCCCAACTACCCAACAGACAGAGGCAGGAGAATCGCTTGAACCCAGGAGGCAGAGGTTGCAGTGAGCCGAGATGGCGACATTGCACTCCAGCCTGGGCAACAGAGTGAGACTCCATCTCAAAAAAAAAAAAAAAAATTCTGCATATATAAGTCAACCCTTTAATGGGGTCATTTTATAATGACATTGCAGTGGTGCCTTGTGTATAAGGCAATGTTACTTATTTACTACAAATACTAGAAGGAGTTATAAATGTATATGGTAGTGAAAATCCATAAAATTGTGACCTTAACTCTCTTGTCAATTGGCACATCAATAGGAAGTTTTATGATGAAGTCACGTAAAGTGACAGACTTCTTCAGAAATATTCAGTTACAGATAGCATTGGCCAGGAGGAAGCAAAGGAGAAGGTGGCTCACACATTGCAGCTCGTTATTTGCTTATACAGGTGAACACTTCTGTTTAAGCTTTGTGATTTGAAACAGCCACCCACCCACCCTCACGGATCGTCCCATTCATTTCTGTGACCCCTTCTGACCATGCAGACATGCACGCCTTCCCAGCCCCACTTACGCAGACATACAATTCTATTTGGCTCCCCTAATCACTTCTTAACACCCTCTCTTCTAGAGTTTCTAGTGCTTTCCAACTTTTTATGTCATGGTACACATAGAAAGAATAATAATATTGCTATGCACACTGGAATAAACTGGAAGAGGTTTGAAGCACTTATCTATGGGGGGATTTAGTAGATAATTTATATCTTTTATATTATAAAGTTTTTAAAGATGCAAAGCATTAGAAAAAATATTAAATATGAAATTCATATAAAACTTCCAAATAAAAGCTTTTCAAGTCTTTGATTGAGAACCCTAAACTTCCTTCCATGAATATCAATTTTTTAATGCCTAAAATGGCAGCATGCAGTCTCTGAGTATGACTTTAATAACGAATGGATTTCTAGTTTTCCATGTACATTTGTTTCTCAGGACTTCCATAATAAAGAACCAGTCACTAGTGGCTTAAAGCAAATATATTCTCTCACAGTTCTGCAGGCAAGAAATCTGAAATCAAGGTGTTGCCAGAGTTGGTTTCTTCTGAGGGCTCCAAGGGGGGATCTATTCCAGGCTGCTCTCCTAACTTCTGGTGACCGCTGTTGATGGTTGGTGTTCCTCGGCTTGTAGATGTTCTCCAGTCTCCATCTCTGTCTTCACATGGAGCTCTCCCTGTGTGTCCCCACCTCTTCATATTAGGGCATCAATCTTCCTGGATTAGGAACCCACCTACTCCAGTGTGACCTCACCTTAACTGATTACATCTGCCACAACCCTATTTTCAAGTAAAGTCATATCCTGAAGTGCAGAGGGTTAGGACTTCAACATTTCTTTTTTGGCGGACACAAGTCAACACATAACACCGCGGAACTTTTTCAAAGCAAGCATTTCAAAATAACAGTGAGGTTCTAATTTGGTCTGACCTGCACTCACAGAGTTCTGGGGAAAGCTGCCCTGTGGCTGGAGATGCTGCCCCAGGGGCTCCAGCCATCTCACCGGCAGGACTGCCCTGACATTCATCGATGGAGTGCTCGCATCCTGCAGCTCCTGGTGGCAAGCTTCTCTTGGCCTCTGTTGCCCTACTTCTCTGACTATTCCTTCCAATCTCTCCACTGGTTCCTGTTCTTCCACCTACTCCTTCAAATTGGGTGTTTCTGGGGTCCCAGCGCTGCCTCATTTCCTTCTGCTGACTTATTGTTTACTCTTGAGGCTGGACGGTAAGCCCACTGTTACCCACGTCTCCTCCCAGCTGTCTACCCTGAGCTTCAGATCTATGGGGGATCTGACATGTCCCTGCCCCGCCTCCTCCACCTGAATTCAGGATCACGTCTTCACACCCCACACCTGCTCTTCTGACTCAATTAATGGCTCTTCCCATCACAAGATACACAGCCAGCAATTCTGCAGCACCGTTGACAGCTCCTGCTCTGTTCCCAAAGGAGTTTGTCAGGCACCATGTCCACATTCTCAGGGGTGTTTTGCAAGGCCCCTGGTAAGTTTGTTTGTTGCATTCCTCTCCAGCGTGTCTCCACACCCTGCCACTCTTCCTTAGTGAAGAAACAGAATGATGTGCAGTTTTATGACTTTCTCACTCTCCCACACCTGTTCGTTGTCCTTCCCTTCACCTACTTCCTGCATCTTCTACTTTACACGTATCCTTTAAGATGCACATGGCTCAAATGCCACTTCATCAGTGCATATGGGGGCTCATCAACTCTACATGAGAGAGTCAGAGGGACTTCACAAATGAGGCTTTCTCTTATCACATTTAAATCTCTAATGTATTAGTAGTCATTTAGGTGTGAAAGTCTAGAGAAGTGGCCGGGCGCAGTGGTTCACGACTGTAATCCCAGCACTTTGGGAGGCTGAGGCAGGCGGATTGCCTAAGGTCTGGAGTTTGAGACCCGCCTGGCCAGTATGGTGAAACCCCGACTCTACTAAAAATACAAAAATTAGCTGGGCATGGTGGCAGGCGCTTGTAATCCCAGCTACTTGGGAAGCTGAAGCAGGAGAATCACTTGGACCTGGGAGGCGGAGGTTGTAGTGAGCCGAGATCACGCCACTGCATTCCAGCCTGGGCAACAGGAGGAGACTCCATCTCAAAAAAAAAAAAAAAAAAAAGTCTACAGAAGTGGTTCTCAGAATGTGGTCCCTGGAGCAGCAGCAGCAGCAGCCTCACTTGGGAACTTGTTAGAAATGCAAATTCTCAGCACCCACCCCCGCCAAGATCTATTGAGTCAGAATCTCTGGGAGTGGGGCCCAGAAATCTGTGTGAGTTCTCCAGGTGATTCTGGTGCCTGCTCCAATTTGAGAACCACTAGTCTCCATCTGGCATAAGGAGAAAGGGGAGATGGAATTGCATTGTGAATGCAGCCACTGTAGCTAGCGGATGGGGCGTCCCTTAGCCAAGCCCTTGTCTCTCCCAGCTGCAGTCAGTCACCTGACTCACACATAGCCTGAGACAGTTTCCTTTCCCATCAGGAAGACCATCAGATGCCCTCCGAATGGGATAGAAATTGGTCTTAGTATCAGGAAGTTGGCACTGATGGCCCAGATCTTGCATTTGTTTTTCTCGTCTTACTGCTAGGTCTTTTCTCCTTTTAAATGAGTGATCTTTTGATCCACTGCCTTGCCTGACTTCTCATTCAACAGCCAATTAGCCAGCATCATGTAGCTACCTCCCCAAAATTCAAAATTCCGTGTCACCATAACTGGCTGTATTTCCTTACCCCAAACTATTCACACGTATTCAGTCCTCCTTCATTCTATTTGTCTTCCTCTAAGGACCTAGAGACAGATTCTCTAGACAGCCTGAATTCATGCTTATCCTCCAGCTTACTTTTAGAGTTTTGTCTGGCTATTCCTAGCCATAAGGAAAGTCAAATAGTTGAGTCAATGGAATAGAGAACACAGAAATAGATCCTAGTAAATACAGGAATGTAATATCCGACAAGGGAGATAATTTAATTCAGTGAGAATTAAATTCATTCACACTTTCATTTCCTTGAGCTACTTTATAACTGCAAGTCATAGAAAATGGATAGTAACACAAACGATTCTTGTCTATAAAAATGCAAAAATATTCTAGTGAAACAAAACTGATTATTTTGGTGTACAGTGACCAGTTTTGCCAGTTTTTGCATCCACTTGTAAATTCATTTCAACACTTCCTTATCAGACCATCAGTATGATACTTCAATTCACCTCTGACTCTGTTGTAACATCTTACTAGTTCCCTCATTAATTACAGTTCAATAAAATCTTTGACAGGTGTTTATTTTATATCTTTATGAGAGTCATAAATACCTTTAAAATTTTATCTTTTAACAAAACAAAAATTAAAAAATGATATAAAATAATGTATCAGCAGCATCCAAAATATTTATTAAAATTCTTATAGTATTTCCACAATATTTCTGTGAATATGGAACTTGGAAATAGGTGAATTTAGAGCTAAAGAAATGTTAATATACCAACTCAATTTTTATCAAACATGATTAAACTGAACTCTTGCTGGGAGAATATTGCTCTTTGGTCTAAAACCTACAATGATGTATGTACTATAAAAGAAGTTAGGCTGAGTATGGTGGCTCACACCTGTAATCTCAGAATTTTGGGAGGCCAAGGCAGGTGGATCACTTGAGCCCACAAGTTTGAGACCACTTGGTCTTTTGGACAGGGAGACCCCATCTCTATCCCAAAAAAAAAAAAAAAAAAAAGTAGCTGGGCATAGTGGTGCATGTCTGTAGTCCCAGCTACTTGGGAGGCTGAGTTGGGAGAATCACCTGAGCCCAGGAAGTTGAGGCTGCTGTGAGCTGAGATCACACCACTGCACTCCAGCCTGGGAGAGAGAGCAAAACCCTGTCTAAACAACAATTTTAAAAAAATTAGTTAAGAGCTTCATAATTTGGAACAAAAGAGAAAATCAAGTTCGGAAATTTAAAACAAAGAGTATACAAACTCAAAATCTTAAAGAAAATTTACATGCAATCTGGAATTAGAAAGCTGAGTTCCTACTCAGTGGAGATAATGAATGAGAATGGCAGAGAGAGTTCAAGCTATAATTCTATCCTTTCCTATTAGACTGAAAACATATAATTAGACTCTTCTCCGAACCTCAGCATTTGTTGATGCCATCTGCATCAGTTAGGATTGCTTTTGGCAGCATTGACAGAACTCTGACCGGAGTACCTAAAACAAGTAAGGGTTTCTTTTTCTCATGTCCCAAGTAGCCTGGAGATAGGTGGCCCTGGGAAGGTGCAGGGGCTCTGATGTCACAGGCACAGTCCCCTCTGTAGCTTTCCACTCTGCCAGCCTTAGCATGTGCTTTCTCATGCTTCAAAGATGACCAGCACCCAGGCATCATGGGCATGCTCTGGGAAGGAAGAATTGCAAAACGCACTTGCTCACTTTCAGTTTGATCCTTTTTATAAGAAGCCACTCACAGTGGCTGGCCTTCAGCTTACACCTCATTGGCTAGAATTGTTCACAAAGCCACACTTACCTCCAAGGGAGCCTGGGAAATTGAGTATTTAGTTGGATACATCACTATTTCTAATAAATTCTTGGTTCTGAAGCATGAAAGAAGAGGTATAGTCAAGATATGGGTTATAGGATGTTTATCTGAGTCAGGTAAAATAATAGTAATAGTAGTAGTAATAGTAATGGCAAGCACTAAAGCACTGTTGCTCTCTGGGATGAATAGCTGTCCAGAGACAATGCCATAGAAAGAGCTCTGAAAACTCCAAATCCAATCTTTGGCCTGCCACTGACCAGCTGTATGACCAGGAGTAGCATCTCTCAGCTTTTATTTCCTCATTTATTAAATGGAAATATTGGATTAGCTCTAAAACTTTATCTCAATTACCAACAACTTGGGGTAGGATTTTGGCTGTATCAGTCTCTGTAGAGTGCCACAATCATGCTTTTAAAAAATTATTAAAGTTGGAGTCAGAGGAATACATCTGGTAAAACTCTAGGTGAACAAATGAGCCAAGAGTCATAGATAGCTTTGATAGAGTTCCACAAATTACACAGATTAAAAAGAATAAGGGAGATGGCATAGAGTTAGGTGCCTTTTATGAAAAATTAAGACATTGATAAATACTATTGATAAAGACCTGTGGTAGGTAGAAGTACGGGTCCCCCAAAGACGTCCACATCCTCACCTGGGAAGGGACTTTGCCAGGGTAGTGAATAGCTAGGAACCCTGAGATGGAGAGATCATCCTAGATTTATCCCGGTGGGCCCAATGGACTCAGAATGGTCCTTAACAGTGGAGGGAGGCAGAAAAGGAGCTCAGAGTGATGGGATGTGAAAGGGACTTGACCTATTGTTGCTGGCTTTGAAGATGAAGGGGGAGACCACCGGCCAAGGAGTGCAGGCAGCCTCTAGACACTGAAGGAGGCAAGGAAATGGATTCTCCCTGGAGTCTACAGGGAGGAATGCAGCCTGCTGACACCTTGATTTTAGTTCAGTGAGCTGTGTGTTGGACTCGGAACTCCAGAACTCTAAGAGAATACATTCATGCTGCTGTAAGCCACAAGTCTATGGTCACTGTGGCGGCAGTATAGGATATTCAGGTAGATACTCTCTCTCCCTTCCTTACCCACCTGCCCTCTGTTGCCTGAGGCAACACACCAAAGCTTAGAAAGAAAACTTATTTTAAACATGTTTAAACGTAAGACCTGCCACTGTAAAACTACTAGAAGGAAACATAGGGGAAATACTTCAGGACATTAGACAAAAAATTTATGGCTAAAACCTCAAAAGCACAGTCAACAAAAGCAAAAACAGACAAATGGGACTGTGTTAAAGTAAAAAGCTTCTGTGCAGCAAAGGAAACAATCAACAGAGTAAAGAGACAATCTAGAATGGGAGAAAATATTTGCAAACTGCTCATATGACAAAGGACTAGTATCCAGAATTTACAAGGAACTCAAATGACTCAATAGTGAAAGACAAATAATCCCATTAAAAAGTGAGCAATAGATCTGAATAGACATTTCTCAAAAGAATACATACAAATGACCCACAGGTATATGAAAAATGCTCAGTATCACCCATCATCAGGGAAATGCAAACCCAAGGCACACGAGATATCGTCTTACCTCAGTTAGAATGGCTGTTATCAAAAAGACAAAAATTAGCAAATGCTGGTGGGGATGTGGAGAAATGGGAACTCTTACACACTGTTAGTGGAAATTTAAATTAGTACAGCCCTTATGGAAAACAGTATGAAAGTTTCTCAAAAAACTAAAAATAGAACTTCCATATGATCCAGCATCATATGGAATAATACCCTACTCCTGGGTATTTATCCAAAGGAAAGGACATCAGTTTATTACAAGGATACCTGCACCCCCATGTTTATTGCAGCACTATTCACAATAGTCAAGATATGGAATCAACCTAAGTGTCCATCCAGAGATGAATGGATAAAGAAAATGTGGTTCTTATACACAATGGAGTACTATTCAGTCATAAAAGAGAATGAGATCCCATCATTTGCAGCAACATTGTTGGAACTGGAGATCATCATGAGTGAAACAAGCCAGGTACAGAAAGACAAATATTGCATGTTTTCACTCATATTTGGGAGCTAAAAAAGTGGTTTTCATGGTGATAGAGTGATAGCTACCAGAAGCTGGGAATCGGGAGCAGCGGGGGATGTTGGTTGACGGATACAAACATACAATTAGATAGAAGGACTAAGACGTAGTGTTCAATAGCGTCACAGGGTGCCTACAGTTACCGACACAGTATTGTATATTTCCAAATAGCTAGAAGAGAAGAAATGCTCCCAATAAAAAGAAATGATCATTGTTTGAGGTGATAGATATTGTAATTACCCTGACTTGATCATTATACATGGTATGCATGTATCAAAATACCACATGTACTCCATAAATATGTACACTTCTTATTTATCAATTAAAAAAAGAAAAAATGTTACTAATACTCCCTAGTCTGGCGGAACTGTTTGCATCCTCCAGGAAAGACATGATAAGTAGTTGACATTTCAATGGCTGATTTTGATAACCTGAGAGCGACTGCTATTGAAGAGGATTCTGAGCCAAGTCAGGTCAAAGGGGAGAGTGGCATGACTGAGCAGTGGTGTCTACCCCGGGTGTGGTGATGGCACATGGAGCTGCTGCTTCTGTTCAAGGTTCACTGTTCATTTCCATTGCTTTGTTATTTTCCACAAAGTCCCTGTAACGTCTCCTAAAAGCACAAGCAAAGCTCTACCAGGTGTGACTCAAGGCCTGTGAATGTGAGGCGCTGTCCCAAGGGTATCTGCTGGAGCACTCAGTGCCTGTTAGTGGGCCACTCTGTCATGGCACTCAAAGGATGAGGCCTGAAGGGGTGCTGTGGGTGCTGTGCAAGTTTCCAGCTGCCCAGATCTTTCTCTCTGGGCCTGAGGACTATTTGCCTTCCCAGCAGCCAAAGTCACACTACCTTGCAGTGCCGAGGAATCAATAACCCCTTCCTACCCAGCAGCTCTCAGTGGAGTCTAATTGTGGCAGGTGGTGGACCTTCAGAAGTTGGTGCATAAACACCCCGACTAGACCCCCCAGCCTGGGTTGGCATAATTCCAAGGCTTATGTCCTGTGCAGTTGCCCAGAGTCTCCCTGCAGGATTAAGCCTCAGCCTCCCGTCAATGTCCAGAGGTATTACTCATGCACAACACATTCCGAATTCTACGTTCTTCTCCTCCTGCTTTCTAGAGGCTGTACATTTCTGAATATTTAGTACTTAAAAGGAAGAAATACACATCCATGGCAAAAAGTCAAAGAGTGCCAAAGGTACAGAAAGAAGAGTAAGTGTCCTTGTTCTATCCTTGACTTCAAATCCTCCACTAGGTGAAAGATCTCTGCAAAAAGAATTAAAAAACATCATTCAAAGGAATCAGAGATGACACAAACAAATGGAAAAACAATCTATGCTCCTGGATAGGAAGAATTAGTATAATTAAAATGGCCATACTGCCCAAAGCAATTTATAGATTCAATGTTATTCCTGTCAAATTACCAACGACATTCTTCACAGAACTAGAAACAACTATTTTAAAATTCATATGGAACTAAAAAAGACCCCAAATAGCCAAGGCAATCCTAAGCAAAAAGAACAAATCTGGAGGCATCATGTTACCTGATTTCAAACAATACTGCAGGGCTATAGTAACCAAAACAGCATGATACCGGTACAAAAATAGACACATAGACCAGTGGAACAGAATACAGAGCCCAGAAATAAGACCACATACCTATAACCTCTAATCTTCGACAAAGCTGACAAAAGCAAACAATGGGAAAGGATTCTCTCTTCAATAAACGGTGCCAGTATAGCTGGCTAGCCATATGCAGAAGATGGAAACTGACCCCTTTCTTACACCATTTACAAAAATAAACTCAAGATGGACTAAAGACTTAAATGTAAAACCCAAAACTATAAAAACCCTGAAACACAACCTAGGCAATACCATCCTGGACACAGGAACTGGCAAAGATAACATGAAGAAGATGCCAAAAGCAATTGCAAGGAAAGCAAAAATTGACAAATGGGATCTAAATAAATTAAAGAGTTTTTGTACAGCAAAACAACTATCAACAGAGTAAACAGACAACCTACAGAATGGGAGAAAATATTTTCAAACTATGCATCTGACAAAGGCCTAATATCCAGTGTCTATAAGGAAATTAAACAAATCTGTAAGAAAAAAACAAACCACCCTATTAAAAAGTGGGCAAAGGACATGAATGCTTTTCAAAAGAAGACATACATGGAGCCAAGAAGCATATGAAAAGAAGCTCAATATCACTGATTATTAGAAAATGTAAATAAAAACCACGGTGAGATATTATCTCACACCAGTCAGAATGGTTATTATTAAAAAGTCAAAAAATAACGGATGCTGGTGAAGTTATGGAGAAAAGGGAACACATACATTGCTGGTGGGAGTGTAAATTAATTCAACCATTGTGGAAATCAGTATGGAGGCTCCTCAAAGAGCTAAAATCAGAACTACCATTCGACCCAGAAATCCCATTACTGGCTATATACCCAAAGGAATAGAAATAGTTCTACTATAAAGTCACATGCAGGCATATGTTTATGCAGCACTATTCACAATAGCAAAGACATAGAATCATCCTAAATGCCCATCAGTGGTAGACTGGGTAAGGAAGATATGGCACATACACACCATGGATTACTATGAAGTCATAAAATAGAATGAGATCATGTCCTTTGCAGGAACATGGATGGAGCTGTGCAGGAAAACTAAGTACTGCATGTTCTCACTTATAAGTGGGAGCTAAATGATGAGAACACATGGACACAAAGAGAGGAACAACAATCACTGCGGCCTACTTGAGGGTGGAGGGTAGGAGGAGGGAAAAGATTAGAAAAAATAACTACTGGGGCCAGGCACAGTGGCTTACGGTTGTAATCCCAGCACTTTGGGAGGCTGAGGCAGGCAGATCACCTGAGGTCAGGAGTTCGAGATCAGCCTGCCCAACATGGTGAAATCCCGTCTCTAATAAAAATACAGAAAAATTAGCCAGGCATAGTGGTGCACGCCTGTAATCCCAGCTACTCGGGAGGCTGAGGCATGAGAATCGCTTGAACCTGGGAGGTGGAGGTTGCAGTGAGCCAAGATTGCACCACTGTACTCCAGCCTGGGCAACAGATTGAGACTCTGTCTCAAAACAAAACAAAACAGAAACAAACAAACAAACAAACAAAACTATTGGGTTCTAGACTTAGTACCAGGGTGAAAAAATAATCTATACAACAAACACCCATGACACAAGTTTACCTGTATAACAAACCTGCACATGTACCCCTGAACCTAAAATAAAAGTTAAAAACAAAAAAGAAATCCTTCATGACCTTCTCCAGAGACAGCCATCATTTTGGGACTTTATTTATCTCTTAAGATTGTTTTGTATATAATTAGATGTGTATGTGTATATGTCCCTTTCTTTATAAAAAGGTGGCATAGAAAACTAGTAATCTATCTTCGGTTTTAAACTATTTTTAAATATGCCTTTCCATATCACTATATGTTATTTCTAATTTTTTGCATGATCCTTAACTGCTGAGATTGAAGACAGGAAATACTTTTATTTTATTTTATTTTATTTTCAGATGGAGTCTCACTCTGTCACCCAGGCTGGAGTGCAGTGGCGCAATCCTGGCTCACCACAAACTGCCTCCTTGGTTCAAGCGATTCCTCTGCCTCAGCCTCCCGAGTAGCTGGGATTATGGGCGCGCACCACCAGACCCAGCTAATTTTTGTATTTTTAGTAGAGATGGGTTTTAGCCATGTTGGCCAGGCAGGTCTCGAACTCCTGACCTCAAGTGATCTGCCCATCTCAGCATCCCAAAGTGCTGGGATTACAGGCGTGAGCCACCGTGCCCAGCCGGAAATACCTTTTTTTTGAGGTCTAAGATAAACCACTTTTTATCCTCCATCCCCCGCTTTTTTTTAAAAAAATTAACTTTTTAATTTCTGAGTATTGTTTAGCACAGCCCAGTGCTATGGTCACCCAATCTGTGCTGGCTGGAACAAGTGATGTCATTTGGTAGGCACAATGCTTACGCAAGATTGTCCTGATGATGGTAGTGGCAGTACTTCAGTTTTTCCTCAGGGAACAAACCCTTCACACACATTTGTTTACTCTGCCCAGGTCTTTACAGGTCAGGAGTTATTATGTCGTAGGAACTCCAGCTAGACATCTCACAGTCGGAGCTGCTCCTTGCTTTATCAAGGCAAATGTTTTAGTAGGGAAAGAGCATCCTTTAAAAATGAGCACCAACCACAGATAATACTTGAGTTGGTCTTCAGAAAAGCCCGTCTCCAAGCATTTCTCCACTTTCAGCTGGAGAAAAGGAGGCGGTCGGTTGTTTAAATGGGCAGGGGCAATGCAGAACCTCAGAAGTCCCTATTGCTGGGTTTACGAACCCGTCATTCCCAGGGCCCCTCTTTTTGGTGGTTTCCTCTCAGCGGTACTTTAAATGTGCTTTCATCCTACAATCAACTGATGCTTTTACAATGTCTATGCTAAAGGCACAAGAAACCAAATTCCCTGTAGAAAAGCAGATGTCAGGAGACTGTATCTGCTGGAATACAGAAGACCCTAACATTTCACACTCTAATTTGAGTTCCAAATTGTTCTAGATGCCTGTTTGCAGCAATATTCCTTTGAATTAATTGTTTCAGAGAGTGGAGTATGTTCACATTTTTTTTTTTTTTTGCCTCAAGAGAATGCGAACCATGATGGACAACTTGTATGATAGAGATAATTAACCAGTGTCAGGCCAAAACTGGAGGATTAGTGTCGGCCAAGCTCCTGGCTTCTTCTCCTAAATATTTGATCCTGGCTGGGTGCGGTGGTTCACACCTGTAATCCCAGCACTTTGGGAGGCCAAGGTGGGCGGGTCACAAGGTCAGGAGTTCGAGACCAGCCTGACCAACGTGGTGAAACCCCTCTCTACTAAAAATACAAAAATTATCTGGGCATGGTGGCTGTAGCTGTAATCCTAGCTATTCAGGAGGCTGAGGCAGGAGAATAGCTTGAATCGTGAGGCAGAGGTTGCAGTGAGCCGAGATTGCGCCATTGCACTCCAGCCTGGGTGACAGAGCAAGACTCTGTCTCAAAAAAAAAAAAAAAAAAAAAAATTGATACTGCATTTGGTGTGATTATCTCTTGAATATCATTTTATAGTTGTCTAGTTTTCAAAAAGGAGTACAGGGAAAATGATTTTTTATTTTTTCTTAGCAGTGGGCTTTCCATGGAAACAAAGAGCCTACAGAGATTCTTTGCATAATTTAGAAGAAAAAATGAGGACCCTGAAAAGTTAGCACTTAACTTTTAAAGAGTTCAGGTTTTCTCAAGACAAAATTTAAAATGCTGTGACTTATATAACAGGTCATTACTGTACTTTCTCAGAAGGTTGGGAATTTGGTTGGTCCAAATTCATTCTGAATACACAGCAGGTTCCATAAAATAAAGCCTTTTATGAACTGCAACGGTCTATTAAATGGAGGCTATTTTAGGGAGGTGGATTTTTTTTTCTCCATTGGAGGAAAAGTCTCTGAAAATAATTTCATGGTCTAAATCCATGCCCTAACTGGTCCAATTTTGTCTTCGTGACCAGGGTCTGCGGGGCAACAAGCTTTTATGATATGCTTCATTATACAATTGCCAGCTATTTCAGGAAATTCCTTCCCGACTTCAGATAACAGTTACTTTGTGCCCCAAAGCACTGGGATGACCCCCTTATAATTGTATTCAAGCTCGGGTGGTTCAGGCACTGCCTTTACTCTTACACCATGGAGATTCATTAAACCTACTTTCTCACTGAGCCCTTGGCCACATGGAATGTTCATTTGGAAGTTTCAGTCAAAGGCCCATAGAGCTCTGCTACCCCGCACAAAGTTGTCCTGTATTTGGTCAACTGACTGTTGAATAATTGGCACTGCTCTGATGCCAATGTGAAAGAATCAGGAAAGGCAGAGTACAGTGCCTGATAGGAGGGACATGTTGATCTTGCATCAACGCCACTGTGTATGGAACGGGGGTCTGTATGTGTTTGTGGAAGGGCAGGGATAGTCCTGCCAGTACAGGGTAGTGGTTCGGAACTGAGACTGCAGCCAAATATATTCTGCTGTGCACTGGAGTGCAGCCTTGGAAAAGCTAGCTACCTTTGCTTTTTAGTTGTAAATTCCTAACAACTATACCCACCTCAGAGGGTTGTTATGAGTTGGAAAATGAAATAAGACATGCAAGGGCCTATGCACAGAGCAAGCACTAAATAAGTGGGAATTAATTTTGAACGATTTGTCCCTATGGCAGATGCTATGGGTGCCCATATGTTACCCCTTCCTACCACTTCAGAAATCACAGGCCTGACTTCCAGCTGCTGGCATCTGCCCTTCTTTGCCCAAGGGCTTTCTGTGGCTCTCACACAACAGGTTGGAAGAGCTAGGGAATTAACAACTCTGGAGGCCACCTTCAAACAAGAATCCACTGATGTATAAATACCCCAGCTCCCCTGCCACTTGACTGGAGTAACTGACTCTCGGGCTTTACCCTGGCTCCATGAGTTCCCCAGTGGAACCGAGCTCCAGTTTTCCACAGGGGTGGCTTTTGTGATAATGCAGCTTTAGCAACTGTCTTCCCTTCCGCTTCTCTCTTCTCCACTTCCCTGCTGCATTTTTCCACTCGCCACTTCTCAGGAAGCTACTTGCACTCAAGTCCTTCCTCAGGGCCACTTCTGGGGAAACCCACATTAAGACAATCACCTAGAACATGAGGAAGAATTTCCATTATGAATGTTGGACTCAGTCATGGACATTTACATGAATCCTATTCCCAAAACTTCTACAAGGAAGCTTCTTGCAAGCAAGATATGAGGCCTTGTCATCAACTGAGTCATAAAGGGTTTTTACTTAATGAGTACACTGGATCCAACACCAACTGTCCGGGTGCTGCGGCAATAAACATATTAAACATCTTTCCTATAGGTTGGTTTCTTCTGCAGCAGTGATTTCTGATGTTCTATTTGCCATATTTTTTCACCTTTCAACAGAGAATTCTGTTGTCCTGTCTTAGAATGTTGTGCAAAAACAACAAAACTCTCTCTTTAAACATAATCTTTTTTTGAGGCAAAAAAAGGAACAAGAATATCTATAAACGTTGGAGATTCAATCTCTGGATTTTTAGGTTTTTTAAGATATGGTCTTACTCTGTTGCCCAGGCTGCAGTGCAGTGCCATGATCATGGCTCACTGTAGCCTTGACCTCCCCAGGCTCAGGTGATCCTCCCACCTCTCAGCCTCCCGAGTAGCTGGACCACAGATGCACCACCACACCTGGCTAATTTTTTGTATTTTTTGTAGAGACAGGGTTTCACCATGTTTCCCAGCCTGGTCTCGAACTCCTGGGCTCAAGCGATCTGCCCACCTTGGCCTCCCAAGTGCTGGGATTACAGTCATGGGCCACCACACCTGCCTGTGGATATTGTTTTAAACTGAATGCCTCCTACTTACTTTTTTGTTTTTTTGTTTGTTTGTTTGTTTTTGAGATGGGGCCTCATTCTGTTGCCTAGGCTAGAATGCAGTGGCGCAATCATAGCTCACTGCAGCCTTGAACTCCTGGGTTCAAGTGAGCCTCCTGCCTCAGCCTCCTGAGTAGCTGGGACTACAGGTGCCCACCATCCCAGCTAATTAAAAAAATTTTTTTTATAGACAGGGACTCACTATGTTGCTCAAGCTGGTCTCACACTCCTGGCATCAAGTGATCCTCCTGCCTCAGCCTCCTAAAGTGCTGGGATTACAGGCATGAGCTATCACATCTGGTCTCCTATTTATTTTTGAAAAAAGGAAAGATTTGGTGAAAGTTTTGAGGCTGGCAATTATTTATTTGATGAACACTTGTTGCTACTGGGTAGAAAGCATGTGGGCCTATCCCTTGGCAATAAAAAGATCAATAAGACCTCCTCTCTCTATATGATTGAGGAAATAGCCATGTGAAACACTAAATATGGTTGTGAATTATTTAAATATATTTACAAAGCTTGTCTTGCCTTTTTGAAATTCTATAGTATTTACTTTGCAATATCCTGATTAAATTTTCATAATATATAGATTGCTTACTGTAATGTTTTAAAACATTTCTTTTTATTTAAAAAGAGTTCAGGCCAGGCATGGTGTCTCACGCCTGTAATCTCAACACTTTGGGTGGCTGAGGTGGGCGGATCATTTGAGGTCAGGCACTCCAGACCAGCCTGGCCAACACTGTGAAACCCCATCTCTACTAAAAATATGAAAGTTAGCCAGGCATGGTGGTGCACACCTGTAATCCCAGCTACTTGGGAGGCTGAGGCAGGAGAATTGCTTGAACCCGGGAGGCAGAGGTTGCAGTGAGCCAAGATTGCACCACTGCACTCCAGCCTCGGTGACAGAGTGAGACTCCATCTCAGAAAAAATAAAGTAAATACAATAAAAAATAAATAAAAAGAGTTCATATTGTGTTATGGTAAAGGGTAGAATAAAACAGCATTTCATTTGCCATTTCTAGTTGATTTCTTCTTTGTAATGGAGGTACATCTAAGGAAAGAGACTCACTGAAATTTTTACATGGGTGTTGCTCAAGTTTTTTTAATTTTTTTTTTGAGAGGGAGTCTCACTCTGTCACCAAGGCTAGAGTGCAGTGGCGCAGTCTCAGCTCACTACAACCTCCACCTCCTGGGTTCAAGTGATTATCCTGCCTCAGCCTCCCAAGTAGCTGGGATTATAGGTGCCTGCCACCACGTCGGGCTAATTTTTGTAGTTTAGTAGAGATAGGGTTTCACCATGTTGCCCAGGCTGGTCTCGACCTCTTGACCTCAAGCAATCTGCCCGCCTTGGCCTCCCAAAGTGCTGGGATTACAGGCGTGAGCCACTGCGCCAGCTGCTCTAGTTTTTTTAGTTCAACTTGGGAAGTTAAATCAGATGAATCTACAATAGCCAAACACTTTGTCAAGGAGCATGTACAGGCACATGCTGTTTAAGCTTGTGTAATAACTGAGAGATAGGAGCAAAAAAACCATGCAGTACTTCTGTTTGGGGAGATATTTTTTGGTTAATAATTCCAAAGCCTTTGGAAATGGACATGATAGAGACACATGCCCACACATATTCACCCATCACTCCAACAATTAGTTACTGAATACCTATTACACATGTGCCTGGCACAGAGCTGGGTGGTGTGGGTATCAGTGATCAAAAAACAGGGGGCTAGGGTTCAGTGGAAAGCAAACAGATGTTGTTTGATTACACAAAGAATGTATGATTATACAGTGAAGAATGGGTGTAATTATAAAGTGAGATCACGTACTCTGAGAGATAGTAGTGGAATTTCATGGAATCACCTACTGGTGGAATGGAACCGAGGCTGAGGAAGGGGTGTTTGAGCTGAGATGTGAGGATGAGTGGAGTTATTTAAGACAAATGGGTTGGGCTGGATTTGGGAGGCTGATGAGAAAACGGTTCCAGGTGGAGGGAATAGCAGGTGCACACAATATGCCTGAGGATGCGAAGGGCTGCTGGGCGCAGAGAGAGCAGGGGAGAGCCAGCCAGACGAGGCTGGAGAGAGAGGCAGAGGCCATGCCTATGAACGCCATACAGCCATGTACACAGGTAGGTCTTTCTCCTATGAGTCTCAGGGAGCCAACAAGGGCTCTCCATGGCTGGGAAATGTGATCACATTTGTGTTTTGAAACAAACAAATAGCTCAGATCGGCATCTGGCATCTAGAGGAGCAGAGAGGGTAAGCGGTGGAATGGAATAATGAGTCGGCTATTGCAGATGTCCAAGGGAGAGGTGGCAGTTCCTTGGACCAGTGTGGGGTGATGGGGAGAGATAGTGACTGCATTCAAGAGGCTCACAGGATGTAAATTTGACAGGACCTGGGGGTGTTATGGCTGTGAAAAGTGAGGGAGAGGAAGATGCCGGGATGAATCCTAGTTTTCTGACTCTTGACTCTGCATGGAGGATGGTGTCATTCACCAAGAGTTGGGGGAAGATCATGTTTGATCTTCAACATAATTATTTTGAAGTGCCTTTGAGTTATCCAAATGGAGATGTTGAGTAGGCACGAGAATATGGATCTGGAAACCAAGATGCGCCCTTTTATTATTATATAACTTATTTTTTTGAAGTTCTTAAAAATTAGGTGAAATAGGCAGGGTTTCTGTTTGCATGTGGTTGGGTGGATTTCTCATTTATTTATGATGTTCACTTTAGCGCATAAAAATCAGTTGAAAATAGGCCGGGCATGGTGGCTTACACCTTTAATCCCAGGACTTTGGGAGACCGAAGTGGGCAGATCATCTGAGGTCAAGAGTTCGAGACCAGCCTGGCCAACATTGTGAAACTCTGTCTCTCCCAAAAATACAAAAATTAGCTGGGTGTGGTGGTGGGCACCTGTAATCCCAGCTACTTGGGAGGCTGAGGCAGGAGAATCGCTTGAACCCAGGAGACAGAGCTTGCAGTGAGCTGAGATCGCGCCACTGTACTCCAGCCTGGGCAACAGAATGAGACTCCGTCTCAAAACAAACAAACAAACAAACAAAAATCCAAAAACCCACATACAAACAAACACAAATCCATGCCTTTATAATGCCTGAGCATGGGAATGACTCCCGAGTCCCTGTTCGGCTCAGGCCTCTCTTCAGAGATTCAGACACACATGCCCACATTCACCTATTCCTCGGCTTCCTCCAACTCTGGATATCTAAAATCAAACTCCTTATCCTTTTGTTCTAGACATGCTCCACTGGATTCTCTGTCTGCCCATACGTGTATCCCGCCAGTTGCCCAATCCAGAGACCATGGAATGATATGTAATTTCGCCCTCTCCCTCACTCCTAAATCCCAGCAGTACCCAGTCTCTTACTGCTTCTGAAATAGTTCTCATGTTTGTCCCATCATCTAGGTCCCACATGCCCTGCCTAATGAAGTTGGCCCTCACTGTTTCCCACCTGGACTGCTCTAAGAACCACCTTATGCATTGAAGCCCAGGTCTATACTGTCTCCTTTAAATCCCTCCTCTATGGAGTTGCTCAACAGCCGTTCTAAAATGCGTGTCCGGCCATATGACTCTTTAATGACCCCAAGCTCCTTAGCATGCCATTCAGAGCTCCCGTAATTGTTTTCTGACTACCTGTCTAGTTCTTCTCCTCCTCACTGCACTTTCTTTCATACACAGCAAGTATGTGTATGTAGTTACCATTCCCCAAGCCTGGACGGTCCTTTCTGGGACTCCTCCCCCATCCAACTCCCACTTATCCTATAACTTAACTTAGTTAAGATAATCAGACTTAACTAAGTCCAATTGATTTAGTTTAAAAAAGGTTTCTTCCACGAAACCTTTCCTCATCCTCCACCTTCTTCCGCAGGGGTAAGCAGGTGGTTTCCAAAGCATCGTCCTTTTTACACGCTACCTTTGAATACCTTCCTTAACATTGGAATTGCCAGTCTTCCTTACACTCCGAAAGGAGGAACTAGGCTGGGTGCAGCGGCTCACGCCTATAATCCCAGCATTCTGGGAGGCCAAGTTGGGAGGGTTGCTTGAACCCAGGAGTTTGAGACCAGCCCTGGCAACAGTGAGAACCTAACTTCACACACACACACACACACAAAAAGCTGGTCATGGTGGCACGTGCCTGTAGTCCCAGCTACTTGGGAGGCTGAGGTGGGAGGATCTCCTGGGAGGTCAAGGCTGCAGTGGGCTGTGATCGAACCACTGCACTCTAGCCTGGGCAACAGAGCCAGACCCTCTCTCTCTCTCAAAAAAAAAAAAAAAAAAAAAAGAATGTAGGAACTGGGATTTAGTTGTGTGATCCTCAGTGCCAATACCTGGCACAAAGAAGGCAACCATTAATACGTGTTAGGCTGTGCGCTGAATGTGTACTATTTGGAAATACTTTTCTGTTGGGGACATTTCAAGAACATAGTGCATAATTTTTATTTTCCTTTACATATGGCTTTCTGTGGAGATAGGCTATTATCTGCAGGAAAAAAGTGAGATGTGAGATGTGAGACCCGCTATGAAAATGCTTTGGTATTTATAAGTCAATTCAATATGCTGGAAAACTCTTTAAAGGAAATCATCTTTTACAAACATCTCAAATGTAATCACAGCAAAACATATCCTAAGCAAGGCGATCACTGATGATTTTAAATTCTAAAAGCTTGGACCCATGGATGGGCTAACATTGTGTTGAATGGGGTGTCTCTGTCTTGACAATGATACGTACACAATGGATTCTATCACCTAGTTCTTTCCTGTCTTCCCTTATTTTCCTACAACAAAGGATGGAAAATAGTCACAACTCAGAACATGTGTATATTTGGAATAGTTCATTCTTTCTGTTTTTTTTTTGTTTTTCTACTATGAAAGAATGTGCTTTGATCTTCATTGAACCACATGCAGGTCCTTTGAATGCAGCACCTAATGGAGAGGATAAATAAGCCCTGGCTGCTGTAACCGAAGCTGTGTGTCCTGAAAGCCGCTGGTCTTCCTGGCCGTCTGTCAGCCTGCCTGCCCACGTGTGTGAGGGTCTCCACTGTGAATGCCAGTGTTTTGTGGAAGTGCCTTAGAGGTTTTGTTTTCGTATCTAAACACTCGCTTCTCAGTGTTCTTGCCAACTGCTGTAGAATTCTTTCATCACTTAGTGAGGGCAATTTTTTTTTTTTGTTTCTTTTTCAGCTTTTCCTGCTAAAGCTCTTAAACAGTTAAGGAAGACCTCCCACAGACCAGAAAGGATGATTTTTGTCTCTTGATTGATTTAGTTAAAAATTCCCCCAATTTCCCGTTGATTTGGGTAAACACTGGAGGTGTAGTGGATGCTACAGCGTGGGGCCCAGGTCCCTATTTGAGGCCGGGCACTGCTGCTCCAGGCTGCCAGGAGTGTTGGCTGATGGGAGCTCAGCTGAGGCCCTCCTGGAGAACTGCCCTCAGCTGCTGAAGCCGCCTGACATAGGCACGCCTTCTCCAGGACCCGCTGTAAGTGGGAATTTGGGGCTGTTCTGATGGGCCATCACCACTCCAGGACTCCCCACAGTCCCCTTTCTCCCTCTGCCTTGTTTCTTTGGGTACTGCTGCTGTGAGCACTCCCCAGACACCCTCACCCATGTGCTCAAACACCCAGCGGCTTCCCAGGAAATCCAACCTGAGACATAGGAATTTGACGATGAATAAATCCAGGGGAAAGACTGGTGTGTTAGTCAGGGCTCTTCAGAGAAACAGAACCAACAAGACCAATAGGATGGATATGTATGAAATAAGGACTGGTTCCCACAATGATGGAGGCTGAGAAGTTTCACAGTCTGCAGTTGGCAAGCTGGAGACCCTGGGGGGCCAGTGTGTAGTTCCAGGCGGGGTCTGAAGGCCCAAAAACCAGGACAGCCAATGGTGTAAGTTCCAGCCTGATCCCTAGTCCAAGTGCAGGAGAAAATCAGTGTTCGGGCAGAGTCAGGCAGAGACAGCAAATTTCCCCTTACTCTGCCTTTTGTTTCAAGCAGGTTTCCAACACACTGGATAAAGCTCACGTAGGGAGGGCAGTTTGCTTTACTCAGTTTATTGATACAAATGTTGTTTCATCCAGAAACAGCCTCACAGATACACCCAGAATAATGTCTAATCAAATATCCGAGCACCTGCTGGAGCAGTCAAATTGACCTGTAATTCCAACCATTACAACTGGTCTTTTCAATAAACAGTACCAGAACACGTGGACATCTGAAGAACTTGGACCTGCTGTTACACCATCCACAAAAATAAAACACAAACGAATCATAGTCCTCAACATACGGGCCAGGAGTATAAAACTCATTCAAAGAAGACAGGAGTTTTTGACTTTGAGTGAGAAGATATTTTCTTAAAAATGACACCAAAAGCATAAGCAAGAGAAGAAAAAAGAGTTAAATTGGATTTCATTAAAATTAAAACATTTGTTCATCAAAGGGTACCACCAGTAAAGGGAGAAAGACAACTCAAAGAGCGGGAGAAGATATTTGCAAATCATATTTCTGACAAGGGATTTAAATCTAGAATATCTAGAAAACACAATTTAGTAATAAAAAGACAACCTACTGAAAAAGGATTTCAATAGGCATTTCTTCAGAGAAGATAGACAAATGGTCAATAAGCACATGTAAAGATGCTCAACATTGAGGCTGGGCATGGTGGCTCACGCCTGTAATCCCAGCACTTTGGGAGGCTGAGATGGGCAGATCATGAGGTCAGGAGATCGAGACCATCCTGGCTAACACGGTGAAACCCCGTCTCTATTAAAAATACAAAAAATTAGCCAGGTGTGATGGCAGGTGCCTGTAGTCCCAGCTACTTGGGAGGCTGAGGCAGGAGAATGGTGTGAACCCAGCAGGTGGAGCTTGCAGTGAGCCGAGATTGCACCACTGCACTCCAGCCTGGGCGATAGAGCGAGACTCTGTCTCAAAAAAAAAAAAAAAAAAAAAAAAAAAAAAAAAAAAAAAAAGATGCCCAACATTATTAGTCTTTAGGGAAATGCAAATCAAACTTCAGTGAGATCCCACTTCACACCCACTAAGATGGCTGTCATCAAAAGACTGTAATAACAAGTGTTGGTGAGCACGTGGAGAAACAGCAATCCTCACACAGTCATTGCTGGTGGGATCTGAAAGTGGGTGCAGACAATTTGGAAAGCAGCTTCACAGTTACTCAAAATACTAGATATAGAGTTACCCTATGACCAGCAATTTCACTTTTAGGTATAAACCTAAGGGAAATAAAAAACATATGACCACACATGCGCACAAACAAAAAACTAAAAAAGTTGTCCCTGAATGCTCACAGCATTGTTCATAATGAACAGCATTGTTCATAATAGCCAAAAAGTGGAAAAACCCCAAATGCCCAAATGCTCATCAGCTGATCGATGGATAAACAAGCTGTGGTATGTCCATGGAATGGAATGTTATTCAGCCATGCAAAGCAATGGAGTCCTGCCACATGTGACAGCATAGATGAGCCTTGAAAACATTTTGCTAACTAAGAGAAGCTAGACAGCAAAGGCCACATATTGTATAATTCTGTTTACACTCATGTGGTGCATAACAACCAGTCAACGATGAACTGCATATAGATAATGGTCTCATAAGATTATAATGGAACAGCTGGGTGTGGTGGCTCATGCCTATAATCCCAGCACTTTGGGAGGCCAAAGCGAGTGGATAGCTTGAGGTCAGGAGTTTGAGACCAGCATGGACAACATGGTGAAATCCTGTCTCTACTAAAAATATAAAAATTAGCTGGGTGTGGTGGCATGCGCCTGTAGTGCCAGCTACTTGGGAGGCTGAGGCAGGAGAATCACTTGAACCTGGGAGGCTGAGGCAGGAGAATCACTTGAACCTGGCAGGCGGAGGTTGAAGTGAGCTGAGTTCATGCCACTGCACTCCAGCCTGGGTGACAGAGCCAGATTCAGTTTCAAAAAAAAAGATTATAATGGAACTGAAAATTCCTATTGCCTAGTAATGTCGGAGCCGTGATAATGTCATAGCACAACAAAGTACTCACAAGTTTGTGGTGATGCTGGGATAAACAAGCCTAGTGTGCTGGCAGTCATATAAAAGTCTAGCACATACAATTATGTATAGTATATAATACTTGCTAATGATAAGAAATGACTATGTTACGGTTTATGTATGTAATACACTATACTTTTATTGTTATTTTAGAGTATACTCTACTTATTATAAAAATTTAACTGTAAGACAGTCTCAGGCAGGTCCCTCGGAAGAAGGTATTGCTATCACAGGAGATGACAGCTCCGTGTGTGTTATTGCCCTGAAGACCTTCTAGTGGGACAAGGTGTGGTGGTGGAAGATGGTGATATTGAGGATCCTGACCCTGTGTAGGCATAGGCTAATGTCTGTGTTTGTGTCTTATTTTTTAACAAAAATGTTTAAAAAGTAAAAAGAAAAAAACTGAAAACAAAGAAAGGCTTGTATAATAAGGATATAAAGAAAGAATATTTTTGTGTAGCTGTACAATGTGTTTGTGTTTTAAGCTGACCGTTATTACAAAGGAGTCCAAAAGTTGACAAAAATTGAGAAGGTTATAAAGTAAAAAGGTTACAGTAAGTTAAGGTTAATTTATTATTTCAGAAAGAAAAACTTTTTCTATAGAGAGTAGCCTAGGTGTACAGTGTTCATGAAGTCTACAGTGGTGCAGAGTCATGCCTTAGGCCTTCCCATTCACTCTCCACCCACTCACTGGCTCACCCAAAGCAACTTCTAGTCCTGCAAGCTTTATTCATGGTAAGTGTCCTACACAGGTGTACTATTTTTTATCTTTTATACCATTTTCTTATCATACCTTTTCTGTATTTGGTAAGTTTAGATACACAAGTACTTACCACTGTGTTACAGTTTCTTACAGTGTTGAGTAGAGTTGCATGCTGTACAGGTTTGTAGCCGAGGAGCAATAGGTTCTGTCATACAGCCTAGGTCTGCAGTAGGTTGTCCCATTTAGGTTTGTGTAAGGACACTCTTTGATGTGTACACATGAAGAAAATTGCCTAATGACACATTTCTCCAAATGTGTGTCTGTCATTAAGCAACAGATGACTGATGTGAAATGTCAGAATAGGCCAATCCATAGAGAGATTGTCTGGGGATGGAGTAGGAGATGGGTAAGCAGGAATCAGGAAGACTGCTGTAGCACAGGGTTTCTCCCCCACTTCCCACCACTTTTTTCAATAGAGACAGGGTCTTGCTCTGTTGCCCAGGCTGAAGTGTAGTGGCATGATCATGGCTCACTGCAGCCTCTAACTCCTGGGATCCTCCCACCTCAGCCTCCCAGGTGAGTGCCACCACACCCAGCTAATCAAAAAAATTTTTCTAGAGGCAGGGTCTCACTATGTTGCCCAGGCCTGCAGAGAGTTTCTTTGGGGGGCATTGAAAATGTTCTAAAATTAGATTGTGGTGATGTAATTCAGTGTGTCTTTGAATGAGTTTAAGTGTCATGTCAAGTACAATTGTCTTATTCAGCTTAGATTTTTGGAATGTTTGAAGACAAACATTGCCGTGGAGATCACCTGGTAGCTTTCTGAGCAGGAGGCTGTGGACTGAGGGGAGCCATCCACTCTGCCGAGAGCTTGAGAAAATGAAGACTGAAAACAGAGCACTGGAGGTCGTTCATACGCAAAAATGCTTTCCCCTCGGAATTGTCTCCAGCTCCTTCACCTCTTGGTTGTAGGTACAGACAGCAGAGACAAGAAGAGCCTTGAAGAGGCAGCCACACATTGTGGTGAGGAGCACACAGCCTCTTGCTAGGATAGGAATATGCTACCTATGCTTTGGTTCCCAATATCCTTGCCAATAAAACCTTTGTCTCTGATCCTCTTAGCTGTAACAGCATGCTGGACTAATAGGTTCAGGGAGTAGTCTGCTGTGACAAATACTTGTTGCGCACCTACTATGTGCCAGGGTGTATTCCAGATGCTGTGGATTTGTGATCTGGTTTGATAATAAATTTTATTTTAATGAATTGTATTTTTAAAATTGTATATATCTGAGGTGTACAGGATATTTTGATATACTTATCTTACTACACATAGACATAGTGAACTAATTACTACAGTTAAGCAAATTACCATCTTATCATCTCATAGAGTTACTTTAGATAAATATATTTTAGATTCAACATTGACTCATCCAGAAAAGCATGTTTTGAGCATCCAGTTATTTTCATGAATTGTGCTAGGTTCTAACTGCTGATGAAAACTCATCAATACAATTCCAAACACAGAGGAATCATGTTTTAATAAATTGTGGAGTCAAATAAACGTGGGTGAGTGCACCTTTTACTAGCTGTGTGACTGTGGGCAAAATTTTTAGTTTTCTCAACTGTAGACAGAGTAGAGGGAGTGGGGGAACTTCCTATGTGTCATTAAATGTTGTAAAAATTGATTGCAGTAACCCATCTCATTGAACACCCAGCTCAATGCCAGGAATACATACTATAGTTCCCTTCTAATTTCCAGCTCACTCCCATGGATATAGATTATGATTTTTGTAGAAAGCCATCCTAGTAACCTTGTAAACTGACTTCCTCATTTGAAGGTGAGAAAACTTGGGCTCTGGAAATGTTAGTGTCTTCCCCGAGGTTGTATAATTAGGTAATGGTGATGTCAGCCCTGAAAGCTGGGGATCCCCATTCTCAGTTCAACGCTTATCTACCACATCATGGTAACTTATGAGATTAGTTTGTCTTCTGTCTCTGTAATTTGCAGTCCCTCAAAGTGTTTAGCTATAATCTTTAAACCTGGAACGTTCACTGTAGGCGCTCAGAATATTTAAAAAAATGCCTTCCTGGGCTGGGCGCGGTAGCTCACGCCTGTAATCCCAGTAGTTTGGGAGGCCGAGGCGGGTGGATTACAAGGTCAAGAGATCGAGACCATCCTGGCCAACATGGTGAAACCCCATCTCTACTAATACTACAAAAATTAGCTGGGCGTGGTGGCAGGCGCCTGTAGTCCCAGCTACTCAGGAGGCTGAGGCAGGAGAATCACTTGAACCTGGGAGGCGGAGGTTGCAGTGAGCTGAGATGGCGCCATTGCACTTCAGCCTGGCGATGACAGAGTGAGATTCTGCCTCAAAAAAAAAAAAAAAAAAAAAAGCCTTCCCAACCTTAGGCCACTTTAGTCTCAGGAAATGCCTGCCTTTACCACTTCTCTATCCCAAGAATCATTCATTTATTCTTTGTTTTCTGTCTTCAGTCAGTTCTCCATCCCCGACAGATTATTTATCTAACTTTCGGAGTAACTCAGTTGTTCTAGTGAAGGGCTGGTGGTTAGAATGTTTATTCAAGGGGGCAGGGCCACTTCCCAATGGAAGACCTCCTCAGCCAAACCGGAGGGTTACCAGGAGCAGGGGAGGCTGTGCTTGCCTCCTGCAGGGCACCAGGCACCCTGGAGGCTGCGCTCTGCCTGAGCTGCCCTCCGCGGAGCCCCACGCAAGGCTGCTCTTGGCCAAGGGCTCTGGTTCCACAGTTCCCACACTCTGCCCATTCCCTGCCCACTAGCATACCAGGGCAAGCTCCTGGCAATGAGCACTGAAGAGCCTTCCTGCTTGAACGGGGGGTGGGGGGAAGAAAAGGGTAAAATAGAGGATGAAAAATGCACTTAATTTAGTATCTCAAGATATTGTACAGCCACTCATATGCATAACAGTTTTAGGTATGTAGTAAAACCCGAGGCCTAGGGATGGGTAACTACTGCAACACAAGAAGCCCTGTTGAATTTGTGTCTTCCTTTCAAAAAACTAGAAGAGAGTGAGTTTCTGTCACTGCTGCAGAGTTCAGGCCCCAGAGAAGAGTGTTTGGCGCAGAGGGATAAAATAGAGCACCATCGTACCCAGCTGTGGACAGAGTGGGGGGTCCTTAGCATAACTGTGGCCGACATTTGGGGAAGGCCCTGAAAGAATGAAAATCTCCTTACAGATGAACATCAAATGGATCCACGGCTCTGCGGAGGACCCAAGACAACTTGCTTGAATTGTTAAGACCTTGTAAGAATGTGAACGACTCCTCATGGCCGAGTTGCAGGCACAGCAGGCTGGGGCCGGGTGGAAACCGAGGGCCAGCAGGGCCGGAACAGCGCATCTCCGCGGACGGCTCCCCATAGGCCCGGCCAGCGCGGAGCCAGGAGGGTGGCGTCCAGGGGCAGTGGACGCGCACGACAGGAGGAAGCCTGGGCTCTCCTCTCTGACCTCACGCCTGCCCTCCCCGCAGATGGGAATGTCCTTGTCCCGCATGAGCGGCGGAGCCGGAGGGGACCCCGGCCTCTGACTCCTGCCCGCAGCCCCCTTTCAGCTGCCAGGGTTTCTCTGCCTTAGCTGCACATGAGAACCCCCTGGGGCCTTTGAAAAACTACGAATGCCCTGGCACCAACCCAACCCCGTTACATCAGCATCTCTGAGGGAGGGGCCTGAGTGCGAACGTACATTGTGTAAAGTTCCCAGGTGACCTAGCGCGCAGCCAGCACTGCAGACTCCGGGGCCGCCCCAGCCGCCGCCCCGCCGCGGCCCCCCACCCCACGGGCTGCCCTCTGGTTCGGTGCCTCTGCCTGATTCTGAAGGGCTGCATCCTCCCTTCTCCTCACCACCTATCGCGAGCGGTGACTGTCTCTGGAGGTGTCATTTGGGGGGCTGTAGTGGGTTGAGTGGTGGCTCTCCAGAAGACACGTCCATGTCCGGGAACCTAATTTGTAAAGAGGGTTTTTGAGGATTAAATCAAGTAAAGGTTTTTGAGAGGAGATCATCCTGGAGTTAGGCTGAGCCCTAGATCCAATGACAAGTGTCTTTATAAGAGGCACGGGGGGTCGGGGGGACAAAGTAGGAGAAGGCCATGTGGAGAGGCAGGCAGAGATTGGAGTCACAAACCAAGCAATGCCCAGAGCTACCCACAGCTGGGAGAGGCAGGGAAAGATTCTCCTCTAAAGCCTTGGTGGGGAGCATGGCCCTGCCCACACCTTGATCTTGGACTTCCAGCCTCCAGAGCTGTGAGAGGGCCCATTTCTGTTGTTTAGTCCACCAGGTCTGTGGTCTTCGGTGATCTGTGGTCATTGGTTGGCAGCCCTGGGAAGCTGGTAGAGGCACCCTCTCAAGCTGCTGTTTTCTGCTTGGTTGTATCTAGGGCTGAAAGCCATCCAGTTCAACACGCTTCCTTTGGACTCACTTAACGAACTCACCAAAGCTGGCCTTTTCTTATTATATTTAGAGCGTTTGGGGCTGTCCCCAAACAGCAAAGCCTCCCTCTTTTCCACTCCCTTCCAGCCTTCTCTTCTCTATCCAGACTGAATAGCATCCACCAGAAACCACCTCAGAAGGCTCACATCCTAGAGCTGAAAAATGACTTGGCAGGTTTTAATTTTTTCATATCATTTTTTAAAATGAGCAAAATTTATGCCTTGTACAATGACTTGTAGACAATTGAAACAATCTAGAAGAATAAGCTTTGCCTTCACCCCCTGCGCCCTTCTTCCATCACACCTCCTATGCCCATGGTAACCAGTGATAACCAAGAACACTCTGGTGAAGACCCTTCCAGTCCTTTCTCTAGGAAGACACTTTCCAAGTGACAAAGTACTCAAATATATAGGAAATGTAAGCTTTGACACAGGTAGAAACAGAACCAGGCTTGTTGAAGCAGCCATGGTGGGATGCTTGGAATCCACTGACTATTGCTCCTACAATCTCTCCGAGGAACCCACAGACTACAAGGCACAAAGACAAATTGAAAACCACTATCTTAGCCCTCCTGGGGATCCGGCCTTGGAAACCAAGGTCAATGCCATGGTTTGAATGTTCATGTCGTCTCCAAAATTCATGTTGAAACAGTCCCCAAAACAAAAGTATTAAGAGGTGAGGCCTTTAGGAGGTGGTCAGGCCATGAGGGCTGTCTTCAGGGATGGAATTAGTGCCTTGTAAGAGGGCTGGAGGGAGCTAGCTAGGTCTTTTGTGCTTCTGCCTCTTGTTGTATGAGGACCTAGCAACAAGGCACCATCTTGGAAGCAGGAGCTGCCCTCACCAGACACCTGCTCTGCCAGTGCCTTGATCTTGGACTTCCAGACTCCAGAACCGTGAGCAATACATTTCTGTCCTTTATAAATCATGGAGTCTGTGGCATTTTTGTTATATAGCCCAAATGGACTAAGGCAGCCAGGACGAGGGCAAGGCATGTGTGTGAAAAGGTATGGAGGTGCTCATTCGCAGAGCTTAGGAGCTCTTCAGGTTGGATGGTGAAGACCCAGACACGGGCAGAGGAGGGGTCATGGCTCTCTCTCTTTGAGGCTTCTGGGTATTTCAGAAGGAGGAAGAAGCTGTAGTGATTATTTCCAGCTACATACACCAGGAACTCTCCTCCAAAGCCTACATATCTCCCCATGTCTCCTACAGTGAAAGCCAAAGTCCTTGCTGGCCACACAGGATCTGCTCCTTCACACCACCCCAGAGACTCTTCCTCCCCAATCACATCCCCTGTCACTATTTCCTCCACCTGCCCTACTCCAGTCTCTGGCCTCCCTCCTGTCCCTCAGACACACCAAGCTCGGCACCTGTGCATTTGCTCTTCCCTTTACCTGGAGTGCTCTTCCCCAGGTATCCGGGCTTCTCCCTTACTTCCTGCAGACCTCTGCTCACATGCCCCTGATCTGAGCTTCCCCAGCCACCCTACGCAAGTGGCACCTGCCCCACCCACCACATGCTCTTCCCTGCTTCCTTCACTTCTCCAGTACTGGGTGTCACCTGACTTTCCAGCCATAGGGAGACAGACAGACTGTACCACAGCTTTTGTGAGAAATAATACAAAAATAAGTCAGCTGCTTTCTCCCACTGACTGCACTGCAGAGATGTCACTGAGTACCTGGTCTGCTCTTCCCCAGGCTTCCTTCTCCTCTCTGGCTTCCAGAAACTTGGGGGCCAAATTTGAGGGTGAACTCTAAGAACTCTGTAGGACTTTGATGTCTTTCTCTTTGGCTGTGATTTTTCAGACTTATTCACATTTCCCCACCCTCGTTTCTTGTGCCTGTTGTGTTATGTTATGCTGTGGAGTTTGCTTTTTTCATAACCGAAGGAAGAGGCGGGAGAGAAGTAAGGCACTTGTTGAGGTCCCAGATGAATACACACACTTGAAGAAGGTGACACTCCTTGATTGCCTGTACTTCTGGGGCGAGCTGCTGGGACTTTTGGCCCAGCAGGCACAGTTGGAAATTTAATACTGCCTGGGACAGATTTTAAAAAGATGGCTGGTACAAGTAGTTCAGTCAAGTACTGAGATCAAGTTTTTGCTCACGTAGTCTTATGTAAAAGATAGTATGGATAAGAACATGTATCCATAGGTTTACAGAATGTTTGAGCTAGAAGAAATTGTTGGTACATCCAAATACTTCCTTACAGAAATGAGGAAAACTGAAGACCAAGCAGATTGCCTAAGGACCAGAACTACTTATTGGCAGAGACAATGGGATGAAAATCTTTTTCTCTCTCCTCCTAGCTTTTTCCATGATACCACCCACAACGTTGCAGTTCTTCCCATTTTGAGTATTGAGATCCTTGGAAAGTGTGTTAAGAGGTTATGCCTGCATATGTGTAATTCTTTTTCCCCCACAGACTTTCCAAATTCAATACGCTGATGGAAGCAAAGTCCCCCTCATCGCTTTCCTCAGAGTTTACCCTGGATTTAATGCTAGGGATTAGGAGCGCGCCTGTGCCAGCCTGCTCCCTGCTCGGCCTGCCTGCGCTGGAGGGCTGCTGGTGGGAGGTGGATGTCAAAACACAGAAGGCGCTTGTTGGAAACAATAGGACTTGGGAAGTGTGGGGCCAGGGATTGGCGCGTGGGGAATACCAGGTGGCAAGGTGGGATCATCAGACTGGGGGTTTTCAGGGAAAGCTGCCTGCTGGGTCCAGGAAAATAAAAACACGGGATTCCAGATATTCTCGAAACATGTCTGGTTTTAGTCAATATTGTAGGAATCCTTAGCATAGGTTCTCAAAAATCTGTAATATCTTAGGAGGAGCACAGACTGGAACCAAAGGGAAGACTCTGCTGTATGCAAATCTCAGAAGTCTCCAAGGTGTGTTAAACACAACATAGCGCAACACAACACAACCACACAACACATCACACGTGCAACACAACACAACCACACATCACACAGCGCAACACGACACAACCACACAACACAGCGTCATACAGCGCAACATAACAAACCACACATCACACAGCGAAACACAACACAACCACACAACACAACATCACACCGTGCAACACAACACAACCACACAGCAAATCACACAGTGCAACACAACGACACAACATCACACAGTGAAACACAACACAACCACACAACGCAACATCACACCGTGCAACACAACACAACCACACAGCAAATCACACAGTGCAACACAACACAACCACACAACATCACACAGCGAAACACAACACAACTACACAACACATCACACAGCACAACATAACAAACTACACAACACCACACAGCACAGCACAACACAACACGACACCACACAGCATAACACAACCCAGGCTTCTCTGGTGAGTAGTTAGGGTTAGGGCCTACCTTTAGGAGGAGAGTCATTCTGATGAATGGGTATATTTGCCTAGTTATGGCTGAGTGGTTTTCAATGCAACTTCAGCCTGGAGTGCTGTGGAGCTGAGCTGTAGTTCCTGCAATAGTCCCAGTCAGCCAAGCCCAGAGTCCCGTGGGGGAAGGGCTCCTCGAAGTTTGGAGCTCAGGAGCTGTCATCCAGAGAGAAAGCTCAGCAAAGTTGACTGACAGAAACGCAAGGAAATGTTGGGTCTGTGCGTCCCATGCTCTTGCATTTTGCAGGTATATTACCCTGGAAAACCGGAGCCTGTTCAGTAGGAGCTCAGTTGTGCTGGACATGAGCGCTCATGAATTGAATGCCCACATCAGGACTGGGCTTAGTTTTCTATATTGCAAAATGATGGCCTTTGGCACATGACATATCACCAACAATGATCCCAATGATGGGCATGCAACTGCTCTTTCAAAAGCTAAGGAAAGTGATCAAATGGAGTTGAGAAAATGTGCAAGGATCAATTTTCCCATGAGACACACAGCTCTGACCTTAGAGACACCATAATGCAATTTCCAGCTTCACCCTCACTTTGTTTCAGAGTTGATTTAAACCCTTGCTGGGTTGCGAGATGTTCCTAACATCTTGCTGCTCTTTGTATCTCTGTCTTCTACCAACAAGAGCCTTGCCTGGATCAAACAGCTTGAGCTGATCAGGCCAAGGCAGTAAATTCAGAATCAGGGTAAACTTTTTGGCTGTCCCTTAAAACTCTTTCCAGCCATGAGGTTGTCAGTCATCATTTCTGCAAGGACCCACCTCCATCTGAAGCTCTCAAGTTCATTGTTAAAGGGTAGCTTCCTGGGCCCATTGTATCCTGAGCATGAGTCCAAGAACTGGTACTTTCAACATGTGATTCTTATGCATATTTAGTTTATTAAAAACAGCTATTTACCAGAAAACGAACATGCATGTAGCTATGACCCTTGTCAAGAAACAGAACTTTATCAATGGCAGAGATCCCTTCGTATCCAGCCTCCCCAAGGGTAACTATTATCTTGAGTTTACACAGTTGCTTCAATGCCTTTCTTGAGAGGGCATGCATTAAAATTTAGGGATTTATTTAAACATGTATCTCTCAACATCGTAGTAGGGTTTTGTCTGTTTTTTTGAGTTCTATATAAATTGAGTTATGCAGCATGTAGCTTGGCATTGGATTTTTTTTTTTTGCTTCCTTACCATTAGGTTTGTGAAATTCATTCATGTTTCTGCCTGTAGTTGTAGTTGAATTACATTGCATGACTAAGCCACAGTTTATTGATCTATTCCATTGGTGGACATTGGGTTCTTCTTTCCAGCATGCGACTGTTGTGAATAATGCTGCTCTGAACACTCTTGCCCAACACATTTCTCTTGGTCATACTTAAGAGTGAGATTGCTGGGTGAGCTTCTCTTCAACATTTGTAGAGAATGCAAACTGTTTTACAAACTGTAAAATTGTAAAATTTACAAACTGTAAAATTGTACTGTAAGTACAATTTTAAGAACCTTTGTCTATATCTTTGCAGACTGGTAGGTGGAAACAACCTACCAGCTGTATATGTAATTCATTGTCATCCCTCAGCCCCCCAATTTTGGAAGGTACTGGCCAGATTTGTTTTCAATTGGAGTTCCGTTGGCCAATTTAATCCCCTTTTTGTTGGTTATTGCTAAATCCTCCTGAATTAATATCCTAAGTGACTTTTTTTTTTGAGACAGGATCTTGCTCTGTCACCCAGACTGGAGTGCAGTGATCATAGCTCACTGCAGCCTCAAATTCCAAGGCTCAAGTGATCTTCCTGCCTCAGCCTCCTGAGTAGATGGGACTACAGGCGTGTGCCATCACGGCTGGCTAATTTTTAATTTTTTTTGTCAAGATGGGGTCTCCCTATGTTGTCCAGGCTGCTAAGTGGGCAACACTTTTTCTTGGTCTGTCCGGAAAATAAAATGTATATGCACAGGAACCCACTATATGCCAGGCCCAGTGCAAGGTGCTGGGAACACAATATTTAATGAGACAGGGAAGAGCTTGGCCTGTGTGAAGCTCTCAGTCTGGTGGGAGACAGGCATATAAACAAGACTAAGTATATAATTAAAAATGGCGAGACATTCTGTGTAGGAAACGAATAAGGTGCTGGAGAGGATAAGGGGCTGTGGGGAGAGATGGCACTGTTTAGACCCAAAGATGTGGGCAGGAGTGGGAGAATGCCTGGTTTGAAAAGTGACAGGTAAGCTCAGGCCTGAGTGCCTCCTGTGAGGAGTCGGGCGAAGGATGTTCCCGGCAGCAAGATGTTCTCATGTTCGGCCTCCGAGGGACAGAGGACCTGGGCACATGGATGAACTGGGAGGAGTGTGGGGGAGGAGGATGGCATGATGTGAGGCTGGCAAGGCGGGCGGGACCTGGCCTGGAGTCTGGTTGGCCGTGGGGAGGCCACGGAATGGTAGCTGTGGTTTGCTGCACAGGGCTGAAGGATAGTTCTGGTTACTGCAAGCAGAAAGAGTTGTATGAGGCCAAGTGAGGAAACGGGAGGCCGGTGAGAAGCCTCTGCAGCCATCCAGGCAGGAGACAATGTTCAGCAGGACTAGGATGCTGCCCATAGACTTGGAAAGATGCATTTGGGGAACATGTTGGAGCTGGAACAGACAAACCTGGCTATGGATCAGATATGAGGCGTGAAGGAGGGACAGGTATGAAAAGCACTCCTAGGCTTCTGGCTTGAGTAACTGGGTGAAGGGAGTTGTCATTGACAAAGATGGGAAACCTCTTCTATGGACATCAAACCCCTCTTATAGCACTTAAAGCCTACTCTACCTCATTCTCCGGTGGTGCCAATATCTCCCTACGGTCAACCTCAAAGTAAAAGTCACTTCCTGGTTTTGGTTAACAAACTTTCTTCACCCTCTTCCACTGTTATTACTTATTCACTGAGTGACCATCTGTATGCTTGCCGTGCCCAGAGCAACTGGGTCATCGTTTTAACGTGTAAATTAGTGAAAGAGTTCTTTTTACTCTATAAACCTATAGACCCAGGTAGAGGATCTAGATGTGGCTCTCAGAACAAATGCAATTGCTTTAAAATGATCTTTCTAGAAGAACAGTCATGAAACATTGAAATATTAAGTTAAAACCTAATAAGAATTCTGCATTCAGAAAGGTAAAAGAAGTGACAGGAAATAAACACCGACTTCAGCCATTTTTTTTCACTAATGAACTGGACTACACAATATTTTCCTCTCGAATTTCTTTTTCTTAAAAGAATTCCAACTATTCTTTTTTTTTTTTTTTTTTTTTTGAGACAGCGTCTCACTCTTTTGCCCAAACTGGAGTGCAGTGACGTGAACACAGCCCAGCTCACTGCAGCCTCGACTTCCTGGGCTCAGGTGATCCTCCCACCTCAGCCTCTCGAGTCCCTGGGGCTACAGGCATGCACCACCATGCCTGGCTAATTTTTTTATTATTGTTATTTTTTGTAGAGACAAGGCCTATGTTGCCCTGACTGGTCTTCAACTCCTGGCCTCCAGTGATTCTCCTAACTCAGCCTCCTAAATTGTTGGGGTTACAGGTGTGAACCGCTGTGCCTAGACAATTTAAACTGTTTTGATGCCATTTGGAGTGGACTTATTGTATAAAAACATAAGATGTGATCAATTTCTTCAAAATATACTCCTTGGAACACAAAGATATCAGAAGTATTTTCAGCATGGAGTTTGTGAGGACATTCCTACCCTTTCAGTTTGCTCAATGTAATGCATGAAAACATTAGGTTTAGGTCTCTTAGTTGACCCACTAGAGTCATTTTTCAGGGCCCTGGAGTCTCATCTGGGAGCACTGGAGAAGAAAGCTGTGAGCTGGTGGTGTGGCTGTCCTGATGCCACTCTGTCTCCTGGAAATCATAAAGAGGCAGGCTTTCTTAATTGCAGACGACAGAATCCACCGCTAGTTTAAGCAGAGTCAGTACAGAATTTTCAGGAGGACCAGAGAATGAAGCTTGGATACTACATCGTCAGGAATAAGCAACCAGAAGAAACAGCAACCACACAATGAGATATTTCTAACACTCAGATTGTATGCTGCTGGGACCAGAGAGAAGAGCGCTGGCCGTGGCTGCCACAGAACAAAGACGTCCTTCTCCAGGCTTGCCAGAAGATCCCATTTCCCCCTCTCATGGCACCTTCCATCCTGATGGCTGCATTTGTTGGGTATAATCTAGAACTCCTGCCTACTCCCACAACACAGACGGCAATCAGTTCCAACCTGAGTTCAACAAGTGCTGGCTGTAAGGGAGTCCGGGAGGCGTGGCTTTTACCTTTCTACTGTCTGCAGAGCAGGGAAATAGACTGTGTGAATGCTGGAGATGATGTTTGAAATAATTTGCATGAACCGCTGCAGACAGTGAACAAAACCACCGAAAGACATGATCTTCCCAAATCACTGTTCTCCTGCTCCCAGCACTAATTCTGTTCCGGAGAAACATTTACCTAGATTTTGCCTGCATTTACCAAGTGTTTCCTTTCGAGCACTTCCTCTTTCAGACCAGTTAAACTAAACATCACTGTGAACAGAGCACACAGCAAACACCCAGGTAAAGCGAGTACTTCCATGGCTTCCTCAGGAACGCGTCTGATGTCTAGCTTGACGTCTCCCCACTTATCATAACACTGCAGCAGAAATTGCATTTCGCTAAGGTAGGCGGGAAGACGGAAAGGATGTCTAATTAATCGTCTAATTAATCACTTCAAGTCTTTGCAGACCAGGAATATGCTTTAGTTTGTATTGGCTCACCTCATCACTCTAGGACTGGACCTGTGGCTGGCAGGGACGTCCTGCGTCTGATTGAGAAGGGTGTGGTCTTGCAGAAAGAATGATGAAGCCTGTCAAGGATCAAGCTCCTAAGACAGAAAGAGAAGCCTCCTTTGGTAGTCCCAGTCCCTGCATTTCAGGGACTTTCTCATCATTCTGCCTCTAATAAGACCTGGGCCCTGACACCTCCGCTTCCACCATAAACAGTGCTACTAAAGCTGCAGCCGGCACTGATGCAAAGCCCAGAGTCACTACTGGGTGTCATAGCTGGGATGCCCATATAAGAGGGGCTGGGACAGGGCCCCTTGAAAACCACAAGGCACCTTGCAGCCTTGCCCAGGGTGGGGGCCTGGGGGACTCTGGGGAGAGGAGTTGAACCTATATATATATAGCCTTTTGGACTCCTGGAAATGATCTATTGATAAAAGCTGCTTCTAATCAAAAACAAGAAAGAGGAGGAGAAGGAAGAAGAGAATCCTTGGAAAACTGCTAATACAGTTGTGGTTATCTAAGAGAGAGATTTTGTTTGTTCTCTTACTAACAGAAAGGGGTAATTTGGCAGGAAGAATTAGGGAAAGCAGACAAATTACATATTATTTATTGTTGGAGAAAATTAGACTCCAAGAGGGGAAGGCTCAAGAGCTGAGGAGAAGGTTGATTTCACAGTGCCTAATTCGCCACGTTTTATGATGTGTTTGATTTTTGAAGTCTGTATTTTAAAGAATGGCTTTCACATTGGGGCAAAGGTAAAGAAAGTCAACTCTCATAAAAACATTTACTAGAAACTCTGATTTTCCATGCCACTTTAAAAAAATCAATGAGCTTAATCTGCCATAAATGATTCTTCTTAAACCATTCCTAGCTCTTTGGGTCACGTCCTTTGCTCTGGTTTTTCCTTCCTAGAACCTGCACAGTATAGAGCCAGAGTTCACAAGGTGGTGGTATCTACCACCTGCTCATCTTTATACAACATGGACAGAATGTTCCCATGTACATGTATTTTGCACCACTCCTGTGATTCACAGTTCCTCAAAAATCCGTAGTGGAGATTTGGTGAAAAAAACCAAATAGCCACTTTCTTCCAGCCCCCGGGGGTACATTTTTTCACCAGGCATCTCACAGTCTTTCATTTGAATCTTCCAGGAGACTGGGATCCCAAGGAACACAAGCGCTCGCAGGCGGGCTATGGGGAGGCGTATTGTAAGGCCACCGCGTCAGTGGAGAGCAGGACCTGGGGCCTCCCTGGGGCTCCCTCGTGGACGCAGCCCAGTTCCTTGGAGCACCAGCACCTTCCCTGTAGTGTTCCACTCCCAGCCCAGTGTGGCTACTCTCTCAGCCTCTGCTTCTGTGTCTGTGTTTTCTTTTCTTTTTATTATTAGGGGGCTCCTCTGCCTTCTGCACCCATTGGCTCCTTCCTCGGGACATGGCTTCTCAGCTTGACTCTTCCTATATCCCATCAGCTTGGGTTCCCACAGTGCGATTCTCCCTTTCCCTCCCTCCCTCCCTTCCTCCCTCCCTCCCTTCTTCTCTCCCTTCCTTCCTTCTTTCCTTTTTTTTTTTTGACGGAGTCTTGCTGTGTCACCAGGTTGGAGTGCAGTGGCGCAATCTCCACTCACTGCAATGTCTGCTTTCCGGGTTCAAGCGATTCTCCTGCCTCCGCCTCCCGAGTAGCTGGGACTACAGGCGTGTGCCACCACACCCAGCTAATTTTTGTATTTTTAGTAGAGACAGGGTTTCACCCTGTTGGCCAGGATGGTCTCTATCTCTTGACCTCGTGATTCGCCCGCCTCAGCCTCTCAAAGTGCTGGCGTGAGGCTGTAATCGACTGTGCCCTGCCGATTCTCTCTTTTCTTGAGTGAGATTCCCAACTGGGAATTCCACTGGCCCAGCTCCTTTTGGCCACACTAGATCTGGTCCCCTGGGCATGGGGGGTTGGAGTCCTGTGATGACACATGGCTGCTGGGTCTTCGAAGACAGCGGGGAAAGTGGTGAGCTGGGCTCTGGGATTCCTCAGGCTATCGTTTCTTTTGAGGTGAATCCATAACAAACCATGGGCAGAAAGGAAAACTAGGACAGCAAGCAATGATTTGCCCAAGTCACTGAAAAGGAAACAAATGGTCAGGTATAAATCTTGATTGTCTTATTCTTTCTTCCAGGAGAGCTGGGGATGAGTTCTGTCTGGGAACCAGCATCTCTACTTCACTTGGTTTCATTCTAGGACAGGAATTCACCCTCCTGTGCTCACTCAGCCACTCTCGACCTTCAGGTCTATTTCCTCCCCGTTGATGGCCTTCCTGGGCCGGGCTGTTTGAGTCCACTGTTGAAAGGAGCTGGGGCCTGTCCCCTCCTCCACGTCACCAGCTTTCCCATTGCAGCATACAGCTAAGGACGCTGCATTAGAAGAGCCCTGAGGTCCAGGCTTGGGGAAACCTCGACCTGCCGGTGCCTGCAGAGGGGAAGCACGATGGGAGTTCTGCATCATTGAGGTTTTAGTTGTCTCTGGCTTGTCTGACGTTTGTGCAACAAGGCTGATTCGCTGTTGAGGGCATTTTCCAAGGGATTTCTGTGGGCATGGAATTTCCTCCATATCTCCCAGCCCAGGAGTGCCCTTTGGCTGCTGCTGGAAATGCCCCAGCGTCCGTGCACACTTTTTCCATTGATGGTGCAGCTATCCAGGCCCCACGTTCAGCCCAGCAGGGAGCTCTGCTATTGTAGGGTATGTGGTGTGACAGATAATTTATTAGGTGTGAACCGTCTTTTATTTGTTACTTCGTGGGCCTGTCTGCCCACACTCCTTTCTCCAAGTCCACCTGCAGCGCCTGCATGGCTGGGTGTGTGCCACGGTCCCTCTCACCACTACGCTTTTGCTCCTGAGTTCTATCTGGGACAGATTCTCATTCCTCTTGCCTTTTCCACACTTAGATGTTGCTTCTACTGAGAAGCTTGACCTGATTGCCCTCTCCCCAGGACAGGACTGGACGCCCTGAGCCCCACATTTATCCACTCCCAGGGCAGCCAGTGCTGGGCCTGGGCAGTGCATCCTTATCTCTTTTTGGTACTGGCTGCTAATGTCCCTGAATGAGGGTCCTGGAGAGGCTCCGGCTCCACTCCTTGGCAGAGCCCTCCGAGGTGGACACACTGACAGTGCTTAACAAATACTTGCCCAGTGCCGAGTGTGGGGCCTTGAAACCTGACTCTGGCTAGTGGAAACTTCTCCTGCATTCTGGATTTGGGGTGATGTTATGCATTCGGTTAGGAATCCCTAGTGGTGCTTCAATAATAATAGCCAATATTTCTAGAACAATTAGAAATTGTCCCACGAAGTGCTTAAGCACTTCCCATGTTTTTAGCTCACTTTTTTTTTTCTTTTGAGACAAGGTCTGGCTCTGTCACCCAGGCTGGAGTGCAGTGATGTGATCTCAGCTCACTGCACGCCAATTCCCTAGGCTCAAGTGATCCTCCCATCTCAGCCTCCTGAGCAGCTGAGACTACAGGTGGGTGCCACCACACCAGGCTTTTTTTTTTTTTGTAGATATGAGGTCTCACTATGCTGCCCTGGCTGGTCTCAAACTCCTAGACTCAAGAGATCTGCCTGCCTCCCAAAGTGCTGGGATTACGGAGATGACCCTCTGCACCTGGCTTCAGTCACTCTTTGATGACTGAGGTAGGTACTATTTTTAACTCCATTAAAGAGGTGAAGCGAATGGCCCAGACCATACAGCAGGCATGTGGCCGATGCAGGTTGGAAGCTGGACTCTGGTTCCAGACTCACACTGGTGACCTCTCTGCCTGCGGTGACACCTGTTGCCTGCAAGTCCCAGGAGGTCCTCTGCTGTGCAGTGGGTTAGGGGCCTGCAGCACACTGAAGATGCTTTATAAGCCTCTTTGGTGTTTTATAAGCCTCTTTGTATTCTACTAGCAATCTAGCAAGTGTCTTCAGCTTTAAAAGAGCCGCCAAACCCAGGGTGTCCTGCCAATTTAGGCATGCATTTAAACAAATTATACTTCTTCTTCTTCTTTTTTTTTTTTTGAGACAGGTTTTTGCTCTGTTGTCCAGGCTGAAGTGCAGTGGCACAATCTCGGCTCACTGCAACCTCTGCCTCCTGGGTTCAAGCGATTCTCCTGCCTCAGCCTCCTGAATAGCTGAGATTATAGGTGTGTGCCATCATGCCTGGCTAATTTTTGTATTTTTAGTAGAGACGGAGTTTCACTATGTTGGCCAGGCTGGCCTCGAACTCCTGACTTCAAGTGATCCGCCCGCCTTGGCCTCCCAAAGTGCTGAGATTACAGGCGTGAGCCACCGCGCCCGGCCGTTTAAACAAATTATACTTCTCATTTATGGGTATGAATCCAACTTCTTCCCCCAACTTTCTGGGTTTTTTGTTTTTTAAGTATATGTGCTGCCAAAGCAAGCACGTCCCTTTCTGTTTTTCTGTTGCTTTTTAAAGTTATGCAATTGATACCCAAATGTATTTTCCATTCTCAGAGATTTAAGTAGATTGGAAACATATAGAGTGAAATGGGAAAAGCCTCTTTGCTGCTTGCTTCTCTCTGCAGGACAATCCAACTTTCTTCCTGGGAGATAACGATCCTCAGGTTTGGATCCTGCAAGTCTTTTTTCTCTGCATTCACACACGTGTTTATAGCCGTGGAATAAAGTTCTCTTTTCATGTAAATGGCATACTCTGTGCACGGTTCTTCACTTAGTCTTTCTCCCCGGTGGACCCTACGTCTTAGTGACCATTTCCAGGGCCACATCACAGATCAGCCTCATTCTATTTAAGAGCTTTCTAGTATACACCGCCCTTAGTGATGGAAATTTGGGTTGTTCTCAGAAAAATTGTAAATCACAGTTTACTTAAAAAAATTATTACTTGCTTTAAAAAATGCCCCAAACAATAAGAGCGCTCATTTAGTGCTGAGGTTTACGCTCCTTTTCACACTCACACAATCAGCGCCAATCACACTTTCCAGAATATGGAATGCCTCCACTTTGTTTTGGTAAAATTAGTGCCTCACAACGTCTTCCCACCTCCTGGTCCCCCTTCTCACAGAGGGGGACCGGCCATTGTGCTCTTGGAAGTAGCACAGGATGTTGTTACACTTGGCTACGCAGTTGCATAATGGCCTCCGAAATTAGGCCCGGTGCTAGTTGAAGCCCTTGTTTGCCCTTCAGATACTGACCACAGATCAGCACAGTGGGCTCACTGCCTGGGAAGTCAGCACTCGCAGGTGTGTTTGTGTATTTGTGTGGTGTGTATGTGTAGCATCTATGGTGTGTACAGGGTGTGGGTGCGTAGTGTGTATGTGTGGTGTATGTAGTGTGTGTATGGTATGGGTGTGTGACGTGTGTGTGTAGTGTGTATGTGTGGTGTGTGAGCGGTGTTGGGTGGTGTGTGTGTGATGTGTGTTGTGTGTATGTGTAGTGCATGCAGTGTGTATGCATGGTATGTGGTATGTGTGGTATATGTGGTGCGTGTAGGGTACAGGGTGGTGGGTGGTTTGTGTGGTGTGTGTGTGCTGTGTATGTGTGGTGTATGTGTATGTGTGGCACATGTGGTGTGCATATGGTATGGGATAGTGTGTGGCATATATGAGGTGTGTGGGAGGTGTTGGGTGGTGTGTGTTTAATGTGTATGGTATGTGTGGTCTATGTGGTGTGTGTGTATTGTAGATGTAGTGTGTGTGTGGTGTGTGATGTGTATGTATGCGGTGTGTGTAGTGTGTGTGTGATGTGTGGTCTATGGGGCGTGTGGGGGGCATGTGGTGGTTGTGGCATCTGTTGTGCAGTGTGTCTGTTGTGTGGTGTATGTGTAGTGTGTGGAGGGTGTGTGGTGTGTGTGATATGTGTATTATGTGTGGTCTATGAGGAGTGTGGGGGGCATGTGGTAGTGTCTGTTGTGTGGTGTGTGTCTGTTGTGTGGTGTGTGTCTGTTGTGTGGTGCAGGTGTAGTGTGTGCAGTGCGTGTGGTGTGTGTGTGATGTGTGTAGGATGCATGGTCTATGGGGCATGTGGGGGTCATGTGGTGGTGTGTGTTGTGTGTTGTGTGTCTGTTGTGTGGTGTGTGTGTAATGTGTGCAAGATGTGTGATGTGTGTAGTATGAGTCTATGAGGTGTGGGGGGCATGTACTGGTGTGTGGCGTCTGTTGTGTTGGGTGTCTGTGGTGTTGTGTGGGGTGTGTATGGACATCATTGCTCCTGGCGCTGGCCCTCTCTTGGGAACAGGGAGGTCACCCTGGGAGTGAAGGGGTGAGAGACCTTCCTTCCCGGACTCACTGCATCTCCCCACTCCTAGAACAATTATTCCGAGTGGATAATGCACAGCGAGCTGAGTGAACAGCCTTTCTCTCTCTATGTGGAGTGCTGTGCAAGTGAGAGGTGAGGCCAGCTGGACTTCCTGGGTCGAGTGGGGACTTAGGGAACTTTCCTGTCTTACAAGAGGATTGTAAAACGCACCAATCAGTGCTCTGTAAAACACACCAATCAGTGCTCTGTAAAACGCACCAATCAGCGCTCTGTAAAACGCACCAGTCAGCACTCTGTAAAATGCACCAATCAGCAGGATTCTAAAAGTAGCCAATCGCAGGGAGGATTGAAGAAAGGGCACTCTGATAGGACAGATACAGAACATCGGCCGGGACAATAAGGGAATAAAAGCTGGCCAGCCCCAGCCACTGACGGCAAGCCACTCCAATGTCCTTCCAGGCTGTGGGAGCTTTCTCCTTTCGCTCTTCACAACAAACCGTGCTACTGCTCACTCTTTGGGTCTGTGCAAGAGCTGTAACATGGCTGAGCGCCTTGGCTCAAGCCTGTAATCCCAGCACTTTGGGAGCCAGAGGCGTGTGGATCACGAGGTCAGGAGAGTGAGACCATCCTGGCCAACATGGTGAAACCCTGTCTCCACTAAAAGTACAGAAATTAGCTGGGCGCAGTGGTGCGCGCCTGTAATCCCAGCTACTCGGGAGGCTGAGGCAGGAGAATCGCTGGAACCCCAAGGGTGGAGGTTGCAGTGAGCCAAGATCGCGCCACTGCGCTCCAGCCTGGCGACTGAGCGAAACTCCGTCTAAAAAATGAATGAATGAATGAATGAATGAGTGAATGAATAAAAGCTGTAACAATCACTGCGAAGGTCCTGGCTTCATTCTTGTAGTCAGGAGACCATGAACCCACTGGCAGGAACCAACTCTGGGCACACAAGGACACTGAACATCCAGCGAATCTGCAAAATACTCTCCTTGTGGGGGAGAGTGTCTCTAGGTATTGCTGTTTTCCCTTTCTTTAAAAACATTTTAAAATCACATAATAATTTACCTGATTGTGTCAGGAAGAGTGAGAAACTCCTACTATAGAAGGTGAAAATCCCTGATGTTGCTTTCGGAGAGAGCATGTCACGTTCTTGGATCTGACTTTCATTTCTCTCAGATAATAATGTTTTGAAAATAGCTCATCAATATAGGTTGCCAATTGATTTTACTTGACACCCTCCCCCCCCCCCCCCCAGCTAAAATGGACCTGTAGAGGTGAATTCATGTTGACATATACGTTCATAACACTTCTGGACGTGTGGGTAGGTTATGAGGTTAATTGCAGTGGCTGAGTCCAAAATCTTACTCTGTTTCCCTTTGAGATTGGTAACAGATCAGACCCAAGAAAATCAGACGAAAATGAAAGAACTGTATGAACTGTATCAGTGCAGTCCTCAAAACAGGGTTCAGGGAGCCCTCTCCTTCCTCTCCAAAATGAAGATGCTGGAGGGAAAGCCCCATCTGCAGGGCCGACTCTGACCACCGTAGCCCGGCCTCCTGCATGGAGGGTCCCCAGCGCTCCGGATCTCTCGCCTGGCCGTGGCAGTGGCCACCCAGGGCTGCGGTATCTTTTCTCAGCGGAGTCAGACACAGTCCGCACGGGAAACCGGGAGCAGATACAATCTCCTGTGGCTGCAGCCCGGCGAAGGGGCTGAGCGGGTGGCTCTTTCCTCCCAGAGCGCCTGCATTTTTTTGCGGATGGAGTGAATGTTTGTGTTTTCGTGAGGCCATGCGAAAGGAATGTGAGTATTAGAAAAGAGCCCTGTTTGTTAAAACGATAATTGCTAGAATGCTCTGGAACCGTCCACATTCGCTCTTCCAGTCTCATAAAAGCCCAAGGAATGGGGGCAATGTCTGACTGACGACCTGGACTCAAAGCCCTTCCAGATGAGAGAATTTTGCTGTCATTTTGGTTATAATTTTCCCTAATGACTTGGATTTCTCTTTGGCCACCAAATATTTCAAAGCAACTGGTTTTTTACCGCATCCAAGAGCTGAAAGCCCCCATGGCAGTTCACGGGCTAAGGACGATCGCGTGAATAACTAATAACCAAGTGGACAAATATGCATCATGTGTTTGAACCAATACTCATGCTCGATTACACCGCAGGCTGTTTCAGATGCTTTCAAGCCAGGCCTGGCTGGCCCCTACAGACACCCCCTGCAGCCACTTCCTCAGGAAGTGAGCTCACCTCCCTCATGGAAGAGCGTTTGTAAGATGCTGGCGCTCCTCTAGTGCCAACGCTGGAGGCTGGGATCACCTGCGGGTTTTCAGTTGCTCCTGGGAGCTGCCAGGAGAGTCCCAGGAACAAGCTGCCTCCTTGCACCCTTACATTTGTTTGCTACCCTGCAGATAAAGTGTGGTGCGGGAGTTTTCCAATTCATTCACACAGCGGAGAGAGAAAGGAAGGAGTGAAAGAACGCAGCCTGCCGGGCCTTGGTCTCCTCTCAGGCTTTGTTTGGGCTAAGTGAAGGGTCCATGCTATGGCTGAGGGTAGAGTTTTAGTAGGTGAAAACATCTGCGTGTCTTGGCTCTAATAAGCTGGGGTGCGCGCCTCCACTTACCTAGATCTCCATGCGGAGCGGCATCGTGGCCTGATGGTCGAGCGAGGAAGTTTCTCCAGTTCCAGTCAGACTAACGGCCTGGTTTGAATCTGGCCTCTACAACCTCCCAGGCTGGGAAGCCTTGGGCTACTTACTTAACCTCTCTGTGCCTTAGATTTCCTGCCGGCAAATGAGAAGACAATCAGGCCTTCTGAATCATGTACTGCAAAGGGCTTAGAACAGGGCCTGGTTCATAGAAGAACAAATGGGCAACCGGCCCGGAATTAGTGTGCTCTGCAAGGGTTAAAATGATAATTGCTAGAATGCTCTGGAACCGTCCACATACATTCGCTCTTCCACAGTCTCATAAAAGCCCAAGGAATGGGAGCAATGTCTGACTGACGACCTGGACTCAAAGCCCTTCCAGATGAGAGAATTTTGCTGTCATTTTGGTTATAATTTTCCCTAATGACTTGGATTTCTCTTTGGCCACCAAATATTTCAAAGTAACTGTTTTTTATGGCACCCAAGAGCTGAAAGCCCCCATGGCAGTTTCCAGGCTAAGGACACTTTATGCAAACCCATCCCAGGAGGAGGAGGAGGAGAGGGAAGAGAAGGAGGAGGAGGAGAGGGGGGAGGAGGAGGAGAGGGGGAGGAGGAGAGGGGGAGGAGGAGAGGGAGGAAGAGGAGCAGAGGGAAGGGAGGGAGGAAGAGGAGGGGAGGGGAGGGAGGAGGAGGAGAGGGAGGAGGGGGAGATGGTGAGGGAGGAGAGGGCGGAGGAGGGGGGAGGAGGAGAGGGAGGAGGAGAGGGAGGAGGAGAGGGAGGAGGAGAGGGAGGAGGAGGACCAGGAGAGGGGATGCAGTCTTGCTCTGTGCCCAGGCTGGAGTGCAGTGGCATGATCCAGGCTCACCGCAACCTCCGCCTCCTGGATTCAAGCAATTCTCATGCCTCAGCCTCCTGAGTAGCTGGGACTACATGCATGTGCCACCACACCTGGCTAATTTTTGTATTTTCAGTTGAGATGGTTTCACCATGTTGGCCAGGTTGGTCTTGAACTCTTGACTTCAAGTGTTCCGCCTGCCTCAGCCTCCCTAAGTGGTGAGATTATAGGCGTGAGCCACCGTGCCTGGTCACACCCCACATTTGACAATGATGCTTTAGGACAATTCCAGCCATTATGATCTCTTGGGTCTAGGATCTTGTCTTGAACCGCATTTGAACCTTTTGGTACATGAACACTGCTGTTGGCTGGCAAATCAAAACTTCCTGGTTTTCAGAAAAAAAAGGCTCAAGAGAGGCGCCTTGGACTTCAAATGGCGATTACAAAACATTTTGATGAGTTAAGTGTAAATGAATCAGAAGCATCTGGATTTAATTAGCCTCCAAACACAGCCATTTCCAAACTTGGGGAAGGGAAGCAGCACACTTGTGTCAAAACACATCTTGAGGGTTTCCTGCTAAATTCAAAATGATGGAAAAACAGATGGAACCATCTGCCAGGCATTCAGGTTGCTCTCCACATGGACCATCTTATCAGGGACACGGAGCTGCGGGACGTTTCTCCCGCAGACACGGACAGCGTCTCTGCGTCGCCGTTGCCAGCCCGTTCATGGCCCACATTTAATTAAACCAGGCCTACGCATGGCTGGAGAGAGCGCGGCTTCCATGGTTTTGAAGATGGTCCAGGGCACAGTCCTCATGGGACTATGTGTGTGGTCTTCCCTTACAGCGGAAAACCCCCGTCTCCTTCTTCTCATGTCCTGTAAGTTTTTCCATGTTACCCACAAGCTGGCCACGGAGGCATCCCATTGCTGAACGCAAGCTGCTCCTGCCGCCGGTCTGTTTCGGTGACGCTGCCTGGTGTCAGGCAGTCGGGGGTATACATGCCTCTTCCCTTAGAGGTTGAGCTGCTCTTCCTCTCCAATGAGAAAGGAGCTGAAAGCTCAAGGGCCTGGGCTGTCATAGGACGTGCTTCCAGAAGAAAGAATCCATGCATGCTGAGGCCAGAATGGAAACAGGTGCAATTCTCTTCAGAGCTTTTAAGAACTCCTGTATTGTGTCTAAGCTTTTTATGCTTTGGAGTGTCCAAATTTCCCAGTGAATGGTCAAATAATAATGATACTGTGCATTTGTTCAACAAGAGTCTACAAGGTGCTTTCACACACACAACCTCGTGAATGGGGTGAATCACCCATATTTTACAGAAGAGGGAATTGGTGGATTGAGGTGAGATCTGCTCAGGGTCTCTCAGTCAGGAAGGGGTAGGGCTGGATTTGATCTGGATCTTGAAGTTCTGAGCCTAGGGCATTTCCCAGTATTCGACATCTACCAAGGAGGAATGTGACAATTACCAGTGTTGTTTACGTTCAGATCTCAGACCTCCACTTGCCAGCCAGACACACCTTCCCGCAGGTAAAGCAGAACGAGCCCCAGGCTCCTGAACTCCTGCATTGCTGCCTGGGACATCCTGGTCAATGTGTAAGCACCACCCGCGCCCCATCTCACTCTCAACAGTGTCCAGCTTGAGACGATGAATTATGCGGATACTCTTCTCTGAATCCAGTCTAAAAGGGACAGATTTTTCTGGTTTTATTTGGATAAATCATTGAACTTTTCCATCCCAGCTGCTTCCCACAAACATTTCCAAATGGGTGTTTTCCTGTTTTGAGGAGTAATGTCTCTGTTTTCAGAGACTTTGAAGATTTCCTGATAGAAATACCTAATGCAGGCTCAAAGCATTGGCTGAGTGCGCACATAATTCTCTACCACCTAGTTCTTACATTGTGCCTTGCTCCAAAGTTAACCATGGTTTCCTCATCTCTCTCAAAGAAGGAAGGAGTGGAGAGACCTGCTGTAAGCAGATTCCCATGTAGGCCAAGCTGGTTTTTGGTGCCTTCCTGCTTCTCTTTCTCTGTCCACCTCCTACCCTCAGGTTCCATCTCTTCTCATCCCCACGGACGATGGCACTACCCCCAGGCTGTCCTCCGAGTCCCCACAGATGATGGCACCGCCCCCCAGGCTGTCCTCCGCGTCCCCACAGACGATGGCACCGCCCCAGGCTGTCCCCTGCATCTCCACAGACGATGGCACCACCCCAGGCTGTCCTCTGCGTCCCACAGACAATGGCACCACCCTCAGGCTGTCCTCGGCATCCCCACAGATGATGGCACCGCCCCCAGGCTATCCTCTGCACCCCACAGACGATGGCACAGCCCCCAGGCTGTCTTCTGCATCCCACAACAATGGCACTACCCCCAGGCTGTCCTCTGCATCCCACAGACGATGCCACCGCCCCCAGGCTGTCCTCTGCATCCCACAGACGATGGCACCACCCCCAGGCTGTCCTCTGCGTCCCACAGACGATGGCACCACCCTCAGGCTGTCCTCGGCATCCCCACAGATGATGGCACCGCCCCCAGGCTGTCCTCTGCATCCCACAGACGATGCCACCGCCCCCAGGCTGTCCTCTGCGTCCCGCAGACGATGCCACCGCCCCCAGGCTGTCCTCTGTGTCCCACAGACGATGGCACCGCCCCCAGGCTGTCCTCTGCATCCCACAGACGATGGCACCACCCCCAGGCTGTCCTCTGCGTCCCACAGACGATGGCACCGCCCCCAGGCTGTCCTCTGCGTCCCACAGACGATGGCACAGCCCCCAAGCTGTCCTCTGCGTCCCCACAGACGATGGCACCACCCCCAGGCTGTCCTCTGCATCCCACAGACGAAGGTACTGCCCCCAGGCTCTCTCCTGTGTCCCACAGATGATGGCACCACCCCCAGGCTGTCCTCTGAGTCCCACAGACCATGGCACCGCCCCCAGGCTGTCCTCTGCATTCCCACAGTCTCTTGCATCAGCTCTCACTGAATCTCCCACTTTTTCCTAATTGAGATAGTTTTTCCCACTTTTATTGCCCTCGCATGAGCCTTAGGGAAGGACCTAATGCCCTCATTTCCACGAATCCTCCTAGGCCTTGTTAAAGGAGCTGTTTTGGGGAATATCCCATGTGCTATGGAGTCATGGAGCTCACACGGAGGCCAGTCCCTGAGGGGTGGGGAGGGAGTGAGGAGAAGAGGGAGGAAGAAGGTTTCTGTGGACACTGCTGTCTGCCGGGAGGGTTATCTGCATGGCTCTACTGGGCCCTTCACACCTAAGAATTGCTTGCTTTCATGAGGGGGTTCAGCCACCTTCTTAGAAGGAGAAGGGATCTTGTGGAACTGTGAGGACCTGGAAGTCCACAGAGACCGTGCACCACACGTGGGAATGGGAGCAGGGCCTGCAGCCCGGCCTCTCTGTTGTGGCTTCTCCGTGTGGACACTCCGTTTGCACACTCTTCCCTAGAGCAGCCTCCTCTGCGGACCCGCTACCATGTCCCTCCAACGCTAACTGGCACCCAGACCCCACGGCCCCCCCATCCTCTCTCTAGCCACTTCTTCCTTCTAGCCCTTACTAGTCTTTGGTTGTAAGCAAAAGAAACCAACTCCGGTTAACCTACCCAAGAGGGAAGTACTTGGGAAGAATGCGGGGCATGTGTTCAGTAGGATACCTTGGAAGCAGATGTTGAGAAAGGGGTTTGAGTGCAAGTGATTTTTTTTCTGAGAGGTGATCTCAGGAAGCACAGGTGGAGTGGGGAGATGAGTTGAGGAAGGAAGGCCGCGATTTCAGGGCACAAGGAGAGCAGGTTTTTTTAGGGGCCTCTGGGGAACTATACAGACTTGCCTCTGAATGAACCCCGCCCCCGAGCTGGGAGAAGCCAGGGCGTTTATCTTCAAACTCCCATCTATCCTTAGTTAATCTGGGGGTGTTAACTCTCCTGAATTCTGCCACAGGCAAGCAGAATACAGTTCCAGTCAGAGAATGTTCTCTGGCAGAGTCCAGGTGAAAAGAGCCGATGGCTATGTGGTGGTTTATCTCCAAGATGGTTCCTGTCCATCATCCCCTTCCCTCTCTGTGTGCATAAGCTATTCCTGCATTGAGAGATGGAGTCTATTCCTTGACTGCCCCTGCACCTTGAATCTGAAATCAAATTGAGTGAAAGTGATGTCTCACAGCTTATGCCTGAGTCTCTTGAAACACTCACTTTGAGAGGAATCAGCAGCTTTGGAAGAAGTCCAACTACTTCAAGATCGCCATGCTATGAGGAAGCCGAAGCTAGCCATATGAAGAGGCTGCATGGAAAGAGAGAGAGAGATGGAGAGAGAGAGAGAAGACAGGGGACCTGGTGCAGTGACTTACACCTGTAATCCCAGCACTTTGGGAGGCCGAGGCGGTCGGATCACCTGAGGTCAGGAGTTCAAGACCAGCCTGGCCAACATGGTGAAACCCTGTCTGTACAAAAATACAAAAATTAGCTGGGTGTGGTGGCGCGTACCTGTAATCCCAGCTACTCAGGAGGTTGAGGCGGGAGAATTGCTTGAACCCAGGAGGCAGAGGTTGCAGTGAGCTGAGATAGCACTTCTGCATTCCAGCCTGGGTGACAGAGCAAGACTCTGTCTCAAAACAAAACAAAACAAAAACAAAAAAGAAAGGAAGAGGGAGGGAAAGAGGAAAAAGAGAGGCTCGATTAGCTCCGAGATGTTCCAGCTATTCCAGACCAGACACCAACAGGTGAGTGAAGAAGACTTCAGATGAACTTAGCCTCAGTCATAGACTGACTGCAATTGTATGAGAACAACCAGCCAGTTGTGTTAACCTCCAGAACCATGAGAGGTAACAATAAATTATTGCTGTACTCTGTTAAGTTTCTGGGTGGCTTGTTATGCAGCCCCAGATAACAGGAACCGCATAAGGGAGCAGTGAGTACCAGGGATGTGGGCAGGACGCCTATGACATTGCTGCAGGCAGCACGTGCAGTGAAAGAGAAACCCTGTGTCCCGGCCTCACAGACGATATGCCATGGATCTCTGTAGTGGCACAGAGTGGACAATCACTTTAGAGCACTGATCTCAATGGCTGCTTTCTCTGAGTCATTTTGCTCAGGAGTTAAATTCCCTGGAGGGAGGGAGTCCCAGTTGTCCCATCATGAGTCAGTGGAATCTTGGGTCCAAGATGGCAGGGGATCTTGACTGACAATGACCTCAAGATTGCATACAATGGGGAAGGTCGTTCTTTAAAAAAAATGGAGAAGTGAGGAGACCAGAAAAACAGCAACTAAATTACACAGGCAGGTGGCACATGCCTGTAGTCCCAGCTATTTGGGAGGTTGAGACGAGTGGACTGTTTGAGCCCAAGAGTTTGAGGTTGCAATGAGCAATGACCACACCACTGCACTCCAGCCTGGGGAACAGAGTGAGTCCCTGTCTCAAGAAAAAGAAAGGAAGGAAGAAAGGAAGGAAAAGAGGGAGGGAGGGAGGGAAGGAATGGTACTGGGAAAGCCAAACCAAGAAATGCTGCCTTTGTATGTGGCTTCATCCCCACCCCCAGTTCACTTTGCTAACTGCCTAGGTCTCCAGGTACCAATCTAAATCTCACCATAGGAATCTGCTTTATCCAGCTCATCTTTCCAAGTCAGGCCACGCAGGGCCCTGGGTAGTCAAATGGTCAGCTTCCCACCCCTTGGTCCAAAAAACTGTGGCTAGGTGGGAGGGCTCAGTCACATGTCACAAAACTTCATTATGCCTCTTGGCAGTGACCACAAGGACAGGCAGTCCCTTCTTGCTGCAGATGCAGAGGTTAAAATCATGGACTCTAGGCTGAAGCCCCAGCCTCACCCGCTGTAGGAGTCTGCCAAAGGTCCTCAAGCTCTGCTGTAGGACACTGCCAAAGGTCCTCAAGCTCTGATGGTCAACTTCCTTATCTTTAATCCCAGTACCTACCCAGAAGTTTCCTGGGAGGACCAAATAAGAAGCCCCAAGCACACTGCCTGACCTATGTGTTTAGTGGCGGTAGTCTATCGTTTTTATCTACAAGCCCAGTTCTGCCACCATGTCTGCTACTTAACCCTCAGTAAAGAGGACCAGATTCCTCCATGCAGAGGGTAGAGCGGTTGGCTGTTTGTGCCTCGCCAGCACCCTTACCCTCATCCTCGCAGTGCGTGCTGCTTTCCAACCACCAGACCCTGCAACGCTTTGCCTGAGGGCTTTCTTTGTCTCCTGGGGTAGCTCTACTCAAGCCAGGCCAAAGTGCTAGGGAATTAAAGACCACTCTCCTCCCCTCTGCTGCCCTCCACCAATGGCCATGGAGTGTGGTGTACAAGTACCCCAGCACCCTTGCCCCTCGGGTGGGATGCATCAGAGGTTGTGTTCCATAGTGCCTTCCAGAATTCTGCAGACCAAGAGGGTCAAGCTCCAGTTGTCCACGGTGGGAACTTGCTGGATAATGGATCCTTATTTGGCTGGCTGTCCTTCTCCGTCTCCCTTCCCCACTCCCCTGCTGTTGTTCCCCATGCTGGGATCCCCTCCGAAATAAATTACCTGCCCTTGAATTCTTGTCTCAAGGTCTCGGTCAGGAGAACACAGACTAAGCGGGGAAGGGAAACTCTTTGGTTTATGAGAAGGATCAGCCTTCCAGTGTTTTTATCTTGTCCTAGCTTCTGAACCTCATGAGGATGGCTCTTGGAACACCTGGGCTCCAAGATTGGACCCTGTGATCCTCAGAACAGCCTCCTGTGCTTCTAAGCTACTCCTCACCCATATTTCTGCAATGTTGTCATGAATTCAGTTCTTTTGGCCTCTCTATCCAGCCCCCCAACCCCACCCCCATTGCATTCTGTGTTCTTAGGGGTTGGGCATGGCCCACTAAGACGCTTCTCAAACTTGACTTGCAGAAGAGGGAGATATATGAGCAGAGGGCTATGGGATTTCTGCAGCAGCTCACAAGCTCAAAATTCATTGCATCATCCCCCCACCTAAAAGTGTATGTGAATTTTGCATTTAATGCACAAATAAATGTGCTCTTAAAAAAAGAAAGTGCTTGTCTTAATGTACACATTAATGTTTTCAATGACATGCCATTGGGTAGAATTGATGGCTCAGTAAGATGGTCTGTGCTCACTCTTGGAATTGAGGATTTCCTGGTAGTTCCTCAGGTTTCTTACTGTGACCTGTTGGAGAAGCACGGTTCACCAGATGTGATGGTTAATTTCAGGTGTCGGTGTGACTGGATTAAGGATGCCCAGACAGCTGATGAAACTTGATTTCTGGGTGTGTCTGTGAAGGTGTCTCCAGCAGACGTGAGCACTGGGATCAGTGGGCTGAGTGAAGGAGCTCTGCCCTCACCAATGAGGGTGGGTGTCGCCAGTTCCATAGAGGCCGAAGATAAAACAAAAGGTGGAGGAAGGGTGAATTCTCTCTCTCCTTGAGCTGGGACATCCATCTTCTATCCCTGGATGTCGGAGCTCCCAGCTTTGGGGCTTCTGAACTCCCAGACTCACACCAGTGGCCTCCCTGGTTCTCAGGCCTTCAGACTTGGACTAAATTACAATGCCAGCTTTCCTGGGTCTCCAGCTTGCAGATGGCAGATCCTCTGGTGTTATGACCACTTTCTATAATACTTCTTCTTATTTCTCTCTCTGTCTCTGTCTTATTGGTTCTGTTTTTCTGGAGAACCTTGACTAACACACCAGGTAACTTGGAACTAGGTCTTTTTCAATCTATTTACTGCCCAAGGTGAAGGCTAGAAAAGATGCAATCTTGGAATTTCTCAAGTTCCAGAAACGAAGCTTCTCAGTTGTGATGTGGCCCTGCCTGGGGAGAGCTGAGCCAGAGGACTTTCTCCATGGTCACTGGCATGGGGGCACAACTCAGTGCTCCCCAAATCTCAAATTCGGTTCTTTGCTCCAGGACAGATGCTTAAACAGAAGTAACAATGGTCTTAATAGTTCCTCTTGCCAATACATCCTGTCTCTTGGAACTGTTCTCTTCTTTTGAAGACTGTTGGGAGAAGAAAGAAATACAAAGAAGAATTTGAAGATTTCCTTGATGGCCCAAGGGATACTCTCAGCACATCTGCCTTCCTTAAAGACCTTATTAGCATCCCTGAAATGTGCTATGAGAGATTTAACCCATTTGGTGCTATTCTTTAGAGATAGCCTTAAAAAAAAATATATATATATATATATATATGTATATTTTAGAGATGGGATCTCCTTATGTTGCCCAGGCTGGTCTTGAACTCCTGCATCAGCCTCTGAAAGTGCTGGGATTATAAACATAAGCCACGTCACCAGGCCTAAAGATCTTCTCTAAGGATGTATAGACCCCCCAGCTCCTTTCGCTTTCTGAACGCAGAACACCATGAAAATTTAGTACTTGTTGAAAAAGGCATTAATACATTCACGATTGGGAGGAAGAGGTGAATGAGAAGTTGTCATGGGGGAGTGTTAAATCAGATCTGGGGTCCTGAGAAGGTGTCCCATTACTGAAAAAAATGCATATAGACCACACGTTGAACTAAAACCATGAAGTCCTTTTACCTTTTGAAATTGATTCAAAAAGCGAATGGGATTTAATTTCATGTTATTCTGGCAAAACCAGTGAGGAGTTCCCCTTTTCCACTTTCCACCCACAATTTCATTCAAACATAAGGTACCAAGTAGGGACCTAGGAGAAAGAGGAGAGTAGGTGGGGTGGATGAGCAAATTTAATTGCCTTTATCCCATAGCAAGCGGGCCCATTTACCCATTTACAGCGTAAACTTCACAACAGGCACATTGTGGTAACAACATCTGCACTTTATAACATGTCCTGTGACAGCAGTTCTGTCATTATCTGCTGTGTGTTTTATAATGTGTGCTGTACCCAGCGCCCAAGGCACTGTTGGGGAAGGCCTTCTTTCTACAGTGATTAGATTTATGGCCCAGGCCTCCATCTGAGGAGAGATTAGCAAGACTAAGGCTGTTTAGTTTGGCAAAGATGAGAGAAGCCGGGGATGTGATAGGTACATTATAGAAGATGATAAATGAAGAAAGGGAAGGCTTTGGGGCTCCCTTATTTGCCATTGCAAAGACAATTAACATACTCCCTTCTCCACCCTAGTATGTCATTAACTCGGGTGGTTGGAGGCTGTCGGTGGGGGCAGAGACCTCCGAAAGCCAGGCCTTGAGGGAAAGACGCTGTGCTGATGGGAAATGTCTGGGTGGATGTATTTATATGAAATAGCACCTAGGCTACATTAGTGAGGATCGGTTTACGGGGCCATCCATCCTACTTTGGGGCACGGTGGCAAGGCTGGCTGTGCCTCCTGCTTCCCCGGGGAAAGGGCCCCAGACGACTTGGCACCAGTCCCCTCCATGGGGCGTCTGGATTTCCAGCAGCCTTTCTTCCTAGGAGACGGAGAGGGGAATCCAAGCACGGCATGGAGGCAGATATCTTGAAGGCTGCAGGGAGGGCGTGGCCTGCTGCTGCCAGGCCTTAGGACTGGTAAGGGCCAGCAGGAAAGCGGGTCACCGAGACTGCCCACCTTGAAGGGAAGGCACCTGGAGACTGCTGGATTTCATCATTCACCTGGGACTTTCTGTATCTCTGGTCCCAAAGAGAACCCTTTCATCTTTCAACACCGCAGCATGCAGGCCGGCTGGCTTACGAGGAAGGGGTCCTGCCTTTGGTGGCCAATGTTAGCACTGGGTTAACAGCACAGTCTTGGGGGCATTCCTAGTCTCCTCACTTCCCTTTTCCCAGCTCCCCTTTTCATTCCTCAGTTTCCCCACTGGAGATGGTCCTCCTAACCCCCACTGTGTTTGGGGGTGGAAACGGTGAAGGGGTCAGTATGTTAATATCTGACTACACTTTGAAGTCAGCAGCACAAAAGCCAATCTCCTTCAGGGCTGTAAACAATTCCCAACTGACCAACTGGGTGGCATGAATTCCTCGGCTTCCACCCTTCCCCTCCCTACAGCTCCTTGAGCAACTAAAACCTAATCCCCCCTGCAAAGGGGACTTTCCACAACTTCCCCTGCAGGCTCTCTCTCCCTCCCTCCCTTCCTCTCGCTATCCCTCTCTCCTTTTTTCCTTTCTTTCTTCTTTCTTTTCTGTCATTCTTTTTTCTTTTTGTGTTAGTAAACTTGTTATGGGAATCATAATGCGGAACGTCCTGCTGTCTGTGTATAGTTTAGGAGTGTGGCAAGCAAATCGGTTGATGGCTGTCTCTTGCTTTCTCTGAAATGGAAACACAACAGTATCCATATCTGAACAGTGCTTCTCAGACTCGCATGTTCTGGGGCAAGAAGAAATCTTACGAGGTTGGAAGAACAACAGAAAGAACAGAAGAAAGAACTCATTTCATTGATTTGTTGTGTGGCTTTGGGCAAGGAATCTAATCCTCTGGGCCATTCTCAGTAGACGGCAAAGACCTGTCCCCTCAATTCAAGTTATAATATGAAGATTGGGATTGCTAAAGATTTTGAATGCGGGGGGGGGTAAATGGGTGAGGGGGGATGGGGGAAGGGCACAGGGCCTCCCAGAGCCAGTGGTACCTTTTGTGGAGATGCTGAACAGAACATATATGGGGAATTAGGATGATGGTGGAGGAGCTGGTGGAGTAGATAAGACGGGACATCCGGACCACAGGCCATTGATAGATGCTAAATGGGTTGGGGAATATTATTTTAAGGTATGATCCAGATTTATACTAATATTTAGTATTAAATATACTAAATTTATACACATTTAAATTAATTATTTCAATTGTTTAACTGTGCGTTTTTTTCTTTTACTAAGTGTCAGATCCCGCTGAGCTTTTGTAAATAGTAGAATTAATAAAGAAAGTAGCACATAGTAAGGCAGACTTTTTTTTTTTTTTTTGAGACGGAGTCTCACTCTGTCGCCCAGGCTGGAGTGCAATGGCGCGATCTCGGCTCACTCAAGCAATTCTCCGGCCTCAGCCTCCCGAGTAGCTGGGATTACAGGCACACACCATCATGCCCAGCTAATTTTTGTATTTTTAGTAGAGACGGGGTTTCACCATGCTGGCCAGAATGGTCTCAATCTCCTGACCTCGTAATCTGCCCACCTCGGCCTCCCAAAGTGTTGGGATTAGAGGTGTGAGCCACCACGCCCAACCAGTAAGGCAGATTTTATAGGTATCCACACCTACATTGAAAAATGGAATGAAGTGCGTTCTGCAAAGGCAAAATCATGGAATCCACCTGCAATGCACAGAATGCTGAGCGCTTTATTATCATAGGCTCTTGGCATTGGAGACGCTTTAACATCTCCTAATCCTGGTTGTGTTTTAATGAAGTTATATGTGGTGTTTAAGGTCTCAGATCAGAGGGAGGAATAACAAAAAGAGCCTCCATGTAGGGCACTTGCAGATAGAAAATGGAGAATGTTCTTAGTGATGGCTTCATCCTTGTAAAGGTGTCAGTGAGGGTTGAGCCAAGCATATCTCATTTCAAAACAGCCTGGACCTGAGCAACATTTGCTGTTTGATTCAAAATACCTTGACATTCCCCAGAGCTCCAGAACAGGTGTATGTTACATAGGTCCATCTGACACTCATTCTAAAGGTATGATCAAGATTATGGTTAACTCTCAAGTCAAATTGTGATCGCCATTTCTTTCTTTTTTCTTTTTTTTTTTTTTGAGATAGGGTCTCTGTCGCTCAGGCTGGAGCGCAGTGGCGCAGTCTCAGCTTACTGCAACCTCCGCCTCCCAGGCTAGAGCAAATCTCCAGCCTCAGCCTTCTGAGTAGCTGGGACCACAGGCCCGCACCACTACATCCGGCTAAATTTTTGATATTTTTAGTAGAGACGGAGTTTCACCATGTTGCCCAGGCTGATCTTGAACTCCTGGGCTCAAGCAATCCACCTGCCTCGGCCTCCCACAGTGCTGGGGTTACAGGCGTGAGCCACCGCACCTGGCCCACGATCTCCATTTCTATAAAATGACAGCCACACTACCCTAGAAGTCCTCTGTGGGTGTTCTGTTCCTCAACAGAAGAGAACAGCATTTCAAGAGGCAGAATCTCCTTTTCAGTGCATTCCTATCCCCCCATCTCAGTCCTGTCTCCTTCTTCCTGTCCATCTCTGGGGCCCTAACCAGAAGGAGTCCACGCTGGGTGGGAGGATGGGCGGTAGAGCAGGCTCTGTCTTGGCCAGCTGCCTCTGTCCCACTCACAGGGGGTGCAGGGTGTCCTAGGCCACCCTGGCTTTATTTACCTCCCAGCCACAGTGAGGTCTGGGAGCCACTCCCAGGCAGGGCCTTCTCCCTGGCCAGCGAGTCATTTCGGGGGGCGGGAAGCAACCCAGGGCAGCGCCTTTGAGAGATGTGGCTGACTCTGTCTCAGTTCTCCCGGGTGGTCAGCCTGTAATTTCAAGATTTACTGGCCTCACGGAGATAGCCGGCCTCAAATGGGGCAACACGGGTAATTACAAGAGGCTGCTCCACTAATCCTGGGTTACAAATGTTAGTTAGAAGGTAAATAAGCGCCGTGCAAGCAATTCCTGGGGCTGCATGGGCCCTGTGTTCTCTTCGCTTTATTTTCTTTTCCTTAAAGAGGGGAGAAAAATGAGAGGTGGTGGGAGGAAGGGAGAGAGAGAGGGAAGAGGAGAGAGAGAAAGAGAGAGACTAAAAAGAGAGGCTGATTCTTATTAATTTCATTATGGCCACTAAGAATGAGAAAGTCTTTGAAGCCCAAATTATTTTAATACTTTTTTGGTTTGTTTTATATTTGGAACTGGAAAAAATTAGGAAGCTGTATTTCTAAAGTTCAAGAGAAGTAGTGTTGCAGATTCTGCCAGTTGGTGGCTGAACTTGGGCTGACAGAATGATTTTTGGGAAAATGTCTCCAAACTGAGCAAAAGAAAGAAAACTTGTGGGACACCTGCCCTCCTGCAAGAAGCCTGGAAGCTGGTGGGTCCTGGCTGTTGCTTTGTTGCTCTTCCCCTCCAGGCATCATCAGGAGCAGGGGTGGGTGAAGGGGTCTTTTTTTTTTTTTTTTTTTTTTTTTGAGATGGAGCCTCACTCTGTTGCCCAGGCTGGAGTGCAGTGGTGTGATCTCGGCTCACTGCAACCTCCGCCTCCCGGGTTAATGCCATTCTCCTGCCTCAGCCTCCCGAGTAGCTGGAACTACAGGCGCCCACCACTATGCTCAGCTAATTTTTTGTATTTTTAGTAGAGACGGGGTTTCACTGTGTTAGCCAGGATGGTCTTGATCTCCTGACCTCGTGATCTGCCCGCTTTGATCCTTTGGGATTTGGCCTCCCAAAGGGGTCTGTTTCATACTGTGCTCATTATCCTCAGAGAAGCCTACCCAGGAAATAGGAGCGTTAACCTGTGTGCTGTGTGAAAGTGACAAGAGGCAGCCCAGGCCTTCTGGAGATGGTTGGCGGCCTTTGCCAGACACTCGCCCTTCTGGTCTTGGTCCCTCAGGAGATGTTTAGAGGTCACTCACTGGACCCAGGAGGGTTCTGGAAATAGAACTGATGCCAGAGGAAGAGAACAGCATTGGGCTGTTGGCCTCTGATGCTTCTCTCAGTTTCCAAATATTGAAACCCCACCCTGGGCTCTTTGGATGTGCTCCTGAGAGCTACATGGACCCCTGCTGAGACTGAGACCATCACACCCAGAGACCACCTCACACCAAAGCAGTCCATGGGAGGCTGCTCTCATGGGGTGTGAAGTTTTCACTGCCTTCGCATGAAAGGTCCATCTCCTCAAATGGCCCTGTGGCTTTAAGACCCCCTCAAAAGACCCACTGCATCCACCCTCTGCCCTGGAGCAAGCTATTTCCGCCCCTCTAGGAGTGGAGGTCCTCTGCAGAGCAGCCTCTGGCTCCTGCCCTGGGCTTCGTCTTCTGAACAGTGTGCCTACGGGGGCCTGGCATCGTATGACGTAACAGCACTGTGACATCAGACCTCTCCAGCATGTCCGTCCCAGCCTGGAGCAGAGCAAGCTCACTGAAATCACCAACGCCCTTCCTCTTTGCTCCCGTGATCAGGCTCCAAAGTGGCTATTTCCGAAACTTCAGCCCGAGCATACTTATTTTGTCTTGATCAAATTGAGTTTGTGGGCCGCCTCTTAGGATAAGGCAATTTAGGCCCTGATTGGGGGTGCTGTTGCCCAAGCCTTGGAGACCAGACAGACATCTGGGGCACAGAAGTAGTGGCAGTTGTTTTAGGGAAAGTGGATCTGAGTTCTCATATCGACTCCATCACCTATCAGCTGTGAGATCCTGAATGGGCCACAGTAAACTCTCTGTGCCCCCGGTTCGCTGTCAGCCACATGAGGATGACGGCAACTCCTGCACAGGTATGGTGAGGATTGCAGGAGTTGACAGAGGACGACGACCCTGCATGTTCCCTGGCAGGCAGCAAGCACGGAATCGATGCCAGCTGAAACTGGATTTGAGTGGATGCATGAGCCTTCTCTCAGGGCCTTCAACTACCTGACACAGAAGTTCTGTGTTCCCTGCATAGATTGGTCTTGTTCAAGCTGCATATTTAGCAGCAAATGAGTCAGGTGGAAAGTTTCCTTTGCGAGCAATGCCAAGCCCTGAGCCCCTAAACTCCTTTGTTAGCAACTGAAACTGAATCACTCAACTCTTCTCAATATCTTTTCTTTTGCATTTTAGCTAACACTGATGACCATTTGCTAGGCTCTGCTCTTTTTTTTTTTTTTTCACTTTTACTTACATAAAGTGTCTCATGTAATTCTTAAATAACCCTTGTGAAGTTAGGACTTCAATGAGTGTGTGTTACGGATTCAAATCCTGCCTGTACCACTTTTGAGCTCTTTGAACAAGGGTAAGTTTCTTACCTCCCTGTGCCTCAGTTTCCTCACTGGTAAAATACCTACAATGATAGTACCTGCCTCTTGGGTTATTGTGTCATTAAATAATACATGCAAATGCTAAGAAAGGGGCTTGGTAGACAGGAAGCATTCCATACGTGTTAGTTATAACAGCAAGAAGCTCAGAGAAGTTAATTGTCTGAACCCATTCCTGATAGACCTGTGCTGCCTGACTCAAGACCCTTCCGCAGTGTTGAACCAACTTCATTTGCAAATTCTCCTCTCACCACGAAGTGACCCCACCTCATGGAGTGGCCTGACTGGCCACATCTGATTCTCCATCATCCGGCTGCACAACCTCGTGGGTGGCCTTGGCATGGAGCAGTTGTTACCCACGGCTCCTGCTGCTCTCTGTAAGATTGAATGCATCCAAATAGATTGTGATTGCCCTTCTAGTTGCATGCTTTTTTCTCTTCCTTCACCTCTGGCCCTTCCTGTAGCCTTCCACCCACCTTGCTGGTCACCACCTGGCTAGGTGTCTGTAGTTATTTCAGCTGTCCATTGTGGGGCAGTGTCTGGGGCTGTATGGCACGCATGTCAGGTGAAACAGAATGGAGTACACAGCACACTGGTGGGTCCTGGGGACACGTAAAAGGAGGATACACAACTCAACTCTCCAGGTGCCATAACCAAATGGGAGAAATAGGACATGCCAAGAAAAGGCCTGAGAATGGAGCCTCCCAGCCTGGGGCACATGAGCATGGAGCACAGCACATTCTGTTTCCCCACGTCAATGACAGTCAAAGTTTCATTCTAGGCACTGAACCCAGAAGGCTCCCTGGAGGAGGTGACCTGAGTACTGTTTGAAGAATTCATGTGATTTAACAGAGTCAATGAGAATACACACACACAAATTCCTTCAGGAATTCTAGTGTGCACTATAAAATTCACTGTAGTAGTGGTAACTCCCATTTATTGAACATATAGTATGAGCCAGATACTTTGTACAGTTACTTTCATGGATTAGTTCTTTGAATCGTCACATTCCACACAAATTCCTTCAGTTGCTATGTTTATTTTTGTTATTTTTATTTATTTATGTATTTATTTATTTTTGAGACCAAGTCTTGCTCTGTCGCCAGGCTGGAGTGCAATGGCATGATCTTGGCTCACTACAACCTGGGTTCAAGTCCTGGGTTCAAGTGATTCTCCTGCCTCAGCCTCCTGAATAGCTGGGACTACAGGTGCGTGCCACCACGCCCAGCTAATTTTTGTATTTTCAGTAGAGACGAGGTTTCACCATGTTCGCCAGGATGGTCTCCATCTCTTGACCTCTTGATCCACTGCCTTGGCTTTCCAAAGTGCTGGGATTCCAGGCCTGAGCCACCATGCCCGGCCACTATGTTTATTTTTATAAAAATAGCAGTAATAATGATTACCCCCACTGAGCACGGAAGACGGGCCAGATGCCTGAAGACTGTGCTCAGGATCCCATCTAAGCAACACAACCATCTGAGGGGTGGGCATGAATATTTGCATTTTATATGTGACAATGGACACACAGAGAGGCTGAGTGACCTGCCCCAAACCACACAGCTGATAAGTAGTGAGCCCACATTTGACCTTATAAAACCTGAATCACAGGGATGATACAACGTAACTCTTCCATAATGTGTCCCCCTACTTTTTTAAAAGAATCATTACATTGAAAATGTGTCATTCACATATTTCTCAGCAAGGCAATGTGCTGGCACTGAATATTGTAAGATTTAGTCTCTGCACTCCAGGTTTTCCATTTAGTTGTGGTGCTTAGAACTAACATCAAGGCTCTAAGTTAAATAAAACAATTGCAAAATAGAGCTGATTTTCTGATAAGGTGGGTTTTTTGCATACTAAGGCCAAGATTTACACTTTCTTTTTTACTTTTATTTATTTTTTTTAGAGACAGAGTCTTGCTCTGCCTCCCAGGCTGGAGTGCAGTGGTGCAATCATAGCTCACTGTAGCCTCAGCCTCCTGAAGTGCTGGGATTACAGGCATGAGCCACTGCACCCGGCTCCAGGATTTACATTTTAAAAGTTTTGTCAAAAATCTCATCAATGAGTTCATTTCCTGAGTAGGTTTTCTAACTTGTTTTTCATGATTAATGATTAATGCAGACTGGTGAAATGCCTCTGCTTTTCAACCCGTTTACCGCACTGGACCTGCTGGGCAGGGAGGCGGCTTCTGTCCTGGCTCCCAGTGACCCTGCCTCTTGGTGTTCAGGCCTTTATGTGATTCCTCCCCTTGGATATGGGCTGGACCTGGCGACCTAATGCTAATAGAATATGGCAAAAATGCTGGCATATCACTTCTGTGACTAAATAACAAAACACTCGTGACTTTGGTTGTCCATTCCTTGCAGGATATGTCTGGCACTCCTGTTTGCTCATTCTGAAGAAGCAGGCCATGCTTTGAGCTGCACGATGGAGAGGCCCATGTGGCAAAAGACTAAGGAGGCCTCTGGCTAGCAGCCAGTGGGGAGCGGAGTCCTGCCAGCAACCATGTGCATGAGCTGGGCACAGACCCTTCCTGGGGCAAGTCTGGAGGAAAGAGTGCTGTCCCTGACACCTTGATCACAGCCTGGAGAGACTGGGAAGCAGTGGACCTAGCTGAGCCCCTCCCAGGCCTGTGATCCGTAGGAACCGTGAGACCGTAACTGTTGCTTCCAGCCACTGAGTTTTGGGGTATTAGTTATGCAGCAGTAGATACTAAATGCCTGCTAGAGAGTCAGGCACCATCTCTGGCAGCACCCTTCTGGATGGCCCTCATTTTTCATCCCCAGCCCTGCCCACCTGAGCTTCTCCCTACCAAAAAGAAATGTGGGAAAAAAAAACCTCTCTACATTGTGGTATCTGAAATGACAAACTCATGCCTTGGTTTGTTCACCAGTGGAGAATCGTCAGTCCTCCTCTTCCTTTGCCACAGCGCATCATCCCTGCCTCCCTAACACAGCTCTTCACTTGTCTCAGGTCATGGCACGCTTGTGGGGTTTCCTCCTACCTCCTTGGTGGCTCTGTTTCAGCCTCTTTCCTGGTTTGTTCTCTTCCTCCACCTGTCAACATGGGAAGGACCCACACCTCAGGCCTCGGTCCTTCTGTCTTCTCTGTGTACACCACCCCCCTGGCAACCACACTCCATTGCTCAGCCTCTAGTGCCACCTGGATGGCAGTCTCCCTTTCCATTTCTAGTCCAGGCTTCTCTCTTGAGTCTAGATTCACATATCAAATTCCCTACCTGAGATCCCCACTTGGGCTTCTAATAGACATTTCAAATAAAACATGTCCCAAAGTGAATGCCTAGTCTTCGTCTCAAAACCTGCAGCTTGAGATGATGGCAACATCAGCCTCTCAATTGCTCAGACCAAAAATCTTGAACTCATCTTAGCTCCTCCTTTTCGCACTCTTCATCTTACCTGTCAACAAATCCTGTCAACTCTGTCTTTAAAATATGGCTAGAATTCAATCTGCTCTCACCACCTCCGTGGATCCCATCCTGCTCCAAGCCATGATCATGTGGCCCCGTGATGGCCACAGCAGCCCCCAGCTGTGTCCTGGCTGCTCCCTTCATGCCTTCAGTCTGTTCTCTGCACGGAAGCCACAGTGATGCTTTCAAAACCTAAGCTGGGTCACACGTTTGTTCCGAACCCTCCAATCCCAAGACCCTCTGTGGGATATCCTTGTTTACTCTGCTCCAGCCACAGTGACACCTGGCTCTTCCTGGACAACCTGCCTGTCACATTTTTACCATGGCTCTTTGCCCTGGCTACTCTAACCACCTGGATGTTCAACACATTCAACTCCTTCACCTCCTTTAGGTCTTTCTTCAAATGTCACCTCCTCATTGAGGAGAAATTAAAACTACAACTCTAACCCTCAGTATTCCGAACCCTCCTTACCAGGATACACCTTTTCTTTTCTTCACCGAACTTATCATCTTCTACCATACTATAAAATTTACTTTTTAAAAATTATGTTTGCCAGGGCAGTTAAGTGAACAAAAAGAAATAAAAGGCATCCAGATTGGAAAGAAAGACAAAAAACTAACTCTAGTTGTAGATGACATGATATATAGGAAATCCTAAGAAATCCCCTAAAGAACTATTAAAACTAGCAAACGAGTTTAGCAAGGTTCAGGATATACAAGAACAATATACAAAAATTATTGTATTGAACAATCCGAAAGTGAAATTAAGAAAACAATTTCATTCATAATTGCACAAAAAGATAAAGTATTTAAGAATAAATTTAACAAAAGAAGTGCATGACTTGTGCATTGAAAACTAGAAAGCATTGTTGAAAGAAGTGAACTGGAAGGATATCCCACGTTCCTGTGTTGGAAGGCTTAATATTGTTAAGATGGCAATGTTCCCCAAAGTGATCTCCAGGTTCAATACAACACTTATCAGAATCCCAGCTGCCTTTTTTCTTTTTTTTCGCAGAAATAGGCAAGCTTATTGTAAAATTCATATAGAAATTCAAAGGACCCAGATTAGCCGAAACAAGTCTGAAAAAGAACAAAGTTGGAGGACTCACACTTTCAAATTTCAAAGCTTCCAAAACTACAGTAATCAAGAGAGTGTGTTGGTGATATTAGGCTAGACATATTAATCAATAAAACAGAACTGAAAGTCCAGAAATAAATCCTTACATTTACGTTCAATTGATTTTCCACAAGGGTGCCAAAACAATTCAATGATGAAAATTAAGCTTTGGTGTTGGGAAAACTGGATATCCACATGCAAAAGAATGAAATTAGATCCCTACCTGGCATCATATATGAAAATGAACTTAAAATGCATTATAGGCCTCAATGTAAGAGCTAAAACTGTAAAGCTCTTAGGAAAAAACATAACAGTAACTCTTCATGAACTTGATTTAGGCAAAGCTTTCTTATATATAACACCAAAAGCACAAATGGCAAAAGAAAATATAGATGAATTCACCAAAATTGAAAAACTTTTGTGCTGCAAATGTTACCATTGAGAAAGCAAACAAAACAAAACAAAACAAAAAAACAAAAACAATCCACAGGATGAGAGGAAATATTTTCAAATCATGTTTGGTGAGGATTTAATATCCAGAATATGTAAAGAACTGTTACAATGCAACAACAAAAAGGCAAACAATACAATTTAAAAATGGGTGAAAGACTTGAATAGCCGTTTTTCCAAAGAAGGTATATAAATACTCAACAAGCACATGAAAAAATGCTTCACATCATTAGTCATTAGCGAAATGCAAATTTAAAATCCCAAAGAGATATCATTTCATACCCACCAGCATGGCTCTAAGAAATTTTTGTTGTTTGTTTTTCTTTGAGACAGGGTCTCGCTCTGTCATCCAGGCTGGAGTGCAGTGGTGAGATCTTGGCTCACTGCAACCTCTGCCTCTAAGGCTCAAGTGATCTTCCCACCTCAGCCTCCAGAGTAGCTGGGACTACAGACACATGCTATCACACCCAGCTAATTTTTGTGTTTTTCTAGAGATGAAGTCTTGCCATGTTGCTGAGGCTGGTCTCCAACTCCTGGACCCACGTTATCCTTCCATCTTGGCCTCCTAAAGTGCTGAGATTATAGGAGTGAGCCACTGTGCCTGGCTGGCTCTAATAAATTTTAAAAAAGAAAAATAACAAGTGTTGCTGAGAATGTGGAGAAATGGGAAGCCTCGTATATTGCTGATGAGAATGTAAAATGGCACAGTCACTGCAGAAATGTTTGGTGGTTCCTTAAAAAGTTAAGCATAGGATCATAATATGACCCAGCAATTCCACACCTAGGTATACACCCAGAAAAGATTGAAAACAAATACTTGTTCATGAATGTTCATGGCAGCACTCTTCACAACAGCAAAAAGGGGTAGACAACCTAAATGCTCATCCGTTGAGAAATAAATAGATAAAATGTGGTATATTCATACCGTGGGGTATTATTTGGCAATAGCAAAGAGTGAAGGATCAGTGCCACACGTGGATGAACCTTGATGGCACGATGCTAAGTGAAAGAAGCCAGACACAAAAGACCACGTATTTATTGTGTGATTCCACTTATAGGAAATGTTCGGCCTAGGCAAATTCATAGAGACAGAAAGTAGATTAGTGTCTGGCAGAGGTGAGGTGAGAGGGGCTGGGATGGGGGAGTGACTGCCGATGCATGTGTGGTTTCTTCTTGGAGTGATGAAAGTGATGATTGCACAACTCTGTATATCATAGAAGCCAGGTAAATGTACACTTTTAATGGGTGAATTTCCTGGTACATGAATTATATCTCAGTGAAGCTGCTTCAAATAAATTATGTCTGTTGCTCCTTGGCTGTCTCTACTACCTGGAGTGCGAGTGCAGGGACCAGGGGTCCTTATGTGTTTTGTTTGCTTGTGTCTTCCCCAGCAGGAAGAGCAGTGGCTGGGACTGAACACATATTTGATGTATGAATGAATACAGGGATATTTTTGTTGAGTTTTTTATTTCAGAAAAACATAAATACGCTTCAGCCGGACATTACTTTTAGCTATGGTCTATCCTATAAAACTAAGTATAAAAAACTGATGTGCTACTTTCCTCAGATGAAATTTTGGTAGGAGATAGTGAACAAAATAAGATAACTCTGGAAGGTGCCTGGCCAGGGAGGCAGAAGGCAGGACGGGCTGTGGTGACGTAAGCTGGGCCTGGTGGGAGTGGACTCTGCTGTCCCCTCAGTCAGAAGGTGCGGGCTGGTGACTGGGGCCACCTCCCCTTGAGTGGACTCTGCTGTCCCCTAAGTCGGAAGGTGCAGGCTGGTGACTGGCACCACCTCCCCATGACCGGACTCTGTTGTCCCCTAAGTTGGAAGGTGCAGGCTGGTGCCTGGGGCCACCTCCCCTTGAGTGGACTCTGCTGTCTCCTATGTCAGAAGCTGTGGGCTGGTGACTGAGGCCACCTCCCCATGAGCGGACTCTGCTGTCCCCTAAGTCAGAAGGTGCAGGCTGGTGACTGGGGCCACCTCCCCTTGAGTGGACTCTGCTGTTCCCTAAGTTGGAAGCTGCGAGCTGGTGACTGGGGCCACCTCCCCATGAGTGGACTCTGCTGTCCTCTAAGTCAGAAGGTGAGGGCTGGTGACTGGAGCCACCTCCCCTTGAGTGGATTCTACTGTCCCCTAAGTCGGAAGCTGTGGGCTGGTGACTGGGGCCACCTCCCCTTGAGCAGACTCTGCTGTCCCCTAAGTCAGAAGTTGCAGGCTGGCGACTGGGGCCACCTCCCCGTAAGTGGACTCTGCTGTCCCCTAAGTGGGAAGGTGCAGGCTGGTGACTGGGGCCACCTCCCCGTGAGTGGACTCTGCTGTCCTCTAAGTCGGAAGGTGCGGGCTGGTGACCGGGGCCACCTCCCTGTGAGTGGACTCTGCTGTCCCCTAAGTCGGAAGGTGCAGGCTGGTGACTGGGGCCACCTCCAGCTTCAGGTTGTTTTTAAGGCTCTGGCAGCCCACCCAGCATCGCTGTGTGAATTCCAGAAGGGTGCCTGTCTTCTGGCCCATTTCCCGCTCACTGAGCCCACCGCTGAGGGGAAGGATTTGTGGGGAGAACAGACACTCAGCTGGATTTTAGCCTCCTTGTAAACCCTCCCAAGTGCTCTTAAAAAGTATACAGCAGGCTGGGCGTGGTGGCTCACGACTGTAATCCCAACACTATGGGAGGCCGAGGCGGGTGGATCACGAGGTCATGAGATTGAGACCATCCTGGCTAACACGGTGAAACCCCGTCTCCACTAAAAATACAAAAAATTCTCCGGGCGTGGTGGCGGGCGCCTGTAGTCCCAGCTACTCCGGAGGCTGAGACAGGAGAATGGCATGAGCCCGGGAGACAGAGCATGCAGCAAGCTGAGATCGAGCCACTGCACTCCAGCCTGGGGGACAGAGCGAGACTCCGTCTCAAAAAAAAAAAAAACAAAAACAGTATGCAGCATGGACATCCCTATACCATGGTTCTATGCATTTAAACATTTTAGAATTGGTGTGTGAGATAGGGAGTCCAGGGCACACAGCTTCTATGGGGCTGGTCTCAGGGAATGCTCGTGGGGAGTGGGGCTGTGAGAGAGGGAAGGGACAGCCAGCAGTTAAGGACTGATGATGAAACTTGTTAGCAACGGTGCTTCCTCCTGGTGGAAAGGCTGAGGAGCACTGCAGGACACAAGGCTCCCAGGGTTCTCCCAGCCTGGGGCGAGGGAGCTGGAGCGTGTATACACCAAGTCCTATCAGTCCCAGAAGGATGCTCCTGGGAGGAGTTAATGCTCTGACAATTCCAGCCTCTGTGTTCAGGCCCAGAGGCCTTCCAATGCTTTCAAAAAGCCCCCAGGTCCAGAGATGCAATGCCTGGCAGCTGAAAGTCAGCTTGTACACACTGCAGTTGTAAGGCCCTGGGGTTGTGGGTGTGGCACCCATCATTTCTCCTTGGTTGCCAATATTTTAAAAAATAGGACAAAATATACATTTCTTGTTTCTCGGGGCAAAAAAGTGAAGACCTGGCAAAACTGGCTGACATTCCTACTAGGCTGCAAACAGCTGGCCATGCCGTTTTGAGCAGGGGCCTGGGATCCGATTCATTATCACCCCTTCCAGCCTGCTGCAGGTATCCACATCTCTGACAATGCCCCGGTGGGCACTTGCTTTGTGATTTGTGTGATTTGTGCCTGAGACCACAAAACTCCTAGCCTGAATTGCATGGGTGATGGTTGAACTGACGTGCCCTATGAAAAGAGGCATAAAAAAAAAACAAGATATAAATTAAAAAAAAATTTTCCCCAAAGGGCTATGACCAATACATGCTTGACTTGTGAGTGTTGAAAGCTCTGGCCAGTATTTTCATATATGTAGTTCCTGCTGAGCCTCCCTTAAGTCTAGGGTGGGCCAGGGCTTTGATCCAGGGCCCCTTTGTGCATGATTGGCCCTCACACTTGCATGACCAAGCCGCAGATGCTCCAGGACTCAGCAGGCCAGCCCTTGTGCGAGGCCCCTGACCTGGGCCTGGCCTGGGGCCAAGGTGTGGTAGTATTCGCTTGCTGGAGAGATCCACTGAGGCTGCGTGACCTGGGAGCCCACTCAGACCAGCGCGGGGGCCAAGCGGGGCCTTTGGGCCGGATTCACGGAGAGCGCTGCCTGTTACTAGGCAATAGGCCATCAGGATGATCAGTAGCCACAGGCAGCAGCGGGAACAGATCCTTCCCATAGACTCTGCCTCACCCTCTCGCATGTGGAACCGGCTTCCACCGAGCAGTTTTGGAACAATCATTTCAGAGCCAATCTTTTAAATTAGTCTCTGTAAATATAGAAATTGACTTTGGGTTGTTTCATTTTGGTGCTGGCCTCCACCTTGGCGGCCCTGTCTTGGGTCGTGCAGCAATTCTGTAAGGACAGGTTTTTGCCACCGACATCCCTATATCTACATGGTCCCTCTAGCCATGTTAATTTCAGAGCAGTGGGACTTCCTACTCCGTGGCTTAGGGCTCCCAAGAGACATATCCCAGGAGGACTGAGCCAATGCTGTTGCCGTGTATGATCTAGTGGAAGTCACGTGGCATTTTCCACCTAGGCCACCAGCCAGGGAAGTCACACAATTCTGCTCAGGTTCAAGGGGAGGGGGTATGGACTCCACCTCTTGATAGGGGAGGGGCAAGGTTCTGGAAGAGTGTATGGCAAGGGTAATTGTGCGAGGCCAGTTCTGGAAAATAAACCTGCCACCATCTCCTGATGGGGCCCAGGTCTGTAGGGCAGAGCACAGGCCCAGGGATTCTGGAACTCTGAGGCCATCTTGGGCCCTTTGGTATCAGCAGTCACCGTGAGCCAAAGGACAGTACTGGCAGCTGCTCCCAGGGTCCCTGGGGATCGCAGAGGTGTTTGGGGTTTGGATGAGCTAGCTGTGGCCTCTGTAGCCGAGACTGAATTGAATTAACGGGATCAGTGTCAGAATCCCATCAATATATGCTGTTTCTGGGGTTTGCTAGGTGACAGACTCACCCCTAACTTTTGCAGGCTCAAAGCAAGAGTACATATGGAGCTCTACCTGCCATATGTCTAAATATTTACAGTTTATAAATAAAGCAAACTAATTGTTAAATGACTACCTTATCCTGTCATCTTGGCAGATATCCTTCTTAATGAACTGAAAAGCTAGATTTGAATTTGGATTTCCTGAATTCCTGGGAGTTTCCTAAGTGGGGAGAACCATCCCTCAGCCCTCAAAGCAAACCCTGTCTGGCTTCACACCCCGGCTTTGCTCCACACTGTAAAGGGCTTCAAATGTATGCATGTGCACACCGCAGCCTGCACCTCTGAGCTCCTTCTGCGTACCTTGCAAACATCTACTGTTGGCCACTTCTTGGACTTGAAAGTTTATGCCCTAGAAGCACAGTCCATCATGGGACGGAGGACCAGGGAAAGAGGCCCCACAAGTGCTGGAAGCAGGCTTGGGGCTCTATGGGCAGGGAAACCTGGGGCCCCAGGACCCTAGAGCGTGGCCTCCAAAAGAGGATCTGGGCTCCTGGTGGGCCCATCCTAAACTAGCAGATTTCTTGCTTCATGGTGGGGGGATCACAGTGGCCAGAGAAGGGCCATAGGCGTTCTTTGAAGCGTGTGGGAGCTCCAGCGCAGGGGCCCTCTTGATCAGGTCCACTGATGTCTGGCTTGACGCTGGGGCTCCTGGCCTACCTGGCTGTAGGTGGGCTGCTTCTGCCAGTCTCCAGCCTGCTTTTTTTTCCTTTCTTTTAAAAAATGGAGTCTTGCTATGTTGCCCAGGCTGGGCTCTAACTCCTGGGTTCAAGCAATCCTCCTGCCTTGGCCTCCCAAAATGCTGAGATTACAGGTGTGAGCCACCATGCTCAGCCGGGGCTATTTTCTTTGGATGGATTTTGTTAGGTTTGCGGGGAGACTGGATGGATCACTAGCATGTCTTTGGTACTTATGAAGATGAAAGATATTTTGTTATTTTTAGTTCCACTAAGCAGGGGGGATTGGAATTAGAGGAATTGTTGGATGGTAGAACCTGTAGCTACACAAAGCTTCCTTAGCACTGCCTAGTAATAATAACTTCCACTTCCTGAGCCCTTAGGAAGGGCCAGGCAAGTGTCATTGTTTTCTACATTGTATAGATGAGAAAACTGGGGCTCAGAGAAGTTAAGTAATGTGCCCAAGGTCCTACAGTTAGTTAGTAGCAATTACAGCATTTGAACCAGATATCGCCAAAGCACATGCTCTTGTTACACTGGACAGGAGACCTTGATGTGAAGGATGGTTTCCTCTGAGTTCTTGGCTGGTGGGTTTCTGGGAGACTTATCAGAAGGCTGAAGGACACCCTTGGGTTCAGGAAGCCACCAAATAATTTCCCTGCATAGCTCTGTTGGGAACTTGCATTTTGCAGTGGGCTTTCCTTTAGTCTGGGCCTTTTATGAGAAGAAGCTGCAGAGCTAGGCCAGACCCCACAAGGCTTTTGTGATTTGGAAATAGGCAGCTAACAGGGAATGAGATTTTTTTCTGGTTGGTTCCCTGCCAAACCGATTCAAGACATACATAAAATTTAAGTCTTTGGTTCCCCTGATTTTTGTTTCTCCTGCATTTGGCTCTCCTATGAGCAACCTCTCATTCCATTTACTATTATCTTGGATTGAATTATGAAACCGGAAGAATTTGCAGAACTAGCCAGGGTAAATGGGTCTTGCTAATCCTGTGGTTAGAGGGTCAAATCAGCAAAACACTTGGGTGTGAATTGTCCAGAGCCAATTTCATTACTCCCTCTATTTGTAAAACCTGGGTGAGAAAAATTGTATTAATAACAAGAAAAAAATCCCTTGAGTGGTTTTCCTACTTCACATGTCTCAGCCCACTCCACAGCACACTGCAGAAATCCAACTCTTCCCTTTGAAAGTCGTCTGCATCTCTGGCCTAGCTTGCCCCTCTGGAAACATTATTCTCTCTTCAATCCCACAAACGTTTTCATTGCTTTAGCAAGTCAGGTTCATGGCAAAAGCTCTGCCCCCAAAGAACAGAGTTCCAGGCTGTACTCTGTCTTGTTACGACTGACTTACAAAACATATGGATGCATGCATAGGTTTGACTGGGAAATGTCTGCTGCTATGTGGCATGGGTACACAGAGTAGAGGCAAAGAAAAGTCTACATGGTGGATTGCAGAACTGTTCCTGATTCTTTTCAACCCTCCCTGTCTTTATATCCTTTCCCTTCTGAGCAGAGGTGGAGAATATTTTCCTGCCTCCACGATGTTGGGTTTGGCCATGTGATTTGCTCTGGCCAATGGTGATGCTAGTGAATGTGATGCAAGCAACAATCAGAAATGTTCTTGTGTGATTGGGTCTGCCTCTTTGGCTCCTATCACCACCATGAAAACATGTCCCGGGTAGCCTGTTCATCCCAGGAGAAAACGAAATATGAGAAGCAAACCCAAACCAAACCTGCAGTCTAGAGTCAAGCCCAGCACAAAACCCCACCAAGAGGAGCCAAACCCCAGCCAACTGCACATGTGAGAGTTGGAAATACATGTTTATTGTTGCAGACACTGATTGTGAGGTGTTTTGTTTTGCAGTAGTATTGTGGCAAGTGCTAACTCATACAGTCCATTCGAGACCAGTTAAATTCGTATCTTTAATTTTGTTAGCACAACTCAAGAAAGAAACCAATGCTCCATACTGCAGCTCTGTGGCAACTCTGTGGAGTCTCCAGTTGACCCAATGGTGTCAACAACAGAACTCTTCTTGCAGAACCTCAAATGCTGAAATGTGATCATATAAAATTGATGAATACCTTCTAAGGCTGAACAGTGGCCACCCAGGAATGTCTGCTTGGCCCAGAGGGGAGGAAGTGAAATGTAACAGTCACGAACAGGACTGTGAAGTTCACGGCTGAGGTAAAATCATGAAATAAATGGTGACAGAAAAAAGGAACATTGTACGTGTGTTCTTCAGGATGAAATTTCTCAAGATTCTGCTTTCTGGGAGGTAAGTGAATGGCTTGAGTGTGTGTCGGGGGGGGGGCAGGGGCTGCCTCCTTGAGTGGTCCTTCTGACTCTTTGGCTGTGGGTTTTTTAGGAAGGATCACTTCTTTTGTAAACCTGTATTTGAATGATCGCCTGAAGCCACCCTGTGACAGTGACAGTGGGCTTGGCCTCTGTTCTTGGACCTTTAGTTTTCTTTCTGCATTTACTCTCCAGGGGATTCCATTCAGTCCCATGGCTGTAGATCCCGTCTTGATCCTGATGAGTTGAAAAATATTAATACATCTATCTCCGGCCAAGGATTCCCTTGAATTCCAATCTCTTACATCTAATGGTCAACTGGAGGATTTCAGTTGTAGTGTATAACTCAGATGTTACACATGTATAATATACGTTGTATATATAATATTTTTATAATTATGTATGTAAGATACGTAATCTTATATTACTCTATATATTGATATGTATAACACAACTGAATATGTATAATATCTTGAGATGTATAATGGGTACCACCTGCTGAACGTCTGAAATTGAACTGATATTCACCCTCCCTAATAATTTCTTCCCCTTTCCATCTAAATGAATAGAAACTCCATCCTTTCAATTGCTCAGGCCAAAAGCCATGGAGTCATGTTGACTTCTTCTACTTTTTTTTCTTTTTTGAGACAGAGTCCCCGCTCTGTCGCCCAGGTTGGGCAGGGCTGGACTCAAGCACCAGCCAGGCTGCCGTTCTCCAGCTGAACCAAATAGATTCAGACCAGCAGGGGGTAAGGCGTGAACCAGGATACTTCTTACCTCTCTGACCTCCCCTCACTCCCTGGTCTCCTCCTTGTTGTCGGGGAGCTGTCAGAGCCTGCCAAGCTTGCTCTCGCCTGGGTCTCTCCACTTGCTGCTCCTGCTGTCTGGAATGCCCTTCCTTCCCCAAAGGGTCAGGGAGGTCCACGCTCTTCTTCTTTCAGGTCTTCCATGAAAAATCATGTTCTCAGTGAGGAAGATGCTCCAGGAACACGTGTGAAATGAACAAAAGGGCAGGATTGCCCAGGGCAGGAGTATCCTTGTTCATGCCTTTACCCCTCTGCTGCTGTGAACCTATTTGGTTCAGCTGGAGAACGGCAGCCTGGCCAGGGCTTGAGTCCAGCCCTGCCCACCGCTGCCAGCAGCACCAAGGCTGGCGTCCTCTCAGCACTCACCGCAGGCCGGGCCCTGGGCTCAGCCCTTCCTGTGCACCACCCACTTCACTCTCCAAGCACCACGGGAGGCAAAGGCTACTACCGCCAGCTGGGTGCAGAGCCAGTCCTCCAAGACCACAAGAACAGCCTAGAGCCATTTCATTGGAGGTGGGGAGACATGCAGTGCGTTTAAAAAACAGCACATTTTGGCCGGGCGCGGTGGCTCACGCCTGTAATCCCAGCACTTTGGGAGGCCGAGGCGGGGGGATCACGAGGTCAGGAGATCGAGACCATCCTGGCTAACACGGTGAAACCCCGTCTCTACTAAAAATACAAAAAATTAGCTGGGCGAGGTGGCGGGCGCCTGTAGTCTCAGCTGCGCGGAAGGCTGAGGCAGGAGAATGGCGTGAACCCCCGGGGGCGGAGCCTACAGTGAGCCGAGATCGAGCCACTGCACTCCAGCCTGGGCGACAGGGAGACTCCGTCTCAAAACAAAAACAAAAACAAAAAAACAACAACAAAAAAAACCAGCACATTTTCTGGAGGCCAACAGATCACCCAAAGTCCACCTCGAAAGTGTAGATGGAGTTTATTTTTTGAATTCCCCTTGTGTGGATCAGGGTCGTGTTGGTTACTTGTCAGGGGTTTAGAATCAGGTTTGGGATAAGAAAAGGAGACAGTGGCAAAGGAATGTCCCCTTCATCAGCGTGCATGTGGGAGTCAGTGCTGAAGGGGATTTTTTTCTTTTTCCCAACTTGTTCCAGAAAACAAATGACTTGAAATGACAACCCATGGGCCAAATTGAGTCACAGACGTGTTTTGTTTGGCCCATGCAGAGCTTTTTGAAAAATCTGAGCCAACGCTTAAACATCAGGAATTTCACATAAATACCTGAAACTTTGGAATGTCCTAGATGTCCAGGAGACCTGGTGATTGCAGTCCACACTCCTGTGTGGCAGCAGCCAATGACGCCCCTTTCAGATGAGGCCATTGCTTCCCACTCACCTCGGTCCCCACCAGGCTGGCCTTATATACTGGTGTTAACTGCCTTTGCCTCAGGAGAATTTGAATTTGCCACTCCTGAAATAAAGTCATCTTTTATTTCAAGAAGCATGGGAAGTTGAAAATTAAAGCAGTTGCTTCACAGCACAAATAAATTGTACAGCAGACCAAGGGCTACAGACCCGAGAATAATCCCCCAATGGAGTCTACACAAGATTTTGAAAAAAATACCCCAGCCTAGGTTGGGTTTCCTAGAAGCAGAGCCCAAACCAAGGATTCTGGTGCAAGGGATTTTTTGCAGGATTGGGCAGGGGAAGGAGCAAGCAAGGGTGTGGCCACTGAGGTTGGATTGCACACAGCGCTGGTCCCACCTTGAGGCAGGGGGCCCCCTTCCCCCTACCAGGGGAGGTAGGGGCTGGAGGAAATGCCAGGGCAGAGGGGCTCCCACTCAGGGCGCAGAGAGCAGGCTCTGAGCTCTCAGCAGCGGGAAGGGGACTGGGAGCTGGAGGACATGTCCTGGTAAATGGGATCGAGTGGGCATCTATAGTAGTTACCATACCTCCTACCACCAGTTACAAAGGCAACGAGTGCTTACTACGAAGGGATTCGTAAATATAAGAAAGGTTAAGGAAAGATCATTACTTGCCTTACAGCCTAGAGATAATAATCCTTCATACACTGTATTATCCTTTCTTCTTTAACTCTGAATTAAAATAACTTGAGCCCTTACCCTCCACGACTTGTGGGAAATCCAGTGCCCTTCCAATATTTCTGAGCATTCTCTAGTGGGGAGAGGGGTGAGTGTGATTGACCAACGACATCCTCTGCTGGGATCTGAAATGGATCAATGGATGGCAGTGTGTGTGCCAAGGTCACGCTTTCTGAAGGCCGCTCCCAGCTACCACCTGACAGATAACAAGCTGCTCTGAGAACTGCCTTTGGCTCCAGGAGTCCCCAGAGCCTTGTAGTGCCTCCCTCCACTGCATGGCAGTCTAGGACGATTCCACCCCACCCTCCTTCCTTCTCTCCTTCTCTGTGGGTCAGCCCTGCATTGCCAACTCCCCCAGCTTCCTCCAGTTCTCCACCTAGTCTCCATCCAGGCATTTCCGCTGATACAACCCTTGCATGTTTCATCCTGTCTTCGCATGTGATCCTCAGACCTGGACTAACACAGGCACTTACCTTCTCCCAGGTTGCCTATTGCTTCCTACACAATTTGTGGTTCCCTTGGATCATCCTGGCCCCTGCCTCAGCTGGAGGTGACTGAGCACAGGGGTCACAACTCAGAGTTTCCAAAGGGAGAGAAGCAAGCATCAAGAGAGGCCCTGAAGACACCTTTGATGCCTGACAATGTTGCCTTAGTCTTGCATTTTGTAGGACTCTTCTCTCAGATGCTGAGTCCTGGGCCCACTTAGAAGCCCACCTAGGAGGCCAGAGAAGGGCAGGGGCAGAAATCAGCAGCGGAGCTCCTGGCATCCGTGGCCACGGGAGGTGTTGTGTCATGCCCCCGCTCTCTGCTCTTCTCTCTTCAGCTATGTGCTGTCTCCCAGTTCCCCATCTTGCGCTGCCTATGACTCGCTGTGCAGTCTTCTTGCTCCCCGTGCCCTGCAGTGAGCTGCTTACCTAGCATCCTGGCTTTGGCACTAGTGTTTTGGTTCCTGTGTGTAGCAGGTGCTGCCTGTGCCCTGCCCACACCTCCTTGACATTCACGTGTGCCCCAGAGGCTGCTTATTGCAAACACCCCTGAAAGCCTTTGCTTTTTAAACATGTTTAATTTTAGATTCAGGGTGTACCTGTGCTTGTTTCATGGGTGTATTTTATCATGGTGGGGATTGGGCTTCTGGTGTACCCATCACTCAAGTAGTGAAGATGGTACCCAATTGTAGTTTTCCAATCCTTTTCCCCTCCCCACCCTCCCCTCTTTGGGGGTCCCCAGTGTCTATTATTTCCATCTTTCTGTCCAAGTGCCCCCACTGGTTAGCCCCCACTTCTAAGTGAGAACAGACAGTGGTTGATTTTCTGCTTCTGAGTTATTTCCCTTAGGATAATGGCTTCCAGTTCCATCCATGTTGCTGAAAAGGACATGATTTCATTCTTTTTTATGGCTGCATAGTATCCCATGGTGTATATGTACCACATTTTCTTTTTTTTTTTGAGACGGAGTCTTGCTCTGTAGCCCAGGCTGGAGTGCAGTGGCGCGATCTCAGCTCGCTGCGAGCTCTGCCTCCCGGGTTCACGCCATTCTCCTGCCTCAGCCTCCTGAGTAGCTGGGACTACAGGCACCCGCCAACATGCCTGACTAAGTTTTTGTATTTTTAGTAGAGACAGGGTTTCACCGTGTTAGCCAGGATGGTCTCGATCTCCTGACCTCATGATCTGCCTGTCTCGGCCTCCCAAAGTGCTGGGATTACAGGCGGGAGCCACCACGCCCGGCCCACATTTTCTTTATCTAATCCGCCACTGGTGAACATTTAGGTTGGTTCCGTGGCTTTGCTATTGGGAATGGTGCTGCAATAAACATATGCGTGCAGGTGTCTTTTTAATATAATGATCTCTTTTCCTTTGGTTTCCAATACCTGTAGGGGGATTGCTGGGTTGAATGGTAGTTCTATTTTTAGTTCTTTAAGACATGTGAGAACTTTTTCTCATCTTGGAAGGTGCTTGGCCTGAGCTCGGGGCCAGCCAAAAGTGCCATAAAGTTAATGTCCCAGAAGCATCTCTCACCAATGACAGACAAGGTATTGGATGAGAACCTAGTGTTTTGCCTCGTGGCTGGGGTGACTCTGAGGGGTATTCTGCACAGCCTCCAGAGTTCCCATCACACTGCAGTTGTCCTGTGGAAACTGGCTTGGGAACATCCCTTTATTGTCTTCCCTGTGGATGTTTGGGTTTGTGACCCTGTGCAGGAATTACTGGGCACTATGTCTGGGGCAGAGGTGACTGAATGTGTGCAAAATGCCTGGAATAAATGGCTGGCATGTGGCTGTGGTGGCCGGGGCTTGAGATTTGGTGGCAGGCCATACTCAGGAAAGAACAGAAGTATCTTTCCAATGCAGATCTGACGGTCAGCACTTAATTCCGGAGCCTAGTATTTTCTCACCAGGACAAAACCCAAAAGGCCAACTGGCCCCTGAACATGAAGCTTTGAGCCCAGCAGTTCTCAACCCTTGGCTCTCCTCTTTAAAGAATACCAAGATTTGGGCCCCACCCCTAGGAATTCAGGTTTGACGGGTCTGGGGCTGGCCAGGGTAGCACTAAGAATGCTGGTTAGCGTGTGTTGGAGCTGACTTGTGCAGCTCAGGAGGGCCAATGTTCTCTTGCTGATAGCTTGAAATTGGCCAGGGAGAAATATTCGCATCACAGAAACCAGAACTCATCCCCTCGCTCCAGAGAGCTGGTTGTTAAACACTCCTGGCACACCACTGAAGAGGCCCTGTGTCATTATTACGGGAGCCACAACGTGAGCTGTTCCCTCTGCAGGGGTCAATGTCCCAACGTGGGATTTGTTGCTCACTTTGAGGCAGAGGCTTTTACCCGCAGAAGGCCTGAGGTCCAACTCAGTGGGGGCCACGTTGAGTCTGTAATTCAACTTTGAAGGTGGAATCTCCCTTTTTCTGCTAGTTAACTGTGTGACCTTAGAAAAGATGTCTTCATCCTCAGGCCTCCAGCTTTCTGTCTGTTTGATGGGAATGGTAGCCTGGAGCTCCTGGAACTGTGCGAGAATGAAATGAGGTACCACAACTGGGTCATCTGCCACAGTCTGCCATAGAGACGGGCTCCATGAATGTCCCTTTTCTTTCCCTTTGTCTGAAAGGGGGAATAAAGTACAAAATGTTGTTCCCGAGGGTCTCCTTCTTGGAGCTGTTTTCTGAATGACCATACCCTGGCTCTGGGTGGGCCCTGGCCAAAGTCCAGTTGGGAAGTGCAGGGAAGAACCACAAGGAACTGCTCCTTCCATGGCGGGCCTGGGCCTGGGGGGTACTGGAGGTAAGTTTTTAGCTGGAAATGACTCTTCCAACGATGACTGCTTTCCTTGATACAAGAAAACTGGGGGCTGTTGGCCATTGAAAGAATAAAAGCGCGACATTAATTACAGTCTCACCCATGACAATTTACTCTGACTAAGATCTTGCCACTCACCGTTTCATATGATCTCTTTTAACCTGAAAAGCAGCTCTTTTGCTCCCTTTCTAACCCAGACCTAGTATTTAGCAGGGTAATGGGATTTATGATTTTGTTTACATCAGTCTCCGTGGCGATTCACCATAAAAGATCCGTTGCTTGGCAACTTGGCATTGTGGGGCTGCAGTGGAGGGTGGAATTTTTTGTCTCTCTGAATCAAGGGCTTAAGGAATAATGAAAACTTCTGCTCATACTTCTCATGAATGCTTTTATTTTCAAGGTCAACCAAATGTTTTTCCAGGAAAGACTAATGCACTTTTCTTCAAGCGATACACCGTAAAATGTTTCCCAAGATTATCCTGTCTCTGAGCGGGGGATGACCAGCTCTAGACGTTTTTATTCTCTCCTTGCTGCTGCAAAATTAGGTTTGCACAACTCTGAGACCGTCATAATGGAGCAGGTCTGTCTCATTTACAGGCATTTGCCGCACTCATTAGCAAATGCCTTTTTTTTTTTTTAATGAGCTGCTATACACTCTGAATCACTTCTCATCTCAGAAACCAGTTTCATTTGGTTTGCAGTTGGTTTACCACGATCTCTTTGATGAAGGGGTCAATGTTAGCAGAGGCCTGGAGGGCACAAAACAGGACCCCAATTTCCCTCTGAGGTTCCCTATTGACTATAGGCGTTTCTACGAATGATCAAAGGGCCTGTTTTAAAACATGCAAATGCCCTTTCCTGACCTCTTTCTCAACATGGGCACACATGAAGGGTAAAAGAGTTGACTCATACTGATATGCATGGACACGGCCCAAGCTGGAGGTGTGGAGGCCACGGCGAGAATAATGATGATGATGACAGTAGCTAATTGAATACTTACCACGTGCTTTATATATATTATCTCGCTTAATTCTTGCAACAACACTTAGCCACGTGTCATCAGCTGGGGGGCCAGAGGCAGCTGCCAGTGCAGTCGAGACCCCACTGATGGATACCTCTCCTGCCAGGCGCCTCACTAATTCCTCCCCACTGCTGTTCCAAGCCAAACCCGGCTCAGCTTCTCACCACGAGGGAACCCCAGCTGCCCTGGTTGTAGGCCTATTGACATTTCACCCTCACCCTGGGTCAAGTTTGCCTCTGTATTAGATCAATCTACTTGATAACATTGGGTTTAAGGCAGTGATTGTGACTAACCAAAGTGCGCTAGGCTGTGGTGCCTGGGAACGATGAGGATCACCTGGAGGCCTTGTTAGCGTGCAGATTCCAGAGCCTCACCCCTAGAGAATCTAATATAGCAGGTCTGGAGCGAGGCCCATGCATTTTTCTTTCTTGCAGGCACTGTGATGGTGCTGCTGGCCCCCGGACCTGCTGTGAGCAGCACTGCTGTCAATGTCTCTGCCTAAGCCCTTCTCTGAAGCCTGGAAGCATTGCAGTTTCCAGCCTGGGATTTTATGAGGGTTCAGTAAATGTTTGATGAGAAACTTCATGCTACCCAATTTTCCTGTTTCACTCCCTGCCAAGGACTTGGCGACCTTACATTTGTGGAGTGTTTTCAATTTCCATGCATTATGTTACATTCATGGAGTGGTTTCCCATATACGTGCATCATGTTACATTCGTGGAGTGGTTTCTCATATACATGCATCATGTTATTTGGCTCAGTGGGGTATGGTTTTGCCCATTTCATAAATTAAGACATGGAGACTAAGATGATGATTTACCTATGTCCAAAGGGCGGCCTATAGACCATGAGCCAGGCCTTTGGATGCTAAGTCCTGTGGTCTGTTCGCTCCACCCTAGCTGCCTACCTCTGTTTTCCATCATAGAGAAGTGGTCTCAATGCAGCACAATAGAATACAGGCTCTTTGGGGGAGGCAGACGTGGAACCAGGTGAAGAAAGGAATCCTAAAATAGAGGCTGAGAGCTGGAGTCCTGAACATTCAGTCAGCACCCAGTTCTCCACCCATTAAATGAGGATAAGGGTCTTTCTGTCATAGTCTGTGCAGAGGGTTGAATGTGTGTCCAGGGTTGTCCCAGAGTGAGCTGTTGCTGGTCTTCCTAGTGAGTAAGGGGAGACACTTGAGGGCCGAGGACAGCGAGGCTGCTGCTCCTGTCCATTGTGGATGTCCCACAGACCAAGACAAATGTTAGTGATTTTTGTTTAACTCTGAAATGGCAGAACTTTTTTTTTTTTTTTTTTTTAAGAGACAGGGCTTCGCTCTGTCACCCAGGCTGGAATGCAGTGGTGTGATCATGGCTCACTGTAGCTTCAACTGCCTGGGCTTAAGGGATCTTGAGTCCAAGTAGCTGGGCTACTCAGCCTCCCAAGTAGCTGGGACTACAGATGTGTGCCATCAAGACCAGTTAATTTAAAGAGTCTTTTTTTTTTCTTTTTTTCTTTTTAATAGAGATGGGGTCTTGCTATATTGCCAGGCTAGGAAAACATCATTTTTGATGAAACTAAATCTTGGTTATTTTCATTTTGAAACATGAAAGCTTGTGATTTATAGATCATTTCACTTCTTTTCTTCTTTTAACACTAATTAAGGCATTTAAAAGGGGATTTAAGAAATTGTTCAGTCAACTTGCATGTAAGCATGTTAGGGAAGAACAGGGATCACTAGAGGAGAATGTTAATAGTGCCTATTTATCAAGCACCTACTACGTGTGCCAATCACAGCTTTTATGAGGGGAGGCGTGATGTGGGGAAACCAAGGCTCCCAAGGTCACCTGTGCAAGCTTGCATTTGACCCTGTGCAGCTCAGCCTCCAAAGCCAGCTCTCCTAGCCATTCTGATGTAATCTCCCCTGTATCAAAAAACAAAATCTACCACTGATTTTACAAAATCTAAGTTTGGAAAGAGAATCTTCTCCCTCTTCTTCTCTCAGCTTCAGCTGTTTTCTAAACAGGTGAGTACAGATGCTTATTTCATTTCCTGTTGAGTTTCCTATCCTCCAAAGCCCAGTGGTGTGACATACTTCAAGAATGGGAGAAGGAGAGAAAAGGGGAGAGCAAGGGGATCCCAGAAGCAGAAAGAGGACAAAGGCGGAGTCTGAGCCACTGATGCTCCAAAAACGGTGCCCAACCTGGTGATCCCCAAACTGAGTAACTCGAGCCTCCCTGCTGCCACATCAGCCCAGCCGTCATCATCAGAGTAGCTATTCCTTCTAGCTCCTCGTCTAAGGAGACACTGAATTCTCTACGTTTTCCAGATGTGGACACTGAGATGTAAAGATGTTACATAATGTGTCTAAGAACACGGCATGTAAGTAGATGGTTGGGCTGAAGCACCCAAACCTAAGCTGGCCAGCTCTAAACATGCATTGCTTTCCCCATTCTGTGCTGCTGCTCGCGGAAAGAGACTGGGCCCAGACATTAGTAATGGTCTCTCCAGGGGCAACTCGTGGGGAGCGGCTGTGGTCTCCCTGAGCTCACAAGAGGCTGGAGGATTTTCACAGGTGCTGGAGGACACTCCTGGGCCACAAGTCTCATGGGCTACGAGTCTCAGCCTGACTAGGACTCAATCTGACATCTCCTTGAGGCCAAGAAGTGTTTGATGAAGGAATGTTGATTCAGCTCCAGGGAGGAAGGGCAGAAGCAAGGGTGGTGGGCGGAGGGCATGTTCAATGCAGCTCAATTTCATTGTACTTGGCTTTGCCTCAAAAAGTCTGCGTGGAAGGTGCAAGCGGCTCTCAACATGGACGCATCCCCAAGACAGGTTTTTTTTTTTTTTTTTTTTTTTTGAGACAGAGTTTTATTCTTGTTGCCCAGGCTGGAGTGCAGTGGCGCAATCTTGGCTCACTGCAACCTCCATCTCCCAGGTTCAAGCAATTCCCTTGCCTCAGCCTCTTGAGTAGATGGGATTACAGGCACCCGCCACCATGCCTGGCTAATTTTTTGTGCTTTTTAGTAGAGGGGGGTTTCACCATGTTGGCCAGGCTGGTCTGAACTTCTGACCTCAAGTGATCCACCCACTTCAGCTTCCCAAAGTGCTAGGATTACAAGTGTGAGCCACCGCGCCCGGCCCTGCAAGACAACTTTTTTGAGTGAAAAAGACAAATCATAGGTAGATAGCACACTATTTATGTGAAGATGCATATACACACAAAATACCATAAAGTTTCTGTGGGCGTATATGTGCCCACACTTGCATTCGTGCAAACACATGTGTGTCTAGAAGGAGTTATTTCTCACCGGGGCTACCCCAGAGGGTGGGATTGGAGTAGTGGTCAAGAAGGACTTTAGCCTTATCCAAATATTTTAATTTTAAAGAGTAGAGCGGATCTGTGTATTATTTTGGCAGTGGAAACCTACACTTAACATGGCAGTTAAATAAAAAGCTGCCGTTTCTCTGACTGCCCCCCGAGGGCTGCCATTTGACAAACTCTGCATTGACCATCCCCTGAGTAACTGAGGCTTGGCGGTGTCTCTGTGAAGTCCTGTGACTTCAGTCTTGGAGTAAAGAGCAAAATGGGTTGAGGCTATGCGAGTTCCCACTGCTCTTGGGTCTGGGTCGGAGGCCACTGTCGTGACACTGGGAAGTCCTGCCCCGGCCCGGTGGGCCCTTCCTTTTTTTTTTTTTTTTTTTTTGAGACGGTCTGGCTCTGTTGCCCACGCTGGAGTGCAGTGGCTTGAGCTCAGCTCACTGCAACCTCCACCTCCTGGGCTCAAGTGATTCTCCTGCCTCAGCCTCCCAAGTGGCTGGGATTACAGGTGCATGCCGCCAAGCCTGGCTAATTCTTTTTGTATTTTAGTAGAGACGGGGTTTCACCATGTTGCTCAAGCTGGTCTTGAACTCCTGAGCTCAGGCAATCCACCCGCCTCGGCCTCCCAAAGTGCTAGGATTATAGGCGTGAGCCACCTCGCCCAGCCCGCCCTCCCTTTCTCACAGACCTCTTACTTCTTCTACCTCCTGTCTTTTAAGTCTCTCTGACCCATTGTTTTTGATGCTGCAAGGGAGCTCAGTAAAGGCTTAAAGGGTCTTTCTTTGCACACACACCTGAACCTTACCAGAGAGTCCAGACAAGACGTTCTGGAAGGAGGGGCAAGTAGCCTGCGTCTGGGCTGCCACGGTGTGTGTGGGGGGCGGTTATGCTGGTGCCTCCGCCGCACACACCGAGGCTGGCCCAGCCTCGGCCACAGGGCACCAGTCAACGTGTCTATAAGTTACATTCAATCCTGCAAAGCAGGCAGATCTTTCTTACAGGGAATTCCTTCTCAACTCATTAGACATGGGATTAAACAGATACTGTGTTTCCCCTTTACCTTAATCTCCAGTAATCCCAAATAATCTCCCTACTAAAGATGACAAAGTCCTCCGTGGGGTTGACTCATATGCCTGTGGCTTGGGCAGCCAGGTGCCTGTGGCAGCATGAACTGCCTCCCTCCAGGGACGTGTCCAGTGTCTGGAGGGGACCCAGGAGCTGGCAAGTTGCCAAGTTGACCTGATTCAGAGTAAAATCCTCACCTCTTTCCTAACTGTGTGACAGCGTCTCAGTGCTCGTATTCCATGAGTGCCAAACCACACAGCCCAATGTTGTGGGGGATCAGAGTCCAGCTCTTGGGGGCTTTCCTTCTGGGCCCCCCACTGGAGTGGCAAGGAAACCCAGACTTTCTTGTCAGGTAGCAATGTCACACAGTGCAGCAAAGGACTCATTCGGTGAGAAAAAGACATGACTGGTGAGTTCGAGGAGGATGTGGAAGCTCAAAGAGATGGTTCAATAGAAAATAATTACATTTTATTTGGATGTAATGGATGAGTGGCTAATCATGCCTGCAAAGAATCTTTATTCCCTGGTGCAATATGTAGCTGATGTGCTGTGCTTGGTGAGGCAGCCTGGTGCAGAGACAGGAATTTGGATTCTGGAGGCAGGAGAACTGAGTTCGAGTCCCATTTCTGCTACTCACTAAGAGTGTGATCTTGGACAAACCAATCACCTCTCTGAGCCACAATTTCCTCACCAGGAAAAGCAGCTACAATAACTGCCCTTCCATGAATGTGAAGCTTAAAAATAATATATATAACAATAACTCTTATCATAGTACCGTTTATGTTACATTAGTCAGAACTCATAGTCACAAGTGACATAAACCCAATCCCAGCAAGATATTTTTTAAAAAGCAATTTATTGGCTTATCTCACTTAAAAGTCTAGGAGCTTCAGGCATGGCTTAATCTAGGTGCTCAAACTGAACCTTGAAGAATCAAGCTTTCTCTTTCATTTGAGCTGGCTTCAAATTCCCAGATGATACTTGCATGTGTTGGATAGATCATCTGTCCATCCTCAAGCCCATTACCATGTCCTGAGGATCAGAATATGTTGGTCATGCCTTCATCCTGTGTCGGATCTTGCAGCCAGGCACGGGGGTATACCCCACATGAACCAGGGGGAGGTTAAGGGGATAATCCTAGGGAAAACTAGGTATGTGTGCCCTGGATATGGGTCCCCTGATCTCCCAAGAAAGGATCATGGAGGCCAGGCAGGTAAAAACAACAGACTCCCACGACTGACCAGGGGGTGCGTTTAGAGGACTCTAATTGCAAGATGGACTCACCGTGGAGGATTATTGTTCTATAGAGGGTTGCTGTTGATTTCCTTGGCTCTTTGTAAGTTTTCTGATTTCATAGCTTTTCAGAAATGCAAATGAGTAGCTGAATTAACAAGTTCTTCTTAATGTATATGCAAGAATATCATTTAAAATTCCCCATTGTCCTAAATTTCCATGGGAGTAATCAAACCGAGTTTTAAAAGTAATTGGAATGGACAAGGCATGGTGGCTCATGCCTCTAATTCCAGCACTTTAGGAAGCTGAGGCAGGTGGATCACTTCAGGTCAGGAGTTCGAGACCAGCCTGGCCAACATGGTGAAACCCCATCTCTACTAAAAATACAAAAATTAGCCAGGCATGGTGGTGCGTGCCTGTAGTCCCAGCTACTCAGGAGGCTGAGGCAGGAGAATCGCTTGAACTTGGGAGGCAGAGGTTGAGGTGACTGCCCCACAGCCTGGGCAACAGAGACTCTGTCTAGGAAAAAAAAATATAATTGGAACGGACTTCAAGGACGTGTTTTTAGCTCTTACTATCAATGTGGAGGGAAGTTAGTAGACACACCCAACCCTCCAGCCTGCTTTGGGTATATTTCACCAGTTCATTTGCCACGAATTATTTATTAGTTGGGTGTCTTTGGGAGTGGAGGTTCCTAAAATACTAGAAGGCTCTCTTGTCATCAGAGAACACTGGGTTTGATTTGCTCTAATTCAGCAATGATTGACCTAGCAGCAAAGTTTGACAATACAAAGGAGAAAAACCCTTACCCAAAGGGCACAATAAGTGCACAAATAATTAATACAAGACAGAATGTGAATGTGATGGAAAATGAATGAAGGGCTATGGGGATTCAGAAAAGGATAATAATCATTTTGCGAGTGCAAAAGTCCTTTCATGGAAGGGAGAACATTGAGATGGACTTTGAAGGGCGAGGTTGTGTTGGTGGAATCGCTTCCTGGCTGAATGAACCTGGGCAGATGTCTTGTAGGATTCAAGCCAACAAAAGATTTCTCCTTTCACAGCTCAAAAATAAACAGTGCCTCTCCCAATAGTAGACAACCTCTCCTGAGGGCTTGCTCTGATTTGAGCTTCTGGTTCAGAGGTGTGACCTGCCTTGTAATGCGTGCACCTCTCTCCCTGCAGCCTTCCTTGCATTGTGTGTGGTAGGCTTTGTGGGTGGATCTGGGAGCTGGATCAAATGCATTGCAAGTTTTGGAGTCTCACCACACCTTGCAATTTTAACATTACATATAAATGGGTTATAATTCATTAACTAAGTGCATAAAGATAAGAAAGACTTTCCCCTTCTCTGAGCTGATGGGAGCACAGTGTCCAGCAGGTCTCTGCCTGAGCGATGGCTCCCTTGGAACCATGAAGGCTGAAATTCTCAACAGTCACTTGGATCGCTTCCTCCACTCCATACACTTTTATCATGGCCTGTTAATTTGTGCCCTGAAAAGTCTTTTTTTAGATTTAAAGAAATTAAAAAAAAATTGCTTGAGCCTTGCTCTGTTATAACCTGATTAAAAGGGAACCCAGAGGGCAGCATGTTGTCAAGGCCAGGTTTAAGGCTTCTGGGCTTGAATTTCCGCCATGACGTACCACCCTCTCGTGGCTTTAGTTGGGGTTCTGCTTTCTTGGCTGCCACCTGTCCATTTCTGGAAAAAAGACTGTTCTGGGAACAAGCTCGCTCACAGAACAGGAGATACTTTTCTGCCTTCATGGGTCTCTGTCAGAGGCCCTGCTTTGGGTGCTTGAGAGAATTCAGAAGAGGAAAAAGAAGTCCCCACCAGGTCAGTGGGTGATTCAGGGTCCCTGGAGTCTTCCCTGTGCGTCATGTCCTGACATCTGCCTTTTGTAAAAAAATAATTTTTAATTAATGTTTAATTAACAAAATTATACCTATTAATGATGTACAGCATGATGTTTTGAAATATGTGTATATTGTGGAATGGCTAAATTCCACAATGTATATATATTTAACATGTGTATTACTTCACGTACTTAACATATGTATTATTTCACATACTTATCATTTTTGTAGCAATTTTCAAGAATACATTGCTATTAACTATAATCTCCAAGTTGTAGAATTGTGTGTCCTTTGACCAATATCCCCCCGTTACCCTCCCTACCCCACATCAATCTTTGAGTCTCTCCCTTGATCTTTGAGTCTTCTTTGTTAGCCAGGCCTGGGCTCTGAGAGATGCCCCAGCCCCTGCTCGGCCTGTGGGTGCTTATGCAGGGAGGCGGGAGGTGTCCATTGTTCCCCACCTAGATTTAAAGAGAAGGGAGTGAGAGAAGCTGCCTGGCACCAGAAGGCAGTACCTCTGAATTCAGGGACTTTGTTCTCACCTAGAAGGGGAGAACTGGTTTTAGAATCAAAATTGTTGACATGCCATTTGTGACTGTGCCAACCAAGATACCTTTCCTCTAGAAAGCCAAAACATTCTACCTGTGAAAGCCATCAACCTACATGAGGACTGCAGACATATTTGGGTATGTTTAAAAGAGAGGATGATGAGAGCAGGATGCTTGATGGACGGGGGTCCCTGAAAGCTGCGGCTGCAGTGAGGTGCCAGGGTGAGAGGATGACGGCAGGAAGGGGAGGAGATCTGGGCCCATAGCCTGCCTTGGAAACTGGTGGAGGAACGAGGAAGTGAGTGATTTTGGAGGGGTCCAGTTTAGCAGAGCGGGGAGTCTGAGATAAATACCCCTGCTTGGCTTCTCTGTAGTTCTCCTTTTGGCAGATTTTGAGAGTAAAGTGAGTGGTCAGGCCTGCGAGGGGCTCCCAAGGAAGGGAATCCCTGCAGATGACTGCTCCACCAAGGGCCATCCGGTGGTCACTAGGAAGTTTCTGCCTGGATTGCTGGAAGGACAGCGCATCAGGAGGGGGTGGCCAGGTGCAGTGGCTCATACCTGTAATCCTAGCACTTTCGGAGGCTGAGGTGGGAGCATTGCTTAAGGCCAGGAGTTGGAGACCAGCCTGGGCAACATAGTGAGACCTCATCTCTACCAGGAAAAAAACAAAAACAAAAACCGAGTATGGTGGAGTGCACCTGTAGTCCCAGCTACTCAGGAGGCCAAGGCTAGAGGGTCCCTTGAGCTCAGGAGTTCAAGGCTGCAGTGAGCCATGATCGCACCACTGCACTCCAGCCTGGGCAACGGAGCGAGATCACGTCTCTAATAAAAAGAAAAAAAAATCAGGAAGAAATCAAGGGTGTTTAGGTGCCAATTTTATCTGGATTTTTCTGTGTGTGAGAGAGGGAGATAGCGAGAGTGATGCATGGATTCCTCCTGAGTTAATGAATGGGGCTGTGATGGTTTCTCTCTGCCTTCCTCATAGGGACGCACTCTGGGGTAGTGGGGAGACACAGCAGGGCACTGAGGTCCCTGAGGGGAGTGGCTGGGGAGCACTGGATTCTGGACTGGAGAGGGCAGGCACCATGGGCCCTGGGAGGAGAGCACAGTTATGACCAAGCCAGCAGTGGGGCTCAGTGCTAAGCACTTTCATGGCCTGACTCCACTGGATCTCATATGCCTCTTGGGGTAGACAGGCAGGCGTGTTCCAGGTTTGGTTTTCTCATCTGATAGAGGTGCAGAGAGTTTGGGTCTCTAGCTCAAGATGTGCCCCAGCCTTTGTCAGCATGCAGTTCTCACCTCCTCTGTAGCTCACAGACCCATGAAACAGCTTTGCTGGGGAATCATGGCCCCTCAAAGGACAGCATCTCATCCTGAGTACCATCTGTGATTCTAACAGGCCCATCTGAAGGCAAGGAGCTGACTCAAGCAGCTCTCAGAGAAGGGGAAACCAACAGACACAAAGCTTCCACTTGAGGCATGCTGGCTTTAGGGGAATATACTCCAAACTTTGGACCATAGGGCATAACTTTTTCCCTGGAATGAGGCAGCCCCTCTCACCTCTCCTACAACTTTATTACTTATTTCAGCCTCGGTGTTCTGAGCATATACTGTGTGGCAGGCACTTGGAGAAATAACAGTGCCTGAACAGACAAGAACTCTGCATCCTCCTGGAGTTTACATCCCAACGGCACAGGACACAGGATGGTTATGTCAAAGGAAAATAAATCTCGGGACCCCACAATCACTAAGCCAAAGGGAAAAGTCAAGCTGGGAACTGCACTGACTGAGCAAACCTGCCTCCCATTCTATTCCTAAATAAGAGAGCTACAAAGATAAAAAAGCTACATACTTCCCTCATAATTTGCCCACAAGGTAATTTCTTGTGGGCAAAGGACAGACAGAACTGAAAGTCATCCCTCTGCTCACGTGAGTCCGATGCATATCCCATTACCTCTTTTGTCCTATTGTTTTGCTAAGCCAGACAAGGCATAAGTGGCTGTAAATTGTGTATTCCATGAAAGGCTACTCAGAAACGTAAAAGGATGCAACCGTTTGTCTCTTATCTACCTATGACCCAGAAGACTCCTCTCCACTTCAAGTTGTCCCACCTTTTGGACCCAACCAATGTACATCTTACACACATGGATTGATGTCTCATGCCTTCCTAAAATGTATAATACTGAGCTGTGCCCCAACCACCTTGGGCACATGTCGTCAGGATCTCCTGAGGCTGAGTCACAGGTGCATCCTTAACCTTGGTGAAATAAACTTTTTTTTTTTTTTTGAGATGGGGTCTTGCTCTGTCATCTAGGCTGGAGTGCAATGGTGCGATCTCGGCTCACTGCAACCTCCACCTCCCGGGTTCAAGCGATTCTCCTACCTCAGCCTCCCGAGTAGCTGGGATTACAGGCAGGCGCCACCACGCCTAGCTAATTTTGTATTTTTAGTAGAGACAGGGTTTCTCCACATTGGTCAGGCTGGTCTCAAACTCCTAACCTCAGATGATCCACCTGCATCGGCCTCCCAAAGTGCTGGGATTACAGGCGTGAGCCACTAAGTTGACTGAGAAGTGTCTCAGACACTTTTTGGTTTAAAGTTACGAACATGTGGGTTGTTAGATGGAGGTCAGTGCTGTGAGAAAAACAGAGCAAGGGAGAGCGACCTATAGGAGTTGCCATTTTAGACAGAGTGGCTGGAAAGGGTGTCACCAAGGGTGCCTTGGGGAGAGACGGAAGAGGGCGGGGGGTGAACCAGGTGGATCCCTGGGGGAGGCTGGTCCAGGCAGCGAGAATAGCAGGTGCAAGTGCCCAGGAGTGTTTAAGGAACAGCAAGCAGGCTGCGTGGCTGGGACTGGGGGTGAGGTCCCAGGAGTCATGGTGGGGCCGCAGTGCTTGCGGCTCAGGGCCCAGTGGCCAGCTGTGAGGAGTCTGCGTTTTCTCTGAGTGATGGGCATGAGGGAGCTGAGCAGTGGAGTCACACTCCAACTCATGGTGTAAGGTGGCCACTCTGGCTGGGTGTTGAGAATAGACTGAAGGGAGGCTAGGACAGAAACAGGGACCAGGAAGCCATCGTGGTGATCCAGAGGAGAGATGATGGTGCTTGGACCGGGGTGGGAGTGTGGGGTGCTGTGTGAGGGTGGAGCTGGGGCTGGATCCTGATCCATTCCATGGCTTGTGTGCAGAGTGTGAGTTGCGAGAGAAACAGAGGACTCCAGGAGGACCCTCCACATTTTCCAGGTGACAGGAAGTGATCTGGAGTGACTTCACTAAGGTGGGAAAGACTGGGAGAGGCAGAGCTCTGGGGGGCGCTCAGGAACCCTCTATGGGACACACTAAGGTTGAGAAGTCCTTTAAACACCCTAGTGGGAGTGTAGAAAATGCACTCACAAGACTGGGTTTAGGGGTGAGGTCCAGGCTGGAGCAGTGGTGGCTTGAGGCCTCAGCACATGGATGGTGTGGAGGGAAGAGCTGACCAACAAGGGAGCCCCGGGCCCCAGAATTAAAAGGTCACAGAGAAGACCAGCACGTGGGGAGCATTTTCTTCTATTCCAGACACGGGTTTATCTAGAGAGAGCTGCAGCTTACGTGGCGACTGGAAAATGTACTTCTGACCTTATCTGCCCGTAGAAGTATAGACGAGGTTCTCTTCCAACCTGGGACTTTGCAGGTGATGCTGGCCTGCACTTTTAAATTCTGTTGGGACAACATGGACCTGCAACGCTTTGAAGAGCTGGAGAAGGACTCCATGCGCCTCAGAGGCAGACAGTATTGCAGAGGAGAGGGGGTCTGGGCACAGCCAGGGCTGGGTTCCACTGTCCATTCCTCCCTAACCTGCCAGCAATTCTGAACTCACCAAGCTAGGGTTCCTTATCGGTGAAGCTGAGACAATAATAATAATACAGTATATGGTGTGTATATAATAACAAATAGGACGAGTTCAAGGAGTAAATAGTGATACATGTTAACGGCACTTAGTGTCTAAACATGGTGAGCCCTTAAGACACGTCGGCTTATTCCTGTTGCTGTTTTTAATGCCATCTTACTTTAAAGTACTTTGAGATTTCAAGTGAAAACTTGCCAAAAAAAAAAGTACAATTAACTACCAGGAATTTTAGACAAATAAATGCATTTAAACTAAGCCGTATTTTACAAACTCTTAAAGGTTAAATTTCCTGTATGTTCATGTAAATAAACTACTTACTAATATCGGCACTTCAAAATGTGCAAATTAAAGGGAGGAAATTTGGGGTACTCCATATTTCTCCATTGTTTGTTTCACTTGAATAAAATTCTGTTTGATTACCAGCTCACAGGGGTTACTCTGTCTGAAGGGACATGCATTGGAAAGGGTTAAAGCAGTAGAAACGGCTTTCTTTTCACTGAGACCCAGCGAGACCCACTCAGTGGTCAGTGAAAGTGAAAGGATGGATGCTTTGGCTTCCTTCCACTTCCTCCACTTTTTCCTGTTTCTCTTATAAACCTGTGAGTTCCTAGAGGATTGTTCAGCTGTATCTGCCCAGTACACAGTGGGTACTCAGGCATATTTGTTAAAAAAAACAAAGTTATTGGTGACTGACCGACTGACCAGCTGATCGACTGAGGGAGTGAATGAAAGAAGGAAGCTCAATGCTTTCCCTTAAGAAGCTCCCATGGGGTGGAGATGGCAGATGTTTACCAGACCCATAGAATGCAGTGTGTTAGTATTAAGACAGACACCTTGCTGTAGGCAGGAGTTTTAAATTGGGCCTGCATCCCTCAAGATGTCCTCAGAGACTTCTTGGGGTGGGTGTGGCCTGAGCTGGTTTTAAGGGAGTCAACTGTGGATGCTCACTCTCCATTGACTCTCCTAAGATGCGTTGCCCATGCACACAGCTGTGACGGGGTGCCAGCCCCTGGCCTTCCCCAATGCCTCGTCACAGTTCTCTTCTCCCACTTGGCCAAAGAAACTCAGGGCACCCCTCACTCATGCTGAACCTCACCTTGGGGTCTTGCTCTGGACTGTGAGAGTCTTTGGGGGCAATAAAGCTATGATTCAACATACTGGTGTAGGCAAAGCTTCTGTGACTGGACACTGCTGACCTGCAGAGAGACCACCAGTGTCTTTCTGTTTAGGGGGGTCTCAGAAGCAGAAGCTGAGACAGAGTTAGGGGTGCCAGATATTTATTAGGGGTCAACAACTGTCAAGGAACAGGGGAGGAAGCAAGATTGGGCAGAAGAAGTCAAACTTCGCTATAGACCCGACAAACGCTTAGTCAGCCCCGGCGGATGTGCTGGAGCAAGCATTGCCCACCAAGGTGGCTCTCTTTGGGCAGAAAAGGCAGACTAGGCTGGCCTCCCTGCAGCTGAGGCTGACTCTGAAGGAGCTGACAGCTGGAGGCCATCTGCTGGCCTCAATCCCACAGCTGGGTAACAAAGGCTTCCCTGGAGGAGAGCCACACGGTGCACTCTGTCCAGCACACCTCCCTATGCTAGCGTGGTTCCGCTAAGGGCAAAATGTCGTGTTCGGAAGAGGGATATTTTGACCTGAGTTGGAGTGTTTTGAACTCAGATGTTTTGCAGAGTGAGGCAGCAGGATTGATGAGAATTTCTGTCCAAGAAGCTCACTTCTTCCATCCCCTAAATAAATAATATCAAAGAACGTATGTCCCTAAAGAAAGAGTCCACAAAAATGAAGGGAGGAGGGTATCAAAGGCAATCGCAAAGACTTTCTTTCATGGAGGCAATTAATTCATGGCGTGGTGCTGTACTTTCTTGATGTCCCTCTCTGAGATGAACAGCTGGTCTACCAATCATTTGCCACCATGGCCTCGCCTCGTTTCATTGCTCTTTGCTTTATTTGCACTTTGCAGATATTGCTTTATTTGCACTTTGCAGATATTGCTTTATTTACAAATGGAAGGCTTTTTGCATCGAGCAAGTCTAACCGAGCCATTTTCCAACTGCACGTGCTCACTTCATGTCTCTGTGTCACATTTTGGCAATTTTAGCAATATTTCAAACTTTTTATATTATATCCTGTTATGGTGATCCGTGATCAATGATCTCTGATGTTACTACTGTAATTGTGGGTTTTTTATTTTTATTTTTTGAGATGGAGTCTGGCTCTGTCGCCCAGGCTTGAGTGCAGTGGTGAGATCTTGGTTCACTGCAACCTCCGCCTCCCAGGTTCAAGCGATTCTCCTGCCTTAGTCTCCCAGTAGCCGGGATTTCAGGCACCCACCACCACACCTGGCAAATTTTTGTATTTTTAGTAGAGAAAAGGTTTCGCCACGTTGGTCAGGCTGGCCTCGAACTCTGATCTCAAGTGATCCATCCACCTTGACCTCCCAAAGTGCTGGGATTACAGGTGTGAGCCACTGCTTCTGGCCTATTTTAATTGTTTTGGGGCACCATGAACCATTCCAATAAAAGATGGCGAACTTAATCAATAAATGCTGTGTGTGTTCTGAGTGCCCATTCCTTGTCTATATCCCTTGCCTTGGGCCTCCCTGAGACAAAACAATATTAAAAGTAGGCCAGTTAATAACCCTAATGGCTAGTAAGTGTTCCAGTAAGGAGGAGTTGCATATCTCTGACATTAAATGATTAAGCTAGACATGATTAAGCTGAATGAGGAAGGCATGTTGAAAGCTGAGACAGGCCAAAAGCTAAGCCTTTTGAGCCAAACAGTTAGCCAAATTGTGAATGTAAAGGAAGAGTTTGTAAAAGAAATTGAAAGTGCTACTCCAGTGAACACACGAATGATAACATAGCAAAATACCCCTTTTGCTGACCTGGAGAAAGTTTGAGTGGTCTGGATAGAAGGTCAAACTAGCTATAATGTTCATTTAAGCCAAAGCCTAATCCAGAGCAAGGCTCAGTACTGAATCTCTTCAATTCTGTGAAGGCTGAGAGTAGTGAGGAAGTTGCAGAAGAAAAGTCAGAAGCTAGCAGAGGTTGGTTCACGAGGTTTAAGGAAAGAAGCCATCTCCATAACATAAAAGTACACAGTGAAACAGCAAGTGGAGATGTAGTAGCTGCAGCAAGTTATCCAGAAGATCTAGCTAAGATGAAGGTGGCCACACCAATCAACAGATTTTCAGTGTAGGTAAAACAGCCTTAAATGCAAAGAAGATGCTACCTAGGACTTTCATAGCTAGAGAAGAGAAGTCAGTGCCTGGCTTCAAAGGACAGGCTGACTCTCTTGTTAGAGGCTAATGCAGCTGGTGACTATAAGTTGAAGCCAATGTTCATTTACCATTTTGAAGATCCCAGGGCCCTTAAGAATTAGGAGCCGGGCACAGTGGCTCACGCCTGTAATCCCAGCACTTTGGGAGGCTCAGGTGGGCAGATCACAAGGTCAGGAGTTCGAGACCAGCCTGCCCAATATGGTGAAACCCCATCTCTACTGAAAAACACAAAAATTAGCTGGTTGTGGTGGTGTGCACCTGTAGTCCCAGCTACTTGGGAGGCTGAGGCAGGAAAATCACTAGAACCCGGGAGGCAGAGGTTGCAGTGAGCCGAGATCATGCCACTGCACTCCTGCCTGGGTGACAGAGCAAGACTCCCTCTCAAAAAAAAAAAAAAAAAAAAGGACTGGGCTAAATCCACTGCCTGTGTTCTATAAATGGAACAACAAAGCCAGGATGACAGCACATCTGTTCACAACATGGTTTACTGAAGATTTTAAGCCCACTATTGAGAACTACTGCTCAGAAACAAAGATTCTTTTCCAAATATTACTGCTCATTGTTAATGTACCTGGTCACCCAAGAGCTCCAACAGAGATGTGCAAGGAGATCAACATTGTTTTCATGCCTGTGAACACAACATCCATTCAGCAGCTCATGGATCAAGCAGTCACTTTGACTTTCAAGACTCAGTATTTAAGAAATACATTTCATAAGGCCTTAGCTACCATACTTAGTGATTCCTCTAATGGATCTGGGCAAAGTACATTGACAGCCTTCTAGAAAGGATTCACCATAGTAGATGCCATTAAGAACATTTGTGATTTATGGAAGGGGTCAAAGTATCAATATTAACAGGAGTTTAGAAGAACTGGATTCCAACCCTTATGGATGACTCTGAGGGGCCAACATTTCAGAGGAGGAAGTCACTGCAGATATGGTGAAAATAGCAAGAAAACTAAAATTAGAAGTGGAGTCCAAAAGTGTGACTGAATTGCTGCAATCTCATGATAAAACTTTAGTGTATGAGGAGTTGATTCTCATGGATGAGCAAAGAAAGTGAGATGGACTCTGATCCTGGTGAAGCTGCTGTGAACATTGTTGAATGACAACAAAAGATTTAGAATATTCCATAATCTTAGTTGATAAAGCACTGCAGGGTTTGAGAGGATTTACTCCAATTTTGAAAGAAGGTCTACTGTGGGTCAAATGCTATCAAACAGCATCACCTGCTACAGAGAAATCTTTTGTGAAACGGAGAGTCAATTGATGTGGCAGACTTCACTGTTGTCTTATTTTAAGACATTGCCACAGTCACCCCAGCCTTCAGCTGCCACCACCCTGATCAGTCAGCAGCTATCAACATCAAGGCAAGGCCCTCTACCAGCAAAAAGACTGTGACTCACTTAACGCTCAGATGATCATTAGCATTTTTTTAGCAATAAAATATTTTTGAATTACGGCATGTACATCTTTAAAAAACATAACTCTATTGCACACTTAATGGACTACAGTGTAGTGTAAACATAACTTTTATAGCACTAGGAAACCAAAACAATGTGTGACTCACTTTATTGTGATGTTTGTGATATTTGTTTTATTGCGGTGGTCTGGAATAAAACCTGAGGTATGCAATACGCCTTGTACATCAATCTCTCATCTCAGAATTAGAATTCAGAAGTAAGATGGTTGGGAAGGGATGCATATTAACACATTGCTTTGAAATTGAAGTCAGTTTTTTCCTAACTGAAGCTAGATCTGGCTTGGCTGCTGTCTTGATGAATGGACTGCTTTGCCAAATAGGTTACATGGCAGGCATTTCCATGAACTGAATGAGCTGCACCTAAAATGCCATGATTTGGATGAAAATGTACTTAAAGCATATGATGAGATAAAATAACTTCATTGAAAATCGTGAGGGTGGAGCGGGGAATGAAGAGTAGCTGCTAATAGGTATGAAATTTCTTGCTGGGGAGATGCAAATGTCCTGGAATTAGACAGTGGTGATGGCTGCACAACTTTCTGAAGATACTAAAACCCACTAAATTGCACACTTTAAAAGAGTGATCTTTCTGGTATGTGAATTACATCTCAATTTGAAAGGCAAAAAAAAAAATTGTATTGGCAAAGTTGTGTTAAAATGACTAGTATTTTAATTTTCCTAACCTTTTCCATGTTAACAAGGAATCTCTAAGTAAATGAGTAGCAGGTATAATTAGCAGTCATCTGAGAAGTTTGGGGGCAGTCTTTTTGGTGTATTTCCCAGAATCAAGACAGTGAATGACAAATGACTGGGTAACAAATACATTTTCATGTCTCATGGTTTCCATTTCTTTTCTTTTGACAAAATTGAAGGGGGACCAAGTTGATTTGTCAGGTGACAGGTCATTACTAATTTTTGATAATAGTTTATAATGTAATTTTTGACATCATAAAACTCCTTTCATTGATCTCTTGTTTTTGAGGAGAACAAAGTTTCTCACAATGTTTTTCTAAAAATGTGAAATAGAAATAGAATTAATTTTGGACCCCATTTCATTTTAGCAATAAGTAATTTTCTTCTGTGAGTATATCAGCTGATTGAAAAAAACACCTTTTTGATTATTTATTTAAACACATTATAGAGCTATGTTGTTTTGATCAATTGTATTCTGATGATTATTGAAATTATAAACTTGGTCTAGAAAAAGCTGTTTAAACCTTACAGTCTTACAATGATACTGAAATTAAAATTTTAGTGTATGTGCATTTTTGTGTCAGAATAGAATGATAATGATGGTCATTTATGAAAATAACTTTCAAACATGACAATTGCTAAGATATTCCTTAGCAAATGACAATTGCTAAGAAGTACGAGGAGTAAATGGAATGGAAATATGAGTTCAAGGAGAAAATGGAACAAGAAGCAAATAAAGAAGACTTTTCATGTATTTTAAAAATTGGTCATTGTGGGTACAGAATTGCTCCGCTACTTAGTTCCATTGGCAGAGTTTAAAAGAGTGATGTAATGGTTTTATTTTAAAATGCTAATATTTACAATAGTAAGGAAATGACATTCTCTGCAACTATTTAAACTCACAATAAAAGTTTTTAAAAATGTCATCTTAAAACTGTGAGGGAGAAAATGGGTTTTCAAATCCTGAGGGGTGATTGGATGTACCGGGGTGAGGGAGCTTTGCAGAGGAGGTGCTGGGAGCTGCACTTCGACAGGAGAAAGATGTCTGCCAGTCAGAGGAGGGCCCAGCCAGTTGCCTACTGGAGGCTGAGGTTTTAGGGGCAAAAGGCTGGCTCCTGGCACACTCACCAGGATGCCCATTACCATAGCAACTGATATCGTGGCCATTTTGTAGACACCCAAGTGTGAGAAGCAGCTATGTGACGGTCAACAATGCAGCTGCAGATGGCAGCACCCTTTGCTGGCCCCTGGCGAGTGTGTGTGCATGGCTCTCTGCTTTCTCTGTGGTGGCTGTTGTTCAGCGGCACCCTGAATTAGCCTGGCTTCAAACCCCAACTGCCTTCCCTTGCCCCACAGCATGCTAAGAGGACAGGACCACCCGTGCACCCCCAGGCTTCCAGAAATCAGGTGGCACTTTCAATCCCCAGGATCCAAGAGGATCAAAACAACGAGGCCGAGTTTGAAAAATGGACAAGAATAAGCTCAAAAAGAGCAGAGCAGAGGCTTTATCTTTTGTTGTGTTAGTGAGAAGGAAAACCTTGGTAAAGTTGGTGTATGGGGACGGGTCTTGGCTTGGAGGGTTTCCAATTGACTTGAAAAGAAACTCGGGCCTTTTTGCCCTATGAACCCAGCTCAGAAGCTTGTAGGGGAAGCAAATTTGAACTGCAGACCTCAAAATTGTGTTTGTGTTGACTGGGGAGCCACAGAGCCAGGTAGCACGTTGGTAAGAGTTCTCACACTTCTAGAAAATGCTGCAGTTGGAGCCTGCCCGGGGTGGGCTGTCCTGGGGCAGGAGAGCAGCTTCAGGCAGGGTCCGTGCAGAGAGGAGCCCCCGAGGCCTGTCCTGCCCCCCACCTTCAGTGTGGATTCTGCATTTATGCTTATTTATTTTCAAGTGTGTATACAGATGTGTGGGTTTTCTGAAGAGATGTGAGGGGAGGGAAGCAAATGTAGCTGTGCGGAATGTTTTGAGCCACAGCCATCGGGATCCAGAGGAAAATGGTTGACTTTTTCCAGCCTGCCCAGATGGGCCGAGCGTGTGGCATGTTAGCTCTGGCAGGGCCCCCGGGCTCTGTAAACACCGCTGCGGCCCTAGGCCGGGACGCCATGTGGACTGTCAGGACTTGCTGCCTAATGGGCTCTCGCAGAGTCTTCCAGCCGCTTCCTCTGGTCTCTGTGGCTCTGGGGAAAGCCTCGGGGACAGGGTGGGAGTCAAGTTATTTGATTCTGTCCCTTGAGGTCCATTTGTCCACTTCCCAGAAGAGCTGGACTGACAGCGAAAGGGACGTTCTTCTCTTGGGCAGGAAGACCTTGCCAGCATCCATGCTATGTGTGTTTCAGGAGCGGAGGGCAGGTTCAATTAGCTGCGGCAAGTCAGGTCTCGGAGAGGTCGTGGGAGGCCCCTCACCCTGGAGCCAGCTCCCCTTCCCCTCTCTGTTGCTTTCCGGGTTCCTTTTTTATGTCCGCTCTGGATGAGTGCATTTGCCTTCTGCCCTTTTCACTTCAATGGCCCTGATGCCGTCGTGTCCCGGCGACACACGTGCATGCTGAGCTCAGCGGCGTGGATGGGTGCCAGGTGCCAGGCTCCACTGTCAGCAAATCACACCCTCTCCTCAGCCCGCCACAGCCTTTCTGAGACTTGGGTCTATAAATTGCATCATGACAAGTCGCCTGGGAACTTCCCTCGCTGCTGGCAGCTCCACACCCATGCATTTCCTTTTCCTGTAAAAAAAAAAAAAAAATCAATTCCCAGCTCAAACTCAAGAGAGAAGGTTAGTTATATCGAAACCTACTGCACATAGACACTATATTTTCAGGAAAATATTGTCACCTTTTGAAATCTGTCACGTTGTGTTCCTTCCCGTTCCTGACCCCCTTCCTGGTCCCCTCCCTCCCCAGCCTTGACAGGAACAGTCAGCCTCAAGTCAAGCCTACAGCCACGCCCCATGCCCCTACCCCAGGAGGATGCGTGCTTTCAGAAATGGTTCCAGTGGTGGTGAGGCCCTCAGCCCCCCAGGACCCTCCTGTCAGCAGGGGAAGTTGACCGAGAGGGATGCTTGGGGTCGGGAGGTTGAGCCTTAAGACAGAGATCTCGGACGCATGGCGGGTTTCTGCTTAGCTGATGATGTTGGGCAGTTTTCTCATCTTTGCCCCACCTTCCTCATTTCTGAAATAGGAGAGGAATAATTTCACAGGAGGAAATGAGCATCCAGGTCAGTCATCAGTTTCCAGTGTCAGGACGCTGCATGGAGTGGTGTTCTCTCTTTACCACCCAACCAGGGCATGCTTTTCCACCTTTCCATGGATGCCAAGCCTTTGAATGAAAGCATCAGTCTCCAGGAGTCTTGGGCTAAAATCAAATCTATGAACTTAGAAAGGAGGTAGAATGGACATTTGTTGTTTTTGCTGCTCCCCGTTCATGCTAATAGCACCCCATTTCCTTTCCAGGAAATGACCTCATCCCCGTCCTGTGCATTCCAGGGAATTAGCTCACCCGCATGGTAGACTGTCAATCAAGGCGCCCTGCTCTCCCTGGCCAAGCGGTAGGCATGTTACTACAGTGGGGCCAACTGGATTCTCCCTTTTATGCATTGGATCTGGGGCAGCCTCACGAGTCAGGACACACGCTGCACTTGATACATACCAGAGTGCTTCCTCAGCCACAGCCATGGTTCCTGCCAGACCCCCCAGAGAGTCCCTGGTCCTGTTCACTCTGGCCGGGGGCAGTGGCCACCTGAAAAAGACTGATGTTAGTTTCCTACCCGCCTGTGCTAAATAAGCAGAAAGAAAAGTTCTTCCCACCTGAATGGGTGAGCTGAGGGGTCAAACCACAGGGCACCCAACATCATCATGCTGAGGATGAGAAATTAATCCACAAATGCTGCCTGAGCAAGGGACAATGGGACTCAGAAGTGCTAGAACTCTTTCCAGATAATGGAAACTGGATCCTGGGATCGCAAAACATGCAGGTGGCTCTTGAGCAACGCGGGTTTGAACTGCGCGAGTCCACTTGTACATGGTTTTCCTTCCATCTCTGCCCCCAGAGAGAGCGAGGCTAACCCCTCCTCCTCCTCGTCCTCCTCGTCCTACTCCACATGAAGACAATGAGGTCTTTAGGATGGTCTGCTTTCACTTATAGACTAGTAAATGTATTTTCTCTTCCTTATGATTTTCTTAGTAACATTTTATTTTCTCTAGTTTACTTTATTGTAAGAATACAGTATGTAATACATAAGACATACAAAATATGTGTCAATCAACTGCTTATCTTCTTGGTTTCCAGTCAAAAGTAGGCTATTAGTAGTTAGGTTTTTAAGGAGTTGAAAGTTCTGTGTGAATTTTTGGCGGCTCAAGGGATCACCACTCATAACTCCGACAGTGCTCAATGGTCAACTGTGTATCTTTCTGCATTTGTGTCAAATAAGGAGGGTCATTCATCTCTTCTTTCTCCTCCTCTGCTCCTTCCTTGTCTTTGAAAAAAAAACTTTTTTTGAGAGACAGGGTCTTACTCTGTCATCCAGTCTGAAGTACAGTGGCGCGATTATAGCTCACTGTAGTGTCAAATTTCTAGACTCACGTGATCCTCCTGCCTCAGCTTTCTGAGCAGCTGAGACTAGAGGCATGCACCACCACATCCAGCTAATTTTTGTTTTTATTTTTATTTTTGTGGAGATGTGGTCTTGCTATGTTGCCCAGGCTGGTCTCAAACTCCTGGGCTCAAGTGATCCTCCTGCCTCAGCCTCCCAAAATGTTGGAATTACCAGCATGAGCCATCATGCCTGGCCCTTGTCTTCTTATTATTTATTTATTTTGTTTCTTTCTTTTAGGGGGCAAAGAAGATGGACATTTTTTGATGGAAGCCAGTTTAATCTATATCCTTTACAGTATCTATTTAACCAAGTTAAGGTTCTCTCTGTCTATCTGGATGATCAGGGGTCATGCCTCTATAACTGGAGCCTGAAAACCAAATTTGCCATTCTGGAGTAGCTTCTCTGGAGTTGAAGCTGTTGCTGAAACTCTGTCAAACCAATTTAGCAAAACAAGCGGAAGAGGTAAAGTCATCGCTCTCCCCTCCTTCTTCACCCATGGCAGATAGGGTGGCTTTCTTGCAATCAGGCACAAATCTTCCTCTGTCCTACCTGGTCTACTTTTTCTATTAAGACAACTTTTCACTGCCTAAGCTCACAGGCAACCTTGAAGGGAGCTGCATTTTCCTCAGCAAAATCGCGCAGGCCTTACCTGTTAATGTGCCCGCGATGAGGCAAAACCGTGGCAACCATGTGGGTTCTACAGTGGAGGGGGCCACATTCCAGATGGGTCCTTAAGATCTGGAGATCTGGGTGACATTATCTCAAAGAACAGGTGGACATTATCTCAGGACCTGGGGACAGCAGTTACAGGGGTGGAATAACCACAGCTTCCACTTCCTGTAGCTCAGCCCAGCGGCTGTGGAAAGGACTGTGGATACATTTTGACCACCCTTTCCAGTTTCTCTTTTGTATTAGTTATAGTAATTCATGCTAGCTGTTATAACAAATAGTCCTCAAATTCCAATAACTGAATACAAGTGTGTTTCTCAGGTGTGCAAAGTCTGTCGAGAACGGGGTGGCTCCATGGCAGTGGTCCTCCAAGCAGTGACTCAGGGATCATGGTGTGGCTTTGTGATCTGAGTTGGCTCAGGTACTTCTAGTCATGTGGACAGAAGAGAAAGAGTAAAAGGAGCACCAGGTTCTTAACCACCTGAATCAGAAGTGCGATGCCCTTGGCTACAACCATCATGCCACCCACCTAACCGTGGAAGGAGCCCATGGACATTGGTGAGCACGGCATGCTCTGTAGCGCCTCAGTGTCCAAGCTCTTCAGCGAATCCCCCTCTCGACTCCTGGAGAAACTTCTCTTCTACACATATCCCTTAGGAAAGGTCTGAAACATACACAATACTAAGGTAAAAAGGAAGTATAAATGAGTGACATGTACTCTTCCTCAGAAATACACTGTTTTAGGCAGGCTAAACATCTTAACCTAAGATGGCAGCTCTTTCAGCTACTACTTTGATGCAGAAGGATAAGCTTCTGCTGAGCAACGCTGGAGTTCTGCTAATTTCCAGGCTTCTGAAATGCAGGTGAATGCAGGTAAGAATGGCCTTGCTGACAGCTCAGCACCACACAGTCCCCAGGCCCACCCCTGGCCTTAGCAACCATCACTCTTAGGAGTAACAAGCGTGGAAGGCATTCTCATTGGAGATCCCTGTGTTAAATGAGGAGAGAGCTCAGTCTTTGGTTCCTCTGGCTCAGTGCTTGTCCCATTTGCCTTTTAATTTTCTGGTCAGACGTATGCTTGGGGCTTTGAGCTCACAAATGATGTGGGTGATTCCCATTGGGTGGCTCTGTCATCTGGTGGGTGACCCTGGAAGTTTATTCTTTGTGCTCTGATTTAGAATAGAAATATAAGAAAGAAGTTGAGAAAAAAGTCTTCTTGACTCATAATTACAATGTGAATCAGTAATGAATCTCTAAGTTCAGTATGTGGGGAAGAACATTTTTTTCTGTCCATCTATCTCCTGGTTCCATGTCTAAGACCCAAGAAGAGAGCTGGAGCGAACGAAAAGGAAATAATAAAATTGTGGGGAACTTGGGAGAAATAATCAAAGGGAGGTTGAACTCAGGATGAAAACATCAGGCCAAGGTAGCACCCTGAAGGCCTGTTGCCAGCCCTGGTGCCCATATGTATTTTGATTGGCCTCTGGTTTGTTGGTCCACACAGTATTTTGAAGAAAGTATGAATTAGTAGCCAACTTTTAAATACCTGGAGATTTCACATAAAAAGCCAGATTTCCACCTTCTCTTGAAAAATTAGAGTTTGGAACAGCAATAAGCCCATATTCCAGCAAAGCAACAGTTGGCCTGAACTCAGCAGGAGCTGCCCCTTCAGACAGGGCAGGGCTTGTTGCCTTCAAGTTGGCAATGGCCCCACCCCTCCCTATGGCTCCCCTGCACTAAGCCTCCATGTCACTCCTCTTCATCTGGGATTTCTCAGTCCCGGTGGGTCTCCCTATTCATACTGTTGCTTGGACTCTGGAAGGATTTGAGTCTGTAAGCCTTGACCTAGGGAACTTCTATGCTTCGCAAGTTGCTGAAGAGCACTGAAGACCGTGATGGACTGGTGATGACAGACACTTGAATACAAGGGAAGAGCAAGAGAAATAGAATCACGGGAGTCTCATTGCTTCAGGGAATTCATGCGTTATGATGGTCATGTGTCAGGAGGATAAGCTGGGAGTACTTCTGTCTCCGTTGTCACTGATGCCCCAAAGGCCAAGCCTGGTGCAGTAAGTGCCAGGTACCACTGTATCCTAAGCTGGTTGGGGGGACCAAGTCTGTGCCAGGCTTGCAGAGGCACCCCCAGATTAGGGGCAGGGAAGGGAGATGGCCCGTACAGACATCTTCTTTGAGGAGCTTCACCAAGAAAGGGAGTGGAGAGAATTGGGGCAAGAGTTGGAAAAGATGCGGTCAAAATGTTTGTTTTTTAAGCTGAGAGCCATCTCAGCATTTGTTAATTGATTGGAATGATTTGATAGAAAGAGGAGACTGCTGGGGCTTGAAAGAAGGGTCAACTGAAGATGAGAGGTCTTCGAGTCAGCGAGAGGGAGGGGAATTGGGCTTTGAGACAGAAACACAGACAATGCGTGCAAAACGGAAGGAAGGCAGAGTCTAGGGGAAGTTGCAGTGAGGCTGGGGCACCTGGAGATTTAGCTGTGGAATGTTCTTTGATAACTATGCCCTTCTTGTCCTTTTTTCAACTATTGGTAATAAACTTACTGAAATGGGGTTATATTTAATTTATTGGGTCTTATTTTCATGTAAGGTTGTGTAAGCTGCTCACTGCACAAGGCATCTGGCCAAGAGGATGAGCTGGGACAAAAGTCTAGTCCATGCTCTCTGCTCACAGCAGTGTGCCCTGGTGTGGGGCTAAATGCCCCTGGAGTAAGGGACATGTCCCCATTTTCCTGTTAGTTTGCACAGAGCACCTTTTGGCTAGAAGGGACTCTCCTTACTTTGTTCTCTAGTTTGGTGTGAGTTGATCCTGTCTTGGAAATGGGAGTGTAAGATCTCTGACGGAAGAGGTGGTCTTGCATTTGTTATCACCAGCAGCACCTAAGCCAGTGTGTGCTTCCCCTAGTATGGGCCATGGAATGCTTCTATGAAATGTAAATAGATGTTACGTAAAAAGAAATCTATTAGAAAAAAAGGCGGGGGGCGGGGGTGAATCTGCATAGAGAAGAGTCCTTCAGCATCACAAACGCCATTGGAAAAAGCAGCCGGCATGCTCCTTAATGATGCCTGATGGTGCTGCAGGTGCCCATTCGCATGGGAGAGAAGGGCTTCCATCTCTGCGCTCATCCTCCAGAGGCTTCTGCATGGAAAACCCTGCTTGGAGGTCTGTGTGATGTCTCAGGGGGCAGTCCGACCCCCGGGGAAAGGTGTTGCATGGGCTGATCTGAGTGTGGTTTCCAAGAGTGAGGCTTGGGCCCTGGAGCAATCTGACTCCATAGTTTCTTTTACCAGGAAGACGGAACTTGTGAGCTTCCCTCCATCACTGTCAGGCCCTGGAACTATCCAAGAGCTCTTTCACTCATTTTCTTTAGACTTTAAACTCCTCCCAGATTTCCCTCAAATCCATTCTAACCCTTTCCGTTTTCATTCTTTTCTCCAACAAAGAGCAAAACTGAAAAATGATAGACTGTCTATTGTGTTGACTGAACAGTGGTGACAGCCATGGGTACTGATGTAAGGCTGCCTCAAGTTCTCAGTTTTAGTTGTGTGGATTTGGACAAGTAACTTCACTTCTCTGGGCCTCGGTTTCCTCATTAATAAAGTGGAGGTAATACCAGGACTGTTGTAAGAATAAATAAAGTAAATACATGTAAAATATTAAGGGGTTGGACCATAGTCTATGCTCAGAAAATGATGAGGATGTCATCATCACCATTGTCATCAATATCATTTTGATATGTTGATAGTATACTTGGTGCACTGCAAAATTCTAACTGCAATCAGATTGCATTGATAAACCCTGGAGAGTTCTGGTTTGACTGACTGAATTTGTCATATTGCTGCACTCTTTTCTATTTTAAAAACTTGTACACGGCCAGGCATGGTGGCCCACACCTGTAATCCCAGCACTTTGGGAGGCCGAGGTGGGCAGATAACAAGGTCAGGAGATCGAGACCATTCTGGCCAACATGGTGAAACCCTGTCTCTACTAAAAATACAAAAATTAGCTGGGTATGGCAGTGTGTGCCTGTAATCTCAGCTACTTGGTAGGCTGAGGCAGGAGAACCGCTTGAACCTGGAGGTGGAAGGTGAAGGTTGCAGTGAGCTGAGATTGCGCCACTGCACTCCAGCCTGGCAACACAACTAGACTCCATCTCAAAAAAAAAAAAAAAAAAAAAAAAAGAAAAAAGAAAAAGAAAAAAAAACGTGTACATGCCCCACCATAATGCCAGGAAACATCAGCTTCAGTACTTTGTCTCTCATTGTATGACCCACCTTTCCCAAATAGAAGCCCTCCCCAGATCATTAACATCCCATGCGAAAGATGGATTTGTAACCCCGTTAGTGCCTAAGGTGTTTCGGAGTATGATGATTGTCCTTGTGTGTTGATCTGGCTTGGATCTGTGTCCAGCCCAAATCTCCTGTCAAATTGTAATCCCCAGTGTTGGAGGTGGGGCTTGGTGGGAGTTGATTGAATCATGGGGGTGGATTTCCCTGTTCGTCTTGTGATAGTGAGTGAGTTCTCGTGAGACCTGGTCATTTAAAAGTATGTGGCACCTCCCCCCTTTCCTCCCGCTCCCACCATGTGAGACACCTCACACCCCTTTGGCTTCTGCAGTGATTGAAAGCTCCCAGAGGCCTCCCCAGAAGCTGATGCTGCCATACTTCCTGTACAGCCTGCAGAACCATGAGCCAATTCAACCTCTTTTCTTATAAATTACCCAGTCTCAGGTATTCCCTTAAAGCAGTGTGAGAACGGACTAGTAAATGTGTTCTAGGTGTAAGTGCTTCTTTGTAGATCGTTGCTGCTGTTCACATGCAGAGCACTGGAGACACAGGAGGATTAATTAAGGGCCCAGATTTGAGAGCCTGTGGGGCACCCTCCTTTAGAAGCAGGAGGGCAGGCAGAGGCACTGGGCCCAGGCAGCATTGTCTTGTTTGGAAACCCTGCGGACAGCCTCATTCTGGTCATTTTTCTAATTCCTGTCAGTCTTGATTCTCCATGAAGAGCTGTGCTGGCCTCGATGAGAATGCCCCTGGGGAAGCGATGACCAGACGCTTGCCTTTAGGGAGAGCTGTGTTCTCTCTGCAGGTCTTTGAACTTCCCCAGAGCAGTTATCTGGCCTCTAGAACTTATCCAAAATGTTTTCTTCAAGAAGCCCATTCCCTCGCCTGCAGCAGTAGTGTGGCACGGCCACTCTCTCATCTGGTTTCCAGCAGTTGGGTAGGGAGTGTTGTTTGCCTCCCGGACAGCACACACACAAGCTGGGGCTGCCCTCCACATGTTCTTGGAGAATTGGCACTCAGACCCCTTTTCCTGACTCTTTGTTAACATACACTTCAAATGACTGGGCAGGGCTTGATCTTAATCAAATGTCTCCTTAATATCTGCCCTTGGCACAGATCCAATTCCTGAGCACTGTCTATAGAGGCATTTGTGTAATACATACATATACTCACACATATGGCCACACCACCCACCGTCATAACATAAAGGTCCCAAGCATATGATGAGCCTATTTTTTTTTCCGGCAGAGATGGTTTAAATAAATGGACAACATAAGTACTTCTCCCAGCCGCACATCCTCAAGGTCAGCAAGAAGCAAATGGGGTAAAAAGTCCTGAGCCTAAAGTTCTCAACCTGTCTTGTTTTAAGCTGTGAGTGTAGGTGCAATCGGATGAGTGTTTGCTGGGGAAGTATCTGGATATTTGAACCCAGATTCCCATGTAAGATTCTTTCAGCCCATTGAGGAAGATGGGTGCACACCAAAGGGGTCTTCTGGAGATGTGGTCTGAGGCAAATGTAAGCTCCAGAGCATACAGCTGTGTTTTTCAGCAGTGAGCTCTCAGGACTACCTGCATCTAATATCATGGGGAGCCAGTCAAAATGCAGATTCCTGGGCCTCACTCATGACTGCACAACTCAGAAGACATGGAACCTAGGTATTTTCATTTTTATAATATTTCCTGGGAGATTCTAAAATATATATGCGTTTGAGAGCCATCGATCCAGAGATTTTTAAGTAGAGGAGCACATGAGAATCACTCTCAGCACTCTGTTCTCTTTATATATACATATATATATATTTGTCTTTTTTTTTTTTTTTTTTGAGACAGGGTCTTGCTCTGTCACCCAAGCTGGAGTGCAGTGGTGCAATCTCAACTCACTGCAGCCTTGGCCTCCTAGGTTCAAGCGGTCCTCCCACCTCAGCCTCCCGAGTAGCTGGAATCACAGGTGCACACCATCACACCCGGTGAACCACTGTGCCTAGCAGATTTTCATTTAATACATTTGGGGGTGGATCACAGATGTCTGCATTTGGAAGAAGTACCATTGTGATTCCAATTCCAGTGCTCCTATGTGTCCCAGTGGTCCTCTAATTTTGGCAGGTGTGCAAGAGAATGAATGGGGGTAACATGGAGGGGTGGGGTTCCCGTTAAAGGTGGATTCCTGGACCTTGCCTTTAGAGTCCTCTGCATGTTCTGATGTGGGAGCCCTTGAAGACAGGGACCCACTGAGGGCATCCATGGACTCACCCCCTTGCCACTCCCCCGGTCCCAGGGATTCCAAGACCACCTCCTTGCCCTTCCCACCCTGCACCCTTGGTACAGTCAGCACTGGAGCCAGGCCTGCCTATTGAGGGCGGGAATGTGCTCTGCAGTTTCTTCTTCCAGGGGATTATTCTAAGGCACTCCCCACCCTTCCTTTCATTTGAGTTCCATTTCCCTGGGATGATGATGACAAGTGCCAAAGAAATGTCTAGACCACAGATTCTGAATGTGAACAAAAATGCCTTAAAGTACAAAAGAGATTTTCTGCAATGTGAAGCCCAGAGGATTTTTGGTTGTTGTTGCATTAAAGCAGTGCCATAGAACAAGGGGTGGGGTGGGAAACAGGGAGGCAACCTCTCCGATGGCTTTGCTGCTCTGGTCAGTTAATACTTACCAGGTGCTAGGAACAGAAATTGTGTTCATCATGAAGGATCGATAACCCCATTACCCCCATCCTTAGATACCACAGCAAAGTCTAATGGTTTCTTTTTTTTTCTTTTTATAATAGTTTTTGTTTTTAAATAAATTTTAATGTTATCGAAGTAATATATGCACATACTTTTGAAAGTCAGATATCACTTCCAGGAAATTTTTCTCATATTTTTCTTTGTTAATTTCCTGTCAGTGTCTTTTCTACTGTCTTTTTCTTGAACTCCTTTGCATGTTGAATCTCCTGGCTTAATCCTCTAATTGCTTATCTTTTTCTCTTCTGTAGTTCATTTTTTTTATCTTTCCTCCTGTCTGCCGGATTATGTTGTCTTTTTAAATCCAACCCTCTGTTGACATTTTTACTTAGCTGTACTATTTTTAATTTTCAAAATATCTTCCTCATTTTTAGGGTATCCTGGTACTGCTTTAGGGACGTGATATCTTCTATTAATTCTTTGAGTTTACTGACTTCTGAAGTTTTAATTTTGCCCTCTAAATTGCTTCTCTTTCTTCCAAGGTACTGAAAAGGACCAAATCTCCTGAACTGGGGGCTGGGGAGAGAAGAGATTCATTGTTTGTGTTCTGGTTTGGGGGTGAGAGGAAGCTGTGAGTATCACTGTTCAGAATGAAGGTTTTTATTTAGAGCTTCTGTTTTCAGTTCATTCCAGATGCCTAACTCTCCCCATGCCTGAGTCTTTGTGCTCAGGGTCTCCTTAGTTGTGTTACACTAGACTGATGCTGTCTAATACCATAACCTCTCACCACTGATGGTCCCTGAGCACTGGGAATGTGGCTGGTCAGAATTGAGATGTGCAGTGAGTGTAAAATACATACCTGATTTTGAAGACATTACAAAAAACAGTAAAATATCTCAGTTTTTAAAGTACTGATTATACCTTATCTCAATTTGTAAAGTATTGATTACACATTGAAATAATGATATATTAGGTTAAGTAAAGTATATTATTAAAATTAATTTTACCTTTCTCAATGTGGCTGCTGGAAAATCTAAAATTACATCCAGGGCTCATATTATATTCCTGTTTGACAATGCTGCCCTTCTGTGGCTGCTGGGAAAGGGATCCAGTGGCCTCCCTGCTCCTGTCTTAGTCCCATGTGTCTATGGGAGCCATTGCCTCAAGTTCCTGATCCTTTCCAGGGCTCAGCAGAACAAATCCTTGCTACTCCTTGGCATCCTCTGCAGCCTCTTGGTTTTAGCTTTCTCTGTTAAATTTAGATTAGTTACTATTGCCTCATGTGCTTTTCACCTTCAAAAAGTTGATTGAATTATCTCTTCTGCCATTCTCTTAGCATTTATGGGTTTACTATTTTCCTTTGCTGTTATTTGAGTGGGGTTTTGGAAGGGAATGGAGATAATGCTTGTGATCAATCTGCCATTTGTAAGTTCTAATGGCCCCTTGAATCAAATTAAATTGTCAGCTTTAAGGCACATGATAATTTCCCCTCTATGCCTAAAGCCTGTTAGTCAGCTTGGGGTGTCATAACAAAATATTGCAGATTGGGTGGCTTAAACTACTGTGATTTATTTCCCACAGCTCTGGAGGCAGGCTGATTGGCTCCTGGTGAGGGCTCTCTTCCTGGCTTGCAGGTGGCTGCCTTCTTGCTGTGTCTTCATATAGTGGAGATGGGAGAGGATGCAAGCTCTCTGGCATGATTTTGTATAAGGGCACTAATCCCATCATGAGGGCTCCACCCACATGACCTCATACAAACTGAATTATCTTCCAAATGCCCACCTCCAAATACCATTACACTAGGGGTAAGGGGTTCAACTTATGATTCTTGGGGTAGGGCATGTCAGTCCATGGAGCACCCTCCACACTGGCTCATGTTCCTTACTTTGTCATTTGTTCTCCTCCCCCACATGCTTGCCACCAGGATATTCACCTCAAAGTTTCTTTCATGTTTTTCATAGCAAAGCCTTGTTTCTGTGCCTTTACTATATAGCCTGAAGACTTTTATTCAGAAATTGACAAGACAATTTTAAGTTTTGTCTGGATAAGCAAAGGACCAACAATAGCCTAAAATATCTTGGAAAAGAAGAAAAAAGTTTCTGGACTCACAGTACTTGACTTTAAGACTACGCATCAGGTCTGGGTGGCACTGGTGGAAGCCTGTACATGTCAGTCAGTGGGACAGAATAGAGTGCCCAGAGACGCACCACCCACAAATAGATGTCCAAATAATTTTTGATGAGTGTGAAAGCAATTTAATGTACATAGAAAAATCTCTTTACTAAGTTGTATGGAAACAATGGGATATTCATATATATATATGTATATATATATCCCTTTGTGTGTGTCTATAACCTCAATTCCTACTTTGTACCATATCTAAAAATCAATTTGAGATGGGTATAATATTTACATATAATATCTAAAACAATAAAGCTACTAGGAGAAAACCCAGAGGAGTATCTTCATGACCTTCAGGTAGGCAAAAATTTATTGGGGAGGTTACAGAATGCACAAGTCATAAAAGAAAACAGTGTATGTAAATGAAACTTCATCAAAATTCTGAAAAACTCCATCAAGAAAAATCAATAGGCAAGCTGCAGACTGGGAGAAAATATTTGCAACACATACATCTGACAAAGGACTTGTATCAATAATATGTAAAGAACTCCTGTAACACAATAATAAAAAGACAGACGCCCAATTTTTTAAAAATGGGCAAAAAACTGACAAAACAAAAGAACATATACAAATGGCCAATGGTTATATGAAAATGTACTCAACATCATCAGCCACCAGGGAAATGCACAATTTATCATAAGACACTATGACATGCCTGCCCGAACACCTGAAATGAGAAAGACCAACACCATCAGTGACTGGAGATGCGCTTTGTGGTTCTCTTGACTCAGTGATGCCCAGTCTCATTCCAGAAACATTTAATTCTGCTCAGTCAAAACTCAACACCATCCTGGCTATCATGGTGAAACCCCATCTCTACTAAAAATACAAAAAATTAGCCAGGTGTGGTGGCAGGTACCTGCAGTCCCAGCTACTCGGGAGGCTGAGGCAGGAGAATCACTTTGAACCTGGGAGGCGGAGGTTGCAGTGAGCCGAGATCGCACCACTGCACTCCAGCCTGGGTGACAGAGGGAGACTCCATCTCAAAAAACAAAACAAAACAAAGCAAAAACTCAACAAACATTCCATGATCTCAAAATGTTCTACCTGATGGGACAGGTTTAAGAATACAATTGAAATGTCCATAAAACAATGTCTTTCAAGAAGAACGAGGAGATTTTATTAAGCAATCAATTTGTGTAGCCTGTTTTGAGGAGATTTTCCTAGGTTCCCAGGATATTCCACTTGGCCCCAGTGTGACTACTCAAGAATGGGAAGGAGTCAGGAGTCTGACTTTTTAAGGGTTCTCATGTGAGGGTGATGTTCCTGCTTAAGAGGAGGGGATTTGACGGCGACTTCTCTTGGCCTCCATTCCTTGTCATGTGGGGTAATCTGACTCAAGGATGCCTCCATGACAGTTTCATCATATATGGCACCAGCTGTTGTTGGAGTGGGAACTGGGTCTTCTCTGCAGTCAGGGGAAGTTGGAAGCATTCAGAAGATGCCCAGAGCATCTGGAGCCTAGTTGACACAGTACTTTATGATGGCAGATGGAGGCACATGTCGCAGGAGATTCCGGAGTGGTTCGGTGTCAGCACCCCTGCAAGGCGGGGTCTTGTTAGTTGACCTAAGAGATTCCATTCCAATGTGCTGAAGATGGATTTTCAACTTGGCCTTTGCGGAGGCTAAGAAAGATTCATTGCAAATTTCTGTTTACTTGTCTGGCTTTCGTGGGATAGCCAGTGTTTTCCCTTGTTTTAGGTTATCTTTGGCTGGAGGGCAAGAAAAATAGTCAATGATGTCTTGGAAGTTTAAGCCTACACTATATGGCTCTTTTAAAAAATATTTGGTTATCCAGAAAGATATTTCTTGTGTTTCTACATCTAAAATTTCTCTGTGGTTTGGCAGGACCAAAGCTTTTCATGGCTGCCAGTCATATCTTAATTGGATCACCTTGTGGAAACTTCAGAGAGGTTTTCCTAGAATTTGTTTCCAATTTCTGATGTCGACCCAGCATTTATTATCTAAGGTGAGACAGACACGACAATCTCCTCATTTCCTCTCTCTTTAAAAGGACGTGCTGCATTTTTCAAAATACCTCCCAAAGAGTGCTCACTGGGAGGAAAATTCTCCTTTCTTGGCAAAGAACGTTCTTGCTAGCTCTGTTACTCCTCAAATGATAGTAACTTATTTGCAAATTCTATTGAGGAAATAGCCAACAGAAAATTCAAAGAAGGGGGAGAAAAATGCACTTTGTACTCACACCTAAACCCACTGTATTTTTTAAAAATTGTACTTATTTGAGCCTACCTTGTATTATGGACTACAAAAGTGCCTGCTTGCTCTTTCATTTCTTACAAAATTATAAGCTCCTTGAGAGCAGGAAAAACATCCATTCCTCTTTTACCCTTTCAACATCAGCCAGAATGTCTGACATGTGATAGGTGCCTGGGATGTATTTGTGGAATTAAAATGCTTGAAATATATCTCTGGGGAACACATGAGAAGTTATTAAAATATTTTCCAAAAATATTTAATGGCACATACAGGTTTAATTTTAAAAAGCCAAGCACACACTTTACACATAATAGGATTCAACTTTTGTTATAAATAGGCACAGATACATGCACTTAGAAAAAGGACTGGAAGGAAATGTGAAAAAATAGTAAACAAGGCAATTTCAGGGTGGTGAGATTAAAAGATAATTTTAATTTTTAAAATTTATGATTTTTGTCAAATTCAAATTATCTACAATAACCATGCATTGCTTTTATTAAGCTTTTTTTAGAAAAAAATTAACTTTTTGTGCAGTTTTTTTTTAAATCATTTGCTTTGAATATTTTGCCTTGAATATTGTTTCATTTACTAAAAGTGATGGCAGCTGTTTCTATGCAGTGTGACTGTGTACTGGGCACTTTGCCAGGGTTTCACAGTGTTGTCTCTGTACTTGTTACATGAGACCTTGCTCTGCGTGTCTTTTTATGTCCATTTTACAGATGACGGAACTGATGCCCAGAGAGGCTAAGGGATGATTCCTCCGGAAAGGAGGGGATCTGGATCTGGACCTGGTCTGGTGAAGGCAAAGACTCGAGCCACAGCCACTTACTCCACTTGCTCCCTCTGGGGTGCTCCAGGGAGAGTGTCTTGCGAGCACCTTGGGAACCCGTCAGTTTCATGCTTTTCTCTTTGCCCTTGGCTCGCTCACTGAAAAGTTTCCCAGCTATATTATCTTTCTGAAGTGTTTAGTCTTGTAATTTGTGAATATCTGAAGACAAGAAAAACTGATTAACAGCATCAGTAATAGTAAATGTCAAATTGAAGCATATACTCCCAACTTTTAATAACAATTGTAGGGGACACTTACTTTCTAGGGAATATGATTTGTTAATGTTTTAACTTTGTATAATGAATATGTATTATTTTTAGTCCAAAAGGACAATGAAAATATGTGAAAAGGTGGAATTCATTAAAAGCAAACTTTTTTTGTAAAGAGCCAGATTGTAAATAGTTTTGGCTTTGCAGGTCATATGGTCTCTGTGGCAATCACTCAACTCTGCAACTAACACAGTCATAGATACTGCACAGAGGAATGGGCAAGGCTGTGTTCCAATAAATCTTTATTTACAAAAACAGGCAATGGGCCAGAATTGGTCACAGGCTATAGTTTGTGTATTAGTTTCCTGTCACCACTGTGACAAATGACCAGAAATTAGTGGCCTGTAACAATGCAGATGTATTCTCTCATAGGAAGACAGAAGTCTGAAATCACTATCACTGGGCTAAATAATCAAGCAGGCTACGCTCTCTCTGGAAGTGCCAGGAGAGAGTCTGTTTCTTGTTTGCTCCAGGTTCCAAGGCCTGACAGCATTCCTTGGCTTGTGGCTCCATCATCCCAACCTCTGCTTCTTCTATCATGGCATCACCTTCTCCTCTTGTGTAATCAAACCTCCCTCTCACAAGGACCCTTGTGGTTGCATTTAGTGCCCACCTGGATAAGCGAGGCTAACCTCACCATCTCAAGGCGTTTAACTTAATCCATTTGCCTTGTAAGGTAATGTTTTTGTTTTTGAGATGGAGTCTTGTTCTGTCACCAGGCTTGAGTGCAGTGGCACAATCTCAGCTCACTGTAACCTCTGCCTCCCGGGTTCAAGCAATCCTCTTGCCTCAGCCTCCTGAGTAGCTGGGACTGCAGGTGCGCACCACCAGGCCCAGCTAATTTTTTGTAGTTTTAGTAGAGGTGGGGTTTCGCCATGTTGACCAGGATGGTCTTGATCTTTTGACCTTGTGATCCACCCACCTCGGCCTCCCAAAGTGCTGGGATTACAGGCGTGAGCCACCGCGGCTGGCCATAAGGTAACGTTTACAGGTTCCCAGAAATAGGATGTGGATATCTTGGGGTGAGGGGGCATTTTTCATCCTATTACACCCCGGCATGAAGTAACAAAAAGGCAGGGGTGGGGGGGATTGCTGTAAAAAGAACATTGATTTAGGAGCAAGTTCACCAGAGCCAGAGGCCCAGCTCCAGTCACTGTATGCACAGTCTTGGGAGAGTCATTGGACCTCCCTGGCTTTTAGCTTTTCCATTTGTGATGTGAGGGAATTAGACTATATGACCCCCTGAGACTCTTTTTAGCTCTGTCATCTTTAAATTTTTTGATTTTTGAGGAGTATTTTCAACAGCTGCCTCTGTCATAGTGACCTTTGTTATAAGTGATGTGGCTTAAATCTATTCAGAGCAGCTTTGTTCTAAGTTGTATCAGGGAAGATTCAATATTTATAGGCAAAATAAAGGCAGAAATAAATTTTGAACTATTCCCAAGTTAGTATAAGCATGGGGAAATTACAGGCCAACCCTCTCATTCAGAATGAAACTAAAATTTTTATGCCACTCTGTACAGAAAAGCACTTGAGAAGTCCACAAAAGTACTTTCACTCTCTGAGGATAAAGAATAATGAACTCAGAATGAGAGAGGGAGGATTCAATAATTACATGGAGCTAGATTAAGAGATTATCCAGTATGGCATGCCCTCAGGGCTTGTGTGGTTCTTAAAAACGAGCTGTAATTCCGTCTGTGAGTTTCCTAGAGGCAAACGCAAAGACAGAAAGATGATTGTGTAAGAATAACACTGTTAATAGAATTTTTAAAAAATTGCTAGGAATTCGACAGCCTGAAGTGACATTTTCCTTGGATCTTCCTAAACAGGGACACTCAGGGTTATTCTCACAATATCAGTTCATTCATTCATGCACTCAACAGATATTCATTGATTGCCTTCTACATACTTGACACTGTCCTAGTGACCAGAAAGATATGTCATAAACCAGATAGAAATGATTCTGTCCTCTTGGAGCTCACAGCCTGGCAGGATGTGCAATTATTGACAAGTCCAAGGAGTGCTATGGATGAGGAAGAACAGAGGCACAGGCATGTATGCCAGGGGGACTTTTTCTATGGGCTGGTCAGGGAAGGTCTCTCTGAAGAGGTGACATCCAAAGTCATTTCTCCATGGCATGACAGTAATTCATCAGGCAAAGAGTAGAGGAGGAAGTTGCCAGGCAAGGCAGACAGAAGACCAATGGAGACACCTATACTTGTCTGTGTCATTGTCTGGTATAGTTGGAGTGATGAGAGAACAGAGCAAGTGCTGTGTCAGATGGTGGAGTGCCACAGTAAGGATTCTGGACTGTATCCAACATAAATTGTGTTATTAATAGTTAGAACACTCCGCTGCTGTGATAAACCTCGGGGTTTCAGTAGCTCAGTGCACACTGTAGCTTACTCTCCTTACTCCCCTATTAGCCTAATGGGATGTTTCTGATGGCTGGGCAGCTTTCCCAGTGGTGATTCTGTCATGAGTCTCCTATGTCTTCTACAGCCAACCTGTAACTGTGGAGGGGAGAGAGAAAGTGGAGAAGAAGCATGTCTTAATCATTCTGACCTCCAAAATGAACCATTGTTTCTACATAACTCACTGGCAAGTGGTCACAACACCCTGCCTAAATGCAACGTGGGTTGGAAATGCAGTCCCTGGCTGGGCAGCCACTTCACGGCAATAGCTCAACTCTGGAAAGGGGGCGCGGAGTTTAGTGCATGATTATCTGTTCATGCTGCAGGAGGCCGCTGGAGGGTCGTGAGCAAGATAGAGGTATAATCAAATTTGAATGTTAAAAAGACCATCTTGGCTGCAGAATAGAGAAGGTATTGGAGGGTGCAAGACTGGATGCAAAGCAACCAGTTATCATAATGGGCAATAAACACAATACAGTTGCAACTGCCATGGAAGAGTTCTATAGGGCATCTCTCGGTGTCAGCTGAGGATGCGATACCAGTATGCATTTCAGTGAAAGTGTGATGTCAGTTATCAATACGATATCACTGACTGATGTCAACTGTGACAACCAAGGAACTTTTTCCCTTTTATAACCAGAAGTCAGCAGCCCATTGACTGATGCCAGTCTCATTACATTCATTAGTTTTAAAAAAAGTGTTTGAAAATATCACACACATAGTCATCCTTGCTTCTTAAAAGTGGCTGATTAGAGTATCCAGTGGAGCTATTCTGCACATCTCTATTGCTAGGTCACACCATGGACTCTCAATGCTCTCTTTACTACTGGAAGCTTTAAATCTAGTCAGCTTAGAGAGCCAATTCTAGAAACCCCAGAACCAATTCAGAAAACTCATACTTAACATTCTATTCTGTTCTCTAGAACTATTCTTGGTATCAACATCTGTGTTAGTCACGGTTCTGCAGAGAAACAGAACCAATCTCACATGATTGTGGAGGCCGAGAAGCCCTGAGATCTGTAGTCAGTAATCTGGAGACCCAGGAGAGCCAAAGGTGTGCTTCCAATCCAAGTCCAAGGGCCTGAGAAGCAGGAGAGTCCATGGTGTAAATTCTAGCTTGAGTCTGAGTCCAAATGCAGAAGGCCTATTCTCAAAGACGGTCAGACAGAGTGAATTCTCCCTTACTCAGCATTTTGTGGTATTTGAGTCTTGAACATGTTGGATGAGATCCACCCACATTTGGGAGAACTATCTGCTTTCTCAGTCTACCAATTCAGAGGTCAGTCTCATTCAGAAACACCCTCACAGACACACCCAGAATGATGTGAAACCAAATATCTGGGCACCCTGTGGCCCAGTCAAGTTGACACACAAAAATTAATCTTCATAATAGGTGTGCTCCCCAAAATTATTCTGTGGCCAGACAAATTTCAAGAACACTGCATACTATAGCCCAGAGGTTGGCAAATGTCTCCAGTCAAGGGTGAGATAAAAGTAAATATTTTAGGCTTTGAGGGTCATACAGTCCTGGTGGCAACTACTCAAGTCTGTCCTCAGAGCCAGAGTTAATATGTAAATGAATAGGTGTGGCTGTGTTCCAAGAGAAACAGGCATTGAGTCATACTTGGCCTGAGGACTGAGGATTGTAGACTGGACCTCTGCTGTACCCCCTTCTTTGAGCTCTTTTCACATTAGCATATTTAAACTCAAAGGCTTTGAGAATTCCTGCAGAAATGAAGTCTGACAGCCAAGTTTGACCCAGGGTTTCTCAATCTATTTGACTGTGGAACACTTTCTTCATGCTATACTATTAACCTTTAATGGGATAGTATTCAATGAAATATCCATTTAAGAAATGATGGTTTAGCACGAAAGTTTTATTTAAAAGATCTCTGCTGAGAGGATTAAGAAAAATAATATAAAGTTCTTTTAGTTTTCTTGAGTTACTGAAAGTTGAAGGGCACTAAATTTGAAAGATTTAGGAATACATTTGCCTTTGAAAATGGATGTAATTTCCTACTATGTACAGTTGTGCAGTGAGCAATGCATTCCCTACCAGAATAATTTGGAAATGATTTACTAAATTTACAAAATAGTTTTAAATTTCTAGCCTTGGCTCTGGCTATGATTAGAAAAAAAAATTGGCACTAAGAATAGCAATAAAAAGCTAACTGTTAAGGAACTTTTTTCCATTTCTATGGTGTTCGTTGGTCCTTTGATTCAACTTGAGGTAATTTTGGATTCTGATATTCCGCCCAGCTTCAGCAATTGTAGTAAATTGTAATTTATATTCTCATTTACATCATTAAAAAAAGTTGAATGAGACAACGTCCAGCTCTGAGGCCTATGACACATCACTAATGAACCGAACCCACTCATTTTGATTCAGTCATTCATCGACTCAGTGGCCTCTAACCCCAAATATCCCCATGTTGCCAATATTTTATTGTGCTTTTGTCAAATGTTTCTCTGATGTCAACATTTTCTACGTCAGTCACATTTCTCTGAGCTACTACTCTAACAATTTGGAAAAAGAAACGTGGTTCATCTGCAATGGCTTGCTCTCAGTGAGCCTATCGAAGCTTCTACTACTCACCCAGGTCTTTAAATGATCTATTCTTGTGACTTGCCCGAGATTGAAATTGCATGGTTTTCAGAATCTACCTTTTTCCTCTTTCAGGAAACTGAAATGCCACTTGCCCGCCTCTGGTCTTCGGCCCTTCTTCTGGCCCCAGTTGTCCTCCGTGGTTGCTGGTAAAGGTTGCTTCTGCCTGTGGCCTGGGTATTATTTGTACAGATTAGGAGAAGAGTGTTCAATAGGAACACTCACTGCTTTCTTATACGCTGTCTACACTGGGGTCCCACTCCCTCATACTAACATTTATGTTACTTTTTTTGACCTAAATATAACTATATTTGTAAAAGAAGATGCAATCTCCCTGCTTGCTTTTTGCCATCTGTCAACCTTACCCTGTAGGTTTTGACTGCAGGTCTCTCCTTTCCTAACGGGTTTTCCCTGGGAAGCTGGTACGATCCACTATATAGCTTGAAAGTGCAAAAATGGTCATGGCTATTTTAAAGGGTCAAATATTAAAATATAATATTAAATTATGAATATTAACTATGAATACAAATTATGAATATTAAATTAGCAGGGTATCCAGTTCCTCTGAAACATCTGCCCTCCCTGCCTCTCACCAGTGTCAGGTTTTCAGGATTCCCAGGGTGGTACACAGTCCAAGTGCTGTTCTTGTTTGGTGTAGACAGTGTCAGAGAATCTGGTTAACCCACTTGTGCCACTTATCCTGGCACCAGTTTATTGCCCTGTGCACTACTGTAATGGGGCTTTGGCCAGTCCATGCCTTTGCTAGTTCCTGATGTATTGTGCTCCACTGTTGGCCTTCCAAGGCTAGAGCCCTTGGGTTCACACTCTCAAGCCATGCACTGTCCCAAGGTAGTCTGTGAACACCAGGGTAGCTGGGTTAGAAGGGCCATCTAAGCTCAGCCACCCTTTGGGACAGAAAGAGCCCTCCCCTCAAGATCCGCCAGACCCTGGTGTGAGATAAGGTTGCCAGCCACGCTTCCCCTTCCCTGTAGTCAGTTCTCCTCTGTGGGCCTTGGTGCTTTTCCTGACAGCAGACATCAACCAGAGCATGCCGGGCCCAGTAAAGTGGTCCCTCAATGCTGAAACGCTAAAGGGAAGAGCGGAGTCCCCATTTCATTCCCAACAGCAGGATCCTTGGTCTCCAGTACAGGTTTACTAACCTTCCCACCCTTGCAAACCACAGGGGCAAAGGCAGCCTCTGCCAGGCCACAAAGGCCCCTCCCTCTCCCTTCCAGGGTAAAGGGCGCGTGGGCTTCTTATATTTGCATGACAAGGTGACCTTGCCCTGCTCTAAGAAGTCTTCCTGTCTCAACCCAAAAGGCAGCTTTAAAAAATGCAGCTTCTGTAGCCAAATTTCTGTCTCTCTAGCACCTGCTATTTGAGTATAACTCAAGACAGTCATTTCCATTGTCCTCAGAGTGTTTTTGCAAGCTTAGCTCCTTTGAAAGTTTGCCCTCCTTCCTACTCTTCCAGAGGCCAATGTTAAGTTTTATTAGAGTGGTTTTCCAACTATTTAATGGGCTAGCAGGAGAAGAAGGAGCGGGACCCTGTTAGTTTGGGTAGGTGAGGTTGCAGGAAAAAGACACCCAAACATGTAATGGCAATAATAAGGAAGTTGATTTGTCATGCTCAGGATGGTACTGGGCTTGTCAGTAGGTCAGTGGGACAGCCTTCCTCCACTTGGCCATTCTGGGTCCAGGCTTTTGGAGACTCAGTCATCTTCTACATGTGGCATGTCAAGAATCTATCTTCCACCTTTCTGTTTGTAAATTATTATTATTATAACTTTTATTTTGAAATGAAATACAAGCGATTTCCCACACTTCTCCAAATGATAGTGTCTTACATAACCATAGAACATATTTGAAAACCTGGGCACTAACATTGATCCAATACTCTTAACTCGGGTATGGACCTTTTTTGCTCTTCACCTGATTCGATACACATTTTTAAAAAATATGCCTTACTTTTAACTAAACAAGACTTTCACTTTTTATGTGCGTGTGTGTCCCAGGCACTGCACTAGACCCTAGGAGTAGATTTCTGTCTAGATAGCTGAGTGGCCCCCATCACTAGCAAGTTATTCTTTCATCTGGCTGCCAGCTAATCAATGATCTAACTTCTATTCCCCCCTCTCTATTTCCCATCCACATGTGCCCTTAGTGATATTCAATCCTTAACCCACACGTTTCCAGAGGAGATGATCTTCTAGATGTCCAGTCACTACTTAGTTTAAAGCCAATAGCATCTGATACAGAGTATATACCTTTTCCTCCCACCAAAAGTCCGATACCAATTAGATGGGATATTAACAAGTCTGTGCTCTTCAAAATGTACCTTCAGTTTATTCTTCTTCCTCTTATCCAAGGGCCTGATAATCCTTTGAATGAGATTGGCTTCTGTCTGAGCTTCTGGTGGATAATGGCAGCATTTTATCAGGTTTTAGTTTTCATTTTCAGCATAATACAATTATGTGGAGAGAATACTTCCATCTGTATTTCCAGCTCTATGGTACCTCCTTGCCATTGCAAATACTTTTCTTAAATTGCACAGGAGAGTTTAAACAATTGTGAAATTCCTAAAACTGCCTGCTTCATTGCCAAGAAGTCTTCTTCTGGCTGGCATCCAAAGTGGTGGCCACAGTTACCTTTCTGGAGCCCGATTTCCGACATGGCACCCTCTCATTCTTCTTAATAAATGGTTTGAACATCTAAAGTAGCCACAAGGATTCCTGGCATTTGTCAGAGGCGGAAATCCGCATGGCAGACTGAGAGGGAGAGTCATAAAATCTTTGTTTTAGTTTGGACTCATTTAAAAATTGGAATGAAATTAAAAAATGTTTTTTCTTATGTGGTCACGGAGGTTTCCTCTTAGGAGGTGGGAATTCTACCAGGAAATGACGTGTAAGGAAAATGACTATGGAGTCTGTTTAGTGCTTTGTTTTGTGGGTCCATGGGAGCAGGAGTTGTCTCGCTTTCTGCTGAGTCCTCTGCGTCCCCTTCTTGCAGTCAGAGCCCCACAGTTGACGTGTGCTCTTACCGGTAAGTCTCAACAGTTTTTATTTCACACCGTGGTCTGCAAACGTGCTTTCAAAACGTGCCTTTCTTTGTGTGCAAACATTCACACCCACATTCTTATGTTTGTGGATTCTCTGTCTTCCAGAAACACTAGTGTCTGTCCAAACCTTTCAGACCAGAAGGGTGTAACTTTTGGTTTGTGGTCTCATCTCTCTGTGTCTCTCCTTACAATAATACACAGATGTTCAGAAAGCTCTGCTGAAAAGGGAAGAAAGTGTCTTTGATTCCTGCTCCCCAAGCCGCTCTATTTTAGACACTTTCAAAGCTATGAGAATGGAAGGTGTCTGGCTGTTCCCCCGCTGCTGGACAATACTATTTGATTGATTAGAGACTTGGGCACCATTTATGAAACTACCATTTAAACTAGAAAACATGTCATCAGATACAGCTTCAAGCATTGGATGAAGTCTGACTCTGAAAGTTAAACGGGAGGTGATTCTTGTAAAGCAATAAGTTTAATTCTTGGAGCTTGAATCCATCCAAATTCTTTCATCTACCCAACACTTCCTGAGTGTCTCCACCTTGGGCCAGGAACTGTGTGTGATTCCAGGGACACAGTCCTGGCAGCCAGCCCTCATAAAGCTCGGGTCTAGGGGTGATAGGCAAAGCAATCACCTAATACTGTGTGATGAGGTCCACAAACAGGAGTGCACCACAGGTTGGTGGGGGCAGAGGCGGCCCAGGGAGGGGCTGGGCTATGCCCAGGTTGGGGTGGAAATGGACAAGAGGTGTTGGAAGTTGTTTTCGAGATGAAATAAGGCATGGCCTGAATCTTGAAGGTGAGCCATGTGGTCACAGATCAGGATAGGTATTTAGAGATGGAGAAAGCATCCATGAAGCTCGTGGGTGTGTAGGGGAGCAGCCGGCCTGTGGTGTGGTGGGGCTGAAGTGAGAAGAGGCTAAAAGCAAGGAGGGACTTCCTCATGAAGAGCCAGTTGAAGGAGTTTAGACATGTGTTTTCTGTAGGCAATGTAGAGCTACTAAAAATATTTAAGCATGCTTATGTAAATTTGATGGTAAAAATACATAAATAAATAAAAATAAAAACATAAAAAAGTTTAAGCACATGCATGATGTAGGTTAGTTTGTGTTTTCATTGTACAAAACACAGATAGTCTGTATGATGCAAAAATAAGAAGTCAATTAAGTCAACCTGGTCCCATCACTGAAAAATTATTGTCAAAGCAGCTTGACAGCCTTAATTGGTTAATTCTTTCAAAGTAAGGGTACAAGTAAAGATGTGTTTCCAGTAAAAAGGTTTCTTTTATTTTCCCTTGTGCAATAGTGAAACTCACTCCACTAGATCTCCAATAGCCACTGTCTCTTCTTCTACAATGTCAATCAGTAAAATTTGCACCTTGTCCAACATGTATTGATTAATTTCCAGGAACAGCCTCAACTTCCAGTTTGCTCCGGATTTTAAATTGGATCCATTCCTATATCTTCTGGGGCTGTCTATAATGTATTTATCTTCTTGGTGTTATGGCCATTATTGCATAAATTGCTAATTATGTTATTGGCTCATATTCAGAGAATAAAGAAATACAGAATGAAATTGAGTGAAAATCAAAATATTCATAATAACTGTAGACGTCTGTTTTACAGAACATTAAAATTCTTGAAAAAAATCACAGTATTTCATGGGATTAAACACAAAAATCGGATTTAACAACTTGAGTGATATGCTAAGAGACCCATAGAAGGGAACAACTTTGATGACTCCTTTCAGAGTACACTTTAGATAAAATGGGAGAAGACATTTTTCTTTGTTCTACCTTTTCCCTTATGGAGGAAATACAAAATTCCTGCTTGTCCTGGACCGTCCTGGTTTAAGCCTTTTTCTGGGGTTCTACATGGTTTAATATTGGTCCCAGGTCTTCCATTCCTTAATGAGGAAATATTATTAATGGTCACATTAAAATAAGTCAGAGTAGGTTTTTTTTCTTCAACTTTTATTTTAGAATCAGGGGTACATGTGCAGTTTGTTACGAGTCAATTGCATGATGCTGAGGTTTGGAGTATGAATGAATCTATCACTCAGGTAATGAGCATGGTACCCAAGAGGTAGTTTTTAACCCTTGCCCTCCTCTCTACCTCTCCCCTCTTGTATTTCACAGTGCTCTGTTCCCATCTTTATGTCTATGTATACCCGATATTTAACTCCCACTTATAAGTGAGATCACATAGTATTTGTTTTCTGTTTCTGCATTAGTTTGCTTAGGAGCATGGCCTCCAGCTGCATCCATGTTGCTGCAAAGGACATGATTTAATTTTTTTATGACTGCATAGTATTCCAAGGTGTTTGTGTGGCACATTTTCTTTATCCAATCCACCACTGATGGGCGCCTGGGTTGATTCCATGTTTTCACTATTGTGAATGGTGCTGCAATGAACATACAAGTGCATGTGTCTTTTTGGTAGAATGACTTCCCTTCGGGTATATACCCCATAGTGGGATTGCTGGGTGGAATGGCAGCTCTGTTTTAAGTTCTTTGAGAAATCTTCAAACTACTCTTCACAGTGGCTGAACTAACATACATTGGCTGGGGTAGGTTTGGTAGGCCTCCACTTCATAGTTCCACTGTCTGGAGCAGCCTTATGGGTCAAGCATGGGCCGGGCTGTTGGGCCCCTGTGCCCTCATGGTTGGTTTTGATTTTGATGGCACCCCTAGACTTTATCAGGGTGACCCCTCAGGTATACACCGTGCCTGCAGGGCCAGTGCTGCAGGCCGGGCACCAAGGCAGTGAGTGAGTGCCTGGAGAAGAAGTAAGGGATGAAGCCATGGAAAGGTGTGGCCTGACCCTTAGGCTGGTGATGAAGGCGCTCTTGGAAGTGGGTGCCTCAGGTGGTAGAAACATTGAAGTTGCTGTCACCAGGCGAGATCAATCCCTCAGGAATTTAAATCCTGAAGAAATTGAGAAATATGATGCTGAAATTGAAAAATAAAAAGAATAAAACGAAAAGAAGAAAGAAAAGAAAGCATCATGATGACTAAAATGTTCTTGCTTGTAACAATTTTTAAATTCAAATCACGGATGAGTCTACATCTACATGATGTAGGCATTTCCATTGCCTTTATTCACACCATCTGAGGGTCCTACAGTAAACTTCCATATTTGAATTTAAAAAGTGAGCATAGCAGGCTAAGCATGCTTCCTTGGCTGCCTGCCATCAATTGCATTTAGAAATGGTTGAGTTTTGCAGGTCAACTTTACAAGTAAAACCTAAGTCTCTAAACGTGGCAGTGGATATTTTTGTAAATGAGTCTTCTAAATTTTGATTGCATTTTGTTCAAAATCTGTTGGAAATCTGTGGCCAAAGTATTTAAAGAAGGGAGCACAAAAAAGTATTAGCTATTACATGTATTGAAATTACAAGTAATATTACGCATTACTGGTATTGAAAACAAAGCTGAGAGCAGAGACTCCATAACTTACACGTACAAGAGGAAGTAACTGAATAAATTAGAAGGCAAGGGCTCAGATAAGGTATAAAGTTTAATTTCGGGATTCTTTAGTTTCATTTCAAAAATCTTGTGTGTGGGAAAAATATTTTTGAAGAAGGTTCTGTTATTTTTTATTTTTTTGAGACCGAGTGTCACTCTGTTGCCCAGGCTGGAGTGCAGTGGCCCCATCTCGGCTCACTGCAACTTCCACCTCCTGTGTTCAAGTAATTCTCCTTCCTCAGCCTCCCGAGTAGCTGGGACTACAGGCGCAGGCCACCTCGCCCAGCTAATTTTTGTATTTTTATATTTTTAGTAGAGATGGGGTTTCACCGTATTGGTCAAGCTGGTCTCAAACTCCTGACCTCAGGCAATCTACCCGCCTCGGTCTCCCAAAGTGTTGGGATTAAAGGCATGAGCCACCACACCCGGCCGAAGGTTCTTTTTTTTTTTTTTTGAGGCGGAGTGTCGCTCTGTCGCCCAGGCTGGAGCGCAGTGGCGCCATCTCAGCTCACTGCAAGCTCTGCCTCCCAGGTTCACGCCATTCTCCTGCCTCAGCCTCCCGAGTAGCTGGGACTACAAGCGTCCACCACCACACCCGGCTAATTTTTTGTATTTTTAATAGAGACGGGGTTTCACCATGTAGCCAGGATGGTCTCAATCTCCTGACCTCGTGATCCACCCGCCTCGGCCTCCCAAAGTGCTGGGATTACAAGCGTGAGCCTCTGCGCCCAGCCGAAGATTCTGTTTTTAATTAGATAAATTTTTACTCTGAACCCTAGTGAAATGACATTTTTAAATCTATTCTGCTGCGTCTACATTTGGCATGTTTGAAACGTTTGACCTTGTAAAAAGTGTTTTGAACAGAGTTTAAAAAGACAAAAACTATATTTTTTGTCTTATATTTTTTATATAAATCTTTTATATTTATATTTGGGTGGAAATATTTACACATTTCAATTAGGAAAATCAGTACTGAGAATATTCTCTAGTTAGGAGCATTTGTGTACCTCTGTCCCTAGAGAAGACTTTTTCTCAACTAAAGATACTATGGTCTATTGAGGTGACTTGAAGGTATCAATAATTTAAAATTCATTAACTGGCCAGGCACAGTGGCTCACGCCTATAATCTCAGCACTTTGGGAGGCTGGGGTGGGGGGGATCACCTGAGGTCAGGAGTTCGAGACCAGCCTGATCAACATGGCGAAACCCCGTCTCTACTAAAAATACAAAACTTAGCTGGGTGTGTTGGCGTGTGCCTGTAATCTCAGCTACTCGGGAGGCTGAGGCTTGAATCGCTTGAACCCGGGAGGCAGAGGTTGCAGTGAGCTGAGATCACGCCTGGCCGAAAGAGTAAGACTCTGTCTAAAAAAACCCACAAATTATTAACGATAAAAAGTGACTTTGAAGAAGATTGCTGGCAATTTTATAAAAAAGATGAAAGGATAATAAGACCAATTTGAAGAAAGTACATTTTTCAGAAAAAAAAAAAATGAGTGCCATGCATTCAAGATATAGCTGAGAAACTGATCAAAGCATGTGAATAGGCACCAAAAGTAATTCTGCTTATTTTAATTTTTAACACTCAGATAATCAATATGAAGAAATTTTCGATTTTTATTTACATACACTACAAAGGTATATGCTACTTATTTTTCTAGAAAGTTTATTTTTAAAAATAGTCTTTGAGTTGAACTATTTCATAGGTCTATCAATATAATAAAACCAATTTATTAGTCAATAAAAAGTTAAAAATCATATAATTTTGTTTCTAGCAACATGAAATAGCAATTCAGAAAAAGATTTTATATTGTTTTGATACCCCATTTCCTTCCAGAAGTAGGGTGATAAATTGCTTTTCAAAAATCTTTACCTTGTGCGTTAGTTAGGTTTAGGTTTACAAGTTACAGACCCCTGACAGCCATGGTGTAAGCAAGGTGGATGCCTCTTTCTCTTCTGTAGAAGTCTGGGGTCAGTTGTTGGGGACCCGAATGTAAGTCCTGCTCCTCCTGTCTTATTCTTCTAGTGTACGTAGTTTCCACTGCCATGTCTGGTTGTTCCATCTTCAGCTACCTCAGGAAAATTCAGTCAATAGGAAGGAAGGCAGAGGGAGGACAGGCAGTGAAGGACAGGTGCCAGCTGCCTGTTGTTTTTAATAGACTTTATTTTTTGGAGCAGTTTTAGATTCACAGCAAAATTTAGTGCAAGGTAAAGATAATTCCCATACCCCTACACATGCATAGCCTTAATGCATAGACTCTAGTGTCAACATCCAACACCAGAGTAGTGCCTTTATTACATTTGATGAACCTGCATTGCCATATCATTGTCACCCAGAGTTGATATTAGGATTCACTCTTGGTGGTGCACATTCCATGGGCTTGGACAACCCATGGATAACCCATTATGTGTGGGCATAATGACATGTATCCACCCTTATAGGATCACACAGAGTAGATTTGCTGCCCTAAGAATTCTCCATGCTCTGCCTGTTCATCCTTCCCTCTCTCCTAAACCCTGGCAACCACAGATCTTTTTACCGTCTCCATAGTTTTGCGTTTCCCAGAATGTCATAGAGTTGAACTTGCACAGTGTGTTGGCATTTCAGATTGGTTTCTTTCACTTCATAATACATTTGTGTTTCCAACATGAGTTTTCATGGTTTAATAGCTAATTTCTGTTTTAGCTCTGAGTAATAGTTCATTGTTTGGAGATATCACCTTGTTTTTTTATTAATTCATTCCCCTACTGAAGGACACCTTGGTTGCTTCCAAGCTTTGGCAATTACGAATAAAGCTGCTAGAAACATCTGTGTGCAGGTGTTTGTGTGGACATCAAGGAGTATGATAGCTGGATTGTATGCTAAGAGTATGTCTAGTTTTGTAATAAACTGCTAAGTTGAACTCCAAAGTGGCTGCACCATTTTGCATTCCCACCAGTAATGAATGAGAGTTCCCGTTGCTTCACACTTTTGCCAACCTTTAGTGTGGTCAATATTTTGGATTTTGGCCATTCTAATTAGGTGTGTAATGGTTCCTCATAGTTGTTTTAATTTGCATTTCCCTGATGACATGTTATGTATGTATCTTTTTGTATGCTAATTTGCAATCTGCATATTTTCTTTGTTATCTATTAAGTCTTTGGGCCCATTTTTAACTAAGTTGTTGTCTTTCTTCTTCTTTTTTTTTTTTTTTTTTTTTTTTTTTTTTTTTTTTTTTTTTGTGAGACACGGTCTTCGGTCTTGTTCTCTTGTTCTGTCACCAAGGCTGGGGTGTGGTGGCATAACTTTGGCTCACTGCAGCCTTGACCACCTGGGCTTAAGTGATCCTCCCACCTCAGCCTCCCAAGTAGCTGGGACCACAGGTGGACACCACCATGTCTGGCTAATTTTTTCATATTTTTTGTAGACATGGGGTTTTACCATGTTGCCCAGGCTGTGTTTTCTTATTGTTGAGTTTTAAGAGTTCTTCGTATATTTTAGATAACAGTCCTTTATCAGATATATCCTTTGCAAATATTTTCCCCCAGTCTGTGGTTTGTCTTTTCATTCTCTTCACAATGGTTTTTTTTTTTCAGAGCAGAAAATTTCCACTTTAATGAATTCCAGCTTATCAATTATTTCTTTCATGGATTGTGCCTTTGTTGTTAGAATCTAAAAAGTCATTGCCCAACCCAAGGCTATTTAGATTTTCTATGTTATCTTCTGGGATTTTTATAGTTTTGTGTTTTATATTTGGGTTTGTGATCCACTTAGAGTTCATTTTTGTGGAGGGTGTAAGGTCTGTGTCTAGATTCATTTTTAAAATTTTGCCTGTGGATTTACAGTTGTTCCAGCACCATTTGTTAAAAAACTACCTTTTCTTTATTGCATTACCCTTGCTCCTTTGTCAAATATCCTTTGGCTATATTTATGTAAGTCTATTTTGGGGCTCTCTATTCTGTTTCATTGATCTATTTGCCTATTCTTTCACCAGTAACGCAGTTTTGATTCCTGTAACTTTATATATAGTAAGTCTTGAAGTCAGGTGGTGTCAGTCTTCCAACTATTCTTCTCCTTCAATAACATGTTGGCTATTCTGGATGTTTTTCCTCTCCTTATAAACTTTAGAATCAGTTTGATGATAGCCACAAAATAACTTGCTGAGAGTTTTGATTAGGATTGCATTGAATCCAAAGATCAAGTTGAGGAGAACTGACATCTTGACAATCTTGAGTCTTCTTATCCATGAATATGGAATTTTTCCCTATTTATTTAGTTATATTTTGATCTCTTTTATTAGGGTTTTGTAGTTTTCCTCATATAGATTTTGCACATATGTGTTAGAGTCATACCTAAATATTTCACTTTGGGGGTATTAATGTATGTGTGTTTTTAATTTCAAATTCCATTTGTTCATTGGTGATATATAAAAGTGATGACTTTTGTGTATTAACCTTGCACCCTGCAACTTTGCTGTAATTGCTTGTTAATTGCGGGAGGTTTTTTTCTTGTCAATTCTTTTATTTTTTTTTTTTAACAAAAATAATCATGTCATATGCAAACAAAGACAATTTTATTTATGGTTCAAAATCTGTTGGTTTTTTTCTTTTTCTCGTCTTATTGCATTAGCTAGGACTCCCAGTACAATGCTGAAAAGCAGTGGTGAAAGGGACATTCTTGTCTTGTTCTTGATCTCAGTGGGAAAGCTTTCAATTTATCACCATTAGGTATGATGTTCATTATAAACTTTTTGTAGAATTCTTTATCAAGTTGAGGAAGTTCCCCTCTATTCCTAGTTTACTGAGAGTTCTTTATTTTTTAATTATGAATAGGAGTTGGATTTTGCCAAATGCTTTTTCTGTATCTATTGATATGACCACGTGACTATCAGTTGTCTTGTAAGGAAGTTTTCAGAAATTGTCTCATCACATTTCAGCTTGCATCACCTTGACCAGAATTTAGTCACAGGGTTACACTTAGCTTTAGGGGAGGCTGGGAAATACCGATTTTTTTTTTGTCATGGTTAGTGATGGTCCAAGATTTAAATGAAGGATTCTATTCTCAGAAAGATGGAAAGTACAGAACAGCAGTCCCTGCCACACATCATCCTACAAACACGTACTATCATCCAACAGCTCTGTAGCCTGACTGCTTGGTTAGAGAATACACTTTGCCTGTGCTTTTTAAATGTTGCAAGAGAGATCCTTGATACCATAGGACTGAATTAGTATCCCTAGGGAATACCTTCCACAATCATTACATTTACTTCAATCTCTCATCTGAAGACTCATGCAAATTTTGACACTATTCTAAAAAAATAAATATTTCTCTCCTTGGTTTAAAATATGTTAAAGATTCTTATTGTAGGAAAAAAACAAATGGCTTCGGAAGATGTTCCTATTTTGTCTGTGAGTACACATATACTCTGATTTGAGAACATAGTGTGTTTCTCTCATCTTAGATGGCTCAGCTGTCTAAAAGGCCTTTGTGTTTTTACAGCACTCTCTCAGGTCTAAAGAAACACATTTCTGGCAGGGCGCAGTGGCTCATGCCTGTAATCCCAGCATTTTGTGAGGCCAAGGTAGGCGGATCATGAGGTCAGGAGTTTGAGACCAGCCTGTCCAATATGGTGAAACCCCGTCTCTACTAAAAATATAAAAATTAGCTGGGTGTGGTGGCGGGCACCTGTAGTCCCAGCTACCCTGGAGATTGAGACAGGAGAATCGTTTGAACCTGGGAGTCGGAGGTTGCAGTGAGCTGAGATCGTACCATTGCCCTCCAGCCTGGGCGACAGAGCAAGACTGTCCCAAAAAAACAAACAAACAAAAAAAGAAAAAAAAAAAAACCAAAAAACACATTTCTTCTGGTAGAGTTCAAGTGACTGAGAAGGCACTGTGGTTGCAGGGCTCCCAGTCCTCCATTCACACCTCCTAGGTAGACACATGCTCCTTGGCCATACATTTTTTCTGTTCTTGGGACTGGTCTGGGTTTTTGATAGACAATACTTTACTTTTTAAATTCATTGTTTTAAAAAATGCAGAAGCAAATTAAAGTTCTGAAGGAGGGGGCCTGGAAGCCACGTGTTCTCTATGTGTTGTTTGTGTCAATATTTAAAATTCCAACATCAATTACTTGGAACTTCAATAAGGAGCCACAGGCCCCTTGCCTCCATCCACTAATTATTATCACACTTAGCCAGTCTCAGCCTTCCTAGCAAGGAAATTGCTACAAGAATTATAAGACAACATGGGAATGTCGGCCACTTATGAGAGGCCCATGTTAAATTTTTAAATAAGACCATAGTTTCTATTAAAAGCTTATAGATACAATGTAGAGAAATCTTTTAGGAATTCTGAATGTGGGTGGAAAAGCATTTATTCATTAGAAAAGTCTTGATCATGTGCCCAAATGTGCTAGTCCTGCACTGGACAGTGAGGATAGGTTGGTGATCAAGAACCAATATGGATGTCAGCCCACGCATAAAGCAGACACTTAAACAAAATGTAATTAATCATCATCAGTGCTAGGAAGGAAAAACACAACCTGCTGAAAGCCTGCGCACCAAAGATACCCAAACCATTCTGAGGCTCAGGCAAGACTTCTCCAAGGCTAGCCACATCCTAAGGGTGACAAGGCTGGGGAATAGCATTCTGAGGCTAAGCAGATTGCCCATGCAAAAGCTTTTAAGGATGGAAAAACCTTGTGGTTTTTAAGAAATTCAAAGAGAACTGCATTACAAGCCGCCTTAAGGAATTACCAAAGGGTTTAAGTAGAGAAACGAGATGGTTGGATTTGCCTTGTCAAAAGGCCCTGGAGGTTGGTGTTATTAGCCTGGGAGAACAGCAAGCAGGTTATCAGGGCTCAACATAGAGTGGAGCCTGGAAGTCAAGGGGAAGAGAGATGGATAGAGATAAGTGATATTGGAGGCAAAATTGACGGCACCTGCATGTGGATCAAGTATCGGGGAGAGGCTGGGGGAGGACCATTTGCATATTTTTAGAGGAAAATGGGGATGGAGGTAGTGCCATGTACTGCAACAAGGAATGTGGGGGGTGGGGGTAGAAAAAGGGGGAAGATCACAAGACTACAGAAGTTAAGAGATCAATGAGTCCAACCCCTTCACTTCATAGTTGCAGATACTCAGGCCCAGGAATAAGAAACGACTGCATCTAAGGCCTTGCTTCTCGAAGGGTGCAAGCTTGTTAGAAATGCAAAGTTGCAGCCTTCCCAGTCCTGTGGAATCAGAACCTCCATTTTAACTAGGTTCCCAAGTGATTTGTAGACATCAAGCTTGAGAAGCACTGTTCCAAGGAAATTAATGAACATGCTGCACTGCTCAGTTAGTACTAAGTTAATATGATTTGGGATAAGTTTTCTTACTTTTATAAAACATTCTTTATACATATGCTTTAGGAGTGATGTCCAAGTTTAAAAGGTAAGTTGAGGATTGCCAAAATTGAAGGACATTTTATTCAATGAACAAAAGGCTACTAATGTTTTGCCTGTAATATTAAGGAATAAAGGAAGAAATGATAGAGGGAAGGGAGGGAGGACAAAAGGAAGGAAGGATGGAAGAAAGAGGGAAAGAGAGAAAGAAAGAATCTTCAAAGGCCATGTATATAATGGATTATTCACAATTTGTAAATATGGGATAAGAAAGAACTGGTCAAGTCAACTCTGCATTACATATTGTAGACACATGCTTCAATAGATTCTTTAAAAAGGAGTCAAAACTGCCAAATTCCTTTCTCTTACATAAGTTGCTTTTTTTAAGGAAGGGGATATTCGTAATTGTTACAGATTTCTAAATGTTGCTTAACAAAACCAGTGCTATAAAATCTTCTCAGCCAGAAATTATTTTTGTCTGCCTTTGTCATTTACTGAGCTGCACTGAGCAGGGGTCCCAGCAAACACTGTGCCATGTGCCCACATGTCCAGCATATTGCTGCTGCTCAAGGACCAAGTCTCAGCACAGGTGTGGAGTTGAGAAACTGCCCACCACAATGCATGTTATCTAGTTTTGGGTAACAAATTTTTTCAGTGATTTAACACAACAAACATTACTTGTCTCATAGTTTCTGTGGGTGAAGAACCTGGGTTTCACTTAACTAGTTGCCTCTGCTTCAAAGTCTTCATGAGATTGCTGTCAGCTAAGCTATCAGCTGGGGCTGCAGTCTCATCTGAAGGTTCGACTTCAGGGGGCTCTGTCTGCTTCTGAGTCACTCATGTGGTTGCTGGCGGGCCTCAGCCCCTTGCCATGTGGGCCTCTCCATAGAGCTACTGCCTCAGGACTGGGCATCTGCCTCCTCAAGGTGAGCAGAAGAGGATGCCTAGGGCAGGAACCGCAATATTTTATAGCCTAATATTAGACTTGTCACTTCAACCTCATCACTTTTGTCATATTCTACTTTTTAGAAGCAAGTCAATAAGTTCAGCTCACATTCAGTGGGGGAAACCATGAAAGAGTGTGGATACTCAGAGGTGGGGGTTCTGAGTCCATTCTAGAGGCTGCCTGCCACACAGGGTTATTTTCTTCTTCATTTCTGCTCTTATCAGAGCGATAAGATACTTAATGGCTACTTTCCTAAAAGTGTGTCTCAACCCAGCCCACGGTATTGGATTCTACCCCAGTGTTCCCAAGGAGAACCTTGATATACTTTTTTTTTTGACAGTGTCTGGCTCTGTCACTCAGGCTGGAGTGCAGTGGTGCAGTCTTGGCTGACTGCAGCCTCAACCTCCTGGGGTCAATTGCTCCATCTCCCTAGCATTGGGACCACAGGTGTGAGCCACCAAGCCCAGTTAATTTTTGTATTTTTTTGTAGAGACAGGGTTTTGCCATATTGCCCAGACTGGTTTTGAACTCCTGAGCTCAAGTGATCAGCCCATCTCAGCCTCTCAAATTGCTGGGATGACAGGGCTGAGCCACTGCACCCAGCCATGGTATACTACTTTTGATGGGTCAAATGGGACAATAGCAGAAAGCCTGGTGAGGGGATCTGCAAGGGCTGATGGTGGAGATGCAGGCAAAGGAGAGAGGCAAGCGGCTGTCCTGGGCGGGCAGGCCCCTCTCACACTCACGATCTTCCTGACACAGGGAAGGCCATCTCTTGTTCATTTCTTTCCTCCTCTCTGCCTTCACACTTGGCTCAATTGTATAGTTAAGTCAGGAACTTACAGGCTTATGCCTGTAATCCCAGCATTTTGGGAGGCTGAGGTGGGCGGATCACTTGAGGCCAGGCGTTTGAGACCAACCTGGTTAACATGGCAAAACCCCATCTCTACAAACAACAAAAAATTAACTGCTTGTGGTGGCACATGCCTGTGGTCCCAGCTATTTGGAAGGCTTAGGTGGGAGGATTGCTTGAGCCCAGGAGATCAAGAATATAGTGAGCCATAATTGTGCACTCCAGCCTGAGTGGCAGAGCAAGACTCTGACTTAAAAAAAAAAGAAAATCTATACTTAGGCAGGGCCTCTTCTTTCCTCAGACCATTCCTTGCATTTCCAAAGGCCCAACATGGAGGTCACCAGCTTCCCTGGCAGGGATTGGTCATCTCTCTCCCGCACTCCCTTAGCCCTTCCTGACTGAGAGTCTGCATTGTGCCAGGCTCTGAGCCGGTGCTCAGGACACCATTGCAGGCAAAACAGACTTACCCCGTGCCCTCAAGGATGTCTCAGTACATTTGGAGAGGCAGACATTGATGAAACAAACACACACAGAATTGTACCTTTGCTATAAAAGAAAGGGACCAAGACTGAAGACCTAAGCTTGGCTGAGGGTTTGGCATGGGCTCTGAGGAAGGGACATTTAGGCACAGTCTTGAGAGGGGAGCAGAGTTGGCTGGGTACGGCAGCGGTGAGAGTCACCGGGCAGAAGCTGGCCCAGGATGAGGTGGAGAGTGGCCTATCTGAAACAGGCAAGAAGGCCTGCGAGTGTGGCATGAAGATCTGGGGGAGCTGCACAGGGAACACAGGTCCTAGCACAGAGGCACGGGATACACCACTTAGTGCCCATTACACAGTAATGAAGGTGAAGACCAGAGGCACCCATAGCTCATGGCAGGCTTGGGAATAGAAATAAAAATTCCTAGATTCCGGAGCTGAGCCAGAAGGCGGTAGATCTCAGATGTGTGAGAGTCCTCCAGGACTTAACAGGCAAAGTCAGGAAGTGAAGTGGGCTGAGTCTTCAGCAATGATGTTCCTCCCTCTCCTCCCCGCATGTCCCCTTCCCTCTAGGGCCTGCGTCTCTGCTTTCCTCCTCAGCACCAACACCTGGACTCCAATGTGCTTACTGCCCAGCCTGGACTTCCCAGGGCTCCTCCTTTCTCAGCCCCTCGGGTCTGCCTTCTCCTTCCTGCACCTGGTTCCAGGCTGGGACCTGCTCACGGGGCTCTGGCCACTGTCTTTCTGTTTCACGGTGGAATACACCAAGCTTGTTCCAGCCCCGGGCCTTTGCACTTGGAGTTCTCTCTTCCTGAAATGCTCTTGCCTCTAGTCCAAATGACACTTTCTCAGAGTAGAACCTGCAACGTAATTTTTAGGGCACAGTGCAAAATGAAAATGGGAGTCCCTTGTGTAAAAAGCAGGGAATTAGCTTGTTTCTTTCTTCTGCAGTCTCTCTTGTCTGTCATAGTGTTTTTTTGATTAATTGATTGAGACGGGTTTTGCTCTGTTGCCTAGGCTGGAGTGCAGTGGCGTGATCACGGCCCACTGAAACTTTGACCTCTCAGGCTCAAGAGATCCTCCTAATCTCAGCCTCCTGAGTAGCTGGGACCACAGGTTTGTACCACTATGCCCAGCTAATTTTTAATTTTTTCGTAGAGACGAGGTCTTGCTGTGTTGCCCAGGCTGGTCTTGAACTCCTGAGCCCAAGTGATTCTCCCACCTCAGTCTCCCAAAGTGCTGAGATTACAAGTGTGGGCCACTGCACCTGGCCTATTGAAAGGTGAAGCCAGCTGGACTTCCTGGGTCAAGTGGAGACTTGGAGAACTTTTCTGTCTTACAAGAGGATTGTAAAATGCACCAATCAGCACTCTGTAGCTAGGATTGTAAAACCCACGAATCAGCGCTCTGTAGCTAGCAAGGGGATTGTAAAATGCACTAATCAGCAATCCATAAAAACGCACCAATCAGTGCTCTGTAGCTAGCAAGAGGATTATAAAATGCACAAATGAGCACTCTGTAAAACACCAATCAGTGCTCTGTAAAATGCACCAATCAGAACTCTGTAAAACACACCAATCAGCAGGACTCTAAGAGTAGCCAATCACAGGGAGGATTGAAAAAAGGGCATTCTGATAGGACAGAAACAGAACATGGAAGGGGACAAATAAGGGAATAAAAGCTGGCTACACCCAGCCAGCAGTGGCAACCTGCTGGGGTCACCTTCCAGGCTGTGGAAGCTTTGTCCTTTTGCTCTTCACCATGAACCTGGCTACTGCTCGCTCTCCGGGTCCGTGCCATCTTTAACAGCTGTAACACTCACTGCGAAGATCCCCGGCTCCATTCTTGAAGTCAACGAGAACACAAGACCACGAACCCACCCGCAGGAACCAGCCCCGGCCACACTATCATGGTGTTTTAAATTAGCTATTCATTGCCATGCTTCCTGGGGCACAAGATACTTCTGGGGCAAATACAGACCTTCCCAGGCTCTTGGGAAATACACTGAACCTGTCCCACCTGGCACTGGTGCCCCTTCAGGGTGCAGAGGACAGTTACAGTTGCTGGGCAGGTGAGGCAGGAGGTGGCTGAGAACCTGTCATGGGGTACTCCTGGAGCATGTGCCATTGTCCCATCAGAGGCCACTTACAAAACACAAAATCAAAGATAAAGTTATTAAGAATTTCAACATGACTGCTGAAGAGTTTCAGTCTCCACATGCGAGGCTTCTTTTTTTTTTCTTTTTTTGAGACGGAGTCTCTGTTGTCCAGGCTGGAGTGCAATGGCATGATCTCGGCTCACTGCAACCTCCGCCTCCTGGGTTCAAGCGATTCTCCTGCCTCAGGCTCCTGAGTAGCTGGGGTTACAGGCATGCACCACCACCTCTGGCTAATTTTTTTTTTTTTTTTTGTATTTTTAGTAGAGGCAGGATTTCACCATGTTGGCCAGGCTGGTCTCAAACTCCTAACCTCATGATCCGCCCGCCTCGGCCTCCCAAAGTGCTGGGATTACAGGCGTGAGCCACCGCGCCCAGCTGCGAGGCTTCTTTTGAATGTGGGACCTTATGCGACCATGCGAGCCACATGCCTGTGAAGCCAGCCCTGTCTCAGTGACCCGCTTTGATCCCCTTATCCAAAATAGCCCTATTCCATCTAACTGCAAAAGTCACACCCCATCACACCTCCCTGTTTTATGTCCTTTAGACAAAATTAGGTTCTGAAATGATCCCTTTAACCTGTTGTCTGTTTTTGTTGTCCACCGCGAAAGTGTAAACTTCATGAAAGCTTGTCCTAATTGTCTCCATGCCTAGGGCAGGAACTGGTACATGTAGACCTTCAATAAATATTTGTTGATAGAGTAAATAAATGTAAAAGGGAATTTATTGCGGATAGTTGTCGATAAACTTGCTGTTTCTCCTAACTCATGCACTCTGGCAATGCGACAGAACCGCCCGACGGGGCACTGTTTGGTCCTGTATGTGGAGTTACCAGACAGGACCTGGATGCTCTGGCCCATACGGAGTCCATCAGAAGGCCAGCTCCGGCTTTCTTTTGCTTTGAGGCTTGTCCTTGAGTTGCTCCAGGCAACTCAAGGGGTCTCATCTCCCTGCTGCCTTCTGCCCTGGATCATCTGTACCCTGCCTTTGGGCTGGGATGAAAGGAGTGCAGGGAGACCCAGGTCTCCTGAGAGACCTGTTCTTTCCTGGCTCTCAACACGGTGGCTAAGCTTCCCCATAACACTTGTCCCTCCCCCTCTCTGTCTTTCTCCCACAATCCAGGAGAATCTGCCTGCCCGGGGCACCCAGCCAGTTACTGTGACAATGACCTCCCATGAAGCTGAGCAATTGCCACTAGCCTGCAATTAGCTGAATTTTTGGAAAGCCCCTGTGTGTACCAGGATCCCGGAATGAATATGAACACTGTCCCATCAGGCTGAAGTCTAAGGGGCTTCAGCATTCTTGATTAAAAATATACATATATTGACTCCAGTACTCATAACAAGTATGCCATTAACAGAGGCTAGGAAACTTTTTTAGTTATGCAGAGCTTTTGCACTAAAAAACAACGCAGTGTGAGGTCCATAATAGGAGGGAGAGGGAAGTGTGGCTTCAAGAGAATGCAAACAGCCCCATTGCAGAGGCACGATGGAGGAACTCGGAGACGCAATAACAATCCTCTCTTTTTAAAAGCAACTTTGGACCTTATTTTTCTAACAAAAGTAGCAATATTTTCAGAAAATTCCCTTATATCATGTGTGTGTGTGTGTGTTTCAATTTAAATGATGGTTTTGGGCATTTTCTGTGGCTATTCCATTTGACTAGACATATGAAGCCAAACTGCGTCTGTGGCATGCATAAACATGATCTTCTCCTGCTTTTAAAAGAAAGAAGTATTAATGGCTTCTAATCTTCCTGAAGCAATATATTTATTTATTTTCCTAACAAAGTATATAAGTGGAATGTGCTATATCTGTACATATGTGCTGACTTTTTTTTTTAAGTAAGCTTTTCAAAGAGCCAACATCTGGCTTTGTTGATTTTCTGTATGTTTGTTTTCTATTTCTTAGTTTCTGTCTTTATCTATATTTCTATTATTTGCCTTCCCCTACTGTGGGTTTAATTTGCTCTTATTCTGGCTTTGTAAGGTGGAAACTTAGAACAGTGATTTAAGACTTTTTTCTTTTTTAATACAGACATTTAAAAGAATAAATTTTTCTCTAAGGATTGTGTAGGGTGCATCCTACAAACTTGGACATACTGGGTATTTATTATCAGTCAGTTTGAAATATTTTCTAGTTCCTTAAAGACTTCTCCTTTTTTAAAAAACGGTATGTGTTATTTGGAAATGTGTACTTAATTTCCAAATACTTAGCTATTTTCTAAGTATCCTTTCTTAAAACATCTTATTGTTACTGATTTCTAATTCAATTCCATTGTGGTCAGATTTCAAGCTACTGAAATTTACTGAGATTTGTTTTCTGACCCAGCATGAAATGTGCATTTTTAGTGAACTGCCTCACCAGTTTTTATCTTTAAATTTTACTTCAAAATTATCTTCCCTCTTTAAATTTAGCCTGGAAACTGATACAAATGTGCATACTAAGACAAGGAACAAATAATGCCAACTCAGGCTTTATCTCTGTTGGAAAAATCTGTTTACTTTGCAATTATCAGAGATTGGCAGGCCTCTTCTAAAATGTTCCCTGCAGGGCACGGATTTAAAATACTCTCTCCTGAAATCAGGTGGCAAAGACAAGAAAAAATTATTTACTTCTGTCTATGGTTTTTAATGAATTACCTCTCAGAGGCAAGGGGAATTGGACGGGTCTCGGCATAGTTTGAAGACTAGGGTTTGTCCTTGTCTCTCAGTATTTAAGGGTCTGTATTATTTCCCCACCATAGTTTCCACTTCTTTGACCTTCCCAGTGCTCCACAGACTCGGACATGAAACACACTTAGCAAATTCTATTTAATTGAGTAATGAACAGATATTGAGCATCCTCCGGCAGTGAAATCTGAAATAATGGCATTGAGAAAACAAATGTATGAAAATGGACATTCCCCACTGAACACTGCAATGATATCATTAATGAAATTGATATATTGGGTGTTGCCAAGTCACTCAAGTGGCTGTTAATAAATACTAGAGCTTTTACGAGAATACAACTTCTTTAAAAAATGCAATCCTAAAATCAAGTCCCCAAATTTTAACATAAATGTAGTCGGAAGGTTTCTTTATGAATTAAGAAGTAAAGTGTTAAATAGTATAAAATATAACAAAAGGCAGATTTGATGGGAGGTGGGAGGTAGTGGAGAGGAGCTTTCTCTTTTACAGGTGTTTGATGTATTTACATGGATTGGTGGATTAAAAGAAATGCCTGCAAGACAGTTTTATCCTGGTGATTAAATTTAATCTTGTACGAAAAATGGTGTGCCAATTATGTATGTTTTGTTATGGCTTTGTTTACCAGATTCGAGAAGAATGTGTTGAATCAGTATATTTCATTTTCAAATCAACCAGTGGCATGTAGCCAAGATAATTTGCTGAAGGTTGGAGTTGTTCTGTTGTTACCTGGCTATTTTGGTGGTGTGCTGTGCTTAGCAGATTATTTTATACATAGTAGCTACTTAGTTAATATCACTTAGATTTAATTGATTTTTTGGTAGAGCTGAAATGAATGTTCATTTTTTATTAGATCGATTTATATTTAGAATCAGCAGCTAAAGAACTAAAGAATACAGAATAATGTTTCTTCTGTGTCAACCCTGTTCCTATTCCCTGCCACTTCACCAAGCCTCGTTTTTCTGCACACCCTTGCTCAAGCCCTTGTAGACTGTGAACTCTCTTGGGTGACCCCTGTGCCTTCTGTTTCTGGGACCCCGGATAACCCGGGCTCCCTGGAAGGAGACCCTGAGGAGATTTGCCAGCAGGAGGTTTATCGGGGAGTGCTTTTGGAAAGAAAACTCAGAAAGGAGTGGGAGAACAGGATGAGACAGAGGGAGAAGCTGAAATGCCACACAGCTGCAGCCACGGGCAGGGCTGATCTGCTGGGATCCTGGAGCCCGGAGGGCTGTTCCCGAGCTGCACAGGATCGAAGCCACAGGCCCTGCTTTTGTATCCCTGTCATTGGTTTCAGGCTGCCTCTGGGGATGGGTTGTTACTTTGGAGGGGACAACTCCCTTTTGCCAAAGGCTTTTCCAAAAGAACAAGTGAGCTGTGAGTCTTCAGCAGCAATGATCTGGCAGCTGGGAGAGTGAGCACCGCCATCATGAAGGGTGGCCACCACGGTGCCCCCGACACCTACAAGGGGGAGGCGGGGGCGGGGGGCAAGTTGAGGAGGGTGAGAGGGGAGGGACAGTCAGGGGAGTGGGTACCGTGACACGTCCTGGACTCTGAGCGCTGAAGAGGAAAGAGGGATGGGGGGAAGGGTCAGTGGGTTGTGGTTCTCGGGGAGAACGGGAGGATGGAGTCCTGCAGCTACCGCTGGGAATGGAAGGGAGGCCCAAGACCGGTGCGTGGGGTCGGGGGAGGCTGGAGGAGAGTGAGGGAATGGGAAAGATCCCCCATAGTGACAGTAAGATCCCAAACTTATGGTTTTGAAAGTTACTAAAATGCTTTAAAAATCACTTCACATGCTTTTTACTGTTCTTATTTGTGTTTTGAAAAAGTCATAAGGGAAGGGAGGGAGATAATGAATTGAATACATGTTTTGTTTAAAACAAGACAACCAGTTTAGTCAGATTTTAGGTCTTCAAGTGAGATTTCTTAGAATAAAGAAGCTCTTTCCATTGGAAGGCTGTGCCCTCATCCTTTAAAAAATGTTTGTGACTGTGGCGCAGCCGCTGTTCCTTCGGAGCTCTCTCCGAGCCTAAAGCAATCTGTCCAGACACTCATCTCTGCTCGATCCGGTGCCCTTCTCCTTGGGAGGTGCGTCTGTAACCATCTGCACATGGCGCTGCCTTCTGGGCTGCCTCGCTGCGGGCCAGGTGTGGCCGCCAGATGTCTGACCTCCTCTCGGGGAGAGCGCAAGGACCACCTCTTCTGCCTGGAGGCTTTTCGCTTTTTGTGTCATTCTCCAACCTGAATTTGGCTTCCAGCTACCAGGAGACAGCCAACTTTGATCACGCTCTGCTTAGAGAACCCCATTAAAAATCAGCAAGTGCTGTAAATTTCATTTGGATAAAGCATTTTAAAGGCTAATGGATGAAATTGAATGCAAGAAATGTATTCTAATTTCTGTCCATTTCTGAAAAAAAAAATTCCACTCCTAGTTCATACTTATTTCTAGTGATCTAGAATCCTCTGGCCTTCGGTGTCGATTTCTGTCATTTTCATTTCTGGGTCTAACTTTTCAGTTTTTTTTTCTCCTACATTGAGTTTTTTCACCAAGTAATCTCCATTTTAGATGATAATCTTTTTTTGTGCCTGTCCTTCTTCCTCCTTCCAGTTTTACATCCTGATTTTTCGAATTCCCTTTCCTGAACAATTCCCATCTTAGGCTTTAGCTCCATATTCAAGACTTTCTTTTTCAAATGAGTCTTGGAATGCCTTGTGGCCTTCCCAAAGCGCTATTGAGATAGTTTGCCCTTGCAGTTAAGAGGCCTCCAGGTGTTTCGAGGCCATCTCTAGAGTTTGCAACTGTTTTTAGTTCAATAAATGGAAACATTGTAAACATGTAAAGTTCAGTTTGCACATGGAGTTCATGTTGCTTGGTCTGATTCTCGTGCTTCCCCCATTACTTTGGGGACCTTAGGTGGATAGTCATTAATATCATCATCATCCATCACCACAAATGCACTGTTTCCTCATTGTGTGGGGAAGAATGGGAGGATCTTTATCCTAACAGCACATACCATATCCCATATCATGCCCTATTGAGTACTACTGTCAAACTCACAGAAGGTGGACCTTTGTCTCTAGAATTCCAGGATTAATTTTGCAAGTAGAGTTGTGAACATATGTATTTTCTTAATTATTCAATTAACTAACATTTTAAAGCACTTCTGTGATTATAAAGTGAATAAAGGTTAATTGCAGAACAATTGGAAAATGATGAAAAGTATAGAGAATAAAATAAAATTCACCCATAATTGCATTGACTGGAGAGAATCACTCTTAAGCACTGGGCTATTGCTTTGTAGTCTTCCTTGGATAAAGCTTGTAAACTTTTGTTCTCTTCACATTATGAAAAGTTTCTCATATCTTTAAAGGTAAGATGATTTTACAATGATAGCATATTGTTCTATCAGATGGTGTATTTCAATATTTCCCATTTGTCCTACATTTCAAATGTTTTATTATCATAAACAACTTTGCCATAAACACTAAACACCCTTGTACAAGTGGAATGACTGGGTCAAATTATGATGTTTTAGGATTTGATAGAAGCTTACAAGAAGATGGAAGGCAAAATCTCAGAACTAAGTTTATGAAAATTTTATAACCTTTAAAAAGATTTTTATCATCATTCTGGACACTGCGTGAAGGATCTCTTTTATTTCTTCTTTCGTTAGTAGCTTCTATAATTGTTACAAAAATCTACTTGGGGAATATTCATCTCAACTATTTTATTGATGCCAAAGACTGGAGGGTACACACTACTGGGTATGTATCCAAAAGAAAATAAATTGTTCTACCAAAAAGACACATACACTCGTATGTTCATCGCAGCAGTATTCACAATAGCAAAGACATAGACTCAGCCTAGGTGCCCATCAACGGTGGATTGGATAAAGAAAATGTGGTACACATACACCATGAAATACTATGCAGCCATAAGAGAGAATGAAATTATGTCCTGGGTAGCAACATGGATGCAGCTGGAGGCCATTATCCTAAGGGAATTAACACAGAAACAAAAAACCAAATACTACGTGTTCTCACTTAGAAATGGGAGCTAAACATTGGGTACACACAGACATAAAGATGGGAACAGTAGACACTGGAGATTACTAGAAGTGAGTTGGGGGAAGGGTTAGAAAACTACTGGGTTCTATGCTCAGTACCTGGGTGCCAGGATAAGTCGTACCCCAAACCTCAGCATCCTGTAGTATATTCATGTAACAAGGCTGCACCTGTACCCTCTGATTCTAAAATAAAAGCTGAAATTATGTATATTAAAAAAAAACTGGAGGGCACAGTAAGTGAAGGCTAAGGAAGGTCCCTCCCTAACCAAGCTAAAATCGCCAGGGCAGTCAATGTGTCTCAATATTCGTGTACTTGACTGAAAGCAAAAGAAGACTGTCATCCTCAACTTTGTCTAAACTTGCATGGCCTGAGCCCACAGTCCATAACCCTGTCATCCAAATCCCAAGCCATCATTTTGCTCTAATGTCTATAAATCTATTTGTCACCACCATTTCTCAGCACTGCATTTGCTCTTGACCAGAACATAAAGACAGGGTTCCTAATTTCCTGTGGCCATTAAGATTCTTCTACTCTTTGCTCAAGGATGACCCCAGGGTGATAATTTCTACTTCCCTCTTTTATGCATCTTCATTCTTGAACAACTCAGCTCACTTCTTCTGTGATGTCATTTTTTCTCCTCAGAGATCATGATTCTCTTTCATTCTCTCGTTTCTCATTGTATAGCAAATTATCATGTTGTGTGATAATCATTGGTTTAACTACCAGATATCCTCATCAAAGACTCCTTGTTTATCCCTGTATCCCCTCTATCTGCACAGAGTCTGCTAGTGGGTGTAATACTAGGTGTCTCAAAATTGTTAAATGTATGAATGAGTGCTGAGCTATGCCTTGTGGCCTGCTTGCGTACAACTCATAGAATGTTAGGGGGAATCAGACTGTGTGAAAAAAAGACTGTGTATGTGTAGGGTGATCAAAATCATTTTTTCAGATGACGTGTAACTTTCCAATGCACCAAAGCCTTTCACTTGTTTTTTCAAAATTTTCATGCACGGCTCTTATACTTTTGTAAGATTTTTTGTTGTTGTTCAAGGAACTGTGGCTTGTTTTTCAGTCTGGGTACATCCAAGACTGGACCATTCTGCTCTCCAGTTCATGGGAGTTGATGGGAACACTTAATCAAAGTTGGATTCATTCCATTTGGTTACCTCCATGCTGCCAGTCAACTCTTTCCCTGCACTCCTCTTGATTTTTAAACTCTGTAAATGTACAGTCTTGTGTAAATGTGCATGTCATAATATGTGTAAAGAGAGGCACTCTCACAGTTTGATAAAGATGAAACATGAACAGACTCAGATAATTGGTATTATTGTTTTACTTTAACTGGGGTTTCAAATTCCACAACAAACATAATGCTTTCCCTTTAGCATAGAAAATATTGGCCACCTACAAAGGGCCTTTTCAACATGGAATTTTATTTTAACTTTGTGTCTTTGAGGTAATTTTTAATACATGAGTATATTTGAGATGTATTAAATCTTCGAGGAAGCAAATTAGCAAGTGGAAATAATTAGGGTAAATTAATCGATTTTCTAACTGAGAAAAGTGGAATGTTGTCTTAGTCTGCTTTATGCTGCTATAACAGAATATTTGAGACAGTAATTTATAATGAACAGAAATTTGTTTCTCACAGTTCTGGAGGCTGGGAAGTCCAAGATCAAGATGCTGGCAGGTTTGGTGTCTGGTGAGGGGCACAGTCTCCTTTTCCAAGATGGCGCCTTGAATGCTGCATCCTCCAGAGGGGAGGAATGCTCTTCCCCACATGGCAGAACATTGGAAGAGACTGAACCCACTCACATAAGCCCTTGTTATAGTGGCATTGGTCCATTCACGAGGGCAGAGCCTTCATGACCTAAACATCTCTCAACATTGTTGCTTTGGGGATTGTTTCCAACACATAAATTTCACCCATAGCAAATGTAATATTGTCACTCCATAATAGACTATAATTAATTGACAAGTTGTTTTTAGAATATTTATTTTATAATATGCAAGTCTTAAAATAAAAAAAGAACTTGCTTCTGGGCACATTTTAAACATGTTATCTATTTTAATTAATTTAGATAAATAAAAACACATATAAGTTTAATGAATCACTTTTACGTATCTGCTTTAGTCTGATTGGCAGTATTGCCTTTTTAGATTTGTAATATTGCTAAGCTAAAATACTTGGGTCATGCTGTTTAGAATAGCCTCTGCAGTTTTGGCCCAGCTGACCAAATATCTAAGGATACACGGAGGTTAGTAAAATAAAAAAACATGCCAACTGGAACAGGCATGCTGCCGCATGAGTTAGTCTAACAGTTCTGCACAGTGCTCAAAATGCACCAAAGGAACCTCATTAAAAAAATAAAAAGATGATAAACAAATAAAGTCGAAGGCAATGTAAGGCTTACATTTCAACTTGAGTCCAAAGAAATAACATTCTCTAACTATTATGCTAAAGCTACTTTGTTTAATTTTAATTTTTGAAAAGTCTACTGCATTAAAAAAATAATTTACTTTTGTTAAAGCTCGATCTTAGTGTAATAATTAGGCAGCTACTGATTTTCTGGGGGTTTTCTTTATAGAAGTCTCAGAGAAGAGTGGAACAGCTTTTTTGGTCAGCATTTTGAAATAAAAATTGTGGACCAGGTAGAGCTTTTTGGCATTCCATCTGTGACTTAGGGAAGGAGGAGATTGGAAAATACTGCTTATTTTATACTTACTGCTCTTCCCATTCTTTCAGCACTCTAATGAGCTAACAAGATTAGAAAACGGAGCTCGGACTTTGGCTCAAGACCCCTTAGGACACACTGACCAGTCCATTTCCTACACCCCAGGAAAGATGGCACAGTGATCTGTTTCATCCACAGATGTTAGTGTAAAACACCTGTGCACAAGACTGTGCTAACTCTGCAAACACAGCAGCCTACATGTGGAGGGGCAAGACTGTCCTCAAAGCTGGCTCTGTCCATTCCCCACTGGGTCCGGCTGGATGTTCTGTGGAAGAGTTGTGATTGTGAAGATGAAGGCTACTTGGACTTGTTGCACAACCAGGCAAAGCTACTATGGGCTTTAAACGGTGTGATCTGGTGGGGGATCTCACCACTCTCCACCAGGGAATGAAGGTTGTCACCATTCTCTCTGCCACCCACGACTTTAGACTTTAGGGACCAGTGACTGTGAAGGCTGCCGGAGCACCCTCCACTAAGAGATGCCTCCATGTCCTCTCTTCATGGGCTGATTAGGGCTTCATCAGTATGTGAAATAGGTTAGTTAGACAGTTAGATGATGTCAGTATGTGAAACAGGTTAGTTAGATGGTTAGACGAGAAAAACATGGCTATTAGACTTTGGACTGACCCAACCGCAGTTCACCATCAGAGAAAGTTGGTGATAGAGCTGGCTGCTTCCCTGAACCTTCCTACACCCAAGCGGTTGTGATGGGAAGGGCTGAGCAAGGTTGCTCCCTGTTATTTTACTGGCTTTGTTTGCAGGCTTTTCATTCAGGTAAATTATGCATATATTTCAGATATATAGTGTATTTGCCCCTGCAGATGTGGTTGAAATAAACTGCTCATTTTCTTCTCTTATTCTAGAGCACATGTACTTGATTCAACGAATACTTGAAGACTTCTTAGGCTTTCAGTAGCCATTTCATAATTTTTCCCTAACTTAATAAAAATGGCTACTCAGTTTTATTAAATGTCTATTTAGGAAGCTGGCAGTGTAATGTACTTTTTCTACCTTAATTTGGAGGTATAACATATGTATATGGTACGTTATAAGGATTCCTTATGTTGGACCATTTTTGAAGTCTTAGGATATGCCCTAGGGAGTTGCCGTTGTTCGTTGTGTGTTGTTATAACTGAATACCACAGTCTGGGTAATTTATAAAGAATACAGGTTTATTTAGCTCTTGGTTCTGGAAGCTGGGAAAATCCAGGGTTCATAGGCTGGCATCTGGTGAGGGTCTTCGTGTTGTGTTATCCCACTGCAGAAACGTGGGAGGGCAAGCCAGTGCAGGCAAAAAAGAGAAAGCAGGAGTCCAGGTTCACTTTATAACAACTCACTCTCTTGGTAACTAACCCACTCCTACAATAACAACATTAACCCATGCGAGCTCTACCTTCATGATCCAATCCCCTCTCATTAGGCCCCACCTGCCAACACTGCCACACTGCTACTCAGTTTCAGCATGAATTTTGGAGGTACAAACACCCAAACAATAGCAGGAGCTGTGGTATGTAATTATTTCATATACTTCTGGATCCTATTTGCAAATATTTTATTTAGAATTTTTGCATTTATATTAATCTGAAATGTTTGATTTAGAATTTGTATTTATAAGTGAAATTCATGTATAGTATTAGTCTGTCTTTATCTGATTTGTGTATTATGGCATAGAATTGAAAATGAGCTGAGAAACTCTTTATCCTTCTCAGTGGCCTAGAATAGCACAGCAGTGATCTGTTTTCCTCAGTCATTGACTGAGGCTTGGTCTTTGCTTCTGCAGAATGAGAACCACAGATCTTTTCTGCTTTCAGAACTGCTAAGAAGATGAAATGCACATGAAAATATTTTTCAAATTCTGACATGCTATACAAATTGTTGTTAAAATAATTATTACTTGCATTCTACATTCAAAGTTTGAACTGTTTTTATGTTTAAGGCTGTATTGCATCCAAATATTCTATTTTTCCTTTATTCTTTCATTTTCTATGTACTTTGCAAATTCTGGAAATTGACTTGGAAATTCAGTATAATTAAGAGCTCAGCTTTGCGAGGCCAAGGCAGGCAGATCACCTGAGGTCAGGAGTTCGAGACCAGCCTGGCCAACATGGCGAAACTCTGTCTCTACTAAAAATACAAAAATTAGCCACGTGTGGTGGCAGGTGCCTGTAATCCCAGCTACTCGGGAGGCTGAAGCATGAGAATCGCTTGAACTCGGGAGGCAGAGGTTGCAGTGAGCCGAGACTGCAACACTGCACTTCAGCCTGGGTGACAGAGTGAGACTTTGTCTCAAAAAACAACAACAACAACAAACAAACAACAAGAAAAAAACACACAAACAAACAAAACCAAAAAAACCTCAAACTTCAATTTTTGTTTCTGACATGTATTAGTTTTGTGACCTTTGTTCCAATCGCTAAATATTTTTAAGCCTCAGTTTCTTTGTCTATGAAATGGGGACAATAGAACCTACCTGATGGGCTTGTTGTGAGGGTGAAGATATTTTGATCCCCCTCTTAAGCATACTTGTAAACTAAGTTAGCTATTATTACTGTTATGGGATTCTTGGGGTGTTGTTTTGCCAGCTGGAAATCTCTGTGGCCAGTGACACTTTTGCCTGAGTTTTGCTCAGGCCTGCTGGGTTCATTTGGCCCACTCAACCTGGCAGGCTGTGCTCGGCTAGCCCTATTGGACTGGATCCCATGCCTGCCAAGGGTGAGCCAGGCACGGAGTGGTGAGGGATGTGTGGGCGAGCGTGGGGTCCAGCCACTGTGCATAGCCAGGCATGCTTGGCTGTGTGGGGCAGGCAGCTCCAGGCACCAGCATGGGCGCTGGCTCCCTGCAAGACTGCATCTGGTCCAGGAGTACCATAAGCAGCTTCCACTGAGGTTGGCACTGAAGAACACCATGTTACCTGGAAGCTTGGAGACACCAGGAACTGCAGAGCCCCAAAAAGGGTGTCACAGCCCTGGCTTGGAGCTCTTAGGTCTGGGCTCCCCGAGCGCTGCAGCTCTTCTTTCCTTCTTTCCTTCTTGTTGCCTGAAATGTGGCAAGGAAGGGGCATGTGTCAGCCCTATTTGTGTTACAGCTCTTTTAGCTCTGCCATTTGGCAGGTCTCAAGTTCTTGTCCTGCATTCAGGAAGAATGAGGTATGCAGACAAGTGGAGGGTGAGCAAGGCGAAGGGAGATTTATTGACCTGCAGAACACCTTAGAGATACGCACATTGGGTAGCTCCTCTCCAGTGGGCAGTGTTCAGCTCTCAGAAAGGAGACCCTGGAGTGGGTAGCTCCTCTCTGCAGCTGGTCCTCCTGTTGTGTCTTAGGGTCTGGCTAAGTCCAGGGCTTTTATGGGCCTCAGAGGGGAGGAAGTGCATGCTGATTGGTCCATAGGCAGCCATGGGCCCTGGAAAAAGCACCACAAGTTCCCACTTCAGTCTGTGGGACTGGCAGAATTGCCCCCAGGCTTCAGGTCCTCTCCAGCTTGAAGGTGGGGCTTCACCAAGGACCTGCCCCCTTCCACCCAGGAGCCTGTTTGCCTCCTGCCCCCATTCATGATGTCCAGGCTGTTGGTGCCAAGGTGCTCCTGCAGGCCAGCACTGAGCTCTCCTCAGCTCCCTGCTCAGCCTCCCTCCCATGCGCCTCAGCGTCCAAAGTGGGGAGGGAGCCAAGGCAGCAGAGAGCTGGTGGTACACACAACAGGCTGGGTGCAGGGAGAGTGGGTGCAGGGAGAATGGGTGCAGGGAGCAGGGAGAGGCCAAGCAGCAGAAGCAGACACCTCCATGCCTGCCCAGACACAGGGGCCTTCCCAGGTCCCTGAGAGTGCAGAAATGTCTGGGTCTGCAGTGGCAGCTTGGGTGGCTACAGCTGTACTCTTGGCCCTCAAGAGCACAAGGAGGCCTGGGTCCACAGCCTGACTTGGGCAGCTGCAGCTGCATCTGCATCCAGGAGGGCGGGGTTCCTGCCTGCTCCTAGCTCCTGTGGGCTCTGTGGAGCACATAGCCCAGCTGCGCCTCCCCTGCTGCAGCCAGTGTCCTGGCAGCAGCCACTCCAGGTGGGCCACTGCTGCCATCATTACTATCAATAATAAGATTATTTTTGTAGATTGACTCTGAATTACTTGAGAGCTGGGATGAGTGTGACTTTTGACTAAGAAGTTTATTAATATCCTATCTTTAGTAGGTGGAAAGGATTTCAATTCCAGGTTTCCCCCATATGGCATTCTGATACACACTAAATATTATTTTTCTAGTAAATCTACAGTTTAGCTACTACAAGTTTTGTGATTCTTAGCCATTTCGGGAAGAATTTGATGACTTTCTCATAGTTTGGTGCTCTGGAATTTGAAACGCAAAGGCAAATATTCAGAGCTGTGTCATTACATTTAGGCACTACTTCAACTAGCATCTTCATTGAAAGAGAGGGAAAAAGAGATCTTAAAAAGTTTTAGTTTCTTTCCTCCAGCTATGCATCCTTCCTGCTAATCATAGTCCTGACTGATTTATATCTGTGATCCAGATGTCCCCAAAGCAGGGCCCAACATGACAGAAAATGAAGCAAATCAAGGAACGTTGCTTTTTTTCTCGAGGTCAGCCACACCCCAAACTCTAATAAGCAAGTTCTGGACTCACATCCTGCCACAGAAAGTTGGTTTTCCAGAAAAATTTTAAAGGGGAATTTATTCTTATTTCCCAAATAAGCCTGAAGACAAGTTATGCCATTTCCACTTGGTGCCCAGTCAGAGTAGCTGACTGCAAAGGGAAAACCTAAACCTTTCAGATGCGTTTTCTTAGTGAGCATTTTACCTTAGGCTTAGCCATTGTGGTTATTTCCGCGTTTGGATCAAGCCAGCGTGTTCCGAGCCACATTATTGACAGAGGGTCTTGTTTTTGTTCATTCACCAGAGTGGAAAATCATAGGATTCTTGTAATGAGCAGTCTAGAAAAATAGCAACAAACAGATGTGTCTTCTGTGGCCAGAAAGTTTTAAACCTAGGAGACCCTCTTGAGGAGTAAGGGACTGGAGATGTGTGTGCAGAAATGCTTGACTATGCAGCAGTTCACGCGGACAGAGGCAACTGGAGTGACGTCACGTAATTGCTGTTTTTCTTTAACATTTTGTGTCAAGTGAGGAAGACTATTTTAGTGTGGCTATGAGAGGTGACAGCGTGCTGGCAGTCCTCACAGCCCTGGCTCGCTCTCGGCGCCTCCTCTGCCTAGGCTCCCACTTTGGTGGCACTTGAGGAGCCCTTCAGCCCACCCCTGCACTGTGGGAGCCCCTTTCTGGGCTGGCCAAGGCCAGAGCCGGCTCCCTCAGCTTGCGGGGAGGTGTGAAGGGAGAGGCGCGAGCGGGAACCGGGACTGCGCGCGGCGTTTGCGGCCAGCTGGAGTTCCGGGTGGGCGTGGGCTTGGCGGGCCCCGCACTAGGAGCAGCTGGCGGGCCCTGCCGGCCTCAGGCAATGAGGGGCTTAGCATCCAGCCCAGTGGCTGCGGAGGGTGTACTGGGTCCCCTAGCAGTGCCAGTCCACTGGCACTGCACTCAATTTCTCACCGGGCCTTAGCTGCCTTCCCGCAGGGCAGGGTTTGGGACCTGCAGCCCGCCATGCCTGAGCCTCCCACCCGCTCCATGGGCTCCTGTGCAGCCCGAGCCTCCCCGATGAGTGCGGCCCCCTGCTCCACGGCGCCCAGTCCCATGGACCACCCAAGGGCTGAGGAGTGCGGGGGCATGGCAAGGGACTGGCAGGCAGTTCCACCTGCATCCCCCGTGCGGCATCCACTGGGTGAAGCCAGTTGGGCTCCTGAGTCTGGTGGGGACGTGGAGAATCTTTATGTCTAGCTCAGGGATTGTAAATTCACCAATCGGCACTCTGTATCTAGCTCAAGGTTTGTAAACACACCAATCAGCACCCTGTGTCTAGCTCAGGGTTTGTGAATGCACCAATCGGCACTCTGTATCTAGCTCAAGGTTTGTAAACACACCAATCAGCACCCTGTGTCTAGCTTGGGGTTTGTGAATGCACCAATCGACACTCTGTATCTAGCTACTCTGGTGGGGCCTTGGAGAACCTTTGTGTCCACACTCTGTATCTAGTTAATCTGGTGGGGAGGTGGAGAACCTTTGTGTCTAGCTCAGGGATTGTAAATGCACCAATCAGCACCCTGTCAAAACAGACCACTCAGCTCTACCAATCAGCAGGATGTGGGTGGGGCCAGATAAGAGAATAAAAGCAGGCTGCCCGAGCCAGCAGTGGCAACCTGCTCGGGTGTCTTTCCACACCGTGGAAGGTTTGTTCTTTCGCTCTTTGCAATAAATCTTGCTACTGCTCACTCTTTGGGTCCACACTGCTTTTATGAGCTGTAACACTCACCGCGAAAGTCTGCAGCTTCACTCCTGAAGCCAGCGAGACCACGAGCCCACCGGAAGGAGCGAACAACTCCAGACGCTCTGCCTTAAGAGCTGTAACACTCACCGCGAGGGTCTGCGGCTTCATTCTTGGAGTCAGTGAGACCAAAAACCCATCAAGTCCGGACACAGCTATATGACCAGCCAAATGATGGATTTATTTCTCTGGCTTCCATCAAAAGCATCTAAAATATGTGTATTTTTGACCTGGTGACAAAAGCTGTCTCTTATAATTGTTCCCTCCTTCACCTCAACCTTCACATCTGTCTTAATTTGGAAAGTTTTGGGGGATTTTTCTGATCATTTTGGTGGCATAAGTGTGCAAGCCTTTTGTGACCATCACTAATTGCCAGTGTGGGAGGCAGCTTGCATCGGCTCTCACTGGCTCATGAGAGCTGGCTGCATCTTCTCCAAAACCTATGCTCAGTGTAGCCATTTTGGTAGCTTGACATCAGCCATAGTGCGAGTATTTACGCATGGGAATCAGTAGATGCTACAAATCATCCACCAGGAGAGTTGTCATCAAACACTTCCTGGCTCTCTGCCTCCTATCATATTTTTCAAAACTTGATCAGCTGAGGCTGGGCTGCTATTCTAAGACATTCGCTTCTTGTACTCCACAATCTATGAAGATGGCTTCTTGGAAATCCCCTTCCTTGGAAAAGGAAATGAGTTTTATTTCTGTGGTGAGCATGTGGCTTCCTGCCTCCATTTACCTTTCACTGGATAATTGCACCCCTACTTCCACCTTCTGTTTGCGCATCATTCCATCTTTCATCAACAGCCTGGGGCTTTGGTTGGTGTCCACTCCTGGCTCAGACATGGAGCTTGTTACTTAGGTCAAAGCCCATCAGAGCATTGTCTTCCTCTGGCTAGAGTAACTGGTTCAGGTACGGGCATGTGGCCCCTGTGGCATGATGATGCGTTTGAGACTTTTGCTGCAACTTCTGGAAGAGGGACATGTGCTTTTTCTACTGGAATTGAATGACAAGATATAAAATTAAAGTTGCTTACTGGCATAAAAACAGACACTTAGACTAATGGAACAGAGTAGAGAGCCCAGAAATAAATCCTAACATGTATGGTCATCTAATTTTTGACAAGGGCACAAAGAAGACACAATGGGGAAAAGATAGTCTCTTCAATAAATGCTGCTGGGAAAATTGGATTTCTACATGCAAAAGAATGAAAATGGATCCTTACCTTTCACCATACAGAAAAACAAAATCAAAATGGATAAAAGACCTGATGTAAGACCTGAAACCATAAAACTCCTAGAAGAAATCATAGGAGGAAATCTTGACATTGGCCTTGGGAGTAATATCTTGACTATCACACTGAAATCTCAAGCTACAAAAGAAAAATAAGTAAATGAGACTACATAAAACCAAAAAGCTTCTGCACAGCAAAGGAAACAATCACCAAAATGAAAAGACCCTACCAATTGGGAAAAAAAATTTACAGATCCAAGATTTATAAAGAGCTCATACAATTCAATAGCAAGAAAACATATGATCTGATGGAAAAAAGGTCAAAGGATCTAAATAGATCTTTATTCAAATATGACATAAAAATGGCAACAGATATAGGAAAAGGTGTTCAACATCACTAATTATCAGAGAAATGCAAACCAAAAGCAAGTTGCGATATCACCTCACACCTGTTAGGATGGCTACTATGAAAAAGACAATACCAAATGCTGGAGAGGATGTAGAGAAAACGGAACTAATATATACGTTGTTGGAATACAAATTAGTACAGCCATTATGAAAAACATTAAGGGATTGTCTCAAAAATCCCAAAGTAGAACTATGGTAGAATCCAGCAATTCCACAGCTGGGTATATACCCACAGGAAATGAAGTCCCTTCCTTGCAACGATGTCTGCACTCCCATGTTCATTGCAGCACTACTCACAAGAACCAATATGAAAACAGCATAGGTGTCCATCAATGGATGAATGGATGCAGAAACTGGTGTGGTGCATGTATGCTTAATTCCATTACATATAATGGATGTTACTGAGGCTTATGGAAGGAGGAGATCCTGCCATTTGCCACAACATGGGTGGACCTAGAGGATAGGATGCTAAGTGAAATAAACCAGATATAGAAGCAGAAATAGTACATAATCTCACTTATATGCGGAATCTAAAAAAAAAAAAAAAGGTCGGGGCCGGGCGCGGTGGCTCATGCCTGTAATCCCAGCATTTTGGGAGGCCAAGGCGGGCGGATCACGAGGTCAGGAGATCGAGACCATCTTGGCTAATACGGTGAAATCCCGTCTCTACTAAAAATACAAAGGAGGCTGGGGCAGGAGAATCACTTGAATCCAGGAGGCAGAGGTTGCAGTGAGCTGAGATTGGCCTGGGCAACAGAATGAGACTCTGTCTCCAAAAAAAAAAAAAAAAAAAAAAAAAAGGAAAGAATAAGAAAAGAAAAAGAAAGATCTAAGGTGCAACAGGTGGACCCTGGTTAATGACAGCATATTGCATTCAGGATTTTTGCTAAATGAGTAGATTATAGCTGCTCGTCATGGGAGGTAAAATGGGTAACAATGTGAGGTGTTACATAAGTTAATTTGTTTACTATCATAACCATTTTACTATATATATAATGTATCTTATAACATCATGTACACCTTAAATATACACAATAAAATTTATTAAAAAACAAAGATTGGAGTTGCTGCTTCCATTTTATTACCACAAGAGCACAAACACAGGCAAGCAAAGCAGCTCCAAGGGAGTGGCCTCGAGGGATGGAGGAATGCCACCGGGGCCTGGTGGCAGTGTCCCTCTTTTGACGTCCTGTCTGAAGCCCACTCTTGGCGCCAACTTTTCAGTTATGCGATCCAGCATATTTCCTTCTTACTTAAGACATCCTGGGCTGGGTTTTCTATCACTGTCCTCCAAAGAACTTTCTCTGGTATAACTGAGACTATTAACCCTGTTGTTAGTTGAAGGAAATCAACTCCAGGTTTCCATAACCTGGAATGACACAGCCGACTTTACCCATATCCATTTTATAAAAGTCTAACAGTAATTCTTAGATAATATCATTTATTTATTAATATCTATCAATCCTAATTTGAACACAAATGAACAGGAGCCTGGAGGAACTTAAACGATGAACTTTTTGTTTAATTTGTTGCCTGAATCTTCAGAAACAGGATGTGGTTCCAAGAAACAGGGAACATTTGGACAATCCTACAATTCATCAGTGGTGGCCTCTCATGACAAGCACTCTTATGATATTTGGACAGATTCCTCTAAGCCAAGGAAGAACATACTCTTTCTGCCATTGCCCAAATCCATGTGTCATTGAGCCCTATGGGGAAAACGCCCTTCTTTGATCTACAGAGGACACTGTGTTAGTAACCACAGTGTAATTCCCTACATTCTCATTGTTGGGCAAGAAAGATGAGGCTAATTGGATTCATGCCCTTTCCCCAGCCCCAGATTTGCCAGCAGTGTGATCTTGTGCAGTGCTTGACACATGGCAGGTTTTCAAAAACTGTCAATAAGCGCATTGGATGGATAACCAATGAACAAGTAAATCGCCTGATATAGTGAGCCCTCCAGGGTGCAAAAACAATGTATGTCTATTAGCCAACAATGTAGGTGCCACTAATACTGAAATACTAGTATTAAATATTTGTTTTAGCTTTAAAAGAATTAAGGAACTGTTAGAACACAGGTTCTTTATTCCATTGATTGTAATTTTGCTTATTTCCATTTTCACAGGAAGAAGATAATGTTCTTAAACCACTCTTGGTGAAACAAATGCACTTATCATCTCCCCTTCCTACGCCACTTCCAAACCCAATTCTCTCCAGTGGCTGGTGATGCTCACGTAAGATTGCATGGCCAGGGCAGCTTTAGAGAAGAGCTGGCTGGTTTCCCTGGTTAAAATCACAGCAGTCTCAGTGCTGATGAGGGTAGTGAGTTTAAACTTGAATGAGGCAAGTAGTATCATAAAAGGAAAAATAAGAAAATATTTCACTGTATCATGATCAGTTGCAGCAAGCAACCCTAAACCTGGCTTTGCAGATGGCAAGCCTATTTGTTTTGTCACAAGTAGACAGGGCAAGATACCACAAACCCCTTGTCATATCCTCTGATGAGGCTCAGCAATGGCATCTGAATCTGTAGAACGGGCACATTTTAGTTTGCAAGAACTCACCAGTAAAGCCCAAACTAATAAACCAGGTCCTTCACATTTCCTTTAATTATATAAGGATTTTCTTTGTGTTTCTGTCTTTACACTTGAAGACCCATGAAATCCTTGGAATCCAAAGGTTTTCCGTGGCCTTCAGATGAAACAGTTATAAAAGGAGCAACATCACTGTCAATTCAGTAACAGTATAGGTCAGAAGTTCTCAAACTTTCTTAGTTCATGGCTCCCTTCATTTCCCAGTAAGTTTCCTTGTGACACTCAAAGCCAAAAGAAACACCCAACAGTTCCATTTATGAAGTAAGTCCAAACACCTTAATAATATTTATGTTCTAACAACTCAGTAGCTGTTTGAAAAAATAAGACACATAGATTGAAAGAAAAAATATCATTTTATTTCATTCTTTAATAACCACAATCGTGGGATGTGTAAGCCTGTTGGCATTGCCTGACTTCCCAAATGTTGGAATCAGATTGACCATCTCCCCATCATTTCCTCATCCACATTGGTTTTCATGCAGTACTGGCTTTTTATCACAAAAACCACTGGAAACCTAGGTTTTACAAAAATATGATATCATGAAAAGGAATCTAGCATAATCTCATGTTGAAACTGTGAATTCTGCTCAGCTATTAGTTCACTGAGTGTCTGACAGATGTTAAGTAGCTTTGTATTTCCTTCAAAATTTTAAAATATTCTGTTGGTTGGGCACAGTGGCTCATGCCTGTAATCCCAGCACTTTGGGAGGTCAAGGCAGCCAGATCGCTTGAGCTCACGAGTTTGAGACCAGCCTGGGTAACATGACAAAACCTTGTCTCTACCTAAAAAAAAAAAAAAAAAAAAAAAAAAAAAAAAAAAAAAAAAAAAAAGCCAGATGTGGTGGCATGTGCCTATAGTCCCAGGTACTCAGGAGGCTGAGATGGGAGGATCACTTGAGTTCAGGAGGCATAGGTTGCAGTGAGCCAAGGTCATGCCACTGCACTCCAGCCTGGATGACAGAGTAAGACTCCGTCTCAAAAAAAAAAAAAAAGCCTGTCATATTCTTGGATGTTTACTGCAGCAACCCTGGGTGCCTTGACACACAGTCTAAGAGCCACAGGCATAAGCAATATTAATAAACACCGTTGGGTCATCATTAACAGTGACAATCTTTATCATCCTTAAGTAGTTATTTTGAAAGCTGTGCTTCATTGTGTTTTTCTTTGATGTCTAAATGTTCTGAACAGCTGTAATACTTTTTTTTTTTGCAAAAAAACTTCCACTCTATTGGTACTAGGGTCAAAACAAGTAGTTCTCTCTCCTACAGTTTTGAGGACCTCATCCATATTTCAGCATGAACAGGTTAACTTTTGTCATTAAAGTTCATGCTTTTCATAAAAGACCATATGGGGAAGTTGTTGAACTACATTGAACTGGTAATTGAACCATGATGGAACAGATAGAGAATGAGTAGCAGAAGAAGGAGAGCAGTGAGATGTGGGAAGAATTGACCTTTAAGTGAAAGGAGAATTGGGAACCTCCATTCACCCTTTAAGATTGAACTCTTGAATAATGTCCCCAGCAAGCCTTCCTGCATCCTCCCCCTTGGAGGAACCACTTTGTGCTGACCCCATCACATCCATCACGCTGTACTACAGCTGCTGGCTCCCCACCAGCCTCGCCCCCTACCTGGAGCTCCTAGGAAGCAGGGGCTATTCTGTCCTTTGTCTTTGTCATCCAAGAACCAAGCAGAATTCCTCACCATGACTGACTAGATGAATCACAATATTAATAATAAGAACTAGAAGAGTTTTTTAAAAATGGTGCAGAGTGTTGAAGGGGAAGTAATGTTTAGGCTGGATCTCTAAGAAAACATAGGAATTAACCCAGAAATCTCAGACGGAGGGGAGGCTGAGGAGGCATTCCAGGCACTCAGAAGAGTATGTGTGAATTCTGGGAGGTGGGGCCTAAAATGGAATCTTTGAAAATAGGCAAAAAGTCCTGTTGGGTTGAGAGGAGAAGGAATGTCTAGAAGGGGCAGAAGTTAAGAGTGGAGAGCTAAGTTTGGGCTGGACCATTAAATGTCTTGTAGGCCATTGTAAGGAGTGTGAGTTTGAAACTTACAAGCAAAAACAAACAACCCCATTAAAAAGTGGCCATGCCTGTAATCCCAGCATGTTGGGAGGCTGAGGCGGGTGGATCACCTGAGATTGGGAATTCAAGACCAGCCTAACCAACATGGAGAAACCCCGTCTCTACTAAAAATACAAAATCAGCTGGATGTGTGGCGCATGCCTGTAATCCCAGCTACCCAGGAGGCTGAGGCAGGAGAATCACTTGAACCTGGGAGGTGGAGGTTGTGGTGAGCCAAGATCATGCCATTGCACTCCAGCCTGGGCAACAAGAGTGAAATTCTGTCTCAAAAAAAAAAATAAAAAAGAAAAAAAAAAAAGGTGGGCAAAGGAAATGAACAGACACTTTCCAAAAGAAGACATACATACAGCCAACAAGCATATGAAAAAATGCTCAATATCACTAATCATTAGAGAAATGCAAGTCAAAACCACAATGAAATACAATTTTACACCGGTCAGAATGGCTATTATTAAAAAGTCAAAAAATAACAGTTACGGGCAAGGTTGGGGAGAAAAGGGAACAGTTATACACTGCTGGTAGCAATGTAAATTAGTTCAGCCATTGTGGAAAGCAGTCTGGCAATTTCTCAAAGAACTTAAAACAGAAGTACCATTCAACCCAGCAATCCCTTTACTGGATATATACCAAAAGGAATATAAATCTTTCTACCATGAAGACACATGCACATGTATGCTCATTGCAGCATTATTCACAATAGCAAAGTCATGTAATCAATCTAAATGCCCATCAGTGGTAGACTGGATAAAGAAAATGTGGTGCATATAGACCATGGAATAGTATGCAGCCATAAAAATGAATTGGGTCATGTTCTTTGCAGCAACATGGATGGATCTGGAGGCCATAATCCTAAGCAAACTAACACAGGAACAGGAAAACAAATACTGTATGTTGTCACTTATAAGTGGGAGCTAAACATTGAGTACTCGTGAACACGTAGAAGTGAAGAACAGATGCCAGGGCCTACTTGTGGGTGAATGGTGGGAGGAGGAACATAGGAAAACTACCTATCGGGTGCTATGCATAAGCATACCTGGGTGATAAAGTAATCTGTACAGCAAACCCCTGTGAGATGTAATTTACCTATGTAACAAACATTCACATCTATCCCGAACCTAAAATAAAATCTGAAAAAAAAAAAAAAAAAAAAAAAAAAAAAAAAAAAAAGTGTGGGTTTGCTCTACTAGGCAATGGTGAGCCCCTGCTGGGTTCTGTATGGGACATCAAGATAATTGTGCTTGTACAGGAAGTGGACCAGGCAGACTGAGCGGCTGGGGAGAGAATGAAGATCTGGAGATGAGTTACGTAACTATTGGAATAGCCCAGGATGGAGAGGAGATGGGCGTCCTTCAAGGGCTCTAGGCCTCTGGCTCCATGCCTTTCATTAGCCTTTCATGTGAAAAGTGTTGCTATGACATGACAGGACTTAAAAAAAAATAACTTTAAACGTACAGAAAAATTGCAAAAATAGTAGTGTGTTCCCACGTAGTATTTACCCAGCTTTCCCTAAAGCAAACATCTTCCAAATGTAGAGTACAGTTATCAAAACCAGGAAATTCATTTTGCTAAAACACGCGTAACCAATCTATAAACTGTCATTTTGTTTCAGATAGATGTAGGTTGGCAAATAGTAACATATGGCTTTCTGATCCCGTCTGCTAACCACAAGACAGACATTGCTAATTGATCACATCACTCTTCTCCCAAGCTTGGATGCAGCATCATAATCTTTCTTAAGTAAAATCAGGCAACCACTCCTTATCTATCAGACAATCCAAAATATGACCCCCATTTGCCATCTTGGAACTGGATTTCCATAGAAACACTTAAATATATTAAGTAGAATATTAAGCTTTCTGCTAGCATATAAACAATCCCATCACTTCACTATAAATAGCACAGACTATAACTGAGTATAGGTCAGGTTGTAACTGAATACGTAGAGGAGCTTTTCCTAGTCGATCCACCTCTTGTTTTAAAGGAAAGAGACTTATCTCACTGCCTTTCTTTTTTGGGGTCCCCTGAGGCTGGATTTCCTCTCCCCTGTGGGTGTGGCTCTCTCAGAGTTGTTTTCCTGGCTCTCCTGCCCCCTGGAACAGAAGTTCCCTAAGGAGAGTGCAGGTGCTGTCTGACACCTTTGTACCCTCAGAGCCTGGCACCAGGGTGGTTACATGTGAACATCTGGCAAGCCAGCATAGGCGCCTTATGCTGGAATAACACATCTAGTGACCTAAGGCAACAAGTTTATTTCTTGCTGAGAGGCTCTCCTCGTAGAATTACTTCAGGGACAGTGGCCAGGTGTGTGGTGGCTCACACTGTAATCCCAGCACTTTGGGAGGCTGAGATGGGTGGATCACCTGAGGTCAGGAGTTCAAGACCAGCCTGGCCAACATGGTGAAACCCCATCTCTACTAAAAATACAAAAAATAGCCGGGCATGGTGGTGGGTGCCTGTAATCCCAGCTACTTGGGAGGCTGAGGCAGGAGAATCGCTTGAACCAGGGAGGCGGACGTTGCAGTGAACTGAGATAACGCCACTGCACTCCAGCCTGGGCAACCAGAGCGAGACTCCGTCTCAAAAAAAAAAAAATCAGGGAAAGAGGTGCTATGTTGTCATACCCTCGCAGAGGGCCTGTGCAGGGAGAAGGACATGTGGTGAGGAACAGGCTAGCTCTCCAGCTCTCCACTCTCCAAACAGGCCTGATTCTAAACCAGGACACACGGCCACACCTAACTTCAAAGAGGGTGGGGAGGCTCGCACTTGCCCTGAGCTGGAAGGAGAGGGCAACCATGATATTTGTGAAAGATCCTAACAGTCACCTCAGTATCCTGGGGTAATGTTTGTGAGTGAATGCAGTGATGCCTGTCTTTTTTGCTTAAAAACTGAAATGAGAACCTCAAAACCCAGGCTTCTGCCTTCCCTGCAGCTTGAAAAAAGCCAGAACAGAGAGACAATTACACTAAAAAGTACATTTTCAGGTCAGCAATATAAATTTCCATCATTATCTTTGTTTCCCCAGTCACAAGGGATTAATTGTCTCCCTTCAAAAGCAAGATCTATCCCTGGGGCATCAGAAAAACCTGGAAACTTGCTCAAGGGCTTATATTTATTCATAAACACTTAAGCAGTCTGCCCCTACAATTGTTTCAGATTAACTTATTTCCAAAGAAGACATGCCCAGTTTCCTCTTTTAAAAAACTAAATGGACTGGAACTTTACTTTTAGGAACATATTTAGGCTGAGCATAATGAAGTTTTATTTATTCAACTCTAAACACTGAATATCCACTAAAGAGACAGTGTACCTTTCTCACATGCTATAGTACCAAGCATACAGTGTACAGGTGCCCAATAAGTATTTGTTGTTGAATTGGTTTTCACTCTAACTGTCTCCAAGAAAAAACCTAGCAAGGCAGTCTCAGCATCTTCTGAGTCTAAATAAAGAAAAAAAATTATAATAGAATCCTGAAAACTAGAAGAAATCTGGACAGGTCTTTGCAGGGGATCATAAGCTCCCTCCTTTTCTTTTTCTATGGGCCAGGAAGCCATTCTTTTCTGAGACTTGACTTAATCCTGTGGTACTTTCAAAAGACTTGCTAAAAGTTTCCCACCATTAAGTGTAATAAGGATACAAATCCTTGTTTTAACTTTGGTTTATTTTCCTAGTGCTTTTACTCATTGTTATTATGACTGGGCTTGGGGAAAATGTAAGAGACTCCTTGTACCTCTAGAATTGCTTGGACATAAAAGGCAATTGCTATGCTGGACGTTCTGTTTTCCATCACCCATGGCCACTTTGGCCCCTGAGCAGGGATGTGGCATGTCCCCATCATGAGCCAGTCCTGCAGTATGGTGTGGACAATAGCAGAGTAGGAAAAGGTTTTGTGGAAACTGCAACCTCCACAGCATGACACATAAGACCTTCCATGATCTGGCCCCTGTCTATCTTTCCAGTCTTGTCTCCTATTACTCCCTTTTCTATATAGAGTGAGATGATAAATTCCCCAACGACAGGGATTGTGCCTGTCTCATTCAACATCAAACCCTTAAAACGGATGGCAGGAGTGTTTCATAAATACCCGCTGAGTGAGAGAAACTGCTGTAGTCTGGGCACAGGGCTTTCTCTTTCCCAGTGCTATGCCTTCCCACAGGCTGTTCCCCAGTCTTGGCAAATTCTTACCACTCTTGGCTTAGCCCTCACCTCCTCTGTGCACCTCCTCCAGCCTCTCAGGCAGAGCTGATGGCTTCTTTACTTCTGTGATGTTGTGAACGTGGCCCTGGGATAGCACTATTGTTGTTCTATAATATTCTACTGGGCTGGACACGGTGGCTCACGTCTGTAATCCCAGCACTTTGGGAGGCCGAGGTGGGTGGATCATGAGGTTAGGAGTTCGAGACCAGCCTGGCCAACATGGTGAAACCCCATCTCTACTAAAAATACAAAAAATTAGCTGGGTGTGGTGGATGCCTGTAATCCCAGCTACTCGGGAGGCTGAGGCAGGAGAATCGCTTGAACCTGGGAGGCGGAGGTTGCAGTGAGCCGAGATCGCACCATTGCACTCCAGCCTGGGTGAAGGGCGAGACTCCTGTCTCAAAAAAAAAAAAAAAAAAAAAATTCTATCTACTTGCCTGGCTCATTCACTGAACAGACAGCTCCTTAATAACAGAATATTTGTCTTATTCATCTCCTTATTCCAGAGCCTGGATGAGTGCCTGGCATAGAGCCTTTGTGTTGGTGGCTTTTTGGTTATAAAAGCTCCCCTGTATCTTCACTAATACAGGTTCTTAGAGTTAGGATCACACGACCAAGAGAGAGATTTACAGCAGACATCTAATCAATGAGGGCTGGTATGACATGCCAAGCAAGTGTAAGATCTGATGAACCTGCCAGGTTCTCCAGGCCAATGCAATTGCTCAGCGCTGCGTTGCTAGGGGTGTAGGTGCATGCCCGTCTTGTGAGGCACCGTCAACTCCACCAGTGGGTGAGATGCTCCTCTCCACTGCTACTGTTTGCTTCCCTGTGGAGGGAGCTCAGCTAGTGTGACACTCCAAGCCTCTTTCTCCCACTTTATTTACTGCATCCCAGGAATGTGGAAAGACTTTCTTTTTCACAAATTTGGGAGAAATACATTGGGCTTGCTCATTTCAATCCCTCTCTACTTTCTTTCGGGGGAGAGAGGCTCACAGGAAGCGTGTGTTTTCCTACGCTCCTCTGCATCTTAAGTTTTGCTCACATCAGCTGTCCCACTGTCACCCAATGCTGTCTGTGACCAGGTGATGAAGTCTGCCTCATTCTGGGGTTCATAGGGTAAGCCCATGAGGCTGTAAGACCAGAAACTGCCGTCTCGACATTGTCAGCTTTGACAGAACCAATGTGCTGTTTCAATCCCCAGTTCAGGTGCATTTTGGGGGGTTTTTTGGTCAATATTTTTAGAACTTAGGTAGGGAAAAGGGTGGCTTCTACCTATTTCTGCTCAAAAGACCCAAGCCGATTCCATGGGATGGCTGCAGGTTTCCAGGAGACAAGATTGAGCTCATGGTGTATCTCACATCTGCTCAGAGCCCACGCCGCTACCAGCTCAGGGTGGTCCTGGCAAAATGGGGTGGGGGTTCCTCCAGGCACCCTGCTCTTGGGCTTCTGGGTGTGTTCCTTTTCTGTGCTGGTTGCAGGACACCCTGTGCGTATCCCAACCACACAAGCATGTGCCTTCCTAGACAGTAACTGGAGCCTCAAAATTATTCCTGTCCTCTCTTTTCCTTTAGAGAACCAAAACTCCTTTCCCCCAGGGCTCTCAGCAACCAAGAAAAAACATCTTCTGATCCACTAATTCGCACAAGGAATTAGAGCCCAAAGAAATCAATTAGAGGTACAACCACTCCTCGGGATACTTATATCTTCACACAACATTTAGAAGGCAGAAATACATTTGTTTGCGTCAAAACACTCAAATCAAAGAAGTAAACTCGTCTCCAGTTGGGGGCACTCCTTTCCTCGTGTAGTTTCTGGGCCACACTGTGTGATCTCTTCCTGTGGCCTCCCCAGCATGGTGGCTTCAGGGTAGCTGGTCTGGTTATATGGCAGCTTGGGGCTGCAGGAGCAAGTGCGTCTCACTGCCAGTGCATCCCAGGTGGGCAGGGGGCACTGCCCATCACAGGTCCTTAGGGGCTGGCAAGAAGCTGCAAAGCCTTCTGAACACTTAACCTCAGAATTCCCAGAACATCACTTCTGCCACTTTCTATTGCTCCAGCAGTTTACTAATTTCAGCCTAGATTCAAGAGGAGGGTAATTAGACTCCATCTCTCTATGAATTCAAGTGCGTAGTTAAGATGATTAAAGCCTTGGAAAATATCTTCTAAAAATTAAAACATATGGAATTAAGTACAGTTGAGATAGATTTCCTACGCTTAAAAATAACACTCCAATTATTCCCATTTTTCATGAAGCCAGTCACTGCTGTAGTATTGCACTCTCTTGTCCCACTTAAAGTAGGTATAACCGTGTGACTTGCTTAGCCCAAAGGTGAGTTAAGTGACATGTGTCATTTCTAGGCAGAAGCTTTAATGGTAAATGCATGATTCACCGTGCACCTTACTGTGGAAATGTGTGCAGTTTGGAACCTCCAACCTGGGCCCCTGAGGGACTACCATGGGTCAAACCCCCACCAACAGGTGATGTCTACGTAGCGTGAGTAAAAAACAACCTAGTGTTATTGAAGCCACTGAGTTTCAGGATCATTGTTAGTGCAGCATAACCTAGACTTACCCTGACTGATACAGTTATTCTTTAAAAATGAACCTTTCAAAAACACCCATCTTCTCTAAGCTTTTATGGTATTTATGAAAACATCTCACACTCCCAATGCAGCCTATGTTTTCTTAACTAGTGTTCTAGGCAGTTCAGTTGTTATTTGTTTGTTTATAATGAGCTTAGGGAGTTTTTCGTTTGTTTGTTTGTTTGAGACAGGGTCTCGCTTGTTGCCCAGGCTGGAATGCAGTGGCATGATCTCAGCTCACTGCAACCTCTGCCTCCTGGGTTCAAGTGATTCTCCTGCCTCAGCCTCCCGAGTAGCTGGGATTACAGGCATGTGCCACCATACCCGACTACTTTTTGTATTTTTAGTAGAGACAGGTCTTGCCATATTGGCCTGGCTGGTCTCGAACTCCTGACATCAGGTAATCTGCTTGCCTCAGCCTCCCACAGTGCTGGGATTACAGGCATGAGCCATCTCGCCTGGCGTTTTTTCTTTTTAATCTTGAATTAAAAAGGTCATAACTCACTCCCCTAAATCCAAGAGAGAAGAGCTTTCTTCTGTTTCTCTTGCAGTATGCCAATGAATTGAACACAGTTACCATGTATAAGACATTTTTGTTGCAAGTAAATGAGATCTATCCCATCTATGGTTTTTTTTTTAAAGTTTATTATTTATTTTAAACACAGGGTCTCACTGTGTTGCCCAGACTGGAGTGCAGTGGAGCAATCATAGCTCAGGGCACCTCCTGGGCTCATGTGATCCTCCCACCTCAGTCTCCTGAAAAGCTAGAACTACATGTGCATGTCACCATACCCTGCTTGGTTTTATTTTTAGTTTGGGAACTGAGAGATACAAGTTGCTACAGAGAAGGAAAATCCACATCTTGCCCTTCCAACTCTCTAACCCCTATTCCAATTGCTCTGTGTGTGCCTCGAGCTCTCCTCTCCTCTGAGGAGAGGAAGTGTATTGCTAGGTAACCTGGACCAGGACAGGCCTGGAGTCCATTTCTACGGTATGAGTCCTTTTGCTGTGTGGTCATAGGTTCATTCATTTGAAACTTTTATGGTTCCCTGAATGTTTTCTCCTTAAAGAAACATCTATAATGCTTGTTTCCAGTTGTATCTCCCATTAGAATGTAAGCTGATACGGTTTGGCTGTGTCCCCACCCAAATCTCATCTTGAATTGTAATCCCCATAATCCCCTCGTGTCTAGGGAGAGACTTGGTGGGAGGTGATTGGATCATGGGGGAGGTTTCCCCCATGCTGTTCTCATAATAGTGAGTGAGTTCTCACGAGATCTCATGGTTTTATAAGGGGCTCTTCCAACTTTGTTCTTCACTCTTCCCTCTCCTGCCACCATGTGAAGAAGGTCTTTGCTTCCCCTTTGCCTTCCGCCATGATTGTCAGTTTCCTGAGGCCTCCCCAGCAATGTGGAACTGTGAGTCAATTAAACCTCTTTCTTTTATAAATTACCCAGTCTCAGGTATTTCTTTCTAGCAATGTGAGAACGAACTGATACATAAGCTCTGTGAGGGCAGGGACAGTTTTTGACTAGCCCAGCACTGTACACATAGCACTTAGCACAGTGCCTGACCCAGATTGTTTATGCACTCTATTATTGTTAAATGGTGACAGAAGCTGCCATCTTTGTAGCATGAAGGTCTTGTGAAACCTGGTAGAGCTGCAGGAGGTCACAAAGAAGCCATGAAACTAAGGACTGAGAATTATTAAGGGTTAATATTTTTATTAAATATTTAAAATGCATTTATTGTAGAGCAGTCTTTAAAAGTGATTTCACTACCACATTTTTATTGTTTGCTGCATGTAAATTTATAAGGTTTCTATAGCATATAAAAACAGATATAAACATTTTCTTATTTTGACCTTATATTTGTTATTTATTTCCTAAGAAAAATTGAGAAAGAAGAACCGACTATACTCTTCCTAGGCTCTACACTATATATGAACTCTATACATGAACGAAGACAGTGTGGTCCTTGGGCTATAGGGCCCCCGCCTCTGTCCTTCCCATACCTTGAGAAGCTTCTGAGGGCCATAGCAACCTATCAGTAAATAAGTTGCTTTGTAATATGCCATCTGCCCATCCTATTCACTCCACTGTGACTGCCATCCATATGATCCCTGAGGGGTTAGGAGCTGTGATGGATGTCTGTGTCTTGTCTGTTCACCTTTCTCCCCACTTCATCAAAGAAGAGCTTCTTCCACCTCTCCAGCCTTAGGTTTCAAATGCAGCTTTCAAGTTCTTCCTCAAGCTCCTTTCTTGGGCTAGACCCTGTTGACTAAGGAAGTGCCCTGACCAGCCTTCAGTCAGCCCTAGGGTGCCTCCCACATTCATCCGGCTATGGTTGATTGCTTCCAGTTAGGCACCTGACCTAATCCTGATCCATTATGTCCTTCCCTGGGATTTGTTAAAGTGTAACCAGAGAAAAAGATTTGATCACCCTCTGATGTGATGCTGAGAGATAAGAGGTATATAGGAGCCTGGAAACCTCTTAGTCACCATGTGGACAAAGCCAGCCTGAGCAAGGTAAGTGAAAATGCAAAAAGCAGCAGGTGGAGGGAAAACCTTGGCAGGGCTGAGCTCTGTGTTCCAGTTCCTTGAGGTCCAGCTGCTTGTGTCCCCACCCTGTTCCACTGGCTTCCATTTCTTTTTGTTCCTGCTTTCACGTTATTTCGTTGGAGGTTTATAAGTCAACTGAAATCCTTTTTACTACAAGAGAAGTATGAGTACATACGTAGGCACATCAGTGTGTTTTGTACCAAATACCAATCAATATTCTTTGAGGTCTTCAGTACTGTGAAAAAGGGGATTTATATTAGGGCTGGAAAAGGTTTGCTGGGACTTAAGAAAGAATTTTGTGTCCTCCCACACATTAACTCACAAGGAGCTTTCAGAATACCATGTCCCAAAGGGCTCATGACACCTCTGTGGACTGCACTGTATGACTGGCCTCTCCATTCCTGAGATGAGATCATTCACACACTTTCTGACCAAATCCATGTGCCAGGGGTACAAAAAGGAAGACACAGTCCTGCCCTCAAGGAACTTCTGGTCTAACATCTGAAACAGATACATAAATAGATTGTTACAATAACGTTTGGTTGAGGGAGCCAAGATGGCCGAATAGGAACAGCTCCGGTCTACAGCTCCCAGCGTGAGCGACGCATAAGACGGGTGACTTCTGCATTTCCATCTGAGGTACCGGGTTCATCTCACTAGGGAGTGCCAGACAGTGGGCGCAGGCCAGTGTGTGTGCGCACCGTGCTCGAGCCGAAGCAGGGCGAGGCATTGCCTCACCTGGGAAGCGCAAGGGGTCAGGGAGTTCCCTTTCCGAGTCAAAGAAAGGGGTGATGGACGCACCTGGAAAATCGGGTCACTCCCACCCGAATATTGCGCTTTTCAGACCGGCTTAAGAAACGGCGCACCACGAGACTATATCCCACACCTGGCTCAGAGGGTCCTACGCCCACGGAATCGCGCTGATTGCTAGCACAGCAGTCTGAGATCAAACTGCAAGGCGGCAACGAGGCTGGGGGAGGGGCGCCCGCCATTGCCCAGGCTTGCTTAGGTAAACAAAGCAGCCGGGAAGCTGGAACTGGGTGGAGCCCACCACAGCTCAAGGAGGCCTGCCTGCCTCTGTAGGCTCCACCTCTGGGGGCAGGGCACAGACAACCAAAAAGACAGCAGTAACCTCTGCAGACTTAAGTGTCCCTGTCTGACAGCTTTGAAGAGAGCAGTGGTTCTCCCAGCACGCAGCTGGAGATCTGAGAACGGGCAGACTGCCTCAAGTGGGTCCCTGACCCCTGACCCCCGAGCAGCCTAACTGGGAGGCACCCCCCAGCAGGGGCACACTGACACCTCACACGGCAGGGTATTCCAACAGACCTGCAGCTGAGGGTCCTGTCTGTTAGAAGGAAAACTAACAACCAGAAAGGACATCTACACCGAAAACCCATCTGTACATCACCATCATCAAAGACCAAAAGTAGATAAAACCACAAAGATGGGGAAAAAACAGAACAGAAAAACTGGAAACTCTAAAATGCAGAGCGCCTCTCCTCCTCCAAAGGAACGCAGTTCCTCACCAGCAACAGAACAAAGCTGGATGGAGAATGATTTTGACGAGCTGAGAGAAGAAGGCTTCAGACGATCAAATTACTCTGAGCTACGGGAGGACATTCAAACCAAAGGCAAAGAAGTTGAAAACTTTGAAAAAAATTTAGAAGAATGTATAACTAGAATAACCAATACAGAGAAGTGCTTAAAGGAGCTGATGGAGCTGAAAACCAAGGCTGGAGAACTACGTGAAGAATGCAGAAGCCTCAGGAGCCGATGCGATCAACTGGAAGAAAGGGTATCAGCAATGGAAGATGAAATGAATGAAATGAAGCGAGAAGGGAAGTTTAGAGAAAAAAGAATAAAAAGAAATGAGCAAAGCCTCCAAGAAATATGGGACTATGTGAAAAGACCAAATCTACGTCTGATTGGTGTACCTGAAAGTGATGTGGAGAATGGAACCAAGTTGGAAAACACTCTGCAGGATATTATCCAGGAGAACTTCCCCAATCTAGCAAGGCAGGCCAACGTTCAGATTCAGGAAATACAGAGAACGCCACAAAGATACTCCTCGAGAAGAGCAACTCCAAGACACATAATTGTCAGATTCACCAAAGTTGAAATGAAGGAAAAAATGTTAAGGGCAGCCAGAGAGAAAGGTCGGGTTACCCTCAAAGGAAAGCCCATCAGACTAACAGCGGATCTCTCGGCAGAAACCCTACAAGCCAGAAGAGAGTGGGGGCCAATATTCAACATTCTTAAAGAAAAGAATTTTCAACCCAGAATTTCATATCCAGCCAAACTAAGCTTCATAAGTGAAGGAGAAATAAAATACTTTATAGACAAGCAAATGCTGAGAGATTTTGTCACCACCAGGCCTGCCCTACAAGAGCTCCTGAAGGAAGCGCTAAACATGGAAAGGAACAACCGGTACCAGCCGCTGCAAAATCATGCCAAAATGTAAAGACCATCGAGACTAGGAAGAAACTGCATCAACTAATGAGCAAAATCACCAGCTAACATCATAATGACAGGATCAAATTCACACATAACAATATTAACTTTAAATATAAATGGACTAAATTCTGCAATTAAAAGACACAGACTGGCAAGTTGGATAAAGAGTCAAGACCCATCAGTGTGCTGTATTCAGGAAACCCATCTCACGTGCAGAGACACACATAGGCTCAAAATAAAAGGATGGAGGAAGATCTACCAAGCCAATGGAAAACAAAAAAAGGCAGGGGTTGCAATCCTAGTCTCTGATAAAACAGACTTTAAACCAACAAAGATCAAAAGAGACAAAGAAGGCCATTACATAATGGTAAAGGGATCAATTCAACAAGAGGAGCTAACTATCCTAAATATTTATGCACCCAATACAGGAGCACCCAGATTCATAAAGCAAGTCCTCAGTGACCTACAAAGAGACTTAGACTCCCACACATTAATAATGGGAGACTTTAACACCCCACTGTCAACATTAGACAGATCAACGAGACAGAAAGTCAACAAGGATACCCAGGAATTGAACTCAGCTCTGCACCAAGCAGACCTAATAGACATCTACAGAACTCTCCACCCCAAATCAACAGAATATACATTTTTTTCAGCACCACACCACACCTATTCCAAAATTGACCACATAGTTGGAAGTAAAGCTCTCCTCAGCAAATGTAAAAGAACAGAAATTATAACAAACTATCTCTCAGACCACAGTGCAATCAAACTAGAACTCAGGATTAAGAATCTCACTCAAAGCCGCTCAACTACATGGAAACTGAACAACCTGCTCCTGAATGACTACTGGGTACATAACGAAATGAAGGCAGAAATAAAGATGTTCTTTGAAACCAACGAGAACAAAGACACCACATACCAGAATCTCTGGGATGCATTCAAAGCAGTGTGTAGAGGGAAATTTATAGCACTAAATGCCTACAAGAGAAAGCAGGAAAGATCCAAAATTGACACCCTAACATCACAATTAAAAGAACTAGAAAAGCAAGAGCAAACACATTCAAAAGCTAGCAGAAGGCAAGAAATAACTAAAATCAGAGCAGAACTGAAGGAAATAGAGACACAAAAAACCCTTCAAAAAATCAATGAATCCAGGAGCTGGTTTTTTGAAAGGATCAACAAAATTGATAGACCGCTAGCAAGACTAATAAAGAAAAAAAGAGAGAAGAATCAAATAGACACAATAAAAAATGATAAAGGGGATATCACCACCGATCCCACAGAAATACAAACTACCATCAGAGAATACTACAAACACCTCTACGCAAATAAACTAGAAAATCTAGAAGAAATGGATACATTCCTCGACACATACACTCTCCCAAGACTAAACCAGGAAGAAGTTGAATCTCTGAATAGACCAATAACAGGCTCTGAAATTGTGGCAATAATCAATAGTTTACCAACCAAAAAGAGTCCAGGACCAGATGGATTCACAGCCGAATTCTACCAGAGGTACAAGGAGGAACTGGTACCATTCCTTCTGAAACTATTCCAATCAATAGAAAAAGAGGGAATCCTCCCTAACTCATTTTATGAGGCCAGCATCATTCTGATACCAAAGCCGGGCAGAGACACAACCAAAAAAGAGAATTTTAGACCAATATCCTTGATGAACATTGATGCAAAAATCCTCAATAAAATACTGGCAAACCGAATCCAGCAGCACATCAAAAAGCTTATCCACCATGATCAAGTGGGCTTCATCCCTGGGATGCAAGGCTGGTTCAATATACGCAAATCAATAAATGTAATCCAGCATATAAGCAGAGCCAAAGACAAAAACCACATGATTATCTCAATAGATGCAGAAAAAGCCTTTGACAAAATTCAACAACCCTTCATGCTAAAAACTCTCAATAAATTAGGTATTGATGGGACGTATTTCAAAATAATAAGAGCTATCTATGACAAACCCACAGCCAATATCATACTGAATGGGCAAAAACTGGAAGCATTCCCTTTGAAAACTGGCACAAGACAGGGATGCCCTCTCTCACCGCTCCTATTCAACATAGTGTTGGAAGTTCTGGCCAGGGCAATCAGGCAGGAGAAGGAAATAAAGGGTATTCAATTAGGAAAAGAGGAAGTCAAATTGTCCCTGTTTGCAGACGACATGATTGTTTATCTAGAAAACCCCATCGTCTCAGCCCAAAATCTCCTTAAGCTGATAAGCAACTTCAGCAAAGTCTCAGGATACAAAATCAATGTACAAAAATCACAAGCATTCTTATACACCAACAACAGACAAACAGAGAGCCAAATCATGGGTGAACTCCCATTCACAATTGCTTCAAAGAGAATAAAATACCTAGGAATCCAACTTACAAGGGATGTGAAGGACCTCTTCAAGGAGAACTACAAACCACTGCTCAAGGAAATAAAAGAGGACACAAACAAATGGAAGAACATTCCATGCTCATGGGTAGGAAGAATCAATATCGTGAAAATGGCCATACTGCCCAAGGTAATTTACAGATTCAATGCCATCCCCATCAAGCTACCAATGACTTTCTTCACAGAATTGGAAAAAACTACTTTAAAGTTCATGTGGAACCAAAAAAGAGCCCGCATTGCCAAGTCAATCCTAAGACAAAAGAACAAAGCTGGAGGCATCACACTACCTGACTTCAAACTATACTACAAGGCTACAGTAACCAAAACAGCATGGTACTGGTACCAAAACAGAGATATAGATCAATGGAACAGAACAGAGCCCTCAGAAATAATGCCGCATATCTACAACTATCTGATATTTGACAAACCTGAGAAAAACAAGCAATGGGGAAAGGATTCCCTATTTAATAAATGGTGCTGGGAAAACTGGCTAGCCATATGTAGAAAGCTGAAACTGGATCCCTTCCTTACACCTTATACAAAAATCAATTCAAGATGGATTAAAGATTTAAACGTTAAACCTAAAACCATAAAAACCCTAGAAGAAAACCTAGGCATTACCATTCAGGACATAGGCGTGGGCAAGGACTTCATGTCCAAAACACCAAAAGCAATGGCAACAAAAGACAAAATTGACAAATGGGATCTAATTAAACTAAAGAGCTTCTGCACAGCAAAAGAAACTACCATCAGAGTGAACAGGCAACCTACAACATGGGAGAAAATTTTCGCAACCTACTCATCTGACAAAGGGCTAATATCCAGAATCTACAATGAACTCAAACAAATTTACAAGAAAAAAACAAACAACCCCATCAAAAAGTGGGCGAAGGACATGAACAGACACTTCTCAAAAGAAGACATTTATGCAGCCAAAAAACACATGAAGAAATGCTCATCATCACTGGCCATCAGAGAAATGCAAATCAAAACCACTATGAGATATCATCTCACACCAGTTAGAATGGCAATCATTAAAAAGTCAGGAAACAACAGGTGCTGGAGAGGATGCGGAGAAATAGGAACACTTTTACACTGTTGGTGGGACTGTAAACTAGTTCAACCATTGTGGAAGTCAGTGTGGCGATTCCTCAGGGATCTAGAACTAGAAATACCATTTGACCCAGCCATCCCATTACTGGGTATATACCCAAATGAGTATAAATCATGCTGCTATAAAGACACATGCACACGTATGTTTATTGCGGCACTATTCACAATAGCAAAGACTTGGAACCAACCCAAATGTCCAACAATGATAGACTGGATTAAGAAAATGTGGCACATATACACCATGGAATACTATGCAGCCATAAAAAATGATGAGTTCATATCCTTTGTAGGGACATGGATGAAATTGGAAACCATCATTCTCAGTAAACTATCGCAAGAACAAAAAACCAAACACCGCATATTCTCACTCATAGGTGGGAATTGAACAATGAGATCACATGGACACAGGAAGGGGAATATCACACTCTGGGGACGGTGGGTCGGGGGAGGGGGGAGGGATAGCATTGGGAGATATACCTAATGCTAGATGACACATTAGTGGGTGCAGCGCACCAGCATGGCACATGTATACATATGTAACTAACCTGCACAATGTGCACATGTACCCTAAAACTTAGAGTATAATAAAAAAAAATAAAATAAAAAAAATAAAGTTTGGTTTGTAGGATGACAGAGATATGCAAAGACTTGTGGATCACCGGGGACGCTCAGAGAATCACCTGCGTGGCGAGTGGAGACAGCTTCAGCTTGGGTTCTCAGCTCATAGGGACACTGATTTATACACTGTTCTTGTGAGTCATCATTAAGTTTGGGGGGAGTCAAAAGTTATTCACCGATTTTCAGCTTTGTGGGGAGTTGGCATCCCTAACCACTACATTGTTCAAGGGTCATTTGTGTATATATATGTGTGTGTCTGTGTGTGTGTGTGTGTGTGTGTGTGTGTGTGTGTGCTGCTTTTGTCACAGAACAAGTCATAGCATTTTTTTATGTTCTTAGAAACACTTCACAAATGTCATTTTTGATTGCTGCGTGAGGAGCATCCTGTGATGAGGTCAACTTTACTCACCAACCCTCCATCCGGGGCCTCTGCCTCGCTTCCAGTTTCTTCCACCGTTATAAATCCCATGCCTACTTTTCACTGCTCACAGGTTGCCAACCCGTTAGCTCACTGATATGTGGAAGGAATGCAGGGAAGTTTACAATCCAAGTACCAGACCCATGTTCAGATTATGAATTTGCCCAAGAAAATCAGGGCATCAATGGTTTTGAAACTCCAATTATCTGTATGGTGTATGTTTCTAGCATCCAGAAGACAAAACCTTCTGGGTACTAGAACAAAGAACCAAGTGAACGAATTGGAGAGAAATTTAATTTGCTCTGAAAGCGAATTCAGTAATCATGTGGAAGCTGACCTACGGAACATCCCACGGGAAGGTTTATAAAACAGAGACAAAGATGACGCGAGAGCTTTTTTACAAAAGACCTTATTTCTCTGTCTCTTTTTTTTTTTTTTTTTTTTTTTGAGACAGAGTCTTGTTCTGTCGCCCAGGCTGTAGTGCAGTGGCACCATCTCGGCTCACTGCCAGCTCCACCTCCCGGGTTCATGCCATTCTCCTGCCTCAGCCTCCCAAGTAGCTGGGACTGCAGGCACCCACCACCAGGCCCGGCTAATTTTTTGTATTTTTAGTAGAGATGGGGTTTCACCGTGTTAGCCAGGATGGTCTCGATCTCCTGACTTTGTGATCCGCCCACCTCGGCCTCCCAAAGTGCTGGGATTACAGGCGTGAGCCACCGCGCCCGGCCACAGAAGACCTTATTTCAAACAGGCTTTCTCCGCTTCCGCACAGGTGGCTGAGACCAGGCAATGCTTTGCTTAGACATTGCAGCTACTGTTGTGGAGTGCTGGAGCCCGGCGCTGGGCAGCTCCTCCAAGCTCCTAAGGGGCTATTACTATGTCTGTTTTACAGATAAGAAGAAGGAGGCTTAAGGAGATTAAGCCTCACGCCCAGAAGGTAACACATGGCTTTAGGGAACAGGGCTGGGCCTGTGTCTAATTCGAAGTGTGTGCTGCTAGCCCTTCCCGACTCCAGGTCCCCTGAATTCATGCTGGCAACTTGAGGGTGACCACAGCAGAGGGAGCTGCACCATGGAGGCAAATGCTGCAAATCAGGGCTTTTGTTGCTACTGTTGTTGAGAGCTGGTTGTTCACCACTGCACTATTCTGCCATCCTCCCAATCTGGTGTCTTTGTCAAATATATACAGATTTTTTTCTTTGAGACACAGTCTCCCTCTGTCATCCAGATTGGAGTGCAGTGGTGTCATCATGGCTCTCTGCAGCCTTGAACTCCTGGGCTCAGGAGATCATCAGCCTTCCAAATAGCAAGGACTGCAAGTGTGCACTACCATGCCCAGCTCATTTTTTAAACTTTTTGTAGAGAGGGTTTTCGCCATGTTGCCCAGGCTGGTCTCGAACTCCTGGGCTCAAGTCTCCCAAAGTCTCCCAAGTCTCTCCAGTCTCCCAAAGTACTGGGATTACCGGCATGAGCCACCACACTTGGCCCAGATTTTTTTTTTTAATGGGGAAAACAATAAGACATATAGAAAGAGAGACTTTGTCCAATGACAAGACATCCATCTGTTGCATCACATCAAACAATTGATAAATTCAATTCCAAACCCTTATACTACTTCTCTGATTGAATTCAGGGTTCTCCATGTGTGGTCTCCAGGCCAATGTCATTGACGTCACCATCATCGCCATCACCATCATTACCACTTAGCGTTATAATCATTACCACCACCACCATCACCACCCACCACCACCACCATCACTACTACTATCACCCCCACCAACACCAACACCACCATCACCATCACCACCACCACTACAATCACCATCACCACCACCACCACCACCACCATTGCCACCACCACCACCATCACCACCACCACCACCACTACCATCACCACCACCGCCACTGCCACCACCATCACTACTATAACCACCACCACCATTCCATCACCACCATCATGACCACCAGCACCACTGTCACCATCATCACAACCATCACCATTACCAGCATCACCATCACCATTATCATCATCATCACCGTCACCTGGGAACTTGCTAGAACTGAAAGTTTTTGGATCCCACCCAGACATCTTTTTCTGTTTAGATGCTTCCCTAAAGTTTGAGAATCCCATATGTAGGCTAACTGTGCATTCTCCGCTTAATCATTTCTTTATCTTATTTCTGTCAAAATAGGTGCTTTTTTTGAAAAAAGCACTTTGATTCAGAGAAATTCAGATGATATGGAATATGTAAAAAAAAATTTTCTTCTGATTTTTCTTCAAAGATGATTTTGTTTTTCTTAAAGATTAAAACCCAAGATGCCAAAGCAATTTTAGAGCTGCTTGTGTTTATAAATGATTGATTTTAAAATTTACATACAGCATAAAGTCAATTGATGAAAGAGTGGTAAGTTAATTGATTAGTTGTTTGGTGTCCACCATGCTGAACTCTGATTTTGGTCAACATAGGGCTGAACTGAAGAGTCAAAGAGAGCTTAAAGGGACAGAACATTCAGAATCTTCAGATAGATATGCTAATACATGTGGAAATCCTTGTTAATGATAAAGCAGTTGAAATTCAACCACTTAGTCAGTAGCCATCTATTTTATGTGCTAGAAGTTGCTCTAAGCACTGAGGATCCAAAGTCAGCAAGTCATATCCTTAGGTTTCAGAGCTCAAGGCTACGTGGCCTGGGTAGTCATGTTAACATATGAGTTCCATAGTTGCAATATGGATAGAAACCTCTGGGAACAGAGGAGGAGATGACAAACTCTGCCTGTGTGAGCCGTGTTGGGGATGTGTTTTATTATTAAAGTATCACCAGAATCTGCTTCAGTCTACTCCATCTTTACATATTTCTCCGTGGATTGCAAATACCTGTCATCAGCTACTAATAAGGTTGATAGCCCGCACACTGCTTTATTCCACTCTTGGAAACAGTGAAATATACCCAGCAGTACCCCTATTAAAACAGAGACTTCCCATGCAAGATACTGGAAGCAGAACTGGAACCGCTGATGTTTTTCTTGGAAAGAGGCCTTATTTGGATGGCAGAGTGGGAGGAGGTGGAATTTCAGAAGACACATTTTCCAAAGCTAATGTGTATGGCCAGAAAGTGGAGACTGTGTTTGCTTTGTCTTCACATTGTCATTTTGGGGTGGCAGACCCTCTCCCCATCAGTGAACAGAAAGCACATGTTCTCTCCACGCAGTGCCTTACTGCCTTGCTTTTCTCATTCAACCAGAAAGGCCTCTGATGAAAGGCCCAAGCTGGCAGCAAAATCTAGTGATAGAAGTAATCAATCTAAGGAATACCTGAACAGTATTCCCATGGTTAGTCAAAATACACATGCGCACACAACATACAGACAATTATGTCATTTACATCGTCTGCACTGGTGGCTTCATTTGAGAAAGAAGGTAAGGAAAATAGCTCCTCTCAGGTTCCATTCGTGGACAGAAAAATCTTCTACTTCATCTACAGCAGAAAATGCTCTTCTCCTTAAGAGTGTACCATGGATGCATCAAATATTCATGAGGCATTCCCAGCAGAGACCAGAAAAGTGATAAAGCAAGAATGGAAATCGAGCTTATGCTGAGTTTATATAATTATTTCTAAAATACTTTGCAAAGTTTATAACAATAGAGATTTCAGCTCATGAATTCTGCAGAATCATGGAAATGTCATATGCAAATTACAGCACAAAGAAGAATGTGTTTATGAAAAATGGTATCAACACCATTAGCAAAGTATCTCTGCACCTAGGCAGTCCCAAGGGCCTCTGGAAAGATCCACTCCCTGGGTTATTCTGTCACAATAGCCTACTGAACACACAAATCAGGACTTTCCTACTGCTGCAGTTACTCTCCAGAAATAGCACCATAATGGAATCATAAGAGAAGGTTCTTCATCACACACACACACACACACACACACGCGTGCACACACACACATGCTTGTCCTTTTCCAACAGTAGATTCCTGGCGATGAAGGAAGTGGCAGAAAGAGTAGATGCCCTTTCACATGTTTGCCACACTGAGCTTGCAACTTCTAAATATGAAAATTTGAACCAGCAATTACAGAGAAAAAACTAGATGGAAAGTTCCACACTATTCCTTTTACAGAATTTCTTAGTTTTTCCCCCGCTGGCCTCCTAAAGCTGAGAATTACTCTTCCAAATCTGTCTAAGGTTGACCCTCCATGTGGGTGAACGTGTCCCAGTGAGTGGGCTCTGGGGAGATGTTTTCCCTCACCCGTGATTCCAAGCCACTCACAGACACGAGGCCCTGGAAGCAGACATTCCTCAGGGTTGAGTTAGGATGAACATAGGTCCATAGCCAGCACCCATGGCATGCCGTTCCACTTGACCATTCTTGCTGAGGGAGCTTGCATTTGTCCAGAAGTCTGCCTAGTGACCACCCAACTTTATTTTTCTATTTTTTTCACTAAATAGTTGCAAGCTATTTATAACAAATTCCTCTTGCTTGATGTTTGCATGAAAGCATAAGAACAAACAAAACAAGGCTCTCCATGGGCATGTTTCAGATTACCAAGTCATTTAGGGAGCTACAAAAGATGCAAAATATGCAAAGCAGCCCCCTGCTCTTGGGGTGGAAAACACTATTATTAGATCTTCCACATTGTCACGAATCTGATAACTGTGCCCGAAGGGAGCCATGGCCCCAGAGAAGCCGGCTGCTCCTACATGAAGTGTCCATGTCCCATGCACAGAGAATGTGCCGCCCCCAGTCACCACCGTGGCTTTCTGTGACACACTATTCTGGGACAATAGACAGCATTTTGAGCCTCCATTTGCACCAATTCCTTAAATGCGAGGTCCCCATTCAGGAGAATGCATCACTGAACCGCTTCAAGTTCCTGCTTGTTCCCGGAAACCAGGTGTCTCAGGCAAGAAATGGCTTCCCTTTATTGAATATCTCCTATGGGAGACCACATTTATCTCATTTAAATAACCCAACAACTTTGCAAGCTGGATAGGATCGTTCCCATTTTACAAGAGAGGAAAAGGGCTCCAATAGGCAGGAGCTAGCTGCTAGGGAGGAAGGGCAGGAACTAGGATTCTAACCCAAACCTGCCTGATTCCATAGTCTCTGCCCTCAGCCACTAAGAAGACCCACTCACCTTTATCACATTCATTTCGTATCTCTTGCTCCTGAGCTTGACACATGGCAAACTCAATAAATGTTTATTATTTAAGAGGCAGTTAAAAATTGGAAATGAGTAAGAAAGTTAAGTGGGATAGACTCATGAGCCCAGATTTGACATATAAACCATCTTCAACAGAAAAATAACAGATGCTGGTGAATTTCCAGTGAATTTGTAAGTGCAGCGAAGCCTTCCAGATTAAGCTCTCTTAGTCTCCTGCTTGGGTTTAGATATTTTAAAATGCAATGTAAAGGGCTTAGTTCTACAGTCTTCTGAAAACTCAGAGTCAGATATCCAAGAGGCATCCTTCCACAGTGGGCATATATCAATACAGATAAGATGCCACCCTCATCATGTCACCTGCTGTTATTGTCTATAAAGAACTTGTCACTACCTGAAATTATCTTATTTGTTTATTCATTTCTTGTGTCACTCCCAAATGTCATCTGTCACTCTCTACCTAGTACCTAGCATAGTGCCAGGCACATTATCCTTCTATGGATATTGATTGATATTGAACCCTGGGCCAAGTAGAAGACATGGTGTGTCCATGCTAGAGAAGGCACAATCTGACACAGAACAATCTGCTACATTTGGGCCAGGAACTCTAGCTTTTTCCTTGTCTCCTGGGAATGTCATTGTCATTCAAAGTGATCAAACCTGTATCAGTTTGGAAAGAATCGTAGCATCTTTTCTCTCCTTGGCCATTTTTATTGCCAAGGCAGATTACAGAAAGCAGAGCCCAGCAAGTCCCTCCCATCCTATCTTCCACTCTGCGTCTTCGGTTCCTTAGCCATGCCTAATAAGTGAAAGAAGTCATGTTATAGAATGGAAAATCAACCCCTGTCCACTCTTACTTTTTTATCTCAACACATTTATTATGCACCAACTTTGTGCCCAGCACTGTTCGGGGTGCTAGGAATACAGCACTCATCAATATCAATTTCCTGCTCTCAAAGTCTAACGTTCTCGTGACAGGAGACAGAAAATAAATAAAAAATAAAGTAAAATAGAACAGGAAGCAATGAGACGAAAACATAAGCAGAGGAAGGGACTGAGAGGGTTACCGGGAGGGGTGAAGGGCCATATTTTATCTGAGGGGTCAGGAAAACACCTTGTGCAGCTTTTGCTCTGGGTTAGCCCATGTGTAGCCCCAAGTCCAGGGTCCCACTGGGAACCTGAGCCGTGTTCAGGCCTAGGATCCAGACCAGTGTGGGGGGCTGGAGGGACTTGAATAAATGGCAGAAAGAATTGAGGTTCATGAGCAATGGGCAAGTGAAACACGCTGCATGGTGTTGGTTGCCTGGGCTGTCCTCAGCCCCAGCCCCATAGACCAGAGCTGAGCCCTGGAAGACGAAGTTCCAAAGATCAGTGACACTCAGAGCTCCAGGTGTGGGGCCCAGGCAGCTCTGCTCTGGGTGACCGGGCTGCAGCGGTGGGGTGGGGAGTGAAGACAGCTCTCTCCCTGGGGTCCCCGTTGGAGGCCACGCATGGCTGGGGTGCCAGAGGTCCAGATGTGGTCATGCAGGAATGCCAGCCTCCCTGGAGCTTGGGTGGTCTCTGCTGCAGGCATCAGCAGTCAGAAGCAGCATCAGAGAGGGAAAACAGCCGATGCCAGCCGGCACCTGTGGAGCACATGTGAGTTACCTTCCAGGGCGTCCCTGCACTAACTGGGGTCTGAGGTTCTTCTAGTGGTGGTAGAGCCAGAGAAATATGACGATGTGACATCTACCCCCCACTAGAATGTCCTCAGGAGGCACAGGTTCCTCCTGCAGGCAATCCAAGCTGAGGACCAGACCCTGGGGAGAACACTGTGGTTCAACATTCAGTTCCGAGGACTTGTGGTTTTTCTGGGGCCTGGTGTGATGTTAGATTGAGAACAAGCTTTGCTCCTTGACAAAGGACTCCCCTCCAGCAGACAGCAGCCCTGACCGAAACAGCCTGCTGTGCCAACAATGCCATCGTTGCGAGAAGCATTAGGACCTGGGAACTTGCACTTAATAGGTAATAAAATGATTATGAGAAATGCAGTAAAAATCATGTCAATGTGTGGAGGAAGAAGCTAGTATCACTCGACAAATATGCTTCCTTTACACTTGCAGAATCTTCTGGCCCGGCATCTGGGAAACAATCTTTATGCTAAACTGCAGCCCGTGTGGCCCTACTTACCTGGGACCTTCACCCCAGGTAACCTGCCAGTCTCCAGGTTCGCAAGGCGTTGTTGGAGAGGGAGAGCCTGTGCTTGATGGCACAGAGTCTGTGGCCTCTGGCTGACTCCCTAGGCCAGCTCCCCTCTTGTTCCATCAGCCTCAACCCTGTCTCATGTGTGTCAGCTCAGGCCTTGAACAAGCAGTTCAAAACTAACAGGGGGCTGGCATGGCAGTCTATGAAATGCAAGACTAAAATGTGGCTACACACTGTTTCCAGCCACTGCCTGCCACTCATGTTTCCCCTGAAAGCCATGGGGACCTCAAACTCAGAAGCCTGAAGGAGCGAGGCAGGTAGACGGGGGCTCAGGAACCACTCAGTCCATGCGAGAAAGTGGCCTGGTATTTCCACGGCCTCCAGTCTCTTCAACAGAAGTCAGAAAACCTTTTTTTTTTTTTTTTTTTTTTTTTTGAGACAGAGTCTCGCTCTGTCACCCAGGCTAGAGTGCAGTGGTGCAATCTCAGCTCACCACAACCTCCACCCACCAGGCTCGAGCGATCCTCTCACCTCACCCTCCCGACTAGCTGGGACCACAGGTGCGCACCACCATGCTTGTTTTTTTTTTTTTTTTTTTGTATTTTTAATAGAGATGGGGTCTCGCCATGTTGCCCAGGCTGACCTCCAACTCCTGAGCTCAGGCAATCTGCCCGCCTCGGCCTCTCAAAGTACTGGGATTACAGGCGTGAGCCACTACACCCGGCCATAAAGCCATTTTTTTGAACACAACTCTCCCAGGTTTTAAAAGTCGGGAATTTTTTTTAAGCAGAGTATAGGCCAAGCAAGATAAATATCTGTATAAGCTGTATTTTTTCTGTAAGCCGGCAGTTCGAGCCTCTGGATGAAAAGATAACTGGGACATCTTTATAGAGCACTGTGTATGCGACAGAACTTTCTGTATTCTTTCCTTGGTGCCCCAAGCGCTTCCACTGATAATTCTTCCAAGGTAAAGTGGTAGCTCATTTGACCACCTTCCAAAGTGAAGTAATAGCCCTGGACCACCCATGGGGTGTGGTCTCCACCCGTGCCCTGAATCAGCAGCATTCAGGTCAAACTGCAGACAATTGGACGTAACTGTTGCGATTATTCTACATCCTTCAGAACTCAGGGAGTTTTGTGCTGGCCATGAAAAGGAAGCCTGTGGTGAGAAATGGCTCCAGGGAGAACAAAGAAGGGGCAACAGGACTCCAGCAACTTGCAGTTACTGGTAATGTCCACCCTTCACCTAAGAAGCAACCTGGGGTTGGGAGGAGCACTGGACAGCTTGAGGGACCTGACTTTGGGCCACTGGCTCCGGGATCTGAGCCCCCAGACATCCCAGCTAAGATTCATTGTGAGCAGGAAAAGTAGTCCCCGCCAAGCCCCGCCCTACTCGCAAATACATAAACAGTGTAAGTGACTCCTGTTGTTTTAAACCACTGCGTTTTAAGGGAGGTTGGTTACGCAGCAAGAGATGGCCACCATCCCTATGGATACCATGGTAACTAGGGATCGTCAAGTGTGCAGGCGCCTGTGGGGATCCAGGAGATCTTGGTGCCCAGCATGCTGAGCTCCTGAGAGGGGGGGCAGCAGCACCTCTCTCCCCATCTCCTCCTCCCTATAGACTCACCCCCATTCACCTAGTGGCCTTGTGTGGCTGTGACTCTGGCCTTTGGCTCCTCTCCTGGGTCGACTTGCCTCCTGCTTTCTTTTCTAACTGCATGGTATTCTCCATGTCCACAACTCAGATTCCTTCAAAACAGAGGCTCTGATTGGCTCTGTTCATCGTTTTGTGCAGGCATCGATCACTGGCTGGCCTATACATTGGTGGTTGTCAAATCAGATGCCAGCTGGGCACGGTGACTCATGCTTGTAATCACAGCTACTTGGGAGACTGAGTGGGGAGGATCGCCTGAACCCAGGAGTTGGAGGCTACAGTGAGCTATGATTGCACCACTGCACTCCAGCCTAGGCAACAGAGAGAGACTGAAATCAGACGCCACCCCTGGTCTAATCAGCTGTGGCAGGTGCAATGCACAATGGCAGAGGGGCGTCACTTCAGGAGGCACCACGGGAGGGACGTTCCTCTTGGGGAGTGCTTTGTAATTGATCGACATGACCAACATGTCTGAAACAGAAATAAAGGAAAGAACACAGGGTAGGAGGATTCTGTGCAGTGGACACGATCTTCAAACGGGGGTGTGAACATTTCCTGCTAGCTCTGAGATTTGTAATCCAGACCCCGATGGTTTTCAGAAAATAAATTGGCAGCTGTACTCTTCTAAAATTGGTCAGGAGGTATTAGGTTGGTTTTTCTTTCTTTACTTTTAAAATTGGCCTTTTCCCACTTTATAAAAGCAAGGCATATCTTTATCCTTCCTGAATATTCTTACGTGAATTGCTTCAAGGTAGAAACACCTTCAGAGTGCCCAACAAGGACGTAATACAAATATTGGTGTCCCCCAGTGTTGGTGTTTCCTTCTAGGGAGCATACAACTTCCTGTCCATTACAGATGCATTTCCCCCCAAAATTACTTTTTCTTTTTAATAATGATTGACATTAACTTGAAATGGCAACTCAACTTGGAACACATTTTTAATTGCTTGAAAGCTTATGGCACTAAGGATTGTTTTTAAAGTTAATTTAAATATATTTATGTATTTCTGCTGTAGCGGAACAGGATGACCATTTCATTTTGAAAAGCTGTTGTCGGGTGGGTCTCTGGAAAGGGGATCATGGGCTGGAGTTTCGTGTGTAGAATGTCTATGGGGGGTGCCCTTGGGGGGAACCCCTGAGAAAGGAAGGGGAAGGAAGCAGGAGTTGGGGAGAGGAAGAAGTTAGCTGCGATGCAGGTCCCCAGCAGACTTGGCAGCCCCAGGGAAGCTCTGCCACTGAAAGGGTCATCAGAATTGCCCCACCCTTGCCTCGAGCCTTGTACTCCCACCACAGCCAGTCATTGAGGGGGGCTGCCTGGGGAAGGGCATGAACCAGGGCCAGGCAGCTCTGCGCCTGAGGCCATCCTAACCCAGCTGCAAGCTGGTAGTGCTCCCAGCAGTGGAGGGGGTTGGGACAAGTCTTTCCTTGATGGGGGATCTGGGTGGAGCATCGTCTGGTGACCACCACAAATTTCAGTGTCTATACTATGCCAAAAATGATATCCATTCACAATGGTTTAAATTTATGATGAAAATCTCCAGGTGTAAACTTTAAAACACAAAGTTCTACAATGTGTAAAAGCAGTTGTTGTTTTTTTTTGGTTTTTTTTTTGAGACAGTCTCGCTCTGTCACTCAGGTTGAAGTGCAGTGGCACAATCTCGGCTCACTGCAAGCTCTGCCTCTCGGGTTCACGCCATTCTCCTGCCTCAGCCTCCCGAGTAGCTGGGACTACAGGCGCCCGCCACCATGCCCAGCTATTTTTTGTGTGTTTTTAGTAGAGATGGGGTTTCTCCGTGTTAGCCAGGATGGTCTGATCTCCTGACCTCGTGATCCACCCACCTTGGCCTCCCAAAATGCTGGGATTACAGGCGTGAGCCACTGCACCCGGCCAAAAGCAGTTTTTGAAGGGTGTGAGCACAAGTCTCAAGATCGTGGTAGCCAGACTGTCCCGGCCCTGTTGGGAGGATTCCTTAGAAGTATTTCTTTTTTGTTTTTTTTTTTGAGATTGAAGTCTCACTCTGTTGCCCAGAGTGCAGTGGCGTGATCTCACTGCAACCTCTGCCTCCCAGGTTCAAGTGATTCTCCTGCCTCAACTTCCCAAGTAGCTAGGATTACAGGCATGTGCCACCACACCCAGCTAATTTTTGCGTTTTTAGTAGAGACAGGGTTTTGTCATGTTGGCCAGGCTGGTCTCGAACTCCTGACCTCAGGTGATCCACCCATCTTGGCCTCCCAAAGTGCTGGGATTACAGGTGTGAGCCACTATGCCTGGCCTCCTTGGGAGCTTTTAAACATGTATGGCAGTGGCATGTTAAGTACTCACTAAGCTCTACTTTCTTTTCCTCCTGGAAACCCAGCTGGACTGAATTTCCCAGCTTCTGCCGCAGGTCTGTGAGGCCATGTGACCTGAGAAGCAGTGAAGGTGGCAGAAGTGGGATCCACCACATCCAAGCTCAGGCCATGAAACTGCCTGTGGCATCCTCCACACTCTTGCTCTTCTCTCTCCTGCTGGTCAGACATGGATGATCCAGTGGAGGCCTCCAAGGCCCTAGGGGATGGCAGAACCGCTCGATAGCAGATGCTTGGGGCCCTGGAGGACTGCATGGATCAAAGCCCCCTCCAACCAACCTTGATTGTGAAATGATGATGAAATAAACCTTCATTATGGTGTGTCACCGAGAGTTTGAGATTGTTTGTTATAGCACTTCATCTACTCTGATTAACACAAAATCTGTTGAAGAGAAAAAAACACAGTAAACTCAGATGTTTAGTGATGTTTTCGATAGCATTCATGGGGAAGGAAAAATGCAACTTGATTTCCAGACAGCTTAGAAAAATTCAAAGGGAGAAAGATTTCCTCTGGGTCATTTTCACAAAGAAGGAACTCGGCCTGAGCTGAGCCAGAGGGAGTGAGTCACAGTGAAGACCACTGGCTTATTAATGGTACCAGGAAGCCTGAATCCAGTGAATGTGTCTGGCACTAGGGATGTGTATCCATTATGACTGAGTTCAGCTCTATTTAAAAGGAAAACTAATGACTGAGGCTTAAACAACATGAGTGTTTATTTTTCTCTCAAGCTTCAAGTTACATAGTCCAAGGATTTATCAGCTCCATGGTGACATCAGGCTTTTTCTAGTTTTTCAATCCAGAGCCCTTTTTAGAGTGTGGCCTTCATTTTGTGTTCACAGCTACTAGAGTCCCAGCTGTCATGTTGACATTTTGGGGAGAGTACAGGAGGAGAAGTGGAGTGCATAGGTATGCACACTGGCTCTGGGGTGCCTGGGATGCTCTGGCGGCACTCCCTTGGCCATCTTCACTCCAGCCAGCCATGTCCATAGATCCACACACGTGGTAAGCATCACACACCAGCCACACCATGATGCCTCTTTGCTTTGCTGGAGCCACAGAAGACCACCCAACCACATGAAAGAACAATCAGTTAGTATGGGGGAGCTAAGAACCCAAGGGAGATCCCAAGCAATGGGGAACTAGGCAGCCCAGCCTCGTAGTCCTCCACTGAGACGATCGTGAGGCATGGTCCACTGTGTGCAGGGTCCCACGGCAGACTGAGGTACTCACTGGCAACTGGCCTATTAATGCCTCCTTCACTGCTTTCCTCTCTTCCTTTTTTCCCTCTCCCCCATTTCTGTTACCTGGGATGAACTCCAAGATAAACCACCTGCACCCAAGTTCGTCTCAAGCTCCTTCTTGAGGGAGCTCAAACTAAGATACCAGCTGAGTCTGCCCCTTTAAAGGGCTTTCCTGAGAATCCCTCCTAGCAAATTCTAGCTAATCTCAGAGCCAGAATCAGGTCAAGTGGCCACTCCTAACCGTAAGGGAAGCTGGGAAATACAGGCTTTTTAGGTGGGCACTTTGGCACCCCCAACTAAATCAAGGTTTTGTCCTCACAGAAGAAAAGGATGCTTATTTGATGGGCAACTGGCCAGTCCTGAAAATCAACATATGTCAATATTGATCATTTGGTGGTTTTTAAGTATTAAATTAGTGAAAAGAACAATTTGGGAAATGAAATACATAAAAGTATCAGCAGGTAGAAATAGTATAAAAAATATAAAAATGAAGATTTTAGAACTCAACCTTTGGTCAGTAGGGATCCATTTAAACTGGAAGTATTTTATAGACTGAGAAATAATGATATCCTGTCAACCTACTCTCCACTAATGACCCCTTTGCTTCACCGCTGTGATTATTTCAGCCTTTGAAGTTTGCTTTGATAAAACGTGCTGAAGTAAATGTTTCTCTCTTCCCTGTCTACCGATTACCCCTTCTCTACAGAAAATGTGTGATGGGTTACAACAAAATACAGTCAACAAAACAATAACAAAATGAACCCCATATCATGAAGAACAAGAAGACAAACAGATCCCGGGGTTGGGGTGAACACTTGTTACAGTCATGGTTCAAACTTGGATCTGTGCTTCCTGGTACCCAAGGACAGGTAGAAGAGACCATGCTTTATGTTATTTGTGTTATCAGAAAGAAGATGGAGTGCAAATTTCCCTAGAGTAGGGGTGGCTTCCCTGGGCCACACTGGAAGAAGAAAAATTGTCTTGGGCTACACATAAAATACACCAACACTAACGATAGCTGATGAGCAAAAAAAAAAAGCATAATATTTTAAAGTTTATGAATTTGTGTTGGGCTGCACTCAAAGATATCCTGGGCCACATGTGGCCGGTAGGCCATGGAATGGACAAATTTGCCCTAGAGCAAGCAAACCTTCCCCAGCACCAAATTCTGAAAGAAATCTCTTAGGGCTTACCTGTGAGAGCAGGGAGCAGGGAGCAATGCAGGGAAAGGGTTCTCAACAGCATCTTTACAGCCAAGCTCAATAGTGGATTTCATGGGCCTGGGCCCTGCAGTATAAGAGTTTCCATGGAAGTTTATGGTTTAGCACTACTATTGAAGTAAGCTACAGTGATTCTGCAAAGGGCAAAAATGTGTGATCTCTACTGATCCAGCAGGTTTCAAGGCTAGATCTCAGAGTTTCTGGAAGAGTGAAGAGAATGCCTGACCACACATAAGATGGAGGGGAGATGGCGTCTGGAGTTGGTTCCTGCCAGTGGGTTCATGTTCTCGCTGACTTCAAGAATGAAGCTGCGGACCTTCTCGGTGAGTGTTATAGCTCTTAAAGATGGCATGGCATCGACCCAAAGAGTGAACAGTAGCAAGATTTATTGTGAAGAGCGAAAGGACAAAGCTTCCACAGTGTGGAAGTGGACCCAAGCAGGTTGCCACTGCTTTATGGGGTGGCCAGCTTTCATTCCCTTATTTGTCCCCTTCTGTGTTCCTTTTCTGTCCTATCAGAATGCCCTTTTTTCAACCTTCCCTGTGATTGGCTACTTTTAGGATCTTGCTGATTGGTGCATTTTACAATCCTCTTGCTAGCTACAGAATGCTGATTGGTGCATTTTTATAGATCACTGATTGGTGCATTTTACAATTCTCTTGTAAGACAGAAAAGTTCTCTAAGTCCCCAGTTGACCCAGGAAGTCTAGCTGGCTTCACCTCTCAAGATGAGTAAAATTCAGCCCAGGGTGGTGCTCTGATTAAGCCTAGGAGTTCCAACAATCTGTTTGCCTGTTGAGACAGCCACTCATTACTTAGCTATCTCAACAGCTACTCCCAACCCCATTTCCCTTGTCTATCTTTTAAAAATAGAAGCCTGATGGTCCATGTCCTAGGTTTCCTTGCAACACGGAGTGGCCAGATGACACAGATGTAGTCAGAAAGACTAAGGGGAAATAGGTTTGGGAGCTCCTAGGAAAGCTCTTGCTCTACTGACAAAGTGAATGATGTGAGAAGAAAGATGTTGGCATGGCCTCTTCTTCTTTCTTCCTGTCTTGAACATGAATGTGATGTCTGGTGCAATGGTGGCTATCATGAGGTAGGTGAAAGCCTGGGGGCCTGAAAGCTTGGGGAGATGAATAACTCCTTCCTCCTCGGGCCCAGTCCCAAGGCACAAGACCACTTGTGCCAGCAGCATGCTTCAGCAAGATGGTAGAAGCAGGAAGAGAGCTGGCCAGAAGACACATACCCCCTGGAAATGGAGAGAGTCCTTCGGTGTACCACGTAGCAGTTACGTCAGACTGGGACACTTACTGTTTACAGGAGACTACAAAACCCTAGCCCCATCCTCACTTGAGGCTGATGGCATTTTGGGCCTCAGCCCGTCTGCACCCAGGCGCTCATTAAAACAGCGTGTTGCTCCACTCCACCTTGTGTTGTTTGTTGGCGCGTTCTTGGGGTTCGAACCAATACAAGAGCCTTGCAGTAGGTAATAGAAATGCAACAGAAAAGCCAACTAGCTGAGGTGGGTCAAGAGAAAAAACAGTGAGCGTGGGTCCTTGCTGACATGGAGCTGGGAGTGCACTCTGGAGAGAGCTCTCCTGCAGATTCTTATCAAGTAAGCAATAAAATAACCGTATGGTCTACGCTCCTGGAGCTGAGACTTTGTACTCCTTGCTGTTGAAAACAGTTTACCTTTTACCAGTGTAAGGAGAGAATTTGTGAACTTTAAACAAGTGGAGAAGTGGTGGGTGAGATTAACACTCTGGTGAAAACGAGGAGTCCAGTCAAGAATACGAGCTCCGACGTGAGCAGGCGCAGAGTCCAAGTGGAGTCAGAATTTTCAGGAAACTACCACATGGGAGTAACTGCTTAACTGAGTCCTCAGTGGAGAATGCCATAAACCCTGGCTAAGGTGATTTTGATCACTAAAACTTTTTAAGCAGAAATAATTAATTACCCATAGAGCTTCAGTATCTCTATCTTGGATCAACTGATTTGAAGAAAAACATAGCGAACCTCCTGGGGTAATTGAGCAGGAGAATGTGTTCCTGGGTTATTAAATTAATGCATCTGCAGCTTGAGGTTAGTCGATATTAGTAGAATAAATTCTGGGAACTGTTAAAAATAATGATGTTAGCTTTCAAAATGTTAATACAATTCTAAAGTCACTGTTTCTGAAAGTAGAAATTGTTACTGGTTCTTAACAATAAAAGCATTTGTCTCATTGATGAAGTAACATACATTTGATTTATTTCAATGCAGTTTCAAATAAGAGATAATTCAAAGGAAAAGGAGAATGCAGAACACTGTGAACCTGTAAAAAAAAAAAAGAAAGAAAAAAAGTCCTTTGATGTACGAAGACCCTGTGAGTGTTTTCATAACAATCTTTTTTAATTAACTTATTTATTTTTATGTTTTATTTTTTTGAGACGGAGTCTGGCTCTGTCGCCAGGCTGGAGTGCAGTGGCACGATCTCGGCTTACAGCAAGCTCCACCTCCCGGGTTCACACCATTCTCCTGCCTCAGCCTCCCGAGTAGCTAGGACTACAGGTGCCCGCCACCACGCCTGGCTAATTTTTTGTATTTTTAGTAGAGACGGAGTTTCACCGTGTTAGCCAGGATGGTCTCCATCTCCTGACCTCGTGATTTGCCCGCCTTAGCCTCCCAAATTGCTGGGATTACAGGCATGAGCCACTGCGCCCGGCCACCAATCTGGATTTTTATGATGATTTTGTGTGAGCACCAATGACCAGAAGTTCATGTTTTCCTCGTGTAACTTGGCCACACAATTGTTATTATTGCTGAAAGGGGTGTGGAAAGCATTGCTATCTTTGCCTCCCACTTTTATATGACCTTGCAGACAAGGTTAGCACGCCATAGAATGTCTTTCAACACAAAGGACAGCTATATTAGTGTGTGTGTATACAGGAATGCTGTTGTACTTGTGACATTTGTTTTAATAACATGATATTGGTCATTTGTAAAAATTACAATAACAATGAAATGAGAGGCAAAGGTACAGTAACATTCCCTATTTAAAATTAAGCCATAAATATGCAGGCCGAGTAGACAAAGTGCTTTCTCCAAATGTTTCCAATTATAAGAGGAAAATGAAATTGTTTTTACTATTCTTGGGTCTTTTTCGTTTCAAGTACATTGTTTTTTGAAAATGTGGGAGACAGAGATGCAAATAACTGTTTTCTTTACAATTATGCTATGAAATTCTGAGTTTCTCTTTGTTTTCGTTGGGTGTAATTTATCATTTCTTAAGCTGTGTCAGAAATCATTGCTGCAAAACACATGGTAGAAAGTCTCCTATGGTAAATGAAAGAGTAATTCAACTTGTCGTTGTTTAGGTCATGGCGTGTTGTAGGAGACCACTTTTTCTGGATCACCAGCAACATAAACAAAGGGTTTATCACTAAATAAATAAATGTAATCTACAGTTTTCCATTTAACTGTATCATAAAACATTTGGAGGACATAGCCACATGCTCATTCAATTTAGTCGCAATAACCTTATTGGCATGACAAGGCTGGCAAGGATGCCAAAGTCAATAGAGTAGGCCAGGATGCACTAGGCAGGTTTCACGAGGGTGGTGAGATTTTATGTCACAAACCTCAATGTGCATCCAGATGCAGTCTTATTTCTGGACCTCCCATTGAAGGAGTCCCCTGTTTCCAAATTAGATAAGACTTTGGGAGTGCTGCAAAGACTGAAAGGTTTGGGGGAGATTAGGAGAGAAGGAATGAACGGCAGGGACTGCTTAAGCCAATGATACATTGACAGTACATGTGTGAAAATCTGGGGTTGAAAAAATCAAAGGAACATCAGTAAAACTTAATCTAGATCTAACTCCTATGAATACATATTTTTTGCAGTTACTACATAGTAACCTTTTTACATTTGTGAATTTCTGGAAGAGGTCATGCATGATTAAGGCACAAAATTACAAATTTTAAAGTATCCTTGTAAAGAAACTTCAGTCTCCTCCTCACCCTTACCCTTCAGCCACACACCTCGCCTCCCCAAAGCAACTGTTGCTGCCACTTTATTATAGATACTTCCAGAAACATCCTGTGGAATGTTTCAGTTCAGTGTGGAATGTTCAATAGACATCCTTGAACACAAATAATTTTATGCAAGTGCAAGCATAAGTAGAGAATATATTTCTGAAAGTGAAATTATTGGGTCAGAAGGTTTTTAAATTTGTAAATCTTTAAAGATTTGCCAAATTGTTCTCCCAGGTTTACCAGTTCCCCCTAGAAATGTATGGAAATGATTCCTCACAACTCACCAACATAGTAGACTGTCAAACTCAGTCCAAAATTTGAATGGTTTCTTTTATTCAGACGTGAACAGTAAGTCAGAGTCACACTATTTTAACAGCTTCTTTTGCTTTTTGGGACCATAACAGACCAAACAGCCATCTATTCATCACTGTAACAAACAGGCATTGAGTTCTTATTAATTCATTCAAGAACACCTTCTATGTGCCAGGCATCCTGCCAGGTCTGGGAATACAGTAGTGATACAATGATCCCGGATTTTATTGACAATGGGGGAGACAGACAAATGATCACATACAAGAGCTCAGAAGGAAAAGCAGCGAGTCTGTGCGGTGTAAAACAGGAAGGCCTGCTCTGGGCTGGAGTGGCCTCAAAAGCTTCCTTGAGAAATGCTGTCTGAGCTGAAGGATGAGCAGGAATCATGGAGGGGTGTGTGTTTGTTTCTGTGTTTGTGTGTGCCTATGCTTGTGCATGTGTACACACATGCTGAACTTTCCAGACAATAGAGAAAGAGCAGGTCACCTTCAGGGATGTGGAAGAAGGGAGGGGCAGAGACTGCAAGAAAACTGGGATGTGAGGCACTGTGGAAGATCCCTCCACCTCAAGGGACCTCCGTAGAAAGACTGGACAATGCCCGATCATAAGTAAGTCTGGTAAAGAACTGGATAATAAGATCCATTAGACAGGCAAAGAGAGAAATTAGGAATGAATCTTCATGGTTTTAGTTCCCTTGTGCAATTGTGTGCTTGATTTGTTTATTTTCTTTATCTGTTTTGATAATATAAATCCTGTGCTACTTCTTAACCATTGGTTCCACTTTAATAAGTCAACAGTGGTTGCCCGGTCCCCTCTTCTTACCATTGTATCCTAAAGGAAGAACTGAGAGATTTGGTGCTCCAAATCCCAGGAGTTTCTGCATGACCTCATCAGTGTCAGGAGAGCCAAGCCCAGATGGATGGTCTAGCCTGTACAGGTGGGCCTCCCACCTCTCCAGGTGTGTGTTATAGTGCTTAGAATATCGAGGCATACTAGGTGCTAAGACATCCAAATGTTTCCGAGTGTATATGAAGAGAAGTTAAGACTAGGGGAGCTGTACTTTGAAACTGGGTTTATAGCTGAAACCTCAAGTTCAGTTGTCTTAACATCACATAAATAACAACAAACAAATGTGAATGAAACGAGCTTTTCAAAAAGTTAAAGGCCAGGCACGGTGGCTCACGCCTGTAATCTCAATACTTTGGGAGGCCGAGGCGGGTGGATCACCTGAGGTTAGGAGTTTGAGACCAGCCTGGTCAATATGGTGAAACTCTGTCTCTACTAAAAATACAAAAATTAGCTGGGTGTGGCAGCAGGCACCTGTAATCCCAGCTACTCGGCAGGCTGAGGCAGGAGAATCGCTTGAACCTGGGAGGTGGAGGTTGCAGTGAGCCGAGATCACGCCACTGCACTCCAGCCTGGATGACAGAGCGAGACTCCATCTCAAAAAAAAAGTTAAAAACATGACTCTCAAAGATATAGAAATCATATCCATGTCAAAATTGTATGTGACTCATTAATTGATGAGGGAACCAGTAAAATGTTAAGACTGGTTCAAAAGAGAATTTGAAGAACAGATGTAAACACTGGAGACTACTAGAGGCGGGAGAGAGGGAGTGGGGCAAGGACTGAAAAACTGCCTATGGGGTACTATGCTCACTACCTGGGTGATGGGACCATTCACACCCCAAACCTCAGTGTCATGCAATATACCCATGTAACAAACCTGCATGTGTACCCCTGAATCTAAAATAAAAGTTGAAATTATTGAAAGAAACAGATTTATATGGTCAGTCAAAAGAATGCTGAAATAAACTTGCCAACAAATGTAAACTGATTAACATTCTAGACAGTAATAAACTGTAATGTTTGGGGGTTAGCTTTTCTATTAGATGAAAATAAATTTAATCTCTACCAGGTCAAATCCGTTTGCATTGTAATGAGCTGGAATCATTTCCATGATTCTCTGACAAGAATTACTTTATGTTGCTATTGGTTTTTTACCAGTTAACTTCTACCCCTACAGCACTGCCAATAGAAAGTCAAAAGTACACGCCCAGAAACATTGCACTAATAAAACATCCCATATCCCCCCTCCTTTAAAACACATTGTATACAGTGCATTAACTCTAAAAAGATCAGAGCACTTATTTATTGCCAAGGATTTTATGACCATATGATCATCCCAAGGATGTTTAGAAACTAGCATTCCGCCACCGTACTGAGATTGAAAAGAAGCGTTCACATATGACTATGAGCTAGAAATTAGCACCCAAACCAGGCTAACCTACAACCTATAATTAATTGTTCTCATGGCTCCAACAAGAAAGATCACTGCTCTTTGAACTACTGCTCTTTTATCTTTATTTCCACTACAAACCCAGACTTTAAGTTTCCAGCCACATAAAGCAAAGCCTTCTTCATACTGCCTTAAATTCTGTAGTAGTATAAATATAGCATTCAGTGACCTGCTTTCTTTATGACTAGCAACCTTTGTCAAACACTGGTGAGAGAGTGAGAAATAGAGTAAGTCTTGGGCTTGTGGCAGGAAGCGGTGTCTAAAGATGCCACTTCCTGGACAGGAGGATCAAAGCAAAAGTAAAGGGAAATAAAGATAAAAGAGCAGTAGTTCAAAGAGCAGTGAACGCTTCTTTCACTCTGGGCACCATCTGCCCAAAGGAAAGCCGAGTGAGGTACAACCAGAATCCGATATTAGGATGTCTCAACAGGAAACCCCAGACTGTGAGCAGAAGAACATAACAGCCAGAGTTCATAGGTGTATCAGACAGGGCTCAGAGAAGCAGACTCACTATGAATATTTTAGAACTAAACATTTAATATAGATATTAGACCTTGTGGGCAAAGATGGGGAAGGAAGCAAGCGCCTGAAAATGGGCGTTTAATATTTGGAGAAAAGTCATTAGGCAGCCCTGGTGCTGGTGACTGAGTCAGAGTTTGCAGGAAGTCTTGAATCGAAGCACATGGAGCATCTGCACTGAGAAGTTGACAAGGGGTTGATATCAGTCCAAAGGTCATTGGCTCTTTGAAGCTACTGCCTGTGTCAGGCCACAGCAGTGCCTCTGGTGGGGGGCTGGCATTACCATTGGGCAGCAGCGCTGCTGGTTGGAAGGACAGCTGGGTATGGAGTGGGAAGGGGTGAGGACACACTGGAACTCTCTAGCACTTCTGGCCCCACACTCAACAATGACCTTCAGGACATAGTGGCTGTGGTTTCTCTTCTGCCTCCTAAATATCATGCAGAGTCACTTTTGCCAACTCGAACCTAGAACCACATAGGTTGACAATGGAATAATCCAGCCCCCAGTGGGGCAAACCCAAAATCATTTGGTGGAAAAGGCATAAATGCCAGACAACATGGTGTTTTCAATAACCAAACGTTCCCCTGGAAAATGCTTATGGTAGATGGACTCCCTTTGAAGAGCACAGACCCCACCACTAAAGACACACTGCCAAGAGTCGTGAAGAGCCCAGCGGGGATGTATATGGAAGCTGTCTGTAACCTGCCCACTAATTGAAGGAATGGGTGTTATGTGTCCATCAACATGGGGTAGTAATTTGGACCACTTGAGCCAGCGCATTAATGGTCCGATGTGAATGATCACTGTGACCAATTCACCAGTTCTCTGCTTGATAAGGAAAGCATGGAAGACAATCAGGTCACCATTTTGTTGTTTTATTTTCAAGTTCCCACTTCTACATGAGTGCAAAGTTCTCCTTGTACCTTCTCTTCTTTTTTCCTCTAATTTATCCTTCCCCTTCTTTTATTCCTGCTTTTCCTCCTGCACATTGCTACATTTATCCATAGAGCACAAAATGGTGGATGGGTTGACGGATAAGACCAGAGTTGAAAAGAATGGGAATCAATTTTACGGTGCAGCATAACACAGCACGCAGAGAAACGGATGGAGGATCAGGGGGCTTGGGTGCTGCTCTAAGAATGACTGGGGGTGAGATACTGAGATATTTCACAGCCCTGAGGCTCCGTAGATCATATTTCCCCAGGAGTCCAAAAAAAGTGTGTGTGTTTTCTATGAGAGAATAACTCGAGGAATTTACAAGGCACCTGAATAAAAGTCCTGAGATGTCCTGCAGTAAAAAAACAAACTTTCCAACTTTGTTCAATCCAGTGTTTCTCAAACTAGTTTGACTCTGGAACCCTTATTTGTAACTTCTAGTAATATTCTACAGGTGAAACACACTTTGGGTAGTGTTCTAAATGATGTCTAGGGTAGTTCTTTCACCTCTACAATGCCCTGAATTTTTCCACTTTTCTTACAAAACTCAAACCCCAATATAAATTGAAAGTCCAGTTGAACCCTGAGCAGCCTGCAACAAGGAAACATCACTTTTTTTTTCTTTTTTTAGCTAAAGCTTTCTCAATGAGGGCTAGTCCGAGAGGAAGCACATGAGGTATACTTAGTAACATGAGTAATAGCCCATCTTGATATGTCTTCTATCAAGAGATCCCAAGTTACCTGGATCAGTGTTTTTCAGACACAGAGAATAATCTCACTCAGGAACATTGTCTTTGAGTTCCAACAGCAGCAATATGCAGAAAAACACTCCAGCTTGGATTGGACTACATAAGATTTTCTAAACCAGGATGGCCAACTAGGATCCTAATCTTCCAAGTGCTTGGACCTTGGATAGGTCAACCGGCTGAAGGTTGGACAGTTGTTGGTTTAGGTTGGAGACCAAAATTCAGTCATCCTGTAATATAGATCTTGTTCCTTTTGGGTTTACCACTAGGGGTCACTAAAGAGAGATGGGAGACAGTCTCAATCTTGTCTAAATAATTCCAAAATAGCCATGGGCTTTGGACAAAATACAAGGTTAGTGTCTCTCTAACTTTAATGGGCATATGAATAACCTGGTGGTTTTGTGGAGATTCTGATCCAGTAGGTCTTGGGCGAGGCCTCAGAGTCTACATTTCTATCAAGCTCCCACATGATGCTGCTGTTGGTGCAGGAGGTGAGGTGCTAGAGCTTTGGAAGGTCTCAAGATCAGTTCAGCTCCCTTGCAGGAATCCAGCCTGGGCCCCTATATCCTCAGATCCTCCACTTCTCCCCACCCCCCTTCTCTTTCCTCTTCCTGGTCTCATCCTCCTCCTCCTCCTCCTTTTTCTGCCAGCTCTACTCCGAGCTCTCAATCTTCTCAAAGGACACCTTTGCAACCATTTGTGTTTACAGCTTTTCCTCATGAGATCTAGCTTGGTAGCACTGATATTTATTGTTGAAATAAACACTAGAGAAACAGGGGCATTTCTTCTGAAGTGCTTCTCTCTTTTTGCATATATTGCATTTTGTGTAAGTAGATGAAGCTAGTTTTGAGTAATGGCAGTTCTGGCTGAGCTAGGCCAGAGTAGATGGGTGACATTTTGTCTTTGGTGGTGGAGGCTATTTGATTTTATTCTTCAACCCCAACTATAAAGTTATTTTAACCAATGAGAGATCTATTTCTATGCTTTCAGAGTTGAGGAAAAAAGACAATTGCCCACATAGAATCCAGAGACTTTCATTTTCCACACTTTGTTGTAAGTTACATGGAAGTGAAAGTAAGTGATAGAGTAATCCTTTTTGGTGTGAGAGATGTGAGAATGGACCTCTATCTCAATTATACGTATAAAGATTTTTATTGATTTTTTTTCTAATTATAGTTCAGAAAACTTGGAAGAGATAGAACATCATTTTTTAAAATTAGTCCCCAAATATCACTACCCAGAGAAAACTCACAGTTAACAATTTTTCGGTATGATGATGATCTTCCAGTCTTTTTTGTATTTATATGTGCATTTTCCTATAATTATGGAATACTGTTATATAACCTGATACATTCATTTAGCAATATAAACAATATCCCATTTCAGTATTTTTTACAAATAATTGTTAATGCTTTTGTGATAGTCTATCAGAAATACATTCCACAGTATACTTAGTCCCCTATTGTTGGATATTCAGGTTGTTACTAATTTTTCACATTACTAAAAAAAACTTTATGAACATTCTTACACACACATCTTTACCCATACCTTTCATTATTTGGGTTGGAAAATTTCCAAGATGTGGAACTGGTAAGCCGAAAGCTTTTGAAAGGCACTCATGAGGTTTGCCTGGGAAAACTGCACCACTGTGCGTCAGCAGCGGCAGCCTGCGACAGGACTCTATTAAGATAGGCACAGCACAGGTGCTTAAAACTGTGATTGGCGGTCAGATTGCCTGAGTTTGAGTCAACCCTGGAATATCGTTTAATCTCTCTGTCTCTGAAGAATTTCCCTATGATTGTGGAAAATGCTAGGTCCTACAACCATAAAGTTGTTTTATGCATCAAGTGACAGAATATATGTCAAGCCTGACACTGTAAACCTTGAGCAAACGTTAGCTGTTATTATTATTTTCCTGCATGCTCAGCCATCGTCCCAGGTCCTTACATGCCAATGATCCATAAATCCGCTTCTATATTTTTTGCCAGGGCCATCTGCTTAAGTCAAGGGGACTGGTAATGGACAGGATAACCTTCCCAAGAGTGGGCGTTAGAAGAGGGGGTACATGAAGGTGGCCTTCGGTCACCTAGGAAGGCTCCTTGCTGACCGTTTCCTGGACGTGGAGGTACAGAACGACCTGGGCCGAGTGAAAGCGACCAGCGAAGGTCACGCCGGCCCAGCAGCCTGGAGAATGAGACCCACCACCCACAAACCCACTGGTGGAGAGCGGGCGAGGTCCCCGTGTGCGGTGAAGGAGCAGGGCACCAAGGAAGGCGGGCAGCTGCCTCTTGTTTTCGGCCAAGGGAGACGTTGAGGTGTCCCTCAGGACAGGACTTCATTTGCGTGGGAGGGGAGAAGGGCGCTTCTGACTACTTTGCATTGGTGTGTGGGCTGGACACAGTGAGAAGGAAATTAAGCCTCCGCGGTGACAGTGTGTGTGATCGCGGAGGAGGAGGACGCCCGCAGGCTGGCCCGGGGCCCGCCCCGCCCCAAGCCAGCCCGGACCCTCCGGGAGCCGGAGAGGAGTCCCGAAGAGGACCCCGCGGGAGCCCGTAGGGCTGGAGACAGCTCACTGCCGGCCCCTCCACCGCCCGGGTCCCGCGGGCTGCAAGGAGGGGAGGAGCCGCTGCGGACGGCACAGTCCCCAGGGGCCTCCCTGGGGTCTCCACCTTCTCCGGACTCCGTGGGGGTGCGCGTGGGAGGCCCGCACCGCCCTTCCGCAGACCCCGGGGGAAAGAGGAGCCAGGTTCGGCCAGAGGCCAGAGGCAGCAAATGCCCCACAGGCCCGCTTGGAAATGCTGGGCGCCCAGGTGAGGGCTGAGGGGCAATGCGGTGTGTGGGAGGACATTCTGCTCTCTAGTCATCAGGACCATAATGCAGGAGCTGAGAAAGACGCCTCCCCATCACATAAGCTAGAGGTCGGAAATCTTTTTCTGTGAAGTACCAGAGAGGAAATATTTGCCTTTGAGGGCAATAGTGAGAGGTGAAGCCAGCTGGATTTCCTGGGTGGAGAGGGGACTTGGAGAACTTTTCTGTCTAGCTAGAGGATTGTAAACTCACCAATCAGCACTCTGTGTCAAGCTGGAGGATTGTAAATGCACCAATCAGCACTCTGTGTCAAGCTGGAGGATTGTAATGCACCAATCAGCACTCTGTAAAATGGACCAATCAGTGTTATGTAAAATGGACCAATCAGCACTCTGCAAAATGGACCAATCAGCACTCTGTAAAATGGGCCAATCAGCAGGATGTGGGCAGGGCCAAATAAAGGAATGAAAGCTGGCCACCCCAGCCAGTAACAGGAACGTGCTGCAGTAGTGGGAACGTTTGTAGAAGGTTTGTTCTTTCAGTCCTCACAAAAAATCTTGCTGCTCACTTTTTGGGTCTGTGCCATCTTTAAGAGATGTAACACTCACTGCGAAGGTCTGCAGCTTCATTCTTGGAGTTGGTGAGACTACGAACTCTACAGCAGGAAGAAAGAAACTGCGGACTCAATAGGGTCTCTGTTGCAACTGCTGGAGTTCAAGTCCCAAAGCAGCCAGACACACAGAATCAGGAAGGTTATGGGTGTGGCTGTGCTTCAATAAAGCTTTATTTACAAAACTGAGATCACAGTTTACCAACCCATGATGTAATTTTCTAAAACACAAGTCCTATTTTTATTGGTGTCATAAATTATTTTTTTCTAAAAAAAAAAAAAAAAAGTAGTATTCTATGGGTTTCTTCTTGTAGGTGATGACCTGTAAAGGCACTATCTCCTGTTTCCTTTCGATTGACCTTAAAGCTTCATTTCCTAGCCGCTGTGAATCCTGCATTGGATAAGGCCAGTTACTGTTTACACACCTTTGTCTAGGACGTTTTTAAGGCACATGCTCTGCAAGGCACATTCGCCTGAGGTATTTTTTTTGCAAGTTCTCTTTGTTCTCTTTGCAAGTTAAAGTAATGAAGCCATATTTACAGCATCTTCAAATGTAATATCACCTAAGAATTTTAACGCATGAACTCTGAAAAATTGATTCTATGATTTTGGTGCCCTCATTGCCAGGCAGGCTGTGCTAAGAAGCAAAGGTCGCCGGCAGTGGCTCAGCCTGTAATCCCAGCCCTTTGGGAGGCTGAGGCGGGTGGAGCACGAGGTCAGGAGATTGAGACCAGCCTGGCCAACATGGTGAAACCCCGTCTCTACTAAAAACACAAAAATTAGCTGGGCGTGGTGGCACACCTGTAATCTCAGCTACTCGGGAAGCTGAGGCAGGAAAACCGCTTTAACTGGGGAGTCGGAGGTTGCAATGAGCCAAGATTGCACCTCTGCACTCCAGCGTGGGCTACAGAGTGAGACTCTATCTCAAAAAAAAAAAAAAAAAAAAAAAAAAAAAAAAAAAATTCAAGGAGAGAAAAGAAATCTTTGCCAAAAGATTTCTTGTGAGACTAAAAAGATGTTGTATAGATCCCAAATCCATGGCATGAGGAAGAACAAAAACTGATGACCTAGAACCTTGCCCGTGCGCCTGTCTCCTCCCCGGCTCACACTGGAGAAGACGTAGGATGTGCTCAGCTATTTGTCTCTCCTGCAAAATGGTGGTGCAGTCATCGCTTCTGAAACTATTCATTTAAGATAGGTTAATGACAACAGAAGTAGCTTAAACAAGATGAAAGTTTATTTCTCTCACATGAAGAGGAGACTAAAATGTAACACTCCAAGCCTGGTGTGGAAGCTCTTTGGTATCCCCAGGAACCCAGGCTCCTTTCTTTTCATTGCTACCTTCTAAGCCTATGACTTCCACCTCATGATCCAACATGGCTACCCAAGCTGCAGCCCTCCTCATTATCTCCATTCCAGTCAGCAGAAAAAATGACAAGGAAGGACACATGTTATTGACCAGCATTTCATTTCCTGGTCACATCTAGCCATAAGAGACGGTGAGGAATATGGATGTGGACTTTTTTTTTTTTTTTTTTTTTTGAGACAGAGTCTCGCTCTGTCACCAGGCTGGAGTGCAGTGACGTGATCTTGGCTTACTGCAACCTCTGCCTCCCAGATTCAAGCGATTCTTCGGCCTCAGCCTCCCGAGTAGCTGGGACTACAGGCACATGCCACCCCGCCCAGCTAATTTTTGCATTTTTAGTAGAGACAGGGTTTTACCATGTTGGCCAGGATGGTCTCGATCTCTTGACCTCGTCATCTGCCCCTCTCAGCCTCCCAAACTGCTGGGATTACAGGCTTGAGCCACCGCGCCCGGCCAGAATGTGGACTTTTTAGGTGGGTAACAATGTGCCCAGATAAAAGTTGGGATTCTTTCATTAAAGAAGAGGATAGTGGGTATTGGGAGACAGCCACAGAGGGAGACTGTTATTTATCTAATAATGACACAAAAATATAATGATGAGTCATGAGAAGTGCTATGAAAGAGATAAAGAACTACTGAAGTGGATAAAAAGCTATGTTTGCAGGGGCAAGGAGTGTTTAAGAAATGCTACCCTTAAAAAGGGGACTCTCAGCTGATACTTGATTCATGAGTGGGTTTTATCCAGGTATAGAAACAGGAGGAAGAGCATTCCTGGCAGAGGGCACAGCACATGGGAATCCCATGAGTCTAGGGGGAATGTGGTGGTGTAGTCCAGGGTTGTTGGGGGGCGCACTCAGGGGCAGCTCCAGATTATCAGGAACTTTAGGAGTCATGTTACAAGTTGTGAATTTGATTTAGTAAATCATCTGGTAAAGGACTGAGTGTGGGGAGTGGTGAGGGAAAAGAGTGTGCTCCAGGTAAAATGGTTAACACTGAGCACTGTCAGCCAAGAAATCCCATGCATGTTAGTTATTAGCCATGGGAGTCTCTCTAATCCATAGGAGACAAGGGCTTCCAGCTGCTAATGAAGCTTCTTGTTTAGGATCAGAGAGTCACAGAATGAGAAGATGGGTTTCTCAGAGCAGGTTTTTCTCTATTTGCTACGTAATGAAGTTCAACAGAAGTAGAGGTCTGTTGATAAGCCACTTCTACTGGCTAGGAGCAACCAGGAAAAAACTGGAAACAAGAGAATGAAAGGAATGAGAATTGTTCTAGTGAAAGGAGGAGACTTATTCCTCAAATCTGCACCTATTTTAGGTGGTATGTTATCTTTGGGCTCAGGTGAAGCTGACTTATTCCAAAATCAGTTTAAAATTTAGAGTGAACCACTGGGCTTCTGAACTTCCAGACTGGGAGAAGTTTAGGTTCATCGAAGCTTCCTGAGTTTTTAGTTGGAAATGAAGCCTGTTTGTCTGAATTGCTGATCCACCCCTGATCCCAGGAAGTTGGCCTGTGCCTTTGAGGTCACTGCTGGACTCGGGTGAAAATTACAAGCTTAAGACAGAAATAAACTGTCATTTCCTTGTAAATCAAACAACACTGATGGAGCAAAGCAAAAGTTCAAGGGTCATCACTGACATTACAAAAATGTTTTCTTTGCTGTATATTTTAATTATGCAAGTAGAACTGGAAATGGGTAATAAACACACTGCAGTTAAGAGTTTTGTTTTTAGAGTGTTCTAGACAGATGAAATGAGCGACACCATCGTCTTCATTACAAAGCTTGCCAAACATTGCTGTTTGGGGCAAGAGAGCTCAAGAACGGGGACTGGAGAAAATGTCCAGATGGAACATTTGAAAAGTCCAGATCTGGTATTCATGTCCCTTTGTCATCTCTGGCCAACGTGCACAAGTAGATTCATCTTCTTTCAACAGATGTATCCAAATAACACATTCCTTTACCACAGAAATGTTACAACAGCAATAACAGAACCCCTTGGGGGCCTAGTTATCTAGGTAGGAAAATTACTGACACCCAACTCTGTGCTCCATGCTGCAGGGAGGTAATTACCCCATGATAACCTGGGGCTCTTTGTTCTCTGAATGTCTCATCTCTGTTGCAGTTTCTGGATGCCTTCTTTTTCCATTAAAGAAAGCATTTATGTCCAGAGAAGTGCTTTAGAAGTCACTGGGGTTCTAAAAATTAAAGGGAATGAATTTAAAAACACAGCTACTTTACCTACTTCTTGAAAACAAAAAAAAACATAAAAGCTGACATCTGGTAAGTAAGAAACTTCCCCTGGAACCCAAGTAACTAACTTTTATTTTCTCATCATGAAAGGGACGGATCTCCATTGGTGGCCTTTCTTATTTACACCACACACATGGCGATGGCTCTGACATCCAGTTCCTTTAGTATAAACAGAAAGGATGGTCTTTTTCTGTGGAAGTTAATGAATTGAAAAACAAAGCTGTTCTGTATACCCACTCATTCCAAACGAATAAAAGAACTACAGTGTTCTGAGACTTGGGCAAAATAGTTGCATTCAAATTAATTTTGCCCCCTTCTACCCTTCCCCTCTCCACTTCCCACCACTCCCTCCTCGCCTTTTTCAAGGAGAAAAAGAACCATTTAATCACCTTATAAGGGCAGAGAGCAATAAGGGAATGGAGCAAGAGTCATGAGGCCCAGATCTTATTCTTGGCGCAGACGGGCTCACTGGGTGATCCAGGGCTGTCCCTTAACCGCCCTGCGCCTCTGTTGATGCAGCTGTGATATGGGGACACAGATGTGTGTGTGTGTGGCGCCGATGTGCAGCCTTTGGTGAGAGGTCCAAAGCTAAATGTGGGGTCCATTCAGCTAGTCATGGGCTGTTTCTATGTGAAATTGCTGTCTGCAGTGCAGGAATTGGGAGGTGACCTGGTAGGTCTTGGATCAATGACTAGTAAATAGATGCACAGAAGAAAAAAAAATGTCCAGGGAAGGGGAGTATGTCCCTGATGGCTGGGAATTATATTGCCATGGCAACCACAGCTACGAAAGAGCTCATCCCAATATCAGGCATTTCTTATCAGTAAGCTATGGTGCAGAATTTTCCTCTGCAATAGTAATATGTTTTTGTGGTGTATTTTAAGAATAAAGACGAAAAAGAATGAGCATGCCTCAGTTCCACTGGGCAGCATCTGAGGACCCCTCTCATGGTGGAGATCTGGTCAAACACTGCATCTGCAAGGAAGGGGAATTTGGGAATTTGCCCTTTCCTTTTGGACTTTATTGCATTCACCAGTCAAAGTCACTTAGAATGTTACAGTTCCTCTGAAGTGGTTTTCTGCTGTGCTGGGCATCAGAGACAATGTAGGCAGAGCTGAGCCACCTTCCTGCAAACAAGCGTGCTGCCCTTGCTTCTGAATGCTCTGTAGAGTCCCAGTGGACTTGCATTTCTTTCTTTCCAATGGCTTTCCCTGCTGCCCCAAAGCATTTCCTCCCTGTTCTCTGTGGCTGCCCAGAGCTCCACCGACCTGGAAACTCTTACAAAATGACTTGTGAGAATAGTGGAGATTTGTACACCGTAGCCCAAAGTCTAAGCCTAAGAAAGGAGGCCCAATAGTTGGTCTTACTCACGGCTATCATGGTGGGTGTCTCTGAACCTGGGTTGGGTTAATCACCACCTGGTTGCAAGGTGCTTGAACCTCATGCATAAAAACAGAGGTCCTGACCAAAGCAAGGCCATGGAATGGGGCCTCAGGCCATCCTTCTCCCTGCCTCTCCTGCAAACACTTTACTTCATTCTATCTTTCCAAACAGCATTCTTATTCACGAGAGATTCTAAAAATTTCACACGTGAGAGGCTCCCAAACATCCTTTTGAAAGCGATGTGCATTTTTGACCTCTCCACATATTATGCATTTCAGGTGTGCTGGGACCAGGTTCACTTTGCATGTCCTGTCTTCTTATCTTCTTCTCCTGCTTCAATCGCTCCTCCACTGTACCACCAGTGTGGAACAAAAAATTGGACACCTTCTCTTTAAAAACTCCTCCACTGCATGCAGATGAGGTCCAAATTTCTTTGCCCTGCCTGGGAGGCCCTTCTTGATCTGGCTCTGATCATATCTCCCTTTCTACCCCTACCTCCCTCCACACAGCTCCAGGTCTGTGGACCCATGGCTGCTTCTGGAATGCATTTCTTTCCTTTCCATCTCCCTTCTTTTCTTTCTGGTGAACTCTTGTGCGTCCTTTAAGATTCAATTTAAATGTAATATCTCAAGGCTTCTCTAGAGACTGCGTCTACCTCTACCTGGAGGCAGAGTTACTCACCCCTTTTATCTGAGCTATCACTGTCCCTTTGTGAGTTTCTCTTTTGGAGGAAGCATCACATTGTAGGGGAATTACCTGCTCCTGTGTCCATCTCCCTCAGTAAACTATAAACTCCTCTTGGGCAGGAATAAGGTCTTACTCATCTCTGTGAAACTAGTTCCTAGATCAAGGCCCACAGGTGCTCAATGAACAGGGCAGGGCAGGAATGCATGTATTGAACTCCAGGGGCTGATGAATATAATCCTTTGTTTTAAATTTTGGAGACATCTAGTAATTGAAGCCACCAACAATTGATATAAATTTTCTTTTCTTTTCTTTTTTTTTTTTTGAGACAGAGTCTCGCTCTGTCGCCCAGGCTGGAATGCAGTGGTATGATCTCGGCTCGCTGCAAGCTCCGCCTCCCGGGTTCATGCCATTCTCCTGCCTCAGCCTCCCAAATAGCTGGGACTACAGGCACCTGCCACCACACCTGGCTAATTTTTTGAATTTTTAGTAGAGACGGGGTTTCACCGTGTTAGCCAGGATGGTCTCGATCTCCTGACCTCGTGATCCGCCTGCCTCGGCCTCCCAAAGTGCTGGGATTACAGGCGTGAGCCACTGCACCCGGCCCTATAAATTTTCTTTATTTCCTGGGTAGGTATTAAAGTAAATTCACCTTTACAACTATTGCAAAGATGGAGATAACACCTTAGGATGAAGAGCTCCTTGTAAATGAAAAAGTCCTGTTTTAGATAGGCTCCCCTAGTGGAGAGGCTGGAGGCCGACAACTCCAGGAGCGATCACACTTGAGCTCTACTCACAGCTCACTGTGGCCAGACCCTCCTAAGCCCTCCCTTTGCACTGCCACAGAGCCCCGCCAACAACTTTCCAAAGGGAGCATTATTATTATTCCCATTGTGCAGGTAGGAAAACTGACAATGAGGTAAGTTACAAAGTCCTGCAGCTGGTAAAAAGCTAAGCAGGATGTGAAGCCAGTTGGTCTGATGCTGGCGCCTCATGTTTCACCGCCCCCGCCTGCCTTTTAATGAGCAAGGGGGGTAGGGTGGGTTATTAAAGTGGCAATAATAATAATTTTAGGCAGCCCTTACTGTGTGTCAATCACGGCTCTATGTATTAACTCATTTAATCCTCACAGTGACCCTGTGAGAGGGCTGCAATTATTATCCTCATTTTACAGATGAGAAAACAGACAGCAAGGTTAGAAGTTTGCCCAGAGGCCACAGAGCTAAGAAGTGGCGAATCTGGGATAGAAACCCAGACAGACTGGCTCCAGAGACCTGCTCTTAACGACCTGCTCGGCAACCTCCCAGGAAGCCAGGACAGGGCTGGCTGTTCAGGCAGGATCCAGAGCCTCGAGGGCAAGAGGAATTTGGGGTTCTCAGGGACCTCAGCCAGGGCCCACAATAATGACCCTCAGCCTAGCCCAAGTCACTCTGCATAGACATCACATCTAAGTTTGCGATGTTCTTGCCCTGGAAACACGAGGTTCCTGGCAGGCAGTCCGGAGGGCAGCCCCAGCCTCCTCTGGGCGGACACTGGAACCCTCAGACGGCTCTGTCCCCAGGGGCTCTGTCACTCCCCTGCTCAGCTGCTCTCCCCAGGGGGTCTGCCGCCTCCAGCTGCCCACGCTGTTCTCATCCTCTGCTCATGGCTTCTGCTTCCCTGGGCTCCCACTTTCCTCGTGGCCTCGATGGCCAGGGCCCCTGCGGCCCCCTCACCGTGGACTGGATTCTGCCTGCTGCTCACTCTCTGTTCCTCCTGCGCACTTGTCTCAGCCACAAATCATTTTATTCTTTTTACTTTTCCTGATTCTGGTTTTGGAAGGAAGATACTGATAGGCCTAGTTCTTTTTCTTTTTTTGTTTTTTTGTTTTTGTTTTTTTTTTTTTAGACGGAGTTTCCCCTTGTTGCCCAGGCTGGAGTGCAGTGGTGCGATCTTGGCTCACCACAACCTACGCCTCCTGGGTTCCAGTGATTCTCCTGCCTCAGCCTCCCGAGTAGCTGGAATTACAGGCACCGGCCACCACATCTGGCTAATTTTGTATTTTTAGTAGAGACAGGGTTTCTCCACGTTGGTCAGGCTGGTCTTGAACTCCTGACCTCAGATGATCCACCTGCCTCCGCCTCCCAAAGTGCTGGGATTACAGGCATGAGCCACCGAGCCCAGCCTAGTTCAGTTTTTTAAGCTGAGCGTGGTGTAGGTTACGGGCCAAGCTGTGAACATATTCTCCTCGGCTCAGGTGTGAGTGGCTGAGCCAGCCCTAGGAAGGCACATGGGTACCAAGGGTAGGAGGCAGAGCAGAGACAGTTGGGGAAAGAAACAGGCCCCCCGGGGCTGCCTCTTCATCAGGGGATGAGGACAGGCAGTCTCCTTGAAGGGGCTGCACATGTCCGATGCAACACCCCGGGGTGTGGACAGTCTCCTCGTTCCCTCAAAGCCTGACCCACTCCACATCCAAGGAATATTACTCCATGGCCAGAAGCAGGAGCATCCTCCCTACGATGATTGAGCATCTGTAAAACTAACTGTTTCCTTCAGGCCCCAGCAGAAAACAGATGGCACTTGCAAGCAGGGTGACTGGAGTGAGCTGAATGGAGGAGCTATTTACACAGCCATGGGCAGGATGAAGGGAAGCCAACAAGGGATGGCGACACGTCTTGGGGCCACGCTTTGGAGAGCTGTCACCATTTCCAGGCTGAAAGGGCAGGGCAGGGAACGGACACTCGAGGCCAGAGAGAGCCGGAGCCCTCGCTGCAGCTGGGTCTGCAGGAGATGATCCCCTCGCCCCTGCCCGCACATGGCTTTCAGGGGAGGAAAGCAGCCTTTGCCCACCTGTGACTCAGAAGGAAGGGAGCCGGCAAGATCAACATCTCCACCACCCTTCCTCCTGCCCTTTGATCTACTGCCAGTGCCACTCTCTGGCTAACCCAAACTGCAGCCAAAGGGCCAGGAAACCCAGTGAGGCCTGTGTAGAGGCCAGTCGGGGGCCCAGACCACAGCAGGAAGGGAGGGAGGGTGACCCAGGAGGAGCAACACACACACACACCTTGGCCGGGAGCCACTCGCTGCCCCAAGGTGACAGTGCAGACTCGGGCTCAAGAAGTAGCATCTTCCCTATTGATCACATTTAAGCTATTAAAAATATGTTAAAAGTAAAAAGAAATGGCCAGGTGCGATGGCTCACGCCTGTAATCCCAGCACTTTGGGAGGCTGAGGCGGGCAGATCACAAGGTCAAGAGATCGAGACCATCCTGGCTAACACGGTGAAACCCCATCTCTACTAAAAATACAAAAATTAGCCAGGCGTGGTGGCACACACCTGTAATCCCAGCTACTCGGGAGGCTGAGGCTGGAGAATCGCTTGAACCTGGGAGGTGGAGGTTGCAGTGGGCTGAGATCGCACCATTGCACTCCAGCCTGGGTGACAAGAGCAAAACTCCATCTCAAAAAAAAAAAAAAAAGAAAGAAAGAAAAAGAAAAAAAGTAGAAGGAAATTAGGCTGCTGGAGTACAGCTTCCTGGAGCTTCTGCCATGTTTTCCTGGGATCTCATGAGGATTTCCACTTCCATGCAGAGTGGTGGAATATTCCCATGATATTGAAAAAGTCATAGACGCTAGATGACAGACCTGCCCAGAACTCACTGTTTAGCTGAGGGTGTGCAGCAGGGATGCAGTGTGGATGGCCCAGGCAGAGGTGGGGGGTTCAGGAGGATGTCCACATCTCAGAGGAGTGTGGGAGATGGTCATTGACAGCCAGAAGTCAAGCATAAGGTGCAATCCTGGAGAGAAATGGGAAGTGGGAAAATGCTACATTGAATTTATCCCGAACTGACGAAGGTTAAGCTTCGGACATGTGCCAGAATGGGGTCTTCACATAGAAATGACATTTTATTTAATTAAAAAAGGCTATTTTAAAATGTTGCGCACCTGCCTTTGGGAGTGGCATATTCCATAGGCACAGAAAATTCTGTTGCTGTTGACCTGGCCTGGTGGGCTCACACCTGCAATCCCAGCACGTTGGGAGGCCAAGGCAGGAGGATCACTTGAGCCCAGGAGTTTGAGACCAGCCTGGGAAACACAGGGAGACTATACAAAATTTTACAAAAAATAAAAAGTTAAAAAAAAAAACTAGCCAGGTGTGGTGGTGTGCACCTATGGTCCCAGCTACTCAGAAGGCTGACATGGGAGGCTCACTTCAGCTCAGGAGGTGGAGGTTACACTGAGCCATGATTGCACCACTGCACTCCAGCCTGGGTGACAGAGTGAGACCCTGTCTCCCCCCTCCAAAAAAAATTTATTACTGCTGTGTTAGGTAAAGGACAGTGCCGAAATCCACAACTACCGTGCAACTTCAGCCCCTTCTTTATCTGCATGGCCTTTACCATAGATCTATTCCCGAAGGAGGAGTTTGTCCTGAGTAAAAAGGTTTTAATTGATGTAGTATGCAAGTCTATAAAAAGTTGATGATAGAATAAGATATGGCACTTGGGAAAGTTGCTTCATTATTGCATCTTTGAAGGCCCAAATGAAAGCGTGTTTAGATAAAAAAAAAAAATACCTCCCAGGGAGTTAAAAATGCACTGGCCCCAAGTATATCTCTTTCCCATCGCTCATGCATGTTCACACAAAGAGGAAGCCACTAAGGATCCTTGATGTTTAGTTGTTCTAGAAGTTGGTGGGAGGCAAGGAGGTTGAAGGTCCTGGCATGTGCCTCTAATTTATTTCCTTCTACTTTCCCAAGAGTGGGAGAACAAATATTTGTGAACTTTGTGTTATTAAAAAGTTCAGTCTGTCCGCTTAGCTCTTACCTATAATCCCATCAGTTCTCTGGACCAAGAATGAGCTTCGATGTCCAGATTAATTCAATTAGGCTAACAAATTCTGATTTTGTGTGGTTAACAAAAAGCTGCGTGTGAGTGATTTCTCTTTCAGAATGACTCTTTTGGCATTCTGCTGTGTCTTTTATGCCTTTCTGCTGAGGCATCCACCAATCCACTCACGACAGCCCCGGGGCAAAGGCGCAGACGTTTTCAAGGCCTTTCCTCTTCCCAATCTTGGTCTCTCTTGCTCTCTCTGCCTTACTTTCTCCCTCTCTCTCTCTCTCTCTCCTCTCTCTCTCCTCTCTCTCTCCCTTCTCCACAAACATAACTAATACTTAACAGGTTATGGTTGGTGTTTTCCTAACAACCAAGAACTCCGAGCCTTCCTCGCCTACTTAAGATTGATAGTGGCTGAGACCCATGGCAGTGCCCTTGGCTGCTAACCTCACACTTGACAGCTGAGCACTTCTCTCCCAGGTCTCATGAAATTGGGAGACCATTCTTTCTGCAGTTATCCTTGGGCAGTGGTTTTCACACAGCAGGGTGAAAACTGAAATCAATGCAAGATCATGACCAGAATTTTTAAAACAATGAAATCTAATAGAGTTGAAAATATCAGGCTATGCTGCATAGACTCAGATGAATCTGAGACCTTTGTTTCATTTGTGCCTATTTATTGAATGCGGTATATTGGCTTGTGGTGTAAACTGTATTTCTTACTCTGGATCATGAAAAAATGTGAAGCCACTGAAACAAAGGTTATTGAAGGGCAAACTCCTCAATTCACAGCTAAGTTTTTACCATGAAGGCTTGGCCTGAATGAGGTGGTGTCCAGGGGCCCTGTTGGCCTTCAGGTCCTTGTCTATCTCCAGGTTTCCGATTTCTCAAAATCATTTCCAATTCTAATTTTGTCCCCCAAAGGGCTGTTCACCACCACCTGTCCTCAGATATCTACCTCCACTGAGATTCCAGGCCTCAGAAAAGGGAGTGCTTGGGCCACCCCCTGGCCCGTCCAGCAGTGACTGGCTTTAAGGTGGGCAGCCAGTTCTGCTGGCTAGAAAACTCTTGAAAATGTGGACCTGGGATGGTCTCACAGAAAGACTTTTGTCCTTTCCTCTTCCTTCACACACATTCTCTCATCCTCCAGCCCCAGACCAGCTACACCACTGCTGGGAAGTCTTTGAAATGGCCTTGTGAAGCTCTAGTAGCAGCTATACGAGGTCTCTCACTGGGGCTCCACCTCCCAGCCAGAGAACTCTCCAGAGGATGGCAAAGCCTAGTCTTTTCGGTTCATTCCTGGGTCATAGTCTACTAACTTTTTAAAGGGATGCATGAAATCCTATCATTTCAAGCCCAAGAGAGAATTTAAACTTCAGTTAAAAAAAGCAGTGATTCAACATTTTACCCATTGTGTAATTCCATTCTGTTATTTAATCATATATCTCTCAACAAACATTTATTGAGCAACTATTTTTCTGTGTGAGGCACTATGCTAGGTGCCAAGTACTGGGCTAGGTATTCAATAGCAAGCAAAACAGAGAATGCTGAGTCCAGGTCAAGAGACAGCGATCCCCCAAATAACTGTGCTGTGATGTGATACTTGTTTTCGTCGATGTGAGAGTGCAGTGCTGTGATTTCTCAGAGCAAGGACATGTCACCAGGCCTGGGAACCATGGGAAAGGTTTTACAAAGAAGGGGACGAGAGCTGGGTCTTGAGGGGCTGGGAAATGGAGCTGGCTGGAGAGGAGCCTCTAACGCAGACTCTGGCTGGGTTCTAATGAGCTTTGTGTGCCAGATGTAAAAGGATGGATTATCCTGAGGGCAACAGGGAGCCAATAAGGATTTTAAAGCAGTTGACTGATATGATTCAACTTATAAACAAAAGTGTTCAATCCAGCTTTGTTTGCAATAGCAACCAATAAGGGGAAAAAAAAGCTGCCCATAATCAGAGGACAGATTCGGTCATTCATTGAATATCTATACAGTAAAATAGCACATGGGCAATAAAAATGACAGCGCATTTGATATTCATCAGCACAAAAGAATCCTTGTTGGAATTTTATTGAAATGCTTTACCCCACATTTACTACCATCATACTTTCTTTTAAACTCAGATTTAAAAATTCTGACTTTAAGTCTCAATGTGTTTAAAAATTGCATAATAAAAGTCCTGTGCAAAAGAAAAGAACCTCAAATAAAAGAATAACATAATATAAAAATAAAAGGAATAACTCCAGATCATAGTAAAGATCGGAATTTCTTCTAAGTTTATCACATTCTTAGGGCCATTCCTTATACTCTGTAGTGATAGTAATAGAAACATACAACTTTTTCCTCTTCCTTCCCAAGTTTCAGTCCCAGGATGCTATCCCTGAGACCTCTTATCTGCATTGCCTCAGCCATCCTGTGGTCGCAGTGTTTGCTCCGCATATTCTGCCCCTGCTCACGTCGCCCTTCATCCTGCCCCAGCCAGACATGCTGTCTGTACAGCCCACTGGTTCTGGCAGCCAGGAGTTTCCTAGGACCAGCAGCATCGATTGTGCTCCACTCAGATCAAGGAAAGAGTTCCCCTCAGCTCTTACCTGGCAAATAAGGTATGGATTTCCAGCTATGTTTTTCATTGGCTGGGGTTAGATTCTACTATAATCTAGATGTATCATTTGTGATAGATGAAGATCCCTTATGGGCGGTAACAGAGAAAGTTAAAAGGATGAGCATTTAAGTAAGTAGGACCTAGTACAAGAACATAATATAATCTAAATCTCAGAAAGAAGCTATGATATTTAAGAATTTAGCAATACATCTTAAGTAAAGAATATATAAAGTTTCTTAACAAATGAGGCAGCATTCCAAATGTCTTTGAAATGGCCTCGTGATATATGGTGAACCCAGATATATGTCGCATGTAGTCCAGTTTTTGCAGTCTCATTCCAAGAAAACACATTCAATTTAAGACACTTTCAAGAATGATAGAAATTTTGCTACAGATTTTCTGAAAGAAATTCATCTTTAGAAAACTTCCTGAAGATCTTCTTTGGAAATATTTCTGTTCCCCAAACTTCAGTACTCACAGTAGCTACCAGCTACCTCTCCTTTCTCTCGCCCACGCAGCTTTCTCATGGCATCCCCACTGACTTTCTCCTTCAAATGCTCTGCTTCTTTCTCCTCTGTGCCACAGTGGACAGCAGAATTGTCCCCTAGGACTTCTGTTTCCATTTGCCCCTATGCCAGACCTCTCTAGGATGGCCAGAGCATCTAGAACCACCTCATCTCCCGAGCATCCCTAGCACCCTCTGGGCAAAAGCACATGAGAGCCGCTAGGAAGCAAATCTGTTTCTCACTTCAACAGAAAACTCATGGAGCATTTTGGGGAATAAAATTCTCCACCTTGTTAACAAATCAGTAAGGAAGGATTATTCAGTAATTGATGGCTGACACTACTGGTTAACAATTTGGGAAAAAAAATATTACATTTCCTTCCCCCTGCCTAAATACATCCCAGATGGTCTGAAGAGTTTTACTTAAAATAAAAACCTAAATGAATTAGAAAAATATCAGTGGATATTCATCTAGTCACATAAAAGTCAAGAAAAAAAATCATAAAGACCTTGGCTATAACTTCATAAAAGTATACAATTCTACATGTCATAAAATGCCACATAAAGTTTTAGAAATGAAAAACTAAAGGAATATTTGCAATAGTTGCAACAGATAAATGTTCAATCTCAATTATTTAAACAGCTCTTACAAATCAATATGAAAAAGACAAACGCTTTAACAGGAAAACGGGCAAAACTGTAAATGGGCAATTCAAAGACAAATTTAAAAAGCTAATAAATATTGAAAAATAAGTGTTCAACCTTTGAAGGCCAGGCATACTCTGCCAGAAGAGGGAGGCAACGAGGTCAGTGGCTTATGGCCTCTGTGATGTGTGATGACAAAATCTTCCTGCCTCCATACATTGGATATATTTTTAGTGACAATCGTCATGATTTCATGGACCTGGGAGTTCTATTTTCTTTTTTGTTGTTGTTGTTTTTGTTTTTTCTGAGGCAGTCTGTCTCTGTCACCCAGGCTGGAGTGCAGTGGTGTGATCTTGGCTCAGTGTAACTTCTGCCTCCCAGGTTCAAGTGACTCAAGTGCCTCAGCCTCCTGAGTAGCTGGGATTACAGGCACCTGCCACCACGTCTGGCTAATTTTTGTATTTTTTAGTAGAGACGGGGTTTTGCCATGTTGGCCAGGCTGGTCTTCAACTCCTGACCTCAGGTGATCCTTCCGCCTCGGCCTCCCAAAGTGCTGGGATTACAGGCATGAGCCACCATGCCTGGCCAGTTCTGCTTTCTTTAAATCACTGTACATTGTATACACTCTTAACGGTTACGAAAATATGAAAATCCTTAAACGATCCAGGTGATTTAACAGAATACCTAAGCAACTTGTAGTTAGCGCTAAGCCCATGAACTTGGTAGACAGCAACTTATTTGGCCTTCAGAGCATCTGGTGTGTGAGTGTGAGTGTTTCTCAATAACTAACGTGATTCTGAGGTTTGCATTTATTTGTTCACCCCTCTAGGTGGACAGCCTGACTGTTATTTCCCTTATATCTCATTGTAGGTGGACTGGAACCATTTCTAAAGAGATCAGGAAGTATCAGGGAATGGGATCTATTCAGTCTTTCGGTTACCTGTAAGTTGAAGCTGAAAGTCAGCCTTGCTATCCATGGAACCTGCATCTACATATCCAGGTACTTTTTGCCTACTAAATCCTCTTCTCATTTCATGGAACTCAGCCTATCCCTGGGCTGCCTTTTGAAGCTTCTATTACTGGCTAACACAAGTGGTAGTCAGCCCAACTTTTGATCAATATCTTAGAATATTTTGCCACTGTTCTCAGTAAATGAAGTGATGTTTTCTCTTTTCATTAGCAATGAAAAGATAATCCATGTTGTTTCTAATAAAATCGATATTGAAGCTACATACGTGAAAAATATTTATAGCAATTTAGGAAATACATCACATGAAAACATTTTCGCTCTGGTTATAAAAAGGTCTTGAATTGACTTAATGAGGCCAAATATGGAAACCATGCCTTGGGCCTTCAAAAACTTTCTCTGGTCTTGAGAAAGCTCCTTGGCTGTAGTTTGAAACAGGCCTGGGGATTAGTCGAGCTTTCCCCAGGGCTCTGGGCATTACAAGCGAGTGCTGGTGGCAGGTGTCTGCACTTCCATGATTATCATGTTCCATCAGATGCTTTTGCTGTCTCACTGGGAATATGAACTCCCTGGCACTTGCCCTTCTCAATGACACCAGTGGCACCTGCAACTTTACTGGAGAGCTTTCTCTACCTACAAAAACATGCCGAGGTCACACTTGGGAAGTGGAAGTGCCAGGCATTTATCATCTCCTCAGCCAATAATAAAGAGGAATTGGAGGATAAATACCCCAACAGCCTCACCTTGGGTAGGACAACTCAGAGGCACATTTGGTACGGTCTCCTAGAGGTCCCCAGCAGGATTGAACCCCATATCCTGAACAGCGATCTGTTGACTGTAGGCGGCCCTCTCCCCATAGTCTTCACTTACCCCCTCTCCTGCTAGTGGTTCCTGAGATTAGTTCACAAATGAGCTTCTTGCACATGAACCTGTGTCTCAAAATCAGCTTCTGGGGGAACCCAACCTACTGCAATGTTGCTTAATAGTTGTTGTTTTTAATTTTATTGACACCATTGTCCATTGCAACCCATGTGATGTCCCTTAGGTTAGTCTGAGTCTCTTGGTCTGTCTAACATACCACTGACATTAGGTTCCATGTCAGCGAGTATACCTAGCCATTTATTATAGGTCCAGGCAGCTACCAGAGCTGAATTAGGTGAATAGGAAAAAGAATACCCAACCCTCACTACTACAACAGGACTATGATATGATCTCACTGAACTCTTGATCCTCTGCCCCAACCCCCCCGAAAAAATCCTGCTCCTCCTAGAGCTTCCCCCATCTGAGTAAACAGCAACCCCCAGCATCCAACTGTACAAGCTACACCCTTGGCCTTCTGCGTGACCCTTTTCTGGCTCTCACATATTTTACTGGACTTATCAGTGAATCCTGATGTCTCTGCCATCAAAATACAGATGCTCCCCAATTTACAATGGGATTATGTCCCAGCAATCCCATCATAAATTGAAAACATCATTAAGTCAAAAAATTATGTATTATACCTAACCTACCAAACATCAGAGCTTAGCCTGGCCTGCCTTAAACATGCTCAGAACACTTAGGTTAGCCTGCAGTTGGGCAGAGTCATCTAACACAAAGCCTTTATTGTTTTTTTTTTTTTTTACAATAAAGTGTCGACTGTCTCATGCAATTTGTTAAGTACTGTACTGGAGGTGGAAAACAAAAGGGCTGTATAGGGCCTGACATCCACAGCTGAAATCACAAAGGGCCTGAAGGATATGGGACACATTGAACTACAGTTAATTGGATGATGGGGATGCTACTGTGACAGGGTCATCCATGTCTGTCTTCTGATGAGCCTCAACAATACCTGGTAGCAGGCCCTGGGGCATCCACACTTGTCCATGGCTTGGCCGGCATGGACTTCTTCAGGAAGATCTCTAGTCTTGGTCAGGTTTAAAATGTAAAATAGCGAGACAGAGTACAAACTGTGAGGGGTAATATCTTTTCATTAAGCGTAGACTTTACTTCATTCATGAAATATTTTACTGAACGGGAGTCATATCTTTCAGTTGAAATGATTTTTCTGCTTTAGTAAATTACATGAGATATTCAACACTTGGTTATAAAGTGATGGTGATCGTGGTTGCGTGGCCGACTGGGAGCTGAGGCCCACTGCTGCACCCAGCGTCTCGAGTGTCATACTGCATATCGCTAGTCCAGGAAAAGATCAGAATTCAAAATGTGTACTGTGATTTCAACTGAATGTGTATCTGTTTTGCACCATTGTAAAGTTAAAAAAAATCATAAATCAAGCCATCGTTAGTCGGGAACCATCTGTATATCCAAAATACAACCACTTTTCATGGCCTCCTCTTCTATTCTTTGGTCCAAGCCAGGATCCTCTCACCTGGACTATTGCAAGAGCCCCCTGTTGATCTCCCTGCTCCCACCCTCATCCCTCTATGGTCTAATCAGTGGTTGGTAAACTTCCTCTGTAAAGAGCCAGATATTTCAGGTTGGTGCAATTATTTTCGCACCAACATAATAGTATGTATTTCAGGCTTTGCTAGCCTTATGGTTTCTGTTGCAGTTACCCAGCTTTGCCCTCACAGCACATAGACAGCCACAGAAAATAAATAAGCAAATGGACATTGAAGTTTGAATTTCACGTCGTTTTCATGTACCACAAAGTATTACTCTGTTTTGACTTCTTATCAACTATTTAAAAATGTAAGAAACACTTTTGGCTGGGTGAGGGGGCTCACTCCTATAATCCCAGCACTTTGAGAGGCTGAGGTGGGTGGACTGCTTGAATCTAGGAGTTCGAGAACAGCCTGGGCAACATAGGGAGACCCATCTCTACAAAAAATACAAAAAAACTAGCCAAGTGTGGTGGTGCACGCCTGTAGCCCCAGCTACTCGGGGGACGCTAAGGTGGGAGGATCACCTAAACCCGGGGAGGAGATTGTGCCACTGTACTCCAGCCTGGGCAACAGAGTGAGACCCTGTCTCAAAAAAACAAACTCCAAAACTCACTTTTCTCTCCAAAACCCACTCTTTTGTTCAGGCTGCACAAAATCAGGCTGAGGGCCAGATTTGGCCCACAGACTGTATTTTGCCTGCATCCGCCGGTCTAATACCTAGAGACAGTCCAGTCCTCCTAACACCTGCAGGACAATGGCATTCCTCCATAACCAACCTTCCCATCGCTGCTCACCTCCCTCAGCTTAGCAAGAAGAGTCCTCCAGGGCTCCTGTTTGCCACTTCCCTGCTCTGCTGGTCTCCACAGCACTTAACACCTCCGACCCTACTGTCTGTTTTACCTGTTTATTGCCAGAGTCCTCACACCCCAAATTAGAATGGAAGTTCCATAAGGCAAGAGATTTTATGCCCCCAAATCCCAGAACAGTGTCTTTAAGCACCCCCTGAAGAACTGTCAAATGAATGAATGAGTGGATGGATGAGTGAGTCCTTCCCATCCTTCTGCGATAGTTGAGCACAAACTGCGGCATGTCTCACTAGAAACACCCTGCAAGTGTTCCATCGAGCTAATTAGCTTTCCATTGTAGTTGAAACTTATTAGAAACCTGAAGAAGATTGGCCATTTCCTATTACCTGTTCTTCCAATTTTGACTAGTCACAGCAACAGAGAGAAATAAACATCTTCTCATCATTGGTGGTGTACTTGACTTTCAGAGCAGAATCAATTTTTTTTTCCTGAAATGAAGTTTCACTCTGTCAACCAGGTTGGAAGGCAGTGGCACAATCTCGGCTCACTGCAACCCCTGCCTCCCGGACTCAAGCCATCCTCCCACCACAGCCTCCCAGGTAGCTGGGACTACAGGTTTGCACCACCACTCCTGGCTAATCTTTTTTTAAGAATTTTTTTGTAGATATAGAGTCTCCCTATGTTGCCCAGGCTGGTCTCAAACTCCTGAGCTCAAGCGATCTGCCTGCCTTGGCCACCAAAATGCTGGGATTACAGGTGTGAGCCACTGCACCTAGCTTGGATCTTTTTTTAATATTCTCCTCTGTACAATAATATTATTTTCAAGTAATAATCATTAGTAGTCATCATTTCCTTAGTGTTTAGATCTAAAACAAAAATTTTAAAAGGAAAATACATTTCAACAGAAAGATATGATTCCCATCCAGTAAAATATTTCATGAATGAAGTACAATCTACACTTAATAAAAAGATACTACCCCCCGCAGTTTGTACGCTGTCTCACTGTTTTAAATTTTAAACACAAATAAAAACTGAAAGTGGTCACCTGCAGTGACAGAATTCAAGTCCCTGCAGTTGTAGTTTTTCCTCTCTACGATCACTGTGCTGTCACTCTTTCTTTCAAACCTGCTGCTTACATGCAGGCACGTGCAGCCCTGCAGGCCTTGTGGAATGACCTGCTCTGAAACCACCTCGGTTCTGGGCCCTCCTGAATGCAGCTTGAAACAGATGCCGTTGGCTGAGTCCGCACGTGTTGGAGGTGGGAGTGCTCCAGATTAACCAGATTAACCTCGTGGAGAATAGAATGTTATTGAAGGGTAAGCATGAAAATGTGCTGATTTGAAATCTACAGCTATATTATTAAAGCTCAGACAAAATCGCAGCAATTTTTAAAACCGAGACCAAGAAAAGGTTTTTTGGCCAAGAAGGAAGAGTTCATCACTGGTGTTGTTTAGGTGAAAATAAGAAGCAGACCCTTTAGTGGGTTTTATGGCTGCTTTTTAAAAAATTAATTAATTATTAATATTTTTGAGATAGGGTTTTGTTCTATTGCCCAGGCTGGAATGCATTGGTAAGATGATGGCTCACTGCAGCCTCAAATTCCTGGGCTCAAGTGATCCTCCCACCTCAGCCTCCCGAGTAGCTGGGACTACAGGCGTGTATCACCACACCCAGCTAATTTTTGTATTTTTAGCAGAGATGGGGTCTTCTTATGTTGCCCAGCTTGGTCTCAAACTCCTGGCATCAAGTGTTCCTCCCGCCTTGGCCTCCCAAAGTGCTGACATTACAGGCATGACCCACTGTGCCTGGCCTCATGGTTGCTTTTAATGTCTCTCAAACAATGCACCATTTTGTGCCCTGGGCGGGGCTGCTCCCAAGCCTCACCCTCTATCTGCTAGGGCTGATCATTTCTCCCTGTTTGGGAGAATCTGTCATCCTTCGTAGTCACAGGCAGCTGTCAAATGCACATAACATGGTGAGTTCCCACGAGTCTCAGTTGCAATGGCGCGGCCCCTCCATCCAGCAATTACAGCAAGTTAGAGATGGAAAGGACCAAAGAGGGGCCTGTGTAGAACCTTTTGTCAGAAAAGAAAATTTTATTTATGTGATTAAAAAAATTATAAATTCTTTTGCTGACATTATTTGGTTATGGATAAAGCCTTTTGAGTGAGTGGGCTGGCATTAGGGTCCATTTGGAAGATGGATATGGGAGAGTCCAGAAGTTAAGTGACGTGCCCAAGGCCTCGCAACCCAAGTCTAGCCTTAAACCCTCAAGGACATGTGTAAGGCCTATATTTGCATTTTAAAATTATGTTGAATTCAAGGCCCTTTGTTTACACATCCAGGTTTAGAAACCATTGCTCTTACTGGAACTCTGAGGTGAGGCTTCAAAACCCACAGAGGAGCGGAGGAAACTGTGGTTTCCTGATGAAAGAGGCTGAATTTGCTCACCTTAGGGTGTGCAGGGGCCCACAGAGGCCTCCACAAGGTTCCTACCTGAAGGAAATCTTGGGAGGGCCTCAGTATCCGGGGCTGACCAGTCCTGAAGCCCTGGAGTCTAGTGCCATGGGCTTGTTGGCCAACGTGTTATAGACTCTAAGACCATGTCAACCAAAAGTAGTTCAAACACCTGTATGTCTTTAGTCCAAGGAAGAAAACACAGACTCTAAAGTTGTTCATGGTGGTAACTATGGTCACGTTTGAGTACCTCAGTCAGATGGGCACTTTCTCCTCCTCAGGCTGTGGAAAAGCCTGACCAGTTCTGACCAATGTGTACAAATGTGCTCTGTCCACAACCAAGGCGTGTGCGGGCTCTGCAGTGGTGTCTGTGAGTCGGGATGCTCAGCAGCAGAGGGAGGGGAGGGAGGAGAGGGATAGAGCCTGAGCTGTGGGAGAGAGAGGATGCAGGGACAGAGCCTGAGCTGCCTGATGGAGGGGGAGGGCAGGGATGGAGCCTGAACGCGGGAGGGAGGGAGGGGAAGGATGGAGCCTGAGCTGCAGGAGGGAGGGAGGGGAGGGATGGGGCCTGAGCTGTGGGAGGGAGGGAGGGGAGGGATGGAGCCTGAGCTGTGGAAGGGAGGGAGGGAGGGGAGGGATGGAGTCTGAGCTGCAAGAGGGAGGATGGGAGGGAGGGATGGAGCCTGAGCTGCATGAGGGAGGGAGGGAGGGAGGAGAGGGATGGAGCCTGAGCTGCGGAAGGGAAGGAAGGAGGGGAGGGATGGAGCCTGAGCTGCGGGAGGTAGGGAGGGAGGAAGGGAGGGAGGGGAGGGATGGAGCCTGAGCTGCAGGAGGGAGGGAGGGGAGGGATGGGGCCTGAGCCACAGGAGGGAGGATGGGAGGGAGGGAGGGAGCCTGAGCTGCGGGAGAGAGGGGAGCGATGGAGCCTGAGCTGCGAGAGGGAGGGAGGGGAGGGATGGGGCCTGAGCTGCAGGAGGGAGGGAGAAGAGGGATGCGGGGAGGGAGGGAGCCTGAGCTCCGGGAGGGAGGGAGGGAGGGAGGGCGCAGTGCGCCTTCGCACAGCCAGGTAGCAGGGAAGGGGCCGCATTAAACATTGAAAAATGCGACTAACTTGTTCATCCTGTGCCAAAGACATCACCCCCTTCTCAGATGCGTGGGGCACGTCACGCACGATCTGCCCCCCCTCCCGCTGCCCTCTCAGTGTCCCGTCCTCTTACAGACGGGAGCCTCCCGGCGCGGGTTGGGAGCGAGCAGGGAGAGTGGCGCCAGCGCAGGAGGTCCCCAGGCCGGGTCCTCCTCACACCCAGGCGAGGGGAGCGCAGGAGCGACCTGCGGGGGCCCCGGGAGGCAGAGCGGCGCCTCCGGGGAGAAGGTCCCGCAGAGCTGTGGGGGGGCAGGGGACTGCCCGGGAGGAGCCCAGCGAGGCGGAGACCAGCAGGACCGACCCAGGGAGCTCAGTGGGGGCGGCCAGGTCAGCCCGCGGGGGCTGCCATAGAGGCCTCAAAAGGAGGGCCCTCAGCGGGTGGGGGGGTCAGGCCCTGCCAAGGACTGTCTTCCCGACCTTCAAGCAAGACACCCCGGGGCAGGGACTGCCAGGCGCGGGGGGTCAGGCCAAGTCTAGTGACTCCTTCGTGCCCCTCTCTGGTGTGGCGGAGAAGAAAGAAGGAGGGAAGCAGCCAGAAACAGCGCGGAGCGGGACTGGGTCCCACCTGGAGACCCTCGGAGCTAATTTCCGCTCAGGAGGAGGCAGGGGCAGCGGCTCCTGCCCTGAAATCTTGCTTCGGCCGCTGGGCCACCGCCAGCAAGTCCCTCACCCAGGACAACTGCGAGCATTGAAAGGGAGGATGCACCTGCCGCCCCCAGGCAATGGCTACATAGTAGCCGTTATTATTATTTTGAGTTTGGGATTTAAAAAACCCATTCCATAATTATCCAAATACATACCATCTTTTCAACTCAGTTTTGGATTCAGGGAGTGGGGAATGATTTGTAGTCAGAGAACCTTCGGGAGAGTGCTTTGGAAACAGTCTTGGGCCAGGCCCAGGCCCTGCATTTGTAAAATGGAGATAATATCAGGACCTACCTCCTATATATTTGCTGCGACTAAGGAAAATAATGCAGATTTTAGCACAGTGCCTTTCACATAGAAAGTGCTCAAAAATACTAGCCGCATTATAGCTAATCACAGCATCATCACCATAGTCTTTTAAAAATTTTTCACCGTGAAGTTATTATTTAAAAATCTTTTTCAAATTTTATGATCATTGATTACCATTTCCCCCCCACCCTATGAGATAAATTAATCAGGATTTTATTGGCTGATGAAAAATGTTTACCACCGGTCTATTCTGCGTAGCTTTACTAGACTGTTCTAGTGTTGTCAAACCTCTACTGTCCTATTCGGATACTTCAGGACGTTGTTTTTTAGTTAATGTATATATAGACTCTCAACACCCTGGCTCTTAACTGGGGTTGATTTTACTACCCAGGCAATATCTGGAGACATTTCTGTCACAACTGGAGAGGGGGTTGCTAATGGCATCTTGTAGGTGATGGCCGGGATGATGTTAAATCTAAAACGCACAGTACAGCCCACCACAAGAGAGACTAGCCCAAAATGTCAATAGTGGCGAGATGGAGAAACTGCCCTGACATCTCTTTCTCCTGCGGTCTCTCCTAAAGAAACGCCAAGGGAACCAAGGTCTGATGTCTCTGTGGTCCATTGCATTGGGAACTATTTCTGAGAAAAGCAAGTTGTGGGGACCTGCAAAGCTGTTTTTAGCACAGAACAAAATCACAGAGGACCAAAGCCCTAGAAACCCTGCCTCCTTCCCACTGGGCGTATCCCTCTGGCTTCCGTCTCCTGGCAGGGTTTGTGCAAAGCCGCAGCTAGAGCAACATTTTGTTATAATCAAACCTCCAAAAGAATCCGTGGAGCACTGTGGCCCATCTGCAAAGGCCAGAAGGGGGAAGGGATTGTGTTTGGGGGCTGATTATGCTGACCTTTCAACCCTTCTTGGCAATGTTTGCTGGCCAGAAAGCAAAGCCAGCTGTAACTTGGACAGTGCTTTACACAAACAGACAACACAGACTGTTATCTCCTAAATTGGAGGCTTTCTGCAATGTCTTCTCATGTGGGCACTGGGCTCAGGCAGGAAGACCACCCACAGGCAAACACACAGCACCTCCCAGGGAGGCCTGGAATCACCCACCGCTCTCACCACCTGTTCTGGGGCCTAGCTATCAGATGGGAAGGAGCCAGTTAATAACTGTTTATAAGCTATAAATGGAAGTGGCCATGGCAGGGAGCTGATAAACATTTGGGGGCCAATTATTTGTGTAGCTGACTGTCATTTGCACCCGCTCTCAACTGCTTGCAGTATGTGTTTCAGGTTACAGGACGTCCAAATGGCTGTTTGTGGGGAGGGGTGTCTACTGAAGGGCTGTGTCTGTGGTCTTGATCCAGACCACAGATAATGAGAGCTGCCTTGGACATTTTCAGCCTTCCTAGGCATCAGATCTTTCTCCTTAACTCTGCTTAGGGGTCAAAAGAAAATTCTAAAGGTAGGAGGCCCTAAAGTATTTCATGTACTTTGGAATCTCAAATCTCCGTTTTGTTGGAAATGTATGGACAGAGTGTTCGGCTCTGAGCTGTTTAAAGTGAGCTTTTATGTGCTGCACTTGTTAGTTTATAATGTGACGTGTTTTTTCCTGTGAAAAAGAAGGTGAGTATAGGGATGCTACATTTAAACCATCAACTGACAGCCTGAGGCTACTGCAGATCCAGAACTGTGATTGCGGGGGCTGGCAGAAGCAGCATGTCGGGAACTCAATGTGGTGGCGATTGAATTGCCTTATGACCTTGGGTTGGCAGCTATTGGATTAAAAGGCTCAAAGGAGAAATTTGGAAATGAAAATCATGTGCGGAACAGGGGATAAGGACCTTGACATTTAAATAACAAAAGTGACACCACACTGGTTCTCTCACCTGGTTAGTGCGGAGCGGGCAGGGGCAGCTGGTCCGGCCCTGCGTCCCAGTGTGAAGGAATTTCTGCCTTTGTCTTCCCAGGGAAGCCAAAGCTTGGAACTGGGTACAACCAGTTTCTAGTGCCTCTGAGTGTCTAGTGCTGGGTCCGGGGATCACTAATTTCAGGCAGTGTCTGGGTGTAGGAATTGGCTGCAGGCAGGGGCCTACAGGAGTCCAGTTCCAGATTCACTGCGCTCCTACTAGGTTATGTGATCTTCACCAAGAATCTGAAATTCTCTGTTGCCCACGTCCTTATTTGACACCAGGGATGTTTATGGCTCAAGGCACTGCTGGAAGCTACAGAATTTTGGCATACAAACCACCCTCAGGGGATTCATGCTTGCCCCGGAGATAAACCTTATCTCTGACAAGATTATCTACTAGTCAAGGCCACATAGGAAAAGCCAGCAGTGCTACAGGGAATAAACGGTGCCAGGGTTTAGTCAAGGGAGGGACGGGGGTCTGGAGAGAGCATGAAGGCTTCAAGGAGGAGATTTGACTTGAGAAAGGCCACCTTGAATGGTAACCTGCAGGTGAACAGCATGGCCAGGTGCTCAGCAGCAGGTGTTCACAGTGGCTTTCCAAGGGACAATCCATTTACCTGTCCTAAAGGAACAGGAAGGAGTTGTGCACGTTAACCTTGGGGAGGCAGGTTGTGATCAGATTGTGAGGGGCTTGAGTCCTCGGTGAGGAGCTCAGTCTCTCCCTTGTCATGTCTTATGAGGAAGTACTGGAAAGCAGTGATTCCAGGCAGGTGGGTCTGGTGAAAAGGTAAGATGCTCAAGATAGAGACTGCTGCTGATCCAGGCATAAGGGTGGGCAGCTCAGAGGCAGCTGGACTACACAGCGGGGTCCTGGGGGACTGCAGAGATCCTAGAGAAAGAGCCAAGGGACTCAGTGAGGAGAATCAGCAGGACCAGGCCCAACCCTGAGCAACTGGGAAGGCACAGCACCTTCCACAGAAGCTAGCAAGGCCTGAATAATGAAAGGAAGGCTTCGTTTCATACACCTTGAATTTGGGGCAAAACATTCCAATAGAAATGCCCAGTTAGAAGTTGGAAAGGCAGAACTGGAGTTGAAAAGTGTTTCTGCTTCTCTGTGCCCCTACTAGATTGCTAGCACTTCAAGGGCAACAGGAATGTCCCAGGATGGGATGAGCATTAGAGCGGGCATCAATCATAAAATACATCATTAGCTATCACTTTCCGAAGGCTTGCTCTTGTTAAGCCACAGGCCTGCAACAGCAGGATTACGATAGCTGTTATGCCCAATTTTCAGGTCCAGAAACTGAGGTTCAGAGAAGTTAGGAAATTTATCCAAGATCACACAGCTTCTAAGTGGTTGAATTGGGATTTGAATTCAGGTCTAGCTGTTGCTAAAGGCCATGACTTTCCCTTTCTCCCTCACATCCTCTCTTGGCCTTTTAATGCAGGAATTCTTTCATACTGAACTTTTGCTTCTCTAGAACTTACACAATGTCTTGGGTCAGGTTTTTGATATGTGTGTTTTATTAATCCTTTTTTCTGCTACCAAATTTCTTACAAACAAATATCCAGATTTTATTAGCCAACTATTTTAAAAAGTAAAACAAAAACAACAACAAAAATCTTTGCCTCTTTTTCTTAAAAGTATGCAAATTCAAGACATCAAATTCATCATTCTTTATCAAGTTAAAAAATTACACTGTGTTTTATTTGGCAAAGCAAAGGGAATTTCTGAAAGACAAGAGACAATATAAATTTACTCCTTGTCTTTATTAGGAAGTATTTATCTAGAAGTTTTTGTTAACAGAACCGTTTGGAAAAACTTTTCACATTTTCTGAAAGCAAAACTTCTGGGCCTCTCTTCGATGTAGCTCTCAGGCCAAATTAATCCTTATACATGTAAAAACATTATTTACATATTTGGGAAGGAAAACACACAGATTATGCAAGGTCTCAAAGTAGCTAAAAGTCAGAATTTAAAGTTAGTATTTACCGCTTCTATTCTTAAACTCATGCCAGAGCCAAGCTACATCCCATATAGTTTCAGGGGAAAATGCAATCAGAAACCTAGCTATGGCGATTTTTACAGCGTTGAAGTTTTTGCCAAATTTGGGTTCTGAAAGGAATTTCCCTACAGGGCCTTTTGGCAGAGACCTTGCATTTTTTTCAGCTTTCCCCAGGAGTCCTTAGCTGGGATCCTCTATTGTATAATCTGTTTCCTTCAACCATTCCTGCTCTCCTCTTTACTCTGAATCATGGGCACATGACGTAGTATTGGAGGAGAAAGCAGCTCTGAGAGGATATTATGACATGTCTCTCCTTTGACTACATGTTCCTTCCTCCACAGCCAATTGACAGGAGAGAAAGGGACGATCTCTATTCATTTACTGGAGAATTAGCATTTTCTGTCAATGCACCTTGCTCTTTTACCCAAGGAATTTCTGTTCACCAGAGAAAAACCCTAGACAAGGGGTCAATAGTTGGCTTGATGAAACCGCTGGCTCTGTATGAATGATCTTTTTCTCCCATGAGCCCAATCATAAAGGTCAATATGTCCACAGATGTCTGAAACAAATTAAGTTAAGCTGTAAGGAAATAGAGAGACAGAGCCGGGTGCAGTGGCACATGCCTGTAGTCCCTGAATTAGCAGTTTTGCATAAGGGAAATATCTGACCCTCTCTTCATATTGATTTCTAGCTCAGGCGTGCATCCATATAGTAACAGGTAATGAAACCGTAGCGCTTGGTTTCTCTCTTAACAAACCAGGCTAGGCCTGAGTTCTAGCTCCAGCGCTGGCACAAGCTGGCTGTGAGAACTTGGCCAGGTTACTACATTTTTCTGGATCTGTATTTCTTCATCCATAAAATGGAAGGTTTGGTACATAAACCTTAAGGTTCTCTCCTGCTCTAGAATTCACTGTAACAACAGCCCCCACCCCATGAGCCATCCATGAACCTTAGCAGATCTTTAATTTATTTGCTTATTAGAGTCAGGGTCTCGCTCTGTCATCCAGTCGACTTCCCGGGCTCAAGCAATCCTCCCGCCTCAGCCTCCCCAGTAGCTGGAACCACAGGTGAACGCCACCACACCAGGCTAATTTTTAAATTTTTTGTAGAGATGAGGTCCCACTGTGTTGCCCAGACTACTGGGTTTTTTTGTTTTTGTTTTTGTTTTGAGACAGAGTCTCGCTATGTCACCCAAGCTGGAGTGCAGTGGTGTGATCTCAGCTCACTGCAACCTCTGCCTGCTGGGTTCAAGCAGTTCTCCTGCCTCAGCCTCCTGTGTAGCTGGGACTACAGGTGCGTGCCACCACGCCTGGCTAATTTTTTGTATTTTTAGTAGAGACGAGGTTTCACCATGTTAGCCAGGATGGTCTCAATCTCCTGACCTGGTGATCTGCCCCCCTCGGCCTCCTAAAGTGCTGGGGTTACAGGTGTGAGCCACCACGCCCAGCCCAGGCTACTGTTTTTATAGAATATAATTTGCTGTGTGATGATTAAATGTTGACAGGTGTTTAGTTATGTTTTTTCTCTAGAAAAGCATGATGATGCAGCGTTTTTCAAAAAATCTCAAATTTAACTTGAATTATTTTAGTAATCTTACCTACTCTTATAAACAAAAGTGCTCTTTTCTTTTTTTCTTTCCTTTTTCTTTTTCTTTTTTTTTTCTTTTTGAGTCAGGATCTTCCTCTGTCACCCTGGCTGGAGTACAGTGGCACAATCACAGGTCACTGCAGCCTCAACCTCCTGGGCTCATGCAATCCTCCTGCCTTAGCCTCCCAAGTAGCTGGGGCTACAGGCACATGACACCACACTCAGCTAATTTTTTACCCTTGGAGAAATGGGGCCTCCCTATGTTGCCCAGGCTGGTCTCGAACTCCTGGGCTCAAGTGATCCTCTCGCCTTAGCCTCCCAAAGTGCTGGAGTTACAAGCATGAGCCACCACACCCAGACCCAAAGTACTAATTTTAAGGGTACTTTAAAAGTATTTAAGCCCGGGCGTGGTGGCTCATGCTTGTAATCCCAGCACTTTGGAAGGCCGAGGTGGGCAGATCACAAGGTCAGGAGATTGAAACCATCAAGGCTAACACAGTGAAACCCCATCTCTACTAAAAATACAAAAATTAGCCAGGTGTGGTGGCGGGTGCCTGTAGTCCCAGCTATTCAGGAGGCTAAGGCAGGAGAATCGCTTGAACCCAGGAGGCGGAGGTTGCAGCGAGCCGAGATCGCGCCACTGCACTCCAGCCTGGGCGACAGAGCAAGACTCTGACTCAAAAAAAAAAAAAAGTATTTAAGTACTTTAAATGCTTTTTAAAGCAAAAAGTATTCCCAGCATATCACCCGTCCTCTCCACCAGACTCAGCTCTGAATGACTTTTGCACCCACCCCACAGAAGTGAAAATGCGTCGCTGCTGAAATCTATTCAAAGAAATGTGCCTTGTGAACACGCCCAAAGATGGCAGGCAGAGGCATCCTCAAAGCTGACCTCCAGGTCGGAATAGAGGTCGGTCGTCTTCCAAACCGCACCTTGGAGCCAATAGCATTCTTTCTATAAAAAAAAAAAAAAATAAGGCCAATTACTTAATATCCACAACTGGTGTGATAACATTCCTGCCTACCCAAGCACCCATGGATAGAGAGTTAAACAAAACATATACCCAAGAGAAAATGTGGAAAATGCTTTAAATTTTAGGCTTCTATTTTTTCTTATATGGGAAATTTTAAGGAAACGTGTGTGAGACAAACCTCGGTTTGACGTCTCAGGGTAGAGTTTCTCACAGTGTGATTGCAAAACCCAGCAGAATTGTAGGGGAAGAAAGATTTCTTTCCTCATTCATTGCTAGGTTCATGGTTGAGGCACCTATAACAAAAGACAGCTTAACAAGTGAGAAGCATACACATTGACTTCATGTAAGTTTTACCTGACATGAGAGTTTGTGGAAATGAAGACCCAAAGAAAGTGGGAAACCTGCATATTTTTAAGCTTAGGTTTGATGAAGAGTGGTCAGGCGTGCGGAAGTGTGATTGGACAGGGGAGAGCTAGCGGTGCTAGCCTGGGGGGACTTGCAAGGCGTTTGTTCAGGTTCTTCTCTATGTCCCTGCATCTTCTGAGATAAGGATACTCCTCTCCTCTGGGTACAGGGGGAACCTCTCAAATGAGGGTCTTATGACTGGCTTCAGGAGAGAAGAGCAGGAGAAAGTCAGAGAGTGACCTTCTAGGTTGTAGGACCTGTGTCAGGGCAGGAGGGCTTTCCCGCTTCTGCTATTTTCTCAAATGCCAAGGTGCCAGATTTGGGGGTAACATGCCTTGAACCTCATGAGAATCATTTGGGGAGCTTGTTAAAAATGAAGATGCAGGTCGGGCGCGGTGGCTCACGCCTGTAATCCCAGCACTTTGTGAGACTGAGGAGGGTCGATCACGAGGTCAGGAGTTCAAGACTATCCTGGCCAACATGGTGAAACCCCATCTCTACTAAAAATAACAAAAATTAGCCAGGCGTGGTGGCACACACTTGTAATCCCAGCTACTGGGGAGGCTGAGGCAGGAGAATCGCTTGAACCAGGAGGCAGAGTTTGCAGTGAGCTGAGATTGCGCCACTGCACTCCAGCCTGGGTGACACAGCAAGACTCCGTCTCAAAAAAAAAAAAAAAAATGAAGATGCCTGGGTCCACCCTGGACCTATGGAATCAGAATCTCCAGGTTTCATGTTTACCTGACTCTAATGAATAAATAAATAAATAAATAAATAAAAGATCTGCCGAGGTTCATGGTCTGCTAATAGGGCAAGGAGCTATCGTTACAGAGAATTCTAGAGCAAGAAAACCCTTACGGTTTATGTGCCAAACCTGCGTTTTACTGATGAAGAAATGCAGATCCAGAATCACCAGGGAATTTTAGATAAACTTCCTAGCTAATTCTCAGGCATAGTAAACCCTCAGAAACTTGTCCTACAGTTTGTCTGAGCCCTACGGAGGACGGCTCTTCTTTAATCTCCTGGGTTGCTTATTGTCTTAAACATCAAGAATGCTCCCTGACAGCAGAGGAGCAGGCCCGGCAGCACTCAGAACTGAGTGAACACAAGCCAGAGAGTGCCTCGCAGCCCAAGAGCTCTGAGTTGGTTTTTAACTAAGACATTCGTAGTCAGAAAGAGGCCAAGCATGCCATTCTTAATTTAAGATAAAGGTAAGGCCGAGGGATGTGTCTGCATATTTATGACAAGCTCAATACGTGCTAAGCAAAAGACACGTGGCACTATCCAACTCCGTGGGTTTTTTTCCCCCTCTAATGACAGACTTAAACTCAGCCTGAAAGCTGACCTTCGAGTCCCTATTTCATTATTCTAAGCCAGCATTATTGGTTATGGGAAATAATCCTGTTGGCAGAAGGAAATACTTAAGGAGCAGTTTACTTTAGTCTTTGCTAGGCATGTGATGTAGTGTGGGAACGAAAACAAGGGATGTTTCAGCTTTGCCTGATGTCCCCCTGTGAGGTGACTGACTCATGGTTTTAGAAATAAAGACATCTCCTGCATCAAGACCCTAAGTTAAATTCCTAGGTCTCTGTGGCCAGTGACAAAGGGGGAAATTAAGACAGTGAACTGGATTATTTTATTTTATTTTTGAGACAGGGTCTTACTCTTCTGCCCAGCTGGAGTGCAGTGGTGCGATCAGAGCTCACTGCAGCCTTGACCTCTCAGATCCAAGTGATCTTTCTACCTCAGCCTCTTGAGTAGCTGGGACTACGGGTGAACGCCACCACACCTGACTAGTATTCTTATTTTTTATTTTTTATTGTGGAGACGGGGTCTTCCTAAGTCACCTAGGGTGGTCTCGAACTCCTGGGCTCAAGCAATCTGCCCACCTTGGCCTCCCAAAACACTGGGATTACAGGCATGAGCCATCATGCCCGGCCTGGATACTTCTAGACAAAGAGAAATACCAGTGTTATTTCCTCTATAGGGCCCGTGGTTTTGGTGTACAGACTCACCCTATTTTGTCATTATGGATGCAAGATTCATTTCAGAGTATCTCCCTGAATTTGACTAATTGGCCAATTGATTTTTCCTGGTTACCATCCTTGGTTACACACATCACAGTTATCTCCAAAGCTGCTTTTCACAGCAGTTGAGTGTGCATACTGGAGTCTCACTGACTGGATTCAGATCCCAGCTCTGCTACTTATCATCTGGGTGACCTGGCTTGGGTCACCAATCATCCTGGCCTGCCAGGGACTGAGGGATTTTTCTGGATGTGAAACTTTTGGTGCTAAAGCCAAGAAAGACCCAGGTGAACTGAGGCCAGCTGGTCATCCTGGCCTTTGAGCAAGTTACTTTACTGCTCCAAGCTTGAGCTTCCTCACCTGTATTGCGGGTTGCCAGTCATAGTGAGCTACCTTGTGGGGTTGTTGGAGGACTCAGGAGGTGTGGCCCTAAAGCAGTTGGAACTGGGCCTGGCACATGGCACCTGTGTGTTTGTTGTCATTTTTTCATCAGCAGCACTCCATTCTGCCCCCTGACATTACACACGGCATTGGAGGGCTGGTGCCATGTGGTGGCAGAACGCAACCAAAACCAGACCAGACCACAGACACCACTTGTGGATGTTGTGAAGCGTTCATTGGAACCTTCCTTCACTGTGTGGTTGATGGTTGAGATGCTTGCAAAACAAGTATTTGGTATGTCTTGTGTGGTAACAGTTGTGACATCTGGGTCCCGAATAAAGAGTGTACCTCCCGGAAGGTAGGGTGGCCATAGACTCACCTGTGAGCCATGGAAAGGGGGGAGGCCATGCTCATTTTGATGAAGCAGGTAAGATGGTGACCACGCCTGGGCACGGACAGAGATGGGATAGGAGTAGTCCTGTGTGCCGGGAAGGGTTTGGGGAAGGGGACATCAGACAAGTCAAACAAGGACTTGGACTCACTAGCTGATCAGGGACCTTAAATGTCACTTGCACCTGGGAGTCCCATCACAGGAGGAAAAAGGCCAAGTCTGTTTTCTAAGTTCCTCAAAACTTCATAGGAGAGAAGAAAAATGATGGGAAGAGACATCAGTAACAAAAGGCAGGTAATGGAAATATGAAGCTATAGGGGCCAGAGTTTATAACAAATCTCCTTCATTTGTCATATGCCATCAATCAACACATTTATTGAACACCTACTATGTGCCAGGTGCTGTGTGCCATCTGCACTGGAGCTGTGTCCCGGAACACAACAGACAGTGCCTTCTACCATAGTTGGGCCAGACTTCCATTTCTTCATTCAGCATATGGATATAAAGCACCTACTATGTGCCATGAAGTCTCCCAGGCACCTGCTTTGTGGCATTTGTAAATGAATAAGCATGTACAGGAAAATATCAGGGTTGGCTGCGTGCGGTGGCCCATGCCTTTAATCCCAGCACCTTGGGAGGCTAAAGTAGGTGGATCACCTGAGGTCAGGAGTTCGAGACCAGCCTGGCCAACACGGCGAAACCCCATCTCTACTAAAAATACAAAAATTAGCCGGGTGTGATGGCATGTGCCTGTAATCCCAATTACTTGGGAGGCTGAAGCAGGAGAATTGCTTTAATGCAGGAGGCAGAGGTTGCAGTGAGCCGAGATCGCACCACTGCACTCAGCCTGGGTGACAAAGCAAGACTACATTTCACACAAAAAAATTAATAAAAATAAAAATAAATAAAATATCAGGGTCCTGAGAGAATAAGAAGGCTCCAGCTCTCTGGACACCTGCTCTGGGTCTGGCCTTCCTCTACTTGCTCAATACATCTTCTCCCATTGAAGCCTCACCACAGTCTACCTCCTATTAAACTAAACTAGCTCACATTGCATGAACTAACATATTATGAATAATTTTATCCTCATTTTATAAATGAGGGAGTTGAGGCACTGAGATGAGAGCCTCACCCCGCTCTTCAGCTCTATCCTAGCCCATCTCTTTTGAGGCCTCGGGCAATACCGGGGGGTACTTTAGGTGGTCGCACCTGCAGAAGTCCTGCCGCTTTCTAGTGGGCAGAGGCCAGAGATGCTGCTAAACATCCTACAATGCAAAGGACAGCCCCATAACAGAGAATTCTCCAGCCCCAAATGGACTGAGTGCCAGGTGGAGACACCCTGCTCTCAAATGCCTGGGGAGAGGGCTTGTGGGAGGCCTCTTTGCTCTTCCAGGTTTGGGCTGTGTCCATGGCCATGCAGCTGTCTGGGAACAGCAGGGGCAAAGGCCCCAGCAGGATGAGAATTGGCCTGTGCATGGAGAGCATGCAGGAGAAGGTGACAGAGGGGGAGGGGCGGGGAGAGTGGGGAGATGTGGCTGAGGTCAAGGAGCTGGCATTGACCCTTGAGTGTCATCGGGAGCCACTGGAAGATCAAAAAGTGTGAGATTATAGATGGCTTTTTATTATTATTTTGCTTATTTCTGTTTTATGACTGCTGTGGGCTGAATTATGTCCCCTGCAAAGCTCACGTGTTGAAATCCTAACCCCCAGTACCTCAGAATATGACTAGATTTGGAGATAGGGTCTTTACAAGATAATTAAGTGGAAGTGAGGTAATTAGGGTGGACCCTCCTAATCCACTATGACTAGTGTCCTTATAAAAAGAAATGAGGACACACACACGTTTGCACACAGAGAAGACTCTATGAAGACACAGGGAGGAAAGGACGGCCATCTATAAGCCGTGGAGAGAGGCCTCAAGAGCAAACAGCCCCTCCCACACTGTCATCTCAGATTCCTGTCCTCTAGAATTGTAAGAAAATACATCTCTGCTGTCTCAGCCATTCAGTCTGTGGGACTTTGTTATGGCAGCCCTGGCAAACTCATACAATGGCTGTTCTCCAGGATAGAAATATGTGTACACAGCCGTATAGTTACAGAACCCACCCGCCCCCTCAACCCCCCCCCCGCCGAAGAAAAACAGTAAAAATGCTTTAAAAGGATGAGGCAAAGGAGGCACCGTCAACACCCTGGAGACTCCATGCAGAAATGAAAGCTCTGTCTAAAAAGTAGCTGTAAGGATGTGAGGAGAAATCATTTTCCAGAAACAAGGATCCCCCAAGAGGAATACAGGTAGGACATTTCAGTGTCTCCGGCCTGACAAGTCCAGACACGCACACATCTCACCGTGAAGGCGGACAGTGCTCAGCACACCCAGCCTTCAGAGGATTTAGTCCGGAGAGAAGCACGCAGGGCTGCGGTGGATGCGTTCGTAGCGTAGCCACTACCTGTCTCCTTCTGATGAGTTTTGAAACTGCTTTGGAAAAGGCAGTAGAGTTTACAAAGGGCATTCAAGGTTACAAGAGGGGTGGCATCATAGACTGAGAAAGAAAGAGAAAGGACGAGGAGTAAGGAAGGGAGGAAGGGAGGGAGGGAGGGAGGGAAATAAACAACTCAAACGTTTAGCAGACAGTTTCAAATGGCCACTATGGGTGGATGTCAAAATGAGAAGGGGAGTTGTGAAGAAAATATATAATAAAACATGCACAATGGGCTAAGGAGGAGGGGCCAAGGAAGCCTGTGTTAGCCCAGGTTACTTTGCACTTGGATGTATTTAGAGTGCTGTTGGTTTGCACACAGCAGACATACTGTGCAATTGTTCTAAATATCCCCTTATGAATGGAATATGACACAGACCACAGCCATCCCCCCAAACTGTGTCCCATTAATTGTGGAATTGTGGAATTGCCTTGCTTGGATCTCAGAAGGAAAGCTCAGTTGTATCTTTTCTTTGTCATGCAATCTGACCTGCAGAGACACGACTGGAGTGAGGCTGTTAGAATTTTCTTTAATTTAGAATTTTCCACCATCATCACTTTATCTGACAGCTTGTTAGAAACCTAGAAAACATTCCCTCAGCCAGGCGCGGTGGCTCAGACCAGTAATCCCAGCACTTTGGGAGGCTGAGGCGGGCGATGACATGAGGCCAGGAGTTCGAGACCAGCCTGGCCAACATGGTGAAAGCCTGTCTCTACTAAAAATATAGAAATTAGCCAGGTGTGGTGGTGTGTGCCTATAGTCCCAGCTACTCAGGAGGCTGAGGCAGGAGAATCGCTTGAACCCGGGAGGCAGAGGTTGCAGTAAGCTGAGATTGCCTGTCTCAAAAAAAGAAAAAAAAAGGAACCATTCCCTTTCAGCAAATGCCTCAGTAGCAGCTGCCAGTGACTGTTTCCACTGACCCTCCCTGCCAGGGCTCCCCTCTCAATCTGATAACTGCTGCCTATTCCAAATTCCCTGTGGTGAAAACTCCCTCTCCCCAAATGTCTCAGAGGCTGTGGTCGGTGTTGAGTCTGGCTGGGCCTAGAAGGTTGAAGTAGAATTAAAACCATCTGAGTAAGTGATCGTGGATTGATCATGTGGTCCTAGCCGAGATGCAGTCAATTTCTGCAAGAGGGTGGGTGACGGATGCCTCCTCAGAGAAACCTGGGAGGGCTGAGGACAGGGTGAGAAGGAAAGAGTGCCCTAGCATTCAGAACAAAAGGAAAGGTGGTGAGGGCAGGATGTGCCGTCCCTTAGAAAATGGAGCGAGAGGAGCTATGGAAATTGTGGTAGGCTGACTTTGAAGATGGTCCACAATTCCCACCTTCTGGTAGATGCACCCTGATGTCATCCTTGACCTGGTATGGGCTGGACCTAGTGACTTGCTTCTGTGATTAAATTACAAATGACTGTGACTTCCACCTTGCTAGCACATACTCTTTCTCTCTTGTGGGCTTTGATGAAGCAAGCTGCCACACTGGAGAGGTCCACATGGCAGGGGACTGAGAGTGTTTTCTGGCCAACAGCTGGCAGGGAACTGGGTCCTGCCACCACTGGAGGCCAACCACGGAGCAAGCCTGGAAGTGGATCCTGCCCCAGCTGAGTCTCTATGACAGCCATGCGGGACGGGACACTGGGATCCCACACCATGATTGCAGCCTATGAGTGACCCTGAGGGAGGGGGTCCTCCAAGCATACCCAGATTCCTGACCCCCAGGAACTATGAGTCCAAAACATGGCATTCTTTTAAGCTACTAAATTTTGAAGTAATTTACTATGCAGTGATAGATAACAGTACAAACCCCAGCTGAGACTTGCATCCTCTCACCCCAAGCCCTGAGTCAGAGGCCAGCTACTGCCGTGGCAGTGTGAGCCCTCATTTGCAACACAAGAGGGTGGACCCCAGTCCCTTCCAGGTCTAGAACTCTACATACCTGCTGGCATTACCACGTAATGAGCTGTTCTCCTGCACAAAAGCCTTACCCTTTCTTGCCACTGTAGGCCCAGGCTCGGAGCTTCCAGGTATGCCCTAATGCCCAAAGGTGGGCACTGAAACCCTTTGTAAAATGAGATAAGCCGTTCTTAAATCGCCTAACATTTGTAGACTAGGAGTACCTCTGAAACTATGAAAGCAGAAGCATTTCTTGAATTCTTTTTTTTTTTTGAGAAGGAGTTTTGCTCTTTTTGACTAGGCTAGAGTGCAATGGTGTGAACTTGGCTCACTGCCACCTCTGCTTCCCGGGTTCAAGTGATTCTCGTGCCTCAGCCTCCTGAGTAGCTGGGATTACCGGCACCTGCCACCATGCCCAGCTAATTTTGTTTTTTTTTTTTTTTTCAGTAGAGACAGAGTTTCACCATGTTGTCCAGGCTGGTCTAGAGCTCCTTACCTCAAGTGATCCACCTGCCTCGGCCTCCCAAAGTGCTGGGATTACAGGTGTGAGCCACTGTGCCTGGCCTCTTGAATTCTTCTTCAGGTAGCCTCCCTGCCTTGCTCTATTTTTTCCTCTAACATTTCCACCATCTAATGAGCTTTGTTATTTACTGATTTATTATGTTCATTGCACATTGTCTGTCTCAACCCACCCACATATACTCAAAAGAAATTCTGCCAAGCAATAATCCTTGTCTGTCTGATTCACTGATGTATTCCAAGCACCTAAAATAGTTTTTGGAGCACAGCATGTGCTCAATAAATAATTGCTTAATAAACAATTGTTTTGGGGAGGCAAGGTAGGGTGTGGTAAGGACGGGAAGGTATTAGGATACAAGTCACAATAAACTTTGAACTGCGCTGCATTACAATTTTTTTATTAGGCTGGGCGTGGTGGCTCACACCTATAATCCCAGCACTTTGGGAAGCTGAGGCGGGCAAATCACCTGAGGTCAGGAGTTCAAGACCAGCCTGGCCAACATGGTGAAACACCATCTCTACTAAAAATAGAAAAATTAGCTGGGCACAGTGGTGTGCACCTGTAATCCCAGCTACTCGAGAGGCTGAGGCAGGAGAATCGCTGAACCTGGGAGGTTGTGGTTGCAGTCAGCAGTGATCGTGCCACTGCACTCCAGCCTCTGGGTGACAGAGTGAGACTCCATCTCAAAAAAAAAAAAAAATTATTAAATGTCCACACTGGATCTTAAGCACCAGTATTATGCCCTAACACAGAGCTTTCCAAGAGTTGACCCAGTACAAGTTATTGCTCCCTCAGCCCTTGGAAAGTCTGGAGCCCCTGACCAATTAATCTCAGAGAAGCCTGCTATAGATGGAATGTTTGTGTCCCCCCAAAATTCATGTGTTGAAATCCTAACCCCCAATGTGATGGTATTAGAAAGAGAGGCCTTTGGGAGGTGATTAGATCATGAGGGCAGAGCCCTCACAAATGGGATTAGTACCCCTATACAATCCCCACAGACCTCCCTTGCCCCTTCCATCGTGTGAGGTTTCAATGAGACTGAGGTCTATAAACCAGGAAGTGGGGCCTCACCAGACGCGGCATCGTGGCATCCTGATCTTGGACCTCCCAGACTCCAGAACTTTGGAAAATAAATTTGTTGTTTATAAGCCACCCAGTCTATGGCATTCCGTTAGTCCATCGGACTAAGACAGCCTCTATTAGAATCCCAAATCCCTGGCTGGGTGTGGTGGCTCACGCCTGTAATCCCAGCACTTTGGGAGGTAGAGGCGGGTGGATGACCTGGGGTCAGGAGTTCGAGACCAGCCTGGCCAACATGGTGAAACCCCGTCTCTACTGAAAATACAAAAAAGAAAAAAAATTAGCTGGACATGTTGGCGGGCACCTGTAATCCCAGCTACTCTGGAAGCTGAGGCAGGAGAATCGCTTGAACCTGGCAGGCGGAGGTTGCAGAGCTGAGATCGAGCTGCTGCACTCCAGCCTGGGTGACAAGAGCAAAACTCTGTCTCAAAAAAAAAAGAATCCCAAATCCCCTCCCATTTTCCTAGGCTGCCTACACACATTATACCTTTCTATGTGACCCAGGAAGGCTGGGAAGCATTGGCAATGCTAATCAACCTTAATTATGAAGTTCAAAACAGACCATTTGTGAATATTAGTCTGTTGATAATTATATACTGAATTGGACACTTATTCTTTTTCCTGCCTAGACTTTACTACTCTTCTGTTAGTAATAGAATGTATATTTTTCTAGAAGAGCCTTTACTTCTGTGCTCCTGAACCTCTAACAACATTTGGGCCAGGGCTAGGCACCTGACTCCAGCCTGGCCAATCATAGCTTGGACTCTTCATGGCCTCAGTGATTGGTTCATGGTGGACACTTGACTCCAGCCTGGTCAATCCTGTAGGACTCTTCTTGGCCTCAGTGAGTGGTTCATCGGTCCACTCCGGTAGACACCTGACTTCAGCCTGGCCAATCATAGCATGGACTCTTCATGGCCTCAGTGACTGGTTTTTGGTGGACACCTGACTCCAGTTTGGCCTATCATAGCATGGACTCTTCATAGCCTCAGTGATTGGTTCATGGTGGACACCTGACCCAGGCCTGGCCAGTCAGAGGATGGATTCTCCATAACCTTGCTTGTTGGTTCAGGGGTGGGCACCTGAGCTAGGACTGGACACATGGATTCCCCAGGTCACAGCAGTTGGTCCAGATTCCTGTAGGTGATCCAAGTCCAGCTGGTAAGACTCCATTTAGGGATGTTCCTTTGAATTGTTGTGAGAAAAGCTTTCTTCTTTTATTGCAGTTTCTGCAAGGAGAGAGAATAAACCTGAACCTCCAGCATCTGTCTCTGGATCATGAGGCTGCCTGATAAAAGAGCCTGCATGAAGGAAAGCTGAATGAAGAGGTGGAAAGATTGAGGCAAAGTTCTGATGACATCATCTGAGTGCCTAGATCCAGCTGTGCCTGAAGGTAGGATTTTCAGTTACATAAGACAATAGTTTCCATTTTCTTGCTTATGCCAGTTGGAATGGGAAGAGTTCTAATCCAATAATACACAGAGGATATAGCTTACAAACCAGCCCATCTCGTTTTCCTTGTCCTCAATGCAAGGCAACAAAAAGATGTCGGTGCACGTGTCACTGATGATTAAGTTAACATTGCATTATCTCTGACGGCATTCCGAATGGCACAGGGCTACAGAAGAGGAACATTTTACACAGCCACGCTCCTGATCATTGTCCCATTGGCAGAAGGACTCACCAAGCTGCCAGTTTGTCTGGTGTTATAACTGTCAGACCCTTGGTACCACTGAGCTACTTTGTAAACCTTAAGAGCCACAGCGGAGAGGACAGTCTGCTCACCTGTCCCCATATGCACAGTGTCTTAAAGATAGCAACAGGGTCCTCACCATTCTTTTTGCTTCTCAATCACTGATCTGCAGGTGAGTTGTGCGATAGTTTCTTTAGCACAAACATTAAGTCTGAGCAGCAAATAGCCCTTTTTACTCCAGATAAACATGAAACATTGGATCTTCCTGACTGAAACACCAAATCGTATATTTCTTACCCTGCACTCAGCCACTCCAGTGACAGCTACAGAGCAGGCCTGGATCCGAACAGACTGAGGTATGCGACACAGGACAGCAAAGTGGGAAGTCTGCAGTAGTGGCGCTCAGGCCTGGGCAACTGGCGTGGTGTGTGGTCCAGGGAGCTCTCCAATTACACAGCCCTCCTCTCCCCCAGATTCTGACAAGTCCCCAGGGGGCAAATGCTTTGTAAAGCTTCCCGGGGATTCCCTGGAGACCCCCACTCTAGGCTGAGAATCAAAGCTCTGAATTGCCCTTCCTGTTGATAAGCCTCATACCCTAGCGCTCCAGGCACTGGTCAGATGAGGCATGGAACTTAATCTACAAATACCTTATCTTCAAAAGGAAAATATTTTCATGATTGCCTAAGTAGTAACATGGTCATTACAGAAGATTGTAAGATACCAAAAGCTATACTATAAAGAAGAAAAAAATTTACCCACACCTTGCTAGTCTCAGCGTCATCACCACCTGGGCGCTTGTTAGGAGTGCCCCCGCTGCAGACCTCGGAATCCGAATCTGTGTTTTTCCCAGACCCCCAGAGGGTTGTGTGCCTGTTCAAGTTTGAGAAGCCCCGAGCTAATAATTCCACAACTGCAATTTAGTGTCTTTCTTGGTAGCATCTTATACTTCTATTAAAGTTGGGATTAATATTGAATAATCAGTGTTGCAATTGGAATCATTAAAAATGTGATATTAACTTTATTTTAGTATTATTCAAATACTCAGTTTGGTGTGCTGCTTCTCTCCCTGAATTGTATACAGTGTTCGCCATGACATCGTTTGCTTCTGAGACTTTCTTAAAACCCAGCTTCTCCCTTCATTCTCAGCTGGAGAATAAACCAGCAGGCGGCACACAACGGGTTAATGTCTACCAATTGCGTTAATACCCATCTAAAGGCCCGGCGGCCTCCCCAGCAAAACCGAGATTTTGCAATGTTTGCCATGCGTTTGCTTCATGTTGAGAGATGGGCTGAATGGAGGTTTCTTTGTGTTTGCGCGTATTTGTGTGTGTGAGTGTGTGTGTGTTCCCCGCAGTCTCCGTGGGTGGCCTCCTGCGGGTGAATGCGCAGTGTTCCCACTGTTGCTTATCCTGCAGGCTTTCCAAACCTCCCTCCTGCCGACAGACAGCCAGGGGAAACACATCTCTCCAAAGAGAAACCCAAAGAAGCTGCAGAAGAGATTTCTTAGTCTGTTCCTATTCAGGGAAGGTGAGGGAGCCCTCATTCTTAAAGGTCTCTTTTAAAAGCCCTGTTTCTTTTTGCACACATAGTTTTGGAAGGTGCCCAAAAGACTGTCCAGAGTGTCCCAGCCTTCTCCGACAGTGCCGGGAAACAAGAGGTGGCTGCTGCCGTTTGCAAGTATGGATGAAGGCCTGAGTGGTCCCGGGCATTCAGGGCCAGGAAGGCAGGAGGGGAGGGGCTGGGAGGAGGGGGCGCTTTGCAGGGCCCGTGTACCTGGGCTGGACACTAGGCCACAGGAGGGGCAGGAGACAGTGGAATTATTGTCTGCCATTCACCAGAGTCTATCATCTCACTTGGTTTCCCCCTACAAGAAGAACTCTCTCTCTCTCTCTACACACACACACACACACACACACACACACACACCATGCCCCCCGCCACCACCACCACGCACACAGACGCAGGTTCCTGGAACTGTTTCCCCCAGTTCTCTGCCTCAGACATCTTCACCCCATGTCCTGCCCTGATCTGGTGTTCTGGGCATGGCTCCTTTTATTGCTTTTTAAAAGGAGTCTGTGGTTTTATGAGGGCTGTTTGGCCGGCAGAGGTTGGGCTAGGCCGGGTTTTCGATGCCTGTGGCCCTGTCAGCCCAGGGAAGAGGCCGCTGAAGCTGAGCAGCTGCTCCTGAAAACAGCCCGGGACAGCTCTTCCCAGCCTCCGCCCGCTGCACTGAGCACTCCACTCTCTCTGCCCTCCGGCTGCTAGCTCCGATGGCAGCCCCCGGCCTCTCAGTAATCCTCAGCAACTCAAGCTTTCGCTGGAGTCCTCGGCAGGTGGGCGGCTGTAAAATCTTTTTGTTTGCTGCTTTGTCATCCTCTTCCCATCCCCGACCGGCAGTACCCATGGTCCAGGAAATAAACACCCAGTACAAAAACTCCCTGTTCGTATCTGGTAAATTTTCAACTAAAAAGTTCAGCGTTCAGGTGAGTGGGCTCGAGATCCAGCCGGTTTGAAGAGAGAGGAATAAAGGACAGGGTGTTGGGCGTGGGACTGGCACCCGCTGAAACCCTCATCCTGTGGGTGCCCGGTGTGGGTCCCCGCTGGCGTCACAACGTGCAGCCCACCTGCTCTGCCAGCTTCCGCGACCTTGATCTCAGCCAATCCTGTTTTGGGCCCCATCACAGTCTTTCTGTCTGTGGAGCTGGGCAAGCAGGAGGTTTCTCAGGGCCCAAGATGGTTTTTCAGATGTGAATATTGGCCAACTCCCGAAGTTGCTAGAAAAATGTAGGCAGCTTGGCCACCGAAGTAAAAGCCATCGATGGCATTTTTCCCAGCCTCAGCTGAATTCAAACCACTAAACTCTTGTGGTTTATTTTTTTTACAGCTTTCTTAGCTAACAGGACTGGATGCCTTTAAAAAACTTTTCAAAATAATATTTTGGAACCTAGCATTATTTGGTTTTCCCTCTGTAAAGGCTAATCTATCATAATTTCCCCATAGCTTGCTTTGCGGAAGAGGGTGGGTGAGGGACAAAGGAAAGGTAACATGCTAACCAAGACAAGCGTAGTGTGAAGGAAGGGCGGGCCCTGTTCGGCCTCTGCCCAGCAGAGTCACAAGCTTTGTGGGCCTCAGTGTCCTCCTCTGGAGAACAGGAAGAATAATACGACAGCCCAACTACCTTACAAGACAGTTCTGTGATTAGGCTGATGTTCGTCAGAACATTTAGTCACCGTAAAATGCTACACAATGTGAATTATTGTGCTTTAACAAATAATTTGAAAGCAGTATAAAGTGCTTCTAGACTTGCAGATATCAAGAAAGCTGGATATCTGGGTTATTCATTCTCGGTTGGCAAAAGGTGGTCCCTGCATGATCAGCCCTACGGGCCCCACATATTCTTTTAAGGGCTCAGGCTTTTGGAAGGCTTCTCAGTGCAGCAAGCATGAATAGTAAGGGCTACGCTGCGCTCTTTACTTACTTGTTTTTGCCTTAAACCATCACAGTTACCACAAGGGTTAAGGATGCAGGTAGCATTGCAGACAGACTGACAGAGCTTTGTGTTCTGGCTTGGCCAATTAGCTTAGCTTCTCTGAGCCCAGTTTCCTCATCTGTAAAACAGGTATAACAACAACAACAACAACAACAATAATAGTAATCAGCTGATACAATTCTTGTGAGATTAAAAGACAACATTCACAAATTGCTTACCAGTATGATATCTTGCACATTGATTAAATGAATGTAAGATAATGATGTTGATAATTATTTTAAGGAATTTGAGGGAGAAAATTCCCACCTACGAGTTCCTGTGCACCTAGTGGTGGGACTTTCTCTTGGTCATGCATTCATTTGACAAGCATTTACTGAATACCTTCTGTGAGCTCTTAGGAGATCAGAATATGCCATCCTCAAATACGAAGGATTGTTCAGCTGAAGACGATTAAGAAGCAGATGCAGGAACCCTTTAGACTTCCCTCTATTTGCCTAAAAGCAGGACATAGATTTACAGAGACAAAGAGTATTCCTGCCCAGGAGAGCAAAGGTTAACCAATGAAGACTGCTTTAGACTCTCATCAGCCTGGAGGTGATACAGAGGACTCTACTTCACCAGCTGTCTAGCCAGCCTTTGTCCGCCATGGATTTGCCTTCCCACAAGTTGCCTGCAGAGACTTACAGTCCTTTTCCTTTGTCCCTTCTCTAAAAATGTGCTATTCTTTGTTGAGGATCTTATATAAGCTGGGAGTCAAGGCCACTTCTTGGAGAATGATTCTGGATACTTCTCTGGGTATCTCCCATGTATTTATAAAATACACATGTTAATCAACTTCTGTTTGTTTTTCTCTTGTTTATCTGTCCTTTGTAACAGGGGTTCATTACAACTAAGAACCTACCGGGAGTTACTCTTCCCCTACAAGATCCAGAATGCCTTTTGGTTTCCTTTAATGAAGCAGCAGCCTGACCAAGTCCTACCCACTGCTCTAATACTGAGATCTCCAGCTGCAGTGCACAAAAGGAAAGTGAACACAGGGAAAGCTGGGACTTTGTTGAGGGTCATGGAGGAGTGGTTCCGCGGGATGCCAGGGGTGTGGGAGCAGAGCCTTGGCATTTGGAGCAGGTAGCCTGCATGGTGAAAAGTGATGGGAATAGTGCTGCATTCAGATACAGGACGGACTGCAATAGCAAAGAGACTCAATGTGGTGGCTGAGAACCAAGTTTATTTATCTTACTCAAGGATGGAGCAGGTGACCCAGCACTACAGCGGTGGCTTGATGGCGGCAAGGAGCCAGGCTCTCCACCCTGTTACTCCACCTTCTCCTAGGGGATTCCTTTGGTCCAGGTGGCTCCCTGACATGAACAATGCCTTCACAGTCCAGCAGGCAGGAAGGAGAAAAGAGTGAGGGAAGGCGCAACCACTCTTTTGAAGGACATGGCCTGGAACTTACCCAGCTTCCTACCTTAACTGAGTGACATGACCACAGTTAGCAAAGGAGGCTGGGAAATGTAGTCTTAATGCTACGTTGTCCTGTGACCAGCAAAAATGCGGGGATTTCATTATTAAAGGCAGAAAGAGAGAATGTTTGGGGGACAACAAGGCAATCAAAGGGATAGATTAGGAGGGACGGCCATATCGTCATCCACACAGCAGAGGAAGACAGTGTTGGGCACATAAGGGAGAGTGGAAAATGTGAAGGCAGAAATCACAGCTGATGGCGGTGGGGACGAAGCCGCTGACCACTGAGGACCCTGTGATCTGGATGGTAAAGAGGGTAGTGTGATAAGAGGCCAGCAAAGACAGGGACCTGGGGTTCACTGGGACGTTTTGCAGGGTGCTGCAGCATGGTGGGCACACTGACTATGTGGGATTGTAGAAGAAAGTACGGTTTGGGGACTGGCACATCAGCACCTCAGTGTCTTTTCTGGGAAAATCTGGTTCTGTCTGGGATTTTTCTCTGCTATGTGAATTCCTTGCTCATTCATTATGGGGTCACTTCATTGATTTTCCACTCTTGTTTCTATTTTTTTATATGACCTCTTCTCACTAATCTCTACTGCCAATTGTCTCAATGTAACAGTATTACCAAGAGGTACCATTGGACTACGGACTTTCTGAGGTGTTTTAGTTGTGACCTTGACTTGGTTAAAAAGGATGGGTGCAATCACCTTCCAAAATCTCCAAATTTATCATCCTAAAACCTCCATTTGGGTGGTTGAAAACTGCAATATAAAGTCAGACAGATTTAAACTGGCATGAAACAATGTAGGGAAGGCATATCAGTACACTTAAAAAACACTTTTATAGTTTTCATCTCCATCCTCAATTTGATAGCCCCAAGCTAAAAATGATTCTTATAAACATCTGCTTCTTGTGTTTATTATGGTTTTGGATTTTTGTGCCAAGAATATGCATGACAGGGCTGCCATTCTTTTCAGCCAAATGTATCTGAACATGTGTTTCTGCATTCTCATCTGTTTCTCTGTAGAGAAAACATGCATTGAACCAATAGCATGTCTGGAGCAGTATCTTATGATTTCAACAGCTTCCCTCTGTGATCCACCAAACAGATATTCATGGTGGGCACTCTGTGCTCTCAGCCTGAATCTAACTCTGCCAAGCCATAGTTCTTCAGCTCAGATATGGATGGTGTCAACAGGGGGTCTTCCAGGGTTGTTAGAGCCTGCACAGCCTGGAGGAAGTGCAGCATGTCAAGTGTGCCTATGCAAACTCAGCTTTAATCTGCTAAGAAGTGATAGAGCTTATTGTGTTACAGGAGAATGTGGCCTGCCATATTGATCCTCAAGCACTGAATTATCAAGAAATGTTCAGTAGCAATGAATATGAAGTAAGTTACCTGGGTTCTGGCTCAGTCTTATCACTCAGAAAACTTTGGTAGGTCATTACACCTCCATGTGTGTTGCTGAGAATAAAGGGCCTGGATTTGATGCACATGTAAACACACAATTACAGTATTCTGTGTGAATTCTAGATTGGAGGTTATAGGGCTACAGACAAATTAGAGCACCTAAGTTGGGATTTGATGCAGCAGAGCAAAGCCTCTCACATTCTGGCATGTCAGGATGCCCTACACTCACTCTGTAGTGAAACTGTCAGCCAAAGGATGTATGTCCCAGCAACGCTGACAGTGTAAACATAAAAACTATAGAGACTGAGATGGCAGACGACAGAGGAGTAGAAGTAGAAAGAATTGAAGGTATGTGGCCTGATGACCCTATCTTACAAAGCAGGGAGACAAGAGATTTCATCTTTAGTTGATGGAAAAAGAAATAATGGAGTAAATAAAACTACATTGACCAACAGGAACAATAGAGAGACTACAATGGTGATGAACCTTTATTGGCAGGAAGAATTAAGGAGAAGTAGTGGAGAGGCTCAAGGGAGCTGAAGTCAATAGACAGTGCCTAAAAATAGAAACATTTTTCTATTTTTAGTGTTTAGAGATGTGGAAATAACCACTTAAAAGGGTTTGCCTCTGGAGCAGGGCTGAGGAGGCATTAGGATTTGTTCACTGCTTTTCTTTATAAGCTCTTTGTACTGATGGAGTTTTTAAGTCTTGTTGCATTGGTTAGAATTAAGTGTAGTAGCAAGTGACAGAATGCTGCAAATAACAGCTTAAATAAGAAAGATGTTTATTGTCTTCTCATGTAAATTTAGTTCAGGGATAAGCAGTTCAGGACTGTTGTGGTGGCCCTGTTGTACAGAGCCCTCAGGGCCCTAGGCTTCCTCCAGTTCAGGGCTCCACAATGCCATCCCTAGGCTGCCATCTTCATCCTCATGGTCCAAGATGGCCACATCTGTGTTCCAGGCAGCAGAATGGAGGAAGACGGGAAGAAGAAGGCAAACTGGGCACAGGCCCTGGCATGCTGCCCCTTAGACAAGGGTCCGGGAAGCTGTCTCATGATATTCCTTCTTACATTTAATTGGCCAGAACTTAGTCACATGGCTACACCTAGCTGCAAATGAGCTGGGCAATGTAGTCTTTATACTAAATTTCTATGTCCATATTTTAAAAAATTACTATAAAGGGGAGGATATATATTGTTGGAGAGTTAGCCACCCCTGTTACACTCACCTTTATATAAATAACAAAAATCATGAGCATTAACAATAAGGTTGTGTTTTCATAAAAAAATGCTGGAAAAGAAAATATCAAAAACTAGAATGGATTGATAGAAGGAGAGAAGAATGGGTAGATGAATGGATACACGAGAAGGCAGGTATGCTGGAATGATCACTGGGAAATCTAGGTAGGCAGTGAGTATGTCCACTGTAAAATGTTCAACTTCTCTGTGTACTTGAAAACATTAATAATGTTGGGAGAAAATAGGTTTAGGGAGAAAAAGAGCAATTATTTTTTAAACTATTTTTGAAATTCACAGCATGTCTGTCCTGAGGAGTTGGTTTTGCCCATCACTCTTCTTTCCTCAGCCTTCCTTCAGAACTCCTCTGGTTCTTCATATCCTGACTTACTTCTCCTACACCCAGTGCCCCGACTCCCTCCATTTCTCTGCCCCTTTATGTTCTGGCTTCTGTCTAGGTCTATGTCTAAGTCTTAATACGTGGCTTCTGGTGCCTCTGGCTGGAGCTACCCCCTAGGCTATACCTGATCCGAATATGAGTCAGAAAGAGTCCTGGCCCTAGTGGCCCAGCTCACTGGAATGACCACCTGGGCAGGCTCCCCTCCCCCTTCCCTAGCCGGAATAATTAAACACAGTATTTTGTTCAATAACTTTGAAAAAAATTTCCTTCCTCCCTCCCTTTCCTCCTTTGTTTTGTGACACTTAACGTATAGCAGCTATATCATAGCTTATAGAATGATGAAGGAAGACAGTGCTAGTTCTAAGATACATGCACTTTATAAAACCATCAGCATAACTAAATCTCAATGCAGGTCATGGTGAGGTTATGGCCAACCATTCATTGAGTCAATGAGTATTCAATGCTTACTATGAGCCAGACACCATAATGTCTGTGGACATTGATTCATTCTAGACACCAATCATTTGGGAAGCAACTTAGTTTCCCAATGAAAGCTGTAACAAGGCCTGCTGATACACAATCTTTGGGGTGGCACTGTGGCTGACCTTGCCTGATTAGAGGTCCTTTCGGGAATTTGGTAACTAAGCACCTTGGATGGGGGCCAGGGGGCCTGTGCTAGAATGCATCTTCCTCTGCAGGGTTTGTGCTGACAGCCACATGCCATTACTGGACTCAGACCACCTGCCCCTAGTCATTGCACAATCACCTCATGATTCAACCTCGCAGATGTGTTTCATGCTTGGCAAAATCTGAAGCGAGCAAACCATGCAGACTCTGTCTCTCTCTTTGCCTTTCCAGTTAGATGCAACCCAGTTCCTTGCCTAAATAGTTCATCCATTTAGTCCATGTCAACAATCACCACTTACTTTCTTGATACTCTCATTTATATGACTTTGGATAAACTTGTCATTGCCCAGATGAGTCTTCCCTTATGTTGAGACATCCCATGCTATCCTTTCCTTTTTATTTTGCCTTTGAAAATATTTAGTATGTGGCCTTTGTGCAGTGTTTTCTGCCTAGTATTTCCAAACTGCCATTTCTGTAGAATTCAGCAAGAAGCAGAGATGAGAGAAAATAAGGAGGGAAAGGGCAAAACAAAGCCAACTGTTTGGGTGAAAAACAAAAAGGCCTGCAGTCTCCTTAGCTAGCATTTCCTATCAGGAACAACACATGTTGAATTACTCACATTGTCTTGACTTTCTAGGTAATAGCAGTAAAGCTTGTCAATGATGGGAAGGTTGCTGAACACATCTGCCCCGGCCATCTGGCCTAAGTGACACTACTGGCCTCTTTATGCCCCTGAAAATATGTTATTTATTTATTTATTTATTTATTTATTTATTTATTTATTTATGTTGAGATGGAGTTTTGCTCTTATTGCCCAGGCTGGAGTGCAATGGCATGATCTTGGCTCGCCGCAACCTCTGCCTCCCGGGTTCCAGCGATTCTCCTGCCTCAGCCTCCCGAGTAGCTGGAATTACAGGCATGCACCACCACGCCTGGCTAATTTTGTATTTTTAGTAGAGACTACATGTTGGTCAGGCTGGTATCGAGAACGTATGTTATTATCAGATGCACTTAGTGTGAATCAGGATAGATCAATTGCTCTGCTATTTCTTTGCAATGTCTTTGTAGTAGAAGAGGCCTGAATTAATAATAACAGTAATAATAATTCAACTGCCTCTTCCCGGGGCTTCCTGAGGACTCATCAGTTTGGGAGCACTGAGGGGCTAACTCCCTCCTCGTTCCCCCTGAGTAAGGGAGCTGCTGGTGGCCCTCCTTGTTAATGCCTTTGGTACAAACTGCAGGACATATGAGAAGGAGCCTCTCTAAATGCATGCAGGTGGCTTCTTGCCTTGGGTAATGAGCCTCATTGTCCCTTTGTGTCCTCACATTCAGTTAGTCTCTGGCAAAGCAATAAGTGACACTGTAGAAAAGGCAGGAGGGCAAATAGGGACCCCTAAACAAAGAAGGTAGTTTGGGAAGAAGAAAAAAGAAAGAAAGAAAGAAAGAAAATCCCTTGAAACATCTTAAAAGCGGCCAACCCTAAGCATGGCCCTATGAAAAGACATTCTCTTTTATTTCACCAAGTCGACTTGAATTTACTTCTGTTTTTTCTTTTTTTTTTCCTTTAAGAGATTTTGTGGCACAGACAAAGTTTCTCCAGAAATCAAGACAATGGGCATTTTAAATGATCCATTGAAAGGATCTTTTAATTTAAGCTGACATTTCAGACTATATTTTAATAATACAGGCTGAATAACAAAAGCAAAAAGAGTAACAGTCCAACAATGCTTCGGGTGGAATGGCACCTTTCTCAAAGGCGCTCACAGTAACTTATAAGCCTTGTTAATTCACAAGGCAAGCACCTCATCACCTGAACAAGCAGGCAGCGATGACTGCCCTTCTTTGCAGATGAGCAACCAAGGAAGCAAGTGACCCTTCAGAGATTCCGGTGTCTTAGCCTGAATGTACAGACATGTTCCAGGCCAGGCTGATCCTGCCCAGTCTTGCACCCAAGCTGAAGAGATCACAGCATCACTGTTCAGACCTCGTGTCTTGGCCCTTTTCTGCTAGTCAGTGCCTCAGAGAGTCTACCGTACCTGGTAGGTGGCTTTAACTACTGTGGCCAGTTCAAAGCTAGGCCAGGACTCTTCTTTCTGTAATCACCCTTTGTTTTTCAACTCCATCATATTTATTGCCAAATCTAGCTTTGTGACGTCAGCTTACTCGATTAAGTTCTTGAAACTGTGGTTTCTTGATTTATTAAATTCGAGCAATGACACCCACATTTCAGGATGGTTGCAAGAACTTGGAAAAAATAAGTACAGCACATAGCACTATGTCTCCCATTTAGGAAATGTTCAAAACACATTGGATTTAAATATTTTTATTTTTTTTAATAAGTAGGAGTAGTGCTCTCCTGCTTTGAAATCATCAGACAAGATTGCTCCTAATGTACATTTTAAGTTAATTTGACTTATCAGGGGAACGATGTGATTCTTGCCCTTCCTCTTCTTCCCCCCAATACATGCACACACACACACACACACACACACACACACACTCACACACAAAACACCAAATCTTCCCAGGGAGAGGTTGGTTACACTTTTTGCAATTTGCGTCAAGTCTAGACTTTAAAAAGTAGAAGTAGAAATTCTATACAACCAATGAGCGAATTTTACTAGTTACGTGGTTATAACTTCATAAAGGGAGGTGTTGCACCCAGGTTCACTTCCTAAGAAGAAAGGTTTCACCCCAAATTTCCCCCAGAAACTGGCAGATAATCTTACAATGAGCTAGTGTTGGGAACGTAGGCTTCAGAATCAGATTGGCCTGGGTTTGCCTCCCCAAACTCTGTTCTCATTTGTAAAATTGGGGATGATAGATGATAGGAATGCCTGTCTTGCAGCTTCGTGTAAGAATGGATATAATGGGCCGGGTGCAGTGGCTCACACCTGTAATCCCAGCACTTTGGGAGGCTGAGGCAGGCAGATCACGAGGTCAAGAGATTGAGAACATCCTGGCCAACATGGTGAAACCCCGTCTCTTCTAAAAATACAAAAATTAGCTGGGTGTGCTGGCGCACACCTGTAATCCCAGCTACTCAGGAGGCTGAGGCAGGAGAATCGCTTGAACCCGGGAGGCAGCAGTTGCAGTGATCCAAGATTGTGCACCACTGCACTCCAGCCTGGCGACATAGTGAGACTCTGTGTCAATAAAAAAAAAAAAAAAAAAAAAAAGAATGGATATAATGCAGGCGAGATGCTTTGCACAGCTCCTGGACACAGCTCTGGAAGTGGGAGCTACAGTAGTTCAGAATTATCACGCAGAGAATGAGAACATTTTGCAAATTCACTGCAAACGTAAGTTTTCCTTTAATCCTGAGCTACAGAACTTGTAGCAGCTATTTTTGAGTGTACACCACGTTCAGGCTCCTGGAAGAAAGGAACCTTAAACATGTAATTAGTTAGAGAGAAAACACAGAAACACACAGAACCTCCTGTAAGGGTGAACATGGTATTCATGGGTGGATGGAGTTGTTAAAACATTTTAGAACAGCTGCTGGAATTTAGGTTCAGGACTTCACTGTGTGTGTGTGTGTGTGTGTGTGTTTTAAACCTTTGAAGAGTTTTGTAGGGACTGAAAATATTTGAGGATGAATGTCTAAATGCAAGGCTTTTGGCTGAAACAGAAAAATTGTCATTCAGAATCCAGGTTTGACTTGGACAGGGAGTGACTTAAAAAAAACAAGGAGACAGACATTTATGGAAATGGTGTTTACTCAAGGCTGAAGAGAAGGTTTCTGTCTAGCCTAAAAGTGATGTCACACAAATTAAGAAGGGAAACCCTGAGAGGACGCATTGGGCAGTGTTTCCCAAAGTGTGTTCATAGAACACAAGTCTCAGAAGATGCTTGGTGACAGAGGGGTTCTGTGGTCAACTGAGTTTAGGAAGCTGCATGTGAACTTCACCTCTTGAGATGGACAGTGCACATACACATGGAAAGGCACTCAGAAGTCCCAAAGTGAAAAACTATGTCATGGCGGACCCCATTGGTATCTTCTGAATAACTGTTTCTCCTTTTTTTGCGATCAGAACTATGATTTTGTTCAAGAAACACAGGGCCAGCTGCAGTGGCTCACGCCTGTAATCCCAGCACTTTGGGAGGCCAAGACGGGTGGATCACCTGAGGTCAGGAGTTTGAGACCAGCCTGGCCAACATGGTGCAACCCCGTCTCTACTAAAAATACAAAAATTAGCTGGGAGTGGTGGCAGGCACCTATAATCCCAGCTTCTGGGGAGGCTGAGGCAGGAGAATCACTTGAGGTGGAGGTTGCAGTGAGCCGAGATCGTGCCACTGCACTCTGGGTGACTCTAGAGCAAGACTCGATCTCAATTAAAAAAATAAAATAAAATAAAATAAAATAAAAAGAAAGAAAGACCGGGCCCAGCCCCAGTGGGTGAATCATCCTATTTCTGTGGTAATCATAGGCCCTGTAGTCCCCTTTGCCAGTCATCAGTACAGGGTGAGCATGTGACTCAGCCCTTCTGGTCAGTGAGACTTAAGGGGAGGGGGGCTTTGGGAGTTTGGGGAAATACAGAGAGAAACGCAGGGAGAGCTGCCCCAGAGTCTGCTGCCTTTGCGTGAGATAGGGTGAGGGAACAGGACACCTGGAGCGGTTGGAGCGGTGGCCACCCACCTGTGACGGGGAGGTGGGGGCGCTGAGAACAGAGACGGGAGGCTGTCCGAGTGGCCCTGACACTGCAGAGCCCAGAGCTGAGCTCACGCCTCCGCCTCTGGGCTTCCTGTTACCCACAGCGCAGGTCCCAGGAATTGAGCCACCGGTGGTTGGGGATGGCACGCAGCCTGTGGGAGGCGGCCTTTCCTTCCCAGTTTCAGCCTCTTGATCAGAGTCCATATTTACAGAACTCCTCTCACCCTGGCTCCCCAGTAGCGTGTGTTCCGTGGAGCACAGTTTGGGAAAGGCTGGTGGGAAGGGGACGGGAGAGAGGCAGGACAGTGGGCTCCCAGGCCCACTCCCCCGCGAATACAGCAATCGTGCCTTGTTTCATCGTCTGGAAAATGAAGGGCGGGCCCACATCCCCTCTTCCTTCCCAGCCAGCTCTTGGCGTCCAGTATCTGCGCCCAGGACCATGTGCTCCATGCCCCTGGACTTGGGTCCCAGCAGCTGCCACCCACCTGCCCTGCTTGCCACTAAACTAAGTCTCTGCCCTCCCAAGGTTTAAAGAAGAGGACAGCAGCACTGACTGAACATCTTCTTAGGGGTCAACTAGGATTATACACACGCATTTAAAGCTCGCTTTGCAGTCGTCCCCACCCTTTCCCGCCCTTCCTTATTGGGGGCCACGAGGGTCCTGGAAGCTGGGGGCACCCAGCGGGGGGCACTGTCACCGCACTGGCCTGGGGGAAGCGCAGCTGCGCTGCCCACGCGGGGTCGTGGGTGGAGGGGTTGGGAGGCGGTCATGCCACCCCCGCCTCTCCCGCGGCCGGAGGGCACCGGTTCAGCTGGCTCCCGCCGGTTAGGAGGCCTGTGTGAAAACCTCATTATGCAGCAGCATAACTCGATAGCACCCCCGGGTTCAGGCTTCCCTGGCCACGACGAGCCCTGCCGCCCCAGGGTCCACGTGGCCGAGCGGGGACGGGGAGGCCCCCTCCTCCAGCGGGGTCCTTCAACAGCTCCAGCATCGCCACTCTCGGGAGCTCCGGACTTAAGCGGGGCTTCATATATTAGCGGCGTGCCCAGCAGTCCCACGAGGTTGAGACTGTGTCTCCGGGTTTCCTGCAAACAGATCCTCTTCCTCCTCACAGCAACCCTGTTCCCCTTCAGAAAGGAACGACAACAAAATGATACCGGGTTTTCTTTTTGGAAGATGTCCTGACCTGTGTGTATGAGCGGAGGGTGAGAGAACAGGGATGCAAGAATCATGAACAGAGACTCATTCCCCTGGCTTTGCTCAGTTATCCTAAAAATCCAAGTAGCCAGTTTTACTATGCTGCTCCTTAGAGATATAGACACTGAGGCTCAAAAAGATGGAGAAACCCGTCCAAGGTCACACACAGCTAGAAGTGACGGAGCTATAAGATTCAAACTTGGCCATCTGACCCCAAAGCCACCCCCTTGACTATCTCAGGAGGCTTCTACCTTGGGGACATGCCCATTTGGCTGGGAAATTCTCCCAGAGCTTGTCTAGGTTTGTGTGTAGCTTTCAGAGTTATGGAAGGGCCAGGAGATGTCTAAAGATTTTCAGATTAATATGCTCAAGAACCTGACCATGTGGGTTGTAGAAGGACTGCAGATTTCAATAGAGAGGGTAGAATCTGACTCCCTTGGAGTGAGGTGTTCCTGCAAAGGCATCTTTGGGCAAGGTGGCTTCCCATGCTGTGACACAGCAGCCTCATGCGGCCTCCAGCCTGGCGGTTTTGGGCAGTAAACAGATGACCTCATTGGCTGAGGCCATCCATCTGGGCTTCTCAAGAACTCTGGTATAATTTTAAAAGGTGGCTGGGCAAAGACAAGAGTGAGAGAGGACTCCCTTTAGGGATCCTGTGTTGACAGCCCTTTATGACCTCCAAGGTGGGAACCGGCTTCTGCAGAAATTGCATTTTTAATATTTAAGTAAGAATCGGCATGCTTTGGGGAGCCTAACTGAATTTCCAATGGATCAGCAGAAAAGTCAACAAAAGGTTGTGTTTCTTGTTCTAATCCCTTCACTTATTCCACCAAATGGTTGTCAGATGTTCAACCACACCGAGAGCTAAGGAAAGCCCACGCCAGGAAGGCTAAACTTTGGCTGCTGCAAGGTGTCTTAAAAACAGTGGTGTTACTTAGGGTTCTGGAACCAGTTGAAAGCCTGGAAGGAGAGCCCGTGTGCTTTATGATGCCTCAGGACAAGGTGGGAGGAAAGGGGAATAAAAGGCTTGCCTGTTGCTGAGCTAAAAGGAGTCAGTATGAAAATGCAGATTGCCTTAAGCACAGCTAAGTGCCACAGGCTTTGCCCTCTGCATTGGAGGAGCGTTGGTATCCTGCAGAATGAGCCTTGGAGCCTCTGCTACACCAGTACTACCTTCTAATAAGAATGAAGGCAAGGATCTTGATTCCTGGCATTCGTCAAATTGCTGTTTGCAAATAGTTTCCATGTATTTCTCAGCTCTGATCACTTGGTAGTGGTTTCACGCAGCATGTGATGAGAAGGCTTCTGAGGCCTTATGCGGGCTCAGAGGAGGAAAGTGTGATGATCAATCAGTGATCCCCGCCATGGGTCTCAATAGGGGAAAGAGGCAGCAGGTAGGCCAGATATGTGTCACCCCCTGTGGAATAGAACTGCGATGACCAGTAAGGGGTTTAGAGTGACATCGCTTGAGACTTCCGTAGGCCTTATATTGTGGAGCTTAAATTTACATATGCTATTTCAGCGGGGCAGAAAAAGGTATCGCCTCTTTATTTTCTAAAGGTATCTAATCTTCCCTGCAAACCTCACCTTGCTGGGTGGCTGGAAAGGATGAGTTTCAGGAAGAGGAGGGAGGTGGTTGGGAACTCCTTTAATTTGCCAGCTTTCGGAGTTTAGGTTACTTCGTGTTTAAACAGTCTTCCAGGGAGGGGAGTGGGGAGGGCAACCCAGTCTTTCATGTTTCCTCTTCCTCAGCTTGCTGTTCCCAAGAGGGCACCTGGGTCTGTGGAAATGGGGAAGGGGTGGCGGTGACCTTGTGACCGAGGGCAGAAGCCTCAGGCTGGGAGGTGCCCTGGGATTCTGGTTGCTGCCATCTGCTTTGGGTAGTGTCATCTGGCCCCTAAGCTCCTCCGCTCCCGGGCCTGGTGTTCCTCCAGGTAACCTGTGGTTTGTTCTCCTGGTTTGTGGCTGTTCTCCTCCTTGACTTGGCCTCATGTCATTTCTCCCCGATGCCCCAGGCCCTTCTGAACCTCAGTAGTGTCTTCCATCGGGCCCCTGGCCAGGATGCGTGGCTTGCCATCCCCAAGACAGGGTTGCCGGCAGTTAGGATTTTGGAGTTTCAAGTAACAATACAAAACTTCAACTCATACTGTATGAAGCAATGGGAAGATGTATTATCTTACATCATGAGAAGTCTAGAGGCAGACTGGCCTCCAGGAACACTGTGGTCACCAATAATAGGGTCTTTCTTCCCCCTCCACTCTCTTTATCCTGAAGCTGCTCTGTGCCCTAAACCCTGCCACAAAATGATTTTCAGTGGAAAACAGTGTGGTTTACTTTCCTGTTAACAGCCCTCAGAAGAGAACCAAAACCTCTCCTCAAGCAAAGATGGTTAAGTTCCACACCTTCATTGTGACTGGCTTTCTTTTCTTGTCAGGACAGAGCTCTGACGTTGCATGTTTTACTTCCTTAGGGTGCGGAGGAGTGGTCTTCTCTGCTCTCAGTCCGTCAGGCTTGCCCCCACTGCTGAAGCCATGAGTCCACTGGTTTATCATCTCCCCAATATTATTATGCCTCATCTGTAAACTGAAGATGATAGAGTATCTAATACATGGTATTGTTACAGGCTAAGCTGAGATAATTTATGTAACATCACTTTCTATAGCTTCCGACACACAAAAATGATAATAAATGTTAGCGTTGTTTTTCAGTTCTCATTCAGTTCTCATAGGAAATGTTAACTCTTTTCCTTTGGCAAAAATAAACATCAACATTCTGAAACTGTTTTCAGAAAGATGATGTTAGGACAGGAAGGTGTTTTTTGTTTTTTGTTTTTTTTGAGATGGAGTCTTGCTCTGTGGCCCGGCTGTAGTGCAGTGGCGGGATCTGGGCTCACTATCAACTCTGCCTCCTGGGTTCAAATGATTCTCCCTCCTCAGCAGACAGAGTAGCTGGGATTACAGGCGCCCGCCACCACACCCAGCTAATTTTTGTATTTTTAGTAGAGACAGGGTTTTATCATGTTGGCCAGGCTGGTCTTGAACTCCTGACCTCGTGATCTGCCCTCCTCAGCCTCCCAAAGAGCTCACGCGGTGGCTCACGCCCAGACTAGGACAGGAAGTCTTGTCGGCTTAGTTCATTGCTAGCACCTAAAAGTAAGAGCTGGCACCCAATTAGTGCCTCACTTAACGTAAGGCATCTTCTAGAGTAGAACCAGTCTTTCAATTGTAGAGAATGCTTCAAGTAAAAATGTTAAGTCCTGCAGATATATCACTTCTGGAATGTCTTGGGTGTTGACACTCAATCAGAACTCTACGACATTCCTCAACCCTCCCGTGGACATTCGATGCCTTTAGATCCCGGCTCCTCCCCTTGCTCTTGGCAAAGGATGGCCGAAGTCCTGGGGAGAGTCGAGCTGGCTATGACACACTTAAAAGATGTAAAGTGAAGACAGGTTTCAGATCTTTGTGGTGTTAGTGACACCAGGGAATCCTCCTGACAAGGGCCTAGATCTTTAGATCACAAAATACTCATGAACAGAATATTGTTTATATAATTCCTGGAGAAGTGATTCTAATAGAGAACCAAAAGGGGTTAAAAAAAAAATCACGGGACCAACTGAAGACAGTTTTTGGCTTTCAGTGTGCGTGGAGTAAATACAGCATGCCCTGTCTGAGATTCCAGCACCAGATCTTCATTCAGTGGGTAGAGTTCTGCCAAGCTTCAACTGCTGCCATGAGTTAGCTAGAGCCAAAAAGGACTGAAAAAAAAGACTTTTCATAGAGAGATAGGTGGACAGTTACGCTCTGGCTGGCATGCCCACTTTGCCTCTGCTGTTGAACAAAAGGTCCCCATGCAAGGTCAATGCGTAATGAGCCACAGTTCAGCTGGAAATACATTTTCAATGGCTTCCATCCCTTTACAGAACAAAGGGGAAAGCCCAATTCAGGTCAGCACTTTATAGCATCCTCATTTGATGAGAAAGAACATTTTTTTCACTGGCTGCTGGCACAGTCTCCCTGCTCGTGGGAAGAAGCATCTTTGATCCACTTGGCACAGGTGGTGAGGTTGAGTCCTGTCACTGTCCGTGCAGAGCTCAGCCGGCATCTCTGCTTAGAGATATACTGCATATTATCATATGCAGTGCAGGCAAATAGACCTTCATTTCTCTCTGGCCCCTTCTCTCCTTTTTCCTCTACTCTTTTGGAAGTACTTGAAAACCTATACCTTTCAGAACGAGGAAGAATCTACATTTTTAAATTAACAATAATATCTTTTATTTGGCCTGATTTTATTTTACTTTATTTTTTATATTTAACTTGCACAACTTGATGTTTTGATATACACATACATTGTGGGAAATCACAATCAAGCTAATTAATATATCTATCACCTCACATTGTTACCATTTTTTTCTTTTTTTTGTGGTGAGAACACAAGATCTACCCTCTTGGCAAATTTCAAGTATACAATACCGTATTGTTATTATATTCACATTGCTGTACATTAGACCTTCAGAAGTTATTGACCTTGCATCACTGAAACTTTGTTTTGTATCCTTTGACGAGCATCTCCCATTTCTCCCTCCTCCAGCCCCTGGCAACCACCATTCTATTCTGTTTCCATGAGCTCCACTTTTCTGGATTCCACAAGTAAGTGAGATCATGCAGAATTTGTCTTTCTATATCTGGCTTATTTCACTTAGCTCCGTGTCCTCTGATTCATCCATATTGTCACAGTCTCGCTCAGTTGCCCAGGCTGGAGTGCAGTGGCACGATCTCTGCTCACTGCAACCTCCGCCTCCTGGGTTCAAGCGATTCTCCTGCCTCAGCCTCCCAGTAGCTGGGATTACAGGCGCCCACCACCATGCCCAGCAAATTTTTTTTTTTTTGAATTTTTAGTAGAGATAGGGTTTCACCATGCTGGCCAGACTGGCCTCGAACCCCTGACCTTAAATGATTCGCCCACCTCGGCCTCCCAAAGTGCTGGGATTACAGGCGTGAGCCACCCGGCCCAGCCAGGATTTCCTTCTTTTTAAAGGCTGAATAATATTCTGTTGTGTATGTATCACATTTTCTTTATACATTCATCCAAATTGTTGGACACAAAAGTCGATTTCATATCTTGGCTATGGTGAATAATGCTGCCATGAAGATGGGAGTGGAGGTACCTCTTTGAAATACTGATCTCATTTCCTTTGGATAAATAAAAGAAGTAGGATTGCTGGATTAAAATGTGATCTAATTTTCAATTTTGTGGGAAAATTCCATACCTTTTGCCATAATGGCTGTACCCATTTGCATTCCTTATGTATAAGGGTTTCCTTTTCTCCACATCCTCACCAGCACTTCTTATCTTTTGCCTTTTTGGTAATCTAACAGGTGTGAGGTGGATATCTTATTGTGATTTTGATTTGCAAGAGGGAGAATATTTTTGATTGTGAAACACTCTGATTTTGTGCTATGCAATATGGTAGTCACTAGTCAGTCATGTTGTAACTATTTAAATTTGAATTAATTAAAATGAAAAAAAAACCCAGCCAGATCCTCAGATGCAGTAGCCACATTTCAAGTGTTCAGTAGCCACGTGTGCTACCATACTGGACAGTCCAGATTATAGAACATTCCCATCAGCACAGAAAGTTCTACTGAACAGCACTGCTGCAGATCCTTGCTATTTATTTATTTATCTATTTACTTTTGAGATGGAATTTGCTCTGTCACCCAGGCTGGAATGCAGTAGCATGATCATAGCTCACCGTAGCCTCGAACTCTTGGGCTCAAGCAATCCTCCCATCTCACCCTCCCAAGTGGCTGGAACTACAGGTGCACACCACCATGCCTGGCTAACTTTTTATTTTTTTGTAGAGATGGGGTCTCACCATGTTTCTCAGGATGGTCTTGAACTCCTTGCCTCAAGCAATCCTTCAACCTCAGCCTTCCAAGTAGCTGAAACTACAGGTTCATGCCAGCATTCTCGGCTTTCAATTTTTTTGTAGAGATGGGGTATCACTATATGATTTCCAGGCTGGTCTTGAACTCCTAGCCTCAAGCAATTCTCCTGTCTCAGCCTCCCAAAGTGCTGAGACTATAGTCATGACTGGCCGCACCTGCCTAGATTCTTAAAGTTTGGTCTATGGTCCAACAGCATCAGCTTCAATGGTCATGTTTTAATTTAAAACATAAGTTGTTAAAATAAATGTCAATACAAGATTCCTTCCTTATTACTTACCTTCAAAGAAAGTAAGACCTTAACTTTATAATATCTTTTCAGTGCATAGAATTAAAATAAAAATTTTCATCTCAGACTTGGAAATATTTATTTTTAATTCCTTTTTGGTAAATAAATTATGCCATATTCTTAAAAATGGAATATCTGTACTCATTAAAATGATATTGTAGAAGATTGTTTATGGCATGGCAGAATTCCATAATGTATTTATTTCTATTTGTATTGTTTAATTTCTTCACAGCTTTATTCTGCCTGACACAATATATTGCTGAGGGGGAAAACTCCAAATTACGAGAGCAAATACAGTACTATTACACGCCCAGAAGCACACACACAATCCCAGGAAAAGAAGGGATGTTTATTCAGATGTTAACCAAGGTTAATCCTGCAGACTGTTAGCTATGGATAATGTTGATTGCCTCTCCTGTGTCCATCCCCCCTACTTTCCTTTAGAGTAACTTGTCACTTTGGGCTCAATATCTCCCCAAGCCCTGTTTACTCGTGTGTCTCGGGCAGTTGACTGCTTTCATGGTTCTCTCTGATTGCTCAAAAAGGAATCCCACCCATTTGTAAGTGTTGGTTAAGGAGTGGGCGTGTCACCCAGTTCTGGCCAATAGAATTTGAGGAAGAGTCCATTAGAAAGCTCTTACAAGAAAATGTCTTGCTTGTAAAAGAGATGAGGAAGTCTCTCTTTTTCCTTTCAATGTGGTTATGTCTTGTTGTAACACCTTGAACTACTGTTGTCACCATTGTAAGAGCCAATGGGTTGATGTTAAAACCACACTGAAGACGGCAGATCAGAGAGATGAAATAAATCTGGATTTTTAATGACATCAATGAACCACTGGAAAAACCAGCCCTGAAACCCACCCACCTGGCCCTGGACTCCTTGTTATGTAGTAGTCTGTATTGCTTAAGCCAGGGCTTCTTTCTCCTGGAGCTGAAGCACACAAACAGATATAATGGGTAATTTTAACTTCTTCTTTTGGCTCATATGAGTTTTCTAAGTCTTTTTATATGAGAATGTATTTCTTTTGTAATATTAAATAAAACACTAAAATCGGACCGGGCGCGGTGGCTCATGCCTGTAATCTCATCACTTTGAGAGACTGAGGCAGGCAGATCACAAGGTCAGGAGTTCAAGATCAGCCTGGCCAATATGGTGAAACCCCGTCTCTACTAAAAATACAAAAATTAGCCAGGTGTGGTGGCGGGTGCCTGTAGTCCCTGCTACTTGAGAGGCTGAGGCAAGAGAATTGCTTGAACCCGGGAGGTGGAGGTTGCAGTGAGCCGAGATTATGCCACTGCACTCCAGCCTGGGCGACAGAGTGAGGCTCCGTTTCAAAACAACAACAACAACAACAAAAACCCAATAAAATTATTTCTTTAATACAAGGGGAAAATAAGCAAAATATGATAACCTTTTGTCTTCCCACCAGTGAGGTGCCCCTTTCCATTGAAGTGAAAAAGTTAGCTGAATTATTTTCGTTTCGTTGCTACCAAAAATGAAAAAAAAATCTTTTAGTTTATAAGACCCACATATGAACACTTAGTGAGTTTGACCCTCCCAGTGCTTAAGTTACCACAAAGGAACAAGGTGGGGCTATGGGGCTATTTATGACAATCTTGCTCCATGATACTTTCATAAGATCTCTAGGTCCACATGAAGCCGTGAGATGCAGAAGCCACCTTGTTAGGGACACTTCAGATTCGGAGATGACACACAGAGGATGTGCCAGGCGCAGTGTTACTCTCGCAATTATTTACAAAGTTAAATTTCTTAGAAGACTGTCTATACTCATCAGTTCCAATTCATACCCTCCCATTGATTTTTGAACTCACTGTGATCTGGAGTCTTTCGAAGGCCATGGATGATCTTCTTATGACCAAGTTCAATGGTACTCTTCAATGACTGTCTCACTTATGTCTGCGGCATTCTTGTTTCTTTACTGTCTTTTGAAATTTTTTCTCCCTTGACTTCTGATACTCCTGATTTCCCCCTTCCTTTCTGTACACTCCTAAATCTTCAGGCTTCTCTCACTCTCCTCACCTCTTACAGGTTGAAATAGCCAAGAATTTTTCCTTCTCTATTGTCTTTTCAGTGACCCAAATCCTCTTTTTCATGTGATTGGGTCTCACACTGCCACCCAGGCCAGAGTGCAGTTGCACAATCATAGTTCACTGCAGCCTCCTTCTCCTGGGCTCAAGTGATCCTCCTGCCTCAGCCTCCCAAAGTGCTGGGTTTACAGGCATGAGCCACTGTGGCCCCAAATCCTTTTGATTAGTACTATTCAGTAGAAATTTCTGCAGTGATGGAAATGTTCTGTATCTGTGCTGTCCAGCAGGGTAGCCAGTAGCCACACTTATGTATGCAGGATTTGAAATGTGGATAGTGCAACTGATTGTCTAACTAAGTACATATTTTCCTCTACTTTTAGAATATTTTGGAAAAAAATATTGGGGCCTCAGTTTTGTTGAAATAATTGCTTCAGTTCTCTGCTGGATGAGTCTGCAAAGATCTAGGTGGTAAGATATAAGGCCAATTGAGTAGTCTAGTTAATCCTGTACTTTCCACACTGTAATAAATTTACACTCTTTTCTCTTAAAGCTTACATGTAGTGAGATGTCCTGTATCCAAGTCCTGCCAATGTGTTACTCATCTTGAACTGGCTGAGGTGAGGATAGGAAAATACCTCTCCTGTTGGCACTTTTTAACTCTATCCCTAGCCTTTATTTGAGCTAAATTTCCTATCCCCAGGCAGGTTTATATGCAGAATTTCACTGCTGGTTTACCTTATTGCTTGTTAAATATCTGGCCATCCTTTGATTATTCAACCTAAAATCCAGCCATTGCTTCTTCTATACTTTGTTCATTCATCTTTGGTGAGTACCTCCAGCTCAGGAAGAATAGGAATATTTTGCAGTGTGGAGATGGGAAGGACCAACCACCGAGAATTTTAATGATCAACTCTGGACGATAGTGTAAAAAACACCAGAAGAAAGTGATGTAGTCAGCATTACTAAATTTCAGTGATTATAACTTTTGAAGCTCACTAGCAAAAAAGAAAAAAAAAAGTGTTATGCAAATGTACCTCTCTCTTTTCTTTATTTCCTTTTCCCAGCAAAAACATTGTAAATTGCTAAAAGTCTTCTGGTGACTTGTCATATTTGGCACGAGTTTAATTGGTTTTGGCAATTGTGTTTTAGTGACTCATGAGAGAATACTTTTAGTTTTTTTACTAACAGATGTAGCAGTGCCTGTGCTAAAAGCAATGACAATAATGTCATAAGGTTATAAAATGGCAGGAATTTGCTGCTGGTGGTCCAATAAAAACAAACTAGTATGAAGAGGGAGCTGTGGGAAGATAAGATGTAAAATATACAGTGCTATAAATGTTTAGTCACAAAAGATCTGATCTTTTGTCGTTTATTTAAACAACACATGTTGAAATTGGGAATCTGCACATGATATCCTAGGAACCACTACATTTTGAATTCAATGTGTTTGTAATCATATTTCATTTGCATCATTGCTCTCATTTCTTGTTCAGGGAAGTGACTCTAACACCACTAGAAAATTGAGATGATATCCTACTCATACTTTGTTTCTTTAAGAAATGTCTTTTTGAAAACTGTGTTATATTTCTGGGTCTTTAAAACGGTTATCATTTCCCCTTGCATCATCTGATTGGATGGCCATTACAACTAGAGAAGTCACTTTCTTTTGAAACATGAAATACTTATGCAGCCAATGTTTGAATGCCCATTTGTCCGCCATGAACTCTGCCAGGTATTGGAGAAACAGCTCTGGACAAGTCCCTGGCCTCCAGGAGCTTACCGTCCAGAGGGAGAAAAGGCAAGAAGATACTTGTGCTGCTTATTAAAGGCTATGTTAGAAGAACTATACACTATGTCAACATCATAGAGATGAGGTCCGTTCATGTGGGATATTCCCAGTCTCCTCTCTAGTCCAGACCAAAGCGGCATTCTACTTTGCCTCCACCTCAGTCCTGTGGGGTGATTCTGTCTTTGCCATCCTTGATGGTGGATTTTCATGTTTTCGAATAAAGAGAATGGGGAGAGAAAGATTGAAAAGGTGTGAGGAGGTCAGTCGCAGTGGCTCGCGCCTGTAATCCCAGCACTTTGGGAGGCTGAGGTGGGCGGATCACCAGGTTAGGAGATCTAGACCATCCTGGCTAATGCAATGAAATTCTGTCTCTACTAAGAACACAAAAATTAGCCGGGTGTGGCGGCGCTTGCCTATAATCCCAGCTACTCAGGAGGCTGAGGCAGGGGAATTGCTTGAACCCGGGAGGCAGAGGTTGCAGTGAGCTGAAATTGCGCCACTACACTCCAGCCTGGGCAACAAGAGTAAGACTCTGTCTCAAAAAAAAAAAAAAAAAAATAGAAAAGAAAGAAAAGGTGTGAGGAAAGGAAAGGGGAACAATTATTTTTTCCTAGATTAGTTCCTGGGCTTCAGCATTATGAAAAAAAAAAAATCCTCATGGTGGGGAAAATAGAAAAACACTTAAAAAGAAGTTGAGGCTGGGTAGAGTGGCTCACACTTGTAATCCCAAAACTTGGGGAGGCCGAGGCAAGAGGACCCCTTGAGGCCATGAGTCTGAGACCAGTCTGGGCAACATAGTGTGACCCTGTGTCTACAAAAAATACAAAGAAAGAAATCAGGCAGCTGTAACTGCTAGGCTGGAGTCCTACCTACTTGGGAGATTGAAGTGGAAGGATTGCTTGAGCTCAGGAGTTTGGGATTGCAGTGAGCTGTGATCATGCCACTGCGCTCCAGCCTGGACAACAGAGAGAAACCTTGCCTTACAAAAAGATAAAAGAAAAAAAGAAGTTGTCGAGGGGCTAAGCCATGATACATAAAAACTGATGAGCAGATTACAGAGGTCAATATACCTCCAATCAAAAGGCACACCCCTGACCAGTTCCCCCTGACCTGGGTCTAGGCCAAGGCTCTCAATCCCAGAGACAGAAGGGGATTTGCTTCTCTTCATCCAGTCTCTTGCTAGTCTGTGGCCCATTTACGCAGTCACAGCAAACAATGGCACATTTCCAGCAGTTTGGAGCATCGGTGGTGTGCTCCAGCGCCAGGTGTAGGCACTGGCATAATGCTCCCTGGTGTGCTGTGAGAGGCCCTGCCCAGCTCCTGTTCAACATCTCCTCCCGCATAAGGCAAGAGTGGAGCATATGTGTACAGAGGACCAGACACACGTGCATATGCACACACACACACACACACACACATCTCCCAGGAAGCACAAACCTTAATTCGAATTTAGGAGAAAAATACCCTCTAAATCTGCAAGAGTATAGTACTACTCAAAATTACACCACAATTAATAAACTAAACAACAAACTCTGTAAATGAAAGACTTGAATTACGATTAGCTATAATTAAGATTAGATTTCCCTAAGATTAATGAGCGGCCGCTTGTTTTATACATGTTTTCAAGGCACCCATTCTGGTCATTTTACCAAAGCAAAATTTGCTCAAAAGATGTCTCTACTTCTAGAAACAGAAAACTGCTAGAAAATGATGTTTTTTAACATATAGATTTTTTTAAAATAAGGGAAATCATATCTAAGAAGATAAAACCAACTCACAATTTCACATACAGATGATCTTGCTGACTTTTAAAAAGTACACATATATGTGATAAAAGTTCAAACAGTGCAGGAGGGGTTTCTCAAAAGAGAAATCTCACTCTTTCATTGCTTTTGAAGGTAACCACTACTAAATCTTTTTCTTAACTATTTTATTTTGTTATGTGGTAAAATATATATAACATAAATTTGCCTTTTTGAGCATTTCAACTGTACAATTAAGCGGCATTAACTACATTCATGCTGTGGTGCCACCATCACCCCTATCCTTTTTCAAAGTTTCTCATTATCCAAAACAAACTCTGTGGCAATTAAGCAATAACTCCCCCATTTCTCTTTTGCTCTAGTTCATGGTAACTTTTACTTTTTTTTTTTTTTTTTTTTGAGACGGAGTCTCACTCTGTGGCCCAGGCTGGAGTGCAGTGGTGCAATCTTGGCTCACTGCAACCTCCACCTCCCGGGTTCAAGTGATACTCCTGCCTCAGCCTCCCGAGTAGCTGGGATTACAGGCGCGTGCCACCATGCCCAGCTAATGTTTGTATTTTTAGTAGAGACAGGGTTTCACCAGGTTGGCCAGGCTGGTCTCAAACTCCTGACCTCAGGTAATCCACCTGCCTCAGGCTCACAAACTGCTGAGATTATAGGCTTGAGCCACTGCGTCCGGCCCTTACCCTCTCTATGAATTTACTTATTCTAGATATTTCAATAAGTGGAATCATACAATAATTGTCCTTTTATGTTTGGCCTATTTCAGTTGATGTAATGTATTCAGGCTTCATCCCTGTTGTTACATGGGTCAGAACTTCATTCTTTTTATGGCCAAATAAAATAATTGCATTGTATGTACATATCACATGTTGTTTTATCCATTCATTTGCGGTTGGACCCTTACATTGTTTCCACCTTTGGGCATCGTGAATAGTGCTGGGGAGCATATTGGCCAAAAAAGCATCTGGTCAAGTCCCTGCCTTTATTTCCTTAGGATGTGTAATGAAGAGTAGAATCACTGGTTCATATGGTAATTCTGTGTTTAACATTTTGAGGAAATACCAAACTGTTTTCCACAGTGGCTGTACCATTTTACATGCCAGCCAGCAATGTACAAGAGTTCCAATTTCTCCAAGTGTTAGTTTCCTTAAAAAAAAAATTACTGTAGCCACTCTAGTAGGTATACAGTAGCATCCCATTGAGGTTTTCAATTCACTTTTTCCTAGTGACAGGGGATGTCGGGCGTCCTGTCATGTACTTATTGACTACGTATATATCTTGTTTGTAGAAATGTCTATATTTATCCCAACACATCCTTTGCCCACTTTTGAGTTGTCCTTTTGTTGTTGAGTTTTAGGAGTTATTTATATATTCTAGATATTAAGCTCCTCTGAGATACACAATTTGCAAATATTTTATTTCATTCTGTAGGTTGTTTTGTCACTTTGTTCAAAATATACTTTGACGCACAAAAGATTTTAATTTTGATAAAGTTCACTTTATCGATTTTTCTTTTGATGCTAATGCTTTTGGCATCATATCAAAGAATCAGTTACCAAATCCAAGGTTATGAAGATGTATTCCTATGTTTTCTGCTTAGATGTTTGTGGGTTTAATGCATATACTTAGGTCATTGATATATTTTGATTAAGTTTTTCATCTGTTTTTAAACCCTTATAAGTATAGTTGTACATATGTCTTGTTGAACTTTCATAAATTTGACAACAATGAGGTTACTGGGTCAAAGCATTTTAAATTTTAAATTTGAAGAGATAATGACTATGATGTCCTCTCTGCTCTTTCTATTCAACATTGTTTCAAACATTCTAGCCAGGACAATTAAGCAAGACAATGAAAAAAAAAAGCCACATCCAGATTGGAAAGGAAAAAGTAAAACTATCTCTTCTCGCAATGACATGATCTACTATGTAGAAAATCCTAGCGAATCTACTAAAAAACTATCAGAGCTAATGAAATCAGCAAGGCTGCAGGATATAAAAATCAATTGCATTTCTGTACACTTGCAATGAACAATTAGAAAATGAAATTAAGAAAACAAATTCAGAATAAATTTAACAAAAGAACTGCAAACCTTATACTCTGAAAACTACAAAATACTGTTAAAGAAAATTAAAGACTAAAAAAATTGGAAAGCCATCTCACGCTCATGGATCAGGAAACATGGTAGGTAATAACTTTCCAAATTGTACAGAGATCTCTACTAGAATCCCAGTTGGGGCCAGGCAAGGTGGCTCATGCCTGTAATCCCAACATTTTGGGAGGCTGAGATGGGAGATTCCTGGAGGTCAGGAGTTTGAGATCAGCCTGAGTAACATAGTGAGACCTTGTCTCTACAAAAAACTAAAAATATTAGTTGGGTATGGTAGTGCATGCCTGTAATAATAGCTGCTCGGGAGGTTGAGATGGGAGGATTGCTCAAGCAAGGTTACAGTGAGCTATGATTGCAGAACTGCACTCCAGCCTGGGCAACAGAGCAAGACCGTATCTTAAAAAAAAAAAATCCCAGTTGGCTTCTTTGTAGGAGTTGACAAAGCTGATTCTGAAATCCATATGGAAATGAAAGGGGCCCCAAATAGCTAAAATGCTGTTGAAGAAAGAAGAATAAAGCTGGAGGACTCATACCTCTTGATTTCTAAAACTTAATACAAATCTATAATAATCAATCAAGACAGTGTAGAACTAGCTCAAGGATAAACATATAGATGAATATAATAAAATTGAGAGTCCAGAAATGAACCCATACATCTATCATCAATTTATTCCAACAGAAGTGCCAGGATCATTCAATGAGGAAAGAATAGTCTCCTCAACAAATGGTCCTAGGACAGACTGACAGCCGTACGCAAAAAAACTAAGTTGGATCTTTACTGCATACCATATGTAAGAATTACATAAAAATGGATTAAAAAGAGCCTAACTATAAAAGCCAAAACTATAAAAGTCTTATGAGAAAACAGGTTAAATCTTGGTAAACTTGGATTTGGCAATGAATTTTTAGATATGAGCAAAAAGTACAAGCAATGAAAAAAATAAATTAGACTTTACAAACTTTTGTGCTTCATAGGTCACTATCAAGAAAGCAAAAAGACAATCCACAGAATGGGAGAAAGACTTACAAAGTATATATCTGATAAGGGCCTTGTATCTAGAATATGTAAAGAACAGTTACAACTCAGTAACAAAAAGACAACCCAATTGGAAAATGGGCAAGGTATCTGAATAGGTATTTTTCCAGAGAAGTTATACAAATGGCCAAGCACGTGAAAAGATTTTCAACATCATGAGCCATCAGGGAAATGCAAATCGAAACCACAGGAAGACACGGCTTCACATCCACAGAGATGTCCAAAATCAAAAAGTCAAAGAGTAACATGTGTTGGCAAGGATGTGGAGAAATTGGAATCCTCATACACTGCTGTTGGGAATGTAAAATGGTGCATCCACTTTGGAAAACAGCTTGGCAGTTCCTCAAAAATTTAAGTATAGTGTTATCATTTAACACCGCAAATTCATTCTTTGTTACTATATACCTAAGAGAAATGAAAACATATGTTCTCACAAAAACTTTCACATGAATGTTCATAGCACTATTATAATCAAAGGATAGAAATAAGCCAAGTGTCCATCAACTGATGATTGGATAAGCAATAGTGGTATACCTACACAATAGAAAATTGTTCAGCAACAAGATAAATGAAATACTGATACATGGTTTAACACAAAAGAAACTTAAAAATCATATACTAAGGGAAAGAAGACTATCACAAAAGACCACATATGATTCTATATGAAATGTACAGACTAACTAGCAAATCTATAGAGACAGAAAGTAGATTAGTGGTTGCCTGGGACCAGGTATGAGGAGGAGGGTGGCTGGGAGGGAAGATAGCTAAAGGATCTGAGGTTCCTTTGCAGAATGATAAAAATGTTCTAAAATTGATTGTGGTGATGGGTGCCCAACTCTGGGGATACATGAAAATCCATTGAACTATACACATTATGTAAGTTAATTGTATAATATGTGAATTATATGTTGATAAAACTATTACAATTATATCCTTTTTAATGTTTTACTTAGATGGATATTCAATTCAGTAAACATTTTCAAAAGACTTTATTTAAAAAAAACAAAAACAATGACTAATGTCCTCCAGGACAACTGCACCCACTGACATCCCCCCATCAAATGGGGACACCTGTCCCCTAGACTGATGTTCAGCTGGCAGGTACTAACAGGGGTATACTGGCACTTTATGGCTGGCATCAGTTCTGAGTAGTGGGTGTATATGTTACACCAGTGTTAAAATATTTTTAATTTCTCCCCCACCTTCTGGCCACATCCTGACCTACCTTGGGTATCATCAAATTTTTCATATTTTTGTAAAATTAACTAATTGAAAGTGAGTTGATTGAATTCCTTTACTGATGAGTGAGGTTGAGTATGATTTATCTTTTTAAGCATTGAAACTTTCTTTTCATTAAGGTAATACACATTTGGTTTAAATATTTAATTAGATCATAAGAATTTAAAATGAAGCACAGTTCCTAGTCCCATCTCAGTCCCCATCTCAGTTCCCCACAGGCACCCATGTTACTCTTGTAACATTTTCTGATTTTAGTTCACGTGATTCAAAACATATTCAAATTTACTCAATACCTCTAGATGATATGTACAAACCCCTATTTTTTTATTTATCCCTTTAAGAAGATATCTCTTGACTTCCTGCCGTGATAAGTAAGGATTTAGCTCACTCCTCTCCTGTCTTCCACATACTCATCACTATTTTACCTTTATTGGTTGCTTTATTTCTTTTTCTGTCAGGTACTAACAAAAGGACACTAGAGTCAAGCTCCTCCTTTTGCTGTTTTTCCTTTTTACTTCCCTTGTTGTGTTTTATGTTGTACCTGACAACTTCAGCTTTGTCAAGGCTGATGTTACTTCTGCTCTGAAATGGTCAATTCATCTGTGCTGCGTTATTGCTTTGATTCTAAACACCCAAAACTCAATAAAGTGTTTTTGTGACTATGACCATGTAAATAGCACTCACTGCAGATCCAAGAAATATGCTTGTTCTATTTCCTTTCCTTGTTCCTCCTGGAGCTTCTAATTGCTTATTTTTTCTGGCATCATTGGCTCTACTGCATCTTTAAATTTTTTCCATTTTCGAAAGAATACTATCAAATGTATGGAATCTCTTTTTACAATATCCTTCCTTCCTGGACACCTAGCTCTCCAAGATTGATCATTTCCTGGGTTTGCTGCACAGCTGCATTCAGGAACTTCCCTTTGTCATTCTCCTGGGTTCAACTTACTATGTTTCAGATCCTGCTATTGCTCATCCTTGAGTATGCCTGAGAAAGGTTGTATGAGAGCTACACTTGGTCTGAAAATATATTCTTTTTTCACATTTGATTTATAATTAGGCTGAGTAGTTTCAGATGTTGATATCAGAATGTTCTTATTGCAAGTATTAAAGCTTGGTTCTAAAAAAGGAGGGGTAAGCGGTTTCTGGCTGAAATAACCAAGAAGTCCAAAGTTGTATTGACTTCAGGTAAGGTTTGATCCAGAGGTTCAGAGTCATATGGGCCTTGGTTCCTTTTATTTTTATTTTTTAAGTATTTTCTCCTGTCTCTGCATGGTGGTCAGAGAACATGATTTGCATTTTTAAAAAATAATTTTTGATATTTAGTGAGGTCCATGCACCAAGTATATAATTAATTTTATAAATGTTTCTCGGATTTGGGGAAAAATATATTCTTATAACAAAGAAGTCATTTTTTTCAGATTATGTTAGTACATGTTTTTATATTACATTTTAAAAACTGAGCTTGGGTTATTTGTCTTAACATTGATCTGTTATGTCTTTGCCTGGTATTTGCTCTGTCCTCTCAGCCTACTGGTGGACTCCAGTTGCTGCAATGAAAGCCACTTTAAATTCAAACCACTACCTGAACTATTTATGTGTAAAATCTTTGTATTCCTCTATCTGGAAGAGCCTGGTGCATGGGTGCTCAAAAATATTTGTTAAAAGGATGAATGAATGAAATGGGAAAGCACATCTAATCAAAGCAGTTCAATCCATGCTGCTTCATACATATCTCCATTTATTTCTGCAATTTTCCATTTGTTTTCTTAAAATTCCCATTGGCTATTCAAGGTTCATATCTAATTTTCATTGGAAATTCCTCAGGAGCAGGAATATATTATTGGCTGTATTTTTTGCCTGCTTTTTTAATGCACCCAAGTTCTGACTGTTAATTTTCTAATTAATAGTACACTGATGGAATGATGCTTCCTATCTGTGATTAAATTCAAGGATCTTGAGGAGTGTTAGTTTTCCCAAACTCCCAGAGGAAAAAAAAAATCCTAAAGGCAGTTACCTAGGGGAATGCAGTTGTGCTCACAAACAGCCCGGGGCAGTCTCAGTGGGTGTGGGACCTCTCCTCCTTGGACACCCTGTGGGTACAGAGCATGGGGTCTGGGAGATGGCAAAGGTAAAGTGGGCTCTGTAGTCTGCTCCTCTTAGGAACATCACCAAAGAATCTGGCTTTATGGAAAATTGTCTGGCTTGATCAGTGGAGCAAATCTAGCTTTGCCTGGAGTTTCTCTTTTCCCTAAAATTAAATTTCTATTCAGACTTACGTCAGCAATTTTGTTCTTTTTAAGGACACAGTCCCCTTCAATCTCTCCCCAACCCTAGTGACTTAAGGCATGATTTGAATCTGTCACGCCGTGCTGATATACGGGAGGTTTGGTCTGGCTGTTAATACTGGCAAAGGAATTGAGTTTTCCCCAATAGGATGAACATTCTGCATTTAATGAAAGCAAGATTTTAAAAATTGGCTTCTATTATACAACTTCTAGGTCTTGTAAAATTATACATGTCTTGGGGACCACTTAGATGCTATACAGGGGTGAGTTATTCTCTCCCAAGAAATCTTCTGTGATTACAGTTGAGTTCCAGGTCCAACGGCTTCATATAAAACTTCCTTTAGAGAGACTGGAGGTGGTTACTGCCTTTAGTGGCATTTGCATGTTCAGCGTGACTGAGAACACTCTTGATGGTGTGACTTCATCACAAAGACTTGATCAGGTGTCAATAATTTTTAAATGGCCATGTTTCTTAATGAATTCTCTCTCTGGTTCACTGCATGGAGGTGCTAGTGAGAGGTGAAGCCAGCTGGACTTCTTGGGTCTAGTGGGGACTTGGAGAACTTTTCTGTCTTACAAGAGGATTGTAAAAAGCACCAATCAGTGTTCTGTAGGTATCAAGAGGACTGTAAAATGCACCAATTAGTGCTCTGTAAAATGCACCAATCAGCGCTCTGTAGCTAGCAAGAGGATTGTAAAATGCACCAATCAGTATTCTGTAAAAATGCTCCAATCAGTGCTCTGTAAAATGCACCAATTGGCAGGATCCTAAAAGTAGCCAATCACAGGGAGGATTGAAAAAAGGGTACTCTGATAGGACAAAAACAGAACATGGAGGGTACAAATAAGGGAATAAAATTGGCCACCTCAGCCAGCAGCAGCAACCAGCTCGGGTCTCTTTCTACCCTGGGATCTTTGTTCTTTTGCTGTTCACTATAAACTTTACTACTACTCACTCTTTGGGTCTGTGCCATCTTTAAGAGCTGTAACACTCACTGCAAAGGTTCGTGAGAGGCCATGAACCCACCTGGTAGGAACCAACTCCGGACACAGTACCTACTAGATAGCTCATTTTGCATTATTCTGAAGTGAGAAGAACATTGCTGTGGACCTCGTTCTTAAGTGTATTCTCAAGATTAACACCTCCACACTGGAATGTGAAATTAATCAAAGCAGCCAGGCCAGCACGTTGGGTGTCACTGATGTTTTCCAGGTTGTTTTTCCTTCTTAACCTGAAAAAAATTAGAAAGCTTCTTTGCCCTCCAAATTGTAGGCAACAGAAAAGGTTAGAATACATTGGAAAACTTAGTTTTTAAAAAATTCCACTTTTAGACTGCACCTGTAGTCCAAGCTACTTGGAAGGCTTAGGGTGGAGGATCACTTGAGCCTAGAAGTTCAAGGCCAGCCTGGGCAGCTTAGCAAGACCCCTTCTCTAAAAAATAAGCAAATTCCAAATTCCACTTTTAGGAATTTAATTGACTAATAAACTTACTTTTAAAAAAGTCAAGCTATAAAAGGATCTTCGTTTAGCATTTTTTAATTGAGAAAACAACTGGAAACTACTTATATGTCTATTTATAAAGAGCTATTGAGATATACTGTAGACTATGTGGGATATATTTAGCATCTGACAGAATTGGGTGTCTTATTCCTGTGTATCCTTGTATGCAGCTGTTAAAAAGAATGAAATTGGTCTATTTGTGCTAACATGGGAAGTTCTTCAAGACGTGAAAATGAGGCAGACGAGGCACTATAGGTACTGATTGTATGATCTTCTGTATAAAAAGAAATAGAAAATATGTATGTATATATGTGTGTGTGCATGCATGTTGGTATATAAGAAAAATGTTTTCTGAAAGAGCTCTAAAAAACTGCTAATAATCCGAGTGACAATGACCAGATGAGTACAATATTACTTTTCATTTTACAACTTTCTGTACTTCTTGAATTTTTTGTCATGCAAGGGAATAAATCTTTAAGGCATGTTATCAAAGTTATCTAGGTGGTGGGAGTATGAGACATTGGTATGTTCGTTACAGTTTTAAGCATGAAGAAACACTAGCAAATGTTATTTTTGCAAGGTGCAATTATGAGAATACAGTCCTAACAAAAGCAACAAGGGGGCTAAATTTCAAAATTTAATTGTTTCTTTAAAATAACTTATAAATTGTAAATTGTAAGCTCTTCTAGTCTAATAGAAATGACACTCATGCAAGAACTCTTTCAATTTGATATGTGAAATAGGCTGGCTCTGGGATCCAGTTGAGTTTGGGTATAGAAAGTTGTTTCAGGGCCGGGTGCGGTGGCTCACACCTGGAATCCCAGCACTTTGGGAGGCCGAGGCGGGTGGATCACGAGGTCAGGAGATTGAGACCATCCTAGCTAACATGGTGAAACCCCGTCTCTACTAAAAATACAAAAAATTAGTAGGGCATGGTGGCGGGCGCCTGTAGTCTCAGCTGCTCGGGAGGCTGAGGCAAGAGAATGGCGTGAACCTGGGAGGCAGAGCTTGCAGTGAGCCGAGATCACGCCACTGCACTCCAGCCTGGGTGACAGAGTGAGACTCTGTCTCAAAAAAAAAGAAGGAAAGTTGTTTCAAAGTGTGATAAACTAGAATTAGGACTTTACAAGGCTAAGAGAGAGAAATTTCAAAAAATGTTGATGCATAATGATTTCAGGAGAAAATACATTAAATGTGCATAAACTATAGACAGAATTTATTTCCAAGTGTTTTTCTTTGATTGTACATATTTTTTTCAGAAACTTTTGTGAAGTTTAAAAATTTACTCAAAGATATCATGCTTTGCCACATTTGTAAAGAAATACTGCCAAAAGAGACATTTTAAGATGCTGAATTACAAACGCATACTGCATGTTTTCATGAGGTAGTTGTTCAAGCCATTCTACATTTCCTGCCCTCTACCTGATCATTTTGATTCAATGGTTAAAATTAGTTGAACGCAGCCCTGAGCATTCAAGCAATACACAGTGCCATTTTTTTCTCCCGTAACCTCAGGCCGCACTGCAGATAACGCAAAGCATACACGCTCCACTCAGACTTGTTGATTAACTGATTGATTATAAAGCAGGCTAGAAGTTCATTCTGGTGTATATCACTCCATAAAATTAGTGATCATCTCAAAAGTGATTCTAGTGTGCATTCAACAGGGCCTAGGCAGTAATTCGCACTCAATTTGAGGTTTTTCTCTGATTAAAAATAGACTTTTCTGTCTTCCTTGAAGTTGAATTTCAAAGACAAGTAGCTGTGGTTGGTCTGTAAGAAGGAAGCCAGTCAGTTAGATTTGCATTTGCGACTTAGGAAGGACTTTCGTGCCTGATGGTGAGGGAAAGGGGATGTGGGGGTGTGTTGGACAGGGACAATGGGCTTGCATGAGGCCAATGGTTCTGTAAGTTTTCCAAGAGTTCTAGGATATTCAAAAGCATTTTCTTCCTAGCAAATGATGCCTCAGAGGGTGCCAAGTCTCACCATATTTATTCAGACTACTTGATGTGAGTCACTTTGGGAGACAACTTCCAGGAAGAATATTTTAACAATTTTTTTGTAGGAGTTGACTTTTGCCACAAATGCATTTCAATTAAATATACCCAAATATTTGCTGAGGAAATACCCGGTCAGGTCATAGTGGAGTCTATGCATTTCACACCAACTCCATCACTGGTCATATTACTGAAGTTCTCTCCGTTACATCAGAATGGCGACTCATTAACTTTTATGAATTTTCTGAAAAAGATTTTCCTCTCTCTGGGTTCTTATGAGTCTCTTTGGAAACTTGCTCCTGAATTTTATCCCTCTCTTCAATGCTAGCTTAGTTTTAACACCAGTTCAGATATATTTGAAGTAGGTTGCGGGCTTTTACCCTCCATTGCCTATTTTGGTCGTGATAAACTTAGTATTTCTGTTTGTACCAACTCTTGCCCCAGTCCTATTTCCGTCTGCTGCAAGATGTTGTGGATCTACATCCAAAGTGAGAATTTGTTTGGCCCGATTGTGCTTGTTAAAAGCCCTGAAAGTTGGTGTGTTTATTGTCTTTTGACTTTGGAGACTCCAGGCTCAAGTACCTCCCATGACCTTTCGTTCCTGTGTATCCTTGTATGTAAACAGCTTTGCAGCAGCAAAGCTCCAGCTCTCTGTGACCTTGGCAGCAGGGCAGTGAGCAATGGTTTCCAGAGCAAAGTCTCTTTCTGAATACATTTTGCTCCACATCTCCTGGTCCCAGTAGGGTTGTTTTCAGCACCAGACATGTCATTTCTCCTCCACGTGATCTTATTTTTAGACGAGCATCTTCAAAAGAGCAAGCTGGAAGATAATTTGCATGCATCTTTCCATCATCTTTCATTTCTTGTTTTCACCAAGTATAAAGACTCTCATTTTCTCATGTCTTTGGGGTATGTCTCTATGTTTAGCCTCCTTTCAGGAGAAAGATATTTCTACCTTATTCAAATGGCTTTTGACTTAGATCTTTCTATCTTCTCAAATCCCAACATCCTCATCCTGAATCCTTAGGAAAGGTGCACAGCTGGTTTCTGCCTTCAAACAGCAGTTTTTGAAGAGAAACGTTCCCCTGATTTCCACCCATTGCCTGCCTGCCCTCCAGCTCCCAGCCCAACAGCTGCAGGGCAGACCACGTCTGAGCAGAGACCCGGCAGGGACTCCAGAAGGGGAAAGACCTTGTGCTTGGGGTCAGGGCAAGACCCAGAGGACATCTACCTTTCTGAACACCATGGCCCCTTCAGTAGGATGCCTTTGCAGTCTGAATGTGGCTTCCTGGGAACTATTTAAAACCTTTGCCTTGGGCCATTCTGGCTTTTTGCCCAGAAAAAAATGCAGATTAAGGGAAGAAGTCCAGAATGCAGCAAATAATACTTCAGTATTGTCCCATTTAAGCATGTGTTTTCCCAGTATAGGATTGTTCACTAATCATGTCTAACCATGGACAGTCCTCATCTGTCCATAGTCTCACAAGACTACAAGGTCCGCCTGCCCCAGTAAATGTTTGTGGGACTTAGAATCTCAAGAAGAAAAAGTATGAAATATATAAGTGGCAAAGTTAACAGAGTTTACAGGAAGAGATCAACACTGGCTAACAGGAGTTGGGGAGGCATTTTATACATGAGGATGGGATAGCTGAAGGGTGGTGAGAGTTTGTGAATAGAGGAGGGCAACCTAGGTTTCATGAGCCAAGGTGTAAATTGGTGGGCAAGCTCTTGGGGATAGAAAGAGCAAAGGCCTGGCCTGAATGGAGGGTTTGTGTGAGGGAACATGGGAAAATCATGTCTAATCCCAGAGTTGTCAGATTCGCAACATATTGACAGTGGTTTCTATTCTCTGTCTCCTTTTAATTCTCTTGCATTTAATATTTAGATGGGATGACTTTTGTCTGACTGCATTTCCCAAACCTCCCCGCTTCCAACCACATAAATCAAAGCAAGATTAGATTTTGGATTTACTTTTCTGTATGTTCGGCCACTAGAATCCTCTAGATTTTTCACACATAGGAGTTAAACCCAGGGATTGTCCATAGCCATGCCACAGATCACTGGGGGCATGAAAGACTCTTCTAGAACCTGAGCCTGCCCAAAGCCAAGTCCAGTAGCAGACACCATGTAAATGACAAATGAATATCTAGAATAATCAGGTTAGGTTTGCCTTGCTATCATTATCATATATCATATTCCCAATTTCTACAGCTGGATCATTTATCTTTTATGATCAATCACTGCACTAAACCAATGTGTTGATAATCATTTTTTTCAGGTATCTTTACTGTTCAGATTGTTGGAACATGTAACCAGCAAGAATATGAGGCATCATTTACTTTCTTAATCTCTGGGCTTATTTAGCCATTCACAAATATCAGGCTCTTTTAAAAAATATTGGTAGCCTCTAGCAGTTAGAAGGAGGTGAAGGTCTAGGTCCTTTCCCTCCCACTACCTCACCAGGACTTGTTTTTAAATGAAAGCAAGTCTCAGACCAAATTCTGCCTCATACACACGAACATTTATTGGGAGGTAAGTACAAAAATAGCCATGCAACCTCCTCCTCTCATTCTCTTGTCTTTTTAGGTACTTTGGAAAGCATCTTGCAGGAAATATTTACTTTGTTGTGGTCACAACAAAATTTTAACATCAGAGTAGGTGACAGAGATGACATAGGTGGCTCTCCATTAGGTGGGGACCATAGGACAGAATTCTATCCATAAAGAGAGAGAGATTCTGTCACTCCAAAGGTGGTCAGCTGCTGGGTTTGCCAGATCAAGGGAGGAGGTGCCAGTGGAAGTCTCTTCAGCCAACTACATGCCTTAGCATCACTCATTTCTTCAAAGAAAATTTCCTTCTAACAACCCCTGTGATAACAAATAAACCCTCTAGGGCAGATGGAGAAGGACTATTTAAAACCTTTGCCTTGGGCCATTCTGGAACCTAAATTAAGATTAGGGTTTGTGAGTCAACTACTTAAACTCACACAGTTTTTCCTCTGCTCTTACGTAAAAAAAAAAAAAAAAAAAATAGTGAACACAGAAGACTTCAGTGACAAAATGTGGGGGTTTCCCCAGACACCAAGCAGAAGACACAAGCTGAGTGTCTAATTCAATTCAATTCTGTGGCTCATGCCTGTAATCCCAACACTTTGCGGGAGGATTGCTTGGGGCCAGGAGTGTGAGACTAGCCTAGCCAACATGGAGAAACTCTATCTCTACTAAAAAATACAAAACTTAGTCAGGCGTGATGGCATGCACCTGCAATCCCTGCTATTTGAGAGGCTGAGGCAGGAGAATCGCTTGAACCTGGAAGGCAGAGGTTGCAGTGAGCCAAGATCAAGCCACTGCACTCCAGCTTGGACGACAGAGTGAAACTCTGTCTCAAAAAAAAAAAAAAAAAAATTCAGAGGCTATCTACCTGTAGATGGCCTCAGATCCCACAGGTTAAGGGCTCAGTACCCTAAACTGATCTCCCTTTCAGACACCAGTCACAAGTTGGGGCCCCTGGAACATCTGCCCAACTGACTTCAAATTGGGGCTCCCACCACCCACTCTTTGGGTTTGATTAATTTACTAGAGTGGCTCACAGAAGTCAGGGAAACATAGGTTTACTGGTTTATTATAAAGGGTATTACAAAGGATATAGATGAAGAGATGCTTAGAGGGAGATACGGGGGAAGGGGTAGGGAGCTTCCATGCCCTCTCCGGGTGTGCCACCCTCTAGGAAGCTCCGTGTGTTCAGCTATGCAGAAGCTCTCCAAACCCTGTCCTTTTGGGTTTTTATGGAGGCTTCATTCTGTAGGCAGGATTGATTACATCATTGGCCATTGGTGGTCAACAACCTTTCCACCCTCTCTGGTTCCTGGAGGTGGGAGTAGGGGGCTAAGAGTCCCGACCCTCTAATGCTGCCTTGGTCTTTCCTGTGACCAGTCCCTGTCCTGAAGCTACATAGAGGCTGTCAGCCACTAGTCAACTCATAAGCATACAAAAAGACACTATCACTTTGGAGATTATAAGGATTTTAGGAGTTGTATGTCAGAAAATGGAGTCAAAGACCAAATATATATTTGACAAAATCACAGGGTTCTTGACATGTTAACCAACAAATGCTGACTAATCACCCTGAGGCACAGATGAAAGCAGGGTAGTTATCATCTGGTTTGCCTATATTTTAGGTTCTTCTCCCTGTAATCTTCAAAAGCTGTCCTAAGCCACCTTGAGTAAAAACCTAGCCCAGGTTACACAGTATGCTGCTGTACTCCTGCCACTTCCCTGCTGGGCCCCTGGCACCTCCCAGCCCCTCTGTCATCATAATGAGAGCACCACTATTGGATTTCTCCTAAAAAGAAATGTAAGAGCCACACGCTGGAATCCAAATTCAAACGACTGATTTCCCAGAGACCCAGAGGCAGCTCCTTGGATCCACACAGAGTAGATGCTGTGAAGCAACATCTCAGGAATGAAAAATGTGTTCCCTGAGCTGCCAGGAGTTCTGCAGGGGCAGGCCTCACTTGTCAGGCCTCTCCAGAATTGCCCAGGCTGAACACAACAACTTCACCTGAGATGACACCCCCAAGCTGTGAGTTCTTGGAGCAGTCACATTGAAAGACTCACCAATACTGGGCCCCCTTGCCACAACACTTCTGAAGTTTGATCTCAGCTCCAGAACACCCACCTTCTTCCCTGCTCAATCCTGCTTCTTTCTCGTTGCTCACAGATGTTGATCCCAAGAGTACTCCCCAATAAACCTCCTATGCACTAATCCCCATCTATGGGTCTGCTTCATACCTTCTTTTGGAACCATTTACTCTAAAACCATAGGCTTGCAGGGATGCCCACTCATCTTTGCAGCATGTGCAGTATAACCATCCTAGAAAAGTTGCTGGGAGCATCCTGATCTGGAGGGACCCAAGGTATGGCACCAAGCAGGTGTGGACTCTCTGGGGTCCAGTCCATCAGCACCGCCTCTTCTGTGGATGCCTGCATTCTGCTTCAGGACCCTGGTGTCTGGGTTTTGATTGTGTCCTCAATTGTACAAAAGATGATTTTTAAGAACCATGTCTTATATTTAGTTTTCATTTGTATTGAAGTTGTATATGCACCTAGTTGAAAGAATCAAATGATTCTGCAAAGCTGATGTGACAGAGACTGCTGGTTGAGCACTAGCATCATTCCTCACCTTCTTTAATATCAGGGCTCCAGTGTCTTAGCTGAGCACGTGGCTAACAGCTAGACCCTATGCTTCCCAGCCTCCCATGCAGCTGTGGTCCTTATGCCCACATCCTGACCGATGGATGTGTGGCCCTTCTGGGGCATGTTCCTATCAGTTATGCACATGTGCTCTCCTGACCCTGTCCTCCTTCCCTCTGGCTGGGAAGACAAAACTAGAATGGCTGCCTTAGTCCCACAGGTGGAAGCTACGTTTTGAGGATCATAAAGGTGACTTTCCAACCCAGATTGCTTCTCTTGAGATCATATCAAACAGAGAAACTTATACCTACCTCATTTAAGCTTCTGTATTTTGGTGTCTTTTTGCTAAAGCAGCTTAGCCTGTAATTTCATCCATATTGCTTGTTTAAACAAACAAACATACAAACAAACAGTCTTCTCCATCCTCTTTTCTTTTTCCCAGAAGCACCACCATATGTTTAAATATTACATTTCTATTGATATTTCATGTTTAGGCATTATCTATTTGAGTTTCCAATTTGGAAGATGAATATTTCACTGTCTCCTTCTCTCCCACCTTCACCTCAGCCTCCCTTCTCCCATGCATACTCAGCACCCACTCCTCCATATTCCAAAAATACTTATGTTGTAGTTTTGGATAGATCAATAGATATTTAGTATTTATACAATCATGATACTGCAAGTGGTATATAAAACAGTGTACGAGCCAGGCGCGGTGGCTCACGCCTGTAATCCCAGCACTTTGGGAGCCTGAGGCAGGCAGATCACAAGGTCAGGAGATCGAGACCATCCTGGCTAACACGGTGAAACCCCATCTGTACTAAAATTACAAAAAATTAGCCGGGCGTGGTGGCAGCCACCTGTAGTACCAGCTACTCGGGAGGCTGAGGCAGGAGAATGGCGTGAGCCTGGGAGGCGGAGCTTGCAGTGAGCTGAGATCACGCCACTGCACTCCAACCTGGGTGACAGAGCGAGACTCTGTCTCAAAAAAAAAAAAAGTTACGATGGATGTTTTGACTTTCTTGAATAACATTTTGTTTTCCCTTTGAACTTTTATTCTTTATATTTCCTTAGCATCCCATTTGCTTGCTATTAATTCAACCCTAAACAGTGTCCCTATTGTGTGATCTCTCAATATATTCAAACACACTGGGGATATCATTAGCTTCATCTGTTTGAAGAAATCTTCCTAGGGCTTTTTTTTTTTTTTTTTTTTTTTGAGACAGAGTTTCACTCTTGTTGCCCAGACTGGAGTGCAATGGCACAATCTCAGCTCACCACAACCTCTGCCTCTCGGGTTCGAGTGATTCTCCTGCCTCAGCCTCCCGAGTAACTGGGATTACAGGCATGCACCACCATGCCCAGCTAATTTTGTATTTTTAGTAGAGATGGGATTTCTCCATGTTGGTCAGGCTGGTCTTGAACTCGTGACCTCAGGTGATCCATCCGCCTTGGCCTCCCAAAGTGCTGGGATTACAGGCGAGAGCCACCGCGCCCAGCCCCTAGGGCTGAGTATGGTTCCCTCTGGATTGGCTGCTCACTAAGCCTGATGAGTGTGTGTCCCATCTGCCATCTTATAACTGGATATGAGTCTTGGTTCTGTGTCTTCTGATTGCCATGCAAGTCTTGCTGCCTTCAACAGCTGCAAAGGCTGCTGTGGCTACATGACATAGCATGTTTCCTTAGTCTCAATGGAGAGGACTCTATGTGGAAGTATTCTCTTGGTGAAGGGCTTCTCCTGAGAGCATTAGCAACCTTCTGCACAATGAAGGGATTGGAAGTCTCCAAGCTGGATGAATTTCCTCATTCTGGGATTTCAAACTTCAAACTCTTCCTGGTGGGCAGAAAAATGGACACTTAGTTAACAGCCTTTTCAAAAACATGAATTCAAGATATTACTGTTTAATTGCTTCAATTCAATATTCTCTTGACTACATCATTACACATGGACACTAGTCAATCTTCAATTTGACAGAATCCTCAAATATCTTGGGTATGGCACTGATGCATAATCCTTTGGTCCTTGTCCAAGTACTGGTTTAGGTATAACTTATCAAGAATGCCTGGAATCTAAACAGCCAAGTTTAGAGCTTAAACAGAGCCTCCTTCCTCAATGTCCTTCACTGCCAACTAGCCAGAGCACCCCCCAGCTGCTGGGGGGCTCTGAGAAGACCACTTTCTTTGGTGTATTTTATTACAGGCTAAACAACACCCCTAAACAACAACAGAAACTCTCTGAGGTTTCCCAATGCCTTCAAGTGGCTCTGGGAAGGCATTGGAAGGCTTTGGATGAAATTACAGGCTAAGCTGCTTTAGCAAAAAGACACACAAAATACAGAAGATTAAACTATGCAGGGAGTCTGGGAGAAAAGTTAAAGAGAGGAAACTGGTCAACAATTGTCAACCTTATCTTCTCTTCAATTATCTTTCCTAAATTCCGGTATGATTTTGGTTGCTTGAACAATCAGCGTGGTCTGATGAGAGCTTATCAGCTGCGAGTAGCAGGAGAAAGAAGTGAAGATAATTATTTCCCACTTGGAGCTGAATAAAGTGAAGCTAAACCACTAAATGCAGCTCCCTAAACACACACACACACACACACACACACACACACACACACACAGAGCAATACACAAACTCAAAGCTTGATAATTTTAGTCTGGCTATTGATATTTCAAAATTGCATGGGAGAAAATTGTTATGAGTTGAATTCCAGTTGGTTTCAAAGGCATTTCTAAATTTGTGCTTTTATACCTGCAGTCATTACCTCACGTTTCTGAACGTCTTCTACAGAGCCTATGCCAGGCGCTGCTGGCTACATACACAGGTCACTAACAACAAAGCAAGGTGGGATACATTAAATAGCCAATGGGATGGGAGAGGAGGAGATGGGACTTTATCCGCATTTTAAAGAAAATATACAATGCCAAGGAGGGGCAAGCAGTCCCTGCAAGGGGAGCGGCATGAACGTGGGGAGCAGGGGAAAAGACGGGCCTGGCATGAATCTGGCACACTCAGAGAGCAATGAGTTTGTGTAGCGCAGCGGATTCAGGTATAGGAGTAATAACGGCCCCTGTGAGGCGGTAAATGGACTCTAAATTTCGGTTGAGCATCAATGCCGACTTAAAGGATTCGCACATCTTGAAGGCATTGGGAAACCTCGAAGGGTTTCTGTTGTTGTTTAGGGGTGTGGTTTGGTTGGGGAGAGAAGGAAATGTGATATATACAAGACGCTGCTTTGGGATGAGTCATCTGACCGTGGTGTACAATGGATCAGAATGGAGAGAGAGTGGGAGTGTTCGGATTGTTGCGGAGGCAGGGTGAGGAGCTGGGAGCCTGCGCTAAGGCTACCCATGACCTACAGGCTGTGCGAGCCACGCTGTTTCCCATCTTGTCTCCGTTCATCTTCCTCGTGCCCTATGAAGTCGGTATCCGGCTCCATCTTACAGACCAGGAAACTAAGAGCAGGCAAGGTCCAAGGCCACATAACAGGTAAACGCACAAGTGGGACTGGAACTCATTTTTTTGTCTTGACTTCGAAGTCCATGTTCTTTCTACTATGACACATCAGCCTCTTTTTTTAAAAAATGGTTAATAATAGCGGTGACAGAGGACGTGGGAGGGACCCTATTTGGAAATGAGTTATCTATCCTTGCAGACTCAGCGTCCTTACATTGCACCACGACAGCATGAATAAGTCCATATCCTATTACTTCCCACTTGGTACTTAGGGAGTAAAAACCATTCCATGCTGTAAGAGTCTCTCTGAGTGCTAAGTCTTGTGATCGCGGTGAGATGGAAAGTGAGTAGCCAAACATGTTTCAGGTTTGTGGGAAATTGCAAAGGACAAGACAGAAATCATAAAGACGCAATTGAATTACACTGTGTCGTGGCCCCTGGGATAACAGCTGTTTTCCAGGTCTACAATCGTTCTCATTAGTAAATTAAAAACTCGAAGCTCCCCATCCGCGGCCTTGCGCTGCTAGGCCACGTGGTGACAGGAAGCCCTGTGTTTGTACAGGTGGGGGAGCGAGCAGGCTTGCAAAGTGGGTGGCGGGAAGCTCTGCCTGGAGCACAGGTGGGGAATCCGAGCAAAAGCAGACCCCGGCAGAGGCCCGTGTGTTCCGGCGCTGTCAGCTCCCCTCTGCAGAGGGTGGCGTGGAAGGCAGCCCTCCTTAGGCCGCTGGGTCAGCTCAGGGCCAGATTCAGGGAATGGTGGCTGGGCTCTCTCTCCACCTAGGAATGCGGAAGGATTTGGTCCCCTGCAAGGCCAGTTCCTCCTTCCGAGCAAGTACCAAAAAATTACCTCCAGCATGATACCTCTGTACACAGCTAAAAGCAACCCAAACTAAACAACATGCCTTTTGAGAACACAGGGAGGAATGTCATCTATTTCAAAAAGGACAAGGGTTTTAAAGCAAAGGGAAAAAGCATCACGAGACCCAGGAAAGGGACTACCTCCAGTTCCGGGTTTGGGGAGGTAGGAGCCAGGATGGGGGCACCTTGCCGATGGAGGCACGGTGTTGTCAGGGTTCTGGTTTCCAGGTTGCCTGGTGAGTCCATGGGAGTTGATACAATTATTAAAAAAAAAAATTCTCCATAGAAAACGTAGAGGGGCGTGCATGGACCAACGGGGAGAGTATGTCAAGAACCAAAGATTATTATTAATCCATTTCTGTTCACCCAGGTGCAAAAAGACAGACTGGAGGGAGATGTATGCCAGGACCCCTGACCGGCCCTCTTAGCTTGCTGGAGGGGCTGGGTGCAGCTCACTGACCTGGCCTTCACCATCTGCTGCCTGCTTGGCTGTGGAGCCACTGATGCCCACGTGTAGAGGGCACAGACCTAGACAGAAATTGCTCATTGAAATGAGTAATGCTAGAAAAATTCACTTGAACATGGAGAACGGTAATAAATATCTAACTCTATTGGGCATGTAGATGTCAATGATCATTTCGTCTATTAAAGGACATTTAATATCAAATAGAAAGTCAGAAAACTTAAATTTGGGAGCCTGACCTACAACAAAGCAGCCTTGTAATCTCAAGAAATTAATTTTCTCCCCCAGAGGCAGAATCATCCAGGTATACCTTTTATGGTTTCTTTTCCCTTCTTTTCTTCCCTTTTCCTGCACTTCCCTCCCCTCTACTGTCTTTTTCTCCTTTTCTTTCCTCTCTGCTCCATTCCATTTTGTTTTATTTTACTTTCTTTCCTAACCTGAAACATCGTTTCCACTCTGAAAGAACACAAAATGTTTAGAGTTTAGGCTACATGACCTCAGAGACACCTTTGGCACTAACATTCCTGCCCTGCGTGGGCCGGGGCAGGGCCCTGGGACCTGTAGTCAGGACACCAGGCAGCTGCCGCCCTCTCCAGCTGAGACTGTCCAGCTCAGAGCCATCTGGGGGGTTATTCGGATATTTCCCGTGCCTTATCTTGTTTCTCTCTTTTTCCTTTTTTCTTTCTTTCTTCTTTTTCTTTTCTTGGAAGAGAGAAACAGGCATGAGCCTCCATGCATGACTTCTCTCTTCATAGTTAAAAAAAAAATCTCAACTTTTCCATACCTTGAAATGTTTAAAACACAGAACTAGAGTCATAGAAAACCAGGAGAAGAGAAAGAGAGAGAAAAAAAAAAAAGGCAAAGAGATTAAGATAAATGTGACTTTATGGTAGTCTGAGAAAAGCCAATTGACCACAATTAAAATAAAACAATGTATCTTTAAATGTGTGCTCTGAACTTCTCTCACAGCCAAATTCATAGGATTAAAACGTGCTCCTGGTGAGATGTCACCATTCATGCTATGGCTGGGAGGTAAAAATTAACTCAACAAAAATGTATTGAGGAACATCTACGTCCCTGTGTTAGGCCCCGGAAAAAAGAAATTAACAAGTCAGACAATGTCCCTGCCCTCAAGGACCTTACATGGGGAAAACAAGAACCAACTTTAAATTAATAACTATAGAACATCAAGCCAGGCTGAGACAGGTGGCACTTAACAAAGGAGATGGCCATGGGAGCTGAGGGGCATTGACACCATGACATAGTGGTCAGAGAAGTTTTCTCTTCTGGGGAGACATTGGGTTTTTTGTTCGTTTGTTTTTGTTTTATGTTTTGTTTTTGAGACAGGGTCTTGCTCTGTCGCCCAGGCTGGAGTGCTATGACCCAGTCATAGCTCACTGTAGCCTTGACCTCCTGGGCTCAAGCGATCCTCCGTTTCAGCCTCCCATGTAGCTGGGATGACAGGACTGTGCTACCACACTCCACTACTAAAAAAAATATATAACTATATATATAATATATACATATAAATATATATATATTTTTTAGAGTTGGGGTCTCACTATGTTGCCCAGGCTGGTCTTGAACTCCTGGGCTCAAGGGATCCTCCCGCCTCAGCCTCCCAAAGTTCTGGGATTACAGAATGATCTGTGGCTCCCAGCTGCTGGCGAGACAGTTGACCTGAGCCCTGAGTGAACGAGAGAAGCAGCTAGGTACACATCTCTTGAATGAGCTTCCTTGGCAGAGGGAACGGGCTGCCCACTGCCCAACCCCTGAGGGAGCTGAGATGTGCCTGGCCTGACTGAGGATCAGTGGAGGCCTATGTGGCTGGAGTCGCTATAAGATTTACAAGGCCCAGTGCAAAATGAAAATGGAGGGTCCCATGTTCAAAAATTATTTAAACCTTCAAAAAGGCAACAGCAGAACAATGACCCGAGTGTGGGGCCTCTCCAGGCTGGGGTCCTGGGTGACCGTACGTGTCACCTGGCCAGCTCTAAAGGCAGCAAGGCAGATGATGAGGTCCGTCTGAGGACTTAAGGCTGATCCTATGTCTTGGTAAGCCATTGCAGGGACCTTCAATTTTCCTCCAAGTGCAACAGGAAGCCATTGTCAGATTCTGAGTGGGGAGTGGGTGACCCAATATGCTTCTAGCAGGATATCTCTGACTCCTGTGTGGAGGTGAGCCTGGGGAGATTAGGGTCACAGCAGGGACGCCAGTGAGGAGTTCCGGCAGGGGCCTGGAGAATCGCAACAACTACAAGAGAGAAAGAAGGACATGCCAGGTGCAGTGGCTCATGCCTGTAATCCCAGCACTTCGGGAGGTCGAGGCGGGCGGATCACCTGAGGTCAGGAGGTCCAGATCAACCTGGCCAACATGGCGAAACCCCATCTTTACTAAAAATTAGCAGAGTGTGGTATCGCGCACCTGTAATCCCAGCTCCTCGGGAGGCTGAGGCAGAAGAATCGCTTGAACCTGGGAGGCAGACGTTGCAGTGAGTCGAGAAGGCAAAGAGCCTTCACTCCAGCCTGGGTGACAGAGGGAAGCTTCATCTCAAAATAATTTAATAAAAGAGAAAGAAGGACACCTCTCTCTCACCATAATTGGATGCAACGCTGCCCTTACCACCCCCAGCATTTGGAGATTTCTGTGTGTTCTTTGGCTCCGGCCATGAGTGAAACTGCTCTTGGGCTGGAGTAGATGTGGGTCCCATGCTAAAAGATGTGTGGCAGAAAAAGAAGCCGGTGCTGCAGGCACCCTTTACCTTCCAGAACGCATGCACCTCTGCTGCTGTGATGCCCAGTGAGGATAGGAAGCAGAAAGAACATAATTACATCCTGCAGGAAAATCCTCTCCTGTAGCGCCCTTACTTGGAATTCTATTTCTCTTTCTTTAAAGGAAAAGGAAATTCCTGAGGGCTTAAAGAATGTCTGTCAGTGCCTCCCTCAGGTGTCAGAAGAGGGGAGGTTTGGAATTCTAACAGAGCTGAGCCGAGAGGAAAGGCCAGGCTTGAGGCGTGACCTAGTAGGTGGCCTCTGTAGGTGCGACTGCACGCCTCTCCTCCATGGAGGGACCCAGGAGACGCCGCCTTCTCAACAGTGCTGTGAGGGCAGACTTGGGTGGCGCTATGGGAGGGAGATCAAGGATGCTCCTGCCCGAAAAGGGAGGCAAAAGTGATTAAGAAACAAAAAGGAAGAGGAAAGAACAATGAATGGATGAAAATGACCTGATATATCAATACAACAGAATAATATTTAACAATAGAAAGAATTACGGATGAACCATACACACAACATGGAGAATCTGAAATAATGTATGCTAAGTGAGGAAGTCAGACAGGAGTACTGCTATGTGACTCCACTCACGCAACACTTCAGAAGATGCAAGCCCAGCCTTATAATGGGAAGCAGATGAGTCCGTGGTTGCCAGGGATGAGGAGTGGAAGGAGGAGCGAGGAGAGATGACGTGAGGAGAGGGAGGACGGAACTTTTGGGGTTGCTAGATATTTTCATTGCCTTCTATGTGCTGATGGTTTAATGGGTATAATTCATACATCAAAATTTACCAAATCGTACAGCTTAAATATATGTACCTTATTGCGTTAATTGTATTTTGATAAAACTGTACTTTTTTTAACAAAGAAAAAGAGGGTCGGGTGTCGTGGCTCACGCCTGTAATCTCAGCACTCTGGGAGGCTGAGGCAGGCGGATCAAGAGGTCAGGAGATCGAGACCATCCTGGCTAACATGGTGAAACCCCGTCTCTACTAAAAATACAAAAAATTAGTCGGGTGTGGTGGTGGGCGCCTGTAGTCCCAGCTACTCGGGAGGCTGAGGCAGGAGAATGGCGTGAACCCGGGAGGCGGAGCTTGCAGTGAGCTGATATCGCACCACTGCACTCCAACCTGGACGACAGAGTGAGACTCCGCTTCAAAAAAAAAAAAAAAAAAATAGGAGTAGTACTAGCGGACTAGCATTAGCCAGCCATTTATGAACCACAGATACACTTTACTACAGATTCGTGCCTATTCACAGCAACGTTGTGGTTACTTACCCACATTTGTACAAGAAGGAAGAGGTCAAGTAACTTGCCTAAGGTCACTCATTTAGAAACAGAGGAATTTGACTTCAAAGCCAATCTCGTGTTTTTTCCATCTTGCCAAAACCATGATAGTGGGGTTGTTTTTTTTTTTTTTAATGGCCACATATTACTCTCCCCTCATTGACTTCTCCCCTTCATTCTGTATGGGCTTACAACTGCTTCAGACAATAAGTATGAAGAAAGTGACTATATAACTTCCGCTGCTAGGTCAGAGAAAGTGACACCGCTTCTATCTCTTCTAGTCTCTTGGACTCTTGTGCTTGAAATACTTGCTCTTAGAATGTTTCCTCTTGGAACCTATCAGCCGTGCTATGAGAAGCCCAAGCCACGTGGAGAGGCCCCATACTTGTAAGTGGTTTGGTCAACAGTCCCAGTAAGTCCGGCTTGGAGCAGCCCAGCTAGGCATGCGAGAGAAGACACCATCTTCAAAGTAAATCCTCCAGCCTCAGTTGTTCCAGTCTTCCCAGCTGAGGCCCCAGACACCACAGAACAGAGACAAGCCATCTCTACTCTGTCTTTTCCAAATTCTCAATCCACAGAATCTGTAAGCCTACTATAAAGGCTATTTTATGTCACTAAATTTGGAGTAGTTGGTTATGCTAGACAACTAGAGTAGTAATTTTGTCTTGGGCTGGCTTGATGGTATAAGTGGATCTAAGCAATATATCCATGGTTTGGGACTATATTGACTACAAAAACAACAAATTAATCCTTCATCTGTTATCAACTCTAGTCTAGTTTTATAGAAATGTCATGTGGTCCCCTAAATGCTGTCATTCAAATAAGACCTTCTTGGGCCAAACAACCAATACATCTTCCTACGTAAGTTTAAATAAAGTCTTTCTGGCTTATGTGAGATCATGAAAGCCTCCTTTTGACACAATAATCCCATGCTCTGTAGTCTGTAAAGTCATTTGGAATTACATGGCAAATGACATTTATAAAGCAACAACTAGCCGGTGGAAGCAACGTTAAATCAGAACATTTTAGTAACTTCAATTTTTATCAAGAGTAGTATGTTTTAGGCTATATTTCTTAAACAAGAAGGCTTGGTCAAGTTTACATTTATTCAGATACCCAAACCATGTCCAGATTATATTTGAACATTTCTTTGAGGGCTCTATGTCCCATTTAATTGCTTTTGACAAGCATGATACCCTCTAAACCTAAATAATGTGTTTCCCCTGAAAACCCCCTCAGCTAAAAACACATTCTACTCCAAGTAAAATGGTTGCATCATCTAAATTCCATTATCTGTAGCATTTTGTAAAAGGCCATGAACTAAGAATGTGCCCTTGTTCTTGATCTCAGGGCGTCTGAAAAAAGACTTGAGCATGAAGCCAGGAGGGGTCTGGCCGCTCGCCCAGGTCTTGATCTCCAGGCTCTCAGCTCACCAAGGTGGGATGCAGCAGCTTGCAACTTCTTGGGGGAAAATAGTTCTTGAGAAATAATTTCAAGGGGTAAACTGGTGATTTTTTGGACAGAGCTTGGGAGAATATCTGGGGCAGAACCGGAAGAAGGGAGAATGTGTGAGAGCTAAAAGGAGGCAACAGCAGGAGCTAAGAACGAGGACAGGGGAGGAAAGAGTGGGCTCAGAGCAGGGGAGGGTGGTGAAGTAACACCAAGAACTCTGAAAACCCTTGTCGCCAACTGTGACTGTCTTCACAAATCCCGACGGTAAAGGCTGCGTGACTCTCCTGGTAACCCTTCTGCCTCGAGGGCCTTTGGCCCTGCCCAACCAATGGTCATGCTGCTGTGTTGGACCCATGAACTGCAAATCCCTTTAGTGAGTGTGTGCAGAGGACTGTGGCAGAAATCCACATGAGAGACTTAGGTACTGCAGTGATCCATCATCTGGGAAGATTAAGTGGCTCTGGTGGCTTCCACGCTACCATCTGACTGTGGTCATCTTGAAAGTTAACTCTTCACTTGTTTTTATCAGTGTGGCTAGCATTGCTTCTGTTCTTAGGTTAAAAATACAACAGGGAAAACCCACTCCACCACCACAAAGCTTAAGCCTGGACGTGGCTAGAGGTTGGTTTTATGAGGTTGTCAGAAATGAATCATCAAGCTACTTGAAGCCAGAGACTCCAGGAAATCTAAACATTTGATAATGCTTGTTTTTGCTTAATTTAGTGAAGCAAGGCCAGAGTCAAACCTGCTGCCATGCACGAGGCAGGCAGATTTTTATAAAAACAGGTTTGTCCTCAAGATTCCCAAACGCCTGTGTCATCAGGCTCTGTCTAGCTCTATTGAAGGCCCACCCTCCTGTAAGAAGCACAGATGCAATTCAAGCCAAGTTCAACTGGATTGAAAGCTCCTTGGGGGTTGTTACTGCGCCTCACACAGCTTTGTGTCCCTCAGAGTAAGCATGTGGGTAAGGTCAGGTTCCCCAGAAACAAATCTGTAAGGTGAGGACAGAGGAGGTAGGAGGTGTTTACTAAGGAAGTGCGCCAGGGAAGGCTGGGCAGGAGTGAGGGAAGCAGGATGATGAGGAGGAGAAGAGCCACACCAGGGGTTATCTCAGGCTGCGACCCGTGGGGTGGCGCCAGCCTGATCTTGCAGGGACCTCAAGAGGATAAGGCACCCGTCAGAGCTTGTCCCAGCTGGCAGCAAAGGACCTGGGCTTTCCTATTCTCCAGGCGTGAAGCCCCTAGGAAATACGACCAATATTTTATCCTGTGGGAATATAATTTGGGTAGGGCTCAAGATTTGGAAAATGATGTATGAGCTGATTGTTTTGCCACCTGCTACACAGGTGTTCAAACATGGCAGAATGTGAGTGAGCTTCTCCACTCCTGGTAATAATCAACGGGGTTCCGAGTGCTGAGTTCCTCCCACATTGCTGCTCTTCAGGGAGTGAGCCTCATGGCCCTGGAGTTCTCCATTAGACTAGTCCGACAAAGCGGGGCATGTTCTAACTATCCAAGAAAACCATGCTCCTTACATATTTAGCTATTATGATTACTTTCCACCACAGCAGTCCTAGCCTCTATGATACAAAGAAATCAGAAAAAAAAAAATAAATTGGATCCAATCTATATTGAATGGCTAAGTTTTTATTAATTCAGTTACCTATGCCACAAATATCTACTGTATGCCTTCTGTGCTCCAGGCAATATGCTCGGGTTTTGGAGACACAGAGCAACAAAATATACAGTTTACAAATGAGTGGACGTTCTTGAAACAAAGGCTGGGAGGGATGGAGGGAGGTGTGAGCCTGGAGGCGTAAGCAGGAGTCCTCCCGGGAGCCTCATGGTGAAACCTGTGCTAATGACCATGCGTTTTCACTGCTCAAATATCGCGGGGGCTCTATGCCTCTTAAAATTTTATCAGTGTCCTAATTTTCTTCCACTGCATCCTAGGAGAACCAAAGACCACAAGATGAAAACATATTCAGACACACCCTTTCCCACTCCAAATCACAATTTTCAGGTCAAGCTCCCCTCAAGGGGATGCATTTCATAGAATTTGGTGATTGTGTTCTTTTAGGTGTATTGTCCACTTTTCCTGGCCTTTTTCTAAATTCTTTTATCTTTTGGGAACATGAGACTCACATAAAATAATAAAGGGTTAGATTATCTTTTTAAATCCGCAATATTTTAGCAATATTTACCTCCTTCTAACTTCAGTTATTGTGCGCAAGCTTTTATTATTGGCATGACATTTTCAAGTTCCTCAATTGACCACATATTGGGATTCATTTTTTGATGTGCAGTATCTTGTAATCCTGAGTACAATCCTTAAAAGGAGAGAGAAGGCCAGGTGCAGTGGCTCACACCTGTAATCCCAGCACTTTGGGAGGCCGAGGTGGGTGGATCACGAGGTCAAGAGATAGAGACCATCCTGGCCATCATGGCAAAACCCCATCTCTACTAAAAATACAAAAATTAGCTGGGCGTGGTAGTGCACGCCTGTAGTCCCAGCTACTCCGGAGGCTGAGGCAGGAGAATCGCTTGAACCCAGGAGGTGGAGGTTGTAGTGAGCCGAGATCAGCCACTGGACTCCAGCCTGGCGACAGAGTGAGACTCTGTCTCAAAAATAAATAAATAAATAAATTAAATTAAATTAAAAATAAAAGGAGAGAGAAACACACTAAGAATGGTGCCGCAGTTCATAATCTCTACTTGGGTTCAGCATTGTAGAAATGTAGGTTCTTTCAGCCTGCCTATCTCTCTAGGATTCAAATTGCCTGATTGAGGTAATGTCGGTTCCTTTTTTTGATGGATTTAAATTTTCTGGTTTACACTAACATCCACCAGATCTCCAAGCCGGTGGCACAGCACAGCCATGTTTCGTCACCACCCCAAGTTCAGGATGTGCTCCCGTGGCCCGCGGGCTTTGAGCTGGAACTCCTGCTTCCCTGGGGAAGCACAGGCACATCAGTGTGCTCGGGGTGTTTGCAGAGAGCTGTCCCCTAGGGACCCCACATGGAGGAGTGGGCTCGGCCCCCTGGGTGGTGTTGGGGCAGGGGAAGGATCACACATGGGCCTCAAGCAAAAGTATGATGGTAAGACTGAATAACCGTCCAGGTTTATCACACTCAGACGTGGAATGTAGTACAATTTCCACAGTCTAAGAGAAATAACCATTTTGTGAAACTCTCTCAATAATTTACACTCTTTAAAAAAAAATCAAAGCTGAAATATTTGATGCCACCATTTAAGAATTTGTGACTTCAAACTGAAGTCGTTAGGTTTGCGTCTCTATTCCACAATTTATTGACTCTATGATTCTGAGCAACTTATGCAAAGTCTAAATAATATGCAAAGTGAGAATAATCATAACAATGTCATGGGCTGAATTGTGTTCCCCCCAAAGACATGCTGAGTCCTAAGCCTTAGGAACTGAGAATGGGAACTTATGTAGAAACCCTACTACACATCTAATTAAGTTAAGGTGAGGTCATGAGGGTGGGTCCTACTCCAACATGACTGTGTCCTTATGAGAAGAGAAGAGACGCAGAGACAAATGCGGAGAAGTCCATGTGAAGATGGAGGCAGAGACTGTAGTGATGCAGCCACAGCAAGGAGCTGCCAACCACAGCTCGGAGAGGGGCCTGGAACACATTCTCCCAGACCCTTCAGAGGAGGCATGGCTCTGCTGACCCCTTCATTTTGGACATGTAGCATCTAGAACTGCGAGAGAAGAAATTTGTGTTGTTTTAAGCCACCCAGTTTGTGGTATTTTGTTATGGCAGCCCTATGAAACTAAAACAATACCTGTCTTGCCTTTCACAAAGGAAATTGTGTACGGGTGCCCTTTGTAAGCTATTATAGAAGGTTCTTATTATTAGGACACTTTCTCTTGCAAGGAAACAGGAAACTTAATTCAAACTGACTTAAGTTTTTTAAACAAGGAAATTTACTGACTCAAGAGGTAAGTGAGTCGCAGCCTGGAGGGACTCAAGTGTGCAGATGAGTCTCTCTGTCACTTCTGCTTTCCAGAATATTTCTTCTTGTTCTAAGGACTCGTGTGGTAACTGCTTGCAGCTCCAGATGCACATCCTCCGAAATTCAGACTCAGGGGAAAAGAGAGTATGTCCCCTGTAGCTCCCCAAAAAATTCAGGATTGTACCAACTCAAGTCACAAGCCTATTTCTTAACCAATAACATGGCTAGGGGATGTGACGCTCCACGTGGCCAAGCTGGGTCACGTGCACCAGTGGAGATAGGGCCTGAGCCCCTCTCAAACCATACGTGCTGAGCATGGGAGAGCAGAGATTCCTCAAAAGAAGCTCATGAACTACTAAAAGAAAGGGAAATCAATATTCCATATCTTCCTCCAATTTCTTTGCTCTCCTTCAAAGCAAAATGTCTGCAAAGAATTTTTTCTATTGTCACAACCTCTGCCTCTTGTCATCCCCAGGTGGGTTTCTGTTCCATCACCTCCAGAATGCAAAGCCAGGTCTCCAATCTGTCCTCTCTGCTCTTGGCCTCTTGTCAGGTTGTCCCGGTGGCCCCTCCCTTCTTCCTGCACACCTGCCCCTCACCCCATCCTGTCCGACCCTGCTCCCTCTTGCCTTCCAGACACCTTGCTGGCTTCTCAACATCGCAGGGCTGCCGGCCTCCCTTAGCCGCGCTCTCCCTAGCTGCCTGAGCCCTTAAACACAACTGCATATGCCGCTGGCTCCAGATGAAACCCCTAACCCTGACCTCTATCCTGGGCTCCAGATTTACAGCCCCTCCTGCCCGTGTCACCTTCAGAACATATCCGGCCTCCACTCGCATTCCCACATTGCTCCATTGGACGCATCTGCCTTGGTCCCAGCCAGCAGGATGGTATCCCCTGGACTCCCACGTCAATCTCCCTTCCAGTCTCCCCGCTTCCTTCCTGGCCAGAATGATTTGATTTGAAAACACAATTCAGATTATCTTACTCCCCTGCTTCCTACCCTCCACCAACTTTCCACTGCACTTAAAATGGAAGGAAAATGAAAACCCAAGTGTTTACTGTAGCTTCCGAAGTTGCATATGCTCTGGCCCCTGCCTACTGGAGATCTCATCTCCTGCCTTCATTGATCCGTCTGGGGCAGAGTGATGGGAGTGGCCGGCCCTAGGTGTGGGCTATAAGTGTGTGCACTGACCACAGAATATTAAAAGATTGGTAAAACCATCGCAGTTGGTATGATTTTTATTATCACCATGAGCCAGCAATTCTAAACAACCTCAGTGATAAAATACTCCTTCCCTGAAAAATAAAGCATTTGTTGGTCTGAGTTATAAGCTATTGCTGAATGTACATGGAATTTTAACAATGTATAGGTAAGCTTTAAATTAGCATATTGTATTACTTATGCTTTAATAGACATTGCATTTTACATGGAAGTTAATTTAGAGATGCCCCAGGCACAGCAGTCGGGGAAGGTGCCACTATACACACTGGTTTTGAGAGCAAGTGTGTAACAGTTTGTGACCATTCAAGCTCTCTTTGGGCACAGTGTGCATCTGATCCAATGATACCATAATGCTTGCAAAGATGAAAAACAGAGGTTGACTTACTTCAATTCAGTTTTCTATGTGGCTCTGACAAGTTTTTAGTTTCAAAAATAAAAAAGTCTTCTTTTTAAATTGCTAGCTATTTTATAACTTACAAAAAATAAAAAATAATGATGGCTCTGGATTGCTACATGATTATCATAGAAGAGGATTTTGTCATACAGTGGAAGCAAGCATTAATAAACACCTCCTGACCTTGCTCTATTTCCTTGGACACATCAAGCTTGATCTTGACTGTGAGCCTTCACTCTACCTCAGTGGTTCTCAACCAGGGCAGTTTGGCCCCCAGGACATTGGCAATGGCTGGGGACATTTTGACCATCACAACTAGGGATGGGGTGAGGGAGTTGCTACTGGCATCCAGCAGGCAGAGCCCAGGGATGCTGCTGAGTGTCCTACAGTGCACAGGACAGTGGCGCAAAGGAAAGAATTATCTGGTCCAAAATGCTGATAATGTCAAAGTGAGAAAGTTTAGAAACGCTGCTGTCCTCTCTGCCTAGAACACACCTGCATCAGAGCTTCTCGTGGCTCATTCCTTGACACTGAAGTCTCAGAATAAAAGGAACCTCCCTGTAGAGGTCTTCCCCTGACCAGCCCTCCAGAGGAGAACCCACCTCGGTCTCTCACCACCAGATCACCTGATCTTACTTAGTTTTCTTCATAACATTTGCACCACCCAAAATTAAGCTTTTGCACTTATGTGTTCGCTACTTGGTTTATGTTTTTGTCCTGTGAACAGAAGCACAATGAAAGCAGGGACTTCGTTCACTATTGTATCCCCAGTGCTTACATAGGTGACTGACAGTTACTAGGAGCTCAATAAATATGTGTATAACTAATGAACGGACAAGAACAAGATAACAGATATTTACTGCAGTTTCTACACTAATGTGAAGTCCTGCATTGTAAGTTTTCTCTATCACTGGGGGATTGTTTCTTTGCTTTATTTAATAGTCATTCACATATCTAGAGATTAGAATAACATTTCTGATTGTCTGAATTCAGGATGAAAGATAGTTCATATTCCTTTTGACATATACATTCAGTTGTTGTTTTAATGTTAATATTCCAATCAACGTGGTAGTTCTTTCTTTAACAAGTTTAATTCCGCACGCCCCTGACATGTTTTGTGCATATAGCTGTAGACCTGAGCAAGAGTGATACATTTTATTTTACTATTTATTTATTTATTTCAGAGATAGGGTCTTGCTCTGTTGCCCAGGCTGGAGTGCAGTGGCATGATCATAGCTCACTGCAGCCTCAAATACCTGGTCTGTAGTGATCGTCCCACCTCAGCCTTTCAAACAGCTGGGACTACAGATGTGCACCATCACGTCTAGCTAATCTTTAAAAAATGTTAGTAGAGATGGGATCTCACTATGTTGCCCAGGTTGTTCTTGAATTCCTGGGCTCTAGCAATCCTCCCACCTAGCACTTTGCCTTCCAAAGTGCTAGGATTATGGGCGTGAACCACCACACCCAGCCAAGAGTGATAGATTTTAAATATAGGAAGATAATTGATCCCTCAGACATTCTGCAAGCTATGATTATGACTGTGATTACATTTGTCTTTAAATTATGCTAGCATATTATTAAGACAGGGATACTGTTACCCACTATGATGAACTTATTTGGCGGTGGCAGAGGGAGAATTACACATAGTCATTTCATTTTAAACATTTTTAAAATGTCCATATTCTTCCACTAGGCAGATGCAAGATGCCTTACAACCCTGGGCTGGATGGGTACAAAGAAGTCAGACATGGTCCCTGGGGAATCTTCCAAAAATTAACAGGCTTATTACATGGGGGACAAGATATGCATTAATTAGCCAAGACACAAGCTATACTAGCACTACATTCCAGACGTGGTATAGAGAAAAGGCTCCCGAAGTCCAGTTGTTAGATATGGCAGATCATGGAGACCTTGGTGGAGGAGGTGGCACTGAGTTGGGTATTGAAGAGTGGAATGGGTTTGAATGTGAAGGAATGGGAGCAAGAGCAATGCAGCCAGAGGGAATTTCATGAGCAGAGGTGTGAAAGCTGATGCAGTGTGGGGTGAAACAAAGCAGCAAGCATTTTGCTTTGACTGGACTGGGGATATGGAAGGGGAGTAGCAGAGAACAAGGTTCCGATGGCAATGATGGCTGGGTGCTCCAACACACTAGAACTACCGGCTGAGGTGTTGGGCCTCCCTGAGCTGTGGACATGAAACCACTAAGGGCTTTGAAGAATGCAGGCGAGATGACTGGAGCTTCAGGAAAAGGAACCTTGAAACACTGCTTAGGAAGAATCAGGGTTTTGGCTGAATCAGTGCAGTGGCTCACACCTGTAATCCCAGCACTTTAAGAGGCCGAGGAGGGAGGATGCTTGAGCCCAGTAGATTGAGACTGCAGTGAGCTGTGATTGCACCACTGCACTCCAGCCTGGGCGACAGAGTGAGATCCTGTCTTAAAAAAAAAAAAAGAAGAGGGCTGGGTGTGGTGGCTCATGCCTGTAATCCCAGCATTTTGGGAGGCCGAGGTGGGCAGATCATGAGGTCAAGAGATCGAGACCATCCTGGCCAACATGGTGAAACCCCATCTCTACCAAAAATACAAAAATTAGCTGGGCGTGGTGGCACACGCCTGTAATCCCAGCAACTCGGGAGACTGAGGCAGGAGAATCACTTGAACCTGAGAGGCGGAGGTTGCAGTGAGCCGAGATCGAGCCACTGCACTCCAGCCTGGTGACAGAGTGAGACTCCATCTCAAAAAAAAAACAAAAAACAAAAAACAAAAAACAAACAACAACAACAACAACAAAAACAACAAACCTCTAATTGCTGATAGAAAGAACCTATCTGGTTGGTGGATTGAAGAGGTATCTCTGTGATTCATCCTAGTAGACCCATGCATTGATAACAAGAAGCAAAATCTTCTTACACCAGGTCTAACCACCCCACCTAAGGGTAAAAGATGACTGATGATGCCAGTCACCCATGCAGAGTGCTCCATCCCCTGGGGCCGCTGGGTCACCAGGGCCCACTCTCCCACTCAGACTCACCAGCTGTGTCTTCTGCTGCCAATGCCCTGAGCATCAGTTATGCCACCGAAGTCATCACAGACACAGTCATTGCTGCTGACACACAGGAACTTCTGCATTGGGATAGTCTCCCACCAAAGTTGCTATGGCCAAAACCCAGGGCCCCTTAAACCCCTGCCGCTAAAGCTGATGCTACTATCTTCAGTGGCTGCAGAGGCTGCCAACCAGGCATCCCTGCCATGATGCCAGGACCATCTCTTGAAATGACCAAGCTACTGGGGCCAAAGCTGCTGACACCCTGTGGCCTCAATGGCCCATGAAGGCTTTAGTGGAACAATTTTTGATGTTATACCCTCTGTCATTGTAGCATGTGATCATTACAACTCAGGCACGAGCCTGTGAGGTCTGAGCTGGAGGAAAATCAGTGAGACAGACACTGGGTTTGGGCTTGTCACTGTAGCAGACTCCAGCTCCCAGCCTCATTCCACCCCACCTCAGCCAGGGCTACCTGCTGGATGGAGAGCATCAGTCAGCCCTGCTGTGTCCTCATCTCCCAACCCCAACAACTGGCTGTCTGGCACATTTTGAACAATGAGAGGCAGGAGACCAGGAGGTGGGAAGGAACCAGCAGATAAATTCTTACCCTTCTCCATCCCCTGTTCCTTCTTATTCATGGACAGACTCTTCCGAAGGCTCTGTGGCTCCTGTCCAGGAGGCATCTGTGTCTGTGTCTCCTTGTGAAGGTGTAGTCACCTCGGCAAACCTCTGCCTTCCATTTGAATCCATTTTCCTTGTCTCAATTCCTTTTCTCCCCTCCCTTTACTCCTGCTGCCTGTGATTACACCCTCCAAGAAAGCTCTATTTTTAGGCCCCTCTGGCTAAAATGCTTCTTCTCTGACCCTGACCCAATGTCCATTCTTTCCTTCCTGAGGCTGTTTTCTCAGAAGCTCCTTGAGCCTTTGTAAAATAGGGCCCTCTGCACTCTCTCAAGCTGCCAGGTTTGGCTGAGTTCTGTGAACCCAGCTTGGGCTGTGGGTGGGAACCCTGTAAATCAAAGTCCAATCAGGAAAACAGAAGCCAGGCCAGGGAGTCCCTCTGGAGTTTTATCAATAACAAGGATTCAATAGAGAGAATAAAATGGTCAGTGAGGAAGGGGCTGATAGAGCTGAAGGGGAAAAGAAGACAGAAGACAGTAAGGAAAACAAAGATACTGGCAACACTAGGAAGCTGCTGTCACCCTAAAGGTGGGAAGGACGCAGGACGGAGGTGGTGTTACCAGACTTAGCGGAGTGGGAACCACAGCCAGCAGCAGAGCCCAGGAGCTGGGCTACAGAGAGGATGGGGAGGAATATTCTGGCTGCTCCCTTCTTCCTGCCCTCAAGCCTCTAACCAATTCCCCTCTTTCACCAAACCTAAGGGAAACTATTTGGTAAAAGAGCTTTTGGGAAATGAAGTTAATGAGGATCAGCCTCCAGTGAAACAGGAAAGGCGGGAGAGAGCGGGGAATGATAGGAAAGCAAGGAAGCCAACGCGTAGCCCAGGATCCAATGTCCCCAAAGCTGAGCATCCTCCAAACAACTGGACCCTCAGAGACACAGGGCTGAAGGCGCTTGTTCGTTATGAAGTTTCAATGATGATTGCCTAATGTTTTAGGTGCTCAAGGGTTTTCTTTTAAACTGAGTTTTATGATTGGGGTTGGAGGTGGGTATCCCTATTTTCCTAGATCCATGTATACCCAGCCTATGCTTGGGGTTGACACATGGCATTAGAATGTAGAAGGCAGAAAGAAAAGGTTGACATGAACATAATCCTGAAAACAATAATAATTTTCCAGGAGAGGGATAGCATTAGGAGAAATAGCTAATGTAGATGACGGGTTGATGGGTGCAGCAAACCACCATGGCACATGAATACTTAGGTAACAAACCTGCATGTTCTGCACGTGTGTCCCAGAACTTAAAGTATAATAAAAAATGATAATAATAATAATTTTCCATTTGCCAAAGCATGTAGTAATTTTTGTGACTAAGAAGAAAAGAATGTTGATTATATTTATTTATGATTAAATATTAAATTGATCAATATCAAAAGAAACTAATCCAGGTAAAGGATGCAATCATTGTTATTATATATATAATATTAAGAGGGGTTAATCCATTTAAAATCAATTTAAAAATCAAATATAAGCTGGGCTTTCGACTGAGATTTTACCTTTCAAATCTTAGGCTTGATCTTATTAATTTTGATGAAAGATCAGATATGACTCTTAGATAAAAATGATTATCTCTGTTTTTCCAATTAATGTTTTATTAGGTTTTCCACACAACAGCCTCAAATATTTTGACTAGTTACCATTAATATTTGTAATTTCAAATAGAATTATCTAGATTTTGAAATGGATAGTTTTCACTAAATAATTGCTAAATATGCAATCAACTCCATGCTAGGTAGATGCAGAGATATGTGCTTTATATGCTTTTATGGGTCTGTGGCTGTGCCTTGGCTAAAGCTGAGGAATGCTTCCTGGCAGCCAACGTAAAAAGGAAAACACGATATATGGCCTTCATCGTTTGATATGAGGAAGAGCTCTAATTCATTGGAAGAGAGACATTTTCCTGGAACTGCACCTCAAAGTACAGTTTGTCAAAAAGATCCAGATACAAAGGGTATTAGAGCAACATTGCAGATAATCTCTTTAATAGCAACAGAAAAAAAATCAGAACATATTTACATGGGTTATTCTTAGAAAGTGTATACTCGCTCACTCTGCCTGAGCAATGCCAAATACGGCCGAGGAATGACACAAGAATCTCTGCAAGATTATGTTGTCTTGTAAAGAGTTTTTAAAGTTCTAACTTAGTATAGAGGTAGGGGTTTGAAAACCTTAAGTACAAACTTAGCATGTCTCATAGAATATGTTTCTGTAAACAGAAATGATCTTGAGCAGGTTTAGGCAAGGGCTGCTGAACTGCCAGTTCTTGTTCCACTCAACGCCAAGTTGCCAGAGAGTGAGGAGTGTGTGTGTGCCTGGGTGGAAAGATTCCTATGCATTAGGTGCTGTGTGTGGATTATCAGGTTGATATTTTGTCAGAAAATTTAAACAACTTGAGCTACTTTTCTTTTTTCCTGGATGGAAGGCCATCAAGCTTCCTCACAGAAATGGGATTGCAAACCATTCGTTCATTCACCCATTCAAACAATTGGTGTTACTGACCAAAACCGATATGACGGGCACTGAGAAAACAGTGAACCAGAAGACATTCTTACATCCTTTATATTCAACGGAAGGGAAGTTTTTAAAAATAAACAAAAAAACTTTTAGCCAATCCAAGCCTCTTGAAAATCTTACATTCACCATTCAGAGCTCATTTAGAGCATGTATCATAACAGTCAACAGGCCACTACTGTCTCCAATAAAAACTCATTTTGTGACTTTCAGTATGCTAATTCAAGAAGCCCCAAGGTGTTGGGTAAGAAATGCCTGAGTGCGGCCTTTCTGATAGAATGCTAGCTCACCATCTTGGACTGTGGATTCCTGGTCAGAGTAACTGATAGAGCCTGTCTCTGCGGAAGTATTTTGTGGCCAGTTGCTGACGTCATAATTGTCCACATTTGAAGGGAGGAGGAGAGTGAGGGCACATCAAAGGCAGAATCCACATCCTTTACATTTTGGGTAAAACCCACATACCCACCAGAGTTTCCTAGCCAAATCAATTTTGATTCCTCAGGCCTTAGAATTTCTAGGAAAATAAAACTGTTGGCCATGCTCCAATAAAAAGAAATGTTTACAGTTTTCTTATCACTCTGGAGACATGAACTTTTCTTCCCTCACTCCTCCAGTAAACCCAAAAGATAAAAGTTTGACATGATAACAGATTTCAAAGGAAAAACTTTAATCTTACCTCCTGCCCAGACAGCAACCACAGGGTACCTAGCTGATTTTTATAAAATCGTGTGTAACATATCTTTAAACAACAATTTGAAATGTAGTAACCATTTTCATTTCTGCATCTTCTTGGAGTTAAGACACCAAAACTGCATGACCATCATCCTGAAACATGTCCGGGGCAAACACTCTGGGCAAACAATCTTTTAAATTGCTGATGTGGGCAATGGTTCTGCTAAGGTTTTACCAATAAGTAACCAACGTGGAAAAACTAGGCAATTTTAGGAATCAGAAGAGGAGGACTCGGAGAAGAAAACACTTGCCCAAATTCACGTATAATCACAAAGTAATGTTGGTCATTGGCAGAGAAGTGCAAAGAGACTTTCACTGTCATCTCTCATCAAGAGATCAGATTTGGGAATTATTTATAATGAGCCCATATAATGGGCTGAAAAATAATCAATTCCTACTTAAAATACCCTTAACATTGAGGTTCCTAAGTCTCGCTAATCATGCGTGTAAAATAAATATAAAGGTTAATGAAACTGAAATAAAATGAGGCATCCACAAGTTTATAAAACTTATTTGGTGGAGCAGAGAATTCATGGGCCTCAATTCAATTATTTCAAGGGAGTAGCTTCCTTGCTAGGCAGATTAATGGACAGTTTAACAGACAGTTAAAGCAAGCTGTGACTACCCCATGCCTGGCAACCCTCTCTCTTGATTTAATAGACACGATTGGAACAAATAGTCTGGCAAAGTAAGAAAGTCGGCCTCTTAATGAAAACTCCCAAAACAAACAGAAATGTATTTACTTTTGAAAATAAACTGGTCTTAAAAAACAGAAATAAATTAAATCTCAGAGGGAGACAGCCACATAGCCTGCCAATGAATAAAGATTTGGGGACACAGTGGTGCAGGAGAAGGATCCAGTGTGATATTATAAGTGTTTCATTGCTGGAGTCTGGTAGCTCTTTCCTCTACCCGTCCTCAGTACAAGGTAAATGATTACTAGTGATAACTTAGAAAATGGCACTAAGTGAAGCCTCCAGAGCTGTTTCCCTCCTGCTATGGTCCTAGATCTTAAATAATGATCCACCATAATGAAAGAACAGGAATGGCTGCTTCAGAATGGACTCATATCACCCATCACATTGTCAGAAGACCTACTTTCCATCTCCTTCGGTAATGCATGAATCAGTGTCCCTACTCTAGATAAGAATTCTTCTCAACAAGATGCAGATATCTTCATCTACTACATTGTATGAGGTTAAGTAGCCTTCATTTAATGACAACCACTTTTCTGCAGATTTTTCCTACACTTGGCTTTCTCTTACTGAGAAGGTTTTTGAAACATTCCTTCACATTTATTCATCTCATGCTGTCGGCTAACCTGTATGATCTCAGAAAATTCCAGAATACAAACATTCTGTCAAAGCCTATGTGGTTGGTTACACCACTCATAGAAGCAGTGTGGATTAGAATAATAAAAATCAGATTCCAAGCTTCTATGGTATAAAATAGGAGAGTGCCCTAGCTTTCATTTCCATTAAGCTTAAATCTGTGTAATGATGCTACATGTCAATGTCATGGTTTCTAATAATATAATCCAGTAGTTATCATGAGAAACAATCAATTTGTTGGATAAGTGTTATTAGAAAAAGCACTCAATGTAAAAAGCAGAATTATTGTTAGTCCAGAGGCTTTAGCATTCAGATGGAAAATACAAATAATTCCAATGAACAGGCCAATTTTATTTATTTGTTTGTTTCTTCTGTAGAAGTAGAGAGTTCAATTCCAACAGACTATTATTTTGCTTGAAAACAGATATCATATAGTAAAAAATACAGTTTTTAGGAATTCAAATTTTTAATGGGCAAAGTGAGTGTTATTAGTTTGCTACAGCTGCTATAACAAAGTACAACAGATTTGGTGGCTTCAATTATAGAAATTTGTTTCCTCACAGTTCTGGAAGATGGAAGCCTGAGCTCCACGTGTCAGCAGGGCAGGTGCCTCCTGAGGCCTCTCTCCTTGGCTTGTAGGCAGCGTCTTCTCCCTGTGTCTTCACATAATCTTCCCTCTGTGAGTCTGTGTCCTCATATCCTCTTCTAATAGGGTCACCAGTCAGATTGGATTAGAGCCTTAATGACCTCATTTTAATATAACTACCTTTTTAAAGACTGTATCTCCAAATACAGTCACATTCTGAAGTACTGGGGGTTAGGACTTCAACATAGGAATTTGGGGGAGGACAGAATTTAGCCTATGAGAGTGAGCAATTAAAAATACTTGTCCTGGGCTGGGCACAGTGGCTCACACCTATAATCCCAATGCTTTAGCAGGCCGAGGTGGGGGGATCACTTGAGGTCAGGAGTTCGAGACCAGCCTGACCAATGTGGTGAAACCCCATCTCTACTAAAAATACAAAAATTAGCCAGGCATGGTGGTGCATGCCTGTAATCCTAGCTACTTGGGAAGCTGAAGCATGAGAATCCCTTGAACCCAGGAGGCAGAGGTTGCAGTGATCCAAGATAGTGACACTGCACTCCAGTGTGGGCAATAGAGAGAGACTCTGTTTCAAAAAAAAAAAGTCCTGGCTCGGTGCAGTGGCTCACGCCTGTAATCCCAGCACTTTAGGAGGCTGAGGCAGATGGATCACTTGAGGTCAGGAGTTCGAGACCAGCCTAGCCAACATAGTGAAACCCCGTCTCTACTAAAAATACAAAAATTAGCGGGGCATGGTGGCAGGTGCCTGTCATTCCAGCTACTCTGGAGGCTGAGGCAAGAGAATCACTTGAACCCGGGAGGCGGAGGTTGCAGTGAGCCGAGATCGCACCATTGCACTCCACCCTGGGCAACAAGAGCAAGGCCCCTCTCAAAAAACAAAACAAAACAAAAAAAAAAACAAAACAAACAAACAAAAAAACTTGTCCTGCAAATTCTAGGCAAAGTTATCTCTTGCATATTCTAAAGTACTGGACTCTGAGACACCAGAACAGATGCAAAACTCTTGAGGTCTTTGAGGAAAATGTGGGCCACTCCTCACTGCCTATTGGACATCTCTATTACCAGGCCTAATTCCCATGTTTAAAACGGAACTAATTTCCTGCTACCCTTAACCTATCCTCCCCCAAATCCCAGTCTTTCCATTTCAGCAAGTTTAGCACTTCCAACCAGTGTCTTTGCCAAAACCCTCGGCATCATCTTTAATTTCTCTTCTCCTTTCACACCCCATATTCTATCCCTCAGCAAATCCCATCTAGCTACTTTCACAGCAGGGTCTGAACCCTATCCTGTCTCACTGTCTCCACCCTGAGAGCCCTTGCCTGGATTCCTGCAATACTCCCACTAGTCTCCCACTCCATTCCTGATCCCTTTATATTTTGTTTGCAGGAGCCAAAGTGATCCTTTTAAGGTGTAAGTCAGATCATGTCACATCTAAGAAAATAAAATCCAAATTAAATTCTATCCGGTCTATAAGGTTGCACATCATCTGGCCCCGGCTAAGTCATTGGCCTCTATTTCTATCAGTCATCCTCACCCAAGATTCCATGCTCTGAATAGTTTCCAATCTTCTTCCACTGTAAAAATTTCCTGTTGTCCATTTCCTTAGCACCCAGCATTGTGACAAAACCATCATGGCGAGGCTCTCGGTAAAGCTTGTGGGTTCGTGTATTATTTCAAAGTGACCTCTTTCATCAACACCAAGGGCCTTTTATGTGCCACACTCAGTGAAGGAACCAAAGTGGCAAATGTTAGGGGTCAGAATGGTCCAGAGGAGGAGGTCATTTTAGGTGGGAGTCTTTACCTATGCTCCAAAATGTATACTCCATGGCCTTGCAAACTGCTGGTCCCCAGTGCTGACATCCTATTCATGAACATTAACTAGGCTTTCTGTTAGGGATTTTTAAAATTTTGTTCCTCTTGTTTTCTAGATCAATGGGTTATTGTCAATCATTGTCATTTTTATGATGATGATGATGATGCACTAAACATCTTGTCTTTCTCTTATCTTTCTCTTGTCTTTCTCACTTTCTATAAAATAATACAATTATATCTACTTTTTACATTAGGATATTCCCATTAAGCTAATGTGAGATGGTTGACTTTTTAAAATCTATGGGCAAAGCAATTGTAGCAGATGCTGTTTTGGTGCCCCACCCATACTCCTGGGTTCTATCACTTCAGTGCTGGCCTGCCACTTGATGGCTGATGGGAGCTGCATCTCTTTGCTGAGGATGGGCAAGGCCACTCCTCCCACTCACTGGAGGCAGATGTGCCAGAGGAATCAACCGTTCCACCCCAGCAGTCTTTACAATGAGATTGCAGTTGGTGTATAAATACCCCAGCTCCCTCTATCCTCAGGCAGGTGAAATTTGCAATGTGTCCTATAACATTTCTCAGAGTTTCCTCACAGAAGTAATCTCTAGCTTAATTTTAGGGATAGTAGGCTTTAAAATGTCCCCTAACTGGAGGCTTTCCCTTCCTTGTCTTACTCCTCCACTCCTCTGCTGATTTTCCCATACCAGCGGCACGCTAGTAAACCAGTGCTCAAAATACAGAGGAAAACAACAAGTGGAATAGAAACAGCCCCTGTGTGAAGCAGCTGCTGGTCTCCACAGTGTCTATGCTCCCACCATGGCCTGTTTCAAGCTCTCAATGGGACATCCCTGAATCTGGGAAGGACAGCACTGTCAGCTCTCCTCAGCCAGGACAAACTGCCTCTAGCATGCCTCCTAAATAAGGGCCTTACTTCAGGGTGTGCCACAAGGGAAACACAAACTAAGACAGAAATGAAAGCTCAGAGAAACTAGGCAATTTTCTCAGGTATGAACACCTGGTCAGTGGCTGAAGGAATGCCTATTGTTACCTGATAAATTATATGGTAAACTGTGATATCAGCATGTTAGTTGCTTAGGCGTTTACTTATTTGTCAAATAGTCATGCATTAAACACAGATACCTTATACAGAGGAGTGAAAGGAATTGTAATTTTATTATTTTAAAAACTATGAAGTAGATAAAGAAATCCTGCATTGCAACATTATATCACAATGTTCTATCAAACGCTTGATTTCCTCCTATTCACTATTCTTTGCTGCATCAGTTTCACTGGCCCTGTTCTCATGCCTGCTTAATGTGAGATTAATTTTGCACAGTAAGATTAAGAACCATAACTATATATTGTATTCTTCAGTAGAACAGAAATCATCAGTCTTGGGCTTTTCCTTTAAAAGCATGTTGCTAAAATATATGTAGAACCTCGTAACTTTTGAGAACACTGCCTTGAAGATGCTTGTTTTTGAAAAGATTTTCCACTGCCAAGAAATTCCAAGCAGCTCAACTCCTTTTGCTTTTCCTTTGCAACACGGGCTCCATTTTGCCAAGCTCATGAAGCCTAATCTGCAGGAATGACCCTCCAGTGTGCAAAATGAAAGAATTTCAATTCACAGGAACATTCTGTCTTGAACTCCTACAAAAATGGGTCAGTGTGCCAAGTATGATACATGATATGAATTGGATGCTAAGAGAAACTTGGCTGATTGATTCATACATAATTTTTCTTTCTTTCTTTTTCTTTTTTTTTTTTTTGAGACAAGGTCTCATTCTGTCACCCAGGCTGGAGTGCAATGGCATGAGCATGAGCATAGCTCACCGCAACCTCAGACTCCTGAGTAGCTGGGACTACAGGTGTGCAGCACCACACCCAGCCATTTTTTTTTTTTTAAAGAGATGGAGGTCTTGCCACTTTGCCCAAGCTAGTTATTCCTACTTCTAATCATCTTTTCCTCTTTGGAATCTCTTCCTGCTCATCTGGTAGAAACAAACATGAGTTTCAGAGGTAAATCATGTCCTTTAATGCTATGAACCCCACGTGCCGATTTTAACTTCTCTTTTACTAAATTTATGGCTTTCTCAATACCCTCCTCTATTTAAATCCCTCTTCAAGTTATTCTTTATTTAGTAGATTGTAATGTCCTCGATTGGAGAAGTCCAGGTCTATAAAGCGTTTCATGACTGTTAATGCTCTAATCATATGATTTTGTGGCACAGAAGTAGATACTGGGTCTAATTAGGCAAATTAACAGTGCATAAATTGTAAACTAGGTCATTGGTGGGCTGTTTAGGTCTGGGAAGAGATAATGCTCATTTAATTTACTCAAAGAGCCATTTATCAAATGCCTACTTTTGTGTCAGGAACTGGGCATGCTAAGAGTATTCTAATGGAATATGGAGGAGTTAACACCTTACTTGCTGTTTTGTTTTGTCCTTTTTAACTTGGTCAATGTTTTACTTGTATTACTCTCATAACATCTTCAATACCCTGTCTTGAATCCATTGATTTGTGTATTTATCTCCCTCCCCTTCATTAGATTTTAAGCACTTTCAAGAAAGGGACTTGGTCTTATTTATAGACCATGCATCCAAGTGCCTCACAGATAGATCCTTGAGAAATATTGTTAAACTGAACTGAGAGGTGAACGCCTATGTTTTTGGTCTGCACTTGAGCTAGAGTCAAAACACAGGACTCTTGACTTCACATTCCCAGATGCTTTTCCCTCTATTTATAACTTGTACAGAATTTGTGACACAAATGCCTTTTGTGTCTGAAGAGTTTATTACTAATGGGACCACTTGCATCTTTAATATGGCAACACGTACGAGTGCCTATTTGGATAAGAGCTTGTTGAATTTTCTTCTGACTCAGCAGATTGATTCTTTCACTGGCTCCTCTAAATGTGGCCCAAAGTTGTGGGTGGCAAAAATGCAGCCTGTGGACCACCTGTGTTCTCTAGGCTGTATTTGAAACAGGGAGAGTTCTTGAATTCCAGATGTAATCCAGGCTTCCAGCACAGCTTGCCTGAGAAGAGCCGTGCCTAGGAAACCCTGAGCCAGTGATGGGGCTGGTCCCTGAAAATGCATTGTCCACCCTTTCCCCACTCACAGTCCTTAGCCTTCAACCCAATTCTCAAGTTTTGGTCTGCTTTTAATTGAGTACTTAGGAATTCACAATAAATCTTTGCACACACTTTTCTATTTCCCACTATTTTCTCCAACTTGATTCCATATGTCAGCTTTCTCCCTTGTGCCTTCCTCTCTTCATTCCAATCCTCTCCTCTTCCATGGGTAGAGTGCCAGAAAACCCTAACACCCTGGCTGGGCCATTTTGCTGAAGTCTTGCATCAAAGACATATAACTCTGTGATGTAAATTAAAGTCAAGTGTACGAATGTGATTGTATTATAAAATGGATACGACAAGCACAAGATTAAGACCAACCAACCTTGTGGATGATAAATATGTGGATCTTTGTTGTCAATTCCTCCCCCGTCCCATGGTATGCAAGCCCCCCTCATCCTGGAGCTCTTTCCCATTGAGCCTGGGCATGACTACAGCATCCTCTTCAGCACTGAGTTTCAAGTGTCTATGATCTTCTATCAGAGTTGGCCACAATTTGGAAGCTTTCTTTAAAATCCTCTTTCGCATTCCTTCTCCTCTTGGGAGACAAGAACTATTTTCTGAAGGAGTGGTTTCTTCAAGTGTGGTTTCTAGGCCAGCAGCATAAGCATTACCTGGGAACTTGTTAGAAATGTAAATTCTTGGGTTGGGCATGGTGGCTCATGCCTGTAATCCCAGCACTTTGGGAGGCCGAGGTGGGTGGATCACGAGGTCAAGAGATCGAGACCATCCTGGCCAACATGGTGAAACCCTGTCTCTACTAAAATACAAAAATTAGCTGGGCTTGGTGGCACACGCCTGTAGTCCCAGCTACTCAGGAGGCTGAGGGAGGAGAATCGCTTGAACCCGGGAGGCAGAGTTTGCAGTGAGCCGAGATGGCGCCACTGCCCTCCAGCCTGGTGACAGAGCAAGACTCCATCTAAAAAAAAAAAAAAAAAAGAAAGAAAAAAGAACTGGCTCCAGCCCAGACCTACGGAGTCAGAAACTCTGGGAATAGGACCCAGCAATCTCTCTCTCTCTCTCTCTCTCTCTCTCTCTCTCTCTCTGTTTGTGTGTGTGTGTGTTCATTGTGGTAAAATATACATAATATAAAATTTACCCTTTGAACCACTTGTAAGTGTACAATTTAGTGGTTTTACATATATTCATGATATTGAGCAACCATCACTGCTACTCATTTCCACAGCTTTTTTATCATCCCAAACAGAAACTCTATACCCATTCAGCAATAGATTCCCATTCCCCCAACCCCATCCTTAGTCCCTGGTAACCTCTATTCTACTTTTTGTTTTTGTGAATTTGTCTGTTTGTTCTAGGTACCTCACATAAGTGGAATCATACAGTATTTGTCTTTTTGTATCTGTTTTTTTTCACTTAGTATAATGTTTTTCAGGCTCATCTAGGTTGAAACATGTATCTAAATTTCACTCTTTTTCGAGGCTGAATAATATTCCATTGTATGTATATACCATATTTTGTTTAGCCGTTGATCTGTTGATGGCCATTGGAGTTGTTTCAACCTTTTGGCTATCATGAATTATGCTGCTATAAACATTGTACAAACATCTCTTTGAGTCCCTGCTTTCAATTCTTTTGAGTATAAACTGAGAATGGGGATTGATGGATCACAGGATAATTCTCTGTTAGCTTTTTGAGGAGCTGCCAATCTGCTTTCCACAGCAGCAGCACCATTTCACATTCCTACCAGCAAGACACAAGTGTTCCAATGTCTCCACATCCTTGCCAACATTTGCTGTTTTCTACTTTTTTGATAGCAGCCATCCTAATGGATGTGAAGTTACATCCTATTGTGGTTTTGATTTGCACTTTCCTAATGATATTGAGCTTTTTTCCTATGTTTCTTGGTCATTTGTATATATTCTTTGAAGAAATATCTGTTAAAGTCGTCTCTCTCTTTTTTTTTTTTTTTTTTTTGAGATGGAGTCTCGCTCTGTCACCCAGGCTGGAGTACAATGGTGCCATCTTGGCTCACTGCAACCTCCACCTCCCAGGTTCAAGCAATTCTCCTGCCTCAGCCTCCAGAGTAGGTGACACTACAGGCACGGGTCACCATATCTGGCTAATTTTGTATTTTTAGTAGAGCCGGGGTTTCACTATATTGGCCAGGCTGGTCTCAAACTCCTGAGCTCAAGTGATCCAACGGCCTCAGCTTCCCAAAGCACTGGGATTATAGCTGTGAGCCACCATACCCGGCCAAGTTACCCCATTTTTGAATTGGATTGTTTGTCTTTTTCTATTGAGTTGTAGGAGTTCTTCATATATTTTTGGATATTAATCTCTTATCAGATAGATGATCTGCAATTTTTTTTCCCACTTTGTGAGTTATTTTTTTCACTGTCTTTATAGTAACTTTTCTTTTTTTTTTTTGAGACAGAGGCTTGCTCTGTCGCCCAGGCTGGAGTGCAATGGCCCGATCTTGGCTCACTGCAACCTCCGTCTCCTAGGTTTAAGCGATTCTCCTGCCTCAGCCTCCCAAGTAGCTGGGATTACAGGTGCCTGCCACCACGCCTGGCTAATTTTTTGTATTTTTAGTAGAGATGGGGTTCCACCATGTTGGCCAGGCTGGTCTCAAACTCCTGAGTTCAGGTGATCCACCCGCGTTGGCCTCCCAAAGTGCTGGTATTACAGGCGTGAGCCACCACGCCCGGCCTGTAGTGACTTTTGATAGGCAAAAGTTTTTAATTTTGATGAAGTCCAACTTATTTATTTTTTCTTTTGTTGCCTGTGCTTCTGGTGATATATCCAAGGAATTATTGCCAAGTCCAATGTCATGAAGATTTCCCCCATGTCTTCCTCTAAGAGTTTTAGAGTTTATGCTCTTACATTTAGGTTCTTGATTCATTTTGAGTTAATTTTTATATATGATATAAGGTTAAAAGTCCAACTTCATTCTTTTGCATATGGATATCTAGTTTTCTCACCACCATTTGTTGAAAAGTCTGACCTTTCTCCATTGAATGATTTTGGCACCCTTGTCTCAGTCTGTGTCTTAACTAGCGTCCAGGTAATTCTGATGCTGTTTTGCGTGTGTTTTATCCTTTATCTTATACTTAGCCAGTCTAAGTTTGAGAGGGTCATAATCAAATGGTTTTCCCAATGCACAGAAGGCATTTTATCTTGATATTATGACCACTCTCACTTCAATATTCTAATGGGAATCCTAGACTCTGACAGTGCTCATATCAAAAAGGAAAATAACCAACTTAATCCATTCTTGGTATAACCAGTAAGTGATCCCCTGAGTTTCTCTCGTGGCCCTGTGATAATTAACCACCAAAGAACACTGATGAAATTCAGCTCATTGGACTCTAGAAATAAAGTTTTCTAACAGATACTCTTAAAAAGCTTTATATATACTCTTTGAAATTTTTTTTACCAAAGTTGAGTTTAAACTTGTTTATGGTAAGCAAGGTTCACCTCAAGTTTAGTGCTGTGAGTTAATAAAAATAAAATTGAAAAGCTCAGCTCAATTTTGTATTAAAACCTGATTAGAACCATGCTAAATTGGTACTTAGCTTTCGTGTATTAATTTAAAAAAGAGTCTAACACACCATAAACAAATCTACTTGTATAGTTAAAAGCTGGCTTGTGTATAGCCAAGCTCAATTAGCTACATCTAAGCATGGCATCTACATGCATGCCCAAGCTTTGTAGCAATACTCAGAAATTTATCTTCCACAAAGTCCTGGGAGAGAAGGAGTTACATTAAAGCTGCCAAACATTTCAAAATTCAGTGACATAGACTAATTTCTACTTATTATTTAGATACCCAGGTTTACTTAACTGACAAATTGGACTTTATTAGTTAGCTATATCTTTCAATGGTCAGTCATCATCCAACCTTGAAATAAATGGTATTTGATTAAAGCAGTAATGGTTAAAACATTTAAACCACATGCTGTAGATCTGATAAATCAAGTCAATATGTGTAAAGGGAAGAATTATTAGAGGATTTATGAAATCTGGCCCGAACAAATTAATTCATCAGTTTAGCCAAAGGTCTGTCAATGAATTCAAGAACCTTTTCAAAAAGGGAAACATCTGTTGCAATTTAAGTTTCTGTTTATAAGTGAATGTGGTAGATTGTTCTTTCTGAAAAGGGATACAGTTTACACAAACAGATTTGAAAGTTAATTTGAAATTGCTCAATGTCTTTGAGAATCAGAGGGCAATCCTTAGGGGATTTGGACAATTACTGTCCTTTCCACCCCTTCTTGGTGATGGAAGGGAATTTGAACCTCACCAGGACTGCAAAATGTTCCAACAAACCATGATGCCAACTGTCCAGGAACAGATTACTGCCTAGGTAATAATGCGAAGTCTCTACCTATCTGTGTTGGATTTATTAAAATCATATACTTAATGGAAGATTTAAAGGTACTTCCAAGCAAGTACTTATACATATACCATACATACACATATATTTCTGCTTTATACATTTACTTAGAATCTAACTTTTAAGTTAGAAGAGACTCCATTATATTTTGAGCTAGTAAGGTGAGTAATAAACACATTTAATAGATAAGAAAACTGAAGCTCAGAATCATTGCATGAATTTATTCAAGATTGCACAGCTAGCAAGTGGCAGGACTTAAAACTGAACTAGTGTCATTTAACACAGACATTGTTTTTCCTGTTGCAACACACACCTAACCATTCCCGGTTGTATTTTCATAATAATGGGGGCTCATCGGGGTCACCAACCTTTGCTACTCAATCTGTAATAGTGGATCAGCATCATCAGTGTGTCCTCAGAGCTTGTTAAAATGCAGAATCTCAGGCCCTACCCCAGACCTAATGAATTAAAATACGCTTTCTGACAAGATCCCTAGGCACATGTTATTGTTTAAGAACGTCTGTTTTAGAACTCACTTTGGGAAACCTGTGCTAGAATTTATTGTAATGCTGAAAAAGACCAGCTGAAACTCTTAAGATTTGATTTCAACATTCAAAAAATAATTTTCTATAGTTCAATATAGTTCAAAGATGCATAATGATTAATTTTTGTAGGTTTTGTTCCAGCTTTATTAAAGATAGAAGATCCACTAATTATTATGGGCTTGAAACTAAATTTTTAATTTTTTTGTTTGTTTTTGAGACGGAGTCTTGTTTTGTTGCCAGGCTGGAGTGCAGTGGCGCTATCTCGGCTCACTGCAACCTCAGCCTCCCTGGTTCAAGCGATTCTCCTGCCTCAGCCTCCCGAGTAGCTGGGACTACAGGTGCGTGCCACCACGCCCAGCTAATTTTTGTATTTTTAGTAGAGACGGGGTTTCACCATGTTGGCCAGGCTGGTCTCGATCTCCTGACCTCGTGATCCGCACTCCCCAGCCTCCCAAAGTGCTGGGATTACAGGTGTGAGCCACTGCGCCCAGCCAAAGATATGTATTTTTATCAGCACAAAGATGTCAGAGGCGTTTGAACCAGAGCAACTCCATCTTGAATAGGAGCTGTGTAAAACGAGGCTGAGACCTACTGGGCTGCATTCCAAGGAGGTTAAGGCATTCTAAGTCACAGGGTAAGATTAGGAGGTCGGCACAAGACACAGGTCATAAAGACCTTGCTGATAAAACAGGTTGCAATAAAGAAGCTGGGTGCAGCTGTAGCAGCCCTCCTAGGTGCAGGACCTGGGCACCTCTGCACCTGCATCCTCCGGGGACCTGGGAAGGCCCACACTCCCCCCCAACACATGCCCCTCTACCCCCACTCCCCACCCCCATCCCTGCAGGTTTGGGGGTGCCTGCTACCGGTGCCTGGCCTCTCTCCTCTCCCGGTGCCTGCTGTGATCTCAGAGGGGGATTGAGGCCGAGCCCCAGGACCATGAATGGCAGTGGAAGGCAGACAGATTCGTGGGTGGAAGTGGGTGGTCCCCAGTAAGTCCCCTCCTTCAGGCCAGGGAGGGCCTGTAGGCTGGGGGGGCCTGGCTGCCAGTCAGTCCCAAGACCAGAGCAGGGACTCATGATGCCTCTTCCAGGCCGCCTGTGGCCACCCACCAACCAATTAGCATGCACTTCCTCCCCTCTGAAGGCCATAAAAGCCCCCAGCTCAGCCAGAGCAGAACAAAGGATGGAGAGGCCACCGGAAGACCAGTTGCAGAGAGGAATTACCCTTTCTGCTGACAAGACAACCTGCTGGCAGAGAGGAGCTATCCTCTCTGCTGAGAGCTTCAGAGACCTGCAGCGATGTCCAAACGACCTGTCTGCACAGAGGAGCCACCCTCTCCAGGGCCTCCTCTCTGCTGAGAGCTGAACACTCCACTAGACAACCTGCATACAGAGAGGAGCTACCCACTGTGGACTTCCTCCCAGCTGTTGCAACACTCAGTAAAGCTCCTCTTCATATTGTTCATCTTCCACTTGTCTGCACACCTCACTCTTCCTGGATCCAGGACAAGAACTCGGGCAAAGGCCCTGCCAGCATGGAGGTTTCCAGCCAGAAAAGCAACACCCCAAAGATCCCGTCACACCACCAGCTCCAGCTCCGTGATGGTTTATAAAATGCCACGGCAACATCAGAAAGTTACCCTATATGGTCTAAAAGAGGGGAAGCATGCATAATCCACCCCTTGTTTAGCATATCATCAAGGAATAACCATAAAAATGGGCAACCAGCAGCCCTCGGGGCTGCTCTGCCTATGGAGTAGTTATTCTTGTATTCCTTTACTTTCTTAATAAACTTGCTTTCACTTTACTCTATGGATTCGCCTGGAATTCTTTCTTGCACAAAATCCAAGAACACTCTCTTGGGGTCTGGATCAGGACCCTTTTCCCGTAACAAAGGTAGAAGACAGCTTCTATTATCAAAAGGCCTTTATCAAGCTGTGGCTTCATAATAACCAGCCCTCAATGTCAGGAGTTGATGACAGTCACTCAATATTAAATTTTGGTTTGGGGGTCTTTGTGAACTGCAAATTCTGACTGGCTTTTAGAAAAAAAAATTGTAGCCATGACAAAAAGTATTCAATTCCTATCTCTGATATTTTCTGTTCAATAAAACTCCATAGAATTAAAACTTGAAATTCTCTAATTGTGCCTGTGATGTACTTAAGCATAGCAGAGCCTCCACTGGAGATGGGACTGTACTCATCATGAGACCTGGCCACACTCAGAACTGTCAGGAGACCTGGCAGGGCTCCTAAGTGTCTATGCACATGAGAATCCAGGAGCTTTGGTGAGTCTGGCTTTCAACAGAAAATTACAAGGCATACTAAAAGGCAAGAATTACACTTTGAAGAGACAGAATAAGCATCCAAATCAATTCAGGTATGGCAGGAATGTTAGAGTTATCAGACTGGAAATTCAAAACAACTATGATACACATGCTAAGGGCTCCAATGAAAAAAGTCAATAACATGCAAGAATCGATGTGTGATGTAAGCAGAAAGATAGGAATTCTAGGAAATAATAAAAATACTATAAATCAGAAACACTGTAACAGAAACGAATACTTCTGATAGACTCATTACTCATGAGCCCATCATCCTGGATAGATGACGAAAGAATTTCTGGTCTTGAGGATTTGTCAGTAGAAACTTCCAAAATTGAGAAGTCATAGGAAAATGACAAAAACAAAAAACAAACAAAACCCCAGAATATCTAAGAACTGTGTGTAACATTAGCATAATGGAAATAAGAAAGAGAGAAAGGTACAGAGCAAATAGTGGTGGCAATAATGACTGAGAATTTCCCTAAATTAATGTCAGATACCAAAGCAGAGATCCAGAAAGCTCAGAGAACACCAAGCAGGATTAATGCCAAAAAACCGCACCTAGCTATATCATATTCAAACTGCAGAAATGAAAGATAAAAAAAAAAAATTTGAAAGAAGCCAGAGGAGGAAAAACACCTTATCTGTAGAGGAACAAGGATAAGAATTATGTCATAATCTCCTCAGAAACTACGCGAGCAAGAAGAGAGTAGAGTGAAATATTTGATGTGTTGAGAGAAAATAGCCACCAACAGGCCAGGTGCGGTGGCTCACGCCTGTAATCCCAGCGCTTTGGGAGGCTGAGGCGGGCGGATCACGAGGTCAGATGATCGAGACCATCCTGGCTAGCACAGTGAAACCCCATCTCTACTAAAAATACAAAAAATTAGCTGGGCATGGTGGTGGTGGGCGCCTGTAGTCCCAGCTACTCGGGAGGCTGAGGCAGGAGAAAGGCGTGAACCCGGCAGGTGAAGCTTGCAGTGAGCCGAGATTGCGCCACTGCACTCCAGCCTGGGCGACAGAGCAAGACTCCGTCTCAAGAAAAAAAAAAAAAAAATAGCCACCAACCTAGAGCTCTCTACTCTGCAAAACTATTCTTCAAAAGTGAAGAAGAAATACAGACTTTCTCAGACAAACAAAAATTGAGTGAATTTATTGCCAACAGACTCACCTAGCAAAAAATATTACAGGAAGTTCTTCAGAGAGAGGGACTATGCTACAGGTCAGAAACTGGGATCTGTAGAAAGAAAAGTATTGGAGAAGGAATAAGTGAAGGAAAATTTTAAACATTTAGAAAACTTAAACAATTATTCTTAATTGATCTAACAGAAAACAGTTTCTTCAAAATAATAGTGGCAACAATGCATTTGATTATGCATGCTTACATATATGTATACGAATACATATATGTGTATGTGCTTATGGATAAGTGAAATGAATGACAACAATGATACAAGGGACAGGAGGGAGGAATAAGTTTTTTTTGTTGTAAAGTACTTGTACTACCTATGAAGGGATATAGCGTTATTTGAAAGGTGACTTAGATTAGTTGTAAATGTATTTTGCAAACTCTAAGGCAACTACTAAAAAAAGCAACAAAAAAAGTATCTTAGAAAGGAGAGAAAACGGAATAATCTAAAATTATCAATTATGACCTCCAAAGGCAGAAAAGGAATGGAATTTAAAAATAAAAACAAAAAACAAAGGCAATTGATAGAAAACAGTAATAAATATTGTAGATATTAATCCAACTATATCAATAATTACTTTAAATGTCAATGGTTAAATGCACCAACTAGAAGACAGATTGTCAGAGTACATCAAAAAACAAGACCCAGCTATATGTTCTCTACAAGAAACCCACATTAAATATAAAGACACATATATTAAAAGTAAATGGATGGAGAAAGATATACTGTGCCAACACTAATAGAAAGCAGGAATAATGATATTAACTTCAGAAAGAGAAGAGTTCAGAGCACAGGAGTTGTTAGGGATTTTGGAAGGGCATTTCATAATGAAAGGGGTCAATTTGGGTGATAACAATGTGTCAATAAAGGTTTATCGATCGTAACAAATGTAGTACTCCGTAGGGGGATGTTGATAGTGGCGGAGGCTGTATGTTTGTGGAGCCAGGGAGTTGATAGAAACTCTGTACTTTCTGATTAATTTTGCTGTGAACCTATAACTGCTCTATAAAGTCTATTTTTTTTTTTTTTTGAGACTGAGTCTCGCTCTGTTGCCCAGGCTAGAGTGCAGTGGTGCAATCACGGCTCACTGCAACCTCTGCCTTCCAGGTTCACGCCATTCTCCTGCCTCAGCCTCCCGAGTAGCTGGGACTACAGGCACCCACCACCACGCCCAGCTAATTTTTTTGTATTTTTAGTAGAGATGGGGTTTCACCGTGTTAGCCAGGATGGTGTCGATCTCCTGACCTCGTGATCCGCCCGCCTCAGCCTCCCAAAGTGTTGGGATTACAGGCATGAGCCACCACGCCCGACCTATAAAGTCTGTTTTTTTAAAGTGCACATGCCCATGAAATGACATATTTTGTAAGAACCAAAGCAACAGAATGGAAATGGAAGAATTTGCATATAATGGAATACTCCATAGCAATGAAAAAGAACAAACCACAGCTGCATGTAACAACATGAGTGTATCTCACACACATAAGACACAAGAGAGTACATCTTGTGTTGTTTCATTCACATAAAGTTTAAGAACAGGTGAAATGAATCCCTGGTGATAGAAATCAGGATCATGATTACCTTTAGGCGGAAGGAGGTTAGAGCTAGGAGGAAGCATGATAGAATCTTCTGGGATGCTTAAAATGTTCAATATTTTGCTCCAGATGGTGGTTACACAGGTGGATTCATATCCAAAAATTCACCAAGCTGTATACACTTAAGTTTTGTGCACTTTGCTGCACGGCATAGTCTTTCCCTCAGCTTGTCTTTCAGCCTGGTCCTCGTCTCTAATTTTAAAACGAAATCAACAGCCACATCACAAAATAGAATTCACTTTAAAAATATGCTTTATTTTTTAAACTGAAATCCCAATTGTCCATAAGCATACAAATGGAGGGTTTCAAATTGTTTACTGGCCAGAGTATCAAGCCATTTAGCAGGCCCTTGAGAGAAGAGGTATGTTCTGGCAGAGAATCAGAGAATCATGAGCCTGAATGTACACAAAGGAGGCATGACCAGCAATGAAAAGACAGGAAGGGACGGAGATTGGAGAGAATGGTTTGGTCCAGGGAAGGTTGTTAGAAATTTCTTTCACTTCACAAGCTTGCAAAAGACCTGGGTCTCAACTTCCAGCAAATCGAGATGGAGAATTTTTTAAAACCATAATTAGGTACTTTAAAGAAATCTTCAAGTTTTGCTTTAGCTATTGGCATAATTTCCTCTATTCTCTGGGTTGCTGCAGTAGTGAGGATCTGCAAACAAAAAGGCACTCTTCATGGAAACAAGGAGAAAATAAACGGTTCTTTATATCGGCACTATTTTTTTTCCTCTCTGACTTATTCATTCATGGGTTTCTCCAACTGTCTGAGTCTCTGGGAAATGGTGTGTTTGCCCATTAATCAAGGAATACCTATTTCTCCCCTTCCTGCGCTACTAATCAAGAGAAGCAACATTTTCAACTTCTGAGAAGTCCATTTTAGACGTTCCTTGTATGACTCAGTTGACATGTTCACTGGTGACAGCAATCTTGCTATGACTAAGCAGCTTCTACTTTTGACATCTTCTAGTAGAAGAAATGAGTCGCTGTGTAGACATTTCCCTCCAGGTGGTCTTCACCTAGAGTATAACAAGTAGCCAAGTCTATAATGGGAAACTTTCTTTCAAAGAGATCTGAATGTTGATGTATTATTGCAGAGTGTTTGCTGCCTCCAAGTTCTATCTCTCACAATGTTAGAAGATGATGACTTTCTGTGGCAATAAGGATTTTTACCAGGTCTTTATTTGGTGCCCAAGAATAATACTTTTCTTGTGTTTCAGATTTTCAAAAAAATAAGAACATTCCTTCGAAGAAGCTGTTATCCAGCATCAGATCTCTGAATGCCGCTGACTGAAAAGCGGGCTTTTGCATGCAAGGTGGAAATCTATATTCAGTTGCAGGTAAATAGAAAACTAAACTCCTTCCTGTTAGACTGCCGTGCATGCCAGGTCTTCTAGTCCTAACTGCCCTGAGGCACTCTGCACATCACCCATGGTGGGTTTTGAGGCCCACTGGGATCATCTAGGACCTTGAGAAGGGGTTGGCTGTTACAGGAGCTCTAGTCTATAACACTGACAGACATTTCTTCTGCTCCATGTTTCATTTTCTTGTTTAACAGGTAGACCAATTTGCTACTAAGTTGGTTTCTCCAGCCTCGGCTGTGAAAAAGCAGCATCCTTTGGGAAGCATTTTGCACTTACTGCAATATTCCAGCGATGCCAAGTCACAATCTCAGTGAGCTCCACACTTACTCAGGTAAATTCAACTAATTCATGTGCTATGTTAGCTAAATGGAAAAATATTGATTCAACCATTCTGCTTACAAAGATTGTTAGATTTTATACTAAGTCAGAATTTCATCTGCCTCCTTTCTGACATTTGTGTAAAGGTTGGATGCCTATAACACTGAAAATAATTTATAATATACTGACCTCTATGAGCTTACAGTGGTATAGTGCTGTAAGCTATTAACATCCTTATTTACCCTGAGAGGATGCAGGATAGTTAGAAACACAGATAATTGGTATTGTAAGGCCAATTGCCTATGTCTTAAGAATAATTATCATTATTTGCCTGGCATTTTATTTAGGAATAGGCTAATGGCATTCTTTATAAACAGTGCTATCTTATTCTTAAGTTTAGCTCTGTTTCTTAAATAAAGATAATTCCTTAAGATCCTTTTTTCAAAATTCTAAAAGGACCTGTCTTTTACTACAAAAACTTTAATAATTTTTATTTTTTCCAATGTTTTATTATGAACATTTTCTAACATATAGAAAATTCAGAAGAAAAATACAATGAACACTCATATCACTTAGACACCTACCATTTAGATTCAACAATTGTTAACATTTTGCCAGATAAGTGGGTGTGTGCACTTGTGTGTGTATGTTGTTTGCTGAACCTATATCAAAATAAGCAACAGACTTCATGATATTCTTCCCTAAATATTTCAGGGTCATCTCCTAAAAATAGGGCATTCCACTACATGATCACAATACTACTAACACATCCAAGAAAATTAGCAATTATTATAATATTATCTTATACCCAGATCATGTACAAATTTTCTCATTTGTTCCTCAGATATATATTTAAGCATGTGTTGAATGGCTGGGTTTTGTTTTAAATCCAGGTTTGTATATTGCATTTTGTTTCTGTATTTCTTTTAATCTCTTTTAGTGCAACAGTGTTCTCAGTAGCACCCTCATGCCCCAACACATCTTCTTTTCTTTGGCATTGAATTTTTAAAGCATCCAGGACCATTGTTTTGTATCATGTCTCAAATATGTTTATTTCTTCATAGTGTCCTATAGCTGGTTCATCTCCTGTGTATTTGTCATGAACTGTAAGTTGAAGTCCTTTAGCTGCATCTTAAATATTTGATCCTAGTTATAGCCACTTATGTTGGCTTTTCTATCGTTGCATGTAAATAAGACTTGACCTTATTCAATAAACTAAAGTCTTTCTGATTTTATAAAATATAAGTGCCTCTAAGTGAGACCTCTCTCCTGTACTTTATGACTTCTTAGTAAATGCATAGCACATATTTACCATCTGAATCACACCATTCAGATTCAATCTCTCTGGATTCTTGTAAGTCATCCAAAATTTTTCATTTAGAATGTGGTGTACTACACTCAAAATTACTCTTTTCCTGCCAATATGCTGTCTTTTTTTCCTTAGGATTATCTCTTTGGAGATTTTTAATTAAATATATTCTTTTCTACTGATAGGCAGTTAAAGTCTGAAACTTTAAACATCTGGTTATCTACTTCTAGGGTAATAATGTATTTTAGAAAAACCTAGAAATTAATGCAATTTATAAAAATAACTAAATTATTTAGTGTACCAAGTGTGAGAGAAATCTGTATGCTAATTCTAGAATGTGCAGTAACATGAAGTAGAATAGTCTCTAGACAAGTGTGAAATTTTTAATTAATCCAAGCTATATCTGAAAAAGTGATGTTTGAGGGTTTCAGAGTGATTGTAAATTAAACTAATTACAAATTGATTACCATTGATAAGTTGGTCCTTTAAATTCTTAAGATAAAATGAAAGCTGAATTTTTATTTGTGACTGATTTGACTATTTCTGTACAATATTTGCTTTAGGAAACATTTTAGTGTTTTCAAAATTCACCTTTTAGCTGGATCCAGTGATACGTCTGACAAAATGACAGGCAATTTGGAAAGCGAACATGAAAATATCTGAGGAAGGGCAGTCCAGACTGAAGGAACTGCAAATACAACAAACCTAGAGACAAACCATCAACCAATACTTAGCAAAAAAACTAGACTAGGAAAAATGTCTGAAAAACCCTAGACCACCTACGTCCTCACTTGCTACAACTTGAATAGTCCTAAAAATATTCCCATGAATACTACATTTAAGAAGAATATTCAAGAAGAATAATACTTAAAAATATACTTGTGATAAATTGGGTAAATTTAGCAAATTGTTTTTAGGCAAATTGATGCTTTGCTAAGTTGACTTATAGAGGACTGGTTTTCAATCAATTGATTTCTGGCTAATTTACCTACAGCTGTGCCTGCTGCAGAATAGACATTTAGTAAATGTTTATTGAAAGAATGATAGGAAAAAGCTTGCATGTGAAACAAAATGCCAAGTATTGTATTGAGTTTTGTATCTGAGAGCAATAACTTAACTGGAAACTAATTTGGGTTTGTGGCTTATCTGCCTTTCTGATATTTGATCCCATCCAAAAACCATCTGCAGGTTTTTTAACTGCAAAGCCTCACAAGACCTATCTCTGGCCCAGTTTATCTCCTGGTGCCTTCCTTTCATCTTCAAAGCAGGCCCCAGGAACTCAGCTTTCTTTCCTCTCCAGCAACTCAGCCATCCTTTCTATCCCTTCAGATTTTGTTTCATACCACTGCATAATCTCCCTCATTTTGCATTTTCTTCTACATCTGTAGATAAGCACAGAAACCTAAAAAATTTAAGGATCTTATTCCTGATCTCTGAAAAGAAATAGGATAATGAAGTAACCAATCTGGTAGAAGTGAGTAAGGTTATAGAATCCTTCCATAATTAACAAGTTATCTGTTACTTGTCCCTTTCAAGATGGTAAATGGATCTAGGAGGATGAGACTTTTGTGTGTGCCTTTTTCTCTCCCCGCTAAATTATATGAATTAGTTTTATCTCTTTAGGATTTGCCAAAAAGCAAAGTGGTTATCATTATTGGTTAAACACATTGATATTTATTTATTTTAGCAAACATGAAAGCAATTGTTACAACAGGACTACAACAGTCAGCAGAACTGGGTCCCAGCTGGTGGTGACTCCAGAAAATAGTCAGGGTCCCACCTTGTGCCCACTCTTCCATACCTTTCCTGAATAGTCATCAGTGTTCTAGGTCTGGTATATGTTCCCTGAAAGGCAGCAAAGAAAGAGAGTACAGACTGTAGTGTCCCTGATAAGATCATATGTGGATCTCCTAATATCAATTTGGCTTGAATACAAGGACTACTTTCCTATTCCAAGGGCAGGGTAGAGGTACATACCTAGGACATGGAATGGCAGATGTCTGAAATATACATTGCAGACCACCACACTTCACTGAGGTGTTGCCCTCTGCATTTATTCCTGAGGGTGGAGTTCACTAAACCACTTTCCTTCTCACCCCATTTTTAGATACAATCAAGGTAGAATAATAGGTGTTTCCTAAACTCAAATTGGCAGTTTGCAGTTTCTAGGACATCAGCAATGAATGACACCCTTTTAGTGAACCCTGGCCCTTCCCCTTCCCCCTAGGAATGATGAACATAGTTCATGTCTTTACTAATCGTCTGTGACCCAAGCATCATACTGAGCACAACGTGTAAATATCAAGAAGACAGTGTTCAAGGGCAAGGCTTCAGTATATGAGGGGCAGCAGAAGTGATGGGGGGGAGGAGGAGTGGAAGACCAAGGCTGAGCCATTCCCCAGAGGGATCTTGTTACCAGGAACGTTGCCAAGGCAGGGGCTTTTGCAGCTGTGTAAAGAGCAGATTGGAGCAAGATAGAAGCCTGTTGTGAAAACTGGGGCCCAAGATCAGGGCTGGACAACATCAAGCATCTTTGCTGCTAGAGTGCCTAAGCGTTGAGTCACAGCAACTTAATCCCTCCTATTAATACCTGGTTTGATTCTAGAGACTGGGGTGAGGCTGAGTCCCCTATTGGCTGCCAGAATTTCAGCTGCAGGGAGACAAACTCCAGGAAATCTACAAGTTAGGCAAGAAGGATATGGGGAAACAGAGGTCAGTTTCCAGAGAATTAAACAACTGACATGAAAGACTTAAGGGCTGTTCCTGGTAAAGGAATCTTTACGTGTAGGAACTGGGCAAGGAGAAAAAGAGTCCAGTTGCATTCACATTCTCACCTGAGTGACAAGAGAAGGCAAGATAACTAAGCGGAACTTTTTTCATTCTGTTGCTTTCTAAATTTTCAAACTAAGTTTAAAGAACAATGAGACTAAGTCTGTAGGTCACGACAACCTGGCAACTTCAAGTTAGACCTCCATAATCATGAGTGTTTGCTCTCACCTATCAATACCATGCCATTCTGAGATTGCCAGACCAGCCTTCTTCCCAGCCCTGGCACCCAGGGCTCTGGCTCAGCTCTTTAATACCTACTTCCCTGTGCTGACCTGATGCAGGAACTGCTGGCCTTGCAGCTTGTCCAATGTCAGCCTAGCTCAAAACTGGGTCTTCATACCTACAGTCCAAAGAAGGTGTTGAACTTGCTAATCTAAAGGCATCAAAGGGCTGCAATATGTTGGAGTGGAAAGAGGAATAGAAACTTAATGAAGTTGCCAGAGAGCAACAAGAAACCAAGAACAGGCAGAGCTTAATTTTAGGCTCCAGGGATTTTCCCAGACTTATTTTCACTGTTTCTTAGGGCTCCAATTTTCTAAGTCCTTTATTCTTCAGTCAAATGAAGTACAAGGAAATGTGAGAACTCTAGATGAGTCCCTGAAGTCATTGATACTAATCAAATGACCCTGGCAGCTCAGATCAGCAGGCACTTTGGGAGCATCAGCAATGACCCCTGTGTCCTTGGGATGTCACTCTCCTGCTATAAAGTCTTCAGTGGATCTCTACTGCCTTGGAATAACTGGACTCTCTAGCCTCACCTTTAAAATCTTCCAGGAACCCTTTCTCTCACTAATCCCCTTCAGGCGCAAATACTCCAGCAAAACTTAATCACTGGTTTTTCACACTTGACATGAACTTTTTCCATTTTCTGACTTTTCTCAAAGTTTACCTTGTGTAGAATAATATTTTATCTAACTGACACATCTAAATATAACTATTCTTCAATGCCAGCTAAAAGCTTATCTCTTCCAGAATGCCTTCTTTCTGATTACACTAATCTCTGATCACACCTACATTTACTTGACTTATATTACTCAGCATGTTTTTACTATAAAGTAAATCTTGTGTCATCTTCCTCATTTACACTGCACATTCATCAAATACAGATATTATATGTTATCAATATTTTCAAATGACCTCAGTGCCAGAGTTGAACTAATCATATTCCTCAGTTCATATCACCTGATCATTAGAGTTGAAGCAAAACACTTAATTTAGATATTTATTCCTTTTTCACCTCATTCTGTTACCGTTCCCTCTCCCATTCCCCTTTCCATAGACAACTGCTCTGAGTTTGAAGTCTAACACGTGTATACATACTCTTGCAAAATATAATAATATAGTCTACTGTATCTTATTAGACTTTGTTCTACTTCTTATTTTTTTACTCAGCGCTGTGGTTTTGTTTTGTTTTGTTGAGACAGGGTTTTGCTCGTTGCCCAGGCTGGAGTGCAATGGCGCGATCTTGGCTCACTGCAACCTCAGCCTCCCGGGTTCAAGCAATTCTCCTGCCTAAGCCTCCTAGTAGCTGGGATTATAGGCACCCGCCACCACGCCTGGCTAATTTTCGTATTTTTAGTAGAGATGGGGTTTCACCACGTTGGCCAGGCTGGTCTCAAACTCCTGACCTCAGGTGATCCACCCACCTCAGCCTCCCAAAGCACTGTGTTTTTAAGATCTATTCATATTGCTCTGTTGACACTTGGTTTGTTACTTCAAGCTGCCATACAATACTCAATATTATGCAGTCTGCACATTTTACTCACCCCTTCCTCCAGGAATGAACACCAAGATTCCCCCTAATCACTGGAAGCCACAAATAGATAATACATGACTCTTAAGTGTGAAAACTTCTTTACAATATATATACCCAGGTAAGGGCTGGCTGGGTAATAAGGTGTATGCATGTTGAAATTGACTAAGTACTGAATTTGACTAGCTGTACCAGTCTACTCTCACTAGTAGTTCACTTAGGTTATTATTTTCCCACATCCTTGCAAATACTTGGCCTTATCTGATTTTCTAATGCTTGTTTATCTCATGGATATCTAGTTGTAGTTTTTGAATTTGTTTAAATCACTCTTAGCTGATTTTTAATACATTTGAGCATTCTTCATATATCCTTTAGCCATTTAGGTTTCCACTTCTGCAAATTGCCTATATACATTCTTTGTCTATTTTTCAATTAGTTTTCCTGACTCTTTATTATCGAATGATTTGCATATGTTTTCTTGTACATCCTAAATACAAGTTAGGCCTTTTGGCTAAGATCAAGTGTAGTATCTGTTCTTATCAGTTTAAATACTAGTTAACACATTGGTTTCAGTTTGGCTGTGGGGTCCTTCACTGAACAATTCTGATGAAGTCAAATGAACAATTCCTTACATTTTGTTTGTGCTTTTGGTAACTTGCTTAAGAGTTCTTTCCCATACCAGTGTCATAACCTATAGTTTCTTCTGTAGCTTTATAGTTTTGCTATTCATATTTAGATGTTTAGTACATATACACATATATACATATATATTTTCACACACATATATACACACACTCCTCTCTATATGCATATGTATATATATGTATATGGTATGAGATATAAATCTGTTTTTTCTCAATATGGTAAACTTATTTTCCCATTACCATAAACCGGTTTTTCTTTCCCCAAGGATTTGTGGTGTCATGTTTATCGTATCTAAGACTTCCATCTGAGATCTCCGTTCTGTTCCATTTCTTCATTTATGTTTTTACACCAGTACCATACTATTGTTTGTGTGTTTTTTTTTTTAAATTACTATAGCTTTGTTTTAATCTTAAGTTTTGGCAGAACAAATTCCTGCCCTTTAGTCTTATTTTTCAAAATTGATTTAACTATTTGTGGATGTTCATTCTTCTATATACATTTTAAAATAAGTAAAGTCCTTAAAAACATCTAGCTACAGTTTCAATTGGCATGCTATAGATTTATGAATCATTTGTCAGTGGGGGGTGTGGATACTTTTAGAATGTTAAATGATCTTATCTGTAAAGATAAACTATTTCTCCATTTATTTAGAACTTCGCATCTCGTAATAGGTTTTTAAAACTTTAACCATGGAGCTCTTTCACATTCTTTCAAAAGTTTACTGACATGTTATAGTTGTTTTTACTGCTGTGTACAGCAGCTTATTTCCTAATTATGTTTTCTAGATGGTCATTGCTGCTGCAGAGAAATGTTATGGACTTTTTAAAACTGATCTTGTATCCAGCAACTTTGCTGAACTTCTTGATTTGTTTTACCTTCTTGACCTGTTATAATATCTATGTGTAATGCTACTCTTTGTCTTTAGAAGATATTTTTGGCTTTAAGTCTTTTGATAGATTTAAGATCAAGATTGGTACTCTGGCCTTTTTTATTGTTTATATTTCTTTTGCATATGTTTTTAGTGCTTTTAATTTCTACCTTTCTATGTCTTTTTGTTTTAAAGTGTAAGAATGTCTTATACTTAGCGCTTTGTTTTGTAATCCAATATGAGTGCCATTTACTATAATTACTGTTTTATCAGGATTTATTTTTTCATTTTATATTTCCTTTTACTATGTGGCTTCTTCTTCCTCTTCCTAGTTCATCTTGTGTTCTTCCAAATACACAGAAATGATTTCTGCTGCTTTGAGATTTATATTCTAATTTATTCTTCTAGTAAGTTATCCCTAAGTTGTCCTTTTTGACTGGGGCTTATTTCACTTAACATAATGTCTTAAAGTTTCATCCATGTTGTAGTATGTACCAGAATTTCATTCTTTTTAAAGGCTGAATAATATTTCATTGTATGTATATACCATATTTTGTCTGCATTCATCTATCAGTGGACACTTGAGTTGCTTCCACTTTTGGCTATTGTGATAATGTTGCTATTACAATAGCAACAACATTGCTCTATGTCTGTCTTTCTGTCTTTCAGTATCACACTATTTTGATTACTGTAGCTTTGAAATAAGAAAGTATATGACCTTCAACTTTGTTATTTTACAAGATTGAGTTGGCTACACGAAGTCTCTTGAGATTCTGTATGAATTTCAGAATGGATTTTTTATTGCTACGAAAAAGCATTGGAATATCAATAGGGATTGCATTGAATCTGTGGAATGCTTTGGGTAGCAGTGACATCTCAACAATATCGAGTCTTCCAATTCATGAACACTGGTTTTTTCCCCCATTTATTTGTGTCTTCTTTAATATCTTTCAGCAATATTTTGTAGTTTTTAGTGTACAAGTCTTTCAACTCCTTAGTTGTATTAATTCCTAAGTGGCTTTTGTTGTTTTTGGCTGGAGGAGATGCTATTGTAAGTTGAAATATTTTCCTAATTTCCTTTTTGGTTTATTCATTGCTAATGTTTAGAAAAGCAATGATTTTTGCATGTCGATTTTGTGATTTTGCAACTTTCCCAAATCAGTTTATTAGCTCTAACAGATTTGTTTGTGTAAAATCTTTAGGGTTTTCTACATATAAAATGATGTCATCTGTGAACAGAGACAATGTTATTCCTTCTTTTCCAATTGCGATGTCTTTAATTTTTCTTTCTTACTTCACTGCGCTGACTATGAATTCTAGTACTATGTTGAATAGAAGTGGCAAAACAGCATCCTTGCCTTATTCCTGATCTTAGAGGAAAAGCTTTCACTCTTTCACCATTGAGTACGATGTTTGAGCTGTGGGTTGTTCATATATGGCTTTTATTATGTTGTGGTAATTTCCTTCTAATCCTAGTTTGTTGAGTTTGTTTTTTTTTTTTCTAATCATGAAAGGGTATTGAACTATGTCAAATACTTTCTCTGTATCAATTGAGATGATTATGTGTTTTTATTTCCTTTACTTGTTAATGTGGTGCATTACATTGATTTTTGTGTATTGAGCCATCCTTGTATTCCAGTAATAAATCCCACCTGGTCATGATGTGTAATCCTTTTAATACACTCTTGAATTTGGCTTGCTAGTATTTTGTTGAGTATTTTGCCTCAATAATCTTAAGGGATATTAGTTTTCTTTCCTGGTAGCATATTTCTCTGGCTTTGATATCAAGTAATGCTGGACTTACAGACTTAGATAAGAACTGCTCACTCCTCTTTATTTTTTTGGAAGAGTTTGAGAAGGACTGGCATTAATCTTTCTTTGAATTTTTGGTAGAATTCACCAGTGAAGACACCTGCTCCGAGGCTTTTCTTTGTTAGGAGGTTTTTGATTATTAATTCAATTGCCTTACTCATTAAAAAGGTCTACTCATATTTTATATTTCTTTATAATTTAGTTTTGGTAGGCTGTGTGTTTCTAGGAATTTGTCAGTTTCATCTGGGTTATCTAATTTGTTGGTTTACAATTGTTCATGCTACTGTCATAATTCTTTTTATTTCTATAAAATCAGCAATTTTTTATTTTTATTTCAATCACTTGAGTCATCTTTTAGTCAATCTAGCTAAAAGTTTGTCAATTTTCTTGAGCTTTTAAAAGAACCAACTCTCAGTTTTGCTGATTTTCTCTATTATTTTTCTATTCTCCATGTCTATTCTAATCTTTGTTATTTTTTTCCCTTTGCTAGGCTTGGGTTTAGTTTGTACTTGTTTTTCTAGTTCCATAAGGTAGAAAGTTAGAGCACTGATTTGAGACCTTTCTTCTTTTTTAATGTAAGCATTTACAGCTATAATTTTCCTTCTTCTGACTACATTCACTGCATCCTGTAAGTTTTAGTATGTTGTTTTTATTTTCATTTGTCTCAAGATATTTTCTAATTTCCCTTGTGATTTCTTCTTTGACCCTTTAGATGTTTAAGAGTGTGTTGTTTACTTTCCACAATTTGTGAATTTTTATTTTTTTCTTCTGCTGTTGATTTCTAGTTTCATTCCATTTTGATTGGGAAAGATACACAGTATGATTTCAATCTTTTAAAATTTATTCAGGCTTGTTTTGTGACCTAACATATGGTCTACCCTGGAGAATGCTCCCTGTGCAGTTGAGAAAAATATATATTCTGCTGTTGTTGGGCATAGTATTCTCTATATGTCTGTTAGTCCAATTTGTCTACAGTGTTGTTTGTGTTATTTATTTATTTTCTGTCTACTTGTAATATTTGCCATTGAGAATGTGGTATTAAAGTCTCCTACTATTATTGTAGCCAATATTTTCAATAGGGTCTTTGTGTGGCAACCTTTCTGAGGTTTTATACGGCTGAGATTATTTCTATTGCACTTTTCATATTTAAATGCCAATCCGGATGAGTGCAAGATTCTAGCTTCAAAGATTTTTTTCTCCAATACTAAAAAAGTATAACTCAGGCCGGGCATGGTAGCTAACGCCTGTAATCCCAGCATTTTGGGAGGCCAAGGCAGGTGGATCACGAGGTCAAGGGATTGAGACCATCCTGGCCAACATGGTGTAACCCCATCTCTACTAAAAATACAAAAATTAGCCGGGCATGGTGGTGCACGCCTGTAGTCCCAGCTACTTGGGAGGCTGAGGCAGGAGAATCGCTTGACACTGGGAGGCAGAGGTTGCAGTGAGCCGATTGCGCCACTGCACTCTAGCCTGGTGACAGAGCGAGACTCTGTCTCAAAAACAACAACAACAACAACAACAACAACAAAAAACTATATCTCAGTTTTTTGTTTTGTTTTGTTTTGTTTTTTGAGATGGAGTCTCACTCTGTCACCCAGGCTGGAGTGCAGTGGTGCAAACTCGGCTCACTGCAACTTCTGCCTCCTGGGGTCAAGCGATTCTCCTGCCTCAGCCTCCCGAGTAGCTGAGATTACAGGCATGCGCCACCACACCCGGCTAATTTTTGTATATTTAGTAGAGGTGGGCTTTCACCACGTTGGCCAGGCTGGTCTCGAACTCCTGACTTTGTGATCTGCCCACCTCGGCCTCTCAAAGTGCTGAGATTACAGGTGCATGCCACCATGCCCAGCTAATTTTTGTATATTTAGTAGAGGTGGGTTTTCACCACGTTGGCCAGGCTGGTCTCGAACTCCTGACTTCGTGATCCACCCGCCTCATCCTCCCAAAGTGCTGGGATTACAGGCATGAGCCACTATGCCCGGCCAACTCAGTTGTCATTTTTGTAGAAGTTTTTAAAGTGTCTAATATGAATATGTTACCTGTTCATTTGTAAGGGATGTTTCTTTCTGAAAACTTTTAGAAATTTGCCTTTGATATTCTTAAATTTTACTATATAATGTGTCTAAGTATGAAAATGATTCCAATAATAGCTGTACTATTTAACTATGTAAGAATTTGTGTACTCTCCACGTTTTAGCCAAAATTTTTGGAGACATTGATGACTTTGGGTTTTATGAGGGTAGGAACTATGTTTTTCTGTTTCATAGCTGTTATCTTCAGTGCCTAGCGGTGTTCTTAGTATATGGCAGATGTACTAAACAAATATTTGTTGAATGAATGAATAACTGAATCGTCACCCAGGTGACTGGCAACTTTTCTAAGATTTTCTAAAATATATTATTTCTTTTGCAATTTGTCTCAATAACTAGGGATTTTTTTACAGCAGACAAATAAGAAAAAGACATCTAATAGAATTTAACACTAAACTGAGTTAGTTTCAGTAAGTGGTCTACAGGTTATAAGAAATATTAAAAAATACATAGTTAGGAAAAGAACCATGCAAATTACCATTGGCTTATACACTCATATCTGAAATCTGAAAGATACTAGTCTTGGTCAAAAATGCATCAGTATGTATTTATACAGTATGAGTCACTGTATAGTATCACACTATACTTGGTTTACAACCCTTTCTTCCCTGCTAAACTGTGACCAACTTGGAAAAACCATGTTTTTGAAGGAGTAATATAGATGACAAGAAATTTATACTTTATTCCTTTAGACTAGTGATACATACCACAATAATTAAAATACTTAAAAGCAGAAAAAAGTGGTAATTTTAACTTTTTTCCTTCAAGAATATCCTCTTTTATCAATGAATGCTAAGTTAAAACACAAACAAAAGTGGAAGACAGAATGTGGACTTTCTTCGTTTAATTCATCTTTGTTATGGTCTTAGGCTTATTTTGCTTAGTGGAATTATTATTTTCTAATGATATTTGACCATGTGTGAACTTCCCCCATCATCTCCTTTTCTTAACTATCATCTAAAAATACAGTACAAATGTCCACCTTTAACAGGCATGTAAATTTTCAAGGTGCCATAGACTTAGGAACTGACATAGTCTTTCTTTAAGAAAAGTAATACGGCCAGCGCGGTGGCTCATGCCTGTAATCCCAGCACTTTGGGAGGCTGAGGTGGGGGGGATCACAAGGTCAGGAGATCGAGACCATCCTGGCTAACACGGTGAAACCCCGTCTCTACTAAAAATACAAAAAATTAGCCAGGCGTGGTGGTGGGTGCCTGTAATCCCAGCTACTCGGGAGGCCGAGGCAGGAGAATCGCTTGAACCCGGAAGGCAGAGCTTGCAGTGAGGCGAGATCGCGCCTGTGCAATTGCACTCCAGACAGAGCAAGACTCCGTCTCAAAAAAAAAAAAAAAAGAAAGAAAAGTATTAAAAAGGATGACAGAAAAAGAAAAGAGATCCTCTCCTGGTTGTGAATATCAAAAGCCCAAGGACAATTCACAGCCATACAAGGCCTTATTGTGACAACACTAGTAAATGCATAAAAACTTTAAGAAAATGTTTTCGACAGTGAAATTATTGCAGGCTTTTAGATATTGAGAACCTATCTGTGAAACTGAACTATATAAATAATTAATAGTAAGAAAAATAAAGCTCATGTTTTTCTACAGAAATTGAATGAATTATAGAAATTTGAGAAGGTGTTAACAGTCTTGAAAATATGAATTCTTTGGGTTTTGCATTTCCAATGTGCAAAAGTGGTGTGAGATATTTCAACCAGTCTGTCAAATAATCTGTGCATAAATTGGAGAGAGCAGTTCCCCTGAAAGAGTTGCTTTATATTAAAAAAAATAGTATCCAGTTTAAAAATAAACTCACTTACCTTTTACATGCTTTTTATGTTTCCCTGTCTTAATTAATTCCTCAAGTTAATTTCTTTTTAACCAAACACTGTCAATTCCCAGATCATGCCATTGCATTCCAATTTAGGGCAACGTGATAAAAATGATCCTTATAAATGAAGTATAAGATTATATTTGCATTCAGAATCACTATTCAAGTCTGCATATCTTGTAATGGCCATAGAATTCTCTTTACCCTTGTTTCATGGTACCTAAGCTGTCAATTACTTTGGGAACACTTTTGAAAAGTAAAACTTTGGCAATCATCTTTACAAAGTATATAGACATGGTTTAAAATTTGAACCTAAAATATTTAAACCATGTCTATGTAGCTTCTCTTTTGAAAAAGTCTGCCTTGCTTGAAGAATTTAAGCAATCAAAATTCAATTCAAGGAAAGTTGCCAAAGATGAGGTGATGCATTCTAAAATAACTGAGATAAAAGTTATCTTCAGCAGAAATCATATAGAATTTTAGAGTTGAAATGGAGCCTATAGGTCATGTAATCTGAAGACCACTAGTGGAGTCCATGGTAAGAATAGAAAAAATTTTTCACCCTATGATTTCACCATGATTCAAATATGTAATGTTTCCATGAAGATTTACACAATATTGTAAATCTACATTTTGGGAGGGATTATCTTGATGTCCTTCAAATGTAATTCATATTACTTTAGAATCTTTATGGGGTGGAGGAGGTCAATTCTATTATGAATATGTAATTGATTTTTGCAGCTTATTCATTGGAAAAATACAATTTTGTATTTTTCTAGATGGGAAAAAGTCTTTCTGTGGAACTTATATCAGCCAGCTCTCTATGCTACAACATTTTTGGATATGTATGAGGGAAGAATGATAAGGATTAAGTCCGAGTATTATGTCAATATTTTATGTGAAATCTTATTCAATTTATAATTTAACTTTCAATAATTAGTTTTAGCATTTTAAATTTTATTGTAATTAAGTCTGCATTTGTTGTATTTATTAAAGCAATATTAATCTATTGATTTACATTTACATTTTAAACAACCTACCTTTGTTTATTTAAGGCTAACAAAGCTGAGTAGCATGTTCTTATATGGACATGCTAGTGTTTTATGCTGATTATTTTTATAAGAAGTTAATCATATATGACATAAATCTCATGTTTCATGTTTATATTTTTTGCATTTGTCATTAAATTAAAATCTTACATTAAAAAACAAAAGAATGCCAAAAGGAATGCTCCGAACATAACCATATATGCATCATTGACATGCAAATTTTGACATGTAAACAATATAATACAATCCTATTCATTTAAAGAGTTAGAATAAAAGCATGTCTAGGAAGGCAGCTGCTTTGTAAGTAGTCCTATGAGTGGTATAATTATACCACTTCTTTCATCATTCTAGTACTTTGCCACTCATTTGATATTTGACAACTGTGCTGGGATGACTGGAAAATTTGGATGTGTAAAAATAACTTGTTGGATTGGTTTTTACATTTTTTCTAATTTTAAAGTTTTCTAAAAGTTTTGCATTTTACATTTTGTTTTTAATTTACCTGGAATTTAACTTTGTGTATAGGATAAGAAGTTCAACCCTATTTCCCTCCTCTGTGGGAAGTTCCATCACCATTTATTCCTCTGTTCCTTTTTTATGTTTTATCAAAATTGCTTTGATCATTCTTGGCACTTTACGCCTTCATATAAATTTTACAATCCTCTTGTCAAGGTCCAGGGGAAAAAAACCTGCCAGTAATCTGGCAAGGAATTGCACTATGAATAATTTTGGAAAAATTGACATCTATTTTTTTTATACCATGAACATGGTATATCTCTCCTTTATGTAGGTTTACAATATGGTTTTATTATTGCTTCTATAAGCAACTTGCACACATTTTTAGATAATTATTAGCTATTCTTATATATTATTGGTTGCTACTGTAAAAATACATTTTAAAAATTATATTTTCTAACTTGTGTAGCTAGTGTATAGAAATACAGTTGATTTTTATAAATTGCACTTGTATCCTCAAACCATATTGAATTCTCTTATTCTAAAGATTTACTTGCATATTCTCTTGCTTTTTAGGTGAATAATAATATTGTTTGTGAATAGTAGCAGTTTTGGTCTTCCTTCTCAATATCTATAATTTATATATAGTATCTTTTATTATTGAAATGGTTAAGATCAATGATGAGTAGAAGTAGTGATAACAGATATCATTGTGTTTATGGTTTTAAAAAGACAGTGTCTAACATTTCATCATTAACTATCATGCTTGCTGCAGGTTTCGAATAGATACTCTTTATTAAGTTAAGAAATTTTCCTTTATTGCTTTTTTGCTAATATTTGGTTGGATTTTAGAAAATTTTTCGATCTGTTGAGATGACATAATTTTTCTTCTTTATTTCTTAGTGTGGTAAATTTCACTACTAGATTTTCCAGTTTTAAACTATATTTGCATTCTTGAGGTAAACCCAACTTGGTCATGATGCATTATTATTATTATTATTGTTATTATTATTATTCTTGCTAGTATTATTCAAAATTAGATTCAGTTGTCCAGTATTTTGTTTAGAACTTTTGCATATAACTGTAAGTAAAATTTGCTTATAATTTCACTTGTCATGGTGTCCTTATTAAATTTTGCTATCAAGATTTAACCAAGTTTATAAAATAAGTTGGGGAGTGTTCCTTTTCTTGTATTCTCTGGAAGAGTTTATGTGATATTTATCTATTCCCTTTGACATTTGGCAGAACTTTCCTGTACAGTCACTTACATCTGGTCTTTTCTTGGAGGGACATTATCAACTACTGATTCAAGCTTCTCCAACGGTTATGGATTTCTTCAGTGCTTCTTTTCCTTTTTGATTTTTTTTTTTTTTTTTGAGATGGAGTCTCTCTCTGTCGCCAAGGCTGGAGTCCAGTGGGGCCATCTCTGCTCGCTGCAACCTCTGCCTCATGGGTTCAAGCAATTCTCCTGCCTCAGCCTCCTGAGCAGCTGGGACTATAAGCGTGTGCCACCACGCCCAGCTAATTTTTTGTATTTTTAGTAGAGACGGGTTTTCCCTGTGTTAGCCAGGATGGTCTTGATCTCTTGACCTTGTGATTCACCCACCTCAGCCTTCCAAAGTGCTGGGATTATAGGCATGAGCCAGTGTCCGGCTCCTTTTTTATATATTTTTAAAGGCAATATAGATTTGAACACTTGGGCATGAAATCGTTTTTAGTATACTCCCATATTTTTCTGATCTTTGAATTCTCTTTAGCATTGCCCTATTTTCCATTCCTAATGTTTATTTGAGTCTTTTCTCTATTTTTCTTGATTCATCTCACCAGTGGTTTGCCTACTTCATTAATCTTTTCAAAGAATCAACTTTTGGCTTCGTTGATAATTTCTATTGTATTTTTTAAAATTACTCTTTAACTTCTGTTTATTTTTTCCTTTTATTCTAGTTTCTTTAGGATTAGCTTGTTGTCCTTTTTTAAAGTTGGAAGCACAATTAATTTTCAGCTTTTCTTCTTTTTCAATATGAGCATTTTTTACACTTTAGCAATTTCCCACAAACTTTGATATGCAGTATGATTATTCAGTTCTAATGGATGTTGAAACACCAGGACTCAGGGGATGAAATATGAATATAAGTTCATTTATTGGAACAATACTCATTCAAACCCACTTTGAGAACCATTTTTTTCTTCATATTCTTGAAAGGCAACTAGGAAAAGTCTCATGATTCTTCTAGTCTCTCTTGATAATAAAAAAATCCTGGGGTCACTTCTAGCCACTAAAAAGAGACAAACAAAAAGTCAGTTTGGTAAAGTCCATGTAATAAAAAAAATTAAGACTTCAACACTTGTTTAACCTTAAAGACTTCCCCTTTCAGAGCTCACACTTGGTACAGGCAAGTGGTTGGCAGGGGAAAATGTGGGGGTGATTGCTTCTTTTATATGATTTATGCCTCACCTTCCTCTCCTACTTTCTAAGCTGCTTCCAACTTCTTTAGGGATGATTCGGAAAAAGAGACAAAAACAAGGAACAAGGGCCAGGCCAGGATGTGCATGCTTCTTTCTAGCAACCTAGATACAGTTAACCAGGCACTACATTATGCTATTATCTTGGCTTGGAGTTTCTTAGGTAACGCAGATTGTATACATTCAAATCCTAAATTTGAGGGCATAGCTGTGGTTTCAAAATTTCAGAGGGAATTAAGAATACCCCTTCAAAAATCCCATGCCAAGGCAGACAAATCCCTCTTCATCCTCCTTCTTTTCTGCTATCCAGACTTTTTTCTTCTAGCTCACCATTTCACTAAGGATGTTACCTTTCAAGCTTTCTGATTTCAAATGGGAGGCTCAGTTTCAATGTGGGAACTTGTGGGAGCTTAAGACCATGTCTTCTGCTCCCACAAGCCTGTGAAAATTCAGACCTTTTTGTAACTGAGCCAGACAAATGTGTCCAGGAAAGGAGTGGTATAAGTGCCATCTTAATAACTAGTTTTCAGTTCCTTCCTTATTTTTGATCTATGAGTATTTCACGTACTTCTTGAAAGCTCAGCTATGCATTGAGATTTTTTTATTTTTAAAATTTTATAGATTCAGAGGGTACAGTACAGGTTTGTTACATGGGTATATTGCATAATGGTGAGGTTTGCACTTCTAGTGTACCTGTCACTCAGAGTGAAAGTTGTTCCCAACAGATAATTTTTCAACCCTCACCTCTCTCCCATCCTACCCACTTTTGGAGTCCTCTGTGTCTATTATTTCCTTCTGCATGTCCATATGTATCTATTAGTTAGCGCCCACTTTTAAGTGAAAACACGTGGTATTTGATTTTCTGTTTCTGAGTCATTTCACTTAGGATAATGGCCTCCAGCTCCATCCATGTTGCTGCAAAAGACCTGATTTTATTCTTTTTTTTTTTATGGCTGCAATATATTCCATGGTGTTTATATACCACATTTTCTTTATCCAGTCATCTCTTGATAGACACTTAGATCGATTCCATGACGTTGTTATTGTGAACTTTACTGTGGTAACATACAAGTGTGGGTGTCTTTTCAATATAATGATTTATTTTCCTTTGGGTACTCAGTAGTGGGATTCGTGCATCAAATGGTAATTCTACTTTTAGTTCTTTGAGAAATCTCCATACTGTTTTCCATAGAGGTTGTACTAATTTACATTCCCATCAACAGTGTATAAGCATTCGCTTTTATATTTTGAGAGTTTTTATAAACATGTTTCAACCAGTATTTCTTGGTGTTTTGTTGCAGGATTTTTATACTTATCTGACATGAGGTATTAAATGTTCTATTATTTGAGTCTATTTATTGAGTCTATGAAGTAAAAATGGTGTTGGTGAATATTCAAGGTGTAATGATATTCATTATATGGGACCATGATATACTTCTAACACTGACTCTATATATCTTTCACTATACCTCATTCAAGCCTCAAATTTTCCTTTCTTTGGCCGGAGCTTTTTTGTTGTGTTTTGCTTTTTAAACTGTGATAAGAAAGAACATATTATATAAAATGTACCTTCTTAACCATTTTTAAGTGTACGGTTTAATAGTGTTAAGTATGTTCACACTGTTGTGCAACGTTGAGTTTTAAACTTTAAGATTTAGGTTATTTGTGGCAAGGAAGGACAGGTCTATTTTATCTTCTTTCTCTTGCCTTCACTCATCTTTGCTTCCTTATTGGCTGGAACGACGTATGAAGGGAGAAATGCTGCAACCTAAAATCATCTAACTAAAACTCAAAAGACTTAATTTCTTGTGTTGTCTTAGAGTTTCATATCTATTTTTTTCTGGAGCCTTTTTGCTAGATTAACTCACAATTCTGGAGATCTGTCAACCACATACAGATATATATTTGACTTTTGCAGTGTGAAGATAAAGAGAGACTATTTTTTGGCAAATTATTGGTGGGTTTAATCATCCTTCCATGAGCCTGTTTTGAAATGCCTGTGTTATCACCATCTGTGTTATTTTTTTCTCTTTTGTAGTTTTAATTGGCTTAATTTTTGCTAGATCCTCCTTTGCCAAAAGTTTTGTATGTGATTCAGTTCATTCATGTGATTTATCCAACATCACACATATTAACTACAGGAATTCCTTAATATTTTACAAGATATTCAGTTTAACTTTGAAGTGACTGGTCTGACAGCGTTAGATGTTCACAATATCAGCACCTAGACAAGGATGTCAATGCAAAGACAAAAGCTACTGGGGGAAGGAATATTTGAGAATGTCTAACTTTATGAGGCAACTAGTTCACTAGGACATATTTTCATGTCATGATTATTTCTGCTTCAGTATACACTGTAAGTACAGCAGTGAGGTTAAATAATAAACACTCAGAAAATGAGGGCCGGGCGCGGTGGCTCACGCCTGTAATCCCAGCACTTTGGGAGGCCGAGGCGGGCGGATCACGAGGTCAGGAGATCGAGACCATCCCGGCTAAAACGGTGAAACCCCGTCTCTACTAAAAATACAAAAAATTAGCCGGGCGTAGTGGCGGGCGCCTGTAGTCCCAGCTACTTGGGAGGCTGAGGCAGGAGAATGGCGTGAACCCGGGAGGCGGAGCTTGCAGTGAGCCGAGATCCCGCCACTGCACTCCAGCCTGGGCGACAGAGCGAGACTCCGTCTCAAAAAAAAAAAAAAAAAAAAGAAAATGAGGTATCCTCCTCTTTTGTTAGTCACAAGGGTATTCCTTCAACCAGATGATACCTCCCATTTAAATCAAAATTTATTTCTGAATTTGCTTATCACTTCTATTAAGAGGTCTGCTCTGTCAAGAGCTACATCTTAACTCAATGGACCTCTGGAAAAATAAGACAAAATTACACAACTAGTCATTTCAGAGAGGGGAAAAAAATCAAACTTCTTCCCTGGTAGTTGTAGGGGAAAAAAAGAAGCTTGATTAAAATTTCAATTTGCCATTTTGATTTTAGAGACAATGTGAAAAGAGATATAATCCATCAATAACAAGCAGCAGATTTTTCTAGATTTTAAGATTTCCAATATCAGGGTGCATGTCAGAATCAAGAATTACAATTATAATTAGTAGTGTTTTTCGCTGTGTCGCCAGATTAGAGTGCGGTGGCGCAAACTCGGCTCACTGCAACCTCTATAGACCTCCCGGGTTCAAGCGATTCTCCTGCCTCAGCCTCCTGAGTAGCTGGGACTACAGGCATGTGCCACTACGCCCAGCTAATTTTTGTATTTTTATTAGAGACGGGGTTTCACCATATTGGCCAGGATGGTCTTGATCTCTTGACCTCATGATCCGCTCACCTTGGCCTCCCAGAGTGCTGGGATTACAGGCATGAGCCAACCGCGCCCGGCCTATTAGCCAAAATATTAAACTGACATAATGGCTATGTAGAATGCAACTTTCAAGTGGATGCATTCCATTGATAATAATAGTAATAACAACACATATATTCCTTACTATGACCAGCTACTGTTTTAGGAGTTTTACTTAATTATCTAATTTTTTACAATTACCATTTTTAGGTAGTTTACTATTATTAGCTTCACTGTAATGGTGATAGGTGAGTACAATAAAACACGGAGAAGTGATCTGGCCAACAACTCACACATAGATGGCTGAGTTAGATGTTTCACTTAGGCTTAAAGTTATTGCCTGCTGGTAAGCAAACAAGTCATATTTTAAATGAAGCATTTTATGAACACATACTACTAGTTTTTAGTATCTGCCATAGAATTGAGATCTATTTGCAAACAGCCATATTGTTTTCTTAAGACACTACTGTAGGCAGAATAATGATCCCCCAAAGATGTTTATCTCCTAATTTCCGGAATTCGTGAATATATTAGCTTACATGGCAAAAGGATTCTGCTGATGTGATCAAGGGCAGAGACCTGGAAATGGGAAGATGATCCTGGATTACTCAGGTGAGCCCTCAGAATCTTTTCCAGCTGCAATCAGCGGTAGACTTGAGGATGGAAGGTTCAGAGAGATGGCATATCACTGGCTTTGAAGATGGAGGAAGGGACCAAAGCCAAGGAATGTGGACAGAAGCTGGCAAAGGCAAGCTAAGGATTGTCCTGTGGAGTCACCAGAAAGGAGTGCAGCCCGGGTGACACCCAGGTAGCACTTCTGATCTACAGAACCGTGAGATAATAAATGCATTGTCTGTCAGATGATAAATTTGTGCTGTTTCAAGCTACAAAGTTTGTGGTTTTTGGTTATTGTGGCAATAGGGAACGGATACAGGCCCTGTCAGGTATTTCACTCAATCCATGAAATACCTTACAGTATACAAATTTTAACATGCGCGGGAGCCACTTACGGATCCGTCTATCTGTGCTGCCTGGGAGTGTCAAGAGGCCGTGTCCTTCATTCACCTCGCGCGTGGGCGGCGCTGCCCTGAAGATGCTCCCGGGCTCAGTGCAGACGGCTCAGCGTTCTCTCGCGTTCAACGAACCGCCAGAAACGTCAGATGGTACGGAGGAAAACACTTTACACTTTAACAGTATTTTTACGTTTATTTGCAGCAAATGTTGTTGGCTTTGTATTTAAAGTATTTATGACTCACTATAAAGTGTAGGATCCAAGAAAACGCGCTAGTTTCACTTGGCCCCCGTGGCTGTCCCGGGGAGCTCTCCAAGGAAGGACTGGTTCCTGAAGTTCCTGGGGTGCTGCACCACCACGGAAGAACCAAGCTCCACAGAGAAGCCAGAAGCCGCGACCGCGGGGACGCTCTCTGCCAGGCCTCCACCGCCTCAGCGGCCCTTTACAGCCACCGCATTCTCCATGCCCCCAGTTATTTCTAGCTTCGCACAGCGCCCGGCCCACCGAGCGACCTCAAACCTCGCGACACTCGCAACTCCCGAGGCCCTTCCTGCTACTGGCCTCAGAGGGAAGAGACATCGGGAAGATTGCTCCGCCCACAGAAAGGAAGATTTCGTTCTCGCGAGATCCCAATGACAATTCGGGAGCCCGTTCTCGCGGGATTTTCCAAGACCGGGTTGGAATTTGCGGGGGTTAGGAGACGGAAGTCAGAGCCTAGGAAGATTTGGGGGTCGCCTTGCCGGCCTCCTGTCCTCCTCCGGCGGCGGCGGAGCCCGAGAGAACTAGGTGAACACCGCTTTGCCAGCCTCACACAGCGTCCCCTGGCTCTGCCGCCGCTCCGGACGTCGCCCTCCCGTTCTGCTTGGGTCCCCTTAGTCGCTACCTTTGCTGGGATCCCCCTCCTCCATCCTGTGGCTTCGGGTTGCCGAAGAGCGATGCTCGGAGGGCGGCCGGAAGTGGCGTTGGCCGCCATTGGCCTGCCGGCCAGCCACCTTGCTGTCCTCCGCCGCCTTCCGGGTGTTACATGCAGCCGGGCTCGGCCCCTCCCCCTGGCCGGATGGATCCGTCGGCGCCACAGCCCCGCGCGGAAACCTCAGGCAAAGGTACCAGCTCCGCGCTCGCCCCTTACGCAGAGGCCTGTGTACTGCGTCGCGTTGGACCAGTTCTTGCCGGTGCCCTTCGGGTTGGGGTTTTGCCCTGTAGATCCTCTTCAGTGACAGCTGCAGATTGTGAACCCCTCCAGGCCTGGAACCAAATCTCCGATTCAGTGTTGAGAACCTGGACTCGGGAGTCAGCCCCTGGGATCTAGTGCTGCCTCTGACAGTTACTTGCTGAGCAACTTTGGGCAGGCTCCTCATCTGTAAAACTGGGTTCATTACTAGGTTCTTGCGATTATTAAATGACGTGGGGAATACGCAAAGTATTTATGTGACCCCGCGTGTGGCCCATATTAAGCACTCAGTAAATGTTATTTTCATTCTTTATTCTTGTATGCCCCAGTTGTTAGTGAATGGCAGAAGTTTGTTGTAAGTAGATAAATGAAGGTTGAGATATTTAGTTCAGTTGAGTTTTATTGCCTATTGAGTCAGGGCATTATATTCTGCCTTAAATAGGAGGTTTAAAGAAGGTGTGATTATCTACCACAAGTCACCTGGGATGCCTTCTGGCACCCAAATGAGTAGTTTTCATTAATAATTGTGCTGTATAACAAAAGCTACCAGGTATTGAGTGATTTTCCTGAGCCCAGCAATATGCTGATTGTTTACTTGCTTTCCTTTGAGGAAGATATCGATCTCATTAAATAGATGAATTCAGAGCTAAAGTTCAGAGAGGGCAAGTTACAAGCCTGAATTCTGAGGTCTAGGAATTGATGACGCTGTAATTCAGGGACCAAACATATAAATACCTATAGGAGACTGGCAGCTAAAAATAGATGAAGCTGCCGAGTGGATATTGTGACTGGGAGGCTCATTCCTTTTGATAAATCTAGTCACTCTTGGTATTTAGGGAAATTGGTGGAAGGAGCAGAAAGCTCCAGGGCCCCGAGGTGGGAACACCCTTGAGGAATGCTTGAGGAGGCCTTTGGAGTGAAAGAGGGAGAGAGAGACCCTATCACCAGAATGAGTTGAGTTGGTAATTAGTTTAAACCAAAACAAATGATTTCGACTCATTAAATTTTAGGACACTTAACCCATTTCCCTGTTAAATCCAACAGGAAATCTTAACAATTTAAGCAGTTGTTCTGTAGTTTGGATACTGAGAGATTCCATTTCTAACTCAACTGAATTTATTTCGTCCTAGAAATTATCCGAACTCAAACCCAAAATACTCCAATAAGTTGTGTGATTCCCTTAAGGCTTTTTTTTTTTTGCACATGCTGTACACTTATCTGAGATACAGTTCTTAGACCCCTTTCCCTTTTAAATTACATTTCTCAATACTCCCTTCTCATAGCACTCTTCTTCCAATGCAGTTTTTACAGTTATGTATATGTTGGTGTACTTTTTAGTTTTCTCGCAAGATATCAAGGATTTGTGAGATTGATAATTTGTAATAGGCCAGGCGCATGGCTCACACCTGTAATCCCAGTACTTTGGGGAAGCTTAGGCGGGAGGATAGTTTGAGGCCAGCCTGGACAACATAAGCGAGACCCTGTCTCTACTAAAAATAAAAAATTTAGCCAGGCATGGTGGTGCACACCTGTAGTCCCAGCTACTCAGGAGGCTGAGGCGGGAGGATGGCTGAGCTCAGGAGTTGGAGTTTACAGTGAGCTATAATTGTGCCATGACACTCCAGACTGGGCGACAGAGACACTCTTGTCTAAAAAAAAAAAGAAAAAAAAAAGAATGTGTAATAAATTCGCATGTTCACTGAATGTCTGCTGTGTGACTCTGTGTTGGTCCTGGGGATAAAATTTATAACAGTACAAACTTTTCTTGGAAAGGAAATTACTCTCTACTGGAAGGAAAAGACAAAAAACCAGTGGACATGATAATTAAATGTTATGATAAGTGCTACAGAGGCAATAAAATGATGAGATAGAGAATAATGGGTACCCTACGCTAAATAGGTGGACTGGGAGCAGAGAGACTGGTTAGGCATAATTTAGGGAAAGTTGATGGTGGCATGCTTTAAGACAGAGGTCTGCAAACTACTGCCTGTGGGCTAAAACTGGTCTGACACTTTTTTTTGTAAATAAAGTTTTATTGGAACACAACTGTGCCCATTTGTTTATGTATTGTCTGGTTGCTTTTGCATTACAAGGGCAAGAGACTGTATGGCCTACAAAATCTAAAGTAACAAATAGCTAATAACTGACTCTAGAGAAAATGTTTGCCAGCCTTTGCTTTAGAGAGATAGTGGCATGGAGGAAAGTGATTCATTTTTGAAGTAGAACCAGGATATTCTGATGGATTGGATGTAAGGAGTAATATTAAATGAGGTTTAAGGGCTGACTAATGGTTTTCTACCTTGAAAAGTTGGTTAGATGATGATGCCAGTTTTTTGTTTTTTTTTAAATGCCAGCTTTTTTTTTTATTATACTTTAAGTTTTAGGGTACGTGTGCACAATGTGCAGGTTAGTTACATATGTATACATGTGCCATGCTGGTGTGCTGCACCCATTAACTTGTCATTTAGCATTAGGTATATCTCCTAAAGCTATCCCTCCCCCCTTCCCCCCACCCCACAACAGTCCCCAGAGTGTGATGTTCCCCTTCCTGTGTCCATGTGTTCTCATTGTTCAATTCCCACCTATGAGTGAGAATCTGCGGTGTTTGGTTTTTTGTTCTTGCGATAGTTTACTGAGAATGATGATTTCCAGTTTCATCCATGTCCCTACAAAGGACATGAACTCATCATTTTTTATGGCTGCATAGTATTCCATGGTGTATATGTGCCACATTTTCTTAATCCAGTCTATCATTGTTGGACATTTGGGTTGGTTCCAAGTCTGCTATTGTGAATAGTGCCGCAATAAACATACGTGTGCATGTGTCTTTATAGCAGCATGATTTATAGTCCTTTGGGTATATACCCAGTAATGGGATGGCTGGGTCAAATGGTATTTCTAGTTCTAGATCCCTGAGGAATTGCCACACTGACTTCCACAATGGTTGAACTAGTTTACAGTCCCACCAACAGTGTAAAAGTGTTCCTATTTCTCCACATCCTCTCCAGCACCTGTTGTTTCCTGACTTTTTAATGATTGCCATTCTAACTGGTGTGAGATGGTATCTCATTGTGGCTTTGATTTGCATTTCTCTGAGATGATGCCAGTTAATAAGATGCAGGAAGACTATTAGTCACCATCATTTTTGACATTAGTTTTCTTCATTTTATACCCATTGTGTGGTATAATATTTGGTGAATAATTTGTGCTTAAATCACATATGTTGAATAATAGATAATAAAATAAGTCTTAAGAAATGATAGGGTAGGCAAACACATAATGGGAAATATAAGTAATGTGTTAAGAATTGCTGTAAGGGTTGCTTTAGGTTTTAAGGTGCAAATAGTACTGTTATGAAAATTGGGCCCATTGACCTATATGTTGTTCTACTTGTACAGTGGATCGAGGCTTTAGTTTGACATTAAAACACTCTTTTAGAATGGTGTAACAGTTGTCAACAGTTTGGGTCCAGAGAGTAGAGTGGGAGAGAAGGTTTTTCCCTCTGTACTCATTATTGTTATGGTAAAATAACCTCATCAAAGTTAGTGGCTTTACTTTTAAGGAACAACTGATGGATGAGGAATTTAATGAGCTATTCTTGCTTTAGATAGTATAAACATGTCATGTTGTAGTTATAAATATCTAACTGGAGGTCATCAGGAAGACCCTAGGAAACTGCCAGTGGTTATCTGATCTCAGTGAGAAATGTATAGGAAAAATAATTCCTAGTGTTCTTATGTTTGTAGCCATAGAATTATTTTTGGATTCTTGCCATAAGAAATTCCATTTGGAAAATTATTTTTACTTAGTTTTCTTTATTTGATACTTTTTAATTGTACCAATAGTATACTGTGGACTCCCTCCTCATTCATAGTGGTATATTTTCTGGGAAAATAAAATAGCTGTATGGTTAGTCACAGAATAAGTTCATAAAGAGAGAGGTAATACTCTTTAAAGTGTAATAGGATCTTTGCAGAAAGAGATCTTAGAATTCATCTCTTAAAGTAAATATTCAAAACCCGGAAGAGGAAAAGCTGTGACATCACTGTAGTTGAATTGGAGGTTCCCATGGTTAGCTGTATACAAGCAGTGGTTAAAGTAAAGGCTTAGAGGCAACAATATTGCAGTGAAAAGAAACAGCTGTTTCTAGAGAAAGGCAATGGAATAACTGTAAAAAAGACAGATGAACCACAAAGCATTGCTGTCCAGAGGATTTTAGTTTACTCATTACCAAGTCCTATTCACGATTACTCTACCATATCATGAAATATATGTATATATATATGTTCATGAGTCAGGAAGAATATTTTAGTCAGTGGCTCTCAACCCTGGCTGTGCGTCAGAATGATCTTTTGAATTCAACAATAACAACCAAACAAAACAATAAAACCAGATGCCCGTGACCCCTATCCACTGAATAAGAATCACTAGAGGTGGTGTCTAAGAATGTATATTTTTAAACTCCAGGGGAGATGATGACACACAGTTAGGGTAAGAACCACTGGAAATAAAGTATGTACCCTTTATTCTGTTTATTATAGGAGAATATCTGAAAATCTATTTTAGAAAAATATCTATACATGTTAGAATTTATCTTGTTCCAGTTTTTTGGAAAAGGCATTTATGTGAGGTATATATTGTTTCTCACAGCTGTGAATAAATGAGGTGTTACTTTATAAGCTAGCTTTGGAAACTTTATTTTCTTTATTCTTGCAGACATATGGCATCCAGGAGAAAGATGTCTTGCCCCTTCTCCAGATAATGGAAAACTTTGTGAAGCAAGCATAAAATCTATCACAGTGGATGAAAATGGCAAGTCATTTGCAGTCGTCTTATATGCAGATTTTCAAGAAAGGAAAATACCTCTTAAACAGCTTCAAGAAGTGAAATTTGTTAAAGATTGCCCTAGGAATCTTATATTTGATGATGAAGATTTAGAAAAACCTTATTTCCCAAACCGAAAATTTCCATCATCTTCTGTTGCTTTTAAATTATCTGACAATGGAGACTCTATTCCTTATACCATCAATAGGTATTTGAGAGACTACCAAAGAGAAGGAACCCGGTTTCTTTATGGACACTACATCCATGGAGGAGGGTGCATTCTGGGTGATGACATGGGACTTGGAAAAACAGTACAGGTATTTAATTATGTTATAACAGTAAAGTCACTTTACTGTGTACATGAGTGGATACTATATGTAAATCTTTATTTGTACTGCTGTTACGATAGCTATTTTGTGTGTTCCTGTGTATGTTTGTGTTTGTCTCACTAACTAGATAGTGAAGTCCTCAAAGTTGAGGACAATGTCTCAGTTATTTTATCATTCTTCAGTACCTATGAAATATTTTATTCCAAAATAATGTTTTGGTACCACTTGGTTTGATTTTACCTTTGGTAATACTGGTACTAAGATATCAATATATTTGAAGTCATTTAACTTTCTTCATACTTAATGGAAGGAAAGCATTCTAACATTTGTTATGCCACATAGCATGGTTAAATTGTTCCTATAGGCCTTTTGTGCATATTGTTCGAAGTTTATCATGTTAGAAGTTTCTTAATCTGGAATCCCTGGGTCACTAGCAGTTCTGTTTGTGAACTTCAGAGAGACTTCAAGATTCCCTAAAATGTGTACTAGAATTTGTACACATACATACTTTCCTAAAGAGGGGATTTGTTGTAGTTAATCTGTTTCTGTATAACAAATTATGCCAAATTTAGCAGCTTAAAACAATATTCATGTATTGTCTCACAGTTTCTGTGGGTTGGGAATCCAGCTGCCGCCTAGCCTGGTCCTGTAGCTTTGCCTCTCACAGGGCTGCAGTCATCTCAAGGTGACTGGGGAAGATTCACTTCCTAGCCCACCTGTTTGTTGGCAGGATTCAGTTCCTTGTGGGTTCTTGGCCTCAGTTTCTTGTGAGCTGTTGGCTGGAGGCCTCCTTTGCTTCCTTGACACATGGACCTCTTCATGGGGCATCTCACACAAGGTAGCTTGCTTCATAAAAGGAGAGCAAGTAGGAGGGCAAGAGACAGCACTAGTAAAACAGAAGTCATAGTCTTTGGTGATGTAATAACACAAGAGACATCCCTTCACTTTTGTCACATTCTTCTCATTAGAAGCAAGTTGCTAAGTCCAGCCAGAACTCAAGGGAAGGAGATTAAACAGGACTGGGAATATGAAGAGGTGGGTATTATTGGGAGTCCTGTCAGAAGCTGCCTGCTACAGGGTCTTTAGCTTTCCTTAGATTTTCAAAGAGGTTTGTGATCCAAGAAGAATAGAGTTTTGAATCTAGATTTTATACTAAACGATCACTTTAGATTTTCAGGAGTGTGTGCCTAGTTTGTGATTAAGTTATTCTGCTTCCTTTCTTATAATTGAGTTTAACTTATTTTCTTCTTCATATTACCTCCATTAGTTATTGGAACTCAAAGGTTTAAGTGGAAAACTAAATTTAACATTTATAAATAGCCAAATTTCAGACACCAATGATGGAATAAGGAAAAAGAAAAGAAAAAAAAAATAGCCAAATAATGCTACTGTGTGTAAAGGTCTGGTGTGAAAAACTAGGCTAAAATAAAGTCTTTTAATAATCATATTACCATTAACCATACTCTATGTTCCTTCAAGCCTAGGCAGTGCAGATAGTTTAGACATGCACACTGGACGTGCTAAATGATTGTTTGTGGAATAAATGAATTTACCTTCTTCGTTTATTCCACAAACTATCATTTAGCATGCCGGCCTGTAGGTGGAGGATAGACAGCAAGAATAAAGAAAGGAGCCTTCAAGAAATTACCTCTGAAACTGACCCAACAGTCCCACAGACAGTTTTGTTTGTTTGTTTGCTTGTTTTTGGATAAACATAGAAATTGACCCTTCTGGTCCTAAAGCTTTAAACTTGTATTTGTTTTATCTGAGTTCCTTCCTCAGGAAAGGACCCCCAGGCCTCTCAAAAAGTATCAAAGAACTGAAACTCACCAGATCGTAGAATTCAGACAGTGAGACACCAGGCCTCTCATTCATCAGATTACTTCCTTAGCCCTCCCAACTTCCTGTTTTCCCATACATTGTTACATTTCTTCTCTGCTGTAAAAACTCCTAATTTTAATCAGGGAGATGGATTTGAGACTGATCCTTGGCTACAGTGCCTGATTAAAGCATTTTTCCTTGGCAATACGTGTTGTCTCAGTGATTGGCTGGCTGTATGGTGAGCAGCAGGTCTTAGACCGAACCCGTGGTGTTTCAGTAACGCCATCTGTGACCAAGATTACAGATGAGTACTAGAGGAAAATTAATAAATTAATTAAAGCCCTGCTGTAACTGTTTTCGCATATACTTCTACTGTTTTTGCCTGTGGTAGAATGTTTGTTACCACAATTCTTTGATTAGCCAGTGCATGTTCAACTTCAAAATAAACATGAGGCTGGGTTTGGTGGTTCACACCTGTAATCCCAGCACTTTGGGAGGCCAAGGCGGGCGGATCACGAGGTCAAGAGATCAAGACCATCCTGGCCAACATGGTGAAACCCCATCTCTACAAAAATACAAAAATTAGCTGGGCATGGTGGCCCACGCCTGTAGTCCCAGCTACTTGGGAAGCCAAGGCAGGAGAATCTCTTGAACCTGGGAGGCAGAGGTTGCAGTAAGTCGAGATTGTGCCACTGCACTCCAGTCTGGCAACAGAGTGAGACTCTGTCTCACATACAAAAAAAGAAGAAACATGAGGGTACTACATACAAAAAGTGATCTGTTTGGGAACCACCATCCTGCAGCTTAAATACAATTCGAATTCAAATTCTTGCGCACATTTTAGTCTCAAATTTGAAGGCTGTCTTTCATCTCTGAGGCCCATGTTACAAAGAAATTTACTTTATTTTACAGTTCATAGGATTATTTTTAAAGGAGCTGATTTTACTGCAGAATTTTCTATTCCTGATACACTGTAATCATTGAAGGACTTGGAGATGTTCTGGTACATGCTGTTAGTGTGCTGTGCAAGTCTTTGAGGGAGTACCGTCTGAAGATTAGGAAATGGTTTCTGCACTAATTTTGATACTCAGATGGATTTGTCTGATGCTTGGGGACCTAGTTCTCTGGTTACTGTTGTTGTAACTCAGGGAATAATTTCTACATAGATAGGTGGTTTGAAAGACCCATTTAAGGTAGAGCTTCTATAGATAGATAAAGCTTCTATAGATATGACTAAGCCAGTTGAAGAAATGTGAATGATTACTGTGTTAACTAAAATTTCAGAATGTAGTAAAATTAATTGATAATGAAAATAGACCATTGACATTTACTGTTTGAGCTATAGTTTTATCTTCTTTTCTTCTTTTTTTTTTTTCCTGTTTCTTGATTTCATCCCTTTAGTTTCCCCCTTTTTATATTCTAATTTGGCCATGATATGAAACTGAAGTCTTTTTAAAGCTTGTTTTACATACCAAATAAAGTTTCCTTCCCTCATTTCAAATTTAAAAGTAGGTGAATTTAATATTTTACACTCTACAGGGGATGAGAATTGAAAAATGTCCATTTGTTCTAGTGACATAGAAATCATTGGTATGCTGAGCAAGAGCCATTTTGCTGGAGCTTTCAGACACAAGCCATAATGGAGTAGGTGAAGACGTGGACATAGAAAGAACGTATATTTACCTCTTTAAGAAATATGGCTTCGAAAGGGAATAAAAGTGACCTAGTAGTAGGTGAAGAGAGAGACGAGAATTTGAGGGGGTTTCTTTTTTGTTTGTTTTGTATTGTTTGGGGGTAGGAAAGACTTGAGTATTTTTAAGGTGAATTGGAAGGACAGATCTGGTGAAGAGGGCACAGATAAATATGCAACATACATAATGATATGCCCACATATACATGTACTTCTGTAAACACACACACAAACATACATATGCAAAAAATGGAGTCACATAATAACTACTATCTTATAAGCAGGTTGCAGATTTTTTTTTGTCAAAGATTATGAACTAATTTTTCCCGATACCTTCTGACATTTTTCTAAAACATAGAAGAGTTAAAAGAATGGTACAATGAAAAGCCATATTCTCACCACTTAGATTCTGTTAATATTTCATTATACATGGTTTTGTAATATCCATCCATCTTTTGTTGCATTTTAAAATAGCAGACATTAATACATTTTATCCCACATACACATATCCAAGAAAAGATCATCACAGCCAAGACGATGAACATGTCTATCACTCCTAGATTTCCTCATGTCCATTGTGCCCTTGATATGTTCAACACCATGCAGTTCATCACCTACTATTTTTGGTTTTAGTGGGACTGAAAAATTAAAGATACTTGAGGAAATTTTAATACAAAATCCAAGATTTTTATGACTATCTCCCAATATTTCACAGAATTTTCACATCTAATTCAACAGGTAACTTGAAAATGAATCCCTTTTGTACATTTACGTGATAATTAGCTAGTTTAAGTACAATAAACAATTTCACTGGAGTATACAGGTTTGGGAACCTGACCTTTGGTAATCAGACAACTCAGTGATAGGAAAAGAGGTGAGTGGGTGCTTACCATGGAGTAGTGGTTCTCTAAAGTGGATATTTGGGTCAGCAGCATTAGTGTCACCTGGGAACTTGTTAGGATTGTAAATTCCGGGGTCTCACTGCAGACATACTGAATTGTGAACTCGGTGGGAGTAGGAGAGGATGGCAATCTGTGTTTTAACAGATGCTTCAGGTAATTCCAAGGCCCACTAAAGTTTCAGAGCCTTTGCTCAGACGGTGTGTTTTTCAGAGGGTTAGAAAACTTTGATTAATCTGGTGAGTTCAGTGAACATTGGTTAAGGGATGTTTGGTCTACGTGAATCTTTTTTGTTGTTGTTCTCTTTTTGTTTTTTTGAGATGGGGGTCTCACTCTGGCATTCAGGGTGGAGTGCAGTAGCGAGATCTCGGCTCACTGCAAAGTCCACCTCCGGGGCCCAAGCGATCTTCCCACCTCAGCCTCCCAAGTAGCTGGGACCATAGTTGCTCACCACCACGCCCAGCTAATTTTTTGTATTTTTGGTAGAGATGGGGTTTTCCCGAGTTGCCCAGGCTGGTCTTGAACTCCTGAGCTCAAGTGATCTGCCTGCCTTGACCTCTCAAAGTGCTGGGATTACAGGCAGGAACTACTGTGCCTGGCCTCTGTGTTAATATGTATACATAGGATGATGATCATTTCATTTAAAAAAAAAATACATTTAGAAATGGAAATGATATTAGAGATAATTTTGTTCAGCTTTTTAACTTAGTACGTAAAACAGGCACAGGAATGACTTCCCTATCTAGGGTCAGGCACAGAAGTAATAATTTTCATTTCTATTCTAGAACTGTTATTTTTTTCCTCTTCTATCATCTACTGCCTTCTTTTGACTTAATAATACAGTTAATTAAAAGCCTTTTACTCAACTTTTAACCATTTGTTCAATTGGTTGACATTTGATAAGTACTCACTCTGGGCCAGGCACTGTGATTGGCACTGAAGAGCCAATATGAATATAAATGCATATAATACCTACTGTGATGGTTACTAGTGAGTGTCAACTTGATTGGATTGAAGGATACAAAGTATTGATCTAGGTTGTGTCTGTGAGGGTGATGCCAAAAGAGATTAATATTTGAGTCAGTGGGCTGGGAAAGACAGACCCATCCTTAATCTGGCAGGCACAGTCTTATCAGCTGCCAGCGTGGCTAGAAGTAAGCAGGCAGAAAAATGTGAAGAGAGAGACTGGCCTAGCCTCCCAGCCTGCATCTTTCTCCCATGCTGGATGCTTCCTGTCCTTGAACGTCGGACTCAAGTTCTTCAGTTTTGGAACTTGGACTGGCTCTCCTTGCTCTTCAGCCTGCAGACATGCTATTGTGGCACTTCGTGATCGTGTGAGATAGTACTTAATAAACTCCTCATATATCTCTATTCCATTAGTTCTGTCCCTCTAGAGAACCCTAATACACCTGCCTTACAGAGTTCACAAAAGAGTAATAAAAGGAAATGAGGCCAAGAGTCATCTAGTCTGGTAAGTGGGTTGGGGGGGAGAAACAAGCCTGCCTGGGGGTGTCAAAGAAGACTCCACAGGGAAATTGGTGTTTTCATACTTTGCTTTTGGAAACCCACCAAACTTTGAGTTTTGAATTGAGTTTTAATGAATTTTATTTTTTACTGAAGGCATAGCTCTAATATAGTATTTGAAAGGTTTATCACAAGAGAAGAGCTCAAATTCATTGAATCAAAATAATTTAGTTTTTAATGGTAGTGTGGTAATTAGCTTTTACAGACACCAAAATCTTAAGGACTACTATTAAGCAGATGCAGTAATATGTCTTACCATATTATTTTATTTTCTCATCTGCTATGCAAAGAAGATAATAGTACTTTTTGAGTAGCAGAGATAGAATTTTGCAAAGCATGAAGACATTCTTTGAATTTTTGTTTCTATATTATTAGATATTACATTATTGAAAATGTCATTACTGAAGGCTGTCTTATTAAAAAGATGTATAGTAAACCTCACTCTTGAGAGAAATGGGATTGCTGATAATTAAAGGTTTCTTAGGTTATTTTCAGTACCTTTTTTGGATAATAAGATCTTCAGTAGATTCAAAACATACTAAAATATGAAGGTTCTTGGGATCTCAAGTCATGTTATTCACTCAGGAATATAGTAATAAAGAGAAAAATAATATTGTCTTTATTTTCATTCATTGAGAAAATGCTATAATATCCAGTGTGGAAGGTTAATTAGCCCCCAGATCCCTGAGCCCTTTTAAGCAGAAACAAAAATGTACTAGTATTTCACAGATAAAATTGTATTTCTTCTTTTGGCATGTAGTTCTGATTTTAGGGGAGAGCTTTGTAAAGATAAGTGAGCTAGACCCCATTTCAAAACAGCACTTTGTGGTTTTTTTTTTTTTTTCAAAGCGAGCAAAAATACTTTTGAAGTGTGGTTCTGAACCACTCTCTCTGTACCTTTGTATCTCCCAGGAAGTTGAAAAATAAGGTAGTAAACATTTTTTTCTTTTTGTTCTGTAAGAAATAGACAATTTTTGCTATGCCTTCCTCTTCTGGTCTAAGGGAAGGTTTATGCCCTTTTTCCCAGCCTCAGATTTACTCAGTATGTCATGAGCTGACTCTGTGAGGAAAGATGACTTATAAAACTGTTGGCTTGACAGAGTTTAGAAAGGAATACATGTAAAAACAGAAAGCTTTCCCAGAGTGATATTTCATTTCTGAAATGCAGTTTTTGGCCTTTCACTATTCTAGAGGTGACTGATTTAAATATTTGTTTTTGTTCTTTTCATCTATAAGCAATTTTAGAACTATTCCACAATAAAACATGTTCTGGCTTTTTCTTTGCAGATAAGTTTTGTAAACCTTCATTGTAAATGTGTCTTTAGTCTTCTGTGAATTAATATTTTGATAGACCTCTACTGGACCACCATAGTGTGGTAAGATGGCTAGATCTCCACCCAAAATACATATTTCCTTTGCCTTCTTAGAGTTTGGGCTAGCTGACAGAGACTGCATTTCCCAAATCTCCTTGCATGTCAGTGGAGCTTGTGACTGGGTTCCGCCAGCAGAAATAAGGGTAGAAGTGATGAGTGCCATTTATAGTCCTGGTCCATAAAATCCACCTGTGCTGTTCTTCACATTCTCCCTTCCCTAACTGTCTTTTGTGTATTGACACTTTGCTGCTAGCATTACCACAATACCTATTAGTATATTTTAATTAATATAATTAATATATAGCTAAGAGTTTGTTAGTGGTTTTAGCTAGCTTCTCCAGTTTGTATTCTCAACTAAAGTTTATTACTATTTCAACTTAAGTTTTTCGGGGGTGGGTGGATAAGTAGTGTTAAGAGGTAGTGTAGATGATTTAAATGAGATACAAAGATTTTTAAAAATCATTAGTGGATTTAGTGAATTAAATAAAGCTAATCTATACTTAGAGTTTATAAATTTAGCTGCCACATATGAAATATCTTCCAAAGATCTGAGATTCTTAAACACAAGGAACATTTCACATATCTTTGTTTTAGAGAATTTGACAAATGAAGTTAGAATTAAGATCGTATATCACCTTGGATAGATGAGCAAATTGAATTATGAATTTGCACAATTAGGAATATAATTTTCCTATAATGAAACAATCTGTAGGTGAGTTAAGAGCAAATCAGTGGATTTGATCTTATATTACCTCATTTAAATTGTTATGGTATCTAATAGGTATCTCTCTTGTCTTTTCAGTAGCCTTTGAGGACCAGTTGCCTAAAATTAAAAAGAGTATATCTGTCAATATATGTGTGTGTGTGTGTGCATGTGTGTATCTTTAATTCTTTAATTAAGGTACACTTAAACTGTAAAATGCACAGATCTCAGGTATACTACTTAATGAGCTTTGACAAATGTCTATGTCTGTGTAACTAATATACTAATCAAAATATAGGACAATTCCATTACCCTAAAAAGTTTTTTCATGCCCCTTTCCAGTCAATATGCCAATTACCTATACTTTTAATTATAAATTTTCTGTGATCAGTGTAAAGTTATATTCCAAAAGGTAGTTAGAACCCAAAATGTTATGCTTATTTACACCATCAAGGAATTCAGTAAATTCTAATATTAGGTGATGTATTTTTAAATAGAAAACATAACTTTAAAAATATTTATAAAATGAAAATTGTGAACATGCATCAAAGATCTTTTACTTAGGTGGTGTTAACAATATTTAAATTGTCCAATGCCTAAACTCAGTTATTTGTGGAGTATCCGTTCTCTTTCTTTTAATTTATGTTCTACATCAGCCAGTTTGCGCACATTAATCTCTCACTGGATTCTTTAGTAACTGTTTATTTTCTGTTCATTTGTCCACTTTTTTCTCAACCATGCTCCTTCAACACATCTCCTAACTACCTCTTCCCTGTCACCCCAAATCAGCTTGATTTCATACTACTGAATGATAGAAATAGCCTTTCATCTAGACTATTCCAGCATCTAGAAATAGCCTTTCACCTAGACTATTCCAGCATCTTGGTATTGAGTAGGTAATAAATATATTTTTATTGAATGTGTTAGTGAATTTTAAGTTGAATTGGATAACATTATGGTTCTATGGTTATAACTTATATTGCCTATATTTGCCAGGCTCTATGATAAACATTTTCCATTAAACATTCATGTTAATTAGATATTCTTGCCTCTATTTAATTGGTGAAAATATTAAAATTTATAGAAAGTTTATGTAAATTGCCCAGTGTCACATAGCTAGTATGAAACTGGTTGGTCAGACACCAAAGTCTTTGTGATAAGTCCTGCAAATTGACATGCGAATTTTGTTAGAATATTTTAAAACTTAGGACAAGTTTAAACCATCCTATTTTTCATCTTTTTATAATATTTTAGACAACATAATTTGCAAAAGCTACTTTGTTTATTATATACAAGATCATATGCAAGAAACAAAGCCTTCTACCTTAAGGAATGATGCCAGAAAAATAGCTAATGTGTTTTTGTTTTTTGAGACAGTGTCTCGCTTTTTTGCCCAGGCTGGAATGCAGTGGTGCAGTGTTGGCTCACTGCAGCCTTGACCTCCTGGGCTCAAGTGATCCTCCCCACCTCAGCCTCCCGAGTAGCTGGGACTACAGATGCGCACTACCAGGCCTGGGTAATTTTTGTACTTTTTGTAGAGGTGGGATTTCACCATGCTGCCCAGGCTGGCCTTAAACTCCTGAGCTTGCCCGCTTCTGCCTCCTAAAGTGCTGGGATTAAAAATAGCTACTGTTTGCCTGTAATCCCAGCACTTTGGGAGGCTAAGGTGGGCAGATCACCAGTGGTCGGGAGTTCAAGACCAGACTGACCAACATGGAGAAACTCTGTCTCTACTAAAAATACAAAATTAGCTGGGCATGGTGGCGCATGCCTGTAATCCCAGCTAACTCAGGAGGCTGAGGCAGGAGAATCACTTGCAGCCGGGAGGCGGAGGTTGCGGTGAGTCAAGATCGCACCATTGCACTCCAGCCTGGGCAACAAGTGTGTCCCTAACTCTGTCTCAAAAAAAAGCTCCTGTTTATTGAATCATTGATATTTACTGACTTGACACTTTACGTACATACTTTTTAACTTTTTTCTAGAATAAAAATAATTCTGATTACACTGTAATACACAAACGCATTCTTATAAAAATGCAAGCTGTAATTTTTAAATTGAGGATAAGTCCACACAGCATTAATTCATTATATAAAATGATTAATTGAGTGCATTTAATGCATTCAGAATGTTGTGCAACTCCCACCTCTTTCTAGTTTCTGGGTTGTTTCCACTTTTAGTTATTATGAATAATGCTTCTGTGAACATTTGTATGCAAACATTTCTCTTGTGTGTATTCCTAGAATTGGAATTAGTGGGTTTTATGGTAATTCAGTGTTTCTTTTTTTTTTTTTCGAGGAACTGCAATACTATTTTCCACAATGGCTAAAACATTTTACATTCCTACCAACAATTGTCCAGGTTTCCTATGCCTCCACATCATTGCCAACACTTGTTATTTTTTGGTTTTCTTCATTATAGCCATCCTACTATGTGTTAAGTGGTATTTCATTACGGTTTTGATTTGCATTTCTGTAATGGCCAATGATGTTGAACATATTTTCATGTGCTTTTTTGGCCCTTTGTAGATCTTTAGAGAAAGAAATATATATTTAAGTCTTTTGCCTGTTTTTTAATTTCATTGTCTTTATTGTTGAGTTGTAAGAATTTTTATGTATTTTGGATACTAATCCCTCATCAGATATATGATTTGCAAATATTTTCTCTCATTCTATAGTTGTCTTTTTATTTGCTTGTTATTTTACTTTGATGCACGAAAGTTAAGTTTTATGAAGTCCAATCTGTTTTTTTATTTGGTTGAACAAGTTGTAATTTTAATGTATGTGTAAATAAATTTAAAAAATAGGACTATTATTTCTATATGTTATTCTACTCCTTGTTTTTTTCACTTAAACATAGGTCTTGGAGATCTTTTTATGTTGGTACATAAGGATTGTCCCCATTCATTAATTAATAAATTACTGCATACTATAGATTATATGTTCTGTAACTTATTTTACCATTCCTCTAGGGACCTAGGGAGAAGGATTTTTGGGTTGTTGCCTATTTTAGGAAATAGCAAATAGTGAATATCTGTAGGATAGAATTCTAAGAGTATTTCTCTGTAGGATAGATTCCTAAAAGTCAAGTTTCTCGGTGAAGTGTATAAATCTTTTTTTTTTTTTTTTTTTGAGGCAAGGTCCTGCTCCCTCACCCAGGCTGGAGCGTGGTGGTGATCTCAGCTCACTGCAACCTCTGCCTCCTGGTTCAAGTGATTCTCATGCCTCAGCCTCCCAAGTAGCTGGGATTATAGGCATGTGCCACCACACCCAGCTAATTTTTGTATTTTTAGTAGAAGCAGGGTTTCACCATGTTGGCCAGGCTGGTCTCGGACTCCTGACCTCAAGTGATCCACCCACCTAAACCTCCCAAAGTGCTGGGATTATAGGTGTGAACCACTGCGCCAAGCCAGATGTGTCTATTTCTTTTAATCTGCTAGTTTTACCTTCATATATTTTGAAGCTCCGTTATTAGGGTCACAAACCTTTGTGATTGTTATATCTTCCTGATGAATTGACCATTTTTTTACTATGAAGTGTCCCTTGTAGACAGCTCTTTTATTCATTCTGACAATCTCTGATATTTAATTGGAATATTTAGTTCATTTACATTTAATGTAATTCTTATGTATGGATTTGGATACAAATCTGTTCATTCAGAAACAGTCTGATTTGCCTTTTGGGTTGATATGATATTTTTTAGAATTTTATTTTAATTTTTCTATTGACTTTTTATCTATACTTCTTTGCTTTTTATTTTTAGTGGTTGCTCTAATGATAAAATATACATTCTCAACTTCTTGCAATGTACCTAATAATGTACTGCTTCAGATAAAATATGTTTCTTGTAAATAGGTCATTCTATTCTCATTTTAAGGAATCTAAGAGTTAGGAATGCTAAGTGTAATGCCTAATATACCTAGCTGATAACTACCTAATACCTAAATTTCAAAGGTTAAGTCAAACTTATATTTGCAGAATATACCCAGTTTGGTTTTGGTATATATTATTTCCTTTTTTAAATTTCTGTGTTCTGTGTGCTAATATTTTGTTTAAGAGTTTGGCTTCTATATGAGTAAGATAAATTGGCTTGTAAATTTCCTGTATTATAATGTTCTTGTCAGGTTTTCTTATCAAAGTTACGCTGAACTCATAAAACGAGGTCACAGTATTTTCCCCTTTTTCTAAACCCTGAAAGGGTCTGTTACAGATTGGCATTACATTTTTCTTAAGCATTAGGTAGAATTTGTTGGTGAAACTATCTGGCCCTTAACTTTCTTTGTGGAAGGTTTATAATTACATATTCAGGTTTATTTCATGGTTTTATGAGTATTTAAATTTCCTTTTCTTGTGTTGGTTTTTGATAAGTTCTATTTCTAAATTTCCTCTAAATTTTACATTTATTGGCAAAGCATTATTATGGCTTATACATATTTTTTGTTTGCCTTTTCTCTATTTTTTCTTCATCAATTTTGCCAGGGGTTTATTGAAAAAATTCTTTCAAAGGATGATCATTTGGCATTGTTGATCATTTTCATTGTATGCTTTAGTAATTTCTGCTTTTTTGTGTTAAATTTTCTGTTATTTTCATAAGTTTTTGAGATAGATTCTTTGATAACTGATTAATAGTCCCTCTTCTTTCCTAATACAGATGCTCCTTGACTTACAGTGGGGTTATGTCCCCATAAACCCATTGTAAGTTGAAAATATTATAAGTTGAAAACACATTTAATACACCTAACCTACTGAACGTTATAGCTTAGCCTATCCTACCTTAAACATGCTCAGAACACTTACGTTAGCATATAGTTGGGCAGAATCATCTAACACAATGCCTGTTTCATACTAAAGTGTTGAATCTCATATAGTTTATTGAATATTTTGCTAAAAGTGAAAAACAATGATTGTATGGGTACTTGATTTACAGTTATACTGAATGTGTATTATTTTTATACCATTGTAAATTGAAAAATTGCAAGTTGAGCTATCATAAGTTGGGGACTGTCTGTAATATTCATTTAAGTCCCTAAGGTACAGCTTTAGCCATATTCTACAAATTCAACATGTATTGTTACTCATTATTTAATTCAAATATTTTATAATTTATATTGTGAGTTGTTTGAACTCTGTTCCTTACTGTCCAAACATTTGGAGATTTTCTGCTTATATTTTTGTTATTTCTAGTTTCTTGTATTGTGATCAAAGAACATATTCTGTATGGTTTCTGTCTACTGAAATGTATTGAGACTTCTGTGGCCTGGCATATGTCAGCCTTTTTTTTTTTTTTTTTTTTTTTTTTTGAGACGGAGTTTCACTCTTATTGCCCAAGATGGAGTGCAATGGCGTGATCTTGGCTCACCGCAACCTCCACCTCCTGGGTTCAAGTGATTCTCCTGCCTCAGCCTTCCAAGTAGCTGGGATCACAGGCACACGCCACCATGCCCAGCTAATTTTTTATATTTTTAGTAGAAACGGGATTTCACCATGTTAGCCAGGCTGGTTTTGAACTCCTAACCTCAGGTGATCCGCCCGCCTCGGCCTCCCAAAATGCTGGGATTACAGGCGTGAGCCACTGCACCAGGCCCGGTATGTCAACTTTGGTAACTATTTCGTGGGTACTTAAAATGAAACTGCTTTGCAGTAGTGTGCAGTGTTCTAGCAAATATTCGTTAGGTGAAGGTTGACAATCATGTTATTAAAGTCTTCTGTATCTTTACTGATTATTTTGTTTGTTCTTGCTGAGTTATTTTAAAATCTACCATTGTGCTTGTGGATTTGTCTACTTTTATTTCAATAAATTTTTCTTTATTGATAAATTTAGACTTCTTAAAATTTCCAAGTGAACTAATTTTATTATCAATATTAAGTTAAAGTGTGCCTCTTTAATTTCATAATGCTTTTTTGTCTCAGCATCTTTATCTGATATGAATATAGCTATATCAATTTTCTTTGATTTTTGTTTACATGGTCTGTCATTTTTATTTTCTTATTAGAATTTTTATCCCTTTTTTAAGAAGTTTTTCTTGTAAATGACAAGGAAATATATTTTATTTGGACAGTCTTTATCTTTTGTTTAGACAGTTTAGTCCATTTCCATATAATGTGCTTTCTAGTATATTTGGATTTAAACTTAGTATTTTACTGTTTGATTTTTATTTATTCCATGTCATGTTTTTCCCACTTTTTTTGTGTCCTTTTGGGTAGATTGTTTCCTATTACTTTATTATCCCCTTTTATTAGGTACACATTCTTTTATTCTTCTATTAATGATTACCCTAGAGATTACAACAGATACCATTGATTTATCATAATCTAACATAAATTAGTACTTTAGTTTCCTCCCTACAGCATAGTGACCTCAGAATATTATAACTACACTTGTGCTCCTTCTGACTCATATACATTTGTTGTCATAGCTTTTTTTTTTTTTTTTTGAGACAGAGTCTTGCTCTGTTGCCCAGGCTGGAGTGTAGTGCGCGATCTCGGCTCACTGCAAACTCCCTCTCCCAGGTTCACGCCATTCTCCTGCCTCAGCCTCCCGAATAGCTGGGACTACAGGTGCCCGCCACCGGGCCCGGCTAATTTTTTGTATTTTTAGTAGAGACGGGGTTTCACCGTGTTAGCCAGGATGGTCTTGATCTCCTGACCTCGTGATCCACCCACCTTGGCCTCCCAAAGTGCTGGGATTACAGGCTGTCATAGCTTTTAACCTGTTACTTGATTTCAACCAAACTTTTTTATTGTTTCATAATGTCAATCAATGTACATATATATTTTGTATATATTTACCATTTTTGTTGCTCTTTATCTTTCCCTGTGTCACCGATCTTCTAACTAGAGTCATTTTCCTTGTACCTGAAAACATTCTTTAGTTAGTTTCTTTAGTGTGGCTCTTTTGGTGATGAATTGGCTCACTTTTTGGTTGTCTGAAAATCTTTACCCTTCATTCTTGAATATCATCCGTAGGTATAAAAATATAGGTTGCTTTTATTATCACTTTGAAAATATTCTGTTGTATAGTATCTTCCATTCTTTTTCCTGCAAGGTCAGCTACTTGTCTATTTGTTTTTTTGTTTGTTTGTTTGTTTGTTTTTTGATTTTTTTTTTTTGATTTTTTTTTTTTATTTTGAGACAGGGTCTTGCTGTGTGGCCCAGGCTGGAGTGCAGTGGTGCAGTCACGGCCCACTGCAGCCTCATTCTCCTAGGCTCAAGCAGTCCTCCTACTTCAGCTTTCCAGGTAGCTAGTGATACAGGCATGAGCCACCCTGTGCCCAGCTAATTTTTCTAATTTTTGTAGAGATGGGGTTTTGCCATGTTGCCCACGCTGGTCTCAAATTCCTGGGCTAAAATGATCCTCCCGTCTTAGCCTCCCAAAGTGCTGGGATTACATGGGTGAGCCACTGTGGCCAGACCAGTTGTTGCTTTTTTGTAGGTGATCTGTTGTTATTTCTTCTGGCTGCTTTTAACAAACATTTTGCTGTCTCAAGCACCTGCTTGTGGTTTTTTGTTTGTTTTTGGTTTTCATTTTGTTTTGGTTTTGGTTCTGGTTCTTGGAAGAAGATCTTGAATCTGTGGCTTGATTTTTAAAATCAGTTAAGTTTTCAGCTTTTATTTCTTCAGATACTTCTGTATCATTTCTTTTCTTCTATCATTTGGGATTCAGATTATAGGTATCCACACCCTTGTTAAGTATACTTTTTTCTATAATTTTTCTAATTCTCACATAGTTTTTTGTTTTATATAGTTTTTCTTCTTATTTATTTTTGTAAGGTAATGATCAGTTATTTTCTTCCATATGGATACCTCATATACCTTTCTTCCCAATCTTTAAAACAACCTTGCCAAAATTATTTTTTGCCATTTTTACAGATATTATTCAGAGAGGTTAACGCCCTTGCCTAACTTCACAGAGCAGCCAAGCAATCAGAGCTAACATTTGAATCAAAGTCAAATCAATTTAGTATTTCTTGCTCTAATTTATTATATGAGGTTATGGTTCCTTTTTTCTGTTTTGCTCACTTGATTTTTGGAGATGAGCTGTTATTCAAAATGTTGCATACATTAATGAATTAGTCTGTCTTAAAATAACATTTTTCCATTTCACCTATATTTATTAGATAAATAGAAGTGTACAAATTTATGGGCCAAATATTATCCCCCTTAAGGAATTTATTTTCTACATGGAAACAAGAATGTATACAGTTTATTCTGATAGAGGATACGAAGAGATAGTTTCCATGGTTAGAAACAAATAAGAAGGTAGTGTCTCAAGTGATGGAATTAAGAAAGAATTCATTGGGTAGGTAGAAGTTATGAAAAGAAAAGATGGTAATGTGAGGATTTTTGTTTGTTTACAAGAGTGAAAAACAGTTTGTTATTACAAATAAAGAAAATCAGTACTAATATTTCATGTTCTATTTCCCCCAACAAATCTCTTTGTACATACTTTGTCACTAATTGAATAGTCATGTAAGCAGTGAAATTTTGTACGTCATGATACATTATACACAGTGATTGAAAAAGTCTTTTTTCCCCAGGTTATTTCATTTCTGGCTGCAGTTTTGCATAAAAAGGGAACTCGTGAGGATATTGAAAATAACATGCCAGAGTTTTTACTAAGAAGTATGAAAAAGGAACCCCTTTCTTCTACAGCAAAAAAGGTAAAATCTCTAGACAATGTATATTCTACTCATGATGCTGGTATTACAAAAGCATATAGAAATATTTAAATATCACACATTAAAATGTATTGGTATACATTTTAAAACCTAAGAATTTAAAGATGTTATTAAAATATTTGTTTTATAGGCCTAATTTTTGAAAGATTACCAATTTTATTCCCAAGTTAAATTTGATTGACTGTCATGGCAAAACAGAATTTCAGCTTGGTTTTGCTTTGAGGTTTTAATCTGTTGGTTGGCTGGATTTACATGATTTACTTAGGTTGATTTGTTAAACTTACAGAATGTATATGTAAAGTTAATTGAAACCTTCATTATATTGTTTTTTATTTATGTGAGAATGAAAAGGCGATAGTTACAGATATTGGTAACAAAAGTGCGTCATTGACTTATTTCAAGTTGCCTAGCTAATTGCATCCAAAAAATATGAAATAAGTTCTACCAATATAGGAAAGTTGGAATCAGAAAGACTAGGTAGGTCTGTGCTTATTTCTCTTTCTGCCCATATGACTGAATGCTATTCATATCCATACTTCAGTTTTCTTCTTCATAAACGTATGTTTATAAATACGTTATATATGATTCTTACAAAAAAGATTTCTAATAAAGCAATGAAATATAAAAAAGTATATTATACTTACATGTCTTTTAAAAAATATTATCCTCAGCCTCCAGGAAACCAGATAAGAATAAAAATGAAGTGATTTTATGAAATCTTTTATTATATTTGGTAATGAGCTACTTACAGCAAGTTTTAAAACAGACTCTTTTATACAAGTCTTATGTACAAGATTGCTGAGAAGTCCAAGTTTACTCTTGTCTATCATAAAGACCATTTCAATGCAAACTTTTCAGAACTACTGGCTTAAGATATAATTGCTATCATTTTAAATTCTCTTTATTTTTCAGTAGAATAAATGCATCCTGAGTATCAGATTCAATGTGATCCTGAAGAGAATAATGGTTCTTAATGTATTTTAAGTATTCAATAGCTCAAGTACTGTTTTTAGCTCTGGATTCAGTTGTTCCCTGGTTCTAAATGTCACCACAGAGCCTATATATATCTCTTTTATGCCACTGTGACAGCAGATAGAAGAGAGAACAAAGAAGGAAAAGTAATATTTTAAATATATTAAAATACTTAAAGATATTTAAAATATTATAGAACAAGAATGGGCCAGGCGCAGTGATTCATGCCTGTAATCCCAGTACTTTGGGAGGCCAAGGAAGGCGAATTGCTTGAGCCCAGGAGTTAAAGACCAGCTTGGGCAACATGTCAAAACCTCTTCCCTACTAAAAATACAGAAAATTAGTCAGGTGTGGTGGTGTGTGCCAGTAGTCCCAGGTACTTCGGAGGCTGAAGTGGGAGGATCACTTGAGCCTGGGGAGGTTGAGGCTGCGGTGAGCCATGTTTGCACCACTGCACTCCAGCCAGGGCAATAAAGTGAGACCCCTGTCTCAAAAAAGAACAAGAATGAAAGAAAAGAAAGTTAACAAAGATACTCATTTGATAATGTGGTAAAATATGCTTATAATAGTTACCTCAGTTGACTCCAGTTCCTCTCCTTCCTTCTTTCCTTTCTTTCTTTTTTTCTCTTTATATATATATGTGTGTGTGTGTGTGTGTGTGTGTGTGTGTGCGTATGTATGCATATGCGATGTATCATATCACACACACACATATACAGTTGTCCCTTGGTATCCATGTGGGATTGGTTCCAGGACCTCTCTTGGGTACCAAAATGTGTGGATTCTCAAGTCCTTGATATAAAATAGTGTATTTGCATATAACCTGTTATCCTCCCATATACTTTAAATCATCTGTAGTTTACTTAGTGCAATGTAAAGTCTACATAAATAGCTTTTATATTGTATTGTTTAGGAAATAATGACAAGGTCTGCGTACATGTTTAGTGCAGATGGAATTTTTTAGTATTTCAATTTGTAGTTAGTTGAATCCACTGATATGAAACCCACAGATATGGAGGAACTGTAAATTCCTTGCTATAATGTACATTGCTATTTACCTTCTTCAGTTGATTTCTTAATTTATTTATTTTCAGTCTTTTTGTATTCTAATAAATTACCTTAAAGCTATAAGTGTTCCTTTGGGCCAGGCATGGTTGCTCACACCTGTAATCCCAGCACTTTGGGAGGCTGATGCTGGAGGATCGCCCAGGAGTTTGAGACCGGCCTGCGCACCATAAGAATACCCTGTCTTTACAGAAAATAAAAAAATAAAACAATTAGCCAGGTGTGGTAGTGTGTGTCTGTGGTCTCAGCTACTGGGGAGGCTGAGGTGAGAGAATCGCATGAGCCCAGGAGTTCTAGGCTGCAGTGAGCCGTGATCATGCCAATGCACTCCAGCCTGGGCAACAGAGAAGACCCTGTCTCAAAAAAAAAAAAAGTTCCTTTCAGTACTCCTTTGTCTGTGTTCTATAGTTTTTAATATGTAGTTTTTTCGTTAGTCTTTTCTAAATTATCTGTGGCCCTAATTTTTATTCTCTTTTACCCAAGTACTATTTGAAAGAGAAATTAAAAAATTTCCAAGTGAATAGCTATTGTTGGGGCTCAGGATGATGGGAGGGCTGAACCCTTTTTGACAATTCTAGTTTTGTTGCATCAGATAACAGCCTTGATATTTTTTTCTTTGTGATTACATCCATGGATCAGTTTTTATGCTTTGATGTAGTGCATTGTGTAGTCTCTGTTGTTTTAAAATGTTGCTTATATTGTGCATTCTTTGTAATCATGGTCACATGGTTTTATATATTTCTATTTAATCATGTTTGTTAATTGCATTGTTAAAATGTTTAATAGTGTTATTTTCTTCTTGTCTGAACAGTTGGATCTGGAAAGAAAAACGTTAAATTTTTTTATTTCTCTTTGTGTTCATACCAACTTTTTCTTAACGTCTTCAGTTAATTCTTCAGAGGCCAGGTGTGGTGGCTTGTGCCTGTAGTCCCAGCTACTCAGGAGGCTGAGGTAGTAGGATCACTTGAGCTCAGGAGGTTGAGGCTGCAGTGAGCCATGACTGTGCCACTGCACTCCAGCTTGGGTGACAGAGTGGTACTCTGTCTCAGAAAAAAAAAAAAAAATTCTTCAGTAAATTTTATGTGTTTGTATATTGCTCTCACACTTGATTATCCATAGGCTTATCTGCCTATGGAATTTTAAGTTCAAAATTTTCTTTTATAATGACAAAACATCTTCTGTCACTCCATATTGCAGATGAGAGTTCAGTGTCAACCCGATTTTTTTCCTTGGAAAGGATTTTTTTTTTAATTGTTTGGAAGTATTAAGGACTTTTTTAATTGATGAAATTTGGAAATTTCCATGAGCCCTAACACTCACCATAGAATTCTTCCAAATAAGTTTTGCTTTAGAAAATATATATACAGTGCTTTATGCAGGGAAAGTTGCATACTGATGCTAGAATCAGTTTCTTTGATGACTGGTGTAACTTTTCCTTCTTAAAATTACTTGGCCATTATTTTTCTTGACTTAGTCTTTCCAACTACCTTAGCTGTTTTGTTGAGTTTTGTTTTGCTTGTTGTTGTTTTTAGGTTCCTTCTAGGAAAAGTAAATTTTTTAGCGGGGGAGGGCAGGGGGAGTTTTTGCTTTCAGAGGTGTAGGGCGGATTGCTCAGTTCTTCAGGTGTGCCAGTTCTCATCTGCTCCTGCACTGTTCTGACCTGCTGGTACTGCCCTTCCAGGCATTCTGCCACTATTATGGATTTATTATGTTTGTTCTTTTGTTTCATTGGCATCAATACAAACGTGTTGAGTTAGTCATTTGAACTGGAATTTAGAGTTTTTAATGGCATCACCAGTGACATTCTACAGTATTTCCCAGAAGTAAATACAAACAAAAATTATAACTTTGAAAGTTTTAAAAGATAAATTTGTATTGGTTCATTTAAAACAATGTATGTTTTAAAAAGACAGTTTATGAAATGGAGAAGAAATCATTTCTTTTGTATTTATTATGCTAATGCCAGAATTACAATTGAATTCTGAAAAATTAATGTTGAAGCTTGTTGAAGAAAGCCCTTTAATGAACTGAATGTTACAAATTAAGGAGTGGTGGGTCTAAGGTATGTGTGTGTGATACGATACATCTCATATACATTTAAAAACTTTTCAAGTGTGAATAAATCATCTGAATAAGAATGCATGAATGTTTTGTGCCAAGAATAAATTCTTAAAGGAAAAGACACAAGCTCTACATTTTAAACATTGATTTTTGGAATGGTTCTTTAGATGTAGGCTAAGTTTTGATTGAAATTCAATTTTTATGAATCATAATAAATTTATTATAAAATATTACTATCTTGCATGATGAAGCTTTAGAGATTCTAAGTAAAATTCATAATTAATGCAAAAGAGGAGGATTTTTGTAGCAATCACAACACCAGCATCGGAAGCAATTTCAATGACAATTTAACAAAAATATTTTATAATTATTTTATTTACTATACACTATTTTTTTAGTTCTTCATATGTACCAAGAGGATTATGTTGCACATGATGCTACCGTGAGCATCCTTATGCACAACTTTTGCAATAATAACTGTAGGATAAATTCTTAGTACTGGAATTGGATAGCAGGTAGAGCTGGATTTAGGGGATTACTTTTTGATAACTGGAGTTAAATTACCCCATATCCCCACGAGTGATGTATAAGAATGTCTGTTTCCACCTTTTCGTTTGCACTAGGTATTAGCAAACATAAATTTATGACTACCTGAGAGATTTAAAATTTTTATCTTGCTTTGATTTACATTTCTTAATGAGTGAAGCTGTAGCATTTCAGATGTTTAAAAGCTATTTTTAAATCTAATTCTCGTTTTTAATCATAGTCCTTGATTAATAGTCCTTAACGATATATCCTGGAATCTAATTTTTTGTTCATTATATATTTTGAAAATATTTCTTCCCCATGTAGAGTCAGCTTTGAATTATTTATTGATTTTTTAAAAATGTTTATGTGGTTACATGTATTGGTCTGTATAGTTTCTGGGTTTTATGTTTGCCTAGAAAAGCCTTTTGTACTCTAAATTTATAAATACATTCATTCATGGTTCTTTTATAATATGTGTGATTTTATTTTATACCTTTATATCTTTGTTTCAGCTAGAATTTATTTTGCTGTAGGTGTCTAGTAATCCAATTTTATTTTCCTCAGTTGGTTAACCAGTTATCTTAATGTCATTTGTTGAGTAAGCCTGCTTTTCCACAGTGATTTGAAGGGCCACTTTGGTGTAAAATTAAACTCATTTCTATTTCTAGACGTATTATTCTGTCCTAATTATTTGTTCATTTCTCTTCCAGTGCTAAACAGTTTTAGTTATTTTAGCTTTATAATGTAATTTATTATTTGGTAGTTACTCCTCAAGTTTTCTCAACTTATGAAAAATAAATTTTCTCAAATTTCTCCTCAAAACCTATTGATATATTAGTTGATGTTGTGTTGAATTTATAGTTAACTTTGCTTGTCATTTCCATTCTTATATTTCTTATTTACTTCTCTTTTTTAATTGCAAGAGTTGATATTTATTGATCTGGTTTGTAACTTTCTGTTTTGATAGAATATCAAGTTTTGGCATAATGCCAAACTTTAATACTTCATATAGTACTTAGAAAATAGAAGGTGTTCAATTGATGAATGAATTAATAATTGAAGCCATACATGTCAGTGCTAAGTTAGGACTAATAATGTATGTTCAGAGGACAGTGACAGTAGAGTTGAAACAAAGGTTTCACATGGGAAGAAGTGTGATATCAAAATGAAAAATAAATTATACCTTTACAGAAAAATTACAGAATGTAAAATTGGAATCTTTGCTAGAAAACTCAAAGTACTAAAAAAAAAGTTTTCGTATTTATCTCTACAATCTTAACTCTCTCAAAAATACCCAACATAGGTAATTAATTTATTTAATGCCAAAACTTGATATTCTGTCAAAAATTAGGCTGTTTTTATACAAAGGACTTGGAAGAGCCCCTGACTACAGTGGATTCTAAACTGAAATTTCTGTATATGAAATAACTGCAGCATACTGAAGGAGAAAATGATCAGCTATACACACAGTAGGGTGTAAATTAATTATGTTAGGTATTTTTGAGAGAGTTAAGGTTGTGGCGATAAATACAAGGCTTTTTTTAGACCTTTGAGTTTTCTAGCAAAGATTCCAATTTTATGTTCCGTAATTTTTCTGTAAAGGTATAATTTATTTTTCATTTTGATATCACACTTCTTTCCACGTGGAACCTTTGTTTCAACTCTACTGTAATCTCACTGTCCTCTGAACATATATTATTATTCCGAACTTAGCATTGACATGTATGGTTTCATGTATTCATTCATCAATTGAATACCTTCTATTTTCTAGGTACTATATGAAGTACTGAAGTTAAGGTAAATAAAGTTACACATCTCAAGGACGTAGACTTTTTGATTGAAGGTGCTAACAGGATATGTCATGGTAGTTAAGAGTTTTAGAATTAGGCAGACCTGGGTTCAAATACTTACTTTGCTACTTAATAGCAGTATGACCTTGAGTGTGTTGCTTAATATCTCTGTACCTCAGTTTCCTCATCTGTGTTTCTGGGTAAAGTCCCTGAATTAATTTCTGTAAACTACTTCTAAAGGCCTTGGCACACAGTAAGTGCTCAATAATTGTTATGTTATTATTAATACTATTACTACTTCTGCCACAAAAATTGTCACGTTAATCTTTGAGTATCTCATCACAGTCCACACTACATCATTCTTCTATGCCGTGGTTCCTGAGGAATCAGATTTGATAGAAAACTCCTTAATAATTGAGCAAGATTTATTGAAAGATATAAATAATTCAGTATTCTCTAGTTGCATTATTTAACCTAGCTTCTGTTAATTTTAATAATACGTAAGCAAATGAATTTTAATTTTATTTGTGTTAATTTTATATTCAGTTTTATAAAATTGTATTTTAGCTTCAGAATAAGAATTATCACCCTTCCCCCATGTCTACAGCAATACCACTCTGAACACACCACATCTCGTCTGATCTTGGAAGCTAAGCAGGGTCGGACCTGGTTAGTACTTGGATTAGAGGAATAGCTCCCAGAGTTGCTTTGTGTGTAGTGACTTAGCAGTTGGACACTGCTTTCCATTTTATTATTTTGGCATCATTTGCTTAAAAAAGACTTATTAAATGAAATATTATTTATTGGATTGTAGGAAATGCTAAGTTCTTATGTACTTTCCCTGGACTCTGCATAATAGCATAACTCAGTTCTCTGACATCTTTCACTACCAAAATGAATTTTTGAACCATTATTTCACCTTTCATAATTTTGAAGACCAATGTTTGTAAGAAATATCAAGAATTATGTTGCCACCTTAATTTTTAAACATCTTCTGGAATCTTAGGGCTGATGCCAGGACTCTTTAGATTCATTGGCACCTTTGATGAATGGCCTCTCAAGTGGAAAACTACTAAGACTGCTCAGATGCAATTTGCACCTAGCATTGTCATCTCGTAATATACAAAAAAATCAAAGGGAGACACTGTAATTGGACTTAGTAATTGGAGGCCTAATTTCATATTTGAAAGTTAAAAATGGAAATCATAGGATTAACCTTCACCCAAAGGACGGACATACTTGAGATGAATCAAGTATAAGAAGTACTTACATATGCTTGATGATGGCTTGGGAAAAAGGAACTCTCACGTTCAGCATGTTGATTTTCTTTCGTTTTCTTCTTTCTCTTTCCAAAACACAGTCACAAATTTGACTTTTTAGAGTTGACAAATGGCCTAGGTTAAATGTTTCACAGAAAACAGAGCAGAATTTAGAGCAGTATTGTATTATTTCTTGGTTAAACTGAATTTTTTCAGTATGTTTAATTGGTTCATCTCTATCAAGTAGATCAAGTATAAAACTTTAGAAAATAATCGTACTGGTAACCCTATTAAACTTAACAGGATAGGAATAGTGGTAACAGGGAGAAATAAAAACATTAAAAAGTTAAAATGGTTGATGACAGCAGGATTCTGGGTTAGTACAGGAAAGGTACATGAATGTGAGGAATAACCAGAGAGTTACGTTGGTAATCCTCAGAGGGACTGATTTGGTAGGCATTATTAGGGCACAAGTCCCATTTACCTGAGTTTCAAGAGAGAGCAGGAGGAGAGTTAAGCACTGATAACTCTTGATCTTTGCTATAGGGAGAGTAGAGTAATGAGGTAATAGAGATAGATGTTGGGTTAAGGAAAAGAAGTTTTAAAAAATTTTTGTTTTTCGGATTTTTTTAACCCTGGGAAATATTCTAACATGCTTGTCCATAGGTGATGTGGTTCATTAAAATGGAAAAGTTAATCAGGTAGGGGAGATTGGGGGCAGTTTCTGCAGCATTGACTTTAGGTTGGCAAGAAGGAATGGGAGCCACTGTATGAGGGGTTTTTTTGGAGAAGAACATGAGCAGCGTACCCATGGCAACAGGTGGGAGGGCAAAATATATGGAAATGAATATAGATAGGTTATTGATAGGATACTGAGAGAAGTTCATCCAGGAAGTTTTCTTCTGATTGCTTCAATTTTCCAGTGAATTTTCCAGTTCTTTAACTGAGAGTATCTGAAAGAGGGGGAGCGGAAATGGGCTAGGAAAATGCAGAAGGAAAGAGAGCTCCAGGAGACCATATATTTCAAGAACACGTGGCCTGCTTGTGTATGTACATTACCCACTTGGCCTTTGAAGCTATTACTGGGATCCAGATTTTATTCTTTTCTCTCTTTTGGAAAGTTACTTCTCTCTCATTTCTCAGTGCCTTTTTGGTAGGGGGAAATAAAAAACACGTGTTTCTTTGAGCAAGGTTAGGTGTCTGTCTTGTCCTGATAAAAAGCTAATTAAACAGCAAATTATTTTTTGAGAATCTTCAATGTCCAGATATAGCTAATCACTCAGTTGTATTTATTGTTACTAACTAGATGTCAAAATTAAGGAAGAGGACTATTGATATTGATATTGTGGATTTCACTTTGGGATTCTTTTTCAGTTTTTAAAAAACAGCAAAATTTTTTTATTCTTGTTTTAGATGTTCTTAATAGTTGCTCCTCTTTCTGTCCTCTACAACTGGAAGGATGAATTGGACACCTGGGGATATTTCAGAGTCACTGTTTTACATGGAAACAGAAAAGATAATGAATTAATTCGTGTAAAGCAGAGGAAATGTGAAATTGCTCTAACAACTTATGAAACACTACGCTTATGCCTGGATGAACTTAACAGGTAATGGGAATAATAGGAATAGGAATGATTGTATTAATAGTCTACTTACATCCCTTTATATTAAGAGTTTTTTTTTTTTTTTTTTTGAGACAGAGTCTTGCTTTTGTGTTTTTAGTAAAGACGGAGTTTCGCCACGTTGCCCAGGCTGGTCTCGAACTCCTGAGCTCAGGCAATCCACCCACCTCAGCCTTCCAAAGTGCTAGGATTATAGGTGTGAGCCACCGTGCCAAGCCTATATTGTGATTTTTTAAAAAGGAATAATGATGATTCCTTTGCTTGATTTAATTTCATTTTAGAATTATTGAAATATTTAGTTCATAATAACTTACTCTCTGAGAAGGAAAAACCTGCATCAGGTTTTCTAGAACTTCTTATTCTATTTCTTACATTGAATACAGGATACTTCTTCAAACACTGATTGTTAAAGAATGATAAGACTTGTCCTAAATCTCATGTACAGCCTTTTATGCAGACACTGCCTCTGAACTAGGTCAGTAATTTTCATGAATTATTTCAATTATGGGAGTCTGTTGTGAATATAGAGGGGCAAAAACTACACACACACACACACACACACACACACACCCCCACACCCACACACCCACTGTAGCATAGAGTGTGAGGGAGAAGTGGCCAAGAGGTAACACCAGTGAGATAAGCAGGGAAAAGATTATAGAGAGTATTGGAAGGTACTTTGAGGATTTTGATCTTTATCCTGAGAGCAATAGAGTGCCCCCTACAGTGTTGTCAGCAGATTACCGATAGGATAAAAATGATCAGATTTGCACTTTGTAAATACCTTAGCTTCTGTGTGTGCAGATAAAGGAGAGCCAAGCTGAATGGAGAAGGACCAATTAAGAGGCTTGTTATGTGCTGAATTGTGTCGCTTCTCCTCAACCCCCATTCCACAATTTAAATGTTCAGGTCTCAACCCCAGCACCTCAGAATGTAACTGTGTTTAGAGACAGGTCTCTTTGATTAAGTTTTAAAGAGGTGATTAAAACCGAGGCTGATTGGGTGGGGCCTGGGTCCAGTATGACTGGTATCCTTATAGGAAGAGAAAGAGACACCAAGGACACACACACACCACAGAGGAAGGGACTTGTGAGGACACAGCAAGAAGGCAGTCATCTGCAAGCCAAGGGGAGAGGCTTCAGGAGAAACCAAATTTGCTGACACCTTGCTCTTGAAATTCGAGCTTCCAGGATTGTGAGGAAATAAATTTTGGTTGTTTTAAGCCATCCAGTGTGTGGTATTTTATTTTGGTAGCCCTAGCAAACCAATACAAGGCTTTTATAGTAATGTGGTCACGGGACCATGGTAGTGAGGTCTGAAGTCTTCATAGTTGTTCCAGCAGTAGGCTGGGCCTTGGTAAAATCATTAGTTTCCATCTGCTTGTAGCCTAGATTTGTCTCTACAGGGATACAATTTATACCTTTTAGGTGAAGATTAAAGCATGGCATTAGAAACAGTTATCTAGTAAGTCTTTAAAATGTTTAGACATTATAGTTATACTCAATTTGAACTACTGCTAATGAAGGAGTTAATGATATTCCCCCAAAGTCAACCGAAGTTTAGAAAATTGGTAATTTTTTTAAGGTGATACTTTCACATCAGCATTAAAATGATTTAGCATAGGATGAAAATGATGAACAATTGATAGTTGTCTCAAATTTTATGAGCACACAAAAAAGAGAGTAAAAAAATCACTAATTAGCCATGTGGCTTTGGGTAAATTAGCCCATCTGGAAAATGACAGAGGATGAATTAAATCAGTCTTTGTGAAAACTAGCCCCTCAAGCCCAGCTGGAGAGTTGTATTAAAATCAACTTTAATGAGAGTTAATTTGTGTAGAATAATTATGCCATTTCAGGAATACAATTTGATGAATCTTGACCAGGGATTGGTAAACTTTTTCTGTAAAGGGCCAGATAGTAAATATTTTAGGCTTTTGGGCCACATATAGTCTCGGTTGCATATTCTTCTTTTTTATTTTTATGACCCTTTAAAATGTAAAAACTATTCTTAGCTTACTGACCATACAAAAGTGGCCACGGGCTGGATTTGGCCATGGGCAGTAGTATACTGACTCCTAGTTTTGACAAATGAGTGCAATCACTATCCCAAACAAGGTAAAAACTATTTTTATCATCCCAGGACTTTTCTTTTACCTCTTTACAGTGGCTTTTCCTCAACCCTCACCTTGGGCAACTACTGATTTTAATTTCTGCCACTTATAGGTGAGTTTAAGCTATTACGGAGCATGTCAATGGTATTATACAGGAAGCACCCTTTTGTGTGTGTCGCATCTTTTGTTCAGCATGTTTTTTGAGATTCATTCATGTTGAGGAGTGTATCAGTGATTGTTCTTTCTTAATGTTGCATTGTATTCCATTTCATCAATATTCACATTTTGTTACCCATTCATTTGAGGATGGATTTTTGGGTTTTTCCAGTTTTGGATTATTATAGATAAAACTTCAAGGCATATTTGTATGTAAGCCTTTTTTGGACATATGTTTTCATTTCTCTTGGAGTAGAATTACTGTATTATATGGTTAACTGTAGGTTTAGCTTTAGAAGAAACTCCCAAACCATTTTCCACAGTGGTTTTACTCCAGCTAGCAATGTGTGAGAGTTCAGTTGCTTCGTATTCTCAGCAACGTTTGGTATTGTCAGTCTTTTTGTTTTAGCTGTTTTAGTAGATGTGTAGTAGTATCTTGTAGTGTAATTTGCATTTTTCTGATCCATGTGCACTTGGAAAACAATGTTCTATAGTTATTGGATGTAGTGTTTATAAATATCAATAAGACTAGATTGGCCAAGATGTTGCTTAGGTGTTTTCTATCTTTGCTGATTTCCTTTTCGATTGGCTTACAGTATCTGAGAGAGGAGAGTTGAAATCTTCAGTTGTAATTGTAGATATGTTTATTTCTCCTTTCACCTCTGTCAGCATTTAATTTAGTATTTTGAAGCTCTTTTATGAGGTGCACATGCATTTATGATTGTTATTTTTTCCTGATGAATTGATCCTTTTATCTTTAAAAAATATACCTATTTATTTCTAATAATATCTCTTATCTTGATGTTTTATCTGATATGAGCATAGCCATATTGTGGTACATTTCAGTAGTTTGTTCCTTTTTATTGCCGATGGTACTATTATATAGCTATCCCATATTTTGTCCATTCACCAGTTGATGGACATTTGAATTGTTTCCAGTTTTTGACTGTATGACTAATGCTGCTGTCTTATGCTGAGTCTTATGCTTACTGCATGTAAATAGCTTTTCCTGTTTTTATTGCAGTATATCTGTTCTTAATATTTGGAGTGAGTCTCCAAATATTGCTTTTTCATCCATTCGGATAATCTTTGCCTCTTATTTGGGTATTTAGACCATTCACTTTGAATATAATTATTGGTAAAATTGGATATGGAGCTACCACTTTTGTCAGGTCTGGGATTTAATTTTATAAATCAAACTTACAAGCTAATAAATTAGCCTGTTACTATTTCATGGATCCTGACAGAAGACTAATCTGAGGCATAGAGAGGTTAAATAATTTTTCTAGGCCTTCACAACTAAGTCAGTGGCAGACATGAGGACTGAACCTTGACCATCTAACGCCAGACCTCAGGTTTTGTTTTGTTTTCTTTTTGAGATAGAGCCTTGCTCTGTTGCCCAGGCTGGAGTGCAGTGGTGCTATCACAGCTCACTGTACCCTCAGTCTCCCACCTCAGCCTTCCAAGTAACTAGGACTACAGGCATGCGCCACCATGCCTGGAAAATGTTTTTGTTTTTTGTAGAGACAAAGTCTCCCTGTGTTGCCCAGGTTGATCTCAAACTTTTGGACTCAAGTGATCCTCCCACCTCGGCCTCCCAAAGTGCTGGGATTATAGGTGGGAGTCACCATGCCTGGCCAAACCTTAGGTTTTTAACCAATATACTGTACCACCCCAAAAGATGTTTTGCAATTAGATAAATGTAATAAATTCTTCTATCATAGCATCAGTCATATTTTAATTATTTCTTACCTGTCTGTCCCCTTAGACTGTAAGCTCTTTGGTGTAGGAAATTTTTATCTTTAATTTCTGTATCTCAGTACTTTTAGCACATAAGAGTTGCCAAATAAATGTTTTTTAGGTGACTTTTTTTCTGATTGTTATAAATATTGTTATAAATATTAAATAAGAATTCTGAAGTAGAATTATGTAACTATAAATCATATATTTATAAGATTAGAGGAATGTTTATGATTTTATATTTATTTATTTAGTTGAATTTATTTGTTCAAATGCCTTTATTTTGTTTGTGTTTGGCAAATATTTAAAATAATTAATATTTTACCTGAGCAAATATTAAGTTGTTTTTGTGAGGATAGTGCTCTGTGCATTTATCACAGATACTCTGTGGAGGGGATGAACGTGCTATGAACTGAATGTGAGTGAGCTGTAGTTTTTTTCTTATTGCTGTTATATTTTTTACTTCATTTCAGTTTTTATCAAAGTTAATTATGTATATGATTTAAAGAGCCAAACATGATAAAAGGCTTTTAGTGAAAAACTGCAGTTCACTGTCCGCCAATTACCTTTACCTCAACTCTTACTGATCTTCATAGTCTTTACTTCCTTATTGCTAAAGAACATGTTTATGCTGCAACTTTTCAATTTTTCTTTAGTTTTCAGCATCATCTATTGATTTCTTTTTAAGGAAAATTAGGATTTTTGCCCTTCTCTTGCCCGCTTTAGGATGACCTGGCCCATCTACTTTGTGCAGTGGGAGGATTCTTAAACAGACTATTGAACATTTACATGACTCCAATTTCCAGAGGCATCTGGAGCCACCAATTCTTAACTTTTCAAGAATGTGTAAATAATATGAATTAGATTGCTTCTTGGCTTTTTCCACTATTGGCATAGGACACTAGTCTCTGCTTTTGTCAGCCATCTTGTCCATGTTCTTTTTAGCTTCTAGAATTTTTGCTATTTTTCTCCTGTCTTTGTTCTTGAGGCTTCTAGCTTTTTTCAGCTTTATATTAAGAAAATGATGAAACCTATAGAAAAGTTAAAATAACAGTACATGAGCATCTAGATTCCAACAGTTTTGTGTGTGTGTGTGTATGTATGTATATACATTCAAATGTTGGCAAAATGTAAGTTAATGTATGTAAATGTGTGTGTCTATGTCTATGTCTTTGTGTACGGTGGTGGTAATGAGTCATTTCAGCAAGTTGCATAAAACATGACATCCTTATCCCTAAGTATTTTAGCATGGATTTCCTAAAACTAGTGATACTTCTTGTCATACCACATTATCATTGTCACACACAAGAATATTAATAGCAATTAAAATTTCCTCAGTTATTCTCAAAACATCTTTAATATCTTATGTTTATAAAGCAGGATTCAATAAAGGTTCAGGTGATGAATTTGGTTGTCTGTTTATTCTTCTAATCTACATCATTTTTCCAACTTGTATTTTTTAATTATATGACTTTTTGAGAGGACCAGGCCAGTCAGTTGTTTTAGGATATCTCACATATTAGATTTGTCTGATTACTTTCTCAAGATATATTCATCTGTCATCTGTATTTTAGTAAAGTGGTTTTGGCCCAAAGGCTTAAATAGATTCAGATTAAACATTTTTGGCAAGAATGCTTCATAAATGATGCTGTGGACTTCATATTGCATCACTTCAGGAAGTACCTAATGTCAGGTTGTTTCACTGTCAGTGATGCCAAGTTTGTCCCACAGGTTAAGAAGGTTACCATCATCAGATCTCTCCATTGTAAAGATATGTTTCTCCCTTTGTAATGATCAAATAATCTGTGGAGTGATACTTTGCCACCATTTAAATATCCTGGTATCCCTCAATCCTTTTACTTAGTAGTATTAGCACATACAAATTGTTCTTGTCTGAATCAGTTACTTTATTATGTTTGGCAAAATAATATTTTTCTAATTTTATTATTTCTTTTCTACACATTAATTACCGGTATTCTCCTGTAAAGGAAAGCTTTCTCCATTAATTAGGAATTAACCACAATTTTGACTTTAAAAAAGCAAGGTGAATGCTCGATTCTTTTTCTTTAATGACTAATTTTTGGAGTAAGAAGTTAGCATAATGGTCATCTACAATGGTGGCAAAGTTTCTTACACCCTTCGCTTGCTTGCCCGCTTGCTTGCCCGCTTGCTTGCTTTCTCTCTTTCTCTCTTTCTTTCTTTCTGAATATTGCTATGGACTTGAGGATTATTGAAGTATATTTGACATAAAACGTACCCTTGTAAGTTAGAATGATTTTTAGTGAATTTTAAAAGTTGTGCTATTACCACAATCTAGTTGTAGAACATTTCCATCACCTCAGAAAGTTATTTGTCTATAGTCAGTCCCTGCTTCCATCTCCAGTCCCTGGCAACTACTGATCTGCTTTCTCTTTCTATAGATTTGCCTTAACTGGGTATTTCATATAAATGGAGCCATTCAATATAAAGTCTTTGGTGTCTGGCTTCTTTCACTTAACATAATGTTTTTGAAGTTCATCCATATTGTAGCACATTTCAGTAGTTTGTTCCTTTTTATTGCTGAATGGTACTATTATACAGCTATCCTGTTATTTTGTCCATTCACCAGCTGATGGACATTTAATTGTTCCCAGTTTATGGCTATACAAATTTGCTGCTGTGAACATTCACATACAAGTCTTTGCACCTAAGTTTTCATTTTTCTTGGATAGATACCTAGGAATGGAATTGTGAGGTCTTATGCTAAGTATATGTTTAACTTTTTAAGAAACCGCCATCTGTTTTAGAACAATCGCTGTGCTTTTCCAAAAGCAGTGTTTGAGGATTCTGGTTTCTCCACATCCTTACCAACACTTGATATTGTTAATCATTTTTATCATAGCCATTCTAGTGGGTGTGTTGTGGTATTTCATGTTTTAATTTGCAGTTCTCTAATAACTAATGATGCTGAGAATTTTTTAATGTGCTTATTTGACATCTATATCTTCAGATAGACATTTGGTGTCTATTAGAATCTTTTGCTCATGTTTTAATTGGGTTGTTTTAAATTTTGTTGAGTTATAATAATTTTTTTTTTTGAGACGGAGTCTTGCTGTGTCACCAGGCTAGAGTGCAGTGGCGCAATCTGGGCTCACTACAACCTCTGACTCCCTGGTTCAAGTGATTCTCCTGCCTCAGCCTCCTGAGTAGCCGGGACTACAGGCACACGCCACCGCGCCCAGCTAATTTTTGTATTTTTAGTAGAGACAAGATTTCACCATGTTGGCCAGGATGGTCTTGATTTTCTGACCTCGTGATCCACCCGCCTCAGCCTCCCAAAGTGCTGGGATTACAAGCATGAGCCACTGTGCCTGGCTGAGTTGTAATAATTCTTTATATATTCTGTATACAAGTCCTGTATCAGATTATGATTTGCAATATAGTCTGTAGCATGTCTTTTTATTTTCTTAATGGTGTCATTGGAAGAGCAAAAGTTTTTAACTTTGATGAAGTCCAACTTATCACACTATTTTTAATTGACTATAAGTTTTGTGTCATATCTAAGAAATACGTGCCTAATCCAGAGTCGCAAATTTTTTTTCCCATTTTTTAAAAGTTTGAGTTCATATTTAGGTCTGTGATCTGTTTTTAGTTAATTTTCATGTGTGGTGTGAAGTAAGTGTTTAAATTCATTTTTTTCATAGAACTCCTGGATTTTTGTTTATTCAATATTTTCAATTGTAGTCAATATTTGTAACAATGCTCAAATATTCCAATTAGGCTGGCGTCTCTATTCTTTGGACATATTCGCATTTGTCTTTAGATACATCTGTGCTTTTCGGCTGTTCAGTGTTTCCCCCAACATATGCCTGAAATCAGCTGTTTCTCCATTCTTCCGTGAGGCTCTCATTCCTTTCAGTAAAGAGACCACTATGGGTGCTCATTGCTACTGGGGTAACAATCAACTCTAAACTTTCTTAGTGGACAGGGCTATGGAATACAGCTTTTAAAAATCATGAGTTTATATTGATATTTTTCATTCAGAAAAATATTGCAATAAAACATTGCAAGTTTTATTTCTTTTATATTTGTTTTTCTGGTTTGTTACTTTAAAAAATTCCTTTATTGTCATTTCAGTGATGTTTAAATGAAATTTTTCTTTTTACCATCATTAAAGAATGTCTATACCCTTTCTTTTCTACGCATTTTATTTTTGTCGACTGTCCAAGGGTGTGACCATTTAACTAAGTGGGTAAGAATCCAATGGAGTCATCAAAGAGTAAAAAGGAAAAAATAATTCCAAAACTTTGATAGAGAAAGCTACTGTCTAAAATTGTAAGGACTAAGAAAGGAAGTTTTCTCAACCTCACCCTTCTTTTTTCTTACTTTATAGTTTGGAATGGTCAGCTGTCATTGTGGATGAAGCTCATAGAATCAAGAATCCAAAAGCTAGAGTAACAGAAGTTATGAAAGCTTTGAAATGTAATGTCCGCATTGGCCTCACTGGAACCATCCTTCAGAACAACATGAAGGAACTGTGGTGTGTTATGGACTGGTGAGAGAAAACACTTTTTAAAAAATTGTTTAATAGTTCTTCAGCTGAATACGGTCTTGTTTGCTAATCATTAGTTTCCAAACAAACGAAACAGTCATTTGTCTGGTTTTAGATGTGTTTGATCCCAGATGTGGTATACACAGTAGAGAGTCCCATGAAAACCTATCTTTATATATATTACTCTTGGTCCCTGAAGTAAATATACATGTTCACTGCCAGTTTCATCCTCATATCATAGTTAGAACCTGAAACTGTCGTAAAGAAAGAACATTCTGTTTTCTTGGCTTTTGTTTTTGTTACCGTTGATAATCAAGTAATGTAGTATATCTCTTAGAAGCAAGAAGTTAGTGTTTTTAGATAATAAAGCCCTTACATTTTTCTTATTGTCTTTATAAAGGGCTGTGCCAGGCCTTTTAGGGAGTGGGACCTACTTCAAGAAGCAGTTTTCTGACCCAGTAGAACATGGTCAGAGACACACGGCAACAAAGAGAGAACTAGCCACTGGCCGAAAGGCCATGCAAAGACTTGCCAAAAAGATGTCTGGCTGGTTTCTCAGGCGCACCAAGACTCTTATCAAGGATCAGTTGCCTAAGAAGGAAGACCGGGTAAGAACCGCATTTGTATATATTATTAATTTGTGGTCATATTTTTTTTTTCCTTTTTAAGAAAAAGTCTGTCTCCTGTGGCATTTTGTAAATACAGTTTTTTGCCTTTTATTCTGTATGGAAAAAATTGTTGCGCGCAGAATTTCAGAAACCATTGATTGAGCTCAGTTGTTTTCCTTACTGACTTTATTAACCTGTTAGCTAACAGGTTTATTATTAGTATACATTAAACTCATTTCTCATCAAAACCTTTTTTTTTTTTTTTTGAGACAGAGTCGGGCTCTGTCACCCAGGCTGGAGTGCAGTGGCGCGATCTTGGCTCACTGCAACCTCCGCCTCCCAAGTTCAAGCGATTCTGCAGCCTCAGCCTCCCGAGTAACTGGGATTACATATGTGCACCACCACGCCTGGCTAATTTTTTTGTATTTTTAGTAGAGACAGGGTTTCGCCATGTTGTCTAGGCTGGTTTCGAACTCCTGACCTCAGGTGATCCACCTGCCTCGGTCTCCCAAAGTACTGGAATTACAGGCGTGAGCCACCGTGCCTGGCCTCATCAAAACTTTTGATGCAGTTTTTCCCCAGTAAAGAAGGAAGAGCTTCTCTCTGCAGTGTGTTTTCTGTTCACACGTTGTCCTTCCTATACTGTGTACTATCCACCACACAGTGTATTCTTTGGTACCTTAATTCTAGCTGTAGGATCAAAGTGGTTAAGAGCTTTTTAAAAAATATATAGGTTTGTTTCTTGTAGAATGCTATTTGCAGTTACACAACTAACCTAACTTTTAGAATTTGTAGGAAAACTACATTGTTAAATTGTTCAAGAAAATATGAGGAGTGGACTTCAAGAGGATTTTAAAAAAATATAGTAGTCTTCTTTTATAGTTCTTCATCTTGTGTTTCTTCTAGCTTGGGCAATGGAATAAAGGTTCTGTAGATTACTATGGAACTAAACCTAATTAATGTTGTCCCAAATAAGGGCAATCCTATGAAATGCCCTCTAATTTTAGTGTATCCTCTTGATTGTTTCTTTAAAAAGATAGATTTGAAAGGAAAATACGATATTGATATGCAAGTTGGGGAAATAGATACATCTGACTTTTGATATTTATCTAAAGCAAATATTGTTACTAAATTGAGATACTTCATGAACTCTCACTTTTAAAAATGTTTTATGCAACTTCATATATGTGATTTAGCTATCTGTCTAGTAGGAACAGTACAAAAGTATAAGAAAAGAATTGTTCATAGAGGTTTAGAGCTTGGCCTCTGAAATCAAATACTATTTGATTAGAGTATTTGTGACTTGCAGCACCTCTGCTTAGAGTTTTGTGACTTGGAGCAATTTGTGAGGCCCTGGAACCTGGGTTTCTTCCTCTGTTAAATGGTAGTGATGATAATAGTGCCTGCCTCACATGGTTACTCTGAAATGCATGACACATAAGAAATATTGAGTAATTGGTACTATGTTTAATAATAATAAATAACTGAAGATACCTTTGTACTTCAATCATTGACCACCAACTTCTATATTCTCTTTTTTTCTTATATGTACTTTTATATTTAAGGTTGGGGTCAGGCTGTACTAAATATTTTATATAAACATTTTTTAAAAATCTAGCATCAGGAGGGGGCAGGCTGGATGTGTGCTGCCATGCATCCTTCTTCAGTCTGGTTTGGGTCTTTAAAAAATAAAAGATAAAAATAGCTTCCAAAAGAGTTGTGGTCATCCTGGCTAAAGGAGCAGAGGAAATGGAGGCAGTCAGCCCTGTAGACATGATGAGACAAGCTGAGATTAAGGTCACCATTGCAGGTCTGGCTGGAAAAGACCCACTACAGTGTAGCTGTGATGTTGTTATTTGTCCTGATGTCAGTCTTGAAGATGCAAAAAAGAGGGACCAAATGACACGATGTTTCTAACAGGAGGTAATCTGGGTGCACAGATTTTATTTGAGTCCGCTGCCTTGAGAGAGATACTGAAGGAACAAGAAAACGAGAAGGGCCTCATAGCTACCATTTATTCAGGTCCTGCAGGTCTGTTGGCTCATGAAATAGGTTTTGGAAGTAAAGTTACAACATACCTACTTGCTAAAGACAAAATGATGAATGGAAGTCATTACAGCTACTCTGAGAATTGTGTGGAAAAGGACGGCCTGATTTTTACAAGTCGGGGGGCCTAGGACTGGCTTCATGTCTACTCTTGGGATTGTTGAGGCCTAAGAGCCAAAGAGGTGGTGGCTGAAGTGAAGGCTCGACTTGTTCTTAAAGACTAGAGCAGAAAAATGTGACCATCAGTTAGAGAAATAAGCCATTTGGAATCCATTCTCATTGTGTTTTTTAAAAACAGAAAAATGGTAGGTTAATATGCTCAGAAGCCATCATCAGTCCTGCTGTTGTGAAGTAACAACTACACAGAGATTTCTCAACCTACAAATTGTGTCTGTTTTTTTTTTTAAGACGGAGTCTCACTCTGTCACCCAGGCTGGAGTGCAGTGGCGTGATCTTGGCTCACTGCAAGCTCCGCCTCCCTGGGTTCAAGCGATTATTCTGCCTCAGTCTCCCAAGTAGCTGGGACTACAGGCGCACGCCACCATGCCCGGTTAATTTTTGTATTTGTAGTAGAGACAGGGTTTCACCATCTTGGCCAGGCTGGTCTTGAACTCCTGACCTCGTGATCTGCCTGCCTCCCAAAGTGCTTGGATTACAGGCGTGAGCCACCACGCCCGGCCTGTGTCTACATTTCTGAGCCTGTTTACAGAATAAACATGGCATTTAGGGAAAAAAAAAATTAGCATTGTTTTATAGAGACATTACTGTATTTGCTTGTATGCACCTTTGCCTGTTTATTGCCAATAATCTGATGTAGTGATATAAGCATACAAATATTTACAAATATTTATATGTTTCTATTTTACAAATAAAAAAATGTCACTGCTTTGTCCCTGAAGTCAGGAAGTGCCTTGCCAGTAAAGGACTACCTTTTAAAGTTATTTTGATGTTGGATAATCCTTGTGGCCACCCAGAACCCCATGAGTTCAACATCAAAGGCGTCAAAGTGGTCCACTTGCCCCCAAACACAACATGTCTAATTCAGCTTCTAGATCAGAGGGTCATAAGGACCTTTAAGGCTCATTACACCTGGTTCTCTATGGAAAGGATTGTCAATGCTGTGGAGAAGAACCCTGATAGAATATCATGAATGTCTGGAAGGATTACACCATTTGAAGATACCGTCGTTGTTATAGAAAAAGCCATGAAAGCCATCATTCCTGGAATAGTAAATTCCTGCTGGAGAAAACTGTGTCCAGATGTGCATGACTTCACAGGATTTACAACAGAGCCAATCAAATAAATCATGAGAGGCAAAAAAGGTGAAGGGTTTCAAGAGACGGATCTTGGAGAAATTCAAGAGCTAATTTAAAGAAATTCAGGACACCACACCAGAGGAATTAATCGAAGATGACTTGATGCAGATAAGTGCTTTCAAACCAGTGCCAGACGATGAGGAACAAGACGCAGAAAAAGCAGTGCCAGAAAACAAATTGACATTAAATAATGTGGCAGAGGGATTCTGATTATTTGAGACTGCTTTTGACTTCTTTTATGACATGGACCCTTCTATGATATGGGCACTGAAACTAAAGCAAATGGTGGAAGAAGGACTGGCACCATATAGAAACATTTTTTTAGAGAAATGAAAAGCAGAAATGTCAGACAGAAATTACGACATGTTTCTGTAAAGTTACACCAAGTGTGCCTGCCTCTCCTGCCTCCCTTGACTTCCTTTTCACTTCCTTCACCTCTTCATTTCTGCCACCCATGAGAAAACAAGACCAGCCTCTCCTCTTCCTTATTCTCCTCAGCCTACTCAATATGAAGCCCTTTATGATGACCTACTTCCACTTAATGAACAGTAAAGATATTTTCACTTTTTTGTGATTTTCTTAATAACATTTTCTTTTTTTCTAGTTTTATCGTAAGAATATAATATATAATAGATACACAAAGTAGTGTTTCTCAACTATTTATACTGTTGTTAAGGCTTCCAGTCAACAGTAGGCTATTAGTAGTTATGTTTTTGGGAAGTCAGAAGTTATACATGGACTTTTGACTGTGTGGGGAGTTAGCACCCTAGCGCCATCCATGTTCAAGAGTCAACTGTGTAAGGAACATCATTTGTTTGTTCATATTATGATTTCTTTTAATTAAAAAAATTCTATGAGGTTTATTTGAAAGTGAAATTATACTTTATATTATCCAGGGTGGGGTGGAGAGCAAAGAATATAAGACAGTCAGTAGAAATCATCATAATGATGTAAATAGAGGGAAAAATTAGTTTATAGCAATTTTCACTATTTTTTTTGAGACAGAGTCTCGCTCTGTCGCCCAGGCTGTAGTGCAGTGGCGTGATCTCAGCTCACTGCAACCTCTGACTCCTTGGTTCAAGCGATTCTCCTGCCTCAGCCTCCTGAGTAGCTGGGACTACAGGCGCGTGGCACCACGCCCAGCTAATTTTTGTATTTTTAGTAGAGATGAGGTTTCACCATGTTGGCCAGGATGGTCTTTATCTCTTGACCTTGTGATCCGCCCTCCTTGGCTTCCCAAAGTATTGGGATTACAGGCGTGAGCCTCTGCGCCCGGCCAGTTTTCACTGTTATAATCTATGAAATCAGATGTAGATTATGATTTTTATTATTGTTATAAACAAAATACTAATAACTACCTTGTATTTTATCTTGGCAGATGGTGTATTGTTCTTTGACAGATTTCCAGAAAGCTGTCTATCAAACAGTGTTAGAAACAGAGGACGTGACTTTGATACTTCAATCTTCTGAGCCTTGTACCTGTAGGAGTGGCCAAAAAAGGAGAAATTGTTGTTATAAGGCAAGCATTTCAATATATCTTTATAATCATGCTTTTGATTACATAGTACTCTCTTCTAGTGTAAAAGAAAGTAGCAGATGATAAAATACCTTTTCCTCAGACAGTTCTTTAAAGCTATGTCTTAAAAAATAGTTTTCAAAAATATTTTACAATATCAAATAGTAATCACATATAAAATACAATATTCAAATATATTTTCAAAAAGTTAATTGCAGAAAGTAAGCTTAATTTTGATATCCTCCATTTTAGCTTTTCTTGGGAAGTATCCTTTCATTTTGAAATTTCATTTCATTTTCAAGAAGTTTCTCATTATCCACTAATAGTAAACGAACATACTCTTGTATAGGAGGCTTAAAATACTATTCTGATGTTAGATATAGTGTCAATTTAATAGAAACTGAGTATCAAAGAAAGTGTTTTTTTTAAAGAAACAAAATTTATTTGTACTTTTTCTAACCTTTTGTTTATATTTCCTGCTCATGTTTCACCTCTGTTTTATTAAATTATGTCACATATCTGTGTACGTAGAGAAACCCTAAGTGAATATTTATCTAGTTTGATATTTATTTGGTCTCATTTATTTTGCTGTTTTTAACTACTTCCCTTTTTTGTAATAGCCCAGTTTCCTAGGAGCCTTGGAGCATAAATGAGAAGGGGTCTGCATAGCACTGCCACTGCACTTAGATTTTGTTACCAGGCACCTCGTAACAGCAACATTTCCATCACTGTGTGTCATGAGGATAAATACTTTCTGTAATAAGGATTTTCTCCCTTTATGAAAAATATAGTTGTATTATGATTTACCAAAAGTATGCTTCCACATTAGCTATTTGTGGATATTTTGTGCAATAGTTGACCATCATTTTCTTGGAATTTATTGTGCCAAAGTAACCCGATAATAAATGTTATTGTAAGTGATACATTTTATGATGTAAGCAGGTGCATAGCTATGCTGGTCCTTTTTATTTTCTATATTTTTCTGGTTACAGACCAATTCTCATGGTGAAACAGTGAAAACCTTGTATCTCAGTTACCTTACAGTCCTTCAGAAGGTAGCTAACCATGTCGCGCTACTGCAAGCTGCTAGTACTTCCAAACAACAGGTTTGGTTAGCATTTTACATTTCTTTGTGATGCTATTGTTGTGAATATTTTATAAAGTTTTAAAATAGTTATTAAATAAAGTTTTTGTGGATGAAATTTAAGAGGAAACTGATTTGCTTATTTTTAAATGTAGATATCAAGGAGTATGTGCACTTAAGTTTTTAATCAAAGTGAACAAATTTAAGCTTAATTTAAAATAAGAACTATCTTTTATGCCTTTAATAATGTTCATATCTTTATTTTTCAAAACAGTCTTTGGTATAATTACTAAATAACATATTTGATGGGTCAGTTCTATTCCTCTAATAATGTCTGTAATGGTATTTAATCTACTGGGTAAAATGAGGATTTATAATAATTTGTATATTAAATATTAGGGCTGTTTACCAAACTGGCAAAAATCAGTAATTTCAAAGTTTACTTTGGTTGTTTCCTTTTATTCTAGAGCACACATAAATGAAAAGATGTTTTTGTAATGATTTTATATTTTTTTCTGTTATAGTTGATGCCATTTAAATGTAATTTTGAAATCTCATAAGAATTTGATATTGTTCTTTGATAGTACTCTTTACTCTTTGGGAGTATTTAGCACCTTGTTTTGGAAATCTTAAAAAATTGAAAAGTAATGATCAAGTTAATAACCACATCATTAAGAATTCAGTGCCATACGTTTAACATATAACTTTAAGAGTTTTTGAATTCTTAGTCTGACTTAGGGAAGCAAAAATCTTTAAAGTAATACATTCTTTCTAAAAAGAATTTTTTTCATAAATTATTTCAATTTATACAGGTTTGAATGTGTTAAGTGGAAATATCTTTTCTTCTGCCTTTTCCCTTCAAGGAAACACTTATCAAAAGGATATGTGATCAGGTATTTTCCAGATTCCCAGATTTTGTGCAGAAAAGCAAAGATGCAGCCTTTGAAACACTTTCTGACCCTAAATACAGTGGAAAAATGAAGGTAAGTGCTCCTCTTTCAGGTTGCATACAGACATGATACACAAAATATTTATTCAGTGGTATGACAGAGACACCAACTAATCAGAACAGGTGCTCAGTCATTCAGAAGAGATGGTGGCTATGGACAAGTGGTGCAATTGTATCAGCATTTACTAGGTCACTATGAACCCCGAATACAGATGGTGTGCACTCGATAGGTCCTCTGTAGTAGTTGCTTCAAATATACTTCAAATTTTCCTTATTGATATATTGGACTTATGCCCTCTTAAAATGCGTGTGCTGTTACCACATAGATAATAGCTTGTCTTCAGATGTTTAAGGAAATAACCTACCAGAAATATAAAAGCTAATGCAAAACAGGGGGGTAAGGAAAGGCCTTACCTTGGAATTAGAGAAAGGAATTTCTTGAAGAGTTTAAGATGGGCAAGGTCTGTATGTCTAGAATTTTCTGCATGTTGTTTTTACTTGCAGAACTAGATCGTAAAGTTGCAAATAGTCATTTGTCATACACAGGAAAATTGACCTGTAGCTGTGCTGCTCTTGGTAATGTGTTACCGAGGGAAGGGTGGGAAAAGTAAGGCTAAGTTCTCCAACCTTGACCCAGGCCTTGGGCATTGCCTGTGGCAGCAGCATGAAATGCTGACAGCTTCCTGCCTCCTTGCAACAACAGAGTTTGTTTAACCCCTTAGTGTCTATCAAGAATCTTTATTTGTAGATTCACAGATTTTTACAGAACAAAACTCAACTTTGTTATAGTTTTTAAAAGGTAAGTTCTTTTTGACATAAAAAGAATAAAAAGGAAGTAGTTCAAAGCAGTTTTTGTTTTTTTTTTATAGAAATACTTTTAGCAATTGATCTAGATAAGTTCATCATGGTTTAGTTTGCTTGGGACCTCTAAAATCAATGAAATAAAATAGAAGGTAGGAATATACATACATACATAAAGACTATTGCATTAAAAACTTGCTTTTAAAAAATAAATGTTTATATTAATGAGGATATCATGTGATTTATTACCACAACAAATAATTCAAATCTAATGATATTTCCTAAGGTAGCAAATTTTTGTCATCCATTTCATTGACTTTAATTATTTTTAAATTAAAATATATAAAAAGTCCGGTTTAGAACTGAGCACTTACTATCCCACAGTTTAAACCAGTAGAACATTTCCAGAAATTATAGCCTCCTCTGAAAACTGCATTAGTCATTGCTACTCATTTAAATTTTATTCCCTGTGACTCTTCACTAAAAAATTGCCAGTCTTGAAATTAAGTTTTATAACTCTGCATTTTATATTTTTTATATATTCATTAATATATACTTGTAAAATATACTTTTAAAGTTAATCTCCCTAGGAATAATAGTGTCTGATTAAGAGAATGATTAAATTTAATTTTATTTTAATTTTTAGGAGGGAAAAGGTAAGCATAAATTGTTGCTGGAGGCTGGGTAGTATTTTTATATGTGAATGATGCAGGTAATTTACTTGGTTTGTGAGAGAGCACCAGCCAAACAGATGGATAGTAATAAGCTAGGGATATATTTTTAGGACTATGTTAAATCATTTGACTAACAGCATCATCTGGTCATATATTGATTTGGTAATGCAGACTTACAGGCTTATCATAGAATCATTGCCTATGGGTTTAAGAACTCTAAGAATTGAGTTGCATTTACCTTTTGAATTCAGGTGATAAAAGATCTTTGTTTAGCTTGTCTTGTCACAGGTCAGCCTGCAGGTGCAAGGACTCTGAACAGAATGCCTGCTATAATCTTTATAGCCTCAAAGCTACACTTATGACCCCACCTCTTTCTCTTGAGTGTCAGAGTTTTGACCTCAACTATCATTCAAGGGGTTAGTCACAAGTTGCAATCATTCACCTGATGAAAATCTTCACTTTTCTTTCTCTTGAGAAATGCCGCAGAGCCACTTACTGTGGAGGGTGGAAAAAAAGACAGGAATCCAGCTTGGTGCTGCTGAAGTCACACAAGGGTCATGTTCATCTTTCTAGGCCTGACTGACCAAGTTGAGGAAAGTTAAGATCCAAGGTTCCTTGCTGTTAACACCCCCAAATAATACGATTCCTTTATAGGTGGATTGTCTTGTTCTGTGGAGGACAACTGAGTGATAAAACATTGGGTCTATATTGTTAAGACTCCAACATCTGTTGATTACATTGTCATTTTGGAAATTTCTGGGATCTTAATTTATAGTCGTTCATTTAGTTAGTCTCTTTAAACTAGCCTAATTAAGATCTCCAGTCTAAAAACATTTACTTTTCCTGTGACTTGTTTTTGTTTTTACTGTAAAATACTTGAAAACACTTAAAGTTGCAATAGTTATGATACCACCCCAAATAATGAGAATGGATTTCTATACAATATATCCTTGGTTTAAAATGTTAATATCTTAAGAATGAAAAACAAACCACAGACTGGGAGAAAATATTAGCAAAACAATAAAGGACTGGTTTACAAATATACAGGTAACTCTTAAAGCTCAACAATGGGAAAGCAAACAATCCAATTGAAAAATGGGCAAAGGATCTGAACAGGTACTTCCCCAAAGAAGATAATAGAGATGGCAAATAAGCATGTGAAAAGATGCTCAACAACATATGTCATTAAAGAATTGCAAATTAAAACAGCAAGGAGATACCACTAGATACCTATTAGAACGGCCAAAATCCAGAACACTGTCAAGCCCAAATGTTGGTGAGGATGTGGAGTAACAAGAACCCCCATCTGCTGCTGGTGGGAATGCAAAATGGTATAGTCACTTTGGAAGACAGTTCAGTGGTTTCTCACAAAGCTCTTAACTAAAAAATATTACCTTAAATAGTCTTACTATATGATCCCGCAATTGTGCCCCTTGGTATTTACCCAAATGAGTTATAATGAATTAAATTTTATTGAGTTTTAATGAGTTAGAAACTTACATCCCGACAAGAACCTATGAGTTTATTTATAATTGCCAAAGCTTGGAAACAACTAAGATGTCCTTCAGTAGGTAAATGGATTAAAAAAGCTGTGGTACAGCCATACTGTGGAGTACTATTTAGCAATAAAAAGAAATGAGCTATCAAGCTACCAAAAGACATGGAAGAACCTTAGATGCATATTGCTGAGTGAAGGAAACCAGTCTGAAAAGGCTACATACTGTATAATTCCAACTATATAATACTATCAAAAGGCAAAACTATGGAGACAGTAAAAAGAACAGTGGTTGCTATGGGTTCTGGGGGAGGAAAGAATGAGTAGGTGAAGCACAAGGAATTTTTAGGGCAATGAAACAATTGTGTATGATACTGTAATGGTAGATACATGTCATGATATATTTGTCAAAACCCGTGAACTATGTAACACAATGAATAAACCCTAATGTAAATTATGGACTTTAGCTAATAATAATGTATCAATATTCACTCATCAGTTGTTACAAATAAACCACACCAATACTAATAATACTTGATGTTATATTTTCTAATAATATTATTAATACAGATATTAATAAGAGAAAGTGTGGAGGAGGTTGGAAGTAGGGAAAGAGGAGTTTTGTGCATTTTCTACTCAGTTCTGTAAAACAGAAAAAATAATATCTACCAATTTAAAAAGTCTTATGTGAAATTCAAATTACATACTTCATATAGAATCAGTTATTTTATTAAAAAATGAACTAAATGCAAATAAAACTTCATATGTTCTCCAAATGTGAAAGTAATGTTTACCCGATCCATAACATTTTTATTTACCATTTGATAAATAAATTTGGTTATCTGAGTAGAAGTTTTTTTTAACTCCATAGCTTTTTTTGAGGGACTAGGGGGAGGTAGAGGTCAAAGTTAGCACAATAGCTTCTCTTGATTGAGTAAGTGTTATATTGAGTATTTTTTTTATTTAAAAGCTTAAATGTTTATCATTAAATAAATTGTTTTAGTGTTTGTTTCATCTTTCAGAAGAATTTAGACTTTGTATAGAAAATTTCTTTTTCCCCTCTGTGGATTGCTTTTCCACATTGTTCTGGAGCTGTCATTGCCAGATGTGGAAATAAAAGTAACAGTGTGACTGTTATACACAAGGCTTTGGACTGTTTGTTTCCTCCCTGAAAGCACTGTGTGTGGGGGCAGATTACTGGCATTTTGAGGTCAAAATCAAATCTGGAAGTCAGAGCTTACTGTAAATAGAGAAACAAAGGGGAGAAAATGAGAAGAGGTGTGTATCTGACTGATTATTCTAAGAAAATAAATATCAAGACTTTTAGAACCTAGATGTAATTGAACACATTTCATTACATCCATCTAGGGACAATTTAAATACTTCCTAAAAGGAATGCTGCTCTATAATTTAGTTTCTTAGCATATTGTAGGTATAAAGAAAGTGTATTTTGGAAATTAAATTAATCCATTTAAATGCATCCCATAATCCAAAATGCTTCCTTTTTATTAAAACCAGATGAGATGAAATAAAAGTCTTTGGGAACTTTACCTCCTTATTGACAATATGATGATGAATAACATTTGATGTAATAGCTAATACTTTATTTCTCTAACTTGGAAAAAATGAAAGGAATTAGAAAAAATGAATGAGGTTAGTATTGTATGAAAATAATTTTAAAGAAATTCTCAAGTGATGTTTATATGTATAAAGTGTACTTTTAGTTGGAACTGGTTCACTGATTTTCTGTGGTTCATTTTCAGGTCCTTCAGCAGCTTTTAAATCATTGCAGGAAAAACAGAGATAAAGTTCTTCTCTTTTCTTTTTCCACCAAGGTGAGTTCATCTAAAGTATATCCTTGATTGGCCAGCCTCAACTTTTGAGGCATAAAGAATAAAGCATATGCCTACATGACACCTTACAGCCACATTTTCTCTTATCTACACAGTAGGAAATAGTGAGGTAAGCAACTTGAAGTTTTTAAACAGACACTAAAATTTCAATTGTTTCAGGGTTGCTAAATATCAAACTCAAAGATAGATTTTTATTTTCTGTTGATGTTCTTAATAATTACAATGTTCTTTAAGACATTTCATATATTTTAGAACTTAAAAAATAGCATGCATATATTTATGTAAATGATTTGACCAGTAATATTGTTTGTTTCTTAAAAATGAAAAGATTGATTTTTAAAACAAGTTCTGAATGTTAAAGCCATAATGTTGCAGGATAACGGGAATAAATATATGGGTCAGAAGTGAGAAAAATATTTATTGTTCTTGGAATTATAAGAAAGAAATTATGAACACCAATAATTAATACTTAACAAGTCTCAACTTTGTAATGGTCTGAAACTTACTTAACCAAGATTCATGTTTGCCCATCTTCATACCTCTCGTCTAGTTGCTTGACGTGCTACAGCAGTACTGTATGGCGTCTGGGCTTGATTACCGACGACTTGATGGAAGTACAAAATCAGAGGAAAGACTCAAGATTGTAAAAGAGTTCAACAGTACACAAGATGTTAACATTTGCCTTGTCTCTACAATGTAAGAAAATTAAATTTAATAACTAGATTTTTATCCAATTGTTTTTGAGATTTAGCATAATTTTTAAAACTATTACTGGATTAATTTTTAATGGCTATGCTTATTTAGAAGCAGCAAAAATACTATTATGACCGAAATTTCAATGTCTTAAGTTTTAGCTAAGCTTTTCTCTCATTTCCTTTATCAACATTGAATTCCTCTTAGAAGTCTGGGTTTATAAAGGTAACAATAAAAAAATTGATACTTCCTCCTATGAATTTTCCATGGTAGTGTTTTGACCCAAGTCTCCTGGTGAGAATAATCAGACTTCTTATTAACTGGATAACTGAGACTCACTGTAGCAGCAGTTTTCCCACTGTGTCAGGGAGCCCTTGAGAGCCCACTGGGGCTAGGGGCTCACGTTTCCCTCCTCTGCCTCTACCTCATCTCAACTGGAGCAGCTCTGCAGTTAGAGTTTTTATGAAAGGTAAATTGGTTCTAACCCCTATGTATGAATATCCCTTTAAGACCTTTTAGAGAATATACACACTTCTGAAAAGATTTAAATCAACATAAACACCTAAGTAAGATTAATCCCATTTTAGGAAGGAACAGATCAATAACTTTTGACATCCTGTGTAATAAGAATTTTATAGATTCACTCCCACTGTCTTTCAGAATTTCAATGGACTTTAAAAATAAACATATATAAAATGCACAAAGTAAAAATTAAATCAGAATAGAAATTAACTTAAAATGAGGAATAAAATATACTTATGAATGAGCCAACATTGTTGAGCACTTTAATTATTCTTGAATTCCTACCACTAAGGCAAATGGGGAAAAGCTTTGGATTCCCATTTTCCTATAAAGGAATGCAAGAAGTAATTTTTTTCATGCGTCCTTACATACAGAGCACTAAATGACATAGAATACTGTGGTCAATTAAATTTCATAAAACATATAAGCATTCTAACTTTAAAGTGTTTCCAGTTGATAGATGCACTAAACAATGGTTCCAATAATAGACTCTATAATGACAAGCAGTAGTCTCTTATCCTTCTTCTGCTCACTTCCAGCTCATTTGCTGAGATCCTCCATAAAGTTCCTAATTACCCCTTCACCTCTATCTGTCAGAAACTGCTATTTAACCTATCCATTGAATTTTTAATTTTAATCATACTTCGAAAAACATCTTTTTGGATGGCATTTTTGCTCTATTAACTCCTGTACTTGGTGGTGCTGATCCTTCTATTTGTTGTTTCCTCTGGCTCTTGCTTATGGTTGATAGTTTCTTCATGTTTGGTCATTTTTTTTCTTTTGAGCTTATCTTCAATGGGATTTTTTTCCTCTGGAAATCCTTTGGAGACCGGTTGTAGGAGTTTTCTGCTTGTGTGGTTTTGCTTTGGCTTCTGCTGGGCATCCTGACAAGACAAGGGAAAAAGTTTTGGATTCCTATTTTTCTGTGACAATTTGAGTAATTTATTTCATAAGTCATTATATAAGGAACCTTATGTAATATAATAAATACATTCTTCAGCTGTGTTTTGCAAAAGACACATAAGCTCAGTTTTTGTTTAGTTTCTATCATTTTGCAAGGGTTTATATTTAATATGTTGTGACAGAAATGTTTTCACATTGGCTTAGCCATTATCTTGCCAGAGTACAAAGTCTTCATTATCTTTTAGTTTATCAACTTTACATAAGTTGGAACTTCTCTTAAGAAAGATGATTAGGCTACTTTCACTACTCTCTCCCCGTTTTTTTCTCACAGTGTTTGCTATTTTAAAATTATTTGTCTATAAACTACTTTTGTAACTTTCAATCTTTGTACTTCTGCATTAGATCCATTGAATTTTCTCTTAGATCTTTTTCCTGGATCCCGTGTCTTCTTCTTTCTTGGTTTGCCGCCATGTTTTACTGGAAAATGATTCAAGTTTTGATGTTTGGTCCATTAACTTTCCACATGCCTTCTAAGTCTTTGTAATGTGTGGTATTAGCATTAGCACACACCCACCCACCCTTCTACTTTTGTCACCTATACATATTATGTTAACTATTTTAACTTTTACTTTGTCAAGGGTATTAATGTTTTCAATAAGCCCTGTACCAGTAACCGGTTATTGTCCATAGGTTGGCATTAAAATTTGAAGGCAAAAAAGCGTTTACATTACTATGTTTTTATAAACTAAACATCTTTAATGCAGGGGCAAGTAGTGCTAAGATAATTTTTCTTAATGTTCACGACCTTTTGGTCAATGCAAGATCAGTCTTAACATCAACCTCATATGACTTCTCTTTCCTAAGACTTCATCCATGTTTTATGTTTGCACTGTTCAGTTCACTTCAAATTTCAATCATGACTTTTTCGGTCTTTTCCCCCTCTCAGTCTGTTTCTGCCCTTTGTAATAATCCTCAATGTTACTAATTCTCATTCACACATTCTCTTCTGTTGAGTCCTCTGTATCCTGAACCTGCCTCCTGAAACTTTTATTCCTTAGTTTCAATCTGGCCCAGTTTTCTAGGCCTGATAAAGAACTGTCATGTTGAAGCTTTCTTTCACTGCTCTTCTGTGTTGGATCTTTTTCCTGGGTTCCATGCTGTTTTTATTCTTGACTTGCCCCTTTGTTTTCCTAGGAAATATCCTCTGGTAACTTTTTAAGCCAGAATATATAGGAAGTAAATTTTCTGCATCTGTAAATACAGAAAATGTCTTTTATTGCTCTCTCACTTAATTGATACTTTGTCCAACTATATAATTCTAAATTGAAAATCATTTCCTCTTAGATCTTTGAAGGGCTTGCAGCATTGTTTTCTGATAGATGGTGTGGCTAAATAGATGTGCAGTGCCAATCTGATTTTCATTCCTTTTTGGGAACTCGTAAGAGTTTTTCTTCATCTACACTATTCTAAAATTTCACGGTGATATTTGAGTCTTGGTGTGGATCTTCGTTCATTTTTTTGTGCTGGGTACAGTAGGCTTGTATTCTGAAGGCTTATGTTCTTTTTCAACTCTGGAAAATGCTTTTTTATTATTTCTTTAACAATGGCCTTTTTTTTTTCTTCCTTTTTCTCTGCTCCCTCCCTCTGGCATGCCAGGTCATCAGACTTTCAAACTTTCAAACTATATTGGTTCTTTAAATCTCTGAACTTTTCTCTCAGACTTTGTCTTTTTGCTCTGTTCTGAGAAATGTCATTTTTCGATCTTATTATTTTGTTTGAAATGATCACTTTTTTTTTTTTTTAAGACAGTGTCTCACTCTGTGGCCCAGGCTGTATGGTGCAATCTTGGCTCACTGCAACCTCCGCCTCCCGGATTTCAAGCAATTCTCCTGCCTCAGCCTCCCGAGCAGCTGGGACTACAGGCCTGTGCCACCCCACCCAGCTAATTTTTGTGTTTTTAGTAGAGACAGGATTTCACCATATTATCCAGGCTGGTCTTGAACTCCTGACCTCGTGATCTACCTGCCTCGCCCTCCCACAGTGCTGGGATTATAGGTGTGAGCCACCATTTCTGCCATCACATTTTTAATCTAAAGTTTTTCTTGCTTTCTGACCTCTTTTGTTTTTGGAGTTACCTTTTGTTTTAGAACATCAGTGTGTTAAACTCTAGCTTTTTATAGTCATTTCATTCAGTTTATTTAAAGAATGATCATCTGGCATTTTTCCTGGGGTTTGTTTTTTGTTTTTGGAGAATCAATGAATTTATTAATGAGTTTGAGGAAAATTGGAGTTTTTAAGGTATGAAGCCACCCTATCCATAAACATGGTATCTCTTTATATTTATTTAGGTTTTCTTAGAAGCATTGTTCAAATGGATACTTCGTTTGACCTTTTATAATACTTAATACATAATAATAAAACTTATTTCATCAAAGACATGTTTGTAGAACATTAAGATGTAGTTAAGGTGTACTTTCTGATATACTTATTTGATACAGGAAGAGCATGTGGCAGACCTAAGGAATAAACAGCCTGCATACTCATTAAGTGTCTCAAATACCAGTCCTCAGTTCGAAAAGAGCAATATTAAAATTTTTTTTGCTTAACAAGTAACCCTTTGCTGTTAACCATGTAAGAACAGAGTGACAAGTTTTAAAGTTTAGGTTTCTGAGTTGTATTATCATCAAAGGGAGAATTATCTCATCTGCAGAGAGAGAGAGAGTCTAGGGCCTTTTTCTTCTTCTTTAAAGGGAGCTTTGCTTCTTCAGCAAGGACTGAAGTTATTACTTCAGAATCTCTTGGAAGATTGCTACCTCAACTAGTAGAGATCTTATCTGTGGCTCATATATGGCATCTGAGATGGCATCATACATGGTTATGCCTGACCTTGCCATCAAGAAGGTAACTGGAACAGTTGATTAGATTTATTCAACATAGAAACCTTTAACTTCGTTTCTGCTTTTTTGCTGTCTAAATTCCACCCAATCCCCTAACTTATCCATTTTTTTAATCCTTTCTAATACTTTCTCCCTATCCCACCTCATTCTTTTCTTAGAGTTCAGTCAAGTCTCTATGACATCTTCATGGTATGTCTAATAAGCAGTTTTCCAAAGGAGAAAATTCAGTTTCTACTGAGCACTGAACTTTCAATCAGGACATTTGGGTTTGAATCGAGACACTTGCTACTTAGGAGACCTTGAACAAATTAATTTTTGTGATTGTCAATTTTCTCGCCTGAAAAATCAGGATATTTTGCTTATAGAAGTCTTCAGAACAGGCCAGGTGCAGTGGCTCACGCGTGTATTCCCAGCACTTTGGAAGGCCAAAACGGATGGATCACCTGAGGTCAGGAGTTCGAGACCAGCCTGGCTGACATGGTGAAACCCCATCTCTACTAAAAATACAGAATTAGCCAGGTGCAGCGGTTCATGCCTGTAGTCCCAGCTACTCAGGAGGCTGAGACGGGAGAATTGTTTGAACCCAGGAGGTGGAGGCTGCAGTAAGCTGAGATGACGCCACTGCACTCCATCCTGGACAAGACAGAGCAAGACTCTGTCTCAAAAAAAAAAAAAAAAAAAGAAGTCTTGAGAGCAAAAGAACTAGCATATATGAAAATACCTTGCATAGTTCCTGATATATAGTAGATGCTCAATAAAGGTTAATTTATTTGCATTTTTGATAGAAATTGTAGGAGAAAAGATTATCATTTTTCTTCCCCTGGATGATTAGCATCCAGTGTAAAGCATTATCTAAGTGTGAGTTGTTTTGTGATACAGTGTAGGCAGCTGATGAGGGAAAATGGCAATGCAAAGCCTCAGAGGAAAGCCTGAAAGACAGCTGGGCTCAGGAAAACAGTTGAGGAAGAGAAAGAAAATCATTGTGTTCTTGGATTTTGGTTTTGCCTTTTCTTTGTAAAAATGTAAAAATTTATCATCGTTGTCTTACAGAGTATTAAATACAGGATATGTAGATCAGATAGTTCAAAACATGAAAAGATCACAATTATTGTTATTTAAAATCTATTAAATTATATAGGCAGCTGGAATCTTCAACTCAGTATACAAACATTATATACATTCAGTTTTGCCAAAAGTTTCCTTTAGAAATTTTATTCCAAAAGAAATAAGTAGTATGCTGATAGAAAAAAATGAATCTAGCAAAACCAATATGTGATTTTTATACTAATAATAAAAACTGCCAAAAAATATGTCTTTAGTGACTTCTCTTCACTGTTACCTTAACCACAGGTCAAGTTAAATGAAGACAAAACTTTTGGCTTCCATTTAAGTGTCAAAAAGACTCTGTAGCATGAATACTAGGCACAACTTCATTCTTGGTTTTGACTTTCAGAATCATACACTAGTTGACTACAAACAGCTTTCTAAGCAAACCCTATAATTTGAAATACAATGCTTTATTCATACTTACTAACTTGTGAGGATTAAGTTAAGGATTTGGGGTACCATACTGCAAAAGTAAAATTTTCCAGATGATATAAGTACCTCTAGGTAGTCCAACACCAGGAATCATGAGCTTTGAAGGGATCAGGAGAAACATCATTTTCTGTCTCTCATAACATTATTCCAAAACACTGTCAACTTTCCCAGAAAGATGAGGACATTTCTTTTGTTATGTACCCCAAGAGAAAGACATTCTAAACCACTCTTTTCAAATAAATAATGAGAATCATATTATATGCCTTTTGTTAAAATCTGCCTTTACTGCTTTATTTTGTCTCAGTCTCACACCTTTTTGTTCAACTACTAATATCTTCATGGACCCTTAATGTGCAGCAAGAAAAATAAGAGAATTTTTGCCTTTGAAGAGCAGTATAATGCAATAAATGCTTTACTGGAGTTTATGTGTGAAGATTCATAGGCATTTAAGAAATAGATAGATCAAAAAATCCCATAGAAGGATGGTGATGTTTTAACTGGTTCTTTAGAGATAAGATTTTATTAAAAAGAAAAGGAAAAGCAGGTTTTGGTAAAGGGCATTTTAGGCACAGAGAATAGCATAGGTACCAAAATAACTAGAGAACTTATGTGTTTAGTGCTTAGGATATGTGGAGGCAACAGCTTGGGTGTATGACTACATAGGAGAACTCATGAGTTATTTTAACGAAGCTCAGTTTAACAGAGTGTAAGTATCCACTCTGTGACAGGCCCTGGAGGAGACACGTCTCTTAAAGTTTATAACTCAAAAAGTAGAGGGGTACAGGAGGAGTTGTTCAGAAACATGTAAAAGGATAGTTCAATACAGTATGGCGAATGCAGGGTAGGAGGAGGCACAGAGGAGAAAGATTTAGTTCAGGCTTTGTTAATGACACCTGAAGGACAAGGAAAAGTTAGCCAGGCAAATAAGATAGCAGAGAAAATTGTATGAAAGCAACTTTAAATGTTTTGGTCACTTGTGGTATAGTTATCAAGAATGACTGGTGTGATACCAGCTGCAGAGACGGTAGGCCTGGTCATTGAGGCCGATTGGTCTCTGATGAATAGGAATTAATGGGTTTTAAGCTACAAACAGCTTTCTAAGCAAGCCCTGTAATTTGAACTACAATGCTTTCATACTTACTAACTTGTAAGGATTAAGTTAACGATTTGGGGTACTATACTGCAAAAGTAAAATTTTCCAGATGAGTAGTACACTTAGTTCTGTATATTCTGTGCTTAAAATAATTTTTATGTAATGTGAGAATGGGCATGGGTGTAAGGTCTGAAGTAAGAGAGGACAATCAGAAGACCAAAGAAGTAATACATGCAAGTGCAATCTAATAACAGCTCTGAAAAGGGCAGTGGTAATAGGAATGGAGAAGGGACTCAAGAGAAAAACATTTCTGAGCTAAATATGACAGGACTTGATACTGGTTAGCTTTTAGTGGGAAAGGGAAGTAGTCATGGAGAAGAAGAAGTCTATAGTGATACTTAGCATGGCTTTTGACTTTGATGAGTGAGTATATGGGTGGTATCACCAGGAAATATATGGAGAAAAAGAACTCTGGGTCCAGGGAAGTATTAGATGTAGCTCATTATAAAATTAGCATTGATGTTATTTCATCTTGTTCTCTTCCTTTTGGAGAGAGAACATGTGGCATCCTGTTGCAGTGTAACTCTTGGCTCTCTCTGTATTCACTATGACAAGCCTGAAGCATATGCGGTAGCACCCTGACTGCCTGTCTTGTGATCAACATGTGATGGTGGAAATAATCTGTACTTAAGAATCCATTCTGTGTTAAGGCCATATGGATGTTAGCCACATTTTTAAATTAAACTTTTTATTCTGAGATATTTCTAGATTCACAAGTAGTTTTAAGAAATAATACAGAATGATCCCATGCACTCTTTACCCAGTTCCCCCAATGTAATATCTTGTAAAACTGTAGTACATTATCACAACCAGGATACTGACGTTGATACAGTGAAGAGCAGAACATTTCCATCACAAGAATCCCTCATGCTGTCCTTTTGTAGTCACATCTGCTTTCCTCTCTCCCCTTTCTCCCTGAGCCCTGGAAACCACTAATCTGTTCTCCATTTCTGTAATTTAGAACAACATAATCAAGAATGTTATGTAAAGGGAGTCATAAAGTATGTAACCTTTTGGGATTGGCTATTTTCACTCAGCGTAATTCCCTGTAAATTCATCCAGTTGTTGTATGTATCAATGGTTCTTTTCTTTTTATTGCTCTTAGTATTCATGATATGGATACACCACAGTTTGTTTATACATTCATCTGTTGAAGGGCATCTGGGTTGTTTCCAGTTTTCGGCTGTGACAGATAAAGCTATTAACATTTGTGTACAGACTTTTGTTTGAACATTAGTTTTCATTCCTCTGGGATAAATGCTAAATATTGCAACTGCTGCATTATGTGATAGTTGCGTATTTCGTTTTATAAGAAATTGCTAAACTGTTAACAAAGTGGCTATATGGTTTTACATTCCCCACAGCAGTGTGTGAGTGATCAGGTTCCTCTGCATTTTCACTAACATTTGCTATCGTCACTATTTTTTTCATTTTAGCCATTCTGATGGGCATGTAGAGACATGTCATTGTGGTTTGGATTTGCATTTACCTAATGTCTAATGATATTAAACATCTTTTCATGTGCTTCTTGTATAAAGCTGGTGTTAATGCTTCTGTAAATGGTAAAATTCTCCAGTGAAATCATCTGGGCCTGGAGGGGTTATTTTTTTTCCCTAAGAGTTTTGAAAATAACATACTCAATTTCTTTAATAGTTATAGGACTATTCAGGTTGTCTGTTTCATTTAGTTGAGTTCAGTGGTTTGCGGTTTTTGAGGAATTGTTTCTCTTCTAACTTATTGAATTTATGACCATAAAATTTTTTATAGTATTCATTTATCCTTTTAATAGCTGTAGGATCTGTGGTGATATCCCTTGTTTCATTTCTAATATTGGTAATTTGTGTATTCTCTTTTATCTTTGTCATTGCTAGTTTAGCAACGAATCAGCTTTTTTTCACTGATTTTTCTCTGTTATTTTTCTGTGTTCAGTTTTATTGATTCTGCTTTTTTATTTATTATTTCCTTTCTTCTGCTTGCTTTTTTTGCTTCTTTTTCTAGTTTCTTAGGGGGAGGACCTCAGATTATTGGTTTGAGACCTTTAATTTTTTTCTAATATAAGCATTTAATGTTACAAATTTTCCTAAGCCCTGCTTAGCTGCATCCTACATATTTTGATATGTTGTATTTTCATTTGTGTTACATTATTATTTATTTCTCCTTGTATTTTTTTTCACAGTTTTTTTGGATTTCAGATTTTGTTTGACTCATGAGCTATTTAGATGTATGTTGTTTAATTTCCAAGTGTTTGGAATTTTTTTTGTTGTCCTCCTGAAATGTATTGCTAGTTTGACTCCATTATCGTTAGAGAACATACTCAGTATAATACCATTATATTCAGTATATACCAGTATAGTTTCAGTTCTTTTAAATTTGTTGAGGTTTGTTTTATGGCCCAGGATTTGGTCTATCTTGGTGAATATTCTATAGGAACCAGGAAAAAAAAGTGTGTGTGGTGCTGTTCTAGGTGGAGTGTTCTGCGTATGTCATTGGTTGGTCATTTTGTTCTTTTATATCCTTGCCAATTTTCTCTCTAGGAGTTCTATCAGTTGCTGAATGTGGGATATTGAAATCCTCAACTATAATTGTGCATTTGCCTGTTTCTCTTTTCAGCTTAATTTGACTTCATGTATCTTTCAGCTCTGCTGTTTTGGTGCTGTTTGGTGTTTTGGCAGATTGATCTTTTTGTCATTGTGCATTGTCCCTCTTTTAACTATTAACTTTCTTTGCTCTGACATATACTTGGACTAATATTAATATAGCCAGTCTTGCTTTTTTCTTTAATAATTGCCTGGTATATCTTTTATCATCCTTTCACTCTCAGCCTAGCTGTGTCATCATATTTAAAGTGTTTTGTTTTGTTTTTTGTGGAGAGCATATTGTTTTTTCAAACTACCCTGCCAATCTTACGATTTTAAATGGTATATTTAGGCCATTATATTGAAGGTAATTATTGATATTTTTTATTTAACTTTTATCTTTTTATCTCCTATTTCTAGTTCCACTGTTTCTCTTATTCAGACATTTCTTTAGGATTCTGTATTTGTTTATGTATAGTGTTTTTTAGTGTATTGCTTTGTGTAGCTTCCTGGTGGTTGCTCTGGGTATTTACATTGTACATAGTAACTTCTCACAGTCTACTGGTATACAGGTTTACCAGTTTGAATGAAGTATAGAAATTTTACTTACATTTAAGCTTCTTTTCCTACTCCACTTTTAAGATATTATTGTCTTAGATATTTCCTCTACATGCCCTAAGCAGCATATCAGATTGTATTGCAGTTTTCCTTTAACCATGAAATGTGATTTATGAAATGCATGAGAAATAAAATAGTATTTATATTCACCCCTATTTTAACCTATTCTGATCTTCCTCTTTCCTTTCTGTTCTAGTTCCAAGCCTTATTCTGCTTTTTTTTTTTTTCCTTATGAACTTTCTAGCCACCAATCTTTTAGGTTAAGTCTGCTGGTAACAGGTGCTCTTAGTTTTCGTTAGTCTGAGAATGTCTTATCTCCTTTCCCTTTCTGAAGGATATTTTCACTGAGTATAGAATTCTGGGTTGACAGTTCTTTTCTTTCAGCACTTGAAAGATAATGCCACTTTCTTCTGATATCCATGGTTTCTGATGTTTCTCTCTGTTGTTCATATTTCGTGAATGATACTGGTTCTCATCATGCTTACTGATTCTGTCTTTTGTCTTTTCCACTGTACTGTTCAGCCCATTTGGCAAGTTTTGTATTTCAGCTATTTTTCCATTCCAAAATTTTTATTTTGCTCTTTATATCCATTTTTGTTTTGTTTGTTTTTGCTGAGACTCAATTTTTTTGTTTGTTTCAAGCATGTTTGTAATTGCTTGTTGAAACATTTTTATGATGGCTTTGTTAAAATTCTTGTCAGGTAATTCCAACATCTGATTCATCTCAGTCTTTTCTTATTCAGGCTGCAATTTTCCTGGTTCTTGGTATAAGTGATTTTTTATTGTATCATTGTGTCTTGGACATTTTGAGTATTGTGTTATGAGACTCTGCATGTGATTTAAATCTTCCATTTTAGTACACCTCCTCTTTGACACCATGCCAGCCAAGTAGGGGTGGAAAGCTAGGTTCCGTCTTTGGCCTCTGCTGATAGCCTGAGAGGGAAGTGCTTTACTACTGCTCCCACCTGGCGTCCCCTGACACCATGGAGGGAGACCCTGTTATCATTGGGAAGAAAACGAAAGCTCTAGCTCTTCACTCAGTCTTCTCTGACACCACCCCAGCAAGAATCAGTGGTAGTGTCTCATTATAGCCAGGCAAGGGTAGAAGTCTAGCATCCTCATTCAGCCTTTGCTGACTAAGGTAGGGATGGGGCTGCAGATTGTTCCTTGGTGTTTGGCAGGAGTAGAGTGGTTATTGTGTCACATTTTTCTGCCTTTCAAGGCTACACCTTTCCTGGTTCTTTGGCTAAAGGGAAAAGGCTTTTCTTGGGATATATATATATATTTTTATAGTCTGTGACTTTCGGCATTACCAACAGCTTGGGATATGTTAAGAACCCAGCTTGTGGTATCTTAAGCAAAAAAGAAAGCTAGACTTTCTTCTCACAGTTTTTTTGGATTTCAGATTTTGTGTGACTCATGAGCTATTTAAGTGTATGTTGTTTAGTTTCCAAGTGTGTGGAATTTATTTTGTTGTCCTCCTGAAATGTATTGCTAGTTTGATTCCGTTATTGTTAGAGAACATACTCAGTATAATACCATTATACTCAGTATATACCAGTATAATTTCAGTTCTTTTAAATTTGTTGAGGTTTGTTTTATGGCCCATGATTTGGTCTATCTTGGTGAATGTTCTATAGGAACCAGGAAAAAAAAAGTGTGTGTGTTGTGCTGTTCTAGGTGGTGTGTTCTGTGTATGTCATTTAAATCCTGTTGGTTGGTCAGTTTGTTCTTTTATATCCTTGCCAATTTTCTCTCCAGGAGTTCCATCAGTTGCTGAATGTGGGACTCCTTCAGCTAGGCTTTCTTTTTTGGAAAAGCCATGGAAGCTTTCTTTTTTGGAAAAGCCATTCCTTTTTTTCAGGAAAGCCATGACTCACTGCCATGCCATTCCTTAGGCCTTGTAGTCCCTAGCCTGCCTATCTTCTCTGTACCTTTCAGAGTTTTACGTTTATTTCCTATGTAATATCCAGAGTTTTAGCTGCACTTAGTGGAAGAATAAGATGTGCATCTATTCCTGAATTGAGTTTTTTAATGTATGCATTACTTTATTTAGCTAGAATGTACTAACACTTTTTAAAAATTATATTAGGAAAATCTTGCAGAAGTAGTATTTGAGTATCAAAAAAAAGTAAAAACCAGCACAAACTATTTACGTGGGCTCTAATGACCAGTTTTTTAGGGATTTTCTAGAGTGGTAGAAATAAAATTGTGCCTTAAATATTTAATTTGTGGCATATTTGTATTTTAATCACCACCTTACTTTGATGAAATTAATGCAATATCGTACTGTTTTGGCTATAGAAACCTGGCACAGTTGAGTTATAGCACAACAGTTAGTTTTTGCTGTTCTAATGTGCTTTTTTTTTTTCTCTTTCCTCCAGGGCTGGTGGACTAGGCCTCAATTTTGTCGGTGCCAATGTTGTTGTATTATTTGATCCTACTTGGAATCCAGCCAATGATCTTCAAGCCATTGACAGGTATAATACTGACAAAATTTAAAGTGATCTGCAAATACTTTTAATCTAAAAATACTCTTGAACTTTTAAGGTTGCTTATACTATGACTATGATTAGAAGAAAGGGGGAAACTGGTAAAAACGTACATTTAATATAATCCTGACCTTCTCAATCCAAATAACAGTCCAAAAATAGCCATTTTTCATCCATCTCAGAATCCTATTAATATGACAGAAATGACTTAAGAAGAAAGAATAAATTCCTAATACTGTAGGAAAATAGGATAGTTCTGTACTAGTAGATCAGAAGTTTTGAGAAACTCCTGGAAGATAGAAAGCAAGTAGAATCTGTGATCAGGGTATCCGCAGAGAAATACTACAATCCAAAGTCTGCAGGAAAGAGTACAGAAATTTTAAGCATGGGCTTGCAACTACAGTATGTGGGAGTAGACAGAGTGCATCATTCTGGGAAATTGATAATGTCCTGACTCTAATACAAATTCCCCTCTGACACCCTACTTTACAGAGAGATTGGCCGTAACAGGTACTCTTTGATTAAAGCTGAAAGAATAATTTTACACATTTTATAAACAAATGGGGAATCTGACTGTAGAAAGCTTCCTAGAATGGATGTTGGAACCAGATCATAAAGCCAGAGCCAAGCCTGAAGTACTTCCAGATCTCCCCAGGACATGAAAAAGGGAAATACACGTGTTACCTGCATGGAAACACAGACCGGCTTTCCAGTGATGCACCTAGTCGTCATTTTAATTATGAATGGGAAATGAAGAATTATGAAACATTTTAATAAAATTAACCTAGCAAGAAAGCAAAGGACAAAGGTGAAAAACAGACATTGAAGGGAATAAAATAAGAATAGGATGCCAAGGAAAAAAGTACATAAAAAAACAAATTAGTTCTTATAAATTAAAACTATTGCCAAAATAAAGTGACTCAGTAGAAGGTCTGGGAAAAAAAATGGAGAGGGCTAATGGAAGGATATGGAAAAAAATGAAGGTCTGAAAAAAAATGGAGAGGGCTAATGGAAAAATGGAGAAGGATATGGAAGATAAAAGGAATGAATATTTTAAAACATAAAGTCAAGTAGCAAATAGATGTGAAATATGAGTAAAGAGAAATTGAGGAAAAATCCCAGAAATCATCATCTGTGTATTCCAGAAATAATGAACAGAGACTGGAGGACGGGAGATAATTGATGACATGATTGGAGAAAATTGTTATTAATTTTGAAGGGGCATTTAGTATGAAGTAGGAATAATGACTGAGAGAGAAAACATACATGTTAGTAATATTTCTAAGTTTCAAAGATAAAGAGAAGGGCTAAAAGGTTCCAAAGTGAGAAACAGGGAGAGAATGATTTATAAAAACTGCAACAAAAAGGAAAAGATACATTGTTAACAAAGAAATGAGAATCAGACTCAATTCAGCAGATCAGACTTTGAAGAACATACATTTCATCAGCATTATAGGATTCTAGAATGACAACAGAATTGTCAAAGTGAAAAAATTTATATGGCTATATGTGAAAGAAAATTATTTTGAGTTGTATTTACAATTTGTGGCTAAAATTTTAAGTCTAAAAAATTACTGGGAGTGTGGCTGATAGGCTTCATGCAGTTGTAAAGAAAGAATTCCCTGAAATATGAAGGGATGGTATGAAAAAATTAGTAACAAGAACTAAAATGTTATATAAATTTTGATAATTGTCAGAATAAGGGTAGAGGTGGGTAAAGTTGTCTTAGAATTGTTTTTTTTTCCTCAGGAAAGGACCAGGATACCCTGGTCAGTTCTCAAATTGTATGCCAACAAATGTTTTTAAATGCTAGCAAAAAATTTAGGGGCAACAACTAAAAGAGTGAGTTATAATAATTACCTGGTACAATTTTCAAAAACACAGATGCTCAAACTCCACCCTGCAGGCATTCTGTTTATGTAGATGTAGAATGGGACTCAACATTCTACGTTTTAAAAAACACCCAGGTTGTGGATCAAAGGACACTATCAACAGAGAAAAAAGGCAGTCTACAGAATGGGAGAAAATATTTTCAAATCACATATCTGATAAAGTATTAATATCTAGAATATAAAAAGAACTCCTAAAACTCAACAACAACAAAAAACACAACCCAATCTAACAATGCATAGGACATTTCTCCAAAGAAGGTATACAAGATATATAAGTGGCCATTAAGCACATGAAGAGATGCTCAGCATCACTAATCATTAGGGAAATGCATATCGGAACTATAGTGAGGTACAACTTCACACACGTTGGATGACTATTGTAAAAATAAAAGCAACAACAGAAAACAAGTCCTAGTTGAGGATATGGAGAAATTAGAACCCAGAACCCTTGTGCATTGTTGATGGAAATGTCAAGTGGCACAGCTGCTGTGGAAAACAGCATGGTGGTTCCTCAAAAAATTAAACATAAAATTACCATGTTATCCAGCAATTACACTTCCACTTTGGGTATATACCAAAAAGAATTGAAAGCAGAGACTTGAAGAGATACTTGTACACTCATGTTCATAGCACCTGTATTCACAATAGCTAAAATGTGGAAGCAACTCAAATGTCCATCGATGGATGAATGGATAAACAAAATACAGTTTATACATAAAATGGAATACTATTCAGCCTTAAAAAGAAATGAAATTCTGATAAATGCTACAACATAGACAAACCTTGAAGACATTATACTACATGAAATAAGCCAGATATGAAAGGACAAATATTGTATGATTCTACTTATATGAAATACCTGGAATAGTCAAATCCATAGAGATAGAAAGTAGAATGGTGCTTATTAGGGGATAGGGAGGAATGGGGAATTATTGTGTAATGGGCATGGAATTTCAGTTTAGGATAATAAAAAAGTTGTAGCAATGGATAGTGGTGATGGCTGGAAAACTGAATTTACTTAATCCCGTTGCACTGTACTCTTAAAAATAGCTAAAATGGTAAATCGTTTTGTATGTTTTGCCACAATTAATTTTAAAAGCCACCCACAGTGATTATGATACAATTGGTTCTCAACTCCACTTTGAAAAACACTGGATATTAGGTGTATCGGGGAAATTCAGCCAGATATCGGGCGAAATTCACCCCCAATATTTTACATAGGTTTTTTTTCTATTTTCCCTAAGTGTCGGCCGGTCTGAGAAATAAAGAGACAGTACAAAAGAGAGAAATTTTAAAGCTGGGTGTCTGGGGGAGACATCACATGTCGGCAGGTTCCGTGATGCCCCCTGAGCTGCAAAACCAGCAAGTTTTTATTAGCGATTTTCAAAAGGGGAGGGAGTGTACGAATAGGGTGTGGGTCACAGAGATCACATCCTTCACAAGGTAATAAGATATCACAAGGCAAATGGAGGCAGGGCGAGATCACAGGACCACAGGACCGGGGCGAAATTAAAATTGCTATTGAAGTTTCGGGCATGCATTGTCATTCATAACATCTTATCAGGAGACAGGGTTTGAGAGCAGACAACTGGTCTGACCAAAATTTATTAGGTGGGAATTTCCTCGTCCTAATAAGCCTGGGAGCACTACAGGAGACTGGGGCTTATTTCATCCCTACAGTAGTGACCATAAAAGACGGCCGCACCTGAAGCGGCCATTTCAGAGGCCTACCCTCAGGGATGCATTCTCTTTCTCAGGGATGTTCCTTGCTGAGAAAAAGAATTCAGCGATATTTCTCCCATTTGCTTTTGAAAGAAGAGAAATATGGCTCTGTTCCACCCGGCTCACTGGCAGTCAGAGTTTAAGGTTATCTCTCCTGTTCCCTGAACTTTGCTGTTATCCTGTTCTTTTTTCAAGGTGCCCAGATTTCATATTGTTTAAACACACATGCTGTACAAACAATTTGTGCAGTTAACGCAATCATCACAGGGTCCTGAGGCAACACTCATCCTCCTCAGCTTATGAAGATGATGGGATTAAGAGATTAAAGTAAAACAGGCATAGGAAATCACAAGGGTATTGACTGGGGAAGTGATAAGTGTCCATGAAATCTTCACAATTTATGTTCAGAGATTGAAGTAAAGACAGGCGTAAGAAATTATAAAAGTGTTAATTTGGGGAACTAATAAATGTCCATGAAATCTTCACAATTTATGTTCTTCTGCCATGGCTTCAGCCAGTCCCTCCGTTCAGGGTCCCTGACTTCCCGCAACAGGTGTAAAACTTCCAAAAGAAATAAGAGTACCAAGAAAATGTAATTATTTTAGTACATGATAGGAAATATATAGTTGTGTTGGGAAGATGGAGGAAACTCAGAAAGCATGACCAATGAAGTGTCAGAACTAAATCCAAACATAAATATGAATATGTTGAAACTTTTTTTAGAAAGAAGGAGAAAAGTGGGGCTGGCAGAAAGGAAAAATTAGACTCAGGTTTATGCTTATTATGAAACATATATGTAAATAAAAAAGACACAGGAAGTTGAAAATAAGATAAAAAAATCAAATCAGGGAGATGGTAACAAAAATTAAGAATGGATGGCAATGCTAATATCAAATTATTAATAGAATTCAAGACAAAAGGCATTAAGCAAAACAAAGAGGGCCACAGTCCACTAGGAAGTTGTAATAGTCACTACATAACAAAGCCAAAACTCTTATATATGATGAGAAACAGACAAATCCACAACTATAATGGGAAACTCCATATTCCTCTCTTAAAAAATAATAAATTGGCCGGGTGCAGTGGCTCACACCTGTAATCCCAGCACTTTGGGAGGCCAACGTGGGCGGATCACGAGGTCAGGTGATCGAGACCATCCTGGCTAACACGGTGAAACCCCGTCTCTAGTAAAAATATCAAAAATTAGCCAAGCGTGATGGCAGGCGCTTGTAGTCCCAGCTACTTGGGAGGCTGAGGCAGGAGAATGGCGTGAACCTGGGAGGCGGAACTTGCAGTGAGCTGAGATTGGGCCACTGCATTCCAGCCTGGGTGACAGAGCGAGACTCCATCTCAAAAAAATAAAATTAAATAATAATAATAAATCCACTAGGCTAAATAAATATATAAATTACTTGAATAAAAGTTATCTACCATAATTTAATAATTGTGTATACAGATACATCTCATTTTATTGCACTTCACTTTATTGTGCTTCACAGATAATTGCCTTGTTTACAAATTGAAGGTTTGTAGAGATGTTGAGTCAAGCAAGTCTTCCAGCACCATTTTTCCGTGGCATATGCTCACTTGTGTCTCTGTGAGAATGTAGTTCTCACATTATTTCAGATTTTCATTATCACATCTGTGATGGTGATCTGTGATCACTGATCTTTGAAGTTACTATTGTATTTGTTTCAGGACACCATGAACCATGCCCCTATAAAAAGATGAACTTAATTGGTAGATGTGTGTGTTCTGACTGCTCTGCTTACTGGCCATTCCCCTGTCTCATTCCCTCCCTTGGGCCTCCCTCTTCCCTGAGACACAGTATTTAAATTAGGCCAATTAGTAACTCTGCAGTGGCCTTTAAGTGGTCAAGTGAAAGGAAGAGTTGCATGTCTCTCACTTTACATCGAAAGCTAAAAATGATTAAGCTTAGTGAGGAGGGCATGTTGAAAGCCAAGATGGGCCAAAAGCTAGCAGTTGGCCAAGTTGTGAATGCAAAGGAAAAGTTCTTGAAGGAAATTAAAAGTGCTACTCCAGTGAACACATGAATGACAAGAGCACCAAACAGCCTTATTGCTGATACGAAGAAAGTTTTAGTGGTCTGGATCAAAGATCAAACCAGCCACAGCATTCCATTAAACCACAGCCTAATCCAGAGCAAGTCTCTAACACACTTCAGTTCTTTGAAGGCAGAGAGACACAAGGAAGTAGCAGAAGAAAAGTTTGAAGCTGCAGGGATTGGTTCATGATGTTTAAGGAAAGCAGCCACCTCCATAACAAAAAAGTGCAAGGTGAAGCAGCAAGTGTTGATGTAGAAAAGCTGCAGCAAGTTATCCAGAAGATCTAGCTAAGATCATTGTTGAAGGTACCTACATTAAACAACAGACTTTCAATGAGAACAAAACAACCTTATATTGGAAGAAGATGTCATTGAGGACTGTAGTCAATAAAGAGGAGAGTTAATACCTGGCTTCAAAAGATAGGCTGACTCTCTTGTTAGAGACTAATGGAGCTGGTGACTTTAAGTTAAAGCCAGTGCTCATTTACCATTCCGAAAATCTTAGGGCCTTTAAAAGTTATGCTAACTCTACTCTGCCTGTGCTTTGTAAAATGGAACAACAAAGCCTGGATAACAGCATATCTCTTTACAGGATGGTTTACTGAATATTTTAATCCCACTGTTGAGACCTACTGCTCAGAAAAAAAAAGATTTCTTTCCAAATATTAACTGCTTACTGACAATGCCCCTAGTCACCCAAGTGTTCTGATGGAGATATACAAGGAGATTAATGTTGTTTATGCAGTAACACAACATCCATTCTGTAGCCCATGGATCAAGTTGTACTTTTGACTTTGAACTCTTATTATTTAAGAAACACATTTTGTAAGGCTATAGCTGTCATATATAGTGATTTCTCTGATGGATCTGGTCAAAGTCTGTTAAAAACCTTCTGGAAAGGATTCACTATTCTAGATACCATTTAAGAACATTTGTGATTCATGAGAAGAGGTCAAAATATCAAACAGGAGTTTGGAATAAGTTGATTCCAACCCTCATGGATGACTTTGAGGAGTTCGACTTTAGTAGAGGAAGTAATTCCAGATGTGGTGGAAATAGAGAACTAGAATTAGAAACAAAGCCTGATGATGTGACTAAATTGTTGCAATCTCATGATAAAACTTTAATGAGGTCAGGCACAGTGGCTCATGCCTGTAATCCCAACATTTTGGGAGGCCAGGGCGGGTAGATCACTTGAGGTCAGGAGTTTGAGACCAGCCTGGCCAACATGGTCAAACCCCATCTCTACTAAAATTACTAAAATTAGCCAGGTGTGGTGGCGTGTGCCTGTGGTCCCAGCTACTCAGGAGGCTGAGAATCGTTTGAACCCGGGAGGTGGAGGCTGCAGTTAGCCAAGATGGCAGCATACCCAGGCAGGATGTATACCCAGAAATGACCTGAGAAGACTTTTAGCCTTCACCCCATGTTGTTCCCAAGGCTCAAGACACACCCTGCTAATTAGTGAAGGTCTTCCTTACCAGTTTGCAAAGACTTGGGGAGTTGGCTGTCTTTCCAAATGGTAGTTTTCAAGAAAAGACCACAAGACATTAGAAAAAAAAAAAAAAAAAGAAAAGAAAAGAAAGAAAATGAAAATACAGCTCATTCAGAGTAACAAAATAAATCTCTAGAAACTAACTGTCCCTGAAGCAAAACAGGCATTGGAGCTACTAGACAAAGACTTTACAACAAGTGTCTTAAATACTCCAAGAGTGAAAGTAAAACACAGAGAAAGAACTAGTGAGGAAAAGGATATATGAGCAAGATGAGAGTATCAACAAAGAGATAGAAATTAAAAAAAGAAAAAAAGAGAGAGAACCAAACAAATTCTGGACACGAAATTCAATTTTGGAATTGAAAAATTCACTAGAGGAGTTCAACAGCAGACCAAAATAGGGAGAAAAAATCTGCAAACTTGAAGATAGGTTATTTAAAATTATTTAATCTGAGGAGCAAAACAAAAAGGGGAAGTGAACATATAGGACACTATCAAATGGACCCAATATGTACGTTATGGAGGCCCAGAAGAAAGGGAAAAGGACAAAAGGGTAGATTAAGAAATAATGAAAAGCTCTCCAAATTTGAGGGAAAATATGGATATACAAATACAAGAAGATCAACCAAGTCCAGATAGTATAAACCCAGTGAGATCCACACTGTGGCACATTATAATCAAACTGTCCACAAAGAGAGCATCTTGAAAGCAGCAAGAGAAAAGCAACATGTCATGTACAAGGAATTTCCATTAAGATTATCAAGTGGATTTGTCAGTAGAAACTTTGCAATCCAGAAGGCAGTGGGATAATATATTTAATGTATTGGGGGAAAAAAAAACAAACAAACTGTCAACTGAGAAACAAAGAAAAAGTGTTTACCGAGAATTTTATGTTGGGCAAAACTGCCCTTCAAAAATGAGGGTTAAGATATTTGCAGACAGACAAAAGCTTGAGGGAGTTCATTACCACTAGACCAGCCCTGTAAGGAATCCTATCCCTGGTGCAGTGGCTCACGCCTGTAATCCCAGCACTTTGGGAGGCCAAGATGGGTGGATCATGAGGTCAGGAGTTCAAGACCAGTCTGGTCAAGATGGTGAAACCCCGTCTCTACTAAAAATACAAAAATTAGCCAGGCATGGTGGCAGGCGCCTATAATCCCAGCTACTTGGGAGGCTGAGGCAGAGAATTGCTTGAACCTGGGAGACGGAGCTTGCAGTGAGCCGAGATGCCGAGATTGTGCCACTACACTCCAGCCTGGGAGACAGGGTGAGACTCCGTCTCAAAAAAAAAAAAAAAAATCCTAAAGGGAGAACTTCAAGATGAAATGAAAGTACACTAGACAGTAACTCAAAGTCATACAAAAAGATAAAGATCTCCAGTTAAGGTAAGTATCATGGACAAATATAAATACCAGTATCGTAATTTTGGCTTATAACTCTGCTTTTTTATTTTCTACAGGATTTAAAAGACACATGCATAAAATAATTATAAATCTATGTTGACAAGTACATTGATATCAATGTAAAATCAATTGATTTAAGGTTGTTATAACTTTAGGATATTATATGTAATCCCTGTGGTAACCACAACAAAAATATCTAAAGTATATGTAAAAGGAAATGAGAAAGGAATAAAAATATGTCACTAAAAAACATCAATTAAACACAAAGGAAGGCAGTAATGGAGGAATTTAGGGGCAAAATAGTTATAAGACATATAGAAAATAAATAAAGTGGGAAAAATGAGTTCTTCCCTGTTCTTAATTATTTCAAATGTAAATGGATCAAATTCCATAATTAAAAGATGTAGATTGGCAGAACAGATTTAAAAAACAGTGTCCAAATATATGCTATCCATAAGAGACTCACTTTAGGTCCAAGAATATACACAGGTTGAAAATAAAAGCATGGAAAAAGATATTTCATGCAAATAGTAACCAAAAGAGAACAGGAATGGTTGTATTAATGTTAGACAAAATAGACTTCAAGTCGACAACTGTTAGAAGAAAGACATTATCTGATGGTAAAAAGTGGATTCACCAAGATTTAACAATTATATACATAAATTCAACAAACAATAGAGCCCCAAATTGTATGAAGCAAACATTGACAGAATTGAAGGGAGAAATAGCTCTGCAATAATAATGGGAGACTTCAACACCTGACTTTCATAATAGGTAAAACATTCAGACAGAAGATCAATAAGTAAGGAGAGGATTTGAACAGCAATATAGACAAATTGGACCTAACAGATATATAGAATTTTCCTTCCAACGACAGCAGAATACATACTTTTCTTAAGTACACAATGAACACTCTCCAGGATAAATCATGTGTTAGGCCACAAAACAAGTTTTTAATACATTTTAAAAGATTGAAATCATTCATTTTTTTCCAGTCACAGTACAATGAAACTAGAAATCAACAGCGGAAGAAAAATTGAAAAATTCACAAATATGTAGAAGTTAAACAACACACACTTAACAAAAGGGTTGAAGAAGAATTCACAAGGGAAGTTAGAAAATAGCTTGAAACAAATGAAAACACACACCACAACTTACAGGATGCAGCAAAAGTAATGCTAAGAGGGAAATTTATAGCTGTAAATGCTTACATTAAAAAAGAATAAAGGTCTAAATCAACAATTAACTTTCCACCTTAAGGAACTAGGAAAAGGAAAAACCCCCAGAGCTAGCCAGAGGAAGGAAATAACAAATATTAGAACAGAGATAAGTAAAACAAAGAATAGAAAAACGACAGAGGCAATCAATGAAACCAAGAGTTGGTTGTTTGAAAAGATCAAGAAAATGGTGGATAAATCTTTAGCTAGATTGACTAAGAGAAAGAAGACTCAAATAATTAACATCAAAAATGAAAGGGGACATTGCTACTGATTTTACAGAAATAAAAAGGAGTTCAAGAGAGTACTGTGAACATTTGTATACCAACAAATTGAATAGTCTACGTGAAATGGATGAATTGCTAGAAATACACAACCTAGGAAGAATGTCATGAAGACATAGAAACCTGAATATAACTATAACTGTGTAAGGAGATTGAATCAGTAATCAAAAACCTCCCAATAAAGTAAAGCCCAGGACCTTAAGGCTTTGCTGATTAATTCTACCAAGCATTTAAAGAATTTGCACCAATCCAGCCAGGCACGGTGGCTCACACCTGTAATCCCAGCATTTTAGGAGGTCAAGGCAGGCGGATCACGAGTTCAGGAGTTCAAGACCATCCTGGCCAACACACTGAAACCCCGTCTCTACTAAAAATACAAAAATTAGCTGGGCGTGGTGGCGTGTGCCTGTAATCCCAGCTACTCGGGAGGCTGAGGCAGGAGAATAGCTTAAACGAGGGAGTTGGAGGTTGCAGTGAGCCGAGATCAAGCCATTGCACTCCAGCCTGGCAACAGAGTGAGACTCCATCTTAAAAAAAAAAAAAAAAAAAGAATTTGCACCAATCCTTCTCAAATGCTTCCAAAAAACTGAAGAGGAAGAAACACATTCCAATTAATTCTATAAAGCCAGCATTACCCCAATACCAAAATCAAAGACTCTACAAGAAAGAAAACTACAGACCAATAATCTTTATGAATGTTAATGCAAAAATACTCAGTAAAATGCCAGCAAACTGAATTTCAGCAGCATATTGAAAGGATGATACACAGAGTAGGATTTATTCCTGGAATTCAAAAACAGTTCAACATCCCACAAAAATCAGTGTAATATGCCACATTAACGAATGAAGGAAAAAAGACACATAATCATTTCATTGATGCAGAAAAAGCATTTGACAAAATTCAACATCTTTTTAAAGATGACAAAAACAACACATTAAAAATAAAAGGAAACAAGCCAGGCACGTTGGCTCGTGCCTCTTGAGGTCAGGAGTTCAAGGCCTGCCTGACCAACATGGTGAAACCACATCTCTACAAAAAAAAATATAAAAATTAGCCAGCATGGTGGTACATGCCTGTAGTTCCAGCTGCTTGCTTGGGTGGCCAAGGCACGAGAATCACTTAAGCCTGGGAGACGAAGGTTGCAGTTTGCTGAGATTGCAACACTGTGCTCCAGCCTGGGCAACAGAGTGACTCCGTCTCAATAAAAAAAAAAAAGGAAACTACTTCAACATATAAGGTCATTTATGAAAAACCCAGAGCTAACATCGTACTCAGTGGTGTCATGATTGAATTGTTTTTCCTGTAATATCAGCTACGAAGAATGGATACCTGTTTTTGCCAGAAAAGGACAAAGATTGTATGATTTCATGTTGTACCTAGAGTCATCAAATTCACAAAGACAGAAAAGAGAATGGTAGTTGCTAGTAGCTGGGGGACTGGAGAATGGGGAGTTATTGTTTAATGAGTACAGAGTTTCAGTTTGGAAAGTGCCTGTAGCTATATAGGTGTTATAGTTGCATAACAGTGTGGATATACCTAATGCCACTTAACTGTACACTTAAAAATGCTTAAAATGATTAAATTTTTTGTTTTGTATATTTTGCCACAATAAGAGGAAATCAAGAGAGAAAAATTTGCTATTTAGAAACAACAATGAGGCCGGTTGTGGTGGCTCACGCCTGTAATCCCAGCACTTTGGGAGGCCGAGGCAGGCGGATCATGAGATCAGGAGGTCAAGACCATCCTAGCTAACACGGTGAAACCCTGTCTCTACTAAAAATACAAAAAAATAGCTGGGCGTGGTGGTGGGCACCTGTAGTCCCAGCTACTTGGGAGGCTGAGGCAGGAGAATGGTGTGAACCAGGAGGCGGAGCTTGCAGTGAGCCTAGATTGAGCCATTGCACTCCAGCCTGGGAGACAGAGTGAGACTCTGTCTCAAAAAAAAAAAAAAACAATGAAATTACTGTGGATCAATATTTAAATTCTGGTGCTAATTTCAATTTTTAAATTCATTTATTAAAAAAGAAAGGCCAAAAGTAAAAGAATAATTTAGAAAACTAGAAAAGGAACAAAGTAAAGAAAATAGAATTATACACATTATTACATTATTAAGATAAAAATAAGAACATAATATAAATTGTAACTAATTCATTGAAAAGAATAAAATAGAGACACTTTTGAAAAGTCTAATCTGAGGGAAAAAGTCAAATACATAGAAACACTTAAGCAGAAAGGCCATCTAACCAATAACAATGTTTATTTATAATACTTAATATTTTGTGTACAATTTTATTCAAGTACATTTGGAAGAATAAGGACAAAGGAATAATGGCTGCACTTATTGAGTGTTTATGGTAAGGTAGGAACTGTCATTCTTGGTGCTTTCCATGGATTATCTCATTTAATACTCAGAATATCCATATGTGATAGGCACTATTATACCCATTTTACATATGAGAAAGCTGAGGCACAGTGCACTTAAGTAGCTTGCTCAAGGTCATAGCCAATAAGTGGCAGGGTCAGGATCTGAATCCATGTGGTCTTACTGCAAAGCTTACACTTTTAATCAGCCTCTCTCCACAGACAGCTGTCAAGGAAATTGGTCAAAATGAAAACCACAGAAAAATTTCCCCCTTTTTTTTGATCTTGTTGTATTTTGTACTTTTTCATTAGGTCATCGAGACATATTATTTATCCCAGTATTCTTCCAAGCACAGTGTACTGTGCTTTGGTATTCACTGAAAGTTAGTTCACAATAAAACTGAATAAATGGCATTCCTTTTCCTCTCCCTGTCCTTCCACTGACTCTGACAGCCGGAACTGAGAACAGAAATAAAGCTAATGACCTACCTATCGTATAACAGTTCCTCAACACTTGTCTCCACTTGGTGAAAACTCATCACTTACAAATCCTTGCTTTATGGATCAAGAAATGATGAAGTATAGGCGCACAGTAACAAGTGTCTAAAATTTTTGTCTGTAAAGATTAAAGGATGTGCATCCTAATGGAATCTCTCCCATTCACCAAACAACTGGCTTAAGCATACATCCAAAGGACATTTTCTTAGATCCATTTCTGGTTTTCTTTAGAACCCAAACACATTGTAGGAGAGAAAGGGATGCTGAGCCCCTCTCCTCTGCTCCTGGGTTGCAGAATGGAAGTGAGAATGCAGTACCTTACCCCTGGTGGTGCTGTGTCACAGGAGCCTCCATTTCCTGCTGGAGATGTGAGATTTGCAGGATCCAAGATGTCCTCGAGTAAAAGTCCATTGTGAGGAGGGACAGGTAAAGGAGGCAGAGAGAACATCAAATGTAACATATGGGTGACCTTATAAGTTCAAAGATAAATTTCCCCCAAATTGTGACATTTTCAAGCATATAGGCAGTATGGCCTTGCCCCGGTTCCCCTCAGCAACTGTAACAGGCATTGGGTGCTCATACAGAGCATCCTATAAAGCCTCCATATGAGAGAAGCTGTGGGGAATAGACCTATAGTTAAACCACTGTGATGAATCAGTTTAGAATTTTAATTAGCACTATGGTCTGTATGGAAACACCTTGGATGCCAGTAAACTGAGTGATTCAGTCAGATCCACCTCATCTACGGATGAGAACTGTAGACCAGCACTTCATAGACTTTACAGTTGATTAATTACTTTTTGCTAAGTTGTGGTTTTTTTTACTTTTTAACAGTTTTAATAAAGTATAATTGACATGCAATAAACTGTACATACTTCAAGTATACAATTGATAAGTTTTGACTTATGTACATGTAAAACCATCACCACAATTAACATAATAAACATACCCATCATCCCAGAATTTTCCTTCTGCCCCTTTGTGACCCACCTCTCCCATTCTTCCCCATCCCCTTATCCCCAAGCAACCACTAGTCTGCTTTCTGGCACTATGGATTAGTTGGCATTTTGGGGATTTTTATATAAATGAAATCTTTGGGGAACAATCTGTAAGCTTAAAGCTGCTATAAAAGAAAAACCTGAATTTAGGAAATGTTTTTAGACAGTGGAAAGTGATGTTTATAACAAAAATGAAGTTGATACTTGTAGGTTTTCTGTAATATTTTTTCTCCTTAATAAGCTTTTTATATGAGTTTGAATTTTTGAATTATTACTAAATAGAGCATATTTAAACATAAAATGTTTATTTTTAAATTAATTAAAAATTTAATGATTTTCCATTTTTATGTCCCCAAGTTACCTCTTCAACCCAAAGTTGCTTCACTTGATTTTTGTTTGTATTTTTAATCCTTTTACAGAGCATATAGGATTGGACAATGTAGAGATGTCAAAGTGCTTAGGCTGATATCCTTGGGAACTGTGGAGGAAATCATGTATTTACGACAGATATACAAGCAGGTAAATATGTTTCCCTTTTTCTGTTTCAGAGGTCAACATTTATCTGTTTTCAAAAATTAGGAACAAATTTGTGTAAAATGTAAGTTTTAAATCTTACTGTATTGCGGAATTTAATAAGATTATAAAAATTACCCTTGAATACACTTTTATGAAACAGATTCTTTGGTTCATTGAATTTTTGAGCTGAAAGTTTTCTAGAGCAGTACCTCTTAAACTTTAGTGTACATGCGAATTACCAAGGGATCTTGTCAAAATACTGATTGTGATTTAGTAGGTCTGAGTTAGAGCCCATGATGTGGAATTTTTAACTAGCTCCCAGGAGTCCTAGTAAAACTAATCAGCCCACATTTTGAGTAGCAAGGTCACAGCTCCCCAAATTACAGGCCAAGATGTAATGGTTTACCACAAATGGGCTACAGGTGCACTGATATGTTGGTCCCACAGCTTTCTGGACAGCAAGAGTACCTAAGCCAGTGTGTTAGTTCATTCTCATGCTGCCATAAAGAACTGCCCAAGACTGGGTAATTTATAAAGGAAAGAGGTTTAATTGACTCACAGTTTCACATGGCGGGGGAGGCCTCAGGAAACTTACCATCATGGTGGAAGGGGAAGCAAGCATGCCCTTCTTCACAGGATGGCAGGAAGGAGAAGTGCTAAGCAAAGAGGGAAAAACCACTTATAAAACCATCAGATCTCTTGAGAACTCAATATCCTGAGAACAGCAGCATGGGTATAACTGCCCCCATGATTCAGTTACCCACTGGATCCCTGCCACAGCATGTGGGGATTATGGGAACTGTAATTCAAGATAAAATTCGGGTAGGGACACAGTGAAACCATATCAGCTAGCTGCCAGCCTTTGAGTAACCTCTTCTTTTTACACCAGGTAGATATTCATATGTTACCATTTTCTACATGTGCCATCACATGAAGATTAGGGAGCACTACCTTAGAGGTGCATGATGTACATGATGAAACTGGGACCCCAGAGATCCCCCAGTAAATGAAATTATAGGAATAGAGCTTAAGTGTGCTAACTACTTTCCTGGTACTTTTAGTATTCGTCCGAAATTGCATTAACTCTTTAATATGCTTGAGATATCAATTACTACTTCATTTATGCCTCTAAACAAACAATATTTATTTAGTTTACAACTGGATACTTGAGACAATCTGGAATAAGGTTCACGTGTAATCATAAATATTACATTTGAATTGCTTCCTATATGTTCAGTTGGCATCTATTTAAGAGCAAACATCTGCCACATGTGTTGGTAGTTAACCTAAGAATGATCCAATCTTAAATTTATGCTATTTTCTTCATTCTAAAAATAGAATTGTACACAGCAGTTTTTGTTTTGTCTTAAAGCTTTTAGCTCTGTAATAAACAGTTCATTTTTTTTTTTTTTTTTGGTATAGCACAACTACTTGAAAATTATTTTTTTCTAACCTATTTAACCAACCTTGGGAAAAAGTGGGAAGTTACTCATCTTAGGAGCTGTTCTTTTGAGTACTGTCTTAGACTACTCTCAAGTAAGAGTCTTTCCTCAATTATGTAGTAATTTTTTTCAGTCCATTACTATATACATTTCCTTTTTACCTATTCATGCGACTCATTTAATGAAATGTCTTGTTATAAAATATACATTGTGCAGTAGTATATGATAAAACACGCTTCAGAAGATGAGGTAATTTAAGAACTTTATATGACACAAATAAAGATAAGATGGCAATCATGGAAGGAAAAGGCACTAAATATGGTTTAAAGATAGTTTGGAATTTTAACCAATGGAGCACACCTTCTAGCCTCCCAGGTTGGCTTTCAATCTTTTGGGGAAAAAAAATCCAAAAATTATGTTTTTGTTTTTTTTTTTAAATTATACTTTAAGTTTTGGGATACATGTGCACAATGTGCAGGTTAGTTACATATGTATACATGTGCCATGTTGGTGTGCTGCACCCATTAACTCATCATTTAACATTAGGTATATCTCCTAATGCTATCCCTCCCCCCTCCCCCCACCCCACAACAGTCCCCAGAGTGTGGTGTTCCCCTTCCTGTGTCCATGTGTTCTCAATGTTCAATTCCCACCTATGAGTGAGAACATGCAGTGTTTGGTTTTTTGTTCTTGCGATAGTTTACTGTGATGATTTCCAATGTCATCCATGTCCCTACAAAGGACATGAACTCATCATTTTTTATGGCTGCATAGTATTCCATGGTGTATATGTGCCACATTTTCTTAACCCGGTCTATCATTGTTGGACATTTGGGTTGGTTCCAAGTCTTTGCTATTGTGAATAGTGTGCATGTGTCTTTATAGCAGCATGATTCATAGTCCTTTGGGTATATACCCAGTAATGGGATGGCTGGGTCAAATGGTATTTCTAGTTCTAGGTCCCTGAGGAATTGCCACACTGACTTCCACAATGGTTGAACTAGTTTACAGTCCCACCAACAGTGTAAAAGTGTTCCTGTTTTTCCACATCCTCTCCAGCACCTGTTGTTTCCTGACTTTTTAATGATTGCCATTCTAACTGGTGTGAGATGGTATCTCATTGTGGTTTTGATTTGCATTTCTCTGATGGCCAGTGATGGTGAGCATTTTTTCATGAGTTTTTCGCTGCAAAAATCTCCTTAAGCTGATAAGCAACTTCAGCAAAGTCTCAGGATACAAAATCAATGTACAAAAATCACAAGCATTCTCATACACCAATAACAGACAAACAGAGAGCCAAATCATGAGTGAACTCCCATTCACAATTGCTTCAAAGAGAATAAAATACCTAGGAATCCTACTTACAAGGGACGTGAAGGACCTCTTCAAGGAGAACTGCAAACCACTGCTCAATGAAATAAAAGAGGGTACCAAGAAATGGAAGAACATTCCATGCTCACGGATAGGAAGAATCAATATCGTGAAAATGGCCATACTGCCCAAGGTAATTTATAGATTCAATGCCATCCCCATCAAGCTACCAATGACTTTCTTCACAGAATTGGAAAAAACTACTTTAAAGTTCATATGGAACCAAAAAAGAGCCTGCATCGCCAAGTCTCAATCCTAAGTCAAAAGAACAAAGCTGGAGGCATCATGCTACCTGACTTCAAACTATACTACAAGGCTACAGTAACCAAAACAGCATGGTACTGGTACCAAAACAGAGATGTAGATCAATGGAACAGAACAGAGCCCTCAGAAATAACGCCGCATATCTACAACTATCTGATCTTTGACAAACCTGAGAAAAACAAGCAATGGGGAAAGGATTCCCTATTTAATAAATGGTGCTGGGAAAACTGGCTAGCCATATGTAGAATGCTGAAACTGGATCCCTTCCTTACACCTTATACAAAAATTAATTCAAGATGGATTAAAGACTTAAACGTTAGACCTAAAACCATAAAAACCCTAGAAGAAAACCTAGGCAATACCATTCAGGACATAGGCATGGGCAAGGACTTCATGTCTAAAACACCAAAAGCAATGGCAACAAAAGCCAAAATTGACAGATGGGATCTAATTAAACTAAAGAGCTTCTGCACAGCAAAAGAAACTACCATCAGAGTGAACAGGCAGCCTACAAAATGGGAGAAAATTTTCACAACCTACTCATCTGACAAAGGGCTAATATCCAGAATCTACAATGAACTCAAACAAATTTACAAGAAAAAAACAACCCCATCAAAAAGTGGGCAAAGGACATGAACAGACACTTCTCAAAAAAAAATTATGTTCTTAAAAAAAAAATAAACCTGTAAAAATGTTAGAAAGCAAGAAGAGTTTTCTTGGTGGCCCCAAAATTGTAAGGAGTCCTAAAAGACAAAAGGAAGTTGGGATCAGATTGAAGGAAGAAGCCAAGTTAAACTCAGAAGACGACTACTGAAAAGGTAGGTGCAGCCTCTGGATATTCCAAGTTTAGAGTCAGCAGATACTAAAAAAGAAGGGAGCCTTAGGGTAACTGTGGAGCCCTCTTCAGGGTATCACTGATGGTGTAACAAGACGGTTTAGCCCTTATAATCCTATCCCATTTGGACCAAATTACAGCCAGCAGAGGTGTCTACTGTCAAGTGAGAACAATAAGTAGAAGTACTGGAAACAAAGAAGCAAGACAGAGCTCCAAATTTTTCTAATATTCAGAAGAAAGTCCCTCCTGTTGCCCAGAAGACTAATTACTTGCACCCTCCACTTTATTTCAGATAAGCACTGCAGTAGACAGAGATAAGCATGTGAAGTATTTAAAGGCAGATGAATAGCCCAGCCAAAAATAATTACCCAACAGTTTAGGAAAATAAACACTTTGAAAAAGGCACTATAGCGGGCTGAATACTGGCCCCGAAAAATATCAATTTCTAATCCCTGGAAATTGTAAATGGTACTTTATATGGAAAAAGGATCTTTGCAGATGTGATTAAATTATGGGTCTTGAGATTCGGGGATTATCTTGGATTATCCACAAGTGTCCTTATAAGAAAGAGCTAGAGGACAATTTGACACAGACAGAAGAGGAGAAGACAATGTAACCACAGAGGCATTGATTGGAGTGGTGTGCCAGAAGCTAAGGAATGGTGGCAGCCACCGCAAGCTGGAAGAGTCAAGAAGTAGATTCTTTGCTAGAGCCTCCAGAAGGAGTGTGGTCGTGGTCCTGCCAACACCTTGATTTCAGTTTAGTGATACTGATTTCAGATTTCTGGCTCCCAGAACTGTGAGAGGCTCAAATGATCCTCCCACCTCAGCATCCCAAGTAGCTGGAACTATAGGTGCGTGCTACCACACCAAGCCAATTTTTTATTTTTATTTTTGTAGAGATAGAGTTTCACTCTGTTGCCCAGGCTGGTTGAAACTGTGTTGTTAATTCAGAACTCTCCCACAAAGATAGATTCTAGCCCGGATGACTTCAGTGGTAAATTCTATCAAACACTTAATATTGTTTTTGAAAACAGAAGAAGAGGGAACACTTCCAACTTACTTCACAAAAACAGTAGAATCCTGATACCAAACTTGACAAAGACATTGCAAGAAGAGAAAATGACAGATGAATATCTCTCATGAACATAAATATGAAAATCTTTAACCAAGCATCTGTTTTGAGTCCATTGCACCCCTTCCCCTCAAAAGATAGGTTGAAGTCCTAACCCTTGGTACCTGTGAATGTGATCTTATTTGTAAGTAGGGTCTTTGCAGATGAGGTTAAGATGCGATCACACTGGATGAGAGTGGTCCCTAATCCATTGACTGATACCTTATAAGAAGGGGGAAATTTGGATACAGACAGCCACAGAGGAAGAGCACCATGTGACAATGGAGGCAGAGATTGGAGTGATGCCACCACAAGCCAAAGAATGCTACGGATTACCAGCAACTACCAGAAGCTAGAAAGAGGCAAGGAAGGATCATTCCCTAAAATCTTCAGACAGAGCATGGCCCTATGGACACCTTGATTTCAGATTTAGCTGCACAACTATGAGAAAATAAATTTCTATTGTTGTAAGACATCCAATTTGTAGTACTTTGTTACAGCAGAATTGGGAAACTAGTGCAGCCCCTAAGGCAAATACAGAGTATTGTAAATTTGACTATATTTTTGTATGAAACTTCTGTATGACAAAGGAACTGCAAACCAAATTCAAAGACAGACTAGGAGCATATGTTTGCCATATATGTAATAAAAGAGCAGCATGTACAAAATATAAAGAACTCCCACTGTATTAGTCTGTTTTCATGCTGCTGGTAAAGACATACCAGAGACTGGGTTATAAAGAAGAGGTTTAATGGACTTACAGTTCTGCATGGCTGGGGAGGCCTCACAATCATGGCAGAAGGCAAAAGGCACATCTTGCATGGAGGCAGGCAAAGAGAATGAGAATCAAACGAAAGGGGTTTCCCCTTATAAAACCATCAGATCTCGTGAGACTTATTCACTACCACGAGAACAGTAGGGGGTGAACCGCCCACATGATTCAGTTATCTCCCACTGGATCCCTCCCACAACACATGGGAATTATGGGAGCTGCAATTCAAGATGAGATTTGGGTGGGAACACAGCCAAACCGTATCACCTACAAACCAATGAAAAGAATAATAGGCATTTCACTGAATTAAAAATGCAAGTGGTTAACACATGTGAAAAAATCTTTTTAACCACACTCATAATCTAGAGATAGAAAATAAAATAAGACCATTTGCATTGTATATTCTGCAAAAGCTTTTTTAAAAAATGCATATTGAGGTGTTTTGGGGGGGTTGGGGAGATTGGTGCTGTTCATTGTTGGTTGGGGCATTTGAGAGATGCTCATATACTACTGTTGAGAGTACAACTGGTATAGGTATATGTAGAGTCTCCATAGCTAACTGACAGAAATCCTCTCACATACGCACAGTGAAGGATGACAAGGGCTTTTACTTAGCATTGCTTGCATTTGTTTAAAAAACAAAGGAAACAACCTAAATGTCTGACAGTAACAGAATAAATTCTGATACCTATATTACTTTGTGACAGCAAAATTTAAAAAATTATAGTCAGATCAAATGTACTGATGTGGCAAGATGTCTGAAGACATTTTTAAGTGAGTTGAAAAAGCAATATACAGAACAATATCTACAGTGTTTCAGTGTGTTTAGAAATAAAGCTATTTCTGTGTGACAGACTGTCCCTGATTTATGACATGGTTCAACTTAATGTTTTTCAGTTTTATGATGGTGCTAAAATGATACCTATTTATGTATGAAGTATGTTCCTCTACTTACGATGGGGCCACATCCAGATAAGCCTATCGTAAGTCCAAAACTCACTTTAGACCTAATGGTGTTTTCAACTTACAATGGGTTTATCTAGATATAGCCCCATCATAAATTAAGGAGCATGTGTATGTATAAATAGCTTTAACTTCATTGAAAGATACCTAGAAGGATGCACCTAAACGTTACAGCACTGGTTAGACTAATAAGGAGTGACCTGTATTGTTCATGAGGGGCTTTTATTTTGATACCTTTTGTTGCATCTGTTGTGATGATGCATTCAGATATTTTATACATTTTAAAAATATAAACATCACTTTTACAGCAGCTGTGCTCCTTCAGGTTTGGAGCATTTAAACAATCTAAAGTTTGGCATTCAGAAAGTCATCTCGTCTGTGTGTGTGTGTGTGTGTGTGTGTGTGTGTGTAAATTTTATTTGTAAGTGTTTGCAGAAGAATTGCAAGAACAGCAGAAAGAACCCCCAGTTAGCTTCACTCAAATCACTCAAATTCCCTATTTGCTGACATTTTACACACTTGCTTTCTCTTTGTCTCAGCCATTATCTTTATTCTTTTTCTGAGCCATTTGAGAGAGTTAGACTTCTCATCAGTATGTATTTCCCCAAAGAAGCAACACTCTCCTACCAACACTCTAAATTTTCCAGTATGTATTTCCCCAAAAGAAGTACACTCCTACTTAAATATACATAAAAACCAGTTTTATGCATTCTAAACACTCAGTTGTATATACGGTTCTACAACTCGCTTTCCCCACCCTCCACACTCCTCTCCAAAATGCAGTTATTCACATGAAGAAATTAACTTTGATAAAACATGATGCTGTAATCCATAGGACCCATTCAGTTTCCCCACCTCTCTCTTTTTCCTTTCTGGTCCAGGGTTTCATCAAGGTTCATGGCTCCATTTACTTGTGTCTCTTCAGTTTTCTTCAGCCTGGAATATTATCCAGGCTTTGTCTTTCAAGACCTTGACAGCTTTAAAGAATAAGGCCTTTGTGTAGGATGTCCTTCAGTCTAGGTCCATTTGATGTTTCCTCATGTCCAGACTCAGGCCAAGCAGTATTGGCAGGAATACCACAGACATGATACTGTGCTCTTCTCGTTGCATCAGTCAGAAGGCACATGGGGGTGACCTGCCCTACTACTGCTCACGTTAACCTTGATCGCAGGTCAAGTTTGTGTCTGCTAAGTTTCTCCACTGCAAAGTTACTATTTTTTTCTTTGTAATTGATATGTAGTTTATGGGGAGATCCTCTGAGACTGCCAGTTCCTCATCAGACCTGCACGCATAACCCTTAGTGTTCATTCGTGATTCCTGCCTGAGTCAGCTACCACTATAATGGTTGTCAGGTGGTGATTTTTCTATTTCCATTATCCTTCTTGGTTGTTGTTTGGCACTCTACCATTTAAAAAAGAGCTTTCCCTTCTATTTATTTAATTTGTGTGGTCTCATGGCTTCCTATTTTAGTAATAGATTACAACACATTGAATATCACTATTTATTTGATGTTCACATTGTCTTATATTTGGCCAATGGGAACCCATTAGGGTGGCTTCTGTGTCATTTCGACTTGCTCCCATCATTCTTTTTGCACTTCTTTACTGTGGTAGGCTGAATAATAGTCTCCCAAAGATGTTCACATTGTAATCCCCCAAACCACCTGGGTTATCCAGATGGGCCAATGTAATCACAAGGGATTTTTTATAAGGGTCAGATGTGCACATCTTCATCTCTGCTAGCTCTGACCCTACTGCCTAATAACCCGTGGTAAGGAAGCAAAGGGTCAGAGAGAAAAATAATGAAGATGCCACACTGCTGGCCTTGAAGATGGAAGAACGGCCATGAACTTCTTAACATCATAAATGTTCTTTTCTTTTTACTTCTTTCTTTATTTTGTCTATTGTTATGATGAGATCCAAGCATTTTCTCCCTTGTATGGGTTTTTCATAAGCTACGAACTAAGCTACATTTTTTAGTTACTATTTTCCCCCTAACTTCTTGAATTTGAACATGATTTCATTTTTAGTTAGCCTACAGATGGAAGCACCTGGTTTCCACTTTTACTGGAGCCACTTTAGTACAAAATAATGTGCTTTTTATAAATTTTGTAATAAAACTTTGCTAGGAAGCTTATAAAGACTCAAATTAAGGCTTACAAATTACCTTGGTGATTATAGTTACAGGTCCTGCAGTCTGACAATATCAGTGTTTAAGGTAGTTTCAGTAACAAGGGTAAAATAGGTAGGTACCCGGGCTATCACTTGTATCAATTGTTATTGTAATTCTGTACTCCCAGGATTACAGCCCATGTTCATTGGTATCAAATTGATCAAGTTGGTATGTTGATCCATAACTTCTTTAAATGAAGGTCCCGAGGGTTTTTTTTAAGAGAGGCATCTTGAAAGTGAGAAATTAGTTAATAGTATAAATTTTAGATTCAGCCAAACCAAGGTTCAAATTCTAGGAATGACACTTCTTAGCTGGCAGCTGTGAGCAAGTCACTTAATTTCTCTAAACTTGAGTTACTTTATTTTTAAAATACAGAAATTTTAGTTATTTTATTTCTAAAATTGAGATGATATAAGGTTGTAAGGATTAAATGAGAGTATGGAAATAAAATGCTATACATGTAATAAATGTTCAGTAAATGGCAGCTGTTATTAACAAGAATTTTAATTGCCTAGAGTAACTTATTACAGTGCAAATGAACTCTGATGATAATCTCAATAGTTAAGCATTTCTCTTTTTTTGTTTTTTGTGACGGAGTCTTTGTCACCCAGGCTGGAGTGCAGTGGCGCCACCTCGGGTTGCTTGCAGATTCCACTAGGTTCAAGCAATTCTCCTGCCTCAGCCTCCCGAGTAGCTGGGATTACAGGCACCCACCACCATGCCCAGCTAATTTTTGTATTTTAGTAGAGAAGGGGTTTCACCACGTCGACCAGGTTGGGCTCTGACTCCTCAAATCAAGTGTTCCTCCTGCCTCCACCTCCACCTCCCAAAGTGCTGGGATTACAGGCATGAGCCATTGCACCCGGCCCTTAAGCATCATTTTTTACTGATTTCTCCGTCAGTGGGCTGAAGTTATTTTCCATTCTGTGCATTCTTTGTTTCTTTCAAGGAATTTTAAAGTACACATGGGGTTAATCAGATTGTATTTTAATTTTACATATTTATATTACATTTAGTAAAATATCCAGCAAATAGTGCATATTAATGTTGATACTGAAATGGTGTTTTTAAATGTTCCATGTCAGTGTTCTTTCTGTATTCAAAATTATGTCAAAGATGCAGTGTTTCTTAAAACAGTGATAGGGTTTTTGCTGTTAGTAGGCAATGTAGTCAAGCCACAATTAGTTTGACACCAAGGTGGTTATCATATCATTACTTTAGATTGTAATTTAACTTCAGTGATGTAGTAATTACTTCTGCCAGTTTTAGTAGTTGCTATTGTAATAAGAGTTTTAAAAGGAGAAAAGTATATTCAAATGTATGCTTTTATTATTAAACATTTATGTCAGGTGGATATTCTATAGAGATGTAATCTTGACTCAGTTGTTAGAAAACAGATAAAATAGGAAATATAAGATCTCTGTTTCAATAAGACTGGCCAGATTATTATTATTTCACCATAATGGCAACATCTGCCAGGGAAATTAAAACAAAATTTCCTCCCTAAGGAGATTCTGCCTGCTCCAGCTAAAGCTGTGTATATACAGGGAATGCCAGGAAATTCTGACATATTGTTGGAGCAAACACTTCAAAAATGTCTTGTGTTTTTTCTGTTTTAGCAACTTCACTGTGTGGTGGTTGGAAGTGAAAATGCCAAACGATATTTTGAAGCAGTTCAAGGATCTAAAGAGCATCAAGGAGAGCTTTTTGGGATCCATAACCTCTTCAAATTTAGGTCCCAAGGGTCTTGTCTTACGAAGGACATCCTGGAGGTGTGAACTTCTTCTCTGACCTTTTCAATAATATTTTAAATACAGTTTTTCTTCCTCAGGAAATCTGAAATACAATTGCTGTTGCCTTTTCAGAGAAACTTTTGGTTTTCTTTATCAAAAATGCCTTGGAATTTTTACTTTTAGAGAATAAGAAATGAATTATTGTACCTCTAAACTAAGATTTTCCCATGCATAATTACAAATAATGCACACACACAAATGTATATGCTGGGTAGTATGAACTCCAAGGCAATTTTAAATAGGCAGAGAGAAGTTTATAGTTTTGAAAACAGCTGCTGAAGTCAGGAACTAAAAAAAGAGGTTTTCCTAAATAAACAAAAATATAAAATGTGTTTTAATTAAAAGTTACCAAATACTCCCTGAGATGTACTCTCATGTCTCATGGAGATTTTTGTTTTCTGTTCCCAATAAAAATTCCACACCAGTATTTTAAACTCTCCCTGTTGTGTTCATCCTCAGCATACAGATGTTTCTTATTCCTCAAACAAAATATTTTATATCCTTTTTTAAAAAAATCTTTAAGTTCTTTTATATACCGGAATACTAAGGATATTAACCTATTTTCTAATTGATATTCATATAGGTATCATAAAATCCTGGAGTATCATCTTTTTCAACCTCCTCATGGTATAGATGAGGAAACTGAGTCTTAGAGAACTTCAGGATATTTCTCTTGACTTCCAGGACTTTGTAGTAAAATCTTAATGTACTTCATTTATTCAGTAAGTACCATAAAGGCAGTTCAAGGAGCAATTGGTTCCTGTCCTTGAGGAACTTAAACCATCTTGACCGGAGGTGGAAGAGAACGTTTACATAATAACCATGCAATGTCAGGAATCGTATGCTGAACAAGTTAAACAGTAGACCATGGATGGCTGGGGGAGAGGAAGGTATATATTATTTGAATCCTATAAATGTTGTTACTATTATACAGTTTCTGATATATACTGCTGAGTTTCTATTTTATAGTAACTATATTTGATTCTGAATTCAGTGGCCCATTTGGAGTCCTACTTTTTGGGGTTTTTTCCCCTTGCTTTTTAAATACGCTGTTTCTTTCATGAATTTGTTCTTTCCAGTTTCCCTTTTCATATCAATAACTTTGTTTGCCCTCCAGCTCCCAAACCCAGCTGCTACCTCCATCTCAGAGTACTACTTGACATGCCTATATTGATGTTAAAGTCAATTGTCTATAAAAATATTAGCATTTTATTATTTATCCTGTTTTCTGTCATATATGACATAGTTACCTGTTTTTATCAGAATAACCACCTATTTCTTTGTTAAACAAGTGTTATATAAGACATATCAGGATGACAGGTTATTAAGTAGAAAAAGTTCCCTTGTTTATCGTGCCACTGCACTCCAGCCTGGGGAACAAAGCAAGAGACTTGTCTCAAAAACAAAAAACAAAAACAAAAAAAAGTTCTCTTGTTCACTGGTTATTCTAAGAATATCTTGTTTCACCTTCAGAAGTGTTTATTAATGACAGGACCATCCATGTCTTACATTTTCTTTTTTAAAAATATCTTTTAAGTTCTTTAATATACCAGAACACTAAGAATATTAACCTATTTTCTAATTGATATTAATAAGGGGTGACAAGGCCATCCATGCCCTACATTTGTCTTGCTAGGCATATCATTGGCACTTGATTATTAAGTTAAATTTTGAATTAAAATTACTCATTTGTCATCAATCAGAATGTAAATTTATTCAGGATTGGTTAGATTCATGCTGCTTTGGGCCAAAAGGTGCTTCTAAATATTATTATTAGCCCCATATAATGGGAGTACCTATCATAAAGTAAAAGGAGTATTTCACTTCATGTGAGACATTTTTAATTTTTAAAGGTTGTATAAAATCTCTTTTAAAATGTTTTAAGATGTAAAAATTTGAATATTTACACTTATAATCTTATGATTTCTGGGCAATTTCATTCTGTTTTGCATTGACTTTCCATTATCTATATTATGGTTTCTCTTCAAAGATAGATATTGAGAGTTCATTTTACAAGTATTTGTTGAGCATCTGCTAAATGTCAGGTACTGTTCATAGAGCTTTGCATACATAAAAGAACAAAATAAACAAAACGATCCTGTCTACCAGAAGTCTGCATTCTATATGGGGAGACAAATGATAAACAATAAATAAGTGAAATATGGAATGTATTATGATAGGTTCTAAGGATAAAAAATAGAACAGGGAAGGGAAATAGAAACTGTTAAGGAAGGGGCATTGCAGTTTTAGATGGGGTAGTCAAGGAAGCCCTCACTCTGAAGGCTGCATTTGAGTATTCAAAGAGGTGAGGGAGGAAGGTGTGTTTTAGATAGGGGAAACAAATGCAGAGGTCCTGAGGGAGGAACATGCCCCGTGTGATCTCCAATGTCAGGGAGGCCAGAGTGGTTAGAGTGGGGTCAGCAAGAGAGCAAGAGATGGAGCCGGAGAGATGACAGAGAGCCAGACCATGCAGGAACTTTGACTTTTACTTGAATGAGACAAAAAGCAATTAGAGGGTTCTGAACAGAAAGATGACATAGTCTGATTTATATTAGCTTGACTTACTATTGAAAACTAGACTATAGAAGTACAAGGACAGAAGCAAGAAGCCAGTTAGGAGGATACTGCAGTAATCCAGCTGAGAGATGATGTCGGCTTGAGCCAGGGTGATTGTGGTGGGTGGCATGAGAAGTGGCTGGATGCTGTATATATTATCCAGGTGGCACTGACAGGATTTGCTGACGGGTCAGATACAGGGTATGAGTAAAAGAGAAGAGTTAAGGATGGCTCCAAGGTGTTTGGCCTGAACAACTTAAGACTGGAGTGGCCATTTATCTATAATAACGGAGTTTCAACAGCTTTAAGATTTCTAGTACTGCCACTTTCACCTGTTGTAGTCATTTAGCTTCTGTTACAGAGATAAATGGTAGCCTGGGAATGAGGCTTCCCATCCCATTGCTGTAATAGCTTCCAGGCATGGAGAATAAAGGACTTGCAGCAGTTCAGAAACTATCATTCCCTAGAGTTCCATAGGGGAGATTCTCACTCATTGCCCTGGATACCAGGTGGCTGGAACCACGCCATTAGTGTGTCTGTATTCTTAAGTTGGGCATTTGTAACTCTAGTGATGGTAGTATTATTTCTCCTTGCTCTGTCAACAAATATAGCCTTAAAAAGAGAATTGATTTCCTTTTGAGGAGAATTTAATATTCTAGAATCTAGGCCATTAGAACTTCTGCTAAATGATACACCAGAAGCTTTAAAGTCCAAATACTTTCCCAAAAGATAGCAAGCCTGTTATATAACTAGAATATTGTTTTTAGTTTCATATTAGGGTGGACCTTTTCATTTTGATGTCTCCTACACCTAAGGGGTATTTTTAAATGAATATGAACAATAAATATAGTAACAATATAGGCTAGAATATCAAGTTCCCAATATTCAACATTGTGGTGTTTGAAATGTTAATATGTCCTTACCATAATTATTGTATGGGAATGGTTGTTATGGATATCATACTGGGTAAATATTTCACATTTCTTCACTCTCCCTCTTCCCACTAGTACTTTTAATGAAGTTGGCTGGAAAGTATTAGTTTTCTGTGTATGTAAAAGTAAACTTTAACACAAGAATTAAGAGTATTTTTAGAATGTTATATAAATGTTTATATATGAGTTTCTTAATTAGCAAGTTGAAAAATAACATTAAGAATGCTAAAGCAAGCTGCATGCAATTTTTCTTTCTTAGCTCCAAGAATAGCATGCATTGCTGTTGTTTATCTGGTTGTTGCTACCCCCTGTGTTGCATAGCTATTTGCATTCTTTCTTACTGACATTATAGAGAGAAGGCCAAGTAGAAGCAGGGATCATGACAGCCACAACATGGTTGAAAGAGGGACCTCCAGCACACAAACTGGAAATGGTATGTAATATTTGAACCTGTAGACTACAACACCTAGAAAACATGTACTGTGACAATTTTGTTTCTTTTCCTTTTTCCTTAATTTTATAACCTGTAAAAAAAAAAATTAAGAGTCAAGGACACAAAGTCAGAGGACTATGGATAAAATTAATAATTAAGGCTGATTTAACATTCATATTATAAGAACAAATTCAGGAGCAGTTCAGGCATTTACAGCTAAACTGAATTTTAACTACACCAAACTGTAAATCCAGTACCACCTAGATAACTAACCCATCCCAAATAAATAATTTTTGACTAAATGGTAAGTTAAATGGAAAAATCACCATCAATGTGTATTTAAAATTATTGAACCCAAATATCAAAATTATTCTCTAACCTGAAAGTAGATATTTGATTCCTTAATTTTGTGATCTTTTTAGTAGCTTGTCATCTCATGTACCACCAAATCTTTATTTCATCATAAGGCCATCTTAAAGGTAAAAAACATGTGTGGAAGGTTTTTTTGTTATTGTTGCTGGTTTTTTCTTGTTTGTTTTTAGAGTCTTAACTATCAATTTATACCAGTCCAATGAGTTTAAATTGGGGATGAAATTTCTATAAATTTAGAGAAATATATGAATCTCAAATATTGGCAAAAGTATTATCAGATAATACTTTCCGCAATATTTTACTAGTAGAGCCTCAGTTTTAGAAAACTAGGTTATATTTAACTCTGATTAATGTGCAAAGGTTACATATTGAATTTAAATTTGTAGCAAATTTTACTTCAAAATTCTTTATTTCTGGTGATCAAGATCCTATCGGCCTTTTTAATCAATTAGAACAATTTTCCAGTCTTGAATTCTTTACCTTGTTAACTCCTGTAATCTGTCTTATTCTTAAAGCGTGATTGGAAGCATCTGCTAGATGACAGTAAACTCCAGTAATTCTTAAGCAGTAAGTTGTATGCTTTTCACTTTCGAGGCCAGAATTATGTGTCCTTGCATCTTAGAAGCCAAACACTCCACTTTGTGTTTTTCTTCAAAATACTTTGATTATATGGTACTCTAGTTTAAATTTTTTTATTTTGCAACAATATTCAACATGGAAAGAGAAAAGACTACCAGACTATGATATTAAATCCTTAACATTTGTTTATTAAATGTTGTACTTTTAGAAAATATTAAGTGATATACTTGTACCTAAATTACCTGCCCAAAGTTGAGTACTTTTCAGTTGATTCCACATTATATCTTGAGGTTTTCTGATGTTTTTGTCATTGTTTCTCCTATAGCCTAGACAGCCTGACTGTCAGGAATGCAGAGGTACAGAACAAGCTGCAGAGCCACTGGCAAAGGAAGCATGTGATCTCTGCAGTGACTTCAGTGATGAAGAGCCAGTGGGAGCCACAGGAATAAAGACTGCCAAAAACAAAGCACCCGATTCAAGTAAAGCTTCCAGCTCTCCAGGACAGCTTACCTTACTCCAGTGTGGTTTCTCGAAATTGCTTGAAACAAAATGTAAAGCAGTTGAGGATAGTGATGGAAATACTGCCTCTGATGATGAAAGTTCTGATGAGCAGCCCACATGCCTTTCAACAGAAGCCAAAGATGCTGGTTGTGAGAAAAATCAGGACTCTCTTGGTACTTCAAAACATCAGAAATTAGATAACATCCTAAATCCAAAAGAAAAGCATATTTTTTATAAAAGTGAGAAGATTTTAGAACAGAATATTTCTTCCAAGTCTGACGAGAAAAAAATTAAAAATACAGATAAACATTGCATTTTACAGAATGTCACAGAATCAGAAGATAGTGATGTCATCTGTCCTACACAATACACAACTGAGAGATTCCCCGACAATAGTATAAGGTTTAAGCCACCCTTGGAAGGATCTGAGGATTCTGAAACAGAACACACTGTAAAAACAAGAAATAATGATAATAGTCGAAACACTGATGACAAAAGAAATGGAATAATTTCAAAAAAGTTAAGTCCTGAGAACACAACCCTGAAATCTATTTTGAAAAGAAAAGGCACCAGTGATATCAGTGATGAATCTGATGACATTGAAATTTCTTCCAAGTCAAGAGTAAGAAAGAGAGCTAGTTCATTGAGGTTTAAGAGAATAAAAGAAACCAAAAAAGAACTTCACAATTCTCCCAAAACAATGAACAAAACAAACCAAGTGTATGCAGCAAATGAGGATCATAACTCTCAGTTTATTGATGATTATTCATCCTCAGATGAGAGTTTATCCGTCAGCCACTTCAGTTTCTCTAAACAGAGCCACAGACCAAGAACTATAAGAGACAGAACTAGTTTTTCTTCAAAATTGCCTAGCCATAATAAGAAAAATAGCACTTTTATTCCAAGAAAACCAATGAAATGTTCAAATGAGAAAGTTGTTAATCAAGAGCAGTCGTATGAATCAATGGATAAATTTTTAGGTAACTAAAGACACATTCTCAAAACTTTAAAAAGTATATTTGTTTTATCAAATAGTTCTGTGAGACGCTTTGAATTAACTTGTAAAACAGCCCTAAAATCAAGATGCTGCATTGAGGCACAAATAAGGAACGGTTGGGTAGCAGGATAAATGGGAGACCACATATAGGTCAAGATAGAGAATGTTGCCATCTACCCCAGGACCCCCTCCATGTGCCCATCTAAATCACAGTTCCTCTGCCCCCATAAATACCAATTATTCTAGCCTCTATAGTAATTACTTATTTACATTTATATGGTTTTATCACCAAATGTGCATCCCCAGGTGAATTAATCTGTTTTCATGCTGCTGATAAAGACATACTTGAGACTGAAGAAAAAGGGGTTTAATGGATTCACAGTTCCACATGGCTAGGGAGGCCTCACAATCATGGCGGAAGGCAGTGAGGAGCAAGTCATGTCTTACATGGATGGTGGCAGGAAAAGAGAGAGAGCTTGCAGAGGGGAACTCCTCTTTATAACACCATCAGATCTCATGAGACTTATTCGCTATCATGAGAACAGCATGGGAAAGACCTGCCCCCATCATTCAGTTACCTCCCACCAGGTCCCTCCCATGACACATGGGGATTGTGGGAGCTACAATTCAGGATGAGATTTGAGTGGGGACACAGCCAAACCATATCACTAGGTATTATGGTTCAGTCTCATCCATTTTGTAAAAATATTATATAGTCTTTTTTAATCTACAGGAATCCTCATCCCTTTCATTGCCTTACAATGTAACTATGGAAGTACCTGGACCATCTCTTACAGAGTTTCCCTCAGTTTGCATTTTGCTAATTGTACCCTCTCCATGCAGTTAAACATGTTCTTCTGTCTTCTATATTACCTGCAAAAGAGCAGTTGGTTCCTGAGACTGGATCAGACTCAGGTTCAGTTCCTTTGGCAAGATATAAGTTAGTGTTTAACAAGACTATAGTAGGCACAAAATGTTTATTCTCTCTCTTTATGATCCTAGCAGCCATTGATACTTAATACCTATACTTATTTATTCATTCAGAGTAGCAAAATATTTTCTCTTTCTTTCGATTTCATTTTCATTTATTTAGAATGCTTTTGTAAAGAGGTACTTCACTACTTCCCTTCATTATTGCTTACCCAGTGGCGCAGTTCATATGGGAGAGACAGGAAAAATGCTAATTGCTTTCTTTATTTACCAGTTTTTAGTATTAAACTAAATATGTCTATATGCCATAAGGATGACCCATTCTTTTCTTAGTAATTGATTCAAACACATTTAGTGGGTCTCAATTCATTGCAATTAATAATATTATTAAGGCTCCATTGTCCTATCTGTGGATAGAGGGGAATCTCTGACATGAATATTTTGGTTCCTGAAGCATTTTGGCATGCTGCTAGTCATTTTGGAAGCTTCCTTGTAGTCTAGTCTTACAAGAGGTTCCAGGAACACCTCATACATTTTCTGTCCCAGACCTACAATCAGTCATTATTCCAAGAAGTCTTGGTTTCTTTTAGAGAGAAAGTGTGTTTCAAGACCACAGTCTGGTGCTAGTAATGAACATTGCTACTGTTGACTTGGTTATTATTTTTGGGCCTTTTCAGTGGCCAGATTTGTGTGTGTGTGTGTGTGTGTGTGTATTTTATATTTATACACATATATGTGTATGTATACGTATATTTGTGATATATATTTTATATATGTATGTACACATATGTGATGATAAAATACCTCGAGGTTATACGTCCATATTTGTATTGATACTTAATTTGAGAGTATAGAGCTCTTATTTAGCCTCTTTATTATATGTGAATACCATTTCTACAATATTGATAATTCTGGTTCTCAAGCATATAGGGAATGATTTACTTTTAATGCCCCATGTTTGCTCATTTGCTTTATCCCATATTACACAAAGAATAAAATAACAGTACTACCTCCATTTGATTGCTGGTAACATTTAGGGTTTATCTGTTTTTGCCTCTACTCTCCCTTTTCTTCCATTTTAAAAATGGATATACTATGTCTTCATTGTCAAAGATACATTGCATTGTATACTACTCCCCTCTTAGACTTCACTTAACTGTTGGTCCACAGGTAACTACACATTTCATGCTCCCCATCAGTCCTTAATGTCAGTCTTCCTCGCATCGTTCTGGTTGTCTGAATCTTACTGTCTAGTAGATTGCTCAAGAAGTGTTCATGAGAATAATATTCCCTGAGATTCTTGCAGTAACAGTTTTGTGCCCTTATACCTAAAAGTTTTGCTGGATGTAAAATACTTGGCTCACATTGTCTTTTCTTGAGCATCTTAAATATGTAGCTTTGTTTTCTTCTGGCATAAAGTGTGGTATTATATGTTCTTTTTTTTTTTTTTTTTGCCTCTCCCTGGATGCCCAGGGGGTTTTTTTCTTTTCATTGTTGTCCAATAATTTTACTAGCTTGTGTCTTCATGTTGGTTATCCTGGGTCCATATTCTGATATACACAGTGTTGTTTTCACTCAAATTTTATTTTGGGAAAGATTTGCTTGTACCAGTGTTTTTAGTTACTTGTTCTATTCCTTTGGTTTGGCTTTCTTCTTCAGGGACTTCTTTTCAGATGTTCAGTCTTCTTTGCCTATCTTCAGTTTTTGTCACATTCTCTCAAATCTTTATCTGTTCATTTTGTTTTGCTTTTTTAAAATGTTGTTTTGTTTCTCTTAAGGCTTATCTGTTGTGTTTATTCCCACTTATGTTCCTTCTAGTTTAGTCTTCATTTTTGAAATTTAAAAAAAAATTTCTAAGTCTTTCCTAAGTTCTTATCACTCATTTGAGTTGCTCTAATTCTGATTTACGTTGATTCATGTCTTTTTCTGTTTTGTGAGCACATCTTTCTAGCACATTTTCATTGAAGGGATATTACTCTGCTTGTTCTCTTTTTTCTCACAATAATTTTTTTGAGATTTGACCCTGCTGCTTTTCCCTTGGTCATTTTTATATGAAATTATTTCCCCTGAATTTTACAAATGAAGCAGAGCTTAGGAAATCTTTTCTCACCTCACAGAGATCCGTATGTTATTTCCATGTAGAGTGCTGCACTGTGGTGGGCTTTCCTCTCGCTCTCTCTCCCTTGCTTTGCTCTAGGTCTTTTCTTGCCCTCATCCTTGTTCTTCCTATCCTACTTATTTTGATTCTCTCCCAGCAGTTTTTCCTCTTTATTGGGCCCTGACCTGGGTGGGAGCCCTGGTGGGTCAGTTTGGGGAGTTCTAGTGGTTGGCCTGCTCCAGCCCCTCCAGGCCTTCTTACTGTGTCCCCTCTGCACCCTCTCAGCATTGAAGAGCAACAAACCTTCCCAGATTCAGCTGCTGTTCTCCAGCTGGCCCCTTGTGCTTTCCGGTGAATACCTGTTGGCAGTTCTGGGGTCTCCTGTTCTTAGGTCTGTCAGGTACCCTGTTGCTTCCTACTTTCACACAGATACTGAAACCATGCAGAGTTCATAGCTAGTGGAGATTTTCCCCACCTGCTTGTACTTTAGGTGTCATGAGGGTATCTTGTTATCTAATTTTGTTGTAAATGTCCATGGGCTTTTGGTTTTGCTGTCTAGTTGCTGTCTGCTTTTGTGTACAGATTCAGAGATTCTCCTGCTTCTTCTGCTGTTACCACCCTCTGCCCAGAATCTGTATGGTGATTTTAAGAGTTAGCATTGCCTTCACAAGTGTCTGACTTATTCCCCAAAAACTATATGAAAGAAGCTGAGATATAAGCAAGGACATTTTGCTATAGAAATCTTAATTTTTGTGTTTGATTATATACAAATGAGGCTTTCTTTGTGGCTATTAGCATTCTCGTTTAAGAGTTAATTATGATTTATATCTTGGTGTCATTATAAATAAGTACTGAATTACCCTTTGGTTGGTGTGCTACAGTTAGATTTTAGGTTTGAGGAATTATTGCATAAACTTTTTTAAATAATCAACTCAGTTTTTTGTTTGTTTGTTTTTACTGTGTAAAAGGTGTCAGTAGTTAATTTGGAACTAATGCTATTTTGAATAATGGTAACGTGTCATCAAAATTAAGAAACATCTGAGTAAATTTTCTGCCATGAAGGTTTTGAAACTGTGTGCCATGTATAGTACCTGGTATTCTGAAATGAAGGAGAATGTTATGCTAGTTACTGTCTCATCATATTATTTAACAATGTTTTGTGTTTGCATGATTGGCAATTTCTGATTGAAGAGGTTCAGGACTAAAACAGCACAATTGTTGAAGGTCATACCTGAGGTTCATTGCCAGAGCTGTTGCAGGGAGCTTTTACAGGCCTTGGTTCTAGCTTTCTCTTTTATGATCACAATTCAAAAATGAATTATAGGTGCCTAGAAGCAAAGCAATAAAAATTGTAGCCATTTTTTAAACCTCTTTCAGATAAAAGCCATGAGTTAATTTTTTTCATTTCCTAAAAAGCTCTCATCTTGACATTCTCTGGGCATATGTACAAAAAAGACAAAATACAAACAGTAAAACTGAGCAAAGCCAATCAAACGAAACTCCCTGGTCATAAACCCCATGCTCTCATTCCATCACTGTAATCAAGTACATGTTTAAAGGAACAGATAAGGTTAGTTTCATTCTTTAAATTAGTGAACATCTTTTTTTTTTTTTAATTAACAATGAAAACAAATTCATAGAGAGGACCCTACTCAACCCTGACTTTTCTTTTGGCCAAAACCTCCATTTCAGGTTTAAAGATTGTTACCTATCAGTAGTTCTCATCTCACATTGATGAGAAGGAAAAGTCATTTCCAAGGTAACCCAGACTAACATATTTGAACTCTTTCTCTTTTCAATATTTTTCCTAAAGAATATTGTGATGTTGATGTTTCTCTTGAGTATTAAAAATAAGAATAATGTGTTTTTATGGAACCATATTGCTTTATACTGATACATCACTTAATAAACATAAATTACCTCCTAGATGGCGTTCAGGAAGTGGCTTATATTCACTCAAACCAGAATGTAATTGGATCGAGCAAAGCTGAAAATCACATGAGCCGATGGGCAGCACATGACGTATTTGAGTTGAAGCAGTTTTCTCAGCTGCCTGCTAACATAGCTGTTTGCAGTTCTAAGGTAAGAAAAATATAGGGTAGTATCATCTTTAGTTACCTCATTTTTCACAGAAGTTACTCAATAGGATCTTCTCTAAGTACTCCCTCAAAAGTAGCAACAAAAACTGTAAGTGACATACAAATAAGTGTAAAAATCAAAACACCATTTGGGAACTGTAGTCATTGAAGACGTTTTAGATTAAACAACAAATTTATACCCAAATACCTAATCATGTTGAGTTGCTTAATAGTTTCTCTCAATAAAAATTGGCCAGTACTCCCAAAATGAAAAGGAATCTGAGGGAATCATGTAGTTCAATCAGAACCAAAACCATTTCTGCTTATATGGAAAAAGGAAAGTGTGTGATTAGGTTGCTCCACAATTTTTCACCTAAAATGAAGACCAACATAGAAAACTCATTTCATATAGAATTTATATTTTTAGCAAAAGGGTTTTTATACTGTTAAAAGTCATAAATACTTCCTATGGGCTCTTCCCACTTAAAATTGCTGTTGTGATATTTTTGTTTATACATAGTCACTTTCATCAAAGGTTTTTAAAAAATATTTTCTTGTGTTTGGCTTATTATTCTTTATTATTTTCTAAGAGCTAAGTGCCTCAGGAGTAATTTTACTATTACTTTATGGGCAAGAGTTCAGAATGCATACTGTATATAATACCAATATTTTATTTCAACTTAGTGCTATTATACTTTTAAGAATGAAGGTGAGGGTAGAATTCCTCTGAACTATCAAGGGAATTAATTTATTCGTACCTCACTGGTTTGACAAAGGAATTAAATTACCTTAACAATAAAACCAGAGTACAAAATGAAATTTAGGACCAGAGAAAATGCAAATTAAACTGAAAGTTTAAGACAGGGAGAAAGTTAGAATGCAAATGCATAGAACATAATATGTTCTACCCAGATATTATATTAAAATGGCTAATTTTATTGACTTTCCTGGTAGAAAAACAAAGGAGGTAAGCTATCTATGTAGTGATATCTCAGCTAGTGCATGTGGAAATGTGTGTGGGCAGTTTGGGTGGTCACAATGACTGAATGCCTAGCTGGCATTAATGTCTGGAAGCCAGGGATTCCAAATGGCTATCCTGGACAGGGGACTGGGTTGAGGGGGCCAATGGGGAGGCACTCCCATATGCAAAGAATTGTTCTGCCCAAAATGCCATAACACCCTGCTGAGAAAGGCTGAGTGAAATGTTTGTCCTTAAGGAAAAAGAAAAAAATAACACTGGTTCTAGGAGAAGCAAAGCTTTTCCTAGCACTCACTTTGAAGGAAATTTGTCACTTGGTGTTTTTTGGGGACCGCAGAACGATATAGTGAAGAGTCAGTTGTCTTATAATATCCCTAGAATAAATCTAATAACAGACTTTGAAAGGCTATCCTTTCTAGCATTTTTCAGTGTAATCCATAGGCCCAGTGCCAGACTACAACTCGTGAAAGCATTCTTTCATGACCCAAATATGCTTTTTATACTCATCTTCTCATTTGATCCAGGAATATACCATCTCTCAACCAACACTTTAAACAGCATTTCTACAGTTTGACTGCCTTGTATGTGCCATCTGAAAAAGACAGGCGGAATTATGTTGGGTTTTCCAGAAACTTGCTTTGTTAGGATAAAGAGTATATCAGAATCTTTTAAACAGGTAGCTAATTTTTTATTAGGTTTTTTTTTAAACTGTGCCCTTTTTTAAAACCATGTCCTTCTCCATACAAACAAATTTTAATGTGAAAGGTCAGATAATTTGGCAAACCGCTGTAGTGGATGTTAATGAAATAACTGGATATACTGGTCATTAGCTTATCTAAATATTTATCAGAGAAGAAATTTACAAGCATATAATTTCTGCAACAATTGATCTGAGAAGCAACCTGTTTCTTAAGCAAAGTTATAAAAACGAAAATGCTGGAAACACAGTTGGCCTGTGAGCTCTTTCAGTCGAAATATTTTTGAGGTGGACAACACAATCTCATTAGAAACCTTGTCTCTTCACAGTGATTTTCAGAGGGAGGGGCATCTCTTGCTAGGAAACAAATTGGAATACCTACTCCCTGGGGGTTATAATATACCCTTCGAGGCCATCTATCTCCCTCATCACACATACACCAACTTAATATAAACCCTTTTCAGAGAAGATAAAGGAATTAGCTGTTTAATGACTACATTGTGGTGAAGTTTTAAAGCCACTAAATGGGAGGTCCATTCCCATGGCACCATTGCTAGCAGCCCAAACACAGTCTGCAGAAACACTCATTTCAGTGGCTGACTTCAGTCAGTAATTGATACAGCAAAATTTCATTCTAACATTTCAAAGCTGTCTCACAGAATTTCTGAGAAAAAAGTGTTCCCAATCACTGATTTCATCATATCGCGTCAATATTACTTCAGCACCTTTAATGAGGAAATCATTGAAACACACTCATCATCTTTGGCTAGAGAGATTTATGTTACTCAGAGGTTTTGCAGCTGGTGTGGCAGTGGGTGGCAATAGTGAATTTGCAGTTTTGAAAAAAATTAAAAAGTTACGAGAAGAAAAGAGAATAAACAAAGAGAAAGGGAAATGAAGCAAGAACAAAAGAGACTCAATCATAGTGTTAGAAAATTCCTGCAAACTTCTTGATCCTGAAGTCTCCAAAAAACCTCAGACCTCCCACCGATGTTACAGTATCTTTCATCTGGGGCTCAATCTAGAATCTTTTCGGTTCCTGGTAATTCCTCTGAGTGCTTCATGTCTGTCATCACAGTTTTATTAAAGAACTTTACTTGTGTTTGGAAAGATTGTGTGCATGCGTGTCTGTAGCCAGTTGCAGACGTATTGTCTCAGTAAGAAAATAAATCCTATTTGTTTTATGAAATCAGTACACAAATAACAGTTGCCACAGTGTACCAGTATTTCAATTTCTAAAGAATACCATAGAGTCTGAATTAGAACCTTTAACTAGATTGCAAAGGAATATACTAAATTGAAAACTTGTAAAAGGGAAGTAATAAACACCATAATCCTAGATAAGATCCTATGGTCTTTCAGAGTTTTTCCATATACAGTAATTATTTGATGTACAGTAATTATTGATAACCAAAATGACAAAAACTGAATCTACTCTTCAAATTCAACCATGTATCTTAAAAAGGAGTAAAATGTACTGTTTTCAGTGTTTCCTTTGGTTTCTTACAGTTTATAATTTTATAAATTAACTTCATAGAACATATTTTATAAATGTTCTGTCTCTCCTAACATAAATTTTGAATTATACCATTGTTATTTGATAGTACAAATTATGTAAAGTAATATGCAAAATAAGAACACATTTTGCCTTAAATTGTATTTTGATATTTTAGAACCATTTCTGAAAACAGCTCATTTTAACAAGACGAGATGTCTGATAACAGAAGAGAAAACCTGTCTGACTTAGGTTTAAGCTCAGGCGAAAAAGAAGTGTTTTAAGCATTTGAAGGAACTGATAATACCTTTATTAGAGTTCATCTGTTCTTTTACTATATGAAAGTATGTCACGGAGCTGAACTGTACCTGTTTGTGATGTGATACCTCCTTTTCTCAGTCAACTGCACGTTTTCAACTTAAGTTTACTTAAAATTTTCTGAAAAGAAATGTACAAAGACAGCCTTCAATTAAGGATTAATCACTATGGCAACTGAGATGTGGTGACTGAAGGGGGAGGATGTATTCTCCCCTCAGTTTCCTGCCAGCTGTCATAGTCAACCTCTGCTGCCTGAATCCAAGCCAAAATATAGACTGTGACCAACTCTAAGAAACTATATCTGTATTTTTATAAATTGGTACAAGTATCAGACTATAAAAGAAGACTTAATCCCTTGAATTGGATGACAGACACTTGGCACTCTTGCAAGTGTTTGACAGAGAAATAACGGGTCGCTTTGTAGTAAAACCTGGATTAATAGTAAGCCCCTCTTTATGTTATTGCAGTGTGGTGTAAATGAGAGAACTAAGCATGCTGTCAGCCTGGGGTGGGAGGTAGCGTGGGGGAGTGTCTTTTATATAACCAGTGCAGGTTTAAGCACTGTTCAGAATACTGTAAATACAAAATATTGTGTTAGTAAGAACTTCTCTTTCTTGTATTTGTATTAGATTGGCATTCTGTAGATTACTTAAAGGATTTCTGTGAGCTACGGTGGGTTTGATTGCAGTATGTTTATACAGCTTTTGGAGTCAGCAAGGAGGGATGGACTGTTTACAGTGAGCAGACTTTGGGGAGATAGAGCATTCCATTATCCTGTTTTTCAGGATAATGAATGGCATGATGCTTTAAAGTAATTGTTCACAAATGGCTGGTTTACAAAGTAGTCCAGTAAGCAAGGTTTATGGTTTCAGCATGTAACTCTTACTGGGTGGGATATTTCATGGTCTTATCATTTTTCTTTTTGTAGCTAGACAGTAATTTTATGGCATTTGTATCAGAAAGTTATCCTTTCAAATAATTTTAGTAGAAATCAAGATTTTAAAATATGTGTATATATATATATGAAATTATGTGACTGGTATTGACACGAAAAAGGTTTTTGTGTTTCTACACCTAGAACTAGGATTGATTGTAGATAGCATTCTGATTCAGAATATAATACGTCATTTGAGTAGAAAATACCTGCTACTTAAAGGAAGGAGAATCCAGTTTTTAAACTATAAACATAGAGACCTATTCCCCTGCTAGCTGGAGGCTACGAGAAGCTGTGGCATCTTTCCACACAGTGATGATACCAGGATTCATGCACTAATGTAACTGATGAGCTGATGTGTGCAAAAGACATTCAACACCTTGCAAGAAAGGCATTGAAATTACTCAAAAAATGTACATTTTTATTATTGTAATTATGATTATTGCTTACCAATAGGGGTGATGCGTAAATAAGTCTCTACAGTAGCCTGCTATTATTTTTGTTGCTAATAGTACTCAGAATATTTTAGACTACCTTAAAAAGATATCTAGTCCAGTCCTTTAATTTTATGTGAAGTACCTGCCTTGAACTGTGGCTGATTTCTAATGAAAAATGCTATAGAGAAAAATGTTTTTGAAAGGAATTATAAGCTAATTTAAAAATGGACTGGGAATGACAGAAATGATCTTTGCTTGTTAGGAAGTAGTTTGATTCCAACTCTTCTCCCAGCTGGTCACTGTTCCAATTGTATAGAAAATAGCTATAAGTCTTCTTTGAACAGTTTCTCTGTTGAGAATAGTCACAAGATCTAAATAGTTAAAAAATAGTAGTTCTTCAAATAATGCCTTCAAGGCAATGATATAAAAATTTAGGAATAGAGGCCTCATTCAACTCTGACTGACTCTAACTAGTGGATTAAAGAATGTTACGCACTTAACAGCCCTTTTCAAATTCTATTTTATCCTTCTCTGAAAACCATAGTATCAATTGGACATGGCCCCCTAATGGAAACACCTATTGCCTTGTCATCTGAAAATCCTGCCTCTGTCTTAGGAATTCTGAATTTTTATAGGTGAATAAAGCAAAATTACAGATTAAAGGAATTACAGTATTTCAGAATTTGAAGGATTCTTGAAGACTATTTAACCCAAACATCTCATTTTCCTAAATTTTGAAAATAAGAGGATAAGTAACTCCCTACAGGCCCCAGGGCTCAACAATGGCCGGAGGCTTACATCGCTGTGGTCTTTGACCCTTTCGTGTTTTCTTGTGCTTTTCCCTCAATTCCTTTGGTGTCTACTTTGTTCTGGCGATTTCAATTTTACTTTTCCAATATGACAAACCAGTCTTTTAATTTTTCAAGATAACTTGTCTGTGAAGAATTACCTTCACTTTAGCAGTTACACAAAAACCTCACATGGGTTGAATGTATCCTTCCTTTAAGATATATATACATACGTATATATAAACCATATACATAACATATATGTTTATACATATATGTATAATACATCATATATACATATAATGTATATATGTTACATATACATACAAATATGTACATCTCTAACATGTATATGGATAAAGTATATATTATATATGTTATATATGTTATGTAACTACATACATGTATGTTATGTATATGATATACATGTTATATGTTATATATGTATAAATATATATTATATGTGTATATATATATGTAATACATACATGTGTGAACTACATAGCTATGTAGTTTTTACTTTTTTCTTCTTAAGCTTTTTTTCTACCTGGAATAACCTTCAGCCTTATATTTCTGATCCCCCAAATCTCCACATCACTCTCCCATTCAAGATCTACCTCAAATGCGTCCTCTCTTCCACAAAGTCTGCCCTAGTTCTTCCCTCAGCTGGACATAAGAAGCCTTCCTCTTACACTCTTTCTGCTTCAGCCAGTAGTACTTTCTATGTCCTGTGATTATTCTAAAGTATGACTTTCAAATTTTTTATTATGATTATATACATATCTCTCTTTTCTAATAAACTCTGAACTTTGAAATAGTAAGATATGTCTGATTCATCTTTGATAACCTAAAATAATCTTACATATAATTAATACTTTATGAATAAATACTTGTGGGATAAAGTCAGGTTTTCAGTTTTTGTCAGGGTACAATGAACCCCACCTTTATGTTCTGAGAATTTTAAAGATGATTTATTCCATGAACAACTTTCATAGTTTCTCTGGAAATTATCTGGAGATGACATTGTTCATTGTTCATTGATTAAATATATTACGAACATAGTTAATCAGTCAGGGGAATGATCTCTTTCTCTCAGTGAGAAGTGTTTTCAGGTTTGCCTGGCAATCATGGTGTTGGATGGATTAACTTATCCTACACCTCCAGCCATATCAACTCCTATCTGATGTTCCACTCCAATTTGACCCAATTCAAGTTCCGTTTTTTCCACAAAGCCTCAGTCTTCAGGGATCACTCAGTTTCAGGTTCCTTTAGTGCCCATTCTCTATGCCAGTCATCACTGTAGATGTGGTATACCTGTCACTGTTGTTACTTACCTCATGTGGATTCGTTTTTTCCTCATGTATGTTACAAGCTACTTAAGAATCAGGACCATGGGACACTCTCATATACTCCTGTAAACACTACCACTTAGCCGTGGGCAGCACAGAGTGGGAGTTTAGAAAATGTTTGTGATAATTCCCGCATGGAAGTACTGCGTGAGGCCAGTCCCTACAACCATTTTCACAAGTTAAGTCTCCTCAACTCTTTGCACCACAAGTTAATGTTAAAGTGAGTATACTGGCTGGCAGCTAATGTAAAGTTATGAGTCACCTTTGAGCAGCATAAATGCTGGTGTTCTTCATTGTCATTATATGTCATCTGTTGGCCATAATGCTGGTATAGGAAATCCATTCAAGAAGAGAGAACATGAAGAATGATGTCAGAAAGATATTCCTGGAACCCATGCATCCTCATATAGCAATAATAAATCTAGAGAGTCATTGTGTGGCTTCCAGAGTCACTTTGTATCTTCCAAAGCTGTCAAGTGTCTTATTGTGTCCTTTCCGTAGTATACGAGGCCTGTCTCAATTGGGCCCTAGTGTGCTTTTCTAGTCTCATTCCAAGACACTCACCTAATCAAGATTATTGACATGAATTATGTACCAATAATCTTGGTACATACCAACCACAGAGTATGTACCAACAACATAGTAAAAAGCTGTGAGAGCAGATTCTATTTATATTCTGTTATGTACTAAACACCAGGGATACGAAGATGAACAAACAGGCTCTTCTTAGACAGCCTTCAGTTTGTGAACTATTCTCCAAACATGCTTAGGCCTTCCAAGCCTTTGCTTCTATGGTTCCTTGTTTAAAATTCCTTGTCACCTGTGTCTGCTGATTGAACTCCTACCCCTTGTATCATCTGTGACAGCTCTCCCCCAACTCTCCTCCAAAGCAGTGTAAATTTTTCCTCATCTTTCTCTTTACTTGTGTGTGTTTATCTGCTATAGCCATTATCTCATTGTATTATACAATACTATATGCATATGTACAACATGCTTTTGAGTGCAGGCAATAGAATAACCATCAAAAATTGGGCTATATAGTAAGTCACTAAACTAATTCAAATAACAGCAGGTCTGGAAGGAGGCATTTTCAGGTGTGACAGCCCCATGACACCATAGGGATTCAGGCTCTTTCCTTTTCTGCCCCACTATCTTTAGTAAATTAACTTTTAGTCCTTAGGTCTTTTGTTTCATGTTGCCAGATAACTACTGCAACTCAAGAACTCATTTCCTCACACAGATGTATTCTGAGGACAGGGATGTATGATTGTCTTCATATATCTCTCTCCTTTTTTTTTTTTTTTTTTTGAGACAAAGTCTTGGTGTCACCCAGGCCAGTGTGCAGTGATGTAGTCTCTGCTCACTGCAACCCCTGCCTCCCAAGTTCAAGTGATTCTCCTGCCTCAGCCTCCTGAGTAGCTGGGACTACAGGCACACATCACCACAGCTGGCTAATTTTTGTATTTTTAGTAGAGACGGGGTTTTGCCATGTTGCTGAGGCTGGTCTCAAACTCCTGACCTCAGGTGATCCACCCACACTGGCCTCCCAAAGTGCTGGGATTACAGGCACAAGCCACCATGCCCAGCCTTATCTCTCTCCTTTTGTCAGGTATATTAGTCCATTTTCACATTGCTGTTAAAGACACACCAGAGACTGGGTAATTTATAAAGAAAAAGGTTTAATGGACTCACAGTTCCACATGGCTGAGGAGGCCTCACAATCATGGTGGAAGGTGAAAGTCATACCTTACATGGCAGCAGGCAAAAAGAAAAATGAGAGCCAAGAGAAAGGAGCAACCCCTTATTAAACCATCACATCTCATGAGACTTATTCACTACCACGAGAACAGTATGAGTGAAACTGCCCCTGTGATTCAATTATCTCCCATCGAGTACTTCCCACAACACAGGAGAATTATGGGAGCTACAATTCAAGATGAGATTTGGGTGGGGACACAGAGCCAAACCATATCATTCTGCCCCTGGCCCCTCCCAAATCTCATGTCCTCACATTTCAAAACCAGTCATGCCTTCCCAACAGTCCTCCAAAGTCTTAACTCATTTCAGCATTAATTCAAATGTCCACAGTCCAAAGTCTCATTTGAGACAAGGCAAGTCCTTTCTGCCTATGAGCCTGTAAAATCAAAAGCAAGTTAGTTACTTTCTAGATACAATGGACGTACAGGAATTGGATAAATACACCCATTCCAAATGGGAGAAAATTGGCCAAAATGAAGGTGCTAAAGGCCCCATGCAAGTCCAGAATCCAGTGGGGCAGTCAAATCTTAAAGCTCCAAAATGATCTCCTTGGACTTCATGTCCCAACATCCAGGTCAAACTGATACAAGAGGTGGGTTCCCATCGTCTTGAGCAGCTCTGCCCCTGTGGCTTTGCAGGGTACAGCCTCTCTCATGACTGCTTCCATGGGCTAGCATTGAGTGGCTGTGGCTTTTCCAGGTGCACAATGCATGCTCTCAGTGGATCTACCATTATGGGGCCTGGAGTATGGTGGCCCTCTTCTCACACCTCCACTAGGCAGTGCCCTATTGGGAACTCTGTGTGGGGACTCTGACCCCACATTTCCCTTCTGCACTGCCCTAGCAGAGAGGTTCTCCATGAGGGCCCCACCCCTGCAGCAAACGTCTGCCTGGACATCCAAGGGTTTCCATCCATCCTTTAAAATCTAGGTGATGGTTCCCAAACCTCAGTTCTTGACTTCTGTGCACCCATAGGCTCAACACCACGTGGAAGCTGCCAAGGCTTGGGGCTTGCCCTCTCTGAAGCCATGGCCCAAGCTGTACCTTGGACCCTTTTAGCCATGGCTAGAGCGGCTAGGACACAGGAGACCAAGCCTCTACCATTTTTCTACGAAACCATTTTTTCTTCCTGGGCCTCAGGGCCTGTGATGGGAGGGGCTGCCGCAAAGGTCTCTGACATACCCTGGAGACATTTTCCTTCTCAAAGAGATTCTATAAATGAAAATGTGAATAATTATTCTAATTTGTTGGTATGAGCATAACTCTTTTGTGGTGAGTTGGCATTAGATAAGACAAATACGTCTGAACTGGAATTTGTGATATTTTGCAAATTATCTGATGAAGATAATACCCCTTTAGTATAACTAGGATCTGTTCTCACCGCTTTTACAGCAAGATGGTAAGTTGATGTTTTATTTTGGAGACGTCAGTCATCTTGTTAGCTGCATTACTTAGTATCGGAGTCAAATTTCAGTTAATCTATAAACAAGTCTCATGACTAACATTACCTGCTTCAAAATGGATTGGAAAGCCGTATCCCACTATTTCATTTGCTATGTAAGGCTATTTTGTTGCAGATGAAATAATTGAATGCCTTAACAGCAAGAACTTTTTATCTTGTTCAAAAAACTTTTTTGGCAAATATCCTCCAGAAATTTAATTTTCTTTGTTGTTGAGTGGGAAAAAAAATCACCCTGTTTTTCCTCTGCTCTCACCCCACAACAGTCAACACAGAAGACTTCTGTGACCAACTGTGTGGGGGATTTTCCCTTACACCAGCAAGCAGTCAATTCTGTAGCAGATGCCTGGGTATCCTCCGATTCAATTCCAATACTATCTGCCTGGATACAGTATCAGATCCAACAGGTTGAACACTCAGTCCCACAAGACTACCTACAGCTTGTCAGTCACAAGACCCAGTTTGTTTTACCTGTGCTTCTAACCAACCAGCTATAAATCAGGGTTCCCACAACCCCCTCCTGGGGCTTGTTTAATTTGCCAGAGCAGCTCACAGAACTCAAGGAAATACTTAGGGTTACCATTTTATTAGGATAGAGATGAAGAGCTGCGCAGGGTAAGGTATGGGGGAAGAGGTGCAGAGCTTCCACACTCAGTCCTGAGTGCTGTGCCCTCTGGGAATGTCCACCTTCTCAGCTATCCAGATGCTCTCAGAATCCAGTACTTTGGGTTTTTATGGAGGCTTCATTACATAGGTATTGAATCAATCATACCTATGTAATTAATGGTTATGATGGTTAAGCCATTGGTGATCAGCTTAACCATCAGCCCCTGTTCCCTCCCTGAAAGTTGGGGGGTGGAGCTGACAGTCCCAACCCTCTGACCCTGCCTTGGTCTTTCAGGTGACCAGCCCCATCCTGAAGCTCCTAGGGGGCTGCCAGCCACCAGCCAATTCATTAGCATAGAAAAGCACATCACTTTATTTCAAGGATTTTAGGGGTTGTATGCCAGGAAGCTGGGACAAAGACCAAATATCTATTTCACAATATCACAGTCATATTTGTGTAAGTTTATATTCATACAGCAAGCATTTATTGAGAGCCTATCGGGCATGAGTCAGGACTTAGTGCAATAAAAATACATGGTTGCTCTCTGGATTAGAGAAGTGTGATCTAGTTAAAAAGTTAAATAGACCTAAACAATCAAAGTAATTTCAAATAGTACAGGGGGCCCTACCTGTTCAAAGAGAACCTCTAGTTTCATTATATTTCTTTTATGGATGAAATTAGGATCTTTGGCCTATGTGCAGCATTATTGGATGCTTGGTTTGGTATGTTGTATGAGATGACATAAAATCTTAAATCAAGGTGCATACCATTTTATAATAAAGCTGCCAAATGAGAAATCAACATAATAATGCAAGAAAAGAGTATGCAAGGGAAGTCTTGTAAAGCTGTACCTTTGAGTACAGGTAGGACAGTGTTGGGCAAGAAGCCGGGTTCTGAGGAAATCTGGAGCCAGAAATGTGACAATGTGTTTGGCAGCTAGTGAGAAGACCGGACTGACCAGGCAGACTTACATTGGACAACAGAGAGCAGTAAGGCACATAGGGGGTTAAGAACAAGTCATGAAGGGCCTTTCATTTAGGGCAATAATCAATAAATGTTAAACTGACCTGAACAGACTGAGATGTTAGGCTTTATACTCTGACAGGTGCCAAATACCTAACCATTCCACAGTGAAGAAGGCCAGGAGCCAGGCTGGAGCAGGTTGATGTAATGATTATTCTAGACAGAAAGACTATTATATTTGCACTCAACAGGTGGGGGACCATTTCATGTGTGTGGACATAAATCTGGGTGAAGCCCACTCTTGATTATCATGGTCAAATTTGCCAACATGAAGGTATCAAGTATGTGTTGAATGAAGACATTCCAGTTTATTAGAGACTGGCAGTTCTCAAAGTGTGGTCCATGGACCCTAAGATAGCCCCAAGACTCGGAGGGGGGGTCCATCTTTTCACTTGTTGACATTTACGATTCAAAAGCCATGTTGGGGAGCCTGCTGGCAGATTACCATGAACAGGCAGTGGCCCTTAATTGTAGTAGTGAGACAGGATAGCTCCCTTGACCCCCTTCGCGGGCAGGAACTGGAGTGGCTCGTTTCAGCCCGCTGCTGGCCACTGCTCATAGGAGAGAGTGTACAAGCGAGCAAGCAAGTATAGGAACAGGAGCGAACAAACGCTGCAACCAGCCAGTCACTCCTCTCTGGTGGGAGCAGGCTCTGTGAGGGCCCTGCAGCAGTGTCCAAGTGTGTTACAACCAATGCACTTCAAGCTCTCCCATCCGGGGACAGCCAAGTGCCAGCCAGCTGAGTGGAGGGTCAGAGTGGCAGCCCCTGCCCTCTTGGCACGTGGGTTCTTGTCTGGTGTCCAGGAAGAATCAGGTCATATGAACTGTTTGAAAGGTGATGCATGTGGAAGACTTTATTGAGCGGTGGGCGGCTCTCAGCAGAAAGGGAGGCTGGAAAGGGGATGGGAAGGTGATCTTTCCCTGAAGCCTGGCCATCTCCAGCCAGGCCCCTCTCCAAGCTTCACTGTCTGAAGTTAGCTGCATCTGTCCATAGGCTCCGATGCTCAGTTGCTTCTCTGCTTGCCGCTCAGCTGCTTGTGTTGCTCTGCCAGCTAAGTCTTTTATGGGCCCAGGATGGGGGTAAGGGGCAAGCCAGAAAGGCAACGTTTGGGTGGAAAAACGGGGTCAGCTGTTTCCACGTAGGACCACAGATCTAGGCTGAGCTTAAGGGTGGGGTTTAGATGGGAGCCCAGCTCTTCTATATCACTAGTAGTTAATGGATTCTTTACCACCACATTCTTGCAGGAAAAAGAAACTGCTTTCTGTTACGAATATCTTTGAGGAAGCAGCAAAATTAATTTTAGCAAATCTCAACCCTTTACTGCCCATCTTTTTTATGTTCTGTATGGTGAAATGGGAAGTTTGCATAAAGCACTTGTATAATTGTTTGAGTTGCAAATTGAACTAGCCTCTTTTTTATAGAACACCATTTGTACTTGAAAGAATGACTGATAGACAGACTGGTTATTCAGACTTGGGTATTTGGCACTTCCCCAAAAAAATGAACCTAGTGAGCATGTCACTTCAAAGAAAACAATGGATAGTGCTTGTTGCCAGTGATAAAATTCAAGCTTTCAAGTGAAAGTTAAAATACTGAAAAGCTTGTATCTACCACCATAGCATTGACACCTTCCCAATACGTATTTTTCTGATAATGACAAAAGTGATATTTGTAACGTGGTATAATTAAATGTGTCCGTGTTTTGAAGATCTGTATAACTCTATTAATAAGTATTTTCTAAATGACCAGTGAATGATATTAAAAATCACACATGGGGAAAAGATTTACCCAAAGTTCAAGATACACCAATGAATTTTAACAATATAAAAATTTTACTGAAAGGTTTCAGATTTTTAATGAAATTAACCTTGAGTTTTGGTATAGTGTCAAAGAAAATCCATAATTATCTCCAAATCTGAAAATATCTATTAAAATATTTTTCCCTTTTCTAACTACATATCTGTATGAGACCAATTTTCTTCATAAGCTTCAACCAAAACAATGTGTCACAACAGATTGAATGTAGAAACAGAAGAATTCAGCTGACTTTTATTAAGCCAAATATTAAAGACATTTGTAAAAATGTAAAACATAGCCACGCTTCTCACTAACTTTTTGGTTTTTTGCTTTGGAAAATATAGTTACTTTTGTTTTAAAAAGTTCCTTATGTTAACATGTAATGGGCTTTTGTTATTTTAATTAGGTGATAAAGACTTTAAATTTTCAGTAGATATAACCCACACAAACAAAAACTCCTTGAGATTCTCAATAATTTTTGAAGTATAAAGGGGTTCTAAGACCAAAAAGCTTCAGAACTGCTGTCTTAGACCCATATGAAAACAGTTGCCTTATCATTAAATTCACTTCTAGCAGGATATGCTTCCATTTGGTCTTTCTCTGTGTGAAAATGTTACTTTCTCTAATGCATAACCAAAGAAAGCATGTCAGAATAGAAGAGAGTAAAGATGATGTGATTATAGGGAATTAACTCTAATTTACTAAAAAAGCTGAATCTTTCACATACTTTAGCACTTTATTATTAATAATAAATAATTACATCAAATCTCACAACTAGTTGTAATGTCTCAGTGTCATTTGTGGTACGTGCTTGAAATCTTCTTCCCCAGACACTGGAGAGCCATTTGGTTGCCTTCTAATCAAATCAGCCTAAGTGGCCCAGCTGGAGGCCAGGGTGGAGGGACATGAGGAGCCTAAGCTAGCCACTGGAAAACACAGGCAGCAGTGGGTGCCTGCCAAGAAAGGCTTTCTATGGTTAATTTTTTTTCACCAGCACCATTCTTCTGTGATCTTTGTTGCCAGTGATACGACATATAACAGGTATTATTTCATATGAGGTCACATATAACAAGTATTATTTCATATGAGATCTTCAGGTAGTCTTTATAGAAAATATAGTAATACAAATAAAACTTAGTACATACAGAGATTTGAAATTGAGGTCAAGGCTACAAGATGTGATGGACCTATCTATTAGTACTTACTGGAGATCCTATAAAGACTAGTAGAATTGTGAATTTTAAATACGAAAGAGACTGGTAGGAGTCCCAGATCCAAATCTCCCTTCTCCTAGATCCCAGTCTCCAAATCTTTCATTATCCCCAAGATGATCCTCAGAAAGGTACAGAATCTCCCCAAATGGAAAGAGTAAGTGGCAAAGTAGGGCCTGGATGCCAGGGCTATGGTGCTGAGTCCAGTGCTCAGACTGCTATCTGGAAAGGCTTCTATCCTGCTCTAGCCTTTGTAGGAGGAATTAAAGGGAATTTACTCCTGGGCTGTACTCTCATGGTGAACTGAGGGTATTAGCGAAATTTTCCATTGCACATCTGCAAGCTTTGGTGAAGGTAATTGCTATGGTCTCGCTTGGCCCTTTCCCACAGAGCCAGCAGGTCAGCAGACCCCAGGGAGATGGAGTTCCTGTGTTTCTGTCTGTAGCACATGGCATTCACCTGCTCCCCCCAATGCTGCCACTTCGCATCATTTCAGATAGATGGGTTTCTTGAACAATGAGTCACCCCTATAAGTGATGCTGAATTTCCACAAGCAGCTTCTATCAGATTTAGTTTGATATGTGTTTATTTGAAGAGATACTTCCATTATTCTTGAAATAAAAGCAGGCTCAGGACAGCCAATATAAAGTTGTCCTTATGTGGCTCACTCAGAAAGCAAAGCACTATTGAAAAAAGAGTTTAGCTGGATAATATAGTATTACTCCTTCCAGGAAGAAAGCAGACCCATGGTTAAAAACTTTCATCTCCCTCTCTCCCCAGAAAAGGTTTTGGATTTGAATCTAAATGCTGTTGTTTTTTTCAGATTTGAACATCATTTTTAAACATAGGCAGAAAATTTGACTCTATGTATATTTGTGGTGGATCCTCTGACCAGCTGGCTTTTCTGCAGATAGTGAGTTAAGACAATTCAGGGATAGCTCATAGTTGCCTTAGGTTCTTGTTGAGTATTGGAAAACTGCATTTACAGTAACATTTTCTATCTCCAGGCACAAACCTTGAATGATGTTGAGGATTTTCATACTTAAGCAAAAATCCCGAAATGTTTTGTTGTTTTGACTGCTTGATGGCAGAGTTGGCATGATCAGGTGGATATGAGGGCTTGTGGCCACATGGTGTGCCCACCTGTGATGACCTTAGAGTGTCTTGTGAAGCTCAGGAACAAGGTGTACAAAGAGCTATCCTGGGATGGGCAGATCCTTTTTGACCTTAGAATCAGAACTTTTAATTAAGCCTTCCACTCTAGCTTCTCAGTGGGTCAGAGCCATCAGGACCTTCCAGTGGCTTTGAAGATCTCCTCCTTGTTTCCAGTTTTCTCACTGACTTATCAGGCCTAATCATCTGGTTATGGAAGAGTTGGTGCAGCTGTTTAGCATGCACTGCTCTTTGTTCTGTTTGCTCCGTGAGGTATATTCTGGAGAAGCCAGCCCAGTAGATAGATCCATTCCACACTTGCTTAATAAAAGATTTCACTACTTCCTCGTGGCCTCCTGTGGACAACTGTCAGGCTGTTCTGCTTCCCTGTGCACCATCCTCCCAAGCCTTCTCTGCACCTTGGAGTATACAGATGAGCAGGGGAGAATGAATCAGATTATCTGCAGATTATCAGCTATAGCTGTGTCTCCAGGAATTCGCCCAAAGAGATTTAGAAAGATGCAGAGATTACTGATAATATTTCTCCTGCCGAAATGGGAACTAGAGGCTGTTCCTTGATTGCACTTGAAACTTGCTCTCCTGGATTGTAACTTTTTTGCCTCATTTGTTACAGTGTATGGGTGTGGGAACGATTCCTCCCTATCAGCTTTTTTCACTTCTTTGCTATTCCTACCTAGGTGCCCTCTACTGTTCTTTAGTAACTTACCTCCAAAATTACTTTTTGCTTGGAGAATATTAATAGAGGGTTTCTTATTTCATAAACATTCTCTGAACAATTCTAGTATAGCCTTCTACTATATAAAGATAGATTCCATATGTAGCTGAGTAAATAGAAAACTGCTAATTTAATCATGTGCCTGTGAGGTAGGGGGGAATCTTCCTTGTATTTTTAAGTATACTGACATCAAAGATAGCTATCTGCAAAGTTAAGAGTTGATTTTGTTTTTACTTACCCTTTCATATCAAAAATCTTAACTTTTTTCAGTTGAGCCTTTCAATAAATATCATTTCAATGAAAATAATGCAACTTGGTTTAGATCTAATGCCTTAAAATACACAGAATACACTTTTGGTTCAAAAGAAAAAGTATTATCAAAGTTCATTTGAATGTTTCATACTATCAATCTAAATGAAGATAAGGAACTTTTCTGCTGTTAACCAGTATAAACCTAAAACCTAAAAGTAAGAAGTAAGTTATAGAGAATTATGGATAGTTAGTAGATCTAGGGTGGACTCATTCTGTCTACTCTGGAAGAAGAAAGTTTTCCCTACAAAAGTACCTTCTTGGTTATTGTAATCATAATACATAGGCATTCCTTGTTTTAGTGTACTTCATTTGATTGCACTTTGTAGATAATGCCTTTTTTACAAATTGAAGTTTTGTGGCCACCCTGCTTCACACAAGGCTATTGGCATCATTTTTCCAACAATATGTGCTCACTTTGTGTCTCTGAGTCACATTTTGGTAATTCTCACAATATTTTGAAGTTTTTCGTTATTATTATATCTGTTAAGGTGATCCACAGATCACATGCATGATCTTTGATGTTCCTGTTGTAACTGTTGGGCACCAACTGCACACATTCAAGATGGCAAACTTAATAAATGTGTGTGTTCCGACTGCTCTACAACCAGCCATTTTCCCTCTATCCCTCTCCTTAGACCTCCCCATTCCCTGAAATGCAACAGTATTGAAGTTAGGCCAATTAATAATCCTACAATGGCCTTTAATTGTTCAACTTTAAAGGAAGAGTCTCACATCTCTCACATCAAAAGCTAGAAATGATGACGCTTCATTAGAAAGGCATGTCAAAAGCCAAAATAGGCTGAAAACTAGGCACCTGTGCCTAACAGCCAAGTTGTGAATGCAAAGGAAAGTTCTGGAAGGAGATTAAAAGTGCTACTTCAGTGAACACACAAACAATAAGAAAGTGAAACAGCCTTATCTCTGACATGGAGAAAGTTGTAGTGGTCTGGATCAAAGATCAAACCAGCCATAATATTCCCTTAAGCCTAGGCAAGGCTCTAATGCACTTCAATTCTGTGAAAGCTGAGAGAGGTGAGAAAGCTGTAGAAGAAAAAATTTGAAGCTAACAGAAGTTCATGACATTTAAGCTAAGAAGCTGTCTCCATAGCAGCAGCAAGTGCTGATGTAGAAGCTGCAGCAAGTTATCCAGAAGACCTAGCTAAGATCACTGATGAAGGTGGCTACACTAAACAATAGATTTTCAATGAAGACAAAACAGCCTTCTGTTGGAAGATGTTACCTAGGATTTTCATAGCTAGAGGGGAGAAGTCAATGCCTGGCTTCAAAGGACAGGCTGACGCTCTTGTTAGGGACTAGTGCAGCTGGGGACTTTAAGTAGAAGCCAGTGATAATTTACCATTTGGAAAATCCTAGGGCCCTTAAGGATTATGCCAAATCTATTCCACTTGTGCTCCATAAATGAACCAACAAAGCCTGGATGACAGCCCATCTGTTTATGGCATGGCTTACTGAATATTTCATGCCCACTATTGAGACATGCTACTCAGAAAAGAAGATTCCTTTCAAAATATTGCTGCTAATTGACAGTGCATCTAGTCACCCAAGAGAGAGATGGAAATGTACAAGGAAATGAATGTTGTTTTCATGTCTACTAACACGGCATTTATTCTGCAGCCCGTAGATCAAGGAGTAATTTTGGCTTTCAAGTCTTATTTAAGAAATACAGAGCCGGGCACAGTGGCACATGCCTGTAGTTCTAGCTACTCAGGAGGCTGACCTGGGAGAATCACTTGAAACCAGGAGTTCAAGGCCAGCCTGGTCCACTTGGTGAGACTCCATCTCTAAAAATTAAATTTGAAAAGAAAATAAGTTTCATAAGACTGTAACTGGCATCAATAATGATTTCTCTGGTGGACTTGGGCAAAGTCAGTTGTTAACCTTCTGGAAAGGAGTCACCATTTTAGATATCATTGAAAACATCTTTGATTCATGGGAGCATTTCAAAATATCTACATTAACAGAAGTTTGGAAGAAGTTGATTCCAGCCCTCATGGATGACTTTGAGAGATTCAAGACTTTAGTGGGGGAACTAACTGTAGATGTGGTGGAAGCAGCAAGAGAACTAGAATTAGAAATGGAGCCTGAAGATGGGACTGAACTGCTGCAATCTCATGATAAAACTTTAACAGGTAAGGAATTGCTTCTTATGGATTAGCAAAGAGCGATTTCTTAAGATGGACTCTATCCTAGTGAAGATGCTGTGAACATTGTTGAAATAGCAACAAAGAATTTAGAATGTTACATAAACTTAGTTGATAAAGCAGTGGCATAATGTATGCACACCTAATAGACTACAATATAGTGTAAGCATAACTTTTATATGTACTGACAAACCAAAAAATTTGTGGTGGTGGTCCAGGACCAAATCTGCAGTATATCAGAGGTATGCTTGTATTATCTTTTAAATTCCTATTCCAAATCATTTTACTGAATCTTTTATTACTTGAATCTTCATTACTATTGCTGTTTCATCGTGTTGCCACAGTGTCATGACTTCACAGCTTTGATATAATTGGTAATGAACAAGTTTGAGTTAAGTTCACGTAATCTAGAATCTTTTCATCCTAGCCTTGTATGTTGTTTTATAATAAGTTATAATTGTCACTACAATAGCAACTGCAATGCAGCATTATTTATCTTGTACCATTTATTGTGAAAGATTTACTATTTTAGTGAAACCAACTTTTCTAACGAGCACCAAAATGTTTATAAAGTAGATATTGTTTTTCAAAAGACAAGAATATTCGAAAAGTATACCAATGGTGCTGCTGCTTAAAACAGCGGTTTTTCAACTCTTTCTGGCCATATACACCTTTTCTGGCCATATACACCTTTAAGAACATGATTAAAGCCATGGGCTCTTTTTTTTTGAAAAACGTGTTCATGCTCAAATGTGCAAATACAGCTTCAGGAGATTCATAGATATCCCTTTCTGAAGTCCCTGAAACCCATCTACAGAACCTTTGGAGGGTCGGTGGACCCAGGTTAAGACCCCCACTCTCCCTGCCAGTGGAAAACAATTAATGCCCCCCTCAAAGATGTCTGTTAACTCATTTCTGGAACCTATGAATACATTACATTACCCAGCAAACAGGAAAAGGAATTAAGGTTGTAGATGCAATTAAGGTTGAATCAGCTGACCTTGAGATGGGTCAATTGGATGTATGCAGTTAAGGATGTTAATTAACCCACTTTGCTCGTGGATTATCTGGATAGGCCCAATCTAATCACATTAGTTATTAAAAGCAGAGCGCCTTTCCTGGCTGTGGTGAGAGGGTGATGTGACTGTGCAGAACAGTTAGAGAAGAAGGGTTGCTAGCTTTGGAAGGGGACCACAAGACAAGGATTGTGGGCAGCCTCCAGGAGCTGGAAAAGCAAAGAAATTCATTATCCCAGAGCCTTCAAAAAGGAATGCAGCCCTGCCAACATCTTGACTTTAGCTTAGTGAGACCCATGTCAAGCTTCTGACCTACAGAAGTATAAGATAATGAATTTATGTTGTTTTAAGTCACTCGTTTTGTGATACTCTGTTATGGCAGCAATAGGAAACTAATCCAGTACACTGCCCCCAACCCATACATAGTTTATACATGTAACCTTTAGAGCTTTCATTCAGAATAAGCCTAAATGGCACATTGATTCCTAAAATTTATTTTTAATATAACTATTTTGTTTCACAGCCTTGTTTCAGTAAAGTATTAAAGTTCCCTGCTAAAATGGAAATATGAAACTAGATAGATTTTTAAAAATAAAAGATAGCTATTGAGCCCATGTTAAATAAGAATGATTTTCCTGGCCGGGCGTGGTGGCTCACTCCTGTAATCCCAGCACTTTGGGAGGTCGAGGCAGGCAGATCACGAAGTCAGGAGATCTAGACCATCCTGGCTAACAGGGTGAAACCCCCTCTCTACTAAAAATACAAAAAAATTAGCCAGGCGTGGTGGTGGGCGCCTGTAGTCCCAGCTACTCAGGAGGCTGAGGCAGGAGAATGGCGTGAACCCAGGAGGCGGAGCTTGCAGTGAGCCGAGATCACGCCGCTGCACTCCAGCCTGGGCGAGAGAGTGAGACTCTGTCTCAAAAAAAAAAAAATTTCCTTTTATTATTGCCTGAAAGAATCAGATTTTTAAATGTGGAATGTTTGGCAAAAATTAAAGATCCACGTGTCTAATAGCTATGGTTGCAAAAGCTGAATTTTCCTAAAGAAGTTATAAAACCAATTTAAGAAAAATGTATCTGTATACATGTGAGCTTTGCAGTGCTGCCAGGGTCATTGCAAGACCCAGAGTAAACACGTAAATAATTGACAATTGCCATTGCTTGGCATGATTTCTCTATGGCTTCAGAAATTGCAAAATATGAGGATGGTATTTTCTTTATTGGCCCAGTTCCTTCTCTTTCTGTTTACTCCCTTTACCTTCATGTAATAAGCAATACCATCTCATCTCATAGTAACGAATGATTATTTTCTTGGGGGTATAATCTAGGATGATGAGTCTTTGTATTAGGAACTTCTGGTGTTCATTTTGTTTTGTGATAGTAAATAAATGCATCAAATCTTTTTCAAACTTTAAAGATTAACATTTTTCTTTCTATTAATGTTTTAAGATACAATTTTTTTTTTTTTTGAGACAGTCTCACTCCATTGCCAGGCTGGAGTGCAGTGACGTGATCTCAGCTCACTGCAACCTCCGACTCCCTGGTTCAAGTGATTCTCTTGTCTCAGCCTCCCGAGTAGCTGGGATTACAGGCACATACCACCACACCCAGCCAATTTTTTTATTTTTAGTAGAGATGAGGTTTCACCATGTTGGCCAGGATGGTCTCGATCTCCTGACCTCGTGATCCGCCCACCTCGGCCTCCCAAAGTGCTGGGATTACAGGTGTGAGCCACCGCGCCTGGCCAAGATACAATTTTTTAAAATATATTTTTAAGGAAAGTACTTTTAACATTACTGATATAAAGCCCTGGTTCAACCTGACCACCTGGCATTTTGTGTTTGTCCATCTGAACCACAGTAGCTTTTGAACATGTCAGTTTTCCTTAGAAATCGTTTGTTACTAAAGAACATACTCTTGCTTTTGTCAGTTTCAATAAAATGAACCAGAATATAAGTTATAGAGGTAAATGTCTTATACAAAAAAGAAAAAAGATAAACATCATATTTTTAAAAATGGCTTGTCACTTTTAAATCCCTTAAGGGTAGGGGAATATTTGTATATATAAATATCTTTGCATCTCAAATGCATAACATGTTGGCAGGAACGTAATAGGTGCTTAGTAAATATTTGTGGAATTAAAAGTCATTCCTTGCCCACATTCATTGAATGTATCACCGCTTCAATCCCATTGAACTTCTATTAAAAAAAAGACCAGACACAGTGGCTCACTCCATAATCCCAACACTTTGGGAGGTTGAGGCAGGAGGATTGCTTTTGAGCCCAGGGTCTTGCAGCATTACCTATGCCAATCTGGGCGACATAGCAAGACCCCATGTCTATAAAATAATAGAAAAATTAGCTCGGCCTGTGGGCTCGTGCTTTGTATGTCTGAAAAGTTCTTACGTGATAGTGTGTCCGGAATTGGTGGGTTCTTGGTCTCACTGACTTCAAGAATGAAGCCGTGGACCCTCGCGGTGAGTGTTACAGCTCTTAAGGTGGTGTGTCTGGAGTCTGTCCCTTCTGATGTTCAGATGTGTTCGGAGTTTCTTCCTTCTGGTGGGTTCATGGTCTCGCTGGCTCAGGAGTGAAGCTGCAGACCTTCGCGGTGAGTGTTACAGCTCTTAAGGCAGCGCGTCTGGAGTTGTTCATTCCTCCCGGTGGGCTCGTGGTCTCGCTGGGCTCAGGAGTGAAGCTGCAGATCTTTGCGGTGAGTGTTACAGCTCATAAAAGCAGCGTGGACCCAAAGAGTGAGCAGTAGCAAGATTTATTGCAAAGAGCGAAAGAACAAATCTTCCACAGTGTGGAAGGGGACCCGAGCGGGTTGCCAATGCTGGCTCGGGCAGCCTGCTTTTATTCTCTTATCTGGCCCCACCCACATCCTGCTGATTGGTGGAGCCGAGTGGCCTGTTTTGTCAGGGCGCTGATTGGTGCATTTACAATCCCTGAGCTAGATACAAAGGTTCTCCACGTCCCCATCAGATTAGTTAGATACAGAGTTTCCTCACACAGGTTCTCCAAGGCCCCACCAGAGCAGCTAGCTACAGGGTGTCGATTGGTGCATTCACAAACCTTGAGCTAAACACAGGGTGCTGATTGGTGTATTTACAAACCTTGAGCTAGATACAGAGTGCCAATTGGTGTATTTACAATCCCTGAGCTAGATATAAAGACTCTCCACGTCCCCACCAGACTCAGGAGCCCAGCTGGCTTCACCCAGTGGATCCCGCACCGGGGCTGCAGGTGGAGCTGCCTGCCAGTCCTGCGCCGTGTGCTCGCATTCCTCAGCCCTTGGGTGGTTGATGGGACTGGGCGCCGTGGAGCAGGGGGTGGCGCTCGTCGGGGAGGCTTGGGCCGCACAGGAGCCCATGGAGTGGGTGGGAGGCTCAGGCATGGCGGGCTGCAGGTCCTGAGCCCTGCCCCGTGGGAAGGCAGCCAAGGCCCGGCGAGAAATCGAGCGTAGCACCAGTGGGCCAGCACTGCTGGGGGACTCAGTACACCCTCCGCAGCCACTGGCCCGGGTGCTAAGTCCCCCATTGCCGGGGACCAGCAGGGCTGGCTGGCTGCTCCGAGTGCGGGGCGCACCAAGCCCACGCCCACCTGGAACTCCAGCTGGCCCACAAGCGCCACACACAGCCCCGGTTCCCGCGCGTGCCTCTCCCTCCACACCTCCCTGCAAGCTGAGGGAGTGGGCTCCAGCCTTGGCCAGCCCAGAAAGGGGCTCCCACAGTGCAGTGGGGGACTGAAGGGCTCCTCAAATGCCACCAAAGTGGGAGCCCAGGCAGGGGAGGTGCCGAGAGCAAGCGGGGGCTCTGAAGACTGCCAGCACGCTGTCACCTCTCAATAGTTTAACTGGGTATAGAATTCTAGGTTGCCAGGGTTTTTTGTTTTGTTTTGTTTTTTTCTCTGCGTGTTGAAGATATCCCATTTTCTTTTGGTGGATAGGATTGTGATGTTAATGAGAAGACGGATGTTAGTTTGGCTTTTTTTTTTTTTCCTGAGACAAGATCTGGCCCTGTCACCCAGGCTGGAATGCAGTGGCACGATCTTGGCTCATTGCAACTTCTGCCTCCCGGGCTCAAGCCATCCTCCCACCTCAGCCTCCAGAGTAGCTGGGACTACAGGGGCACGCCACCGCACCAAGCTAGTTTTTGTATTTTTTTTTGTAGAGAAAAGGTTTTACCACATTGCCAGGCAAATGTGGTTGGTCTTGAAATCCTGGGCTAAAAGTAATCTGCCTACCTCAGCCTCCCAAAGTGCTGGGATTACAAGTGTGAGCCACTGTGCCTGGCCTAATTTGGCATTTCTTTGTAGGATGTCTTATCCTCTTTCTCTGGTAGTTTTTAAGGTTTGCCCTTTATCTGTGATATAACAAAATGCAGGTTTATTTTCATTTTTCCTACTAGGGATTCTTCCTCCTTTTTCAGTTTGAGGATTCCTTTCTTTTGCAGGTCTCTGGCATTATCTCTTCCATTTTCTCTATTCTGTCCTTTTAGCATTTTAGAAACTTTGATATGTCTTCTGTCTCTTAACTTCCCTATTTTTTTTAATCTCTGCACTTAATTCTGAGTAATTTTATCCTTCCAGTTTATCAACTGCAGTGAGCTGTGATCATGCCACTGCGCTCCAGCCTGGGTGACAAAGTGAGACTCTGCTATGTGTTTATTCATTCATAAATAAATATCTTTTTCAGATTGCTTTATTATAGGTAATTCCTCGGATTTCAGTTCTTATATTTGTTACATGTGCTCAATTTCATGATGGTAGGTTTTATATGCTCTTCATAATTTTTGTCTGAACTCCTTCTGTTTTCATTGGAATCAAAAGCATTCTCTGGCTTATGGCAGTCTTCCTATGGTATGTTTTTTATTCACCCCTCATTGAGATCTATGGTTTTCACTAGTTCTGGACAAATTATTTATGTTAATTTTCAGCTTAGAGTTCCCATACCACCACGTGGTACAAATCGCATTCCACACATGGCACTGGCTGGGCATTCGTGTTTGTCACCAGTGATTCTTTCTATCTAGAGTAAGAAAGTGGCCTACTTCTAGCCTGTGTGCCAGGTTTGGCTTTCCTGGCTTTAATTTGCAAATTTGACTCCTCATTCCTGTTTTGTGTTTCTTTGTTGTTTAATGCAGGGAGTTAAACCATTTCCATCTCCCATTTCCACATGGGTGCTATAGACTATAGCACCCACATGGTGCTATATTCCACATGGGTGCTGTAACTTAAGGTCCTACCCTACTAGGGCTGCTGAGCTTCAGCTCCCACTCACCACTGTGGGACTTCCTTGTTTGGGGCACCTAGACATTCTGCTTTCTTACTTTTGAGCTCCAGTGTAATTTTGTTGTTGTTATTGTTAAATTGTATTTAGTATTTCTCTTTTTGGAATAGGATGAGGACTTTCTACCTATTCATACTGTATCATCTTGTCAGGAAAACTGGGACTGTATAAAGTTTATTTTTCTTGCCTCACTGTCAGTAAAATTTATGTTAGGCAGGCAATTCATGGTCTCTGTAAAAGGAGTATGATTCCATCTATAATTCAGCCAACTGTAGTTAGCATCTCAAAATCACTAAATATTCTTGCAACCCAGCAGAGGTTGAAATGTAAGATTTATGATTTATTTATTTAATTATTACATAAAGATTGGTATTTTTTACATGTCTCCATTAATGAAATTAGACAACTGAAAGACTGCTTAATAATTTTGCAATTACTAAATTAGAAAATTTTAGATATCCCATGTTTATGCCATAGTGTATATAATCATTAATTTTTATCCTTCTTTGGTATAGTAGGTATCAACGTATGTATCAGTATGCCCAAGTCTTGACAATGGAAATAACGTATTATTGCCAATACTTGTATAACTTAAAGAAAGGTATAAAAATAATTTTTTCCCTGTGTCATCTTCTTAAAGACCTAGGTTAATATCTTCTGACATTGATTTCAGTTGGAGAATATGATTTACTTCATTATAAAGAGTATTGAGAAAAAGTAAGACATTCTCATTATTTGACCAACAATGACTATTTTTTCAGACATAGCTTTTGTTTCCTTTCTTTTTTTCAGACATATAAAGAAAAAGTGGATGCAGATACATTGCCACACACAAAGAAAGGCCAGCAACCGAGTGAAGGCAGCATTTCACTTCCTCTTTACATTTCAAATCCTGTAAACCAGAAGAAGAAAAAAGTCTACCATACAAACCAGACCACCTTCATAATTGGAGAAACACCAAAAGGAATCCGCAGGTATATTGTCTCTGACAATACTATACTTGAAGAATAATTCTCAAAGGAAATGTAGCTCATTAGTAAAATATGTAAATACTTGAATTATAACCATAACTGACATCTGAATATTTCAGAAAAATCTGAATTTCAAAAATAAACTGCAAATGTTTTAGATGTTGTTAGAAGGCTAATCCCTGAATTGATTACCATAAAAAGGGAAATCATGTTATACAAAGAAATGAAATACTTAAGTGCATTTTATTCATTCAGTCAATGAATATATTTTGAGCACCTAATATATGCCCAGGCATTGTGCTGAGTCTTGAATATGCAGTGTAAAAAAAGGACAGCAGGGTGCGGTGGCTCATGCTTGTAATCTCAGCACTTTGGGAGGCCGAGGCGGGTGGATCACGAGGTCAGGAGATTGAGACCATCCTGGCTAATACGGTGAAACCCCGTCTCTACTAAAAATGCAAAAAATTAGCCGGGCGTGGTGGCGGGCACCTGTAGTCCCAGCTACTCAGGAGGCTGAGGCAGGAGAATGGAGTGAACCTGGGAGGCGGAGCTTGCAGTGAGCCGAGATTGCGCCACTGCACTCCAACCTGGGCGACAGAGCGAGACTCTGTCTCAAAAAAAAAAGGACAGACATAGAGCCTCCAGTACAGAGGAATGGGTTTGGCATCAAACCATGAAGTTTTAAAAAGTAAACCTACAAATAATTATAAAATGATGTGTTATAAGAAAAAAGAGAAAGAGAATAATAGGATGGGGAGGGGACATGGAACCACCTTTCTTTTGGGAAGTCAGGGAAGACTGTCTACATGGGTAGCATTTAAGTTAAGAGCTGAAGGATAACCATGCAAAGAACCGGAGTAGGAGCATCTCCAAGGAGGGAAGAGGTTTGGTGTGGTCAAGGAGCTGGGAGAAGACTGGTGGCCTTAGTGCAGAATAAACCAAGCAGAGAGTAGCATGAGATGGAGGGTAGGGACGCAGGTGGGGCTGGAGCATGCCAACCCTTGGGGGCTACAGAAAGAGTTTGGATTTTGTTCCAAGTGCAGTGGAAAACTGTTGAAGAATGGCACGATCTGATGTATCTTTTTAAAAGATGGTTCCAGCTTCCCTGTAGAAGAGTGCAGAATGAACAAGGGGTAACAAGAAGGAACTCGGTGATGGGGGTTTGTACCAGAGTGGTTGCCATGAGGATAGAGCCAAGTAGATGAATTCAATTTGGTGATGGACTGGTTCGGGAAAGAAAGAGAACAAGATTACTTCTTTCTGTTTTGAGCAACAGAGTGGAGGTACTGAATGGGGAAAACCAGAGAGAAACAAGAGAGGAAAAAATTCAGGAGTTCCCTTTTGCACGTATTAAATGTGACATTCTGTGGGAAGGTTCAGTAGGCAATGTATGTATGAGCTACTCCTGGTTTGGGGATTAAAAGTTTAAATTTGGGAGTCATCAGCATAGAGTTTATAAATGGTCTTCAGAACTGTGAGACTATGTGAGCAGCCTAGAAATAGAGCACAGAGAGGAGGAAAGAAGTCCCAGGACACAGACTGGAGGCAGCAGCTACTTCTGGAGGAGGCATAAGAGGCACAGTATCAGGTCCTGAAGTGCAGGAGTAGCGAGAGGATCTTAAAAGGAGGGAGTTTGTCAAATACTGCTGAGAACCAGAAGCAGATGAGGTGGGAAACTGCCCACTGAAGACAGCAGCAGAGCACTCAGCAGGCACCTTGGCAGGAGCAGCCTGGGAAGCAGTGCTCAGGCCCTGGCGGGAGGTGGCCGGTGCTATGAGTTCGGATGGAAGCAGTGCGCGCGCCCTGGCGGGAGGTGGCTGGTGCTGTAAGTTTGAATGTAAAAAGTAGCAGCAGCTGGAGGGCATTGTGGGTCTTACAGTTGAGATAACAGAACCTGTTGTGTGTTGAGGGAAAAGACTTGTAGGAGAAAAAGAGATCATGTCAGAGAGGTGAAAACAGAAAGAGGGAGGGCCTGGAAGCAGTGGAGGGCAGTACCCAAACCACAGGCCACGCTCTGGCCTTTGAGAGGCATTGAAAGAGAAGGGACAAACACAGGCACAGATGTGACATTTTCTCAATGAGTTGAGAACTGAAGCCATAAGTTCAGAGGGAGAAAGATTTAGGGAGAGAGAAGTTAGGAAACAAATCATTTATAAAGTAGGAAAGCAAGCTTAATGGGACCAGAATTTCTGGGTGGTGTTAAGTTCCCATTTGAGAATAATTTCAGGAAAATCATCTGTCCAGTATGCACATTTTATTCAGCAAGCTTCAGTTGCTCTGTTGCAGAAACAAGTAGAAAGATGGCTGGGTCTGACCAGGGGTTAGAATGGAGGGAGAGAGAAGCAAGGAAGCTGAAGAATGTTTGTAAAGGAGTGATTATAAAGTTAAACCTAAGCTGGACAAGGGAGGCTGATGGATAGTGTAAAAGCACAAGAGTCAGTGAATTTGAGGACTTGAGGTTACCAGCATATCCCCCAGCATTGCTGTTGTGGGCAGTCATCAAGCAGCTGAGCTGGAGCCTTAGATGACTAAGTCAGGGACATGGAGGTTGAGCTGTTGATGGTAATGACAATGGCAATTTATAAACTTGGGAGTAGGGGCTAACATGGAGTTAAGATGAGTTTGGAGGTGAGCTAAAGAAAGTGGTGGGCCAGATATGGGTGGGACATCCACATGGATATTGATGTTATCAAGAATGATGGCAAGAGATGGGGTGGGAAGCAAGATTAATCCAGGATCTTGAGAGTTTAGCTGCTAGCAGGAAGCAATGAAGGGGTCACTGAAGATTGAGGAGAGAACAGTTTAGCTGGATGGCATAAATGTTAAAGAGGGGAAGGAGTTTTCTGAGAAAAGAATGGTCTGGAAGCAGCATTGTCTAGAAGCACTAACCCTGAGGTTGGAGAGCTGTGAGATGCAAGAGCCTTGCCTTGCAAGGGCCGCATGGGAAGAGGCAATATCAGCAGAGCACAGGACCATTCAGCATAGAAGCAGAAGACTCGGGGGACTCTTGGTTCCAGGGGCACGGAGGGATGGCTTGGAAGGGTGAGGGATTGGATTAGATCAAGATGTACAGTAGGAGGAGATGAGAGGCCAGTGGTAATGGATGACAGAAGTGAACAGGGATGGGAGGCATGGTTGGACTGGTCCTGCTGGCTTCTGGGGGCAGTGGGAAATGTCTCTGGGTTCAAAGTACTTCCTGCAGGGGTTTGGCGACTCCCAGGCAGCTGGTTCCTCAGCTGCCCAGGGAAGAGCTGGCCCCGCAGCTCTTTGGAGTGCTGGCGTGGCTGGTTGGAGTATGGCTCTCAGCTCTCTGCAGTTGCAGAGAAAGGTGACCACCTTCCACACTGCCACACAGTGTACCTACCCACAGAACAGATCGGCAACAAGGATTTTTGCAGAGTGTGCCTTTTCACTTTGGGCAAATATTTTGCCAGGAGACTGACCATATACCTTTTTTTCCCTAAGTTTGCATGCGTTCTCTGTTCTCGATCGCCTCCAAGAGCCATGTTGGGACACTGGTTTGTTCTGTTCTGGGCTTCAATGTCAGTGCAACTTTAATATCTTCCCTAGATATATTGTATGCTGCTTATAGTCCTTTTTCATCTTCTTTGCTCACCAGTGCCTTCTTAAAAGGTGGTTTTGAAGCTGCCTCTTCAACCTCATGATCAGTAAGTTTGGAGGGGGACTCCTTTGTTGACTGGTAGTCTCTGAGTGAATTATCTAGCTTTCTTTTCCATGTATTTGTGACCTTACAGAGATTAGGGAACTTTGCAGGTGTTAATTCTTTGTGCCCTCTGAGTCAGAAGACTAAGAAATGGAAGTTCTTCCCCATGTTTCTCAATGAGTCGTCCTTCAATGCTCATGAATTTCATTATGTCACAACCTGCACCAGGGAGCAGTGAGGCATGATTGAATCCTTCCTCAATGAAACTTCACATTATAACATATGAGGTCATTTCAGAAAAGGTTGTGATGAGCTTAAACTGACTTATGAAGGCACACCCAGTGACCCCAAGGTTAGGGTCGGTACCAAGTTGAAAGAGTAATCGTGTTATCTTGATGTCAAGACCCTTGCTAGCTAGTCATGCTGCGGCTTCGTTGAAGTCACATGCTGGGTTGAGTTTGACAGAGGTTGTGGTGCCTCCTGGCTTGACAGCTGAGAGTAGAGCACTGAATCTTTTGTTTATCTGCTGCATCAGGTTACAGCTGGGTTTGCACACAGCATTATAGATAAGCGAGAAAGCAGCCTTCACAGCCTTGCACTTGGTGGTAACATTACCCATTTTTCCAGTCAGGTATGCACCATGGTGCTATTTTTATTTTGCCTTTCTCTCCAACAATTGATCTGTCCAGCCTGATGAAATCCTTCAGCTCCGGCACCAGATCAGATGTTGCAATCAGCATTGTGAAAGTGACTGATACAGCACCTGCTGTGGTCGGGGAGTTTGCTTTTGGAATGGACACAATGCTGTACAGCATGCTGCATACGCATCTTGAGCCGTGGGCAGAGCGATGACAGACTCGTCAGCTTCGTTGAGTTCTAGTGGCATGTTCAAGTGTTTCAATCACTATGTGCCTTATTGGCTTTGGTTACCAATTAGGGATGTAGAAGTAAAACTGTCCAACCATGTACATTTTACCACCCTCTTTTCCATTAACTGTCCTAGTCAATCAGAATCAAGACTGCACCTCCCTCTACTGCAGTCACATGATCATCTGAATGAAGTGTTCAGTCCTCCTCTCCTTCCGGAAGCTTAGGCAGACAGAAGATGAATTTAGGTGTGTTCCACCTCCCTTCCTCCAGAAAGAGAGAGGATTTTGAATTGTATCCATGATACATAACTGCTTTTGATACACTTGCTGAAAGATACATATCTTTGGTTTCTTTTTTTCCCCCTTTCCCTAAGTGGGTTATGGAAGTCTACTCTAGTTAACTAACTTTTCTTCACAAACTGGCTGGCTTATGCCCCCTGTTTGTACCCTGCAGTTCCTTAAATTCTTAGAGAAAATTCTGAAGGCCCAGAATTAGGAAAGCCAGTTAAAAGGCAGAAATAAAGTGAATGATAATTATAGCTTATCCTGTAAGCAGCAACCATGTGGCATAGTGTACTTGCAGACTACTCAGATAAAATGAGGTTAGAAGCAGCTCTCCTCCCAGAGGTGACAGCTCACAGGGTCACGGGTGAGGTCGTGGTTTCAGCACAGCAGAGGTGAAGTTACTTTGGCAGTTGCTGAGACACCACCAAGCCTTGGATAAATAAAAGACATCAGCTTGTAACCTTGCCAATCACTTAATCTTTACAAACACAAATATTTAATAGAAGGGCCATGAAAATGGATTTGAAGATGAAAAATAGACAGAATAATATCTCATTACTTCATGTGAAGTGAAAACTGGAACCTCTTAAGAACATGCTTGTTACTTTCCAACAAGAACATTGGCAATTTCCAGGACAGAAAGTTGGAGTCATGTGTATGTGTTACTAAATATTCTGTTGGAGATGAAAGTGGCTGTTGATCAAGCATGTATAGTATCTGGATTTCGGGAAGTTAACAAGACAGTGTAGTGAGGACTAGAAGCCACAGGCCCATCTGAAGCCACAAAAGAAAGTTGTGAGTGTGCTTTATGGTCTGCCCCTAAAAGCAAAGGAAACACAAACTATGTAACCTGGTCTACGTGGCAGAAAGAAAAGTGGCATTGAAGCTCCTACTAACATACATTAAAAGTAATTTTTTTAATGCTAAGGATTCTCTGTTTTGCATAGGATAAAATTCAAACTTCTAAACTTGGCCTACGGACCCCCTATGATTTTTAGCCTCTTCCTTGCAGTTTCTCCTGCCCCTCTGTGAACCAGGTCATCTTGGACCTGAGCCTGTACATGCACCCTCTCCCCCTGGGAGACTTCCTCACTCATCATTACCTGACTGACTTGTCAGGAAGAGACACCCTTTCTATCCACCTTGCCTACCACCAATCACTGACCTAGGTTCCCTTTCTATGAATGCCAGTAGTGCCCCATATTTACCTCATGGTAAATTTACATTATGGGTTTATCACTCTATTCTACTTTGATTTTCATGCATTTGTCTAGCCCAAGTAAACTGTAAACTCCTTGAAGATAGGAAACGGAGTCTTATTTGCTGTTATATAGTTCCTGCTATAGTGCTTAGCACATAACAGGCTCTATAAATATTTGTTAAGTGAATAAATAAATGAATGTTTTAAGGAACTATGGTGTAAAATATAATTTCTAAAACTTTAGGACTTTTAATCAAGTGCTGCTGCACTCACTATCTATGACTTTTGTTCAAAGGAGTATTTATAAACATTGAGCTGTTCTATCTCATGGCCCAAACTCATCATCAGCAAAGCAATACCCATTGTCTTAGTCTGCTTGGATTGCCATAACAAAATACTATAGACTGGGTGGCTTAAACAACAGAAATTCGTGTCCACAGTTCTGGAGGCTGGATGGCCAACAACAAGAAGTTAGCTGATTCAGTTTCTGGTGAGGGCCCTCTTCCTGGCTGGCAGGTGGCCACCATCTCCCTGTATCCTTACATGGCAGAGAGGAAGAGACAGAAGAGAAAGAAACTGTGTGGGTTCTCTGGCATCTCTTCTAAGGACACTAATCCTGTTGGATCAGGGTCCCACCCGTATGACTTCATTTAACCTTAATTACCTCCTGAAGGCTCTAACTCCAAATACTGTTACGTCCTGGGTTAGGGGGCTTCTGCATGATTTGGGGGAGGGGCACAGTTTAGTCCATGGCACCCTCATTTAGGGAAAGGAGCAGGGCTCATTGCCCAGGTCCCTAAATCTTTCTGCCTCTATCTTACCAAGGTTCTTGAAGGCCCATTTCCTCATACATGCATACAACAGCTTTTATTAGTATCTTACACTAAGAATACAACACATTTCTTCTAATAGCATCTCACTCCTTAGCTTAGGTGTCCATGCCAACTGGGGAAAAAATAGTCTAGGTTTATCAGTTTAGAACTTTCCTTTGGGCTCATCAAAAAGTCTTGTGCGATTTCTATGTTGTATTTGTAAAAGAAGGGGAAAAGGAGAGGGAAGGGAAAAAAATGTCTTTCTTAATTTTTCAGAATTTGCTCTTTTCGTTAAGATTCTTTGACAATTTCATTTCATGAGACTTGAATACAATATAGATTTTCAAGTACAGAGTCTATAAATCATGATCCTCATGTCAGTCATAAATTGGCTCAAAGGAGGAGTAGCATGCTGGGCCTCCATAATTCCCAGGAAATACCTAATATAATAGCATAAATCAAAATAACTTACAAAGCTGGTGATTTTGTGAGCTAAAATACTTTTCTCAGTAGCATAAGGGTAGAGGCCTCACTCTACTAGGATAAAATGCGTTTTCATTGTGGAATTCAGCAGACGTATGCTAAAGGAACAAGATTACCTTCTGTGGACTCTACATTTCCTCTTACTGGTGATGAGTTCTTTCAAAATAAAATGTAATGAAAATAACCACTAGTTTTGTTCATTTAATCTTTAGAAAACAATTTGAAGAAATGGCCTCTTATTTTAACTCGTCTTCTGTAAACGAATTTGCTAAACATATAACCAATGCCACATCAGAAGAACGACAGAAAATGCTAAGAGACTTTTATGCTTCTCAATATCCAGAGGTAAAAGAATTTTTTGTGGATTCTGTGTCACAATTCAACAATTCTTCCTTTGAGAAAGGAGAGCAGCGCACCCGGAAGAAATCTGATAAAAGAGAATCTCTTATAAAACCAAGGCTGTCAGATTCTGAAACCTTGTCATTTAAAGATTCTACCAACAAAATTTCTCAAGTTTGCAGCCTAAAAACATATAAAAGAAAATCAGTTAAGTTTCAGAATCATATTTCCTATAGAGAAGAGGTGTTTTTTAATGATGCAGAAACTAAGAAATCACCTGTTAGTTCTACTCAAGAGATTGACAGTGGGAAAAACAGCCAGGCATCCGAAGATACTGTGACATCCCGTTCTCTGAACAGTGAGTCTGAAACACGTGAGAGAAGGTTAGAAAATACCATGAAAGACCAACAGGACCTCACAAGAACGGGCATTTCAAGAAAAGAACCCCTTCTCAAATTGGAAAACAAAAAGATAGAAAATCCAGTGCTGGAAAATACTTCTGTGATAAGCTTACTTGGTGATACCTCTATTCTTGATGACCTTTTTAAAAGTCATGGGAACAGTCCCACACAACTGCCAAAGAAAGTTCTTTCAGGGCCCATGGAAAAAGCAAAACAGAGACCAAAAGATTTCTGGGACATCTTGAATGAGCAGAATGATGAGAGTCTTAGTAAACTCACAGACTTGGCAGTAATAGAGACTCTGTGTGAAAAAGCACCTCTAGCAGCACCCTTTAAAAGGAGAGAAGAGCCAGCAACTTCTCTTTGGAAATCAAATGAGAAATTTTTATGGAAGAAATTTAGCCCAAGTGATACAGATGAAAACGCAACCAATACACAGAGTACCACATAAGCATATAAATGAATTACTGCACCAGTAAACTGCTGCCATCACTGTTTACGGCACTGGATTCCACACTGATTCTATTATCTTGAACACAGTTGTTGACATATATTTTTATTAAATTATTGCTTTAGGATTTTTTGAAGTCTAAAGTATTGTCATGGATCTGTTTTTCTTGATATTTGATTTGATCTTTCAAGAATATGATTGTATTTATAGTATAAACCTCTGTTATGAATTAGAAAAGATTCTAGGTTTGTTAATAGGAGACCTGGGACATCTTTCTTACTATATTACATAATGATGTGACACTTGCCCCGGTGAGCATTGTTTCCCAGTATGAAAGATGAAGAGTCTGTACCGAATCAGCATGAGTGTCCTTCCAGTTTAAAAAAGCTTTGCTTCGCTCTCCTAATGGCTCATAGGCTGAATCATGTCTGCCCCTCAAATCAGGTGTATACCAATGTGTTTTTTACTAGCACTTGGGAAAGTTATTAAGTATTTTCTTTTTCCCTGGGCATCATGTTCTATTATTATTTTAGAAAAAAGTCATAATTGGTACTGAATATATGGTATATATAATATTAAAATGGTAATTTTGCAACAGCTCAAAATTAAAAGGTTAATGTTATACACTTTACTATATGAGCTGTGATTACTACCATTAGCCACAGATACCAGTGCCTCAACTTTTTATGTACCTATTGTGATTTAATGTAAATAAAGGTTTGTATAGTACTTTTGTAGTTCTTAAGTATGAAGAAATGGGTAAACTTTTTATTTTGTTAGAAACTGTTATATTTTGAGTGTAATATTTATGGTTTATAGCAAAATGAATGTGCTTATTGTTGAATGCATGTATTTAGAAGCCTTTACTCAGCCCCTGTGTTCTGTGCTAGGAGCTTGAGCTCTACAGGTAAGGCAGAGCTACCGGTGAATGAAAGGAAATCATGTCAGTGAAAAATCATGGTGGAAAGCCCCTGGCATCACATGTGCATGCTGTAGGCAGGACCTGAGCTGCCTCCGCTGCAGGTTCAGATGCACCGCTGCAGCTGTCCTTCAGTTAGTTCACAGGGCTGCAAGAGGAGGACACATCCCTCCAGAAAACAGCCTGAGCCGGGAACTGGCTGTGCTAAAGAGCACTGCTATCAAGTTGAGGAGAGAGGGCTTCCGTGTACTCAGGATGTAGAGTCATTGCTCAGAAGTGAACAAAAAATCAAAAACAAAAGTCTTCTCAAGGGACTGATCGGCCAAGTATGCTTTTCTTTAGAGCAATGTTTTGCCCTAGAGAATTGTAAAATTTATGTCATGACTCAGTACATATGTGTTCGTACATATATGATTGGAATAAAATGTTTATGAAATATTTACTCATAAGCCATGTAACATACTTTGACATTTTTCTCTTCTAGGATTGTGTTTGGTAGGGCAGTGGGTTTGTGTGTGTGTTAATCCTCTCACAACCCACTGAATTGAATTTCATGGCCCATGGTTAAGATCCACAGTGTGAAAACGCTGTTTTAAATTATATGAGTTCGTCATTTGTTTGCTCTGTGCAGCTGAGTTGTGTCCAGACTTACCAGATGGTATGTTTTGCCATTGAGGGGCCTTCTACACAATGAGTGCATGATATGGTCCTTGATAGACTTGACTTGTAGATGTTTTCAGCCTACAATGTGATCAGCTATCTGAGGAACTCCAGTAAGTAGATACCACTTCATTTCAGTTTATATACAAGACAATGTAGTTCAAACATTTTAATACCTTGTAAATTATGATATTCATATAAATATTAGCTCTATAGTCTTCATATATGTACAGTTTTTTTTTTTTTTTTTTTTTTTTTGAGATTGAGTCTCACTCTGTCACCCAGGCTGGAGTACAGTGGCATGATCTTGGCTCACTGCAACCTCCACCTCCCTCCCAAACAACTCTTATGCCTCAGCCTCCTGAGTAGCTAGGATTACAGGTGTGTACCACCACACTCAGCTAAACATTTTTTTTTTTTTTTGAGACGGAGTCTCACTCTGTCGCCAGGCTGGAGTGCAGTGGCTCGATCTTGGCTCACTGCAGCCTCCGCCCCCCGAGTCAAGCAATTCTCCTGCCTCAGCCTCCCGAGTAGCTGGGACTACAGGTGCGTGCCACCACGCCCAGCTAATTTTTTTGTGTTTTTAGTAGGGATGGGGTTTCACCATGTTGGCCAGGCTGGTCTCAATCTCCTGGCTGCAAGCGATCCACCTGCCTTGTCCTCCCAAAGTGCTGGGATTACAGGTGTGAGCCACCATGCCCAGCCAATAAATGCTATTAAAGAAACTTTTAGGCCGGGCACAGTGGCTCACGCCTGTAATCCCAGCACTTTGGGAGGCCGAGGCAGGCGGATCACAAGGTCATGAGATCGAGACTATCCTGGCTAACGCGGTGAAACCCCGTCTCTACTAAAAAAAAAAAAAATACAAAAATTAGCCAGGCGTGGTGGTGGGCGCCTGTAGTCCCAGCTACTCGGGAGGCTGAGGCAGGAGAATGGCGTGAACCTGGGAGGCAGAGCTTGCAGTGAGCCAGGATTGTGCCCCTGCACCCCAGCCTGGGTGACAGAGCAAGACTCCATCTCAAAAAAGGAAACTTTTATCAATAGTAGTCAAAATGGGAGCAAAAATGCAGAACTGGAGTTTAAAAATTAGTTTCCAACAGTTGTCAGTGAAATATTTATCACTATTATGTAGGAAAGTGTGTCAGGTGGAATGCAGAGTCCAGTATGAAAAGGAGCCTGTTTCAGAACGGAAACTGTCAGGTGGAGTGGACTCCCTGCAATGGAGTGATGGAAAGATTTGGTACAACCATTGATGACCTGAGAACAGACACTAGGAAGGTTTGACAAGATCCTTCCTACCCCCACTCCACTGGTGATGTGTCACCAAGTTCTGCTAACTAAATGGGTGGCCTCAAGCAAATCCCTTACCTCCTTTTAGCCTTAGTTTCCCCTTTAAATTGGTGATGGATTAGATCAGTGGTGGTCAGCCATTTTCTTAAAGCAACTGAACTGTATCTTAATCAGAAACTTAACTAGTAAAACAATTAAAATGCAAGTCTGTTGCTTCAAGCAACACCACTGTGGCTCCATGGAGCACTAATTTGAAAACCACAGAGATGAGATCATTTCTAAGAAAACCTTTCAACTTTGTTTCCATGATGCTACTTGCCACAATCTTTTTTACTTAAGCAATGATACCGTTTCTGGCTGAACACTCACCACACAGCTATTAATATTGGAAACTGAGGCAAGATACCAAGAGATTTTTGCACTTGAATTCCTCAGGGTTCTCTTACAGCCCTGAAAACACCTCTTCAAGGAAATAAATAACATCTGCAAATGGTGCAGCTGCCCCTAAGTATTCAAGGCAAAGAAGCCTTAGTTTGCAGAGATGATGATAAACTTTTCATCCTTCCACAGAAAATGAGAAAGCCACAGGAAATACACGGTTATTTTCTAATTAAAGTTCAATGTGTACGCTTTTAAATTCTGAAGTTATCCTTCTTTTATGATATCAAAATAGCCCTCTTTTTTGAAATGATGGTAGATCATACCTTTTGGTCTTTTTCATTGTCCTTACATAAAAGTTGGTAATCATATGTCAGTCCCAGAAGTTTTATTTGACACTTACTGGTCTATAAAATCCAAAGGAATGGGGATCACTGCCTGCCTTAAAGGTTTTTTTGTGTGTTTGTTTGTTTGTTTGTTTGCATGTGAAGGATTTTTATGTCACAAATCCAGCTAACAGTGGATCTAGGATCTAGGCCTCACCGAGGATGTCACTGAACCTGTCAGCCCCAATGACAGGCACACACCTTCAAAGAGCAAGAGTGCCCATCACTTTCTAGGCTCCTTGCCTGCTGCTCATTCCATCATCACGGATACAGACTTGTTTCTGGTTTCATCTTCCACCAGAGATTGCAAAGCATCCTCTGCCCAGTGCTTCTAGGAGGCCTTACTGGGATGGTTCATAAGCCACTTTCCTCTTGGTGACAGCCCCTGTACACTGTGGCATGTACGGCTGGCTCCACTTGGTATTTGTTGCAGGAGGGAAGAACATCTCACTTTTGCTTGGCTAAAGGGCCACCCCAGGAGAGCTATTTTGCCTCAGGGTCTTGCAGGGTTTCTCTAGGAAAACAGTGCATCTGATAGTTACTCTCTGCCCCTAGGAGGAAAGACAGATTCGCCCTTCCTTCCCAAGTCCCAGGCTGTGTGGTTCCCAGCCCCAAGGGTAGCAAGTCAGAACCTCCGGAGAGGCTTTTAAGCATGCACATGTCCAGGGTCCTCATCAAGAGACTGAATCAGGGGGTCTAGGGCTCAGCACAGGCACCCTTTTTGTTTTTGCAGTTTCACAGGAATTCTGATGTGCCAGTGATTGTCAGGTTTGTCCCTGGGCAGGACCCACCTGCCTGACCTTCTGTCCCCCTGGGACACAGTATTTCCAGAGAGGTGCTTCAGTTGCCCCACCACGACTTCCAGCGCCCCCCATCTCTGTATGCAGCTGAGCTCATGATGGAGCCCACTGTGTGCTTTTTGTTGTTGTTACATTCCTATAAAAATGTCCACGCATATTTGAACATCTGTGTTCATAGTGGCATTATTCACAATGGCTACAACACGAAGAAAGCATTCCAAGTACCTATCGATGAATAAGCAAAATATTACACACACAGGAATATTATTCAGCCTTGAAAGGAAATTCGGACACGTGCTACAACATAGATGAATCTTGAGGACGGTATGCAAAGTGAAATAAATCAGACACAGAAGGACAAATACTGTATGATTCCACTTATATAAAGTACCTAGATTAGTCAGATTCATAGAGACAAAGTAGAATGGTGGTTGCTAGACGCTGGAGGGAGGGGAGAAAGGGGAGTTATTAATGGGTGTAGAGTTTCTGTTACACAGGATGCAAAGTGGCCTGAAGATGGATGGTCGTGATGGTTGCACAGCAATGTGAATTTAATGACACTGAAGTGTACACTTAAAAGTCATTAAAATGCTAAATTTTGTATGTGTTTTACAATTTTAAAAATGGAAAAAAAGTAAGACCAAAAGCAACACCTCTCCAGAATGTGTGTTATATACCAAATTTTGATGTATGTGAGATTGCTGACTATATTTTACTTATCAATTTGAAATTATATTGTTTTTATGTTGACACTCCATATAAGCCATTATTTTGAAAAAAACATTTTCCTTATTAAAAGATTGGAAAAAAATTCACACATAGCATTGTTTTTCTTTTTTTGTAAGACAGAGTCTCACTCTGTCACCTAGGTTGGAGTGCAATGGCGCAATCATAGCTCACTGCAGCCTCGACCTCCCAGGATCAAGGGATCTTCCCACCTCAGCCTCCCAAGTAGCTGGGACCACAGATGTGCACCACCCTGCCCGGCTAATTTTTGCATTTTTTTTTTTTTTTTTAGAGACAGGGTTTCGCCATGTTGCCCAGGTCTGGTCTCGAACTTCTGGACTCAAGCAATCTGCCTGCCTTTGCCTGCATTGTTTTTCTATTATATTTCATGTATTTTATTTGCTTTGCTGCAGGTTAAACTATGATGTTTATATTTATTGCCTAAGTTTCCATTAAGACCAATCTTAATTATACCAACATGATACCTTTCTGCCATGGACAGAGATAATACTCATCTGACATTCTTGGTTTTTTGCTGCTCTGTCTTGTAGATAAGAATCAAGAATGCTTCTTTCTACAGATATCTTTTTCGTTAGCTAAATAGGCCTCGCAGTCTCGTTGAAAGAAATAACTAAAACTCACTTTATGTTGTTTCAGTTTATCTGGCAGGGGGAAAAATGCGTGTGCAGCTCTGAATTTCTAATACGTCTCTAAGGAAACTCCAATGAGTTGTCTTGTCAGACTAAAATGTCTGGCAACTAAAATTATTGGCCTCCCTACATTTTTTAACTTTGAATTTTCTTAATTTTTTTGTAAAGTGGGATATGTTTCTGAACTGAAAGAAACTTCAAAAGAAGCCTCATAATAGCTAATTCATATTTTCTCTTCTTTCCTAAAACTATTATAAAAGCACTAATGGGAACAAAACAATTATTTTTCAAAATATAAATGCCAGGATGCACCATATGAGAAGCCCCCAGCCCCCTCTGCTTGCCTCCCAGCACCCGCATTGTGCTCCAGTGTTCAGCTTTCTCTTCCTCTCCGTCCACCACTCCCTGCCCTCTCTTCCCACTGCCAGTACCTAAGTGGCCTTCCTTCACCTGTGCCTGGCAAAGCCCTAGGTTCCTTCCATGTCACCCCTGACTCCTGAATCGACAGCTCCCTCTCTCAGCTTCCTGCTCACCAAGCTCAATGGAGCCTCAATGACCTGCCCACTGTTGCCTGAGGCAGCACTCTCACTGTCCCAAGACCCCATCACACCTTCACCTTGCTGGGACCTCCTAACTCCCTCAGCTTCCCCTACTCCACATTGGGGGTGTATCAGTCCATTCTCACGCTGCTATGAAGAAATACCCGAGAAATACCTGGGTTAATTTATAAAGCAGTTTAATTGGCTCACAGTTCCTTATAGCTGGGGAGGCCTCAGGAAGCTTACAATCATGGAGGCAGTTCACGTGAAGGGGGAAGAAAGGCACCTTTCTCACAGGGTGGTGAGAGAGAGGAAGGGGGACGGGGAAAGCCCTTTATAAAAGCATCAGATCGGCTGGGCACAGTGGCTCACGCGTGTAATCCCAGCACTTTGGGAGGCCGAGGCAGGCAGATCACAAGGTCAGGAGTTCCAGACCAGCCTAACCAACATGGTGAAACCCTTTCTCTACTAAAAATACACATTAGCCGGGCGTGATGGCGCGCACCTGTAATCCCAGCTACTCGGGAGGCTGAGGCAGGAGAATCTCTTGAACCCGGGAGGCAGAGGTTGCAGTGAACCAAGATCGCGCCACTGCACTCCAGCCTGAGTGACAGAGTGATACTCCGTTAAAAAAAAAAATCTTGTGAACTCACTGTCACGAGAGCAGCGTTCAGGAAACCACCTCCATGATTCAATTACCTCCACCTGGTCCCGCCCATGACACGTGGGGATTATTAAAATTCAAGGTGAGATTTGGGTGGGGAAACAGAGCCAAACCATATCAGGGGGCCAGGCCTTCAGCAGGTGGATAAGATGGGAGGAGTTCTGAAATACACACCCGGGATGCTCCAGAGGCCAAATCATAGGGCAGGTCATCCCAAGGACAGCAGTTAATTCACTGACATGCCAGCAAAGGGCAAACCGAATCGGCCCCGCGGAGCCCAGGTAGGGGCGCCGCTCACCTCCTAAAATGCCCTCAAAGACCCCTTAGGGCACAGCCATATGCTGAGACATGTTGGGGTGGACAAGCAGGTCTCAAGAAGCTTAGAATGTCCCCTAGGTGGACGCTAAGGGACAAGGCCCACCGAGGAAGGCAGCTGCAGATGATGGAATGCCCTCCCAATGGCGGGAACAAGCAAGGCTTCCGCAGCTCAAAAGGAGAAACATGCTTTGCGCTGGAGTCCTCAGAAAAGGCCACTTCCAAACTGTGGGGATGGGGAGTGGACGGGCCTAAGAGAATGGGAAGGCAGAACACCCCTTCTCCAGTCTCCCTTGGCCGTTAAAACCCCAGAGCAGCAGCAACGTGGGCTGTTTGGTGCGGAGGTTCCTGGTTTGGGTTGGCCAGGCGTAGAGTGCTTCCGACAATTCACCCACCCTCCAAGACGCGCGGGCCGGGGAGCGGGGAGAGGGCGGAGGGAACGGCGCACCGGGCCCCGTCGGACTGTTGGACCAAAAGTCCTCAGTGTCGGGGGCTCGCAGCGCCGCCGCGGCGAACCCAGCTAGGGGGCACCGCCTGCGCCGGGCACAGGGAGGCCGTTCGGCTTTCCCCCTCGCGCCCATTACTCTCAGGCGTCCCGGGGAACCCCGCGGGCCAAGTGTCGGGCTGCGTCCGGGCAGAGGCGGCTTCGCCTGGTGTCAGCGCGTTTCCGAAGGGCACCCGCGGCGGGGCCCACAACTCGAGCTGGGAGCCGCCCCAAGCAACCCGTTCCTCCGAATCAGGCTGCTTTTCTCTGTAAAGAAAAGAGAAAGCAAGCGATTAACTGATGGCTTGGCCGGCTGGAAACGGGAAAGCGAGTTCTCCAGGAGCCGCACACCTCGGGGAAGCCCAGTCCCTCCCGGGCAGGGAGCGAGGGGCGGTCCTGGGGGCTGCTTCCCGCGGGGAGAGAAGGGAGGGCGGCGCAGCCCTCTGCGGGGTCCGCCCCTCGGTTCTCCGGACCCCCGCGGCCTGGGGGACACGGGGCAAATTCTCGGATAGCGACGGGCAGGAAGGGGACCCGGGCTGGCGATGGGCCGAGTGCCTCCTTTGCTCTCACCCCCGCGCGAAGACGAGGCCAGTGGGCGGGTGGCGTGGGGCGAGGCCTCCGCAGGCCGCCGGGGGCCCAGGCACCTGGAGCCGGGAGGGTCCGCTCCCTTCCCCGCCCTGGATGGCGGCCTATGGGAAAGCAGTCTCCACTGGATCCCGCGCGCGTCGCGCCGAGGTCGTGGGAAACCGAGGGCGGGAGGGCGGGAGGGCGGAGGCGCCGGCAGGGTCGGCGGGACTGGGGCTCGGACGGAGGACAGGGGCGAGGAGGAGGCAGGAAGGACGCCGGGTACTGCGGGGCGCCTAGGGGGTTCCGAGCGCAGCGGCTGCGGGGCCGACCCGCCCAGGATGGAATCAGGGCCCCGGCGCCCCCACGCCGCTCCTCCAGGCCGAACCCCTGCGGCCCCAATCCCCCGGCCTCACGCCCACCCCGCAGGTCGGCCCTGCAGCTGCCTTCCCTTCCTCCACCTCCCTCCCGCCTCCGAAGCCGGCGCCCCCGGCCAAGTGGCCGCTCTCAACCTGTTACCAAGTCCTAGAGAGAATTTCTCCAAAATATTTCCTGGATCCCCCTGCCAAGGGCCCTGTCCCGCCCTTCCAGCTCCCAACTGGATGCCTGCAGACCTCTCCCCGGGTTCCGAGGCTCTGGCCTCCTCCCTCCCTAATCCATTTTCCACACCGCTTCCCCGGGAGCCCGTTAAAATACACCGGGACCGCGGCGGGTGCAAGCCTCCTGTATCTCCACATAGCAGGCTAAGGGGAATTGGGTAGGGAATAAAGGCTGCAGGGGACATCGGCTGGCAGGTATGAAGCCCGTATTGTGTGTCGTTTGTTAAACACTTCCAGTGGATTTTCTCGTTTAATCTGCCCAACAACGCTTCTGGGCCGGTATTCGTATTGTTTTATAGAGGGAGAAACTGAGGCACAGAGGGGCACTCGGCTTGTAAGCAACGGAGTAATTCAGAGCCCGTCAGCCCCACGCCGAGTTTATTCACCCTGGCAGGGGCTTCCGCGGGAGCCATGACCCTTCCTAACTGGGGTGGAAGGACCCGCAGCGCCAGCCGGGTCCGGGCCAGACGGCAGCGAGTGTCTGTTAATAGGGATGCTGAATGGGTCAGGCAGTGGGGCACAGGTTCAGTGTGATCTGGAATGCCTGCGAGGCCCCCTTGCTCATCCACCTGCCTTTAATGGATGGGTGGTCTGAGTTTCTGGAGATGGGCAAGATGGAGCAGTCTCCACACTTGGCTCTTCAGCCCCGGCGCCCCCCACAGCCGCCTCTGCTTTCCTGGAGATACCGCAGGCTCCTAACCTCAGGCCGGCTTGTGCTGCTCCACCCTCTCCCTCCCCCACAGACACAGGCCACTTAGCGCGCTCTCCCGTCCCTCACCCCTGCCAACAGCAGCCACTTCTGGCCACTTCCTTTACATGTGAATGAGTCCAGGTCTGGGCTGCCTTTGTCCGGGGAGGCCGGTGGGATTTCCATCAATAATTGTTGGTTGGTGAGTCAGGGGTCAGCAGTGGTCTCCTTTCCAGGACCCAGAAATGACACCACAAGGGTAACTGGCCACTATTTCCTGCCTAGGAACTAGCAGCATCCCACCCCCACCACTCCATGGCCTAGATAAGACAGGCCAAGACCCCAGAGACAACAGGACTCTGGAACAGGGAAGGGATTTATGATTAGCATAGGCTCTAGTTAAATTCCTTTTTTTATTTCTGTGCATTGACCTATTATGTAATATGCTTTTTTCTTCCTGGAATACAGATCCTACCAGTGGTTTTATTCCTTTTTTATATAATGTTTAATTCATCTGTCTCTGTAAATCCATCACATGAAATTGAAAGGGTCTCAAAGAGCAGACTGTTTCCCCCCTAACTCTTCCACTATTCAACCCAGGGGCAAGCACTGTCATCCCTCACTGCTACCAGCTTCTGGTCAGTCTTTCTGGCCACACGTATGTAGACATGCTTCATTCTTTTAACTGTGTTTTTGATGTTTTCTATATTAACACCAAAAAAAAGTACACTAAGAAATCAGTGCTATTTCCGAATGGAGCCCGGAGTTTCTCAGCACTGCGCTCCTCCAGTGCCAGAAGCACCCTACTTCTCTTCCTCAGTTGCTTCATCAATCACATGGGGCTGGGGCAGTGAGGAGGATGTATTTGCCTCACATAGAGACTTAAAGGTTTTCCTGATCTCCTCTGGGTACAGAACAAGAAATTAAGGATGATCTGAAATATACAGGGCTTGGATAAGACTTGAAACAATTGTGATGATAGGAATTGCTGGGTTCTGGAACCGAGGATTGCAGTAACCAGGGGCTCAGAAAGCTGAGATATCCCTCCAGTGAAAGGGGACCCGGGAGCATAACTGAACAAAAGTCATTTCTCTTCCTCATGATGGGTATTTCTCTTTTTCTGGTGAGAAGTGTCAGTATCAGCATTTATCTGCTGGAGACTGTTTAAATGTTAGGTGTACTTAGCAACGTTGCATCTATTTTTCTTAAACACGAATCACTTTCCAGAAGGGAACCGAAATGACCACCTCTAAAAGTTGCTACTAACTATTGCTCCAGAAACCAAAGTGATGCCACTCACATGGCTGGCCATAGTCTAATTTCTTCACAAACAGAGGCAGAGCAGCTTGCACCACGTAACCCCAAAGCTTTTCTGTAACTGATCAGAAGTTCCTTTCTCCACCCTTTAGCAGAGGTGCTGGTGACCAGGGAAGAGGAGAAGGTAAAGAGCAGAGTGAATGAAGGGAAGTAGGGGACATAGATTCTTTAAAGTCTGGGTAATCAATCCCAATGTATTCAAGAGAGACCTCAACTTGCTTTCCTAGATGGGACGTGGTGGCCCACGGCATCCATAGCAAACCACTCTCTTCTTGGATAGTTGGCTCCCAGACTTGAAGGCTGTGCTCCTTGCTGTCCTCGGACCTCTCCAGCGGTCTCTTTCTAGTTTCCTTGGTGGGCTCCGCCTCCTCCTCCTCACCTTGTCCCTTGGATTTCCCAGGGAGCTATCCCCAATCTAGGGTTAGTCTCATGCACCCACCATATTCTAGGGGCCCCTCCACTCACTCTCATGCTTTTAATGAATTCATTTATGGGTGATCAGGAATCTTCACCATAGCCCAATCACCCTTCTGAGTTTCAGGTGCACACCCTGTTGCTTTGGTGTGACTGCTTCCCGTTGGGTTATCCTTGGGCACCTCACACTCATTGTGTCCAAAGCAGAATTCTTCATCCTCAACTCTGCACTCATCCTATATTTGAGACTCCTAACTCAGTTAATCGCATTGCTTCAGTCATTGACCTCATAACCCAAATCTCAGCACCATCTTTTTTTATTTGGTTGGATGCTTCCATTCCTCTCAGCCACTGTATTCACTCAGTAACCAAGACTTCCAGAGTTGACCTCATAAATATTTCCTTAACTCTGATGCCTTCTTTCCAGTTTCCTACCAGTGTCCTAGTTCCTGAACCACTGGAATAGCTTCAAGTCTTTCACTTCTTAGGTCTTCTAGAGAAATTTGTCATATCTAGTAGAACTCTTTTGTTGAAAATGACGCAGACTGGTTTAAGCAAAAAAGCAAAATCATGGATGTCAGGCTGGTTTCAGGTGTGGCGTGGTGTCGAAGCTCAAGGGACACCACCCACACCCTGTGTCACCAGCTCACCACTCAGGTCTGCTCTCTGTCACTCTGGTGGGCTTCATTCTCAGGCTGCATCATGGGAGTGCAGTAGCAGCAGAAGGTCCAGCTCGCCTGGTGCTTCCAGTGTCAAGTTCTATAGGAAGGAGGCAGGCCTGAGGCCAGATGGCAGCGAGTTTCTGTTAACAGTGACACTGAGTGGGTCAGGCGGTGGGGCTCAGGTTCAGTGTGATCCGGAATGCCTCCGAGGCCCCCTTGCTCATCCACCTGCCTTTAGTAGATGGGTGGTCTGAGTTTCTGGAGATGACTAGGAGTAGCAGGAAGGGACACTGAGCTACACAACACATCCAAAGCCCACCACACATCAGACCCAAGGATTCCCCTGCATAAAATTCCCCAAGGCAAATTTTGCCCATTGAAGTTTTGTCAAGATGATTTGATTCTTCTGTTGAAATGCAGTATTAATCATTGTTGAACTTTTTCATTTTGTTTGCATTGATATTTCCACCAGTAATCTTCAATAAGAATAGAATTTTAGAACTGATCATTTGGGTCTACTCTTCAACTTGCAAGGAACTGTGCGCGGTGTTAAGACCATGCCTCTGAGATCACTGGAGAGACAGATGGAGAAGTGGAGGATTTGTATTTAGAGTCTAGTCAGGGAAACACACCTCCCCCCTCAGATAGAGAGAATCTCCTGTTGTTGGTCGATATTGGAGGATTGAGTGGCAAGCCAAGATTCAGATATGGTGACTGATAGAAGCAGTGAAGGTCTCTAAAGAGCAAAGAGAAGTCATGAGGGTTCTGAGAACCGAGGTCCTGGAAGCTGGAGAAGGGGCCCTGGGGAGTGGAACCGGACCTCTGCACTTGCCTGGCCCTGGGGCCTCCCAGAGAGCTGGACTCAAATCTCCGAGATGGACCAGCCGGCCCGGGCGGGATGTGGGCAGGCAGGTCCTGGGAGTGCATGAAGCAAGCTAGAAAACTGGGCATGACCGCGCCACCGTTGGGAGTCCGGGGGGTTATTGGGGCTCTGCTGACGGGAACAGGCTCCTGTCCTGCGATCTGCGGCCACCACGCCGCCCTCTGGGGCCCCCTGTTGGCAGAACCTGGCGGGAGCTCGCTGGCCCGCAGAAGGCTCAGGGCCTGGTAGCCAGGGCGCGGATCCCAGGAGGTGGATTCGGAACTCAGTGAGCCCCGGAGCGCCGCAGTGGGGCGGGGGTGGGGGAAGCGCGGGGAAGCGCGGAGTCTCTGGGTCAGCTGGTCCCCACTGCCAACGCCCACAGGCCAGGCGGCTTCCGCAGCATCTGCTCCACACCCCATGCGGAGCAGGGGCTTGTTGTTTCTGCACACGCCCACCGCATACACACCGCACCACACACACAAACACACTACACACACCACACTATACACACCACACACACAAACACACCACACACAAACACACCACACACAGCACACCACACACACCACACTACACACAAACGCCACACACACCCCACACACCAAACACACCACACCACACACACAGCCCACACACACTACAAACACACCACACACAAACACCACACACACCCCACACACATACCACAACACACACCAAACTCACCACACGCACCAAACACGCCCCACACCACACAAACACACCACACAGACCCCACACACCACACATACCACAACACACACTACACCAAACACACCACACGCACACACCCCACACATACAACACACTACACCAAACACACCACACCGCACAAACACACCACACACACACCACACTACACACACACACTACACACACCACATACCCCACACACATACCCACCACCCCACACACTACACACACCACACACACCACATACCCCACACACATACCCACCACCCCACACACTACACACACCACACACACCACACACAACACACTACACACACCCCACATGCACCACACCACACACACACACACCACACACCACACATCACACCACAGCCACACCACACCCCCGCCTCCAACACCCACCTCTTGCGCCCCCCTCCCGCCTCCTGTGTGGTGTGTGCTCTAGTTCCCGGCAAAGCAGGTGGGAGACGGAGTGACCGGCAGGACAGGCTGCCTGGGGAACCGGGAAGGCTGAAGTGGACACAGGAGGAGCTGGCAGGGAGAGCCCAGGCCCCGCGGGCTGCGGGAAAGGAGAGGGCAGCGACTGGGCGAGGGAGGAAAGACCCTGGCCGGGGCAGCCCGGCGCGGGAGAGGCTGCGTGTGCCCGGCTCAGTCACCCGCCCTGGGAGAAGGCGGCCCGGTTGGAAAGTTGAGGCGGAACCGAAGGCCCCCGCGTGGAGGCTGCAGCCCCTGCGCCGGCCGGGCGGGTCCGGAAGGAGCCCAGGCCGCACCTCCAGGCCGGCGCCGCCGCCGCCCAGCGCCCACCCGTCCCCCCGGCGCCACTCCACATGCACCTTCTCCCGGGGCGCCGACGGCCTCGGCTGCCCCCGCAGCGTTTCCCTAGCTTCCCTCCAAGGCCCCCGGCCGCTCTTTCTCAGCATTCTTCGCAGCTTCATCTCCATCCGCGCCGCCTTGCCGAGACCCTCCAAGCCGACTCCTCAGCCTTCTACTGAATCTCCTCCAGGCTAGCTCCCAGGGGCGCCTGTCCAGGCCCGGGACTTACATTCCCAGTCCTCATGCAGAGCCCCGTCCCCGCACCGAGGCAGCAGAGCTGGGAGCGCGATGCAGTTCTCTGCGAGAGCCTAGGTCTGACTCTAACTCTGCCCTGGATTCTCCGCTTTCTAGGAGCGCGTGACATCGGCGGCCAGTTCCGTCATCTGGGCATCCCACCCATACCACCCAGCCCTGGGAACGGATGCGACAGTGGACCCGAGGGCACCCTGCAAACTGTAACTCTCACACTTGCCAGACGGCGCTTCCTGAAGGGTCACACACTGAGCATCTGTTTTCAGAGTTTCCTATTTTCCAGAAAAAAAAAAAAGTCCCTATCTGTGCATTAAAAATGCAGGCCAAAACGTATTTTCCACTTCTCCCCTCTGTTCACTTGGCTTTGGCTTAGCATTTTCCCAAGCTGTGTTTCTTGGAGCACGAGTGCCCTTCAGATATGAGTAGATGCCCCATGAGAAAAGCCAAGTTCAGGAATATCCCTTCCTTGAGATTAGAGTGTGCCCTCTCCTGTGAAAGGTCCTGAGAAGTGTAACCTTTTTAAACCACTTTTCCAACTGAATGAGCCACAGGTCTTGTTTTCCTCCATGGCACACTCTAAAATTCCTGGGGACCACTAGGGTCCCACGCAACAGAGGTAGGAACCCTGCTCTAGGCAAGTCGAGCCACTTGCCCTTCTGTCTCAGAGAGGTTGTCCTCGAGTTCTTGCCACCAGGGTCCCCTAGTAAGGGCGTCCCTAATAAAGCCTGGCTGTTCCCCTTTTCCTTCTATTCTATGAGCTAGGCAGAATGGTTCTGGCAAACCCATCTTTCTGAGTCAGGTTGTCCAGAGGAAGTTCTGTTTCTTGCAACTAAAAGACTGACACAGACCAGCAGGCAAAAAGTCAGTGAAGGGATTACCATTCCAAACTAGAAATTTCCCACGTTCACCTTAGCATTGGAATGGATAAGTATACGTCATATACATTGTGTGATATATTCACACATACTGCACAGCAACAAAAATAAACTATCTTCAACCTTAGGCAATAATGTGGGTGAATTTCCAAATACAATTTGAACACAATGAGCTAGACACAATTTGAATTCATTCATAAGAAGGGAAAAGCCAGCAAAACTAACCTATGTTGTTAGAAGTTAGGATGGGGGACTGGGCGCGGTGGCTCAGGCCTGTAATCCCAGCACTTTGGGAGGTCAAGGTGGGCGGATCACAAGGTCAGGAGATCGAGACCATCCTGGCTAACATGGTGAAACCCCGTCTCTACTAAAAATACAAAAAATTAGCCGGGCGTGGTGGCACGTGACTGTAATCCCAGCTACTCGGGAGGCTAAGGTAGGAGAATTGCTTGAACCCAGGAGGCGGAGGTTGCAGTGAGCTGAGATCGCGCCACTGCACTCCAGCCTGGGTGACAGAGCAAGACTCCGTCTCAAAAAAAAAAAAAAAAAAAACAAAAAAAAAATTAGGATGGTACAGTTAGGATAAGTTAGTTAGGATAAGACGTTAGGATACAGGTGAAAAGGAGGGAATACAAGAAGGCTTCCAGCTGCCCTTACCACACTGTTCTTGGTCTGCGTGCTGGTTTCCTGGATGTGTCCAGTTTGTGAACATTCATGAGCTCTAACCTTAGGATAGATGTGATTTTCTGAATGTATGTTGTACTCCAACAAAAAGTTTCGGAGGTGGGTATCAGAAAAGATTGTTTCCCCACTGAGGGATTCCTTTTGCAAAACCACGCAAAGGAAACGTGTTGATTTCAGGACCAATAGAAATTGAATGATACACCAAGTCGTCTTAGCTTACTTCACGTCTGTTTGGTTCTCATATTTATCTAAACATCTGCACGCACAATCTTTACATTGCCACACATGTCAAACAGTCATTCTGTATTGATCATGGGTTTTTTGTTTGTTTGTTTGTTTTCTACTGATTTTATGCTGCTTCATCCTTGGGGCCTTGTGGTCTTAGGAAGGAACTGCCCCTCCCAGGGTTAGCTGAGTCCTCCAGAGAGCAAACGACTCGCTGTTGGGCGTGCCTTTGCTTTGCAAGCTGACCAGTCCAGAGCCCGGACACCAGCCACCTCCTCTATTTAGCTTTTACACTTCCAGGAGGCAGCCTTCCTCTGCCCCAATCCCAGTGAGAGGTGAAGCCAGCTGGACCTCCTGGGTCGAGTGGGGACTTGGAGAACTTTTCTGTCTTACAAGAGGATTGTAAAATGCCCCAGTCAGCACTCTGTAGTTAGGATTGTAAAACGCACCAGTCATCGCTCCGTGGCTAGCTAGAGGTTTGTAAAATGGACCAATCAGCACCCTGTAAAATGGATCAGTCAGCACCCTGTAAAATGGGCCAATCAGCACTCTGTAAAATGGACCAATCAGCAGGACATAGGCGGGGACAAATAAGGCAATAAAAGCTGGCCACCCCACCCACCCAGCCAGCAGCGGCAACACGCTCGGGTTCCCTTCCATGCTGTGGAAGCTTTGTTCTTTCACTCTTCACAATAAATCTTGGTGTTGCTCACTCTTTGGGTCCGTGCCATCTTTAAGAGCTGTAGTACTCTCACGCCTGTAATCCCAGCACTTTGGGAGGCCAAAGCAGGCGGATCACGATGTCAGGCGATCTAGACTATCCTGGCTAACACGGTGAAACCCCGTCTCTACTAAAAAAAAATACAAAAAAATTAGCCGGGCGTGGTGGCGGGCACCTGTAGTCCCAGCTACTGGGGAGGCCAAGGCAGGAGGATGGTGTGAGCCCGGGAGGCGGAGCTTGCAGTGAGCCGAGATTGCGCCACTGCACTCCAGCCTGGGCGACAAAGCGAGACTCCATCTCAAAAAAAAAAAAAAAAAAAGCTGTAACACTCACCGCGAAGGTACGTGGCTCCAGCGACGCCACGAACCCACCGGAAGGAACAAACTCCGGACAAACCAGGACAACTGGGGCCCACAGGACAGCCCAGGGCACACCTCATGTATTCAAGCCATCCGATCCTAAACCTTCTGAGCCTTCATTCCTTCCGGGGAAACCAAACCGCAGTGAAGCCTTTGCCCAGGCTTTCCCCTCCCTGGTGCCTCCGGACAGGCCCTGGTGCTTGTCGCGCCCCCTGCTTCCAGGGGTCTGTGAGTATAAAAGCATCTTCCTTCAGGATAGTCATCTCAGTGTCCTCGTGTCTTCCCATACCTGATTAAAACAAGTCCCGGACACATTTTAAAGCACTGCATTCATGTCACAATTTCCAAAGCACCTGCTGTGTTTCGTGCACTGTTTTCAGTGTTGAGATAGAGCAGTGTCTGTGCAAGCAAGGTGCTGTGCTCAAGGAGCCCAGTGTCTAATGGAGAGAGATCATTCAGGAAACAGAAATATTTCCAGACAGGGTGAAGTGGTGTGAATACAATGGACCAGGGTGGGTTGTTTTGTTTTGTTTCTTTGGGCTTGGGGGTTGTTTTTTAAGGAACAGTGGTCAGGGAAGGTCTCCCTAAGGAGGTGACACTTCAGCCACAGTCCGAATTGTTCCTTGTATACCAAGGGCACCCACAGGTCTGTGCTAGGGGCCTTGAGGCCTCCAAAATAACCAACATGATGTATCTGCCACTGGTGCTCAGCCAGAACAAACTCTGTCCCTTTCCCAACAAGCAAAGTAGGGCTTCCATCCAAGAGAAAATAATTTCCCGGCATCAGCAAAGTCCACAGCCTGCTCCAGTCAAGTTGCTTTCCAAATGCTATAAAGCCAAGGCGCCCAAGCACCAGGATCCAGGGGCTGGGGTGGCAGCATGCCAGCGCCCTGAGGGCAGTGACAGCTTGCATGTGTGTTTACATACTGTTTGCAAATAAAGAGTAAGTGGGCAGATCCCTGAGCCCTCGTCACTTCCCACCATCCCTGGGGACCCACTGCCTAGTTCAGCTTCCCAGGAACACAAGCTTGACCCTGGGCACTGCAGACTTGACCCTACCGCCACAGGCCTGGTCTGGAAGCCCTCCTGCTTGCTGGGCACATCCTGAGTGGCCGTCCTGAGTCCGTGTAAACAGCAAACAGACATTCCCACCCCTTCTTTAAAAAATTTAGATCCCACTGACTTTGGACAACATTGCAGTCAAGAAAAGTAGAACAATTTAAATCACAAGCCCTCAACCTGTGGGTGGCACGTCATGAGTCACTGGCATAGCATGGGTCAGTCTCTAAGCCCATCAGCAGAGAGCGGGGGCTACTTCCACATCTCCCTTCCTCAAAGCTTCCAGGCTGTGGCTGGGTATCCCCGGCCCCGCCACCTCACCTTCCACACCGGAACCTTCCACACTCACCCTGAGCCCCAAAGCCAGCACCCCACACACCTCCCTTCATCAGGGAAAGGCCAGGGACCCCAGATCTGAAAAGCCACTCCCATGCCTTCCACTGGAAACCCCCAGGAACGAGCAGCTCCACTCATGTTGGGCAGCTGCCGCTAGGCCAGGCAGAATCAGCTCTACAAATGGAAACCACCCTCAGCGCCTTCCTCCGCATCCTCTTCCGCAGCCTCCTTGCGCCTCACCGTCTGTGTCAGTGACAGATCCTCAAAGAGCATCTCTTAGGAACTCGGCATGAATTGGCTGGAGGGCCATAGCTGGCTCTTTTACCTTTGCCTCGATCCAGAGTTTGCCTCCCACCACACACCTCCCTGGCGCACCTGCTTCTTGGGTGTTCATTCAGACACAGCCTCCGCTTTGGTGGGTGTCCTCCAGGAGCCCTTTCATCTATCAGGAATGTCACACTCCAGAGCCACAAAAACTCGAAGCCACCCCTCACACCTGCGGCAACTGAGAACCAGTTGCTGCCTCACCAGGAGCCCGGAGCTGGCAGAGCTGGAGAGGGCTTATGTGGGCCTAGAACGCAATGCTGGTCATCTCTGACATGCCATTGTCCTCTACAAACCCCACCTAGCACCTCATGGTCTGTGAAGGTCCATTCCCTTGTTTGTAGGTCAAATCTCAAATTCTCAAGGCTCCCAGCTGGCTTAAAAATGTCAACGATGACTCTTTCTACTTATCAAGCATTTTCTATTTCCCCATTGGAGCAGGAACCCCCACAGAGGCATGGCCCAGACTCGTTTAATCTCAAACCCAGGCGTCCAGGCTCGTGTGTCGGTGATTTAGCAGCCTGTACCAGTGGTATCTCCTTGGAGCAATCAAAGCTTTCATGGAAAGTGCTTAAATCCTATAAATGTAATGTATTTGCTTATCTACCAAATTATAATATTCATTTGTTTGTGTAAACCTGCCAGTCACCAGTCAAAAATATGAACCACAAGAAATTTTCCATTAGGATTTAGGCCCAGTCATTGTTTCCAGTTTGAATCTGACATATTATACCTGAGAGGATTGCAGGAAACCATAAATGATTCTGGGTTGTTTTTTTTTTTGAGACGGAGTTTTATTCTTGTTGCCCAGGCTGGAGTGCAATGGTGTGGTCTCAGCTCACTGCAACCTCCGACTCTCGGGTTCAAGTGATTCTCATGCTTCAGCCTCCCAGTAGCTGAGATGACAGGCACGCGCCACCATGCCTGGCTAAATTTTTTGCATTTTCAGTGGAGACAGGTTTTCACCATATTGACCAGGCTGGTCTCGGACTCCTGACCTCAGGTGATCCGCCTGCCTTGGCCTCCCAAAGTGCTGGGATAACACGTGTGAACCACCACGTCTGGCCATAAATGAATCTTAAATTCTACATTGAGTCTATGTATAACAGAGGTTTTTTGCTGTATACAAAACAAAAAGTAAAACCCAAAGTCATTACCCCCAGGAGGCTGGGATCTGGGTGCCCAGGAAAGAAGAGCTGGGTCTTGGAAGAACACTATCCCTTCTGTTTCTATCCATGAAATAAAAGGAGATGCCCCTTTCTGTCTGCAGTTGTCATCTGGCAGATTTTTGAGAAACAACTTATTTAGGGGGTTCCACACTCGATTCAAATCCAGATGCCCAGTGCAGAATCTGGGCTGTGCCTGGTCAAAGGCAGTGGTGATTTCACTGCAGAATGGAGGGAAGCATACCGGGGCTCAGAAGGCCAGGAAGACCATCACCTGCCTGGTGCAGGGACGTCAACTGCAAAAGAAGGGCCCGTTGTCTGCACCAGGATTTATGTGAGTGAGCAGCCAAGGTGCTCCGGGTGGCTGCCAGCTCTGAGCCCCGCTGCTCTCCGGTCACTGGGAAACCCATCAGAAACCTGGCCATTCTCCCAGATGCCGCCATTCTCCCAGGCTGAAAGAAAGGACATCCATCTTCTCAGGCATGAAGGCAAGGGCTCTGTGCTCCCATCTCAGTGCTGCACGCAGTCAGGGTAGGGATAGGAGGGGGGTCCGGCTGACGTTCCCCAGAGGGTTCACCTCGGTCCCTCTTGTCTGATGCCACCAGCACCTGTGCAGGCTTTGAAGGACACCTGTATTGCTCTGGTTTGTAAATGTGGATGTCGGAGGAAACTGTAAATGTAGGTGGAAGACACAAACGCATTGCAAGTGGCTGGAGGACCTTCCAGGCATCCCTTGAGAAGAGCCAAGGAGCCCACTTGCCTAAAGCTTCCTTCTCAATGCCCATCAGAGTGCCTGAACTCTTGCTTTTACAGCTTCTTAAATTTGCAAAGGAGGCTGGTGTGGAATGACCTGTGATAGTGGTGCTTAGACATTCAGGGAAAGCTTCCTGGGAGAGGCGGTCTTTGACAAACAAGCAAGAGCATTATGAGCAAAAGGACAGCAAGTGAGATGTAGAGGCCTCGGGCTGCTTGTGGGGAGCCAGCTGCAGCAGGAAGGCACGGCTGGGGCTGCACACTCCATGAAGCTGGTGGGAGCCCTGCCCCTTCTGAGTTTGGGTGGGAATTCCCTGGGTGCTGCTGCAGCTGCCCAAGCTGCAGCTGGGGACAGGGGCCCCACCCTCCTGGATGGGACTACAGCCACCCAAACTGTGGCTGTGGACCCGAGCCTCTCTGTGCTCTTGGAGGGAGCCAGGAGCAGGCAGGATCTGCCCTCCTGGATGAAGCTGCAACCACCTGACCCATGGCTGTAGACCTGGGCCACCCACTCCATGGAGCAGGCAGGAGCCCTGCCCCTTCTGAGATGGCTAGGGGAGAGCTCCCTGGGTACAGTTGCTATTGCCCTCCCAGGCACAGGACCTTGGCGTCTCTGTAGCCTGCACCCTTGGGGGCCTGGGAAGGACTCCCCATCTCCTCTACCACACCCCCCATCCCTGCAGGCTCGGGGGTGTCTGATCCTACTGCCTGTCCAATCCCACTGCCTGTCCTCTCTCCTCTCCCAACACCTGCTCAGATCTCCAAGTGGGATTGGTGCTGAGCCTGGGGCCATGAATGGCAGCAGGAGGCAGACAGATTCCTGAGCAGAAGGGGGCGGGTCCCAGTAAGGCCCCTTCTTCAGGCCAGGGAATGCCTGAAGGCTAGGGGCTGGGCCACTAGTCCCGCTGACCAGAGTGGAGATTCATGGTGCCTCTTCCGAGCCCGCCCCTGGCTGCCCATGGACCAACTGGCAGGCACTTCCTCTCCTCTGAGGGCCATGAAAGCCTGGTGCTCAGCCAGGGTAGAGGATGGCCAGAGACAGAATATGGCAGGGAGAGGTTAGAATGGTCAGCCAAAGAGAGGAGCTACCCTCTCCACTGATAGCTTCAGAGATCTGCAGAGAGAGTGGGGCAACCTGCCAGACAGAGAGGAGCTACCCTCTCCAGGGACTCCTCTCTGCTGAAACCTGAACACTCGACAGAATGACCTGCCTGCCTACAGAGGGGAGCTATCCACTGTGGGTCTCCTCTAAGCTGTTCTAACACTCAATAAACTCCTTTTCATCATCTTCACCCTTCACCTGTCTGCATACCTCAGTTACCTCATTGTACCTCAGTTACCTCTTTCTTCCTGGATGTAGGAACACTGGACAAGATAGGCAACAGGTTAAGCTTGCTCTAGAAAGGTCACTGTGGCCAGAGGTTAGGAGATGGGTTGAGGAGGTGGGAGAGTGGAGCAGCAAACCAGTGAGGAACCCAGGAGAAGCTGAGCCAGGGCAGTGAGTCTGGAAGCATCTGTGATGTGCAGTGAAGGACTCCTTTTGCTTCTAATCCTTCTTAGACTGAAACTTTCGGAAAATAAATAACCAGACAAACACAATTTTAAAAGACATACAAAATACAAGTCCCATTTTTCTTCAAAAATTTTTGTTTTAATTGGGGTAAGATAACACACATTTACCATCCCAAACATATTTAAGTGCACATTCCAGTAATACCCACACTCACACTGCCATGCTGCTAGTCTCCAGAACGCTTTCCTTTGGCAAAACCAAAACTACCCATTTAACAGCATCTCCCCATTTCCCGCCCCCAGCCCCCAGCAACAACCCTTCTACTTTCTGTCCCTATGAATCTGACAACTCTATGTATGTAATATAATTGGAAGTACACAGAATTTGTCCCTTTGTGTCTGGCCTGTTACACTTAGCATAATGTCCTCAAGGTTCATCCATGTCATAGCATATTTTGGAAATTCCTTCCTTTTTAAGGCTGCATAATATTCCACATTTTGTTTCTCCATTCATCCATTGATGGACACTTGGGTTGTCCACCTCATGGGTGTTCGTGCTGCTCTGAATTTGGGTGTTGATATCTCTTCAAGCGCCTGCTTGCCATGCCTTGGCCACATACCCAGAACTGGAATTGCTGGATCACCTGGGAAGTCTAGTTTTCATTTCTTGAATCACTATACTGTTCTCCACGGAGGCTGCACCATTTTACATTTCCACTGACAGTGCACAAGGGTTCCAATTTCTCACGTCCTTTCCAATAAGAGGATTAGTTGATGTTTTTTTCCTAGTAGCCATCCTAATGGGTATGAGGTGAAGCCCCATTTTTTTAAATTATTATTATTATTATTATTATTTTTATTTATTTTTTTTTTTGAGACGGAGTCTCACTCTGTCGCCCAGGCTGGAGTGCAGTGGCGGGATCTCGGCTCACTGCAAGCTCCGCCTCCCGGGTTCACGCCATTCTCCTGCCTCAGCCTCCCAAGTAGCTGGGACTACAGGCGCCCGCCACTACGCCCGGCTAATTTTTTGTATTTTTAGTAGAGACGGGGTTTCACCGTTTTAGCCGGGATGGTCTCGATCTCCTGACCTCGTGATCCGCCCGCCTCGGCCTCCCAAAGTGCTGGGATTACAGGCGTGAGCCACTGCGCCCGGCCCCATTTTTTTTAATTATTAGACTCAAAAGGTATAAAGTTACCCTGCCAAATTTCTGTAGTAGTTTAAAATGCTTACTCTCACCTTCTACACTTACCTCACTGCAGACCAACAACAAACACTTCTGGAGCTGGCCAGCCCTTAGGTAGCATGGCCTGGCAGTGCCCGTCCCTGTGCGTGGAGAGGAAAAGCAGTCGGAGCTGCTATTGTCAACTGCACACATTGATTGTGTGATCAACACAGCAGCCCCAGGAGGTAGCTGTGGTATGATCTCCAGCCAACAGATGAGGAAACAGTAGCCCAGAGAGGCCGGGGGCCTTGCCTGAGTCAGCAGGAAGGAGGGTGACAGAGGCAACAGTGAATCCCATGTATGGCCTCTGCCTATTTTTGTTATTATTGTCTTGTTTTATTTTCCAAGATAAATTAACTGATTGGTCATATCTGGGGGAAGATAGAAGGCCCTGAGGTTCTGGCCTGAGTAACCAGGTGGAGAGAGATGCTGTCCACCAAAGCAGGAAATACAGTCGGGGAGGGCATGGAGCCAGGCACATGTCGAGGTAGAAGTTCAAGTGATGTCCAAGTGGGAGCAGGGCCAGGGAATAGCTTCTGAGCACCTAAACGAGGACTGCGCCAGGACAGCAGGTGAGGAATGCTGGGGCAAGGATGAAGGATGAGTTTGGTGAGATCCCACAGAGAGATCAACAACATTCTAGAAAGAAGCAGAGGAATGAGGTGGCAGGGAGAAGGAGGAGCCAGAGGAGATGGGAAGAGATGGAGAGAGAGAAAGTATCAAAAGGAAAGAGGTATCAACAGGTGTCCAGGGTGGCGCAGGGGCCACAAAGAACAGGTGATCTAGTATCTATGGATTTGGCCATGTGGTGGCCCTTGACGGCTGGAATAAGGGCAGAGCAGCTGGTATCATGGAAGCCAGGAAGGTAGAGGCTGGATTGGCATGCGTGGGTAGGTGGGTGGTGGTGGGAAGTGGGGAAGAGAGCAGACCACTCTTTCTAGAAGTTCTGCTGCAGAGTCAGGAGACCGTCCCTGAAGGGCGGGTGTGAAGTTCTTGTGTGGAGGAGGGATGTTGGGCCAATGATGGATTATTATTTTGTTTTAGCTTTTTTAAAAAAAATACCTGGAGCAAAGTTGCATTTGTTTGTATCAGGCAGGGGAGGCAGGAAGGCAGAGCCAGTGGAAAGGTGAAAGACTGGGAGGAATCTGTGATGATTGCTGGAAGGATGTAGAATGATCAAGCCCGAATAAAAGGAGAGAAGCCCCTCTTCCCCCGAAGTATGTGGGAAGACAGTCTACACTGCAGAGTCGTATGTGAGGAAGCACATTGCCGCTGAGCAGGGCAGGGAGTGGTGTCTGGGCACTGGGAGAGAGGCAGGCTTTTGGAACAGCAGTAGGAGTCACCTGGGCCTGAAGAAGGCCAGAAGCAGAAGGAGCCCAGCGGGGCCAGAAAGCACACATTGGCATGAACACATGGCCATCTGGGATTGGTCTCCCTCAGGGCTTAGCTGCCCTGCCCAGGGGCAGAAGCAGAGGTGTGGATGGTGACTTTGTTCGAGTGAAGGCTTCGCAAGGCAGCTCTGGCTACAGTCAAGGGGCAGGAAAGAAGGGTGACTGCTGTCATGTGGGAGAAGAATGAAGTGAACTGTGGTGGTTTTAAAATGTGTCTGCAGATTCTTTGATCTTACTCTTTTCAAAAGGTGGAGTCTAATTCCCCTCATACCGAATGGGGGCTGGACTTAACGATTTGCTTTTAATGAACAAAATGTAGCAGCAGTAACAATGTGTGACTTCTGATTCCAGGTCACAAAGCTCCTTCTCAAACTTGTTCTGGAGGAAGCCAGCAGCCATGTCATAAGGAAGCTCAAGCAGCCATATGGAGAGCCCACATGGGAAGGGACAGAGGCCTCCTGCCCACAGCCGTGGAGATGAACCACCTTGGAGACAGCTCCCCCAGCCCCAACACACGCAGATGATCATGGTCCTGGCTGACATCTTCACTGCAACCTCACGAGAGACCCAAGCCACAACTTCCCAGCTGAGCCCACAGATGTGGTATGAGATGATGTGCTTGTCGGCTTAAGCTGTTATGGCTTTGGGGTGATTCGTTAGCAGCACTGGATAACTCCTGCACTGCCTAAGTGTGAAGGCAAAGAATGTGGAGCATGGGGTGGGTCCCAAGTGAAGGTTGGGCAGGCGAGCCCCAGCCAGAGGTGCAAGGGGCCATGTGGTGGAGTGATTAGTGGCTTGAGAAGAAAAGATTGAATGGGGCCAGAGGAAATGGAGGAATCATAGCACTGGAGGTCCCCATGAAAGTAAAGATGAGGGCTGAGGCGTAGAGAAGAGAGTGGAGTTTCCTGTTTGAGAGAACGTTTCTGGGTGGATGTGGCTCAAGGTGTGGCAAAGTTTGGGGAGGGGGAGGGTCAGTAGAGTCGTGACCCCTGGACAGTGAAGCCAGCCAGGGTAGCCAGGGTGGCAGTGGGACTTGGCTTGGGGAGAAAGACACACCTTCCAGTGCCTAAGGCCTCAACTTACGGGGGAGTGGTGGGGACTAGAGATTACAGGTGGTGAAGGTGGCCTCTTGGGGTGGCTTGACCCTGCAGGGAGGTTTTCCCAAAGACAGGAGGCACAGCTGCCTGTAAACACCCAAGAGAAGACTCTGAAGGCCAGCTCCACTCCTTCTGGCTGCAGAAGACAGGGAGTGAGAAGGGTCTCTGTCCCCCAGGGCTGCACAGAGGATGGTGTGGCCAAGACAGAGCAGGCTACAGTGGACAGGCAAGCGGCAGGGCTGGTGCTGAGTCACTCCACAGTGTCGAATCTACTATCTGCAGGATGCCAGGGACACCAGATAAAGATGTGGTCCAGGCCGGGCATGGTGGCTCACACCTGTAATCCCAGCACTTTGGGAGGTTGAGGCAGGAGGATCACTCGAGGCCAGGAGTTCAAGACCAGCCTGGGCAATATAGCAAGCCCCATCTCTAATTAAAAAAAAAAAGACATGGTCCTTATCTAGAGGAGAAACAGAGAGCAAAGGTAGAGAAGCCCTCAGAGAAACTGGGTCTCCAAGAAACACAGTCCTGCCCCCCCCCAAGCACCCCCACAATAGCTCTTTATTCCCTGGGGACCTCCCAGCTGTGATGGCCGCCAGCCTCTGCACTCTTCCTGCTCATGTCCTTGTCCCCTTTTTCTGGGCGTCACGTCCTCCCTGGGCACGACTCTCCCACTGGAAGTCTCTGCTGCTGTGGTCACGAGACGTGACCTGGAGTCACTGCTTTCTCTGGGTCTAGCTTGTTGGCTAGATCCTCTCTGCCCTTAGGTGAGTCTTCTCAGGAGGCCCACGGTTCCTCGTGTGAACCAATTCTCATGAAGGCCTGGCCTCTGATTCCAGGCAAGTCTGAATCTAAACTGGCAGAGCTCATAGCCAGGCGCTGGTGCCCTCGGAGCTCTGCATATCTCCCCCGAAATCCTGGGATCTGTCCCTATGTGCTTAACCCCACTAAGGTTCCTAAGTCCAGGCCTATCCACAAGGCCAAGGGCTTTCACAAGGACAATGGTGACTCCTGGGTGGTCCCTGCCCCCTGCCATGACTCTTATGTCCGTATGCGTGGCCCATGGCCACACCTCATGGGGAGATGACAGGAGCAACGGCATCTGCAGAGACACTACTCCATAACAAAGCCAGAAAGAAACGCCTTCTGCAAAACACTCTAGAAGTGAAAGGAGAGGCGAGGCGTGCCCTCGGCCATCAGTTTTATCCCTTTGCTTTTGTAGTTGTTTAATGTTGAGACAAGTCAACTTGAAGCTGTATAATAAATGAATTCCAGCTTGAGCCTTGGCAGGGTTTGTTTGTCTTGAGGGAAGTTGTTTATGCTAATGGGCCCCCTCTGCAGAGCTGGATTTATATTATACAGAGTCTTGTCCATCATCTGGATGCCGCTGTAAACAAGATAATCTTTGTCTACCAAGAACGAGCCCGATGCCAATAACTTTAAATAAACATGAGCCCCAGGTTTGTATTTACATTGTCTGAGGTAACCGCTGGCGAGTTTGTCACGGCGCCATCGGCCCCTCCCTGGCTAAGGTAGCTTCGGCTTTCCCACTGACCTTGTTTTTAGAGGCCTCACTCCGGGAAAGGATCTCATATTTAGCAGATGAGCGCTACACCCCGGGCTGGGCTGCATTCTTTTGCATGGTTTTGGCATTTTGTAGTTCTGTCAAGTTAGCATAGCTTCCTTTTGTACTGGATAGAGCAGGACATGGGTCCGGGGCAGGAGCTCAGACATGGAAATGACATCATAGACCTGAGCTCTCAATTCCCTCGATGGCCAGGCTGCAGGTGCCAGTGGGCTCCAAGGATTCTATTATTAATAGGGCTATGACTTAGCTCTATAGAAGCCATCAGGGTTGAATTGCATTCCATGTGGAAAATAAATAGAATTTTGCAGAAGTCTGAGTGTCTGTTGCAACTCGAAACTGAGGACCAAGCAACCACAGAAACATACAACTCTTCCAATAGTGATAAATGGTCTCCATGGAGGACTGGGGAGAAAAGCCATGCCCCCCGGCTCCACCACTACTCTCCCCTGCAAAGAAAGCAGAAACTGGGCAGGGTGTAAGATGCACATTCCCATCCCTGGGCAGAAACACACTGAAAATATCTTTATAATAGCAACTATTTGGTTACGATTCCAGGCTTCAAGTGCAGAACATGGGAAACTCATTTCTAAGAGCAAATGGGCTGCTTATGAGGATCATTCTCATGAGGGGTGGTGTTGGGGAATGCTCCATGAGGAGAAATCTAATCAGAGGGAGGTCTCTGATGACCCTTGTTTGAGACTGTCAGAGCTTTGAAAGTTTCTCAGATGTGATTTATAAACCCTCTAATTGAGTTGAACAAATACTAGTTTCATAATCAGAGCGTCCGATACCACTTCATAACTGCAAACTTTATGGTGTTTGGGCTAATTCTGTGCAAAATAATCGCACTATTAGACCAACTGGGAGGGTCATAAAGGGTGGCAGTAAAGACTGTAGGACCTGGAGCCACACTGGGTAGGGACGAGGATGGCTTTGCCTCTTTCTGTTTGAGTGAGACCTCAGGCAAGTCTTTTAATCCATCTGTAACTCAGTTTCCTCTTCCGTATGATAATAATAGTACTTAGCTCATATGGCTGTGGAGAGGATTGAATTAACTTTGGTGTGGCACATTGCAAGTGATTATTGTGCTTCTTTGATGGCCCCTTCTTGTCCAGTACGATGTGAACTCATAGCAGACATTCAAAATAGAGACCTAATAGAATAGCTGGGTCAGTGCAGGCTCAGTTGCAGAGAACAGAATTCACTCTAGCTAGTTTACATGAGTTGGGCTTAATTAGGCAAAATGACTGATAGAACTGATGGGAAGGCTAAAAAAACCAACTTGAGGTTGAGCTTTCAGGGATGATTCCCAAACCCATTCAGTAGAAGCAAGCCACCAAGAAGCAGCTGTCTCTTCTGTAATCAAGAAACAGCCACGGCTGCTGCAGGCTCCAGAAATCACATGACCCAGCTAAACAGAGGCCCTCATGCCTTCTAGATAGATATCCATGAACTTGCCAAAAAACTGCAGACACTGACCCCACCCCACTCTTACCTTCTAAATCTGTCGCAAATATAACTGAGTGGCTAATTCCAACTCACACACAAAAGCTCAGGTACAAAAATGTTTGGTGAAGTTGCTGAGCATTCCAGCCCCTGCGTATCAGGGAGATAAGCCAGAAGGTAGGTGAGACGCAGGCTGAGCCCCAGCTGCCATGCCACCACAGTGGTCAGGAAGCAAATGCCTACAGACAGGGAGACCAGAACAGGCCTTTCTCTTCCTATCCTCAACATCTAAACACCTGTGGCTGTGGATGAATCTCAATGCGGTTCTAAATGCTGTGTTCTTTTTTTTTTTTTTTTTTTTTTTTTTTGAGACAGAGTCTTGCTCTATTTCCCAGGCTGGAGTGTAGTGGTGCAATCTCAGCTCACTGCAACCTCCACCTCCCAGATTCAAGCAATTCTCATGCCTCAGCCTCCCAAGCAGCTGGAACTACAGGCACGTGCAGCCACACCCAGCTAATTTTTATATTTTTGGTAGAGATGGGGCTTCACCATATTGGCCAGGCCAGTCTCAAACTCCTGACCTCGTGATCCACCCGCCTCGGCCTCCCAAAGTGCTGGGATTACAGGTATGAGCCATGGTGCCTGGCCAATGTTGTGTTCTTTTAGACTCGTACTGCAGAGAGTACTAGCAGATTCCAGAAATTTCTAGAGATGAAAAATGGAAAATACTAGCAGAGACACAGTAGATATTGCTGGACATCTACAAATATTGAAGGAGGGTGGCATTTTTTTTAATGATTAAAAACCCCGAGAAGTCTTTTGTTATTCAACCAATGTCAGTTTTTGTTCAATTAAGATCACTTTAGTTTAGCAAACTAAAGTTTGCTGTTATTTCCCCCAGTTTGGAGAAATTTAAGAAGTCAGAAGCAAACATGACAGTGAGAAATCTGATCTGAAATTGTCTGGGCAATTCCGCAAGTTCATCAAGATAAAGACTGACAAAACTAAGCAAGGGTCCCTTGACTCAACCCCTGCTAGGGACCCACTTAGGCACACAAGTGGGTAAAATGGCCAGGGAGTGGTGAAGAGAAATTCCTGGGTCTCCTTGAAATGAGAACTCCACACACTGTGGTACTGAAATCCACAGGGGAGGCCCTGACGAGGGCCCTAGTTAGACCGACAGAATATACGCATGTTAGGGCTGGTAGGGTTATGGCAGTGGGAATGTTTAAACAGATTTTATTTAAAGAGGTTCTGCCTGGGCGTGGTGGCTCATGCCTGTAATCCCAGCACTTTGGGAGGCTGAGGTGGGCGGATCACGAGGTCAGGAGTTCGAAAGCAGCATCCTGACCAACATGGTGAAACCCCGTCTCTACTAAAACTACAAAAATTATCCGGGCGTGGTGGCACGCACCTGTAATCCCAGCTACTCAGGAGGCTGAGGCAGGAGAATCACTTGAACCCGGGAGGTGGAGGTTGCAGTGAGCTGAGATCGTGCCACTGCACTCCAGCCTGGGCGACAGAGCGAGACTCTGTCTCAAAACAAATAATTTCTGCCTCCTTTACCTGGATGTTTCATAGGAATGGATATTGTATCTGGTTGGGGAACACTTTTCCTACCCAGTATTGTAAAACCAGAACATGTTGATAAAGTCCGAGTGGAGGCTACAGTTAAGAAAGTCAGGCTGGATGGAATTAAGTTAAACCTGCATGGGAGAGGTGGTGTATTTGAACACCCTTCATGTGAAGCGGTTGCGTCTCTTTTATCTGATTGTATTATGGGGATGGATATTGTATCTGCCTGGGGAATGTTCTCCCTGCCTTGTACTGTAAAATGGAAAGCATGCAAATCTACCCTTAGAGCAATATGAATTGGACATGCTTGTGGGAACAGTAAGATTGCCCAAACCCACACAGTGAAGAATAGAGGCTGGACTGCTGGGAGGGACAGATGGCCTATTTTGAAGTCCTCTGTGAACTATAACTGGAGCTTATGGCAAAAGCCTGTGAGTGCCTCCCACCGACAACTGCTGAGACTTTGGACCAGAGAATTTTGACTTGAGGGTATTACTGCCTTGCTATGGGACATTAATTGAAGCTACCTCTATGACTGAAGGACATAAAATGGTCTTGAAACCCGAAATACCCACGACGTCTTGGGTGACGTCAGATAAACACTCTAATGGGAATAGCAGTGCCCGGGAGCATTCCATAATGAAATGGAAATGGTTTCTACTGGATCCTGCTACCTGGGGAAAGAATGCGAGGAGACACCCCAAGCAAGGGGCCTCTTTTCCCCTCGGCCTCATTCTGGAACTAGAGTGAGGAGTTGTAGGAGTGGCTGGATCCTACTGACACCTGGATCTTGCCCTATAACCAGCTCTCAACTGACCAGCAAAGCACTGCTTGGTTCGTGAATGGCAGTTCCAGGCAGGGGGACAACATTCTGTTTGGAAGCTGCCACTCTGATCAAGGAAGTTAAAAGCAAATCAGCTCGGTGGCCGACCTGCATGCTGCTTTCCTAGCAGTGACTGAGCGGTGGCGAAGCCTCTGTGTCTGGTTTTCACTGACTCATGGGCAGTGGCCAATGGCCTGGCGACATGGTCAGGCAGAGGGGCAATGGAAACCTGGTCTATTAAAGGGATGCCCGTATGGGGCCCGGCCCTGTGGAAATCTGAGGGTTGCATGAAAGCAACACATCAAACACCCATCAGAAAATCTCCCTTCCAGGTTGGAAAGTCGCCTGGAATTGGCAGATATCCCTGTTTGCTGTTCTCACTCAGGGTGGCCACCTGGCTCCGTGAAATGAGTGGCTATGGGAACTACAGCAGCGCAGAGATGGGCTGAGTCTAGACACGTTCCTCTTGCACCCTCTCAGGCACAAGATGCCAGTAAGAACTGTTCTGTCTGCCCGCAAGACAGACAAGACACTGCCGATGGCTCCGGGATAGGTTCCGTGGTGGGAAGGCCCTGAACACAGCTGGCAAGTGAGACTGATGGGGTGGCCCTGAGGGCTACACATGGGTAGTTCTGTAGTACTTATGTCACCTTATTCTATCTGGGTGAAAGAGGACTGAGGAGGAGTTACTAGTATTGCTGTCTGCAATATACACCAGCACAATGGCAGATTCTAATGTCCCTTCCAAAGGTGGAAAAGTTGGGTATTAATGGAGAGAGAAGGAATGGTAGCTGGGAGTAAAGAAATGAATCAATGAATTATAAATACAGGGAAATCCAATATTATATGAACACCTTGAAAGAGGCTCAGAGCGAGAGACTGTACTGTCTCTTAGCTCAGTGATCCCAGATGCCTGAAAGCGTGAAGCCATGTGTGTGCCAAGACCACTCGCTTTTGGAACCTGACAAGATGGACTGGAAACTGGCAAACCCGAGTGGCCTTGCCCTGGCAGACATTCATACAATCTGATGGACTGAATTGGGTTCCACTGATATGGCAGTATCTGAGTTGTTTATCCTTTCAATTTAAGGGGATCTGTGTTCGAAGACTTGAGGTGCACTTTGGTATGGTAAAATATATATGTGATCTTCAACCAGGTTCCCTGGCAGACAACTCCTAACATCCTTAGACTCTCCGAAGTGCTGTCTTTTCTATGCTAATGAATGGGCTGATGGCTGGCAGCCCCTAGGTAGCTTCAGGATGGAGCTGGTGAAAGACCAAGGCAGGATTAGAGGGAGGGCAGAGGGGCTGAAGGTTAAGCTGACCACCAGTGGCCAATGGTTTAATCAATCCTGCCTACATAATGAAGCTTCCATAAAAATCCAAAAGGACAGGGTTTGGAGAGCTTCTGGACAGCTGAACACGAAGGGGTTCCTGGAGGATGGCTGCCCTGTGGGAGGGCACGGAAGCTCCGCGCCTCTTCCCCACACCTCATCCTATGCGTCTCTCCATTTGTATCCTTAGCAATATCTTTATCAGGAACTGGTAAATTTAAGCGTCTCCCTGAGTTCTATGATCCTCTCTAGCAAAATAATCAAACCCATGGAGGACATGGTGGGAACCTCGATTTATAGGTGGCTGGTCAGAAAGACAGGGTAGGCAATCAGGGGCTTGCGATCCACCTCGGAAATGGAGGGCAGTTTTGTGGGACTGAGCCCTCGACCTGTGGGATCCACCGCTGTCTCTAGGTAGATAGTGTTGGAATTGAATTGAATTAAAGGACGCCCCGCCATGCTGCAGAATTGACTGCTTGCTGGTCACAGAAGTCATCTGTGTCAGTTTCTCTGGGGTGAGAGCAAAGGAAAAACAGTTTGTTTTTACCTCAAGGAGGATTAAGGAGCAGCTCTGGGGTTGGAAGAGGACTGAGCTGATCATGGGTGGTGGTGCCCGCAACAGAGGCGGCAGGCGGCCTCTCAGCCCAAGAAGGGGATGGGTGGAGGGAAAACCTTTGTGTCGTCCCTTGTTCCTTCTTTGTGATTTCTGCTGTGGGCTGGAGAAGCCGGGGCGGTCACAGACTCTGAGGTGGCTTCGGGAAACCCCCGGGAAAGCTCAGGAGAAAGAACGCTTTCTCCTGACCGGTGGCCCTGCTTGAGGTCAGAGATCTGCGTGCCCCGTTGAGACACCCTAGAGCTGGGTGGGTTCTTCATTTCAAACCAAACCAGAACTCCGGAGCGCGCCCCACTTTTTACTTGTCTTTGGCAAAAACATCTCATTTCAAAAAGCATGCGTGTAAGAAGAAAGAAGGCACCAAGCCACTCCAGCCACTCTCCTTGAAGCACCCTGGGGCCTTCGGAAGGGACTTCAATCCCAACCCCACAGGGGCGGGGAGCGGATGGCAAGGAAAACAAGAGCCAGGACACATCGTTGCTAGCTTTGCCAGCCAGATGCAGTGCTGATGTCGGCATGGGCTGCAGATTTGGGGTAATGTTCCTTTAATAAGGAGCCCCCTACAGCATTTCAATAGGCCCTGGGGGCTGCAGGGGCTAGGCTGTGCCCCTGTCACCCTGCCCAGTCCCTGCCCTCACCCTTCCCCCTGCAAAATTTACCCTGGTTCATTGTACCTAGGAAGCACCATAAATATTTCTTGAATTTAAGTGCCTCATTCTCCCTGAATAGACGGGAGCCTACTTTGAAATAAAAGTTCAAAAAGAAAAAAAGAAAGCCTCACATCTCCCAAACTTCAAACAGCGCCCAGTCAGAGGCAGTTCGCTGGGCTTGAAGTTTGTAGTCAGGGAGGGCGATGGCAAGGAGAGGGCAAGTAACGTGGCCCCAGTGTGTCCTCGAAGAAGCCTCCTCCTAATAACCTCATGTTTCCCCTGTGTCCCACAGTGACGGATTTGACATAAGCAACTGCTCCATGCAGCCAGGCCGGCCAGGCTTCTCAGGCTGTGCTGGGGACGCAGGGCCCGGTGGGTGGGGGCATCTACCAGACCCGCTGAACTAGGGGCAAGTTGTGACAAAACCAGCCTTATTCTTGGGGAAAATGTGTGAGGTGTTTTTTTTTTTTTCTTTCCTCCCACACAAAGGTGATTTCAACAATTCCATTTGGCTGCAACGTTTTCTTCTCTGAGAAGCCGTGTTGAGGTGGCCCTGGCTTTTTTGTGAGCTCTCTTTAGTATGGGCTGCACACACTGTCGTAATCCATTTTTTCATCAGCTCCAGGATAACAAAGGGCCCCCTAAGCCCTGGAAACCCCCCTCTGACGCCGATTACGGGTTTCCTGGTGTCAGTCATGGCCGGTTTGTCAGGGCCAGGGAGAGAGAGAGAGAGAGAAAAGGGAGAAGGGGAGGAAGAGAGGGAGGAGGAGGTTGGGGGGGAGAGGGGAAGGAGGGGAGGGAGGCCGCTGGAGTTCAGCCGCCTGTGTGTGTGGTCTCAGGCTAGTCCTTATTTCATGAAATACATGCTTCATTCCTGGCTCAGGGTAAACCTGAGCCTCACTGAATGAGTCCCTTATCCACTTTCCAAAACACTGACGAGGTTTGAAAGGGCTCTGTGGGTAGACTGTGACTATCAGCAAAAGCAAACAGGCCAGCTTATTTAGCTAAGCATTTTTAATATTTAAACATCCCAGCCTTCAGCTATTCGTGAACCGCTCAGCCAACAAGGCAAGAAGTCAGGAGCGCGGCGAAGCTGCCCGTGTTCCCGCAGGTGGGCCTGCTGTCCCCGTGCGGGGCCAGCCCAGGCCGCAAGCTCTCTCGCTGTTTCAGAGCTGGAACTAGGGACCCTGGGGGAGCTCCGGGCCAGAGCCCTCGCTGCCGCCCTCACCCAGGGCAGTCTGGGTGGTGGCTGGCTGTGGAATCACTCACAGCCTCTTCATAATCAGATGTGGTTTAAGCTTAACCTAGTGTTTCCCACCCTTTGAAAAATAAAAGTCTAGGCACCCCCTATTTGTAGAAAAAGAAAGCTCTCTGATGGCAGCGTAATTAAAATGCTAAGCTGGGAAGCTGTGGGCGTCCCAAGTCGGGATCAGGTACAACAAATATTATCCCTGTGGACACGGCCAGAGCTCCCGCTCCGGGTGACGGGCGGCCTGTAAAATCGGCCTGCGACAGACCACAGGCTGGACCCCTCCCTGCCCGGACAGGATGGCACCAGACACCCGCCCACCAGACTTCATACCACCAGCTGGAAGTGGCTTTCTGGTTTATGGAGCAAGACGGAACTGTAAAGTCAGTCGTTCTCATGGGCCAGAGTCAAGTCAGCGCCCCCGCCCCACCCGAGCCAAAGGAGGCTTCTGGAGGCCCCGCCAGGTCCCCCTGAGCCAGCCGGAGCCCAGCCAGGCCTCCGGGACAGACTCACCGGGTGCCACCGAGGGCCTGAATGGGCTCCCTGTCTGCCAGAGCAAACAAGCTCCCTGGGCAGGGCGCCCTGGGCACAGCCTGGAGCGGAGCAGGCCGGAGGTTACGAGTGACGCCAGGAGGACAGGGGACTTCTTCTCTCTGGAGATTCCATTAGGGAAACCCTGCCAAAAAGTTTGCCAGGAAGTTCAGTCTGCTCCGATATTATGGGTTCACGGACAAATAGCCCCATTCAAAGAGGACAGGGCCTGAAGGGCTTTGCTAAGGCGACCGCCTCCGCTCGGCCAGGACCCCCTCCTCCCACCCCAGGCTGCTAACCAGGCTTCCTCTGGGGCGGGCTCCCGGGATGCTCTGCGTTCCCGGGGCATAGTTTACATCCGAGCTCCTCTTTTCCCCGTCTATAAAATGTGGGCATTGACATCTCACTGAGGGGTTTACAAAAGGGCCTGACTTAGTGCCTGGCCTTGGGGACTCCTCAGTGAATGGGGACCATTGTTACTGCAACTCAAACTTTGGAGCAGTTTGCAGACATCCTCAGGCTGGAGGCAGCTGGAGGCCTGGGGAAGCCCATACCGCCCCCTGGGACTGGTGAGGTGGGTGATGGGGACCACCTGACATTTCCCCCCTGCATACACCTCCTGGTTGGGTCTTCCCAACTAATCCCGCAGGGTCCTCTAAGCCCCTCCCCTTCAAGCCTCCCGTAACCCTACCCTGGGCAGCGTGAGGCCTCCCTGCCCTCAGACAAACTCAGAGCTGCGTCCACGTGGACCCCACGCTCATCACGATGCCAGAGTCGCCAGATGGCAGGAGGCAGCCAAGGCACACAGGACGTGCCTGACCCCCGGCTGGTCATCCCTCCGGCGGGCCAACCTTCAGGTCAGAAGGGGCGTCTTGTGATTGTGCTGCTGCGTCCATCCCCCACGGTCCCCCATGGGCCGTCCTCGGAGACCACTGGAAGCAGACTTCTTACCCCTGCGGCCCAAAGGGAAACCACGGACCTTGGAATCTTAGACTACTGCCTCCACACCTAACTTGAAAGCCTACAGAGAAAAGGGAAAAGCAGGGCGCTGCACAGAGCAGGTGCTCAGTCACGATTTGCTGACCTCACTTCGATTCTGAAGGAAGAGTGCAGAAACAATTAGAAGAGTGTGGCTGGAAGGAAGGCAGAGAGGGCGTGGGAGGGAGAGAATCTCCAGCTAGGATTTCTCAGAGAAGCACCTCAGTATGAATGCTGCTGGGGCAGGGCTTAGCACAGGAGCTTCCCACCCCACTGTGCGGTAGCTGGGGAAGAGGAAAGGCAGGACAGGTGTGGCCTGAGACCACAGAGCTGGAGCGTGAGGAGTGTGTCAGCCGAGCCCGACATTTTTCACTCTTCGATAGAGGCGGGACTAGAGCCTGTATCTTCAGGCTTTCAGAAGTGGGTTCTCCCCGCTCTCTGGAGGCTCCTCCGATGTTAGCCCAACTTGTGAACCCAGCAACCCAAGCACCTTTATCTGGCTCCTTCACATTCAACCCCTGGGCCCTGTTCCCTCACCACGGGCGGGGCCTCACTGCGAGCCGTGACATCGCCAAGGGTCTGTGGGCTCAACCACTGGCTGTGGACTCCAGAAGCAGGGCAACATCAGGGAAGACTTCCAGCAGGGACGGCCAGGCCCCACATTCCGGGGAGAACACTCTTCCACCCCTGGAGCTCCCATGTAAATCAAGCTCCATGAAAAACTGCAAAGCACCCAAGTGACATGCTGTGAATCGGGTGTTTGTGTCCCCCAAATCCATATACTGAAAGCCTACCCACCATTGTGCTGGTGTTTGGAGGGGGACCCTTGGGAGGGGATTAGGAGGTGACAGGGTTAATAATGCCCTTGTGTCCAGAGTTGGTTCCTGCCGGGTTCGTGGTCTTGCTGCTGGACCTTCTCCATAAGTGTTACAGCTCTTAAAGATAGCACAGACCCAAAGAATGAGCTGTAGCAAGGTTTTTTGTGGAGAGCCACACCAACTGCGAGAAAGCCTCAACAGGTTGCCAAGGCTGGCTGGCTGGCTGGGGGGGTGAAGGGGGCGGGGGGGGCTGGCCAGCTTTTATTCCCTTATTGGCTCCACCCATGTTCTGTATCTGTCCTATCAGAGTGCTCTTTTTTCAATCCTCCCTGCGATTGGCTACTTTTAGAATTCTGCTGATTGGTGCGTTTTACAGAACACTGATTGGTGCTTTTTACAGAGTGCTGATTGGTGCATTTTACAGAGCACTGATTGGTGCCTTTCACAGAGCGCTGATTGGCGCGTTTTACAATCCTCTGGTAAGACAGCAAAGTTCCCCAAGTCCTCACTTGACCTGGGAAGTCCAGCTGGCCTCACCTCTCACCCTTATAAGAAGAGAGAGGAGGGACTCTTTCTCCACCAGCAAAAAGGCGTCTGTCTGCAAAACAGGAAGAGGACCGTCACCAGACACCAAGTCTCCTGGTGCCTCCATCTCGGACTTCCCAGGCTCCAAACTGTGAGAAATACATTTCTATTTTTCAAGCCACCCAGTCTGTGGTATTTGTTAGAGCAGCCCTAGCTGACTAAGATCATTAGTAGAAAAGTGGTTGAACAAATTAAATAGAACCATGCCATGGAATACAATACAGCCACAATCAAGAGTAAACTGGAATGGCCGTGTGCTGGTTTGCAGTGATCTCTAATATGAAGTAGGTGAAATCAGCAAGGGCCGGAGTTGTGGGTGTAGAAAAACTCCTTTTATGTAAGTAGGGAGCACATCATCTTTACTGATTTAGGAGTGAACCTTTTTCTGCCAGTGTACAACAATTAAAAGTTTCCTGTGTGGAGAGGCACCTGGAATTTCACTGTACATTCCACTGTACGGTTTAGGGTTCTTTTTAGTTTAAATGAGAAAAACTGCATGTTCTGGTTACTCGAGGCGAAGGACACTTGGAGAGAGTGTTGTTTAAAATAGAGAAGGAGTCGCTCAGTAAGAAGGGAGACAGAAGACCCTGCCCGAGTTCAGCATGTTTGTGACACTAGAGGCAGTTTCAGCTCAAGCTGTTTCCGATTAATATCACAGTCCTCCAGATGAATGGAATGTCAATCACACACCAATTATGAGAATCCCAAGAAGGAAACTCCCTCTTCCATCTTACTATCCACCCACTTGTCTGCCCACCCACCCACATGGCTGCAGTGTCTCTCAAGGGAAAGAAGAAAGAGAGAATAAGAAGGAGGGAAGCGGGGAAGGAAAGAAGGAGGGAGGAAGGAAGGGAGGGAGGGAGGAAAGGGGAGGGGAGCGGAGGGAATTCTGCTACCAATACTAAAATACACCCTTGGACAAATCAGACAAACCCACTCTGCGTTTCTGGTTTCCTCCCCAGTGCCGTAGCTCAGCACTAGTGGAGGGAGATTGAAAAGAAGCAGCAGAGCCATATGCTCACATATTAAAAACCATGGTTGGCAGTGAGAGGAATCATTTTTCCTGGCGCTCAGAACGTGTGCAGTAAGGCCCTGTGGAAGCTGCCAGGTTACTAAGAGGTGAAACAGCCATTGTGAAATGCACCTCCTAGAAAGAATCCACCAGGAAGTGAGGTTTTCTGTGTCTGCAAACTAGCTCTGACCTCTTCCAGCTCCTTTGCCCTCTGCTTTGAAATAAATGATGAATTCAAGTCAACCCATATCGCCTGGGTATCTCCTACAGCCAGGGCTCTGTAGTGAAGGTCAATAGGAGGTTGCCCCTTACTTCATCAGGTCCAGCTCACTGGGAGGTGATCCTGTTGGCAGTGTGGAGAAGTAACCATCATTCCTGCCTGGCTGATTGCACCCAGCTAACAGGCCAGTTCTGTTGTCCAGCCGTCTCCAGTTTGGGTCAGGTGCACCTGGGTTTTATTCCTAGGGTTACGGCTAGCTGGCAGCTCATTCAGGGCAGATCCTCTTCCTCTTTGGGTCTGTTTCCTCCCCCGCAGCATGAGGGGCAACGCACATTTGAAGAGGATTTAAGTGACCTGAGCAGTGGACCTCTCTCTGGCATACACACATGGGTAAACAGGCATATGACTTTTGGGGATAACGAAAAACAGCCATGTCCACCAAATCAATGTGGGATCAGGAGGTAGAAGTGAATTTTCTTGCCAGGTGGGAAAGTAGAAATTGTCTAGGTTGTGAGCGGCCTCTTTCATGTGCCCTTATCCCTAACTCTGCAGAGACTTTGTGAGAAGTAGCAAAGCTTCTGCTGGCTTCAAGCCCTCAAGCTGCTGGTAAATTGAGGTAAGGCACATTCTCCTGTCAAAGGATTTCTAAACTCTCCAGACCTTATCAGGCAGGGTCCCAACAGGAAGCAGAAGGCACACTCAAATTAGCATCATAGAGGAGAGTTTCTCTATATACGGACTACCTACAAGGTGTGGGCAGGTGCAGGGGAGCCATGCAGGAACCCCAGGCCACAGCAGGTGAGCTGTCACTCGCACCAGATCCAGCGGGGTGAGGGAGGGAGAGGTTATCAGAACTGAAACATGGAAGGAGAAAGTTGTGAGGAGGACAGCCCCTCCACAGGTGATTTTACAGAGTCGGGGGATGCAGAGCAATGAGAAGCCTCACCTTCCTCTCTCCCCCTGAACTCCTGCTGGGGCTCCCCCGGCCCCTGGCCAAACCCACCCAGAAGCCAGAGGGCCCAGGAGTTGTAGAGTGCAGTCCATGCAGCCATGCAGGGCAGGCTTCCAGGGCAGAAGGGGGCTGGCAGGTGGACAGTGGGTCTGGGGGTGACAGAAGCAGCACACAAGGACTCTCTGCACGTGGACGACCCTTTAGCATGTTCTTCTGGAAGGTTTAATGTTCACCCAGCCTTAACTTCTTGGGAGAATTTTAAAGTATTAAGAGCAGGGAAAATTGAAAACCAATTTAAAAAGGGAACTTAGCCATTTCCAAGTGTATTAGTCCATTTTCACAGTGCTGATAAAGACATACCCAAGACTGGGCAATTTACAAAAGAAAGAGGTTTAATTGGACTTACAGTTCCACGTGGCTGGGGAAGCCTCACAATCATGGCGGAAGGCAAGAAGGAGCAAGTCATGTCTTACATGGACAGCAGCAGGCAAAGAGAGAATGAGGAAGACACAAAAGCAGAAACCCCTGATAAAACTATCTGATCTTGTGAGACTATTCACTACCACAAGAACGATGTGGAGGAAACCTCCCCCATGATTCAATTATCTCCCACCGGATCCCTCCCATAACACGTGGGAATTATGGAAGTACAATTCAAAATGAGGTTTGGGTGGGGGCACAGAGCCAAACCATATCACCAAGTTTAAGTGGAAATGTATGATTTGAGCCATTAAACACTTAGATTGTCCCAAACTCTCAGGAGCACATCTGTGGCTCATGTGAAGCAGGCCTACCGCTTTGTGTAATTCTAAAGCTTCTTATAGGTTTCCACTATAGACTCAAAGCCCAGAACTTAATGTATAATAACAGTACTATTATTATTATTGTAACAACTATATAGCAATGCTATACCTTGCAGATCACTAAGTATTATCTATTTCAGGGAAGCCATAGGTTTCACTGGAGCTTAAGGGAACCATCAAAAACAAGGAATTCGTAAACAGGATTCAGTGTTTGCCTGGCATGGGACCACTATTTTTGCTGGTCCTCCTTTTTCTAGGCCTCTGTTTCATTGAGAAAAGTTGTAAACTGTGTGCAAGAGAGGCAAAAATGTGTTGCTCAACTTATAATGATTAGTCTGGTGCACCGTCACTAGAAGGTTGAGATGCGTCATCCATTGGAGGGAACATTCAGCAGCCTAAACAAGGATGCGTGGAAGACTCCAGTTGACATGGGAAGATATTCGTCATATATAGCTGAATGAAAAAAAAAAAAACTTACAAAAGAGCATTGTAGTGAGATGCCATTTTTTGAAGAAATCATATGTGTGTGTGTGTACATGCATGTGTGTATTTTTAAGTCATGAAGAAAAGGTATGAAAATGACACAAATAGTTAACTTGGCAGGTGGGATTCCAGGTAACTGTCATTATCCTTTTGCTTATTTGCATTTGATAAAAGAAAAACTTCAGCTGAATTAAATTTAAAGGAGTGTAATTGAGCAATGAGTGATTCAGGTATGGAGCAGCCTTCCCAGCCAGAGTAGGATCAGGGACTCCAGCACAGCCACGTGGTGGAAGACTTATGGACAGAAAAAGGAAAGTGACCTACGGAAAACAGAAGTGAGGCACAGAAGCAGCCAGATTGGTTACAGCTTGGCATTTGCCTTATTTGAATAGAGTTCAAACAGCTACATTTGATTGGCCAAAACTCGGTGATTAGTACAAGTGGAGGCTAAGGTCTGTTTACACCTATACTTGTTATAGTTCACGATGTACAGAAAAACCTTTAGGCCAAACTAAAAATAGCTAAGGAGGCAGCTTCAGGTGAAACTTGATTTAACACATTTTTAAAATGAACATGTATTTATCATCTAAAAAAAATGTTATGGTATGAAAGAAAATCCCTGCCTGCAACACCTTAGAAACAGACTGAAGCCCCAGGACCACCACAGAGCACAGCCACAGGGGCCCTCGCCATCTTGCATTCTTTGATCCTTGTGCAAAGGAGACCCTCAAGTCCACTCTTCAATTCCTCACTGCAGCCCTGGACTCTCCTAGTGCTTACTGGAAATAAGGCACTGTTAAAGGCAAGGGGGGGAAAAAGACTGGCCCCAGCGTCTCAGCATAGAAGACTGGGGACCTGAGATGAGCCTCTCTGGACATGGCAGGTCTGTGTAAGCCAGCCCTGTGTGCCATGACCTTTTCTCTATGGCTTTACATTCTTCCCTTCTGTGCCCTCTCCCTTACCTCTAAGGGTGGGGCTAGTGGTGATAGTGCTGGTACAGATTCTGGAATTCTGATCTTACAACTTCAGCCAGGCATTGGTCTCTGCCTTCCTTATGTTTCACTTCCTATTTGCAAAATGATAATGCTGTTTCCTAGTCTAGGAAACAAAGAGGCCCTTCAGGGTGTCATTGGACTCTCTGCCTGCACCCGCATCCCTTCCAGCTGGGCTCCAGATGACATAGATTAGCCAACGCTTTCTGTGTCCATAACCATCGCCAGTGATCCTTTGGTTAAAGACATCCCCAGATCATATAAGGTCTTCTCACTTCCCAGCAAAGCGCCTGAGTGACCTCGTTCTGGAGACATACAATCCAAGCCCTCTGCCTGTCCCTCATTTGTGTGAAAAGCACTCTTTTGGGAGGTGTCTTTTCCCTGGTACTTCTCTCCTGAAGATAGCAATCTTCTCCCCTTTTCAGGTGTCTTTCCAGTTTTAGATTCTATTGTGTTCTCTAGAGAGTTTGTAAACGTTCTCTTTGAAGAAAAGTTTCAGATTGAGGAAGGTTCTTAAAGCCATGATACTCCCGAGGATGAATGGATTTGCTTCTCAGCATCTTTTTCTGACCTCCCTTTGAAAGGATGGAAGGCTAGGGATATTTGACAGCTAGTGGTCTAAGTGTTAAGAGGGATTGGGCCATATTCTTTTTCTTTCAGGTATAACTTCTCTTATTGGAATATCTTCTCTGTCTCTCAACTTTTATATTCTTGCACCAGAGCTGAACAAGTACAGCCAACCCCAAAGGCCTGTGTTGGTGGGGATCAGGAAGTGTGGCGGAAGCCCCTGCCTCCTGCAGGCTGTCAGGGTGATCACTGCCCTCCACCAAAACTCATACTGCTCCAGGTGTTCAGAAGCCATGCCCATGGGTTGATGGAGATGCTCCTGAGCTGTGAAGACCAACAGAAGGGCCGGAAGGCAGAAGAAACACAGGATGTGGCCAGAGACATAGTCAGGTGCTAATACCCAGGGCAGCAGCACCTTTAAAAGGCCCCACTCTCACAGGGGCAGGGGCAGGACCTGGCTGGGCCCTGACTGGGAGCTCATCAGCAGGGGGAATGAGTCACATGAAAGGCTCCACCCCTGAGCAACAACATTCAAGACAGCATGTGATATGGGTTTGGGTGTTTTGTGCCTTCCAAATCTCATGCTGAAATGTGCCCTCCAGGGCTGGAGGTGGGGCCTAGTGGAAAGTGTTTGGGTCATGGGGATGGATCCCTCATGAATGGCTTGGTGCTGTCCTCACTCACTCTGTGAGTTCACATGAGATCTGTTGTTTAAAAGAGCCTGGCAGCTCTTCTCTCTTTCTCTCTCTTGCTCCCTCTCTTGCCATGTGACACACTGGCTCCCCTTAGCCTTCTGCCATGATTGGAAGCTTCCTGAGGCCTCACCAGAAGCTATTGCCAGTGCTATGCTTCCTCTATAGCCTGCAGATCCATGAGCCAAATAAACCTCTTTTCTTTATAAATTACTCAGCCTCAGGTATTCCTTTATGGCAACAAAGAATGGACTAACACATGCCATGAGGATAAACTCATAAATTAACAAAACAGAATAGAGTCCAGAAACATACCTGTATGTGTACGTTTAATTGATTGTGGACAAGGTTGCTAGTTGACAGGGAAAGAATTGTCTTTCGACAAATGGTGCTGAGACAAGTGGATAGCCACACACAAAAGAACCAACACCATATCCAAAAAAAAAAACTCAAAATGGATCAGAGACCTAAATGTAAGGTCTAAAACCATAAAAATCTTAGAGGAAAACATAGGAGTAAATCTTCATGACCTTGGATTTGGCAATGAAGATACAGTCTGTATCTTAGATATAACAGTAAAAGCATAAGCAACAAAGGAAAACAATAGATAAATTGAAATTAGAAATTTTTTGTGCTTCAAAAGACACCATCAACAAAGTGAAAAAATAATGCACAGAAAGGGAAAAATATTTGCAAATCATATATCTGATAAGGGACTTGTATCGAGAATGTGTAAAAAATTGTTGCAACTCCATAATAAAAAGCCAAGTAACCCAACTGAAAAATGAGCACAAAGTCTGAATAGATATTTCTCCAAGGAAGGTATATACAAATGGCACATGAAAAGATGCTTGGCATCATTAGTCATCAGAGAAGTGAAATCAAAACCATCTCACACCCACTAGGATGGCTAGGATAGAAAAGTCAGACAATAACAAGTGTTAGCAAGGAGGTGGAATCATTGGAACCCTCATACACTTTGCTAATGGGAATGCAAATGGTGAAGCCACTTTGGAAAACAGGCTGGTAGCTTCTGAAAGGATTAAACAGAGTTGCCATATGACCAGCAATTCTACCATTACGTCTATACCCAAGAGAAATGGAAACAGGTGCTCAATCAAAAACAGCACAAATGTTCAGAGTAACATAGTCCATAATAGCCAAAAGGTGTGCATAACTAAATGTCCATCAGTGGATGAATGGATACACAAATATGGTATGTCTGTACAATGGAATGCTATTCAGCAGTAAAAAGGAATTGTAGAGGGCTTGAGAGATTTGGGGGCTGATCAAAGAAAAAGAAGTTGACCATGAGGGGTAGTGACACACGCAAGCTTTACTGGACGGCGCTGGGACAACATTGCATGAGTGGGGAACTCCCTTGCAGCATGAGACCTTCGAGCAGCTTATGGCGGGGGCTTGGGGGGGGGGTTGCACCTTCCAGAAGGGGAGGAGGCAAGGGAAACGGGAAGGGGGCCAAAAAGGAGGCTTCTGTGCCTAGGAGCTGCTGCTTGGCAGCACAGAGGGGAGTCTCTGGGTCCGAGAGCCTTGGAAGGTAGTAGCACCTTGGGGCTGTTCTTAAAACCACGAGGCTCAGTCTTATCAGTGTCCGGCAGGTAGTGAGTGAGGTCTCCTGGGGAATGCAAAGCAGGCAGGCCCTAAACGGCTAAAAATCTGCTTGTTTCTGCAGTTCTCAAAACAACTGGATGTGTACATTTCTGAGTTTGATGCCAGTGGGGTTTTGAGCTCAGAGGTCTCAGCCTTCAGTGAAGAAATGAACAACCTAGAGGCCACTGCCCAGAAGCCATCTTTGGCTCATTTATACAAGAAGAAGGAAGTGCTGGTGTGTGCTACAATGGATGACCCCAACCAAATTGTGCTAAGTGAAAGAAGCCAGACATGGAAGACCGCATACAATATGATTCCACACCAAACGTACAGATGAGGCAGGCAAATCTATAGCGCAGACAGGAAATGAGTGGCTGCCAGAGCTGGGAGCAGAGTGGGGATGCTAGGGGTGATAGCTAGAGGGTACAGCATTTCTTTTTAGGGTGATGAGTGTTCTAAAGTTGATTGTGGTGATGAGTGCACAACTCTGTGAATATATTAAAAACCATTGAATTGTGCACTTTAAATATGTGAATTGTATGGTATTCAATCAAAGCTGTTCCAAAGAGAAAAATAGATGAAAACTGAAAAACAAAGGCTCAACCCACAGGCTGCTTTCTCTAGTGCTGAGGTTTCAATATTAAATGAGCAGACTGGCCCTTCGTAAGTGAGAACACAAAAGCTGCTTAAACAGGTACCCCTTTGAGTGGAGACACACTCCTGCTCCCCAGCCGGAGTCCCCAGGTCTGGATTTTTGGATGACGTGAGCCTTGTACCCAGGCTGACAAGTAATATTAGACCACGTGTATTCTTTTTTTTTTATAGCTCAAATGTACAGACATTACAGAAAATTTGCAGAAATAGTATTAATACAAAGAACACCAATATAACCTTCACCCAGGTTCACCCATTGTTAACATTTTGCCGCATTTGCTATATCACTCTCTCTGTTATCTATCTATTTATATCTATCATCTATGTATCTGTCATCTTTCTTTTTTTCTGGTTTTTTTTTTTTTTTTTTTTTTTTTTTAGATGGTGTCTCACTCTGTCACCCAGGCTGGAGTGCAGTGGCACGATCTCGGCTCACTGCAACCTCTGCCTCCCGGGTTCAAGCGATTCTCCTGCCTCAGCCTCACGAGTAGCTGGGATTACAGGCATGTGCCACCATGCCTGGCTGATATTTTGTATTTTTAGTAGAGACAGGGTTTCACCATGTTAGTCAGGATGGTCTCAATCTCCTGACCTCGTGATCCACCTGCCTCAGCCTCCCAAAGTGCTGGGATTACAGGCGTGAGCCACTGTGTCCAGCCTGTATCTGTCATCTTTCTAGCATCTATCTATCTATCTATCTATCTATCTATCTATCTATCTATCTATCTATCATCTATCTATCTATCTATCTCTATCATCTATGTATCTGTCATCTTTCTAGCATCTATCTATCTATATCTATCATCTATGTATCTGTCATCTTTCTAGCATCTATCTATCTATCTATTTATCTATCTATCTATCTATCTGTCTAAGAGAGAGAACATAGGGTATGTTTCTGACCTCTCAATTCTATTTCGCTGATTTGTAAGTTTATCTTTATGGTAGGGACACGCTGTTTTGATTACTGTTGCTTGAAGATGGTACCTTTAGTGTCACTCATTCTTCCAACAAACAAACTGCCACAGTCAGTCCCCAGCCCAAGCCCTGCCCTTGCCCCTAAGGGTGTGGTGCCTTTTAAAGGTGCTCCTTCCCTGGGCATCAACATGTGGCTGTATCTCTGTGTTTCTCCCCCTTTCCAGCCTGTCTGCCATCTTTCTGTTGGCCATTTTACAGCTCAGGAACATTTCCATGGTTTTGTCCTACAAGCCCCCATCAGAGGGGATGGATCCGAGCAGGAAAGGCTCTGTTATGGGTTGAATTGTGTGCCCTCAGGTTTCCTAAGTTGAAGTCTTAACCCTGAGGTACTCGGAATGTGACCATCTTTGGAGACAGAGGCTTTACAGAGGTCATCAAGTGAAGGCAAGCTCACTAGGGTGGGCCCTCATCCAGTGTGACCAGTGTCCTTGTGAAAAGGGGAAAGGTGGACACAGAGATATGCTTACAAGGAATGCCATGTGAAGGGAGAAGATGGCCATCTACAAGCAAAGGGGAGAGATCTTCCCTCATGGCCTCACGAGGAACAGCCCTGATGATGCTGGATCCTGTGGCTCTCGCCTCCAGACTGGGAGACAGAGAACTTCTGTTGTTTGTGGTGCTTTGTCACAGCCACCCGAGTAGGCTCCTTGCTCCCCCTCCTGGTCCCTCAACCACAATGTTTCCCCTTTGCCTTGATGAATATTTCATTTGAAAAATGGCATTGGTTGGTTTAAAAGAAAAGTTTGGAAGTTCCTTATTCTTATCCACACTTCTCTCAGACGGGCGTGCTGATGCCCGCTGAAATGATCTATCTGAAGTTACAGAGTCCTTTCTTATGACTCACCATTTGCTTTCTTGGAGGATGAAGAAAGGAAGGAAAAGAGGGAGGGAGACTGGACCCCAGTCCCTGTGAGGCTGCTGGTGGCTAGTGAAGAAAGAGCATAGCTGCGTTGGCTTTGCAAATCAGCACAGCCAGCCACATCTCATTCTGCTGCAGCCTCAGGGAAGCAGACGTAGCCCTGTGTGTAGCTGCAGCATGGCCGCTAGCCTCCTGGGTGCAGATGCCATTGCCTAGCTCAGCACTTCCCCCTCCATTTGCTCCTGGGCCGTCCCTGCCTTCCAGGATGTGCTTGGGTGACTGGTCACTGGGCTTCTGGGGACTGTCAACTCCTAGAGGTTCTGAAGCAGCTGTTGCAAGATTATGAAGCCATTTGGTTTGTTTCACTGTTTTCCCTCCTCATCTCCTCTCTTTAAATCTTTCTTGCTCCCCTGTCTTGCATATTTGTGATGGATAGAGGTAGAGAGAGTTCTGGTGCTTTTGGTTTTACAAAGCTCTGGATCCAATCAGTGTTGCCAAAGATTGGATCGTATCTTCTCTAGAAGCTTTTTGTAAGTTTCTTATGTTCATTATGTCACTTCCCCCTCCCTCCACCAGAAAAGCTTGCATCAGCAAAAGTTGAAGTTGTTGCACGTTATTACTGGAAATGAGTTAACTTAAAACATGCTTGTTTAGGGAACCCACAGAAGCCATGCTTTTGTACTGACTCCATGCCAAGCCATTGTTTCAGTGTGAGGGCCTAAGTCTGCCCTCGTGAAGTCCTCGGCCTTGGGTGCTATAAGATACACAGTCTCTAAAACCCTTTGCTCCAAGTCTCCCTTATTTCGATGACATCTACTCAGAACCATCACTGGGCTTCACCCTTGCCCTTATTCTGTGATCCTGGTAGAAGGGGCAAGGAACACTACCTCAGGAACAAAGGTCACAATGGAGCGAGGTGCTACCCTTCTCCTGACAATGCTGTTATGACAAATGGTGCGGCTGCATCCCACTGTAACTTTACCTACAAAAACAGGCAGTGGGCCAGATTTGGCCTGCAAGCCTCTTTTTTCTTTCTTTCTTTCTTTCTTTCTTTCTTTTTTTTTTTTTTTTTTTGAGACAGGGTCTGGCTTTGTCACCCAGGCTGGCGTGCAGTGGTGCGATCACAGCCGGCTGCAGTCTCGACCTCCTATGGCCTGCAAACCTCTTGTTGATAAGTCACTTCACCTCTCTGAGTCCTAATGCCTTCATCTATGAGTTCTCCAAATATCCCCTGTGACCTTTCAGTTCACAGGTCCCAAGCAGAGTCACTGGAACAATTCGATTGGAATCCCCACCTGCCCTGAGGTGGCGCATCAGCCCTCTCTTACTGTGTCTCCTGGAATCCTGAGTATGTGTGTGTGTGAATGTGTGTGTGTGTGTGTGTGTGTGTGTGTGTGAATACAGTATACATCTCTGTGTGCGTGCACATATATCAATAAATAATCCCATAATCCCTCTGCTGTGTGTGGCCTCCTCATCTGACCACCCACCTGTCTGTGTTTACCCCACTAGTCTACACTGAAGTCAGGGCCCCACTGCTCAAGCTCTACACAAGCAGTTCAGTGTCATGGCCCAGTTTCTCCATGCAGGTGCCACTCACAGTGAGCTCCATGCCTCAGCCACCTGCCCTTGGTCCCTGACTCCCTTGACCCCCAGGAGAGCCAGTTCTGTCTCTGCCTGCCATCACTGCCCATCTCCCCATGGCCGGGAACATGCCTCTTCCCACGGCCCTGTGCTTGGAGCCCGGATGCTGTATTTTATCCCATTTTATCTCCCCAGCCCCCATGAGAGTGAGGCTCCCTGGTGAGGAAGGCTTGGTGTCTTCAGGGAGCTGTAAAGGAGATATCTTTGCCTGGGTGTGCCACTCTCTTCTCACGGCACACCAGTGTCCCACCCACCCAGTGTGCTGAAGGCCTTCCTTACCTGGGGAAGTTTCCTACTCAGGGGATTCTCTGCACTCCCATTTCCCAGAGGGTCCCAAGTCCTTCGGACATTTTTGAATCTCACTTGTGGCTTAAGTTCTTTTGAGTGGGGTCTTAGGAAATTCAGGCCAGACGACTGGACTCCAGTTTATGTGACCCTGAGAACTTAGTCACAATTAAGATGGTTCTGTCTGCCCGGAGCACACAGAGGCCCCCTGGGAACCAACACACAACTCCACATCCCACCAACTCTGAGTCTCAAGTCATCCAAGACGCTCCCTCTCTCTTGTAAAATGAGTTTTACTCTATTGTATCTTACTGCCTTGCAGCTCTGAACTCCCGTGACTCCCCAGCAATACCTAGGGGGAGGAACAGCAAAGTATTAGAAAGGCCTTCCTTGGACTAACTGGTGTAACTGGGAAAAAAGGTATAAAGCCTGTGACAATTCTAAACACCCTGGCTGTATACAATAACTCCAGATTTGGAAATATGACATAGCCTGTGTTTTTGGCTACTACTAGTAATTAAACCTGGATCTGTTTCACCCGAAGCAAGAGCACTAGTGGGCCTGGAAGAGTGAATGCAGAGCCGTGTGGCTCTGGGCTCACTGTGCGAAAACCCAGAGCCCTCCTTCCAGCAAGGGAGCTTTGCTGCACCAGCACTCATGACACCCAGGGCTTTAGCCAGTTAGAGTCACATTGTGCAACTGACATGCCCATTCTCCCAGGCCAGAGTGACTGCTGGATGTATCACTTCTCTACTGCTATGAGAGAAACCACCTCAACGCCTAGAGACTTAAAATGACGACAATCGATTATCGCTCTTGATTCTGAATGTTGGTTTCTCCACTGGTTCACCTGGGCTCGCTCACATGGCTGCATTCAGCTGGAGGGTCAGCTGGGCTGAAAGGTCCACTTGGCGGTCAAGCCTTGGAGATCACATAACCCCACCTCTGATGCAGTCTGTTGGTCAAAGCAAGCCACATGTCATGCCCTAATTTAAGAGGAAGGAAAACAGATTCCACCTCCTGATGGAAGTCGTGGCACAGTCACATCACACGAGATCATGGGCTAAATTGATGCAGCCATCTTTGGAAGTGGTTGGAGTAGCAACACAGGTGTGAAGTCCTCCTGACCACTCCTGGCTTTATGGGGAAGACCTTGCAGGAGAGGCCTACATTCCTCTCTGGACAAAGGCCTTCTTTGTAGGAAGAAAAAAAAAAAGGAAAAAAGGACTCTGACATCTTTGGTTTGGGGCTCAGAATGGAGTTTCTGCCTCTAACTAGTTACAACTATCTAGGTTGCAAGTGACAGAAACCCCATTCAAACTAGCTTCAGCCAAAAGGAGAAACATTACTGTGATCGTGGATCCCAGTGGCAGGAAGGCAGCAGCCTTGGGCACTATAGGAAGCAGAGGCTCCATGCCCCAGGACTCTCCTTGCCTCTGCTTCCTGTTTCTCTGGAGCCCTGGCTTCCTTCTCTCTGGCTGTGGAGTGCATTCCTCCCTGTGGTGACAAATACAGCTCCCAACAGCTCCAGATTTTACAACTATTGGCGAGAAATAGACCCTGTCTCCTGTGTAGTTTCAAATTCAAATATATTGGGGAAAGAATTCACTAACAATGAGTTCAGGGCTTGTCTGTAGAGCAGTGAACTATGGGCAGGGGCAGGGCCAGGCGATACTATCAAAGCTGCCATGGAGCCATGTTGGTGGAGCGTGGCAGGGCATCTCGAGGGAAGGTGTGAGCAGGCAAATCCATGGGCATCCACTCAACAACCTCAGAGTGGACAGGCGGGAGTGGCTAGAGGGACAAAGCCCAGGGGCAGGCTGCCTGTGCTGGGGTCTCCATTTCACCACTCGTTAGCTGAGTGTCATTACTAAATCCTCTGTGCCTCCATTTCCTCATCTCTGAAATGGGCATAAGAGTTCTTATACAGTTTGGAGGATAACAATGCATTCATAGTTCATATATGTGTTACAGTTTTGATATGTGTCCCCTCCAAAACTCCTTTTTAATTGAATCCCCAGTGTGGTAGCATTGAGAGGTGATTGGGTCACAAGCGCTCTGCCCTCATGAATGGGTTAATTCATTCGTGGATGAATGATGAATGGATTACTGGGTTAATGGACTGATGGGTTATTAGGGAGTGGAATGGGTGGCTTTATAAGAAGAGGAAGAGAGACCTGAGCTGGTGCTCTCAGCCCCCTCATCATGGGATGCCTTGCACCACCCTGGGGCCCTGCAGAGTCCCTGCCAGCAAGAGGGCCCTCACCAGATGCACCCCCTAGACTTGGACTTCCCAGCCTCCAGAAATGTAAGAAGTAAATTCCTTTTCTTTATAAATTACCCAGTTTCAGGTATTCTACTACAAGCAATAGAAAACAGACTTAAAATAATATGCGAATGAAGTCTTCTCAAAGAATGCTTGAGTCCATAGCGTGTGCTCACAATGTGTTAATTGTTAGTAATAAGAGGAACAGAGTTGATTCTACTGATTACATTGATATGCTATGATGCAATATATAGAAGTCCAGAAAAGTCTTTTCTTGTTTCCTGGAACCGAAATGATTAATTTGGGGGAAAATGTATATTAAGGGTCTTTTGTCTACCTCAGAACTGCTCCCCGGGCTTTCACAGGGGAGGTGTTCCCGGACCTCTTTTATGCACGGATGCACTTGGGGGGACTGCCCCATGCCAGCCACTGCTCTGCAGATGCCATGAGGAATGGGGGCCGACTCCCTGCAATTGAGTGCTGGGGCATATGCCGGGTTTCACATGTAAATGTGCTTTTCTAGGAAAGTAAAGTTTTCTCAGGCCTAAGGTTGTGTCAAACACAGCAATTTAAAAAAATGTCACAGGAGATGGCCTGAACTAGATTTTGGGCTGCACACCACAGGAAACCTTCACTTCTGGTCTATTCAAATAGTTATTTTCTTCAATTTTCCAAAATTCCCTCAACTTCTGCCACCAACCGTCCACCCAAAATTAATCTCCTTTATTCTGCTGTGGGTCAAAGGAAGGGAAGGAAGATTTCCTGAGTGATTCTTTGGGCAAATGCCATAGACCTAACTCTGCACTCAGGTGCGACTCGTACATACTTTGTCTCCATTTCTCTTCTCCATTTCCAAAATGAACTTTCCTGGAATCATCTTGGTGAAGAACAGCCTTTATCTCTGGAGAAGGCGCTCCCAGAACACCTCCCATGTTTTACTATCCTCACCGGGCCACCAAGGCCTCCGAGGGCCAAGTCCAGGGCTCCCAAAGTAAGCAGGACCCACAGACCCCCATGCCCCCTTTGGGGACAGCTGAGGGGGGCTGGGTGTCCCTTTAGGAAAATATTTGAACACAGCCGGTGCCCTCCTTCCTGCCACCCATGTGGTTGTGTTTTTAAATATGGCTTGAACTTGAAGCAGTTTCCATTTATAAAAATTCCTTTGCAAAATGTTCTTTCCAATAACAATATTCCCATGTGTGCCTTTGCTTCTGATATTTTTCTTATAAATTAATCTGCTAAAACAGAGTCCTCTTGGCCTTTGGCTTTTGGTGTCCGCAAATGATCCCGCCCCCACCCTGCGGTTTTGGGACCTCCTGCTTTGGCTCTGGGACCCAGAAAGTTTAGACCGCCTTCTTTTCATTCCTGGGAGCTTATCTTACAGGGTTTCCACAGTCTGTGCAGTGCTGAGGGCCAGATGTGCGGCAGCGGCCTCCACACAGCCTCCAAGGCTGCTGGCCCCAAGCAAGCCCAGGCAGGTGGCCTCCAGGGGCACCGCACATGCCCCTCCTGCTCCTTCCCACCACCTTCCACCTCTGGGAAAAGAAAAGACAGGCTGCCTTCTTACTTTGTGTCCTCAAATACCAATGACCCCTGCTGCCAGGGTTCCCGATTTGGGCTCAACATAGGCGTCACATTTCAAAATCCCTGAGCCAGGCTCCACCCATGCCCATCAGAGGGGACTCCATAAAGGAAGGACCCCAACAGGAGGGTTTTTGGAAGCTCTCCGTGACTCCGATGTGCCGCTGAAGTTGAGAACTTGTCCTGGAGGACACCCCCAGCACCCCAGCCAGCATGCCCAGGAACTTGCCAATAGCTGATCAGCCCAGTAGGGATTTGATCACGGGACTGGGCTTCTCCCCCTGGCAGAGGGCTTCTCTCTGCCACATGAGGATTTAGTCAAGTGCGGTGGCTTTGTAACTGGAACTGTATAATATTACTCACTTCCAAACGGTGGCAGGCTTAGAGAGATGACCCAGTGACCATTACGAAATGCCTGCAATCACTGCTGTGACATCTAGAACCACAAACCAATTTATGTTTGATTTTGTCAATATTGCATTTTTCTAGTACGAAGAAAAAATGAGGCACAAACAAATTTAAATACATATACATAGATACACATATGTGTGTACAATATATATGTATACATGCATGAATGTGAGTAAATATATAAATTTCAATATATACACACAATATGTAAATACTTATATACATATATATATATATATATATATATGTATATCTGTACACACACACATCTAGAAATGATTCCAGAAGGACATGGGCTTGGGTTCGAATTTTGGAAAGGAAGACTGATACTTTAATACTCCTTTCCAGAAGCAACAAGGGTCTTTAGTGGGAATGCTGGGGGTTTTATAGAAAGAAAAATCATAGTGAGATGGGCTTAATCAAAAAAAATCTTCTGCAGCCAGGCACAGTGGCTCACACCTGTAATCACAACACTTTGGGAGGCTGAGGCAGGAGGATTGCTTGAGCTCAGGAGTGCAAGACCAATCTGCCTGGGCAACATGGCAAAACCCCATCTCTACAAAAAATACAAAAATTAGCCAGGTGTGGTGGGACATACCTGTAGTCCCAGCTACTTGGGGGGCTGAGGTGGGAGGATCCCTTGAGCCCAGGAGGTCAAGGCTGCAATGAGCTGAGGTCGTGCCACTGCACTCCAACCTGGGCGACACAACGAGACCCGGTTTCAAACAAAACACGAAGCCTCTTTGAACTTGACAGACGGTGTAATGTTAAGCATGGAAATTCATTTTGAAACATGAGGAGTGTGGCAGGCCCCCCTGAAGGACTCCTGGTCTAGGGGCCCTGAGATCTGGCACGCTCCTCGATGGCAGGGCCTTCGTGTTCCTCTGGCTCGCTTGTCTGGCAACCACCCAGCATCTGACCAGTGCTCCTGCGATATTTGCTAGAAACAAATAAATGAAACCCAATACTTTTGAATTTCCATAACAACATTTATCAACTAGGTTTCAAGTTTAGAGGTACATTTCAAAATATTATTAGTGTTAAGCCCCCTCTCCCCTCCCCACTCACATACACACCTTCCCACGGTTCCTTCAACCCATTTAACTGGCTGTTTCCTCCCTGATTCCTTTTTTTCTAAAGAGCTATCCTGACAAAATCACTGAAACACCTTGATCTATAATGGCAAAAACAATTTGAAAAGACAGTGAGAATAAAGAACCTTTTACTGGGTTCTGATATGAAGGGGTGTGACAGTAGTTTTTCTGAGGTATGAGCCTCTCCATAAAAGAGTTGTCCAACTGGCTACTTCCTACCTATAAATGGGCATTTCAGGGAGACAGGGAAGCTGTACACACACACACATTTATGGAGGAAAGATATTTTAAATATGTTTCAACCAATAATAATGTAAAAATACCCAGGAGACTTGTGATGTGGAGCCAGAAGGAGTCTATGAGGTGAGGTTATGTCTGCCCCAGTCCCCTTTGAAGCACTTAGAAATGTGACGAATATAGAAAAAAACCAATAATCCAAAAAGGTGGGAAAGGGGTAGGGAAGTCTTTACCCTCCATGACTTGGGCAAGCTCTGTGTTTTGAAGGAAAAGCAAAGTGTGAGTCTAAGTAAGAAACATTTTAGCACTTTAAGGCAGGGGAGGTTTGCAGTGCTAGAGAGAGCCGAAATTCTTTTGAATCATAACATTTCACAGCACTACGAGAACACCCAAGATTTTGCATACTAGGTTAACTAAGCCAATTATACTTCGTTACATTGTAATAAAAAGTCTTTATCTCTTGAGAAAACTCAAGCGATTTCTTGTTGAGTGCTGTGTAGGTCTGATGGAAACCCTTCAGCTTCCTGTCTGAATTGGGACTGAAAGGCTGGCAATCAGAATTGAAGAGACCTGATTTTCTGGGCAGAAATGTATGGGTTTTTAAATGCCCTGTCCGCCTCTACAGATCTGCTTATGTCATCCACAACTTGCAAATAAGACATGCTCAGCAGTTTACAAATGGGTTGTGTGCAACTTAGGAAGCATGCTCGGTTCTGTATGCTTGAGCCCTGACCTACGCGACGTATTCTATGCTTCCACATCACTGAACTCACCATTCTGCTAGCTGGCTCTGTCTGCCATGCCTTGGTGCATTTGCCCATGTGGTGACCTCTCCCTGGAATTGCCTTCCTCTACTTCTCCACTGAACAAATACTCAGTCTTCTTTCAAAACCTGGTGTCACCTCTACTCTGAAGCCTTGCCTGATCCCACGAATAGATGTCCTTGTCCTGCTCACAGAGCATGTAAGCGCACTTACGTGTTATTATGTATCTTTCCACATGTCTTCCTGATCAACAGGCTGTGAAACCCTTCAGGGCAGGGATTATGCTTCATTCTTCTCTGTATGTCTGGAGCCTGGACCAGCACCTCTTGGGTTGTTGTTCTAGGAGTAATCAAGCAGGAAAGTTCCAGCAAAAAGAAATTCCAGTAAATGAAGGAAAAAGACATGGAACCCAGGAAATAGTGCCTACAACCCATGAGAGTGGTAACAGCAAGTCCAGGAATAACAGCTGTGCTGCGGACCCTGATATCAGCCATAGGCGAGGAGGCCTTTGTGAGGAAGAAAGGGAGAATACCTGATATGATGGAGACTGCAGAGACAGGAGGGCAGAGAGGCTGAAGCTGTGATGATGGCAGATAGTACAAAAACAAAGCCTATTCACAACTCTAGGAAAAACAAACTTTATAAGAAAAGAAATGATTTATTTCATGGAGCTAGCGTAAACAATACCCACATAGTCATAAAAATAGAAATTTTGAGGGCCAGGCACGGTGGCTCATGCCTGTAATCCCAGCTTTGGGAGGCCAAGGCAGGCAAATCACGAGGTCAGGAGTTCAAGACCAACCTGGCCAACATGGTGAAACCGTATCTCTACTAAAAATACAAAAAATTAGCTGCATGCAGTGGCAGGTGCCTGTAATCCCAGCTACTTGGGAGGCTGAGGCAGGAGAATCACTTGAACCCAGGAGGTGGAGGTTGCGGTGAGCTGAGATCATGACAGAGTGGGACTCCATCTCAAAAATACATATATATATAGAAATTTTGATTCTTAATTTAACGACAATAGTGATATATCTGTATCAGGACAGAGGTGGCAAGGACATAGGTAACTAAGTTAGGGCCAACAAAGTCTGCACCAAAGTTGTTGGTAGGACTTATGAACATGCTCCCTAAAAGGTCAAAAAACACTTGAGATATCCCCCTTTTCCTTTCTCCTGCCTCTTTCTTGCCAGATGTGGGGACTTCAGGGTTGCTACGGCGGATCCATAATCATTTGGGTCCAATTTCCTTCCATCTTTCTGCTCCTCACGTATGGATTCTCTTATGTGAGAGAGAAACAAATCTTTATCTTGTTTAAGCAACTTTTGCTGGCTCTCTGTGCTGGCAGCTGAACATAATTTCTATCTAATATAAGACATGGAGCTTATTATTTAGAGATATGGAGCTAACCATCCAAAGAAACACAGGCCTCTCAGCTGTGCTAGACAACTTGGGGCATGTACAGGTTGGAGGGTCTGTGGGAGGCAGAGGCACACTGTTGATGCATGTGCACCCCATGCTGAGGGGTGACCAGTGACCAGGCTGAGAAAGCCAGGCTGAGTCAAGGAGTGCCTCCTCCCAGCAGCAGCTTTGCCTAATTCCTAATAGGATGCATGTGTCTGGCCATCGATTTAAACAGCAGTTTGGATTATGGAATGATTGTTTCGGCAAACTAGGCTGGACACTGCTGATTGAACCCCAGAGCTGACACTCTTCTATCTCCTCACTCCCCTCCCCTCTCCTGCTTACATTCTCTGCTGAGTGCTCAGCCTTTTGCAGTTCCCACTATCCCCTGCAGGGACACTGTGAATGGTTGTTCAAGTCATGCACTGAACTAGTCATTCATGTGATTATTTTTTTTACTTAAGAGAGGGATTCCTTTTTCTAAATCACAGAAAGCCCCTGTATGGACTGGGATCCCCCTTTCTCCCATTGCCCTTAAATAAAATCCAAAATGGCCTGCCCCCACCGACCTCACTAAGCCCATGGTGACCTCCCCTTGTGCACATCACCCTAGTCATAAGGCACTTCTCTTCCTTTCTCACATGTATCAGACCTCTTTCAGTCTTGGGGCCCTTATGTTTGTTCTTCTCTCTGGAATGTTGTCCTCTAGATTTCCATTAATCGGGTTTCTGCTCAATATCATGTCTCCACCAAACCCTCCCAGACGGCTCCACCCAGTGTTGCCTTTTCTGTAACCATCCTGTTACACCGTTTTATTTTCCTGATAACACTTATGGCCATCTGACATTTGCTTGTTTCTTTACTTGTTTGATACTTGCCTTCCTCGTTAGTGTGTAGGCTCCATGAGGACAGGCTGTGTCTGGGACAGGTTGGACTCCCAAGGAAGCAGACTGTCGGAGACAAGGATGGAGATTTACCAGGGTGTACTCTCAGGAACCCCATCTTGGGAAGGGAAGAGAAGGGAAGGGAATAGGACTGGGCAGGAGGGAAAGCACATCACAGCCAGCTCACCAGAAACATCAGCCAGCCCTGCAGAGAGTTCTGAAGGTGGGCTATCCCTGCAGGGAGTTCTGAGGGTGGGCTATCCCTGCAGGGAGTTCTGAGGGTGGGCTATCCCTGCGGCCTTGTCCCAGGTCAGCACACACACCGCTGGGCTTTGTGCTCCTCATTGGTCCTTCACTGGTGCTGGGCTGCTCTCTAAATGCGCTGTGATCTTGAGGGAAGCAGCTCCCTGTGGCTCAGGCAGTCCGCAAAAAGGCTGACAGCTGAGGACTCCCTGCTAGCAACGTCCTCAGCAGTGTCCTTCCTTCAGGGTGACCTGGGGGGCACATCAGAGCATCCAGCATGTCTATCTTGCCCATCACTACACCTCAAGTGTCCACAACATCCTTGGTCCATAGGAGGTGCCCAGTAAGCTTTTGATAGATGACTAAGGGACATACAGGCCTTGGTGGCTTGAGGGTCACCCGTCTCCTTCAAGCACGCATTGCATATGACTGCTCCACACCACTGTGTTTCAATCTTATATTTTAATCCCTGAAGGACGTGTTACTTCCTAAATTTTGGTGCAGATTATCAGACAGGGGACAGATCACTGTCCCAATTGCCTTACCACCAAAACAGAGAGCCTGAGAGAGGCAGACATCTGATCAGCCCCCAGCCCACTCCCTGGGCACTCTCTCTGCCCATGCTGGGGGCTGCTGGCCCCCACAGCTCTGCCGCGCCCTGACTGTGGGACTGCCCCCACAGAACGCAAAGCAACGGTGCCTCTCTTTAGGGGTCCCCGTGGCAAGTCTTCACTAAACTGTGGCAGCCTCTCAATCTGACGCCTCTACCTCCTGAAGAATATTCTGTTGTCACACAGCCCTTCATTCAGCACAGATGACTCGCCCCAGAACACAATACAGGCCTCCTTCACCGAGGACAGCTTCTTTAGGCAGATTTTAACATTTGTGCAATGAAGATTAATTTTACGTTGAAAACTGTAGAGTGTTAAGCTTGAGAATTTGAAATATATCTTATTGAGACGAGAGGGCTAGAAACTGTCCCAGGGTCATGAGGGCAGAGCATCCTTTTTAGGGCGAGCTCTCTACAAGCACCAGGTCGCCACAGCAGCTCCTCTGCGGCTATGCATTCGCCATTCTTCCCTGTGTCAGCCGTGGTGCTGTTGACAAAGTTTCTTTTCCCATATCTTCCAGAACTTGATAGGCTTGACCTTCTCCACGCCTTTGAAATCATCGCACATGTGATTTGTTCTTGCAGTGAAATGTGAGTGGGAAAGACGTGCACCATTTCCTGGAGGAAGCTTTGAGGACCAGTGCGTGCTTTGAAAACCAGAACTGCCAGTTCTTGTCCTGCTTTTTCAATGGTGATAACATATCTCAAGTTGGCATGCCCTCAGCTGGGCCTCTGAGTAACTGGGAGGCTGACGTGCAAGGGAGCAAAAAGCAAACCTTGGCTGTTTAACCACAGATGTGCAGGATTTATCTGTTACTAAAGCATTACCTAGACTGTCCTGACCAAGCAGTACCCTCCCTCCTCTCTCCTTCCCTCTATCTCCTACTGTTTTTCTCCCTCCCTCCCCTCTCACTTCTTTTTCACTCTAATCACCTTGGTAAATCCAGATTGACCCTTGGATGCTGCTTTCAAAGTGCCTCACACATGTTTTGTGGCCTCTTCCAGTTATCCTCCTATCTCTTCCCAGCCACCCCTGGGATTGTCTTTGCCACCCTGAGAGATCTCAAGTTTCCGCAGCTTGTCTGCATCCTCCAAGTGTTCACACCTCGGCTCCTCTGGCCCTGGCTTCCCAAGCCCCTCTCTCGGTGCCCACCTCTCACGCCAATCCTGCTTCTGGACATAGCCCAAAGGGAAGAGGCAGCTCACTGGAGCAACTTCCCAGCCATTCCCTGTCCGATCTCACACTTCCCCTCCCTTCCCCTCATTAATCTCAGAGGAATATATTGTCCTAAAGGCAGATAAAAAGAGAGCTGTCTTGCTTTAAAAGTCATGCTTATGACTAGACAATTTCTTTTTCCAGTTTCCTGCCCTATTCTTGACTTCAATGCATGGCTCTAACTTATCATTATTATTATTATTATTATTTTTTTTTTTTTTGAGATGGAGTCTTGCACTGTTGCCCGGGTTGGAGTGCAGTGGCACGATCTCAGCTCACTGCAACCTCCACCTCCCAGGTTCAAGTGATTTTTCTGCCTCAGCCTCCAGAGTAGCTGGGATTACAGGCACCCACCACCACGGGCCTGGCTAATTTTTTTGTATTTTTAGTAGAGACGGGTTTCACAATGTTGACCAGGCTGATCTTGATCTTTTAGTAGAGATGGGGTTTCACCATGTTGGCCAGGATGGTCTCGATCTCTTGACCTCGTGAGCCACCCACCTTGGCTTCCCAAAGTGTTGGGATTACAGGTGTGAGCCACCACGCCCAGCCCCAATTTTCTGTAAAATATGATTCAAAGCTCACTTTATTTAGGAGCCGTTTCAGGACCGCATGAATCCACTCACTCCACCAGGGTGGCCTCGAGTGGAGCTGTTCAAGGGACTGTGTTACTGCGGTCTTGGTGGTGAGCTCCTTTGTCAGTGCGTTCTTTGGATCTCTATGCTGCCTTTTCAGACTAGATTTTGCTTAGGAATAGCAAAAAGTGCTCAGGGTTGACATACAAGGGGATAAATTAATCTTTCACTGAGAAATATTAAAATAGCTTACTTTAAAGCAATAAAGAAGCCATTTAATTGGAACCTTCTCGGAGACCAAATCTCCTGTGTCTTCAGGAGGCTGCCACACTGGTAGATCTGTACATCCTCAGCATCCAAATAAGGACTTTAAACTAGGTCAGGAGACGTATTTTCTGAGGCAAAACTTTCCATTATTTTCAGCGAGTTCCTTTCACAGAAACCAGTTTGACACGGTGGTTTCATTTTGCAAGCTGGTTGATGTTGGATGATATTACTCATCTGTTTATCCATTTGTTTTTAAAAAGCACTCAATAAACACGGGAACATGGCACTCTGTCTAATGTGAAGTATGCAAGGGGAAATAGAAGCTGTGATGCCTGCTTCTGTGGAACTGTTGTTTGTGTTTGTTTGTTTGTTTGTTTGTTTCTGAGAGGGAGTCGCTCTGTCGCCAGGCTGGAGTACAATGACACGATCTCAGCTCACTGCAACCTCTGCCTCCCAGGTTCAAGCTATTCTCCTGTCTCAGCCTCCTGAGTAGCTGGGATTATAGGCGCGTGTCACTGCACCCAGCTAATTTTTGTATTTTTAGTAGAGATGGGGTTTCGCTGTGTTGGCCAGGCTGGCCTCGAACTCCTGACCTCAGGTGATCCACCCACCTCGGCCTCCCAAAGTGCTGGGATTACAGGTGTGAGCCAATGCCCCCAGCTGCTTCTGTGAAACTTGATGTTTAATTATTTAAACAAGAGGAGGAGGGAAAAGGAAAGGCAGCTTCCAGGGGCAGCTACTCTGAGACCAGGCAGGACTGGACATTGAATTTCACCACATTCACATTTGGCTTCTTAGTTCTTTAAGCTATCAGAGCAGCAGTCAAGACGCAAAGCCAGTGGCGGGCACCTGCTTACTCAACTATGTACACAGTGGAAAATTGTGAGGAAAAGCTGCACGTTTCCTTCCCGTTGCCTTTTCCACTGCATTTTACTCTAGCTAACACCATTCATAGCTTCCATGGATTGAAGATCCTAGACACAAACTGGGGCAACTGCCTGGTCTACCAGGATTTCCTTAACCCTCTGTGTGGGCGGCAAGCCACCCAGGTGCCAAGGCAAGAGACCGAGGGCACGAGCTGTTCCAGTATAATAAAATATATAAAACAACAAGAGTTATACTAGATCTCGAGCATAGACATGATTATATATGAATATCATTAATCATTAGTTTGTAGCAATTACTCTTTATTCCAATATTATAATAATCCTCACTCTATAATCATAACCTAGGAAAAACCAGGCCATACAGAGATAGGAGCTGAGGGGACACAGTGAGAAGTGACCAGAAGACAAGAGTGCGAGCCTTCTGTTATGCCCAGACAGGGCCACCAGAAGGGCTCCTTGGTCTAGCGGTGACACCAGCATCTGGGAAGATGCCGTTGCCAGGCGGACCGTGGTCTAGCGGTAGCAAAAAGTGTCAAGGAACAACACCCGCTACTTAGCAGACCGGGAAAGGGAGTCTCCCTTTCCCCGGGGGAGTTTAGAGAAGACTCTGCTCCTCCACCTTTTGTGGAGGGCCTGACATTAGTCAGGCTTGCCCGCAGTTATCCCGAGGCCTAACCGTCTCCCTGTGATGCTGTGCTTCAGTGGTCACGCTCCTAGTCCGCCTTCATGTTCCATCCTGTACACCTGGCTCTGCCTTCTAGATAGCAGTAGTAAATTAGTGAAAGTACTAAAAGTCTCTGATATGCAGAAATAATGGCGTAAGCTGTCTTTCTCTTTGTCTCCTCTCTCTCTCTGCCTCGGCTGCCAGGCAGGGAAGGGCCCCCTGTCCAGTGGACACGTGACCCACGTGACCTTACCTATCATTGGAGATGACTCACACTCTACCCTGCCCCTTTTGCTTTGTATCCAATAAATAACAGCGCAGCCAGACATTCGGGGCCACTACCGGTCTCCATGCATTGGTGGTAGCGGTCCCCCGGGCCCAGCTGTCTTTTCTTTTATCTCTGTCTTGTGTCTTTATTTCTACACTCTCTCGTCGCCGCACAGGGGGAGAGAGCCACCGACCCTGTGGGGCTGGTCCCTGCACCTCTGTCTCTATTTGAAAGGTTGGCATGTGACCCAGCCAAAGGTAGTCATGGTACATCCCGTCTCTGGCCACAGCGAGGGGCAGAGAGGTGAGCACACATTTCAGATGGGGCTCCTCAAAGACCTCGGGGTCTGCTGAATGAAGAGACGTCCATTCCTCTCTACCTGTGAAGCTGTTGAGACAGGGGTCTGGAGTGGCTGGGGCCATGGTGGCAGGTTTGTGGATGGCGAGGACGAAGACAACACACCCAGGGGACCAGTAGGCCTTCCCAGCTCCCACACCCACCCTGCCCTCCTCTTGGCTTGTCTACACTGTAGGTAAAGCAACCCCCTGCTTTTTTTTTTTTTTTTCCCCATAAGTTCAAACTGGCTTCTATCACTTCCAACTTAACAATATTAATTAATTGTAAAGGCCAACAAATGCTGAACATTTTACACATAGTCTCATTTAATCCTCACCAAAAAATCCTCTTAGGTTGATATTATTAAGTCCATTTTACAGATAAAGAAACGAAAATGCCAGGAGATTATACACACATCTTTATTATTTTTTGTTATTATTGATAACATTCTTTCCTTTTTTCACTGCAGAGCTTTTAAAAAAAAATTTCAAGTTAAATTCCTTCATTCAAAATGTCTCAACATCTTTTTTTGCCCTTAGTAATTTTTTTAAATTGCCCCTATTTCTTCATGAGCCCCTTCTAAGTTTGCCTCGTTTTCTCATTCATTCAACATAACATATATGGAGCAACTATTTTCAGCCAGGCATCGTGCTAGACTCACTGTGCAACAGTGAACAAAACAGACACGCTCGCCATCTGCTCAAAGTTTCAAGTCCAGTCGGAAAGAAGATGACCCAGTGGTTACTTACAATCCAGGTTTCTATGAACTGTGGAGAAGATAGGGCACGGTGCCATGGAAGCCCGCGATGGAGGCAGTTTCTCCACTCTAGAAGGAAAGACCCATACACCATCTGAAAGGCGCCCTTCTTTTTGTCCTTTATGATTTGTCTCTTACTATTATTTTTTATTATCTATTTCACACAATGTATGGTTTTTTTCCTTGCAGTTCTTCTACTCACTGCTTTTAGACCTGAGTGGTTTAGTTTGGTTGAGTGTAACAAGCATTTATGGAACATCTACTGTGTTGGAAACCTAGGTAGAAACTGATAAGACTCTTGAGGTGACAGAAGCTAAACAGAGCCTCTAGTGGAGTCTGGAACCTTCTGCTGCCCATCACCTGGGCTGCTGGGGAAGCCCAGGCCAGGGGTCCTCCCCGACATGGCACCCCATGGCTGTCTCTGGTGCTTCCTCTTCTCCTTTTCCGCTTCCCTGGATCCATCTTCTGTTGCATTTCCCATCGGATTTCCATTCTCTGTTAACTCTCTTCATCGTCACACCTACAGAGCTCCCTCTCTTTGCATTCCCTAATCCCACCATTATTTCCGTTGAAATGAATACGAAAATAAACAAAGTGGTTGGATTTATCCTACTTTTTTTTAGCAAGCATCAAAAATGCATTTAGGCCAACAAGAACCAAAGTTCACGAAATAGGAAATTTGATTGTGTCAAACTGAAAAAAACCCCTCCACCAACATCCCACCGTCCAACTTCCTATTGGCTTCGTGCCTTCGGTTGCATTCTGCGTGTTCCCCACGTTCATTTCATTCACGCTGTTGCTTTTGTTTTTGAGGTTCCATTGTCTCTAAATCTCTCCTGATAATAGGATGGGGGTGGCATGAATGAATGAATGAAGTACTGAATAGGATATTTGGGCTATGTAAGAAGGGATTAAGAGGGTAGAAAATCAACTTTGCCCTATTTCTTCTGCCACTGATTTATTTCGCTCTGTCCTTGGCCTCTGTGAGTTCTGCTCCTCCCGAGTTTCCATTGTCTGCTTAGGTTTTCTCCCATTCCTGCAGGCTCCTGCTGGCTCTGTGTGATTGCTTCTGAGACAAGAGTTGCTAACTCTCCCAATCTGCACTGTAACCAACCAGGGAGAAAGCACAGCTCGTTTTAAGCAGTTCATTTAGTCTACAGAACCTTGGCTTCCCCATTACACTCTTCCAGGTATTTAAAACATGTAAGAGCTGAGATAAGACTTTTAAAATATTAACATAATCCAGGCCTCAACACAACATAATCCAATGGAAATAATATTTATAGCAACAGCGCCCCCAGGTTCAGAAGCCATGGCTGAAATGTTATTATTGTGCAATGGAAATTTGCAGCCTTCCCACTATGGAATCAGAACATGAGCTTGAACTAAATTATACTTTGTTTTTCTCAAACCTCAAGGACAGCCTAATCACCCTGCAATGCATAAGCAATTCACTTTAATTTTTTATTTTATGAAAATACAACTGCGAGATTTAAACTGAAAGTATGACAGCCAAAAAAAATTTTTTTTTAATTTAGCCTTTCATTCAGCAGAAGACCCATATCTTTACTTCAGTTCCCTGGGCACTGCCAACTGTGCAGTGTGAAGGTGGTATCAGATAGAATGGAAATCTTCGAAGCCAGGTCATTTTCTTTGTATCCTATTGGAAATTATTCTAGTAGTCAGAAGTTTAAGCAGAGAATGTAGAAGGAAAGCAGGAAGAGGGAGGAAGAGGAAGAAGAAGAAGGAGAGGAGGAAGGAGGGAGTAGGAAAATGAAGGGAGAAAAGAGAAAAGGAGGCAGAGAGGAGTGGTTGAAGAAGAGAAATGAAAGAATTCCTCAAACAATAGGACTGGAGGGGAGGCAGGATGCAGTTTGTTTAGAAACTATTCTGAAATATTTTTCCTTCGGGTAAAATGGAGCAGCTGCTATATGGAGCAAGGGAAATCCCTACAGCTTACGTGATGTGAATTGCTGAGGGAATCAGAGAACCTGAGTTGGGAAGGATATGTGAGGTCACTGAGCCTAGCTACCCACTTCATCCTTGAGTCTTCCCGCTTCAGGTCTCATCACAGATCTGGAATTTTAATCACGGTGTTCACTTCTCTTTCTAGGCGGATTTTTGGAAGCGGATTTTTAACCTCTTCCAGGATTTAGTCTTTCCTGGGCATTTGTGATAACTTCGTTCTCTGATGTCTAGGATATTCGGTATTACCTATTTTCCCTAACTCCTACTTGTCCTGTACTTTTTCAAATATCAGCTCCCGAAATTGTCACCCTCTTCCTTAAGGTGGCTTGCTCTGAGCTCTGTATCTGCATTTTCCGACATCCCAGAAAGTACGGTAGTTCCTGTTCTAATCATGGCAATGACATACTCAGTAAAGGTGAGCACCCTGGTACTCACCCTGTGTCCGGAAGACAGTGCCAAGGTGAATCATTCTAAGCAATCACTAGAAGTCGCAGGGATTGCCCCAACCACGATGCTGGAGAAATGCCCAGAAGACTTACCTCAACTCACCCGGCTAAAGAATCAACTTGCCTCCTCCACCTCTCCTCCCAGATTCCATCGAAAGCCAAGACTTTTCTTGGCTGGCATCTCCAAGATATTAGTCAGTGTCATTTAATCTTAAGGAGAATGTCCAGGGCGCCTCACTGATCGTAAGGAAATCAGGAGCAGAAGTGGATCTGCTGGCCCTTCTGTGCCTAGTCAGGCCACGGGACAGGTCTCCCTGGAATGGTAGCATGACCAAAAGGCCAGTCAGGCTCTGGGCTCAGACCACGTGGGTTCGAATCCAAGTGCTGCCACTGCCTAGCAAGGTGATCCGGAAAGCTACCGAAACACCCTGGACTTTCATTACTCCATATGTAAAGGGCTTGAAAGAGTGTCTGGCAGGCACATGGCAGGTGATTAATAAATGCTGGCTGTTTTTATCATTACCACCTTCATCATCTGTGGGTTAGATTATGACCTGAGTTAAAAGAATAATTAAGCCATGCATTTAGTTCTGCCAAATATTAATTATTAACATAACAAACTCACATTCGTGGAGCATGCCTGTGTGCCTATGTGCCCAGCACTGTGATAAGGGCACAGCGGGCATCAGTGTCATTTAATGTTTTCAGCAATGCTATGAGGTGGGACCACATCGTGGAAATGGAGCTGGTGAGAGTCATGAACTACTCAAGGTCACCTAGCTAATAAGAAGAGAGGCCATTGATTCACCCCAGTTCTCAGACCCCACCCATGTTTAACCCACTGTCAGATACTGCGTACCTGTGCAACAGCTTGTGTAGAAAGCCAAGCTCAATACTTCAGGTGTGAAATGAAATCAGCAGGGATCAAATCATGTGTGGAGCTTTTGTATGCCTGTACTTGTTTGTGCTTATTTGCTTCCTTAAATTGGATTTATCAGTTAGAAAAAAAAAATTTAGTCACTTCTCTCTCAAACACTGGTCCAGACCTATAAGACCAAGATGGCCAGAGGGCCCTGTACAAAGCATCCCGTGCCAGTGAAATTACCCCCAAAGGGAAAGTGGACCGCCTACTTTGAGTCCCTGCCCCCTTATCCTTCCTCTCTGGCTCCCAACTTGGCTTCCTATGCAAGAGTTATTTGTTCCGGCTGTTAGATCTGTTCTCAAACAACAAATTCCACCTCAATCCTTCACTTTTCACCTGAGTCATTCAGAACATCATTGGCGATGTTCAGTCACAGGGAGACTGAGAGTTTGTATGAGGGGGAAAATGTTTTTTTAAAAAGTGAAATTAACACGGGGAAAAGCCATCGCATGAAGATGAGTGTACAATCGTCCCTCGGAATCTGTGGGAGATCGGCACCAGGACCTCCAAGGATGTGCAGGTTGCTGATGTAAACTGGGGTCGTGTTTGCATATAACCCACACACATCCTGCCAATGCTTTAAATCATCTCCAGATGAATTACAATACCGAAGACAATGTAAACGCTATGTAAATAGTTGTTGTACTGTATTCTTTTTAATTTCTATTATTTTTATTGTTGTATTGTTATTTTTTTATTGTTTTCTTTTATATATTTCCTACCCATGGTTGGTTGAATGAGTGGAGGCAGAGCCTGCAGATACAGAGGCCGACTGCTATAACAGGTACCAAAAACTTAGAGGCTTAACGCAACACAAAGTTATTTCTTATAGTTCTGAATGTTAGGAGTCCAAAATGGGCTGTGGTGGGCTAGCATCAAGGTGCCTGCAGGACTGCATGCATCCTGGGGGCTCCAGGGGAGAACCCACATCCTTGTTTCCCAGCTCTAGAGATTGCTGTATTCCTTGGCTCGCAGCCCCTTCCAGCCACATTCACATCACTGCAACCTCTGCTCCCATTGCTGCCCATTGCAGTCGACTGGACTGCGGAGAGGTGTGCATCCACCTTTCCTGGGAAACATCTGAATGGCTTTTTTCCAGCCAGCACCTAAACGGCTCTAAGAACCTGGATTGTCCCCTGGAATATTCTGGATGTGGTATCTTGGGTATGTCTGCTTTCTGTGTAAGTTTAGCATCCCTAGGGTCTGACACTGGCTTCAAGCCCTCATAAATAAATAGACTCGCTCTCTGCCCTATAAAAGCTCTGGGCTGCGCCTGGGATTCTATGCCTGTCTCCTCTAGGCTTCTGCAGGCTGTTCGGTGCTGACTACACAGCCCTGCCCTGTGGCCGGCTCTGTTGCTGGAGGCCGAGCCTGTTGGAGGCAAACTGCGGACCACACAGGGACTGCCCATTATCTATCTGGTTGCGCCCACTGGTGCCCAGTCCCATGCACCCACCGTGGCGCTGCTCCACCTCAAGAACTGATCTCTGCAGTGAATGCCCCCAGTTAGGCACCTCAAAACTGGTTGGGGTTTCTCCCCATGTCTGGCAAGCTCTTTGCCTTTCATCCTTTCCCCTTACCTCCTACCTTCTCATCTTCCTTGCAGTTTCTGTCCATACACTCTGAAAAAGCAAAACATCCAAACATTGGACCCACCAAGTAGTTTTCCTTGTTTGTTTGTTTTTTGAGACAGAGTCTTGCTGTGTCACCCAGGCTGGTGTGCAGTGACGCGGTCTCGGCTCACTGCAATCTCCGCCTCCCGAGTTCAAGTGATTCCTCTGCCTCAGCCTCCCTAGTACTTGGGACTACAGGCATGAGCCACCACGCCCAGCTAATTTTTGTACTTTAGTAGAGACAGGGTTTCACCATGTTAGCCAGGATGGTCTTGATCTCCTGACCTCGTGATCCGCCCGCCTTGGCCTCCCAAAGTGCTGGGATTACAGGCGTGAGCCACCACGCCCAGCTGACTCACCAAGTCGTTTCAAGAAATGGCTTTTACTTCAGCATCAAAGGCATTTAGGACCAGACTGTTTTAGACATCACTCCAGTGGAAAGGGACAGCTGTCATTTTTCAGATAGGGCCATGACACTAAGGGTCCATGAACCATCGGCAAAGGGAAGCTGGCCACCATTTTCCTTTCTAGAAGGTGTTTGGTTACATTGAGCTTCACCACTCGCACACCCTAGGAAACTTCTTCAGAAACAGAATATAAGGCCAAGCCCCCCAGCTAGGGAGGAAGAGGGAGAGACCTTTGTGGCTTGCCCCCTTGGGAGAAGAAAGCACAGATCCAGGGCCATCGGGCCCCTGCCCTCCCAGCCTCCCTTCGTGCCTGCCTTGGCCGTTCCAAGGATGCTGACAGCCATAAAAAATCAGGCCTGTTAGCAACAGGAAAGATCACAGGCCTTGATTCCTGTTGAGCTCCTCCAACAACAGCTGCCATCTGGCTCCCCATCACGGGCGAATGCAGGCTCTGATTTATGGAGAGGCGCAGGTCAGGGAGTGGGCCACGTGCATTGCCCTTTCCCCCACAAACACCCCAGTGGGCGGGGGCCCAGGAGAGGGCCATTGCAGGTCATCAATAAATCCTGGGGATAAAACAATGCAGAGGTTATTAAAGGGAGCCGAGAGGGGACGGATGCGAGTTATTCCAATTACAGGCACGGTTATCTTCCCCTGTGCAGTTCAAAGTGTATGCACCCTAATGCATTTCAGCAGCTAATAAAAGTACTGTAGGGTTTCTTTTTTCTCTCTCTCTTTCTTTTTCTTCTTTTTTTGAAACCCATAGTGCTTATAAATTACAGGGTAGAGGGGTGTGAAAGATACATAGCAGCTTTGAAGCAGCACTGACAACCTCAAACTAATTGATCATAAAAGGAAGTCAACTGCAATAGATGATGAACCATTTATCTAGCCAAAAATAGCCAACGGTTTCCCTATGGGCATGGGAATGTAAAAAAAAAAAAAATACTAAACTAAAATTAGGGGTGGGCCACGGGAAACAAATGGAATATTTTGAGCCCTTCAGTTGCAGGCACTAAAAGTGGAGGCATTGCAGATGTGACTGTGGCTTTGCGGTGGAAGACCAGGACAGGAGCACCACTCCTATAAACACAGAGGAAGTCCAGACCACTGTGGTCAGCCTGCAGGCAAGAATGCTCTCAAAGCTGATCAAAAGCTTTATCTTCTACATCTTTTTCCAGATGAAAATTTCACCAGAACCCTCAATTGCTGGCCATTAAGTTCCTTTAGCTTTTATTGTGCTAAAATGAAATTGGCTGGAAATGGTAATTTAAATTGCATTGATATAGGCTAATGGGGTGGGGTAGAGAGAACCCAGACAAAGACGCAGGGAAATGATTGTGTTATGCGATATATGTTAAAAGATGTGGTCACGGCCGGGCGCAGTGGTTCACCCCTGTAATCCCAGCACTTTGGGAGGCTGAGGCAGGCGGATCATGAGGTCAGGAGTTCAAGACCAGCCTGGCCAACAGAGTGAAACCCCCATCTGTACTAAAAATACAAAAAAAAAAATTAGCTGGGTGTGGTGGCGGGTGCCTGTAGTCCCAGCTACTTGGGAGACTGAAGCAGTAGAATTGCTTGAACCCAGGAGGTGGAGGTTGCAGTGAGCCGAGATTGTGCCACTGCACTCCAGCCTGGGTGACACGGCAAGACTGTGTCTCAAAAAAAAAAAAAAAGGAAAAGATGTGGCCACGTGTTCTCACGGTTTTCCATTCTAGCAGTGAGTACTCATGGGTCGTAGAGCGTTGCCAAGGTGTTCTGGTCAAACTTGAACAAATAAATAGGAAATACCCTTCTGCACTTCACTGGCTTGCCCTCTCCCAAGATATTGGTCAAGCTATCAAAAATAGTTGGCTCTTCTAAATACTTTTAAATACTCTTGAGCTATCTTGTACATCTGCTTAAAGGCAATCACTTTTTCTTTTCTTTATGTTACAAAATACAACAAAAAGCAATGTTTCAGTCTGCTTTGAGTTCCAATTGCAAATTACACATATCAAAGTTTCCTAGAGGTGGGTTTAGATGAGGCCAATTGGAAACAAACTCAGAGGGGCACCTGCCTCCACTTTCCTGCCCTTTCCATTCCTCCCACCTCTTTCCATGGCTGCCGCTCCTCCTGTGCCACCGGAGTTAACCTTAATTCCACATGGGAAGGTGGATAGCATGGCTCCTGTATGTCCCATTCTATTGCCACCAGCTCATCACTGACAGCGGCTCAGGCCACAGTCCTCACCTCACATTCAAGGCCTCCGGCCGTGGGCCTTGTGCTGGGAGTGACCACACTCTCACCGGCATGCAGCCGCACCTGCCCCTCCACGTCCAGCTGCGTCCACCTGGGGTCAGGGGAGTCTTCAGCTTCCCGCACCTGACCTGGAGCCCTCCCGTGAGCCTCCCTCCAGATGCGGGCAGCTCACTTGTGGTCACTGGTGCGTCCCTTTGTATGCTCTGCTGTCACACAGAGCTGCAGTCCTGTGCTCCCTGCTCTGTGTCCTCCCTCGAGGCATGCTTTCAGGGCTGCAGACAGCCTTACTGCACACATCTTTGTCTCCCCTAGAAGTGCTCAGTGTGCACCACTGGCCCATGGCTTTCATCTGAGCAGGAGGGAGACAGAGTGAACCAGTGAAGGGGACCTGGGCAGCAGAGCCAGGAAGCGACTCGCCAAGGCCACCTAGCCAACACGTGGTAACATGGGGCTCACAGGAGGCTTTTCTGACTCTGCGTCAAGGCTTTTCATCATGAGGAGCTGTCACTTAGCATCTGTTCCCATACATTCAGCCTAGAGTGCACAGCAAGCAATTGTCCAAGAGGCAGGCTTCTGACACTTTGGAACCGGAGGCTTTGCCTGCATGTGTCACCTGTGGGATCTATAAGGGTGCCCATTTCAGATGGTTATTGGAAGAAATTAAGTGAGATAATATGTGCAAAGTTAGGCAGATCACAAGGTCAGGAGATCGAGACCATCCTGGCTAACACGGTGAAACCCCGTCTCTACTAAAAATACAAAAAATTAGCCGGGCTTGGTGGCGGGCGTCTGTAGTCCCAGCTACTCGGGAGGCTGAGGCAGAAGAATCGCTTGAACCCGGGAGGTGGAGGTTGCAGTGAGCTGAGATCGCACCACTGCACTCCAGCCTGGGCGACAGAGCAAGACTCTGTTTCAAAAAAAAAAGATACTATCTGACACAGAGTAAGAACTCAAAAATGTTACCCATTATTAGTTATTAATTACTTCTACTAATGCTCATATGCAAAATAAATGCATCTTCCCATCCAGCAATGAATATCCTCCTTTTTACTGCTACACACACCTCAGAAATAAGCATTCTATCCCCAGAGTTACAATTCTCACTCCCTCATATTTCCATGTTTCTAATGTTCATCCCACGTGTATTTTACCCCACATGGAATGTGTTATGGAGTCCTAATTTCCAATACCCTAACCAGCAGTCCTCATGAACCATCAAAATTATTAGGAAAATACCATTTTCATTACCGAAACTGTATCTCCCGGACTGCCTCTTTCACCTGGAAGTGGAGGTGAGAAAAAAACATGTTTCTAAAATTTAACTCTTTTTTGCATTTGAAAATATGACCCCCTGAGGATACTGGGATGGAAAGCCCTGTCTGTCACCTACCCAGCAGTCACAGAGGAGCTGGGTGTCTCCCTGACCTACGGCCCATCCCCCTCAGCTTTGAGGTCTAAAGTCCTGCAAGGAGAGCCCAAGACATCTCCAAGAAAGCGCTGTGTGCCCCGAGGCTGGGAAAGCCCTGGTTCCTTAAGGCGCTCAATAAGTATTTGCTGAATGAATGAACGAGCAAACTCAACACCTACCCCTGGCGCAGGCACACACAGATACTATGAGGAAGGGGGCATGGCAGGCAAGGGGAGACCCCTGGCTCCTACTGACCCCCCGGAGTGCCCTGAGCAGAGCCTTGGAGGGGTGTGGTTCCCAGGACGGCTTTTGCCCCCTCGGGCCACCCATCAAAAGGCAGCAGTCGCCTGGGGCCTCACACTCAGGGAATCGCTGGGTGTGTACAGCGTGGCCGAGGTGCGGACTTCAACACGCTGTCTCCATCACCCACCACAGCCAAGGTCTGTTTCTGGAGCTCTGCAACGTGAGTATCTCTTCATTATACTACAAGAAGGATTTTTTTTTTCTACCATTGCTGAACTGAATGCTGTTTGGTTCCCATGGTGAGAAAAGGCCTTGGCCTCGGGAGTTGGGCTGGGCAGGGGTGGAACAGCCTCCTGCCCAAGTGGATGGATCAGCCCTCAGGTGGGCTGATTCTGGGGGCTCCTCCAGCAGGGGCTTCCCTTGCCTGCCCTGTTCCTTCCATCCTGTTCCAGATAGCAGCGCATCTCTCAAGTGACTGTGGCTGTCCTCCCCTCCTTTTGTCTTCTCTTCTCTGGAATCTGATAAGAGCTGCATGAGATAATTGGAAGCCAGCCCTCCCCAGATGCGCATCACATAAGAAAGAGCATTCTGACTGGCACGGCTGGGCTGCCGACACTCCCGCTGCTCCTGGCGGGCCAGTGACTTTGATTTATTGCTCTGTGAGTAAATACTAGTAAATAAATGACAGAAATGCCTTTTCCCCTGGTGACTCCCCAGCCCCCGATAATTAACTTGTTCTTCTTTCCTCCCTCTCTTACCAACCATGAAGCAGTGCCGTTCTCTGATGAATGAGTTGCCCATGACTATCTTGCCAACAGGTGTTTCACATAAAAGATGAGCCATCCCAGGAATAGTGTGAAGCAGGTGTTGAAAACTAGAAGCTCACGGGTCAATTTGTCCCATGCAAAATGATTTTAAAGGTTGGGCTTACATTGGGAAAAGCAGATTTCACATGGAAATTTATACTTCAGCCTTCTTTTGGAAACTGGAAGGTCGTCTGGAGATGGTAGGCTTCCATTCCCTCCTGGCAACAAATGCCTGGGCAGGCCCTCCCTTTCCTCTGGCTCTCTGATACCAAAGGCTGAGTATCAGTTGCTGTTTATGATTGTATTTGCTCTGTTGTTTTCTTATACCAGAGACATATTGCTCTTTATCCATATGTTGTGCATTGAAAACGGCTGCAAATTCCTAAGGGCCTTAGGATGAAATAATAAAATATGAGATAGAACACAAGAATTTGAAACCTCACTTTCTTTGCCTACCAACTAAGTGACTGTGGCCAGGGACCACAGATAACTCTTGGAGCCCAGTCATGTGCTCTGAATTGATGATGATAGTGATGATGATGACAATGATGAGATGATGATAAGATGATGACAATGATGATGATATGATGATGACAATGAGATTTGATGATGAGATGATGACAATGATAATGATGACGATGATGATATATGATGACAATGAGATTTGATGAGATGACAATGATAACGATGATGATGATATGATGACAATGAGATTTCATGATAATGATGATGACGATGATGATGATATGAGGATGATGCATCTGTTCAACATTTACTCCATGGCTGCTATGTAGTATTTCATTCATTCCTCACGAGAACCCCTGGGGGGAGGTCTGCTTTATCATTATCCCCATTTAACACATGAGGAGTGGAGGCACTTACAGAGAAAGGCCCTTGCCCAAGTCACACAGCTTAAGTAGGAAACCAGGATTTGAACCTTGATAGTCTAGACCAAATGTGGACAAACTTTTTCAATAAAAAGTCAGATGGTAGATATTTTAGGCTTTGTGGGCCATATAGTCTCTGTGACAGCTACTCAGCTCTGCTGTTGTAGTTCAAAAGCAGCCAGAGACAGTATGTGAACAAATTTGTGTGCTGTGTTCCGATAAAACTTTATTTACAATATTCCCAGATCAGCTAGATTTCGCCTGGGGGCCGTAGTTTTCCTATATGTGGTCTAAAGGAGTGCTGTCCAGTAGAAACAATGCAAGCCACAAATGTGAGCCACATGTATAATTTAACATTTTCTAGCCAAATTTTAAAAGTAAAATTAAGTGAAATTAATACTGTATTTATAAACACAATATACCCAAAATATTTCAAAATGTAATCAATATTTTACATTCTTTTTTCTTTTCTTTTTTTTTTTTTTTACATATTTGAAAGCCAGTGTGTATTTTACACTTAGTGCCCATCACTGCTTGGACCAGCCACATTTCAAGTGCTTGATGGCCACATGAGGCTGGTGGCTACACAGAGGACCTGGAAGTTCTAGAACCCAGCTCTTTCAACCCTCTTCCATGGGGATCACCAGGACTGTAAAGCACAAGACCCACTAGGGAAGTGCTCTTGTTGTTACTGGATTCAGCTGAGCCTCTTGGATGGGTTCCAGCCCATCCAAGAATGTTTGAAACACTCCAAGACTTTAATTTTAATTTAGCAACCTGGTACTCAGAATACATTTTTCCTCAGAAACAACTCTGTAAATTGCCATAGGTGCTCTGAGCCCTCCCACCAAGCTCTCATTAATGGGCACTATACCTGTTGAGCAAAGTGTAGCTTGAATCACCCCTAGTGGCCGTTCAAAGGTTACTTTCTGTTAGCTTTAACTAAGGATTCTGGGGAAAGACTGTGCCCCAGAGCAGCAGGACACAGCCGGCGCCCCCTGAGCTTTGGTGGGGTGGCTGCCCATGGAGCTCTGTCGCTCTTGCTGGTGCCAGCTACAGATGCCCTTGCCGAAGTTCTGGGAAGGCACATTCCTAAGTCAGAGACACCCAGCCCATGTTCCTCTTCATCAGGCTCTTGGATAAAGCTTCTAGTGTGTCTTTATCATCGTTTCCTGAAGGCACACCTCAGGCCTTGGGAAAGTAAGCAATGGAACATTCAGCAGTGATTCCCAGGCTGTGAAATTTCACAGGCCAATCAAAATTTTAAAATAAAAGAACTGGAGCACCTATATAAGATGGCCAACTTGTAATTTTTCCAAGTGAGCACATTAAGGAAAAAAAAAAAAAAAGAAACCTAGCATCTATGGGCCCTATCATTCTCACACCAAATCATGTTAGAATGATATTTTAACACCAGTAAAAGAAAGACAGTCTCAGAATCAATGACAATTTTTTCAGTTGAGTAAATTTGGCTTGGTGGGAAAAATGCACATCACTGCCTTTATTTTTATTTTATTTTATTTTTAACTTTTATTTTAAGTTCAGGGGTACAGGTTTGTTACATAGGTAAACTTGTGTCTTGGGGGTTTGTTGAACAGATTATTTCATCACTCAGGTATTAAGCCTAGTACCTATTAGTTATTTTTCCTGATCCTCTCCCTCCTCTCACCCTCCACCCTCCGAAAAGGCCCAATGTGTGTTGTTCTCCTCTATGTGTCCATGTGTTCTCATCATTTAGCTCCCACTTATAAGTGAGGATATGCAGTATTTCGTTTTCAGTTCCTGTGTTAGTTTCCTAAGGATAATGACCTCCAGCTCCATCTGTGTTCCTGCAAAGGACATGATCTCATTCTTTTTTATGGCTGCATAGTATTCCAGGGTGTAGAGGAACAACATTTTCTTTATCTAATCTATCATTGATGGGCATTAGGTTGATTCCATGTCTTTTCTATTGTGACTAGTGCTGCAATGAACATGATACATGCATGTGTCTTTATAATAGAATGATTTATATTCCTTTAGTAATGGGATTGCTGAGTTAAATGGTATTTCTGTCTCTGGGCCTTTGTGGAATCACCACACTGTCTTCCACAATGGCTGGACTAATTTACACCCCACCAACAGAGTGTAAGTGTTCCTCTTTCTCCACAACCTTGCCATCTTCTGTTATTTTTTTTTTTTAATCAAGCCATTCTGACTGGTGTTAGATGGTATCTCATTGTGGTTTTGATTTGCATTTCTCTAATGATCAGTGATGCTGAGCTTTTTAATGTTTTGCCAAGGACCATGAAAACTTCACCTCCAGAGCAGAGGCTCTGGGGCTAGCATTTGGAAACCCCTATCTCCTAGAAGCATTCACTGTAGTTGTATAGAGTAATTGAAGGTTCTGGACAGAAAAGAGAGGGAAGAGCATTGGAACACCTAGAAATGGAGCCATCAGGAGGAAGGTGGCCTCCCTCTAAGGGTTTCAGGTGAGAGGAATCAATACAGCATCAAATATATCTTTTATTGGCACAAATATCTTATGCTTGTTTCTTGTGGTAGACACTGTATTTGCACACCCTTTTTACTTTTACTTTTGATCCTTCTAGAACCACCACAAGATAAACAGGAGAGATACTTTGTGCATTTTACAGATTAATGGTAACAAGTACAGAATTCCAAGGATCACTGCTATGGTTTAAATGTTCGTGTCTCAAAAATTCCCATGTTGGAACTTAATACCCAATGTGGTAGTATTAAGAGGTGGGACTTTTGGGAAAGTGATTAAGTCATGAGGGCCCCACTCTGAGGAATGGATTAACGCTCTTACAAAAAAGTTGGTGAGCCCTAGTTCCTCTTTGCCCTTCCCTCTCTCCCACCATGTGAGGACACAGCATTCATGCCCCTTCACCCTCCATGGTGTGAGGATGCACTAGAGGTGCCATCTTGGAAGCAGAGAGCAGCCCTTACCAGACACTGGATCTCTAGTGCCTTGACCTTGGACTTCCCAGCCTCCAGAATCCAAAAATCAGTTCCTAATATTTATAAATTACCCAGTCTAAGGTATTTAGTTATAGCAGCATGAACAGGATAAGATAATCACAAATATATATGTACACATTTGGATATTTTGGAGACTTTTTACTATACCCAAGCAATGTGTTTGGAGAAATTAGTGCTCTTGGATTATATAAATTCCCGTCACTCATTTGTAACCCATCTGTAGAGCAGTAATAATAATACTCAGTGACAATGAGGACCTCATGAGTTTCCGTAAAAGGTTTTCTCCTCATCAGTGGGCAGTAGCCCCCAGCCACCTCCTCTCTGCTGCCAACAGGGATCTGAGTGCCTTTGCCCAGGCTCAGTGCTACTCAATGCCTTAACTTTCTGTTTCCTTTCTAAAAGGTTGCTGCTTCTCTCCTGTTTATGATGACCCTGTCTCACCCATCGCTGCCATAGCATTTTATTACTGGCCCCACAGCTGAAGGGTGGCCGGGCAGATGTAGGCCTCGGGTTTGCAAAGTTGCTTCCATGATGTTTCCTGCATAAACCATCTTGGAAGGACAACTGCCAATGGTAGCATATTATCATGCCAGCGTTTTCCTGACTCTGAGCTGAAGAGTTCAAAAAACAAGAAAGAAAAGAAGAGAGAGAAAGGAAAAGGATGCCAAAAAGCAGTATCTTGCAATGGACATTTCCAGCTCCATAAATGAGGAGTTCATGTAGATATTCTGGGAACTATTGAAGTGGTCTGGGATTATCCCATCTCCCCACCTCCACCCTGACTCCCCAAGACATTTTTTTAAAACCAGGCTTCTGTTACTAATTGTTCCTTCTTAACTCACCATCCAGTGCTTTGAAGTAACTATATTAAGGCAACAGACATACTGTAAGCAAATGGCAGAGTACTGAAATACGGAACCCAAAATTATTTTCAGCTTAATACTAATCTATTTCACCCTTCACAATCTCTGGAATTTTGCTTTGACTGGGAATCAATGTTTGATGAAAAAGTCTTCCCTTCTTATGTTTGCATCTAGCAAAGGTTAGGCCTTAAATGCCCCTCCTTTTTTTCCACAGGACTTCATGTGCAAGCGCTTTGCCTTAATGAGTACTGCAGCAAATGCACAGTGAGGGACTCTTACCCAAGGTGGGAACAGCAAGCAGTGGATTGAAAGGGCTGGGACCCTGGACCCAGGCTTGTTCTTGGATCACAGGTTACCTTTGGGGCTTGAGGCCTGGGAGGGAGGATGAGACACGGGCTGTTGGTAAACTTGTCCATATCTTCAGCAATCTTTCTTGTAGAAGGTGCCTGCAAGAACCTTGCTCACCATGAGAAAACATATGTGCTGCCTCCGTGTAGTTCTTGCCTGAGTTTTAACTTCATTAACATTTTCCCCTGTTCTCTCCCACTACCCTTCCCACAAAGGCAAAGACTTAAGGTATTGATGTGTGGCTGTAGGGAGAATGCCACTGCTTTGTGTGCCACAGACGGCACTTCCCCATCTTCAATGTGCCCACCTGGGCATCCTGTCCGCAGATTCAGATTCAGGAGGTGGAGGCAGAATCTGCATTTCTGCCTGTGCCACTGGCGCCCACCCTCACTTACAGTGACAGGCTCTAGACTGCGTTTGGCTTCTGCCTTTTCACTCTGAACTGCTACAAGATCACCTTCCTTGCTGGCAGTACACCTCGTCTGTTGCCTTTAAGTGCCGTAAACCGCTCTGCTTCAGGCACCTCTCACATGCAGTCCCCCTCTCCTCTAGAGTGTGCTGCAATGAAGCACACAGTTGAGGGGGACATGACCCCCATGACCCGTGAGCAGGTAGAAGCAGAATTGCTGCATGCGGGCTTCGTGTGTTCGTAAGTGCTGCCTAGCCGGGCATGGTGCTCATGCCTGTAATCCCAACACTTTGGGCGGGCAGATCACTTGAGCTCAGGAGTTTGAGGCCAGCCTGGCCAACATAGTGACACCACGTCTCTACTAAAAATACAAAAATGGTGGCATGTGTCTGTAATCCCAGCTACTTGGGAGGTTGAGGCAGGAAGATCACTTGAACCCAGGAGGTGGAGGTTGCAGAGTGAAAATAATAATAATAATAATAATAAAAGTGCTGCCAGATTGCTTTTAAACAAGCCCTGCCTCCTGTTAAAATAGTGTTGCTAAGACTGTTCACTATTATCCCAAATAAAACTTCCATAATAGTAACAGTAATATTCAAGATAGGCAAACATGGTGGAGGGGAGGTTCCCACGGATGGCAGCCTAAGGGAAATGTCAAGGCGAGGACAGACATGGCTAATGAGGAGACTGCCTTGTGGCATATCACTTAACCACATTCTCTTGTCTCCAAGAAACCTAGAATGAAATCTGTGCTGCCTGCTACAACCTGTGGCTTTGGATTTTCTCGAGGCCCCAGAGCGTCAGGTAATATCTTGGAGCCCCACTTTTCATGTTTCAGCTCACTGGTTCCCACCTCACCTTTGAGAGGGCTATTAGCCACCCGCTTTCACAGACGAGAAAGCAAAGGCCCCGCTCCTCCCCCACTCTTATCTCTAGGCTGTACCGGCTCCCTGGGGTGGTGATAAAGTAGTGAGTTCCATTTCTGGGTGAGACTTCCCAGGGAGTCTCACCTTGTAGGAGGAAATACTTTCATAACACACAGGAGAGGAAACTGAGGCACAGAGGAATTAAAAGTCACTCACCTCAGTCACACTCATGAGATGGAGAGGCAGTGTTGCTTGGCTCTGCAGCCCAGGTCTGGAGGCGGGGGGAGCACACTCATCACCCCTCTCATGTACCCCCTGCAGAAGTCACTTGATTGTTTTACCGAATTGCAGAACATCCATTTAACTCAGGATTCAAAATGAGAGCTCACAAGCTTTGAAAGGGCAGAAAGTGAGACCATTTTCTGCCCCTTCCAACCTCTGCCTTCTGCTTGTGAGTCAGGCACTGCTGGTTTCATCCCACAACCTGGAACACGGGGAAGCCAACGTGCATGACGTCCATGCGCCATGGGCTCCATCCAAACTCTCCCCATTTCTTTCCACAGAGGAAGTTTTCCGAATGGCACTCTGCGTGGGAAGGAGCTTGTGCACGTGCACGCTGCCACCATCTGCCCTCAGCGCTGATTCAGGAGGCGCTTCTCAACTATAGCCCACAGTGTGACAACTGAACGTGTCCCCTCACGTTTCCAAATACGGGGGGTGCAGGAGGCACTGCTCACTGTTGCACCCCCTGACCCACGCTGCCAGTCCTGCCCTCACTGCTGGGTGCTCACTGGGACCCTGGAAAGGTCTAGCTGAGCCTTTTAGGGCATGAGGATGTTGGGAGAATAGAGGTGGCTCCTCTGAGAAGCCTGAGAAGTGTGAGTGTATAAATGCAGGCTGAGGTCGTGTCTCCCTGGGATTGAATTCACCCAACCTCACCCTCCGTGTAGCGCAAATGCCCAGCTCCTCCAGGGAAGTGTTCATGGCCAGAGTCCCATGTTCCCTGCCATCAGCAAGGCCCTGGCGCCATTACTTACAGGATATGGCACCTCCCCCAACACCAGTGACCATCATCTCTCTCCTCCTCCTCCTTCTTTCCCCTCCTTCCTTCCCCTCCTCCTCCTCCTCCTCTTCTTCTTCACTAGATACACTTGTTATATCTCCCAATGGGACAAAAATAGTCTCATCATTATCATGTGCCTCCTTCTCCTCCCTGTCTTCCTCAGAGGTTGATACGTGATTGACACGGTTTGGCTCTCCCTGAAATGGTTTGGCTGTATCCCCACCCAAATCTTACCTTGAATTATAATAATCCCCATGTATCAAGGGTGGTACCAGGTGAAGGCAACTGAATCATGGGGGGCAATTACCCCCATGCTGCTGTTCTCGTGATAATGAGTGAGTTCTCATGAGATCTGATGATTTTATAAGCGACATTTCCCCCTTTGCTCAGCACTTCTCCTTCCTGCCACCATGTGAAGAAGGACATGTTTGCTTCCCCTTCCATCATGATTGTAAGTTTCCTGAGGCCTCCCCAGCCCTGTAGACCTGTGAGTCAATTGAACCTCTTTCCTTTATAAATTGCTCAGTCTTGGGCAGTTCTTTGTAGCAGCTTGAGAATGGACTAATACAGTGATAAAATATAAATTGGAATTTTCAGTGTGCTCACACCATAAGGAAGAGAACAGTGTCATTTCTGGGTCAGAAAATGTGACCACCATAGAATTTTCTCATATCTAGAACTGTCCGGTATTTATAGCTCAGGATGCTGGTACAACTTTCTGAGATAGAGAATTATATCCTCACATAGAAGCTGCTGTGTGGCCCTCCTTACCCTTGGTCACTCATGGTTGGGTGAACGGACCCAAAGACAGAGACCAAAAAATCAAATTCTTGGATTTTCAGTTCTGAATAGACACTTGAAACTCAAAGGCCATGGCCTTGTAAGCCCAGACTCTAATTTGTAAAAGTTGAGGGTTTTCAGAGAAGAAAAGAACCAGGGCTCCCTGCCAGGTGTCGCACCCTGGGCCTCACGGAGGCCTCCTCTTTCATCACATGGCACAGTGACATTTCTGCTGAAAACAGAAAAGGCTTCCTTCCTAGGACCTACCGTCTCTACTCTTCCACCTTTCTTTTCTCCATTTCTTTCACCTGAAGGCTTCACCACCAAAGGTTGGAACATTTTCCTGCTATTTCATTACACTTGAGATTCCAGGCAAAGAAATTCCGAGTTCAAACAGCAAGGTAATGCCATGAATAATAAAACGTGTCAAGCTTTTCTGGCATAGGAACAAGAACGTGATATAGACACACACTACCTAATAGAAGAGAAGGCCCAATTTCAACCACATAAAGGGTTCAAGAAGTTCTGTGTTGGTTCCTCCTTCACATAAAATAAACACTGGAGATTCCAGGGACAGAAGAGCAGGGAGCTGCAGATGCGCTGAGGATTTCATTGCCATCTAGTGTAAAACCCCGCTATGAACATTACCATCACTGATTTTTACGTTATTAAGAGATGGGCCCTTTTATTGCACTGGTGTCATGAAAACAACAAAATCCCACATGAAGTTAGGCACAACTCAGGACTGCCCTTTTGCAGAACATGGCTTTTTAGTTATAGGATTCTCCAAGGTGGTCTCACAAGTTTCTAATGAATTGGGTTGGGAAGCTACTGCTTTAGAAGGCAGAAGCAGTTTCAAGAGTGTGCTCTGGGTATAAAAGTCATGGGTGCAGAAGGATATCAGCCCCTTCCTAGGTAATTCCATCTCTGCTCACTAGTCCTGAGTCTGAGAAATTGTCATCATAAATTAGGCAGACAGGACTGCCAGAAGCCAATCCAGAACATGAATTTATAACCCAGGGCTATTGTATAGCTTCCTGTGACCTCTTACACGGAGCCTCCCTCTGTCTTCAGGATCAGGCCAACCTTAGAATCTCTGACTACTAGAGGCTTGACTTGCAGTGAAACCCGTCCTAATTGATGAAGATCCTGTATCGAGTTAGAGAAATGGAAGAAACGACGCGGGGGTCTGGTTTGCCAGCCAACAGCTGTGGCTTAAATCTGAGTCCTTTGGAAAGAAAGGAAGGCATTCCTTTTATTTCTAATATGGCTAAGGTGGTGAGTGAATAACTGGATTGAATAATTGATGCTATATAAAAGCTGGACTGCAATCGTTTTAGCCCTACCTGGGCTGGGCTGATCTGTCTTTCATGCGATGGTGCTTACAACTTAATAGCCCAGACCTGGGGAATGTTCTGTCTGACAATTATGTAATTACTATTGGGACTGTGGGCTAATACCACACCCTGTGGATGGTTCCATAAGGAATAGATATGGTCACTGCCCTGGGAAGCGGGAGGTTCTAGTATGAGAAACGGGGGGTCTGGAAGTGGAGCTTAGAGATGGGATTATGTGCTTCCTCCTCCCCGGAGCCTCAGGGTCATTTCTGCCCAGAGTTTGCAGTGCAGCAATGCTCAGAGCACTTCCCACAGCAGGAAGAGAGCGCTCCTGGTGAGGACTCCTAGAAGGGGCTGGACTATGCATTTCCTGTGAATTCTCCTCTGTGCCGTATTTCCATCCTGCGCTTCTCAAACTTCAGCCTATTCTTTTTTTTTTTTTTTTGAGGCGGAGTGTCGCTCTGTTGCCCGGGCTGGAGTGCAGTGGCGCTATCTCAGAGGCTCACTGCAAGCTCCGCCTCCTGGGTTCACACCATTCTCCTGCCTCAGCCTCCCGAGTAGCTGGGACTAAAGGTGCCCGCCACCACGCCCGGCTAATTTTTTGTATTTTTAGTAGAGACGGGGTTTCACAGTGTCAGCCAGGATGGTCTCAATCTCCTGACCTTGTGATCCGCCCGCCTCGGCCTCCAAAAGTGCTGGGATTACAGGCGTGAGCCACCGCGCCTGGCCAAACTTCAGCCTATTCTTATAAAAAGATACAGTCCGAGGTGGGGCACGGTGGCTCACACCTGTAATTCCAGCACTTTGGGAGGCCAAGGCAGGAGGACCGCTTGAGGCTAGGAGTTCAATACTAGCCTGGCTGACATAGGAAGACCCCATCTCTAAAAAAATAAATAAATAAGCAAATTAGCCAGACATTGTGGTGCACGCCTGTGGTCCCTGATACTTCAGAGGCTGAGGTGGGAGAATCACTTGAGCCCAGGAGGCCAAGGCTGCAGTGAGCAGGGTCACGCCACTGCACTCCAGCATAGGTGATAGCAAGATTCTGCCTCAAAAACAAATGAAACAAAGGGTACAGTCTGGTGTCTGCTATGATAGAGAATTGACAAAGGGGCTGGTCAGTGACACAGAGGAGAGCAAAGTGCCTCACTGGGAACATGCCGTTGCTGGGGATAGTGATGCCCACTGGTCAGTGTTTCAAGGGCCACCAGCAGCAGCAGTGCACAGGCACCCATTGCTAAGGAGACCTGTACTCTGCCCTGCCCAGGAAGTTCTTCATCTCTGTGTGCATGCAGCTTAGTTCCTGCTCCTTCAGCCAAGCTAACGCGGAAGCCCTAGAGCATCTGGACCAAGCAAGGAAGCCGGCAGGAGCCTCTGCACTGCCTATGAATTTGACCAACGGGACTTGGGGTAGTTTTACATTTAGTATCACATCTCCTAACATTCATTCTTCCCTTCTTTCTTTAGCAACAGAACCCCTGAAATTTACCTGGCTGTGTAGCTGCCCAAAATAAAGACTTTCCTTTCCCACCACCCCTGCAGCTCCATGTGGTGTGTGGGCAAATCCTGGCTGATGGGATGTGGGTAGAAGAGACGTGTGCTCAGGAAGATGGCCCACGCAGGGAAGGAGCAGGTCTTGCGCTCCTCTCCATCCCACTTGCCAGAAAATTGCTGCAGTGGACACTGTGGCACTATAGGTTCTGTGGACGCCACGGGCATGGTGGTGAGCACCTTCAGCTGCATGGAAGAGGTGTCATTTCAGGGCGGTTCTGCACACAATCTGCCCTGCACACAGGAGCTACTGTATGAACCTCGCTCCCAGTGTGTGAGGAGAGAAGGACAGAAATTGGGTCAGCTTTGATAAACTTTCATAGTACCTTGATATTGCCTTGACCTTCAAGCACATGATCTGTGGACCCACCTCAATATATTGACCAGGCCTGGGCATGAGTCAGGCACTTTTTAAGCCCAATAAAGCTACATAGGGGTCTGAGATCGATTGGAAATTTAAATGATACTAGAAATAATGACAGTCGTACTCCAGATTGTGTGAGAAACACATCTGTAAGGGACGGCAGAGTCACGGAGAAAAGGAGGCAGGGCCTGGGTACCATGGAACCAGCCGAACAGCCCCACCACGAATCCTCCTACCTTTAGAGAAGAGAGAAACTCTTCCCTGGTTTAAGCTGTCATATTTGGGGGCCCATTTGTTTCTCAGCCTAAGCTGTACCCCGTCGGGTGTGCCTATATGTGAATAGCGTGTGGGCTCAGCTGATGGACCAGACATTCCATGTACTGGCGCATAACATTCTGACTCGCGTGCAGTAAGAACAAAAGGAAATACAGCCCAATTTGGTAAAATTCTCTCACAGCCTGGAAAAGAGCATCCCGAACAGTGGAGAGGAAGAGGGAGTGAGGCCCTGTGGACACAGCAGAGGTAATGAGAGAGGAGTGCTTGGTGGATGGGGATTGGATGGAGGCTTTCCATGGGCACCGATGAGCCATCCCCATGGCATTCCCAGAAACGGGTGGGGATGGACTTTGCAAAGAGAAGGGTTTCTTATGTAAATAGGTTGAAAGATATGGTCTTGGGGGCTAGAAGAGGGGCTACCATGTGACTATAAAGACTTTTAATATTTGGACTCTACCTTCCAGGAATCCACAATGGATTTGCAGCAGGCTGGTGGAGGCAGAGCAGAGAAGGGCGGGAGAGGGCCAGCGAAGGCCTGGGAAGGTGGACCCACAAACTCGTCTCCTAATGAAGCTAACCAGCAATGCGAGGGCACACAGGGAGACCCCCTAGAGGCTGCCCCAGGCCAGGAGTCACCTGTGAACTGAGGTGGCCAAGGCAGGTTCTGTGGCAGAGGGTGAATGCCTGCAGATGAGAACCAGCCGCGGTGCCCAGAAAGGAACAGTGTGCGGGTGAGGCGGGCTCTCCACTTTGCTGTATCCTCCCCAGGCCCCCACCCCCAGCACGTGGGCAGTGAGGTGGGGAATCCTGCCCACAGCACAGAAAATGCTCTAAACAGAATCAGCTTGCAAGCAAATCAGTGACATGTCCAGATGCAGGGCTGGGGGTCCCGAGACAGGCTAACACCCAACAGCAACCTGATTCATACTCAAAATAGTGACAAACAGGCTCCTGTCTGCAAGGCTCCTCAGTGAGGCTGGGGGAGGGGTGCGTGGCTTCAGCAGGGGGAACAGGAAGTGCCTTCCAGTCCAAGTGTGTTTGAGGTTTGTGCATTATTTGGCACAATGATGGCTGGGAATTTGTTTGTTACATTTAAGTAGAGCTTTTTATGTTTGAATCGAAAGCACACAAAAAAGCCCATTGTAGAAAATCAGGCTCTATTATGACATAAATGTGCATTATATAAAGCAAAACGAAAAGGGGAAAAAAAGAAAGGGTTTTAAAGAACAAATAAACCACAGAGCTTATAGATTATGGGAGAGTCTGAGGGTAACGGGAAAGGGTCCAACATGCTCTTCTGTTCTCTGCCAGGCCTGACGGGAGCCCCCATCAATACAACCAGCTCCTGCTCAGAACTCTCTTCAGGCAGACAAATAGAAGATATGTTTCTACTTCCCCAGGCCTCAGCACCATGACTATTCTAGTCCCAGTGGATACCCTGCTTCAGGTTTTATGCAGCTGAGTTGAAAAAGAATAACAGAATAGGAGGAAAACAAGGGGAAGAAGGTAGGTGGGACGCCCCAAATCATCTTGAGTGCACTCCATAAAAGAAAGAGGCATTAAAGCAGCCCCCTCTCCTATCTCAAGCCATCCTTCAACTTATAGGGACTTTGCACATAGTTGCTGCAGGTTGGCCTGCCTCTGTCAGAGGTGTTTAAACCAGATTGACTCTCTCTTGTATAGGGGCTGGGTAAAATGAGGCTGAGACCTACTGGGCTGCATTCTCAGGAGATTAGGCATTCTAAGTCACAGGATGAGATAGGAGGTCGGCACAAGATACAGATCACAAAGACCTTGCTGATAAAACAGGTTGCAGTAAAGAAGCCGGCCAAAACCCACCAAAACCAAGATGGTGACGAGAGTGACTCTGGTCGTCCTCACTGCTACACTCCCATCAGCGCCATGACAGTTTACAGATGCCATAGCAACGTCTGGAAGTTACCTGTACGGTCTATAAAGGGGAGGCATGAATAATCCACCCCTTGTTTAGCATATCATCAAGAAATAACCATAAAAATGGGCAACCAGGAGCCCTTGGGGCTCCTCTGCCTATGGAGTGGCCATTCTTTTATTCCTTTACTTTCTCAATAAACTTGCTTTCACTTTATTCTATGGACTCGCCCCGAATTCTTTCTTGTGAGAGATCCAAGAACCCTCTATTGGGGTGTGGATCAGGACCCCTTTCCAGTAACACCCCTATTGTGAGAAGATGCCTTAAATGGCTGGAGTTCTGGTGCTGAGCTGTGTTTTCACTCTGGGTAGTTTGTTGTTAGCTTTTTTAACAGCTTAATTGAGATATAGGTAAGATATAGTTCACTAGTTAAGATACAGTTCCGTTCTGGTGTTGCTGTAAAGGAATACCTGAGGCTGGGAAACTTACAAGAAAAGAGGATTGTTTGGCTCATGGTTCTGCAGGCTGTACCAGAAGCATGGCACCAGCATCTGCTTCTGGTGAGGCCTCAGGAAGCTTCCAATCATGACAGAAGGCCAGGGGGAAGCAGGCAGAAGTGTTAGCAAGACAGAAGGAGAAGAAGGAGGCCGGGCATGGTGACTCATGCCTGTAATCCTAGCACTTTGGGAGGCCGAGGCGGGCAGATTACCTGAGGTCGGGAGTTCAAGACCAGCCTGGCCAACATGGTGAAACCCCGTCTCTAATAAAAATACAAAAAATTAGCCGGGTGCAGTGGTGCACACCTGTAAACCCAGCTACTCTGGAGGTTGAGGCAGGAAAATCGCTTAAACCCAGGAGGCGGAGGTTGTGGTGAGCTGAGATCACGCCACTGCACTCCAGCCTGGGCTACAGCAGAGTGAGACTTTGTCTCAAAAAAAAAAAAAAAAGAGAGAGAGAGGGAGAGAAGGAGGGGACCCAGACTCATTCAACCAACCAGATCTCATGTGAACTAAGTGAGAACTCACTCACCAACAAGGGGATGCCACTAAGCCATTTGTAAGGGGTCCACCCCTTGATCCAGTCACCTCCCACCAGGCCCCACCTCCAACGCTGGAGATCACATTTCAACATGAGATTTGGAGGGGACATCCAAACTATGGATGCCCTCCAATGCCCACATATGGTACAATTCACTCATTTCAAGTGTACAATTCAGGGGGCTTAAGTATATTCACAGATATGTGTATCTGTGAACAGAAGCATGTATCATCACAGTCAATTTCAGAACATTTTAATCACCTCAAAAAGAACTCGAAACTCTTTAACCATGACCTCCAGCACTCCCAGTCCCCAATTCTAGGCAGCCATTAATCTACAAAATTGTAAAGCCAGTCAGATTTAAGAGCAGGGGATAGTAGACCAGCTTCAGTGGCACTAATGTTAATAAGTTCTGATAACCTACTACCATCGGACCAGCCTCTAATCTTTATTATTTTCTTTTTCTGCTTCTTGTAGGTTTAGCTCTTCTTTCTCTAATGTTGGAAGGTGGAAGTTTAGGTTATTGGTTTCAAATCTTTCTTCTTTTTTCTTTACATTAAATTATTTATTTATTTAGTAAAAACAAGGTCTCACTATGTTGCCCAGGCGGATCTTGAAATCCCAGTGTCAGGTGATCCTCCTACCTTGGCTTCCCAAAGTGATGAAATTATAGGCATGAAGCATAAGCCACTGCACCCGGCCTTCCTTTTTCTTTCCTTTTCTTTTCTTTTTTGGGTACAGGGTCTTGCTCTGTCACCCACACTGGAGTGCAGTGGCACAATCATAGCTCACTGTAGCCTCAACCTTGGCTCAAGCAATCCTCCCACCTCAGCCTCCCAAGTAGCTAGGACTACTAGCATGCACCACAAGGCCCAGCTAATTTTTATTTTTATTTTGTTGTAAAGACAGGGTCTCATTGTGTCGCCCAGTATGGCCTCAAACTCCTTGCTTCAAGCAATCCTCCCACCTCAGCCTCCCAAAGTGCTGAGATTACAGGTGTGAGCCACTGTGCTCGGCCTTCTTTCTTAATATAGGCATTACAGCTATAAAGTTCCCTCTAAGCACTGCTTTCACTGAATACCAAAAGTTATGGTATATTGTGTCTTGATTTTCATTCATCTCAGACTCTTTTCAGATTTCCCTTTTGACTTCTTTGACCTGCTGGTTATTTGGGAGCGTGTTGTTTTATTTCCACTTATCTACGAGTTTCCCAAATTCTTTCTACTCTCTACTTTGATTTCTACTTTCATTTCACTGCAGTCACAGGACATACTTTTGTATTATTTCGGTCTTCTAAATTTACTTGTTTGTTTTATGGCCTAGCACATGGCCTATCATGGAAACCATGCCATGTGCATTTGAGAAGAATGCAGATTCTGTTGTTGTTTGGTGGAGCGTTCTATAGATATCTGTTAGGTATCATTTGTTTATAGTGTTGTTTAGGTCCTTTATTTCTTTGTTGATCATTTGTCTAGTTGTTCTATCCCTTATTGAAATTGGGGTATTAAAGTCTACAATTATTATTGTTGAATTGGCTATTTCTCCCTTCATTTCTTTCTGTTTTTCCTTCATGAATTTTAGTACATTATTAAGTGGATTTATGTTCATAATTGTTATATCTTCCTGATGAGTTGATCTTTTATCATTATAAAATATCCTTCTTTATCTCTAATAACAGTTTTTGCTTTAGAGTCTATTTTGTCTGATATCAGTATAGCCACTCTAGCTTTTATGTGGTGGTTGTTTGCATAATACATCTTTTTTCCTTGCTTTTATGTTCAGTCTGTTTGTATCTTTGAATCTAATGTGTGTCTCCTGTAGACAGCATATAGTTGGATCACGTCTTTTTTATTCTAGTGTGACAATTTCTTTATTTTGATTGGATTGTTCATTCACATTTTAATGTTATTATTGATATAATTAAATTTATGTCTGACATTTTGCTTTTTATGTTCTATATGTCTCATATCTTTTTTGTTCCTCTATTCTCCCTTTACTCTTCTTTTGTATTAAGTGAATATCTTTGAATGTAGCATTTTATCTTCTTTACTGATTTGTTTCACTATATTATTTTAGTTTTTTTAATGGTTGCTCTGAGTTTACCCTATACATCTTATCAGAATCAACTTCTGATTTATACTATTAGTAGCTTTATTCCAATGATATGTAGAAACATTATGCTTATATAGCTATATTCCCTTTTCTCCCATCTTTGTTGCAGAATCATTATTGTACATATTAGATCTATTAATGTTACAAACCCAACAATACATTTTTATAATTATTATTTTACCATCTATCTTCACTTTCTTAGTTCAATAGAGCTTTGCTTTCTCCCACCTCCTTTGTGCATTACTGGTAAATATGTATATCCTACATATTTATACATTATAGACCCCAAAATATATTATATACATATTATTTTATACTAACTTTTAAAATCAGTTAAGAGAAGGGAAAAAAATTTGTGTTTAAACTATCTTTTATAATTACAGAGTTACCTGTGGTGTTTGTTTGTTGCATGTGAATTCAGATTACATTTTGGGGTCATTTTTTCTCAGCCTGAAAAACTTCTTTTACTATTTTCTGTAAGGCAGGTCTGCTAGCAGCAAATTCTCTCACATTTTGTTTATCTGGGAAAGTCTGTATTTTGCCTTCATTTTTAAAAGAAAGCTTTGCTGGATATAGAATTCTTGGTTTATAGTTTTTTTTTTTTTTTTTTTTTTTTTAGAGTAATTTTTCTCTTGCTCCTTTCAAGATTTTCTCTGTATCTTTAATTCAGCATTTGTACTATGATGTGGCTGTTTAGTATCTCTTTGCTTTTATTTATCTTACTTGAAGTTTGTTGAGCTTTCTGGATGTGTAGGTTATTGCTTTTCAATAAACTTGGGAATACTATGAACAGTTCTATGCCCAAAAATCTGATAACTTAGATGAAATAGACCAATATTTTGAAGGATGCAATCTAGAAAAACTCACACAAGAAGAAATAGACAATCTGAATAGGCTTATATTTATTAAAGAAATTGAATCAATAATTAATAACCTTCTAAAACAGAAAGTACCAGGCCCAGATGAGTTCATTGGTGAATTCCACCAACACTTCAGGAAGAAACTATACCAATTCCCTTATAAGCTCTTTCAGAAGATAGATGAAAAGGGAATACTTTCTAACTCATTCGATGACGCTAGCATTATCCTAGTACCAAAAGCAGAAAAAGACATTACAAGAAAAGAAAACTACAGACAAATATCTATCAGTAAATTTGGGGAGCTTCCAGACACTAGTTCTTCAGAAAAAAAAAAAATTGAGACAGGGTCTCGCTCTTTCACCCAGGCTGGAGTGCAGTGGCACGATCATAGCTTACTGTAGTGCAGAAATCCCGAGCTTAAAAAAATCTTCCACCTCAGCCTTCTGAATAGCTGGGACTACAGGTGCACATCACCACACCCAGCTATTTTTTTTAACAGAGGTGAAGTCTCACTAGGTTGCCCAGGCTGGTCTCAAACTCCTGAGCTCAAGTGATCTTCCCACTTAATCTTCAAGATTTTTCTGCTCCTTTCTCTCCTTTCCTTCTGATACTTCCATTACATGTATGTTGGTGCACTTAATGGTGTCTCACATTTTCTGAAGTGCTCTTCACTTTTCATTATTCCTTCTTCTGTTCTTCAGCTTGCATAGTCTCTATTGATCTATCTTCAATTTCACATATTCTTTCTTCTGCCAGTTCAAATCTACTTTTGAGCCCCTTTAGTGAATATTTCATTTCAATTATTGTACTTTTCAAATCCAGAATTTCCATTTGATTATTCTGTCTCTCTGTTGGCATTCTCTATTTGATGGAACATGGTCATCATCCCTTCTTTTAGCTCTGTGAACATGCTTATAACAGGTTTTTTGAGGGTTTTTTTTTTTTCTTTTTTTTGACAGGGTCTCACTTTGTCACCCAGGCTAGAGCACAGTGGTGTGATAGATGCCTAGCCTCACTCTCCTGGGCTCAAGCAATCCTCCCACCTCAACCCCTCAAAGTGCTGAGATTACAGGCACACTCAGCCTATGTCTTATCATTCTTAAAGTTAGTTTCTTTCTCTGCTTTTTTTCAGGTGTATGGATCATATTATACTTTCTTGTTTGTTTGCATGCCTTGTAATTTTTTGTGAGAAACTGGACATTTTAGATAATATATTCTACTGACTCTGGATATTGGTCTTTCCCTCCTTCAGGACTTGTTATTGTTATTTGCTTATTGATTGTTTTTAGTGACTGCCTGGTTTATTTTCATGAAGTAAAGTTGACACTTGAACAAAGTAGGGGTTATGGGCATTGACTGCCTATGCAGTAAAATAATTGTGTATAACTTTTGATGCCCCAGAACTTTACTAATAGCCTACTGTTGACCAGAAGGAGCCTCACTGATAACACAGCTAGTCAATTAACATATATTTTGTGTGTTATATGTATTATATACTGTACTCTTTCAGTAAAATAAGTTACAGAAAAGAGCATATTATTAAGAAAATCCTAAGGAAGAGAAAATACATTTACTATTCATTAGGTGGAAGTAGATCATCATAAAGATCTTTATCCACAACATCTGCATGTAGAGTATGCTGCAGAGGAGGGAGAAGAATAGGGGTCAGTCTTGTCTCAAGGTTGGCAGTGGTGGAAAAAAATTCATGTATAGGTGGATTCACGCAGTTCAAACCTGTGTTGTCCAAAGGTCAACTGTATATTTTCCCTCCCAAAGCGTTAAGCCTCTCATATTGCTCCCTAAAGAGGTTCAGCTTTGCATATGCCCACAGTCGTGCTGGGATGACAGTGGTTTTGCTAGGGCTCTCTGGCACTTCCCTAACCACATCCAGCTGTTAAGCTCCATTAATTGGTGGCCAATTGCCCTATTGTTTTCAACAATATCCTGGGGCATAAAGTGTTCCACAAACTAACCCCATTAAACTGTGGCTCCTTTGAAAGAATAGTTTCTGAGGTCAGTGTTTGATATTTGTTCTGACCCCCAGAAGGGTTCCTTCCCAGTGGTTTATTCTGGGTTCTCTCCTGCAAACTAGCCTCTCCCAATTGCCCTTCACCACAACCTCCACTGTGTTTTCAGAGCATACTTAGGCTTAATTTTCTCCAAGCTCTGTTGAAAATGAAGTCAGTTCCCTTGGGAAGAGATTAAGAATTACCTTTTTTTCTCTGAACTGCTTCTTCTCCCCTACCTTGCAACAAAATATCTGAACCAGAGCTCTGGAGCTGGGGGTAGAAACAATGGTAAGCTTTTCTCTGAGTGACACCCCCTGCCTAGGGGCTGGGTGCTTGGTGGAGGAGTTGGGGATAGCCAGTGGTCTTCTTAACTTGAGCCTTCTGGCATGGAAACACCACCTCAAGAGCCAGGGCAAAAGTGACCAGGGCCACAGTCTTCTCAGCATGTCACACCCAAGGTAGAGTCTCCTTCCATGAGTAGCAGGTAGGGGTGGCAGCCCCCACCTCTCAACTGCATTCATCTGAGACAGCCTCAGCAACAGGGAGCTGGGGGCAGGATGAAGGACACTGCCATCCTACTCCTCCCTGGAAGGAGGCCCTCTGTGCTGGGAGGAGAGGAGACCTGTGTTTCAGCAGTAGCTGTCTGGAGGGAAATTGCCACCGTGCTGAGCTGGGAGTGGGGAGGAAAGAAGTGGTCTTGTTTCAAATCCCACAGATTCACCTCTTCTACCAAATTAGTACATTTTCTTGAATACAGGTTCCTTCCTTTGCTGTTTTTCCTTGGGACTATTTCCAGAAGCCTTAAATGGCTGTTTTTACCAGTTTACCTGGAGGAGTGGGTCAGGCGGCTCCTCATACTGTCATGCTAGAAACTGATCTTATTCTGAGTAGTTTTGAGTAAGTAGCTATTATCAATACCACTTTGTATAAGTAACAAAGACATAGCTTTCTAGCATAGCTTTCTTCATGGTGATATAGGAGACTAGAAATGAGGTGTTGAAGTCCTAACCCCAGTACCCATGAACAAGGCCTTATTTGGAAACAGAGTCTGCAGATGCCATCAAGCGAAGAAGATATACTAGCATGCCTAATCCATTTACTGCTGCCCTTATGAGAAGAGGAAAATGTAAACACAGACAGACACATAGTGAGGAGGCCGCATGATGACTGAGACTGGAATGATGCGACGACAAGCCAAGGAAGCCACGGATTGCTGGAAACCACCAGAAACTGGGAGAGACAAAGAAGAGTTCTCTCCAACAGACTTCAGAGAGAGTATGGCACTGCTGACATCTTGATTTCACACTTGTGGCCTCCAGAACTGTAAAATGGTAGATTTTTATTGTTGTAAGCCACCCAGCTTGTGACACTTTGTTATGGCAGCCCTAAAAAACGAATACAGGGGCCATTTGGTAGCATCGTCTGGTGGGTGGCTGGCTTGAAAGGAGTTTCCAGAAAGCCATCTGGAAGGGTCACCCCCATTCTGTTTCCCATTTAACATCGTTCCTTCTCCTTTTTTGTTGCACAATCTGGTTCTATGGGGAGATTACATTTCCATAAACTACTTTATCAGTTACTTCTTGAATTTGGGGAATTCTTGGTTTCTAAAAACTTCTTTTTTAAAATACATTTTAACTACCATACACAAAAATGTACAATAACCCCATCTCACTGTTTAACAAGGCAATAATTAGTCCCCAAGTTGGCATATCTTCCAAGTCCCTTATTCGAATTCTCTTTGCTTTGGTGACTGGGTTACTGCCCTATAAAACAGCCCAGCAGTGCTAAGAGCTGCAGGGTGGGGGCCAGCCAGAAGTCAGATTAACCAACACCTTTTTCCCCCATATTTGGCATATTTTTATTCTTGGCAACAGTATATAAAACACACCGTTTGCAACATTTATATTTTTCCTAACACCTAATAATTTACTCTTTTATGGTGTAAAATCTGTTGCTACAGACCTTTTTTCAATTTATTTCTCACATCTCTGTGTCTCTCTATAATATGACTAATCCCAAGACCCAGTGAAATTTAAGGTGCCTGCACCGATGCACATAATGGTGATGAGAAAGTTTCCGATCAAAGGCAGTGATGGAGTGTCTTAAACAACTAACAATAGCTGCTGCAGCTTAAAGACATCTCCGAATGCTACTTGGAAGTGATGATTATATAATGCTGAGCACTCAAAGGTCTGAGGAAACTCTGACTCATTTTGCACTGCTAAGGATGTTGGACTGCAAGAAGAAGTATAAGAAAAAAAGGGGGGGAGGGGAGAAGGGAGGGGAGGATGCCCCCAAAGATTGACTATTTAGAAGACCATTCGCACTTCTGCTCCATATCTGCTGTACTTCTCTTTTGTTATTTTGTTTTTTGGTTTTTTTGTTTGTTTGTTGTTTTTGGAGACAGGGCTTCACTCCATTGCCCAGGCAAGAGTACAGTGATGCAATCACAGCTGACTGCATCTTCAACTTCCCAGGCTCAAGTGATCCTCCCGCCTCAGCCTCCTTAGTAGCTGGGACCACAGGCACATGCCACCACACCTGGATAATTTTTTAAAGATTTTTTTTGCAGAGACAGGGTCTCGTCATGTTGCCCAGCCTGTTCTCCAACTCCTGGCCTCAAGTGATCCTCCTGCCTCGGCTTCCCAAAGTGCTGGGATTACAGGTGTGAGCAACCGTGCCCACCTCTCCTGTACTTCTTAGGGGAATGGGCAACATGCACACAAGGAAAAATGACGTCCAAAGAAAAGGCAAAACCTGACAGTAAAATGAGTGCTCTAGATGCCCAAGAGTGACATCCAAAGAAAAGGCAAAACCTGACAGTGAAATGAGTGCTCTAGACGCCCAAGAGCGACGTCCAAAGAAAAGGCAAAACCTGACAGTGAAATGAGTGCTGTAGATGCCCAAGAGCATGCAAGGTGCTCACACACCGTGCAAGGTGTGTGAGACTCTGTGTGTGTGTACTTCACTGTATGTTGTCTGTGTGTGTTTATCACTAGCATTTGAGCATGGCTAGAAGGCGCAGAGTCTTCTCATCCAACTTCTTTCTCAGGATCACCACCCTGGCTTTCCCTACCCCTTCCTTTTCCACCTAGTCTGTGGCAACATAGAGCACCCCTTAGTTAGTAACCTATCAGACTCTCCCTCAGTGCCATTCAGCCACCAATTTTGGTCCTATGACTTACAAATCTAAGAAAACATGTTCTAATATGTCTCCATGGGACTTGCATGGCTTTGATTTGTAAAAATTATCGTTTGTGTTTCCTTGGGCATGCATCCAGAACCGGGACACCCTGCCAGGGGTAAGATTTCCACTTCCCATTATTCTTCCACCGTGTCCCTCTTCTGTTAGAGTCTTGGAGGCCTAAACCCATAATGGGTTGAAATTCTCCTCTGATTCCTAAAAGGCTAAGAACAACCTGGAATATTTTGTAGATAACATGGAAGAAAGACCTTGACTATTTTGTAGATAATATGGAAGCTTAGTTTTTGTTTTGTTTTGTTTTTTAATTATCTGGCAATGGTGGACAAGACTGATTAAAGTGAGAAGAAGAAACTGGAGGCAGACAGAAGAATGTGGAGGAGCCTGTGGCTGTAACCGGAGCAGGGAGCAGGAACAGCACGAACGAAGTCAGCCTGTGGAAGCAGAAAGTGAGGGGAATTCTGCACAGAGACAACCGTCAAGTCTGTGCCTGCTGGACATTGGGAGCCACAGAGAGGCAGGAGCAGGCGACAGCGTGGAGCTGCGAGCCTGGCCAGCAGAAAGCGAATTGAAAAATGTTCCTAAAGGTGACATAAGCTTGCATTTGAAAAGCACCTCCGAAAGCTTCCCAGCCTCAAAGCCAGAATCGCCTTCTGATGCAGTTAGGCACCACAAGAGCTTCCCCACAAGAGCTTAGTGTCCGTTTCAGCAGTGTCCATTTCTTAGCCACAAGAGCTAAGCATGTGTTTCAAAGCCCTGGAGGGATGTAAGCAGCACAATCGGGTGACTCTAAGGTCAGCCCTTTGGGAACCAGGAAAGACACCCACGTATTTGTTTCTTTGGCAGCAGCCTCTCTCCCCAGGTTCTGGGTAAGCGCCATAGCAGAAGCTCAGGGCACCCTGACTTCTCGATGTGGAGAAGGTGTCCACCTCTTCTCCCAGACATGTCTTGAGCAGACAGACAAGGCCCCCTGTTTCACAAAGTGGATTTCATGGCAGTGACATAAATAAAGAGCCTGAGGATGGGATTGTGCTACTTGCCAAACTTCAGTCCTGTCTCTTTGCTGCGCGTGATAATCTGCCCTTCCTGCTAGACCTGCTTAGGTCAGACTTGGAAGTGAGAAATGAATGGAGAACGCCCGTTTCCCAGCCACCTCGCGCTCCTGCCTTTTTTGCCCACCTTCTGTCCTGGATTCCTTTCCCTTCTCTAGATTCAAGAATCAAGAGTTGATTCAGGTCCCAGTGAAAATAACGCAGGGAGAAGCAGGCAGTCACTGTGAACTGGCTGAAATAATTGACCAGGAATTTGCATTTGGGCACAGGCTCTCTTTGGGATCTCCATCTTGTACGGTTCTCTACCCTACCCACACCCTGCACCACTGGACTGGCCTAGAAGTTCTTTTCTTAGTCGTGCTACATGTCATCAAAACTGAACAAAGGAGTAAGACACTGGGGAAAATACCTCTTTGTTGCCTCCCGGCACCCCCTTCCTCATCTGACCAAAATGTTACCTTTACCTGCCAATGTTGGTCAGCCAGACACCTGAATGGGAATTTAAGTATGAAATTCAGAGCCTTCTGATTAAACCAGTAAAGTCTAAACAAGTCACAGACTCAAAAGACAGCTAAGCTCTCCACCGTGCCAGCCGAGTAGGCAACATGGGAGGTGGCCACTCAAATGAATGTGCCTCACCTATGCCAGACTAGACAATGCCTTGAACACCAGCATCCCAGGGGAATAATAGGCCCTTGGTACATACATAGTCAGCCTTAAAAATGAACTTTCCCTGCCGGACAATGGTGGCTCACACCTGTAATCCCAGCACTTTGGGATTTGCGAAAGCAGGAGGATCACTTGAGGCCAGGAGTTGACAAGCCTGGGCAATATAGAGAGACCTTGTCTCTATAAAAAAAAAATTAAAAATTATAAAATTATAAATTATTTTTAAAAATGATTACGTTTTCCACTGCCAGTTAAATGAAATGCTTAGCCTTACCTGTTTCCTTTCCCTTCTTAAAATGCAAGTGCCTTTAGGAAAATGACTACTTATCTAAATCTTTCTCACTTTAGTGTGAAATAATTTGTTAGATAACTTTCCAATATGATTGCCAGCCAAGAACAGGCCCCAAGAGGACAAGGCAGAGGACAAGGAGATTGACTGCAAGCAGGGAAACAAGCATAGATGACAGTGAGGTCATCCTACAGAACCTGCTGCCTGGGACGCCACCAATGGCACTCTCAGTGGACACTCACACCATCATTGGTCCTTGCTGCCCTCCGCTGGGAGCCTGTCTCCACTGTCACCTCCATGAGTTCTCTATGTCACTTCTTCAGGAGCCCACCATCTGAATGGGAGGACCTGGCAGAACTGGCTCCACTTCCTGTCCCCACTTCCAGAAGACAGGTGGTTAGAAGATTCATCTGCACACAGTGGGAAACAGGGCCAGACCCCCGCAGATCTTGGCATTTCCTCCAAAGAGACAGGCTGCCCAGTGTGGCTGCAAAACACAGCAAATGTCCCCTAGAGTAGGTAAAATTGGAGAACGTATTAGAGTCCTTGGGCCTCAGGCATATTAAATCTTTTTACATGGCTGGGCGAGGTGACTCATGCTTATAATCCCAGCACTTCAGGAGGCCAAGGCAGGAGGATCTCTTAAGCCCAGAAGTTTGAGATCAGCCTGGGCAACATACAAAAGATGAAAAAATTAGCTGGGCATGGTGGCACACACCTGTAATCCCAGCTCCTTCAGAGGCTGAGATCAGTTGAGCCTGGGAAGTCGAGGCTGCAGTGAGCTGTGATCGCACACTGCACTCACTCCAGCCTGGGTGACAGAGGGAGGCCCTGTCTAAAATAAATAAATAAATCTATCTTTTTACTTGTTAGTTCATTTAATTTGCACAGCTCTGGGGAGAGTTCATTACCTCCAGCTTTATGGATCTCCAAGACTAAAGAGATGGAGTAACTTGCTCAAGGTCCCACAGTTAGAAGGCCATGAACAGAGATTCCAGGGTGTAGCTGGTGGCTCCAAAGCCCATGCCCTTCCCAGCCAGCTTCCCCTGGCATCTGAGGGGTGGCCTGGGCATCAGGTGTCTGTCTATAGAGGAGGGTCTTGGAGACGGTGTCTTAGTGGGTGATGGTTGCCATAACAAACTACCACAGCCTGGGTGGCTGCCGCAGAACTTATTTTCTCACATGCCTGGAGCTTTGCCGAGATCAAGGTGTTGGCAGGATTGATTTTTTTCTGATGCCTGTCTCCTTGACTGGCAGAGGGCCGTCTTCTCCCTGTGTCTTTGCATGGTCTTTCCTCTGCACATGTCTGCGTCCTAGTTCCCTTTTCTTACAAGGACATCCATCATATTGGATCAGGACCCACCCTAATGACCTCATTAACATAATTGCCTCTTTAAAGGCCTTATCTCCAAATACAGTCTTATTCTGAAGTACTAAAGGGTTAGGATTTGTTTTTGTCTTTGTTTTTGTTTTTGTTTTGAGACAGAGTCTCACTCTGTCACCCAGCCTGGAATGCGGTGGCACAATCACAGCTCATTGTAGCCTCCAACTCCTGGGCTCGAGCAATCCTCCTGCCTCAGCCTCCTGAGTAGCTGGGACTACAGGCATCCACCACCATGCCTGGCTAATTTCTTTTATTGTGGACATGGGGTCTCACTGTGTTGCCCAGGCTGGTCTTGAACCCCTGGCCTCAAGCAATCCTCTCACCTCTCAAAGTGCAGGGATGACAGATGTGAGCCATCACACCAGGACTTTAACGCAGGAATCAGGAGCAGCTGGAGGACAATTCATCCCGAAACGGAAGGGACACCAGTCAGGGAATTATTTCTGACAGGAGATGATAGGGAGAGCAGTGATGAGGCCCAAACAGATAAGCCCTGCGCCCCCACTTCCCAGGTCTGATGAATGATGCCCCACCTGCCTTCACCTTCATCCAGACTACTGCTGGTTTAGTCTTTATTTTCAGCCTCGTTAACCCCAAGGCAAGGGTGTCATTTTTCGATTCTCAATGTAACTTCTCTGCTCCGGGTTAAATTATCCTTCAATCAATGGTGTTTTTGCCCATTTTGCATAGCAAGATTCCGTGTAGTTCTGGCCTCTAAACTGCCAGACCTATGCTGGGACACCCATGCATGAAGGCCTGCTATCAACTGAATTGCATCCTCCCTAAACTCATATGTTGACACCCTAACCCCCAAAGTGATGGTGTTTGGGAGATAATCAGGTTTAGATTTGAAGCTCGTGGTGGAAGAGAAGCTAGAGAGCTTTCCTTTGCCTTCTGTTCTCCTACGAGGACACAGCCAGAAGGCAGCCGTTTACCAGTCAGAAAGAGAGCCCTCACCAGAAACTGACCATGCTGGCACCCTCATCTTTCACTTCCAGCCTCCAGAACTCTGAGAAAATTAATTTCTGTTGTTTAAGCCACCAGTCCAGGATATTTTGTTATGAAGCGACTATGACAGGGAGGGGAGCTGTTCCACCCCTGCTGCCTCAGCCTGCATGGCTGTCCCTGTCCCCACCTCCTCATCTTTCTATCTTCTTGCCTCTTCCCTTCCCCATCTCTCCTGTGAATTAGCTCCTTAGGGCTGCCATAACAAAAGTACCACAAATGTGGCAGCTTAAAACAAGAGAACTAACATGGTGAAACCACGTCTCTACTAAAAATACAAAAAAAAAAAAAAAAAAAAAAAAAGCCGAGTGTGTTGGCGGGCACCTGTAGTCCCAGCTCCATGGAAGGCTGAGGCAGGAGAATGGTGAACCCGGGAGGCGGAGCTTGCGGTGAGCCGAGATCGCACCACTGCACTCCAGCCTGGGCGACAGAGCGAGACTCCATCTAAAACAAAAAACAAAAAACCACCACCACCAACAACAAAAAACAAACAAGAGAAACTTCCTCTCTCACAGTTTTGGAGACCAAAAGTCCAAAATCAATGTGTTGGCAGGGCCACGATCTCTCTGAAGGTTCTGGGGGGGATCCCTCCCTTGCCTCTTCCAACTTGTGGTGCTTCCTGGCATTTCTTAGCTGTGACAGCATCACTCCCATCTCTGAGTCCAAGTTCACACGGCTTTCTTCCCTCTGTGTCTCTCTGTGTCTCAAATCTTCTCCTTTCTCTTGCAAAAATATCTACTAGTCAATGGACTTAGGTCCCACCCTAAATCCAGGATGATCTCATCTTGAGACCTTTAACTAGATCATATCTGCAAAAATCTCATTTCCAAATAAGGTCACATTTGCAAGGACCGGGGTAAGGACTTGGAGCTATCTTTTCGGGGACACTTTTCTACCCTCCACACCCACTTACCCTTTCCCCACCACACCTCATCTTCCTTCCTCCACATCCTGGAGCTCACTCTGCTGTCCTGTCCTTCGCCTGCAGGCTTTGACCCAGGGCTGGATGGGAGCTGGAGCAGGAGGCCCAGGCATTGCATCTGGTCTCCACAACAAGACGCTCAGTACCTACGAGTCCAACTTTCAGTCTCCAAGTGTGAGCATACAGAGCAATCTCACAAAGAACCTTCTCACTGGGAAGGAAATGGCTTACACATTAACATGAGTGCACTTAGACAAAGAATAGCTGGCAATGTTGCAATGCTGGAGACAAGTCCCAGCAGCCAGTTGTGCCTTGTTAGAGACTCATTGATTTTGGGTGGCCTGGATTCCATTGTCACCAATGATATGATCATATGGGCCATGTTCCAAATGCCTCTGGCTGTGTTCAGAGGATGAGAAGGGGGAGAGTTAAACAAACCCCCATGCAGAATCTGAAGGCTTTATTCATCCACCCTGGCACTGCTTTGCCCACTGAATAAAACATTCTGTACCCAGGGGCAAGCCCAGGCCCCAGCTGGTACCGTTCCCAATGTCCCACAGGCTTCCAGGCTGCCCTTCAGCACAGACTCCTCCAGAACACTGTGCTCAGGGGCCGCCAAGGTTCCAGCTCCAAGATGCAAACTCTGCCCCAATTGCCAAGGGAGTGGCTGTCTTTGCAGGGCATTGTCTGTGAGTCCTTGATCCCTGTCTTCACTAATGGCAATCCCAGGAAACTGCCTGTGAATAAAAGCCTTCTCAGCCCTGGGGAAGAAACAGGCACAGCTGGCTCAAATTGTCCAGCTGAAGACAGAGCTCAGCCTGGAAGGGACACAGCTCAGTTACCACCGTGCCAGGCAGCTCTTCCTTTTATATAAACATTTGAGGGCAGGGTTCTCAAGCCCCGCTGCCCCCTAGTCCTACCTTTTCTCCATTGTGACCACAGAGGGTTTTGTTGTTGTTGTTGTCATTGTTTCTTGGGGGGTTTTTTTGTTTGTTTTTTGTTGTGTCTTGTTTTCTTTTTGAGGCAAAGGGATAACTCTTTCAGAGGGGCACCTGGAACTGTCTGGTGTGGAAGCTTTTCCTCATTCGGCACAATTTCAAACTTGCGAGCTTTCACAAAGGCGTGGGTGACTGTTTTACTCCTTGATAAAAGTCTGGCATATTCAGAGTTACTGAGACCCAGGAGCGGTATCTAATACTTTGGAAACTAGCAAGGGTTGCTTTATTTCCCATTCTTGATTCTACATTGAAAGTGGGGGATCTTGTTATGCAGATCCTAACACTCTGCCCCTCCCCAAATCCAAATGAAAGGCAAGGTCATTTCACTGGAAATGTGGTAAGCAGTTAGCAGACAATGGGATTGTCCCCAGTGCGGGGTGAGGGTGGATAAGAAACACACAGGTGGGACGGTTAACAACATCAGGAGCTGTGGCTTTATGGAAATTTATGTAAGCATGATGAATTGCACACAGCCATTTGTCTCTATTCCCTCCTAACCCTCCATGAAAGTGACAGGAAAGGGACAAAAAGACATTGGCGCACAAAAGCGAAGAGAACATGAAAGGAGTCACAGCAGAGAGAGGTCAACTGAATGACTGCAAGAGGAAGTCAGATCTAGCAGTGAGTAAGTGAACAGACCACAGGATGCAGAAAGCTAGCACTTCAAGGGCTGGGGCAGGAGCTGCTGGGCAGATTCACAACGCAGAACCCAGGGAGTCTTGGGAAGTGGAAGCATAGGGCATTGCTCATGGGGAATATCCCAGTGGGCTAAAAATGAGAGGATTAATTGAAAATCTATAAAAGAAGAAGTCAGAGATTCCCTTGCTTACCTCACTCAGGACTGGGACCACCCCTCCCTCATCCAGAAGAAGACAAGTGGATGGGGGGAGTTGTTGTCACTTTCTAGAGAAGACAAAGGAAAGGGAGTCCAGGCTCAGGACCCAGGTCTAGGTGAAAACAGTGGAGTGTAATAAAAATCAAGCCCTGTGGCATCCCCTTTCCTCACTTGGCTGTGAACTAGGCCAGGCTCAGGAAATTAGAGAATTCTTCTCTGGGGAAACTCATCAATCCCAGAGATAGGATTTGCAGATAATAATGTTTAAGAGTTCCTCAACAAAATAGCCAGTTTCCTTCTGGGAAGTCCTACTGAAAGAGAAACCTTTGCATGCAGAGTTTCCAATAACCTAATTTATTTGTTTGTTTGTTTATTTTTAAATTTTGAGACAGGGTCTTGTGGTTTCACCCAGGCTGGAGTGCAGTGGGGTTATCATGGCTCACTGCCACTTTGACTTCCCAGGCTCAAGCCATCCTCCCACCTCAGCCTCCCAAGTAGCTGGATCTACAGGCATGTGCCATCATGCCCAGCTAATTTTTAAATTTTTTTTGTAGAGACAGGGTCTTGCTTTGTTACCTAGGCTTTTCTCGAACTCCTGGGCTCCAGCAATCCTCCCACCTTTGCCTCCCAAAGTGCTGGGATTATAGGCATGAGCCACCACACCTGGCTTCCAATCATCTTTTTAGTCTAGCCATTTGCCCTTTAAATATGAATGGACTCAGGAGTAGCAGATATTTGAGGAAAGTCTTTACGAAAGAAAGAAAAAAACATAATAAAGGAATGAGAGGTAATATAGAGAACAAGATACCTTTATAAAATTTGTAATTTATTTTTTAGTGAAAAAGGGAGATGTTGCATCCATAAAACAAGATCAAGGTGCCATATTAAGAGGAACACATAAAAATGATAACATGAAATTTTAAAACTTTCTCATAAAAGTTGGAAGATAAAGAGGATCTCTGATGCTAGAATCATAGAGCTTTTGCTTAAGAATTGCTTACAATGTTTTTCAGATTCTGAATTCTAGCAGAACAGCTGACATCAACCAGTGTGAAAACCCTTATAGAAGAACTATATCAGCATGAGAATGTTTCTTCATCTCCCCTTCCCATGACTTTACCCTGAATTCATCAATCAATCAATGATCCCCACACCTCAGTCCACTCCAAACCCCTTAACATCCCTAGCCCCAAACTCCTCAGGGAGGTGGATGTGCGGTTTCCTCCCATCTCATTAGGCTGCCCTATAATTATTTAATTTGTTCTCTGCTGCTCCCTGGTGTCTCAGCATATTGACTTGCTGTGCATTGGGCAGATGAATCTATTACAAGAGTCCCACCAACTACTGTAGTATTATGACAACAGATCACCTTGGGATTTCAAAATACTGGGAAAAGTGAGAAAACTCTAAATCTTCTGGAGAGACAACCAGAGCCACATAAAGGAGCAGTGTATTAGCCCATTCTCTTTTTTCTTTTTTTTTTTTGAGACGGAGTCTCGCTCTGTCACCCAGGCTGGAGTGCAGTGGCACAATCTCGGCTCACTGCAAGCTCCACCTCCCAGTTTCACACCATTCTCCTGCCTCAGCCTCCCTAGCAGCTGGCACTACAGGTGCCCACCACTCCCCCTGGCTAATTTTTTGTATTTTTATTAGAGATGGGGTTTCACTGTGTTAGCCAGGATGGTCTCGATCTCCTGACCTCGTGATCCACCCGCCTCAGCCTCCCTAGTCCATTCTTACACTGTTAATAAAGACATACCCAAGACTGGGTAATTTATTAAAGAAAAGAGGTTTAATGGACTCACAGTTCCACATGGCTGGGGAGGCCTTATAATCATGGTGGAAGGCAAAGGAGGAGCAAAGGCACATCTTACATGGCGGCAGGCAAGAGAGCATGTGTGGGGCAACTTCCCTTTATATAACTGTCGGATCTCATGAGACTTATTCACTATCACAAAAACAGCACAGGAAATCCTGCCATCATGATTCAATCACCTCCCACAACACGTGGGGATTATGGGAGCTATAATTCAAGATGACATTTGGGTGGGGACACAGCCAAACCATATCAAGCAGGAATCAGAATGGTACTGGGGTTTTCAAGAGCAAGACTAGAAGCCAGAAGAGTGATGCCTTCCAAGTGATTTCCAACCTAGCATTTTTAGCCCCCAACCCACAATGTAAAAACATTTTACTTTCAGTAAAAGTGTGAAAGTAAGATAAACACATTTTCAGACATGCCAGTCTCAAAATATTAATTAAAACACCACTACTTTTTATTGATTTTATTTTCAGGAAGCTGGTGGAGGTTGTGTGTCATCAAGCAAGAAAACATACCAGGAATGAGGAAGATGTAGGACACAGGAACAGGATATCCATCAAAAACGAGAACTCCAGGGTTGATGGAGAAGAACCCTAGGTTGATGACAGCCCTATAGCTGGCCTAAGGAAACACCAGTCCATACTGGAAGAGAAAAGTTCTGGAAAAGATATGGAAAAGAAATCTATGGTAAAGGGAGAACTGAGTAGAATACCTGATAGATTTAAACAGAAATCTCTAGGAAGATAATCACCAAGAAAAACAGGAGTCACATAGATTACCTGATGTATTGGAACGTTTTGAGAAATGTATACTCAGGCTAAGAAGTTGAGGATGAGTAAATGACAGGTACATTACACAATAGGAAATGAAAATTAAGGCAACTAGAAACTCCCAGGGAAACAAAATAGTGATCATGAAAGAAAAAAAAAACAAAGTACACTATTGCACTTGGTTGTTTATATAATCATGATATTGTAAAAACCGAACTTTGATTTAACCAAAAATTAAACTGTAGAGATAACTATATTGGGAGAGTGTGGAGAGGAAGTCTAAATAAAAGGAGTCAAAATTTATATTTAATGGTGAGAAGTTAATTGAGATCTAAAACTGAAAAAATTAGGAAATAGCAACGTAAACTTGTTGCTTCACAGTATGGACATAAACATCAGAAGAAGGAACTAAAAGAGTTAAAATGTTTGCCATAGGAGTGGGAATGAGGGTGAGTGGGGCGGGTGACAAGACTACTTTGGTTTTGTGTTGTTGTAAAATCCATTCACTTTTAAAATTGTATTAAACTATGTTCATATGTTGATAAAAATTAAAGTTAAAATGTTTGTTGGAGGTCTCTGACTTTGACGTTTAGGAAACAATGCTATCAGCATTTTTTAAAGTACTTGCTAAATACTTGCTCACATATGGCAAGTTTTAGGCACCAGAACAATGATTTATACTGCATCCCTCCTGAGAAAATGTGGTTTGACCACAATGAGATGTCACCTCACATGTGTTAGGAGGGTTTTATCAAGATGAAAAATAATAAGTGTTGGCCAGGATGTGGAGAAAAGGGAACCCTTGCACACTGTTGGTGGAAATGTAAATTAGTGCAACCATTATGGAAAACAGTCGGTGGCTCCTCAAAAAATTAAAAATAGAATGACCATGTGATCCAGCAATCTCACTTGTGGATATGGGAAATGATATCAGTATGTCTAAGTATGCCCAAGAGATACCTCTACTCCTGTGTTCACTGAAGCGCTATTCACAATGGCCAAGATAAGGAATCAATCTAAGTGTCCATCAATGGAATGAATGGATAAAGAAAATGTGGTATTCAGCCTTAAAAAAATAAGGGAACCCCGTCATTTTCCAACTATATGGGTAAACCTGGAGGACATTATGTTAACTGAAATAAGCCAGGCACAAAAGACAATACCTCAAGATCTCACTCATATGTGGAATCTTAAAAAGTCAAACTCAGAGGAGCACCAGGGACTGGATGGGGGAGGGATGCTGGGAAGATGTTTGTTAAAGGATACAAAATTTTGGTGAGATAGGTGGAATGAGTTCAAGAGATCTATTGCACAACATGGCGACCCCATTTAATAACAATGTACTGCATTCTTGAAAATTGCTGAGAGTACATTTTAATTGTTCTCACTGCGAAAAGAGAGCTAAGTATGTGAGGTAATGCATGTTAATTACTCTGATTTAGTTATTCCACAAGGTATACACACTTTAAAATGTGTTGTACATGATAAATATATACAATTTTTATTTGCAAATTGAGAGTAAATAAGAAAGAAAAATACGTTTTGATATACAGTATCAGTTTTGTTCAAAAAACAGCTGTAGAGCACTTACTGTGTTCCTGTCACTGCAGAGAGGGCTGGGGATAGAAAGGTGAAAAAAGCTCCCTCTTTACCCCTGAAGATCCTAGAATCTGGTGGTGCAGGCAAAGACCTGTGGTGAGCTCAGGCCTGGGGAGGAACCCACGGCATTGTGGGAGAAGCTCAGGGGCTGAGGAGGAGCCCACGGCACTGTGGGAGAAGCTTGGGGTCTAGGGAGGAGCCCTGGCATTGTAGGAGGAGCTCGAGGCCGGGAGGATACCATGGCATTGTGGGAGAAGCTAAGTGCTGGGAGGAGCCCACAGCACTGTGGGCGAGGACACAGGACAGTCTAAGGTGGTCATTTTGATGTAAGTATTTCAGGTGCTTTCTAAGCAATGCACATTATTAACATTACCCTAGTGAGACACACTTTTGCTGCCTGCGTTATTTCAGATCTGCACATAGTTTTATTCATATGTAATGCTTATATAACAAAAAATACAACAGTTTTTTTAAATGTCTGTTAAAGCTGAAGGTGTTATTTGCCCCTCCAAAATTTCATTTTCAGCAATATAAATTCTATCAAATACAGAGAGAATCGTTAGACATGTGATTGCACTCTAAGCTGAGAATAAAGGATTGCATCATGACCCAAATATTTGTTAGAACCACAGCAGCTAACATGGTATGTAATATGTTCAACATATCCAGTCAAAATGACAACTCCTCTGGATTCAAAAAGAAACCAAGTGGTCATGGGTCACCTGGAGTATTATCTGCTCAGTACATTCCTCACAGGGCCTTGCCATAGGGCCTAGCCTTGGCGGGAGGGCGCCACACACAATCCAGGCCCATGGAGTCCTCCCCTGGGATCAGAGGTGGAGGAGTAGCCCTCTCTTTTCCTTTGGAACACAAGTTGTACAGATGTCATGTCAGAGCATTTTCCTCCATGTCCCCTGCAGCAGCAGGAAGCTTAGATAATAACATTAATAATTTACGACAGGCCAGGCCCTGTACTAAGGATTTCCCCTGTATTAAATTACTTAATCCTTACAGCAACCTTTAGAGGCAGGTTCTAATGAGATCCCCATTAAACAGATGCACAAACTGAGGCACAAAGACACAGCTTGTAACTGGTGGAACCAGATTTCCAAATCCAAGCTCTCTATCAATACAGAGAACAGAAGCCAGAAATGAGGACACGCGACTTGAGTCACTTTCAATGGAGAAAATTCTCACTGGTTCGCAGCCCTGACTGATATACACATCCTGTCTAAAACATAAGCTAAGAACTCTTCTCAACTTCCTTGTTAATTGGAAGAAAATGGGTATTACTGATGTCACTGGTGCCAAAAATCAGAGAGGCTGAGGTGCAGAATGTTGAACATCAAGTGTGAAATAGGGAATTGGGCACCCAAGAACACACTTGGGCCACCTCCCTCACTCTGGGTGAGGGCATATCTGTATGGGATGCAGCTACTGCCAAGGATGGCAGACAGAAAGAACGAACCTGGGTTCCCAAGGCTGTCATTTGAGATGTGAAATTAACCAGCCTCAGAGCCATCCATCTGGACTTATGCTTGTATTCGATGTTTTCTTGTCATTTGGAGTTGGGGGTTTATATTAGCTGTAGCCAAAAACATCCTGATACTCCTGTATTAGGAGCTTATACTGTATAAGGAATATATAGTTTACAGAAAACCATATATGTGTGTATACACACACATATAGATTCATTTCAAGCCCTGAAAACTCAGTTTCTTCCTCTGAGAAAAATGGGCCCAAAATACCCATTATTAGATTGGTTATGAAAGAAAGGGGTGTGTGTAGTACATGAAACAGTTCAGACTCAGTCCATAGCAGGTCATGTTATAGGTAAGAATACACTGCCATCCCTGATCTGTGTAACCCATTTAAGCTAACATAGGTGCACAATGCATTCAACTTGAGGAAAGCAAATACTAGTGTAATATTTGGTTCTGTGACAAGTGCGGGGGGTGAGGGGCATGAGGATTGAGGTCAGAAGGGTCCCCTGCTGGCACTCAACTCATTGCACCACGCAGCACACCTCAACATCAAGCCCTCGCTCGAAATGATGGTTTCTATCAAGTGTGAGAGAATAGTCACAAGATTTATTTCTGGAGAACTAAACAATTATAAACTTGAGGTTTACCATGAATCAAGTGTACACACACCACATTTTCTTCCAGATGGGCTATGCAGCTAGAACCCAAATTGGGAAGGCCCAGAAAGTTGCTAATCCTAGTCCAGACCCCAGCCCAGGTGGGAATGCCTTGCAAGCAAAGTCTCTGGTGTAATTAGCAAATGTCACAAAGGGGTGGGATCTGGTTCCTTTGTATTTATTTCATCAGACAGGCTGAAACGGGAATAGGAAATGAAAAACACACTTTCAATTCAACCTCAGAGGGTCCCCTACTTTCTGACTAAGGCACATTCCTTGGAGGAGGCTGGAGAAGAGGCACCGCTGCTCACAGCAGCCCAGTGTATTCATCTCTGCTTTGATACCGTTCAAAAAAATAAGCAACTTCAACTTTTGAATGGAATAATTTTCTCTGATGATTTGGCCTGTGGGACTACGGATTCATACACGTGGCTCTAGAAAAGGCCTAGAGTTTACCCTATGGCTTCTTTGGGGACTTTCCATCCATACACCAGGTGGCTTGGTGGGGCTGTCAGTCACAGTCCCTCCTCTACCAGGGAGCAGATCCAGGTCCCACATGGGGCAGAACACCCCAGGCCCGGGTTTACTTCAGGGGTGGGTGAGCAGCTGAAGCTGAACTCTCCAGGGCTCTTCTGGAGAGCAGAGGTTGATACTGGTGACTCCAAGATGTATTTTGTCAGGACTGCATAGCATTTCCCAAAGCAGAAACTTTTGTTTTAAAAAATCCAGCTTTCTGGCTTTTCTTGAGAGCTGGAGGTTCTGACAACAGTGGACTACATCTCTGGAATGCTGTGACTGGGCCACAGAATCTGCACTTGTCACAGCACCCAGACACATTTCTACTTCCCGTGGAGCCCTGTGACCTGCTCTGCAGAGCCAACTGGGGAGACTGCCCTTGGCCTGGAGTCGCTGGGCAAGGAGGCTGTCCAGCAGGGGCTTCCAGGCACTGCCTTTCTCCCTGCAGGAAGCAGTAGGAGAAAATGGAATAAGTTCAGAGGATGCAGGTCTCAGAACTGAGTTGGAGCAGGGCTTAGGGACTCAGCTGGGCTTTGCCGCTTTCTAGCTGTGACTCTTGCTTCTCAAATTCTCCATCTGCAAAATGGCCTGAGGATAGAACCTGTGTCATGAGTTGGTGAGGGTTAGATGCAGGGACTTGTGTGATCTGTGCCCCATGCTCAATACATATTAGCTTCCACTGTTACCACTTGAGTCCCTGAGCCATCCCCGAACTGCCCAGCTACAGAAGCCCAGAAAGGTCCTTTTCTGTTTAAGCTAGTGTAGGGCCTTCTGCCACTCACAAGTTTAATAGCCATCAACACAACCTACAAATCTTTTTCTCCAAAAATTGCTGGCCAGGCACAATGGCTCACAGCTGTAATCCCTGTGCTTTGGGAGGCCGAGGCAGGAGGATCACTTGAGGCCAGGTGTTTGAGACCAGCCTGGGCAGCAGAGCAAGACCCTATCTCTACAAATAATAATAAGATAAAACAAGTAGCCAAGGGTGGTGGCATGTGCCTATAGTTCTAGCCGCTTGGGAGGCTAAGGTGGAAGGATCACTTGAGCCTAGGAGTTGGGGGCTGCAGTGAGCTATGATTGTGCCACTGTACTCCAGCCTGGGTGACAGTTGAGACCCTGTCTCTTTAAAAAAAATGCTGTTATTAAGCTTCCTAGGAAGGGAGACAACTTGTAGCCGCTTATTGAAAAGACCCCAGAGGGCTATGGCTTCACATTCGTGGATAGGATTTGAGGATCCAAACACCTGATAAGTCTCTGTCCCTCCTTTTCTCACGAGAGCCTGACAGATGACCCATGTGATTTCAATTTGTTCTTACACAAGCAAGGAGCAAATACTACACTTTTTTTCTCTTAAAAGCAACCTGTAAAACAAAGGTGCTGGGAGGACGCAACTGAAAAGAATGTTTGCACCCGGCTGTCAGGGGTTGTGTTTCTCGGCAGGCAGCCCTGTTTTCTGTTGCAAGCGCTATTGGTTCTATGCATCAGCAGAATCCATTTCAGGGTGCAGACTCCTGGCAAATCCTCGTGGCATTTGGGGCTTTCTGCCATTGGGAGTGACTGTGTGTATAGGAGTCCCTCCTCCCCAACGTGTGACTGAGCGCCAAAGCCCGCCATGGGTGCATTTGCAACTTCTCAAAGGAAGTAAAGACAGCCCTTAAAAGGAACCAGTGCTTGTTCTTGGGATGTTTACAGTGAAGTAACCCCTATGTCATTTTCCCTCGCAGGGAGGTCTTTCCTTGATTGCTAATAGTCTGTGTACTTTAGCCATGTGTGGCGCAGCCCATGGCCGCGGCCCGAGCAGCCAGGCCCCCTCCGCCCCGCAGCTTTCTTTCAACTGCACAGAACACAGCGAGGCTGTGCCGGCCTGGCCCACCCAGGGAGCCGCCACAGAGTTCTCATGCAGGGGACCTCCCGGCAGTCTCCCCTCTCCCTGACCAGCCAAGGCCCGCCGTTCCCCTCGGAAATGGCTCAGCGGCCCTCCTGACCTCCTGCTCAGGACACCTTCTTGCACCTTCCACCCCAGGTCTGCGGCATGGCCACTGTACAAATCCTTCCCAAGCCTCTTCTAAGCAAGTGGTTCTCTCTTGAAGAGCTCAGGGGAGGCCCAGGGAAGATAGTGGGCAAAGGGGTGGTCACCAGAGAGAGTGGTCTTTAACCTCGCCGCCCCACCAAATGGCACTGGCCCCTCCAAGAAAGGTGCCCTGGGGAGCTGAAGATCTCTTGGAGGGATTGGAAAACACCCTGGAGGCCTGTGTGGCAGCCTGGAGCTGAGGGACAAAGTTGGGAAGGAGGGGCGGGCAGGCATGGGCCAAGCAAGCTGGTCTGGCTCTAAGGACTATGGGGGATGAGATTTACATTTCACTCAGGAAATGGAAAGTGGGTGAAGGAGGAGCAAGAATGGGAGCAGGAAGTCTCTGGAGGACCTCCAGGAAGAGAATAGGCACACGGATGAGGGTGTTGGTCCTGCCATGTTCCAGGAGCTGGTCTGATCGCTGCCCTCTTGGCGCTTACATTCTAGAGGGGCTGAAAAACCATAAATCAATAAAGAATACAGAAAAATTTCAAGTTGCAATAAGTTCTGTGTATAAAAACTAGTCAGAGTGAGGGGTAAGGTGAAGGCAAATGCTCCTTCTGTGGCCAAGTCTCAGCAGCATAAGTCAGTGCTTCCCAAAGTGGCCTGGTGATAAGGTCTATGGAAACTCAGATTCTGGGGCTCTGACTCACCAAATCAGCAGGTGCCTGAGGGGACCGGGCAGTGTGGACACTTATCAAGTGTCCCAGGTGAGTCTTGTCATCAGATAAGTTTGGGAAACAGAGACACGAGGACCATGCTCAGATAGATCTGAGCTTTAACGTAGCTCCTCCTCACTCTCCTAAGCCTCGCCTTCCTCACCTGTGAAATGGGAATCCTAACAGCGCTAGCCTCAAAGGGTTGTCAATGAAGATTAAGGATAAGAGGTAGATAAGCCATTTTGCAGAGTGCCTAGCCCACAATAGGGGTGGTAAAATTTGGAGAAAGGGTTCTCTACAGCATGACTGGTAATACTTGATTACATTTCATCAAGTTGATGAGTCTACACTAAAGACCACTACATATGTTTCACACCTTGGAGTCAAAGTCTCTCTTTCCCTTGCTCCCCAAGCTAAATCAAGTGACACTGATCCCACATCTAAATAGTTCTTCATCACATGGCTCATACTCCAGCCTAAGCCATCTTCATCCCACCCTACCCTCCCTGGCCACCTCCAAGCCATCCATTCTCTAAACCATAGCCCTGCTGTTGTTTCTCGTTGGATTGGATTACTCTCTCCCTTAGTTTAACAGCTTTCCCATTGCCAACATCATCCTCATGGCTCACCAAAGCTCACCTTGATCTGTCTCCAGCTTCACCACGAAAATCCTATCCCGGGAGTTCTCAGTTGCGACTTAAACATGACTTATTTGGGAAGCCTTTGATCCCCCTCGGATATGTTCCCATTGCAACCTTCTGTAAAACCCATCAGACTTGCAATGAATTTTCTATTGTCTGGCTTCTCCATGAAATGGGAAGCTCCATGAAAGCTAGGGTAGGTCCTGTCCTCTTAGAGACATGGTGGTGTATTGGGATTAAATTAGATAATAAGGGAGGCCTAGCATGGTAGGTAAATCATTAAGGTTGCGGTAATGCAGAGATGCAGACTCAAGTCGAGCTGTTAATTACCAGACTTCCATATGCATGGTCAGTGCTAAGAGATATCTATTTTTTTTAATTTGTTCAGGGAGAAGTGATGGTAATTGATGCATGGTGATTGATCTATAATGTCAGGCTACATCTACAGCCACATCTACAGAGACAGCGATAGAGCCAACCTGTACCCTTCACGCTTGGGTGTCAGGTGTCCTGGGTGGAGCAGTGAGGGAGAGGAGGATGTGCTCAAATTCCCACAAACAACCAACAGAAGTTTCACCATTAAGAAAAGTGGGCTACGATTATCTGCAAATCACTCTTCTAAAAGACCAAAATGGAGCAGGCTGTCACCCTGGTACTTACCTTTTGCCCTCATACTACTGCCTGGTCAATGTACTTGCTCAAAATGGGCCACTGGTATCAGGAACAAAGCCCATCACAAAGTAGTTTATGTGAATAAGCATAGGAATCCCTGGGGACTGTGTTAAAATGCAGATTATAATGCAGATGATCTGCAGTGGGCCTCAGGCTCTGCATACACAGTTTGGGGTTGAGTGTGGGGTTTCCAGGGTTAGCCAGCTTGTGATGCAGTGGGAGGGACTGGGACCCCGGAAATAGGGCTTATTTCATCTATAAAACTTTTCTCCACTTCCTATCTCCAGGTCTTCACAACTGTGGGGTCAGCCACCCTCACCTCAACCAGGACTGGTAAAAATAGGCTCACATCCTGCTCAGCTTTGATCCAGTCTCCACGCCTCCTGAGATCGAAATGATGTTTCCAAACTTTATTAGCTTTCCATAGCCTTCCAGACTCTCCTGTTGTTGATTTTTACAAAGAAAATAAGCAAACAACTGGAAGAAAGGGAGCTGGTTTACATGGATAATTCTCTTCTGTTAGCTTTAAAATTGTGGTGGAATTTCTGCTTTAGCTCAAAATACCTGCTGACCTTATTCTCCAATTTCAGTGCTGGAAGCAGACCCTTTGCCATGCAATCCCCACATTTGGTGAACGTGTAGAATTGTAGGCCAAGATGTTTGTGTTTATGTCCCAAACCCAGAATAAATAAATAGCTACATGGTATTGAAATCACCTGTCAAAATACCCACTGCAGTTCTGGGCACAAAGAGAAGTCTCTTGGTGTGATTGGCTTACTTGCTTGAAGAATTCAAAGGCTGTTTATCTCATTTAGTTTTCTTTTTTTTTTTGTAAGACCTATAATTACTGCATTTTGACCCTAAGGCAGCCAATTACTTCACAAAAGCCCGCTCCAGGAAACCAGACATTAGCCTGACTAATTAGGCTGACATCACTCACAAACTGCTCTCATCACAATGCAGATGGACCCAGCCCCAGAAGGTCCTGCCCGTCAGAGGTGACTGCGGGTGGCATTGCGTTGTGTGTTGTGTTTTGTTTTTTACTACTTACTTTTATGTGTTCCTTGAAGCCCAGTCCTTCTCCCAGAGTCAGACTCTCATCAAAAAGAAGGGGCTCTGGGACAAACGGGTCTCCTTTATTGCGGGAGAAGGAGGAAGCTGGAAAAAAGAAATAAGAAAGGAAAGCAGCGGAGGTTGTAAATTCTTTCTAACATAGGAAATCATTCTTTGCCCGTTAGGAAAAGGGTTTGTTGTTTCAGCCGCTCAGGCCCATTTCCTTGCCCCTTTTGTCCTTGCACATCTTGGGGGTTAACTTCTGTTTGGGTTCTGCGAGGCTGAGCAAATTAAGGGGGGGAAATGTCCCAAGCATGTAGAATTCCCTCCCTCTAAAGAATAAGACGCCTCCTGAAGGGGTCCTGTCAGGTGGGTTACAAAGTCATCAGACCCCTTCTACCCACAGAGAAGTGGATAGAAAGGTGGCACGTGGGGTCTGAATAGGAAGATGGCGCATGGGGTCTGGGTAGGAAGACGGTACATGGGTCTGGGTTAGAAGATGGCATGTGGAGTCTGGGCTGGAAGATGGTGCATGAGGTCTGGCTGCTTAGCATTCAGCCAAGCCAGAGATCACCAGCCTGGAGGTCAAAATCTCCCTTGATCTTTAAGTCCAGGATGTTCCAGCAATTGAAACAACAGTCTACAGATAGAGAGGTTTTCCAGGCAGAAGGGGAATGGGTGACTCTCTTCCAGGAGGGCAGACTAGAGGGATCCCCTTGACAACACACCACAGGATGCCTTGGAAGACCAAATGATGGTGATTTGGTTTGGGTGGGTCTCAGAAAGCAGGATGTGGCCCCAGTCAGCTCAAGTCAGCTTTCCATAGGGGTCCAAATGGCCTGGGCAGTCAACTCTTTGGACTCAGACCTTACGGTATTAAAAAATTATTCTCACACTTGGTAAAATATAAGGAAGACTTGATTCAGGATGATTTCTGTAGATGTCAAGACTATCAAATGGGGGAAAGAGATGGGGCACAACTCCGAAGGCAAGGAAGAGAGCTAGGGATTTACAGCTGATGAGCAGAGTGAGAGGTCAGTGGTTGGAAAAGTACTAAGAGAATTGTTGCTATGCTGACTTAACAGGATTCTTGCTGAAGGCAGGCAAGGGCGATCAGATGCCAAAGGTAGGGGATGAGGAATTTGAGCAGTTATCAAATTCCTTAAGAATGATCAGGCATCGAGGGTGGTAGAATTCTCTCCAAACTGACTTAGCAGGATCATTGCAACAACTGGGCAAGGCAGGTTGAAGGCAGGACTCAAGGATGAGGCCTCACTGAGAAGAGGGATCAGGGAGCCCAGCTAAAGTATGGTCAAGGAGAGAGCCTATGTCAGTGGAAAGTTGCAAAGCAAAAGGCACAAGAAGCACCTGGACCCTTTGCTTCATGGTTTTAAAACAAGGACCAGAAACAGAACGAAGCAGCCCTGAGCCGGGAGGGGTGGGTGTCTTTGGTGTGCATGTGGCTGGGCAGGGGTGCTGCTGGCCTCAGGATGGCTCAGTGGCTCTGGCACCGTGGCCCACTAGAACACAGTGGAAGGCATAACACAGCAGGGGAGGCACAGGCCTGTGGGCTCCCGAGGCCAACTCTCTCTCTCTCTCTCTCTCTCTCTCTCTCTCTGGCCCCCTACAGATGAAAAAGTCAAGATAGACCGGGCACAGTGGCTCCTGTGTGTAATTCCAGAGCTCTGGGAGGTCAAGGCAGGCAGAGATCACTTGAGCCCAGGAGTTCAAGACCAGCCTGGGCAACATGGCGAAATCCCACCTCTATAAAAAATACAAAAATTAACTACTCGGGAGGCTAAGGTGAGAGGATCACTTGAACCTGGGAGGCAGAGGTTGCAATGAGCCACGATTGTGCCACTACACTCCAGCCTGGGTGATACAGTGAGACTTTGTCTGAAAAAAAAAAAAGAGAGTCAAGACATTCTGTGAGGAAACTCAAAGCACTCAAAGCAGCCAACAGCATTTGTTGCTGAACCAGCCGTGAAAAGACGGAAAAGCTTACTCAACTCTACCTTGTATGGCAGTTTGAGAATCCCAGAGGCAAGTTCCCAGAAATGTACAGAAAAAGCCAAGAGCAATGCTTCCTATGCATTCTTGTTCAATGGTGTCTTAGAGGGATGAATAACTATAAAATGGTGATTCCAACACTTTGAAGGACCATCTTAAAGGCAAACTACCTAATAAAATTCATGTTGCATGGTTTGGCGTTTCAGCAGATCGCAGTCTTTCTCACCGAGTTAACCATTTTCTCAGGGTGAGTGGGCTGAGCCCCGCAGGGCTTACAAACGTGCATGTGTATGGTGTCTGTGTGCGTGTGTGCATGTGTGTGTGTGTGTGCGTAACAGAGAGAATTTTTTAAAAGAGGTAACTGTGACTCTAGAAGTAGAAAATGGACTTGTGCCAAATATTTTTTTTAATTAATTCGAGAACAAGGAAGATGTTAGAACTGGTTCAAAGGAAAAACCAAAGAACAGAGACGTACATAAACCACAGATGCAAGTAGCTCCTTCCACAATGCAGGAGGGAAATCCAGTTATCATTTTGGTCCATTTCACAGTCTTTCACAATTTTCCCTCCTTTGCAGTAAACACATGTGCACACACACACACACGGGCACACTCTCCCACCTCCATGCCTTTGTTCATGTTGGTTACTTTTGAACAAAATCACTCTCTCCTGTCTTCTCTGCAAGTCCAAATATGACGTGCCCGATCTACCCCTAACAAGCCAGCATCTCTAAGGGTGGGACCCAGTACTCTGCATTTCCGACATGCTTCCCTGGGTGCATCTCCGATGCAAAGCCTTTGGAAACCCAAAGTAAGGAATGCAAGTTCAGCCCCTCGGGGTTCAGGAAAGGGAGACTTTCACATGCACTGGAGTTATGAGGAAATGCTTCCTACAGGAGGCGGGTTCCAGACTGGAGCTTGAATGACGGGCAGGATTTGGAGAAGAGAGGCGAAGGCATTTTAGGGAGTTGGAAGGCATGGAAGGAAGGGCAGGGGAGTCAGGATCTGCCTGGGGAAGCCAAGTTTCCACCCCAAGCATGAAGGAAGAAGGGAACATTGGGCGAGTGCGGCAGACACAGGCCACAGAGGACCAAAGGGTGGACAGGAGGGTTGGACCCAGGCCAGAGGTAGTGCACATTTTTTTAGCAGGGGATTAAAATGAGAACAGCAATGGTTTTTAAAAGGCTTTTGGGGAAATCGTATACAGCAGAGGATCTGCTCCCTGAGGACAAGCAGGCAGGAAAACATACTTGACTCCTGAACGTGCCCCTTCAATTTAGTCTGGGCCTTGTGACTTATAAAAGGCAGGTTAAGGAGGGTGATGCTCATTCACAGAACAAGAAGCAGCCAATTTCCTTAAGCGGAACTGCGGAGAGACTGAATATACAAACAGGCAATGCTCAGACCGAATGAAAACTCTGACCCACCATCTGCAGCAACCAGACCAGGAAACCAACCCGTGACCTATAGGAATCAGCCCAGAAAGCCAGCAACAATCTACACGTCAGACCACTATCTCTGGCAACTGGCCCAAGAGGCCAAACAATAACCTCTGAAACAACTAGCCCAAAAAGCCCAGGACTTGACTAATAACTGACAACTTCCCTAATTTTTGTCCCCACTCCCAACTTAGGAGCAGACCAAGAAAGCCAAATATCCTCCTGAGCCAATCTCATAGGATGAGATCTCACTTCTGGTTAGCCCACCTCCAGCTTCCCAGGCCAACAGCCTCCTACCAGGACACACCTGAAGCTCTCGCTTGTTTCCACTATAAAGCTTTCCCACTCCTCTGCCTGCCTTTGAGTCTCTGCCAAATACAAGCAATGGCAAGCTCTGAATAAATAGCCTTTGCTTGTTCTCTTTGGGTGGTCTTCATTTCCACACCACAAATGGTCATCTTCATCTCAGCTCAGCCAGCACAACATGTTTACATCCACAGACCTACTAATTTCAACATTCAAGGTTATTTTTACCATTAATTTAATGTGCTTCATCATAGGTGGAAAATTATAATGGACATTTCTCATTTCTATGTACCATATATCCCATACATAAACAAAATAATTCCATCAGGCAGCAGTGGTTAGTGAAAAAAAAAGTGGGAACTTAGAAGAAGACATGGGTTCTAGACCCAGCTCTGCACCATTTGTGTGTTTCTTGGTCAGTGTCTGACTTTCTGGGCATTTGTTTCCTGTTCTGTGAGATATAGACATTGCAGTTGATAATGACTAAGGTTCCCTGCAGTTCTAGCCATCTGTGATTTTATAAAGCATAAATCTCTTATCCCAGTACTTCCTCACTACTCTCAAAAATCAGAAAGTTCCTATAAACATGATTTTTTTTTTTCGAGACGGAGTCTCGCGGAGTGCAGTGGCGCAATCTCGGCTCACTGCAAGCTCTGCCTCCCAGGTTTACGCCATTCTCCTGCCTCGGCCTCCTGAGTAGCTGGGACTACAGGCACCCGCCACCACACCCCGCTAATTTTTATGTATTTTTAATAGAGACGGGGTTTCACCGTGTTAGCCAGGATGGTCTTGATCTCCTGACCTCGTGATCCGCCCGCCTCGGCCTCCCAAAGTGCTGGGATTACAGGCGTGAGCCACCGCGTCCGGCCTATAAACATGAATTTTTAAGGTATCTCCATCCTTCATAGACCAGGTCTTCACTAAGTTCTTTCATTTATATTTTTTTTCCCAAATGTTTCAGAATTGAATAGGGAAATGGATGAAAACTTCTGTTTAATCGGTTCTAGAAGTTTACCAGGTACCCACTCTGAAATTCACAGCACTGACTTATTTGGTGGCTACAAAGAGATTGATGACTTGTTTTGTGCCTTGAGGATATTACACACTAATTGGAGGAATACAAAACCTGCATTTGTAAATCTAACCAAAAAAAAATGCCTATTCCGAAACACGGATCTGGACAAGAAGTAAAACTGGTGAGTAGAGGAGGGAGAGAAATCACCGAATTACTGTCTTGGGGAAGGTGGAATTTGAGCTGAATCTGGAGGACGGTACTATTTGGACAGGTGGAGAAGAAAAAGAGAACAGAGGTCATTCGAGGGAGAACAAACGGTGTGAGTCGGGAAAGAATAAGGTGCATTCAGAACACCACAGTAGCCTCATCAGACTGAGTTCCATGAAGCCAGAGAAGTAAATACAACAGGAATTGTGACTTTAGGTTGAAATGCACAGAGCTGCAAATACCAGGCTGAAAGTTTAACTTTTCTAATCATTGCTTGGCACTATTTCAGTTTTCCATTCATCCTTCTGTTATTATTTTACTTAAATGTGTGGTAAAACTGACTCATCTTTGGAGCCAAAAGAAAAAATATAGTGAGTGAGAGGAAGTATTTGACAACGTTTGCCTTTTTTGTGTGTGTGACCCTATTTACCTCTAGTAATGCTTTGTTTTTAATTGTGGTAAAATATCCATAACATAAATTTACCATTTCAACAATTTTTAAGTGCACAGTTTAGTGATATTAACCTCATTCACATCTTTTTGTGCAACCATGACCACCAGTCATCTCTAGGATTTTTTATCACCTCAAACTGAAACTGTGTCCCCATTTGACACAAGCTCCCGGTTCCCCCGTCCCCAGGCCCTGCTCATCACTGCTCGACTTTCGGCTGCTGCGAATTTGACTATTCTAGGGACCTCAGGTAGCAGAATCATGAAATATTGAAGCTTTCATGTCCAGCCTGTCTCCTTAGCATGTCTTCCAGGGTCATCTATGCTGCAGCGTGTGTCAGAATTTCATTCTGTTTTAAGGTTGAATGAAGTTTCATTGTGTGCACATGCTACATTTTGCTCATCTAGTCATCCACTGATGGACATTTAGGTTGTTTCCCTTTTTGGTTATTGTGAATAATGCTGCTATGGGTGTACAAATATCCATTGGAGTTCCTGCTTTCGATTTTCTGGAGTATATACCCAGACCCAAAATTGCAGAATCACCATCACAAAGATCCTTATGCTGCCTCTTTATAGCCACACTTGTCTCTCCCCATTTTCCTACCACCACCTTAACCCTTGGAAACCACAACTTGTTCTTCATCTCTGTGGTTTTGTCATTGTAAAATTATTGCCAGGTGCAGTGGCCTGCATCTGTAATCTCAGCTACTTGGAAGGCTGAAGTGGGAGGATCGCTTGAGCTCAGGAGTCTGAGACCAGACTGGGCAACACAGACAGACCCCATCTCTATAAAAATATATTTTTATTTAGTATAAAATAAAAATAGAGTCTCAGCTATTCAGGAAGCTGAGGCAAGAGGATCCCTTGAGCCCATAGTTTGAAGCTGCAGTGAGGCAAGTGAGGCACGATTGTGCCACCGCACTCCAGCCTGGGCAACAGACAAGATCCTGTCTCTATATAAAATCAAATCCTGCAGGCCAGGCATGGTGGCTCATGCCTGTAATCCCAGCACTTTAGGAGGCCGAGACAGGCAGATCATTTGAGGTCAGGAGTTTGAGACCAGCCTGGCCAACATGGCGAAACCCCTTTTCTACTAAAAATACAAAAATTAGCTGGGCGTGGTGGCTCATGCCTGTAATCCCAGCTACTCAGGAGGGTGAGGCACAAGAATTGCTTGAACCCAGGGGGCCGATGTTGCAGTGAGCCAAGATTGCACCACTGCACTCCAGCCTGAGCGACAGAGTGAAACTGTCTGAAAAAAATAAATAAATAAAATCATGCAGTATGAAATTTTTGAGGTTGTCTTTTGCACTCAGCGTGATTCCTGAGAGATCCATCCCAGTTGCTGTGTGCATTGATGCTGCTTTCTTCTTGCTGAGAAGTAGTCCATGGTGAGGATATTCCACAGTTTGTTTAACCATTCATTCACTAAACGACATTTGGGTTGCTTACCATTTGGGGTTGTTACAAATAAAGCTAATTTAAACATTCCTATACCTGAGTTTCTGTGGACATAAATTTTAATTTCTCTGGGATAAATGCCCAGGAGTGCAGTCATTGGGCCATATGGCATGTTTAGTTTTACAAGAAACTGCAAAACAATTTTCCAGAATGCTTATCCTATTTTACACTCCCACCAGCAACATGAGAGAGATCCACTTTCTCTACATCATCACCAGTAGCTGATACTGCCACCTTTTTCAAATGTTAGCTTCCCTAATAGGTGAGTAGTGACATCACATTCTGATTTTTTCAGAAGGGTTTATATTTGCTATACATCAGTTCACCTACTTTGCATTTCTTCCTCTTAGCCCTGCTTTTAATAAAGAAAACTCTTTCCACATTGTCTTCTCTTTCCTCACTTGATTATTCTTCGTGGGAATAAGAGAATTAAAGGAATGTGGAAAAGTGTTTCTCTTGCATTATATTGTCCTAAGAAGCCTCAGTTATCACTTGCTCTTACCAGTGCTTTGCAGTCACCAGGAATGGTAGAAAGCAGCGGCTGGCCAGAGGGCTGGCAGAGGCGGGGCTGTTCTTTGTGCTTGTTTATATTCATTTTCTAGTCACAGCTCAAGTTGTTTCACTTTCTGCTGCTCAGGGAGACGAGGGCAATGTAAATGTGCTTGCTGTTGTTTAAGCCTCCCGGACAGTAAAAACAAAAGCGGCCGCACTGCCTTTCCCTAAATAACATCAGAAACCCCTTTGAGAGCTCGTTGAACAAGATTTACACATTTTAAAGAGTTTTGAAGTTAGAAGGGGTCCTAGGCGAGGCCCTCGGTACACATTAATGATGTGCCTACTGTGTGCCTTGCTCCAGCACGGTCACCCAGTGCTGGGTTACAGATCTGCATAGGGATAAGTTGCAGTCCCTCCTTCCCACACTCTGCCAAGTGTTACAGAGAGGTGTGGGCTAAGTGCTCATGCAGAGATGTGACAAGCCACTGTTGGGGGTCTGGAGGATCCCACAGCTTACTCACTGCTCAGGAACTGAGGAACTCAGCCATCAACTCACCCAGAGCCTCTCCAGCCTGCCTGAGGCTGAGAATCATGTGGGGCACCAGAGGAAAATAGAAATTCCCAGATCCCACCCAAAGGACCTGGATCAGAATCTCTAGAGCAGGGACACAGGAAGCTGTGCTTTAGAGCAAGCTGTTCATAGGTGTTATGAACTGAATTGTGTGCCTGTCTCCCCCATTCATATGTTCAAATCTCCCCCTAGTGTGATGGTATTGGGAGGTGAGGCCTTTGGGTGGTAATTAGGTTTAGAAGGGGGCATGAGGGTGGGGCTCTCATGATGGGATTAGTGCCCTTATAAGTAAAGACACCAGACACAGGCAACACAGAGATGACCACGTGAGCACAGAGCCAGAAGGCGGCTGTCTGCAAGCCAAGGAGATGGGCCTCGGGAGAATTCAAACCTGCTGACACCTTGATCTCAGACTTCCAGCCTCCAGAACCCACATAGTGAGAAGACAGTCATGTGCAAGCCAGGGGGCAGGCCCTCACCAGGTACCAAATCAGCCAGCACCTTGATCTTGGACTTCCAGCCCCCAGAATTGTGGGAAGTAAATTCCTGTTGTTTAAGCCACCCTGTTATGGCAGCCTGAGCTAACATATTGACTAATACAATATGACTCTCAGGATTATCCCAGTTGAGAACTGTGCGTGCAATCCAGCCCTCTCATTACAGGTGAGGGAACTAATACAGCAAGGTTAAAAACCTCATCCTATGTCCCCACACTAGTTAAAGGCCTTCTCTAACTGCTAGACCAGTTCCCATTACACCCACTCAAAGTAGACAAGTAGTTTTCATCTGAATGCCAGCTCTGGCTGATGGTGGTGGCTGCCAAGAGGACTGTGTCAGGAAGGATTCTGAGGACAAGTCCAGGCTCAGCTGACCTTAGCACCATTGCTAGCCATCAGAACACAAGAAACATTATGTATTGGCAGGGAAGCTGGCACAGAGGATCCAGCTACCCAGGTTGAATAACGTGACAAGTGTCATGAGTGTCACTCATTGAGGACAGTACAATTTGAAACGTGGTTCATGGGCCGGGAGCACCAGCATTGCCTGGGAGCTTATAAAAAACTTAAATGTTCAGGTCCCACCCAGACTACTGAATCAGAATCTCTGGGATTCAGATTCACAAACCTGTTCTTATATACCCATGCACACTACAGTTTAAGAAATCCTTGGGCACGGCGTCTCACGCCTGTAATCCCAGCACTTTGGGAGGCCCAGGCAGGCAGATTGCTTGAGCCCAGGAGCTCAAGATCAGCCTGGGCAAGATGAGGAAACCTGTGTATATAAAAAGTACAAAAAATTAGCCCTGCATGGCGGCCCCTTCCTGTAGTCCCAGCTACTGGGAAGGCTGAGGTGGGAGGATCACTTGAGCCCAGGTGGTTGAGGCTGCAGTGAGCCATTATCACCCCGCTGCACGGCAGCCTGGTTGACAGAGCAAGACCCTGCCTCAGAAAAAAAAAAAAAAAAGCAACCCTGCCCTAGAAAATAAGGACAATAATATCAGTGTCTCCCCATGGTGACAAGTGTGTCCTCTGCCTGGCACCTCTGAAAGTTTGCTTCCCCTCTGGCTGCATGTGGAACAAATGGGACCCTTCAGAGACGTCCTGAGAATACCAGGATGTTTCTTCCAGCCCTCATCTCTCATAACCATTTTTAAAATGCCAGGGCTGTGTATTTTTAGTTGAGGACATCTGTATTTGCCAGCTCCAAGCCCACCCCTAACCACGTGGCCAGCATTGTGCAACTACTACACATCTTTATGACAAACCCTTCCATTTTCTGTTAAGTAATGTGTTTGGAAGGCTGAGTGAATCAGAGACAGTAAGCATTTGATTGCTTACATTATTCTGGTTCAAACATGGCTCGCGGCCCGGGACTAATTTATTTATGTTGGTATGGTACATTTCTGTTTCCCTTGGGAATTTGCCAGCACCCCATCCCCTCTTCCAGCTGCTCTCCCTTGGCCCGCCCACCCCTCTTGCCACTTTTGTTCCCGGTCTGCCTCTCCTGTGGGTGGAAAGTTTGTGAAGGATGCCCCATCAGCTGCCTCCAAGCCAGAGACTCCCCTCTCCTGCGTGGTTGGCTATTTCCCCGCCCACCCACAGCCTCAGGCCCAACAAGGCGGGTGGGACTTCTACCTCCTGGCAAGGTCAGCGTTTCCCACCAGGGGCTCACTTAACCCGGTGGATGCGGGTCTGGGGTCCTGCCAACGGGGCACTTGAGGAAAAGACAGACAGGGATCAAGACCACCTACCCTTTCTCTGGAGTCACCAGACCTACACACTAAATCTGCAGCGGGTTTTGCTCGCCATCACCCTGGGAGGTGGGAAGAGCAGCCCCCGACGACGTGAAAGAATCAGTATCCTATTACAGGTCCCCGAGCCAGGCCCCCATTTGCAAAGGCAGCCTGTTGTGCATATGGGATGGAAAATGCATCCTGGCAAAACACAAAAAGTAAATATTTAAAGGGAAAAAAAGCGCACACAAGGAAACAAAATGCCTTGCCTTTCTGCTTCCACGGTCCGCCGCCAAGTCACCCCCGCCCTCGCCGGCTGGTGTGGAGTGTGCCATATGGTTTGGGACAGGGATTAAACCCCTCCGTGGTTGTGAAAAACATCAGTCCATTTGGTCTGGCCTTTCTCTCCCTGCATTTGTTGTTCATTTGCGAGTTTCTCACACCCCTGGGCCGACTGCCGTCAGTGTTTACAGGTTTTAGATTGCTGGTGGGATGGAAATCACCAGCCACCCAGCGCCTGCAGCGGATGTCTCCAGGAGGAGGCTCACGGGCCCCTGAGGGGCGCTGCAGAACAGAGCCCGTGACATGCATGACACAGAGGAGCCCACTTTTTAACGCTTCAGTGATAAATATTTCCCCCAAAACTCGGGGCAAACATAAAGAAGGATTTAGTGTCGACCGTCTCCACCTTGGCCTCCTCCTGCAGTGCTGTCGAAGTGGCGTCCTGAAAGCCGGGGGCCTTGCCCGGAACAGGGAGGCTTGGGCTGCGGCCAGGGGAGGCACCAGCAGCTGGAGCACACTAGACCAGAGCCGGCCAGGACAGAGCCTGGCCCGATCTCCCTCGGAGGTAGAACTGGACCCCCTTCATGCTCAGGCTGAGGAGCAGGGTAATAAGTTGTCATAAGAAATGAATGAAAGTATTTCATGCAAGGCCTGACGCTTCCTCCCCCCGATTCTGAGATGGCAGCACAGCACCCATGTGTGATCTGGGGAGACAAGCGGAGATGCAAGGGAACGCTTTTCCCACAAAAGAAGCCCCGATAAGCATCTCCTGTGTGTCCAGATCAGGCTTCCAAGTTTTTCTTCCGTCGCAGTTTCCCACCATCCCTCTTTTTTTTTTTTTTTTTTGCTTAGTGACATCACTAGAGACGGAGCCACATAGAGAAAATTCCCTTCCCTTCTCATTTCTCACTACGCTGAATCCGAGTCAGACAGGCGCTCTGTTTGATTTGGGCCCTGTCACTCATTTGGTGGGTTGTGGGAGATTGCTTAGCAGCAGTCACAGGCTCCTTTCTGCTGCGGATCGATGGGTGGGCTAAGGAGCCAATAGATGTGTGTTCATCTTTGAAGAGAGATGAAGGCACAATACAAAATCATCACATTTATTTTCTGCAGCTTCTAGCCTGGGTTCACAGAGAGGTTGTCACCCTTCTGATTTGGAAGTTTCCTGATATGGAGGTGGATGAACTATACTTCTTTATTGTAATAAATCATGCCTTGACCTTGAAGCAAAGGGCTTTAGGGACCTTAAGAAGTCATTTTTCCCCACCCCATCCCTGACTCCGCCCTCACTTCTGGTCCTTTGAGTACTAACTTTCAGTTTAGACATTTATAGGACCTTTCTATGTGTCACAATATTTCTAGAGTGATTAACACATACCACGGTTGTGCATGAGCCCAGAAGTGACTGTTCACAGCTGCACCCTTGAATGCATCCGAGGAGAGGCATGACCTCTACCCTATCCCATCACCATGAGCCAACCCCACAAACATGGCTACATAGGAACGGGACAATGTACCCCAAAATAAAGGAAGCCCCGGAGTGGGTATGAGGGATAATGAAGGAGAACTCACAAGAAATGCCCCAGGGCAGAGAGGGAAGCCCCACATTCATCACAGCTGGGAAGCAATGACCTCCCTGATGTCACAAGGGTCAAACAATCTTCACTGCAATACATATCAAATAGAAATGAAGCACTAAGTTTTTAGAAGTACTAACATTATTTTTAAAGCTATGAGTTCTTCTCAGAGTAGTTTTGACAAACCTCATAGGTTTTGATATGACGTATTTTTCTTTTCCTTAATTTCTAGATAATTTATCATTTCAAATTTGCCTTTTTAAATTTTAATAGGTATAGGTTGATCATCTTTAATCTGAAAATTCCAAATCCAAAATGCTCCAAAATCCAAAATTTTAGCATGGTTATACAAACTTGTAATCCCAGCTACTTGGGAGGCTGAAGTGGGAGAATGGCTTGAGCCCAGGAGGTCAAGGCTGCAGTGAGCTATGATTGTGCCACTGTACTCCAGCCTGGGCAACACAGCAAGACCTCAACTCAAAAAAATAAATCCACAATTTCTGGACACTGACATGATGCCACAAGTGGAAAATTCCACACATAAGTGCTTGACACAAACTTTGTTTCATGCACAAACTTATTTAAAATATTGCATAGATTTACCTTCAGGCTATAAAGTGTATATAAAGCATAAATGAATTTTGTGCTTAGACTTGGATCCAACTCCCAAGATATCTCATTATGTATATGCAATTATTTCAAAATCTGAAACACTTCTGATCCGAAGCATTTTGGGTAAGAGCTACTTAGCCTTTTCTCCCAGGTCATTTTTCCAAAGCACATAACAGTTCACACTCGACCAGCATCTGGTGAGACATCACTGTCCTCTCACTTTTACTAGCACAAAACATCATCAGTATTTTTAGTATTTTTATTTTTTGCCAACCTGATTGGCAAACAACTGAGTCTCATTATTGTTGTAATAAACATTCTCTGCAGTACTAGTGATGTTGGGCATATATTTAAATGTTTGACAATCATTTTCATTTCAACTTCAGCGAATTACCTAATTTCCAACTTTTTCCTGCTTAATGATTTCTCAGAGGTTCTCAATATTAGAGATATTAATCCTCTGTCATGTGTTTCAAATATTTTCTCTAGTCTCATCATGTCTGTCAATATTTTTGTGTTGTCTTATGCCATGCAAAATGATCAGATTTTTTATGTAGTCAGATTTGTCAGACTTTTCCCTTAAGACTTTTTGGTTTTCTGTCTTGTTTTTTTTTTTTTTTTTTTTTGAGACAGAGTCTCATACTGTTGCCCGGCTGGAGTGCAATGGCACGATCTTGGCTCACTGCAATCTACGCCTCCTGGGTTCAAGCAATTCTCCTGCTTCAGCCTCCTGAGTAGCTGAGATTACAGGTGCCCGTTACCACGCCCAGCTAATTTTTCGTATTTTTAGTAAAGACAGGGTTTCACTATGTTGGCCAGGCCTGTCTCGAACCCCTGACCTTGTGGTCAGCCCGCCTCAGCCTCCCAAAGTGCTGGGATTACAGGCATGAGCCACCGCGCCCAGCCCTGTCTTGCTTTAAAAGGCTTCCCCTCCTAGAGGTTAAACAATATCTTAAATCCCTGATTAGAATTGGTCTAATCAAGTGTCACTTTAGAAAGTTTTATATTATGACATTGTCTTTCTCTATAGCAAGGTCAGCAAACTATGACCCATGAGCCAACTCTAGCCCATCACCAGTTTTCACAAAGTTTTATTGCAACACAGCACACTCATTCATTTACATATTGTCAATGGCTGCTTCTGCCTGGCAGAGCTGAGTAGTTGTCATAGAGACCCTATGGCTTGTATAGCTTAAAATAGTTTTCATCTGGCTCTTTACAGAACAATTCAGCCAACCTTTGCTATGTGCAAGGTTATGAATGTCTCCAAGGTCTTTTGACTGTCTCTTTATTTCTTTACATCTTATTTTAGCTCTTTCAAGAATGTTTTTATCATTTTTCCTCATTTTAAAAGGAGGATAATGATAGTACCTATCTTATTGTTGAAAGATTAGTTAAGATAATTACCATAAAATGCCTAGCACAGTGCCCTGGTTCTCAAAAATAACAGCCATTGTTTTATGCTGGGACAAAGAGGTGCAATAGACAATAAGACATAATTCTTGTTATGCTGAATGTCTTAATCACTGTAGATTTTCTTTATTTTTAAATCATCAGCTGGCTTATTAGAATTACTTTTCTGGATTATAAATTGTATACATTCTAGAGATTTTGGAACATTTGTTCTAGAGATTTTGGAAAAGAAATAAAGTAGGAAAATTACAACTAAAACTAAAATCTCCCCCGATTCCTCCACCCAGAGAAACCAGTGCTACTATGTTGATGTATATGTAGTGTGGTTTGTTTCAGGAGGCATGTATGCATACATGCGATGTGTGTTAACAGCTCCATAGTATTTGGGTACCAGAGACATCACGTTTCTTCTTCTAAATCATATCTAAACCTGGCTGAGCCTGACAAGGCCCGTGTCAGCTATTCTGCGGCTCCATCCTATGCCTTCTATTGGATCCATTCAGAACCCTGGGCTATCGTGCTTCTGGGGAAAGGGGCTGACATGGTCCCTGCTGCAGGATGGTCACTGCTATTACAGTGGTACCATCACGTAAAGGCTCTGCAGCCACTGGACAGCAGTCCTTCACCATCTGTAGACACCCCACCCAAGATGGCATGAAGACCCCTCAAAGAAGAGGTCACCCCTCTGCTGACTGTTGACTGAGCCCCAAAGACCTCTGCTGCTATTCCAAAGCCACAGCATAATTACCCACCCCAGCACCCACTACCTGGGGTCATGCCTCCTCTCCACCCTGTGTGAGCACAAGACTTCTCTCCTCTCACCAGTCTTGGGGTGTCTGTCCACCCATCGTCTCCCAGTGGGGCACTCGGTCCCTGCAACTCTGGAAGCACAAAGTTCCTCCTAGTTTCTCATCATAGGACTGAGCTCTCCTAAGCAGAGACCCACACAGTCCCTGGAACAATTTTTTTAAAGACTGTTAAATTTTAATCCCCCCTCAGAAGAGGAGCCCCATCTCAAGAGAAAAAAAGGAAATACTTCTTTTTCCCTCGGTATGTCTATGCAAATAAAATAAAATTTAAAAGACACTACTAGTTGACAATTTGAGAGGATACGCTAACATTGTTTTACAGCCTACTGTTATGTGGTCTTAATATTAGATGTGACCAATAATTGTGAGATCCCATAGATTCTCATCATATCTAATCAGTGTCACAACAGTGGTATGAACAAGGCAAGACCTGTCATTTAACTTGATAATTAATACCTGATTATTCACTTTCAGGTCCAGGTAAGCATTCTGAATAGAACATTGAATAAATCTCCTTTTGTGTTTTGTTTGTTTTGTTTTGTTTTGTTTTTGCTTTTTTTGAGACAGGGTCTCACACTGTCACCCAGGCTGGAGTGCAGTGGCATGATCACAGCTCACTGCAGCCTCAACTTCTGGGCTCAAGCCATCCTCGCACCTCAGCCTCCCAAGCAGCTGGGACTACAGGTGTGGTTAATTTTTTATTTTTGTGGAGATGGGGTCTCACTATGTTGCCCAGGCTGATCTTGAACTCCTGGACTCAAATGATCCTCCTGCCTCAGCCTCCCGAGTGCTGGGCTTTTAGGCATGAGCCACCACACCCAGCCTCCTTGTGTGTTTTAATATTAAATTCTTCAGCCAGTTGATAAATAAATAAATTATTACCAATAAGAGTAGTTACATGCAGAAATAAATATAGTTTGTGAAAACCATTCATCTCACATAAAAATTATTAACAACTTTCCAATCATTAAGTAGGGAAATACGTCACTAATACAAATATTAAGAAAGAGTGTTAGCTAAGTAACTTTAGAAAGAACTCTGTTTCCTTTTAATGCCAATAATCATTTATAAAAATTTCGGGCTTTTTGCGTTCTCTTTCCCTCTCCCAACACGGCGGCCTCAGCAAAAAAGAAGAAGAAGAAGGGGAAGACTATCTCCCTAACAGACTTTCTGGCTGAGGATGGGGGTACTGGTGGAGGAAGGACCTATGTTTCCAAACCAGTCAGCTGAGCTGATGAAACGGATGACCTGGAAGGAGATGTTTCGACAACTTGGCACAGTAACGATGACGATGTGTATAGGGCGTCTCCAATTGACCGTTCCATCCTTCCCACTGCTCCACGGGCTGCTCGGGAACCCAATATCGACCGGAGCCATCTTCCCAAATCGCCACCCTACACTGCTTTTCTAGGAAACCTACCCTATGATGTTACAGAAGAGTCAATTAAGGAATTCTTTCGAGGATTAAATATCAGTGCAGTGCGTTTACCATGTGAACCCAGCAATCCAGTGAGGTTGAAAGGTTTTGGTTATGCTGAATTTGAGGACCTGGATTCCCTGCTTAGTGCCCTGAGTCTCAAGGAAGAGTCTCTAGGTAACAGGAGAATTCGAGTGGACGTTGCTGATCAAGCACAGGATAAAGACAGGGATGATTGTTCTTTTGGCCGTGATAGAAATCGGGATTCTGACAAAACAGGTACAGACTGGAGGGCTCGTCCTGCTACAGACAGCTTTGATGACTACCCACCTAGAAGAGGTGATGATAGCTTTGGAGACAAGTATCGAGATCGTTATGATTCAGACCGGTATCGGGATGGGTATCGGGATGGGTATCGGGATGGCCAACGCCGGGATATGGATCCATATGGTGGCCGGGATCGCTATGATGACCGAGGCAGCAGAGACTATGATAGAGGCTATGATTCCCGGATAGGCAGTGGCAGAAGAGCATTTGGCAGTGGGTATCGCAGGGATGATGTCTCAGAGGAGGCGGGGACCACTATGAAGACCGATATGACAGACGGGATGATCGGTCTTGGAGCTCCAGAGATGATTACTCTCTGGATGATTATAGGCGTGATGGTAGAGGTCCCCCCCAAAGACCCAAACTGAATCTAAACCCTCGGAGTACTCCTAAGGAAGATGATTCCTCTGCTAGTACCTCCCAGTCCACTCGAGCTGCTTCTATCTTTGGAGGGGCAAAGCCCGTTGACACAGCTGCTAGAGAAAGAGAAGTAGAAGAACGGCTACAGAAGGAACAAGAGAAGTTGCAGCATCAGCTGGATGAGCCAAAACTAGAACGACGGCCTCCGGAGAGACACCCAAGCTGGCGAAGTGAAGAAACTCAGGAACGGGAACGGTCGAGGACAGGAAGTGAGTCATCACAGACTGGGACCTCCACCACATCTGGCAGAAGTAAGTCAGCCCAGGATGCACGAAGGAGAGAGAATGAGAAGTCTCTAGAAAATGAAACACTCAATAAGGAGGAAGATTGCCACTCTCCAACTTCTAAACCTCCCAAACCTGATCAGCCCCTAAAGGTAATGCCAGCCCCTCCACCAAAGGAGAATGCTTGGGTGAAGCGAAGTTCTAACCCTCCTGCTCGATCTCAGAGCTCAGACACAGAGCAGCAATCCCCTACAAGTGGTGAGGGAAAAGTAGCTCCAGCTCAACCATCTGAGGAAGGACCAGCAAGGAAAGATGAAAACAAAGTAGATGGGATGAATGTCCCAAAAGGCCAAACTGGGAACTCTAGCCGTGGTCCAGGAGATGGAGGGAACAAAGACCACTGGAAGGAGTCAGATAGGAAAGATGGCAAAAAGGATCAAGACTCCAGATCTGCACCTGAGCCAAAGAAACCTGAGGAAAATCCAGCTTCCAAGTTCAGTTCTGCAAGCAAGTATGCTGCTCTCTCTGTTGATGGTGAAGATGAAAATGAGGGAGAAGATTATGCCGAATAGACCTCTACATCCTGTGCTTTTCTCCTAGTTTCTCTCCACCCTGGAACATTCGAGAGCAAATCAAAACCTCTATCCAGACAAGACAAAATAAAATTCACCATCTCCTGAAAAAAAAAAAATTTCAGTAATACGGAGGAAAATAATCACTAGATTATACTATAATTCTAATATTTGATGAATTATTTGAATGGGTGCATTGATAATATTAACTTAAACAAACTTTAAGATCTACATTTAATTTTCAGTTCCTTAATTTCACATAGGCCATTAGTCTTTCAAGAAAATATTCTGCTTAGATCAAGCTTTTCCAACCCACAGCCAGCAGGTTGCATGTGGCCCAGGACGGCTTTGAAAGTGGTGCAACACAAATTCGTAAACTTTCTTAAAACATTATGAGATTTGTTTACGATTTTTTAAGCTCATCAGCTATCATTAGTGTTAGAGTATTTTATATGTGGCCCAAGACAATTCTCCTTCCAATGTGGCCCAAGGAAGACAAAAGATTGGACACCCCTGATTTAGATATTCTTATCTATAAATGGCAAGCAGCATATCATCTTTGTCACCTCAAAATTTCATAAGGAGGAAAATAAGTCCAAAATAATCGCAACAGATACCTGGAAAATTATGATTGATCCAGTTATAACAAAGGGTATAAAAGGATGAAGAGGTACTCAGGAAAAACGTGGCACCCACAATGTACATTTTCACTAGCCAAATTCAAAACAATAGAATTCACATGAATTCTTTCAAAACACATTTCAGTTCTGTGGAAACCAAATGTTTGAACAAAAAGCTTCTCAAAATGTTACCCACTGACAACTGTATTCAGTGGATGAAGACAAAGAACTTTTGTAATTTACTCAAGTGATCAGGTACAAAGTTCTTTCCAGAAACCATGTTATCGAAATGCTTTCTTCCTGCATGACATGCTGCTGCATGCACAAAGTTTAATGGTGTTATTAAATGTGCTGCTTTTGTATTCTTTCCATCAGTTTGACAGCCTGGTGGATTAATGGTGAGGCTGAGTGCGCTCATCTTTATTTTGCTGCCAAGAGGCTTTGGTTCTTCCCAGTAAAAGGAATCTTATTGGAGAAATATTTATGAAATGAAAAGTCCATCAAGTAAAGTGTTGGGCAATTGTCTCCAGCAATGGAACAAACATGGTGATGGCTACAAGTGACTTGGGAATCACAAGCGTCCTATGATTTGTTCACACTCTTCAGCTGTGTGTTGAGAAAGCAATAATGGCACAGAATTGCTGCCTGTAATCTCCAGCAAGTGGGCTGCTTTCATCATTCTTTTTTATCCAAAGATAAACTACATGACATAGAAAAGATTTTGGAACCGGCTTATCATGTAATTTTACAAAATGTTCCAATAAACTGGAACAGTAGCTATTCCGTGTTCAAAGGCTGCTTGAAGAACAAAAAAAGTCTTAAAATTGTACCATGTGGGAAGCAATGCCAATTTGGCATAAGATTGCTTGCAGAGAACGCAGCTCATTTGCTGGAATGTGCTGAAGAAGTGACCTACTCCATGGACTTTGGGAGGCAAGCACTTATTTTCTTCTTCAGCCTGCTTTAGACCCTCCTATTTTCCTAGCCGGAAAGGTGCTGGGATTAACTTGCTTGCAAGGAGCGCTGAGGAGCATGGACATTTAGAGACACAGTGTTAGCTTAAAAGCCTATTCCAGTGCTCCACTGTTAATTTTTAGATCCAACACTTGAGGACAATTTTTCCCTCAAATGCATGCAAATTATTGGAAATGAAGATGACTGAGGAAAGGCAGCAATCTGAAGACTGCTGCTGAAGCGTCCAGAAGGCTCCTCGAGCAGAGCACGCAGCTTCTGTTTCCGGGGCTGCTGCATTTCCTGCAACCCCATCTTCAAGTCCAGGTGGTAGGGAAAGGAGAACACTTGATGTTAGCAATTGCAATAGTCCCCCGTTATCTGCGGGAACAATCCAAGACCCCCTATGGATGCCTGAAACTGCAGATAGTATGGACCCTACATATACAACACAGGTTGTCAGACAGCACGGGTGGTTCACGTTCCCACTTGAAAACGTTTGAAGTGTGAAACCATTTGTTTCTCCCCAGTGGGACCCTTCCTGACGCCAGGACAGACTTGGCCTCTTGGGTTAGTGTCCCTGTGATACCGATCCTTCTGCAGGGATGTTTGTCTAGCCCTCACCAGACCCTTGCAGTAATACCTAGACTCTTTTAACGAAACCAGGACCAAGAATACAGTGTTCAAGGGGTGAGAACTCAGGTATACAGACGAACAACTGTACTACATTTTTCCTTGTACATAAATACCTATGAAAAAGCTTAACTTATGAATTAAGGCTAAGACACTAAGAGATTAACAACAATACCTAATAATAAAATAGAACAATGATAAAAGTATCTGTAATAAAAGTTATGTAAATGTGGTCTCTCTCTCTCTCCCAAAGTATCTTATTGTACTGTACTCACCGATTTTCAGACCACAGTTGACTGTGGGTAACTGAAACGGCTGAAAGCAAAACCACAGCTAGGGAGACTACTGTGTCTATGTTTAGAGCAGCGTTTCTCTACTGTGGTTGGCACTATTGACATTTTGGACTAGGTGGTTCTTTGTTGTAAGGGGCTGAGTGTCCTGTGCATCATAAAAAGCTAGCAGCACCCTTGACCTCAACCCAGTAGATGTTGGTCCCAACACTCCCCCAATTTCCAGACATTGCCTAATGTCACCTGGGGGGGCAGAATCACCCCTAGAACCACTGGCTTAAAGGAAGGAAAGCTGACTCACATGCTACATTTACTTCTTACACGGTAACCCACCGTGGCACCCGTCCCATTGATCTGCTTCAGGCACCAGCATCTTCTGCGGAATCTGGTGCTGACTAAGCTAGCTACCAAAGCATATTGTACGGCCCCACTGGTTTCTTGGAAATGGACTTTTGTTTCCACTGCAGATCTGAAAACAGTGACCACAGGAGCACCCTGCCCGGTGACGGTGCTGAGAGGTCACTGTTATCACACTATAAATATTAAGCTTTAAAATGTCACTGCTGGGTACAAACCTCTGGTCTGATAGAGGAAATAAGACCTGCTGTTTGATAGATCAGTAGGGTGACTACAGTCCACAATAATCTAGATACATTTCCATATAGCTAGAAGAGACTAATTCAAATGTTTCTGGCATCAAGGAAAAATACATATTTAAGGCATGGATATTCCAAGTACACTGATTCGATCTGTATGAATTACACAAATATATAAAATTACCACTTGTATCCCTAAAATATGCATGTCTTATGCATCAATTTAAAAACAAAAAATCAGATACAATTTTAACTACTAAAGTTCTTAAATGAAAACTGAAACATGATTTAAATTCTTAAATAAGGCCAGGTGCAGTGGCTCAAGGCTGTAATCCCTACCCTTTGGGAGGCCCAGGGTGGATCACTAGGTCAGGAGTTCGAGACCAGGCTGGCCAACATGGTGAAATCCCATTTCTACTAAAATACAAAAATTAGCTGGACATGGTGGTGCACGCCTGTAATCCCAGCTACTCTTGAGGCTGAGGCAGGAGACTCGCTTGAACCAGGGAGGCGGGGGCTGCAGTGAGCCAAGATCATGCCACTGCACTCCAGCCTAGGCAACAGGGCAACACTCTGTCTAAAAAAACAAAACAAAACAAAACAAAAAAATTCTTAAATGAAATTTCAGATGTATCCATGAAACCCAGAAGTTCTAAGCTGGCAATATTTGTCTTTGGTCAAATATCAGTTTACACACTTGTACATTCGACATTGGGTCACACTGTGTATTTTGAGCACACGTCTGAGAAGAATATTTATTCCCAAAGCATGGTCAGAGCACAGCAGGCACTCCAGTAGGGTGCTCAGTGGTATTTGCTGAACAAATGATTCCATCAGCCAATCCTATATTGCTGAGCATTTAAGTTGTTTGCAATCTTTGGTCTTATACAGTATCTTGCAATGAGCTTTCTTAATTAGAAAGCAACCCTATTTAATAATCCCCTTGAAAAATGTTTTAAGTGGTAGAATTATGGCATCAAAAGGTCTGAACGTTTTTGTGGTTTTTTATACCTATTATTGTGTCTTCCAGAAAATCCTAGTTATATAATCAGCAATGAATTAATGTTTTTCCCCACACTCTTGTCAGACCCTGGGTATTTTTTCAAAGGTCTCTGCCAATGTCATAGGGAAACACTGTATCTTCTTTTTATCATTTTGCATTTCTTTGGTTTGTGAATAAATAACAAAAATTGCACAGGGTCATAATGACCATTCATCACTAATTCTTCAGTTGAGCCCCTGGTGAAGTAATTGGGCTGCAGGTAAGAGGCACGAGGTATGAACCATACCGAACTTTAAAGTTTAGAGTGACACTTGGCACGGTGAGACCCTCACACTATAAGGGATGGGAACTGAGATTCTCAGGAGCTTTAAAGTTTAGAGCCACACCGCCGGGCGCGGTGGCTCATGCCTGTAATCCCAGCATTTTGGGAGGCCGAGGCAGGCAAATCACGAGATCAGGAGATCGAGACCATCCTGGCCAACATGGTGAAACTCCGTCTCTACTAAAATACGAAAAATTAGCCAGGCGTGGTGGCTTGCGCCTATAGTCCCAGCTACTCGCTTGAACCTGGAGGCGGAGGTTGCAGTGAGCCAAGATGGTGTCATTGCACTCCAGCCTGGTGACAGAGCAAGACTCTGTCTCAAAAACAAAACAAAACAAACAAAACTTTAGAATCACACTTGGCATGGTGAAACTCTCACACTATGAGGGGTGGGAATTGAGATTCTCAGGGGCTTTAAAGTTTAGAATAACACTTGGCATGGTGAGACTCTCACACTATGAGTGGGAGGGAACTGAGATTCTCAGGAGCTTTGAAGTTTAGAAGCACACCTGGAATGGTGAGACCCTCACACTATGAGGGGGTGGGAACCAAGATTCTTTGGGGAACAGCAGCTGCTCAGTCCCCACATACAAGTTTGTTGAGTGCAAGATGAATAAACACAGAGACTTTCAAGTTGCCTTGATTGAACGGGACAGGTAAACACGTGGGAACTGCCCACGTTTTTGACTTTGTCTCTTCCCTAGCTCTTCCCTTGCCCACTATGGAGAGTCAAATTTGCAAGCTGTGACCATACCCCTGATGTGACTGATCTGTGACACTCACAGAGCTGCCGCTGGGGGTCATGGATACCATGCTTCTCCATTTGTTCTTTGACACAGTCTTGCCGGGTAGGCAACAACTCTGTGCCGCACAGGCCCGAGGTCCAAGGCTAGAGAGTGGCAGCACTGGAATCCACATCCCGCTCTGCCTGATGCTAAACTTCCACTCTCTTATTTCCCATGCCACGTGGTGTGCTCATATCGAGGCTCAGTGCCTGGCTATTCCTGTGGCCTTTCACCTACCTTGGCCATAATGAAAAGCCCATGCTTCTCTCCAACCTGGGTTCCAAAACAGCTGCTGAAACTAATTAATTTTTTTTTTTTTGAGACGGAGTCTCACTCTGTCTCCCAGGCTGGAGTGCAGTGGCACCATCTTGACTCACTGCAACCTCCACCCCCTGGGTTCAAGTGATTCTCCTGCCTCAGCCTCCCAAGTAGCTGGGATTACAGGCGCCTACCACCGCACCCTGTTACTTTTTGTATTTTTAGTAGAGAAGGGGTTTCACCGTCTTTGCCAGGCTGGTCTTGAACTCCTGACCTCATGATCCACCTGCCTCGGCCTCCCAAAGTGCTGAGATTACAGGCCTGAGCCACCGCACCCGGCCTAATTAATTATTTTTATAACTGTCACAGAACACCTGATTTTCCCCCCTCCTCCCCACTGTTGTAGGGCAGAGAAGAACAGGTGGGGTGGTCAGGGAATAAAGGAGGAATTCGAATTCTTAGTCCGAGGAATCACAGCACATTTTTTTTTTTTTTTTTTTGTGACAGGGTCTCGCTCTGTCACCCAGGCTGGCGTGCAGTGGCGCGATTTCGGCTCACTGCAAGCTCCGCCTCCTGGGTTCATGCCATTCTCCTGCCCCAGCCTCCCGAGTAGCTGGGACTACAGGTGCCCGCCACCATGCCCAGCTAATTTTTTGTATTTTTTTTAGTAGAGACGGGTTTCACCGTGTTAGCCAGGAGGGTCTCGATCTCCTGACCTCGTGATCCACCGCCTTGGCCTCCCAAAGGGCTGGGATTACAGGCGTGAGCCACTGCGCCCGGCCCTCACAGCGCATTTCCAAGGCAAACACTCAAGCTGCTGGTTCTCAGGCTCTCCTTTGGCTTTAGCTTTGCCGTGTCTCCCTTACCAAGGTTCCCAGCCACCACCAAGGGAGGTGCCACAGCCACGTGTCGTGGCAGAGCCTGGCCCAAGCTATATGTTCCTGTTCCCACTTGAAAACGTTTGAAAGCGTGAAACCATTTCTTCTTGCCCGGTGGGACTCTTCCTGACTCCAGAACAGACTCGGCCCCTTGGGTTAGTGTCCCTGTGATGTCGATCCTTCTGTGGGGATCTTTGGCATGCACCAGAACCTTGCAATTCGAGTCACTGTCATTGAAAAGCTCTGGTCTACAGACTGAAGGACAGCCTGCCTCACCAGCTCTACACGAGAATTCCCATCTTCCAGGGATAAGAAAGTGAGCAGGCCTTGTCCAATCTCCAGTGAGTAATACAACAAGACAGAGATTAACTTTATATACTAATTTCTTAGGTTAGATAGAGAGGAAAAGGACACTCCACACCTGATGACCTGCATTCTAATGCCAGAAAAGGCACTTTTAATCAGATGACCTCAGAAAATGTCCTTAACATTCCAGGACAGTTATTCTTGTGAGGATGACCTAGAATAGATGTGTCCGGGCCCATGAAAATTATGAAACCTCGGCTGCGCGCAGTGGGTCACACCTGCGATCACAGCACTTTGGGAGGCCGAGGCAGGTGGATCACGAGGTCAAGAAATCGAGACCATCCTGGCCAACATGGTGAAACCATGCCTCTACTAAAAAATACAAAAATTAGCTGGGTGTGGTGGCACACACCTGTAGTCCCAGCTACTCAGGAGGCTGAGGCAGGAACATCGCTCAAACCCAGGTGTCTGAGGTAGCAGTGAGCCGAGATCACGCCACTGTACTCCAGCCTGGCGACAGAGGGAGACTCCGTCTCAAAAAAAAAAAGAAAGAAAGAAAGAAAGAAAGAAAGAAAGAAAGAAAGAAAGAAAGAAAGAAAAGCAAAAGAAAAAAATTTTTTTTTTGAGACGGAGTCTCGCTCTGTCACCCAGGCTAGAGTGCAGTGGCACGATCTCGGCTCACTGCAAGCTCCGCCTCCCGGGTTCACGCCATTCTCCTGCCTCAGCCTCCCGAATAGCTGGGACTACAGGCGCCTGCCACCGTGCCTGGCTAATTTTTTTTTGTATTTTTAGTAGTGACGGGGTTTCACCGTGTTAGCCAGGATGGTCTCAATCTCCTGACCTCGTGATCCGACCGCCTCGGCCTCCCAAAGTGCTGGGATTACAGGCTTGAGCCACCGCGCCCGGCTAAGAAAAAGAAAATTCTGAAACCTCATTCAAGTGCAAGTTATGGACAGGCTCAATGGCTCACCCCTAAGATCACAGCACTTTAGGGGGCCAAGCAAGGCAGGAGGATTCCTTGAGAGCCCAGAAGTTCAAGACAAACCTGGGGAACATAGAGAGGCCCCATCTTTACAAAAATTTAAGAATAAAAAATTAGCCAGGCATGGTGGTACATGCCTGTAGTCCTAGCTACTCTGGAGGCTGAGGCAGGAGGATCCTTGAGCCCAAGAGTCCAGGGCTGGAGTGAGCTATAGTTGTGCCACTGTGCTCCAGCCTGGGCAACACAGTGAGACCCTGATCCAAAATAAAAACAAATGCAAGTTATAGATTAGTGTTACTCATAATAGCACTTTTCACCATCTAACATACTGTATATTTGACTTATTTATTCTGTTTCTTTTCCTACCCCCACAACTTTCCAACCTTCCCACTCATTACCAATGTAGCCTATAAAATTTTATTCTCTGGAGAACTTTGAGAGAAGGACAGGTAGGTCTCTGTCAAACCAGGCTAGTGATGATACTACCTGGAGGACAAGGGTAGAACCAAGGAACTCTAATCGTTACTTTGAGTCCTAATTCTGTGATTTCAGTCTCTCTACTCAGGGTCAGTCCCAGGGTAACAGGCTAGTCACAATGTTGAGATCAGCGTTCTGAGGCTGACTTCCTTTAAAAATGTATAAAACTCTGCTCCAGAATACTAAAACACTTATTACAGCCTGAGCCCCTCCTCACCTGCCTTGAGAAAAACATTGCATTTATTGAACATAGATTAAGCTACAGGCTGCTCCACATCCATGAGGCCCCGAGTCTGCCCAGGACTTTCCTAAACTGCCTTCAACTTGACGGTTCTGCCAGCCTTTCCAGGATGGGGTGACTAGCCACCCCCAGAATCCAGGCCAGCAACATTTAGTCAGCATTCAGCTTGTACATTCTGTCCCCTCCTTCCTCCCTCTGGGAGAACATATGGTGAGAGCTGCTTTCTTTGGAGCAAATCCTTAAGGAAAAACAGACTTTTCATCTTTTTTTTTTCTTAAGTTCCAGTAAACCCTTTTACTGATTTCTAGGGAAATCACTTTAGAGCTTAATTGTGCATTTCCCATCAGAGTCATCACTTCTGTTACTGGAGAAAATGCAACCCACAAGAGGTTTTTGAGGCGGCAGGGAGTGTGGGCTGGGTGCGCAGGTGCATGTATGTGCATATGCATGTGCACAGATGTGTATGCACACACCAACGTACACAGTGCACCTACCCATCACTGAAAGCACTGCTCATGAATAGTCCATTTCCTCTTCCAGAATTGGCCAAATCACGCCATTGTTGACAGCCCAGCTAGGCAGCGCCTGATGACATTTTTGGCCCTGGAAATGACAGGTGTTGATGACCCTAGCCTTCCTCTGGGCCTCTGATGCTAAGAGAGCTCTGTGCGTGCGTGTCTGGGGGGTGGGGCAGAGGAGCAGGAAAGGGCTGGCTCCAGGAGCCTTAGCTTATTTCGCTTCTCCTAACAAAGGCAGGAGGCAAACACCACTGCCAGACTGGGGGCAGCCAGGCATCAATCCTGAATTAACACACGTTATTGTGCTGAAACAGAACGGCCAGCCTTACTTTTGTCCTGGGTGCGTGGGTCATGTCCCATAGGAAGACCCTGTTTCTCTTTTCATTTGCAATGTTTGGTGCAGTGTTTATATTTATCAAGGAAATAGGTGGAAGTTTCAATAACGCCATGTTGTTCTCTCCTTTCCCCAGATGCTTGTGATCAGCCCCACTAATACAGCAGCTATTTCCTTTAACTTTTCTGCAAGTCCAGACTTTGATTCATGGGTCCAGGTGTGCCCACCTCTGAGAGACGGCCCGGGGTGTCATCAGTAATTGCCAGATGGGGAGCTCAGCCCTATGGTCTCAAACCCCTATCTGTTCATAAATGCAGCTCTTGTCTAAGGAGTAGCTTGGACAGCGTGAGTGGGGAGGTGGCCCCGTGTACTGAAACCGCAAGGCGAGGAGAGTAGCGCTCGCTTGCAGACTGCAGCAGCGCCTGCACACAGCGCTGATCCCTGCCATTCCTATCAGAAAACAGGAAACATCGTGGCCTTTAACATAGTCTCCTTCAAAATCAAAATGCTGCTGCTTCTCCAAATAAAATAGAGCCAAAAGTCATGGGGGAAAGTGTGTGTGTGTGTGTGTGGGGGGGGGTGTGTGCGCAGTGTGTGTGGTGTGGTGTGTGTGTGGTGTGTGTGTGTGGTGTGCGGTGGGTGTGTGTGGTGTGGTGTGTATGTGGTGTGTGTGTGGTGTGTGTAGTGTTATGTGTGGTGTGTGGTGTGTGTGGTGTGTGTGTTGTGTGTGTGGTGTGTGCTGTATGTGGTGTGTGTGTGGTATGTGTGGTGTGTGTGTGGTATGTGTGGTGTGTGGTGTGTGTGTGTGGTGTGTGTGTGCTGTGTGTATGTGGTGTGTGGTGTGTTGGTGTGTGTGTGGTGTGTGTATGTGTGTGGTGTATGTGTGTGGTGTGTGTGGTGTATGTGTGTGGTGTGTGTGTGGTATGTGGTGTGTGTGTGGTGTGTTGGTGTGTGTGTGGTGTGTGTATGTGTGTGGTGTGTGTGGTGTATGTGTGTGGTGTGTGTGTGGTGTGTGTGTGTGTGGTGTGTGTGTGGTGTGTGTGTGTGTACACGTATGCACAGTGTGTGTTCCCAATATAGCTTTTGAGAAAACCCAAGAATTTCTTCCGCCTCAGGTAACACATGGATGGGATGCCATTGGCTCCTTTGTCTCTTTGTCCAGGGACTGTCAGTGGATCAAATCCCCAGCCCTCACTAAACCAAGCAGTACCTCCATGAGGATGAGAAACGTGCCCCTGTGGACAGGCACAGGCCTCCCAGAGCAAACCGCTGGTGAGCAGAGCAGGCCGAATTCTGGTCCCGCGCCCTCTGGTGAGTTCTTTGTGCTGGGCTTAAATTGCATACATAGATAGAGCAGTGCTGACAGATTTGAGGTTGAAGCGAAGGGAGGGAGAAGATACAGCTTTTCAATGAGCTGGAGATGCTACCAGCCAGGGATATCCCCACCGATGCATTTCAAAGAATTTCCAGAACTGGTAACCTAGTCTTTAGTTACCACCACAGCTGGGGTCTTGTTCCCAGAGTTTGCTAGTTCAGGAAAGAGCTCACCTGGCTTTCTCTGTCCAGAATCTATCCACCTCTTGTGAGCGGTCTAACACTTAGCAGTGTTCTGGTATACAAAGGGTATTCAATCAATGTTTGAAGTTGGCTGAATGGCGTCGCTAACCAACCACTCTCAGAGGATGCGTCTCTGTTGACCCCTTTGTTTTAGCAAATCGCATGCTGGAATGGCTTCCTGAAATGTATCTTAGTTTTCATGAAAACCTATAAATTACAATAGACCCCACATACTCACCCCACATACTCACCTCAACCCAGAACATACACACTCCCAAGTAGCAGGGGAAAAAATTAAATCAATAGATCAGGAGCGATTCAAGTTCATTTCACCCTGGCAAAATGTTTTAAGATCGAGTTTGAAGAAAACTAAATGTCTCTAAGGCAAGAAGTCCTGGTGACCTACCACTGGTCTTGGAGGTGGTTCAACCACAGCTCTACCACCACTCGTAACATCTGCCCCAAGAACCTTCAACACAATTGTAGTAGGTATTTTTTGTGGTTTCCTCTGGAAAAAAAAATAAGCTCAGACATGTAGTGACTAAATTGCGAAAACATTTATTGGCTGCAGTGAACCATTTCCTCTTCAGCTTAGAACAACTTCTCTAATTATTAAATTGTTGATAGAAATCACTTTAATAAATGTGGCTTTTCAGACAAGACCCACTCTGGGGAGGCAAGCACAGATATTAGGACACGTGCCATGGGAACTCTGTGGGCCCACTGTGTATTACAGATTGAAGGTTTAAGCCACGTTGAACTCTAGCTCATCACCACGAGGTTATATGAGGTTGGGGTCACCCTAACGTCACTAGGAACAGAGAGGGAACAGCTCTTTTCTTCCCTTGGGAACGAAACCTGACTTTCACAGCATGTTCAAGGCTTTAAATGCTAAATATGTTGATTTGCTTTTGCAAAAATATGATCATTCCAGCAATAATCTCTTGATACATCATCAAGCCTCTCCTTAACCTTGTCCTCGTTCTTTTGTTCACATTAGCAGGTGAAGTGCTTCTCGCCAATAAGTCAACCAGCGGGCTCCAAAATAAAAGTTTCCCATGTGTTTTTGGTAGAGAACTCTCCCAGGAAAACACAGTAGGGCTCATGGCAGTGTGGTGCAGACTCCTGCCGAGGGACGGGCAAGCACTCCTGGATGTGGGTTCCTCATCACCAGCCACTGGATGGCTTCTGTCTGTGGAGCTCAGGGCTCCCAGAAGGCACAGGAGCTTGCTGAGACAGTCCAGACAATGGGAAAGCAGGATACAGCAGGAAGAGGGGGCAAGCAGGCAGTCTTCTCAGGTGGGAATGGCCACCCTCCAGGGCCTCTGGCCACTAGGGAGACCTTACTAAAGAGAGGCAGGGAGGGAGAGAGGGAGGAAGGGAGGGAGGGGGAGAAAAAATGAAAGGCAAAAGAGAGCAAGAAAGAGGGGGAAATAAAGCAAGGAAGAAAAGAAAGAAGGGAGAGAGGGGGAAAGGAAGGAAGCAAGGAAGGAAGGAGAGAGAGAGGGAGGGAGGGAGGAAAAGAAAGGAAGGAAGAAAGGAAGGAAAGAAAGAAAAAGAAAGGAGGGCGGGAGGGAGGGAGGGGGAGAGAAGGAGGAAGGGAGGGGGAGGGAAGGGAGAGAAGAAGGAAGGAAGGGGAAGGAAGGAAGGAAGGAGGGGAGGGGAGGGAGGGAGGGAAAATAATCGAAAAGAAAAGAAGAGGAAAAAAAGAAAAAGAGAAAAGGCTGGTTTAGCCAAGCATAGAATCAGCTTGAACAACTGGCCAGGGAACAGGCCTCAGGCACACAGAAAGGGGCAGAAAGGTCCAGGTGTGGTGGGGGAAGACAGGCTCATGTCTAGCAGACATCTAGGAGGGGCCAACCAGACAGCTGGGAGGTCAGTGCAGGACAACGTGAAGCCACGACCTCCTTCTCGAGAGCTAACTGTGTGCCAGGCCCCGTTCTAGGTGCCTGGGATAGGGCAGTGAGCCAAGCACATGTGGCCCCTCCCTCACTGGGCTCACATCCTAGTGTGGGGATCCACACAGTAACAGAGAAAGGAAGGAAAAGATTTCATTTCAGGTGGTGGTGGATGCTGTGCAGACGCTGGGGGGCTGGAGTGGGCTGCTGCTTAGTGGGGTGGTTGGTGGGTGGTTAGGGGCAGCCTCTCTGATGGGGTGGAAGGGACTACCCAGTACAGGGAGCAGTGACCAGAAACAAAATCACTGGAACCACTGGAAGATACTCCTTCCCCAGCCACAGAGCCAGGGCTCAGGAGCAGGAGGATTCAAGGGGTTGCCGTGTGGCTCTTCAGGGGTGAAGAGACCACAGCAAGCTCAGGGCTGGGCAGCCTGGAGCAGGCAGTCTTTGGCAATCAATCAATAGGGCCTAGAACGCTTGACCTTCCCTGGTCTCTGTGCGCTGGTCCTCAGCAGCTTGGGAAAATACCCCCTGAAAAGACAGGGCGCATCCCCGCCAGCTTGGCTTGGTGTAACAAGTGCCACACACTGGTTGGCTCATAGACAACAGACACTTGTTTTTCACAGTCTGGGCCAGAAGTCAGTGCTAGGGTGGCCAGGTTCTGCTGAGGGCTGTCTTCTGGGTTGCACATGGCTGTCTTCTTATATCCTCACATGGCAGAATGAGGGCAGAGAGCTCCCTAGCCTCTTCTTCTAGGGTCACTAATCCCATGGATGAGGGCCCCACCCTCACGACCTAATCACCTCCCAAAGGCCCCAGCTTTTCATACCATCACACTGGGATTAGGGTTTCAACAGATGAATTTTGGGAGGATACAAACACTCAGTCCATTGCAGGGAACTCAATTCTGTCTCCTCCCCCATTCGGCCAGCTCTAATTTCAAGCAGCTCTATTGGAAGCATTCATTTTCTGTAAAGGAACACACATCTACCTTCCTAAACCCCTACCTTTGTTTCTCACTTTGTTCCCTGAAGCTTCAAGGATAAGTGAAACCGCCTTCCCTGTGAATGCCCTTCAAATATTTATGTGTGGCTACTATTCCTCTCTATGAGCAGACGGAGGCAAAGGCAAGACACGCTGGATTTCAGCACCATTCCCTCCTACCCCCAAGACCAGCATGAGAGTTCTGAAGCTCTCTCACCCTCCTTTATGCGCTTGCTAGGAAAAGTAAGCAAGATAATTTGTAGAAAGTGCATGGCCCAGTGACTGGCACATGGAGGAGCATGAGAGGGCAGCTTCTTTCTCCCTGGGTCCTCTCTTCTCAAAGCTAAGCGTCACTAGTTCCTTCAATGGTTCTTTTTGTGATGTGACTTCAAGAGCTATGATGCTCAATTGTCTTCCGATGCTCTGTTGTGATTCAGACATGCTTAGCTCAAGGCAACCCTGGAGGAGGAAGAAGGAAGCCAGGAGCAGGTGCACCCCCATTCTCCAGTGGGGCAGCTTCTGATAGCATCAGGGCCGGAGCATCAGCCGGACTGGCTGAGTCTCGTGGAGGGAGCCAGCAACATGCGACTCACTCACTCTCTCTCTCTCTCTCTCTCTCTGTCCCTCTCTCTCTCTCTCTCTTTCTCACACACACAAACACACCCCGTGACATTTGCCCTTTTCTAGCTTTCTGTCTGTTTTCTATGACCCCATGATTACAAGCAATAATTAAATCAACTTCATCTGCAGGTCCAGCCAAGATGCCTGCTGTGGCTTCTGTCATGGTGGCCTCGCCTGCTCAGGGTTTTCTCACGTCTTCTGTTCCACTCCTCCGACCTAAGGCCCATCCTGTGTGGAGAAGCGAACACGGCACGGGAGACGAGGCACTCTACTTTCTCTATCTCACATTATCCTTACACAACCTGCTCCCCGAAAGATGATTTCTTCCTTTCTCGTCTTGCTGTTCCTAATGGAGTTTTAAAAGTACGCTTTATTCATGGTTCTTGAGTTAAAGCATACATTGTTGACTCCAAGTTCCCAGCTACACAGAACTGGGCAGCACTGTTTTTAAGACAAGAGTTAGAAGTCCAGCGAAACACTTAAGTAGGAAGTCAGAGAAGATACATGCCCCCACACCCCCACACCGCCCATAAAAATGTAGTCTTTATTGCACACCAACGGAGACCAGCAACACGGAGCAGAGTCTTTATGGATTTCCTGGGAACTTGAAATGCTCTCCCTGCTCATCACTTCTGTGAATCCCTGTCCATTCCCTATAGTTACCAACAGTAACAAGCTTAAAACAAAGCAAAGATGGCAAAGGGCTCATGGCATGTGTTTTGGAGGGTGGGAGAGACATTTCTTATCTCTTTGCTCTTCTGTGCAGTCAGGAGACTCTTGGGAAAAGCAGATGAAGACAGGCCAGAAAGAAAGCCGGGCGCAATGGCTCACGCCTGTAATTCCAACACTTTGGAAGGCCGAGGCGGGTGAATCACAAGGTCAGGAGTTCAAGACCAGCCTGACCAACATGGTGAAACCCTGTCTCTACTAAAAATACAAAAATTAGCTGGACTTGGTGGCATACAACTGTAATCTCAGCTACTCGGGAGGCTGAGGCAGGAGAATCCCTTGAACCCAGGAGGCAGAGGTTGCAGTGAGCCAACATCATGCCATTGCACTCCAGCCTGGACGACAGGGCAAGACTCCGTCTCAAAAAAAAAAAAAAAGGCAACTCCCTATGGCCTCTGGGAGAAAAACAGAGCAAGGAAATGTGGGTGCAGCTTGAGAAGGACTGTCCCTAGGGAGCTCACCCGCAGGAAAGTCACTCTCCTTTTGACGTTACATCATCAAAACTTCCCAGTAGATTTTGTTGTGTGCTAAGCGTATTTTGGATTATGCAGAGCTATGCTACAGTAGTTTTTCCATCACGGTTCAGTCTTGCAAGAAAGCTAACAGTTCACCAACGTAACATCAGTTATGCTTTCACTTCCCATAGCCAGAATTAATTCCCAATGGGGATTTTTCAATGAAAGCTGGATTTCTAACTGCCACTCTCAACCAGTTTTCACCTTTCATTCCCCACCTGTCAACATTGGCTTAATAATCTACTGCACGTCTCCCACTCATCAGATAATAATAATAACAGCAATAACAATAATATTAGCCAACATTGACTGAGGAGTTCATATGTGCTAGGTGCTATTTTATGAGCACCACACAACTGAGCTTGTTATGCCTCTCCATATCCCCGTGAGGAAGGGACTACGTCTCAGCATTCTACGGATGAGGAAACTGAGGCTTAAAGTCACACAGCTAGTTAGCAGGGGAGCCGGCACGCGCTTGCAGGCGGTGACTCCAGAGCTCCTGACCCTAGAAACCCACACAGCTGCACACGGAGCCTCCTCCACTGAGCACAGGCTTCAGGCTTGGCTCGCTGCTTTCGCAAGTGCCGCCATCCCCTGCCACCCTGCCCCATCACAGCCCGGTGGCTTGCAAAACATTTAACTCCGCACCCCATGCCCTTTCTTCAAGTGAGGAAGCCCCAAGCCTGCATTAAACAGATCAAATGGAGATTCTCTGGATGAATTAGGAAGAGGAGCGGGGGCTCCTGCCCCCTCCCCACCCCAGCCCCTCCCTGGTGTCCCAGAGGGTTCTGCGGGACCTTAGGGCTTCTGTGGAACGCAGCTGGAAAACCCCTGGACCAGACTAGCTTTGGTCTCCCTCCACCAGGAAAACTGCCAGCTCCAGAGCTGCCCTCCAATGCGCTTCCAAAACTCCACAGCTTCCTCTTGGTTCTAGGACAAATGTGAAACTCTGTACGGGGAATTCCAGGTTTCCCAAACCCCGTCTTCCCAGCCTTTCCCTCTGTACCCTCATTCCATCCAGGTGGCCTGGCCTCCGTGCGGCCTGAAAGCAGGCAGCGTTCTTTGAACCATTTGGAACGGCCTCTACTTTCCCCTACCAGCCGAAGAAACAGAGCCGAGAGCCGCCTCTCCCCAAGGCCTCCCCGAAGGCTCTGGTGCTGCTTGTCTCAGCATCCTGTTTAGCACTCACTCCTGCCCTGCTGTGTCATTAGCATACAGGCTTCACTGCCAAAACACGGACCAAAGCAGCAATGACTTCAACAAGAAGAAAGTTTATTTCTCTTGCAAGAAATGTCTGAGCATGTGCAGCCCCAGAAGCAGCCCCATGGTGTGGGGACCCAGGCTCCCTCCAAGTTGTGGCTACACTGTACTTGCTATTGGTCTGGCCTTCACAGTGGTCTATGGCTTAGCTCCCCACCCTCTGGCATCTGAGTGCCACCAGCTACAAGGGAAAAAGTGAAGTGGAGGGCAGAACCTTTTCTTCTCAAGAACGTCATCCTCCACTCCTAATTAGATCCCAGGGGCAAGACGGAATATTTCAAAAGAAAAGGAGAGAGGGACATTTTCTCTCATCTGTCATAAACTCCTGGAAGAAAAGGACCTTCTTCTACACACCATACCAGCCTCCATGCCTATTTAACCTCAGGATCTTTCTACACCTTGAATGTCATCAATAAATATTAAAGAACGAATAATAGGTATACAAATTAATAAATAAGAAAACAGATACATGGTCATTTTCAGAAATAAGAAAATGTTGGATTGCTTTATATCCGTGCTGAATTTAACGTTTTCAACTGCTGGGTACTAAATGTAAAAAGGTTTTTACATACTTACTTTTAGAAGAGTTAGCCCAAGAGAGAGAATATCTGAATGAGTGAGATGCTTACACACACACACACACACACGCGCGCACACACACACAGCTCCAACGTATTCCAACAAAGAATCTGGGAAACTGTTTCATTTCTCCTCGTGCTTTTTTTCTAAGACAGCCAATACAAAATTAATAAAAGTTTTGAAAAGCTAATATTGAAAACATAAAAGCATAATACTAAAACTACCTTTTCAGCTACTAATCTGTGACAGTAACATCTTAGTTCATTCACCAAGCACTTTTCCAAATGGTGGGAACACTGGCAATATTTTCACCCAGGAGATGTTACTAAATAAGTATGAGGTTTGCCCAAGAGAAATTATTTTTAAATATTTATTTAAAAACTATCTATGTCCTTTTCTTTTATGCAATATATGCATTTATGCATTGATTAATTCATTTCTACATGTATTAGTTGTCACAAATACCACCAAAAGTTTTAAGAAGCTTTAAGGTAGCTACAGGTAAAGAAGAGTAACTACAATTACCCTATTTGCCAGTTGTTTTTTTTTTTTTTTTTTTGAGACAGAGTCTCACTCTGTCAGTCAGGCTGGAGTGCAGTGGCACAATCTCACCTCATTGCCACCTCTGCCTCTGGGGATCAAGTGATTCTCCTGCCTCAGCCTCCTAGGTAGCTGGGATTACAGGCATGCACCACCACACTGGCTAATGTTTTACACTTTTAGTAGAGACAGGGTTTCACCATGTTGGCCAGGCTGGTCTTGAACTCCTGACCTCAAGTGACCCGCCCACCTCAGCCTCCCAAAATGCTGGGATTACAGGCGTGAGCCACCGCGCCTGGCCCAGTTGCAAATTATTTTATCAGTTCAGACTTTCTTAGCCTTGAATGAAGCCTAGGAAATAATAACAATAATAATAAAAGCAGCTTCCCTATTGCGCCTACTCTGGACCAGACATTGTACTAACTGCCCCACGAAGATTCTTTCAATCCTTTAATAATTCTATAGATACAGAAACCAAGGTGCAGAGACATGGGGTAATCAAAGTCTTTCAGAACTGCGTTCAGATCGGGCCTATTTATTTCCAAAGACCTTTGCTTTTTGAAATACAGAGAAGTCAGGTTAATAACTGGTACTCTTCTGTTACCTGTAGGCTTGGGATCGAGCCCTATGCAGCCATTCACAAGGTGCCTGTGCACAAACAGGTGCCATTTGTATTTCTCGTATGCACATCTTACAGCACAACTAAAGGGATTACAGAGAGAGTGTGCACGGGTGCCCCATGGATCAGGGTGCACAGAAAGACCCTCTTGTCAAATGGGAGTCTCAGGAGACTCTGAGCACCCAGGGAGGGCACAGGCTTACCTCCCAAGCCCCTGGAAAGGGTGGGACAAGGCAGGATAAAGATACTGCTAAGGACTCAAAGTTTGTGTCCCCTCAAAATTCGTATGTCAGATCCTAACCTGCAAGGTGATGTTATTTGGAGGTGGAGCAATTTGGAGGTGATTAGGTCATGAGGATGGGACCCTCACAAATGGGGTTAGTGCCTTTATAAAAGAGGCCCTGGAGAGTTCCCTCACCCCTTCAGCCATGTGAGGACACATGGCTATGAACCAGATAATGGGCCCTCACCAGACACCAGATTTGCCAGCACCTCCGTCTTGAACTTCCTAGCCTCCAGAACGATGAGAAATACATTTCTGTTGTTTCTAAGCCACCCAGTCTGGTGTTCTGTTACGGCAGCCAGAACAGACCCCGCTCAGACACAGAAGGAGGAGCCTGCCTCAGAGGGGGCCCTCTCTGTCCTCCCACTTCTGCCAAGGTGGTCTCCCCTCACCTGTACCACCCCTTTCCATGAGGCATCCCCGCATCGGGACACTGTTCTTGCCGCTGGAGTCTGGGCCGGCGGCACAGCCTGAGTAAAGGCCAATGCCCTCTCTCCCTGGCCGGCCATTGTGCACCCTGCGTCCCACAGCGAGAAATGCAGAGCTCTCCTGTCATTTGAACCTAATGCTCGGGCCAAGGCAGGCCTGCTCCTCGAGGTCCGCCTACCTCAGCTTAGATCCAGCCATGCGCGCAGGAAGCGGCAGCAGGCCAGCTCATGGACGTTCTTCCAGGTCCCTCAAGTAAAAAGTGGGGATTTTCAGTTCCCCTCCCTTTAGAAAACAATTTCCTTTCAGAGGACCTGGCTGGGAGACACTGGCTTAAAATCACTCTTGCATGAAAATGTTGTAGGATTTAACTCTCCCCCGATGCTAAATTCGCAGAGCGATACACATGACTTGGCCAGCTCATCCCAAGTAGATGCAGAGGGCTTGTGTCTGCAGAGCTTTCCTTAGGGGAATGGACTCTTGCACAGACCCCCTGCCCAATGCTGGGTCTCCCACGTGAACCCTGCCTTCAAGTCTTCCTCAAGAAACTTCTCTCTCTCTTTGTTCTAGCCCAAGGCTGCTCAAAAGGGCACGATAGACATTTTAGGGCAGGTAATTCTTTGTTGTGGGGCTGCCCTATGTGTTGGAGGATGTCTAGCAACATCCCTGGAATCTGTCCACCAGATGCCCCCCGGTTGTGACAACCCAAAATGTCTCCAGATGCGTCACATGTCTGCTGGGGGCAAAGTCTCCCCCAGCAAGAACCACTCGTGCACCTGAAGTGCACTTGGCTAAGAACTGAGAAAGCCAAGACGGTAGGAAATCCTCCTCATCCTTCAGAGGCTGTACATCCAGCTAGAAGAATCCGAAGTCAACATGATAATCACAAAGGCAAACATTCCACCAATGACAAGTCAAGAGCGCAAGAGATGTGTTGAGATGGTGTGTAACTAACAGAAACTTTAACACTTTGCTAATACTTGTAACATTTTATTTTATTGAAATTATTTAACTATCTGTCTTCCTTAATTTAAAATGGAAGCACCATAAGCGTAAACACTGAATCTTTTTGTTGACTCTGGGAGCCCCAGTGCCCAGCACAGTGTCTGACACAGGAGGCGGTCAGCGTATCTCAGACGTCAGCCTGGTACTGGTTCAGACCCAGCACGAGAAGGACAGCATTGAAAGAGCCCCTGTCCAGGCGGCTTCTGGCATTCACTGGGAACCAGGTTGGCTGAGGCAATCTGGATGTTTGACTCTTCCTAGTGTTTTTAATTAAAAAAAAAATTAAGTTCAGGCCGGATGTAGTGGCTCATGCCTGTAATCCCTACACTTTGAGAGGGTGAGGCAGGAGGATTACTTGAGGCCTGGAGTTGGAGGTTGCAGTGAGCTGTGATCACACCACTGCACTCCAGCCTGGGCAGCAGAGCAAGAAGACCCTGTCTCTAAAAAAACAAAACAAACCTCCAAAAACCTCTTGGTTTAAAGGCAGAGTGTGGGTGTGAGAGAGAGTGCGGGTGTGTATGAGGAAGCTAGATGAAGGAAATTTGTGGAGAGGGAAGATTCTGGAAGCAGTCTCAGAAGAGCTGTTTTCCACATCCCACAGTCCTTCCCTCCCTCCATCCTCGATCTTGTCTCTGAGTTTAATTCCCCTCCGGAAAGGCAAGAAGATGGCAAAACTGAGGTGCAAACTCAGGGCTCTTCACGGGGATAGACGGGCTGCATAGGGCCGGGCAGAGATGAATCTGTAGGAAGGAATGAGGAAAACACCAACCCAAATCCATGGCTCACCTCTCGCTTATGTCACCTGTTCTTTGTGAACGTGGGTTGAGCACCTGCTGACTGCTGGACAGTCCTCTGCTTCTAGGGACCCTACAGTACACAGAAGAGATAAAAGCAAGCTTCCAGAAACCTGCAGTCCAGCTTCGCACTATACAAGCCTGCGCGTGCACGGCGCCTCCCAAGGACTTGCCCATGCAGATGGCTGGGCCCCTTTCCACAGCATCTGTTTCCGCAGGTCTGGGTCAGGGCCTGAGAATCAGCATTTCTAACAAGGCTCCAGGTGAGGCTGATGCTGCTGGTCCGCAGACCGCCCTTTGAGTAGCCCTGGACTCAAGCCCACATGCAAAAGACACAAGTGAGCCGTTGTGAAGTGTTTTAGTCAGCAGGTGGGCCAGGAAGAGAACCCCACAAAGCATCTGAAAAAACAAGATTAAGGGCCCAGGCTCCTCACTAACAAGGGGGAACAGGAGCTGGGGAGTAGGGGGATCGTGGGTCTCCTCTGTTTCCTGGAATTTCTAGGGAAGGCCCTGGTCACAGTCTCCTCAGGGACAGCTCAGCTGCCTGGAATGACCAAGCGCTGACCTCTGGCCACCCGGCACCCCTGGCAGTGCCGGGGAGAAGGGCGCGTCGTGGTGGGTGGCATTGGGTGGCTCCTTTCTGTTGGTGGCCCCTTCCCGGTTGGGACCAGGCTTGTGGGAGGGAGCGGAGCCTTCACAGCCAGCCGAGCCTCTGACCAGTTTATTTACTTAAACAACAAACATCCCTCTTGCCTGGGGCCGGCCCAGGGCAGTTCCTGAATGGGAAGAGACACTGTCTTCACAGAGGCCCACCCACGTCGCCGGGCGGGTTTCAGGGCTCGGCCTCCCTGCGAGGAAATCACAGGCTGTGTCGGGAGCCCAGGGCTGCCCAGGAATGCGTGTGGTGCCAGCAGCCGCCACCCAGGGCCGCTCAGCGGCCTCCTCCCTCCTCTCCTTTCTCTCCCAGCTTTAAGTCTCCCTTTATTTTGCCTTCTGAGATTTTATTCTTCTCATCTGCAATGGCAATAAAGAAAAGCAGATAATGAAAAAAAGAAAGAAAGAAAAAAAATTAAGCTTTCTCCCTCAAAAGGGAAAAAAAGGTTTGAATAAACAGTGTCACTGAAAAGGCAAACAAACAAGGCTGTTTCTGAAAGAACCAGATGGACTTCCAAATGGCCCTTCCGATCCAGCCCACAGGGCTGCACCAGGGTTGGGCCTGAGGGCGTGGGGGGTGTCCAGGCGGTAATTTAGGGCCGGATTCTAAATGCTGTAGGTCACCCTGTGAACACGTAGGCCATTCTGAAAACCTCAAGCCCCACTGAAATGCAGTAAAATTAAACAAGCCCCTTATTACCTTCAATTTTTGTCAACATGTCCTACATCATTACTTTTTTCCGACAGTTGACCAATGTGTTGAATAAAGAATTGCTGACCATATTTGTTTTATTATTGTGAAGTTGGGTGTTTGTTTTTGTTTTTCATTTTTCTACAGTTCTCCCTGACTTAGCTAAATGGCCACATGCAGTTAGATGGGTCAGTTTGACTAGCCTTTCTCCTTGCCTAGTTAATGTGTGCTTTGTCCACTAAATCAATGATGTTTTTAAAAATGATATCTGACTGACATCCAAATTCCTCTAATAATTTCCAAACAGCAGGATGATATGTGCTATACACAGATGAAAGAGGAAAACGTTTGTCTTAAAAACCACTTTTTCTGTTCTCTAAGGATAAATCCTATTTTTAAAAACAGACTTTATTTTTAGTGCGGTTTTAGGCTCACAGCAAAATTGAGCAGAAGCAAAGAGATTCCACATAGCCCCCCTGCCCACATGCAAGCACAGTTCCCACATTATCTACAGCCCCCAGAGGGGTGCACTTGTCACAACTGATGAACCTGCCCAGGCACCTCGTTACCACCCAGAGTCCAGAGCTGATGCTAGGGCTCACTCTGGGTGGTGTACATTCTATGGATTTGGACAAATGTACAATGACACTATCCACCATGACAGTATCATACAGCGTATGATGGCAGACACTTGAAATGCCTTCCATGCCATGGTCGTCTTGTGGTTCACCCCAGAGTCCCCTCTGGCCGCATATTTTGACCAGTGACCCCAGATAGATGGAGCGGGAGGCAGCACCCAGGAGGGAAAGGGGATGGAGGCCAGAGGTAACCCCAGCCTACCTTGGAGAAGCCTCCAGACCCCATTCTCCTTGCACAAAGGTGAAATAGCCCATGCAAAAAATATGCCCTTGGCCAATCACAACATGTTACCTAAAGGGCACTCATGGAGCTGGAAGACAGGACTTCTGGGTTCACATATTGGCTCCATCTCTACTACCATTTACCAGAACGTCACTTTACCTCTCCAAGCCTTGGAGTCTTGGAACGAAGGGAAATAATCATAAGACATAGCTTGTGGAGATTAAGGAAGTCAGTATCTAGAAAGTGTCCCCACACAATGTCATTTTATTTTAATGAATGTTTATAAAGCAAAGCTATTCCTTTATTATTTCTTTTCCAGAAAAGAAACCAGGTGTATGAAATAAATTTGGAGGAATGCCTAAGGATAGAGACAGCTCATCAGATTTTAAGTTTTTTAGGTAAAGTAAGATGGAATGAAGGAGGGAAGGGAGAGAGGGAGTAAAACCCAACCCACAACTGGTCACGATTTCTTGATGGCACTGATAGAAGAATTGTTCAGCTACACCCCTTGTTTTCAGGTGGAAGCAAGACCATGGAGCATTATTTTCTAATATCAAAACTCCAATGTGGATTGTAGTTATGAACCAGGGGAAAAAGGAAATATTTTCATCAGGGATTTTAAACTCGTTCACAGCAAAATTATAATACTACATCATGGCTAAACAATTCCAGAATTTCTAATAGATGGCCTAGTTTTGGAGGACATGGTGACATTTCATCAAAACATAAGTTCATCATTTCCTAAATGTGGCCTCCTTTTCATTGGTTGGCAAAGTTAAAGTTTTTTCTTTTTTTAAGCAACAGTGTGTCAGGCACATTTTATGATCCTTACCGCATAGGAACAGGGCCACAGAAGCCACGCCCGTTCATTTGTTTGTATTCCATGCCTACAACAGTCATTCTCAGTCTTTAGGGTTGCGTCAGAGTCGCCTGGTGGGCTTGTTAGACACAGATGCAGGGCTGACCCCCAGAGCTTCTGGCTTAGCAAGGCTGGGGGCCTGAGAGTTTGCATTGCTCACAGGTTTCTGGGTGATGCCGAAGCTGCTGGTCTGGAGACCACATTTGAAATCCACTGGCCTAGAATAAGACTTGGAGTATTCCAGGTCCTCAATAAATACGTTGGTTAAATGAAAAGGCAGTGTCTTGGGTTCTGGTTCTACTGGTAAAGGATAGAGAGGGCCGTGAGCTTTGGACGGCATTGCAGCATTTCTGGAACTCAGGAAGAAACTTCAGGGCCACTGGTCCAGCCACAGTCAAAGGTAGAGCTTTCCTTAAGGCCAGGTTTTATTAATTGTATCTGCTTAATGGCTACAAGAAGAGCAGTGGCATCCAGTAACTGTCACTTCACTCTGCCTTCCCCTGTCCCCATGCTAGTTGACCCTAAGTACTTACCCAGAATCGTCCTTCCTACTCTTCCATTTCTACAACCAAGAACTACTTACATAACAAGGCCTTGTGGGTCTTTATGGCCCACCTTGCATTGATTTCTGCTGTCAGGAAAGTTTGCTTGGCCGCTGTATTCTAAGGATGAAGGGACTGAGGCAATCAGTGGAGATTTTGAGACTTATCCAAAGCTATCCTAAGAACTGGTAGCCCAAAAGCGTGCAGTGGGGTTGTCCCCCTCTCCATGGCCCATAGCCCTCCTCTCAGCTGGCCTGCTGCCCACCAATGACACACAGGCTTGGGTACCCGGTGAGTACAGCTCGGCAGCCTGCTTTTCTGATGGTGCACAGGGTTCCTCATTCAGGTCTAGGGGTAGTAGAGACCCAACCATAAGACTCCCCTGGGCATCAAGATAGAGGCACCACATCTCAGCATGCTCAGGCAAGAATAGAGCTGAATAATTTCTCAAGACATGTTTATATTAAGCATATTCACCTGAATCATTGGGCCAGAGCAATGAGGAAATAACAGCACTGAACTATTGATTTTCCAAGCCTTCCCACAAAGCAAAGGGCCCCAGGCAGAGGCTGAATAAAGGAGTATTTTCCTGGCTGATGGCTATGTTTGAGTGTCCGCTTTAAACCCACGTCGAATCAGGTTGTGCCTTTCAAGGAGCAAATGTGTGAAATTCTAAAAAGAGCCCGAAAGCTTTAATGATAAGGAAAGACAAGTGCGTGCAGGTTTGGTAGGAGAAGGAGGAAAAGGAAAATGATATTAGATTAAGCCATTTAAAATGACGTGATGGCTCACACCTGTAATCCCAGTACTTTGAGAGGCCGAGGTGGGCAGATCTTGAGGTAGGGAGTTCAAGACCAGCCTGGCTAACATAGTGAAATCCTGTCTCTACTAAAAATACAAAAAAATAGCCGGGCGTGGTGGCGGGTGCCTATAATCCTAGCTACTCTGGAGGCTGAGGCAGGAGAATCGCTTGGTGGAGGTTGCAGCGAGCCAAGATCACGCCATTGCACTCCAGCCTGGGTGACAGTGGGAGACTCCATCTCAATAAATAAATAAATAAATACATACATAAATAAAATGACCATTTTTGTAGGTCAAAAGTGGTTCACGACTGACAATTTCATAAGGGAAACATTCACTTCTTACTCATCGGCACATACAACCTCCCTTTCCCCCAGAGTCTGGGTGGTGTTACTTCTAACTTTCCTTCTAACTTTCCTTTCTGCCCTGGGACCATTCATTCCTCTGTGGAATAAAAACAGGAGGCGCAAAGATCCTGCATCAACCAATCGCTTCGAGCGTGTAGGAAACAACATGTGCTAATTCCTGGCACCTTTCGGTTTCCCTTTTCCTTTGGCCTCTGAAACAGCCATGGCTGCAGGCAAGTCCCTCTTTGAGGAGCAGACTGTCCGCATGCTCTGTGAAGATAAGGCATGCAAAACCAGGCATGGGCTGAGGCAGGAAAAGCATCCTGCACGGAAGAAAACCTAACACTTCCATATTTGGTGAATAAACACACAGCATCAGAGAATTTGAAATTCTACAACTAAGACTGTAACAGAGTCACAAGATTGGAATATTTAAGGCATTGCTCTTAAATATTCTTGGTCTACCTCTTGGTAAACCAAGAGGTCAGAGATTATCCCATGACCAGTTGGAGCTTTGGGAATTCATTTCACCTCTCTGAGCCTCAGATCTCCCATCGGTCAAAAGGAAGGGATTGGACTCAAGTTATCTAGGGCTGACACTGCCCACCATTCATGTGTACTGTGTACGATCTTATCAAATAAGTAACTTATTAATTTTCTAGAGCTATACCATGACTGTCCCATAGGACCATATTAAATAAAGAGAAGATGGATGAGCAGTGGACAATCATGTCATCAATGACCAACACTTTCAACATTTAACTTCTATTGTTTTAAAATAATCAATTCCAGCTGCGATGAAGGAGTCCTCCTACACTTCCAGTTTAAAATGCAGGGCTTATCCCAGAGGAGCAGAGGCAAAAGTCCCAGTTATGGTGACAAGTTTGCCTCCACCACACATTTCCAGCGTTTGTCTGTTTTAAGGATGATCTGTTCAGCTCCGTGAAGCAGAAGACATTGGGTAACAGAGCAGAAATAGCTGCCTTCAGCTGATTGAGTGAACTGACACTAATGATTAATGTATACATTATGGGGCTGGGGTGGTGGTTCATGCCTGTAATGCCAACACTTTGGGAAGCTGAGGCAGGAGGATTGCTTGAGCCCAGGAGTTCAAGACCAGCCTAAGCAACATAGTGAGACCCTGTCTCTACAAAAAATATTTTAAAATCAGCTGGGCATGCTGCTATGTGCCTATGATCCAGGCTACTCAGGAGGCTGAGGTGGGAGAATGGCTTGAGCACAGGAGTTCAAGGCTGTGGTGAGCTATGATCGTGCCACTGCACCCCAGCTTGGGAGATAGGCTGAGACCCCATCTTAAAAAGCAAACAAACAAAAAAGTATACAGTATGAAAAAGTTTTCTTTCAAACTTTAATAACATCAGCCTTAGATACAAAGGGAATCACTTATTCCTGGCAATGGAAAGCAAATGCATCACACCTCAAAGCTGCTCAGCTGTTGAGATTAGGGTATGATCAAAGCAATGTCCAAGCTGCAGCTTCACCTCTCTGAGCCTCAGATCTCCCATCAGTCAAAAGGAAGGGATTGGACTCAGGTTATCTAGGGCTGAACCTGCCCACCATTCATGTGCACTGTGTACAATCTTATCAAATAAGTAACTTATTAATTTTCTAGAGCTATACCATGACTGTCCCATAGGACAATATTAAATAAAGAGAGGATGTCCCTACACACTGCACAAGCTAAATCCATGTCTGCCCTCTTCACCACTGCCGAACTAGTGCCTGCACAGAATGGGCCCTCAATGTTGATTTATTGAATGAACACATGAATTACCTACTTTACAAGGTTGTGCACATGAATCTCCAATGCTTTAGAAACAAGATAACTTGGGTGGTTAGTAGAATTGAAATATTTCTTAACTATGGGAAGAAAATTCAATTTACAGTTAAATGACACATAGATCGTTTCTATCCCATCTTCAGACTAAACTGAAATTTATCAAATGGCTCAAAGTAGACCCTATATTTGAAATACAATTACAAGTAATTTTGAAAAAAAAATCTACACTTTTATTTTTCACCACTTTGACCACCACTTCAATAGGCAAATAATGAAGTCAGTGATTAATGTGAGAAGGAAACCTTTTGTACAGGTATTTAACATCCTTTTACTACTCGTTTTAAGTCTGTTTTTAACATAGGGTACTGATAAGTTTGGGATTTTTCTAATTCTAAGCTCTTTAGCAGAAAACAGAAAACAGCTGAGAGCAGAAGACTTTAATCTTGTCCTACTGAAGACTGGGAGGGAAAATAGAAACACTCTCATCTCTAGATGTCAAAAGGGAAGGCTAAAGACAAGAGAAGTTGTTGATTGGAAGCACAATTTCTCCTGCTCAGAAAACAATACTATCTAAGGAAACAGAAGATATGTAGCTAATTCTGTCCATGAAAGAAAAGGAACCCTTGGAATTTAGAGATAACTAATCAATTCTTTTCTGGAGTTAGCAGAAAGTCAGAGAGAGATTATCCAAAGACATTTGAAGATCACAGGGAACTTTAAAGGCTAAAGAGCTGCAGCTTTACAGAGCTGTAGTACTACATGTGAAAGAACCAAATATTCCTTATTTAAAACAACATAGGAAAATGTGGGGGGAAGGTAATAACTGTCAAATTTAATCTGAGATTTGCATGAAAGTGCTTATATTCCTTTAAATCTTGCTCTGAAATTCATTATGCTTTAAAATTAAAGGGCATTTAAACATTCTTTTAAATACCAATATTAGAAGGTATTATGTTTTTGGTTTTAATAAGTTATATTTTAAGAAAAAAAACAGCTTAACTACATAGGAAAATGGTCCATATTCTTTTTACCTCAGTCAACCGCAGCTATAGGAAGCCCACTCTTTGGTCCACAGAGCTCGACTCAGGAATCCCCATTCCTGAGTAACACATGCATCAATACACCCAGGAAATAAAGGTTTCCCATGAGCATCTCAGAAACCTGGGAATGATGAGAAGTGTCTCTAGCATTGCGAACATGCCTTTGACATTTCCTATCTAAACTCTTAGTCTTCCTGGCTGAGTAGATGAGTCGCCATTCTCAAGACAAGTATAAAATGCAATTCAAATTCACATCTACTGAGTTTCCATAATTATAAGATTTAAGTTATAAGATTTGCATAATATTTATCGAATGTCTGCTATACACAGAGGACTGTGCAAAACATCTCTAAGGAAAGGAAGATGATCAAGACATAGGTCTTGATCTTCAGGGAACTTATCGGCTACCAGAGAAGAAAAAATGTATGCACAAATAATATCAAACTATGTCAGTATGTTCCTTAAGGGAGGTGCAGAGTTCAGAAGGTAGCATATAGAGGGAGGTTTAGGGGTGATACGTGGAGCCACTCTCATTTGTGCCAGATCTTGACAAGTAGGAGGGAATTTAGGGGAAGGAGCGATGACACAAAGCCATGGAGTTTATTGGTTAAAGCTGGAAATCACAGCCCACGGCCAAATCCAGCCAACAGATGTGTTGTGTTTGGCCACAGCAATGTTTTTAAAAAATTTGAATCGGTCACCAGCATCTTAAAATTGAGATTTCACATACAATTCTGGACCTTGCAGCTTCTCTTTAAAAACTCAGCTGTTGACACTGGGTGCACATCCCCACATAATCCTAAGAGCCAGCTGGAGCTCCACAGCAGCTGCTCGCCTAAGACAGGGCACACAGCTCACCAGGGCACTGTGATCCCCACGCTGCCCGCCTCAGCCTTGTGAGTGTCCTGAGTCTCCTGCGGGAGGCAGCCTTGTGACTCCTGATTTAAAGTCTGAGGGTGGGTCAGACCAATGCTGGTAAAAGTTTAACAACAGACACTCTCTTGAAAAAAAAAAAAAAAAAGTAAAGATCTGATTGTAGCATTTGCCAATTTCTATTGTATAAATACTGCCACCGTAGCCTATTTCAAGCTCCCAACATTAGGTCACTGAAACTGGAGCTAGGGAAGAGATGCACGCAATTGGCTCTCACAGGCTGGTGAGAGCCAGCCTCAGCACACTGCTCGGTCACATAGACCTGAGGGCAAATGCAGACCCCCTAAGGAAGTTTCTTACCTCCACATGCCAATGTCCTCCTGTATTAACAAGGAGAAATCGTTGCCTGCCTGCTAGTACTATTGTGGGGTTTAAATAATTTCCAGTTCATCAGCTCACCATTCAAATAGCCTCCTGTTTAATCCTTGCCCTGAGGTTTTTGTCAATGCTGCATTTTTTATTTTTAAAGTTTAGATTTTTTTTTCCGCATGTTTCTGTTATTTCTAAATAACATTTTGTTTTTGCCTTCTACAGGGCCGTGATGTAGGTATTCCAGGCATCCTGTTGCCTGTGTTCCTCCAGTGTGAGATCTCTGGGCATTGCCTCTGCACACTATTTCAGACTGCTTGATTTCCACGGCAATTAGAAGTTTTTCATGAGAAATTATCTTGGGAAAGAGGTTTTCAGCAGCAGCATTGTTGCCTCTGCTACGACACATTGTAGGCACGCAGGTCTAACCCAAGTTTTTTATTAATTTATCAGCTCGGGCTTCCCACAGTGCCTGAGTAGTGTGGGCCCCCAACTGCAGGAGGGCAGCCTCTGCTTTACATTTTCAGGAGGCTCTTCTTCTTCCCCAGCCCTGAATGGGCAACGCTTCTTTGTCTGAGCCAGGGAGTGGACAGTTCTTACAGACCCCGCCTCTTTGCAGGACCCCCTTCCAGCTCCCCACCGGCCTGGCGCCAAGGCCCTCGCCCCACGGTGCGCCCCTGGCTCCAGCCCTCTCCCTGACTCTCAGTCCAGTCCTGCTCACCATGCTGACTTTGCTTCAGGGACCTGGGGATTCCCTCTCTGACTTTTGAGTGCACTATGAATTTTGGGGTTAAAATTGTTACATTTGGGCAGCAGGAGGGGACTGGATGTCTGTATGGAATGAAGAACACAGCTCCTGGCACACAGGGGGACTCCACAAACAGGGGACTGTCCTCTGGGAGCAGGAAGAGGCACAGCACAGTCCGTTTACAGGGATGTGGGGCCATGCCGGGCCACAGAAAAGGTGGGCGCCATCCAGGGCATGGGATGGGAAGGAGGCCGTGCTTGGGAGTTTAGAAGATGGCCTCAGACCAGGGACATTGAGGAGTTCTGAGCAGAAGACTCCATGCAGAAGTTCTGCCTTTACAATTTGATTCTGGAAGCAAAAGCAGGAAGGTTAATTAGGAGCCTCTTGCCACAGTAAAAGGAAGGGGCCACGGGAGTCCGGGTTAAGGGACTTGGTGTGGGGCGAAAACAAGAGATGAGATGCAAGAAACACTGCTGGGTGAAATCCGCTGCTCATAGGCCCCATTGGCTGTGAGTGAGAGGCAGGACATCAAAAGCACCTACTACTGGACTGTTAACAGGAGAACCGAGACAGAACATCAAGAACACAGGAAGCTGAGGATGTATTTAATCATATTTTGGCTGAAGTCAGATCAACAGAAGCAAATAGACCAGGTGCGGTGGCTCACACTTGTAATTCCAGCACTTTGGGAGGCCGAGGCAGGTGGATCATGAGGTCAGGAGTTCAAGACCAGCCTGGCCAAGACAGTGAAACCCCATTTCTACTAAAATACAAAAAAAAAAAAATTATCTGAGTGTGGTGACAGACGCCTGTAATCCCAGCTACTTGGAAGGCTTAGGCAGGAGAATCTCTTAAACCAGGGAGGCAGAAGTTGCAGTGAGCTGAGATCACACCACTGCACTCCAGCATGGGTGACAGAGCTAGACTCCAACTCAAAAAATAAATACATACATACATAAATAGAAGAAAATGGGAGTTGAGGCCAGGCATGGTGGCTCACACCTGTAATCCCAGCACTTTGGGAGGCCGAGACGAGTGGATCACCTGAGGTCAGGAGTTTTAGACCAACCTGATCAACATGGTGAAACCCCGTGTCTACTAAGAGTACAAAAATTAGCCAGGCATGGTGGCGCACACCTGTAGCCCCAGCTACTTGGGAGGCTGAGGCAGGAGAATCGCTTGAACTCAGGAGGTGGAGGTTGCAGTGAGCCAAGATCGCACCTCTGCACTCCAGCCTGGGTGACAGAGTGAGGCTCTGTCTCAAAAAAGAAAATGGAATGCCATCTGGAGCTCCCTGTAAACTTACAGTAAATAGGTAGCAGGCCTGTCAGCAAGATATCTCCACATGCCTGTCTAGATTTCCTCACCATTACAATTCCCATTGTGCTTGGGTAACAGGGAGCTTCAGAGGGAACTAGAGGGAGAGAGGAAGTGAGGTTTGATATTGATGCCTTCCTCCTCCCTTTCTCCTCATGGAACGCTCTAGGCTGTCTCTACCCTCAACTGCAGCTTCCCGTCAAGAAGTCTCTGTCCTGAGCACTCTCTAGTTTCCAGTAACTGAGTCCTCCCCTCATCCATTCGGGTCTCTGTGACTAGGCTCAGGGACTGCGATATTCCCTGTGGTTTCCCTACCACGAGCCCGTTGCAAGCATTTCAAGCTGGAAACAGCCACAGAAATCCTTCTGGCCAGCTTCTGAATTTTGTTGAAGAGGGAACTGGAGCCAGCACAGTGATTTGCACGAAGTGGCTGGTGGCAACGGAGAAACTAGATCGGACACAGGTGACCTGCATCTCATCTCTGTCCAGAGCTCTCCATCCTGACCATGAGCACTGGCCTCCATGATGACGGCTTCACCCTTACAAAGCCGTGAATGAGCCTATTGTGTGGGCACACATACACACACACAAGAGTGCACACACATATAGACACAAGTGCACAAAAATGTATACACACAGATACATACACACTCACACCATTGGATGCAGGCATAATCGGGTTAAAGGGTTATAAAAAGGCTTCCCGGGAGGAGCATCCTGAGGGTCTGTAGGAAAGGGGAGGGCACCCACACCACTCGCCACCCTGGCATTGGAGAGGCTTCTGGAGCATGGCGGCCCAGCTGCAGGTCTTCCCCTGTACCAGCGGGTTGGGTCACCTCCCTCACTGCTTCCTGAAGACATTGCCTGGCAAGTGCAGGCCCAGCAGGTATGATAACCACGCTTTCCAATCCAAGTCAGGAACATGTGCTCCAACAAAGACCTCTGCGGGTGCTTCCAGGTACAAGAGGCAGTCCAGGAGATGTGGTTTGAGCACTAATGTTTTGAGATTTCTGGGCATCTCCACAGTTTATGGGGGAAAGGGAATAAACCGTGGGATACTAGGATTGTACCTCAAAATTCAGGACCTGCGGTTGCTGGAGGCAGGGGAGTCAGGAGAAGGAAAGGAGGGCATTAAAACAAGGTGGGGTGAGCCCTAACTCTACAAATGTGGAAGCAAGTTCCATAGACAATTATGTCTTATTCAATACCCTTCTCAGGGCTGACGCTGTCCAGTAAGTTCCACCGCCAGAAATTCTGGCCCCCCACTTGCTGCCAGGCATCCTGAGAGTCTGTGATCTCCTGGCTGTACATCCCACAATCTAGTGGGATAAAGAGCAGCCCAAGAAGTTTTGGGGAAATTTATTTCCATAAGTTAAAACACAAACAGCAAGATTCACATTCACTATACATTTTGACAACCCCATTCCTTGATACCAACTATCACTTTTGTCACCAACTATATCCAGGTAATTTCTTGGTTTGAGTGGATTGCAAATAACCTGTGCGGATCTTTTTCTGATGTAGATATCAGACAATGTTCCCAAGTAAAGTATCTAACTTTAGACAAAATTTAGACAAAACTCGACAATCACAGCACCAACAAACAATTGGCACTAAAGAGATGTCTTAACTAAAAGTTTTACAAGTCACTTTTCCTATAGCCCTCCCAACAGACAGGGAAATAGAAGTACCCAGGGGAGAAGACTGTTCAGAAGGAATGGAAGCCAAGCTGGTGAGGATGGTGAGGCCGAGGAGGCCACAGTAGAGCCCTGGGCTCCTGCCCTGCAGCCTCTGCAGGAGATGGAAGCCAAGGAGTTGCAGCAGGTTAGAGGGGACTGTTGGCTACACAGCCTTTGTGTGAAAAGCTATTGTTCAATAACATTTTAGGACTGCACAGCTTTTTAACAAGAGCAATCTTAACAAGGAAAACGTCCTTCAGGGTTTCTTTCCGAGGCAGGCAAGCCAGGTTCACTGTTCCTCCCCCAGAGAGAGGTCTCTCCTGGGGTGCTTTCTTGTAGTGTTCATAAGCTTTTTAAAAAAAAGAAAAAGAAAAGAAAAGAAAAAAGAAAAATAGTTGGATTAGTTTATTTAAGGACAATTATATATACAGAACAACTTTTGTAAAAAGAGAGAGAGGGCTGGGTGTGGTGGCTCACGCCTATAATCCTTGCACTTTGGGAGGCTGAGGCAGGCGGATCACCTGAGGTCAGGAGTTCGAGACCAGCCTGGCCAAAATGGCGAAACCCCGTCTCTACTAAAAATACAAAATTAGCCGGGCGTAGTGGCACATTCCTGTAATCCCAGCTACTCAGGAGGCTGAGGCAGGAGAATCGCTTGAACCCTGGAGGCCAAGGTTTCAGTGAGCCGAGATCACGCCATTGCACTACAGCCTGGGAGACACAGCAAGACTCCATCTCAAAAAAAAAAAAAAAAAAGACAGAGAGAGAGAACGAGATTGCATTTGAGGCTGTGAATCTTCTCTGAGGCTGGCTTTCTCAAAATTCAGACCCTGGAGGCACAGGCAGCCCCAGCATCTCAGGGCGTGTGGCAGAGCTCTCAGCTTTTCCATGGCTTTTATTGTGGGAACTAATGATTTTTCTTCATTTAGGTTCTTTTGGGAAATGATTTGGAAAACCAGTAATGTTGCCCTCAGAATCACAGGAACTCAATCTCATAAATCAGGAAATTGAAGTCCCTTCAACAGCACCAAACAAAAACCAGCCTCAATGAAACATCGCCCCTTGGGAGGCAGATATCTGGAAAACAACCCTTCCCTCCGATGGGGTGCCTCCCTGAAGTTCGGAATCAGATGCTACTATTCGCACTCACCCGTCTTAAGGCTCTGTAAGGAATGAATGGCTGTCCATTGTGGAGTTCAGTGATACAAGACAAATTTGAGCTGCGGGATCCACCGCTCCTGTGTGACCGAAAGCAGGCCACTCCCTCTGCTGAGCACCAGGCTCTTCACTTCTGCATGAAGTCCTGGCTCCAACCCCATCTCAACATGCCATGAAAATAGATAAGGAGGAAAAAAACACACAGGAAAACTCCTTGCCCAGTAAAGAAGTGATGGTTAGTCACCCCGTGGATAGTCTGCAGGCTCCAGGCCAAATCATGCCAAGTGGGAAATTGTCTCATATAGCCAAATCCTTCTTTCAAATTTTATTTATGGCCATCAAGCTCTAACAGTTATTGTGTGCTCCCACAACATGCAGACCACCGTGACAGGACTGTGAGAAGGACAAAAGGAATCAAGACACAAAGCCGTGAAGGCATCATTTGTGGGTCAGTTTCACCATCTGCCCACTCAGTTCCTTTCACCCACGTGGGAGGGGCCCCTTTCCCCTCTCTTCCCTGCTCATTGCTGTCACGGTTCTTATTTCCTTCTGTCTTCCTCTGACCCCACTCCTCATATCAAAATCTGCTTTCCAAAAAAAAGACTCTGGTGCTTATTCATAGTACGGTGCAAATGACTGATAGCTCAAAATTCCCTAGAGAACCTTACAATTTCCTAAAGCTCAAGGTCTTTAAGCAATGAGGCTGCTCTAGTGGGATTTCTGCCATGATTGTCCAATGCAAGAGATATTGTATGGGCTGCAAGTTCTATTCAATATGCCCAAAGTCACTTTCTGTAAGTCCCATTCAGATCAGCGAATGGGAGCCACAGATGTCATTTGAAATTTTCTAGTGGAAACATCAAAAAACATTGTTATCAGAAACAGGTGAAATTAATTCTAATAATAGATTTTATTAAACCTAATATATCCAAAATATTAGTTCAACATGTAATTCATATGAAAAAATATTAAGTATTGTACATTCCCTTCCTCATACTAAATCTTCCAAACCCAATGCCTTTTATGTTTGTGGCACATCTGTTTGCACTAGCCACATTTCAAGTGTTCACTTGCCACCTGTATCCAGTGACCACCACACTGGACAGCCAAGGTCTAAACAAATGGCTGCGTAAGACACTCCCAACTTTGAAAATTGCTCAATACATAGCCAGTAAGACTACCCCTTCTTCCACGATACCTCTTCTTCCTCTGCATTCCCCTGCTCCACTGCTCCTCCTCACAGGTAACATTCAGGGAGCACCTCCAGGACGTAGCTCGCTGAAGCCTTATAATTACCCTACAGGGCAGGTGCAGGTGAGGAGAGGAGGGACATAGAAGTTGAGAACTTGGCAGCAGTCCCTCAGCTGGGAAGCAGTGAAGCTGGAATGAAGTGCGAAGAAATCATCACAAAGTGAGGAGCAGAAAAGCACATGGAAGAACAAGGCAAGTGCACGAGCACCTGAGAACATGGATATTATACACACATGTAAGTCCCTTGATTGGCAGCGGGACTGGGAAGTGTAGGGTCACAAAGCCTGTCTCCCCAGCCAGCTGTCTGTCCTCTTCTTCCAAACGAAGTCATGTAAAGCAGGAACCCCCAATCACACAGCCCTAGGTGGCTCTGTGCCTGGGGCCATTGGCCCTTCCAGACAACTAGTACTGCAAGAATGCAAAGGCAGAGGACACAAGCCTGCCTTCCAGGGGCATATAATCTAGTTGGGTAGATAATGAAAATACACCATGTGACTCAGCCCTGACAGTCAATAAACAGGCTAAGAATTCAGGGTAATCCAAGAAGGCTTTGCAGAGGAGAGGGGATTGAAGCCAAGCGTGGAAGGAGGGTAGGAAGGTGGAAGGTGTTCCAGGCGGAGGGAGCTCCTTCAGCTAAGGTTTGCAGGTGGAAAAGAGCAGGGCAGGAGACCAGCATTGGGGGCTGTGTGAGGTGAGTCCTGGTGACCGAGGGTCCCAGGCAGCACATGGGGCTTTGTGAATAGGGCTGGGGCTCCCTGCCTCAGGTGCCGGTCCTGCCCCCTACACTCTGGCTTATTCATCATCCCACCCTCCAGGTTCTCACCAGGTGGACAAAACACAGCATGATTTCTGCTCCTCAACAGCCATCAACGTTCTAACTGGGGATCCCAGTTAGGGAAGACAGCTGTGTAAGGCAGAAGCTCAGAAGAGGAGATTTAGGATCGAGATCAAGTTGATTCCCTTGGGAAGACATCCCCACATGAACCCCAGGCTGCCAACCCCCAACAGTTGAGTCCCTATTGCAGTTCTAGTTTGCTGAGTGGGAGACATTTGTTCCCCAAGATATATGGTGATTTATGTCAAAAAAAATCAAAGTGGTCCCAGCTATGCAGGAGGCTGAGATGGGAGGATTGCTTTAGCCTGGGAAGTTGAGGCTGCAGTGAGCTGTGATCACACCATTGCACTCCAGCCTGGGTGACAGAGAAAAACTCTGTCTCAAAAAGCAAAACAAAACAAAAGCAAAATGCAAGTGGCTGAAGTAAAAGCAGAGGGCAGATCAATTGTCAAACTGCAAGTCCTCAGAGTCCTGGATCCCTATCCTACCTGCCTTTCACTCTGATCTCTCCTAAGTGTCAGTTCTCACTCCCTCCCACTCTTAAGGGGAGAGCTCCTGTCCCAGCATTCCCAGAAAATACCTGGAGTTCCCTTTGCATGGGTCACACACCCACCCCTCTGCCACTGGTCTCTCAGGCCAGGATGACCACATGCCTGATCTCTCAACCTCAGCCACATCCTCCCCACAGGATCTGGAATTGGTGTGGGTTCACCAGAAACCCCTGGAGATCCTGCCCCAGCTGTTGCAAAAAGGCATAAAGAATGGATGAGAAGATACTGGGAAGCAACCATCAATTGTTCACTAGACACCACCTCTAGGTGTGCAGATCTTGCCCAGGTTTTAAGAAGAAAGTATTGTAGGGTTTGGTTTGTTTTCCAAACACTTGTCATGGGTGACAATTTTCAGGAGCAGTTTTGCTTTCACAATCCAGTTTCCCCTCCAATTATTCACAGCATAGTAAACCACATTAAACATAAATGTCACAGAATAGAAACATCTATGGCAGGGTTTCTAGTCCTTGACACTATGGACATCTTCAGTGAGATAATTCTTTGTCATGGGGGCTGCCCTGTACAGGATGCTTAGTAACATCCCTGGCCTCTACCCACTACACACCAGTAGCAATCTGTGACAATCAAAAATGTCTCCAGATTTTGCCAAGTGTCCCCTGGGGGAAAAAACTGCTCCCAGTTAAGAACCACACCCTCTTTGGGAGGCAGCCATGGCCACCCACTCAAGTTCAGGAAGAAAATACTGCCTGGGGTCAGGAGGCATTCTTGAGGGCCAGCCAGGCCTGGGCTGGAATTAGCAGCTATGCCATCCTGGGCTGGCAGGTTCACTTCTTCTCACCTGCAGCTTGGGGACAGTGAAGTACCTACCCCACTTGGTTGTAAAAAAATCATGCCGGACCACATATAGGCAGGTACACATGACAACATTTTGGTCAATGGTTGGCGTATACAATGGTGGTCCCATGAGAATTCTATTTTTACTGTCCCTCTTCTATGTTTAGATACACAAATACTGACACTGTATTCCAATTGCCTACAAATATTCAGTCCAATCACATGCTGGACAGGTTTGTAGCCTAGATGTATAGTAGGCCATACTATCTAGGTTTGCGCAAACACCACTCTGTAATGTTTGTACAACCATGAAATTACATAAAGATGCATTTCTCAGAATGTGTACCCATCGTTAAGCAACACATAACTGTATATACGTAGCCCTCACTAAAAAAGGTAGTTATCAATACCGTTTGCTATTTCCTGACACTGCAATAAAAATTGATATACTTTTTAGTCTGTGTGTTTTAGGAGAATGTTATTTGCAGGGGTAGTGGGGAACGTTTGTTTGTTTGTTCTTTTTCTTTCAAAACGGAAGCCCTGCTTTGGAAGAGCAACAAAGAAAACTGCTGCTGTTTCTGTGGTTAGACCTCCTTGAGTTTTCCCTCTTTAAACACAGCCACTCCTTGTCCTTTAGAAAGGAATGCAAGGAGAAACAAAAGTCAATCAACCTGCTGGTTGGCTGAAGGCTTCGGCGAGGCTGCGTAGTGACAGAGCTGGGTGGCCGCCCAGAGCCCGCCTGCAGCCCGCAGCCGGCCCAGCTCAGGTTCAGACACGCGCGCTGGCCGGGCAGCTGCGCGGCAGGCCCCGCACTCCCAGTCTGCGATAAACAGCTCAGGCCGTGTCTCTCCCTGTGTGGTCCCAGGCTGCAGGGGTCCCGGGGCTGCCTGCCTACATGTTTCTCATGCTAGAGAAGGGCATTCAGGATTGCAAATCTGCCATAAATAACCAACCCCTCGTCCAGATAAAGCCTATGTTCGCTCCAAAATGTTGAAGTTTGCTTTGCTTCCCTCTCCCCTCCATCCTCTCTTTTTTTAAAAAAATTATGTTCAGTGTCAGTCTACACAAGAGGATTGAAAATACCCAGTGGCAGTCATCAGGAACTTTGGAGTTTCCCAACATGACATGGAAATCTGGGAAACCGTACGGGGCGACCACACTCTAATTTTATGACCCCAACTTTATTGCCAGCACAGAGGCAATAAAGAGAAATAATAAATGAAACAGCATGCTGGAGTTCAGGAGGCAGCACCCCCAACCGAAGCTGCGTGGGGCGAGGCACAGAGCCTGTCTGTGCAGCAGCTTTCTCTTTCCAGGGAAGGGAGTGCCAACGTTCCCTCAAACACAGATTCCAGGTGGCTTCATAGAAAGATATGGCGAAGGCGGCGTTTGCGGTGAGCCTGAGCACAAGTTAGCTGCATCAATGCCAAGCATCACAGATGGGAAGGCAAACAAAAGGGTTAGGGTTGGGCTTGGGGTGAGATTGGGGGCAGGGCTCGGTTAGGATTAGGGTTGGCATTAGGGTTGGGGTGAGGAGTAGGGTAGGGTTAGGGTTGAGATTAAGGTGGATTCTCAACTGGGTGACCCAGCACACTAAAATATTAAAGCAGCTGAAAATAAAAGTAAATTGTTTGGCTTATGTGTTAATCCACAATGCAATCACTCTAAGTAAATTCAGTGTTAAATTCTTGATTATTAGCATATTTTTATGTAAGAATTTGTTCCACTACATTTTTACATTAAAAAGAAAAGATTCCTATATCCTCATCAAAAATTTTTTGGAAGAGCATTTTGTAAATTAAATTCTCATCTCTGGCACTTGTTTTTCTCGTTTGAGAAACTATATGAATCACAAAAAGTTTAACAAACATGAAAGTCTCAGTACATCGGAACTATTGGCAATGAACGGATATTTCTGTTTTTCAGATTCCAGAATTTTTTTTTAACTAAGATACGCTGCCTACATTAAAACTAATATGTCTACATATTCATAAAAACAATGTGTAATCACACCGAAGAAATGGGAAGCCCACGTTATTGGTTTTAAATTCTTTTAATCCCATAAAATTGTCATGGTGTTGACTCTTAGTGACTATTAAATAAATTATTCCAACATGGAATCAGGAAACAACAGAAAATTGAGATAAAAATAATAGAAAGACGTGCACACACCTATGTATCTATGAATATTTTAGAAAAGCTGATATAATAGACATAACTGAAGTATGCTCCAGAAAATATTTAGCAATAAATTGTAAAGTGTGTCCAACTAAATGTAAAAGGACCAACATGTAGTGAGTGAATTCCTGAAGGTGGAAATCTACATCCCCATTGTTGGTCTCAGCTGTTGGCACTGACTTCTTCTGGGAGGTGCTGTGAGTGCACTGCACTGGCCACAGAACTCGGGGGTCTGCTGAGGTCCCTCCCGTGGCTGTTAACTCGTTCCCATCATCTCTGATTCATGGTTGGCCATCCTGCCTTTGTCCTCAGGCTCCTCACCTTTGGAAATGAGGATAAGATCCCATGGCCAGTTTAAGACTCAGTGATAAAACATAAATGAAATCAAAGGAGCCCAATTCACATACCACTCGGAACAGCCACACAGAATCCTCATAAGAAGTTGTCCTGGAGCAAGATAGCTCCATCCCCACTGTCGTTTTGCCAAAGAGGTTTTTCTCCTTTGTTTTGGGGTTTTCCTTAAACTCGTTTATGAAATCATTTTGTGACAAACACAAAAGGAGCCAAGCCAGAAGTCGCCCTGCCCACACAGAGGCTTGGCCCCAACACAGCTTTTTGTTCTCACACACTTTCACTCTGAAGGAAGAGGATGAATTTTTATTTCTTGTATTTGGAAATGCTGCCCATATTTCTGTCTCAGAATGGAATCAGGCCTCAAAATCGAGGTGACACAGAAGCCAGAGCCAGTTAGAGTCTTGCAGCAGCTCTGGACTTGGTATAATGCTGGTTTTGGTCTGTGGCCTTGGGCCTCCAACGGCAGCTGAGAGTCTTTTAAACACTCTGAGCTGTGTTTTCATCAGAGTCCCTGAGGAAGTGATCCGTGGAGAACGTTTTTATGAGGGCTCCTGTCCCCCAACTAGCCTGTGGCCATGGGGTTGATAGGGTTCTCCTCTGGGTCACTGGTTCACAGCACCATGTCAGCCTTGGCTGAAGAACTGGGCCTTCTGCAGACAGACCCCCAAACTCTGAGGTATGGGGGTCAATAAGGAGAGCTGGGGGTCGTCCAGGCCATTCTATTCCTATGTAGCCATTATTTCTATTCCTCAGGCATCCTTGCATTTCATCACAGAGGTGAAATGCAGGCCACAGAATCTCCTCACCTCTTGATTTGCTACTCCTTCCCTACTCCCGAATGTCTGTTTAGGACCCTTATGGGACCAAAGATAGATCCTCCCTGGGGTCATCTAAAATATACCACCAGGCCAGGTACAGTGGCTCATGCCTGTAATCCCTGCATTTTGGGAGGCTGAGGTGGGCAGATCACTTGAGGCCAGGAGTTTGAAACCAGCCAGGCCAACATAGCAAAAACCCTGTCTCTGCTAAAAATACAAAAATTAGCTGGGTGTGGTGGCACATGCCTGTCATCCCAGCTACACAGGAGGCTGAGGCACGAGAATCACTTGAACCCAGGAGGTGGAGGTTACAGTGAGCTGAGATCGTGTCACTGCACTCCAGCCTGGCTGACAGAGCAAGACTGTGTCTCAAAATAAATAAATAAATAAATAAATAAATAAATAAATAAATAAATAAAATGCATCTCCAGCCCTCAGTGTACTCACAAATTGAGGTCCTCAGGTAAAGCTACCATTTTAGGTCTCACTGGCTAACCAAATCTCTGCCTCCACCACACTCTGGGTTTGCAGATAATTGGTAGGAGATTGTCTTTCTTTGATGTTGAATCTAACAAAGGATCACTCTCTCCAGGCTCCCTCAAGGAGATCTTCTCCCTCAAAGATGGGTTGAAAAAGAGAGGCAGGTACCTGCAGCAAATAGAACCTTGTTCCAGATAACTATTGCTTCTTAACAAACTACTTCAAAACTTAGTGGATTAAAACAACCACCACATTATGTTATCTCATGATTTTATGGGTGGGACTTTATTGCCAGGAATTTGGGCAAGGCTCAGCAGAGCGATTCTTCTGTTTCATGTGGCAGCCATGAAGGTCACTCAGTGGTATTCAACTGGCAGATGACTTCACCCACACGTCCAGCACCTTGGCAGGGGTGGTTGGAAGGCTGGACTCAACTGGGACTGTTGATCAGAGTGCCCATGTGGCCTCCCTGGCACCACTGACTCAGGAAAGCTGAACAGGGGCCCAAGGGTACCTGGCAGCTCAGGGCTCCAAAGGTGCATGCTCCAGCCTTGCTTCATATGATCCAACCTCAGAAGTCATGTGTCATCACTCCAACACACTCCATTGGCCAAAACAGTCACAGCCCTTCCCAGATTCAAGAAATGGGAACATGGATCCCATCTCCCCACGTAAGGCATGTAAAAAACTTTATGAGGTCTCGTCTGCTAGTTGCAAGAGCTGCTACCTCAGAATCCTGGTTTTTCTAATCTCAGTGGCTGAAGAGTCCAGTGCTACCTACCTATTTTCCCACCTTACAGAACTCCTTGTGAAAGTGCCCCTGCCTCCCACCCAACCATTACCCATACCTGCAGGCATGTGCCACCAGCGACTTATACCAGGCTCTTCTTCAGAAACATGATTTGACAAAACTTGTTCAAGCTCCTCAAGACACATGTTAACGAAATGAGTCTTCTTAAGTCCCTGGGTTGAAAACTTCAATGACTTCCCACCACACACAGAATAAAATCCAAACTCCTTACTGCAAACTCTAACAATCTGTTAGCCTGCCCTTGTCTGCCTCTTTAAGCCTTCATTTCTAGTTTCTTTCCCCACTTGTCCTCTCCAGCCACACTGGCCTTCCTCTCTCCAACTCACCAAGCTGTTCTCACCTCAGGGCCTTTGCACATCCTGTTAATTCTGCCAAAAATGTCTGTCCCTTCTTCTTCACTTGGCCATGTGCTTTGAATCTTTCAGGTATATCCCAAATGTCATGAACTCAGGCCTCTCCCCACCATCCATTTTACTTTTTATAACATTACTCTGGTCTACTGACTTCATGCAGGCATCTAACATTATCCCATGAATTAATGTTAATCTACATGAGAGTACTTTGTCTGTATTCCTTGAACTCTGTTCTGTTCCTGGCACATGGCAAATACTCAACTGATACTGAATGAGTGAATGAATGAAAGAATAAGTGAATGAATTCCCCTGGCTGACTTCTCAACCTCACTGGCAGGACTTCTCTCTTTTTGGCTCAAAGTGATATATCACACTACTGGATCAGAGCCCTCCACCCACCAAAATCACTTGGAGGGAGTTACAGTCAATCTATCTCATGCTTCCAGCTGTGCCTGGGCTCAGACACATGGGAGACTGGGTAATGCCTTTCCATGTGTACCCCAGGAACAAAATGCAAATGCAGGCCCAGGAAAAGTCTGGATGTCACATAGTGCTCCAAGGTAATTCTGCACCTTAAGCCAATAGCATACCTGGTCTTCACTGAGCATCCATGCACCAAATTTGTAAATAAATCTTCATTTGCCAAGAAGGTCAGTTAAGACTGCTTAACCTTAACAAGAGACAGTAGAGCCAGATAGCCAGTGTTCATACCCTGCACTTCACACTTACTCCAACTGGGATGCTTACCTAACCCTTGTGTTTCTCAGTTTCCTCAGCTACCAAATGGTGTTGGCAACAACAATAACAATACCTGACTCATGAGATTGTTACAAGAATCAAAATATATGTAAAGGACTTAGAACACCACATGGCACCTAGTAAGCAATCAGTAAGTATCAATTGATTATTCACCTAATTTTCAAAGCCTTTTACAAGCCTGTCCCCACCTACCCTGATAAAAACAAAAACCTTCTCTCCTTTATTCAGTTTACCTGACCCTCTTCCCAAGCTAGACTCATCTTCTCACTCTGAGAATCCAGTGTGGGTTTCAACAGCCGTGCATTTGCCCGTGCTGGGAATCTGCCTCTGCATGGTTAACCTGATTCCTGTGGCCACAGGAATCACACATAGCCAAATCCCAACTTTCCTCCCTGAATCAGCTCAAACCCCAACTTCTTCAAGCTACAAAAAGTTCTTTTCTTCCTCCAAAGCCCTCTATATAATAGCATAAGATATATAATTCATTGATCAATTAATCCTATGGTACCTATGGTTTCCAGTTATTTAAATCCTTTATATATTTGTCAGTTCGTTTTTCGTATGTAGAGAGATCCCATCTCCTCAGCTAGACAAAGTCTCCTGGAGAACATCACTACTGGACGTGCTAGAGAATAGGCCCTTGAAATATTAACCTTGAATTGCCATGATTGCTACCTGGAATTTGTCCAGTACATTTTAGACACAACTGGACAAATAGCCTTAATAAAGTTTAAGCTGTATTAAGGCACTCAAGTCCAATTAGAAGATAGTGTTTTAAATAGTAGTTTTCCTGTTGACAGCACCACAGATCTCATCAGTCTCTCTTTAAACAGCCAGGCTACCAGCATGCATCCTCAGTGTAGATAGGGAAAGAATGGATCATATCCACAGTCAATATCTTGACTCTAGGACTTGTACTTACCTGGTTTTAAAAATTAAAGCTAAAAGGACTCATGATTGTGTGAAGCAGAGTCCACACCACCCAACAGTCTGACTCTATAGAGAGAAATAATGACAAGCCCCAAGCAGAGAGTTCAACAGCTGAACTGCCAGCCAACAACTCAAGAAAGAAGTGTCAACTTAGGGACTGAATGATGGACCACAGCCATGCCCAACTGCCCTGCTGAGAAAGAACCAAGAGAGCTTGTGGATAAAGAGGATTAATCAGTAACAGGAGTGTCTTGAGGCTAAATGTGGCTGGTGGAACTGGGGCAACTGCTTCCATGTATAACCTCTTTTGCTTTGAGTCTTTTTTTTTCAGATATGTTTTTTAAAATTTAGAACTGCAGCTAAACTCAGCACCATCTTCCTTTGAGCAGTCACTTGTCCAGTTTCTTCGTCTGTTTTGTGTTGCTATAACAGAATCCCCGAGACTGGGTAATTTATGAAGAAAAGAGGTTTATTTGGCTCATGATTCTAGTGGCTGGAAAGTTTAAGATTGGTCAGCTGCATCTGGTGAGGACCTCAGGCTGCTTCCACTCAGGGCAAAAAAAGGGAGGGGAGCAAGTGTGTGCAAAGAGATCACAAGGTAAGAGAGGCAGCAAGAAAGGGAAGCCGAGGAAGTCAGACTTTTTTTAACCTAATCCATTCACAAGAGCAGGAACTCACTCACTCCTGAGGGAGAGCATTAATGTATTCATGAGGGATCCACCCTCATGACCCAAATACCTCTCATTAACCCCCACCTCCCAACGCTGCCACACTGAGATCAAATTTCAATGTGAATTTTCGTGGGGACAAACCAAACCACAGCAATTTATTCCTAAGACACTCCTGGAAGGTCCCTAGGGGTTTGCTTTTATAGTCTTACTCTTCTCAGAAGAGGTCTATGGTCAGAATCCTGCTCTGTGGACCACAGGTATGCTGGGAATCCCACGGTGTAAACACCTTGCAGACTAGAATTCATCCAAAACTTTTCGAATACCTATAGGGAATTAGGACAGTCTTCTGTTCTCATATTTAAATATTTCCTGGAGCACATCCACCTGGAAAGGCCAAATAGCCTAGACTTCTACTTTTGCCAGACTGCAATGGGATGACCAACCTTTATGCCAGGGTGGTGTCAGAGCAGGTGGAGTGGGGAGCCAGGACCTTAAATCCACTGTGCAGTGACCAGCATCTCCCACATACACACACACACCCCCAAAGTGTTAGTAGAGACCATGTAGGGAGCCCAGACTCCCATCCCCACCCAGCAGTAATGAGGCACCTCTCCCCTCCCCACTGGAGTGGCATCAGAGGAGGCCAAGTGGAGTGTCTAGATTTTCACTTCCATTCAACAATAAAAGGGCCACATCCCCCACAGTGTCAGAGGAGGCCATGAGGGAGCAGTAACAAGACAACCCTCCCTATCCCAGCCAGGGTGGTCTCCACAAAAGGGGAAGTGATATTCTGATTAGGCCAGCAGGATCAGTTTCTCAATGTGAGCCTGTCCCAGTATCTTACAAGACCTCATTCATGTGACTAGAACAGCTCTAAACTGTAGCCACAACTGCAAACATAATGCCAACCGTAACCTGAATTTTCAGACCTGTCCACTTTGGGGGGGCAACTGTCAGAGGCTCACTTTCCTATGTCCCTAGCTGAGTCCTCTATTTACCAAATCCAAAATCAATGCCCACCAATTCCTATGGAGTTGGGATTTTGTTTTAAGCACGATGGGAAAACAACGGAGTGGTTTAAGTGGGGTCATTAAATTTGATTTCTGTGTTTTACGCTTATCTCTTTTAGAGTTCTGAGGGTCACAGATCTTCGGAAACGGCAAGAGTGACCACAAGGAGCTCAGCAAAGGTCATGGTCAGGTGGTAGGCAAAGGTGGCTTGGACAAGGGCAACAGCAGTAGAAACCATGAAAAATGACCAAATTTAACACACATTTTTAGGGTAGAGCCAGAAGGACTTGCTGTTGGATTGGACATGGAGTGTGAGAGAAGATGAGGAACTGGTGTTTCCAGTCAAAGCACTGAATGGGGAAATCATTAACTGGGCTGGGAAAGGCCGAGGTAGGAGTGGGTTTGGAGGTAAGGAAGGAATTATGTTTTAGACACCACAAGTCTGAGATGCCTATTAGACATCCATACTTTACAGAGAAAATAAATAACATCATCGGTTGGGCACTCCCTCATCTTCTGCTGTCTAATCTAGTGTCCAGAAGCATCTCTGTGCACCTCCCTGTCCCTTCCTATTGCCATGGAGGACGTCCCAGGTATCCACGTCCATCCTCTCTACCTTACCTCCTCTCACCTCCACAAGGCCTTGCCCTCTAGAAACATTCTCCTCTCTGTTTTTTGTTTTTGTTTTTGTTTCAGACAGTCTCACTCTGTTGCCCAGGCTGGAGTGCAGTGGCACGATCTCGGCTCACTGCAACCTCTGCCTCCCAGGTTCAAGCGATTCTCCTGCCTCAGCCTCCTGAGTAGCTGGGATTACAGGCGCCCGCCACCACACCCGGCTAATTTTTGTATTTTTAGTAGAGACGGGGTTTCACTATGTTAGTCAGCTGGTCTTGAACTCTTGACCTCATGATCTGCCCACCTCGGCCTCCTAAAGTGCTGGAATTACAGGCGTAAGCCAGCGTACCTGGCTCTCTTCTCTGTTTTTGGAACGTGATGCTCTCCTGGTTTTACTCTAACCCCCAGCCATCCTTCCAGACCCATTTTGTTGGCTTCTCCTTCCTCTACCAGACCTCTAAGCCTTGGGAAGCTTGAGGACTCACTCATGCTCCAACCTAGTGATATCATCCAGTTTTATGATTCTACATTCCACTTACACCCTAATGCCTCTTAAATTTTTTTCTCTATCACCACTTCTCTCCTGAACTCCAGACTTATCTAGCCTGCTGCCTATTTGACATCTCTCCTCAGATGACTTGGGAAAGAAGAAGGGAATGGAAGAAGTTTGAGGCAAGAAGCAATGTGTGAAATAGTCCGACGACTACAACAAGAGCAAGCATCATGGGATTGCTAGGCGTTGTGCCATTTGATGTTTGAAGTGAAGCCAGTCATTTCTGCTTAGCAATTTTCAATTTTCTCCAGCTGCTCAGGAATAGGAACAAAAAAGGCAGACAACTGGGTCCAATCAAGCTTGGGGTCTTCAAGTAGAGTACTTCTGTTTTGATTACTACACAGCAAACCTCCTCAAAACTTGGTGGCTCTAAAGAACAGCAATTTGATTCTATCTCAAAGGTCAGGAATTCAGGCAGGTCTCAGCTGGATGCTTCTTATGCTCCTCGTAGCATTGGCAGAGGTCACTCAATGGGACTCAGCTGGGAGACAGGCTGGTCTGGAGCATCCAAGACAGCTTTCCTCACGTGTCTGGCACCTTGAGATGGCAGGAAGGCTGGGACCACAAGGACCCCTGAGACTGTTGACTCAAGAGCCTATATAGTCTTTCTAGCATGGAAGTTTCAGGGCAATTGGATACTTACTTGATTGGCTGATTTCCCCAGAGTAAGAATCCCAGAGGGACCAGGGGACAGCTGTGGGGCCATTTCCAAGCTAGTGCTGTTACTTCTAATGCATTATTTTTATTTATTTTATTTTATTTTTTATTTTATTTTATTTTTACTTTTGTAGAGACAGGATCTTGTTATGTTGCCCAGGCTGGTCTCGAACTCCTGGCTTCAAGCAATCCTCCCACCTTGGCCTCCCAAAGTGCTGGGATTATAGGTGTGAGTCAACATGCCCAGCCCACTGCATTCTTTTAGATATAATGAAGTCATATGGCCAGTCCAGATTCAAGGGCAAGGAATCAGACTCCACTTCTCAATGGGAAATAGCAAGGTCACATTGTGGAGGAGTGGGTAGAAGGATCACCTTTGGAAAATACAGCCTGCCACATGCAGGACAGAGGACAGCCAGGAAGGGGCACAGAGGTTTTCTTGAAGGGAATGATAATACACATGACCATGACATCTAACTGGAGAATGAGTTAGGGGAAGCCTTTGACAGGCAAAGTGTAGGGTTTAGTGGGTTACAGCCTTTGATGAGATTGAGGAATCTTAGCAGCCAGGAGACTAGAACAACAGGGAGTGCTTGTCAGAGAATGGAATGCTTGAAAATGAGATTTGGATAAAATGACTTCTGTGAATGATGAGACTCAGTGTGTGACCACGGAAGTGGATGGTTGCAGTGGAGGGGAAAAAGGGTCCTTAGTGCTACAATGTCAAGGACAAATAGCCAAGGAGGTGGATGGGTGCTCTACTTGGATATTGAACTCCCTGTGATTGAGGACATGAGTGGGGGTGAAGAGGGAGGTCAGGCGCTGAAGTCTGTAACCAAGAGGAACCAAGAAGCCAGGCCCAGGAGTCACCATGAGGCTGGCCGGTGCATGGCTAGATAGCTTGGTTTTTGGCCAGGAGAGGGATAGAGACGGTCTAGAAACAGAAATCAGGGATAGGGAGGCCACTCAGCTCCACTGTCAGTCACAAGGGCCTCCACTCCAGCCAGCAGGAGGCTCAGTGCTCAGGGGTAGGCCAGGTCCCACAAATGCCACACTCAACAAGGACGTGAGGAGTGGATTGAGGGTTTGGGGAAATTGGTGTATCACAGACTGCAAGCCTCGCAGAGACTGGGGGAGGGCTGGGAAAAGAAGTCAGAGAGCTGGACGCAGTGGCTCATGCCTGTAATCCCAGCACTTTGGGAGGCCGAGGCATGAGGATTGCCTGAGTCCAGGAGTTCAAGACCAGCCTGGGCAACATGGCGAAACCCATCTCTACTAAAAATACAAAAATTAGCCTGGTGTAGTGGCGGGTGCCTGTAGTCCCAGCTGCTCAGGAGGCTGAGGTGGGAGAATCACCTGAGCCTGACAGGTCGAGCTTACAGTGAACAAAGATAGTACCACTGCCTTGCCATAGCCTGGGCAACAGAGTGAGAGTCTGTCACAAATTAAAGAAAAAAGTGGGGTGGGGGGACGCAGAGGAGCCACAAGGGGCTGGGCCAGGCCAGGAAGCCTGAGGGTGACTGCAGAGGCTGCCGTGCAAGAGCTAGACAGAAACCGGAGGCAGCCAGAATTTGCCCCGACAAATTCTGGAGCTGGAAAGAAGAGAAAATCAAACCTGCAGCCCGGAATACCTTCCTCTGAGGAAGTCTGCTTTCTCCCAAGGCCACACGGGAAGCATCGCGGTGACCGCCAGCCTCTCTCCAGAATGCAGGCAGAGCTCCTAAGGGGAACCTACTCCCTAGCCTAGTTTTCTCTTCTCCCAAAATATCTGTCCCTCTCTTCAGATGAGGAAGCCCAGGGCTTTGGGCTCCTCTGTCTTCCTCCTGCTGAGAGGCTCTGCTCAGGAGACTAGTGGGCTCGGGGCTTGCCTTTGACTTCAGAGGGAGCCGAGTGGAACGTGGCTGCTTCTATCCAGCTGTGGCCAGCTTGCTCCAAAAACAGCCAGAAGCAAACATCACACCACGGGAGGCCTGATTTCATTCCTAAGATGCTCCTTTCTTATCTGTATGAGAGATCACATCCCTTCTACTACTGTGATGTTGGCCATATTTCCTAGGAAATAATAAGCTTGGCATCATTTTGCTAAGGACACATCCATGGCCTCCCTGCCCTGGGTTACATCACAAAGTGTCCTCATCAGAACTGTCCTCATTCATTCATTCGTCCAACAATACTTAATGGGCACCTGCTACATGCCAGGCCTTGTCCTAAGTGCTGGGGAGATGCAGTGAACAAAATGGAGAAAAAAAACAAAAACAGACAAAAAACCTCCACCCTGGTGGAGCTTATACTCTAATGAAGGAAGGTGGCAAGTACTTTTAAAATAATAACAAAACAAAGTAAGGAGGACAACAGCATGTTAGCAGGTGACAAGTGCTAAGGAGAAAACAGGGCAGGGGCAGGAGAGTGGGAGTGAGTGTGTGTGCCTGGGAAGGCAAAGCCTGGAAGAACATGCTCCAGCATGACCAATCCACTCCTGTAGAGGCCTTCAGCCCCTCTCCTGGTGGCACCCTGAGAGAAGGATGAAGTTCCCATCCACACCAGCCCCTCTCACCCTCCAGACAGGAGCCGGCTGGGGCAGCAATCGCAGCTGCCCTGTTTTCTCATGAAGGAGGCACCATCTCCGGCTGCTCACCCTGCCCAAGGGTCCTGCTTCTCCCACCGCCCTGCCTTCTAACAGCCACCCCCTGAGCCACCTGTGCACATTGCTCATGAGCTCTGGGTCCAGGAAGGAGGGATAGAGGAAAGCCTTCCTCCCTAAGGCTTCCTGCCATGGCCTCCTTCTTGTGGCTGGGCCTTCCTGCAAAGCTTCCTTCTGTCACTCACACGCATTTCCTCAGGTTTACTCGGTGCCCCTCATCTTCCCATCTTCTCACTCCCAGGACAATTTCCTGTCTGTCTGTTCCTTACAGGCAGCCGTGCGCTGTTGGGTAGAGGGGTGAGCCAGTGAGGCATCCTGATGTCACCTATGTGCTGGCTCTCTTTAACATGCTGGGCAAGTCCTTTCACTTCCTTCTGTTCCACTCAGCTGGGAGGCTGGATGGCTGAGCAACACTCCCGACAGACCAGAAATAACATCATCTCCAAGCAGAACCTTCCTGGACTAATATATTTTACCAAAAAGAGAGATCTTTAATTACCAGTAAAAACATCTTGTGTCAATCACTGATGTGAAGGAGCTGCCTCATGAAAAGCTGAACTCATTCTTTAGGGAGAAGAAAAATCACCAGAAAGAAATGAGAGTGTGTCAGAGGCAGCAAGAAGAGCTCTTAGGAAGCCAAGTTGAGACAGAGAGTGCATGAGTGAAGAAGAGGCAATGTCATCATGGGCAGAAAATAAAGGGAAGACAGGAGATGCAAGTAAACATGAAACACAGAAGTTAACACAGGAGCTGAAGAGAAAAGCTGAAAGAAAATTGAGGAATAAATGTGTAACCATTCCTTTCCTTCAGCAATTGGAATACGTGACGTGCAGAGCAAACCAGGCTCAGACTAGCTGCTCCCAGCCGTGGCATTCACAGAAGAGGACTTCCTGGTTGGGCTCATCTATTCAGTAGTTCAATATCAGTCCCAAAGGAATCTGTTAAGGTAAATGATGACAACTGCAAAAGAGTGAATATAGCACGCTACCATTTGTGTTCTTCCATACGTAGACACGGACACCCATGCACACATGCACATGTGTCTGTGTGGATGCAGGTCATATCTGGTTGGAGAGCAAGGTGACTGATGGAGGCTGGTTGGAGACAGCAGTAGGAAGGTAACTGACTGTTTACTGTATGCCCTTTTAAATATTGTATATGGGTCGGGTGCAGTGGCTCATGCCTGTAATCCCAGCACTTTGGGAGGCTGAGGCAGGCGGATAACCTGAGGTCAGGAGTTTGAGACTAGCCTGGCCAACATGATGAAACCTCATCTCTACTAAAAATACAAAAGTTAGCCGGACGTGATGGCGCACGCCTGTAATCCCAGCTACTCGGGAAGCTGAGGCAGGAGAATTGCTTGAACCCAGGAGGCGGAGGTTGCAGTGAGCCGAGATCATGCCACTGTACTCCAGCCTGGGTGACACAATGAGACTCTGTCTCAAATAAATAAATAAATATCGTATATGTCTTTATAATGCTGTACATATTACCTGTTAAAAAATAGGGATAGAAGAAGAAGAATAGATAAAAGATTTTAAGCCCCTGAAAATGCCCAAAGGTATTCGCTGAGCTACATACAAGGCTAAACAATAGGGAAGGGGGAAATCCACAAAGTAAATTTTATCCAAAACCCTACATCCCCCATAGTACCTCCAAATCACAGCAGAATGAGGCACGAGATGAGAAAGTGCGATACCACAAATGGATCAATTCCAGCTCCCTTCCCTTTGATCCTCCTGAGGGCAAATCCTGACTTGAGGAGGTATGATATAAAATAAAATGATCCACTCAAATGTGAATTTACCCAGGGTTTGTCATAGGGAGTAATAAATCACTGACTCTCTACCAAAGTATCTGCAGGATTCTGTCCCACTGTGACTATTTTTTTCCAACATACCTAATTGTGGCTTCTTCAGGTCTCAAGCATCATAAAAGTCAAATGCCCTAAATCCTGCATTTCTATAACCATTTGCATGGCCCGTGGTCCAGATGGTGGTGATGTGACTCCTTGCTTCTCTGAATCCATCCCCCCACATCTCTGTTTCTTGCTAAAAGCTTCAGGCCTACTTCAAAATTAGCACTTTCTTCTCCTTCCCTCTAAGCATGGACAGTGAATGAAGAATTGTGCAGCAGTGAAAACTCTCCTCAGTAGATCAATTCAAGCTACGGGAGAAAGTAAATAAGACTTTTGCCTCTATGCTCACCTGAGTGGCTTTTTACTCATTCGGGACAGTAAACAAAACAGCCGCACAAAAGGCAGGCAATGCGCAGAGCTGAGAAGACAGGCCCTCCCCAGATGAAAATCTCTAACTGCAGAAAACAGGCTTTATAGTTCGAGCTTCTCACAGGGTGTGAGAAAGCCCATGGAGGGCTCAGCCTGGCCCTGGGTTTCTTCCCCACCATCACTATTTTGGTAAGCAGTAATTCACACCATTTTCTGGAAGGCTTTTTGCTTGGCTGCAGGGTGGGAGAGACGGCCCCAGGATGTTCCCGCCAGGATGTGCCCCTGGGAGCTCAGTTCCCCGAGTTGCCCTGCGCTCCCTCAGTGGGGTGCCCCAAACAACACAACATTTTATTCCTGGGAAATTTGCAGCTCTTTCTCTGGAGGAACTTGGCTACTTTCCGTCCTTGAAGATTCTTTTTCTTCAAGCACATGTTCAAGACACCAGAGTTGCTTCACTTAAGCAATGGTAATTTACCCTAAACCCTAAGTAAGGAAAGCTATGCGGCCAGCAGGAGCCACAGATGTGAAATGGTCCCATGGTGTCATCTAATTTAGGAATGCCAGCCCCCAGGGAAGAGTCCTCTAAGTGAGGAGAGTTGTGCAGAAAAGAAAGGCCATTGTTACAACAGTTTTCTTCCCGCCTCAGATACCGATTCTCAGATGACAGCATCGGCAATTAGAGACGGACAGATTCCTGCCACCTACCTGATATTGGTCCCTTGTTGGCCGGCTGTGTGTAGGCCACCTCCCTAGTTCAGGCCCTTTTTAAAGTGTCACCTGGCTTCTTGCATCACCTTTGTAGCTGGTCCACTTGCCTTAGCATTTCTTCATGCTGACATGGCCAGCTAATGTAGAGGAGAGCTTCAACTAGTCCACGCCTGACATACAGGCTTCCCACAAAGCCCAGCTGCCAAAACCTTTCCTGGTACTCAACTTCCAGTTGCCCCTTCTGGAGTCATGGCTACATCTCCTTCGAGGTACAGATTTTTGAGCTAAATTACCAAAAAGAGTCAGTCAGTGATGACCTGAGCAAGTGTGTTCCAGGCAGTGCAGAAGGCCCGTGCAAAGACCCTGAGCCCAAAGAAGTTCTGTCAAGATCAGACAACTTGCAGAGGCCAGCGCTGCTGCAGGGTCATAAAGAAAGGATCATAGCGGCTTAATATGGGCCAGGAATGAGAGTCAGGACCAGCCCATGCTGCCAAAAGAAGAGTGTGGCTCTCTAGTCATGGAGGGTGTCATGCCTGACCATGGCCTAGTTTCTGTTGGAAGACCCCATTGAGACCCCAGGAGAATGAATGGGGGTGAGGAGGACAAGAGGGAAAGTGACAGCTCATCTAACAGTCCAGGGGTGAAATGATGGAGGCTTGCAGAGGACCAGTGACCATGAAACCAAAGAGAAATAAACAGACTCAAGATATACAACAGACTGGGTGCAGTGGCTCATGCCTATAATCCCAGCACTTTGGGAGGCTGAGGTGGGCAGATCACCTGAGGTCAGGAGTTTGAGACGTGCCTGGCCAACATAGTGAAACCCCATCTCTAGTAAAAATACAAAAATTAGCTGGGCGTGTGGCAGGCGCCTATAATCCTAGCTACTCGGGAGGCTGAGGCAGAAGAATCGCTTGAACCAAGGAGGCAGAGGTGCAGTGAGCCAAGATCATGTCATTGCACTCCAGCAGGGGCGACAAGAGCAAGACTCCATTTCAAAAAAAAAAAAAGATACGCAACAAAGGCAGATTACAAAAACTGCTGGTGGATCTGATGGGAGAGGAGTAGGGTGGATTGAGGAGAATGAGAAGGGAGAAATCTACCAGGTGTCTAACTGGAGCAACTGGGAGGGTGCTATGGTTTGAACGTCCCCTCCAAAACCCATCTGGAAACTTAATCCCCAACACAGCAGTAGTGAGAGGTAGGGTGTTTAAGAGGCTCTGCCCTCATGAATGAATTAGTCCATTCATGGATTAATGGATTACCAGGTTAATGGATTAATGGGTTATGACGGCACCGGGACTGGTGACTTTATGGTCCACCATAAGAGGAAGAGAGGCCTGAGCTGGCGCACTCAGCCCTTGCACCACAGGATGCCCTGCGCCACTGGGACTCTGCAGAGTTTCCACCAGCAAGAAGGCCCTCACCGGATGCAGCCCCTCAATCTTGGACCTCTCACCCTCCATCACTGTAGGAAATAAATCCCTTTCTTTATAAATTACCCAGTTTCAAGTATTCTGTTACAAGACTAGAAACTGATTAAGACTGAGAGGGTGGCAACTTTGAGATTGTGAACACTGTTGGAGAAGCAAATATCAGAGTTAAACATCTTGAGCTTGGTTTGGATGTGAAAAGTTTGAGATGGTGCTGAGATACCCAGATGGAGATGTCAGAAGGCAGCTGGCTGTAGGAGAGTGGAGCTAGAGCTCTGGAGAAAGACCCGGGTTAGAAATAGAAACCTGGACCCACCGGTGTGTGGATGGTCTTGCAAAACACGGCAACGGTGAGGGCAGTCGGTGGCCCAGACACTCAGACCTTAGCAGATGTCCTGCCTGCAGCAAGCTCGCTGCTTACCTGCCCCACGAGGCCACATCTCCACGCCACATGGACTCAGAAAGATCTCCTATCTCCTGCCAATCATTGAGATTTTACAAGTTATCTTTTCCAACTTGATCTAAGGGATGTGAAAAGAGATTTGTTTGGAAAGTCAAAGGATAGGAAAAGCCTAGTGACAATGGGAAGAACCTGATCTTACAAGCACAAAATGGTTCCCAGTTGCTGCAGCGGTTTCCAAACCCCTCTGCCCACACAGGAGCCAACTGCCTGCTGGTGGCCGCTCAGCCGAGGCCAGCAGCTCCAGTCAGGGGGAAAGCGAGCATCTATCTAACAGCATCTGATATCAGCGCCCCAACTTCCTGCCCCTCCTCCGAAAAATCCCTCCACACACACCCGCCCCCCAGCCTCAGAAAGCCTCTGTATTACCATCACCAGCCCTGCGAGGAGGGGGCCTGGCCGAGGATGTGCTGAAAGCCACAGAGTGAGATTGATGTGGGGAGCGGCCGCCCCGGGCATGTGTTCGCCATCTGTCAGGCGGAGGGATCCCTGCCAGCCCTACATGGTTATTCAGTATTAAAAGAATATTCTTTAGTTTGACTGACACCCTACTCTGGGCAGCCTCAGCCAAGACAGTTGGGCTCTGGGATCCAGATGGGATGGAGGGGCCTCTGCTCTCCTGAGGGAGATGCCTCCGGAGGGCTGGGCCACCCAGGGTACTAGGGGGGAAGGGGCTCTCCAGGGCCCGGGAGGAGAGTGTGGCTTGGCCAGGGCTAGGCAGGCCTGGGCCTGAGCCGGGGCTTTTATGTGTGGCTCAGTTTCAAAGGCAAGGGCGGGACTGAAAGAAAATGTTCCTCACACATTATCCGTGCATCGTAGGGTCCTTTGGAGAACAGGAATACCAGGCTTGTGGGGTGCCTCCTGCAATGGAATACCCAACGTTAGGCTTTTTCCTGGAAACGTGTATATACAGATAAACCTTGCTTATTAATTTCAGGCCAGACACCAAGAATAGACAGAGGGCCCCTTTTCAGTGCTAGCCCTGTTGCCTTCCCCAAATATCCAGGTTTCCCTCCCGGAAGCCACTCTCCTCCAGGAGGGATCTTGTGGATGTGGCCCCTTCCCACTGAACTGAGGCACAGCCAAGTGACTCCCTTGGGCAATGGAACGCAGGCTGAAGTGGCATGTCCACCTCTGGGTGGAAACACTCAAAACAGTGTATAGTGGACCTTGTCTCTCTTCCTCTGTCACACCAGCAAGTTGCAGAGAGAGGACATTCCTTAAGCCTGGGTCCCAGGGCACAGCTAACATGGAGCAGAGTGGCAGCCAACCAGTAATGAACCCATGATGTGACTGAGACATGAGCCTTTCTTTTTAAACTGCTGGTATCTGGGATCTGATTGTTGTTGCAGCAAAACCCAGCTTATCCTGACTGATACACTCGTATGCTTGCCAGCTCACATCACCTGCTGTCTTTATACGCACTGTGTGGTTTCAGAAGTTTCAAATGCAACAAGAACATTTAAAGGTAAAACTGAGGGCAGATAGTTAATTAAAATGTACTGCCACATTAAGTTTTCACAACTAAGAACAGTACCAGGCCTGGGATTCCAGGAAGATTGCTTAAGATGCATTGTGTTTGTGGTGGAAATAAAAGCTGGGTACCCAGACCAAAAACTCCCCAACCAGTGATGCCAAGGCAGAGGGTCTAAGAGTTGGAGATTCAGAGCAAGGTGCTGGGGGCACACAGAACATGTTTGCAGGCCATTAAAACAGCTCTCTTCTCTGCACACATGTGAGCTCTTTTCTTGTCTTTCTTTCTCTCTCTTTTTTTTTTTTAATGGATGCAAGCCGTCACGCAGTCACCCAGGCTGGGGTACAGTGGCATAATCATAGCTCACTGCAGCCTGACCTCCTGGGCTCAAGTGATCCTCCCTCGTCAACCTTCTGAGTAGCTGGGACTATAGGCAGGCGCCACCACACCCATCTAATTTTTTAAATTTTTGTGGAGTTGGGGTCTTGCTATGTTGCCCAGGCTGGTCTCAAACTCCAGGGCTCAAGTGATCCTTCCACCTCGGCCTCCCAAAGTGCTAGGACTATGCTTAAGCCACCGCACCCAGCCATGGGTTTCTTTTTGTTATTGGGCTGCATCTCCAACACTTTCATCTTGGTGTTTGATCTAATCTCTCTGGAGACGGATGGATAAAAGTCAAACTTTAACAGTAGTGCCCGTTTTGGTTCATGAAGACAAAATAATTCTGCTCCTCTGAATCCATTCCAAGCATAGCCTTGAGTCCTTACACTGTGAGAACTACTTGCAAGCTCCCAGAGCGCTGCTGAGAACATGGAGATTTGCCTGTGGCTGAGATGGTTCCCTTTCGGTTACCAGGACATTTCCAGTTTGGCTGCTAAAAGCCAAACATCTTTCTTGTGAGCCATTCCCCTGAGATGCCCAAGTCAGCTCTCAAACCCAAATCTCACATTTTCCATTGTGTTTGTCAGCTACGCAAAGAGTGGGCTTACCCCCAGCTGCAAGTGGCTCTGAGAAACCTGCATCTGATTTAGCGTTCCGCTAACAACTCAGCACTCCCAACAGGTTGTGGTCATATGAAGTAGGGTCACAGTACTGCTTACATGCACTCACATAGCTATGTGTGTCAAACAGCGAACACTCCTTCTGCCACGAGGAGGGTCTGTCACAGTTTCAGTGCCAGCCCCGGAGGCCTGGGCTGCCTCGCCGCCTCCTGAGGGCACTCTGGCTGGAGCGAGGAGGGGCTGTATGGATGCCAAGCGGCTGTTGAATAAGGAGATGTTTGCCTTGCTAGACCTCCCCATCCCATCTTTTCCTTAGACATATACCCAGATGTACCCACATGCACCCACACACATCCACAGGCATCCACACACACCCACATGCATCTATACACACCCTCACACCCACACACACCCTTTGCCTCCTCCATTCAGAACTGCCCGTGGTCTTGCCTTTTTTCCACGAATAAGCTTCAATTTCATGGCAGCAGAAAAGAAAAAAAGCACTGCTATCAAAGTCTAATGCTGTCTTTGATGTTGGTTAATAGCAATACAAACAGAAGCTTATTATAGGAAGTGATCACTCTCACCAGACTTTAACACACCTTAGACTGAAGCCTAAATGAATGAAGGGATAGAGAAGGAAGTCACCTCTGAAATACCCTGGGCTTGCAGGGTAATAGTGTGCAGACAGGTTTTGAAGTCAAAGCCTCCAGCAAGGCTTGCTGTATCGCCTCTGCAGACACTGCAGCAGGGGCCTCCTTCACAGTTTTTATTGAAAGAGATTTCAGGCCTTAATTCTTCCCTCTGGATCCTTGGTAGTTAAAGAAGTGAGGCTTCATGAGGTTAAGGGGTTGGGGGAGCCATCATGTCTCCCCTTTCCTCCCCATTAGGCCCTCCAATGCTTTGCTGAGGGACTAACCACGACACGCCGATGACAGGTCCCAGTTTGGGGAGTCCCTTGGAGTGAGTGCCACCTGTGGGTTGTGTCTTGAGGCCCTGCTAGGGAAAACCTTCCCTTAAAATCACCCAGACGTGCTGGCCTGACATTTTGTCATGGGCAAGGGCCATTCGTTTGGGGCTGCTGGTTTTAAGGACTCAGCTCCAGGAAGAGGAAAACTCCTATGGGTCAAAAGCCAAATCAAAGGCCCCCGGACACAGCCTCAGGGGGGCAATAGGGTTCAATGGTTAGAGCCAAGATCCTGGAAACAGAGGCCTAGCTGTGTGATCAGGGCAAGTTACTTCACTTTTCCTTTCTCTTTTCTATGAAATGGGCAGAGGAGAACCCACCTCCTGGGCCCAGCATGACAGAGAAACAATGGAGGGTATGCCTCACGCACATCACCAGTGCCTGGCCCTGGAAAGGGTGAGGAGAGCTCTTCCTATTCTTAGGACCGCGCCTTCAGCAGAGGGCGTGAGGAAGCTAGGAAGAAAGAAGGACACCAGGCCACAGGAAAGAGGAAAAGCAGCTTTGGCTGAGCTTGTGATTCTGGCTCTCTGTTCCCTTGCTAACCCCTCATTAGGGCAGACGCCAGAATCAAGATCATGTAGGCTGGGTGCAGGGGGTCACACCCAGCACTTTGGGATGCCAAGGTCGAGGATCACTTGAGCCCAGAATTCAAAACCAGCCTGGGCAACATAGTGATACCCTGTATCTACAAATAATAAAAATGAAAAATTAGCCTGGCGTGGTCATGTGCACCTGTAGTCCCAACTACTCAGGAGGCTGAAGTGGGAGGATGGCTTGAGCCCAGGAGGTCGAGGCTGCAGTGAACCATAATCACACCACTGCACTCCAGCCTGGGCAACAAGTGAGACCCTAACTCTAAAGAGAGAGAGAGGGAGAGCGAGAGAATGTGTAGAAAGCACATGAAGTGAGAGAACATGTAGAAGGCAGGCCTGGCACGTTATAAGGGCCCAACTACTCTTACAGAAATTGGATATTTTGTAATGCAGTGAACTGGGGGACGAGCCTGTCAACATTGGAAGTTCACGATCCAGGAGCTTCATGCATGGTCCCCATCAACCAAGACCCATGGTTTCTGCCTTCCTCTTCTTTGGGGTTACCTCCTGGAGCCTCCTACCTAGAGAGCAAGCCTTGCTTCTCCTGTTCCATTTGGAAGAGTTGACCCCCGAAACCTAGAGTTGGGGCACCCCATCTCAGTGTTACATCCACCACTTTCTCAGGGGATGGGATTCTTATGCAAAGGGCTTTTGGAGGCCTTGCCCAATAGCTCAGAATTTGGGTGTAAGCATATAATTTGTTCTTCAATTAGATATTGTCTTAGCCTGGACCAAGTGTTGGCAGGAATTGGTAGCTGGTGGCGAGGTGAGGAGAGGGCTGAGGACAGGGCAACGGGGACGTGAAGGACTCAGGCTGCCGCATGGCTAGGAGGCATTCTTGGTCCAGCTAGGACCTCCAGGACAATGTTGACTAGAATTGACCACAGCAGATATCCTTGACTTGTTTGCAACTTCAGGAGGAAAGTGTCCAATATTTCATCTTTGTATAAGGTGTCACCCACAGATCTTTCGGAGATATCCTTTAGTAGATTATGGAAGTGCCTTTCTATTTCTAATTAGTCATAAACAGGTGCTGGATTTTGTCTAATGCTTTGTTTAGAATCTATTGAGATTATCATGTGACATTTTTTCTCCTTTATTCTATTAATATGATTATTATGTTGAATTTTAAACCAGCCTTATATTCCCAGAAAAAAAAGCCACTTGTTCATGATGTATTATCTTTTTTATATATTTTTGTATTTTATTTGCTGCCTGCCTGCTCATGAGAGATGCAGGCCTATACTCCCCTTTCTTATAATGTCCTTGTCAAGTTTTGATATCAATGTTATGCTGGCCTCATAAAATGAATTGAGAAATGTTCTTTCTTTTCCTAGTCTCTGCATCTTTTCTGTACTATTGATATTATTTCCTCCCTAAATATTTAGACTACTTCTTGACATCTGTGGTTGTTTTTAAAATAAGTCCACAAATTCTTTGATACTCTTCTCTTCAAGTGGTGGAGCTTAATTCCCTTTCTTGTGCATGTAGGCTGGATTTAGGGACTTCCAGCTAATGAGTGGAATAATGGCAGGCCACATCCAAGATTAATTCATGAACTGCAGCTTCTGTCGTGGGTTCTCGTCCCCGTCTCTCTCTCCCCCATCAGTCCCCCTAGAGAATCCACTTGCCAGGCTGGGAGCTGCCAGTGAGGACCCAAAGCTTCCCAACAACCATGTGAGTGAGCCTGAAGTGGTTTCTTCAGCCCCAGGCAAGCCTTGAGGTGACTGCAGGGCGACAGCTTGACTGCAGCCTCATGGGGGGCCCTGAGCCAGAACCACCCATCTAAGCTGCTTCCAAACTCCTGACCCTCAGAAAGCAGGTGAGATGAGAACACGTGTTGCTTTTAGCTGCCATGTCTCAGGGTGATTTGTGATGCACCAACAGGTGCTGTGGCTCAGAAGTTAGCTCTGTTAAACTCACCTCTTGCTTGTTCGTAGGATACCTTTACATTCCACTGGAGCACATCCTGCATTAACTTCCTAAAAGGAGTATAAGAGTGGTAAAATCGGACAGTTCTTGCAAGTTTGAGATGCCTTCATGTTATCCTCACACTTGACTCATAGTTTGGCTGGATGTAGAAAACTGGGTGGGTCATAAGTTTTCCTGAAAAGTGTGAGGACATCACTTGACTGCCTTCCAGCTTCCAGGACACTATGGGGAAATGCAATGTCATCATGATTCTTGTTTCATTGTGTGTCATTGCTTTTTCTTCTCTTCTAGAAGCTTCTGAGATATTATTTTGAATCCCTAGAGTTATAAAGAATGAGTGTTTTTTCACTAATTATGAAATTAATGGATTCAGTGCAGAGCAGCTCCACATGGCAGGGCTTTCTGTGATGAGGGAACATTCTTCATCTGCATGCCCAATATAGCAGCCACCACCCACACGTGGCTATCACACACTGGAAATGTGGCTAGCACAACTGAGGAATGAAATTTTCATTTCATTTAATCTCAATTAATTCTCATTTCAACTTAGTTAACCATGGTAGCTAGTGGCTACCATCTTGAACAGTGCAGATCTAGATATCCTGCGTACGTTCTGATAAAGTGCCTTTTTCTTTTTTATTTCTTCTCCTTTCTCTGGCTTCATTTTTGGGTTCATCATTGTTAGATATCCTTGATTGGTCCTCTTAAGCTTCTTACATTTATGTTCTTCTTGTCCATCTCTGCCTTTTTGTTCCTCCTTTGGAACATTCCCTTTGTTTTCTACTTCAACTTGACTTTTTTTATTTTGCTTTTTTTCTTTAAGTTTCAAAAGCTCTTCTTATTGTCAGATTGTTTATTTTTAAAGGGTCTTATACTTGATATATGGATGCATTATTTTACTTTATCTCTGAGAGGTGGTTTTTTTTAAGTTTTTGTGTGTTCTATGCATTTTCTCTTTCCTCTACGATCACCTCATTCTGTCTCTGTCATGTGAGTGTTGCTCTTTAATGTCTGATAATCTGGGGCTATTTGCTCATATTTAAGACTTAAGTGTTAAAAGTCTGAATGAAAGCTTTGAGGGGTTGGCAGAGCTTCTTAGTGTGTGAGAGTCCCTTCAGAGTCCTCAGGTGACAAGCGTCCTGATGGAGGTCCCTAACAGGTCAGTGTCAGGAGGTCTCCTCTCTGGGTCCATTTCGTTTCTTAAGGGAAGCGTCCTTCAGTCCCGTGCCTGCAGGAGGGCGGGGCCACTGGTGTGTGACTGCCTTCCCATGTTCTGAGAGCAAAGAAAGGTAAGAAAGCTGGAGACCTCACCATTCAATATGAAGACGTTCCCCATATCCCCCCATTTTTAACCCTGCATCTGACCTCTCTTCTGCACTGCGCTGTCTGATGGCCCCTAGTCCAGAGCAGAAGAGCTGAATTTCTCACCAGATAACTCTCCAGCCTCCTGAGGGAAGAGGGTGGCAGTTGCCTGGGTGAATGGGCAACTTCATCCAGACCTTTATCAACCCCTTGGTTTTTGGCTTCACTGAGCATGGCACCTGGTGCCTTTGAGACCTGACAGGTTCTAGGGGATAAGGAAGCTCCTTCTCACTTGTGTCCCCTCTGCTGACATTCAAGATGGACATTTTTGGCCTGTTCTGTCCATTACTACTTCTTCAGCGTCTCTCTATCTTTCAGGGTTGTCCTACAGTCTCTCTTCTACAGCTATGTTGGCCCTTGTGGGTTTACCTTTGTATTTCCTTTATTGTCATCCTGGTGAGCTTTTGAAGGGATAGGAAACAAACCCACGTGGCCCCTCCGCATGTAAGAGGCCTTCTTTGTTTTTGAATCTGATTCGAGTTCTCCACATTGGCTTTCCTCCACCAATTAGCCCCACTTGCCTGCCTACATCTTTCCCATTCACTCAGAAGGCTTCATCTGCAGCCAGCGCCATTCTCAATCCCAGCTGCCTTCTGAAAGCTCACGTTGCTTTTCTTCCCTCAGTATCCCTCCCATTTAATTCAACCTCAAATCCCACTATCTCCATGGAGTACTCAATGACTGGTTCAGCCTATAATAAACTTTTTGTTCTCCAATTCTTTTAGCACCTATAGTTTGCACATGTACTCTAACTCTATTTATTGATTTACTTATTCCTGGATTCATTCCTTTACTTATTAGTTGGGAACTTGTCTCCAGAGCCTTTTGCTTTGTTAGGTTACATAAAATGCAGTCATATAGAGCATATTAGAATCATGTGGGAAAGAAAAGGAAAGGGCCAAGGTAAACTGGGGCCAAAAAAGGAGCCGATACAAGAGCACATGCTGTCACATACTCAGTCCTACATGCTCAATGGGTGCATCAAAAAATCAGCTTCAGGCCATTGCGGTGGCTCACGCTTGTAATCCCAGCACTTTGGAGGCCAAGGCAGGTGGATCACCTGATGTCAGGAGTTTGAGACCAGCCTGGCCAACATGGTGAAACACCATCTGTACTAAAAATACAAAAATTAGCCAGGTGTGGTGGTGCATGCCTGTAATCCCAGCTCCTCGGGAGGCTGAGGCAGGAGAATCACTTGAACCCAGGAGGCGGAGGTTGCGGTGAGCCAAGATCACGCCATTGCACTCCAGCCTGGGTGACAAAGTGAGACTCCATCTCAAAAAAAATCAGCTTCCATTATCCAGCCTCTGCTAGTGCTCAACAGGATGGCTGCTGACACGTTGGGCTTTTTCACGAGGGGATCCCATGTCCTGAAAGGCACATATCCTCAACTCCACCCTCACAGACACTGGGGGTCCGGCAGTGGACGCCACAGGACTGTCGTGAAAGGTCACTGAGCTTTCCCGGCTAATATGGTGGGAGAAAATTGCCACACTCTTTCGTCAGAGAATATTGAATACCCTTGTCAGAAACAAGATGCTGGACCTCTGGGCTAACACAGGGTGGCATTTCGCCTGTGACCCCAGCAGTGTCTCCTGGGCAGTGCATAAGACTTGAGTAGTGTTACAGGCCCAGCTTTTCACTTTTATGTGAATCTCTGGTTTTCTCTGAATTTTGGTTTCCTTCCTTGTAAGATGAAGATATACTTACCCTGCCCGCTACTCAGCACTAATATGAGAATCAACTGAGTTAATATCCAAATACTATATAAATCAAATTTAAAATGCTATACATCTATCTTCTTATTGTCTATGCTTTTTCCTGAAATCTAAATTACCCTTTTGAGAAACTATACTGTCAAACCTCATATGGTTTGAAGATGCTAAAGGAGACATACCCATGACACACTACGGGGCCTTAAAACATATGGGGCTAAGCTGCCTCCGGAAATAGAAAGCCATGTCCCAACATTGAATACACTGAACTTGGAACAGAGAATCTAACACAGCAGATCTTTTTTTTTTTTTTTTTTTTTCGGAGACAGGGTCTCACTCTGTGGCCCAGGCTGGAGTGCAGTGACACCATCGTAGCTCACTGCAGCTTTCGTCTCTTGGGCTCAACAGATCCTCCTGCCTCAGCCTTCTGAGGAGCTGGAACTACAGGCATGCACTGTCAAGCCCAACTAATTTCCTAAATTTTCTTGTAGAGATGGGGTTTCTTCACGTTGCCCAAGCTAGTCTCAAACATTAGGGCTCAAGTGAGCCTCCTGCCTGGGTTTCCCAAAGTGCTGGGATTAGAGGTGTGAGCCACTGCACCCGGCCCAGCAGATCTTTAATATATGCAGACATGAAGCCAGGCTAGATGGAGACTGTGTCAGGCTGCATCTCACAAAGCCCTTTCGCATTCTCTATCACATTAAATGCCTACAACAATGCAGTGAGGTAAGCATGACTACTCTCAGTTTAAAGAGAAGTGAGATGAATTTTTCAAAAATCAATCAGTTAAGTGGGAAGACATTTCTCAGTCCTAAATCTTGCTCAGCATCCACACAATCTAAAGAATTTGTCTAACCATGGACGATGATAAGAGTGAGCACATACACGCTCTAAATCAGGGGTCCCCAAACCCCAGGGCGAAGACGGGTACCAGTCCATGGCCTGTTAGGAATCAGGCCACAAAGCAGGAGGTGAGTGGTGGGCGAATGAGCATCCCCACCTGAGTTCAGCCTCCTGTCAGATCAGCAGCGGCATTAGATTCTCATGAATAAGGGCATGAACCCTCTTGTGAACTGTGCATGTGAGGGATGTAGGTTGCACACTCCATAAGAGAATCTAATGCCTGATGATCTGAAGTGGGACAGTTGCATCCCCAAACCATTCTCCCCCTTCTCCCCCCACCCCTGCCCCGCCTTTTTCCACAAAACCAGTCCCTGTTGCCAAAAAGGTTGGGGACCACTGCTCTAAAGGACTCCTCATAGTCCAGTGGCTCTAGGAATGAGTGACAGGCACATAACAGTACTGATAAAGGAAATCCTTTTGAAGGATGGGCTGAACATGTCCTTTAAATTTGGTTTCAAGCTGGACTGAAAGGAAGATGCTTCATAGGATCTCTGTTTAAAACTGTGGGGTACAAAGTCCTTTGTTTAGCATCTGGTTCCTGCCCTAGGAAAAGAACATTGTCTTTCTTGAGCTTTGCCTAAAATCCCTAGAGCAGACGATCCTCTGTTCTCAAACCACCACTTCAAACATCTCAGGGTAGGGGTTAGAAATAAAAGAAAGCTCTTGTTTTTCCCACTACAACCACCATACAAAACGCCAGCAGCTCATGGCTCACCCCAAACCGCTGGGCACTTAGGGATCCATGGTGGCCATGAGAAGCAACGAGATGGAGAGTGGAAGGCAAAACCACTTACGGCAACATAGTCTGCCTCATCGCCAATGCCCACATGACTGGCAGAGTGCATGAGCCTGGGGTAAGAGGGGATGGGCATGGAGGGCTCAGGGAGGAGTTGCTGGAACTTTCAGTACCATGGCTGTCTAGTGCTTAAACCAACCTTCCCACTGAAAACCACCAAAAATGCTAAGGAAGAAAAAGTTTACCTGCACCAAAAACTGATCATTATCAGGCCAAACCTACATGAAGCCAGACCCCCAAAGAGATAGCTGTGATTTGTAGCTCTTTAGCCCTGAAGGCATTTGCTGAAGTCAGCACATTTGAGCTCTGGTTTTTACAGCTTCCCAGAGCACTGGGGAAGAAGACAATACTTCAATACTTCGGGACCACCCAAGGTGGGAAACCTAATAGAATAGTGTGACCCACAAGGCTGCCCCACCCCTTCCCCAAGGCACTGCAAAGAGAAGCTACAGTGCTGAGCAGAGCAGGGGGAGGCAAAAGCTGCACCCGCATAGCAGCCCTCTCTGTGTTAGCAGCCAAACATACGAAACATCAAGCTGTGAATTTCGTTAAAAGCACTGCAGGTGGATAGTGGCCTCCCGGGGCAGAGGTAAGTGCAGATGTTCTCCAAGAACACCCCCTCACTCCAAGCCTCAGAGAGACCCCACAAATAACCTTCTAAGGCTAGGGAGTGACCCTGTGAAAAATAAAGCACACAAGGAAAAAGGCATCATGAGTGGGAAGCGGCAGAAACCAAGTCAGGGTACCAGGCTTTAGTTTGAAGCGTATGGACTTTATTACAGGGGAGCCCTGTGGACCGTATCTGACCACGCTGAGATCTAAGAACATTTTAGCCAAAAGGAGAACAGCATTAGAAGAGGGGATTGTCACCAGTGTGCAGGCTCACACCTCCGACTGACAGATGGCATAATTCCCTGGAATTTAAAGTTCCTGGAAAAGCAGAGGATGCAGTGTGGTTGATCTTCTGCTTCTCTTTCCGCGGCTGTTTTCACCCTCCTCTGCCTCATGAAAGAAGCTGACTGCACTCTGTACCTTCCCCGCTGCCATGACCCTTCCACTATGCTCTGGATAACCAGCTCACCTCCATGTGTTACAGAGCCCACTCAGCCTATTCTCCAGACAGGATCTGGAGGGTGCCCTCAAAATTAATCCGTCTGCAGTCCATTCCATCCACAGGAAAGCATTTCCTGCTCATCTGGCCAGTTTGGCTAATGGTGATTAAAAACCATTTTCATCTGCTTCACCTGCTGTTATCACCTGCTTCAAGATCTTGAGACTCTTGTAAATAACCATTTTCGACTTCAGTAACCATCTCCATGACCCCATGAGATCCAGCTCATAAGTCCTCCATTGCTTTCACTCGTACAGCACTTGGGTCACCAGCACTTGAGTTAGGGTCCATGGACTATGTTCAGTGTCCCACCTGTACCCCAGAACTCTGGGTTCCCTCGGCCATTTCTGCACCTCTGGCCTGAGAGCTTTCCCCCAGAACCTCAGAGGTCACTCTCACCATATGCCTGCAGGTGGCAGGAAGGCCTGAGGAACTGACACACACTGAGCACCTCCACTAGCAGCCCTGAATCAACTACTCTTAAGACTTGGTGTATACATACCCCAGCTCCCTTGCCTCTTGGGTTAGATAATTCTGAGAGGCGAGTTTCCCTGAGTTCCCATGGGATGGGGCTCCTTAGCACTTACCTTCCCTCCTTCCTCTCAGGCTTGTCCAGGAGGATGGGCAGGAGGCACTGAGCTCCCTGGTGGCCTTTGTGAGCACAAGGTCAACCCCAGACCCTTCCTTAGTTCCCAAGTGACTAGAGCCCGGACCTTCTGGGTGGCTGCCTTAATTTTCCCCTTGTCCTCCTGGAAGGAGGCCCCAGGATGTTGAATTCTGGAGGAGCTAAAAGGCTCCACTTAAAACTTCTCCCTCCTCCCTGGGCTAGACCTAAAAATTCTATTAGAATCACACCTCTGTTTCAGACAGAATCTCCACAGCACCCCCAGAGGAATGGGACAGGGGATGGGAGAGGTCGCGTGAGGCTTATCAGCCACAGGAACACGTCCTTCCAGCAGGGTTAGAGGATCCCAAAGAGAGCAGAGACTCCAGGGAAAAGAAGAAGAGCACGGAGTCAGCATGGAGACAGTGCTTATCTGCAGGCGGGGAGCCAGGAGGGATTCTTTGCCCTTCTTGACTATACTTTTCAAATTCTCTAAAATGTTTCAGAAATAAGATAATCACAAAGTCTGCAAGTATCCCCCCACAAGGTATAATCACTTTACAGTGGAGAACACAGCAGACATCACCTAACCAAGTGATAAAGGTGACATCTCCAGGAACGGCTGCTCCCTGGCAGAGGCAGGGGTGGGGGGTGCACCAGGAAGAACCCAGCACCGCCCCTGGGATTCCGAACAGTCTGATCCTGAGGGAACGTCAGACAAGCCCAAGTTCAGGGACTTCCTACAAGATAACTGGTCCATATGCTCAAAAATTGTCCAAGTCATGAAAAAATGAAGAAAATCTGAGAAAGTGTTCCAGATTAGAGGAGACTAAAGAGACGCAATAACTAACCCAAGGTGTGATTCAGCAAAGGCCCATTCATGGGCCTCGGGGAAATATGATGAGGGTCTGTGGAGGATAACACAACTATATCAATGTTAATTTCCTGATTCAGTCACAAGCCTGTGGTTATTTTGAGGGGAAATATAAACCAAGGCATTTATAGGGCATCAATGTGGGTGAAGGGTGCATGTGAACTCTTTGCATAATTTTTAAACTGCTTTTAGAAGCTTCAAATTATTTCAAAATAAAAAGTTAGAAAAGAAAAATGGCCATTAACTTTATAATCAGAAAAAAAAATGTTTTAGGACAAAAATATGTCTCTGGTCATAGCCTGTGCTGTGAATCCATGGAGTAGATTCTTGCTGTCAGCAAAGTTCCCAACAGCTGGAGAAGAACAAGGAACAAAAGCCGAGCTGCCCTCCTGAGCTCCCAGGGTCCCAGACACAAAGCTGGCCTCTCAGGCTTTACTGAAAGATAAGTGCTGATAAGGCCTGCGGGTCATCTTCGTCTACGCGGGCCCCCCAGCTCGCTGAGAGGGGCCCGCCCTTCCAGAGCTCAGCCAGACATAAGCCAGAGCAGAGCGTGTTTCTTTTCAGCTGAAAGCTGCAGCTGGTGCATCCACCCTGGGTATGAGCAGACTCGCAGCAGGGTGCCCACCAGAGTGGGGACCTGCAGATGCCCCTGCCCAGAGACGCCGGGAGGCCACAGCCCAGGTCTTCCGGATGGAGACAGAACTTCAGCATTCCGTTTGGATCAGTCCAGAAGAAAAAAAAAAAAAAAAAAAAAAAACAAGCAAAATCTCACTATCACTGCTACTAAAACAAGATAAGCTACAAAAACAACTAATGCAACTACTGGCTTACACCCAAGTCTCACCAAGTTCCCCATAATAACCAAATTCCCCGTAAGAACGGCCACAAGGGTGACCACACTGACTAGTTGTCCTAGCCTGGTTGACCACACTGACTAGTTGTCCCAGCGAAGTGTTGCTGGAAACATTGTCAAGGTAAGGTTTGTGCCTGGTCCCTCTTGAGGCCAGGGCTGGAGGTGGGCCCCTCCGTGCGAGCTGGCCGACTGGCAGACCTGGTTGCATCTGGGCAAAAAAAGGCCATCATCGCCATAGATGCTGGAAGCTGCTCTCTCGCCCACTTTAACTGTGGGGGCCTCGGCCCCCCGTTTTTTAACTACTGGAAGACGTAGCCCTGAGTCCAACCTCTTCCACGCCTGGCGACGCTGCTAAGAACGCGGAGCAGGGCTGGAGGGCTCAGCGCCGGCGGGCTCAGCGCCGGTGGGGGCAGGGCGCGGGTCCGGGAGCGGGCGCGGAGGCACGGAGCCACACTGCCCCCTGGCGGCCATCCCCTGCCCCGCCGGCACCGCCTCCGTGAGGCGGAAGGTTGAATGTCACCACTGCGTTGCTGAATTCCGGCTCAAGATTATTAGTGCGGGGGCATCGGGTCCATCCAGGGGAGGAGAACGTTCCTAATGCGGAGTCACAAGCCCTACCTTTAAGGTCTGGCTCTGGAACTCTGGGCAAGTTGCTTAAATTCTCTGTTCTCAGCTGCGAAAGGAGGAAAATAATTAAAGCCTGTGTTGTAAAGACCTCACTAGGCAATGTGTGCTCTACAGGCTTTCCCTGCCCCTGACGCAAAGACACACGCACAGAAAGCAAGATCATGAGGGATAGATTTTTTTTTTTTTTTTTGACAGAGTCTCGCTCTGTCGCCAGGCTGGAGTGCAGTGGCTCGATCTTGGCTCACTGCAACCTCCACCTCCTGGGTTCAAGCGGGTCTCCTGCCTCAGCCTCCCGAGTAGCTGGGACTACAGGCGCTCACCACCACGCCTGGCTAATTTTTGTATTTTTAATAGAGATGAGGTTTCACCATGTTGGCCGGGCTGGTCTCGATTTCTTGACCTCGTGATCCTCCCGCTTCGGCCTCCCAAAGTGGTTGGATAGGCTTCAGCCACCACGCCCGACCGAGGGTTAGATTTTAACCCAAACACTGTCCCTTCTAATGTTCTCCGCTGCCGCCCAGTGCAGCTCCCAACGCTGACCCGGGTTTCTGGGGTGGAAGCAGCAGAGGCGCCCCCACCCCCACTCCCGCGCTCCACCGAGCCGGAGGGCAGCCCAGGGGCAGCAGCCCCACAGTGGGGCCTGAACAGCGTCCGCGGACCCGACCCGCGCTGCGGCCGCGCTGCCCCGCTCCTCTGGGCGCCTCCCCGAGGGCCTCGCTCGTCTGACCCGCAGTACTCTCCGCCCTGCTCCTCGTGCCTTTGGTGGGCGCGTGGCTTCCGGCCTGCGGAGGCTGTGCCTCCTCGCCAAGGAGCCGTTCACAGCCGCGCGTTCGAAAACCCAGCCGCCGGCCGCGCGTCCTGGAGAAGGGGCACGGTCAACTCGCACGCCCTAAGGGCCGGGCCACCGGGGTCACTGCCCGGCCTGCGGGGGCCGTGCCTGGGGCGTAGGAGCAGCGCTCCTCCGCAGGCGCTATGCATGCCTGCGCCCTCCTGCAGGATGGGCCACGAGCCCAACTGCCAGGCGATCGGCCGAGACCCAGAAGGGTGAGAGGGGGAAGCCGCACCCTCTTCGTGGGTGCGATGCTGTGAACGTCTTCCTTCAAGGAAAGAGCTGCTTCTGGATTTTCCTTGAACTCCAGGAGGTGCTAAGAAAGCTTCGTGACTGTGGCAGATGCGGCTCAGCGGCCCCTCCCAACCCGCCCGCGCCAGTTGGGAAAGTGACTCCCCCGCTCCCCGCCAGTTGGGAAAGTGACTCCTTCCTGTGGGCAGAAGGCAGCGGACCTGGAGGGAGCCCTCGGGCTCTGAGAGTCACGCGGGGGGCGGCCTGCTCTCCCGCGCCCCCTAGCGGAGCATCGGCTCACACGCACCTGAGAGGTCGGAAGAGGCGGGCGCTTCTCTGCCTCCCCCACCCAGGCCCCTTGCAGTTTGTATGCCCTCACCCTGGATAAAAGATTTTGGTTCAACTAGAACTATCTTTTCTAGATCTCATTCCTTTATAACTTTTTTGCTCACAGGAAAAAAACAGGATTATAAAGCCTCTGGAATACGGTCACAGTCGCCAGACTGGGCCCTAGGAGGGCTGAGTTCCTCATTCATTGTTGGTAGAAATATAAAATGGTATGACCCCCTTCCTTTGGAAAATAGTTTGGAGTTTCATAAAATTTTAAACATACACCTGTCATCTGACCCAGCCATTCTACTCCTAGGTATTTACTCAAGAAAAACAAAAACATCTGTCTATACAAAGATTTGAACCTGACTGCTCATAATTGCTTTGTTTGTAATAGCACCCGAGTGGAAGCGACCCAAATGTCCACCAACAGCTGAATGAATAAATAATTTGTAGTACAGACACTCCAAGAAATATTACTCAGGAGTAAAAAGGAATGCACTGGCCGGGCATGATGAGATTACACGCCTGTAATTTCAGCACTTTGGGAGGCCGAGGTGGGCAGATCATCTGAGCCCAGGAGCTGGAGACCAGCCTGAGCAGCATGAAGAAATCCCATCTCTACAAAAAAAAAAAAAAGAAAAGCCAGGTGTGGTGACGCAGGCCTGTAATCCCAGCTACTCGGGAGGCTGAGGCAGGAGGATCACTTGAGCCCAGGAGGTCGAGGCTGGAGTGATGCAATCTCAGCTCACCCAGCCTGGGCAACAAGAGTGAGACCCTGTCTCAGGAGAAAAAAAAAAAGGGCTGGGCGCAGTGGCTCACGCCTGTAATCCCAGCACTTTGAGAGGCTGAGGCAGGCGGATCACCTGAGGCCAGGAGTTTGAGACCAGCCTGGCCAACATGGTGAAACCCCGTCTCTACTAAAAATACAAAAATACAAAAATCAGCTGGGTGTGGTAGCCCATGCCTGTAATCCCAGCTTCTAGGAGGGGCTGAGGCAGGAGAATTGCTGGAACCTGGGAGGCAGAGGTTGCAGTTAGCTGAGACTGCGCCACTGCACTCCAGGCTGGGCCACAGAGCAAGACTCCAAACCGCCCCCCTAACACACACACACACACACACACACACACACACACACACACAAAGAAAAAGAAAAAGAAAGGAATGTTGTGCACACAACAACATGGGTGACTCTTTTTTTTTTCTTTTTTTTTTGAGACGAAGTCTCGCTCTTGTCCCCCAGGCTGGAGTGCAATGGAGCGATCTCGGCTCACTGCAAACTCCGCCTCCCAGATTCAAGCGATTCTCCTGCCTTGGTCACCCCGAGTACCTGGGATTACAGGTGCCCGCCACCATGCCCGGCTAATTTTTGTATTTTTAGTAGAGACAGGGTTTCACCATGTTGGCCAGGCTGGTCTAGAACTCCTGACCTCAGGTGATCCACCCGCCTCAGCCTCCCAAAGTGCTGGGATTACAGGCGTGAATCACCGTGCCCGGCCAACAACATGGGTGATTCTCAAAACAATTACGTTCAGTGCAAGAAGCCAGACTAAGAAGAATGCCTACTGTGTGATTCCATCCTATAAGCTTCTAGGAAATGCAAATGAATCTATAGTGTCAGAGCAAATCAGTCATCACCAGAGTTTGGGATGGGGCAGGAAGGACATATTTCGAAAGGCACAAGGATGTTGGGGAGGGTGAGGGGTGATCAATATTGTAGTCATTGTGATTGATTGTGATAGTTTCAAAACATATCAAGTTAGGCAATTTTAATATGTATTTATTGTATGTAATATGTCAGTGTCACCTCAATAAAACCATTTTTACCCAAAAAACAACAAACATCAGGTCTCTGGGCTTAGCACCCCTTGGAGAAAGAGGCTACAGGTGGTCAGGAGTAGAGCCTGCAAATCTTTATTTTTCAACTTGTCCCAGTGATTCTAGAGCATAGTCTTGTTTGAAAATCAATGGTTTAAGCAGACCAAAGCAGAGAGGTGGGCAGCCAAAAGTCCACAAACAGCACTGTCCTCCACACCCAGGCATCCTCAAAAATGTTTAGGGACAATCAATTGCTCTACACCCCAACAATCAACACCAAGCAACGGAAACACCAGGGGACACTTGCGGAAAGTCAGACCATCAAAAATCCCATCTTCCCATACCCTCAGCCACCCCAGGAAACACACCATCTAAATAAAATGGCACATCTAGCCCCTCCCGCCAGAAGACTATCCCTAAAACATTCTTAAATAGAAATTCTAAGCCATAAATTTATTTCCCCTTTTTAGGAATCAACTCATGCCTTGGTCAGTGACTAACACACCTACTACTACTCATGACACATTGGTTAGTGCCCCTAATCTTCCTCATCTCCCTAATTTTGGGACCCCAGCCGAAATGGTTTAGTCTTGCTGGAAATGTTCCCACTGGCCACTAGGGGAAGTAGTGCCTGGATTATACACATCCCCTGAGCCTCCAATCCCCAGCTCCTGAAAACTGCCACACATGCAAATTTCTCTTTTTGGGGGTAGTCAGTAAGGCATCTTCAGATTCAAGACCCACGTTGTAATGATTCTGGACTTGGTTTTAACTCAGGGTAAAATTCCAGCAGTCTTTTAACTTATCTGAGCCTCAGTTTTCTCATCTGTAAACTTAGCACAATGAGCCCTTTGGGGCTAGCCTCCCTACAGCACCGACACCCTTAGTGTAGCATCTCCCTCTCCCTTGGCTATTCCTGCATCCACAGCCAGCAGCAAATGTGGACATATGGGATTGAGAGTAGGCAAGGAAGTCCCTGGAAGACAGCAACCATTGAACTGGGTCATGAGTGTAAATGGCAAGCCTGTTCTTCCCTAGTTCTGCCAGGAGGATGGAGTGTCAGCAGAAGTCTATGGAGGTTCCTCCCAATTGACCACACTGGGAAATTCTCCCAACAATGACTCTTCAAAGCCATCCTGGTAAATTCTTCCTCTTGAGTGGTTCCCAAACAGTTGCCTCATTTTCTCCAGAACTTTACAAGTTCAACGTCCATGGTTTGGATCATGGTTTGGGCTCAAATTCATGTTTGTCCCTATACATTTATATATTTTTTAAGGAATAAGAAAAGTTCGATTATGCATTGCTTATCCAAACAGGTTTGCAGCTTCAAGAGTTTTAAAACTAGTGCTTGGATTCAGGGCTAATTTTCCCTGGTAATTGAGGGCAGTTTTGTTGCTAAAAGGCTGAGTTGCTTCAAAGTTCCTTTTATTTCCCTTAATCCCAAAGCCTGTGTGAGACAGTCATTGATGAACATTGCAAACATCCTCATTCTCCTTAACTACATAATTCTCTACGCCTAACTAAAATAGAATAAACTAGAATGGAAAGAAAGAACCCTTCAACATAAAAAACTTCTAAGCCAATAGTCCATGTTTTAAGTCACTATCCAACAAGCAAGGACAAATTGGGTAAAAGAAAACAAAATCTCAAGTGTCAATAGCAGTGAAATAAATAGATTACATTAAGAATCACCTCTTTAAAAATATGCTGGCCCAGGCAGTTTAGAGGCATGTTAAATCTCCAATGAATTGAAAATATTTCTGCTATTTAAACTGTTCTGTAGGATAGAAACAAATAAAAAAAATTCTAAGTTTATTTTACTAATCTAGCACAATCCTGATGCCATGGCTGGTGGGAGGATAAATTAGTAGATGTGTTCTGGAGCAGCCAGTGAGTTACAAGGAAATTAGAGTGTGATGTCAGGAAGTAACATGAAGAAAGTGTTCCAAGAGTCAGTGACAACTAAAATAAGAACCAAGAAGTGACCATTGGATTGGCAACATAAGGGTCATTGCTGACCTTGACAAGCATATTCTCCATGGAGAGGTGAGAACAAAGGCTAATTAGAGTGGGTTGAGGATATAATGTGAAGTGAGGAAGTAGAGAATGTGACAAAGAAAAACTCAAGAAGTTTCATGAAGGGAAACAGAGAGGAGCAGCAGCTGCAAGATGATGTGGAAATAAGGAAGGAATATTTGTTTAATAGTATATGCTAGAGCTTGTTTGGATGCTCATGCAAATGATCCAGGAGTTGGAGAGAAACTGATAGTGAGGAAAGGAGAGGAGATAGTTACAGGTGATATGGGATAGAAACCAGAGGACCATAGGCCTTGGATGAGATCATTCATCCTTAGTAAAAAGGGGAAAACAGAGAGTGTGGGCACTTGGAGGGTAATTACGATGTGCATAAAGATTTTTCCATATGGACATTTATTGAAACATTGCTTATAATAGCAAAAAATAGGAAACAACCTAAATGCCCGAAAGAACATGGACTGAATATTTCAGAGTACTAAGCAGTCATTAAAAGTGATGTTATGTACCTATAACTACCATTAAACTTAATGATAAAGGCTAAATGCTTTCCCCTAAGATTGGGAACTAGGCAAGAATTTCTGTTTTCACCATTCCTATTCAACATAGGACTGGAAGTCCTAGCCAGTGCAATAAGGCAAGAAAAAAAAAAGGCATACAGATTGGAAAGGGGTGGGGCGGGGCTTGTCCTTATTTTCAGACGACTTGACTGTCTATGTAAAAAATTCCAAGAAATCTACCAAAAAAACCTCTTAGAACTAATAAATGGATTTAGCAAAGCCACACGATACAAGGTCAGAATGCAAAAATCAATATATTTCCATAAACTATCAGTGGACAATGGGAAACTGAAATTTAAAACACAATACTGTTTATCATTGCTAGGAAAAGAAAGGAAAGAAGGACAGAAGATAGAGTTAAGTATATATCTAACAAAACATGTACAGCATCTGTATGCTAAAAACTACAAAACCTGAAAGAAATCAATTAAGATGTAAATAAATGGAGAGGCATGCCATGTTCATGGATTGCTAAGACTCAATATAGTAAAGATGTCAATATAGTAAAGGTGTCAATTCTCAAATTGATTTACAGGTTTAATATAATTCTTATTAAAATCCTAGTGGGTTTTTTACAAATATGGACAAACTAAATCTAAAATTTAGATGGAAAAGCAAAGTAACCAAATCATTAAAACAGTTTTAAAAAAGAATAAAGTTGGAGGAATTGTATTACCTGATTTTAAGACTTACTGTAACTACAGTAATTAAGATAATGTGGTACTGACAAAGTTATAGAGACATAAACCAATGACAAAATAGAGAGTTCTGAAATAGACCCACACAAAGATGGCCAACTGATTTTTGACAAAGATGCAATGACAACTCAATTGGAAAGGGATAGTCATTTCAACAAATGGTGTTTGAATTCTTGGACATGAACTTCAACCTAATCTTCACATATTATTCAAAAAGTAACTAAAAATGGATCATAGATCTGTGTGTAAAATATAAAACTATAAAGTACTTAGAGAAGGCCATGTCTTTAATCCCACTACTTTAGGAGGCTGAGGCAGGAGGATTGCTTGAGACCAGGAGTTTGAAACCAGCCTGGGCAATATAGCTTAGACCCTGTCTCTACAAAAGAAAAAAATAATAATTAAGGAGACATGGTTGCACATGCCTGTAGTCCCAGCTACTTGGGAGGCTGAGGTAGAAGGATTGCCTGAGCCCTGGAGTTCAAGTCTGTAGTGACCTATGATCATGCCACTGCACTCCAGCCAGGATGACAGAGTGAGGCCCTGTCTCTAAAAACAAACAACAACAACAACAAAAAAAAAGAGAGAAGACTTTTAAAGGAAAACGTAGGAGAAATTACTTGTGACCTAGGGTTAGGCACAGAATTTGTAGATATGACACCAAACATATAATCTATAAAAGAAAATATTGATCAATTGGATTTCATCAAATTAAAAATATTTGCTCTCAAGACCCTGATAAGAGCATGAAAGAAAAAGCCACAGATGGGAAAAAAATTTTCAATATCGTATCTGACAAAGGACTTGCATCATCCAGAATACATAGAGAACTCTCTAAACTCTATACAAACAAAATTAAAAATTCAATTTAAAAATGGTCAAAAGACTTGAACAGACAATTCATCAAAGAATATACATGGATGGCAAAAAAGAATGCTCATGAAGATATTCATTATCATCTATTTGTAACCAATAAAAGTAACTCTGCACTAAGTCAAAAAAGACAACACTGCAGTTTCTACAAATTTACTAGGATGTTCACTGTTGAAGCCCTGAGTTGTCACGTAAGAAGATAGCTATGCTGCAAGGAAGCCCAAGCCACATGGAGAGGCTTCAGTTGAGAGCCTCAGCTGAGGCCCCAGCCAATAGTTCACATCAATTGCCAGATGTGTGAATAAAGAGACATCCAGATGACTCTAGTCCCCAGCCATTGTCACTCCCATTCACCTAGCCTTCCCAATTGAGGTTCCACATCTTGAAGCAGATACAAGTCTTTTCCACCATTCTCTATCCAAATTAACAACCTGCCGAATTCATTAGCCTAATAAAATGATGCTTTAAGCTACAAAATTTGGGAACAATTTATTATCCAGTAATAGTAACCAGAACAAACTGGTACTCTTTGTTCCTATTGCAAAACATATTGACTGCAAATCAGCGAACATGCTTACTAACATCTACTAACAAGTATGAAGCCACTCTCTGTCATGCTCGCTTTCATATCTTCCTTCCAGGTGAATTGTGCTTATGAAGAGACATGTGTTGTTTCCAAATCTGTCAATGTAAGCTGTATTTATTATGATAATTACACAGTTGAATTAAAAATATATAAGCCAGTAAAGCCTTGGCATGAAAAGAGAGTTACTGGCCAGGCGCAGTGGCGCACGCCTGTAATTCCAGCACTTTGAGAGGCCGAGGCGGGCAGATCACGAGGTCAGGAGTTTGAGACCAGCCTGGCCAATATGGTGAAACTCCATCTCTACTAAAAATACAAAAATCAGCCAGGCGTGGTGGTGCACGCCTGTAGTCCCAGCTACTTGGGAGGCTGAGGCAGAAGAATCGCTTGAACCCGGGAGGCAGAGGTTGCAGTGAGCCGAGATCATGCCACTGCACTCCAGCTTGGGCAACAGAGCGAGACTCCGTCTCAAAAAAAAAAAAAAAAGAAAAGAAAAGAAAAGAGAGTTACTATTATTATGAAAACTCAAGGACAAATCAATAAAAGTTATTATTGTAGATGCAGGTGTCAACATAATATCTATAAAAGATTGTTGGGGTGATTTTGAAAATCCAAAAGAATCCTGATTCTGCATTCAGATGTCTTTCAAGTGTCATTAAGTTCTCATTCCACTTTAAGGAAATCAAAACTACATATTATAGTTGGTGCATTAGATGAGTGTGGTTTACGTAAGAAAGACAAGCTGCAATTCCAATCAGTGGCCCCACATTTAAAGGAAAGGACTTGGCCCTACATCTAAAGATTGGCAAAGGAATATACTTTTATATGTTTTAAGTTAAAATAAAATGTTTAATGTACCAACCCTTTGACCCAGCAAATCCACTGGTGGGTATAAACCTAAGAGAAATGAAAACATATGTCCACAAAAATACTTAAGCAGAAACGTTCATAGCAGCATTATGCATAAAAACCCAAGCTGTAAAACCAAATGTCTTTCAAGAGGAGAATAGATCAACAAATTGTGATATATTCCTACTGAAATAATACTCAACCATAAAAAGGAGTAAATGCAACAACATGGGTAAATTTCACGGACATGACACCGAGTAAAAGAAGCCAGACCCAAAAGAGTCCATCCTGTATGAATTCATTTATATAAAAGTCCATTACAGGCAAAACTAGTCTACAGTGGGAGAACTCTAGAAATTTCCATGGTGATCAAATCACACTTCTGTGTCTATTTGTCAAAATTGTACGCTAAGATTTGCATATTTGAATGTACATAAACTTTACCTAAAAAATAGAATTTAAAAGCTCCAGTGGGGGATGGGGAGAAGATGGAGTTAGAAATGAAACAAGAATGGCAGAATGATGATAATTGCTGAAGCTGGGTGATGAGTACATGGGACGCATTATACTACGCTGATTATTTTGTATACGTTTGGAATTTTCCACAGTAATTTTTTAAGGTAAAATGTTTAAGGAATGTGTTATTGCCTATGATTCTCAGTTTTAACCAACTTTTTTGATGAACTGATAAACTCCCTGCCCCAGTGAGGGCCTCTGCTGCACAGATTCCCCTGTGCTCTCTCCTGAGCTTTGGCAAAGGGTTGGCACCAGTGAGCTTTTCAAACCACAGCCAGGACTCTATGCCACGTATTCTAACACTTAAATAATATCTGCCATGTTGTGCAACTGATGTCTTGGTAGCTCCTTAAACTATTAAGTGAAAGGTGAGGTGACAGAGCAGGAGAACAAACAAATATGAACTTTGTTTTCAGACAGAGCTGGGGTCAAGACTCAGGTCTAGCATTTTTAATCTATGTAACCGAAGGCAATTTAATGTCCCTGAGCTTCTACGTCCTTCCGTCTGAGGGCCAGGAAAAAGTTGTGCGGAGGCTGCTCTTGTTTCCCCCTTTATCTGTTACCCCCTTTTCCCAGTAATAGAAGTCTTGAGATGTGTGTACAGTCTTACAGAATATCAGCCTCCCTTGCAGCTAGGTGTGGGTGTATGACTAAACTCTCCCTGTGAGAAATAAGAGTACATCATGTGACAGCTTCTAGGAATCTTCTTTAAAATAAAACAGGCATACCCTCTTTGCTTCTCTTTCATCATCCCTTTTTTCCATCTTGTTGTCTTGAATCATCATCAAGACAATATCTTATTGTCTTGAATGTGGATGTGCTGACTGGAGATGTAGCCACCACTATCTTGGACACCATAGGAACAGAGAAGTGGCAAGTAGGCAGGGGCCCTAAAACCTTCCTGGAACAGAGCTGCCATTCCTGCCCTGGACTCCCTACCTATGGATTTTTATGTAAAAAAGAAATAAACATCCTCATTTCATAAACCACTGCTGAAGTTTCCACTACACAACTATAAGTCCGCAACTGCACTCAAATCTAACCAATGAAATACCTACTTCATGGTGTGCAGTGATGAGTGGACGTGCACATGTGTCTAACATATATTAGCTATTGAAGATAGTAATAACTCATCACTATCATTACAGCCCTCGAGTTACTGTCTTGTTGATTTTCTGCACCCTGCTCTGTTTCTAGCGATAAATAACCCACAGTGGGCTTTAACAAATACTTGTGGGAGTGAGTTGAATATCTCACACTCCAGCTTTTAGTGATAGAAGACATACTGGTCCAAAGGAGAATAATTCAATAGTATAATGGTAATCATTGGCCAGGTAGGATTTAACATAATTCTAAAAGAAAGAATGGTTGGATGAAAACAATGGAATATTGAGATGGGTACCCCCATTAACTGCAGGTCAAGTTTCTCAACATTGGCAATACTGACATTTGGGTCCAGATAATTCTGTGTTGGTTGGGGGTAGGGGCAGTGCTGTGCCCTGTCGGATGTTCCGAAGCATCGCTGGCCTCTATCAATGAGAGATGCCAGCAGCATTCTCCTTCCCTGAGTTGTGACAACCAAAAACGTTGCCAGACATTTTTGCGAAAAATGCAAAATGTCTTCTAGGGGACAAAATCGTTCCCCAGTTGAGAACCACTGCTAAGATGGAGGTGTATATTTATACAACTTTTCTAGAAATCACTTGGTAATAAATATAAAGAGCCTTAAAAATATTTAGACTTTTTGGCCGGGCGTGCTGGCTGACCCCTGTAATCCCAGCATTTTGGGAAGCCACAGCAGGTGGAACACCTGAGGTCAGGAGTTCAAGACCAGCCTGGCCAACATGGTGAAACCCCATCTCTACTAAAAATACAAAAATTAGCCAGTCATGGTGGCAGGCACCTGTAATCCCAGCTTCTCGAGAGGCTGAGGCAGAAAAATTGCTTGAACCCAGGAGGTTGCAGTGAGCCGAAATTGTGCCGTTGCAGTGAGCCGAAATTGTGCCATTGCACTCTACGTCAGGCAACAACAGTGAGATTCTGCCTCAAAAAAAAAAAAAAAATTAAACTTTTTATCCAGGAATCCTACTCTGGGGAAATAATTGGTAATGCACACACAGCAACAATTAAAAGACAAACAACCTCATTTTAAAAATGAATCAAGCATCTGAGTATACATTTCTCCAAAGAATATATACAAATGGCCAATAAACCCATGAAAGATGCTCAAATCATTAGCTGTCAGGGAAATGAAAATGAAAACCATAATGAGATACCACTTCATATACCCACTAGTATAGTTATCACCAAAAAGACAGAAAAAGAACAAGTACTGGTGAGGATATAGAGAACCTGGAACCCTCACCCTCTGCTGGTGATAATGTAAAATGGTTCAGCCACTTTGGAAAAGTGAAGCATTTCCTCAAAAGGTTAAACACAGAGTGACCACATGACCCAGCGATTCTACTCCTAGGTAAATAACCGAGAGAAATGAAAACATATATCTGCACAAAAACTTGTACCAAATGTTTATAGCAGCATTCTTTACAATAGCCAAAAAGTGGAAACCATCTAAATGTCCATCAACTGATGAACTAAGAAATAAAATGTGGTCTATTCATACAATAGAATATTATTCAGCAATAAAAAAGGACTGAAGTACTAATACATGCTACAACATGGATGAACCTTGAAAACATGGTGTTAAGTGGAAAAAGCCAAAAACAGAAATCCACATGTTATATTCGTTACATTAAAAGTCCAGAATACGGCCAGGCCTGGTGGTTCATGCCTGTAATCCCAGCACCTAGGGAGGCTGAGGCAGGCAGATCACCTGAGGTCAGGGGCTCAAGAACAGCCTGGCCAACATGGTGAAATCCTGTCTCTACCAAAAATACAAAAAAATTGGCCGGGCATGGTGGCGCACTCCTGTAATCCCAGCTACTTGGGAGGCTGAGGCAGGAGAATCATTCGAACCCAGGAGGTGGAGGTTGCAGTGAACTGAGATTGCACCATTGCACTCCAGCCTGGGCGACAGAGTGAGACTCCATCTCAATAAATAAATAAATAAATAAATAAAATAAAAGTCCAGAATAAGCAAGTCAATGGAGACAGAAAATACATCAATGGTTACCTAAGGGTGGGGGGTTCGGGTATGGAACGTGGAGTGACTGCTAATGGCTATTGTGTTTCCATGTGGGTGATGAAAATATTCTAAAATTGTTCTAAAGTTGATTGTGATTATGGTTACACAACTCTGTGACTATACTAAAAACAACTGAATTGTATACTTTAAATGGGTGAATCATATAGTATGTGAATTAAAGTATAAAAAGAAGTTGAAACATCACAACAAGAAAATGCACATACAAGGATGGATGTTGTTATAAGGTTTTGTGGGGTTGTTTGTTTGTTTGTTCGTTTTTTGAGACAGGGTCTCACTCTGTTGCTCAGACTGGAGTGACGTGATCTCAGCTCATGCAGCCTCCATTTCCTGGGCTCAAGAGAGATCCTCTAGCCTGAGCCTCCCAGGTAGCTGGGACCACAGGTGTGCACCACCACACCTGGCTAATTTTTTAATTTGTTGTAGAGAAGGGGTCTCACTATGTCTCAGGCTGGTCTCAAATGCCTGGGCTCAAGCAATTATCCTGCCTTGGCCTCCCAAAGTGATGGGATTACAGGTGTGAGCCACTGTGCCCAGCCTATAAGATTTTTAAAATCAGAAAACACCTAGATGCACATAAAAAAGGGATGGTAAAATAAATTATGTTCAGTACTATGAACAAATATTAAGCAAACATTATAAATCATCTTTGGAATAGCTACTATCACGAGGAAATATGCTTTAATCTTAAGAGGAAAGGCAGATATAAAATCTACCCTTAGATTCACAAGCACACACACAAAACACACACATGAAAATTATAAAAGGAAATTCACAATCAGTGAAGAGTGGTTCATTCTGGATGGTGGGATAATGCTGGGATTTTTATTTTCTGATCTTTTTCTGTAGTTTTTCTATTTTCTACACTGTATATCTAATTAGGAAAATGGTTTTTTTTTTGTTTTTTTTGTTTGTTTGTTTGTTTTGTTTTTTTTTTGAGACGGAGTCTCGCTCTGTCGCCCAGGCTGGAGTGCAGTGGCGGGATCTCGGCTCACTGCAAGCTCCGCCTCCCGGGTTCACGCCATTCTCCTGCCTCAGCCTCCCAAGTAGCTGGGACTACAGGCGCCCGCCACTACGCCCGGCTAATGTTTTGTATTTTTAGTAGAGACGGGGTTTCACCGTTTTAGCCGGGATGGTCTCGATCTCCTGACCTCGTGATCCACCCGCCTCGGCCTCCCAAAGTGCTGGGATTATAGGCGTGAGCCACCGCGCCCGGCCGGAAAATGGTTTTTTAAAGATTTTTAAAAGACAGTTTATTTCCACAACTTACTGGAGATTTATAGACTATAAGAGCTGAATAAAAAAGGATAAATCATGTATAAAACCTTCTAATGTTACTGATGAGGTAACCAGAGCCCAAAGAGGCTAAGGGGCTTGGCGCTTCCTCAGTCACCTTGCCAGAGCCTGTGAAACTGAAACAGGTTCTTTCCTCCTCTCGCCTCCTTTTCTTTCTTTCTTAGAGACCCTGCCCCTTACACACACACATGCGCGCGCGCACACACACAAAGCAACTCAAAAAAATTGAGAGATTTATTTCCCCAAATTAGCCTCTGTTCTAACATTTCTACCAGATTAGGTAGGAAAGACCCAACAGCTTCTCTCCCAGAACATTAGAGGGCAGTAGCGAGTCAGGCCCGCCGCACTATAGGATGAACTATAGTGAGGACAATCATCTCTTTTGGCATGAGAAGCACAAGAAACTGATTAAAATTGGCCCTAGACTCTTCAGCTTTCTCTGGTAAGCCCTGGCTTACAGAGTCTTTGAAGTGGGGTGCTCTGGTTCCCATCCACAAGAGCAAGAAAGGGATGACACCCCAGGGAGCCGCCCCAGCAACAGCTGCCAATACTTCTTGGAGCAGCAGCCCATAATCACCTCATTTTCCTGCTCCCAGTGCCATCCGAAAGGGACTCTGCGGCCTTCGGCTTCCTGGGAGGTAGCACAGATGGAAGGCTGCAAGGACGCAGAGGGAACACGTCTATCAAAACGGCCGGCTTCTGATGCTGGGCCCTGGGGTCCCAAGCCCTCCAAAGATAAGAGAATCAGGCGAGAAACAAGAGCCCAGCACTTTTCCGCAGAAACAAAAGGTCAGTGAAACTTGGCAGGCCTCCCTGTTCCTGAATGATTCCCAGAGGATAGTAAATTTGGAAAGTGGTCAGTGTTGAAATCCAGACATATGGGCCTGGCTGCTGAAGCCTGGCTCCCTCCTGTTGCCTCCACAACATGTGAGAGTGAAATATACAGATTTGAGGGCACGGCATTCACCCCTTGCCATTAATTTCGATTAAATAAACTTAGCCCAGACGTAGGGCTCTACTGTTCTGCTTTAGCCAAGGTGTGCGGGAAACGCCAGCTCTGCCACTCACTGGTCAAGTGAACCCACACACATGAGTTAAGTTTTCTCTGCCTCAGTTTCCTCATCTGTAAAATGAAGGCAATACTAATAGTACCTACTTCTTCAGTTGTTATGAGGCTTTACATAGTCCCTGACTACAATTAGTGTTCAATGAATGATAGCTATTATCTACTACTAATGATGATGAGGATAAAGATCTTAAAATATGGAGTTTTTCTGCCCTCATTTCGTAAGAAGTCAGTTCAACGTCTTGGGGCCTTTACTGTTAGGAAATTCTCTCTTACTTTAAGAACCCTCAAGAAGCTTGTTGGACAACCGTGCAAATCAACCTAGGATTATTACACTAGAAAACCCGTATCACACATCTAAAACTTACCTCTAAATATCTGCCCCAGGCCATTTAAGCTGAAGTGTGTCTCTGTTCTTACCTAAGGTGCTGGTTGTAGAAGTTGTTCCTGAAAGGCCAATTCACCAGGGTTTGATTGGAAGGTTCTAGAAACACAGTGTCTACACTTTTATAAGTCGCTCTAGTGCCAGTGGAAAGGCCAAGTAATTCATCCTACTTACACTAAACTTAGGACAAACACTTACACTAAGATGGATGAATGGAGAACACATTTTCTAGAGATGAGCATGACAATATCCACCATTCCATCGGATGCTCTTCCCATGGCAGGTTTTGCATCTTCTCCCATTGAATCTGGGAGGGCTTGGGCACAATACCACGTGACTTCCAGGGGTAAGTCATACAGGACAGTACAGCTTCCTCCCAATTTTCTTTGGGATGCTCATTCTTGGAAGGCAGCCACCATGCTTCGAGGAAGACCAAGCAGCCACTCAGAGAGGCCATGTATAGGGGCTTCATGTGACAGCCCCTGCTGGGGTCCCAGCCAACAACTCCCTCAATCTCCGGACAAGTAAGGATGCAGTCCTTCAGATAATTCTAGACCTAGGGCTGGACACATCACTCCATGTGTCCCCAGCACCCCAAGAGTTGGAGACCCTCAGAAACCTCATTTCTAGTTACCAACTCCTGCATTAGAGCAAGGGTTTTTTAAACATTTTGAGTATCCTATCCTGTTTTTGTTTTTACCAACAATCTTATATAGAACCTCAAATATAAATAAAATAGATAAAGCTGGTGTTGCATTCATTGATGTGGGTCGGGAGGAGACCAGAAACTGGCCTGATGTAACTGTTGCCTGACGTCTTCCTCTGTTCAATGTGAAAGATAAATAAATCTTGGGACCCCAAAATCCCTAAGCCAATGGGACAAGTCAAGCTGGGAGCTGCATCAGGTAAACCTGCCTCCCATTTTATTCCTAAATAAGATGACTACAAAGAAAAAAAGCTACAGACCTCCTTTGCAATTTGCCCACTAAGAAATTCCTTGTGTGTCCCAAGATCTTTACCCTAAAATGGTTCTGTGGAATTTTATCCTGACAATGTAAATTGATCACTTGTCTTCACAGGACGGAGAGAAAGGACAAAACTCAAAGTCATCTCTCTGCTCACCTGAGACAAGTACACATCTGATTGCTTCCTCTGATGTAAAAAAGCAGAGTCACTGAGCTAGACAAGGCATAAGTGACTATTCCTCTACCCCCTCCCACATGTGAATTGTGTATTTGGTGAAAGGCTGATCAAAGACTCAAAAGAATGCAACCGCTTGTCTCTTATCTGCCCATACCTTTGCAAAATTTCTTCCTCTTTCCCCAATATTCTCCCTTTAAATATTGAAGCCTTCAAAATCATCATTGGAGAAAGGCACAAACTTGCCTCCCAGGTGCACGTCCTTAACCTTGGCAAAATAAACTTTCTAAATGATTGAGATCTGTCTCAGACACTTTTGGGTTCACACCAATTTCCTGGGTCTTTCAGGAACCCTGTTTGAGAACAGGTGAGCACTTCAGGACAACAGCACAGATTGGCACCACAACTTTCCCAGAGATATTCAGACTCAAGTAAAGTGGCAAAAAATGTGTATTCTATGCCTCTGTGACCCCAGCCCCCTCCATCTTCAGCGGACTAGGTTGAAGTGCTGGTCTGCTCCTCTGGTCCTCTTCAGCCAGCATGGGACTGGTGAGGAAAAGGTTGTGCTGGACTCCTCACCGCCTGGCTACCTGACCTTGGTGTTGAGCTTCAGGTATGCCACATAGTGTGTCAGGAGCAGCCTTTGGAAGGCACCGCTGTAGAAGGCCCAGGCCGGGATCAGGCTCAGAAAGCCCGCCTTAAACAGAGAGAAGCATCAGTGTTGGGGAGGAAGGAATAACAAGTACCTCAGTTCATCTTTGTGGTCTTTAAAAATATTTTTTTCTGACTACTAAAGTGGAGCCCCAGAACCTTTTATGTAATTGATAAAGTTTAAGGGTCTTGTGACACTTTCTCAGCTCACAAGGTTTTCTCAGACGCCAAAGTAGCCAGTCCTTTTAAACTCCTTTGGACGACCTAGTACAATCAGCCCTAAGGATTTTTTTTTCTTTGAGACAAGGTCTTGCTCTGTCACCCAGGCTGGAGTGCAGTGGCACGATCACGACTTACTGCAGCCTCAACCTCCTGGGCTCAAGGGATCCTCCCACTTCAGCCTCTTGAGTAGCTGGTACCATAAGAGTGTGTCACCATGCCTGGCTAATTTTTTCTTTTTTTTTTTTCAGAGACAGAGTCTCACTATGTTGCCCAGGCTGTTCTCAAACTCCCGGACTTAAGTGATCCTCCTGCTTTGGCCTCCCAAAGTGTTGGGATTACAGGTGTGAGCCACCATGCCCGGTCTGGAAATTCTAAATGAAGAGAACTCTGTGTTAACCACCTCCCTGACTTACTTTTTCTCTTAGTGAGTATGTCCCCACTTGTCTTCAAGTCCTTTCTACCAAGCTTCTGTTAAAATGAGGATCCTGGGCCAGGCATGGTGGCTCACACCTGTAATCTCAGCACTTTGGGAGGCTAAGGCAGGTGGATCACTTGAGGTCAGGAGTTTGAGACCAGCCTGGCCAACATGGTGAAACCCCGTCTCTACTAAAAAGACAAAAATTAGCCAGACATGGTGGCGCATGCCTGTAGTCTCAGCTACTCGGGAGGCTGAGGCAGGAGAATCACTTGAACCCAGGAGGTAGAGGTTGCATTGAGCTGAGATCACAGCATTGCACTCCAGCCTGGGTGACAGAGCGAGAGTCTGTCATAAATAAATAAATAAATAAATAAATAAATAAATAAATAAAATGAGGATCCAGGAGAGAATCAGAAAGGCTTTCCATCATTTGGCACAACTCCAAGGCATAGTGGGCGCTAAGGAAATACGTGAAGCCTGGATGAATGGAAGTCAGTCACAGAAAGGTATAGATTATCAACATGCAGCACTTGCTTTTCAAAGAGGGGGAAGCCTTCAGTTCAATGTATTTCAGGCTGTAGGTACGGGCCTTGAAAGATTCCTTGCCACCAAATTGCAACTGTGTCTTGCACAGTTCTGGGGTCCAGGACCCCAGAAGCAATCATTTCATAATGATTCACAGCATAACTTTATTAATCCAACATGCCTCAATCCACCTATTCCCTACAGAACAACAGGATTCCAACCAGAGGAAAACTTGAGCTTTTAGGGGAGCTATTCATGTTTTGTCAGCCAGCTCAGATCCTCAGATCTCTGCATTCCTCTGAGATATTTGAAGACAAGGGACTAATGACAGCTTCTGGGAGCCAAAGCTGACCTCTCCTCCCACTAGCCACGTCGCTGAATCAACACAACTTCTTCCTCAAGAACTTCATTTTTCTCTCCGAGCTTTCTTATCTCACAGCAAAGTCAAGCCCTTTCAGTAGCTCTGTCTTGAACTAAATGTTTTGCCATAGTGAGGTCAGCCATAAAGAAAATAAGCAAAATAAATTACAATTCCAGCCCCCTTTAAAAAGTCCTAAAAGAGTCCCTCTTCCATCTCCATCTTTGTCTACCCCTTCCCAGCCTGGAAGGGCCATGTAGGAGCCAGAAAAGGCTGTGGCCCCAGACAAAAGCAGACTTAAATTCTAGCTTCACCATTACCAGCTGGGTGGCCATGGGCCAGCTGTTGCAGCTCTGAGCTTTGTTTTCCTCCATTGTAAAAGGGTGACTCTAAGTCCTATCTCACAAGATTATTAGGACAACTAAGTGAGGCAACATGCATGAAGCCTCCAAGCACGACAGGGTCTCTGTAGGTAGGGGCTCCATTCCTGCCTCGGTCCCAGCCCCATGCTCCCTGTGGGTGGAGGGCGTGCTATCTTTGCCTGGCCTCTTGGTAATAAAAGGGTCGCTTATTTACCATTTGATGATACATGGTTGCCTCTCTCTTTAGATACAATGATCTTTCTAAATCCTGGCAAACTCGAAATTGGCTTTAATGATTAACGTATTTTCATTTATTTTCTCTCCTATTTCACCAGGCACAAAAACTCCTTTTCCTGGTCTGTTCTTGGCAACTGTTTGCCTGAAGAAATTAGAATCTGTTATCTAAGAAATTAAAAGGAAAGGTCAAGAAAATATTCAGGCCGGGCACAGTGGCTCACACCTGTAATCCTAGCACTTTGGGAGGCCAAAGCGGGAGGATAGCTGGAGCCCAGGAGTTCAAGACCAGTCTGGGCAACAAAGTGAGCCCCAGTCTCTACCAAAAAAAAAATTAAAACATTAGCTGGATGTAGTGGCATGTGCCTATAGTCCCAGCTACTGCGGAGGCTGAGGTGGGAGGAAATCTTGAGCCCAGGAGTTCAAAGAGGCTGCGGTGAGTTGTGATCCTGCACTGCACTCCAGCCTGGGCAACATGGCTATGTCAAAATTAAATAAAATATTCAACTTTGACCCTGTGTCAAGATAAAATAAAATTTTATTCCATTTTTATAAAAATAAAATGTTTATTTTTCTACAAGGAAACATTTTTCAGATGCTGATGAGTTCTGTTTAAGCCATCAGCATCCTGGAGGACTAAGGTCACAGTGTCCTCCTGAAGGTGGAAGGGATGCCATCCCCACTGGAGAGGGCTAAGCTGTGACACCGAGAAAGTGCACAAGAAATCTGTAGTTTTGGCTGGGTGTGGTGGCTCACGCCTGTAATCCCAGCACTTTGGGAGGTCAAGGCAGGCAGATCACCTGAGGCCAAGAGTTGGAGACCAACCTGGCCAACATGGTGAAACCCTGTCTCCACTAAAAATACAAAAATTAGCCAGTTGTGGCAGAGAGCACCTGTAATCCCAGCTACTCAGAAGGCTGAGGCAGGAGAATCGCTGGAACCTGGGAGGTGGAGGCGGCAGTGAGCCAAGATCGCACCACTGCACTCCAGCCCGGGCAACAGCGAGACTCCATCTCAAAAAAAAAAGATCTGTAATTTTTCTTTCCTGGAGATAGTGGGAAGTGGGAGGAGAGAAAGAGAAAGGCGTGGTCAGAAGTGTGTCCTCTGTCGGGTGTGAGCTCTGGCCTAGGCTGGGGGCTGAAGGATAAGGCCTGGCGCATGAAGGATGGAGAAGTGTGATTCATGAGTAAGGGTGGCACTGAGGGCAAAGAAGGGGCCATGGCCCCCACTCCTCTGCAGTCCAACCACAGGAAATTATCTCAGCATGGTGAGACAGGTGCTGAGATTTGGTTTTTCCAGCTTCCTTCAGGTCCACGTTGGTGCTGATGTAGAGATAGCAGCCAGAGGTCTATGTGGATCAAAGCTGCAGATGGACCTTGGGCCTGTAGCTGGAGGGGGATGTGGCAGAGTACAGCAGTCTGCTGCCCTCAGTAGCTGGGGAGACCTTATCAGGGTATCCACTGGCCAAGTCAAAAGGACAGAAAGGTTCATCTCCCTCATCCTTGACAGACATAAACTTCAGCAAGGTGAACAGCCACCCAGGACACCAGCCCACACACATGGAAGGACCGTCATGGACCACAGGGCATCCTCTCCCAGCGCCACCTAGTGAGAGGGGCAGGAAGAAGGGAGCCTCCAGGGAAGGATGAACATTTCTCCCTAAATAACAGACTAAGAGTACATTTCCTAAATGGCCAGTTGAGATGACTAGATCAAACTCAGTTTAGACTCATTGGACATTCGATGAATTTTCCTGCAGCAAGTGGTGATCTGGAAAAAGACCAGATCAGCAACAGAAAAAATAAAGACTTTATATCCTCTCTGCATGTCTGCTTTGTAGTGTGAGTTACATTGGTGATTATGCACATTGTTGAGGTTCTACATAAAAATAGCAAGTAATTGAGAAAGTTCAATATCTCTTGCCAGAGTCTTTAAGTCCCAGCAGATAAAGGAATGCTTTGGTAGACTTTAGCGCATGGAGCCATGAATCCTTCTACCATCCATGAAAGACAGAGAGAGATCCAATTCCTGCAGTAGAAAAGCCAATGAGACAGAGGAGGAAATTGGCAGATGATGGGTAAGTGAGGAAACCCCATCTAACTTTCTTTGGTGGGACTGGAGTCAGAGCTATGCCAATGTTATGTTTGCTTCAGTATTAGTGAGCAATACTCAAGTCTACCTTTGTTTCATGTTTGTGTTTGTTTTTAAAAGCAGTCCAGGAGTGGTAAGAGCCTCTTCTGCCATATGCTGGATCTGTGGCATGCTGGAGCTGGCTTGCACTCACTCATAAGAGCCCACTGCGATCATTCTCAGCAAACTAACACAGACACAGAAAACCAAACACCACATGTTCTCACTCATAAGTGGGAGTTGAACAATGAGAACACATGGACACAGGGAGGGGAACATCACACACCGGGGCCTGTCGGGGGGTGGGGGGCAAGGGGAGAGAGAGCATTAGGACAAATACCTAGTGCAAGCAGGGCTTAAAACCTAGATGACGGGTTGATAGGTGCAGCAAACCACCATGGCACATGTATACCTATGTAACAAACCTGCACGTTTTGCACATGCATCCTGGAACTTAAAGTAAAATAAAAATGAAAACTAAAAAAAGAGCCCTCTGTGCACCATGCACTCCTCAATTCATGCACACAGCGTCATGTCCGTGGCTTAAACTCAGCCATGCTGGAAGTATTTATACCGTGGAAGTCAAATGCTACACATCAAAGTGGTTTGTGCTTGTTTTGTTTTTTTGCCTGGAGGGCTGATAGCTAAACATTGACTGGAATAGAGGGTCAAGAGAAGACAGCAGCCCCCACGTGGAAGCGCCATATATCTTGGTCTTCCCTGCCCAACAGCTCCTGGGAGCCACCTTACTTTCTGAGGGGAGGAGGGAGGCAGCCAAGAATGAGACTTGCCAACTTCGGGGTTATCTAGTGGCTGAGCTCCCAGGCTCCGGCTTCTCTCCACCTCGCCACATAGTCCTTGTACCTGGCTATATTAACGCATCAATGAGTGCTCCAGCAGCAAGGAAGAGCTAGCCCAGCCCTGCCAGGGCCACCTGCGTGTCCTCCCTCCCTGGCTTCAAGAAAAGGAGAAGTTATCAATTACCAAGATTTCATGGGCAAGGCAGCCACAGGTTTCACCTCCAATTGTGACATAATTCAATGACTCTTTGACAAACTCATCAGCAGTCTTGGTTATCACATTTGTATTTAGATACTTTGTCATTGCAGTCGAGACAGCATATGGGGTCAGCACCTACAACGGGAAACAAAGACCATGGCACAGAAGCAATCCACCCCAGGAAGAAGACTCAGAAATTAACACTCAAGCCCCCATCCCACCATTTCCCGACCCTTCTCTTCCTAGGCAAAGTTTTAAGATCTTGAGTGGAAAAAGGCACAGTACCGGCACAGAGCTGGGAATCAGAAATTTGGTTTCTCAAGATGAGAACCTACCTAGCCAACATCAAGTGGCCCAAATGCCCTGCCCAACACACAGTGTGAATGGGAAGAACTCGGGTCTCTCTCTCAGAACCAAGTTGCAAGACAGCAAATAAAAATACAGGATGTCCAGTTAAATTTGAAGTTCAGACAAACAATGAAAACCACTTCAGCACAATCGTATCCCAAGTATTGCATGGGACATACTTATACTGAAAACTATTCATAGGCATCTGAAATTCAAATTTAACTGGAGGTCCTGTATTTAATCTGGCAACTCTATCTCAGAAGTTTGTTTCTAATACATATAACCAAAGTTGGAGCAACTGAAAGCACTCTGGATTCCCACTTTCACACTTCAGTTAGGAACCAAGAGTAGCACATACCTCATAACCTCTTCCTGTTGTGGTAAGAAAAACAATCACACATTGTGCCCTAAAAACCCAACACCATGTTTCCACCTGTGGGCTAACCACATTGTGGCCTGGCATGGGGATTCATAATGGGGTTTTATTACCTTATTCCCAGAACAAAGGGTTTGGCATCTTTAGAAAGAAAAAAGGCTGGCATGGTGACTCATGCCTGTAATCCCAGCATGTTGGGAGGCCAAGGCAGGACGATTGCTTGAGCCCAGGAGTGCGAGACCAGCCTGAGCAACATGGCAAAACCTCATCTCCATTAAAAATAGAAAAATTAGTCAGGCACGGTGGCACATGCCTGTAGTCCTAGCTACTTAGGAGGCTGAGGCAGGAGGATCCACTGAACCTGGAAGGCAGAGGTTACAGTGAGCCAAGATCGTGCCACTACACTCCAGCCTAGGCTACATCAGAGTGAAACCCTGTCAAAAAAAAAAAAAGAAAAGAACAGAAAAAGAAAGAAAGAAAGAAAGAAAGAAAGAAAGAAAGAAAGAAAGAGAAAGAAAAGAAAGAAAAGAAAAAGTAAAAAAAAAAATCCACAAAAGTTTTCTAGGTTTTATTTTTCTTCACATCACATTTGGAATTACATTATTTCATAATTGAACCCAATTATGAATCAATTAATCCAAATGAGCAGGTTCCTATGGAAATTAAAGCATGATTAATTTGTATAACACTTTTCTTCCAAGGATCTCAAAGTGTTACTCTTTGAGAAATATAAGGAGTGTGCTTTCTCCACCACAGTTTCCAGATAGGGAAGTAATGATAAGTATTTTCATTCTTAAGTGATTTTGGGTTGACAAAACACCTGTATGTACAAAATAGGGGCTCAATAAATATTGTTTAAACATATGTACTTATTTCTTCGTTAGATCTTTACTATAACCCAGAGATATAAGCAGGCATTATAAGCCCCTTTTTATGGATGGGAAAACTGAGGCTCACAGAGTTTAAACAAGCTGACCAGGATCACTCAGATGATAAGTGGTAGAGCTGTGATGAAATTCAAACCCAACTCCACAGTACATACTTCTTCATGCATTCAGCGAGTATTTATTCATTCAGCGAGTATTTATTGAGTGTGTGTTCGGAGAGGCCAATTGGTTTTTGAAAGATCACAGTCTTTTCACTTTCTCCTCCTTGCTAGAAGAGCACCTCCAAGTTCTCTGCATCAGGGAAGGGACAAGGGACTCCATTTCCCCACCCACATCTCCTCCTGACCCTCCTGCTCCATAGTACCCACTACCTCGGCAGCTGTGCCCCAAGGATCAAGACAAGATGCTGCTGAGGGTCACATGGCTAGGAAGCAGGTGGCTGCGATGATCATTCATGTTTAGAAATCACCAAGGATTCTTGGTTCCTTCTTCTTCCAGACACATGCATAATAGAATTGCACTTCCTGGCCCCCTGTGGCTGTGTAGGACCATGCAAGCAGAGTTGGCCAGTGATTTATGAACAGAGGTGACATGTGTCATCTCTGGGCCAGAGCATTTCATTGTCAAAGCAGGACCCACTAGAACTTCCCACTCCTTTTCCTCTGGCATGTCGGCTGCTCCGTCAGCCTGGGGCCCTGTGTCAGCACAGTGAGCCAATGTCTTCTGTGAACCCACAGTGGATGTGTCACGTGAATGCAAAATAGGACTTTGTTGTTTTAAGCCACTGAGATTTTAGGGGTTATTTTTTTACTGCAGCAAACTTAGCCCAGACAGAGTTGCAGCATTACAAAAGCGAAACTCCAGCTTCAGCTGGGAGTGGGAGCACGGAGACCCCAGCATGGAAGCAGGACCCTCTGATGGGTCAGACGGCTTCTGCATGGCAGAGAAAGGGACTGTGACCCGGTGGCAAGGCTGTTACAACCACTCACTATGGCTCAGAGATGATATTATTGGCCAAATTCCTACCATTAACTCATATCTGCCTACTTAATAAGCTTTACCCTGTAGCTGGTTAGTTTATAGGAACAGCTGCCTAAAATACTCTCACTGGATATTTTAATTGAAAATCAGTGTGCGCAGCAATAATTTCCAAGATATAATTTTGAGTGTGCCTTTCTCCATTTCTAATAGTATATCGTAAAACTTCTTCCCACACAACAATAACAAAACAAAACAAAAACTCTGTTTATTCTACGTTCCAGAAACTATCTAACTCTAACTCTGTTGCTGAACCAAGCACAAATAAATCACTGACACTTTAGGAATCACATTGCTCAGCCTGCAGCAGGCAGTGACAGCCCAGCTCTGCCTAGGTGAGGACAGGTCATCTCCACGATGACCTGTGGAAGGGAAGCAGAGTGCCTCCTCCTCACCTGCTCGAGAACCAGAGTGTGGGGACCTCTGTGGCCCATCACAGAAGGTCCCCTCCCCTGGTGACTAGCCCCTCCCCTCATTCAAACTCGGATCAAGTGCCCAGTTTTGTTTTGTTTGCTTCTTCTCCAGAATTCCTCCCACATAAGCCTGTGTTCTGTACCAGGGTCAGAGAGGAAAAGCCACAACCAACCCGAATGTCTGCTCTGATGAAGCATCAGGTAGCAAGAAGGTCCACAGCATTTCTGAGCAGCCACTCCCCTCTCCTATTTCCTCCTCCAGCACCCAGGGCACGGGGGAGGGCAACAGAAGCCACAGCAGCAGGTGGGACTGAGGCGCCCCAAAAGCCCACGTGGCATCCCCAGCTCATCTTCCTGTTGACCACACATGAGCAGCCAGACCCACAGGAGGCAGTGGCCCCAGCCACGGGAGGTCCAGAGTAACCCTTCTCAAGGACTCACAGCCGCCCACCTCACCTGGATGATGACAAGGACTCCACAGCTGCCCACCTCACCTGGATGATGACTTCTTTTGCTTTATATTCCTCTTGCAGGGCCTTGGAAAATGCGCACACAAACGCCTGGAGCAAGAAGGAGAGACACCTGAGGCCCCAGAGTGAGCTCCCTCGTCAGAGCCAACTTCCTCTGACTTCAAGGGGCACTGCAGACACACTACCTGCTAGACCTTAAAATAGAGTGGGGAGCTCTGGGTACGGAGGGTACGGAGTTTCAGCTGCACAGGGTGAATATGTTCTAGAGATCTACTATACAGCATGGTGACAAAAGCTAACAATCATAGACAACATACCTGAAAATTACTAAGCAAGTAGATCTCAGGGGTCCTCACCACAAAAAAAAAACCGGTAAGTATGTGAGGTCATGGATATGTTAATTCGCTTGACTTGATCGTTTCACAACATATACATATATTAAAATATCACCTTGCATACTATAAATAGACACAATTTTTATTTGTCAAGTACGCCTTAATAAAGCTGGAGAGTGGGGCAGAAAGAGGGTAAGGGAAAAAATGAACCAGCTTGCCTTGATGGGAGTTAGCACTTCATCCCCCGGTCTGGGAAGAGGACCTCCCACTCAGCAGGAAAATCTGTTTTGGGATAAATCCATCCCTAGGGCCCCTGCATAGATTAACCTCCCTTGTACAGCGCCCCCTCCTCCTCAGGCTGTTTTTATGACTAGGGCATGGGGACACCAGGCTAGATCTCCCAGTCTGGAAGGAAGCTACAGTGTCACTTGTCAGCAGGAAGATGGCAAGGGCTCCCAGAGGAGGTGAGTGGGGCAGGCATCCCCGGAGGCTGGCCAAGTTGTGCACCGCAGGGCTTCGTGTGCCCAGAGCAGGTGCTTTATTCTAATTTTCTCTTGGACTTCCCAGTGAGTAGCTCAGCCCTGCACATAAGAGAGCATCTCCAGGTAAACCTTTCCATCAACTTGCCAGATGATCAAAGGAAATTGCCAACTGGGAGAAATAAGAGGAAGAAGGAAGAGACTTGGAAGTCATGACATCACTCACCTTGGAAGCTGAGTACATGGAGTAGAGAGGCCAAGGAAACAGGGCTATCCCAGAAGAAATGTTCAGGATGAGACCTTTCTGCCTGAAAGGCAAAGAAGCAAAGTTCCCATGGCTTTGTTGCCCTACCTGACCTTGAGTACAAAGAAAACAAAGGGTCCCGTGTGAACACTGCCGGACTCGACCCTTTCTAGGCTTCCGCAAGTGCTAGGGGCTCTGCTTCTAGGAATGGTAAGTGAACTTCCCCTACCTTCCCCTGGAGGGCGCCACACAGAGATGTCTGGATTTCCGCCGCACAGTGATGCCACCTGGCAGTCATGTGACATCATATAATGTGAGGGGCTTGCTCTTGGAAACAGGCTGTGCTACAACTGAGGTCTCTCCACCAAAATACTGATAACCAGCTCAGCTCAGGATTTAAGGGGAGAGAATCCTTCTCCCTTAAATGTGACCACATGAGCTGCCGGTCCCTTTGGACTCAGGACCCACAGCTGGACAGATGTCACATGGTGGAATATTGTCTTGGATAGAATTTCACAGTACAGGACCTGCTCACACAGATACCCTATGCAAGTCTCCAGGAGCCTTACTTGTCCTTTTGAAATTTAATATTCTTAATCCTTCCCAATTAGACGGATACAATGGAGGGGCAGGGGACAAGAAACTGCAAATTAGAATCCAAGGCCAAGCCCCTTCTTCCTCTAGGGAAGATAAGCTATCAAGCATTTGCTTTTAATGAACACACCTGAGAAAAACCAACTCCCAAATGGGCATTGGAATAGGGTGACATAAATATGGAATAAGTGGAGGAGCTGACAGGGCAGTGATTTTCACAATAAATTGGAGTATTCTCTCTGACAAAAGCTGAAATTCCTAACAAAGAGATGGTCTTGATCTCGGGCCAACTTCTGAAGTTTTCTTTTACACTCAACATTAGTTAATTTTTCTTTAATCCAGTGTGTGCTGAAACTGCCGTTCTCTTCCTCCCTCCAATGTGTGTTACGTTTGACCTTCACATGAGCTTGTCTGTCTGCAGAGCTGGCCTGGCCCAGAACGTTATGTTTTTTTTCCCATAATCACCGTGTGCTTTCATCATAGCTGTTATCGTTTGTTAAAGCACAGCCAGATGGACTCTGTGTCCCCAGTCCCTGAGTTAGCTGACCGCCAGGGCAGGGAGGCCATGTTGCTCCACACTTTTTTGAAGAAGGCCTTACCTTGATTCCATATGTTTCAGAATTAGCTGTGTCATCTACAAGAGAAGGCCAAAGGTAAGCCCGACAAGGAACTAAGTAGCAGTGCAAGGGGGCGGGATGGAAACAGGGAAGGGAGCGCGGGAGGAAGCTGGGAAAGAGCCTCATCTTCTCAGACGGCCTTGAAAATTGCTGGCACTCATTGGAGGTCACTCTGGCCACATTAGAGTCTGCCTGGAACCCACAGGAGCCAACCTAGACAAATGACAGGCTGCTCTGGGGCCTCTGATTTCTTCCCCCTAAAGCTAATGTCTTCCTGGAAAATGAGGGCAGTGAAAAATTGGGGGAATTGGCTTACAGCTGTGGGACCAACACTGAGGTTCCCATGATACTCTTCATTCTGTGGGACAGGCAAAAGTGGACTGGCCATGAGTTGGAATTGGGGAACTATGGGGAAACCTAACAAGACTCTGTAGAGAGAAGGACACCTCTTTGATTCAACAGCAACCGCTTACGCAGCCTGCAGCTAGGCTATGAAATAGCTCCGTGGACACAGTGCATGGCCACTCCTGTGTATTGGAATTACAAGAGCCTTGAGAGGCCCCTTCCCCCTCCCAGCCTAGAGACCCCTGAAAAGGTCTTCTCTGCCATTTCAGGAGCCTAAAAGAACTTTTTGTTTCAAAATTACAAGGTACACATTTTACAAATGAAGGAAGAGGCAACCCCATGGACTGAAATGTTCTCTGAAGTAGAATTGACCGCAATCAGGCCTGGCAGGCCTGGAGCAGATCCTGACTGCAGCAGGTTTGAGACAAGGGACCCAAGTGAAAGGAGAGGGGTGGAGACATCAAGGCACCTGGGGACCGGAAGACACAGGCTGCCCATTTCTCCATGCTGTCCAGGGGCCCTGCAGCAGCTCCTCAGAGGTGCCCACTCCCAGGCCAGGCCCCAGCCTGTCTCAGAGCCTCCAGGGAATGTCTTCGCTGCTGGGGGGCCAGGGGGCCAGGGCAGTGGAGGGGGTGGGGCTCTCTAGAACCACTGGGCTGCCTCTGCAACACTGGATTTTGGGGAAGAAGAGGGAGGATGAGGGGCGAGATAGTGTCAGACCGCTTTCCGTGAATGACTTCATAGGGATATTATATGAGCCTTGTCAGCCAGCACCCACATTGCCTCGAAGCCTCCCGAATGAACTCACTAGCCCTGTTGGCTGAATGATCCCAATGAGAGAGACAACACTGAATCTCGTGGGTCCCCGCCTCAAGGCTTCCAATGTTCAGTTTCTTATTCCACCTTCCCTTTGCCCTCAAATGCATATTCTCCCATCCCTGCCCCGAAAGAGAACTCGACTATCTCCAGACGGCTTCTTTAAAATAGTGCAGCTTCACTAGTCATGCTTCTAACCAGCATGGTTCACTGGGGCGTGGTATACTTAGAAGCTAAACTTCAATTTATTTTATTTCATACTTAGGGAACTTAGTGTTTATCAATATATAATTTTTTTAAACAAATCAAAGCATTTCTCTGCTAAAGGAGTCAGAGGGTTGTCAAGTGCATTTGGGAAATACCTATGATCAAACAGCCCAAGACTAAAAGGTCAGTTGTAAAATAACGTGAAAGACTTTAGTGGTAAGGCTGCAGATGACAGTTAGACATATAAAACTCATAATTACATCAGCTGGGGGCTCCAAAAAGCCATCAATTGCTAAGCACAAAAAGATGTGTGTACCCAATAGCAACTGAGCAAGAAACCATAAAATACCAGCATGCTTATAGAAAAACAACCAAATAGTTATTGTCCGCCCAACTTATTCACCTGAAAAGAAAAAATTTTTTGTCTACTCTGCCTCCATTTCCCCTCCTTATCTTAACAGCAACCTGGCTTTCTTTGGGAAATCTGTCCTCCCCTACTTCCAGTCCATGTTGTTCAGATGGGTGAGACTGAGCCTTCTGCTAGTCTCCAACCAGGGTCCCAGCTCCTTGAAATCAGGAATCAGACTTTACTTATCACTGCAGTCCTACTGACCTTCCAGAGTGGTCATCAAGGCTGCCATATACAGCTGTGAATGTTGTGTACTGAGCAAGGTGTGGGGTTAGTGCAGGTGGGAAGCTCAGAGCTCACTCACAAGCCACGTGTCCTAGTAGAGGAAGAGGGCTTTATCCCCAGAGGAAGGGGGAACACGTCATTCACACAAAATCCTCATCTACTCACCAAGTCACACAGCCTCAAGCTGTGTCCATTCTTAAACAGTACCTTTCTCTAAATTGTCTACATAGGATAGCTTTGAGGGACTCATGCTATACATCTTTGTGCAGCTGACCCTCACCAAAGAACTTGAATGCTGAATGGTGCCTAAGACATCTCTTGATCCACAGCCATTTTTTTTTTTTTTTGGAGACAGAGACTTTCTCTGTCGCCCAGGCTCGACTGCAGTGACACAGTCTCAGCTCACTGCAACCTCTGCCTGCCTGGTTCAGGCGATTCTCCTGCCTCAGCCTCCTGAGTAGCTGGGATTACAGGTGCCTGCCACCATGCCCGGCTAATTTTTGTATTTTTTAGTAGAGACAGGGTTTCACCATGTTGGACAGGACGGTCTCCAACTCCTGACCTCAGGTGATCTACCTCGGCCTCCCAAAGTGCTGGGATTACAGGCATGAGCCACCACGCCCAGCCAATCCACAGCCTTTTAATAGCAGATGCAGAACGTTAAGTTCAAGGAGGCTACATAACTTGTCCAATGCTGTCCAACTAATTAGTAGCTGTGCTGGGACCAGAACACAGATGAATTTGAGCTTTGATTTAACAAATATTTATTGAACAACAAAAGTCCAGAAAATCCAAGCCACGCCCTCCGTCAGTTTTCCAGAGTGAGCTTTCCTCTATCTACAAAGCCTAAAATTAGAGGAAGATACTAATTTTTTTTAGAATTGCCTTGGAATCCTGAATACGTTTCAGCATCATCGAGCTTAGTATGTTCCAACGTGTGACAAAACTGAAAGCAGAAATAGAATTCAGATACAAGGGAGAGTTGAATCCATTACTGTATTTTCTAGATGAAAAACAGAACAAGACAATTACAAGACCACGACATGGCCTCTCAACTAAGTGTGGTTCGATTTCAAAGAATCCTGCTTCTACAGTGGATGGGCACAATTCTCCTGAGTTGCCAAATTTCAAGTTACTACATGTTAATGCATTTCGCACATATATTGATCACATACCTTGACTACGGAGGTGATGTTACAATGGATGAGGCTCTGTAATAAATAATCACAACCACACATCAGCCGGATGATTAGAGAAATTCTCCTGGAAAGTAGTTGGTGCTAAAGAACCATGAAGTGGGCAAAAGTGCATGTCTGAACGGTTTCATCACTCACCCTGCAAATTAGGCTCATAACTGCCTTCCAGCAAGCATGTACTAGCATCAAGAAACATCTGACTCCCATTCTGTCATTCTGTACCCACGTCATCTTGACTAGACATCAATTAAGAGTTTCCTGGAAAACTCGGAACTATATTCCTGGAGGAATATAAATACGGTTTTTCAAAGGGAGCTACTCCATTCTCAGCTGGAGGAAGAGGGGTTAGCCTATGTGAGTCCAGGAGAACAGAAAGACAAATGGTTGTATAATATAAGGTAGAGGTTCTGGGCTATGGAGGGCAGGTAAAGAAACCACTAGAATGACCAAAGATAAAGAGAAAGGACAAGAGGACGGACACAGACACTAGCACAAACACAGACACACACAGGCAGAGGAGCAACCCTGGAACTTGCTTCTTGAAGAGACGTAGATTTGTGCCAGAAACAGAGTGTGGGAGACAGAGCCCACACAGGAGATGTGTGGTCCAGAGAGGAGTTCAGGAGTTTGGTGAGGATGTGCAGCAGCGCCCAAGCAGTCTGGCATTATCACCCGGTGCAGCAGACTCGGGGCTTACACAGGACGATGGGATACCTGCAGAAGTGGGGAATGGAAGCATGAGAGCCTGTTCAGATTGGTGTAGCCCTAATGACTCCAAAGGTCAGGGCCTAAGAAAGGGTCAACAAATTGTGCCTTCAAAAACTGTTAAATGCGGCCGGGCGCAGTGGTTCACGCCTGTCATCCCAGCACTTTGGGAGGCCGAGCCAGGTGGATTACCTGAGGTCAGGCGTTCGAGACCAGCCTGACCAACATAGTGAAACCCCCGTCTCTACTAAAAATACAAAAATTAGCTGGGCGTGGTGGCAGGCGCCTGCAGTCCCAGCTACTCAGGAGGCTGAGGCAGGAGAATCGCTTGAACCCGGGAGGCAGAGGTTGCAGTGAGCCGAGATCATGTTACCGCACACCAGCCTGGGCGACAGAGGGAGACTCCATCTCAAAAAAAAAAAAAAAGAACTGTTAAATCCATTAAAAATGTACTCCCAACCAACAATGGCAGTCATGGGTCTGAGCCAAGTTTACTGAACTTACAATCCTGCCAGCCATAGAGTTTGTGTCATATACTTCCCTCACACTGAAAGTTACACAAATCTTAGTACCTGGGAAGACAGAGAAAGCCAAAGAGCTGGTCTTCTCCCATATATGTTCACAGCTGCGAATGTGTTAGGCAGAATTACCCTTTATAAAGTAGAGTGCAGCACCCCAGAAGCATAGGACAATGGACAGGTAAGTTTTGATGTGCAGAGAAGGAGGAAGATGTCCATATCCTAGAGATATCGTGAAAAGTGGTACTCTTGACTGTGGATCGAGTGCTAAGGTGAAGAGGAAAGGGGGCCTCAATACATACAGTCCAGGATTTCGGCCAGATGCATGCTTCCATCACGCCTTCCCAGGCCTGACTCATTACCCAGCCAGGGGACCCAGAACCTGGATAAGAGGAATCTATACACAGAAGAGCACAAGTCTACCTGGATTTCATCCGGTGCGTTCAGGAAATGGCTTGGGAGAAGGTTTGGAAGCATTCCGACATTGTTGACTGGCAGAAAGAAGCAAAACAAAAATGTGTCAGAAGATCAGGTGGGAGATTTTCCCAAAGAACCATGTACAAAAAGATTGACATGTAAGGTTGTTCATCGCAGCATGATTTGGTAACGGTGAGGAAACTGGGGGGAAGTTTTTGTCCAGTAATAGGAGACACCTTCAATGAATCATGGGGTTGTCATATGTTGGAATGCAGTGTAGTCATTAAAAACTATGGCTGGGCTGCTTACATGGGAGAACATGCATGATGTAAGTTTTTTAAAAATATATGACAAAACAGCACATACGTATAATTCCAGTTTTGAAAATATGTGTGTTTAGGATTAGAAAAATGTGCACCAAAATGCTACCTCAGAATATTGGGATTTTAAGAGATTCATATTTATTTTATTAGCCTGTCTATTCTTTCCAATTTTTCTGCAATGATATGCTGTACACTTTCATATGTAAAAATGTAATTATTTTTAAAATTCAGCAGAAGGTTTAGAAATCCAATTTGACTTTCTTCTATATATACCATAAACACTGCACTGTGCACGCGGCCGTAAAGTATCTTGTCTATAAATCATTACAGAAATAAATATTATCTTGTTTTCTGAATAAGAAAGAGAGTCAATTCTCAACTATACTATTTCATGGATCAATCACAGCAATGTTTGTTTGCTAAACTAATTCCTTTAGGCCAATGTTTCTGGGATTCTTTTTCTGCCAAATGTCAACGTCAGTTCCATAAAAGAAAATTCATTTTAATATTAGAAAATATAGTTGGTCCGGCCGGGTGCAGTGGCTCACACCTGTAATCCCAACACTTTGGGAGGCCGAGGCAGGTGGATCACGAGGTCAGGAGTTTGAGACCAGCCTGGCCAATATGGTGAAACCCCATCTCTACTAAAAATACAAAAATTAGCTGGGCATGGTAGCAGGCGCCTGTAGTCCCAGCTGCTTGGGAGACTGAGGCAGGAGAATCACTTGAACCTGGCAGAAAGAGGTTGCAGTGAGCCGGGATCACACCACTGCACTCCAGCCTGGGTGACAGAGCGAGACTGCATCTCAAAAAAAAAAAAAAAAGAAAAGAAAATATAGTTGGGGGTTGAAATATGTATGTTTGATACATTCCAAACCAATATATAAATTTTTTTATTCAGTAATGCCTCTAGAAGAAGTGTGCTTTGATATTCAACTTAATGGGACAGCTTAAAATACAGTCATGGTTTGAGTATAAATCACCATGAAATAATCAAATGTCACTCATCAGTGTCAGGTTATTTCACTGATGTATGACAACAAGCTTTGCATCTTGCAATTTACTCACCTAAAATTCCAATTTCTAAGCCTGCAAGTTTTTCTTTAATATGCTCGTAGATGTCATCTTTTGTAAAATCTGCTTGTATAATCTTCACACTCCTCCCTGTAGTCCGCTCTACACGAGAGACAACAGTTTTTTTAATGAACAGGGATCCAAATGCCCCCTCGCCCATGAAGTTTCCCCCAGTGCTCCTGTATTACCTGAGCAGACATTGAAGAGGACAGCCCATTGCCCCAAATAAAAATGGGACATGGTTCTGGGTAAATGTTGGGAGGTGCTAAGATTGGTGAATGGTGGTTCCTACGTGTCTCTAAGAGTTACTGCAGGGACACGTATATGCATTAAGATAGATTTACTGCAGCGGTTCTCAAAGTGGAGTCCACAAACCACAGCATCAGGGTTACAGGGAAACTTGCCAGAAATGCAAATTCTCGGGCTCTACCCCAGACCTATTGCATCAGAAACTCTGTGGGTGGAGCCCAGCCAGCCACCTGCTTAACACACCTCCGAGGGACTCTGCTGCTTGCTCAAGTTCGAGACCCCAGACTGACAGCTGTAAAAGCAAGGTCTGACACTGCCTCTGCTCACAAGTGTCAAGTCTCCTCCACACAGACCCAACAACTCTTTGTATTTGTCCAATGCTTTAGCATTCACAGAGCATTTACATACACAATGTCTTATGGTCATTGTCCCTACAACCTTCTAAAGTAGGCATTATGACTTTCATTTTCCAGAGGAGAAAATGAAGGCTCAGAGAAGCTAACTGACGTAGCCAAGACCATCCACTCTCTGGTCACTCCACGTTCAATGCGCTCCCCACTACTCTGTGTTAACTTGCCTTCTGCGGGAGTTTTCCGTCAGATGTGAAAGCTACAGAGTTTACCAGTGGCTTGGTGAGCTGCTTTGCTTTGGAGTGGGCCAAGCAATCTTGAGGCATAGTTTGGGGGTGGACAATGCTTTCAGTCCAAAGACACTACTTGCTTTTCAAAAGGATGATAAAAAGCACATTTCAGCATTGTGAGGCAAACACTGAAGAATGTCTCGGTCCTAGTCAAAGTTACTTCTGATATCCAGACACAGAACAAAAGCAGAATTCATGGGTTCAAGGGCACTGTGCTTCACAGTGTGACTGCACAGCCCACACCTCCCACACCCATCTCCTGTCCCAAATCTCCCCCAGGGAAACAAGGCTCACCCCTGACAGCCCACCATAGTCTTCACAAGTCTCCATAACTAAAGTCTCATCCCTTTGAGTTAAAGAGTTTGTTAATTATTAAATTGATAATTATTAAAATTCAAAGGTCCCAAAAGAAATATGATTATCACTATTAACAAAAGAACACTTCAGAGCAAATCATCATAATAAAACATTATGATATAAAAGTTGCCTCAGGGTTGTACAGTGTACAACCTCCACATCCTTACATGATGATCCTGGATCAAAACTGTTTATAAAATCTGACAAACACCAGTAAGCATTGTCCCTCATCCTCCTGCCAACAGCAGAGCACAGACATGGGGAAGGGAAGTCCCAAACACCGATCTTGCTTTTGAAGGGAGTGGCAGAAGCAACCAGGCAGCCTGCTGGCTCAAGGATATGCTGTACACTTTCATATGTAAAAATGTAATTATTTTTAAAATTCAGCAATTAGTTAATTCAGGAATTAGTTTAGCAAACAAACATTGCTGTGATTGATCCATGAAATAGTATAGTTAGTTGAGAATTGACTCTCTTTCTTATTCAGAAAACAGTGTATCATTGCACAAAAATTGGAAAGCCCGCTCAAGGTTGAGCAGGGCTGATGTAGCAATGAAGGAACCCACCCAAAGGAGAGAGCAGACCTATTTGTGCCTCAGTTAGTTCCTGCTTCCCCCAGCCCACAGAGCCAGTGTGCACTAAAGCTGACACCTTCTATCCCGCCCTCTGCTTTGTAACCGGGCTCCCCAGGAGAGCTGGTGCCCCAGGCTCTGAGAGCAGATGTGGGGATGCCAAGTACATCAACTGGCATGGTGGGAGCAGGCTTGGTTGGAGGGCTCCACACACATCTCCCTTATTTGGGGGGTCACTCACCGATCTCTGTGGCAATGGCCTCTAGTTTTTCCAGCGTCCGGCTAATAAGGACAACATTGAGTCCACGTTTTGCTAGCTGAGAGTGGGAGTGAAAAACCAAGAGACAAGGATGATGAGCAGACAGGGAGGGCTTGTGTTAAGGTGACTTGGTCCTGAGACTGTGCACATACTGGCAGGGTGACATGGTTGCTTCACCTGGGTTTAAGTGTGCAGAATGTGACAAAGCTTTCTGGGCTAGGAACAACACAACCCCAATGGGCCAGGCTAACTAGTAGGGCCATCATGATAGGAGTTAACACTTATTGTGTGTTTATTGTGTGCGGGGAACTTTTCTAAGTGCTTTCCTTGTCCAGGCCCACAAACTGAAAGTGCTTCTCTGAAATTCATGGGCTCAGCTATGCATCAGAATTTAAAATACTGGGGACTTTATACTATATCTTATGTAGCAGGGGGTGGGGCAGCATCCCATAATAAAAGCAGTGTTTCTGCCCCAACATTTCTTTTTTTTTTTTTTTTTTTTTTTTTTTTTTTTTTTTTTTTGCAATAGAGTCTTGCTCTGTTGCCCAGGCTGGAGTGCAATGGTGTAATCTCGGCCCACTGCAACCTCCACCTCCAGGGTTCAAGCAATTCTCCTGCCTCAGCCTCCCAAGTAGCTGGGATTACAGGCATGCGCCGCCAAGCCCGGCTAATTTTTGTATTTTTAGTGGAGACAGGGTTTCCCCGTGTTGGCCAGGCTGGTCTCCAACTCCTGACCGCATGTGATCCGTCCGCCTCAGCCTCCCAAAGTGCTGGGATTTCAGGCCTGAGCCACCATGCCCGGCCATCTGCCCCGACTTGTGAGCTGCTTCCTATGCACAAGTACATCCTTCTGTGGTTCACTCGACCTGAGACCTTTCTTCCTGTTTTCTGAGTCCCAACAGAAGAGAAAACGGGACGGGGAGCACAGGGTAGAGAGCTGGACGCGTCCCCTGAGATCAGCAGGGCGGCCCTGCAGAGTGGATAATGCCTGGACTCCAGAGGGCTGCGTGAAGGGGTGGGGAGCTGCGTGCTTCACACAGAGCAGTCAGAGAGATTCCGCGGGGGACACGTAAACGTGGAGCGCTGGGGGGTCACAGGCCGCTGGAGATGTGTCTGTACCTAAAACTGCTACCAGTGAGAAAAGTTAGAGTTTTTCCTGAAAGACGAAAGGAAAAACCAACATTCGTTTAAACAGAGACGGATGACATTTGAATTAGTGACAAAGGCCCCACTTTATTGAAATCTGTCTCTGTGGTTTCAGTCAAATGATTCATACTGTTATTTTCTTTAATTGTGGTAAAATACACATAACAAAATCTACCACCTTAACAAAAATGTGGAATACTTTACAAATTTCTGTGTCATCCTTGGGAACTCATGCTAATGTTCTCTGTATGGTTCCAATTTTAGTATATGTGTTGCAGAAACAAGCACTACACTGTTATTTTAAAAAGTTACGTATTATAGGCTGGGCACGGTGGCTCACACCTGTAATCTCAGCACTCTGGGAGGCCAAGGCAGGCAGACCACTTGAGGTCAGGAGTTCAAGACCAGCCTGGCCAACATGGTGAAACCCTGTCTCTACTAAAAACACAAAAAATAAAAAATAAAAATAAACAAATAAATAAATAAATAAATAACTGAGCGTGATGGCACACGCCTGTGATCCTAGCTACTTGGGAGGCTGAGGCAGGAGAATCGCTTGAACCCAGGAGGTGGAGGTTGCAGTGAGCTGAGATCGTGCCACTGTACTCCAGCCTGGGTGACAGAGCAAGACTCTGTCTCAAAAAAAAGAATTACATATTATAGAAAACACATAAGAAGCTGAATTATGAATTGTGGTCTATAATATATAGTCTCCAATAGCCAGCAATTCACTATGGCCCACGGTCTCAGAATCACCCAAGGAGAGGTCAAAAAAAAAAAACACTGATTCCCACCAAACCGTCTGATATGGTTTGGATCTCATGTCAAATTGTAATCCCCAATGTTGGAGGTGGGGCCTGATGGGAGGTGATTGGATCGTGGGGGCCATTTCTTATGGATTAACACCATCCCCCAGGTGCTGTCGTGGTAAGAGTGAGTCATCTCCGGATCTGGTGGTTTAGGAGTGTGTGGCACCTCCCCCTTCTCTTCCTGCTGCTCCAGGCATGAGAAGTGCTCGCTCCCTCTTTGCCTTCCGCCACGTTTGTAAGTTTCCTGAGGCCTCCGAAGCCGAGCAAATGCCAGCATCATCCTTCCTGTACAAGCCTGCAGAACTGTGAGCCAATTAAACCTCTTTTCTTTATAAATTACCCAATCTCAGGTATTTCTTTATTGCAGTGCAAGAACGAAATAATACACCATCCCGATAAAAATCTCTGGGGTGGCAGCCTCAGGATTTTCATCTTTTTCTATTTGTATTTATTAAATTATACTATTATATGCACAAATACATCCTCATTGTAGAAGATTCCAACAATGTCAAGGAAACAAATGTCTCCAAGTCTGCCCCCCTGCCCATTTCCCCGCCCACCCCTAGGCTCCCACCACCTTTAGTTTGTTGTTGAGCCTTCTCTAACTATCTCTGCATTTACGGGCATATATAGGCACATATAGAAATAAAGGTTTGTTTTGTGGGTTTTATTTATTTTTATCCTATATAAATGACATTATAAGCAGTGTCCTGCAATATTCTTTTTAACTTAATGACGTATTTTATCTCTAAGAATCATATCTATTTCCATAGCAGTCCACGAAGAACCACTTCATTCTTTTCTATTGCTCCATGGTATTCTAGAGTTGACCTTTGAATGAGCACTTAGGGTGTTTTCAAGTTTTCCTATTACCACTCTTGCTACAGTGCAAGCCCTTCTACATAGCTCTTAGTATATATGAGTAAACTAATTCCTATATACTGTATAGGATTATGTGGGACTACAGATGCGTGCCATCATGCCCGGCTAATTCTTTATTTTTTGTAGAAATGAGGTCTCACTATGTTGGCCAGGCTGGTCTTGAACTCCTGGGCTCAAATAATCTTCCTGCCTCGGCCTCCCAAAGTGCCAGGATTACAGGGGTGAGCCACCCCACCCGGCCCCTTTATTGCTATCCAATTATCTAATTATCAGTGGGGCTGAGCATCATTTGCTATGTTATGTGTGAATTACCAGTACATACCCCTTGCCCATTCTTCTATGGAGTAACTTATCATTTTCTTATCAATTTGTAGAAGTTGTATATATCCCAGCTATTGATTATTTGCCTGCCATGTACATAGCAAGTATTTTCTACTTTGTTTCTGGTGCCCTTGTCATACATTATATACTACTTGTAATATTATCAAATTTGTGAATGTTTTCTTTGTTTTATATGTTCTTTTTGATTTTCCTTACCTTCAAGGTAATTGTTTATTTCTGAGAATGGTATGAGGTTGAAATTATTCCACAATATGTTTTTCAAATTGGGTGCCTAATTGTCTCAACAACATTCTCCACTTTGTCCATTAATTCCTAATTTAAAATGTTGACTTAGTCATTTGCTCAATTCTCATGTGTGCCTGAGACTGTTTCTGGTCTATCAGTACTGTTCCACTGACCTATTTATCAATCTCCACGCCAGGGCCACTTCTGATTTAATCATAATCTTATATTAGCCTTTGATAACTTTCCAATATTTGCATATTTTTGGCCTCATTATCTTAGCTGACCCCTCCTATACAATGTTAAGGAAGCCCCTACCATTTATTATTCTCTTTCAAAATTTTATTTCATCTTGTTTAATCTTCCAAATAAATGAGAAAATCATCTAGACAAGTATTGAGGTAGGGATATTTAGGGAAAAATTTATATCTTTGCAGGAATCAGTTGTCTTACCCGTAAGTATATTATAGTATCCATTTTTTTTCAAATCTCATATAGTCTTCTAAACATTTAGAAGTTTTTTCATGTAAATCCTGGACATTTCTTGTTAGGTTTGTGTTAATTAGGGTAACATTAGTTGCTGTAACAAATAACTCTGCAATTTCAGCAGTTTAACACAAAAGAAGTCTGTTTCTGTCTTATGTAGCAGACCCTATTTCACATTTGGGAACCCATTCAGGACCCAAAGCTGAGAGAGGGTTTGTCATCTTTACCGCCAGGTCTCTAAGATTGCCCTGGGCTTTGCCATCCAGCTAGTGCCAGGATTGAGAGACTCTGGAGAAGATATGCCCCTCTGTTAACCACCTTGATCAAGAAGTGACCCGCATCCTTTCTGCTTGCTTTCATTTGCAGAATGAGTCGCATGGCTTCACACAGGTGTCAAGGAGCCTGGCAAGCTCCCTGCTGGGAGCCATTTACCAGCTGCAACTCCACCCTACGGAAGAGAGAGTAGGCATCTGGGTGGACAATGAGTTGTTCCTGCCACCAGGATCTTATGTTTATTCACTGCCATGATGACCTGAATTATTTTGGATAGAAGACACTTCAGGATTCAATAGGTAGGTTCAATTCCTGTCTCTACCACTTATTTCCATCAGCGCAAGTCAGTTGTTGTGGGGATCATAGAAGGGAATACATTCAAAAGTGTGTGGCGTGGCCGGGCACATTGGCTCATGCCTATAATCCCAGCACTTTGGGAGGCCGAGGTGGGCGGATCATGAGGTCAGGAGTTCGAGACCAGCCTGACCAACATGGTGAAAGCCTGTCTCTACTAAAAATATAAAAATTAGCTGGGCATGGTGGCGCATGCCTGTAGCCCCAGCTACTCAGGGGGCTGAGGCAGGAGAATTACTTGAACCCAGGAGGCTGAGCTTGCAGTGAGCCGAGATCACGCCATTGCACTCCAGCCTGGGCGACAGAACAAGACTCCGTCTCAAAAGAAAAAAAAAAAGTGTGTAGCGGAGAATCTGTCACATAAGAAGCCCTCAATTGTGTTACTTATTTTTCTATATATTCAATTTGTTATTAATTGTGAATGAGAGCTCTTTACGCAGCCACCTCGCAGAATTTTTTATTTGTTCTGATAGTCTGTTCATCAGTATTTGGTTTTCACCATAGACAATAGTATTCTCTACAAAGAGTACAGTCTTGTCCCTTTCTTTCTAATATTTGCATATTTTTGTCCTCATGATCTTGGCAGACACCTCCTATACAATGTTAAGCAGTTGCAGTAACAGCAAACATACTTGCCTTGCTCCCTACTGTCCTGAGAACACTTACAGTGTTTCTCAGGATGCAAGCATGAGCTTTCCTGTCACTTCTGGTAGATATTCTTTATCAATTTAAGAACATTTACATCTGTTCCTTTTTTCTGAATTGCTTTTTTAATAAACTGCTGGATTCAGTTTGCAAATATTTAAATTGGATCATACTTCTCTGATGCTATCCTTGTCCCATTTTGGTATCCAAGTCATGCTAATCTGTCTAGATAATTTATAAAACATGTACGGGATCAACTTGTCCCAGGAGCTTCCCAGTTTTAAAACTGAAAGTCCCACATCTGAAATCACCTTTGCAAAAATTGTAACAGTGAGAAAATTATGGCAGTGAAAGAGATCTGATCTAACCAGCCCCTTGTCTTGCCCTTAAGCTTTCAAATTGTCCTTAATTATTCTTGGGTTTGGGCCAACCTAACTTTGGGAGAGACTTAGTTTATAATTTAAATTATAATAACCCGTTCCCAAAACTCAATCACCTTGGTAAAGCTAATGAAGGGCCATCCTGGTCAACATGGTGAAACGCCATCTCTACTTTAAAAAAATACAAAAATTAGCTGGGCATGGTGGCATATGCCTATAAGTCTCAGCTACTCAGGAGGCTGAGGCAAGAAAATCGCTTGAATCCAGGAAGTGGAGGTTGTAGTGAGCCGAGATCGCACCACTGTACTCCAGCCTGGCGACAGAGTGAGACTCTATCTCAATAAATAAATAAATAAACAATAAATTTAAAGGTGAAGAGAGTAGCAACTAAGAGGAATGTGTGAAAAGGATTTCTTTGGTTCTCTCTGCTGCCAAACTGTGACTCCCATCCCCCTCAGGTCGGGTGTGGAGGGAGCATTGCCCGCCTCTCACCTCACAGTAAAGGAGAGGGCTCGCAGTAGTCCCTTCCCGTCTTGTTTCAGGTTTTATGTTCACTGTGCGCTCTTATTTTTTATTCCCCCTCTCCTTTTTTGCCTGAATTAGTTCATATAGGATAGGTAATGCTGTGGCAACAAGTTAACACTGAAATCTCAGCAGTTTAACACAACAAAAGTTTACTTCTTACTCATTATGCTCAAACTGTAGACTGATCTTTGACCCAGACCCCCCAAAAATCTAATGAGCAGGAGATTGTTGCTTCTCAGCTGCTTTGACGATGGAGCCTTCTGCTGCCAAGACTTGGTTCAGGCAGTAGAAATGTAAGTGTTTATTCATGATGTTGGCTCACTGCAACCTCAGCCTCCCAGGTTCAAGGGATTCTCCTGCCTCAGCCTCCTGAGTAGCTGGGACCATGGGCATGTGCCACCATGCCCGGCTAATTTTTGTATTTTTAGTGGAGACGGGGTTTCGCCGTGTTTCCAGGCTGGTCTCTAACTGCTGACCTCAGGTGATCCGCCCGCCTTGGCCTCCCAAAGTGCTGGGATTACAGGCATGAGCCACTGCACTTGGCCCAAAACTTCTATCTCAAAGCACAGAGACCTTGGGGGAAGCAAAGTTGGAGGCAGAGTGCTGGGTGGCAGGGCCTGAGGAGGCTGATGCAGGGTGGGGTGCATTCGCCAGGGCCAAGGTCCTGTAGAGCAGTGAGCGGCACCTCCACGGGGAGAACCCATAAAAGGGCCCCACAGGGAAACAGTCGGTATCAGTCACCAGACCCAGAGAGGGAGACACGCAGACCTGCCCAATGCCTCTTCTTTGTCCTCCCTCCTGTGCTCTCCCATCTCCCTACTCCTCAGACTTGGGCAGGTTCTGACATCTCAGTTAGCAATGACAGAATGGAGAACTGCTAGGCCAGGAAAGAGAGAAAACACCATGGCACTGTCTTCCGATGGCAGTGATGTCCAAAGCAGGTCCTAGCTGTGGGGAGGGGAGATGTAACTTTCATCACAGGTTCAGCACTTGGACTACTGCAGGTGACTGGCACTGTAACTACGAAGTGAAACCATGTTTGCATCTGAAAGTGACCAAAGGACTTTGTTTCTCCTAGGAAGGATCAGTGAGGCAACAGGAGTGGCGGCAGAGAAAGAACCACTATGAAGTTTAAAGAGACACTTAGAAACAGAATGGTCATGAACAACGCCCAGTGAGTCCCATGAGACTGCTTATTGAAAACACTGGTTACACTATGTGTTTCTACCTCTGAAAAAGACATGCTAGTTTCCCACAGTGGTTGTAAACATGTCAATTGCTTTTTTTTTTTTTTTTTTTTTTTTTTTTTTGTGAGATGGAGTCTTGCTGTGTCGCCCAGGCTAGAGTGCAGTGGCACAATCTCGGCTCACTGCAAACTCCGCCTCCCCAGGTTCAAGCAGTTCTCTGCCTCAGCCTCCCTAGTAGCTGGGATTACAGGTGCCCACCACCACGACTGGCTAATTTTTGTATTTTCAGTAGACACGGGGTTTCACGGGGTTTTGGCCAGGCTGGTCTTGAACTCCTGACCTTGTGATCCACCCTCCTCAGCCTCCCAAAGTGTTGGGATTACAGGTGTGAGCCACCACACCCAGCCAATTGCTTTTATTTTAATTTCTTTATACTTTCAAATAATTTGAAGTTATATTGTCAGGAATAGAATATGCCCAGTATTAATAATCTGAAATTTATTAATATGAATATTTTCCTTTTATTAGGTTGGTGCAAAAGCAATCACGGTTTTTGCCATCAAAATAATGGCAAAAAGTGCGATTACTTTTTCACCAAGCTAATATTATTTCTTGTCTTGAATTATATTTTGTCTGATACTAATATTGCTTCCATTCCTTTTCTTTTGTTTTGATTTTCCCAGTATATGTTTTTTCATTCCTTTATTTTCAACCTCTCTGAATCAACATTGGATTTTGAAGCCCCATCTGAGTATTTGCCATTTATCAGTAAGTGTAACTGTCATATTTATTGAGATTGCAGATTTGTTATACTAACTTCTGCTGTCTTATTTATGAGTTTCCCTTCGCTATGCTTTCTTTGCCATTTGTCTCCCTTTTGTGACTAGTAAGCAGGATAGGATGGGCAATACTGTAGTAACAAACTAGCCCCAAGTCTCAGTGACTTCGTACAAGAGGCATTCATTCTTCCTCCTGCAGTGTCTTCTGTAGGTAATGCAACAGTCCAGGGCAGCCCCTCTCTGCAATGATGCAGGGATCTAGACTTTCTTCCAGGGCTGAAACTAGGATGAGGCAAGTAAAGCACTCCAGATGCAAAATTTAAGGAGGTGCTCTTTCTCAGGTTCATGGTCACCTCGCAAGCCTCACCTTAGTCCTGGCCCTGTTTTTTCCATCTAGTGGCTGCACTCTTCAACACAAAGCCTACACTGGTTTGCCTCACAATTGGGTAATTGAGCAACAAATTTGATTACAGTGTAGCAAAGACAAACTCATGTCTGCAATTTTAAAATAAGCTACAAGAGTGGGGCACGGTGGCTCACGCCTGTAATCCCAGCACTTTGGGAGGCCGAAGCGGGTGGATCACGAGGTCAAGAGATTGAGACCATCCTGGCTAACACAGTGAAACCCCGTCTCTACTAAAAAAAAAAAAGAAAAAAAAATCAAAAAGCCAGGCGTGGTGGCGGGCGCCTGTAGTCCCAGCTATTCGGGAGGCTGAGGCAGGAGAATGGCATGAACCCAGGAGGCAGAGCTTGCAGTGAGCAGAGATTGTGCCACTGCACTCCAGCCTGGGCAACAGAGGGAGACTCCTGTCAAAAAAAATAAATAAAAAATAAAAATAAAAATAAGCTACAAGAACAAGAATAGTCATTTTCTGAGGTGGGGGTTATTGCAAAGATATTGCTCAAAGGATACAAAATTTCTTTTTTGTATCCTTTGATGGAAAGTAAGATAGGAAAAACAGTTCAAGGGATCTATTGTACACCATGTATACATGTTGTATTAACTATAGATATACAACATCTATAGTTAATAACAATGTTTCATATTCTTTAAAATTGATGAGAACAGGTTTTAAGTGATCTCAGCACAAAAAATAAGTATGTGAAGTAATTTATATGTTAATTAGCTCAATTGAGCCATTTTACAATGTATATATATTTTAAATGTCATTTTGTACCCAATAATATATACAACTTTTATTTGCCATTTAAAAATTAATTAATTTAAATAAGTAAAAGAATAGGCATTTTTTGCAAACTGCATATAAAAAGACTAGTTCTACCTATGGATTAGTAAAACACTGAAATAAAAAATGCACACAAAACAATAAACATTTTCTAAAAATACCTACAAACAAAAAGATGCATATCAAACATATTAGGAAGGTTGCACATGGGAAGACGGGGAATAGAAATGGGGGGTGGGAATGAAAGAAAATAAATGAGAGAGGGACTTTGTATGGATCAATGATAATAACTCAATCCTCTATGTCTTTGACAAAGAAGGAGGAGGAAGAAAAAAAAAGTGGGATAAAGGATCAGAAAGGGAGGAAAATAGAAGAAATTAGAGTATGACTCCAGGGTAGACCTGTTTTATTGTTGCTGGGTTGGTTGGTTGGTTTGTTTGTTGTATTTTTAGTAGAGACGGGGTTTTGCCATGTTGGCCAGGCTGGTCTTGAACTCCTAGCCTCAAGTGATCAACCCGCCTCAGCCTCCCAGAGTGCTGGGATTATAGGTGTGAGCCACCACGTCCAGCCCCCACACTGCGTCTGGCCTCTGTGGTAGACCTATATTTTGATGGAAGTAGTATATATGTCATTTGCTACTTATTAAGTAAAGTATACTAATTCTAACTTTTACAATAGCCATGATAGAAAATTTAAGTTTCTTGTCTATAAAAGCTTATTTACTTTACAGCAGCCTTTAGCTATTCTAGTTTATATTTTAGCTAAGGCTACCTTTAGCTTTATCAATTAATAAGACCAGAATCGCATACATTCTGACAAAATAGTTTTATATTTTTATGTTAAATTGTTAAAGAAAACTTTATTCCAAACTTCAAAAAAAGCAAGCTGATGATTGCTTGAGTTTTTAAAAATTAATATCACCCTAGAATATTTTCTAATAAGACTGCTTGACCTCATCTGACACCCTTAGGCAGGTAACTTTGCTGTTACCAAATCTTTGTTTAACAATTCTCAGCCAGTGAAGGTGCAGACAGCTCACGGCCAGTAAGGTTGGAAACAGAGGAGTTGTTGGGACATTATAGCTTGACAGAGAAGCTGACCTCCAGGTGACATGGTCAATAGCCCTTAGAAAGTCAGCCCACTGGGTACCTAACTCAGCAATATTATTTTGCATTTCTTTTTAGACTAACTATATAAATCCCTATTGCTTAAATGCTGTTCACTCAGATCTTTTGTCTTCTTGCTTAGATCCTTTGTTACTAAGTCAATATAAAACTTTAACAACTGCTAACATATGTCTTTGAGAGTTGTGCTCTTACAACACTGAATGTGTAATGTTGTTTGATCCTTTGAGTTATTTGGCTAAATGGCCACAACAGTTATACTATAATCCTAATGTCTATAAGATTTCAGAAATAATGTAATAAACATACTACCGTGCTCTACTAAAGACAATATCAAAAGAAGTTTTAAGATCTAGCTTTATGGTATTTTCAAGAGATAGCCTAAAAGAGAAAGTTAAAGTGAAAAGAAGAGAGACATATATATATGATATTTATTCATATCAACTAAAATAGGCATTAAAGCAAATAAGTATTACTAGAAATAAAAACGAGTTAAAAGGCTAAATTTATCAGGAAGTTATAGCAATTGTAATCCTGGATTGCTTAATAAAATAGCTTTACATAAAACTACAAAGGGAATTGAAAAATACCCATCAGAGTGGGAGATTTCATTTTACCTTTTCAGTAATTGTTGGGTGAAACACACAAACACTTGGCAGAGATACAAATTATGTACACCACATAAATAACGCATCTGATCTAAGGGCCATGTCTAAACACAGAATAGGGGCAGATGATGTTCCTTTGAAAGTTGGCTCTTTGAAAACACTGATAATACTGACAAATCTCCAGCAGAATTGATCAAGGAAAAGAAGAGAGCACACGAATAAGCAGCACACAATATGAGGAATTTTAAATGAGCATAATTAGAGATACAGGCAAGATTTAAAATATAGAAAAAGGGTTAAGAGAGGAGAGTGAGCACACACAGTTAATTTTGCTGCCTATTGAAATCCTTTTAAACCATAGGAAATTTCTCCTTTTAGCGTTTAGTTTTTTCCTAGGAAAACATAAACCCATGGGGAAGATGACAACAAGAGACAAGAGGAATCCCAAATTGTTTTTGGAGACAGTCTCACTCTGTTACCCAGGCTGTAGTGCAGTGGTGTGACCTAGGCTCACCACAGCCTTGACCTCCTGGGCTTAAGTGATCCTCCCACCTCAGCCTCCTGAGTAGCTGAAACTACAGGCATGCACCACCATTCCTGGCTAATTTTTTTTTTGGTAGAGTTGGGGTCTTGCTATGTTGCCCAGGCTGGTCTCAAACTCCTGGCCTCAAGCTATCCTCCTGCCGCAGCCTCCCAAAGTGCTGAGATTACAGGCATGAGCCACTGTGCCTAGCCCCAGCCTACAAAATTTTTGTTCCTAGAAAATGGATGGGCAAGATCTCAAATCCTAAACCAGCAACAGAGTAAGCTGAGAACTGACAAAATGTATACCAGTAAAATCCTCAAAAGTCTCAGGCACTGCCAGTACTGAACCTGGGAGAGAGAAGCTAGACTCAGGAGGCTTGGGTCAGAGTGAGAAGTCATCAGCCCCAGATGCCCTTCTCCACTCCAGGCATTGAGGACAGGGCCCTCTCCGAGACTGAGGAGATAAAGCAGTGGGTATGCATCGAGTGCTGATTCCAGAACAGCAGGTGGCCTTCACTCTACAGGCAGGAGGTAAGATGGTTTTTCTCTGCGGAATCTGACCCACCCCAAGGAAAAGACCTTGAGGCACTTGCTTAGGACTCCTCTCACCCTATAGTACACCCTGATCATACTCACAACTACAAGACCCACTCAACACAAGGCATGTCCAGGCAGGTTCCTAACCTCACCTAATCAAACACAAGAAGTGTGTATGAGCAGTGGCTAACTTGAAGACAGACTGCCAGACAAACGCGGGAAAGAGCAACTTAGTGGAACAGCGCCAGGCAAAAGACAACATTTTTTTTTTTTTTTTTGAGATGGAGTCTTGCTCTGTCGCCCAGGCTGGAGTGCAGTGGTGCAATCTCGGCTCACTGCAACCTCCACCTCCCAGGTTCAAGCAATTCACCTATCTCAGCCTCCTGAGTAGCTGGGATTACAGACACATGCCACCACGGCCAGCTACTTTTTTGTATTTTTAGTAGAGACAGGGTTTCACCATGTTGGCCAGGCTGGTCTCGAACTCCTGACCTCAAGTGATCCACCCACCTCGGCCTCCCAAAGTGTTGAGATTACAGGTGTGAGTCACCGTGCCTGGCCAACCATTTTTAAAAGAAGAAAAAAATACCTTCGGAGGAATTAGAGAAGCTACTACGTCTATGAAAAGAACACGCTGCTCCACAAATGAAAATTCAAAAACGTAAAACATTTTTAATTTCTTTAAAATTTTTAATTTTAAGAAATTGAAAAAGAAAATAGCAAAAATGAAAAAAATTTATTTGAAAGGAGGGAAGATACAATTGATGAAATCCTTTTGCAGAAAGGAAAGCAAAGGGGCAAAGAAATAGAAATTATGAGAAAAAAAGGAAGAGAAATAAAGAATGTTTTCAGGATCTGCATAATAGGAGTTCCAGAAACAACATTTTTCAACATATGAGTGACAGGAGATCCAGAAAAAAGAGACCAAGCAGACAGGATGAATGAGAACACCCTGGCCCACCCTGCTCTGTGGGGCAACCCTAGCTGTGCCCCCACAGCCTTCCCCCTCCATATCTCTGCTCGTTTTCTTTTTTCTTTTTCTTTTTTGAGACAGAGTCTCACTCTATCACCCAGGCTGAGTGCAGTGGTGCGATCTCAGCTCACTGCAACCTCTGTCTCCTGGGTTCAAGCGATTCTCCTGCCTCAACCTCCCGAGTAGCTGGGACAACAGGTGCACGCCACCACGCCCAGCTAATTTTTGTATTTTTAGTAGTGATGGGGTTTTGCCATGTTGGCCAGGCTGGTCTCGAACTCCTGGCCTCAAATGATCCACTGGCCTTGGCCTCCCAAAGTGCTGGGATTACAGGCATGAGTCACGCGCCTGGCCTCTCCACTTATTTTCTGAAATGGTTCTTGAGCCTTCTCAGGGATTTTGTGAACTAGGTGATAGCTTTACAATAAACTCATTTCCTGCTTAGGTTTTTTTAAACATAGTAAGATAATATTACAAAAAAAAACTTTATGCCAATCAATTTGAAAAGTTAGGTGAAAGGGATATATTTCTATAAAAATATAAATTACCAAAACTGGTGCAAGAAAAAAATTAACTCAAGTAGTTCTACCACCATTAAAAATTAACAATAATAACAAGATGATAATGATAATAAGTGGTCCCACAAAGAACACTGCAGCCACAGATAGTCTTACAGATAGATTCTATCAAACATTTAAAAAACCAATCATTCCAAAATTACACAATCTTTTTCAAAGAATAAAACACCTCTATTCAGTTTATGAGGCGTATGAAAACATGACACAAAAACTTTGGAAAGCCAGGCATGGTGGCTCACGCCTGTAATACCAGCACTTTGGGAAGCCGAGGTGGGCAGATCACCTGAGGTCAGGAGTTCCAGACCAGCCTGGCCAACATAGCAAAACCCTGTCTCTACTTAAAATACAAAAATTAGCTGCACGTGGTGGTGCACCCCTGTAATCCCAGCTACTAGAGAGGCTGAGGTAGGAGGATAGCTTGAACCCAGGAGGCAGAGGTTGCAGTGAGCCGAGATCGTGGCACTGCACTTCAGCCTGGGCAACAGAGCGAAACTCCATCTCAAAAAGAAAAAAAAAACTTTGGAAAAGTTGGCATTACATCATTACATATGTCACTTAACAGGGATATGTTCTAAGAAATGCATTATTAGGCAGTTTCATCGTGCCAACATCATAGAGTGCACTTACACACACCTAGAGGGTGTAGCCTGCTACATAACTAGACTTTGTGGTAGAGCCCATTGCTCCTAGGCTATAAACCTGTATGACATGGGACTGTACTGAATATAGTAGGCAGCTGGAACACAGTGGTAAGTAATTGTGTTATGTAAACATAGCAAAAATATAGTAAAAATATGGTATTAGAAACTTACAGGACCACCATTGTATATGCAGTCTGTCACTGACCAAAGCATTTTGTGCCACATGAGTATATTTAGTAGTGCTGACTAGGTAAGCTGTGACCCAGTAATTCTGTTCCTGGGTGTGTTCTCTACTCATGACATATCCTGCAGGAGGCAGAAGTGTTTCTATCAGCAAAAATAGTAACAACATAAATGTTTGTTGACAGAGGAAAGGATAATTAAATTGGGATGTATTGGAATGCTGTAGTAGAATAGAATACTATATGTACTGAAGATAAATGAACCATGTTCCATGGTTCATTTCATTCATCCATGTCGGCATGGATGAACTTCAGAAGCATGATGTTGATTTACATAAAAGAAGCAGATTAGGCCGGGTGTGATGGCTCATGCCTGTAATCCCAGCACTTTGGGAGGCCGAGGCAGGTGGATCACCTGAGGTCAGGAGTTCGAGACCAACCTGGCCAACATAGTGAAACCCCGTCTCTAGTAAAAATACAAAAATTAGCCAGGCATGATGGCAGGTACCTGTAATCCCAGCTATTCGGGAAGCTGAGGCAGGAGAATCACCTGAACCCAGGAGGCAAAAGTTGCCGTGAGCCAAGATCGTGCCACTGCACTCCAGCCTGGGTGACAGAGTGAGAATCCATCTTAAAAAGAAAAAAAAAAAAAAAAAAAAGCAGATTATAGAATACATAGGACTCAATTTACATTAAGTGCAAAACAAGCAATAAAACCAACATATTATTTAGGCATACCTGCATATGCAATAGAACCACTTTGTTAAAAAGCAAGGAGATTATTAAAATAAGTGTTTTACATGTGTCGGGGTGAGGGAAGGTAAACATAAATGTGGCATACAGGCAGCTTCAAGGACACTGGTGATGTTCTGTTTCTTAAGCTAGTGATAAATGACACAGGACTGATTTTATCATTTTTTGTAACCATATCTATGCATTACATACACTCTTATTTGATCTATCCCCCCCAAACACATACACACACACACACACACACACAGAGAGAGAGAGAGAGAGAGACAGAGACAGAGAGAGAAAGAGTGCCATGGCATGCTATAATGTACTTAGGATATTCAAAGCCTGGATTAGAAATTGCAGGGTTGAAGTCAAGTAGCACAAGAACAAAGGAACAAATCTAGAGGAACATAAAAATAATTAAAAGCTGCTGTTTTCATTTAAGGCCAGATGAAAGAAAATATGCTGAGAGTGCAGATGGAGGAATTTAGACATTAGGAAGAAGAATTTCCTTACTGGCCAAAGACACTGCCATATATTGCAAAGTAAGCATGTGCTATTATTCAAAAATAGGGCAAGGCAGTTATTTTTCTTGGGTTGGTCTGAGACAGAGCTAGCCAAGTGATTTTAATCCAAGGGCCAACTGTGTGCCATTACCTGAAGTTATCGGGAACACTGTCTTCAGAAGAATTCTGACTGCCCTGTCTGTCACACTGGAGGTGGGCAGGCCACCCAGATGTTGCCTTCCCAGGTATTGGGAGATGGCACTAGAATGGCCCAGATGTGGAGAATAAAACTCAGCTAAGCTTTCATCTTGTATTTTGGTTCTAGCATTCTCTGAGCAATAACAGCCAAAAATACATGTTTACACATATCAGAGTGACAAAAAGTAAAATTAATAATATTTCATACAAACAAGTGTAGTGAGAAGATCTCTCAAATCCTCTCGGGGGGGGGGGTTAAGATTGATATTATCAAAAAGGAAACAATTTGGCAATGGTATGCAATATTTAAATTCACATACCTATTGAGCCAGCAGTCTTACCGATAAGGATGTAGCCCTGGATGTGGGCTCAAATGTATGCTCAAAGAGGCAACTTACAAAATTATTTGCAAAAAGAAAAATGAAAATTCACCTTAGTGTTCATCCCTAAAGGCTGATAAAAGAGACATGGTACATCCATGGGATGGGATATCCTGAAACCATTAAACAGAATCAAGCCCATCTGTGTGCCTTTGCTGTGGTCAGGTCTCCATGCTATATTATTAAATAAACAAAGCAAAGTTTAGAACAGGGTTTATGGTTGTGTGAGGTAGGATCCCATTTGTGCTCAGTGGGCAAAAATTAAACAATTTTTAATTCTGATAATTTAATTCTAATAATAAATTCTGACAGAGAACTGCTGCTGGGGCTAAAACTTGTTCTCTCCTTCTTCCTGGGTACATGACTAAGTGACATTTCCCAGCCTTCCTTGCACTTGGGTTGGCCACAGAACTGAGCTCTGTCCAAGGGAAGGTCAGTGGACCCATACTGGAAAGCTCTGGGTGTACCATGATTTCTTCCCCTTCTTTCCTTCTCACAAGTCAAAGCAGATATGTGTTATGATCCAGCTTCAACCATGAAGAAGAGAGCAAGAACCCACACGATAGATGGAACTTGCTCAGATCTACTTGCCAATAGGGAAAGCTCTCATTTTTTGTGAAGTCTCTAGACATTATTGGGTTTTTTGTTGTTGTTGTTGTTGTTACAGTTGCTAATCTTCATCATACTATCAACATCTATAGCAACATGTAACTGTAGAATTTTTTTCTTACTTTTTCTGAAAGGAATGGTTTTTCCTTACCTTTCTGAAAGGAATCCCAAGACATTTTAGCACTGGTTACCTTTACAGAGAGGGGTAAGGTAAAAGCAGGGTTAGGAAGAGGCCTTTATTTCTCTTTTTGTACCTTGCTGTACTGCTTGAATTTTCTAATTTTATACCCCCATTACTTTTATTTTTAACAGGAGTTATTTAGGCAAAGAGATGGTGGCCTTAGTCATTTTCTTCTATTCCTCTCTTTGAGTTAAAAATACATATATAGGTCAGGCACGGTGGCTCACACCTGTATTCCCAGCACTTTGGGAGTCTAAGGCAGGTGGATCACCTGAGGTCAGGAGTTTGAAACCAGCCTGGCCAACATGGTGAAACCCCATCTCTACTGAAAACACAAAAATGAGCCAGGTGTGGTGGTACGGACCTGTAGTCCCAGCTACTCAAGTACTCAAGAGCCTGAGGCAGGAGAATCACTTGAACCTGGGAGACATAGGTTGCAGTAAGCCGAGATCATGCCACTGCACTCCAGCCTGGGCAACAAGAGTAAGACTGCATCTCTCTCTCTCTCTCTCTCTCTCTCTCTCTCTATATATATATATATATATATATATATATATATATATATATAAAATATATATGAATATAATATATATACACACACATTATTAGCCATCAGGGAAATACAAATTAAAACCACAATGAGATATCACTACACAACCATCATAATGGCTAAAGTAAAAACTAATGACAACACCAGATTCTGATGAGGATGTGGGGAAAATGGATCATTCATACACTGCTAGGGGAATACAGCAACTGTGGAAAAGAGTTTGCAGTTTCCTAAGAAACTAAACATGCAACTTCCATACAGCCCAACAATTGCAATTCTGAGCATTTGTCCCAGAAAAATAAAGACTTATGTTTACATAAAAAGCTATATATGAAAGTTAACAGCAGCTTTATTTGTATAGCCAAAAACTGGAAATAGCCGGGATGTCCTTCAGTAGATTAATGGTTAGATAAACTGTGGTTCATCCATACCATGGAATTCTACTCGGCACTAAGAAGGAAAAAACTACTGATATAATGACGTTGGTGAATCTCCAGAAAATTATGCTAGGTGGGGGAAAAAGGCAATCCAAAAAGTTTTACATAGTATATGATCCCACTTAGATAACATTCTTGAAGTGACAAAATTATAGCAATAGAGAACAGATTAGTGGTTCCCAGAAGGGACTGGGAGGAAAGTGGGTGTGGCTATAAAATGGCAGCCCAGGAATCCTTGTAGTGATGGAATTGTTCTGTATCTTGACTATATCAATGCCCAGAACCTGATTGTAATATTGTACTATAGCTTTGCAAGATGTTACCATTAGGAGAAATTGGGTAAAGAATACATATTATCTCTCTATAGTACTATGAGATCTTAGTCCACACACCCCCATAATTTAACATTTATCCACCAATAAAATAGCTCTGGGAGAAGTCCTGATTACAAAGAAGTTTCAGCAATTCAGTGGAGCACAAAAACTGAGGATGAACACATAGAAATGCATGGAAAGCAATTGTATCTGTGTCACCCCATCTCCCAGTCTGGCACACCTTGGCTCCAAAAGGATCCCCTTGGCTGTGACTGTCCCTCATGGGAGAAAAGGAGAGCAGGATGACTCCAGCAGCCTCAGCCACCACAGACATCTGCCTCTTTTACCCTTGAGGACTTCAACAGTTTTCACAGATGCCGATCCAAGCCAATGGGCCTGCGTGGAGTCCACACCACTGCACCTACTCTGAAGAAGAAGCCACCACTCCAGCCTTGGCACCACCATGCCTGCACTGTACCCTCAACTCTGACACCAGGAGGGATCCCCTTGGTCATAACTTCCCCCATGAGGGAAAAAGGAGAACAGGAAGATCTGCATCCGCCTTCACTACCAAGACCCCACAATCTTTGCCAACACTAACCCAAGCTGACTGCTTGGAGTCCACAGCATTGCACACGCACCCCACCCCCAGGGCCAGAGTTATCGGTGCATTCTCCTAGAGCCAAAGCCACCACACAGAATCCAGCCACCTCCCTCACACTCAACCATAGGTGAGGGTGTTTCCCCACCAAAGCCAGTTAATAAAGACTGGAAGAGGTGATTTCTTCTTCAAATGCACAGACATTAATGCAAGACTCCAAGGAACATGAAAAATCAAGGAAACATGACACAACTAAAGGAACATAATAAATTTCCAGTAAGTGGCCCCAAGGAAATAGAGATCTAAAACTGTCTAACAAAGAAGTCAAAATAATTGTTTTAAAGAAGATCAGCAAACTACAAAAGAAGACAAATAGGCTGGGCATGGTGGCTAATGCCTGTAATCCCAGCACTTTGGGAGGCCATGGTGGGTGGATCACCTGAAGTCAGGAGTTCGAGACCAACTTGGCCAACATGGTGAAACCCCATCTCTACTAAAAATACAAAAATTAGCTGGGCATGGTGGTGCACACCTGTAATCCCAGCTACTCAGGAGGTAATCCCAGCTGGCTCAGGAGGCTGAGGCAGGAGAATCACTTGAATCCGGGAGGCAGAGGCTGCAGTGAGCCGAGATTGCACCACTGCACTACAGCCTGGGCGGCTGAGTGAGACTCCATCTCAAAATAAATAAATAAAAGAACACAGATAGACAACTCAACAAAATGAGGGGGGAAATACATGAATAAAATGAGAACAATAAAGAGGTAGAAATTATAAAAACAACCAAACAGAAATTATGCAGCTGAAGAATTTGATGAATAAAATGAAAAATGCAATAGAAAGCCTTAACAGCAGACTCAATCTAGCAGAAAAAAGAATCTGTGAACTTGAAGAAAGGACATTTGAAATTATCCAGTCAGAGACAAAGAAGAAAAAAGAATTAAAAAGATTGAAGAAAGCCTATAAGATTTATGGGACATAAACAAGCAACCCAGTATATATATTATGGTATTCCAAAGAGAACAGAGAAAGAAAAGGGCAACAGGCTTATGTGAAAAATAAGGTCTGAAAAATTCCCAAATCTTGAGAGGAAAATGGACATCCAGGTTCATGACTCCCAAATCACCTCAAATAGGATCACACAAATTAAGAATACTCTGAGACACCTGATAATTAAATTGTCAAAATTTAAGGACAAAGAGAGCATTTTGAAAGCAGCAAGAGAAAAGTTGGAACCCCCTACTAGCAGATTTCTCAGCAGAAACCTTGCAGGCAAAAAGAGAGTGGGATAATATATTCAAAATACTGAAAGGAAAAAAAAAAGCTGTCGACCAAGAATACTATACCCAGCACAATTATCCTCTTTAAATAGAGGAAAGATAACGTGTTTCCCAGACAAAAACTGAGGAAGTTCATCACCACTAGATTTGCCTTAAGAAATGCTTAAGGCAGGTCCTCAAATTGAAATGAAAACACACTAAACAACAACACAAATCATATGAAAGCATTAATCTCACAGGTAAGGGAAAATATTTGGATAAATATAAAATAATATAATAGTTGTAATGATGGTGCACAAATCACTTTTTGCCCTAATATAAAAGTTAAAAGATAAAAATTTGTTAACAGATACCCGGTATAAAAAGCAAACTTTACAGGCATGATGGCACACACCTGTGGTCTCAGCTACTTGGGAGGTTGAGATGGGGGGATCACTTTAGCCTGGGAAGTGGAGGTTGCAGTGAGCCAAGATCATGCCACTGCACTGCAGCCTGGGTGACAGAGTGAGACCCTATCTCAGAAAAAAAGAAAAAAAAAAGCAAACTCTTTCTACAAAAACACAAAGAGGGGAGAACAAAAGTGTGGAGTTTTTGTATGTAATTAAATTGTTATCAACTTAAAGTAGACAATTATAAGATATTTTATGTAAGCCTCAAGCTAATCACAATGAAGAAAAAGCAATAATCGATACAAAAAAGATAAAGAGAAAATAATGAAAGCAAATCAATGCAAAAAATCATGAAATAAAGGAAAACAGCAAAAGAGGAAGAGGGACAAAACAACCACAAAACAGACAGAAAACCATTTACAAAATGACAATAGTAAGTCCTCACCTATCAATAATTATATTAAATGTAAATGAATTAAACTCCCCAGTCAAAAGGCATAGAGTGGTTGAATGGACTTAAAAAACAAGATCCAGTGGTACGGTGTCTGCAAGAGATTCACATAAGCTGGGCATGGAGCATGGGGAAGTCAAGGCTGCAGTGAGTCATGATCACACCACTGCACTCCAACCTGGGTGACAGAGTGAGATCCTGTCTCATAAAAAAAAAAAAAAAAAAAAAAAAACAGAAGAAAGAAGACAATTCGATTCACAATAGCAACAAAAAGAAGAAAATACTTAGGAATGAACTGGTAAAAGACTTGTACGCTAAAATTTATAAAACATTAATGAAGGAAATGAAAGAAGACACAAAAATGGAAAGATGTCTGTGTTCATGGATTAGAAGATAGAAGAATTAATACTGTTTAAATGTGCATACTATTGAAAATAACCTACAGATTCAATGCAATCCCTATCAAAAATCTCAATGGCATTTTTTATAGAAATAAAGAAAATCCAAAAATTCATATGGAACCACAAAAGATCACAAATAGCCAAAACAATCTTGAGCAAGAAGAACAAAGTGGGAAGCATCACACTTCTTGACTTCAAAATATATTATAAAGCTACAGTAATCAAAATAGAATGCTTTACTAACATTAAAAAAGACATATAAACCAATGGAACAGAATAGAGAGCCTGGATATAAATTCACACATCTACAGTCAACTGATTTTTAACAAAGGTGGCAAGAGCACACAATTAGGAAAAGATAGTCTCTTCAACAAATGGTGTTGGGAAAACTAGATATCCGCATGCAGAAAAATGAAAGTGGAACTTATCTCACACCGTATACACAAATCCACCCCAAAGGGATTAAAGACTTAAATGCAACCTCTAAAGCCATAAGATTATTAGAGGAAGACATAGGGGAGAATCTTCCTGATGTTGGTCAGGGCAATTATTTTTTAGATATGACACTGAAAGCACAAGCAACAAAATAAAAATAGACAATTGAAATTGCATCAAACTGGCCAGGTGCGGTGGCTCACACCTGTAATCCCAACACTTTGGGAGGCTGAGGTGGGTGAGTCACAAGGTCAGGAGATCGAGACCATCCTGGCTAACACAGTGAAACCCTGTCTCTACTAAAAAGACAAAAAATTAGCTGGGCGTGGTGGCAGGCGCCTGTAGTCCCAGCTACGCAGGAGGCTGAGGCAGAAGAATGGTGTGAACCTGGGAGGCAGAGCTTGCAGTGAGCCGAGATCACACCACTGCACTCCAGCCTGGGCGACAGAGCAAGACTCCAGCTCAAAAAAAAAAGAAAGAAAATGCATCAAACTAAAAAGCATCTGTGCAGCAAAGGAAACAATCAACAGAGTGAAAAGGTAACCTACAAAATGGAATAAAGTATTTGCCAACTACATGTCTGATAAAGGATTGATATTCAAACTATATAAAGAGCTAATAAAACTTAATAGCAAAACAAAACAAATAACGTGATTTTAAAAAAGGAAGAAGGATGTAAATAGACATTTTTCAAAAGAAAACATACAAATGGTCAATAGGCATATGAAAAGATGTTCAATATCGCTAATTATCAAGGAAATGCAGATGAAAACCACAATGAGCTATCACTTCACACCTGTTAGAATAGCTACTATAAAAAAGACAAAAGATAAGTATTGGCGAGGATGCAGAGAAAAGGGAACTCTTGTATACTGTTGGTGGGAATGTAAATTGGTACAGCCATTAGGGAAAACTGTATGGAAGTTCCTTCAAATAATAACTACTTTATGATCCAGCTTCTGGCTATATATCCAAAGGAAATGAAATCAGTATGTCTTCAAGGTATTTGCACTCCCTTGTTCATTACAGTACTATTCACAATAGCCAAGATATGGAAGTAACCCCAATATCCATTAACAGATGAATAAGGAAAATGTGGCACACACACACACACACACACACACACACACACACAATGGAATATCATTTAGCCTTTAAAAAGAGAAGGAAATCCTGACATTTATGACAACATGGATAAATGTTGGACATGGATAAATGAGGAGATTATGCTAAGTGAAATAAGTCAGACACAAAGACAAATACTGCATGATCTCACTTATATGTGGAATCTAAAACAGTCAAGCTCATGGAACTACAGAGTAGAATGTTGCTGCTAGAGGCTGGGGGAGGGGTAAATGGTGAGATGTTGGTCAAGGGACACAAAGTTTCAGTTATGCAGGATGAATGAGATCTAGAGAACTAATAGACATAGTTAACAAGGACATAGTTAACATAGAACATAATTAACAAGGCTGTATTATATGCTTGAAATTTGCTAAGAACTGTAAATCTCGTTTTCTCACCCCTCCCAAAAAAGAACAAGAAAAGATCATGGTAATGATATGAAATAATAGATACGTTCGTTAACTTGATTATGGTGATTATTTCACAATGTATACATATTTCAATATATTAAGAAGTCATACACTTAAATATATACAATTTTTATTTGTCAATTATTCATCAGTAAAGGTGCAAGGAAATATTCAATATTTTTTAAGTTAAAGGAGAACAAAATAAATACACAAAAATTAGATGGCAGTGCTCTTGAAATGGGTGTGGGGATGTGTGTGGAGAGGGTGGGTGCTGCGTGGGGCTTGAGTGGGGCCACCCTGCTTGTGTCCAGCTGGGCTGAGTGATTGTCTAAGGCCACAGCAATTACACACACTCCCTAAGGGAACTCTGTCTACAACTAGGCAGAAATGATGGGAACCATGAATTTGATGGTAGGCCATGAATTTGATGTCTTTATTTGATGTAAGCCTATTTGGCTGCTGTTAAGTATTGGGTTTTTCTTATAACCTCCAGTAATTAGAAATAAATGAGGACTGTAGGTACCCTCCCACAAAACCCAGCCAGCAGATGGTGCCTTACAAGGCAAGCAAGCTTCAGACTGAACTCTACCACACCTAAAACATCAAGCTGGATCAAAGAGTCAGGAACCTGTTCTTGAAAGCTCAGTGGAGCCCCAGCTCTCTGACCCTTAGGCAGTCTACTAAATGTCTTGCATGAGGGCTCATCCCCGGTAGATAAAATATTCTAAGGGGTGGATACAGTCAACCTTCTAGCTAAATCACATGGCAGAATCCTCCACTACGTGGCAGGATGTGGGACCAAATCACAGTTCAAGGCCATGAATGCTACTCTGCTATACCCACAGATATTACACCTGTAAATCAAAAAGTGTCTGAGACAGGTCTCAATCCATGCTGAAGTTTATTTTTCCAAGGTTAAGGACATTCCAGTGGCACAGCCTCAGGAGGTCCTGCGAACATATACCCAAGGTGGTTGGGCTACAACTTGGTCTTACATGTTTTAGAGAGACATAAGATATCCATCAATACATGTAAGATGTACGTTGCTTCTGTCCAGAAAGGCAAAACAACTCAAAGGGGTGGGTGTGGGGGGACTTACAGGTCATAGGTGGATTCAAAGATTTCCTGATTGGTAATTGGTTGAAAAAGTTTATCTAAACACCTGGAATCAAGAGAAGGGAGTGTCTGGGTAAGATAAGAGATTGTGGAGACCAAGGTGTTTATTATGCAGATGAAGCCTCCAGGTAGCAGGCTTTAGAGAGAATAGATTGTAAATGTTTCTTATCAGACTCCCAGTTAATTCTCTCCTGAATCAGGAAAATGACCTGGAAAGGGAAGGGGATTCTCTACAGACCATAGATTTTCCCCACAACAGAGAGCTTTGCAGGGCCATTTCAAAATGTGTCAAAGAAATACATTTGGGGGTAAAATACTTTGATTTCTTTTAGGGCCTGCTGTCTGTGATGTTGGTATCTTATTGCTACAAAGAGTCTGCTTTGTCACTCTTTTTTTTTTTTAGATGGAGTCTCGCTCTGTCACCCAGGCTGGAGTGCAGTGGCGCGATCTCGGCTCACGGCAAGCTCCGCCTCCCAGGTTCACGCCATTCTCCTGCCTCAGCCTCCCAAGTAGCTGGGACTATAAGCGCCCGCCACCACCCCTGGCTAATTTTTTGCATTTTCAGTAGAGGCGGGGTTTCACTGTGTTAGCCAGGATGGTCTCGATCTCCTAACCTGGTGATCTGCCCGCCTGGGCCTCCCAAAGTGCTGGGACTACAGGCGTGAGCCACTGTGCCCGGCCTGCTTTGTCACTCTTAAGGTCTCTGTGTTGATATCAGCGGTGCTCAGCTGTGCCTGAATTCCAAAGGGAGGAGGCCGTAATGAGGCATGTTCAACCACCCATCTCCATCATGGCCTGAACTGGTTTTTCAGGTTAACTTAGGAATGCCCTTGGCCAAGAGAAGGGGTCCATTCGATTGGTTGGGAGACTTAGAATTGTATTTTTGGTTCACATACTTTTGTTCATTCAAGGGTAGAAGTGCCTGTACAACATTTTTTCACCAATCCACTTATTTTGAACGACTATTCCACAGTATAAATAATTTCCTCAGGAAAATTACTTATAACATCTGTTAGGCTAGCAAGCCTTCTAATGAAGGTCAAGTTAGCTGAGGCATAGATGTTGATGAACTCTGATTTGTCATTTTTAAAAATAACTAAAAACTCAATTTATCCAGGGTTCTGGCAGAAATAGCACACTCAAACTGAGTAATTTGGAGAGAGTTTAATATGAAGAAACCACAAGGGACAGTGCAATAGGGTGGGGCTGGCAACACTGAGCTGCTGTTACCATGTCAGAGGTATTTGAGCCACAGCAACTCCATCTTAAATAGGAGCTGGGTGAAATGAGGCTGAGACCTACTGGGCTGCATTCCCAGATAGTTGAGGCATTCTATGTCACAGGGTGAGGTAAGAGGTCAACACAAAATACAGGTCATAAAGACCTTGCTGATAAAACAGCTTGCAGTAAAAAAGCCAGCTAAAACCCACCAAAACCAATATGGCGAGGAGAGTGACCTCTGGTCATCCTCATTGCTACACTCCCACCAGCGCCGTGACAGTTTACAAATGCCAGGGCAATGTCAGGAAGTTATCCTATATGGTCTAAAAGGGGAGGCATGAATAATCCGCCCCTTGTTTAGCATATCATCAAGAAATAACCATAAAAATGGGCAACCCGAGGGCTGCTCTGTCCATGGAGTAGCCATTTTTTATTCCTTTACTTTCCTAATAATCTTGCTTTCACTTTATGGACTCACCCTGAATTCTTTCCTGCTCAAGACCCAAGAACCTTCTCTTGGGGTCTGGATCAGGACCCCTTTCCTGTAACATCTTTCTGGTGACCACAAAGGGATTATAGTGTGAAAACCCCCTTCCCAAAGCCTAACTTTGGGTAAGTGGTGGGGTCTGGTAACATCTTTCTCACTAACCCTGAAGGCACAATACTAAAGAAGCCCCAATACTAAAGAAGCCCCCGACCCAAAAAAAATAGACTACAGCACTGATTGGATGGCTTTGGGTAAGTGGGGCGCATTTACCCGGGTAAAGGATGGGGCTGGGTTAGAGGCCCAACTTAGGGGAGTTAGAGCCTCTCCTAAGACAGAGCAGGTTAGAGGCCCTTCTTAATAAAAGGCAAGGGCACTTGACTAGCCTTGGGTTAGAGTCCTAACTTAGGAGGGTTAGAGTCCCTTCTAATATTTAGGGGGTTAAAGTCCCCTCTCAGAAAAGTCCCTCTCGTAAAGTCCCTCTTGGCTAAGAATGGGTTTGGCCCTACGGGATGTTAACTGCTTTTCTCTTTGGAATAATCTGCCTTTCGCTCTTTGCTAATGGCTGTGGGTGACAGGATTAGGCATGTACAGCATTGTGGTACACGGGGAACTTTTTCCTCCCTAAAAGGGGGAACTTAAGAGCTGATGAGACTGCAGGAAAAGATCCCTTCACTACTGACAAGCAGCCACCTGAACTTTTCAGCGTTGCTGCAATGGGTGGTTTTTTCTCTGGGCTCTGTGAGCGTCTCGCCTCCCCCACCCTGCCTCAGGCAATGCTTTCCTTTCTGTCTCCCTCTGTCTCTCTGCAAACTGGTTAAATGGTAAAAATCACTGCTTGTCTCCTCTGTAAAGTTTTGATTAATGGGAAAAAGGATTTGTGAGGCTAGTCGTAAGCTGCAGCAAATTTGGTGTGCTTTGTGTGTCTTTCTATATTGTTCTGCCACAAAGAGGGGTAACTTAGGATAGAACATGGGCATAGGACACCTGTAAGCCCGCTTTTCAAGATGGCCCAGCAAACTGGTCAGTTATGTCCTTGGGAGCTTGACCTTGTAACCATATGGCCGTGCTTTCTCTTTTCAGAATGGTGGCCTGGGTTCAAGGTTTGATTCGTGTCTTAGGGATGAGTCCTTTATTCTCTGTCTGTGTATTTATATATGTTGCATATGTGATATAAAAGAGCTTTGATTAATTGGTTTAAAAATAATAAGCGCTTAAATCAAATATTTTATGAGAAAAGTAAAAAGTGTAATGTCTTTTAGTTCATGTGACTTAAGTAATCTTTGAGAAATAAAGATAGTTTTAAAAATATTGGTAAAATAAAGACATTTGGTCTAAAGTTAAATAGGTCAAATATTAAGTTTACTTAATGCTTTAAGGTCATAAACTGCTTCTTTGACTTTTGAAAATTGTTCAATTTACCTACTTTGGCGCATTAGTTCTAGATAAGGCCAGGGACATGTGGAGTTAGCCACACCCCCTAGCTATGCTGGAGTCAGCCCTCATCTGCACTTCTGCCTGGTGTGTCCTGAGCTAGGCTCCACACTTGGCACATGATTAAAATTGCTTCCTAACCAGGTTTTTCACCAGAAGTAAAAGTTGCTAAGGGTTAACATTGTAACGTGTAATTAAGACTACTGAAGAAACAGTTCTACCTGTAAGGCATGTAAGGAAAGCAGAATGTGTTTTTGGTAAAAGATAATAAGAAGTCATGGGAATGTGGATTTTTCTGCCTGGATTAAAAGGTTAAAAGTTTAAGGAAATTTTGGAAGGTTTGTGAAAAAAATTAATATTGTAAAAGAAATTCTGTGTGTAAACATATTGGCTAAAATAAGAGAAGTATTTTATTCAGTTTTTCTGTAAACTCAACATTGGAATAAAAGCACAACAGGTTTCTTTCTTTTTTTTTTTTTTTTTTTTTTTTTTTTTAGAGATGGAGTTTCACTCTTTTTGCCCAGGCTAGAGTGCAGTGGTGCAATTTCAGCTCACTGCAACCTCTGCCTCCTGGGTTCAAGCGATCCTCCTGCCCCAGCCTCCTGAGTAGCTGGGATTACAGGCATCCACCACCATACCCAGCTAACTTTGTACTTTTAGTAGAGATGGGGTTTCTCCATGTTGGTCAGGCTGGTCTCAAACTCCTGACCTCAGGTGATCCACCTGCCTCAATCTCCCAAAGTGCTGGGACTACAGGCATGAGCCACTGCGCCCAGCCATTTCTCTTAAAGCAAAAACCTGCTTATAATCTGCTCTTTAACAAAAATTGTAAAGGTTTATATAAGGTTTATGAAAATCTTACCTTATGGTCAAACTGATGAAGATTAAATATATTTGTCTATAAGGTTTTATTAAGAATTGAGTCTGACATCAATAATGCACTAATGCAAAAGTGACATTTGGCTTATTTGGTATAAAAATCATACAGGGAGCACTGTCAAATATAAAATAGTGTGTGGCTTTCTGTGTTCCAAAATAATGGGAAATTCCTATAATTCTGATATGACTTACTGTATGTTAATTAATAATTATAATTGTTACATAAAATCATTGTATGCCACAAAGGTAACCAAATTTCCTTTGTCAATCATGTTTTTTACTGTGGCTGTCCTAAAACTTTTTGTCATCCACAAAAAAAATTGTTGTCTTGTTTTGGTCCTCTTTGGAAGATGGTTTATAACTAGTTATAGAGCTCTAACAAGTGCTCTTAAATGCAGGTTTCTGATAACTTTGGAAATTGTGACATTAGAATAGAGGAAAAAACTTTCAGGACTCTCGTGAAGAGCTGAAATGTTCATGAATATCAAGCAGAACAGCAGTTAACCTGAATTGACTGAACCAGTAAAAGTCTAAAGTGGCTGGTGCAGTGGCTCCTGCCTGTTAATCCCAGCACTTTAGGAGTCCAAGGCAGGTGAATCACAAGAAATTCCAGACCAGCCTGGCCAATATGGTGAAACCCCATCTCTACTAAAAATACAAAAAAAAATTAGCTGAGCATGGTGGCAGGTGCCTGTAGTCCCAGCTACTCAGGAGGCTGAGGCAGGAGAATTGCTTGAACCTGGGAGGTTGCAGTGAGCTGAGATCATGCCACTGCACTCCAGCCTGGGTGACAAAGTGAGACTCCATCTTAAAAAAAAAAAAAAAAAAAAAAAAAGACTAAAGTAATCTTTTTAAACTTTTTGCTTAAAATGTTACTGTTTTGTTTTGTTTTTCAGAGTCAAGAAAACTTTTCTTTTGAGCTATTTAAAGCTTTTAACAATTGAGTAAAGTATACTACTGTGAACAAAATTTGGAGCACATTTGTTTCTCTCTACCTGATTTCTCCAGAATTTGAAAACTAGTTGCGAGTATTCTTAATTTAATGACAGTATAGCTATTTGCATAAGTGCAAAAAGAATCTGTTTTCTTTTGCAAATTGACACAATTAGAGAAACTGGTTATTTTACCAAGGCTTTAACTGGAATGGTGTGCTTTCCTTTAAGGAATCATACTTGACTTGTAAAGCCAGTAAGAGTCCATTGAGAAACTGGCCTCATACCTTGCCTACGCAGTGCCAGTACAAGGTTTCTGACCCATAGTAAGTAAAGAATATCACTTTCTAACAGGTCCAGAAGCCCCAAGTTATCTTGGGACCCCCAAGAGGGGAGGAATTTACTCAACTCATAGGTATTTGAGGGTACAAACCCATGACAGGGTTCAGCTCTAAAAAGTCTTATCGAGATTCCTTCTATGGAACAGAGTTTCATCAAAGCCAATTTTTTTTTTTTTTTGAAACGGAGTCTTGCTCTGTCGACCAGGCTGGAGTGCAGTGGCGTGATCCCAGCTCACTGCAACCTCTACCTCCTCAGTTCAAGCAATTTTCCTGCCTCAGCCTCCCGAGTAGCTGGGATTGCAGGCACCCACTACCATGCCTGGCTAATTTTTGTATTTTTAGTAGAGACGGGGTTTCACCATGTTGGCCAGGCTGGTCTTGAGCTCCTCATCTCAAGTGATCTGCCTGCCTCAGCCTCCCTAAGTGTTGGGATTACAGGCGTGAGCCACTGCACCCAGCTGAAGCCAATTTTTAAAAAAAGCTAATGTGAAAAATAATTATTCTTGCTGTACTTTATACAAATAATCAGGCCAAGTATAATGAAGCAAATCAGTCTTACCATGATTTGTCTTTACTAAAAATGGGAAAACGGAGAGAGAAATATTATGTTTCAAGAACTATGGTACACGTGTATCAAATTCTAGTCTCATCAGCTGTTTTTAAGTTTGTTTCTGCAATTTAGACTAACCCTGTTTATTCCAGTGAACCAACCAGTGATCTCTGACTGCTGTTCAGAAGAAATAAGAGGAATGGGTAATATAAAAATCTGAATCAGTCCTCTAATTCTGGGAACATTGGAATCAGCTAGCAACCCCGTATCAGCTTGGTTCCAACAGTTTCTCACTTCATGGAAAGCCTTCTAATTTAGTTTACTTGGGATAATTTTACTTATTTTGCTTTGCTGTTGTGGAACATATTGCAGTTGTACTCTTTGTGTAGGAATGCAGACAAGTTTGCTCACCGTTTTCTTAAATTGGACACTTACTAATCTTCCAGATACCACCTTTTGTTGGAACTTGGAGTTATGAATGACCCTCACAATATTGATGCCTTCTCACTGAGCTCCTCTCTACTCTGAATACAAGAGACCCTAATAGTTAAGCAGGAATATCATTGCCCCTATTCAGCCTGAAGAAGTTACAGAAGATGGATTTTCATCCCTCTGCAACCTTTAGGATTAAGGGTTCTCTTATGAAAGGGAGGGGAAAAATGTCAGAGGCGTTTGAACCAGAGCTACTCCATCTTAAGTAGGAGCTGAGTAAAATGAGGCTGAGACTTACTTGGCTGCATTCCCAGGTGGTTAAGGCATTCTAAGTCACAAGGTGAGATAGGAGGTCAACCCAAGATACAGGTCATAAAGACCTTGCTGATAAAACAGGTTAGGGCCAGGTGCAGTGGCTCATGCCTGTAATCCCAGCACTTTGGGAGGCCAAGGCGGGCAGATCACCTGAGGTCAGGAGTTCAAGACCAGCCTGGCCAACATGACAAAACTCCATCTCTACTAAAACTACAAAAATTAGCCAGGTGTGCTAGTGGGTGCCTGTAATTCCAGCTACTCAGGAGGTTGAGGCAGGAGAATCACTTTAACCCGGGAGGCGGAGGTTGCAGTGAGCCAAGATCACACCACTGCGCTCTAGCCTAGGTGACAGAGTGAGACTCTGTCTCAAAGGAAAAAAAAAACAGGTTGCAGTGAAGAAGCCAGCTAACACCCACCCACCCACCATAACTGGCTGGGCATAGTGGCCCACGCCTGTGATCCTAGCACATTGGGAGGCCAAGACAGGTGGATCACTTGAGGTTAGGAGTTCAATACCAACCCGGCCAATATGGTGAAACCCCATCTCTACTAAAAATACAAAAATTTAGCCATGCATGGTGGCACATGCCTGTAATCCCAGCTACTCAGGAGGCTGAGGCAGGAAAATTGCTTGAACCCAGGAGGCAGAGGCTGCAGTGAGCCAAGACTGTGCCACTGCACTCCAGCCTGGGCCACAGAGGGAGACCCTGTCTCAAAAAAAAAAAACAAAAAAAAAACCAAGATGGCAGGATGACAGTGACCTCTGGTCATCCTCACTGCTACACCCCCACCAGCACCATATCAGTTTACAGATGCTATGGCAAAATCAGAAAGTTACCTTATATGGTCTAAAAAAGGGAGGCATGAATAATCCACCCCTTGTTTAGCATATCATCAAGAAATAACCATAAAAGTGGGCAACCAGCAGCCCTCAGGGCTGCTCTGTCTATGGAGTAGCCCTTCTTTTATTCCTTTACTTTCGTAATAATCTTGCTTTCACTTTATGGACTTGCCCTGAATTCTTTCTTTGATGAGGTCCGAGAACACTCTCTTGGGGTCTGGATCAGGACCCCTTTCCTGTAACAACCAGGGGCCTGAAAGTGTTGGAGAAAGAACTGTGTAGAGACGTCCACCCAACAGGGGTGGTGACCTTCAGCAGAAGACACAAGCTGCCCTCCACAACCAGGGAGACAGCACAGTCTCCCGCTTTACTCTCCCTCTTACCTGTTGCCAGTGTTCCCCACTGGCCAACCCAGCTGAAACCAGAGGCCAAGGGAGCCCAGTGGTGCAGGTCAGCCTCCCAGGCAGAGACTGGACCCACAGGGGCAGGCAGGTGAGACCGAACACACCAACACACACAGCCACTGGGTGGAGCAGACAAGGGTGCTCCAGCTGCTACCCAACTGCTGCAGAAATGTGACTGTCGCCAGCCGACCTTAATGATAACTTTACTGGCCGGGCGTGGTGGCTCACGCCTGTAATGCCAGCACTTTGGGAGGCCGAGGCAGGCGGATCACGAGGTCAGGAGATCAAGACCATCCTGGCTAACACAGTGAAACCCCATCTCTACTAAAAATACAAAAAATTAGCCAGGCATGGTGGCACACGCCTGTAGTCCCAGCTACCAGGGAGGCTGAGGCAGGAGAATCACTTGAACCCGGGAGGCAGAGGTTGCAGTGAGCTGAGATCACACCACTGCACTCCAGCCTGGGCAAGAGAGCGAGACTCCGTCTCTAAATAAATAAATAAATAAATAAATAAAATTTTTTAAAAAGACAACTTTACCTTGCAACCCAGAGACTCCACTGCTAGGTAATCTACCCAAAGGAAAGAGAAAAGTGTCCACACAAAAACTCAAGTGTCAATATTCACAGCAGCATTATTCATAATAGCCAAAAAAAAAAAAAAAATGGAAACAACTCCAACAGTTGTCAACTGGAAAATGAATAAACAAAATGGAGTATATCCATACAATGGAATATTATTCTGCAGTAAAAATTAAAGAGCTATTGACACATGCTACAATATGGATGAACCTCCAAAACAATATGCTAAGTGGAAGAAAACAGTCACGGAGAACGGCATGTTGTATGGTGACCTTCATATGAAATGTCTAGAAAAGATCAGTGGCAGCCTAGGGCTAGGGATAGGAATGCAGGATTAATAGCAACCAGGTGTACCTGATCTTACTCGAGTGATGGAAATGTTCCAAAACCGGATGGTGGTGATGATAAACAACTCGGTTAATTTCCTAAAAATTACTGAAGTGTACACTTGGGTGAATTTTATGGTATATAAATTATATCTCAAAAAGCTGTTCAAGATTAAAAAACTGACCCACATGTATATGACACCATCGATCCTGAAGTTTTAAAAAGTCAATTATATTCACTCTCACAGGTGATTTTCAGCCATGACTCTGGAGAGCTGAAGGTGTTAACACCACAAAGGTATTGTCACAAGTTCCCCCCAACCTGCAATCTCCACAGTGAGGTTTCACTCCATTAAAAAGACAAGCAATTAGGCCAAGTGAGATAGCTCATTTCTGTAATCCTAGAGCCTTGGGAGGCCGAGGCAGGAGGATCACTTGAGGCCAGGAGTTCAAGACCAACCCAGGCAACACAGCAAGACACCCCCACCACCACCACCATCTCTACAAAAATTAAAATTAAAAAATTAGGCCAGGCTCGGTGGCTCATGCGTGTAATCCCAGCACTTTGGGAGGCCCAGGCCGCAGGATCACAAGGTCAGGACATCGAGACCATCCTGGCTAACATGTTGAAACCCCATCTCTACTAAAAATACAAAAAAAATTAGCCAGGCGTGGTGTGGGCGCCTGTAGTCCCAGCTACTGAGGAGGCTGAGGCAGGAGAATGGCGTGAACCCGGGAGGCGGAGCTCGCAATGAGCCGAAATTGCGCCACTGCACTCCAGCCTGGGTGACTGAGCAAGACTCCGTCTCAAAAAAAAAAAAAAAATTAAAAAATTAGCCGAGCATGGTGGCACAGCCTGTAGTCCCAGCTGCTCAGGAGGCTGAGGTGAGAGGGTCACTTGAGCCCAGGAGGTCAAGAATGCAATGAGCCGTGATCCCACCACTGCACTCCAGCCTGGATGACAGAGCAAGACCCTATCCCTAAAAAAAAACAAAAACAGAAAAAAAAAAGATAGGCAGTCACTAGATGCTGCATCAATTGTTTCTTTAAACAGTTGATTTCCTGGTGTGTGTGTGTGTGTGTGTGTGTGTGTATGTGTGTGTGTATGGAAGTGGGTAATGGGGGAGACTGCGTGTGTGGGGGCAGAAGGCCTATGGGAAACCTCTATACCATCTGCTCAATTTTTCTATGAACCTATAATTGCTCTAAAAAATAAAGTCCATTAAAAATGTTTTTTCATTTTAAAAAGAACACTAAACCAAGGACAGTCCTATTTCAAGACTGACCCCTGCCAATGACATCCCCAAGTCTTCTCTCTTGTTCTCTCCATGGAAAATTCCCTACCCCCACCTCTAGCCTCCATTTTTGAGTCTTGGAATCCATCAACAGGATGGCTAAAGAATTAAGCACCTTTGTCTCCCAATTCACTTCATCAGCCTCCTGAAGAGGAGATTGCCCAATAAATGAAAGTCCATTTGCATTTTCAGCACAAAGGATGCTCTTTGCCTGGTGGGCTTGTTTCTCTCAAGAGCCACAGGCCTTTTAGAGGTTCCATGTGAAGTGGTCTGGGCCAAGAGGGGGGCGCCCGAGAACACTTGGTTGTCTGGGCTGGCATTGTTCCCTTTGTCTGCTTGAACAGGACTCAATCTTATTTCCAGAATGTCCAGGCTGACAGGCTCCATACACAGGTTTTGCCACCCCCTTTTCAGAAAGTTAAGCTGCAAAAGCCTCCCTTTCCCAGAATTCACTGCCGGGGCCCCATCCTGATGCAGAACGGCTGCCGTGGGATGAATGGGCCTTGTTTTCCTTCTCCTGTATGTTGGGGCCTGGGTCAAGGAAGGTGCTTGTAGCTGCTAATCTACAGCGGGTAGTGGGAATGCCAGGAAAAACAGGGCTTCCTCTGTGTGGCCAAGAATAAAAGAAAGGGCTTGAATTCAGGTGCTACAGGAGTGGAAACGGTGTGAAAAATAGGGTGAGCAGTGGCTTCAGAGGTATGGAAGAGTGGGCCCACTCTCTTCCTCCCTCCACCCCAGGCCCATCCCTCTCCACAATTTTTTCCCACCTGCCTCAAGTAATGCTTGAAATTCTTTTAACAGGAAGCAAAGCCTCTCCTGCCACTCTAAATGTAAACGCAGATTCGGTTAAATGCAGTGAAGAATAAGCTTCTGGAAGGGCGGAGGAGAAGTGCTTTCCCTATTCCCACCATTAAGTCCATCAAAAAAAACCTGGACACAATACATAAAACAAAGAGAAGAAGACTCCAGATGTGAGAGGAGGTTCATTTAGGGGCCTCGGAACCTGAGGAAGGGCACTGTGGTATTTCCTGGGCTTTTTTTTTTTTTTTTTTTTTTTCCACATATCCCAGACATTGCTGGAGAAACTGGCAGTTTAGAAATGCCAACAGATGCAGTTATTAAAAAGTCTCGCTGGGCACAGTGGCTCACACCTGTAATCCCAGCACTTTCGGATGCCAAGGCAGGTGGATCACCTGAGGTCAGGAGTTTGAGACCAGCCTGGCCAACATGGTGAAACCCCATCTCTACTAAAAATACAAAAATTAGCCAGGCATGGTGGCGGGTGCCTGTAATCCCAGCTACTCGGGAGGCTGAGGCAGGAGAATCACTTGAAACCAGAAGGCAAAGTTTGCAGTAAGCCGAGATCGCGCCACTGCACTCCAGTTTGTGTGACAGAGTGAGACCGGGCAAAAGAACGAAACTCTGTCTCAAAAAAAAAAAGTCTCAACAAAAGCCTGCCCTCTCTAACTAGAGGACCAGAAAAGGGGATGTCTAGTGAGACAGAAAACATTTAGACAGCAACTGTCTACTCCAAGCAAACACCTTGGGAAAAACTATGACCCCACCCACACCCCTGCCAGTAAAGGCTGGGTGGGGAGCTGGGTCTTCCACGCTGGTGAGGCTCTGTAGCAAGGATCCTGGGACTTTCATTGCAGCTGCCACCATCCCCGCGAATGTCTGTGGAGATCTGAATTCCACCCCCACCTGGCAGTAACAAGGCACCTCTTCCCCTCTTTGTCCTCTTCCTTTGCCAGGGATGATAACAGAGGAGGCCTCATGGAGAGCCAGGACTTTCACCACTGCCCAGTGGAACGAGGCCACCTCTCCCAAGTGTCATCGGAGGCCTTGTGGAGAGCAGTAAAGAAGTGTTTCTGCCCCTCCCAGCCAGAGTGGTATCAGCAGAGGCCCAGGAAGAAGCCAGAACCCCACCCCCACCCAACAGTAAGAAGTAGGCAGCTCTCCACAAGTGGAGAATTGAGCCCCCACTCCACCTGGTAGAAACTAGTCAGTTCCCCCTCCTCTCCCTCCCACAGCAATGTCAGTATGGACCAATATAAACCAAAGATTTAAATAAGATCCAGAGTCCCATAACGTAAAACCAAAATGTTGAGGATTCAGTCAAAAGCCACCCATCATTCAAAGAACCAAGATCTTAATCTGAATGAGAAAATACTAACAACAGATGCCAACATAGAGATGACACAGACATTAGAATTATCTGACAAGGTTTGGAGCATAAAAATGCTTCAGTAGGCTGGGTGATGTGGCTCATGCCTGTAATCCCAGCACTTTGGGATGCCACAGCAAGCGGATCACTTGAGGTCAGGAGTTTGAGACCAGCCTGGCCAACGAGGTGAAACCCCGTCTCTATTAAAAATACAAAAATTAGCTGGGCGTGGTGGTGGGCACCTGTAATCCCAGCTACTTGGGAGGCTGAGGCAGGAGAATCACTTGAACCCGGGAGGCAGAGGTTGCAGTGAACCAAGATCGCACCATTGCACTCCAGCCTAGGTGACAGAGTGAGACACCATCTCAAAAAAAGAAAAAAAAAAGTTCAATAAACCATTATAAACACACAAAACAAATGGCAAAAATAGAAAAATCTCTGCAAAGAAATAGAAGATGTAAGGAAGAACCACATGAAAATACTTGAACTGAAAAATATAATCACTAAAGTTAAAACCTTGATGGATGGGCTCAGTAGCAGAAAGAGTGGGACTAAGAAAAGAATCAATGAACTTGAAGATTAAAAAAAAAGCAATTACCCAATATAAGCAACAGAGAAAAAATACACTGAAAAAATTGAACAGAATCTCAAGGGCCCATTGAACTATAAAAAGGTCTAATATTCATGTCCATTGGAGTGTTACAAGGAGAGAAGAGGGCAGGGCTGAAAAAGTATTTGAATAAATAATGGATGAAAGTTTTTGAAATTTGTTTTTATTGATTTATTTATTTTTTGAGATGGAGTCTCACTCTTGTCACCTAAGCTGGAGTGCAATGGCACAATCTTTGCCTCCTGGATTCAAGCAGTTCTGCCTCAGCCTCCCAAGTAGCTGGGATTACAGGTGCCCACCATCATGCCCAGCTAATTTTTGTATTTTCCGTAGAGACAGGGTTTCACCATGTTGGCCAGGGTGGTCTTGAACTCCTGACCTCAGGTGATCCATCCGCCTCAGCCTCCCAAAATGCTGGGATTACAGGCAGGAGCCACCACACCGGGCCCAAATTTGTGAAAAGATGTAAACCTACAGATTCAAGAGGCTGAGTAAACCCCAAACGGGTAAAACCAAAGAAATCCATGCCAAGAATCATTGTATTTAAACTTTTGAAAAATAAAGACAAAGAAAAAATTTTGAAAGCCAAGAGAGAAACACTCCCCTGTTTATTGGGGAAAAGCAATTCAAATAATATCAGATTTCTCATAAGAAGCCGCAGAGGCCAGAAGGAAGTGCCACAGTATTTTTCAAGTGCTGAAAGAAAAGGACTGTCAACTGCAAATCCTGTATCTAGCAAAACAATCTTTTAGGAATGAAGGGGAAATGAAGCCATTCTCGAATGAAGAAAAACTAAGATAATTTGTTGCCTGCAGACCAACCCTAAAATAATAGCTAAAGGAAATTCTATAAACAGAAATAAAGTGACTTAAAAAGGAATCTTGGGACATTGGGAAGAAAGAAAGAGCAACAGGAAGAGAAAATACTGGTAAATACAAGATATTCTTCTTCTCTGTAGCGGTGAACATTGTGTTTCAACTTGACTAGGTCATGATACCCAGCTACTCCATCAAACATTATTATGTTTCTGTAAAGCTATCTTTATATGAGATTAACATCTAAATTAGTAGACTTTGAGTAAAGCATATTACACTCCATAAGGAGGGTGGGCCTCGTCTCGTCAGCTGAGGGCCTTAAGAAAACAAGATTGACCTTCCTGGAGGAACAGGGAATTCTGTCACCTGATAGATGGCCTGTGGACTTGAACTGCAGCTTTGCCTCTTCTTGGGTCTCCAACCTGCCAGCCTACACTGCAGATTTGGGACACACCAGCCTCCATAACCATGTGCGTCAATTCCTTCAAATAAATCAACCTTTCTCTCCTCTCCCTCTCCCTCCCTTCCTCTCCCACTCTTCTCTCTCTGTCTCCTTCCCTCTCCCTTCCTCCCCACTCTCTTTCTCTCCCTTCCTCCCCTGCCCCCACTCCCAGCTGTCTCTATGTGTCTGTGTGTCTGTGTGTGTATGTGTGTGTGTGTGTGTGACACACATCCTATTGATTCTGTTTCTCTCGAGAACCATGACTAATACATTCTCAAAAAATAAAAAAAGCCGTATATGTGAAAGGAATCACAGTTTAAATATCCAATAAGAACAAAACCTAACCTTGGAAAGCTTACTCTGAGCAAACCATTTTGCCTGTCTCATCCTATTTAACCCTTACAAAAACCTAGGTGAGACTGTTATCACTTCCAGCTCATTGATGTGGAAATTCAGCCAGTGAGCCTTGGAGGGAGGCTTTGACACACATCTGATCAATTCCCAACCTCAGGCTTTTACCCATTACAGTCCACAGCATCTCAGGCTCAGCTGCACTCCTTGGAGCAGCAGTTAGCAGGGAGAGAACAGGATCTCTGGAAGGGAGAAAAGCCTACATGAAGGAGAGGTTGGGAGCCCAGAAAATTGTTTAACACAGCCTCAGTAAAGAACATAAAGAGGCTGGGCACAATGGCTCACGCCCATAATCGCAGCACTTTGGGAGGCCAAGGCAAGAGGATTGCTTAAGCTTAGGAATTTGAGAACAGCCTGGCAACAAAGTGAGACCTCATCTCTACAAAAAAAAAAAATTAAATAAAAAGGCAAAGAGGAAAAAAGTCCACAAGGAGAAGTACAAAGCAAGAATTCATCAAGGACAGAACACAAAGTTGGCAAAGACCCAGAAGCGCAGAATGGATGTGTAACTTGTCCAAAATCTCCAGACAGCATCATGGTGAAGACTGGAACCCACAGCTCCTGACCCCCAGGGCCATTGCTTTGTGAAACAATAAAGAAATGAATGGCTAAGGACAGCTTCCACATGGGGTCTCCCCTAAGCAGAAAGAAGAGTGTCTGAGTCTTGCGATAGCAAGGGACCACAGGAAGGTCAGGTCAGCATGAACTTGAGAAAAGATTCTGGAGAATCGTGAAGAATTGCTTGGCAATCCAGGGAACTTAGAGGTAAGGTGAAGAACCTTTTGGTTGACATATTAGGTCTTTCCAAAACCTGGTCCAGGGTGAGAAATCGTTATATAAAAGGTTATATAGTTTTAATGCAAATAGCTAGAAACATTTTCCTTCTGATTTGGGGGAATGGAAGACACATTGTTTTGAAAAGTGACTGCTGGGTGGTCTCTCCAACTTCAACACTCAAATATGACCACTCATCTACCGAGTGTCAGCCACTCCTGTTCACCAGTAAGTTGCTATACATGAATTAGAATAAAAGCAAATAACTCCTTATCTTAAAAATAAACAGAGATGAGATAGAAGGGTCAGTGTCAAAAAATCATCAGCAGCAGATGAAGGACGGGGGTCAGACACGAGGAGCTTTTTTTTTTTTTTTTTTTTTTTGAGATGGTGTCTCGCTCTGTCGCCAGGCTGGTATGCAGTGGCACAATCTCGGCCCACTGCAACCTTCACCTCCTGGGTTCAAGCGATTCTCCTGCCTCAGCCTCCTGAGTAGCTGGGATTACAGGTAAGCACCACCACGCCTGGCTAATTTTTGTATTTTTAGTAGAGACGGGGTTTCACTACGTTGGTCAGGCTGGTCTGGAACTCCTGACCTCATGATCTGCCCACCTTGGCCTCCCAAAGTGTTGGGATTACAGGCGTGAGCCACCACACCGGGCCACAAGGAGTTTTTTGGTTTGTTTTTGTTTTTGTTTTTGTTTTTGTTTCAGACGAAGTCTCACTCTTGTCCCCCAGGCTGGAGTGCAATGGCACAATTTCAGCTCACTGCAACCTCCACCTCCTGGGTTCAAGCAATTCTCCTGCCTCAGCCTCCCAAGTAGCTGGGATTACAAGCACCCGCCACCACACCCAGCTAATTTTTGTATTGTAAGTAGAGACGGAGTTTCACCATGTTGGCCAGGCTGGTCTGGAACTCCTGACCTCAGGTGATCCACCCTCCTCGGCCTCCCAAAGTGCTGGGATTACAGGCGTGAGCCACTGCGCCCAGCCCACGAGGAGCTTTTTTAACTGACATGCTTGAGGTTTGTTAACATACGCCAAGTTTCTAGCAAGTGCGTCCCAGATGCCTTGCACTGCTGTTTCACATAAGATGGCTTTGTTATGATGCAAGCCGTCTGGGACAAGAAAAGGCATGGGTACTGTACTGTAGTTGAATGCATTTTTCATATGAACCGAATGTTTTGTGGCCCCCCCAAAATTCATATGCTGAAATCCTAACCCCCAATGAGATGACACTTGGAGGTAAGGCTTTCAGGAGGTAATCAGGTCATGAGAGTGGGGCCTTCACGATGAGATTAATGTCCTTATGGGAAGAAACACCAGGCCAGGCATGGTGGCTCATGTCTGTAATCCCAGTACTTTGGGAGGCCGAGGCAGGCAGATCACTTGAGCCCAGGAGTTCAAGACCAGCCTGGGCAACATGGTGAAACCCTGTCAGTACAAAAAATTTAAAAATTAGCCAGGCGTGATGGCACACGCCCGTAGTCCCTGATACTCAGGAGGCTGAGTGGGAGTATCACTTGAGCCCAGGAGGTTGAGGCTGCAGTGAGCTGTTTGCACCACTGCACTCCAGCCTGAGCAACAGAGCAAGAACCTGTCTCCAAAAAGTAAAAGAAGAAGAAACATCAGAGAGTTTGCTTCCCCTCTCTCTGCTCTCTGCCGTGTGAAGCTACATCAAGAAGACAATTGTCTGCAAACCAAGAAGAGAGCCCTTGCCAGACATCAGATCTGCTGGCACCTCGCTCTTGGACTTCCCAGCCTCCAGAACCCTAAGAAATACATGCTTGCTTAGGCCACTCAGCTTATGGAATTCATTCTGCAGCTGAAGCTGATGAAGACCACATCTGTCTCAGAAATGGGTGTAATTACTATAACATAGTGGAAAGCACTGGAACCTTACATATATTCACAACCTCTAACCCAGCAAGACCACCTCAAGAAAATAGCTCCCAAAATAATTGGATATAAGCAGAAAAGTTTCTGTATTTACTCCCAATTTTATATAAAATGAAGAAAAATTCAGAAAAAAATTAAAATTTTTACCAAGAAAATGGTTAAATTATGGACCATCCATTTGATGGAATATTATGTTGCCATTTAAAAATCAGGGTTTTCGGCAGGCTGCAGTGGTTCATGCCTGTAATCCCAGCACTATGGGAGGCCAAAGCAGGCAGATAACTTGAGCTCAGGAGTTCAAGACCAGCCTGGACAACAGAGGAACAGTGAAACCCTGTCTCTACAAAAAATACATGAGCCTGTAGTTCCAGGAGGACACATTGCTTCGGGAGGCTGAGGTGGGAGGATTGCTTGAGCCCAGGAGGTCAAGGCTGCAGTAAGCAGTGTTTGTACCACTGCATTCCAGCCTGGGCAACAGAGCAAGTGTCTCAAAAAAAAAAAAACCCACAGTTTTGACATAAGAAAATGCTCACAACTAATGTAACATTTAAAAAATAATGGTATGTATAATCTGGGATTTGAGATAAATTTAGGAGAAACTGTTAGGTTTCAAATATCTTTCTCTTCAAGAATGTGGTATTTTTTTCTCTTATTTGGAATATCTCATATTTCTCAATGGAATTTTACAGTTTTCTTGAAAAAGACCTACAAATTTTATGTTAACTGTATTTCTAGGATTACTTATTTTTCTATTGCAAATGGAAAAGCTTTTCATTATATTTTTAAGGTGTTATTGATTTCTTTTTTTTTTTTTTTTTTTTTTGGAGACAAAGTCTTGCTCTATTGCCCAGGCTGGCGTGCAATGGTGCGATCTCAGCTCACTGCAACCTCTGCCTCCCAGGTTCAAGAGATTCTCCTGCCTCAGCCTCCCAAGTAGCTGGGATTACAGGCACCTGCCAACACACCCTGCTAATTTTTGTATTTTAAGTAGAGATGAGGTTTCACCATGTTGGCCAGGCTGGTCTCGAACTCCTGACCTCAGGTGATCCACCTGCCTCGGCCTCCCAAAGTGCTGGGATTACAGGAGTGAGCCACCGTGCCCAGCTGGTGTTATTGATTTTTAAACAGCTTTCCTCTTACAGTTTCTAGAATTCTTTCTATTCTTCTATTGTATTTGACATGGTTCTAGACATCAGTGTAATAGGCATAAGGAAGAAATAAAATACATAGGAATTCCAGGAAACAATGTTTCATTAATAAAAATGTGAAATTTATAATTATAATAGCATATAAAACCACATATGTTATAAATGCATTTTTTAAAGTATAATTATCAATCTATCTATCTACAGAGAAATAAGCGTGGAAGCAAATACTCAAAAATACTAATTGTATTCTAGTGACTCTCAGTTCTATTAGACCTTCTTTTTATAGAATATGCTATAATGCCATTAATGTCCTTGAAATGAAAGTCACTGATAATATGTTTTGCCTAAGCAAGTGACTTTTAAAAAATCAATATATGCCCTAGCTTAATGTAAATAATAAATAAAAGGAAAGTAGTTTATAATGTTTTGAAAAAATTAAAGTATATAAGCTGATATGGCACAATTACACTAGAAAATACCAATGCCCCACAAATTCCCAAAACAATCCCTAAGGCAAGGTACTGTCACCTTTGAATATCATTGTGTTTAAAAAAAGAGATCCAGGGAGTGAGATTATTATTTTTGTTTGCTTTTCCATAGAGTATATTTTCTCCTTTAAATGAATGCATACTGCTTTTATATTCAAAAATCTAGTGTTGGGGTGGATGTCTCAGGACTGTGATTGTTCAATACAAGGGAGGAGAAAGTCCCCAGGAAGATAGCTTACCTCGAACGAGTACGCTTTCCCAATTCCATCGCCTGCTCCAGTGATCACTGTGAAAAGCAAGAATGCTTTTAAAAGACAGAATTCATCTTTAAACTTCTCTTTCTCACTGGCCACGTTTTCTCACAAGCCTAGTCTCCAGGGCAGTCAGTACTCCAAAGGTTCATCCCTTTGCTCTCCAGCCCACGCCCTTGAAGCCCCTCACTAAACATTCAGGTGAAAGGATTGTTTGGTTGGTGGGTGGGTTGGTTGGTTGGTTGGTTTGTTGGTTGGTTGGTTGGTTGGTTAGTTGGTGTTTTGGAGGGATTGGCGAGACTGTGGAAAACATGTTCCAAAATGAAACAGATCCGCAGCCAGGGAACATTTCCTGCAGGCCCCATGAGGATGCAGATATTGTGAGCCTTCACCCCACAAGGGCAGGCAGTGTTCCCCATTATCTCTCTGCCCAGGCACCCATCTGTCATTGTAAGGACATTTCAAGGTTCCTTCTAAAAGTGGAGCTCTGCCCACTTCTCACCCCCACCCCACAGCAGCAATTAAAGGCCTATGGAAGGTAGGGAATTTAGCAAAGAGGAAAATACCAAAATGCAAAAAGAAAATGCAGTGAAATGAAGAAACCTGAAGAATTTGTACTCAATAGAACTATCTGTTAATATACAACAGTCAAATAGGTCTGCTAGTCCTTTCATATCAACATTACAGACATATTTAATGATTGAGCTCTAGTATACGCTTCATTCGTGAGAACGTCACAATTTCAAAATTCACTACAATTCGGTATATCGTAAAACTTACAATTTACCCTTGCAACAACAATTAAAGGGCATGCTTTCAAAAAGTGTGAACAAAAGGTACATTTAGCTCACCTGAGAGTGAGTGCAGGCCAAGCTGTACAAGCCTCACGGACCACACTGGCTTTAATAATTACTAATGATGTGTCTGTTCGTTTAGGAACTTCTAAGAGGCTCCATGCACACCGTCTGCAGCTCTGGGTGGAGGAACTATGCTCAGGGCATCTTGGGCCTTACCTTCCCCTCCCTGTGGGGAATCTTCAATTCACCCAATACAGGGCCTACACTACAGGCAAGATGATACCATCAATAATAACGACGGATAACGGTCACACACTCACTTCTTGCCATGTACTGCTTCTAGTGTTTTAGATGCATCATCTCATTTAATGTTCAAAACAAACCTAAAATGCAGGGACCATCATTATCCTTAGTTTATAAATGAGGAAGCCAAGGGGAAAAAGTTCGTAACTTGATTAAGGTCACACTGCTAAAAATGATGACACAAGGATTTGAACCCAGGCTGTCTGACTTTGGGGCCCTGAGTCTATGAATATACACTAAGAAAAGAATTAGGAAATCCAGCACAGAGCTCAGGGTACTCTATCTGAGGAATTAAAAATTTAGCCTCTAGTTCTTGCGTTTCTTTTTTGTCCCCTACTTGAAATATATTATCTCCCTGATATCTGCCTCTGCCCAAACATATTTTACTCCTGCTAGAGGTAACTCTATCCATCTTGACTCATAAAAACAGGTTAAGATCATGTTTTTCCTTTGAGTCACCAAATGCTCTTAGTCTCTGTCCCCATTTGAACTTCTTTTAGAATGTAGGTTTTTAGAAGGGCTTTCCCTACACAAACGACAGCAGCTGTGCAGAGTGCTACGTCCACCCACACGTGGGCATCTGAATCTGTGTGGAGTGGGGTATTTAAATCCAGAACACTCAGGTCAAGCTGCTGAGCAAGTTCAAGCAAGTTCACTCCTGACAGCATAATACCCCAAGAGGACACACACACACACACACACACACACACACACACACACACACACGCACACAGCAAATATAAGACGCAGAAGTCAAAAATCCATTTGTCATCCCAAACAATTTCTCACACGGTAATTTTTTTAATTTCCATTGCTAAGTTTTTAAGGTTGCCAGGTTTAGCAAATAAGGATACAGAATGCCCACTTAAATTTGAAATTAAGGTAAATTATGAATTGTTTAATGCATGTCTCATGCCATATGTGAGTTATACTAAAAAAGTATTCCTTTTTTTCTGAAATTTAAATTTAACTGGGTATCCTGTATTTTATCTGGCAGCCCTATAAGCATATTAGAATCTTTCCTATTTTGCCTAGATAATATCTCTAAAGTCACTTAATCATTTTTGTCATTGGATTCTTTGTGTGTGTGTGTGTGTGTGTGTGTGTGTGTCCAAATTTGAAATATAAGGCCCTGCAAAGACTTTAGCATTTCAGATATTCAAGGAGATGCTGAAACCATGGCCTCATGCTCTTCACCTTAACTTCAGTCATAGGGCTGAAGTTCTGCATGGGCGTTCCAGTAGATAAATCCCATGGGGAGGCAGCATTAATTGACACCAGCCAGACCCAGATTCCATTCCATACCATCCTGAAAACATGGCTCCATAGAGTTATGCGTTGCCTTGATTTTGTAACACCTTCATTTCTTAAAAACACTTGGATCCTTTTTTTAATACAATGAGTTAAAATTATTTAGATTTCAAAATTTGGAAACACCTTTTAGTAAAGTGAAAGCACCCTGGGCTTTTTGTAAATTTAGAGATGAGGATGCAGAAATTTCTGCATTATTTATTATTTGTATTAGCAGGAAACTCCCAAAAGAAGAAAACTCATCTAATGGGGTTGAGAGGATAAGTGCTTAGCAAGGGCTGGGTAGCCTTCTGCCCTAGTGTTCCCCTAATGCCCTACAGCTTGTGTTGCAGACCATTCTAATTTCACTCACACTTTTCTAATCCCCCCAATTAAAATTACCCAAAGGAATTACTTCTTTGCTCTCAAAGAGAAAAAAATGCAATATCCCTTTTGAGACATAAATAATAATAAGCAGGGGCTGGGTGCGGTGGCTCACGCCTGTCATCCCAGCCGTTGGGGAGGCCGAGTCGGGTGAATCACAAGGTCAAGAGTTTGAGACCAGCCTAGCCAACAGGGTGAAACCCTGTCTCTACTAAAAATACAAAACGTTGGCTGGGTGCGGTGGCTCACGCCTGTAATCTCAGCACTTTGAGAGGCTAAAGTGGGCAAATCATGAGGTCAGGAGTTCGAGACCAGCCTGGCCAACATGGGGGAACCCTGTCTCTACTAAAATACAAAAAATTAGCCAGCCGTAGTAGTGTGTGCCTGTAATCCCAGCTACTTGGGAGGCCGAGGCAGGAGAATTGCTTGAACCCAGGAGGCAGAGGTTGCAGTGAGCAGAGATCGCACTACTGCACTCCAGCCCGGGCAACAGAGTGAGACTCTGTCTCAAAAAAAAAAAAAAAACACCATTAGCCAGGTGTGGTGACAGGCGCCTATAATCCCAGCTACTTGGGAGGCTGAGGCAGGAGAATTGCTTAAACCCGGGAAGCGGAGGTTGCAGTGAGCCAAGATCGCGCCATTGCACTCCAGCCTGGGTGACAGAGCAAGTGTCTGTCTCAAAAATAATAATAATAGTAACAAGCAGGAACAACAGCAGCAAAAAAACATGAGATGGAACACTCCCTTACCTGCCCACTGTCCCATTGACCGCAAGAAAGACTTTGGCAAAACTTTCCAGTAGTTCAGTAAAACACATCTGGAGAATCTCACGCACTTCGCCAGGCAGGCCAGGCACACCAGCAGCCCTGTGAGGATGAAGAACTGTTCCAGGACGTCCCCCATGGCTGCACTCAACAGACTGTTTCAGCCCTGGCCGTGGCTCTCTGTGTATGCCTCCTGGGACCACGCTGCTCTGGAGACCTCCAGATCTTCTTCCAGGAGTCACTGGACGTGTTCCATCAAGTCAGGGGCATCTAGATTAAAGTAACTTCTTTACATAATCCTCTGACTCACAGGCCTTTGAATAAGGCTTTTGTTACTGTGGAGGAGCTGGTGAAAAAGTAAAAGGTGGACATGAAGGGAAAAAAACAAAGCCTGGACAAATATAAAATGGCAGCCCACAGTTCTCTCCCTGAATTTGGGAAAGTTAAAAAGGATGCAGAATCCAAGGCAATTATTCATACATTTAGCACTATGTATTGACTGCCTACCAGGTGGAGTCCCCTCTTGAAGGCATTAGGAAGTTAATAGTGACCACAGAGGGTCTCTCTGGTTTGGAGCTTAGATTCTGGTAGCAGGGACAGATGATGAGCAGATAAATAAGATAACATCAGATGGGGCAGTGGCTCACGCCCATAATCCCAACATTTTGGGAAGCCAAGGCAGGCGGGTCACATGAAGTCAAGAGTTCAAGACCAGCCTGGCCAACATGGTGAAACCTCATCTCTACTTAAAATACAAAAATTAGCCAGGCCTGGTGGTGGGCACCTGTAATCCCAGCTACTTGGGAGGCTGAGGCAGGAGAATCACTTGAACTTGGGAGGCGGAGGTTGCAGTGAGCCAAGATCACGCCATTGCACTCCAGCCTGGGTGACAGAGTGAGATTCTGTCTCAAAAAAAAAAAAAAGATAACATCAGTGCTATGAAAAAGCACTATTGAATGATGTGTTTGAGTAGCTACTCAGGGAATGCTTCAGAGAGGGTGTTCAGGAAGGAATTCCATGAAGAGGTGGCATTTTTAGTTGAAATTTGAATGAAAAGGAGCCAGCTCCGCAAAGATGAGTTTCCCCCTCCAGGCTAATGGAACGGCTAGTACAATGCCTGAAGTGAGAAAAATCCACGTATTTGAGGAATAAGAACTAGGACAGGACAGGCATGGTGGCTCACGCCTGTAATCCCAGCACTTTGGGAGGCCGAGGCAGGCGGATCACAAGGTCAGGAGATTGAGACCTACTAAAAATACAATAATTAGCTGGGTGTGGTGGAGCATGCCTGTAATCTTAACTACTTCGGAGGCTGAGGCAGGAGAATCGCTTGAACCTGGGAGGTGGAAGTTGCAGTGAGCTGAGATTGTGCCACTGCACTCCAGTCTGGGCGACAGAGCAAGACTCCATCTCAAAAAAAAAAAAAACACTAGGACAACACAGCAGAGGGACTGGCCACAGAGAGTAAGGGAGGAAAAGGCCAGAGCAGGAGGGAGGAGCCATGCCCTACGGGTGAGTGTGGACTTTCAGAGCAACCAGAAGCCATTGCACAGATTTAGGAAACAGAGTTCTATACTCTGAATTATGCTTTTAAAAGGCCACTGGATGCTGAGGGAAGATGTCCTTCTGGGGGTGGGATGGAGGGTGGGTGTGACAACTGAAGCAAGGGCAGCCAGGATACTGAAGTCATCCCTGCAGAGGCCACAGGATCAGTCCTTGGCCTTCTCTCATTTCTGCCTGTGCTCACTCTCAGCTCACTCTGTGCTGCAATCAACAGCCTTGCGCTCACCCTAGAAGCAGAATTGCTGGCCAGAACATAGATTCATACGTCTTTATGCTAGATATTGTCAGATTTGCCTTCATTTTGCATTCACGCCAACAACACGTGAGCATGTTCGTTTTCCCACTGCCTTAGCAGTAAAGCATGTTGTCAAGCTTTGGGACTTTTGCCACCCAGTAGGTAAGAAGTAGCATCCAATGTTGTTTTAAGTTTAAATTATCTTATCAGCCAGGTTGGAGAGATTTTCTTAAGCCTAAGAGCTATTTTCACTGTTTTCTTTGTGAATTTTCTCTCTCCTGCCCGTTTTTCTATGTGGTTTTTGGTCTTTCCCTTCTCTGTATTTAGAGATGGTTTCAGGACTCTGATTAGTCAGAAATTCGACCTGCTCACTCTGTCCTTCATGGTCATTGATTATCTCTTCAGGTGTGTCTGATCATTGTTAAGTCAGCCCATTGTGGTTTTTATTTTAATGACCTTAACTTCATTTCTAAAAGTTCCTTTTCTTTTTTGCAAAACTGAGGCTTTTCTTCTTATGGTTCTCTGCTCCATGCAGATATTTTTAATTTTGACTTTCTTTACCTCAGCATAATTGTCTTATGATCTGGCTTTAACAATTCCAGTACCTACATCAGCCTTTCTGTTGCTGTCTCCTCTCTCTGGTAGGTCTCACTCATGGTGCCCTGTTTCCTTGTGTGCTTGATAATTTTCACCTGTGCACATCCCATTTTGCTTGGAAATTTCTCTGTGAGGTTTTCTGATGAAGCTGTATTCCTCCATAGAGGAGGTGGTTTTGCTTCTACCAGATACCTAGAGGAACTTCCAATTTGGAAAATTAAATTCATGGCTAAATTCATAGTTTTCTAAACCATGCAGGTGAAGTGAATTTGGTCTGCCATGACACCCCACCCTGGCCTGTGTTGATAAACCCATAGGACGGTTCTCTGGCCATCTCCACCCACCACCACCTCCTCTGCTCAGTGCCAAGGTGCATTTCCTTGTAGTCCGGGAGCATGTTTCTTCTGGACCACGGTTACCCTGAGGATGTAGAAACCTTTTGGGACCCCGGCCTTATGGAATGTTCATCTATTAGACTCTTCCTGACCTTCATTTCTGTCCCATACCATCACCACTGAAGCTCCCCATCACCCCGTCCAGCAAATGCAGGGCTTATGTGGCTTCAGTGCTCAATTTACCTCTCTGTATTGCTGCTTTCTCTTATACTGAAATTTTTGACTATCTTAATAGGTTTAATGCTTTTAATAAGCTCTTTGAGAATATCTCTTCTGCCCACAAAAACATGGATAAATCATATTTTGTCAAGCAAAAGAAGTCACAGAAAAGTACTGCATTAGTTATCTATTCTGTATAACAAATTAACCCAAAACTTAGTTGCCTAAACAATGCCATGTATTATCTCATGATTTCTGTGGGTCAGGAATCCAGGCATGGATCAACTGGATCCTCTAGCTCAAGGTCTTTCACAGGTGGCAATAAAGTCCAGCCAGGTGGCCGTCATCTCCAGGCTCACCTGGGGAAACAGCAGCCCAGTCACTTGTTTGTTGCAGGATCCGGTTGCTCCTCCTTTGTTCCTTGCTGTGTGGGCCTCCTCACAGGGCAGCTCCCAAGAGCAGCTTGCTTCATCAGATCTAGCCAGTGAGAAGAATCAGACAGAGAGAGAAGGCAGAAGCCACACTCTTGTAATCTGATCTCGGAAGGGCCATTCCATCACTTTAGCTGCATTCTGTGCATTAGAAGCAAGTTCCTAGATCCACTCCATATTCAAAGGGAAAAGATCACACAAGGGAGTGAACATAGCGGGTGGGGATCATTGAGATCCATTATAGAAACTGCCTTCTACATGTACATACCATAGGATGTTATTTATAGGAAGTTAAAGAACAGGCAAACATAATCTTCAGTAAAATAAAATCAGAACACTTGTTGCCTGGTAGAGGTGAAGGGATTGGCTAGAAGGGTCATAGGGAACTTTTCTGGTTGATTAAGATGTTCTATATTTTGATAAGCAATGTGTTCGGAAGGGCATGCCTTAATCAAAACTCACTGGACTGTACACTTTTAAGCTCTGTGCAATTTATTGCATGTAAATTATCTGGAAACTTCAAACAAATTTTATCCTGCAGTTATTCTTTGGATGGTGGATAATTTAGACTTCCGTTACCAGAACTGTAAGCCGCAATTCATTTGTGTGCTTGGTCACAGACCAAGATTTCCCCACTTTTACTTTTCAGCATCAAAAACTATATCCAACCCCATGTAATAGATTGAGAAATTACATACCAATATCTGACTGTGAATTCAGCAAAGCTTTTAAATAAATGTGTATTTTTCTATTTGCAAGATGCTATGACTTGTATCACCTACCCCCTGGCCCCAGCCAAAATTCATGTATTGAAGGCCTAACCCCCAGTGTGATGATATTTGGAGATAGAGCCTTTTGGGGGTGATGAGATCATGAGGGTGGGGCCTTCATGGTAAGATTAATGCCCTTAAATGAAGAGACACAAGGCTGGGTGCGATGGCTCACACCTGTAATCCCAGCACTTTGGGAGGCCAGGGTGGGTGGATCACCTGAGGTCAGGAGTTCTAGAGGAGCCTGGCCAACATGGTGAAACCCCATCTCTACTAAAAATACAAAAATAAGCCAGGCATGGTGGCACCCGCTTGTAATCCCAGCTACTCGGGAGGCTGAGGCATGAGAATTGCTTGAACCCAGGAGGCCGAGGTTGCAGTGAGCCAAGATCGCACCACTGCACTCCCAGCATGGGCGACAGAACGAGACTCCATCTCAAAAAAAAAAAAAAAAAAAAAAGAAGAAGAAGAAGAGACACAAGAGATCTCCCTCTCTCTCTCCACCACATGAGGGCACAGCAAGCAAACAAGCAGACCACTGTCTATAAGCCGGCAAGAGAGCCCTCACCAGGAACCAAGTGGGCCACCACCTTGATCTTGGACTTCTCAGCCTCCACAACTGTAAGAACAAAATTCTGCCATTTAAACCACTCAGTCTGTGGTATTTTTCTATAGCAGCCCGACCTGACACAGAGTACATGGGAGCGTTTAAAAATTAAATTCTTCAACGTGGAGACATGTTATTTCCCCAGCATATGTTTGCTGTTGTTTTCTGCTCCACTTGAGAAATGTGACTGAATGACTGATATTATTATAGCAATAACATTAATGCCGATGTAAAACTTCTAAATACATGATTTTCAAAACTCAATAAATAGTAACCAGAAAAAAAAATTCTTACCATACATCTAGCAACTCTGCATAGTTGCTAAGCAGAGAAAAACAGTTTGAGAACTGGATCTCCAAAACAGGGATCATAAACTCAGATGCTCACAGTGGTGGAAGGCAGGTGATGTAAGTCCATGAAACAGGGCAGGGACTTTGTGCTGTACTTTTTTTTTTTTTTTCTTTTCAAGACAGAGTCTTGCTCTGTTGCCCAGGCTGGAGTGCAGTGGTGTGATCTCGGCTCACTGCAACTTCTGCCTCCCGGGTTCAAGCAATTCTCCTGCCTCAGCCTCCTGAGTAGCTGCGATTACAGGTGCCCGTCATCGCGCCTGGCTAATTTTTGTATTTTTAGTAGAGACAGGGTTTCACCATGTTGGCCAGGCTGATCTCAAACTCCTGACCTCATGATCCGCCACCTCGGCCTCCCAAAGTGCTGAGATTACAGGCGTGAGCCACCGTGCCTGGCCTTGTGCTACACTTTTCCCTACAGACACAGAGCAGGTATAATGTTCACTTCCACAGACAAATGCACTCTCTTTCATTGTCTTTGAAATCTTGTCTCTCTTGATTTAGCTTTTATTTTCTTGTTTTCCTCTCAGCTCTACTTTAGGAAATGACACTACAAACACCCTGAAGGATAGAGACTGACCCTAAGCCTCCACTCGTGGGACATAGAGAACAGGGAACATGGAGAACATGAAACAGAAACTGTCCACTCCACCCAGCTCCAGCTGTCCTGTGGAACTGTGGCCTAGTAGGCAAATTGTGATTTTTTTTAAGTGATAAAAAAAATCCAGTTTCTAATAAGACATGTCTCCATTTTTATAAAAAATGTTATGAAAATAACAACTGGAATATAAAGCAACAAACTCCGAAACCATGTTAACACCGCATAGACAAAATAAAACACATCTGCAGCCCTCCAAGGGCCCGTGGATGAAAGGTCTGAGGCTTCAGATTAAGGAGGTGAATTAACTTAGTTAAGTGCAGTGTGCATGTACTTGGTGGGGCAGTGGGGCTGGGATTGAAGTGGGTGAGGAGACAGTGAACAGAATGCAATAACCAAGTTCACTGAGTACCCTCTCCACAACACTACAGTAAAGCTAGGAGGAGCAGAGGCAAGAACAAATATGGAAAAGCTGGTAGCACTGAGAAAACACATAAAGTCAGTAAACCAAGCTTGATATGGGTCCAAACAAGGCCTTAGATGCAGGACATAAGGGAGCAACTCAAAGGTCAAAGAACATCTTGAAGTAACAGACATGAGCAGAAAATTGGCCGGGCACAGTGGCTCATGCCTGTAATCCCAGTACTTTGGGAGGCTGAGGCAGGCGAATCACGAGGTCAGCAGTTCAAGACCAGCCTGGCCAAAATGGTGAAACCCCGTCTCTAATAAAAATACAAAAGATTAGCCGGGCATAGTGGCGGGCGCCTGTACTACTTGGGAGGCTGAGGCAGGAGAATCGCTTGAACACAGGAGGCAGAGGTTGCAGTGAGCTGAGATCGCACCACTGCACTCCAGCCAGGTGACAGAGTGAGACCCCATCTCAAAAAAAAAAAAAAGACATGGGCAGAAAATTAAATGAAGAAATACAACTAGTATGCAAATGTGTGGAATGTTTAACCTCATACATTATTAGAAATGTCAACTGAATGAGTAAAATACTACATACACATAAGCTAGTAAATAGAGCATCAGGCTCGCATGCAGTGCTCATGAGGTTGCAATGGAACTGAGACTCTCCTCCGTGCCTCCGTGGTGTAGATTAAACAGCAGAGGCTTTCTGAAATACACTCTGTACACAGCTTCCCAGGGGAAGGGGAATCTTTTGGGGGTCATGGAAATGTTTTAAAACTGTATTGGGGTGATGGTTGCACAGCTCTATAAATTAACCCCCAAATCATTAAACTGTACACTTAAAATTGCTGGTCTTTAAGATATTTAAATAATACCTCGATCAAGCTGTTTTTTTAAAACTGGCAGAGCTAGGACGTGGCCCCAGGCCGTCTGATTCCAGAGGCTGTCATCACACAACTTCTGCCCACCTCCACCATCACAACAGGAGAATAAGGCACCTTTAGAAAGTCCAGCCATCCCGATGTCAGCAGCTTCCTTGGTTGGTTTCCTTGATAAAATGCACAAGGACTGGATGATCTTATTCAACTCTCAAGGTGACCCCATCCACCCTGCTCTTCAAGCCAGTACCCCAAGTTTGAGATGAAAATGCAAGAACAAGTCAGTCTAGAAGAATTGTTCTGAACTAAGGTTCCCAAATCACTAGAGAGTTCCTGAAAACAAGAATGGCCATCCTCAAGTCATTTTCAGTATCCCCCAAAAGTCAAATTTTCAGAAGACTTTTCTATCACAAAGCTGTAAGGATTAAGACAGTCATCAACTCTCCGTACTTTTGGCTAGAATTAACTCCAGTCAGCTGGTTAGTAACATCAGCTATCTCATGTCAACCAGAAATTCTAATTGGGAATCACACAGTTTTGACAAATACAAAATACAGATTGTGCACAAGTACAATTTTATGTTTTGAAGGTTTTTTCAAAGTGTTGGCCTGAGGGAGCACTAACCAGGGGGTGCTGGGGTTGAAAGAGTGGGAAACCCCCTGGAGGAGAGCGCTAAGGGATTGGTTCCTACTTTTGGATCTCACAGAACGGGTACTCAGTAAATGGTAGTTGTCATTAACAGTATTGCTATTGCAGATGTGATCACATTTAACAAAACCTGGAGGAGCAAGCATTTCTATAATTGTGAGTGGCTAGCAATGGCAGAAAGGGTGTGCAGTCTCAGCCCATCAATAAAAAGGGTCCTTCTACCAGCTGATCAAGGACACCCTGGGAGTCTAGAAGATGGGATAAATACTCGCTTCTTGCTCCCATCCAACTACCTTTCAAGGCCTGCTTGGCCTCCGTTCAGCTCATCATTGCTAGCTGTCCCTATCCTATGAAGTTCCCGTTCGTAAACATCCTACACAGAAACCCAACTCTATCTTGCTAATATGCAGGCTCTCTCATGCCAGGGGTGAACATGTGGAGGCACAAAGAAGAAGAGAGCAGGGAACCACACCCTGTCAAATAAACTCTCATGAATATTCCAAGTTTAGTTTACTTAAGAAGAGAGAATTTCGCCTTCATTTACGTTTTACGTTAAGAGAAATTCATTGAAGAAAAACAACATCCTGAAGCTTGCCCTTTGATTATATGGTCTATTCATTCATTCAACAAGGATCTTTCTGTATGCACCGTGTACCAGGCCTTGTTCTACTCAATTTAGAGTTTTTAGAGCCAGCTTTATGGGCATAAACTCCACTTCAGGAATCACGTCTTTCTGTCCCAGAATCAGTGAAAAGCCAAATAGCAACAAGCTTTTCTGTAGCAGGTGCTTACTAATGTTTCTTTCTATTCTTTTTCAGGGTAATTTATTCTTATCTATACTGAAAATGTTTATTAAACTAAGGCTCACCACACAAAGTAAGCTACATAGTTTACTCAAGAAAGATAACCAGGGGAAAAGAAAGAGGTTTTGGAGCTGCCAGAGCTGTGTTATCCAAATCACTAACCACTGGCCATATGTGGTTATTTAAATTTTAATTTGATTTCATTTAATTTAAAATTCAGCTCTTCAGTTGCACTAGCCATTCCAGGTGGTCAATAACCACATGTATTGAACAGCACAGATTTAAACACATCCCTCAGTGCAGAAAGTTTTACTGAACAGTGCCGATCAGACCTTTGTGAGCCATTTTGCTTCCAAATGCATACAGTTACCAGAGCTTATAAACCTCATCACTAAAACTAAAATATATAAGAGGAATATTTATGTTTAGAACATGGTTTCTAGAACTTTATTGATATCACTGAGTTAATAACAGGGTTTTCTCAGATCCTGGGGTGGAGGGAGGAGATGAATATGACTGTGTTCCTTATGTAACTCTGTCTACTCTTCCTTATGAGGGCATGCCAGACACAGCAGTATTCCTAAGTGTAGTATTCTGTTCTCATGCTGCTAATAAAGACATACCCTAGACTGGGTGATTTATAAAGGAAAGAAGTTTAATTGACTCAGAGTTCCACATGGCTGGGGAGGCCTCACAATCGTGGCAGAAGGCGAAGGAGGAGCAAAGTCACATCTTACATGGCAGCAGGCAAGAGAGTGTGTGCAGGGGGATCTCTGCTTTATAAAACCATCACATCTTGTGAGACTTACTCATTATCATGAGAACAGCAAGAGAAAGACCCACCCCCATGATTCAATTACTTCCCACCAGGTCCCTCCCGTGGCATGTGGGAATTATGGGAGCTATAATTCAAGATGAGATTTGGGTGGGGACACAGCCAAACCATATCACTAAATATGCATAATGAAGTCAGACTTAATGTCATGCCTATAAAACACTCTATTCTTTTTCATGGACTTTCTTTTCAGTACTTTGAATGTTATTCCACTGCCTTCTGGACTCCACTGCTTCTGATGAGAAGTCAGCTGTTAGGCCGGGCACTGTGGCTTACGCCTGTAATCCTAGCACTTTGGGAGGACGAAGCAGGTGGATCATGAGGTCAGGAGATCGAGACCATCCTGGCTAACACAGTGAAACCCTGTCTCTACTAAAAATACAAAAAATTAGCCAGGCATGGTGGTGGGTGCCTGTAGTCCCAGCTACTCAGGAGGCTGAGGCAGGAGAATGGCGTGAACCTGGGAGGCGGAGGTTGCAGTGAGCCAAGATTGCACCACTGCACTCCAGCCTGGGTGACAGAGTGAGACTCATCTCAAAAAAAAAAAAGAAGTCCGCTGTTAATCTTATTAGGGTTCCTTTGTAAGTGATGAGTAGTTTCTCTCTTGCTGTTCCTAAGATTTTCTCTGTGTATTTGGCTTTTAGTATTTTTACATCAATGTCTTGATGTGGATCTCTTTGCATTTGTCTGTGGAGTTTGTTGAGTTTCTTGGATGTGTGAATTCATGTTTCTCAACAGATTTAGGAAGTTTTTACCCATTATTCAATTTTTTTAACTCTTTTCTCATTTTCTTCTCCTTCTGCCCCACCAATTATGCAAATGTTGATTTGCTTTCTTTTCATTTTTCTTCATTCTATTTTCTCTGATCTTTAAATTGAATAATCTCTATTGATCTCTCTTCAAATTTACAGATTCTTTCTTCTGTAGGTTCAAATTTACTCTTAAGCCCCCAAATAAATGCTTGATTTTGGTTTTGTACTTTTCAACTCCAGAATATCTATTTGGTTCTTTTTTAATACTTTCACTTTTTGATTTCCCTGTTTGATGAAACATTGTCTTCATACCTTCCTTCACTTATTTAATCATGTGTACTTTGGTTCTTTGAACTTATTTATAATGAAGTCTTTATCTGTTAAATACACCTGGTCCCTCTTATAAGCTGTTTCTGTTGTCTGCTTTTATGGGTCACACTTTCATGTTTCTCTGAATGTCTTATACTTTTTTGTTGAACCTGGACATTTTAGGTAATATATTGCAGGAACTCTGGATACTGATTCCCCTCCCTTCTCCCTGGAGCTTGGTTTTGTTGTTCTGTTTATTTTGTGACTTGGCTACACACTAGAATATTTTAGTAAAGTCCATTTTCCCCTTTGGTGTCACTCCTTGGAGGCTGAGGCTTGATTGCACACTGTCTCCCTGCAGTGACACTGGGTTTAAGGGGGTTCTCTTTGCCTCTTTCCCTGATTTATATTTTAAGCTGTCTGCTTGACTTGGTTATTACCCGGGTCCATCAGGCCCCAATTACCAGTTTATTGCTCTATTGTTTTTGATAGTGCCCTGGGGCATAAATTGCCTAGCAGTCTGATCCAATTAAATTCTGGCAGGGGTAGTTATTGAGGCCAGTTTTTGAGGTCTGTTCTGACTCCACGAGAGCTCTTCTTTGCTGTCTCTTTCCCTGGTTCCCCCTGGTGAACCAGTTGGACTATGATTTAGCTTGTTGTTCTTAATTAAGAGAGGCATCATCTTCAAGAGTCTCTTAGACATGCATTTTCCCCACATTCTGCTTCAAATAAAGTCAGTTCCTTTAAGGAGTGCCCTGGAGCTCTTTTTTCTCGTGGACTTTGTGTTAATTTGGACAACTACAATGTTTAAGGGCACACAGCCCCCATGGGACCACCCTCATTTCTGATACTAGCTGCAAGTTTGAGGAGTTCTCAAAAACAGCCTCAGTTTTGATCATTTGGTAGGACTCATAGACCTCACAGAAAGCTGTTATACTTGTGGTTACCGCTTATTATGAGGAAAGAATACAGATTAAAATGAGCCAAGAAAAGCATTGGATTGGACAGTGTGTGGGCAAGTGCCAAATGTAGAGCTTCCATTGTCTTCTCTCACAGAATCAAGACACATCATTACCTTTCCAGCAACAATGTGTGACAATATGCACGGAGTATTGCCAACCCGGGAAACTCAATCAAGCCTCAGTGTTCAGAGTTTTTATTAGGGCTTCATTACATAAACTTCACTGATTGCCCACATGGCTGATCTCTGTCTCCAGACTCCCCAGGTATCACCCAAAGCCTTCACCCTAAACCACCCTGTTGGTCTTTCTGGTGTAGCCAGCCCCCATCTGAAATCACATTGTTAGACTATCTAATGTAACCCAAGGTCCCCAGGCAAACAAAGACACTCCTCTTTGGCATGATATTCCAAGAAGCTTAGGGCAAAGACCAGACATCTTTTTGGGCAAGATTAAATTCTTTACTGCACAGGCTGCGTCCTCCCTGGGCAGCCTCTCTGAGCCACTCGTCTGGGTGCTGGACAGGGTGGTAGCCTCTGGTCTTGTCAGATCATCTCTCCCCAGTGTGGAACAGCCTTCCAAGTGAGCTGGGGCAAGGGTAATGGGGACCCCAGTATTTGTGGCCTGCTGTACTTGAGGTAGAGCCTGCATCTAATGGGTAGGGGCTTGGTAGAGAGGGCCCTAGCCCCTCAGCTGCACTCACCAGGAATTGAGCATCTCTGGCTGGGCATGGTGGTTCACACCTGTAATCACAGCACTTTGGGAGGCCAAGGCAGGAGGATCACTTGAGGCCAGCCTAGGCAACATAGAAAGATCCCATCTCTACTAAAATACAACAATTAGCCAGGTGTAATGGTGTGTCCCTGTGGTCTCAGCTACTTAGGAGGCTGAGGAGGGCAGATCACTTGAGCCTGGGAGGCAGTGGTTGCAGTGAGCTGAGATAATGCCACTGTACTCCTGCCTGGGCAACAGAGCCAGACCCTGTCTTCAAAAAAAAAGATTTTTAAAAATAAAGATACAAGCATGTGTATGTTCACTGCAGCACTATTCACAACAGCAAAAACATGGAATCAACCCAAATGCCCATCTATGATAGACTGGATAAAGAAAACATGGTACATACACACCACGGAATACTATGCAGCCATCAAAAGGAACGAGATCATGTCCATTGCAGGGACATGGATGGAGCTAGAAGCCATTATCCTCAGCAAACTAACACAGGAACAGAAAACCAAACACTGCATGTTTTCACTTATAAGTGGGAGCTGAACAATGAGAATACATGGACACAGGGAGGGGAACAACACACACTGGGGCCTGTTAGGGGGGTGCGGGAGAGGGAGCATCAGGATAAATAGCTAATGCATGTGGGGCTTAATACCTAGGTGATAGGTTGATAGGTGCAGCAAACCACCAGGGCACACATTTACCTATGTAACAAACCTGCACATCCTGCACATGTATCCCAGAACTTAAAATTACAAATTAAATTTTTAAAAAATAGCATCTTCAACTTAGATGGGATGAGAATTCAGGTGGTCTTCTCCCAGTTGGATCCAATTCCCCAGGAACCGAGAAGAGAATGACCCCTTTTTGGCTATGCCCACCTGAGGCAGAACTTCCACCAAGTCGAGCTGGGAGAAGGAAAAGAGAGGAGTGGGGTCAATTCTCAAATGCCACGGCTGCCTATCGTTCTTACCAAGTGTTAGTAGGTTTACCTGAATCAATGTTTCCTCATTTGCCCTTATAATGTCTGGAGACTGTAATTACTTCTCTTTTTATAGTTTTTGCCAGCTTTGCTTGTTTCACAGAAGAATGAGTCCACAGGACTCCTCACGCTGCCATCTGACCTTTTCATAGACTTTTTCTTTAAAGACAAGGTCTTCCTTTGTCACCCAGGCTGAAGTGCAGTGGTGCAATCATGGCTCACTGCAGCCTCAACCTCCCAAGGTCAAGCTATCCTCCCACCTCAGCCTCCTAAGTAGGTGGGACTACAGGCATGCGCCACCATGCCTGGCTAATGTTTGTACTTTATGGTAGAGATGGTGGTCTCACTGTGTTGCCCAGGCTGTTCTCAAACTCCTGGGTTCAAGCAATCCATCCGCCTGCTTTGGCCTTCCAAAATGCTAGGATTACAGATATGAGCTACTGTGCCCGGCCTTCACAGACTTTTTTTTTTTTTTTTTGAGACGGAGTCTCGCTCTGTTGCCCAGGCTGGAGTGCAGTGGCGCGATCTCAGCTCACTGCAAGCTCTGCCTTGCAGGTTCACACCATTCTCCTGCCTCAGCCTCCCGAGTAGCTGGGACTACAGGTGCCTGCCACCACGCCCAGCTAATTTTTTGTATTTTTAGTAGTGACGGGGTTTCACCATGTTAGCCGGGATGGTCTCCATCTCCTGACCTTGTGATCCACCCGCCTCGGCCTCCCAAAGTGCTGGGATTACAGGTGTGAGCCACCGCACCTGGCTAGATCCTTATTTTTCTTTTATGCCATGGACCACAATGGCAGTCTAGTCACAGCCTCCTTCTTTGAATAATATTTTTAAATGCACAAAATTAAATACATAGAATTATAACGGAAACCAATTACCAAAAACCAGATACACACTATTTTTAATGTGATGTACTGAAAATATGCCTCTTTATGAACATATTAAATAACAAGAACCAATGGAGGGTCTAACAACTAGTAAATGACAAGTAGGGTATAAATGGTTTTTCTGTGAAACCCATAATGCAATATGCAAATATCTTTAATTCTATTGGTAACAAAGTTACAGGTACAGCTAATACTACTGTGGTTTCTCCTACATTCAAATGGAAAGAAATGCTAAATGTTGGTTAGAGGTTAGGGAAAATCCGGATGTATTCTTTCCCTAGCTGTGTGCACCAGCTCACTAAATCTTGTCCATGAACTCCAGGTTAAGAATCCCTACTACTTAAAGGATGGCCCAGGCTGGGCATGGTGGCTCACAACTGTAATCTCAGCACTTTGGGAGGCTGAGGCAGGTGGATCATTTGAGGTCAGGAGTTCAAGACCAGCCTGGCCAACATGGTGAAACCCCATCTCTACTAAAAATACAAAAATTAGCCAGGCATGGTGGCATGTGCCTGTAATCCCAGCTACTCAGGAGGCTGAGGCAGGAGAATCCCTTGAACCCGGGAGGCAGAGATCATGCCACTGCACTCCAGCCTGGGCAAGACAGCAAGACTCCATCTCAAAAAAACAAAAAAAAAAGGGGGGGAAGATGGTCTGGACCAACAGCCTGGGGTGGCTGGTGCTTTTCAAATCCCCTGGGATAAATGCAGGTTCTGATTCAGTGAATGTTCCCTGACAGTCTGCATTTCTAAGAGCCCCCAAGTTACCAATGCCACTTCTGGTGAAGGGACCACAGATTGCAGACAAAAGCCTCAGGGCTTATCCTGGTGACGACTTTGGCCTGGAGGTGCCTTTTTTGTGTGTGTGCCTGAGGGCACAAAAAATATATATTTCACTCTTCTCTAAACTAGGTCCTATTATTTAATCAACCTCAGCTGTGAAAAAGCTCCAATGCTTGAGATATACTTTATATATATATAAAGTATTAAAACAGGCCAGGTGTGGTGGCTCACGCCTGTAATCCCAGCACTTTGGGAGGCCAAGGCAGGTGGATCATGAGGTCAGGAGATCGAGACCATCCTGGCTAACATGGTGAAACCCCGTCTCTACTAAAAATACAAAAAACTAGCCGGGTGTAGTGGCGGGCGCCTGTAGTCCCAGCTACTGGGGAGGCTGAGGCAGGAGAATGGTGTGAAACTGGAAGGCGGAGCTTGTAGTGAGCCGAGATCGCGCCACTGCATTCCAGCCTGGGAGACAGAGCAAGACTCCCTCTCAAAAAAAAAAAAAAGTATTAAAACAGCAAGAAATAGTCCAAGTTAACAAATGGTGTAACTGTTATTTGTAGTACCATGGCAAGAGGTGTGCAAAATATCAAGGTAAGTAAACTAATGTTTGTGTCCCATCCACTAGTGGTTTTTACAATGTTTTTACCAGGAAAAATTATATCTGGAGACCTGGGTCACTGGACCTACATTTTTTCTTCAGCCTCGATGGGGTTTGCAGAGCCTTTCCATACCACTTCTCCACCTCCAGCACCCCCAACTAACCTTAGTTCAAAAGCCTGATTGGAGCTTCCTTCAACCTCCCTCCTCCCTTAAACCCAAGTTCTTTAGCTGTACAGCAAACATTTCAACTTTCAACCCAGCTCCTAGGGCTGCTGGGCTGCTCTTAGGGTGCCCTCTGCTGGCCACACGTGGAAGCAAGTGTAAAAGTCTTAAAACACATCTTTAAGAATTCCAAGAATAAAAATTAAAGATTTTTTTAAAAAATTGGAAGAAAGAAGGAAATTAGTTTTTGTTTGTTTTGCTTAGCATCTTTGGTCTCTGGAATTCAAAAAGTATGTTGATGCAACAGGAGGTAGTTAACAAAAGTTTGGATGGCCAGGTACAGTGGCTCAAGCCTGTAATCCCAGCACTCTGGGAGGCCGAGGAGGGTGGATCACCTGAGGCCAGGAGTTCGAGACCAACCTGACCAACTGGTGAAACCCAGTCGCTACCAAAAATACAAAAAAAAAAAAAAAATAGCCAGGCGTAGTGGCGTACGCCTATGATCCCAGCTACTTGGGAGGGAGGCTGAGACACAAGATCACTTGAACCTAGGAGTTCGAGATTGTAGTGAGCCGAGATCATGCCACTGCACTCCAGACTGGGAGACAGAGCAAGACGTTGTCTCAAAAAAAAAAAAAGTCTGGGAGCTCCAAGTTTACACTCCAGAAGCCTTTTAATTATTTTATCTTACTATTTGTGCTTGTAGACACAGATCTTGCCATATTGCCATGCCCAGCCCTCCAGAAGCCTCTTAAAAGCACATTGAAGGCTGGGCACAGTGGCTCACACCTGTAATCCCTACACTTTAGGAGGCCAGGGTGGGAGAATCACTTGAACTTGGGAGTTCGAGATCAGCCTGGGCAACAGGGCAAGAGTCTGTCTCTACAAAAACTATTTAAAATTAGGCAGGCTAATTTTTTAGTAGTGGTCCCAGCTCCTCGGGAGGCTGAGGTGGGAGGATCGCTTGAGCCTGGAAGATGGAGACTGCAGTGAGCCGAGATCATGCAACTGCACTACAGCCTGGGAGACAGAGTGAGACTCTCTCTCAAAAATAATAATAATAAAATAAATTAAATATAAAAGCGTATTGAAACAGTAAAGAACTCCTACAACTCAACAACAATAAAACAAACAATTTGATTAAGAAATGGGCAATGGACTTGAATAGACATTTATTTAAGAAGATAAATAAATGGCCAACAAGTACATGAAAAAATGCTCAACACCACTAATCGATTAATTAGGGAAATACAAATCAAAACCAAAACACAGCCAGGCAGGTGAGCCTGTAGTCTCAGCTACTCCAGAGGCTGAGGCAGGAGGATCATTTGTGCCCAGGAGTTGCAGACCATCCTGGGCAACATAGTGAGATCCCATCTCTAAAAACAAAATAAAATAAAAATAAATTATTTTTTAAAACATCCATTATGATGGCTACTAGTAAAAATGAAACAGAAAATAACAAATGTTATTGAGGTTGTGGAGAAATTGGAACCCTTGATGGCGGGAATGTAAAATGGTGCAGCCACTATAGAAAACAGCATAGCAGGTCCTCAAAAACCTAAAAATAGAAAGACCACAGGATCCAGCTATTCCACTTCTAGGCATATATCTAAAAAAATTGAAAGCAGAGCCTTGAAGACATATTTGAACACCCATATTAATAGCAGCATTGTTCATAATAGCCAAATGGTGGAAGCAAGCCGAGTGTCCATCAGCAGATGACTGGATAAACAGAATGCGGCAAATCCACACCACACATTCAGACGTAAGGAAGGATGCTCTGCATGCTACAACATGGATGAACCTCGGTGATATGGTGCTAAGTGAATAAACCTGTCACAAAAACTATGTGATTCTACTTATATAAGGTATCTTGAATAGTCAAACTCACAAAGAGAGTAGAATGGGGGTTGCCAGGGGCCGGAGGGATGGGGAAATGGGAGTTCTTGTTTCATGGGTACAGAGTTTCGGTTTTGCAAGATGAAAAAGTTCTAGAGGTAGGTTGCACAATCAGTATGGTTACTCCTACTGGACTGTATACACTTAAAAATGGTTAGGATGGTAAAGTCTGTTATGTATTTTACCACAATTTAAAAAAAAAGTTTTTTTTGAGACAGGGTCTCACCATGTCACTGAGGCTGGAGTGTAGTGGCGTGACCACAGCTCACTGCAGCCTCAACCTCCCAGGCTCAAGCAATCCTCCCACCTCAGCCTCCCCAGTAGCTGGCATCAGAGGTGTGCGCCACCATGCCTGGCTAATTTTTTTGTAGAGATGATGTTTCGGCCATGTTACCCAGGCTGGCCTCAAACTCCTAGGCTCAAGCGATTTTCCCACCTCAGCCTCCCAAAGTGTTGGGATTACAGGCGTGAACCGCCGCACCCAGCCACATAAAAATCCACACGATTCCTTCCTGTGTTGGCCTGCTCCAGATCTGGCTCAGCTTCTCGAAACTCAGAAAGTTGCAGCTTGCAAGGATTTAGAGATCTAGTTGAATTTTACAGATTAAAATACTAGAGGCCACAACGGGCCAAGTGACTTGGGAAAGGTCTCCCGAGTTTAATAGTAGAGACAAGATTAGTTAGTCTGGCTCCTGACTCCCAGACTGTGGCTCTATCCCGCACTCCAGTTCCAGTGGGGACACCCATTCCCACGCAGGGAGGGAAAAGGCACCCTATCCATTTGGGCCTCCTTCCCATACACCAGGGGTTGGCGGTAGGTGAGCATGTGAGGAAATGCACCTGTGGTAAAAGCTCCTGAACAAACCTGGAGGGAGATGAGAAGAAACAAACAGGTGAGCGCTTAAATGCTAACAGGATTGGCCGGGTTCGGTGGCTCACGCCTGTGATCCCAGCACTTTAGGAGGCCAAGGTGGGCAGATCACCTGAGGTCAGGAGTTCAAGACTAGCCTGGCCAACATGAGGCCAAACCTTGTCTCTACTAAAAATACAAAAATTAGCAGGGCGTGGTGGCAGATGCCTGTAATCCCAGCTACTCGGGAGGCTGAAGCAAGAGAATCACTTGAACCCGGGTGGCAGAGGCTGCAGTGAGCCGAGATTGCACCACTGCACTCCAACATGGGGAATAGAGTGAGACTCTGTCTCAAAAAAAAAAAAAAAATAGCTAACAGGATAAAGCCTGAGTATTTTTTTTTTCCCATTGAGTTACTTTGTAGCTTTCCCCAACCTCGAGTCATAAAGGAGTCTGGAATTGTCCCTTCAAGGTGACACATTCTGTTACATTGTGAATGATGGGCACCGTTTTCTGCCTCCAATAATATCACATGATGAGGCATACATAGAAATGATTTTTTATTTACTTTGATGATTAGGGAAAGATACCAACATAGCTTTCATCAAAGCTAACAAATAACTTTACTGGCAGTTAACTAATTTTATTAGACTAAAGACATGTCTGTTTAAACTGAAACAACTGGCCCTTTGCTTTGGCTGGGACCTTGGGAATCACGGCCAAGGTGCTGATCAGAAAAGAGTCACCATTACATCAACCTCCTCCCCAGCACACAGCACAGAGATGCCACGAAGGCCCCATAGGTCCCTAGAAGAGCAGCTGGGGCTCCACCTACCGAGTCCCAGTGGCTTATTTTGAAAAGATTTGCTTTCCACAGGTAAGGTGTCGCCCGAGTACATTTCTTGAGACTGCCATTGGCTCATCCTGCATATGAGGTAGTTCTCTTTGCATTTTGCAGATGCTCTCACTTGCCCAGGGGGTGGATGTCACGAATCCGAAACCTCTGGCTTCACATTCCTACTGGGAATGCCCCCCCAGCCCGCAGTCACAAGTCAGTCTCCAATCCTGCTGCAGACTCTTTAGCTCTTCAAATCCAAACAGATGTTTTCTTCACCCACAGGTTTAGGTTTTAACTGGCTGCTCAGTGTTAAAAAGGAATATCTCAAGCCCCCTGCCATGCTGAAAGGAGAAAAAAAAGTGAAAATAAATGACTGGGAATTTCACAGGGGCTCCAGCAGCAGTTGCTGGCGTTTTTATCAATACACCTGCTTCATGCGGAGGGAATTATTCCAATATCTGTGTTTCTCCTCAAGTTTGTGGATTGCTTGATGAGAATTTCCCCTTATTTACAAGCCTTTGGAGGCAGAAAAAGAGTCATCAAATCTAATGCAGAACCTCAGAGAGAAAATAAGCACTTGGTTTCTACTGAATAAACTACATACCCTTAGCCTTAAATAGTATCCCACTGCTGAGACCCCAAATGCCTTTCAAAGCTGGCTTAGTCCACACCCCCTGCATGCCGAGCCTAGTGGGCACAAAGGTTAACACCCTCCACTTTATAGGAGGAGGGCAGAGAACGCAGGGGCCTGCTGTGAGGAAGACAGGTGAGTTAAATTCCGATCCCAGCCCCGCAAACTGCCATCACACGTGTCCCCATGGATCTGCATGAGGATGAACCCAGTGATGAAGTAAAATTATCTTAGAAATTAGAATGTCAAAACGCCTCCTGGCTTAACGTGAAAGACTTCTCCAGGCTCTTTTGCTTATTACATATTAATCAGAGTGTTTAAGGTTCTTGTCTTCCCAAAGCGAGTCCATTAAAAATTCCCACTCACCAAATATTTAACCCTACAAAGTTTAACAAAGAGAAAATGTAGTCTCCACCGATTAATATCCCAATGTAGGCAACGGATACATTCTGCAGAAAAAGAGAGAGGATTCGTCATTTTAAAAGTAAACTGTTTAGGGGAAAATATAAATAGTAAAACCTGAAACTAGACATTTTAGTTACTTTGCATAGAGACTTGTACATAGGGATATTCACAGGTGGTTGAACAAAATAAAAACCATTACAGGCCAGGAATGATGGCTCACGCCTGTAATCCCAATACTTTAGGAGGCCAAAGTCAAAGGATCACTTGAGCCCAGGAGTTTAAGACCAGCCTGGGCAACATAGTGAGATCCCATCTCTACAAAAAATTTTTTAAAAGTAGCCGGGCATGGTGGCACATGCCTGTAATCCCAGCTACTCCACACGGACTGAAGTGGGAGGATTGCTTGAGCCCAGGAAGTCAAGGCTGCAGTGAGCTACATGCCACTGTACTCCAGCCTGGGCAACAGAGCAAGACCCTGCCTCAGAAAAATAAATAAATAAGCCATTACATATGGGGCTTACTAAATAAATGCAGTAAATTATGGTATGATAACAACAGAAAATTGCATTATTCTCTCTCTTGATCCAGTTGGCATGCAGGCAAAAGAGGAAGAGTGGGGCTGTCATCAGCTTGCCAGGTTCCTATCTCTTTACTATCATTGGGTAGTGAGGTTTTCTGGGGTTTTTTTTTTTTTTTTTTTGAGACAGAGTCTCACTCTGTTGCCCAGGCTGGAGTGCAGTGGCACAATCTCAGCTCACTGCAACCTTTGCCTCCCAGGTTCAAGAGATTCTCCAGTCCAGCCTCCCAAGTAGCTGGGACTACAGGGCACTCACCACCACGCCTGGCTCATTTTTGTACTTTTAGTAGAGATGGTGTTTCGCCATACTGGCCAGGCTGGTCTCTAATTCCTGACCTCAGGTGATCCGCCTGCCTTGGCCTCTCGAAGTGCTGGGATTACAGGCATAAGCCACTGTGCCTGGTTTTTCTTTTTTTTTTTTTTTTTCAACCTTGGGCTCCCACACTACACTGCAATCTGTGGACACAACAGGGCCAAGTAGTGAGTTAATTATCTTGATCGTAAACTTGAGCAGAGTGGAGACAGTCAACAAATTCCAGGCCGTGCTCTGCCCAGTGCATTCTAGGAGACCTCTGGGCACCCAGGGGACAGGTAAACTCTTGAAGCAGGCAGTGTTTTCACACACTCTAGGACTTCATGTGAATAGAAAAATGAAGCAATTATGGAATAGAATCCAGAACACCTCTCCCCCTATTCATTCATGTGCATGTGTGTGTATTCAGATGCATCCACACAAGCAAACACCCACACACCAACCCACCAGCTCATGATCTCACCACACAGCATACACCTCCACAAGGGCTCCACTTCTCAGTGGGCAGGTTCTCCCAGAAAACCAAATTATGGATCACAAGGTATCTTGCTAATCATTGATACCTGGACTGATTTTATTCTTTTTAGCTTTTTACTTCATTTTCCCAGACCCACCCCCTCTGAGCCACCCCCAACTTAAAAGTTATAATTCATCTCTCCTTTATAAATTAGCAATCTGTCCCTCTATTCTATGCAATAGATTAGAAGAAGTAAGACGGGGCCGGGCTCGGTGGCTCACGCCTGTAATCCCAGCACTTTGGGAGGCCGAGGTGGGTGGATCACGAGGTCAGGAGTTCAAGACCAGCCTGGCCAACATGGTGAAACCTGGTCTCTACCAAAAATATAAAAAATTAGCCGGGTGTGGTGGCAGGCGCCTGTAATCCCAGCTGCTCGGGAGGCTGAGGCAGGAGAACCGCTCGAACCAGGGAGGTGGAGGTTGCAGTGAACCAAGATCGTGTCACTGAACTCCAGCCTGGACAACAGAACGAGACTCTGTCTCAAAAAAAAAAAGAAGTAAGATGGGATCACACAGGCCGAGCTGAAAAGGTCACAGCCCTCGTTCTTACACCACCACCAACAACAAAATCAAACCCGGCCTCCCATGGAATATTTGGATTTCCATTCCTTGACTCAGTTGTTCCCTTCCAAGTTTCCATCCACTCACCTTGATGGCTCCAACCACTGCTGTCGTCAGGGCTGAATTGTAATAGCTGCACAGAACCGTGGAGTACATCAGCAGAAACCTGTGACAAGGAAGCAGACACTGGAGTGTGTGCCTCACTACGCTGGGTAATGACAAATAGGTTAAGGCCAGCAGTGACCCCCACACAAGCACTTTAAGCGAAGAAAAAAGAAACACATATCATAAAGGTTTTGTAACCCACATCTTAAGATATGTTGCTATTGGTCTTATGACAGGAAAATGGTCCAGCTGTGAATTAGCTAAACCTTCTACTTAAGGTATCCTTCTCATTTTCTCTGTACATTTCCAATGAATGTTTCCACAACATGGGAGTAAGGAGAACAAGGTTTAATGACCTGAAATCTCTCATTTATCAGCATGTTAAATGAAGTTAAGAATTGGAGTTTTTAATCCTCTGTGCCTCAGAATCGCCTGCTGCACTTTTTTTTTTTTTTTTTGGTGGGGACGGAGTCTCGCTCTGTCACCCAGGCTGCAGTGCAGTGGTGCAATCTCGGCTCACTGCAACCTCCACCTCCTAGGTTCCAGCAATTCTCCTGCCTCAGCCTTCCAAGTAGCTGGGACTACAGGCTCATGCCGCCATACCCAGCTACTTTTTTTTGTATTTTAGTAGAGATGGGGTTTCACCATGTTGCCCAGGCTGGTCTTGAACTCCTGAGCTCAGGCAATCCACCCGCCTTGGCCTCCCAAAGTGCTAGGATTACAGGCGTGAGCCACCGCGCCTGGCCCGCCTGCTGCACTTCCAACACACAACGAACGATGCCTGGCAGAGGTTCTGCTTCACATGGTTTGAGGTGGGGCCCCGACCGTGCACGATATGAAAGATCCTCAGGTGATTCTGATCTGTAGCCAGAGCAGAGGACCTCTGGTGTCAGAAGAGAAAATCAGCTGAGCGATTGCTGCCTTGGACGGAGGAGATTGAAATAGATTCCACTTGTGGATAATGCTCCTGTAACTGTTACCAAAGTTAACTCAGGCACTTAACATGACCGTAGGTATTGATACTTACTTGCCAATAAAATGACTACAGCCTTGTGGATGAGCGCCAGACAAGAAAACACATACACAGGTAAAGAATGCCAAATCCAGTCAGGTAAAGAAGCGAGCTAATTCCAGTCAAGCAGTGATGGAAATTAGCTGCAACCTCACCTAAGCTGCAACTCAGATCAGATGATGGAATGTTGAAAGGGATTACAAACTGGCTGAGAAAGAAACATGGATGGTACAAGGAGAGTACAAGATGTGTGAGATTTGAAAAGCTAAATCCCAGGTCAGGTTCGGCACGGTGGCTCATGCCCATAATCCCAGCACTTTAGGAGGCAGAGGTGGGTGAATCACCTGAAGTCAGGAGTTCGAGACCAGCATGGCCAACATGGTGAAACCCTGTCTCTACTAAAAATACAAAAATTAGCCGGGCGTGGCGGCACATGCCTGTAATCCCAGCTACTCGGGAGGATGAAGCAGGAGAATTGCTTGAACCCAGGAGGCGGAGCTGAGATCATACCACTGCACTCCAGCCTGGGTGACAGGGCGAAACTCCATTTCAATTAATTAATTAATTAATTAGTCCCAGGTTAAAGGCAGGAACTTGGATTCACCATTGACAGAGAGAAGTGAACTCAACTCTAGCAAAGGGGTTAGTGCACCTGCACTTGGGTAAGCACAGAATTTATTTAATTCTAGAATCCTGCTAGAATTCAACACTCGGTCTTGGTCCTAGGCTCAAATCTCTGGTGAAGATCACAGTCACAAACCTTCAACACGATAACCTCTGTTGGCCTGAGTGTGTTTATTACTAGAGGTGGTAGAGGGAAAAAAATCAGAATATCAAGCTTTACAAGTTGAAGAATAAACTTAACTTCAAACTTAAATTTTGTAATCTTTGCAATACTGTGTGCATTGTAATTAAAACAATTTGAAAAGTTAAAGAAACTCTGTGGTTCTAATTTGAAATATATAATTGATATTAGACTTGCAATTTTAATTTGAAAGAAGAGCGTCGAAGTCTGCATCAGGATTTGAATGTTTTTAAGAAGCTGATTTACCCCATTTCTAAATTTGGTTTATTCTATTTCAAAGAGTTGCTTAAGTACAGAAAGCAATCTACTAGCTTTGTTAATTGGCCTCAGGGGTTGGAATTGCTGAAGAAAAAGTAGGCAGCTCCCATTTGTAAAAACAGTTGAAAATGCTTAAATTCTTTTAATTCACTAAGTTGTAAATGGAACTGATTTACAGTACATTGTTTAGGGGATTTTAATCAGCTAAACTTGAGTTAATAAGCCATTTATCAAATAATGAAAGTAAATGTTCTTTTATAGAAAAATTGTTAGCCTTCTAAATAAGGCAATAATATTTGTAAGTTGAACTTTAAGGCTTAAGAAAAAATCTAAGTTTCGGCCAGGTGTGGTGGCTCACGCCTGTAATCCCAGCAGTTTGGGAGGCCAAGGCAGGCAGATCACAAGGTCAGGAGATTGAGACCATCCTGGCCAACATGGTGAAACCCTGTCTCTAATAAAAATACAAAAAAAATTAGCCAGGCATGGTGGCATGCGCCTGTAATCCCAGCTACTCGGAGGCGCTGAGGCAGGAGAATTGCTTGAGCCTGAGAGGCGGAGGTTGCAGTGAGCCGGGATCGCACCACTGCACTTTAGCCTGGGCAACAGAGCGAGACTCTGTCTCAAAAAAAAAAAAAAAAGAAAATCCAAGTTTCTCAAATTGTTATAATTTTAATAAATCTAACATTAATTTAGATTCCCAGGAGCTATAAATAATCCTATTTATCCATACAATGAAAAAATTAAAAAACTCAAACTGATGCCACTGAGTGCCTGCTCTGCCAGGCCCTGGCTGTCAGAGGGGACCATCCCATCCACAGCACCTGCCCCGGAGCCACTCAGACCCAGATCAGAGGAGAGAGCTGCACAGCAGCGGGAGCACAGCACAGGGCCCAGCCCAACGCAGGGGCAGAGAGGAGCTTCCTGCAGGCCGCCTATGCACCAGCACAGCCTTAAACCAAGGACAGCATGGATGTTCTTTATTTCCACTTTTGCTTTAAAATTCCAACTCCAGGGTTCCAATCATGCAACATTTTCTCCATCCTCCATTTTTCTTTTCTTAAAAAAGGGTTGGGGGGAACCTCATCTCTTGACAAGATCTGGCTATATTACCCAGGCGGGACATGAATGCCTGGGTTCAAGTGATCCTCCCGCCTGTCTTCCAAGTAGCTGGGACTACAGATGTGTGTCGTCACACCCAGCTCCATCTTAGTGAAACCACCTCAGCCTGCATTCAGAATCAGAAGACATCATGGATCTAAGATCCCAGCACCCATCCATCATGAGTGTGGGTGACTAGGACATCACTCACCAGCTGGGCTGAGCCAAGGGAGGAGAATCCCTCCCTAACATTCTGGAGTGAGCCTCAGTGAGCAGCCATCCTCCTTAGCAACAGATGGCGGCTAGATAGAAGGGCTGCACTTCTTTTTTCTTTTTCTTTTTCTTTTTTTTTTTTTTAAAGATGGGGTCTCACTCTTTCGCCCAGGCTGGAGCGCAGTGGTGTGATCATGGTTCACTGCAGCCTCCACCTCCCAGGCTCAAGCAATCCTCCCACCTCAGCCTCTCAAGAAGCTGGGACTACAGGTACACATCACTAAACTTGGCTAATTTTTAAATTTTTTCTAGATACAGAGTCTTGCTATCTTGCCCAGGCTGATCTGGAACTCTGGGGCTCAAGCAATCCTCCCTCTCTGGCCTCCCAAAGTGCTGGGACTATAGGAATTAGTCACCACTCCCAGCTTGCACTTCTTAATATACCCACTAGATGTCCCCAGAGAGGGCAAATATAGAACCACCAGGCTCAAAGTAGCAGTATATTACATTTTTTAAAAGAATCTATTTCTATATGCAAAAAAAACTTGCATAGTTCTTTGGCCAAAACCAAGACTTTGAACTAAAAGAACCTTCGTTAACTCAGTACTCAGTGCAAGGGAAACCTCACCACTTTTATTACTGAAAATATCAACCTCCACATGACTAGCTTTGATTTTACTATCTGTAGATTAATAAAATACAAAGATATTTAAAAGTATTGCTGAATTCTTAGTAACCTTTTTTACCATTCTATATTTTTTAGATAGGGTCTCACTCTGTTGCTCAGGCTGGAGTACAGTGGCACAATCACAACTCACTGGGCTCACATGAGCCCAGCCTCCATCTTCTGGGCTCAGGTGGTCTTCCCACCTCAGCCTCCCAAAGTGCTGGGATTACAGGTGTGAGCCACCACGCCCAGCGTGCTCTGTATTTTGAAGTCATGATATTATCTGTGTACATTTGAAATATAACAGCACATACATCTGATGCACATTTATTCAGACAACAGAGGCCAGCTGAGTGTTCTGCTTCTAGGGCCCCCAGGGTGGAGGTGCCCAAGTAGAAACTCCTGGACCAGAGCCTCTGCTCAAAGCCTTCTTCTTCCTGTTCTAAAAACAGCACAAAAAGTAACTGCCTTACCCAACATTGTGGCAGTCACAAACAGAACTCAAATGACCTAGTTTATACCTTGTCACTGATTACCGTTCCCTGCCCCAACAAATATAGAAACTCAACAAACGTTCAAATATTCACAGGCCACTTTTGCATTCTTTCCACCATCCACAATGGTACCCAAGCACATCATTCTCTTATAATTCCAGATTTCAAAGAATTCCAAGGAACCCCATCCTCACCATCTCTAGGAAGAACTCACTCCTAAGAACTCACAGAGTGCCAGCCTGGACAACATGGTGAAACCCCGTCTCTACTAAAAATACAACAATTAGCTGGGCTTGGTGGCTGGAACCTATAATCTCAGCTACTCAGGAGGCTGAGGCAGGAGAATCGCTTGAACCCAGGAGGCGGAGGTTGCAGTGAGATGAAATCGCGTCACTGCATTCTAGCCTGGGCAAACAGAGTGAGACTCCATCTCAAAAAAAAAAAAAAAAGACATTATTTATGTCTTTTAAAGGACAGAAATTCTACAAGATTGAATAATTTGGCAGGAGACATTTACATATATACACACACACATATACATATATACTTTTATATATATAAATACACACTTTTTTATATATATACTTTTTTTAGAGACAGGCTCTCCCTCTGTTGCCCAGGCTGGAGTGTAGTGGTGCCATCATAGCTCACTGCAGCCTCAAACTCCTGAGCTCAAGCAATCCTCCTGCCTCACCCTCCTGAGTAGCTGGAACTACAAGAACATGCCACCACATTTGCCTAACTTTTTTCTGTAGAAATGAGTTCTCATATGTTGCCCAGGCTGGTCTCAAACTCCTGGCCTCAAGTGATCCTCCCACTCAGCCTCCCAAACAAAGCTTTGGGGCTACAGGCATGAGCCACTGTGTCTGGCATAGATTTCTTGTATTTCTCACCTGCATTTTCACATCTATGATCTTCAAAACACTCCTCCACTGGTACTTGGAGAGTGGCTGTGGCCCACGGATTTTGTAAGCATACGCTGTCCATTTGCAAGTTTGATAATTGCTCAGCCATTGCAATTAAGCAATGTTCTGCTTTTGCGGCACCAATAATAACTAGCTTTTAAACTTTTATTTTTCACAGCCCTTTTGTGAGAGAACATTTTCACAGATCTTTTCTGTTGTGTTGTTAGGAATACAGTAAGAAGGAATGATATTTGGCTTCCTCAATAAAGGAATCTATATTAGTCAGCGTTCCCCAGAGGAACGGAACCAATAGAACACACAAGTATAGATATATGAGAGGGGATTTATCAGGGGAATTGGCTCCCACAATTATGGAGGCTAAAAAGTCCCAAGACAGGCCATCTGCAAGTTGGAGACCCTGAGATGCCAGTAGCGTGGCTTAGGCCAAGTCCAAAGGCCTGAGAACGAGCGAAGCCTTTGGTGTAACTTGGTGGTCCAAGGCCAAAGGCCTCCTGACCACAGACTGCTGGTGGAAGCCCTAGATTCCCAAGGCCAGTGAGCCAGGAGTTCTGATGTCCAAGGCAGCAGAAGAAAGTCTGTCCCAGATTTCAAAGAGGGATGGATTCGCCTCTGTATTTGATCTCTCCATGCCCATGGCCAATTGGCTGGTGCCTGCCAACCATGAGGGCAAATCCTCCCCACCTGGTCCACTCAGACTCACAGGCCAATCTCCTGTGGAAACCCCCACACATATACACACACACAGACACCTAAAATAAAGCTTCACTGGGTTCCCAGGTATTCCTTAATCCAGTCGAATTGATACCTGAATTTAACTCCACAATTCCCCCTGCTTGTCAATTGGCACCCACAGGCATCGCCTTAAACCATACTTAAGTTTCCGAATGAAGACAGTAACAAAGAAATTTTGTTATTTAGTTGCATCCATCTGATGTGACACAACATGTATCCTGCATACAACAGAAATACACAATCCCTTCCCCAGAATTCAGCTTTCAGGATTTCAACATTTGAGATTCTACTCTTTCAGGATTATAATTTTTTGAAGTTAGATCTTTTGGGGGTTATGGCATTCAGGATAGTGTTGTGAAAGGAAAATTAAATCTCAGAACCCCAAACTCACAATGCCAAAGGGAGAAGTTAAGTCTGGAAACTGAGTCACACAAAAACTGCCTTCCATTCTGTTCCTCAATAGATAGCTGCAAAGAGAGAGGGCCACACATCTCCCCAGGTGGCCTCCCTCGCAAATTGCTCACAAGGAAGTTCCTTGCAGTTCCCAAAATCTTCACCCTAAAACAGAGTTCTGCTGAATTTCACCCTGATTTTATTTATTTATTTATTTATTTATTTTTGTCACCCAGGCTAGAGTGCAATGGCACAGCCTCGGCTCACTGCAACCTCCACCTCCCAGGTTCAAGAGATTATCGTGCCTCAGCCTCCCAAGTACCTTGGATTACAGGGGCACACTACCACGCCCCGCTGATTTTTGTATATTTAGTAGAGACAGGGTTTCGCCATGTTGGCCAGGCTGATCTCGAACGCCTGACCTCAAGTGATCTGCCCACCTCGGCCTCCCAAAGTGCTGGGATTACAGGCTTGAGCCACCATGCCCGCATGATGATGTAAATTAATAGCTTATCTTAAACAGGTATGGACAAAGACAGAACTAGAAATCATCCCTCTGCCCACTCCAAGACAAATGCGTGATTGCCTCCTCCTTCTCCTGTATGCTTGCTTTTATCTTATGTAAAATGCAGATTTGCTGAAAGCCAGACAAATGAATAATTGTTCCTCGACCCCTCCTTTCACATGTAACACGTGGATTCAGTGAGCACTAATCAAAGTCTTGCAAGAATGTAGGACTCACTCACCTTACAAGAATGTAACCACTCACTTCCTGACATACCCTCCCTCCCTTTTTTTTTCTTTCCCTCTGCCCCTCCTGCCACCCTTTCCCCTTTAAATACTGAAGTCTTCAAAATTCTCCTTGGAAAAAGCACAGGCCACAGATCCTACTGTGATTTGTGTTTCTTTTTCCCCAAGTGCATCCTCAACCTTGGAAAAATGAACCTCTAAATAGATTGAGACCTGTCTCACACACTTTTTGGTTTACAGCAGGAGTCCCCAAGCCCCAGGCCGCAGACCGGTACCAGTGCACAGCCTGTTAGGAACCCAGGTGCACAGCAAAAGGTGAGCAAGCATGTCCGCCTGAGCTCCGCCTCCTGTCAGATCAGTGATGGCATTAGGTTCTCATAGAAGCGCAAACCCTATTGTGAACTGCGCATTTGAGGGATGTAGGTTGCATGCTCCTTATAAGAATCCAATGCCTGATAATCTGAGGTGGAAGAGTTTCATCCCAAAACCATCCTTACCCATCCTGCATCCATGGAAAAATTGTCTTCCAAGAAACCGGTCCCTGGTGCTAAAAAGGTTGGGGACTGCTGGTTTACAGTGTCTTTCAGGACTGTGGTTGGCACTGGCCCTTTCACCATTCTGTCGGCTTCTTAACAAAACATTTCAAAGCGTAATAATTTTTAAATTATATTTTCAACTCAGAATAGAGGTTTGGTGGCTGAAAAGAGCAAGTCCGAAATGCAAACCTGAAAGCAATGAAAGCAGGTAAGAGGCTGAGTGGGCTCGCCTCGAGTCTGGAGTTGCGGTGTGTGTGTTAACCCTAAAACATCCCTTCGCACCCGTCAGGAGAGAAGAGACAGCCCAAGTCCAGCACCAGTCCCCAAAGCCAAGGATGTGCTGGGAAGCTTACTATGGAGATGCAGATGATCAGATCCTAGCATACTTTGACTGAGAAACTACAAGAAAGCAGTATTCTGAAAAAGCCGCCATGCCAAAATGGAAGTCTCCTTGCAGTGCAGTTTCAGACTTAAAACTTTACCATTAAAGGTAAAGTTCATGTTGGCCGGGTTCAGTGGCTCACACCTGTAATCCCAGCACTTTGGGAGGCCAAGGCAGGCAGATCACCTGAGATCAGGAGTTCAAGACCAGCCTGGCCAACAAGGTGAAACCCTGTCTCTGCTAAAAATACAAAAATTAGCCAGGCGCAGTGGTGGGTGCCTATAATCCCAGCTACTCGAGAGGCTGAGGCAGGAGAATCGCTTGAACTCAGGAGGCAGAGGTTGCAGTGAGCCGAGATCGCGCCACTGCACTCCAGACTGGGTGACACAGCGAGACTCCATCTTAAAACAAAAAAGACCCACTTTGGAAACTAACATCCACCTTGTTTCATCAAACTTGAGTAAACCTGAAATGTTAATGATTTCATCATTTTTACTGTTTTACTTATAATAACTACACCTTTGCGAATTTTTTTTTTTTTTTGAGACAGAGTCTCGCTCTGTCGCGAGGCTGTAGTACAGTGGCACGATCTCGGCTCACTGCAACCTCCAACTCTGTGGTTCAAGTGATTCTCCTGCCTCAGCCTCCTGAGTAGCTGGGATTACAGGCACATGCCACCAGGCCCAGCTAATTTTTGTATTTTTAGTAGAGATGGGGTTTCACCATGTTGGCCAGGCTGGTCTCAATCTCCTGACCTCATGATCTGCCCACCTCAGCCTCCCAAAGTGCTGGGATTACAGGCATGAGCCACTGCGCCTGGCCTGAATTTTCAATTTCTAAAATGACTACTGATAAAATAATGTATTAATAATTCTTATCAAAAGGGCATTTGTTTTTAAGAAACACATTATTAAATGGGGAAAAAAAGTATGGAATTGTAGGCCGGGCGTGGTGGCTCACGCCTGTAATCCCAGCTCTTTGGGAGGCTGAGGCGGGTGGACCACGAGGTCAGGAGATCGAGACCATCCTGGCTAACACGGTGAAACCCCGTCTCTACTAAAAAAATACAAAAAAATTAGCCGTGGTGGCGGGCGCCTGTAGTCCCAGCTACTCAGGAGGCTGAGGCAGGAGAATGGCGTGAACTCAGGAGGCGGTGCGTGCAGTGAGCCAAGATCGCGCCACCGCACTCCAGCCTGGGCGACAGAGGGAGACTCCGTCTCAAAAAAAAAAAAAAAAAAAAAAAGTATGCAATTGTAGACAGATGGGATCAAGCCTGTCATGGGCAAGCCCTGGAGGGTAACAGCTCACAGCGAGGCTGCCCGCCCTCACCCACTGAGGACAGCTGACCTCAGAGGGTCCACTTCTTGGTTTCCTTCATGGAATGGTTAAACGGTGAAGTGCATGTTAAAAACAAAAAACAAACCAAAAAAGCCAATATCTCATCAAGTTTACAATGACATGAGAAGACTTTGAAACTTTGCTCTCCTGTTCACAGAGGAATATGGGCTTAGCCAGGGAAAGGTGCTAGTCTAAGTTTGTGTACTAAGGGTTGACTTCTTATTTTTCGATTAGAGAGAAAAATAAGAGATGGTTTGACAAAGGGTGACTCACAAGCATGGCTTAGATTTTTTTTTCAAGGTTAAATGTTCCCACTCAACAACTGGGTAAACTACAGGTATTTTACTAAACTTATGCTTCCAACAATGGCTAAGTGCTCTAAGGCAGCAGTCCCCAACCTTTTTGGCACCAGGGACCGGTTTTGTGGAAGACAATTTTTCCATGAATGGGGAGGAAGTTTGGCTTGGGGCCAAACTCTAGGGGGAGGAGGGGATACTGAGCCCAGACTCCCAAAAGGCCTAAAGGGATCAAGGTCTGGGGCAACCCCTGGCTACCAGCAGAAGCAAATACAACTTGTCCCTATAGAAAAGTGTCTCAAATTCCCAATTTCAGCTCATGGGACTGATCAAAGTTAAGCAAAATGGGCCGGGTGTGGCGGCTCATGCCTGTAATCCCAGCACTTTGGGAGGCCGAGGCAGGTGGATCACCTGAGGTCAGGAGTTTGAGACCACCCTAGCCAACATGATGAAACTCCGTCTCTACTAAAAATACAAAAATTAGCCAGGTGTGGTGGTGGGCAACTGTAATCCCAGCTACTCAGGAGGCTGAGGCAGGAGAATCACTTGAATGCAAGAGGCAGAGGTTGCAGTGAGCCAAGATCGTGCCACTGGACTCCAGCCTGGGAGACAAAGTGAGACTCCATCTCAAAAAAAAAAATTTTTTTTAAGCAAAATGCTCACAATCACAGGTCACCAAACACAGAAGAAAGCAAACCACAATGAACATCGCCTGAAACAAAAAAACTGCATGCTTAAATTCTCAAGAGCTGCTGCCAATGCTGGGATTGTCAGATACAGAATATGGAATAGCTGTGTGTGACACCTAAAGAAATAAAAGGCACAGTCACAAGGATCACCAGTGAGAGTATTCTAAATGAACAGATACGTTTGGGAAAAAACTGTGGAACTTTTACAAATAAAATATAAAATTGTTAAAATCAAAAACTCCATCAACATTAAATCATTAAATCAGACACAGCTAAAGAGAGAACTAATGAATGGAAGATAGACAGAAATGTTTTTACTGCATGTGAGTACATCATTGCAATTGAAATCAAGTTTGAGAATTGAAGAGTGTTGATCAAAGAGGTCAGGAGTTGTCTTTGTTCATTTACACAGAATGAAAAGTGTGGCAGGTGAGAGGGAATCCATCTTCCTTCACAGGAAAAATCATTTGATGAGTAATTCCCTGCTATAGGAATTCAAGGGCCCCTTCAGTATGGGAGAAGGTACCAATGCCTGTATTGGAATGAATGCCCGCTCAGGGAGGATACTCCCAAGATTTCCAACAGTGTTGCCTCTGGGGAAGAAAACTACAGTGTGGAGGCGAGGAAGAATGGAGGGGAGTTGGTGTTCCCTATTTATTCTTTTTGTTTGTTTGTTTGTTTGAGATGGAGTCTCCTCTGTCACCCAGGCTGGAGTGCCGTGGCGCGATCTTGGCTCACTGCAACCTCCACCTCCTGGGTTCAAGCGATTCTTCTGCCTCAGACTCCTGAGTACCTGGGACAACAGGTGTGCATCACCACACCCAGCTAATTTTTGTATTTTTAGTAGAGATGGGGTTATGCCATGTTGGCCAGGCTGGTCTCAAACTCCTGAACTCAGGTGATCCACCTGCCTCAGCCTCCCTATTTATTCTTTTGCACCTTTTTAATGATTTCCTAGTTGCATGTATCACCTATTCATGCAAAGGGATTTTCAAGTCTTTAGAAGACTGAAATAGACACAAACTATATGGTCTCTCAACCAGAAGATATACCTAAAGAAAATTTCAAGAACGGGGCCAGGCGCGGTGGCTCACGCCTGTAATCCCAGCACTTTGGGAGGCTGAGGTGGGCAGATCACAAGGTCAGGAGATTGAGATCATCCTGGCTAATACAGTGAAACCCCATCTCTACTAAAAATACAAAAAATTAGCCAAGTGTGGTGGTGCATGCCTGTAATCCCAGCTACTCGGGAGGCTGAGGCAGAATTGCTTGAACCTGGGAGGCAGAGGTTGCAGTAAGCCAAGATTGTGCCACTATACTCTAGCCTGGGCAACAAAGCAAGACTCCATCTTCAAAAAAAAAAAAAAAGAAAGAAAGAAAATTTCAAGAACAAAAAAGCCTAACTGTTGGACAATACAACAGCCTGGACATCTCTCTTTAGAAATTTTCCTGAATATAGCAGGTATAGCACTATAGGAAAAGGCTGTCATAGTCACATAATTATTTGAGGAAGGGATCTTGAAAAACTAAGGACATGGTGACAAAGATGAAAACATATTACTGCCAGGCCTGGAGGCAGGAGCCTGTAGTCCCAGCTAATCAGGAGGCTAAGGTAGGAAGATTGCTTGAGCCCAGGAGTTTGAGTCCAGCCTGGGCAACACAGTGAGACCCCATCTCTTAAAAAACAAAAACCAAAAAATCCTCAGCATTGAACTTGAAATGTCAGCTGACTTCATTTCAGACAAACTTTCAGAAATCAATAGGCAACATCATATTTTGAAGAAGAACAGGACATTAGCATGACTTTCAAAAACAAGAGTTGTATGCTTGTTCCTGGTCTTTCAGGCTGGGTTTCCAGGTATCCTGGGTCCCTGACACCTCCTTTGCTGCAGGGGTACTTTCCAGAGAAAGTCAGAGAAACACAAAGGAATTCTGACAGAATAGACAGAAGGCATATCTTGATTTGACTTGTCAAGAGATACTGTTGACCAATGCTTCTACTTATCTATGGTTTCTTACCCCAAAAAACAGGAAAGAAGAAACTGTAGGATAAACACAACATTCTTCCATTGGTTGAATTCAGTAGCCTATTATTAAAAAGAAAAAAACTAATGATTAGGTTAATAATACTGCAGTTTAAATTTACTGGTTTTACCAAACTGCATTTTGATACAGGAACCATCTTCCCAAACAGAAAACATAAAGCTAAAAATCCTAGGTCATACTAGTTGTGGGACATTGGGCAAATTTATTTTCTTCCCTGAACTTCAGATTCATTTTACAAAATCTAGCTTATTTAAAAAAAGGAAAGCCTTCCTCAAAACGTTGATATAAGGACTGAAAGAAATTGTTTAGGACTGTGCTGATGGCCAGCACAAAATCGCAAACGCTATTATCGCTGAGGCTATCATTGATTCACTGACTTTATACACCTTTACTAATTTAATTTGTGGTCCCAAATTCAAGGTTGGGTTTATTTTTTATAAATCGTTTTAGAAGAAAGTTAATTATCTCTTTTTTTTCTTTCTTTTTTCAGACCAGGTCTTGCTCTGTCACCCAGGCTGGAGTGCAGTGGTGTGATCATGGCTCACTGCAGCCTCTACCTCCTGGGATCAATCAGTTCCTCCCACCTCAGTCTCCTGAGTAGCTGGGACTACAGGCACAGGCCACCATGCCTGGCTAATTTTTTTTTTTTCTTTAAGTAGAGACAGGGTCTCACCATGTTGCCCAGGCTGGTCTCAAACTCCTGGGCTCAAGTCATCTGCCTGCCTTGGCCTCCCAAAGTACTGGGATTACAGGCATGAACCACCACACCCAGCCAAAAAGTTTATTCTTAATTAATAATGTAGGCAAGAAAAGTTTAAGGTCATAAACTGTTCTCAGGAACTTGCACATGCTTAGGAAGTATTGTGAACAAATAAACTATTATTTGCTACTTATAAAGCAATCAAGTAATTGGGGTGGAGGACATGGTAGACAAAGAAGTTTAAGACTTCATTTTTGGCCGGGCGCAGTGGCTCACGCTTGTAATCCCAGCACTTTGGGAGGCCGAGGCGGGTAGATCACCTGAGGTCAGGAGTTTGAGACCAGCCTGGCCAACATGGTGAAACCCTATCTCTACGAAAAATACAAAAATTAGCCAGGCGCAGGGGCAGGTGCCTGTAATCCCAGCTACTACAGGGGCTGAGGCAGGAGAATCACTTGAACCCGGGAGGCAGAGGTTGCAGTGAGCCGAGGTCACGCCATTGCACTCAGCCTGGGTAACAAAAGCAAAACTCCACCTCAAAAAAAAAAAAAAAAAAAAAAAACTCAATTTCTGCTCTCCAGGAATTTAATCCCTAGCTGAGAAAATAAAATTAACCCTCTTGAGGTGACAGGTGACAATAAGGAGTATTTTATTCATGGTTGGCCCCTGCCTGTATCCAAAAACGATCTGAAAGTGTCTGAAGACTGCCCGTAAGTATGTGCTCAATAACATGATCGAATATAAGTTCTACTCACTTTCTATTAAGCAATACTTTGTTAGCCAAGTTTTAGAAACTCAATGTATTTAAAATGAAATCTTTTAAGTTTATAATTCAAATTTTTAAACAATTAAGGTAGAATTCTCTTCTCCAATCTGTACCATCTTGTCACATTTCACTGTCATTGTTTCATGAGTAATGCTTTGCCCACTTCACTTCTCAAAAGGATACACATGACAAAAATTAGCTGGGCATGGTGGTGTGCACACTTGTAGTCCCAGCTACTGGGAAGGCTGAGGTGGGAGGATCACCTGAGCCCAGGAGATGGAGGCTGCAGTGAGCTGTGATGGTACCACTGTACTCCAGCCTGGGCAACAGAGTGAGACCCTGTCTCAAAAAAAAAAAAAAAAAATACACGTTAAATGTTCCTAATTGTTGAAACTGGCTGATGGGCATATATGTGGAGTTTGTCATGTCACTCCGTCTCCTTCTGTATATGTTTGACAGTTTCCTTGCGTCATAACACTTTTTGTTAAATGTTCACTTATGAAAGAAAAATATAATAAATATAAATCTGTCTTTCCAGCAAGCCCCAAGCTAATCAAAGGAGCAGAAAACTTCCAAAAGAATTAAAGCCAAAAAGTTTATGCTTAAGGTAGTCAAAGACCAAAACAAAACAAAACCACAAAAATCATGGGAAACACTTAGTGTCTGAAATTAAAATAAAATTGGGAATAAGAGAAATACTTAAGTTTTAAATTTCAAACCAAGGGTAGAAAAACATCTATTCTCTCAAAGAGCTAAAAGTATTTATGCAAACAGTAAAATATCAATCAATCCATTAATAAGAAATAAATAAAAACTCTATATGTGTTCCTGATACTACAAAATCCATTGAGGGCTATTTTGTGACTCTCATAAAATATTTAGATTCTTCACCAACCTAAATTTTGTTTTGTTTTTTTTTGAGATGGAGTCTCGCCCTGTCGCCCAGGCTGGAGTGCGGTGGCACGATCTCAGCTCACTGCAACCTCCACCTCTCGGGTTCAAGCGATTCTCCTGCCTCAGCCTCCCAAGTAGCTGGGACTACAGGCACTCGCCACCACACCCAGCTAATTTCTGTATTTTTAGTAGAGACAGGTTTTCACCATGTTGGCCAAGATGGTCTCGATCTCTTGACCTCATGATCTGCCCGCCTCAACCTCCCAAAGAGCCGGGATTACTGGCGTGAGCCATCGTGACCAGCCCCAACCTAAATTTTTATAGATTTTAGTTTTATTTCCTTAATAATGATGAGACGGTATTAGTGGCATTTTTAAAATAATGCAGCATGATTTATTTTTAAATCATAAAAAATAATGTAGCATTATTTATTTTTAAAAAGAAATAATCAAAGGTAAACAACAATAAAGCCCTTCTTCCTTTAGACTTACTGTTGGAACGTGAGTCTTTTTCACTTTGCACTCAGGGTTTTTTAATCAGGGAAAAAAAGTCCTATTATTTATCTCTATTCATCAACTGTAATATACTAGATGTACTTTGAACCTATTGCAGTGATTCAAATACTAAAGAAAGTTCACCCGCTGAGTATTTTCCAAGGGCCTAATTTGTTAACAAGAGAAGCTGTCATCTCTGACTTTGTTCATCAGAGATAGAATTGAGGCACTGTTAATAGATCTATTGACTGTGTAAGTCCAAAGTCTGGGCTTGAATTCCCGGAGGAATGAGTCACACACACACATTTACCACAATCTCTGATCTTCTCCATCGCTCCTAGTCCCAGTTAACCAGGGAAAATGACTCATCAAGTTTCTTTCCATTAACAAGAGAAGTTAACATTTTGCTCTAATTCATTAATCAGCTTTCAGAACACTCAAACCAAACTTGGTAAACAAAAAGCAATTTTATATTACAGGCTAACACACCTAATTCATTTCTTTCTCCTATTTGGTTTACAATCTAAAATGAATTCCACCACATTCAAAAGGGACCAATGGGAAGAAATTTGCCCTGATTCAGTGAATACAGAGCAATGTTAGTAGTGGAAATCTCACTGTTGTTTTTTGCTTTTTGTTTTTTATATGGGGTTGATGGCTTTTTTCTTGCAGATTACAGTGAGTGTCTCATATATTTTGGCATCTCGTCATACAATACTTTTAAAAACTAGTCAAACTTGGCTGGGCGCAGTGGCTCACGTCTGTAATTCTAGCATTTTGGAAGGCCGAGGCGGGCAGATCACGAGGTCAGGAGTTCGAGACCAGCCTGGCCAACATGGTGAAACCCTATCTTTACTAAAAATACAAAAATTAGCCGGGCATCATGGTGGCGGGCGCCTGTAGTTCCAGCTACTCAGGAGGCTGAGGCAGGAGAATCGCTTGAACCCAGGAGGCGGAGGTTGCAGTGAGTCGAGATCATGCCATTGCACTCTAGCCTGGGCAACAGAGGGAGACTCCATCTCAAAAAAAAAAAAAAAAAAAAAAAAAAAAAAACTAGTCAAATTTTTAACTCCATGACTTGACTTGTACTTTGTTATTTTATAGAAGGCCTTTTATTATGGTTATAACTATACTCTATATCTTCTAATTATAATTTTTCTTATTGGTTTTGAAAAACAAATCTATATAGTTAGCACTTTGGTCCATCTGGAATTTCAATGATTAGCAGTCACTCTGGCGGCTCGAAGGTACTTACAGACTTTCTAAAGGAACTTCTGTTTGAAATCTTTGAAGTCTGATCAAATAGAAGAGGCTAAACAGGGTAAATATTCGGATATTCCAGTACCACAAGCCAGAATAGGAGGAGGATATTCTCCTAGAGCATTAGGATTTAATAAAGTATATGTTAGCTGAGCACAGTGGCTCACCCCTGTAATCCCAGCACTTTGGGAGGCTGAGAAAGGCAGATCACTTGAGGTCAGGAGTTTGAGACCATCCTGGCCAACATGGTGAAACCCCGTCTCTACTAAAAATACAAAAATTAGCTGGGTGTGGTGGTGCGCTCCTGTAATGCCAGCTACTCAGGAGGCCGAGGCAGGAGAATTGCTTGAATGTGGGAGACAGAAGTTTCAGTGAGCCAAGATCATGCCACTGCACTCCAGCCTGGGTGACAGAGTGAGACGCTGTCTCAAAAATATAAAATAAAATAAATAAAAATAAAGTATATGTTAGGTCTCTTGTACTTTCTATAAGGGAAGGATATGTTTTCACACATGAAGGAGAAAACAAACACTTTTCATATACAAATGAAGTAAATAAAGATGACAGTGGAGGATGTGTTTCTAGAGCCAGAGTGCCTGGACTGACCACCTGCTATCCTTGGGAATGTATTTAAGCACAATGCCCTAGATGCTTTGCCTATACGATAGAAATAGTAACAGGACCTTCTCTTCTGCTGTGGAAATGCAGTGAGATAGTTCATGAACAATGCTTTGAAAAATGTCTGACATAATAAGCCCTCAGCAAGTATTAGCTATTATTATTATCACATGAGAAAGCAGAAGATTCCACATGATAATCATTACAGGCAGAGGGCAACTTCTGAAAACACCATGCTACAAGTTTATAAGTCAATGACGTTGATGTAAGAACACATATTTCTTCTGAAACAATGTTATACATTATTAACATAATACACCTAATCTATTTTACTCATAAAGAACCTAAAATTCAGTTTCTGGTCACTATGCCTTTCATAGTGTTGTTGCCATGGGGAAATATGCTTTTAGCCCCAGTGAGATGTTTTAACAATATTTAGGAGTTTCTAGATTTATATTTTTGGAAAAAAAAAATATATATATATCTAAAATACCAGAATTTCAGAACAGATAAACTCCGCTGATTTAAAAAAACAAAACAAAACAAAAACAAAAAAAAACCCTCGTTTCTATAATAATGAAAGGAGACAAGCCTCTAGGACCACTTCATTAAGAGTTCATAATTTTTCTTTTTATCTTTTTTCCTTTTTTTTTGAGATGGAGTCTCGCTCTGTCACCCAGGCTGGAGTGCAATAGCGTGATCTCGGCTCACTGCAACCTCTGCCTCCCAGGTTCAAGTGATTCTCCTGCCTCAGCCTCCTGAGAAGCTGGGATTACAGGCACCCGCCACCATGCCTGGCTTATTTTTGTATTTTTACTACTACTAAAAATACTCTCTACAAATGGGGTTTCATCACGTTGGCCAGGCTGGTCTCAAACTCCTGACCTCAGGTGATCTGCCTGCCTCGGCCTCCCAAAGTGCTGGGGTTACTGGTGTGAGCCACCTCGCCTGGCCAAGAGTTCATAATTTTGTTTTGTGTAATGTTGGAGCACTGACTCAGTTTAAAATTGATTGATGGTAGCTGAAAAACAAATACTGTGTTTTCAGGTATCATGCCCTGCTCATTCTTACTAGAGAGGTGCAGGTGCCCGCTTTATCTTCCAAAACGGAATTAACAGGGAGGCTCAGGTTCACAACGTTCTAAATAACCCGAAAAAGAGAGCTCTTTATCGAGATTGGTGCCACTTGGTAGTTTTCCATATAAACCCGTGGAAATGGCTGTTTGTGCCCGGGGACGAGGTTGCTAAGCCCTTCTGCTGATCCCTCCTTCTGGGAAGAGAATTGGACAAGTGAGAAAGTCCAGCTGGAGAAAGAACAAGGAGCTGCCCAGGAGTCCACAGCAGCCTGCAGCCTTTCAGAGTCACTCAGACCCTAAAAGAGCTGCAAATGGGATTGACTTTCAACTGGTGGGCAACATACACCCATGCTGATTGCTAAATATGGAAACACTGTCCTGTCCATGGGTAAATGGGTGCTGCCCCAGCCCCAGGCCAGCAATGACGGGGTTATCGCCTGGCTGGTCAGGGCTGTGTCCGGAGTCGAGTCTGTGGGTGGAGGTCCCGCTGAGGAGGGTTTTGCCCATCGCATCTCGTTTCTCACAGTCACTTACACATCAGCAAAGTTCTCAGAGGCTGTGTGGCCCGCGACTTCCTGAAGAAGTCCGGGCTTGCACCCTTCGGGGTGGCCACTGGAGCTGTCACTATGGAGAATGTCCACACGTCCTGAGAGACTTGGCCTCCACCGCTCCACTGGGCCTCAGATCTTACCACTAATTTACCATTTTATTTGTCTCTCACCAGCAGCAGATACGGTTTCAGGGCAAATGCTGAAAGAACAACACCTTCCCAAAATTCAAATGTGGATCCTGGAATATTTAGAGGTAAAATGGCGTGATGGCTGGGATAGGTTTTAAAATACTCCAGAGGAACAAAAAGCTGGGGATGGATGAGGACAGATAAAATAAGATGGCAAAATGCCAAAGTGTTGAAGCTAGGTGGTGGGTCCCTGACAACTCATTGAATTACTCTATTTTGTGCATGTTTCAAAATGTCCGTAATAGAAAGTAACAAATAAATAAACAAACCTATGTTTTAAAATGATCAAAATCCCCTTCTAGGGTAAGTAGCTCTCCCAGGGTCCCCACATTAGCAAAGGGGGATATGGAATTCAAACTCAGATTTGTATTGTTGTTTTCCAAAAAGTACCAAGTCCAGAGTTCTTGGCTCTCCTTGATATGTGGCTAAGGATAAATGCCAATGCAAGGGTAGTGCCAAAAGGTGTTACTAGGGATATCAAACATCTTGTTATCATGTACCCTCCTGGTAGTCCTAGCTAACTTTACACTTTTTGTTTCAGTGCATATCAAATGTTAAATATTAAATTTTTTAAAGCCAGCTAAGGAAAACTGTAATGATTGTCATCAGCTCACCTGTTGCAGGTCTCCAGTGGAGACACTAATAATAAGAGTTGGGATAATCATGAAGCAGGCATTGTAGAAAAGTACTCCGTATTTCCCTAGCTCCTGCAAAAACAAAAATGTAAAAACCACTCAGTTTCAGAAACGTGAGGCACAGATTTCCTGGAGCCATTTATACAACTGCATATTCATGCGAAGTTAGAATGTGCATTCTGAGCAACTCTTTTGGAATATTTTCAGCAAATTTCTGACATAAAATGCTTTGGTTTGAGGGTACTGAGATTTTGGAATAAACATTTGTTTTACACCAAAACTACAGAGAAAACGCATGGCAGTGGGAAGCCTCTAGGGTTCCATTCATCTCCAGCATTCTAATTATGTGGGGTTTTTTTTAAAGCATGTAATTCAAAATGGGAAATCTGGAACAAAATAAAGAACATTAAAAATGTTAATATAAACAAAACTCTTTAAAAACATCTGCTCTTTCCATTAAAGGACAGCAGCATCATATATTTACTTTCATTAAAGTGGCCACACCACTTCACCATTTTCAAAAAAGGATGACATATTGTGATCCTCAAAAGACAACAAACCTGTTTTTGCAAAACTTCTACCGTTAAAAAAAAAAAAAAAAAAAAGGCCATGCAGGGGAAAAAAAAAAAAAACAGAGCAGATAAAAAAAAAAAAAAAAGAGCAGATTAAAAAAAATAGCTCATGGAAATAAGCCTGTTGGTCAGAGTGAACTCCCTCATCCAGCACAAAGAGCTTGGAACAAAGAAACATATGCCTGACTCATCCTCCGGGCTTCCTTGTAACAGCTGGGGGTGGGGGAGGGATGGGGGAGGGGGAGGGATGGGGCCTCCACGTGACAGGCAGCCACACAAAAGCAAAGCTCCTCTGCCCCACCCCTCATCATCAGAAGCAGCAGCTATTGCTGGACAAGACCTTACAAATTATCCATTGCAGTCATTTCATTCCACAGATAAGGAAACTGAAGTTTGGAGAAGTTAAGGTTCAAAGTCACAACAGTCAGTAAGTAGAAAAACTTGTGTCTGTAGCCCACATCTCCAGACTCCAAACTAGCGCTCTCTGAACAAATATCGTGACCCCTGACCTTGCCTTGGTGATTGATGATGCTGGTAAAAAAATTAATTTGCCTTTCAGAATAATCCCTTTTTATATGTTCTGAGTGTGCATCTAAACTAGTGGCTTTTCCCATCATATCTCATTTTCACCCAAAATTTCGCAAATAATAACTTATACAGACAAGATAATTGAAAATAAGGAATTTACAGGTCATATTATATAAATTAAATTACATTCCAACTGTACACATTCATTTTCATTTTTCATATAATTCTAGGGGCCAGATGACAGAGCCAAAAAGCCATAGGCAAGGTCTGGTACCTTTGGGTCCATTTTCTGTTTGGTATAAACTCCATTTGCTGCTGTGAAGATATCATTCAGGAATACAAAAATATAGCCTTCTAAGTTAAAAGCAAGGTCAGACCTGGGAGGGAGACCACAAAGGGAGAATGATTACTCAAAAACTCACAACTTGGCCTCCAAGCCCGCCTGATCTACCTTTCCCTAATCAAACCCACTTTTCTGTGGCACACTTTCCCCGCTTTGTGGTAGTGAATGATTAATTCCTCTGCTTTGCCTCCAGACAAAAACCAAACCAGCCCATCAGATGGCTTCGACTCAATCGTGAATGGCTTAAAACCAGAGCGACATTAAGCATCTTCCTTCAACTGCAACCCCTTTCTTTCGCTAGCTGATGAATCCACATAATAACTGGTGAGCCCTGACTTTCCTAAGGGGAGTGATTCGCCCCGATCCACCCAGGGGCTCTGCTTATTGTAGTGAACAGGGCCACCTCCAGGGTGCAGCCAGTGAGGGGCAGCTGGGCAGAGGCTGGGTAAGAGGGGTCGCATGAGGCAGCCACACCTCCATCTGGTGCCCAAACCGCACCCCGTCCATCAAAATGGCAAGGCAGGTATCCATCCTTCTATGTGACCCCTCTATGGCTCCTTTCTTCCCATTCTTTTGAAACAGCTTCTCTTCCATTTCCATTATAAATAGCACCAGCATAAATACGTTTGGGGATCTATGACAGGAACAAGAGGAAGAGCAATAGCTGAGCCATGATGTGGCCCACCCACCTGCACTTGATCGTTGCAGACAGTGCTAGGCCATGTCATAATTCAGAAATACACATTGCCAGGGAGGAAAACCTTTTCCTGTACCCTCTTAGATTCAGTGTCTGGGGGCCTGCTAATTTAACTGATAAAAGACAGATTAACAGGAGAAAGAGAATACGAATCTTATTAATATGTTCCCTGAAGTTCACAGAAAAGAAGTGAAACTCAAAGAAACAGTTAGACTTGGGGACTTACGTTTTAAAAAGGAAAGAGGATTTGGGCTTCAAGGAACAAATAAATTGTGTAATTGTTAGAAAGTAACTAGGAAACCTATGGTGGAAATGATGAACGAGAAGGGTTCTTTTAGGGTTTGTTTATGCAGATGCATCTCAGGGCCGACCCTCCGTCCAGTGATAGGAATTGCTCTCCTCTTCCTGGGATGGGAGAAGCGGTCCTCTTCACAATGGGAAATTGATTCCCTGGTTTTTAGGCAGAAAGGAGAAGGCAGCAAACTTCCTGATCTGTTGATTCTCAATCTTTCTCGGCTCAAAATAATCCTGATCTCACAGTGGCACAGTTTGCAGTGGCATACCCTGAATCTTCTTCAATGTCAAAATAAGATTATTTCTAACCAAAGAGAATGAAACACAGAGCAAAAATTCTACCAAAATCTGAATGCAAATTAAATTGGATTTTTGCTTGACGCCTCCACACATTATTATCTACAAATATATTTGTGAGAAGGGAAATTAATTTTAGTCATCATAAGTCAGAATTCTCCCTCAGTCACAATTTAAAAAAAAAAAAAAAAGGATTTTTGGCCAGGCGTGGTGGCTCCTGCCTGTAATCCCAGCACTTTGGGAGGCCAAGGTGGGTGGATCACCTGAGGTCGGGAGTTCGAAACCAGCCTGACCAACATGGAGAAATCCCATCTCTACTAAAAATACAAAATTAGCTGGGCGTGGTGGCACATGCCTGTAATCCCAGCTACTTGGGAGGCTGAGGCAGGAGAATCACTTGAACCAGGGAGGCAGAGGTTGTGGTGAGCCAAGATCGTGCCTCCAGCCTGAGCAACAAGAGCGAAACTCTGTCTCAAAAGGATTTTCTTCAAAATAAGGGTCTTCCAAATTTCTTACCTACCCACATGTGATTCAGCGTGAAGAAGAGCAGAGTCTGCCGCCCCCTGAGACAGCAGAGCCAAGTGAGTGGAAAGGGGATGGGGGGAGATGCTGCCCACCTCCTGGGAGAGCTGCAGGGGAACTCCTACTCAGGGGACCAAGAGTTCCCAGCAGCGCTGTTCCCACTCCCGGAAGCCTGGGTCACTGTCAGGCAGCTTACCCACTGTTTGTTTAGGCCAGTGGTGACAGCACAGACATTTCTGAAGAATTTACTTGTTTAATCAATTAGAGCAGATTCATGTAACCCTTGCAGTTGTTCAAGCGATCCTCCCATCTCAGTCTCCTGAGTAGCTGGGACTACAGGCATGTGCCACCATGCCCGGCTAATTTTTTTACTTTTATTTTTGTAGAGACAGGGTTTCATTATGTTGCCAGGGCTGGTCTCGAACTCCTGGGCTCAAGCAATCCCGTCACCTGGGCCTCCCAAAGTACTGGGATTGTCAGAGGCGTGTGAACCCGAGCAACTCCATCTTAAATAGGAGCTGGGTAAAATGAAGCTGAAACCTACTGGGCTGCATTCCCAGGCGGTTAAGGCATTCTAAGTCACAGGATGACATAGGAAGCCGGCACAAAATACAAATCATAAAGACCTTGCTGATAGGCCAAAACCCACTGAAACTAAAATGGCCACAAAAGTGACCTGTGGTCATCCTCACTGCTACACTCCCGCCAGCGCCGTGACAGTTTACAAATGCCAGGGCAATGTCAGGAAGCTACCCTATATGGTCTAAAAGGGGAGACATGAATAATCCACCCCTTGTTTAGCAAATCATCAAGAAATAACCATTAAAAATGGGCAACCAGCAGCTCTGGGGCTGCTCTTTCTATGGAGTGGCCATTCTTTTATTCCTTTACTTTCTTAATAAACTTGCTTTCACGCTGCACTGCAGACTCGCCCTGAATTCTTTCTTCCACAAGATCCAAGAACCCTCTCTTGGGGTCTGGATCAGGACCCTTTCCTGTAACAGGATTACAGGCATGGGCTACCACACCCAGCCCAGATGTATTTTAACTTTTTCTGGCCATGTAACTTGTTTTTGAATAAAATGTAAGAGAAGGTGACACGTCACTTCTGGGTGAAACCTTTAAGAGCCAGTGCATAATTCCCCACCTTCCCTTTTCCTGCTTGTTTGGCAAAGGAAGTGCCCTCTGAGGCAGGGATTCCATCAGCCTGGATCCCTGAGTGAACACATGGAGCAGAGCCCTCGCACTAGCACTGCCTAGTGTTGGACAGCGTGGATGGCGTGGATGGGGTGCATCTGGTGAGTGAAGCTACTGCCGTGTGGAGGTTGTTTGTTACAGCAGCATCACCTGCTCATCCAACAGTCTGATCTGCCACTGCTTGCATCTGGATGTGCTAATGTAAGAGGAGAGCAGGATAGGGTCACTGCTGGTCTGTAGCTAAGCACTCACTGCTGATCTGTAGCTAAGCACTGTGGCTAAGCACTATGAATGCCAGCTACCAGGTGGGGATCCATTCTGTGAGTGCCAGAGGAAGAGCCAGGCTGAGCATGGCTACTCCAGGCTGGCTCTTGGTTGAAAGTTAGATGCTTTAGGAACCCCGATTTACCCTTTTAGATTGTTTGTAGACTGTCCTTACATATGTGAAGCACGGACTGGATTTCTGATCACTGGTTCTGGAAACGCACCTGCATACCCACGGTAACTGAAGGGCCATTCCTCACCAAAGACTTACCACAGTTTTATAAACCATTTTTTGCAAAAGTCTTTAACTGGCTGTAAGTCAGTGGTTTTCAAAATGAGCCCTAAGGAAGCTAGAAGAGAGGGGCTGTGCCGGGGAGACCTCAGAGTGCTATGGGAGAAGCCCAGGGAATTTCACCCCAAAAATATGGTACCCTGGCATACAGATTATTTTACATGGAAAGCCTTTGAAGGGCAGCAGATGCTGAAGAGGCTTTTCTTGGATACTCCCTTTTCAATCTTAAAAGAGTGCGCCCACCCATGAGAACACACTTGCTTTCCATCCCCCTCTCTGAAATCTACTGCAGAGAAGACAAGGAATGCAGCCACATCTGGGCAGACTTTAAAAATATAATGTCTGCCTCTCGGGTGCAAATTCCAAAGAGAATCAATCCTTTACAATTTTTGTCTCCCAGGTCCATTCATTCTCTCCAGGCATCATTTCTGAACTCCCAAAAGCATTGTCCCCATTCCCTGCCCTCCCCTGAAGAAGGATATAGAAGCACCTGCACCCCACTGGGTCACTGGGTGGCCGCTCTCCCGTGATCTCTACCCCAGGCATGGGAAGGTAAATCTGTGTGTCTTTCTCTCCTCTCAATCTGCTCTTTTGTCAGTTCCTTTTTTTTTTTGAGATGGAGTCTCACTCTGTCGTCCAGGCTGGAGTGCAATGGCACAATCTCAGCTCACTACAACCTCCACTTCCCAGGTTCAAGCGATTCTCCTACCTCAGCCTCCTGAGTAGCTGGGATTATAGGCACCTGCCACCACACCTGGCTAATTTTTGTATTTTTAGTAGAGATGGGGTTTTGCCATGTTGGCCAGGCTGGTCTCTAACTCCTGACTTCAGGTGATGCACCCGCCTGGGCCTCCCAATCGCTGGGATTACAGGCATGAGCCACCACGCCCGGCCTGTCAGTTCCTTTTTTAATGAACCTTCAGAGAGTAGAAGGGGAAGCTGTCTCCCTTAGCCCCTGGAGCATCCTCCACAGAACTCCTCCCTCTTTAAACTACTTTACTTATAAAATTTCATTCCAAAAAAAGCCTGTCATGACTAGATGAGGCTCTGAGAACTGCTGTCTAATGGGTGCTGGCCCTATACCTGCGGTGTGAATTGGAGCACTGAGACCCCAGAGCCAGCTTTCAAGCAGTAAAACTCAGCCCCTGGCTAGGACTAGGGGAGAGAAAGGTACAGATGACACGTAAGTAATAAACCTTAGTCTACACAATGGACTAAATACATTTATAATGACAGTAAGCATGATTTGTTTTTCTTAGAGACAGGATCTTACTCTTTTGCTCAGGCTAGAATGCAGTGGTGCAATCATTGCTCACTGCAACCTCAAACTCCTGGGCCCAAGAGATCCTCTTTCCCCAGCCTCCTGAGTAGCTGAGACTCCAGGCACACACCACGACGCCAGGCTAATTTTCTTTCCTTTTTTTTTTTTTTTTTTTTTTTTTTTGTAGAAATAGGTTCTCACAATGTTTCCCAAGCTTATCTCAAACTCATGGGCTCAGGTGATATTCCCACCTAGGCTTCCTACAGTGCTGGGATTATAGGGGTGAGCCACCACACCCAGCCTGGAGCTAAGTTTTGAACCCAGGGATGTAACTATTCACATGCACTATCCACCATGCTATAGCAGAAATCTGAGCACCTGCCTGCCCACGAAGACTTGGAGTCCTCGTTATTCCTTTTGCAAAATAATTATTAAAGTAGTAGTCATGCACCAGTGTTGGCTCATATCCCAAACGTACAAATATATTTAGCATTCTACCATCGGAAACAGCAACTGCTAAGGTATCATGGAATAATAAAATAAATCAGCAGACAAAGGCTTTGTAAGTCTGTTATTATTAATCAAATGCCTAAGAACTTCTCAAGTAAAGTTGTTATAATGAAGACAAACATTCAGTAAGAAATGTAAACAGTTCACTGCTTTTTGTGAAGAAAAGCTATATTAATATCTTGCAATGCTCTCTTCATATATTCTCAGAAATTTTCTGGCCAATGTGGGACCCACTTTGACTTTCATAGGAACACATGGGGATTCCACTAACTTCAACAGATTTGTCTCTTGCCTGCTCAATTCAACAGCAGCCAGATGGAAAATGAAAAACTGAGGATGGGGCTGGGCCTATTGTCAAAGACACAAAGAAGTTATTGAGCAGAAACAGTCCAAAGTCTTACCCAGCTGCTATGAAAGCCCCGAGAATAATGGCAAAGACACTGAGGATGATGTTGAGTGAATACTGCTTCCTGTAATAAATACACAAATAAGAAAGGAAAGGGAGCAGAGAGGAAAACATTGAAATATGATTATATTTTTTAAACAAATTGAAAATAGACATCAGCATTTTTATAGCTAAAATCCAGCAGACAATGCTTGATGCAGAGAAAGCACTAAAAGTGTTTCTAAGTCAGACTAAATTTACATTATTTCTTAAGCAGTTTTCTTAATCTAATTACAAACTGATTTCTCTGTTCTCACTAGAGAGATACTGGGACAAAATACAGAAGCGCTCCTGCTGGTGGATCTAGTTTGCATGGACTGATAGTGAGTATTCAAAGATTATGATAAAATTCAATACAAGGGCTTAAAACACTGAACCACCAACCAAAATTCATTTCTAAATAATCCTCCCAGCAAAATCAAGAATCAACTTTTTGGATATCAGACTAAATATCCTTATGAAAAATTTTATACCAACAATATAAAAATTAATTTCTTCTGATATTATAATTACTGCGTCAGAATTGATATCCCTCATACCCTGCACAACTATCCTGTATGTATACATGGACAGTTTCCCTTCTGTATTCCAAAATTGGTTTATATTCCATCTGGCTCAGGAAACAGGTTTACATCCTTTTTGGAGTGTTTCTTTTACTTTCTTACGATTTTCTACCACAAACATGCATTATTTGTCTATGGTAAAATTACAACTTTTAAAAAATCCCTCATTAAGTTCTTAGGGAATCACAGAAGCACAAAACTACTTTTAAATGAATAAACCATTTGTCCTTAAATTATTGCAACTAGCAATGGCTACTAGAATTTGCTGGGTAAAAGAAATGCAGTGGGTGGGAGGCACACTGGAAGAATGGAGGAAAAACAAAATCACCCAAGTATGATGGTTTCCAGAAGTAAGGTAAGTGGAATGGTGAATTTCCTGAGCACGGTGAACATCGGTAGGCTGCCAGGAAAAGAGTGAAGCATGTCAGACACCAAGGGTTGGTTGATTGGTTTTATCTTTTACATGTTTTACATTTTTAATTAAGCTTACTAATTTTCCAAATCAATTTTCACATTTACCATTAACAAATCACATTAAATAATAAAAATAAATGGAGATTAAATAATTTCATACCACTTTCACTTAGCAATTTATTTACTTATTTTTTATTTATTTATTTATTTTTTTTGGAGACAGAGTCTCGCTGTGTTGCCCAGGCTGTAGTGCAGTGGTGCAATCTCGGCTCACTGTAACCTCTGCCTCCCGGGTTCAAGCGATTCTCCTGCCTCAGCCTCCCAAGTAGCTGAGATTACAGGCATGCGCCACAACACCCGGCTAATTTTTGTATTTTCAGAAGAGACAGAGTTTTGCCATGTTGGCCAGGCTGGTCTCAAACACCTGACCTAAGGTAATCTGCCCGCCACAGCCTCCCAAAGTGCTGGGATTACAGGCGTGAGCCACCGCACCTGGGCTTCACTTGGCAATTTAAGACACCGTTCTGTCCATCCATTCTAAAGGTTGTGCTGAAACTACTTCATGATGTGAACCAATACATCCTTTGACAAATCAAGTCAGGCCTATGCGTCATCATTAAATAGTCCTGACCGACTGGGCACCGTGGCTCTCGCCTGTAATCCCAGCACTTTGGGAGGCCGAGGTGGGCAGATCACTTGAGGTCAGGAGTTTGACACCACACTGACCAACATGGTGAAACCCTGTTTCCACTAAAAATACAAAAATTAGCCAGGCATGGTGATGTGAACCTGCAGTCCCAGCTACTCGGGAGGCTGAGGCAGGAGAATTGCTTGAACCCGTGAGGCGGAGGTTGCAGTGAGCCAGGATCGCACCACTGCAACCTCTGTCTCAAAAAAATAAAAAAAAGTTCTGACCTTGGACCTAATTACTTCTTCTTGGGAAACTTATTCTAAGGTAATAATCAAAAGAAAAAAAAACCACATGCATAAATGTGTTCACTGCAGTGTCTGTGGGAAAAACATCAGAAACAACCTAAATGTCAGACATCACAATAGTTAAATAAATTATGATACATTCAGTTGAGGGAACATGATACTATAACTCTGTAATACAAATACTATTAGAAAATGAATATTAAATAAAACAAATGGATACAAAACCATGTAGGATCTACAACTGTAACAAGATACATTCTGTATACAGAAAAGGGCTGCAAAGGATTATTTATTTATTTATTTATTTATTTAGAGATAGAGTCTCACTCTGTCACCCAGGCTGGAGTGCAGTGGCGCGATCTCAGCTCACTGCAATCCCCACCTCCCGGGTTCAAGCGATTCTCCTGCCTCAGCCTCTCGGGTAGCTGGGATTACACTACCACGCCCAGCTAATTTTTGTATTTTTAGTAGAAATGAAGTTTTGCCATGTTGGCCAGGCTGGTCTCGAACTCCTGATCTCAGGCGATCCACCTGCCTCAGCCTCCCAAAGTGCTGGGATTATAGGCGTGAGCCACCGCACTGGGCTGAAAATGAGTATTTAAAATTGTGTGTTAAAAGGTAGATTATGGGTGATTTTCTTCCCCAAATTTTATGTAGTAAGGCTAAACTGCCTTAAAATATATAGTTAAGAACCTTCTACCCACTCCTAACACCCAGAGATTCCACGATGCAGCTCAGCGCATAGTCAACAGACTGCCAGGGCTGCCAAATGCCAGCCCATCTCCACCTGCTTCTAGATGCGACCCTGAGCGGCCGATGAGCTAGGGAAAGAAAGTCAGAGCTGGAACAGCAGCACAGGAGGAGAGTGGCAGCTCAGCCACCCATACCCCAGCACAGGCTTCACATCATCAACCACACTGCATCCAGAGAGCAGCTGCAGAAAGAATGTTCAGGAACTTTATATTCACACCTAAAGATGTCTTACAAGACTGGCTGGACCTACATTTTTCAAAGCTGCAACAACAACAACAAAACGCTTTATATTTTCAATTGCATTCGAAAAGTATTCTAGATTATGCCTTTTAAAAGCAAATAAGGTATACTTAATGGTTAAAAAGTGAATGTTTTCCGCCTATGATTAGGAACAAGACCAGGATGTTCACTCTCACTATTGTATCTATTCAACACTGTATTTGAGGTTCTAGACAGTGCAGTTAGAAAAAACAAACATCTCATTTGGAAAGGAAGAACTAAAGCTATCTCTATTTGCAGAGAACACCTTCTATACAGAAAATCCTAAGGGATCCACTTAAAAATTATTAGAACCACAATAAGTGAATCAAGCAAACAGGCAGGAAACAAAACGAATATACAAAAGTCAACTCTGAATATACACTAGCAATGAGCAATCCAAAAATGAAATTAGGCTGGGCACAGTGGCTCACGCCTGTAATCCCAACATTCTGGGAGGCCAAGGTGGGTGGATGAATTGAGGTCAGGAGTTCAAGACCAGCCTGGCCAACATGGTGAAACCCCACTTATACTAAAAATACAAAAAATTAGCTGGACGTAGTGGTGCGTGACTATAATCCCAGTTATTTGGGAGACTAAGGCAGGACAATTGCTTGAACCTAGGAAGCAGAGGTTGCAGTAGCCAAGATCGCACCACTACACTCTAGCCTGGGCAACAAAGTGAGACTCCATCTCAAAAAAAAAAAAAAAAAAAAAAAAAGTTACCAAAGCAATTTCATCTAAAATAGCATCAAAAAGAATAAAATTCTTAGACACAATTTTAACAAAAGAAGTGTAAGACTTGTGTGCAGAAAACTACAAAACATTGTTAAAAAAATTTAAAAAACCAGGTGCAGTGGTTCATGCCTGTAATCCCAGCACTTTGGGAGGCTGAAGTGGAAGAATTGCTTGAGGCCAAGAGGTTGAGAGCAGCCTGGGCAACAGAGCAAGACCCCGTCTCTACTTTGAGACAGGGTCTTGCTCTATTGCCCAGGCTGGAGTGCAGTGGCGTCATCTTGGCTCACTGCAACCTCCGCCTCCTGGCTCAAGCGATTCTTGTGCCTCAGACACCCAAGTAGCTGGGATTTAGGTGTGCACTACCATGCCTGGCTAATTTTTGTATTTTTAGTATAGATGGGGTTTCACCATGTTGAGCAGGCTGGGTCTCAAACTCCTGACCTCAAGTGATCCACCTGCTTTGATCTCCCAAAGTGCTGGGACTACAGACGTAAGCCACCACGCCAAGCCAAAAAATATATATGTTTTTTAAATTCACAGTAGTGAATGTCTGTAGTCTCAGCCACTTGGGAGGCTGAGACAAGAGGATGGCTTGAGCACAGGAGGTCGAGGCTACTGCAGTGAGCTATGATCATGCCACTTGTACTCCAGTCTGGGCAACAGAGTGAGATATTGTCTCTAAGAAAAAAAAAAAATTTTTTTTTTTTGAGACGGAGTTTCGCTCGTCGCCCAGGCTGGAGTGCAATGGCGCAATCTTGGCTCACTGCAACTTCCACCTCTTGGGTTCAAGCAATTCTCCTGCCTCAGCCTCCCAAGTAGCTGGAATTACAGGTATCCACCAACACACCCAGCTAATTTTTGTATTTTTAGTAGAGATGGGGTTTCACCATGTTGGTCAGGCTGGTCTCGAACTCCTGACCTCAGGTGATCCACCTGCCTTGGCCTCCAAAGTGCTGGGATTACAGGCGTGAGCCACTGTGCCTGGCCTTCTAAGAAAATGTTTAAATCAAAAAAAGAAAGTAATGAAGACCTAAATAAATGGAAAGACACTCCATGTTCATGGATCAAAAGACCTTAAGTTATTAAAACCTTATGTTATTAAAAATACTCTTCAAATAGATACACAGATTGCTACAGTTTGGATATCTGACCCTTTATGCCTCATGTTAAAATTGGATCCCCATGTTGAAGGTGGAGCCTGGTGGGCAATGTTTCAGCTGTGGGGGCTGATTCCTCATGGATAGATTAATCAACTGGGGCAGGGGGAGTGAGTTCTCACTCTGTTAACTCCCATGAAGGTTGATTGTTAAAGGAGCCTGACAGCACCCCCTCTCTTGCCATGGGATCTCTGCGCGCACTGGCTCCCCTTCCCCTTCTGCCAGGAGGGCCTGAGGCCCTCACCAGATGCAGATGCTGGCGCCATGCTTCTTGCACAGCCTGCAGAACTGTGAAGCACACGAACCTTTTTTCTTCATAAATTACCCAGCCTCAGGTAGTCCTTTACAGCAACACTAACAAACTAAGTCACAGATTCAACACAATCCCTATCGAATCTTAGCTGGCTTTATTTATTCTTTTTTTTTTTTTTTTTTTTTGCAGAAATTGACAAGCTAATTTTAAAATTAATAAGGAAATGCAAGAGAATTAAAAAATCAAAACTATCTTGAAAAAGAAGAACAAAGTTGGTGTACTTATGCTTTCCAATTTCAAAATTTAATACAAAGTTACAATAATCAAGACTAGCTAGTACTGGTTTAAAGATATCTAGATAGATAGCTGGCTGGGCATGGTGGCTCACTCCAATAATCCCAGCAATTTAGGAGGCTGAGGCAGGTGGATCCCGTGGGCCCAGGAGTTCGAGACCAGCCTGGGCAACATGGTGAAATGCTATCTCTACAAAAAAAATTAAAACAATTATTAGCCAGGTGTGCTGGTGCTCACCTGTGGTCCCAGCTACTTGGGAGGCTGAGGTGGGAGGATCGCTTGAGCCTGGGAGGTCAAGGCTGCAGTGAGTGGTGACTGTGCTACCACACTCCAGCCTGGGTGACAGAGCAAGACCCTGTCTCAAAAAAATAATAATAGAGATAGATAGGCTGGGCGTGGTGGCTCATGCCTGTAATCCCAGCACTTTGGGAGGCCGAGGCAGATGGATCACCTGAGGTCAGGAGTTCGAGACCAGCCTCAACATGGAGAAACCCCGTCTCTACTAAAAATACAAAATTAGCTGGGCGTGGTAGTACATGCCTATAATCCCAGCTACTCTGGAGGCTGAGGCAGGAGAATTGCTTGAACCTGGGAGGTGGAGGTTGCGGTGAGCCGAGATCGTGCCATTGCACTCCAGCCTGGGCAACAAGACCGAAACTCCATCTCAAAAAATAAAAAATAAATAAAGATGATATACAATCAATAGAATACATTCTTAAAATTATGATCAACTGATTTTCTACCAGGGTTCCAAGACAATACAATGGAAAAAGAACAGTCTTTTCAACAAATAGTGCTGGGACAACTGAACATCCACATGCAAAAAAAATGAATTTGAACTTCTATCTCATACCACATATAAAAAATTAACCCAAGAGCTGGGTACAGTCGCACGTGCCTGCAGTCCCAGGTACTCGAGAGGCTGAGGTGGAGAATCATTTGAGCCCAGGAGTTTGAGGCCACAGTGAGCCATGATTGCACCAGTGAAAGCTACTGCATTTGAGTCTGGGTAACACAGCAACATTGAAAGACCCCATCACTTAAAAGAAAAAAATTTTTAATTAATTGAAATGTATTAAAGACCTGGACATAGGATCTAAAACTATAACATTCTTAGAAGAAAGTATAGAAGTAAATCTTTATGACCCTTCAGTTAGGCAAAGCCTTAGATAAAACATCAAAAGTACAAGCAACAAAAGAAAAACATAGAAAAACTGGAATTCATAAAAATTAAAACTTTTACAGGCTGGGCACAGTGGCTCATTTCTGTAATCCCAACACTTTGGGAGGCTGGAGCAGGCAGACTGCTTGAGCTCAGGAGTTCAAGATCAGCCTGGGCAACATGGTGAGACCTAGTCTCTACAAAAAACATAAAAATAAGCCAGGCGTGGTGGCACACACCTGTAGCCCCAGCTATTCAGGAGACCGAGACAGGAGAATCGCTTGAGCCCAGCAGGGTGAGGCTGCAAGTGAGCTGTGATCGCACCACTGCATTCCAGCCTGGAGACCCTGTCTCAAAAAATAATAATAATATTTTTATAAATGGATAAACAAAATATTATATATTTTATATATATATATATATATATATATATACCTGCAATGGAATATTAATCAGCCTGAAAAAGGAATTAAATTCTGATACCTAATATAACATGGATAAACCTTGAAAATATGATGTAAGAGAATAAGCCAGACAAAAAAGGCAAAAATATTGTACAATTCTACTTCTATGAGATGTCTAGAGTAGGCAAATTTGTAGAGACCTAAACGTAAAATGTAAACTATAAAAATTCTGGAAGATAGCATTTGGGTAATCTTGGTTTGATGATGAGTTTCAAATTCAAAACCAGAAGTATAATCCATGAAAGAAAAAAAATGATTGTGAACTTCATTAAAATTAAAAACTTCTGCTCTGTGAAAGACAGTGTTAAGAAAATAAAAAGATAAGCCACAAACTAGGAAAAAAATATTTGCAAAACACATATTTGATAAAGGACTTGTATCAAGTAAATGAAAAACCATGAATCCATGATAGGAAAACACAACAACAAACAAACAAAAAACAACCCTTCCTGGTCACTATTGAAGGTGTCAGGACACTAATTTATTAGTCTGAACATTGATAAAGGAAGCTTTTATCCTGCTTTTCCTATATGAAGTGGTGAAAATTTGTTCTTATCGAAAAAGTTTAGGTTGGGTGTGGTGGCTCATGCCTGTAATCCAAGTACTTTGGGAGGCCAAGACAGGCAGATTACTTGAGGTCAGGAGTTCAAGACTAGCCTGGCCAACATGGTGAAACCCCGTCGTTACTAAAAATACAAAAATTAGCTGGGCACGGTGGCAGGTGCAGAATCCCAGCTACTTGGGAGGCAGGAGAATCGCTTGAACCCAAGAGGTGGAGGTTGCAGTGAGCCAAGATCACATCACTACACTCCAGCCTGGGTGACTGTGCAAGACTCCATCTCAAAAAAAAGATAAGATATCAACCCCTTAAAATCATTAACAGTGGCCGGGTGCGGTGGCTCATGCCTGTAATCCCAGCACTTTGAGAGGCTGAGGCGGGCGGATCACGAGGTCAGGAGATGGAGACCATCCTGGCTAACACGGTGAAACCCCGTCCCTACTAAAAATACAAAAAATTAGCCGGGCATAGTGGCAGGCGCCTGTACTCCCAGCTACTGGGGAGGCTGAGGCTGGAGAATGGCTTGAACCTGGGAGGCGGAGCTTGCAGTGAGCCGAGATTGTGCCACTGCACTCACTCTAGCCTGGGCGACAGAGCGAGACTCCGTCTCAAAAAAAAAAAAAAATCATTAACAGTGAAACTGATCCATTTAATAGCATTCCAAGAAGGATAAGGTATTATGTGCCCCATAATCAAAAGACCCTGAAATGGGCCGGGCACAGTGGCTCACACCTGTAATCCCAGCACTTCGGGAGGCCAAAGCGGATGGATCACCTGAGGTCAGGAGTTCAAGACAAGCCTGGCCAACATGGTGAAACCCTGTCTCTACTAAAAATACAAAACTTAGCCAGGCGTGGTGGCAGGCGCCTATAATCCCAGCTACTTGGGAGGCTGAGGCAGGAGAATCGCTTGAACTCAGAAGGTGGAGGTTGTAGTGAGTCAAGATAAGGTTGCACTCCAACCTGGGAGACAGAGTGAGACTCTGTCTCAAAAAAAAAAAAGACCCTGAAATAAATGCAGATGCAAATTTCAGAAGTTTATAACACACACTTGAAAATGTCTGTCATTATTTTTCCCTGCACCAAACCTGGTCTACACCAAGGCTGAGGAGATGTTCCTGCTCTTATAAAACTGAGATGAAACCAAAAGTCACACAAAATCATATTCACACCAACAATCCCACCTGGATAAATCAGACCTTCTCTACCTTAATGTCTACAGCTCTCAGATTCTATGTTCAGGCTTGAATATAATTTAAAAAAATAAGCTTTTTAACATTCCTAAAATCATTGGCCAATTAAACTCAAAACTCCACCTTACTTTCTTAAACTACTAAATATTATTGTCTTCTATATATGGTACAAGCACTATCAATGGCAAAAATCAATCTTGGTCTTTGTACCACTGGCAGCACAGAGGTGAGGAACTTTCCACCAGCCATTATCCTATACTCTACCTTAATTTACTTGTGCTTGATAATCCACTTATGTGGTTTCCAACGTAGAGGAGAGGCAGAGGAAACAGCTTCCATTAAAAAAAAAAGAAGAAATATTTGGTTAGAACTCCAATAAGCATTTTCCTTCACATATAAAAATGGTGACAGATACTTCACCAGAGAGGATCTTCAAACAGGCATTAAAAAAATGATTTTGGCGGGGCGCAGTGGCTCACGCCTGTAATCCCAGCACTCTGGGAGGCCAAGGTAGGCGGATCACGAGGTCAGGAGTTCGAGACCAGACTGACCAACACAGCGAAACCCCATTTCTACTAAAAATACAAAAATTAATTGGGCATGGTGGCACACATCTATAGTCCCAGCTACTCGGGAGGCTGAGGCAGGAGAATCACTTGAACCCGGCGGGCAGAGGTTGCAGTGAGCCAAAACTGCACCACTGCACTCCAGCTTGGGCAACAGAGCAAGACTTCATCTCAAAAAAAAAAAAAAAAAAAAAAAAAAGAAAAGGTGCGCCTTCTCACTAGTCATCAGGGAAATGCAAACTAAAGCCCATAAGATGTCACGACACACCCATCAGATTAGCAAAATTTATTTATTTATTTTTTGAGACAGAGTTTTGCTCTTATTGCCCAGGCTGGAGTGCAATGGTGTGATCTTGGCTCACTGCAACCTCTACCTCCCAGGTTCAAGCAATTCTCCTGCCTCAGTCTCCCGAGTAGCTGGGATTACAGGCATCCGCCACCATGCCCAGCTAATTTTTTGTATTTTTAGTAGAGATGGGATTTTGCCATGGTGGCCAGGCTGGTCTCGAACTCCTGGTCTCAGGTGATCTGCCTGCCTCAGCCTCCCAAAGTACTGGGATTACAGGTGTGAGCCACCACACTCAGCCCAGATTAGCCAAATTTAAAATGACTCACATACCAAGAATATGAAGCAACAGGGACTTTCAGGCACGTTTGTCAGAAGGTGAATTGGTATAGCCACCATGAAGAACAGTTCAACGATACATATTAAAGCTGAAGATATGCATGCCCCAGGGGCCAGCAGTTCCACTCTGATAGATACATTCCTCACTCATATGCACTGTTATGAAATGAATCTTGTTTTTCCCCACATTTATATGTTGAAGCCCTAATCCCCAATGTGACTGTATTTGGAGATGAGGTCTTAACCAAGGTAATTCAGGTTACATGAGGGCATAGTGGTACAGCCCTAGCCCAACAAGACTGGTGTCCCTATATGAAGAGAAGAGGCCAGGCACGGTGGCTCACACCTGTAATTCTAACACTTTGGGAGGCCAACACAGGAAGATAGCTTAAGCCCAGGAGTTCAAGACCAGCCCTGGCAACATAGTGAGACCGTCTCTACAAAAATTTTTTAAATTAGCAAGGCATGGTAGCAAATGCTTGTAGTCCCAGCTACTTGGGAGGCTGAGACAGGAGGATCACTTGGACCCATGAGTTCGAAGCTGCAGTGAGCTGTGGATGTACCACTGTACTCCAGCTTGGGTGACAGAGCTAGACCCTGTCTCAAAATAATTAAAAAAATGAAAACAAAAACAGAAAAAAAAAAAAAGGAAGTGGAAGAGATACGAGGAGTGCACACACAGAGGAAAGGCCATTGAGGACACAGTGAGAAGGTGGCCGTCTGTAAGCCAGGACGCAAAGCCTCACCAGAAGTCAACCCTGCCAGCACTTTGGTCCTGGACTTCCAGCCTCCAGAACTGTGAGGAGATCCATTTCTGTTGTTGAAGCCACCTGGCCGGGGGTATTTTGTTACGGCAGCCTCAGCTAACACATGTACGCCAGGGTCCAACTAGAAGCATGTTCAGAGTGGTACTTTTTATTTTTCTAGCCCTCAAACTGGAAACATCCAAATTACAATAGAACAGATAAGTAAATTGTGGTATATTCATACAATGAAAATAAAAGAATACAGCCACACACAACACAGATGAATTTCACCATCATAATATTAAGTGAAAGAAGCAAGATACCTAAGAACATAGAGTTAGATTCCCTTTATCTCAAGTTTAAAAGCAGGTAAAACGAGACTACAGAATTTAGGGATGTGGCTGGGTGTAGTGACTCAAGCCTGCAATCCCAGCACTTTGGGAGGCCAAGGCGGGCAGATCACCTGAGGTCAGGAGTTCAAGACCAGCCTGACCAACATGGAGAAACCCCATCTCTTCTAAAAATAAAAAATTGGCCGGGCATGGCGGCGCATGCCTGTAATCCCAGCCACTCGGGAGGCTGAGGCAAGAGAATCACTTGAACCCAGGAGGTAGAGTTTGCAGTGAGCTGACATTGCACAATTGCACTCCAGCCTGGGCAATAAGAGCAAAACTCCATCTCAAAAAAGAAAAAAAAAAAGAATTTAGGGATGCATCCAGATTTAGAATAATTACAAAGAAAGCAAGAAAATTATTGTTAGAAAAGTTAGGATAGTGGGTAAGGAAGACTTTGTGATCCCATTTCATGACCTAAATAATGGTTTACAAGGGTAATTATTCATTCAACTACACATTCAAATAGGATGCCTTTTTCACTATGTATAGATTAGATTTTACCATTTTAAAATTTTTTTAATTATACTATACCACAAAGTAAGAGTAAGTAAGCCCAGTAATATTCTGGTTTTTCTCATGATGATTAGGTTGACAGCTTTCATATACTTCAACCTTGTATTTTTCTCTTTTTCTGGATGTCCCTGTTTTGTTTTTTTTTTTTTTGAGATGGGGTCTCACTCTGTCGCCCAGGCTGGAGTGCAGTGGCACAATCTTGGCTCACTGCAACCTCTGCCTCCTGGGTTCAATCAATTCTCCTGCCTCAGTCTCCCGAGTAGCTGGGACTACAGGTGTGCGCCACCACGCCCGGCTAATTTTTTTGTATATTCAGTAGAGACGGGGTTTCACCATGTTGGCCAGGCTGGTCTTGATCTCTTGAACTCGTGATCTGCCTGCCTTGGCCTCCCGAAGTGCTGGGATTACAGGCGTGAGCCACCCCACCTGGCTTATTTTTTTTTTTTTTTTGAGACAACGTCTTACTACGTTCTCCACACTGACCTCCAACTCCTGGCCTCAGACGATCCTCCTGCCTTGATCTCCCCGAGTCACTGGGATTATAGGCGTGAGCCACCACACTGGGCTCCCCTGATTACTGATGCTGTAAGCATGTGCTTCTTTGGTCTGTCTGATAAATAATCCAGTGCTAGATGCTGGCATTTTTCCAAGCACTAGAGAAACAGCAGCAAACCAGCCACATGAGATCCTCACCCTCAGGGAACTGACAGTCTGATTTAAACCTAAATGCTGTCATAATCCATAAATACCACCTGTTGTATGGGACTGGTCTAAGAATTAAATGCCTGCCCTAATGTCTGGAACCCAGCAACTGTTCAACAAACGTTAGTTCCATTCCACAGTCCACGAAGGAATGGCAGATTTTATGTTTCTAGTTCCAGGACGGAAAAAACTGCGTATTTCTATGTATATCAAATTGCATTCTTCATTCCACTCACAGCTTTTGTCAGTCCAGGATAAAAATGAAAACTGAAAACAGAAATCAGTAAACTAGAGCTCAAATCCAGCCCAGCTCTTGTTTATGTAAATAAAGTTTTATTGGAACACATGGACATCAACCCATTTAAATGTCATCAAGGGCTACTTTCATGGTACAGTGGCAGAGGTGAATAATTACAAGAGATGGTCTGACCCTTTACCAAAAAAGTTTGCCAATGCCTAATTTAGAGTTCTCTCACTTCCCAAGACACACAGTATTCATTTATTTGATGTCAGTTGTTAAGCACATACTTTTACTACTACTTACTGCATTACATAAATGGACAACTAAATGATATACAGTCTTTATTAAAGTTTCTTGGCCAGGCACAGTGGCTCACACCTGTAATCCGAGCACTTTGGGAGGCTAAGGTGGGTGGATCACTTGAGGTCAGGAGTTCGAGACCAGCCTCACCAACATGGTGAAACCCCATCTCTACTAAAAATACAAAAACAAAACAAAACAAAAAAAATTAGCTGGGAATGGTGGCAGGCACCTGTAATCCCAGCTACTAGGGAGGCTGAGGCACGAGAATCACTTGAACCCAGGAGGCGGAGATTGCAGTGAGCCAAGATCACACCATTGCACTCCAGCCTGGGCGACAGAGCGACAGTCCATCTCAAACAAAAAAAGAAGTTTCTATCCAGTGCAGGCAGGAAGTACAGTGTGTATAGAAATTGACCTGTACTCTAAAATCAATGTGTATTTTCACATCTTCTATCACAGTCATACATACTTTTCATTACTTACCTTTACAGGAATTTTCTTATCAAAATCAGGGAAGTGAATGATTTTGTTTAGCTTGGACACATATAGTATCATTATGGTGGCTGCCATCTGAAGAAAAGGGGAGAGAGAAACTTCAGCAAAATATCTGCAAAGATTGCTTGAGGTACAATGACATCATCAAAAGAAAACACATTCATCAAAAAGAAATATAGCAAAAAATTCATTTTCTAGGTTCCAGAAAAAAATAACTATTTCTTAGAATATTAACATTGTTTTCCTTGCCACAGTACAGATTCCATCAGAACTCCAGGCAAAAAACGTAACGTCGGGCAGGGCACGGTGGCTCACAGCTATAATCACAGCACTTTGGGAGGCCAAGATGGGTGGATTACTTGAGGTCAGGAGCTCAAGACCAGCCAGGCCAACATGGTGAAATCCTGTCTTTACTAAAAAACAAAAATTAGCTGGGCATGGTGGCAGACGCAGAATCCCAGCTACTCAGGAGGCTGAGGCAGGAGAATCGCTTGAACCTGAGAGGCCAAGGTTGCAGTGAGCCAAGATCACACCACTGCCCTCCAGAGTGAGACACCACTGTCTCAAAAAAAAAAAAAAAAAAAAAAGGTAATATCAGCTGGGTGCCGTGGCTCATGCCTGTAATCCCAGCATTTTGGGAAGCTGAGGTGGGAAGATCACTTGAGCCTAGGAGCTCCAGACCAGCCTAAGCAACATGGTGAAAACCCATCTCTACAAAAAAATACAAAAAATTAGCCAGTCTTGGTGATCTGTGGTCCCAGCTATTCGGGATACCGAGGTAGGAGGACCACCTGAGCCCGGAAAGTCAAGGCTGCAGTGAGCCCAGTGAACTATGATCATGCCACTGCACTCCAGCTTGGGAGACAGAGCAAGACTCTATCTCAAAAAAAAAAAAAAGTGTAATATCCAATAGACACACACACACATTATCTCACGGGGCTCTAGGAATGAACTGTGGCAGAGGGAGAAAGGGAATGGTCTCCCTGACAGTGACAAATGTGCAAAAGTGATCACAGCCAGTGAGATGACACAATGATCCTGGACCATATTTCCCATATACTAAGCATATGGCATCCTCCCCCATAAAGGCACGGGAACATTCTTTTAAAAGAAACTCCACACCTAAGCACATTTTTTAAAAAGTCCATTATTTCCATAAAACAGAAGACCAACAAAGAGGAAAAAAAGTTCTTTAAACTTTACTTTTAAAGATTTACTTTTCAATCTAGCTGGTATAGCAAAAATGTCTCCTTCAAATCCTCTTAATCTGGAGTACCCTAGGTATACTGGAAATACTCCATATCATTATTATGAAATAAAAATTTAATGTCATCTTTCATGCAAGTTTTAGAACTTACTCAATTCTCTCCATTTTAGGATGTGAAAATTTAAGACTCCTTCAACACGATTATAATCCTATACCTTGCTCCTGAGTTTACAAACTTAAAACTTATAATATATTTATGTAATTAAGCCCATCCTGAATTATAACTGTACTTTGTACTTACGCCTCACATTATAATTCTTAAAGAAATACAATAACATTGGCCAGGCGCAGTGGCTCACGCCCATAATCCCAACACTTTGGAGGCCAAGGTGGGCAGATCGCTTGAGCCCAGAAGTTCAAGACCAGCCTGGGCATCATGGCGAAACCCTATCTCTACAAAAAATACAAAAATTAGTCAGTGTGGTGGTGCATGCCTGTAGTCCCAGCTACTTGAAAGGCTGAGGCAGGAGGATCACTTGAGCCCAGGAGGTGAAGGGTACAGTGAACCAAGATCACACCACTGTACTCCAGAATGGGCAAGAGAGCCAGACACTGGAAAAAAAAAAAAAAAAGGAAGGAAGGAAGAAAATAAAAATAAAATAAAATAAATATACTAACACTTAAATGTAATTCAGACTTTTAAAATTAGATCTAACTGGCCTCTTCCCTCAACAAATTGCAAATCAGAAAGGCTTTACCTTTGAGTATAAGCCACTGGGTTAAAGAGTAATGAATTTATTTCACTTAGAGACTACAAAGGACACCTTATCACTGATTTTTTTTTTTTTTTTTTTTTTTGAGACGGAGTCTTGCTTGTCACCCAGGCTAGAGAGCAGTGGTGCAATCTCGGCTCACTGCAACCTCTGCCTCCCAGTGAATGTTCAAGCAATTTCTGACTAATTTTTGTATTTTTAGTAGAGACTGAGTTTCACCATGTTGTCCAGGCTGGTCTCAAACTACTGACTTCAAGTGATCCACCCACCTCGGCCTCCCAAAGTGCTAGGATTATAGGCATGAGCCACCGTGCTCGGCCTGATCTTTTTTTTTTTAACGTGCTTTTTCCTAATATTTTTACATTGAAATATAAAGATAATTTTTTTACTGTAAGAAAATTCTTGTTATGATTGTTTCTCCCTAAAATGATGTTGCAAAGAGGTATTTATTAGCAAGACATTTAATCAGAATGATGTTTATTTGGCCAGGCACAGTGGCTCATGCCTGTAATCCCAGCACTTTGGGAGGCCGAGGTGGGTGGATCACGAGGTCAGGAGCTGGAGACCAACCTGGCCAACATGGTGAAACCCTGTCTCTATTAAAGATACAAAAAATTAGCTGGGCATGGTGGCACGCACCTGTAATCCCAGGTACTCGGGAGGCTGGGGCATAAGAATCACTTGAACCCAGGAGGCAGAGGCTGCAGTGAGCCAAGATCACACCACTGCATTCCAGCCTGGGCGACAGGCTGAGACTCAGTCACAAAAAAAAAAAAAAAAAAAAGAATAATGTTTACTCACATAAACGACAGGCTTTTCCAGATTCACAATTAAAAATTTAGTTAACAGGTACTATTTTCATAATGTTAAGCTTTTCCCTCTATGAATTAAATCAAAATCAAAACAAACAAACAAAAAACATTGGTATCTGTTACTATTTATTTATCTGGAAATCACCAGTATACAACCACAAGAATAAACAAGCCACAAATTAACATAAATGGGAAATTTCAGAAACTGCCAAATGGGCGTAGTTTGAAAGCTTACCCAAGCTCATCCTTGTACTTGTAATCCCAGCACTTTGGGAGGCCAAGGTGGGTGCGGATCGCCTGAGGTCAGGAGTTCGAGACCAGCCTAGCTAACATGGCGAAACCCCGTCTCTACTAAAAATACAAAAATAGCTGGCCATGGTGGCAGGTGCCTGTAATCCTAGCTACTTGGGAGGCTGAGCTGGAAGAATTTCTTGAACCTGGGAGGCACAGGTGGCAGTGAGTCGACATTGTGCCATCGCACTCCAGTCTGGGCGACAAGAACAAAACTCCGTCTCAAAAAAAAAAAAAAATTCAAACTCTCTCTTGAAAACCTTCTGATGCTAATAATAAGGGCAGCATGGTGGGTCCCACCCCATCTCTCAACTCTTTTCCTGTCAGGCACAATGGCTTAAACTAAGTATCAAGCTGACACTTTGAGTGGGACAAGTATTCTCTCTCCCACCCAGTCCTCAGCCAACTCATGTGTTACCCTCCAGGCCTTGGAGGCTTTGAGTCTTGCAGCCCCCTGCTTTAGAGTAATTAAATTCAGTTAAGGAACTTAAAATAAGAAGCTGTTTTTCCCATAAATACAATTGTTCCTAAATTGTAGACTGAAATAAAATAAGTGTCAATATGTCCTGTTGTCTCACCAGGAGTACCATGACCCTCTGGTCCTCTGCCAGCTGAATAAATTTGCAAACCACAGCTTTAAACAAAAGGACTTAAAATGTCATTATGAATACTGATAACAAAATAAGAGGTTAATTCTATTTTTTTTCACTCACCTGTCCAATTCCAAGGAAAATTGGTGACGGGAAACTACAAAGGACACAGAACAACAAATCAGTTGAGCAAATATAAAACTCTGAAGATAGTACATAATAAATAATGACAAGTTATTAAACAATCTGAGAAAATGAAAATTTATCAAATTGTTCACTTTTCATTTAATTCTTTTTTTTTTTTCTTTTTAAGACAGTGTCTTGCTCTGTTGCCCAGGCTGGAATGCAGTGGTGTAAACATGGCTCACTGGAGTCTCAACCTTCTGGGCTCAGAAGATGCTCCCACCTCAGCTTCCTGCCACCCAGGCTGGAGTGCAGTGGTGTGATGGCTCAAGCCATCTTTCCACCTTTGCCTCCCTAGTAGCTGGGACCACAGGGGCATGCCACCACACCCAGCTAAACATTATATACACACACACATATATATATGTGTATATTATATATATATTATATATATTATACTCCCTCTCTCTCTCTCTCTCTACATATATATATATACACACACACACACATTGAGATGGAGTCTCACTCTATCACGCAGGCTGGAGTGCAGTGGCACGATCTCAGCTCACTGCAACCTCCACCTCCTGGGTTCAAGCGATTCTCCTGCCTCAGCCTCCCGAGTAGCTGGGACTATAGGCGCGCACCACCATGCCCGGTTAATTTTTGTATTTTTAGTAGAAACGGAGTTTCATCATGTTGGCCAGGCTGGTCTCAAACTCTTGACCTCAAATGATCTGCCCGCCTTGGCCTCCCAAAGTGCTAGGATTATAGGCGGGAGCCACTGTGCCCAGCTAAACCTGATATATTTTTAATTTGCTTCAAAATACTCTGGGGGGAGATGGTGGAGTGAGTGGGAGATGGACACAAATGCAGCAAGGTTGTGGACACTGGGTAATGAATCGCTACATAGTGATTCATTATACTAGTTTTAAAAGATAATAACCCAGGAACAAATCTAATCAAAGATTTGCAAGAAAGGCATCTGTATAAAAAATTATATATCAATATTCTCAAAATTAAAGATCTAAATAAAGGTCATGGGTTGGAAACTTGCTATTGTAGTGAGGTCCATTATCCCCGAACTTATTTATAGAATCAGTGCGATCTCAGCAGAAATATCAGCAGATATTTTGTGGAAACTGGCAATCTGATCCTAAAGCTGAATGAAAAGAAAGGCAAAGGGCACCAACATATCACCCAAGACAATCCTGAAGATAAACAAAGTCAGAGGAATGACTCTAATGGATGTCAGGATTCATGTTCAAATTACAATAAATGAGATTGTGTGGTATTTGCACAAAGATAATCCAATGGGACAATGGAAAAGAACAGAGGTCAAGACAGGGACACACATATATGGATGCCTGATTTATGACATAGATGATGCTGCAGAGCAGTGGAGAAAAGACGATCTTTCAGCAAACGGCACTGGGTGATTTGGATGCAGACTTCTGACCCCTACCTCACATCATATTTTAACAAGGCAGGACCGCACCTGCACTGGCTCAACCCTTCACTGGCTCCCAGTCATTTCTCAGGCTACTCACAAAGCTGGAATACCCCACAAAACTCAGCCCTCAATCTGTATGTCAGAAGGGAAACACACCTGTCTCAGACAGTCTAAGAAGAGAATAAAGAATAAACCTAACTTATCAGAGAAAACAGAATGAATGGCTGGACAGTACCACCATGCAAATAAAATTAACTCTACTGAGTGCTGGGTCATGCCACCCATACCCTCTTCCACACAGAAGCAACCATTCCCCAGCTGGGTCCTCTGCTGCAGAAAGCTGCCGGATAATAGCATGTCCACTCCCTGAGCATGGCCTGCATTTTAACTGTTGGTCTCTGCAGGGGTATAACGGCTACACCCCTGCCCCAATTCAGGACAGCTCTGCAGAGCCAGTACAACTCAAGGCCCCTGGGATGAGGCCTTTGCTGTGACTGCCTCAGAGCCCAACTTCTCCCTCTGCCTAATTCTGCCTCCTGGCATCACTTCCTAACATATTTCCTACGCCTCTGAGAATACAACCTGTAACATGAAGCAAAATCACAAGGCAACAATATAAACAAACAGTAAAACAACAACAAAAAGGGTCACCCGGCTAGGAGTGGTGGCTCATGCCTATAATCTCAGCACTTTGGGAGGCCAAGGTGAGCAGATCACCTGAGGTCAGGAGTTCGAGGCCAGCCTGGCCAACATGGTGAAACTCCGTCTCTGCTAAAAATACAAAAATTAGCCGGGCGTGGTGGTGGGCACCTGTAGTCCCAACTACTTGGGAGGCTGAGGCATGAGAATCACCTGAACCCAGGAGGCAGAGGTTGCAGTGAGCCGAGATCGTGCCACTGCACTCCAGCCTGGGCGACAGAGCAAGACTCTGTCTCCAAAAAATAAAAAAAAATAAATTTTAAAAAATAGTAAAATAACAACAAAAAGGCTCACAGAAGATAAGTCAAAGAGCCCAGCCTAGAAGAAAATTTAATGCATGGAAGAGAAGGAAGTCTTGCTAATTGCTTCAGGCCATAGAACACCTCAGAAAGAATAAAACCAATAAAACAAAAGCTCAAAATTGAGTTGATATGACAGTCAAAGGAGATTAAAAGAAAGCATGCAGACCTAAGGAAACCAGCTAAGACCAAACAACCTAACTGCCACATAAGGAAATACCTTTAGAAACACCCAGGAGCTACATGGCGACTGCTGAAAATGGAATGACCAACACCTGAGGTGATCATAGTGCATGCAGAGGAAAACAACTTTAAAAGATAAATTGATCTGGAAGACAGAAAACCACCACTATACAGGGCTAGTTAGTAGGCCTGGAATTTAGAAGACTATATTCCATAACTTTATATTGAATTCCATTCTATAATTTAAGTTAAACCACCAGAGTTATTAAACTACTCAATAGGCCAGATGCAGTGGCTCATGCCTGTAATCCCAGCACTTTGGGAGGCCGAGGCGGGTGGATCACCTGAGGTCAGGAGTTCGAAACCAGCCTGGCCAACATGGTGAAACCCCATCTCTACTAAAAAATACAAAAATTAGCCAGGCGTGGTGGCACACACTGGTAATCCCAGCTACTTGGGAGCCTGATACAGGAGAATCACTTGAATTGTACCTGGGAGGCAGAGGTTGCAGTGAGCTGAGATCACGCCACTGCACTCTATCTAGCCTGGGTGACAGAGCGAGACTCTGTCTCAAAAAAAAAAAAAAAAAAAAAAAAAAAAAAAATTTAAACACTGGATCTAAAAGAAACTCAATAACTTTAGCTTTTTAATATTTTTCATTGATCTTAGACCTCTTATATTTAGAGGGATCTTTTAACACTTTTAAGACATATTAATCCTTGTAGTAAAGAAATATATATCTTTGAAAGTCAATAATTCTTTCAGTTGAACTTCTACTTCTCTTTTCTCCATTCAGTTCAGTTAAAACTAAATTTCTTTTTTTTTTTTTTTTTTTTTTTTTTGAGACGGAGTCTCGCTCTGTCGCCCAGGCTGGAGTGCAGTGGCGGGATCTCGGCTCACTGCAAGCTCCGCCTCCCGGGTTCACGCCATTCTCCTGCCTCAGCCTCCCAAGTAGCTGGGACTACAGGCGCCCGCCACTACGCCCGGCTAATTTTTTGTATTTTTAGTAGAGACGGGGTTTCACCGTTTTAGCCGGGATGGTCTCGATCTCCTGACCTCGTGATCCGCCCGCCTCGGCCTCCCAAAGTGCTGGGATTACAGGCGTGAGCCACCGCGCCCAGCCTGGTTAAAACTAAATTTCATACATGCATGCTATGGCAATACCCATCTAAATAACTCTTCAAGTGCAGCCAGCATGACCCGAGCTGTGGCCACTCCTGATACAGTGTAAGACGACGTTCCCAGGGTAGCTATCAAGTATTCTTGCCAAAAATGTTTAAACCAAATGAAATAAAGTCTTTAGATCTAACTTTCAGTTAGAAAATGAGAAAGATAAGTTAATTGAGACTTCAAAAGATGAACTGAACAATCCAAAATATGGGACATTTTACAAAACAACTGGTCCAGGCTTTTCAAAAAGTCAATATTACGGGGAGGGAGTGGGATAGGGAACTTTTCTACATTAAAAGAAACTAAAAAGACAAAACTGTATGTATTGCATGAGCCTTGATTGGATCATAAAACCATAAAAAACATCTTTGGGACAACTGGGATTGTGGGGAGAAAAGAAGAAAAGAAACTTTTTATCTAAGGAATTATCAGGCCCAGAGAGGCCCTGGAATGTAACAGCATTCATATTGCTCCTCTCTGAGCTAAATAATTAAATAATTACTTTTTTTTTTTTTTTTTTTTTTTTTTTTGAGAACGAATCTCACTCTGTTGCCCAGGCTGGAGTGCAGTGGCATGATCTCAGCTCACTGCAACCTTCGCCTCCCAGGGTCAAGCGATTCTCCTGCTTCAGCCTCCGGAGTAGCTGGGATTACAGGCGCGCACCACCACGCCTGCCTAATTTTTTGTATTTTTAGTAGAAACGGGGTTTCACCATGTTAGCCAGGCTGGTCTCGAACTCCTGACCTCAGGTGATCCGCCCACCTCTGCCTCCCAAAGTGCTGGGATTACAGGCACTAGCAACCATGCCCGGGTTTTTTGTTCTTTTGTTTTTTTGTTTTTTTTTTTTGAGACAGAGTTTCGCTCTTGCCCAGGTTGGAGTACAATAGCATGATCTCGGCTCACTGCAACCTCTGCCTCCTGGGTTCAAGCAATTCTCCTGCCTCAGCCTTCCGAATGTCTGGGATTACAGGCACCCACCACCACGCCTGGCTAATTTTTGTATATTTAGTAGAGATTGGGTTTCACCATGTTGACCAAGCTGGTCTTGAACTTCTGACCTCAGGTGATCCACCCGCCTTGGCCTGCCAAGTGCTGAAATTACAGGCATGAGCCATCACCCCCGGCCCAATAATTACCTCTTAAAGCCACTTGCTATGTGGAGCTAGAACGATACCAAGTAGCCATAAAATGCCATACACCCTATAGTTCAACAATGTGTAGCCAATCACTAACCAATATTATTTCTGCAAACAATGAGAATTCCTGACAAACCACTTTTGTAATCACCCCCTCCCCTGATATGTCCTTTTTTTCTTTAAAAACTTGAGCCTCTCGGCCGGGAGTGGTAGCTTACACCTGTAATTCCAGCACTTTGGGAGGCCAGGTCAGGCGGATCACGAGGTCAGGAGTTCGAGACCAGCCTGGCCAACATGGCAAAACCCCATCTCTACTGAAAATACAAAAATTAGCCGGGTGTGGTGGCGGGTGCCTATAATCCCAGCTACTCGGGAGGCTGAGGCAGGAGAATTGCTTGAACCTGGTAAGCGGAGGTTGCAGTGAGCAGAGATCACGCCATTGCACTTCAGCCTGGCCGACAAGAGCAAGACTCTCTCAAAAAAAAAAAAAAAAACAATTTGAGCTTCTCTTTTGTTCTCCTGAGCAGTCCCCAAGGAAACCCAGAAGTGTTTCAAGTGTCCCAGGCTGCAATCTTCAACCTCAGCCCAAATAAGCTCTCTACGTTAATTTTCCCTCAGCTTCTTCGCTTTAGGGGGACCAGATGATTATAGATTTGGTAGTAGATTATTTTAGGAAGTTGTTGTTAAGTTTGTTAAAAGTCAAATGATACAATGTAGGAGAATATCCTAAGATCTCAGCAGAGGCAAGCTGAAGTATTTCAGAGTGCAGTGCTGTGATGCTTGCAACTTACTTTCAAAGGCTGGAGGGGAATCCCAGTACTGTGTGTGCCCTGTTCACTCCTCCTTTGCTTTCCCGTTTTCAGTATGCTTGAAACTTTTCAAAATAAAAAGTTTGGGAGAGGAGGAATCTAAGTAATCCTCATAAAATTAAATAATTAAATCAAAGGCCCCATTTCCAACTCCTTTTTGGATTAAAGAAAATAATTTATAAATGAATAGCTTCTATAATATGAATCCATCTTTATAAAAAGTAATTCATTGGCCGGGTGTGGTGGCTCACGCACGGCCTGTAATCCCAGCACTTTGGGAGGCCAAGGCAGGCGAATCACGAGGTCAAGAGATAGAGACTATCCTGGCCAACATGGTGAAACCCCGTCTCTACTAAAAATACAAAATTTAGCTGGGCATAGTGGCTTGCGCCTGTAGTCCCAGCTACTTGGGAGGCTGAGGCAGGAGAATCGCTTGAACCTGGGAGGCAGAGGTTGCAGTGAGTCGAAATCGTGCCACTGCACTCCAGCCTGGCGACAAAGCGAGACTCCGTCTCAAAAAAAAAAAAAAAAAGTAGGCCAGGCGCAGTGGCTCACCCCTGTAATCCCAGCACTTTGGGAGGACGAGGCGGGTGGATCACGAGATCAGGAGATGGAGACCATCCTAGCTAGGACGGTGAAACCCCATCTCTACTAAAAAAATAAAAAAAAAATTAGCCGAGCGTGGTGGCAGGCGCCTGTAGTCCCAGCTACTCGGGAGGCTGAGGCAGGAGAATGGCGTGAACCCGGAAGGCAGAGCTTACAGTGAGCCAAGATCACGCCACTGCACTCCAGCCTGCGCAAAAGAGCAAGAGCGACACTCCGCCTCAAAAAAAAAAAAAAAATTCATTTATGTTTCTATGTCTCCACCTATTTATCTATATCCATCCATCCAAAAAGATGTCTGAAATTGTTGCCTCATGTTCATTATAGTAAATTTTTTTTAAATTTTACCCTAATATTTCTATTTTGTTTGAATTCTTTTTTTTTTTTTTGAGATTGAATCTCACTCTGTTGCCCAGGCTGGAGTGCAGTGGCTCAATCTCAGCTCACTGCAACCTCTGCCTCCCGGGTTCAAGCCATTCTCCTGCCTCAGCCTCCCAAGTAGCTGGGATTACAAGCGCCCACCACGATGCCCGGCTAATTTTTGTATTTTTAGTAGCGATAGGGTTTCACCATGGTGGCCAGGCTGGTCTCAAACTCCTGACCTCAGGTGATCCGCCCACCTGAATTCTTTATAATAATCACAACAGAATAACTTTTCTTAAAAAACGTACTGACAGCCGGGTGCAGTGGGTCACGCCTGTAATCCTAGCACTTTGAGAGGCCAAGGCGGGTGGATCACCTGATGTCAGGAGTTCGAAACCAGACTGGCCAACATGATGAAACCCCGTCTCTACTAAAAATACAAAAATTAGCTGGGCATGGTGGCTCATGCCTGTAATCCCAACTACTCAAGAAGCTGAGGCAAGAGAATCACTTGAACCCAGGAGATGGAGGTTGCTGTGAGCCAAGATCATGCCATTGCACTCCAGCCTAGGAAACAAAAGCAAAGCTCCATCTCAAAAAAAAAAAAAGGTATTGATTCTAGGTAGTGGGAATTATTATTGTCTTCTTTGCTCATTTCTGTATCCCCAATGTTTTAACTGAGTTCTTGTAGATGTGAACATGAGGAAGTGAAGATCATGTGGGCAGAACTCCTTCAAGAGTCTTCTGATTCTGGCTGGGTGTGGTGGTTCACGCCTGTAATCGCAGCACTTTGAGAGGCCAAGGCAGGTGGATCACTTGAGGTCAGGAGTTTGTGACCAGCCTGGCCAACACGGCAAAACCCCGTCTCTACTAAAAATAAAAAAATTAGCCGGGGAGTCAGGCGCAGTGGCTTACTCCTGTAATCCCAGCACTTTGGGAGGCCGAGGCAGGTGGATCACTTGAGGTCAGGAGTTCAAAACCAGCCTGGCCAATATGGTGAAACCCCATCTCTACTAAAAATACAAAAATTGGCCGGGCACAGTGGCTCATGCCTGTAATCTTAGCACTTTGGGAGGCTGAGGCAGGCGAATCACGAGGTCAAGAGTTCGAGACCAGCCTGACCAACATGGTGAAACCCCTTCTCTACTAAAAATACAAAAAAATAGCTGGGCATAGTGGCAGGCGCCTGTAATCCCAGCTACTCGGGAGGCTGAGGCAGGAGAATTGCTTGAACCCGGGAGGTGGAGGTTGCAGTGAGCCTAGATGGAGCCACTGCATTCCAGCCCAGGTGACAGAGTGAGACTCTGTCTCAAAAAAAAAAAAAAAAAAAATACAAAAACTGGCTGGGCGCAGTGGCTCACGCCTGTAATCTCAGCACTTTGGGAGGCCAAGGAGGGTGGATCACGAGGTCAGGAGTTCGAGACCAGCCTGGCCAATATGGTGAAACCCCGTCTCTACTAAAAAAATATATAAAAATTAGCCAGGCATGGTGGCGGGTGCCTGTAATCCCAGCTACTTGGGAGGCTGAGGCAGAAGAACTGCTTAAACACGGGAGGTGGAGATTGCAGTGAGCCGAGATCGTGCCATTGCACTCCAGCCTGGGCAACAGAGAGAGACTCTGACTCTAAATAAATAAATAAATAAGCCAGGAGGTTGGTGGGCGCCCATAATCCCGGCTACTCGGGAGGCTGGGGCAGGAGAATTGCCTGGACCCAGGAGGGAGAGGTTGCAGTGAGCCGAGATCACACCACTGCACTCCTGAGTAGCTGGGATTACCAGGCCTGGCTAATTTTTGTATTTTTAGTAGCGACGGGGTTTCACCATGTTGGCTGACCAGGATGGTCTCGAACTCCTGACCTCAAGTGATCCACCCGCCTCGGCCTCCCAAAGTGCTAGGATTATAGGTGTGAGCCACTGCGCCCGGCCATGGGGTCAACAATTTGAAAGTAAACCAGCCAGCCAGATGTGGTTTTCGGCTCACAACACTCAAGAGCTGCTCAAGTGCTGAAAGAAGCAAGCAGAAGACAAGTGCATGCCAAAGTGAGAAGAAAAGAGTCTCACGTGTCCCTCCTAGAGTGGCTCTCAGCGGACCAAGCAGAGAAACAATGCCAGGAGGCACAGTCACAGCAGCGAGAAGGGACTGAGGAGGAGGCCTGGGGAAGCCAAGTGTGGACAGCCTGCAGGGGAGATCTCGGAGAGGTGCAGTTACTCGTGTTACCGCTGATCATCCGAAACGGGCCACTCTTGTCATACCAAACTAAAACAGTAACCAGGTAGGAAAAGCATTCGGGTACAAAATATGGCTCCAAGAATATAATTCTCTGCAAGCCCAACTGCTGGAACTGCTTGTTGTAACCTGAAACCAGTTTTATCTCTAGCTTCTGAGACCACTTGCTGCAACTCCAGGACTAATTTTGTCCACCACCTTTGCTCACCAGTCATTGTTTGCCAGCTCCCCAAACCCTGACAGTGCCAATAAACTTTCTCCCAGCACAGTATGTAACATTTCTTCTTTTTCAGCAAAACCTCGAACCTTCTCTTTGTTCTTCAGACATTCCAAAGATCACCCAGATTGTATGTATGACTCACATGGCAATTCTTTCTTCCCAAATAAAACATTAAATTTACAGCCTTGTCTCCACATTGTTATTTTGACTTTGACACTTGTAAGGAGAGGATCCTGGCAGCAGTCATGGGAAGCAAGGTTCAGGAGAGTTTGCTGGAGACCAGAGTAGACTGTGACACTTCAGTGTGTGGGCCCTGAAGCCACAGGAAGGGTGACCTGAGCTAGGTGGAGAGGAAGGCTAAGACTTAGATAATCAGTCACCAGAAGCTCAGGCAGCATTCCACAGGAGACAGAAAGGATGGCACATCCAGAGTCTCAACAGAGCATGAGCAGCTGGGAGCTAGGAGGACCCAATCCCATCTCCTGGCCTAGGCCTGGTGGGTAAGGCAAAGATCCAGCTCCATCAAGGGGGGTGAAGGAAGCAACATCTTCGGGACAGAGTCAGGTTTTCATTAAAGTAAGAGCACATTAGGAGTTGCTTTTGGTTTGGGATACAGAATTCCAGTTCCCACCACTGAGGATTCCAATTCAGTACCTTTTATTAAAAAAAACCTCTCCAAGTGATTAAGACTACTGGGCAGGTTTGGAAATTACTGTGTCTAAACCAGGCACAATGGCTCATGCCTGTAATCCCAGCACTTTAGGAGGCCAAGCCAGGTGGACCACTTGAGCCCAAGAGTTCGAGACCAGCCTGAGCAACATACTGAGACTCCATCTCTAAAAAAAAAAAAAAAACAGCTGGGCACGATGGTGTGCACCTGCAGTCCCAGCTACTCAGGAGGCTGACTTTGGAGGATTGTCTGAGCCAGCAGAGGTTCCAGTGAGCCGAGATTGCATCACTGCACTCCAGCCTGGGTGACAGAGTAAGACCCTGTCTCAAAAAACAAAACAAAACAAACAAAAAAAAACCTCAAAGCCTTTGGATGCATACTAAACATATATAGTAAATAGTGAGCAAATATTTGTTGAAATGAATACAGTAAAGTTAGATATTTTTATTAAGCATCATTAGCAAATTCTTCCATGTCACAGACTAGGAGTATAATATTATATAATGTTAAAGCAGAAAAGACCAGCTTGGTGTGGTAGCTCACGCTAGTAATCTCAGCACTTTGGGAGGCTGAGGCAGGAGGATCACTTGACTCAGTCATTTGAGATCAACCTGGGCAATAGAGCAAAACCTCGTCTCTACAAAAATTAAAAATTAAAAAAAAAAATTTAATTCAAAAATGACCCAGGAGTGGTGGTGCACACCTGTAGTCTCAGCTACTCAGGAGGCTGAGGTGAGAGGATCACCTGAGCCCAGGAGGTAGAGGCTGCTGTGAGCCTTGATCATGCCACCGCGCTCCAGCCTGGGCAACAGAACAAGACCCAGTCTCAAAAGAAAGAAGAGAAAAAACTGCACAACTCCAGAACAACTGTACAACACTTATGAACTTGATCCCAAAGGACCAAGAGTATAACCAAGCCAGGCGCGGGGGCTCACACCTGTAATCCCAGCCCTTCAAGGGGCCAAGGCGGATGGATTGCTTGAGCCCAGGAGTTCAAGACCAGCCCGGGCAACATAGCAAGAACCCCTCTCTACAGAAAAAAAAAAAAATGCAAAAATTAGCCGGGTGTGGTGGTACACTCCTATAGTCTCAGCTACTCAGGAGGCTGAGGTGGGAAGATCACTTGAGCCCAGGAGGTAGAGGCTGAAGTGAGCTGTGATGGTGCCACTGCACTTCAGCCTGGGTGACAGAGTGAGACCCTGTCTCAAAAAAAAAAAAAAATAAGACATAACCAACTGGCCACAAACTCTGAAATGCCCTTATTTTCCCCTCTCGCCCCAATAGGTTCTCACAGTTCACAGCCTTCAAAGGCCTCTCTGTCCAACCAGGTAAATCTGGCATTACAATGAATTATAAAACTAACAAATCACTAAGATCACCCATTCATTTGGTACCCTGACCAGAAACAATCTGCCCAAAATGAAAGAGGAAAAAGTATCCCCTGAGCTACATTCCCATGACCCTGCGAATTAGGTAACTACCAAAAGGTCCTTTCTTCTATCCTACAACACAACATTCTATCCTCAGACAACTCATGCTTGGATCCGATTTCTATGGTTTATTGTTGTAACCACATCAACCCACTCCTCCTCCCCTCAATAATGTGAGCTTAAAGCATTTTGAGAGGAAAGAATGAACAATGTTATGTGAACAGGGTTCTCCAACTGTATATTACATTACAGAAATGTGGAATGTTTATTTAAAAGGATTATGAGGGTTTTGGCCTTCCTATGGCAAGAACTCCATTTTCTCCTTCAATCATGAAACTCAATAAGTTAAAGATAGAAAGGCTAGAGCCTTTTTTTTTTTTTTTTTGAGACAGAGTCTCACTCTGTCACCCAGGCTGGAGTGCGATGGCGTGGTCTCAGCTCACCACAACCTCCGCCTCCCAGGTTCAAGTGATTCTCTGCCCCAGCCTCCTGAGTAGCTGGTATTGCAGGCACCTGCCACCACACCCAGCTAATATTTGTATTTTTAGTAGAGATGGGGTTTCACCATGTTGGTCAGGCTGGTCTCAAACTCCTGACCTCAGGTGATCCGCCCACCTCAGCCTCCCAGAGTGCTGGGAGTATAGGCGTGAGCCACCGCGCCCGGCCCTTAGAGCCTTTCTTAGGAGGTGTCTTATATCATAAGTCTTCCTGGTTAAACACTGCCCTTCATCTTCAAAGCACTGACCATGGTTTGCTGGTGCCTGCTTCCAATAAGAGGACTTGGGTTTTGGAGGTGTTGACTGCCATGGTCAGTCAGCACCCTGCTCACTCAGGTGCACAAAATGAAGACTTATCTTCAACCATCATTGACATAATGACTGGCCACTCCCAAACAAGCCCATCAATAGCATTTTCATTTTCTGGTATTTTTTCTTTTTTTTTTTTGAGACTGAGTCTCACTCTATCGCCCAGGCTGGAGTGCAGTGGTGTGATCTCAGCTCACTGCAACCACTGCCTCCTGAGTTCAAGTGATTCTCCTGACTCAGCCTCCCAAGTAGCTGGGATTATAGGCGTGCACCACCATGCCCAGCTAGTTTTTTTTTGTTTGTTTTTTTTGTATTTTTAGTAGAGACAGGGTTTCACCATGCTGGCCAGGCTGGTCTCGAAATCCTGACCTCATGATCTGCCCACCTCAGGCTCCCGAAGTGCTGGGATTACAGGTGTGAGCCACCGCGCCCGGCCTTTTTTTTTTATCCTAAGTGTTTAAGTTTTCTTTTTCCTTCATTAGCTTCCATGTCAAATGCTCCAGGTTTAGGTACAGTATGTCCATGTTCATTTCCTTGAGGCAGGGCTGTGTTTTCCATGGACACCAGGCAGCAGGCTGCAACACACTGGAGAGACCTTGCCAAGAATACTGACGGCCACAGGATCACCAAAAAATATCCCAAATCCATCCCTTCCTTTTACCTCCGCTGCTATGCCCTGCCCAGTCCACGCCGTCTTTACCTGCAGCCCTGCAGTGGCTTCCAGCCCCTCTCCCTGATGCCAGTACTGTCAGTTCTCCACCCGCCTGCCAGCCAGAGAGATCTTTTTAATCACACAAATTGTGTCAGGTCACTCCCATGTCAAAACCTTCCAAGGGACTTCTAATTGCATTTAGCATGAAACTACAACTATTTATCCAGTCTCATCCTTCCACCCTGGTCCCCAGATGTCGGCTCTCAACACAGCAGCCACAGTGATTTAGATCATGTAATTCCCCTGCCTGACACCTTGCGTGGCTCCCATCTCATTCAGAGCTGATGCCAGAGCCCTGGCGGTGGCCTCCCAAGGCCCCACACAGGCCAGCAATCCATTACTCTCAGACCCCATCTGCTACCATTCCCATTCAAACTCTTCACTCCTCCAGGCCTGGAATGCTCTTCCCCCGTCCCCCAGTGTGGCTTATGTCCCCACCTCACTCTGGTCTTGGCTCCAATGCCACCTCCTTCTGAGGCTCCACTGATCACGCTCACACTGCATACTCTCCCCTCCCTCTCTCCCTCACTCCCTTTCCTGTTTTATTTTTTCCCCAGCACCTTGGTCACATCTGACATAATGTAAATGTTACTGGCTCATTTATTGGTCCACAAGGATGCAGCTCCGTGAAGTTAAGGATTCTGATCTGCTCTTTTCACTTCTCTTTCCCAAGAACGGTGGGAAAACACTGTTCTCCTCGAACAGTGCTGGTACATCACAAGTGCTTAGTGAAAGCTATCAAAAATGAGAGAAAGAGCTGACTCCTGCCTTCCCTGCCTACCTCCCCGCCCAGGCACAGTGATCTTCTCTCTGTTCCTCCAGCAGCCAAGCTCATGCCCACTTCAGCACATTGTACACTTGCTGCTCACTTCTACCTGGAATGCTCTGTGACAGCTACTCCAGCCCAGGCACTCTCACATCAGATCTGAAAGTGTCTCGTTTATTCATGAACCTACCTGTTTATTTTCTGTCTCCACCACTGAAGCAGAATCTCCAGAGCAGGGACCTTGTGCTGTTCACAGAGGCTTCCCTGGTGCTTGCAATGGGCTCAGTATTTAGTAGGTGCTTAATAAATATCTGTTGGAGGTACAACCAATCGAGCTTATGTGGGCCTCAGTTTTCTCGAATATAAAATAAGAAAGGTGAGGCTGGATGAGATAGTTTGCACCTGTAATCACAGCACTTTGGGAGGCCAAAGCAGGCCTAGACCAGCCTTGGAAACACACTGAGACCCCACCTCTACAAAAAATCAAAAAAATTGCCGGTGCAGTGGTGCACACCTATGGTCCCAGCTTCTCTGGAGGCTGCAGCAGAAGGATTGCTTGAACCCAGATGGTCGAGGCTGCAGTGAGTCATGATTGTGTCACTACACTCCAGCCTAGGCAACAGAGTGAAACCTTGTCTCAAAAAAATATTATACACACACACACACACACACACACACACACTATATATATATATATATATATGCCTGCCTTGGCCTCCCAAATGCTGTGATTACAGGTGCAAACCACCTCAGCCAGCCTCAGCTTTCGTATTTTATATTCGAGAAAAGTGAGACCCACATAAGCTGAATCTGTATGTATATATAAAAAAAGAAAGCTGATACTCTAAGATACTCTCTAACTAAGACACTCTAGGTCTCTTTGGGCTCTAAAATGTTGATGGCATATTCTTGTAACATAGTAGAGTTTACAAAGAGCCTTCACATATAACAGCTCGTGCAGAGCCCTGGAGGGTAATTAACACGATTGTAATCATTCAGGTTTTTTGCATCTGAAAAAAATTGCTGACTGTGAGACTGGTCCAAAAAGACAGGTGTTAACCGGTGGAGCTGGGTCTAAATCCACAATTTTCTCAGTGCCGCTACAATGGTAGCAGAATTAAGCAGGATTTTCTAGTCCTTACAAATAGGTTCAAGGCAGCACAAATTTGCGTTTACTTCACACTAATCCAAAAAAGTACTCCATATGAACTTCCAATTGTTTTCCCGAGTTTTCCATGAACACGCTGGTCATCTGAGAATGAACAGTCAATCAATACAGACTTACTGGCTCAGGAGTACCTGACCGTTGAACATGGAGATCTGTGTAAGGAATTGCGTCCTTTGAAGCAGGCATTTGAATCCCTGTTTTCAGCTCGCTGGGTGTATGAAAGAATCTGTCTGAGCTCTACCAGCCCACCTAGGACAGGGCGCCTCGCAGCAGGGCAGGCGCGCTCAGGAAGAGAACGACTTTCTCAGGTTGTGGCCTGAGTGTAGAAAGCTGAGCGAGTTCTGGAGGGCGCCTGGGAAACTCGACCAATGTGCCCAGCTGAGACTCGAGGGTCCCTGTCCCCACCCGCCCTGTCCCGGGCGCCGCTGAAGCGCACGGAGGACAGGGGCAGCCCCGCACTCCCGCAGACCCCCCGGCCCCGGGCCCCGCCTCACCCGTAGGTGGTCAGCAGCGCCTTGTTGACAAGCACGATGAGGAAGGAGCAGGTCCCGTAGAAGAGCGCCGACAGCAGCCGGGCCACCCGCGAGGGCAGCCGCGCCGCGCCGGGCTCCCCGCCAGCGCCCTCGGCCTCGGCCTGGCCGCCGGCCGTCATCTCCTGCGGCCCCGCGGACCCCGCCGCCCGCCAGCCCCGGCTGCGCACTGGTCCCGCCCGGCCGGGCCGGGGAAGAGGGCGCGGCAGGAACAGGAAGAGCCCGGCGCAATCCCAGGTCCCGACCCGCCCCCTGCGAGCGCCCGAGGCCGGCGCGGGAGGACCCTGCGCGCTGGACTTCACCCTGGTTCCAGGCACCTCCTTCGGTCTCCAGGGCCGGCAATGCGCTGGGGAGTTGAAAAGCGCTGCCTTCCTCCAGGCTTTCCTGGAAAGAAACGCTTCAGTAAGTCTCAGGGCTTGTTTTGCTTTTTTTTTTTTTTCCCTACAACTTTTTTGTTTAGTGTATAATTTACATACAATGAAGTGTACACATCTTGCCAGTCCATAGTTTGAGATGAGCTTCGACAAAGGCATCCACAGGAGTAACTACTCAAAACAACATTTCCATCGCCCCAAAAATTCCCCTTGCTGCCCCTTTGAAGTTAACGCCCGCATCTCATCGATGACTATTGCTGTAGGTTAGGTTTGCCTTTTCCGGAATTTCAAATAAACAGGGTGCTTTCTAGAATTTATGAATGAGCATGTGGTCTCAGGGGTTTTCACTCTATGCTTTGGACTCGACCATGTGGTTTGTTTAATCGTTGAATAGTATCACAAATTGTGTATCCATTGGTTGTTTCCAGTTTAGGACCATTAGGAAAAATGCTTCCATGAAAATTCGTGGGCGTTTGTGGGACCTGTGTCTTCATTTCTCTTAAATAAATATCTAGGAGTGGAGTGGCTAGGAGTAAGGTGGGTGAAGCCTTGGGACTTGGGTGTCCTCTGGGTGCTTTGTGGTAGGTGCATTCCTCGCGGAGGGCCGTTTGCCTTCGGGTCAGGTCAGTTGAAGGACAGCTTCCCAGAACCGCCTACCCTTGTCAGTCTTTAAAAAATATGAACTTTTGGCCAGGCGCGGTGGCTCACACATGTAATCCCAGCACTTTGGGAGACCGAGGCGGGCAGATCACGAGGTCAGGAGATCGAGACCATCCTGGCTAACACGGTGAAACCCCGTCTCTACTAAAGATACAAAAAAAATTAGCCGGGCGTGGTGGCGGGCGCCTGTAGTCCCAGCTACTCAGGAGGCTGAGGCAGGAGAATGGCGTGAACCCGGGAGGCAGAGCTTGCAGTGAGGCGAGATCGCGCCACTGCACTCCAGCCTGGGCGACAGAGCAAGCCTCCGTCTCAAAAATATATATATTATATATTTAATATATAATGTATATTATATATATATATATATATGAACTTTTAGCTTCTTAGAAAAGCTTAAGATTTCAAGTTAAATAAAAGTTGGGGCCTAACTATATAGATGCCCAGAGAATTGTTTTTCTACCCTTAGGCACTAAACAACCAGGAGAATGAAAACTGGGAAACATTTTCAGCCCTGATAAGAACTAAAGCAGAACTCGTGAAAATTAGCTAGCATTAAAAAGACCAGAAGTGCCCAAGTTACCCAAAACAAGAAAGAAAAGACATGTTAAGTCCGTTTTAAAAGAGAAAATGAATCCATATTCAAGTTAAACAGGAAATCGGTCATTTTGGTTAATTTCCTCAGAACATTCAATTTTCTTGTGAGTCTCCAAATGTTTTGACTGCAAAAAGAATATTTTAAAGTTATTTTTAATGATGACCTTCATCATAATTGCATTTAGTTTGATTGTATACACATACTTCCAGGACCTTACCTCGCTGTCAAAATCCCATCCTTACCCTGTTTAAACAGCAACTCACACTAAGGAGTTGCTTGTGATATTCTTCTGCACAAGGGTAGGACAGGCTGACCCTTGCCACTGCAAATACACAACTAAAGATCTACCAAAAATAACTGATGAAAAAAGAAAACCAATTTGCTAGACTCTTAGAAAAGTACACAGGCTTTAAATGGATTCTTGAGGAGCTGACCCCAGAGACAACCCATCCTAAATGTAAGTGAAATGAAATCCCTTTTCCTTATTACCCTAATTTAAGGCCTGGAAATGGGGTGGCAATAGTTCAATACTTATCCACAGCAGTATATTTTTAACACTGTAGTAATGAACCCGATGAGGAAGTTAAATATCTATAACCTTAAAAGCCATAATTAAAGTAAGAAAAAGCAATCCACACTGTACTTACAACTACGCAAACATGTACTGAAATAATACTGATGGCTGAACATAAGGCTGTAGGTGATGTTTCTATCTTTTAAATTTTTTTATATCATGGTTATTATATTTTCGATAGGAAAACAAATGATAAAGGCTTTAAGAATGACCGTGTACTTTAAATTTTAAATTAAAATAAATTTTTATTCAAAGCATCTTTTAAAATTACAGCATGTTTATTCTTATGCTGTTAACTCTGCCAAACTACAACTTAGCCATATGAAGCATAAAACACTTCAAAAATTTGAATGTAAACCATTTTTTAAAACAAAAAGCAGTCTTAACACACCTCAAATTTTAGATACCAATGTATTTTTCCAAGTATATAGCTTATATCAAAAAGAACATTTTAAATGTTTCTAAATAGTTGTGATAATTTCTTAAACTGTTGCAATTATACAAATAAAAAATGTTTATGAAAAAACTATTAGAGTTGACAAAAGCTGACTGGAGAAACAAGGAAAAACCCTTACTTTTGAAGGCCTTAAATGTTATCATCTGTGAATTGGCAAATATTTGTATTTGAAAAATTCTTACTACCCTTCCTTCTTTAGTTAAGTTGATCAAAGTTCAAATTTCCCAAGACTGATGAGTGTTGTTTTTAGTTCATTAAATCACATATTTGAGAGCAAAAATTCTAGAGGAAATGCTGAAACATAAACCAAGATAATTCAGATGCTATAGTCTCTCTTACCAGCTTATAAGTGCTCCAAATTAAAATTCTATATACCACATTACAAAAAAATTCTTAGACCATTACAAATATAAATTCTCTTATTACAAAAAAATCCCTAAAGATTTGTAATTTACTGTACAGAGGAATTACATTTTTAAAGTATGTCCTCATCATACACATTATTCGTAACTATCGTATCTTCTTTCATACTTTTTCTCCTCTTCAAGACATTTACATGCCTCCCCTTCCCCGTGGCTACATATTTTAAACTATCTGTGTACTATGACACATTGGGATTTTTGGATAAAGAAGCCTACTTTGTAATGTTTAAACTACATCTGTAGGAACGTCTTCAACTCAAAAAAGCTAAAAAGGCACTGAAGAGCCCATATTTCCCTCTATTACTCTGAGTTTTACTCCAATTAAGCGATCTGTAAGTTACCATGCTATGCATGTCATTTAGTTCTGTTTAGAACAAAAGCCAAAATGATGGAAGTTTTGCCTACATAAAGGAGGTGGTCTGCTCAGCTCTTGATTTTTCTGTTCATGCTTCAGTACATAAAGTGGTGTTTAATAACTTTATTTGGAAAAATGGCTTCAAACCACCACACAAGTTAACACACTTGCAGTTAAAACTATTTCAGAAGCCTACTTATTTGAGTAGCTAATATTTTCTGCAGTGTTTAACTGATAGCTAAATTTAGTGAACACAAAATAGCTTGGCATGTTACTCTGAAGTAAAGCAAGAAGGTGGCTTTATGCACTGAAAATATAAATATGGAGGCTTCCATTTGCTAATAATTCTAAACAAGCAGTACAATTAAAATGTAGTGTTTGCTAACAAAAGATCTAAAACATTTCACTACAAAACAACCCTGCAGGTGTCCCTTTAGTAAAAATCCAAGTGCCAAATCTCATTACAGGGCCCTTAATATGTATTTTTAAAATTACCAATTACTATGTTACCTAGACTTTGCAAGATTAATCACTCAATTTCAGCAAATGAGAAATATGAAATGTGCAAAAGTTCCCAAGTTAACATGCTAGGGATGACAAGTGCTTTTCAAACTTAAACATTATACTGAGTTGTAAAGCCCCAGATAGAATAAGACTGATTTTGCTCCAATTTCAAAAATTCTGAACTATTGTGCATCTTACCAAGAGCCTCAAATATCTATTTTCTTCTAAGTCCATTACTTAGAACATCTTCCAAAATAGCCTCCCATTTCTCTAGCCTTAGTGGGCACAGTATTTTGCAATTAAAATTATCTATCTTACATATTTTATACTTTCTTGCTTGCTTCAGTGTTTACAGTATTGTTAAACATACTAATATATATTGTTAAAAATGATCTTATAAATAATCTGTTTTAATCTTCTTTGGCTATTTGTACCATTCTGTTTTTCAAACAAGTGTCTTATTCAGAAAGTGCTTCCTGTGAGAACTGCTTCCAATGAATGCATTAAACTTGCAAAATCTAGCTTCCCACAATATGTAGTTTTCTACCCTGTACTGTGCAGTCCATATTTACAAAATATTTTAAACTTTACGATGAATTCATTTCCATATTAAAAAAGTGCAGTTCTCTCTCACCCCATATTCTGGGGCAATAACATTCTTCATAAATTTCTACAGAATAGCAGCCTATGATAAGCAAATAAGGTGCTTAGCTTATGCCCAAGGATCTACTTTTTAAGTATGCTGGGCAGTACTTTTGTACAGTGGAAGAGTCAGTGTCCAAGCTACTGTCGGAGTGGCGCCCCAGTCAGGTTGGCAAGCTCTATGAGCGCGAGGGCTCCATGCAGGCGCTCCCGCTGCTCCTGCAGCCGGCGCTGGGCCCCTCTCTTCTCGTCGTCCTCTTCATCAGACTGAAGGTATTCCAGAGGGTCCTGCTGCTCCTGATCAGCCTTCTGAACCAGCTTGCCTTTCAAAGTGGGGGTGCGCTGCTCTCTCATTTCCCAATACCTATGTGAAATGCAGCAACATTAGTTACATGGCAGACATGAAATTTCCAAATGTTTACTTTTCTTTTAAAAAGTTCCATACCACAATATTACTTTTATGTGGTTCAGTTTATAAAGTTATAAAGTGATTTAACATAAATTTCCTATTTATAGAGGAAAGAAACTGAAGTTCAACGAGGTTAAGAGACGTGCTCAGGTTTCCACAATAAACCTGGCAGTTCTAGATCTTCTACTCACTCTCAAATCACGTTTTTGCCATTAAACTATCACCGCCTTAAAGAGCCTGTGTGAAATGGACTTGAGTAAAATACAGAAATAGTAGAAAAAACAGTCTTTAGAAACTTATTTATCCTATCTACAGAGGGATGGTAACTTCTGACAGCGTTAACGCTGTAAATATTAAACCCACAAACTATGAAAAAGTGATTAACATCTGTGACACAGAGTTTATTCAAAAACTTAAAAACACTACCCTTATTCTGTTACATGGCCAACTGATAATTTACAAGAGAAAATGCAAATGCTCAACTCTTTGGTAACTAAAGAAATGAGTATTTAGGCTGGGCGCAGTGGCTCACGCCTGTAATCCTAGCACTTTGGGAGGCAAGGCAGGCAGATCACTTGAGGTCAAGAGTTCAAAACCAGCCTGGCTAACATGGTGAAAACCCCTCTGTACTAAAAATACAAAAAAATTTGCCGGGCATGGTGGCAGGCACCTGTAATCCCAGCTACTCCAGAGGCTGAGGCAGGAGAATGACTTGAACCTGGGAGGCGGAGGTTGCAGCAAGCTGAAGTCGGGCCGCTGCACTCCATCCAGGGTGACAGAGCGAGACTCCGTTTCAAGAAAAAAAAAAAAAAGAAAAATGCATTTTAAATGACAGTAACAGATCATACAAAACTGTCCATACAAAGCCTTGTATATTAATGTTCATAGTAGCTTTATATGTAATAGCCAAAAATAACCCAAATGCCCATCGAGAGAATAAACAAACTACATTTGTATAAAACTACTATTTTATAGTGACAGCAGATCAGTGTTGTATGGGGGGAAGGGGGACAGGGAGGAATGTGTAGTTCAGTTCACAAAGGGGGCACGAAGAAACTTGGAAATGATGGATATGTTCACCATCTTGATTGTGGAGATGGTGTCACAGTATATACATGTCAAAAATGTATCAAATTGTATACTTTAAAATGTATTAAACTGTACACTTTAAATGTATCATAATTTCTTATATGCTACTTATATACCAACAAAGCTGTTTTTATTTATTTTTATTTTATTTTTCGAGACAGAGTCTCACTTTGTCACCCAGGCTGGAGGGCAGTGGCACAATCTTGGCTCACTGCAACCTTCGCCTCCTGGGTTCAAACTATTCTCGTGCCTCAGCCTCCTGAGTAGCTGGAATTATAGGCGCCCACCACCATGCCTGGCTAATTTTTTTTTTTTTTTTTTTTTTTTTGGAGACAGAGTTTCACTCTTCTTGCCCAGGCTAGAGTGTAATGACGGGATTTTACCATGTTGACCAGGCTGGTCTTGATCTCCCGACCTCAGGTGATCTGCCTGCCTAGGCCTCCCAAAGTGCTGGGATTACAGGCGTGAGGCACCGCACCAGGCCTGTATTTTTAGTAGAGATAGGGTCCTGCCATTTAGCCAGGCTGATCTTGAACTCCTGACCTCAGGTGATCCACCCACCTCAGCCAAAGTGTTGGGATTACAGGCGTGAGCCACCGCACCCAGCCCCAACAAAGCTGTTTTTAAAATTACATACCAAAAAAAAAAAGAAATACAACTACCAAATTTCAGGAAATCCAGACTACTTAAAGTGGAAAAGTTTTGGCAATGCCCACAGAGGTCTAAAAAAAGAAAGTGCAAATTGTTCAGTATGACTTGAAGGATGACTAGAAGAGGAGAATGGCAAAAGATAAGTTCAGCAAGTCAGCAGGAACCAGGTAAGGAAGGACTTTGAATTCCATAATAAAGGGTTTAGGCTTTAGACTGAGGATCATACTGACATTTTAGAAAGATCCCTCTGGCAGCAGCATGGAAAATGGATTGAGAGCATTCAAGTGGCTGAATTTGAGTTAGTAAGGAGGTAGATGTCATAACTTGGTCACTGAGTAGACAGCAGAAAGACAAGGAGGCGAGGTGCGGTGGCTCATGCCTGTAATCCCAACAGTTTGGGAGGCCAAGGTGCGAGAATCACTTGAGGCCAGGAGTTTGAGACCAGCGTGGGCAACGTGACAAGACCCAGTCTCTACAAAAAACTTAAAAATTAGCTGGGCATGGTGGCACACACCTGTGGTCCCAGCTACTCAGGGGGCTGAAGTGGGAGGATCACTTGAGCCCAGGAGGTCAAGGCTCAATGAGCTAATAATCCTGCTACTACAGTCCAGTCTTGACAACAGAGTAAGACCCTGTCTCGAAAAAAAAAAAAAAAAAAAAAAAGACAAGGATGACCAGTAAGCTTCTGGCTGGGACACAATTAGAAATAATGGGGCAGTAGGAGCTAACCAGGAGAAAGAGGAGGGGAGGAAGTGATGGAGATATTTAGTTTAAGGTACCCCTAGAATTGTCCATCTAAACAATTTCTATGACAGTGCTAACAAATTTCCCTGGACGTGAATAATCAAATAGTATTTCCAGATTCCATTATATAATTCTTATGTATTTTTATCCAAACAAAACAGAGTTTATTCCTTCAAATATTTATCAAGGCCCAGAAGCTCTGCTAGGCCCTAGGCTTACCATAATAAACAAGACAAATATCCCTGCCCGGGGAAGCTTTCAGTCTGGCAGGGAAGGTATAAAATAAACAAATAAATGTGTGATGGATGTTTTGAAAAGGAAAATGAAAGCATCTGTTAAGTTGGTCCCAGCCCGTTTGTTGCTGAGCAGGTCAGGGAGGCCTTCCTGAGTAAGAGATGAAGGTGAGCAAGAGGCTTAGCCAAGTGGGGAGTGAGTGCTCCAGGCAGAGGAAGCAGGGTGCACACAGGCCCTCATACAAAGGCACCTGTGTTGAGAAACCCACAGCCCAGCATGGCAGGGGACAGTTGCCTTATCAGAGGGAGGCAGGGCTATGGCAGCACAGCTAGGAATCCTGGACTTTACCCTAAGCAGCCAGTGAAGCCTGGGTGAGGCCTGAGCAGCTGCTGCTGGCTCGTGTACAGCAGACAGGCCCTTCAACCGAAATATCCTTAGAGAAATTCTTTTATACTGGCCCCCTTGTTGCCATTGGAAAAAATTAAATTGGTGTTTTTGGAACCTCACCTAAGAAGAACCACTAACATCTATCCCTGGTGTTTTTTTGTTTTGTTTTGCTTTGTTTTGAGACAGGGTCTCACTCTGTCACCCAGGCTGGAGTACAAGAGTGCAGTGGGGCCATCTTGGCTCACTGCAACCTCCGTCTCCCAGGCTCAAGCGATTCTTCTGCCTCAATCTCCCGAATAACTGGGATTATAGGCACGTGCCACTACTGCCCAGGTAATTTTTGTATTTTTAGTAAAGATGGGGTTTCACTAAGTTGACCAGACTGTTCTCAAACTCCTGACCTCAGGCGATCCACCCACCTCGGCTGTCTATCCCTGTTTTAATTGGCACGTAGCTAAGGCTAACATAAAGAAAATGAAAAAGGTTGCATTCATGACGAATGAAATACAATACATATAAAACATTTTTTCAAAATAGGAAAACTCTTCCTTTTAAAATAAACTGTAGTCTGGGCACTCTAATTATATTGTAATTTTCTATCACACACAGATCCTAAGATCCTAATACCACTCACAACAATTTTATAGAAAATCAGGGGTCATTTCTAATTATGTTATAAAATGTGTATAAATGCAGCTTATTTAAAATGAGAGGCATGTCCAGGTCCCTGACATAGCCCCAGCCCGCGCTGTGCATCTTCACGGTGGACTAAAGGCAGCATTCCTGACCTCGCCAGCCACTCGGCCGCGGCCTTGTTGTCGGCAGCCTGATGTTTGCTGAGTGTGTCCGTGGGCTCCTCTCTCTTCAGCCTGGCGTAGGGGTGCTTCGGACAGTGGCGGTTTGCATGGGTGAATCTGCTCAGGCAGCCTTCAAAACACAAGGTTAACACCTGTCAGGATCTGGACATCCAGCACATAGACATGTGGAAAACATTCAGTTTCACTGGTATCCAGAAAAGTAAATTAATATGGTGAAATTTAGGATCTATAATTTGGAGGAGAAAACAATCAAACCAGCACAGTCTCATCAGTGCTAGAGCGGGGACAGGAAGACAGTCACATTTTGGTCGTGGCCATGTGTGTCCAACACCATTGGAAAGTGATTTATTAGCATGAGTTCAAAATGTTCAAAATGGCAGGGCGTGGTGGCTCACGCCTGTAATCCCAGCACTTTGGGAGGCCGAGGCAGGCGAATCACTTGAGATCAGGAGCTAGAGACCAACCTGGCCAACACGGCAAAATGCCATCTCTACTAAAAATACGAAAATTAGCCGGGTGTGGTGGTCTCTGCCTGTAATCCCAGCTACTCAGGAGGCTGAGACAGGAGAATAGCTTGAACCCAGGAGGCAGAGGTTGCCGTGAGCCGAGATCACGCCATTGCACTCCAGCCTGGCGACAGAGCCAGACTCCATCGCAGGGGTCGGGTGGAGTTCAAAACCTCAGACCCGAGAATTCCATTTGTGGATTCCAACATAAGGAAGCATCCCAAAAGATGAACAAAGCTACACGTGTGAAAACATTCCCCTCAGCTTTGTTGGTAACAAGAACATTTAAAAAACAAATTAAATATTCAGACCAGGTGCAGTGGCTCATGCCTGTAATCCCAACACTTTGGGAGGCCGAGGCGGGTGGATCACCTGAGGTCAGCAGTTCAAAACCAGCCTGGCCAACATGGTCCCCCATCTCTACTAAAAATACAAAAATTAGCCGGACATGGTGGCACAAGCCTGTAATTCCAGCTACTCCAGAGGCTGAGGCAGGAGAATTGCTTGAACTCAGGAGGCGAAGGTTTCAGTGAGCCAAGATCGTGCCACTGTACTCCAGCCTGGGCGAAAAGTGAGACTCCATCTCAAAACAATAAAAAATAAATAAATAAATAAATGCTGGGCGCAGTGGCTCACGCCTGTAATCCCAGCACTTTGGGAGGCCAAGGTGGACGAATCACCTGAGATTGGGAGTTCAAGACCAGCCTGACCAACATGGAGAAACCCCATCTCTACTAAAAATACAAAATTAACTGGGTATGGTCGCGTATGCCTGTAATCCCAGCTACTCGGGAGGCTGAGGCAGGAGAATCGCTTGAACCCAGGAGGCGGAGGTTGCGGTGAGCTGAGATGGCGCCATTGCACTCCAGCCTGGGCAACAAGAGCAAAACTCCGTCTCAAAAAATAAATAAACAAATATTCATTATTCAACATAGAGGAAACCATTGCATATAGGCTTAAGCAAACTTGCTGGATGAAAACTTTGCAGACTTTTGCAACATTTGTAATAATCAAGAAAATTACAGAGCAACAGGACAGATTGCACGGAACTTCAAATATACTGTAACTGCATAAAAATGTGCATCTTTAGAAACTGATAAAAGATTAAGAAAATCACTTAGGATAATATGCTTACTTCACTTTAATAATTAAAAAGTTTAAAATGTTGCTCCAAAGGCTGTATTTACTTTTACAGATTTTTCTACTGCCTACAACTGGATATAGTATCTTTAATTGCCCTTTAAGGTTTCATCAAAAAGGATTACTTTATTTAAAAATCAATTATTTCTTAAGCCAGGCACAGAAAGACAAACATCACTTGTTCTCACTTATTTGTGGGATCTAAATATCAAAACAATTGAACTCGTGGAGATAGACAGTAGAACAATGGTGCCCAGAGGCTAGGAAGGGGAACTGGGGGATGAGGGGCAGGTAAGGATGGTTAATAGGTACCAAAAATAGAAAGAATGAATAAGACCTAGTATTTTATAGCACACGGTGACTATAGTCAATAATAATTTAACTGTACATTCTAAAATAAGTTAAGAGTATAACGGGATTATTTGTAACACAAAGGACCCATGCTTGAGAGGATGGATAGCCCATTTACCATGTGATTATTATGCATTGCATGTCTGTATCAAGTATCTCATGTACCCTGTAAATATGTATACGTACTGTGTACCCACAAAAATCAAAACCAACAAATTTTTAAAATCAATCATTTCTGAGAAATTCAGCATGTATCACAATTATCAAAGAAGAAAGCTTATAAAGTTTTATAAAATTTATATTAAAAAATCTTTCCCCTCAAAAAAATTCAAGGAAAGGATATTTTAACTGTTAAGTCACAACTAGTTATTCCATAAACTTAACTTCTAACACCGTACCATTTTCTGAACAAACAAAAGGTTTCTCTCCGGTGTGAAGACGCTGATGTGTTTTGAGCTGTCCACTTTGAACAAAGGCTTTTCCACAGTCTGGATAGTCACACAGATAGGGCCTCTCACCTAAGTAGACAGATGTTAGATATTATATCTGAGATAATAAGGCCAGAAGAGGAGGGGGATGGGGAGAGAATCAGCCTTTATATAGGTCATGACTCCCAATAACAATAAAACATGTCATGGCCCCTACTGAGCTGCAGGTGGAAATGCTAATGGCAGCACTTGGGTGGCATCAATGACTATCTGCTGGGGAACACAATCTATTCTTTAGGCCTTGAGGTTATCATCTTGAGCTTATCCCATATTTTTTCTCCCTCATACTCCAAATCACTAGATCTTGCTGATTCTTCACTATGTCTTCCACCCACTCCTGCCTTCCCACTCAGCTTCCCCTGGTCAGACGGGCAGCCCTCCCACTAGGATGAACCCTCCGACAGCCTCCTGGCCGGCCTCTTGTTTCTCCCCCTGCACAGCAATCCCAGAGTAGCTGGCATAGAAATCTGCTTTTGTCATACCAACTAGCTCCTGAACCACCCCCAAATCCTATTACACACCTTGGACAACTAAAAATTATCTGCTGACTTAAATGGTCCTCTAAGATCGGCACTCTAGGCAATCTCACCAACCTCATTAGCTACTGGGGTTAAGGGGCAGAGTTTATCCTTACTTCCCTCCTGGAGAATCATTCCAGCCAGGAGGCAGTTCCTCATCTTGTTCTAATCCTTGAAAATCCTATTTTCTCTGCCCATTCAAATCTTCCCAATCCTGTAGGCTCTCAGTGAGATTCTTCCTATCTCCCCAAATAACTGAATTCTTCCTATCTACCTCCAAATAATTGAACTTTGTATACCTTCATTAACCTGGGGTCCTGTGTTGTTTATGTGTCATGGTAGTCTCCTGCAAAGATTCCTAGTACCTTATACTTCACTTAAATTCCTATAGACAACACAGTGCCAGGCTCAAGTGCTGAAAAATTTGTTAATGATAATTAAACATTATTTATTGAAAAAAACATTATTTAATCAACAATTGTACATTAGTTTGCATTTTCCAGTATAACTCAAAGAATAACAAGTCCTCCCTAAATTTCTCATTATTTAGAGACATAATAAATGGTTGTGATAGTTGAATACAAGTTAAAATAAAACACAGATATAGGGGGATTGTTTAAAATAGTAAGGGAAAAGCTTTTTACAAAATATGCTAATAGGGCTCAACTATCCCTTAGGGATCCTCCTTTCAGTTCCTTGATGTACAGACATCTAGGCTGATGCCTGGGGTATCAGGTGACACAGTGAGGTAGTGGTGATCAGGACGGCACTCAGCCCTTTCTTCATTCTGCCACATAGTCTTGAATCTTACCCACACTGGCAACTCTACGGCCTACAAACCAGTTATCCAGGGGATATTTTAGAATATTTAGATTGAAAAAAATATATAAAAATTCTCAAAATTAGAATGTTTCATTAAGTAATCATTTTACTAATGGTATCCAAAGTCAAAACTTCTAGACACCTTAGTTTATAATGATTTAAAATTCAAACATTACCCCTTTCCAGGGATTTAACTTAAAAAAAACCTCTATTCTATCATATCATTTAAATATATATTTTCAAAAACCACAAGTTAAAAAAAAGTGAGAAACAGGTGAGCACCATAAACATGGTGGAAAAAAATAGGGGACTGAGGGTTACAGGCTTAAGTTCTAAACCAGTACTGCCCAATGAAAGACAATATGAACCACTTCTAGAAGGCACATTAGAAAAAGTAAAGAGAAAGAGGTGAAATAAATTTTTTTTTTTTTTTGAGATTGAGTTTTGTTCTTGTTGCCCAGGCTGGAGTGCAATGTCACATCTTGGCTCACCGCAACCTCCACCTCCCGGGTTCAAGTGATTCTCCTGCCTCAGTTTCCCGAGTAACTGAGATTACAGGAATGTGCCACCACACCTGGCTAATTTTGTATTTTTAGTAGAGATGGGGTCTCTCCATGTTGGCCAGGCTGGTCTTGAACTCCTGACCTCAGGTGATCCACCCACCTCGGCCTCTCAAAGTGCTGGGATTACAGGCGTCAGCCACCGCACCCAGCCATGAAATTAATTTTAATAATGTATTTTATTTAATCCAATTTATCTAAAAGTGTCATTTCAATACATAATCAACAGTAAAAATTATTGTTTACTCTTTTTTTCATATTAAGTATGTTTTATATTACTGCCCATCTCAATTTAGACTACCCACATTTCAAGTGCTCAGGAGTCACAGTGGCTACTGTATGGGGCAGTGTAGCTCTAGCTTTAAAGGTATGAGAGACTGATTGTAAGCCGGTAGTAGTTGGATTTTTGGCACTTCAGTTTCCTCACCTGTAAACTATTAGATGAACTATAAGGTTCCTTCCTTTGGGGCCAACTTTATAGCGAGAACAAGGGCCCTCTATACTTTTTTTTTTTGGCTCTCTAAATGATATTTAAAATGCAAATATAATTTCCATATGCAAATAAAGATGTACCATAATCTTGAGATGGCTGCCTACCATAGTTCACCACAGATTTAATGCTTAGGTCAAATGTCCTGATAGCACAGTGAGGACTCTAAACATTCTATTAAAAACTTGACAATTAATGTTTTTGGCCTACAGATGAATTTTAACAATTACATAGATAAAAGTATATCAAGTACAATTTGGGCAAGTAGGGGGTAAAACTAAATTTGCCAATAACATGACTATGACATCTAGGTTAATTACCATGATAACTTTAGAAATCACATGTAACCAGTATTCATAAAACCACCACTCTCCACCAAAAAGAAACTGACTATACTGCCTTTTTAAAAAACTTCACAACTAATAGTGGTAATAAGAAAATATAAAGCAACTAAAAAGTTAATTTATTACTCAATATCAAATCAGCATTCAGTTAAGTGTTACTTCTGGCCAGGCGCGGTGGCTCACGCCTGTAATCCCAGCACTTTGGGAGGCCGAGGCAGGCGGATCACAAGGTCAGGAGTTCGAGACCAGCCTGACCAACATGGTGAAACCCCATCTCTACTAAAAATACAAAAATTAGCTGGGCGTGGTGGCACACACCTGTAATCCCAGCTACTCAGGAGGCTGAGGCAAGAGAATTGCTTGAACCCAGGAGGCGGAGCTTGCAGTAAGCCAAGATCGCGCCACTGCACTCCAGCCTGGGCAACAGAGCGAGACTATCTCAAAAAAAAAAAAAAAAAAAAAAAAAAAAAAAAAAAGTGTTACTTCTGGCAGTCTCTATAAAATTTGCTCAACTTACCTGTATGAGTCCTTTTGTGAGCCTGGAGCGATTTCTCCCGTGGAAACACCCTATTACAGATGTTACAACGGATTCTGCTGGATGAATGCTCTCCTTCATTTATTAAATCGCGGACAGTATCTGCTCTGGGCCTACCACGTCGGATTCCATCCTGTTGATAATTTTTATAAACATTAATATAATTTATTTAACGCTACTCATTAAAGCAACGTATCATAATATAACTTTCAAAAATCTTTCTTGGGAGCTGGGCGCAGCGGCACACACTTATAGTCCCAGCTATTTAGGAGGCTGAGGTAGGAGGATCACTTGAGGCCAGGAGTTCGAAGCAACATAGCACAAAACATTTTTGTTTTGTCTCTAAAAACAAAGCAAAAGCCTTTCTTAAGGGACATCAGTAAAAATGGTGAGGCAGGTAACTCCAATGGCCCATCCCTCCACAGATGACTAAAAAATCAAGCAAAAACTGTCAGATCAGCTTTGTCACAACTCCAGAAAATACATTTATAGCAACTCAGCAAACTGAATAAAAAAGCAACTTGAAACAGTAGAAAAGCTTTGCAGCATTTTGACTTGCCCTCTCTCTTTCCCTTCCCCAGTGGCAGTCTTGAAGACAGCAGCCTGCATTCTCAGTCTGGGAACCTACTCCTTTAGTCCCTGCTTCCAGAGGAAGAAATTCTGAAAGAATTGCGTTTGCCTGTTTTGAGCCTGCGGGTTACCTAAAGGACTGACACAAGACATTGGTCTTTGCTTTCCCTAACTTGGAACAGGGCAGAGAGGTGTCTCTTCAGAGGGTATTGCTCAAAAAACTTGTAAGGCAAATAATCTGCAGCCACCTGGGGCAAAAGATTTCAGTTGAAGCAAACAGACACACCAACAGCCTGAGAGGAAAAGCTGGGAGAAAGTTTCTTTTGGAAATTTGGGCATTCAACAATGTCCACTTATACTAAGGTTAGGAATTTAGAAAGTCATGCATATATGCCCAGGGCAGGAAGCATGCTCAGAAAAGATCTGAAAAGACCCTTTAGCTGAACTTTCGGCTCAGCACAAGCAGGAAATGAGGCTACAGTAGAGTTGTAAACAGCAGGGCTAAGCAACCACAGTGTCCCCCAACACAGCCATTCTGCAAAGACTGGGAGAAGGTGGTTGTCCTCCTTTCTGTCTACTCTTTTTTGGGGGATGGTGGAGGGAAGCTCTAGGTATTCAAAAAAGTCTGTCAAAACACTAGTGGTGGCTCAGCCTATAATCCCAGTGACTCAGGTGGGAGGATCACTTGAGCAAAGGAGTTCAAGGCTACAGTGAGTTATGATGCCCCTGCACTGTAGCCTGAGTGACAGAGTGAGACCCCATCTCTAAAAAACAAAAAACAAAGTGTCGGGCGTGGTAGCTTACGCCTATAATCCCAGCACTTTGAGAGGCTGAGGCCAGTGGATCACCTGAGGTCAGGAGTTCAAGACCAGCCTGGCCAACATGGCGAAACCCCATCTCTACTAAAAATACAAAAATTAGCCAGGCATAGTGGCACACACCACTAGTCCCAGCTACTCAGGAGGCTGACGCAGGAGAATTGCTTGAACCCGAGAGGTGGAGGTTGCAGTGAGCTGAGATCGCGCCACTGCATCCTGGCCTGGGTGACAGAGCAAGACTCCATCTCAAAAAAACAAAAAACAAACAAACAAAGCATCAGCTGAACACAGGCTAAGAAAGAGACTTTAGAGAACAAACACAACAAAGAACACAGAATTTAGAAAGAGTTTAGAACACTCACTAAACAACTACAACTCATAGCAAACAACAAAAACTCAGAAGGAAGGGTCTGATTTCCGGAGTCACATTATAATATTCAAAACCTCCAGTTTTCAACAAAATGTTACAAAGCATGTGAAGAAATAAAAACAGTATGGTACATACACAGGAGAAATTAACACAAAGAGTCTGAGAAGAAGAACAGACACTGGACTTACTAGACAAAGATTTTAAATCAACTGTCTTAAATGTGTTCAGTGAGCTAATGGAAATGATGGACAAAGAACAAGAAGCCTGGGTAACATAGCAAGACCCCCTTTCTAAAAGGAATAAAAATAAATTAGCCAGGCATGGTGGCACTTCTCCCAAGCTACTTGGGAGGCTGAGGTGGGAGAATTACTTGACCCTGCAAGGTCAAGGCTGCAGTGAGCCATGATTACACCACTGCTCTCCAGCCTGGGCAATAGAGCAAGACCCTGTCTCAAAAAAAAAAAAAAAAAAAAGGAAAAGAAAAAGGAAAAAGAATGACAAGAAACCAGGAGAACAATGTCTCAACAAACAGAAAACCAACAAAGAGACAGAAATTATAAAAAAGAATCAAATAGATATCCTGGAGCTGAAACATACAATAACTAAAACAAACAAAAAAAAAACTTCACTAGAGGATTTCAGTGGCAGATTTGAACTGATAGAACAATCAGCCAACTTGAAGATAGGTCAGTTGAATTTATCCAGTCTGAAGAACAGAAAGAAAAAAGAAGGAAGGGAAATCAACAGAGTCTAAGATGCCTATGGAACACCATCAAGCATACCAACATACATATAACTGGAGTCATAGAGGCAAGAGAGGAAAGGGAAAGAATATTTGAAGAAATAATGACAGAAAACTTCCCAAATTTGATATGACACAAATCTAAACATCCAAGAAGCTCAATACACTTCAAGAAAAATAAAGGGATCCACACCAAGACATTTTGTAATCAAACTGTCAAATGACAAAAAGAATCTTGAAAGCAGCAAGAAAGTAGTGACTTGGATAAGCACCATGGCTCAAGCCTATAATCCCAACACTTTGGGAGGCCAAGGCAGGAGGATCACTTGAATCCAGGAGTTTGAGACCAGCCTGGGAAACGTAAGGAGACCTCATGTCTACAAATAATTTAAAAATTATCCAAGTGTGGGGGTACACGCCTGTGGTCCCAGCTACTCAGGAGGCTGAGGAAGGAGGATCAGCTGAGCCTGGGAGGTCAAGGCTGCAATGAGCCATGATCGCGCCACTGGACTTCAGCCTGGGGACAAAACAAGACCAGGCCTCAAAAGGAAAAGAAAGTGGTTCATCATGTAAAAGGGGTCCTCGATAAGATTAACAGCTGATTGGGAGGCCAGGGTGGGCAGATCACAATGTCAGGAGCTCGAGACCGGCCTGACCAACATGGCGAAACCCTGCCTCTACTAAAACTACAAAAATTAGGCCGGGCACGTGGCTCAAGCCTGTAATCCCAGCACTTTGGGAAGCCGAGGCGGGCAGATCACCTGAGGTCAAGAGTTCGAGACCAGCCTCAACATGGAGAAACCCTGTCTCTACTAAAAATACAAAATTAGCCGGGCATGGTGGTGCATGCCTGTAATCCCAGCTACTCGGGAGGCTGAGGCAGGAGAATTACTTGAACCTGGGAGGCAGAGGTTGCGGTGAGCCAAGATCGCACCATTGCACTCCAGCCTGGGCAACAAGAGCGAAGCTCCGTCTCAAAAAAAAAAAAAAAAAAAAATTAGCCAGGTGTAGTGGCGCACACTTGTAATCCCAGCTACTCAGGAGGCTGAGGCAGGAGAATCGCTTGAACCTGGGAGATGGAGTTTGCAGTAAGCCAAGATTGCGCCCCTGCACTCCAGCCTGGCAGACAGTGTGAGATGCCATCTCCAAAAAAAAAAAAATTTTTAAATTAGCAAGGTGCAGTGGTGTGTGCCTATAGTCCCAGCTACTCAGGAGGCTGAGGCAGGAGGATCACTTGAGCCCAGGAGTTCAAGGCTATAGTGAGCTATGATCACACCACTGCACTCCAGCCTGGGCAACAGAGCAAGACCCTATCTCTTAAATTTCAGCACTTTGGGAGGCTGAGGTGGGCAGGTCATGAGGTCAAGAGATCAAGACCAACCTGGCCAACATGGTGAAACCCTGACTCTACTAAAAATACAAAAATTAGCTGGGCATGGTGGCACGCGCCTATAGTCCCAGCTACTCAGGAGGCTGAGGCAGGAGAATCACTTGAACCCAGAAGGCGGAGGTTGCAGTGAGCCGAGTTCGCACCACTGCACTCCAGCCTGGCAACGGAGCTAGACTCCATCTCCAAAAAAAAGAAAGAAAGAAACAAAAGAAAAGAAGAAAGAACTGTGAAAGGACAGAAAAACTTATAACTTTTAGAAATATATATACACCTAAGAACAGAGCCTCCTGCAAAAGGTGACAGAATTAAAAGGAGAAATAGTTCAAAAACAGCTGGAGTCTTCGATACCCTACTTCCTTTACTTCTTTCTTTCTTTTTTTTTTTTTTTTTTTTTTTTTGAGACAGGTTCTCACTCTTGTTGCCCAGGCTGGAGTGCAGTGATGCAGTCTCAGCTCACTGCAACCTCCACCTCCCAGGTTCAAGCGATTCTCCTGCCTCAGCCTCCCGAGTAGCTGGGATTACAAGTGCCCACCACCACGCCTGGCTAATTTTTTTTTTTTTTTTTTTTTTTTTTGTATTTTTAGTAGAGACGGTTTCACCTTGTTGGCCAGGCTGGTCTTGAACTCCTGGCCTCAAGTGATCCGCCCACCTCGGCCTCCCGGAGTGTTGGGATTACAGGCGTGAGCCCCTGTGCCCAGTTAATACCCTACTTTCAATAATGAATAAGACAACTAGGCAGAAGATCCACAAAGATATTCTCCAACATAGACCATACGTTAGACCACAAAAAAGTCTCACTAAATTTTAAAAGACTGAAAGCATTCCAAGTATCTTCTCTGACCTCATGGAATGAAACTTTACAGAAGGAAAACAGGAACAAATATATAGAAATTAAACAACACACTTTTTTTTTTTTGAGACGGAGTCTTGCTCTGTTGCCCAGGCCCGAGTGCAGTGGCATGATCTCAGCTCATTGCAACCTCCACCTCCCAGGTTCCAGCAATTCTCCTGCCTCAGCCTCCTGAGCAGCTGGGACTATAGGTGTGTGCCACCATACCCAGATAATTTTTGTATTTTTAGTAGAGACATGGTTTCACCATATTGACCAGGCTGGTCTTGAACTCCTGACCTCGTGATCCACCCGCCTTGGCCTCCCAAAGTGCTGGAATTACAAGCATGAGCCCCCGTGCCCAGCCCAACACACTCTTAAATAGCCGATGGGTCAAAGAAGAAATCACAAGGGAAAAAAGAAAATACCTTGACACAAATAATACCAAAAACACAACATACCAAACTTATAGGATACAATTCAAGAATTAGATGACTTAAAATTGATAAGATAGCAATGCTATCCAAAGCAATCTTACAGCCACAATGCAATCTCTATTAAAATTCCAGGGGTTTTTTTTCTTTTTTTTTCTTGCAGAAATGGAAAAGGCTATCCTCAAGTTCATATGGAATTATAGGAGGCTCCAAATAGCCAAAATAATCTTGAAAAAGAGAACAAAACAGGAGGACTCACACTTCCCAATTTCAAAACTTACTACTAAGCACTGGCAATTAAGACAGTGTGGTAATGGCATAAGGAAAGACATATAGACCAATGAAATAAAATTTAGAGTACAGAACCTAACCTATACATGAAAGGCCAATTGATTTTCAACAAGGGACCCAAGAACATTCAACAGAGAAAGAATAGTCTCTTTAACAAATGGTTCTGGGATAACTGGATTTCCATATACAAAAGGATAAAGTTAGACCCCTACCTTACACTATATACAAAAACTAACTCAAAATGTACCACAGAGCTAAATATAAGAACGAAAACTATAGAGCTCTTAGCTGGACACGGTAGCCCATGCCTGTAATCCCAGCACTTTGGGAGGCCAAGGTGGGTGGATTGTTTCAGCCCAAAAATTCGAGATCAGCCTGGGCAACCTGGTGAAATCTCATTTCTACCAAAAATACAAAAAGTTAGCAGAGCAGGGTGGCACATGCCTGGAGTCCCAGCTACTCAGGAGGCAGAGGTTGCAGTGAGCCAAGATCATGCCACTGCATTCCAGCCTGGGCAACAGAGTGAGACCCTGTCTCAAAAAAACAAAAACAAGGCCGGGCGCGGTGGCTCACGCCTGTAATCCCAGCACTTTGGGAGGCCGAGGCGGGCGGATCACGAGGTCAGGAGATCAAGACCATCCTGGCTAACACGATGAAACCCCGTCTCTACTAAAAGTACAAAAACTTGGCCAGGCGCAGTGGCTCACGCCTATAATCCCAGCACTTTGAGAGGCTGAGGCGAGTGGATTACGAGGTCAAGAGATCGAGACCATCCTGGCTAACATGGTGAAACCCCGTCTCTACTAAAAATAAAAAAATTAGCCGGGCGCGGTGGCGGGCACCTGTAGTCCCAGCTACTCGGGAGGCTGAGGCAGGAGAATGGCGTGAACCCGAGAGGCAGAGCTTGCAGTGAGCCGAGATCACGCCACTGCACTCCAGCCTGGGCAACAGAGTGAGCCAAGATCACGCCACTGCACTCCAGCCTGGGCAACAAAGCGAGCCTCCGTCTCCAAAAAAAAAAAAGACTGTAATGCTCTTAAAATAAAAACAGGGATGACTCTTCTTGACTTTGTATTTTTTTAATGGATTCTTAGATATGGCACCAAGAGCTAAGCAACAAAAGAATAAATTGGACTGAATCAAAATGTAAAACTTTTGTACATCACAGGACATTACAAAGAAAACGAAAGGCCATCCTACAGAATGGGAGATATTTATTTGCAAACCATACATCTGATAAGGGCCTAGTATCAAGGATATAAAAAGACCTCTTAGAACTCAACAACAACAAAAAACACAAAAAACTCAATTAAAAAATAGGCAAATGACTTGAACAGACATTTCTCCAAAGCAGTTATATGGCCAACAAATGCAGTTATATGGCCAGCAAATACATAAAAAGATGCTGAAAATCAGCCACATGCAGTGTATCACGCCTGTAATCCCAGCACTTTGGGAGGCCAAGGTGGGTGGATCACCTGAGGTCAGGAGTTCAAGACCAGCCTGGCCAACATGGTGAAACCCCGTTTCTACTAAAAATACAAAAATTAGTCAGGCATGATGGCGAGTGCCTGTAATCCCAGCTACTCAGGAAGCTGAGGCAGGAGAATCGCTTGAACCCGGAGGTTGCAGTGAGCCGAGATCACACCACTGCACTCCAGCCTGGCCAACTAAGCAAAACTCTGTCTCAAAAAAAAAAAAAAAAAAAAAAATCCTCAAAATTATTCATCATTTAGGAAAATGCTAATTGAAACCACAATGAGATACTGCTTTGCACCAACGAGGTTATACTATACTGGGAGAAAAAAAGGAAAATAAGTAGGAAATAGTTTTTTTATTAAAAATGTAGAGAAATTGGAACCATCATATACTACTGATGAGAATGTAAAATGGCTCAGCCACTGTGGAAAAGTTTGATAGTTTTGTATCGATATCATATATATATACATATACATACACAATGGAATATGTATACATATATAATGAAATTATTCAGCCATGAAAATAATATATGCTACAAAGTGGATGAACCTAAAAAACAGTATGCTAAAAAAAGAAGCCAAACACAAAAGGCGACATATTATGTGACTTCATTTAATGAAATATCCAGAATAGGTAAATCCATAGAGACAGAAAGTAGGTTGTTGGTTTCCAAGGTCTGCATGTAGTAGGGAACAGGGAATCGTGGTCTAACAGATCAAGTTTTCTTTAGAGGTGATAAAAATGTTTTGGAACTCTTAGAACATTATGAATGTACTAAATGTCACTAGATTGTACACTTTAAAATGACTAATTTAATGTTATGTAATTTTACATTGATTAAAAACCTAAGGAAATCTGAATATGCTATGGGATTCAGTTAATACTAGTGCATCAACATTGGTTCATTAATTTTTAACAAATGTACCACATTAGTGTAAGATGTTAACAGGGAAGCTGGGTGTGCAGTTTATGGGAACTCTCTGTACTACCTTCACAGCTTTTCTATACAGCTAAAACTAATATAAAATAAACATTTACTTGAAAGAAACTTTGTTTCCCAGTTAAGTGAACTTTCACACATACAAGTTACATGAAAAAAAATCATAAAAGGATCATATACAACTACTTCTAAAATGAAGATGCTTTTAGGGCTTTCAATATCAAAACTCAAAGCCTTCCAAAAGCTTAAACATCAGCCTGAAACCTTGAAGGATAGTAATAAGCTACAGCAAAATTCCCTTCAATCAAATTTTCACATTGAAAGAAAAGTTCAATCCCTACATGGATGAATTATCTTCTAGGATAAATCATGTTTTATGAAAATCCTTAGATATTAAAATCTATATTCAGCACAACTTAATGACCTGATTTCAGTCTTATACCATGAATATTCAAATTAGTTGTACACTTACTACTTTTATTCTGAAAGTCTAAAGAAAGTTTTCAAAAGATTTAATGAAGTCTTTACCTATTTTTCCTTTAGTCTTTAGATTCAGGCAGCGTACTAAACAGGAACACCTAAAAATTATTAATAACTGAAGAAATATGTTTTATGTTGGTAAATTCTCATTAGCCATTACAGTTAACTTTTTTAATGATTAAGACCGTGGGGGCCGGGCACGGTGGCTCACGCCTGTAATCCCAGCACTTTGGGAGGCCGAGGCAGGCGGATCACGAGGTCAACAGATTGAGACCATCCTGGCTAACACAGTGAAACCCCATCTCTACTAAAAAAATACAAAAAATTAGCTGGGCGCGGTGGGGGGCGCCTGTAGTCCCAGCTACTCGGGAGGCTGAGGCAGGAGAATGGCGTGAACCCGGGAGGCAGAGCTTGCAGTCAGCCGAGATCGCACCACTGCACTCCAGCCTGGGTGACAGAGCAAGACTCCATCTCAAAAAAAAAAAAAAAAAAAAAAAAAAAGAACGTGGGGGTCAGGCACAATGGCTCACATCTGTAATCCTAGCACTTTGGGAGTCTGAGGTGATAGGGTCGCTTGAGGCCGGAAGTTAGAGACCAACCTGGGCAACATAGCAAGACCCCATCTCTATTATTAAATAAATAAATAGCTTTCCTGTCCCGGCCTGCGTGGCGTGGGCTTGTGGGTCTTTGAGACCCGAAAATTGAGAGCATTTTCGCACCCCAGGGGCTGCTCCTGGCGGCTCTGCGGCCGTCACCATGCCACAGAACGAATATATTGAATTACACCGTAAACGCTATGGATACCGTTTGGATTACCATGAGAAAAAGAGAAAGAAGGAAAGTCGAGAGGCTCATGAACGTTCAAAGAAGGCAAAGAAAATGATTGGTCTGAAGGCTAAGCTTTAACATAAACAGCGCCATGCTGAGAAAATATAAATGAAAAAAAGACTATCAAAGATGCATGAAAAGAAAAACACCAAACAAAAGAATGATGAAAAGACTCCACAGGGAGCAGTACCTGCCTATCTGCTGGACAGAGAGGGACAATCTCGAGCTAAAGTACTTTCCAATATGATTAAACAGAAACGAAAAGAGAAGGCGGGAAAATGGGAAGTCCCTCTGCCTAAAGTACGTGCCCAGGGAGAAGCAGAAGTATTAAAAGTTATTCGAACAGGAAAGAAGGCATGGAAGAGGATAGTTACTAACGTGTGCTTTGTTGGAGATGGCTTTACAAGAAAACCACCTAAATATGAAAGATTCATCAGGCCAATGAGACGGGGTTTCACCGTGTTAGCCAGGATGGTCTCGATCTCTCTGATCCGCCCGCCTTAGCCTCCCAAAGTGCTGGAATTACAGGCATGAGCCACCGCGCCCGGCCAACGTGAGTAATTTTTAATAGATTAAAATATTGGCAAATAGCCTGTTTCTGTAAATAAAGTTTTAATGGAACACAAAATAAATAAATAAATAAATAAATAAATAAATAAATAAACGTTGGACACAGGAAGGGGAACATCACACACCGGGCCTGTCGCGGGGTGGCGGGAGCGGGGAGGGATAGCATTAGGAGATATACCTAATGTAAATGACGAGTTAATGGGTGCAGCACACCAACATGGCACATGTATACATATGGAACAAACCTGCACGTTGTGCACATGTACCCTAGAACTTAAAGTATAATAAATAAATAAATAATAAATATTTTTTAAAAAACAATGTGGGAAGGCTACATATACAAAAGAAATGAAAACAGAATCTCAAAGACATATTTGCACATCTGTGTTCATTGCAGCATTATTCACAATCGATAGCAACCCAAATGTCCACTGACTGATGAATGGATAAATAGTGCTATATACAGTTTAGCCTAAGCAAACTCAGTGTGTTAGTAACAATGGAAAACTACTCAGCCTTCAGAAAGATGGAAATCCTGCCATATGCCATAACATGGATGAACCTTTAGGAAATTATGCTAAGTAAAACAAACCAGTGACAAAAAGGCAAATACTGCATAATTTTACCTATATGAGGTATCTGAGGTCATCAAACTCTTAGAAGAGTGGTGGTGGCCAGGGACTAGAGAGGGGCGGGGGAAAGGCAAGTTCAGTGAGTATAGAGTTTGTTTTACAAGATGAATAAATTCTAGGGACTTGTTGCACAACCGTTTACATATAGTCAACACTACTGTACTGTATACTTAAAAATGGTTAAGGTAGAAAATATTATCGGGTTTTTGCCACAATTTTTAAAATGTCAGAAGGCACTGTGGCAGATATTATTGCAAAAACATTCACTGCCCCTTTCACTGTGGGTCCAGAGTGCAACTTAGCCATATGACTTGCTTTGGCCAATAAAATGTGAGTGAAAATAGCCTGTGTAGTTTGGATGTTTGTCCCCTCCAAATCTCATGTTGAAATTTGATCCCCAGTATTGGAGGCGGAGCCTAGTGGAACGTGTCTGGGTCATAAAGACAGATCCCTCATGAACATCTAGACGCTGTGCTCGCTCATATTGTTACCATGAGATCTGACTGTTAAAAAAAGCCTGTCACTTCCTCCCCTCCCTCTTGTTCCCTCTCTCACCATGTGAAACCTGCTCCCCTTCGCCTTCTGCCTTGATTCGAAGCTCCCTGAGGTCCCTCACCAGAAGCAGATTCTGGTGCCATGCCTCTGGTACAGCCTGCAGAACTACAACCCAAATAAACCTATTTTCCTCATAAATCACCCACCTTCAGGTATTCTTTTATAGCAATGCAAAATGGACTAATACAACATACGGTTCTACCATCTCTGTTTTCTCTCTGCTTTGAGACCCATCTGTCCCAGCTTGGAGAGATTCCTTCAGGATCCTAGAATGAACAGAATGTGGAGCACACCAGTGGTCAACCCTCCCAGGACACATAACATGAGCCATGTTGAGGCTGAGATTGCCATCTTGAAGTTGCATTCTGCAGCCTGCTTTTTAGCCTGAGCTAACTGACTCAGTGGGTTAGTAACGAATATCTGTTGATGAAACAAAAAGCTCATCAACCTTACTTAATTACTCAAGAAATTCCCATGCATAATGAAACAGGAATTAGCAAGATCCTAATGGACCATGACTTATTAAAGTACAAATTAACAAATCAACTTCTGGCCATGATTGGTGGTCATCAAATTCTTTCATCTTCTTTACTCCTTGGCTGTGATCCTCAGTAGCCACATATAGCTCAAGTCTTGCTTGCTAAAATTATTAACACAGAGTCAGACAGAAGGAGCTACACAGGAGTGAAATCTTCATTGCCATCATTTATTAAGCCACAATAATTTCATGGATTATTGCTGGTTATGGTCATATCATGAATAATTGTTTTAATAAGTACAAAATAAATATAAAAGAATATAGCATCTGTGATCAATAAAAATAGGAGCTGATTCTGTTAAGAAAGAAACAGAACATGAAATCAGGACAATTAAAAACCACAGGCCAGGCGCGGTGGCTCACGCCTGTAATCCCAGCACTTTGGGAGGTCGAGGTGGGTGGATCACGAGGTCAGGAGATTGAGACCATGGTGAAACCCTGTCTCTACTAAAAATGCAAAAAATTAGCTGGGCGCAGTGGCGGGCGCCTGTAGTCCCAGCTACTCGGGAGGCTGAGGCAGAATGGCGTGGACCTGGGAGGCGGAGGTTGCAGTGGCCGAGATCGCACCACTGCACTCCAGCCTGGGCGACAGAGTGAAACTCTGTCTCAAAAAAAAAAGCCATAGGCCTGGCTGGGCGTGGTGGCTCACGCCTGTAATCCCAGCACTTTGGGAGACCGAGGCGGGTGGATCACGCGGTCAGGAGATCGAGACCATCCTGGCTAACACGGTGAAATCCCGTCTCTACTAAAAAATACAAAAAATTAGCCGGGCGTGGTGGCGGGTGCCTGTAGTCCCAGCTACTCGGGAGGCTGAGGCAGGAGAATGGCGTGAATCCAGGAGGCGGAGCTTGCAGTGAGCCGAGATGGCACCATTGCACTCCAGCCTGGGCAACAGAGAGAGACTCCGTCTCAAAAAAAAAAAAAAAAAACAAAAAAAACCATAGACCAGGCACGGTGGCTCACGCCTGTAATCCCAACACTTGGGGAGGCCGAGGTGGGTGGATCACAAGGTCAACAGATCGAGACCATCCTGGCCAACATGGTGAAACCCCGTCTCTACTAAAAATACAAAAAAAAATTAGCTGGGTGTGGTGGCACGCGCCTATAGTCCCAGCTACTTGGGAGGCTGAGGAAGGAGAATCGCTTGAACCCGGGAGACAGAGGTTGCAGTAACCCGAGATTGCACCACTGCACTCCAGCCTGGCAACAGAGCGAGACTCTGTCAAAAACAAAACAAAACAAAACAAAACAAAAAAAACATAGTGGCTGGCCACAGTGGCTCACGCCTGTAATCCCAACACTTTTAAGAGGCCAAGGCAAGAGGATCACTTGAACTCGGAATTCAAGACCAGCCTGGACAACATAGTGTGACTCCATCTCTACAAAAAAAAAAAAAAACATAGCCAGGTGTGGTGGCATACACCTGTGGTCCCATACTCAGGAGGATCACTTGAACCCGATAGGCCAAGGCGGCAGTGAGCCATGATTGCGCCACTGTACTCCAGCCTGGGCGACAGAGACCTTGTCTCAAAACAAACAAACAAAAAAACCTTAGTGATACAAGTCCTCTGCCATAAAAGGATCCCTTTCCTAGTATTTTTACATATGTAAGAAAGGCTGGGCGCCGTGGCTCATGCCTGTAATCCCACTGCTTGGGAATTTGAGGCAGGAGAATTGCTTGAGTCCAAGAGTTTGAGATCAGCCTGGGCAGCATAGCAAGACCCCTGTCTACAAAAAAAAAAAAGGCCAGGTGTGATATACACCTGAAGTCCCAGCTACTCAGGAGGCTGAGGTGGGAGGATCACTTGAGGCTGAGGTGGGAGGATCACTTGAGAGTGGGAGTTCAAGGCTGCAGTGAGCCCTAACAGTGCCACTGCACTCAGCCTGGGTGACAGAGTGAGACTTCGTCTGAAAAACATAAAAAATAAGTAAACAAATAAATATGCAAGAACATATTGCTGACTTTTGCAATTTGAAATAACTGATTAGTTAACATAAAAAAAAAAGTTAACCATATGGCTGCCTCCCAGCAACTCTAAGAGACTGTTTCTGCCACCAGCAACACATTTATATTTTCCAAATGAGAAATGGAGTGAGTGCTGAAATATACAGCATAATACAACATACTGGCCATATACAGGGAAGGGTTCACTAAGTGCATTCTTTTGGGTTTTTTTGTTTTGTTTTTGTTTTTTGAGATGGACTCTGGCTCTGTCGCCCAGGCTAGAGTACAGTGGCATGATCTCAGCTCACTGCAACCTCCGCCTCCTGGGTTCATGCGATTCTCCTGCCTCAGCCTCCCAAGTAGCTGGGACTATAGGCAAGCGTCACCATGCCCAGCTAATTAATAAGTGCATTATTTTAGCTCAGAAAATAAGACAAAACAAATAATCATATAATGCCCTAAATAAATGAATAAAGACCATCTTTTAACAATACATATTAAAATAAGCAATGTTACTTAAAGAGGACCCTCTTCCTTTTGGCCTTAACAATGAGAAAACCATGTTTCTAGGCATCTTCGGACAATTACAGAGTGTTACACTCAGCAGCCAAGTGCACCTGGAGGCTAAGGACAGATCTTGTCAAGACTGTTGACGATTCGCAACACAAAATTATTAAATTGCCAAAAACTTTTGCATACCTTAGTAATTATAATTTTAAAAACAATCTCCATACCTCTAGAAGGTTGATTAGTGATTTTGAAAGTGTTTAGTCATGTGATAACTAAAAAACCTAAAAGTCCTTGACACATTTTTATAAGTAGAATTCAAATAAAGGGAACAAGCACAACCTAGAAGGAAAACAAAAATAGGTCTCAGAGGGAGGCGTGTGAACCTTTTCACATTCAGATTTAGATACAAACTTCCCATGACTTGCATACATGCTTCCTAACTTGTAACTACCTACTTCCCATCCTGACCTATCTTCACAACTTCTCAAGTTTTAATTCCAGTTTATTGAATTGAGTGCACTTTTATAAAGCATCTCAATTGAGACATAGATAAGCTATACATAGTATGTATTTCTTTTTTCTTTTTCTTTTCTTTTTTTTTTTTTTTTGAGACAGAATCTCGCTTAGTCGCCCAGGCTGGAGTGCAGTGGCACAATCTCAGCTCATTGCAACCTCTGCCTCCCGGGTTCATGTGATTCTCATGCCTCAGCCTCCCGAGTAGCCGGGACTATAGGTGTGCACCACCATGCCCAGCTAATTTTTTTGTATTTTTAGTAGAGACAGGGTTTCACCATGTTGGCCAGGTTGGTCTCAAACTCCTGGCCTCAAGTGATCCATCCACCTTGGCCTCTCAAAGTGCTGGGATTACAGGCATCAGCCAGCATGCCCGGCCAATAGTATGTATTTCTTATGTCTACTTATCTCAGCTTAATATTTAAAAAACAAAAATAAACCCCTGAAGTCTATTTACATGTGATAGTCCCAGGAGCAGTGCAGTATAGGGACTAAGAACAGGGACTCTAGAAGGTTCCGATCAGTTCTGCCACTTACCATACAATCTTAACTAGATTTTGTCTTGGGGACTCTAATTTCTCATTCCTCATCAGGTAAACAGGATAAAATGAATTAAAGAATTCAAAATGCTCAACACAGAGCCCAGCAGTTTGCTGCTAACATTATGAAATGCTTACTCTGTGCCAGGCAATAAATAGTGCCTACTATGTTAACATGATGTTAGGTTTAACATGGTGCTCAAACATTACTATTCATAAATACTATGAATTTATGTATTATGTATAAAGTATTTAAAAATCAGCTATTCGTAACAGTATGTACAGTCTAGGTTTTGAAGTGTTCAGGTGACACAGAAAGGGGAAGTAGGATACGGCAGCCGGTAGATCCTGTAGGGTGAATAGTATCTGAGAAGCCAGACCCCACCAGCCCCAGTGAAGAAGTAACTTCAAATGCAGTCTTAGTAGAGGGCACAGGGACAAGGTGGGGAGCCTTGGAACAACTTGTGGCAGAAGGCAGTTAGACCTGCTTTCTTCCCTCTCAGAATTCTACAATCCAGAAGAAGATAATATATAATTATATGCCAACAGTGCTAAGCACTCGTGTGATGAGCAGCCAAAATAAGCTAGTAGGTGTTCCCACAGGCGAGGGAGGCAGTGTTGGGCAGGAACAATCAAAAGAGCAAGAGAAAGCTGACACAGGGTGTGCAGGACTCAGACGCTGACACCTCCCCTGGGAGAAGTGGCAAAGAATAGACAGTAAATGAACGCAAATATTGTTCTCAAACCCACAGCTGTTAGTGCCTCTATGTGGCATATTGGGAGAATGTTATTGGCACTGGCTATATTGCAGACTTGTCTCCTCTCTTCCCCAAAAATGAGCAGACTCAGCACAATTCCCTGATGATGCACATGGAGATAAGGAACTACAAGTACTTTAAAGAAGCAAAACAGTAAAACAGGCTGGGACTCTCTATCTTTGTAGTTCAGTGTACTGACCACAAATCAAACTAAGCAACTTCCTTATTTTTTTCTTTTTCCTTCTTGCCCCCACAAAGCTTAGTCTAGCTAGCAACTTTCTTAAATAAAGGTGTATTCCAGACCCTTCTGTCTTACGGTGGGAAAGCTAAATAAATGAATTTTTGGAGCTGCATGTGGATTGCTTCATCAATAGAAAGACATATTCAAATCAATTTACCAAATAATTTATGAAAGTTACAACAGGAAAAACTACATGAGAAAAGAAAAAAGCAGAAATATAAAACAGCCATTTCACTTTTACATGTTTTTTACAACCGTTGGTATACTTTACCTCTGAAAAGAGGTGTACAGCATGGAAATACAATTCAAACCCATGCATCTTGTTAGCAATTTTTTTTTTTTAAGACGGAGTCTCACTGTGGCCAGGCTGGAGTGCAGTTGCACGATCTCGGCTCACTGCAACCTCCGTCTCCAGGGTTCATGTGATTCTCCTGCCTTAGCCTCCCAAGTAGCTGGGACTACAGGGGTGTGCCACCACACCCAGGTAATTTTTGTATTTTTAGTAGAGACAGGGTTTCACCATGTTGGCCAGGATGGTCTCGATCTCTTGACCTCGTGACCAGCCAGCCTCGGCCTCCCAAAGTGCTGGGATTACAGGCGTGAGCCTCCGCGCCTGGCCACAGTTAGCAATTTTTATAAAATGTCTGGGTAAGGACAAGTCTGTTTTAGGCCAAAAACAACATACCTATAGATTTCATCTATATAACATTAATCTTCTTGGGTGATCCAGAACTAGATTAATCTATAAGAATAAAACCATAAAGGCAAAATCTTACACAAGAACTTATGAATGTATGCCTTTATATTGTTCAACTACATAATCTAATTTAGTGTTTTTTTTAAAAGACTAAAACTTATAAATGGTTAACACAAAAATACCTAGGATACCCATCCAAATTTTTTTTTTTTTTTTTCTGAGACAGAGTCTTGCTCTGTCGCCCAGGCTGGAGTGCAGTGGCACGATCTCGGCTCACTGCAAGCTCCGCCTCCCGGGTTCACGCCATTCTCCTGCCTCAGCCTCCCGAGCAGGTGGGACTACAGGCGCCAGCCACCACCCCTGGCCAATTTTTTTTTTTTTTTTTTTGTATTTTTAGTAGAGACGGGGTTTCACCGTGTTAGCCAGGATGGTCTCTATCTCCTGACCTTGTGATCCGCCTGCCTCGGTGTCCCAAAGTGCTTGGATTACAGGCGTGAGCCACCCACCCGGTGGATACCGATCCATCTTACATCTCACTAGGGGATACCTAGAGGCAGCCCAACAGCAACTGTAGCCTTTAGTAATACTCAGCAATACTATCAACGCTTCTATCGTTAGTTTCTTCATTTTTTTTTTTTTTTTTTTTTTTTTTTTTTTTTTTTGAGACGGAGTCTCACTCTGTCCCCCAGGCTGGAGTGCAATGGCGCAATCTCGGCTCACTGCAACCGCCGCCTCCCGAGTTCTACCAATTCTCCTGCCTTAGCCTCCCAAGTAGCTGGGATTACGGGCGCCCGCCACCACGTCCGGCGAATTTTTATATTTTTAGTAGAGACAGGGTTTCACCATGTTGGTCAGGCTGGTCTCGAACTCCTGGACCTCAGGTGATCCACCCGCCTCAGCCTCCCAAAGTGCTGGGATTACAGGCGTGAGCCACCGCACCTGGCAAGTTTCTTCAATTTTTGTTAAAGAGTTGAGGTCTTGCTTTGTCACCCAGACTGAAGTGCAGTGGTGCTATCATGTCTCACTGTAGCCTCAAACTCCTGGTCTCAAGTGATCCTCCTGCCTCAGCCTCCCATGTAGCTACGTATATAGGTGCAGGCCGCCAGATGCGGTCTATGTTGCCCAGGCTGGTCTTGAACTCCTGGTCTCAAGTGATTCCCCAGCCTCAGCCTCCTGAAGGGATCACAGGCATGAGCCACCTCACCAGGCTCTGTTATGGTTTTTTTTTTTGTTGTTTTTTTTTTTTTTTTTTGAGACGGATTCTCGCTCTTTTGCACAGGCTGGAGCGCAGTGGCCTGATTTCAGTTCCCTGCAAGCTCCGCCTCCCGCTTCACGCCATTCTCCTACCTCAGCCTCCCGAGTAGCTGGGACTACAGGCGCCCACCACCAAGCCCGGCTAATTTTTTGTATTTTGAGTAAAGACGGGGTTTCACCGTGTTAGCCAGGATGGTCTTGATCTCCTGACCTCGTGATCCGCCCGCCTCTGCCTCGCAAAGTTCTGGGATTACAGGCGTGAGCCACCGCACCCGGCCCAGGTTCTGTTCTTTCAAATGTTTACTGAGGTGCAGTTTCAAGAGCTGAAGTGTATAAAAACCTATAGTTTTATAACCTTATAATTATTTAATAATAATGCCACATAAAATATATCAATTTCCTCAAAACCCAAACAATGTAGTTTCAACATCCTTGTGACTGCATGTAAAATGATCAAACTCGTTTCAACTTATACATTATGTGCTGATACAGATGCAGTTATCCACTATGTGATTTACTTGTTATCTCTTGCAAATTGCTTATCTTATACAGCCACTTAACAAATGGAACCTGGATATTACCCTTCTGTTAGCACCATTCATTCATTACACAAATATTTTTTGAGCACCTTTATTGAGCATTTACAGAATGTAAGGTAGTAAAGTCATATAGTCTTCTAGATAGAAATACTCCTGGCTCACCTGGAGCTTACAGTCTACAGAGTTCAGTATAAGTCAGCAGAAAGTCACCCCAAACACATGCAGGACTAAAAGCCACAAAACCTCGACCTAGTCCCCGCTCTTCCACTACTGAGCTGTGCCATCGTGGGAAGGTCGCCTCACTAATCACTGTAAGCCCCAGCTGCCTGATCTGTAAAATAGGTTTGAACCAGTGGTAACGACCTTCCCAGCTTTAAGCAGTCGGAGACTGCAAGCAATTTTAGCGTCCCATTCCACTATGTGCTCTCAACACCTAGCAAGTAGTATGCTGGATAAATGAAAGGCAGCGAAGGCACAACTTCAGCCGCAGAACAGGCCCAGAAGTCCTTTCTTGCTCTTCGGCTGTCTCTGCAGGGCATCTTTTAACAGGGCGAGGGCGATCTGCAGTAATGGAGCAAACACTGTGCGCTCCCTGCCCTCTCGCAGTCGGTGGAACAACTCAAGGCCCTCATCCCTCTCGTTTCCTCTCGGAACTGAGGACTCGGCAGCCCGCCGGGAGGATGTCAGTGGCCGTTGACCCGGCCTCCCCAGCGACCCCGGGCCGCGCTCCCGCCCACTGCACCTGCCGCAAGGACGGTCTCCCGCGCCGCTCCCGCCTGTCACGTGACAGGCCCCCCCCGACTGGGGCCGGTTTTTGGCGCGCGGCAGTGACGTCAGCATCCTGTCAGCCGCAGCCCCCGCCGTAGCCGGATCGACCTCGCGTTTTCAACTCCGCCCCGCCCGCCGCACCGTTAACGGGCCCCGGCTGCCCCACGTCCCGCCCGCCCGCCCGCCCGCGCCGCTCACCTTGAGGTGGCCGCTGTCTGGGCTGCTCGCTTCCTCCTCGTCCTCACCTCCCGAGGCGGCGGCGGAGGCCGAGGCGGCGGGCGGGGGCGCGCCCCGGCCACGAAGCCCCGAGTGCTCGGCGGCTGCGGCTGCAGGCAGGGCGGCCGAGGCGGCGGCCCCCGCGGCCCCAGGGCTGAGCGTCACGTTGTGTGCGTTCTCGCCCCAGCGCCACGGGTACACCATGAAGTCGCTGAAGCCGGGGCTGGTGGGGATGAGCGGCGGCGGCGGCTCCGGCTCCCCTCCACCGCCGCACGTTGGCTTGATCGGGGTCGTCCTGATGACCGACACCAGCACCCGCTTCGGGGAGTCGTGGCAGAAGATGACGGGCGGCGGCGGCGGCGGCGGGTTCTCCGCCATGGGCGCCTCGAAGCCCCGGATCATCGCCCGGCCCGACCCCCAGCTCCGGCGGCCCCGGGCCGCACTCCTGAGCACCGCTCTGCCCCTCACTCGCTCTGCTCCGAGTCGCAGGCTCAGTCCTGCCGGCTCATGGCAGACTGACGTTTCCCGGAATCCTGCGCAGCAGCCACCTAACTAGTTGAGCAGACGGCACCGGCGGGCAGGGCTGGACCCCAGCCCCAGGTCAAGCGCGCCCTCCGCTCTTTGTACTCCGCAGCGCAGGCTGCAGGGGTGGGAAGCAGCGGGCGGCCCGGCCCTTGCGGTGACAGGAAAGCAGGACGCGCGGCGCTGAGCCCCCAAAAATAACAACCTGCCGCCGCGGTGCCTGCCCCGGCTTTTCCCGCGTTACATTTCGCGCCTGGGCGGAACCAGTCACCGCGAGGCCGCTGCCCGCTGGCCGCACCGGCGAGTGACAGGCGGCGCGAGCCAATGGCCAGGCCTGGCCTTCTTTCCAGCCGGCCGGGGCGGGGCCGGGTCTGCGCGCGGGTCCTTCCCACCTCGCCATTGGCCGCCGCTCTTATATTTTTTTCTGTCTGGAGGGCCAACAGCGTTCGAAACTCCAGTGGAGCGCGCGGCGTCTCCACTCGCCCGGACACACCCGCCTGCCGCCCCGCCCCGCCGTCCCTCCGCGTGGTTAGTCCGGGCCAGGGAGACAAGGGCGGCGGGGAGGGCGGCAAGAGGGCGGCTGATTGGACAGCGGCGGGGCGGGGTCGGGGGGGGTGGTGATCGTTGGGCGGTGGAGGCGCGCGCCCCGCTCGGCCCCGCCCGCCGTTGGTTGTTGGGCCGCGGTTCCCGCGCGCAGGGAGTTTAAAGGGCTGGGGCCCCGCCGCCCGCCCCGCCCTCGGTCCCACCACCCGCCCGGCGGCTGGAGTCTCTGCTGCCCGAGGTCCTGATGGGCACCCGGCGTGCCTGGTTTCTTAATCGAGTTCCGTCTGCTCAGCTGTTGCACGCTCTGTGAACCAGCCCTGTCAGCACCGCCCTGACTCCTCCGGGCCGATTGTGGGCCTCCGGTTCCCCATCTGTGGAAAGGGGAGAGTCCAGGAAGTGGCCTCCGAAGTCCCTGCGGGCCGCTCGCGGCGCGGAGGCCACAAGAGCCGGGCGAGAGTAGACACTCTCACCCTGGACTGATGCCCCGAAGTTGCCTCGGGGATCTCCCCACCCCGGCGACCCCGCTCTACCGAGCGGCTGCTCCGGGAGTCGGGGCAGCGCCCTACTTTGCTCGGCCCCCACCTGCCCCGGCCGCGTCCTAGTACTCGCGCCGGGACGCGCGGAGCCCCAACGTCCTCTGCCCGCCCCGCCCCAGCCCCGCCTGGCTGGCGCCGACCGCGGCCCGGGTGGGGCTCGCAGGCTGCAGAGGAAGGACCGGGCGGAGGGGTTGCCCGGCTTCCTACCCGCTAGATGTGGCCTGGGGAGCTGCGTTTTGTTCTTGGGAATACAGATTCCCAGGCACCGCCTGATTCGCGGTAGGGGCTCAATAAATATTTGCTGAATGGATGAATGAATATCCATTGGTTAAGGGTTAGGATTGGTAATTAAGTTAGAACACGACTGTATAATAACAGATAACTAAGCTGAATAGCTTTTCTCTCTGTGAAAGACACACAAATGCACAGCTATGACTAAATTAAGCCACAATTGTTTAAAAACAAATAAAGGAAACTGTACTGATATGAACAATTTCAAAAATGTATTTTTATTTTAAAAGGCAAAACAAGCAATAGTGTGATTTTATGTAAAATTGTTAAAGTGGGGAAAATACGTTTTTACTTTTAGACGTACATAAAATATCTGGCAAGATGCAAAAGAAACATGGATCATGGAGGGAAATTGTGTGGCTGGGAACAGAAGTGAAAAGATTTCAAGAAATACAATATATAACTATCTTTTGAACTTTGAACCAAGTGAAAGTATCCTTTTAAGAAATGAAACAGTATATAGCCTCCATTTTCTGGAGGCCTACTACAAAAATAGCATATATGTACTGATACACAATAATACATATGGATGTTTCACAGTTCACTCAACAATTGGGTAAGGAAGATATTTTTCCCATTTTATAAATGAGAAAAGTTGAGGCTTGTACAAGATTACATAATAAATCCTTTGGAAGAATAAGTCTGTACTGCCTGTGGATTATATTCAGTGTCTGCTGAGCAAAAGGAGGAAAAGGCTGAAAAATGGGACTCACACATTTCTCGGTCCCGTTTCTCATATTCCAAAACTTTCAGGGTTTAGGGGCAAATTTCATATTGTAATGGTTGATCTAGAAAGTTGAAAGTTCAGCCCTACTTTCACCTAATTTAGTAAACATACATTTTGTTTTTACAGTTTAATACCAAAAAACATATTTTTCTGAATCAGTTGGAAGGGAAATGTTATCCATCTGTTTTATACTTGACAAGTAGTGTAAAGAAAAAAGTGATCTATCCATCATGGACACTCGAATTAGGGGTTGAGCAAAATCCAACAGATTAATCACCAACAAATAGTTACTGTTTAACATTCAGAGCATGCCCCAGAGGGCAAGATGAATCATCCAGCACAGGATGCTGACTTTCTGCTTCTAAAAATTGCCCTTCATCAACAGTAACCTGGCAACTCCACTTGCTCTCTTCCCCAAGAGAATGAAAGACATGCCAGGAATGTGTGAACTGGGCAGAAGGTGATTCCAGGAGCAAAGCTGAGGTCATACCAGATCTTTGCTTGTTTGGCTCCATTTTCATGCAATGAAGAAGCTGTCTGAAGTGTATGGATCATATTCCTGATGTCTTTGTTCTGTCTCAGATATTAACAGCCCATAATGTCAGAGGCCTGTGAACCAGAGCAACTCCATTTTAAAAAGGAGCTGGGTAAAATGAGGCTGAAACCTACTGGGCTGCATTCCCAGACGGTTAAGGCATTCTAAGTCACAGCATTAGATAGGAGGTCAGCACAAAATACAGGTCATAAACACATTGCTGATAAAACAGGTTGCAGTAAAGGAACCGGCCAAAACTCACCAAAACCAAAATGGCCATGAGAGTGACCTGTGGTCCTCCTCAACTGCTACACTCCCACCAGCGCCGTGACAGTTTACAATGCCATGGCAACGTCAGAAGGTTACCCTATATGGTCTAAAAAGGGGAAGCATGAATAATCCACCCCTTGATTAGCATATCATCAAGAAATAACCATAAAAATGGGCAACCAGCAGCCCTCAGGGCTGCTCTGCCTATGGAGTAGCCATTCTTTATTCCTTTACTTTCTCAATAAACTTGCTTTCACTCTGCACTGCGGACTCGCCCTGAATTATTTCTTGTGAGAAATCCAAGAACCCTCTCTTGGGGTCTGGATCAGGACCCCTTTCCGGTAACAACAATACATACTAAATCTGAAAAATACTGAAACCTATCTCAGGATACTTACTATATTACTAAAGTAGCATTTTCAACTCTTAAAAATATAGGCCCCTTCAGCTGGGCGCGGTGGCTGACAGCTATAATCCCAGCACTTTGGGAGGCCGAGGTGGGCAGATCATGAATGAGGTCAGGAGATTGAGACCATCCTGGCTAACAGGGTGAAACCCCGTCTCTACTTAAAATACAAAAAATTAGCCGGGCGTAGTGGCGGGCGCCTGTAATCCCAGCTACTCGGAAGGCTGAGGCAGGAGAATGGCGTGAACCCGGAAGGTGGAGGTTGCAGTGAGTGGAGATCACGCCACTGCACTCCAGCCTGGGCGACAGAGCGAGACTCCATCTCAAAAAAAAAATATATATATATATAAGTAGATATATATATATATTTTATATATATAAGTAGATATATATATATTTTATATATATAAGTAGATATATATATTTTATATATGTATATATGTATATATATATATTTTATATATATGTATATATATATTTTACATATATATACCCCTTCTGATAAAGATAGAAACCTCAAACCCCGTTTTAAAAAAAATGTATTTTAAAGTTTCAAGATAAAATTGAAGTAAGACAAAGCAGCAGTTATTAAAGTCTATGTAAAACATAGCAGGCCAGGGGTGGTGGCTCACACCTGTAATCCCAGCACTTTGGGAGGCCAACGCAGATGGATCAACTGAGGTCAGGAGATCAAGTCCATCCTGGCCAACATGGTGAAACCCTATCTCTACTAAAAATCCAAAAACAATTAGCTGGGCATGGTGGCATGCGCCTGTGGTCCCAGCTACTGGGGAGGCTGAGGCAGGAGAGTCTTTTGAACCCAGGAGGCGGAGGTTGCAGTGAGCCTAGATCACGCCACTGAATTCCAGCCAGGGCGACAGAGTGAGACTCCATCTCAAAATAACAACAACAACAACAAAAAAAAGCAAGGTTTTTTGTTTCACTTTGTTTTTATTTTTAATTATATATATATATATATATACACATTTATATATAAATATATTAAATATTATATATTAATTATTATAATATATTAATTATGTGTATATAAATATATAATATAATATGTATTAATTATTATATATAATATATAATATATTATATATTAATTAAATATTATATATTTATTATATAATATATAATATATATAAAATATTTTATTTTTAATTTTATATATATGTGTATATATATATATACACACACACATACACACACACTTTTTTTTTTTTTTTGAGATGGAGTCTCGCTCTGTCGCCCAGGCTGGAGTACAGTGGCGCGATCTCGGCTCACTGCAAGCTCCACCTCCCGGGTTTACACCATTCTCCTGCCTCAGCCTCCTGAGTAACTGGGATTACAGGCGCCTGCCACCACGACCGGCTAATTTTTTTTGTATTTTTAGTAAAGATGGGGTTTCGCCGTGTTACCCAGGATGGTCTCGATCTCATGACCTTGTGATCCGCCCGCCTCGGCCTCCCTAAGTGCTGGGATTACAGGCATGAGTCACCGCGCCTGGCCCATTTTTATTTTTTATGTTTTTGAGAGGGAGTCTAGCTCTGTCGCCCATGCTGGAGTGCGGTGGCAAGATGTCAGCTCACTGCGGCCTCTGCCTCCTGAGTTAAAGCTACTCTCCAGCCTCAGCCTCCCGAGTAGCTGGGACTATAGGCATGCGCCACCACACCCAGCTAATTTTTGTATTTTTAGTAGAGATGAGATTTCACCATGTTGGCTAGGCTGGTCTCCAACTCCTGGGCTCAAGTGATCCGTCCACCTTGGCCTCCCAAAGTGCTGGGATTACAGGCATGAGCCATGGTGCCGGACCCCAGCATTTGGTTTTATTGATGAGAGATACAATGCAATCTCAAGTGAGGATCAAGTGATCCTCCCACCTCAGCCTCTTGAGTAGGTAGAACTATAGCCACGCACCACCACACCTGACTAATTTTTTGTAGAAACGGGTACCACTATGTTACCCAGGCTGGTCTCCACCTCTTGGCCTCAAGCAATCCTCCTCCCCCCAGCCTCCCAAAGCACTGGATTATAGGCAGTCCTCAATCTAATTCTCATCTCTCCCCCACTTAACTAGGACTAACGATGCATTCCTAGCAGCTTGCTTTACATCAGCTAACATCCCATTGGCCAAACAAGCCACATGGCTCAGCCCAAGACTGGAGAATTATGCCCTGATGTTAGGTGGGAGGACACTGCAAAGTTACTTGGCTGAGGGTGTGGATACAAGGGAGAGTGAAGAATTGGGCCATTAACACCCTCACAGTCTGGGAGTGTGAATGCCCTCCTGTGGTGCCAGGCTGTTAACTCCAGTGCCACATGTTGAAGAGATGCTGAAAGACATGTTCTCCAGGGCACAGGTTTGCAACCCCCGGGCCGTGGACTGTGTGGCCTATTGGGAACCAGCCACACAGCAGGAGCTGAGCAGCGATAAAGAAGTATTACTGCCTGAGCTCTGCATCCTGTCAGACCAGCGGTGGCTTTCGATTCTCATAGGAGCACAAACCCTGTTGTGAACTGCGCATGTGAGGGATCTGGGATCTAGGTTGTGTGCTTCTTTTGAGAATCTAATGCCTGGTAATTTGAGGCGGGACAGTTTCACTCCAAAACCATTCCCTTTCCTCTCTCCATCTGTGGAAAGGTTGTCTTCCACAAAACGAGTCCCTGGTGCCAAAAAGGTTGGAGACCGCTGCTCCAGGGCACAGTTGCAAGTTTGCACAGGCCCTGCTATGTGACTGAGTCCCACAAAAGACATTTTGTAACAAGAGGACTAAAATATCACCCAAACTTTAAACTTGGGGCCCACGTAAACCTCAGATAAGGTAGTCTTCCCCTCATGGGAGCACGGTAAAATCTTCTTGGCTAACAGATAACTTGACTAACTATAAACAAATCATTTTTAGCTGCTTAACCACATTAGGGATAACCTACCAAACCTCCTTCAACCTGAGATCACCACATTCCTAGTAATATAGGGACTTTGGGCCTCCAGAATTGTCAGTGAGACAGCTTGGGAATGACAGTCCGATTCAGAAGGCTGTCCCAAGGACTTGCCTTGAAACTATCTTTCCATAGCAAGTATATATATGTACATATATATATGTGTGTGTGTATATATGTACATATATATATAATTTTTTAATTTAAGAGATGAGGACTATGTTACCCAGGCTTGAGTGCAGTGCCTATTCACAGGCACATCATAGCTCCCTGCAGCTTCAAACTCCTGGCCTCAAGCAATCCTCCTGCCTCAGCCTCCTAAGTAGCTGGGACTCCATGGAGCCTAACTACAAGCATGATGTTTTTACTTAAAGTATAAGTTATGTACCAATACAAAATAGTAAATAGTAAATACTTTTGCAAAACTTACACAAGATTGAGAAAGTTTCTGTTACTCCTACAAATGAATTCTACTATTATTGCTCACCTCTGGAATTGCTTTTGGTGACACAGGTGGTGATTTGGGGGACTGACCCATCTTCTAAGCATTCCTTGACACCCCCACTGTCTTCAAGGATCTGGAGGTTGGACCATTTGACCCTTCTGTAATCTTGAAAGTGACTGAGTGGGCCAGGTGACTCTTGCCTGTAATCCCAGCACTTTGGGACACCGAGGCAGGCTGATCACATGAGTTTAGGAGTTCAAGACCATCCTAGCCAACATGGTGAAACCCTATCTTTACTAAAAATACAAAAATTAGCCAGGCGTGGTGGCGCACACCTGTAGTTTCAGCTACACGGGAGGCTGAAGTAGAAGAATCGCTTGAACCCAGGAGGCGGAGGTTGCAATGAGCTGAGATTGCACCACTGCACTCCAGCCTGGGCAACAGAGGGAGACTCTGTCTCAAAAAAAAAAAAAAAAGAAAGAAAGAAAGGAAAAAGAAAATGACTAACTGACTGAGTGACTGTGAGGTACTAATATTGGTTCTCTTATGCTCCACAAAAACATCAGTTTCATTATCTTAGACCCACAATGATCAATTATCAGCTGGATATGGAATCAACTTTAAAATAATATGTGGCTCTACACTGTAAATTATACTAATTTGACTTGTTAGAATAAAATCCAAAGTAGATTTAAATGAAGCAGTTTAATTAGGACAGCAGATTCATAATACTTTCAAGAAGCACTTAAGTCTTATAAGAGGTCATTGAACTGACTCTTGGGACAGCTTCCCGTTTTATCACACTTAGGATCTGCGGGTATCTCGAGTGCCCTAGTTGTAAGCTTGTGCCAAAGGTAGTCAGTACATTTTACATCCAGGAAGACTTTCCACTGTGGTATTTCATCATGTTTATTGCCATTTAATTAAGGTAAGTAAGGACATAGACATTTTTAGTTTAAATTCTATTCCTCCTCACTTCTGTGTGTCAGAGGTCAACTTTGGAGAGTGGGTTGTCAGTACAATTATTGTTGTTTTTCTGATATTCTGTCTTTTACTTTTTACTCTGAATTATTTGAGGCTTACAGAAAAGTTGCAAAAATAGTAAATTTTTCACACATACCTCACTCAACTTCCCCTAATGCTGGCATCTTATATTACCACAACCACGTATCAAAACCAGGAAATTAACATGTGTACCATATTATTTATTAAACTACACCCCTTATTCTATTTTAATCTTTTTCTTTTTTTCCACTAATGTCTTTTTTTCTGTTCCAAGATCCTGTCTGGATCTTACATAGCATTTAGGGATTATTTGTCCTTAGTTCCCTGCAGTGAGTAACAGTTCTTCAGTGGCTCAGTGGCTCCTTGTTTTTCCTTTTTTTTTTGAGTCAAAGTCTCACACTATTGCCCTGGCTGGAGTGCAATGGTGCCATCTCGGCTCACTGCAACCTCTGTGTCCCGGGTTCAAGCGATTCTCCCACCTCAGCCTCCCAAGTAGCTGGGATTACAGGCACCCATCACCAAGCCCGGCTAATTTTTTGTATTTTTAGTAGAGATGGGGTTTCACTATATTGGCCAGGCTGGTCTCGAACTCCTGACCTCGTGACCCGCCCGCCTCAGCCTCCCAAAGTGCTGGGATTACAGGCGTGAGCCACCACACCCAGCCCCTTGTTTTTCATAATTCCGAATTGGTCAGAATTACGAAATTGGCTGGGCGCCAATGGAGAATCCTTTCTCCATTCTACGGAGAAATAATATTTCATTGTATAGCTATACTATATTTTGCTTATCTATTCATCACTTGATGGATATTTAAGTGGCTCCCACTTTTTGCCTATTATGAACAGTGGTGCTGTGAACATTCGTGTGTCTGTTTTTATGTCGATATATGTTTTTATTTTTATTTTTGGTTATACCTAGGTGTGGAATTGCTGGGTCATAGAGCAGCCGTGGGTTTAACATTTTGGGGATCCGACTTAACTTTTCCAAAGCAGCTGCACTCACTCTGTTACCCAGGCTGGAGTGCAGTGGTGTAATCATGGCTCACTGCAGCCTCAACCTCCCGGGCATAAGCAATCCTCCCACCTTCGCCTCCCAAATAGCTGGGACTACAAGTGCACAACACTATGCCCAGCTAAGTTTTGCATCTTTTTTGATACAGACATGGTCTCGCCTTGTTGCTCAGGCTGGCCTCAAACTCCTCAGCTCAAGCAATCCACCCACCTCAGCCTACCAAACTGCTGGGATTATAGGCGTGATCCACCGTGCCAAGCTGTCTCTTAATTTTTTTTAAGAATTCTATATATATGAGAACATTGCCCTTTTGTCTGTAGTATATGTTGTGAATATTTTCTCCCAAGCTGTCATCAGTTGTCTTTTGACTTCATTCATGAAATTTTTATCACATGACTTTATTTAAAAATTTATCTTTATCCTTGTGATCTGAAATGCCACCTTTTTCATATACTAAGTTTCCATATGTATTTGGGTCTAACTTTACATTCTGTTCTACCAGTCTGTTTGCCTGGGTTTTTGTTTGTTTGTTTGATTTCTGTTTTTTGTTTTTTCGAGACAGAGTCTTGCTCTGTCGCCCAGGCTGGAGTGCACTGGCGCAATCTCGGCTCACTGCAAGCTCCACCTCCCAGGTTCAAGCGATTCTCCTGCCTCAGCCTCCCAGGTAGCTTGGGACCAGAAGTGTTTGGGATTTCAGATTTTTTTGGATTATGGAATTTTTGCATATACATAATGAGATATCTTGGGGATGAGGCTTAAATCTAAACATGAAGTTAATTTACATTTCATGTGCACCTTATACACGTAGCCTGAAGGTAATTGTATACAACGTTTTAAATAAAAATAAAGGTGTGTGTATGTTGAACCATCAGAGGCGAAGATGTCACTATCTCAGCCACCAATGTGGACATCCCCATGCTTCCTGACTCTGCATTTATATGATACCAATAACCAATCATTTTCTTAAACTCACACATACGTACTTACCAGTAAAAAATATGACATTTCATTAATGCAGTGAAAAAATAATGTGTTCAGGGCACCCAAGATAGCATCACCAGATACCTGCATCAGTGGCTAAACAACAGCAGCTTCTGGTCTCTACCTATGATACTACCTTTTGATTGAAAGGCTGTACACTGTATCTTCTTTTTTTCAGTGAAAAAAAAAAACATCAGTAGCAGTTAAAGGATCAGGAAGTGGGTCCCATAGGGGTGAGGAGGCATCTGCTGGATGGCTTTTGAAAATGTTTCATTCAGCATCATCTGCCTCATTAACAACAGTTTCTGTCTTTTTTTTTTTTTTTTGAAATGGAATTTCACTCTTGTTGCCCTGGCTGGAGTGCAATGGCGCGATCTTGGCTCACTGCAACCTCCACCTCCCAGGTTCAAGCAATTCTCCTGCCTCAGCCTCCTGAGTAGCTAGGATTACAGGCATGTGCCACCACGCCTGTCTAATTTTGTATTTTTAGTAGAGACGGGGTCTCACCATGTTGGTCAGACTGGTCTCGAACTCCCAGCCTCAGGTGATCCACCCGCCTCGGCTTCCCAAAGTGCTGGGATTGCAGGCATGAGCCATCACCCCGGCCAGTTTCTGTCTTAGACGTCTCTCTTGATTTTTATGAATTGACATGATTTCTTGTTTGGTTGTGAATGCACACTGCCCTAGTTTTCAATAAGCCCATCATACATTTTCACCAGGTCCTCTATAGGTGCTTTTTCTATAGTGTTAACATCATCATCTTCACTGTCACTGTTATCACGATCACCTTGGTTCAGAACCAACTCAGATATTTCACCCTCAGTTAGTGAAGGAACAAGGCTCATTAAAAACGTCTTGAATATCCACTTCTTCCAGCTCTGACACAGACTACATATATATATGTATATATATGTATATATGTATATATGTATATATGTACATATGTATATATGTATATATGTACATATGTATATGTGTATATATGTATATATATGTATATGTGTATATATGTATATGTATGTATATTGTGTATATATGTGTATATATGTATATATATGTATATATATGTATATATGTATATATATGCATATACGTATATATGTATATATGTATATATGTATATATATGTATATATGTATATATATGTATATATGTATATATACGTATATATGTATATATGTATATATACGTATATATGTATATATGTATATATACGTATATATGTATATATGTATATATGTGTATATACGTATATATGTATATGTATGTATATGTGTGTATATATGTGTATATATGTATATATGTATATATGTGTATATATGTATATATGTATATATGTATGTGTGTGTATATATGTATATATGTATATGTATGTATATGTGTGTATATATGTATATGTATGTATATATGTGTATATATGTATGTATATATGTATATATGTATGTATATATGTATATATGTGTATATATATACACACACACACACACATATATATATATATATATTTTTTTTTTTTTGAGACGGAGTCATGCTCTGTCGCCCAAGCCGGAGTGCAGTGGAGCGATCTCGGCTCACTGCAACCTCCACCTCCTGGGTTCAAGCGATTCTCCTGCCTCAGCCTCCCAGGTAGCTGAGACTACAGGCATGTGCCACCACGCCCAGCTAATTTTTTTGTATTTTTAGTAGAGATGGGGTTTCACCATGTTGGCCAGGCTGGTCTCGAACTCCTGACCTCAGGCGATCCACCTGCCTTGGCCTCCCAAAGTGCTGGGATTACAGGCGTGAGCCACCGCACCCAGCCGACACAAACATTTTTGATGAAAATTTCAGCTGGGGAATGAGCAAAATCGGTATCAAGGAATAACAAAATCTTACAGTCCTCATTCAGTTTAGTTTCTTTGCAGTGAGCACATGCCACTAGTACAAAATGTTTGTGAAAACAATTAGAAAAGCTGTCCCTGATGATCCCTGCCTTTTTGTTAGCAGAACAATGGACTGGTAAAAAATTCACTCCTTGAAAACAGCAAGCTTTTTCACCTGCCTGTCACAGTAAGTTTACATTTATGTGTGCCTGCTGCATGAGCACATTGCAACATAGTTATTCTGTCCTTGGCATCCCTAATTCCTGTAGGGGCTGTCTCACCAGCTGTAGTCAATGTATTTCTGGGGTAATAACAGCAAAACAATAATGTTTCATCAGCATTATAGACTTGTTCTGCTGTCAGATTTTCATCAGCAATGACCTTGGCACACTAGTTAATTTCTCTGCTGCTTCATGATCACCACGAATCTTTAAAAAAATTTAATGCTGTGTCTTCTCTTAAATCTGCACCTAGCCTGCTGAATATTCACAGTTCCCTTCAATATTCAGTTCATCGTGATAGATCTTTGCTTGTCTCATGATAAGCAGGCCATTAAGTGGCATATGCTCACTGCAATGCTAATGGATGCACTCTTTCAATACATGATCAAGATCTTCATTTTCAGCTTTGCAGTGTTTTTCTATTTTTCATTAACTTCTATCCATCACTTTTAGCACAGAAGTTCAACAGTTTATCCATCTGTTTCTTCAGGTCACATATGGTGGTCATTCCAACACCATACTGTTCTGTAAGGCATTTCACACTTCCACCGCCATCCAATTTTTCCAACAGCATGACTTTCTGTGCTATAGATAAACATAAGTGCTTCTTTTTTTTCTTATCACTGTTACCCATAGGGGTATCTTTTTGGCATTTCCAACAATATCTTTAAACACAGAGCAGAGAATAAGCAAAAAAAAAAAAAAACACAGTGAGTAATGCACATAGGTCTTGGCCCTATATGGGGCATTGTGGGGAACCTGCCATTGGTGCATCCAGCTGCATATGTACAATTTTATTACCCTTTACAGGCACGCTTGTTGGGGGGTAATCTGGGCATGCACAGAAAAGATATACCACAGCTGAAAGGGGCCGGGAGGGTCTTTTTTTCTGTTGGGGATGCTGAATAAACCATGTTGTGCAACTGCATTTTGACTGCAACCTATCACATGAGGTCAGGTGTGGAATGTTCCATTTCTGGCATCATGTGAGCACTCGAAAAGTTTCAGATTTTGGAGCATTTTCAAGTTTGGATTTTCAGGTTAGGGATGCTCAACCTGTAATTGATTTCTGTCATCTAATCATAGTAGTTAACACCTCCAATACAATGTTGAAAAGTAGTGGATAGTGAACATCCTTGCCTTATTTCCAATGCTAGAATTCCCTATAGTGTATCCCCATTAAATAAGAAACTAATTTTAGGAATAACATTCAATTATGTTAAGAACGTATTTTTTAATTCCTATCTTCCTGAGTGCTTTATGACGAATGTATGTGGATTTTTTTCCAAAGGCTTTCTCTGCTTTTAAGGAGGTAATAATATTATCTTTTTTCTTTTTTCGAGACGGAGTCTCGCTCTGTCGCCCAGGCTGGAGTGCAGTGGCTCAATCTCGGCTCACTGCCAGCTCTGCCTCCCGGGTTCATGCCATTCTCCTGCCTCAGCCTCCCGAGTAGCTGGGACTACAGGCGCCCACCACCAGGCCTGGCTAATTTTTTGTATTTTTAGTAGAGACGGGGTTTCACCGTGTTAGCAGGATGGTCTTGATCGTGATCCGCCTGTCTTGGCCTCCAAAAGTGCTGGGATTACAGTCGTGAGGCACCGCGCCCGACTGTTTTTTTTTTTGTTTTTTTTTTTTTTTTTTTTTTTTGAGAGGAGTCTTGCTCTGTCTCCCAGGCTGGACTGCAGTGGTGCAATCTCGGCTTACTGCAAGCTCCGCCTCCCGGGTTCACGCCATTCTCCCGCCTCAGCCTCCCGGGTAGCTGGGACTACAGGCGCCCACCACCACACCTGGCTAAATTTTTGTATTTTTAGTAGAAACGGGGTTTTAGTAGTTTTAGTAGAGACAGGGTTTCACCGTATTAGCCAGGATGGTCTCGATCTCCTGACCTCGTGATCTGCCCGCCTCAGCCTCCCAAAGTGCTGGGATTACAGGTGTGAGCCACCATGCCCGGCCAGCCAGGCTGGTCTTGAACTCCTGACCTCAGGTGATCCGCCTGCCTCAGCCTCCCAAAGTTCTAGGATTACAGGCTTGAGCCACAGTGCCTGGCCTATATAATTTTTAAAAAGCAATATGGACAAAAGAATAAGACCCAGAGGGGATACACACACATACACACACAAAAGGGTAGTCTCTAATTGGTAGGTGTCTAGTACATAGGGTCTATGGTTCAATCTGTCCCTTTTGGTATAAATTAGCATGCCAAGATACAGTTTGAGTCAGCCAATCCTCAAGAATTACATTTTTATCTGAGGTACATTTTAGAATCTAATGTAGTGTCATTAGACACATGTGCAAATTTTTTTTTTTTTGAGATGGAGTCTTGCTCTGTCACCCAAGCTGAAGTGCAAGGCATGAGCTCGGCTCACTGCAACCTTTGCCTCTTGGATTCAAGCCATTCTCCTGCCTCAGCCTCCTGAGTAGCTGGGATTACAGGTGTGCGCCACCACGTCCAGATAATATTTTGTATTTTTAGTAGAGACTTCTACTAAAGGCTTCACCATGTTAGCCAGGCTGGTCTTGAACTCCTGACCTCAAGAGATCTGTCTACCTTGGCCTCCAAAAGTGCTGGGATTACAGGCATGAGCCACTGTGCCGGGCCAAGATGTGCACGTATTTTGTGTGCATACTGTTCACCATCCCCCGCAACTACATGGAAAGCTTGTCTGGGAGTTTAGATAAAGATGGCTCCAGAGCTCTTGCCGAATTCCCTGGCTATATCAGGTGCTCAAAAGTTGATGACTTACTATTATTTTGATATAATCATAACCCTTCATGATGCTTTGCAGGTGTTCAAAGCTCTTCTATGTATTTTCTTATTCGACCCTCACAACATCTCTTATTGGGCTGACTTAGCAGAGTATCTGCGTTTTATAGCTAAAGAGAAAAATATCAAAGAGATTAAGTGGCTTTGCTAAGGCCATATGGCTCACATGGGGTAGGGCTAGGACTGGCACAAATCCACTCTTCTTTGCTTTATGCCGTAGTGCTCATCAGAGCCTGAATTTCTTTTAAGATATGTTTTAATAATATGTCCCATCACAGTGTTTGATAAATGATAACATCAATAGCAGAGATATCATGTAGGCAAAAACAATTTAGGAATTGCATTTTTAAGTGCTCACTCAGCCTTAAGAGGGTAATTATATAATGAATTTAGAAAACCCAACCACTTTTAAAGACTTACTGTAATGGCAGAAATGATATTGGATGCTAAGCAAAAGAATCAAGTACACTGTGTTGCTCAGCATTTCTATTTAGTTGGAAGCAAGAGTTTTCAGATATTTCACCCCCTATTTATTCGACAAATATTTATTAAGTGTCAGTTGCGTGTCAGCTCTGTTCTCCGCACTGGAAATACAGCAGTGAGCAAAACAATCCCTGCTCTCAGGAAGCTCAAACTCTTGTGGAAGGGACCAGGAAACAAACAAATGCATATACACAGTGGACAATGCGATGGAGGAAGAAAAGGTGGAAAATGGGGCAGAGAGGCTGGTCAGAAGCTGGGTGTGGTGGGGTGTGCCTATGGTCCCAGCTACTAGGGAGGCTGAGGCAGGAAGATTCCTTGAGCCCTGGAGTTGGGGGCTGCAGACTGTGCCACTCCACTCCAGGCTGGGCAACAGAGCAAGAACCCATCTTTTTTTTTTTTTTTTTGAGATGGAGTCTTGCTCTGTTGCCCAGGCTGGAGCGCAGTGGTGCGATCTTGGCTCACTGCAACCTCCGTCTCCCAGGTTTAAGCAGTTCTCTGCCTCAGCCTCCCAAGTAGCTCGGATTACAGGCGAGTGCCACCACACCAGGCTAATTTTTGTATTTTTAGTAGAGACGGAGTTTCAGCCATCTTGACCAGGCTGGTCTTGAACTCCTGACCTCATGATCCACCCGCGTCGGCCTCCCAAAATGCTGGGATTACAGGCGTGAGCCATTGCGCCCAACCGAACCCATCTCTTAAAAAAAGAAAGAAAGAAAGAAAAGAAAAGCTGGTCAGGGAAGTTCTCTTTGATTAGGAGACATCTGAGCAGGGACTTAAAAGAATTTAGGGAGTGAGCCATCTTAGGGAAACTTGGCTCTGAGCAGAGCAAACAGCAGGTAGAAACATCCTTTAACAGTAGAAAGGCCCTGGGGCAGGAGAAAAAAATTCTCTCATTCTCTCTCTCTCTCTTTCTCTCTTTTTTTTTAAAGAGGCAGGGTTTTGCTCTGTCGCCCAGGCTGGAGAGGAGTGGCATGATCACAGCTCACTGTAACCTTGAACTAGGCTCAGGCAATCCTCCCACCTCAGCCTCCCGAGTAGCTAGAACTACAGGCATGCCCCACCACACCTGGCTAATTTTTACTTTTTTGTAGAGATAAGGTCTCACTGTGTTGCCCAGGCTGGTCTCAAACTCCTGGTCTCAAGCAATCCACGTACCTCAGCCTCCCAACGTACTGGAATTACGGGTGTGAGTTTCATTCTTAAAAGTGTAGAAAACAGCTGGGCATGGTGGCGGGCGCCTGTAGTCCCATCTTGGGAGGCTGAGACAGGAGAATCACCTGAACCCGGGAGGCGGAGGTTGCAGTGAGCGGAGATCGTGTCATTGCACTGCAGCTTGGACATTAACAGCGAAACTCCGCCTCAAAACAAAAGTGTAGAAGACAAATTCTCTCATTCCCAAGTGATCCAGAGGAGGGCCAATAACTCTCAACTTTTCCCCCAATATTAAAGGTAGTGAGAAGAATGTCTTGTATTTACATGATTACTTTTATTTAAAATAATATTTCTAATAAATAGTAAAAGCTACTATGCCTCTGTTACCTAAAAAATGTCAAATATTTTTAAGAATAAAATATTGATCATTTTATTTATTCATTCTACATATCATTATGTCTTCACCATGCAGACAACTTTGTCTTTCTTCTTTAATAAATTGAAGTTTTACCTAAAGGGCTTACTTAAGCTACACACATCATGAAGTGCTTGAAAAATTTAGTTGGCCAGGGAAGAACAACCAGAAGAGATGGCTTTCCAGCTGGACATTTGTTGAACTGAACTGCCTTCTGTGTCACAGAAAGCACACTTCTCTCTCACGATGTTCATCTCCCGTCCTCTTGGATTTTTGCCTATGCTGTGGAAATACCCAGGATATTGGGTATCTTTGTGTTACTGACTTCCCAGCTTAATGATCTGTAAGGCCAAAACTTAAGTGACTTAAAACAACCACCATTTCATTTTCTTATAATTCCGTGGGTTGACTGAGCTCAACTAGGCAGTTCTGCTGGTCTTGTTTTGTATGTCTCTGGCAGTTGCAGTCAGATGGCAAATGGGGCTAAAGTGATCTGGAAATTTGCCAGTAATAAAGGAATGGCTGAGTCTTTCTCCTTCCCCATATAGTTTTAGGGCTTCTCCTCTCCAAGTGGCCTTTCCATGTGGCTGCTTGGGCTTCCTTACAGAATGGCAGCTGGGTCCAAGGAGAATCCCAAGAAAAAGAAAGCAGAAGCTGCCATTTCTTTTAAAAGCTAGGTCCGGAATTGGCACAGCATCATTCCCACTACATTCTATTAGGTAACATGAGTCACAGCCAGTCCAGATTCAATGAGGGAGGTGACTGCACAAACACACGAGAACTGCGAGGTGTACCTCATTGTGAGCCATCTCTGCAGAACAGTCCTAACACCTTCTCATTTGCATTGTCTTTATGTATATTTACTTTTGTTGGATAATCAAACAGAAAGCCCACAGGACATGCTGGTACAAAGTATGAGGCAGAGTAAAAGGAAGGACTAACACTTTCTGGTGGGGGAACGAACAACCTTGAAGTAAAGGTGGCTTCCAAGCTTTCTCTGGAATGGTGAATAGTCTCCCTGAGGAGCTCAGGGAGGGTAAGTCAAGCAGAGGAAACAGCATACGTGAGGTCACTGAGGCCTGAAGGAGCCAGGGATGTTTGTAGAACATAGTCCTGTAAGGATCATATGAGAGGGTGGAGAAGGTGGTGGAAAAAACTGGAGAGGAAAGCTGGCATATGATTAAGAAAGTATAGCTAGTCATGGTGATACATGCCCATGGTCCCAGCTACTTGAGAAGCTGAGATTGCTTGAGCCTAGGAGTTTAAGACCAGTCTGGGCAACATAGCAAGACTCTGTATGAAAAAATAAAATAAAATAGAGAGAGAGAAGAGAGAGAAAGAGAGAGAATGAATGAATGAAAACAAGGAAAAAAACAAAAGAGAAAAAAATAAAGAAAAGGTTCTATCTGAAAATGAGTTAGCCAAGCTCGAGGTGAAGGGCACAGTCCTTCAGACTGCCAAGTCTGCCTAAGACTGCAGACAACAGCCACGATGAGTCAGAGCAGATAGGTGCCACAAGAGTGTCCTCAAGTCAGACACCAGCCTCAAGTTTGGGGGCTCCCTGGGCCACCCTCATTCAGACCAGCTAGCTGCAAATTAGGGTTCCCATGACCACCCTCAGGTCTGATAATTCACTAGAATGACTCACAGAACTCTGGAAAGTGTTATATTTGTGGTTATAGCTTTGTTACAGTGGAAGGCTACAACTCAGAACCAGCCAAAGGAAGAGACACCTCAAGCGAAAACCATAGTGGATCCCCATGTGCAGCGCTCCTGTCTTCAGGAATGGTTACCGGCCTGGTGTCCACGTGTGGCAATGCACTGGAGGACTGCCAGCCCAGGAAGCTCAGCTGAGCCTCTGATGTCCTCGTTCTTACTGGGACTTGATCACACACTGTTTGCATGGCTGACCTTTTTAGTCTCTGCCCCTCCGGAGGTCGCAACTGATAGGGCATGTCCCAAAGCCCCCACCAGAAATCACATGATTATGGTTGTCTGATCGCAAAAGCACTCCAGGCAAATAAATAACTATAAGGCAGGATATTCCAGGGACCCCCAAGTCACCTCTCAGTAGCCACACGCACAAAGGCCAGGCCTCTCTTCAGAGGAAGTGAATTCTGCACCGCACAGCACCCTGCTGTATTGTGAATACAGGTTAGGAGTGCAGGCTTTGGAGTGTGTCTGGGTTTGCCTGCCCTGTGTGGTCGCCAGTCGCTGTGAGGCCTGGTTCTTCTGTCCTTCAGCACACTTGTGGGACTGTGCTTCCGTGCACCCTTTGAAGACAGGGGTGGTCTCGTGACCTGCCTCAGCTGAGCAGCAGAGCTTCAGGAATCAATGCCAGATTCACCACAGGCCCTTTCCTCTACCTCAGGGAGCGGAGAGGGTGTTGAGATGAAGGCTCCATCAGCCTGGACCCCTGAGTAACCGGGGGGATCATGTGTCCACCCCAACCCTTGCCAGACTTGCTGCGTGCGTGAGAAATAAACCTTTGTTGTGTGAAACTGCTGAGATGTCAGATGTTCTTTGCCACAGAATATCTTTTTTTTTTTTCAGACGGAGTCTCGATCTGTCACCAGGCTGCAGTGCAGTGGCGCGATCTTGGCTCACTGCAACCTCCATCTCCTAGGTTCAAGCCGTTCTCCTGCCTCAGCCTCCTGAGTAGCTGGGATTACAGGTGTGTGCCACCACGCCCAGCTAATTTTTGTATTTTTAGTAGAGATGGGGTTTCACCATGGTGGCCAGGATGGTCTCGATCTCTTGACTTCGTGATCCGCCCGCCTCAGCATCCCAGAGTGCTGGGATAACAGGTGTGAGCCACTCTGCCTGCCCGGCCCACAGAATATCTTAGTCTAGCCTGATGTTACATCACCGGTGACCTTGGGCAAGTTCTTCAGCTCCCCTGCTCCTCAGTTTTCTCACCTGTAAAATGGGGACAATAGTGCTAACCTCTCAAGACTCTGGTGAGAAGAACTGAGTTACACACTGTGTCAGTTTGTTCCGGCTGCCATAACAAAGGCCCATAGGCTGGGGGGCTTAACCATGGAAAATTTACTTCCTCACAGTTCTGGAGGCTGGAAGTCCCAGATCAAGGTGTTGGCAGGGCTAGATTCTTCTGAGGCCTCTCTCCTGGGCTTGCTGCTGGCTGTCTTCTCCCTCTGTCTTCACAGAACCTTTGCTTTATGCATGTCTGTGCCCTACTCTCTTCTTATAAGGACAACAGCCATATAGGATTAGGGTTCACCCTGATGACCTCATTTTAATTTAATTTCCTCAAAAGACCCCATCTCCACATATAGTCACATCTCAAGGTACTGGGGGTCAGGATTTCAACATATGAATTTTAGCGGGTCAAATTCAGCCCATAACACACATGGAAAACATTTACAGTGGAACAGCACGTGGTGCATAGTGAATGTTCAATCATATTAGCTATTATTATTACTATCATTATATTTTATATACACTGACAAGAAAATATAGCCAATAGTTTTACCTGAACAAGGTTGCTGAACAATATATTTGCCATTATCTCTATTTAATTAATAATAAGCAAAGAATCATGTATACTTAAGGACAAAAAATTATTTAAAATATGCCAATCTGGGTTGGGCGTGGTGGCTCACACCTGTAATCCCAGCACTTTGGGAGGCCAAGGCTGGTGGATCACCTGAGGTCAGGAGTTCAAGACCAGCCTGGCCAACATGGTGAAACCCCGTCTCTACTAAAAATATAAAAATCGGCTGGCTCCTGTGTAGCTGGGATTACAGATGCATGCCACCACGCCCAGCTAATTTTTGTATTTTTAGTAGAGCCTGATGTTTAGTGTAGCCTGATGTTACATCATGGGTGACCTTGGGCAAGTTCTTCAGCTCCCCAATCTGAAAAGGCTACCTCCTGTACTAGCCAACTCTATGACATTCTGGAAGGATATGTCCAGAGGCAAAACTATGGAGACAGTGAAAAGATCAGTGGTTGCCAGGGGTTGATGGGGGAGGGTGGGATGAAGAGGCAGAGCCCAGAGGTTACTTAGGGCAGCAGCCCTGCTCTGTGTGATACCATAATGGTAGATACATGTCATTATACATTTGTCCAAACACACAGAATGTGCATCCCCACAACTGAGCCCTAGTGCCAACTACACACTCTGGGTGATAACAATGCATGGATGTGGGCTCAGTGATTGTAACACGTGTGCCATTATGGCGGGGAATGTTGGCAGTGGAGAGGCTGTGAGTGGAAGCAGGGGGCTTATGGAGCTCTGTACTTTCTGGTCAATTTTGCTGTGCATATGAAACCACTCTAAAAGTAGTCTATTACAGTTTTTTAAAATGCAAAACAAATAATATGCTAAACTGTTAATAATGATGGGGGAGGGGTATATTACAAGGATATTTGGTCATATATTTTGATAATATTTGAATTTCTTTTTACCTGTGTGTGTGTCTATGTAAATTTGTAATCAGAAAAAAAAAATGTGTAAGAAAACAAAAGGGTAGCCAGCTCCTGGGGATCAATAATCAAAAACAAGGGCGGTTGGTCCACATCTTGTACTTCTGCACATGCAAGGCCTAACTCTCAGCTGATGCTCCATAAAGGTTGGCAACATCCTCACTGCTTGCTAATCTCTCAGCTGGGTCATAGCTCCAAAAGATGTTGGGAAGGAAGGGCTCATCCCCTCAGAAGTAACCTCTGTCCCCTCTCTAGTAAGACCTGGCTAGGATTGAGAACTCCAAAGGACAGAGGGGCAAAGACTTAGGAGGGGGCTCTGTATGTGTGAAGAGGTGTTCAGATGTCTGTGGGAAGGGACCCTGAAGGAAGGACCACCAGGACCAGAACAGACAGGGAGGGGCTTTCACAGGCGACTTCAGCGACCATAGCACATGGTGAGGCCTTTTAAGCCAATGTAGAAGATAGCAAGTCTACTGGGTCTTTGCCCCGTAGACTATTTATATATGATGGGGTTTTCTGTTTGTTTGTTTGTTTTTTCGAGACAGAGTCTCACTCTGTCGCCCAGGCTGGAGTGCAGTGGTGCAATTTCAGCTCACTGCAAACTCCACTTCCTGGGTTCAAGCAATTCTTGTGCCTCAGCCTCCAGAGTAGCTGGGATTACAGGCGCACGCCACCACGCCCGGCTAATTTTTTGTATTTTTAGTAGAGACGGGGTTTCACCATGTTGGCCAAGATGGTCTTGAACTCCTGACCTCAGGCAATCCATCCACCTCGGCCTCCCAAAGTGCTGGGATTATCGGCTTGAGCCACCGTGCCCAGCCTATATATGTTTTACAACATGGCAGTGGCTTTGGCTTAGACTTAGAAAATCTGAGGTCAAATTCCAGCTTTACTAATTGCTACTGCTGTGATCTCAGACAAATCATTTAGGTGTCTGACCATACGTTTCCTTGTGTATAAAATGATGATCATGATGCCAGTTTTCCAGGATCTTTGTAAAGATTTCCTGGCATAATGTGGGTGCTCACTTGATTAATGGATTGAGATATTTCTTTAAGAAGTGAACACCAATAGGCTGAACTGAGGAATTTGTAGGTAGGAACTGGGGTGGGGGTGAGCAGGAAAAAGAAGGCTTTCATGCAGAAAATGGGGCCTTCTACACTTTGTGTGTGTGTGTGTGTGTGTGTGAAATGGAGTTGTTGCCCAGGTTGAGGGCAATGGCATGATCTCGGCTCACTGCAACCTCCACCTCCTGAGTTCAAGCAACTCTCCTGCCTCAGCCTCCTGAGTAGCTGGCATTACAGGTGCCTGGACCACGCCTGGGTAATATTTGTATTTTTAGTAGAGACAGGGTTTCACCATGTTGCCCAGGCTCGTCTTGAACTCCTGATCTCAGCCTCGGCCTCCCAAAGTGCTGAGACTATAGGCATGAGCCACCGTGCCTGGCCAACAGTTTTAATTCTGTTTACAAACATCTATAAAATGTTATGTGTAATATGATAATACAATTTTAAAAATATTCCCAAGGGGAATAAATTAATCTCCTAAGAGTAAAAATGCACCTCCTCAGGTATTAAATAAACCTGAAGGAGTTGAAAGAGCTCTGATGGTCCTAGGTGTGGCTGGGTAGGGGTGTGTTACACTGGGAAAGGCTCGACTGGTTAAGAGCTTGGACTTAGATGACCATTCTGAGATGGGAAGTGAATCCTTGAGCCTATAATGACTTCTTTTTATTTTGTTTTGAGACAAAGTCTCACTCTGTCCCCGGGCTGGAGTGCAGTGGTGCAATCATGACTCACTGCAGCCTCAATCTCCTGGGCTCAAGAGATCCTCCCACCTCAGCCTCCTGAGTAGCTGGGACTATAGGTATGTCCCACAATGCCCTGCTAATTTTTTTTTTTTTTTGAGACAGTTTCACTCTTGTTGCCCAGGCTGCAGTGCAATGGCACAATCGACTCACTGCAACCTCCGCCTCCTGGGTTCAAGCGATTCTCCTGCCTCAGCCTCCCAAGTAGCTGGGATTACAGGCATGCACCACCACATCCAGCTAATTTTGTATTGTTAGTAGAGACGAGGTTTCTCCATGTTGATCAGGCTGGTCTCGAACTCCCGACCTCAGGTGATCTGCCTGCCTCGGCCTCCCAAAGTGTTGGGATTACAGGCATGAGCCACCGTGGCCAGCCTCCCTGCTAATTTTTTAATTTTTAATTTTATCTGTAGACACAAAGTCTCCCAATGTTGCCCAGGCAGGTCTCAAACTCCTAGGCTCAAGTGATCCTCTTGCCTTAGCTTCCCAAAGTGTTGGGATTACAGGCATGAGCCACTGTGCCTGGCCTAAAGACTTCTTAAACAGACAATTTTTCCTAGCAGCTACAGTGATTGTTAAGAAAGCAACTGTGGCCAACTCTTAACAAAGCCCTTGGATATCTCTAAGTAATCCAGGCTGCTGCTGATTTCCACATTTTCTCTGGCCAAATTTATCCCAGGACCTACTTTGATTGATTAATCCAAGAATGGGATGCAAATCTCTTCATGTCCCTCTCCTCAATTTAAAATTTTTGTGTAATAATCATTCAAGTGTGAGAATATATATGTCTACAGTCACTCAACATTGTTGAGAATGGTGAAAAATGGGAAACACTAAAATGTCCACTACTAGGGAACTGGTTAAGTACATTATAGTATGCAAGTTATTAAGGTATTGCCTGGCAGCACCAAACTCACCCTTTATTGCCTGCACTGTGAAAAATGCATCTGGCTGGACCTTTTAAATTGTTTTCCTTTGCCAGAAGTTTGATGTTAAGCCCTGTCAGTAGAGGGAGCTAGAGGGACACTGGAGGAGAAAGAATACTTCTTTTCTTAGATCTGGGGTAGCTTGCTTGCCAGGCTCCTGCAGAGCACACTTTTTTCCTCACCACTTGGCCCCAAGTGGTTTTTTTCTCTACGGCCTGCTAGGCTTCTACTTTTTCCAGCTTTCAATTTAAGCAGTAGTGGCAGGATAGCCAGGAGCCCCAGAACACATGGGGCCTGCGCTCCAGCAAAGGGACCTCCGTCCCTATGCGGTAGTCAGGCTATCTTTTTCAATGATGTGCCTAGGTCCCAGGCTGAACACATTAAATGTACCAGCTGCTGGATAAGGCTAAACTGCCTCAGCCAAAAAGGACGATTGGGTATCTATCCAGATGATACTGACAGATCTAATTTCTGACTGTGTATCTTTACTTTAGCTCCATGCTTCTAAAATTTTACTGTATACAGGAATCTCCTACAGATGTTGTAAAGTGTAAATTCTAATTCAGTAGCTCTGGGATAGGCCTGAAATTCTGCATTTCTAAAAAGTTCTCAGATGTGGAAGCTGCTGGTCCACAGACCATCCTTAAAGAAGTGAGGTGTTAGCTTATGAACACACTTCTGAAGTGTAGTCTAAATAGGAGAACAGCCCTATTTCAACATCTTAGCCCAATGTTAGCACAGACACAGTATAACTTTCACTCTGCAAAATGATATTTTGTGGGAGGTCTGTGTATACCAGTTGCCCCCACTAGGGCCTCAGTAAGCATATCCTCATATCATTTCTTTTTTTTTTTTTTTTTTTGGCTCTGTCGCCCAGGCTGGAGTGCAGTGGTGCCATCTCAGCTCACTGCAAGCTCCGCCTCCTGGGTTCATGCCATTCTCCTGCCTCAGCTTCTCGAGTAGCTGGGACTACAGGCGCCCGCCACCACATCCGGCTAATTTTTTGTATTTTTAGTAGAGACGGGGTTTCACCGTGTTAGCCAGGATGGTCTCGATCTCCTGACCTCATGATCCACCTGCCTCGGCCTCCCAAAGTGCTGGGATAATAGGTGTGAGCCACTGTGCCCAGTCCATCATTTCTTTTTCTTTCTTTTATTTTATTTTATTTTCTTTTTTTTTTTTAATTGAGACAGGGTCTCACTCTGTCACCCAGGCTGGAGTGCAGTGGTGTGAACATGGTTCACTGCTGCCTCTACCTCCTGGGTCCAGGTGATCCTCTCATCTCTCAGTCTCCCAAGTAGCTGGGACCACAGGAGCATGCCACCATGCCTGGCTAATTTTTAAATTTTTTGTAGGGACAGGGTCCCACTGTGTTGCTCAGGCTTGTCTTGAAATCATTTCTATTAGTGATCTAGCTGTGGGTTTACACACAATTCCCCTTTACAGCAATTTTTTTTTTTTAAATGGAGTTTCACTCTTGTCACCCAGGCTGGAGTGCAATGACGAAATCTTGGCTCACTGCAACCTCTGCCTCCCGGGTTCAAGCAATTCTCCTGTCTCAGCATCTCGAGTAGCTGGGATTACAGGAGTGCACCACCACGCCTGGCTAATTTTTGTATTTTTAGTAGAGACGGGGTTTCACCATGTTGGCCAGGCTGGTCTTGAACTTCTGACCTCAAATGACCCACCCGCCTCAGCTTCCCAAAGTGCTGAGATTACAGGTGTGAGCCACTGAGACTGGTTCCCTTTAGAGTGATTCTAAGAACTAGTGCTTTATATACACAGTGATGTCTGCCTCCTGCTTGCATAGGTCTTTAAGGAGAGAGACTATGTCCTACTAACACCCCATGTTTTAGCTCAATGCTTAGCAGTAGAGCATGACAGTTAGACGTGTTCATGAGCCTGACTCTTCCACTTGCTGAGGCATTCATCTCAGCATACCATGGGACTGAAAAAGCATCTACCTCATCAGGTTCAGAATTAAATGAACAGGCCAGGCGTGGTGGCTCATGCCTGTAATCCCAGCACTTTGGGAGGCCGAGGCAGGCAGATCACCTGAGGTCGGGAGTTCGAGACCAGCCTGACCAACATGGAGAAACCCCGTCTCTACTAAAAATACAAAATTAGCCTGGCGTGGTGGCACATGCCTCTAATCCCACCTATTAGGGAGGCTGAGGCAGGAGAATCGCTTGAACCTGGGAGGCGGAGGTTGCGATGAGCCGAGATCGCGCCATTGCACTCCAGCCTGGGCAACAGAAGCGAAACTCCATCTAAAAAAAAAAGAATTAAATGAACAGATACAAAATGCTTAGAAATGATTAGAAATTATTACTCGTACCCAGTAAGCACTATATAAGATTCAGCTTACAATTATCCACAAATGTGTAAAATAATAAATCTTTCAGAAAAAGAAACAGTATCACATCTGTTTGTCTTATAATATGCATTTATCAGCTTCTCATCTATTAATTAATTTGCTGCATTTTTACTTTTTTTTTTTTGAGACAGGGTCTCACTGTGTTGCCCAGGCTAGAGTATAGTGGCATGATAATGGCTCACTGCAGTCGCAACCTCCCTGGCTCAAGTGATCCTCCAACCTCAACCTCCCGAATAGCTGGGACCGCAGGTGTACACCACCACAGCTGGCTAATGTTTAAATTTTTTTGTAGAGATGGGGTCTCATGGTGTTACCCAGGCTGGTCTTAAACTCCTGGGCTCATGTGATCCTCATGCCTTGGGCTCCGAGAGTGCTGAGATTAAAGTAAAAATGTGGCCACCACACTCAGCCACATTTTTATTTTTAACACATGTAAAATTACTTGTCATAAGTACATGTATATAAACAAGAAATTCATTCACCAAACAACAAATATTTCCTGAATAAAAGGCACTGAAGATGAAACCAGAGAGAAGGGAAGGAAGGGATTCAGAAATGAATTAGACACTATTTCTAACCTTAGGGAGGAGAAATAAGGACAAAGAACTATAATGCAGGCCAATAATCCAGTGTGACAAGAGGCACAGCAATACCACATTCATGCTCATCATCACATGCAAGGAATTCTGTTTGCTACCTGCCCAGCATCTATTCCTACCTGCTGGTTTAGAAACCTTATTTTCCTCAGGGAACCACCCCATCAACTCTCAGTTCCAGTGGTTCAGGGGGTGATGACTTCAATCAGACTCCAGCTTGGGCTGGTAATCAAGCCTGGATGATGAGAGAATTAAATGATCTTCAGTACAGCAACTGGGTTCAATGGTGTATGTGTGACCCAAGACATAGGCCCGTGATTCAATTCTGGGACTTCTGTGCATGCACTAAAGTCAAGTCGGCCAGGCATGGTGGCTCACGCCTGTAATCTCAGCACTTTGGGAGGCTGAGGCAGGTGGATCACCTGAGGTCAGGAGTTCGAGACCAGCCTGACCAACATGGTGAAACCCTGTCTCTACTAAAAATACAAAAATTAGCTGGATGTGGTGGTGCACACCTGTAATCCCAGCTACTGGGGAGGCTGAGGCAGGAGAATCACTTGAACCTGGGAGGTGGAGGTTAAAGTGAGCCAAGATTGCGCCACTGAACTCCAGCTGTGGCAATAGAGTGAGACTCCATCTCAATAAATGAATAAATAAAGTCAAGTTGGCCAGGCATGGTGGATCATGGCTGTAATCCCAACTCTTTGGGAAGCTGAGGCAAGCAAATTGCCTGAGCTCAGGAGTTCCAGGCTGGTCTGGAATTTCTGGAGCGAATCACTGTTCCTGGTAGATTTTTTTTTTTTTTATTGAGCCAACAAAGTCCTTGGTTTTACTTATTCCAGATGGGTTTTCTGTTGCTCACAACTTGAAGGATCTAGAATAAATGAGGAAATAAAAAGTTCTAAATCCCCAATTATTTATTTGGCCTTGATTAAAGTTACAACTAGAGATCAAACTTTTAATAGTAGGAATGGGAGAGAATAAAAATTTCTATTGGCACAATTGCTTTGAGTATACAAAGCACTAAGCTATCCAGTAACCTTTTGTCATAAGAAGGCAAGTTGGAAAGACCCTCAATGACACCAAGAATACAAATATTATTAGCAGGTTGGGGAAATTATTTCATGATTTAAACATTGTGTATCTGATCATCATGAATGGATTTCCGCTTGCTAGAAGTTCTTCTGGTGCATCCTGATTGTTAACTAATGGTTTATGGTTCTACAACTCCTGACTTTGAGCCTATGTACTTGCTACTTGCTTTATTCATTTGTTGTGGGAAACTGAATTTGAACTCACTTATCACCCTTAGAATAGTGAAACCAGGAACTATTATGTAACTTCATTGATCCTGTCATAATTGACTCAACTGGCATAAAAGATCAGATCCTCTTAGAGTTAGGAAAAATACTTTTGTTTTTGCATATATTATGCAAGTAGAAACAATTATAAAATAGTGAGATTTATTTTTACCTTTTTCAATTGACTTCTTTGGTCTTGTCTTCCATTCAACTATATGAAGAATGCAAGACAGGTTATAATCATCCTAACTTTAGGGACAAGAAAAAGGTAAGGAGAGAGAGAGCAGGAATTCAGCGGCAAAACAGAGCAGATTGAATGCAGTGCTTTGGTAATTAACAAGAACTCACATCCTCGCCAGCCTGACCTGGCCTCTCCTCCTTGGCTCTCACCCAGGTGTTGCTCCCTGCATGTAATTGAAAGTAATGAAGCTACATGTGTCTAAACTCTCAATTAATGGTTCTGTGAATTCCAAGTCAATCTGGAAGATGTTAGTGTATTTTATTATTCCTAATGGGACTCCTCTATTAAGTAATTCAAGGTAATTTACATCTTGTATACAGTTAAGTTTCACTGCATTTCCATTGGTGGTAATAAATAACCACTGGAATATATATAATAATCATGGAAGGGCTGGTAGTATTATTCAGCATCCACACTTCACAGCATTTTTGATGTGCTTTGTTTTTCCATGCTATAAGATGTGTGTTATTGTTTGGTATTATGATTACTAAAAGCTGTTTTCATATATCAGATTATGAAAAAGATCAGTCTATTAAACTGACCACATTAAACACAATGTGTGAATAACTTATGCTAATGTGGTAGAGTTGTATTTTAGGAATGCATTTAAGGATGCAATCTCCTAGAAGAAAAAACAATCAGTAAAAAATATGAGGGTGCTTAACCTTACTCTCAGTAAATTGTGCAGTAGTCAATAGCCCCGTAAGAAACTCATGGCCATGGCCGGGCACGGTGGCTCACACCTGTAATCCCAGCACTCTGGGAGGCTGAGGTGGACAGATCACTTGAGTTTGAGAGCAGCCTGACCAACGTGGTGAAACCCTGTCTCTGCCAAACACACACACACACACACACACACACACACACACACACACACACACAAAGAAAAAAAAGAAAAAAAAGAAACTTGTGGCCATCTAATACCAGGTAAGGATTACTCATCTCTATTTCAGTTCTAAAGATGTTCTGAATCCTGAAGCAACGAGAGTTGGTTCTCTTACAACCATTTGGGGCATTTGTGACTTGGAAATGAGGCGGCAGTGCTCACAGGGCATGCTTTAAGAACTTACAGTGGCTGGTTATGCTGTAAGGAAGATAAGAAGAAAACAGGGGAGCAGGCTAACTCCAGATGCCCAGTGGGAAGACGACAGGCCCTTCTCTCACATGATCATGATTCCTTGGTGTTGTGGTTTGGTGATGAGCAGTTTAAAGATACCAAAGATAACTTTAGCTTGAAGCAGTGCTTCTCAAAGTGTGGTCTCTGTTGCATGTAGTGATTCTGGTTCATTGAGATAAATTTACTATTTTTACTCTGGTTCATTAAGATAAATTTACTATTTTTACAAAAAATTTACTATTTTTACTAAATTTTACACAAAATTTACTATTTTTACAATTTTAAAGTGTACAACTCAGTGACATTTACTAAATTTACAATTTTGTGCAACCATCTCCACTATCTCGTTCCAGAACATTTCATCACCCCACAGGAAACTCCCATGCCCATTAAGCAGTTACTTTCCAACACTCCCAACCCCCACACCTGGTGACCACCAATCTGCTTTCTGTCTCTATAGATTCTGGACATTTCATATAAATGGAATCATACAACGTGTGGCCCTTTTTGTCCGTCTTTCACTTAGCACAATGTTTTCAAGTTTCATCCCTGTTGTAACAAGTATCAATACTTCCTTTTTGACCAAATAATATTTTTTGTACCACATTTTATTTATCCATTCATCGGGTGACATGTATATTATTTGTTTCTGTCTTTTGGCTATTGTGAATAGTGCTGCTATGAATACTCATGTACAAGTTTTGGTTTGAACACTTGCTTTTAATTCTTTTGGGTAGAAAGCGTAGGCATTAATCTTTGCTCACTCAAAAGGAGATGACCAAATATCTTAAATTCTTCAATCATTCAACAAATATTTACTGAAAACCTACTCTATAGCTGCTTAGAACGCCAAGCACTGGGAATACATACTGCAGTGAATAAGACAGGCATCATCCCTGTCCTCCTTGGGAATAACACAAAATTCAATAAGTGAGTAACACACAGACTTTACAGCATTTAGGATTAGGAATTCCTTTGCTATTAAGGAAAGTAAAAGCTGGTCACAGAGCACCTGGCAAGATGCTCTAACTGGATGCTTTCGGATGAAACAAGCAAACACAACTAAGCGCAATCACATCTGTCACCTTACATCATAAGCCTCAAGTAGGGAGGTTCCCAAGTGGGTCCAGTCGGCAGCTCAACCTCATCAAGGATCTAGCCTTTCTCTATCCTGCTCTGCCATCCTCATGGCCACGCTAAGGAACAGCCACCCGAGGCATCATGTCTTCTCATGGAACAAAGACCAGGGAACAGAAGGGGGGGAGATCCCTTCTCAATCCCTTGTTAGGTGCAAGAAAAACTTTCCCAGAATACTTCTCAGATCTGTTCTGCCCGATTTGCCCCACAGCCTATTCCTAAGCCAATTACTGGCAAGGAATTGGAATCAGGTGCAATGAATAATGTATGATTAATCAAGTTTGAGGCTGGAAGGGGCCCTCTTCCCCTGGGGAATATGATGCCTGAACAAAATACAGGCTCTGGAAAAATGTAAGAGGGAAAGAACGGCTGTAGGATAGGCAGCCAAGCGTGTCTCCACCGCTGCCTATGCAAAGATTTCCTGGAGGAAGTCCAGTCCGGCGTTCTCTAAGCTCCAGGCCTCAACTGAATATCTCAAAAGAAAACAAATATCCAAACCTCAACGTGTCCCAGACTGAATTAATGATTCCCGTTAAAGTAGTGTCTTCCAGTGGTAACTAATACTATCATTCAGATGCTGGAGCCAGGAAAATAAGAGTCACCGTATCTTCTTCTCCCTCATCACCACCTCTAGCGCATCACCAAGTCTTTGAATCCATCTACTCTCTTCGCCTCCACCGCCACCATCCTAATCCCAGTCACTATCAACTCTTCCCTGGAGCTTTGCAACAATCATGTTTGGCTTCCCAGCATCCATTTGTATTTCCCTCCAAACTATTAGTTCACAGTGCAGGTAGGGTGGCCTTTTCAAACCCAAATCTGCTCATGCTCAAAACTTGCTTCCCACTGCTCTTAGAATAGAGACCACTTTGAGCTTGAATAGGCTGTGCACATCCCACCTCAAGACTGCTGCACTTGCTGTTCCTCCTCCAACCCCTTGTCACCCCTCTCCCTCGGCTTAACTGTCATTTCCCAATTAGGTCAGATCCCTTTGCTGCAGCCCGTAGAGAGCTCTGCGCCTGTCCTTCAGGGCACTTTTTCTCCATCTACAGACTCAGATCTGTGACAACACGGAGCTAGTATTTCCTACAACATAATGCCTGGCACACGGTAAGTGCGCAATATGTAGCTGTTGCACGGCTAAATGTATACATAAGCTTCAAAGCAGAGTGGCCCATAGCAAATACGGTCGCAGTCCCGGGAGAAAGCACACACAGCCGAGACCCCACCGCTTCGTCGGCGCCGCCTGGACCAGCCAGTAGCTCCGCCCCTGGGCCCCGCCCCTCCCTGCTGAGCGAACGGGGCGGGGCCCAGAGGTCGCGTGACGTGACAGCAGCCGGTCGGTGATTGGGTCTCCAGGCGCGCCGTGTCGGAAAGGGGGCGCACCCGCGCGCGCTGACTGGCTGTCTGGCGCAGCGGGGCGGACGGCGGCGGCGCCGCGGGGGCGGGCGCCGGTAGGGGCCGGACAGGGTAGGGCCCGGAGGGCGGTGGCGGCGGAGCGGGCGGCATGGGTCCTGGCCGCCGGCTTCGCTGAGACGCGCTCGCGTGGGCTGCCCTCCCGGGCCCGCAGTGGTCGCGGCGGCATGAAGGGCGCTCTGGGGAGTCCCGTGGCTGCCGCTGGCGCCGCGATGCAGGAGAGTTTCGGCTGCGTGGTGGCCAACCGCTTCCATCAGCTGCTGGACGACGAGTCGGACCCGTTCGACATCCTGCGCGAGGCCGAGCGCCGGCGCCAGCAGCAGCTGCAGCGCAAGAGGCGCGACGAGGCGGCGGCGGCGGCCGGGGCCGGTCCCCGCGGCGGCAGGAGCCCAGCCGGGGCCTCGGGCCACAGAGCCGGCGCGGGCGGCCGGAGGGAGTCGCAGAAGGAGCGCAAGAGCCTCCCGGCGCCCGTCGCTCAGCGGCCCGATAGCCCCGGGGGCGGCCTGCAGGCGCCGGGTACGCGGGGACAGCGGGGTTAGCGGACCACGGCTCGGCCCGCTGTGAGACTGGGGTCCCGGGGGCCGGTTTCAGGAGGAGGGGCCCGGGAACAGTAGGGAGAGTTGAGGGTCCTGGTGGCCGCCGAAGGTAGGAGGAGAGGGGCAGGGGTCACACCCCTTCCAGCTCTCGCCAGCCTCGTGCGGGGCTCCGGGGGAAACGCTGGCTTGGGGTGGGATAGGGCCCTCGAACCCTGGCACTGAGGCTCTACGGCAAGTTGGACGAAGTTGAGGGAGGTTGTCTGGGTGGCGTGTGGGGGCGAACGGCTGAGGTCGCTACCCCGGGGCTCCCACATCCAGACCTGGCGGGGACCTTCATCTTCCAGCCCAGCCTCTGCAAGATTGAGGTCGGAGCCACCCGAGAGCGCGGTGGGGAGGAGGAGGGCGCCTGGTCCCGGGGCTGGGGGCCTCTGTGATGCCGGAGGCCTGGGCGACCGCGGGGCGGCCTGTGACGTCGGGGCCCGGGCGGGGGTCCCCGGCGCGGTCCGGCCTGGCGCCTTCGCCCCTTCTCCGTCCGGTAGCTTCCAGGAGGCAGCCGGCATCGTATTTCAGTACTTCGTGTGGTGTTGATGGGATGTGCAACTTATAAATAGCTCAAGGCTGCTTTAAGAAAAGCGTTTTTAACCTTTCCAGCAAGAATATTCGGAGTTCCCCACTCCCTATTTAGCAAGAAAAACCGGTGCGCAGCGTGGTGTCCTGCTGCCTGTGGACGGGGAGGGTGCTTCAGAGTTCATTCTCTCACCGAACTGCGTCAGTGGCAGAGCCAGCAACACTCCACCTGTGTTTCCTGTTTTCTTGAAATGAGGCAGCGGTCCCAAGGTTTGCAGAGTGTTAGGATTAAGATGTGTAGGTTGACCATTCCTGCCGACGTTTGCCAGTGTGTTCAACTTGGCTTTATTGGTTTGTTCCTTGCTTGATAAAAATTGTGCATCGCAGCCCTGAGGAAACGTCTCAGGTTTAAGTATTAGGGCTTTGATGTGCAGCTGGGTAATGTTTACCTTTATTTGTGAAAAGCTAAATCCAGAGTCATCACTTGAGAATCAAGTCACTACAATAAAGATGTTGAAAATGATTTTTAAAAAAATGTTATTTACTATCTCACGACACTTTGGTAGGCCAGTAAATTTCTGAGCCTATCTAAACAGTGAGACTGGAGATACATTGTGCATTTTATATCCTGTTTTTTATCTTTTTCTCTTAAACTTATTTACATCAATATAATAAAGGAATTGAGGAAGGCTAAGCTTTTCTTCACCCTTTATTTTTTAACAAATGAAAATGCCGGGTGTGGTGGCTCACGCCTGTAATCCCAGCAGTTTGGGAGTCCGAGGCGGGCGGATCACGAGGTTAGGAGATCGAGACCATCCTGGCTAACACGGTGAAATCCCGTCTCTATTACAAATACAAAAAATTAGTCGGGCGTGGTGGCGGGCACCTGTAGGTCCAGCTACTCGGGAGGCTGAGGCAGGAGAATGGCGTGAACCCAGGAGGCGGAGCTTGCAGTGAGCCGAGATCGAGCCACTGTACTCCAGTCTGGGAGAAAGAGCGAGACTCCGTCACAAAAAAAAAAAAAAAAAAATTCTGTGCTTCAGAAAAACGTGAGACGAGTTAGTGCTGTTAATACATTGATTTTTAGCCTTTTTAAAATTGTCATGCATTTTTGTGTTAAGAATTTTAAGCAATTCCAAAATGTATGAGGTTAAGTGAAAATCCTCTTATTTTTCCTACTAACACTTTGCATTTATATACATAAATGCACAGAGCTATTTCTTTTCTTTCTAAACTTAAATGATATAAACTGGGTTGCAACCTGTTTCCTGCACTTGATGTTGTCATGTAGTACACTCGTAACTTTTTTTTTCTGTCAGTTGTTAGGTCTAAGTGATCTGGCTTTTGAAATCAACTAAAGGTATTTAGTTGATTTTGTAGTTAGAACGGAAATTTTATCATTCAAGTTCTTTTTCAAGTATGTGTTATTTCAGGAGCAAACAGCTCATTAATTTCCATTTATGTAGTTACTGTACTAAATTTATCTATAATGGGTGTCAAGGAGCTATTCTCTCAAGGTTTTGTAACCCTAGTTGATAAGAAGCACTGTACTTTTCTAACATTCAAAATTTTTTATCTAGTTAGAATGTTGTAAGTGAATGCTTAGTGTAGACAAAAATAAAACATGTTTGACATATCATAGAAATGTTAATCCTGAAAGAATGTGGAAGTCACAAGCTTTTCCTATGGAAAAGGGTTTTTTTTTTTTTTTTTTTTTTTTTTTGAGACAGAGTCTTTTTTTTTGAGACAGGCTGGAGTGCAGTGGCATGATCTCGGTTCACTGCAACCTCTACCTCCTGGGTTCAAGCGATTCTCCTGCCTCAGCCTCCTTAGTAGCTGGCATTACAGGCATCTGCCACCATGCCCGGCTAATTTTTTTTTTTTTTTTTTTTTTGAGACAGAGTGCAGTGGCGGGATCTTGACTCACTGCAACCTCTGCCTCCCCGGTTCAAGCGATTCTCCTGCCTCAGCCTCCTGGGTAGCTGGGACTACAGGCATGCGCCACCATGCCCAGCTAATTTTTGTATATTTTTTAGTAGAGGCATGGGTTCACTATGTTCATGTTGGCCAGGATGGTCTCGATCTCTTGACCTCATGATCTGCTTGCCTTGGCCTCCCAAAGTGCTGGGATTACAGGTGTGAGCTACTGTGCCTGGCCTAATTTTTTATATTTTTAATAGAGATGGGGTTTCACCATGTTGTCCAGGCTGGTCTTGAACTCCTGACCTCAGGTGATCCGCCCGCCTCAGCCTCCCAAAGTGCTGGGATTACAGGCGTGAGCCATGATGCCTGGCCAAAAATGTAGGTTTTTAATGTCTGACTATCTGTCTAGCAATATGTATATAAACCCTTGGGTGAGCCTTGCTCAATAAGTTCATTCTTAAAGTCATGAGAGGCCGTTTCAGTTTTGCTTTTCCTAGCCTTTCAGAATTATGTTCTTTGAAACAAAGGTCAATTTTATTTTGTGGAAAATCTTACTGTAAATTTTATTGTATTCTGTTTCTTTACCTGGGCTTGGTTTAGATGATGATGAATGCATGTGCCAGCCTTTTCTTGGCGAGGTTAGTGAAATGCAGTGCTTGCATTCTCCACTTGGAGCTGCTGATCCAGCACAGAAAAACAAGCCCAATTCATGGCAGTGTTGATCTCTTAGTACTAAATTGTGGGGAAAAAATTGGATGCTGATTATCTTTGTTTTGGGAGAGTTGGGAAGGAGAACGAGATGTTTGCCCAAAACTGATCATTATTCTAATTATCTTTGTTTTGGGGGGTTTGGGAGGGAAAATGAAATGTTTGCTTGATATTGATAATTATTCTAATAAGTAGCCAATTGTATTTAACAGTTTTCAGTTTTATACTGTTGGAAAAGGCTTTAATATGGTGTACAGTAAATGTCCTATTTTAAGTTTGATGAATTCCAAATTTGACGCAATTAAAAAATAACTTGGAGGAAGCAGAAAGGTGGGATAAGCACCTATAAGTAATTCTGTAGTTGAGTGGAGATAATAAAAGATGTTTTTAAAACTATGGGTTGGAAATAGGAAATCTGAAACTATGTTAAAATAACTCTTTTTACGCTGGGGTAAAAGTATGGAAAAGTATTGTTACTGTTGACAAATTTTCTGATGACTGTTATGTCATGATCTGTTATAATTTTCAACTTGTTAGGTAATTAACTTTCTTAGTGGCTTTTTCTGCCTTACATTTTGAATGCCTTTTCCAGTTCTGAACTCTTTTTTTTTTTTTTTTTTTTGAGACGGAGTCTCGCTCTGTTGCCCAGGCTGAAGTGCAGTGGCACGATCTTGGCTCACTGCAAGCTCCACCTCCCGAGTTCAGCCATTCTCCTGCCTCAGCCTCCCCAGTAGCTGGGACTACAGACGCCCGCCACCACGCCTGGCTAATTTTTTGTATTTTTAGTAGAGACAGGGTTCACCGCGTCAGCCAGGATGGTCTCAATCTCCTGATCTTGTGATCTGCCCGCCTTGGACTCCCAAAGTGCTGGGATTACAGGCATGAGCCACCGCGCCTGGCCCCAGTTCTGAACTCTTAATAAAGCACGTGCCCCCAGATCTGATGTTGCACACTCCTAGGCAACCGGGCACAAGTGTCAGTCACAGTGGGGGCTGCGTGGTGGCTCACGCCTGTGATCCCAGCACTGGGAGGCTAGGCGGGAGGATCACTCGAGCTCTGGGGTTCAAGACCAGCCTGGGCAACAAAATGAGACCTGTCTCTACAAAAAAAAATTTTTTTTTTAATTAGCTGGGTGTGATGGTGCAGCCTGTAGTCCTGGCTATTTGAGAGGCTGAGGTGGGAGGATCAGTTGAGCCCCAGAAGTCAAGGCTGCAGTAAACTATGATCACACCACTGCAGTCCAGCCTGGGTGACAGAGACCCTGTCGAAAAAAAAGAAAAGTGTCATTATCTTGATATGTCTGCAATCAAAGCATAATACTCTGCTGGGTGCAGTGGCTTATGTGTGTAATCCCAGCACTTTGGCAGGTCGAGGCAGGTGGGTCACCTGAGGTCAGGAGTTCAAGACCAGCCTGGCCAACATGGTGAAACCCTGTCTGTAGTAAAAATACAGAAAATTACCTGAGCGTGGTGGCACAGGCCTGTAATCCCAGCTACCTGGGAGGCTGAGACTTGAGAATTGCTTGAACCTGGGTAACAGAGGTTGCAGTGAGCTGAGATTGTGCCACTGCACTCCAGCCTGGCAGTCTGGGTGACGGAGTGAGACTGTCTCAAAAAAAAAAAAAAAAAAAAAAGTGGCCAGGCACAGTGACTCACACCTGTAATCCCACTACTTTGGGAGGCTGAGGCGGGTGGATCACCTGAGGTCTGGAGTTCGAGACCAGCCTGGCCAACATGGTGAACCCCCATCTCTATTAAAACTACAAAAAAATGACCTGGGTGTGGTGGCAGGCACCTGTAATCCCAGCTACTCAGGAGGCCGAGGCAGTAGAATCACTTGAACCAGGGAGTTGGAGGTAGCAGTGAGCCGAGATGGTGCCATGGCAGTCCAGCCTGGGTGATAGAGTGAGACTTGGTCTAAAAAAAAAGGCAGGTGTAGTGGCTCATGCCTGTAATCCCAGCATTTTGGGAGGCCGAGACCGGTGGATCACTTGAGGTCAGGAGTTCGAGACCAGCCTGGCCAACATGGTGAAACCCCATCTCTACTAAAAATACAAAACTTAGCCCGGTATGGTGGCACATGTCTGTAATCCCAGCTACTTGGAAGGCCGAGGCAGGAGAAATGCTTTAACCTGGGAGGCGGAGGTTGCAGTGAGCCAAGATCACACCATTGTACTCCAGCCTGGGTGACAGAGCGAGACTCTGTCTCAAAAAATAAATAAATAAATAAATGAAACATTATGCTCCACTTATGATAACATCTTTCCCATATCCTAAACATATCACAAGCCTCAGATTATGACCTCACTACAGGATATGAATTGAATTTAAATATTTCTAGGTTATGGGAAATTAAAATTATAGTAGGTTGAATTTAGATCTGTTGTGCAGCTTTCACACTTGAAAAAAATACTTTAACAAGGAATAAATTATATAATTTTATGTTAGTGATGTCATAAACATCATTTTTGCTTTAAAATGAGACCGGTTAAGATTTACCTGTACCCAGATGATAAAGTTTTGGTAGAAAATATTAAATGGGAAAATAGAAAAGTGTGTATCTACATATATTCCTTAAGGTCTTATGTGTATCTAAGTGGGAGGGAAGTCTAATAGTTAAAAAATATAACTGTGGCCAAGGGCAGTGGCTCACGCCTGTAATCCCAGCACTTTGGGAGGCCGAGGTGAGCAGATCACGAGGTCAGGAGATTGAGACCATCCTGGGTAACACGGTGAAACCCCGTCTCTACTAAAAATACAAAAAATTAGCTGGGCGTGGTGGCGGGCGCCTATAGTCCCAGCTACTGGGGAGGCTGAGGCAGGAGAATGGCGTGAACCCGGGAGGCGGTGCTTGCAGTGAGCCGAGATGGCGCCGCTGTACTCCAGCCTGGGCAACAGAGCAAGACTCCATCTCAAAAAAAAAAAAAAAAAAAAAATATATATATATATATATATATATATATATATATATATATATCCATTAACTTGAATAAATGTCATAGCTATACAACTAATGTGGAGAGTAATTTGTACCAAGAAAAATTGAAGCCACTATAGTAAATATTGCACATAGTGAGAGGAGATCTTTTAAATGTATATAAAAAAAGATAGACTTTTTTTGAAGATTAAAGATGTGACAAAGTTCTCCACAATGTATTTACCAAGTATTAGATGGCTTCAAACATAGACTTTGCTTAAGATGTTTAAAGCATTAAAACTAAAGGGGAGTAAAGCAAGGTGACAGGACAGAGGAAAAGACCAGAGTCTCGGCCGGGCACGGTGGCTCACGCCTGTAATCCTGGCACTTTGGGAGGCTGAGGAGACCAGCCTGACCAGGTTAGAGAAACGTCGTCTCTACTGAAAATACAACATTAGCCAGGCGTGGTGGCGCAGGCCTGTGATCCCAGCTAATCTCTACCCGGGAGGCGGAGGTTGCAGTGAGCCGAGATCGGGCCATTGCACTCCAGCCTGGGCAACAAGAGTGAAACTCAGTCTCAAAAAAAAAACACAAGAACAAAACCAGAGTCTGTGGTCCCAGCACAGTGTCCAAGTGCTGGACTGAGTGGACAAAAAGAGATGCCCTCAAGTACTGGCTGACTCTTGGGCAAGTTGCCAAATAGCAGTGTTTGGTTCATATTCAGGAAGTTATAACTGCAAGTCTATATATCTCATAGAATAGCAGGAAAATCTGTTTTCAAAGTAAAAATATAAGCACTACAAACTTTAAAAACAAAAACCTTGGCCAGGCGCTGAGGCTCATGCCTGTAATCCCAGTGCTTCAGGAGGGTGAGGTGGGTGAATTGCTTGAAGCTGGGAGTTCGAGACCAGCCTGGCCAACATGGTGAAACCCTGTCTCTATTAAAAATACAAAAATTAGCTGGGCATGGTGGCACATGCCTGTAATTCCAGCATCTTGGGAGGCTGAGGCATGAGAATTGCTTGAGCCTGGGAGGCGGAGATTGCAGTGAGCCAAGATTAAACAGTGCACTGCACTTCGGGCTGGGTGACAGAGCAAGACTCTGTCTCAAAATAAGTAATTAAGTAAATAAATTAAAAAAATACAAAATAAAAACAAAAACCTTAGTAGCCAGTGATAAGCCATAGTTGCTATGTAATGTGCAGTTGGGATTCTAAAAGTACAGTCTGAAATATAGGGTATTCTTTCATTTTCTAGGTACGGCTTACACACTGTGTTTTTGTAAGACTGCTTTTGTGAACTGTAGCTTATTTAGTAAAATGTACCCATGGCTGTCACAGTTATTGGGAGATGCCTGTAATTATAGGTGAGCTTAGTTGGTCATATACTTTCTAGGATATAGGGAAAGCATGATTTAATAGTAACATCCTATTAAAAAGTAGACTGTGGGCAGTTGTAGTATCAGCAACTTTTTTCTTTGAAGTTTTCTAAACTTCCTGAATTCTCCTATGACGTTGATTTCTAGAAAAATGAAATTTACAAGTACCTGTAAAGTTTAATAGTGTGCTGTTGCAGATGTTGTGTTCCAGCTCTCTGCTTTGATTTTCTGTTGGTAGGCCAGAAGCGGACTCCTAGAAGAGGGGAGCAGCAAGGATGGAATGACAGCCGTGGGCCGGAGGGGATGCTCGAAAGAGCTGAGCGGAGATCCTACAGGGAATACCGACCCTATGAGACAGAGAGGCAGGCAGACTTCACAGCTGAGAAGTTTCCAGATGAAAAGTATGTGCTGCAGTCCTCAGCAGGGCGGGTGGGGAACCAGAAAGGTTTTGAGAAAATGCTACTTTCTTTTTCTTTTCTTTCTTTCTTTTTTTTTTTTTTTTGAGACAGTTTCGCTCTTGTCGCCCAGGCTGGAGTGCAATGGTGCGATCTCGGCTCACTGCAACCTCCGCTCCCGGGTTCAAGCAATTCTCCTGCCTCAGCCTCCCAAGTAGCTGGGATTACAGGCATGTGCCACCACGCCCGGCTAATTTTGTATTTTTAGTAGAGACGGGGTTTCTCCATGTTGGTCAGGCTAGTCTTGAACTCCCAACCTCAGGTGATCCACCTGCCTTGGCCTGCCAAAAGTGCTGGGATTACAGGAGTGAGCCACCATGCCCGGCCCAGAAAATACAACTTTCTACTGGCTACTGCTTTTTGTGGTACCAGTCCTAGGAATGTTTTACTAATTTATGTGCAATTCATGTTACCTTAGATGATGGGAAGGATCTTCCTTTTTCCTCATAGATGCCTTTACGTCTTGGTTCAGGAAATGATTGTACAATTAAAAATGAATTGCTTGTTGGTAACTGAAGAGCACTCTTAAAAAGAAATTACACAGGAGTGTGTTGAACTGGTTTTCTTTTGAAGTTCTAGATTAGAGATATAATTTTGGACTAGGGATATAATTATGGTTTTTGATTTCACATTACCAATTTAGACTGCTCAATGGATTGAAATAAATTCCTAGCTCCACGGTCAGGTCAGTAGGCTGCCATGATGAAATTTGAAGAAGAGTCTGTTATGATGTGTAATACCAATTTCTGGAGGGCATGGCTGCTCTCCGAAGTACTCTAACATGGACAGAAGTCGTGGGCTGGTGGAGTGTTGCGTCGCTGCTTAGTGATGTGGCAGCATGGTGGCCACCGCACTCCACCTCAACACGGGGAGGGGTTGTGTCTTATGTTTGGCACTTGCTGCTTAAAGTCTTTGTTTAATCATTAAACCTGTTTATGTTAAACAGAAACAAGTAGTGAATCACATTTCAAGGAAAATAAAGTTAAACAAGCTAAGGAAGACTAGAATAGTGAACAGTTATATGTCAAGGGAGCCATTTTTCCAAACTCTTTCTGCTTCTTGACTGCTAATTCCATTCCATTTAGGATTCTGGCTACAAGTTTTAACCAAAAAATGTGGCTTTGTAAAACTATACTATAGAGCCTATTAAAAACAAAACAAAACAAAAGTCCAGCAGAGAGTAACTTAGCCTGGGTGGGCTGAGCAGGTGATGACTCATGCAGAACTGTTCACCTGGAAGTTACACATTCAAGACATTGAGATAGTCTATCTGCAACCATGTTGGAGGGAGAAACTTACAGAAAGCCTTAATTTTGCACCTTTTTTGGTGATTACTTCAAATCTGCTGTGTAGTAAGCACAGTCTCCTTGTTTCTGCAAAGCTTCTTGTAGCAGAGCTGCTTATTTTTGGAAGCATTTGGGTATTTATTTTCCCCTCACTTTAGGGATTCTGTGGAAATGAGGAAATTATAGTTCACTTGCACAAACCCATGTTTCCCCCCTTTTTTAGTAGCAAGACTGTGTAGTCTTTAAAAAGGATAAAATAGATCTTTATATGTGACATGAAAAAATAGCTATTAAGTGAAATAATACATATATGGAAGAGTAAGGTGGGATATGGAATTATGGAGGGGTTTTTTAATTTAAATAAGGTCAGAATTACAGAAAAGTTTTAAGAATTATACGAAGAATTTCCATCTGCCCTTCGAGACCCCCCACATACTAACTGTTTACCACATTTGCTTTATCATTCATCCCCCACCACACCACACAGCCTTTCTTTGTTATTTGAGAATAAGGTGTAGGAATGTCCCCTTACTCCTAAATACTTTAAATGCATTTCCTAAAAACATGATACAATTTTCAAAGTCATTAAAATGAATACAATACTGTTACCTAATTCTCTAAATTACGGAGTCTACAGACTTTACTCAGATTTCACCAATTGTCCCAGTGATGTCTTTTCACAAAAGAGAAAACATTTCTGCTTCAGGATCCACTCCAGGCAAATGCATTGTATTTAGTCATCTTTAATTAGGAACAGCTCCTTAGCCTTCCTTTGTCCTTATGAATTTGACATGTTGTAGAGTATGAGCCAGTTATTTTATAACATGTCCCAGATTTTGAGTTTTTCTGATGTTTCCTCGTGGAATGAGGTTACGCACTTTTGGCAGGAATGCCACAGAAGTAATGTGTTCTCAGCGCATCGCAGTACAGATATGTAGGGGATTTTCACTTTCAGGGAAATCTGAATCTTGATATCAGAAAACATTTTCTTAGTTTCTTAAAAAATACCCTCAATAAATAATACTCTTAACTAATAATAAAAACACTCTTAATAAATAAAACATATAAAGTTTTATTTGTGACAAACTCACAAGCAAAAGGAAGGAAAATAACATTTGAGCCAAGCATCCTGCTTTATAGACTTGTGATTCACTGTCTTACAACAGTCCTAGCAAGTAGACATGATGCCTGTTTCACAAGTGGGAAGCCTGAAGCCCATGAAAGTATGAATGAGGAGTTCAGTGTGGATACCAAGTTTCAGTTTGAAAACATAAAAAGTTCTGGAGAAGAATGGTGATGATAGTTGCACAACAGTGTGAATGTACTTAATGCCACAGAACTGAACACTGAAAAATGATTAAAATGGTAAATGTTATGGTATGTATATTTTACCACAATTTGCTTAAAGCTTGTTAATAATGGGGGGAGGGTAAACATCTGAGGGATTTTTTTTTTCAGAACAGGAATTGATTTTAAATGACCAGTAAACTACAGAAAGGAAGAGCCAAAATTCATCTAGACAGAGGCAGACTAATCTCCTAATAGTCTGTTCTAAGAGTTCAGTTAAGTTTATTTGGAGCCTAAGGAAAAATTCCTACTGCATTAAAAACAGTAGTTTACTCCCAGAATATGTGCACCACATGATATAGCAGATCTCGGGGGCGGAGACATGCCCGTTAATCCCAGCGCCGTTTATGACATTGCTTCCGTGGGAAAACACGTTCTCTGCCTGGGTAGAATAGAAATCCATGGCAGCTGGCTGTGACAAGACTACTACACACATTGCTGAAACTCTGGGTCTGTTTTCTCATTGAAAAATGGAGAGGGCTGAATTTAGATAATCTTTCGAGATTATAAAGATTCTATAATTCTGTCCAATAAACATGTATAGGTATTAAAGAAACTCAAGGTGACACCCTTTTTCACTATCAGATGAGCAAAGATCAAATTTTATCATATTCAAGCTTGGGGAAAGTGCTATAAGAAATGCTCTTGGCGGCACAGTGGCTCATGCCTGTAATCCCAGCACTTTGGGGAGGCTGAGGCAGGCAGATCACCTGAGGTCAGGAGTTCAAGACCAGCCTGGCCAACATAGTGAATCCCCGCCTTATTAAAAATTCAAAAATTAGTGGGGTGCGCCTGTAATCCCAGCTACTCGGGAGGCTGAGGCAGGAGAATCGCTTGAACCCAGGAGGAAGAGGTTGCAGTGAGCCGAGATCATGCCACTGCAATCTATCCTGTGTGACATAGTGAGATTCTGTCTCAAAAAAAAAAAAAAAGAATTTGTAGGTTGGGCACAGTGGCTCTCACCTGAAATCCCAACACTTTGGGAGGCAGAGGCAGGCAGATCACCTGAGCTCAGGAATTCGATTCCAGCCTGGCCAACGTGGTGAAACCACATCTCTACTAAAAATACAAAATTAGCCGGATGTGGTGGCACACGCCTGTGATCCCAGCTAGTCTGGAGGCTGAGGCAGGATAATCGCTTGAACCTGGGAAGTGGAGGTTGCAGTGAGCCAAGATTGTGCCACGTCACTCCAGCCTGTGTGACAGATGAGACTCTGTCTCTAAAAAAAAAAAAAATTGCCAGGCGTGGTGGTGCACAGCTGTGATCTCAACCACTGAGGAGGCTGAGGCATGAGAATCACTTGATCTGGGAGTCAGAGGCTGCAGTGAGCTGAGATTGCACCACTTCACTCCAGCCTGGGAGACAGAACGAGACTCTGTCTCAAAAAAAAAAAAAAGAGAGAGAGTTTACTGTTGGCTGGGCACAGTGGCTTATACCCGTAGTCCTAGCACTTTGGGAGGCCTAGGTAGGCGGATCTCTTGAGCCCAGTAATTTGAGACCAACCTGGGCGACATGGTGAAACCCGCATCTCTACAAAGGGTAGTTAGCCGAGTGTGGTGGCACATGCCTGTAGTCTCAGCTGCTTGGGGGACTGACATGGGAAGATTGTTTGAGCCTGGGAGATCAAGGCTGCAGTGAGCAGTGATTGGGCCATTGCACTCCAGCTTGGGCAACAGAGTGAGATACTGTCTGAAAAAAAAAATTACTGTTACTTTTCTTTTGTTTTAGAACTGTACTTTAGATTTCTTTTTTTGCTCTGTTTCCCAGGCTGGAGTGCAGTGGCAGGATCTCGGCTCACTGCACTCCTGGGCTCAAGTAATCCTCCCACTTCAGCCTCCTGAGTAGCTGAGATTACCAGGCATGCACCACTATGCCTGGCTAATTTTTATATTTTTTAGTAGAGATGGGGTTTTGCCATGTTGCCCAAGCTAGTCTCGAACTCCTGGGCCCAAGCGATCCAACTGCGTTGGCCTCCCAAAGTTCTGGGATTGCAGGAGTGAGCCACCACTCCTAGCCTGCTTTAGTTTTTTTATTTTTATTTTTAAGACAAGGTCTCGCTTTGTTGCCCGGGCTGGAGTGCAGTGGTGCCATCTCGGCTCACTGCAACCTCTGCCTCCTGGGTTCAAGCGATTCTCCTGCTGCAGTCCCCCAAGTAGCTGAGATTACAGGCGTCCGCCACAACGGCCGGCTAATTTTTGTATTTTTAGTAGAGATGGGGTCTCACCATATTGGCCAGGCTGGTCTCAAACTCCTCACCTCAAGTGATCTGCCCGTCTCGGCTTCCCAAAGTGCTGGGATTACAGGCGTGAGCCACCGAGCCCAGCCTGCTTTAGATATTTGCTATAGTTTAGGATCAGGTTTTGCTTTAGATATTTGCTATAGTTTAGAATCAGGTTTTGGTTACAGGAGGTGGGAGACAGAAAAGCCAACTTGGAGAATTTATTTAAGTTGTGTTTCTTATAAGAGACTGGCATGACGTTAATGATCAGTACTTCTGTATTTCTTTATTTTTTGAGTAAGGAAGATTGCGAGTTTTGTATACTTTTACCCACTATTGTATAGCGGTTTCTTAATGTAACACTTTTAGCCATAAAAGTAGATTGTAACATACCTCTACTGCTGGTGTTTGAGCTACTAATGCCACTAGGTTTCTTGATGCCAGGACCTCCATTAAATAAGTAATTTCTTGTGATTTTAAATGTTTTTAAAAGCCTTTCCAAATTAGAAAACATTTATTAAACTATTGTTACAATGGTGAAAAAGAGCTTAGAGCTTAGTGAAGGAGAGACAAGTCCTCAGAAAGAGTGCTGGTGCCCAGCGACGGTGCAGGGAGGAGTGGGTGGGCAATCAGGTCCTGGGTCCAGGCTCTGATGTGGCAGAGGAAGAAGAGGGAGGAGTGGCTTGGGCTCTCGCTCGTATTGTGAGTTGGGAATCACAGGAGGAATAAGGGCTCCGCGTTGGGCATGTGTGTGCCTGACTTGGGGATGTCCGGGTGGAGATGTCTAGGAAGTAACTGGCTTCATGTCCTGCAATCAGATGAGAGACACAGGGCCAGTTAGCATTAGCATGGGGGGCCAGGCGGATGTGGCATGAGCCGAGATCCTGCCACTGCACTCCAGCCTGGGCAACAGAGCAAGGCTCTGCCTCAAAAAAAGAAATCTAAAGTAAGGTTCTAATAAAAGAAAAGTGAGAGTGCCCACAAGGATAAGGACAGATGGGTATCCGTATAGAGCACCAAGACAAGTGGTTAGGCACGAGAGGCAGACGGAGAACTTTTCCCTTCTGTGAATCTTGAATTGGCTGCCTCTGAGAAGTGGAATTGCGTGGCTGAGGAACAATGTGAGTTTTGTACCATGTTTGGGTATTATCTATTCCAAAAATAATTTTCTAAGGGCAGGCAGAAAAAGAGAAGCCAGAAAGTCAGGAAGATTGGTGGCCAGGAGTGTCATATGACACTGGGGTCAAATGACATGAAGACAAAAGTTGCTATTGGGCTTAAAGAGGTCTTCAGCTGCCCTTGGCCGTTTATGTGGAGTAATGAGGTGGAAGGCAGGTTAAGGTTTTCACAGTTCCAAATGTTACCGGCTGGTTGTGTGTTTAGGAGGGAGATTTGGAAAGGGGCATAATTTGAAGTTTAACCATTTTTCTTACACAAAACATTCCAAATTTAACTTAAAGATTTGGTATTAGAACAGGAATGAACGTTAGAATTTATTTATCAACATTCTCATTTTTTGAGTAAGGAAACTAGATCCAGAGAGAGAAAGGAATGCCCCATTCAGATTAGTACTATGCCTGTCTAGCACCTGCTTCTCCTGGACTGGCCCCACCACTTAGCCTACTCTCTGCTTCCGTTTCCTCATCTATAGGCAATAATTGTATATTAAAGATTTGTTTGTGAGAATCCAGTTACTATATGTAAAGTGCTCAGAACAATGCCAGGTATATAGTCTATAGTATGCGCTCACTAAAGGTTAACTATTAATTTGTGATTCAAGCCACCATTCTTTCCAGTATACTATAACCATGATTTTCTTTTAGAATTTTTTTCTGGAGAGACCTTAGACCTTTAATTTACCAGTTTTTATTATATCCACTCCTTCCTAGACCAGGTGATAGGTTTGATCGAGACAGACCGTTGAGAGGACGTGGAGGCCCGAGAGGGGGTATGCGCGGCAGAGGCAGAGGTGGCCCTGGGAACAGAGTTTTTGACGCTTTTGACCAGAGAGGAAAGCGAGAATTTGAAAGATATGGTGGGAATGACAAAATGTAAGTTTCTTTGTAAATGCTATTTTCACTTTAAGATGGTGTCAGCACGTGGTATGAATCTATTATGTGTTAATATTTAGTTAACTTTATAGTACTGTGCTGTTATTCTTGTGAGAAGCTGATCCTGGGACTTTTATGAACCACTCTTTCTGATTTGGAGATTGACTGGAGACTAGCTTCTGGTTTAAGGGACTATTCTTTCTTTCCGTAGAGCAGTCAGAACTGAAGACAACATGGGTGGATGTGGAGTTCGAACCTGGGGATCGGGTAAAGATACCAGGTACGGTGTAAGTGTGTGCCCTCTGAGAACCTGCAATTAAGTGGAAATCTCTGGATCTTTGCTTTTCTTGAAAATGATGTCTTCTGTATTGTGCTTTATACTTGTGTGCCCCTAAGTAGAGATTGATTTTAGGCTTTTGTTTCGTGAGATAAGTTTTTAAAACAGGTTTGCTATGTTGCAGTTAGATTTAAACTGCTTTTAAAATTCTATTACTTTAGCCAAACAAATTTGTGACAGATGACCATGTATTTGCTGATGCCTCAAACATATGGCACTGTACATTTGCACATGCCTCAAAATGCTTTTTGTTGGCTGCACACGGTGACTCACGCCTGTAATCCCAGTACTTTGGAAGCCAAGGTGGACGGATCACTTGAGGTCGGGAGTTTGAGACCAGCCTGTCCAACATGGTGAAACCCCGTTTCTACTAAAAATACAAAACCTAGCAGAGCATGGTGGCAGGCACCTGTAGTCCCAGCTACCCAGGAGGCTGAGGCAGAAGAATTGCTTGAACCTGGGAGGCAGAGGTTGCAGTGAGCCGAGATGGCACCACTGCTCTCCAGCCCGAGTGACAGAGCGAGACACAGCATCTCAAAAAAACAAAAAAAAGCTTTTTGTTTTGTTCATTATTTTTTAAAATGGTGACAAGATCTCACTATGTTGCCCACACTGGTCTTGAACTCCTGGGCTCAGGCAGTCCTCTTGCCTCAGCCTCCCAAAGTGCTAGGATTACAGGCATGAGCTACCACATCTGGCCTAAAATGCTTTTTAAATTCCTGGATATTCTATATGTTTTTACCTTTCAAAGTTCATGTGGATCCTTGACACATCTTCATTTCATAAAATCATTTGTAGATTGAAGCTTAGTGACAGGTTTCACCTGAGGCTCAAGTTGGACATTTCTCTGAGGCTTCATGGTGCCTTAGATCTGTGCCAATTCTTCTGCTAGTTAGAGTGGATACATGGTTCTGCTCTGTTTTATTTCACAGCTGGAGGGATGATGCCTTCCTGGTGTCTGCAGAAGAAGAGGTAGGGCATGCTGCAGGCAGTGCAGTGTGAGCAGTGCTACAGGGCAGGCTTCCCGCTAGTGCAGAGGCTTGAGGGGATCCAGGCTTCCACTTTTCTTCTTTTGAAGAATATAAGCTTTTTTTTTTTTTTTTTTGAGACGGAGTCTTGCTCTGTCACCCAGGCTGGAGTGCAATGGCGCGATCTCGGCTCACTGCAACCTCCGCTGCCCAGGTTCAAGTGATTCTCCTGCCTCAGCCTCCCAGGTAGGTGGGACTACAGGTGCACGCCACCATGCCTGGCTAATTTTTGTATTTTTAGTAAAGACGGGGTTTCACCACATTGGTCAGGCTGGTCTCGAACTCCTGACCTCAGGTAATCCACCTGCCTTGGCCTCCCAAAGTGCTGGGATTACAGGCATGAGCCACTGTGCCTGGCCAGAATATAAGCTTTTTACATGAACTTATTTTTCTTAAATTGTTGTCCTTAAAGACAAATGTACAAACTAATATCAAATGTAACAGCGTTAGATTTACTACCATTGCTCATTTGTGTTCTCCTTGAAAAGAAGAGAAACTTGTTGAATGTTTCTCTATCTGGGGTTCCATAGGATCTTGATGACAGATCTTTTAATTTTGTTTTATTTTACTTTGATAATATATTTTAAAAAGTAATATAGGCACTTTCTTTCCTTCTTTCTTTCTTTCTCTTTCTCTTTTTCTTTTTCTTTCTTTCTTTTTTTCCTTTTTTTTTTTTTTTTGAGACGGAGTCTCACTCTGTCACCCAGGCTGGAGTGCAGTGGTGCGATCTCAGCTCACTGCAACTTCCACCTCCCAGGTTCAAGCAATTCTCTTGCCTTAGCTTTCCGAATAGCTGGGATTACAGGTGCCCGCCACCACGCCTGGTTAATTTTTGTGTTTTTAGTAGAGATGGTGTTTCACCATGTTGGCCAGGCTGGTCTCGAACTCCTGACCTCAGGTGATCCACCTGCCTTGGCCTCCCAAAGCGCTGGGATTACAGGCGTGAGCTACCGTGCCCAGCTTGGGCACCTTCTTTCTTCATCATCTGATTTACCACCTTATCTAATACTACCACTTCATTTCAGTTTGCCTTTGAACTTAAAATCATTTTGGCTCTAAGTGGTTACTTATCCTAGAGGGCCAGCCTTGGCCTTGTAATGTTAAGAGGTGACCACTTGTGGCCCTGGCAGGCTGGCATGTCTCAGTGTTAAAATGACGTGTGCCCCATGGCACTCATTTTGGATTGGTTTGTGAGTTATAAAGTCAAAGCTCTTTTTTTTTTCCTCTCTCTGTCTCTAAGACAGGGTCTGACTCTGTTGCCCATGCTGGAGTATGGTGGCTCAATCTTGGCTTACCATAACCTTGAAACCCCGGGCTCAGTTGATCCTTCCACCTCAGCTTCCCGAGCAGCTAGGACTACAGGCGCATGCCACCACACCCACTACACCCAGCATTTTTTTTTTTTTTTTTCTGAGACAGAGTCTCACTCTGTTGCCCAGGCTGGAGTGCAGTGGCATGATCTCTGCTCACTGCAACCTCTCCCTCCCAGGTTCAAGCGATTCTCCTGCCTCAGCTTCCCCCGCAGCTGGGACTACAGGCGCATGCAACCACGCCCAGCTAATGTTTTTTGTATATTTAGTAGAGATGGGTTTTCACCCTGTTAGCCAGGATGGTCTCAATCTCCTGACCTCATGATCCGCTCACCTCAGCCTCCCAAAGTGCTGGGATTATAGACGTGAGCCACCGTGCCCGGCCTTTTTTGTATTTTTAGTAGAGATGCAGGTCTGCCATGTTTCCCAGGCTGGTGTCAAACTTCTGGGCTCAAGCAATTCACCTGCCTTGGCTCCCAAAGAGCTAAGACTGCAGGCGTGAGCCACCACACTCAGCTAGTCAAAGCTCTTAGGTGGTTATAATTTGTAATGGAAAGCTTTTCTTAGAATAAGACTAATTTCTTAATTAATAAATAGAGATAAATTTTATGTATGTATACATATACTTCATACATTTCTTTATAAAGTGAGTAAGAAATTTATTTCTTAGTAAATCGGCTTGAGGTCATGAAAATGATGTATGCGAAGGAGTTATGTGCTACTTTTGATTAGTGAGAAGAAAGTGGAGGTGAGCCTAACACAGTAAGTAATGTGTTTGTGGCTGGCAAAGCCCAAGTGCTTCCCAGTGTATTAAAGGTGTAAGGGCTTTGCTGTAGTCGAGTATTCCTATTTGAAGACGCTGACAGCAATAACTGGATTTAAGGACAAAGTGCCTTCAAACTGGTATGACTGAGCCATTTCAGTAATACTGCTTTTCTTCAACAGTTTGACAGCGGTAAAATAGAATTTTTTCTATTTATCTGTGCTGAAATAGAATTTTTCCATCTGCAATAATTTAAAAAGTGTATCAGATATTATTTTCTTGTTAAAATTGGAGTAGACACCCATGAACGCAGTTTTCAATAATGCTGCCTTTCAACTTTTATTGTGAAGAGCAAGACAGTTTTATTTGTTCTCAAAGCAAAATTTGATGAAAATCTGTTGTTGTCAGAGATTTGATTAAGTTTGAGGTCTGATTAAATTTGAACTAGGTAACAAAGCCTTGAAGTGTGTAACATCATTTTATGGAACATATGTGCACAAATAGGCATTTTCTGCACTAGTACAAATGAAGTCAAAATATAGACATGGGCCCTGGGGTTATATCTTTCTTCTGATAAATCCAACATTGGTGATTTACCTTTTTTTCTTTTTTTTTGAGACAGAGTCTCCAGGCTGGAGTGCAGTGGCATGATCTCGGCTCACTGCAACCTCCGCCTCCCGGGTTCAAGTGATTCTCCTGCCTCAGCCTCCCAAGTAGCTGGGACTACAGGCACCCGCCACCACGCCCACCTAATTTTTGTATTTTTGGTAGAGACGGTGTTTCACCATGTTGGCCAGGGTGGTCTCAATCTCCTGACCTCGTGATCCTTCTGCCTCGGCCTCCCAAAGTGCTGAGATTACAGGTGTGAGCCACCGCGCCCGGATGATTTACTTTCAACAAAATAGCAGAACCTGCCAAATTAATTGCTGCTAATTTTGAAACTTAATTGTCTTTCAGTTTTGATCATACAGTTCTATGATAGCTGTAGGCACAATATTTTATATTCATTTATAAAATAGGTCAACATAGGAGGACATCTATGATTTTTCTTTTCTGTAAAATCAGCTAATTGCTGAAGTTTAAGAAATACTCAGTTTTTTGTGGTTCATGCCTATAATCCTAGCACTTAGGAAGGCTGAGGCAGATGGATTATTTGAGCCCAGGAGTTCAAGACCAGCCTGAGGAACAAAGTGAAATCCCATCTCTACAAAAAATACAAAATATTAGCCGGGCATGGTGGTGTGCGCCTGTAGTCCCAGCTACTCCAGAGGCTGAGGTGGGAAGTTCTCTTGAGCCCGGGAGGTCGAGACTACAGTGAGCTGTGATGGCGCCACCGCACTCCAACCACCATGCCCAGCTAATTTTTGTATTTTTAGTAGAGACAGGGTTTCACCATGTTGGCCAGGCTGGTCTCAAACTCCTGGCCTCAAGTGATCCACCCTCCTTGGCCTCCCAAAATGCTAGGATCACAGGCGTGAGCCACCCTGCCGGCCTGGAACCTTCATTTTAAAAAACAAAAGTTAATTATTCAAGTTTTGTTTTAAAAAGAGTGAGTTTTTAAAGAATTGATTTCAGTAGGTTGGAGTTGAGAATTTAATACTTATTTAAATTGAAAAAGTCTTTTCTGTTATTGTAGTTCAATTTGTGGTTACTTTTAAAAAAAAACTTACTTTAAAGCCCTCAATAGGCCAGGCACAGCAGCTCGTAACTGTAACCCCAGCACTTTGGGAAGTCGAGGTGGGAGGTCAGGAGTTCGAAACCAGCCTGACCAACATGGTGAAACCCTGTCTCTACCAAAAATACAAAAAAAATTAGCTGGGCGTGGTGGTGGACGCCTGTAATCCCAGTTACTCAGGAGGCTGAGGGAGGAGAATCACTTAAACCTGGGAGGGAGGTTGCACTGATCCGAGATTGCACCACTGCACTCCAGCCTGGGCGACAGAGTGAGACTCAGTCTCAAAAAAAAAAAAAAAACCCAAAAAACCAAAAAAACAATGTTTTCTCCTTCTTAAACATACAAAGGCATTGGTATGAATGTATTTGTGTGACTAGAGAGGGTCTTGCTGTTTTTCAGTGATGTGGAGCCAACTGCACCGATGGAGGAACCCACAGTGGTGGAGGAGTCCCAGGGCACCCCGGAAGAGGAGTCTCCAGCCAAGTAGGGCATTTTGTTCATTCCCCATTGTGGTGTTGGTTCTCTTCTTAATGATTTCTTTTTTTTTTTTGAGATGGAACTTGCTTTGTCACCCAGGCTGGAGTGCAATGGCACAATCTTGGCTCACTGCAACCTCCACTTCCTGGGTTCAAGCGATTCTCCTGTCTCAGTCTCCTGAGTAGTTGGGACAATAGGCGTGCGCCACCACGCCCAGCTAATTTTTGCATTTTTAGTAGAGATGGCATTTCACCATGTCGGCCAGGCTGGTCTCGAACTCCTGACCTCAAGTGATCCATCCGCTTCAGCCTCCCAAAGTGCTGGGATTACAGGTGAGCCACCGCACCTGGCCTTTCTTGATGATTTCTAAGAGCTCTTCACAGACTGGGAATCTCAACCCCTTATCCTATCACAGAGGGCTGACCTTAATGTATGAATGACTGGTGATCAAACTAATTAATAATTAGTTCAGACAACCTAATGAATATCAATGATAATTAATGGGTGAAAGTTGGGCATTCTGTCCTCTGCTCACAAGCTCTTTTCCAGCAGCTTGTTAAATTCCTTGACTTGGAGTAGCCTGACTCTTGTATGGACCTCTAGTGTCTTGTCCCCTCTGTGCTCTCCCAGTCCTCCCTCCCTCTCTTTTCATTATGTAGCTTAGATACCGGCTCCGTCTCCAGCACCCTTCCAAGTTCTGTTTTTCTGGGGTTTTTTTTGAGACAGAGTTTCACTCTTATTGCCCAGGCTGGAGTGCAATGGCGCGATCTTGGCTCACTGCAACCTCCACCTCCCAGATTCAAGCAATTCTCCTCCTCAGCCTCCTGAGTAGCTGGGATTACAGGCATGTGCTACCATGCCCGGCTAATTTTGTATTTTTAGTAGAGACGGGGTTTCTCCATGTTGATCAGGCTGGTCTTGAACTCCCAACCTCAGGTGATCCGCCCATCTCAGCCTCCCAAAGTGCTGGGATTACAGGCATGAGCCACTGTGCCTGGCCTCCAAGTTCTTAAATACCCATGCGCCTTCAACTCTCTGGCCCTTTGGACCTGCTGCTGTAACTTGCTAGCAAAACCCCTCCTGGGTGACTCCACTATCTGCCTTCTCTCTGCCTGTTCCCACAAGCTGAGCACTACAAGTCACATCGTGGGCCTGGTTGGAACCCCAGTAAATTCCCGGTCACTGATATTCTGAAACCAGGCCTTGGCGATCCCCGGTTCTTGGGTTCACTCTTTCTCTCACCTTCTCTAATGACTGTTTTAATTTCTCCTCAAAACCCTGACACTGCCTCCCACTGTACCCTTCCGCCATCGTCCTCTTTCATTTTCTGGATGCAACATTTCCTTCTATATCACAGAGTAATTATGATCCATTAGGTGGCAACTTCATCATCCTCCCACTGCCAAAGATACAAGACTGCTACACCTGCACGCCTCCTGGGCTCCTTCCCTCGTGCTAACCATCGGGCTGCCATCCCCCCCGACCTCTTCACGCTTCAGATCTTTCCTACTGACTTCATGAAAACTTCATACTGTTAGTTAGCTCCTTCCTTTTTTGGTATATTCATCTCCTTCCTCCCAACCCTAGTCTTCCAGTCAGCATTTAAACATGCTCAGTCTCTCCTGCGTAAGTGTCCTCTGGACCCCACATTCTCCGTCAGCTGCCTCTTTCAGAGTTGCATGTGGCCTTCTTCACTTCCTCCCCTCCACTTATTCCTCCCTTTAGTCCAGGCCTGGCTTCTGTCCTCACTGTCCTTCTGAAACAGTCACCATGTCTCCAGATCTAATGGATGCTGCAGTCTGCGTCTTTCTTGACCTCTCAGAAGCATTTGACTTTATTGATTTCTTCGTAAACGTGCTCTCCTGTTGGTTTCTGTGATCACTCTGCTCTTCTTTTCCTTCTGCCTCTCAGCATCTCCTTTGCAGGCTCATCCTTGTCTTTCGGGTCTTTTAAAATGTTAAGTTCTTCAGGGCCCTGCCTTAGGCCTTCTCTTTCTGTAGAGTTTCTTTATAGGATCTTATGCACTTCTGTGACTTAAATTGTCGTTTACACACTAACTCTGGAATATGTATCTCTGGCTCTTAACTTCAATGTGGGCTCCAGGCCTGTGGCTCCATCTGCCTACTGGACACTTTCCCTGGGACATCCCAGATGCTCCTGTGCCCAGCCTGACCGAGACTGAGCTGACTCCTCCCCACACCTCTGGTCCTCACTCAGTGTTTCCATCCAACTGTACAAACCAGAAACCTACGAGTCATCCTTGGAACTTCTGTCTTCTTGACCCTCCTCTTTCCAAAACCCAGTCCTTCCCTCTGCTCTGGTGATTGTACCCCTAAATACCGAGCATCACCACTCACCAGCGTCGTCTAAGCCATTGTTATCTGGACCACCACTGGAGCCCCTCACAGGGCTCCCTGCATCCTCACCTACGCCAAGGTGGTGTTCACACCGCATTCTGATTGTCATGCCCCCACCCCTTGCTTAAGACCCTCCAATGTCTTCCTGTCCTTTTTCTGTCCCCTGTTCTGACCTGCAGAGTCCTGTGTGGTCTGGCCCCTGCAAAACCCTCAAGTTCAGACATTCCTGTGCCTTCTCTGGGTTCACCATGAGGCCTTTATTTCATGTTCTCAAATGTACTTTTATCCCACCCCTGCCCTCACACTTGCCATACAGCTTTCACAAGTGTTGTTTCTTTGTTTTCCCAAACCCCCTTTACTCTTCGCCTATCTGTCTCTTACTCATCCTTCAGCTGCCAAAAGGCAGGGTGTCTAGTGGTTAAGAGCACAGACATTGAACCAGTGTGATGAGTTGAAATCCCAGCTCTGCCACTTACTAGTTGGGCAAGTTATTTAATTTCTTTTTCAGTGGCTCAGTTTTCTTCATCTGTAAAATGGGAATAATAACGTACCTACATTATAGGGTTCTTGTAAAGATTTTGTGTGTGTGCGTGCGTTTATATCTGTGTCCTAGAGTGGTGCCTGGCATGTAGCTAGTGCTTTATCAGTATCTGCTCTTATTATTGTTACTTACTTCAAGAGTGAAAGGCCACAGTGATTGATGATTGTGAAAGCTGTATTCAAAACAATTGCAATGTATTATTCAAAACAAGAAATGTGTTTCATTAAATAAATAGGAGTAACAGTTAATATGAATATTTAGACAGTGAGCTAACTAAGGAACTAGATTAACAGTTTATATGAATGTTGAGAAAGTTAACTGGATACCTTCAGGAGAACATTATATCCTTTTTGAGCCAATAAACATTTATACAAATTCAGGTAATATAAGGCAGAATAATAGAGAGTAAATTATAGTATTGTTCTAATCTATAGAATTGATTGAGATACTCTAGTATTCATAATATTAGACAAAAATATTTAGTCACTGTGAAAGAAAATAAAGCTTGTTGACTGTCTGTCTGCAGTATCCCAGGAGAGCTAGCTGGAAAATCTTTCTCTCTCTTTTCTGCTGACCTGGGGGGAAAGTGAGCATCTATTTGGAATTGCAAGTGCAATGCAGGTATTGAGTGACCGTGCCGAGAGATTCTTTTTTCTGCACTGCCTTGTCAAATTTTAACATTATTACTAAAATTTCTAATAATACAATTATAATTTTTTGATACTCTAAAAGTTGGGCTGGTATCCGAGAAATACATTGAGTGATAGCGATGCTCTCTGGTGTCAGCCCTGTTTGAATGTTGATTTTGCACTCTGGCTTCTGGCATTTAGCCTGAATGTACATTCAGTGTACCTCTCAGTTCTAGAATGTCTTGATAGATGAATCTAATGTACTCTCACTTATGTTCAAACACACAACCCAAAGTGCACTTCCATTTTCCTCAAATAGGACATATTTTACTGATAATTATATGTGCAATGCCCTTCCATCCTTCCATCTTCTCCTTTCATTACAGAAGTATTAACTGTTCCTTGTTGCATAGTGTTCTAGTGTCCGACGATACCTGTGACGACTCTTTGTATTTTGTTTTAAGAATAACTCTAACATTGGCCAGGCGCGGTGGCTCACACCTGTAATCCCAGCACTTTGGGAGGCCGAGGTGGGTGGATCACAAGGTCAGGAGATCAAGACCATCTTGGCTAACACGGTGAAACCCAGTCTCTACTGAAAATACAAAAAATTAGCTGGGTATGGTAGCGGGCACCTGTAGTCCCAGCTATTCAGGAGGCTGAGGCAGGAGAATGGTGTGAACCCAGGAGGTGGAGCTTGCAGTGAGCCGAGATCGTGCCACTGCACTCCAGCCTGGGTGACAGAGCGAGACTCCGTCTCAACAACAACAACAACAAAAAAAAAAAAAAAAAGAAGAAAAAGAATAACATTTTTAGAGCATTTGCTGTATGCCAAGAACTGCTGTAAATGCTACCATGTCTTAATTCATTCAGTTCTTTGCCACTCCATGAAGGAGGAGCTACTGCTATTCTCACACTGGGACAGAGGTTCAATACCTGCCTAAGGTCACCTGGCTCATGTGCAGAGCCGGAATTTGAACCAGGCAGATGCATAGGCATTCATACTCCTCTAGTGAGTGGTAGGAATAGCAAAAAGTGCTGTTCAGAACACCTGCTGGTAACTCAGGAGAGGGCAAAAGATGTTGGCCCTGGAAGGTAAGAGCTGCCAGGATCTCTGAGCGTTTCCCTACTCAGGAATATGGAGCATCAACTCCCATCCTTCCTGAAAAATACTTTATTAAAAGAAACTGTGAGCAAACAGTAATACAAACTATCTGCAATAAATTATTTTTATTGTAATCGGTTTCCTAGTGTATTTGCTTAAACAATGAAGATTTTCTTATGTTTTAGGTTAAATTCATTTGTCCCAGTTAAATATCCGATTAGTAAAGCTTTATTTCTGGAACCTACTTTCTTTGATTCACTGCACTCTTTCATATATTCAGGTGAAAAGGTATTGCATGAATGGAAATGTGGACATTTGAATTGATGTTTTGTATCTTTCTTCTGCGCATATCATGACTGTTTTCCATCTAGGTATTTTTCTGTGCCCCCTTATTCCCTGAATCTCAGTGGAGCACAGAGGTTGAGTGTGGGCTTTGGAAACGCAATGACAGGATTGGAACTTGCCTCTTCTATTTATTTGCTCACTATGTGACCTCTCTCTGCCTCGATATTCTTATCTGTAAAATGGGATATTAATTATATCTAACTATTGATATCATGAAATAATATAAAGCATTTTGAACAGCATCTGGCACATGGTAAGCATACAGTGTTAGCTAGTCTCATCCATTTCTAAATAAAGGGAACTGTGGTTAAAGCAGTATGATTTCTATAATTTCACGTTTAGAAACAAATATATAACTATCAAATTTGTATATAGCATTATTCACATTACCATAGATTTGACCACCTTATATCCATAAGTCATTTTGATGGAAAATTCCCTCCCAAAAGTTTTTTATAACAAACCAAGAATTGTGAAGGTCTTTGAATTACTCAAAAATGGGGGTGTTAAAGCAATAGCAGTTATGAGGCTCTCAGTTGTTAGAAATATACTTGCATGAGTCCTTCCTAGAATCGAAGGATACATCTCTTCCTGTTGAATATTTAGTCATTGCTAAAACTGCCGGTAAAACTGTACTCAGAACCAATCAAATGGGAAATGGGGTATGCGTCACAGGATTGTCATAGTGTGTGTTTGCTAATAACTTTTAGTGGGTAGGGAATAAGGTTAAGGAGCCTGTCCTTGGTGATACTATGCTGCTTTCAACGTGGCTTGTTGAAACTGCAGCTGATAAGCAGGGCATTCGTGCCTCTGATATGGGGCATTTGTGCCTCTATTCTTGAATGAGGTGCATTCCAGTCAACAGCTTCAAGCTGATACTGCTGAAGGAGGCTGTAACTTGTAACTAATCTGAATTACACTATATGCTTTACTTTATGTGTCTATACACAGTTTCAAGCTTGCATTTCATATATACCTTGTCCTTTTTTGATCTAGTTCTTTGTTTAGATATGATGTCCTTTAAGCAAACAAACAAACTCTGTTAATAACAACTACTTCTGTGGCCTTAATGTAAAATCTATTCTTTCTAGAATTGAATTTTCTGGAATTTATAAACTTGTATTAGGTCGTCTTAAGTATGAAAGAATTACCAAATTTATAGCATTCAGTTCTGTTGATTTTTAAAATTCTGTCACAAGTAGGCTAAAGAAGATTTATGATTCCTTAATATTTCTTTATTTTTAGCTGTGTATTAAAATTTTATATTATGGAAAATTATACAAATTAAGTAGTATAAAGAACTTGTAAGTAAGTTGTTCAGCTTAAAGCTGTTACCAAATCACGGCCACTCCTGTTTCATGCATATTTCTACCAACTTCTGCCTCCCCCAGGGTATCATATACCACTCATAAATGTTTCACAGTGTTATACCTGCTACTCTTTTTTAATAACATAACTGGAATACCATTACTCCATTAAATTTTTTTTAATATACTTGATATCATTAATTCCAAGACACTTCTTCAGTTTCCCTGATTGTCTTCAAAACTTTTTAAAAAGATAATTTATTTGTTTGAAATAATATTGAAATATACATGTCAATTGGTTAGTCTCATGTCTGTTTTTAAAACAGCTTTGAGATATAATTCACATCCAATAAATGGCACATATTTAGCATGTACAGTTTTACAAGCTTTGATATATTTGTACACTTGTGAAACTATCACCATGAGCAAAATCATGAGCATAGCCATCGCCCCACAAAGTTTCCTGGCGTTCCTTTGTAGGCCCTCTCTCTTGCCCCATTTCCCCCCGGCAGCCAATGATCTACTTTCTGTCACTACAGATTAGTTTGCAGTTGCTATAATTTTATATGAATGGAATCATGCAGCTTGTATTCTTCTTTGGTCTGTGTTCTTTCTCCGAGCATACTTACTGTGTGATTTGTATCTGTTCATTCCTTTTCATTGCAGAGTAGTAGTCTGTTATACAGGTGGACCACCATTTATCTGTTTACCTGGTGGTGATCACTGGGTGGTTTCCAGTTTTTGCTATAAAGCTGCTATGAACATTTTTTTTTTCTTTGAGACAGAGTCTCACTCTGTCACCCAGGCTGGCGTGCAGTGGTGCAATCTCGGCTCACTGCAACCTCCGCCTCCCAGGTTCAAGCGATTCTCTTGCCTCAGCCTCCCGAGTAGCTGGGATTACAGGCGCCCGCCACTACACCCAGCTAATTTTTGTATTTTTAGTAGAGACGGGGTTTCACCATGTTGGCCAGGCTGGTCTCGAACTCCTGACCTTGTGATTCGCCCTCCTCGGCCTCCCAAAGTGCTGGGATTACAGGCGTGAGCCACCGTGCCCGTCCTGAACATTTTAATATACAAGTGTTTATATGGATATACACTTTCATTTCTCCTGGGTAAATACCTAGGAGTGGAATGGTTGGACCAAATGGTATGCGTATATTTCACTTTGTAAGAAGCTGCTGAACTCTTTTCCAACATCCTTGCTAGAACTTGCTATGGTCAGTTTTTATAACTTTCAGTCATTTTAATAGGTACATATCTCATTATGGGTTTTTGTTGTCATCGTTTTTTTTTTTTTCTTTTTTTAGAGACAAGATCTTGCTCTGTCACCCAGGCTAGAGTACAGTGGTGTGATCATAGCTTACTGTAACTTCGAACTCCTGGTCTCAAATGATCCTCCCACCTCAGCCTCCTGATGTCCAGCTTATTTTTTACTTTTTGTAGAGATGGGGTCTCGTTTTGGTACCCAGGCTGGTCTCCAACTCTTGGCCTCAAGTGCTGCCTCGGCCTCCTGGAGTGCTGAAATTACAGATGTGGGCCACCGTGTCTAGCTTCATTGTGGTTTTAATTTGCATTTCCCTAATGACTAATAATGTTGAGCATTTTTTGTGTGGTATTTCCCATCTGTATTCTTTAGTAAAGCTGCTTTGATAAAGAACCACTGCCACCAGGGACTTGATTGTTTCCAGGGCATTTGGGTGGACAGAGATGGGAAATACACACATACACATTATAAGATAAAATATGAGTTCATTCAATATTTCCAATTCGAAGTTAAGATATGGGATTTTTACCTAGACTGCTTGTTTCTCCTTTTCTTACATACTGAAAATTCTAGTTCTGAGTAACATTGTGCTTTTAATCATTTGTTGCACATAAAACAGTCACAGCATTACCAACATTACCTTCAGTAACACAGTTACTGAAAAGTTATGTCGAGGAGGGAGATGAGTAATCAAATTTGTATTTCAAAATCATTTGAAATAGTTCTCTTGATGGTTATATCACCAGTTTCATAAACATTTAGGTTACTTTGATTCATTTTACTTTCAAATTTTAGAGATTGAATTTTAATTTAAATCTGTTTTATAATTATGTAAAATATTTACATGTTTCCAAAGTTCAGTCTGAAAAACATGATTTTTTTTTTTTCTTTTTGAGATGGAGTTTCACTCTTGCCGAGCCTGGAGTGCAGTGATGCAATCTCAGTTCACTGCAACCTCCGCCTCCCGGGTTCAAAGCGATTCTCCTGCCTCAGCCTCCCGAGTAGCTGGGATTACAGGTGCCTGCCACCATGCCCAGCTAATTTTTGTATTTTTAGGAGAGACGGGATTTCACCATGTTGGCCAGGCCTGTGTCGATCTCCTGACCTCAGGTGATCAACTGGCCTTGGCCTCCCAAAGTGCTGGGTTTACAGACAGGAGCCACCGTGCCCAGCCAAAACATGGTATTTTCAAATAGCTTTTATCCCTATTGTTTTCCTGGCTTATATTCCAATTTAAAAAAAATGCTGGCCGGGTGCGGTGGCTCATGCCTGTAATCCCAGCACTGTGGGAGGCCAAAGTGGGTGGATTGCTTGAGCCTAGGAGTTTGAGACCAGCCTAGGCAACAAGTGAGACCCTCCCCCACCCAGTCTCTACAAAAAATACAAAAATTAGCTGGGTATGGTGGTGCATGCCTGTAGTCCCAGCTACTCTGGAGGCTGAAGTGAGAGGATCCCTTGAGCCCAGGAGGTGGAGGTTGCAGTGAGCAGAGATCATACCACCGCACTCCAGCCTGGGTGACAGAGTGAGACCCTGTCTCAAAACAAAACAAAACAAAAAAACTATCTATCTCTATCGGTGCTATGCATATATATTTGTGTGGCTCTCCAAGGTACTGTACACCCCTCCTTGCTTTTTTCTCATTCACTCTGGAAGGTGCTCCATAGCAGTATATACAGATAGTCCTCATTCCTTTTTTAGCTGCTATACTATAGTTTTTTCACCAAGTTCTTTTCTAGATAGGTTTGGGTTATTTCCATTAATTTGCTGTTCCAATGTCTTAGTATCTTTTAATATTTTTGCCAATATATATTTGAGATCTATATTTTGATATTGGTATTTTTCCAGCATTTTATTGTGAAAATTTCAAAACACAGCAAAGTTTAAAGAATTTTATAGCGAACATCTATACTTACCACTACCTAAATGCTACCATTTATATCTTATATATTCATTTTACATAAGTATTCATTAGTCCATGTTTTTTGACACATTTCATAATAAATTGTAGACATCTGTACACTTCCCCCTAAATAGTTCAACATGCATATCACTAAATAGAATTAATATTTGTTTACAATTTTTTCTTCTGATATAAAATGTATATACTATGAAATGTATAAATCTTAAGTGTACATTCACTGTTTTGACAAATGCATGTACTTGTGGAATCCAAACTCCTGTCGAATACAGAACATTACCAATCACGCCAGAAAGTTCTTTCATATTCCTTCATGTTATCTTTGCTTTGATGTTTTTTCTACCATCAGCTTGGTATTGTAGAGTCACTGCAAATTTGTCTATTTTGGATGCTCTGTGGTTAGGTTTCTCTACTGATTTTGCTTATATTTTTCATAACATTGATCTGTGTATTTCTATAATAGAACCTTAAATTACATCAGCTCTTCAGTGAAGATACAGATTTGATTCCCCACTCCCCACCTACTGTTTTGTTTTGTTTTGTTTTGGAGAAAGAGTCTTGTTCTGTCGCCCAGGCTGGAGTGCAGTGGTGCCATCTTGGCTCACTGCAACCTCCGCCTCCCGGGTTCAAGCAATTCTCCTGCTTCAGCCTCCCGAGTAGCTGGGATTACAGGGATTACAGGCGTGTGCCACCACACCCAGCTAATTTTTGTATTTTTAGTAGAGACGGGGTTTCACCATGTTGGTCAGGCTGGTCTTGAACACCTGACCTCATGATCCACCTGCCTCGGCCTCCCAAAGTGCTGGGATTATAGGTGTGAGCCACCGCGCCCGGCCTGTTTTTTCCCCTTAAACACTTTTGAGATATAATTCTCGTACTATAGCACTCAAATCTCTAAGTATATAGGCCAGGTGTGGTGGTTCAGATCTGTAATCCCAACACTTTGGGAGGCAGAGGCAGGAGGATAGCTTGAGGCCAGGAGTTCAAGACCAGCATGGGCTACATGGAGAGACCCCGTCTCTACAAAATGGTTGTAAAAATTAGCTGGGCCTGATGGCTCGTACCTGTAGTCCCAGCTACTCTCAGGAAGCTGAGGTGGGAGGATCCTTGGGCTCAGGAGGTTGAAGGTATGGTGAGCCATCATCATGCCACTGTACTCCAGCCTGGCCAACAGAGTGAAACCCAGCCTGTATCAAACAAATAAATGAGTAAACGACTGAATGCATGGATGGATGGTTTGGGGTATGTTACATTATTAATTTTTTAAAATTGCAGTAAAAATAACATAAAAATTGCCATTTTTACCATTTTAATATATATAATTTAATGGCATCAGTAACATTCATATTGTGTGTAACCATCACCACCATCCATCTCTAGAACTTTTTTTTTTTTTTTGAGATGGAATCTCACTCTGTTGTCCAGGCTGGAGTGCAGTGGTGCGATCTCGGCTCACTGCAACCTCCACCTCCCGGGTTCAAGCGATTCTCCTGCCTCAGCCTCCTGAGTAGCTGGGACTACAGGCACATTCCACTACACCCGGCTAATTTTTCTGGTATTTTTTAGTAGAGACGGGGTTTCACCGTATTGGCCAGGCTGGTCTCGAACTCCTGACCTCATGATCCGCCTGCCTCAGCCTCCCAAAGTGCTAGGATTACAGGCTTGAGCCACTGTGCCTGGCCTTGTAGAACTTTTTCATCACAAACAGAAACTCTATATCCATTTAACACTAACTCCCCATTTCTCCTCAGCATGTAGTAATCTCTATTTTACTCGTGTTTATGAATTTGCCTATTCTAGGTGCCTCATCTAAGTGGAATCGTTCAATGTTCCTTTTGCACCTGGCTTATTTTAACTATTAGCATCAAGTTTTCAGCTTCATTCATGTTGTAGCATGTGCCAGTCTTCATTTCTGTTTTTCTTTTTTTGTGTGTATTTTTGTGATGATTTTCAAATCTACGATTTTAATCCTTTTAAAGTGTACAATTCAGTGGCATTTAGTACATTCAGAGTGTTATGCAACCATCACCATGATCTGGCTCCAGAAGGTTGTTATCATCCCAAAAGGAAACCCCATGCCCATTCAGCAGTCACTCCCTATCCTCCCTCCCTGCAGCCCTGGCCACCACTGACCTGCCTCCTGTCTGTGTGAATCTGGCTCCTCTGAATATTTCATGTAAATGGAATCATACACAGAAGTCTTTTCTGCCTGGTTTATTTCACTTGCATCATTTTTTCAAGGTTTGTTCATGTCGTAATGTGTATTAATACTTTGTTTCTTTTTATTGCCAGATAATATTCCAAAAAATGTGCCATATTTGGTTTATCCACTCATTAGTTAATAGACATTTAGGTTGTGTCCACTTTTTGGCTATTATGAATAGCACTGCAGTGAACACTTGGGTTTAAGTTTTCATGTGGATGTGTGTTTTCATTTCTCTTGGGTATAAACCCAGGAGTGAAATTTCCGGGTCAGAGGCTAACTCAGCTTAGATTTTTGAGGAACCGCCAGACTGCTTTCCAAAGAGGCTACACCATTTCACATTCCCACTGGCAGTGTATGTGGGTTCCAGTTTCTCCACATCCTCCCCAACGCTTGTCAAATGTCGTTTTGGTTCTAACCATCCCACTGGGTGTGGACTGGTGCAGCTCTGTGGTTTTGACTTGTCTTTCTCTAATAGCTAATGATGTGCAACATCTTACTGCCTATTTGTATATCTTCTCTGGAAAAATGTTCACTCAGATCCTTGCCTTTTTTGGGGGGAGGGTGGTCATTTGTCTCAACTAAAGAGGACTTGTATCTAGAATTCATAAAGCATTCTTTTTTTTTTTTTTAAAGAGACAGTGTCTCATTCTGTTGCCCAAGGTGGAACACAGTGGCCATTCACACGTGTGATCATAGCTCACTGCAGCCTCAGATGCCTGGCCTCAAGCGATCCTCCCACCTCAGCCCCCTGAGTAGCTAGGACTATCGGCATGAGCCACCACGCTTGGCTGTTCATAAAGAATTCTTTATGTATTCTAGATACAAGTCCCTTGTGAGATATATTATTTGTAAATATTTTATCCCATTTTGTGGACTGTCTTTTTACTTTCTTGATGGTGTCCTTTGTAGTATAAAAGTATCTGATGATGTTCAATGTATGTACTTTTGTTGCTTGTTTTTTTGGTGTCATGTGGAAGAAACCATTGCCCAGTCCAGGGTTAAGAAAGTTTCTGCCTAGGTTTTCTGCTAAGAGTTTTATATTTTAGCTCTTGTATTTATGGTGTGAGGTAGGTCTAACTTCATTCTTTCTTTTGGTGTGTGTGGATATCCAGTTGCCCAAGCACCGTTTGTTGAAAATACTTTTCATTCTCCATTGAATTGTCTTTGGCACCACGGTTGGAAAAAAAAAATCAGTTGACCGTAAATGTGAGGGTTTATTTCTGGACTCTGAATTCTTTGCTCTCAATCTATATTTCTGTCTTTTGTTTTCTTTTTAAAACTCATTAAAGAGGATATTTGCAAAAGTATGCATTCATGAGCCACTGCTTTAAAACTTGTTTATGGTTTCCTGTATTTTATTTCAACCCATTGTCCATAATTACCTCATTTTGTCTGTCATGCTGTCTGGAAGGGAGTGCCAGTGGTGAAGTGTGATGTTAATGTCATCAGGATGGTGATGTTCCCATTTTTCAAAGATTGATTTGAACACAGATAGGAAGTATCTTCTGTTGGCAGTGATGACATAAAATGTTGAAAATGAAATATGGAAGCTTGTGAGTCAAAGATTTCCTTACCTTATTTGCATTTGAAATGCAGTACCACAAAAATATGTTGAATTAATGGTTATAACTTTTTCTTTATAAAGTAGACATTTTAGTACCATCAAAAAGTATTCTTTATGATTATATATCTCTTTATAGAGTTCCTGAGTTGGAGGTAGAAGAAGAAACCCAAGTTCAAGAGATGACTTTAGATGAGTGGAAAAATCTTCAAGAACAGACCAGACCAAAGCCTGAGTTTAACATCCGGAAACCAGAATCCACTGTTCCTTCCAAAGCCGTGGTGATTCACAAGTCAAAATACAGAGATGATGTAAGCATTGCATTTCGTATGTAGAGGTAATCTTTACTTTTACCTTACTGGAAGTGAAATGTACCTTTCCACTTCTGTCTTGAAAATGGAACATTAGTAGTTGGCAGTCTTTGTTTCTAATCAGAGATGATGCATGCCTAATTTTACTGTATTGTTCATTAAGAAAAGGAATTGAAACTTGAGGTATTGACAGATGCACAGAGCAGTTAGAGTGACAGTGCATCTTCTGCTCACCCTGGGACTATGCGGGTACTGTACACATACTGTGTATTAACTGTATTTCATTTTTCTCAAGGGAGAGTTACAGATTGTGTCTTGTACAATTCAGAGTTAATCAAAGGAGAACTACACTCTGTGTCCCCTGAGTAGGTTACTTTCAACTCTGTTTCTTGATAAGAGCATTTCACTGAGTAGTTGATGACTTTTTTTTTTTTTTGAGATGGAGTTTCGCTCTTGTTGCCCAGGCTGGAGTGCAGTGGCGCGATCTTGGCTCACCGCAACCTCCGCCTCCCGGGTTCAAGCGATTCTCGTGCCTCAGCCTCCCAAGTAGCTGGGATTACAGGCATGCGCCACCACCCCGGCTAATTTTGTATTTTTAGTAGAGACGGGGCTTTTCCATGTTGGTCAGGCTGGTCTTGAACTCCCGACCTCAGGTGATCCACCAGCCTCAGCCTTCTAAAGTGCTGGGATTACAGGCGTGAGCCACTGCACCTGGCCGAGTAGTTGATGACTTTTTAAACTGTGGTTGAGGTTCCATGCACTTCTGACGCCTTTCCCATGTTGGTTCAGCAGCTTTGCGCCCCCTGCCTAACTGCAGACGTGGCGGGAGATGAGTCCCCGAACGCTTGGCTGCTCGGTCAGGCACTGCCACAGCGGCCAGCGTGCTGCAGGGGTTGCTCAGGGAGCTCCTCCGTGTTGTGAGGCCTTATTGCTCACGGCTTACGTCCAGCTCTTCTCAGAAGCTTCAGTTTTGCAGGGAGAGGTTTCGGGGAAACATCTAGCAGCATATGTTGATAGGGATGCCATGGGGTCATCAAGTCCCCGACTTGTTACTGAACTTAAGGCTAGGTCCACTGAAGCATTCCCATTATGGGATTTAGAATCTGTATCATTCCATCTACAGCTTGATACCAGTCACTATTTCGAGGTGGGAGTGAGCAGGTAGCAGGTTCTTCCTCTCTGTGGGGTATTAGTTATTGATTTTCATGTGGAATCTCAGGAATGTTATGCTATTGTAGAGTTGTCATTTACACTTTGGTTAGTTTCATTTTCTGAGTGAGTACTTTGATTAGGTGTCATTTAAGATACAGGGTTCTTGGGAGGCCAAGGCAGGTGGATCACCTGAGGTCAGGAGTTCGAGACCAGCCTAGCCAACATAGTGAAACCCTGTCTCTACTAAAAATACAAAAACTAGCCGGGCGGTTGGCGGGTGCCTGTAGTCCCAGCTACTCGGGAGGCTGAGGCAGGAGAATCGCTTGAACCCGGGAAGCAGAGGTTGCAGCAAGCCGAGATCACGCCATTGCACTCCAGCCTGGGCAACAAAGTGAGACTTCGTCTCCAAACAAAACAAAAAAAAAGATACAGGATTCTCTCCCATCCTCTTGTTTTGGTCAGTCCAAGCTGTAGGAGGCCTTACTGAGTTTTGAGCTGTTCCACAAGAAATGGCTTTTTGTAGACATAGGCGGCCGGAGCTTTATTTCCCTGGCAATCTCTGGGAGGTGTTTTCTAACTCCATTAGCAAGCTGGGTTGGTTCTTAACCTGTCCACTTCCTTTGTTCTTTTTTGTTCTAGGCATTGTAAATAAAAATTTCTCTAAAACAAATGTGCTGTCAGGATTGAAATATGCAGCTGACATGTTAGGTAAAAATAGAAGCTGCTCTTTCTTAATCCACACCAGATTTGTCCTCCCGGGCTCCAGAGGTCTCCCAGAATATTTGAAGCAAGTGGGTTAGCTGAGTCATCAAGCCTGGTCTCAGTGAAGCACACATCTTGGTCCTTGTTAATCTTGGAGGATTGAAGATTTTAGCTAGGAATTGTTCTTAAAGCAACACAAGCCAGATCTTGGGTTCATCAGTTTACTTTGTTCTGGACACCTGAAGAGGCAGAAGCACTAGAATACCTAGCAAAGTTCAGACCTAGTAACAACCTCGCGTAAGGCACTGGGCGGTGAAAGCACTTGGGCCAGGGCCAGCTGGAGCTGCAAGTGGAGCCCAAGCCTTAGACTGTGTCCACTCCCTGCTCCACTGCCCCGAGGCCCTTCCTGCCCCTTCCTGCAGTGGGAGGCGACTCAGAGCAGGGACCCCAGGGAGACCTTACCAGCGCTTCCCTGCTGAGTGCCAAACAAGGCAAGGGTTGAGTATTTTGCCTGTTACTATTTTTTGTGTGTATCTTTTTACAGAATGCCAGTGCTCCTGGACTGTTTTTCTTCACCTTTTTAGCATTAAGCATCCAACTACCTAAAGCCTCTGCTTTATTTTAACCTGAGACCTCAAAGGGGACACAAATGTTAAACATGAAGGCTGTCATGAGCATATGGCCTAAAGGTGTTGATATGCTCGTGGAAACTTTGCTCCATTTCCTGGTTGTAGGAATGTTTAATGTTGTAGCACTTTGGAGATTCTCATCTGAAATCACTGACATATCTTCCTTTCTGTAGGTTTTTACTTTACTTAAAGTGGGGTTTTTGTGTGTGTGTGTGTGTGATACCCATTATTATGAGTTGAAGCCAAATCAAATTTGGATCAGATTTAATTAATTTATTTAATATAGCTGTCACAAGAGATAGAATTTTAATGAAAGCAGTTCTTAAAAAGCAGCTTGACTTCTTTGTGCAGTGTTGGTAGAACACTCAGGTAACCATACTCTTGTTTTTATAAAGTTTCTCTATATTTTGAGTCAGAATTGTTTATTATAAATCATGTGATTTTTAGCACATGGTATTATAATCAGCACCCATGCTGAAAGGAATTTCTCTGTTAAGTTCTGTTCTGGGAAGGGGATATTTCCTTATTTATCAAAGCATTTGTGAACAGATAAGACAGAAAATAAGCAGAAATGAAAACTTTTTTATCTCAGCAAAATACACTTAGATATAAAACATGTATATTGTTTGCTATTATTAGTCATGCCAAATCTTATATCTTAACCTGCTCAGCTGATAGAAATTTGGTCCCACTTGAAATCATAATAAGTTCAAAGATGTTTGGATTAAGATTGTAATTGCAAGAATGTGGGACTCTAGAACATACAGAACTCACTGTCTTAGAATCAGAACAGCAGTGCTGTCTTCCTTTGTCCAGCTCTGCAGCCCAGGGCCAGAGACAAATCCAGAGAATGGCTCTGACTAGCCCCTGATGGTGTTTTAGCTCCTGTGTAGCACACTGCAGCCACTAAGCCAGATGAGTGTGGGGATGGCTGTGGACTTGTGCGTGTTTGATGCTGTAATTGTGTTTCAGATGGTAAAAGATGACTATGAGGACGATTCCCATGTTTTCCGGAAACCCGCCAATGACATCACATCCCAGCTGGAGATTAATTTTGGTAACCTCCCTCGTCCTGGGCGTGGAGCCAGAGGAGGCACCCGGGGAGGCCGGGGAAGGATCAGGAGGGCAGAGAACTATGGACCCAGAGCAGAAGTGGTGGTAGGTGTCTGTATTGACGGTTTGGCGAAAGAAGTTAATAAGGACAGTGCCCTGGGCCCAGGATGGTCTAATTTCAGAGGGTCATGAGTTTCTGCAGTCACTTCTTTCTGTAGCTAGTGTGGGACTGATGTTGGGGCATTTGGACGGTGTTGTAGCATCATGGACATCTTGCCTAGAGACCGTTCTGTAGCCCTGGCTTCCAGGGTCTGCTGTGAAGGCACTCCCGGGATCAGAGAGAAACTCACTGTCACCCGCATTAGACAAGATCCCCAGGCTTGGGATTGAACTGGAGCACCTGACGTTTTGCTTACTGTGGCCTGATTGTGTGCCTTGGGCTCAGGTGATGCTGTCAGAGTGGACAGAATCCTCCCTAAGATCTCAAGCCCTTTGTGAGGGGACCTTCCTCAACCCCTCCCCGGCTCACCTGCCTCACACCGTCCTCAGCCAAGGCTGCCTGATTCTAGCTCTCAACACAGCACGCTCCTTACCCCTGGCCTCTGCCTGCTGGCCTCCATTCATCCTTCCAGCCTCACTTCCTCACAGGTTTCTTTGATCACATCTCCTAGACCGATCAAGGTCTCGGAGCAAAGGAGTTTCTTTTCATTGAAGCCTGATCTCCGTGTGCGGCTGTATTCTCACTGGTGTGGCTATCGGTCAGCGGCTGCTTTTGCTCATTACCGGTTTACGCAGTGCCACGCAGTGCCTGGCATGTAGTAGGTGCTTCCTAATGTGGTATGGACACTTATTCATTGGAAATCAGCCCCGAGGCCCCATGGCACAGACCCCTTCTCTGTGGCTGGTCTTGGCAATGCTCCTCCTGCTGCCCGGTTCCCTCGCTCTAGGGAGCAGCCCCTGGAAGCAGTGTCTATGGTTTGTTTTTGCTTAAGCAGGAGCAAAAACACAATTTTTTGGGCGGGGGGTGTAGGGGTATATTTGGGGCCAGGTTGGAAATAGGGTCTATTCTGCGATAGGAAACACACCCTCACTCCTTTCCTATAGCGGAGCTCTGTCCCCTGCAGCACTCCAGGGAGTGTGTTGGGAAACCACTCTGAGATCCAGTGCCACCCACCTCTTCACTGGCATCTGTCCCCACCTCCACAACCTGTGCATCCCTCCACCTCAGAACCGCCCTTAGGGCCCGCCCCCGCCCCCATCAGGTCACACTGTTTCCCAATCCAAGTCCTTGTTCCCTTTGCTCATCCATTGAGGTTCATCCCAGGGAGAACCTTCTCTTCCCACAAAACCTTGCCTGACCTTGGTGTCCACTGTGCCACCAAATTGCACTGGATGGCCCTCCTGTGGCCCCTCCTTCCCAGGACGTGTTAGTGAAGCTCCTGATTCGATGGTCAGTTTCTCCAGCACCGTGAGCTCCCCGAGGATAGGCACTGTCTGTGCTCCTCCAGTGCCCGGCACGCAGTAACCATTCTATTTACTCGATGAAGGACGTGCCCATGCAGAACCCCCAGTAAGAGCTTGCAGGACGTAGGAAGGGAGGCAGCTCCTTTTTCGAGGAGGCTGGAGGCCTGTGTGGGAGGGGGAGCTGTACTTTCCTGGGTTAGCAGTGACCTGTGACTCTCCCCTTCCCACTGTGGGTCCTGCCTCTAATGCAGGCCCCTCAGCGTTGGTGCCAGGCCCTTGTTATCCCACTGGGATATCGGGAATGGATGAAGGGGCAGTGGATTTCAAAGTATTTCTTTTTTTCTTTAGATGCAAGATGTTGCCCCCAACCCAGATGACCCGGAAGATTTCCCTGCGCTGTCTTGAAAGAGCCCTGTTTCCCAGCACCGCGGAGCTGCACTGCACACCTGTGGGGAGACTTTTCCAGCTGGGCCAAGGGAGTCAGACTCTAAGAACAATAGATGTTGCTTTTCCCGTGTCATGTAAATTTGTTGCACTTTTTTGGGCTGAGCTGTTAGAGGGGCTTCTCCAGAGGCTCGAGAGCAGGCCATTTCCCAAGAAGATGAAGAATGGTGACTGTGTTTTTATTGAAGGAATTTCAAATGAAGAATAATGTTTAAAATGTGTATATAGAGATAGTATAGACTCCTCCGCGGAAGCATGGAGGGAAAGGAGGTTGTAAAATAGACTCCATGGAGACTCTTAGGAAGCAGTAGATTCCCGGGGGCTGTGCCTTTAGCGTTAGAGGAAACACATAGAGCTGGAACTGTTAATGGAAAGCAGTCACAGCTGAGTTTTCGGAGACCAAGAAATTAAAATACAATTGCACTTACTGTTTACTTGTAAATGTTATCTTCTCTCCTGGAATATTTTGAGTTCTGGTTTTCACTTAACCAATCATTTAAAAATCGCTATTGTGTAGCCACTGGCCACCACTCTGTGACACAGAATCAGAGAAAGCGTTGATTTTTAATGGTGATTTAAACTACCTCGTGGTTTCTGTGTGTGTGCACACACACATCTAGTGTTTGGGTGGTTTTTAGGAAGAATATTAAGTATGTGACTTCAAAAACCATGTTATTTAACCTGCCAATCAAATGGAAAGGGATCATGGCAAAAGCAAATACCGCATCCTTTTCTTCCGCAGAACTAGAGTCAGAGTTCGGCAGCTGCGTACAAAGGCCTCTGCCCTCGGCTTGAGCAAAAGTTGTAAATAACTAGTATTTATTAAGCACTTATAAGCAGTTTTTCTCACTTAGTCCTGGCTCCAGTTCTAGAGTTCCTCTTTATTGCTTTTGGTGAAAGTTTGGGGTTGGGGGTACACCTCAGAGGTTCAGTAATTCACCTGGAGTCCCACCCTGAACAGAGCTGGACCCAGAGCCACACACGCCCGGGAACACACACTGTGCTGGGGAGGAAGTGGGCCTAGGAGGGCCTGCAGGTCCAGGCAGCTGTAGAGCTGCTAGAAGCTGGGGTGTTGCTCTCCCCGCTTTCTCATAGACACAGAGGTACTGTCTGCCTGTTGTCACACAGTTCATATGCTCGCTTGAGATGGAATCTGAACCTTGGTCCCAGGATCTGTGCTTTTTCCCACTTTGCCACACTGTCTAAGGTGGCTTTGAACTGGAACCCAAGTGCAAATAAAGGTTGGTATTCGCTCCTGACTTTGTGTAGAGAAAACAGTCCTTTGGTTACTCCAGGCCACAGCAGTCGGTCATGATTTTGTTGAATAATCAAAGTTGAATCCATACACGTTAGGGTCAGTTAAGGATGTTTGCTTTGGGTGATAGCCTACTTTTGGTCTCTTATTTATTATCTGAGTACTAAGGTTTATCAACTGAGTGTTTTCTTCCCTTTCCTGGAAAAGGCAATGGATGCAAGTGCCCTGATTTCTGAAATCTGAACCTAGCCGGTACAACATCAGGGCTGTGTCATGAGTCAGTGGCTTTGAAGCTGTCACACTGTCATTTTGCCTAACTGCGGCTTTGAAGATTAGCCAGAGAGCCCTTTGAAGAAACTTTCCTTTAGTGTTGTGAATAATACTTGAAAAGCCCACAGCACTTGGTTTAATGTTGCAGTTGCAAAAACACTGACAGTTCCTATCCCATAGAGCTGTTGAGTCATGTGGTTGAAGACAGTTTTGGGGAACCCGGTGCACGTTCTGAACCTGTAATGGGCTATGTTTGCTTACCAGGGCTAGCTCTCGCTGACTTGGTCGTGTGCCTGGATGTAGGCATTTTGTTTGCACCCTTTCTGGATCGTGCCAGGTTGTACATAGCCCCAAGTGCCCCAGAGAAGCCAGGGAGGACAGAAGCGAAGGGCAGGGGGGTGTCACCAGCATGCCGTTGGGACAGTCAGATGCGGAGGCGGCAGGACCTTTTGGACCACAGTGCCCCGGCCGGACTCCTCAGGTGCTTGTGACGTGGGTGTGGACATGTCCTGAGGCAGGGCACCCTGGGCACCACGTTTCTGGCTGGCGACTTAGACTCAAGCAGATTAACCCCATGAAAGACGCCGATGAGGGCTGTCGTCCCCAAGTCTCCTGAAAAGTGGAGGTCAAGCAAGTTTGAGCTGGTTATAGCCAAGCCCAGGCTGGACTGGATCATGTCTGAATCAGGAGTTGACTGCTAGGCCTCAGGGGTGTCTGAGTTGTGCCACCAGGGCGGCTCCTGAAGACTCAGCTCAGGGTGAGGTCCTGGGGCTGCTGCGCACAGCCTGTCACCAGGTGGGGAAAGCTGCCCTGCAGTAACTGGGCTGGGGGGCCAGATCCTCTAGAGATAGGGGTGCTTGGCTGGGTGCGGTGGCTGACACCTGTAATCCCAGCACTTTGGGAGGCCAAGGCAGGCAGATCACTTGAGGTCAGGAGTTCGAGACCAGCCTGGCCAACATGGTGAAACCCTGTCTCTACTAAAAATACAGAAATTAGCCGGGCGTGGTGGCAGACGCCTATAATCCCAGCTACTCAGGAGGCTGAGGCAGGAGAGTCGCTTGAACCTGGGAGAAGGAGGTTGCAGTGAGCCTAGATCGCGCCACTGCACTCCAGCCTGGACAACAAGAGCAAGACTCTGTCTTTGGAAGAAAAAAAAATTTTTTTAAAAAGGGAGGTGCTGCCCAAGAGGGAGGGGTCAGTACCTAACTTGGGATGAAAGCCTAAGCTGCATGTCAGACCAGCCTGGGAAGAGGCAGGCTGGACACACTGCTGCCGGCTGGGAATGCCTCCGAAGTCAGAGTTGGATGCTTTGAACAAGACCCCTCTAGCCTAATGTTGCTCATGAGCCTTTGGCGTTTTCATTCCACGCAAGGTGGGCCCCTCTGAGCCAGCCAGCCTCCTTCCTTGTGCTGGTCAGACTTCAGACCATTTCCTTCTGTTGATCAGCAAGTCCATGCCATTCCAGCACATGGGAGCTTCACGGGAAGGAGACTGCTGTCCTCTGAAACTGTACTGTGCGGTGCTGGCAGGTGCTTCGGAGCAGCTGAGCCTGCGTCTCCGAAGCTGGGAAAGGCAGAACAGGAGCTGCCCGTGCCTGCCCTGTTCTCAGCAGCAGTGGGCCTGCCTGCTCTCTCCACATGGCGGCCTCCGCTGTAGACACAGAAGACAGATTTGCTCATTTTCTTTGGCTGCTGCTGTCTCCTCTCAGCCTTCTGCAAGGACCGTGGCCCATGTGAACAGCCTTCCCTGAACCCTCCCGACACTCATGCCTGCTTCAGACAACCTGGGGTGGGCTGCGGGCGTGAGAGGCTTTGGCCTGGCTGTGTCCCACAGGGGGCCTGTGTTGTGGATGGAGGATGAGGTGTGGAAAAGGGAATGAGGAAGAAAAAATGCAGGGATATTTTAAAGCCTTTTTATTATCAAATAAGATACAGATAAAAGTGCAAAACTAGACTGGGCATGGTGGCCCACACCTGTAATACTTTGGGAGGCTGAGGTGGGAGGATTGCTTGAGGCCAGGAGCTCAAGACCAGCCTGAGCAACACAGTAAGACCATGTCTCTACAATAAATTTTAAAATTAGGTGGGTGGCACACACCTGTAGTCATAGCTACTTGGTAGGCTGAGGCAGGAGGATGGCTTGAGCCCAGGAGTTTGAGGTTACAGTGAACTATGATCATGCCACTGCACTCCAGCCTGGGTGACAGAGAAAAACTTCATCTCTTAAAAAAAGTGCAGAACTGCCTTGTAACCACGTTTTCCTCCAAAGCCTGGCCACGTGGACCATGCTGATCACCACCTCATCCCCGCGCTCCCAGGACTCGCGCTGCCTCCAGGCGCTCCCCTCCACGCCAGTGCTGCCTTTTCAAAGAAGTCTTTCAGACTTTAAGTCCGAAGGATGCCCCTCCTCCTACCCGCTTTCCCCCTGCACCTATGGCAAAGCCTGGTTACTGAAGGAGCAGAGCGTTTGCTTGAGAGCCTGGGAGCCCTGTCTTGTCGTGCCTTGTCATTTTACAGTCAGGCAAGGACGCTGTCTTTCTTGCTACCTGGCTACTATTAGGGAAGGTAGAAACTGAAACCAGATTCAGTCCCTGAGCCCCACATCCTTTCTACACACTCCTGAAATTTCCAGTGAAAGGACTAGTCCCTTGGGCAAAGCTGTTAGGAGAGGGGACAGGAAAAGGGATGCCTGTACCTCAGGCAGGGGATGAAAGGAGACATGGAGTGTTTGCCTCTGTGCTCAGCCACTCTGAGCCATGTGGCGATGGCCATGGTGCCTAGCAGGGTACTGCACACTGCAGCAGTGCAGAGGGCCCACGCTCAGGTATTCTCCATGTAAACCGGATGGGACTAAAACTTGGCTCCCTAGGCCTAAAGGCCTAGCGGCTCCTGCCTGCTTTGCCCAGCCCAGCTTTTCTGCACATCTCCTGTTGCTCCTGGAAAGCTCTCTGCCTGGCCACAAAGTTTCCTTGGACTCTAGATGACAGGAATTTCCCAAACCAGATTGCAAAGGCTCTCACACCCCCCACAGCTACGCCTTGGGCCAATCAGTCCTCTGTGGGGAAAATCAGGGAACCACTGCCATCTGAGCACTCTTTTCTTTCTTTCTTTCTTCCTTTCCTTTCCTTTCTTTCCCTTCCTTTTCTTCCTCCCCTCCCCTCCCGTCCCCTCCCCCCTCCCGTCCCCTCCCGTCCTGTCCAGTCTCGTCCCGTCCCATCCCGTCTCCCCTCCCCTCCCCTCCCCTTTCTTTTTTGTCGGAGTCTCGCTCTGTCGCCCAGGCTGCAGTGCAGTGGCGCGATCTCGGCTCACTGCAAGCTCTGTCTCCCGGGTTCATGCCATTCTCCTGCCTCAGCCTCCCAAGTAGCTGGGACTACAGGTACCTGCCACCACGCCCGGCTAATTTTTTGTATTTTTAGTAGAGACGGGGTTTCACCGTGTTAGCCAGGATGGGCTCGATCTCCTGACCTCATGATCCACCTGCCTCAGCCTCCCAAAGTGCTGGGATTACAGGCGTGAGCCACCGCGCCTGGCCTGAACACTTTCTTTACAAAACTGTGCCCAATCCCAGAGGGCTGAATTACATAACTTTGGGAGCTCAAAGCCATTTGTAAGGTAAGGAGTGCCTGCCATGTGGCATCAACTTGTACATAAACCCACAGGAGGCTTCTGAGAGTCTCAAATGTTCTCAGACACTGAGGCAGGGTAAGACATTTCTCAAGAACCACCACCCTGCAAAGGGACTGAGGGCGCCTTCAGCAAGGCTGCCCTTTCTGGGCACCCATGTGTGCTGCCCCCCCCCGCCCCCCGCCCCTGCCCAGGAACTTGGCTCACATTGACTTCAGTGTGCCTGGCACTCCCTGGAGTTGTGCGATGAACAACCTGCACAACTGTACTGGCGGCCCACATGGATACTGGCCACGGGTCTTGCGTCAGAGCAACAGTGAGGAAAACGTTTCAAGTATCTGAGACAAGTTCTAAGCAAACTGACCACAACTTGCATGTTTTGCTGGTGAGAGGATAGAGCTGGAGCCAGCGGTGATGCTGGGGAAGTTTTCAGGAAGAGGGAAGGTGGATAGAAAGACAGCAGGAGAAATGGGAACGCCGTGTGGCCTATGAGGGACATGCTTGGGGAACTGGGTTGCTGTGACCAAGGTAGAAAGATGCCCTGGGAATTTTTACTGAGGCTCCCCGGCAGGCCCAGGCAGGGTGAGGCTGCGTGGGTGTTGCTGATTGATGAATAGACCCTGCCATCACTGCATATCTCCGGGGGTGCCTTCCACACGGCATCTGTACAAACAGCACACCTGGGGTGTGTGGCCACAGCCAGCAAGTCACTAAGTTGACCCATCGATGCAGCCTTCAAAAATTTGGTGCGAACTTTTCTGGGGAGATGGAGGGGCCTCAGCTTCCATCAGATCATCGCACAGGGGCTCCTAGCCTAAGAAAGTGTCAGCAGCACTGCCCTGCTGCGCCTGGAATGGGCCTCCTACCATCCCAGGGTGGGTGTCAGCCCGGCCATTCCCAACCCAGTCAGGCCGAGGCCCACCTAAAGGAAGGCCCTGGGCTGATGGCTCAATACCCAGTGGAAGAATGAGGCAGACGCACCTGCTGAGAGGCTTCAATTGCACCTGGAGAGAACTTGCAGTGGGCAACGGGCGTGTCCAGGAGAGACCTTCCCCGCAGGTCTAGTCCTTGTGGATCCCGAGCCAGATCAGAAGCCGGTCTAGAAAGGTGACAGCCTGGGACAGCCAACCATCGCTGGAAAAGGGAGGAGATGGACAGCGCTGTACTTACCACCACCACCACCACCACAGGGCCTGTCTCAGGGCTTGAGTTTGTGTGGACGGCAAGGACTAGCTTCCTGGGCCGCTAACTCTCAACCGCAAGGCAAACTTGGGTTGGGGCCCAGAACGGCCGTCAGCCGTTACCCTCCAGCCTGGCCAGTGAGTGCTGAGTGGACACTCCGCGGCTACTTAAGGACACGCCAACCGCGGTCCTGCCGGGGCGCTCCGTGCGTCTCCCTCCGGCTGGGTCCCGGCTGACCCCGCAATCCAGGCGCAGGCAAGGGAGACCCCGCTGGCTCCACCGCCCAGGCCACCCTGAAGTCCCCGCTGGAGGAGGTGCAGCGGACCCGCTCCCGGGGAGCCCGTCCCGCGCCCTCCCTCCGAGAAGCCCCTTCCTCCAGCTCCTTCCTCTGCCCGCCGGCCCGAGAGCACCGAGGCGGCTTCTCTGTCCTGTGTACTGCCCAGGACAAGCGGCATTGGAAGCGAGTGAGCCGTTCCCAGCTGGGGGCAGCAACAGCCCGGGGCCAGGGAAACGCATGGGGGCCTGGACCGTCCGGTGGCACCGAGTAGGCGGGTGCCAGGACGCCAGACACGCTGCATTCCCCGGAGTCCCACGCCAGGGAGAACGGCCCCGCCTGAAAAGACGTCGTTTAACACAGAGAAACACACCCAGGGCCAGGAGAAACCATTGTCCTCCCCGAGTCCCACAACGCACAAAGCACACGGTGGCCCTCCCACGCGGAGTCGTCTACCCCTTTAGAAACAGACTTGGCCCATTAGAGCCTCCGCGGCCAGGCCGGGGCCTCCTTACCTGGGGATTTAGGTGTGGACCCAGCACGCGTCGTCCAGAAGCGTGTCAAAGCCATGCAGACTTGCTGCCAAAGAGTCAGGCGGGGTTAGAGGCGGGGAGGCAGGGGCGGGGAGGCAGAGGCGGGAGGCCCCCCACTCCCACACAGGCCAGGGACCCCCGAGGCGCTGGGGAGGAATCCGGAAGGCTTTGCTCAGGGGGATCCATTTCTCCCCCAATAAACGGATAGACACAGGGAGGCTAGGACGTAAGGGCAGGCTGCGCCAACCGCTTGGAAGACAAAATGCCCAAAATCAATGTGGAAAAGCTAAAGCTAGGACGACATAATACAGCAGGACAGTGAGCGTGACCCCCTACCCACGGCGCTGAGGCCAGCGTCCTGCTATTAACTGAGCAGCTCACCAGCGTCACAACAGCTGCTAACGGGAGAGGAGCGGGCAGCGGCGACTGTGCATTTTTACACTTCTCCTGGACAGCATTAATTTTATTTTTTTTACTAGGCAAAATATATATGGCTCTTAGCGTGTGCCAGACACTTGTTCTCAGCTATGAAAAATATTAACTTTTCATTTCATCCTCACACAACCCTCTAAGATGGATACTGCCATCCCCATTTCAGAGAAGAAACGGGTTTAGGGAGCCTAAGTCACTTAGCCCAAATCTAAGCTAAGTGGCAGCACTTAGGTTTGCAAACAGCCTGGGCCCAGAATGCATGTTCTCAACAATTGTACCAAGCTGCTTTTTCACACAGTGTACAGCAAAAGCTTTAACGTCTTACAAATTTTTGACCCAGAAACCCCTTTTGTAAGAATTTATCCTAAGGAAATAGCCAGCACCGCCCAGGAAGAATTTCTGCAGAACACGGATGCAGTGCTCTGACAGTAAGACGTCAACCGGGAGAGTGTGGCAGCTAGTCAGGGCGTGCTACAGAGGAGCTAAAGCTCGTGTTCTTGGAGAATTCCTCCCTAGATGCTCCTTTCCAATGCACCCATAGCTGCACTTAGACACACAGAGGAGGGGGAGACGGCAAAGTTGATGTCACAGTCCCCCAGCTAAGGCACAGCCACGTACTTCTGTTAAACCAAACGCTAGGTGCTCACTAGTCCAATTGTACCACTGAACTAAGTGAGGCTCGGCCAGCAGATCAAGGGTCCCCAAGGCCACAGAAGTGGCGGAGCTGGGGCAGATACGCCCAGTGGGACTTGCACTTTCCACGGCAACTTGTATTTCAGTCCACTGAGGGGCCGCGGGAAGGGTCCCTTGCAGCTCCTCTCCCATGGCCCAAGCTTGCCTCTGAACAACCACTCTCGAGACTTAGCTTCAGCGTGTGGGTCCCCACTTCAAGGCAAAATAGTTTACGTGACCTCTTTTTAAATGTTTACACCATTACCTGTGCATAAAATTATGCTGCAGGTACCAAAAATATCAGAAACTGAGGGACTGTAATCTGCTATCAGTCATTCTTTCCCCAATTATCTAGAGAAAATGACCTAAAATATATGACAAAGTAGCGAATTGAAAGATATGCCCCGATACTGTTTTAAGCACTTTCCACGTGTTATTTTAACTCTCATACCAACTGCTAAGGTAGGGATTCTTTTCATTTCCATTTCACTTAAGCAATGGAAGCAGAGGGGATGAGCAAATCCCGCACAAGGTGGATGGGCCCTGGGCCGAGTGGCTCTAGATGACAGGGAAGGAGACAAGTCTCTAAGGACCAGGGGTCCCTGCAGCCTGCTGCCTCCCAGCCACAGGCCTAGAAGGCCCAGCCCCCCAGGAGGAACAGACATGCCTCGTGGTTTCATCTCAAACAATGCCTCCAAGCCGGCCCCTTTGCAGCACTCAGGGACTTCACGGAGCTGCGTGGTGGCGCCAGCTGCCTGAGCTCTAGTGGGTCAGGGGAGAGCTCTAGTGGCCTCAGGGGAAGCCATGGAGGGGCAGGGAGAGGCCACAGCTCCCACAGAGCCAGGGTCTGCAAATGAACACTCTGGGGGGTCATGTGTGGTGTGGAGTCGGGAGAGGGGCGAGAAGGCAGGTCTCTGGTTTTTACTTTGGACACTTGTAACCCAGTGTGAATCCAAGCACAGCTCCTTGGGGGAACTGGGTAGAACTCGACAGAACACAGGGTCTTGAGTCTCAGCAGTAAGCTGTGTGTGAGGTGTGGACACTGAGCCCTTGGGGTCCTGCCCGGCACCAGAGGCAAGGCAGGTAGAAAGCAGGGGTCTGGCGTCCGGGGTTGGACCACAAGCTGGGGAGGGTGCTGGGGCCGGTGCCGCCCGACCTTGGCAGGCAAAATGCCCTGCAGGATCCCAAGAGCCTGACTGACTTAAGTCTTATCTTTAGAGGTCTGCAGAAAGTCAAAACTTTGTGTTGTGTGAGCTGGTGCTGGGGTGTGAGGAATGGCCTGGCAGCAGGAGCCCCCTGTCACTCACCACCTTACCCTACAGAAGGGGGCTGGACTAACTTCCAGATTCAAACACTAAAGCCCTAACCCCAGCCCCTTCAGATGTGGCTCTATGTGGACATGGGGACTTTAACGACGTGGTGAAGTTAAAATGAGGCCATCGGGGTAAGCCCCAATCCAATCTGACTGGTGTCCTCTTGAGAGGGGAGTAGAGGGGAAGAGAGGCACCAGGGCCACGCAGGCACCAAAGAGAGGCCCTGCGAGGAGGCAGCGCCTCCAAGCCCAGGAGAGAGGCCTTGGGAGAAACCAAGCCCGCCCACAGCTTGGTCGTGGACTTGCAGCCTCCAGAACTGTGAGGAAATGAACTTCTGTGTCAGCCACCCAGTCTGGGGTATTCCATTATGGCCGTCCTAGAAAACTTACACAGATTCCGGGTTACCTCTGCTTTATGATCTAACCCACTGCCTACCAGAATTCAAAATGCTTGGTAAGTAACACAATAAACAAAAAGGCTGTTGGGTTAATACTTTTAATTACATGATTGTAATTATACAATTTCCACTATTCGATATTTTGTATAAAACCAGTTACAACCCACAAGATTTTCAAATGTGACAATATGTATCAAACTACATACATATGCAAAGTTTACACGCCATTAGGAAGCTTTATCTTAAAAATACCTTCAGGAAAATAAACATTCATTCAACCAGTTCTCTTGGCTTTAAAAAATATGATTAGAAATATACGCTGTAAAAAAAAATCAAGACAATGATTGATCAATACTGATCAGTTACATTTTAAAACTTTTAATAATCTGTACATGAGTGCAGGTTAGATAAAAGTCTGCAAATTATTAATAGAAAACTGCAGTACTATCATCGGATGAACATGTCTGCTGACAATTCTACCAGGTAATTAAGGAGGTAATTTCCTACACAGTATAGGTGAATTGTCCAGTCTTTAAACACATCTGGAGTCATCTCCACTGAGTGACATGGAGAATAACCTGATGTGGGTAAATGGAAGAGCAGCAGATAGCCTCTCCAGGGCAGTTTCAGCGGGAGAGAACATTTAAAGGAACAATAAAATAGGTTTTAAAAGTTGCTTTTGATGAGCACTGCTTTCCAAAATGCAATAATGATTTTTTTTAATGTAGAAAGAGAAGCTGTGTTAAGAACAGACATCCAATGAGTGCACTGCTTCTGTGGCTCCAAAGGTGACTGGGAAAAGAGAAGGCCCCAGGAGAGCCCTCAGGCCACACACAAGCCCAGGCCATCCCGCCCAGCCCAGCGAGCACACTGGCCTCATAACAATGCTTGGGAACTCCTCTAAAACTTGCCTAGGCCCAAGAAAACAGAGAGGTAGCAATCACCCCTGTGAGAGGGCTAGAGAGGAGGGGAGGAAGTAGGTAGGGGACAGGCTAGGGGCATCAAGCTCAGAACAGGGGAATTCTGGAGGCCGCAGAGCTGCGTGCTGCCGGGAAGCACTGGCCACGCCAGGCCATTCTGCTCTCACGAGGCGCTGCTCCTCACCAAATTCTACAAAAAGCTAAGTCCGTCTATACTTCTAGGAACCCAGTTTTGCAGACGCTCTTCCTCCGGACTGTCCCTGACTTTTGATAATTTTGAGTCCCCAGAAAGCTTCAAGAGCACCTAAAAATATTCACTTCCAATTTTAATTCCATCGCAAACCGTCCCAGTGTACTTTCAGGGCTATTTAAGGCTCTTAGGTTAAGGGGATCTCTCCATCTGACACACAGTTTCATGTTCCATAGCAACAAGGTCTTCTATAACAACGACTCTAAGTCAGAATTCCAGAAGATTCTGGTTGTTTGTGGTTTCAGTTGGGGGTGAGGGGAAGAGTCCACTCTCATTCATAGCAGGAAGAACTTTCCATCCCTCAGACCCAGAGACTTCCTGGATGCTAGAGACAGTCCTCATAAGTGTAACACTGCCCTTGCTATGCACACCATCCCAAGTCATTTGGTTATTACAAGGAATGCCTCTTCACCAAATCACAAGTTTTCTATGACTAATTTCAGTGAACCAGTTAAATAGAAAGATTTTTAGAAAGAGCCACAGTGATAGCAATTCTAGGTGGAAACTTGAGCAGGCAACATGAAGAGGCAGTTTATAAAATGAAAAAGGGCTGTGGTTCCAGTGACACCCTTTCTTTTCTTGGACGAAACACCAGGAGGCTCATTCACCGTGAGGGAGACAGTACTCACAAGAGCTGTGGCGCCTACGTTTACTTGTTCTGATGGGATGAAAAGCCAAACTAAGAAGGGATCAGATAGAAGCACGATTTTCACAACTACCTGGATTATTATTAATGGAGGGGATGGCCTTAAAAGGGGTAAGGGGAAGAAGAGGTGCCCTGAGAATTCAATGCTTTATGCATGGCACAGTTTGAATATTTATATTGTCTCAGCTCAAAATAGCAAAAGGAATGTTCCTCCTCCCACCCAAATCTTATTGAAGAGTAGTCTGCCCACAGCCAAGTGGGTCTTTGTGCCTATTCATTTCCAGGGACAGAAAACCACTGTTTTTCTGTGATCCAGTCCCCAGTGTTTAAAAGCTGGCCTGACCCCACCCGACAGTGCCTGGCGGGGAAAGAGTTGCTTGTTTGGCTGAGAACACGGCATCTTCCGTCTCTCATGATGCCGGTCAATTTTATACTTTCTTCCAAGAAAGTACACCAAAATGGAGGCACTGCCTTTCAATTACTTTTTGCATTAAAGACTTTTAACTTGTTTATTCCAACCGCTTTTATTTCTTCCAGTTTTGTGAAAAAGGCAGCTTCTTAAAATGGAGTTGCCTACTAATCTGGCGCACGCCTTGTGGCTTAGGAGGGCATTTGTTTCCCACTGCCTGTCGACATCTCAGCCCTCCATGCTCCCGGCACAGGCAAAAATGGCTTAACAATCATTAAACCACCCACTTCTTATGGAAGGAACTGAGGTGAGTACTATATATTCTTTTATTTCGGGCCCCATTTTTTTTTTTTTTTTTAGCAGCACATCAATTCTGTTTCTGTAACTGCTTCATGGCACAGACTCTGCTGTGTTCCAGTAGGGCTGCGGGAGAAGGCACTCTGCAGAGTTACTAGTTGTGTTCCCTAACCAAAGGCAACAGTGAGATCCAGAAGCAGATCATTGTCACTGAGATCGCAGGCCACGTCAATGGCCTTAGGTGGATCTCATAAGGGAAAAAAAAAATCCAATGTTACAGGGAAGGACTCTAAAAAAGTGGTAACTTTTTTTTTTTGTAAGCCGACATTATTTGGGATTGCTGTTTCCAAGGGGAAAAACCAATAGTGTGTTTCTTCCATTCATGGAAGGAAATATGATTTTAATTTGTATGACTGGCAACCAAACAATGGGCAGCCTCCCAGTTCTTCAGTCCCTGAAGGACAGAAAAAGGAACGACTTGCAACATCTTCCAACTCTGAAGTCAGTTTCTCCTCCTGAGTCTTCTAAAGCTACCATTAATATTCTCTTGCAAGTTTTAGGTTACTAAGGTACCACCTGGTCTTACAACATGCAACAGTGTTTAAATGTGATTTTCACAGATTCTTGTTAATAAAGCACTCTTTGGTGGAAGACAAGCAGCTTGGGTACTTAACAGAGTTAACATTACAACAGTATTACAAATAGTCAAGTGAAGATGATTAAGCCAAATAGTATCAAATTACAGAAAGTACCATTTCAGTAATGCCTTTTGTATCTTTATAAATTTTGACACAGGGTCACAAGGTGAACAGAAAATAAATACATAAAAAACCTCCATCAGATCCTCAATTCTTCTGAAGGCCAGCAACTACAATGATTGCCATCACAGGGACACACATGCACCACAGACCAGCCAGCTCCCTGGGTACCAGAGGGCTTGGGTATTTACACCTGAGACTAAATTTACAACAGCATGTTTGTCATTCAGCTTGAGAGCTGGACCCTTCTCTGAGTCATTTGCTTGCACCCAAACTCAAAGTTCATTATTCAAACTCCAGTGGACATTTTCTCCATTGATCAACTTCTTAGGTGGAAAAAGCAACTAAGGCTTTTGCAATTTTGTTTTGTTTTCAAATTGTGCTAATTTCTGTTGCAGTTTTCAGTCCTAGAGTCTTCCTTCAGCTCTGGTCACAGGTTTTTACTTAACGCAAGACTGTTTTAGTCCTTGAAATGGAGAGACTACAGGGGGAAAAAAAAGGATTTTTACCAGAAAGTTTACACAGCGTCCACAGGCAGTTATCAAAGACAAGGAGGGCAACATAATAAAAATACTGACATGCTAAAAAGTATACGCTTGCTGTAAGTTTCTAATGACAAATACTTTGGAGAAGACAACACAATATCAACCACAAAGGAAAGACAAACAGGAGAAAGGCAGGGCAGAAAAAGGCTCAGTTCTGCAAAAAATAGAAATTTAAAAAAACCAATACGAGTAAATAAAAATCATAAAAGACGGACGGGCAGGGGCAGCAGGGCCAGGAAAGTACCATGACGCCGCCAGGGGCACGTGCTGCAAAGCACTCCTTGTCCTTCCTTTCCTCTGAGGGACCAGGCTGTGGGAGGAGCGGGCAGAATGAAAAGATAGAGAACTGTTACTGGGTTATTTCAAAAGCCAGAATTTGGTCACAGAAAAAGCTCTGGCACCTAAGCGGCTTCCAGCTCCACCGAGCACAGGAGGCACCCCACGGGCTACCTGCCTCCGCACTCCACGATTCTCATCCTGCCTCTCTTCTCTCCTTCCCCAGTTCACGACGCTACACTTTCAGGTCAGTAACAACTTTCAGAAAGCAAACAAAACCAAAATAAGAGTCAGAAAAACCACTTCCAATCTGGAGGGCTCCTCGCCCGATGCTGCTGCTGCTGCGCTCTTCAAGGAGAAGCGTTTGAATCGATCATTTCGTTTTCAGAGATCCCAACAGAGCACTGAGTCAAAGATCCAGACCAGCTAGTGAGACAAGTGGGAAAATATCTGGAATTTCAAAGGATCATTAATATTTTAAAACACTGGAGAGAAACAGTATTTTACAAAGAAACATTTGGAGACAACCTTCTGGGACTCCTCTCCTGATGGACTTTGGAGATAATGGCAGTAGCCAAAAATTAACACCCAGAGGCAACGGAACAGGTGCCCAGATCTGAGACTCTGAGGGTCAAGAGGCAGTGGCAGGTGTGACACCAGCAAAGCCACCCGAGAACACTGAAGAAGTTAGAGGTCCTAGATGCAGCTGCTCCCAACTGAAGGGCTCCTGAAAACACTCGTGGTTTTAGAAGCTAAGGAAAGAGGCCGGGCGCCGTGGCTCACACCTGTAATCCCAGCACTTTGAGAGGCCGAGGCAGGCAGATCACCTAAGGTTAGGAGTCAAGACCAGCCTGGCCAACATGGTGAAACCTCATCTCTACTAAAAATACAGAAGAAAATTTTTAGCCAGGCGTGGTGATGCACGCCTGTATTCCCAGCTATGCAGGAGGCTGAGGCAGGAGAATCACTTCAACCTGGGAGGTGGAGGTTGTAGTGAGCCAAGATCGCACCACAGCACTCCAGCCTGGGTAACAGAGTGAGACTCTGTCTCATTTAAAAAAAAAAAAAAAAGATGCTAAGGAAAGAACCTGAGCATTTCTCTCCCCAGCCCCCACAATATGAAGAATTAGGTACAAAGCACTCCAGAGCCCCGGACCTTAGGTTTGGTTTGGCAGCTGCAGCAGAAAGTGATGGTTCCTAGTGATACAACTCAGAATTAAAGTAACTTGTACATGCCAGTTTCTTAGAAAATGAATGAAGTTATCATTTTAAAAAAAGAAGAGCCTGCCCAAAAGAAACAGCATAAGCTAACAAACACGCACCAGCGGAAGGGCTGCGTGAAGACATGAGTGAATGCGAGCAAATGAGGTGGCTGCAGGCTCTCACTCGGGGCATGATGAAATTTCCAAGACTGTTCTAAGAGAGCTCTTCAGAGAGGTCATGTGAGAACACTGAAAACAGGCCGATTCAACGGAGCCAATTATTCACTGGATTTATTAATTCTTAAAAGAGAAAGGTTAGCATGGATTTATAGCTCTAACAGGAAGTGGGAGGTAGAGAAGCCCACTCACCTCCCTCTCCAGACTCAGGGAAGGGAATGAGAAGGTGCCACACAGAGCCCTGGCAGGACCGAGGGCCACACAGGCTGCCTGGCCGCCGTCCCAGACCTGTGGCCACATGAGATTTAGGTTTCGATGTGGCACAGCTTCAAATGGATACACGAGGGGATAGTCATCTTCTGTGAGAAACAGTGGCACCTTTTCCCAAAGACAAATAGTTAAGACATCACTCCTATTTTTTCAGCTGCCCCAAGTAATTGCTCTTTTGACGTTTTTGAAAAAGTTCCCCAAAGCTGAAGAGCCTCTCAGTAAAACCAAAAATCAAAAGCACCAATTAAGCGCAAAGCGAGTTTGGGTGGAGTCTTCATCCTGGATGCCAAGGAACATGAAAATGGAAGGTCAAGTTCCCATGTGCCGCAGAGATGATGACAAACCAGTAGGAACTGGTAAACCTGCTACGTTGCAGGTAGGGATGAAAGGACCCCAAAAGGGTGCTCTATTTTTTTTTCTACTGCTGTTTAAAGATTTCAACTCAATACTTTAAATTTACTCAACAATCTTAGCTCATACTATTTTGTCCAGAATCAGACCGTGCACCAATATACTAATTCCCTCTTGCCCTCCAAACAGAAATGAATACTATTTAGTATGATATTATGAATAATATTCAGTAGGATAAAAGCTCCAGGCTACAGCTTGGCTAACTCCAATTCTTAAAACCTATACATAATTTGCCTTTCTTTTGTAAGCTGTAGGTGGATAACAGGTAGGGTGATGTGAACACAGGACAAAGTCCCAAAAGAGGCACAAAGAAAGAACCCACTTAGAGGAAGGTGGGGAAATAAACTGTGAGTCCCAGTTAATCCTCACTGTTAGACTCCTTTTGCTCTCCACATCATCTCTGAAAGTCCATTTTGGAATTTAAAAGAAGTCTTTTTGGTTTTCAGAACTATCCCAAATTCCTGGAAGCTGCTTTGGGTCATTTCAACATTCAGTCCAGATTACTGACTCTGAAATCTACCTTAGGACCCTCAAAGCATCCCTGCCAGGGACCTGAGGCAGATGCTTGCTGCAACCAGGAACCACTTCTCCAGAGAGGCAGGAGTTCAGGTTACTAGAGTGACATGAAAACGCAACGAGACCTAGATAGAAAAACAGAGGCAAGGCCAGCCCTTCCTTCCTCACAGGAAGACGATATGACCTGGCAAGTGCCAGCCAGGCTCCCGGACTCTACTCTTCTGTAACCTAAAAAGCATAATCTAAAAAAGCAAACAGCAGAATTAAATGTGCAAGACACACTACGCTGTTAACAAAAGCCTGAGCGGCCGGGCGCCGTGGCTCACGCCTGTAATCCCAGCACTTTGGGGGGCTGAGGCAGGTGGACCACTTGAGGTCAGGAGTTCAAGATCAGCCTGGCCAAAATGGTGAAACCCCGTCTCTACTAAAAATACAAAAATTAGCCAGGTGTGGTGGCACATGCCACCCACAAGTAGTAATCCCAGCTACTTGGGAGGATGAGGCGGGAGGATGAGGCAGGAGAATGGTTTGAACCTGGAAGACGAAGTTTGCAGTGAGCCGAGAAAACACTACTGCTCTCCAGCCTGGGCAACTCCATGTCAAAGGAAAAAAAAAAAAAAAAAAGCCTGAGCACTCATACCTAAAAAGAATATGCCCCTTCAAGACATGTCAAAATTAACAATTAACTGTCATCAACGATAGGCTTTTTATTTGATTTTTTTTTTTTTGAGACAGAGTCTTGCTCTGTTGCCCAGGCTAGAGTGCAATGGCGCGATCTCAGCTCACTGCAACCTCCGCCTCCAAAGTTCAAGTGATTCTCCAGCCTCAGCCTCCCGAGTAGCTGGGATTACAGGCACCCGCCACTGCACCCAGCTAATTTTTGTATTTTTAGTAGAGACAGAGTTTCACCATCTTGGCCAGGCTGGTCTTGAACTCCTGACCTCATAATCTACCTGCCTCGGCCTCCCAAAGTCCTGGGATTACAGGCGTGAGCCACCGCGCCCAGCCTGAATTTTTAATAGCTTGGCTCACCAAAAAGTGTCAGTTAAAACACTCCCATTTCCCTTCATTTATTGTAGAAAAATTGGAAAATAAGACGATAAAAAAGAAAAAAATCCCAACTGTCCCACCAACCAGAACTTTTATTAGTATCATAGCATATTTTTCCTGTCTTATTTCTATGCATATATAGAAACTTACTCATCTATAAATACAGATGTATTGTAGGTATATAAATATTTATACATCTCTATATTTCTATACATATATAGTATACTTACGCTTACAAAATTAGAGTCATACTTCAGAATTTTTTTTTTTTCTTTTTTGAGACAGAGTCTCACTCTGTCGCCCAGGCTGGAGTACAGTGGTGTGATCATGACTCACTGAAACCTCCGCCTCCCATGTTTAAGCGATTCTCCTGCCTCAGCCTCCCGAGTAGCTGGGACCACAGGTGCCTGCCACCACACCTGGCTAATTTTTGTATTTTTAGTAGAGACGGGGTTTCACTATGTTGGCCAGGCTGGTCTCAAACTCCTGACCTCAAGTGGTCCACCTGCCTCCGCCTCCCAAAGTGCTGGGATTACAGGCGCGAGCCACCGCACCCGGCCCATACTTCAGAATTGTTATGCATGGCTCTTTTCACTTACTGCTTCGTGTACTAAACTAAATGTATGACTCCCAATTCATTTGGCATAATGTAACAATCTTGAGCCCATTTCCTGTTTCTCACTGTTATAAATAACACTCCGCTATTGTTCCAATGTACCGAAATCTTTGACCTTTGGTCAGTATTTCTCTAATATTCTTCTCAAGAAGAATCAAACAGTAAAGAAATAGGAATATTTGGTACATTTCTAATGAAAAATTTTAAATCCTGGAATCATGAGTCAGTGCCTGACAGTCCTCCAATCCTTATGCCGGGGCACTGCTGCATCCCCATGCGAGTGTTAAGTGTGCAGTAAGGTTGTACAAAACAGTGTAGAGGAGACATGGCAGAGCTGAATGAGTCTTCAAAAGGCAAAGCACACAGAACTCCCAGCTCTGCCAAGGTCTCTTGGGAGACTGGCTGCTTTGCACTGGGGACTAATTTCACACTGATAAGGCCCCTAGGCCCAAAGCCTCGGATATACATGGCAGGGAAGCTGAAAAGAAGCAGGGTACACGTGCAGGACATTTTAAAGTCTGGTTCTGATTATCTTCAGGTCGCTCATGTCTATTAGAAGAGATCGTTTTTACCAGGAGGACAGAAACAGGACTGCATGGGCTGCCAACACCAGGCAACGATGAAAAGGTGCCCCCTTCTACTCCTGAGCCATCTATCCCCACTTCCACTCCTGGGCTATTTATTCTCTCTTCAGATGGGATCTGTTTTCAGAATACTTTAAAAATGACATGTCCACTTCATGAGAAATATCCAAAGACAACAGAGTCACCGACGTGGCCACAGAACACATTGGTTTCCTTGTGAAATTCTGCCTACACTCACTGAAGACAGTGACGACAGTGAAAGAACTAGTGCCTCGGGTGTGGGCTGTGGCCAAGAGGACAAAGAGTCACTAGGTAGAGAAGGATCTTCAAACTCTCTGGTTATCTCATTTCTACCATCACATTCATTTGCAGCTAATCGTCCAGCAATGATGCTGTATCTGATATACACCTAGAAAAATGTCCTCCAAGTCCTGACAGCCAGCTTTGGAAATTCTTAACTTAAAACTTTCCCATATCATGACCCAGAGACCATACTTCCAGTGTTGAGAATTACTTCTAAAAAACAAAACAAAAGCCTACATTAAAATGGTCCAGATTTTCTTAGATAATGAACAAGGAATACACATTTGATGAATTTCCCATCACAGAGACTCTACTTTCTCCTAATTTCATGTCAGTCTCCAGAGGTAGGGTCCAAATATTAAACTGGAAAACAAACGCTTGCAACTTTTCAGAAGAGTAGGATTCTTTTCTCACCTTTTAACACTGCTTTTCCTTGAAGCAGATCTGGTGGTTCTTTTAGTAATGCCTGCACTGCCAGAAATGTTAGGTTCAGATGTTTTACAGCTCTGAACACTGGATTGAAGAATTACTCTGAAAATAGTTGGAAAAAAATAAGATTATATTCACTGAAACCATTTGCAAATACTTGACAGAGGAAAGTATTTTTGCACTTTAGTGCAAATTATCTTGAGAATTGAGAGGATTTTCCATCAACACATTTACCAAAAAAATCTGAAACACATTTTCACATCAAGGCCTTTTAAAATGAAGCATCTCGTTTCTCTTTGAAGGTTACACAAAGACAACCAGAGGGCTTTGCTCCTGGAAGGCGAATGACTTGGCATTTTAAGCAATTCCCACACCAAAGAAATCCACCAGCTAAAGAAATCTTTGTGCCCAACAAAAGTAGAAGTAGCTTCTCAGACTTTCAGTCATGAAACAAGACACCATTAAGAGCTCAAATTCTAAAGAATAGGAACATAAATTTAGGAAATAACTATACAATATTCACTCTTCAAAGCTGTAAGTATGGGTAATAATCCACTAAATCAATACTAATTTTATATAACGTTTCAAAATTTTAGAAAGTGTTTAAGCAAAATATGAGTTTTGCCTGAATTATATATAACACTTACTAAATCTCCAAGTGCCACTAAAATGAAAGTGAAAACACTTAAATTTTGTAAAGCTTGCCTTAATTAAACTCTAAAAAGCTTGAGAAACTGGTGCATATGAGAGTAGGCTGCCCAGGAGGAAGCACACGATGAATCAGAAAAGAACATCCTGAGATAAAGGCCACACGGAATGTCCTTTAAGAGGCAGATGGTCCTTTGGTTTTTTTTTTTCTTTCCTCTTTAAATTGTTATAGGGAAAACAGCAGAAGACATCAAAAGATTTTATATGCAATTCTTTTTTTTTTTTTTTGAGATGGAGTCTTGCTCTGTCGCCCAGGCTGGAGTGCAGTGGCGTGATCTCGACTCACTGCAACCTCTGCCTCCCAGGTTCAAGCGATCCTCCTGCCTCAGCCTCCTGAGTAGCTGGGACCGCAGGCGCCCACCACCTCACCTGGTTAATTTTTGTATTTTTAGTAGAGATGAGGCTTTGCCATGTTGGCCAAGCTGGTCTCGAACTCCTGATCTCAGGTGATTCGCCCACCTCACTTACTCCCAAAGTGCTGGGATTACAGGTGTGAGCCACCACACCAGGCCTATATGCAATTCTTTTCTTCAAGAGATAATCAATGACAAACTAAACACATATACACACATTTATAGATACCAACTTTTAATTCTCTGAAAGAGAAAATACTGACTTAACAAGCTTTCTTCTCTCCTATTCAAACATAAAGGTGAGAAAGCCAATAACAACTTATGAGAACCCAGCTCAAAGGAGTAAAAAGTTGAACCATTACAATTAGTGAGCATCCCACCTCACGGGCCTCAGCTACCACCATGCTGGCTAATATACCAAAGACAGGGCCTTAAAATAGGCTAAGATTAATAAATTTCTACAACCTTAGCATGACCCAAACCAAAGCATATCCAACATTTAGTAAAATGCTAAACATCTCATCACTAAAAAAGCAACAAGAGGCTGGGCACGGTGGCTCACACCTGTAATCCTAGCACTTTGAGAGGCCGAGGTGGTTGGATCACGAGGTCAGGAGTTCAAGAGCAGCCTGGCCAAGATGGTGAAACCCCGTCTCTACTAAAAATACAAAAATTAGCCGAGTGTGGTGGCAGGTGCCTATAATCCCAACTACTCAGGTGGCTGAGGCAGGAGAACTGCTTGAACCTGGGCAGCAGAGGTTGTAGTGAGCCGAGATCGTGCCACTGCACTCCAGCCTGGGCCAAAGAGCGAGACTCCGCAACCAGAGCATAACCTGGAGCTTGTCTGGGCCAGCGGTCCCAAGCCTTCTGGGGAGAAGGGGATGGGCAGCTTTCCCCACTATTTCACTTTACTCATGCAGGATTTCTGAGGGCCCCATGAAACTAGCTTTCTGTCTCACAGAGGGACATGAATCCTGGATAAATCAGCCAATGTTTGGTTCAGAAATTCTCCTAGAGTGTGATCATCTGATATGTTGAATGTTCTAACAAAATAGAAAAAGGAGGTGGTTGCGGTGGCTTATGCCTGTAATTCCAGCACTTTGGGAGACCAAGGCAGGAGGATCACTTGAGGCCAAAATTTCGAGACCAGCCTGGACATTTTAAGCAATTCCCACACCAAAGAAATCCACCAGCCAAACAAGTCTTTATGCCCAAAAGTAAAAGTAGCTTCTCAGATTTTCAGTCATGAAACAAGACACCATTAAGAAGCCCAAATTCTAAAATATAGTGAGACATCCTCTCTATAAAATAATAATAATAATTAGCCGGGCGTGGTGGGGCGTGCCTTGGTTCCAGCTACTTGGGAGGTTGAGGTAGGAGGATCACTTGAGCCTGGGAGGTCAAGACTGCAGTGAGCCATGTTTGTGTCACCGATCTCCAGCCAGGTGATAGAGACTTTGTATAAAAAAAAAAAAGAAGAGTGTATATGCATCTTAATTGTATGATTAAAGACAACTATTACCCTGGCTTGTGAATTCTACTTCTAAAAACAAGGAATTGTTTTTAAAATTTTTTTTCTTTTTTTTTTTTTTTTTAAGAGACAGGGTCTCACTCTGTTGCCCAGGCTGGAGTGCAGTGGCGCAATCATAGCAGCCTCAAATCCTGGGCTCAATTGATCCTCCTACCTCAGCCTCCAGAGTAGTTGGGACCACAGGTACATGCCACCACACCCAGCTAATTTTTTCATTTTTTATTTTATAGAGATGGGGTCTCGCTATGTTGCCCAGGCTATTCTCAAAATTCTGGCCTCAGTGATTCTCTTTCCTCGACCTTCCAAAGTGTTGGGATTTATAGGCATGAGCCAGTCTGCCCATCCCTAAAAATTATTTGTTTATATAAAGTGATGGGGAAATATTTATTCATCTCTGCTAAGAATTTGAATATAGAATTTTGCATAAAACCAAACAAAACAAAACAAACTGCTGCTGCTTCATTGCTACTTCTGAAGCCCAGGCCGGGGCACTCGTGCTGCCACTGTTCTCATCCGCTCCCCTCGGCCACTCCCTTACGCACGGAGAAAACAAGACTCCTGTTGGCTTTTTTTTTTTAAATACAACACCTAATTCTCAAATAATTTGAGGCCACGGTTGGCCAAAAGTACAGACAACAATCACACTGCAAAATAATTAATCTGAGAAAAAAACAAGAGCTGATACACTGCCTGCTTAGGAAATCTGAATCCTGATTTCTCAAATTAAAACTATGACTGAAGTGTTTAAATGCCATTCAAAACAAGACACTACTGCTAAATCCTGTAGTCATTCTCAGGCTGCTGGAAAACATCTTTTTAAAAGTATTTATTTCTCTATAAAATTAGTGTAAATTAAAGTGAACTAATATAATAATAATATTAAATAGCTAGTAATTTCTGTGGAACTTTAAAACCAAGAGAATGATAGAACTTGAGTGTATTAACCACACCACGGAAGACTCCAGTTATTTGCACTGACAACACGGTATTTATCCTAACTGCAGGTTATGCACTGATGAAATCGGGGTTGGGGGAGAACTCCACTGAGCTATCATGAGTGACAGCACACACCACCTGACAGGCACCAGAGGGTGACGTGTTGCCTCTGTCACAGGGAACCCGGGCACTCGCGGCCTTCTGCCTTCCAACCCAGGCCAAGCATGGCTTTGCAGAGCAGTGTGCAGCAGATGTATTTTCTTCCTTCCCATCTGCCCTGACAAAATCCTCCATCCTACCTACCTCTTGCCTATATTCCAGTTCACCTTCTTCTCTGCAGCATCCTTGGAGCCTCGGTACTCTGAGATTTCAGATATAGTGAAATCTGCAACCCAAGGAACACGGCAAAGCCAAAAACTAAAAAGCCAGGTCTCGAACATAAATGTCCAATTCCAAGAAAAAAATCCATCAGGGCAACTATGCACTATGTATACTGGCTGTCCACTCCGGACACCACAAGAGCGTGCACAAAGGTGACCCTGAGGCCCTGCAGCCTCCAGAGAAGGCTTTCCCACTATCTCTGAGTCTGACTCAGAAGCCTGAAGTGTTGTTATGGCCTAATTCTCCAGGCATGCTGCATAACAGGAGCTTTTCACTGGAAACAACTTAGCAGACGATGCCACACCACCTGCGTCCACTGCCAGCAGAGGTGGGTGGTGATGACAGAGGATGGTGGAGCTCAGGAGTCACCACCTTACAAATAAAACCCTTTTGAGAGAAAGACATGGGGGTGCTACAAAGATGATACTGATTAACACCACTGTAACTGTCACAAGCTTTTTGCTTCTCAAAATTCCAAATAATTAGTCAGGCTGAACTGAATACTCTGCTTGGGTCTAGAAATACAATGGCAAACGTCATTACCAATAACAACAGAAGGTATAGTTTACATGGAATACTGAAAAGAAGAGAGCCTGATAGAGACCATGTTTAAACTTACCCTGGGAATGATCATTCAACCACAAAGTGCCTAAGCATTATTTGCAACTGCTCCACCCATTCAGAACATCTTTGCCACTTGGAACAGTTTGAGAAGAATAACTCTATGTAGTGCATGATGCTCTTGAGTCAGAATATGTGGCAATCGTAGTTGACTAAGAGAAGTAAAGAAGAAAACACCCAAAAGGTTAATCTATCTCAGAAATACAGCAGGTCTGAATGCGCGACAATAAGCTTTTATTTGTAAGATATTCAAGAAAATGCCATAAATAGGAGCAAGTTAAGCAGGTTTTGCCTAATTCTGAAGAGTGAAATCAGCTTGATTTTTAAATCTTTCTCAGCTATGTGAAAATACTCAGTGAAACCACAAAGTACCAGAGTTGGTTGCAATGGAATTTTTCTTTGGAAGAGATCTTGCAAGGAACTTTTGCATTCTTTCATAACTTCCAAGTCCAAGAGGAGACAAGAGAAGAAATTCTTAAAATATGAGTTAAGGAAAAAGCTTCAGAGAAGGAAGAACGCAGCTCAGACACAGAAGGGTGGCGGTGGACCCCGTGACACGGACACACCCGCCTTCTGGGGGTCTTCAACATGCTGTTCCACAAGTGGGCCTCTTGTACATTCTTCTGCAGAAATAAAGCCTCTTCGCTGTTAAGGTCTTCATTTCAAAGATGAAAGATCTCAAGAGAATACAGATTTGCTGCTATTAGCCTATTAAAGGCATTCTGGCTATGTCTGGGCAAGGAGAAAAGCAGGAACAATGACCATCATATGGAAATGCACCAATTTAAACAGGCGACCTCAGCTCCGACCTCCTACTTTCATTTAGCATCAAGTGCTACACACTGTACTTACTGTATTCCCTAAAGGGGAGGAGGAAAATGAGACAGAGCAGGAAATTCTGCACACTAAAGAGAGAAGACTTATGAGAGAGCTGCTGTACAATGGCAGATTTCGAGGCTACAAAATCACATATTTAATGAAAGTAGATCAGTGGGAAAAATGCTTCTTTGCTAGACTGGGAAGGACATACTCAAGATACAGAAAACTAGAGGGAAATTGTATAGCCAACTGACGAAAATAAAACCACCCCAATTATCCTAAGCTAACTACTTTTGATAGGGAAGAAAAACTGTTTCAGTGAAGAAAAACTGTTTCAGTGTCTTTATCAACTGCTATTTTGAAATATGTTAAGGATAAGCATAACTTTAAAACAACGTATGTTACTTTCAATATCCTTTCTATGAGAGGAACAGTGAAGCCCACCTTCCCTCCCCACCACCATCCCATTAATTGAAAAGATTCAGAAAAAGAACCTTTGAAAATAGGCAAACCAACAAAGCTAGGAGCTGACAAGGAGAAAAACATGCATTGTGGGAACCACACTAGGCACCAGAAGTAAGCAACGGCAGAGAAACAGAACGGGACACTTACAGCAGCTATCTGTCAGGGGGTCCTGATGGCTACTGTGTTCTGAAACCATCGAGACAGAATAGCAGGATGGGAAGAATGTAGTCACAAACAATCCACCAGATGACAACACTACACAGTGCAGAGGTCAGCACAGCTAGGGGACATCTGGAAAGGGGTGAAGGGGAAAGAACAGATGTTCAAATTGGGAAGCCAAAATAAATTACGCAATCATCAATCAATCAAGCCATATGTGAATTTTAGACACCCTAAAAGCCCAGCCAACAGCAACAGGGATACAAAGGGGTGGTCAACAAGGATGGAGTTTTGCCATTTTATGTTGAATAAAAAAATGCTGTGTTTAAACAGGTTTCATACTTTGGGACTCAGTCACTAGTGAGATAACTACCCCATGTTAATTTAACTTTATGATACTGAAATCAGTCACAGATAAATGATTGAGGTTCTTCAAAAAGCAGAAGATGTGCACACACAGAAAACTAAAGCAAACCACAAGGGGCAAAGGAGGCAAAACCAGATAACCAAAAACAAACAAACAAAAAAACACAAAACCCCAGACTAGTTAACAAAATCACAGGAGGCACAACTAAAAATGAACGTAATACAGCAGAACTGATCTCACTTCAAGGGAGTTACTAACTCCTGAGCCATCCAGGAAGCTAAGGGAATGGCACATTTTTATAATATGGTTCACATTTAACCCAGGGCAACACAAAATGAGCAAAATTTCACTTAGGTATGCATACTATAGACTTTTCTTAGTTGTTTTCCACACTCATTTTCCTCATACTAGTTGGCTTTCAGCTTGGTGTTTCTTTCTTATTTTTTATTTTTTAATTATTATAATTTTTTGAGATGGAGTCTTGCTCTGTCACCCAGCCCGGAGTGCAATGGCGTGATTTTGGCTCACTGCAACCTCCGCTTCCCAGGTTCAAACAATTCTCCCACTGCAGCCTCCTGAGTAGTTGGGATTAGAGGCGCACATCACCACGCCCGGCTAAGTACTGTATTTTTAATACAGGGTTTCACCACGTTGGCCAGGCTGGTCTCAAACTCCTGATCTCAGGTGATCCGCCTGCCTCAGCATCCCAAAATGCTGGGATTATAGGCGTGAGCCATCGCACCTGAGCTCTATTTTATTATTTATTTATTTAATTTTTTTTGAGATGGAGTTTCACTCTTGTCGCCCAGGCTGGAGTGCAGTGGTGTGATCTCGGCTCACTGCAACCTCCCCCTCCCGGGTTCAAGCAATTCTGCCTCAGCCTCCCAAGCAACTGGGATTACAGGCATGTGCCACCATGCCCAGCTAATTTTGCATTTTTAGTACAGATGGGGTTTCTCCATGTTGGTTAGGCTGGTCTTGAACTCCTGACCTCACCCTGCCTCTTTTTTATTTTTAAGAAACAGGGGTCGGCCGGGCGCAGTGGCTCATGCCTGTAATCCCAGCACTTTGGGAGGCTGAGGCAGGTGGATCACCTGAGGTCAGGAGTTCGAGACCAGCCTGGCCAACATGGTGAAACCCCGTCTCTACTAAAAAAATACAAAAATTAGCCAGACGTGGTGGCATATGCCTGTAATCCCAGCTACTCGGGAAGTTGGGGCAGGAGAATTGCTTGAGCTCGGGAGGCGGAGGTTGCAGTGAGCCGAGATCATGCCACTGCACTCTAGCCTGGCCGACAGAGCGAGACTCTGTCTCAAAAAATAAAAAAAATAAAAAAAAATAAAGGCCGGGCGTGGTGGCTCACACCTGTAATCCCAGCACTTTGGGAGGCTGAGGCGGGCGGATCACGAGGTCAGGAGATCAAGACCATCCTGGCTAACATGGTGAAACCCCGTCTCTACTAAAAATACAAAAAATTAGCCGGGCGTGGTGGCAGGCACCACGCTACTCGGGAGGCTGAGGCAGGAGAATGGCATGAACCTGGGAGGTGGAGCTTGCAGTGAGCCAAGATTGCGCCACTGCACTCCAGCCTGGGCGACAGAGCAAGACTCCGTCTCAAAAAAAAAAAAAAAAAAAAAGAAGAAGAAAGAAAGAAAGAAACAGGGGTCTTGCTCTGTTGCCCAGGCTGGAGTGCAGTGGCGTTATCATAGTTCACTGTAACCTCCAACTCCTAGGCACAAGCAATCCTCCCACATCAGCCTCCTGAGTAGCAGCTGAGACTGCCTGTTCATGCCACCATGCCCAGTTTTTTTTTTTTATTTTTTTTGTAGAGACAGAATCTCACTATGTTGGCCAGGCTGGTCTCGAACTCCTGGGCTCAAGTGATCCTGCTGCCTTGAACTCCCAAAGCACTGGGATTACAGGCATGAGCCACTGTGTCCAGCCTCAGCTTGGTGTTTCTTAATCCATTGGTCTGGGTTCTAGCAGTGAGGAAGGAAACCTCCTCCCATTTGGAAGGGCAGAAGCTCTTTCCAATGACTATACTTCCAAATGGTCACCTGGATACATCTGTGACCAAATATTAGAGCCTCTACTGAGCATCTGCTGTGTGCAGAGTACTGCTAATCAATTTGGAAATGGCTGATTTGGCTTATCATGTCATTTTTATTGTTGACCTCATCACTGTCATCATTAAAAATTACATGTCAGGCCAGGCGCAGTGGCTCACGCCTGTAATCCCAGCACTTTAGGAGGCTGAGGCGGGCAGATCACGAGGTCAGGAGTTTGAGACCAGCCTGGCCAACACGGTGAAACCCCATCTCTACTAAAAATACAAAAATTAGCGAGGCGTGGTGGCGTGTGCCTGTATTCCCAGCTACTCAGGAGGCTGAGGCAGGAGAATCACTTGAACCCATAAGGTGGAGGTTGCAGTGAGCCAAGATTACGCCACTGTACCCCAGCCTGGGTGACAAAGCAAGACTCTGTCTCGGGGAAAAAGAAATTACATGCCAGGCATCCTATATTGTGGAAAGGGATTAGACTAAAGGGTGAACTCGAAATACAGCCTAACCTTACCCCACAAGTTATACCCACACCATCTTATTTAATCTTCCCACAAAAAAAACAAGCTACTAATATACATAAAGATCACAGGGGTGAATATTTAAATGGAATGAATAAATGGTCTGGGAGCCCTAGAGAACTCTCTACCGATCCCAGCCTTCACCTTCAGTTCCTTAAAGGCAGAATGGCCCGAATGTCCAAGTGTCAGCATTATAGATGGTTACTTTTTCCTCTAGTAAACCTCATGGCTTAAGAATTATTTTCCGGCCGGGTGCAGTGGCTCACACCTGTAATCCCAGCACTTTGGGAGGCCAAGGTGGGCAGATCACGAGGTCAGGAGATCGAGACCATCCTGGCTAACACAGTGAAACCCTGTCTCTACTAAAAATACAAAAATTTAGCCGGGCGTGGTGGTGGGCGCCTGTATTCCCAGCTACTTGGGAGGCTGAGGCAGGAGAATGGCATGATCCCAGGAGGCGGAGCTTGCAGTGAGCCGAGATCGCACCACTTTACTCCAGCCTGGGCGACAGGGCGATACTCTGTCTCAAAAATAAAAATAAAAAATAAAAATAAAAAAAGAATTATTTTCCATTGCTAACAGATATACTCATCTCCAAACCTACCAAAACCATCAGTATGCAGAACGACAGGCCTCATGGCTCAAGTTATGCAATCTACCAAATCCATTTTAGCACAGACAATATACTTGTCATCACGTCCTGAAGATCAGCTCAATGTCATGGTGCCACATGGTTTCCTGTCATCATTGTAGTCAGGATCAGACAGGCTGAGCAAATGGCCATTTTATAATCACTAAAAACTTAAACTCTCCCCCAAAACTGACCATTTATAAAAGAGAAACCGGCCAGGCGCCGGTGGTTCATGCCTGTAATCCTAGCACTTTGGGAGGCTGAGGTGGGTGTACCACTTGAGGTCAGGATTTCGAGACCAGCCTGGCCAACATGGTGAAACCTTGTCTCTACTAAAAATACAAAAAATTAGCTGGGTGTGGTGGTGCATAATCCCAGATACTCCGGAGGCTCAGGCAGCAGAATCACTTGAACCTGGGAGGCAGAGGTTGCAGTGAGCCGAGGGCACACCATTGCACTCCAGCCCGGCCAACAGAGCAAGACTCTGTCTTAAAAAAAAAAAAAAAAAAAAAAAGAGAAACCAATCATTGGAATAATATTTTATGTACTATAACCTTCTCCTAAGAATCACTAGTACTTGTGTATTTCTCACTAACTTTCCTTCTTGCATGTACTGTATTTTCATAAGGCTAAGTGCCAATGCTAAAGCAAAATAACTTGCTCACAGAAATCAATGAGTCAAACTTGGATGAAGAAATTGATTTTGTATTTTTCAACCCAAGCAACTGTTGAGAACAGTCCCTCAGGGACTTCTATTCCTAAAATAACAACATAGACACAAGAGGGAAAGAAAGAAAATCTTCAATTGATCTTTTCTAGGGCCAAAAAACTGCAAATAATAGCAGAGAGGGTTTGAAAAAGCAGAGACGGGGATAAGCAAAATGTTGTAAGGGAGGAGGAAGGAGATTTGCTGAGACTCATCAAAAATCCCCTCGGGTCTATACACATAACTCAGAGCTTAGAAAAACTAGCATTTCGCTTTCTTCTTTAAAAGTGTGGCCTAAAACTTTGTTATTTGTGTTATGTGGGGCTATTTATATATATTGTTTTTGGGATATTACCAAAAGGAATCCTGAGCTACCTCTTTGTTTTTTAACTTTTACCATTGTACTTGATTTTACTTATTTATTTAGACAGGGTCTCACTCTGTCACCCAGGCTGGATGCAGTGATCATGGCTCACTGCAGCCTCAGACTCCTGGGCTCAAGTAGTCCTGTTGCCTCAGCCTCCCGCATAGCCTGGTCTACAGGTGCGCACAGCCACGCCCAGCTAGATTTGAACTCACGTTAATGAGAGTAGCAGATTCAGAGGGTGACTAAAGGAAATTTCCTATTTAACAAAAACTTTTGACTAAGCAGGATTTGTATCCCCTGACTCTCAACTTGACTTTTGAACAGCAGGCAACAAAATATTAAAACATAAACTGATGATGCTGATTCTGAAAAACAAAACAAAAAATCCCAGACACAGCTAAAATCAACCCACAAAAGCATCAGTTTCCTAGGGCTTGCAATTCAATGTGTGGTCCCTGGACCAGCAGCCTCGGATAGAAATGTGAACTCTTGGGCCCCACCCCCACCCCACCAATCATAACCCATATTTCAACAAGCGCCCGGGTGCCTCCTGCACACTGAAGTCTGAGAAGCACTGCTCGAGGGTGCTGCCTGCCTCCTCCACCACATCCAGAATTAGTATCTGGATGATTACCTGGAGCCACCATAATACTTCCAAAGAAAAACCATTAAGGCCTTAGGTGAAGACTTTTAATAAGGAAATTAAAAACAAAATGGCATTTGGAGTTAAGTAAATTATACAAAGGCACTATTTTTGTTTGTTTGTTTGTTTTTTGAGATAGAGTCTCACTCTGTCACCCAGGCTGGAGTGCAATGGCACGATCTCGGCTCAATGCAATCTCTGCCTCCCGGGTTCAAGCGATCCTCCTGCCTCACCCTCCCGAGTAGCTGGGATCCTATAATGCCTACAGCTCCCACCATCATGCCCGGCTAGTTTTTGTATTTTTGTAGAGACGGGGTTTCACCATATTGGCCAGGCTGGTCTTGAACTCCTGACCTCAGGTGATCTGCCCACCTTGGCCTCCCAAAGTGCTGGGATTACAGGCATGAGCCACCACACCTGGCCAAAAGGCACCATTTTTAAAAAAGTATAGTTGACTAAAGTACCACTAAGTTGCAAAAGAAATGCTTAATAAATGCCTATAATCAAAATGGATGCCCTACATTCATTCACATAACACTGCATATTGTAAAACTCAATTCTTTGCCTTGGGTCTTTTAAGAAGAACCTCCCAGGGGAGCAACCCATAATGACACATGCCTTAGGTGTAATTCTACTTCAGAATTTTTATGACGAGACACTAGTGAGGAATTACTTTTAATTGAAAAGAAAACCTGTTCTCTGCCAATATAAATGGTATATTATATCATACTTCCTTACCATATTACAAGATGCTTACTGAATAAATGATCTATGTCCATCACACTCCCTCCCCGCAAAAAAGAAGGCTGGAAATCTGGTGTCCCACAATGAAAAAGGAAGTAACTAGAAGGAAGAAATCCAATGGCAACAAGTGGGAGCATTTACTAAAGAACAGCCTACAAAAAATACCATGGTCATGTACTTTGCTTCTGCATATTTTTCTAACAATCTTGGATGCTCCATCAGGTTGAATCCCAACTAACACACATTCACAAGAATGTACACATAGACATACATACACTCAGTACTACAACATTTCCTATTCTCAGGCTAAATCTTCCTCTATAATTAGAAAATCATTCCCCAAAGAAACAAACGAAAAACCCAAAATATAGTTTAGACCAGTTCATTGTTGCCCCAAAACAACATAATGTCATTAAGCCATCATGTCATGCTTATCAAAACAAATGATCTGCAACATGGCAAATGTAAAGAAATACACCACTTTAGTAACTATGGACAAGTCTGGCATCCTGGGCTTTACATCTGCTGTCGCGCTCCTGAGGATGCCCCATGCTGATTATTCATGGAGAAAAAGTATCCCTGATGTCGCCTTCCCACCCATAAAGGCTCATGAGGACCAAGGTAAACAAGGGACAGCTGAGAGCTTCCAAGGCCAGCACCCCTAGGTTTTAAATAACATAGGCAAGCATTTCAAAGTGGCATCATGGGCTTGCAACTATGGAGAAAAATGTACAGGAAAAACCCTCACCAAGGACCCCACACACATATGAAGAAACATCAACCACAACAAAGGAACCCAGACTCACGTGAGAGGAATAGCGTTTGTTTTGGATTGTCTTCTGCTTTTCAAGGCCCGAAGTCTATCACCTTGTGTCACTCCATTGATTTCGTCATCATCACTGTACTGTGTAAGTAAAAAAACACTGAGCTAATGATTTAAGTTGCACTTATTAATGCAGTACAGCAGAGCAGCAATTTATCCACATGAACACAGTCCAAGTTTCTGCAAGCTCTAGAATATTTTTCCCTTTCACAATCAAGCTTCAGGTGACATTTTAAGACAGCCAAAGTTGACTTTCAGAGACAACACAGCAGCACTCTTGTTAGAAAACACATCAACAGTGAAGAGGGTTAATGGGCTTTCAAGTTTGAAAACGCTCTTTTTAAAATCTCAGTGTACTTACTACCACTTAATGTAGTAGTACTGCTACCCCCTAAGCCTTTGATTTGTTAAAAGCTCTCTATTTGAGAATGATTGCTTTCCTAAATCAGCTGTTGTGAAATGGCAAAAAGGGGTGAGGGGCAGGGGTAGATCTGGCTGAAGAGCTCACTTCACAACCTTTTATGCACCTGCTGAGTAAGTAAAACATAGTTTTATGGACACACAACCTTGTTTCCACTATTTTGGGTAAAAAGTGCCTAGAGAGGGTTATAAATATAAAAAACTGACAATCATCCAAGAGCTGCTTTATTATTTTACCTACGGTTTTCTCCATACCCTGACAGGTTCTCAATAGCAGTTAAAGCAGTAACAACATCGCAACAGAAACGGCTTGATTACCGGTTCGGGTTCTTGCTGATCTTGATTCTCGACCCCATTTATGGAAATGTCATCAACGCCAGAGAGAAGTTTGGAGAAGGCTGCTCTGTGTTGTCCATTCTCCTGCCCCTTTAACTTCTGACGAAAATAGTCCCCTTCCAGCCAGAGGTTGGTTTGCTTCCTAGAGCATTTAAATAACATCAAAATAGAGCTTTCCAGAAAGATACATGAACAACTTCTTCCTACCAGATTATCTGTTGTTGTTGGAAACTAAAGGAAATTCCACTCCCCATCAGATTCCAACCCCACATGTTCCCTGGGAACTACAGACGTAGGCTACTACTTACATCACCAAAAACTGCTGCTGAGGCCCAATCACCGAGCCAGGTCTGCAGATCCTGACCCACGCAATGGTCTCGGCTGCTGTCATCCTGTAATGCTTCATGATGTAGCAGGCTATCAGAGTGCCCGTGCGACCAAGGCCAGCTAGGAAAATAAAGAAGCACAGAAATGAAACTTGGGCTGATGTACTCCAGGATTTTGTTGGGCAGGCAGAATTTTTTTAAAAGGCTTCTCATGACTCTGCTTCTTTCAATAGTGGTTCTCAAGGCTGGTTACACTCTGGAATCACCTAGAGAGGTTTTTAAATACTGATGCCCGGTCTCACATCCGGAATGTATTTATTATTTGTTTCATTTATCTATTTATTTTTGAGACGGAGTCTCACTCTGTTGCCCAGCAGGCTGGAGTGCAATGATGCAATCTCAGCTCACTGCAACCTTCACCTCCTGGGCTCAAGCAATTCTCCTACCTCAGCCTCCCAAGTAGCTGGGATTTACAGCCATGTGCCACCACAGCCGGCTAATGTCTGTATTTTCAGTAGAGACGGGGCTTCACCATGTTGGCCAAGCTGGTCTCAAACTCACCTCACCTCAGGTGATCCGCCTGCCTTGGCCTCCTAAAATGCTGGTATTATACACTTGAGCCACCACGCCTGGCCTTACGCCAAGAATTTAGATTTAACTGGTATGCAGCATAGCTTGGACACAGAGATTCCTAAAATCTTCCAGATGATTCTATGTGTAGCCGAGGTGGAGAATCACTTTCTGAGCAATGATTCTCAGTAAGTGCAGTGTCTTCTGCCCTGGGCATTTTAGAAAAACGGTACCACCATCTTTGCAAAACCAAAGGCTTGTAATTTTGCACTTACTCCCACATCCAATTATGTTTTCTGGTCTGTAATACCCATTTTCACTCAGATTTTTTTAAACCTCTATTGGTGCTGGCCTGTCTTATCTAGACTATTATCATTACCTCCAGTGATGGTTAATTTTATGTGTCAATCCGGAATGAATCTTTGGAGATTAACATTTAAGTTGGTGAGCTTTCAGTAAGCACAGTTCCCTCCATAATGTGGATGGGCCCCATCCAATTAGCTGAAAAACCTGGGCAGAACAAAAACCCTGACTTTCCTGAGCAAGAGACTGCCTTTGGCTTTCATCTGCACCATCAACTCTCCCATGTTTCCAGGCTGCTGGCCCACGCTGCATATTTTGGACTCACCAGAATCCATACTTGCATGAGCCAATTCCTTTTAATAAATCTCCTACATATAAAAAAAATCCTACTGCTTGTTTTTCTGGAGAACCCTAAATACAGATTTGGATCATGAGATAGGGGTCACTGTAACAACTACATAGAAATGGAGAAGTGGCTTTGTGATTGACAACCTTGCATATTTAGCAGGGGAGATTTGTAAGGAAAGTGTTGAAGATACAACCTGGTTTCTCCTTACTGGTTACTGTAAAATGCAAAAGGAAAAAGACGAATTAAAGAAGAAATTGTTAAGCAACAGGGAATCAGGAACTAGAGTCAGAAAATTCTCAGGCTATCCATATTGCAAAAAATAAGAGTGTTACAGAGAGAAAAGTCAAGGGTGTGGCTGGACACTCCCCCTCTAAAGAGATTACCTAGACTTAATCAGCCATCTCAGCAGAAGCAAGGACAAGAGATGGGATTATACCAGCAGAGACACTGGCATCTTGCACTAAAGGGGATGGACATGGAATAAAATAAAGTAAGGCTTTTGGACTTCTGACAGCAGAGCTACCTGGATGCAAACATTCTTTGTCCTTCAAGAAAAGGAAGGATGATCCCAAGGGCAATTTAGAGACCCCCAGTGCTGCCACTGCCACCGAGACACAGAGTATATAAGCTCAGGGAAGGCCTGCCTACTCCTTGATTTCACAGGGTAGGGCCACCTCTATTAGTTACAGCAAACCCAGCTGCCTCTGACCACAGCCCTCAGGGACAAAGCCACTACCCTAGAGGGCCTGGAGGGCAGAGCGTGGAGCCAAAGAGGATGATTCTCTAGCCTTAAGATGTAATGGGATTTGCCTGGCTAGGTTTTGGACTTGCTTAGAAGCTCTTTCTTCTGGTTTCTCCCTTTTGGAATGGTAATGTCTATCCTGTGCCTGTACCATCCCATCACAGCTGGGAGGAATTATGCCTCAGGATGGATCATACCTCAAGTCTCCCCTATACCTGAGTTGGATGCTATTTAGATGAGACTCTGAACTTGGAGTTGATGCCGGAATGAATTGAGATGTTCAGAACTGTTGAGATGGGGTGAATGTATTTTTGAAGTGAAGGGACATAAATTTGAGGGGGGCCAGATGGCAGAATATAATGAACTGAATTGTGTCCCCCCTAACCCAAATCCATATATTGTTCTAAGTCCCAATACAACTGTATTTGCAGATAAGGCCTTTACGGAAATAAATAAGGTCACAGAGTGGGGCCCTAATCCAATAGGACTGTTGTACTTCTAAGAAAAAAAAGAGATAGGCCGGGTGCGGTGGCTCACACCTGTAATCCCAGCAGTTTGGGAGGCCGAGGAGGGCAGATCATGAGGTCAGGAGATTGAGACCATCCTGGCTAACACAGTGAAACCCTGTCTCTACTAAAAAATACAAAAAATTAGCCGGGCGTGGTGGCAGGCACCTGTAGTCCCAGCTACTCGGGAGGCTGAGGCAGGAGAATGGCGTGAACCCGGGAGGCGGAGCTTGCAGTGAGCTGAGATCGCGCCACTTTACTCCAGCCTGGGAGACAGAGCGAGACTCCATCTCAAAAAAATAAAAGAAAGAGACGGCAGGAGTTAAGTGCAAACCATGAGAAGACTCAGAGATGACAGACATCTGCACTGCAAGCCGAGGAGAGAGGCCTCCCCAGAAAACATCCCTGCCAGTGCCTTGCCCTTAGACTTCTAGCCTCCAGAACTGTGAGAGAATTAACTTCTGTTGTTTAAGCCACCCAGTTGGTGATATGCCCCAGCAGATTAATATACCTCTTAATGAATCTCAATTTTCACTGTACAGCCCAATTTTCATACTGTCATCATTTTTCTTCCCTAAACAAAGATGCAATCAAATAAGATCCTCTCTAGGCTTTTAATTGGTCATCATTCTATTTCAGGGTATCTCAACCTCAGCAGTACTAACATTTGAGGCTGGATAATTATTTATAGTGAGGAGCTGTCCTGTGCGCTGTAGGATGTTTAGCAGCATCGCTGATCTCTACCCACCAGATGCCCGTGGTACCCAACCCCCAAAAAAGGTCTCTGCAGGTTGCCAAATGTCGGGTGTGTGATGGGGTTGGGGTGCAAAAGGACCTTGCTGAAGAATTCCTTCAACTGCTTTTTATAATTAAAAAATGAAATAAGCAATGCTGGCTTTTGTTTTAATTATGTTTAAAAATTGGAGTAAAATATACATAAAATTTACCATTTTTCTTCAGGCATCATTTTCCTGATTTCATTTAGTTGTCTGAATTCTGTTTTAGCTCACTGAACATGTTTAAGACAGTTATTTTAAATTCTGTATTGGGGCCGGGTGCGGTGGCTTACACCTGTAATCCCAGCACTTTGGGAGGCCGAGGCAGGTGGATCACAAGAGATCAAGACCATCCTGGCTAACACAGTGAAACCCCGTCTCTAGTAAAAATACAAAAAATTAGCCGGGCGCGGTGGCGGGCGCCTGTAGTCCCAGCTACTGGGGAGGCTGAGGCAGGAGAATGGCGTGAACCTGGGAGGCAGAGGTTGCAGTGAGCTGAGATCGTGCCACTGCACTCCAGCCTAGGCGACAGAGCAAGACTCCGTCTCAAAAACAAAAACAAAAAAATTCTGTATTGGTTAATTCGGAAACTTGTATTTCCTTAGTGTAAGTTTCTGAATATCATTTTAACCACTTTTTATGTGTACAGCTCAGTAGCATTAAGTACATTCACATTGTTGTACAAACATTACCACCATCCATCTTCAGAACGTATTTCATCTTACAAAACGGAAACTCTGGACCCATTTTTATTTTTTATTATTTTTATTTATTTATTTTTTTGAGATGGAGTCTTGCTCTGTCGCCCAGGCCGGAGTGCAATGGCGCAATCTCAGCTCACCGCAAGCTCCACCTCCCGGGTTCACGCCCTTCTCCTGCCTCAGACTCCCGAGTAACTGGGACTACAGGCGCCCACCACCAAGCCTGGCTAATTCTTTGTATTTTTAGTAGAGATGGGGTTTCACCGTGTTAGCCAGGATGGTCTTGATCTCCTGACCTCGTGATCCGCCCACCTCAGCCTCCCAAAGTGCTGGGATTACAGGCGTGAGCCACCGTGCCCAGCCAACTCTGGACCCATTAAACAATAACTACCAATCCCTGCCTCCCCTCAGGCCCTGGCAACCACCAATCTACTTTCTCTTACCCCAAGTATCTCATACAACTGGATTCATACAATATCTGTCCTTTTCTGACTGGCAAACCTAAATTGGCCTAATATCTTTAAGGTTCATCCATGTGGCAGTACATGTGTCAGAATTTTCTTCATTTCTAAAGATGCATAATATTCTGTTGTATGATATAGCACATTTTCTTTAGCCATTTCTTTAGCCTTCCTCTGATGGAAACCTGGATTGCTTCCACCTTTTGGCTATTCAGAGTAATGCTGCTGGCCGGGCGTGGTGGCTCACACCTGTAATCTCAGAACTTTGGGAGGCCAAGGCGGGTGGACTACTTGAGGTCAGGAGTTCGAGACCAGCCTGGCCAACATGGTGAAACCCTGTTTCTACTAAAAATACAAAAATTAGCTGGATGTCATGGTGCGTGCCTGTCATCCCAGCTACTCTGGAGGCTGAGGCAGGAGAATCACTTGAACCCAGGTGGCAGAGGTTGCAGTGAGCCAAGATTGCACCACAGCACTCTAGTCTGGGAAACAGAGTGAAAGTCCATCTCAAAAAAAAGAAAAAAAAAGAAGAAGAAGAAGAATGCTGCTACAACATGGGTGTAAAAATATCTGTTCATATCCCTGCTGTCAATTGTTTCTGAGCATATAACCAGAGATGGAACTGCTGAATGACGTTAATTTTTTCAGGAACTGCCACACCATTTTCCATAGCAGCTGCATTGTTTTATACTCCCACTAGCAGTACACAAGGCTTCTAATTTTCTCCACATCTCCACACTTGTAATTTTCTGGTGGTGATGTTTTTGTTCTTTTAGATAACAGCCATCCCAATGGGTATAAAGTGGTATCTCACTGTGGTTGTGATTTGACTTTCCCTATAAGTCAAAAATGCTGAGAACTTTACTTGTGCTCACTGGCCATTTTATATCTTTGGAGAAAGGTGTATTCAAGTCCTCTTCCCATTTATGAACTGGGTTTTGTTGTTGTTTTTAGGCGTTTTCTCTATATCTTCTGGATGTTAATCCCTTATCAGAAGTGATTTGCAAATATTTTCTCCCAATCCATGGGTTACCTTGTTACTCTGCTGATAGTATACTTTGATGCACAAAAGTTTTAAAATTTTATATAGTCCGATTTGTCTGTTCTTTCATTGTCAGTGCCTTTGGTGTCATATTACTGCCAAATCTAATGTCATGAAGTTTTCACCCTCTGTTTTCCTCTAAGAGTTTTATAGTTTTAAGTCCTATATTTAGGTCCTTGATCCATTTTAATTTTTGTATATGGTGTTATGTAAGGGCCCAATTTCATTCTTTTACATGTGGATATCAGGTTTTCCCAGCACCATTTGTTGAAAAGACTGTCCTTTCCCCATTGAGTGGTTTCTGTATCCTTCTTGAATGTCATTTGACCATATACACAAGGATTTATTTCTGAGCTCTCTATCCTATCACTGGTCTATGTATCTGTCTTTATGCCAGTACCACACAATCTTGATTGATGTAGCTTTGTACTAAGCCTTTTTTTTTTTTTTTTTTTGAGACGGGATCTCACTACGTCACCCAGGCTGGAATGCAATGGCACAATCATGGCTCACTGCCGCCTCAACCTCGCAGGTTCAAGGGATCCTGCTATCTAAGCTTCCCGAGTAGCTGGGACTACAGGTAAACACCACCACACCCAGTTAATTTTTGTATTTTTTAGTAGAGATGGGGTTTTGCCATGCTGTCCAGGGTGGTCTTAAACTCCTGGGCTCAAGCAATCCTTCTGTCTCAGCCTCCCAAAGTACTGGGATTACAGGTGTTAAGCTACCATGCCCAGCCTGTATGAAGTTTTAAACCAGGAAGTGAGTCCTCCAACCTTTTTATTCTTTCTCAAGATTGTTTTGGCCATTTGGCATCCCTTGAGATTCCAAATGAATTTCAGAATCATTTTTCTATTTTTGCAAGAAATGTTGAAATTTTGACAGGCTTGCATTGAATCTGTATATCCCTTCGGGCAATACTGACATGTTAACAATATTAAGTCACCCAGTGCACAAATGTGATGTCATTACATTTAATTACATCTTCTTTAATTTTCCTCAAAAATGTTTTATACAAATCTTTCATCTCCTTGGTTAATTCCCCAATATTTGATTCTTCTTGATGCTATTATAAATGAAACTGTATTCTTAGTTTCTTTTTTATATTTTTATTGTCAGGGCTTAGAAACAAGGGATTTTTGCCTGTTGATTGTATATGCTGCTACTTCTTTGCTGAACTCATTTATTAATTCTAGCAGGGGCTCTGTGTGTGTGTGCGTAATCTTGAGGGTTCTCTCTCTGTTTTTTTTTTTTTGGAGACAGAGTCTTGCTCTGTCCCCCAGGCTGGAGTGCAGTGGCGAGATCTCAGCTCACTGCAACCTCCACCTCCCAGATTCACGCAATTCTCCTGCCTTAGCATGCGCCACGCCCGGCTAATTTTTTTTTTTTTTTTTTTTGGTATTTTAGTAGAGGCGGGGTTTCACCGTGTTGCCCAGGCTGGTCTCAAACTTCTGAGCTCAGGCAATCTACCCACCTCGGCCTCCCAAAGTGCTAGGATTACAGCCAAGAGCCATTGCACCTGGCCCAGGGTTTTCTATAATACATATAAGTCATATCATCTGCAAAAAGATAATTTTACTTCCCCCTGTCTAATTTCGATTTTTTTTTTTTTTGCTTACTTCCTTTGGCTAGAACTTCCATTACCATGTTAAATAGAAGCCACAAAACCAAGCCTCCTTGTCTTCTTCATGAGCTTAGAGGAAAAGCTTTCAGTCTTTCACCATTGAGTATGATGTTAGCTGTGGGCTTTTCACATACGGTTCTTATGTTGAGGTAATCTCCTTCTATACCTAGTTTGTACTGTGTTTTTATCACAAAAGGGTAATGACTTTTGTCAGACGCTTTTTGTGCAGAGATGATCGTATGGTTTTTGTCCTTAACGTGGTATATCACACTGATTGATTTTCATATGTTGAACCACTCTTGTAATCATGGGATAAATCCTACTTGGTCATGGCACACAATCCTTTTAAATATGCTGCTGAATTCCATTGGCTAGTATTTTGTTCAAGGTTTTCACATCGATGTTCGTAAGGGATACTGGCCTATAGTTAGTTATCTTATAGTGTCTTTTTGTTTTTGGTATCAGGGTAATGCTGACCTTATTGAGTTAGAAAGTGTTCCTTTTTCCTCAAATTTTCAGAAGAGTTTGAGAAGGACTGGTTTTAGTTTTTTAAGTGTTTGGTAGAATTTACTGGTGATGCTATCATGTCCAGGGTTTTGCTTTCTCAGGAGGTTTTGGATTACTTAATCTCCTTATTAGTTAGGGGTCTGTTCAGATTTTCTATTTCTTTATGATTTAGTTCTGGTGTTTTGTTTTTCTAGGAATTTGTCCATTTCATGTAGACTATCCAATTTGTTGTCCTACAATACTGATCATTTTTACGTACTGATCAGCTTTATTTCTGTAGTATCAGTGGTAATGCCATTTTCATTTCTAATTTTAGTAATTTGAGTCTTCTTCCTTTTATACTTCATCATTCTAGCTAAAGGTTTATCATTTTTGTTATTCTTCTTAAAGAACCAACCCTTGGTTTTGTTCATTTTCTCTATTGGTTTTCTACTCTCTATTTTATAAATTACAATAATATACTACTTGCAATTTTTGTATATAATAATACACAAAAATTATACTACTTGCAAACGACAAATTATTTTACAAATTACAATAATTTACATATTATAATATTTGCAAGTTACAATAACAAGTTACAGTAATAATATTTTACAAATTATCTTGTTACAATAAAACTAGCTTTTATAGTGGTCCTTGTATTTGCCTTTATCAGAAATCTTTATTTCCTCTTCTCAAATGGCTGTGTGTTACTGTCTAGTGTGCCTTCATTTCAACCTAAAAGACTCCCCCTTTAGAGTTTCTTGCAAGTCAGATCTAGTGATTAAAAACTCCCTTTTAAGTGTTTGGTAGAATTTACTGGCGATGTTATTATATCCAAGGTTTTGCTTTGTCAGGAGGCTTTGGACTACTTAATCCCCTTACTAGTTAGGGGTCTATTCAGATTTTCTATTTGTTTTTTGCAAGTTACAATATTTACAAGTTACAGTAATAATATTTTACAAATTATCTCGTTACGATAATACTAGCTTTTATAATGGTCCATGTATTTGCCTTTATCAGAAAGGCAAACTGATTGCCTGGGCAAAGTCTTAATTTTTCCATTATTTTTGAAGGAGTTTTGCCAGATGTAGAATTCTTAACAGGTTTTCCCTCACTTATGCATTTTGAATATATCAACCCACTGCCTTCTGGCCTGCAATGTTTCTGATGAGAGATCTGCTGACAATCTCAGTGGTATCCCCTGTATGTGGTAGGTCACTTCTCTCTTGCTGCTTTCAAGACTGTCTGTGGCATTATAGCTTGATTATAATGCATGTTCACATGGGCCTCTGAGTTTATCCTGCTTGGAGTTTGTTGAGCTTCTTGGATATTCCTGCATATATCAAATCTGGGGAGTTTTCAGCCAAATCATCTGTCTGCTCCTTTACTTCTCTTCTCCCTCTGGAACTCCCACGATCTGTATCTTGGTCTACTTGGGTGTGTCTCAGGGATCCCTTAAATTCTGTTCATTTATGTTATGCTCTTTATTCTTTCTGTTCCTCAGACTTGCTAATTCTTTAATGATTCTAGCTTCACACGCACTGATTCTTCTGCCTGCTCAAATATGCTTTTGAATCCCTCCAGTGAATTTTTCATCTCAGTTTTAGTACATTTCCAGAATTTCCTTTTGGTTCCCTTTTATGTGTTCTTTTTATAACTGATATTAGTATTTCTTCATAAATCGTTTCCTTGACTTTTCCCACATATTCTTTTAACTCTTGGGTATCTTTAAGATGGTTATTTAAAATTTTTTGCCTACTAAGTCCACAATTTGATCTTTCTCAGGGATAGCTTCTGTGGATTTATTTCTTCTTCTTTTTTTTGTTCTGTCTATTGGCCAGGCTGGAGTGCAGTGGCATGATCTCAGCTCATTGCAACCTCTGCCTTCCGGGTTCAAGTGATTTTTGTGCCTCAGCCTCCAAAGTAGCTGGGATTACAGGTATCCGTCACCACACCCAGCTAATTTTTTTGTATTTTTAGTAGAGACAGGGTTTCACTATTTTGGCCAGGCTGGTCTCAAACTCCTGACCTCAGGCGATCCGCCCGCCATGGCCTCCCAAAGTGCTGGGATTATAGGCGTGAGCCACCATGCCCGGCCTGGATTTATTTCTTCCCTTTGAATAGGCTATACTTTCCTGTTTCTTTGTATGCCATGTAATTTTTCAATAAAAACTGAAATGTGATGTTTTGCCATTATATTTAAAACTACAAATACAGCAGTAACTCTGGAGATCAGTCTCCCCCTTTCCCCAAGGCTTGCTGAGCTTTTTTTCCAATATTGGATTTTTGTAACAAAACTATATTTCTTGTTTCTTAATTAACTAACAAGAGAGTTAAATAAATCCTACTATCTTCATACCATTTATTATTGTATAGTCATTCATTTATTCAAAAAATATCTATTAAGTGCCAGGCACTGTTACAATTGCTGAAAACAGAGCAACTTGTTAAGAATATAGTTTCCATTAAGACAGGCTCTTACAGTCTACGCTACTCATTGATGTATCCTAGAATTATATAGGATGCACCCAATAAATATTTGATGAATAAATAAATGCATTTCAATGTGATGTATTTGTAGAATTACTTATGAAAATAAGTTACTATACTTTTCATCTGAAATCAAAGGTTTCACGGCACTCTAAAAATAAAGGCAGTTTCATGTTCTGACACATAAACTAAATGAATATGGTCTGTTTCTACATATTCATATACTCATACTGTATACTATTCTTTAACCACCCCTAGAAACATACCTTTGCAATGTACTGCAATGGCACCCTCAGCATTTTCACAGATATCTAGGAATTCTTTGACAATGGCATCAGTAGGGGTGCTGCCATCCGCAAAGAAAAGATCATGGTGATCGAAGCCAGCATCCGTAAAGCGTTTGGCATCATACATCCTTTTATTCAGACGAATAATGGTAGTAACATTGTGATTCTTAAAATATTGAATATAAGTCTCAGGAGAATGTTGGTGGTAACCTACATAAAGAAATGCACCAGATCTTATAAAACACATAAAGAAAACAATGGCTAATAGTTTCACCTGTAACTGAACGGAAACAGTATCTGGACTGGGAATTAAATACCAATTTGATTATAACTGTAAAAAACAAAAGAAAAGAAAGTTAAAATCCAGTCAGAATGATCTACTGAAGTGACCAAGTATGCTTAAATAATAATTAACACTTGGTCAAGCTTGGTGTAACTCTTTCAAAAGAAAATATAGGATAGATATTTTCAATAACAAAATGAGATTAATGCCATAATTTCACATACCACTTTCAAGTCTGGCTCTTGAATGAGGTCCACAGAAGGCAATAAATCGGTCTGGTATTATCCAATTTAAATCTCCATTTTCTGCTTTCTGCAAGGGGAAGACCAGCACAATTCGTTTTTAAATGTATTCTCCCCACAACCTCTCTACTCAAGACTGAGTCTCTGAAGGACTTCAAACTCATTTGCTTTAGCGGAAAAGCTGTTTACAAATTGCCATGAGACAGGAATCTCAATTTGCCCTGCTATAAGTATATCTAGGGAATGGACGTATATCCTGTTCCTAATCATCTTCTTTTAACAGTGTTTCATTGCTAGGGTATCAGCCCTTGGAATACAGAGCTGACTGCTGCCATACAAATATACTATTTGGTTATTTTATCTGAATCAATTCTCATTATAGTTGCTGCTAATTAATAAGAAAGCAAGCAAACTTTTCCAGTATAAGGAATCTGGGAACTTCCCTGTTTTCCTGAATGACTAACTGGCTTCCAACATGAGCAATCTTGACTCCACGAATAAAGGGGGAAAAACTATCTACTTAGGTTTCTGGCTTCCCAATATTTACTTACTTACCTACTTACAGAGATATATCTTTCCACTATCTTCCTAACTATTTAATAAGGCAACCAATTTAAAAAGTTCATTTGTTCGTGATCAGCCTGACCAACATGGAGAAATCCTGCCTCTACTAAAAACTACAAAATTAGCCAGGCATGGTGGCGCATGCCTGTAATCCCAGCTACTCGGGAGGCTGAGGCAGGAGAATTGCTTGAACCCAGGAGGCGGAAGTTGTAGTGAGCCGAGATTGTGCCATTGCACTCCAGCCTGGGCAACAAGAGCGAAACTCTGTCTCAAAAAACAAAAATTAAAAAAATAAATAAATAAATGCACTGAACCGACCAGGAAACTAAAAAATTACAAGTATACCAAGATCACAGTATGTCCCTACAAAAAAACAAATATAAACTGATATGTAAGACATGTTACTTCCTGTTATTAGGTCCTTTGGATTGAGTTACCATTACTATTATAACATAGATACAGTTCAAATTTAACAATAATAGAAACTTCTGTCTTAATGAAATGGACAACAGAGACTTAAGCAGGAAGTAGAAGACACTTGATAGTGCAGAAGGAGAGGACTCGTGATTAAAAACAACAGATAAATTAGCTTTGAAATTGGGGTGTTTCTACGTGTACCTAAAAATGAGTAAAAAATAACAGAGTTTCTTGAATATCTACAGGGACCAAGCAGGTAATCCCAAACCAGTTTACTGGACTTAATGATCAACATGGGGAATCAGTCAGCCCATGTTCCATAATACAAAGGTCTAAACAGCCGGGTGCAGTGGCATGCACCTGTAGTCCTAGCTACTTGGGAGGCTGAGGCAGAAGGATCACTTAAGCCCAGGAATTTGAGTCCAGCCAGGGCAACACAGTGAGACCCTCTCTCTTTAAATAAAAAGAAAAGGAAAGGTCAAAGCAGGAATGAGGGCAGCTGTTGCCAGATATTCTGATTTTAAAGTGAAATCAGAAATCTGGACTTTTAAATAACAAACCCGTGATCAGTTGTTGGCAACAACTAGATTTCACTGAATTGCTGATGCCATTAATTAAGATACATCCTGAATTCAGAGGAGCTGAAATAGGAAAAAATGGGCATTGTAGAATCAATGAATGACACTATCCCCAAATTTCTAAATACACTATAATAACTGAACTGGTGTGTGGGAACCTAAACAGTTCCCTGTGTCACCACACAGCTTCATGGAGGTGAAGACGTTTGTGGTGTGCCCCTGCTACCCCCCAGCCCAGACCCTCCAATCTCTACAGTAGTAACAGGGGAGTTACTTAGTGCCTATATTATTCATTAATAGCACACAAAGGCATCACTACAAAAGGAACAAATACCAACTAGTGTTTTTAGCAGTTTTGCTTACATAGACAAAGTAACTTGTTTCAAATGTTTAATGTTTTAAGGACAAGCGCAAAAAAGGTGTTAATAACTTAGCTATATTCTGTAAGTTTAAGGTGCTAGTTAAATGTACGTTGTACTTTAGAAATGGACTGCTATCAGAGAAGTAAAGACAGGGTTGGCCCTAATGAATCCTACAATGTATTCTTACATCTTTGGTACATCACAGAAACAACTGAGTGTCATTATTAACTGAAATTGAAAAAACAGTTCAGTTAAACGTAAGAGTTTGAAATAATATTTACTTTGGACGTTGTGAAAAAGAATTCTCTGAGGATTCAAGATGCTGCCACATGAAGTGCTGCTGTTTGAGGAATCATCTCCCCAGTGCTGGGGAGCAAGTCTGCTCAAGGTAACTACAGCAGGGTAAGAAGACAGGAGGCTACAACTACTCTGGGCTGAAAAGGGCTTTAGCACAGTATCTTACTCATTCCCTATTTGGAGGATAAAGCTGTAGAATCAAATTATTTATTCTTTTTAAAATATATATACTATGTTAAAAAACATAGAACACACCTGTGGTTTTGCCTGGCTTATCTCTCCCTGGCCCTGTCCTATGTTTTTAAGAAATTTTGTGTGGTTGGGTGCCGTGGCTTACATCTGTAATCCCAGCACTTTGGGAGACTGAGGCAGGTAGATCCCTTGAGTGCAGGAGTTTGTGACCAGGCTGGGAAACATGGCGAAATCCCATCTCTACAAAAAAATTACAAAATTAGCTGGGCATGGTGGCACGTGCCTGTAGTCCCCGTTACTGGGAGGCTGAGGTGGGAGGATCACTTGAACCTGGGAGAGAGAATGCAGTGAGCCAAGATCGCACCACTGCACTCCAGCCTGGGCAGCAGAGTGAGACCCTGTCTCTAAAAAAGAAAGAAAGAAAAATAAAATAAAATAAAACTGTTAGAAAATAAATTTTTTTTTGGTCCGGCTGGTTTGATGGGGCTGACCCTATGCCCCAGGCTCCTGGGATGGCCAGAGAACTAAGGCTGGCCAGAGTATTCCTTAGCCCTGCCCTGCCAAAGAACACAGGCTGGTGCAGAGATGGGCACATGACGTAAGTCAGGCCAGTGAGAGGCATTCCTGGGCCTTCTGATGGAGCTAAGATTACACTTTTCTGATCATTTTGCCAAACTGGCAGGTCAAAGTTGCTGGTGGCCATCTTTATCACTACTGGAGAAGGCTGGCCTGAGAATAAAACTAACTTCAAGTCCAATTTCTGATTAAGTGTCTGAGCACCTGAAGGGGCATGCTAGAAGCCAATCCTATTCCTGGACTTTTAATTTATGTAATCCAGTAAATTTTTCCCTTTTTTTTGAGACAGAATCTTGCTCTGTCACCCAGGCTGGAGTGCAGTGGGGTGATCTTGGCTCACGGCAACCTCTGCCTCCCGGGTTCAAGTGATTCTCCTGCCTCAGCCTCCTGAGTAGCTGGGACTACAGGCGCCCACCACCACGCCTGGCTAACTTTTTGTATTTTAGAGATGAGGTTTCACCATGTTGCCCAGGCTGATCTCAAACTCCTGAGCTCAGGCAATCTGCCCCTCTAGGCCTCCCAAAGTGCTAGGATTACAGGCATGAGCCACTGCGCCTGGCAGATTTTTCCTTTTTTATTTAAGCTATTTGTGTTTACTTTCTGTAACTTGCAACCAGAAGTGTCCTGACAAACCGAAGGTTATGGCAAAAACAAAGATATTTTCCAGAGATAATTAGGTGTATAATGACTATTCATCTCATCTTATTCTATGCTAAGGGTTTTAAAAGCATCTCAATCACTGTGTGACAGCCATCAATACTAAAATACATTTAAACTAAACAGTATAAAGAACACACGGGGCACACTCATTCACTCTAGAATTGTGCATCAAATGCAGAAATTCCCACTGAGAATTGGGACAGGAGAAATAGGGATAAGAAGATGAAGACTTGACTTTTTTTCACTCTATACACGTCTAAAACAAAACAAGAATATTGCTTCTGTAAGTGAAATGGGTGATTAAGAAAGCTAAAAACAGGGCCGTGCACAGTGGCACACATCTGTGATCCTAGCACTTTGGGAGGCCAAGGTGGGAGAAGTGCTTGAGGCCAGGAGTTCAACTCTAGCCTGGGCAACAAAGTGAAACCCCATCTCTACAAAAATAAAAATTAAAAAATTAGCCTGGCATGGTGGTACATACCTGTGATTCCAGCTACTTGGGAGGCTGAAGAGAGAGGATCATTTAATCCCAGAAGTTCAAGGCTGCAGTGAGCCATGTATACCACTGCACTTCAGCCTAGGTAACAGAGCGAGACTTGGTCTCTCTCTTTTTTTTTCAATTTAAAAAAAGAAAAATTAAAAACAGGCAGAGAAATTTTGGTCAGAGTACAAACCATCAGAGGATAAGTAAATTCTGGAGATCTAATGTGTGTACTGTATGCTTGAAATCTGCTAGAGTACATCTCAGGTATTCTCATCACACACGCCAAAAGACTAAATTATGTGAGGTGATGAATATGTTAATTAGCTTGATTAGGTAATCATTTCATGGTGTATACATATATCAAAACATTACTTTGTACATCTTAAGTATATATAAGTTTTATTTGTCAATTATTCCCCTCAATAAAGCTGGGCGGGGGGAGGAAGAGTTGAAAACATGATCCTTGAAGACTTACTTCATAGTGTTCATATTCATCAAGGTTAAATGAGTTGAAATTAAGGAAGCCATACTGCATTGCCTAAAATCCAAAAGAAAGCTTTTAAGAACAAGGATGCAAATAAGAAAACAGTTTCCTATCCAATTTCAGAATACTAAATATCAGGGGCCCCCCAAGAAAGTATTGTCATGATCAGATTACTTTCCACTGAACAGCTTTCAAAGGAAGTGGGCGGCGTCTTCTAAGTGCTTCTTTTATATGGAAATTAATTATAACTATATGTAATAAGTTTGTTGTGTTTTGTTTGGATTTTGTTTGTGAGATGTGCTTTTTTATTTTCATTCACCAGTCATCCTATCCATGTATTGTTAAATAATCACGCCCTGAAAGTAATCCTCTTCTCTTACCAGATCACTACCACCCCTGGCTGAAAATTCAGAAGTTTAGGATTCAAATATAATGCACAACCCAATGGTCTCTACATCGATAAGAAAGAGGAGAGAATCCATGTGCTAGTTTATCCCAAACAAAACCCTCATACTTCATCCATATCTTCATTTTCAAATTCTTCCGAACAGTCTTTAATCAATGTTCCCTAAAGTAAACAGCTCTGACATCAACACTAAAATCAAAACTTTTGAGGAAAAAAAAGATATTCTTTCCATAGGAATAAAACAAAAAAAATTTCTGTCCTATCCTATAGCCTTACTCTGTGTGATAGCAGGCAGAGTATGATAACCAAAATAAGCAGAGTGTCTATTTTCTGAGACAAGGACAAACAGACCTAGCAGCCTCTGAGAAATATCCTCCTGGCTGCTGATCCCTGAGCCAAACAGGAGGGAAGCAAGAATTGCTGATCCACAAGGTATTCTTGGTTCAAAGAGGGGGCTTTTGTACACCCAGTTTTCAAAAGTAAACTACTGAAATACAAATGTAAAATAAGAAGGCTAGAATATCAACTAAAAAGGTCTTCATTTTATATAGTTATTTAAACACTAATCCCAAGACTAAGTCAATCACAAAATTTATTTCCTTGACTGCAATATATTTCATGATTTTGGACTACAGCTATTTCTAATAGAATGAAACAATAAAAAAAAGTAGTTTATAAGGAATTCCTATTTTCCTTTGAATTTCATGAGGTGATCTTATTGGAAGTGAATCACACTGAAAACATAATTACATTGATGCATGTTTCTTCATATATGCAATATTCAAAATCAGTCACAAATAAAAAATGCTTACACTGCAAATCAGAAGATAGTGACCCTTAAATAAAACTAAATATAGTGGCTGGGTGCGGTGGTGCACGCCTGTAATCCCAGCACTTTGGGAGGCCAAGGTGAGTGGATCGCTTGAGCTCAGGAGTTTGAGACCAGCCTAGGCAACATAGTGAGACCTCATCTCCACAAAAAATATAAAAATTAGCTGAGCATAGCAGAAAAAATGAAAATTTAATTTTAAAAAAACCCAAAATATAGTATGCAAATGGCAATCTTTGACCTATCGTACCAGCTAATTGACTTTGGGTGCAATACCCAATTAAAAAAAAAAAAGCCAAAAAATAATAATAGAAGCTGCCATATGGTGTTATAATAGATCATTTCCAAACCCCTCAAAGCTTTACTTTTCTCTTTTTAAAGGTGAGTGTGCCTGCCTGCATGAGCCCACCTGGCAGGGGCTGCAACTGCAACCAGAAGGTACCATTTACACCTGTTGCCCTTTGGTCTCCTGATTTCCACCAGTGCCCCATACCTGCCCACACTGAGGGCCCATGGAGCCGCCTCAGAGCTCATGGCAACTACCCCAATCAGCTCCATATCCCACAGTCACTGGGCTCAAATCCAAACAATGTGCCCATACCTCATTGATTGATACAGGGAAAAAAGTATATCAATTAGTCTCTGAATTTGTATGCTGATTAGTCCTCTCGTTTTAAGACATGTCTGTCACAATTCCCAGCAAGCCACCATGTTTCATTATACAAGAAAGTAAACCTGGGTTCCTTTTGGCTCTAAAAGCACAAGTTACAGAAAAATGCTGTCAAAGGCTTATTTGATCCATGGGCTACTGATTTACCATTCTAGTTTCTCCTGCTGTCCTGACATTAATACCAGGACTTGCTGCACTGTGTGACCCCAGGGGACCCTGTTCACGTAGAACGTGATAGGGAGGGTGTCCCCTGGAATCAACACAGCAGCCCTGGTTATGACCCAAGGAATCACTTGGAAATAGTTTGACAAAGCAGCAGTGACCCACTTAGTTTCACATAAAACTGTATAACAAACTAATTGAGGCATTCAAATTCTGTTGAACTAGAAATTGAACGCCTGACAAAACAAAAATGAAGTGTTTGACAGTGACTGTGTTACGTCTGTTGTAATGGTATTGGCAGGAATCAGGTATATAGAATATACAAATCAAAGAGAACTTACCAGTAAACAAGTCATCTTTACTTTTGTTCTTTTAGATCATAATATACTCAAAACCAATTCTGGATCTAGAACCTAATCGTATAACTCTTATTTTCCCTGTTTCTTAAGTGACTTTTCCCCCAACTCATACATAGAAGCACTCAGAAATTCAGAATAAACTGTTTCCTGGTTTGGTCTCATTCTGACATTAGTTGGGAAATGGAGCACCTCTGTCACCATAGGCATCTTGGAAGAAACACTAACAAAAAGATCTCGGGAAGAAGGCCTAGTTTTCTTGGACCGCATGTTAGTTCCTCAACACAACACTGGGTGCATCCTACATGTCACTCACCTTCTTTACTGCATGAAAACAGTCAAGAAGTGTAATGTAGAAATTGCAACTTCCATAGGCAGCATCTCTGAAACCCAAGAGTAATAAAATGTAGATCAGTTAATTTTCTGCAATTACACTTACCTAAGACAAAGGTGACTAGAATTTAAAATCAAATGTACACTCTGAACCATTATCAAGAAGAAAAAAATCTCGCCTTTTGACTTTTAAATAAAAGATAAATCAATTACAAATTTCACTGCAGTTTCTACCTATTCCAATAGGTACTGTTTTATGGGCCTGGATCAATAATGACCACTTCCTAAATTTCAAATGTTCTCTCTGGATTATTTTTGGCTTTAACAGCTGAGCCACCTTCTTGAATTCAACAAATCAATACCTATCTCTCCCCCAAAGGGGCAAAGCATTTGAATTTTTTCTTTAAACTGGAAAATACCGTATGAAAATCTTACTGGGAAAGACTGCTTTTTGATCCTGTAATAAACATATGTGTGTATGTGTGTCTATTTATACGTGTGTCTGTCTGTGTGTGTGTGTCTCCAACCAAGTATGACAGAAATACTGAGAAATCAAGGTCACATTTAAAATATTAGGTAGAAGGTCATAAGCATTTTGTTGCTATCGTTATCCTAAAGACTTTTACCCATTTAACTGGGTAACTTCTGGGTTTTTTTTTTAAACTTTTTTATAGAGATAACGTCTTGCCCTGTTGCCCATGTTGGGGTGCAGTGCAGCTCACTGCAGCCTCAAACTCCTGGGTTTAAGTGATCCTCCCACCTCAGTGTCCCCAGTAGCAAGGACCACAGGCATGTATCACCGCATCTAGCTAACTTTTTTTTTTTTTTTTAAGGTAGAGATGGAGTCTCATTATGATACCAAGGCTGGTCTTAAACTCCCGGCCTCTGCCGGGCGCAGTGGCTCAGGCATGTAATCCCAGCACTTAGGGAGGCCGAGGCAGGTGGATCACGAGGTCAGGAGTTCAAGACCAGCCTGGCTAAGATGATGAAACCCTGTCTCTACTAAAAATACAAAAATTAGCCAGGCACGGTGGTGGGCGCCTGTAATCCCAGCTACTCAGGAGGCTAAGGCAGAGAATTGCTTGAACAAGAGAGATGGAGGTTGCAGTGAGCCGAGATCATGCCACTGCACTCCAGCCTGGGCGACAAAGTGAGACTCTATCTCAAAAAACAAAAAACAAAAAACAACAAGCCCAAAACACCCACACAACTGGCTGGGCACAGTGGCTAACGCCTGTAATCCCACCACTTTGCGAGGCCGAGGCAAGTGGATCACAAGGTGAGGAGATCGAGATCTTCCTGGCTAACACGGTGAAACCCTGTCTCTACTAAAAATACGAAAAATGAGCCGGGCGTGGTGGGGGGCACCTGTAGTCCCAGCTACTCCGAGGCTGAGGCAGGAGAATGGCGTGAACCCGGAGGCGGAGCTTGCAGTGAGCGGAGCTTGCGCCATTGCACTCCAGCCTGGGTGACAGAGCGAGACTCGAGACTCGTCTCAAAAAAAAAAAAAACTTCTAGCCTCAAGCAGTCTTCTCACCTTTTTGGCCTCCCGAAGTGTTGAGATTACAGGTGTAAACAGCTGTGCCCTACCTTCTTTCTGATTTTTAAAGGACAGTAATACCAATAAAACCACAGGAACTAACAAGTCAACTACCTTCCACAGGATCACTCTAGTTTTGGGAAAGTGCTTATATTACTTTACAGACAACTCCAGCCAAACACTGCATCAATACATACCAGTAAATCTTCCTATACAAATCTCTTAATATCAAGTAAGGTTTTACCCAGAGAAATAAGGCACCCCGACCCCTACCCTGCTTCTCCTTTTTGGCTACCTTGAGCCATTACAAGATGAAATCTTCTGGAATTAGGCAACATAAAAATTAATTTAATTATGATTAAGCTAGGCATGCAGAAAAACTGTGCCTATCTGAATGGTACTCATTTGCTCCTGGGGAAACAGGGTTGCTGGTGGAGCTATCACTAATTCCCCACCTTATTTGGGTCTTCACACTGTAATATTTCTTACTGTGTGGTAGTTACATAAATACATGTAAAACCTTACTACTGTACACTTAAGATTAGTGTTTTTGAGGCCGGGCGTGGTGGCTCACGCCTGTAATCCCAGCACTTTGGGAGGCCGAGGCAGGTGGATCACGAGGTCAAGAGATTGAGACCATCCTGGCCAACATGGTGAAACCCTGTCTCTACTAAAAACATAAAAATTAGCCGGGCATGGTGGCGCGCACCTGTAGTCCCAGCTACCCGGGAGGCTGAGGAAGGAGAATCACTTGAACCTGGGAGGCAGAGGTTGCAATGAGCCAAGATCGCACGCCACTGCACTCCAGCCTGGTGACAGAGCGAGACTCCCATCTCAAAAAAATAAAATAAAATAAAAAAAGATTAGTGTTTTTGTTAAAAACTATAAGTTATACATTAACTTAAAAGGGGAAAATGAATATTCCACAAATGTTAGAATAAAAACTAAACCACATTTTAAACTTTTAATTCTTGCTCAAACCTTAAGGGCCAAAACTACAGCAATGAGGGCAAGAAAAGGCATCCTTTTTAGCTAAAATCGTCTTCAATGTTACTGACTGAGCTGCTTAGAATTACTGAGCTATGCGAACCTTCATGAGGACAGAATGCAGGGTCTTGTTTTCTTTTTTTGAGACACGGTCTCACTATGTTGCCCAGGCTGGAGTGCAGTGGTGCAATCATGGCTCACTGCAGCCTTGACCTCCTGGGCTAAAGCGATCCTCCCACCTCAGCCTCTGGAGTAGCTGGGACCAAAGGTGCACACCACCAGGCCTGGCTAAGTTTTCGTATTTTTTGGTAGAGTTGGGGTTTCACCATGTTGCCCAGGCTGGTCTCGAACTCCTGAGCTCAAGCACTCTGCCTGCCTCAGCCTCCCAAAGTGCTGGGATTACAGGTGTGAGCCACTGCGTTCAGCCAACACAAGGTCTTAGAACACACCATTTTTGTTCTGTAAGGTTCTGAAGTGAAAAACTTCTCTTCCACATCCTAGAAAAAGTCTTTAACCTAAAAGGCCACGATTTTACCAACACTTTATTGGCAATATTCAGAAAGAAAAAAACAAAAGGACTTCCAGCAGTGGTCCCCAGGCCAGCAGCACCAGGACCACCCCACCTGTTAGAAATGCAAATTCTCAGGGCTACCCCACATCTACTGAATCAAAGTTCTCGGGATAGGGCCAGGTAATTTGTGTCTTAACAGGTCCTCTAGTTGTCTGTGATTGTGTTCAAGTTTATGAATCACCAACCTACAAATCAACACAAATCCTGGTTTTGTAGAAATAGGGTGTTCATGGAATAAAGAACCCATTTAGGTAGAGAAACTAAGGCAGGAAAATGAAGTACTTTAGCCTAAATCAAATCAAAATTATCAATGGAAATGGGGTAAACCCTCAAGTTGGATCCCAATGATTTTAACCATGTCTTCTCTGTGAAGGAGTATGATTATTTTCTTTTTTTTTTTTTTTTTTGACAGTCTCCCCCTGGAGTGAGTGCAGTGGCGCGATCTTGGCTCACTGTAAGCTCCACCTCCTGGGTTCACAACATTCTCCTGCCTCAGCCTCCCAAATAACTGGGACTACAGGCGCCTGCCACCACGCCCAGCTAATTTTTTTGTATTTTCAGTAGAGATGGAGTTTCACTGTGTTAGCCAGGATGGTCTCAATCTCCTGACCTCGTGATCCACCTACCTTGGCCTTCCAAAGTGCTGGGATTATAGGCGTGAGCCACTGCGCCTGGCTTGATTATCTTCTTAACCTACTGATAATCTTTTCCAATCAAGTTAAAGACATGTTGATTCAGTCTCTGTGACATTTTGGCAAATTTCTTCAATGCTTTTTTTTTTTTTTTGAGAACCTACTGTGGGGCACAGCCCCGCTCCAATCTGTGATGATTTCACACGCTTTCATCTGGGCCCTGCTGAAGTCCTGCCTCATACATCATAGAATCTGAATATACGACAAGAATCTTTGCTCACTCAAGTGTATTTCATTAGCACCTCCAATTTTAGACACACCCACATCACATCTTCCTCCCACCTTGCATTCAGCCTTCTTCCAATAGGCAGAACAGCAACTCTGAGGCTCAGTTTATAAGCCTTGGGCAGTGGGGAGGGATCCTTGTCACCAAGATCATTTAACAAATTTGGAAAACACGTAAGAATCAATAAATGGGCACTGCTTAGAAACTGCACAACAATGTCAAATACTAGTTTTAAAGAATGGCAGCTTTCGTAACAGCTCGTATTCACCACGGCCAAAAACTACGAATGACCCAAATATCCATCAAAAGGACCACAGGCAAATAAATTGTGGTATACTCATAGACTGGAATGCTACAAAAGGAATAAAAAAGGATGAACTACTGATACCTTCCACAACACAGGTAAATCTCATAGACATTACATATGTGAAATCCAGTTGACAGCTCCCCAAAATGCATACCAGTAATATCAAGTTCAAAGGCAAGCAAAACTGATAGTGGTAGAAGTCAGAGCAATGATTAGCTGGGGGTGATGACTGACTGGAAAGGGGTGGGAGGGAAATCTAGGAGACAGAGAATTTTTTTTTTTTTTTGCGGGGAGTGGGGTGGGGACGGAGTTTCGCTCTTGTCGCCCAGGCTGGAGTGCAATGACACGATCTCAGCTCACTGCAATCTCCGCCTCTCAGGTTGAAGTGATTCTCGTGCCTCAGCCTCCCAAGTAGCTGGGATTACAGGTGTGCACCACCATGCCCTGCTAATTTTTGTATTTTTAGTAGAGACAGGGTTTTACCACGTTGGCCAGGCTCATCTTGAACTCCTGACCTCAGGTGATCCACTTGCCTCAGCCTCCCAAAGTGGCAGGATTACAGGCGTGAGCCACCGCGCCCGGCCACGACAGTGATTTTTAAACATGTAGGTAAATGGCCGGGCTCGGTGGCTCATGCCTGTAATCCCAGCACTTTGGGAACCTGAGGCGGGAGGATCATGAGGTCAGGAGATTGAGACCATCCTGGCTAACACAGTGAAACCCCGTCTCTACTAAAAATACAAAAAATTAGCTGGGCGTGGTGGCAGGCGCCTGTAGTCCCAGCTACTTGGGAGGCTGAGGCAGGAGAATGGCGTGAACCCAGGAGGCGGAGCTTGCCGTGAGCCAAGATCGTGCCACTGCACTCCAGCCTGGGCGACAGAGCAAGACTCCGACTCAAAAAAAAGTAGCTAAATGACAGTCAACTTAAAAGGGGGAAGGTTGGAATATTTAACAAATATTAGTTAAAGGCCAGGTACTATATCAAGTGTTTGTTTTTTTTTTAAGAGACAGGGTCTTGGCCAGGCACAGTGGCTCATGCCTGTAATTCCAGCACTCTGGGAAGCCGAGGCTGGTGGATCACCTGAGGTCGGGAGTTCAAGACCAGCCTGGCCAACATGGCAAAACCCCATCTCTACTAAAAATACAAAAAATTAGCCAGGTGTGGTGGCGGGCACCTGTAATCCCAGCTACTCAGGAGGCTGAGGCAGGAGAATCGCTTGAACCCAGGAGGTGGAGGCTGCAGTGAGCCGAGATCACACCAATGCACTCCAGCCTGGGTGACAGAGCGAGAGTCTGTCTTAAAAAAAAAAAAAAAGATACGGTCTTGTTCTGTTGTGCAGGCTGAGTGCAGTGGCATAATGAAAGCTCACTGAAGCCTCCTAGGCTTGAGGGATCCTCCTGCCTTAGTCTCCCAAGTAGCTAGGACTACAGACACATGCCACCCTGCCCAGCTAATTTTTTTTTCCCCAAAGAGAAATGGTCTTGCTATGCTGCAAGGCTGATCTTCCAAATCCTGGCCTCAAGCTATCCTCCTGCCTCAGCCTTCCGAAGTGCTGGAATTATAGGCATGAGCCACCATGCCCAGCCTATACCAAGTGTTTTATATGCAGGATGTCACTTCATCCTCACAACTCCTTGAGAGAGAATGTATTATTGTTTCTGTTTCTGTTTTTTTTTTGAGATGGAGCCTCGCTCTGTTGCCCAGGCTGGAGTGCAGTGGCACCATCTCAGCTCAATGCAAGCTCTGCCTCCCGGGTTCACAGCATTCTCCTGCCTCAGCCTCCTGAGTAGCTGGGACTATAGGCGCCCGCCACCACGCCTGGCTAATTTTTTGTATTTTTAGTAGAGACGGGGTTTCACCGTGTTAGCCAGGATGGTCTCGATCTCCTGACCTTGTGATCTGCCCACCTCAGCCTCCCAAAGTGCTAGGATTACAGGCGTGAGCCACAGCGCCCAGCCTATTGTTTCTGTTTAAAGACTAGGAGACCAAGGCTCAAATCTGTAAAGGACCACAGAGATGTCAGTAGCAGAGCTGACAGCAAGACTCCCATCTGTCTGATGTCAAGTCAAGCTATTAACAAATATACAATACTACCTCTCAAGAAAACAGGAAGCAGAGGCAAGCCCCACACACACAAAAACAACTAAGAAGCAAAGAGTATTATAACAGATAATACCAGAGAACAGAAATACACACTGTTCATAACAATGATCCTATGATATTTAAAAAAAATTAAACTATATTTTATACTATTTAATTATGCAGACCAGACACAGAGAAATATTTAATATAACTCAATAAGAAATCATATACACACATACACACACACATACATACACACACACTTTAAAACTCAGTGGTTAAAGAAGGCTGGGCACAGTGGCTCACCCCTGTAATCCCAGCACTTTGGGAGGCCAAGGTAGGCGGATCACTTCAGGCCAGGGGGTTGAGACCAGCCTGGGCAACTTAGTGAAACCCCATCTCTACTAAAAATACAAAAATTAGCCGGGCATGGTGGCATCTGCTCTAGAGGCTGAGACATGAGAATTCCCTGAACCTGGGAGGCAGAGGTTGCAGTGAGCCAAGATTGCGCCACTGAACTCCAGCCTGGGTGACAGAGCAAGAATCTGTCTTTAAAAAAAAAAAAAAGAGAGAGAGAGAATTCTATCTAAGTTGAATTAAATCTAATTAAATAAAACATTGCTACAGAACATAAAAGAACTTATTTGCTATAAATGAATGCCATTCTTGCACAACGTCGTGTTAGCAATACTTTGTTGGTCATATTTATTCTATGTACTTAAAGTGGCAAGATACAAAGAATATAATGTCATTTCTATCAAAATATTATCAGGCTTTATTAATTCTGATTGGACTACTTTCTAATTGATAAGTTCTATAGAACACTATGTGAAGAAGCACTAAATTTAAAAACTAAGTCTATCACAGGTTGACACTTTTGTAAGATAAATATGAAATGCAATAGTACTATACTATTACATATCCAGTAATGCAATAATCTTATTTTTGTGAATAAAATAAATTACTAGAAAAATGAAAGGGGAAAAAAAACAAAATACAAGCTCAAATTTCTTCTACTATTTGATTCTACAGACATAAAATTGCTCTATTCGATAACTATAAATGTTTCTAAAATCTTATTCTCAACTTCTGTATTTATCTCAACACAGGCTGGTAACAAAATGTCACAGATCGGCACCAGTTCACAGGCCACACTTTATGAAATCCCAGCACTTTGGGAGGCTGAGGCGGGCGGATCATGAGGTCAAGAGATCAAGACATCCTGGCCAACATGGTGAAACCCCATTCTCTACTAAAAATACAAAAATTAGCCAGGCGTGGTGGCACACGCCTGTAGTCCTAGCTACTCGGGAGGCTGAGGCAGAAGAATCGCTTGAACTTGGGAGGCAGAGGTTGCAGTGAGTCCAGATTGCACCACTGCACTCCAGCTTAGCGACAGAGCAAGACTCCGTCTAAAAAAAAAAAAAGAAAGAAACACTGTTTAGATAAATCAAATACCTAGTATCTACAATAGAAGAGATTCAAATTCCACAAAGCTGAATGGTTTCTAGCTAAGTCTTGCCTTTTGGAGAATTACTGACTGATGCTCCTGGGACCAAAAGGAACTAACTTCATTTCTCAGTGCCAAACTTTAATAATTTGAAACATAGCAAGGCAGTAAGCAATGCTTATTCTGTTTTTGGCACCTGTATTTAAATTAACTCAAAACGTCTTTTTTCACATCAACAGTGTTCCATGGATCCTTCATTGCACAGTGCGAAATGTGTGAGCATGTTCCTATTTCAGGACCTTGTGCTGTAAATCTAAGAGTGGCATCACAAAAGATTACCATTATAAAGAAGAGTTCTATAGAACAAATGTCACTACATCAAGAGATGACCAAGGTGCCTGTGACTCAAGACCAAAAATACAAGCATTTCTTTTAAAGGAAGAATGTGGTTGCTATTATGTTATAGGTTGAGAAGAATTTTCCAGCTTAGAAAATGATCTTTATTTCCCCCTCTTCCCTTCCTACCCACCTCAAATAAAAGAATACTTAAGATGAGCCATGAGCTAGCAGAAAGGGATGATACTGGGTTCAAGCCAATTCTAATTTGCTCAATCACAGATTTTCACAATTTTTCATGCAGCGTATTACTGAAGTCTTCAGACTGCCCTGACAAATTGTTATTTCATGGAGTAAGTCCACAGGCAGGCCTATAAAGTTATTTGAAAGGGAGATTCTGCCAATAATTAGAAATACCCATCCCAAGGCTCATCTACAATAAAGTCAGATTCACAAACTCCCTTTTTTAAAGTTAGGGCCATACATTCAAAATCAGGCATTTGTGGTTTATGTAACAATCCTAATACGATAAACTAACGAACTAATTAGTTTGAACAATGAACTAATAAGCAATAGTTATTATTAATTTGTGAATGGAAGAACAAGCAGTTTTTGAAAATATCAAAGTCTTCAATGAGTAAAATTATTTCATACATTTATTACCCATTAAGTACCATACAAGTATTTAAACTATAGAGCTAAGTCAAGTATTTTGATAAACGAGCAGAAAAATTTTTAGAACTTGATTTAAGCACTAGTCTTCTAGAAATATCTTCAACACAATCGCATGCTAAGTTTGAGATGATGTCATCCATTCCTGTAGACATCACTAACTACCACCTCTGGAACACAGTGACTTGACTGGTTTTTCTGGAAGTGGTACTGCATTAGCAACCTTATCGACTGTCTCTACTGACTGTGTCCCCAGAAAAAAGGGGTTCATTTTGGTCCCAGAAAGTAACTACTGATTATTGGGAACGTTTCTTAACTTCTCAGGAACCACACTCCTCAGTGGTAGTTTTGAGTACAATAACCCAGGATTCTCACCTGATACAAAGCCTAGGTTTTGGGGTTTGCTTTTTTTTTTTTTTTTTTTGAGACAAGTTATCTCTCTATTGCCCAGGCTTGAGTGCTGTGGTATGACCATAGCTCACTCACTGCACCCTCGAACTCCTAGGCTCAAACAATCCTCCAGCCTCAGTCTCCCAAGTAGCTGGGACTACAGGCATGTGCAACCACGCCTGGCTAATTTTTTTTAAAATTTTTTTATAGAGATGGGGTCTGTCTTTGTTGCCGAGGCTGGTCTGGAACTCCTGGGCTCACGCAATCATTCCACCTTGGCATTCCAATATGCTGGGATTACAGGCATGAGCCACTGTGCCCAGCCAAAGCTTAGTTTTCATCAATGGCAGTAGTTCTCAGCGTAGGGAGATTTTGCTCTCCATCCCCCAAGGTCACTTACAGGGATATATGGCAATGTCTGAAGACATTCTGAGTTTTGACAATTAGAGTGGGTGTGGGGATTTTACCAGCATCTAGTGGGCAGAAGCCACGGAGGCCACTAAACATGCTACGACGCACAAGATAGCCTCCATGACAAAACGTCAACAGTGTCACTGTGGAAAAACCCAGATCTGTGGTGTTATTTGCGCTCATCCTAAAATGACTATTTACCAGATCTTCTTTTTTCAGAAACAACTATCAAGATATTTCTGGCAAGGATCTGATTACCTGAATCTACCACATCATTCTTATATTTACCTGAAAGGAATATAGGATGTCTCTCCAAAGATTAATATTCTATATGCTTCTTCTGGGGTTCTCCCCAAATATATAACCTATGTTTGAAAAAAGAAGAAAAAGGCAATTTATTTCTAAGTGAAGATACAGTGCTGTCACTGCGAAGTAAATTTTGTCCAATTTCCAACCAACTGAGCAGGGTTCTCCAGCCTTCCCCAGGAGCCTAGGAATCACCCAGAATCCTGTCCATAGATTTCTTTTTTGTTTAAATCCTCCATTGCTGGTTTCTGTTGTTTGCAGTATAAGCCCTGACCAACAACTCTTCACAGCAACCTTTTGTGGTAAGAAGCACAGTATTTTAAAAACAGATTTTCCAAATCAAGACGTTAGACTGATCCCATGCTTTTACCTCCCCTCCTTCCTGAAAGTCCACTGAAATGACAGCTAAGCAGCGTGTAGGAGATGGGGATGGGGTTAGACTGGGGTGAGGTGGAAAGAGACACAAAGGCAGAACACAGACTGTGATTAACTCTGTCCATGTAGGTGTGAGGGCTTGCAATACTGAACAAGTTGATTATCAAACTGCACTTGTTTTCGACGCTCATTGACTTCTTTTGTCCTTAGAACTATGCTATGCTTTGACTTTAACCTGGGAGAATACCTCAAGTATATTCTTCAGCATTTGAGGTCTATAGTTGGTATTCCTTGCCTTTCCAAACATTTTTTTTTTCCCTTGACATTTTTTATTTGACTACTATGCGTAGGATTTTTGGTCTGCAGTCATTTCCTCTTGATAGTTTCTAGATAACGTTCTCATGTCTTCTCACTTCTAGTGTTACAGAAGTATTTTACTGATCTAAGTATCTCTGTCTGCTTCTTACAAGTAACCTGTTTGTTCTAGAAATCTGCAGTTTGAGACTTTCACCACCATCTCTCTAAGTAAGTCCTCTGCCTACCCCCTATTACATTTGCCTGGGACTTCAGAACCTTCCTGCAGGGCCCTTTCAACTAATGTACGGAAGGTTGGGGTTGGGGAGGCGGGAGCGGTGGGAAGGAGAAACAGCATTAAATCTGGCACATATATTATCACTAAAATTAGGTTGAACTCCAAAGATTACTTTGGGGAAATAGATTTTAAATTTCACTAATAAAAAAAAAGAAATCACTAAAAAAAGTTAATTGCAAACTTTTTATCTCCATTACTTAACATGATACATGTGACCTGTTTCCACAACCAAATGTGAAGCATTCTGAAGTTGGGACCCATGTCTTATGGTTTCATTACACACCAATCCGATTCACTGATGTACTTAGCTGAACCCAAATCTACTTACAATAGTTAGGAAAATTTTAAATGTTTAATAAAAGTTGATATCAATGTGAAACTATCACTGGACTAAGAGAAATTTTTCAAAGTTCAAAGATCCAGCAAGGATCTTAGAAACTCAGAAACAGACATATCCTAAAACTAGTCATAAGCACTGACTCAGCTTCCAAAGGGCATTTCACCAATTTTCTGACTCAAGACTCATAAACGGAAAATTTTCCCAATGACTGGCCTGTTTCTGTTTCTTTCTTTTCTTTTCTTTTTTTTTTTTTTTGAGATGGAGTTTCACTCTTGTCGCCTAGGCTGGAGTGCAATGGTGTGATCTCAGCTCACTGTAACCTCCACCTCCCAGGTTCAAGCAATTCTCCTGCCTCAACCTCCCGAGTAGCTGGAACTATAGGCGTGCACCACCACGCCTGGCTAGTTTTTTTGTATTTTTAGTAGAGATGGGGTTTCACCATGTTTGCCAGGCTGGTCTCAAACTCCTGACTTCAGGTGATCCGCCTGCCTCGGCCTCCCAAAGTGCTGGGATTACAGACATGAGCCACCATGTCCGGCCTACACACAGATCTTCTAAGCATCAACCTATAAGTCATGAAAATTAAAACATTTAAAAAAATCAGCCTGTTTTTTCCAAATTCCCTTATTCCCTTCCAGTCTCCGATGCATGTATGCCTCTTCTAACACTTACCAGATAACATCAGTAAAGTCTTTCATTTTCTCCATTCTATTTTAAGACTTCCTAGCAGATTAAAAAAAAACAAAAAACAAAACCTAAAACCGGAAGGGTGCGGTGGCTCACGCCTGTAATCCCAGGACTTTGGGAGGCCATCACAGGCAGATCACGAGGTCAGGAGATGGAGACCATCCTGGCTAACACGGTGAAACCCCGTCTCTACTAAAAATACAAAAAATTACCCTGCATGGTGGCAGGCTCCTGTAACCCCAGCCACTCAGGAGGCTAAGGCAGGAGAATCCCTTGAACCCAGGAGGCGGAGGTTGCAGTGAGCCGAGATCGCGCCACTGCACTCCAGCATGGGCGACAGACCAAGAGTCAGTCTCAAAAGGCAAAAACAAAAAAACAAAACAAAACCCTAAAACCAAAAAACAAAACCAAATAAAAAAACACCTTGAAGCCAATAAAAATAAGAATAGAGTCTGATTCATCTGTGTACTAAAATGAAATCTAGAGACCCATTTAGGAATTTCTCTAAATTTCTAAGGCCTTCTCTCAAATTATACAAATTTTTCCTTAAGCACTAATTTAAGATAATTTTTCCTGCTTGTGATTACAGTTCTTTGGGTTCTTTAATTAGTAAAATTGCAATGGTATTACTTTCTCCTAACTTTCAAAGCAAAAATAGTCTGTAATACATTAAGGACTGTGGTTTAGCCTTGGAACACTAGTTTGATTCAAAAAACCACAAGAACAATGTAACATTTTTTTCCTATGGGGGAAAAAACCCCTAAATTCCTGACGATGAACTTTAAAAGACTGTAATTTAAAAATCCAGTTGGGGAATGCTGGCACATAAATAAATAATGTAAAGCATAACTAGATAAACTGAAGGAAGTTTACAGATGCAGAACAAATCCACTTATATAACTATCAAAGATATATTTGCCAATCTATAACTTTTACCTTTTTTTCTTTTTTGGCCAGGCATGAAGGAAGTAACTTTTACTTTTACACCTACTCATCTTGCTGATTCAAAAGGCCTTCCCAAATGAAATCATTCTAAATTTGTTACTAAAGAAGAATCCTATAAATAACTCCTACATTAACACAAATTCTCAGATTAGTAAACTCTAAATTGATGCAACTTATGATCTATCACCGTGCTTCTGGCAGTCTGGACACTTGGCGTTTCTCAAATTCTTTTGATATATTTTCATGAGAAGCTATATATATAGAATGCCCACTCTAATTCCACAGTGCTAGTTAAGAACAGGAAACAACAAATGATGACCAAGAGAGCTGCTGACCAGCTGTGATCGCCAGCTTCCCAGGCAACCCCAAAGAGTCTCATCTGCTGGCATTTCCACCCTTGTGTGGTCCCCTCCCACGGTGAACAGGGTGCCCCTGTGTAACGAACAGGATACTGGAGTAATAGGGTGTGATTTCAGAGGCTAGATCATAAAAGAGGTAGCTCCTGTCATGCTTTCTCTTAGAACCCTCGCTCTGGGTACAGCAAGCTGTTATTTTGGGAGGATACTCAAGCAGCCCACGTGGTATGGAAGAGAGGCCTCCTGCCAGCAATCGGCACTAACCTGCCAGGTATGTGACTGAGCCCCCTTAGACATGGACCCTCCAGGTGAATGCAGCCCAGACACGGTACAGAACCAGACCAGACCCAACCAAGTTAAGCAACTCCCAGATGCCTAACTCATAGACATGGTCTAAGACAATTCGTACTGTTGTTTTAGGTCACAAAGTTTTGCAGTAATTTGCTGGGCAGCAATAGTGTGCAGTAGCACACTCAATTTAAGGAAATGGCCGTTTCCATTTGTTAAAAGTGAATAGACAAATACATGAGGCGTAAGCACAGAGATGCAGCTTAGGAGGCATCAGTAAGACCTTGTTTCTCTAGGATAAAGACTCTCTCTGAACGAGCAAATATCACACAAACACACGCAAATACTGTGGTTGAAAATGCTTGAGACTGGTGTGGTTTTCAAAGTCATGGCACAAAGTTCTTTTTTTGCTGAACAATACCTCAACCATTCCCAGGACTTCCCACCACCCCCACTTTCTAAAATCACCATCTGCATGCCAGAGTCCCTGTGAGAACGCTGGACCCTCGATTACTAACATACGTTTCAAAACCTCGGAGGTATTGAACTAGCAGTGATGGAAGAACAAGCAACAGAAGCAACAGGATCCCAGCTGCATTACTTCTCCTTTCAATGTTTCAATGCTGACAAGCCGGGCCTCAAATCATGGAAACCCAATTAGACATGTGCTTCCTATTTCTACTCTTATGCACAGGATTCTGAAGCTTTATTTATATACTTAGAGAGCCTCTGTACAATTTAGAACCCAAACGTTACACAAGTCATTTCACCCTAGAGCTGAGAGTGACAAAGGATATTGAAATTCCAGCAACAAATGTGGCAGCCTGAGTAACCAGGAAATCCTGGAGAGATGTCACAATGTTTCCAGCACTTAAAGACTCTTGTGACTATTTTCATGTCAGCCAGATGATACAGTCTTTCCTACGCCAAGAACTTGATTGATTATTAAAAAAAAAAATCACTCTCTCCAGATTAACAAAGAATGCTCACAAATCAATGCAAGTTGAAGATAGGCTTACACATTCAACTGCTCAATAAAAAAGGTGAGCAGAGGAAAGAACACAGAGAATAAAAAAGTAAATAAAATCACTTTCATAGCTCCTGCACAAAACTGGTTAAGAAAAAAAACTCGTTAAAAAAAACCTCAGATGAACTTATATTTCAATAGTTTTAACTTTTAAAATTACTTTTACATATATATAATGATATATATAATGATCCTCAATTTCGACAAAATGAAACTGGAAGTTCAGAGTAGCAAACACGTATCTACCAAGTCTGCTAATAAAAATAGTGAATTGGCCCTGGGAATTAGTACACATTTGAGTGGTAGGGACATTTTTTAAAGACCAAGAAAAAAATCTTGATTTTTTAAAAAATGAAATCTCCTAAATTTTAACCACAGAGGAAAAAAAACCCACAACTATTTATAATGCTCTGTGAGTTTCATAAAACTGGCAGGCTACAACTTTCCAGACCTTGGCATCAACTGCTCATCCAAGATCACACCGCCTATTATTGATGGAAGAGGGCCTGCTCCTCTGGCCGTATTTATAGACAGGAACCCATCCTATCTAAAACAATGACCGGAACAAGGATGGGACCCAAAATTCCAGAAAGCTTAACGGATCTGCAGTCAAGGATCTTAAGCTATCAGAGAGCCATTTCTCTTCACTTTTTCCCCAAGTTAACAGCACCCAGCAAGCACCACGGGCAGTGGAAACGCCCGTCAGAAGCCCTCGGGTGGCAAGGGAAGTCAAACTGTGATGCACTGTGAGCAGGGCAGACAGCTGCCTCCCACAGGGCCGGCTCCCAAGGAAGCACTGGCTTCCCACTGAGGGCCTGTGCCGTCCCTTTGCTCAGCCCAGTTCGCCTCACACTAGCTGGGGCCTGGCTACTACTGACGGTTGCCTCGTGCTGTTTGCCCTGCCTTTCACAGACACCCAGGAAGGGTGTTATGACCTCATTCTGTCCTCCAGCCTCTGCTGTCCCATCTGGGCAGCTGTTTGCTGAACTGGATTCTTACCCACTGCGTCTAGATCCTCGTTCTCTGTTCCCTTGTCTTAACTTCCCAACTGATCCTTTCCTCCTGCAGGCACTGGCTATTCTGAGTCCAAGATAATTAAATCATTTAAAAAGTGGGACCACAGATTCAAAAGATCATCATTAAATAACAAAGTCCCTGAGCTCTTATCATAACTGTAGAGGCAATCTCAAATTTAATGCAGTTTAGAATTCTTCTCACAGATTGCTGAGTTAATATATTCTTAAATTTAATTAGTATCATCATTTTCAACATAAATGCTTACAAGGTAAGCCATTCTTACAGCTATAAAAACTGCTTAAACATAAAAAATAATAATATACAGTGATAAATTTTGAACAGGGAACCTACATGTTACAATTAGCTCTACCAAAGTAATCTATTAAACATTAGAGGAAAGCAAATTTGCAAGCTACGTGCCAAAAGTTTGCTTGTGTCATTTATTTTTTACACAAAATGCTTGGCATTTATTTTATACACAGAAAGATGTTAGAAATGGTGGTTAATTTCCCAGGCTAGCCCTCAAAAGTACATTTAACCCATAGAAGAGATGAATACCATGTATCTTCAGAAAATCTAACTGCTGTGGCAGGAAGATGTAACCAAAGTTGAAAGACAAATACCATTATGTTCTCACTCATATGCAGGAGCTAAGTAAGTTGATCTTATGGAGGCCAAGAGTAGAATAAGGGTTATCAGAGGCTGGGAAGGGCGTGTGTGGTCAGGGGGAGTGAAGAGAGGTTGGTTCTTTGGTACAAATGTACAGTTAGAATGAACAAGTTCTAGTGTTAGATAGCACAGTAGTGTGACTATAGTTTACAATAACTTACTGTGTATTTCAAAATAGAAAGGAAGATTTAAAATGCTCTCAACACAAAGAAATGACAAATGTTTGAGGCGATGGATACTGCAACTGCCCTAATTTGGCTGTCACACATTATATACATGTATAAAACTATCACATGTAACCCATAAATATGTACAATTATGTACCAATAAAAAATTTTAAAATTGTACTGTAAACATAAAACATATACGTACACAACATACATCTGTGCATATACACACACGTGCACGTCTTGTTTCTAGAAATATAAAAACTTCTTTTTAAAAGATTTTTTAAATTTCTCAAGAGTGCAAATATGGATTTTGTGTATGACATTTTTACAACAAAATTAACAAAACAAAATTTCCAACTTTTCTTTCCAAAAGGATTTTTATTATGAATTTGTTTTGAAAAGCACTTAAAATTTTCCACTTAAAATTTCACCTTTACTTTGAAATGACAGGTTAAGTATCATTATCCCTCAATCTGGCCAGGTCATAGCCACTGGCTTAAATAGGGCAGCAAACTTATTTTGTAAAACAATATAGTATGTTTACCTTTTTGTGAATAAGCAAACAAACAAAAGCTCAAGTCATCTTTTATATTTTTCAACTCTTACAGTGGTGCAAAAGATTTTTAGCTTCACTCTAATTTGATACCAAAGAGTCTACCATTCAGATAGCTGAATGGGAAAGCCATTTACCAGGCCACATGAAGAGCAATACTTTGAAATACAATAAAGACAAATGAGTACTCAACTCACTCTTCTCACTTCTTGTAACACACATGACGCCTGACCATCTGTCAAAAAGACCAATTGTGGGCATGTCAATTCATATTTTACACATTTTTGAAGCCTCACCTCTTCTGTTTTTAAGATAAAAAATAAATATAACACTTTATTTCCATGCCATAAAGGATTACCTCACACTCTCTGCCCAACCCACATTAGGTCTTTCTGTGTATACAAGGATGAAGGAAACACGTTACTTTCAGAAGCCCTGAATTCAAAAAGGACTGATAAAAATAAACAGAGTCAGTCTATTTGGAATATTTCTTTCCTAAAGATTCTTCCTCCAGATTTTTTTGGTTTTGTTTTAACATTACCATGCCAAGTCGAACACTAAAGAACCTTACTCTCTCCAAAATTCCTGACGACTCCAGAAAACGTTATCAAGGATGCGGATCAGTTTATAGGGAACTAGCACTCATCTCCACAAATCTTTAACCAGAGGATTTAACGTATTTTAACCAGATCAAAGCTTCACTTGCTTTGATGTGTTATCTTTTCAGGTGTCCATATTATATCTTGACACTGCTTTTCTACTATGAATACATTTCCTTTTCTTAGAAGCTTTTCTCCTGCTTTCCTGCCTATCAACATTACAGCTCCCAATTCCTATTTTAGCAGCCAGCTATGGCTGCAAAGGCTTCTGTCACAGCCAAGAGCTATAATCCTCCTGCCAAGCTAGCTCCTCACTGGGTAAGTAATAAATGCGAGTGAAGATCCAAATTTGCTTACCTGGCACTTCCCTAACCAATCAAATCAGTACTAACCTGAAGGTGTGAAATTCTGGAAGGATTTCTAAATCTAAGATATATTAACTATAGAAAAATAAGCTTCTGTGGTCCAAAATACAACCATAAACAAAGTCAAAAGGCCAATATAAAACTGGAAACAAATATGCCAAAAAATTTTCAATACATACGTCAAGGGGTTGTTGTTTGTTCACTAGTAGTTTAAAAACGACAGCAACAAGACTTAAAAAGAGTGATTTCTTATTTATAAACTTATCACACATTCTGTTTCTGTTTTTAAGACAACCCTGACTGAGTTCCCACTATGCCCATAGCCACCTTCAGAGAGGTTCTTCACGCTGTAGTCCTCGTGCCTGGCTCCTCAAGACCCTACCATCTCAGGGACATCTCATCTGACCAGAGACAGCAATTGACCCGGAAGTGGCCCGGTCTGGCCCCTCTGCTTTGGAGTTCTGCTCAGGAGCACTCTCTCCTAGATGGAACTTCAGCCATCCAGACTTTGTCCAGGTCAGTGTAAAGGCAAGATCCACAAAGAACGGTTGGAACTTTTTTCTGTCACACCAAGGACCATTTCTCCAGGGTTCCCTTTAATATTTTATGAATCTCAAGAATTCTGGCTGAATTCCTTTTTCTATAAAGTTGTCATGATTTATGTTAATCTATGAGGTTCCTCTCCCCAGTGACTGGCCAAGTAATAGGACCAAATGTCCCAGTTAAAACACCCACTTCTCCATACTCTTTTTCTTTCTTGGGTTCATACATAGACTTTTCTCTTTCTCTTTTTTTTTTTTTTTTTGAGACGGGGTCTCATTCTGTTGCCCAGGCTGGAGTGCTGTGGTGCGATCTCGGCTCATTGTAACCTCTGCCACCCAGGTTCAAGCAATTCCCTGCCTCATTCTCCCAAGTCGCTGGGATTACAGGCGCCTGCCACCACGCCTGCCAAACTACTCAAACTTTTTTTTTTTTTTTTAAGGCTTTTGCTGCAAGTACGAGAAACACCAAGAGAGGCTGGGAGAAAGGAAAACACCAATACGTCTGGGAAAGCTTATGAAACCAAATTTTAATAGACAATCTATAACCTATGTTTCATACTTTCAGGGATGATAATAAATTTTGAAGTTTTCTCAGAAACTTTTTTTTTCTTTTGGAGACAAAGTCTCACTCACTGTCACCCAGGCTGGAGTGCAGTGGCACGATCTCAGCTCAGGGCAATTTCCAACTCCTGGATTCAAGGGATTCTCCTGCCTCAGCCTCCCGAGTAGCTGGGACTACAGGCATGTGCCACCACGCCCAACTAATTTTTGTATTTTTAGTAGAAACAAGGTTTCACCATGTTGGCCAGGCTGGTCTCGTACACCTGACCTCAAGTGATCTGCCTGCCTCGGCCTCCCAATCAGAAGCATTTAATTCAACTTTTGTGAGCATAAATAGGAAAACAAAACAAAGACCTTAACCACTGCTGTTAATGATATACCTTATACATAAAAAAGAAAATTATTAAATCTTGAGGTACGATTTCAACTAATATCACCAACTTTTGGACTAGTCTTTGTAAATTCCAGATTATCAAACTATACTCCAGAAAATAATTTTAAAATGGTCCGGTAAGGCATGCCAGAGATAAGGAGCAAGCTAGAAGTGGGGAAGAAAGAACCTAAAGAGCTCCAAAAACAACCCTGTTTTTCTTTTTTGAGACGGAGTCTCGCTCTGTCGCCCAGGCTGGAGTGCAGTGGCGCGATCTCCGCTCACTGCAAGCTCCACCTCCCGGGTTCACGACGTTCTCTTCCCTCAGCCTCCCAAGTAGCTGGGACTACAGGCGCCCGCCACCACGCCCGGCTCATTTTTTGTATTTTTTTTTTTTTTAGTAGAGACAGGGTTTCACCATGTTAACCAGGATGGTCTCGATCTCCTGACCTCATGATCTGCCCGCCTCAGCCTCCCAAAGTGCTGGGATTACAGGCGTAAGCCACTGCGCCCGGCCAAAACAACCCTTTTTTTCAAGTCTCAGAGAGAATAACTATTACACTGATGGTGGGGTGGGGGTGGAAGAAACATCCCCTGGCTACTCCCCACTGAACAGCGTGGCCAGCTTTCTCACCACCAGACACAGGGGGTAGTACTCTGGAGGAGCTCTAAGCTGGCTCTGGAAAAATTGCAGCTTTCAGGGCCCCTGCAGACAAATCCACTGGGTGCCAAACAAAATGTGACTCTTCAAAAAATAAATCTTTTCCATCATATTTACAAATAAATGAAATTCACAACTCTTATGTAAATACTGCTATTCCAAAGTACATTTCCAATGATCCAAATGGAGCACTTGATGGCATATGTATGTAATCCGTGTGGTATGTAACCCATCTTCTGACAACACTGACATCCCGTGGCCTCCTGCTAGATGTTTTGATGAGAAAGGAGATGACCTTAATTAGGGGAAAAATGCCTAGATTCAAATTTTAGAAAGCACTTTTTAAAAAAATTTTTAGAAAATTAATAGTGGGGTCCTGACCCCAGTAAGATGATTTTACAACTCACTAAATGGATCACGAGTGAATAGAAATAGCTTTGGAGCACTATTTTCCAACCTTTAGTGCCATAAAACATAAACCTTTGCCAAAGTAGTTGGGCACTTTTTAAAAAAATATAGGCTTTTTTCCCGAGCAGTTTTAGGTTCACAGCAAAATTAAGTGGAAGGTACAGGAGATCTCTCATCTACCTGCTACTTCCACATAAGCACAGCTTCCTTGAATTGGTCAATTTTTTAAAAGCAAAACACGTTCTTTCTGAAGAGAAATCAAGACATTATCTTGATTTCAAAATTCCAACTGCAAATGTAAAGAACCACTGTTGTGTGCATTTTTATGAATACATTAGGAAAACAAATACTTACCATGTAGCATCCAACAAGGAAGGCAGCATTTGCTTGTTTTCTCTGATCAGAGCCAGTAAAATGAACAATTTTCTTCCTTAACATTGTAATGGACTGCATAAAAATAAATAACTGTTAGCATTTTCTTTTTAATTTCAAGTCTTCCACAATTTCATTTTGTGATGAAGATCAATTCCAAATCCCATAACCATTCATATTATTAGCAAGACCTTTGAAAAGATTAACATTGATACCCACAAATACCATATATCTTCCCATAAAAAGGCACATTCTGGGATGAGAATGAACATACAATTAGAGAAGAGGGGAGGGGACATGAATGGACACATGCTTAAAGCATGGGCTGCTTCTGAAAGAGCAAACCAAGAGTGGTAGAAAAGACCACCTTTCCTTCTGTTTGGTTTTTAAAGAAATCTGTCCCCAAAGCCTTTAAGTTAAAATAAAAAGGTATACAGAATCATCTACAGTGTTATAAGCCAGGGCAGTGAATAACCAGGGGAGGGGTGTGCAGAGACAGGAACTGGAAGACAGCATGGAGGGCTGCTATGGGGTGCCGCCAGTGCACTGCTCCTGACTGGTGATCAAGATAATCATCTATGTATATTCCATTAGTGAAAGTTTATTGAGCTCTACATCCATGATGTGTACATATTTCTATTTATATGTTAAAAAGTTTTCTGGTGGGTGCGGTGGCTCACGCCTGTAATCTCAGTACTTTAGGAGGCTGAGGCGGATGGATCACAAAGTCAGGAGTTCGAGACCAGCCTGACCAACATGGAGAAACTCCGTCTCTACTAAAAATACAAAACTAGCTGGGCGTGGTGGCACATGCCTGTAATCCCAGCTACTTGGGAGGCTGAGGCAGGAGAATCACTTGAACCAGGGGGGTGGAGGTTATAGTGAGCCCAGATTGCTCCACTGCACTCCAGCCTGGGCAACAAGAGCGAAACTCTGTCTCACGGGAAAAAAAAAAAAAAAAAAAAGGAAGAAGAAAAAAAGGACTGATACATTTTTGGTTGACCCAAAGACTAAAAGTCCACAGATGGTTGAGTACAGGAAAAAAATTTTTTTCCAAAATTAAAGCAAAGGAACAAATGTTGGAGGAAGAGAGAATTATTTTTAGCTTCCTAGTCCTGCATGAAACAAAAGATCTGCCACTGGCAACTGGAAAAAGGAGGGGGAACTCAAATGCACAAGGCCATAAATAGTTATATTCCTATTTAAGAAAGGCAAAAAAGAAGAGTCTCCAGCTCTGTAGCAATATAGCTTTCATGGTCAAGGAAAAACATCTGCCTTACCCATGAATTTTTAATTAAAGCATGTTAAAATTCTAATTAAAAATAAATTTTATTTCCTCTCTGTATTCAATTAAATTTTTTTTTTAAGTGCCTGTCCCAAAAAGCAGTATTTTCCAGTTGAGAATTTACAGTGACTGATTTGGAACTGCTAGTAAGCAGTACATACATAACTTCCTACCGTGCATGGCCAACAATTCAGTGTTTTACATACATGAATGTGGTCTAAGTTCAAACCAATACAAATATACTTGTGTAACTCTCAGTAATACAGCCTTAATGACATGCTTATTTGCCCTAGATTCTCACGCCCCTTAATCGTATGTATAAAGGATCATGTAGTACAGTATCATGGGAGTTTCAAAATAGGAGAGAAAGTAAGATGAGTCCAGCTTTCTTGTTAGTTTGCTATCACTCCCCATCAAAATGAAGGCAGAAAGAACAATGGCCACAGCAAGGGAAGAGTTTCTCTTGTTAAGTTTCAGTTCTATTAGGTCAGACAATACGAGGTTCACTTAATTAACTGATTCCCACTTTGGCTTTTCAAGTATTTGGGCATCACTAATTCAAACTAGAACCAAACGACCCAAACTTAAACTGTTCATTCAAAACTCTAGAAAACAAATAGATACACTATGATCTTATAAAACAAGAAAACCATGTGCATGTCCCAAACACCACTGCAGTGAAAAACATGTCATTTCCTTTTTAAAAAGAGATGTTTTCCTTACTTTCGTCCCCCAGATCAAGCTAACAATGATTACTTAAGTCAAATCTTAAAGACTTTACCTTTAATTTCTTATTGATCTTGCAACAATATCTGTAAACCATTGCCAGATTGAGTGGTCCAAAATCTGCGTAGAAGCTTTAAAAATGAAAAATAAAAATGTGATGTACATTCTAGATGCTCTGAATATAAATGCCTTTTTTGGGTCTACAAGATCAAATTAAGATAAGCAAGCATATACCAAATTGTTATGGGCCAATACAACTTAAAGGTACTGTTTTACTGGTGGAAGACTATTCTGGTAAATAATGCCTACTTAAAAATGCCACAAGTGCTATAATGCCTACATGTAACCTCAATGAACATGAACATACCTTCTAAATTAAAAAAGCTGTTTTTCCACACATATTTCCAAGGGCAAAACCACAATATCTTACTTAGTACACATTTATATCTCATTGTAGTGTAAATATTAGACTAGCAAATCTAAATGTTTAAATTTAGGGAGGTTTTTTTTTTTTTGCTCTAAAGGTTTATTTTATTACTACAGGTGAAAAACAAGCATCCTGTAATTAGCAATCAATAGATTTATAATTTTCCCAGGCCATCCCATTTATAACCATACCTTTAGATTCTTCAAAAACAAAAAGTTAAAATCTTTTAAAGAGCAATACTTACTTCTCATATTCAAGTTCATTATCTATGCTGAAATAATGTACATTTGATGCACTCTTTGGTCTGCTGTAGAGAATGGCAAAACAAAGGCGATCTGAAATGGAAAAATTGCAATGTTCCTTCCTGGAGGTTACAAAAAACGTTTCATATATCATGACACAACTCTTTTCAGATGAAGTCAATTTTTCATTTTTTTCATGCACGTTTCAGATGGTAGGAGTGGTAATGGGTAATTACAAAATATTCTGGCTATTTGGGTGGGAATAATCAATGAGCACATTTTTAAAAGAGAAACTGCCTTTAACCGTAAGTTTCAAAAGTGGTGATTTTTCATGTAGTGATATGACTTCTAAACAAACCTATTTTTGTAAAAGTTTAGCTCCCCTGGATCAAGACATTTCAGCAAATTGCAGCATGCATGTGATGGCTAGCATCAACCTTGTAAGTTTCTAGATGAATTTCACTACGTTTTTCAAGACATCCTAAAAAGTCATTTCAGTAAGAAACTATTTTTTTCTTAAAGGGAAAGAATGCTTTCAAAATTGCTTCAAAATTACCGCTTACAGCTATAGAACAAACCATATGTTTCTCCAACTGTTCTTAGGGATCACTACTTTCTAACTTGGAATCACTACTTCGGTATTTTTACAATTAGACAAATTACCATTAAAACAGAAGCAATGAGGTTTCTGCATGATGGGTCTGAGATGAACTTGTGTTGCATAAATGCAGTTAGGCTGCTGTGAGGTTAGCAAGAATGGTAATGAGTAGTAAGGCTCAGGAGGCTCCACCCGCATTCCTTGCCTAAAAATCCTCGGGTGAAATAAAGTCATCCACAATATCTAATAGTAATACTAGTGGTGCTAAGAAAATACTTACACTCACAACGTGGCAAAATCAAGCACAGCCTTTAAAATATATATACTTTCAGCAGAGCCAGCTGGCACCCTTTCCCCAAATGGTAAACTATTTTTTTTTTTTTTTTGATCTGCAATTCAACTCATGCAATTACTGCGTTTATTTCCTTGTAAACTCCTCAGCTAAAACTTCTTGCAACCACAAACACTCAAATGGGTGACAGGGCTTAATCCTTTCCAACCACAAGGACCTTTGATCCCTGTGACAGAGCCCAAGGATCTCGCTCCCGCGGGCGGGGAGGTGCAGCTCACCTACTAGGCTCAGGTGCAGGCACGCAAGGGTCACAGCCGCCCATGAGCGCTGTAGCCCAGAGCCTGGGGACAAGTGCCGAGGCCACCCACACGCAGGAGACAAGGGCGGCCGGGGCCCAGACTAGGGGCACCTCCAAGCCAGCACTGCCCGCCCTGTCCCAGCGCGGGTGCCGGAGCCCCCAGGGGAAGCCCCCGCCCTCCCGGCTCACCTTTGATCACCTCGGCTACCAAAGCTGCCCCCGCGCCCTCCCGGCTCATGACTCCAAAGCATCTGGAAGGCGGGGCAGAGGCAAGGACTGCCAGCCGCCGAGAGGGGAGGCGCCGCGACCACACCCCCGAAGTTTAAAAAACAAAGTTTAAAGGGCCGCGCGGGGCAGCGGGCGCAGCGACACCCCTCGGCGGCCCAACGGCCTGACACGACAGCGCAACCCCGGAAGTCCCCAAGTCCTGGAAAAAGCCCCGCGCGCGACGAGGCCGTGGGGACGGACAGCACCCCGCCCCACCTCCCGCTTTCTTTCCCCCCGCCTGGCCGCCCGCCTTCCTTCCCCAGCTGGGAACGCGGGGCGGCCTGTGCCAACCAGGGCTCCTCCAGTGCCCAAACGCTCCGCAGAGGGGACATGCGTCAGAGGCCAGCGGGCCTGCAGAGGGAAGAGTCTGGGAAAGCTCCTTAGCGATTAAAGGACTTCGAGCAAAAGGGCTCTGCCCCAGGCCAGGGACAGACCCGAGGGTGATGGCAGCCGGGGCAGGGGCCTCCTGGCGCCTCCCCCGCCGCACTCCTGCTGCCAGGAGGTGCTGCAGCCGCGCCAGGCCCGGGCCCCTGCAGTGCGCCCTCCCGGAGCAGGGCCCAGCCCCTTAGCTCTGCCAAGACCCGCCAAGTGCCCCCGCAGGGCCGGGTCTTATGGGAAACGGGCATCTTCAAAATCGTGCAAGATTTCCTGAGATCAGCTGCCTCAGAGAAAACGCTTTTAATTGTGCAAGATTTAAAGGCAACCCTCTGGTCATGCATTCCTTTAAAGGGACGGTTTGGGATGGTTTAAAAACAAAAATGTTGACACCCTTTTTAAACAACCATTTAAAATTATTGTAGAGATAGAGAGTAGAAGGATGGTTATCGGAGGCTGGGAAAGGTAGTGTGGGGGTAATGGGCACAAAAAAATAGTACAAATAAATAAGACTTATTATTTCACAGCACAATAGGGTGTGGGTGACTACAGTCCACAATAGCTTAATTGTACATTTAAAAATAACTAAAAGAGTACAACCGGAGTGTCTGTAACATAAAGGATAAATGCTTAAGGGGATGGATACCCCATTCTCCATGATGTGATTATTGTGCATTGCCTGCCTGTATCAAAACATCTCACGTACCCCATAAATATATATACCTACTTGTACCCATAAAAACATTAAATAAATTAAAATATATTCTAAACCTATGTTTGTATTTTAATCTCAAGTGAAAAAAATTGAAATCCCAGCATAAGCATGATCTCAGTTGTTATAGATAAGAAGGTGCTGGGATTGGGGTTCATTTTCATTCCCTCCTGTATTTTCCCAAGTTTTCTATAGAAAAGTGTTACTTTATACATACTTTTGCCTCAAAAGTAAACCTGCATACCTCCTAATCTTATTCTACAATTCCAGATGGATCAAAGACTTTTTAAAATACATTTTTTAAACCATGAATTCTTTTTTATACTCTCCAACTGGGGAAGACCTTGCTAAATGATACAAAATCTAAAAGCCATAAACACATTTTTAAGTAGTTTTCATGGCAAAAGATACATAAACGAAATCAAGAGATAAACTGGAAAAATATGTTAAATTCATTGAGAAGATACCTAACCTCAATTTGTTATCACAAAAGTAACAGAAATGCAAAGTTCCACTATGAGGTACTATTTTTTCCTCAGACTGGCAAAACTCAAGAGAGTTGGATAAGGTGCTGCAGTGTGTCGGGAGGTTGAGAGCACTCACATCCGTCACCTGTGGGTGGGAATATAAACTGGGCCACCTCCATGGAGCCAACAAATGGGAAGTTTGGGAGAAATGTTTAAGACTGAAAACTGAAAACTAGACAGACGTGGCGGCTCATGCCTGTAATCACAGCATTTTGGGAGGCCGAGGAGGATGGATCATCTGAGGTCAGGAGTTCGAGACTAGCCTGGCCAACATGGTGAAACCCTGACTCTACTAAAAATACAAAAAGTTAGCCAGTCGTGGTGGTGCATGCCTGTAATCCCAGCTACTTGGGAGGCTGAGACAGGAGAATCGTTTGAACCCGGGAGGTGGAGGTTGCAGTGAGCCAAGATCACGCCTTTGCACTCCAGCCTGGGCAACAAGTATGAAATTCCATCTCAAAAGAAAAAAAAAAAAGAAAACTGAAAACTAAAGATAGCCAAGATGGACTGTTAAGCGCTACCACTTCTATGTGTGAGTTTAAATCCTATATACACATGTATACGATTGTGGATGAAATCGTAGGTAGCAAGTCTGTGGAAGCAGCCACAAGAAACGTATCAATGCCTTCATAGTCGGTGTCTAGAAATAGGGAATAAGAGAGATTTATGCCTTTTTACAGCTTTTGCATTGTACGATGTATTACCTATTCAAAATTACACTGCTTCTAAAAAGTCAACTTGCAGGCTAACAGTGTTTTTCCAAAGCCGACTCTTGATCAAGATAGGAAGCATATAATGAGCACAGTATGAGGCAACCTGGAAAATATCCTTCGTATGCATTTAAACAAGGGAACTGGTTAGTAACAAGTTTTGGGTTCTACCTATCTCTTGAAATTCCAGTTTCTTTCAAAAAACCCAATTGAAACTAGAAAAGTAGCTAGATGGAAATGGGAAGAAATTTTCCCTCCCAGCCCAAACCTTAAGTTCAATTCCTTAAGGAGTATTTTATATATTACAGGTCGGGGGAAATCACTGATTTCTGATGTGCAATTATCTCTACATAATGCCAATATTTTATTGTTAGAGTAACACATCAATAAAGTACTACAGAGACTATGGTGCTGGGTTGAGGGCCATTTATTAGGAACCTGGAACCAGAAACAGGGCTCTTCTTTTTTTCTTTTTGATGGAGTCTCGCTCTGTTGCCCAGGCTGGAGTGCAGTGGTGCAGTCTTGGCTCACTGCAACCTCCACCTCCCAGGCTCAAGCGATTCTCCTGCCTCAGCCTCCCAAGTAGCTGGGATTACAGTCACATGCCGCCACTCCCAGCTAATTTTTAGTAAAGATGTCAAACTCCTGACCTCAAGTGATCCACCGCCTCGGCCTCCCAATGTGCTGGGATTGTAGGCATGAGCCACCGCGCCTGGCCGAAACAGGGCTCTTTACAAAGTTTGCTTAAAGCTTGACGATTAACTTTATAATCCTGTTAAAAATCCATGTATCCCCCCATTGATGTTTCTGTTGTCAGAAACAGAAAGCAGCAGTCATCTTTTTGCCTATACATCCCTGTCGCACCACATCATCACTACTTCTTCTTTGAGTAACATGATATAGGAGAAAGAAACAAAATCTCATGATTTAAAAATGTTAATAAAAATATTTAAAATCCATCCTTGGGCCTAATTTGTCTGTAGGTCTGATTTGACTTTTGGGCCTCCAGGTTGACTACCTCTTCCTTTAGCAAATATCTGTTAAATTTGAAATGAAAAACATTTTCCTGGATAACAGCTATAGGTATTTGGGGATAATTAACCATAAAACATAGAAATATGTAGGAGTCGGTGGGAATTATAATACCGTATGTGCTTGTTAATAGGAAAGATTTGAAGAACCCTATTTGGACCTAGAGACACTTTGTATTTCCCCCTTGAACTGGGTGTATGGCCTTCACAGGTCCTGGCAGAGCCAATGGAGAAATGGACAGCTTCCCTACAGCTAGGGGAAGTCAACCTCTGCTGAGTTCACCACAGACAGGCAGAAAGGAGATTTTACATGCTAGGGAGCAGGAGAGAACAGGCTCCACCTGAACAGATTGTCCCTCAGAGACAGGACCATAGACATCAGGCTGTCATCTGTATTAGCCACTTGTTTTTTGAGGGTAGGAAAGAACACGGGGAGCAGAGGAAGAACTGTTCATCAAAGTACTGATTAACAAAGAAGCGGCAGCAGCATTACCCACTCAAATGACAATGATAACCAACGATGATGGAGAGTTTAGTGTCGCGTATTGTATTCAGCTCATTATACCCTGTGAGGTTAGCACTACCAGGGTCAACTAGCTCTAAGGAGGTGGAGTGACTAACCTGCACAAGGTCACAAAGCTGCTGGGAAGTGGCAGAATTGGGATTTGAACACAGGCTATTGGATCTGAAGCGTAAGATTAAGTCCCAGCCTCAAAGACTTGCCCAAATATAAATCAACAGTAATTAAAACAATAGGATTTTAGCACAGCAACGTACAATCTGGACCCAGAGATATATGAACACTTACAAGAAAACTGATTATTTCAATTCAGTAACAAAGAAGGCCTTATCCAATATACGGCAGGTGTTAACATATATGAAAAGAAAATGAGATGCTAATATCACATATTTATAAAACACAGATGAAATGATTTTGAAAAAGCTGTCAGACAACTATAAAATTATAACGAAAAAAAAATTTTTTTTTTTTTTTGAGACGGAGTCTCGCTCTGTTGTCAGGCTGGAGTGCAGTGGCGCAATCTCAGCTCACTGCAACCTCTGCTTCCTGGGTTCAAGCGATTCTCCTGCCTCAGCCTCCCGAGTAGCTGGGACTACAGGCGTGTGCCACCACACCTGGCTAATTTTTGTATTTTTAGTACAGATGGGGTTTCATCATGTTGGCCAGGATGGTCTCAATCTCCTGACCTCGTGATCCGCCCGCCTCGGCCTCCCAGAGTTTTGGGATTACAGGGGTGAGCCACCTCGCCTGGGCTATAATGAATAATTTTATAATTTAACACACAGAATTTTAAAGTGTGACAAAAAACAAGTCACAAAGGGAAAAACTAGGAGAGACTTGGGGGAAAAGACCTATAATAAAAGTTAATTATCACAACAGATAAAATGTCTCTCCAAAGCAATATCACAATCTGTGATATTATAATTATATACTTATTGGTTTTCATCCACAGTTCCTAGCTCCCAACTCCCATAAGTTTTGTTACAACATCTTGTTATATGCTGGGCGCTGTGGACCTCAGAAAGCCGGCCTTGGGAAACAGAGTCTCTTTGATGTTTTCCTGCTCTCCTTTCCCCAACCCAAGGCAGGGCTCTAATATGACTGTGAGCTGTAAGACCCTCATTCCACAAAGCATCCCACCCCATACCCTGGAGGAAGGAATGCTGCCCAGAGAGGCTGGAAGAATCTGAACAGACAGGCCTTGCTGGGTGTAGATTATACCCTTTTTGTCCAATCATATTTCAACACACTTGTCCATCCTTCAGTCATGGACAAGCAATGAAATCTCCACTAGAGGCCCAAAGGACAGGGTTCAGAGGGCTCCTGGAGAGCTGAACCACGGAGGCTGACAGGATGGTGAGTGAGAACTCATCCACATGCCCGGAGGGTGGTGCACCCCAACTCCACGGTGTCAGAAGCTCCTGCATTTGGGACCCTTCCAGACCTCACCCTGCGCATCTCTTCCTGTGGCTGTTTATCTGTATCCTTTAAAATAGCCTTCATAATAAACTAGTAAGTGAGTTTCCCCGATTCCTCCAGCAAATTAATTGAACCCAAACAGGGGATACCGGGAACCCCAACTTGAAGCCAGTCAGTCAGAAGTTGCTGAGGCCCGGACTTGTGACTTGTGGGAAGGAGGGGGTGGTCTTGGGGACTGAGCCCTCAACCTGCTATCTCCAGGTAGATGGTGTCAGAATTGAATAGGAGGACACCCAACTGGTGTCTGCCACAGAAATCCACACATATTACAGAGGTCTTTTGTGTTGATAATTGCTGTGTTGATGTGACAGCAGAGGAAAAACAGTTTGAGTTTTTCCCTAACACAACCTAAGAGATAAAAAATCTAGGAAGGCTATGAACACTCAATTCAGAAAAGAAATACAAATGGTCAATAGCATATGAAAAGAAAATTAATCTTATTCAACATAAAAAAAAGCCTATCAACATGAACAGATTACAGGAAAAAGTCACACGATTATCTCATTAAAAACAGAGAAGGAAGTCATTAAAATCAACACTCATTTCCAATTAAGTCTTTGCACAATGGAGCTAAAAGAGAACTTCCTTAAGCTGATAAAGACTGTTCCAACAGCCAATATCACACTTTATGCCTTAACTTTGGAAGCATCCTTATAAAATAAAAAGCAAGAAAAAATTCCCACTATCATTACCTCTTTTTAACAATGTAGTAAGTGGAAGTGCTAGCTGATATCAAGATACAGAAAGGAAATCAGAGAAAACTGGAAAGGAAGAATCAAAACTGTCCTTGTTTGCAGATGACTGTCTACTAAAAAATACAGACACGAAGCCAGGCGTGGTGGCTTATGCCTGTAATCCCAGCACTTTGGGAGGCCGAGGCGGGTGGATCACCTGAGGTCAGGAGTTCAAGACCAGCACTACCAAAATGGTGAAACAGCATCTCTACTAAAAATACAAAAAATTAGCTGGGTATGGGTGGCCCGCGCCTGTAATCCCAGCTACTTGGGAGGCTGAGGCAGGAGAATCACTTGAACCTGGCAAGCAGAGGTTGCCGTGAGCCCAGATCATGCCACTCAACTCCAGCCTGGGTGACCAAGTAAGACTGTCTCAAAACAAAACAAAAAAAATACAGATGAGAATCGGCAGATAAACTACTCAAATAAATAATAAAGTTTTGCAATGTTTCTAGATACAGAAGATTAATACACAAAAACCAATAGCTTTTCTATCTACTTGTAATAAGCAATTACGAAATGTAATAGAAAAAAAAAAGATGTGCATATCCCTTATGGATAAATGGAGAAATAAAGCAGGTTTATCAACAGGAAGACTCAATATCATAAAGATAGTAATTTCCCTCAAAAGAAATGCAATTCGAATCAAAATCTCAACAGGTCTTTTCATGAAACCTGACATGTTAATACATGTAAATTACATGCTAATAAAGGAATTAAATGTAATAAATTTACATGTTACATGTAATAAACTACATGAAACCTGACATGCTAATACATGTAAATTGCATGCTGATGTATGAATTAAATGTAATAAATTTACATGTTACATGTAATAAATTACATGGAATATGACATGTTAATACATGTAAATTAATCCAGAAGATCACAGGACCAAGAAGAACAAAAAACATTGTGAAAAAAAACAAGAAGGCCGGGTGCAGTGGCTCATGCCTGTAATCCCAGCACTTTGGGAGGCCGAGGTGGGCGGATCACGAGGTCAGGAGATGGAGACCATCCTGGCTAACGTGGTGAAACCCTGTCTCTACTAAAAATACAAAAACTTAGCCGGGCATGGTGGCGGGCACCCGTAGCCCCAGCTACTCGGGAGGCTGAGGCAGGAAAATGGTGTGAACCCGGGAGGCGGAGCTGGCAGTACGCCGAGATCGCACCACTGAACTCCAGCTTGGGTGACAGAGTGAGACTCCATCTCAAAAAAAAAAAAAGACCAAGAAGGGGGCTCCTGTTCTATCACATATTAAAACTTAGAAGAATTTAGGCAGTATTGGCACAGTGTACTATTGGCACAGATATAATAGGCAAAGATGAGAGCCACATATAAATGAAAACATCTCATATGACATTAGGGACATTACAAATCAATGGGAGAAGAATATTCAATACACGTGGGACAACTTGTTGTCCATGTTTTTGGGTGTGGGGGAGGGAAGAAATTTGATCCCTATCTCATACCATACACCACTACACACCAAAGACAAAAAAATACCTCAAGTGGATTAAAAACCTAGATATAAGAAGAAAAGCTTTAAAAGTTTTATAAGAATATATAGGAAAATAACTCATATTAGTGAAACAGGGATGGATTTCTTTTTTACTCAAAACAAAAAAGACCCAAACTGTAAAGCAAAAGATTGAGAAACTTGATTACATAAAGATTTAGTGTTTCAATACAAAAATTAGCTGGGAGCCGAGATTGCGCCATTGCACTCCAGCCTGGGCAACAAGAGCGAAACTCGGTCTCACAAAAAAAAAAAAAAAAAAAAAAGATTTAATGTTTCTGTTTAACACAGGAGCCCAGAAACAAAATTTAAAAAGATAACTCACAGAATAGGAGAAGATAGACACAATGTATAAAACCAATAAAGTGTCAGTATTTAGAATTTACAAAGCACCATACATCAAAGAGAAAAAAGCTAACACCCCAATAAATACGTGAGCACAGAGTGAGATAAGAAATGCACAAGATGAAGAAGCCTAACTATCCTTCCTGCTCCTCTTTTTCAGACTGACCAAACCTACAATTAGGATGGTTCTGGTTCACTCTATACCCTATGATGAATTGAGTTTATTCGTCAGAATAAGCTGTGACAACAAATAACCCTGAAATCTTAGTGATGTGATTTACAACGGATGTTTATTTCTTGCCGGTGCTACATGTCCTCCGGAGATAAGAGGGTGGAGGAGGCACTATTCTACACAATCACCCATGGATCCGGGGTGTTGAAGGCTCTACCCATTTGCAGACACACTGTCTAGAATCTGTCCTTGTGGTTGTCCGATGTGCCAGTGGCTGCTTGCGCAAGTAATTCCAGTTGCCTTCGGATCTAAATGCCCACACAGATAAACCAAGCCTGGTAATTTTAATCTTTGTCTGTTTGACTCCTGTGTTTCTCAATCAGCTGGTCTGGAACTAAGGTAGAAAAAAGTAATCTTATCTACAGAAGCCCTGGACATCTCCCCCAACATTGTTAGTCTCCATACTCATTTGTATCTCTGAAATACTTTGTAAGTTCTTTTTTTAAGGGAGGCACTAGAAGAACTATATAAGTTTTCATACTTTCCAAATCACTACAGCAAGAGAGAAAATGACACTAAGAAAATTGAGCAAGCCACCCAATAGCAAGAAGATATATTAAGGCAAACAAAACAGAATAAGATGGTGGGAATAAGTCCAAACATATGAGTTATAATTTTAAAATGCAAAAAAAATCACCTGTTAAAAGACAAGATTTTCAAAATGAGTTTAAAAAATTCAAGCTAGGCTGGGCTCACATAATCCCAGCATTTTGGGAGGCTAAGGCAAGAGGATCCCCTGAATGCAGGAGTTCAAGACCAACCTGGACAAGAAAGTGAGATACCATCTCTATCAAAAACAAACCAAAAAACCCCAAAAAGTCCTCAAGCTATATGTTTAATAAAGACAATAAAAACAAAGCCTTACAGAAAAAACTGAAATGAAAGGATAGACAAAGGTATGCTATGCAGTTGCTAGGAAAAAAGAAAGTAGCAATATTAACATCAGATAAAACAGAATTCACAGGCTGGGCTTGGCGGCTCGCGCCTGTAATCCCAGCACTTTGGGAGGCTGAGGCGGGTGGATCACCTGAGGTCAAGAGTTTGAGACCAGCCTGGCCAACATGGTGAAACCTCGTCTAAATACTAAAAACAAAAAAATTAAGCTGGGCATGGTGGCGGGCACCTGTAATCCCAGCTACTTGGGGAGGGTGAGGCAGAAGAATTGCTTGAACCCAGGAGACGGAGGTTGCAGTGAGCCGAGATCATGCCACTGCACTCCAGCCTGTGCAACAGAGCAAAAACTCCATCTCAAAAAAAAAGAATTCACAATAAAAAGCAATTAAAAGACAAAGGTGTTTAATGTTTAAAGATATATAATCACCAGGCAAGGTCGCTCATGCCTGTAATCCCAGCACTTTGGGAGGCTGAGGCAGGTGGATCACTTGAGGTCAGGAGTTTGAGACCAGCCTGACCAACATCACAAAACCCCTTCTCTACTAAAAATACAAAAATTAGCTGGCACGGTGGCCATGGGTACCTGTAATCCCAGATACTCAGGAAGCTGAGGCAGGAGAATTGCTTGAACCCAGGATGCAGAGACTGCAGGGAGCTGAGATCAAGCCACTGCACTCCAGCCAGGGCGACAGAGCGAGACTCCATCTCAAAAAAAAAAAAAAAAAAAAAGATATAATTTACCAAAAAAATTATAACCATCACACATAACAGATTTTAAATCTATCAAGCAAAAACAAGTGAAAATAGGAGTAATTAGTACATCCATAATCATAGAAGACTAAACACACTTCAAAAAAATGAAATAAGGAATTAGTGGCATGACCCAATAGATAGAACTGTTTTCAATATAGAACACAAAAACTTTTCAAATAGGGTATTCAGTTGTCATGTGTTAGGTCACAAGGAGATCTCAACAAATTCTGGAAAGCAGAAACCATACACATAGACCATGTTCAATGACTACAATACAATAAAAGAAATGTTTTGGCGGGGCACAGTGGCTCACGCTTGTAATCCCAACACTTTGGGAGGCCGAGGTGGGTGGATCACTAGAGGTCAGGAGTTCGAGACCAGCCTGGCCAACATGGTAAAACCCCATCTCTACTAAAAATATAAAATGAGCCGGCGTGGTGGCATGTGCCTGTAATCCCGGTTTCTCGGGAGTCTGAGGCAGGAGAATTGCTTGAACCTGGGAGGTGTAAGTTGCAGTGAGCAGAGATCACACCACTGCACTCCAGCCTGGGTGACAGAGCGAGACTCCATCTCAAAAAAAAAAAAAAAAGTTTTGATGAAAAGATCATAAAAAAATCTATCAATCTATCAATATGGAAACACTTAAAACCCATTTCTAAATAACTTGCAATAATGGGACATTAAAAGAAAACTCAACATAAATTAATGTCAGTAAGAATTCTTATTTAAATCTACGGAATGTAGTCAAACAAAAATCTGAAGAAAATGATTTGCCTAAAAATGTCTCCCTCTATCACACCATTTTTCAAAAAAAATTAATTATTTCTGGATTAAAAAGTTGAACATAATAATTCTGGCTCTCCACATCCCAGGCCATGGTGGGACTGCTTGTGCTGACTGCTTTGTGGTTAAGTGAACAGAGGTGAGAATGCCACTCCCAGGCCAGACCACTAATCCATGGTGCCAAGACCCCACCGAACTCTCCCTCTATCCTGCAGCATTTAAGATTACAGCGGCAGTACAACCATTTTAGAAAGCTGACAGTATTTACATACAAAAAATAAACATAGCACATCTTCTGACTTAGTAATTCCAGTTCTAGATTTACATACAACAGAAATTCATACATATGTTCACCAAGAAAGGTATTTTTTAAAAGCTCATAGAATCATTATTTATAATAGGCAAACACTGAAAACAGCCCAAATGGGAACTTACTTACAATGGAATATTATATGGCAATGAGAGTGCCTGAGGCTACAGCCACACACATCACAAACAATGCTCACAAACATTTAGTGAAAGAAGCTGGAAGAAAAACAGAGTAAATACAGCATGATTCCATTTATGTAGATTTGAAAACCAAATTTACAGAACACACTATAAAAATATCTTTTAAGAAAAGGGGGTGGGAGAAGAGTGTGATACTGGAGCCAACCTGAAAAACTGCAATAGTCAAATAAAGAACAATTTGAGCAACAACGTAAGTATATAATATTGGATTTTAATCCAAAGTGTAAAGTAATATGCATGAATCCATACTGTCATAAATAAGTGATTGAGTAAGTAAATGGAGAGGAGACAAATCTTCCTCATAGAACAATTCCAAATTATACACATGTAGCTACTTCTCTCCAAGAAGTGATGCTTAACCCCTCCTTAGTCCCCTTTGAGTGTGGACTGGACTTAGGTGACTTGTTTCGAAGAATACAGTGTGGAAAGGGAAAAATAGTAACTTTACAGAAGAAAAACTTAGCAAACACTATTTTAACCAAATGCTCGTGACTAACCCGTGATGTCGTGTGGATTTCATGTACCTCTGACAAGATGTGATAGAAGGGCACTTCACCTTCTGTGGTATTCATGCCAAAAATCCAGTCTAGTCATGAGGAAAACAAGCACAAGCAGACATACCCAATTTGAGGCACATTCTACAAAATAGCTGACCCATTCTCCTCAAAACTGTCAAGATCATGAAAAACAAGGAAAGACTGAGAAACTTTCACAGACCTTAGGTGACTAGGCAGATGACAACTAAATGCAATGTGGATTGAATTTCAGAATAGAGAAAGGTTAATGGGAAAGCTGGTGAAATCCCAATAAAGTCTGCAGTATAATTAATAATAACACATCAGTATTGGTTTCTTTTTCTTTTCTTTGAGACGGAGTCTCACTCTGTTGCCCAGGCTGGAGTGCAATGCCGCGATCTCGGCTCACTGCAACCTCTGCCTCCTGGTTCCAGTGATTCTCCTGCCTCAGCCTCCCAAGTAGCTGGGATTACAGGCATGTGCCACCAAGCCCGGCTAATTTTTCTATTTTTAGTAGAGACAGGGTTTCACCATGTTGGCCAGGCTGGTCTCGAACTCTTGACTTCAGGTGATCCTCCCGCCTTGGCCTCCCAAAGTGCTGGGATTACAGGCATGAGCCACCGCACCCAGCCCAGTGTTGGTTTCTTAAAGTGCCACAGTAATGTAAGATGATGTTATGGACTGAATTGTGTCCCTAAAATTCTTATGTTGAAGCCTTGACCCCCAACGTGACTACAGGGAATAGGGCCTTTAAGGAAGAAATCAAGGTTAAATGAGGTCATACAGGTGGGACTGATATCCTTATAAGATGAGAGATACAGGCCAGGCGCAGTGGCTCACGCCTGTAATCCCAGCACTTTGGGAAGCCAAGGCGGGTAGATCACAAGGTCAAGAGATTAAGACCATCCTGGCTAACACAGTGAAACCCCGTCTCTACCAAAAATACAAAAAATTAGCCTGCATGATGGCGAGTGCCTGTAATCCCAGCTACTCAGGAGGCTGAGGCAGGAGAACGGCCTGAACCCGGGAGGCGGAGCTTGCAGTGAGCCAAAATCACGCAATGCACTCCAGCCTGGGTGACAGAGCAAGACTCTGTCTCAAAAAAAAAAAAAAAGGGAGATACCAGAGCACTCTCTCCCACTGAATGCACACAGGAAAGGTCACGTGGAGGTACAGGGAGAAGGCGGCAGTCTGCAAGCCAAGGACAGAGGCCTCAGCAGAAGCCAACCCCGCTGGCTCCTTGTTCTTGGCCTTCCTAAGCTCCAGAATTGTAACAAAATACATTTCTGTTGTCTACACCACGCAGACTATGCATAGCGTATTCTGTCACAGCAGCCCTAGATGACGAAGACAGATGACAACACTAGAGAAAAGTGAAACTGTGAGGCGGACAGAGGAATGCTCTACTATTTTTATCTTTTCTGTAACTCTAAAAGTTTTTTTTTTAAAGCAATTGACTAGGAGAAACTATTTGTAGCTTATATAACAAGGACTATATATAAATAAAAAACTATTTCTATGAAAATCTTAAAATTACACACAGTCCGATGAAAATAATCATATATTAAAAAGGCAAACCAGAAAAATAAATACAGATGACCAAAATCCATGTGACATATTTGGCCTAATTAGTAATTAGAAAAATGAAAATTACAAAATAATGAAATTTCATTTCATGCCATCCAGTTGGAAAAAAATTAAAATACTGATAGCAATCCTAGGGAAAGGTTGTGGGGAGAGTGCCACTTTTTTTTTTTTTTGAGACGGAGTTTCGCTCTTTTTTTTGCCCAGGTTGGAGTGCAATGGCCCAATCTCAGCTCACCGCAACCTCCGCCTCCCAGGTTCAAGCGATTCTCCTGCCTCAGCCTCCCGAGTAGCTGGGATTACAAGCATGCACCACCACGCCCGGCTAATTTTGTGTTTTTAGTAGAGATGGGGTTTCTCCATGTTAATCAGGCTTGTCTTGAATTCCCCACCTCAGGTGATCTGCCCACCTCGGCCTCTGAAAGTGCTGGGATTACAGGCGCGAGCCACTGCGCCCGGCTAGATTGCTACTTTTATACAAAGAAGGTGGACTGTAAATTGATGGGGGCGTTCTGGAGGGCAATCTGGCAGTATCTGTTATGCATGTAACCGGTAACCCAGCCAATCCCTCTATTGAAATCGACCCGAGAGAAATACTGGCATAGGAGTACTAAGAAGCAATGGACAGGTGTTCACTATAGCAGTGTCTGCAGTAAGACTAAATGGAAATAATTGTCATTAATATGGGAATAATTAAACCATGGCAATCATACTATCACTTAAAGTTAATAAAGTAGATCAATATGTAATCTTTCCACAGTCATACAAAGATCAACTAAGTATTTAAAAAACCTAATTGCATGATATATGTAAACAGAATAAATCAAAACTAAGCCTTATTTCTAAGGTAAATTTATATGTATAAAAATAAACAGATTTAAGCTCGGTGCGGTGGCTCATGCCTGTCATCCCAGCACTTCGGGAGGCAGAGGCGGGTGGATCACAAGGTCTGGAGTTCAAGACCAGCCTGACCAACATAGTGAAACCCTGTCTCTACTAAAAATACAAAAATTAGCCAGGCATGGTGGCGCGCGCCTGTAATCCCAGCTACTCAGGAGGCTGAGGCAGGAGAATCGCTTGAACCCAGGAGGTGGAGGTTGAGGTGAGCTGCGATTGCACCACTGCACTCCAGCCTGGGCAATAAGAGGGAGACTCTGTCTCAAAAAAGAAAAACAAAATTAACAGATTTGTATCCAATGAAGCACAAAGAAGAAAATAAATAAATAATCTTCTAAAATAAAGATAAACAGAGGGCCAGACACAGCGGCTCATGCCTATAGTCCCAGCTACTTGGGAGGCTGAGGCAGGAGGATCACTTGAGCCCAGGAGGTTGAGGCCACAGTGTGTTATGATTGCAGTACTGCACTCCAGCCTGGGCGATAGAGACCTCGTCTCTAAAAAAATTAAATTAATTAATTAAATTAATTAAATTTAAAAAATTAATTTAAAAATTAAAAAATTAAAAAAAGACAACAGAAAAATGCCCCTCCCAAAGAGTTACAGTGGTTACCAAGGAGATGGCCACTGTAAAGAGTTACAGTGGTTATCAAGGATTTGGGGGCAGGGAAGGAAGTATTTACTTTTTGAGTATTAGGTGGGTTTGAACGTGTTGGTGTTAGTCCATAAGTGAAAATATATTCCTCTGGGGAGTGAGGGAAGGATGAGGAGGAAGCCTTTCATCTTTCACAGTTATGTCCCCCTTAACCTTGGTGTCCTCTGCATCCCTGTTCAGTGTGGTCAAACAACAGCTATTTCCTGCCAGGACAAGATCCACCGTCCCAGCACAGATATAAGGTTAAATACAGCATTGGTAGCTAGTGCTCTGAAATGGAAAGATGCGATAACAACTCCAGCTAGTTGCCTTTCATCATCATCCTTCCTTATCCTAGTTTATCCCCTGCAGCCCTGGGCTGGAGACACAAAGCTGACTCCCAGTGCGCTTCATGGTGAGAACCAAGGGACGGCTCCATCAGCTAGCTCTCTGCTTCTCCTCCTGTTTTACGACAAAGGGCCCTGAAACTTAAGTCACTGGAAAAAACCTCTCCAGCCCCCGTCCCACATGCTGTCAATGTGACACTGTAAAAAGTAAAGTAGAGGTTCCTCTTCAAAGACTTTCCTCCCCGTCCAATTAGGAATAAATAGTAACTTTTCTTAGAAGCAAAATTTATCCAAAGACCTATGCTAACATTCTTAAATATCTGCTAACCATAATAAAAAAATCAATATACTTTATGTTCTTAGCTCCCACAATTTAGCCTAAATATTTGCCCTGGCATGCTTATACTGGTCCAAGCAAGCATTAGGTCATAGCCTGTTCCTCTTTAAAGTGTTTTTACCTTTCTCAGCATTTCACAAGTTACTTCCTCCTTCCTTTGTTCCACTCTACCTCTGCCTCTTTTAAAAAGTTCTAAGTTGCTAGTCAACTGGGACAAATACAGAATGTAAGGTACGGTTCCAGTCAATGGAAACTGGACACAGCAGTAGGGTGGATGCGTCAAGTTATAAATGACCCTGTCTCCTTTGTTTGGTGTACTTTCGTGACAAAACTGCTGGCGAGTGTACCCTTTCTGCAGGAAGTAAAAAAGGCCTTACTAAAAAAATTAAATGTATGTTCAAGTGCTATTTCTTTATGGCACTGAGGAACAAACATTTCAAACAACACAAAAGCAAAATCAGAGTTCAAGACCTTAGTTTCCTGTGTCACTGGATGCTGTATAATTAAACTCTCATCTGAGACTTTTACCAGATTTACTAATTAAATTGATCAGGATAGAGAATGGACTATCCAGATGAATTCCTCTTACTAATTTTATATAATGGGCCTGGGTTGTTTATTTACTTTAACTGCAGGGACAAGGATAAAACATATATGATTGGTTTAAGCTACAACAGGGAGCCGATCGGGCAGATCTGGTGGCAGTTGCTCTAATCAGAAACTTACACTCCAGAGACGGATGGCCATTATTAAAGCAGGGAGTCACATTCCAGAAATAATACAGTAGCTCTTCTGTTACGCATACCTCTGGAAAATTTATAATTCAAATACTGGGCATCAAAAATATTTTTATTGGTAAAATTAGTGGCATGTTCATCAGAATAATCCCTGTAAGAAATGGGCTCTCATTGGTGAAATTAGTGACTATCCACATATGCAGATTTGTCTAAAATATTTTATGGATACACCCCACATTTGCATGAACAGATAAGAGGAATCTAACGAGACTGTCTTCAGGGATAGTGTTTGAAATGTCAGTCTGGATGCGTAAACCGGCGCCACCCTCCGGCTACTGGTTGTATTTATTTATTATTATTATTATTATTATTATTATTATTATTATTATTATTGAGACTAAGTCTCACTCTGTAGCCCAGGCTGGAGTGCAATGGTGTGATCTCGGCTTACTGCAACCTCCACCTTCCGGGTTCAAGCGATTCTCCTGCCTCAGTCTCAAGAGTAGCTGGGACTACAGGTGCGCACCACCACGCCTGGCTAGTTTTTGCATTTTTAGTAGAAACCGGGTTTCACATATTGGTCAGGCTGGTCTGGAAATCCCGACCTCAAGTGATCTGCCCGCCTCAGCCTCCCAAAGTGCTGGGACTACAAGCGTGAGCCAAGGGCCCTGGCCTGGTTGTGAGGATTTCTTATTTTTTATTTTTATTTTTTTTTGAGACGGAGTCTCGCTCTGTCGCCCAGGCTGGAGTGCAGTGGCGCGATCTAGGCTCCCTGCAAGCTCCGCCTCCCGGGTTCACACCATTCTCCTGCCTCAGCCTTCCAAGTAGCTGGGACTACAGGCGTCTACCACCATGCCCAGCTAATTTTTTGTATTTTTAGTAGAGACGGGGTTTCAGCATGTTAGCCAGGATGGTCTCGATCTCCTGACCTCGTGATCCGCCTGCCTCGGCCTCCCAAAGTGTTGGGATTACAGGCATGAGCCACCGCGCCTGGCGGTTGTGAGGATTTCTGATTGACTGGAACCAACTATAAGCATGACAAACCCTATACCTGTGCTTCAAGTAAGCTTTTCATAAAAGGGGTCAGAGTACCCACAAAATGCAAGAGCTAAGCTTTCAGGACAGGACGAATCATCTGTTTTGTGCCTGCTTGCTAATAAATATGCATTGAATGAACGACTGTTGAGTGGCAGACTTTTTCATCTGAGGCTAGCTTTTATTATAACTTGGTAGCAGTGTTGTGGGGAAGCAGCTAAACTCCATCTACCTCAAGTCTTTTTGGTTGTGACTGTAACCTATCAAAAAGTCCTAAGGGGTGTGGATGACCAGATTGGCTCAGGTCCGTTTCCAGCAGTATGGTACAAAGAATTAGATTACATATGGTATCACTAATATGCCCTAAAACATTTGGATCATAGTCAAGAAAGTCAGACTCCTGACCCAGAGAAGAGAAGGCACAGAGGAAGAAAGCATTCACTTTCAGCAGATAAGATATTCTTCTAGGATAAGCCAAGAACTCTGATAGGTTACATTCTAATTTTTCCATCTAAATAAGCATTTCAAAGGGGAAAAAAGATAAGTAAGTGTCTATATCATTTCAAATTTCTTGGCAATTAATAAAACAGACTTTATTTTATTTATTTATTTTTTGTGACGGAGTCCCGCTTTGTCGCCCAGGCTGTAGTGCAGTGGCACAATCTTGGCTCACTGCAACCTCTGCCTCCCAGGTTCAAGCAATTCTCCTGCCTCAGCCTCCCAAGTAGCTGGGATTACAGGTGCGTTCCACAATGCCTGGCCAATTTTTTTGTCTTTTTAGTAGAGGCAGGGTTTCACCGTGTTGGTCAGGCTGGTCTCGAACTCCTGACCTCAGGTGATCCACCTGCCTCGGCCTCCCAAAGTGCTGGGATTACAAGCATAAGCCACCACGCCTGGCCAAGACTTACTTCAATGAGTATTTTGAATACATAATTGCCTTATCGGAAGCAAAATTATTCATAATATTTTATCTCCAATGATATTTCAAATCCTTCCTAACATTATTTAGGACATTCACAATTCTAGGCCACTCAACATATTAATAAGTAATTCTTTCTTTAGAAAACAACTTCTCAGAGAGATTTAAAATGCATTGTCATGCCAATTGCACTGTTGTTGTTTATTTAAAGAAAATGGTGTGGAAGGGATTAAGGCACTTTTTTTTTTTTTAACTTTAAGTTCTGGGATATATGTGCAGAACGTGTATACATGTGGCATGGTGGTTTGCTGCACCCATCAACCCGTCATCTAGGTTTTAAGCCCCACATGCATTAGGTATTTGTCCTAATGCTTTCCCTCCCCTTGCCCCCAACCCCCAGACAGGCCCCAGTGGGTGATGTTTCCCTCCCTGTGTCCCTGTGTTCTCATTGTAAGGTACATATTGAAGTTTTAAAAATGGGAACCAGGGCAAAAGTTTTGAATACATTTCACAAAAGCAGATACAGGAATGGCCTATAAGCCCATGAAAAAAGCATTCAGTATCAGGGAAATGCAAATTAAAACCACAATGAAATACCACTTCACACCCATTAAAATGGCTAAAATTAGAAATGACAACACCAATTGTTGGAGAAGATGTAGTGCAATTAGAATTCATACATTGCTAATGGAATGTAAAATGGTATGTAGACACTGGCAAAATTGAGCAGTTTCTTACAAAGTTACTCAGGCTTTCCCTATGACCCAGACATTCTACTCCTAAGTATATATCTAAGGCAAATTAGTATGTGTGTCTACAAAAAGATTTGCAGATGAATATTTCTGCAGCTTTATAAAAGCTAAAAACTGAAAGCAACCCAAATGTACATCAATAAGACAATGGATAGACCGCATATATTCATACAAGGGAACACCGCTCAGCAGTAACAAAGGAATGAAGTACTGATACACAAAAGGAGACAGACACAAGAGTTTGTTTTATGATTCCATATGCATCAAGTTCAAGAGCAGGTAAAACTAATCTATAGTGACAGAAACCAGACAGCAGATGCTTGGGGTAGTGGGATGACAGGAAAGACCCAGGGAACTTTAGCGTAGTTGTACACTTGCTAAAATTCAAACTACACATAAATCCATGCATTTTACTGTATGCAAATTACACTTGATTTTTTTAAAACCTGGGGTGGGGGAGGGAAGGCCACCCAAAAACTCTTAACTGATACAGATCCATGAAAAGGCTACAGAATTAATGAAGTATTCTGTAAAGAATATAATTGAGAATTATCTTGACCTTAGTATCTGTTACAGACTGTTGACAGTAAATGACATTGCAACTTTAAAAGACCTACCAGAAAAGATAAATGTGGTTAAGTAGAAAAATTCTTTTAAAGATTCTTGAAATAGTAATTGTATCCTTCTTCAGTCTGCAAAAGACGTTTACTTAAATAATTTTATTTTATAGACAGGGTCTCACTGTCACCCAGGCTGTAGTGCAGTAGTGTAATCACAACTCACTGCAGCCTTGACCTACTGGGCTCAGGCGATCCTCCCACCTCAGCCTTCTGAGTAGCTGGGACCACAGGTGTGCACCACCACACTCAGCTAATTTTTAAATTTTTTTGTGGAGATGGGGTCTTGCCATGTTGCTCAGGATGGGCTCAAGCAATCTTCTGGCCTCAGCCTCCCAAAGTGCTGGGATTACAGGTGTGAGCCACCATGCCCAGTCCATATTTTAAAAATTTTAAAAAGTGGCTCTTCAAGTCCTAAAATTGGCACAAAGGAAAATTCATGGAAATAGGGCCTAAGTTAGCTTTAATAGATTATCTGCCATTCCCTATATTCTATCAACCCCACTACTTTAAAAAAACATGAACTGGATTTAAAATGAGAAAACAGGCCAGGCGCGGTGGCTCATGCCTGTAATCCCAGCACTTTGGGAGGCTGAGGTGGGCAGATCACTTGAGGTCAGGATTTCGAGACTAGCCTGGCCAACACCGCGAAACCCTGTCTCTACTAAAAATACAAAAATTAACCGGGCGTGTTGGCGTGTGCCTGTAATTCCAGCTACTCAGGAGGCTGAGGCAGGACAATCGCTTGAACCCAGGAAGCGGTGGCTGCAGTGAAAAGAGATTGCACCACTGCACTCTAGCCTAGGCAACAGAGTGAGACTCTGTCTCGAAAACAAAAACAACAAAAAAAAAGAGAAAACAGTGACTAGGCCAAGCTCTCTCACCACCTAAAACATCACCATCCAAAAGAACTTTCTGCAAGAAAGGGAAAGTCTCTATCTGCTCTGTCTAATACAGGAGCCACTGCCACATGTGGGTAGTGGTCACTACAATGGACAGCACACACGGAGGAAATAAACCTATCAGTTTCTAATCTGTAGCCTCTGACAAGGGGGATCCTGACAGACAAAAGGCCTCCACGGAAGCAAGGAGCAAATAGTGTTCCTTCTGCCTTGAGGGCCTTTGCTGCCAAGAGCCTTGATCCCAGCACCAGGCATCACTGCACCCCTGGGCAGATACACTTGGCCCTGCACTGCTGAGCTCACACCAGACACTCAGCTAATGCCTGTTTCATAAACAAGTGAATATGTACACAGAGGTTGGGCTCCATGGAGTACATCTTAGTCTAGGCACTTTATACATGTGATCTCCTTCACCTTTCACCAGTCTGATGACATAGGTCTTAGCACCCTTATTTTACGAATGGGAGAGGCGGCACCAAGGAAGAGTAAGTAGCCTGCACAGGGCTTGTGATGACAGGGTGATATATGAACATATGTAGCCAATGTATTCCGAATCAACAAATACGAAGGAGCACATATATCAACAAGTGCCCCAGAGCAATTTTTTTAAAGGAAGCCAACTCCCCGCCCCGCCCCCACAATTTCTCATTATTATATCATAGTGTTATTTCAAGGAAAGCCTATGGAAAAATAATTAAGTGGCTCAGGTAAGTGACTTCCAGACTGCCTACTTTATACGATATGGCTTTCAAGATTTAATTTTTTTTTTCTATTCCAGAAAGGAAAACCAAAAAAACCCTGAAACCCACATCATAGAAAGTTTCAATTCCCTTCAAAGCTTTGCTTCTTGTGGGGGCTGCAATACTACAGAAGAAACACTCTGGGGGTCCAGGGGAGGGGGCAGGAAGCAGCAGAACTGTGTGGAAACGCAGGAGAGGGAGTGGGCTGTTCACTGAAAGCCCCCTATTAACCCACGCAGGGCTTTCAGCAAAGGAGTGTGCTGCTTTTACTTATAAGCCGGCTTTTACAACAACACATTTCCACAGCAGTAACATTCAGCTCTCTGCAGCAGCCCACTGCTGTGCATAGCCTGTCAGCAACTCCACTGGAAGCCAAAGGATTTTAAGAGAAATTTGCTTATACTTTGATGTTGAGGGCAAAAAGCTCACTAAGTTTCCCAAATTGACATTAAAATTTTGAGTTAGTTTTATCCAGAATAGGAAGTGTACTTAAATTTATAGGGCTTTTCTTGTTGTTTTTGCGATAGGGCTCATCTGTCGCCCAGGCTGGAGCGCAGTGGCGTAATCAAGGCTCACTGCGGCCTCCACCTCCTGGGCTCAAGCGATTCTCCCACCTGAGCCTCCCAAGTTGCTGGGACCACAGGGACACAACACCATACCTGGCTAAGTTTTGTATTTTTGGCTAAGACAAGGTCTTGCTATGTTAACCAGACTGGTCTTGGACTCCTGGGCTCAAGTGATCGTCCCAAAATGTTGGGATTACAGACGTGAGCCATTGCACCCAGCCAAATTTGTAGTTTTTAAAACACTACCTTTTCTTACATAAAAAGGGCGGTTTTAGAAGAAGTCAGTAAAAATCTGGGAATTTTAATGTCAATACTGAATTATATTTATTATCTATTTTATAACAAAGTGATGTTTAGCTTGTAACTATGAAGTAGATTTAAATTTTGTAGTATCATTTGGATAGTTATCATAGACAAAATACCACTAGAAAGCAGGAGTTAAATCTTTCTGTAGAATGAAATTCATAAAGTATTAAACATTTTGATTAAAAGTACCCTGGTGGCCAGGAGCAGTGGCTCATGCCTGTAATCCTAGCACTTTGGGAGGCCGAGGCAGGTAGATTGCCTGAGCTCAGGAGTTCAAGACCAGCCTGGGCAACACAGTGAAACCCTATCTCTACTAAAATACAAAAAAAAATTAGCTGGGCGTGGTGGCATGCGCCTGTAATCCCAGCTACTTGGAAGGCTGAGGCAGGAGAACTGTTTGAACCTGGGAGGTACAGGCTGCAGTGAGCTGAGATTGCGCCATTGCACTCCAGCCTGGGCAACAAAGTGAGACTCCGTCTTAAAAAAAAAAAAAATACACCTAGTAAGTATATTTGGTTTTTTGTTTAACTTGAATGAATATGCAAGAATTCTGTTTATGCTTAATCACACAGCCTAAATTTTCCTAAACAATTCTAATTTCATATTTCCATTCCATTCCTAAAAGTAACCTTTTCATTTGTCAGGTGTATGCACTTATTTGCTTAAGGTCCAAGTAAAATATTCTTTGAAATCTGGACTCTTGATCTTCAGGAGCCTAATGTAATTTAGGAAAGAATAGCTACACAAATAGAATATTAAGATTAGTCTGCAAATAGAAATAGATGTAACACCGAGCTTTTAAAAACCGTAAGTTTTTAGGCCGGGCACGGTGGCTCACACCTGTAATCACAGCACTTTGGGAGACCCAGGCAGGTGGATCATGAGGTCAGGAGATCGAGACCATCCTGGTTAACATGGTGAAACCCTGTCTCTACTAAAAAAATACAAAAAAATTAGGCAGGCGTGGTGGCGGGTGCCTGTAGTCCCAGCTACTCAGAAGGCTGAGGCAGGAGAATGGCGTGAACCCGGGAGGCAGAGCTTGCCGTGAGCTGAGATTGCACCACTGCACCCCAGCCTGGGCAACAGAGCAAGACTCCATCTCAAAAAAAAAAAAAAAGTTTTTAAATTGTGGTCAAAAACAAACAACATAAAAATTACCATCTTAGCCATTTTAAGAGCACAGTATAATAATGTTAACTTGTATGTACACTGCTGCGCAATACATCTCAAAGTTTTTCACCGTGCTAAACTGAAACTCTATATCCACTGAACAGGAACTCCTCTTTTCCCTATCCCCCAAAGGTCCTGGAAACCACCATTCTACTTTCTGTCTCTAGGAGTCTGACTACTTTAGATACCCTATATACATGGAATCAAGCAGTATTTGTCTTTTCGTGACAAGCTTATTGAACGTAGCATAATGCCCTGAAGCTTCATCCATGTTGTAGTATATGACAGGATTTCTTTCTTTTTTAAAGCTGGATAATATTCCACTGTTAGATACATACCAGATTTTCTTTTTCCATTCATCTGTTGATGAATATTGAGGTGGCTTCCACCTCTTGGCTCTTGTGAAAAATGCTGGACTGGACATAAGTGTAAAAGTACCACTGGGCAATCCTGTTTTCAATTCTTTTGGTGGTATAACCAGCAGTGGGATTGCTGGATCAATTTTTAGTTTTCTGAGGAACCTCTATACTATTTTCCATAGCAACTGCAGCATTTTACATTCCCACCAAAAGTGTACAAGACTTCCAATTTCTCCACATCCTCGCCAACATTTATTTCCTGGTTTTTTTTTTTTTTCCTTTGACAGCAGCCATCCTAAAAGGTGTAGTTTTGATTTGCATTTCTCTAAAGATTAGTGTCAGTGAGCATCTTTTTTCTTTTTTAGAGATGGGGTCTCTTTTGCCCAGCCTGGCCTGGAACTCCTGGGCTCATGTGGTCCTTCCACCTCAGCCTCCCAAGTAGCTGGGCCTACATACAGGTGCATGCCACAGCTCTGGCTGTGGAGCAGTTTTCATACGCTCATTGGTCATGTGTATATCTTCTTTAGAAAACTGTTGATTCAAGCCCTTTGCGTATTTTTTAATTGGTTTGTTTTCATTTGTTAAGTTGCAGGAGTTGCGTATATATTGTATATATTAGCCCCTTGTGCTATCCCCTTATCAGAGATACGGTTTGCTTCCATTCTAGGTTGTCTTTTCACTCTGCTGTTTTCTTTGCCGAGCAGAAGTTTCAAAGTTTGATGTAATCCCACTTGTCTATTTCTGCTTATGCTGCCTGTGCTTTTGGTATCATATCCAATAAATTATTCCCAAATCTAACGTCATGAGGCATTTTCCTATGCTTTTGTCTAAGACTTTTATAGTTTCTGGTCTTATGTTTAGGTCTTTAAGATACTTTGCATTAATTTTTGTATCTAGGGTAAGGTAAGAGTCCAACCTCATTCTCTTGCAGGTGGACATCCAGTTTTCCCAAACCATTTGTTGAAGACACAAATTCTTGGTATCTTTGTCAAAGATCATTTAACCATATACATAAGGGTTTATTTCTGGGCTGTTTACTCTATTCCATTGGTCTGTCCTCATGCCAGTATCATACTGCTTTGATTACTGTGGCTTTGTAATATATTCTGAAATCAGGAATTGAAGCCTCTAGCTTTTTTTTTCTTTCCCCTTTTCAAGCTTGTTTTGGATATTCAATATCCTTTGAGGTTCCATATAAATTTTAGGATTATTTTTCTAAGTCTGCACAAAATGCCATTAGGATTTTGATAGGGACTGCATTCAATCTGCAGATAGCTTTAGGTAGTTATTAACATTTTAACAATATTAAGTCTTCCGATTCACAAGCAACAAGATGTCTTTCCATTTATTTGTGTCTTTAATTTCTTTTTTTTTTTGAGACGGAGTCTTGCTCTGTGGCCCAGGCTGGAGTGCAGTGGCGCGATCTAGGCTCACTGCAAGCTCCGCCTCCCGGGTTCACGCCATTCTCCTGACTCAGCCTTCCGAGTAGCTGGGACTACAGGCGCCCACCAACTCGCCCGGCTAATTTTTTGTATTTTTAGTAGAGATGGGGTTTCACCGTGTTAGCCAGGATGGTCTCCATCTCCTGACCTCGTGATCTGCCCGCCTCGGCCTCCCAAAGTGCTGGGATTACAGGCATGAGCCACAGCGCCCGGCCTGTCTTTAATTTCTTTCAGCAATGTAAAACCTTAAGGGTTTTTTTGTTTTCTAAGACAGGGTCTCACTCTTTTGCCCAGGCTGGAGTACAGTGGAAAAATCACAGCTCACTGCAGCCTTGACTCCCAGGCTCAAGCGATCCCACCTCATCAGTCTCCCACATTGCTGGGACTACTGGCACATGCCACCACACCCAGCTAATTGTTGTATTTTTTGTAGAGACACGGTCTCACTATGTTGCCCAGGCTGGTCTTGAATTCCCGGACTCAAGTGATCCACTCGCCTCTGCCTGGCAGAGTGCTGGGATTACAGGTGTGAACCACCGCACCCAGCCAAAAAGCTGTTTTTGCTTCTCAAGCAAATTCCTATGCACTTATCGAGCAAAGAAATCTATTCACTGAAATATGTTCACCATCAGTTTTGTAACTTATTCTTCAAAAACAGGTTGCTGGCCAGGCACAGCGGCTCACGCCTGTAATCCCAGCAATTTGGGAGGCCGAGGTGGGTGGATCACAAGGTCAGGAGTTCAAGACCAGCCTGGCCAACATAGTGAAACCCTGTCTCTACTAAAAATAGAAAAATTAGTCAGCATGGTGGTGGGTGCCTGTAGTCCCAGCTACTCAGGAGGCTGAGGCAGGAGAATCACTTGAACCTGGGAGGTGGAGGTTGCATTGAGCCAAGATCGCGCCACTGCAGTCCAGCTTGAGCAACAGAGTGAGACTTTGTCTCAAAAAACAAAAACAAAAAAACAGGTTGCTAAACAAGGACATTAATAAAGTCTTATTTATAAGGGCTATAATAAGATAAAATACCTACAAGATCAGAAAGGTTAATTCCTATAATTTTATTAAATTTAAAAAAAGCCATTTGGTATTCATCTACAATGTAAATGTAGTATTATGGAGGTTACAATAACTCCTCAGTCTTTAATTTCTAAACATTGAGGAGTCAAAGTTAAATAAAATTAAAATGTTTGCCGTAAGAGTTGTTAACTGCTCAGAAAATGGTTCATATGTGAAATAAAATAGAATTTAAAAACCCCATTTGTAGTTCCTAAATATCTAAGAAAAAGTTTAACATGTAATGTGCAAGACAGGTATGAAATTTTAATATATTACTGAGGGACCCAAAAGAAGACTTCAGCAGTCAAAAAGCCATACTATAGCCAGGTGTGGTGGCTCACGCCTGTAATCCCAGCACTTTGGGAGGCCAAGGCAGGCGGATCACGAGGTCAAGAGATAGAGACCATCCTGGCCAAGATGGTGAAACCCCGTCTCTACTAAAAATACAAAAATTAGCTGGGCGTAGTGGTGCACACCTGTAGTACCAGCTGGTCGGGAGACTGAGGCAGGAGAATTTCTTGAACCCAGGAGGAAGAGGTTGCAGTGAGCTGAGATGGCACCACTGCACTCCAGAACGGGCGACAGAGCAAGACTTGGTCTCAAAAAAAAAAAAAAAAAAGCAAGCCATACCATGTTTGTGAACAGACAAGTCATTATAAATATTTTTTTCTGCCTAAGTTAATTCATATAAATAATTAACAGGATTTTTTGTTTCTTCGTGGAAGGCAAGTGGATCCTAAAGTTAATATGGAAAAATAAGGAAGAACAAACAAGAAGAGTTTGGGAGAAAGCTGGGAGGGGAAAAAAGCTCTAAAAAGGGATAGCACACCTGGATATGTAAAGATATTAAAAGGCCTCTGTTACTAAAACAGACAGTTGCTGGCATCCAACAGACATACACAAAGAAGAGATGTCAAGAGAAGTCCTAAGATAGACCCGAACACATTCAGGAATGTAATACATGATAAAGATGATAAACCAGATGTCATGTAAATAAATGGTATTAGGTAGCCATCTGAAAAGATAAAGTAACTCTCACCTCACAACTGAGTAAACTTAAAATGAAGAAAATATTTAGACGTAAGAAAATAAAAACAAAAAATCTGTAACAAAACATAAGATTTCCAATACTAGACAAGATGGAGCGACAGGAACCAGATTTACTATTCCTCTGGAAAAAGCAACTAACTTAAATTATAAAAACCAAAATACATTATACGTTTTTCAAGACTGGATATCAAGCAATGAAGGACACAGGCAATCCCTGAGACACAGGAAACAAAAAGGTGAGCCCTGCAACTGCTTTGGCTTACCGCTGCTGCACAAAGAGTAAACTGAGGCAGAACCTGGCAGATGCCCTGAATTAACGACATGGAGCTGAGTCCAGGGAAAATCAAGGCAGCAAGAGCTCCCAGGACAGAGTAACCAAAGAGAAGAAAGCTGCACAGAATAGAGAACCCTAGAGATTTGCAAAGGGTCCAAAGTATCCAACAGAATCCAACAGAACATAGAACATGCAAGTGAGAAAACTACTAAAGACCCAGGAGAGGGTGGCCGCAGTTGGTGCACACCTGTAATCTCAGCACTTTGGGAGGCCAAGGCAGGTGGATCATTTGAGGCCAGGAGTTTAAGACCAGCCTAGGCAACATGTCAAAATCCCCTCTTTACTGAAAACATAAAAATTGGCAGGGTGTGGTGATGCATGCCTGTAATCCCAGCTACCCAGGAGGCTGAGGAATGAGAATCACTTGAACCTGGGAGGCAGAGGTTGCAGTGAGCGGAGATTGCGCCACTGCACTCCAGCCTGGGCAACAGAGCAAGGCTGTCTCAAAAAAAAAAAAAAAAAAAAAAAAGCCCAGGAGAGAACCATCTGAAAGAATTACAGCAGAATCGTACAGGCTGGCATGAGTGCTTGTTCTCAGCACTCCTAAGTCATCATGGGGCACTGAACGGAGTACTCGGGAAATAAATAATAATTAGCCCTTGGCTGGGCGCGGTGGCTCACACCTGTAATCCCAGCACTTTGGCTGTCTGAGGCAGACGGATCACGAGGTCAAGAGACAGAGACCATCCTGGCCAAGATGGTGAAACCCCGTCTCTACTAAAATACAAAAATTAGCTGGGTGTGGTGGCACGTGCCTGTAGTCCCAGCTTACTCAGGAGGCTGAGGCAGAAGAATTTCTTGAACCCGGGAGGCAGAGGTTGCAGTGAGCTGAGATCACACCACTGCACTTCAGCCTGGAGGGAGAGCGAGATTCCGTCTCAAAAAGAAAAAGAAAAATTAGCCCTCAACTAAGCATTGGTCCAGGTCTGCCTAACAAATCATAAAAGCAAGACCTGAAAGTATCAGACTGTTTAAGTAACTTAACTACGTCTCTGAAAGTTTAAGGTTTATAACAATACGAAAATATTTAACACCCATGAAGTAAAATTCAGCATCCAGTCAAAGACTGCCAGGCATACAACGAAGCAGAAAAGCATGACACGTAAAGAAAATAATCAACCAAAACAGACTCAGAACTGACATACAGTTGGAGTCAGCAGAGAAAGACGCTACAAGTTACTATAACTCCATTCCATATATCGGTAAGATAGGCATCTACCTATACACACCCACATAAAAACTTGTACGTGAATGTTCTTAACAGCACTATTCATAATAGCCTAAAAGGAGAAACAACTTGAATGTGCATCAACTGGTAAACAAAATATGATACCGTCATACAATGCAATATTCAGCCATAAAATGGAATACGTACTGATACATACTATAAAATAGGTGGACCTCACAAACATGCTGTATGAAAAGAAACCAGGCATAAAAGAACACAAATAGTACGATCTCATTTATATGAAATATTCAAAATAGGAAATAAGTAGTGAGAGAAAGTAGATTCGTAGTTGCGCCTGGCTGGGAGAGGTGAGGGGAAGGGAATAGCTGCCATTGGGTATGAGCATTTTTGAGGGGATAATGAAAATATATTAAAATCAGATCATGGTAACAGGTACACAACTCTACAAATACTCCATTTATTTAAAAAAGCTTTAAAAATATTTAAAGTTAAATAATTGACATTTGAATACTATATAAAATATAACTTTCAACAAACACACCATTGAAATACACATTTTAAGTTGGTGAACTGCATGATATGTGAATTAGAGCTGTTATTTAAAAAGAAAAGAAAAGAAAAAAGGCTGGGCATGATGGCTCATACCTGTAATCCCAGCACTTTGGGAGGCTGAGGGGGGCAGATCATGAGGTCAGGAGTTTGAGACTAGCCTGGCCAACATGGTGAAACCCTGTCTCTACTAAAAATATAAAAATTAGCCGGGCATGGTGGCACGGACCTGTAGTTCCAGCTACTCAGGAGGCTGAGACAGGAGAATTGCTTGAACCCGGGAGGCAGAGGTCATAGTGAGCCGAGATTGTGCTACGACACACCAGCCTGCTGGGAGACAGTGCAAGACTCCATCTCAAAAAAAAAAAAAAAACACACAAAAAGACATGAAAGATATAAAAATGGCCCAAACTGAACTTTTCTGAAGATAAAAACTACAATTATGAGATGAAAAATACACTGGATAGGACTAATGGCAGATAAGACATAAGAAAAGATTAGTGAACCTGAAGGCACAGCATTAGAAACTCTACAAATGAAAAGAGAAGGGAAAACAATACAAAAAAATGAAGGGCAGGCATAGTGGCTCACTCCTACAATCCCAGCATTTTAGGAGGCCAAGGAGGGGGGATTGCTTGGGCCCGGAAGTTGGAGACCAGCCTGGATAAGATTGTAAAATCCTGTCTCTACAAAAAATACAAAAATTAGCCAAGAGTAGTGGCATGTGCCTGTAGTCCCAGCTACAGGAGGCTGAGGTGGGCGGATCACTTGAATCCAGGAGGTCAAGGCTGCAGTGGGCTATGATCACGCCACTACACTCCAGCCTGGACGGCAGATGGAGACCTTCTCTATCTTTAAAAAAAAAAAAAAAAGTGTAAGAGTGAGCTATACAACAACATAAAATGGTCTAATAAGCAGATAATTATATGTTAAGGAGAAGGAGGCAGAAAAAATATTTACATAAGTAATGGCTGAGAGCTTTCTAAACTGATGAATTCTGTAAGCACACAGATCCAAGAAGTTCAACCAATCTCAAGCACACGAAACATAAAGAAAACCACACCAATGCACATCATAAACTGTTCAAAGCCAACAAGAGAAAATCTTAAAAGCAGCCAGAGAAAAAAGAAATATTACACACAGGGAAGCAAAGAAGGCTATCAGATTTATTGTTGCTACCAATTCAAGTGATAAGACAGGAGAGGGCCAGGCGCAGTGGCTCACGCCTGTAATCCCGGTACTTTGGGAGGCCGAGGCAGGTGGATCACCTGAGGTCAGGAGTTCGAGATGAGCCTGGCCAACATGGTGAAACCCCGTCTCTACTAAAAATACAAAAATTAGCCGAGCATGGTGGCATGCGCCTGTGATCCCAGCTACTCAGGAGGCTGAGGCAGGAGAAACGCTTGAACCCAGGAGGCGGAGGTTGCAGTGAGCCGAGATTGTGTCATTGCGCTCCAGCCTGGGTAACAAAGAAAGACCTTGTTTCCAAAAAAGAAAAAAAAAAAAAAAGACAGAAGAGAAACATCTTTAAAGTATTCAAAGAAAAAAAATGAAAAATGTCAACCTAGAGTTCAACATTAAGCAAAATCTTCAAAAACAAAGGCACAATGAAGACATTTTTAGACATTCAGAAGATGAAAGAGTTTATCACTAGCAGATCTACACTATAAAAAATGTTAAAAGATATCTTCCAGGTAGAAGGAAAATGCCAGTTGGAAATCTGTATTTATACAATGGAATGAATGGCCCTAGAAATGCTAACTACTACATGGAGAAATGTTTAAGAGTTTACTGTCCTCATTTAAGTTGCTTTAAAAGATGATTATTTTGACAAAATTAACAAAAGTAACAGGATTTATAATATATGTAAAAGTAAAATTCATAAGGACAATAGCATAAAGGCTAGGATGGGAGAAATGGAAGAAAACATAGAGGAACTCCTTAATAAATTTCTTGAGTACAATTATGACTTAAAATCCCGAAGCCATAATAGAAAAGATTAACAGAGTCAGCTATAAACTTTGTGTGGCAAACACAAAGCACTAATCAAGTATAAGCAAATCAAAAGGTAAACGACAAAAAGAAAATACATTTGTAATTCATCACAGATAATAATGTCACTAATACTGAAAGAGCCTAATGCATAAAAATTGGAAACAGCCCAATAGAAAAATGTGCAAAGAATATTTATGGCCAGTTTTCAGAAACTCAACCTATACTCATAAGAGAAATACAAATGAAAACTACATTGAGACTATAATTTTCCAAACATTAGATTGGCAAAAATCTAAAAGTTTGGTAACCTACTTTATTTGTGAAGTGTTTTTTGTTTGTTTTTTGTTTTTTTGAGATGGAGTCTCGCTCTGTCACCCAGGCTGGAGTGCAGTGGCACGATCTTGGCTCATTGCAAGCTCCACCTCCTGGGTTCATGTCATTCGCCTGCCTCAGCCTCCCCAGTAGCTGGGATTACAGGCGCCTGCCACTACACCCAGCTAATTTTTGTATTTTCAGTAGAGACAGGGTTTCACCATCTTGGCCAGGCTGGTTTTGAACTCCTGACCTTGTGATCCACCTGCCTCGGCCTCCCAAAGTGCTGGGATTATAGGTGTGAGCCACTGTGCCCGGCCTATTTGTGAAGTCATTAAAAAAAACTATTCTCATACATTGCTAGTGGGACTGTAAATTGGTAAAGCTTCCATCAAAATTACAAATACATATACCTCTAACTCAGCAGTGCACTTTTGGAATGTCACCCTGATACACATCTGTATATATGTGAAATGACATATATGTCCCAAATTATTGAATACAGCATTTTAATACCTAAAGACAGAAAACAATCCACATGAGTATCAATAAGGGCTTGCTTAAAGATCTTTTGTATATTATAAAGTGAAATTCTATGTAGGTACAAAAAGAATGAGAAAATTCTGTGAAATAAAGTTGAAATCTTTCCAAGATGTATCATATTCCATTAAATCTAAAATGTACTTTTCTCACATTTGAACATCTCTGAAATTATGCCGTATCTTATAATTAGTAACTTACAATTATAATTGGCAGCATTTTTCCTTTCTTAGAAGTACTTAGAGCCGGGTGTGGTGGCTCACACCTGTAATCCCAGCACTTTGGGAGGCCAAGGTGGGCGGATCACCTGAGGTCAGGAGTTCAAGACCAACTTGGCCAACATGGCAAAACCCCATCTCTATTAAAAATACAAAAAATTAGCCAGGCATCATGATGGGTGCCTGTAATCCCAGCTACTCGGGAAGCTGAGGCAGGAGAATCACTTGAACCCAGGAGGCGGAGGTTGCAGTGAGCCGAGATCTCGCCATTGCACTCCAGCCTGGGCAACAAGAGTGAAACTCCGTTTAAAAAAAAAAAAAGGAGAAGAAGTACTCAAAAATAATAGTTACATTCCATTGGATTTTGAAATCAATGAATTATGACATCATCAGTTGAGAACACTAAATGCAGAACCACATGGAGCACATGCTATCTCTCAATTCAAAGAGAATCTGTTTAATGCAATGTAGTGTCCTGGACTGTATCCTGAACAGAACAAAGATACTAATGAAAAACCTGGGGAAATCCAAATAAAATCTGAAGTTTAGTTAATAATTCACAATGATGTTAGCTTCTTAGTGGTGATAAACATGCTACGGCAACATAAGATGCTTTCATTTCAGGAAACCGGGTGAGCTCTCTGTATTATTTCTGTAACTTTTCTTTTGTTTTCTTTTTTTTTTGAGACGGATTCTCACTTTGTCACCAGGCTGGAGTGCAGTGGCGCAGCTCACTGCAACTTCCACCTCCCAGGTTCAAGCGATTCTCCTGCCTCACCCTCCCAAGTAGCTGGGACTACAGGCGCATGCCACCACACCCAACTAATTTTTGTATTTTCAGTAGAAACGGGGTTTCACCACGTTGGCCAGGATGCTCTCAATCTCTTGACCTCGTGATCCATCCACCTTGGCATCCCAAAGTGCTGGGATTACAGGCATGAGCCACCATACCTGGCCGTTATTTCTAAATGTAACTTTTCTATAAATCCAATTTTATTCCAAAATAAAAAGGGTAAAATAATAACTTTTTAAAGAATCTTGGCTGAGCATGATGGCTCTCGCCTGTAATCCCAGCACTTTGGTAGGCCGAGGTGGGAGAATCACTTGAGGCCAGAAGTTTGAGACCAGCCTGCACAACATAACAAGAGCCCATCTCTACCAAAAAAATTATATATATATATATATTTTATGCAAATACATTTTTTAAAAAAATTCTGGAGGGAAATGAGAAATTAAAATCTGTGAGGGATAGCAGGGGTAAGAAGAACTGGACAGATGAGGGCAAGGAGGGGCTGATGAGAGGCTCTTCACTTTATACTTATTCTCAGAACCATGTGAATTTATTTACCTACCAAAATATCAAGTGTAAAAAGTTATTACACTTTTGTGAGGGAGATTAATGGGATAAGGAGAGAGTATTCTAAATAGAGCTTGTGGTTTTTTTTTTTGAGATGGGGTCTAACTCTGTTGCCCAGGCTGGAGTGCAATGGTGCGATCTTGGCTCACTGCAACCTCCACCTCCTGAGTTCGAGCGATTCTCCGGCCTCAGCCTCCTGAGCAGCTGGGATAACAGGTGTGCGCCACCAAGCCCGGCTAATTTTTGTATTTTTAGTAGAGACAGAGTTTTACCATATTGGCCAGGCTGGTCTCAAACTCCTGACCTCAAGTGATCCACCTGCCTCAGCTTCCCAAAGTGCTGGGATTACAGGTGTGAGCCACCGCACCCGGCCTAGCGTTTGTGTTTATAACCTATAAACTATAACAGCAATCCATGGCTTGGCTAGGGATGGTGTCCACAACTCCTAAAATTCTCTACCCAATGTTATGCAAATGAATTTATGTACATTTTTCTCAGTAGAGGATACATAAGGAAACAGATTATTATGCAACCATATAATGGAACAGTATGCATCCACTAAAAAAAGATATCCATGTTTAGAAGTGTTTATGACAATAAAATATTCCACTACATTATATGAAATAGGAAGAAACTAATGATATGATAGTACTTGGAATATTTATCTTGTTGATGTGAAAGTATATGCGACATAGCAAGACTCCCTCTCAAAAAAAAAAGTGTATTTCTCTATAGACATATCTGTGTATCTAAACATGCTCTGAACAATCTAAAAACCTAACTGTGGGGCCAGGTGTGGTGGCTCACACCTGTAATCCCAGCACTTTGTGAGGCCAAGGCAGGCGGATCATGAGGTCAAGAGATTGAGACCATCCTGGCCAACATGGTGAAACTCCGTCTCTACTAAAAATAGAAAAATTAGTTGGGCATGGTGGTGTGCGCCTGTAGTCCCAGCTACTTGGGAGGCTGAGGCAGGAGAATTGCTTGAACCCGGGAGGCAGAGGTTGCAGTGAGCCAAGATTGCACCACTGCACTCCAGCCTGGTGACAGAAAGAGACTCCATCTCAAAAAAAAAACTTACAAAAGGGCCGGGCGTGGCACACCTGTAGTAAACCCAGCACTTTGGGAGGCCGAGGCGGCAGATCACTTGAGGTCAGGAGTTTGAGACCAGCCTGGGCAACATGGTGAAACCCCATCTACTAAAACTACAAAAATTAGCCGGGTGTGGTGGCAGGCGCCTGCAGTCCCAGCTACTCGGGAAGCTGAGGCAGGAGAATCACTTGAACCCAGGAGGTGGGGGTTTGCAGTGAGCTGAGGGCGCACCACTGCACTCCAGCCTGGGCGACAGAGCAAGACGCTGTCTCGAAAAAAAAAAAAAAAAAAAAATTGGGAGGCCGAGGTGGGCTGATCACAAGGTCAGGAGATCGAGACCATCCTGGCTAACACAGTGAAATCCCATCTCCACTAAAAATACAAAAAATTAGCTGGGCATGGTGGTGGGTGCCTGTAACCCCAGCTACTCAGGAGGCTGAGGCAGGAGAATGGCGTGAACCCAGGAGGCGGAGCTTTCAGTGAGCCAGGATCGCGCCACTGCACTCCAGCCTGGACGACAGAGCGAGACTCAGTCTCAAAAACAAAAACAAAAACAAAAACAAAACAAAACAAAAACTAACTGTGGTAGTCATTAGTGCTGTTCACCAAATATTTCTGGCCTGTTGGATGGAACCATTTGATTACTTCTGGCCTGTGAGCTATGAGTGGAAAAAGGCATCTAAATGTTAATTCCAGACCTTCCACAGCTCTTTTCCCTCTGCACAGGGACCAGCAATACTGAGAAGATGCTGCTCATCAGCCCATGTCCCCAAGCAGTCACAACAAGCACAGTTCCCTGCTGAAGCACAGCACCTCTGCAAAAAAGAATTACGTCTGTATTTTCAGCTGCTGAGATTTGGGGGTCTTATTTTTTATTACCACATATGTTAGTCCGTTTTCACGCTGCTGATAAGGACATCCCCGAAACTGGGCAATTTACAAAAGAGGTTTAACAGACTCAGAGTTCCACGTGGCTGGGAAGGCCTCATGATCATGGCAGAACATCTCACACAGCAGCAGACAAGAGAAGAGAACTTGTGCAGGGAAACTCCCCTTTATAAAACCATCAGATCTCATGAGACTTATTCACTATCATGAGAACAGCACAGGAAAGACCTGCCCCCATGATTCAATTACCTCTCACCAGCGTCCCTCCCACTACACATGGGAATGTGGGAGCTACAATTCATGAGATTTGGGTGGGGACACAGCCAAACTATATCACCACACAACCAAGTCTAACCTAACTAATGGAATTAGCTATTCTTTGCTATTAGGATCACTGATGATTTTTTTTCTCTCTCTCTGCGTTCTTTTTTTAAAAGTAATGAGCACCTATATCATAGAAACTTTATTTGTGGGCTGGGGAGAGACGCAGGTTTAGCAGGAGCCTTAGCACTGAAGAGACAGTAACTACACCAAGGCTATTATCACCACATCTCGACTTAGAGAAGCTTGAAACCATCAGCTTCCAGCCAGCTACTGGATGGAAACCAGAAGCTTAACCATCCGTTAAGATCTTCCATCTCCCTTTGTTCCAATTCTGTGCTCATTGAGTAACCTAAGAGCAGTGAAAAAAAACAAGATGCAGAACAATGAGAATAATGTGGTGTCATTTGAGGTGATAGAAACGGACACACACACACACACACACACACACACACACACACAAATACACAAAACATCTCTGGTAAGACACACAAGAGGTTAGTAATATTGACAGATTATGGGGAGGGAAAACAGGAAAGTGCCTTAGTCTATGTTGTTTACTCTTTTGTTATCTTTTGAATTTTGAACCTACATGCATATATTACCTATTAAAAAATAAACAAAATAAAATGAAAAACTTAAAAAAAAGAAAGCAACTCTAGGTGAAGAGGTATAATGCTGTCTAGTTGGCCACATTTGAAAAATACAGGAAGCCTAACCAAGGGCCAGGCATAGGCCAATGATAAATGCGTCATGAAACTAGAAACCTGGCTGTACCACAAGTGCAGGCTTAAAGGGGAGGAAGACCAGCACTACTTAGTCAAACACATTCTAAATGCTGCCCACTGACATTCGAGAAACTGCAGAAAAATTATTTCTAAAACTATTAAGCTTCCAACGTCAAGGCTTTTATTATTGAATCTTGATCCCATGTGAAAGCTTGAGCATGTTAAATTCCACTTCTTACAAGATTAGCACTATGACTTATTTTTCCCCTCCAGTAAGAACAGACTGAATTACCTCTGAAGAAAAAATGAAAAGACACTGCGCAAGATTTTAATAAAGAGAGGAAAGCATCCAAAAAGGTACCGATAGTAAACAGCACTGAGTGACATCACATGCGGTAACCTGTGATCTCCCTATTGCCTAGCTTCGTGTAAGCATGTGACACACAGATTAGAAACCCTGGAACAATTAAACCAGTAGATCCACCTTGAAACATTCCCAAGAGTGCCAAAGTATTTGTTATCTTCCCTTATTCGAAATAAAAGACTTAAAGTGGTTGACTTTACAGGCACACACTCTGTCTAGCTAAGGACGAGGAGTTCCTGGAAATGGAACTTGAACGGAATCCACAGTCTCTGTGGAGATCCATTCCTGGCATGCTACACTGGCAATGGCTCAGCTCTTCCAGTCACTCCACATTCACCGAAGTCAGGACCTGTCACTGGCCATAATTCTAGTTACACAACTGTTAGTCAAACTTCCAAGCTACAGTGATGTTTATAAAGCCTTTCATAAAAATCACACAACTTCCAAGTCCTTAATTGCATACTTATCTTTACCTGGTTTCCTTAAACATTTCCTTGAAAAGGCCTCGTGAAGCTTGCATTTATTATTATTATTATTATTATTATTATTATTATTATTATTATTATTATTATTTTGAGACAGAGTTTCCCTCTTGTTGCCCAGGCTGGAGTGCAATGGTGCCATCTTGGCTCACCACAACCTCCGCCTCCCGGGATCAAGCGATTCTCCTGCCTCAGCCTCCCGAGTAGCTGGGATTACAGGCATGCGCCACCACGCCCGGCTAATTTTGTATTTTTAGTAGAGACAGGGTTTCTCCATGTTGATCAGGCTGGTCTCAAACTCCCGACCTCACGTAATCCACCTGCCTTACAGGCATGAGCCACCACACCTGGCCTTTTTTTTTGCGGGGGGCGGGGCAGGAGGGGGACAGAGTCTTGCTCTGTCCCCCAGGCTGGAGTGTAGTGGCACGATCTTGGCTCACTGCAACTTCAGCCTCCTGGGTTCAAGCGATTCTCCTGCCTCAGCCTCTCAAGTAGCTGGGATTATAGGCATGCACCACCATGCCCAGCTACTTTTTTTGTATTTTAGTAGAGAGGGGGTTTCACCATGTTGGCCAGGCTGGTCTTGAACTCCTGACCTCAGGTGATCTACCCGCCTCTGCCTCCCAAAGTGCTGGGATTACAGGTGTGAGCCACTGTGCCCAGCTGAAGCTTGCATTTTAAACACCCAGTTTAGTACTCACCTTTCCACTGCTTCTAACAAATCCGCCCTGTCACATGCATATGCTTTCTCAACATTCACTGTCAAAAATGCCCTACCAGGACACAACATAGTGACAATAACACATTCAATTTAAGGATAATGGTTGAGAGGGAACCAGCTAAGAACTTACAATAATAGCACTAAGAGCACAGAGGAAAAAAAAAATAACAATAACGTAATGGAATGCAGCAGGCGCTGTTAAGAACCAGCCATATCCCCTTCCCATTTTCAGCACAATTTCCAATTTCCAATTGTACCACTATTTCTTTCAGGGCTTTCTCTGGCCTAAAGAGTCCATTTTGCCTACTGTCATAGGACTTGAAAATGATCATTCCCCACTCCCCAGCAAGACACAAGCAGGGGTAAGTGACTGGCATATAAATATCCCACGCCCTCAACCCTCAGTGAGGAAAACTCTGCAGCGTGTGTCCTATACTGGCTCCCAGGGTTCCCCTGCGGCCTCTAACTCCATTCCCACAGTAGTAACCTGCCTGATAATGAGCTATTTGTGGCTTGCCTTTCCTTACCATCTCACTTCCCCACTCCCCTGTGAGTGCTTCCTGGGATCATTTCCCAAAGGAAGTACTTTCACTGGATCCTTGACTCAGCATCTGTTCTGGGGAATGCAAAGCAAGACACTGACTGCAGACATATATATGCCTACTTAGTTTTAGTAAAATATTTTAAGGGCCAGGGGCAGGGGCTCATGCCTGTAATCTCAGCACTTAGGGAGGCTGAGGCTGGAGAATCGTTTGAACCCGGGAGGTGGAGGTTGCAGCGAGCCAAGATTAAGCCACTGCACTCCAGCCTGTGCAACAAGAGCGAAATTTTGCCTCAAAAAAAAAATTGTTTTTTTCAAAGACAAATAGTTACAACGAAGCAGCACTGCATGATGGTGTTATGTTCAATGGGATGTGTAACAGGTACACAAAAAATTGGCTTTTTCTAAAAAATAGCTTTTATAGCATTAAACAACAAAACTTAATATTTATATTCATAAGTCTCTATATTAAAATAATATTTGCTGCCCGGGAATGGTGGCTCATGCCTGTAATCCCAGCACTTTGGGAGGCTCAGGTGGGCAGATCACCTGAGGTCAGAAGTTCGAGACCAGCCTGGCCTACATGGCAAAACCCCATTTCAACTAAAAATACAAAAATAAGCGGGTGTGGTGATGTGTGCCTGTAGTCCCAGCTACTCGGGAGGCTGAGGCAGGAGAATCACTTGAACCCAGGAGGCAGAGGCTGCAGTGAGCCAAGATCGCACAACTGCACTCCAGCCTGGGGAACAGGGCAAGACTCCATCTCAAAAAAAAAAAAAAAAAAAAAAAAAAGAATATTATTTGTTCTCTGAAATCATTTTAAACTAAGAGTTCCAGCCAGGTGCAGTGCTCATGCTTGTAATCCAAGTACTTTGGGAAGCCTGGGCAGGAGGACAGCTTGAGCCCAGGAGTTCTAGACCAGCCTGGGCAACAGAATGAGATCTCATCTCTACTAAAAGTTTGTGTGTGTGTGTGTGTGTGTGTGTGTGTGTGTGTGTGTGTGTGTGTGTGTTTCTGGAGATGGTGTTTCACACTTGTTGCCCAGGCTGGAGTGCAATGGTGTGATCTCAGCTCAACGCAACCTCTACCTCCCGGGTTCAAGCGATTCTCCTGCCTCAGCCTCCCAAGGAGCTGGGATTACAGGCACACGCCACCACGCCCGGCTAATTTTGTATTTTTAGTAGAGATGGGGTTTCTCCATGTTGGTCAGACTGGTCTCGAACTCTCGATCTCAGATGATTTGCCTGCCTCAGCCTCCCAAAGTGCTGGGATTACAGGCGTGAGCCACCGTGCCTGGCCTACTAATAATTTTTTTAAAAATTAGCTGGGCATGGTGGTGTGCACCTGTAGTCTCAGCTACTCAGGAAGCTGAGGTGGGAGGATCACGAGCACAGGAAATGGAGGCTGCTATGATTGTGTCACTGCATTCCAGCTTGGCCAAGAGAGCAAGACTGTGTCTCAAAAAAATTTAAAAAAAAAAAAATTTAAATAAGAATTCCTAATCCAGAGCTTTGATTAAAAAAAACAAAAAAAAATCTGAGTTTATTGGGAATTTAATGGTTAGCTTTCAGAATATCCCACATATCTTTATTTTGGAAATTCCCAAAACTCTCACATTAAGAAAAAATTCTATTAGCACTGTGGCAGGAAATGGTTGTCTTCTGAATCCATAAATTTAAGCTCTAAAAATCTGATCAATGCTACCTGAAAAGGCCCCCATGGATAAGGGATGCTTTGAGGTATTTCTTCCTTTTCCTGCCTTCCTCAGTAAGACAGATTTCATTAAATTTTTTTTTTTTTTCATTTTGGAGCAAAGCTGTTATTCACTTCAGGTTAAACGTGATGTCTTTTTTTTTTTTTTTTTTTTTTTTTAAGATAGAGTCTCGCTCTGTCGCCCAGGCTGGAGTGCAGTGGTGCCATCTCGGCTCACTGCAAGCTCCGCTTCCAGGGTTCACGCCATTCTCCTGCCTCAGCCGCCTGAGTAGCTGGGACTACAGGTGCCTGCCACCACGCCTGGCTAATTTTTTTTTGCATTTTTAGTAGAGACGGGGTTTCCCTGTGTTAGCCAGGATGGTCTCGATCTCCTGACCTCGTGATCCACCCGCCTTGGCCTCCCAAAGTGCTGGGATTACAGGCGTGAGCCACCGCGCCCGGCCAATGTGATGTCTTCATTCTTGTTAGTGGCAGAATACACGAGCAATGTGGGACGGGTCTGGGGAAGTTGGAAAAGAATCTCTCCCTCATGCTGGAGTAGAGTCGATTCCCACTCCCAGCTATCACCCACCACACAACTGCCACCACAGGGGCAACGGCTCTGCCAAGAAGCAGAAAGCAGACTCGTGTTGCTGTGATCCAGAACAGTTCCTGCTGGTTCTGGAGGGGAAAATAGAAAACCTTTAAAACCTATTTTAAAACTCCTTTCCAAGGATCCCATTCATTCAGAGGCACACATCTTGTTTGACTCTCTATGAGTTTTACAGATAAGGTCTTCCATGCAAAACAGCTGGCGGCACCAGGTTGTACCTTGCCTGACCCAGTCTGTGTGCTAGTGTCAATTCCCAGACGTCAGTGGTCCAGTCTGAAATCTCTACCACATCTTTTTCAGCAGCTATTACAAGGATGAGACTATCAAACGCACTCAAACATGTCTGGATTGAATTAGTGCTGTATGCCCTTTCAGTTACAGTAGTTTAAAATTAGAATATATTAATAGTGGAGTTAAAATCCCAGCCTCAGCTGTGTTTGTTAGATAAACTCAAAGCTTTTTTGACAGTTCATTGTCAGAAAGAAAAGAGATGCATATTAAGATGCTTCACTTTCACGTATTAGCTGCTTCCAACAAACTATCTAATGACAGTATTACAATAATAAATTCCAAGAGCAAACTGAGAACAACTCCCCAAAATTTAAGACCGACATTTTAATTCTATTATACATTCATGTCAAAGCAGTTCTTCCCCAGCACCCATAAAAGAATGGAAAATTAGAATGCTTTTCAGTTCAAGTCACACAGTTAAATCTAGTTCCCGAAATATTTAGCAATCTTTATCTTTAGTGCCTTCAATTTAAGAAGCAATACTCAGCTTAAAGGTGCTCTGTAATTACTTCTTACCGAGAATAAACAAGAAATCTTATTTTAAATTATATCCTCTGGGATAGCAAGAGATCCAAATTAGAGATATAGAACTAATTGAAATGTAGACCTTTTCCTTTAGATGTATTTTAATAGAGATAGGGTTTTCGGTGAATTATTAACATATACTTATATATGATCAGTTACATACCAAAATGACACTATTCCCTGTTGTTTAAAGGTTAAAACACAGACACACACACACACACACACACACACACACACACGAAAAGACACACAAGACAGATTTTCACCAGACATTGGAAAAATTATTCATATATATATATTTTTGAGATGGAGTCTCACTCTTTCACCCAGGCTGGAGTGCAGTGGCACAATCTCTGCTCACTGCAACCTCTGGTTCAAGTGATTCTCCTGCCTCAGCCTCCTGAGTAGCTGAGATTACAGGTGCATGCCAACACGCCTGGCTAATTTTGTATTTTTAGTAGAGATGGGGTATCACCATGTTGACCAGGCTGGCCTTGAATTCCTGTCCTCCAGTAATCCACCTGCCATGGCATCCCCAAAGTGCTGGGATTACAGACGTGAGCCACTGCGCCCAGACCAAATTATTCATTTTGTATAGGAATGATCGAGTGACATTTCCAACACACAATTCTTTCAAACTGATGCTATTTAAATGATGAAAAGAGCAAAACTACATAATGACTAATTCTTTCATTACCTGTCTTCATTCAGATGATGATTTAAGAGTGTATTCTTTCTCAGTCTTCAGGGAAAAGGGGCATGTTATAAATCTTCACATCCCTTGCCCCTCCATTCTTTAATAACACTTGGCCCAATTCAAGTAGTTACTCAATAAATACTTGTTGAATGGATACATTAATTAATTCCATAGCACCATTCATATAAATATAGATAATAAATGAGCAAAACGCAAAGAATGATTCAGCTGAGATGGTCCTAAAATTGAGAGAAGGCTTTGCAGAATTCAGAATTTGTAATGATAGTATTGCATTATGGATTGGATATAAAAAGATCAATGTCATAAATTGCAAAGCAGTGCCAAGAAAGTAATGTTACTTTCAAATGAGAACTTGAAAGAACAATAAATATCACAGACATCAGGAACAAGATGTTTTTATTTTGTAAAAAGTACACTGCCAACCAAATTTTAATGGTATAAAACTGAACTACCTGAGAAATGAAGTTGATATGTGATCTTATGCAACTAGAATTAATTTATCCAGCCTAGCTTCTTCAGCTTTTCAGACTCAAAGACAATGAATAGGACCAAATTTTTGAGCCAACTGGTGAATGAAGCATTCTCTAAGAGAACTGCTCCTCTAGAATATAAATAATGCTGAGATTAAAGAAGCTGTATAAAAGACCAAGAGATTAAAGTTAGAATTGTTTTAAATTGGAAAGATATATAGATACACACACACACACACACACACCCATTCAGATTTGTTTTTTGCTTACTGCCCGTATCTGAGGCATTTGAAAGTCAACGTGAATAAGAATACTTCATTTATTTATTTATTTATTTTTTGAGATGGAGTCTCACTCTGTCACCCAGGGTGGAGTGAAGTGGCGCAATCTCAGCTCACTGCAGGCTCTGCCCCCAGGGGTTCACGCCATTCTCCTGCCTCAGCCTCCTGAGTATCTGGGACTACAGGTGCCCGCCACCACGCCCGGCTAATTTTTTGTATTTTTAGTAGTGATGGGGTTTCAGCATGTTAGCCAGGATGGTCTTGATCTCCTGACCTCGTGATCCACCCGCCTCGGCCTCCTAAAGTGCTGGGATTACAGGCGTGAGCCACCGCACCCGGCAAGAATACTTTTTAAATTAAAAAAAGAATATAGAAGCACTTCCCTGTTTCCCAAGTTAGCATTTCATGACATTTCCCTCTTGCCAAATTCAGTAAATAGGATATAAATCTGTCTATTAGTCAAATAAATGTCTAGAAAGAACTAAATGACCACAAAAAAAAAAAAACAGGAGTAGCTGTTATAGTTATAACAACTCATTGTGAGTACCCTTTCCACAAGAGCCTATGAAAGTGAAATTCAATTTAAAAAGAAAAACTGAATATTACCAAAAAATATCTACCACCCAAAACCTGGCATTCATATTAATCCAATGAAATATCGCAGAAACTACTTTCAGTATTAACTATCACAGAAACCAACAAAACCTTTCATATAAAGACAAATTTCAACTTAAGTCATAAACATACCAATGCTGCTCTACAGTTACAGAAAACTGAATCTGCTACCTAAGATTAAGACCAGCAAACAGGAAAGGACGGAACCAAGAATGACAACTAACAGATTAAATTCTACAGTTTAAAGTCATATAAAAGAACTGCAAAGTAGTCAATGATCTGAATACCTTTGTTGGAGCAGTATCCATGAAAAGCTATAGAAAAAAAAAAAAGAGAGAGAGAAAAGGGCGTAAAACTTTCATATAAACTAGAGAGTCCAGATGAGATCTACACATTCCAGTTCAATATCCTTGAGTTTAGGAAGGTTACAATCAATTTTGGAAAATGTTTTCAAAAGTAATCCCTGCCTAATATGGACGTCAATTCTTCTTATAACACTAGAAATCAAATGACTCACTTTGGAAGCTAAAAATGAAATAGTGGAAAGAAACAATATTTGAAGATTAGTTAGTTCCTGCGAACCAGTCTGTTTGTCTCTAATACAATCTCTTCCATATTTGTCCTCAACAACTCCGCACCTACTTACCTCATTCATAAAGATGCCTGATCTAGATGAGGCGTGGCTTTGAGATGTTCAGATGGTCTGTCCATGTTTGCATGTCAACTTACAGATCCTTATAACAATGTTAATGTGAAGGATTTACTTAGGTTATACAAATATTCAGTAGCTAAGATGGGAAGGAAAACAAAAAATACTGGCTACTAAAATTCATTTTTCCCAGGGTAATAAAAAATAGATTTAAAGATCTCATTTCTTCTTTATATCCTATTCCCAACCTTTCCAAATAACTTGTCTCTCTGCTACACATTAAGCATGGAAAGGTCCTTTGAAAGCAATTTGTTTTACAAACAAAAAAACAAAAAAAGACCCTGTCTGCCAATAATATGCACCATTAGTTTCAAATCTTTTGGATAATCGTCTGTGAAACACTATTTTAAAACATATACAAGAGCATTTTTTAAATTAACCACTCTGAAAATTTATATTCTATCAGTAAATAATTTCATATATTGTTTTATTTTCTACCTCAGGCTCTCCCATGGTAGAGGGGTCTCCCATCTTTAAGAAGACCTCCCCAACAATAAGCTTAGCTGCAATTTAATATTAGGCAATATAAGTCTTCAGTATAATAAAAATACATAACAATAGCCTCAAGAATGAAGTAACAGCTTTGGTTTATTCCTCCTTTTACAGGGAATCTTTCTAAAGAGAAACTCTAACATTTATCCCAAGGCAGAAAAGATGATCACCACGGCACCAAACCTCCTCCGCTGCTCTGACAAATACAGAGCCAGCCTCATCTGGAGCATTTCTGCCCTGAGCTCGCTCTCAGAAGCAGACAGAGGAACACACTGCATTTCCACTGTGCTGATTCACTGAACCTTTTGTGCAAGTACACGGGAATGTTTGCTTCTTAGCTTGAAACCCTTCCAGCCGTGATGACTGTGCCTCAGCCTGCCCTTTGTCCTCGCAGCTGCTGTCACGCGTGTGACACAAGAGAACACTGATGCAGCCCTGGCCATCAATGGGCATCAAGCCAGGCACTTCATATGCATCCCCTTCATTTCATTCTCACAACAAATCTGTGGCAGATGAAAGCATCGAGGCTCCAAAAGGTTACTAATAATCTGTCTGTGCTCAACCCTGGGATGGGGCAGAGACTAGGTTTCCCCAGTGTCCTCATGCCTAGTGGCTAGCTTAGCTGGCCTCATAGAATTGGCTCTTCAAAAACTCTTTGATTAAAGTTTTTCTTCCCTAAAGATTTCAACCGCAATATGCGATATGGTTACTCTATATGCTAGTTCTCCCTCAGACCCTCCCAGTGTTATTTTCTCAATTAACACTGAAAACATAAACTCCATGAGAGCAGGGACTATCTCTAGCAGTGCTCTATTTTTAGCACTTGAGGGGAAGAAAGCTTGGCAGAGTAGGTATTCATTTGCACATATTCATTATGCATTTGTTGAATGAATAAAATATCCGGAAAACTGGGGCTGTTAATGACAGTCAATTTGGAAAACAGCATGACCTGCAGAAGACCTGAATGATGTACTTGTTTTGCTCATTTTCCTCAAATTCAGTAGGTAATTATTCATCTCCTAGCCTAAGTAGCACAGGACTAACTAGGAGATATCCAATAAATCATTTATGTACAACTCTGTGAAGCAGCTTTATCTGCTGGCAACAGTAAAAGTCAGGTAGTCATGGCTTTGCCAAAAAGAAACTACATCATTGTGGCCCAATTTTATCTCTGGCCCTTTGGCTTCTTCACAGGGGAATGTGGAGGGTTTTGATCTCTTGAAATTCTTTCCCCTGTCCTATCAATTCAGTGATTCCCACAGACTATCTCAGAAATTTCCAAGAAATGTCACTTGTGTGCATCAATGCCTTTCTTCCATCCTAAAAATCCACAGTGTGGTTTCAGTCCAGCTCTTCCTAACCCCAGCAGAAACTGGGAACATTCCTTCCCATTCAAAAGCACAGAGCAATTACAATTTGCACTGACTGGCAACTCCCTGGCATCAGTACCATTTCTGCAACACAATTATTCCACCTTCCATTCATGTCTGTGCCCAACTACTCTGTATGTCCACTTAAGGAGTGACATTTGAAACTGTCAAACTGTTGCCTCCACGTGGTGTTGGAGTGCCTGAGGAATTAGATTTAAAGCAGATAACTAACATGAATATCAGAAGTGAAGATGTTGAAGAATTAAGCAAGCATAGAAATCAAGAAAACAAATTCACATTACAGACAAATTTAAGTGTAAGTAAAGGAGAACCAAGACATAGGCAAGAAGAAAAATGCACACTACACACTATGATGGGCTTCAATTCCTGAAACTGGATAATCTACTATAACACAAAACTCTTGAAGAAAAAGCAATTTTTTTCCTTGACTCAGTGTTCTACATAACAGCATTCCTTTTCTATCAAGAAAAATATACTTCCATCACTGCAATGAATATGCATGACTATTTTACATAGTAAGCATGCAATAAATACTTCTTGAATTAATGAATAAATTTTCCCTGTCTAATGTCTGCTGTGAATTTTAAAGATCTTAAAAAGGAAGGAGGGAGGAGACAATGCTGTATTTGTTTATTTGATGAGTATCCAATATATCACCATTAATTAGTGCTTTAAAATGGCAATCCTGACCTCAATTAGTGTTTTTCCAATAAAATTATTTACTATTATAATACAGACAGTCTTTAAAAGTTAGATCATGGCAGACACTCGAAAACTTGTTTTTAAAAAGGTAAAGAAATTTAACACAAACCACCAAGAATCTTTTAGCCAGTAGCTATTACCAATATTCTTTACTAATCAGAATTTTTCTTTTCTTTCTTTTTTTTTTTGAGACGGAGTTTCACTATGTCTCTTTTGCCCAGGCTAGAGTGCTGTGGAATGAACACAGCTCATTGCAGCCTTGAACTCCCAGGCTCAAGTGATTCTCCCACCTCAGCCTCCGGAGTAGGGGTTTTGCCATATTGGCCAGGCTGGTCTTGAACTCCTGGGCTCAAGCGATCTGCCCGCCTTGGCCTCCCAAAGTGCTGAGATTACAGGCATGAGTCACTGCTCCCAGCCTAATCAGAAATTTTAAAAATAAAAATAGTAAAATAAATCAAAGCTCTGCAACAACTATTACATCTTATAAATTATCAAACATAGATATATGCAGTAGTGTTAGAGTCTTTAAATTTTTTTTTCCTGAGGAAAGGAGAAAGTACACTGCCATGAATGGAGGTCCCTATTTAAGGGATGGGAAAATAGAGATAAAGATTCAGACCTCTGACATTAAGGAGGTTCATAGAAAAATCTAGTATTTTTTCCTTGAAAACCCTCCTCAACCTCCCCACTTCCTCCAGTTTCCTAGACTAGTAACAGCTCATTCTGATCTGTACCCAGCATCTTTTTAGCTTTAATGCTTACAGTTTACACCGCCTGTTTTGTTTTGTTTTTTGAGGTGGAGTCTCACTCTGTCACCCAGGCTGGAATGCAGTGGCGCAATCTCAGCTCACTGCAACTTCCATCTCCCTGGTTCAAGAGATTCTTCTGCCTCAGCCTCCCAAGTAGCTGGGACTATAGGCACGTGCCACCATGCCCAGTTAATTTTTGAATTTTTAGTAGAGAAGGGGTTTCACCATGTTGGCCAGGCTGGGCTCGAACTCCTGACCTCAGGTTATCCACCCACCTCAGCCTCCCCAAGTGCTGGGATTACAGACGTGAGACACTGTGCCCGGCCTACACTGTCTTTATGACCTTTTGTTTTCATGGTGGACTGAAACTGAACTAGCAGTATAGTTCAAGTAAAAAAATCCGTGTCATTGCACATGGCAAGAGGTGAATGAATGGCTCCGTGAGAGGTGGATGGGGTTGGAATGAGAGTTAAACCCCTTAGTCTGCTCCTAGTAAGAGTAAATGCCCAGTATAGTGGTGTGGGTGGCTAGATACTAAACAATAGTGATTATATAACAAATGATGACAGGAACAAAAATAGGGATTAAGCATCCTATATTAAATACACACACACGAAGTATCCTGGGATCTATGGGAATTCAATTTACAGATTAAATAGGCTGCAATAAAAATGTCAAGGGACTAAGTTAAAAAATGATGTATTTAAGGGCAGGGTGGACAGAAGTGACAATATGCATTAATTTTTACAAACCTACTCCACTGTGAAAGAATCTTGTCAATCCAATATTAAGTGCTGGCAAGGATGTGGAATAATTGGTGCATTGCTTGTGGGAACGCTGGCGGCGTAGCCATTCGGAAAAAGAGTCTGACAGTTCCTTAAAACATTAAACGTGGAGATACCATGTGATCCTGCCATTCTACTCCTGGGTGTTATACTGAAAACATGTCCATGCAACAACCTGTATATGAATGTTCACAGCAGCATTATTCCTAATAGCCAAAAAGTCCACTGAGGAATGGATAAAGTCCATATGTACTCTGGCCTGGCGTTTTCACCTCTAGAAATACACTCTATAGATATAGTCACACATATAAACAGACACATACATTGATGCTACTGCAGCCATTTGCAATAGGGACTGGAAAACCCCCAAATAACCAGCTATTTATTACTACTAAATAAATCATGATTTGGCCATATAATGCAGCCATCAAAAGATAACTAATCAGCTGCGGGCGGTGGCTCACGCCTGTAACCCCAGCACTTTGGGAGATCTAGGCTGGGGGGGATCACGAAGTCAGGAGTTCCAGACCAGCCTGGCCAACATAGTGAAACCCCATCTCTACTAAAATTACAAAAATTAGCCGGGCATGGTGGCGTATGCCTGTAGTTCCAACTACTCAGGAAGCTGAGGCAGGAGAATTGCTTGAACCCGGGAGGCAGAGGTTGTGGTGAGCCGAGATAGCTCCACCGCACTCAACCCGGGCAACAGAGCAAGACTCCGTCTCAAAAAAAAAGAGAACTAATCTTGCTGGTATGGCACAATTTCCAGAAACTTGAATGTGCACAGAAAATTGAAGGAGGAAAAACATTACCAAGGGAGGAAGACTCCATAAAACTCATTTGATAGGCTGGGTGAAGGCTCACGCCTGTAATCCCAGCACCTTGGGAGACCAAGGCGGGCGGATCACAAGGTCAGGAGTTTGAGACTAGCCTGGACAACATGGTGAAACACTGTCTCTACTAAAAATACAAAAATTAGCCAGGCATGGTGGCGGGCGCCTGTATTCCCAGCTACTTGGGAGGCTGAGGCAGGAGAATCCCTTGAACCCGGGAGGCAGAGGTTGCAGTGAGCCGAGATTGAGCCACTGCACACCAGCCTGGGCAACAGAGCGAGACTCTGTCTCAAAAAAAAAAAAAAACTCATTTGATAATGTTTGACTTTTTAGAAGTGTGCATGCACTGCTTTTTAAATTAAGAAAACAATAATGGAGGGAAAAACACGTTGAGAAGGAAGGGACCAGTTTGCCACTTGCTGAGGACAGGCCTCAAGCCTTCCCCCAAAAGCCCAATAAAAAGTAATCTGAACTCTGTATCTGAAGATACTTTAATTGGCCTTGTATATCACACTGCAACAGACTGATTAAGTATCATTTTTCCAGGAAGCCAAGACTATCACTGAGGGACACCTAGAGAAGTCACAGGGAAAGGTGACTATAACCTTTACTCCCCTGGAGCTCCCTTACATTAAAGCTGGACCCTTCCGTTATTAGGGCTTGCAATCTGATAGGATTTTTTTTTTTTTTTAGCAGCAGCAAGATTTATTGTGAAGAGCAAAAGAACAAAGCTTCCGCAGCGTGGAAGGGGACCAGAGCGGGTTGCCCTCTGATAGCATTTTTATTTCCTGTAACGCACCCCTCCTCAGTATTCTGCTTGGTTCTATTTTTCTGAAGTTGATTAATTGGTGACTGCCTCACGAAGACTAGCCACATATTTCATCTCCATCAAGAAGAAAGATTTATTCCAATGACTTTGCTGTCACAAACCTTCTGATTGAAAACCCAAATGTTCATCAACAGGGACTGTCTAAATAGGTTAAAAAACATTCAAATCTACATAAACATTTAAATCCATACGTACTTGTTAATGGTTTTATTCATAAAACCGTATGTACATTGGCCTAAGCAGTAATTAAAATCAAGTAAGCCAGTCTTATATGCACCAACTCAGAACAATCATTCTAATAAGAAACACTATGAAAACGGAAAAATGTGCAAAACAACATGTGTGCTACTCGCACGTGTATGGTAGAGAATATATAGTATATATAGTATGCATGCACAGCCTATTTCTAGAAGGCTTCACAAGAAACTGGGAAGAGTAGTTGCCTCTAGAGAAGGACACTTGGAGACTGTGAGACCAACTTTTCTGCACGTACTCCTGTGCACCTTTAGAATTGGAGTTCTGTACCATGTAAATGCATTACTTGTCCTAAAATTAAATCCCATTCAACACAGATCCTTTCAAGAGGTATAAACAATAACGGGCAGAAACTATGTATAGGCCCACCCGTTCCCAGCCCCATCCGTCCTCGGCGAGGCCCTCTCCTGGGAAGGGCACAACGTTAGCGGGACTTGGCTTCTCAGTCTCAGCAGGCTTCACCTCCCGCACACCCCCCGCAGCTACCGGCCGGGGACTGGTACTCAGGGCAACCCCTTCCTATGCCCGCTCTGGTTCCCAAGGGCCATCCACCAAAGCCGAGAAACCCGCTCTGCTCTCAGCTTCATTTCAAAACGAACTTAGTTTCCAGATTGTCCATGAACCTAGAATATTATTTCTCCTAAACGTCTGTGTTTGTCTAAACACTTCCACTTAATGTTCTCGCCACTCCAGCTTACCTGGTTTATCAAAGGCTAGGGGCTGGAAACAGTTTTTAATAACGCCACGCACCGAGGTTGACACATTCCCCGCCACTGAAAACAGACTGCCAATTCCCTCAAAATCGTGGACAGCTCTGCTGTTTACACAGCGTTGCCACATACATCATCACATTTAATGCCTTCACACGCGTCACTGTCAATCCCAGCAAACCTAACAGCTGCCAAATTGGATTTATGAGTCTCCAAGAACAGTCGAATCAGCACTAACAGAACAGCTATCGAAGGGCTGCTTGGCTACCTGCTCTGGCTGGCTGGGATTTCTCAAAAGTGACAACCCGGACATTCGTCTTGCCGGCTGGCTCGAATGCCACCAACGTGACACCTTCCTTCTCGAGGCCCCGGCGGGGAGCGGACCCCGGGAGGCGGAGGCGTTCGGGGGGCGCGCTAGGGGGCAGGGCGCGGGAGGCCCAGGAGAGGGGCTCGGGCTTACGCGCCGGACGGGCAACGCGGCGCCCAGGGTCCCAAGGCTACGGAGCAGCGGGGGTTTGGCCAACGCCAAAAAGGGGCAGCTCCCGTGCCAGGCGCGTTCAGCGCGCTCGGGGAATCCTCAGGGGCTGATTCAGAGGTTGTGACTCGCGCGAGGGCCAACCGGGCTCGCAATCCCTGAAGGCGGAATCCACAGGAACTCAGAAGCAGCCCGCGGGGAGGAGCTGCAGGTTCGAGGCGCCGGGCTGACGCCCGCAACTTAGAAAGGTGACCCTCGGTCCATCTTGCTGGTGGAGGAGGGTGCACAAGCTAAAGTTAAAGCTCGCAGCCCACGCAGCTAGAAACTCGGGGCGGGGGGCGCTCCTCAGGAGCCAGGCTCCTAAAGGGGGTGTGGCGGCCGGGGCGTTTAAGGGGGTGGGGGCGAAGGCATTTCGGCCCGGCCCCGGAGGCCCCGGGCAGCCCGGTGGGAGGTGGGCCAGGGCCCCGCGCCGGGTGCGGCCGTCCGGGGCCCTCCGCGCGCCCACTGGCCGGCTCACCGGTGATGTCCAGGTACACGTCGTCCTGGGGGTCCCGGCGGCGCGGGTCTTGCTGCGTGGAGCTGCGGATCTTCTTCACACCCGGCGAGGTCGACGAGCAGCGCCGCGAGCAGGGGGGCGCGGCGGCCCAGCTCGACCGCCGCTCGCTTTTCCGCTTCATGGAGGCGGCCGCGGCCCGTCAGGGGGCCACGACCATGGCCCCGCGCGCCCGCGCGCCCGCCGAGGCTCCCGCCAGCCCCGCGCGGGCGCTCGGGGCGGCGGGCGCAGAGCGGCGCTGCGGGGACGGCGGGCGCCGGCAGAGCCCGGCGGGAGGCGGTCGCGCAGGAGCCGGAGGAGGAGCCCGGCCCACAGCGCCTGCCCCGCTGCCTCCCGCGGCCGCCGCAGGACCGGCGCCGCAGCCCTCGCTACAGCGCCTCCTGCCGCGGCCGGCGCCCCCAGCCCGCCCCCAGGTGCCCGCAGCCGGCTGGCGCGGCCGAGGCGACGGGGCTGCAGCTGGCGGCCGGAGCTGCCCGGGGTAACCGTGCGTGCCCACCGCGGCCGCGGCCGCTGCTGCGTAGGCGCCGGGGCACAGCAGGACGCGGCTCGTGGGGACCCCAGGAGGGCTGTTCCGTGGCGCTTCATTCACAAAAAAGGGCCCACAACCCTCCTCGGGGCCCGCAGACTGAGGCCTTTCATTGGCCAATGCGGCGTGACGTCACGGAGACGGGGCCTTTCTACAGGCAGGTACTCGGTGACGCCATAAAGAAAACTCTGAGGGCTTCCGCCAATCAGAGATAAAGTGTGCTAGCGACCTTCGCCAGCCCCCCAACTTTTGTTTCTTCTGTGTCCTCCAGGTGCCAGCACCCCAGATCCCAACTTTCTTTAGTGAGTCACCAAACATTTACACAGCCCCACCCTAGTAACTTAACTCCAGGTCTTTGGCATATATATATCTTAAAGTATTTCTTGAATTTCCTTGTAATTCGCGCCAAGAGAAAGGGACTTTTGCCATGGCTGCCAGCTTGGAAGAGGATGGCCTGATTACATTACCTGCAGCTATATAGATTTAAAGTAGAGTTGATTTCAGAACTTAAGTAAAACTATTTAAACAACTACGCTCTATTTATCGACCTATGCCCAGCATTCAAACAGGCCAAGCAAGGGCTTCTTAAGGACCCGATGAAACTTCCGTGGAACCACAATATACCGTGGTTGTTTGCACCTCAGAGTTTCTCATCTCGGAATCCAGCGCCCACATTAATTCAGTAAGTTTATACACTCATTGCTGTGTATACTGAGGTGTCGACAGGTCCGATTATATCATGAAGTATTGAAGCAAGGGGCAAGTTTTGTCCTTAAACTTCTTTATCTGGCACACTGTAGGGTCATATCCTCTTCTTTTTCTACTGGATTAAAATAATGCCCTATCTTCCTGGAACTTAACCAAAAACTGTCATTTTGGAGGGCCTTTAAACAAACGTCCATGGTAGCATCTAAAAGGGTGAGAAGATTGGAGGGCAGTGTTAAGATTTCACGGCCCCAAATTTTACAACATCTGCAAGCTGTCCCTATTTTTCACCAGCACTTGAACGTTTTATCCTGCAGTTCCGCAGTTAACTGCCAGCCTGGGGAAAAGAAAGATGAATTTGAGTCAGTCCCCTTGGAAGCCTCTCAGAAATGCAAATTTTCATAGAGCACCTCAGGAAGGGGCTCTTTGACTTCTATTGTTGTGGGCTTTTACCTTAAGCACGGCTAAATAAGGAAGTAGGGGGGCTGTGTCTGAAGCTAGAGATCAGCAACTCTGTAAGCACTTTTTCTTAAGGTTGGTTCTCCTGTTCACTCTTCCTCTGTTTCCCCTAAGGAAATCAGTGAAGGCCTTAAATTTAAAATGATCTACATGTCTGTCTGTAGGGGCAGCAAAGAAGCTAGAGACGTGGGAGGCTGTGCGGCGCTGCGCAAGTAAGTTTTAGAGAGCAGAAACGGTAGGGTCACAGTCCTTTGTTTTGACCTGGAGGAGGAGGAGGAGACCTTTCAGACCGGCCTAGGGGCTCAGCATTGGAAAGCCACCCAGTTTCCCAGACTACCAGGGATTTTAAATGAGTGGGTCTTGTTTTGAATAGATATTACAGGAGAGTGGTCCGTGTGGCTCCCTGGAAGTACAGAGAAACTACCTCCATGACATTATGATCTTTTGAGAGTAATTTGTTTAAATGTCAGGAGGCAGAGGTTGCAGTGAGCCGAGATCGTGCCATTGCACTCCAGCCTGGGTGACAGAGCTAGACTCCGTCTCAGAAAAAAAAAAAAAAAAGTGTCATAAATACAGATAATTATACCATTTAAATATTTTCATACTTTGCAAGTATATAATTTTATGCTTTGTATAGTAGGAACAGACAAAGTATAGGACTACACTTTGTAATTACGCGAAAGTATCTTCCCTTCTTGTGAATAGGAAGTCTGTGTGCTGAGTATACACATTAAAGTTTTAAACCCTATTTATATTTTGTTTTTAGGTCATGTTTAGATAGAGGCAGAAAAGTGCTGTTTCCTAGCTGATACTTGTTTTGTGTGTGTGGCACTGCTCTTGAACTGTTTGACTCCTCCCCCTCTTTGATAAGTTGACTCCTGGGCTCTGAGAATTTGGCCACAGGAAATGTATTTTAGTTTGCTTCCCTGGTTAGTTTGTTGTTCATTGCTTGACGACTCATCATAGAATTTTAGAGCTTGAAAGCTCCTTAGACAATATTTGGTCCAAGGCTATCCTTTCACAGTGAGGACACGGGGACCCAGATGAGTGGCAGTGGCCAGGCTGGGGTGGGAACCAAAACTCTCTAGGATCTGGCTTGTCTTTTCCTGAACTGTGGCGCTTAGGGAACAGATGCGTCTGGTTGATTCTCAACATTATGGCAGCACAATGAAAAGGAAAAAAAAAAAAAAAAGGAGGGATTCTCTAAAATATTCCTATCTTTCCTAGGTAAATTTACCCTGAAATGAAAACAACTGTGGAACATTTTCTTTTTTTTTCTTTTCTTTTCTTTTTTTTGAGACGAAGTCTCGCTCTGTCGCCCAGACTGGAGTGCAGTGGCGCGATCTCGGCTCACTGCAAGCTCCGCCTCCCGGGTTCACGCCATTCTCCTGCCTCAGCCTCCCAAGTAGCTGGGACTACAGGCGCCTGCCACCACGCCCGGCTAATTTTTTGTATTTTTAGTAGAGACGAGGTTTCACCGTGTTAGCCAGGATAGTTTCGATCTCCTACCTTGTGATCCGCCCTCCTCGGCCTCCCAAAGTGCTGGGATTACAGGCATGAGCCACCGCGCCCGGCGGAACATTTTCTTATATGTATATTCCAGATAGAGCATATTCTGAAAATGTGAAATCTTACGCTAAAATCAGTAGCAACTGGTTGATAGAGACGTGATATGAATTTCAAATAATGTAAGTTTCAGAATCCGTGAATTACAATTTTAATTATGTGAAGATAAATAAGTTGTACAAAGTCAATTTCCATAAGTTGGTTAATTTCATAAAAAGTTAAATTTGATAAATATGGTACGTTCCATAAGAGGTTAAATTTCCATAAAACTAGAGGGCTTAGGTGGCAGTCATATGGGAAAACGGGCACACACTGAAGTCTTCACTTTCATATATAAAAAGAGTTGGTTTTGGCCGGGCGTGGTGGCTCACATCTGTAATCCCCGCACTTTGGGAGGCTGAGGCGGGCAGATCACCTGAGGTCAGGAGTTCAAGACCAGCCTGGTCAACATGGGGAAACCCTGTCTCTATTAAAAATACAAAAATAAGCTGGGCGTGGTGACACGTGCCTGTAATCCCAGCTACTTGGGAGGCTGAGGCAGGAGAATTGCTCCAACCTGGGAAGCGGAGGTTGCAGTGAGCCAAGATCACGCCACTGCCCTCCATCCTGGGCCACAGAGCAAGACTCCGTCTCAAACAAACAAACAAACAAAAAAAGAGTTGGTTTTGTTTCATTGGCTATCCTGGCAATCCCAACATTAATCTGAAGTCTGCCATGTTCATGCCCCTTAAGATGAAAATCTTTTAGAACCATAAAAATGGAAGGAATGAATGTTTGTTGAGCTACCAGCAAATACTAGACATGCTAGGGGCTTCATACTCATGCCCTGTTCCGTGGTATTCTCATTTGAGAGGTCATGGCAGTTACCCTAGGTCACTAAATGAGTTTGGTTTGGAAACCCAGGATACAGAACCACACGTGGCTCGAGTACTGAGGGGCTGGCATCATTCTTCATTGACAAGAGCAGGATCTAAAGGGATCCTGCCTTGCAGGTGGGCTTCTGAAATTAAATAACCTGTATAGTTGTGTAAAATGTCAGAAACTTGGATGAACGCCTTTGGATCTCAGACCACACCGTAATATTGTAGGTTTTTAAAACAATATTTCTGCGGTTGATTTGTTTTTTGGTTATATACACTCCTGCTTTAAAAAATAACTACAATCATGCATCACTTAACGATGGGGATGCTTCTAAGAAATGTGTCATTAGGTTATTTCATCATTGTACAAATATTGTAGAGTGTACTTACACAAACCTAGATGGTATGGTCTACTACATACCTAGGCTGTATGGTAGAGCCAATTTCTCCTAGGCTACAAACAGGTACAGCATGTTACTATACTGAATACTGTAGGTGACTGTAACTGGTAAGTATTCATGTATCTAAACATCATCTAAACATAGAAAAGTTACAGCAAAAATATGGTATTAAAACCTTATGGGACCACTGTCCTGTATGTGGTCTGTTGAATAAAACATTGCTTTGTGGTACATGACTGTAAATAAAATAAATAATAATAATGAAATGCCAGGGGGCAGGGGTAGGGGACGATGAGAATTCTGGTTATTTTAAGTCTTGTGTTCAGAGTATGACTGAAGATGCCTTTACCTGAAAGCCACAGAGGTCTGAGCCTCAAGGGACTGAATGATACCCAAATCTTCCTCAAGAATTACCTTTTTTTTTTTTTTTTTTTTGAGATGGAGTCTTACTCTGTCCCTCAGGCTGGAGTGCAGTGGCACGATCTCATGAGCCACCACGCCCAGCTTGCGTTACTTTTAAAAGACGCTGATAAATTAGCGGGGCGTGGTGGCACGTGACTGTAGTCCCAGCTACTCGGGAGGCCGAGACAGGAGAATCGCTTGAACCCGGGAGGCAGAGGTTGGAGTGAGCAGAGATCGCGCCATTGCACTCCAGCGAGATTCTGTGTCAAAAAAAAAAAAGAAAAAAGAAAAAAAAGAAAAAGAAAGATGCTGACATGCATTCTACATACTGTCAGGTAGTCAGTATGTCTCTAGAGTTGAATTTAATAATATGGGAGAAATGGGAAACAATACTCCACAAGTTCATGCTGTCTTGGCTAAATGCTTCCACCGGTGCTACTGAATGCTGCCTCCTCTCTATTCACCCTCCTCACTATTCGCTTCTCTTTTTCTTTTTTTGAGGGGGGGACAGGGTCTCGCTCTGTCACCCAGGCTGGAGTGCTGTGGTGCGATCTCGGCTCACTGCAACCTCCGCCTCCCAGGTTCAAGCCATTCTCCGACCTCAGCTTCCCGAGTAGCTGGGACTACAGGCACACACCACCATGCCTGGCTGATTTTTTGTATTTTTAGTAGAGACGGGGTTTCACCATGTTGACCAGGCTGGTCTCAGACTCCCGACCTCAGGTGATCCGCCCGCCTCAGCCTCTCAAAGTGCTGGGATTACAAGCTGAGCCACCACGCCCGGACTTCACTTCTTAAATCTAGGTCTTATTTTGTAATTTTACTTCAAAGATTTGTACGTAAGGAATTTTTTTCTCTTTGGTTTTGTCCCACAATAATACATGAACATGTGATTATATTTTTAAAAAATTTAAGTAAAAAACATATATATATGTTTATTTTAAAAGTTCTCCTTTACCTTCCTACCCCAATCCTCCTATGCTCATAGATAACTGCTGCTAATGATCTGTGTTTAGATAAAAACAGATTTTGGGGCCGGGCATGGTGGCTCATTCCTGTAATCCCAGCACTTTGGGAGGCCGAGGCGGGCGGATCACTTGAGGTCGGGAATTTGAGACCAGCCTGACCAACATGGCGAAACCCCGTCTCTATTAAACATACAAAAGTTATCCAGGTGTGGTGGTGGGTGCCTGTAATCCCAACTACTCGGGAGGCCGAGGCAGGAGAATCTATTGAACCTGGGAGGCAGAGGTTGCAATGAGCCAAGATCGCCCCAGTGCACTACAGCCTGGGTGGCAGAGCAAGACTCTATCTCAAAAAAAAAAAAACACACACAAAAAAAAACAGATTTTTAAAAATAAAATGGTTCATACTGGGCATATTGTTCTATGAGCTGCTTTTTTTCACATAATACTGCATTTTTTTTCCAGATTTGTTAATACTGGATCTTGAAAATTTTCCTTTTCAGTCCTTTTGACCAGCCTCATTCATGCTAATGGCTGCAAAGTTTCCCTTGTATCTTTTCCATCATTTCTTTTCCTGTGGATGGATGGTTAAGTTGCATGGGGGCTGGGAGGAAAAGTGCTGTTATGTACCTGCAATGAATACCCTAACATATGGCAATCCACAGGAGGTGGAATTGCTGAATCAAAGATACTCACTTTTTAATTTTTCATTGATACCAACAATATTTAAGGATAGCTGAGCTGATTGGGTGCAGTGGCTCACACCTGTAATCCCAGCACTTTGGGAAGCCAAAGTGGGAGGATGGGTTGAGCCCAGGAGTACCAGACCAGCCTGGGCAAAATAGGAAGACCTTGTCTCAACAAAAAAGAAAAAAATTAGCTGGGTGTGGCCGTGTGCACCTGCAGTCCCAGCTACCCGGGTGGCTGAGGTAGGAAAATAGCTTGGGCCCTGGAGGTCGAGACTGCAGTGAGCTATAATTACCCAACTGCACTCCAGAGCAAGACCCTATCTCAGAACAAAACAAAATAAAAAGGAATCCCATTTTCCCACATCCCTGAAATCACTGGATACAACGTGTTTTTTAAGTTTAAGAATTAAAAAGTCTCACTATTAGTTTCATTGTATTTTCCTGATCACTGGTGAAGTTGAGCATATTATAAAGTTCTCATTAGATGTTTGCAGTATTTTTTCTAAGAATTTTTAATTCATGTCCTTTGCCTGTTTTGTATTTGCTTTCTTTTTTTCGAGTTTTTTCTCCAACTCCCGACCTCAGGTGATCTGCCCGCCTCGGCCTCCCAAAGTGCTGGGATTACAGGCGTGAGCCACCACACCCGGCTGCATTTGATTTTATTTTTGTAGATGTGTGGCAGCTTTTTATATATTATGGATATCGCCCCTTCACCCTTTGCAGATGATGCCTGCATATCTACTCTTTGTCTTGCTGCTCTATTCACGTTGGTTTACAGAAGTTTTATGGTTTTGTTTTGCTTTGCTTTGCTTTTTTGAGGCAGGGTCTTGCTCCATCACCCAGGCTGGAGTGCAGTGGTACAATCATGGCTCACTGTAGCCTGGACCTCCTGGACTTAAGTGGCCCTCCTGCCTCAGCCTCCTGAAGTAGCTGGGACTATAGGCCCATGCCACCACACCCCGCTATTTTTTTTTATTTTAATTTTTTGTAGAGATGAGGTTTCACTATGTTACCCAAGCTGGTCTTGAACTCCTGAGCTCAGGCAGTCTTCCTCCCTTGGCCTCCCAAAGTGCTGGGATTACAGGCATGAGCAACCGAGCCTAGCCAGTTTTATCTATTTTAATGTCAAATACATTTTACCAATTTTTAAGGCTTCTAGGAATGATATATATTGTATTTTAATATTTTTCTTTTCCAACAATACTCAAAATATGGCTATCACCACCTTACACTAGACGTCAAACTTTGCCTCATTAGAGTGAGTCAGCATGATATTATGCTTCCTGGATGGTGCAGTGGTGGTTCACACCTGTAGTCCCAACACTTGGGGAGGCCGAGGAGGGTGGATCGCTTGAGGACAGGAGTTCGGACCAGCCTGGGCCACATGGTGAAACCCCTTCTCTACAAAAAATACAAAAATTATCCAGGCATGGTGTTGTGTGCCTATAGTACCAGTGACTCCAGAGGCTGAGGCAAGAGAATCGCTTGAACCTGGGAGGCGGAGGTTGTAGTGAGCTGAGATTGCACTACTGCACTCCAGCCTGGGGAACAGAGCGAGACTCAGTCTAAAAGAAAAAAAAAAGAGAGAGAGGTATGATGCTTCCTGATGCAAGGCAACATGATATACCCTGGATTACCTATAAAGTAGTGTTCTATCCAAAATGTTTATCCTGAATTGAATCAAGCCTTGAGATCTAACTTCGGTTTACAGGAAATATAGGGGGTGGAAGAACATGTTAAATGACTCATAAGGAAACAATCTGACAAATCTTGAATGTGGGATTTTCTATAAACTGTCTCTTTAACAAGTAAATGTCATGGAAAAAAATTTGTCCAAGTGGGTGAGGGGACTTGTGATAGATAAACAGAAGCTGGGCGTGGTGGCTCACGCCTGTAATCCCAGCAAGCCAAGCGCTGTGGCTCATGCCTGTAATCCCAGCACTTTGGGAGGCTGAGGCAGGCGGATCACCTGAGGTTGGGCGTTCGAGACCAGCCTGACCAACATGGTGAAACTCCATCTCTACTAAAAATACAAAAATTAGCCATGCGTGGTGGCCGGCACCTGTAGTCCCAGCTACACGGGAGGGTGAGGCAGGAGAATTGCTTGAACCTGGGAGGCGGAGGTTGCAGTGAGCTGAGATCGGGCCACTGCACTCCAGCCTGGGCAACAGAGCGAGACTCGGTCTCAAAAAAAAAAAAAAAAAAAAACCATAAAGAGGTATAACAGTCTGGGTGCGGAGGCTCATGCCTGTAATCCCAGCACTTTGGGAGGCAGAGGCTGTGGATCACGTGAGGCCAGGAGTTCCTGGCCAACATGGTGAAAACCCGTCTACTAAAATTACAAAAATTTGGCTAGGCACAGTGGCTCACACCTGTAATCCCAACACTTTGGGAGGTCGAGGCGGGCGGATCACGAGGTCAGGAGATCAAGACCAGCCTGGCCAATATGATGAAACCTCGTCTCTACTAAAGATACAAAAAATTAACCGGGCGTGGTGGTCTGCGCCTGTAATTCCATCTACTTGGGAGGCTGAGGCAGGAGAATCGCTTGAACCCGGGAGGTGGAGATTGCAGTGAGCTGAGATCACACCACTGCACTCCAGCCTAGGCAACAGAGCGAGACTCCGTCTCAAAAAAAAAAAAAAAGGAGGTATAATTAACATGCAAAAGCAAAGATCTTCAGTGTTAGTTCAATGAGTTTTAAAAATATATACACCTGTATAACCACCGTCCAAAAAGAAGATATAGGAGCAACAGGACTTTTAAAAAAAAAAGCCATCCTTGCAAAGCTAAGGATGGTTTCCTGGTCAGCCCTCTCTCCTGACTATCTCTTGCTGCATCCTCTCTTCTTGTTGCTCTCACTGCTCTCCATCTCTCTCACTGCTCTCCATCTCTCTCACATCTCTCCATCTCTCTCATGTCTCTCCGACTGTCTCGCATCTCTCCATCTCTCTCACCGCTCTCCATCTCTCTTGCCGCTCTCCATCTCTCTGGCATCTCTCCCTCTCTCTTACATCTCTCCATCTCTTTCGCCGCTGTCAAGTCTCTGACACCTGTTTGGCACCAGACCTCGGCTCCGGAAACACCTCTGGCTTGCTTACTCTGACCAAGTTGGACAGGCTCTGCTGGCTGGAGTCTCGGTCCTCTTCTTCAGACAGAACTTGGCTGTTCTCTCTTGGGCTCTGCAACATTTGCTACAAATCCAAGTTGTCCCTGCCTTTGGCCCCCGCTGCCAGGCTCACCCCCCAGGTCTCCTCCCTCAGGGGAATGGGAAAGACAGCAGAGAGCCTGCTTCACAGTCATAATCAATGGAGATCATCAGGTAATCCGAGGTAGCTAACAGCCTCCTTTATCCTCTACACGGTTTTCTTTCCAATCATTGCAGGACAAGAAAGACATCCTTGTCTGACTCTCCCCTTATCCACACAATTAGAAGTGAATTAAAGGCATCAATTTCAAGTCACTTCTGTAGTTGTGGAAGGGTGAAGGCAATTTATTTTTTATCTCCTGTTGTGGCTGGAAAGAAAACTTCTTGCAATGACTTTTCTGGTTTTGGAAGAGAACCAGCAACCAATTCTAAAATATCGGGTGATTTTTCTTTTTGTTACAAATTCTTCCGAATGTGATGAAATCCTAGCGCACTGGGTTCCCACTCAACCAGAGTTCTCCTTAGGAAAAAGGAGATCAGGAATGACCAAAATGCACAGATCTATAGTTTTGCATTCTCATATGGTGGGAAGTTTTTCTCTATTCATGATTTTTTTTTTCTCTTCAGTGATACCAGAGCATACATTTGGGCAGATTAGGTTGGATTCTCTATTAAGTTCCTCTTTCCATTTTTAAATGCAGATTCAAATGAGCAGTGAATTATTTTATCCAAAGTTAGGGGCTATATAAAATAAAAAAAATGAAGAAGGCTGAAATGGCCCCTTATATAGGCAGTCAGCTTCTAGAAATAGAAGCAAATGAATATTTAACAATACTTAAAGAAAGGCAATTTGTTTTCACATTTATATATTAATTATTTTAGTTTGTGCGTTATTAAATATTACATACCTTTTGGGAGGTTGAGGTTGGAAGATCGTTTGAGCCCAGGAATTTGAGACCAACCTGGGCAACATAGCAAAACCCCATCTCTACAAAAAAATTTTAAAAATTAGCCCAGCATGGTGGTGTCCACCTGTAGTCTCAGCTCCTTGGGAGGCTGACGTGGGAGGAACGCTTGAGCCCTGGAGGTTGAGGCTACAGTGAGCCATGATCACCTCACTGCACCCCAGCCTGGGCCACAGAGTGAGACTCTATCGGGATGCCGAGGTGGGCAGACCACCTGAGATCAGGAGTTCAAGACCAGCCTGGCCAACATGGGGAAAACACATCTCTATTAAAAATACAAAATTAGCTGAACCCAGGAGGCGGAGGTTCCGTTGAGTCAAGATCACACCACTGCACTCCAGCCTGGGTGACAGAGCGAGACTCTGTCTCAAAAAAAAAAAAAAAATCTGGGTGTGGTAGTACACACCTATAGTCCCAGCAGCTTGGTAGGCTGACGTGGGAAGATTGCTTGAGCCCAGAAGTTCAAGGCTGCAGTTCAAAAGGCTTGAGCCTTCAGATTGCTTGAGTCCAGGAGTTCAAGGCTATGATTGTGTCACTTCACTCTGTCCTGGGCAACAGAGGGAGACCCCTGTCTTTAAAATAAATAAGTAAATGAATAAATACACATTATATGAAAAAGTCATGCATCTGACTTAAATCTAGCTGCCAAAATAACTTTTTTTTTTTCTTTCCTGAGATGGAGTCTCACTCTGTTGCCCAGGCTGGGGTGCAGTGGTGCGTTCTCCGCTCACTGCAAGCTCCGCCTCTGGGTTCACGCCATTCTCCCGCCTCAGCCTCCCGAGTAGCTGAGACTACAGGCACTTGCCACCACACCCGGCTAATTTTTTGTATTTTTAGTAGAGAAGGGGTTTCACTGTGTTAGCCAGGATGGTCTCGATCTCCTGACCTTGTGATCTGCCCACCCAGGCCTCCCAAAGTGCTGGGATTACAGGTGTGAGCCACCACGCCTGGCCGGTCACAGGTCTCTCTACCAGAATGTCTCCGGTGCTATATTTTACTTTCCAAATTATACAGCATTCATCATTTTTTCCAATACATTTTTAAAGCATTTGCTTTTGTTTCATTTTCTTACTGTGTGGCAAATTATTAATTCACATGAAGTCTTTGTACTTGCCGATATAGACAAGAGCAACAAATATCAAAATCTGAGCTTTCAATTTAGGAAAATAAAGTGGAAAGCCCACTGGATTCAGCAAAAAGTAGGATTAATGTTATGCTTATGAGACATGGATACACATTGCTTAGAAATATGAAGCTATTCCTTATTTACATAAAGTCAGTAAATATGTTCACATTTGACTTACTTTTTTTGGAGGGGGATCATATATGGAGTGGTCTCACTCTGTCACCCAGGCTGGAGTGCAGTGGTGCCATTCCAGTTCACTGCGGCCTTGACTTCCAGAGCTCAAGTGATCCTCCCACCTCCACCTCCTGAGTAGCTGGGACCACAGGTGTGCATGCCACCACGCCCGGCTAATTTGTTTTTTTGTTTGTTTGTTTGTTTTTGTATTGAGATGGAATCTCACTCTGTCACCCAGGCTGGAGTGCAGTGGCACAGTCTTGGCTCATCGTAACCTCCGCCTCCTGGGTTCAAGTAATTCTCCTGCCTTAGCTTCCCAAGTAGCTGGGATTACAGGTGCCCACCACCACGCCTGGCTAATTTTTGTAGTTTCATAGAGACAAGGTTTCACCATGTTGGCCAGGCTAGTCTTGAACTCCTGACATCAAGTGATCCTCATGCCTTGGCCTCCCAAAGTGCTGGGATGGGGTTTTTCCATGTTGCCCAGGCTAGTTTTGAACTCCTGGGCTCAAGAGGTCCTCCTGCCTGGACCTCCCAAATTGTTAGGACTACAGGCATGAGTCACCCCACTCAGCCACATTTGGCATTTTAAATCCTTAGGCATCAAAATCCAGAAAATGTTAGTGATTACAGGCTGCTCTTAGAGTAAAGTTAAATAACAGTGTTCTGTAATGATTTCTAAAGAAACCTTAAAAATATTTTACTTACCTATTTTTAAAAATGGCATTGTAAGAAGATTGGCATAATATTTAAAATCATTTTCTAGAAACAAGTTTTACTTCCATAAGAGCTTTGATCAAATACCTCCTCATGATGAATAAGGCTAATTACACTTATGGTCTATGTGAGCTGCTTTAAAAAATTATATGCAAGCCTTCTTTGAACACTTCCATCCATGATCCCTCCAAGACCTTCAAATTTGCTGTGAGATTTACTGCACTGTGCAAAGGACAGTTTATCATCCCTGCCCTCTTTTGTTACCTACCCTGACGTTCTTCCTGCCCTCCCCAAATAGCTCCTGAATGATTAAAGGCAGAAATTCTGCCTTATCTGTCCTTTAAATCTCCCAGGGTATCAACACATATAAGCACTTGAAACCATCTTTTCCTTATCAGACCACATCACCTGTAGGGCAATACTACAGCACAAATCTCGAACAAGAAACGCTACTGGCCAGGTGCGGTGGCTCACACCTGTAATCCCAGCACTTTGGGAGGCCAAGGCAGGCAGATCACGAGGTCAGGAGGTCGAGACCATCCTGGCTAACACGGTGAAACCTGTCTCTACTAAAAATACAAAAAATTAGCCGAGCGTGGTGGCAGGCGCCTGTAATCCCAGCTACTCGGGAGGCTGAGGCAGGAGAATGGCGTGAACCCGGGAGGCGGAGCTTGCAGTGAGCCGAGATTGCACCACTGCACTCCAGCCTGGGCAACAGAGCAAGACTCCGTCTCAAAAATAAATAAATAAATAAAAAATAATAAATAAATAAATAAATAAAGACGCTACTGTAGCACTCTGGGTGCGAACTGAAAGGAGAGCTTAGTAAAGCTGCATGTTCTTTTTTTGCTTGTTTGCTTTTAAAAGACAGGGTCTCACTCTGTCACCCAGGCTGGAGTGGAGTCCTCCTGCCTCAGCCTCCCGAGTAGCTGGGACTACAGGTGCACCACAACACCTGGCCAATTTTTTTTTTTTTTTTATAGAAACAGGATCTTGCTACATAGTCCAGGCTGGTCTTGAACTCCTGGACTCAAGCAATTCTGCCTTTGCCTCCCAAAGTGCTGGGACTACAGGCGTGAGCCTTTGCACCCAGCCTTATTTTAACCTTTCAAAGATTTTAAAAGCCTGTCGATTTGAATCCTTTCCCTACAGTAAACTGTAACTGTGAGTATAACAGCTCTTAGCATGTTCTGTGAGTCCTTCTAGCAAATTATCAAACCTGAGTGTGGTTTTGGAAACCATCTGTAGTTGGTGTCAGAAATGAGGGTGGGTTGTGCATTGTACCCTCTAACTTTGCAATGTTTTGTCTGTATTGCCCATTTATCCTATTATGTTGTCTTGTTTTAAAAAATTGACTTGTAGACATTCCGATATATTTTTGGTATTAATCTTTTTTGTAGTTATGTGCATTATATATATATAATGCATATATAAATGCATTATATATATGCATATATATATATGCTGGGCATGGTGGTTCACACCTGTAATCTCAGCACTTTGGGAGCCCGAGGCAGGCAGATCACCTGAGGTCAGGAGTTCAAGACCAGCCTGACCAACATGGTGAAACCCCATCTCTACTAAAAATTACAAAAATTAGCAGGATGTGGTGGCTGGCGCCTGTAATCCCACCTACTGTGGAGGCTGAGGCAGGAGAGTTGCTTGAACCCGGGAGGTGGAGGTTGCAGTGAGCCAAGATCATGCCACTGTGCTCCAGCCTGGGCAACAGAGCAAGACTCCATCTCAAAAAATGAAACCCCAAACATACACACACACACACACACACACACACACACGCGCACGCGCGTCTCCCTTTGTTGCCCCAGGCTGGAGTGCAGTGATACGATCACAGCTCACTGTAGCCTCACTTCCAGGCTTCAGGCTTCAGGCAGTCTTCCTGCCTCAGCTTCCCGAGTAGCTGGGATTATAGGTATGTACCACCATGCCCAACCATGTGAATTTTTAAGTTGAATTTAGAGTAGCATTCACAATAATGTCAGATGTTTCACCTTTGAGAGAATACGCTTCCAAACATTTTGCTTTGACTTTGTAAACTGGATGAGAAAAGGTAACTATTAGCTCCTTTTTTAAAAAGAAATGAATGTAATCAAATTCTCTATTTAAAGCATTTGGTAATACTGACATAAAACTGGCAGCCTGTAACTTTTTTCAGAAGTTTCTAACAGAACCAGTATAGGAACAGCTACTACACTTCATTTTTAGTATGTCCATAAGAAAACTTGACTTGAAAAAGATTGGAATTAATTAGAAAAACCTCTTTGGCTTGGCACAGTGGCTCACACCTGTGATCCCAGCACTTTGGGAGGCCGAGGTGAGCAGATCCCTTTAAGGTCAGGAGTTTGAGACCAGCCTGGCCAACATGGTAGAATCCCATCTATACTAAAAATACAAAAATTAGCCGGGTGTGGTGGCACACACCTGTAATCCCAGCTACTTGGGCGGCTGAAGCATGAGAATTGCTTGAACCCAGGAGGTGAGGTTGCAGTGAGCCGAGATTGCACCACTGCACTCCAGCCTGGGCAACAGAGTGAGAAAAGCAAACAAAAAACAAAACAAAAAAAAACCTCCTTGATTTAAATGAAAAATCATTCTTCACAGAATGATGTGTCTATGTACATTCTTCAACTTCATATCTTAAATTACCTTCTGGAACACTCTTTTTAAAATAGCCATTAACTTTGAAGTAAATGATGTTACTTCTTCGGAAAATGTGTCTTCCAGTTTTCATGTAGTCAGTGATACCTCTTTGCCCCCCATTGTAAATGGTAATGTGAACAAACATTTTATGCAGGTTGCTAGTGTATCATCAGTTTTCTTGAAAAACAACAAAATATTTGATTTTAAAAATGAAACCATGCATTTTCATTTTATTGAAATTCTTGTTTCCATAGCAGTTCATCACACAAGCCATACAATGAATTTCCTCACTAGATTCCTTGGATGTGGATGGATTTGACCTTATTCTTACAAGGTTTTAGCCCTTCAAAAGTTTCCAGTCTCAGGCACAGGTCTTAGGTCCTACTTTACTCTAGAGCCTTAGTTTTAATTCTCTACTGTCCCAGACCTTTGAATTGGCCAAAGAATAACCTTCTCTAATTCCTGGGATGAATTCCTGCTCTGCAGTGCAGTCCATGGCTTCCAAGCATGCTCTTCAGCCTAGCTTCTGCTCGCTTTCGGCCCTAGTGGCATTTCTTCACTTTGTTGTAAGCTCAGCTTGAAAAAAGTTGTTGCTTCTTCTCTGCAAAATGGTGATGGTGATGATAACAATATCAGTTCCATAGAGTTAATGTATGTAAAGCACTTGGAATAGTACCTAACAAATCATTACCACCATAAAATGTTTGATGATATTATTTATTTTTATCCAATGTCTCCATGTATTTGTGAGAGAGGTTCTTCAGAATTTCAAGTCCAGTATATGACTGGATATGGAAGTATGTTTATAAAGTTAACAGTACATGTTATAGGTAATTTTATATTTAAAAAATGTGTTTGGGTAGGCAATTTGCCATTGCACTACACTTATGTACCTGTACCTCCCTGAAGCCACATAAAGAACATGTATTTATCTTAGAAAAATGTGGTGCACATTTATAAATACAATTGACCCTTAAACAATGTTGGGGGTAGGGGTGCCAATCCCTTACACAGTCAAAAATCTGCATATAGCTTTGGGCCTCCCAAAAACTTAACTAGTAATAGTCTATTTTTGACCAGAAGCCTTACCAATAACATAAACTGTCAATAACATATTTTATATGTGATATTTATTACATACTTATATTCTTACAATAAAGTAAGCTAGAGAAAAGAAAATGCTATTATGAAAATCACAAGGAAGAGAAAATATATTTTCTATTCATTAAGTGGAAGCAGAGCATCATAAAGGTCTTCATTTTCTTTTTTTTTCCTTGTGACAGTTTTGCTCTGTCACCCAGGCTGGAGTGCAATGGCGTGATCTCAGCTTACTGCAACCCCTGCCTCCCTGGTTCAAGCCATTATCTTGCCTCAGCCTCCCAAGCAGCTGGGATTACAGCTGTGTGCCACCAAACCCAGCTAATTTTTGTATTCTTAGTAGAGACAGGGTTTTGCCTGTTGGCCAGGCTGGTCTCAAACTCCTGGCCTCAAGTGATCTGCCTGCCTCAGGCTTCCAAAGTGCTGGGATTACAGGCGTGAGCTGCCATGCCCCACTGAGATTTTTTTTTCTTTGATTCATGTGTTATTTAGAAGTATGTTTTTAATCTCCAAGTATTTGGGGATTTTTCCAGTTATTGCTTTTGAGTATAATTCCGTTGTGGTCTGGGAGCAGGCATGCTATGAGTTCTATTATTTTACATTTGTTAAGGTGTGTTTTAGGGTACAGAATGCAGTCTATCTTGGTGCATGTTGCATGTGAGCTTGAGAAGAATGTGTGCTATTCTGCTATTGGATGAAGTAATCTGGAAATGTCAATTATATCCAGTTTAGTGATGGTGCTGTTGAGTTCAACTATGTGCTTACTGATTTTCTGCCTGCTGGACCTATCCATTTCTGATAGAGGGGTGTTGAAATCTCCACCTATAACAGTGGATTCATCTATTTCTCTTTGCAGTTCTATCAGGTTTTACTTTGTTGTCAGGAACATACACATCGAGAATTACTATGTCTTCAGTAGGAACTGACTCCTGACCCCTTCATCCTTATGTAATAGCTCCCTTCATCCCTGATAACTTTCCTTGCTCTGAACTTAGCTTTGTCTGAGAGCACTATAACTATTCCCACTTTCTTTTTATTTGTGTTAGCACATTAAATCTTTCTCCATTCATATACTTTTTTTTTTTGAGACAGAGTTTCGCTCTTATTGGCTAGGCTGGAGTGCAATGGCACGATCTCGGCTCACTGCAACCTCCGCCTCCCGGGTTCAAGCGATTCTCTGGCCTCAGCCTCCTGAGTAGCTAGGGTTACAGGCACCCGCCACCATGCCCAGCTAATTTTTTGTATTTGTAGTAGAAATAGGGTTTCACCATGAGCCACCGTGCCCGGCAATAACAAAATATTTCTAATTCCCTCATCTTGTCTCTTGTATCTTTGCTGTTATTCATTTATATGTAAGTGTCATTCACTTATATATAAGCATATGTAAGCATATCTATATATAAATATATATACATACATAAGCACACATAAACACACATACATTGTTGGTATTATTATTTTGAACTGTTATCTGTAAGATCAACTAAGAATAAGAAAAATAAGGCCAGGCGTGGTAGCTTACCCCTGTAATCCCAGCATTTTGGGAGGCAGAGGTGGGCAGATCACCTGAGGTCAGGAGTTCGAGACCAGCCTGGCAAACATGGTGAAACCCTGTCTCTACTAAAAATACAAAAATTAGCCAGTTTTGGTGGCAGTCACCTGTAATACCAGCTACTCAGGAGGTTGAGGCAGGGGAATCGCCTGAATCTGGGAGAAGGAGGTTGCAGTGAGCCAAGATCGCGCCATTGCACTCCAGCCTGGGTGACAAGAGGAAAACTCTGTCTCAAAAAAAAAAAAGAAAAAGAAAAGTATTTTACCTTCACTCACTTATTTTCCAATGCCCTTCCTTTTTTTAATGTAGATCTGAGTTTCTAATCTGTATCACTTTCCTTCTTTCTGAGAAACTTCTTTTAAATTTCTTGCATGACAGGTCTACTGGCAACAATGTCCCTCATTTTTTGTCTGAAGAATGTCTTTAGTTATCCTTCACAGGATAATTTTTTTCCTCCTGTTAGAAAGTTATTGAAGGATAATTTTGCAGAGTACTGAATTCTAGATTGGTGACTTTCCTCTTAACAGTTTAAATATTTCACTCCACTCTCTTCTTGCTTGCATGGTTTCTGAGGGGAAGTTGGATGTAATTCTTATTTTTGCTCTTCTATAGGTAAGGTGGTTTATTTCCCTCTGCCTTCTTTCAAATTTTCTTTTCTTTTTTTTTTTTTTGATACAGAGTCTCATGCTGTCACTCAGGCTGGAGTGCAGTGGTGCAATCTTGGCTCCTTGCAACCTCTGCCTCCGGGTTCAAGTGATTCTCGTGTCTCACCCTCAAGTAGTGGGGATTACAGGAACACACCACCGTGCCCAACTAAGTTTTGTATTTTTGATAGAGATGGGGTTTCACCATGTTGGCCAAGCTGGCCAAGCTGATCACCCCTGACCTCAGGTGATCTGTTCGCCTCAGCCTCCCAAAGTGCTGGAATTACAGGCATGTGCCACCACACCCAGCTAATTTTTGTATTTTTAGTAGAAATGTGGTTTTACCATGTTGGCCAGGCTGGGCTCGAACTCCTGACCTCAAGTGATCTGCCTGCCTTGGCCTCCCAAAGTGCTGGGATTACAGGTGTGAGCCACTGCGCCCAGCCAAGATTTTTTATCTTTGATTTTCTGAAGTTTGACTACGATATGCCTAGGTGTCTTTTTTTTTGGCATTTACTATGCTTGCTGTTTTCTGAATTTCTTGAATCTACAGTCTGATGTTTGACATTAACTTGGGGAAATTTTCAGTCTTTATTGCTTCTAATATTTCTTCTGTTAGTTTCTTTCTTATGATTTCCCATGATTCATGTTATGTCTTTTGTAGTTGTCTCTCAGTTCTTGGATTTTGTTTTGTATTTTTTGCCTTTGCTTTTCAGTTTCTAGTGTCATATCCTCAAGCTCAGAGATTATTTCCTCAGCCACATCCAGTCTACTAATAATCCCATCAAAGGCATTCTTCATTTCTATTCCAATGTTGTTAACTTCTAGCATTTCTTTTGATTCTTAGACTTTCCATCTCTCTGCTTACATTACTCATTTGTTCTTGGATGTTGTGTTTCTCCTTTAAAGTCTTGAGCACATTAATCATAGTTTAAAAAAAAATTGGTCTGATTAATTCCAACATTCTTGCAATATCTGAATCTGGTTCTAGTGCTCGTTCTGTCTTTTCAAATTGTTTTTTGTCTTTTCATATGCCTTATAATTCCTTCTTGGTAGTGGACACGATGTGCTGAGAAAGGAAAAAAAAAAAGGTCTTCATTCTCATCTTCACCTGGAGTAGGCTAAGGAGCAGGAGGAGGAGGAGGAGGGGTTGGTTTTGCTGTCTCAAGTGAGGCAGAGGCGGAAGAGGTGACAGGGGAGCCAGGCACACTTGGTATAACTGTCTCCCAGGCTGGAGTGCAGTGGCACCATCTCGGCTCCCTGCAAGCTCCGCCTCCCGGGTTCACGGGTTCACGCCATTCTCCTGCCTCAGCCTCCGGAGCAGCTGGGATTACAGGCGCCCTCCACCACGTCCCGCTAATTTTTTGTATTTTCAGTAGAGACGGGGGTTTCACCGCGTTAGCCAGGATGGTCTCCGTCTCCTGACCTCGTGATCCGCCAGCCTCGGCCTCCCAAAGTGCTGGGATTACAGGCGTGAGCCACCGTACCCGGCCCACACTTGGTATAACTTCAATTGAAAAAAAAATCTACATATAACTGGACCCGTGTAGAACCTATGTTGTTCAAGGGTCAACTGTATATAATTTTTGTGTAAGCATGTGATTCAGCAGTATGAAGTCTAAAATCAGCAAAGGTCACCTTTAGTATATAAAAAAAGCACAAAATAGTTTAAATGAGAAATTTCATTTTTATTGAATAAAAACATTATACAAACATGAAGATATATTCAAATATTTGAATACATTAGTTTTTTTTGTAACTTTATATGCTTCATATAAAAGTACTGAGTTCAAAGCAGTATTATACTTGCTAATCATTACCAAAATTCTGATTTTGCTATACTTTTCATCAGGATTTCTGGGACACCTCCCAACTAAACATATTAAGATTCTAGAAAAATAGGCCGGGCGCGGTGGCTCATGCCTATAATCCTAGCACTTTGGGAGGCTGAGGCAGGCAGATCACCTGAGGTCGGGAGTTCGAGACCAGCCTGACCGACATGGAGAAACTCCATCTTTACTAAAAAATAGAAACTTAGCCAGGCATGGTGGCGCATGCCTGTAATCTCAGCTACTCAGGAGGCTGAGGCAGGAGAATCACTTGAACCCGGGAGGTGGAGGTTGCAGTGAGCCGAGATCGTGCCATTGCACTCCATCCTGTGCAACAAGAGTGAAACTCCGTCTCAAAAAAAAAAAAAAAATTCTAGAAAAATGAAAGATAACAAGTCTCCCAAATAAGAGCAGTTTGAGGGTGAGAAATAGCAGTTCTCTAGGAATGCATAACTAAACCATAGTGTACATTTAAGTTACCAAGTTTTAAAAAATTTTAACAATTCTTGGCCGGGAATGGTGGCTAACGCCTGCAATTCTAGCACTTTGGGAGGCCGAGGCAGACGGATCACCTGAGGTATGGAGTTCGAGACCAGCCTGGCCAACATGGTGGAACCCCGTCTCTACTAAAAGTAGCCAGGTATGGTGGCGGGTGCCTGTAATCCCAGCTACTTGGGAGGCTGAGGCAGAATTGCTTGAACCAAGGAGGCGGAAGTTGCAGTGAGCTGAGATTGAGCCATTGCACTCCAGCCTGGGCGACAGAGCAAGACTCCATCTCAAAAAAAAAAAAAAAAAAAAAAAAAAAAAAGCCAGGCAAGGTGGCTCATACCTGTAATCCCAACACATTGGGAGGCCGAGGTGGGCGGATCATGAGGTCAGGAGGTCAAGACCATCCTGGCTGTTATAACACAGTGAAACCCCGTCTCTAATAAAAATACAAAAAATTAGCCGGGCGTGGTGGTGGGTGCCTGTAGTCCCAGCTACTCGGGAGGCTGAGGCAGGAGAATGGCGTGAACCCGGGAGGCGGAACTTGCAGTGAGCCGAGATCATGCCACTGCACTCCAGCCTGGGCAACAGAGTGAGACTCCATCTCAAAAAAAAAAAAAAAAAAAATTCTTATAGTTCCCTTTCAAAAAGCACACTGACCATATTTTTAAATACATATCTTAAATATCTAAAACAATTTTTTTCTCCATAGCTCCCCCAACCCCCCAAAATCCTAGTGAAACGGATAGCAAGTATGTAGTTTGAGAAGGTGCTGTGGACACTGGCTATATGTGAAATGTTCGGATTGCCACACTTCCTCTGAGTAAAGCAATTACGATGGAAAAGTGGACTACAGCTTATATAATTTTGCTCTTTTGTGAAGGTTGTTATGTGGCATAAAATTGTCCTATAATGTTTAAAGACCTTTTCCTGGCCCTACAATATTAATCATGCTCATTATATAACAGTTGGGAAATACAGAAAAGTACAGAAAAGAAAATAATAACACTAATCTTAACACAGAGATACCTACTGGCAACATTTTGGTGTTTATTTCCTGTCTTTTTCCAAAGCATACAAAAATACAAATATATACATATAAAAATGCAGTTACATTGTTGACAGATTTGATATTTTGCCTTCTTCACTGAATATAATGGTCTTGTGTTGTTCTCCTGTCCCCTTATATACTGTCAGAATTTATATTGCCAAAAAACTCTTTCATTGACTGAATATACCATAATGTAAAATAATTTAGAGTATTTATGATTTTATAGCTTTTAAAGTTATATTTTGTATATTCATTTTTTTTGTATAAAATGTTAAAAGTTATAAAATGGAAGTATATAACATATTTTGACAACTGATGCTTCCCAGCATGCAATTCAACAGGTTCAAGCCCCCTTTATGCTTCCCTAACTCCTCAAAGGCTGGGAAGGGACAGCAGGTTAGACACTGCACGAGGATATTACACCCAGGCATTGAAGGTCACATTCCAGAAGGTCCAGTTGAAAGTGACTGAGTGCATTTTAAGTCACACATGGATAACTGAAGGTCTGTTTGTAAAGTTCACATGCTGAACTCCTACAAGCTGTAAAACAGAGTTGATAGGTTTGTGATCCAACCTATTCCTATCGCGGTGTATAAAATGGATGTTGTTACCTAGAAGAGAATAAGAATAAAAGGCTGAGGCATAGTATTATTCATCAGATTTACTGCTTACTAAAATCAAGGAAGCTTTTCAACCTTTAATTAGTCCAAAGGGAAAAATTAATTACCTGGAGTGCATTATATTCTCTATATAATGCCATAATAATTTTAAATCATGGTAATAAAGTATGACAAGGATTATGGTTAAATAAGAGCCATACTTGATGTTTTATGAGATCCAAGGGGAAAGATTTTTAAATTATAACCTTCTGTTAGGTTTTATTAAATATAATTAAATAAAATGTCCTGTCAGACGGGCAGAATACGGAACTCACATAGATATCAAGCTGGAAAATCACATCTGTTTCTTAAATCTAATAATAGAATAAATATAATAAGGAAATAAATCACTCACTTCAAAAAATCCACTCCGAAATACTGATTTAACAGGCTATCTGTATTATAACCATAGCCCAAAAGAGGCTCTAAAATAAGGCCTTAAAAGACAATCAGTTATAATACACTTAGATGTTCACAATCCTTACATCTGTTCAAATACAGATTTTATAATTTATAATCATAAATTTACAATCTAGTTTCTGTTTGATTCTTGAACTCAAGACCAGAATTTTAACTTAAACCATTAGATTAAGTGTATGAGGCACGTTTTCATTTTTTTTTTTTTTTTTTGAGACGGAGGCTCGCTTTGTCGCCAGGCTGGAGTGCAGTGGCATGATCTCGGCTCACTGCAACCTCCGCCTTCTGGGTTCAAGCGATTCTCTTGCCTCAGCCTCCCGAGTAGCTGGGACTACAGGCTTGCACCACCACGCCCAGCTAATTTTTGTATTTTGAGTAGAGACGGGGTTTCACCAGATGGCCAGGATGGTCTTGATCTCCTGATCTTGTGATCCGCCCACCTCGGCCTCCCAAAGTGCTGGGATTACAGGTGTAAGCCACTGCACCCGGCCATGAGGCATGTTTTCTAAGCACAGCTGGTCTTCTGCATCCATGAGTTCCGCATCCTCATTCAACAAACCACGGATTGAAAATATTCAGAAAAAAAGGATAGCTGCATATCTGCTGAATATGTACAGACATTTTTTTTTCCTGGTCATTATTCCCTAAATAGTACAGTACAACAACTATTTACATTGCATTTGGTATTATAAGTAAACTAGAGATGATTTAAAGTGCAGGGGAGGACGTGCATAGGTTAGATCCAAATACTACAGCATTTTATGTGAGACACTTGAGCATCTCAGATTCTGGGATCCACTGCAGGTCCAGGAACCAATCCGCCATGGATGCTGAGGGATGACTGAATGGTCCCAAGTTGGCACACAAATGATGCTCTCCATGTGCTCTTTCTTCTTTACTTATTTATTTTTGGGGGCAGTGTCTTGGTCTCTCGCCCAGGCTGTAGTGCAGTGGTGTGATTTTGGCTCACTGCCAACCTCCACTTCCCAGGTTCAAGCGATTATCCTGCCTCAGCCTCCCTAGTAGCTGGAACTACAGGTGCATGCCACCATACCCGGCTAATTTTTTATATTTTTAGTAGAGATGGGGTTTCACCGTGTTAGTCAGGATTGTCTCGATCTCCCGACCTTGTGATCTGCTCACCTTGGGCTCCCAAAGTGTTGGGATTACAGGTGTGAGCCACTGCGCCCAGCCCATGTACTCTTTATTCTTACACAACAGAAGATGTGGACAAATGATTCAGAGACATGGAGATAAGGGACTCAAAAACATCCCCTTTTGGGTATGAGGATGGAAATAAGTTGTTCAGAAATATGGCTAATGTCATTCTGGGCTAATGCATAGGATTCATTCTCATTCATCAGGGCTTCTTTTTATAACGAATCTGTTATAAATTCATGAGAGGGAGGCAAAGGGAGATTTTGGCTACAATGTTCCAGCTGCAAAAAGCCCAAAAATCATATTACTCAGTCAAAACCCTCCTTCTAAAAAATATGGTATTGGCTGGGTGTGGTGGCTCACACCTGTAATCCCAGCACTTTGGGAGGCAGAGGTGGGCAGATCACGAAGTCAAGTAATTGAGACCATTCTGGCCAACCTGGTGAAACCTTGCCTCTACTAAAAATACAAAAATTAGCTGGGTGTGGTGGCAGGCGCCTGTAGTCCCAGCTACTAGGGAGACTGAGGCAGGAAAATCGCTTGATCCCGGGAGGCGGAGGTTGTAGTGAGCCGAGATTACACCACTGCACTCCAGCCTGGTGACAGAGCAAGGCTCTGTCTCAAAAAAAAAAAAAAAAAAAGGTATTTATCAAAGTAAATATTACTCATATAACTCTTATAAGCTATGCTCATTAAGCAGACAGTTTTAAAGAGGAAGAAAAAACAAAAAGATGGTCTTACAACATAGTGATTTAGGCTTTTGGGCCCTGTCTGATAAGGGTGTTTGTCCTTTGTTGCAATGCTGGAACACAGTAGAGATCTAATCAGTTACAATACACTTAGATGTCCACAATCCCTACATCTGTTCAAATACATCTGTTCAAACACTTAGCAGAGACGAGCCAAAGCAATCTCAGGTGGTCCACACCCATCAATAAAGTTAACAGTGTGTGGCTTATAGTCGGACCTCAATCCCATTCTTTTTTATTTTTTGAGAGGGAGTTTCCTTCTTGTCACCCAGGCTGGAGTGCAGTGGCACGATCTGGGCTCACTGCAACCTCCGCCTCCCAGGTTCAAGTGATTCTCCTGCCTTAGCCTCCCAAGTAGGTGGGATTACAAGCATGCACCACCACGCCCGGCTAATTTTTTGTACTTTTAGTAGAGATGGGGTTTCACCAAGGGCTGGTCTGGAACTCCTGGCCTCAAGTGATCCACCAGTCTCAGCCTCCCAAAATGCTGGGATTATAGGTGTGAGCCACCATGCCCGGCCTCAATCCCAATCTTATGGGATGAGCTGTCCCTAGCACTGACTAACTTGCTGACACTGAGTAAGTCTCCTAGTTTTGTTAGGTATAAATAACTACATGGATTCTTTTTTTTTTTTTTTTTTTTTTTTTTTTTTTTTTTGAGGCAGAGTCTCACTCTCTCACCCAGGCTGGAGGGCTGGAGTTCAGTGGTGCGATCTCGGCGCACTGCAAGCTCCGCCTCCCAGGTTCACGCCAGTCTCCTGCCTCAGCCTCCCGAGTAGCTGGGACTACAGGCACCCGCCACCACGTCCGGCTAATTTTTTTTTGTATTTTTAGTAGAGACGGGGTTTCACCGTGTTAGCCAGGATGGTCTTGATCTCCTGACCTCGTGATCCGCCCGCCTTGGCCTCCCAAAGTGCTGGGATTACAGGCGTAAACCACCGCGCCCGGCTGGATTCTTTTCTTGAAAAAAAAGGCACGTGACGATTTTCCCCTATTCAGAAATGTTCATCTCCACTGAACATTCCTAAATAGCGGAGTGTGTGACAGCCATATACAGATCGCCAGCCCACAGGTGACTGTGGGAAATCATCTAGGCATGGGATGATGGGCACGCTCATCAAATACATAAACATCAAAATATACAGAAGCCTTTGAAAACAAAAGATGCCCCCCTACAAAAGCACAGCATCCTGGCTGTAATGCCAAGATGTCCATTTGTACAGGGTGTCTGCTTTATGAAGAAAATGGTGGCCTCTGGGTGGGGCGCGGTGGCTCATGCCTGTAATCCCAACACTTTGGGAGGCCGAGGTGGGTGGATCACGAGGTCAGGAGACCGAGACCATCCTGGCTAACACGGTGAAACCCCGTCTCTACTAAAAATTTAAAAAATTAGCCGGGCGTCGTGGCGGGCACCTGTAGTCCCAGCTACTCGGGAGGCTGAGGCAGGAGAATGGCGTGAACCCGGGAGGCAGAGCTTGCAGTGAGCCGAGATTGCGCCACTGCACTCCAGCCTTGGCGACAGAGCGAGACTCCCTCTCGAAAAAAAAAAAAAAGGAAAAGAAAAGAAAATGGCGGCCTCTGAACTTGTAAAAAGCACAAGACGTCTACTGCTGAACCTGGGCTTTGATGCTTACCTGGACCTAAAATGAGGGTTCCACCTTGCTGAGCTGGGTCTCCTTGAAAATCAAAGAGAGGGCCAGTCACTGCCCGCCACAGGCTCTGAAGGCTTCCTGAGAGTAGATTTGATTTTATGTGGGGGCTCTGTCCTGAAATGTCGAAAATTGTCTTTAGATGTCATTTTATATTCAATTTGATATTAAGAAGATAATGTATTTCTAGAAAACATTCTCTTTCTTCCTTTAAAGAATGGTTTCTCAATCTTTTACCATCAACATTTTGGCTCAGATCATTCTTTGTCCTGTGCGATATACGGTGTTTTGCAACATCCTTGCCTTCTATACCCACTAAATACCAGTGGCACCGTTTACCAAGTTGTAAAAACCAAAAATGTCTTCAGACAATGCCAAATGTCTCCCAAGGGAGAGAGGAGTAAATGTCCCAGTTAAGAACTACTGCTTTAAAGGAAACGTGATGACGGACCCACATCATTTTCTGCCACAGAAAAATGTCAACTATCGACTTCTCAAATTAGCAGTGCTTTCCATTTTAATTCCCCATTTATACTCTGTTTAGTCTCACTTATTAATAGGCAGCTACAGTCCTTTTCAAGAGACATTGTGACACAGACTGCTACGTGTTGGTCAAAACCTGTTTCCTCTTTCTGGGCCCACAGCTGAAGTATATTTTCCAGTCTTAGTTGCAGTTAGGCAAGGCATGTGACTATGTTATAAACAATGAATGAAATGATCTGTGCTGCTTCCAGGCCAAGCTCCTCCCACAAGTGATTCTCATATTCCTTCTACATTCTTGGAAGGCTTGGGTTGAAGGTGGCAAAGCACAAGATGGAGGGTGCCTGGATCCCGGAACTGCTGCTCAAGAGGAAAGGCATCCAAATAGAAAAACCGTTCTTGAAAAAAAATTTTTTTTTTGAGATGGAGTTTCACTCTCGTTGCCCAGGATGGAGTGCAATGGCGCAATCTTGGCTCACTGCAACCTCTGCCATCTGGATTCAAGCAATTCTCCTACCTCAGCCTCCCAAGTGGCTGGGATTACAGGCATGTGCCACCACGCCCGGCTAGTTTTCTATTTTTAGTACAGATGGGGTTTCTCCACGTTGGTCAGGCTGGTCTCAAACTCCTGACCTCAGGTGATCTGCCCGCCTTGGCCTCCCAAAGTGCTGGGATTACAAGCATAAGCCACCGCAGCCGGTCCCGTTCTTGAAATTTAAGATAAAAAGAAATAACCTCCTACCATGTCATGCTACTGAGACATGGGGGCTTAGCTGTGACAACAGCCACTGCAGCTACCTCTTCACTTCTCCTTGGCTGTCAGTTTTCTATTTCTGTTATCACAGTGGCTAATACTTAATTTCCACTTCATTGGAGCAAAGAGACTCAGTCTCTTTATTCTTCTTGTAATTAATTTTTCTCCTATCCTTGCCATGTATGTCTTACTTTTAACTTTTTATTTTAATGACTATGCAGCCTTTGGCCTGCCTAATTTCCGAATATTTCCAAACACCTATTATTTCTCCTCATCTCTTCAACTCTTTGATTTCTTTCATGTTTACATTATAATGAGCATTTATCTTACCAAGAAACAAATACAGGCTCACTAGCATAGAGACTTGAGTAAAAGATTAAGTTTTACTTTGTTTTTTAAGAGACAGGGTCATGCTCTGTTGCTCAGGCTGGAGTGCAGTGGCACAATCATAGCTCACTGCAGCCTCAAACTCCTGGGCTCAAGCGATCCTCCCCCGTCAGCTTCCTAAGTAGCTGCGACCACTGGTTCATGCCACCAATCCTGGCTAATTAAAAATTTTTTTTTGTTGTTGAGATGGGGTCTCACTTTGTTGCCCAGGCCGGTCTCAAATTCCTGGCCTCAAGTGATCCTCCCACCTCCGCCTCCCAAAGTGCTGGGATTACAAGTGTGAGCCACCATGCCTGGCCTTGAATTTTACTATCTTATAGGATTCTACATGTGAAATAAATGCTCAGAAATCCAAACTCTCTCCTTATTTTTTAAAATGCAAAAGAAAATTTTGAGACAGGGAGTCAATCCGTCACCCAGGCGGGAGTGCAGTGGCACGATCACTGCTCATTGCAGCCTCAACCTCCCAGGCTCCAATCGATTCTCCCACCTCAGCCTCCCGCATAGCAGGGAGTACAGGCATGCACCATGCCCAGCTAATTTTTGTATTTTTTTGTAGAGACAGGGTCTGGCCATGTTGCCCAGGCTGGTCTCGAACTCCTACACTCAAGAAGTCCTCCCACCTTGGCCTCCCAAAGTGCTAGGAATGCAGGTGTGAGCCACGACACCCAGCCCAAACTCTCTTCTTATGTCCAAAGAAGGGGTCAATTAATATTTCAGAAATTTTAGAAATTCAACTTGAGATTCCATAGCCTAGAACTAAGTAATCTTTGTTGTCAAGCACAATCTAGTTTTGCCAGTTTGAATTTACTTCTTTTGTGTCAAATTCCTGTTTTTCAGTCTTCTACAAACCCAGTACTCCCTTGTATGTAATGGCTTCATTTTCTTATTCTTCATCTTTATTAAAATAGGCACCATTAATTTTAAATTATAATTATATAATATATTTTTAGTGCCTTAGTTTTCAAGTAAGACTATTCTGAGACTGATTTTGAGATTTATGCTTTATGTTTTTTTTAGGGAGAAACCTCAAAAAAATTATTTTATGAGAACCTAATATTTTGTTTGGCAATGCAGTCCTTCAACACAGGTTGAAGTAGTGAAGATTTGAATACACCCTCTCTTATAATTACAAGCATATATTCAACTTAGTATTCATCTATTTAGTTTGCAATTCCATATCTTTATTGTGACAATGAATAGTGAGGTGTTACTAAAGTGAAACTCACAGTTTATATATAAAGTGCTAAATTTTTTTTTTTGAGACAGAGTTTCGCTCTTGTTGCCCAGGCTAGAGTGCAATGGCACAATCTTGGCTCACCACAACCTCTGCCTTCTGGGGTCAAGCAATTCTCCTGCCTCAGTCTCCCGAGTAGCTGGGATTACAGATGTGCACCACCACACCGGGCTAATTTCATATTTTTAGTAGAGACAGGGTTTCTCCATGTTGGTCAGGCTGGTCATGAACTCCTGACTTCAGGTGATCCACCCGCCTTGGCCTCCCAAAGTGCTGGGATTACAGGCGTGAGCCACCGCGCCCAGCCCTAAAGTGCTAAATAATTAAACAGACCTTACACATGTTGAGACTCTGTTACAGCACATGAAAACTGTGTACCAAAAAGTAAGGTTCACAATCTGTACTGCTATGATTTCCTATACTAAAGAGAGAGAAACAAGCAGACTCTATGTTTATGCCAGCTCATCATTAGTTCTGATCAAGTTTAGGTCTTTTTCTTTAAAAACATCTATAAAGGAGCCGGGTGCGGTGGCTCATGCCTGTAACCCCAGCACTTTGGGAGGCCGAGGTGGGTGGATCACCTGAGGTCGGGAGTTCAAGACCAGCCTGACCAACATGGAGAAACCCTATCTCTACTAAAAATACAAAATTAGCAGGGCATGGTGGTGCATGCCTGTAATCCCAGCTACCCCGGAGGCTGAGGCAGGAGAATCACTTGAACCCAGGAGGTGGAGGTTGCAGTGAGCCGAGATCACACCATCACACTCTAGCCTAGACAACAAGAGTGAAACTCTGTTTCAAAACAAAAAACAAAAAACAAAAAAAAACCCATCAATAAAGGGATCAGCAACTCTGCCTCACAAACAGCTCCCAGACCCATCCCCTCCTCTCTATCCCCTCTTCAAGCCTTGTCATTTCTTTCTAGCTTATGTCTGCCCTACAACCCTGTCACAAATATCACTGGCTCTGGTTTGGCCAGCTCCAATCCCTGCTCCACATGGGTTATATGACTGTCTCACTTCTCTGCTTCAAACACTTGTATAATTCCCCAGCTGCTTCATAATAAATCCAAACTCCTTGGCACATTACCCCAGGCTCAACATGAACTGGCTGTAACTTATCCCTTGGCTCACACCAATTCCCCTAACTGGGTCTTACACTCTGGCCAGAGGAAGGGACCTGTATTTTTCTGAAGGAGTCATGTTTTCTCATGCCTTTGTGCTTTTGCACATGCTACTTTCTGTCTAGAGCACCCTTCCCCACCCTCATTTCACCCAGCTAACTCCTTTCAGAGTGAGCTGAGACTTCATCTCCTCTGAGAAGCCCTCCCAGATCCTACCCCACTTAAATTGCTGACAAAGGTATTTCTAGTCAGGAATGCCTCCCTCCATCACTGGCCCTTAGATGGTATTGTAATTAGCTGTTTGTGCCTGTCTCCCAGAGTAGATGATGAGTCTGCATGGTGGGGACTATGTATTTTATCACTGTCCTCCTGGGAGCATCCAACACAGTGGGTATCAAACAAGAGGTCGATAATATTTATTCAAAATTATTGATTTTTGTTTGAATTGAGTTCTCTTATCTGGCATTTCACAAACACACACAAGCAGTACAACTCAAGTTTTCTAAGCTCTATTAATTACAAGGAACTGTGGCAAGGGCAGAGAACACAGATAATGTAAAGATGAATAAACATGAAACTCTTCAACTAACTATACTCTCTGGTCCCCTTAAGTGCAATAATAGAGTATATAATAAAGTGCAGGGTGCTGTGAAAGCAAAAGGGAAGCAATGACTTCTGCTTGAAGAGTGATTCAGAGCCCCTTTCAGTTGGGTGATTTCAAACGATAAGTGGGATTTCCTCAATTAAAGGAGATGGGATATTAAAGACATGGTACTGAGGTATAAAATTATGTGAACTTAATACTACTTTCCGTTTAATTACAAAAGTAAAATATACTTGTAAAAAATACAAAAGCCAATTTTCTCACTCCCCTCCTTGAGGTAAACACTACCATATCTTTTAAAACCTATTTCATCATGTGCGCACGCGTGCACACACGATCTTTATGAAAATCCTTTTTGTTTTCACAAAAATGGAACCACATTGAAAACACTTCTGCAACTTATTTCCATTGAATAGTGCTTTGCTAACAGCCTTCCATGTCATTACACCCAGAAAATGAATCTTCTGGAGCCTGGTGTATCTGGACCACTTATTAGAATAATAAAAAGCAGCCTGAGGCTGGGTGCAGTGGCTCATGCCTATAATCCCAGCACTTTGGGAGGCCGAGACAGGTCAGGAGTTCGAGACCACCCTGGCAAACATGGGGAAACCCTGTCTCTACTAAAAATATAAAAAATTAGCTGGGCGTAGTGGCAAGCACCTGTAATCCTAGCTACTTAGGAGGCTGAAGCAGGAGAATCATTCGAACCCGGGAGGTGGAGGTTGCAGTGAGCCGAGATCACACCACTGCACTCCTGCCCCAGCAACAGAGTGAGACTCCATCTCAAAAAAAACAAAAAAGCCTGATTTATGAATTGACCATGTTTCCCTATGCATATATACACAAATATGAACATACACCACCAGTGTTTTCTATTTGAGACATGTTATGTCTTACCTGAGGAAGCAATTTCTTCACCTCTTTTCATTCCCAATCTTTTATAAATTTCTCTCTCAGGATCGACATAGATTTCATGAGAATATCCAGTCAGCTTGCAAAAAGGCTGAAAAGAGAGAATGGTTGGAATTTTTACAAGAACAAATGAGAGAAAAGTAATGATACTCTAACTTCAGCCAACTTAGCCTACATTTAGTGGTTTAAATAATGTAATTTTTATGTCTGAAACAGATTTTATTCATTAGTCTCCCAATGTACTAGATATTTACCTCAATATGATGGTAGGATGACTGTCCAATCACTATAAGGGTGACATTTGCTTCCTTAGGAGAAAAAAAAGGACATGTATATATCATTAGAAATTATGCATGTTTTATACAACATCCCTTAACCCAACTCTTATGTTTCATTCTAATGCCACCTATAGGCTTCTAGAGGAATGGAATACACAGCAAAATTGTGTGAGTTAATGCAAAGATATGTATAGTAAAATATTAATTCAGATGCTTCTTTTGCTAAGTAGGAATTTCCAGACTTACACATAAGACCTAAAACTATAAAACTACTAGAAGAAAACTACAAAACTGCTACATGACATGGGTGTAAACAATGATTTGTAGAATATGACCTCAAAAATACAGGCAACAAAAGCAAAAATAGACAAATGGGACTATATCAAACTAAAAAGCTTCTGCACAGCCAAGGAAACAATCAACAGAGAAGAGACAACTCACAGATTGAGAGAAAATATCTGCAAACTATACATCTGATAAGGGGCAAATATCCAAAGTGTAAAAGAAATTCAAACAACTTTGCAAGAAAACAACATAGCCTGATTAAAAAATGGACAAAGGGCTGAGCATGGTGGCTTACGCCTGTAATCCCAGCACTTTTGCCAAGTCAGGTGGATCACCTGAGGTCAGGAGATCAAGACCAGCCTGACCAACATGGTGAAACCCCATCTCCACTAAAAATACAAAAATTAGCTGGGTGTGGTGGCATGTGCCTGTAATCCCAGCTACTCTGGAGGCTGAGGCAGGAGAATCACTTGAACCTAGGAGGCGAAGGTTGTAGTCAGCCGAGATTGTGCCACTGCTCTCCAGCCTGGGGGGCAGAATAAGACTCCGCCTCAAAAAAAAAAAAAAAAAAGAAATAGCCAAGAGATATATGAAAAGATGCTCAAAATCACTACTCATCAGTGAAATACAAATTAAAATTACAATGATATAACCTCACACTTGTTAAATGGCTATCAGTAAGATGCAAGATAAGTGTTGGTGAGGATGTGGAGAAAAAGGAACTTTTGTACACTGTTGTTAGGAATGTAAATTAGTACAGCCATTACGGAAAACAGTCTGGAAGTTATTAAAATTAAAAATAGAAATATAATATGATCCAGCAATCCCACTACTGGGCATTTATTCAAAGGAAATGAAATCAGTATGTTGAAGAGATATCTGCACTCCCATGTTTTATTACAGCATGATTCACAACACCAAGATATAGAAGCAACCTCAGTGTTCAACAATGGATAAATATAAAGAAAATGCGGTATCGGCCGGGCGCGGTGGCTCACGCCTGTAATCCCAGCACTTTGGGAGGCCAAGGCGGGCAGATCACGAGGTCAGGAGATGGAGACCATACTGGCTAACACGGTGAAACCCGTCTCTACTAAAAATACAAAAAATTAGCCGGGCGTGGTGGCGGGCGCCTGTTAGTCCCAGCTACTCAGGAGGCTGAGGCAGGAGAATGGCGTGAACCCGGGAGGCGGAGCTTGCAGTGAGCTGAGATCGCGCCACTGCACTCCAGCCTGGGCGATAGAGTGAGACTCCATCTCAAAAAAAAAAAAAGAAGAAAAGAAAATACGGTATCACATTTGGTCATAAAAAAGAAAGACATTTTTCTGTTATTTGCGACAACACTAGATGCACCTGGAGGACATCGTGTAAGTGAAATAAGCCAGGCACAGGAAGAAAAACACCGCATGATCTCATTTACCTATGGAAACGAAAAAAGTAGAGTGTAATGATGGTTACCAGAGACTGGTTACTCAGGGATAAGGAAAAGGGAGGTGATCAAAGGGTACAAAGTTTCAGTTAAACAAGAGGAATAACTTTTAGAGATCTGCTGCACACCATGGTGACTATAGTTAACAATGTATACTTCAAAATTGCTAAAAGACTAGTTTTTACACGCTGTCATCACAAAAAACTAAAATCACTATCTGACATGATGGATGTATTATCTCGATTTAATCATTCCACAACGTAAATGCCTATGAAAATATTACACTGTATCCCATAAACACATACAATTATATATGTCAATTTTTAAAAAGAGAATAAAAGGATACGCAGAGGAACAGTCAAAACATTGTTTTCAAAATGATATAGTAAATAATTCTCTATATTCTCCCCAAAGACATTCTTTTTTAAAAACTCTGTAGCACAGTTTTTTTTTTTTCTTTTTTAGACGGAGTCTTACTCTGTCGCCCAGGCTGGAGTGCAGTGGTGCAATTTCGGCTCACTGCAACCTCCGCCTCCCGGGTTCACGCCATTCTCCTGCCTCAGCCTCCCGAGTAGCTGGGCCTACAGGCGCCCGCCACCAAGCCCGGGTAATTTTTGGTATTTTTAGTAGAGTCAGGGTTTCACCGTGTTAACCAGGATGGTCTCGATCTCCTGACCTCGTGATCCGCCCTCCTCGGCCTCCCAAAGTGCTGGGATTACAGGCGTGAGCCACCGTGCCCGGCCGCACAGTTATTTAATCAATGTTATTTTTTCACATCCTGATTGACAAGGTCTGCTGAAAGAACATCTGTTTTATAAAGGCTGCTCAATGCCTTTCCTCAAAAAGCTCACTTGGGCACAAACCTATCTGTGCCTCAAGAAAAACAACTATGTGGTTTGTCCTAGGGACATGGAACTTGCAGCCTATTAACATAAACATTTGCACCTTTACGATATATTAGTATTTTCCCATAATGAGCAGCTATTTGGAGTGTAACAAAAAATAAAGGGAAGAAAATAACCATTTCCAGCATTTGTTTTAGGGCATTATCAGTCAACATTTGAGAACAGGCACTAGGTTACCAGGCAACACCACAATTGTTAGTACGTTTACCACCAGGCAGCACCCAATGAGTTAGGGCAGAAATAGATCTCTGACGTCTCACTCCTTTTGGAGGGGCGAGGGTGGAGAGAGCTGCGGGGAGGGGCAATCCAGGCTGCAAGTTCCGCGCTGGAGCCGCGTCCTCCCCCGCCCCGCTCGCAAGGTCTGCAGAAGCGGGCACTGGGCCGCCCACGCTGGGAAACTCACTTGTAAGAAACTCCTGGGGATTTTGGCCAGATCCTCTACGTATTCCTTGCAGATGTAACACAGGAAATGCTGAAAGCCAAAACGGCAGAAAGGGCAAGTTAGTAAAGCAGCACCCTCGGGCCCCGAAGGATCCCTGTACTTCGCCGTGCGTGACGCGAGCAAAGGCGACGCCCGCGGGGCCGGGACCGGCGGCTCGGGCGCCCGGCGCGTGGGAAGCGGGCCTCGCCCTCGCCCTCTCCCTGCCCCGCCCTAGTTGGGAAGCGGCCGCGACTGGGCAGGCTGCCTTCCCGTTTCCGTCCTAAGAAGCAGGAGGCGCGGCTCGCATCCCGGCAGCCTGCCCGGGACCCTGGGCCGCGCTTCCCTTCCAGCCCCGCCGCCCGCTCACCCGCACGAACACCACCACGGCGCGGCGCTCCCGGAACAGCGCGCCGAACGGTACCCGCTGCCCGCGGGCGTCCAGCACCGGCAGCTCGGCCACGGCGGCCGCCAGGGGCTGCCCGCTGTCGGGGCCGCTCGGGGCCGGGACCAGGGCGGCGGCGCCGCTAACCTGCCGCGTGACCGGGGCCGGCGCGGCCATGACGCGGGGCGGCCGAGGGCCTGGGTCCGCTCTGTCAGCGCGGACCGGGGCGGGGCGCGCAGAGGTTGGGCGCGGGGGGCGGGGCGGGGCGTGCAGAGGTGGGGCCTGGCAAGTCACGGTTTCCGCGGCGCGGCGCGGGCCTGGGAGCTGTCGGAGTGAACCCCACGGGCGGTTCTGACTCAGCTCTCAGGGTAGGGGACAGAGAGAGAAAGTAAGGTCCGTCCACGGCGAGCAAGCATTATTGAGGAAGAAAGCCGCCCGCGCCCTCCATGGCCACCTGAGCGGATGTTCTCACCTATTCGAGAACTAATGGGTGTATGTGTAAAAGGTGGGCTAGGGCCAGGCCCACGTTTTGTAAACACACAGGCCGGGCCTGTAATCCTAGCGACTTGGGAGGCCGAGGCGGGAAGATCACTTGAGGCCAGGAGTTCGAGACCAGCCTGGGTAGGTAACAGAGGGCAACGCCATCTCCGTTTTTTAAAAAAATAAATAATAAAAATAAAGAAATAAAAGGTGAGCTGGGTGGGATGAGGATGATGAAGTTAGATGACTTAGCAGCTGTTTTGTAGAAATCCCACACTTCCAATTCAGTTTCTCCTGGGGTGGGTAGGCAGGCATAGGGAAATCTGGGGATCTCAGCCTTTGTGAGACCAAACTGGCCCTGGATTTAGAGGTTCATCTTTCTCTGGGGTTTCTCATGGGTGCTAACTGTGTGTCCAAGATTTCCAGAGCAGGACCAGATAACATTCAGGCTCTTTGTCTTCATAAGTTTACTCACTCTTGTGTATGGATTTGGGGTTCAGAAAGTACATCCTTTATCTATGGCCTTTGTTGAGCTGAAGAATATTTCTGGGGCGGAGTGCTAGGCAGGTCTATGTGACTGATGTGACTCTGCCACAAAGTGCAGGAAAGGGGGATGCTGCATCCTCTGGCTTTCACCTGTGTGAAGATTTTATACTTTATTGAGCACACATTAAGTGCTCTGTTTGAGAAGCTCTGCAGCGTGTTTACAAAATTTTAAGCATAGATCTGTTTCTAAGTCAAGATAGTTTCTTTCTGAGACAGGGTGTCGCTCTGTCGCCCAGGCTGGAGCATTGGCACGATCATGGCTCACTGCAGCCTCCACCTCCTGAGCTCAAGCAGTCCTCCTGCCTCAGCCTCCCAAGTAGCTGTGATCACAGGCATGCACCACCATGCCTGGCAAATTTTTTTTTAGATTTGTTTTTGTAGACACAAGGGTCTCCCTATGTTGCCCAGGCTGGTTTTGAACTCCTGGGCTCAAGCAATCCTCTTGCCGTGGTCTCCCAAAGTCCTGGGGTTACAGGCATGAGCCACTGGGCCTGGCCAGGAGCTTTATGAGTTTTTGGAAATAAATGCATGACCAAAGTGCAGGCTGATGAATAGCACTCACAACAGGCAGTTTGCCAGATGTCACCAAATTTATTGTAAGCAGTGTTTTGGTAAGCAGAAATTGATATACAGATAAGAATGGTGGTATTTTGGCAGCTCTGATTAATTGCTGGTATCAATGAATGAAAAATTTTCTTTGACATTACTGCTTTCAGTGTCATATTTCATGTGAAATAAATTACAGGTTAGACAATTTCATTTTGAAATACAAAGAGCCACATGACTTAGTTTTTGCAGAGTGATGAACTCAGACATCATCAAAAAATAGTTTTGTAGGAGGAATAGTAGCCATGCAGAAATGCAGAAATTAGAAGGTATTGTCTAGGGAGCATCAGTACATGACTGAATGAGACACTGAGAGATGAAGTGCCTGTGACAGTTATCAACTTGCTTCTCAGCTCCAAATCAACCCTTCACTATATACTCTGTGACAATGGACAGACTTCCTCTAAGCATCTAACCTTTGCAATGGGCAATATATTAAGCATTTTCAATAGACAGTGTTGGCAGGACATTGCAGGAGGAAGGGGATTTCAAATAGCCTCCTGAGGGTAGCGGGTGGGGCTCTGCCTCTGGCACTTTACCAGGATACACACTTCCTTGGCAACACTGCAACTATTGGCTGTTCTAGCAATAACCTAGCACCTCACTTGATGTGAAAACTGGAACTTGAACGCACTCCTAACTCCACTAGCAGCCCAATTCCTCACCTGTGCCCCCAATTCCTCACCTGTTCCCATCGAGCCACCGCTCTCTGTAGAGCCGTTGGCTCACCTGTACCCATCACCATTGCCTCTGCTCTCATCCACTGCTTGCTGATGACCTATGCCCTGCCTGCATTCTAGTGGGTTCCTTTCTGCCTTTCCCTTGACTGTATACCAGATCCAGCCTGGGCAAGCCATCAAACTTCTACACATAGCTATCCAGTAGGCTGAACTATACCTGCTCCAGTCAGATCTGAAACCCAGATTTGGGGAAGGGGTCCCTTTCAAGTTTGTCTTCTTTGAGTATTGGTCCTTAGCCATAGGTTCCTTATATTTTCTAGACACACTTTAATCAGAGTTGTTGTTTTTTCAGAGATGGGGTCTCACTAATGTTTTCCAGGCTGGAGTCCAGTGGCTATTCACAGGTGCTATGATTATAGCACACTACAGTCTCATACTCCTGGCCTCAAGCATTCCTCCTGCCTCAGCCTCCTGAGTAGCTGAGATTACAGGTGCATGTCACCTGATCAGAGTTTACTCATTCATTATATTAAACTTTCCCTGTTTAACCTACAGTGTGGTTTAAATCTCGTTATTGGACCCAGACTAATACAGCACCTTTAGATACTATGATTAAGGAAAAGTAAATGTAAACTATTACTGTTTCCGTTCTGTTATTATTTAGGAATGACCTGCTAATATTTGGTGGTATAACTTCATATGTCCATGGTTTAAAATAAATCAAAGAACACACACTAAAAAATACAGAGACAGCACTACATGTTTGTAGAGTTGCCAGTGTAACTACTGTGTTGCTCAAGAAAGCGTCCTCCAAAATATCTTCTGACAAGTCCAACTAGAGATTCAACTGCCAAGAATACAGCTCTGAGGGGATAATACAAACAGTGTGTACAGTTTTTCTTAATTTGTTAATTTTAAAAAATATTTCCCCCTTTTGTGGTAAAATATACATGACATAAAATTTCCCACTTTAACCATTTTTAAATGTGTAATTCATTAGCATTAAGTACATTCACACTGTTGTGCAGCCTGCTCCATCATCCATCTCCAGAGCTTTTTCATCATCTCAAACTGTAACTCCATAACCTTTAAACACTAACTGCCCATTCCCTGCTCTACCTAACGCCTGGCAACCACCATTCTACTTTTTATCTCTATGAGTTTGATAACTCTATTTATCTTGTGTAACTGGAATCATACAGTATTTGTCCATTTGTGATTAACTTACTTCACTTGGCACAATCTCTTCAAGGTTCATCCTTGTAGCAGCACTTGTCAGGATTTCCTTCCTTTTTAAGCCTGAATAATATTCCATTGAATGTATCTACCGCATTTTCTTTATCCATTCATCTGTTGATGGACATGTGGGTTGTGTCTATCGTATTATGAATAAAGCTACTGTGTATGTGGGTGTACAATTCATTAATTTTTTGAGTGTTATATTAGGGATCTCCAGAAGAGAACCAGACCATATATATCGATATATCTCTCTCTATAGAGAGATATATACATCTATATATCGATATATAGATGTATATATCGATATATAGATCTATATATATGTGTATGTATATATCTCTCTGTATATAAATAGAGACATTTTATACATATATATAAAATGGAGAGAGTATGTGAATTTATTTATTTATTTTTTGAGACGATGTTTTGCTCTTGTTCCCCAGGCTGGAGTGCAATAGCGCAATCTCGGCTCACTGCAACCTCCACCTCCTGGGTTCAAGTGATTCTTCTACCTCAGCCTCCCAAGTAGCTGGGATTACAGGCATGTGCCACCACACCCAGCTAATTTTGTATTTTTAGTAGAGACAGAGTTTCTCCATGTTGGCCAGGCTGATCTTGAACTCCCAACCCCAGGTGATCCACCCCCCTCGGCCTCCCAAAGTGCTGGGATTACAGGTGTGAGCCACCGTGCCCAGCCGAGAGCAAATTTCTTTTAAGAAACTTACTAGTGATTGTGGGGGCTGGCACATCTGAAATGTGTAGGGCAGGTGAGCAGGCTGTAAATGAATGTAAGTATTGGTGTTGCAGTCTTGAGTCCTAATTTTGCACGGCAAGAGGCTGGAATCATCTTGCAGTTTTGAGAAGTGCTTCTTTTTCAGGAAACCTGCTTTTGCTTAAGCCTTCTCTGATTGGATGAAACTCACCCACATTATGGAGGGTAATCTGCTTTACTCAAAGTCTACTGATTTCAATGTTAATGACATCTAAAAAATACCTTTATAACAACACTTAGACTAGCATTTAACAAAATGACTGGATATCATGTCCTAGTCAAGTTAACACATAAAGTTAATCACCAGTCTATCTCTTGTCAACTTGGCACCCATACACATCCCCTAAAACCACACTTAATCTCCATATAAAGATAATAACAAAGTCATACTTCTGCCTAACAGGATACAACTATCTGGCATAGAACTGAAAATGCAATGGCCGGGCGCAGTGGCTCATGCCTGTAATCGCAGCACTTTGGGAGGCTGAGGTGGGTGGATCACCAGAGGGCAGGAGATCGGGACCAATCTGGCCAACATGGCGAAACCCCGTCTCTACTAAAAATACAAAAACTAGCTGAGTGTGGTGGCAGGCGCCTGTAATCTCAGCTACTTGGGAGGCTGAGGAAGGAGAATTGCTTAAACTTGGCAGGTGGAGGTTGCAGTGAGCCGAGATATGCCGCTGCACTCCAGCCTGGATGACAGAGCAAGACTCTGTCTCAAAAAAAAAAAAAAGAACTGAAAAACGCATTAACTTTTCCCCCAGAAAAGGATGCAGAATCCTTGGATGATCTTCACTCTTCTTAATATCCTATAACTTAAATACTATGATAAAAAAGTTAAGAGTATTTAAATACTGTGGTGTAAAGTTAATACATCCTACAGTATATAAGGGGCTAAAGAAGACAGAAAAGATTTTACGCACACATGCGCACACACACAGACATATTCATAAGAAAATAAAGAAGAAATATTCACAGCAACTACCATTCTCATTTAAACAATTGGTCACGTGTTTATTATACCTGATATTTATAAATACCTTCCTCTATTATCCATTCCATATTCCCTTGTCCACAGCAAGCACTTCAGCTGGTTGTGTGGTTTTTTTGACTGGTGGGATGACCCAAACCTTCATTCCTGAAGGGGCTGAGCCATTCATAGTCCCGCCTGGATTGGGTTGTAGTTTTCCATTGACTTTAATCAGAGGGAATGTTAGTTCTAAGAGACACCCCAAGGGATGTCCTGCATCCCAGCCATATTTTTCCTTACCTCTATTGTGAAATCCAGTGACCCTTCGTAATTAGGAAAAAATCATCCCAGGCAGTAGAGTAGCTCCCTTCTTTACCTGTTGACTCAGAGGCATGCAGAGCCTGCAATGGCTGGGTGGTTGTCTTGTTGTCCAGTTCAATGAAGTTAATTGTTGTGTGACCTGGTGGAAGCATTCCTCCTTTCAGAACTAAGACTTGTAGACCAGCAGAGCATGAGGTCATGGGAACAGGAAGCGAAAGCTTTGCAAATATTGTGTAGTGCCACTCTCATTTCTACCCCTGGATTCCTGCACCTGTAAATACTGTCTGTCAGATAAACAGTATCATGTATCGGACACTGATTTAGAGAATACACGGCTTCTTGGGGAGCCTTGCCTCAGCCCTGCAAGGTATGGTCACCTAGCTGGTGCTGTAACTGAACTCCCTTCCCTTCCCCTCCCTTTCCCTCCCCTCCCCTCCCCTTCACTTTTTTTTTTGAGATGGAGTTTCACTCTTGTTGCCCAGGCCGGAGTGCAATGGTGCGATCTCGGCTCACTGCAACCTCCATCTCCCAGGTTCAAGAGATTCTCCTGCCTCAGCCTCCCGAGTAGCTGGGATTACAGGCACACGCCACCAGGCCCGGCTATTTTTTTTTTTTTTTTTGAGATGGAGTCTCACTGTGTCGCCCAGGCTGGAGTACAGTGGTGCGATCTTGGCTCACTGCAAGCTCTGCCTCCCGGGTTCACGCCATTCTCAGCCTCCCGAGTAGCTGGGACTACAGGTGCCTGCCACCACGCCTGGCTAATTTTTTGTAATTTTTAGTAGAGACGGAGTTTCACCGTGTTAGCGAGAATGGTCTCGATCTCCTGACCTCGTGATCCGCCCGCCTTGGCCTCCCAGAGTGCTGGGATTACAGGCATGAGCCACCACCCCTGGCCCTAATTTTGTATTTTTAGTAGAGACGAGGTTTCTCCATGTTGGTCAGGCTGGTCTCAAACTCCTGACCTCAGGTGATCCACCTGCCTTCGTCTCCCAAAGTGCTGGGATTACAGGCGTGAGCCACCATGCCCGGCTGTAACTGAATTTTCAAAAGGCCATTCCACTGTTCTGTCAAGCCAGCTGCTTCAAGATGGTGGGGAATATGGTAACACCAGTGAATTCCATGAGCACGAGCTCACTGCTGTACTTCACTTGTCTTGAAGTGAGTTCCTTGAATAGAAGGAATGTTGTGTGGAATACCATGACAGTAGATAAGGCATACTGTAAGTTCACAAGTGATAGTTTTGGCAGAAGCACGGTGTACTGGGAAGGCAAATCCTTATGTAGGGTGTGTCTATTCCAGTAAGAACAAAATGCTGCTGCTTCCATGGTGTAAGTGGTCCAATATAATCCACCTGCCACCAGGTAGCTGGAATCACCCTGGAGAAGGGTGCCACAGTGGGAGCACAGTGTCGATTTCTGTTTCTGGCAGATTAGGCCTACTCAGCAGCAGCTGTGGCCAGCTTGGCCCTGGCTAGTGAACGTCCACGTTGCTGAACTCATGCATACCTTCACCACTGCCATGCACAACTTTGGGTTGTGGAAAAAGGCTGACTAGTATCCACACAAAAATCAACCTATCCACTTGATTATTAAAATCCTCCTCTCCTGAGGTCACCCTTTGATGAGTATTCCTCATGGAATACAAATGTTTTCGTTTTTCACTTATTCGGAGACGTGGGTCCATTCACTTGTTCCCCAGACCTCCTTATCACCAGTTTTCTAATCATGTTCCCTCCAGGTCCTAACTTGTGTTGTCCCATTTGTGTTGTAATTCAGCTACTCTGAGGATGAAGCTCTAGGTTTGTTTTTCAGAGAAGCAATCATTAAATGTTAATCACAGCAAAAAAAATACCTTCACAGCAACGTGTAGACTGGTGTTTGACCAAACCCCTGGGGACCAGAGTTGAGCCAAGTTGACACATAAATTAACCATCATAAAGTGGAATCAACCTAATTACTCATCAACACAAACTGGTTACATAATTGAGGACATATTCATTATGATTTATAGAGAGAATGAAGTAGATTTGTATATACTGACATGGAAAGATCTTCAATTCATATTTAGTAAAAAAGGCAAGTATCAATGCATATAATACAAGCCACTTTAAGTGAAATAAAGAAAACTGATATATACATGTACTTATATTGATATGGATGCACAGAAAAGGAACTGGAAGTGTATATACTTGTTAACAGTGGCTACCCCTGTGAAGAGGGAAGTGAGGTTATGAGAGGCCTCTCGTGTTTTCCTCCATATACTTATGGATTACATGAATATTTGACTGTAAGAGTATGTCTAACATTAAACTGAGAAACAGAGTGAAAGAGAGTTAGAGGATGACAGAGAGAGAGAGAAACTACTAGACTAGATGATCTCAAAAATGCCAACTGTAGCCGGGCGCGGTGGCTCACGCCTGTAATCCCAGCACTTTGGGAGGCTGAGGTGGGCAGATCACCTGAGGTCAGTAGGTCAAGACCAGCCTGACCTACATGGAGAAACCCCGTCTCTACTAAAAATACAAAATTAGCCAGGCATGGTGGCACATGCCTGTAATCCCAGCTACTTGGGAGGCTGAGGCAGGAGAATCGCTTGAACCCAGGAGGCAGAGGCTGTGGTGAGCTGAGATCACGCCATTGCACTCCAGCCTGGGCAAAAAGAGCAAGACTCCATCTCAAAAAAAAAAAAAAAAAAAGAAAGAAAGAAAAAAAGAAAAATGCCAGCTGTAGGGAACCTGACCTACTGGGCTGGTTCTCGGTCTCCCACTCCCTCTTTCCAGCCTCACTCTGGCTGACTCGTAAACAGGACAGATGTAAACTCATGATTTGGTAGTATACGCATTTTGCTACATTGCCTGGGGAACACAGAAATCCAGCCTGCTAAGAAAGGAAGAAGAGCAAAGCACACATGAAGAGTCCCTGAAGGAGAAAGATTCCCAATGCAGCAGAGTCTTTGCTTCCAGTCCATTACTGAGCCCTGGCTGCATCTCTGCCTCTGGTTCTGTGAGTCACCTTTAAATGCTGATAACAAATTTCCCTCTTTGACTTTAAGTTGATTTTATGCTGTTCTCCTACTTGTAACCAAGTGTTTTAACTAACTGCAGATTTTTTTTTTTTTTTTTGAGACGAGTCTCGCTCTTTGGCCCAGACCGGACTGCAGTGGCGCTATCTCCACTCACTGCAGGCTCCGCCTCCCCGGTTCCCGCTATTCTCTTGCCTCAGCCTCCCGAGTAGCTGGGACCACAGGCGCCAGCCACCGCTCCCGGCTAATTTATTTATTTATTTTTTTGTATTTTTTAGTTGAGACGAGGTTTCACCGTGTTAGCCAGGATGGTCTCCATCTCCTGACCCCGTGATCCGCCCGCCTCCGCCTCCCAAAGTGCTGGGATTACAGGCGTGAGCCACCGCGCCCGGCCCTAACTGCAGAAATTATACTGATTCTATGGATAATGGTGACTTTGGTCCCCTAGAGCTCAAGGAGATCCTGTCGTATACATTGTTCTCCGTAACCCCAGCACCTATGACTGAGTTCCTCCTGAAGATACCTGATACGTTAGGACAAAGTGAAGTCACCACTTGCTATCTCTTCTGTTTGTTGTTGAAAATAAACATCTAGAAATGGCTTAAAAGTGAAATGAAACCCAATAGTGCATGAATTTTTGTGAACTATCCTGGCAGGTCAGAAAAAAATGAATTAGAATTCTCATTATATTTCATACATCAGATTGGCTCTTTAAATAAGACAAAAAGCAAATTATAAAGAATCATTTTTTTATCTAGAAGAACTGGCAAATATTGTACAAATAAAGGATTTTATTGGAGAAGTCACAAGAGGCATATACTGGGTGGTACTGCTTGTATACATTATAAATAGGAGGACCTAAACTTTTTTAAATTTTTTATTTTATTTTATTTTTTGAGGTGGACTGCTCTGTCACCCAGGCTGGAGTGCAGTGGCACAATTTTGGCTCATTGCAACCTCTGCCTCCTGGGCTCAAGCGATTCTCCTGCCTCAGCCTCTGGAGTAGCTGGGACTACAGGTGCCTGCCACCACTCCTGGCTAATTTTTGTATTTTTAGTAGAGATGGGATTTCACTATGTTAGCCAGGCTGGCCTCGAACTCCTGACCTCAGGTGATCCACCCACCTCAGCCTCCCAAAGTGCTGGGATTACAGTCATGAGCCACCATGCCCAGACTTTATTTAAATTTTATTTTATTTTCAACTGAGGGGATCATGTGCATGTTTGTTGCACAGGTACATTGTGTACTGGTGGAGACTGGTCTTCTAGTAAACCCATTACCCAAATAGTGAACAGTGGACCTGATAAGTGATTTTTCAGCCCTTGATCCCCGCCCACTTTCCCTGCTTTTGGAGTCCCAGTGTCTATTATTCCCATCTTTATGTCCATGTGTACCCGTTGTTTAGCTCACTTATAAGTTTCTACTTACACTTTAGCTCCCTTGTAAGTTTAAGCTCACTAAGTATAAGTAAGAACACATGCAGTATTTGATTTTGTTTGAGTTGATTTACTTAGGATGATGGCCTCCAGCTCCACCAATATTGTTGCAAAGGACATGGTTTTATTCTTTTTTTGTGGCTGCTTTATTTTTATTTTATTTACTTTTAGAGATAGGGTCTCGCCCTGTCACCTAGGCTGGAGTGCAGTGATGTGATCATTGCTCACTGCAGCCTCAGACTCCTGGGCTCAAGTGATCCTCCCACCTCAGCCTCCCAAGTAGCTGAGACTATAGGTGTGCACCATCATGCCTGGCTAATTTTTTATTTTATTTGTAGAAATGGAGTCTCACTCTATTGCCCAGGTTGGTCTTGAACTTCAGGCTTCAAGCAGTCCTCTCACCCTGGCATCCCGAAGCACTGGGATTACAAACATGAGCCACTTCACCTGCCTAATAAGAGGACTTTGGGAGCTCATTTGCACTTTGTTTTCAGTAGGAGAAGGAAATCCAAAAGAGGATTCTTGAGGAGACCTCCTTTCTTAGTTCTGGTGGTCATTCCCATCTTGGCAAACATATAATATTATCAAACATCTTCACTCAGATCTGATAGCAATATGGTAGAGAGCCTGATAGACTCGTTATCCCTGGACAATATGATTCTGACTATCATGTGTACCTCTGTCACCCCAGGCCAGATTCTAGTAATAAACATTTCTCACTGGCACACCTGCTTACCTCTTGAAAACCCTATTTGCTCAGAGTGGTGTGGCTCGCCAGGCTGAACGATCTGCGGTCCTCCTTACCCACCATGAGAAATGCTGAGGCAGGGAAATGTGTTCGGGGCTGACCCCGGGAAGATTGTGATCCTCAGACAGGAAACCTTTTTGAGAAGGGAGATGGGAAGATGAGAACTGAGTACTGGGCTTCAAAGGGAGTTTGTGAGAGTTGGTGCCTGTCCAGTTACATATGCTCTGACAGGAATATTCCAGAATATCCCAGCAATATTCTGGGACTTTGGAGACCACACTAGAGGAGTGAGGCCTTGCCAGGTGAGGCAGAATCTTTAGGGAGCATGGCTGCTGCTGTTAGTTACTGAGAGTGAGCTGGGTCTTTTAGTCTTGGGAGGACGTTCTTCCTAATAGTAAACTGGAGAAGGGATGTGTCAACCTCTCTTTTCCCCCCTTTCTTGGGGCTAGACATTAGGGGTAGAGGTGTCCCCCCAAGAAGTTCCTTGGTGGTGAGGGTAAAGATGGTCCCCTCTGGGCCGGGCGTGGTGGCTCACTCCTATAATCCCAGCACTTTGGGAGGCCAAGGCAGGCGGATCACAAGGTCAGGAGGTCGAGACCATCCTGGCTAACACGGTGAAACCCCCATCTCTACTAAAAATACAAAAAATTAGCCGGGCGTGGTGGCGGGCGCCTGTAGTCCCAGCTACTCGGGAGGCTGAGGCAGGAGAATGGCGTGAACCCAGGAGGCGGAGCTTGCACTGAACCAAGATTGCGCCACTGCACTCCAGCCTGGGCGAGAGCGAGACTCCATCTGAAAAAAAAAAAAAAAGATGGTCCCTTCTGAGAGCACAGCCCTGGAACTAGGACCAGAGGCCTCCTTGTGGTCAGGTGTGAGCTGACGGTGAGAAAACTGACCTATACACCAGATTAACTGGGTTGTGAAAGTCTCAAGATTTATTTTCCTTTCCTTTTCTCAGATTTTAGTAAATCCCCATTTGTAGGTCTCAGCTCAGTTTCAGCTGTGTCACTGGGTTTTCTAAGAAACCAGAGACCTTTCTGTGCATGATTGGAGGAACAGCACCTTCTTGTGGTCAGTTTGAAGGTGGCAGTATTAAACATTTATTTTTATTTATTTATTTATTTTTTTGAGATGGAGTCTCACTCTTGTTGCCCAGGCTGGAGTGCAGTGGTGTGATCTCGGCTCACTGCAACCTCCGCCTCCCGGGTTCAAGCGATTCTCCTGCCTCAGCCTCCTGAGTAGCTGGGATTACAGGTGCCTGCCAACACGACCAGCTAATTTTTGTATTTTTAGTAGAGAGGGGGTTTCGCCATGTTGATCAGGCTGGTCTCGAACTCCTGACCTCGTGATCTGCCTGCCTCAGTCTCCCAAAGTGCTGGGATTATGGGCGTGAACCACCACGCCCGGCCCAACATTTATTAAAGAAGGTATCAGTGCCTTGTGGAGCTGTATAAGACTAGAAGTTTATACCAGGGCTATGGTGTCCATCTTGGCCTGCTGGAAGTAGTAACCGCAGACTCTAAGTGGTTTGAACTCTGATTCTCCACAGCCAAGGCAGCTGGAGCTGGGGTCATCCCATCCAGCACATCCAGGTGGCCACTGGGATTCCCTGCAGGAGTCAAAATTCCCTGCAGCATGGGACATTGAAGGCCAAAGGGCTCCCTCTGGCCTCTGAGGAGAGTAACTGGAGGCCAAACTGAAAGGTTTGCGGGGACCCAGACAGGCCAGTGTAAAATTAGCTCTAATTTATGGGGGTGCCCCAGCACACTGGGCTCACCAGAAAATCCCTGCTACTTTTGCTTTATTTGTTGCTGTGATGACTAAGGTTTGAAGGAGGAAGAAGAACCATCAGGTAAACAAAGCACAGTTGAGGAACTGTGAGAGGGAACTGAGGGCCTGAACTTCACCTGGAGAAAATATCCCAAGCAAACCAAAAGCAGCTTGAGATGGGATGTCGTGAGTGGAGCAATAAAAGAGACAATGGAAACATTTCCCTCCCTTGGAATGGTCAGCAAGCAGGGCTCACAGATGCTGGGCTGCCAGTCGTGGGCAACCCTGCTCTGGTGCACCCCCAGGAAGCACATGAAGCTGAGGGGCCAAGGTCATTCATTCAGCCTTTTAAAGATCTTGCCTTCAGGTAGAGCACAGGAACAGTGGGTAGTATATGAGTGACACCAGACACTGCATTTAACGAATAAAGGGAGGGTAAACACTTCTGCCATCTGTCTCTTCCTATGTTCCAATTCCATTCTTACTCCTTGTTCTGGAGTGGTGTCGTGAGGCTCTCAAGGCACACTCCGACCATGTGCTCTTCCAAGGAATGCCTGCCCAAATGGCTCACTCCTGCCCTGGACATTCGACAAAACCAGTCCTGCTGCCCTGGCTGGGGACTGAGCTGGATTCAAAGGCAGCCCTGTGTCAAGTGATTCTGAGGGGTTGCTTGGGGATAAACCACTGCCCCATAAGAGTGCTCTGCCTGGGAAGCCAGAAAATGGACCCAATCCCATCTCCTAGAACTCTTGGAAAATATAGGTTCTATTTATGGCAAGTACAGGTTCTCCCATAAAGGGCAGGTCATGGGTCAAACAACGATGGTTCATGTTTCCTGCAATGTCTCCTGAATATCTTCACAAAGTACTAATCTGAGTGGCTGCTGAGTTATTTGATTGAATGAATTTTTTTTTTTTTGAGACTGAGTCTCACTTTATTGCCCAAGCTGGAGTGCAATGGCATGATCTCAGCTCACTGCAACCTCTACCTCCCAGGTTCAAGTGATTCTCCTGCCTCAGCCTCCCGAGTAGCTGGGATTACAGGCATGTGCCACCACGTCCAGCTAATTTTTGTATTTTTAGCAGAGATGGAGTTTCACCTCGTTGGCCAGGCTGGCCTCAAACTCCTGACCTCAACTGATCCACTCGCCTCAGCCTCCCAAAGTGTTGGGATTACAGGCGTGAGCCACTGTGCTCGGCCTTGAATGAACTTCTGATGCCTCCTCCCATCCACATGTACTCTGATGTACCATCACCTGAGTGTGACTGTTCCTTACGCATCTAAGAAGCCCAATTAATTCCTGCCAAAGGGGGGAGATTCCCTCCCTGCCAACCCCCGCCACTGCGTGCCGTGTGGTGCCATCTACGCTGAGGGACCATGTTTGAGGGAGGAGGCGCGGAGTCTCCAAGCGCTCTCACTCAAACGCCCGCACAGGGCCCTGAGCTTCCTTTCAGTTTGGTGAAGCTTTGTTCAGTTCTGTTCCTCCTCAAAGATAGGGTATTAACGTCCGATTGCTGTTGCAACAAACTACACAAACTCAGTGGTTTAAAACAACACAAATTTGTTCTTAGAGTTCTGGAGGTCAGAAGTCTGCAATCAGTTTCATTTGGCTAAAGTCCAGGTGTTGGCGGGGCCGGCGCCCCAGGAGCTATGAGGGGAGAATCGATTTTCTTGCTTTTTCAGTTTCTAGTGGCTACCTGCATTCCTCGGTTTGTGACTTCTTCCCTACATCACTACAATGTTTGCTTCCATCATTGTCACATCTCCTACTATTCACTGTGATCTCCTGCCTTCTTTTATAAAGATCTTTGTGATTACAGGCTAGGCGTGGTGGCTCATGCCTGTAATCCCAGCACTTTGGGAGGCCTAGATGGGTGGATCATGAGGTCAGGAGATCGAGACCATCCTGGCTAACACGGTGAAACCCCATCTCTACTAAAAATACAAAAAATTAGCCGGCCTAGTGGCGGGCACCTGTAGTCCCAGCTACTCAGAAGGCTGAGGCAGGAGAATGGCGTGAACCCAGGAGGCGGAGCTTGCAGTGAGCCGAGATTGCGCCACTGCACTCCAGCCTGGGTGACAGAGCGAGACTCCATCTCAAAAAAAAAAAAACTTAGTGATTACCTTGGGTCCACCTGGATAACCCAGGCTAACCTCCCCATCTCAAAATCCTTAACTTAATCACAACTGCAATGTTGGGAACAGGCCCCCAAAATGTGGCCATAAACTGGCCCCAAAACTGGCCATAAACAAAATCTCTGCAGCACTGTGACATGTTCGTTATGGCCATGATGCCCACGCTGGAAGGTTGTGGGTTTACTGGAATGAGGGCAAGGAACACCTGGACCACCCAGGGCAGAAAACCGCTTAAAGGCGTTCTTAAACCACAAACAATAGCATGAGTGATCTGTACCTTAAGGACATGCTGCTGCTGCAGATAACTAGCCAGAACCCATCCCTTTATTTCAGCCCATTCCTTTATTTCCCGTAAGGAATACTTTTAGTTAATCTATAATCTATAGAAACAATGCTTATCACTGGCTTGTTGTTAATAAATGCATGGGTAAAATCTCTGTTCAAGACTCTCAGCTCTGAAGGCTGTGAGATCCCCGATTTCCCACTCCACACCTCTATATTTCTGTGTGTGTGTCTTTAATTCCTCTAGCGCCGCTGGGTTAGGTCTCCGTGACTGAGCTGGTCTCAGCACTGCGATGTCCCTTTTACCAGATAAGGTAACATTCCAGACTTGAAGGATTAAGTTGTGCACAGATGTGATCACATGTTTCTTTCTGCAGGGAGCTCCTGAGATGTGGGGATCAGGCCATCCCTAATCCACTCAGCTTTTGCTCTTCCCAGTCTTTTTTTTTTTTTTTTTTTTTTTTTTTGGAGAAAGGTCTTGCTCTGTTGCCCAGGCTGGAGTGTAGCGGTGGGATCATGGTGCACTGCAATCTCAACTTCCTGGGCTCAGATAATCCTCCCACTTCAGCCTTCCAAGTAGCTGGGACAACAGGCTTGTGCCACCATGCCTGGCTAATTTAAAACAATTTTTTGGTAGAGATGGAGTCTCCCTGTTGCCCAGTTCAAACTGGGTCTTGAACCTAGGCTCAAGTGATCCTCCTGCTTTGGCCTCCCAAAGTACTTTCATTATAGGCATGAGCCACTGAGCCTGGCATCCGTGTCTTTTTTTTTTTTTTTCAGCTGGCGTCTTGCTCTGTTGCCCAGGCTGGAGTGCAGTGGTGCATTCTTGGCTCACTGCAACCTCCGCCTCCCAGGTTCAAGCAATTCTCCTGTGTCAGCTTCCCGAGTAGCTGGGACTACAGGTGTGTACCACCACACCCAGCTAATTTTTGTATTTTTAGTAGAGACGGGGTTTCACCATGTTGGCCAGGATGGTCTAGATCTCCTGACCCCGCGATCCACCTGCCTTGGCCTCCCAAAGTGCTGGGATTACAGGCGTGAGCTACCGCGCCTGGCCTATTCCTAATAGTCAAAAGCTGGAAACAATCCAGATGTGTTTTTTTCTTTTTTTTTTATTGAGATGGAGTCTTGCTCTGTTGCCCAGACTGGAGTGCAGTGCTGCAATCTCGGCTCACTGCAACCTCTGCCTCCCAGGTTCAAGCGATTCTCCTGCCTCAGCTTCCCGAGTAGCTGGGACTACAGGTGCGCACCACCACACCCAGCTAATTTTTGTATTTTTAGTAGAGACGGGGTTTCACCATGTTGGCCAGGATGGTCTAGATCTCCTGACCGCGTGATCCATCTGCCTCGGCCTCCCAAAGTTCTGGGATTACAGACATGAGCTACCGCTCCTGGCCTATTCCTAATAGTCAAAAGCTGGAAACAATCCAGGTGTCTTTTTTTTTTCGTTATTGAGACGGAGTCTTGCTCTGTTGCCCAGACTGGAGTGCAGTGGTGCAATCTCGGCTCACTGCAACCTCTGCCTCCCGATTCAAATGATTCTCCTGCCTCAGCCTCCTGAGTAGCTGGGACTATAGGCACGTGCCACCATGCCCAGCTAATTTTTGTATTTTTAGTAGAGACTGGGTTTCACTGTGTTAGCCAGGATGGTCTCGATCTCCTGACCTCATAATCCATCTGCCTTGGCCTCCCAACATGCTGGGATTACAGGCATGAGCCACCACGCCTGGCCTCAGATGTCTTTCAATAGGTGAGGGTTAAGCAAACTGTGGCAACCTCACATCATGGAATACTACTTTGCAATAAAAAAGAACAAAGCAAACTACTGACACACACAACAACCTGGATGAAGCTCCTGAGAATTACGCCAAGTGAAAAAATTAATTCCAAAGGTTACATGTTGTATGATTCCACTTTGTCATTCTTCAACTGACAAAATTATGGAAATGAAGAAAGGATTAGTGGTTTCCAGGGGTAAAGAAGGGGTGGAGATGGGAGGGAAGTGGCTGTGGCTATAAAAGAGCAACAGGAGTGATCCATGTGGTGACTGAATTTTTCAGTATCTTGACTATGCCAATGTCAACATTCTGGTTGTAATGTACTATAGTTTTGGTGATATTACCATTGCTGAAGACTGGGTAAAGGGTACATGGGATTTCTCTGTAAGAGTTTTTGTACCTGCAGGTGAATCTACAATTATCTCAAACAAAACTTAAAAAAAATTATGGAAGAAAATGGAAAGAGTTGGCAGAAACTACAAATAAATATGTATTCACCTCACCCCACGATGACACTTGGCTCTTATCCACCTTAGAAAAGTATGAAGATTTATTTGGAGGGAGAAGTCTCCTGTGCACTCTAAAGTCTCTAAGGCTGCCTCAAAGTTGAGTCTCATCAGTATCACTAAGATCTCTTGCAGAAGGGAGCACTATTAAAGCTTGTGAATTACTTTCTTACTTCTCCAAAACAGTTAGAGATAGATTTGCTTTATTTTTAAGATATTCTGTGCTAACTAGTAGCCCCTGGGCCAAAGAATTCATGACGCATTTCAAAGACCAGGCAAATTTCACAAATGGTCATAATGGATGAGGCTAGTATTTCCAATGTGGAAGCACACAGGACAGACTGGAGTACCTGAAACATGCCCACGGGCACGTGGGTCTGGGACTGGAAGGGAGGAGCATGGGCTCTGACTCTTAGGAGGAAAGTCATTCAAGATCTCAATCGCCACAAGGCGGACTGTGGCTTGCCTTTCAAGACAGTTGAACATGCTTTTTCAACAGATGCACACAAAGGGTTGGACAAAACTGCTTGGAGACTTTCTCACTTGGTTTGTGGTTACCTCAAAAACTGACAAGGGATAGTTATGTAAAATGTGAACACTGGGGAAGGATGGAGAGGGACATATGGACACTCATTGTACTATTTTTGTAACTTCTATAAGTAGTTCAAATAAAACATTTTTTAAAAGCTAACTTTGTCTTGGTTGGAAATTTGCTCAAGTCACTTTTGTTTAGTCAGTGAACAGGTAAGTATTTTCCCCCTTGAAAGTCAGTAAACATCTCGGTGAGGAGAGACCCTCGGACGCCCAGCCATGCTTAGGGTCTGGCCCTTCCACACCCACCTCATTGTCACTGCTGGATGTCTCAGTGTCATAGGAGGGCATGGGCTGACGCACAGGTGGCTCTTTCTCCTCAGGGTCATTGTGTTCACACTTTGCCAGGGACAAGGGTTCCTAATGTGTCTAGAGTTTGTTCCTTCCGGTGGGTTCATGGTCTCGCTGGCTTGCCGTGGACCTTCGTGGTCAGTGTTACACAGTGTTACAGCTTTTTTTTTTTTTTTTGAGACGGAGTCTCACTCTGTTGCCCAGGCTGGAGTGCAGTGGCATGATCTCAGCTCACTGCAAGCTCTGCCTCCCGGGTTCACGCCATTCTCCTGCCTTAGCCTCCCCAGTAGCTAGGACTACAGGCGCCTGCCACCATGCCCGGCTAACTTTTTGTGTTTTTTAGTAGAGATGGGGTTTCACCGTGTTAGCTAGGATGTTCTTGATCTCCTGACCTTGTGATCTGCCCGCCTCGGCCTCCCAAAGTGCTGGGATTACAGGCGTAAGCCACCGCGCCTGGCCAGTGTTACAGCTCTTAAAGGTGGCACCCAAAGAGTGAGCAGAAAGAACAAAGTTTCTACAGCCTGTATGAGGACCCAAGCAGGTTGCCGCTGCTGGCTTTGGGGGAGGGGATGGGGGAGTGGCCAGCTTTTATTCCCTTATTTGTCCCCGCCCATGTCCTGCTGATTGGCCCATTTTACAGAGTGCTGATTGGTCCATTTTACAGAGCACTGATTGGTGCATTTTACAAACCTCTAGCTAGCTACAGAGTGCTGATTGGTGCATTTTACAGAGTGCTGATTGGTGCATTTTACAAACCACTAGCTAGCTACAGAGCGCTGATTGGTGCGTTTTTACAGAGCACTGATTGGTGCATTTTACAAACCTCTTGTAAGACAGAAAAGTTCTCCAAGTCCACACTCAACCCAGGAAGTCCAGCTGGCTTCACTAAGGGGGCAGAAGGTCACATGAATTTTATTCAGCCAAGAAATAACATCTAAGAACAGTGAGATCCATGCTTTATCCTTTATACAGCTTTATGCTTGCAAATAAAGGGCACGATTATGGGAATTTTTCTCAGTTGAAAAGGTAGTTTTCAGTATTTCTAGCTGCTGAAGAATTCTCATGCTGACCCCATTTCTTATCCTACACCACAGAACTACTGATGCTCAGAGAATGATGAGAAGCATATTTACAACAGTAATTTCTCTTATAATTCTTACCCTTAGGATCCCCCTTATTAATTCATGGCACAGTCAGCATGTGTTGGGGCTCTTCTGGATGAAAAGAATGGGTTTTAATGACAAACCCAAAAGTTCCTCAAGACAATTTGTATTTTTAGTAATTAAAACAGAAATCAGGAAGCCAGGCACGGTGGTTCAAGCCAGGCGCAGTGGCTCATGCCTGCAATCCAAGCACTTTGGGAGGCTGAGGTGGGTGGATCGTCTGAGGTCAGGAGCTCAAGACCAGCCTGGCCAATGTAGTGAAACCCCATCTCTACTAAAAATACAAAAAATTAGCTGGGCATGGTGGCGGGTGCCTGTAATCCTAGCTACTAGGGAGGCTGGGGCAAGAGAATCGCTCGAACCTGGGAGGCGGAGGTTGCAGTGAGCTGAGATAGAGCCATTGCACTCCAGTGTGAGCAATAAGAGCAAAACTCCATCTCAAAAAAAAAAAAAAGAAAAGAAAAGAAAACAGGAATTTGATATTTCTGGTGTTTAATGATTGACAACAAGCAATATGTGTTCTGGCCATTACATTGAGACTCTAATTTGGCAACTCCAGACACTCCTGTTCCTTGACCCTGGTGATCTCTACTGATACTAGAAGGAGAGGGGAGTGCCATTAAGTAATGAGTCATAGCTACCATCACAATAAGCTCTGCCAGGTTTTCTCCAAGTTGGCATAGTCACTAAGAAAGGCAACAAAAAGATACTTGGTCTGGTTGCTGCTCAACTAATACCAAGAACAGCTCACATTTATACAGCACTTACTGTGTGCCAGATACTAAGAATCATATATGAAATCATTTAATCTTCATAACAATCTTAAAATTAGGTACTAGTATCATTCTCATTTTAGAGGTAAGAAAATTAAGTACAAAGAAGTTAAGGTTAGCTAATAAATGAAGGAGGTAGGATTTGAACATAAGCAGTTCCTGACTCATGGCTGAGTCATGATTTAAAAATACAAAACCTTTATGCCTTAATTTTTCCTTCTGCCAAGAAAAATAAAAATATAACTAATAAATGATTAAACACATTTTATTTAAGGCTCTCCTTATGGAGCTGTACAAATTAAAAGTTCTAAGGCTGAATTTAAAGTAATAGTTACAAAGTATCTGCTTTCTTCTTTCTTAGAGTCTATCTCTCAATTTGAGGACCATTCTTTCCTTCCTTAGATAAACCATCTAAAATTAATACAACTCTTCTATTTACAGGTGACATGATTTTATTTGTAGAAAATTCTAAGGAATACACACACACACAGAAAAAAAAATCATTAAAGCCAATACATGAATTCAGAAGGTTGCAGGACATAAAATCAACATATAAAGATCAATTGTATTTCCATACACTAATAAAGAACAATCCAAAAATAAAATTAAGAGAACAATTCCATATACAATAGCATAAAAAAGAACAAAATAGTCAGGAATAGGCCAGGCACAGTGGCTCAAGCCTATAATCCCAGCACTTTGGGAGGCTGAAGTGAGAGGATGGTTTCAGCCCAGGAGTTTGAGACCAGCCTGGGCAACATAATTAGACCCTGTCTCTACAAAAAGTAAAAATAAAAAAAGTTTGTCTGGGCATGGTGCCTCATGCCTGTAATCTTAGCACTGTGGGAGGCCGAGGTGGGCAGATCACTTGAATCAGGAGTTCAAAACCAGCCTGGCCAACATGGTGAAGCCCTGTATCTACTAAAAATACAAAATAATTTGCCAGGCATGGTGGTGGGCACCTGTAATCCCAGCTATTTGGGAGGCTGAGGCAGGAGAATCACTTGAACCCAGAAGGCAGAGGTTGCAGTGAGCTGAGATCACACCACTGCACCCTACCCTGGGCGACAGAGTGGGACTCCATCTCAGAAAAACAAAATAAAATAAAAAATAAGAAAAGTTAGCCAGGCGTGGCACACACTTGTGGTCCCAGCTGCTCAGGAGGCTGAGGCAGAGGATCACTTGAGCCTAGCAGGGTGAGGTTGCAGTGAGCCATGTTTGTGCCATTGCACTCCAGCTTGGGTGACAGAGTGAGACTCTGTTTCAAAAAAATAAAATAAATAAATGCAAAACTTGTATGCAAAGAGCTACAAAATATTTTAAGAAATTAAAGAAGATCCAAATTAATGGAAAGATATCCCATGTTCATACATCAGAAGAAATAGTATTTTATAGATGGCAATACTCTCCAAATTGATTCAATGCAATACATATAAGAATCTCAGCTAGCTTAGAAGTGGATAAACTGGGCCGGGTGCAATGGCTTATGCCTGTAATCCCAGCACTTTGGGAGGCTGGGGCGAGTGGATCACAAGGTCAGGAGTTTGAGACCAGCCTGGCCAATATGGTGAAAACCCATCTCTACTAAAGATACAAAAAATTAGCTGGGCATGCAAAAGAACAAAGCTGGAGGCATCACGCTACCTGACTTCAAACTATACTACAGGGCTACAGTAACCAAAACAGCATGGTACTGGTACCAAAACAGAGATATAGATCAATGGAACAGAACAGAGCCCTCAGAAATAATGCCACATGTCTACAACCATCTGATCTTTGACAAACCTGACGAAAACAAGAAATGGGGAAAGGATTCCCTATTTAATAAATGGTGCTGGGAAAACTGGCTAGCCATATGTAGAAAGCTGAAACTGGATCCCTTCCTTACACCTTACACAAAAATTAATTCAAGATGGATTAAAGACTTAAATGTTAGATCTAAAACCATGAAAACCCTAGAAGAAAGCCTAGGCAATATCATTCAGGACATTGGCATGGGCAAGGACTTCATGACTAAAACACCAAAAGCAATGGCAACAAAAGCCAAAATTGACAAATGGGATCTAATTAAACTAAAGAGCTTCTGCACAGCAAAAGAAACTACCATCAGAGTGAACAGGCAACCTACAGAATGGGAGAAAATTTTTACAATCTACCCATCTGACAAAGGGCTAATATCTACAAATAACTTAAACAAATTTATGAGAAAAAATCAAACAACCCCATCAAAAAGTGGGTGAAGGATATGAACAGACACTTCTCAAAAGAAGACATTTATGCAGCCAACAGACACATGAAAAAATGCTCATCGTCACTGGCCATCAGAGAAATGCAAATCAAAACCACAATGAGATACCATCTCACACCAGTTAGATGGCGATCATTAAAAAGTCAGGAAACAACAGGTGCTGGAGAGGATGTGGAGAAATAGGAACACTTTTACACTGTTGGTGGGACTGTAAACTAGTTCAACCATTGTGGAAGACAGTGTGGCGATTCCTCAAGGATCTAGAACTAGAAATACCATTTGAGCCAGCCATCCCATTACTGGGTATATACCCAAAGGATTATAAATCATGCTGCTATAAAGACACATGCACATGTATGTTTATTGTGGCACTATTCACAATAGCAAAGACCTGGAACCAACCCAAATGTCCATCAATGATAGACTGGATTAAGAAAATGTGGCACATATACACCATGGAATACTATGCAGTCATAAAAAAGGATGAGTTCATGTCCTTTGTAGGGACATGGATGAAGCTGGAAATCATCATTCTGAGCAAACTATTGCAAGGACAGAAAACCAAACACTGCATGTTCTCACTCATAGGTGGGAATTGAACAATGAGAACACTTGGACACAGGGTGGGGAACATCATACACCGGGGCCTGTCGTGGGGTGGGGGGAGGGGGGAGGGATAGCATTAGTAGATATACCTAATGCTAAATGACGAGTTAATGGGTGCAGCACACCAACATGGCACATGTATACATATGTAACAAATCTGCACGTTGTGCACATGTACCCTACAGCTTAAAGTATAAAAATAAATAAATAAATAAATAAAATAATAAGGAAAAAAAATCAGCTGGGCATGGTGTCGTGTGCCTATAATCCCAGCTATTTGGGAGGCTGAGGCAGGGGAATCGCTTGAACCTGGGAGGCGGAGGTTGCAGTGAGCTGAGATCATGCCATTGCACTCCAGCCTAGGCGACAGGGCAAGACTCCATCTCAAAAAAACAAAAAAAGGATAAGCTGATCTTAAAATTCATATGAAAACTCAAGAGGCAAAGAATAGCCAAACCAGTCTTGAAAAAGAACATTTCCCAGTTTCATAGCTAACTATGAAGATACAGTATTCAAGACAGTCAGAGTGGTACTAGTACAATGGCAGACAGATCTACATCAATGGAGTAAAACTAAGAGTCCAGAAATAAGCCATTACATTCATTGTTAGTTGATTTTTGACCAGTATGCCAATACAACTTGATAGAGAAAGAATAATCTTCTCAACAAATGCTGATGGGAGAACTAGCTGTCTCCAATCAAATATATGAAACTGGACCCCTACATTACACCATATACAAAATCAACTTAAAACAAATCAGGGACCTAAATAAGAGTGAAAACGATACAACTCTTAAAAGAAAAGAAAGCATAAATCTGTAAAAATCATATATTTTATAAGGGCCTTATATCCAGAATACATAAGAAATTCTTACAACTCAACAATAAAGAGACAATGCAATTAAGAAGTGGGCACAATGGATCTTAATGGACATTTCTCCAAAGAAGATCTACAAATGGCCTATGAGCACTACTTAAAATCATTAATCATTAGGGAAATCCCTATTGAATGCACAATGAGGTATCACTTCATATATACTTGGAAGGCTATAATAAAAAAGATGGACGGCCGGGCACGGTGGCTCACGCCTGTAATCCCAGCACTTTGGGAGGCCGAGGTGGGCGGATCACGAGTTCAAGAGATCGAGACCATCCTGGCTAACACGGTGGAGCCCCGTCTCTACTAAAGATACAAAAAATTAGCCGGGCGTGGTGGCGGGCGCCTGTAGTCCCAGCCACCCGGGAGGCTGAGGCAGGAGAATGGCATGAACCCGGGAGGCAGAGCTTGCAGTGAGCCGAGATCGCGCCACTGTACTCCAGCCTGGGCGACAGAGCGAGACTCCGTCTCAAAAAAACAAAAACAAACAAACAAAAAAAGATGGACAGTAAAAAGTGCTGGTAAGAAGGCAGAAAAACCGGCACTCTCATACACTGGCTGGTAGGAATGTAAAATGGTAAAGCCACATTGACAAACAGCTTGGGAGTTCCTCAAAAATTAAACATAGAATTACCACATGACCAGCAATGCCACTCCTAAGTATATACACAAGAGAACTGAGAACACGTTGTCAAAAACTTCTAGGCACATCTTCACAGCAGCATTATTCATAATGGCCAAAAAGTGGAAACAACCCAAATGTCCATCCACTGACGAATGGATCAACAAAATGTGAATATTTGTACAGTAAAATATTACTCGGCCCTATAAAGGAATGAAATTCTGATACAAGTTGTAACAGGGATGAACCCTAAAAACATTATGCTAAGTCAAAGAAAGCAGAAAAAAATTCACAGGGAAAGAAGGATTAGTGGTTATCTGGGACTGAAGGTGGAGGGCAATGGTGAGTGACTACTAATGGCTATGGGGTTTCTTTTTGGGATGACTGCTATGGTTTGAATGCTTGTCCCCTCCAAAACTCAGGTTGAAACTTAATCCTTAATGTAACAATACTAAGAGGTGGGGCCTTTAAGCGGTAACTGGGTCTTGAGGGCTTTGCTCTCATGAATGAATTAATCCATTCAGGCGTTAATGGATGGATGGGTTATCGTGGGAATGGGTTGGTTATCACGAGACCGGGTCTGTTATAAAAGCTAGGTTGGCTCTCTCTTGGCATGAGATGTCTTCTGCCACGTTCAGACACAACACGTGGCCCTCACCAGAAGTCGACCAGTTGTGGCTCCTTGACCTGGGATTTCCCAGAATCTCAAACTGTAACAAATACATTTATTTTTCAAACAAATTATCCAGTCTCAGATATTCAGTTATAGCAACAGAAAATATACTAAGGCACCTTGGATTCAGTCACACCTGCAGCCACTCAGTTCCTCCTCTTTCATAAGCTAAGACTAAGACAATGATAAAATGTTCTGAAATTATACAGTGGTGATCAATGCACAACTTGGTGAATATACCGAAAACTTTAAATGTGGAATCATTCACTTTAAAAAGGTGAACATTAGCCTACGTGAATTGTATCGCAATGAAGTAGTCATTAAATGTAACACTTTCTACTTAGAAAAAGCTAGCACACAAAAGTCCTGAAAAGTTTTAGCTTGCAGAACAATCTAAAGGTACTCAATAACAAAACAGTGATTCTTACAGAACAACATTTGTAAGTTTATGGCTTTCAAATTCTTTACTATTATTCCCCTTTTCATATTACTTTTATATAAACTGGAAAATAAATGCAGAAAGAACACTGGTAAGCAATTTCTCCTGTTCTGAAGACACATAGGTGGATTTGGATACACTATCACTCTATCGGTTTCCTTTAAATGTAATAAGTATTACAAACAGTAAATGCCTGTTATAAATGTAAAGAGCTGATGCTGCTCCCTGTTAAAGATGTTCCTTTTTTTACCAGAAACCAAACAGATGGCTAACCTGCTACAAACCGATAAGCAGCTATATCTGATAAGCATAGACACTTCTGTTACCACATTAAATCCTATGTTAAGACCAGTCTAGGAACAACAGAGGCTTTGTTAGAAGCGATGAAAGAGATACTCTTTTCACAACTTGGTTACTGCACAAAAATTTATTGGTGAAATTCTCTGTGGTGCTGTTCATGATAAATAAGTCCTTTATAGTCTACTGAAGCCTTACAACTGTCACATATACCTGAACATACCAATACACAAAAGTCCTTCCAAAAGTGCAGATGTGAAAAATCCATCAAACATTTGTGGGGCTTGATGATCTATCCAGTAACTGCTATCAGTAAAGCTAATACTCATCAGTGCCCTGCAGCTTTCCTTCCCACTGCCTCACTGTTCCTGTGGGTCAGTGATATGTCCAGTGGCTCTCCTTTACCTCATCTCCGGGAGTGAAAGGCTTCTCTACAATTCCTGGGAGATTGGCCTGGGTGGGATTGGGGGTGGGGGCACACCACAGTGTATCAAGTTTAAGCTGAACTACATATCTGCTTAAAACAATGCTAATGCCCAATCTTCTCTAGGTTTGTCTGGGTACAGATACCACATCTGCCTTATCTTTCTTCCTGAGCAGTTTCATTCACACTGCTTGAAAGCCCCACTTAACATAAATGTGATCAATCCTGAAATCCTAAAATAAAGCATGGGCAGGAGCAGTGGCTCACACCTGTAATCCCAGCACTTTGGGAGGCTGAGGTGGGCGGATCACTTGAGGTCAGGAGTTCGAGACCAGCCTGGCCAACATGGTGAAACCCCATCTCTGCTTAAAAATACAAAAATTAGCCAGGCAGGGGGGCAGGTGTCTGTAATTCCAGCTACTTGAGAGGCTGACATGAGAATCGCTTGAACCTGGGGGGCGGGAGTTGCAGTGAGCCAAGATTACACCACTGCACTCCAGCCTGCGCAAAAGAGTGAAATTTGTCTCAAACAAAAACAAAAACAAAAAAACTATAAAGGCTGTTAATATATATTAAAAAAATATAGCTGACCCTTGAACAATGCAGGGGTTAGGGGTACCAAGCTCCCACATAGTTGAAAATCTATGTGTAACTTTTGATTTCCCAAAAACTTAATAGCCTATTGTTGACCAGAAGCCTCACTGATAACATAAACAGTTGATTAACACAATTTTGTATGTTATGTATATTATATTCTGTATTCTTAAAATAAAGCTAGAGAAAAGAAAATGTTATTAAGAAAATCGTAAGGGCCAGGCATGGTGACTCACACTTGTAATCCCAGAACTTTGGGAACCTGAGGCAGGGGGATCACTTGAGGTTAGGAATTGGAGACCAGCTTGGGCAAAAAAGTGAGACCTTATCTCTACAAAAAATTAAAAAAAATTAGCCAGGTATGGTGGCATGTGTCAATAGTCCCAGCTACTTGGGAGGCTGAGGTGGGAGGATCGCTGGAGCCCAGGAGTTTGAGGCTGCAGTGAGGTATAACTGTGCCACTGCACTCCAGCCTGGGCAACAAAGACCCCGTCTCTAAAAAATTAAAAAAAAAAATCATAAGGAAGAGAAAATACATTTACAATGCTGTACTGTACTTATCAATGCCATAAGTTTATATCGTCTGTTTACAAGATGAATCATCTGTCTGAAATGGCAGGCAACTGCAGCTGCAGACCTCAATCTACGGTACATGTCAAACAATTTAACTTTTTCTCATAATATTAAGACTTTTCTCTGCTTCTTGGGAGCACTTACAGCATCACTGGTGGCACTTCATATGGGTTGCATGGTGTTATTAAAGGTTTATAGTACAGCAAGTACAGCATGTTTACTGTAAACCTTTAATAACTCCATGGAACCCATATGAAGTGCCTCTAAGTGTTGTGAGTAGCACCTATTTTTGAGAACCAGCAGAGATCACTTTTTACTGTGATATACAATTTACTGGAGACAAAATGCCCACACAGACATGACTAGTGTCACATGACATTTCAAGTGGCTATACACAACACTTGAGCTCACCACGATAGCAACAGAAGATGGCTACAAAATTATTATAGTACTACAGTATGTACTACAGTGAATTTCATGCAGTTAGGATTTTTTTCTTATTTATTTATTTATTGAGATGAAGTTTCGGTTTTGTTGCCTGGGCTGGAGTGCAATGGCACGATCTCGGCTCACTGCAACCTCTGCCTCCCAGGTTCAAGCAATTCTGCTGCCTCAGCCTCCTGAGCAGCTGGGACTACAGGCACACGCCAACCATGCCCAGCTACTTTTTGTATTTTTAGTAGAGATGGGATTTCACCATGTTGGCCAGGATGGTCTCGATCTCTTGACCTTGTGATCTGCCTGCCTCGGCCTCCCAAAGTGCTGGGATTACAGGCCTGAGCCACCTGCCCAACCTCAAAGTTGTTTTCTTAAGGGAAGTTCATTGGCACTGGCAGCGTCTTATAGCTGGTGTGTTCTGATTGATGAGTGTCAGCAGTTGCTAGATAGGACTTGTAATCTTGGAGTTACAGTTAGGCTCTTCCAGTTTTGGACTGGGTGTGTCAGGCAGATGCTCTCATATAATGGCTAGCTGTCCTTGTGCTGCTAGCTGTCCTTGTGTGACACATGTAGTAAGCTGTGGTTTGGAAAATTTTTTTGTGATAGTTCCTGTTATCAGCCAAATCATGTGTGAGAGCCCTCCCTTCATTGCCTTCCCTAACTCCGTTATACTAGAGTTTGACACAAGTGACTCCATTTTGAATTTGACAACTTTCACATAGACCAAAGAACAAAGTTATCGTTGAGGCTGAAATAGCTGGTGAAGGCTTCAGAAGGCACACATAGGAGTAGAAGGATGTGAAAAATATGGATAAGCAGAGGGTTCATGAGGGAATTCTGAGCATCAGAAGCATTAAGTTATCTGGCATGAGGCATTAGTAAGAAAACTGCTAGATAGGGAGATTCAAGTTGAAGAAGATAAGATTGAATGGCTAAGTATAAGGAAAGTCACATGGAATCTCAGAAGTCTTGTAAGCATGCTAGGTGCTCATTCATTCAGTATACATAAGTATTATATGGTAACAATATGAAAAGTACTAGATATACAATAGTAAACAAAAGACATATCACGCTTGCCTTCATGGCCTTAGGCGGCACAATATACAAATAAATAAACATGTAAGTAATCAAAAAAAGTGTTAAGTGCCAAGAAGGAAATTGAGAGAATGCAGGGGGAAGACTTCTTGAGATAGGGTGATTAGGAAAGGCTTTTCCTTTTTTTTAAGACGGCGTCTCGCTCTGTCACCCAGGCTGGAGGACAGTGGCGGAGTCTCGGCTCACTGTAACCTCTGCCTCCCCGGTTCAAGTGATTCTCCTGCCTCAGCCTCCCGAGTAGCTGGGACTACAGGCAGCTGCTACCACGCCCGGCTCATTTTTGTATTTTTAGTATTTTTGTATTTTTAGTAGAGATGGGGTTTCACCATATTGGCCTGACCTTGTGATCCGCCCACTTCGGCCTCCCAAAGTGCTGGGATTACAGGCGTGAGCCACCGCGCCGGGCCAATAGGAAAGGCTTTTCTAGGGTGATAGCATTGAAGACAACGGACTTTTTTTCAAGGTGGTAGAAGGAAGAAGGAAGCAGCTTCCTACACAGAGGTATCAGATAGAAGAGGCAGGGCCTCGTAACCGTAAGCAGCTTGACTTTTTTTTTTTTTGAGACGGACTCTTGGTCTGTCGCCCAGGCTGGAGTGCAGTGGCGCGATCTCAGCTCACTGCAAGCTCTGTCTCCCGGGTTCACGCCATTCACCTGCCTCAGCCTCCCAAGTAGCTGTGACTACAGGCACCCGCCACCATGCCCAGCTAATTTTTTGTATTTTTAGTAGAGACGGGGGTTTCACTGTGTTAACCAGGATGGTCTCGATCTCCTGACCTCATGATCCGCCCGCCTCAGCCTCCCAAAGTGCTGGGATTACAGGCGTGAGCCACCGCGCCCGGCAGCTTGACTTTTTTTTTTTTTTTTTTTTTTTTAAAGCAATGAAAGCGCTAAGTGTAGCTGTAGCTTAGCAGGAAAGTGGGGAGAGAATAAGGTGATGTTACAGAGGTAAGAATAAACCATTCAGAGGCTAACAGGGCAGGTTACAGAGTATGGATGTTTTGTGCAGTGCATGCTTGGTAAAAATGGATGCATCAACTTTCTTTTTATAGAGTTATGCATTCATCAACAGCAGGTCTGATTTTGTAGGTTTGGGGCAGGGGAACCCAGGTTCTGCATTTTGCACAACCATCCCATGTAACTTCTGATACACAGAGTGTTCAGGAAGGCACTTGGAGAATTATGCTCTAGAAGGCTCACTGGTCTCACCACCGGTAAAGTTCACTTGAAGTAAATGTTTTGATATCATGGCTTAGATTCTCATCTGGAGAAGTTAGGAACAAGGGTCTCCTTGGTGCCCACCTAACCGCCCAGTGCAGACTCAGATCCACACTACACACACACACTGAACACTTAGTGATGTGTTAGAACTTACTGTTTTTCTTTGCTTTTTTTTTTTTTTTTTTGAGACGGAGTCCCTGTCGCCCAGGCTGGAGTGCAGTGGCGCGATCTCGGCTCACTGCAAGCTCCGCCTCCCAGGTTCACGCCATTGTCCTGCCTCAGCCTCCCGAGTAGCTGGGACTACAGGCGCCCGCCAGCACGCCCGGCTGATTTTTTGTATTTTCAGTAGAGACGGGGTTTCACCGTGTTAGCCAGGATGGTCTCCACCACCTGACCTCGTGATCCGCTCGCCTCAGCCTCCCAAAGTGCTGGGATTACAGGCGTGAGCCACTGCGCCCGGCCTGAACTTACTGTTTTTCACAAGAACACAGTACCATGCTCAGTTAATGACTACCCAGAACTAGATGGGGACTCCCAAAGTGCCATCGTCAAGAAAGGGCCCCAGAATGCACTAATTTTGTTTTAAAGACATAAGACTGTGCAGAATTCCAGAGGGCAGGAATCATTTGTCTTTGATTCCTAGAACCTGACATAATGCTGAACACATAGCTACATAGAAGACGCTGGTAACTGCTTCCATTTTTGTTAAGAGTGGCAGTTAAGTGGCTGAAAAAAGTGTTATGTTAAAATTACTGCTAAAATGTATTAGGTATTCTCTACGAACTAAGAGTGTGTTTTCTTCTATAGACAAATCTTTTCTGGTTGGATTTAAAGTTGCAATCCCCACCAGCGCCCACTTGCAGGAAGCTCTTTGTGGCTCAGGTAAAATTCTCTCTACCGCAATTCTTCGCAATTCTTCAAAATTCTGTGGAAAATCACGAAGGAAGGAAATGTTTCCCAGTCTAGTTCACGGACTAGGCTAGAAAAAATGTTTAGTAAATGCTTTACTAAGGAAGACTTCCAATAATCTTTTAAAGCTATGTGCCAAGGTATTTTTTCTCTTTTTTTTTTTTTAAGTTTTGTTCTTGTCTCCCAGGCTAGAGTGCAGTGGCGGGATCTCGGTTCACTGCAACCTCCGCCTCCGGGTTCAAGTGATTCTCCTGCCTCAGCCTCCTGAGCAGCTGGGATTACGGGCGTGCACCACCACTCCCGCCTACTTTTTGGATTTTTTGTAGACGGGGGTCTCCACATGTTGCCCAGGGTGGTCTCGAACTCCTGACCTTAAGCGATCCGCCCGCCTCGGCCTCCCGAGTAGCTGGGCCTACAGGCGTGAGCCGCTGCACAGGCCGCGATGTGGCAATTTCTTCCCAAGTTTGCAGTGTATTTTTACAAATACTAATTTAATAGCCTGGAAGGTGTGTCTCCTGGCCCAGGCCGAGCTGCAGGGGGCGCCAAGCTGCGGCTATGAGGGGAATGCAATGGAACCAAATGCTCTGAGGAGCCCCAGCACCGTGCCTCGACCTCACCGGATTCTGGTCCTCACTGCCGCCCGGGCCTTTCCGCTTCTTCACCAAGGCGGACAGGCTGACGCACTACCACGCCGCGCGACAGCGACCGCGCGCAAAGCGCCAGGAACCCCCCCTACTGCCCGCCCCGCGCTGGCGAAGCGCGACCCGTCCCGCCCCGCCCCGCCCTCGGCACAGCGTCAGAGGCGGGGACGCGCGCTGGTCTATTTTTGGGCATCCGGATGGCGACTGCGGGAAATCGAGTTCTCATGCTGGGGCGAAAGGTGTGTCTGCAGGAGCCAAATCCAAATGAGCAGTCCAGGTACTTCAGAGTTTTAACCTGAGCGAAACAGGAATGTCTCGGGTCTTAACAGGACCGTCCGCCCGCTCGGAAGAGGCGAATCTCCCACGGCAGACGTCTGGGTGTGCGAATGCCAGTTGAGCGGGGCCTCGAGGACGCGTCACACACAGCGAGGATTTGAGGAGGGAAGCGCCTTCCAGGTAGAACGGTTTCTGGGTTCAGAGAACGGAAAGTTCAGTAAAGTGCGTAGGGGTGAAGTGGGGATGAGGCGGGAGAGGGATGCAGCAGCTAAAATATTGCTTTGAATACCGTATTTGAGGCGTTTGGACTTTATTGTAAACGCATTTTTTAATTTAATTTTATTATTATTATACTTTAAGTTTTAGGATACATGTGCACAACGTGCAGGTTTGTTACATATGTATACATGTGCCATGTTGGTGTGCTGCACCCATTAACTCGTCATTTAGCATTAGGTATATCTCCTAATGCTATCCCTCCCCCCTCCCCCCACCCCACAACAGTCCCCGGTGTGTGATGTTCCCCTTCCTGTGTCCATGTGTTCTCATTGTTCAATTCCCACCTATGAGTGCGAACATGCGGTGTTTGGTTTTTTGTCCTTGTGTAAACGCATTTTTAATTTAAAGAGTGTTGTGAGGCCGAAGCGGGCGGATCATGAGGTCAGGAGTTCGAGACCAGCCTGGCCAACATGGTGAAACCCCGTCTCTACTACCTATACAAAAAATTAGCCAGGCGTGGTGGCGCGCGCCTGTAATCCCAACTACTGGGGAGGCTGAGGCAGGAGAATCGCTAGAACCCGGGAGGCAGAGGTTGCAGTGAGCCGAGATCGCGCCATTGCACTCCAGCCTGGGCACCAGGGTGAGACTCCGTCTCAAAAAAAAAAAAAGAGTGATGTGATGTGTATTTTAGAGAGATAAGTGCAGTGGATTAAAATGGATTAGAAAAGGCAGGAAAAAACGATAGGCTGTTAACTTCGTTTTGGCTCTAAACTTCTCGTAAAGAAGTGGAGCAAGCAAGATGGGGAATGGAAGGCAAGAAGTATGAAATCTGAGGCGGACCTTTGCAAAGGATCGTTTCAGTATGACTTCACAGGGGAGTTAGGGAGTATAGGTGATATCTCAAGAGTTATCTCGGCCAGAGACAAGGGAGCTGGGCTTTCATACACTTACCTTGTTTTTCATGGGTTAAGGGCCGCTGAAGAGGATGTAAGTGTGCAGACACGCCTAGCTCTGCACATTTAGGGAAAGCAGTTTAATAGGCTGAACAAAGGCAGTCCTCTCAAGATGACCCTTCAGTGTGGGCATTTGAAAGTGAAAGCAGGTTGAAGTTGAGTGAAGGGGCAGGTGTGTGTGCACAGAAGTGGTACAAAGTGATTGGAGGGGGTGTATCAGTCAGGGTTATCCAAATAAATAGAACCAAAGGTTGTGTGTGTGTGTGTGGATAAGGAGGTTTATTTTAAGGAATTGTCTCATATAATTAAGGAGGCCAGGAAATCCAAAATCTGCATGGTGGACTGGCAGGCTGGAGACACAGAAAAGAGTCATTGCTGCCGTTCAAGGCTGAAGACCCAGGAAAAAGCTGACGTTGTGGTTCAAGTCTGAAAGCTGTCTGCTGCAGTTCCCTCTTGCTAGGGGGAGGTCAATCTTGTTCTAATCAGGCCTTCAGCTGACTGGACGAGGCCCACCCACGTTATGGAGGGCAATCAGCTTTACTCAAAAGTCCACGTATTAAAATGTTAATGTCATCCAAAAACATCATGGAAACATCTGGAATAATGTTTGACCACATATTTGCGTACTGTGGTTATGCCAACTTGACATAAAATTAACCATCACAGGAGGCATCTTGGTGGATGACTGATGTTGTTCTTCTATATATACATTTTGTTGTTTTGTTTTTACGAAAAGAAGATCAGGCTGGGCACAGTGGCTCACGCCTATAATCCCAGCACTTTGGGAGGCCAAAGTGGGTGGCTCACTTGAGCCCAGGAGTTTGAGACCAGCCTGAGCAACATGGTGAAACCCTGTCTCTAGAAAATATACAAAAATCAGTTGGGCTTGGAGGCTGAGGTGGGAGAGGATTGCTTAAGTCTGGGAGGTCAAGGCTGCAGTGAACTGTGATTGCACCACTATGCTCCAGCCTGGGCAACAGAGTGAGACCCTGCCTCCAAAACAAAACAAAAAAATCATTCACAAGGCAGCCTTTCCCAGCCGTGATAGACAGGATTGGCCACAGGGCCAGGGTGGTACAAATGAGCCTGGGAAAACTCTTGGGTATTAATCATGAAGAAACGTTTGCCAGCATGGCTTCACACTCTATGACTGGGTTGTACATATCAATTTTGCTTAAGGGAGAAACTTGAATTTCCTTGTATTTAAATTTTTTTTTTAATAAGTAGAAGCAGGTTTTAAGATGTTATGAAGTCAGACTCTTGCCTTGCCAAATATAGGACAGTATTTCTCTACCATTTTCTCCCTTCAACACATGACAGATTTGAAATATACATCAACGTACTGTTGGAATCATAAAGATGTGCTTTCTGAAAGGTTAATTTGTGAACTCATATTTAGTAGCACGGATTCCCTGACTTAAGTACTCATTTGATAAACATTATGCCAAGAAATGTGCAGAGGAAACAAAGGCAACCAGACCCTGCCCCTGCCCTTAGGCAGTTTACATCTGGTGGAGCAGCGTAAAGACCAGCTAGAGAACAGAGAATGTTAAAATGCAGATTCTCTCCTTCAGAGTCCAACTCAATAAGTGAGGTCAGGAATCTGCATTTCAGTAAGCCCCCAGGTGATTTTGTTGCAAGCTGTCTGGGTTATACTTTGAAAAACACTGATCTGGTGGGAGAGAGAACTCAAGATTGTGTAATGAGTTCAAGATTAGGTACTCATTCCTCTGATTCTTCCTGAAATACGTGGGGTAAACAGTGCATGGTTGCAAAAGCAAGGTAATCTGAAAGCCAGAATCAAGATTATCTTCCAAAAGTGGATTGAGAAGACTGAGAATGCCATGGATTAAGGTAGCTTTCTGTAAACTGGGCATATATTGATTTGTGAGAGAAAGAGGTATCAGAAGATCCCAACTCTTCAATCCATTTATTCAGCAAACATTTGTTGAGTGTCTGTGTTGTTCCAGTTGCTCTCAGGCATACCGTTCTGTTTAAAGGAAAATAATCCCTTCACCTGTGTCCTAAATCCTACTACCTCCTGTTTTCCCATAGGAATTACTTTATTGGTTGTCAGCTTCTTTTCTTGTATCTTCAGTCTTTCCTCTGCTCATTTCAACATATAAACACCTCATTTCAACATATAAACACGTTTCAATGTGTCTCATCTGAAAAATAACAACTTCTTTGACCCCTGTATCTACACTTTCTCTGACCATATCTGCTTTGTCTTCACAACCACGTGAGGATGCTTTTGGTTGCATGTAGCGGTAATACAACTCCCACTGGCTTAAGCAAAAGGAAATGTCCTGTTTTAAGTGACTGAAAAATCTTTAGGCAGAGCTTGGTTCAGTATCTCAAACATTTTTTTAGGACTCTGGTTTCCTTCTGTCCCTCTTCTCTCATTGAATCCTTACTCTCTACTTGAGGCCCACTTCCTACCCAATCTAGCAGCTTTAAATTCTCTCCTTATTGTTGTATTGACCATGGGAAGAAGATCTTTCCTAGTAGCCCCCAAGGAAGAGAGAGGAAGTTTGACTTTTTCAGAAGGACTCAAGACTCCTGGATAATACTGTATGTGGTATAATGACTACCATTGTGATCCTGCCTCCCTGTAACCATATCTTTTTGCATGTCACTTGCACACTGAGTCTGGGCTTGAACATATGACTGACTTTGGCCAATATAATATCTTTTTATGTGATGCAACCAGAGATTTGAAAATTGTTCTTTGGAACCTTGAGATTTCCATGTGAAGAAGCATGAAGATTGAGAGACCATGTGGAGCAGAAATGAGCTGTCCCAGATAAGCATCACCTCATTCCTATGATTAACTGCCACCCTTAGACCCAGACCATTAGTTCTTAGCTGAGCCAGTCCAGACCTGAAGAACCACTCAAGCCAACTGACAAAACTGTGAGAAGTAAAAAAAGTTTGTTGTTTTAAACTATTCCACTAAATTTTGGGATAGTTTGGTTTTGTAGCAAAAGCAAGTTTACACACTGGGTTGCTTGTCTATCCCTGATCCAATCAGTATGTTAGAGGGGTTGGCTTATTGGATTAAGCCAATTAGAACTACCCTTGAAGGTGGCCTTAGAGTCAATCCCACTTAAAACTGGCTAAGAACAGGGAGATTCCCTGAGGAATCTCTGTTTCAGGACAGGAGTTTGGTTCCTGATTGTCTCATCCTTCAGGCATGTGCAGGCCTGAGGGATATAATGGACGTGGGTCTACAGAGCACTGTCTGCTGTCATGCTCCTTGAAAGGCTGAGGAGGACATACAGGAGCTCTGATCTAAGAGCCAATCTGGCCTGAAGTCTTTCAGCTGGTATCAGGATCTGTTATGAGACTTCAGGAGCTTTGAAGGTCCAGGAGGGATTCCAGAAGGCTTTACTGGAGACCTGCTGGGTTCTTTTGGATCTTTCCCTGAATTTACCTAGGAACCAGTTTCAAGAGTTCCTATGGGAGTTTTTTAGGGAAGGAGGAGATGGGAATAAGGAATGTGGGGCGGGTAGGCAAGGTTGACAAGGCCTCAACTATAGTATCCTGGGGTTCAAATTTCTGCCTGAGTGTCTTTGTGTTCTGGACCTTAAAGTATAAGCTCTGTCCCTGGCAGGTCTCAACTCTGAGGGAATGAGGAGGTGTTTATGGGTCTCTCCCTATCCCCATAGGCTCTGTTACCTGTCGTAACAACTTCATACACAAACACCATAGCTTATCCTTGTATCCACTGGCTTCATCCTAAAAATTCAACAGTAATCACATGTCTTCTCAAAAGGGTCCTCTTCGCTCCCCAGTTAACTATTATTTTTTCTTTAGCCTCCCTACTGCATTCTTCTGTTTATGTGTCTGTTCAGGCTATATGGAAAGTAATGGGTGGTTATGTTATGCCCCTACTTCCATCTCACTCTTCTCTTCTCTTGTTTGATGTAGCAATTAGGATTGCACCAAACCCCACATGTACATTGCACTGCTGCCCTCAAATTGACCTGTCACAAGGAGCGTTTCAGTTGCTTCACTAAATATAAAGAGGCTGAATCCTATTAAAAATCAGAATGTCAGTTTGCGGCCAGGCGCGGTGGCTCACACCTGTAATCCCAGCACTTTGGGAGGCTGAGATGGGTGGATCATGAGGTCAGGAGATTGAGACCATCCTGGCTAACACGGTGAAACCCCGTCTCTACTAAAAATACAAAAAAATTAGCCGGGCGTGGTGGTGGGTGCCTGTAGTCCCAGCTACTTGGGAGGCTGAGGCAGGAGAATGGTGTGAACTCGGGAGGCGGAGCTTGCAGTGGGCCAAGATCACACCACTGCACTCCAGCCTGGGCAACAGAGCGAGACTCTGTCTCCAAAAAAAAGAAAAAAAAGAAAAAAAATGTCAGTTTGCATTTAAAAGAATAATCTTGGCCGGGCGCGGTGGCTCATGCCTGTAATAACAACACTTTGGGAGGCCAAGGCAGACAGATCACTTGAGGCCAGGAGTTTGAGACTAGCCTGGCCAACATGGTGAAACCCCATCTCTACTAAAAATACAAAAATTAGCTGGGTGTGGTGGCACACGCCTGTAATCCCAACTACTTGGGAGGGCGAGGCATGAGAATCACTTGAAGTCGGGAGGCGGAGGTTGCAGTGAGCCAAGATTGTGCCACTGCACTCCATCCTGGGCAACAGAGTGAGACTCTGCCTCAAATAAAAATAAAAATAAGAATAAAAATAAAAATAACCTCTGCCGAGACCAGCTCGGTCACGGAGACCCTAACCCAGCGGCGCTAGAGGAAGTAAAGACACACATACAGAAATATAGAGGTGTGAAGTGGGAAATCAGGGATCTTACAGCCTTCAGAGCTGAGAGCCCCAAACAGAGATTTACCCACATATTTATTAACAGCAAACCAGTCATTAGCATTGTTTCTATAGATATTAAATTAACTAAAAGTATCCCTTATGGGAAACGAAGGGATGGGCTGAATTAAAGGAATAGGTTGGGCTAGTTAACTGCAGCAGGAATATGCCCTTAAGACACAGATCGCTCATGCTATTGTTTGTGGCTTAAGAATGCCTTTAAGCGGTTTTCTGCCCTGGGCGGGCCAGGTGTTCCTTGCCCTCATTCCTATAAACCCACAACCTTCCAGCGTGGGCATTAGGGCCATTATGAACATGTTACAGTGCTGCAGAGATTTTGTTTATGGCCAGTTTTGGGGCCAGTTTATGGCCAGATTTTGAGGGGCTTGCTCCCAACAAACTTCTGTCTGTGTGTGTGTGTAACATTATTTAATCATTATTTCAGCAATGCAAGGGGACTTCAATATGAAATCATAACATTTAATATTCAACTTTAATATTCAGTGTTAAATAATATTAAGATAATATCAGTAGGCCAGGCGTGGTGGGTCAGGCCTGTAATCCCAGCACTCTGAGAGGCCACAGCAGGCAGATCACCTGAGATCAGGAGTTCGAGACCAGCCTGGCCAACATGGTGAAACCCCATCTCTACTAAAAACAGAAAATTAGCCAGGCATGGTGGTGCACGCCTGTAATCCCAGTTACTCAGGAGGTTGAGCTTGGAGAATGGCTTGAATCCAGGAGGTGGAGGTTGCAGTGAGCTGAGATCATGCTACTGTACTCCAGCCTGGGTGACAGAGCAATATTTTGTCTCCAAAAAAAAAAAAAAGAGAAAAAAGATATCAGTAGATACCAAGAGAGTATCTGGTATCTATCTATTTCTACTACAAATGGATATTTCTACTACAAATTTTACGTAACTAGTGTAAAAGTTAAGAATGTGATTTATGTAAAAAATAGAAAATCAGGTAACAGATTGGCTTTAAAAGCAATGGCTAAAAAACAAAGTTAATACTAAAAATTGGAGAATAGTGAGTGGATGGAGTTTTAAATGGCAGAATATTGATAATTGTTGAAGATGAGTGATGGGTCCACAGGGGTTATTATACTACATTTTTTACTTTTTTTTTTTTTTTTGAGACAGGGTCTCACTCTCACCCAGGCTGGACCACAGTGGTACAGTCTCAGCTCACTGCAGCCTCCCCCTCCTGTGCTCAGTGATCCTCCCACCTCAGCCTCCTGAGTAGCTGGGACTACAGGTGTGCGCCACCATGCTCAGCTAGTTTTTAATATTTTTTTGTTGAGAATTGGTCTCACTATATTTCCCAGGCCGGTCATGAACTCCTGGGCTTAAGTGATCCTCCCACTTCAGCCTTGCAAAGTGCTGGGATTACAGGCATGAACCGCTAAATGTTTGGGATTTTCCATAATAAAAAAATTCCTTAATTTTTTTTTTTTGAGATACAGTTTTACTCTGCCTTCCATGCTGGAGTGTAGCGGCATGATCTTGGCTGACTGCAACCTACGCCTCCCGGGTTCAAGCGATTCTTGTACCTCAGCCTCCTGAGTAGCTGGGGTTATAGGTATGCACCACCATGCCCGGCTAATTTTTGTATTTTTAGTAGAGATGGGGTTTTGCCATGTTGGCCAGGCTGGTCTCACCCTCCCAACCTCAAGTGATCTGCCTGTCTCGGCCTCCCAAAGTGCTGGGATTACAGGCATGGGCCACCATGCCCAGCTCTGAACTTTATGGCCAGGCACAGTGGCTCATGTCTGTAATCCCAGCACTGAGGATGTGGTGGCACATGCCTGTAATCCCAGTTACTCAGGAGGCTGAGGCACAAGAATCGCTTGAACCCAGGAGGTTCAGGTTGTAGTGAGCTGAGATCACGCCACAGTACACCAGCCTGGGCAATAGAGCAAGACTCTGTCTCCAAACAAAATAAAACAAAAAAACAGGAAAAACATGAGCAGTATATTCTAAAGGAACTAATCTAAATGGCCAACAACTATATGAAAAGCTGCACACTTTTCTCAGTAGGGAAATGTGGACTGAAATGAGACAACAATAATTGTGACAAAAATAAGTGGGAAAAAAACCCTATTAGGTACCGATGCATGGACAATATTGAAAGTACAAGAAGTAATAAGATAAAATTTTGGATAAAGTTGTAAAGAAAAAAATTGCTAGCCTGGAAAGCAAGGACAATATATATTGAAATTTAAAGTACATATAATTTCACATTGAGCAAATTCGTTCTGAATATAGTTTTTACTAGGGGCTGTGGGATACCCAAAAGTTGATTAACAAATACAAAAGTACAGCTAGATAGGAGTAATAAGTTCTAGTGTTCTCTAGCACTACAGGGTGACTATAATTAACAATTTATTGTATATTTTCACATACCTAGAAGAGCACATTTTGAATGTTTCTAACACAAAGAAGTTACAAAAGTTTTGAGATGTTGGATACGTTAATTACCCTGATTTGATCTTTACGCATTGTATACTTGTTGCACAATGTCATGTTGTACCCCATAAATACGTACAATTGTTGTGTGTCAATTATTAATAGAAATAAGAAAAAGTTAACTCTCAATTCCATTTTCAAAAAAATACTCTATCAGGTAAGGATTATATGTACTAGAACAATTATTCTAGTTTTGTTCCTGATAGCAAAACAGTTACAAAAAAACCTGGAACTCTCATCAGTAAAGAAATGGTTAAGTTATTTGTGGTCTGTTTATTCTGTGAGATAACATGGAGATTAAAATAAAGTGTAGGGCAGCATTAACTATCCATGTGTTAGCACTAGAGGCTACCAGTTATAGGGAACCACATGGCCACCAGAATGTGGATGGTTACAAGTTGAACACAATTTCCACCCGCAGAAAGTTGGTAATATCTTTGAGGAGTTCCTGCTTTTTTCTGGTCTTCCAGCATCAGGGTTTTCCATTCATAAGGTCACCAATATCCTGATATCCTGGATTCGAATGCCTGCTTCTCAGATTTTACCTCATTTGCCTACAGTTCTCCACTAGATACTGAAAAAACCTCTAGAAGCTTTTACTCTCCTAAAGAGAAGATTCCAGTTCTAGAGATGGTAGAATAAATATATCCCACTTTGTTTCTACTGCTGAATGCAATGATAAGTTCTTAACAGAATCAATGAAGCAACTGTATAAGGACTTTTCAAAGTAAATAGCAGAAATTAACACACTTTTTTTTTTTTTTTTTTTTTTGAGACAGAGTCTCGCTCTGTCGCCCAGGCTGGAGTGCAGTGGCGCGATCTTGGCTCATTGCAACCTCCGCCTCTTGTGTTGAAGCGATTCTCTTGCCTCAGCCTCCTGAGTAGCTGGGATGACAGGCATGCACTACTCCTCCCAGTAATTTTTGTATTTTTAGTAGAGACGGGGTTTCACCATGTTGGTCAGGCTGGTCTCAAACTTTTAAACAACCAGTGAATCAAAGAAGAAATCACATGGAAAATTAGAAAATATTTTGAGATGAAAGAAAACAACATACCAAAACTGATGGATGTAGTGAAAGCAGTGCTCAGCTTATAGCTGTGACTGCCTGTATTAAAAAAAAATTCCTAAAATCAATAACCTCACTTTACACTTTAAGTCACTGGACAAAGAAGAGCAACTAGAAAAGCAAGCAAGCAAGCAGAAGGAAGGAAATAATATTAGAGTGGAGATAGACAAAACAGAGGATAGAAAAGTAGAATTAACAAAACCAAAAGTTGTTTCTTTGAAAAGGTCAACAAAATTGGCAAACCTTTAGCTGGGCTAAGAAAAAGAGAAGCTGCAAATAAGTAAAGTCAGAATGAAAGTGGTGACATTACCAAATTTATAGAAATAAAAAGGATTATAAGTAAAAACTATGAACAATTGTATACCAACAAATTAGATTACCTAGATGAAATGGACAATTTCTAGAAACTCACAAATTACCAAACTGCCTAAGAAAGAGAGAATCAGATCTATAACAAGTTAAGAAATTTAATCTGTAATCAAAAATCTCCCAAGAAGGAAAGGTTTTTATGGCTTCACTGGTGAATTTTACAAACATGAGAACACAAATCCCTCACAAGCTCTTCAAAAAAAAAAAAAAAAAAAGAGAAACTCATTCTATGAAGCCAGGATTATCCTGATACCAAATCCAGACAGAGACACCTCAAGAAAAGAAAACTATAGCCTTAATATTTCTTATACACATAGATGCAAAAATTCTCAACAAAATACTAACAAAATCGAACAGCATGTTAAGAGAACTCTATGCCCTGACCAGGTGTGATTTATTCCAGGAATGCAAGGGTGGTTCAACAAAAGATAATCCACGTGATACACTACATTAATGGAATGAAGGGAAACCCTGCAAGATCATTTCAATTGATGCAGAAAAAGCATGTACAAAATTACATCTTTCATGATAAAAACATTAAGCAAAGTAGGAATAGAAGGGAACTTGTGCAACATGATTTAGAGCTTTTTGAAAAACCCACAGCTAATATCACACTCAGTAAAGGCTGAAAGCTTTACCCCTAAGATTAGGAGTAAGACAAAAATGCCTGCCTTTGCTACTGTTATTCAACATTGCACTGGAAATTCCAGGCAGTGCAATTAGGCAAGAAAAATAAATAGAGGGCTTTTGAGTTGGAAAGGGGGAAATAAAACTCTATCTTCGGCTGGGTGTGGTGGCTACGCCTGTAATCCCAGCACTTTGGGAGGCTGAGGTGGGTGGATCACCTGAGGTCAGGAGTTTGAGACCAGCCTGGCCAACATGGTGAAACCCCAGCACTACTAAAAATACAAAAATGACCTGGGCATGGTGGCAGGCAGCTCTAGTCCCAGCTACTCAGGAGGCTGAGGCAGGAGAATCGCTTGAACTTGGGAGGCGGAGGTTGCAGAGACTGGGATCACGCCACTGCACTCCAGCCTGGGTGACCGAGCAAGACTTCGTCTCAAAAAACAAAACAAAATAAACAAACAATACTCACTATCTTCACTGGTGAAATGATTCTATATATAACAAAACCAAAGAATTCACACAAAAACTATTAAAGCTAATTTAGCAAAGTTGCAGAGTACAATGTCAATATACAAATATCATTTGCATCTGTATACACAACTACCTTTCTTGAGAAGGAAGTTAATAAAAATTTCATTTACAATAGCATCAAGAATAATAAAATACTTAGGAATTAATTTAACCAAGGAAGTAAAAAACTTGTACACTGAAAACTACAAACCATTGCTGAAAGACATTCAAGCAAACATAAATAAATGGAAAGACATTATGTGTTCATGGATTGGAAGATGTAATATTGTTAAGATATCAATATCAACCAAAGCAATATACAGATTCAGTGAAATCTCTATTAAAATCCCAATGATGATTTCTTCTGAAATATAAAAATGTACTGTAAAATTCATATAGAATCTTAAGGGACCCTAAATAGCCAAAACAACCATGAAAAACAAGGGCAAAGTAGGAGGACTCACACATCTGATTTCAAAATTTGCTACAAAACTACAGTAATCCAAACAGTATGGTACTGGCATAAAGACAGATATATAGACTAAGGGAATCTAATAGACAGTCCAGAAATAAACTCATATATGCAGGCAAATGATCTTTGACAAAGTGCCAAGACCATTTGATGGGGGGAAATAACAGTCTTTTCAACAAATAGCTCTAGGAAAATTGGATATTGACATGCCAAAGAATGAAGTTGGACCTTTCCCTAAAACCATATACAAGAATTGACTCAAAATGGACCAAACATCTAAACCAAGCTTGTCCAACCCTTGGTACATTGGCCACATGTGGCTCAGGACAGCTTTGAATGCAGCCCAAACAAATTTGTAAACTTTTTTAAAACATGAATTTTTTTTTCCTCATAGCTATCATTAGTGTTAGCGTATTTTATATGTGGACCAAGACAATTCTTATTTTTCCAATGTGGCCCAGGGAATCCAAAAGATTGGACAACCCTGATAAACATAAGAGTTAAAATAATAAATCTCTTGATTGATTGATTGATTGAGACGGTCTCACTCTGTTGTCCAGGCTGGAGTGCAACGGCTCACTGCAACCTTCGCCTCCTGGGTTCAAGTGATTCTCCTGCCTCAGCCTCCTGAGTAGCTGGGATTATAGGTGTGCCCCACCGTGCCTGGCTAATTTTTGTATTTTTAGTAGAGATGGGTTTCACCATGTTGGCCAGGCTGGTTTCGAACTCCCAACCTCAGGTGATCTGCCTGCCTCGGCCTCCCAAAGTGCTGGGATTATAGGCATGAGCCACTGTGCCCGGCCCATAATCTCTCTGAAGAAGACATAGGGGAAAATCATGACATTGGATGTGCCTGTGATTTCTTGGATATGACAGGAAAAACACAACAACAACAACAACAAAAAATAGACAAAAACTTTTGTGCATCAAAGGATACTGTCAACAGGAAAATGGCAACCCAGGCAGGAGGTAAGTGTGTCCGGAATTTGTGGGTTCTTGGTCTCACTGACTTCAAGAATGAAGCCGCGGACCCTCGCGGTGAGTGTTACAGCTCTTAAGGTGGCGCGTCTGGAGTCTGTCCCTTCTGATGTTCAGATGTGTTCGGAGTTTCTTCCTTCTGGTGGGTTCGTGGTCTCGCTGGCTCAGGAGTGAAGCTGTAGACGTTCGCGGTGAGTGTTACAGCTCTTAAGGTAGCGCATCTGGAGTTGTTCGTTCCTCCTGGTGGGCTAGTGGTCTCGCTGGGCTCAGGAGTGAAGCTGCAGACCTTCGCGGTGAGTGTTACAGCTCTTAAGGCGGTGCATCTGGACTTGTTCGTTTCTCCTGGTGGGCTCGTGGTCTCGCTTCAGGAGTGAAGCTGCAGACCTTAGCAGTGAGTGTTACAGCTCATAAAAGCAGCGTGGACCCAAAGAGTGAGCAGTAGCAAGATTTATTGCAAAGAGCGAAAGAACAAAGCTTTCACAGTGTGGAAGGGGACCAGAGTGGGTTGCCAATGCTGGCTCGGGCAGCCTGCTTTTATTCTCTTATCTGGCCCCACCCACATCCTGCTGATTGGTAGAGCCGAGTGGCCTGTTTTGTCAGGGCACTGATTGGTGTGTTTACAATCCCTGAGCTAGATACAAAGGTTCTCCATGTGCCCATCAGATTAGTTAGATACAGAGTTTCCACACACGGGTTCTCCAAGGCCCCACCAGAGCAGCTAGATACAGAGTGTCGATTGGTGCATTCACAAACCTTGAGCTAAACACAGGGTGCTGATTGGTGTGTTTACAAACCTTGAGCTAGATACAGAGTGCCGATTGGTGTATTTACAATCCTTGAGCTAGACATAAAGGTTCTCCACGGCCTCACCAGAGCAGCTAGATACAGAGTGTCGATTGGTGCACTCACAAACCTTGAGCTAAACACAGGGTCCTGATTGGTGTGTTTACAAACCTTGGGCTAGATACAGAGTGCCGATTGGTGTATTTACAATCCTTGAGCTAGACATAAAGGTTCTCCACGTCCTCACCAGAGCAGCTAGATACAGTGTCGATTGGTGCACTCACAAACCTTGAGCTAAACGCAGGGTGCTGATTGGTGTATTTACAATCCCTGAGCTAGATATGAAGACTCTCCACGTCCCCACCAGACTCAGGAGCCCAGCTGGCTTCACCTAGTGGATCCCACACCGGGGCTGCAGGTGGAGCTGCCTGCCAGTCCCGCGCCGGGCGCTCGCATTCCTCAGCCCTTGGGTGGTTGATGGGACTGGGTGCTGTGGAGCAGGGGGTGGTGCTTGTCGGGGAGGCTCGGGCCGCACAGGAGCCCATGGAGTGGGTGGGAGGCTCAGGCATGGCGGGCTGCAGGTCCCGAGCCCTGCCCCGTGGGAAGGCAGCTAAGGCCTGGGGAGAAATCCAGCGCAGAGCCAGTGGGCCAGCACTGCTGGGAGACTCAGTACACCCTCCGCAGCCACTGGCCCGGGTGCTGAGTCCCCCGTCGCCCAGGTGCTAAGTCCCCCATTGCCCGGGGCTAGCAGGGCTGACTGGCTGCTCCGAGTGCGAGTGCGGGGCCCACCAAGTCCCCGCCCACCCGGAACTGCAGCTGGCCCGCAAGCGCTGCACACAGCCCCGGTTCCCGCTCGTGCCTCTCCCTCCACACCTCCCTGCAAGCTGAGGGAGTGGGCTCCAGCCTTGGCCAGCCCAGAAAGGGACTCCCACAGTGCAGTGGGGGGGCTGAAGGGCTCCTCAAATGCCACCAAAGTGGGAGCCCAGGCAGGGGAGGTGCCGAGAGCAAGCGAGGGCTCTGAGGACTGCCAGCATGCTGTCACCTCTCATAAGGACCTTAGAAGTCATCGCTCTGTTCTAAACAGATTAAAAGCTGAACAAATTGATAATCAACTCTTCTTAGATCCATCAGAAAATTGAGGTCACAGGGCAAAACACTGCCCCCAAAGTGAAGAAGACAGGTGGATACAGAGAAACACAATTTACCAGAGTGGAGACAGCTGAGGGGAAACTTCTGTGAGAACTATTACCTGGGATAGAAAATCTAGAAATGTAATTGACAAATTGCTAGAGGCTCAGTTTAGACATGTTTGAGGGTTAAAAACTCTTGGGGTTGGGGTCAGTCTTAAGGGAGCATGCCTATACTTTTTGAGTTGTACTGACAAGAGCCCTACCGGGTTTTCACACAGACGATCAGAGAAAAAGCCCCTTGTGCTTCTGGCAAGCATACAGGAAAAGTAGCTATTTTGAAGTATGTCGAGCATTCTGTTCATCTTAACAAGGTTTATGCTCAAGAGAAACTACCAGAACCTACCTGAGTGGAATTTTACCAGAGCCTAACTGACTTGGAGGAAGAGACATATCCATCGACGGCTCCCTCTAACCACCCTCTTCCCACTGAAAGGGGGCAGGAAACAGAAAAACACTTGTGAAATTGATAGTCCATGGTACAGACTCACTAAAAGACTGAGAGCTAATTACAAGATGGTGGAATGATTCCCCTCCCCTACATCTCACTGCCACATTACTAAAGGTCTATTTACTGCAGTGTTTCACCCAGTACATTATATTCGGCTTTCAAAAAAAAAATAAAAATTACAAAGCAACAACAACAAAAAGGCAACAACAACAAAAAATCCCAAAACAAACAAAATACATAAAGACTCTTCAGTTTGGAGGGCAGTGGTTTGTCCTATGACCTTAATTCTCTGATGGGTCTAAGAAGAGTTGTTGATTTTCAGTCAAACATTAGAAGCAGAGTCAGATACAGCAGGAATGTTATAATTATCAGTTCAGCATTTTAAATTAACTATAATTAATATGTTAAAGCCTCTAAGGGAAAAAAGTGGACAATGGGTAAGAATCGATGAATGGTATAAGCAGAGAGATGGAAAGTCTAAGAAAGAATAAAAAAGGGCCAGTTGCAGTGGCACATATCTGTGATCCCAACACTTGGGGGGCTGAGGCAGGTGGATCACTTGGGCTCAGGAGTTCAAGACCAGCCTGGGCAACATGGGGAAACCTCGCCTTTACTACAAATACAGAAATTAGCCAGGTGTGGTGGCATGCACCTGTAGTCTCAGCTACTCAGGAGGCCAGGTGGGCAGATCGCTTGACCCTGGGAGATGATGCAGTGAGCCAAGATCATGCCACTGCACTCCAGCTGCAACAGGATGAGACCCTGTCTCAAAAAATAAAAACAAAAAGCAAGAGATCAAAAGCACTGTAACAAATGAAGAATGCCTTTCAAGGGCTCACTAGGAGGCTAAATGTATCCAAGGAAAGAATGTCCAAGCTTGAGTATATGTAAATAGAAACCTACAAAACCGAAAAGCAAAGAGAGAAGACTGAAAAACAATATCCAAGAACTGAGGGACAACTACAAAACGTTTAAATGCAATTAATGGGAACAGCAGAAGGTGAAGAGAGAAAGGAACAGAAGAAATACTTGAGACAATAATGACTGATAATTTTCCTCAAATTAATGTCAGACACCAAACCAAACAAAAACAGATCCAGAAAGCTAAGAGAACATCAAGCAGGATAAATGCCAAAATAAATTAATTGAAAATACACCTAGACATATATTAAAACTACAGAAAATGTAAAGAAAAAAATTCTTAAGGGCAGGCATGGTGGCTCACACCTGTAATCCCACATTTTGGGAGGCCAACGTGGGTGGATCATTTGAGGTCAGGAGCTCGAGGCCAGCCTGGTCAACATGGTGAAACCCCATCTCTACTAAAAATACAAAAATTAGGCAGGGTGGCACACGCCTGTAATCCCAGCTACTCGGGAGGCTGAGGCACAAGAATCACTTGAACCCAGGAGGCGGAGGTTGCAGTGAGCTGAGATCGTGCCACTGCACTCCAGCCTGGTTGACAGAGTGAGACTCTGTTAAAACAAAAACAAAAACAAAAAAAAAAAAACAAAAGAAAAAGCCTTGAAAGAAGCCAGAAGAGAAAAACACCCATAAAGAAGCACAGATAAGAATTACACCTGACTTTTGAAAAACGATGCCAGCAAGAAGAGAGTGGAGTGAAATATTTAAAGTGTGGTGAGGAAAAAACCTACCAACCGAGAATTCTGTATCCTGTGAAATTATGCTTCAAAATTGAAGGAAAAATGAACAAACAAAAATTGAGGGAATTTGTTGCCAGTAGACAAGAGGAAACCATGTCAGATACCAATCTGGATTCACTAAAAGAATCCAGAAATCCTAAATATGTAGATATATGGAAAATACTTTCCTTTATTTTTTTCTGTTCAAATTTTGGAAAGATAACTTAGTTTTTGAAGCAAAAATAATATGTAAGGGTTTCTTACATATGTTGCTATAAAATATATGACAATAGCCAAAAAGACAGGGCACAAGTATAATTTTACTGTTGAAAGGATTTTAAATTTTTTGAGAAGTGGTACAATATTAATATAACTCTAAATATATAATATAACTAATCTAGTTAACTCTAAATAGATTATGATAAATTAAGAATGAACATTTTGATTTATAAACTAACCACTAAAAAGTAATATGGGGAAGTACAGCTAAATATCCAATAGAGGAATAAAAATGGAATTCTAAAAATATTTAAAAGCTGACAAAAAAAGTGGAACAGAGGAACAAAACCATCAAACAAGCAAAACAAATGAGGCAACTGGAAAATGAATAACAAAGTAGCAGATTTAAGCCCTACTATATCAGTAATTACACTAAATGGACTTAAACCTCAGATTTAAAAATGGAGGCTTTCAAGCTGGATAAAAAAGCGTGATCCAACTGTATCTTGTCTAAAAGAGATGTGTTTTAACTGTAAAGATACAGGTGGATTGACAGTAAAAGGGTGATAAGAAGTATACTCTGCAAAAAAAATAAGAAATATAATATGTGTTACTAACATGGACGCAGTACAATGGGTATTGTCATAGAGTTTCAAAAAGACAATTCATTATGTTAAGAAGGGTCAATTTATCAGGAAGATGTAACAATGGTAAATATGTGTGTACCTAATAAAAGAGCTTCAAAATACAAGCTAGGCACAGCAGCTACTAGGGAGTCTGGGGTGGAGGATGGCTTGAGCCTAGGATTTTGAGGCTTCACTGAACTGTGATCATGCCACTGCACTCCAGCCTGGGTGACAGATGAAGAGCCTGTCTCTAAAGATGAAAAATTGAGAGAAAGTGTCAAAATACACAATGCAAAAACTGAGATAACTAAAAAGAGAGACAAATCCACAACCTTGCTTGGAGATTTGATATCTCTCACAGTAATTGATAGAACAAACTAGACAAAAAATAAATCCAGTAGGATGGTAGAAGACTTTAAAAATGTTGTCAACCAGTTTGACAATATATGTAGAACACTACATCCAAGGATTGCAGAATACACATTGTTTTAAAATGTACGTGGAACCTTTACAAGGATAACCTATGTTTTAGGCCTTAAAGAAGTTCCAACAAATTCTGAAGATTGAAATGTTAGAGAATAGGCTGGGCGCGGTGGCTCACGCCTTTAATCCCAGCACTTCGGGAGGCCGACGTGGGCGGATCACCTGAGGTCAGGAGTTGGAGACTAGACCAGCCCGGCTGACATGGTGAAACCCCGTCTCTACTAAAAATACAAAAATTAGCTGGGCGTGGTGGTAGGCGCCTGTAATCCCAACTACTCGGGAGGCTGAGGCAGGAGAATCACTTGAACCCGGGAAGCGGAGGTTGCAGTGAGCAGAGATCGCACCATTGCACTCCAGCCTGGGGGACAAGAGCAAGGCTTTGTCTCAGAAAAAAAAAAAAAGAAAGAAAGAAATGTTAGAGAATAAGTGTTCCGACTGCAATGGAAATTGATTTAAAAATCTATAAACTTGTATTTTTGGTCCCTAGGTATCAGAGGTTCAAATGTATTCTCATGTGGTATTTTATGATATCTCCCACAGGTCGTTCCTTGACTGGGAATCAGTGAGATAATGAAATTGTGTTCAAGCAATCCTTATCCTATTAAGGCCTAGGTACTGTGCAGATCAGTTGCTTCTGAAATGGTCCAACCACATCTGTTATGGTTTGGTGCAAAACTCTTCCCAATATCCTATTGTTTCTTGGGAAGTAGAAATGCTAAGTGCATGTGTAGAAGCTTCATCCCTGGGGATCAAGCTTGATCTCAAACAATAACGATCTGTTCTCCACAAGGCCCAGGACCCATGATCATAGTAAGGCAGATGAGAGGACTTCTGGTGCCCCCTCACATCCCTGTGCATCTTGACAGTGAGCTCTTACATAGGGCACATGATGTATATATATATATATATTTTTTTTTTTTTTTTGACTGTGGCAATTTTATTTTTTATTGATACATAATAGATGTGCATATTTCTGGGGTACATGTGATATTTTGATATTATTAATATAAGTATAATAACCAAATCAGGGTAAATGGAACATCCATCACCTTAAACATTTATCTTTTCTTTATGCTGGAAACATTTGAATTATTCTCTACTATTTTGAAATATACAATAGATGTTTTACTATAGTCACTCTACTGACTTATCAAACACTAGGTCTATTTTTTCTATCTACCTGTATTTTTTTGTAGCCATTTATTGACCTCTCTTCATCCCTCCCTCCCCCTACCCATCCCTGCCTCTGGTAACCACCATTCTTTATGAGATCCACATTCCTAACTCCTACATCTGAGTGAGAACATGTGATATCTGTGTTTCTGTGCTTGGTTTATTTCACTTAACAGTGACCTTCAGTTCCGTCCGTGTTGCTGCAAATGATAGGATTTCATTTTTTTTAATGGTGGAATATTCCATTGTGTATATATATCACATTTTCTTTATCCACTTATCCATTGACGGGCACTTGGGTTGATTCCATCTTTTGGCTATTGTAAGTAGTGCTGAAATAAACATGGGAGTGCAGACATCTCTTCAATATATTGATTTCTTTTCTTTTGGATATATACCCAGCAGTGGGATTGCTGGATCATATGATAGTTCTATTTTTAATTTTTTCAGGAATCTCCACAGTTTTCCATGGTGGCTGCGCTAATTTACATTCCCATCAACAACGGAGGAGGGTTCCCTTTTGTCCACATCCTTGCCAGGAACCCTATTCCCTTTTTGATAAAAGCCATTTTAACTGGTGTGAGGTATTCATTGTGGTTTTTTTTTTTTTTTTTTTGTTTTTTTTTTAATTTATTTTTTTATTGATAATTCTTGGGTGTTTCTCACAGAGGGGGATTTGGCAGGGTCATGGGACAATAGTGGAGGGAAGGTCAGCAGATAAACAAGTGAACAAAGGTCTCTGGTTTTCCTAGGCAGAGGACCCTGCGGCCTTCCGCAGTGTTTGTGTCCCTGATTACTTGAGATTAGGGATTGGTGATGACTCTTAACGAGCATGCTGCCTTCAAGCATCTGTTTAACAAAGCACATCTTGCACCGCCCTTAATCCATTTAACCCTGAGTGGACACAGCACATGTTTCAGAGAGCACAGGGTTGGGGGTAAGGTCACAGATCAACAGGATCCCAAGGCAGAGGAATTTTTCTTAGTGCAGAACAAAATGAAAAGTCTCCCACGTCTACTTCTTTCTACACAGACACGGCAACCATCCGATTTCTCAATCTTTTCCCCACCTTTCCTGCCTTTCTATTCCACAAAGCCGCCATTGTCATCCTGGCCCGTTCTCAATGAGCTGTTGGGCACACCTCCCAGACGGGGTGGTGGCCGGGCAGAGGGGCTCCTCACTTCCCAGTAGGGGCGGCCGGGCAGAGGCGCCCCTCACCTCCCGGACGGGGCGGCTGGCCTGGCGGGGGGGCTGACCCCCCCCACCTCCCTCCCGGACGGGGCGGCTGGCCGGGCAGAGGGGCTCCTCACTTCCCAGTAGGGGCGGCCGGGCAGAGGCGCCCCTCACCTCCCGGATGGGGCGGCTGGCCGGGCGGGGGGGCTGACCCCCCCCCACCTCCCTCCCGGACGGGGCGGCTGGCCGGGCGGGGGGCTGACACCCCCACCTCCCTCCCGGACGGGGCGGCTGGCCGGGCAGAGGGGCTCCTCACTTCCCAGTAGGGGCAGCCGGGCAGAGGCGCCCCTCACCTCCCGGACGGGGCGGCTGGCCGGGCAGGGGGGCTGACCCCCCCCACCTCCCTCCCGGACGGGGCGGCTGGCCGGGCGGGGGGCCGACACACACGATGTATATTTATCCCTTGTATCCTGGAAGTTGCCTGGGGTGCTGTTTGGGGGACCTTGCTGACAGAGTGCGTAGAGGTATGAGTGGGCTCTCAGTTAAGCACTTGAAAGCCTAGAACTTCCTTTCAATTGTGGTGAGACACTGACCTCTATTCGAAGATGGTGGCCACAGGTGTCTGTCTACCAGAGTTCTCCAGATAAGTGCATTACACAGCTCCCTTTCTGCCACTCAGTTCTGAAGTCAGCTTCAGAATAAACAGCTTGGTTCATGATTTCAGGGGATGAAAATGCCAAAGATAACAGAGAATTTGAGAAAACCTCCAGACTTGGTTTTTCTGTTTGTTTTCCTGTCTTGCTGTATCCAATGGCACAGGGATTTGCACTCTGGCAAACTCTATCTTAAGAGGAAAGTGAGACAAAAGGGTTGTTTCTTATTCCCTACAAAGCATTAAAGAAGTTCCAGTGACAGCAGTGGAGGTGTCTCATTCTTTGGTACAGAATATAGTCCTTTATAGTTTTACAGAAACCTACAAAAACACACAGTGGCAGTGTCCTGGGACAGACAACTGTGCTCTCAGTCTCTGGGAAAGTGTATTGAAAGGTGCTCATACATTTCTCCCTGAGATCTCAGTGGGGGTGAGGAATGGGAAGTATGTAACTCCCTCCCTCTTCTCTTTCCAGCACCTCCAGGAAGAAGCGAGAGTTCAGTTTCCCAAGTCGAGGGAAGTAGAGAGGGATGGGAGGGTCTGTGAGAGGTGGAGGTCAGCACAAGGGCCTCTTACCTGAGCATTTCTGCATGGGGTGCATACTGGCACCTGGCTGTGTGTGCCCCTCAAACTGGCTCCTATCATCCAGAATCCCACCTGTAATAATTCTATTCCTGCTTCACTGAAGAAGAATATCAGCCCAAGGAGGTGCAGTGACTTCACTGAAGTCACACAGCAAGTTAGTGCTGGGGTCCAGACAAGACTCAAACCTTCTGGTTTCTAATCCAATTTTCTGGATGGAAAAAAAGTTATAAGTCCTTATTCTTTTCAACTGCTGTTCTTATTTCCCAAAGTGGAGTGCCCAAACATGGAAAAGAAAGACCCCCAAGCTACTCCCCTGGCTCCACATGGATGCTTATGGAGGGATGGAGGGAGAGGCTCTCCCTGACTTCTCTCACATTAACTCCACTTTGCATCATCTCTCATTTGCTGTGCTCTCTGTCTTGGGGTAGCAGTTTATTGTAATCCCCCACTTCCCATCCAGAAAAACCCCATATCTTCTCATTTCATCTCTCATAGTCCCTTCTACTATCTTGAGACCTTATATATAATGTTTCTTGGTGTAAACATTTCATCCGGAAGGGCTTGGAGAAAGGCACACTCCCTAGCCAGTTAACATTTTTCTACCAACTCCAAATTTTTAAACAAAGCTTCTCTTCCTCAACCATCTGCAAATCAGAAAATCGTTGAATCTACCTATGACATGTAAGTCCCCACTTCAAGATATTCCATCCTTTTAGGCCTAAAGCAACCTCCATGTATTGATTTACAATTTTGCCTACAGCTTCTGCTTTCCTGAAATCCACCCCTGCCTTTGAGATCCTTTGTCTGGAAGCCACTGGGGAGGTCAGGATTTGAGCATTTAGCTGCCTGGTCCTTCTTGCTTGGTGCTCTGCAATAAACACCTTTCTATTGCTGCAAACTTCAGTGTGGATATGTGGTTTTACTGTGGCAGGAGAGTGGACCCCACTTTGGTTCTATAACACTTAAAAGTTAAAACAACTGTCCCCAAAACTGATTTTCTTGGTTTTCATGATTTGTTAACAGTAGCACTGTTCATTTTTTTTTTCATGAATATCCATATTCAAGGAGTTTGCAGGTCTATCCTCATATGGATCTCACCCCTTTTTCTTGTTACTAATTTACACTCCAAGACCTCAGTATTGTTGTAGTTACCTCCTCACTAATCTCTAGTTTTTCCTCTCTCTAAATCTTTTTTTCACTTTGCTGTGAAAATAATCTTCCCTAAACACAAGTTTTATCACCAATTCCAGTTCATGCATTTGTCTTATACCTCCTCATGCACATGCACTGTCATTACCCTTGGTTGGCTCAACTTACATTTCCAGCTCTTTCTTACACATTGACCCTGGTGCGTCACACAGGCAACACACTAAGCTACTCACAATCTGCCAAGCTTTACCTGAAGTTTGCATCTTCGGTAGATAGCTTGCCATTGCAGGGGCTTAAAATGGACTTGGGAGGTGGGAAGGTGTGAGTTGAAATTAAAATTATGGCATAAGTTATGCTCGCATGAACACTGAAGAGCTTTGGGTTTATCATACTTCACCTGAGGATGATATTCACTTTGGATGGTTGTTGAGAAGATTTGAAGAACGCAATTTTCAAGTATCCAGAACTATATCTGACACTGAAACCACTTTTGCAAAATTATCACAGTAAGAGAAATCTGATATAGTTGACTCCATCTTGCTTCTAACCTCCAAGCTGCCCTTGGTCCTTCCTGGGCCTAGGACATGCTGACTGTGGGAGAAATTTAGTTTATAGTTTAACCTTAAAGCAAGGATGATAGTAGCCCTTCCTAAAACTAAACTGACTTTATAAAACTAATGAAAGCCTACAAGGCTAGGATTATGAGAAGGGCCTGAATTCTGCTAAAATTTAGGCATAAACAATAACAAGCCATTGTTCCAGAGGTCATAAGATTTGTAACTTCCCCAGTTACACTTGCAGATAACATCACTATTGTAGAACCTTAGGTTGGCCTTTGAGATGCCTTTTCAGACTTTCACATTTCTGATGACCAGCGAACTCCACCTGGACTCATGATACCACCAGTCCTGTGGCCCCCACCCAGAGGTGGACCCAGCACATGAAGATTGTTTTCCACACCTCTATGATCCCCAACCAATCAGCAATACCCGTTCCCTAGTCCCCTGCCCACCAAAGTAACATTGAAAGCCTCTAATCTCTGAGCCTTCGGGGAGGCTGATTTGAGTAAAAATAAAACTCTGATCTCCCATTTAGCTGGCTCTATGTGTATTAAACTCTCTATTGCAATTTCCGTGTCTTGATAAATCAGCTGTATCTGGGCAGTGGGCAAGATGAACCCATTGGGTAGTTACAACACATAATAGATGTTCAATAGGATGCCCCAAGGGATCCTCAGTGGAGCGAGCTCTTCTCTACCAGCTGCCCCCAGGCTCCACGGGCTGCTCTCCCTCAAGGCCCACTGTGCGTCTACACTGCAGCACCTGACTCAGAAGAGGTGGAGTGTGTTGCAGGCCTGGGGGCAGCTCTGCCTGTCCCTCTTAGTACCACCAGGCTAGGCTCTAGAGTCAAGCTGGTACATGGGTTCTGGGGTCCTGTGATCCTGGGTTGTGGGGAGTGGGATGTGTGTTTCCTAGGAAAGGTGCTGAGGGTTTGATATTTATATGTTTATATTTATAAAACATATTTGCTTTTTAATTTTAAAATATTTAATTGACAAAGATTGAATATATTCTTATTCAAAGTGTACAACATGATTATTTGATATATGTATGCACTGTGCAATGATTACCACAATCAAAATGAATGTTTTTTCGAAGAACATAGTACTTTCCTAGGAACATTTTTATTTATTATTATTATTTTTTGAGGTGGAGTCTTGCTCTGTCATCCAGGCTGGAGTGCAGTGGCGCTATCTCTGCTCACTGCAAGCTCCACCTTCTGGGTTCATGCCATTCTCCTGCCTCAGCCTCCCGAGTAGCTGGGACTACACGCCCGGCTAATTTTTTGTATTTTTAGTAGAGACGGGGTTTCACCGTGTTAGCCAGGATGGTCTAAATCTCCTGACCTCGTGATCCGCCCGCCTCTGCCTCCCAAAGTGCTGGGATTACAGTCCTGAGCCACTGTGCCCAGCCCCTAGGAACATTTAAATCTTGAAAGTTATTTGTCTCACTTAAGCGCTGTGGTATATGGCCTTACTCCACTCCAGTGCAGCCCTGTGGTTCTCACCAGGCTATTGGAAGTTCCCTTTCCCACTGCTCCCATTGCCAGCTGAGACACATGCCACCTTCTCCCTTTCTTTTCTCTCTGGACCTGTGTTGCGCCAGGAAAGTTGTTTAATGTTTTAGCAATCATGTGTATTAATGTGTGACAGACATTGCTGTGCTTTTCGAAACTTCTGTGTTGAAGTCAAATAAAATATGGAAATGAATCTGAAATTAAAACATCTTATTTGGGAGGAAAGAATTGCAATTTGGGGCATCCATGTAGACCGGGTGGTGTTCAGTATGTCTCAAGAACAAAGAGAAGGTTAGAGGTTTTATGAAAAAGGGAAATGTTACTTACTGTTCTTGGAGAAAGTTCCTTGGTACTAACTAGTTAGGTCTTGGGGAGCTGGCACGTTTGGATTGGCAAGTGAAGGCAGTGGGTACAACACAGCGGGTTGTTTCAGTAGTCATTTGCTTGTTAACTAAAGAAAAATTCATGGCTGTGTCTAGTGGCTCATGCATGTAGTCCCATTACTTTGGGAGGCTGAGGTGAGAGGACTGCTTGAGCCCAGGAGTTCAAAACCAGCCTGGGCAACATGGCAAGACCATCTCTACAAAAATTTAAAAATTAGCAGGCATGTTTGTGTGTGCCTGTGGTTGCAGCTACCCAGGAAGCTGAGGCAGGAGGATCCCTTGAGCCTAGGAGGTCGAAGCTGTGGTGAGCCGTTGTTCATGTCACTGCACTCCAGCCTGGGTGACAGAGTGAGACCCTGTCTCAGAAAAAACAAACAAACAACAACAACAAAACAAAACAAAACAAAAAACCCAACAAAGCAGAAAAACACCAAAGAAAATGTTACCAAAACACCAGGGTACAGCCTGGGTCCTGCTGCTTGCTGCACACAGAAAGCCAGCGACAGATCCGAGTATTGCCAAGGAAGGCGGCTTTAATCAGGTGCTGCAGCCAAGGAGATGGGAGCTCAATCTCAAACCCATCTCCCTGAGGACTAACACTAGGGGCTTACATAGCAGGGAAGAAATGAAACAATGTGTAAGAAAATAGGGACTAGGCAGGGGAAGGAAGCAATCATGATGAATGAGGGGTCCAGCATTTCACAGTCTGCATGTGGTGATCTGGAGAGTTTCGGTTCTTTGACGCTTTTTTTGAGAGGCCTGATGGTCATTTCCTGACCATCCCGAGTTCATGAAGGAACTCAGATTAAAAAAATGGAAGTTTCAAGCCAGAAGGGTCAATTTCTATGCTTATCCAAGAAACTGTCTATGGGATTATTGGATCGGTTTCAAAAAGAAAAAGAAAAATATCAGGCCTTTAAAGAACTAAAGTTAATACCAGCACTTTGGGAGGCTGAGGCAGGCCCATCATGAGGTCATTTTAAGACCAGCCTGACGAACATGGTGAAATGCTGTCTCTACTAAAAATACAAAAAAAAAAATTAGGCGGGTGTGGTGGTGTGCACCTGTAATCCCAGCTGTTCAGAAGGCTGAGGCAGGAGAATCACTTGAACCCGGGAGGCAGAGTTTGCAGTGAGCTGAGGTCGTGCCACTGCACTCCAGCCCGGGTGACAGAGTGAGACTCCGTCTCAAAAGAAAAAAAGAAAAAAGAGAAGAACCAAAGTTAGTTCTATTTAGAAGTCTTACTCAGGATTGTAACCTGGGAGAGCTGGAGCGTTTCTGTGAACCTACTCCAGAGTAGTGTTATAGCCCATTTTATATACACGTGATGGTGGCTCTGTATATGCTCAGGAATTACATTAGAGCAAAATCTCATCAAGGTTTGTGTGCAAGGGTATATCTGGTTATAGATTATAGAGGCATAATCACGAATTCTGTCAGACATTATTTTATGCACAGGGAGAGAAAGGCCCAGAATCATTGAATTTATCTTTTTAAAATATGTAATGATTCAGGCAAGAGTGGTGGGAACCTGTGCTCTATTCTGCTTATGGTTTTCAGGGCATTCTTCCAGAGGGCTGTGCTCAGTAAGCATCAGGAGCTTTGTGAAATTCTTCTGGCAAGTAGAATGAGCAAACATGTCTTCTTACATTTGCTACTTTGTCTCACAAGATAAAACTGGTTTTAGGTTACAGCAACTAGGCTTGCAGAGAATTACATTTTTGGAGCAATGCTATGGGTCCAGAATGTCCCCCCTTCCCTCAGACTTCTGGACACTGTTTTAGTTGGGTCTGACAACAGTGACTCAATTTGAATGATCAGCTTTCACATCTGATTATTATATTAGGTTTATTTTTGTCCTAATGATGTTTGGGATAGTTCTTTTAGGTCAAAAATAAAACGAAATGTCAAAAAGGAAACAATCTGACAACATTTTGAGATTCAAATTGGAATTTTGGCAAGGAATTTTTAGTATTCTCATGTAGAAAACTGGGATTCAGGCTGGGCACGGTGGCTCACGCCTGTAATCCCAGCACTTTGGGAGGCCAAGGCGGGTGGATCACAAGGTCAGGAGTTTGAGACCTTTGTGGCCAACGTGGTGAAACCCTGTCTCTACTAAAAATACAAAAATTAGCTGGGAGTGGTGGCACGCACCTGTAGTCCCAGCTACTTGGGAGGCTGAGGCAGGAGAATTGCTTGATTCGGAAGGCAGAGGTTGCAGTGAGCTGAGATGATGCCACTGCACTCCAGCCCGGGTGACAGAGTGAGACTCCATCTCAAAAAAAACCAAAAAGCAAAAACAAAAAATACTGGGATTCAAGTTCTCCTTAATGTCAGGAGTAAAGGTTTAGGCTTGTGTTGTCAAAGAAAAACCAGAACTAGATGGTAGTTACAGCAGTAAAAGCAGATATTATTCAGGACTATTGCAATAGAGGAAAAGAAATGGATTTAGAACTCAGTTCTGAATACAGCATGGACAACTGAGAATGTACAGCCAAGGAGTAGGGTGGGAATAAGTGGATGGAAAATTACTAAGAGGAAACATTTGGGGTAGGGAGAATTCTGTCTAAAATGAACCAACAGGATTCATGCTGAAGGCAGGCTGGGGTGATCAGACATCACCTGGGGCAACCAGATCTGGAGGATGGAGGGCTTCTTGCTAAAATTAGGCTTTACAAGCAAGTGCACAGATGTGCCTAGGAGAAGGTTCAGAAACCTGACTAAATTTTGCTCAAGCCAAGGATCTTTGTCAGTGTTCCCAATGTAACTTTTTTTAAATTTTTTATTTTATTTTATTTTATTTTATTTTATTTTAGTATTTATTGATCATTCTTGGGTGTTTCTCAGAGAGGGGAATTTGGCAGGGTCATAGGACAATAGTGGAGGGAAGGTCGGCAGATAAACATGTGAACAAGGGTCTCTGGTTTTCCTAGGCAGAGGACCCTGCGGCCTTCCGCAGTGTTTGTGTCCCTGGGTACTTGAGATTAGGGGTGGTGATGACTCTTAACGAGCATGCTGCCTTCAGGCATCTGTTAAACAAAGCACATCTTGCACCGCCCTTAATCCATTTAACCCTGAGTGGACACAGTACATGTTTCAGAGAGCACAGGGTTGGGGGGTAAGGTCACAGATCAATAGGATCCCAAGGCAGAAGAATTTTTCTTAGTACAGAACAAAATGGAGTCTCCTATGTCTACTTTTTTCTACACAGACACAGTAACAATCTGATCTCTCTCTTTTCCCCACATTTCCCCCTTTTCTATTCGACAAAACCGCCATCGTCATCATGGCCCGTTGTCAGTGAGCTGCTGGGTACACCTCCTAGATGGGGTGGCGGCCGGGCAGAGGGGCCCCTCACTTCCCAGACGGGGCGGCCGGGCGGGGGCTGCCCCCCACCTCCCCCTCGGACGGGGCGGCTGCCAGGCAGAGACGCTCTTCACTTCCCAGACGGGGCGGCTGCCGGGCGGAGGGGCTCCTCACTTCCCAGATGGGGCGGCTGCCGGGCGGAGGGGCTCCTCACTTCTCAGACGGGGCGGCCGGGCAGAGATGCTCCTCACCTCCCAGACGGGGTGGCGGTCGGGCAGAGACACTCCTCAGTTCCCAGACGGGGTCGCGGCTGGGCAGAGGTGCTCCTCACATCCCAGACGGGGCAGCGGGGCAGAGGCGCTCCTCACATCCCAGATGGGGCGGCGGGGCAGAGGCGCTCCCCACATTGCAGAGGATGGGCGGCTGGGCAGAGATGCTCCTCACTTCCTAGACGGGATGGCGGCCGGGCAGAGGCGCTCCTCACTTCCCAGACTGGGCGGCTGGGCAGAGGGGCTCCTCACATCCCAGATGATGGGCGGCCAGGCAGAGACGCTCCTCACTTCCCAGACGGGGTGGCGGCCGGGCAGAGGCTGCAATCTCGGCACTTTGGGAGGCCAAGGCAGGCGGCTGGGAGGTGGAGGTTGTAGGGAGCCGAGGTCAGCCACTGCACTCCAGCCTGGGCAAGATTGAGCACTGAGTGAGCGAGTCTCCGTCTGCAATCCCGGCACCTTGGGAGGCTGAGGCTGACAGATCACTCGAGGTCAGGAGCTGGAGACCAGCCCGGCCAACACAGCGAAACCCCGTCTCCACCAAAAAATACAAAAACCAGTCAGGCGTGGCGGCGCGTGTCTGCAATCCCAGGCACTCGGCAGGCTGAGGCAGGAGAATCAGGCAGGGAGGTTGCAGTGAGCCGAGATGGCGGCAGTACAGTTCAGCCACTGCTGGGCATCAGAGGGAGACCATGGAAAGTGGGAGAGGGAGGGGGACGGGGAGGGGGAGGAGAGGGCAATGTAACTTCTTGATGATTTTATTCTGTCCCCACACCTCAGTATTAGTAAGATCTAATTTCAAAAATCAATGTCATGGAGGAAGTAACTGATGCTATAAAATAGTATCTATCAGGCCGGGCGCGGTGGCTTACGCCTGTAATCCCAGCACTTTGGGGGGCCGAGACAGATGGATCACAAGGTCAGGAGATCGAGACCATCCTGGCTAACACGGTGAAACCCCGTCTCTACTAAAAGTACAAAAAAATGGCACCACTGCACTCCAGCCTGGGCGACAGAGCAAGACTATCTCAAAAAAAAAAAGAAGTATCAAAAAATGCTCATATGTAATTTAGTAAAAGAATGTTGCTGGGCATGGTGGCTCACACCTGTAATCCTAGCACTTTGGGAAGCTGAGGCAGGCAGATACGAGATCAGGAGATCGAGACTATCCTGGCTAACACGGTGAAACCCTGTCTCTACTAAAGGTACAATAAATTAGCCGGGTGTGGTGGCACGTGCCTGTACTCCCAGCTACTAGGGAGGCTGAGGCAGGAGAATCGCTTGAACCCAGGAGGCGGAGGTTGCAATGCGCCGAGATCGCGCCACTGCACTCCAGCCTGGTGACAGAGCAAGACTTCATCTCAAAAAAAAAAAAAAAAAGAATGTTCATGTTATATGACCACATGTCTCTAATTTGGTTATAAGACAAGAGGATGCCCACATAAGGGCAAGAGCTGAATGATTTGCATAGTAATTTTCTTTTTTAGAGATGAGGTCTTGCTTTGCCACCAAGGCTGGAGTGCAGTGGCAATATCCAGCTCACTGCAGCCTCAACCTCCCAGGTTCAAGTGATCCTCCTGCCTCAACCTCCCAAGTAGCTGGGACCATAGGCACGTGCCACTATGCCTGGCTAATTTTTCTATTTTTTTAGTGATGGGGTCTCACTGTGTTGCCCAGGCTGGTCTCAAGCTTCTGGGCTCAAGCTTCTGGACTCAAGAGACCCTCCCACCTCAGCCTCCCAAAGTATTGGTTGAGATTACAGGCATGAGCCACCGTGCCCCACCTACATAAGCATTTTCTTTTCTTTTCTTTTTTTCTTTTCTGAGACAGAGTCTTGCTGTGTGGTTCAGGCTGGAGTGCAGTGGCGCTATCTCAGCTCACTGCAACCTCCACCTCCTGGGTTCAGGTAATTCTCCTGCCTCAGCCTTCTGCATAGCTGGGATTACAGGTGCATGTCACCATGCCTAGCTAATTTTTGTACTTTTAGTAGAGATGGGGTTTCACCATGATGGCCAGGCTGGTCTCGAACTCTTGGCCTCAAGAGATCCACCTGCCTTGGCCTCCCAAAGTGTTGGGATTACAGGCGTGAGCCACCGTGCTGGGCCCATAACTATTTTCTTATTTTGCATCGTGAGTATTTTCATGTATTAAGTATATTTGAAAAGTTTTTTTTTTCTTTCTTGAGGCAGACACTGCTGCTTATGGATACTTTTCATTTACAGTACTGCTGTGCTCCATTTCAAGTTTTGTATTCCCATTTCATAGCCTTATTCCCAAGAAACATTTCTACGCACCTTGAATTCTCTTGGTAGCTTTGAATTTATAAGATACCCTGATGGAGGTAGAACCCCTATATCTCTTTTTACTTCATATTGCAACATTTTCAAACACTGGGAAAATGGTAAAATATGCATCTATGTATATGCATTTCCTCAATGTACATAAGAAAACTCAACATTTTGCCTTATTTGCTTAGTCTAATGCTTTTTCTGAAAATTCATTAAGTCAATTTACAAAGACATAACTTCAATCCTAAATATTTCAGCTCAGAAAACAATACCCCCAAATGAGGGCCTCAGAAGCAGGTTTTCCTCTGACCTTCTCCTGCACTCTCCCGTATCTTAGTCTCATTCTCCCCCAAGGCTAGCCATAGAAACTAGGATCCAGAATGCCTTTCCCCCAGAGCCAGCCCTAAAACCGAAAAATGTTATTGTAATTTTCCTTTTGCCTTTCCATGTAAAAACTGGCCATGAATAAATTAAATTATCTGACCCATGTTGTTTGACTGTAGGTCATAAGACCCCTATTCCAGAGAATGTCCTGCCCCATATTCAGAAGGAAGGAAGCATGCTTAGAGAGGCCAAGAAAACTCTAGGCCAAACCTGTCCAACCTACAGCCGGCTTGCGCCCCAGGACAGCTTTGAATGCTGCTCAACACAAATTCGGAAACTCGGCTCACTGCAAGCTCCGCCTCCCGGTTCACGCCATTCTCCTGCCTCAGCCTCCCGAGTAGCTGGGACTACAGGCGCCCGCCACCAGGCCCAGCTAATTTTTTGTATTTTTAGTAGAGACGGGGTTTCACCGTGTTAGCCAGGATGGTCTCGATCTCCTGACCTCGTGATCCGCCGGCCTCGGCCTCCCAAAAAGCTGGAATTACAGGCGTGAGCCACCGCACCCGGTCTGGAAACTTTCCTAAATCATGAGGTTTTTTTTTTAAAGCTGATCAGCTATCGTTAGTGTATTTTATGTGTTGCCCAAGACAATTCTTCCAAAGTGGCCCAGGGGAACCAGAAGATTGGATACCCCTGCCCCCGACAAACAGGTCTCACTGGGTTTTCCCACTCCATCTTTTAGCATTAGGTCCTACTCTTTTTGTCCAATCATATTTCTGCACGGCTTTACTTTGTTGAACCTAAGCATAAAAATTGACAATTTCCCCTGTGGCTTTGGGTCTTCATTCTGAAGGCGCCGGTGTATACTTGTTACATAAATTTGTATGCTTTTTCTATTAATCTGCTTAATGTTAGTGATTTTCTTTAAAAAAATTTTTCGTACAAAGCCACAGCCAACATAATGGGTGTTGATGTTGCACCAGCCCTGATAAAAACCAGTACGTTTTCCTACTTGATTGTAACGTTATTTTCACAATTAAGAGTAACCCAGTGCACGCTCCCTTCTCCTCTCCAATGTCTTCCGCAGGTGGTGGTTATTTAATGGGTATTTGATGGAGGACCACGCGTTGCATTTGGCGGTAAACTTTAACCCCTAAGGTCCCAGGGCGCTGAAACAATCTGGGCAGGAGAGAAGGTCACGGACATCTTCTGCGGTCTAAAAACGCGGAAAGGCTGCGAAGTCGCTTTCAGGCGCTGAGCGGAGGTCTGCGGGAAATGTGGTTTCGGACGCGTCTCCTGGGCTCCGTCTGTCTTTTCCCCTACCTTCTTCCTGCGCGGTGGGGTGCAGAGGATCTCAGAGGCTCCTGGTTCCCCACAGATGTAGAGGGTCCGCGCCCCAGGGGAGAGCGCGGGGGTGATGGGGCGTCTGCGCGGCGGGGACCAGCGTGGAGTGCTCGGCTTGTGCCTGGGGAGGAGGGAGCGAGAAGTCTCGGGAGCCCCCCAACATCTGGCGGGACTCCCCAGCGCTGGAGCCCAGCCCGGGCCTGTACAACTGCCCTTGCGGGCTCCTGAAGCGCGGGTGGGGTGGGGCGCGTGTCAGGGGCAGGTGCTTGGTGCCGTCCCGGGGGTGCGGGAGCGTGAGCCGGGCCCACCCTGCAGCCCAACCAGAGAAAAGCCCATGCTGGCGGCGGTAGGGGTAAGAGCGTTTCTGATGCCGGCAACGAACGTGCCAGACGCCAGAGTGCTTGGATCCGCGGCGAGCCCCCGAGCTCTGGAGCCCTGGAGCCCTGGCTAAGTTCCAGCTCTGGCACCTGTGAGTCAGGGCGAGGGAAGGAAGCCGGTCAGGTTTCTCATTTGAAAAGATGACTTTGCTCTGAGAGTTAGAAAATCCATCACCTGTAAGGCAAGTAGCCAAGTGCAGCTTCCCAAGGCCTCAGTGACAGCTAGTATTGTATTTAGAAGACACTTTGTTTTCTACTCACTGGGTGTCTTATGTAAAGCACCCAACCACTCTGTGAGGCCGGCATAACCATCTGCATTAAATATAACAACCAAGGCTCAGGTTGGTGGAGCAGTGCACTCAGGTCATAAGCTAGCAGTGAGGGAGGCTGGGTTCAAGGGCAGCTGTGATTTATTTCCCGTGTCAGCCCTGTCTAATATCACACCTGCCTAAAACCAGCACTGCAGCCTTCACAGCGCTTAGCAGAGTGACCTGTCTGCAAATACCCAGGGATAAAATGGGAAGTGAATGTGAAACTTCCTCTTGTCGAGTGTGTTCTGGGATTTCTGGTGTTTGCTCAGAATCCCTGGGGCAGAGGGAGACTCCTAGCTCCTCCTGCACTGGCAGGTGGTTTGTGTTTTCACTCTGATAGAGTGAATTCCAAGAGAGTCAGGTTTGTGGCCCTAAGCGGGTCTGTTTCCTAGATATTGAGAGACTAATTATCTTAGATCAAAGCCCGTCTTGTGATGTAGGAATCAGGGGGCTCAGGGAACAGGAATCTTACCCGGAAGGGAACAACATCCTGTTCTTAATTCCCTCACCAGAGCTTCAGAGAAGAGGCAGAAGTGTGCAAACAGGAGCAGGTCCAAGATTTGCATGGCCAGAAGCAATTCTTGATCCTCTTGGCTAGATTCGAAGATTTGGCCACCTCCAGACGCTACCACACTCTGGGACAGTGGGAGATTTGGAACAGCTTTGAGAAGAGCAAGGTGAGCTGGGACTTCCTGGAGCAGGCTGCCCAGGAAAAGCCATTCCATGGCAGAACTTGCGAGGGTGAGGTCGAGGGTTAAGGGATAAGCGGGCAGAGGGTAGAAATCCAATTGGGCTATTCCTAAAGCATCCCCAGTCGCTTGGTTTTCCACTCTTCACCGATGCTGCACTAATGCCACGTAGGTCCATCCCCGCATATGACACCAGGGATTTTATTCTGACCTCACAAGATCCCAGGATGATGGCTCACAAAGGGCTTCCCTGGTTATTTACTTCTGACTCTTGAAAGCTTAAAGAAATTGTGCCTGAGAGGTTCAGTACCTTGTCCAGGGACACCCAGTTTGTGCAGAGCCGGGAGGAAAACACAGTTCAGTTCACTGTCACAGGTGAGTCACCAAAAACATCCTATAAAAAGACCTTTTGAGAAACTGTAACCCCGTTAAAACTAGTTAAAAATTCTTGCCTTAAAGCATTCCATATTCATTTTACTTGGCTTTCTGTGGATTTTCTCCCATGAGAGACAAGCAGTATTAATCGGAAAACGGTTAAGTGGTGCAGCCTGAGTGTTTTGCTGTGTTAATTTTAATAAAAGAACAGTGCCTTATCCTTCAAGTACTTTAATTAATCCTCTGTTGTGTTGTTTCTGTTAGTCATTCAGAAAAACTGAAGTATCATTTAACCATGGAAAAGTGCATATTCCGTTGATGAAAAGCGTAGGTTTTAGTCCACTTGAGCATTTCTGAGTCTTAGGTGGTAGGTGGTGCTGCCTCTGCAGTTCTTCCTGGGCCTCCCTGCTGAGCCATCACAGTTCTATGCTCTCCCACAAGCTGCAGAAAACCAGCCAATCTCACACAAGCTCTTTATTCATTTCCCAGGCAGCTCTTTATTCATTCTCCACTTGGCATTGTAATGGATTTATGAGGCTTATAAGGGTCTGTATGTAAATGAAATAAAAATAGAAATAGATGAACCCAGTCTTGAGGGAAAATATATGTGGTTTCAACATAAACTCTGATATTTGCTCTTGGTGTAACCCAGGTTCCCTGGATTTTCCTGTACACTCTTTGAACCCACTTTGAACCCACTTGTAACTGTTGCACTTTGAGTTCTTGTTGTTTCAAAAAGTTCCAGGAAGAAGCTCAGCCCTTGCAAAACAAAAAAACTGGTTGGATCTTTGGCGAACTCTCCTCATTACCATTCTAAAAACCCTGCCCAGGGAGGAGCTTTTTGGCCATTTTCTACACATGCCACAAAGGTAGAAGCATGATCAGCTACTGCACCTGCACTGCCTTTACTCTACCTCTACATATAATGACTTAGCTAACCAGCCCAATAAAAGGCCTGTTTTCACTCTGTTTGGGGAGACACTGCTTTGGGGAACCATTCCCATGTCCTCTTTACTTGTTCCAAGTAATAAAATCCCCTTATTATGTCCCCCTTGATTGTGTTCATTGATCTGTCACCTGCCAAGTGATCAAACCCACCCATTGTGTGTGGAACATTGTGTATTGGTCTATTCTCCCATTGCTATAAAGAAACACCTAAGATTGGGTAAAGAAAAGAGGTTTAATTGGCTCATGGTTTTGCAGGCTGTTCAGGAAGCATGATGCTGACATCTGCTTCGCTTCTGGGGAGGCCTCAGGAAGCTTACAATCATGGCAGAAGGTGAAGGGGGAGCAGGCATGTCACAGGGCCAGAGCAGGAGCAAGAGAGTGAGGGGCGAGGTGCCACATACTTTTAAACCACCAGATCTTGGGAGAACTCACTATCACAAGGTTAGTACCAGGAGGATGCTACTAAACTATTCATGAGAAATCGGCCTCCATGATCCAGTCACCTCCTCCCGCCAGGCCCCTCCTTCAACATTGAGGATTACAATTGAATGGGAGATTTAGGTGGGGACACATATCCAAACCACACATCCAAACACTGGCTCTTGCTAGGTAACCTTTGTTGATAAGTAGGTTCCCTCTACTTACTAGTTTGCTTAGACTTTCATTTAGTCATGCATGAATGTACTTTGTTATGTTGAGTATCTTTTCTATCTCTATTGAAATAAAGCCCAGATTATTTTCTTTAATCTTATGCTAATCACAATATTTATTGTTGATTTTCTAATATTTATTATTGATCTCCTGTATAGATCTGACATGCTGATGAGTATGGTGAGTTGCTTTGAATGTGTGTTGAGTGGGATCCTTTACCAGTACTATATTTAGGATATTTATGTCTTTGTCATAAGTTAGGTGAACCTATAATTTCCTTTTCCCTTTTTGGTGTTATGGCTCTATTAGCCTCATAAAAGGAATGGGGTCACTTTTCTCCTCCTTTTTTCTTTCCTTGATGTTTTTCTCCCTGTAACTTAATATGAAAAAAATTGCCTGTTGTTTGTGGGGGGATTTTTGTGTGCAGATTTTGAAAATAACATCAGTTATTAATACTAAATGGTCAAGAGCTCCTGGATTTTCCTCTCACCATGTAGCTTATCTTTTCATATTCTTTTTTTTTTTTACTTAAAAATTATTTTTATATATTTAGGGGGTATAAATGCAGGATTCTTAAGTGCGTATATTGAGTAGTGGTGAATTCTGGGATTTTAGTGTACTATTGCCTGAAGAGTGAACATTGTACCCAATAGGTAGTTTTTCAACCCTCACCCCCTCCCACTCTCCCACCTTTTGGAGTCTCCAGTGTCTGATATTCCACATTTTTTTTTTTTTTTGAGACGGAGTTTCGCTCCTGTTGTGTAGGCTGGAGCACAGTGGTGCGATCTCGGCTCACCACAACCTCTGACTCCTGGGTTCAAGTGATTCTCCCGCCTCAGCCTCCTGAGTAGCTGGGATTACAGGTGCCTGCCACCACACCCAGCTAATTTTTGTATTTTTAGTAGAGATGGGGTTTCACCATGTTGGCCAGGCTGGTCTCGAACCCCTGACCTCAGGTGATCTGCCCACCTCTGCCTCCCAAAGTGCTGGGTTTACAGCCATGAGCCACTGCACTGGGCCTGTTATTCCACTTTGTCTGTGCATGTGTACCCACTGTTTAGCTCCCATGAATAAGTGAGAGCATGTGGTATTTGACTTTCTGAGTTATTTCACTGAAGATAATGGCCTCCAGTTCCATCTGTGTTGCTGTGAAAGACAATCTTTTCATATCTTAAGTGTCTTTAAAAAAGAAGGGTTTAATCAATCAAGTTTTCAAAAACTTTAACCTTTTTTTCTTATGCTTTTTTGCTCATGTATAAGAAATCTTTGCCTAAACCAAGGTCACAAAGATTTCTTCCCATGTTTTTTAGTTGCAGGTCTTACATTTATGTCTATGTTTTTTTTTTTTTTGGTAGAGGGCAGGGTCTTCCTCTGTGTCATCCAGGCATGATCATAGCTTACTGCAGCCTTGGACTCCTAGGCTAAAGTGATCCTCTTCCCTCAGCCTCCCAAGTAGCTAGGGTAGGACTACAGGTGCATGCCACTATGCCTGGCTGATTTTTAAATTTTTTGTAGAGACAGAGTCTCACATCATTGCTCAGGCTGGTCTTGATCTCCTGGCCTAAAGCAATTCTCTCATCTTGACCTCCCAACATGCTGGTACTATAAGCATGAGCCACCACCATGGCTGACCCTCTGTGATCATTTTGAATTCATTGTTATTTTTGTTACAAGGTATAGATCAAGTGTGGAGTCCTAATTAGGGAAAAGGAGTGGCTGGCGTGACCAGGGGAAAGCAAAGAAATAAAGCAGATATGCTATAAGGTCTGCCTTTCCTCCTGGTCCAGGACATAGAAACAAAAATAGAAAGCAGATAAACTGTAAGTCTGCTGTACTCCTTATGGCCCAGGACATATAGCCCTCCTGTGTAGATAATGTATAGAATTGACAGATTTCCTGCTTATCATCAAATGCTTCAATTTCTCATCAAACACCTCAGCAGACAGAAAAACGCAAGTTAGCTTCCTGCTACAGTTGCGTTATCCATCAGCCCAAATTCCATTCTATAAAGTCTGCAGCAAGTCTTTGTCTCCCAGCAGTCAGCTTCTCTCTTGCTGATTCAATCCATTGCTTTCTCGCAATGCATTTTCATACCTTCTCTAATAAATCTGCTTTTCTTTACCTACAACTGTCTTGGTAAATTCTTTTTACTCCTGTGCCACCAGCCCAGATAGTTGCCACTCACGCATGACTGTATGGGGGACTCTCCCCTTATGGGAAACACTCTCCCTTCTTATTTTCCCTTTCCCAACTTGGGACCCTTGGTGGACAAGTGTCTACGCACAAAGACAACTCTAGGTCTCCTGCTGGAGCTACACTCCCATGGGACTAAACGGTGTCCATGTGGAAGCATCTGATGGCCACCTTCTGTTCAGGTGAGAAACCTGTTTATTCTGTCTTTAGTCTTTCAGCAGCCGGCTTCTAGTATCTCCTGGCAATTGATGGTAACTGGCTGGAGCTGCTCTCTGGTGTTGCCTGAAGGCCAGAGAGTGAATAGGGCCAGCAGCCCTGCCTGCAAGGCAGAAAGGCTGTTCCTATATTTTCTGATCGGTAGCCTCAATGCCTACGTGTGACGCAACTGACAGTGGAAGCTCATTCACGGCAAATTCACATGTTTTGGATGACTCAGATTTTCTCTTTCTCACTCTAAATTCTCCTGTGGAGTCAGCCAGCCATCCTATTCCAGCTAAATCAGCTGATCTTGGTCACCACCCCATCCCCAGGGATGGGCGGAGGGGGTGGCGGCAGCGACAGCAGGGGAGGCAGCTGGATTAAACAGGTCACCTGCAGGTATTTTATGCTGGGGTTTGTAAGGAAGGTGATAACTGTCGCTACTCCCATGACCTCTCTGACAGTCCGTGTGGTGTAGTGTGCAAGTATTTTCAGTGAGGGTACTGTATTTATGGAGACCGCTGCAGATATGAACATAGCAAGCCATTGAAACAGGAAGAAGCAGCTGCTACAGAGCTAACTACAATATCATCCCTTGCTGCTTCCTCAAGTCTCTTGTCGTTAGTCGGACCACTTGTTGAAATGAATACAGGTGAAGCTGAGTCAAGAAATTCAAACTTTGCAATTGTAGGAGCAGGTTCAGAGGACTGGGTGCATGCTATTGAGTTTGTTCCTGGGCAACCCTACTTTGGCTATATTAGATTTTCAGTTCCCTTGTAGTTCATGTATCTGTCTTATTAGTTTGGACCTTTACCACCCTCTTGAAAATTTTCAGCTGTGCCTTCCTGCACTGAAGCACCTCTGCAGGACTCAGTGACCAAGGAAGAATCAGAGAAAGAGAAAAACTGCTGTGGAAACCAAGAAGCAGCTGTGCCCCTGTGCTGCAGTGAGAGAGTGCTGAGATGGGGAGAACTGTGTGCCTCTCCATGGAGATTCATGTGACATGTGTGGACTGCAGGTCCTGCATCCCATGGCTGCTGCCCAGAGATCACAGCATATAAAATTGTGCATTGAGGCCCATGAGAAGGACATGGAGCTCTCACTTGCTGTGCAGCGCAGCAAGGACGTGGTGTATGGGATCTGCATGGAGGTGGTCTATGAGAAAGCAAACCCCAGTGAGTGCTGCTTCGGGATTCTCTCCAACTGCAACCATGCCTACTGTCTCAAGTGCATTCGCAAGTGGAGCAGTGCTAAGCAATTTCAGAGCAAGATTATAAAGTCCTGCCTAGATTGCCAGATCACATCTAACTTTGTCATTCCAAGTGAGTCCTGGGTGGAGAAAGAAGAGAAGCAGAAACTCATTCAGAAATACAAGGAGGCATTGAGCAACAAGGCTTGCAGGTATTTTGATGAAGGACGTGGGAGCTGCCCATTTGGAAGGAATTGTTTTTACAAGCATGCGTACCCTGATGGCCTTACAGAGAAGCCACAGAGACAGAAAGTGGGAACATCAAGCAGAAACTGGGTCCAATGAAGGAACCACTTCTGAGAACTCACTGAGGAAAGAGATAGCAGCAACCCTTTTGACAATGATGAAGAGGTTGTCACCTCTTGAGGTGGGCGAGATGTTGCTTATGCTTTTGGCTGCAGGTGGGGATGATGAACTGGCAGACTCTGAAGATGAGTGGGACTTGTTTCATGATGAGCTGGAAGATTTTTATGATTTGGATCTATAGCAACCTTGTGTGGCGTGTGAACTGGTCTGCTGACCCCAGACAGCAGCTGTCCCCTGTGCTGGTGTGGCAGTGCCTGTGTTCTCTCCTAGGTAGGCCTATCAACTCCAGGTGTTGTAAAAATTTTTACCCAGGGCCTGTCTTCTCAACCCTTCACCTTTCCCCGAGGAGTGTGTTATTTTCCCTGTTGAAAACAGTTAAAACTTAAAGTTAGTTTTTTGTAACACAATTAAAAAAAAAATCAGGTGATCTCAAACAGCCTCAAAATGGGGAATCTTTCCTTATCTGTTCCCTCTCCTGGGCTAGTACAGGCAGAGTTCTCCCTTCACCCGCAATATCAAGGTTGTTTATTTTTGTTTATGTCTGAGAGTTCTAATATTTGTTCTCAATTGAATTGCATTGGCACCATTTTTTGGAAACATTTGACTTTTTATTATTTGTGGCTCTGTTTCTGGAGTCTGTATTCTCTTTTTTTCATTGTTGTTGTTTGTTTGTTTTTTGGGGATTTTTTTTTTTTTTTTTTTTTTTTTGAGACAGAGTCTCCCTCTGTTGCCCAGGCTGGAGTCCACTGGCACGATCTCGGCTCACTGCAAGCTCCGCCTCCCGGGTTGAAACGATTCTCCTGCCTCAGCCTTCCGAGCAGCTGGGATTACAGGCACCTGCCACCACACCTAATTTTTGTATTTTTAGTAGAGATGGGGTTTCACCATGTTGGTCAGGCTGGTCTTGAACTCCTGACCTCAAGTGATCTGCCCGCCTAGGCCTCCCAAAGTGCTGGGATTATAGGTGTGAGCCACTGTGCCTGGCCTGGAGTCTGTATTCTCTTTTGTTGATCTGTGCCAGTCCTTTTGCGAGTATGCCCCCCTTGATTACTATTCCTTTAAAATAAGTCTTGTATTCAGAATGTGAATCTCCCAAGCTTATTCCTTTTCAAAATTGTATTGGATATTCTAAGTCCTTTGCTGCTTACAACTTTAGAGTCTACCTTTCTGTCTTCAAAACTTGCTGTGACTTTGTGTGTGGTTGCATTAACTCTGAGGATCAATTTTAAACCTCTTTCTGTATTCCAAAATCATGTAACCAATGGTGCGGTATATAATTCCACCTGTATCTTCACAGATGTTAAATACCCATTTCCTTTTTCTTGTTCTTTTTATCTTAGTATATAGCATCATCATCTAACCATTTGCTCATGCAGCCTATGTACAATTGCACACAAAAATGATAATGAAAAATGTTGTTCCCTTCTCTCACAGGGATTAGCTTCCCAGTCTGAACCTCATTGCTTTACCTCTATGTAGGTCATCTGTTAGATTGTTCTCATCTGTTTTGCTCCTTAAGACATTCCCACTCTTCTGGAATATTGCTTCTGAAAGACAAGTTTGATCATGTGTAATACTTCCAGGGCTTACATGCATCCTTTGTTGGTTCCCTCTTAACCTAGCAGAGAACTGTGATGAGGTTTTTATATCCTAGAGAGTTCTCAGGATGGTCCACTAAGGTGTAGGAAAGATGGCAGAAAGCCTAACTAAAATAACTTTATCTAAAACAGAGACACTAAATCTTATCCATAGTATATTAGCTGACAGTCTATGTATATAATTTATAAATAAATATACATGCATTAGGGCATGAGAATAATATTTGTACCAATTATATGAGTACCCCAAAGCATAAGACAATGGCAGAGCCATAATAGGGTACTTTATAACATTTAAACTCTCAACAATAAACACAATACAAATTTGTTTTCAAAGGCATTTTCCACAGTACAGTTTCTAAACCCTTCAGATTAATTAGAAATGTGCTGTTGTATCACTTCTTGGCCTTTTGGCTAAGATCAAGTATAGAAATGTGCTGTTACAGGCGTCAGTCATTCCAGGATGTGACTGTGGAATTCACCCAGGAGGAGTGGCAGCACCTGGGCCTTGTTGAGAGGACCCTGTACAGAGACGTGGTGCTGGAGAATTACAGCCACCTCGTCTCAGTGGGTGAGCACAGCTTACCATGGGGTTCCCTCCAGAGTGCAGTTATGTTTCTCCTCTCTTTCTCACCTCCTTTTTATGTATTTATTTATTTTTTTGAGACAAGAGTTTTGCTCTTGTTGCCCAGGCTGGAGTGCAATGGTGCAATCTTGGCTCACTGCAACCTCCACCTCCTGGGTTCAAGTGATTCTCCTGCCTCAGCCTCCCTAGTAGCTGGAATTACAGGTGGCCGCCACCATGCCCAGCTAATTTTTGTATTTTTGTATATATACTTTTTTGAGACAGAGTCTCGCTCTGTCGCCCAGGCTGGAGTGCAGTGGCACGATCTCGGCTCACTGCAACCTCCGCCTCCCGGGTTCAAGCAATTCTCCTGCCTCAGCCTCCTGAGTAGCTGGGACTACAGGTGCGTGCCACCGCACCTGGCTAGTTTTTGTATTTTTAGTAGGGATGGTGTTTCACCATGTTGACCAGGCTGGTCTGGAACTCCTGACCTTGTGATCCACCAGCCTCAGCCTCCCAAAGTGCTGGGATTACCAGTGTGAGCCACTGTACCCGGCCCTCCCTTTTAATTTTTAAATCACTTGTATTGAGGTGTGACTAACAGAAAATAAAAGTTATTAAGTTTCAGTGTACAATTTGATGAATTTCAGAAATGTATATAGGTGATTACCACTACCAAAATCATGGCAAAATATTTCCGTCACCCCGAAAGATTTCCTTGTAGCCCTTTGCAGTCATTCGCCCTCTCAGCCCCTCACAATCAGTGATCTGTTTTCTTTCACAATAGTTTTGCCTTAGAAATTTTATATACATTATATTTACACTTTTTTCTTCCTGCTTCCACTTAGCATAATGCTTTTGAGATTCATATGTGTTTTTTGTATATCATTCTTCTCATTCCTGAGTAGTGTTCCTTTGCATGCATATACCACAATTTGTTATGCATTACCAGTTGACGGGCATGTAAGTTTTGTCCCCTTTGGGGTATTATGAGTAGAGCTGCTATGGCCACTTGAGTACAAGTCTTTGTGTTGACATTTGTTTTCATTTGTCTTGTGTAAATACCTAGGAGTAAGGTATTATCCGTCTTATGGGTAAGTGTATGTGTAACACTGTCAGAAACTGCCAGCGTTTCCAGTGTTGCTCTGCCAGTTTGCTTGTGTGTTAGCAATGTATGATAGTTCTAGTTGCACCACATCCTCACCAACATTTTGTATTGTCTTAAAAAAAGAAACATTATAGTGGGTGTCATTGGGTTTTAATTTGTATTTTCCTGATGATTAATGAAGGGGAGCATCTTTTCATGTTTCACACTTTTAGAAGTGTGTTAAAATATTTAGCCCCTTTTTTTGTCTTGTTGAGTTGAAAGAATTCTTTATATAATCTAGATACAAGCCCATTATCAGATAAAGATTTTGCTAGTGTTTTCTCCCCGTGGGTTGCTTGCTCTTTTCTTTCTTTTCTTTTCTTTTTTTTTTTTTTTTTTGTTGTTGAAACAGGGTCTCACTTTGTCACTCAGGTTGGAGTGCAATGGTGTGATCAAGGCTCACTGCAGCCTTGAACTACTGGGCTCAAGAGATCCTCCTGTCTCAGCCTCCCAGTGTTGGGATTATAGGCATGAGCCACTGTCCCTGGCCTTTATTTTCTTAATAGTGTCTCGGAAGAGCAAAGTTTTTCATTTGTTTTTAAATATGTCATTGTTTTTTATTTTCTATTTCATGGTTTGTGTGTCCTTTTAAATAAATTTTTGCCTTGTCCAAGGCCACTGAGATTTTATCCTATGTTTTCCTGAAGAAATTTTAGGTTTTACATGTAGGCCTATGGTTCATTTACAGTTAATTTTTCTATATAGTGTGAAATAAAATTTTGGTTATTTTTTTACATCTTGATGTCCAATTATATTGGCACCATTTGCCGGAAGGATTATTATTTTCCCATTGGACTGCCATGGCACCTTTGTAAAAAACAAATTGACCATATGTCGGTAGTTCTATATCTGGACTCTATTCTGTTTAATGGATTTGTATGTCTGTAACTCATCTTTCTTACGACGTAGCTTTGTGGAAAGTTATTGAATGTTTTGGTCTTTTAAGTATGCTCTTCATTTAAAAATTCTTTTGATTATTATACCATTCTTTGTTGTTCCACATAAATTTTAGAATTGTTAATTTCCTCAAAAACTTGTTGAAATCCTGGTTGAGATTGTCTTGAATCTTTTTTTTTTTTTTTTTTTTTTTTGAGATGGAGGCTTGCTTTGTTGCCTAGGCTGGAGTGCAGTGGCTTGATCTTGGTTCACTGCAATCTCCGCCTCCCTGCAACCTCTGCCTCCTAGGTTCAAGCGATTCTCATGTCTCAGCCTTCCAAGTAGCTGGGATTACAGGCGTGTACCACCACGCTTGGCTACTTTTTTTGTACTTTTATTAGAGATGGGGTTTCCCCATGTTGACCAGGCTGGTCTTGAACTCCTGACCTCAAGCTATTGGTTTGCCTTGGCCTCCCAAAGTGCTGGGATTACAGGCATGAGCCACGGTGCCCAGCTGTCTTGAATTTTAATAATAGTCTGAGGTAGTCTGAGGGAGGATTTTCATCTTAACAATATTAAGTCTTCTGATCCATTAAGGTATCCTTTGCCTCCTTTTATTTAGGTCTTTAATTTTTTTTTTTTTTGCAATGATTCGTAGCCTTCAGTATACTTTTTTTTTTTTTTTTTTTTTTTGAGACGAAGTCTCCCTCTGTCGCCCAGGCTGGAGTGCAATGGCGTGATCTCCACTCACTGCAACCTCTGACTCCCGGGTTCAAGCGATTCTCCTATCTCGGCCTCCCGAGTACCTGGGATTAGAGGTGTGGGCCACCATGCCCGCCTAATTTTTGTATTTTTAGTAGAGACGGGGTTTCACCATGTTGGCCAGGATGGTCTCCAACTCGTGACCTCAGGTTATCGGCCTGCCTCGGCCTCCCAAAGTGCTGGGATTACAGCCGTGAGCCACTGTGCCCAGCCCAGTATACGTTTTATACATATTTTGTTACGTGTGTTTCATGATTTTGATATTATAAATAATATGCATTTTACCATTTTAATTTTTAATTATTTGTTGGATGTTTGTAGAACTCCAGATGATTTATGTATATTACATTATGTTTTGTTTAATTTTAATTTTGTTTTGAGGCGGAGTCTTGCTGTGTCTCCCAGGCTAGACTATGGTGTGATCTCGGCTCACTGCAACCTCCGCCTCCTGGGTTCAAGCCATTCTCCTGACTCAGCCTCCCAAGTAGCTGGGATTACAGGCATACACCACCATGCCCAGCTAATTTTTGTAGTTTAGTAGAGACAGGGTTTCACCATGCTGGCCAGGCTGTTCTCAAACTCCCTACCTCAGGTGGTCCACCCACCTCGGCCTCCCAAAGTGCTGGGATTACAGGCGTGAGCCACCATGCCTGGCCACATTATGTTTCATTATAACTTTGCTAATTTTATTTATTCTAGTAAATATTTTGGAGGTTCCCTAGAATGTTTTGTGCCCACAATTATCTATACATAAAGATATATTTACTTCTTCCTTTCCCAACTGTATGTCTTTTTTTTTTTCTTTAATAATTGGCTAGGACTACCAATATAACTTTGACTACAAGTGGTGACAGAGGACATCCATGTCTTGTTTCTTTTGTTTTTGTTTTTGTTTTTTTTTTGAAACAGAGTCTCACTGTGTTGCTCAGGCTGGAGTACAGTGGTGCAATCTTGGCCACTGCAACCTCCGCCTCCTGGTTCAAGTGATTCTCCTGCCTCAGCCTCTGGAGTAGCTGGGATTACAGGCACCACCACCATGCCTGGCTAATTTTGTATTTTTAGTAGAGATGGAGTTTTGCCATGTTGACCAGGCTGGTCTTGAACTCCTGACCTCAAGTAATCCATCTGCCTCAGCCTCGCAAAGTGCTGGGATTACAGGCATGGGCCAATGTGCCCACCCCCATGTCTTGTTTCTAATCTTGGAGGGAAAACATTCAAACTGCACTGTGATATAGTGAACTAAGTTAATTGTATATGTTTTATGATTCTACTGATCAGTTTGTGGAAATTCCCTAGTCTGCTGAAATCTTGTTTTCATTCTTTGATAAATATCATCATTGAATTTTGTCAAATATTTTTTCTGATTCTACTGAGATAATCATATGGTTTTTCTTTTTTATTCAGCTAATATTGTGAATTACATTGGTTTTTTGAACGTTCAGCTAACCTTGAGTTCCTGGGATGAACCTCACTTGTTTGTGCTATATTATTTTTATGTTGCTGGATATGGCTCACTAGCATTTTAAGGACTTTTGCACCTATATTTATAAAGGATATTTGTAGATTTTCTTGCCTTGTCTTCTTATTGATTTGCTCTCTTGTTGCAATGCCTGGTTTGTAAAATGAGTTTGACCATTTGTACTATTTTCTAGAAGAAATTGGATAGGATTGATATATTTCTTCCTTACATGTTTGGTAGAATTCACCCCAGAATCATTCTGGACCTACAGTTTTCTTTGTGGGAGAGTTTTTATTTAAAGTGTGGTTTCTTGGCTGGGCACGGTGGCTCATGCCTGTAATCCCAGCACTTTGGGAGGCCAAGGCATGTGGATTGCTTGAGTCCAGGAGTTCAAGACCAGCCTGGGCAACATGGCAAAACCCTTTGTCTACTAAAAATACAAAAATTAGTTGGGCATGGTGGCAGACATCTATAATCCAAGCTACTCAAGAGGCTGAGGTGGGAGGATCGCTTGATCACAGATAGCAGAGTTTGCAGCGAGCTGAGATTGTACCATTGCACTCCAGCCTGAGTAACACAACAAGACCCTGTCTTAAAAAAAAAAGTATAATTTCTTTATTAGTTATAATACTATTTGGGTTGTCTTTTTTTTTTTTGAGACAGGTTCTGGCTCTGTTGCCCAGGCTGGAGTGTGATTGTAATGGTGTGATCATGGCTCACTGCAACCTCAACATCCCATGTTCAAGTGATCCTCCCGCCTCAGCCTTCCAAAGTGCTAGGATTACAGGCATGAGCCACTGCACCCATCCGGTTATCTCTTTTTTTATTATAGTAAAATATACATAACAAAATTTACCATTTTTTTTTCCCTTCAAGATGGGGTCTTGCTCTGTTGCCTGGGTTGGAGTGAAGTGGCATAACCATGACTCACTACAGAATTGAACTCCCGGGCTCAAGTAATCTTCCCCCACCTCGGGCTCCTGAGTAGCTGGGACTACAGGCATGTGCCAATATACTTGGCTAAGTTTTTAATTTATTTTTATTTATTTATTTATTTATTTTGAGATGGAGTCTCGCTCTTGTCGCCCAGGCTGGACTGCAGTGGCGCGATCTCGGCTCACTGCAAGCTCCACCTCCCGGGTTCACGCCATTCTTCCGTCTCAGCCTCCTGAGTAGCTGGGACTACAGGTACCCGCCACCACGCCCGGCTAATTTTTTTTGTATTTTTAGTAGAGACGGGTTTCACTGTGTTAGCCAGGATGGTCTCGATCTCCTGACCTCATGATCCACCCGCCTCGGCCTCCCAAAGTGCTGGGATTACAGGCATGAGCCACTGCGCCCGGCCAATTTATTCTTTTTTATAAAGGTGGGGTCTCCCTATGTTGCCCAAGCTGGTCTCGAACTGCTGAGCTCAAGGAATCCTCCCATCTCGACCTCCCAAAGTGGGATTACAGGTGTGAGCCACTGTGTCTGGCCTGAAATTTACCATTTTAACTCTACAGTTTTGTGGCATTAGCTACATTTCTACTGTTATACAGCCACCACTCCCATGTAGCTCCAGAACTTTTTCATGTTCTCCAACTGAAACTACCCGTTAAACACTAACTCCCCATTCCTCCTTTTCCCCAGCCCCTGTTAACCACTGGTTCTACTTTCTGTCTCTATGAATTTGACTACTTTATGTATCACATATAATTGGAATCATACAATACCTATCCTTTTGTGTCTGGCTTATTCCACTTAGCATAATGTCTTTAAAATTCAACCGTGTTTAGCATGTGTCAGAATTTTCTTCCTTTTTGAGGCTGAAAAATACTACATTGTATGTTTGTACCACATTTTGTGTATCCACTCATCCATTGGTTGATGCTTGGGTTGATACCACCTTTTGGGTATTGTGAATAACGCTGCTATGAACATTGTTGTACGAGTATCTGTTCATGTGCCTGATTTCTTTTGTGTATATATTCAGAAGTGATAGCAATTCATTGCATTTTTTTTTCCCCCTGAGAAGGAGTCTCCCTCTGTCACCCAGGCTGGAGTGCAGTGGCGTGATCTTGGCTCACTGCAACCTCTGCCTCCCGGGGTGCAAGTGATTCTCCTGCCTCAGTCTCCTGAGTAGCTGGGATTACAGGCGCCCGCCACCACACCCAGCTAATATTTGTATTTTTAGTAGAGACTGGGTTTTGCCATGTTGGCCAGGCTGATCTTGAACTCCTGACCTCAGGTGATCTACCCACCTTGGCCTCCCAAAGTGCTGGGATTACAGGCATGAGCTACCAAACCCAGACAATTCAATGCTTTTTAATTTTGAGGGATCACCATTCTGTTATCCACAATGGCGGTATCATTTTATATTCCTGCCATCACGTACCATGCATAAGGGTTCAATTTCTCCGTGTTTTCACCGATACCTTTTTTCTGATATTTTGATAACAGTTATCCAGTAAGTATGAAGTGGTATCTCATTGTGGTTTTGATTTGCATTTCCCTAGTTATTAGTGATGTTGAGCATCTTTTCCTGTGTTACTGGCCATTTGTATATCTTTGGAGAAGACTCTTACCTTTTTGAATTGAGTTGTTTGTTCTTTGTTGTTGAGTTGTAGGAGTTCTTCATATCTTGTGAATATTAATCCCTTATCAGATATGATTTGCAATTTTTTTATCCTATAGGTTACCTCTTCACTGTTCAATAGTGTACTGAAGTTTCTTTTCCCCTCCCCTCCCCTCCCCTCCCCTCCCTTCCCTTCCCTTCCTCTCCCCTCCTCTCCCTTCCCCTCCCCTCCTCTTTGACAGTCTCTCCTCCCCTCGCCTCCCCTTCCCTCCCCTCCCCTCCTCTTTGACAGAGTCTCCCCTCCCCTCGCCTCCCCTCCCCTCCCCTCCCCTCTCCTGTCTGACAGAGTCTCACTTTGTTGCCCAGGCTGGAGTGCACTAGCTATTCACAGGCACGATCACTGTGCACCTTAGCCTCAGACTCCTGGGCTCAAGCGATCCTCCTGCCTCAGCTTCCTGAGCAGCTGGGAGTACACGCATGTGCCACTGGGCCCAGCAGAAGTTTCTAATTTTGACAAAGTCCAACTTATCTATTTTTCTTTTGTTGCCGCTTCTTTTTGGCTTCATATCCAGGAAATCACTGCCAAATCTAACGTCATGAAGATTTTTTCCTGCTTTCTTCCAAGAATTTTATACTTTTAGCTCTTACCTTTAGGTATTTGGTCTATTTTGAGTAAACTTTTGAATATTATCTATTTTTTAAATGAGGTTTGGTAATTTGTGTTTTTCAAGGAATTTTTCAGTTTCATCTGAATTATTTAGGTTTAATGGTATGAAATTGTTCATAATTTCCTTACTATTTTTGGGACAGAAAGGTGTGATGCCTTTCCCCTCCTCATAAGAGTCATGGCTGACACTCCATAATAAAAGATGGGTTAAAAAGAGAAAAATATAATTTATTTGGTCATAGTTTTACGTGACATGGGAGCCTTCAGAATGAGGACTCAGAGGTACAGGGGAAATGATCTGGTTTTATGCTTGGGTTCAATGAAGCAGGGACAGCCATGTAGAAGTGTGACTGGACAAAAATGGTTATAAGCCAGTGTTAATAGACTGAGTGAGGAAACCCAGCAGGCCTGTGTGGTTCAGATTCTTCTTGGCCTCTCTGAATGGCATTTAATTTCTCCCAGGTATGAGTAGTATCCTTTCTGGAATGGAGGGTTTATGACCTATTATCAAACAAGGTAGATGAGAGATTTTCTTCATAGCCAGGTCTTACACAGAAATGGGGGAAAATTAGAGTAATATATTTAGGTTTTATGGCTAGCTCTGTGGAAAAGGGTTGCATTAATAGTTTCTATGACTTGCCTTGGGGAAGAGGAATTCGAGTTTCTGTGGCTTGCCTTGGAGGAGAATGATGGGGAAGAAACACAGGGCAAGAGAAAGAGAAATTTTGATTCTGAGGCTGCTGCTCAGTCCTTTGGGGTATCATTTTCTGAGCCCCAACACTATCATTAAAAAAAAAAACTTGGCCTCCCAGAATGCTGGGATTACAGGCATGAGCCACCGTGCCCAGCTTCCTGTGTTGTTTTTCTGACCCTTACTTGATTTTTTAATTATTTCTTTTCTTTTCTTTAATTTTTGTTTAATTTGTTAATGAAGTATGGCTAGCAGCAGGGTGACAGTCAGGTATACACCAGAATTTTTACATGATAGATCAATACAAAGAATTCTTCCTTTCTTTTTTTTCTTTTCAACTTTCAGTTGAAAAGTACTCTTCAGAGAATATCAGAGAGCTCTCACAGGGGTGAAACGTTTTGAGTTTGGGAAAAACGTCAGCCACATTTAAGCCCTTACAGTACATCATCAGAAAACTTACACATTGAAGACATCCTGTCATAATAACACATGCAGGGAAACTCAGTTCTCAGTCGACCTTCAATATACATCAGAGAACTCACATAAAGGAGAAGTCCTATTTGTATCTTCAGTGTCAAAAATTCTTCTCTAGGAGATCATTCCTTATACATCAAATAAGTCACAAAGTTGAGAAAACCTATGAATGTAATGAATGTGGGACAATTTTCCCTGAAAATAATCTCTTAGAGTACATCAGAGAACACACTCAGAGGAGGACCCTTTGAATGTACTGAATGTGGGAAGTCTTTCTGTAGGAAGTCAAACCTTATACATCAGAGAATTCACACAGGGAAGAAACCCTCTGAATAATGAATGTGGTAAAGCTTTCAACTAGAAATCAGGCCTTAGAGTGCATCAGAGAACTCACAAAGATCAGAAATCCTATAAATGTGATCAATGTGGGAAATTTTTCAAAGAGTTTTCAGTTGTAAAAAGCCATCAGATAAATCCCACAATGAAGAAATCCTATAAATATGATGTAGTAGGGAAGATTTCTACCAGAAGTAAAAACATGAAAAGTATCAGAAAACTCACTGGGATTAAATTTATAAACATAATGAGTGTGGAAAAGCTTTCAGCCACACATTAAACCTTGCACTGTATCAGAGAACTCACACATGTGAATGGGCCTGCCGGTGTCATGGATCTTGGAGTACTTTTAGGCAGAAATCACACTTCCAAGAACATCAGAGAACTCATGGGAGGAATTCTATAAAGGTGATGAATGTAGGACAACTTTCAGCCACAAGTCAGAGCTAAGAAAAGACTGGAGAACTCAGACAGGGGATGAAAACCTATTTACCAAATGAACGTGGAAGTTTCTCACTAAACATGTAACTTTTTGTTTTGAGACAGCGTCTTGCTCTTCTTCCAGGCTGCAGTGCAGTGATGCAATCATGGCTCACTGTAGCCTCAACCTTTGAGGCTCAAGTGATCCTCCTGCCTCAGTCTCCTGAGCAGCTGGGGTTTCAGGTGCATACCACCATGCCTGGGTAATTTTTAAAAAATGTTTTTCTTAGCGTCTCACTATGTTGCCCAGGCTGGTCTCAAACTCCTGGGATCAAGGGATCCTCCTACCTCAGCCTCACTAAGTGTTGGGATTACAGGTGTGAGCCACTATGCCCAGCCAACATAAGAGAACTTTCACTGGAGGGAAAGCCTTGAAATGTATTGCATGTGGATAGTCTTGTAGCCACTAAGTATAAGCTTAGTCCGTATTGGAGTCAGATAATTCACCCAGGAAAGAAACGCTATGAAGGTAATGAATATAGAAAATATCCTATGTGAACTAAACCCTTATAAACTTACACTATGGAGGAATCCTGAGAAAGAAATGAAAAGATGGATGCTTTCTGTCCTTGATTGAACGTCATTGAGCAGAGAATTTAAACGATGGAGAAAACCTAGGATGTAATAAATGTATGGTAATCTCAGCTCAAACCCACCTTTCTCAGTGCAACAGAAAATGTATACAGGCTGGGTGCAGTGGCTCGTGCCTGTAATCCCAGTGCTTTGGGAGGCTGAGGCGGGTGGTTTACCTGAGGTCAGGAGTTCAAGACCAGCCTGGCCAACATGGTGAAATCCCGTCTCTATTAAAAATACAAAAATTAGCCAGGTTTGGTGGTGGGTGCCTGTAATCCCAGCTACTCAAGAGGCTGAGGCAGGAAGAATTGCTTGAGCCCAGGAGACAGAGGTTGCAGTGAGCTGAGATTGTGCCACTGCACTCCAGCCTGGGTGACACAGCAAGACTCCATCTCAAAGAAAATGTATGCAGCAGTAGAGACCTCATAGTATATCAACCAGACCAAATAAATCATATGAAGGTAATGGATGTGGGAAATCCTTCTTCCAGAATGCAGCCACACAATGTGATATATATATATATAAAGTAAATAAAAGAGACCCCTATGGCACCTACTTGCGTGTTTGCATATTCTTGTGTGTTCACCAAGAACTATTTCCTTTTGTCCCTAGGCCAACAACCACTCTTCCATCTATATGGGGTAGTGGAATGTGGATTTCAGTGGTAAAACAAGTCCTATGAGAGATATCTTCATTCTATATGTTTTTTTGCTCTCCTTGTTCCTATACTAGAGATGAAAAATACCACATGGAAGGAGCCAAGGTTCAAGAATCACTGTGTGGAACAGTTTCCTCATCTTACTTCTCTGGCAGCCTTTTATGAGGAATAAACAAACTTGTTCTCTGCTGAGCTGTTATAGGTTTGGGTCTACTTGTTACTGACATATCCTAGACATCCCTCAGCTGATACAAGCTAAGAATATGACTTCCTTGAAAAGCGTGAAGTTGATATGTGTCTTAGTCCATTTGCATTGCTATAAAGGAATACCTGAGGCCGGGTAATTTATAAAGATAAAAGGTTGATTTGACTCATGGTTCTGCAGGCTGTACAAGAAGCATGGCACCAGCATCTTCTTCTGGTGAGGGACTCAGGTTGCTTCCACCCATGACAGAAGGGGAAGAGGGGTAGCAGGCTTCACTTGGAAAGACGAGGAAAGAGAGAGAGAAGGGAGGTGCCGGGATCTTTTTGACAATCAGATCTTGTGCAGCCTAATAGAGTGAGAACTCACTCATCAAGTTGATCACGAGGGATCCACCCCCATGACCCAGACACCTCCCACTAGACCCCACCTCCAACATTGGGGATCAAATTTCAACATGAGATTTGAAGGAGGCAGACGCCCAAACGATATCAAAAGCCTCATGGGAGAAACCCCTGACAACATCCTGACTGATCATTAGCTATTGCCCACAACTCTTCATTACTCATCTGGTAAATGACAGGATTTGTCTGATGTTGCCTTGTGATTACATTTAGGTTATCTACCTTTTGTAGACATACAGCATAAGTAACAGAAGTGTTGAGATTTCTTTTCTTTTTTCTTTTCTTTTTTTTTTTTTTTGAGACAGTCTCCCTCTGTCACCCAGGCTGGAGTGCAGTGGCCGATCTCAGCTCACTACAACCTCTGCCTCCCAGGTTCAAGCAATTTTCCTGCCTCAGCCTCCTGAGTAGCTGGGATTACAGGCGCTTGAGCTCAGGAGTTCGAGGATGCAGTGAGCTATGATGGCGGCACTGCAGTCTAGTCTGGGTGACAAAGCAAGACCTTGTATCTAACAAAATTAGAAGAAAAATCTTGTGAGGAGATATGTTCAGGCTATGCATGTATCCTCTCAATCCTCAAGTCACTACTCATTACTTTTAGTGTTTACTCCTGATCATTGCCCAAGTCACTTATTACCACAGTCGCAAAACCTGTTATTTTTAGTTCCATTATTCCTCACGTGTTTATCATGGTATAGAAAATAGTTTTCTTTTTTCCAGCATTTATTATTTATTTTTATTTATGTCTGTATAGATTCAGCTTTCTGTATTCAGTGGGTTATAATGCTTAGCTAGTATGGTTGTTTGTTTTTTATTCTCAAATCATCTGAGACGAAGCCTGTGGGGCATTTAAATTGTTCCTGTGTCCTTTTGTCATGTTTCTGGTATCTTTTTGCTTTTACCAAACCATTCTTGTACTTGTTTTGATAATTTTGATTTTTCCTTACAATGTTTAGAATTCTAAGCCCCTCTTAAGAAATCCTTTAAGATTGTGATTAGAATTTCATTTAATTTTGTCTCAATCAGGTGCCCATAGGTATAACCAATTCAATGCACTGGCCTAGATTCCTTCTGTGGAAACCCAGAGACACAGTCTAGCCATATGGGGCTCAGGCCTTTCCTAGTTTCCCTCTGTGCTGACCAATGTCCAGAGAATACTCCCCACCCAGTACCACATCACCCACTAGGGAATGTTTTCCGGGCCCTAAATGTTTTTAATGCTCCTTTTTTTCCCCCCTCTCTGCTTTATAGATCTTTTTTACCTGTGTCTAAACTTTTGTTCCAACAAATGGTAGGATCACCTGGAGACCCTGGAGGAATTAGATTTCCTGCTCACCTCCTTCTTTAGGCTCCTTATGTCACTACAGGCACATAGGCAGCCTGTTTCCGCAGGGTTTCCACACTGCTGCGTGTGGTGACTCTGCAGATGAGGAGCATTTTCACGCTTCAGCACTCACCCAGCACACCTTTTTCTTTCCTGTCTGTTGTTTGAAAGAATGATACTGTATCTTAGCTGCCTGTCTAGTTGACTAAGTGAATAAGTGTCTAACTATTATCAACCATATGTGACCTGACAGAGTGACAGACAACCCAGCTGTGTAACCACATAGATGGAGGGAACTTAGGGAGTGTTGCCAGGATAAATAGCTGCTTGCTTCTTTATCAGTTTAGGCTCCTCTGCATTGTGGAGCCCCTTACTCTGCCCTCTTGAGCACAGTTTTTAGTGTCAGGTAACTAGGCAATAAACATTCAGAACCACCTGCAGCCCACTGCTAACTTGAGTCCCATAAATGAGCTACAGGGAATTCATTAGCTGCCTGAGATATTCAAATTTATGGCTGTAGGTGGGTGTGCGCATACTTCTGGCATGAAGATTCATGGTTTTTGTCACATTTTCAAAATGATTGCTACTCTAATGATGCAAAATTGTCAAGAACTTTTGCTCAGGAGAGACCCCTAGGAAGCTCATGAATAACTTTCTGTTATATGTGCAGGTTTCTGGGAAGATAGTGCATAGCTGTTTTCAAAATTTCTAAATATTTAATAACTTAGTTACCTATTACCTATAATTTTTTTATATGGTTTGGCTGTGTCCGCACCCACATTTCATCTTGAATTGTAGTTCCCATAATCCCCATGTGTGGTGAGAGGTATCCAGTGGGAGATGATTGAATCATGGGGGCAGTTTCGCCCATGCTATTCTCATAATAATAAGTTCTCACAAGATCTGGTGGTTTTATTATTTTTAAAAATGTTTATTTATTTTTTTGAGACAGTGTCTTGCTCTGTCACCCAGGCTAGAGTGCAGTGGCATGATCTCAGCTCACTGCAGCCTCTGCCTCCTGGGTTCAAGCGATTCTCCCGCCTCAGCCTCCTGAGTAGCTGGGACTACAGGGTTGTGCCACCATGCCCGGCTCATTTTTGTATTTTTAGTAGAGACAGAGTTCCACCATGTTGGCCATGCTGGTCTCAAACTCCTGACCTGAAGTGATTTGCCTGCCTCGGCCTCCCAAAGTGCTGGGATTACAGGTGTGAGTCACCGCGCCTGGCCAAGATCTGATGGTCTTATAGGGGCTTCCCTCTTCACTTGGCTCTCATTCTTCTCTTTCCTGCCACCATGTAATTAGAAGGACGTGTTTGATTCCCCTTCCACCATGATTGTAAGTTTCCTGAGACCTCCCTTGCAAAACTGTGAGTCAATTAAACTTCTTTCCTTTATAAATTACCCAGTCTCAGCAGTGTGAGAATGGACTACTACAATTTTCATCTGCTGCTCAGAAGTGACCTCCAAGAAACTTACATTTATTATGTTCAACCCCCATGTTCCATTTCACAGCCACTCCGATGTATGATATTGCCATCTCAGGGGTCAGAGTGCTATGCAACAAGTTAAGAGTGTCTGGCTGACTCTTGAGCAGCACCTAGAGACCTATTCTTCTGTTTGGACTCAGGTTTCAAAGATTGCTCTCAGTGCCTGTGAAGAGCAAGGCTTGATCAAAGTCTTCCAGAGACTGGCCCAGGGCAGTCCACCAGCTCTGTTCTTGCTGGTGGCCTTCCTTACCACAGGATGATAATTTCAGGGCAGAAATTCTTCAGTCTCAAGTAGGATGTGAGGATCTTGATATAGCACCATCCTGTGTGGCTAAAGAAAGTGAACCTTTGAGAATAATCTGTGAGAAAATGACTTAGGTAGGTATTGGTCTATGACTTCTAGTTAATAATGAGTTCATTTGTGTATAAGATTGCATTGTAGGTGTGTATATATGTGAATGTTTTGTATAGCAGTGTGTTAGCTAAGCAAGGAAAGCTGTTTAGCAATGTTGTGTTTGATTGCAGCAGGTGAAGAGGTATTTCTAGAAGAAATAAACTTTTTAAAGATTCTTTTCCTTTTGGTGAGAACACTTGCTTGAGGAGAGTAGAAGCAACATTTAACAGTCAATTAAGAAACAGTATGAATGATTTAAGTGGTCTTCCTTAGCTGTTGTTGAGCCCACAATTGTTACCAATACTGCTCTGTTGCTATTTATTTGATGTGTTGTTTGAAGTGAGTGAAGAATTAATCTCTATTAATAGTTTGAATGGAACAACTACAGGTGAGAATATTTTAAAGAGAAGTTGTGAAAACACTTAGTGCAACCTGAGGTGGAATTGCTAAGATGTGTTTCAACTGATGGTGGTAAAAATATGTGGAACAGAAAAAAGCTTAGTTGTGCAAATCTACAGAGCTTGTGAAAATATAAGGTGTTGAAGACCTATGGTTATTCATTATATCGTTCATCAACAGGAACATTGCTGAAAACATTTCAGTCTGTCATGTCTTACTGAGTGAGTAGTGTAACAGTAAAACTGCTGGTCTCATTGACTTAACTCTGATGAGATCCATGAATTTGAATGTTTTGTCTTGTCCTGTCACATAGCTGATCAATGACTTAGCAGTGGTAAACACTTATTGTGAATTTTTAAAGCTTATAGCCAAGACTGAAATTTTTCTGAATGAGAAAATCTGCCCTAAAGCACTATTAATAAACTGTGAATGCCATAGGTTTGATAATCTTTCTGAATTCAGCTTGAAGTTACAAGGCAAAATAGCACTTATATGTGAAATTTAGATATGGTGGTTAAGTCATTCCAACAACTAATGTTTGAATCGCAAGTAACGTCAACCTGCTGTGTACACTCTTGTGTTGTCAAAAATTACAAGATCTGGGTGTGATGGCACTTGCCTGGGGTCCCAGCTACTTGGGGGTGCTGAGGTGGGAGGATCACTGGAGCAAAAGAGTTTTGAGTACAGCCTGTGTAACATAGCAAGACCCTGTCTCTTAAAAAATTACAGCAAGAAGAGAGATCTCCATTCCCATGCTTTAGAAGCTGAAACTACTATTCTAGCAGCATTTTGGGAGAAGTTTGATGCAAATAAAAAGGAAATTTCCATACTTCAAAAGCATTAAATTTTGAGGTGCTGCCACCTAATGTTTAATTGGAAGCGATTGATCTGCAGTGTAATACATGTTGAGGAGCTGATGTGCAGAGGACAATCAGATACAATTCTGTCAATACCTTCCTAGCGCAAAATAGCCTTAAATAGAATTGTATGCCAAGAATCAGTACTTGGCAGTATGTATTTGTATGGAGAGACTTTTTTTTTTTTTGAGCCAGGTCTCACTCTGTCACTGCACTGACATTGCTCACTGTGATCATGGCTCACTGCAGCCTGGACTTCCCAGGCTTAAGCAATCCTCCCACCTCAGCCTCCAGAGTATCTGGGACCACAGGCACTCACCATCGTGCCTGGCTAATTTTCTAAAGTTTTTGTAGAGATGAGGTCTCATTATGTTGCCCAGCCTGGTCTCAAACTCCTGGGCTCAAGTGATCCTCTCGCTTCAGCCTCCCACAGTGGAGAAACATTTTCAAAAGATGAAATATATAAAATCTCATTACCGATCATCATTAACAGGTGAACATTTGAACTGATTTTGATAAATGGGACACATACTAACTCTGAATTGCATTCAACAAAATGTAGAATTCCATTCTCCTTAGTAGACCTATACTACCTAAACTTGCACCTTTTAATTAAACTTCAAATTTCATGAATAACAATTTTGTGTAAGTTCTTTTTCTCCTTTTATATAAGGACCCATGTAATAGCCTTCATTTGTCTCTTTTTCCATGCAATCTAAAATATTTATGACTCCTTACATACAAAGTTTGTCAAGTGATACCCTACAGAAAGGACCATGCTCTAAAGTTATGTTTAAGACCATATTAGATGCACAGCGACAAAAGATTAAACAAAGCCTGACAGGGCCAGAAGCATCCACATGTAATTCAATTACTTGGTTTAGCAAAACAGTCAACATCCTATAATGGAAGTCAGCATTATCCAGGGTAGTGAGTTGAATTGTATCCCTACAAAGTTCATGTCTACCTACAACCTCTGAACATGATCTTAGTGAAATAGGGTGTTTGCAGATGTAATTAGGATAATGACTGAAATGAGCGTATCCTGGATTAGGGCAGACCCTAAATCCAATGAGAGTTTTCTTACAAGAAATAGACAAGGACACACTAGGACACAGAGAAGACAGTGTGAAGACGGAGGCTGAGATTGGAGTGATGTGCTTGCAAACCAAGGAATGCCAGGACCACAATAATCTGGGAGAAGAAAGGAAGTATTCTTCCTTAGATCCTTTAGAGTGTGGCCTTGATTTTTGACTTCTGGTCTCCAGAACTGTAAGAGAATAAATTTCTGTTTCTTCAAGCCACAAAGTTTGTGGTAATATGTTGCAGCAGCCCTAGGAAATAAATACATCTAGAATCTCTACAATATTTTATCTGTAATGTCTAACATAATTCAGATGCCTGACATATTAAGCAGAATAATGTGACGCAAAATCAAGAGGGAAAAAGCCTACCAATGGAAAAGGCCCGAGATGACCTAAATGTTGTAATGAGAAAACATGGGTTTTGAAGCAGCTGTTTTATTATGTTTAAAGATTTAGGCCTGGTGTGATGGCTCATGCCTGTAATCCCAGCACTTACGGAGGCCCAAGTGGGAGAATCACTCAAGCCCAGCAGTTTGAGACCATCTGGGCAATATAGGGAAACCCTGTCTCTACAAAAAAGTAAAAAAAACTAGTTGGGCATGGTAGCATGTGCCTGTAGTCCCAAGCTACTCAGGAGGCTGAGGCAGGAGGATCGCATGGGCCTGGGAGGTCGAGGCTACAGTAACTCATGATAATGCCACTACACTCCAGCCTGGGTGACAAAGTGAGACCGTCTCAAAAAAAAAAAAAAAAAAAGTCAGGAAAGGTTTACTTTTTTTTTTTTTTTTTTTGAGACAGAGTCTCGCTCTGTCACCCAGGCTGGAGTGCACTGGCACGATCTTGGCTCACTGCAACCTCCACCTCCCGGGTTCAAGCAATTCTCGTACCTCAGCCTCCCAAGTAGCTGGGATTACAGGCATGCACCACTGTGCCCAGCTAATATTTGTATTTTTAGTAGAGACGGGGTGTTACCATGTTGGGCAGGCTGGTCTTGAACTCCTGACCTCAAGTGATCCACCTGTCTTGGCCTCCCAAAGTGCTAAGATTACAGGATTGAGCCTCCACGCTGGGCCAGTAAAGGTTTACTTTTGAATGATACCAGTATGAGCCAAGGTTACCAGAGCCAGGACAGAACAGTGTCCCCCAATATTAGGAGATGTGCGGGGCCTCCTCTGTACAGCCCCAGGGGATGGCTCTTTCTCTCCATGTCACTCCCCATTGGCCCCAGGAAGGAGGCGAGCTCTAGAATCTCTGGCTTGCAGTGAGCTCCAGGCTCAGGAGATGTCAACTCTCTCCCCTTAGGTCAGTCTATGGCCATGCCCATTATCGTGGCATTCCCTCCCTCACCCCCCAGTTCTTACAACCACTAATCGGGTTTCCATCTCTATGTCCTTTCTTGAATGTTATATAAATAGTCATGAAATATGTAACCTTTCACATAACATAATTCCCTTGAGAGCTATGGAAATTGTGTAGAGCCATGGAAATTGTTGTGTATGTCAATAGTTTGTTCATTTTTATTGCTACGTAGTATTCCATAATATGGATGCACCACAATGTGTTTATATTCACCCACTGAAGGACATTTGAGTTTCCAGTTTTTAGCTATTACACATAAATCACATAACATTTGTGTTCAAGTTTTTGTGTGAACGTAACTTCATTTCTCTAGGATAAATGCCCACAAGTAGGATTGCTTGGTAGTATGGTACATGTATGTTTAATTTTGTAAGAAACTGAAAAAGTATTTTTGTAGCCATGCCATTTTTAATTCTATCACCAGTATATAAGAGATCTAGTTCTGTGTCTTTGTCAATACTTGTTAGTGTCAACATTCTAAATTTTAGCCATCTTAATAGGTACCTCATTGTGGTTTTAATTTGTAGTTCCTTAATTTCAAATCATGTTGAATGTCATTTCATTTATTTGCCATTGCATTCTGTGCCCAGGTCTTACTTATGTGGTGACTGAGTGATGGCATATAAAGGTCAATGCCATTGAAAGAAAAGTTTAATGTAACTGACAGTTCCCCTAGAAAAGAGGCATAGCATGCTCCACAGGGCCATGGGAGGAATACCAGGTTTGGTCAGGTGGCAGAAGACAGGAGCAAGGGGAAAGCTGAGACTGGAGTCTTTATTGGGGTTTCCATGGAAAAGACAAGGCAAGGCAGGGTAAACAGTTTAAGATTAGGTAGGTTGAATAATTCTGGTGGGCTCTCAACTAAAGGAGTGGTCCCTTAGTTGCCTGGTACCTGGCCCTGGATGATTAAGGTTGAGGAATATTGTCTTCTGGGATATACAGGCAAGACAGAGGAGGTATGGCTCTGGATTGATTAGTTTGCATATCAAAAGCATGCACCTGGTTGGGCCCTTTGCTGTCTCTAAGAGTTAGCTAGACTTGGGAGAGGCAGTCACTCCCCAGGCTGAAGGGATTCTTTTAAAATGCCGAAACATAATATACACGGTGGGAAATGTAACACACATTGGTATATCTTCATTGACAAAACAGAGACTACTCATGTCTTTTTCCCATTTTCGAATTGAATTGTTGTGTTACTGTTTAAAATTTTTTCGAGGATTTTTTTTCACATGCATGAAAAAGAGATATGTCTTTAGTTTTCTTTCTTTTCTTGTCTTTATTACATGTATGAAATTAATACAGGCCTCATGAAAGGAGTAGTAAAGTATTCCCTCTTCAATTCTGAGTTTGTGTAGAATTGATATTAATTCTGTAAATCTGTGAGAATTCTCCATGGAAATAAACTGGGCCTGAACATTTCTTTCCTGGAATGTTTTTACTACAAATTTTATTTATTTAATGGTTTTAAAAAGTTCAAATTATCTGTTTTATTTTGGGTGAATTTTGGTAATTTGTGGCTTTGAGGTATTGACCTGAATATTGGTCAGTTTCACCTAAATTGTCAAATTTATGTGCACAGTTTTTGTGCTGTTCCTATTATCCTTTTAATGTCTGTGGAGTCTGTAGTGATATCACCTCTTTCATTCCTCACATTGGTAATTTGTGTCTTTTTTTTCCCATCATAGTAGAGTTTCATCAATTTTATTGATCTTTACAAAGGATCAACTCAAGTTTCATGGATTTTTCTCTATTGTTTTTCTGTTTTTAATGTGATTGAATCCTGTGGTTATGTTAACTATTTCTTTCCTTCTGCTGGCTTTGGGTTTATTTTGCTCTACTGTGTTTCCTGAGGTGTGAGCTTGGACTACTGATTTGAGACCTTTATTTTCTCATGTAAACATCTAGTGGTATAAATTTCCCCCACAGCACTGCTTTGGCTCCATGGCACAATGTTTTGTTTTTTTGTGTTTTTTTTGAGACAGAATCTCACTCTGTCGCCCAGGCTGGAGTGCAGTGGCACCATCTCAGATCACTGCAAGCTCCGCCTCCCGGGTTCACGCCATTCTCCTGCCTCAGCCTCCTGAGTAGCTGGGACTACAGGCACCCGCCACCACGCCTGGCTAATTTTTTGTATTTTTAGTGGAGAGGGGGTTTCTCCATGTTAGCCAGGATGGTCTCGATCTCCTGACCTCGTGATCCACCCGCCTTGGCCTCCCAAAGTGCTGGGATTACAGGTGTGAGCCACCCGGCCCATGGCACGAATTTTGACAAGGTTTTATCTTTTTATTCCTTCACATTACTTTTTAGTTTTCTTTGCAACTTCCTATTTATCCTGTGGAATATTTAAAAGCATGCTTTAAAAGTATGCTGTTTACTTTCTATGTGCTTACATTAAAAAAAATCTTTTTGTTACTTATTTCTAGTTTGATTCCATTATAGTCAGAGGACATAGTCTGCATGATATCGATATTTAAAAATTTACAGTTTGCTTTATGACACATTATATGATCTAACTTGTTGAATTCTCCATGTGTACTTGAAATGAATGTATATTCTGCAGTTGTTGGGTGAAGTGTTCTATAAATGTATATTATCTTCAGCTGAGTGATGGAATTCTTTTATATATTTGCCAATTTCCTGTGTGGTGGTTCCATCAATTGTTGAGAGAGGCATATTGAACTCACCAACTATGTTAGTAGACTTTTCTATTTCTCCTAATTCTGTAAGTTTTGGTTTCATGTATATCGATGCTCTATTGTTTTGTGCACATAGGATTTTTGTCTTCTTGGTGCATGGAGCTTTTCTATAATGATGCAATATAACCCTCCACCCTGGAAATATCCTTTGCTTTGAAGACTACCTTTAATGTTTGATTTCTTTCAGTTAACATGTTTTTAGGTTCATCTGTGTTGTGGTACATATCAGTTGTACTTCATTACTTTTCATGGCTAAATAATATCCCATTTTATGAATGGATTAGACCACATTCTCTTTATTCATTCGTCTGTTGATGGGCCTTTGGCTTGTTTCCACCTTCTGGTTATTATATATGTGAATAATGTTGCTATGGCATTCATATACAAGTTTTTGTTTGAACTCACATTTTCAATTCTTTTGAATATACACATAGGAGTGGAACTGCTGGCTCATAAGGTAATTATATGATTAACATGTTGAGGAGCAGACAAACTATTTTCCAGAGTGACTGCACCATTTAATATTCCTACCAGCAATGTATGAGGGTTTCAAATTCTCCACATCTTTGCCAACAGTTGTTATTTATTTATTTATTTATTTATTTATTTAGAGATGGAGGCTCACTCTGTCGCCAGGCTGGAGTGCAGTGGCACAATCTTGGCTCACTGCAACCTCTGCCTCCTGGGTTCAAGTGATTCTCTTGCCTCAGGCTCCTGAGTAGTTGGAACTACAGGTGTGCACCACCAAACCCAGCTAAGTTTTGTATTTTTAGTAGACGGGGTTTCACCATGTTGGCCAGGATGTTCTTGATCTCCTGACCTCATGAACCGCCTGCCTCAGCCTCCCAAAGTGCTGGGATTACAGGCATAAGCCACTGTACCCAGCCTCTATTTTTTAAAAAAATCACAACCATCATAGTGGGTGTGAAGTAGAATGTCATTGTGGATTTAATTTGCATTTCCGTAATAACTAATGTAATTAAGCATCTTTTGATGTGCTTGTAGGCTATTTGTTATCTTTTCTAGAAAAATGTCTATTAAAGTCTTCGCCCATTTTTGAACTGGATTGTCTTTAGAATTTTTATATATTATGGATACCAGACCCCTATCAAATATATTATTTGAAAATTTTTCCTCCCATTCATTGGGTTGTCTTTCTGCTTCCCTTAGAGTGTCCTTTGCTGCACAAAAGTTTTAACTTTGATGAAGTTCAATTTATCAATTTTTTGTTGTTCCTGATTGTGTTCTTAGGGCCATATCTAAAAAATGATTGTCAAACCCAATGTAAAAAATTTATTCCTAGCCAGGCACAGTGGCTCACGTCTGCAGTCCCAGCACTTTGGGAGGCCAAGGTAGGAGGATCACTTGTGCCCAGGAGTTCAAGACAACCCCGGGCAACGTGGCAAAACACCATCACTACAAAAAAAGTACAAAAACTAGCCAGGTGTGGTGATACACACCTGTAGTCCCAGATACTTGGGAGGCTAAGGTGGAATGATCACCTAAGCCCAGGAGGTTGAGGCTGTAGTGAGCTAAGATTGTGCCACTGCACTCCAGCCTAGGTGACAGAGTAAGACCCTGTCTCAAAAAAGATTTATCCCTATGTTTTCCTCTCAGAGTTTCATAGTTTTAGCTCTTATATTTAGGTCTTTGATCTATTTTGAATTAATTTTTATATATGGTGTTGGGTAGGGGTCTATTTCACTCTTGCACATGGATACACAGTTGTTGTACCAGCACCATTTGTTGAAAAGACTCGTTTGTTCATCGAAATGTCTTGCCACTCTTGTCAAAAATCAATGGAGCATAGATGTATGGGGTTTTCAATTCTATTTCATGGATCTATATGTCTGTTCTTATGTCAGTATCACACTGTGTTGATTAGCTTTGTAATGAGTTTTGAAATTGAGGAAGTGTGAGTTCTCCAACTTCCTTTTTATTTATAAGCCTATTTGTGAAAGGTTGGTAGTAATGTTCTCACTTTCATTTCTGATTTAGTAATTTGAGTCCTTTTTTTCTTGGTCAGGCTATCTAAAGGTCTGTCAATTTTGTTAATTTCAAAGAACCAATTTTGTTTTGTTCTACTGTTTTTCTATTCTCTATTTTGTTTATCTCTCTTCTTTCTTTCCTTCTGCTATCTTTGGTTTAAGTTTGCACTTATTTATCAAGAGTTCCTTAAAATATATAGTTAGGTTATTGATCTATTTAATGTAAGTGTTTTCAGCTATAAGTTTCTCCCTAAGCACTGCTTTAGCTACATTCATACATTGTGGTAGATTTTCATTTTCATTCATCTCAAAGTATTTTCTAATTTCCTTTGTAATTTTTTCTTTAATCTTTTAATTTTTTAAAAATGTGTCATTTGATTTCCACATTCTCGTGTTTTTTAGTTTTTCAAGTTTTCTTCTCTTACTGACTTCTGTTTTCATTCTGTTTTGATCAGAGAAGATACTTTTTTTTTTTGAAATAAGGTCTCACTTCATCACCCAGGCTGGAGTGCAGTGGCACAATCTTGGTTCACTGCAGCCTCAACCTCCCAGACTCAAATGATCCTCCTACCTCAGTTTCCTGGGTTGCTAGGTCTACAGGTTCATGCCACCATGCTCGGCTGAATTTTTGTATCTTTTGGAGACAGGGTTTTGCCATGTTGCCCAGGCTGGTCTCAAACTCCTGGGCTCAAGATCCTCCTGCCTGGGCCTCTCAAGGTGCTGGAATTACAGGTGTGTGCCACTGTGCCCGGCCCCAGGAGGTACTTTATATTACTTTAACCTTTAAAACTCATTTAGGCTTGTTTTGTGCTCTAACATCATGGTCTATCCTAGAGAATGTTTCATGTACACTTGAGAAGAATTTGTATGCAGGAGGTGTTCGGTGAAGTGTTCTGTATAGATGTTAAGTAAGGTATAACTGGTTTATGGTTTAGTTCAGATCCTCTATTTCCTTTTGACCTTCTTTCTTATCTATTGTTTCACTCACTATTGAAAGAGGGGAGTTGAAGTCCACTAAGAGCTATCAAAGTGGATTGCTTTTACAATTTGTATTTTTCAAATGTGATTGTTGTGATACCTCCTCCTTTTTCTTATTAAATCATGACCTGTCCTTAAAGCCCACATTGTCCAGAGAGAAGGCAGTTACAAGTCATTGTTGACAAGGCAATACAAAGTGACAGAGACACTAGGAAAGTGGTAAAAGATAAGATCAAAGTTGGTAAGAGAGGCAGTAAATGACTTCGGGGCAAGGATTGTTACCATTAACGGAGGGATTAGGAATATGATGGTTAACAACTGTCATATTCTAAAGAATATTGCATGTTTCTAAGGAAATAAGGGATTCCTGAGGGTACAACTTACTTGGTGTAAAATGGATTAGGGCATGGCTTGCAGATTCATGCCACAGATGTCAGGCAGGTTACATCAATGAGGCAAAGGGGAAAAAGACTGATCATTAGTTGGCTCCAGTGAGGACTGAGAGATTGGTATGTTGGTTTGGAGCATTTAATTTAGTGCATCTGAACATCAAGTAAGAGAGAAGTAAACCATAATTAGGTATGCTGAAGGTATGTACAAGGTTGTCATCATCTCAATCCTTTTGGCTCATTAAATATTTTTTTTTTAAAGAGCATAGCCTCTTCACCCTTGCCATTTGAGGGATTGAATTGTTAGGCATGTATGCATTGGAGACATCTGGTGAATAAGGAACTAAATGAGGATAGGAAGGCTTCATTAGTTAGCGATGACATTACCTATCCTGAACCTGTCACTCAGTCCCAGCATATCTGATTAGTCAAATTTATTTTGGCAGATGTCTTTTGCCAAGAAATCAGGCCAACCAGTTTCCTAGTTTAAGTATCAATGGGTCAGTCAGCTGATGTGTAAGCTAGTTATACAGTTCTGTCAGTGCTCCTTAGAATACTGGAAGATCACTAAAATAGCCAGTTGGCCAGGCAGGCTGTTGGTACTTGAAGACTGTGCAATCTGACAAGAAAACAAATTTCTCTCCCATTATAAAAGGCTACCCTAGTACAAGGACAGAAGATACTATTTCTTCTGGGGTTCTGGGAAGACATTTAATATGACAAGGTATCAGAGAAGACAAACATAGAGGCAGGAAGTCACATGAAGGTGTTATACCCCTTCTTTCAGGGTAACATGTCTCTCCAAGGGCAAAGATATCTGAATGTAACAAAAAACTTCTCTTTTGAACTGTGAGAAGGATTATTTGGAGAGTAAAAATGAGGGGAACTATTGTTAAGTTGGATTAAAGTGATGATCCCCAGATTTTCTTTGCATGCCCATCTGGTTGATCTTGGAAATAGGATTTTACATTATTGTTTTGCAAAATTGCTTAGACTGGTACTTACAAAGTATTTGTGTGGAAGCAAAGCAGAAAAAAAAAAAAGGTTATACTCTACAATACTAATAAACTGATTAAATGTGTAGACATAACTTTGAACTGGGAATCTCAATTTATTGAAAATACATGTTTTGGTTGACAAAGATCTGAAGAACAGTTCTGTACACTTCTGAAGATTAAGAACAAGTTTTAAAAATTTATAAAATACCCGTGAATAGGGAACTTATAGCAATATTTTACCTATTTATAATAATCACCCAAAAGATAACTTGGAACATCAAAAGGAAAAATGCTCAGATTTCAGTTTGATAACTGTACCTTCAGCAAGTATTTCTGAGTGCCTAATACGAAGAGGGACTGCTTCATGTGTTTGAGATACACTGTGAATAAAACAGACAAAAATTCCTGCCTTGTTTTCTATCTTTATTAGCTTGAAGGCCCTTAGTGGGTGGGCAGACAGAAAATCAGCTCCTCCAGAGTCTCTAGATGAGGCATCCATCTGCTAGAGTAAAAGACCATGAGTTGCTAAGGAGATCAACCAGGCAAGGAGAGGGAGCATACATGACTAGAGCACAGACCATGGTCTCCAGTTGGTGATGTATTGTATGGAAAGGTATCCTGTGGGCCGCCCTCTGCTAAGGGACAGCAGGTGAAGCCTGAGTCCCCAGTCATGGGGCTTTGCCACCTGGCCTCCCAATGACTCAGGCCACCTCGGTGAATCAGTTCCACCCTACAGGGTTCCTGATCCTTAATACCAAACCCAGTCATAATCCTCAAATATCCTATTTAAAAGGGGCAGGAAGAGAGATGATTCTAAATATTTTCTTTCAGAAAGTGTCTTGAGTAAAAAAAGTTTAAAGACAGACTTGCTTTATATTAGGAAGTATTACAAAAACAGAGTAAACAGTGATGTTTTGATTCTCAGGGACTAACTGGTCCTAACAGGTACTAACTGGGCTTGTGTACCATTAATCTTCCTGTCATATCTGCTTCTCTCCAGGGGTAACCTTATGCTCTCCTATTGTCAATGCATTTTCTTGGTAAGGCTGCTGGCAGTTCTACAGTTACAATGTAACTGGCCTATGATATTCTATTTCTTAAGTCCTAAGATGTATTCTTTTTCCAAACTTGATTCAATTATCCTTCTGTGAAAAATTCAGTAGCAGGCCAGAAAGATGGGTATTATGGTTCCTATACATGCCAGTCCTATTCACAAAATGATGTTACTAAAATATCAGAATGTTTAATCAGTCATATGCACTATCTTTACAAATGACAATTTAGTATATATTTAAAATCAGTGGGAAAAAGGTGAATTAATCAATGGCATATGAAGTACTGGCTATTTATCCAGAAGGAAAAAAGTTTTGTAAATTCTTATATCCAATGACATCAATGGAAGCGTCAGATAAAGAGACCTTTATTTTGTACAGTACATGGTACTGTAAAAGTACCATGTACTTTTACCATGTCACCCAGTGTCACATGGGTGATTTTTTGCCATACCAGTAAAATGATGGATCCAGGTAGCAACCGTCACAATCTGGATGGAGAAAGCTGTCGGCAGCTTGATTCCAGTCAGTCTTATCAGAAAATAGTCTCTTATTATGGGCATCTACTTGAGCAACCCAGATGGTTGTACTAAGCAGCTGTGACTTTTACCCCCACTGTACAAAGAAAGGGTGCTTTTTAATCTGTAATTTCCAATTAGAATATCAAATATCTAGGCCACATCCAGAGCCAAGGCTTAACAAAAATGTAACATGGTTTATGAAATGGAGTATTGGCCAGAGCTGAGAACATCCTCGTGCTCTTTCCACTGAGAGGAGTGACCGCTTCACTTTGGGTTTGTTAATGGCACTGAGTTTGAACACACACAGGATCCTAGTAGTTTCAGTTGGCGAAAGCATCAGTGAGCCAGGCCCAATTACAGTAACCTCTATGAATTGAGGGCTCTACTAAGCCAGCAACTTTGCTTCGTTCTGGAAAGAGGTGATACATTATTTCCCTTCTAAGAGACAGCTACTACTATTGCCTATACAGCTGACATACTGTGGGGCCAGGACAGGTGCTTTCCTGAATGCCCCATTTTCATTCCACAAGTGAGGCTTGCTGGGTCCTTTTCATTTTGTTAGTTGTTGAGTCCAAGACGACAAACTCCTAAAGTGGAATTTTAGGTCAGAACCCTCTACCCAAGGAAGAGATATCCAATGTGTAAAAGAGCCCAAGAGTAAACTAACAGCTGCTTTTCAGAAGGGGTGGACCTGGTACCCTTGTCAGGGAACCAAGTCAATCCCCTGGCCCCCAGCTCCCAAGGGCTGCCCCCTTTTGCCAGAAGTTTCAACCCACAAAATCACCAGTCACAGAGAGAGACTTGAAGCCCAAAATGATCAGAGCTGTTGGACCTCAGAGGTATCTTTACATACAATTATTCCTGATTAGAATTCTATGACTTATGCGAATTACAGGGAATTAGAATTCTCTCTATAACTTATGGGAATTAATCCCTACTACACTTTCAGATGTAAACATAACTGTAGTATACTCTACTGGCCCAAAGTACCTCACCCATAAAGTTATTAAATTTGTTTGCCTTCCCATTGCCAAACCCCATTAGCTAAATCTAGGTGTCCTGTACCCCCACAGGAACTAGTAAGATGTTGCCTTGGGCATGGATTCAATAAAGCCATATAAATCTGAGTCCCTCCCCTCTCTGGAGGTTTCCCATAATACTTGGGTGGGTGCCAATGGCCTTTGGAGCCAGGGAAAACTCCTTAAAGCAGATATAGCTGGGGTATATGGAGGTGTCAGGAGGTGTGGGGGCAGTACCTCTGTGCAATTAAGGCACACTTACGTTGAACTGCACAGTGGCTGCTCACCATTCAGCCAAAAGACTTTTAGGTTCATGCAAAGCCCTGTATCAGGTGGTACTATCAATTTCATTACATTGAAAGGATGTCTTTTCCACAATTCTCTGATCATATTTGAGGTTCTCCTTGACTCTCTAGCCTCCTAATAAGGTTTGTGCCCTCTGATTGACTTAAGCCTGGCTTACACAGAAGCTTTCTGCCTTCCTAGCAGAAGATAACTAAATTATGTGTAGAAACAAATAGACTCAAACATGTGAAAGCTCAACAGAATACAGTAGTCCCTGCTTAACTACAAGGAATGCTCTCCAAGAATTCCAAGTTGATGTTTGAAACCACGGGTATACTGAACCCTGTATATACTATATTTTTTTCCTACATATACACATGCCTATGATAGTTTAATCTCTTGCTGTGCCTAATTTATAAATTAAGGACTAATAATGGAATAATTACAACAACATGCCAGAAATGCTCTTGCAATTTCAGGCCATTATTTAGTAAAACAAGGGTTACTTGAATACAAGCACTGTCATACCCTGACAGGTGATCTGATAACTAAAATGTCAAGTAAGTGACTAACTGGCAGATAGTGTATACACTGTGGATATGCTAGACTAAGGAATGATTCAATAACCCTCATGGGAGAGCAGGAGGGCATGAGACTTCATCCCACTACTCAGAATCGGGTGCAGTTTAAAATGTAGGAATTGTTTATTTCTGGATCCATTTAATAACTTTAAAGTACAGTTGACCATGGTTAATGGAAATTGCGTAAAGTGAAAATACAGATAAGGGGGGACTACTGTATAAGCTTAAATTTTGCTCACATAATGTTCAACTGGGAAAGACACAGAAGAGGAGAATTTTGCTGCGTGTATTCATTCAGGCACAGACTTCTTTATCTTGTACCATGCCACATTAAAGCACGGCACCAAGCTTGTCCTAGAAATGATATCCATTTTGTTGTGACAGGGCCCTGGTAATTTATTAGGGAAGTCTCTTATGTTTCAGACTGGGATGTGATATACATCATGGACATCCACATCTTAGTAGCCAGTCACAAAGACCAACCTGGATGAAAAGGAGATTGGGAAATCTGGACTATGTGCCTGGAGTAAAATGAAATTGGTGCTGGTGAAGAGATTACCAGCCTGTGTGATGTGTGGGAGCTATCTAATAGGGTATGACTTCATTCAGGCCTATCCATAGTACTCTGAAAACAGAAGCCTGTCTGAATTCTTTGATACACTCTGAAGGTTGCATTTTGGACACAATTCTTCCTGCATTCATCTTCATCTGGTTTCTTTCCTATGTGAATTCTCTGATTCACAGTGAGGGTTTACTTCTGGGACTGTCTTCTTACATTCACTACCCTCAATTGGTTTTTTGTGTATCTCTGATATCAAATGGGGTATTCCTTTTGTCAAAAGGATTTTCTAGTTATTACATCAATAGGGATTCCCCTCTCCCTGAATTTTCTGGTATAAGCTTAGGGTAGACTTCTTACATAATTTCCCATATTCATTGCATTCATAAGATTTCTCCCCACTGTGAGTCCTTTGATGTATTCTGAGGTTTGATTTCTGGCCAAAAGTTTTCCCACATTTATTACACTGAAAGGGTTTCTCCCCTGTGTGAATTCTCTGATGATCACTAAGGATTGCTTTCCGGACAAATTTCTTCCCACATTCATTACATTTAAATGGTTTCTCCCCAGTGTGAATTCTTTGATGCACTCTGAGGGTTGATGTCCGGGCAAAAGTTTTCCCACATTCGTTACATTTGAATGGTTTCTCTCCCGTGTGAGTTTTCTGATGTTGAATGAGATGATCTTTTCGCCAGAAGGATTTTTCACATTCATTACACTGGTAAGTTTTCTCCCCAGTGTGAGTTCTCTGATGTATTCTGAGGTTTGACTTCTGGCCAAATGTTTTTCCACATTGATTGCATTGAAAGGATTTCTCCCCTGTGTGAATTCTGTGATGATCTCTGAGGGTGGACTTCTGAACAAAAGTTTTCCCACATTCACTACATTCATAGGGTTTTTCTCCTGTGTGAATTCTTTGATGTCCCCTGAGGGTTGACTTCTGGACAAATGTTTTTCCACATTCATTACATTTATAGGGTTTTTCTGCTGTATGAATTCTCTGATGAGTACTGAGGTGTGACTTCTGGGAGAAAGTTTTTCCACATTCACTACATTCAAATGGTTTCTCTCCTGTGTGAGTTCTCTGATGTTGAATGAGATGTCCTTTCTGACAGAAGGATTTCCCACATTCATTACATTTATAGGGTTTCATCATTGAGTGACTTCTTCGGCGAACTCTGTGAACCGACGTCTGGTAGGATTTCTTATTTTCATGATATTCAGAGGATTTAACCCAAGTCTGTGTTCTGTCATTACTTACCAATGGGTTCTCTTCTATGACAGCTGTTTGAGGATCAGTGAGGTGTGCCTTTCTGTTGAAATTATTTCCACTTGGATTTAATTCATAATGTTTTATACCCATATTAAGTTTATTATATTCCTCCACAGTTGACTTCTCAAAGGATTTCCCACATTGATTAAGATGCAGGTGTTTCTTCCCTGTGCCAGTTCTCCTGTGGTCAAAGAGAGTTTTCTTATCACAATTTTTCCTAAATTCATCATCTTTAGAGGATGTTTCTCCTGTGTGAGAACTGTTATGTTTAACACAGTTAGCCTTATCATTAAAGGCTTTTCCAATTTTATTACATTCAAAAGCTTGCTCCAAAGTTTGAAACTTTGGATGCTTGGGAAGATTTTCATTATAATTGAGAGCTTTCATGTTTTTATTATGTTCATAAAATTTCTCTCCAGTCTGAGTTTTCTCAAAGTTAATTTTGAAAGGTGAATTCTCACATACATTACCGCAACCTATTTTCTTTGTTGAATAGTTTCTATTATTAATGATAAATTCAGAAATACTTTGCAAATTCACTTCCCATGAGTTGCATTTGCAGGACATTTTTGTTGAAGCAACAGCAGCTACATGCAGAGTAAATGGTTTCCCCAAAACTTTCTCTTCCTCTGTAGTCAATGTTTTATTATTGATACATATTGCTTGCTCCAAGTGTTTGTCTTTGATTTTCTTGTTCTGCTTGATCAGGTCATCACCTCTGTAATCTTCTAAAACAGAAATATTGAAAACATCTTATGACTCTTACATCTTCTGTGGGTAGAGCTTTATCAACATACAGCCTATGTTGCACCTAATTATTTGATTTATCAAGATTAAATAATTCAGATGTATGTGTGTGTAAATATATATATCTCAGACCACCCTCCTTTAAAAAATAATATTGATATAGTGCAAATGGGAGAGGAAGCTGGTAATGAATACATATTTTGCATGTGATTAGTAAGATTTTCCTAACTGGATAGATAGAGGAAAGAAAATAAAATAAAACTAAGCGTTTTATAGGGGTAGTTATTTTAGGGAGCAGGAAAAACAGAGAATGGGATAAATACAACAAAAACTCTAAATGTAAGTAGTATAACAAGGAAAATCAGGAGATAACAGGAATTTTGGAATAGACTCAACAGGGAGGGGGTTTAGAAGCTGAAAGTAAATTACAGTCTAGGTCTTGACATTATCTAGATTATAATGGTTAGAATAGTCTATTGTCTACATTCTTACAATTTGATATCCCTCATCAATTCAACATCAAATTAAATTTATAACAGCACCAACTCCTTTATGATTAAATGAAAAAGTTTATAGCTCTAACCTGTCTTATGGTTGTGATTCATAGAAATACAAGCAAGTATAAAATTGTTGAAAATAAAATCCATTCATGCAACTAACTTAGATGCACTGCTCCATTCTGGCTGTCATAGCATTGATTTATTCCATCAGAACTAAGTGCTAAGTGAACCTGATCATCCCATCCTGAGTTTCCACATTTCAATCTGACATGAGGGGTACAATTTTAAATAGGGTATCACAGAAAGTTCTACTGTGAAAATGACATTTAAGAGAGGTCTGGATTCTTTATGCATTCTAAATGCCTATCCTTGACAGGTCATATTGCAAATATCATCTGCCACTTCTCGCTTACCTCTTAACATTTTATTAAGCATGAAACAATATATATCTGCATAAAACTTTCATGTGCAACTTAATACTATTAAGTGAACACTCATGGAATCAGAAACCATGTCATGAAACACAAATGGCTCTGCAAAAATCCCTGTTTACCTATGCTTGGTTACAACTTCTCTATGCTTAGAATTCACACAACTTCTCTATGCTTAGAATTCACCAGTCTCCTAATATTTATGTAATAATTTCCTTGATTTTCTTCATAGTTTTATCAACAATATATGAATTCCTAAAATGTCATTGAATTTTGCCTGCTTCTGACCTTTACATAAATATAGCCATATATGCATATTTTTTCTTTTGGTTAATATTATGTTTGTAATCAGTGTACAAGATTTTATGTGGCTGTATAATTTTTCCTTAAAGAATACAACTGTTTCTCCATTCTACTGTTGATGAGCACTATTTTTGCCAAACATAAACAATACTTCCATTAATATTCTTTTATGTATTCCAGAGAACATAATCATATCTTTTTGTCAGTCATACAGTTAGAAAAGGAATTACTTGGCTACAACATATGCAAAAGTTTACCTTGATTAGAAAACATCCTGGTGGGATGCAAAGGCATAAAAATGATACAATGGACTTTGGAGACTTAGGGTGGGAAGGGGGACTGGGAAAAAAGACTACAAATTGGGTGCAGTGTATACTGCTTGGGTGATGGGTGCATCAGAATCTCACAAATCACCACTAAAGAACTTACTCGTGTAACCAAATACCACCTGTTCCCCCAAAACCTGTGGAAATTAAAAAAAAAAAAAAAAAAAAAGAGGCCAGGCACAGTGGCTCATGCCTGTAATCCCAGCACTTTGGGAGCCTGAGGTGGGCAGATCACAAGGTCAGGAGATCAAGACCATCCTGGCTAACATGGTGAAACCCTGTCTCTACTAAAAATACAAAAAATTGGCTGGGTGTGGTGGCAGGTGCCTGTACTGCCAGCTACTCTGGAGGCTGAGGCAGGAGAATGGCGTAAACCTGGGAGGTGGAGCTTGCAGTGAGCCAAGATTGCACCACTGCACTCCAGCCTGAGTGACAGAGGGAGACTCCGTCTCAAAAAAAAAAAAAAAGAAAAGAAAAAGAAAACATCCTCCTGATACCACAGTGGTTTTACCAGTTTATATTTCCAATCAATCAGTGGATAAGGGTGTCTAACATTCCATATCCTCACCAAGACTTGGCATTGCCATATTTGTAAACTCACTTCATATCTGTTATTTCACCTCATATCTCACTTCATATATTATTTTGTGCTCCATGAAAACTAATGAGATTGAACACATTTTCAAAGATTTACTGGGCATACATATTAAAAAGTTCTTGTTCAATGTTTTTGCCCATTTTTCATCTGGGTTGCCTATCTTTTCCCACAATGACTCGCAGAAGTTCTTTACATTTTCAGGAAGCATATCCTTTCTAAGTTATTTGCACTACATACATATTATGCTGGTTGGTGGCTTGTCTTTTCACCTTTTGAATAATATATTAACAAATTTCTTACTTTTAATGGAATCAACTTTATTAATTATTTTCTTTTAACTGCTGCTTTTTGTGCCTTTAGGCTTTCTAAGAAAAGTCTTGCAATATTTAGGTGTTCACCCCTAAAGTGACCTGGAGTCTAACCACTCCTGCAGAATTATGTCTACTACTGCTCAGTAACTCACTTGGGTGACTCTGGTTTGAGAATTCCTCCTCTGAGAACCAAGGCTCCTCTCCTTGCTCCAACTTGAAGATCACCTCTGGTTTGAAACAGCAGTACCCTGTTAATAAAACACAATCGAGGACTTAGACCAGATATATGAGATTTTAGTCTCCAAAAGTGGAAGAAAATACAGCTTTGGAAGCAGTATCCTGAAAGTGCTCCTTTGCATTTATCACTGGGAGTTGACAACACATTCTTTCTAGTCCTCGACAGGGCATAGTTACTTTGGAATCCTGAATGAAAAGCCTAAATAATTTAAACTTTAAGTAAATTGTTCACATGTATTGGCACTTAAAAAAGAAATACCTTCTATATGGAGTTACAAGGGTAAGTTATGTTTACATGCTTACCCACTGAGACGAGGTTGCTGTAGTTCTCCAGCATCACATCTCTGTACAGATTCTTCTGAACAGGGGCCATTTGCTGCCACTCCTCCTGGGTGAATTCTATAGTCACGTCCTTGAATGACACTGATGCCTGTAACAGTACATTTCTATTCAATCTGAAGGGTTCAGAATTAGATGATGTAGAAAATAGCCATGAAAACAATTCTTATCAGGTTTAACTCTAAAAAGCTTAAACGAATGTAAAGGATGCCTATTTTGAATCTAATTTAATCTTAGACTTTGAAGGTATTAAATTGGTAAAAGTTTTTATAGGAGAGGTGCAGTGGCTCATGCCTGTAATCCCAGCACTTTGGGAGGCCAAGGTGGGAGGACTGCTTGAGCCCAGGAGTTCAAGACCAGACTGGGCAACACAGCAAGGCCCTGTCTCTACAAAAAATTTAAAAAATTAGCCAGGTATGGTGGTATGTGCCTGTAGTCCCAGCTACTTGGGAGGCTGAGGCAGAAGGATTGCTTGAGCCCAGGTGGTTGAGGCTGCAATGAGCCATGATCACACCACTGTATACCAGCCTTGGTGACAGAGCAAGACCTTGTCTCAAAGAAAATGTTTATAAATGATCTATATATATTTATGAGTTATATACATATACTATAAATAGATACATTACTAAAACTTTTTTTTTATTCTTATTTTTGTAGCCAAAAAATGTAAATAAACTTCCTACAATTTGTATTCCATCCCAACAGACTACCCTGGGCATACATCATGGCAGGAGTCAGCAAATTATGGCCTTTGGGCCAAATCTGGCTTGCCAGTTTTTTGTGTATGTGTGGTAAAGACAGTGTCTTGCTATGTTGCCTAGGCTAATCTTGAACTCCTGGCCTCAAGTGATCCTCCCACCTTGGCCTCCAAAAGCTCTGGGATTATAAGTGTGAGTCACTGTACCTGGCCACTTACCGCTTTTTAAATAAAGTCAGTTGGCACACAGGCACACCCAATCATGTTGCATTGTTTATGGCTGTTTTTGTGCTGAAATAGCACTGAGAAGTTCCATCAGAGACCTTATGATTGTCAAAACTGAAAATATTTATTACTTGCCTTTATAGAAAAAAATGTACCATTCTCTGGACTAAATAATAGTATTAAAGAAAAGATAAAGTATAATACAACAACAAAGGAAACATTATATATATAGGGATTATGGAGATTGAAAGTAAAAGGATGGAAAAAGATATACCATATAATCAAAACCAAAAGATAGTTGATATGACTGCATTACTATCATATACAGTAGACTTTAAGGTAAGAAAGAGGTATAAAAAATGAGTAACGGGCCGGGTGCGGTGGCTCATGCCTGTAATCCTAGCACTTTGGGAGGCCGAGGCAGGCGGATCACGAGGTCAGGAGTTTGAGACCAGCCTGACCAACGTGGTGAAACCCCATCTCTATTAAAAATACAAAAATTAGCCGGGTGTGGTGGTGAGTGCCTGTAATCCTAGCTACTCAGGAGGCTGAGGCAGGAGAATCGTTTGGACCTGGGAGGCGGAGGTTGCAGTGAGCTGAGATCGCGCCACTGCACTCCAGCCTGGGTGACAGAGTGAGATTCTTGTATAAAAAACAACAACAACAACAACAACAAAAAACTGAGTAACGATTTGTAATGACAAAACAGTCCTTTCAATAGAAGATACAACAAATCAAAATTGCTATGCACCTGGCAAACATAGCGTCCAATTAGCATTTCTTATTATTCACGGATTACGTATTTGTAAATTCACACACTAAAATTATTTGCAACCTCAAAATCAACACTTGCAGTTATTTTGCAGTCATTTGTGGACATGTACAGGAAGGTAAAAAATTTGAATTGCCTGACCTACATGTTCCCAGATGAGGCTCAACAAGGTGATCTGCTTTCTTGTTTCAGCTCTGATACTGTAAATAAGTGTCCACTTCTCAGTCTATTTAGTGCCATATTTACTGCATTTTTGTGCTTTTTCTTGATGATTTCACTTTTTCTTTTTTTTTTTTGAGACAGAGTCTTGCTCTGTTGCCAGGCTGGAGTGCAGTGATGTGATCTCGGCTCACTGCAACCCCCGCCTCCCAGGTTCAAGCAATTATCCTGCCTCAGCCTCCTGAGTAGTTGGGACTACAGGCACGTGCCACCACGCCCAGCTAATTTTTGTATTTTTAGTAGAGATGGGGTTTCACCATGTTGGCCATGATGGTCTCCATCTCCTGACCTCGTGATCCACCCACCTCGGCCTCCCAAAGTGCTGGGATTACAGACGTGAGCCACTGCGCCTGGCCGATGATTTCACTTTTTAAATGGCCTATATGTATAACAGTTATGTGCTGTCTAGTGTGCCTATGTGCAAGAAGCCTGTGGTATGGCTCATGGAGAAAATATCTATGTTAGATAAGATTCATTCAGGCATTAGTTATGGTGTTGTTGGCCATTAGTTCAATCATTATAAACCAACAATATTAAATAAGGTGTCTTTATGCAGAAAGACACACAAAAAGATTATGTACTGACTGGCTGACAAAAATGTGACTAGAGGCTTAACCCCATATTTCTCCTCTGAGTAATGGTTCAGTATTTATTAGTTCAGTGTTTGTAGTGACTTTTTGGAACATTACTACTGAGAATTATGAGAACTGACTGTATATAAACAAAAGTTGATAGAAATGAGATATCAATCTACAATTTTAATTAGTGATTTTAATGTAACTCTCCCAGTAACTCATAGAAAAGCAGATTAAGAAAAACCAACAGGGATATAGAACAGGAGTCAGTGAACTACAGCACAAAGGTCAAATCCAGCTCACCACTACTATTTTTTTTTTTTTGTAAATGAAAAATACCACCACTACCAATTTTTTTTTTTTGTAAATAAAGTTTTCTTGGAACACAGCCACATTCATTTGTTTATGTATTATCTATGGCTGCTTAACACTACAGCTGCAGAGTTTGGTAGATGCAACAGAGACTGTATCTCTCACAAAGGCTACTATCTGACATTTACAGAAAGTTTTCTGACCACTGATATAGAAGATTGAAAAGACATAATTAACCAACCTGACTGACATATATAGGATAACCTCTGCATAACATAACTCTCTGGTTTCCTTTGCACATTAAAAAAAAAGGACAGTCTATCTCACTAAATTACAAAAAATTACAATCATACAGCGTAGCTTTAGATCTTAGCTTAGAGATGTAGAGAGCTGATAAAAGCAACGCTAACATCCTTACAAGAACATAGCTGGGAAAACAGAAAATTAGTATCTTTTTTTCAAACTATTAGGAGAGAGAGAGACGAGACAGGCACCTGCAGGGAGAATCAGGATGTGCTCATTTGCTTACTGGAGCAGATGCTACTCAACTCCATCTAATACAATTAGGAAGATAAAACTAGAAAAATTTAACCTGCTAAAGGCAAATGTGTACTAGTTTGAGTGTGTGAAGTCCCTGGGGGCCATACACATAGGTGGATTTTCACCTCGCTACAGGATCAAAGGGAAAATCAAAAGAGAAATGAGGCTGGGCATGGTGGTTCACGCCTATAATTCCAGCACTTTGGGAGGCTGAGGCAGGCGAATCACTTGAGGTCAGGAGTTCGAGACCAGCCTAGCCAACATGGTGAAACCCTGTCTCTACTAAAAATAGAAAAATTAGCCAGGTGTGGTGGTGCGTGCCCATAATCCCAGCTACTCGGGTGTCTGAGGCAGGAGAATTGCTTGAACCCGGGAGGTGGAGGTTGCAGTGAGCTGATATCGTGCCACTACACTCCAGCCTGGGTGATAGAGCGAGACTCTGTCTCAAAAAAACAAAACAAAACAAAACAAAACAAACCCCTGAGACCCAGAAATTAGAAAATACATTGAGATTACTCACAATGAATACACAAAATACCAAAATGCATGAGATGCAGCTAAGGCAGTGCTAAGTGTGAAATTTATAGCTGTAACACCTATATTAAAAATGATCCCAAATCAGTATCCTAATTGTATACTTTAAGGAACTAAATGAGGTGGGGACCTTACTACTAACCTTACAAAATAAAAAAGACTATAATAAAGAATACAGTGAACTGTATAGCAACAAATTACATAACCAAGATGAAGTGGACAAATTCCTAGAAACACACAAACCACCAAAATGGACTCAAAAAGAAACAGAACATCCGAACAGACTGATATAAGACTGAATCAGTAATCCAAATCCTCCCAACAAAGAAAGGCTCAAGACCAACTGTCAGTCTGTCTTTAAATGTTTGGTGAATTCTACCAAACATTTAAAGAAAAACTAACACCAATCCTTCTCTAATTCTTCCAAAAATAGAAGATGAGTGAACATTTCCTAACTCATTCTATGAGTTACCTTGAACCAAAGCCAGATAAAAAAATCACCCAAAAACTATGATATGTATCCCTTCTGAATATGTGTGCAGAAGTTTTCAACAAAATACTCGCAAACCAAATCTTGCAACAAATAAAAAGTACTATATACCATGACCAAGTACAATTTATTTCCAGGAATGCAAGGTGGCTCACCATAAGAAAATAAATCAGTGTAATATATCACAATAATAAAATGAAGAAAACAAGTCACACGATCATCTCAACTGATGCAGAAAAAGCATTTGACAAAAATATCCTTTCATGATAAAAACAAACATTTAACATGGTAGGACTAGAATAGAACTGCTGCAACACAATAAAAAGCATTTCTGAAAAACCACAGCTAACAGAATACGCTAGGCTAAAAAACAAGAAGGTTTCTTCCAAATATCAGGAATAAGACAGGGATGCCTGCTTTCATCATTTCTATTCATTATACTGGAAGTTCTAGCTAGAGGAAATAGGTAAGACAAAAATGCATCCAAATTGGAAAGAAAAAAGTAAAACTATCTCTATTCTCAGAGACCATGAGATTTAATACATGGAAAAGACTAAGGAAGCCACAAAAAACTATTAGAGCCAATAAATGAATTCATCAAAATTGTAGGATACAAGATGAACACACAAGAATCATTTATCTCTCTAAATACTAGCAATGAATAATAAAAAAGAAAACAATTCCACTTACAATAGAACAAAAAATAATAAAATAGGAATAAATTTAACCAAGAAGGTACATGACTTATACGTGAACACTAGAAAACACTGCTAGAAGAAATCAGAGGACCCAAATAAATGGAAAGACACCTTGTGTTCATGAATTGGAAGATTTAAAATTGTTAAGATGACAATACTCCCAAAAGTGATATACAGATTCAGTGAAATCTATATCAAAATCCTAATGACCTTTCTGCAGAAATGTTGAACCTACAATTTATATGAAATTGCAAGGGACCCTGAATAGTCAAAACAATCTAGAAAAAAAAGAAAAAAAATTGGAGGGATTACATTTCCTGATTTAAAAACTTATTATAAAGCAACAGTAATCAAGAGAGTGTGGTACTGGCATAAATACAGACATACAGATCCACAGAATAGCACTGAGAGCCCAGAAATAAACCCATACATTGGCCATTTATTAGGAAAAAAATAGTTTTCAACAGATGATGCTGGGATAACTGAATCTCATCAAAATAATGAAGCTGGACTCCTACCTTATACTGTATTTTAAAATTGCCTCAAAACAGCCAGGTGTGGTGCCTCACACCTGTAATCCCAGCACTTTAGGAGGCTGAGGCAGACAGATCACTTGAGATCAGGAGTTCATGACCAGCCTGGTCAACATGGTGAAACTCCGTCTCTACTGAAAAAATATAAAAATTACCCGGGCATTGTGGTGCATGCCTGTAATTCCAGCTACTCGGAAGGCTGAGGTGGGAGAATCACTTGAACCCAGGAGAAGGACGTTGCAGTGAGCCAAGATCGTGCCACTGGATTCCAGCCTGGGCAACAGACAAAGATTCCGTCTCCAAAAAAAAAAAAAATTGGCCTTAAAAGGGATCAAAGACCTAAATATAAGAGTTTAACTGCATGACTCTTAGATGAAATCAGGAGTAAACCTTTATGACCTTGGATTTGGCAATGACTTCCTGGATATGATACCAAAGAAAAAAAAATTGGACTTCATCACAATTAAACTTTTGTGCAAAGGATACCATCAAGATAGTGAAAAGAACCTACAGAATAGGAGAAAATATTCACAAATACTACATTTAATAAATGTCTAGTAGCCAGAATACATAAAGAACTCTTATAACTGAACAACAAAAAATGTAATCCAAAATGGGCAAAGGACTTGGATAGACATTTCTCCAAAGATGATAAACAAATAGCCAATAAGCGCATGAAAAGATGTTGAATGTCATTAATCAAGGAAATGCAAATCAAAGTTAAATGATACCACTTCACACCCACTAGGATGTCCATAATTTTAAAAAAAGGGAAAATAACAAGTGGTTTTAATGATGTGGAGAAAGTGGAACCCTAATACACTGCTGGTGGGAATGTAAAATGGTGCAGCCACTGTGGAAAACAGTTTGGCAGTTACCAAAAAAGATAAGTCAAGAGTTACCATATGAGTCAGAAGTTCCTTTTCTAGGATTAGTCCCAAGAGAAAACAGGTGTCCAAACAAAAACTTGTACATGAATGTTAATAGCAGCACTAGTCATAACAGTCAAAAGGGAGAAACAATCCAAATGCTCATCAGTTGAATGAATAAACAATGTGGTATATCCACACAATGGAATATTATTCAGTCACAAAAAGGAATGATGTACTGATACGTACAACATGGATGAACCTTGAAAACAGTATGCTAAGTAAAAAGGATAGTCACAAAGGGCCAGGTGTGGCGGCTCACACCTGTAATCGCAGAACTTTGGGAAGCTGAGGTGGGCGGATCATCTGAGGTCAGGCGCTCGAGACCAGCCTGGCCAACATGGTGACACCCTGTGTCTACTAAAAAAAAAAAAAAAAATAGAAAAATTAGCCAGGCATGACGGTGGGTGCCTGTAATCCCAGCTACTTGGGAGGCTGAGGCAGGAGAACTGCTTGAACCTGAGGGGGCGGATGTTGCAGTGAACTGAGATCGTGCCATTGCAATCCAGCCTGAGCGACAAGAGCAAAACTCTGTCTCAAAAAAAAAATATATATATATATAGAAATAGTCACAAAGATCACATATTATGTGACTTCACTTATTAGAAATGTCCAGAATAGCCAAACATATAGAAACAGAACACAGATTACTTGTTGTTTAGGGCTGAGATTGTGTATGTCAGGATGGGGGATGATAGCTAAATGATATGGAATTTCCTTTTGAAGTGATGAAAACATTCTAAAATTGATTGTGGCAATGACTGCACAACTCTACAAATATACTAAAAACCACAAAATTGTACACTTTAAAAGTGTGAATTATATGGTATGTGAATTGTATCTCCATAAAGCTGTTAAAAATAAAGGACACTAGAATAAGTAGCACGATTTGGATTTTCTATATCCTGTTAAAGAAACTGAGTTCATGAGCAAAAACCAGGCACAAGAAAAACTCCAATGCTAGACTACCTCACAGGTATATTTTTCCAAACATTTAAGGATGAAATAACAGCAATCTTAAACTCATTCAGAGAACACAAAATGAATAACTGTTTCCAAACTCATTTTTTGAGAATATAATGTTGACGCCAAAACGTGACATGACATGACAGAAAAACTGCAAGCCAGTATCTTTCCATTAATGTAGACACAAAAATATTAATTGAAATATTAACAAATTGAATCCAGAAATAACTTAAAGTGATAGCACTACCTTATGTGGGAATTATCCCAGGAATGCAAGGTTGGTTAAACATTGATAAATCTATCAATATAATTCAGCTCTTTAACAGACTAAAGGAATAAAATAATATGATTATCTCACTAGAAGCAAGAATAGCCATCTGACAAAATACTCATGCATGATTAAAAAAAAAAAAACTCAGGAAACTAAAAATAAAAAAGGGAACTTCCTTATTCTAATTAAGGACATATACAAAAAACATGTAGTTAAAATAAGACTCAATGGTGAAATACTGAGTACCCCTCAGGTGAGGTATAAGACAAGGATTTCTATTATCACCATTTGTACTAAACATTTTACTGGAAGTCCTAGCAGTAAGGCTAAAAAGAAATTAAAGATATAAAAACTGTAAAGGAAGAAGTAAAATTGTCTTTATTGCAAAAAAAATTTTGCACATTTAAAATCCAAAAGAATCCACAGATAAGCTATTAGAATGAGTGAATTTTGTAAAATGCCTAGGTATAAGATCAATACTAAAAAAATCCATCGTATTTTAATAAACTAACAATAAACTGGAAAATGACATTTAAAATGCAGTATCATTTGTGCTATTATCAAAATAGATCAAATACCTAGGAATAAATATAATAAAAGATGTGAAAGACTTCACCTCTACTCTGAAAAACTTTCCATCAGGATTTTCTGTGAAAATTGATAAAACTTCCATGAACATGAAAAGGACCTAAAATAGTAAATAAATTCACAAAATTTGTGACTTACTATAAAGCAACAGTAATTATGACAGTGAAGTACTAGCAAAAAGATAAACTAATTGGACCAAAGGAAGAAAATATACAGTCTACATTAGACCCGCATACAAGTCACTTGACTGACAAAAAACAGCTGCAATTCAGTTGACAGAAGATGGTCTTTCTAACAAATGGTGCTAGAGCAACTGGATATCCGTATGGAAATATGAACCTTGACACTCACCTTATACCAAACACAAAAGCTAACTCTATGTAGATCAAGCTAAAATAAACAAGTATGTAGTAACAATATAGGAGAATATCTGATCTTAAGAGTAGGGAAAGAGCTTTCAAATATGATACACAAGGAACTGCCATTAAAGAAAAGACGATCTGACCTTTATTAAATGTAAAAACTTTGTTGTCAAATATATTATTTAAAAAATGAATAAGCAAGCCATGGAATCCAAGAACATCAGTAATGCACACATGGCAAAAAACATTTACTGAAAATATTGAAATAATTCCTACTTAAAAAAAGCAAATAACCCAATTAAAACAGAGTTGAATAGGTACTTTATATATTACATAAAAAGAAATGATGTCTAAATGTCCAAAACACAAACAATGGTGCCCAACATTAGTATTTACCATAGAAAAGCAAATTATAAATTTTGATAAGATACCACACTATACAGCCACCAAAATGGCTAAAAACAAAAAGATTGATAATAACAAGTGTTGCTCAGAATCTGGTACAGCCAGAATGCTAGTGGGAATGTAAACTGATTTGACCACTTAGGCAAGCTACTTGCAGTATGTATTAAAACTGAACATATGTTTATTCTATGAACCAGCAATTCCATTTCTAAGTATATCCCAAAAGCAATGAGGACATACCCAAAGACACAAAAGAATATTCACAGCAGCCTTATTCCTGATAGCCTCAAACAGGAAAAACAAATGAAAAAATGCACTAAGAGGAGAATGAGGAAATAAATTATGGTCTATTCATACAATGAAATACAGCCCAGTGATAAAAGGGAAATATTAAGATACAGAGCAAAACATTCCCTTGAAAACTGTAAAAGAATACACTTTGTATGATTCTACTGGTATCATATTCAAAAATGAATTTATCTTTTTTCCCTAACATATGAGGTCAGAATTGTGGTTGCCCTGTAGAGGGGAGCAGTGGTGTTATCTTAATCTGGGTACTAAATTACATGAATTTACATATGTAAAAATCCATCCAGTTACACACTTCAGAGTACACTTTACTGGTATTAAAACTGCATCTCAGTTAAAGAACTAAGTTTTTAAAAGGAAAAAAGAGTGCATACAAGAGAAACAAAAATTTAGCAAAATATATATAGTTGGTAATTTGGGAAGGTGGGAACATATTTATTATATTATTTCTTTGTATCTTTCTATATTTGAACAATTTCTCAATTCCTTACAGGAAAAGAAAATTTGGACATAGACTCATACAGAGGAAAGATGATGTGAGGACAGACATCTAAGCCACGGAGCAAGGCCCTTCCCTCACAGCTCTCAGAAGGAACCAAACCTGTTGACATCTGTTTTTTTTTTTTTGAGATGGAGTCTAGCTCTGTCGCCCAGGCTGGAGTGCAGTAGCACGATCTCAGCTCACTGCAGCCTCCGCCTCCCAGGTTCAAGCAATTCTCCTGCCTCAGCCTCCCGAGTAGCTGGGATTACAGGCACCCGCCACCACGCCCGGCTAATTTTTATATTTTTAGTAGAGACAGGGTTTCACCACGTTGGCCAGGCTGGTCTCGAACTCCTGACTTCAAGTGATCTGCTCTCCTTGGCCTCCCAAAGTGCTGGGATCACAGGCGTGAGCCACTGCACCCGGCCCCTGTTGACATCTTGATCTCAGACTTCACCCGGCCCCCGATGACATCTTGATCTCAGACTTCTGGTCTCCAGAATGGTGGGAAAATAAATTGCTGTTTAATCTACCCAGTCTGTGGTTCTTTATTATAGCAGCCCTAGCAAACTAATACTAAGGCTCTAACCTTTATCTCCCTCCCCTCTCTTATTATTCCCTAAGAGGAAGTCCAAACTGCAATAGGCAAAGATTCTTAATGGACCTTGCATGCCTTGTTTAGCCTGCTCTCAAAATGCAGTAATCTCCTGTACTGCAACAATGAAAACCTTACCCATTTTTCAGGACAAAATCCTTTTAAACTCTCCACCTCTGATCAACAGAGCCTACACCATCGATCTCTCCTTTCTTTGACAGTCTGTCTACCTGAACGTCTGTTTCCATTACCTGAAAAACTGTATTAATAATAAAACTGAAAAACTGTATTAATAAAAGCCTGAGTTTGGCACTAAGCCGTCTACTTCCACTGAGGAAAAAGCAGAAGCAACATACTGCATTTATTTCAAGGCTGTTATGAGAAAGATTTGCACTGACACATGAAGACCAACAAAGACATTTTCCCTGACTTTGATAACTTTAGATTCCATGAGGAATCAGCCTGGTTTTAAGCTTCTCATCAATGCAAATCTGTAAAAAAAATACTGTCTGTCTGGCTCTCTGCCATGGCTATCAGAAAGAATGAAAACTGCAGTTCCATTTTGGAAAATCTGTAACATCAGGCGACCTCCATCTTTCCACATGCCAATTCTGCTGTGCTACTGCCCTGCTTTTCTATATATTCCTTGAATGATTTTGATCCATTTCTACATTTCCATATTAATATGTGGACCCTTAAACACCTATGAAATCCATGATGAAAAAGGTATTAGTAATTAACTCACCTGAGATATGTTCATTTTCTGCTGCTCCTGAAAGAGTGTGGAGAACCGTAAAGGATAACCTGGGGGTGAGGAAGGAGTCATGAGAGATCTGGGCAGCCTCCATCTTACCTGCCTACCAATGTCATCACACCAGCTGGGGAAAAAGGCCTCTCTACAAAAAATGTTCCTTTGACCTTTGAGAAGGGACAAGCAGCACTACAGAGAAAGCACCTCCTGAATATGTGCATCTTTAATATGATCATGTGGATGAACCCTTGCTGTGTGTGTGTGTTTTTTTGTTTTTTTTTTTTGAGACAGGATCTGGCTCTGTTGCCCAGGCTGGAGTGCAGCGGTGTGATCTCAGTTCACTGCAACTTCTGCCTCCTGGGTTCATGCAATTCTCCCGTCTCAGCCTCCTGAGTTGCTGGGACCAAAGGCACCCACCACTACACCCAGCTAATTTTTGTATTTTTTGTAGAAATGGGGTTTCACCATGTAGCTTAGGCTGGTCTCGAACTCCTGACCTCAAGCAATCTGCCCGCCTTGGCCTCCCAAAATGCTGGGATTGCAGGGGTGAGCCACCAGGCCTGGCCCCTTGCTGTTTTTCATCAGGCGATTGTAGACTATTTTCCTATTGATTTATTTAAAATGTATGTCTTCTTTGACTAACAACTTAAACAGAATTAACATTAATATTCTGTTAATATTATTTACACCAATAGAAAACACAAAACTGAAAAAAAGGAGATGCTGAAAGACTATTTTAAAATATTTTTGTTCTAACTTATAGTTTCTCAAAAGACTTTCGATAAGACACTTCTGGTGACTCACCTGTGACAGAGTGAACAGCACTGTGCTTTGCTCCAAGCTCTGTCCTGAGTGACCATGGACAAACTGTTCATCCTAGGTTCAATACTTTTTAAGGTTTTAAGAGTCAGAAATAGAAATCCTTTCCTGTATTATCATTTTTGTGATTCTACAGGTTCAGGATAGAGGCAACCTTAGTAAATTTCTAGATGCTACATGTGATGGATGTTGTGTGAGAGTGACTCAGAATCTGGAAAGAGTGAGGCAAGAATGAAGAAAATGGGGGCTCTATGAGGAGGATTAGAGACAATTTCCTCAGCCCTGGCTGGTTATGCCTTCCTTGGAGACCATGGAGAAAAGCCCTCCAGTAATGTGGCTTTTCCTGTGCAGTCTGACAGTCACCCACGCCTCTCAACCCCAGCTTACCACCTTCTGCAAGTTGGCCCACAGTGTTCAGTGTCACACAATCTGTGATGGCTTCTGGATGTGGCGACATCACCAAGTCTGGTGCTCTCTGGGCAAGGGGATGAAGAAGTGCCGCTGGTTGGGCAAATCAAGACCTGCTCCTTTCTGGGTTCTTCTGCATCTGTTTGGAAGCCCTGGTGAGGAGGTCTCTGTTCTGTCAGAGAGCAGTTCTTCGGTGGGACTCCTGTTCCTGGGGCTCCCTCCTTCCTGCAACATAAAGAGCTGCTTTGCTCCAGAGAAGCTGGGGCTGATGCCTGGGTAACAAATTTATTTTAGTTGAAACTTTCATGGAAAACAGTGTTCTTCACGTCAGCACAACTTCCATTTTGGGCTGGATAATCCTCTGACATAAGGAGTGGTCCTGTGCATTGCAGGATGTTTAAGAGCATTTCTAAACATGCACTAGACACTAGGACACCCCTTCTCCCTGTTGTGACAATCAGAAACGTCTCCAGGCCGGGCGTGGTGGCTCACGCCTGTAATCCCAGGACTGTGGGAGGCCAAGGCAGGTGGATCACCTGAGGTCAGGAGTTCAAGATAAGCCTGGCCAATATGGTGAAACCCCACCTCTACTAAAAATACAAAAAATTAGCTGGGCATGGCCATGCATGCTTGTAATTCCAGCTGAGATTACAAGCTGGGAGGCTGGGGCAGGAGAATCAGTTGAACCTGGGAGGTGGAGGTTGCAGTGAGCCAAGATCACACCACTGCCCTCCAGCCTGGGCGACAGAGAGAAACTCAGTCCCCTCTCCCCCCACCAAAAAAGTCTCCAACATTTCCAAAGTTCCCTAGGGAGCAAAATCCTCCTGGTGAAGAAGTGACCTAAGGCCTTAAACCTGATTCTCTTGGCATTAATTAGAACCCTGCTATCCATGACTACAGCCTCCAATCACATCAACTACTGAGCACTGGAAATGTGGCTAGGACCACATGTTGAAATAACATTTTGGATACACTGAGAAAACCACAGTATGTTCTTAAAATTAATTTCATGTTTTAGATTTTCATGTAGCTACTAGTTTAACATTTAAAATTACGTATGTGACTCATCTTCACTGCCCTAGAATATCAGACTGACTTCTAAAGACAGAGACAGGAGGGACAGCACAGGAGGTGGCAGGGGCCTCAGTCTAACCCAGAGGCTCTGGAGACATCCCAGAAACCCCACAACAAATACACTTGCCACATAGTAAGATTCTGTCCACACTGACTTCACAATCATTGTCCTGGGGTTTTGGGGACAATCACTCAGTGCTGTGAAGGCTGCAATGCTGGGTTAGGTAGGTAGGCCATTACAAACAGCCTGATTCGGGGAGTAAAGTGTTTATGTATTGACATCCTAGCTCTCTCATCCTTTGTGAGCTTGGCTCTATCTTTTCACTCCTCCTTCTTCATTTTTAATGATATAAATAGGGTGGTTGTGAGAATTAAACGAAATACTACATGAAAAGAACAAAGTGTCTTCCAAATATAACGGGAATCAACATTTACATGCTGCTTAGTAACTAGCGCTTAGCTAAATGCTTTACAGGGGATGGCTTACCTCTGAACGACACAAAGCAGTTTTTACTAATATCCTCATTTTCAAACGCTCAAGTGACAGAGCCAAAATTCACGAGGTCCTTCTAGCTCCTAGGCTCGGCCTCTCACCGCAGACCCACGGGCTGTACGCGCTTTGTGGCAGGTTCATGGTCAATACAATAAACGCGCATTCCCCTCCTGAAGCCAGCACCGCGTTTTCCGACGCCTGGCTGCATTCTGGCGCCCATACCTCGGCCCGCACCGAGCATCTTCCAACTAGGACTCAGCCCCACCTAACGCCCCCGGAGCCCGCCCCCACCGGCCCTTCTCAGGCTGAGGTCCCGGGCCGGCCGAGGCACAGGGAGCGACGGCCTGCTTTGGGGGAGTTCCCGGGACGTCGCGTTCCCGCCCCCTGGACACTAGCACATCCCTCCCTGCAGGTCCGCAATCCGCGTGGAGGCCCGGCGCTCTCACCTGAGCTGCGAACCCTCTGCACCAGCAAACACTAACAGGGAGAAGCCGGAAAGTGGGGTTGACTGCACATGCGCAGACGAAAACGCGCATATCCGTTCCCAGCATGCTGCGCGGTAACCCATAACATGCAAGACTACGTTTCACATGCAGTACGGCGCCAGCTGTCAGTGTTTTTTTGTTTGTTTTTCCCCCAAGATTTATGGCGTAATAACATGGACCGTCCTGATAACTGGAGCCCGGGTTCTGTCAGAGCCCCAGAGGTTGTGGGTTAGACTTGATGACATAACAGCAAATGCAGCGTGTGGTTACAGAAAGCAAGAGCCGCGGAAGACGTTTGAAAACAATTGGGAAAATTTGTATACGGACTGGAAATTAGAATTATTAATTAATTGTGGCAGCATTGGGATTATGTAGGTAATCTTGCTTATTCATAAAGAGATGTCTATGTAAGTATTTAGGATTGTATTATGTTTGTAAGTTTTTGGGTTTTTTGGTTTTTTTTTTTTTTTTTGAGACGGAGTCTTACTCTGTCGCCCAGGCTGGAGTGCAGTGGCGCGATCTCGGCTAACTGCAACCTCCGCCTCCCGGGTTCAAGCGATTCTCCTGCCTCAGCCTCCCAAGTAGCTGGGACTACAGGCGCCCGCCACTACGCCCAGCTAATTTTTGTATTTTTAGTAGAGACGGGGTTTCACCATGTTGGCCAGGCTGGTCTCGAACTCCTCACCTCAAGTGATCCGCCTGCCTTGGCCTCCCAAAGTGCTGGGTATACAGGCGTGAGCTACCACTCCCGGCCCGTTTGTAAGTTCTTTTTAAAAAATAATTAGAAATGGGAAGTATGGCAAAATGTTAAGAATATCTACTTCTAGAATATGGACATGCTTATTGACTATGTGTTGGAAAATTTTATAATATAAAGTTGATAAAGGGAAAATTGGGACTGTAATGTTACAAGTGTGCCTTTTAACTTAGAGCTGCCACAAAAATACATAAACAGCTTTGTGAATAAAGCCGTAAAATGTAACAAATACTAGAAAATGGAAACCATTATTAACATAAAAGAATAATATTTGTGATCCTCAGTTTATCTCTGGGGGGAAAAAAAGAAAAAGCAAGTAAGCTGTTCAGCATTACATAATACCTGAAGTACACACAATCCCAACTAAGAAAACCGTTATCCACAAATTATGCATCTCCTAGAGATGAGCTTGCTTAAATCTTATGTGGTATGCTTCTGAAATCAGGAACCAAATTAGGAACCTCTCAGCACAGTATTTTATGACACTCTTTTTAGTAACACACATACACTCACACACACACGGTTGATACTTTCTAACAGGTTATTTTATATGGCAATGATAAGTTTTGATTAGCAAGAAAAAAGATTAATGGCAACAGTAAACTAGTGCAGTATATATGAATCAAGGTATAAAATTTTACTGTTGACACTGAAAAACACTTTAATAGATACTGGAGGAAAAGACTAACATTTGTTTTTAAAAATTCTAATCATCTATGTTTTCTAAGTATATATTTTCTTTTTTTGACATTTATATATTTTGCCTGTTTTCCTAAAGGAACTATTCCAATTTTCATTCTAATAAAAACTTATGGTAATGATCAGAAAAGAATTGAAAATGCATAGCAATATCTCTATATTTACTATGTATACTATCACTAAATATTTAAAAATTTATCCTGGTGCAGTAAAAGTTCAACTATATGAAAAAGAAAGAATGTAGTATGTATCAGCTGGCTTTTAAAGCAGTGGAAAGAGAACCTTCAGTAACCTTGTTAGGACAATGAGATAGGTGCTGGGACAAAGGACATATCCATGGCACTAACATTACAATCAATAATTTTCACAAGGATTCATTCAACAATAAGCAATTAATAATATCAAAGTTTTAAATTTTTAAATTATACATTTCTTAAGTTTTTAAGAGAAACAGGTGTTTTAAAAAGATAAACCCTTTAATTCCTTTCCAAGGAAAGTCTCGCCCTTCACATCTGTCTGAAGGCTGAGACCTTGCCTGGTGCCCAAAGAGCTGCTCTCCGCCAACTTCCAAGTTCGGCGCTGTGTGTGTAGATGCAGCACCACCGCAGCTGATAAATATTTGCAGTGAGGTTTGGTTTGTTTGTTTGTTTTTGAGACCGGGTCTCACTATGTCACCGAGGCTGGAGTGAAGTGGTGCGATCACGGCTTATTGCAGCCTGGACTTCCTAGGCTCAAGTGATCCTCCCACCTCAGCTTCCCAAGTAGCTAAGTTTTGGACCTCCCTCCCTCCCTTCCTCCCTCCCTCCCTCCCTTCCTCCCTCCCTTCCTTTCCCTTTTTCTTTCTCTTTCTTTGTTTTTGTCCATGTTGGTCTCAAACTCTTGGGCTCAGGCGATCCACCCACCTTTGCCTCTCAAAGTGCTGGGACTACAGACGCGAGCCACCATGACTGGCCTGCAGTGAGATATTTTGAGGCTATAAAACATCATGTTTCTCTTAAAGTATCACTCACTAATTTAGTAGTGTTTCTTCATTCACCTGTTGAAGGGCAGCTGGTGGTTTCCAGTTTTTGACAATTATGAATAACCCTGTAATGTAAGATTCACACGCAGGTTTTTGTATAAAAATAAAATTTCAATTCACTTTAAAAAATCCTTTCTTCTTTGTGTTGCCTGGTCTGTCTATTCTTTTGCAGATATATTGTTTGGATTACTCTAATTTTATAGAAAGCCTTGAAATCTCATAATGTAAATTCTCCAATTTTTTCTTTTTAAGAATTATTTTGGCTATTCTAGTTTCTTTGCCTTTCCATGGAAATTTTAGAATCAGCCTGTTGACATCTACAAAAAGATTGCTGAGATTTGGGAGAGCTGGCATCTTAACAATATTGAGTCTCTCAATGAGTGAAATTGGTGTACTTTGGGTGGAGTCGTTCACACCTGTAATCCCAGCACTTTGCGAGGCTGAGGCAGGCAGATCACTTGAGGTCAAGAGTTTAAGACCAGCCTGGCCAACATGGTGAAACCCCATCTCTACTAAAAATACAAAAAATAGCCGGGCATTGTGGCACGTGCCTGTAATCTCAGCTACTCAGGAGGCTGAGGCAGGAGAATTGCTTGAACCCAGGAGGTGGAGGTTGCAGTGAGCCAAGATCGGGCCACTGTACCCTAGCCAGGGCAACAGAGCAAGACTCCACCTCAAAAAAAAAAAAAAAGAAAAAAAAAGAAAATGGGATATTTTACGTGAATCTTTCTTTCCTTTCAGCTGTGTTTTGTAGTTTTCAGTATATATATATATATATATATATATATATATATATATAGATCCTGCACACATTTTGATACATTTGTACAGAGGTGTACCTTTCTTTTTTCCTTCTTTCTTCCTTTCTTCTGTTTTAAATAGATTTTTTTAAAATGTCACATTCCAGTTGTTCACTGTTGGTATACAGGGATAAGATGACTTTTGTATATTGACATTTATCCTGAAAACGTGCTAAACTTGCTTATTAATTAAATAAGTTTTTTTGGTATATTGTTTGAAATGTTCTACATATATAGTCATTTTGTCTGCAAATAGTGACCATTTGTTTCTTCCTTTTCAGACTGTATGACTTTTCTTTCTTTTTGTTCCTTTATTTCACTGGCCAAGACTTGTAGGATGATGTTGAATAGGAGTACTGAGAGAGCATTGTTATCTTAATCTGTTTTCCAAGACGGCATCTTGAATGCTGCATCCTTGGGGGATGGGGTGAGGTGAGGAACAGAATGCTCTTCCTCACATGGCAGAAGAGAGAAAGGGGCAAGAGAGGGCCAAACTTGCCCTTTTATAATAGCACCAATCCTACCCATGAAGGTGACGCCCTCGTGGCCTAATCATCTCTTAAAGTTGAAAATGCATAGCAATCTCTCTTAAAACTGTTACAATGGCAATTAACTTTTCATTTGAATTATGGAGGGGGACAAACATTAAAACCATAGCAGTTGCCTTATTCAGATCATTAAGTGTGATGTTAGCTAAAAGTTTTTGTAAATACCCTACATTAGAAGTTTCTTCTATTCTTAATTAGCTAAGAGATTTTACAACAAATATATGTTGAATTGTGTCAGATACCTGTCCTGCATCTATTGATATGGTCCTGCATCTATTGATATGATCATATGGCTATTTTTATTTAGTCTGTCAATATTGTGAATTACATTCATTGATTAAAAATTTTTTTCTTGTAAAATACACAAAACATAAAGCTTACAATTTTAAACACTTTTGAGTGTACAATTCAGTGGTAAAAAGCCTATTCACATTGTTGTGCAACTGTTAACACTTTCTGTCCCCAGAGCCTTTCATCACCCCAAACTGAAACTTCACACTCACTCAACAACTCTCCACTCCTGCCTCTCCTAGCACCTCTGTAACCACTATTCTACTTACTTTCATTATGAATTGTAGGTACCTCATTTAAGAGGAATCATAAAATATTTGTCATTTTGTGTCTAGCTTATTTCACTTAGCAAATGTCCTGAAGGTTCATCCATGTTGTTACATATATTGGAATTTCATTTTGTTTGAAGGCTGAATAATATTCCATTATATGTATACATCATATTTTGTTTATCCATTCATCTGTCAGTGAACATTTGGGTCATTTCCATTTTTGGCTATTATTAGTAATGCTATCATGAACATTGGCGTAAAAATATTTGTTTGAGTCCCTGTGTATTAGTCTGTCTTTAGACTGCTATAAAGAAATACCCAAGACTGGGTAATTTACAGAGGAAAGAGGTTTATTTGGCTCACAGTTCCACATGGCTAGGAGGCCTCAGGAACAATCATGGTGGAAGGTGAGGGGGAAGCAAGGACCTTATTCATATGGCGGCAGGAGAGAGAAGAGCACAGGAAAAGCTATCATTTATAAGACCATCAGATCTCCTGAGAATACTCACTATCACAAGAACAGCATGGGGGAAACCTCCCCCATAGTTCAATCACTTGCCACCAGGTATCTCCCTCAACACCTGGGGATTACAATTCAAGATGAGATTTGGGTGGGGACACAAAGCCTAACCATATCATGCTGCTTTCAGTTATTTCTGGTATATACCTAGAAGTGGCATTGCTGGATCTTGTGGTAATTCTATTAATTTTTTGAGAAAACACTGTACTGTTTATCACAATGGCTACACCATTTTACCTTCCCACCAGCAGTGCAAAACAGTTCCAATTTCTACACATCTTCATCAACTTATTTTCTGTTTATAATGAACTTTTATGACAGCTTTTCTAATGGGTGCAAAGTTGTGTCTTGTGGCTTTGATTTGCATTTTCTTAATGATTAGTGATGTTTTAAAATACAGTGTATTAATGGAAAATTTGAGATATAGTAAGGCCAATAGATTAGGACACAACAGCCACTGGAAAGAAAAAGGGGTATACCACACCATGGGGTCCACACAGGGAAGCACCAAAATCAGCCAAGAGGCAGAGGGAGAGAAGAGAACTATCGGTACGAGCCTTTACCGTGGTTCATTTGGGAAGGAATGGGCAAGACATGGTAATCAGGCTTAGGACTGGCTAGTTTGAATCATTTCAGCAGGCTTTGGGACAGAGGGACTTCCGCTAGTTTTCTGGTACTCAGCTCTGAGGTGTTTTGTGCAGGGGATACTGGCTCAGAGTGTGACAGCCTGATAAAGGAGGTGTTTGGAGCATGAGTTCTAGACTTGTCCGTTTGTATTTGAAAAGTGCCCTCATGTCAAATTGACTACTATTTCAAGACATTTTCTAGCCCTGGGAGGGCAGTCCCCCCAACGTCAGCAAGGGGTGATGTCAAATCATCAGAATAGAGAAAATAAAAGGCCTGGCTAATACAGATGCTGAGCATCTTTTCAGTGCTTATTGTCTATTTGTCTTTGGAGTAATGTCTATTCAAGTCCTCTACCCATTTTTGAAGTAGGCTGTTTTTTATTGTTGAGTTGTAGAAGTTCTTTGTATAGGCTGGATATTAATCCCTTATGTCATATATGATTTGCAAATATTTTCTTTCATTGTGTGTCTTTTCACACACTTGGTAGTGTCCTTTAATGTAACAGAAGTTTCAAGGTCCAATTTATTAATCATTTTGTTCTGTTGCCTGTGCTTTTGGTGTCATATGTGAGAAATCACTGCCAAATCCTATGTCAGGAAGCTTTTCCTTTATGTTTTCTTCTAAGTGTTTTATAATTTTAGCTCTTATATTTAGGCCCTTGATCCATTTTGAGTTAATTTTTGTATACTGTGTAAATGAAGTGTCCAACTTCATTCTTTTGCGTGTGGTTATCCGGTTTTCCCAACCACTTTTATTGAACGCAGATTTTCAAATGTTGAACTAGGTTGCATTTTTGGGATGAACCCCATGTGGTTGTGATGTATTCGATTTGCTAATATATCATTTGCTGTATTTATTGCATCTATATTCATGAATGATATTGTTCTATAGATTTCTGTGAATGTTTTTTACTGGTTTGGTTATAGGGTGATGCTGGACTCAGTAAACGAATAGGAAGTTGTTGCTCTCTAATGTTTTCTGAAAGAGATTGTGTAGAACTGGTATTATTTCTTCATTAAATGTCTAGCATAATTCACCAGTGGAACCACCTGGGTCTGGAGTTTTCTTTTTGTAAGTGTTTTTAACTACAAATTCGATTTCATTAATAGATATAGGAATATTTGGGTTATTCATTTTCTTCAACGTGTTTTGGTAGTTTGAACCAATTCAAGGAATTGGTTCATTTTACCTAAGTTATTAAATTTATAGTCATGAAATTGTTCCTAGTATTTCCTTATTCTCCTTTTAATGTCTGTGAGGTTAGTAGTGATGTCCTCTCTTTCATTCTTTATATTGTTAATTTGTGGCATCTTTCTTTTTATCTCGGTCAGTCTTGCTAGAGGTATGCCAATAATAATTTTTTTTCAAAGAATTAGCCTTTTGTTTTGATTTCTCTATTTTTCTGCTTTCAATTTCATTATATTTTAATTTTTATTATTTCCTCCTTTCTGCTTCCTTTGAATTTAATTTCTTTTCTCTAGTTTCATAAGGTGGAAGCTTGGGTTGTTTTAGATCCTTCTTTTCTAAAATAAGCAAGTAATGCTCAAACAGCCCTGTAAGCACTGTTTAACTGCATCTCAGAAATTTTATGTTCTATTTTTATTTTCATTATGGTTACAATATTTTAAAAATTTCATTTAGGCTTCCTCTTTGACTCATGGGCTTTTCAAAGTGTGATGTTTAAATTAAAATTTATTATATTTTTAAAAATTAATTTTGAGGTGAATTACTTTATGGCATCAAAAAGTGCTTTTTAGTACTTTGATTTTTTTATTCTTTTAAATTTGTGTACGTTTGTTTTATGGCTCAGAGTATGATCTGTTATGAAGAATGTTCCATGCGTACTTGAGAATAGTGTATATTCTGTTAGTGAATACTGTGCTTTTCAAAGGCCAATTAATTTAAATTGATATAGTATAGTGCACATTATATCCTTACTGATTTTCTATTATTCTTAATTTTTTTGGGGGGGGTGAAAGTGCTTCTTATATAAGGGCAGCTGCAAAATACAGAGGCCTATGCAACAATTATTTGTTTTTTCTTAAAGTGAAAGAATGAGTGGGATCCAAGGAATCAAAGCAATAGATGGACAAACCAGGAGCACCCCTGAGTTATTTTCAGGAAACAGAGCGACAAAACACAAAGGTAAAATTTCCAGTCAAGGAATTCTTCCAACAACTTAACTTTAGCTAGTCTCAGGGATTCCCAAGCCCTCCTCTTCAGTGGAAAAGTATGACTTATTACTGCAAACCCATTACTCTGCTACAATAAACACCTTAGAACAGAGTTTTGAATCACATCTGTCTACCCAAAAGCTCAGGGGTAGAATGAGGCAAATACCCACAAAAACAAACACAAAAACCTGACAACAAAATGACCCCAGTGAGGACAAAGGTTTTTCAGAAAGTGCCTGTACTGGAAAGGCTAGATCGTAAAGCATTAAATATGGCTGTGTATCCAAGAGCCAGTTAATGTTAATACACGGGATAACCAGGTAGTTTTAACCTCTATGGCTAACCCCATTTCTCTATTTATGTAGAGAGGGCTAGCACTGCTATATTGACAACTACCAATATACTGCTCTGTCCTTTAGCTTACCTAGGACTGCTTTTGTTGTGGTTCCTTTTAGTCAGTCAGCTGCAGTAACTTTCTACTATAGCCCAAAGGTTACAGGCACTTCCACACGGAAAATAGGAGAGCGGTTCTGGATAGCAGCAGCTGCAGCCAGTGGAAACTTTCTTAAGATTCTGACAATCTCTGTAAGCACCTGGTGAGATTCCTGAAGCACAACCTGAAAGGCTGCAGCCCCCTCCCCGCATCTGCTACCTCCAGTGCTTTGCTCTCACAGTAGCCTATGCCTAGCCTTTAGTATTTCAGTTAAAAATTCAGCTGAATCGTTCAGGTTTCAATAGCGTCTTGGTAGCCACAGTCCTAGGTAAGCAAATGCTCAAGTCCTGTTTCTTCCTGTGGGTGCCTTGTTTTAAATGTGGGAGTAACACCTTCAGCCCTCTACATCTCCAAGGTAAAACTGGAAGTCTAAACCTTTATTTTTAATTAAACATTACTCAGTTTAACAAAAACAAAACAGTGCTGGGTGGAAAATGACAGCTTCCTCCCACTCGCTGGAAGCAACTAATGTTAATAGGAACTTAGCTTTCTAGACAGGTTTTAATGTAGTCATACACACACAAATTTTTTTTTAAAGCCAAGAAGTAACCAAATGATTTATTTATAATTTGGTTTTACATGTACATCATTTTATGGCCTGGATACTTAGGACTACCTCATTCTTTTTCCTTAGTTGCATATTTTTTTCATTGTATGAGTGTATCATGTTTTAAAACCAATCCCTTTTTGATGGAATTTTAGTTTACATCCAGTTTTCACTGTTACGATGTGCACTGAATATATTTGTCATTACCCACATAATGAAGGGGTTCAATTGCTTGGGGTGGGGGGTGACAGTCCAGTGACCACAACCAAGGAGGATTTATTATAAAAAGGGGATTTTATTACTTGCAACAAGTAAGGACACGGGATAATTTCCTCAAAAATGAAAACAGGGCGTTTATTAGGCTGCTTAGCTGAGTCATTGTATGTAGAGGTGGAGTAAGGGCAGCACAGGCACAGTCGCTGATCATGTTTCTACATACGTGGTATGTATAGAAAATAGCAAATAAGGCCGGGCACGGTGGCTCACACCTGTAATCCCAGCACTTTGGGAGGCCGAGGTGGGTAGATCACGAGGTCAGGAGATCGAGACCATCCTGGCTAACATGGTGAAACCCTGTCTCTACTAAAAATACAAAAAAAATTAGCTGGGCGTGGTGGCGGGCACCTGTAGTCCCAGCTACTTGGGAGGCTGAGGCAGGCGAATGGCGTGAACCCAGGAGGCAGAGCTCGCAGTGAGCGGAGATCGTGCCACTGCACTCCAGCCTGGGCAACTAAGCAAGACTCCGTCTCAAAAAAAAAAAGGAAATAGCAAACAAGCTCCTCCTTGGGCAGGGTTTCTAGTGTGGTAATGAGGAGAGTTCACCAAAGTCCATCTCCAACTCAGGCATGTCTGGATCCAACCCGTTTTGGGGGCTGAGCTCCTTCCTGGAACTTTTTGAAACAAGAACTGAAGGTGCAACAGTTACACATGCGGAAAACCTGGGGCCCCTGGGTTATGATATGACTTTGCACATTTGGGTGATTAGTTCTGTGGTACTTAGAAAGATTCTCTCCTTGACCAAACTCTACTCAGACTCCTCTGAGCTCTTTTACAAATTAATTTTGGCAAGAATCCTGCTAAGTCAGTTTAGCCATCCTTGACATCTACTGAGGTTCCTCATACTCTTATCCCCCAGGTGACGTCTGATCACCCTGGCCGGCCTGCAGCAATAATTCTGTTAATTGGCTTAGCCAGAATTCCCCCTTATCCCTGATGTTTCCTCTTAGTAATTTTCCATCCACTGACCCTGCTTCTTGGCTACAAATTCTCACTCTTCCTTGAATTCGGAGTTGAGCCCAATCTCTCTCCCCTACTGCAAAACACCATTACAATGCCACAGTGGTACCTACACCTATCTCAATAGTCTTCTCCTGAACAGTCTTCCGTACCATCTGATATGGTTTGGGTCTGTGTTCCCTCCAAATCTCCTGTTGAAATGTAATCCCCAGTGTTGCAGGCAGGTGTTGATGAGAGGTGTTTAGATCACGGGGGTAGATCCCTCATGAATGGTTTAGTGCCCTCCCCTTGGTGATAAGTGAGTTCTTGCTCTGAGTTCACATGAGATCTGGTTGTTTAAGTGTGTGGCACCTCCCCACTCTCTCTCTCTCTTGCTTCTCCTCTCACCATGAGATAACGTTGGGTTCCCCTTCACCTTCTGCCATGATTGGAAGACTTCTGAGGTCTCACCAGAAGCAGATGCCAGTGCCATTCTTCCTGTACAGCCCGCAGAACTGTGAACCAATTAAACCTTTTTTCTTTATAAATTACCTAGCCTCAGGTATTTCTTTATAGCAACGCAAGAATGGACTAACCATGTTCAATAACTATTACGAGTATTTTTTCCTTAACAGTACACATTCCAAAACTAGAGAACTGTTCAGTTAAAATGAGTACATTTAAAAGTATGATAGATATTTCCAAATGGCCTTTGAAAAAGGTTATATAAATGTATGGTCTTACTAACACTATAGGAGGTTCCAGTCTCCCCATGCTCATCCAAACAGTCAACCTGAGGAAGGAGGGAAAGAGGAAGTGGTAGGAGCTGAAAAACTGCAGGAATTCTTAGTCTTTCTGGAAAATACATTTGGCAGTTTTATACTTCTAAATTATCTTAGAGATATGTATTTATAATTGGAAAAGGACGATTAAATTAGTATAGGAAAAATCTTTAAAGAAAAATATTTTACCACTCTAACAGTGTTTTCATGTACTTGACATCCCCTTATACATTCATAAAGCTACTTGTTAAAATTTTATACTCATTTCTATATAGCTTTAAAAATTTTCACATTTTAATATTTCCCTACATAAAATAAATCTGATATTTATTCTACCACCTTGCTAAAGTCTAACAGTGAATTGAAGTATGCAGTTTACTTAGTTGGGACTTATTCTCAAGAATAATTAAGTGAAAATCTATGAAAATTTTTACCATTTTCCAAAAGAGAAAAATGTGACAGTGCTAGAAGAAAATATGGGTGATGAAATGTTTTTTTTAAAGAATGACATGCAGTAAGTCGACAGGCAATTTTCTACTTTACTTCCTTTTCTCTTTCCTTTTTGCTAAAGAAAGGCTGGTCAGATATCCCTCACTAGCTGGAACATAACAATTAAGATAAAAAAGAAAAATGAATGTACATTTTGAGTCTAAATTTCCTATAAGATGTGCTCTTTTCAGAATTGGATTTTAGACCATGGTCTGCACATGAACACCTTAACATTTTTTCCCTCTGAACACTGAAGCCAATTATACAGAATTTTTAAACAAAAAATTTAAAAATTAATGTATTAACATTTTTCAATGATAAATTTATATTATAATTTTAATAGCTACATTTTTAAAGACTTTTAGGTTCAGGGGTACATGTGCAGGTTTGCTGATAAGTAAATTGATGTCTTGGGGGTTTGTTGTACAGATTATTTCATTACCCAGGTAACAAACCTAGTACTCGATAGTTATTTTTTCTGCTCCTCTCTACCATTCACCCTCAGGTAGGCCTCACTGTCTGTTGTTCCCCTCTATGTGTCCATGTGTTCTCATAATTTAGCTCCCACTTATAAGTGAGAACAAGTGGTTTTTTTGTGTGTGTTCCTGCATTAGTTTGCTAAGCATAATTGCTTCCAGCTCCCTCAATGTTCCTTCAAAGGACATGATCTTGTGCTTTTTTGTGGGTGCATAGTATTCCATGGTGTTTATGCAACACATTTTGTTTATCCAGTCTACCACTGATAGGCATTTAGGTTGATTTTATATCTTTGCTATTGTGAATAGTGCTGCAATGAACACCTGCGTGCATGTGTCTTTATGATGGAATGATTTATATTCCTGTGGGTATATACCCAGTAATGAGATTGCTAGGTCAAATGGTAGTTCTGTTTTTAGCTTTTTTTGGAATTGCCACACTGCTTTCCATAATGGTTGAATTACACTCTCACCAACAGTGTATAAGTGTTCCCTTTTCTCTGCAACCTTGACAGCCTTTGTTGTTTTTTGACCTTTTGATAATAGCCATTCTGACTGGTGTGAGATGGTATCTCATTGTGGTTTTTATTTGCATTTCTCTAATGATTGGTAATATTGGTGAGCTTTTTTAATATGCTTGTTGGTCACATGTATGTCTTAAAAAGTGTCTGTTCATGTTCTTTGCTCACTTTTTAATGAGGTTTTTTTTTCTTGTACATTTGTTTAAGTTCCTTATAGATGATGGATAATAGACCTTTGTCAGATGTATAGTTTGCAAATGTTTTCAGTCATTCTGTTGGTTGTCTGTTTACTCTGTTTATAGTTTCTTTCGCTGTGCAGAAGTCCTTTAATTAGATCCCATTTGCCAATTTTCCCTTTTGTTGCAATTGCTTATGGAGTCTTTCTCATGAAATTTTGGTTAGCTCCTATGATCAGAATGGTATTCCCTAAGTTGTCTTTCAGGGTTTTTATAGTTTTGGATTTTGTATTTAAGTCTTTAATCTACCTTGAGTTGATTTTTGTATATGGTATAAGGAAGGGGTCCAGCTTCAATCTTCTGCATATGGATAGCCAGTTATCCCAGCACCATTTATTGAATAGGGAATCCTTTCCCCATTGCTTTTCTAAGCTTTGTCAAAGATCAGATGGCAGTAAGGTGTGCAGCCTTATTTCTGGGCTCTCTATTCTGTTCCATTGGTCAATGTGTCTGTTTTTGTACCAGTAACATGCTGTTTGGTTACTGTAGCCCAATAGTATAATTTGTAGTTGGGTAGTGTGATGCTTCCTGCTTTGTTCTTTCTGCTTAGGATTCCTTTGGCTATTTGGGCTTGTTTTTTGTTCCGTATGAATTTTAACATTGTTTTTTCTAGTTCTGTGAAGAATGTCATTGGTAGTTTGATAGGAATAGCATTGAATCTGTAAACTGCTTTGGATGGTATGGCCATTTTGACAATATTGATTATTCCTGTCCATGAGCATGGAATGTTATTCATTTGTGTAACCTCTGATTTCTTTGAGCAGTGTTTTGTAATTCTCATTGTAGAAATTTTTCACCTCTTTGGTTAGTTGTATTTCTAGGTATTTTATTCTTTCTGTGAAGGGGAATGAGCTCCTGATTTGGCTCTCAGCTTGGCTGTCGTTGGTGTAGAGGAATGCTAGTCAATTCTGTATGTTGATTTTGTATTCTGAAAGTCTGCTGAATTTGTCAGCTTAAGCAGCTTCTGGGCCAAGAATTTGGGGTTTTCTAGATATAGAATCATGTTATCTACAAACAGCAATAGTCTTTCTTACTACTTGGATGCTCTTTATTGTTTTCTCTTGCCTGATTGCCCTTGACTAGGCTTCCAATACCATGTTGAACAGGAGTGATGAGAGATGGAGGGCATCCTTATCTTGTGCTAGTTTTCAAGGGGAATGCTTCCAGCTTTTGCCCATTCAGTATGATGTTGGCTGTGGGTTTGTCATAGAGAGCTCTTATTACTTTGAGGTATGTTCCTTTAACACCTAGTTTGTTGAGAGTTTTTTTTTTTTAACCTGGAGGGATGCTGAATTTTAATGAAAACCTTTTCTGCATCTATTGAAATGATCATGTGGTTTTTGTCTTTAGTTCTGTTTATGTGACATATAAACCACATTTATTGATTTGTGTACATTGCACCAGACTTGAATCTCAGGGATAAAGCTTACTTGATTGTGGCAAATTAGCTTTTTGATGTTCTGTGGAATTCAGTTTGCTAATATTTTGTTGAGGATTTTTGCATCAATGTTCATCAAGGATATTGGCCTGAAATTTTCTTTTTTTTGTTGTGTCTCTGCCAGGTCTTGGTATCTGGATGTGGCTGGCCTCACAGAATGAACTGGGGAGGAGTGCCACCTCCTCAATGTTTTGGAATAGTTTCAGTAAGAATCGTACCAGCTCTTCTCTGTACATCTGGTAGAATTTGGCTGTGAATCCGTCTGGTCCAGGGCTTTTTTTCGTTGGTAGGCTATTCATTACTGATTCCGTTTTTGAGCTTGTTATTGGCATGTTTAGGGATTCAGTTTCTTCCCAGTTCAGTCTTGAGTGTGTATGTGTCCAGGAATTTATCCATTTCTTTTAGAATTTCTAGTTTATGTGCATATAGGTGTTCATAATAGTCTCTGATGGTTATCTGCATTTCTGTGGGGTCTATGGTAATATCCCCTTTGCTGTTTCTGATTGTTTTTATTTGGATCTTCTCTCTTTTCTTATTAGTCTAGCTAGTGGTCTAATTAATTTAAAAAAATAAGCTCCTGGTTTCATTGATCTTTTGAATATTTGTGTGTGTGTGTGTGTGTGTGTGTATGTGTCTCATTCTCCTTCAGTTCAGCTCTGATTTTGGTTATTGTTTTTGACTAGCTTTGGGGTTGGTTTGTTCTTGCTTCTCTAGTTCTTTCAGTTTTTATTTTAGGCTATTAATTTGAGATTTTTCTAACTTTTTGATATGGGCATTTAGTGCTATAAATTTCCCTCTTAATACTGCCTTAGCTGTGTCTCAGAGATTCTGGTATGTTGTATTTTTGTTCTTAGTAATTTCAAAGAACTTCTTGATTTCTACCTTAATTTTATTATTTACCCAAAAGTCATTTGGGAGCAGGTTAATTTTCCTGTAATTGTATGGTTTTGAGCTATTTTCTTAGTTTTGAATTCTGTTTTTATTGCACTGTGGTCTGAGAGAGTGGTTGGTATGATTTTGGTTCTTTTACATTTGCTGAGGATTGTTTTATGTCCAAATGTGTGGCCGATTTTAGAGTAAATGCCACATGGTGATGAGAAGAATATATATTCTGTTGTTTCTGGGTGGTGCATTCTGTAGATGTCTAACAGGTACATTTGGTCTAACAGGTTGAGTTGAGGTCCTGAATATATTTGTTAATTTTCTGCCTCAATGATCTAATACTGTCAGTGGGATGTTGAAGTCTCCCATAAAATTACATGGGAGTCCAAGTCTCTTGGAAGGTCTCCAAGAATTTTCTTTATGAATCTCAGTGCTCTTGTGTTGCGTGCATATATATGGTAGGTTTGGGAGATAGGTTTCTTGCAGATAGCATACCATTGGGTCTTGCTTCTTTATCTAGCTTGCCACTCTGTGCCTTCTAATTGAGGCATTTAGCCATTTACACTCAAGGTTAGTATTGCTATGTGTGGATTTGATCCTGTCATCATATTGTTAGTCATTTAATATGCTGACTTGTTTGCATGGTGCTTTATAGTGTTACTGGTGTGTGTAATGAAATGTGTTTTTGTAGTGGCTGGTAATAGTCTTTTATTTCCATATTTAGTGCTTCTTTCAGGAGCTCTTGTAAGGCAGGTATGGTGGTAACAAATTCCCTCGGCATCTGCTTGTCTGAAAAGGATCTTATTTCTCCTTCACTTATGAAGCTTAGTTTGGCCAGATATGAAATCCTTGATTGGAATTTATTTTCTTTAAGAATGTTGAACATGGGCCCCCAATCTCTTCTGGTTTGTAGGGCTTCTGCTGTGAGGTCTGCTGTTAGTCTGATGTGCTTCTCTTTGTAGGCCTGTACTTTCTCTCTAGCTGCTTTTAACATTTTTTCTTTCATGCCGACCTTGGAGAATCTGATGATTGTGTGTCTTGGAGATGATCTTCTTGTGAAGTATTTTGCAGGGGTTCTCTACATTTCTTGAATTTGAATATTCGTCTCTCTAGCTATGTTGGCAAAGTTCTTATGGATGATATCCTGAAATATGTTTTCCAAGTTGTTTCTGTTCTCCCAATCTCTTTCAGCGATGTCAATAAGTCATAGATTTGATCTCTTTACATAATCCCGTATGTCTTCAAGGTTATGTTTGTTCCTTTTCATTCTTTTTTCTTTATTCTTGTCTGACTTATTTCAGAAAGCCAGTCTGGAAGCTCTGAGATTCCTTCCTCACCTTGGTCTATTTTGCTATTATTACTTGTGATTGGATTACGAAATTGTTGTAGTGTGTTCTCCAGCTCTATCAGGTCAGTTATGTTCTTTTCTATAATGGCTATTTTGCCTGTCAACTCTTGCATTGTTGTATTATGAATCTTAGCTTTGGCTTCCTGAGATGGAGTTTCATCATTCTCCTGAATGATCTTCATTCCTATCCATATTCTGAATTCTATTTCTGTCATTTCAATCATTTAAGCCTGGTTAAAAACCCTTGATCGAGAACTAATGCAGTCATTAGGAGGAAAGAAGATACTCTCTGGCTTTTTGAGTTGTCAGAGTTCTTTCACTGGTTCTTTCTCATCTTTGTGGGCTGATGTTCTTTCAGTCTTTTAAGTTGTTGTCTTTTAGATTTTTTTTTTCTTTTATCCTGTTTGATGACCTTATGGGTTTGATTGTGGCATAAGGTGGGTTGAGTTGACTGGCTTCGTTACTGGAAGATTTTAGGGGGCCAAGACTCACCTCAGGACTCCTGGACTGCATGCTCTAACTCTGGGGGACTTATATCAGGCCCTAGCTTTGTTCTCTGGCTCCTTGACGTTAGGAACCTGCTGTGCTGGAGGGGCTGTGGTGCTCCCAGACCAAAGGTCACAACACTCTGATGGGAGGTCCCAGCCAAAGCACTTTGTAGGGTGGTGGCAGCAGGATCCATCCTCATTTGCATGTGTTAGCAGCAGTGGCAATGGAAGCACACTGTGGTCCATGCTCATCAGTTGCAGCATGGTGCCAGCGGGTGCCAGTTCTCTGCAGGTGCGAGCCTCTCTGTGGACATTCACAGAAGTGGCCATGGTAGTATGGCATGGGGGTGGGTGGAGGCCCCTCCAGCAGTTGTGTGCACATTCATGCCAGTTGTGGTGTTAGCACAGGGGTGGGACGCTGATGACCGCAGGACTGTGTGCACCCTCTGTGTGTATTCATGCTGGTGGTGATGGCCACTCAAGGTGGGTGTATTAGTCTGTTCTCATGCTGCTATAAAGAACTGCCTGAATACTGGGTAATTTATAAAGGAAAGAGGTTTAATTGACTCACAGTTCAGCATGGCTGGGGAGGCCTCAGGAAACTTACAATTATGATGCAAGGGGAAGCAAACACATTCTTCTTTACATGACAGCAGGAAGGAGAAGTGCCAAGCAAAGGGGGAAATGCCCCTTATAAAACCATCAGATATCATGAGAACTCATTCACTATCACAGGAACAGCATGGGGATAACTGCCCCCATTACTCAGCTACCTCCAACTGGGTTCCTCCCATGACACAGAGGGAGGAGGTGCCACGTTCTTTTAAACAACTAGATCTTGTGTGAACTCAGAGTAAGAACTCACTTATCACCAAGGGGATGGTGCTAAACCATTCATGAGTAATGTACCCATATGATCCAATCACCTCCCCCTCCAGGCCCCACTTCCAACATGGGGAATCACACCACAACATGAAATGTATTGTGTGTGTTTGTGTGGTTTTTTTTTTTTTTTTTTTGCTTATTATTCTTTTTACAACATGAGATTTAGAAGAGACAAACATCTAAACCATATCACAAGGTATGCCAATAAGATCATCAGCAGAAATTTTGGAGGCCAGAAGGCAGTGAGTTGATATGTTCAAAATGCTGAAGGAAAAAAAAAAAACCCTGTCAACCAAGAATCCTATCTGGATGGAGATATGTCAGAAAGATGAATGACTAGATGTTCCTGGTGCTTTTCCCAAAGAGGGAGCTGCAGCTGCACCCTGTCTCCATGGCCTGAGCTGTTATGGTGCTATGACATCTTAGAACTGGAGCCACTGCTGCTCTGTGCTCTACTTCGGGGACCTTAGAAGACACTGTGCCCTTCATTCCTGGGACTTGCTGCCACTGCACCCAATACCCCCAGAGCCTGGGTTGCACAGTGATACACCATTTTTAAGCTGAGTTGCTGCTGTACCCCACTCCCTGGGGCCAGACTAACACACAGCTGCTCCATCCTCCTGGGTCCCAGTTGCTGCTGTGTCTGGCCTTTCTGGTCATGAGTGGAGTCTGTGCCCTGCCTTGCTGGGAATCAGAACTGTGGCTAAGTGATGCAGCCCCACTTCCTGGGGCTGAGCTGACACAGTGCCCCACCTCTTTGGAAACTGTAGCCGTGGCTATGCTGTATAGCCCCACCTCCTGAGGCTGAAGTGTCATGGTACCCCATGGCTACCGGCTACCCAGAAACCAGAACCTCAGATGAGCTGTGCAGCCCCCGCTCCCCAGGAACCAAAACTGCAGTTGTGTTGTGTGATGCCTCTCTAGAAACTAGGATCACTCCCTGCAATCTGAGCTGCTGAGGTGCTCCACCTGGGGAATGGAGTCATCTTTGTGGCACCTGCCTCTTGAGACATGAACTATAGCTGTGCCCTGCCACTCCAGGGTACTTGCCGCCACTGTAGCCTGTCTCCCAGAACCTGGGCTACTGTGATGTTCCACTAGCCCAAGATTTGGAGTCACCATTGTGTGGTGCCCTGTTCCCTGGGGCCTGAGTTGCTGCTGCACTGACACTCCTGTGACCTAACTTGATTCTCTGCCCCACACTCTGGGGCATGAGCCTCTAAAGCACCTGTTAATTCCCTGAGCCATGTCACTACTGCACTCTGCCACTCAAAGTCAAAGAGCTCATGAACAATTAGAAAACAAAATACAAAATGGCAGTAGTATATCCTCACCTATCCGTAATAACCTTGAATGTAATTGGACTAAATTCACCAATCAAAGGACATAAAGTAGCTGAATGGATAATGAAATAAGATGAAACTGGAGGAGCCAAGATGGCCGAATAGGAACAGCTCCGGTCCACAGCTCCCAGTGTGAGCGACGCAGAAGACGGGTGATTTCTGCATTTCCATCTGAGGTACTGGGTTCATCTCACTAGGGAGTGCCAGACAGTGGGTGCAGGCCAGTGGGTGCAGCACACCGTGCGCGAGCCGAAGCAGGGCGAGGCATTGCCTCACTTGGGAAGCACAAGGGGTCAGGGAGTTTCCTTTCCTGGTCAAGGAAAGGGGTGACAGACGGCACCTGGAAAATCGGGTCACTCCCACCCTAATACTGCACTTTTCCGACGGGCTTAGGAAACGGCGCGCCAGGAGATTATATCCCGCACATGGCTCGGAGGGTCCTACGCCCACGGAGTCTCGCTGATTGCTAGCACAGCAGTCTGAGATCAAACTGCAAGGCGGCAGCGAGGCTGGGGGAGGGGCGCCCGCCATTGCCCAGGCTCGCTTAGGTAAACAAAGCAGCTGGGAAGCTCGAACTGGGTGGAGCCCACCACAGCTCAAGGAGGCCTGCCTGCCTCTGTATGCTCCACCTCTGGGGGCAGGGCACAGACAAACAAAAAGACAGCAGTAACCTCTGCAGACTTAAATGTCCCTGTCTGACAGCTTTGAAGAGAGCAGTGGTGCTCCCAGCACACAGCTGGAGATCTGAGAACAGGCAGACTGCCTCCTCAAGTGGGTCCCTGACCCCTGAACCCCGAGCAGCCTAACTGGGAGGCACCCCCCAGTAGGGGCAGACTGACACCTCACACGGCCGGGTACTCCTCTGAGACAAAACTTCCAGAAGAACAATCAGACAGCAGCATTCGCAGTTCACGAAAATCCGCAGTTCTGCAGAACTGCTGCTGATACCCAGGCAAACAGGGTCTGGAGTGGACCTCTAGCAAACTCCAACAGACCTGCAGCTGAGGGTCCTGTCTCTTAGAAGGAAAACTAACAAACAGAAAGGACATCCACACCAAAAACCCATCTGTACATCACCATCATCAAAGACCAAAAGTAGATAAAACCACAAAGATGGGGAAAAAACAGAGCAGAAAAACTGGAAACTCTAAAAAGCAGAGAGCCTCTCCTCCTGCAAAGGAATGCAGTTCCTCACCAGCAACGGAACAAAGCTGGACAGGGAATGACTTTGACAAGTTGAGAGAAGAAGGCTTCAGACGATCAAACTACTCCGAGGTACAGGAGGAAATTCAAACCAAAGGCAAAGAAGTTGAAAACTTTGAAAAAAATTTAGACAAATGTATAACTAGAATAACCAATACAGAGAAGTGCTTAAAGGAGCTGATGGAGCTGAAAGCCAAGGCTCGAGAACTATGTGAAGAATGCAGAAGCCTCAGGAGCCGATGTGATCAACTGGAAGAAAGGGTATCAGTGATGGAAGATGAAATGAATGAAATGAAGCGAGAAGGGAAGTTTAGAAAAAAAGAATAAAAAGAAACGAACAAAGCCTCCAAGAAATATGGGACTATGTGAAAAGACCAAATCTGCGTCTGATCGGTGTACCTGAAAGTGACGGGGAGAATGGAACCAAGTTGGAAAACACTCTGCAGGATATTATCCAGGAGAACTTCCCCAATCTAGCAAGGCAGGCCAACATTCAGATTCAGGAAATACAGAGAACGCCACAAAGATACTCCTCAAGAAGATCAACTCCAAGACACATAATTGTCAGATTCACCAAAGTTGAAATGAAGGAAAAAATGTTAAGGGCAGCCAGAGAGAAAGGTCAGGTTACCCACAAAGGGAAGCCCATCAGACTAACAGCGGATCTCTTGGCAGAAACTCCACAAGCCAGGAGATAGTGGGGGCCAATATTCAACATTCTTAAAGAAAAGAATTTTCAACCCAGAATTTCATATCCAGCCAAACTAAGCTTCATAAGTGAAGGAGAAATAAAATCCTTTACAGACAAGCAAATGCTGAGAGATTTTGTCACCACCAGGCCTGCCCTAAAAGAGTTCCTGAAGGAAGCACTAAACATGGAAAGGAACAACTGGTACCAGCCACTGCAAAATCATGCCAAAATGTAAAGACCATCGAGACTAGGAAGAAACTGCATCAACTAACGAGCAAAATAACCAGCTAACATCATAATGACAGGTTCAAATTCACACATAACAATATTAACTTTAAATGTAAATGGACTAAATACTCCAATTAAAAGACACAGACTGGCAAATTGGATAAAGAGTCAAGACCCATCAGTGTGCTGTATTCAGGAAACCCATCTCAAGTGCAGAGACACATATAGGCTCAAAATAAAAGGATGGAGGAAGATCTACCAGGCAAATGGAAAACAAAAAAGGCAGGGGTTGCAATCCTAGTCTCTGATACAACAGACTTTAAACCAACAAAGATCAAAAGAGACAAAGAAGGCCATTACATAATGGTAAAGGGATCAATTCAACAAGAAGAGCTAACTATCCTAAATATATATGCACCCAATACAGGAGCACCCAGATTCATAAAGCAAGTCCTGAGTGACTTACAAAGAGACTTAGACTCCCACACAATAATAACGGGAGACTTTAACACCCCACTGTCAACATTAGACAGATCAACGAGACAGAAAGTCAACAAGGATACCCAGGAATTGAACTCAGCTCTACAACAAGTGGACCTAATAGACATCTACAGAACTCTCCACCCCAAATCAACAGAAAATACACTTTTTTCAGCACCACACCACACCTATTCCAAAATTGACCACATAGTTAGAAGTAAAGCTCTCCTCAGCAAATGTAAAAGAACAGAAATTATAACAAACTGTCTCTTAGACCACAGTGCAATCAAACTAGAACTCAGGATTAAGAAACTCACTCAAAACCGCTCAACTACATGGAAACTGTACAACCTGCTCCTGAATGACTACTGGGTACATAACGAAATGAAGGCAGAAATAAAGATGTTCTTTGAAACCAATGAGAACAAAGACACAACATACCAGACTCTCTGGGACACATTCAAAGCAGTGTGTAGAGGGAAATTTATAGCACTAAATGCCCACAAGAGAAAGCAGGAAGGATCCAAAATTGACACCCTAACATCACAATTAAAAGAACTAGAAAAGCAAGAGCAAACACATTCAAAACCTAGCAGAAGGCAAGAAATAACTAAAATCAGAGCAGAACTGAAGGAAATAGAGACAAAAAAAACCCTTCAAAAAATTAATGAATCCAGGAGCTGGTTTTTTGAAAGGATCAACAAAATTGATAGACCACTAGCAAGATGAATAAAGAAAAAAAGAGAGAAGAATCAAATAGACGCAATAAAAAATGATAAAGGGGATATCACCACCAATCCCACAGAAATATAAACAGAGAATTTTTCTACCATCAGAGAATTCTCTACCATCAGAGAATACTACAAACACCTCTACGCAAATAAACTAGAAAATCTAGAAGAAATGGATAAATTCCTCGACACATACACTCTCACAAGACTAAACCAGGAAGAAGTTGAATCTCTGAATAGACCAATAACAGGATCTGAAATTGTGGCAATAATCAATAGCTTACCAACCAAAAAGAGTCCAGGACCAGATGGATTCACAGCTGAATTCTACCAGAAGTACAAGGAGGAACTGGTACCATTCCTTCTGAAACTATTCCAATCAATAGAAAAAGAGGGAATCCCTCTAACTCATTTTATGAGGCCAGCATCATCCTGATACCAAAGCCAGGCAGAGACACAACCAAAAAAGAGAATGTTAGACCAATATTCTTGATGAACATTGATGCAAAAATCCTCAATAAAATACTGGCAAACTGAATCCAGCAGCACATCAAAAAGCTTATCCACCATGATCAAGGGGGCTTCATCCCTGGGATGCAAGGCTGGTTCAATATACGCAAATCAATAAATGTAATCCAGCATATAAACAGAACCAAAGACAAAAACCACATGATTATCTCAATAGATGCAGAAAAGGCCTTTGACAAAATTCAACAACCTTCATGCTAAAAACTCTCAATAAATTAGGTATTGATGGGACGTATCTCAAAATAATAAGAGCTATCTATGACAAACCCACAGACAATATCATACTGAATGGGCAAAAACTGGAGGCATTCCCTTTGAAAACTGGCACAAGACAGGGATGCCCTCTCTCACCACTCCTATTCAACATAGTGTTGGAAGTTCTGGCCAGGGCAATTAGGCAGGAGAAGGAAATAAAGGGTATTCAATTAGGAAAAGAGGAAGTCAAATTGTCCCTGTTTGCAGACGACATGATTGTATATCTAGAAAATCCCATTGTCTCAGCCCAAAATCTCCTTAAGCTGATAAGCAACTTCAGCAAAGTCTCAGGATACAAAATCAATGTACAAAAATCACAAGCATTCTTATACACCAATAACAGACAAACAGAGAGCCAAATCATGTGTGAACTCCCATTCACAACTGCTTCAAAGAGAATAAAATACTTAGGAATCCAACTTACAAGGGATGTGAAGGACCTCTTCAAGGAGAACTACAAACCACTGCTCAAGGAAATAAAAGAGGATACAAACAAATGGAAGAACATTCCATGCTCATGGGTAGGAAGAACAATATGGTGAAAATGGCCATACTGCCCAAGGTCATTTATAGATTCAATGCCATCCCCATCAAGCTACCAATGACTTTCTTCACAGAATTGGAAAAAACTACTTTAAAGTTCATATGGAACCAAAAAAGAGCCCGCATCGCCAAGTCAATCCTAAGCAAAAAGAACAAAGCTGGAGGCATCATGCTACCTGACTTCAAACTACACTACAAGGCTACAGTAACCAAAACAGCATGGTACTGGTACCAAAACAGAGATATAGATCAATGGAACAGAACAGAGCCCTCAGAAATAACGCCGCATATCTACAACTATCTGATCTTTGACAAACCTGAGAAAAACAAGCAATGGGGAAAGGATTCCCTATTTAATAAATGGTGCTGGGAAAACTGGCTAGCCATATGTAGAAAGCTGAAACTGGATCCCTTCCTTACACCTTATACAAAAATTAATTCAAGATGGATTAAAGACTTAAACTTTAGACCTAAAACCATCAAAACCCTAGAAGAAAACCTAGGCATTACCATTCAGGACATAGGCATGGGCAAGGATTTCATGTCTAAAACACCAAAAGCAATGGCAACAAAAGCCAAAATTGACAAATGGGATCTAATTAAACTAAAGAGCTTCTGCACAGCAAAAGAAACTACCATCAGAGTGAACAGGCAACCTACAAAATGGGAGAAAATTTTTGCAACCTACTCATCTGACAAAGGGCTAATATCCAGAATCTACAAAGAACTCAAACAAATTTACAAGAAAAAAACAAACAACCCCATCAAAAAGTGGGCAAAGGATATGAACAGACACTTCTCAAAAGAAGACATTTATGCAGCCAAAAGACACATGAAAAAATGCTCATCATCACTGGCCATCAGAGAAATGCAAATCAAAACCACAATGAGATACCATCTCACACCAGTTAGAATGGCAATCATTAAAAAGTCAGGAAACAACAGGTGCTGGAGAGGATGTGGAGAAATAGGAACACTTTTACACTGTTGGTGGGACTGTAAACTAGTTCAACCATTGTGGAAGACAGTGTGGCGATTCCTCAGGGATGTAGAACTAGAAATACCATTTGACCCAGCCATCCCATTACTGGGTATATACCCAAAGGACTATAAATCATGCTGCTATAAAGACAAATGCATACGTATGTTTACTGCGGCACTATTCACAATAGCAAAGACTTGGAACCAACCCAAATGTCCAACAATGATAGACTGGATTAAGAAAATGTGGCACATATACACCATGGAATACTATGCAGCCATAAAAAATGATGAGTTCATGTCCTTTGTAGGGACATGGATGAAATTGGAAATCATCATTCTCAGTAAACTATCTCAAGGACAAAAAACCAAACACCGCATGTTCTCTACTCATAGGTGGGAACTGAACAATGAGAACACATGGACACAGGAAGGGGAACATCACACTCTGGGGACTGTTGTGGGGTGGGGGGAGGGAGGAGGGATAGCATTAGGAGATATGCCTAATGCTAAATGATGAGTTAATGGGTGCAGCACACCAGCATGGCACATGTATACATATGTAACTAACCTGCACATTGTGCACATGTACCCTAAAACTTAAAGTACAAAAAAAAAAAAGATTAAACTATATGCTGCCTATAAGAAACTCACTTTAGCTTTAAGAACTATTGTGTGTGTGTGTGTGTGTGTGTGTGTTTTCTTTCTAATTTGCTCTTGAGATCTCTCTCAAGAGAGTTTATACAGACTCTAGCTCTTTAATGATGGAACTCCAAAGGATTTGGTGATGGATGTTTACATTGTACCTTTCTTAGGATACTTCTTTATTCTGGCAGACAGTCTAATGCCTAAGTGTTTGACCTGTGGTCACGTGTCCCTCTCACAGGAAACTTGTTTATACTGGCAGATGCTCTTGTCTATCCTGTGTTCAGCTTATTCCTGCCAAGACAGCCACTCTCTAGGAGAGCCCTGACCAGGACAGAATTTATTTTACTGTGTGTTGGTTAGGTGAGACACAGAGGAGGCAATGCAACAAAACACAGGAAGTAACAGAAGTAGTTTATTACTTCCTGATCCCAGAGAGAAGAGGAAAGCATGCTTCATAGGACAATGGGAACTGGGGAGCCATCTGGGAGATGCATACACAACCAGTGGGTGGGGAGCAAAAGAGAGAGACATGGACCTGTGGTTTGAGGCATTTATTGGGACCCAGGGTGTTACCCAAGAAGTTTTCCCACAGAGACTTCTAACTGGTAGGTTTAGAGCAATCAGGTATGAGTTCCATGGAGGCAGGTTATCACTTAGAGGTGGTCACTGAATATCTGTATGATCCATGTGGCGTGTAGGGGTCAGTGGTACAAAGCAAGAACATTGTATCTACTGTCCCATAGGGAGGTGGTCACCAGGAGGTGGTTGTATAAGGCAGATACCTGTATCAACCATGATGAGGAACAATAAAGAGATAGATAACTAGAAACTGTTGCAGGGGTGACGGACCCCTGCTTCTAGTATGAGGAAGTACAACCTAGATTTAGAATAAATGCCAAAGAAACACAAAATTATAAGAATTCACTAGAAAGACATACATAGGCCGAAAATGAAGGGATGGAAAAAGATATTCCATGCAAATAACAACCAAAAAAGAGGAAGAGTTGCTATACTAACATCAGACAAAATAGACTTCAAGTCAAAAACTGTCACAAGAGACAAAGAAGTTCATAACATAATGGTAAAGGGATCAAGAGGACATAATAATTGTAAATATATATGTACCTAATATTGGAACACCAAAATATGTAAATCAAATATTAGTGGACATAAATAAATAGACAGTAATATAATAATAGTAGGGACTTGAATACCCTACTTTCAAAACTGGAGAGATCAACCAGACAGATGATTAACAAGGTAATATTGAACCTGAACTACACATTAGACCAAATAGACCGAACAGACATACACAGAACATTCCATCCAACAGTAGCAGAACACACACTCTTCTCAAATGAACTGAAACATTCTCCAGGATAGATCATATGTTAGGACACAAAACATGTCTGAAAAAATTTAAGAAGACTGAAATTATATCAAGTATCATTTCTAACTACCATGTTATGAAACTAGAAATAACAGGAAGAAAACTGGAAAATTAATGAATATGTGGAAATTAAACAACACACTCCCAAAAATCAATGGGTCACAGAAGAAATCAAAAGGGAAGTTAAATATATCTTGAGACAAACAAAAATGGAAATACAACATATTAAAACTTACAGAATACCACAAAAGCAGTTCTAAGCAGGAAGTTTATAGCCATAAACAGCTACATTTAAAAAGAAAGATCTCACAGAAATAGCCTAACATTACACCTTGAGGAGCTAGAAAAAGAATAACTAAAACCAAAGTTAGCAGAAGGAAAGAAATAATAAAGATCAGAGCAGAAATAAATCAAATAGGAAACAGAGAAAGTACAGAAAAAAAATTTAAAAAAACTAATAGTTGGTTTCTCTAAAAAATAAAACCAATAAATTCATAGCCAAAAAGACTCAAATAAATAAAATGAAGATATTACAACGAATGCCTCAGAAATAAAAAGGATCACAAGGTATTATTATGAGCAATTACATGCCACCCAACTGGATAAACTAGGGAAAATGGATGAATCCTAGAAAAATACAACCTACCAACATTGAATCAGAAAGAAATGAAAAGCCTGAACAGACTGATAACAAATATAGAGACTGAAGGAGACATTAAAAACCTCCTGACAAAGAAAAGCCCAGGACCAGATGCCATCATGGCTGAATTTTACCAAACATTCAAAGAAGAATTAATACCAATCCTTTTTAAACTCTTCCAAAAATATAACCAGAAGCAATACTACCAAATACATTTTTATGTTGCCAGCATTACCTTGATAATGAAACAAAAGACAGTGCAAGAAAACTATAGGCCTATATCTCTGATGGGTATAGATGCAAAAATTCTCAATAAAATACTCACATACTGAATTCAACAATAGATCAAAATGATTATACAGCATGACCAAGTTGGATTTATCTGTGGCATGCAAGGCTGATTTAACACATGCAAATCAATCGATGTGACACATCACATTAAAACAATAAAAAATAAAACCACGTGATCATCTCAATTGATGCAGAAAAAGCATGTGACAAAGTTCAATATAATTTCTTGATTATAAGCTCTCAACAATATAAGTATAGAAAGAAATTTCCTCAATATGATAAGGGAAATTTAGGAAAAGCCCATAGCCAACATCATAATCTATGGGGGAAAACAGATAGCTTTCCTCTAAGATTTAAGAAAGATTTCCTCTAAGACAAGGCAAGGATGCCCATTCTCACCACTTGTATTCAAGTAGTACTGGAAGTAACAACAAGAGCAATCAGGCAAGAAAAATAAATAAAAGGCAACTGAACATTGTCGAATTCAGTGTGTGAGTATTTTATTAAGAAGTTTTGCATCTATGCTCATCAGAGATATAAGTCAGAAAGGCAGAAGTAAAATTATTTCTATTTGCAGTTAACATGATCCTATAAGAAGAAAACTCCAAAGATTCCACCAAAAAACTGTTAGAATAAAGGAATTCAGTAAAGTTGCAGAATATAAAATCAACATACAAAAATGGGTTGCATTTTTGTATACCAATAATGACCTATCCAAAAAAAATTTGAGAACACATGATCACATAAAAAAGAAAAAAATACTTAGGAATAAATTTAACCAAGAAAGTGAAAGATTTGTACACTGAAAACTATAAAACATTAATAAAGAAATTGAACACCCAAATAAATGGAAAGATGTATTATGTTCCTGGTACACATACATACAATGGAATATTATTCAGCCTTAAAAAAGATCTTGCCATTAGCCACACATGAATAAACCTGGAGGACATTATGCTAAGTGAAATAAACCACACACAGAAAGAAAAATACAGCATGATCTCGCTTACATGTGGAATGTAAAAAAAAAAAAAAAAAAAGTTGAGTACATACAGACAGAGAATAAAATGGTTACCAGGGGGTTTCTCGGGGTAAGGAGCAAATAGGAGGTAAGTCAAAGGGTACCAAGTTGGAACAATTAATACTGTTAGAGTGTCTGTACTACTCAAAGCAATATACAGTTTTGACATAATCCTTACCAAAATTCCAATGTAATTTTTCAGAGACATGGTAAAAACAATTCTAAAATTCATTTGGAACCACAAAAGACTCCCACAGCAATTGAGAAGAAAAACAGATCCTTGTACCAGATCTTAGTGGAAAAGATTTCAGGTTTTTCCCATGGATTATTATGTTAGCTCTGGGTTTTTCATGAATGGCCTTCATTATGTTGAGCAACTTTTCTTCTGTACCTAAACTGTTGAGAGTTTTTACTAATAAAGTATGTTGGACCCTGTCAGATACATTTTCTGTATCAATAGAGATGACTATGTGGTTTTTATTTTTCATTCTGTTATTGTGATGTATCACATTGATTGATTTACATATGTTGAACATGATTGCCAGCTAGAAAGACCCTGAATAGTCAAAAAATTCTGGGAAAGAAAGACAAAGTTGGAGGCATCATACTTCCTGATTTCAAATTCTTTACAAAAGTATTGCAAGCAAAACCACATAAAAACAGAAACACTGACCAATGGAACAAAACACAGAGCCCAGAAAGAAACCCAAATATATGTGATCAACTAATTTTCAACAAAGACCCAAGAATACACAATGGGGAAAGGATAGTCTCAATAAATGGTGGCAGGAAACCTGGATATCCACATGCAAAAGAATTAAATCAAACCCTTATCATATACCATACACAAACTCAATGCAAAATGGATAAAAGACCTAAATGGGATACCCAAAACCATAAAAGTCCCAGAAGAAAACAAAGGGGGAAAGATTCTTGACAATGGCCTTGGAAATTATTCTTTGGATATCACATCAAAAGCTCAGTCTATAAAAGCAAAAATAAGCCCAAGCTTCTGCACAGCTAAACAAAACAAAACAAAAACCCAGCAAAAAAAAAAAGGCAGCCTACAGATTACAAAAAAAAAAAAAAAAATTGCAAACCATACATTTGATAAGGGGTTGATATTCAAAATATATAAAGAACTTGCAAACTCAAAATGAAAATAATATAAAGAACCCAATTAAAAACTGGGCAAAGAATCTGAATAGACATTTCTCCAAAGACATACAAACGGCTAACAAGGATACAAAAATGTGCTCAACATCGCCAATCATCAGGGAAATGAAAATCAAAACCCCAATGAGATATTGCCTCACACCTGTTGGGATGGTTATAATAAAAAAAGATGAGTAGCAAGTGTTGGTAAGGGTATAGATAAAAGGGAACTTTTGTATACTGTTAGTGGGAATGAAAACTAGTGTAGCCATTACAGAAAACAAGTATTGGAGGTTTCATTAAAAATAGAATTACCATTTGACTCAGAAATCCCTCTGCTTGGTATATACCTGAAGAACACAAAATCAGCACTTTGTAGAGATATCTGCACACCCGTGCTCAATGCAGCATTATTCACAATAGCCATAATATAGAAACAACCCAAATGTCAATGGGTAAATGGATAAACTGTGGCATGTGTATACACATACATACAATGGAATATTAGCCCAAGATGCTGCCAATTGCCACACATGAATGAACCTGGAGAACATTATGCTAAGTGATATAAGCCACACACAGAAAGAAAAATACAGCATGATCTCACTCACTTATACGTAAAATGTAAAAAAAAAAAAAAAAAAAAAGTAGAATAGAGACAGAGAATAAAATGGTCATTACCAGGGGGTTAATAGGAGTGAGGAGCAAATGAGAGGAGGTGAGTCAAAGGATACCAAGTTTGCAGGTATGTAGAATAAGTCTAGAGATTTAATGTACAGCATGAGGAGTATAGTCAATAATATTTTAATGTATTTGGAATTTTTGCTGAGAGAGTATATTTTAAGTTCTATTCCCACAAAAAGAGAGTATGTAAGATGATGGGTCTTTTAATTTGCTTGACTGTAGTAAACATTTCACTGTATATAAAAAACCAGGTTATCATACACACACACACACACACACACACACACACACACACACAAAAACTATGGGCATTTATTACAAATAGGCCTCCCTGCAAGAAATGCTAACGGGACTCTTTCAGGCTTAAATGAACCATAGTAACTCAAAGCCATATGAAGAAATAAAGATCTCTGAAAAAGGGAAATATACAATCATAAAAGTGTTACTATAACTTTGGTTTGTAACTCTTTTTGTTTTCTACATGACTTATGAGACTAATATTTAAAAAATTACTAGTCTGTTTTTAGATACAAAATGCATTAATATGTAATTGTGTGACATCAACAACTGAAAAGTAGTGAAAATAAAGCTTTATAGGGGCAAGTTTTTTGTATGTTGTTAAGCTGTTTTGTATGTATGTTAATTTACAAGTTATAACATTCTATAGAGTGTTATAAGTTGAGGAAGGTAATTGTAATGCCCATGGTAACCAGAAAGTAGGTACAGAATGTCCACAAAGGGAATGAGAAGGGAATTTAAATGTCTCACTACAAAAAAAATTAACTAAACCCAAAAGATGACTAACGTAGGAAATGAGGAACAAAAAGCTATAAGGTATATAGATAACAAGTACCAAAATAATAGAAGTTTCTCTTTATTAGTAGTTACTTTATTATTTATTATTTTTTATTATTATTGAGATGAAGTCTCACTCTGTCGCTCAGGCTGGAATGCAATGGTGCAATCTCGGCTCACTGTAACCTCTGCCTCCTGGGTTCAAGCAATTCTCCTGCCTCAGCCTCTGAGTAGCTGGGATTATAGGCGCCCACCACCACGCCTGCCTAATTTTTGTACTTTGAGTAGAGATGGGGTTTCACCATGTTGGCCAGGCTAGTCTCGAACTCCTGACCTCAAGTGATCTGCCTGCCTTGGCCTACCAAAGTGTTAGGATTACAGGTGTGAGCCACTCCGCCAGCCTATTTGTAGTTACCTTAAATATAAATGTATCAAATCCTCCAATCAAGAGACTCACAGAATGGATTGAAAAAACAAGATCCGGCCGGGCGCGGTGGCTCACGCCTGTAATCCCAGCACTTTGGGAAACCAAAGCGGGCGGATCACGAGGTCAGCACATCGAGACCATCCTGGCTAACACTGTGAAACCGTGTCTCTACTAAAAATACAAAAAATTAGCTGGGCGAGGTGGCGGGCGCCTGTAGTCCCAGCTACTGGGGAGGCTGAGACGGGAGAATGGCATGAACCCGGGAGGGGGAGCTTGCAGTGAGCCAAGATGGCGCCACTGCACTCCAGCCTGGGCGGCAGAGCGAGACTCCGTTTCAAAAACAAAAACAAAAACAAAAAAACAAGATCCAACTCTATGTTGCCTATGAGAAACTCATGTTAACTCCAAGTCACAAATTGGTTGAAAGTGAGAGGACAGAAAAATATATTTCATGCAAGTGGTAACTGAAAGATAGCAAGTAGCTATATTATCAGACAAAATAAAGTTTAAATCAGATGTTTACATGAGACAAAGGAGATTATATATTAATAAAAAGATTCAGTAGAGCAAGATGATATAAAAATTATAAACATTTATCTACCTAATAACAAACCATCAAAATATATAAAGCAAAAATGGACAAAATTGAAGGGAGAAATACAGTTGTATAATAATAGTTGGAGACTTTAGTACCTTACTGTCAGTAATGAATAGTACAACCAGGTAGAAGACAAATAAGGAAGGACCTGAACATCATGATAAGCCAACTAGAGCCGACATATACAGAACACTCTACCCAACAATAACAGAATACATATTAATCTCAAGTGCACATGGGATATTCTCCAGGATGGACTATGTGTTAGTACCCAAATGAAGCCTCAATAGATTGAAAAAAAAAATCATACAAAACCTCTTCTAAAACAAGTTAGAAGTGAATAACAGAGGAAAAATGGGAATATTCACAAATTTGTGGAAATTAAACAGATGTCCTCAAGCAAGAAACAGGTCAAAGATGAAATTACAAGGAAAAATAGAAAATACTTGAGACAAATAGGCCAGGCATGGTAGCTCATGCCTGTAATCCCAGCATGTTGGGAGGCTGAGGCAGGAGGATTGCTTGAGCACAGGAGTTCAATACGAGCCTGGGAAACAGACAGAGTACCGGTCTCTACAAAAAAACAAAAATGAGCCAGGCACAGTGGCGCACACCTGTAGTTCTAGCTACTCGTGAAGCTGAGGTGGGAGGATCACTTGAGCCTAGGAGGTCAAGGCTGCAATGAGCTGATTGTACCACCACACTCCAGCCTGGGTGAGAAGATGAGAGACGAGACCCTGTCTCAAAAAAAAAAAAAAAAAAAAAAGCAACAAATGAAGATGAAAAATAAAAATATAAACACTCATGGGATACAGAAAAAGTAGGAGTAAGGGGGAAAATTTAAAGCTAAATAATACAAAAAGATTGGAAAAACATGCCAAGGAGTCTGGCTAAGCTAGACTTAATTTAAAAAGTTGTATTCATTTCTTTCAAGAAAAAATAGAATATAAAAACAAATTACCAATGTGTTCATTAGAAATGTCATTTGCTGACTCCTTTGTTTGACCAACCTCTATTGAGCAGGTGTGATATGCCTGAGCTTAATGCAGGGTACAATTGGATGTGGTCCAGAGCTAAAGTCATACTTCGTGTCTGCAGCTGCAGCCACATTTACTCTCTTTTAGGCACAGAGGCCACTCTTGCTCTTGGACACAACACAGAAGGGAAGGCAGGTGCTGAGAAGCACTACTTAGCAACTTCAGTGGTGTATCAAGCCCACCAGCAAAAGCACCTGCTATGATCTCAGACCAATACAAGTCCCTGACTACCACAACCACCTGCAAGACGGAGCCCCCATGAGGGGTTACATAGATGCCACATCCTTCCCTGCCCTAGACCTTCTCCAAGAAATCAGGTGGTACCAGAAATCCCAGGAGCCTCAAGAGCCCTTTCCAAATATGGGTTCAGGAAGTTGCTCAAACACTGTAATCTGATCTGCTTCTTTAGATCCTGGCTATTGGGGCTTTGCTTGCTACCTGGTTGGTTTGTTTGAAGACATCAATCTTTATGTTATCCGTACCAAGCACATCTTGCCCAGGACTTTTGGCTGGCATGGTGCTTCTGGAAGACAAGCACTTGGCCTGCAGTCCCAGCATCACACATTATTCATCCTCTTATGGTGATGTGAACACTCAACTTTGCTTTTTCCAAGGACGTTACCAAAGCATATGATGCAAATGGAAAAATGAGCTGAGCCCCCTACTCCCCATTAAAAAGATGTGTATGTAAAGTATTAGTGAGGGAAAAATGTTTGGCAGTTTAAACTGATGGCAACTTAATGGTTTTGTTTTATATATAAACTTCAGTATTTGTTTTCCTATACGTTGTGACTATTGTCTGTCTTCTGTCCTGTTCCAGTAATTTTGATATAAAAAGAACTTATACTACCAAATGAAATATTGCCTATGTGTCATCACTCAGCTCAACTTCCTCACCTCACCAGTACTGTCATATCCGTATCACTGATAAAAATGTTCCCCTTCGGAATATGGAATGGCCTTTATGAGTTCAGTCTCCTCTCAGAATCCTTGTTAAAATTCTACACTAACCCGGAAGATGAGTTCTCAAAACCTGGCCCAAGTCATGCCCCCATGAACTCTACACACTGGCAGGGTTCCCTTTACTACTTGAAATGATGTTTTTTTTTTCAGGTCCTGACATGTGTGAAGATTGCTGTTTTAGTCCATTTTGTGTTGTTTTAACAGAACACCAGAAACTGGGTAGCTTATAAAGAATAAAAGTTGTTGTTGTTTTTTTTAAAACACTTTTGGAGGCTGGAAAATCCAAGATCAAGGGGCCACATGTGGTGACTTCTTGCTATGTCATAACATGGCAGAAGGCATCACATGTGAGAGTGCCCATGAGAGAGCATGAGAGGGCTGAACTTGCTTTTATAACAAAGTCACTGTCTTGATAATGAACCCACTCATGTGATAGAGAAATTAATCCATTCATGATGGCAGAGCACTCATGACCTAATCGCCTCTTTAAGGTTCCACATCTGAGCGCTGTTGCAATAGGAATTAAGTTTCCAACATACGAACTTTGGGGGGACACATTCAAACCATAGCTAATGTGAAACTTCACTCTTTTTGCCCATGATGGGGCCAACTCAACTGCCAGTCTCTGAATTCTCTTTTCTTTTAGAAGTTGTTGTGATGTGATTCTACTGCCTAGATAACTCAGAATGCAGTTCCTGTGTAAAACGCATCACGGGACCCAACTGAAATCATCTCGAGTGTAACCAGGAAACAGAACTCAGGGCAAGAGTGGCCATTATATGCTGAAAAAAGCTAAGGGGTGGGTGTGTGCTATCCTTCAATACCTGAAATGATTTTTCTCTAGAGTATTTAGATATCTGGTGTGTAACTTCTATCCTGGAATGTAACAAAAAAACCCAAGGTTGACAATACTCCAGCTTAGTTCTGGATTCTTAAAACTTCCAGGAGAGGAAGGCTGGGGGTGCATGAAGTCATGCAGGAGCTTTTTGTGGAAAAGCAATTTATTGGGAACTCAACAAACTGGGCTAAGTCATGTCAGCCAGTTGACAGAAGAATAAAAGGCTCAAGGTTTTAAAATTTTCAGAAACGGTCTCACCAGAGTGTTAAAGAAAAATTGATGTTACTATAGTATGAGGAACTCACACACCCCCATCACATCATGGCTGAATCTCCTTTAGGCCTAATTTATCTTTTTGTTTTATGAGTTATAATCTTTCTTGAGGCTCTTTTAAGGAACACAGGTCTTTGATTTTTAATAATACTGGTAAAATATATAATGGTAATAATTATTACCTACTGCTCACTTATTCTGTGCCACGTATTAAGGAACAGACACAGATGAACTGAGACAATTCTTTCAGAAAGGATTGTAGGTAATTACCATTATTATGGTAATGAGGAGACTGAGACATATTAAAGAACTGACTTTCCAAGGTCACAGCCATATGGGAAGAAAGGGAATGAATAATCTAGTGATGTCAATAAGCCATTTAGTAAATTGAGAATCTGCTGGGTCTCATAACATATTGGGGACCCTAAACTCACTTTTATTATTTTACAAGTTAGCTGTATAGAGGTATACTTTATGCAAAGTAGACAAATTTTTAGTATATTTTGATGGGTTCTAAAAACTTATACAGCTCTGTAAAGATCACCAACATTTATATATGGAACATTCCATCATAATAAAAAAATTCCCTTATTCCTCTAACCAGTGTATCCTCACACCCCGCTGCCCCCAGCCTTAGGCAATGAATGGTCCACTTTCTTTCTATCCCTCTAGACTTGATGTCTTTCGTAGAACTTTATATAAATAGGATATAATACAGCTCTACCCTCTTGTGCCTGGCTTCTTTTGCTCCGCACAATCTGAAGATTTATCAATGTTGCTGCATGCATTTGCAGTTTCTTCCTTGTACAGCTGTATTGCATTATATGGTAATATTACTGTTTACATATTTTTCTGCTGATAAATAACCCAATTATTTACAATTTGGGGTTAGTATGAGTAAAGATTCTATGAACATTTGCATATAATTCTTTGTCTTTCTCTGGGGTAAATGCCTAGAATGAAAATTGCTGGTTGTAGGTAAGGTACTGTTATCTTTATAAGGAACTATGAAATGGATTTGTATTGCTATCACACGAACATGCACTTTCTTGCTGACCAAAGCTTTGGACATTGTTTCTAGTATTTATTGGCTAACTATATATCTTTAGTGAAATATCTATTTTAATGTTTTCCTTTTTTTTTGGTCCATTATAACTGCATTTTCTGTACTATAAACATTGTTTTTTTTTCCTTTAAGAGACAGAAAGTCTTGCTCGGTCACCCAGGATGGAGTACAGTGGCATGATCACAGCTCACCACAGCCTCAAATTCCTGGGCACAAGCAATCCTCCCACCTCAGCCTCCCAAGTAGCTAGGACTAGGACTACAGGCATGTGCCACTATGCTTGGTTAATTTTATTTTTTGTAGAGATAGGCTCTTGTTATGTTGTGCAGGATGGTCCTGAACTCCTGGCTTCAAGCAATCCTCCTGCCTTGGCCTCCCAAAGTGCTGGGATTACACAGGTGAGCCACCATATCCGGTCAGTTTCTTTTGTTTTCTATCATAAATTTTGTACTTTTAGCGATTTTGTTTGGATCTGTGATTTATTTTGAGTAAGTTTTAAATCATGTTGTAAAGATCAAGTTGCATTTACAATATACAAGTATCATTATTGATACAGTTTGCCTGTGTCCCCACCTAAAATCTCATCTTGAATTGTAATCCCCATAATCCCCACGTGTTAGAGGTAGGACCAGCTGGAGGTAAATGGATCATGGGGGATAGTTTTCCCCATGCTGTTCTTGTGATAGCAACTGAGTCTCATGAGATCTGATGGTTTTATAGCATCTGGCATTTGCCCTGCTGCACTCACTCCGCTGCCCTGTAAAAAAGATGCCTGCTTCTTTGCCTTCTGCCATGATCATAAGTTTCCTGAGGCCTCCCCAGCCATGCAGAACTGAGAGTCAATTAAACCTCTTTCCTTTACAAATTACCCAGTCTTGGGGATTTCTTCACACCAGTGAGAGAATGGAGTAATACAATTATCTCAGCATCATTTTTTTTTTTTTTTTTTTGAGACGGAGTCTTGCTCTGTCACCCAGGCTGGAGTGCAGTGGCGTGATCTTGGCTCACTGCAAGCTCTCCCTCCTGGGTTCACGCCATTCTCTTGCCTCTGCCTCCTGAGCAGCTGGGACTACAGGCGCCCGCCACCACACCTGGCTAATTTTTTGTATTTTTAGTAGAGATGGGTTTTCACCGTGTTAGCCAGGATGGTCTTGATCTCCTGACCTTGTGATCCGCCTGCCTCGGCCTCCGAAAGTGCTGGGATGACAGGCGTGAGCCACTGCGCCCAGCGGCATCATTTTTGAAAACAATCATCATTTTCCCATCAAATTACCCTGGAACATTTGTCAAAAAACAACTGATGATGTTCAGTTACAACTCAGAGAAATAGCAGGCAAGAGCACTGCTTCTATTCATAAAACAAGAAAATAGTTGGGAAGACTTTAACTTTTCTTCAATGCACCAAATATCTGAAGCCACAGGGCAAAAAGCTATCTGGAAAACTAGGTGGTTGTAGAGAGAAACAAAGATCCAAGCAGTTTTTTAACTGAGAGAAAGAATGCCAAATGCCATATAAAGTGACTCCAGTGGGAAAACTAGACAACATGCAGTATCAGGTAGGTAACTGTGGCAGAGAGATAAAAACTATAATAAAATTACAATGCTAAAAATGAAAAACACAGTACCATAAATGAAGAATGCCTTCCAAAGGTCCATTATTATACTCAACACTGCTAGGAAAGAATCAGTGATGTTGAAGATATATATATATATATTTGCTTGTGTATTTGTGTGTGAGAGACACACATAGAAAAAAAGAGAGAGAGAAATATATTGGTTGACACTGGCTTCTTTGAAAAAAGGCAGTTTAGTAACAATGGCCTTTACTAGACAGACATGTTAGAAGGCAGCAGGAGAAAGGGAATGTGGTATCAGATATTTTCTGTAAAAGGTTTGTTATTAATATTCATGTGGCAAATTGTAGCTGATGTCAAAGTAGTTATAAAGCAAGGGGAACACAATTCTTTTACAGCAATGTTGAGGTCTAAGAAACATAAAACAAATACCTGGTAAGTACCATGCATATATACATACATAAACAATCAATAACTCACAAAACATTCACATATTTGCAACACTGCTTTTCAGTTTATGCAGTTTATTTTTTGTTCTTTTTAAGCTTTTTATTATAGTGAATGTCTTATATTTCATTAAAAGTTTTGATATTATATGTGAAACAACAGTTCTGATAAAGCAATATCTAGATAAAGGCTATTACTTACCTTTCTCAAATTGATAGATTTTCTCCTTGTAACAAGCTCTGATATAAAATATGATAATTTGTTGAAAACTTTTACACATTCAAAACTAAATTATCATATATTTAATGAGACTTTGGGTGTGTATGTGTGAGTGTGTGTCTGTGTGTGTGAAGAATTTCCTATATTTGTTAAAATGTCAGATTTCTTATGATATTACCTGTCTGATGAGGAAGACTTTGGGGATAAAAGCCATGGTCATTCAGGATGCTGTCCGAGATTTGTCCTATGTGACTTTTCTGACATACACTGAGTTCAGATGTCCTGAAAAATCATACTCCTAAGTTTTATTATGTGAGGGTTGTTGAGTTTCTGTCAGTATCAAGTATACCCAAACCTTTAGAAGTTCAGCAGGGAACACATTTATTTCCTCACTGCAAGAAGTCCAACTGTGTACAGGGAGGAGAAAACTCCATGCCACAGGATCCTTCTCTGACCCGGGTTCCTACCATCTTGTACTTTCCATCATCAGAGCCTGAGTCCCAAGGTTTTCCTCCATTCCATTCTAATGAGGGATAGAAGAAAATATTGAGAATTTGACTGATGTATTTAAGACCTGTCACTGACCCCATATTCCACTAGCTAGAGGGTAACAATATGACCCCGTTTAGATGAGAGAGTGGTTGAGAAATTTAGGCCAGGTGTGGCATGAGGGAGAAGTGAAAATGATTACTAGTGAACATTTCAATAGTTATTATACGACATATAGGGATTACCTCTGTGTAGGTTAAAATGAGGGTTGACATGGCAGAAGAATTTCCCACATCCATTAACTTCATTTCTTGTTTGTTTTAATATACTATGAGGTCTCTATCTTGAATGTATTTTCTGCTGTACTGACTTTTCATTAAAGTTTATCACACACTTATTATATTCTAGCTTTTGTCATTGTGTGATTTCTCTGATGGTGAATGAGTTTTGATTGTTGGCACAAAGTTTTCACATTTTTATTACTTTCTCAGAGCTTTTCTGCAGCGTGAGTTTTCTGAGGAGTGAGTTCGCAAGAGTATTTTCCATATTCATTATGTTTATAGGGTTTCTTTGCTGTGTGAGTTCTGTATATCCATAGAAGACTGGGCTCTGGCTGAAAGAATGCCCATATAAAATAGATTTCAACAATTTATCTTCTATTCTTTGATATTTGGTGGAGGCTGAAATTGTAGAGGAAATTCCAGTGCTCACTATGTTAACAGTTCTCTCCTGTGTGTTCATTTATGTATTGTGAGGTTTGATTTCCAGCTCAGAGTTTTTTCGTATTCTTTATATGCATACATTTAATCCCCTGGGTGGGCTTTCTGATGTTCTCTAAGGCTTGATTTTTGACTGAAAGTTCTCCCACATTTATCACATTTATAGGGTTTCTCCCCTGTGTGAGTTCTCTGATGTACTCTGAGATTGGATTTCTGACTGAAAGCTTCCCCACACTGATTACAATTATATGGTTTCTCCCCGGTGTGAGTTCGCTGATGTTTTCTTAGGACTGACTTCTCACTGAAAGCTTTTCCACATTCATTACATTCATAGGGCTTCTCCCCAGTGTGAGTTCTCTGATGCCCTCTGAGATTTGATTTCTGCCTGAATGTTTTTCCACACTCCTCACATTGATAGGGTTTCTCCCCAGTATGAGTTCTGTGATGTACTCTGAGGTTTGATTTCTGACTGAAAGCTTCCCCACAATGATTACATTTATAGGGTTTTTCCCCTGTGTGAATTCTATGATGTCCTCTGAGTTGTGATTTCTGACCGAAAGCTTTTCCACACTGATTACATTTGTAGGGCTTCTCCCCTGTGTGTGTTCTATGATGTTTCCTCAGGCCTGACTTCAGTTTGAAAGCTTTCCCACATTCATCACATTTATATGGTCTTTCCCCTGTGTGAGTTCTTCGGTGATTCCTTAGGCCTGACATATGGCTGAAAGATTTCCCGCATTCATTACATTCAAAAGGTTTCTCCCCTGTGTGAGTTCTCTGATGCACTATGAGGATTGACTTATAGTTAAAAGATTTCCCACATTCATGACATTCGAATGGTTTCTCCCCTGTGTGGGTTCTCTGGTGTATTCTTAGGCCTGACTTTGCACTGAAAGCTTTATCACATCCATCACATTTGTATGGTTTCTCTCCCGTGTGAGTTCTCTGATGTTTTCTTAGGCGTGACTTCTCACTGAAGGCTTTCCCGCACTCAGGACATTCATAGGGTTTCTCCCCTGTGTGACTTTTCTGAGGCCAAATCAAGTGTGAATTCATAGAGCAGGATTTCCCACATTCATTATACTCATAGGGTTTTGCCCTTATGTGAACCTTCTGATGTACACTGAAAGTTGACTGGTAGCTGAATGTCTCTGTACATGGGTGATAATCAGAGTATTTATCTGTTGCATGAGTTCTCTGATGCACTGGGAGGGTTGAATTACGGTTGAAACTTTTTCCATATTCAAAGGGTTTCACCCCTATATGAACTCTATGATGTTCTCTAATGTGTGACTTTTGGCTGAAGGATTTCCCTCCTGTGAGAGTTTTGTGAGTGATTCTACAGAAACAATTTCCAGTATCATTAAACTCATAGTGACTCTTCTCTGGATTCATGTTCTGAGGAATAATAAAGGTTGATTTATCATATTTGTTTTCCCCAAATTTATTGAAATTGTAAGATTTTCCTTTTGGGTGGGTACTGTTAGATGTAACAAGGGCAGCCTTTTCAAGAAAAGCTTTTCTACTTTCATTATATTCAAAATCTTGCCCCAGAGTCTGAATTGTCTGATGTTGAATAACTTCCTCCTTATGATGGAGGGTTTTCACAATTTTACTATAAGCGAAAGATTTCTCTTGAGTGTTAGTTCTGCCATCCTTAATACTGATGAGCCATTTGTCACAAACATTACGCTCATGAGCCTTTTCTTTTGAATACTGACAGTGTGGGGCCATCAGGCTGAGCCCCTGGCAAGCAGACCCCGCAATGTCACATTTACAAGGCATCATTCTTGCACGAAAAATGTTTATGTCTCGATTATGTGGTTTTCCTGAAATTTCTTGCTCTGTAGTCAATAATTTATTGGTGAATAAAACTTGCAACAAATGTTTGCCTTGATTTTCTGGGCTCTTCTCTGAGATTTCATCAGGTTGGGAGTCTTCTAAAAATGATAAAATTAAACAAACTTTATGATATTTAACACATTTCTTATGGAATGGGACATATATGTATATATATGCCCTATTATGTATTTGATTCCTTAGTTTCTGGCTCAGTTTCTCAACAATAAAGTAATTTCAAGTACATATTCCCCATATTCCCTTTTTAGCTTAAATTTTTTTTTGTAGTAGAAAAAGAAATGGGAAATGAATATATATACATATTTGGCATCTTAAAATAGAATTTTCAAAACTGAATAGAGAAGAGGATATAAATCAACAAAATGACTGAGAATGGTGTATACGTAAGAGCATTGGATCCTGGGAACAGGAAAATCAGAGAATGGGATGAATAAAAAAAGATTACCAACATGAAGTAGATAACAACAACAAAAATCAATGGATTAGTGGTTTTATCTGAGACAGGGTTTGCCGTAGGGAGTAACGCTAGTCTAGATTCTTATACAAATATAAATTACAATGGTAGGATAATCATTAGCCTGCAATAGTTCAGTTGGAGCTCCATTTCCATTCTACACATCACAAAAGAAATTTATAATGACACCAATTTCCTCATGTTAAAAGAAATACTACTATAGACAACATTTTAATTCTGTCTGCATTATCATCAAAGGAACACACATGTGTAAGTGGAAATGTAAAATTGATGGGAGTTAAAGTCATTTTTCCACCTAGACTGGATTCACTGCTCTGCCCTAGCTCTGGTGACTTGGTTTATTATGTCAGGGTTGTTCAATAGTGAATCTTTTTTTTTTTTTTTTCTTTTTTTTGAGATAGAGTCTTGCTCTGTCGCCCAGGCTGGAGTATAGTGGCGTGATCTTGGCTCACTGCAACTTCTGCCTCCTGGGTTCAAGTGATTCTCCTGTCTCAGCCTCCCGAGTAGCTGGGATTACAGGCATGTGCCACCATGCCCGGCTAATTTTTGTATTTTTAGTAGATACAGGGTTTTGCCATGTTGGCCAGGCTGGTCTCGAACTCCTGATCTCAGGTGATCCACCTGTCTTGGCCTCCCAAAGTGCTAGGATTACAGGCATGAGCCACCACATCCGGCCAATAGTGAATCTTTTTAGATCATCAAATCTTAACTTTTGTCTTTTCAGTTTGCTCACTCATTTCCCTAAAACCAGCTTTGTCTTTGTCCAATCCTTAATTCTGCTTTCAATCTACTTTTTAACATTGCTAGTTTTTATTGACTATGTGAACCTTACGGATCATATATTTTAACCTGGACTTAGAAACTTTACACATATCCTTTATATTTATTTATCATAGATTTCCTGTGTATATTTGACTGCTATTGCCCTACTGCTACCCGCATTCCATGCAAAAATGTCAGCCTTGTGCTAAAAATATTCCAAGGCCTTAAATATACTGCCTTAGTGCCCTAACAGATATTCAGGAAAAGAAGGTTTTACACTAACTGTAGGCTCATTACATGTTGTAGCTCTCACTGCAACAGCCCACAGTCTTTTCTGCTCTAGTCTTGACAGGATATCACCAGTAAATAGTATATTTTCAGCAATAATCTTATATTCTTTCTCTGAATCACTCTGCTTTTTAGCCTTAGACCTATGTAGACTCTAGATGTCCTTCAGGCAATGCAAAGCATTTCCCAAATTACACACACATACAAAAGGCTTCTTGTGTCTTCCCACAAATATAAGGAACATTTATTTAAAATCTGAAAGTAGTTACTGTCTATAGTATTCATTTTAACAAGGAATATATGGATAGTACTCATATATCTGACACTCATGATTTTTTAAGAAAAAATTATCATCATTCAAATTAGGAAGCATTTTAAAACTTACGGCACGTGCATGGTTAAATGGCATTTTCTCTTTCTTAGTTGTACGTCAAATAATAGTTCACTTTTTTTTTTTTTTTTCTTGAGACAGAGTCCTTGATCTGTCACCCAGGCTGGAGTGCAGTGGTGCGATCTCGGCTCACTGCAAGCTTCACCTCCCGGGTTCACACCATTCTCAGCCTCCTGAGTAGCTGGGACTACAGGTGCCCACCACCATACCCGGCTAATTTTTTGTGTTTTTAGTAGAGATGGGGTTTCACCATGTTAGCCAGGATGGTCTCGATCTTCTGACCTCGTGATCTGCCCACCTTAGCCTTCCAAAGTGCTGGGATTACAGGCGTAAGCCACCGCGCCTGGCCAATAGTTCACTTTTTAATCAACAGCATTAATTATTTTATTCAGCTTTGTTCTCCTTTCCAAAATATAACCTTCGTTCTGATATACTTTATATCTCTCTGTAATTTATATGAAGACAGTGACTGTTAAAAAGCAGTGTGCCTCAAAATTACCTCCTCTTTCCTACACAAGTGCTCAGACTCAATGCTAACCTACACCTGATTATTCAAAAGTCTCAGAAATTTGACTGGGGTGTTTGCATTTAGGGATCATGTTTTTTGAATGAATCAATATGAAACACCTCTCCCGAGTGGCTTTGAAGTTAATACACAATATTATTAAAAATACTTACATGTTATATTGCATGGACTCAATATATAGAAGAGTAAAGCAGAGACCATTCTTTTTAGTGGGTTATAATCCAGGTGGGAATGGAGCACATTCATAGCTATGTGCTCTCTGGCACAGTGTTTCATTTTCTTTTAACACATCTATCAAGTAGGTTGTGAGTTTACAAAAAGAAGAGATAAGGCATACACTAAAGTATTTCAAACTATACCACAGAAGTAGGAATTTAAATCAAAACTTTGAGTAATAGTGCTTTCCCCCTTTTTCGAATTGAGACTATTTTATTCAGTTATTTTTATTGCAAGAACCGCTTTTGGCTTTAAAATTTATACTAATATAGTCTTATTTTTATTACATCTTTTGCTTTGCTTAGTTTTCTTTGAAAACTTTTTCACTTTTAAAAACAAGTACATAAGACTAATATAAGACTAAAAGTTTTTCTAAGCACTGCTTTATCTATATCCCAAAGGTTCTAATATGCATGTTTTTTATCTTTGAAATTTTCTGGATATTAGACAATTTTGATTTTCATTTACTCTTTGATTAAATATGTTTTTAAAGATATATATTCCTTATTGAGTTTAAGATAGACTTTAATTCTTCTTACATTGTTTGCAATTTGCAGTTTTACTGGACAATAATATCTTTGTGGATTTATTCATTTTTGCACAAAATACTTTTATATTTTGTCAGGGTCCCATGGTCATTTTAAAAAGGGTTCATTCTGTTTCCAGAGCAGAGTTGTGAAAGACACATCAGATTCATTTTTATAAAATATGTTATTTATAACTTCTAGAGCAGGAGTCAGTAAACTTTTTCTGTAAAAGGCCAGAGAGTAAATGTTTTCCACTGGGCTGATCATGTGGTCTCTGTTGTAACTACTCAATTCTACCTCGTAGCATGAGCACATAAATGAATAGCTATGGCTGTGTTCTAGAAAAATATTTCCTGACCAAAATAGGCAGCAGGTAGAATTTCACCTGTGTCCTCATTTGCTGAGCACTAGTCTAGGAACTCAGTTGTGATCCACTGGCTCTGGTATGAAATCAAAGAGGTAAATTAAAGTCTATGTGACCTAATATGTTTCCATTTTTCCTCAGAACACTTGCAGTTTTTTGTTTTATGACACCTGATGAAAATTTAGTGCACAAATATTCAAAACTCTTAAATATATTTTAAAGTTCTCTACTTTTAAAATATCCTTTTAAAACTGTCTATTTTAGCATTATCAAAATGCCCTTTCTCTTCTCTGTTTTTTGACCTGAATTTAACTTTAGTGTTATTGAGTTTACAAACAGAAGAGATAAAGTATAGGGTAAAGTATTCCAAGATTACGCTATAGAGGTAGGAATTTAAAGCAAATAAACACTGAATTATTTTAGTTTATTGCCTTAGCAATTCATAACCGTATTTTGAACTTCTCAAATTATTTTTAAAATATACCTCTTTAACAAAATCTAATAGCATTTTCTCTTAATAGGTGAATTTAATCCACTTAACATTAGTTGATATGGCAAATATGTTTGTCTTACTCTACGTTATGCCAGGGATCTGCATAGCTTTTGTGTAGATAAGAGTTGATTCATAGACCAATAACAGGAGCTGAAATTGTGGCAATAATCAATAGCTTACCAACCAAAAAGAGTCCAGGACCAGACAGATTCACAGCCGAATTCTACCAGAGATACAAGGAGGAACTGGTACCATTCCTTCTGAAACTATTCCAATCAACAGAAAAAGAGGGAGTCCTCCCTAACTCATTTTATGAGGCCAGCATCATCCTGATACCAAAGCCAGGCAGAGACACAACCAAAAAAGAGAATTTTAGACCAATATCCTTGATGAACATTGATGCAAAAATCCTCAATAAAATACTGGCAAACCGAATCCAGCAGCACATCAAAAAGCTTATCCACCATGATCAAGTGGGCTTCATCCCTGGGATGCAAGGCTGGTTCAATATACGCAAATCAATAAATGTGATCCAGCATATAAACAGAACCAAAGACAAAAACCACATGATTATCTCAATAGATGCAGAAAAGGCCTTTGACAAAATTCAACAACCCTTCATGCTAAAAACTCTCAATAAATTAGGTATTGATGGGACATATCTCAAAATAATAAGAGCTATCTATGACAAACCCACAGCCAATATCATACTGAATGGGCAAAAACTGGAAGCATTCCCTTTGAAAACTGGCACAAGACAAGGATGACCTCTCTCACCACTCCTATTCAACATAGTGTTGGAAGTTCTGGCCAGGGCAATTAGGCAGGAGAAGGAAATAAAGGGTATTCAATTAGGAAAAGAGGAAGTCAAATTGTCCCTGTTTGCAGACGACATGATTGTATATCTAGAAAACCCCATTGTCTCAGCCCAAAATCTCCTTAAGCTGATAAGCAACTTCAGCAAAGTCTCAGGATACAAAATCAATGTACAAAAATCACAAGCATTCTTATACACCAATAACAGACAAACAGAGAGCCAAATCATGAGTGAACTCCCATTCACAACTGCTTCAAAGAGAATAAAATACCTAGGAATCCAACTTACAAGGGATGTGAAGGACCTCTTCAAGGAGAACTACAAACCACTGCTCAAGGAAATAAAAGAGGATACAAACAAATGGAAGAACATTCCATGCTCATGGGTAGGAAGAATCAATATGGTGAAAATGGCCATACTGCCCAAGGTCATTTATAGATTCAATGCCATCCCCATCAAGCTACCAATGACTTTCTTCACAGAATTGGAAAAAACTACTTTAAAGTTCATATGGAACCAAAAAAGAGCCCGCATCGCCAAGTCAATCCTAAGCAAAAAGAACAAAGCTGGAGGCATCACACTACCTGACTTCAAACCATACTACAAGGCTACAGTAACCAAAACAGCATGGTACTGGTACCAAAACAGAGATATAGATCAATGGAACAGAACAGAGCCCTCAGAAATAACGCCGCATATCTACAACTATCTGATCTTTGACAAACCTGAGAAAAACAAGCAATGGGGAAAGGATTCCCTATTTAATAAATGGTGCTGGGAAAACTGGCTAGCCATATGTAGAAAGCTGAAACTGGATCCCTTCCTTACACCTTATACAAAAATCAATTCAAGATGGATTAAAGACTTAAACGTTAGACCTGAAACCATCAAAACCCTAGAAGAAAACCTAGGCATTACCATTCAGGACATAGGCATGGGCAAGGATTTCATGTCTAAAACACCAAAAGCAATGGCAACAAAAGCCAAAATTGACAAATGGGATCTAATTAAACTAAAGAGCTTCTGCACAGCAAAAGAAACTACCATCAGAGTGAACAGACAACCTACAAAATGGGAGAAAATTTTCGCAACCTACTCATCTGACAAAGGGCTAATATCCAGAATCTACAAAGAACTCAAATTTACAAGAAAAAAACAACCCCATCAAAAAGTGGGCAAAGGACATGAACAGACACTTCTCAAAAGAAGACATTTATGCAGCCAAAAGACACATGAAAAAATGCTCACCATCACTGGCCATCAGAGAAATGCAAATCAAAACCACAATGAGATACCATCTCACACCAGTTAGAATGGCAATCATTAAAAAGTCAGGAAACAACAGGTGCTGGAGAGGATGTGGAGAAATAGGAACACTTTTACACTGTTGGTGGGACTGTAAACTAGTTCAACCATTGTGGAAGTCAGTGTGGCAATTCCTCAGGGATCTAGAACTAGAAATACCATTTGAGCCAGCCATCCCATTACTGGGTATATACCCAAAGGACTATAAATCATGCTGTTATAAAGACACATGCACATGTATGTTTATTGTGGCATTATTCACAATAGCAAAGACTTGGAACCAACCCAAATGTCCAACAATGATAGACTGGATTAAGAAAATGTGGCACATATACACCATGGAATACTATGCAGCCATTAAAAATGATGAGTTCATGTCCTTTGTAGGGACATGGATGAAATTGGAAATCATCATTCTCAGTAAACTATCGCAAGAACAAAAAACCAAACACCGCATATTCTCACTCATAGGTGGGAATTGAACAATGAGAACACATGGACACAGGAAGGGGAACATCACACTCTGGGGACTGTTGTGGGGTTGGGGGAGGGGGAAGGGATAGCTTTGGGAGATATACCTAATGCTAGATGATGAGTTAGTGGGTGCAGCGCACCAGCATGGCACATGTATACATATGTACTAACCTGCACATTGTGCACATGTACCCTAAAACTTAAAGTATAATAATAATAAAATAAATAAGTAAATAAATAAATAAATAAAAGAGTTGATTCAGCAGGCCTGAGACTGCTACTCTTAGAAAGGCTTTCTTGTAAGGTTTGCCCTTGGCTGGCATCTAGAAACAAGATTCTCATAACTGCCGAGGGGCTCACCGTGCCAGCCCTGCACAAACAATATGATAGGGAACACCAGTTTTCCATCTCACAGTCTGTAATTTTGGCAGATGCTAGACAGAGGGTGTCTACATGATTAGCCCACAATAAAAACCCTGGGCACCAGTTCTGGGTAGACAACATTTTACATATGTTTTCAAAATTCATTGTTTAGGAAACTGTGCTTGGGGAACTATCTGAACTCTCAGAAGCTTGTAGCTTGTTTCCTACGAACTTTGCCCCATGCACCTTTTATCTCTGCTGATTTTTGTTTGTATTTTTTCAGTGTATAAATTTTAACCATTATTATGACTATACGCTGAGTTGTGTGAGTACTCCTAGTGAATCAGAGAACCTTCTTCTTGTTGAATTCAGTAACTCACCTGGGGAGTTCCTGCTTAGAAATCCTTTCTCTTTCTCTAATAACCATGGATCTTCTCCTTGTTCCAATGTGAAGATCAGTTCTGGTTTTGTAAAGCAGTAGCCTATAAATGGGAAACAATTTAGCATTTGCATTAGTTGCATAGGTTCTACTGTTTCTGAATGTGAAGAAGGTACAGCTTCAGAAGGGGCATATTCAGGGTGCTCACTGGACCTTCCTTGGGGAAGTAACCACAAAAAACATTTTCTTTCTTTTCTTACTTTTTTTTTTAGAGACAGGGTCCCTATGTCACTCAGGCTGAAGTGCAGTGGTGCCACCATGGCTCACTGCAGCCTCAAACTCCTGGGCTCAGGTAATCCTTCTGCCTCAGCCTCCTGAGTAGCTGGGACTACAGGTGTGCACCACCATACCCGGCTAATTTTTTAAAGTTTTTTTGTAAAGATAGAGTCGAATTCCTGGCCTCAAGCAATCGTCTCACCCTGGCCTCCCAAAGTACGGTGGCATAAGCCACTGTACCTGGCCAAAAAACATTTTCTTATTCTCATAAATGATCAATCTCCTTGAACCCCTGAACTGCACACCTAAGTAACATAAAATTCTAAAATGGCCAATGTCTTGGTTATTGAGGAAGAGATTTCATAAGGACTTCCATATCTGGCTGTAACAGGGTAAAAGGAACTGATTTCCATAACAGACAACTAAAAAACCAAACAAAATATAAAAAATGGTAATTAGGTTTTAGCCAAGAGGCAGTGCAGACAGGGATCCTTGAAAGTAGAGAAACAATGAGGTGAGCCCTATGATTATCACAGGCTACTTGTGAGAGAGTTGCCAAACCAGAGCGGAAAAAGAATACCAAAACAGAGCCTGGCAGACTTGGCAAGCTGATGTGACAAAATTGGATGTTTAAGGAAGCCCTGGCAACTAGAATTTGTGGGAGTAAATGCCAGCGAAGAAAGAGCTATACTGATATAAAATGTTGGAGATCTGCAGAAGGGTCTCCTGAGTACTGACCTGTATAAGCATATAAGAGAATCACTCAAGGTTAGGAAAAGACCAGTGAAAAAGAATAGGCTGAAAAATCACTACAGCATACACAAAGGCAGGAAGTTTATATCATCACCAACCAGGGTAGAAAACCTCCTAATTAATGACCAACAGGGTAGAATAACCAGAACGGTACTGCTTTAGTAGAGGGGCCAAATTAGTTCTAAAGTGAGCTCTGAATCCAACACAACAAAGCTTAAAGTGTACCTTGAAATGATCGAACTAATTCCAAGTAACTTAACTACATCCCAGAAAAGGCTCAGAAATATGTAAAAGAATACAACAAAATCTAGCAACTCACAATGTAAAATTCACAATATCTAGCACCCAACACAAAATTACTAGGTATGAACAGAAGCAGTGATACAAGACTCTTATCAAGGAGAAAAATCAATCAGTAACAACCAAATAAGAAATGGCCCATATGGCCAGGCACAGTGACACCTGTAATCCCAGTTTTTTGGGAGGGTGGGGCAGGAGGACTGCCTGAAGCTGGGAGTTCAAGACCAGCCTGGGCAACACATAGAGAGACTGGAAAATAATAAACAGAGTTATCTGTGACCTGTGGTTAAATAAATTTGTAGTCTAACATATATGTAATCAGCATTCCAGAAGAAAAAAAGGAAAGGGAGAGAAAATTCTGATGCAACAGTGGCCAAAATTTCCTAATTTTAATGACCTATATAAACCCTCAGATCCAAGAAGCTAAATAAATGCCAAGAGGAAACATAAAATCACACCAATGTACATTATAATCAAATTGCTAAAACCTGCTGAAAAAAAGAAAATTTTATGTAGACAGAAAAAGACATAATATATGCAGAAGAACAAAGAGAATTAAAGCTGACTTCTTGTTAGAAATTTTACAGTCTGGAAGACAGTGAAGTGATACTTTTAAAGTACTTAAAGAAAAAAAATCAACTTAAAATTTTATACTTGGCAAAGATAAGATGTTTCAGACCAAAAAAAAAAAAAAAAAGCTGAAACAATTTATCAGCAACTGATGTGTATTACGAGAAATGTTAAATTTTCCAGACAGAAGAAAAATGGTACTATGAAAATTTCTGATTTATATAAAAAAATTTATAGAGATAAAGAGCACCATAAACTGGAAAAAAGAGGATGAAAACAAAATATACTTTTCTCATTCTTGGAATTCTTTTCTTTAAATAGAACATTATCTTTCAAGTTATCTTTTTAGACAATATTATTTATTATGGGTTTTATAATATATAAATAGCACATATAAAGAGAAATTCTGCATAATGATAAAGGGAATAATTAATCAAGAGGATATAACAATCACAAATGTTTTTCCATTTTATAACACTACTTCAAAATACATAAAGCAAATCCTGATGAAACTGGAAGAATAACCAAATCCACAATTGTAGCTGGACAGTAAAACTCCTTTCTCAATAATTTATAGAAGTAGATTACAAGTAAATAAGAAGAAGTACAGAAGAGTTGAAGAATATTATCAACCAACATGACCTCCATTTACAGAACACCGATCCAAAAGGAAAACACATTATTTTCAAATACATATGAAACATTTAACCAGGATAAATCATAAGATGGGCCCTGAAACAAGTTTAAATAAACTTTAAAAGGATTAAAAAATCTTGCTCTCCAAATAGGAATTGAGAAAGCAATAATAGTAAAAAAAATTTCAAAGAGCCAAAAATTTAAAATAAAAAAGCCATATTCTAGTAGAAATATGGAGTAGAGGTACTTTCTCCTATCTTTTCTGGCATGTATAGCTAAAAACTATGGATATTATATATTTAAAAACATAAGATGCTGAAAGGTAGAGAGAAGACAGCAGATTGTTCAAGGACTTCAGGACTCAAGGAATGACAATGATGAGTTCCCCGCACTTCTCTTTGGCCTCATATATTCCAAATTAGAAGCTGGAGAAGCTGGCAACAAACAACATGAATGTGGAGATGGAAAAACAAGACAAAACATAAAACCCAAAGCTTGTGCTCTCAAGCCAGAGGTTCAGGAAAGAGGCAGCCTAACAAGATTGAAAACTTTTAGACAACGACTGTTCTTAATTCAGCCAAACACAAAATAAAAAATATGTTCTCCACTTCTACTGCTGCCATGAAAGGACAAGTGGGGAACTCAAATGTCTGTGCTCACCAGGCTGTAAGAAGGCTCCCTTACTGTTCCACCAGGGTCATGTGAGAGAGGGCTGACGGGGCTGAGACATGTCTCCAAGCCAGGCAGTGACAAGGTCCCCTGCCCCCCAGTGTCAGTAGAAGCCCCATGGGGAGCAGTAATGAGGCACTCCAGATCCTACCATGCAGGGTGTTATCAGTGAAGGCATAATGGGGATGCTGAACCACCACTACCATTCAGCAGTAATGACAATCCCTCCTCCTCTAGGTGCCGACAGAGGCTGAGTAGGAAACCTGGACTTTCAGCCCACCTTTTAATAATAAGGCAGCACCCCCCAACCTCCCCTGCCACAGTGGTGTCAGAGAATGCCTGCTACATGAGAAGATTTAAATCAGACACAGATCTTATAATTTCCAAATAGGTTCAATCTAAAATCACTTGTCATACCAAGATCTAAGACAACTTCAACTTGATTGAGCAAAGACAATCAATAGATGCCAACACTGAGATGGCATGGAAGTTAAAAATATCTGATAAAGACTTTAAATAAGCCATCATATAAATGTTTAAACAAACAATAAGAAACATGAAACAAAAATAGAAAGTCTCAGCAAAGAAAGAGAAGATATATGAAGTAGGTATTTTAGAGTTGAAAAATAACTAAATACTCAGTGGATGGGTTCAACAGCAGAATGAAGAGGACAGAGGAAATAATCCATGAATTTTAATATAGAAGAGCAGAAATTACCCAATCTGAACAACAGACAGAAAACAGACTAACGCCACAGGGACCTGTGAGACTATAACATAATATCTAACAATTGTGTCATAGAAGTTTCAGAAGGAGGGGAGAAAAGGGAGAAAGGGAGGGGCTGAAAAGTCTAAAAAGAAATGATAGCTTACCAAGTTAGTGACTGCCATGAGTTAAGGGATAGTAAAAGGAGTTGGGCTGACTTTATATAAAGGGGTAGGACAAAGCTCTTTGTGGTGACTGAATAGTTCTGTTGACTTGACTGTAGTGGTGGTTACACCAATCTATATATGTGATAAATAACACAGAACTATACACTTGTTGTGCCAATGTCAACTTCCTGATACTGACATTGTACTACAGTTGCATAAGATGTATCTCTCAGAATGTTGAAACATTTAGGATTTAAAAATTGCTGTCTTTAGGCTGGGCGCCGTGGCTCACACCTGTAATCCCAGCACTTTGGGAGGCCGAGACGGGCGGATCACGAGGTCTGGAGATTGAGACCATCCTGGCTAACATGGTGAAACTCTCTCTCTACTAAAAATACAAAAAAAAAATTAGCTGGACATGGTGGCAGGCGTCTGTAGTCCCAGCTACTCAGGAGGCTGAGGCAGGAGAATGGCATGAACCCAGGAGGTGGAGGTTGCAGTGAGCTGAGATAGTGCCACTGCACTCCAGCCTGGACGACAGAGTGAGACTCTGTCTCAAAAAAAAAAAAAAAATTGCTGTCTTCTTGGCAGACTGACATGTAACATCACTCTGTTACCAATAATTTTCTGTGCTCTGAAGTCTGTTTTATCTGATATTAACATAGCCAATCCTGCTTTTTTATGATTAATGTTCCATGGTATACCTTCTTCTGTTCTTTTACTTTCAATCTACCTATTATTTTTTAAGTGAATTTCTTGTAGATGGCATACATTTAGGTGAATTTTAAAAACCAACTCTTTCAATCTGTCTTTTAATTAGTATATTTAGACCATTTAACGTAATTTTTGATAAGCTGCCATTTTATTTGTTTTTTTTGTTCCCTTGAATTTTTATTCATTTTTCCCTGATCTTCTCTCTTGAACATTTTTTTTAGAATTCCATTTTTTACTTATCTATTTTTCTGTAATATTTTTGAGTATACCATTTAATGTAGTTTTTTTAGTGGTTACTCTATATATTAAATTATACACATATTACCACAGTTCACTGTGACAAGTGTCAATATTTTGCTGGTTGAGGTGGAGTGTAAAGATGAAGGGACTCTAAGTCCCTTATCTGCTTCCTGTTTATAATATGATAATCTTAACTATTTCATCTATATACATTGAGAAGCACATCAGAGAATGTTCAATTTTTCCCTTCAACCATCAAACAAAATTAGAAAACTCAAGAGGGAAGGCAGGCATATTGTATCTACCAGCATTTTTACTCTTTGCATTGTTCTTTCTTCTTTCCTGATGCTTGAAAGATTCCTTTTATGATTTCTGTTCCAAGAACTTCCTTCCTTCCATTCTTTCGGGGTAGGTATGCTGGCAATAAACTCTTAGTTTCCCTTCATCTGAGAATGTCTCAATTTTCCCTTCATTTCCAAGAGATATTTACGCTGGATAAAGAGTTGTGATAACAATTCTTTTCTTTCAGCACTTGAAAAATGTGTTCTCTGTGGTTTCTAATAAGAAATCCACTTGTATTCAAATTCTTTTTCCCCAGAAGTAATATATTGTTTCCCTTTAGTTGCTTGTCAGATTTTTTTCTTTATCTTTAGTTGTCAGAAGTTTCATAATTATGCTTCTTGGCATGAATTCCTTTGGGTTTATCCTGTATAGAATTTACTCAGCTTCTTGAATCTCTAGGATTATGTCCTTTGCCACATTTGTGAAAATTTTAGCCATTATTTCTTTGAATTTTTTTTTTAGCCTTTTCTTATGGGATTCAAATTACACAAACGTTAGAGATTTTCTTGTAGTTTCTGGGGTTCTGTTCATTTTTATTCAGTCTAGTTTTTTCTCTGTAAAGAATGACTCATTTCTATTGTTCTGTCATAAAGTTCAGCAATTCTTCTCTCCGTCTTCTCTCTTCTGCTGCTGTGCACATGTAATGATTTTTTAAAAAGTTTTAGAGTAACTTTAGATTTACAGAAAAGTTGCAAGGATGGAAAGAATTCTTGTATACCTAGCAACCAATTTCCCTCGCTATTAACAACTGAAACTACCAGTTTTCTCATATAACATCAGAAATTCCGATGGCAGTTTTTTCATAACTAATAATACTGATACATTATGAAATAAAGTCCACACTTTATTCAGAGCTCCTTTTTACCTAATGTCTTTTTCCTGTTCTATAGCTTCATCCAAGATCCCACATTACATTCAGTCATCCTGTCTCTGTAGGCTCCTGTAAACTATAAGTGTTTTGTGGTATTTTGGGTCACCTTGACAGTTTAAAGGACATTGTAGAATGTTCTTCAGTTTTGGTTTATCTGATGTTTTCCTCATAACTAAAGTGGGGTTATGTATTCCTCAGAGAAAGACCACAGAGGTAAAGTGTCTACCATTCTCATCACATCTCATCAAGGGAATATGCCATCAACAGACTTATCACTGACGATAACTTTGATCACCTGGTGGAGGTAATGGATGCCAGGATTTTCCATTATAGTTATTCCTTTTCTCCAGTATGCATACTATACTTTTTAGAAGACTGTCACCAGGCACAGTCCACTACAGCAGAGGAGAATTATGCTCCACTTCCTTGAAGAGGAGTAACTACATAAATTATTAGGAATTTTTCTATTTGGGAGATTTTCTATTCTCTCTTATTTATTCAATTATTTATATCAATATGGACTCACGAGTTTTTCATACTTTGGGTTATGAACCAATACTATGTTGTTTATTTTATTACTCAAACTGTTGCAATTTTGGCTACTGGGAGATCTTTCAGTTGGCTCCCCTGTTCTTTGACGTATCCCCTGCTATGGTTTGGGTATGGTTTGTCCCCATCAAAATACATGTTAAAATTTGATCCTTAATGCAGTGTTGAGAGGTGGGGCATAGTGGGAGGTGTTCGGTCACGGGGCTGGATCCCTCATGAAAAGATTAATGCCCTCTGACATGGTTTGGCTGTGTCCCCACCCAAATCTCATCTTGAATTGTAGTTCCCATAATCCCCACGTCATGGGACGGACCAGGTGGAGAAAACTGAATCATAGGGACGGTTTCCCCCATCCTATTCTCGTGATAGTGAGTTAGTTCTCACGTGAGCTGATGGTTTTATAATGGGCTTCCCCCTTCACTGGGCACTCATTCTCTCTCCTGCTGCCCTGTGAAGAGGTGCCTTCCACTATAATTGCAAGTTTCCTAAGGCCTCCCCAACTATGTGAAACTGTGAGTCAATTAAACTTCTTTCCTTTATATATTACCCAGTCTCAGGTATTTCTTCATAGCAGCATAAGAATGGACTAATACACCATTCAATGGGCGTGAGTTCTTGCTCTCACAGGAATGTACTAGTTCCTGTGACAGTGAGTTATTTAGAGATTCCTCAGTTTCACACTCTTGCTTCCATGCAATTTCTTTGCACATGCTTGCTCCCCTTCCACTTTCTGCCATGAGTTGAAGCAGCATGACGTCCTCACCCGATGAAGCTGTCCAATTTGGGACTTCCCAGCCACCAGAATTGTGAGCTAAATAAATGTTTTTTCTTTAAAAATCACCTAGTCTCACTTGTTATGTTACGGCAACACAAAACAGACTAAGAGAGAAAATTGGTACCAAGGAGTGGGTTGTTGCTTTACAAACACCTGAAAATGCGGAAGTAGCTTTGGAACTGGGTAATGGGTAGTGGCTGGAAAAATTTGGAGGGGCAGGCCAGTATTGCCATGAATGGAGCGTTAAGGGTGATTCTACTGAGGCTCAGATGAAGACAGGAAAACAAAGGAAACTTTCAGACTTCTTACAAATTGGTTAAATGGTTGTGAACAAAATGCTGCTAGAAATATGACAGTAGAGACCATTCTGCTAAGATCTCAGATGGAAATGAGGAAGCATTATTAGGAACTGGAAAAAAGGCCATCCTTTTTACACAGTAGCAAAGAAGGTGGCTGTATTGTCTCCATGCCTCAGGGCTTTATGGAAGGCAGAACTTAAGAGTGGTGAACTAGTATAACTGGTGGAAGAACCTTCTAGGCAGCAAAGTGCTCAAGAAGTGGCATGGTTACTTTTAACAGCTTATGCTGGAGTTATACTAGCAAAGGGATAATCTAAAGATGGAATTTATAATTTAAAAGGAAGCAAAGTAGAAGGATTTGGAAAATTTGCAGCCTGGCCGTGTGGAAGAGAATGAAGGAGAATTTTTAGAAAAGATATCCATTGATGTGGCTGAGCAACTGCTTGCTAAAGAGATTAGAATAAGCAAAAGGTCAAAACAATGGGAAAAAGACCCTGAAGTCATTTTGAATATCTTCAAGTTGCTTCTCCCATTCCAGGCCCAGAAGCCTAAGAAGGCAGAATAGTTTCAGGGGAAAGGGCCAGGCTGCTGCACTTGGGACACCTTGAGACACAGCTTCCTGCATCCTAGCTGCTTCAGCTGAAACAGCCATGGGGTCAAGTGGCTCCAGTAAGGCTTGTGCTGCATAAGCCTTACATCCCCTGGCTTATGTCTAGAGGGCATGAGCAGTAAGCCTTGGGGTCCGTGTAGTGTTAATTTTGCAGGCTTGCAGAATGCTAGAGCCATGGAGGTGTGTGTTACTCCACTGAGATTTCAACGTATGTATGAAAAACCCTATAGGCCCAGGCAGAGACTTGTTGCAGGGGCAGAGCCACTGCAGAGACCCTCTGCTAGGGCAAGGCCAAGCAAAAATTTGGGTTAGGTCTACTGCAGAGTCTCCACTAAGGCAATGCCTAGTGGAGCTTCAGGATTAGGGCCACTGCTAGGACCCCAAAATTGTAGAGCCACCAGTAGCATGCAATCTCAGTCTTGAAAAGCTGCAGGCATTTGCCTTCAGCCTGTGAGAGCAGCAATGTAAGCTGGGCAGAGAGAAGCCATGAGAGTGGAGCTATCCAAGGGCTTGGAAGGCTACTCCTCACACCAGTGTGCTGAGGATGTGGGACATGGAGTCAAAGGAGACTATTCTGGAGCTTTCAAATTTAATGTCTGCCCTGCTGGGTTTCAGACCTTATGCCTATTCCACCATTGTATCTTGGAAGTAAAAAACTTTTTTTTTTTTTTTTTTGAGACCAAGTCTTGCTCTGTTGCCCAGGCTGGAGTGCAATGGTCTGATCTCAGCTCACTGCAATCTCCACCTCCCGGATTCAAGCGCTTCTCCTGCCTCAGCCTCCCGCGTAGCTGAGACTATAGGCGCATGCCACATCTGGCTAATTTTTGTATTTTTAGTAGAGACGGGGTTTCACTATGTTGGTCTTGAACTCCTGACCTCAGGTGATCCACCCACCTTGGCCTCCCAAAGTGCTGGGATTATAGGTGTGAGCCACCATGCCTGCCCAATAACTTATTTTTGATTTTACAGGCTTGTAGCTGGACTTTGGACTTTTAAGGTGGTGCTAGAAAAACTTAAGGCTTTTGGGACTAGTGGGATGGAATATTATATTTTGTATATGAGAAGGACATGAGTTTTGGGGAGCTAGGGGCAGAATGGTATGGTTTGGGTGTGGTTCATCCCTGCAAAAACTCAAGGTGAAATTTGATCCCCAATGTAGCAGTGTTGGGAGGTGGGGCTTAGTGGGAGATGTTTGGGTCATGGGAGTAGATCCCTCATGAACAGATTAATGCCCTCCCAAAGGGTTGAGTTCTCACTCTCATAGGAATAGATTATTTCTTGTGAGAACGGGTTGTTAAAGAGCCTGGTTTCTCTCTTGCTTCCTCTTTTGCCATGTGATCTCTTTGCACATGGCCCCTCCCCTTCCACTTCCCACCATAAGTTGAAGCAGTATGATGCCCTCATTAGATGCAGCTGCCCAATCCTGGATTTTCCAGCCACCAGAATTGTGAGCGAAACAAACTTTTCTTTATAAATTACCCAGTCTCAGGTATTCTGTTCTAGCAACACAAACTGGACTGAGACACTCCCATAGTTTTGTTTTTTGAGCAATTTCCTTACTTTCTGGTTCTACAAGATGCCCCACACTCATCTTGTACATTTCTCGCCTAGCCCTTAGAATCAACCATTTTCCCAAGGAATCTTGGTTCCTTTACTTGGTGAATGGTACTAGACACTACTTACAGGTCTATTTGAGCTTTCTATCTCTTCATGATTCAGTTTTGGTAGATTATGTACTTCAAGTAATTTGTCTCTTTCATTTAGGTTAATTTGTTGTTCACAGCATTCCTTTATAATCAGTTTTATTTCTGTAGAATTGCTAATACTGTCCCCATTTTCATTTCTGAGTTTAGTAATTTGAGTCTTCCCTTTTTTTCTGAACTGATCTAGTTAAAAGTTTATCAATTTTGTTGGTTTTTTAAAAAAGAACTTTGGTTTCATTGATTTTCTCTATTGTTTTTCTATTCTTTCATTATCTCTCTTCTAATCTCTACTATTGTTTCCTTTTGCTAGGTTTAGGTTTAGTTTGCTCTTTCTTTAGTTTCTTAAGACGTGAAGTTAGGTTATTATTTGAGATCTTTCTTCTTCCTTAATGTATGCGTTTATAGCTATACATTTCCATCTTATTGTTGGTTTTACTGCATCCAGAAGGTACGCTATGTTGTATTTTCATCTCTCTCAAGGTATTTTCTAATTTGTCTTATGATTTTTTGACCCCTTGGTAGTTAAAGAGTTTGTTAATTTTTCACATATTTGTAACATTTCTAGTCTTCCTTCTGTTATTCATTTTCACGTAGCTGGAACTACTGGCACATGCCACCATGATGCCTGGCTCATTTTTATATTTTTTTGTAGAGACAGAATCTCCCTATGTTGCCCAGGTTGGTCTTGAGCTCCTGGGTTCAAGTGATCCGTCCACCTTGGCCTTTCAAAGTGTTGGGATTATAGGTGTTAGCCTCTGTGCCCTGCCTTTTTCTTTTATGTGCACTTAACACTTAAATTAACCTCTGATTATTGCTTTAGCTGCATTTCACAAATTTCTTGTACTTTCGTTTTCAAAAAATTATACTGAGAATTTTTCTTTGACTCATGTGTTGACAAGTGTGTTGGTTATTTCCAAATATTTGGAAATGCTCCTGCTATCTTTCTGTATTTGATTTCTGGTATGGTTTGAAAGCACACTTTTTATGATTTCTGTACTTTTTCATTTGTTAAAGTGTGCTTTATGGCCTAGAATGTCTCTTTGGATGAATGTTTTACATGCACTTGAGAAGAATGTATATTTTTCTATTGCTGTAGTCTAAAAATGTCAGTAGATCCAAGTTGGCTGACACTGCTGTTCAGGTCATTTATATCCTCAGCAATTTTCTGCCTGCTTGATCTACCAATACTGACAGAGCGGTGTTTAAATCTCCCTATTTTAATTGTAGATTTGTGTATTTCTCTTTTTAGTTCTATCAGTTTTTTACCTCATATAATTTGAAGCTGTTTTTAACTGCATAAATGTCTAGGGCTGTTATGTTTTCTTAGAGAATTGAGCCATTTATTACTATGTAATATTCTTCCATCCTTGATGATCTTCCATGTTGTGAAGTCTGCTTTGTCTGAAATTAATAGTTATTTCAATTTTGATTAGTGTTAGCCTGATGTATTTTTCTTTTCTTTTTTTTTTTTTTTGAGACAGAGTCTTGCTCTTGTTGCCCAGGCTGGAGTGCAGTGGAGTGATCTTGGCTCACTGCAACCTCCGTCTCCGGGGTTCAAGTGATTCTCCTGCCTCAGCCTCCCAAGTAGCTGGAATTACAGGCACCCACCACCACGCCTGGCTAATTTTTGTATTTTTAGTAGAGATGGGGTTTCACCATGTTGGCCAGGCTGGTCTTGAACTCCTGACCTCGTGATCCACCTACCTCGGCCTCCCAAAGTGCTGGGATTACAGTCGTGAGCCACAGCGCCTGGCCTATCCAGGCAACTTTTTACTGTCAGTTGGTAGGAAGAGTCCTGGCTTACCACTAGGCCTCATCTGAAATCACCCCATTAGAGAGCTAGAGGAGTACTCTGATACTCTAGAACCAGGGTGGAAGTCAGTTTTTGGTGATGGAAGAGAGCTGCAGTTTTTTTCCATAGTGTTTAGCTAGGGTAGGGCAGTTGTCTAAAATTTTCTGTCTTTCTGGGTGGTTGCTTTCCTGTTCTTTTGTCTAGAGGAAGCAGGCTTTACTTGGGACTTTTTTTTTTTTTTTTTTTTTGTCTGTACCAATTGGTGTTTCAGGCTGATACATTAGGCAAAAATAAAACTGAGAAAGAGGTGTCATTTCTTGGGTTCCAATGTCCCTAGCTTGTCTGTGTCCTTCTCTCACTGTTCAAAGTCTTCTTATGTGTTTTGTATATAATGTCTAGTGGTTTTAGCTGTACTTAAAGGGAGGAACAGGAAGAAGTATCTGTAATCAATCTTATCTGGAACCATCAGTCTCTAAAACTTTCACATTTAAGAACTACCTTTTAAATTTAGTGTAATCTTTCAATATGCAAAACGTATGTAGTTCAAAAATCCAAATTGTATAAAAAGGTATATTAAAAGTCTCACTTCCATTCCTGCTCTAATCACTCACCCCCCCCACCTGCTAAATTTTATTACTTTCTGATTTTTCTCCCAGTGTTTCATTTTTGCAAATATCAACAGTTACGTATATTCTTCTCTCTTTCCTTACTCAAAGATGGCTTCCTATGCACACCATTCTACTGCTTCTTTTGACTTAATATTTACTGAGTATCACTCCTTATTTGTATACAGGCTCTTGTCCATTTTATAGTTGCATAGTCTTCATTTGTGTGTAGAAGTAACACACTTTTAGCCAATTAGTCAATGATGTACATTTGGGTTGTTGATATTCTATTGCTCTTACAAACAATGCTGCAATGAATAACCTTGTGTATATATCATTTTGTGTTTATGCAGGTATTGTTGCTGAGTACTGTATATGTTGCTGAGTAAAAATTAATGCACCTGTAATTTCTTTTAGTGCCAAAAAATTACATTTCTTAGCAGATATGGTTGATTACTATTTTATTTAAAGCCCTCAATGACTACTTATTGCTTTAAACCCAGAATATGGCCTCAATAATATATATTCACTTGGTCCACTTCCACATCTTGTACCATATTCCTTCTTGCTTTCTTTGTTCCAGGTGTACTGGTTCTTTTTCAGGTCTCTGTACTCACTATCTTTTCTTCTACTAGGGGTCTTTGTGCTTGTTCTTTTCTCTGCTTGGAGTGTTTATATTTCCTTATTTAGCTTATTCCTAGACATCCTTAGAGTTTTTCTCAAGCAACACTTATCTTTTCCTTTGAATTTGAAAATTTTCTTTGAAAAAGTAAAAAAGAGAGTTCAGTGAACCCCTCCCCTCATGTATCCTTCACCCAGCTTCAAAAAAATTACAATTTTTTTTAACAGAAAGGTTTTCTTAACCTCAGAAACTCTTCAAATCACCCTATGAAAATTAAGGCTGTGCTATTGAATAACTTGAGAACTGCACTGGTGTCTATCAAAAAGTGGATATTAATTAAACAGTTGTTAAGTTTTAATTGCATTTCTTCATACAGTCTCATACTATATGAATGAGTGTTCAATCAAAGAAGAAATATGTCTTCTAGACATAAATAAGAGACACGTCTTAGTAACCCGATATGCAATTTGCATGTTGCAGCTAAAGCAGTGCTGAATTTTTTATGGCACTAAATGTGTACGTTAGAAAAGAGAAAAAGTCTCAAATTAATAGTGCATGATCTCACATTAAAAAGCTAGACAAAGAGCACAATAATCCTAACAGAAGCAAAAGTAAAAAGTTAAGAGTAGAAATCAACTAAATTAAAACCAAAAAAACAAAAGAGAAAGATCAATGAGAGAAAAAGCTGGTTGGCTGAAAAGAGCAGTAACCTTGTAAAACCTGTAGGAAGAGTGAACAAAAAAATAAAAGAGCAAGAAGACAGAAATGACCAATATAAAGAATAAAACAGGTCTATAAATACAGATCCTGAAGACATCAAAATGATAATAATGGAATGGTCTGAACATCTTTACACATATGAATGTGACAACTGAGATAAAATGGACTCATTGTTAGAAAAGCAAAAATACCACAATTCACCTAATAGAAATAATTTGAATATCCATATATATGACTTAAATAAATTGATTTGTAAAACTTCCCAAAAAGAAGTCTCTAGGCCCAGATGGTTTCACTAGATAACTCTATCAAACATTTAATGAAGAATAAACACCACTTCTATACAACCTCTTCCAGAAAATTGGAAGGAACACTTTCCAACTAATTTTATGAGGCCAGACTTATGCTGATATGAAAACCAGACAAAGGCAGTACAAAACTACAGACCAATTTCTCTCATAAATGCAAAACTACTTAACAAAATATTAGCAAATAGAATCAAACAATAAATAAAAAGAATTCTATGACATTACCAAGTAAGGTTTATTCCAAGTATATAAGGCTGGTTCAATATTTGAAAACTAGTCAACAAAGTCTATTACATTAATGGAGTAATGAAGAAAAACCATGTAATCACAGCAGTATATACATAAAAAGTATTTGACAAGATTCAATATCCATTCATAATCAATATTCTCAGAAAACTAGGAATACAGAAGAAGTTCCACCATTTGATGAAGAATATCTACAAAAGATCATTTGGTGAAAGACTAGATGTTTTCCCCTTAAGGTTGGGAACAAGGCAAGGATGACTACTCTTACCACTCTTATTCTACACAGTACTAGAAGTCCTATCCAGTGTAATACAACAAGAAAAGGAAATAAAAAGCATACAGATTAGAAAGGAAAGTAGTAAACTGACCCTATACATATATGACATGATAGCTTATGTTAAAAAATGCCAAGGAATCTACAAAAAGCCTCCCTAGAAAGTTCAGCAAGATCTCAGCATAAAAGAACAAACATACAAAAATCAATTACATTTCTATAAACTAGCAACCTTTGTAAGCAAACAGAAATTTAAAACACAATGCCATTAACAATTACTCAACCAAATGAAATACTGAGGTATAAATATAACATGTACAGGACTTTTATACTGAAAATCACAAAACACTGAAGCAAGAAATCAAGATCTAAGTAAATGGAGAAATATATTGTGTTTATGGATTATAAGCCTCAAGACTCAAAACAGTAAAGATGTTAACTGTCACAAAATTGATAATTTATAGCTTTAATTCCTATCAAACACCCAGTAAGATTTTAACATAATGATATTATTACAATATGTATATGCAAAGGTGAAGTAACTAGAATAGTTAAAACAATATTGAAAAAGAAATATAATGTGGGAATATAATAGTCTCATACAAGTACAGCCAACTGATTTTTGACACAGGTGAAAAAGCTATTCAATGAAGGGTAATGGTGTTGCATGGAGCAAATGGATATCCATAGGCAAAAACAAACAAAAAAAGATCTCAACTTACACTTCATGCCCTATACAAAAATTTACTCAAAATGTACCATAATTAAAATGTAAAATATATTACACAATTTTTAAAAATAGGAGAAAACCTTTGGTCCAAAGACTTAGTGAAGAGTTCTTAGATAGGACAACATTTTTACAAAACTGATAAACTGGACTTCATCAAAATTAAAAACTTATGCTCTACAAAACACCCCATGAAGAGGATGAAAAGACAAGTTACAGACTGGTATAAAAATGTGCAAACCACACATCTGACAAAGAAACTCATATCTAGACTATCTAAATTCTCAAAAGTCAATGGTAAAACACACAAACTTCCAATTAAAAAATGGACAAAAGCCATGAACAGACATTTTACTAAGGATACACAGATGGCATGTGAACACATGAAAAGATATTTGATTATCAGTAGCCATTAGGGAAATGCAAATTAGGATCACTATGAGATATTGCTATACACCTGTTCAACGACTAATACATAAAATAGCAACAATGCCTAGTACCAGAAAGGATAGGGAATAACTGGATCCCTCATACATTGCTGGTGGAAATGCAAAATGGTACAGCAACTCTGGGAAATAGTTTGGCACTTTCTTAAAGAATAAAACATAACTTACCATACAATCCAACAATCACACTCCATGGCACTTATCCCAGAAAAACTTATGTTCACAAAAAATCTGAACATGAATGTTCACATCAACTTTATAATAGCCCCAAAATGGAAACAACCAAAATGTCCTTTAATAGGTGAATGGCTAAACAATGATATTCATACAGTGAAATACTACGTAGCTATAAAAGGAATGAACTACGGATACACTACAACTTGGATCTCAAGAGCATTACGCTGAGTGAAAAAGCCAGTCTCAACACGTCAAATACTGTATGATTCCACTTATATAACAGTCTCAAAATGACAAAATTATAGAGCTAGCAGATTAGTAGTCAGCAGAGATCAGGAACAATGTGAGAGACAGCATGGGTGTGACTATGAATGAGTAGCACCAAAGAGATCTTTGTGGTGATAGAGCAGTTCTGAATTGTAACTGTGGTGGTTACATCAATCTCCACATGTGATAAAATGGCACAGAGCTATTCACACACATTGTACCAGTGTCTATTTACTGGTGTTGATAGTGTATTATAGTTATAAAACATGTAACCTTTGGGGTAAGCTAAAGTGAGGACACAATTTTTGCTAATTCCCATAAATCTATAATTATTTCAATATAAAAAAGGTTTCTTAAAATATATGCAAAAAATCAAAAACTGAAAACATTTTCTCTTTAAAAAGAGAAGCAAGAGATGGCAAGAAAAAGTCTGTAAAACATATATCTAATAAAGGTCTGAACTTCTTCAACTAAACAAACAAAAATACTAAAAACTAAACGAAACAAAAATGAGCTAAAGATTTGACTGGTCACTTAAAGAAGATTTATGAATCGCTAAAAAGCACATAAAAAGAGGTTCAATGTTGTTAGTCATCAGGAAAATGCAAATTAAAACCCAACTAGAACTGTTAAAAACAGCAAAATTTTCCAAATAATGGTAACCAAAGAGTAATGAGAACTCACAGACACTGTTCATGAAAATGAAAAACTGTGGAGCCAGTTTGAAAACATTTGGCAGTTTCTCATAAAGTTACAGACAGATAAACTTACCAAAGACCTGGCAAGCTCACTCCTAGGTACTTATACAAGAGAAATGAAAACATATGTTGACACAAAGACTTGTATGTGAAAGTTCATAGCAGCTTTACTCAGAAAAGCACCAACTGGGAAAAAATTCCGTATGTTGACCAACTGATAAAGGATAATAAATTGCAGTATATACCCACAAAGCGGCACTACTTAGGATAAAATAATTAACCACTTATACACACATGTGCATGAGTTTCAAAAGCATTATACTAAAGAAAAGCCAGACAAAAGGGAGTATATAATTTATGATTCCATTTATATGAAATTTGAGAAAAGGCAAAATTATTGCAATAGAAAGCAGACTAGTAGTTGCCAGGGGTTGTGGAGGAAGGGATGGAGGGAGGGGACTCACTGCAAAGGGCTACAAAGAATCTTCTGGGGGGTGATAAAAATATTCCAAACCATGATTTGGATTGTGGTAATCAATGTATACATTTTTCAAAACTCATTGATTTGTACACTGAAAGGTGCTGAATTTTATTTTCTGTTAAGTATACCTCAATAAAAGTGACTAATATAAAAAAGGAAAACCAGAATTGCACTGTAGAGGGAGTCACATGGTACGGTATGGAGAGAGAGAAAGAGAGGAGAAACAGAACTGCACTCTGGAGGGAACCCCATGGTAAGCTGTGCTCACCCACTGAGACGAGGTGGCTGTAGTTCTCCAGCATCACATCTCTGTACAGGGTCCTCTCAACAGGGCCCATGTGCTGCCACTCCTCCTGGCTGAATTCCACAGTCACGTCCTGGAATGACACTGATGCCTGTAACAGCGCATTTCTAATTAATCTGAGTGTTCAGAATCAAGGAAAGGAAAACGTTTTCGGAAACTAACTCATTATGTTTACTGTTGAGAATTTAAAACAAAATGCTATAAGGGATTCTTATTAAGGCCCTAATTCTGCCTTACTTTTGAAATGCATAATTAGCACACATATTTGTTCTCATGCTCTTATTTGTATTTATTTTACAATCATACACATACATTGTTACTTAATATACTGAGGAAGCTTAGTACCCTTTTAGGTAAAATTATTATAAATAGGATTCCTGCATACGTTTCCCATGGTGCGATCTCGGCTCACTGCAACCTCCGCATTCCTGGGTTCAAGCAATTCCCCTGCCTCAGCCTCCCAAGTAGCTGGAATTACAGGTGCATGCCACCACACCTAGTTTTTTGTATTTTAGTAGAGATGGGGTTTCACCATGTTGGCCAGGATGGTCTCGATCTCCTTACCTCATGATCCGCCCACCTTGGCCTCCCAAAGTGCTGGGATTACAGGCGTGGGCCATAGTGCCCAGCTGGGAAGTGAATCTTTACAAGAATGAAAATCTGTTCATTATTATCTCGTGCAGCTGTACACAGAGATGCAGCATGATACATAACACAAAAAGCTCAGAAAAAAGAATAAAAAGAAACGAACAAAGTCTCCAAGAAATATGAAATTATGTAAAATGGCCAAACCTAAGAATAATTGATGTTTCTGAGGGAGAAAAGAAAACAAAAAGTCTAGAAAACTTATTTGAGGAAATAACTGAGGAAAACTTCACTGACCTGGCTAGATATTTACATATCCCAATCCAAGAAGGTCAAAGAACTCTTGGAAAATCCACTGCAAAAAGATCTTCACCAAAGCATATAGTCATCAGGCTGTCTAAAGCCAACATGAAGGACAAAATTCTAAGAGCACTAAGATAAAAGCATCAGGTAACCTATAAAGGAAAACTTAACAGACTAACAGCAGACTTCTCAGCAGAAACCTCACAAGAAAGAAGGGATTGGGGGTCCTATCTCCAACCTCTTTAAACAGAGTACCTGTCAGCTAAGGATTCTGCATCCAGCAAAACTAAGTTTCATCAATGAAATAAAGTTATTTCAGACAAATGCATGCTGAGGGACTTTGTCGTTACCAAACCAGCACTATGAGAAATGCTAAAAAGAGTTCTAAACCTTGAAACAAAAGTTTGATATGCACCAAAACAGAACCTCTTGAAAGCTTAAAACTCACAGGACCTATAAACCAATAATTCAATGAAAAAAGCAAACTAGGTAGCAATGTGATGAAGAGAACAGTATCTCACATCTCAATATTAACATTGAATGTAAATGGCCTAAATGCTCCACTTAAAAGATACAGAATGGCAAAACAGATTTTAAAAAAATCACAAACCAAATATCTGCTGTCTTCAACAGACTCACCAAACATAGAAGGATTCATATAAACTCAAGGTAAAGGGAAGGAAAAAAATATTCCATGCAAATGGAAACCAAAAGCAAGCAGGAGTAGCTATTCTTATATCAGACAAAACGGACTTCAAAGAAAATCAGTAAAAAAAAGACAAAGAAGGTCACCATATGATGATAAAAGGATCAATCCAACAAGAAGATATTACAATCCCAAATTTATATGCACTTAACACTGGAGGTCCCAGTTTCACAAAACAATTACTACTAACCTAAGAAATGAGATAGACAGCAATACAATAATAGTGGGAAACTTCAATAGACCACTGACAGTACTAGACAGATCAAGACAGAAAGCCAACAAAGAAACAATCGACTTAAACAACACACTAGAACAAACGAACTTAACAGATATTTACAAAATGCTCTCCAAGAACTGCAGAATATACATTCTTCTCATCAGCACACGGGACATTCTCAAAGACAGATCATATGATAGGCCACAAAACAAGTCTCAATACATTTTTAAAAATCGAAATCATATCAAGTATCTACTCAGATCACAGCAGAATAAAACTAGGGATGAACTCTAAAAGGAACCTTTAAAACTATAAAAATACATGGAAATGAAATAATCTGCTCCTGAATGATTTCTGGGTTAACAATAAAATCAAGATAGAAATTTACAAATTCAATGAATGATAATTACACAAATTATCAAAACCTCTGGGATATAGCAAAGCAGTGCTAAGAGAAAAGTTTATAGTGTTAAATGCCTATATCAAAAAGCCTGAAAGAGCACAAATTGACAACCTATTGCCATACCTCAAGGCACCAGAGAAACAGGAACTAAACCCAAAGCTAGCAGGACAAAAGAAATAAAGATCAAAGTAGAACTAAATGAAATTCAAACAAAAAAACCCCAAAATATCAATGAAACAAAAAAGCTGGTTCCTGAAAAGCTAAAACTGATAGACCTTCAGCTAGATTGACCAAGAAAAGAAAGAAGATCCAAATAAGTTCAATTAGAAATGAAACTGGAAACATTACAACCGACACCACAGAAATACAAAAGATCTTTCAAGACTACTATGAACGCCTTCATGTGCACAAACTAGAAAACCTGGAGGAAATGGATAAATTCTTGCAAACATACAACACTCCTAGATTAAATCAGGAAGAAACTGAAACCCTGAATAGACTACAAGTAGAGAGATTAAATCAGTAATTTAAAAATTTGAAAATTGCCAACAACAACAAAAAGCCTGGGACCAGATGGATTCACAGCTGAATTCTACCAGATATTTAAAGAAGAACTGGTCCCAATCCTGCAGAAACTATTCCACAAGATTGCAAAAGAGGGAATCCTCCCTAAATCATTCTATGAAGCCAGTATCACCCTGATAGCAAAACCAGGAAAGGACACAACAAAAAAGGAAACAACAGACCAATATCCCTGATGAACATAGATGCAAAAATCCTCAACAAAACACTAGCTAACTGAATACAATAGCACATTAAAAATCACATCATGATTAGGTAGGTTTCACCTCAGGGATGCAGGGATGGTTTAACATATGCAAGTAAATAAATGTGATACATCATGTAAACATAACTAAAAACAAAAATCATATAATCATCTCAGTAGATGCAGAAAAAACATTTGACAAAATCTAGTGTACCTTTATAAAAGCTCTCAACAAACTACGCATAGAGGGGACTTACCTCAAAATAATAAAAGCCATATGTGACAAGCCCACAGCCAACACCATATTGAATGGGGAAAGTTGAAAGCACTCCCCCTGAGAACAGAAACAAGACAAGGATGCCCGCTTTCACCACTCCTGTTCAACATAGTTCTGGAAGTCCTAGCCAGAGCAATTAGTCAAGAGAAAGAAATAAAGGGCATCCAAATTGGAAAAGAAAAAGTCAAACTACTGCTGTTTGTAGATGATATGATCATATACCTAGAAAATCCAAGACTCCTCCAAAAGACTCCTAGATTTGATAAATGAATTCAGTAAAGTCTCAGGGTACAAAATCAATGTAAACAAATCAGCAGCAATGCTATACCAACAACAACCAAGCTAAGAATCAAATCAAGAACTCAATTTCTTTTACAACAGCTGCAAAAACAAAATAACACCACCACCACCAAAAAAACAACCTAATAATATACTTAACCAAGGAGGTGAAAGATCTCTACAAGAACTACATAACACTGCTGAAAGAAATCACAGGTGACACAGACAAATGGAACACATCCCATGCTCATGGATTGGAAGAATCAATATTGTGAAAATGACCATTCTGCCCAAAGCAATCTACAGGTTCAATGCAATTCTCATCAAAATACCAACATCTTTTACATAATTAGAAAAAACAATCCTAAAATTCATACGGAATAAAAAAGAGCCCGAATAGTCAAAGCAATCCTGAGCAAAAAGAACAAATCTGGAGGCACCACAATACCAGACTTCAAATTATACTACAAGGCTATAATTCCCAAAACAGTATGGTACTGGTATAAAGGCAGGCACACAGACCAATGGAACAGAATAGAGAACCCAGAAATATAAAGCCAAATATGTACAGTCAACAACTGATCTTCGACAAAGCATACAAAAACACAAACGGGGGAATGGACATCCTATTTCAGCAATCCCCAACCTTTTTGGCACCAGGAACTGGTTTCCTGGAAGACAATTTTTCCATGGACCAGCGGTGGTGGGGTGGGGATGGTTTCAAGATTAAACTGATCCACTTCAGATCATCAGGCATTAGTTAGATTCTCATAAGAAGCACCCAATCTAGATCCCTTGCATGTGCAGTTCACAATAGGGTTCCCTCTCCTATGAGAATCTGATGCTGCTGATCTGACAGGAGGTAGAGCTCAGGTGGTAATGCTTACTAGCCTGCTGCTTACCTCCTGCTGTGCCCTTCCATTCCTAACAGACCACGTGGCCCTGTGGATTGGGGACTCCTGTCCTATTTAATAAATGGTGCTGGTAAAAGTGGCAAGCCACATGCAGAATAATGAAACTGGATCCTATCTCTCACTTTATACAAATATCAACTCAAGATGGATCAAAGACTTAAATCTGTGACCTGAAACCATAGAAATTCTAGAAGACAACATTTGGAAAACTCTTCTAGACATCAGCCTAGGCCACGAACTCGTGACTAATACCCCAAAAGCAAACGCTACAAAAACAAAAATAAATTAACTGGACCTAACTAAATTAAAAAGCTTCTACACAGCAAAAGAAATAATTACCAGAGTAAACAGCCAACCCACAGAATGGGAGAAAATATTTACAAACTAGACATCTGACAAAGTATCCAGAATTTACAAGGAACTCAAATAAACCAGCAAGAAAAAAAATCCCATAAAAAAGTGGACAAAGGACATGAATTGTCATTTCTCAAAAGAAGATATACAAATGTCCAATAAACACATGAAAAAAAAATGCTCAACATCGCTAATCATCAGGGAAATGCAAATTGAAACCACCATGAGATACCACTTTACTCCTGCAAGAATGGCCCTTTTTAAAAAGTCAAAACACAATGGATATTTGCATGGATGTGAAGAAAAGGGAATGCTTATACGCTGCTGGTAGGAATGTAAATTAGGACAACCTCTATGGAAAAAGTATGGAGATTCCTTAAAGAACTAAAAGTAGATCTACCATTCGATCTAGCAATCCCACTACTGGGTATCTACCCAAAGGAAAAGAAGTCATCATAAATGAAAAAGAAACCAGCACACGTTTGTAGCAGCACGATTCACAATTGCAAAGATGTGGAACCAACCTAAGTGCCCATGAACTGAGTGGATAAAGAAAATGTGGTACCTATACACCATGGAATACTACTCAGCCATAAAAAGGAATGAAATAATGTCTTTTGCAGCAACTTGGATGGAGCTGGAGGCTGTTATTCTAAGTATCACAGGAGTAGAAAACCAAACCGTACGTTCTCACTTATAAGTGGGAGCTAAGTTATGAGTATGCAAAGGCATACAGAGTGACATAATGGACTTTAGAGACCAAGAAGGGGAGGGTGGGAGGCTAGGGAAAGGTGCTAGGGATAAAAAACTACCTATAAGGCACAATGTACACTACTTGTCAGACCACGGGTGAACTAAAATCTCAGAATTCACCACTATATAATTCATCCATGTAACAAGAAACCACTTGTACCCCAAAAGCTATTGAAATAAAACATTTTAAAGAAATGTTTTAAAGTATAAAGAAAAGACAGCATTTATTATGATTATTTTAGTCTTGCTCTTTCATTTTAGTTAAGGCCTGTCTTGACTTCTTTTAGACCCTGGGTAGTAAAATACATAAAATAAAATGTAAAAGTAAAATGTTCAGAATCTTAGTTGAAAATTTCAAATACGTTTTGTATTAAAATTGAAAAATCTTTCCAGTTTTAGTAAACATACAATATTATGAAAACTTTTGCATCTTAATAAATATATCTAAGTAAAGTGCTAAGTAAGTAGGCAAGTTGCATCTTCAGTGTTAAAGTATATTAGCACAAGGATGGTAAAGCGGTGTGAAAATTATAAATTTTTATAATTTGTGTATGCAAGGTGGTTTTTAAAATAAAATATCTTAGTATCTCATTTTATTTTTCTCTTGGTTTATACCTTGTCTCTCTGTACATCTATAACTTAATGCATACTGACAAAGAAAAATCTTGTTTGATAATGGTTAACCAACAATAAACATTTACTAAATCTAAAAAAAAATAAAAAAAGTAAATGATTACAATTTTCTATGAAAATGTAATGACAAAAATTATATTGAAAAAGTACAACTCCAGTATAAGCTTATAAGAAGCTGACTAATGAACTAATACATTTATTCAATAATCAAAATCTTCACACAAAAAGTCTTCGCAAGGTCCAAATTCATAGGTGAGTTTCATAAAATCTACATATAACACAATGTTCTCATTTTTCTAAATTATTAGAAAAGAAGAAACAAGAAAAAGTGCCCCATTTCCTTTCATGAGACAACCATGATACCCTAACTGAACAGGGAAACAGGAAAGTATAGTTTAATCCAATTTGTGAACACAGAAATAAAAATCCTAAATTATTACCATAAAGTGCTAGGAAAACATGTAAGAAGCAACTTACTACACTCATTAGCAACTAGGGTCTATACAGGAATTCAAGTTACTTTTAGAAAATCCATTATATTATTCACAATATTTACAGATTCAAGGACACAGCTATAGATTTATTCTGATACATAAAAAGTATTTAATATAATTCATGTGCATTCATGACTAACATGACATCTTGGCAAACTGGTAACTGGAGGGAACCTACTAACCCTGACAAAGCTGACAGCAGAGTTCATGGTGAAACTGTATATATTTTCCCTCAAGATTTACTTATCTATTTCTCCTTTTCCATTTAATGCAAGGGCCTATCTAAACCTCATAAAATCCATTACAATACAAAGTGGGGAATGAATAAAAAGCTTACCTGAAATGTGTTCATTTTCTGTGGCTCTTGGGAGAGTATAGAGAACTGTAAAGCCTCAGCTGGGGGGACAGAAAGAGGATGTCACACGGTCTCGCCTACCTCACAGCTCCTAGATTAGCCTCCCCAAATCTCAGCAACCCAGTTGGAGAGCAGCCTTCCTAAGGTAACAGGGCCCTTCAGGCCTTGAAAAGGCATGAGAAGCACCACGTAGAGGTGGCACTGTCTACGACAACTCTGAAATAATTATGGGGCTTAAACTGCTGTTTTTTATTGAGTGAACATAAACTTTTCCCAATTGATTTAACAATGCACATGTGCTTCTAACACACACACAAAAATAAAGACAATACAGGATTAGTTGAATTAAAGTACACCACAGGGTAAGACACTATTCTTTCATTAAAATTAACCTAGCAGGTACTGTGGTTCAAGCCTGTAACCCCAGCACTTCGGGAGGCCAAAGAGGGAGGACAGCTTGAGCTCAGGAGTTCAAGACCAACCTGGGCAACATGGCATGACCTTGTCTCTACAGAAAATAAAAACTTAAAAAATTAGCCAGGTGTGGTGGCATGCGCCTGTGGTCCCTGCTACTTGGGAGGCTGAGGCAGGAGGATCACTTGAGCCCAGGAGGTAGAGGCTGCAGTGAGCCATGTTTGTGCCACTGCACTCCTGCCTGGACAACAGGATGAGACTCTGTCTCCAAAACACAAAATTAACTTAGCAGAAAAATATTCAGTGTGCATCATTTAACTATTTTTCTTAGTAATATTATTTACCCTTGGTATAGACAATCCACAGAAAGTCTTATAAAAGAGATGAGATACTTTAAGGCAAAGAGTTTTAGATGTTTTAACTGGGATGTATTTCTCAAAAGGCCCTTTGGATAAGATGCTTTTGGTGACTCACCTGTGAAAGAATGAACGGAACTGTTTTCCTCCTGGCTCTACCACAAACGAGGGATCCCCGGAAACTCACTGAACCTTTCATGCCCAATGTCTTTAAAGCTTTCAAAAGAATCAGAAGTAGATAGCCACGGAAAACCCTTCATGTATCATCATGCATGGGATTCTATGAGGTAGGGACAAAGTCTCCAGTGTCACATATGTTAACAGCAGTATGGCATCTGTAAAGAGTGGAGAACAAAGCGACTGGGGGCTACTTTGGGATCTGGGGACAGAATCTCCGGTTACCCCTACCCTCAGACCTATGCAATGATGTGGCCTTTCCTGAGCAGCCTGTCCCTGGCCACCACCTAGCCCATTTTGCTCTTCTCAAAGCTGGCCCAAACCACCCACTGTCACCCATTGTGTGGTGGCTTCTGGAGGCTTCACCAAGTCTGGCTCATTCTGGGAAGGAGGATCAAGAACTGCTTCTGACCATACACATCTAGGATCTGCTCCTCTGTGGGCTCTTCTGCCTCTGCTCTGAAGCTCGGGAGGGAGGCCTAGGTCTGAGAGGTGTTCTCTTCCAGGTAAAACTGTTCACAGAGACCCCTGCTTCCCACCTCGCAAGGGCTGCTCTGTTCAAGGAGCCTGCGACCTGACCTGAGAAACCATGTTAGTGGCAAAAATCTGACTCTTAGAATTCTTTACATCAGACTTAAAAGAGAGACACCCTGACAATGCAGAAGGGGCCAGGAACCTGTCTGACCCAAGAGATCTGAAGACACACCAGAAATCCAGACTACATTTGACACATGGTAAGATTCCATCTACATCCACTCCCTGAGTATTTGGGGACATGACATTCTGCTAAGTGCTGTGAAGGCTGCAATGCTGGTTTTAGGCAGGTGTGATATTAGCGCCTGAAACGGGAAATAAATCACACCTGCCTTTGAACCCCAGCTCCCTCACTGCTAGCTTGTGACCTGAGCCTCAGTTATATTTAATGCAGATGTGGTTGTGAGGTATACATAGGCACCCAACGAATGGAACAAAGTGTCTTCTAAATATAACAGCAGCAGTCCGCTCATGGCTTAGTAGCCTACAGTCGGCTGTTTGCTTTACAGGTGGTGACTTAAAGTTTTAAACCAACGCCATGAAGCAGTCATTATTAATACCCTCACTTTCAGATGAGAAACCTGACTCTCATCCACGTCCCTACATTCGCCTCGGCTTCCAGTTGACAGAGATGGAACTTACCCGGGTTTTTCCAGCTCCAGAGCTCGGGGTCTCGATGCAGACCCACCGTCCGGGGATTTCGGGCACGTTGTCGCCCGCGTTACAAATGCGCTTTCCCCACCCCCGCCGCCGCTCGCGCCGGGCTCCGGTCCCGCACACCGCGGCCCGCACCCGGCACCTGCTCCGGACCAACGCTCAGCCTCAGCCGCCCCGGGAGCCAGCGGCCGAAGTCCCTCTCCAGCGGCCGGGAAGGCCGAGGGCCCGCCCGGTCGCATCCACTGACACAGGGGGCGGGGATCCCACAAACTTCCCGCTTCCTCTCCCGCTTCCGGGCACAAACGCTGTCCTCCCGCCCCAGCTGCGCCCCCTCTACTTTCCGAGCCGACCCCCGAGCTTCCCAAACCGCTTCCCGGGAGTCTCGAGAACCCAAATGAGGAGGCGGGGCTCTGGCTGCACAGGCGCAGAAGGAGCCCAGGAGCCCCATCCCAGAGTGCTGCGCGGCGAACCAGACTCATTCAGGACTACATTTCCCATAAGCTCTTGCGTCCGCCTTCGACGTGACTCCTCACGTTTCGGCGATTCAGAATTGGCGGGGATGGAGTTTTTATGAAGTCTCCCGCTCAGGCTCTCCAAGAACAGGGAGAAGTTAAAGGTTAAAACTTAAACGCTACTGACAAATACAAAGAGTAGCCCTCCATTGGTTCCCGGTTGAACCAACATTTTTTTTTTCCGTAAGACTTTCGGAGACAATTGGGAAGCTGAATATGGATTGGGAATTGCAAATATTGAAAAAAAGTACCATTACTTTTGTGAACTGTGAAAAAAAATTAAGAATTTTGTAGAAATTTTTTTTTTAAAAAAAGGGATCACTACTGAAGTATTTAGCATTGAAATGATATAACTTTGAATTTACTTTACAATTTTATACATTTTCAACCTGGAACCTCCACCTTGTCTCTTTACAGCCTACCCGACCCATTGACCTGTGAGCCCTGTCCTGGCGCCCCCAGGCGTGAGGGTTCTAAGGCGGGTCGAGCCCGGTGCTGCAGGTGTTAGAGAAAAGCTTTTGGTTTTTATCCCTTAACATTGCTTCTTGCCGAATTCTCTTATTGATTCAACATATTTAAATTTAATGTTAATTATCTTAGGTTTCCATGCGCATTAACGAATTTTCTTGCTTTTTGCTGATTGTTTTTTATTTCCGTAGGTTATTGGGGAACAGATGGTGTTTGGTTACATGAGTAAGTTCTTTAGTGGCGATTTGTGAGATTTTGGTGCACCCATCACCTGAGCAGTATACACTGCACCCCATTTGTAGTCTTTTATCCCTTGCCCCGCTGCCCTCCGCCATTCCCCGCCAAGTCCCCAAAGCCCATTGTGTTATTCTTATGCCTTTGCATTCTCATAGCTTAGCTCCCACTTATGAGTGAGAACTACGATGTTTGGTTTTTCCACTCCTGAGTTACTTCACTTAGAATAATAGTCTCCAATCTCATTCAGGTCGCTGCAAATGCCATTAATTCATTCCTTTTTATGGCTAAGTAGTATATCATCAGATACATACCACAGTTTCTTTATCCAGTTGTTGATTGATGGGTATTTGGGTTGGTTCCACGTTTTTGCAATCGCAAATTGTGCTGCTATAACCATGCATGTGCAAGTATCTTTTTCATATAATGACTTCTTTTCCTCTGGGTAGATACCCAGTAGTGGGATTGCTGGATCCAATGGTAGTTCTACTTTTAGTTCTTTAAAGAATCTCCACACTGTTTTCCATTGTGGTTGTACTAGTTTACATTCCCACCGGCAGTGTAGAAGTTTTCCCTGTTCACTGCAGCCATGCCAGCATCAACTATTTTTTGATTTTTTGATTATGGCCATTCTTGCAGGAGTAAGGTGGTTTTGATTTGGATTTCTCTTATCATTAGTGATGTTGAGCATTTTTTCATATGTTTGTTGGCCATTTGTATATCTTTTTTGAGAATTGTCTATTCATGTCCTTAGCCCACTTTTTGATGGGATTGTTTGTTTTTTTTCTTTGATGAGATTGATTTGTTTGAGTTCGTAGTAGATTCTGGATATTAGTCCTTTGTCAGATATATAGATTGTGAAGATTTTCTCCCACTCTCTGGGCAAAGTGAACAGCTGAGTAAAGATTAAAGGTGAGCTGCGAGGTGTTGTTACCTCAGAGGGTGCTCTGCAGAAGAGTATATCCATGAGCTACTTGAACTCTTTAAATCAAAACAAAAGGAAAAAAGTTTATTCTAAGCAAGTTTATTTCTTGTCTGATGGTTATTAGATGGGAGAACATTGCCAGATCTAAGCTACCAACCTCAAAAATGTTTTCAAAAACAAATGGTTATTGAACATCACATTTTACAGAGATTCTGCTCCCTTTCTCCCGCCCTCCCCAGAGAGAGCAGTCCTGCATGCGAATGATCAAAGGTCAGTCTTAGGACAACAATGAGAAAACAAGCTATTTAGATAAACTCCTCTACATTCCCTTGTTATTTGCTTTTTACTATTAACTCAAGGTAAGAGGATCAGGCTGCCTTCAGCCATAACCCTTTCCTAAAGCTTTTGCAAAACCTTCTGGCCTTCCAAGAAGGTTTGCCCAGTTCTTTGTAGGACAGATGATTGATAGATGTAAAGTAATTCATGAGTAACCCTGCTTAGCAGGGTTAGAGGAATCCCAGGGATACATAGACTGGCAGCTGTTTCCACCTTAAAACCAACAGAATTGTCTAAGTTGCAGATGATGTAAGACAGAACAATTTTTATGATGTGATCATGAAGATGTGAAAAATAGGGGCTGTAAGAAGGACCATTCTTTATACACGTGCATTCCTTATCAAGCCAACAACTGACTATGGGGAATGTTTTACAACCTCAGAGACCTGCGCCTGCCATGCTGCTCTGCACAGCAGCCACTGGGGGGCTCTCTTGACCGCAGTTTTTTAAGCTAGTGCCCTATATAGAAGGGTAAGTTTTTGTGAAAAGATTAACATTTGCTCACTATCACATGGGTTTTACATATTCAAGCTTGACGTACTTGTAAAGTTCCCATCTGCCTACCAGCTAGGTGTCAGACATTACATGTGGTAGGCACTTGAGGATTTACTGAATGACTTTAAATCCACACTGGGCCTGTGTGTGTGCTGCCTTTTATGAGTGTGAAGGTGACAACACTGCCTCTTTTCATGATGCCCTTGGCTGAGATGACCATCATTCTTGTGACTAAAACTGGGCTGTACATTTCTATGGGCACAGTAGGTAGCAGAAGTATCTGACCTATGATTGTGATATGGCCTCTTGCTCTGCCTGATCAAGCAAAGTCTCTGTAGAACATAAGAATAAAAGGCACTTACTTTCTGGTCAAAACCAGAAGAAACCTGTCATTCCTAAGAGTTCTTATTACAGCACTCAAACTAAGCTAAATCAAAGGCCAGTGCTCTATTTTGCAGATTTACATAGAAAGACTTGAAAGTTATGCTGATATTGACATTTGTCCAACCAAACTAGAAGAGGATTGTCTTGTCACCCATTTATCTTGCTGTGGAGCGATGACCATGAGGTTGCAGGGAGTGTGAAAAACTGCAGGCTCTCTGAGAACATTTAATCTGATGACATGTGAGTTTGTAAGGTTTTTGTGAACTTTCTGATAATTTTTCAATATTTTTTTGCTCCCATAAACTTAACACTTTAAGAAATATTTTTAAAGGTTACATTGTGCAGATGATGGAAATGGACATGAAAACCACATCTTTCTATTAGCTTTAGAATAACAGTTCATAGTTTTCATTGTTCATTGGTAGGTCTTGGTAAATTGCTCTTGTAATAATCTGCTCATAAATTGAAAAGTATTTTTCTGGTGATTTTTGGCAGTTATCTTCCAAGTATACTACCAGAACATAATAGTACAGTAAATATCTTTATGGCTTTCTAGAGGCCGTCTGCAAGTTCCAGTCTCTCTTTAAGGTGCACATGTCTGGCCTTTGAAATAATTGGCCGCTGACAGGTCTAGGGCCTCTAGACTGTGAAAAATGTGTAGCTTCACCCTGAGTCATACATTGTGCATTTGCTCTTGCTGGTGTTTCCGCTGCCTTTATCTGAAGATCTGTTTTATAGAAACCTTGACATACAGAATAGCCACAGATCCCTGTGCCCCTATCCCCTCCCCCAGGAGTGTTGCCTGTGTTTAGAGATTGGGCTGATGAGTTAGAAGCTCTCCTCAGGCAGTCTGAGAAACATTGCATTGCTGGACATCACCCAATGCTCACCTCACTCAAGAGCTTCCTAGGGCACTCATACAACCACAACAGCACTTTGGGGTCCTTGAGTTACCTATGAGAGTGCAATAAATCTTGCTGAGTCAGGGGGTTGCTCACAGATGGCACCAACTGGACACAGAAACATGAGCTTCATGGGGTCTTTCTTCCAGTCTGGCCTCATGACTGCTGTAAAGGGAAGGGCCTTGGAGCTGGTAGGCAGGGTGAGCCAGGGAGGCATTTTTAGCAAAGGCTCTCAGAGTGCCCACTGGACAGTGAGAATGGCTTTGTGGGTGACGCTTAGGAAAATATGAAGGAACACCTCATATGAAGATCAAGATCGTGACAGGCAGTGGCGCGAGGTTTTGTTTGTTTGTTTGTTTGTTTTACATTTGCCTGTAGGTAAGACTGTCATTCAGAATGTATGCAGCCACAGAAGTGGAGCCTGATGGCTAAGTAGAAATCTCTGCCAGCTGTGCTCCCCACAGGAATAGCCTCAGCAGTGGACCTGTGGTGAGGAGAGAGTCCGTGCTTGGCGGAGGGAGAGCACAGCAGCTGTGGGACTTTGCACTGAACTCAGTGCTGCCTTGTTGTAGCAGAAAGCAAAACAAGGTTGCACTCATCTGATGCCTCCACCCACGGAGGAAACATTTACACTAGTGCCCACCCACGGAGGGAACATTTACACTAGTGCCCACCCACGGAGGGAACATTTACACTAGTGCCCACCCACAGAGGAAACATTTACACTAGTGCTAGCCAGAAGGGAATTGTTTATCCCAGTGGTTGGAACTTGAGTTGTGGAAAGCCTGGCTACTGCAGGATAAAGTACTCGGGGTCCTTAATAAACCTGAAAGGCTGTCTAAGCCACAAGGACTGCAACTCTTAGGCAAGTCCTAGTGCTGTGCCGCGCTTGGAGCCAGTGTATTTGGGGGCATGTGACCTAGAGAAACAGCAGCTAGGGCAGCTATGGAGTGCTTGCCCACCCCTCCTCCAACCCTAGACAGTGCAGCTCGCAGCTCTGACAGAGACCTCTTTCTTCCGCTTGAGGAGAGGAGAGAGGAGAGGACTTTGTCTTGCATCTTGGATACTAGCTTACAGTAGGAGGGGGCACTGGTCAGAGTCATGAGACCCCCCTTTCAGGTCTCAGCTTTGGGATAACATCTCTAGACAAACTCTGGGCTACAAGGGAACCTGCTTCCTTGAAGGGAAGGACTCAGTAATGGCAGGATTCTTCACTATCTGACTAAAGAGCCCTTGGGCCTTGAATAATCAGCAGTGGTAACCAGGTAGTACATGCCATGGGCCTCGAGTGAGACTCAGAGATGTGCTGGCATCAGGTGTGACCCCGCACATTCCCAGCTGTGGTGTCTGTGAGGAGAGACTCCCTCTGCTTGAGAAAAGCCGAAGGCAGAGTAAAGAGGATTTTTCTGGAGCTTAGACACCAGCTCAGCTACAGTGGAGAAGAGCACCCAGTGGACTGTTGGAGTCCCTGATTCAGGCCTTGGCTCTTAGATGGCATCTCTGGACTTAGCCTGGGCCAGAGGGGAGCCCACTGTCCTGAAGAGTGAGTTCCAGGCCAGACAGCATTCACCACAAGCTGACTGAGAGCCCTGAGGCATTAAGTGAACATCAGTGGTGAGCTGGCAGTAATCCGCATGAGACTGTGATGACGTCGTAGGTGGGAACAGACTACCCTGCCTGGGGAGAGGGGAGGGGAGAGTGGGAAGGGATTTGCCGGGTGGATTCAGTGCCAGCTCAGCGATGGTAGAACAGAACACCAGGTAGATTTATAAGGTTTATGACTGAGAGCCCTGGCTCTCAGACAGCACCTTTGAATGCATCTAGGGACCAGGGGAGCTTACTGCACTGAAGGGAAGGACAGAAGCCTGGCTGGCTTCACTACCTGCTAATTGGAGAGCCCTGGGGCCTTGAGTGAAATAGGTGGCAGCTGGGTTGTTGTTACAGTGGGGGTCTTGGGCAGTCACAGCGCTGTGCCGGCTTCAGGTCTGACCCAGTGCTGTCCCAGTGGTGGTGGCTACAGGGGTGTTGTATTGCTCCTCTCCCAACTCCAGGCAGCCTAGCACAAAGAGAGAGAGACTTCATTTGTGGGAAAGTAAGGGAAGAAGTCAGTCTCTGCCTGCTAATCCAGACAATTCCTCCAGGTCTGATCCAAGACCACCAATGTGGTGCCTCCACAAGTCTGCAAAAACCAATGACATTCTTCACAGAAATAGAAATTTAAAAATGAATCCTAAAATGTATATACAACTACAAAAGACTCAGAATATCCAAAGCTACCCTGAGCAAAAAACAAACAAAACTGGAGGAATCACATTATCTTATTTCAAATTATACCGTACAGCTATGGTAACCAGAACAGCATGGCACTGGCATAAAAACAGACACATAGACCAATGGAACAGAATAGAAAACCCAGAAACCGATTCATACATCTGCAGTGAACTCATTTTCAACAAAGGTGCCGAGAACATACAATGGGGAAATGACAGTCTCGCCAATAAGTGGTGCTGGGAAAACTGGATATCCATATGCAGAAGAATGAAACTAGACCTCTATTTCTCATCTTATGCAAACATAAAATCAAAGTGGATTAAAGATTTAAATCTTGGCTGGTGCAGAGGCTCACGCCTGTAATCCCAGCACTTTGGGAGGCTGAGAGAGGAGGATTGCTTGAGCCCAGAAGTTCAAGACCAGCCTGGGAAACACAGTGAGTTTCTGTCTCTATTTCTTAAAAAAAAAATTTTAAAAAAGATTTAAATCAAAGACCTCAAATATAAAACTAAAATAAAACATTGGGAAAACTCTCCAGGATATTGGACTGGGCAAATATTTCTTGAATAATATTTTATAAGCACAGGCAGCCAAAGCAAAAATGGGCAAATTGGGTCACATCAAGTTAAAAAGCTTCTGCACAGCAAAAGAAACAATCAGCAAAGTGAAGAGACAACCCACAGAATGGGGGAAGATATTTGAAAACTATCTGACAAGGGATTAATTACCAGAATGTTTAAGAAGCTTAAATAACTCAGTAGAAAAAAATCTAATCATCTGATTTTTAAAATGGGCAAAATATCTGAATACACATTTCTCAAAAGAAGACACATTAGCAAGGCATGGGGGCATGTGCCTGTAGTTTCAGCTGTTTGGGAGAATTAAGGGCAAAAATTACCTGAGCCCAGGAGGTTGAGGCTGCAATGAACTGTGATTGTGCCACTGCACTCCAACCTGAGTGACAAAGTGAGATCCTGTTTCAAAAATAAAAAAGGCATACACATGGGAAATAGGTATATGAAAAGATACTCAACATCAACATCATTGATTGTCAGAGAAATGCAAATCAAAATTACAGTGAGGGATCATCTCACCCCATTTAAAATGGCTTTTATTCAAAAGACAGGCAATAGCAAATGCTGGTGAGGATATAGAGAAGAGGTAACCATCGTACACTGTTAGTGGGAATGTAATTTAGTACAACCACTATAGAGAACAGTTTGGAGGTTCTCAAAACTAAAAATAGAGCTACCATATGATCCAGCAATCCCACTGCTGGGTATATACCTAAGAGAAAGGAAATCAGTATTATCAAAGAGATACTTGCACTCTCATGGATATTGCAGCACTGTTCACAACAGCCAAGATTTGGAAGCATCCCGAGTGTCCATCAACAGATGAGTAGCCAAAGAAAATGTACATATACACAATGGAGTACTTACTATTCAACCATAAAAGAGAATGAGATCCTGTTATTTGCAGCAACATGGATGGAAATGTTAAGTGAAATAAGCGAAGCAAGAAAGACAAACTTCACATGTTTTCACTTATTTGTGGGAGCTAAAGTAGAATTGTTGGCAGAGGCTAGTAAAGGTAGTATGGGGGATGGGGGGTAAAGAGTAATGGTTAATAGGCACACACACATAGTTAGAAAGAATAAATAAGGTCCAGTATTTGATAGCAAAACAGGTTGACTACTGTCAATAATTATTTAATCGTACATTTTATAGTGCCTAAAATAGTATAATTGAATTATTTGTAAAACAAAGGATAAATGCTTGAGGTGTGATGGATACTTCATTTACCCTACAGTTACACATTGTAGGCCTGTATCAAAATATTTTATATACCCCATAAATACATACACCTACAGTGTACCAACAAATTTTTTAGAAGACTGTCATTCAGAATTACCACACTGTATATTTACAAGTGAAGCGAGGCTTCTTGTGACTAAGAAGAGACTAGTGATGGTTTGTTTCTGTTGAAATGGCTGCTAAATTACCACTTTGCTAATAGTATATAAACTGAGTTGTCATGGTGATATTGCTAATAGCCATTTTAGCAAAGGACATAACAGCAAATGAATTTGAAACAAATAGGTGTACTTTGAAAGTTGAAGAAGCTAGTGTGCCTTTAATCACTACAGTTTTCGTCACTGTATAAACTGGTTTCTTGAAGGAAGCAAAATTCATAATTATGAACACTTAGCTCTGCTATAATGGCAGCTAAATTGTTCTCAAAACCTGCAACTAATCTGGCGGCGGTGGGTGGCTCTAGCTCTAGTTACAAGGTCAGAAAATACACAGGGAAATGTGCAGGTTTCCATAGATGTGAGCTCCAGAAGCAGTGGTGGCAGAGGCCAGCTCCAAGATGCCCAGTTCTACACAATGCTATTTGTGAACGCAGAAGCACCAGGAACTATGCTCCAAACAGTAGCAATGTTCATGATCTTTGGAAATTGAAAAACATTACAACAAAGTACTTAACATACATTTATCTTGTCCCTCTGTTGATTATTTATAATGGTCTCTTTTTGACTGTAAATTGAACCATTTAAAAATTAGCGTCTATCAGATTTTTCTTAAAACTTTTTGACATCTATTTGTCTTTTTAGAATATATTTTCTTTCAGGAACATTACTAATTATCAGGGAAATGCAAACGAAAACCACAATGTGATACGACCTTGCTCCTGCAGGAATGGCCATAATTTAAAAATAAAAAAAAAAAAATACATGTTGGCTTGGATTTGGTGAAAAGGGAACACTTTTACACTGCTGATGGGAATGTGAACTAGTACAACCACTATGGAAAACGGTGTGGGGATTCTTTGAAGAACTAAAAGTAGAACTGCTATTCAACCCAGCAATCTCTCACTACTGGGTATCTACCCAAAGGAAAATAAGTTATGAAAAAGACACATGCACAAGCATGCTAATAGCAGCACAATTTGCAATTGCAAAAATATGGAGTCAGCCTAAATGCCCATCAATTAATGGTGAGCAAAAGAAAATATAGAATATATGCACCACGGAATACTGCTGAGCCATAAAATGGAATGAAATAATGGCCTTTGCAGCAACTTGGATGGAGCTGGCGGCCATTATTCAAAGTGAAGTAACTCAGGAATGGAAAACCAAATATCATATGTTCTCACTTATAGGTGGGAGCTAAGCTATGAGGATGCAAAGGCATAAGAATGATATAGTGGACTTTGGGGACTTGGGGAGGAAGGTCGGGAGGGGGTTGAAGGATAAAAGATTACATATTGGGTACAGTGTACACTGCTCAGGTGGTAGGTGCACCAGAAGCTCCTAAATCATCCCTAAACAACTTATCCATGTAAGCAAAAACCACCTGTACCTCAAAAACTATTGAAATAAAATTAAAAACCATTATTGGTAAACAAATATATATATATGCATATGTACATATACACATACATACACACACATATATTTGTTTATATATAAATATATAAAACGTATATATATATATTTTATATATATATACACATTTAATTCAAACTGAGCAGCTCCTATTCAGAAAATTTGCTGTTCCTGTAAAGGGTATGCTATTCAGCCATTTAAAAAACAACAAAAACTGAGAAGATATATCTGTAGGCATAATGGTTTTCTTCGATAACTAAGCCTCTATTAATAAACATGATGATTCTATAAAACACTATATTTTACACAATTAAAATATGTTTTTGGAAAAACATAAAAGAGTTTATGAAGTGCATATATTCCTATAGTAAATTAAGTCCTGATTAGCTGATTATTAAAACATTATCTGACTTACATTTCTATAGCCTTATGGTTATATGAATAAGAAATTAATGCTGGAAGGAGATTTAGTCAGGTTTTCAGTTAAACAAATGAGAAAACAACATATCTGCTTATATCTTAACTACTCTTCATACCAGAGAACATCAAGCATTTGTTGACTTAGCCAGTGGATAAAACATTAAAATTTTAAAACCAAGAAACCAAATGTGTTGTTCAGGTATTGATTATTTTTATACAATTAAGTCTTTACTTAATTTCACAGTAAGGAATTACTGTGAAAGTGGTAAGATTACTCTAGTTTTATATTTATTTAAACATTTGACAAAGTGCTGGATACAGTGGCTCATGTCTGTAATACTAGCACTTTGGGAGGCCAAGGTGGGAGTATCACTTGATCACAGGAGTTTAAGGCCAGCCTGGGCAAAAAGTGAGACCCTATCTCCACAAAAAGAACTAAAAAAAAAAAAAAAAAAAAAATCCCAGCTCAGTGACATGAGCCTGTAGTCCCAGCTACTTGAAAGGCTTAGGTGAATGGATCACTTGAGGCTGGGAGTTTGAGTCTGCTGTGAGCTAGGATCATGCCACTGCACTTTAGCCTGGGTGACAGAGCAAGACCCTGTCTCTTAAAATTTAAAAAAAAAATGAGAAAACACCTTTGGCCAGGGCAGCTGAATAATCATGTGGTAGAGGGCTGCTCCCAGCCTGTTCTTCTCTCAGTGCATTCAACTCATCCCCACATTCTCTTCTGACCAGGGTGACAGATGCTGAACACCTTAGAGTTTCATTTCCAACTCGGGAGAAACATTGTGTGGTATGGTTTGGCTGTGTCCCACCCAAATCTCATCTTGAATTCCCACATGTTATGGGAGGGACCCAGTGGGAGTTAACTGAATAATGGAGACAGGTCTTTCCTGTGTTGTTCTCATGATAGTGAATAAGTCTCATGAGATCTGATGGTATTATAAGAGGGAGTTTCCCTACACAAGCTCGTCTGTTTGCCTGCTGCCATCCTTGTAAGACATGACTTGCTCCTCCTTGCCTTTTGCAGTGATTGTGAGGTCTCCCCAGCCATGTGGAACTGTAAGTCCAATAAACCTCTTTCTTTTGTAAATTGACCAGTCTTGGGTATGTCTTCATCAGCAGTGTGAAAACAGACTAATACAGTAAATTGATACCAGTAGAGTGGGGTGCTACTGAAAAGAAACCCGAAAATATGGAAGCAACTTTGGAACTGGGTAACAGGCAGAGGTTGGAACAGTTTGGAGGACTCAGAAGAAGACAGGAAAATATGGGAACGTTTGGAACTCTCTAGAGACTTCTTTAACGGCTTTGACCAAAATGTTGATAATGATATGGACAATCCAGGCTGAGGTGGTCTCAGATGGAGATGAGGAACTTGTTGGGAACTGGAGCAAAAGTGACTCTTGTTATGTTTTAGCAAAGAGACTGGCAGTATTTTCGCCCCACCCTAGAGATTTCTGGAACTTTGAACTTGAGAGAAATGATTTAGGGTATCTGGCAGAAGAAACTTCCAAGCAGCAAAGCATTCAAGATGTGTCTTGGGTGTTGCTAAAGGCATTCTGTTTTAAAAGGGACACAGAGCATAAAAGTTTGGAAAATTTGCAGCCTGACAATGTGATAGAAAAGAAAATCCCATTTTCTGAGGAGAAATTCAAGCCACCTGCAGAAATTTGCATAAGTAATGAGGAGCCAAATGTAAGTCACCAAGACAACAGGGAAAATGTCTCCAGGGCATGTCAGAGACCTTTGTGGCAGCCCCTCCCATCACAGGCCTGGAGGTTTAAGAGGAAAAATTGTTTTGTGGGCTGTGCCCGGGGTTCCTCAGCTGTGTGCAGTCTAGGAACTTGGCGCCCTGTGTCCCAGCTGCTCCTGCCATGACTAAAAGGGGCCAAAATACAGCTTGGGCTGTTGCTTCAGAGGGTGGAAGCCCCAAGCCTTGGAAGCTTTTATGTGGTGTCGAGCCTGCAGGTGCACAGAAGTCAAGAATTGAAGTTTGGGAACCTCCACCTAGATTTCAGAAGATGTATGGAAAGGCCTGGATGACCAAGCAAAAGTTTGCTGCTGGGGTGGGGCCCTCATGGAGAACCTCTGCTAGGGCAGTGTGGAAGGGAAATGTGGGGTCGGAGCCCCCATACAGAGTCGCTACCTGGGCACCGCCTTGTGGAGCTATGAGAAGAGGGCCACCATCCTTCAGACCCCAGAATGGTAGATCCACTGACAGCCTGCACCGTGTGCCTGGAAAAACCCCACTCAATGCCAGCCCATGAAGGCAGCTAGGAGGGGGGGTTATACCCTGCAAAGCCACAAGGGCAGAGCTGCCCAAACCATGGGAACCCATGTCTTGCATCAGCAAGACCTGGATGTGAGACATGGAGTCAAAGGAGATCACTCTGGAGCTTTAAGATTTGACTGCCCTGCTGGATTTCGGACTTGCCTGGGGCCTGTAGCCCCTTTGTTTTGGCCAATTTCTCCCATTTGGAATGACTGTATTTATCCAATGCCTGTACCCCCATTGTATCTAGGAAGTAACTAATTTGCTTTGGATTTTACAGGCTGATAGGCAGAAGGGACTTGCCTTGTCTCAGATGAGACTTTGGACTGTGGACTTGTGAGTTAATGCTGAAATGAGTTAAGACTTTAGGGAACTGTTGGGAAGGCATGATTGGTTTTGAAATGTGAGGACATGAGATTTGGGAGGGACCAGGACAGAATGATATGGTTTGGCTGTGTTCACACCCAAATCTCATCTTGAATTTCCACGTGTTGTGGGAGGGACCTGGTGGGAAGTAATTGAATAATAGAGGCAGGTCTTTCCCATGCTGTTCTTGTGATAGTGAATAAGTCTCATGAGATCTGACAGTATTATAAGGAGTTTCCCTATACAAGCTTTTCTCTGCCTGCTGCCATCCACATAAGACATGACTTGCTCCTTCTTGCCTTCTGCCGTGATTGTGAGGCCTCCCCAGCCATGTGGAACTGTGAATCCAGTAAACCTCTTTCTTTTGTAAATTGCCCTGTCTCGGGTATTTATGCTTTATCAGCATAAATGCTTTATCAGCAGCATGAAAACAGACTAATACACTGTGCAAGTCCAACACCCTACCAAAAGGCATATCATAAAACGGGTTTAGTCTAGCCAAGATGTCTCTCTTTGATCTTTCCGCTTTCCTAAGTTTAAAGAGTTTTACTGCCCTGTAATAGTGACGACTAGTAAATGGCATCCACCGTTTCTCTCATCTGATCACTATTGTGGTGCTCTGTGAGTGAGCATGGAGTCTGAGTTGTGCAGCTGCACTAAGGGAACTCTGAAGAATGAGCCCTATATCATCAGCATGGGTGCATTAGAGGCTGTCACCTTTCTGCTTGTCCCAAACTTGGGGTGCTGGATGCAGAATGGACTGCAAGCAGCTGTGTCCTGTTTGGACATTAGTGTAGGAATCCAACTGCATAGCCTTCATTTGTTTCAAAGCAGAATTTAGAGCCATTCTAGTAGCTCACTGTGATATTTTTAAATAAATGGAGAAAAATTTTATTAACTGACTTAACAAAAAAACACTGCCTATTAAACTCATATAGTATTGTTTAGAGAGTATCTACAAAATTCTAACCTCGATGTTTTCTTGCAAAAGAAGTGGAAATAAGTAGAGAGACTCTCTCAAAGAATCGCTGAGAAACACAAAATATTCATAAGTAGTATAAGATTTACTTATGTGCATTTTTGAAGATTATACAATAATCAATTTGCATCAGGCTTTCCAATTTAGGAATACTGATAGGATTTCCCTGTAGGGGGAGTTTTCACATAAATTTTGAAGAAATCATTAAAACTGAAAACTTTCCTGTATTTTGTAGTCTACTGGAGTTCCAATCCAGTGTGCTTTCTTATATTTATAAGGCCAGTCTACAATGTGTGTTATCATAGGTCTTGGAGCAAATATCACGTAAATGAAGGCATTTCTGCATTCTATACATTCATAGGTTTTATTTCAGAAACGAGTTCTTGTCTTCATGTGGAACTGGAACAACTGACGACCCTACCACATGTTTGTATTTATAAGGGTTTTCTCCCTTGAATCCTTTCATGTTTTCAAAGAAATGAAAAAGCTGAAGGCTTGACTATGTTTCTTAAGATTATGTAGTTTTTCTACGTATTAAAATTCAACTATGCCTTTGAAAAGATGTGGGAAAATCAAGTTCATTAACACGTTTTTTACATTCATTATTTTTTCCAATACAAGTTTTTCTAAGTTTTCAAAGAGAACTGGGAAAGTTGAATGCTTTCTTGTGTTTCTTTCATCGATAGGGTTCTGTACAGTGTGAGTTCTTTTATGTGTTCTAATAAACTAGAGCATATGACGGCTTTACCACATTTCTTACATGAGAATAATGTTTTTGAAGATAGCCCAGTTGACTAACATTGTCCTGTGTTGGTTTTGTTGTGTTTCTCCTTCCCCAGGCTTGAGTTGGGAAACCAGTTCTCCCACTTCATTAATAATGATGTCGATGTTCCTGGCAGTGTTTATACCAAATGCTACTTTGACCTTTGCGCCTTGGCACACGACAGTAGCCTATATTTGCCATTTTGTCTTCTTGACATAGAAAGAGCATGGGAACTGAAGGTAAGGCTATGAAGGTACTAAGTGGGCTTTCAGTCAAACACCAATGCCAACATCTGCAACTAGATCATATTAAGAAGTGATTAGAAAAATGAAAAGCTTCAAAATTAACATACTGAAGAGCTTATTAACCTTTTTGGCATGTAGTTTATGGTTTATACAAAGATTCACATTATTTAAAAGTTATAGATATCATCTCTTCTGTAACCATAATTCAGAATATTTTAATCAAGTTTAATTCATCCTTAATGGTTTTCCTTTTGAACTGCTACCCTTTCAAATAATCATACATAAGTGATTTCTTGCAGTTGTATTCCTAATATCTACATATATAATGCACTTAACATTCTTTACTATTTGTTATCATTTAGTTTGCAAATTTATATCATTTTCTACTGTAATATACCACAGTGCAGTGAGTCCCATGAGTTTGTTAGACAAAGCATTAGTGCCTAAGCCAAGAGACCTGCACTTAGACTGTATAAGGTATGTGTGTCTCAAGTACTGGATGCAGGAAGTACATGGGATTCTACCGGAAATGATAACTTTTATGGGGCAAAGTAATATTTATGGTTTGTGACTTTCGGTGAGTACACAGCAAAATTACTCACAACTGACATGGATGAACATTTAAAATAGGCATTTTCGGTAGTAGCTGGGAAGTATTTTGAAATAATACATTTTCTACCATAATTAATGTCCAAGTGAAGTAACACCTTTTGATGCTTTAGTCATTAGACTTATTTGACATTCCAATGCAGTCCAGCACATACCTGCTTCATTAAAATTTGCTTTGAGTATATAATAACTACTACAGATTGGGTAGAATTTGAATACATTCATAAACTAACTTTTGCAAAAGTGTGCATTCATTATGTTTAAGGAACAAGTGCACAGGTAACAGATGATACTGCTGTTAGAAGACTGTCACAATACTGTGACATCTTTAGGAGCCCAATTTTTAAATAACTTAATAAAACAAGTTCCCCCTTTGCTCCAGCAATCTAATTATAGCCCTTAAAGGAGACTACCTTAGAGAGTTGACAGAACTTGGCATTGTAAACCTCAGCCAAAATAGCTGTTACTGAACTATCTAAGGGAGTCTGCATGTGTGGCTTATCATCAATGGTGATTGTTACAGGTTGGAATCCTTTTTGAAATTGTACCTCTTTTCTATTTGATTGTCTTTCTTAGGTTGTTTCAAGGTTGGAAGACAAAGACTTCTATGGTACTGCCAACAAAAGGAAAAGGTCTTTGAGTTCTGATGATTTAATTGATCTTCAGTGCCTTAAGGCCATCCTCTCCTGAAGGAAGAAGTGAGGGGTTATATAACATCTGAACCCCTCATCAAAAAAGACAGGAAAATATCACCTTTCCTGCTGAAGAACTAGAAAAGTACTTTCAAAAGAAGAAACACCTACAATTCAAGTTAACTCAAGGACAACTAGGATTGCACTTCATAGAAAAGAATGGGACCTTGTCAATGCAACAACACACTCTTACACTCTTCTGTCCCTTTTAATGTAAAGAGAGTTATAAAAACCACTCCAAAGTGAAGGCTCCTATGTGAGCTGATAGCAGTGAACTATGTAAGGGTTTAAAACAATGGTTTAAATTTTTAGATTTTAAAGATAACTTTTCTGTTTCTTTTATATTTTTCTTTCCCCCAATATTGCTGCATATGCATTTAGCATCATATTACCATTAAAACATAGGACTCTTAACAACTCATAAAGCCACTAGGAGCAGATGCAGCATTGTCAGGTACTGAAGGGGCTCTTCCTTCCTACTCTTAGAATCGAAGCTACTAGTTACTGGCAATCATTTTAAGCAAAAGCTTCTGGATAACATTTGCCATTCATATCCTCTGTAAGCACTTCTTATTAGCAGTTAGCATGTTTGGGGTCATAAAAAGAGAAAATATTGGTTATTGATTATCTACTTTTATTAGGGTCTGTGGTGTATTTCTTGTGAACTATAATGGTTCTCATTTGCTGATAAATTTTCTTATTTTTTAAATAAAGGTATTAAAAGATGTTTTCATAGTGCCAAGCAACATGGTGATCCAGTGGTAATAAAAAATGATAAAACATGAGGTGTCCTGAAAGTTTCAGGACAGTTTTTAGCTTTAACATAGTATGCTTGTGCCCTCCAGAGCACTGAAGCATACATATGCAGGCTATAAACCTTTACAAAATATAATTTGAAATTTTAATTGTATTTCTTCTTTTTTTTTTTAAATAGATGTTGTCTCAGTATGTTACCCAATGTACAGTGCAATGATTATTCAGAGGCACAGTCATAGCATACCACAGCCTGGAAATCCTGGCCTCAAGCAATCCTCCCATGTCAGCCTACCAAGCAGCTGGGACTATAGGTGTGTACCACCACCTCTGGCTTCATTTTGCAGAATTTGAATATTAAGCATTTAACTTTTTGTCTCATCAATATCTGCTATCGTCAAGAAGGACTGAAACAAAAAATTAAAGGTTAATATTCAGGAGCTAGGCATGCCTGTAGTCCCAGCTACTCATAAGGCTTAAATGGCAGGATCACTTGAGGCCTAGCATTGGAGGCTGCAGTGCGCTGTGATTGTGCCTGGAAATAGCCATTGCACTCCAGCCTTGGCAACATACTGAGACCCTGTCACTCTAAAAAATGGCAAAACTAAATAAAGGTAAAAGAAATATAACAAACCTTTCAGTGATGCTTTGTAAATATTTGTAGCATTGATACTTCTACAAGTATCAAAGCTTAAAATTACACTAAGCCTTTTGGAATTGTTGTATTTTTATAAAGTGCCCTTTTCTCTTTTGAAGTAGTTCTTTGCAGGGCTTTCATCTGCATTGATCACCCAAAATTATTTTCTCTAGATGTGATACAGAATAGGATCAGTTTTAATGCACATGTAACAAATTTGAAGGAACTGGACCTTAATAGTAGTAGATGATCTAATACATTTTATTATCCCGCATGTTAACCTGGAGGCAGGTATCATATTTTATGTCCATAAACCTTAGGAACCTTACCTCCTAAAAAAATTATCATTTATGGAGTGCAGAGCTTAGAGATTGAAGTATTGACTGCAGTTTTATTTTCAAAAGGTAAATGCTACAATTTATGTGGTTTTTATTTCTCATGTTTACATTAAAAGAAAACCTAATAAACTTTTAATTAAAATGTGACTAGTGGGCCGAGCACAGTGGCTCACACCTGTAATCCTAGCACTTTGGGAGGCCAAGGCAGGTAGTTCAGAAGGTCGGGAGTTCAAGACCAGCCTGGTCAACGTGGTGAAACCTCATCTCTACTAAAAATACAGAAATTAGCTGGGTGTGGTGGCACACACCTGTAATCCCAGCTACTTTGGAGGCTGAGGCAGGAGAATTGCTTGAACCTGAGGGGCGGAGGTTGCAGTGAGCCAAGATCGCGCCACTGCACTCCAGCCTGGGCGACAGAGTGAGACTCTGTCTCAAAAAAAAAAAAAATTGTGACTAGTATGTTTTTAACTCTTCTATTCACATAGTGTTACATCTCTGCGTAACTTAAATGATTCAAGTCAGTCTTGATATGTCTTAAAGCATTTTTATAAGTTGCCTGGACTATTCACAAATTGGTTTAATCCATGCCTCTATGTAAGACATAATATTTGTTTTTTCTGGCTTAAGCTCTTTTCAATTTTAAGATAATTTATTACACTTAAAATCACTCTCTGGCCACAATACTTAGTGGCATAGCGTATTAGATGGCATCTTTGAATAGTTGGTTATTGTGTCTGAGAGGAAAAAGCATGTTAGAATATAAAATTAGGTCAATACACCAAAGAGAAAGGATTCCCAGGAATAGTGTAGAATTAGAACAAGGGTGTTTGAGGTTTTCAAACAGTTACACAGAAAAAAAGTGGAAGTACAGAAAGTAGAATTAAAGTTGTTGTACAGAGGGTGGCTCAGACCACATAATTTGACTTTAGCACACTGCTTTCAAGCTTACCTTTTAGTTAAAAATATATCAAATCACTGTTAGTTTTTTTTTTTTAGAACTAAGAGTCTAGCCACTTAGCTTCAGTGATTCTCACTAAATCCTAATAATATTGGTATATTTTCATCTACTTTAATTCTTTAGTACCTAAGGTAAAATCTTTAAATAACTCATCACCTCATCTTGATAAACTGCAGACTAGAATCAGTGATCTGATTTAGAAGAAAAAGTCTATCATGAATCCCTGTTTATAAGATGCTTTGCACCATGTAATATGCAATAACTAAGTAGAGATCCTGACATACATGAGTGGTCAAAGGTTTAAAAAACTAGTTTGGGAGAGGGGCACTGGACATAAATCCATGACTTCAAGAGTAAGTCAGGGCCAGGTGTGGTGGCTCATGCCTGTAATGCCAGCACTTTGGGAGGGTGAGGTGGGCAGATTACTTGAGTCCAGCAGTTCAACACCAGCCTGGCCAAGGTAGCAAAACCCCATCTCTACTAAAAATACAAAAATTAGCCAAGCTTGGTGGCATCTGCCGATGTTCCTAGCTCCTTGGGAGGCTGATTCATGAAAGTCGCTTGAGCCTGGGAGGCAGACGTTGCAGTGAGCAGTGAGCATGCCTGCGCTCCACCCTGGGTGACAGAGCGAGACCTTGTCTCACACACACACACAAAAGAGTAAGTCAGTAGAATAAGGACCACTAACATTGCTCTCCCCTTTGGCTTGAATTCTAGAAGGCAATACAGTCATTTTGATACATGGAAAATTGGGTCAATTTAGAATAAGAATATAAACGTGACTGAAAGTGGGCAGGTTCTCTGACAAATGTTTGGGGTATGGAAACTAAGTTTCTAGTAGGGTGGTAACTATGGCAGTTTTCTTAGAGTTTGATATCTGGGAAAGATTTGTTGTCTAACACAAGACTATGAAAAAGATTATCTGACTACCAAAGCTCAAATTTACTTTCATTTTTAGGGTTATTTCCACTTTTGTAATACAGACACCAGTGAAATTTTTAACTCTGGTATTGTGTGAACTAAAACTTTTACCTCTTCATTACAAGGAAAAGACAATAGATCACTACCCATCAATACAAAAGAACAAGCTACTAAAACATGGATGACCTGGACCTGTGACGGACTAAATGGCACTGTGTTTGACTCGTGGATCTGACACAAACTAAGTGGGTCTGGATAATTCATGGACACTCTGAGGTCCAATCTCTTAATGGTTTCAAATGAGTCACAAGTAGATGACCATAAACACCTTTCGTGAACCATCACGGTGGAATTCTGTGAGGTTAAGATATCAAGACTAGCGTGACTAGTGTCACGTGGTTATGGACAGGTGTGAGAGCAGTGCAGTGTCTTTCAAGAGTGGGAGTTGTTTAGAGATGGAGGAAACAGGATTTCCACCCTCTGCCTGCTTACCTCTTACCCCTAGACCTCCCCACAAGCTCTCCTTTGAAGTGGCCTCCTGTCTCCCCTTGGTCTTCTCAAAGCTGGTCCAGGCATTCCACTGTCACAGACTCTAGTGGTTTCTGGAGATAATGACATCACCAGATCCAGCTCATTCTGGCGGGTGGATCAAGCACTGTTTCTGGCTATGCTCCGTCCTGTCTGGGCTTTTCTGCCTCTGCTGGGAAGCTCTGGAGAGTGGTAAGGTCAGAGGGGTGTTCTCTTTCTAGGAAAGATTCCTGTTCCCAGTGGCCCCCTGCTTCCTAATTCACAAGAGCTGCTTTGCTCTACAGTGAAATTATTTCTTGGGAGCTGGGACCAGGGCCTGGGAAACAAATTTTAGGGACACAAACCTGGCCCTCTGGAATTCAATACATTGGACTGAAAACATAGACAGCTTGGTAGTGCCAGAGTGGCTAGGCGCCTTCGTGTGACCCAACGGATCTGACCAGACACTACCAGAAAGCCTAAAATATATCTGACACAAGGTAAGGTTCTACCCACATTCACTTCCCATTATTTCCCTGTGTATTTTGGGTCATGTCACTTTGCTCAGTGCTGTAAAGACCGCAGGGCTGGTTTTAGGCAGGTGTGATATTCGACAGCACCTGAGACCGGAAATAAATCACACCTGCCCTTGAACCTAAATTTCCTCACTGCTAGCTTGTGACGTGGGCGCACTGTTCCTCCAACCTGAACCTCGGTTGTTATTTTTAATGCAGACGGTTATGCCGGCCTCATAGAGTACTTGTGAGGTTTAGGTGAGTCATCCAATGAAAAGAACAAAGTGTCTTCTAAATACAATAGCAGCTGTCACTTACTCAGGGTTTAGTAACTGCACTTGGCTGTTTGCTTTACAGCCAAGTGTATGATTTACCTAAGTTTCAAAACAACGCCATGAAGCAGGCATTAACACCCTCATTTTCAGGCGAGAAACCTCTTACCCGGTTCCCGCCCTCGCCCCCCGCTTACAGGTAATAAAGCTGGAATTTATGCAGCTCTTTCGGTCTCCACAGCTCGGGGTCTTGCCACAGACACAGCGCCCACGAGTTCTGGCACTTTGGTCAACGTTTATAAACGGGCTCTCCTCTGCCGCCGCGGGCATGCGCTTTCCCCAAGGTTCGCACTGAACACCTGTTCCTAAAGGGGGCGCAGCTCCACCTGCGTCCCCGGGACCTCTAGCGTGAGGGGGTCGATCCTGGGGTCCCCCCGGGCTTCCCGTTCTCACCCTCTGAATCACAAGCCCCATTCTCACTAGAAGTTGACAGGCTGTGGGGAGACCTGGTTTCCCCGCGTCCCACTTCAGGTGAGCACCTTCCCCGCCCGCGACACCCAAGGGCCCCGGGACCACCTCTCAGCCTTAGCTAGGCGTGAAGCAGCGAGCTAAGCTTGCACATGCGCAGACGTCATCCAGAAGACCCTTTCCTAGAGTGTGGCGCGCGAGCCATTCGGATTTAAGACTACGTTTCCCAGAAACCTCCACGCCACGACTTACTTCGCAGCGTTTTCTCTATTGGATGATTGGAAGATGTTCCTGACTGCCTCGCCTGGCCAGGTTCTGCCAGAGCCCCTAGAGGTTATGGGTTAAATTTGAACTTTGCTGCCGAATACGGTGCGTGGTCCTCCATCAAATCCCGATTGGAAAAAACAGCTGCCAAACACGTTGGAAACAATTTGGGAAATGTGAATGTGTACTGGCAATTATAAATATTAAAGAACATTGCCGTTATTCTTAACTGTTAAGTGGAGTTATATTGGAAAATACTAGTTTTTATAAAGACATGCACAGGGAAGCATTTAACATTGAAAGGATAGTTAATTCACTTTACAATTTTTCAGCAAAAACTAACAAAGCGAATATGGCAAAAGGTTAACTTTTCTTAAATCAAGGACATGCATGGCTATAGATAGATGCTCATTTTACCGTTTCCTACGTTTCTGTGTGCTTAAACATTTTTCAATACAAAGGAAGAAAGAAAGAAAAACAAGGATCCTCCCTCCATCAGTTTGCCTTTTCAACTCAAAGCAGCCCCTAGACGTTAAGGTACATACAAATATGTCTTGGGAATAAGGCTGTGAAATGTGAATGAAATACTTGCACACGGAGCACAGCATTACTATAAAAGAATAGTACCTGTGACCCTGACCAACAGGGTTTCAGGAAAGGGGAACAAAAGAAACAAAAACCAAAAAATACGCACAACGCAAAATAAGAAAAAAATGGCTATGGCCGGGCGCTGTGGCTCACGCCTGTAATCCCAACACTTTGGGAGGCCGAGGCGGGCGGATTGCCTGAGTTCAGAAGTTCGCGACCAGCCTGTGCAACACGGTGAAACCACGTCTCTACTAAAATACAAAAAATTAGCGGGGTGTGGTGGCGGGCGCCTGCAGTCCCAGCTACTCCGGAGGCTGAGGCAGGAGAATTGCTTGAACTCGGAACTCCGACTCAAAAAAAAAAAAAAAAAAAAAAAAAAAAAAGAAGAAGAAGAAAAGAAAAAAGAAAAAAAAATGGCTATCAGGCAAATCATGGATCTCCCAGAGATGTCCCTACTTAAACTTTACATGAGCACCTGTTGATTTTTTTAACCAAACCAGGGAAATACGGTCATAATATCATAGGAACATCTTTTTACTAAATTATACATATTGAGCATGTATCTGCTCAATATTATTCCGTAACATCAATAATTTCTTCCGTGAGATGATAAATTTAAATAGTGGCACCTATTCACCCAAGGGTTGGTCACAAAGTCAGTGCGATCCCCGTGAACACACCCGTGAAGCTTTGCTTCCCAGCAACTTTCCTGGGGGCCGCGGGCGAAGGAACACCCCCAGATGCCGCTGCGCAGGGACAGGGGACGCGCCCAGACGTAGAGGCCCTGACCTCTGAATCTTGGCGGGGCACCCAGGAGCCCGGCTTCGGGGTGCTTAGCGGGGCGAAGCCGCCCCCGGACCCGCGTGGCTCCAGCCTCCTGGGGGTACCTGGCAGAGGGGGCTGCAGCGAGCGCCCTGCCGCGCCGCTTCCTCCGCGCGTCTCCCGCCTGGCTCCGCCAAGACTGGGGGCTTCCCCATAGGCCCGCGTCCGAGCGCGTCCTCAGGCTTCGCTCCGCGAGATCTGGGGGCCCCGTGGGCTGGGGTTCGGGCGGGGTCCGTTCCTTGCGGTCCGCGGTCTTGAAGCAATTTCCCGGCAAAGTCCCGGGACAGCGGGAAAGAAACTGGTCTCCCTGCCTGGGGTCGTTCCCGGTGGATGTGCCTCTTCATCAGACGGAATTTTCCGTCTGTGCAAAAATGAAGCTTACTCGGTATCATGTGTGCTTTTTGGGGGGAAGGACAAAAAAATATATTTTCTATAAACAACTTAATTGGCTTATTAATACTCAAATACCCTGCTTCTGTTTTATTAAATACAGTCTTCCATATAAAAATCCTTGAACTCGTAAAGACTAAAGGTAACAGTATAATAAACAGTCAACCCAACCATATTTGTTCGCTTTGTAGTAAGCTTGGCAACTTGGCAACTTGTTAACTTGTTATTTTATTCTCCTTAAGTTCTGTACTGAAAAAGGCTGTTAAGCCTAGTTTCGCTCTTGTTGCCCAAGCTGGAGTGCAATGCTGCGATCTCAGCTCACTGCAACCTCTGCTTCCCGGGTTCAAGAGATTCTCCTGCCTTAGCCTCCCCAGTGGCTAGGATTACAGGCGCGCGCCACCACGCCCGGCTAATTGTTTGTATTTTTAGTAGAGACAGGGTTTCACCATGTTGGCCAGTCTGGTCTCCAACTCCTGACCTCAGGTGATCCGCCTGTCTTGGCCTCCCAAAGTGCTGGGATTACAGGCGTGAGCCACCGCGTCCGGACTCCCTTGCTTATTATTTAAAGTAAATACATTTAAACGTTTCTTTAAAAAATTTAGACACTGCAAATTTGATTATAGCAGTGCATAAAGCTATAATGTAGCTCCCCCTCCTAATATCCAGCCCACCTCCCAAGTACGACCAATTGTCCACTGATGCCTAACTCTGCACTTTAGGCTACAGCAAACAATGCATTTTTAAAAACATGGTTACAACTTCTTTACAATTTTCTTTTAACATGTAAAATTGTCTCCTAATCGAGTTATCTGATCAGGCTATAGAGAAGGAAATCTTTCTGTTCCTTAACTACATTGTAGGGAATATCATGTTTATTTAATCAATTCTTTGTGATGGATGTTTGTTTCCAGTTTTCACTATTATAAATAATATGTGGCAAATAGCATTGTTCATGCATCTTTTGATATTTGTGAGATTATTTCTTTGCACAAGAGCCAAAATGATAGAATTGTGCAGTTAAAATGTGTACAAATGAACATGTAACAGATGCTAACAGGGAGTCCTCAAAGAGGCTTGTATCAGTTTATGCTGTTTCCTCACATCCACTCCAACACCAGATAGCAAGCATTTTTGGTAACCGATTTATAGAAATGCTTAAGGTTAAACATCAAATGGTGCACCATAAATTTCTTTTAAAAAAAGAAAAACACAATGCTTAAAGAATTACTATTCATGTTTTAATGGAAAGAAAGTGGTCCAAACATATATTCATTCAACAGACACTTATTGAAAACCTGCTGTGTGACAGGCATCATTGTAGATGCTGGCATAATAACAAGGAATAAAAGAGATAAAAATCCTCACTTTGGCATAGTCAATTGTTAAGAAACAATGGGATACTTAGGCCGGGCGCAGTGGCTCACGCCTATAATCCCAGCACTTTGGGAGGCTTAGGCGGGCAGATCACGAGGTCAAGAGATCGAGACCATCCTGGCTAACACGGTGAAACCCTGTCTCCACTAAAAAAACAAAAACAACAACAACAAAAAATTAGCCGTGCCTGGTGGCGGGCGCCTGTAGTCCCAGCTACTCGGGAGGCTGAGGCAGGAGAATGGCGTGAACCCAGAAGGCAGAGCTTGCGGTGAGCCCAGATCGCGCCACTGCACTCCAGCCTGGGCGACAGAGCAAGACTCCGTCTCAAAAACAAACAAAAAAAGAAACAATGGGACACTTAAAGGCATCTAATAAAAGGGACTTTTACAAAGCCTGGGCAGAGTTGGTGAGACGCCCTGTGACTAGTGACAGTGAAGTCATTATCACCGCCAGGGTTGATGTGAGGGGAAGGAAATGTTACCAGAGCCTGGCAAAAAAGACCATCCCAACAAGAGCTATGGCCTTAAAAAGAGGAACATTGTTAGATTTGTTTCGCTCTTTTGGAGCAATTGTAATAAGCTTATGTTTAATTTCAGTTTCCAACTGTTTTTAGCTAATATGTAGTATGGTTGATATTTATGTGTTGACTTTGCATTCTGTGATCTTGCTTAACTCACTTATTCGTTTTAGGATTTTTTTTTGTTTTTTGTAGATTCCTTGGGATTTTCTGTGTAGACAAACATGCAATCTGTAAATAAGGATAGACTTATTTTTTCCTTTCCAATTTGTATGCCTTTTCTTTTCTTACATTACTGTAATGGCCAGGATTCCCAGTACTATGTTGAATAGTAGTGGGGAGCTTTTTTGGAGCAACTGTAAATAACATTATGTTTTTTATTTCAGTTTCCAATTGTTTTTGGCTAATACGTAATATGGTTGATATTTATGTGTTGGCTTTGCATTTTGTGATCCTGCTAAACCCACTTATTAGTTTTAAGATTTTTTTTTTTTAGATTCCTTGGGATTTTCTATCTAGACAACCATGCAATCTGCAAATAAGGATAGATTTATTTTTTCTTTCCAATTTGTATAGCTTTTCTTTTCTTACATTATTGTAATGGCCAGGATTCCCAGTACTATGTTGAATAGCAGTGGGGAGATCAGACACACTTGCCTTGGTCCTGATTTTAGGGGAAAAGCATTGAGACTTTAGCCATCAAGTGTGATGCTAGCTTTAGTTAATTTGTGGTTCCTCGTTTTTTAGGTTGAGAAAGTTTTCTTCTAGCTCTAGTTTTCTGAGAGTTATTATTATAAATGGATGTTTGATCTGGTCAAATGCTTTTGCCGCATCAACTGATATGATCCTGTGGTGTTTTATTTTTTCTTTAGTCTGTCAAAATTGCAGATAACATTGGTTGATTTTCAAATATTGAACCAGCCTTGCATTTGCTGAATAAACCACACCTAGTTGTAGTGTATCTTTCTTTTTATGTATTAATAGCTATGATTTACTGATATTTGTTGTAAACTTTGTGTCCATGTTCAGAAGAAGAATTGGTCTATAGTTTTCCTTCTTTGTACTGTCTTTGGCTTTGATATCAGCATAATGTTGGCTTTGTAAAATAAGCTGGGAAGTGTTCTCTCCACTTTTGTTTTCTGGAATAATTTATGTAAAACTGATGTCATTTCATCTTTAAAAGTTTGGTATAATTACCCAAGGAAGACATCTATGCCTGGAGATTTCCTTTTCAGCATGTTTTAAACTATGAATTCCATTTCTTTAATATAAAACTACTTAAATTATCTATTTTATAGTTGGTGAGTCTTCTTCGTGTTTTTCAAGCAATTAGAACATTTAAGTTATTGAATTTTGGATAGACTTGTTCATATTATTCACTTATTAAGCTTTTAATGTCTGTAGGTTCTATAGTTAGAACCCCTGTTTTCTGCCTAACGTTGGTAATTTACATCTTCTCTTCATCTTTGTCAATCTTGCTAGATGTTTATCAATTTTATTTATCTCTTCCAAAACCCCCCACAACTTTTGGGTTGATTTCCTCTTTTGTTTTTATGTTTTCAATTTTCTTGATTCCTCTTATCTTTATCATTTCCTTTCTTCTTCTAGCTTTTAGTTTATTTTGCTTCCCTTTTTCTGTCTTGTGGTAGAAACTTACATTGTTAATTTGAGACTTTTCCTTTTCTAATATAAACATTTAATGTTCTAAATTTCTTATAAGCACAGCTTTAGGTGCATCCAATAGATATTATGTTGTAAATGATACAAATTGTGAATGGATGAGTGATCAACCAATAGCTCTGCTGGTAATTGATTTACTTTTCTTCAATAAAGTTGCATAAACCAATGGAAAAAAATTAAAGACTATAATCCATTTTGTGTTAATTTTTGTGTATGATATGGAACATGTAGTAAGGCTTGAACTTTTTTTCCTCTACAAATATCTAATTGTTCCATCATTATTTATGGAAAAGACTATCCTTCCCTTGCTGAGGTATCTTGGCACCTCTGTAGAAAATCAGTTGTTCAGACCATAAATGTTCATTTTCTGTTTCTGGACTTCATATTCTCCTCCATTTATTTATATGTCCATTCTTATGCCAATATCACACTATCGTAAATACTGTAGTTTTATATTAATTATTTAAATAAAATGTAAATCCTCTAGCTTTGTTTTATTTCATAAAGTTGTTTTGGTTATTTACGTCTTCTGCATTTCCACATAAATGTTAAGCCTTCCTTGTTAATTTACACAAGAGCTTGGATTGTATAAAATGAACTATTTTGGAAGTATGAGTGTGTGTGTGTGTGTGTGTGTGTGTGTGTATACTCATTGTAATAACATATAATCAGAAATCTAAAAAATAATATTAGGAAATAATATTTTTAATACAAGTGTTCAGGCTTTCAATAGTTAACTATTTAATATTTATATAGATTGAGGTGACTAAAGAATGTGTTCACCAAAAAAGGCCTAAATTCATTAAGACAGTCTCTGTGAAAAAGGGATGTTAAAGGTTATGAGAAAAGTTACTAGATCTGCATTTTTAAAATAAAAATGACTTTCTGAGATATTGGACAGAAGCAGCTTTAGTTATTTGGAGGTCGAGCATACATGTCTACTATGATTCACCATAAAGCCATATTAGCAGCCATTGGCCAGTACATTTCGCATTATTTCCTTTTGCATATTTCATATGATAAATTCCTTTTAAGTTTGAGCACCAATAAAAAATTAGGCATTTCTTTTTTAAAATAGTAGGCTTCCTTTAATCAGGTATTTTGAATTATCTTTTGATTCTCTTTTCCATTGTAAATTAGCAAATTACAGAGATTATATTAATTTATTATAAATGTACTCCCATTTTATTTAAAAAGGTGATAGTATTATACATTTTAATCTCTAATCACTGTAAACTATGGAAATATCAAGCCTCTAATTGAAAATATTCCTGAAAGCATCAGTAGGAAAGAATCAATCTCTTGGTCTCAGTCATGTAGCAAGAGCATTCCATGATTGTTTTAACTGCATGCTTACATATTTTAGTTACGTCTTATTGTAAAATGTCAATGCCATTATAGAAATTTCAAATTTAAAAAGTACATCTTGTCCTTGGACACTGTGGCCTCAAAAGACTAGCTGAAGTTTTTCTTCACCTTAATTATCATTGCTGAACTTGTAGGAGGGGTGGTTTAAATGTGTCAGTGACTTAAAACGAGAATTCTCTCTTTGATTTGGATAATCCATGAAAACTAGTGATGTTACCTTGTTCATGAAGGAACAATGCAGAGAAGACACCACACTGGCTGTCATGAGAAGAATGGACAATAGGAGATGAAGAATGAAAAGACAGAATTCTGCAAGACAACAGTTGCAGTAAAGTTGTTTAGTTTCTTTGCATTGCCACATTAAAAAAAGGAAAGACAAAGCAGCTAGACATCGAAACAAAACTAAACACGAAACACCAAGGACAATATATTTTTTAAAAACATGGTGACAGGATGTTTTCATGAATCCCAAAATATGGGGTGTGGAGACAAGCCACCTGACTACAAGTGACATCTTGTGTAGGAGGAAGCAAGGAAAGCATTGGTGGGATGATTCCAGAACAGCAGCTCTAAAAGGAGGGGTTTGTTTTCTCCAATACCAGTAGGGCTCAAGGGGCTTGTGTAAGATAAGCTGAAGGGGATGGAGCAGTGTAGCTCCTCTGAAATCACCTGCCAGGGATCCCTTTTAGGGCAGGGACCTACACTGAAGAGAGACTGCTTCTAGTGGAATGAAAATCAAGCAGGATAGGGACAACAAAGGTGACAGAGAGAGAAGGTTTAGACTAAAGGGACGGAGGAGAATAAAGGCAGAACATCTCAGAAAGCCAAGTTGACATATTTTTGAGCCCTAGACACAACCAATAGAAGGGAGCTCTGTGAAGTTTGAAAGGCTTTTCACACCTCTTTCAGAAAATTCAGAAACCTTCACATCTCTTTCTGAAAGTTCAGAAAAACTAACGACATAAAAAATAAAAGTCCTTCCTACTACACATAGAAATCTTTGGAAACAAAACAATAAACAAGCATAGCAAAACTCTGAAAAGATACATGGAAGAAGATGGGCTGTCCAGAGACATCAAGAGTTGATGAACTGCAGGGTGATGAGTTCTCTGTTTCCTTCTGCTTCTCATATGCCATGGACAGGGCACTACAGAAACCTCCAACCCAGAACTACCAATAGGCACAGACAATGAAACAAAAGCCTTAAGAAAAGTGTGTTCTCTTTAGCCAAAGGTCTTGGAATGGATGGGCTATGAATAGAAAAGCTTTTAGCAATATCAGCCCTACACCAGCCAAACACCAACAGAAAAGCTGTACTACCCTCTACCCTGTGGAAGCAAGCAAGGGAACTCTGATTTCCCAATCTGGTGGTATTGGCAGGGCCGAGCACAGAGCTAATCTTGCATCCTCTGCCTGGCAGAAGTGGGTGGCAGGAGGAGCTGAGATTCCATGCCTTGCCTGGAAGCAGACAGTGCTCTGATTCCCCCACAGGGGTAGTGTCAGTGGGGTCAAACAGTGAGCTGAGCCTTCACCCCCACCCAGCAGCAATGAAATTTGACAATGCAGTAAAAGGCAGAGCTGGTTACAATGAGGCTTCACCCCTCCAGGCCCTGTCATGAAGGTCCATTGGGTGCTGACCCTTCACCTCCACTTGGCAACAACAAGGCAGAATAGAGTGTCATAAGGAAGGGTAGCTGATGTTTTGCTTCTCCCCTTTCCTGATATCAACAATATGCAGAGCCAAGCTGACCCTCCACTCCTACTCATAGCAACAAGGTGGTGTGAGTCAGCCTTCCACCTTTCCTACCTTCCCTCCCACCCCACAACCCCGAAGGCAGTGGAGCCAGTCAGGGAGCTGGTCACATAGTCACACTCAGAGGCAACAAGGTGGTGTGAGTCAGCGTCCCACTTTGACCAGGAAGATGACTGTGGGATGAAGAAGGACTTGAACTTTCACCCCACCCATCTGCAACAATGCAGTGTGAGTCAGTGCCCCATTTTTACCAGGATGGTTTGGAGGAGTCTATTAGGAAGCTGAACAAACACACCCACCTGACCCTGGCACTATACCCACTTAAAAAAGGTTAACTAGGATTCATGGTCTCATAATATAGAAAATATCTGGGATACAATTTAAAAAATGCTTGACATGCCAAGAATCAGAAAAATCCCACAGAAATGAGAAAAAAAATAACAGACACTAACACCAAGATAAATCAGATAGGGTATTATCTAACAAGTGTTTTCAGGCAACTATCAAATGCCTCAACAAGCAATTGCAATTTTAAAAAAGATTAAATGGATTAAATTTAAAAAAGATTAAATAGAATTCACAGTCTCATAATATAGAAAATATCTGGGATACAATTAAAAAAATGCCAAGAATCGGAAAAATCCTACAGAAACAAGAAAAAAATAACAGATACTAACACCAAGAGAAATCAGATAGAGTATTATCTAACAAGGGTTTTCGGGCAGCTATCAAATGCTTCAACAAGCAATTGCGATTTTTTTGGAGTAAAAAAATAGAAAATTTCACCAAAGAAACAAAAATTACAAAAAGAAACCAAATACAAGTTAGAGAACTGAAAAATATGATAACCACAATAAAAAGCCTGCTGGATATGCTCAATAGTATAGTGGACATAAAAGAGGATAAAATCAATGAACCTGAAGACAGATCAATAAAATTTACCCAATGTGAGCAGCAGAAAAAAAGGTAAGAAAAGAGAACAATTACAGCATGTCAGGGATCTATAAGACAATAACTAAAGGGTTAACATTTGTGTTAACAGAGATCCAGTAGGAGAGAGAGGCACTGAAAAAGTGTCTGAAAAAATAAAGGCTGAAATGTCTCAAATTTGGGAAAAGACATAAATCTACAGATTGAAGAATCTGAGTGATTCCCAAACATGGTAAGCCCAAAGACATTGATGCCAAGACACATAATAATTAAGTTTCTGGAAACAAAAAAAAACAAAGAAAAAAGTCTTGAAAGCATCAGAGAGAAACAACACATTACTTGCAGAGCCTCAATTTAAATAACTTATTTTTCCTTCCTTCCTTCCTTCCCCTTCCTTCCTTCCTTCCTCTTTCTTTCTTTCTTCCTTTCTTTTCTTAGACAGAGACAGAGTCTCACTCTGTGGCCTAGTCTGGAGGGCACTGGTGCAATCATGGCTTACTTCAGCCTCAACCTCCCAGGCTCAAGTGATCCTCTAGCCTCAGCCTCCCAAGCAGCTGGGACCACAGGCACATGCCACCATGCCCAACTAAGTTTTGTATTTTTTGTAGGGACAGGGTCTCCCTATGTTGCCCAGGCTGGTCTTGAACTCCTGGGCTCAAGTGATCCTCTTGCTTCAGCCTCCCAAAGTGCTGGGATTATAGGCATCAGCTATCACACCTGGCCCAACATTTTCAATCTGAAACCCTGGAGCTGGAAGAAAGTAGAAAGCAATTTTTAAGTACAGAAAAAAAAAAAAAAAAGAACTGTCAACCCAGAATTCTACATCCAGTGAAAATATCCTTTAAGAATGAGGCCAGACACAATAGCTCACAAGTTGAAACTTAAGACAGGAAAGAGCATCAAAAATGAGTAAAAATAAGGGCAAATATGACAGACTATCCAACCTCTCATGAGTTTCTTAAATGATAATTGAGTGTTAAAGCAAAAACTCTACACCTAATATGGTGTTCAATGTATATGGAGGAAATGCCACAGAAATTTTATTTTAAAAGTGGAGAGAGTAAAGGGGTGTAAATGTAGAAAAGGTTGTTAAACCACACTAGAATTGGTTAAACATCAGTACTAGTAGACTGTGATGAGTTACATATGTGTATTGTTATACCTAGAGCAACCACTCAGAAAACTATCCAAAGCTGTATGATCAAAAACACTATAAGCCTGGGCATGGTGGCTCATGCCTGTAATCCCAGGACTTTGGGAGGCCGAGGCAGGTGGATCGCCTGAGGTCAGGAGTTGGAGACAAGCTTGGCCAACATGGAGAAACCTCATCTCTACTAAAAATACAAAAATTAGCTGGGCGTAGTGACATGTCCCTGTAATCCCAGCTACTCAGGAGGCTGAGGCAGGAGAATCGCTTGAACCTGGGAGGTGGAGGTTGCAGTGAGCCAGGATGCGTCACTGCACTCCAGCCTGGGCAACAAGAGCAAACTCCCTCTCGAAAAAAAAAAAAAAAACTATAAATAAAACAAAATAGAATCCTAATAAATATGCAAATAACCCACAGAGAGGGAAGAAATGAGACATATGAACAAGAAACACAGGAAACTGGCCGGATGCGGTGGCTCACACCTGTAATCCCAGCATTTTGGGAGGCCAAGATGGGCAGATTACCTGAGGCCAGGAGTTTGAGATCAGCCTGGCCAACATGGTGAAACCCCGTCTTTACTAAAAATACAAAAATTAGCCAGGTGTGGTGGCACACGCCTGTAATCCCAGCTACTCGGGAGGCTGAGGCAGGAGAATTGCTTGAACCCAGGTGCTCCAGCCTGGGCAACAAGAGCAAGACTCCATTGCAAAAAAGAAAGGAAGGAAGGAAGGAAGGAAGGAAGGAAGGAAGGAAGGAAGGAAGGAAGGAAGAAAGAAAGAAAGATACGAAACCAACAGCAAGCAAATAACAAAATGGCAGACTTCAGCCCTCATATATCAGAATTGCTACAAGGCAATTCTTCAAGTGGTCTACGTACAGTAATTAAAAGACAGAGATTGGCAGAGTGGACTAAAAAACAAAAAACCAAACATGATACAACATTATGCTGGATCTACAAAAACTCACTTGAAATACAATGACATAGGTAGACTGAAAATGAAAAGTAAACTAGTTCAACCATTGTGGAAGTCAGTGTGGCGATTCCTCAGGGATCTAGAACTAGAAACACCATTTGACCCAGCCATCCCATTAATGGGTATATACCCAAAGGATTATAAATCATGCTACTATAAAGACACTTGCACACGTATGTTTATTGCAGCGCTATTCACAATAGCAAAGACTTGGAACCAACCTAAATGTCCAACAATGATAGACTGGATTAAGAAAATGTGGCACATATACACCATGGAATACTATGCAGCCATAAAATATGACGAGTTCATGTCCTTTGCAGGGACATGGATGAAGCTGGAAACCATCATTCTCAGCAAACTATTGCAAAGACAAAAAACCAAACACCACATGTTCTCACTCATAGGTGGGAATTGAACAATGAGAACACATGGACACAGGAAGGGGAACATCACACACCAGGGCCTGTTGTGGGGTGGGGGGAGGGGGGAGGGATAGCATTTGGAGATATACCTAATGTTAAATGACGAGTTACTGGGTGCAGCACACCAACATGGCACATGTATATGTATGTAACTAACATGCATGTTGTGCACATGTACCCTAAAACTTACAGTATAATAAAAAAAGAAAAAAAAAAAGAAAATGAAAAGCATTAAAATAAATGTACCATGCAAATATTAACTTAAAAGTAGAAGTCGCTATATTAATACTAATACAGTAGACCTCAGAGCAAAGAATTACTGGAGCAAAGAGGGACATTACATAATGATTTTTAAAAATTAATTTACTATGAAGACAAAATGGTTTTACATGTGTACACACCAAGAGCAGAGCCTTAAAATGCATAAACCAAAACCAATAAAGCTGAAAGAAGAAATCAACAAATCCACAATTGTAAGTTGGACTTCAACACTCTTCTCAGCAATTGATAAAACTACTAGACATAATTTTAAAAGTTATAATAATCAAAAAATGGAGTGAATAATATAAAAACAAATTAAGAGTGTGTTTGATTATGAGAAATGTCATTTGCAGACTCCTTCCTTTGGCAGACCTTGATTGGGCAGGTTTGATGTGCCTGAGCTTAATGCAGGATGCACTTGGATGTGGTCAAGAGCTAGTCTGGACTTTGTGTCTGCAGCTGTGGCCACTTTGCCCTCCTTCAGACTCTGAGGCCACTTTTGCTCTCAGAGGCACACAGAAGAGACATCGGGCGCATGGTAAGCACTGCTCAGCAGCCTCAGTGGGGCACCAAGCACATTAGCAAAAGCATCTGTCATGAATTCCAGGCCTCTGAAAGTCACTGACCACCATAACCATCGGCCAGATGGATCCCACAACTGGGGAACACATAGATGCCACATAATTCCCGGCCCTGGACTGTCTCTCTCCATGAAATCAGGTGATAACAGAAATCCCAGGAGCTTCTGATCCTCAAGAGCTTTTTCCAAAACTGGTCTGGAAAGTCATCCAACATCTGCAGCCAAGCCTGTGCTTCCAGGGCTTTGCAAAACTGTGAGGCCTGCCTGGTCAGTCTGTTTGACGCAAAGCAGGAATTTCTCTACACTATGCACCGCAAAGCTTATTTCTTTCTACATTACTCCTCCTGCCATGCATCATAAGCCCACTCCCTTCACCAAGCGAAATGCTGTCTTCTCTGGACGCTCAGTAGCACCCTTCCTAAAATGCAGCTTTCAGGACTGGACATGAAATTCCAGACATGACACCAGGAAGCAGGCATTCACGCCACCATCTCTTTCTCTATCCAGCCATTTAATGCCATTATTGCAAACTTTTGGGGTGCCCAAGTCAGGTTGTTAATAATACTGAAATTACTGGTATCCCAAAACTAATTTTTTTTTTTTTTGAGATGGAGTTTTGCTCTTGTTGCCTAGGCTGGAGTGACATGGCACCATCTTGGCTCACTGCGATCTCCGCCTCCCGGGTTCAAGCGATTCTCCTGCCTCAGCCTCCCGAGTAGCTGGGATTACAGGCATGCGCCACCACGTCCGGCTAATTCTTTGTATTTTTAGTAGAGACAGGGTTTCTCCACGTTGGTCAGGCTGGTCTCGAACTACCGATCTCAGGTGATCCGCCCGCCTTGGCCTCCCAAAGTGCTTGGATTAGAGGCGTGAGCCACCGCGCCCAGCCCCAAAACTAAGATTTTTAAAGAGTACTTATTAATTTCATCTTTATCCTGTACTTGGGTCATATATATGTATGTGTGTGTGTGTATATGTGTATATATATGTTTAAATAAAATTTAACTGATACGTATATTTAATCTCAACAAAGAGCTTTACATTTATACACAATATGTTTCATTCTACTAGTTTTAAACTTTCTAGAGTTTGGAAGTCCTTTTCTTCCTGTCTCTTTTTAAAAATCCAAATTCTTTTATTCAGAGTATACACCCTCTGTCATGGGCATCTGCTGCTCTTGCCTCCCTGGTGAAGCCGTCCTGGTTTTCTTGTGGAACATCATCCTTCACATAGCAATCCATGTGCTGTGGCTGGGCTGACCATCCTCCACATCCCGAGGCAGGCGTGTGACCCAGGCAGGGCCAAGTAGCACCAGCCTGGCACTTTCCTCCAAGGAGGATACAGGGATGAGCCTGGCGGGGGGTGTGTGCAACGCAGAGGACAGCAGGTCCCGCAGGGGAAGAGATGAAGTGCTGATGACGCTCTGTGAGCCCTGCGTCCAGCCAGGCCTGTGCCACCCAGGTCTTCCTCTCATATAAGCAGTTCAACAATGGTTTCTGCCCCTTTCAGCTGACAGACTTGTCTAACAGAGCATCTCTCCAATTCTGTCACTGCAGCTTCAACCATCATTTTCTTACAGGATGGGCTGGTGGTGACAAGGGGTCCAGGGGGTTTGTTCCAGGGCTGTGTTTCCCTAGCAAGGATAGTTTTTGTGTTTCATGTGTGTTTGGGCGGCTTAGTGGGGTGCAATGGATTTGTGTGTGTTCGCGTGTTAATTAAAGTACCCTCCAGCCTCCTGCCAGTGTCACCACCACCATACTCATTCAAATGACTGAAAAGAATCATTGGGAGATCCAGTCAAGGACACGGCTAGATTATTTGCCACTAGAAACCCAATGCAAATGGGCAGTAACTAACAGTATTTTATTTAACTGTGCCTTAGCCACCTTTTATCCAGGTCCTATTGCTGGTTTGGATGTAAAATGTTACAGCTCTGTGGAAAACAGTTTGGCAGTTCCTTAAAAAGTTAAATGCAGAATTACCATATGATCCAGCAATTCCACTCAGATATTTGTATACCAGTGTTCACAGCAACATTATTCATAATAGCCCAAAGGTGGGAACAACCGAAATGTGCATCAACTGATGAATGGATAAACCAAATGTGGCATATGCACACAATAGAACATTACTCCACCTGAAAAAACAAGATTCTGATACATGTAAAACATGAATGAACCTTGAAAATATTATGCTAAGTGAAAGAAGCCAGACACAAAAGGATAAATACTGTATTCCACTTATATGAGGTACCTAGAATTGGCAAATTCATAGAGGCAGAAAGTAGAATAGAGGTTACCAGAGAGTGGGGATTGGAGGATGCGGAGTTATTGCTCTTTGGGTACAGGGCTTCTGTTTGGAATGAGAATTAAAAAATCTGTGGAAATGAATAAATGGGATGTTTGCACAACTTTCTGAGTGTATTTAATGCCACTGAATTGTACACTTAAAATAATACATTTATATTATGTATATTTTACCACAGAAAATGGAAAAAAAATTTTTGTTTTGCAGACACCAGTACTTCCTCTTAAATACTTTAGCATGCGTATATTTGTTCAATATTTGTTTACAACATTTTAATGTAACATTTACATATAATGAAATGCACAGATCTTGAGTGTACATTCTTTGAATTTTGACAGATGTATATACTTGTATAACTCAAATCCTTATCAAGATACAGAATGTTACCATCACCCAGGTGATGTTCCCTCATGGCCCTTCCCCGTGAAATGCTCTGTTAAGTCTTTTTTTTTTTTTTTTGAGATGGAGTCTTGCTCTGTCACCTGGGCTGGAGTGCAGTGGTGTGATCTCGGCTCACTGCAGTCTCTGCCTCCCGCGTTCAAGCAATTCTCTGCCTCAGCCTCCCGAGTACCTGGGATTACAGGTGCCCACCACCACGCCTGGCTAATTTTTGTATTTTTAGTGGAGACGGGGTTTCACCATCTTGGCCAGGCTGGTCTTGGTGATCCACCCGCCTCGGCCTCCCAAAATGCTGGCATTACAGGCGTGAGCCACCGTGCCCGGCCTCTGTTAAGATTTTTAAGAGCAGAATCAAGAAATTGAAGGATTTGCTGTTATTCCTACCTGCATTGGACTTGACCTGGGTGTTGGGTGAGTAGCAATCTGTTACTGTTTCTCTATGTGGACGATGAGGAAAGGGTTGAGAAATCCAGCGAAAGGACACTTCTGTTAATAGCTCAATCTGCTGCCCATGGTTGGGAAAAGGGGAGTATGCGGTGGTGGTTGTGGGGCAATCAGGGGGGCTATAGGGAACAAGTGTTCTGATTCTGAGCAGAACTACTCTGCTCTCAGTAAAGCTGTCATGATAGAACACTGCCCCTGGGTATATGCCCTTGTTGTCCATCCCTTTTTTAGTTCTTAGCAAAGCCGTCTTCCTATTTCTCTTGGGAATGTTCACAGCAGCATTATTAATAATAGCCCAAAGGTGGGAACAACCGAAATGTGCATCAACAGATGAATGGATAAACAAAATGTGGCATATGCACACAATGGAACATTACTCCACCTGCTGTGGAGTTCACGCTGCTGTGAACATTAGTATACAAATATCTGAGTGGAATTGCTGGGAATGGTAAATTGGAGCCAACAGTTCACATCCTCATGAAGGTTCGGTGTGACTGTCATGCGTGGACCACCCTGGAGTCCAGCTGGGCAGTGACCCTTCCTCACGCCTTTGCTGTGTGATGGACCGGCTGAGCAGCGTCAGTGCGGATCTTAGGAACATCAGTTCCCAAATGGGAGACATGCCTTTACCAAGTTATCTGAGGCTCCTGTTTCACACTCTCTTCCTCCTCCTCCTTCTCCTTTATGAGTTCTTTAATTTTTTTTCTTGAACTATATTCTTCTGAATCTGTTATCTTATGAGAATTATGCATCTTAATTTTTTTAAATTGAGATAATAAAGCCCAAGAAGAAATAACTTTTTTCAAGCACCTCTAAGAAATATATCTGGCTTATATCATTCGTGAACATTTAAAAATGCACATACAGGAATGTGCATGTCTGTATTTTTAACAATTGTACTAAATTATTCAAACTGTCCTACAAATTGCTTTTTTTTTTTTTAACCTGAAAAGTATAATTCATGGCAGGACTCTATTTCTTCTGCCACAATATGATCAATAGGGTTTCAGACAGTGACTCTCATAACACCCTCGGAGCGCTCACTCTCTTTTTAAAGAGTTTATTCTTTTCAAAGTCGTGTGGATTAATTCCAGTATGTCAAGTCAAACTTTGGCTATAAAATGACATGGTTGACCAAGAAAAACACTTATGTGCTCACAATTTTCCATCCAGTGGCTTCTGAACATTTAAGACTACCTGCCCCTGACCAAGTCCTGTTTTGAAAATAGCTTAAACAATCTATTCAAGAAATCATACTGAGCCTTTTCTTTACTGGGGGATGGGCAGAAAAGAATTAGAACACACAACAAAGCAAGGAAGAGAAACTTTGAACTTTCTTATCATATCAAAAGCAGCAAATTCCAACTCATAGTTAAAAAATAGGAGGCTATCTGATCATTAAAAAGTCAGGAAACAACAGGTGCTGGAGAGGATGTAGAGAAACAGGAACACTTTTACACTGTTGGTGGGACTATAAACTAGTTCAACCATTGTAGAAAACAGTGTGGCAATTCCTCAGGGATCTAGAACTAGAAATACCATCTTGACTCAGCCATCCCATTACTGGGTATATACCCAAAGGATTATAAATTATGCTGCTATAAAGACAAATGTACATGTACGTTTATTGCAGCACTATTCACAATAGCAAAGACTTGGAACCAACCCAAATGTCCATCAATGATAGACTGGATTAAGAAAATGTGGCACATATACACCATGGAATACTATGCAGCCATAAAAAATGATGAGTTCAAGGCCGGGCGCAGTGGCTCACGCCTGTAATCCCAGCACTTTGGGAGGCCGAGGTGGGTGGATCACGAGGTCAGGAGATCGAGACCATCCTGGCTAGCACGGTGAAACCCCTTCTCTACTAAAAATACAAAAAATTAGCCGGGAGCGGTGGCGGGCGCCTGTAGTCCCAGCTACTCGGGAGGCTGAGGCGGGAGAATGCCGTGAACCCGGGAGGCGGAGCTTGCAGTGAGCGGAGATCGCGCCACTGCACTCCAGCCTGGGTGACAGAGCGAGACTCCGTCTCAAAAAAAAAAAAAAAAAAAAATGATGAGTTCATGTCCTCTGTAGGGACATGGATGAAGCTGGAAACCATCATTCTGAGCAAACTATCACAAGGACAGAAAACCAAACACCGCATGTTCTCACTCATAGGTGGGAATTGAACAATGAGAACACATGGACACAGGGCGGGGAACATCACACACTGGGGCCTGTTGTGGGATGGGAAGAGGGGGGAAGGATAGCATTAGGAGAAATACCTAATGTAAATGACGAGTTGATGGGTGCAGCACACCAACATGGCACATGTATACATATGTAACAAACCTGCACGTTGTGCACATGTACCCTAGAACTTAAAGCATAAAAAAAAAAAGAACCTCCATGCTCAATATCTGATCATCCTCCATATCTGATCAGGGCTTCATCCTCCACCATCTCCCAGGTAGTGTCTCAACACCCCAGCCTGTTTTCAGCAAGAATCCTGTTAGGTCAGTTAAGCCAGAATCTTTCCTTACTCTTGAAGTTTCCTCTTAGTAATTTTCAATCCACTGACCCCCACCCTACTCCTTGGCAATAAATTCCCACTTACCCAAACTGTATTCAGAGTTGAGCCCAATCTCTCTCCCTCGCTGTAAAATGCTATTGCATTGGTCCCTGTATCTATTCTGATGATCTTGAAAAAGTCAGCCTTACCATCCTTGAACAAGTGTCATTGAAAAATCTTTAACAAGAGGACATGCTTTCTTTTTCTATTTATTATTATTTTTTAGAGTCAGGGCTCACTCTATTGCCCAGGCTGGAGTGCAGTGGTGTGACCATAGCACACTGTACCCTCAAACTCCTGGGCTCAAGAGACCCTCCTGCCTCAGCCTCCTGAGTAGCTGGGACTATATGCACCATCATACCTGGCTAATTTTAAAAATTTTTATAGAGGCAAGGTCTTGCTACGTTGCCCAAGCAGGCTTCAAACTCCTGAGCTCAAGCGATTCTCCTACCTTGGCCACCCAAGGTGCTGGGATTATAGGTGTGAGCTACCACATCTAGCTCAGGACACACTTTCTGTTATGACTATGAGAAATAAATTTGTGAGGGAGTTCCAATATTTTTAAAGAGCTCTGTGGTTGCTCTTCTGTATAGGTCAGAAATTACAGTGGGAACTGCTGCCACTGAATGGGATTCTTAAGTATAAGGAGAGTAACTGGATCCCAGGATGGCAGGGGCCAAGTGGCAGCATTTAATCACCAAAGACAAGGTGAACATGGTTACTGTAATGGACAGTAAAGTCAAAACTGTAGTTAGAAAGTCCGATTTACAGAGACTTATGGCATTAGCTAGCTGGTCATAGTATCCATAGAAATAAAAGAGATGGAAAGCCTACTAAATTCTTATCTGTTCTGTATAAAAAGAAGAATCAAGTGAATAAAAGTCTAACTCGAATCAAAAAAACGGAGTCACAGCTCCTGAATCAATTCCAAGACTTGGGCCAGTTTGCAGACCCATATCTCCTTAAATAATGAGGAGGCTGTGTCCCCACTGCATTACCAAAATTGTATACTGTTCATTTTTCTCTCAGCCTTCCCCAAAGGGACCTATAGCACTTTACCAAGTTGACTGTGCATTGGGGAAAAGGGAATAATCAGACTTTGGGGGAATTACTGGACATTGGTTCTGAACTCAGACTCAGGGTACCCCAGGAAAACTAATGCATCACTCTGGTTCACAAGTGAGAGTAGGGGCTTAGGGAGGTTAGGTGATCAATGGAGTTTTAGTTTAGGTCTGTCTTGCAGTGGGTCGTCTTGTTATCTCTGTAGCTGCAGAATAATTGGAATAGACATACTCAACAATTAGCAGAATCCCTACACTGGTTTCCTGACCTGAAGAGTGAGGGCAATTACGCTATAAAGTGGAAGCCACTTACCTGCCTCTATCTAGAAAAACAGCAAACCAAAAACAATACTGCATTCTTGTAGAGCTTGCAGAGATTAGTACCACCATCAAGGACTTGAAGGATGCAGAGGTGGTACTTTTTATCACATTCCCATTCTACTCCCCTATTTAGCCTGTGAAGAAAACAGATAGATCTTGGAGAATGAGAGTAAATTACTGGAAACTTAATCAGGTGGGGACATCAATTTCAGCTGCTGTTCCAAATGTGGTTTCATAGCTTGAGTAAATTAATACATCCCCTGGTACCTGGTATGCACTTACTGATCTGGCAGATACTTTTTTTCCTGATGTCTGTTAGTAGAGACCACCAGAAACAGTTTGGTTTCAGGTGGCAAGCTCGCAATACACCTTCGTTGTCCTACCTCAGGTGTATGCCAACTCTCCAGCCCTATGTCATAATTTAATCTGAAGGGATCTTAATTGCCTTTCCCTTCTATATCAATCGCACTGGTCCATTACATTGATGACATAATGCTGACTGGAAGCAGTAAGAAGTAGCAACTATTCTAGACTTACTACTAAGACATTTGCATGTCAGAGGGTGGAAAATAAATCCTATAAAAATTCAAGGGCCTTTCACTTCAGCGAAATTTCTAGGAGTCTAGTGGTCGAGATATCCCTTCTAAAGTGAAGAATAAGTTGTTGCATCTAGCCCCTTGTACAACCAAAAAAAGAGGCATAACACCATTAGGCCCTCTTTGGATTTTAGAGGCAACATATTCCTCAATTGAGTGTGTTACTCTCTGACCTATTTGCCAAGTGACCCAAAAAGCTGCTAGTTTTAAGCCCAGGATAAAAGCAGGCTCTGCAACAGGTCCAGGCTGCTGTGCAAGCTGCTCTCCCACTTGGGCTTTATGTTTCAGGAGATCCAATGGTGCTTGAAGTGTCAGTGGCAGATAGGGATACTATCTGAAGCCACTGGCAGGCCTCTACAGGCAAATCAGTGTGGACCCTAGAACTGTGGAGCATGCCATCTTCCGCTGATAACTACTCTCCTTTTCAGAAGCAGTTTTGGCTTGCTCCTGGGACTTAGTGGAGACTGCTCAAGCATGGGCCACCTAGCTACCCTGCAACCTGAGCTTTCCATCATACATTGGGCATTGTCTGATCCACCAAGCCATAAAGTTAGGCGTGCAGAACAGCACTCCAACATCACATGAAGTGGTATACAGTTGGTCCTCTGTATCCTCTGTGTGGAGCCTGGGCCACATGGGTCTCCCAGATGTGCTCTGAAGTCACTGTCAAAAGTCATGGGCACTGGAGAGTTTCATGTGCCTGACGCTACGGAAGATACCAAATTCTACATTTGCCTCCAATGGGCACAAATGTCAGTTTCCATCAAGCTCCACCCTGTCCAGGTGACTCCTGTTGTGGCTCTTTTCATATCATCTCCCCTTCTCCCACAAGTGCCACCAACAGGCAAAGGTGGGGAGCTGGGTTTGGAGACGCTGGTCTGACCCTTAGGTGAAATCCTCTCCCCTGATGTTGCAGGAGAATGGGTGCTCAGATGGAGAATCAGCACTCTTCTCAGGATTGGAAGGTGCTGTGGCTGGGGGAGTCTGCATTATGTTCTGGGCTGTGAGCTTTTCCAGAATTCCACTCCACAGGCACACGTCTGCTGTGTATGCATTTCTTGATATAAATCAGAAGTCCCTGAGTTCTCTGCTCTTGAATGTCTATGTAACGTGTCTAGCCCCATCTGAGGATGCTGGAAGTCGAGTCTGTTAGGAGGCCCCTGAATATGTGCTTGTCCCGGTGGTGCTCCAGGAGGTTGCCTAACCCCTCATTTCTCTTTTGTTCTGTGTTTCTTGCTCTAGGCTATTGCTCCATTTTCTGTAGGTCACCTCCTGCCACCTCTTCTCCAGGGTGATGCTGTTTGCAACACACAGTTCCTTGTCTTGGTTTCCTAAGCATCTTATTTCTGAAGGTGAGATATTGGCTGTAACAATTAAACTATTATTACAAGCTTGGGGATAACACTAGGTCCTTAAGAAAAGAATAAAATCAAACCTGAGCTTCAGATAAGGATCACAGGATTAATGCCTGCCTTGTACCGGACAATAGGGATAAAGACCAGTTGCCTCCACAAGTGACTCTCCTCAGGTCCCAGCCAGCTGACAACTGCATGCACTGATTATCTCTTTCTTTCCTTTTCTTTAACTGCATACAGGTTTCCAGGCCTTTGCTCACCCTGAAGGAGTCTCTGTTGCAAAAAATTGAGGTGAAATTCACATAATATAAAATGAGCCAATTTAAAACACACATTTCAGAGGCATTTAGTATCTTCACAAGGTTGTGACAAACATCACCTGTAGTTCTAAAATATTTTCTTCACATCAAAGGAGACCAAACCCCGTACCCATCAAGCAGTCACTCGCTGTTCCCTCCTACCCCAGCCCCTGGTACCCACCAATCTGCTTTGTGTTTCTATGAATTTACCTATCTTGGACGTTCCATATAATTGGAACCATACCACAACATATGACCTTCAATTTCTGCCTTCTTTCACTTGTCATAATGTTTTCTGGATTCATCTACATTGTCAATGAAGTATCAATACCTCATTTCTTTTTAAAAATTGTGGCAAAATATACCTAACAAAAATTTATCATTTTAACCATTTCCTTTTTTCTTTTCTTTGAGACACAGTCTCCCTCTATTGCCCAGGCTGCAGTTCAGGGGCACAATCTTGGCTCACTGCAACCTCTGCCTCCCGGGCTCAAGCGATTCTCATGCCTCAGCCTCCCGAGTAGCTGGGATTTCAGGCATGCACCACCATGCCCGGCTAATTTTTGTATTTTTAGTAGAGATGGGGTTTTACCATGTTGGCCAGGCTGGTCTCGAACTTCTGACCTCAGGTGATCCACCCACCTGGGCCTCCCAAAGTGTTCCACCCACCTGGGCCTCCCAAAGTGCTGGGATTACAGGCGTGAGCCACCGCGCCTGGCCCATTTTAATCATTTCCAAGTGTACACGGTTCTGTAATATTTAAGTACATTCTCATTTTGGGACAACCGTCACCACTGTCCATCTCCAGAACTTTTTCACCTTCCCAAACTGAAACTCCAAGTCCATTATAGACTTTCCACTCCCTGTCCCCCAAATCCCTGATAACCACCATTCTACTTTCTGTCTGCCCGATTGTGAGTATTCTAGGTACCTCCTATAAGTCGAATCATATAGTATTTTTCCTTTTATGACTGAGTTATTTAACTTACTATAATGTTTTCAAGGTTCATCCATGTGCCAAAATTTCCTTCTTTTTAAAGTGAGCTGAGATCACGCCACTGCACTCAAGCCTAGGTGACAGAGTGAGACTCCATCTCAAAAAAAAAATTATAGTTATCCTTGTAGGTATGATGTGGTACCTCACTGTGGTCTTGATTTGCATTTCCCTAATAAGTAAGGATGCTAAATATCTTTTCATGTGCTTGTTGACTATTTGTATATCTTTAGAGAAATGTCTAAGTCCTTTACCCATATTTTAATCTTTTTGTTGTTTAGTTGTAACATTTCTTCCAGATATTGGACCTAGGAGCTCTCTTTAAAGATCTTGGACCATAGGTACTATATTGGTTCATTTTCTGTTACTTATATCAGAATACCTGAAACCAGGTAATTTATAAATAAAATGAATGTATTTCTTCCAGTTATGGAGGCTGAGAAATCCAAGGTTAAGGGACTGCCTCTGGTATTCCTGTCTCTTCTCCTTTTTCCACTAAAGGCCTGGTTGCCTTGACTGCTTCCAAGAGACTGGCAGGGAAAAGCAGTCTAACCATCCACAAATGTTAGCTAGATGGTAAACCTCCAACTCTCAATAATGAACCTGCCTACTGAGGGAAACACAGCCAACTCCAAATATAATGGGATTTTCTTGTGTTGTTTGTTTGTTTGAGACAGGGTCTTCCTCTGTCTCCCAGGCTGGGGTGCAGTGGCACCGTCTTGGTTCACTGTAGCCTCAACCTCCCGGGCTGACGTGATCCTCCTACCTTAGCCTCCTGAGTAGCTGGGACTATAGGTGTGTGCCACCACATCCCGCTAATTTTTTATTTTTAGTAGAGATGAGGTTTTGCCACGTTGCCCAGGCTGGTCTCAAACTCCTGGGCTTAAGCAATCCTCTGACCTTGACCTCCCAAAGTGCTGGGATTACAGGCGTGAGCCATTGTACCAGGCCAAAATTAGTTCAGACCAGATCAGATTGTCCTATTTAATAGCCTTTACTCTGAGATATTGGTTAAGCTCACAGAGCTGGGTCCCAGGCAAACTAACTGAGTCTAAGCCCCAGGGTGGTGGCACCTGCCCCAACCTCTGCATTGCCCAACCCTCACAGAGGCAGGAAATTCCTCCTTCCTGATGCTGCAATCAGTCCTAGTCAGTTTCAGAATCGGGGGTCATATGCAGATTACAAAAGGCCATCTTCAAAGAAGCTGCTTATAGATTTCATGAAGTTTCTTAGGAAGTAAAACTTTCTGACTTATAGACAGCAAATGGCTTCCAAGAAGAATAGTACTGCTCACATAATAGTGCAGTATGAGCTGGGTGCAATGGCTCACGCCTGTAATCCCAGCACCTTGGAAGGCCGAGGCGGGGGGATCACCTGAGGTCAGGAGTTCGAGACCAGCCTGATCAACATGGAGAAACCCCATCTCTACTAAAAATACAAAAAATTAGCCAGGCATGGTGGTGCATGCCTGTCATCTCAGCTACTCGGGAGGCTGAGACAGGAGAATCACTTGAACCTGGGAGGCAGAGATTGCAGTGAGCTGAGATCGCACCATTGCACTCCAGTCTGGGCAACAAGAGCAAAACTCTGTCTCAAACAAAACAAAACAAAACAAACACTGCAGTATAACCTGAAATGGGGTATACAAGCATCTTTTCACCCATGATAGGCCACTCCTTACAAGAAATCCCATTATTCATTTTAAAAAAGAAATGGCAGCCAGGTGTGGTGGCTCATGCCTGTAATCTCAGCACTTTGGGAGGCTGAGGCAGGCAGATCATGAGGTCAGGGGTCATGAGATCAGGAGTTCAAGACCAGCCTGGCCAACCTGGTGAAACCCCGTCTTTACTAAAAATACAAAAATTAGCTGGGCATGGTGGTGTGCGCCTGTAATCCCAGCTACTCAGGAGGCTGAGGCAGGAGAACTGCTTGAACCAGGGAGGCAGAGGTTGCAGTGAGCCAAGATCAGGCCACAGCACTCCAGCCTGGGCAACAGAGCAAGACTCCGTCTCGGGGTGGAAAAAAAAAAGAAATGGCTATGTTACAGTTTTGACAGTAAATAATTTGTAAGTCATTACTCTCATATGATGAAAACATCTACTGTCCTATAATTGAAAAAAAACTTTTTTTTTTTTTTTTTTTGAGACAGAGACTCTCTCTGTTGCCCAAGCTGGAGTGCAGTGGTGCAATCTTGGCTCACTACAGCCTCTGCCTCCCAGATTCAAGCAATTCTCCTGCCTCAGCCTCCCGAGTAACTGGGACTACAGATGTGCACCACCACGCCTGGCTAATTTTTGTATTTTTAGTAGAGACGAGGTTTCATTATGTTGGCCAGGCTGGTCTCAAACTCCTGACCTAAGGAGATCCTCCCACCTCGGCCTCCCAAAGCGCTGGGATTACAGACGTGAGCCGCTGCGCCCAGCCTGATAAAAAAACTTTATGGAAGGTTTTTTAAGGTTCCTAGGGCTGGTTATTGCTGGAAATCATAAACAAAGTGACCATTTAAGTATAAGAATCATCTGTATATCTAGCCTAGCCAACGTGGTGAAACATCGTCTCTACTAAAAATACAAAAATTAGCTGGGCGTGGGGCATGGTGGCACACACCTGTAATCCCAGCTACTTGGGAGGCTGAGGCAGGAGAATGGCTTGAACCAGGGAGGTGGAGGTTGCAGTGACCAAGATCGCGCCATTGCACCCCAGCCTGGGCAAACTCTGTCTCAAAAAAAAAAAAAAAAAAAAGAAACATCTGAATTTGACTTTTAAAATTATGACTATATATCATAATTCAATCAATAAATATGTTAAATGATTTTTTTCTATGAAGGATAAAGTAATATTTTCCCTAAAACCAATCATAAGAAGAAAAGTACTTCCTTTAGTGCAAAGTTATAACATAGGCCAGTGGTTCTCAAAGTGTGGCACAGGCAACCCTGGAGAATCCCCAAATCTTTTTTTAGGAGAACGGTCTATGAGGTCAAAAGTATTCTCAAAATAATACTGGGGCCGAGCGCAGTGGCTCACACCTGTAATCCCAGCACTTTGGGAGGCCGAGGCAGGCGGATCACTGGAGGTCAGGATCCCTGACCAACTTGGTGAAGCCCTGTCTCTACTAAAAATACAAAAATTAGCCAGGTGTGGTGGCAAACACCTATAATCCCAGCTATTTGGGAGGCTGAGGCAGGAGAATTGCTTGAACCTGGGAGGTGGAAGTTGCAGTGAGCTGAGATCACGTGAGTGTGCTCCAGACTGGGCAAGAGTGAATCTCCATCTCAAAAAAAAAAAAAAAAAAAGATACTGGGAATGACTTGTCTAATTTACTTTCATTGTCTCATGAGTGTAGACAATGAGTAGAGCTTTGCTGAGCCTGTAAGATACATAGAATTACATATATACAATTGAATCCTGTGTCTTCTGTTAAGGCAGAAAAAATTCTTTGCAAAATTGTAAAACAATGTCATTCTTCTCACTATAACTTTTTTCTTTTGGAAATTCTTTTGTGAAGTTATTTTTTGCATAACTGTTATTTATGTTAACATTTTTATTGTATTCATGTAAACATTATTTTATATATTTTAATTTTAAGTTAGCCTACAGTAAAATTGACTTTTCTTGTGTACAGTTCTATCAGTTTATTATTATTATTATTATTATTATTATTATTATTATTATTTTGAAACAGGGTCTCACTGTCACCCAGGCTGAAGTACACTGGCATGATCACAGCTCACTGCAGCCTCCCCCTCCTGGGTTCCAGCGATCCTCCCACCTCAGGATCCGAAGTAGCTGCGATTACAAGCATGCACCATCACACCGGGCTAATTTTTCTATTTTTTGTAGAGATGGGGTTTTGCCATGTTGCCCACGCTGGTCTTAAAACTCCTTGGCTCAAGTGATCCTCCAGCCTCGGCCTCCCAAAGTCCTGGGATTACAGGCATAAGCCACCATGACTGGCCAGTTCCTGAAGTTTTAAAAAACACAGATTCATATAGCCACTGCTTCAATGCAGATACAAAAGAGCTCTATCACCCTAAGAAACTCCCTCATGCTGCTCCCTTAAGGCCACATTCTCCCACTAACTCCTGGCAACCACCGATTTGTTGCCTAACATTTATAGTTGCATCTTTTTGAGGTTGTCATAAATGAAATAATACAATATGTAAACCTTTGAGACGGGCTTCTTTCACTCAGAATGTTACCTTTGAGATCAATCAAGTTGCTGGGTCCCTTTTTTTGCCGGGTAGTCTTCCATTCACTGTATGGATGTACCAAAGATTACTTACTCATTTACCAGTGGGAGAAGTTTTCAGTGTTTCCAGTTTGGGGGTATTACAAACAAAGCTTTATGAAACACCGCTATACAAGTTTTCATGTGACCATAACTTTTCTTTTTTTTAATTTTATGTTGGTTTTTTTTTTTTTTTTTTTTTTTTGAGACAGAGTCTAGCTCTGTCGCCCAGGCTGGAGTGCAGTGGCGCAATCTCGGCTCACTGCAAGCTCCGCCTCCTGGGTTCATACCATTCTCCTGCCTCAGCCTCCCGAGTAGCTGTGACTACAGGCGCCCGCCACCACACCCGGCTAATTTTTTGTATTTTTAGTAGAGAGGGGGTTTCACCGTGTTCGCCAGGATGGTCTCGATCTCCTGACCTTGTGATCCACCTGCCTCGGCCTCCCAAAGTGCTGGGATTACAGGCATGAGCCTCCGCACCCGGCCATAACTTTTCATTTGCTAAGGTAAATACCTAGGAGTGGGACTGGTGGGTCATATAGTAAGTATATGTTTAACTTTATAAAAGGCTGCCAAGTGTTCTTCCAGAGTGACTGCGTCATTCTCCATTCCCACCAGAAATGTGTGCAAGTTCTAGTTACTCCACATTCTCCACATCACTTGGTCAGGTCAGTTTTTCTATTTTAGCTGATGGTGTGGTGTCTCACTATGGTTTTTTTGGTTTGTTTTTTGGGAGGCAAGGTCTCACTCTGTCACCCAGGCAGGGGTGCAGTGGTGCTATCATAGCTCACTACAACTTCAATCTCCAGGGCTCAAGTAATCCTCTCACTTCAGCCTCCCAAGTAGCTGGGACTACAGCGGTATGCCACCTATTTTTTATTTTTAGTAGAGACATGCCCAGCTATTTTTGATTTTTAGTAGAGACAGGGTCTCACTATGTTGGCCAGGCTGGTCTGGAACTCCTGAGCTCAAGCAATCCTCCTGCCTCAGCTTCCCAAAATGCTGGCATTACAGGCATGAGCCACTGTCCCCAGCCTCACTATGGTTTTAATTTGCACTTCCTGATAGCTAATGATGTTGAAAATATTTTCTTGTGCTTATTTTCCATCGATATAACTTCTTTGATGAAGTATCTGCTCAAGTCTTTTACCCATTTTTTACTTAAACTCTGTTTTCCTTCTGTTGAGTTTTGAGAGGTCTTTATATACTCTGAATACTAGTCTTTGTCAGATAAGTGATTTCTCAACATTTTCTCCAAGTCTGTGGTGTGTATTTTTATTCTCTTCACAGTGTATTTTGCAGAGCATGGGTTTTAAATTTTATGAATCCAATTTGTCATGTTTTTTAGTGGATCAGGCATTTGACATCATATCTAAGAACTTTTTGTCTAACTTCAGTTCATGAAAATTTTCTTCTGTTTTCTTTTTTAAATATTATGCTTTGAATTTTAACATTTACGTGTAAAATCAATTTTTAGTTAGTCTGTGTATAAGGTGAAATTTAGGTCAAGGTTCATTTTTTTGCAGGATGACTAATTATCCCAACACTGGTTTTGGAAAGACTGTCCTTTCTCCTTTGAATTACTTTTGCACCTCTGTCAAAAATCAATTGGTCATCACCTCATACCCATCAGAATGACTACTGTAAAACAAAACAAAAAACAGAAAATAATGAGTGTTGGTGTCAGAGGCATTTGAGCCAGAGCAACTCCATCTTGAATAGGAGCTGGGTAAAATAAGGCTGAGACCTGCTGGGCTGCATTCCCAGGAGGTTGGGCATTCTGAGTCACAGGATGAGATACAAGGTCAGCACAAGATACAAGTCACAAAGACCTTGCTGATAAAACAAGTTGCAGTAAAGAAGCCGGCCAAAACCCACCAAAACCAAGATGGTGATGACAGTGACCTCTGGTGGTCCTCACTGCTCATTTTACACTAATTATAACGCATTAGCATGCTAAGAGACACTCCCACCAGCACCATGACCATTTACAAATGCCATGGCAATGTCAGGAAGTTACTCTATATGGTCTAAAAAAGGGAGGAACTCTCATTTCTGGGAACTGCCCACCCCTTTCCCAGAAAACTCATGAATAATCCACCCCTTGTTTAGCATATCATCAAGAAATAACTATAAGTATACTCCAGTCAAGCAGCCCATGCCGCTGCTCTGCCTATGGAGTAGCCATTCTTTATTCCCTTACTTTTTTTTTTCTTTTTTGAGACTGAGTCTTGCTCTGTCACCTAGGCTGGAGTGCTGGAGTACAGTGGCGCGATCTTGGCTCACTGCAACCTCTGCCTCCTGGGTTCAAGCAATTCTCCTGCTTCAGCCTCCCAAGCAGCTGGGACTACAGACATGCGCCACTATGCCCAGCTAATTTTTGTATTTTTATGAGAGGCAGGGTTTCACCATGTTGGCCAGGCTGGTCTCGAACTCCTGACCTCATGATCCACCCGCCTCGGCCTCCCAAAGTGCTGGGATGACAGGCATGAGCCACCGTGCCCGGCCTATTCCTCTACTTTCTTAATAAACTTGCTTTCACTTTACTCTATGGACTTGTGTGAATTCTTTCTTGGGAGAGGTCCAAGAACCCTCTCTTGGGCTCTGGGTCAGGACCCCTTTTTGGTAACACTGCTGAGAATATGGAGAAACTGAAACTCTTGAGCACTGTTGTCATGAGAATGTAAAATGGTGTAGCCACTAAGGTAAACAGTATGGTGGCGCCTCAAAAAATTAAAGAGAGAATTACACTATGATCCAGCAATTCTACTTCTGGGTGTATATTAATAATAATGTATGCTAAATAACATATACTACTAATAATAACCAAACTTGATTTATCCTGCTATACTCACCAACACAGAGTACTTCAGACACCAGACGTGTATGGGGTTCTCCCCACACACCAAGTAAGTAACCACCTCTGCAGCATGGACACCAACTGGGTGTCCTCTAATTCAATTCAATTCTGACACTATCTACCTGGAGAGAGCATCAGATCCCACAGGTTGAGTGCTCAGTCCACAAGACTGCCCCCCACTTCCTATGCCAATTGCAAGCCCCAGGTTGCTTTACCTGCACTTCTTACTGACTGGCTATAAATGGGGGATCCCCACCTCTGGTCCGATTAATTTGCTAGAGTGGCTCACAGAACTCAGGAAGACACTTAACTTTTAACTTACATTTACCAGTTTATTATAAAGAATATTACAAAGGGTATTGATGAAAAGATGCCTAGGGTAAGAGATGAAAATAGACGTGGAGCTTTTATATCCTCCCAGGCATGCCACCCTCCAGGAACTTTCATGAGTTCAACTATTCAGAAACTTCCCACACCCTGTCATTTGCAGTTTTTATAGAAGCTTTGTTAGGTAGGCATAATTGATTAAACCATTGACCGCTGGTGATCAACTTAACCTTGAGCCCCTTTTTCCTCTCTAAAGGATGGGGCTAGGGCCAAAAGTCCCAACCGTCTAATCATTTCTGGTGACCAGCCCCCATCCTGAAGCTACCTAGGAGCTGCCAGCCATCTGGCAACTCATTAGCACACAAAAAGACATCACTTTGGAGATTCCAAGGATCTTAGGAGTTGTATGCCAGGAAATTGGAACAAAGACCAAATATATATTTCACAGTACAACAATACCCAAAAGAATTGAAAGCAGGGAATCGAACAGATATTTGTATACCCATGTTCATAGCAGCATTATTCACAATAGCCAAAAGGTAGAAGGAACCCAAGTGTCCATGCATGAATGAATGGATAAACAAGATGTTGTATACACAAACGAGAGAATATTATTCAGTGTTAAAAAGGAAAGAATTTCTGACAAATGGATGAACCTTGAGGACATTACATTAAGTGAAATAAGCCAGTCACAAATACTATATGATTACTTATATGAGGTACCTAACATAGTCAAGCTTATAGAAAGAGAAAGTAGAATGCGGGTTGCCAGGAGCTGGGGAAAGGAGAAAGGGGCAGTTGTTGTTTAACGGAAATCGAGTTTGTTTTGCAAGACGAAAAAGTTCTGGAAATTAGTTGCACAACAATATGAATATATTAAACCATACTGAACTGTATGCTTAAAAATGGTTACGATGGTAAATTTATGTTACATGTAGTTTACCGCAATTTAAAACAATCAATTGGCCATATTTGTGAGGATCTATGTGTGGGTCCCATTCTGTTCCATTGATCTATATGTCTAAGTCTTCTCCAATACCACACTGCCTTGATTTCTGTAACTTGATAGTGTCTTTTTGTGTGTGTGTGTGTGTAAGACAGAGTTTCACTCTTGGTCGCCCAGGCTAGAGTGCAATGGCATAATCTCAGCTCCCTGCAACCTCCATCTCCCGGGTTCAAGCGATTCTCCTGTCTCAGCCTCCCGACTAGCTGGGATTACAGGAGCCTGCCACCACACCCGGCTAATTTTTGTATTTTTAGTAGAGATGGGGTTTCACCATGTTGGCCAGGCTGGTCTCGAACTCTTGACCTCAGGTGATCTGCCCACCTTGGCCTCCCAAAGTGCTGGGATTACAGGTGTGAGCCACCGTGCCCGGCCTTGATAGTGTCTTAAAATTGAACATTGCTTATTTTTTATCTGGGGGAAGGGGGTGAGGTAAGATGGATAGCTATAAACAGAACTACTAGTATTGGAAATATATTCTTAAATAAACACAATGGACACAGTCTGATAAGCTTTATGCTGAGAAAGATGGGGACATGTTATATTTCTCTGTTTTCCAGTGCCCAGGCCAGTGCCTAACTACCATTGAGTAAGCACTCAATAAATGGTTTTTTTTGTTTTTGAGACAGGGTATTGCTGCGTTGCCCATGCTGGAGTGCAGTGGTGCAATCATGGCTCGCTGCAGCCTCCAGTTCCTGGGCTCAAGTGATCCTCCTGTCCAGGCTGGTCTTGAACTCCTGGGTTCAAGCTATCCTCCTGCTTCAGCCTCCCAAAGTGCTGGGATTACAGCACTTGAGTGCCCAGGCACTCAGTAAATTTTTGACAAAGGAATGAAGATATAACTTTCTTCACCCATTGCAGCCTAAAATGCAAGAGAAGCTCTGGGATATTAAAATGAGAAACAGTCTTGGAAAAAAATTAATTTGAGCACACAGAATATTTTCCAGTGTGCACTACAAAAAACATGTAGTCAAAAATATCCATAGAAGTGTTGCTTAGAATGGGGCAAAAGCCCAAGGGAAAACCCACCCTCACAGGGTTAATGAGAATTACAAGCCAGGCTTTAGGCTTGTATTGTAGTCAGGCATCAACCAGCATGCACTGGTGTGCTCTGACTCATTTCCCTGCAGCTGCTAACTAATCGAGGGTCATGCAGCACACTGACCACCTGCTCCCCCATTGCTCCCATAGATAGAATCTGACACTGGACATTTTACCCAAGAATTGCTTAAGGTGTTTTTCAGATCCTGAATTCCAGCAGAATGGCTGATGCCAACCGTCTGAAAACCCCTACCAAGAAAACGACTCAGCATCTCCTGGTCCCATGACTTCACTCCCCACTTCTCAACCAGTCAGCAATCCCCATACTTTAGCCCATCACCTGTCCAGACCCCTTAAAATCCCCATCCCCAAACCTCTCAGGGAGGCAGATTTGAAGTTTCCTCTCGTCTTGTCTTCTCATTCGGCTGCCCTACAGTTATTCAACTCTTTCTCTGCTGCAATCTCCACTGTTCTGGTGCATTGGTTTGTTACCATGCAACAGGCAATCGAACCTGGTGGTCCTATAACCATATTAAAATGAAACTGAGAAATAAATAAATAAATGTGAAACAGAGAGGTGTGACTTAGAAATTGTACACATTGGGTGTCACAACTTCCCTATACTTTGTGTTTTCATACTGACCTTGTTCACACTAATAAAGTGCCAACCTTGACTGACTGACTGTGATTCTGATGATGAGGAGGAAGAGGAGGAGAATAGGGATATGGTAAGAAGATTTTAAACCATTCTCTTTTCTCATCTTCCAAGTATTTACAAGTGGCTCAATTTTTCCAAGTATTCCTTTCTTTCTACAGAACTTCCATTAAAATAAAAAACAATTCTAAATCAAGCCTTATGGACAAGAATTAATGGTTCTCCCTAATATATCCCAAATCGGTGTGTCACTTGGGCAAGTCACCTCTCTCCCAGATTCTTATTTGTCCTACACGTAACTGGGGTTTTGCAACAGATGTTACTCTTCCTTCTCCTTTCCAGGTCTGTTAGAAACTTTATTAGGAAAGCCTGAAAGTAAAATCTGTACTGTTTACATCCAGAGAAAAGTTTATACTGACTAAATAATTTCCTCAAATCTGGTCACCTTTCTATGGGAAAATTCCTCATCTTAACAATGTTTCATGCATAAAGTCATCTGGCCTCTTAACTGCATTGTTGGATATTTTTAAGACCAAAAGCTTGCTAAACCCAAAACAGCAAAAGCATTCAGCTGAAAATAAAGTGAAAAGCCACATATGTCTTAGAGGGAGAAAACAGTGCTAATGATTTTAGGCCTTAATAGTTTCAAGATCCCGATTGGCTGCTCTGAAAAGCCATCTTTGCATTGTTCCTTGTCCAGCTCCTTGCTCGCCGCGGCTGCCTCCACCGCAGACTCTGGCAGCTTTATCGCCAGAGTCCCTGAACTCTCGTTTTCTTTTTAATCCCCTGCATCAGATCACCGGCGTGCCCCACCATGTCAGATGCAGCTGTAGACACCAGCTCTGAAATCATTGCCAAGGACTTAAAGGAGAAGAAGGAAGTTGTGAAAGAGGCGGAAAATGGAAGAGACGCCCCTGCTAACGGGAATGCTAATGAGGAAAATGGGGAGCAGGAGGCTGACAAGGAGGTAGATGAAGAAGGGGAAGAAAGTGGGGAGGAAGAGGAGGAGGAAAAAGAAGGTGATGGTGAGGAAGAGGATGGAGATGAAGAGGAAGCTGAGTCTGCTACAGGCAAGCGGGCAGCTGAAGATGATGAGGATGATGATGTCGATACCAAGAAGCAGAAGACCGACAAGGATGACTAGACAGCAAAAAAGGAAAAGTTAAACTAAAAAAAAAAGGCCGCCATGACCTATTCACCCTCCATTTCCTGTCTCAGAATCTAAACGTAGTCACCTTCCAGTATAGCTCGGTACCCCCCCACCATGGGCAGTGCCACCCACAGATGACACACACTCTCCACCACCCAACCTAAACCGTAAGAATTTGCAACAGGGGAGGAAAAAACAACCAAAACTTCCAAGGCCCTGCTTTTTTTCTTTTTTCTTTTTTTTGAGGCAGAGTCTTGCTCTGTCACCCAGGCTGGAGTGCAGTGGTGCGATCTCGGCTCACTGCAAGTTCCTCCTCCCGGGTTCATGCCATTCTCCTGCCTCAGCCTCCCGAGTAGCTGGGACTACAGGCGCCCGCCACGACACCCGGCTGATTTTTTGTATTTTTAGCAGAGATGGGGTTTCACAGTGTTAGCCAGTATGGTCTCGATCTCCTGACCTCGTGATCCACCCACCTCGGCCTCCCAAAGTGCTGGGATTACAGGCGTGAGCCATCGCGCCCGGCCTGCTTTTTTTCTTAAAAGTACTTTAAAAAAAGAAATTTGCTTGTATTTTTAATTTACATTTTATATTTTTGTACATATTGTTAGGGTCAGCCACCTTTAATGATCTCGGATGACCAAACCAGCCTTCGGACCGTTCTCCGTCCTACTTCTGACTTTACTTGTGGTGTGACCATGTTCATTATAATCTCAAAGGAGGAAAAAAAAAAAAACTTGTAAAAAAAGGGCCAGGCGCGGTGGCTCACGCCTGTAATCCCAGCACTTTGGGAGGCCGAGGCGGGCGGATCACGAGGTCAGGAGATGGAGACCATCCTGGCTAACACGGTGAAACCCCATCTATACTAAAAATACAAAAAATTAGCTGGGCGCGGTGGCGGGCGCCTGTAGTCCCAGCTACTCGGCAGGCTGAGGCAGGAGAATGGCATGAACCCGGGAGGCGGAGCTTGCAGTGAGCCGAGATCGCGCCACTGCACTCCGGCCTGGGCAACAGAGCAAGACTCTGTCTCAAAAAAAAAAAAAAAAAAAAAAAGATTGTTTTTCTGTTGTCATTTTTGCTTTTCTTACAAGTTTTTTTTTTGTTTTTGTTTTGTTTTGTTTTTTTTTTTTGAGAGTTAGTCTCGCTCTTTCTCCCAGGCGGGAGTGCAGTGGCGCGATCTCGGCTCACTGCAAGCTCTGCCTCCCGGGTTCAAGCCATTATCCTGCCTCAGCCTCCCCAGTAGCTGGGACTACAGGCGCCCGCCACTACACCCGGCTAATTTTTTGTATTTTTAGTAGAGACGGGGTTTCACCGTGTTAGCGAGGATGGTCTCCATCTCCTGACCTCGTGATCCGCCCACCTCAGCCTCCCAAAGTGCTGGGATTACAGGTGTGACCCACCACGCCCAGCCCTGAAAAACAATCTTATTCCCACCATTGCAGTAACTTTTTTGTGTATGTACTTAGCTGTACTATAAGTAGTTGGTTTATATGATTTGGTTAAAAAGGCCGGCTGGCATGGCGGCTCACGCCTGTAATCCCAGCACTTTGAGAGGCCGAGGCGGGCAGATCATCTGAGGTTGGGAGTTCAAGACCAGCCTGACCAACATGGGGAAACCCTATCACTACTAAAAATACAAAAAATCAGCCGGGCGTGGTGGCTCATGCCTGTAATCCCAGCTACTGGAGAGGCTGAGGCAGGAGAATCGCTTCAACCCGGGAGTCGGAGGTTGTGGTGAGCCAGGATCCGCCATCGCACTGCAGCTTGGGCAAGAGTGAAACTCCGTCTCGAAAAAAAAAAAAAAAAAAAAAAACTAACTAAAAAACAGGCCAGGCGCAGTGGCTCACACCTGTAATCTCAGGCCTTTTTTTTTTCTGGGAGGCTAAGGCGGGCAGATCATGAGGTCGGGAGTTCGAGACCAGCCTGGCCAACATGGCGAAACCCCGTCTCTACTAAAAATACAAAAAATTGGCTGGGCGTAGTGGCGGGCGCCTGTAATCCCAGCTACTCGGGAGGCGGACATTGCAGTGAGCCGAGATCGTGCCACTGCACTCCAGCCCGGGCGACAGAGTGAGTTTCCATCTCAAAAACAAAAAGGCCAGAGATAAAAGGCTTCTTTTTTTTCCTTTTATTTTTTTGAGATGGAGTCTCGCTCTGTTGCCCAGGCTGGAGTGCAGTGGCACGATCTTGGCTCACTGCAACCTCCACTTCCCGGGTTCAAGCGATTCTCCTGCCTCAGCCTCTGGAGTAGCTGGAATTACAGGCGTATGCCATCACGCCTGGCTAATTTTTGTATTTTTAGTAGAGACGGGGTTTCACCATGTTGGCCAGGCTGGTCTCAAACTCCTGACCTCATGATCTGCCCACCTCAGCCTCCCAATGTGCTGGGGTTACAGGCGTGAGCCACTGCGCCCGGCCTTTTTTTTCCGTTTTTTTGTTTATAAAGTTGCTGGGGTTTTTTTTGGCCTGTTTGATATATGCATGAAACAATGTTGTCCAACAATAAACAGGAATTTTATTTTGCTGAGTTGTTCTTAAAAAAATAGTTGCAATATACCAGAGAGAAAATAAACAAGTAGGCTTTCAAAAATATCAAGGTTATTGGTATTTAAAATCAAACTATGGCTAGGCACGGTGGCTCACACCTGTAATCCCAGCTCTCTTGGGAGGCTGAGAAGGGAGGATCACTTCAGGCCAGAAGTTCGAGACCAGCCTGGCCAACATGGTGAAACCCCGTCTCTACTAAAAATACAAAAACTAGCCAGGTGTGGTGGTGCACATCTGTAATCCCAGCTACTTGGGAGGCTGAGGCAGGAGAACCACTTGAACCTGGGAGGCGGAGGTTGCAGTGAGCCGAGATCACACCACTGCACTACAGTCTGGGTGACAGAGTGAGACTCCATTTCAAAAAATTTTAAAAATAAAATCAAACCATTAGAGTAGTTCAGACCTTCCCCTAACACTTGCAGGGCCCAGACTAAGAATGCAAAAGAAGGCCCAAATATCCTATATCCAGGTATTTAAGTTGCAAATCGAATTAAACTGTCAGAGAAAACATGCTCTATCTTCCTAGCTTGACAAATGCGCCCTTCTAAAACATTAAGCTTTTTTTTTTGGCGGGGGGTTGGAGGGGACGGAGCCTTGCTCTGATGATGCCCAAGCTGGAGTGCAGTGGCATGTTCTTGGCTCGCTGCAACCTCCACCCCCGCAATTCAAGCAATTCTCCTGCCTCCGCCTCCCAAGTAGCAGGATTACAGGCATGGGCCACCACACCTAGCTAATTTTTGTAATTTTTTAGTAGAGACAGAGTTTCACCATTTTGACCAGGCTGGTGTCAGACTCGCAACCTCAGGTGATCTGCCCACCTCAGCTTCCCAAAGTGCGGGGATTACAGAACATTAAACTTTTAAAATTGGTTTAAAGCTCTATTTCTCCTAAGGTAAAAAAATGGAGCTAGTGCAATGGTGTGCACCTATAAACTCAGCTACCCAAGAGGCTGAGGCAGAAGGATTGCTTGGCTCAAGAGTTTGAGACCAGCCTGGGCAACACAGCGAGACCTTGTCTCAAAAAAAAAAAAAAGGCAAAATGTCAAGATAATTGAGTGTGATTATGGTTGAATGTGTCCGGATGCTCTGATGATAAGCTGGTGATTAGGGGACGAGTAATAAAATAAAATACATATTGCATTATTATTATTTTTTTGGGCCTTCACTTATGTTATTTTATTTTCCAAGACGGAGTCTCACGCTGTCACCCAGGCTGGAGTGCAGTGGCGCGATCTCGGCTCACTGCAACCTCCGCCTCCTGGGTTCAGGCAATTCTCCTGCCTCAGTCTCCTGATTATCTGGGATTACAGGCATGCATCACCATGCCAGGCTAATTTTTGTATTTTTAGTAGAGACGGGGTTTCACCATGTTGGCCAGGCTGGTGTCCAACTCCTGACCTCATGATCTGCCCGCCTTGGCCTCCCAAGGTGCTGGGATTACAGGCGTGAGCCACCGCGCCCGGCCCACTTATGTTATTATAATTGAAATCCGCACATAATTTATGCTCTACTGACGGTATAGATGCTTGTTACATCTAGTCCTACATACATACAAATGTAAGAATAGCATGCATCATTCAGTGTTAGAAAATGTTTCTCAGGTGCTATACGCAACTGTGGTGAATACCAAAGTGATTTAAGTACCTCAGGAATCAGAATTGGAATGTGAAAAGAACACGAATGCTCAGCATACCAATATTTCAATTAGGCAAGAGCTAATTGCTTTCATGCTAACCACGTGTAAGGATTTGGCAGGCAATTATGTTTTTTTCTTTCTTAAGTGCTTCCTCCTCTGGAATCCTTCCTCTAATTGGAACAGTATCTGCTTTGACATCAGTGGCATACAACCCACAAACTCTCATGACCTTTGTATGCAGGTGCCTTGTGTGTTGGGAGCATAGGTCAAGAGATATCCCTTGGTGAGCAGTGTTGCACATAAGCGTTGGTGTTTAGGGCTTTAGGTCATGCTGTGCCAGCACAGGGCATGGGGTCCTGAGAGACGAAAGCACCATTTGCCTGTAACAAAGCAACATAGGTATTGGGGTGCATAAAATGTGTCGGGGTGCCAGGGTTCACAGCAGGGTCCCTCTTGCCTGGGTCTAAAGGAGATATTGCTGCACTTCATAAACAAAACATTTGTACTAATTATGCCAAGAAAATTCTTTGTTCAACCTGATTCTACCCCTTTTAGGTATCCAATATAATAAATTACAACTCCATAGTATTAAATTAATGTCTTCTTAAAGTAGAATCATAAGAACAGTAGAGAAATATAGTAATAAGGGAAACAATAAATTGGGGTCCTGTTCACTAGCAAATCGTGCCTGCTCTTTGTTGAAAATGTGAAAATTAAGGTAAATAGCATTATTTTCTAAAGCACGTACACAGGGTAGAGCTGTTGTAATTGTGTTTTTGTTTTTTTGCATTTCAAAAAGTCTCCTAGGCCGGGCACCGTGGCTCATACCTGTAATCCCAGCACTCTGGGAGGCCAAGGCGGGCAGATCACCTGAGGTCAAGAGTTCGAGACCAGCCTGGCCAACATGGTGAAACCCCGTCTCTACTAAAAATCACCCATTTTCCTTAGTTCATTCAACAGTGGGATTCCTGTGGACTTATGTTTTCTAGTTTTGTGGGGGAAAATCAGAACTACTTTCCCAGAGGAAGTGAAAGTTAAGCTGAGACTTAAGGAGGTGGCATTCAGCCAGGTGAAGGGCAGTAATCCAGGTAAAGTATCGAACCATATATCCCCCCAGTTCTCAGTAGTGCTCAGGGGACATTCCCATTAGTGATGATTCATGTGGCAGTGAGCAGGAGAAGCAGCTGACTGCCACGTAGGACAACTGCTGTTTTACTCCTAGCTATCTCTCTTGCCCAAGCAGTAGTATACAAGTGGGCATGTCATATATTAAAAAATATATATTCAATATATACAAATATGTATCATATATTATTTATATTATATATATCTATAGGTATCCATCTATCTATCTAGGAAACAACATAAGAAATGTAAGAGCTGGTCCCTTGCATTGGAGAAGTTTATACAGCAGTGAAGGATATAAACAGGAGAATCAGACTTAGGGAAAGTGAATAAGGAAAAAACATCACGAAATGCCAGGTAAGTGAGTGACCTGCATCATACTTGCACTTAAAGCTTCGTCTCTTCACTCCCTGAACAACCAGTGAAACAGAAAGCAAGGATAGGGGAACTGGCTAACAGCTGGTTTTGATGTCTTGTCCCAAGAACTCCTTTCTGGCCTGGCGCAATGGCTCACGCCTGTAATCCCAGCACTTTGGAGACTAAGGCGGGCGGATCACTTGAGGCCAGGAGTTCGAGACCAGTCTGGCCAACATGGTGAACCCTGTCTCCACAAAAAGTACAAAAATTAGCCAGGCATGATGGCGCACACCTGTAGTCCCAACTACTCAGGAGGCTAAGGCATAAGAATCACTTGAACCTGGAAGGCGGATTTGCAGTGAGCTGAGATTGTGCCACTGTACTCCAGCCTGGATGGCAGAGTAAGACTCTGTCTCTGGGAAAAAAAAAAAGAAGTTCTTTCTGATATCCGGAACGCCTTCCGTCAAAAAGAAAAACACCACCAAAAGAAACCAGTCACCCCATTACAGTGTGCAGGTAAAGAGCACTGAGTTAGACTTCTTCCTCCAAGGGCTGGTCCCAAGCTGCAACCTGGACACTCCTATAGCTAGATGCCTGCGGTGTGCAGCGGCTCCCCAGCCCGAGGCCTTTGCGGAGGCTGGGCTCATCCCACTCACCTAGACCTGGTGAAGGGGGAAGGGAGGAGGGCCAAAGGTGTGGGGCAAGGGAGGGTGAGGAGAAAGAAGGAAGACAGAGACTACAGCACTCCATGGTCAATGGCATAAAAGAGGGCCGGCTACCTGTTGTCAGGGCCACTATCACAACCTCCTGCTACTCCCATGCATGGGAGGGGCAGGGCTGGGCCTGGGTGCTACCTGGGAGGGGCATCCATCCATAATCTGGATCCAGGCCCCACCTGTGCCCCTTCCCTTCTGGAACTCCCACCCTCACCCGCTTCTCTCTGCTGGGTTCAGTCTTTCCGTCGGGGAAACCTGTGGCACTGTTTGTCTAGGTAAAATCAGGGCCCCGGCTTTATTCTGGGAAGCTCTGAATAATAATTACTAGGGAGAAGAGGGAGGAAGCAACGCGGTAAATCAAGAAAGGACTGGGCGCTGATGAGGTCCCCGCCACTGTGTTGTCACTGAGCTGTTGTGGTGCTGCTGTCAGCGCACCCGGGCCCACCTAAACCTTTCCATTTCTTACCTACATTTGGTCTCATTCATTCGCATCTAGAAATGTATTCAAATGAAAAACAATCCAGGATATATGCATACGTTAATTTTCAGGGATGTTTAGCAAGGCTATTTGTGGTAGAAAAATTGGAAGCTACATAAATAACTAACAATAGGCGACTGATTCTAAATCATGGAAATTCGTTTAGTAAAACTTTTTTTTTTTGAGACAGAGTCTAGCTCTGTGACCTGGGCTGGAGTGCAGTGGTGCAATCTCGGCTCACTGCAACCTCTGCCTCCCGGGTTCAAGTGATTCTCCTACCTTAGCCTCCCAAGTAGCTGGGATTACAGGCGCCCACCACCACGCCCAGCTATTTTTTGTATTTTTAGTAGAGACGGAGTTTCACTGTGTTGGCCAGGCTGGTCTCAAACTCCTGACCTCATGATCCACCCGCCTCAGCCTCCCAAAGTGCTGGGATCACAAGCATGAGCCACCGTGCCCGACCAGAAATTTTTTTTTAGACAGGGTCTCACTCTTTGCCCAGAATGCAGCACAGTGGCATGATCATGACTCACTACAGTCTCCAGTTCCTGGAATCAACCAATCCTCCTGCCTCAGCTTCCTGAGTAGCTGGGATTACAGATTCATACCACCACCCTTGGCGTGTGTGTGTGTGTGTGTGTGTGTGTGTGTGTGTGTGTGTGTAGATGGGGGTCTGTGTTGCCCAGGCTGGTCTTGAACTCCTGGGCTGAAGCCACCCTTGCGCCTCGGTCTCCTGAAGTGCTGGGATTGTACGTATGGGCCACCACACCCAGCCTTTTGGTAGAATTTATTGCGCACATTTAAAGTCATTTTATGGGAGAATATTTATGATTGACAGAAAATGCTCACTATAGGCCAGGTGCGGTGGCTCACGCTTATAATCCCAGCACTTTGGGAGGCCGAGGCAGGTGGATAACTTGAGTCAGGAGTTCAACGCCAGCCTGGCCAACATGGTGAAAGCCTGTCTGTACTAAAGATACAAAAATTAGCTGGGCGAGGTGGCCTGTGCCTGTAGTCCCAGCTACTTGGGAAGCTTGGGAAGCTGAGGGGGGAGAATTGCTTCAACTCCGGAGGCGGAGGTTGCAGTCAGCTGGGATCATACCACTGCACTCCAGCTGGGCAACAGAGGGAGGCTCCATCTCAAAAAAAAAAAAAAAGCCCACTATATATTGAGTAAGGAGAAAGCAGTTTACAAAACAGGTTTTGGCGGGCTTCAGAAGAAAACAGGGAGACATAATATGGATGGGCAGAGACAGGAAAGTGGTATCTCTAGGTAGCTGGCTGCTAGGAATAAATTTTATGCCGTGTTATTTTTGCAAAGATAAGAGACAAAAGGATATGTTTTAAATTGCGGGGGTGGTCAGCAGTTCACTCACCGGTGCTGTGGGCTTTGTTCCCTCCCTGGAAAGGGACGGAGAATTCCACATCCAGAGGGAGCCCTGCCGTCCATGGTTCTGAGCTTGAAGTCACCAGGACTTCTTTCAAACTTGTGTGCCGAGGAGACTCCCTTGTTGGCCTCAGTTCCCAGGCTGAACTCAGCAGCTCAGCCCATGAAAACTTCTGTATTGAGACAAAGGAAAGGATCTGTCAGAAAGCAACACCTATTGTCCTGAACTTGACACTAAGAAAGAGGACAAGTGATAAAGAAACTGAAGACAAGTGGTAGAGAGAGGTGTAACATTCCAGCCCCTCAACCTAGAAATGTTAGTAGAATCAACAACAGCTTAACAGACCAAGAGTCAGAATCCCCCAATGAAGATTCTTCATAAGAAAAAAGAAAGAAGACAGGGATATAACTCATCAGCAGCTGCAGGGCAGGCCATGCAAGACGGGGGAAAGAACAAAAATTTTCCAAAAAATCAAAATTGGAACTCTGAACTTTTCAGGTCCCAGCTTACTTTTTAAATCTCAAGCTAATCAGAACTTTGCCAGGGCCAAATGTAGTGAACCTCCATCACCAAGTGTTCTTCCCAAACCACCAAGCTGTTTCCTTTAATTCTTCCGATAAGGCAATAATGACATTTTAACTTAAAACCTTACTTAAAGTACAGGTACAAAATAAGATAAAGTACTAATGTTTACATTTAGCTATGTTTACAGATAGTTGTCAACTGGTCTAAAACAAATACACCAAGGGATTAATGTATTAGTGTAGAACTGTTAATTAGTATAAAAAATAAAATTGACTTCATCTCATTTGTTTTATGTGTTGGGTGCACTGTGATGTAATGATAGCATCAGTGCAACTTAAAGTAACTAAATTAATAATTGTACTAATTATTAAGGGTTCTCAAATGAGTTTTTTTTTTTTTTTTGAGACAGAGTCTTGCTCTGTCACCCAGGCAGAAGTGCAGTGGTGCAATCTTGGCTCACTGCAACCTCTGCCTCCTGGGTTCAGGCGATTCTCCTGCCTCAGCCTCCTGAGTCGCTGGGATTAAAGGCGTGTACCACTACGCCCAGCTAATTTTTATATTTTTTGTAGAGACGGGGTTTCACCATGTTGGCCTGGTCTCAAACTCCTGACCTCAAGTGATCCGCCTGCCTTGGCCTCCCAGAGTGCTGAGATCACAGGCATGCGCCACTACACCCAGCCTCAAATGAGTAACTTTTAAGTGAAACCATTCAAGTTTAGATTTGGGGACTAGCAAGGGCATCAACTTTTTCTACTGAATGTTGGGGGAAAATAGTAATATAAGATTATTATTCATGGATAATAGATTGCTGAAAGTGAATCAGATTGTAAACATCTAGCTAAGACACAGGATTAAGAAGTAGGTAAACTTCTGAAAGTTCAGTATACTAGAAGCACTCAAACCAGTAATATGCCAACAACCTGATGCACTGCCAAAAGAAAATGTGAAGTTTTCCTAATAGTTGTATTTTAGTACAGTGGTGAAACTGGAAAGGGCACTTGGGGTTTATTAGAACGAGGCAGAGTATACCCCAATGTCCCTTTCTCTAAATGCAGTGGATAGGTGTCTGCCAACAAATACACCAAAACCTTTTTTTTTTTTTTTTGAGATGGAGTCTCCCTCTGTTGCCCAGGCTGGAGTGCAGGGGCACGATCTCTGCTCTCTGCAAGCTCTGCCTCCTGGGTTCATGCCATTCTCCTGCCTCAGCCTCCCGAGTAGCTGGGACTACAGGCGCCCACCACCATGCCCGGCTAATTTTTTGTATTTTTAGTAGAGACGGGGTTTCACCATGTTAGCCAGGATGGTTTCGATCTCCTGACCTCATGATCCGCCCGCCTCGGCCTCCCAAAATGCTGGGATTACAGGCGTGAGCCACCGCGCCCAGCCCAAAACCATTTTTAAAAAAATAAAACATCATTTAACGGTCACTCAATAGCTTTCAAAATACATTTTTATGGCTGGGCACAGTGGCTCACGCCTGTAATCCCAGCACTTTGGGAGGCCGAGGCAGGCGGATCCAGGGTCAGGAGTTCGAGACCAGCCTGACCAACATGATGAAACCCCATCTCTACTAAAAATACAAAAATTAGCCAGGCACAGTGGCACATGCCTGTAATCCCAGCTTACTCAGGAGGCTGAGGGAGGAGAATCGCTTGAACCCAGGAGGCAGAGATTGCAGTGAGCCAAGATCTCGCTACTGCACTCCAGCCCAGGCAACAGAGCGAGACTCCATCTCAAAAACAAAACATTTTTATATTATGGCACTGCCTAAGCTATTCTGATAGTAATACGACCTCATCATTTCTGCAAAGCTTGCCTTGGGGAGAGGAAGCTTGCTTTGGAGAGTTGTATAATGTGAAAGTTTTAAGTAACTAGGGAAGAAAGAGCCATGTAAATACATGTAATAAACTTGTAGCATATGTAAAGTTTTCTTGGCCTTTATCCTACAAAAACAGAATATTTTAGTATGAATTTGCTGAACATAAAAGAGTGTGGACTTTTTTTTTTTATAGTATGGTCTAATTTTAAAGGTCCAAAATAATTTTTTTTTTTTTAAATCACTTTATTCTGGCCGAGTGTGGTGGCTCACGCCTGTATGTAATCCCAGCACTTTGGGAGGCTGAGGCGGGCAGATCACGAGGTCAGGAGATCGAGACCATCCTGGCTAACACGGTGAAAGCCTGTCTCTACTAAAAATACAAAAATTAGCCAGACATGGTGGCACATGCCTATAGTCCCAGCTACTCGGGAGGCTGAGGCAGGAGAATTGCTTGAACCCGGGAGGCAGAGGTTGCAGAGAGCCGAGATCACGCCACTACACTCTAGCATGGGCAACAGAGCCAGACTCCGTCTCAAAAACACAAACAAAAAAAAGAACTTTATCTTAAACTAAAGTCTGTTGCCAGGCACAGTGGCTCACACCTCTAATCCCAGCACTTTGGGAGGCCAAGGCGGGCAGATCACTTGAGGTCAGGAGTTTGAGACCAGCCTTGCCAACATAGTGAAACCCCATCTCTATTTTTTTTTTTAGATGGAGTCTCGCTCTGTCACCCAGGCTGGATTGGAGTGCAGTGGCACAATCTTGGCTCACTGCAACCTCTGCCTCCCAGGTTCAAGCAATTCTCCTGCCTCAGCCTCCCAACTAGCTGGGATCACAGGCGCCCACAACCACGCCCAGCTAATTTTCGTATTTTTAGTAGAGACGGGGTTTCACCATGTTGGCTAGGCTGGTCTCAAACTCCTGACCTCATGATCCACCCGCCTTGGCCTCCCAAAGTGCTGGGATTACAGGTGTGAGCCACTGCACCCGGCTGATAATTTGCATTTTTAACTGCTTCCCAGGTGATGCTGATGCTGATGGTCCAGGAACCACACTTCCAAGAATCACGGAAACAAAGCCTATATTCAACAACAAAATTTGCATAATTCTGTCTCCCTTTTATCTCAAACAACAGCTTAAAGGAAAGAAAATAGATTAAGTATCATCCAGAATACATATAATGTCATTTTATTTAATTCTCACAACACTCTACAACATAATTGTTACATCATTTTGTGGAGGAGGATGTTACATCTCAGAAATTAAGCAACTCCTCAACATTATACAGTAAGGAAGGGGTGAACAAATGTGTTTGACTTCAAAATCTACATTCTCTGTTATACCTTGTTGCTTCTAACGATGTTTAGCCAGCATAATTGTATTAGCCCAGAATTTTAACTTCATTCTACTTTCTATGTCGTGGTCTGTCTTCTACTTAGTTGTAGTCTATTTTAAAATTTTTGTTATAAACTGGTTCAAATTATCTAAAGAAGGCCAGGCACGGTGGCTCACGCCTGTAATCCCAGCACTTTGGGAGGCCGAGGCAGGCGGATCACGAGGTCAGGAGATCGAGACCATCCTGGATAACACGGTGAAACCTCGTCTCTACTAAAAAAATCCAAAAAAATAGCCGGGCCTGGTGGCAGGTGCCTGTAGTCCCAGCTACTCGGGAGGCTGAGGCAGGAGAATGGCGTGAACCCGGGAGGCGGAGTTTGCAGTGAGCCGAGATCACGCCACTGCACTCCAGCCTGGGCGACAGAGCGAGACTCCGTCTCAAAAAAAAAAAAAAATTATAACTTGGGGGAAGTGTAAACCACACTAACCACATGACAAAAGACATTACGAAGAAACACATCTTACTGCTCACCGGTAGCACAGGTCACTGTTCCTTAGGAACCGGTCCACCATATTCTCCACTCGCACAAACCAGCTGGGCACTGCTTTGTAAACGAGGGGAGTGTCTCTCACATCGCCAAGTACTAACCAATAACCATATCACATACCTCTAATACATATAAATTCAATTCTCTCACTCTCCTGTATAAACACAGAACCCCATCTCTCTATCAGAGACACATATACTACATTCCCAGAATATATAACCCTAATAACCACTCACTGAAAAATACAAGCACATAGCTCCACAAAACATTCATCCAAACTGCCATGCCCTTGAACACACACACACACTCAATACTCATGGAGTTCCCTGCATGCCCTAAGTATACCTGCGATTAGCTAACACGCCACAAATATGCAAACATGCCACCTCATATCCCCAAATACACATCCAGTCCCACAATACCTGCACATATGTAATCACACCTCTAAATGCTCACACAGAAGTAACTCCTCCATTTTCCAAGACACAGAATCATACAAAGTCCACCTCACAACTGCACACATTCATTCTACCAGTCCCCCAATAGTCATGGATCTGCCCTCACACATTGAAATGGCCATACACAACCCCTGAAAATCGTGAAAAGAAACACACACAATGATGCAACATATCCTAAGCACACAAATGGTCTTCCTACATTCCCCAAATATGTAAACCACAGTGTACATCCACAAAAATAGACACAAGCACTTTCTCTATTATTGCCCACATGCACAACAAGGTAATTCTTCCAGATCTGCCAAACATTAGACAAATACAAATCCCCAACATTCATTTCAGAAAACTTATGGAAAATACATCTTCACAACCCAAATCACAAATATCGAACCCCAATTCTTCTTGTATACACATATTACACCTCATATCCTCCAAATATAAACACTCACACCTACACACTCTCACAAAAGCAGTTATGAATAGTTATGAATGACCTTCTTTACTTTTCCTTTTTTTTTTTGAGATGGAGTCTCGCTCCTGCCTTGAAGTGCAGTGGCGTGATCTCCTCTCACTGCAGCCTCTGCCTCCTGGGTTCAAGCAATTCTCCTGTCTCATCCTCCCGAGTAGCTGGGACTACAAGTGCATGCCACCACGCCTGGCTAATTTTTGTATTTTTAGTACAGATGGCGTTTCGCCAAGTTGGCCAGGCTGGTCTTGAACTCCTGACCTGAAGTGATCCGCCCACCTCAGCCTCCCAAAGTGCTGGGATTACAGGCATGAGCCACCATGCCCAGCCCAATTATGACCTTCTTTAATCTGCAATCTCCACACAGACACCACCAACCCACACAGGTGAATACATATTAGATTCTCACGAATTAAATACGCAACAAATTCCAAACTAAGCATTCATATAAACACATTTTCACATACACACAGCCACCCCCACAAATCTCACACCCCCCAAAATGCAAAACAAATCTTTCTCACATTCTCAAGTACACACACTGACCAACTGCCCAGGACACACACGTGTGTGCAGTAAATTTTAGATATAATACATGTGTAGTCTACAATTTACAAATAATAATATACACTACTTTTTATTTAAATTCCACATAAGTAAGCGATTCTCATAGAAGCTTTTCTTGACTTTGGCCACACTCTTGCTTCCACAACCAACTTGTGCTACCAAGTGAACAGACTATGAGTAAAGGCCTCTTCTTCCACTTTGCAGCTGCTCATATCATTGACAAACGAGCATATTAGAGCATGCATGCTGGCTGATCATTCTGATTAAGGCAACAAGCTTCACAACTCACTCAATGAGGTCGTCCGTGAGAACTTCACTGATTTTACGAGGACAGGAGCTACTTCTTTGCTGAAATGCATCACGGTTTCAACTGCTGAGGTTTTCCGCAACCTTTTGCATTGTTTGGAATGTGAGCAGCACGGCCGAGACAAACTTTGGGGTTCCCACTGCATTGTTAAACCTCCCCCTTCACTTCAAGGCCAGGTGAGCAAGGGAAAGGAGCGCGGCCTGGGCGTCCCGCAGGGCCCCGCTAAGGACCGCTCCCGCCTTGAGCGCAGCCACAGGCCCTCTCTGGCCACAAGGATGGGGTCGCCCCGCAGACACTGGTGACCAGCGGAAGCATGACCAGGAGGCGATTACCTTCTAATCACAAATAACTTTATTTTTAGGTAACACCACGGAGGACGCCATGAGAGCTAAGGCCGTTGGGTAACCGCCCTTTCCGCTCGCGCTGCGTCGTCTCCCTGCCCCGAACCACCGGCAACCGATGCTGGGAGCGGTTGAGGGCGGCCGGCTGCGCGCTGGAACCCCGCCCGCCTCGAGGCTCCTACACAGGCGCGCGGGGCAGGCGTGGAGCCCGCCCTGGGAGGGCCCCGCAGGAGATGGGGAAATGGAGGGACGCCTCACCAGGGCGCTTCCTGGGGCCAGGCGACGCCTTCTCCTTGGAGCCTCCAAGACCGTCCCTCCTAGAAACGAGAGAGTCTGACCGGGCGCGGTGGCTCACGCCTGTAATCCCAGCACTTTTGGAGGCCGAGGCGGGTGGATCACCTGAGGTCGGGGGTTCGAGACCAGCCTGGCCAATATGGTGCAATCCCGTCTCTACCAAAAATACAAAAATTAGCCAGGCGTGGTGGCGCGCACTTGTAGTCCCAGTTACTTGGGAGGCTGAGGCAGAATTGCTTGAACCCAGGAGGCGGAGGCTGCAGTGAGAGGAGATCACACCACTGCACTTCAAGGTGGGAGCAAGACTCTATCTCAAAAAAAAAAAAAAAAAAAAACTGGTACAGAAGCAACTCACTGACTTGAGTTTGTAGTAGCTTCAGAACAAACTTTCATCATCAGATCCTTTCTGCTCATTTGCAGGATTCCTACCGTCTGTCTCCACATGATGACGCTGAAGAGCCTTCACGTCTATGACGGCCTAGGGCCTCAAGTGCAGAGACTGACAGCTCTGCCAGACACAGCATGGAGCCGCCATTCCTCTACTGTTCAGTGATTGGGTGGAAGAGCATCTGTCCTCTGAACAGGGGATCCAAGCCCTGAGATGATGTTTCTCAGCAGTCAGTGTGGCCCAGGACTTTCTGTGGGCATGCTCAGAGAGCAGGGGCCAGAGGACTTTTAGCCACCACCTTCTATGGCCAGTCTTCACAAATTACCTTTGGCTAATTTGATTGTCTCTCCTCCTGGGGTCTAGGACTTCAAACACATACAGAAGCGATTGCAGAATTGAAACAAGACACTTCCACAATATACTTTTTGTATCAGTGGCTCAGAAAAAGACTCATTCAAATCCTGTATCAAAGCCATGTGTGAGCATCTTGAGAAAGCATTGACTGACTAACTTGACAAGGGAGGAAGCAAACAAGAATTCTGCCCTTCTTCAGTGCCTGAGTGTGATATTTTGCCTCAACATCCCTCTTAGATGAAGTTACTGATTGAAAATCATTTAAGTTTTTGCCCCGTGATAAAAGATCGCGTCCTCAGAAAGATCTCCAAAGCATTTACTGTTTGTTTGGTTTGGTTTTGGTAAGTTTACCATGATTTTGCTTGAATTGCTCTCCGTTGATCTTCTCAGCTAAGATCGAGGTAGAGTTGCACAGCAGAAGAGGGCTGCATGTAAGGAGGCAGCTCTGTCTCGGAGGACAAAAGGCCTGGGAGCATCCAGACAGGCAGTCACTGTGTGGAGGACACTCCCCTCCCAGTGGCCACTGTGGAGGCATTTCATAGAAATGCTCGCTGGACCATTCAGTTTTAGAGTTGGGACAAAACCGAGAACTCATGAGGATATTGGATAGGAGTTAGGAAATGACTTTTTCCCACAACCCAGGCAAGGAGGGGAGAACCCTGGGCTTGAGACTTGCAATCCACTGCCTGCCCCTGCAGTGTGGCCTGTTACGTTTTCTGCAACTCTGCCTTCTTGAGTCCAAATGTCTTCGAAAGGGGCAAATGCTTCTTAAGTGCCAACAGGGTGTGTTTCAGTGAATGTTCACAGTGTGCACTGGTCCGGCTGAAGGCCTCTTCCCTTCCCCAACACCCACCCATCAGTGCAAAAGACTGCTGCCCAGCAGGGAGTGACATCTGTGTCTCAGATTTTCTTGCTGTGCTCTGAGTACTCACTCCTCATCTCCTTTGGCCAGTTTCCTAACACTCCCCTTGTTCACAACACAGAACATGAGTGCTCTTTCCTGTCATTCTGACGCTGATAAACAGCAATTCTGTGTGAAAATGAGAATGAAGATTTTTTTAAAGACAGGCTACAATAATTCCCATGCTGAGAACCACATGTGATGACACTTGTGATGAAGATGAGGACAGCAATGAGCTGAGAGACTCCAGCCAGGATTCACACATGCGAGGGGATGCATGAGAATGGGGATGGGACATTGGTGGTTAGCATCCTTGCTTGTCTCAGAATGGACGTGGGTTGTGGATTTCTAACTCCTGGAGAAACCAGAGTTCTAGGAATTGTAAGCCACTTTATGTTAGGAAAGAAAAAGACGGTGTTCTGCTCTCCTGTCCCTTAAAACTGTGCGTACTGCCACTAAACCTGGAAGCTGAGAACAGTATAATGGCTACTCCTGACTTCCTTTCATCAAATCAGCCTGCTATTGTTTTCTGCAATGGTTGTGGTGCAGAATCTTTTTGTGGTGCAGCCAAGATTCACACTTGAGTCTCCTTACTGCAAGTTTGCACTCTCACAGTGGAGAGTTAACAATAATTGCCTAATATGTTACACTTTTTTGGGAAGAGTTACCAGATAAAGTGCAAGATCCCAGTGAAATGTGAATAGCACAGATAAAGGACAGATTTTTTTTGTAAAAGTGTACTGTAAATGTCATATGGATCATAATTATAGTAAAAACTAATTCACTGTTTATCTTCAATTCAAATTCCACTTGGTATTCTTTATTCATACTTGCTAAATCTGGCCACTATGTTCTTTCATGTATTTTTAATTTTAAAAAACAGTCCAACATCTCATTCTAGCAATTTACCTACAGAAATAAAGAGAGGAACCACATTACTGGGACAAATACAGTCACTGCAAATATCAGAAGAATACTAGAACATATTAATATATTAATTTTTACCCCCAAAAAACTGAAAATATTTTTAGACAGCAAAAATAGCTTCATTATGCTTTTGATTGCATAATATATCTCTGGAAAGATGAAAAAGAATCAGGTAACACCTATTTCCTCCAGGAAAGAAAATGTGGTGGCCAGAGAAAAGAGGTGGGAGGAAGGCTGGTCATTGCCTATTCCACTGTGCACAATTTGAATTTGGAACCATGCAAAAGTATTGCTTAGTTAAGTTAAAATCATGTAAAAGATACAAAATAAACATTTAACACCAGCACAATATGCTGGGAAACAAAATGAAAGGATTTCTGGTCTCGGTGCTGTAGGTCACATAGCCACTCTTTCCTGGACTGAGTCTTCCTAAGAAAGGGGACGGGAAGTAAGGCTGGCCTACTGGTGTGGACAGATTCCAGCAACATACATGACCTGGGGGCACAAGGACTGCTTCCTAAACAATGATGAGCACACAGCCACCTAATAGCCTGGATCAGCTGAGGCCATTCTGATTTCAAACACTCAGTCCCCTTGCCTTCCTAAGAACCCCTGTGTTTCTCAGACTGAAAACGTGTTCTGAATTTTGTTAAGTAAGTGTGGCCCCTGTTGAAATTCATCAAGAGTGGGAAAGAGCCAAAGTGGGAAGGAGCATGGGTTGATTGGCACAAAAGTAGGTCTGTTGATAAAGAATGGAAGTAAAGGGGACATCAGGTAGAAGCTTTTGCTGTGAGTCAGAAGGACAATTTAAAAGTTGCCTAAAGAGGCGCACACTGTCTGTGTTGCTGCCATCCAGTTGGATGGCAACCAACTGAACCAAGGGAACCTCAGGTTCTTGCCTACTGGCCAGAGCCCTTCACAGAATGTCCCCCACCCCCGCCAAGCCCGGCTGCCCACTGCCCCTCCCCCTCTGCAGAATGTCTGGGGTCCTGTGTTCCAAACCTGTTTATATGCAAATTATCCCTGCTCCACTTGGACTCAGGAGGATCTGCTGAGTCAGGTCACTCTCTGGGTCCTGCCCTTGACTTTTTTCATTGCGGAAGCTGCCAGACAGTGGTGGTCAGTGCCCAGCCTGAGGGGATGGCTTCAAATGGAGGTGAGCCTGTAGGGATGGGGCATTATCCTAGTCTGCCTTGCCTCAACTCCTTGGGAATTCAAATTTGAACTGTCCCTGGGGACAGCTTATAGGGCTGATGTTGAGGGAGCACTGGATGTCCCCAAGGACATCACACCTGGGGATGGCCATGGCACCCTGAGTCTGTGGTTAGGGAGGAGGGCTCCTTAGAGGCGGACCAAGATGCCTGGGGGAATACACCGTGTAGTGGAAAGGATGGAGAGGATGGCTTGATCCTTTCTAGAGGGGGACAGGTCACGTCATTGTGTTTGTAGGGAGTGGTGGGATCGTGTTGTGCTGGTGGCCCAGGGAGAATGACGGGCAAGCCTGAGCCCTGTGCCGTGTCTTCAGGCACCTGGAAGGTGCCCTTCCATAGTGTTTAGAGGGATTTGGACTGGAGTTTTCTAGTTCTTAGAGAGGAGTGGGGAGAAGTGGTCTCAGCCAGAAAACTGTTGGGTGGGTTGGCTGTGACAGAGCATGTAGTGACAGCCTCTGGGTGGGCAAGGCTGGGGGCCACTGTAACTGCCACAGCCCAGAGCCTCTCAGCTTCCTCCCCAGAGATGGCTTCTCCGTCAGTTCAGGTAGCTGTTGGCTTTGATTTAACAGGGGTGGGGGCAGAATGGGGAAGTTCAGGCAACACAGGGCCTGGGTTTCCTGAGTTGTTCTGAATTGTTTGCCCTTTGGTGGAAGCTCAGGTCTTCAGACCCACTTCCTCTCGTCAGCTAGCTCGTGGCCCGTCCTCTGTACTTTGTGTTACTGTGGAGGTGAAGAATTTGCTCCTGTTCCATTTATACTACCTCATGAACGGGCGACAGGTGTGGATTCTTGCTGGTTCTCAGTGGAAGGCTCTGAAAAGGCTGGTTTCCTTTTCAGTAGAGGAAGGAGAGTAGCGCACAAATAGGAAGACAGTCCTATTATTATTATTATTCAAACTAGGATGTGTGTCCTGACTGATGAGGTGCATGCGCTGTATCCCTTATTCCCCTTGGCTAGAGACTGCATGAGGTCCTAGTGAACAGGGATGAGTTCCAGACAACTCTGCCTCACCTGGCCTGTGGCCCAAGAACCCCTGGTTCTTCGTTGGTCCCTATGTTCAGTTACTGGGAGCTCAAAGGAGAAGGACCAGAGATGGGCTCCCTGTCCCACTATTTAGTGTAACATGACTAGCAGCTGTGAAAATCCCTGGCCGGGCGCGGTGGCTCACGCCTGTAATCCCAGCACTTTGGGAGACCAAGGCATGTGGATCACGAGGTCAAGGAGTTCAAGACCAGCCTGACCAATATGGTGAAACCCCGTCTCTACTAAAAATACAAAAATTGGCTGGGCATGGTGGCGGGAGCCTGTAATCCCAGCTACTCAGGAGGCTGAGGCAGGAGAAGTGCTTGAACCTGGGAGGCAGAGGTTGCAGTGAGCTGAGATCGCACCACTGCACTCCAGCCTGGGTGACAGAGCGAGACTCCGTCTCAAAAAAAAAAAAAAAGAAAAAAAAGAAAATCCCTAGACACCTCCCCTGATAGCCCTGCTGCTCACCATTTGCTGGCTGTGTTCTAGTCATGTGCAGCTGTTGCTGGCTACACAATGACAATATCTCAGGGGACTCCACCACTGCTTCTCAGATCTGCTCCCTGGGAACTGAGCTTCCTGAGTGGCAGCTGGGACCACTGAGCACTGAGGAATGGGTGGCCTGAATCTGACCCCTATTTAACACTTGTGTGGGTGGTGCCAGGACAATCACTTGCATGCTGGGCGTTATGTGTTATGGGTTATCTTCAGGGTTCCTAGGGCGCTGGCTTGGGCGAGTTTCCATCCAGTGGTTTTTTTTTTTTTTTTTTTTTTTTTTTTTTTTTTTTTTTTGAGACGGAGTCTCGCTCTGTCACCCGGGCTGGAATGAAGTGGCACGATCTCGGCTCACTGCAGCCTCTGCCTCCTCGGTTCAAGCAATTCTCCTGTCTCAGCCTCCTGAGTAGCTGCGATTACAGGCACGCATCATCAGCTAATTTTTGTATTTTAGTAGAGATGGGGTTTCACCACGTTGGCCAGACTGGTCTTCAACTCCTGACCTCAGGTGATCCACCCGCCTGGGCCTCCCAAAGTGCTGGGATGACAGGCATGAACCAGCATGCCCGGCCTATCCAGTGGTTTTCTTTTGTTGTGTTGAGCTAGGAAAGAAAGGGGTTTACAAGAGCTTCAGGGAAAGGAAGACTGAAGAGGAGATGGGGCCATAATATTCGGAAACTTCTGGTTTCCTGTCGGCCTTCTGAATGCCGAGCACTGCCCTGGGGTAGGCCCCTCACCTGCTGCTGAGCACACTGAGAGCCACCAAGCCACCGAGAGACTCATCCCTGACCCACGGCTTGGGAGATGCCTGTGAGGCTGGTGCAGTCTGCCAGGGACACCCGAGGGAGACCCTCAGAGACAGCAAAGGCTTGGCTGTTTCTTCTTGGCAGACAAGGGTCAGGGAGTCTTGGTGACTGGCGCCAGGCTCTCTAGTGGAGCGACTCTGCCGTGGAGGAACAGAGCATCTGATGCACACTCAGGGACACTTGCAAGCTGCAGAGTTTCCCTGTCACATGCCCTCAGCTGTTGGGACTCCCCTGATTCCCCAGTGACTAGAGTGGACCTGGAGACGCCAGCTCATTCACCTCTTTCCTTTGTCTCCACAGCATACCCAGTGCTGGGACCCGGCGTGACCGTGAACCCTGGCACCTCCCTGTCTGTGTTCACGGCTCTGCCCTTTGCCACACCCTCTCCCGGCCCAACACACAGGCCGCCCCTCGTGACTGCAGTGGTTCCTCCAGCCGGCCCTCTGGTGCTCTCTGCCTTCCCCAGCACCCCTCTAGTGGCAGGACAGGATGGCCGCGGCCCAAGTGGGGCTGGGGCTTCCAACGTCTTTGTCCAGATGAGGACAGAAGTGGGGCCTGTGAAGCCCCCTCAGGCACAGACCTTGATCCTAACTCAGGCCCCCCTCGTCTGGCAGGCTCCAGGCACCCTCTGTGGAGGTGTCATGTGTCCACCTCCCCTACTCCTGGCAGCTGCTCCTGGGGTGCCCGTTACCTCTGCCCAGGTGGTTGGGGGCACCCAGGCCTGTGAGGGAGGCTGGTCCCATGGCCTTCCTCTTCCACCACCACCACCGGCTGCCCAGGTGGCCCCCATCGTGTCCCCAGGGAACGCTGGGCCATGGCCACAAGGGGCTCATGGAGAGGGCAGCCTGGCTCCCTCCCAGGCCAAGGCCCGGCCGGACGACTCCTGTAAACCCAAGAGTGTCTATGAGAACTTCCGACTCTGGCAGCACTACAAGCCCCTGGCCCGGAGGCACCTTCCCCAGAGTCCTGACACTGAAGCGCTTTCCTGCTTCCTCATGTGAGTGTCCTCGGGGCGCCGGAGCTTGTCCTGCAGCTCACTCATAAAGAGGCTGCTGGATGGACAGGAGGTCACACTGTTCAGGGGAGCTTGCAGGGCGGTTGTGAGGGTGATGGGTTGTGCTATGGGAAGGTACATTTTCAGCAACATTAATCTGGCTGTGGCTCAGGACAGACTGTCAGGGGCCTCATGTCAACTGCCTGTCACTGTCCCGTGAGTCCAGCCAATCCTTAATTTTTTTTTTTTTTTTTGAGATGGACTTTCACTCTTGTTGCCCAGGCTGGAGTGCAATGGCGCGATCTCAGCTCATCACAACCTCCGCCTCCTGGGTTCAAGTGATTCTGCTGCCTCAGCTTCCTGAGTAGTTGGGATTACAGGCATGTGCCACCATGCCTGGCTAATTTTGTATTCGTAGAGATGGGGTTTCTCCATGTTGGTCAGGCTGGTCTTGAACTCCCGACCTCAGTTGATCTGCCCGCCTCAGCCTCTCAAAGTGCTGAGATTACAGGCATGAGCCATCATGCCCCGCCCCAATACTTACTTTCTTTTCTTTTCTTTTCTTTTTTTTTTTTTTTTTGAGATGGAGTCTCACTCTGTCGCCCAGGGTGGAGAGCAGTGGCGTGATCTCGGCTCACTGCAAGCTCTACCTCCCAGGTTCACGTCATTCTCCTGCCTCAGGCTCCCGAGTAGCTGGGACTACAGGTGCCCGCCACCATGCCCGGCTAATTTTTTTGTATTTTTAGTAGAGACGGGGTTTCACCATGTTAGCCAGGATGCTCTCAATCTCCTGCCCTGGTGATTCTCCCGCCTCGGCCTCCCAAAGTGCTGCGATTGCAGGCATGACCCACCGTGCCCGGCTTTTACTTTCAATAATTTTCACAACCATGTTTACAGAAGACCCAGGTCAGAGAGGGTTCTTGGTGTGACGTGAGCCACGGTTTGGGTTTAGGTCTTTTTTGTTTGTTTGTTTGAGATGGAGTCTCGCACTGTCACCCAGGCTGGAGTGCAATGGTGCGATCTTGGCTCACCGCAACCTCTGCCTCCTGGGTTCAAGCAATTCTCCTGCCTCAGCCTCCCAAGTACCTGGGATTACAGGTGCCCGCCACCATGCCCGGCTAATTTTTTTGTATTTTTTAGTAGAGACGGGGTTTCACTATGTTAAGCAGGCTGGTCTTGAACTCCTGGCCTTGTGATCCACCCGCCTCAGCCTCCCAAAGTGCTGGGATTGCAGACGTGAGCCACCGCACCCACCCTGGGTTTAGGTCTTTGAGTGTACACCCCAGTGCCTTCCCTCGAACTGAGTGTCAATGGCCAGGGGCACATCACATGGGGCTGGGGGGAGGAGCTGCAGGGCCCAGCAGAAACCTGGCACACACCCACTCTTCTGCCGCGGTCCAGTTAGCACAGCGGTGGTGGAGCCTGCACAGGGGGATGGTCTTGGGACCCGCACTAGGGTCGATGCTGGGCAGGTATTAGCATCTTCACCGTCAATCCCCCCTAGAAAAAAGGACAATGGTGCTTCATTCAGAGGATGGCAAAGAGATGACTTGAACTCACATATGACATACGTAGCACAGTGCCTGGCACATACTATGACACATTACATGACAGCAATTAGGATTACTGTCCCCATTACTACCATTATCAGGACTAGGCCATCTAGGAGAGTGCTCCCCAAAGCCACGGGCTCCAGTGATAGCTCTGAGTGCACCACGAGCCCAGCAGCCCAGAGCCGTGGACTGTGGTGACTGTGAGGCAGCAACATCAGCATCTGGGAGAGTTTGTGGTTTCATTCCCAGTCCCTGCCTCTCTCCACCCCACGGCACCTCTGTGACCCTTTGTTTCCCGCTGATGAGCAAACAGGAGCTTGAGCATATCCACCGTGCAACACACTGGCCGTTCCCCTAGGGGAGTCCCCTGCCTGGGGTGTAGGTGAAGGCGGTCCCGTCTTCCTCCCCAACAGTCTCGCTGCCCCCACACCCTGGAACTGGTTGCATCCCCCCTTGGAGCGGAGTCCCGGTGCACTGGGGACCCTGATTCTTGGAGTGTAGCCGCCCCGGGCTCACAGGCCTTTGCCTTGGCTCCTGTGGGAATGTGGGAAGCTGTGCCTGGCTGCTTGCAGTGGCTTGGACACCGCTCTGCTTTGGTTCTGGACATGTGCTCCTGCTCCTCAAGCTCCAGGACCCTGAGGCTGTGTCCCCAGGGGCTGCCTTGCTCCAGAGTCCCCAGGAAGCTGGTTAAATGCTCAGTCCTGTGGCCCAGGAACCTGCACTTTAACCCTCGCTCCCAGGTCATTCTGTGTGCATGGTGTCTCAGTCAGCTCAGGCTCTGCCGTAACGAATCCCATAGACTGGGTGCTTTATCAAGACACATTCATGTCTCCCAGTTCCAGAGGCCAGAAGTCCCAGATCAAGGTGACAGCGGATTGGGTGTCTGGTCAGGGCCCTCTTCCTGGCTGGAGAGAGCTGCCTCTGGCTGTGTGCTCTTGTGGCTGAGAGCAAGAGCCCTGGTGTCTCCTCCTGCCCTTATCAGAGCTCGGATTCCATGACTGGGACCCACGCTCATGACCTGCTCTAACCCTGATTGCCTCCAAATACTGACACACTGGCACTGAGGGCTTCAACACAGGAATGTTGGGGACACACATGTTCCACCCATAGCACTGAGTTCACTTGTCAACATCATAACACCGAGGACTTGAGGGGCAGTCGGAGAGGCCACTCAGTGGCTTCTGTTGATGTTGGATCTTGGGGGTGTGTCCTGGAGGCTGAGGAGCCCACATGGGGGAGAACAGGACAGGGACAGATGGCAGGACAGGTGTGGGGAGGACAGGAGCCAGGTGTTGGGACCAGGTGGGCCCGGGATGGAGGGTGGGCTTACAGACTGGGACTGACTGCACTGGTTTACAGCCCAGTTCTCCGATCCCTGGCCCGGCGGAAGCCCACCATGACGCTGGAGGAGGGACTGTGGCGGGCCATGCGGGAATGGCAGCACACGAGCAACTTTGACCGGATGATTTTCTACGAGATGGCGGCAAAGTGAGTCTGGGGTCCTGGGGGCAGGGCCCGTGTGGCGGGGTGAGAGTGAATGACAGAGGCCCGGTGGCCGTGGTGGCTTCTCAGCGTGGAGCATGAGGAGGGTGTGGACAAACACAGGACGCCCTGGGCCCCTGGCTCCCTCAGGAAGCTGCTCCTGCCACCTAGAGTGCTCTGGGGTCTCTGTCCCGCCCTCTTGGGAAGCACCCCCTGCCTGGCCTGGGGCCAACCGCTGCCTTGACACTGGGGGTCATGGCGGGAGCAGCCAGCATCGCAGCCCAAAGGGGGTCTCCTCCAGCTGTGGGGATGGGAAGAAGGGGCGCTAGTGACTAAAGACAGAGTGGGGGGCAGGCTCCTCACAGCAGTGGCCGGAAGTCGGTTTTCTCCCATCCCAGCCTGGCCAGGGAGTTGGGTCAGGGGAGACCTGTACCTGGGACACCATGAGACCCCTCTCTGGCCTGACTGCCTTTGCTCCTGGGCAGAACCGTCCGTGAAGACAGACAGACAGCAGCCTCAGGGGAAACGGGCCCTGTCCTCTGGGCTCAGCTTTTGCTTCCTCCTGACCAGGGGTCTCCCGGGCCTCGTGTCCCTGGGTTATCCTTCAGGGGCCCACAGTCCCAGCCTCAGGACTCCTGCATCTGGGCATCATCCCTGACGCCTTCTGCCATCAACCCCACCCCCGGCCAGCTGATACCTGGAGGAGGGGTTCCCGGGACCCTCCTGGACCTCGTGGCCCTGACTTGAGTCAGGAAGCCCCATTGATGCCATGGGCTCTGCAGGGGCCGGGTGAGGGAGGGTGAGCCCAGAACTCTGGGAGCAGCTCCCTCCTGGGACTGGGGGATGGGTCCCAGTGAGGGCCTAGACAGCCCGCCGGAGGCACTCCCTCCCATCCCTGCCCTCGGCTGCTGCCTGGTCCTGGGGGGAGGGGGCCTGGACCCTCTCAGCACAGCCTGGGCCTCCTTCACCCCCAGGTTCCTGGAGTTTGAGGCTGAGGAGGAGATGCAGATTCAGAAATCGCAGTGGATGAAGGGGCCCCAGAGCCTGCCTCCTCCAGCCCCGCCGAGGCTTGAACCTCGAGGACCCCCTGCCCCTGAGGTGGTCAAGCAGCCAGGTACAGCTTCCCACATTCCCACAGGAGCCATGGCAAAGGCCAAAGGGGCCAAGGGAGGCCACTGTCCCCACATCCCATGCTTCCCTTCAAGAGGGGGATTTGCTCCCTCCAACAGGACAGCTTCCGGGACTGTATGTTGGGTATTGACCAGGTCAATACCTACTTCATGGGTGGCCCGTGATCACGAAGCAGGGTATTGACCGGGCCAAGTTTCCTACTTTCTCTCTCCCCTTGCCTGTCCAAAACTCCACATATGCTCTGCCCAGGAAGCAGAGATGAGCCGGGAGAGTACACGGCATATCGGTGGCTCCAAACTTCCTCCCAAGCGATGCTGTCTCAGATGTGCCCCTCCTGCGGCGTCTCCTCCGGGGCGCTGTGGTTCAGGTGGTCCTGACCCAGCTGGGACCCACTTCACATCCCCAAGCCCTGCCCTCCCCTGTGTGGTGCAGGCAGGAGGAGCGGCCCTCACCACACCCATCCTCCTCCCTCTCTGCCTCAGTGTACCTTCCCAGCAAGGATGGCCCCAAGGCCCCGACTGCCTGCCTGCCACCACCCAGGCCCCAGAGGCCAGCGGAGACCAAGGCCCACCTGCCACCACCCAGGCCCCCGAGGCCAGCAGAGACCAAGGTCCCTGAGGAGATCCCCCCTGAAGTGGTGCAGGAGTATGTGGACATCATGGAGGAGCTGCTGGGGTCTCACCCTGGGGACACAGGGGAGCCTGAGGGACAACGGGAAAAGGGCAAAGTGGAGCAGCCGCAGGAAGAGGACGGGATGACCTCAGACCCGGGCCTCCTGAGCTACATTGACAAGCTGTGTTCCCAGGAAGACTTTGTCACCAAGGTGGGCTTGCCTGGAGTGCTGTGGTCTGTAGGATTCCAGGGGGTGGCACTTCCAGGTCCTTGGAATTAAGCTCTGTTCCTTAGCTACTCAGTAGTATGTGTATTTCCATGGATTTGAGTGTCTGTGTATGTGACTGTGTGTGTCTGTGTGTTGCTGTGTGTTTGTGTCTGTGATTTGTTACTGTGTCTTTGTGTGTCTGTGTGGGTGTGGGTGTGAGTCTGGAGTGTGTATGTTACCTGTGTCTGTCTTTTCCTGTGTTGTACATGGGTCTGTGTGTCTGTGTGTGGTTTGTGTGTCTCTGTATGTGTGTATGCTATGAGGTCTGTGGTCTGTGCGTGTAGCTGGTGGTCGCCATGATATGAAACAGCCCCAGGAGGGTGGGAATGGGGCCCTCCCTGCTTTCTGCATCTCCTCCGGGTGTCCTTGGCTCCAGGTTACTCCCTCCCCAGGAAGTTCACACCTTCTTCCTTCTGTTTCCAGGTGGAGGCCGTCATTCACCCCCGATTCCTGGAAGAATTGCTTTCCCCAGATCCACAGATGGATTTCTTGGCCCTAAGCCAGGAGCTGGAGCAGGAGGAAGGACTCACCCTTGCCCAGGTAGAGCAGCAGAGGGAGGGGAACCCAGGTACTCCAGGGGCAGGAGGGACCCGGCACACAAGGCCCACCCGACTGTCTAAGCCCACCCTGCTGGGGATGTTCAGCTTCTTGGGGAGCCACTCCGGGGTGGGAAGATGCAGGTTCAGAGGGAGTAGGATGGAGAGGAGCCAGGGAGGGGAGTCAGGATGCAAGCTGCAGTGAGGCCCAACGGGATGCCCGGCAGAGCCACACCCTCTCTCTTTGACATGAAGCCCAGCTGCCTCAGGCTTCCCTGCCTCCCACCCAAGTGCCCTGGTCTCCACCATTCTGGGCCCTGCTCACACCTGGGGCAGCGCCAGTAAGTGCCCCCTTTCCTTCCGCAGCTAGTGGAGAAGCGCCTCCTGTCCTTGAAGGAGAAAGGGTGCGGGAGGGCAGCCCCTCGACATGGCACGGCCAGGTTGGACTCAAGTCCTTCTGAGTTTGCAGCTGGCCAAGAAGCAGCGAGAGAGGTCCCTGACCCCCAACAAAGGGTCAGCGTGGAAACCTCCCCACCCCAGACGGCTGCCCAGGACCCTCAGGGACAGGGCAGAGTGCGCACTGGCATGGCCAGGTCCGAAGACCCTGCTGTGCTTTTGGGATGTCAGGACTCCCCCAGGCTGAAGGCTGTCCGGCCAACCTCTCCTCCCCAGGACCACAGACCCACCTGCCCCGGCCTGGGGACCAAGGACGCCTTGGGTCTCCCTGGAGAGTCTCCTGTCAAGGAGTCACATGGGCTGGCTAAGGGGTCAAGTGAGGAGACGGAACTCCCTGGCATGGTCTATGTCGTGGGTTCCCACCACAGGCTGAGGCCCTGGAGGCTGTCCCAGAGCCCTGTCCCTTCCTCGGGCCTTCTCAGCCCAGGAGGGAGAGGACCCCAGGGAGCTCTTCAATCTCCATCTGCTCAGAAAAGAGGCCTCAGCCCATCACCTTCTCCTGCCAGCAAGTCCAAGAAGCGACCTCTCTTTGGAAGCCCATCCCCTGCTGAAAAGACACCGCACCCAGGGCCTGGGCTCAGGGTCTCTGGGGAGCAATCCCTGGCTTGGGGGCTGGGTGGCCCCTCACAGTCTCAAAAGAGAAAGGGTGACCCCTTGGCCTCCAGGAGGAAGAAGAAGCGGCATTGTAGCCAGTAGGGGCCGCCATGGGGCAGACTCTCTGATGCCAGTCCCCAAAAGTGGGGCTCTGAAGTCTCGGACCCTCATGGCACCCGGTGCCCCAAAGCAAAGGCTGCTTCTCCTCCAGTGCTGATCTTGCTGGGCCTTAGCTTTGGAGGGTAGGGGAAGGAGGGGAGGGAGAAGGTGGCTGAACGGGGAGGGCAGGAAGGGAGGGCCTGGGGGGTGGGAAGCAGTGCCTTGGGGGCCTTGTGTGTAAATGTGAATAAATGTAGTTGTTTTGGAAAATGCTCTCAGGGCTGCTGCCTCTGCCCTTGGCGTTGTGCTGCTTTGTGGAGGGTGTCTGTGAGGCCTCAGGGCTGAGGAACTGGGAGAGGCCAGGCACTGGGAACCCACAGGGGCTGGCCCCACTCTTTTCTCCTGTTATAGGGGGCCCCTTCAGATGCTCTGGGGACTGACAGATGCTGAGGAAGCCCTGATCCCTCCCACCATCCACTCACAAGGCCCCGCCTGCTTTAGGGAGGCTTCTCGGGGCCTCCCATCATTATCAGTATCCCTGGAAAATCCTGGGATGGAGAGAGCTGGCTGGCTTTTTTTCTGCTCGGTGGGAGCTGAGGAGAAGGCAGCTGCCTGCAACATGGACATGGGGAGAGGCGGCTGCTCCTGCTTAACCCTCATCAGGAAGAGCACGGGCACTGGGCTGAGGGGAGACGTTGAGGTGACCGTCCACATGGGTGTGTTTGGGATATGATGAGGGGCGCAGAGCAGGGGCCTGTTTCTGGGCAGGAGAGAGTCTTGTCCAACTGGCTGAAGCAGATGCTCCTTGCTGTGGCCACATGGAATGGCCTCAGGGGCCCTCAGGGTCTTGCATGGAGCTCCCCCAACAGCTATGATTCCCTTCCCATATGATGACTGAACTCGTGTGGAATTGATGTAGACACAGATTTACATTGGCATCTAAAACAGTTCCCTCCCAACACACCATCACCAACGGGAACAAGCATGACCAGCCTGCCAGGCGCAAGGTGGGTGTGTCTGCTGGTCCCAGGGCCAGGAGAAGCTGGGGCCCAGGCCGAGAGGGGCCGAGGGTCAGTCGCCCTTCTGCCAGGCACAGACCCCAAGGGCAGAGCAGGGGCTGCCTGGGATGTGGCACTGGCTGTCTGGAAGTGCCCTGAGAGTCGGGGGCCAGGTGTTCACTGAAGGGAGACTTCTGGAGTCTATGAGTGAGATGAGGACTGCATCAGGAGAGGGACTGAGGCTGGGGAGGATACTCTGCTTTTTCCCAGGTTGTCCTGTCCTCCCCATCTCTGCTGAACTCCCCTCACCCCATGTGGCCGACCTCTGCCCCCCTTACCCCTAACCCACCTCTCAGAATCTCAGATCCCAGCATGGACAGGACCCAGCACCTGCCCTGGTTCCCTCCTGGCCAACACCTTCTTCTCCACAGTCTGAGTTCTGATTCCTCTCCAGGGCCCTTGTTGGCTCAGGACCGCTGTGACTGCCAGAGCACTGGTCCCAGCACTGCCTGCATGCAGAGCTGTGGTCATGGTGCTGGGAGTTGGCCCAGCAGCAGAAGCTGATGGGGCAAAGCTCTCTGGTATATGGCGGCCTGGTCCCTCTGCCAAGTGACAAAGGGAGCCATGTTTGGGTTCTCTCTGGCCCCATCTGCCCACAGAACACAGCAGTCAGCCAGACAGATGCCTCTCTGCCCCATCCCTTCTGCTGCATGTGGGCAGTGTCGGAGGCCTGCCACCCGCTTTCGCCTTTGGGAAGGAGAGTTTATCTTGGCAGGGCTTCCCCAGCTGAGGGCACAACAGGCCCTTGGGGAAAATGTGGGGAGTGAAGAGTCACTGGTGGGTGATGTGGGCAGCTCCCGTGACTCCTCTACATTCAGGGCCATCCTCAGGAGACAAGGTAACACCTCCCCTTTGCAGGGTTTAGGAATGTTAAGTGAGCCGTGTTTGAAGGGAATGTGGTCCGTACTCTGGCGTGTGTGGGTGCTCAGCCAACTTCCTCACCTAAGTGTGAAAGTGATACCTTGGTTTAGTGACACCTCGGGGCTTCTGCTGGTTTACCCCACTAGCTGTTTCCTGCCCCACTGTCCCTGTCCTTGTTTTGGCTGAGCCATTTCCAAGAGGCAGAACCTATGCTTCCTTCACCTCTGTGTCCCGCCTGAGCCCTACAATCTGCCCCTAAATGGGCACAGTGGGGCTGACTGGGGGACTCTGATGGACTTAACATGTGTCCCCCCCGCCCAGTTCCTGTGGTGAAGCCCTAACTCCTAACGTGATGGTATTTGGAGATGGGGCCTTTGGGAGTTATTCAGGGTTAGAAGAGAACATGAGGGTGGGGCCCTAATGATGGGATTAGGGCCATGGTAAGAAGCAGAGATCCCAGCACTCTCTCTCTCTCCCTGACATGAGGACACAGTGAGAAGGCAGCCGTCTGCAAGCCAGGAAGAGAGCCCTCACCAGAACCTCACCTTGCTGTGACCCTAACGTCAGACTTCCAGCCTCCAGACTGACAAATACATTTTGTTTCTTAATACGCACCGCCTCCCCCACCCACCAAGTCTAGGACACTTTGTCCTAGCAGCCCTATGTGACTAGGACAAGGTCCATCATCTCAGGAACTTCCTTCCTGACTGGTATCTGGAAACTGTATCAGAGCCATGGGAAAGAATGAAGAAAGGCTCGGCTCTTTACGACTGTCAGCACACCTCCACCCCAAGTGCAGTGTATCACACGTGAACCAGTACTGCTGTGGGACACAGTGCAAGGGAATCTGTAAACACCCATGACATCGTCATATCCACACTTGGGGAAGCCAAGCAGCTTGCTCACAGCAGGTGCTGGGGGTATGCTGAGGCTCTCGGTGGGTTTGGCCTCCCTGCTCACGCAGCCAGGTCACTCTCTGGGAGCCAGTGCAGTTGGGGCGGCCCCGGGCAGGTTTGCCTCCAGAAACCACTCCCTTCACCACTGGACGACAGATCCCTGAAGAAGCCATGGCCTCCTGAGAAACTCCATCTGACAATGTGAGCAAGGCCGGCCCCCGTTAGTAAACATGCAGTGCTTTCTGACAGCTACCAGGATGGACTTGCTCCAGGTGGCTGCCCTTTTGTAGCTGCACTTTGATTCTAACTTCAGCATCCCATGATGTCCTTCAGGTCTTGGTGCCCTGGGCAATGTTAGTGAGAGTCACCTGGTTTGGGGGATCTGGGCCAGGCTGCCCCCTCCTGGCCAATCGGCTGATACCCGGCCAGGGCTGCCAGAGTCATTGTCACTGAGTCCCTGACCATTACTGGGTGCAGACTCTCAACAGTGGCCCCCACCCTGGCACATCCCCTGTGAGGGAGCTGATACGCTGGGTTTTACTGAATTCTGAGTTATGATGTCATTGAGCATGCTTTGTCTGCACACTTGTGCCCTTTGAGCTCATTTTAGGCAAATGTATCCGGACTAAGGTTGTATTTACCGATGGTTCATTTTCCGTCCTCATCTCAGTCCTCGGAAGGATGAATTCCACCTCTCAGGCCATGGTCCTTCCTCAGAGTTTCCTTTGTCTTAGTTCATTCCAAAGATCATGTTGTAGGGACGTTTATCACGTATACGGTATTTGCATAAACTGTATGAGCGATTAAAAGATATTCTCTGACATTAAACACAAACAACACAGAAATCTCACGGGTGACGATAGGATCACAAGATTCCTAATAAATGTAAGTGGATGGTTACTCAAGGTAAATCCCTTCATCCCCTTGCCCTTCATTAGAATAGACAGAAACTGACTGTATACAGGCTTTATTTACTCCTTTATAATGTGCCAAAATAAAACCCCAAGGCACAAATCACACAAACCAAGTCATGCCACTGGGACCATCGTGTGTCATCTGAGCTAGCTGGGCCATGCCAACTCCTACTCCATCTTCTGCTTTTCCCTGCATTCCTCACGAATGGGAGCTTCTGTGTGAGCATTCATAAGACATCCTGCATTCACGTCCACTGATGTGTTTTCTTTTTTAAAAAACTATGCACATTTTATTAGGAATGTTTCAACCACATAGAAAACATATAATAGAAACCAATATAGACACCACATAGACGTGGGCCATGTTAACATTCTACCGTTTGCTCATTTTTTAAATAAAACCTTTATGAAGACATTCACATAGCATGCTTTCACTCATTGAAATTGTACAATTTGGGTTTTTCATAGAATTTGCAACCATCACCACATTAAATATATTTATAGAATTTGCAACCATCACTGCATTAAGTCTACTTATAGAAATTGCAAGCATCATCACTATAAACTTTAGAACATTTTTATCACCTCAAAAAGAAAACCCCTAGGCTGGGTGCAGTGGCTCACGCCTGTAATCCCAACACTTTGGGAGGCCGAGGTGAGTGAATCACTTGAGGTGAAGAGTTCGAGACCAGCCTGGCCAACATGGTGAAACCCCGCCTCTACTAAAAATACAAAAATCAGCTGGGCATGGTGGCACACATGTGATCCCAGCTACATGAGAGGCTGAAGCAGGAGAATCGCTTGAACCGGAGAGGCGGAGGTTGCAGTGAGCCAAGATTGTGCCGCTGCACTCCAGCCTGGGTGACAGAGTGAGACTCCATCTCAAAAAATGAAGAAGAAAAAAAACCCCTTGTCCTTTAGCTATCACTCCCTGCCCCCCACCGATCTACATCCTAGGCCTACATAACCACGAACTGACTTTCTATATAGCTTTACATGCTCTGGACTTGCATATGAATGGAATCATACAATGTATGTCTTTCACACCTGTCTTATTTTACTTTAAATATTTCCAAGGTTCATCCATGTTTTTAGCATCTATCATTACATCAAACCTTTTTATTGCTGAATAATATTCCATTGGTGGATATCCTGAAACTTATTCATTCATCAGGTGATGAACATTTGGGTTGTTTTCACTTTTTGGCTACTGTGAATTATATATATATGTAATATATATATAATTACATATATATTATATATATTATATATATAATATATATAAAATAAAGAAAAAGAAAAAAGAAAAAAATATATATATTATATATAAAATAAAAAGAAAATATATATTTTATTTATATATATATATTTTTAAATCCTTTACAGGATATAATTTGCAGAAATAGTCTCCCGTTAAGTATATTCTTACTTCTTAATCTTTAGAAATTTTTCATCTTCCAAAACTAAAGTTCTGTACATATTAAACACTAATCCCACCACCACCACTCCCACTCCCAGCTCTTGGCAACCACTACTGTGATTTTGACTACTTTAAATACTTCATATGAAAAAAAAAAATCTGTCTTTTTGTGATTGGCTTATTTCACTTAGCATAATGTTCTTGAGGTTCACCCATGTTCTATCTAGCATGTGACATGGTTTCCTTCTTTCTGAAGGCTGCTTAGTCTTTATATATATTTACACAAATACACATATATACACCATATTTTATCCTTTCATCCACCAAAGTTATTTCGATTGCTTTTATCTCTTGGCTATTGTGAATAATGCTGCAATAAACATGGGTGTGCAAATATCTTTTTGAGATCCTGCCTTTAATTCTTTAGGTTATATACTGAGAAGTAAGATTGTTGAATAGTATGGTAATTCTATTTTTCGTTTTTAAACAACCTTCATACTATTTTTCATCACTGGGCACAGAGTCTCAAGAGTGGCCACCACCCTAGCACATCCCCTGTGAGGGACCTGATGAGCTGTTTTACTGAATTCTGAGTTATGATGTCATCAAGGATACTTTGTGCACACAACTGTGCCCTTTGAACTTATGTTAGGCAAATGTATTGAGACTAAGGCTGTCCTAATGCTGGTTCATTTCTCATCTTCATCCCAGTCCTCTGAAGGACCAATTCCATCTCTCCTGCCATAGTCCTTCCTTCTAATGTTCTTTGAAATGTATTACTTCATTCCAAAGATCACGACTAGGGACTTGTATTGGATGTATCTGTAGAAGTGTATTTGGGATTAAAAGACATTCTGTGACAGCAAATACAACAGACAAATGCCCAAGATGAATACAGGATCAGTAAGTTCCTAAAACCAGTCCTAAAGGGATTGCTCATGGTAAATTTATCGTCTCTTCCAATCTGTTCATGTGAACATGTTCAAATACAGATTCACTCATTAATGCACAGAAGGAGTCTTGAACGAGTTATGTTACAAGCCAGCTTATACCATGGGATCCTGCATGGGTCATTAGAACCAGCTAGGTGATACCAGGGCATTCTCCATCCTTCTATCCCACTGCCCTTTAATGAACACTAACTCTGGCTTTGTTGGATCCCTGTGTGCTGGCCTAGAAAGTAATGAGCACTGAGGACTCAGAAAATTCCCACTATTTCTGTCTCTGTGAGCTTCTCCAGCGGCCTGAGGGCCATATTTTCAGGGTATTTTTTACTTGCCACTCTACAAGTGCAAAAGACTGACAACCACTACATAAAGTTAATATTTGAAAAGTTTGCTCCAATGATACTTGAACAACCTATACAATGTAACTAAACAAGTGTAATTGAATTTTAATCTAATGTGTCTATAGTATAAGCTTTAATTACATAAAAATGGGAAGGAAAGGAAAGTTCTCAAACATTTGGAAATTGAAGTGCATTCTTCTAAATAGCTCATGAGTTATAATCTTGGGGGAAATTAAAAATAATAAAGACCTAAATATAAATAAAACATATAAAACATGGTAAGATACAGATAAAGCATTGTGAAGAGGGAAATAATCAGCGTTAGAAGCATATATTAGAAAAGAAGAAAAGTCTCACATCAATAATTTAAGCTTTCACCTAAAGAAACCAGAAAAAGAGCAAAATAAAATCAGAGCACGCAGAGGACAGGAAATAATAGGTAAAAGATGAAATCAATAAAATTGAAAAGAGAAAATCAATACAATTTAATTTTTTTTTTTTTTTGAGATGGAGTCTCACCATGCCTAGGCTGGAGTGCAATGGTGTGATCTTGGCTCACTGCAACCTCCGCTTCCTGGGTTCAAGCCATTCTCCTGCCACAGGTAGCTGGGACTACAGGTGCACGCCACCACACCCGGCTAATTTTTGGATTTTTAGAAGAGATGAGGTTTCACCATGTTGGCCAGGCTGGTCTCAAACTTCTGACCTCAAGGGATCCACCTGCTTTGGCCTCCCAGAGTGCTGGGATTACAGGCTTGAGCTACCGCATCTGGCTTAAAATTGTTTTTTAATACAATCAGTAAAATTCATAATCTTCTGATGCTAAAATAATAGAGTAGATTCAAGTTAAGAACGCCAGCAATGTGCGGTGGCTCACGCCTGTAATCCCAGCATTTTGGGAGGCCGAGGCGGGTGGATCACGAGGTCAGGAGATCGAAACCATCCTGGCTGACATGGTGAAACCCCGTTTCTACTAGAAATACAAAAAAAATTAGCCGGACGTGGTAGTGGGCTCCTATAGTCCCAGCTACTCGGGAGGCTGAGGCCAGAGAATGGTATGAACCCAGGACGCTGAGCTTGCAGTGAGCAGAGATCGCGCCACTGCACTCCAGCCTGGGCAACAGAGCGAGACTCCGTCTCAAAAAAAAAAAAAACAAAAAAACAAAAAAATGATGCCAGCAATGAAAGAGGAGATATAACCACAGATCCCGTAGTCATTTAAGAGATAATAAAATAACATACTAACAACTATATGCACACTCATATTAAAAAATATTAAAAACTAACATGGGCCTGGCACGGTGGCTCACGCCTGTAATCCCAGCACTTTGGGAGGCCGAGGTGGGTGGATCACTTGAGGTCGGGAGTTCGAGACCAGCCTGACCAACATGGAGAAACCGTCCCTACTAAAAATACAATATTAGCTGGGTGTGGTGGTGCAAGCCTGTAATCCCAGCTAATCGGGAGACTGAGGCAGGAGAATCGCTTGAACCCAGGAGGCGGAGGTTGCAGTGAGCTGAGATTGCGCCATTGCACTCCAGCCAGACTATGACTATAGTCCTAGCTACTTGGGAGGCTGAGGTGGGAAAATGGCTACAGCCCGGGAGGTAGAGGCTGCAGTGAGCCATGATTGTTCCACTGCTCTCCAGCCTTGGTAACAGAGCAAGACCCTACCCTGTCAAAAAAAAAAAAAAAGGTTATTTACATATCTTAAAATTATCTTCTAAAACATTTGTTTTTTTTTTTTTTTTTTTTTTTTTTTTTTTTTTTTTTGAAACAAACACTCTCTCTGTTACCCAGGCTGTAGTGCAGTGGTGTGATCTCAGCTCACTGCAACCTCCGCCTCCTGGGGTCAAGCAATTCTCCTGCCTCAGCCTCCTGAGTAGCTGGGATTACAGGCATGTGCCACTACGTCTGGCTAATTTTTGTATTTTTAGTAGTGACAGAGTTTCACCGTGTTAGCCAGGATGGTCTCGATCTCCTGACCTTGTGATCCGCCGTCTTGGCCTCCCAAAGTGCTGGGATTACAGGTGTGAGCCACCGCGACCAGCCTTCTTCATTCTTTTCACGGTTATATTTGACTCCATCATGTGTTATTCAATCCATTTCCTATGCTTGAATGTCCAAGCAACTTCCAATATTTTGCAACTATAAATAACGCTGACAAGTAATCATGTGCACCTGTAATTCGTATCACTGGAGGTGACTCTTTTTTTTCCTTCTTGAGATGGAGTTTCGCTGTTGTTGCCCAGGCTGGAGTGCAATGGCATGATCTCGGCTCACCGCAGCCTCCGCCTCCTGGGTTCAGGACCTCAGCATCCCGAGTAGCTGGGATTACAGGCATGCGACACCACGCCTGGCTAATTTTGTATTTTTAGTAGAGATGGGGTTTCTCCATGTTGGTCAGGCTGGTCTTGAACTGCCGACCTCGTGTTGGCCTCCCAAAGTGCTGGGATTACAGGCATGAGCCACAGCTCCCGGCCCAGTTTCCCTTTGTTGCCCAGGCTGGAATGTAGTGACATGATCTCAGCTCACTGCAACCTCTGCCTCCCAGGTTCAAGCAATTCTCATACCTCAGCCTCCTGAGTAGCTGGGAATACAGGCAACTGCCACCACACCTGGCTCATTTTTTGTATTTTAGTTGAGACAGGGTTTCACTATGTTGCCCAAGCTGGTCTCGAACTCCTGAGCTCAGGCAATCCGCCCATCTGGGCCTGCCAAAGTGCTAGGATTACAGACGTGGGCCACTGCATGCGGCCTGGAGGTGACTCTTAAGGGATAAATTCTTATTTATCCCTGCGCTTGCTTGCTGTGTCAACAGGTATGTGTATATATAATTTAATTAAATACTGCCAACTTCCCTCTATAGGACTTAAAACATTTTGCATTCCCACCAACAATGTATGAAAATGCCTGTTTCTCCACAGTCTTATCCGTAGAGAGTACGGTTAAGCTTTTAAGTTTTTGACAATCTGATGGGTGAGAAATGGTATCTCAGTGTAGTTGTAATTTACGTTTCTCTTACCATGAGTGAAGTTGAACGAACATCTTTTCATATGTTTATACATCTTTTGGTAAAGAGTCTGTGCATGACTTTTGCCCACTTTTCTATAGGATTTCTAATCTTTTCCCCTCAATTTTTAAAACATTTACAAAGTAAGGATTAACCCCTTTTTTTTTCTTTTTTTTTGGAGACGGAGTTTCACTCTTGTTGCCCAGGCTGGAGTGCAATGGCACGACCTGAGCTCACTGCAACCTCCGCCTCCCTGGTTCAAGCAATTCTCCTGCCTCGGACTCCCGAGTAGCTGGGATTACAGATGTGGACCATCACGCCTGGCTGATTTTCGTATTTTTTGTAAAGATAGGGTTTCACCATGTTTGTCAGGCAAGTCTCAAATTCCTGACCTCAGGTGATCCGCCCTCCTCAGCCTCCCAAAGTGCTGGGATTACAGGCGTGAGCCACCATGCCCGGCCTCAGGATTAACCCTTTATCAGTGAAGTATGGTGATTTACATGTTGATAAAGATTTTTTGTAGTCATTTGTCTTTTGATGTTACGGTACACTTTGTCCATGCAAACGTTTTTTGGTATTTGTAGACATTATTTATTAATCCTTTACTGGCTCTGGATTTAGAATTAGAAAGCCTCTCCCTATACCAGGTTAAAGATTATTTCATCCAAGTTTTCTTCTAGCATGTTTCTAGTATCTAGCATGTTTCTTCTAGCAATGTGAAAAAATAAAATTTCTTCACCTAAGTAACTTATCTCAGACTTAATTCTAGAATGTCTTCACTACCCCATTTATAAAATGGATATAATGACAACTGTCCAAACTGGTTTTCAGTATTACCAGAGAGATCAAATGAAAACACAAGCACAACTGCTTTGTAATAGTTAAGAAGTGCTCTGCAAATATAATTTACATGTGACTCAAAACAAGCAGTCAGGAGGTGAAGGGCCAAGTCACTCACCATGGGCTGATCCTCATCAGTGGGATTGGGAAGCAGGTAAAGAATACAGTGCCGAGGAGAAAGGGCTTCCTCCCCCACACATCAGACAGGGCACCAATGAGTGGGGCACTCAAAAAAGAGAGCAGGCCCTGGAGAAGAAACCAAAGCAAAGGTTAGTTTTATAATCTGATCCCTCAATTACCTGTAATTCATATTTTCTAAATGCATTAGCTCTAATTCATTGTACTGCCCCCAAAACAGAATAATACTTTGAAACATTAAATACAAACTACAACTAAAAAAATAAAATTAGGCCTGGCGTGGTGGCTCATGCCTGTAATCCCAGCACTTTGGAAGGCCAAGGTGGGTGGATCACTTGAGGTCAGGAGTTCAAGACCAGTCTGGCCAACATGGTGAAACCTCGTCTCTACTAAAAATACAAAATTACAAAAAATTAGCCGGGCGTGGCGGCAGACGCCTGTAATCCCAGCTACTCAGGTGGCTGAGGCAGGAGAATCACTTGAACCCGAGAGGCAGAGGCTGCAGTGAACCAAGATCACGCCTTTGTACTCTAGGCTGGGCAACAAGAGCAAAACTGTTGTCTAATTAAAATAAAATCTAAAATAAAATTATAACCAAAAATGTAAATGTTCTATCAGAAAGGGAAGGAAGAAGTAAAAAAGCTTGTTTTCCAGAAGAAATTAGAAAAGAGCGATGACATGATATATATATACCCACATTTGACCCTTAAGACGAACACACACCAAGCATACGGGAAGAAGCTAGAAATTTGAATCACTTTAATAAATATATATGGCATATCAATTCTGCACAAAACTGCATTAACTGGTACAATGACACCCAAATGAATGTACACCATATACTATCCCCAGGGCCTCACAGGGATAAAGAAGAGGAGTGTACATATGCTTAATGATCAAAAGAAAACTAGATTCTTTGTCAACTTTGTCAAAGTAAAGTTCTGCCTGATGAGTTTAGGAAGAAGGAGATAATCCAACCTGAACAACAACTACAGTTGAAACTAAGGGGAAGAGAATCTGACATAGATAACACCACACAGAAGCAAAGGAAGTCAAGGAACTCACATTCACTGCTTGCCCACTATTTGCCAGTCACTCTGTTGGCTGGCCACCTTCATTTCAATGCTACAGATAAGCAGCAGGGTGGGGAGAGCAGGGATGGACAAGAGTAGAAAAATGCTGATGAATAATGAAATAGGTGATGAGTACACAGGTATTCATCACACTATTCTTTTGTGTATCTGAATTTTCATGATACATCTTAAAAATTCCTCAGCACATCACATAAATAGGACACTCCAAAACCCGGCTCCTGACACACATCCTCTGCTGTGGCTGCATGCGATACTTCCAGTTTTCTGGACATACAATGTTCCTGCGTGCCAACAGGCCTTTGCACGCACATCCATCCCACACTTGGAGCCTGGAAACTGCTAGTGATTCTTCCCAACCCTGGGAGAGAAGCACCTCCTCCTCTATCTAGTCTCTTAGCTCTTCTATTATAATTTCAGCACTCCATTAAATCACTTGTTATTTGTCTACCTTCTCTGCTGGATTCGAAATTGAGAATAAGGTCAGAAGGATGACATTTCTTCTTATCTCTGTACCCGTGGTGCCTATCACAGGGCCTGGTAAACACTGGTTTTCAAATACGTTTGGTGAATTGAATAGAACTTTTCAGAGAAAATCAACTTACAGAAGTCTCCAAGTTCACATAATTGGAAAGAAAAAGGAACAGATTCCAATCCCCTATCAGCCACCAACTGATTAACCCAGGACAGCAGACATAGGTAAACTGATAAGAGGAGGGACTCAAAGTGAAGCAGCTTCATTGTCTGGGGAAATACCTGCAGTTCATCATCTTGCACCAAGAAGATTAAGGACATGGGCACACATGGGTGGGTGAAGGAGGGGAAAGTTTAATAGGCAAATGAAAGAAGAGAGCTTCCTCGTACAAAAGAATGATTATTATTAATACTTTATATAAAAGAAGCTGTGGGTAAGTTTAGCTTCAGGCATAGCTAGATGGACACAGGGAAGGACTTGTTCATATAGTGTCATCTGGGTTCTCTCACCAATTCTTAGTAAGGTGTCTCAATGTAGTAAGCAGGACAGTTTTTGCAATCGTAGGCTTACTACAAGTTAAGTAACCCCAGTAGACTGAGAAAATCGCAATACCTCTAGCAGAAAATTCCTCTGGAGAAATATCACTGATCTAGTTTGGATCATTTGCCCATTGTCCATGCAACTAGTTTAAATCTCTACACAGCCAACCCTCTGTATATGGAGGCTCCGTATCTGTAGATTCATCCATCATGGATGAAAAATATTTGGAAGAAAACAATTAAAAATAAGAACACAACAATAAAAAATACAAATTAAAAAATACAGTTTAACAACTATTTACACAGTATTAGGTATTATAAGTCATCTAGAGATGAATTAAGAGTATAAGAAGACTGAGAATGAGTGGCCTAACAGGTAGAAAGAAAACTATGCTAGGTCAAGTGAAGAAAGCAAGTAAAGAAAGCCTTTTAAGAATGAAAAAGGGGCCAGGCATGGTGGCTCACGCCTGTAATCCCAGCACGCTGGGAGGTTGAGGCGGGCGGATCACCTGAGGTCAGGAGTTCAAGACCAGCCTGGCCATGGTGAAACCCCGTCTCTACTAAAAATACAAAATTAGCCGGGCATGGTGGTGCGCACCTCTAATCCCAGCTACTCGGGAGGCTAAGGCAGGAGAATCGCTTGAACCCAGGAGGCGGAGGTTGCAGTGAGCTGAGATCGTGCCATTGCACTCCAGCCTGGGCAACAAGAGCAAAACTCCATCTCAAAAAAAAAAAAAAAAAAAAAAAAAAAAAAAAAAAAAAAAGAAGGAAAAAGGTTCGGAATAATTCTGGTGGAAAAGTGAGTGTGGAAGTCTACTTGTAATGAATGTAAGATAGCATGGCAAAGAAAGAAATGGGGTAGTAGCCTGAGGAGAAAAGGAAAAGAGGTTTTGTTTTTAGATTGGAGAACTAGAATGCTTGTATGCTGGTAGGAATAATTTAGAGGGAAAGTTTAAAATACTGGGGAAAAAAGGCATAACTGCTGAATTCTTGAGAATGGATGAGATATGTGAAGAAGCTGGCTTTAGCAAGGAACAAGGACAGTTCATCCTTAGAAACAGGAGAGGAAGTAGAGTATATGAGAACAGATACATGTAGGTGGATAGTAGATGTGGTGATGGGAGACTGAAATTTCTCTTTGCATTGCTTCTATTTATTTAGTGACACAGTTAAGGTCATTAGATGGTGGAAAAGGTATTGCCTACAGACAGAGTAGCTGGAGAATTAAATTTTCAAGCGTTGGGGTTTAGCCAACCAAGTGTGACAGAGTAAAAAGAGGGCATGCTTTATATGCAAAGCAGTAATTATAATGATTGACCACAGAATTTAAGCCAAGAAAGATGCAAGTGAGGATACAGGGGTAGGGGTGACAGTGAAAGGCAGGTAGGATGGGTTTTCAGTGCTGATATACTGAGCTGTAGTAAAAAATAGAGTAAGCTAGAATGGTAAGGAGGTAGTGGTTGAATACTAGGATATATAGAGAAACAATATGTATAATGGTTAGAGTTTGGATGCTGGAAGCAATACTTTTTGGGATAAAATTCTGGTTTGAGCAATTGCAGCTGTGAAACAATGGGCAAATTATCTTTCTCTCTCAATTTACTTACCTATGAAAGGGAATAATGAGTACCTATCCCTTAGAAAGTTTGCCATTATTAATACTGTGTAATGGTTAGAGTTATTGTAAGTGAATGGCTAACAGGGTGGAGTGAAATAGATCAAGGAACTGAAAGACCACTATTATTGGAAGGATAATCTGTGTGGATACTGAAACCACCAAGAAATAAGACAGGTCTTTGCCAGACACAGTGGCTCACGCCTGTAATCCCAGCACTTTGGGAGGCCGAGGTGGGAGGATCACGAGGTCAAGAGTTTGAGACCAGCCTGGCCAACATGGTGAAACCCCGTCTCTACTAAAAATACAAAAATTAGCCAGGTGTGGTGGTGTGTGCCTGTAATCTCAGCTACTTGGGAGTCTGAGGCAGGAGAATCACTTGAACCCGGACAGCGGGGAGTTGCAGCAAGCCGAGATCGCACCACTGCACCCCAGCCTAGGCGACAGGGTGGGACTCCGTCTCAAAAAAAAAAAAAAGACAAGTCTTGAATATTGCTAAAATTTCCTATTCAGCCACTGGTAGGATTATATTGTTGCACATTAGTGGTAAACACAAATTACCTAAATTTGGTCATAATAGTTGTTAAAAACAAAATTTTTAAAGTATTGATTTTAAAACTATTTAAGTTTAATGTAGAATATTTTTTGCCAAATTTAAAATTTTACCCTAATTGTTATTTCACAATTTTTTCTTTTATATTTGTAGAATATACTTCAACAACAGCAACAAAAGGTTTCTCAACAATCTAGAATTGTTCAGAGTGAGACTGAAAAGTTGTATTAGCAGTTCATAAAGGTCTGTTGTATGTGGCAACACAATACATTGTTATAAAGCATAATGTATTTATGGAAGTAGAAGGTAGTTCTTTCCAAGTTTATGAGAAAAAACATTTCAGATTTTTAACTACTTTCCATTTTGAATTCATTGTTTCTTTCCAAGTTTATGAGAAAAAACATTTCAGATTTTTAACTACTTTCCATTCTGAATTCGTTGTTTCTGATGTAAGTAATAAATGTATTTTTACTTTAGGATTCTAATGGTTTTGTGAGGATTATTCCAAACTAAAGAGTGGCAAATTGGGAATTTTATTTAGAGATGTACTTATGCATAAACTCTGTATGCTACTAATACTTTAGTCATAGTTCTCTGTTTTAACTGGAAACAGAAAGTCTGTAAATCATGTCCAGGTTGTGTTTCACTTGTTTATGTATCCAGTGTTTGTTAAATAATAAAAAGTACCCAAATGGGAGGATGTCTCTGGCACACCCAGCTAATTTTGCATTTTTAGTAAAGACAGGGTTTCTCGATGTTGGTCAGGCTGGTCTCAAACTCCCAACCTCAGGTGATCCGCCCACCTCGGCCTCCCAAAGTGCTGGGATTACAGGCATGAGCCACCGTGCCCGACCTACCCTGACTTTTTTTTTACGCAATGTGTCCTTCTGAACACTGTAGACCAAGCCCCAGAAGCTGCACCTGTGGGAAAGGCTGTATTTGTTATCTGTAGTCAGTCCAGGGGGATCCGAGGGCCACAGTGGCTGCCAGTGTGGGACAGAGCGAGGGGGCAAGCCCAGAGTGTTCAGCCATGGCTGAGCTGCACACCAGCACCATGGTAGCCATCCCACCAATATGCCACATGGCCTGGCCTGCCCGGCAAGCTGCTCAGTGGCCCTGCGCATTGTGTACCGTCTCAAGGGCTGCAGGAAGGCCAAGTTACTGGCTGTATGAGAGTAGTACCCCAGGAGCTCCTCAAAGACCTAGTGCCAGGACGAGTGTCCCTGGTGATGGAACGTTCAGAGGAGCTCAACAACGACCTAAACCCCTTTACTCCTCTTACAAGGTATCCGGATTCCTGATTATGCCTTTATGCAAGACTTGGCCAAGATGTATGAGCATCCTCTTGCTCTCACTAGTGCCAACCTCAGCTCCCAGGACAGTTCTCTGAATGCCATGGAGTTATAAGACCTCTGGCCTCAGTTGTCCTTGGTCATTGATGGGGGACAAGCTAGGGATAGCCAGATCCCTGAGTGTTACCTTGGCTCAACTGTGGTTGACTTATCTGTGCATAGAAAGTTTGGCATCATTCGTCCAGGCTGTGTCCTGGAAAGTACTACAGCCTTTCTTCAACAGAGGTATGGGTTGCACCCCTCATGTGCATCCTACTTGTGAAACTCAGGAAGCAGGAAGGCCCATGGCCTGGTGCTGGACACTCTGTGTCCGTCCACTGATAATTGCCAAGCCCTCATTTGCAGAAGCCACTGGAGCTCCTGCAGTAGTCTGACTTTTTTTCTTTTTTCTGAGACAGAGTTTCGTTCTTGTTGCCCAGGCTGGAGTGCAATGGCACGATCTCGGCTCACTGCAACCTCCGTCTCCCAGGTTCAAGCAATTCTCCTGCCTCAGCCTCCCAAGTAGCTGGGGTTACAGGCATGCACCACCACAACCGGCTAATTTTGCATTTTTAGTAGAGACAGGGTTTCTCCATGTTGGTCAGGCTGGTCTCAAACTCCCAACCTCAGGTGATCAGCCCACCTCGGCCTCCCAAAGTGCTGGGATTACAGGCATGAGCCACTGCGTCTGACCTAGCCTGACTTTTTTTTAATGCAATGTGTCTTTCTGAACACTGTAGACCAATCCCCAGAAGCTGCACCTGTGGGAAAGGCTATATTTAATATTTGTAGTCTCATATATCAGCCAAAAGCTGAACGGAGAGATTAACAACATTCCTAGGTGGCATTATTCTAATAAGTTTATTTTTTTAATTGAAAAGTAATTTAAATAGCAGATGTAGAATCTAATGAGAGCCTCCTCTCTGCTGGGTGGTAGCATTCAAAATGGTTCAGACCAGCTACAAGTGCCAACGCTGTTTAAAAAGTCTCAGGTGACCAAAGGCATGGGTTGGCCTCCTGAAGCTGGAACCAGGTAGAGCCACGGGCCAAACACTCTCTCCTCTGAACCAGTGGAGCTAGTGGTATCAAATACTGTAATTGCTGGTGGGGAGAGCAGTCATTTTGATCTAACGCTGGGACGTCGGCTCAGTTGGTGGGGGTGGTCCAAATTAAAGAATATTGAGAAATAAATCTCCACTATCCTTTTCAGCCAGGGACTTTTTTCTTATTTATTCATAAATTAAGTTGTAGTTATACCTATAACACTTTTATCTAAGTCCAGTGTTCTCAGTAGCCTTTGGTCTATTTATGTGTACTAAGTGTTCAACATAATTACTGTTGGGCATTTGAACTCGGCTTTAGTAAAAAGACATACAGCTATAAAAAAAAAAGTACCCAAATGATAAAAAATAAATAAAATGCCGTTTTACATATAAATATCCTCAAATTATTTTTGAAAACAGGCAAATAATAAATATGATTTATTAATATTTAACATTATTTATTATATGAATGTTTTTTAAGAGCTATGAAAATAACGAATTACAATGGCTAAATTCAGCACATTACTAGGGCATAATTTTTTTTTTTTTTTTTGAGACGGAGTCTCGCTCCGTCGCCCAGGCTGGAGTGCAGTGGCGCAATCTCAGCTCACTGCAACCTCCATCTCCCAGGTTCAAGTGATTCTCTTTCCTCAGCCTCCCCAGTAGCTGGGACTACAGGGGACTGCCACCACGCCCAGCTAATTTTTTGTATTTTTGGTAGAGATGGGGTTTCACCATGTTAAGCCAGGATGGTCTCGATCTCCTGATCTCGTGATCCGCCTGCCTTGGCCTCCCAAAGTGCTGGGATTACAGGCGTGAGCCACCGCATGCAGCCTTGGGAATAATTTTAAGTATGTTGTTCAGTACAATGTATAATTATGCATAGATTGACATTATCTAAACTGGAAAGCACAAATTAGACCCTATACTCATATGCTTTACTATAAGAGACTAAAAAATACTATTATACTTTAAACCCCTATTTAACTCTTTTCCTATTTAGAGAAAACAAGTGCAGCTCACTGCCAGCATTCATATGATTTTACATACACACACTCTTTGAGGCTGAAGCAAATATGATTGATTTTTCAATGTGAAAATAAAATATAAAAAGTGTTCTTGGAGTTATTTCTAAACAGAACTAACATCAGAATCACCTGAATCATCAGAATTGTCTATTTCAAAAAACTGGATTCATCAAATGAATCTTCAGCCGGTAACTGTTCGAGAACAATGTTAACATCACAGGTAGAAGTGCTGCGTTTTCTAGGATTTGACATTTTCAGTGATAGAGTGTTACTATAGTTTGTAACTGGAAACACCACTACTAAAAACAGAATACAGGCCAGGCGCAGTGGCTCATGCCTGTGATTGCAAGACTGTGGGAGGCCAAGGCGGGCAGATCACTTGAGGTCAGCAGTTCGAGACCAGCCTGGCCAACATGGTGAAACCCCATCTCTACTAAAATTACAAAAATGAGCTGAGCGTAGTGGTGGGCACCTGAAATCCCAGCTACTCAGAAAACTAAGGCAGGAGAATCGCTCGAACCCGGGAGATGGAGGTTGCAGTAGGCTGAGATCGCACCACTGCACTCCAGCCTGGGCAACAGAGTGAGACTCCATCTCAAAAAAAAAAAAATTATTTAAAAGAATGAGGAACAGTCAGGCGCGGTGGTTCACGCCTGTAATCCCAGCACTTTGGGAGGCCAAGGCAGGCAGATCACGAGGTCAAGAGATCGAGACCATCCTGACCAACATGGTGAAATCCTGTCTCTACTAAAAATACAAAAATCAGTTGGGCGTGGTGGTGCATGCCTGTAGTCCCAGCTACTGGGGAGGCTGAGGCAGGAGAATTGCTTGAACCCAGGAGGCGGATGCTGCAGTGAGCCGAGATCTCACCACACTGCACTCCAGCCTGGTGACAGAGCGAGACTCCATCTCAAAAAAAATAAATAAATAAATAAAGAATGAGGAAAAAGAATGCTATCAATAGAATGATGTCTTTTGTTTCCAAAGTCTATATACTAAAGCAATGCAAAAATAATAATAAAAGCAACATGTTTTGTGGCAAAGTTATCTTGGAGTAAATGCAGCACCGCTGGTGAGTATTCTCGGTGCAAACAGGAAAACGGTTTAAAGCCGTTTTTATATATATCATATTAAAATCGACATAATGAATTAAGACTAATTAAATCAAGTGGCTGAGTTATTACAAAGCCATGGCCAGTGTTACCAGCTTGGCTTCCTTCTTCCTCAGATATACTTCTTTTTAGTACACCTAAAAAGAAGATGGTAGCAATTGCCCACTTTATTCTGTTGATAGGCAGAGAAGTTAAAAGTTACATAATAATTAAGCCCTTTTGTGTACACAATAATAAAAATGAAGTTAGGCCTATAGAGTATTCACACTGCTATTTGCCAGTAAACCATTCTATGCCTTATGTATTTGTGTAGTATTTTAAAGTGACTTTTAATAACCCAGCTAAAAATTTAGATTTCAGTCTCCAGAACAAATAGTATTTGTTTCCCAAAGTCCCACTAAAACTTCCAGAGTTAAACTACCAAGGATTCCTGACTTTGGTTCATTACAAACCACATAAAAATTTTTTCTTACCTTTACACCTTGAATGAGACCATTCATGAGGAATGTGTGTTGAGAAAATGTTTCATGTAGAACCTACAAAAAGCAAACAAACATCAAGACAAATTCAAATTTCAGTTAAAGGAAAAATTTTCTGCCTCTCTTAATGGCATGCTACATAAATGAGCCCTGCAATGAAACATTATAAAATATCAATTAAAAAAAAATAAAAATAAACAAACTGTGGTACATCCAGACTATCACTAAAAAGAAATGAGCTACCAAGCCACTAAAAAACATGGAGGAACCTCAAATGCACATAGTTAAGTGAAACAAACCAATCTGAAAAGGCTACATATTGTATTGTATAATTCCAAGTATATGACATTCTGGAAAAGGTAAAACTATGGAAACGATAAAAAGATCAGTGGTGGCCAGGGACTGTGAAGGAGGGAGGGATGAATAGGCAGAGCACAGGGGATTTTTAGGGCAATGAAAATGCTTTGTATGATACTATGATGGTGGATACATGCATTATATATTTATCAAAACTCAGCATATAGAATACCAAGAGTGAAACCTAAACTACAGAATTTGGGTGATAACAGTATGTCAATGTAAGTTCATCAAATAAAACAAATGTACCCCTTTAGAAAGGAATGTCCATAGTAAAAAAATAAAAAGGGGGGGGGTATGCATATGTAGGGGAAGGGATACAGGGGAAATCTCTGTACCTTCCTCTCAATTTTGCTGTGAACCTTAAATGACTCTTTAAAAAATTAAGTCTTTAAAAAACGGAAATTAAAATCTACTCACAAATTATTTCCAACCTTTCCTCTAACAACATTATTTTTAAGGTTTAGAAAAAGTTTGTCATCTCAGCTACTGACATTTGAACTCTACTTGCCTGTACTGAAGAAAAAGAAAAGCAAATGAAGGACACCAAATATTTCAAGTGAAATACCAAAGTTATAAGAAAAAATCTTCCAAAAATAATAAATGTAAGTCACAGAGATACAGAAATTTTCTTTAAAGAATATAAAGACTAGAACTGTTGAATAACTTGATTTGTCACATGCATCACAAAAACATGGTAAAATGCAAAACAAAAACGTATTTTTAAAAAATGCTTATCGGATCATGTCAACTTTTTTTTTCTTTTGGAGATGGAGTCTCACTCTGTCGCCCAGGCTGGAGTGCAGTGGTGCAATCTCAGCTCACTGCAACCCCCGCCTCTCAGGTTCAAGCGATTCTCCTGCCTCATCCTCCCGAGTAGCTGGGACTACAGGAACCTGCCACCACGCCCAGCTAATTTTTGTATTTTTGGTAGAGGTGGAGTTTCACCATATTGGCCAGGCTGGTCTTGAACTCCTGACCTTGTGATCCATCCACCTTGGCCTCCCAAAGTGTTGGGATTACAGGCGTGAGCCACCGCTCCCGGCCTGATCATGTCCATTATTAACCCATTGTCTCTCAGTCCCACATTCTCCCTTCTATACTCTATCAGATCAGAGATAAGAGACTATGGACATTCCTCTGACTCCCTTTCCCGACAGGCTTCCTCTTAGTTTCTTTCAGTGGGAAATACAGGGTGGAGTGAGTGCTGGTCAACACTGCACCAACACCTCCAGGGTTCTCTCATGCTGTCAAAGGAGCAGCAGTGCTGATCCTTCCCTGCCCCCACCTCAAACCTCACCCTCTCGACCTCAGACCACTGCTAGAATTCTACATGGAAAATGATGCAAACCTGCATTCCCTTTGTACAGGTGATGCAGTTTAGGAATAAGAGATCATCATTTTAATTTGGCAAAACCGTATCTATGGATGAATGACAAAATACATACTTAATGAGTTGCACACTAAATAGATCTCATGTAATTTCTGACCACATGGGCCCATTTCTGAGCAATCAAGCTACCATGCAGGCAATTCCTCTAAAAATGTTCAATCCATGCTTTTAAAAACTTTTCTACTGTTTTCTACCCACCCTCCCCCAAAAAAGGAAACAGTGAAATCTTACTAAAGAAAAAAGTAAAACAAGTCAGTAATAATTTTAAAAGGCTAACCTTCATAAAATAAAGCAGTTGTAAATAAAACAGATATATTCTACTCAGGCTTATGATAAAGTTTAAAAACCAAAATAAAGTCTGTAAATAATTTAGCTACAAAAGGCAACAAATGTTATCAGAATAAAGTAAACCTAATAATAAAAGGTGTATTAAATATCTCAGAGAAGATCAAAGCTTTCATTTTTAACATCTCTATATGAAAAAAAACTCAAGCTTAGCCAGGCACAGTGGCATACACCTGTAATCCTAGCTACTGAGGAAGCTGAAGTGGGAAGATTGCCTTGAGCCCGGAAGATCAAGTCTACAGTGAGCTATGATTGCACCACTGCACTCTAGCCTGGGCAACAGAGCAAGACCTTGTATCTATCTATCTATGTAAATAAATAAATAAAAATAACTCAAGGAAAATATCCCCTTTAAGTATTCTTGAGAAGGACTACAGTAAACATAAAATAAAATGGCGTTTTCCTGAAAAAAATAGGAAACATTTTACAAGAAAAAAAATGACACTTGCTTATCACTTTTAAAACAGTAACTATAAAGTTTTAAGAAATGAACTGTCTTCCAGTACAACAAAGCTTAGAAATATCTACATGTAATAAACATACACAGAGCTGTGTTTCTCCACTTGCACAGATATAACAGAAAAAACATGAAATTAAATTTACAGCATTCCTAGAAAGCCAAGAATCATAAGGCGCTTCTGGATGATACAGAACAGATGAGAAAAGACTGACAACAAAAAAAGAGCTGAAGAAAAGTAGCACTTGAAGGTGAAATAGAAGACCTTGAAGAAGTTCATTTTCCAGAACCCAGAAAGAAACCTCCCAAATCAGAGGAGTAGGAAAAAATAGCCATAAATGAAAGGGTACTAAAAGGTCACAAAGTAAGCTCCCTGGTGTCTTCCTCTCAAAGCTGCTGACCTACAGATATGGCACCAGGATAACAATCACAAGCATAGTTCTCTGAAAACTGTGGGACTTCTAAGTGGGATACTTGCAGGATTGAATGGAATGAGATTCAAAAAGGACGGTGCCCCAGATCTCTTATGGCTGCCAAAAGTGCACAAAGTCCTATGACCACATAATCCTATAGAGTACTTCAGTACTCTAGAATATCCACACTTTCACAGAGCAAGAGTGCCTATAACCAGTCCCTGCATTAAATTTTAGGGAATAAGGCTTTCCACCTGGGCTGAAGAACTACACTCTAGTAACCACAGGTATCTAGACTACAGGTGGAAAACTGGCTACAGCCTGACTGTAAACTTGAAACAGCCTTTGCAAAATTATGACTGAGACAGTGAAAGATCTAACTTAACCGACTCCATCTTACTTCTAACCTCCAAGCTGTCCTTGCTCATTCCTGGGCATAGCATGAACTTTGGGAGAAACTTAGTTTATAGTTTTTTAAAACAAAGACAGTAATAGCCCTTTCCCAAAGCAGACCTCCTTCTTGCCTGGAGACTAGACTGCCTTTGTAGGACCAACATTAGCCACAAGATTAGAAATTATGGTTTACGAATCAGGTAGCTAGAGGCTACAGGATTCTGACCCTCCCCAAACTGCTCCTAATATCACTGCTTGAGATATTTTGCAGACCCTGCACGTAATGGATCAGCTGGCACCACCCAGATCGATAAACTGGCTCATCTGATCTTGTGGCCCCAACTCAAGAACTGACTCAACTCAAGAAGACAGCTTCAACGCCCCATGATTTCATCCATGACCAATTCTGTAGTGTGGCTCATTTTCCTCAAGATTGCCTTAGTCTAAGCCTTTTTTATGTCTCCATATATTTTATAATCAGCTCTTCAATAGCCACAAAATAACTTGCGAAGAATTTTGATTATGATTGCATTGACCACAGAATAATTGGGAAAGAACAGACATACTGTCTTTTTGTTGTTGTTTGATTCAAAGTCTCACTCTGTCACCAGGCTCAGGTGCAGTGGCACGATCTCGGCTCACCACAACCTCCACCTCCCGGGTTCAAGCGATTCTCCTGCCTCAGCCTCCCGAGTAGCTGGGATTACAGGAGTGAGTCACCATGCCTGGTTAATTTAGTAGAGATGGGGTTTCGCCGAGGTTGATCTTGAACAAAATAGGGAAACAGATGTCATTAGACAAATACCACAGTAAAAACTGTTGCAGACAAGCATTTATGGATGCTAAAATTAGTAGGACAACAGAAAAGGAACAAGATATCTGGATAGTCTCAAAGTATTTCTCCACAACATACTCACTTGAGACCAGGAGTTCAAGACCAGCCTCGCTGAAACCCCGTATTTATTATTTAAAAAAAAAAAAAAAAAGCCAGTTGTGGTGGCACACGCCTGTAGTCCCAGCTACTCAGGAGGTCGGGGCAGGAGAATCACTTGAACCCAGGAGGCAGAGGTTGCAGTGAGCTGAGATCTAGCCACTGCACCCCAGCCTGGGCAACAGAGTGAGACTCTCAATCAAAGAATAAAAAAAAAAAAAAAAAAAAAGCAGAAAACAATATGTCCATTCTTCCACAATCAATCTATAGTCAATGCAATCATAATCAAAATTCTTAGCAGATTATTTTGTGGGTATTGAAGAGCTGATTATAAAATATATATATACAGACATAAAAAAGGCTTAGACCAAGGCAATCTTGAGGAAAATGAACCACACTAAGGAATTTATACAAGATATTATGGCTGGGCACAGTGGCTCACACCTGCAATCCCAGCACTTTGGGAAACTGAGGCAGGCAGATAACCTGAGGTCAGGAGTTCGAGACCAGCCTGGCCAACATGGTGAAACCCAGTATCTACTAAAAATACAAAAATTAGCCAGGCATGGTGGTGCATGCCTGTTATTCCAGCTACTCAGGAGGCTAAAGCAGGAGAATCACTTGAACCCAGAAGGCAGAGGTTGCAGTGAGCCGAGATCGCACCACTGCACTCCAGCCTGGGTGATAGAGTGAGACTCCATTGCTCCCCCCCCGGCCAAAAAAAACATATTACTATAGAAGTTAACACAGGATGGTGTTGGCACAAGGAAATATAGCTCAACAGAATACTAAAAAATTTAGAAACAAACCCATATATGGACGGTTGTCTCATTTATGACAAAAGTGACACAGTACAGTGGGGAAAGAAGAATTTTTTCAATAAATGATGCTGGTTCAACTATATATTCTTCTGCAACCAAAGTGAATACTGACCCCCTACCAAACACAGTGATCTTTTTGGATGATAGGACTACATGAGAACAATAAACCAATTAAGGTTTGTGGTAGAAAAAGTTGTCTTAAACAGGATTTTTTAAAAACACTAACCATAAGCAAAAATAAATTCAACTACATAAAAACTTAAATTCAATTAAAATTAGTGTCATCCAAAGGCATTAAGAGAACAGAAAGGCCCTGGCATTGAAGAATTCAGGTGAAGATGCTGCCATTCTTGAACTCTGAAAGCCAAACTAGAATCTTCAGAGCAGCCTCAGTCTTAAAATTCAAGCTTCTTTTTCCTACTTTTTATTTCAGTGATATTTAGGACACTCTATATTTCATAAGAGTTATGATCTAACTGGCTCTATAAGCCCAAGTATAAAAATCCTTACCACCTAGCAAGAGACCCACAGAACTAGTCAGTAGTAAGACTGAGGTCACATATTGGAAAAAATATACTAGACCAGGGTTATACACAGGGACCATCCAGCGATAGAGATGTTGCTGGCAAGTAACCATAGTGGTGGGTGACCACTAGCGAAAAGGGCTGAAGAGACCTCAGAAGGTTATCCGGGTTATCTGGGTAGACCTGTGTCTTTTTCCATGCCCGAGGGTCACGACGTCACTATGCAGGGCACACGTGGCTTGGTTTAAAAAGGTCACCTTAATCTTAGCAAATGTAATAAATCATTTTTTAGATCCTGAAATTTATAATAAAAATACTTTACCTACCCTGAAAAAAAAAAAAAAAGAGAGAGAGAGAACAGAAAGGCAATCCCAGGCTGGGCATTCTGGCTCACATCTGTAATCCCAGCACTTTGGGAAGTCAAGGCAGGCAGATCACTTGAGGTCAGGAGTTCAAGATCAGCCTGCCCAACATGGTGAAACCCCATCTCTACTAAAAATACAAAAATTAGCCAGGCTTGGTGGCACGCGCCTGTATTCCAAACTACTTGGGAGGCTGAGGCAGGGGAACTGCTTGAACCCGGGAGGCAGAGGTTGCAGTGAACCGATATCGCACCACTGCACACTCCAGCCTAGGCAACAAGAGCAAGACTCCATCTCGAAAAAAAAAAAAAAAAAGGAAGAAAGACAATCCAAGAATAAGGAAAAGATATCAATAATAAGTATATGTGTGCGTATAGAGACGAACGTACACATGAAAAAAATTGTACCTAGAATATATAAAGAACTCCTACAAATAAGAAAAAGGGACACAACCCAATTTTTTAAAAACTGATGAAACACATGAACTGACACTTAACAAAAAGATATTCACACGGCCAATAAATATATGTTATACGTAAAGGGGGTTAACTTCATTGGTCGTTAGGAATATGCAAATTAAGACCATAATGTACCTACCAGAATTCAAATTGCTGGTGAAGACATGGAGTCTGCCTGGCTGAAGAGTAAATTGTTCACCCACTCTGGAAAACTTTTAGCACTACATAGTGATGCTGAACACAACCATGCAATTTTACTCCCAGATATATACTCCAAGAAACACGTATACATGTTCACCAAAAGATATATACAAGAAATATTACAACAGCAATATTTGTAATAGGCAAAAACCGGAAACCCAAATGTCCAACACCAGAATGGATTTGTGTCAATAGACTCCAGGACCATCTCTAAGTTCAGCAATTTGCTAAGAGGATTCCAGGACTCTGAAACTGTTATACTTACAGTTTATTACAGCAAAAGGACACAAAGCAAAATCAGCAAAGGCAAAAGGGACATCAGGCAAAGTCTGGAGGAAGCCAGGTGCATGCTTCTAAGAGTCCTCTCCCAGTGGAGTCACACATAAAGCATTTAATCCCTCCAGCAATAAACTGTAACAATGGCCAGGCACAGTGGCTCAAGCACTTTGGGAGTCCGAAGCGGGTGAATCACTTGAGGCCAGGAGTTTGAGACCAGTCTGGCCAACATGGCGAAACCCCATCTCTACTAAAAATACAAAAACTAGCCGGGACTCGGGAGGCTGAGGCAGGAGAATCACTTGAACCCAGGAGGCGGAGCTGCTGTGAGCCGAGATAGCGCAACTACACTCCAGCCTGGGCAACAGAGCCAGGCTCTGTCTCGGAGGAAAAGAAAAGAAAAAGAGAAACTATAACAACATTATGTGAAGTGTTGTCGGCTATGGAAGCTCACAAAAGCCTAGGAGTCCAGGGTTTTTCTTGGTGGGTGATCTTCAAGGCACACAATGAATGACCAGCTACCAAAGCTCTCTAGTTCACGAGAAGGAAAGGTGTTCACCATAAATAATGCTGTTTGCACAAACTGGAACAGTCAAGTTCAAAGATTCAATCACACAAAACGCAAAATATTCCAAGAGCTCAATTCTGGCCTGTCAAGGAACAGTCACAGAAAATGGTCCTCTTGGGAACATGAAAGACTTGAGCAACTTGGGCCTGCTGAATTAATCCTTTCCTGCCCAAGATAACAGAAAATCATATGTGGTTATGTAAGAATACACTATACAACAATGAAATGTTGCTACATACAACATGGATTACTCTCATAAACGTACTAAGCCAAAAAAGCCAGACAACAAAGAGTATACATTGTATGATTCCACTTATATAATATTAAACACACAAACACAAAGGCCAAACTGTCATATTAGAAATGTGACAAGGACAGAAATTACTTAGGATTGTTTCTGGGAGTGTAGCATAGTACTGGATATATAAGTGTACTTACTGTACAAAAATTCATCAAGCTGTGTATTTATCATTTGTACATCTTTCTGTACACATTATACTTCCATTAAAAGCTTACACAAAAAGGTATCTGGTTCCTATTTTATTTTAGCCATGAGGAAACTTTAGGAAAATATATCATTCTATAGAATCATATTTTCCTCAGATCAAACTCCTAACACAGCTCAAAATCCTATAATTTTATATTGCGAGGGTAGGAGAACAGCTTTCCTATTTTCTGGTTTTTAGGACAATCAGGGAAATACAGAAATTGAAAAGTGCATAAAGTATTGAGATATCAGCTAATCCACTGGTTTTTCTAACTATATTACTCAGAAATATTATAGGAACCCTCTAATGGTTTGATTTGAATTTCTTTCATTTATTTATTTTTTAATTTTAACTTTAATTTTTTTGAGACAGAGTCTCACTCTGCTGCCCAGGCTGGAGTGCAATGGCATGATATCGGCTCACCACAATCACTGCTTCCTGGGTTCAAGCGATTCTCCTTTCTCAGCCTCCCAAGTAGCTGGGACTACAGGCACATGCCACCATGCCTGGCTACTTTTTATATCTTTAGTAGAGACAGGGATTCACTATGTTGGCCAGGCTAATCTCGAACTCCTGACCTCGTGATCTGCCCACCTCAGCCTCCCAAAGTGCTGAGATTACAGGCGTGAGCCACCACGCCTGGCCTTGAATTTATTTAAAAAAAAAAAAAGTATTATAAACCCAGTATCTACAAGAAAAAAAAAATTGTCAGACTTCTCACATTTGACATGACAGTATAAAAAGATTAACAAATTATCTTTCAGTACAGCTGTATAAACCTATTTCAGTGCTCTGGAATTCAACCAAAGGCATAAAACAAACTGGGAGCATTTATTTATTAAGTTACTGAACTTCAGGCAGAAATGGTGGTTTTCAGTTTTGAGCTGCTACCAGACTCCTGCCCTTCCCCCAACGCCAGCTCTGTGGGTATTAGTTTAAGCAGGGCATGCTGCTGCCTGAGAGGACTCGTTGGATTTGGAGTGTTGTCAAGTTAACGGGGCAAACACGGAAGACTAGTGGCAGACTGGTGGATTAGGCCAGGGATGTAACAGGTAGTTGTAGGAGGTGAGACAGCCACAAGAAGCTTGAAAAGCTCTCCCCAAATTGGTTGACTCTAGACGATACACACACATATAAGAGACTGGAACACACTCAAGCCACTCATACATCCTTGGCCATCAGAAGCTGCACATACAGAGATTTCAAGAGAATCTGGCAGAGAGCAAAAGCCAGGGAAGAATTGAAAATGGCCTGAAGTAAGAATGCACTTCCAGCTCACATACAGATCCATTAGCAGAGAGCTGAAAGTTTACTGGCTCGAGGTGTTTAACTATAATCTCTTACCAATCTGACTGATCCCTAAATAATGGAGACAGAGAACCCAAGGAAGCCAAGCTTAAAAATAAAAATAAAAACTGAAAAGAGACATCAGCAGCTGCATACTGTAGAGACTTCACAGATTTAGTCCAAGCAAGTTACTAAACAAGCAAAACAAAAACAACCTTCAAGGTGAGAAAAAAATCAAAATCCATGGCCAAGTGTAGTGGCACATGCCTGTAATCCCAATGCTTTGGGAAGCTGAGGTGAGAAGACTGTCTGAGGCGAGGAGGAGTTCAAGACCAGCCTGGACAACATAGCAAGGCCCCATCCCTAAAATAAAAACAAAAGGCCGGGTGCAGTGGCTCACGCCAGTAATCCCAGCACTTTGGGAGGCTGAGGCGGGCGGATCACGAGGTCAGGAGATCGAGACCATCCTGGCTAACACGGTGAAACCCTGTCTCTACTAAAAATACAAAAAAAAAAAAAAAAAAGAGCCAGGCATGGTGGCGGGCGCCTATAATCCCAGCTACTCGGGAGGCTGAGGCAGGAGAATCGCTCGAATCCAGGAGGCGGAAGTTGCAGTGAGCCAAGATCGCGCCACTGCACTCCAGCCTGGGCAACAGAGAGAGACTGTCTCAAAAAAAAAAAGAAAAAGAAAAAAAAGTTAAAGCTTTAGCCAAGCGTGGTGGTGCACAACTGTAGTCTTAGCTACTCAGGAGGCTGAAGCAGGACAATTGCTTGAGCCCAGAAGTTTGAGGTTGCAGTGAGCTATTATTGTGCCACTATATTTCAGCCTAGGCAACAGGGCAAGACCCTGTCTCTTAAAAAAAAAAATCCAAAATTGCAAAACTATATTATCTAAATATACAGGTTTTAACAAAAAATGATTGCAATATGCAAAGAAACAAGAACATATAACTCACTCAGGTAAAAAAAGGGAGTCAACAGGAGGAGTCTCTGAGTGTTCCCAGATGTTGAATATTGCAGATGAAAACTTCAAAGCAGATACTATAAATATGTTCAAAGAACTAAACGAACCCATGTTTAAAGAATTAGAAGAGACCAGGTGTGGTGGCTCACACCTGTAATCCCAGCACTTTTGGAGACTGAGGCAAGAGGACTGCCTGAGCCCAGGAGTTTGAGACCAGCCTAGACAACATAGTGAGACCCCACTCGTAAAAAAAAAAAAAAAAAAAAGAATTAAAGGAAAGTATGGGACAGGTGTGGTGGCTTACGCCTATAATCTCAGCACTTTGGGAGGCCAGCCGAGGCAGGCAGATCACTTGAGGTGAGGAGTTCGAGACCAGCCTGGCCAATATGGTGAAACCCTGTCTCTACTAAAAATACAAAAATTAGTCGGACGTGGTGGCACACACCTATAGTCCCAGCTACTCGGGAGGCTGAGAATCGCCTGAAACCAGGAGGTGGAGGTTGCAGTGAGCCGAGATCATGCCACTGCACTCCAGCCTGAGTGACAGAGAAAGACTGCGTCTCCAAAAAAAAAAAAGTATGTGAATCACTCAGTGAATAGGAAATTTCAAATAGAATATAAAAATTATAAAAAAGAAATGTGGAAATGCTGCAGTTAAAAATTTGGTAATCAAAATCAACAATCCACTAAAGTGACAACACAGACAATTTAAGATGAACAAAGAAAGAAACAGTAACCTTGAAGACAAATAAATAGAAATTATTCAAACAAAAGCTTAGAAAACAATTGGCAAAAAAATAAAAATAAATAAACAGCTCCTCAGAGATGTATGAGACATTATCAAGTGTGAAACACTTACCTATGACCAGGCACGGTGGCTCATGCCTGTAATCCCAGCACTCTGGGAGGCCGAGGCGGGCGGATCAGGAGGTCAGGAGTTCGAGACCAGCCTGGCCAACATGGTGAAACCCCCTGTCTCTACTAAAAATACAAAAATTAGCCGGGCGTGGTGGCACACGCCTGTAATTCCAGCTACTCGGGAGACTGAGGCAGGAGAATTGCTTGAACCCAGGAGGCGGAGGATGCAGGGAGCTGAGATCACGCCACTGAACTCTAGCCTGGGTGACAGAGCAAGACTCTGTCGGGGGGGTGGGGTGGGAACTTACCTATAAGGAGAGTCTCAAAAGGAGTAAAGAGACAGTAAAAATATTTGAAGAAATAATGGTCAAAAACTTCCCAAACGTGATGAAAAGCATTAATCTACAGAAACAAGAAGCTCAACAAACCCCAAGTAAAATAAACAAAAAAGACATTCACACCTACACACATTATAGCATAGTCAAACTATCACAGAGTTGGGTTTTTTTGTTTGTTTGTTTGTTTGTTTTTGAGAAAGAGTTTTGCACTCGTTGCCCAGGCTGGAGTGCAATGACACGATCTTGGCTCACTGCAACCTCCATCCCCCAGGTTCAAGCAATTCTCCTGCCTCAGCCTTCCGAGTAGCTGGGATTACAGGCGTGCACCACCATGCCCAGTTAATTTTGTATTTTTAGTACAGACGGGGTTTCACCATGTTGGTCAGGGTGGTCTCGAACTCCCATCCTCAAGCGATCCACCTGCCTCAGCCTCCCAAAGTGCTGGGATTACAGGCGTGAGCCTCCGCGCCCAGCCTAAAGTTTCACTTTTAAAAGATGAAATGAGTTTTAGAGATGGATGGTGGTGACAGATACCCAACATAATGAAATGTATCTAATACTACTGAACTGTATACTTCAAAACAGTGAAAATGGTAAGTTTGTTATGTGTATTTTACCATAATTTTTTTAAATGGGAAAAAAAGTGATTTGGTTTATCTATATTCATATTAAAAATGTGTCCTGAAAAAACACATGTATTTGTTCAAAGAATATATTTATTAAGCACCGACTATATCCCAGGCAGCACTATGCAAACAGTGAGGAAAATTAGAATCTCATGAAACTCAAAATGGGACTAATTATCCTCATTAACTAATAACTAATAACCTACTATAGGTTTCCTACTATGAAGGAAAAACTACTGTAATAAGAAAAAAAGGATTAAGGATGCAGGCAATTTTTAAGTCCCGTGTTCCACCCAAGTTATACTTTTAATGAATAAAACTGTATTTTTTTTTTTTTTTTTGAGATGGAGTTTTGCTTTGGTTGTCCAGGCTGGAATGCAATGGCACGATCTCAGCTCACTGCAACCTCCACCTTCTGGGTTCAAGCAATTCTCCTGCCTCAGAATCCTGAGTAGCTGGGATTACAGGCATGCGCCACCATGCCCAGCTAATTTTGTATTTTTAGTAGAGACAGGGTTTCTCCATGTTGGTCAGGCTGGTCTCGAACTCCCGACCTCAGGTGATCCACCAGCCTTGGCCTCCAAAAGTGCTGGGATTACAGGCGTGAGCCACCGCATCAGGCCTCAAACTGTATTTTAACTGTGCCAGAAGAATTAAAAACTTTAAAAGGTTCACAACAAAGTCTTATGTAAGGCTAACAGGCTAACAGCCACCCTCTAAAGTTCTCTGCTGTCTAAACCTTATTTAAGAACAAAGATTATCCGTACCCAGAGGGATTCTTTAGTAAGGCAAAATGATGATTAGGAAGAGTTAAGCTCCAATTTTTTTTTTTAATTTTTGTTTTTTTAGAGATGGGGTCTTGCTATGTTGCCCAGGCTAGACTTGAACTCCTGAGCTCAAGCAATCCTCCTGCCTCAGCTTACTGAATAGCTGGGCCTAAAGGCATATGCTACTGTACCCCGCCCATCAATAATTTTTAAAGAATAATTAAGACAACTGAAACTTAACTCCAGTTTAAAATATTTTATTAAAATTAAGTGTTAAATAGTTGTAAGCCACCTAAGATCTGCCCCCGCCATCTTTTCTTTGGCATCTCTCTTCCTTCTAACTACATCATAGATGAAACGTACAAGTTCTTGCTAAGATATTCAATACCACCTCTGAAGAAATGGCTATAGATAAGCTACGAAAAACTGAAATTTAGACATTCCTACAATTATTACTCATTGTTACAAAGTACTCACCAATCTGCTATTTACTATGTTCTTAAGTCAAAGACCATTAACATCCTCCTAAAGAAGTTACAGACTTCAACAATGCTCTGCAATTTCCTGTAGGACAGGACCCTATGAGTCCATGGCCTGTTATGAACCCAGCCACACAGAGCAGCAGGCGAGCGAGCATTACCACCTGAGTTCTGCCTCCTGTCAGATCAGCAGCGGCATTAGATTCTCATAGGGGTGCAAACCCTACTCTGAACTGCGCATGTGAGGGGTCTAAGTTGCGCTCATTATGAGAATCTAACTAATAATGCCTGATGGTCTGAGGTGGAACAGTTTCATCCTGAAACCATCCCCCAACCAACCCAATTCTGTGGAAACATTGTCTTCCACGAAACCAGTCCCTAGTGCTAAAAAAGTTTGGGAGTTGCTGCTGTAGAGTATCTTAAAGATCTTCCTAAACATATACAGTTCATTTGTATAACAGCACCCCCAAGTTTACTTCAATAGGAGTGCAGTGCTACCCAGGAATATTTAAAGAGGTGTTTTGTGTTACATGTGGTTCAGAAACCACAATGGAAAAAAAAAAAAAAAAAAAACCAATGAAACAAGCTGTTTTAAATCACTATCAAGAGCTACTCCCAAACACGTATCTAGACATACACAGTGATACATGCCTAAGAACTTATCTCTTTCTCTTACAAAACACAAACCCAGTTCAGCAATACTTACAGTCAACATTGGAGTTGTCAAAAGGCCCCACGCAAAGAATTCAAGGAAGATGACAATAGCAGCATGGTACACACTTGGTGGGCCAAAGCCTTGTAGCTAAAAAAGAAAGTTATTATGAAAATTAGCAAAGAAATATAAGAAATCTATTATCTTAAAATGGTATAGAAAAAAATGTGTAAAAATGTGTAAAAAAATTTAGGGCCTACCTCTGTCATTTAAAATAAAACTTCATTCTGTGTTATCCTTGATGCCTTCACTTTCCCTAATAAGGGAAGATGCTAAGATTATAGACTTTCGCTTGGGCGCGGTGGCTCAAGCTTGTAATCTCAGCACTTTGGGAGGCCAAGGCGGGCAGATCACAAGGTCAGGAGTTCAAGACCAGCATGGTTAACATAGTGAAACCCCACCTCTACTAAAAAATACAAAAATTAGCCAGGCATGGTGGCGGGCTACTTGGTCCCAGCTACTCGGGAGGCTGAGGCAGGAGAATTGCTTGAACCCGGGTGCCGGAGCTTGCAGTGAGCCGAAATCCCGCCACTGCACTCCAACCTGGGCGACATAGCAAGATTCCATCTTGAAAGAAAAAAAGATTATAGACTTTCGATCTATCCCATCGACGCAAATCACTGGAGCTTTAGTAGAAAATCAACTGGATCTTCAAGAAACTAAGTTTCCAAGATCTGACTGCTCTGTCCCTTACGAATTACGTGTTCCTTAGCAACTTAACTTCTCTAGGGCTGAAGTTTCTTTACCGACATAATAAGAGAGATGGGTATGGGCATCACATGCTCAAAGGCCTGAGGGGCAGCTCGGATGACTTTAAATCAGTATGGAATATCTTGAGATATCCCAATTCTAGAGATGTTTAGAAGCAGAGGATGAAAAGTGTGCAATAATGTCTTTGCACGCTCTTATTTATCATCTCTCCCACAGATTACTGCAATGACCTGTTAACCCTGCCTTGACTCGTTTTCCCTGTCCCCTCCAAACTTGTGGTGACATTACACTCAGAGTGAACTTTTTAAAAATACAAATCTTATTCCATCACTCCTGTGGAAAACTGCGAAAACAAGGAACTGCAAAAACAAAGAGCTACAAATTGCTCTCATTCCTGTACACACACATTTTCACAATATGACTTTGCTGCCAATTCCATCAAAAGGTTCAATCTGTTTCTCCATGTCCCTAGATCAAAGCTGGTTTGACAACTTCCTCTAACCAACAGTCAGGTGAAGACAAAACATGGATTTCTGAACCTAGATTGCCAAAGATCAAGACTACCACAAGGAGAAATATCTTCCTGCCACAGGCATATGAGAGGATAAGAAACTCTCCCTATCAAGGCCTCACAGACAAACCAGTTAACAGCCATCACCAACTGTCAGACATAGGAGCCAGGCCATCTTAGACGACCCAATTACAATCAGGCCTGCAGGTCACTGCAGAAGCATGAGACACACCGAGAGAAATCAGTGAAGAACTCTCGCTGAGTTCCACTCAAACCCCTAACCCAAAGAATAGTAATAAATGGTTGTTGTTTTAAGCCATTAAGTATAAGGGTTGTTTCTTAATTAGTTTTTTTTTTTTTTTTTTTTTTTTTTTTGAGATGAAGTCTCGCTTTGTTGCCCAGGCTGGAGTGCAGTGGCGTGATCTCAGCTTACCGCAAAGTGCTGGGATTACAGGTATGAGCCCCCATACCCGGCCCACATTCTTTTTAATAGCTAACTACTCAGTATCTCATTGTATGAATGTGCCATAATTTTAACCAATCGAATATTGATAGGAGTACATGGAATTTTCACTTATTTAAAACTGCTGCAATTAACTTTTTAAATTTTGGAATATTAAACCTACAGAAAAGTTGCAAAAACCAAGAGTTCCTGTATATCCTTCACCCAGCTTCCCCAAATGTTAAAATCTTCTATAACCATGGCATAATTATCTAAACCAGGAAATTAGCATTGCTACAAAACTTTAATCTACATATCTTATTTGAATTTTGCCATTTTTCCCATTTTCTTTTTCTGGTTCAGAATCTAATCAAAGATTTAACACTGCATTTAGTTCTCACATTTCTTTAGGCTCTTCCAATCTAAGTCAGTTCCCAAGACTTTTATTTTTTTACTTTCATGATCTTGATACTTTCAGGGAATACTAGTATACTCTTCACCAATAATTTTATAGAGTGTCCCTCAATTTGAATTAATCTAATATTCTCTCATGATTAGATTGAGGTTATACATTTTATTTTATAAAAATATGTCACATCTCATAAAATTCACCATTTTCAAGTGCACACAAGTCAGCGGTTTTTGGAATATTCACAAGATTATACAACCATCACCACTATCTAACTCCAGAACATGTTTATCACCCCCCAAAAGAAGCCCTACACCTATTAGGAGACATTCTTCATTTCCTTCTCCCCCTACTTCCCCTCAGAACCACTAATCTACTTTCTGTCTCTATGGATTTGCCTATTCTGGGATCATACATAAATAGAATCCATAAATGGAATCACACAACATGTAGCCTTTTGTGTCTAGCTTCTTCCAATCAGCATATTTTCAAGGTTCATCCATGTTGTAGCATGTGTCAGTATTTCATTCAATTTTATAGCTAAATGATATTCCACTGCATCGATATACTGCATTTTGTTTATCCATTCATCAGTTCATAGACACTTGGGTTGTTTCCATCTTTGGCTATTATGAATAATGCTGCTATAAACATTGATGTACAAGTTTTTGTATGAACATGTTTCCAGTTCCCCTGGCTATACACATAAGGGTGAAAATGGTGGGACTATTAATATCCTTTTATTAGCATTCTAGGATAAATTTCTAGAAGTGAAGTTGCAGGGCCAAAGAATATACACATTCTAATTTAGAATCCAATTATAATTTTAAGGTTTCACTAATTAGGAGTCAAAAAAATACTTCATCTTATGTCACCTAATCAACTATCTCTAACATATAAAAGGCTTCTAAAAATGTTAAGAAAAAGACTAACAGCCCAATAAAAAGATTGGCAAGAAATATGAACCAGTTCACTGAAATCAAATGTCCCTTAGTAGCCTCACTTGTATTAAGAAACATGCAAAATTAAGCTAAATTCAAACACAAGTTCTCAGTATCAGACATTAAAAATTCAAAAATTCAAACGTTTGTAAACTATTGATGAAGCAACTGAAAAGAAACACAAACTGCAAATAGGAATGAAAAATGGTACACCACTATGGAAGAAAATTCAGCAACATCTAGACAAATTATATATTTACCCTTTGAAGCAACAATTCTACTTTATCCTTAAACTATGAGGTGCCATATGCACAAAGCTAAAACACTGTAACAGCAAAACTTAACTCTGGGCCAGGGGAAGTGGCTCACACCTATAATCACAGCACTTTGGGAGGCTGAGGCAGGCGGATCACTTGAGGTCAGGAGTTCATGACAAGCCTGGCCATCATGGTGAAACCCCATCTCTACTAAAAATACAAAAATTAGCAAGGCTTGGTGGTGGGTGCCTGTAATCCCAGCTACTAGGGAGGCTGAGGTAGGAGAATGGCTTGAACCTGGGAGGAGGAGGTTGCAGTGAGCCAAGATCACGCCATTGCACTCCAGCCTGGGCAACAAGCACGAAACTCTGTCTCAAAAAAAAAAAAACATCGGCTAACGAATGAAGAAAGGAATAATTAACTTAGAATCCTGCCACTTCACAGCCTTACTGAAATAGTGAATCTAGGCCATGACCATTAACGGCCACTGAAATCACTGGGTAAAAGCTGACAAGGTACAAGGGAATAATCAAACTGATAACACCTGAAACCTGATCAATCATAACATCACAGACAGAGATCATTTGCCACATGATGTAATACAACAAAAAAATACCACCACTTAAGAAGTATTCTTTGAAAAAACAAAGTGAAACAAAAAACCTGGATTCAATGCAGTCAAGACATAAACCAGTATACAGAAAATGCAGGTAAAACAAGATTGGCCTTGTTGCAGTAGGGTGATGAATATGGGGAGGTATTCCTAATAATATGTAAAGGTAACCACAAAAAAAGCTTTAAACAGATTGCTAAAAAGAAAAGAACTTACAGTCTCATTAACAATTTAAAAAAAGAACAACTTACAGTCTCCTTAACAATTCTGGAGGATACCTGTCCTGCCATATCCTAAGACTGCATAATAATTTTTTAATTTTTTGCCAGGTGCGGTGGCTCATGCCTGTAATCCCAGCACTTTGGGAGGCCGAGGCAGGCATTTCAGGACCAGCCTGGCCAACATGGCAAAACCCCATCTCTACTAAAAATACAAAAATTAGCCAGGCGTGACGGCAAGTGCCTGTAATCCTAGCTGCTCAGGAGGCTGAGGCAGGAGAACCACTGGAACCCAGGAGGCGGAGGCTGCAGTGAGCCAAGATCACACCACTGCACTCCAGCCTGGGGGACAGAGTGAGACTCCATCTCAAATAATAATAATTTTAAAATTTTTGCTAATTTGATTTTTTTAATGGTTATCTAATTTTATTTTGTATTTCCCTTACTCCCAATGAAGCTGAGCTTCTTTCCCATGATTAGGAATTTGCATTTCTTTTTCTGTGAACTGCCTATTCATCTTCTGTCAATTTTTTATTGGTGACTTTAATCTTTCATATTGATTTATAGGACCCCTTTAGAATCAATATTAAAAACATTTATACAATGCAACATCAAATTATCATTCTCAGCCAGGAGCGGTGGTGTGCACCTGTAGTCCCAGCTATTTGGAAGGATCACCTGAGCCTAGGAGTTCAAGTCCAGCCTGGGCAACACAGCAAGAACCCCATCTCTTAGGGGGGAAAAAAAATAGGCCCAGTGCAGTAGCTCATGCCAGTAATCCTGGCACTCTGTGAGGCTCAGGCGGCAGGTGGGAGATTTACTTGAGGCTAGGAGTTCAAGACCAGTATAGACAACACAGTGAGACTCGATCTCTCCAAAAAATTTAAAAATTAACCAGGCATGGTGACATGTGTCTGTAGTACCACCTCCTCAGGAGACTGAGGCAGGAAGATCGCTGGAGCGCAGGAGTTTAAGGCTACAATGAGCTATGACTGCACCACTGCACTCTAGCCTGGGCCACAAAGTGAGACTCCAGTCTCGTTTAGGAAAAAAAAAAAAGCCATCGTCCTCACCTACCGGCATCAATACTCTCTAAAAATAAAAGGCACAAATACACAAATCAACAATAGCTGGAGACTTCAATACCCATTTTCAGTAACTGATAGAACAATTAGAAGATCAGCAAGAAATAGAAGACTTCAGTAACACTGTACACTAACTAAACCTAACAGACATTTATTGAACACTCTTCCCAACAAGATATAAATCCTCAAGTGCACATGAGAAGACTGTAAAACAAGTTTGAATAAATTTAAAAGGAGTTAATTTATACAAACTATGTTCTTGACCACACAGAATGAAATTAGATATCATTAACTTAAGAAAATTTGGAAAATTCATGAATATTAAAATATTTAAACATACTCCTAAATAACAGATAAAAGAAATCACAAGGAAAGTTACAAAACTTTCATTTGAACAAAAATGAAAATGTAACACCCCAGTTGAATGCAGCTTAAAGCAGCGCTTAACAGAAAGTGTACAGCTATAGATGTGTGGTTATAAAAGATCTCAAATCAATAATTTAACTTTCCACCGTAAGAAACTAGAAGAGAGCAAACTAAACTCAAAGCAAGGAAAGAAAGATCAGAGCAGATACAAACGTGATACAGAATAGAAAAGCAATGCAGAAAAATCAACAAAATCAGGCCGGGTGCAGTGTGAGCCTAGCACTTTGGGGGGTCAAGGCGGGCAGAACACTTGAACCCAGGAGTTAAGACCAGCTTGGGCAACATGGTGAAACCCTGTCTCTACTAAAAATACAAAAAAGAAAAAGTTTACCCAAGCATGGTGGCACATACACCTATAGTCCCAGCTATTTGGGAGGCTGCAGTGGGAGAATCGCCTGAGTCCAGGAAGTTGAGGGTGCAATGAGCCATCATCATACCACTGTACTCCAGTCTGGGAGAAGGGAGTGAAACCTTGCCTTAAAAAACAAAAGGAGGCCGGGCGCAGTGGCCTGTAATCCCAGCACTTTGGGAGGCTGAGGCAGGTGGATCACGAGGTCAGGAGGTCGAGACCATCCTGGCTAACAGGGTAAAACCCCATCTCTACTAAAAATTAAAAATAAAAAAAATTAGCCAGGCGTGGTGGCGGATGCCTGTAGTCCCAGCTACTTGGGAGGCTGAGGCAGGAGAATCGCTTGAACCCAGGAGGCAGGGGAGCTTGCAGTGAGCAGAGATCGTGCCACTGCAATCCAGCCTGGGTGACAGAGCGAGACTCCGTCTCAAAAAACAAAAAACAAAAAAAAAAAACAGAAAAAGGAAAGGGAAGAGAAAATCAACAAAACCAAAATTGATTTAATGAAAATATCAAACTAATGGACAAACCAAGAAAACAGAAGACCTGAATTACTAATACCAGAAATGAAACAGAAGATAATAATGGTCAACCTTACAGAAACAGGATTATAAGGGAGTCTCATAGACAATTAGCCAACAAACTGGATAAATGAAACAAAATGGACAAACTCCTAGAAACACATAACCTACTAAAAATGAATCATGAAGAAACAGAAAATATAAATAGACCTATAACTAGTAAGGAGACTGAATCAGTAATCAAAAACCTCCCAGAATTCCAGCAGAGTTAAAGAATTAAACCTCTTCCCAAGACATGAAGAGGAGAGAGCACTTTCTAACTCACTCTCTGAAGCCAGCATTACAGTAGTTGCCCCCTTATCCAAGGGGGATACATTCCAAGATCCCTAGTGGATGCCTCGAAAAGTACCAAACCCTATACAGCTGTTCCTCGACTTACAAAGGGGTTACGTCTCAATAAACCGACTGTAAGTTGAAAATATACTAACTTGAAAGTCGCTTTAGACTTATGATATATTCAACCTACGATGGGCTTATCCAGACAACCCAATCGTAAGTAGAGGTGCATACTCAATGCATATTGCTTTTGCATGAAGGTAAAGTTGAAAAATCTGAAGTCCAACCATCAAATTTGGGACCATCTGTATATACTGTTTTTTCCTACACACACCTATGATTGAGTTTAATTTTTAATTAGGCACAGTCCTCTTGTGCTTTTGGTCATTATTAAATAAAATAAGGGCTACTTGAACACAAGCACTGTGATACTGCAGTCCATCCGATAACTGATGGCTGACTGACTAACAGATGGGCAGCATATAGAGTGTAAATGCTGGACGAAGGAATGGAGCAAGATGGCAAAATATTTCATCACACTACTCAGAATGTGACGTGTAACTTAAAACTTACGAATTTTTATTTCTGGAATTTTCCATTTAGGATTATCAAACCTCAGCCCACTTCGGGTAACTGAAACCATGGAAAGCAAAACCACAGAGAGCAAAATCACAGATCAGGGAGTACTGCCATACTCTAAAAAAGCCAGACAAAGACACTACAAGAAAACTATAGAGCCAGGCACAGTGGCTCATGCCTGTAATCCCAGCACTTTGGGAGGCCGAGGCGGGTGGATCACAAGGTCAAGAGTTCGACACCAGCCTGGCCAACATAGTGAAACCACGCCTCTTCCAAGAATACAAAAATTAGCTGGGTGTGGTAGTGCGTGCCTGTAATCTCAGCTACTCAGGTGATGGAGGCCAGAAAATTGCTTGAATCTGGGAGGCGGAGGTTGCAGTGAGCTGAGATCATGCCACTGCACTCTAGCCTGGGTGACAGAGCAAGACTCCATCTCAAAAAAAAAAAAAAAAGAAAACTACAGACCAATTTTCCTTATGCACATTGATGCAAAAATCCTTAACAAAATATTGGCAAACCAAATTCAACAGTTTATTAAGCAGTTTATTATGGTTATACACCATAACCAAGGACTTATTCTAAGAATGTAATAACAGTTCACCTATGAAAACCAATCAATGTAATACAACACATTAAAATAAAGAGGAAAAACCCACATAATCATCTTAATTGATGCAGTAAAAGCATCTGACAAAATTCAACACACTTTCATAATAAAAACACTTAGAAAGCTAAGAAAAGAATAAAATTATCTCAAATAATAAAGGCCAAATATGAAAAACCCATACTTCACATCATATTCAATGGGGAAAGGCTGGAAAAAGGCTGGAAACTTTTCCTCTAAGATCAGAAACAAGACAAAGATGCATACTTTCCCCACTTCTATTCAGTATAATACAATACTGGAAATTCTAGCCAGAGTAATACGGCAAGAAAAAGAAAGAAAAGGCATCCAAACTGGAAATGAAGAAGTAAAATTATCTCTGTTCGCTGATGACAAGATCTCATAAGACCCTAAAAATTCCACACACAAAAAACCTGTTACAACTAATAAATGAATTTAACAAAGTTACAAGATACAAAATCAACATTAAAAATCAGCTGCATTTCTATACACTAAAGATTAACAATGTTAAAATGAAACTTAAAAAATTCAAATTGGGCTGAGTGCAGTGGCTCACACCTGTAATCCTAATGTTTTGGGAGGCCAAGGCAGGAAGACAGCATGAGCTCAGGAATTTGAGGCCCTCCCAGGCGACATAGTGAGACTTTGTCTCTACTAATAATCAAAAAACGGCTGGGCGCAGTGGCTCACTCCTGTAATCCCAGCATTTTGGGAAGCCGAGGCAGGCAGATCATGTGAGGTTGGGAGTTTGAGGTCAGCCTGACCAACATGGTGAAAACCTGTCTCTACTAACAATACAAAATTAGCTGGGTGTGGTGGTGCCTGCCTGTAATCCCAGCTACATGGGAGTCTGAGGCAGAAGAATCGCTTGAACCCAGGAGGTGGGGGTTGTGGTGAGCCGAGATTGTGCCACTGCACTCCAGCCTGCAACGACAGTGAAACTGTGTTTCAAAAAATAATAATAATCAAAAAACTTAGCCAGACGTGCTGGCGCACACCTGTGGTCCCATCTACTCAGGAGGCTGAGGTGGGAGGATCACTTGAAACTGGGAGTTCAAGTTTGCAGTGAGCTATGATCACCCCACTACACTCCAGCCTGGGCAAGAGTGACACCCAGCCTCAAAAAAAAAAAAAAAAAAAATTCAAGTTGCAATAGCATCATAAAGAATAAGATACTTAGGAATAAATTTAACCAAGAAGGTGAATGACCTCTATGCTTAAAACTGTAAGACACTGCTGAAAGAAATTAAAGAAGGTATAAATAAACATAAAGACATCCCATGTTCATGGATTTAAAGATTTAATATAGTTAAGGTATCACTGTTACCAAAAGTGATCTGCAGATTCAATGCCAGTCCTATCAAAATCCCAATGATGCTTTTTGCAAGAAGAGAAAACTCCATCCTAAAATTTATATAGAATCTTAAGGGACCCCCAATAGCCAAAACAATCTTGAAAAAGAAAAAAAATTATCTCACACTTTCTGAATTCAGAACTTACTATAAACATATGGCAATCAAAACAGTGTGGTTCTGGCATAAAAACAGACATGTAGACCAACAGAATAAAAAGCCCAAGTGGGCATGGTGGTGTGTGCCTGTATTTCTACCCACTGAGGAAGCTTAGACAGGAGAATCACTTGAGCCCAGGAGTTCAAGTCCAGTCTGGGCAACATGGCAAAGCCCAGTCTTTTTTTTTTTTTTTTTTTTTGAGACGGAGTCTCGCTCTGTCGCCCAGGCTGGAGTGCAGTGGCGTGATTTCCGCTCACTGCAAGCGTGGTCCACCTCCCGGGTTCATGCCATTCTCCTGCCTCAGCCTCCCGAGTATCTGGGACTACAGACGCCCGCCACCATGCCCGGCTAATTTTTTGTATTTTTAGTAGAGACGGGGTTTCACCATGTTAGCCAGGATAGTCTCGATCTCCTGACCTCGTGATCTGCCCGCCTCAGCCTTCCAAAGTCCTGGGATTACAGGCATGAGCCACTGCGCCCGGCCTAGTCTTTTAAAAAAATAAATTAAAAGCCTGGAAATAAAAAGCCCAGAAGTAAATACATATATGTCACAAATGATAATGCAACAAGGGTACCAAGGCCATTTAATAAGAAAGGAAGGACAGTCTTTCAGCAAATGGTGATGGAAAAACTGGATATCCACATTAAAAAGAACGAAGTTGGATCGCTACCCTAAACCATATATAAAAGTTAATTCAAAATGGACCAAAAATCTAAACATAAAAGCAAAACCTATGAAACCCTTAGAAGAAAACATGGAGGAAGGCTTCCTGGTATTGGATTTGACAATGACTTCTTGGATATGGCACCAAAAGAACAGCCAACAAAAGAAAAAATACATAAAAATCAAACTTCATCAAAATGAAAAACCTTCATATATCAAAGGATACTATCAAGACAGTGAAAAGGCAATCTACAGAATGGCACAAAATGCATGCAAATCACATATCTGATAAGAGATTAATACCTAGAATATATAATAAACTTTTTCAACTCACAGACAAAATAACAACTCAATTAAAAACAGGCAAGGAAACTGAATAGACCTCTCTAAAAGAGATACACAAATGGCCAAGAAGCACATGAAAAGATACACATAGGCCGGGCGCGGTGGCTCATGTATGTATGTAACCCCAGCACTTTGGGAGGCTGAGGCAGACAGATCACTTGAGATCAGGAATTTGAAACCACCCTGGCCAACATGGTGAAACCCTGTCTCTAGTAAAAATACAAAAATTAGCCAGGCATGGTGGCGCATGCCTGTGTTCCTAGCTACTCTGGGGGCTGAAGCAGGAGAACTGCTTGAATCCGGGAGGCGGAGTTTGCAGTGAGCCAAGATTGCACCACTGCACTCCTGCCTAAGAGACAGACCAAAAATCTGTCCCCCAAAAAAACAAAAAAGAGAAAGAAAAAAGAAAAGATACACATCACTTATCATTAGGGAAATGCAAATCAAAACCATGAGGTATCACCATATACTCATTAGGATGGCTACTGTCTTAATCTGTTTTGTGCTGCTGTAACAGGATACTTGAGACTGGGTAGTTTATAAATAACAGACATTTATTTTCCCACAGTTTTGGACGCAGGGAAGTCCAAAACAAGGTATTAGCATCTGGGGTGGACAGTCTTACAGCATCCTCACAAAGCAGAAGGTGGAAGGGCAAAAGCGGGTGAGCCCTCTCCCACAAGCCTTTTTAATAGCAGCATTAATCCATTGATAATGGTGTAGCCCTCATGACATAAACCCTTCCCAAAAGGCGCCACCTCCCAATTACTCCTGCACTGGGAATTAAGTTCCCAACACATGAATTTTGGGAGACACATTCAGACTACAGTAGCTGTGATTTTTTTCTTAAATAAGAAATTAAGTGCTGGCAAGGACATGAAGAAATTAGAAGCCTTGCACACTGTTGGTAGGAATGTAAAATGGTGCAGCCCCTATGGAAAACGGTTTGGCAGGTACTCAAAAAATTAAAAATAGAATTACTCCATGACCCAGCAATTCCACTTTTGGCTATCTATTCAAAAGAAACAACAGCAGGGACTTGAACAGATTTTTATATACCCAAATTCACAGAATTCTCTCACAACAGCCAAACCGTAGAAGCAACCCAAGTGTTCAACTTATGAATGTTTAAACAAAATATGGTACATGTATACAATGGAATATCATTCAACCTTAAAAAAAAAAAGGAGACTGACTGTCACAACATGGATGAACATTAAGGACGTTGTAGTAAGTGAAATAAGCCAGTCACGGCTGGTAACGGTGGCTCATGCCTGTAATCCCAGCACTTTGGGAGGCCGAGGTGGGTGGATCACCTTAGGTCAGGAGTTTGAGACCAGCGTGGCCAACATGGTGCAAACCCGTCTCTACTAAAATACAAAAAAATTAGCCAGGCGTGGTGGCGGGTGCCTGTAATCCCAGCTACTTGGGAGGCTGAGTCAAGAGAATCACTTGAACCCGGCAGGCGGAGGTTGCAGTGAGCCGAGATCGCGCCACTGCACTCCAGCCTGGGCAACAAGAGTGAAATGGAAATGGAAAGGAAAAGAAAGGAGCCAGTCACAAAAAATCAAATATGGCATAATTTCACTTATATGAGGTACCCACAGTAATTAAATTCATAGACAGTAAGTAGAATAGTGACTACCAGGGGCTAGGGAGTTATTGCTTAATGGGCACAGAGTTCAGTTTGGGATGATGAAAAAATTCTAGAGACAGACAGTGGTAATGAGTACACAACAATGTGAATGTACTTAATGCTATTGAACTGAAACTTTAAAAACTATGTTATGCATATAAACTAAAATAAAAATAAGTAACTCAAACTACATCATGCATTAAAAATAAAATGCAAAACTATTAGCTTCTAGAGGATTATTAGGAGAAAATATAAGTGAACTTGGTCACATGGTTTCAAGATGAGTCTGTAGGTACAAGACTAAAGTCATGCCACATGCAAGAAAAAGTTGATATATTGGACTTCACTAAAATTAAAAACCTCTGCTCTGCAAAAGACACTGGTAAGTGAATGAAAAGATAAGCCACAGATTGGAAGAAAGTATCTGCAACAATCTTATCTGATAAAGAACTTAAGAACATAGAAAGCGCCCTTACAAGTCACTAATACAACAAACCAATTAAAAAATGGGCAAATGATCTGAGAAAAGGGAGAGATGGAGAGTGACATTAATGGATAGATATAGGGACTCTTTTTGGGGAGATGAAAATGTTCTAGAATTAGATAGTGATAGTTCTACAACACCGTGAATATATATTAAAAAACCAAACTGTATACTTTTAAAATGATGAACTGTATGGTACGTGAATGTATCTCAATTTTTAAAATGCAATAGAGAGAAAAGAGAGCAGAGATTCTTTTTCTGCCTCTGGAATACTTTAACTGTATGTGAAGCCTAGAACTGTCAGAGGCATGTGAACCAGAGCGACTCCATCTTGAATAGGAGCTGGGTAAATGAGACTGAAACCTACTGGGCTGTATTCCCAGACAGTTAAGGAATTCTAACTCAAAGGATGAAGATAGGGAGGACAAGATACAGGTCATAAAGACCTTGCTGATAAAGCAGGTTACAGTAAAGAAGCTGGCTAAAACCCACCAAAAACAAGACAGAAATGAGAGTGATCTCTGGTCATCGTCACTGCTATACTCCCACCAGTGCCATGACAGTTTACAAATGTCATGGCAACGTCAGGAAGTTACCCTATAGGTCTAAAAAGGGGAGGCATGAATAATCCACCCCTTGTTTAGCATATAATCAAGAAATAGCCATAAAAATGGGCACCAGCAGCCCTCGGGGCTGCTCTGTCTATGGAGTAGCCATTCTTTTGTTCCTCTACTTTCCTAATAAACTTGCTTTCACTTTAGGGACTTGCCCTGAATTCTTTCTTGTTCGAGGTCTATCCAGGAATCCTCTCTTGGAGTCTGGATTGGGACCCCTTTCCTGTAACTGAACTATGGCAGCCATCTTGAGACCATGAGAGCCAGACAAATCAACACACCGAAGATGGAAAGAACCTGGTCCTTGACGCAAAATCAAGGACCAATCCTGGAACTGTCTTTCCATCAGATTTCTTGTTAAATGAGGTAATAAATCCCGATCGTCAACAAGAAAAAGGGGGAGGGGTGACAGGACCGCAACAGTCTCCTCAAAGATGATATACAGATGGCAAATATGCCTATAAAAAGATGTTCATTGCTGGGCGCAGTGGCTCACGCCTGTAATCCCAGGACTTTGGGAGGCCCAGGTCTTGATCACCTGAGGTCAGGAGTTCAAGACCAGCCTGGCCAACACAGTGAAACCCCATCTCTACTAAAAATACAAAAAAATTTGCTGGTTGTGGTGGCGGACGCCTGTAATCCCAGCTACTTGGGAGGCTGAGGCAGGAGAAAATGCTTGAAATTGGAAGGCGGAGGTTGCAGTGAGCCAAGATCACGCCACTGCACTCCACCCTGGGTGACAGAGTGAGACTCTGTTTCAAAAACAACAACAAAAAAATTAGCCTGTGTTTGAGGGTCCTCTTTTCTATTGCAGTTGACCCCACATGAAAGAGCGAAACTCCGTCTCAAAAAAAAAAAAAAAAAAAAAAGAAAAAGATGTTCATTATGTGTCACTGTCATTTTAAAATGCAAATTAAAACAACAAGAGTGTTAGAATGATGGATCTGAAATGCATATTGCTAAATGAAAGAAGCAAGTCTGAAAGGCTACAAACTGTAAGATACCATTTAAAGGGCATTCCGGAAAAAGCAAACCTATAGATAGTACCAGATCAGTGGTAGCTGGAGTTGGAGGGTAGGGTTAAATGGATGAAGCAGAGGACACTTTCAGGTAGTAAAATTGTTCTGTATGATATTTTAATGATAGGTAAACGGCACCACGCATTTTTCAAAACCAGCAGAACTTCAGAGAACAAGAGTGAGCCTCAGTACATGTTAACTTTTAGAAAACATTTCAGAGGTGGAGAATCCCAGGATGGAATGCAGAATGTAGCAAAAGAATCTAATTGCAGTACAAACACATGAAACAACCTCACTAAAGGGGGTATGGGGAAAGGCAGTGATCCAAGTAACTCTGGGAAATAGTGGAGTCTTTTTTTTTTTTTTTTTTTTTCATTTGGAAGCTGGAATTTTATCATAGGCAACAAATATTATCAGTTGTTTTTTTTTTTTCCTTTAAGACTGGAGGCAAAAAAAGTTGCGCATAAATGAAACTGGCTCAATTTCCCCATAGAAATTATGTGTACAGGTCTTTGAATAAACATAGAAACTGACCCTTCCAGTTTTAAAACCTAAAACTTATATTTGTCTCCAATGAGTTCTTTCCTCAGGCAACGGACTGAAACTCACCAAATCACCATTTGACAATGAGACCCCAGACACCTCTTTCCCCTCATAGGTCAGGACTGCTTCCTTATCCTTTTTCTAATTGCTGTTTTCCTCACACATAGTTACATTCCTTTTTTCGGTACATAAACTCCCCAGTTTTAGTTGGTCGAGGAGGCAGATTCGAAACTGATCTCCCATTCTCTTCAGTAGGCAACACCTAAATAAAAAGGCAAAATTTTTCTCTGGCCGGGCGCAGTGGCTCTGGGTGTAATCCCAGAACTTTGGGAGGCCTAGACGGGCGGATCACTTGAGGTCATGAGTTTGAGACCAGCCTGGCCAACATGGGGAAACCCCCCATCTCTACTAAAAATACAAAATTAGCCAGGCATGGTGGCACACACCTGTAATCCCAGCTACTCGGGAGGCTGAGGCAGGAGAATCGCATGAACCCAGGAGACAGAGGTTGTAGTGAGCTGAGATCGCACCATTGCACTCCAGCCTGGGCAACAAAAGCGAAACTCCATCTCAAAAAAAAAAAAAAAAAAAAAAAAAAAAAAAAAAGGCTTTTTCCCTGGCAATACTCAACTCAGTGATTGGCTTTCTGTGTGGCGAGAAACAGGACCTAGATCGACCACCTGGCATTTCTGTAACTTAAACACTGTTATGCTATAGTTGAAAGTTGTACCCCATGGAAATAAAGATTAACAATTCTGGAACCATGTATGCTGTGATTGACCAATTAAATAAACTGGATGGCAGATGGTGGGAGCCAGGTTTCTCACTGCTGGAGTGGAAGGTTACAAATAAACAAGAGAAGGAAGCAAGAATGATCCATGTAATCATGGATTAGAGTTGGGCACATCATTATGAACTCATTTTTAACTTCATATAGATACAGATGGTCACAAATGGAAATACTTACAAATGTGTGTATTATATACACCTGTTTCCTCACTGTATCAGCTGAAAGAGCCTGAAAGAAACTACACCCTAGAAACTCAACAGCAATAAGCGTATCTAGTGTGACACATCTTGGTTTCAAATGCCATTCTCAAATAAAAGAAACCAGGGCTCCTTGGAGAAACAGCTAATTCTGGGACTAGAGTGGGAAATATGTAAGAGGAGCGTGGAGTATCTTGTAATCCCAGAATATAAGCATGGCAGGCCAGGTCTCACTAACTCAGGCCCCCAAAACAACTGTTTCTGTACAGACTGAGTAGTTAAGTTAAATGTTAAAAGCTGAAAGAGCCGGCCGGGCACAATGGCTCACATCTGTAATCCTAGCCACTCTGGGAGGCCAAGGTGGGCGGATCACCTGAAGTCAGGAGTTCGAAACCAGCCTGGCCAAAATGGTGAAACCCCATCTCTACTAAAAATACAAAAATATTAGCTGGGTGTGGTGGCAGGTGCCTGTAATCCCAGCTACTTTGGAGGCTGAGGCAGGAAAATCGCTTGAACGCAGGAGGCGGAGGTTGCAGTGAGCCAAGACTGCCCCACTGCACTCCAGCCTCAGTGACAGAGCAGAGCAAGACTCCATCTCGGAGGGCGCGACGGGGGGGAGGGGAAGAGCCAGTACCCTTATGCAAAGGCTGGAATTTAACAAAAGCCCACCAAGAGTTTTGCCTAGGCCTTTCCTGGGCCTTAAAGCATGACAAAATAATGAAGGAATTCTTAAGGCCCATTTAGGATTAAACAAGTTTTACTGTGGGTCTAAAGAAACTTCCCAGGCCTCCACAAACAAGTTTATTGGGGTGTGAAGGAACTCCCAAACCTCCGTGATTTAGCAGGAGACAAGATAACGGTAATCACTCCAGCACCTGGACCCATTTAGATTAAGTAAATTTACTGAGGCTCCAGAGGAAGGTCTTCAAGACTCAGACCTTAGTTATGGACCAAAAGAAGTTAATCATTAAGATGAATGCACACTTACAGGTAGACATATAACTTAGAAGGTATATAAGCTACGGAAACTTTGTAATATTGAGTTGGCCTGGTGATAATTTCCAGGTATTATCCCTGTAACCCATTGCAGAAATAAAAACTTTCTTCCTCCCCAGTTCATCTGCATCTCATTATTGGGCCTTAAGAAGTAGCAGCCCAACTCTCAGTTTGGTCCAGGAACATAAGTGTTTTAAAAAAAAAACAAAGATAGGGTTATATATGTCAAAGCACTCCCAATGGCCAAAGCTAGAACAATTTGAACAAGAAAATAAAGCAATATTGGATTTGGGGATAATCCAAAGTACAAAATAAATATCTATGAGTTCATACTGATAAAATGATTAAATAGAAAAGAACAAGCAAATCTCCCATGCAGAGGAATTCCAAATAATTTATGCAGACACTCTGCCCCCAAGTAGGTGGAATATAACTACTCATTCTGAAAGTGTGGGCTGCACATAGTGACTTCCTTCCAAAGTGTACAGTATAGAAACGGGTAAAAGAGCAACTTTACAGTGGAGAAATATGATAAACAGTATCTCAGCCAGGTGATCAAGCTTAACATCAACAGTGGCACATACTGTTGATATGATATAATGAAAATGGTACTTCATCTCTATGGGCTTCTTCCCAAACACCCATAATTCCACTCTAATCATGAGAAAAACATCAAGATTAATCTCAATTGAGAGACATTCTACAAAACACCTGATGAGTCCTCCTCAAGACTGTCCAGGACATCAGAAACAAGGAGCGCCTAGGAAACTGTCACAGTCCACAGGAGCCCAAGAAGACACAACAACTAAATGTAATGTAGTAGCATGAGATACTGGAACAGAAAAAGAACATTCAGTAAAATACAAGAAATCTCAGTAAAGTATGTATGGACTTTAGGGTTTTTTTCTTTGGCAGTGGATTTTTTTTTTCTTTTTTTTTCCAAACACTCTCCCAAGTAGCTGGGACTACAGGCACACACCACCATGCCTGGTAATTTTTGCTTGTTTGAAGAGCGATGCCCAAGCTAGTCTTGAACTCCTGGTCTCAAGTGATCCTCTGGCCTCACCGTCCCAAAGTAGTGGGATTACAGGTGTGAGCCACCATGCCTGGCTGCTTTTAGCTGATAATAGTGCATGGACATTGGCTCATTAATTTTGACAAATGTACCATGCCAATGTAAAATGTTAATAATAAGGGAATATGGGTATGGAGTATAGGAAAACTCTATGCTATCTGCAATTTTTCTGTGGATATAAAACTATTCTATAAAAAAGTTTTATTTTAAAAAATAAATGGACAAGAATATAAAAACATCCTGAAGGAGAAAAAGAAAGGGACAGAGGAAAAATTAGTACTATTAAATGTTAGAGGCCAGGCACGGTGGCTCACGCCTATAATCCCAGCACTTTGAGAGGCCGAGGCAGGTGGATCACCTGAGGTCAGGAGTTCAAAACCAGCCTGACCAACATGGAGAAACCCCATCTCTACTAAAAATACAAAATTAGCTGGGCGTGGTGGCGCATGCCTGTAATCCTGGCTACTTGGGAGTCTGAGGCAGGAGAACTGCTTGAACCTGGGAGGCAGAGGTTGTGGTAAGACGAGTTCCTGCCAGTGCACTCCAGCCTGGGCAAGGAGAGCGAAACTCCGTCTCAAAAAAGAAAAAAAATACATTAGAGCAGGGGTTAGCTAACTACAGCCCACAGTCCAAATCTAGTCCACTGCTTATTTTTTATAAAGTTTCACTGATACTTAGCAATGCTCGTTCATTTACATATTGTCTGTCTATGGCTGCTTTTGTGCTATACTGGCATAGCTGAGTAACATATGGCCAAAAAAACCCTATAACATTTATTACCAGGTCCTTTACAAAAAAAAGTTTGCCAACCCCACCCCACTTTGTTTTCATTTTACTTTAATTTTTTGGAGACAGAGTCTCCCCATCTGTTGCCCAGGCTGGAGTGCAATGGTGCAATCTCACCTCACTGCAACCTCCGCCTCCCGGGTTCAAGACATTTTCATGCCTCAGCCTTCCCAGTAGCTGAAACTACAGGTGCGTGCCACCACAGCTGGCTAATTTTTGTATTTTAGTAGAGATGGGGTTTCAGTATTTTGCCTAGGCTGGTCTCAAACTCCTGAGCTCAGGCAATCCGTCTGCCTCGGCCTCCCAAAATGCTAGGATTACAGGTGTGAGCCACTGCGCCTGGCGCCAACTCCACTTTGAATAAATAGAACCCAATGCAGAGTTCACAAATACCAATTATATGGGTATATCACAAATATACTCATATAATTTATTATCTGAGCAGCTGCTGATATCCCATGACTTGCCTGAGCAGAGGCAGGTACTTCACTGCCATATCCCTATAGCTTCTTTTCCATTTAGCACACATCCTCCTCCTATAATACACAACTCTTTCAAAGACAGGCTCTAGTAATATTTCTCTAAACGTATCCTGAACTCAGAGATAACAGACATTTGTTGTGGCAGAAAAGGCTGGCTTCCTACACTGCCCACTCCTCAGCTACTCAGGAGGCTGAGGAGGATCGCTTGCTAACATCTTCTCAGTTTTGTTCATGTTCCATTAACTGCATGCTTAAGCTGACCATGGTCACCATCTTGAGACTGCAGGCCAGAGAGCTCACTAGGTCCTGGAGATGAATCTAATTCAACCATAATAATTCCATGATTTAAGACAGGAATGAGCTACATGGCCCAACTGTGGTCAATGAGATATAAGGGAAGACATGTGGGAGGGCTTGTGAACGGCTTTTCACTCTCTAAGGGACGCATAACAAAACAGTTTACTTCCAATTTGGGGGCACTGCTGTGTAATGATATGCTACAGTTGCTCAGTCATCTTGAGACCACAAGGGGTCAATCCTGAAGATCAAAAGCCAGCACACTGGGGAGAGCAAATAAGAATATAATGAGTCCAGGTCCTCAGCAATATCATTAAGCTGCTGTGCTAAGCACTCTATTCCTGGAGTTCTTATGTGCAATAATAAATCCCCTTATTATCAAATACATCATGTATAGGCATTTTGCACAATGCTAACTTATTTAAAATGAAATATTCAAGTTTTATTTTTATGAGCAAGTTAAGAAATCAAGAATATAACTGTCTAAACTGTTGACTCTACTGTACTTCTAAACAACAAAAAAAATTATTCTAAAATATATTCAAATTGAAAACTAGTGCTCCCTAATTTGAACATACTGCCACAAGGCCAAGCATGGTGGTTCATCCCCGTAATCCCAGCACTTTGGGAGGCTGAGGCGGGTGGATTACTTGAGGTCAGGAATTCAAGACCAGCCTGGCCAACATGGTGAAACCCCCTCTCTACTAAAAATATAAAAATTAGCCAGGTGTGGTGGTGCACGCCTGTAGTCCCAGCTACTCGGGAGGCTGAGGCAGCAGAATCACCTGAACCCAGGAGGTGGAAGTTGCAGTGAGCCAAGATCACGCCACTGCACTCCAGCCTAGGCGACAGAGCAAGACACCGTCTCAAAAAAAAAAAAAAAAACAAAAAAAGTACTGCCACAAGACTCATAGTCATTTCTGTATTAGTAATGAAGACATATATTAAAAAGTATGTTTCACTGTAAGCTGCCAATATCTTCATAATTCACATATTTGCTATTTTTTGCCTATATCACTTATAGCTATCTGGTTAGTAAAATGTTCCATCTAAAAAATTACTTATCTGGGCCAGACACAGTGGCTCACACCTGTAATCCCAGCACTTTGGGAGGCAAAGGAGCTCAGGACTTCAAGACCAGCCTCGGAAATGTAGTAAAACCCCATCTCTACTAAAAATACAAAAATTAGCTGGGCCTGGTGGCACATGCCTGTGGTCCCAGCTATTCAGGAGGCTGAGGTGAGAGGAACACTTGAGCCTGGGAGGTGGAGACTGCAGTGAGCCGAAATCCTGCCACCACACGCTAACCTGGGTGACAGAGCGAGACTTCATCTTGAAAAAAAAAAAAATTCTTTATCTGAAAGTTTTTACATAAACATAAGGATGTAGAAGATGAACCATTTTAAAAACCAAACAAATGACTATATACTTGAAGACTTTGCAATTTCTCCCCCTACCTAATAATAATATTGGAATACAAGCAGAAAAAAGAATTTTACTGGTTATCTCTCCAGATAAAATAACTTTTCTATAAAAATTATAAAAATTTTCTCAGCACTGTATTAAATGGTTGAATAAATGGCATGCCTATCTCATTGGACAGACCAAGCAGCATTCATTAAATATTTACAAAATAACTGCTTTTCACAACTTTTCAAACAATTTATTAACCACAACCCAAATTAATGCAAACTAAGAGGCCAAGAACTGTTTTTGTAAATATTCTTATCTCTACCAAGATTTTTTTTTATTTTTTTGTGGGTACATAGTAGGTGTATATGTCCAACATTCTATAAGAGTGAAAATACTCAACTCCAAACGATTCATTCACTCAACAAACATTTGTTAACCTTGACTATACCAGCTAGGTGTTGGGGACAATGGTGAGAAACAGGATACAGTCCTTGCTCTCATTTCACGGAATGTAAAATTATAAATGGAAATATACGCTCTGAAGGAAAAGGACAGAGGTTATTGAGTATATTACAAAGACCCCTGAGCAATATCTGGGCAAAAAGTATAATTATCCTATAACAGCAGCAACAATAGCAGCAACAGATATTATGCGGGGCCCTAACCAAAGCACATTATATATACATACCTTCATTTTATCCTCACTACAACCTTTGAGATAGGAACTATTATTATCCCGATTTCATAGATGACAAACTCAGATGCAGAGAATTTAAGCAACTTTCCCAACTCACATAGTAAGTGCATGAACTGGTATTCCACCAAGATAGTCACACACCTCCAGAGTATGTGCTACTAACCACTGTAATACATTACTTTTCTTATACAGCCCAAATGTTTCCACAAATAGAATCAGTACATACATATGGCAGCCAGCCTGCATTGCAGCAACCTGAGTAAGTGACAGGAGTCAAATGTAGCTAGTTCCTCAGGCAAAGCAAAGCGTAGACCTTCACTTGACCACTAACCCTGTTCCCCACACTAAGGAGTTCTAACCTGCTACTGTGTACTTGAGCAAAAGGGCAGTCTCTACCAACCCCTTCGCCTACTTTCTCAATATGACCCAAAAAGTTCAGATGAACTAGGCACCTGGCTTTTCTCAATCAATCAGGTCATCTGCTGTCCATCAAAAAAAGATAAGGTTGGAAGCTGTTCCCACACATGATGGCCAACTCAAAGATCACAATACACAGTAAATATCAGCAACTTGAAAGCAAAAGGAGATAGACTGTCATTTCCCCTGGACATGCAGTGTCATGGCTGTTCCTCCTCCTTGGCTCTGCCTGCTTTCTAATTCCACATGGATGGCCAAGAAGAGTTCAGAGGTTAATGGACAGACAAGATAACCACCTCAGTAAGAGAATTAATCACTAGCTTTTCATGAGATAATTTTTAGAAGGGGGTGGTAGCAGCATGTTATTAGTCCCAGACACAAAATGTGACCATTCCTATAAAGTAAAATCTAGATAAGATGCCTTAATTGGGAGGAAATACTAAAGATGATCATTGTGTAATCTTAACTTAAAATTGCTTTTAAGCCGGGTGTGGTGGCTCATGCCTGTGATCCCAGCACTTTGGGAGGCAGATCACAAGGTCAAGAGATCGGGATCATCCTGGCCAACATGGTGAAACCCCGTCTCTACTAAAAATACAAAAATTAGCTGGGCATGGTGGCGGGCGCCTGTAGTCCCAGCTACTTGGGAGACTGAGGCAGGAGAATCACTTGAACCCAGGAGGCGGAGGTTGCAGTAAGCCGAGATCACACCACTGCACTCCAGCCTGGCAACAGAGTGAGACTCCATCTCAAAAAAAAAAAAAAAATGCTTTTAAATACAAAGAAAATACCCCCACTACACTGCAATCTTTCAGTTCAACTGAAGATCTTGGGACAGATATCACACATTTAACAACAGCTATAATCTTCCTCAAAGGCAGTCTAAGGAGTCATGAGAAGTCAGGGTGGAGCCACAGTTAAGAGAAGGTACAAGGCATGTATAGTCTGAATGCTGAAAATAGGAAGCCCACCACTAGGAAGGATCAAGAACAAGTATCAATAATAAGGATGAACAGCATGTATCACGAGAGCAAAATATCAGAAATGTCAGCATTCCCAAGAGTTTCTTTAGAGTATCACTTCTCCCACCCCTCAATCTCCTGCTCTCTTTCAATCTTATGGGCTCAGTTGACACTACAACTTTGATACAAATAACCAGTGTCTCTACCTCCAACATCTCTCCCTGATTCCTCTCTCTAGATTTTCTCACCATCCAGCCTCAAAAACACATGTCAGGAAAAAATAAAGGGGGTGAGGGGGAGGCGCAATGGTTCATGCCTGTAATCCCAACACGTTGGGAAGCCAAGGCAGGAGGATCATTGGAGCCCAGGGGTTCAAGACCAGCCTGGGCAATTTAGTGAGACCTTGTCTCTACAAAAAAAAAAAAATTTTTTTTGACATAGGGTCTCGCTCTGTTGCCCAGGCTGGAGTGCAGTGGCGCAATCTCGGCTCACTGCAACCTCGTTCAAGGGATTTTCTGCCTCAGCCTCCCAAGTAGCTGGGACTACACGTGCCCACTACCACACCTGGCTAATTTTTTGTATATTTAGTAGAGACGGAGTTTCACTATGTTGGCCAGGCTGGTCTCAAACTCCTGAACAGAGGCAATCCGCCCGCCTCAGCCTCCCAAAGTGCTAGGATTACAGGCCTGAGCCCCGACACCTGGCCAAAATATTTTTTAAAGAGTTCACATCCAAGTGCAGTTAGCACTCTCAAAATCAACAAAACCAAAAGAAAACTAATCATAGTAATTAATTTCTCCTCCTGACTTCTCTAGTGATAGTACTGTACTGATTTTTTACCTGATTACATTTTCTCATTCCCCAAAATTCAATCTGCTTCTAGCTCCTCTACTAGTTCCTTAACATCTCTCACATTAATCACTTTCCTTTTTCCTTTTTTTTTTTTTTTTTTTAAGACAGAGTCTCGCTCTGTTGCACAGGCTGGAGTGCAGTGGCCTGATCACAGCTCACTGCAGCCTCAACCTCCCAGGCTCAAGTGATCCTTCTGCCTCCCAAGCAGCTGGGACTACAGACACACACCACCAAGCTCAGCCTCTTTTTTTTTTTTGGTAGAGACATTAGGCTGGTATCAAATTCTGGGGCTCCAGCAATCCTCCTGCATCTGCCTCCCAAAGTACTGGAATTATAGGTGTGAGCTACCACATCCAGCCAATCTTTTTCCACTAGGTCAAGACCCTGGTCCAGAAGCTCTTTTCTCCCAAGGTTTTGCCTCCTTATCAATCACTTAACTCTTGTGTCTCTCCACACTCAGGCACTGCATCAGATAAATCTTCCTGAAGAACAATCATGAGCATAGTTTCTCATTGTTCCCATGATCAAACTTGTCTAAACTTGTGAAGAAAGGAAGTAATAAGCTATGCATAGTTACACAGGCAGCCTTTGAATTGAGGTACTCCTAATTCCTAGAGACCGTGCTCTTCATCAACCAGCCTTGCATGTATCAGTACTACCCGACACTTTCCAGCCACTATCAAAAAAAGTTGTTTCATGGTCTGTGACATAAAGGAGAAGGAAAGAAAAGAAATTTAACAAAGTATTACATATTTCAAAACATAAATGTTCAGGCATGTCTACATTAGACAAAAATCAAAGCAGTCACATGTGCACATCCATATATGGGATCAACATGTGTCCTCAGGCACGCATATCATACTGGGTAGCCCGTTCTTTCATCTTCCTAAGCTGAGCTCACTAATCCTCCCCCAATAAGATTAAAAATGAATGGACTGTCTTGATGCAGCTTCAACTATCATCTCCAAACAAAAAATGCTCACAAACATATCCCTCTCTAAATGACGTCTCAGCTACTTTTACCGACTAGAAAATAATGACTTAGATGTCCTGGCAACACCTTCAATTCAACATATGAAAAGCACCTTACTCTACAAACAGCCTTTCCTTCCAACCATTCCAATTTCTATTCATGGATCCTGGTTACAGGGTTAGTCTGTATGACACTTTCCATTATGCCTGTTTCCCTTATGAGCGGGGTAAACATTTATCACACAAACGAGAACCTTTTTTTTTCTTTGAGATGGAGTCTTGCTCTGTTGCCCAGGCTGGAGTGCAGTGGCGCGATCTCGGCTCACTGCAAGCTCCGCCTCCTGGGTTCACACCATTCTCCTGCCTCAGCCTTTTGAGTAGCTGGGACTACAGGTGCCTGCCAACGCGCCCGGCTAATTTTTTGTATTTTTAGTAGAGATGGGGTTTCACTGTGTTAGCCAGGATGGTCTCAATCTCTTGACCTCGTGATCCACCCACCTCGGCCTCCCAAAGTGCTGGGATTACAGGCATGAGCCCCTGCACCCAGCCAAGACACTTTTAAGAGTAAAAGAGGGGTCAGGCATGGTGGCTAATGCCTGTAATCCCAGCACTTTGGGAGGCCGAGGTGGGAGCACTGCCTAAGGCCAAGAGTTTGAGACTAGCCTGGGCAACATAGTGAGACCCCATCTCTGCAAAAAAAACAACAAATTAGCCAGGCATGGTGGTGCACACCTATAGTCCTAGCTACTCCAGAGGCTGAGGTGAGAGAATCACTTAAGCCCAGGAGTTTGAGGCTAAAGTGAGCCATTATCGTACCACTGCACTCCAGCCTGGGCAACAGGGCAAGACCTTGTCTCAAGTAAATAAGGAATAAAAGGGGGTCCTTTTTAAGAATTAAGCACAGGCTGGGCACGGAGGTTCACACCTGTAATCCCAGCACTTTGGGAGGCCAAGGTGGGCAGAACACTTGAGGTCAGGAGTTTAAGACCAGCCTGGCCAACACGGTGAAGCCTCGTCCCTACTGAAAAAAATATATATATACACAAAAATTAGCTAGGGGTGATGGTGTATGCTTGTAGTCCCAGCTACTTGGGAGGCTGAGGCAAGAGAATCACTTGAACACGGGAGGCGGAGGTTGCAGCGAGCTGAGATCCCGCCACTGCACTCCAGCCTGGGCAACAGAATGAGACTCTGTATCAAAAAAAAAAAACCAGAATTAAGTGCAGACAAAAGGCATAAATTGAGATGTCTGATCACCCTACTTATGAAGAGCACACATAATATGGAAAAAATTCTCAAGTAGAAGCAAGGAAACCTGAGTTCTATTCCTGGCTCTGCTGCTAACTATTAATAGCTTCCTGTCTTTAACCAATTTTCTGGCCTTTAGTGCTCTCATACATATACTGAGAAAACTAGGACTGGCGTCTAAGGCCCCTTATAGCCTCTAGTGCATATATATCTGAAAGCAGGATCAACTCACACAAAAGGGGGATCCTTAGACAGGCAATGAGGAAGGACGGAAGATAGGTCAGAAAACAAGAAAGAGCTTGAGGCAACCCAAACACTCAGGACCAGGAAGTCTGTGAGGCAACGGTGTGTCTAACTTCCAGTAGTCATGTATCCTTTCCACTGGTCTTTTTATTTTTTTTCTTTTGGCTTTGTAACTCATACATGTTTAGTAGAAAACGTATAAATGAAAATAAAGAAACAGGCAAGAAATTATATTAAAATCAACAAAAATCTCAATATCAGCAATGATCACTAGTGTTTTAAAGTTTGGTATAAACCCTTCCAGACATTTTTCCATGCAAATATATAAATGTATTTTTAATGTGATAAAAGTTGTGTAGCCGATTTACATAAAAATAAATTCACCATATTCATATCAATAGGCATATAGTCATTTCATCACTTTTAACGGCAGCTTAGTACTCCACCTAATGTATGTGCCACAACTGTTTCACCAAGTCCCTTTTAAATTACAATCTTTCATGAATATATACAATTAGTACATACATATTTTACAAATATACCTCTGTGGTCTTGTCCCAATAGTGCCTTACAGTAAGTTCCTTGAAGAGTGACTGCCAGGTCAATGGGTATGGGCTTTTTTTTAGTGTACATTAACTGGCCTCCATAAGCTTCCCACCCAAGGAGTATATAACAAAAGAATGGTAATTTAAGAACTGAAGATTTCTCCAAAGCAGTATTCAAGATGCCTAAAGCTAAAAATAATCTTCACATTTCACCACACAACATTTTATGACTCTTTTTTCATGACCCATGATACTCACATGTATCTGGCTGACTAATAATTTAAAATATAAAGCCACTATTTTTCTTCAGGGAACATATTACCATGCTACAGATCTTAAATGAAGTTTCTGTACTTCTATTGCATCACAGTATAAAGAGATATTCTACATTACGTGCAAAAGATACTTTCATTAATTACTTAAGTACTTCAAAGATCTATGCACAAAGAACTACTAATATATAAAATTCATACTTTTGCTATTTTTAAATTGAAGCAATTAGTCAGATGAATAGTAATTACCAAGAAGCACATTATCCACAGAATTTTAAGTTTTTCTTCAGATCTCCTCGTGGCTTGACCTAATTTAACAATAGACAATGTAGAGCAGGGGAGCTATTTAGGCACGGAGTGACTACATGACAATGCCTAACTCTGTGACAGTACACAAATGACAACAAAAAACAATGCTCAGACAACTCAGGAGTCTTCTTCCTACCTCTACTCTTGAATACGAAAAACAAAATTGCCTATATAGGCAACATAAGGAACTAAGCTGTCAAATAAAAATTAGATTTGAGAACAGAGATGAGGAAAGTCCCAGCTCCATTGTTCAGTCAGCCTGGTCACTTTCAGCAAGTCAATTTATCTCCATGCACTGATGTTTCTCACCATTAAATCATGCACTGCTCTATCACCTACTTCAAAACTATCATGAGAATTGATGAGTCATAGTCAATAAAAGAGTATCACATTCCTTAGAACATTCATTAGAATATTCATGAATTCTAAAAAAAAAAATAGCAAAACCAGGTGAGATACACTCAATTAAGAAGATTAAATTTAAAAGGCAGGAAAACATCCAGGTTTTTAGGTGCTTAGTTATTCTGCCTCATTGGAAAGGTCTAATACTGTATATAAACAATATTAATATGATTTCTAGTAGAACAGTACATTTCAAAAGAAGTAAGTGCAGAAAGGGACGTGGGAAGCATAGGAAAATGAAGATGGTGAGGGAAAAAACTTTTTTACATCATACATAGTGCCTTTCCTAGGAAGTGCCCCTTCCCACCCACCTTAATGAATGTCACAGTAGACATGAGAGTGTTCTCCACAAAAATATTAAAAGGATGGCCCAGGGCTGATGCGAAAGGAAAGAAAAGGTAGAAAACCACCGAATATGGGGCAAAATAGTAATATTCATATTGAAATACTGATTTTGTAAGAGGAAGAAACTTTTAAGCCAGAGAGAAGACAACTGTTAATGTAAAATTAATATAAATGGATAGTAGAAAAAAAAGTCTGAAAAGCTAAGTTTTTCATCCATCTCAAGAAAGAGCCACAAAATCAATCTTTAACAAAGTGGAAAAAAAAATAGTTAACAGTAATCAAAATTACCCTTCTGCTTTATACAACCAAGACACACTGGATGCCAGGCAATGAAGGACAGAGATCCCTGAAAATCAGGAAAGAAAAGATGTGCTGTACTATTATCCCAGCTTACTGCCTGATACAGATTCTAGGCCTCTGCTCTGGTAGGAAGAACCCAGACAAAGCCTGGAGGACAACTTTCTGAGTTGACATGAAAGTGAGAGCTAATGGAGATCAAGGCAGAACAGAGTAATGGAGGGAAGAGAGACAGAGGGAAGCCCAGAGATCTGCAGAAGATCCACTTCAAGAATTCAGCAGGGTACTGATAAGCACATGCATGTGACGTAACTATCAAAAACCAGGGAAAAAACATCTGAACAGTATACAGATCTGGCCAGATGTCACTCTGAGCCTATGCATGTTTCCACCATCTAACCTTAAAAAACTTTTTTCACTCACATAGTGCTGAGTACAAAATCAGGAAAACCTTGCCTGAGTAGTGGAGAATAATTAGTCCTACAATGAGCACTGCTCCAAATGTGCCTAATAAGATAACTGCAGATTAGACAATGCAGAAAAACGATACAAACACATGATATGTTCTATACATACATGCAATTAAGAAAGTGATTTCATTTATAACAGCATCTAAAAGAAAAAAAAATACCTAAAAATAAATTTAACCCAGGAGGTGAAAGACTCATACACTGAAAACTACAAATCGTTACCGAAAACAAATTTCACCTAAATAAAGACATTTATGTCCACAGGAAGGAAGACTTACTATCACTAAGCTATCAATACTATTCAATGTGATTTACAGATTCAATACAATCCCTATCAAATTCCCAAAGACTTTCCTGCAGAAATGGAAAAGCCCAGGAGTTTAAGATTACAGTGAGCCATGACTACACCACTGCACCCCAGCCTGGGCAACACAGCAAGACCTTCTCTCAAAAAAATAAGTAAAGAAAAACAAGGAGGTCCTTATTCAGAATTCAGGATCACCTCAAATTCATATGGAATTGCAAAGAACACCAAACAGCCAAAACAGTCTTGAAAAATTACAAAATTGGAAAACACACACTTCCTGATTTCAAAACTACAAAGCTACAGTGATCAAAACAGTGTGGGACTTGCTTAAAGATAGACATACACCAATGGAACAGAATGGAAACTCCAGAAATAAGCCATGTATGGCCAACTGATTTTGAGCAAGGGTGCCATAAAAGAATGGTCTCTTGAACAAATGCTGTTAGAGCAACTAATTTTTGGCATGTGAAAGAGTAAAGCTGGACCCCTACTTCACACCATATATTAAAATTAACTCAAAGGGATTAATGGCCTACACATAAGAGCTAAAAACATAAAAGAGATAAATCTTGGATTTGGTAATAGATTCTTATATATGACACTAAAAATACTAGAAAAGAGAGAGAGAGAAGTTGGGCTTTCTCAAACCACAAACTTTTAAAATGAACCAAAGACCTATCATTAGGCTTAAAACTATAAAACTTAGAAGAAAACACAGGGCAAAAGCTTCATAGTATGAATTTGGCAATGACTTCTTGGATATGACAACAAAAACCCAGGCAACAAAGTCAAAATAGATACACTGGACTTTATCAGAATTTAAAACTTATGTGCATCAAAGGACGCAATCAGCAGAGTCAAAAGGTAACCTACGGAATGGGAGAAAATTTGCAAATCAACTACCTGCAAGGGAGTGTCTCAGTCTATTTTGTGCTGCTATAATAGAATACCACAGACTGAGTAATTTATAATGAAATGAAATTTACTGGCTCACAGTTCTGGAGGAGGAGAAGTTCAAGAGAGAGGGAACAGCATCTGGCCAGTGCCTTCTCACTGCGTTATCCCAAGGGAGAAGGCAGAAAGACAAAAAAGAGACAAAGGGGAGCCAAACTCATTATTTTATAAGGAACCTACTACCAGGATAACAAAACTCACTGCATTAATCCATTAATTAAGGGCAGGGCCCTCACAGCCTAATCACTTCTTAAAGTTCCCACTATTTTTTTTTTTTTAACCATTTTCTTCAATAGCCCTGACAGTCCCACCTCTTAATACTATTACAATGGCAATTAAGTTTCAAAGTGAGACATTCCCACCATAGCAGGGAGTTAATATCCAGAATATATGTATAAAGAATTTTACAACTCAACAATAAAACAAAACGCAAATAACCCAATTTAAAAATGGGCAAAGAGGCCAGGAATGGTGGCTCATGCCTGTAATCCCCGCACTTTGGGAGGCCAAGGCGGGTATATCACTTGAGCCCAGGAGTTTGAGACCACCCTGGGTAACATGACAAAACTGCAGCTCTACAAAAAATACAAAAATTAGCTGGGCCTGCTCGTGTGCGCCTGTACTCTCAGCTACTCGGGAGGCTGAGGTGGGAGGATCGCCTGAGCCTGGGGAGGTCGAGGCTCCACTGAGCCGTGATCATGCCACTGCACTCCAGCCTGAGCAACAGAGAGAGAGAGACCATGTCTCCAAAAAAAAAAAAGGAAAATTTGACACACGGCACACATGGACAAACCTGGAGGACATTATGCAAGATGAAATAAGTCAATCACAAAAAGATAAGGATGAATATGGTATGATTCCATGTATATGAGGTATCTAAAGTAAGTCAAACACATAGAAACAAAGGAGAATGGTGGTTGTCAGGGAATGGGAGGGTGGCAAAAAATGGAAAGTTGTTGTTTCATGGGTATAGAATTTGTTTTGAAAGAAGAAGTTCTGGAAATTGGCTGCAGAACAATGTGAATATACTTACACTACTGAAGTCTACACTTAAGAATGGTTAAGATGGTAACTTCTTTGCTATGTGTATTTTACCACAATTAAACAATTTTTAAAAAATCAACCGTATTTCTATATGCTGGCAACAAACAATTGTGAATTTAAATTTTAAAAAATTACATTTATGTAATGATACCATTTACAATAACGTCAAGAAATATGAAACGGAATAATCTGACAAAAGATGGGAAAGACATGTCAACTGAAAACTACAAAACTCAGCTGAAAGAAATTACAGATCTAAAATAAATGGAGAGATACTACATTCATGCATCAGAAGACTTGATCAATTCTTTCCAAACAGATCTTCACGGCAAAAGAATACCAATAACAATCCCAAAAGGCTTTCTTGTGGAAACTGCCAGGCTAATTCTAAAATGCAAAGACCCAGAATCACTAAAACAACTTTAAAAAATAACAAGATTGGGGGACTGTTAGTTTTCAAGTCTTATGAACCTCCAGTAATCAAGACTGCAGGGTACTGATGTAAAGACAAATAGATCAAAGGAACAGAATAAAGAGTTCAGAGACTGACTAATATATGGACAATTGATTTTTGACAAAGATGCAAAAGTAGACCAAGCACGGTGGCTCACACCCTTAATCCCAGCACTCTGGGAGGCCAAGATGGGTGGATAACGAGGTCAGGAGTTCGAGACCAGCCTGGCCAACATGGTAAAACCCTGTCTCTATTAAAAATACAAAAATTAGCCAGGTGTGGTGGCATGCGCCTGTAATCCCAGCTACTCAGGAGGCTGAGGCAGGAGAATCGCTTGAACCTGGGAAGTGGAGGTTGCAGTGAGCCGAGATTGCGCCACTGCACTCCAGCATGGGCGATGGGACAAGACGCCATCTCAAAAAAAAAAAAAAAAAAGATGTAAAAGCTATTCAATGAATAAAAACATATTTTTCAGCAAATGAACAACTGTTCATAAACAAATAATTTCCATCCTTATTTTGCACCATATAAAAATGTAATCAAAATTAAACACAAACCCAATTGTAAAATCTAAAACTATAAAGCTTCCATAAACATAGAAGGAAGGCCAAGCACAATGACTCACACCTGTAATCCCAGACTTTGGGAGGCCGAGGTGGATGGATATTAAGGTCAGGAGACTGAACTCATGCCTGTAATCCCAGCACTTTGGTAGGCCGAGGCAGGTGGATCACGAGGTCAGGAGATTGAAACCATCCTGGCTAGCGCGGTGAAACCCCGCCTCTACTAAAACTGCAACTCTACTAAAAATACAAAAAATTAGCCAGGCATGGTGGCGGATGCCTGTAGTCCCAGCTACTCGGGAGGCTGAGGCAGGAGAATCGCTGGAACCCGGGAGGCAGAGATTGCAGTGAGCTGGAGATTGCAGTGGGCAGAGATTGTGCTACTACACTCCAGCCTGGGCGACAGAGAAAGAGACTCCGTCTAAAAAAAAAGAAAAAATAGAAGGAAATTCCTATGATTTGGGATTAGGCAACAATTTCTTAAATATGAAACCAAAACCCTGATCTATAAAAGAGCAAATTGATAAATTTCATCAAAATTTAAAATTCCTGTTCTTCAAGACACTGCTGAGAGAATGAAAAGATGGACCACGGCCTAGAGAGAATGTATTTGCAAATCATTTGACGAGGGACTTGCATCCCAAATATATAACGAATTCTCAAAACTCAATTACAAGAAAACAACCAACCAACAACAACAACAAAAAATAGGCAAAAGACAAGAACAGACACTTTGCCAAAAGGGATATACAGAAGACATATAAGCTTAGGGAAGTTGGGCACATGGCTCACACCTGTAATCCCAGCACTTTGGGAGGCTGAGGCAGGCGGACGACTTGAATCCAGGAGTTCAAGACCAGTCTGGGCAACATAGTAAGACCCCATCTCTATAAAAAATTAAAAAATTAGCTGGGTATGGTGGCATACGCCTGTAGTCCCAGTTACTCGAGAGGCTGAGGTGGGAGAATTACCTGCTCCCAGGAGGTCAAGGCTGCAATGAGCCAAGATCACGCCACCGCACTCCAGCCTGGGCAACCAAAGTGAGACTCTGCCGGAGGAGGAAAAAAAAAAAAAACTTATGGAAAGATACTGAATGCCACTAGCCATAGGGAAGCACAAATTAAAAGAACAATGAGACATCACTAAAGACCAATTGGAAGGGCTAAAATTGGTCAGGTGTTGGTAAGGATATGGATGAACTAGAATTATCATACAGTGCTAGCTGCAATGTACAACTGTACAATTACTTTTAAAATAATTAGTTTGGCAATTTATTTTATTTTATTATTTTTTTAAAGACAGAGTCTTACCATGTTGCCCAGGCTGGTCTCAAATCCCTGGGCTCAGGCAATCCTCCTGCCTCGGCCTCCCAAAGTGCTGGGATTACAGGTGTGAGCCACCATGCCCAGCCAACAGTTTCTTAAAAAGTTAAATACATCTACCATATGACCCAGCCATTTCACTCCTATTTACTTTTAAAAAAGTGTATTCTGTACAAAGATTGGCACACAGATGTTCACAGCAGCTTTATTTGTAATAGCCAATAACTGGTGAGAAGCCGAAAGTCCATCAACAAGGGAATGTACAAATCGTGGTTCATCCACAAATGGACTACTACTCAGTAATTAAAAAGAATGAACTACCGATTTACATAACACTGATAAATCTCAAAATAATTTATGCTGAACTTTTTAAAAGCCAAAGAGGAGAATATGCTGTATTTATAAAATAACAACAACAAAAAAAAGCTAGAAAATTCAAACCAGCTGGGGGCAGTGGCTCACACCTGTAATCCCAGCACTTTGGGAGGCCGAGGCGGGCGGATGGTCTGAGGTCGGGAGTTTGAGACCAGCCTGACCAACATGGAGAAACCCCGTCTCTACTAAAAATACAAAATTAGCCTGGCATGGTGGCGCATGCCTGTAATCCCAACTACTTGGGAGGCTGAGGCAGGAGAATCACTTGAACCCAGGAGGCGGAGATTGTGGTGAGCCGTTATCACGCCATTGCACTCCAGCCTGGGCAACAAGAGTGAAACTCCATCTCAAAAAAAAAAAAAGGGGGAAGAAAATTCAAGCCAATATATAGTGACAGAGTAGATAAATTATCGCCTGGAAATGGAGGTGTAGAGGGAGGTAAAAAGAAACATTTGAGGGTGATGAATATGTTTACTATCTTGATTATGATAATGGTTTCACAGGTGTATAGACATGTCACAACACAAAACTGTGCACTCCAAACACATACAGTTTATTTTATGTCAATTAAACTGAATAAGGTTGTTTAAAAAAGACAAGCAAATACAAAGCTAACTATAAAAAAGTCAGACTAATGCTGGGCACAGTGGCTCACACCTGCAATCCCAATGCTTTGGGAGGCCAAGGCAGGAGGATTCTTTGAAGCCAGGAGTTCGAGACCAGCCTGGACAACAAAGCAAGAGCACATCTCTACAAATAAAAATTTAAAAATTAGCCAGGCATGATGGGACGTACGTGTAGTCCCAGCTACCAGGAGGCTGAGGCAGGAAGATCACTTGAGCCCTGGAGTTCCCGGGTGCACTGAGCCATAATCACACCACTGCACTCCAGCCTGGATGAAACAGTAAGACTCTTGTCTCAAAAATAAATAAATAAATACACATTAAGAATAGATTTCTCTCCAATTCTCACAGAACAATGCTCTTGCTATGCCATAACCTCTTTCTCCATAGCATATCTAAGATTTCATAACCACTTGTGAAAGTTCTATGACATGCTGAACTGGAGGAAGGGAAGAGGAAAAGGGGAAGAGAGAACACATGTAAGAAACTGAGAAATTTCTTTTTTTTTTTTTTTGAGAAAGAGTCTCGCTCTGTCGCCCAGGCTGGAGTGCAGTGGCACGATCTCCGCTCACTGCAAGCGTGGTCCACCTCCCAGATTCACGCCATTCTCCTGCCTCAGCCTCCCAAGTAGCTGGGACTACAGGCACCCACCACCACGCCTGGCTAATTTTTTTGTATTTTTAGTAGAGACAGGGTTTCACCGCGTCAGCCAGGATGGTCTCAATCTCCTGACCTCGTGATCCGCCTGCCTCAGCCTCCATAAGTGCTGGGATTATAGGCGTAAGCCACCGCGTCCAGCTGAAACTGAGAAATTTCAAAAATGCTTCCATAGGGTAATAAAGCATGTTTACGTGTATACAGCCAAAAGGATACCTAACAGTAAGAAAAAATTAATGTATTCCTGTTACGTAGAGGAGGTTGTATGCACTTTTACCATTACCATTGAATACTTTTCTGGATATTCTAGTTCATTTAACATCAAAATAAGATATAAAATTATCAACACATGCAATATTTGTGAATATTTATCCAGAAGATCCTGCAAAATTAAATATTTTTTGAAAGACAAAGCACAAGTTATCAATGCAGAGTACCAGCCAGGCATGGTGGCTCATGCCTATAATCCCAGCACTCTTGAGAGGCTGAGGCTGGAGGATTACTTGAGGCCAGGAGTTCAAGACAAGCCTGGACAACACAGTGAGACCCAATCTCTACAAAAAAATTTAAAAACTAGCCAGGCATAGTGCCACGTGCCTATAGTCCTTGCTACTAGGGAGGCTGAGGCAGGAGGATCATTTGAACCCAGGAGTTTAAGGTTACAGCAAGCTATGATTGTGCGCCACTGCACTCCAGCCTGGATGACAGAGTGAGGCCTCACCTCTTAAAAAAAAAAAAAAAAAAAAAAAGGGCCAGGCGCAGTGGCTCACGCCTGTAATTCCAGCACTTTGGGAGGCCAAGGCAGGTGGATCGCCTGAGGTCAGGAGTTCAAGACCAGCCTGGCCAACATGGTGCAACCCCATCTCTACTAAAAATACAAAATTATCCGGGCATGGTGGCACATGCCTGTAATCCCAGCTACATGGGAGGCTGAGGCAGGAGAATCACTTGAACCCGGCAGGCAGAGGCTGTAGTGAGCCAAGATCACACCATTGCACTCCAGCCTGGGCAACAACAGTGAAACTCCGTCTCAAAAAAAAAAGGAAATGCACACCAAGAATCCCTACAGAAGGTGAAAAGAGCCTACGAGGTCATTATTCACAGCTTTATGCCAACTAATTTGACATTTTAGATAAAATGGGCAAATTCCCAACAAAACACAACTTACTGAAACTGACAGAACTAAAAATCAAACAGAAAACCTACGCTGTTCTAGAATTAATCTCCAAAAGGCCAAGAACTATAAAGTTCTAGAACTGTATTACCAATCTTACACAAATTCTTCCACAGAATAGAAAACCAAACTATCCAATTTGTTTTTAAGGCAGATAGCATTTGGATATCTGTCTCCTCCAAATCTCATGTTGAAATGTGACCCCCAGTGTTGGAGGTGGGGCCTAGTGGCAGCTGTTTGGGTCATGGGGGCTGATCTCTTCTCAGTTGTTTGGTGTCCTTCTCACAGTAATGAGTGAGTCCTCGCTCCATTAGTTACCACAAGATGTGATTGGTTTTGTTTATTGTTTGTTTTTGAGACAGAGTCTCACTCTGTCACCCAGGGTGGAGTGCAGTGGTGCCTCCCAGTTTCAAACAATTCTCCTGTCTCAGCCTCCCAGGTAGCTAGGACTACAGGCATGCACCATCACACCCGGCTAATTTTTGTATTTTTAGTAGAGACGGGGTTTCACTATGTTGGCCACGCTGGTCTCCAGCTGACCTTAAGTGATCCACCGCACGCGGCCAAGATCTCATTGCTAAAAGGAGCCTGGCACCTCCTCCCCTCTCTCTCTTGCTCCCTCCCCCACACTTGATAAGCTGCTTCCCCTTCGCCTTCTGTCCTGATTGCAAGCTTTCTGAGGCCCTCACCAGAAGCAGATGCTGGTGCTAAGCTTCCTGTACAGCCTAAAGAACCACTTTTCTTGATAAATTCCCCAGTCTCAGGTATTCTCAGGTATTCCTTTACAGCAACGCAAACAGCTAACACACACCTCCTTTTTTTTTTTTTTTTGGAGATGGAGTCTCGCTCTGTCGCCAGGCTGGAGTGCAGTCTGTCGCCAGGCTGGAGTGCAGTGGCACGATCTCGGCTCACTGCAACCTCCGCCTCCCAGGTTCAAGCGATTCTCCTGCCTCAGCCTCCTGAGTAGCTGGGACTACAGGCGCCTGCCACCATGCCCAGCTAACTTTTGTATTTTTATAGAGACAGGATTTCACCATGTTGGCCAGGATGGTCTTGATCTCTTGACCTTGTGATCCGCCCACGTCGGCCTCCCAAAGTGCTGGGATTACAGGTGTGAGCCACCGTGCCCGGCGACACACCTCCCTTTTCTAGAAGGAAATGATCTCTTGGAGTAAATACTTGATTCTCTTTTATTTTTCAGATTATGACATCTCTCTGCCAGTATCTTTTTCTGGTCAATATATCTCTTTGCCAAATAAGGTAGAAAAAAGTTGTCAGGCCAAGCATCATGGCTCTAACCTATAATCCCAAAACTGGGAGGCTGAGACAGGAGGATCATTTGAGCCCAGGAGTTTGAGACCAGCTTGGGAAACAGAGGAAGACTCCATCTCTACAAAAAATAAATTAAAAAAAAAAAAAAAGCCAGGCATGGTGGCACATATCTGTTGTCCCAGCTACTCAGGAGGCTGAGGTGAGAGGACTGCTTGAGCCCAAGAATTTAAGGCTGCAGTGAGCCATGACTGGCCATTGCAGCCTGGATGACAGCAAGACCCTATCTCAAAAAAAAAAACACAGAAAACAAAAAAGAAAAAAGTTATCAGCTGGACAATCTTCCCTGTGATTACTAGTAGCATCTAAGAACCTGAAATCATGAGTGTCATTGAAACCAAGCTGTAAGGAAATTCCAACACATTAAAATGAAATCAATTCATATAGGGGCTATAGGACACAGCACCCGGAGGTGACATTAGAAACTGCAAACAGGAAAAACACATAATTCAGGGGTACTAGCATATGATACAAACATATATGATTAAAAGCATTCACTGTTCTCCCAACGTCCACACACTCAGAAAAACACTGCTACCTGCTCATGCTAGCCTTCTCACTATCTACAGCAAACACCAAGAAAACTCAGTATTCATCACAATTAACATCAACTCCATGCGTTCTCAGAGAGGAGGAAAGACCAGGCAGGAATCTACCTGTGCCCAAAATTAGGTTACCATCAGGATCCAACGGAGAAAGAACTGGGGAATAAACTGAGTCTAGGTTTCTTTGAGTAAACATCCCTCACAAGTTTCTGCTCTTAAGCACACAAATTTAGCAACTTTAATTTCTAGGTTGGGGTCTAGTTCCTGTCAACACTAGGAAATGGGAGACAACTACTTTTATCACGGTCAGATCACCTATAGATTGTGATCATTCAATCATACATGCAAAGAATATTACAAAATACTAACAACATTAGTATGTATTAAGGGGCTTACTAGATGCCAAGTTGCAGCAACCCTCACAACCCTCTGAGGTAAATGCCATTATTAATCAGGAGTTACGTTAACTTATCGAACTGTGGAAACTGGGATTTCAAGCATGCTCGTCTAATCACTATACTAATAATGCTTCAACCTGCCAATTTATTTTTTATTCTGTAAGCCATAAGGAGCCAATGAAAAAAATTAAGGACAGCAGTAATGATCATCTTTACATGCTAGAACACACTACTCAGCCACGTGCAAGGTGGACTGACGCTGGGGTGAACAAGGGTCTTGAAAGAGATAGTCAAAGTCTGGGTCAAAAATGCTGAGGAAATTCTGAGCATAAGAATGCATAGGAGAGGATAAAAACCTAAAATCTGTATCTAATAAACTTAGCTAGACTTTCTGATTGTTTTAAGTATGGGAAGGGATGAAGGAAGCTACCTCGCAGGTTACTAGCTGGGCCACTGGTTAGTAATTACTGTCCATCAATTCATGAGACAGGAGGAGGAACTGGTGCTTTAGTTTTGTGTAGCAAGCAGGAAGAGGACAAGTCTACTTAACGCGAATCAAAATGAGAGCAAGCAATTATACAGAATTTCTCTCCCTCGACAAGATAAGCTTCTCATATTACAGAGATCTTAACTTTGAAATGCTTTTCAAAATAGGGAGTCACTTGGGCTGGGAGGGGACTTCAACTAAGTCCTCATTTTACAGAGGAGGCACTGAGGGGCAAGGCTGTTTCAATACCCTGTCCAGAGTGCGCACTGTTCAGGCAAAACCAGGACTAAAAACCAGCTCTGCCGGATCCGTTCTACCTACTGCTCCTTCTGCTTCAGCTGCCCTCCCAACCTACTAATAGGGATTTACATCCCCAAATACGTTCATGTAAACACTTAGCATTCTTCAACTAAACACAAAATCAGATATGTAAGCTAAAAATCTAAAGCCAAAAACATGTATTTAATTTCCATAAAATTTCTACTTTTCTTTGGAAAAACTTTCCCATTGTGTCAGTTTCTATTCACTGTAACATTCCCTATATTTCAGGTCCTAAGACCAAAAAAAAAAAATCCTTTTTAAACTTAGGCCTTGAAGAAACGACAAACCCTCTAGGCTTAATATTCCACCACATGAAACCACTGACACAGACAAGGCCTGTTCTGCCGAAACCAGGCCAGTTAAGTCAGGGCTCAATTGCTTCTGTATTATTGTCAGAAGCCATCTCCACCTCAAGCAAAAGTAAAACTGGAGAAAGAGGCCAGCCTAACTTGCTCCTCGGCTGGTCCCCAGCAACGCCCCTGGAAACTCTGCTCCCCATCGCTAGGACCGCCCCTCCGACGCCGGGAGAACACGGAAGGAGCAGCAAGGCGCTGCCCGGCATCTGCCGCCAACTTCCCCGTCGACGGTCTGATTCAAATGCTCCCTGTTTTCCATGTAGACTTGGAGAGAAACTGCGCCAGGAAAACTGTTATCAACTGTTACAGGGACGGAGAACTCCGAAATAACCAAATTACTACTTATATTCACTGTCCCATGTCTAGCGCCTTTTGAAACAATAACCAAATCCTGTAAAGTTTTGTCTGCGATGAGCAGTCACTAGGAAAAACCTGTATTCGTGATGAATTCGCCTCCCCCCCAGAAAAGGACCGACTTTCCAAGAGCCGAAGCCCCTGCCCGGAGCGGCGGGCTCGCGGGCCCTGGGTGCGACCCCACCCAGCCTCCCCGGCATTCAGGCCGCCGGGCCCCGCGCCCGCGCTCACCCAGGTGCTCCCCGCGGCCTGCGCGCCCGCGCGCTTCTCCGGCATGGCTCCCGCCTCGGGCTCCGACGCCGCCTTCTCCTCCAGCTCCGGCGGCGGCTCCACGCTCATGCCGCGGCCATGCCCGCGCCAGCTCGGGGCGCTCCGGGACGACGGCGACGCCGCGGAGGCGGCGGCGGTGCCCGCGCCCTCATGGGCTCTGCGGCCCGCGGCGGCCTGCGGGTCAGGCGGCGGCGCCGAGGGCTGAGGAGGCGGCGGAGGCTGAAGCTGCGGATCAGGCTAGCAGAAGACCGCAGCTCCAGGAACCGACCACTTAGCAAACCGCACCGACCCCGACTGTCGCAGTTACCGGCGGCGTCAGGGGCGGGCTGCACGGTTGGAGGCCCCACCCCGCACCTCAGCTCCCGCCTCGAGAACGAGTCCCGCGCCTGAGTAGCCTCCAGCGACGCCACGCCCACTTCAGAGACCCCTCCTTTACCTCGCGACTGGCCCCTTGGCATCAGGACTTCGCGGCGCGCGGGAAGTACGTCATTTCGAGAGCCCGTACGACTAATTTCTTTTTCCGGAGAATCTGGACTGAGGCTAGCAAGCGAGGAGGGGCAAACTCGTGGGGGTTTGGTAGTGATTGCAGTTCAGTTTTGGTCTTGGTTTGCTCCAACCCGCCAACCTCTCAAGTTTTTCTATGGTTCTCCAAGAAGAAAATAATATAATAGCAATGTTTCCCAAACGTACTTGAACACAACACTTTTTATTCTTGACACATGATTAATATCTTGCAGAATGTGTAGGACACAGTTGGAAAAGCCTGGCTTTTTATGTTTATTTATTTTGAAAGATATGCACCTAATACTGAAATATAAAAAAGCCTACAGGCCTGGCGCGGTGGCCCACACGTATAATCCCAGCACTTTGGGAGGCCGAGGCGGCTGGTTCACCTGAGGTCAGGAGTTAGAGACCAGCCTGGCCAACGCGGTGAAACCCTGTCTCTACTAAAAAACAAAAACAAAAACAAAAAACACCAAAAAAATTAGCCGGGCTTGGTGGCGCACGCCTGTAATCCAAGCTACTCGGGAGGCTGAGGCAGGAGAATAGCTTGAACCTGGGAGCCGGAGGTTGCAGTGAGCCGAGATAGCGTCACTGCACTCCATCCTGGGCGACAGAGTGAGGCTCTGTCTCACAAAAAAAAAAAAAAAAAAAAAAAACTTTTTACAAACATCAATAGAAAAAAGAATAAAATTATTTCTATTAACAGGATTAGTAATTTTAATTGAATTAAAGTCATTTCATTTAAGAATTTTTTCAGGTTGGGCGTGGTGGCTCACGCCTGTAATCCCAGGACTTTGGCAGGCAGAGGTGGGCGGATCGCCTGAGGTCAAGAGTTCCAGACCAGCCTGGCCAACATGGTGAAACCCCGTCTCTACTAAAAATACAGAAGTTAGCCGGGCATGGTGGCGGATGCCTGTAATCCCAGCTACTTGGGAGGCTGAGGCAAGAGAATCGCTTGAACCCAGGAGGCGGAGGTTGCAGTGAGCCGAGATGGTGCACTGCACTCCACCCTGGGTGACAAGAGTGAGACTTCGTCTCCAAAAAAAAAAAAAAAGCTTCTTTTTCGCTTCCCACCCACCACCCCCAAACACACACACACACACACACACACACACACAGACACACACACACACTTTGCAGAAGTCTTTACTTTTATTTATTTATTTATTTATTTATTTTTGAGACAGAGTCTTGCTCTGTCACCCAAGCTACAGTCACCCAGCCTAGATCAGTGGCGTGATCTAGGTTCACTGCAACCTCTACCTCCCGCATTCAAGCGACTCTCCTGCCTGAGCCTGCGGAGTAGCTGGGATTACAGGTGCGCGTCACCATGCCCGGCTAATTTTTGTATTTTTAGTAGAGACGGGGTTTCACCATGTTGGCTGGGCTGGTCTTGAACTACTGACTTCAAGTGATCCGCCCCCCTCGGCTCACCAAGCCGGCCTGGTCTTTTTTTTTTTTTTTTTTTTGAGACGAAATTTCGCTTTTGTCGCCCAGCCTAGATCAGTGGCTGGATCTCGGCTCACTGCAACCTGTGCCTCCTGGGTTCAAGCAATTCTCCTGCCTCAGACTCTCGAGTAGCTGGGATTACAGGTGCATGCCACGACCTGGCTATCTTCTGTATGTTTGGTAGAGACAAGTTCACCATGTTGGCCAGGCTGTTCTTGAATTCCTGATCTCAGGTGATCCACCCGCCTCGACCTCCCATAGTGCTGGGATTACAGGCCTGAGCCACTACACCCAGCCTGATTTGTCTACTTTTCTGAATGATTGTTTTAACAAATAGTTTTCAAAACACAAAGGGAATATATGTATTATGTTATGCTGTTTGAGTATTATGTTTATGCCACTTATGAGCTTGGGTATCAGTTTCTGATTCCTGTATCCATGAAACAGAAAATTTTGTAGACTGTTTGTTTTGTTTTGAGACAGTCTCGCTCTGTTGCCCAGTCTGGAGTACAGTGGCGCTATCTCAGCTCACTGCAACCTCTGCCTCCCCAGTTCAAACGATTGTGGTGCCTCAGCCTCCTGAGTAGCTGGGACTACAGGCACCTGCCACCACACCCAGCCAATTTTTGTATTTTTAGTAGAGACAGGGTTTCACCATGTTGGCTGGGCTGGTCTCCAACTCCTGACCTCAAGTGATCCGCCTGCCTCAACATCCCAAAGTGCTGGGTGAGCCACCATGCCCAGCCTGGACTGTTTTCTTAAATAGACTTACAATAAAGTTATCCTAGAGGGAATAATGGAGTTTTTTGAAGTTTATTTTCTTTATCACAAAAGCCACTAAAGTTTGCTATAATACTAGCAGTGTATATTTTTAACTATGGAATAGGCTGTGATTCTACTGAGGCAAACTTATAAATTATACCAGATAAGTATACCATTATATCTTTGATGGTTGATATTGCCATATCAGCTATATCAGAGTAATATATTCTAATACAGTTCTTTTTCCTAAGAGGAGAAATTCAAACAATTTGCTGATCTTTTTGTTTTTTTTTTTGATACAGAGTCTTGCTCTGTCGCCTAGGCTGGAGTTCAGTGACGCGATCACAGCTCACTGCAGCCTTGACCTCCTGGGCTCAAGTGATCCTCCCACCTCAGCCTCCTGGGTAGCTGGGACCACAGGTGCATAAAACCATGCCTGGCTACCTTTTTAATTTTTGGTAGAGACAGTGTCTCACTGTGTTGCCCAGCCTGTTCTCCAACTCCTGGGCTCAAGCAATCTTCCTACCTCAGCCTCCTAAAGTACTGGAATTATAGGCATGAGCCACCGTGCCTAGCCTTGCTGATTTCTATTTAATACTTTTGTTGAGATTTTTCGCTTTAAATAAATTAATCATCTGGTCTTAAAGCTGGATTTTAAGATTGGGTTAAACATAATGCTAAAATAGGGTATCTAATAACTGAGAGTCTTTAATCCCCAAGACTATCCTCTGGTTTAATGATTCACTAGAAGAACCCCAAAAAGCTATTTTACTCATAGTTAGTTTATTATAGTGAAAGGATACAGATGAAAATAGCAAAGGTAAGAGGCAGCAGAGTCCACGAGAGACCACGCACAAGCTTCCAGTTGTCCTTTCTGAGTAGAGTCTATGGGCAGCACCTAATTCTCCCAGCAATGATATGGATCTGGGTGCTGTGCTCTCTCTCTCTCTACTTATGTGTGTGTTAACAATACATGTAGTTTCAGAATTTCTAACTCCGTGGAAGCAAGTTTTCCAACTATAGTGTTTATGTACGGTTCTTTTTGTTTTTATCCTGAAAGTAGCCAGTCAAAACAGTTTTCCAAATCAATTCAATTTCTTTCTTGTTTACTCAAATCAATTCTTTTTTGATTGAGTAATCAATCAAAATTTTATTTATTTATTTACTCAATTTATTTTTTCCCCACTCACTTTGGTGAGGTTATGCCATACCTTTGTAATATAATTAAGTTCATTTGTCATGCCGGCCATTCTATCCTAAGATCCCACATTAATTTGCATAAAGTTAACTCTCTGCAGTGTATTGTTCTGTGGATTTTGACAAATGGATGGGCCAGGTGCAGTGGCTCAGGCCTGTAATCCCAGCACTTTGGGAGGTCGAGGTGGGAGGATCACTTGAGACCAGGACTTCAAGAGAAATAGGTAGTTATGCATCTACTGCCACAAGACCCTAAATATTCCCTTGTGTGGTCAATTTGTAATCAACAGAAAGGGGTAAGTGGTATTGAATTCATCACTTTTTATATATAATTTGAATCTTTTTTAAAGTATGATGCAATTGGGTTGTTCAATAATGTCTGTGAGTCTCCTTGTACTGGCAGTTGTCTGCTGGGAAGGAAATCCAGAGCCCAGATCCAAGCCAAGGTGTATAAAGCAATACCTTCACATGGTATCTTTGTTGCTCTGTTTCTCCACCCATCTACTGTTCCCTGTGTGAAAGGATAACAAACTGTCCTACGATAATTGTCTAAATGTTTAAAACACACTTCACTTAATTTTGTTTGTTCCGAGCACTACTTTGTAACTGCAATTATAACAATGTGTTAAGATAAACTTATTTTCACAGATTTTTTTTTCTTTGAGACGCAATATCGCTCTCTCACCCAGGCTGGAGTGTGGGGTGCAGTGGTGCAATTTTGGCTCACTGCAACCTCTGCCTCCCAGGCTCAAGCGATTCTCCTGTCTCAGCTTCCCAAGTAGCTGGGATTACAGGTGCATACAACCACACCCAGATAATTTTTTTTTTTTTTTTTGAGATGGATTCTTGCTCTGTCGCCCAGACTGGAGCGCAGTGGTGCAATTTTGGCTCACTGCAACCTCCGCCTCCCGGGCTCAAGCGATTCTCCTGTCTCAGCCTCCCAAGTAGCTGGATCACAGGCACATACTACCACACCCAGATATTTTTTTTGTTTTTTCAGACGGTGTCTCGCTCTGTCACTCTAGAGTATAGTGGCACAATCTCAGCTCACTGCAACCTCCGCCTCCCAGGTTCAAGCAATTCTCATGCCTCAGCCTCCTGAGTAGCTGGGATCACAGGTGCCCACCACCACGCCCTGCTAACTTTTGTATTTTTAGTAGAGATGGGGTTTCACCATGTTGGCCAGGCTGGTCTCGAACTCCTGAACTCAGGTGATCTGCTCGCCTTGGCCTCCCAAAGTGGTGGGATTACAAGGGTAAGCCACTGCGACTGGCAACAGATTTTAGTTTAAGATAATGTTCTAATCAAAACTTGTTTTCAGTATTTGCAATGCATTATCAGTCCTATTTGAGAGTATTCAGTTAGGTTGGTGCTTTTTTTTCTCTTTTTTTTTCTTTTTTTTTTTAATGGAGAACTATCCTTACTGAACCTCCTCAATTATTTGCCTTCAGCACTAAGCTAAAAGGCAGATGTGAATTGCCATCTGGAAAAAAAGTATATTTGGTAATTATACATACCAAGGTGATTCAGAGTCAAATGGACCGGGCAAATGTTTTATACAAAGGGTGGAATTTTAGTTAGAATGGCGATCATTAAAAAGTCAGGAAACAACAGGTGCTGGAGAGGATGTGGAGAAATAGGAACGCTTTTACACTGTTGGTAGTGTAAACTAGTTCAACCATTGTAGAAGACAGTGTGGCAATTCCTCGAGGATCTAGAACTAGAAATACCATTTGGCCCAATGATCCCATTACTGGGTATATACTCAAAGGATTATAAATCATGCTACTATAAAGACACATGCACACATATGTTTATTGTGGCACTATTCACAATAGCAAAAACTTGGAACCAACCCAAATGTCCATCAATGATATACTGGATTAAGAGAATGTGGCACATATACACCATGGAATATTATGCAGCCATAAAAAAGGATGAGTTCATGTCCTTTGTAGGGACATGGATGAAGCTGGAAACCATCATTCTGAGCAGACTATCACAAGGACAGAAAACCTTGACACAGGGCAGGAAACATCACACATGGGGGCCTGTTGTGGGTTGGGGGGCAGGGGGAGGGATAGCATTAGGAGAAATACCTGATGTACATGATGAGTTAATGGGTGCAGCAAACCAACATGGCACATGTATACCTATGTAACAAACCTGCACGCTGTGCTCATGTACCCTAGAACTTAAAGTATAATAATAATAATAAAAAGGTAGAATTTTACGTGACCCAGGCAAAGGGTTTATTCTACAATGTGTGTGAACCATGTAAAAAGTAGGAACGTAAGGACTTTTTTCCTTGCCCTACTTCCGTTTCACATGCTAGAAATATATACAGCCTGCTGCCTGCTGTCCCTGTAGTCTTCGCAACAGAAGTGATACCATCTCTATGCCAGAAGCAGGAATTGCTAATGTAGGTCAGCCCCTCTTTTTCCTTGTCACCCTCGCATAGTCAATGATCAAATCTTGCTTATGCCCTTTCTCACCTCCTATCTCTTTCACCACTCCATCAAAGCAACTGTTGTGCCCTATTTATTTTATATGTCAGATTGTTCTGTGCCTGCTTACTGCCTTAGTTCATACCCTTCCCATTTCTCAGCAGTTTGCTGTACATCTTTGGGTTCACTTCCACTTATGCATGTACTCTTCACACAAAATTAGTCTTTCTCACCAAAAGCAATTGTAACAAAAGCAAAAATTGACAAATGGGATCTAATTAAATGTAGGAGCTTCTACATAGTTAAGAAACTGTCAACAGAGTAAACAGCCTACAAAATGGGAGAAAGTTTTTGCAAACTATGCATCTGACAAAAGTCTCACATCCAGGCTCTATTAATATAAGGAACTTAAACAAATCAACAAGAAAAAAAAGCCAACCCCATTAAAAAGTAGGCAAAGGACATGAGCAGACACTTTTCAAAAGAAAACATACATGTGGCCAATGAACATATGAAAAAAAGCTCAATATCACTTATCATTAGAGAAATGCAAATCAAAACCACAATGAGATACCATCTCACACCAGTCAGGATGGCTATTATTAAAAAGTCAAAAAATAACAGATTCTGACAAGGTTGCAGAGAGAAGGGAATGCTTTTACACTGTTGGCGGGAGTGTAAATTAGTGCAAACCATTGTGGAAAGCACTGTGACGATTACTCGAAGAGCTAAAAACAGAACTATCATTCAACGTAGCAGTCCCATCTCTGAGTATATTACCCAGAGGAATATAAATCATTCTATCATACAGACACATGCATGTGAATGTTCACTGCAGCACTAGTCACAATAGCAAAGACATGGAATCAACCTAAATGCCCATCAATGACAGATTGGATAAAGAAAATGTGGTACATACATGCCATGGAATAGTATGCAGCCATAGAAAAGAATGAGATGATATATTTTGCTGGATCACTCATGGAGCTGAAGGCTATTATCCTTAGCAAACTAGCACAGGAACAGAAAACCAAATACCACATGTTCTCACTTATAGGTGGGAGCTAATTGATAAGAACTCAATGACACAAATAGGCGAACAACAGACAGTGGGGACTACTTGAGGGTGGAGGGTGGGAGGAGGGAGAGGATTCAAAAAAATAACTATTGGGTACTAGGCTTAGTACCTGGGCGACAAAATAATCTGTACAACAAACCCCCATGACACTAGGTTACCTATATAACAAACCTGCACATGTACCCCTGAACCTAAAAGTTTGGGGAAAAAAATGTTCTTTCTAAAATACAAATCTATCTTACTACATCACGTTCTTGCTAAAAATTCTTCAAGATATCCCGTTTTCATGAAGGAAAAGGCTCTGGTGCGTTAGCATGACATGAATGCCTCAGGCTCTGGCCTCTCCCCACCTGTCAGCCTTATCTCCTGGCATTTTTCTACACCCATATCATTGGGCTCCCATCATCTGTCAGGCTCCCTCAGTCTGAAATAGCCTCTTTCTCCTTCTCCTCCAGCCATTTATCTAATTCCTGTTTATAGGTATTCTAATTCCTGTTAAGACTCAGCTCAGGTATGGTCTCCACCAGGTTTTCCCCAAGTTTCCTTTCCATATTGCAAAACCTTTCCTTGCACCTTCTGTACACTTTGTTTAGATTTCTGTCAACATATAGTTCTCTGAATGTTTAAAAAAAAAAACAAAAAACAAGCAAAAAACAAAAAAACACATAATCTTGCCGGGCACAGTGGCTCACGCCTGTAATCCCAGTACTTTGGGAGGCCAAGGCGGGTGGATCACTTGAGGTCAGGGGTTCGAGACCAGCCTGGCCAAAATGGAGAAACCTCGTCTCTACTAAAATACAAAAATTAGCTGGGCCTGGTGGTGGGTGCCTGTAATCCCAGCTACTCAGGAGGCTGAGGCAGGAGAATTGCTCGAACCCGGGAGGCAGAGGTTGCATGAGCCAAGATTGCGCCATTGCACTCCAGCCAGGCGACAGAGCAAGACTCCGTCTCAAAAAACAAAAACAAACAAACAAACAAAAAACATAATCTTATCCAAAGAGATAGTGAGCACATGCCAACATTTTATTTATCTCGGTAATAAGGGAACCCATAAAGTCGGTTCAAAAGAGAATTTGAAAGACGAGGATTATTACAGTCAATGTGAACAAAATGGAAGGATGAATTAATATTGGCACATTAGATGCAGCCCTAGTTAATGTCCTATTGGGCAATTAAACTGTAGCAGTTGGGGTGATCTCATTTTTCCACCATGGAAAAGAAAACCAACTCATCAGTTTCTTAGGAGATAATTTCTAACTTTACAGGGCTGTAAAATATCTGAGCCTATCAGTAATAATGTCAAAAATAAATAGTCAAAACCCTTTGAGAGTCAGAAGACCCTTGGATGGGTTTGTCAGACAATCGTCTTATAGCATGACATTGATGGAAGTGGAATCTCTTTACTTTGTTTCCACGTTTTGAGTAATTTTGCCTAGCACTATCATTGTTTACCCTGATGCTGTACTTTTTAATTCACTCAATCCTGGCATATACTGTGAACTTGAGAGAACTTAAGCGTTGGTGTTCAAACTGGGGTATGTATACCCCTTGTAATATGGAAAGACTTTTCAGGGGTTACGTGGCCATGGATAGCTTTTAGATGACCAATTTCCAGGCCCTCGTCCTAGGTGTGTACTCTTTCCTACAGCTAACCTGCTCCCTGAAGTGTCTCTGTTTTGCAAGTTCCTCTTTTCTTCCCAGTCCAATCACCCTTCTGCCACTTCACCAAAGCCTCCCACCCATCCCAGCCTGCTCATGAGCACACCCTGAGACCTAAACACTCCCATTTTCCATTAAGCAAAAGAGCCAAATTGGCCTCAAAAGTCTGACAAAAATATACTGAAAGCCAGTCTACAATATCCTGGAAAATACATTCTTTATCACAAACTAATGATAAATGTAAATGTCAACTTAAAAGTGTAGGGGGGGGGACGTTAAACAGTTTATTAACATTTTTTTTTCCTTAGGAGACAGGGTCTCACTCTATCACCCAGGCTGGAGTACAGTGACATGATCATACTTCACTGCAGCCTCAAATTCCTGGGCTCAAGCAATCTTCCCAGCTCAGCCTCCAGAGTAACTGAGACTACAGGCGTGCACCACCATGCCCAGCTAGTTTGTTGTTGTTGTTGTTGTTGTCATTGTAGAGCCAAGGTTGGTTTCACTATGTTGCTCAGTCTGGTCTCAAACTCCTGGCCTCAAGGATTCTCCTGCCTTGGCCTCCCCAAGTGCTGGGGTTTAAGGGACGAGCCACCGCACCTGATCAACATTCTTTTAAGGATCGACAAGCACAACACTGAAGGCCACTGCATAGGAGGAAAATTCCGTACCTCCAAACTCCAGTGGAAGCCACAGCCGAGACCCTTGTCTTTTTGCTGTTGACTCGCTGAGCAATGTGGTACCTCATTTGGTTAGTTTACCTCTCCCTTCAGCCTGGTCAGCTGATCCTTTTCCACTGGTTTGATTTTAACACTTTGAGTGTTGGCTTAAACCATCCCTTTCTGTCTGTTCCCATTCCTCACTGCCTTTAGTTGGATGAGTGAGAAGGTCTTAGGGTTGATCCCATCCTGGTTCCCCTGTGGAGAGTGTTTGGGAAATGCCAGTGAATGTAGCCTGGATCACATTACTATAATTTTAAAGTTTCCTGGTCACTCTCCCTGTTACTTTTTACCCTGTGCACATTTTTTTGTTGTATTTATCACAATTATTTGTATACCAGACAGACTCTTTCTTTCTGGACGTTCATCTTTTTTACAAGCAATACTTTTTATTGTTCATCTGTTAACCAATAGTTGAACTGAAATAAATCCAACTGGCCCACTAGACTGCAAGCATCCCCAAGACAAGTGTGTGTTTTATTTGCAATTGTACATCCAGTGTCAACACAGAGAAAGAACAGTAACACATTTATTGAGACATGACAGGCCAATAGTAAGCCCTTTAATACAGAGTCATTGAGTCATTAGGGCAAACCATGGGCATTGCCTGCATTTTAAATGCAGGGAAATAGAATTAGAGAGATTAGTTATGGCATCTGAGATCATATAGCAGTAAGTGGTGCCAGGATTCAAGTTGGGGCAGAATGACCCTGGAGTTTTTGGCCTCAGGTCAATTCTGTCTCGCAAATTGGATTTCTTGAATTACAGGGGTAATGAACAAAACAGCCTTGTGTTACTTACTTGTATTCAATAGGCTTTCAGAGGACCAGGGCCCAGGTGATCTATTGAGACCCAGAATGGGAGGTGCATACCTCCCATCTAGGGGGTGGGGAACTCAGCAGCAACTAGGAAGCTGTGGGGGCACCTTGGCCTTGCACTCAGGGCTCAAAGGGCATGGAAGCATCACAGTGAAAGCCACCATCATGAGAGAGAGGCCCAAGAATACAGATGGACTTGCACTTGAGTCCACTGGGCTTGTCCTCGTGGACAAGACGAGGTGACACTCAGGTAGGGACTAAACACCGGTATGAGCAGATGTGGATGGTGAGGAGGTGCTCGGAGGTGTGAGGCTACAGCCTCACATTCATGTGGTAGACTGTTTCAGGCTGGGGAAGCTTGGGATACTCTGGCTTCACTACAGTTGTTCAAGAAATTATGGAAGTATTGCATTGTTCTCTTAGCATACAAACTTTGTTTTCTTTATTCTTATTATAAATCTTTTACAAAAAAGATAGTGCTAAATAAAATTGTCTTATCTCTTAGGACATGTTTGCTATCGAGTTTGTGAAGTTAATATCTTCATACTTGACTCATTAGCTTGAAGTCAAATTTCAATATTATTGTAATCTCTAACAATACTCCCATTATTTTCCAGTTCCTGTGTTTAGCCATGAAAACCAATGTCACTTCGACTGAGTTACTTCATTTCTATGAGCTCATCTATTAAATAAGGCAGTTGGACAAGCTGTTTTCTACTATGCTCTCATAATCTCAAAGACAGTGACTGAGAGCCTGACTCTTTAAATGCTCAAAGTGAATTACTATTGATTTTTGCCTTTAAGACATTACTTAATGTGGTTATGACTTGTTTGATGTTAGTGAGTCTTTGATTAGAGTCCATTTCCAAGGTTAGCTTTGTTTCCATAGAAATGCAACTGCTATGCCATGACCTGAGTTAAAACCAATGGCCAAACTGTACCCTGTATGGAAGATTGGGGTTTCTTATCATCCAACTTAAGAACCACTGACCCTAGTGAAGTCCATGAAACAGAGAAGATAAACTCAGAGGAAAATACAATGTAAACTGCCAAACCAGACTGATGTACAGTCCATCAATTGATGAAGACACTTCAACCAAATAGATGTCTTGAAAAATTATAGATGATAAAGTATCGAATGGCCAGATAAATTGACAGGGATTTTATTGATTTTACAAAGGATGACATAGTTTCACTGACACTGCACTATAAGAAATATAATAGCAAAAAGATATTGCCTCCCACCTCCCCCAACCCCCGAGAACTTTCGGTAACGGAATTTCAAACTAAACATTTCCTTTTCATCTTTTCTCTTCTCTTTTCTTTCTTTTTGAAACAGAGTCTCACCCTGTCTCCTGGGCTGGAATGCAGTGGCGTGATCTTGGGTCACTGCAACCTCTGCCTCCCAGATTCAAGTGATTCTGCTGCCTCAGCCTCCCAAGTAGCTAGGACTACATGTGTACGCCACCACACCGGGCTAATTTTTGTATTTTTAGTAGAGACGGGGTTTCACCATGTTGGCCAGGCTGGTCTCGAACTCCTAACCTAAGGTGATCCACCTGCCTTGGCCTCCCAAAGTGCTGGGATTACAGGAGTGAGCCACTGTACCCAGCCAGACTAAACTTTTCTAAATGTCATGTGGAGGATGAAATTATTTGTATAAATGTTTTCGTAAGTATATTATAAAGAATTTCAACACCTAGTAATCCACCACTAAAAACATTAATTTTTGAAAATCATTGTGATATTTGGTACCATTACATAATGGAAAATAAGGTAAACGTGCAGACTGTATACAGTCCAATTCAATTACCAAATATGAGCAAAACCTATTAGATCAATTTCTGGCTTTTTTTGAAGAAACCGAATCAAGTTTATTCAATAGCACCCCATGGTCTCAATGTAACAGGAAAGGAAAGAGGATGCTAAAACCCACCTCCTTTGATAACCTCCAATTAGATGACCAACTGGCCTGATTTGCCTGGGAGTAAGGGTTATCAGGATGTCGGACATTTAGTGTTAAAACCAGGGCAGTCCGGGGCCTACTGGGACAGCTTGTCCTCTTCATCCCTCCAGGTCTTTTTAAAATATGTGGAATATCCACATTTCTTTATCCTGGGACCTTTCTGTTTGCATGTAGGCTCTCCAGGAAGTCACAAAGCTGCACAACGGTGGGGCTGAGGAAATTAGCCAAGGAATCAGCCACGTCTCCGGGGCATCCGCCTCTTGTATTAGAGGTGTCTTCAGCTCTATCTTTGCGTGTCCAGGCTGCCACCAGGTAGCTAACACAGAACTGTCCTGGGCAACTTTTGTCTTTGGTACTCTGTGCTTTCCCTGTTGACATCCTCAGCTGCCACCTCCACAGGCCTCACATTGTATTCCCTGTGGCTCATGCCCGTGAACACTCTCTACAGGGACTTGCTTTCAGCACACTGTTAACTAATTGACAAAAATGCTAGCTATTGAAGCTCGAAGTGTGACCTCTTCCAGAAGTGCTGAGGTCTTAAAAGGTCATTCTCAGAGCTCAAAAATCTTTCAAAGACACAAAGCTAGACAGTAAAAATTGTTAGCTCTGTGAAAACCAAAGTGCAAAGCACTTAATAGCAATAGTTGTTTCTTACTGAGTACCATGTGTCGGGCACCATGCTAAATATTTCACAAACATTAATTCATACATACTACAGCAGCCCTGTGTGGTAGATACTGAATCAAGCCCATTTCACAGGTAGAGATGCTGAGGCTGAGCTTGGTAATATGCCCTGCCCCATATCACAGAGCCAGAAAGATCAGAGCCTGATTTGAACCCGACTCCATGCTTATACACCTCAAAAGTCAGGCTCTTTTTTCCCCCACCATGAATACGTTATTTTTTTCTGATATCATACACATACATACACACACATACACCACCCAAGTAGCTAGGACTGTAACTATACCCAGGTAATTTTTTTTTTTCCCAGAGACAGGGTCTCGCTATGTTGCCCAGGTTGGTCTTGAACTCCTGGGCTCAAGCAATCTTCCAGCCTCAGCCTCCCAGAATCCTGGGATTACAGGTCTGAGCCACTATGCTGGGCCTCACATGTTAGGTGTTTTTTGTTTTTTTGTTTTTTGTTTTGAGACGGACTTTTGCTCTTATTGCCAGGCTGGAGTATAGTGGTGCAATCTCGGCTCACTGCAACCTCCGCCTCCTGGGTTCAAGTGTTTCTCCTGCCTCAGCCTCCCAAGTAGCTGGGATTACAGGCACCCGCCACCATGCCCAGCCAATTTTTTGTATATTTAGTAGGGATGGGTTTTCACCATGTTGGCCAGGCTTGTCTCGAACTCCTGACCTCAGGTGATCCACCCCTCGGCCTCCCAAAGTGCTGGGCTTACAGGCGTGAGCCACCACACCCAGCCACATGTTAGGTTTTAATGAGGTCTCTTAGTTTGCAGCTAGGATCAAGTCCTCTCTCTTACCTCTCACTGATTCAGCCACATACAATTATTTTGATCACCTGCTATGCACCTATGGTGTTCTTGGCACTAGGAATCCTGCTGTGAGTGAAGCTGAGCTCCTGCCTTTGCATCTGTGAGTCCTTACAGTTCAAACTGTGTGGGATGCAACCAACCTCGGGTAGAAATTTTTTCTTTTTTTTTTGGAGACGGAATCTCGCTCTGTCGCCCATGTTGGAGTGCAGTGGCGCGATCTCAGGTCACTGCAAGCTCCACCTCCCGGGTTCACACCATTCTCCTGCCTCAGCTTCCCGAGTAGCTGGGACTACAGGTGCCCACCACCACACCCGGCTAATTTTTTGTATTTTTAGTAGAGATGGGGTTTCACTGTGCGAGCCAGAATGGTCTCAATCTCTGACCTCATGATCTGCCCGCCTTGGCCTCCCAAAGTGCTGGGATTACAGGCGTGAGCCACTGCGCACAGCCCAATTTTTTTTTTTTTTTTTTAAAAGGATAGTCTGTGCTGAACATGTACAGACTTCTTTATCTTGTCATTATTCCCTAAAAAAAAAAAATACAGTATAACAACTACTTACATAACATTTACAATGTTGCTAGGTATCATAAGGAATCTAAAGTATAAGGGAGGATGTATGTAAGTTATATGTAAATACTACACCATTTTATATGAGGAACTTGAGCATCTGTGGATTTTGGTATCTGCAGGGGGTTGTGGAACCAATCCCCCATGGATATCAAGGGATGACTGTATGTGTGATGGGGCATGAGGAGGCCCTGAAGGCACAGGTAAGTTACAGGAAGAAGTGGTCCCAACACTGACAGTCCTAACTCCTGCTACATCATGTTTTCTTTCCCAGCCCACACCTATGTCCTCAGAGTTCCCTATCATCAACTGGGTGAGGAAGAGAAAACTTGGGCCTGATTTATAGATGGTTCTGTACAATATCCAGGCACCAACCAATGGATGCTGCGGGATTACAGCACGTTTCTGAGACATCCTTCAAGAACAGAGGTGAAGGGAAACAAAACTTTCAGCAGTGTACTTGGTTGTTCATTTTGCTTGGAAGAAGAAATAGCCAGGCGTATGATTATATACCATTCTATGGGCTACGGTTAATGATTTGGCTGGGTGACCACAGACTTGTAATGAACATGATTGGCAAATTGGTGATAAAGGGGTCTGGGGAACGCCTATCTGAACAGATATCTCTGAATGGGTAAAAAAAAAAAACAAAAAACAAGTGAAGATATTTGTATCCCATGTGAATTCTCACAAAAGGGTGACCTCAGCAGAGGAGGATTTTAATAACTGAGTGAATAGGATGACCTTTCTCTGGATACCAGTCAGCCTCTTTCCCCAGCCACCCTGGGGTTCACGAACGAAGTGGCCATGGTGGCAAGAATAGAGGTTATGCATGGGCTCAGCAACATAAGGATGTAAGCAAGGGAGGGAGTGTGACTATTTGCTTCACTCGTGTCCCCAGAGCCTAGCACAGTGCTATTGCATAGGAGCCCAATAAATAGTAGATCCTTGAACAACATGGGTTTGAACTGACGGTCCACTTACTTATACACAGATTTTCTTCCGCCTTTGCAACCCAAGACAGCAACTCCAACCCTGCTTCTTACTCCTCCTCCTCAGCCTATTCAATGTGAAGACAACAGCGATAAAGACCTTTATGATGATCTACTTTCACTTAGTAAATATAATTTATCTTCCTTGTGATTGCCTTTTTTTTTTTTTTGAGACGGAGTCTCGCTCTGTTGCCCAGGCTGGAGTGCAGTGGCGCGATCTTGGCTCACCGCAAGCTCCGCCTCCCGGGTTCACGCCATTCTCCCGCCTCAGTCTCCTGAGTAGCTGCGAATACAGGTGTCGGCCACAACGCCCGGCTAATTTTGTTTTTGTATTTTTATTAGAGATGGGGTTTCACCATGTTAGGCAGGATGGTCTTGATCTCATGACCTCGTGATCTGCCTGCCTCGGCCTCTCAAAGCACTGGGATTACAAGTGTGAGCCACCGTGCCTGGCCATGATTTTCTTAATGACATTTTTTCCTCTAGCTTACTGTAAGCATACAGTATTTTACAATACATACACAAAATATGTGTTAATTGGCTGTTTATGTTATCAGCAAGGCTTCCAGTCAACAGTAGGCTATTAGTAGAAAAGTTCTGGAGGAATTAAAGTTATATGCAAATATTTGGCTGCACAAGGGTTGGTGCCCCTAACCTCTGCATTGTTCAAGAATCAACTGTATCCAAATGAATAAATACACTGCAGAACAAGAACACGTTGCAGCTTAGTAATAGTTTTACTTATTAACTTACTTAAAAAGAGATAATGAACATTTGTGAAATTGTTTACAATTGAGATATCCATACACACAAGTCATGTGCTGTGTGATGTTTTGGTCAGTGACTGCATATATGATAGTGGTCCCATAAAATTATGATCCTATATTTTTACTGTACTTTTCTGTTCAGATACACGAATACTTACCACTGTGTTACAACTGTGTACAGTACTCAGCACAGTGATGTGTTGCACAGGTGCGTAGCTTAGGAGCAACAGGCTGTACCATATAGCCTAGGTGTGTAATAGGCTATACCATCTAGGTTTGTGTCAGTGTACTCTATGATGTTCACGTCACGATGAAATCACCCAAGACACATTTCTCAGAATGTATCCCCATCATTAAGCAACACATGACTGTATATATACATTTACTAATGTTTGTTATTTTTAATACAGAAAAGTTTCTTCTTTGCTTTTTAGAAATTTTATCAGTTACAAAAGGAAATAACATTTAGAAAACAGTTTCAACTTTCATAGGCAAAACATACACATGAACCACACATAGGGCTGAGTGGATGTTTCCTTATTGCTAAGTCCATAGCCTCTAGTATGATGCCCAAGTGTCATAACTACACTCCCACATCAGCAAACTCCTCCCTCTTAATATGCTCAGTGATTTCTATCTCACCCTTCCTTACTTCCTTTGCAATTCAAGTAAGAAAACAAACAATTTAGATGTTCGAGTATAGGAAATATTTGCCGAGACCAGCTTGGTCATGGAGACCCTAACCCAGAGGCGCTAGAGAAATTAAAGACACACACCCAGAAATATAGCATGCAGAGTGGGAAATCAGGGGACTCACAGCTTTCAGAGCTGAGAGCCCCGAACAGAGATTTACCCATGTTTATTGACAGCAAGCCAGTGATAAACATTGTTTCTATAGATTATAGATTAACTAAAAGTATTCCTTCCCAAACGAAACAAAGGCATGGGGTCTGGCTAGTTATCTGCAGCAGGAACATGTCCTTAAGGCACAGATCGCTCATGCTATTGTTTGTAGTTTAGGAACGCCTTTAAGCCGTTTTCCCGCCCTGGGTGGTCCAGGTGTTCCTTGCTCTCATTCCGGTAAACCTTCAGCATGGCGTCATGGCCATCATGAACCTGTCACAGTACTGCAGAGATTTTGTTTATGGCCAGATTTGGGGGCATATCCCCAGCAAATATTGGTTAAGTCTGTGCTTCAGACTAGATTTTTCAAGTCTACTGGCTTGTTTGAAAAACGCTTTTAGACAACACATCAGGTTTGTAACTTTTCACAAGTTTAAAATATTTCAAAGGTCTTTGAAAATTATAAAATCTTGAAATATCTCTATTTTAGTTTTCCGAGGGGTGCTGTTTTGACAGATTTGAAATTTTTTTATTTGAATAAAAAGCCATCACTCTTTCATTCAATTTAGTGCCTAGATGTTTCCTTAGAGCCTGGGTTGTTGTTCCAAGAATCTGTGGAGAGTACCAACTTAGCCTGCTGCTGCAAAGACGAAGGAATCCTTTCTCAGAGAAAACTCAAGACTGAATATGGTAGACTGGATTTTCCAGAGATGGCTGTGGACATAGGCTATCAAAGGGTTTTTGGGATACACAGTCCCACATGCCCCTTCCCTCCCATTGCATTCACAATGGATCACCTTTCGATTAAATTTCACCAGCTCATCCCCGGTAATTTTTTATTTGACTGGAAACATGGGCTTTTAAAACACACACAGGGCTCTCCTTTAGCCTGCAGAATGTGGGTATATCTTTACTATTTTCTCCTGCTCATAAAAATACATGCTTTTCACTAAACGAGTTAAATAACCACCCATAATTCACCCACAAGTTTGGTGTACTTTCTTCCAGTATTTTAAATATGCAAAAATATCGTTTTATTTGTATTTACTACCTGTGTAACTATATGCTTAGCCTTTTTCCCCCCATTTTGAGTTTATTTTTAATTCAGGGATTAGGTAGCCAGAGTCTGGCCTAGTGACTTCTGACCTTTCACTTGTGATCTCTTATCCATCTTCGGCCAGAGGCCTCTTTTTGTAGCCCAGCCTCATCTCTTGTGGACCTTGAACAAATTTCTCCAGCTACTGTCAAATGCCTGAGATTTGTTAACCACACCATTTATTTTTGCTAACACTAGTTAACAAATAAGCTTTTCTAGAAGAGCTAGGTGGAATATGTCATCAGAGACTTGGAATGAAAACAAAATACCCTTGGTAACTTACTTGCACCTGCGTCTTCCTCAGACTGCAAAGTGGTCACCAGCAATTCAGAGAGGCTCCAGTAACAAGCAGCTTCACTTTTTATCACGTAACCTAACCATCTTGAGGTTATGTGTCAAAGGAAGAAGACATTTCCTTTTCTAAAAAGTCAACTGCTTTCTTCTTTACTAAAACAATTTAGGGGCTGGGCGCAGTGGCTCACATCTGTAATCCCAACACTTTGGGAGGCTGAGGCAGGTGGATCACGAGGTCGAGAGTTCAAGACCAGCCTGGCCAAGATGGTGAAACCCTCTCTCTACTAAAAATACACTAGGCGTGGTGGCACGCGCCTGTAATCCCAGCTACTCGGGAGGCTGAGGCAGAGAATTGCTTAAACCCGGGAGGCAGAGGTTGCAGTGAGCTGAGATCACACTACTGCACTCCAGCCTTGGTGACAGAGTGAGAGAGACTCCGTCTCATAAAAAAAAAAAATGTAGGTTTGTCCTTCCAAATTGTTTATCAAATTTTGGTAGATTCAGGAGTTGGGTAACACACAGTAACTGGGCAGCTGATATAAAGTCTGTATTTTTATAACTACTCAAGAGCCAGGAAGCCAGCTTTCTGCTAGCATCTTTCTCCTAACATACCATTGGCACATGAAGTTATTATTTCAGAGCTTAATTATATTTCCTGACTACACAAAAAGCCAATGCATTAAAAAAAGGCCCACCTTTATATACGAATTAAAATTTATTTCAAACTGTTTTGTACATCTTTTTAAAAAATGAAAATTCAAAAGTCTTAGAATTAAGCAATGAGTCTTTGATATCATAAAGCTGTGTATAACAATAATTAAAGTAGTGGTAACATTTTACCCTTGTAAAAATGTCACAGAATTAAAATCTCAACTTGGATCCTCAATGATTCAACTGGTTTATCTTACACAATAAGCGTTTGGTCAGTTTCAAGATAAAATTTCCCCAGACATGCTGTCCTTAAGTCCTTCCTCCTCACCATCCATCAGCTCACACATTGGGGTAGCTGGCTGCTGTGGCGATTCCACAGTGGTTGTTCTTGTCTTTGGCTATTTTTACATAGCCATTCGAGCCCCATTCTGGACCCCAGCTGAAAGAGGAGCAGGTTTTCCATTTTATACAAGGAATCAAGGGAAAATTGGCTCCATTAATAATAATAGCTAATACTTAAACAGTGCTTCCCATGTGTCAGGCACTATTCTAAATGCTGTTAATATCCATTTATAAATGTCCTGAGGCTGGGCACAGTGGCTCACGCCTGCAATCCCAGCACTTTGGGAGGCCGAGGTGGGCAGATCACTTGAGGTCAGGAGTTTGAGACCAGCTTGGCCAATCTGGTGAAACCTCGTCTCTATTAAAAATACAAAAATTGGCCAGGTGCGGTGCATGCCTGTAATCCCAGCACTTTGGGAGGCTGAGGCGGGTGGATCACCTGAGGTTTCAGGAGTTTGAGACCAGCTTGACCAACATGGTGAAACCCTGCCTCTACTAAATTAAAAAAAAAAAAAAAAAAAATTAACCGGGCATGTAATCCCAGCTACTTGGGAGGCTGAGGCAGGAGAATCATCATTTGAACCCAGGAGGCAGAGGTTCCAGTGAGCCAAGATTGCACCACTGCACTTCAGCCTGGGCAAGAAGAGCAAAACTCCATCTCAAAAGAAAAAAACAAACAAAAAAACCCCCATAAAAATTGGCCAGGCGTGGTGGCGCATGCCTATAGTCCCAGCTACTTGGGAGGCTGAGGCAGGAGAATCACTTGAACCCGAGAGGTGGAGGCTGCAGTGAGCCGAGATTGCACCACTGCACTCTTGCCTGAGTGACAGAGCAAGACTCCATCTCAGAATAAAATAAAACTGGCTGGGCACGGTGGCTCATGTCTGTAATACCAGTGCTTTGGGAGGCCAAGGCAGGCGGATCACATGAGGTCAGTTCGACAGCAGCCTGGCATACATGGTGAAACCCCGTCTCTACTAAAAAATACAAAAAAAATTAGCTGGGTATGGTAGCACATCCCTGTAGTCCCAGCTACTTGGGAGGCTGAGGCAGGAGAATCACTTGAACTCAGGAGGCAGAGGTTGCAGTGAGCTGAGATCGTGCCACTGCACTCCAGCCTGGGTGACAGAGCGACACTCTGTCTCAAAAAATAAATAAACAAATGAATGAATGAATATATTGATTCTTGTGGGTCCTTAACTATTTAAGATACTGAGGCAGAACTGGAATTCCACTGTAGCAGTCTGTCCCCACATACTACCTTATGTCACATCTCAATTAAAGAATGCTAATTGTGAGAAAATAGATTCTGACAACCTTCAAAGCCTGAGAGCTGGGGAGTGAAATTCGATGACAGGGCATCCAATGACAATAGAAGGATGCACACAGACCACTGGACTCCCGGATGATCTCTCAGACTTAACAAAGAACCAGCAGAGGCAGATGTTTCTGCTTACTATTCCTTGTTGAAAAATTAGACAGAAAAAAGCAATCAGCTCTCAAACCTACAGGTCCACAGTCCTTTGTCTGAAACCCTTGAGGACTAATGTGTTTCAGAATTTAAAAATTTTCAAAACTTAGTAATAAAATATTACAAATACATAGCAATAACTCCAAAAAGCTTGGTACGGAATCTTATAATCAAACATTAATATTTCTGTGTTCACTCTAAGTAGAAGAAAGACTTTCGGAATTTTGAAATTGAGCTTTTGTGAACTTGTATCCAAATACTGATTTGGAACAAAAATTCCCTTTTCAATTTTGAGTTTTATACCTGTTTTTGACGAGCCAATACTTGCTGTTATTCGAATTTGCTCCTTCAAAGCCGTAGCCAACCACCAGAACACCATGATCCAGGTTTTTGCTGCTGCAGTCTGGTTCAAAATAAATGCCTGGGAGAGTAAAATTAATGCTGGGGTGAGAAGCTCCAAGCGACATGTGACAGTAACCCACCCTACCACCCTCCATAAGGGAGGCATCTCTAAATTCAGTAAAATGTCATAAACAAATGCCAAATAAGGACCCAAACAATATTGGCCGGAAAACAGTAATGGCTGATAAAGGAAAAAAGTCAACCTCAACTCACTAGAAATCAACTAACTTCAACTAAGTTCAAGATATTTTCTACCAAAAAAAATGAAAATCCAAAAGATAAAACCTATTGTTTACAGCTAAGGTGATTTAGATATCTCTGAGCCCAAATACCAACTCGCATAATCCCTTTCTGTTCCTAGGATGTCAGTCTAAAATAGCACCAAAATAAACAAACAAAAACTTGAAGGGGATTCTTTACAGTCCTAATTACAGTAGTAAAAAACTTTGAGAAAAAAAGGCCCAACAACTGGAAAATAGTTTGGAAAATTAGGTTGTCTCTATACAATTACATAGCCATTTAAAAATATTTATGAGAAGTTTAACATAACTAAGTATTTTCTCATGTCAAATGCAAACATCACTATGTTAAATGCTCACTCTCAAAATACTACATTCCTGCAAAGCAGGATGTCATATCCAAGAATCAATCACAGTGATGCTTCCCAATTCTGCCTAAATTTCTATAATAAAATGACACTTACCTGATTTGTAGAACTGGAAGGACGAATGGCCTGCATCCATAGCAACGGAGATGGGCCCCACAGTTGCGACTGCTTTCATCAGGGCCTTCTCCTTTCCAGGTGCGACCACTGTGAAGCCAGTGTCATTAGCAACAGAATTCTCAGGTCTGTACTTACAGATTTCATCCTTTTAAAGTTAAAGGGGGAGAGACTTGATCACTACCATCTACCTCCTGGGGAACATTAGTTCTAGAACCGAAACACTCAGCAATTTGCAACCTAGGATTTCCAAATCAACACCCTTATAAATCGTCCCATGAAATAAAATGCTATTTGTTGATTTGAAAATGAAAAATTAGTTGACATTTCTTCAATGAGAACCCCTAGGTCAATCTGTCCATAAAAAATTTTTCACAATGGATAAAGTTCTATTATATGTAGAATGGTTTGCTTATTCTCCATGTTATGTAAAAGCAAGAACAGCTGTGTGTTAACCATCTAATGGTACTTATATGGTAACCATTAGCTGTTGACCATCTCACCAGAGAACTGTGCAAAGGCTAATAATTTTTTTTTTTTTTTGAGATGGAGTCTCGCTCTGCGGCCCAGGCTGGAGTGTAGTGGTGCGATCTTGGCTCACTGCAAGCTCCGCCTCCCGGGTTCACGTCATTCTCCTGCCTCAGTCTCCTGAGTAGCTGGGACTACGGGCACCCGCCACCAGGCCGGGCTAATTTTTTTGTATTTTTAGTAGAGACGGGGTTTCACTGTGTTAGCCAGGATTGTCTTGATCTCCTGACCTCGTGATCCGCCTGTCTCGGCCTCCCAAACTGCTGGGATTACAGGTGATCCACCACGCCTGGCCAAAGGCTAATAATTTATAATGACAATACTCACGGTTTGCAGATGTAGATTCTACCATATAAAATGTGAATTCTGAAAAAAGTATCTGTTATCTCTGAAAGTGTTCCACTTTCCAAAAGCAGAGCACGAATGACAAGATAAGGAGCTCCATTTACCACTGCTACATATGGATAGGATTCCTCAGAGTCCAGGCCTCCGTTCTCCTTGACATACTGGAAGGCCCTAGCCATGAAGCCACCATTGCAGCCCTGATTGCCTTGAGGACGCGAACAGTCCACCAGATTCTGCTCGCTCAGTGAGACAAGTTTCCCAGTTTTCCGGAACATCTGTCCTTCAAGAGCACCAGTCGCACTAAAAGCCCAACAAGAACCACACTGTTTCTAAAAAGGGAGAAAAAAAAAGCTGTAAATTTACAAGACCAATACAAATACAGTACCCCATAATTGAATTACCTTAATATTCTTTAAAAAAAAAAAAAACCCATCGCCACACTTTGGGAGGCCGAGGCGGGCAGATCACTTGAGGAGAGGAGTTTGAAATCCGCCTGGCCAACATGGTGAAACCCTGTCGCTACTAAAAATACACAAAAATTAGCTGGGCATGGTGGTGAGCACTTGCAATCCCAGCTACTCGGGAGGTGGAGGCAGGAGAATCTCTTGAACCCAGGAGGCAGAGGTTGCAGTGAGACGAGATCACGCCATTGCAATCCAGCCTGGGCAACAAGAGCTAAACTCCGTCTCAAACAAGCAAACAAAAAAAACACCAAAAACCAAAAATACAAAAAACCCATCACCATATGTTGTGCCACCATCTACCACAGCAATGACACCAATTCCTTCTTGGCTTTCCTGTGGAGACAGGGTCTGAATCTGACGCTGTCTCACCTGATTCTTCACTGGCGTCACGTAGCCTTTCTTTCTCCAATCCACAGATTTGGGAAGATCAAGAAACAGAGGCTCACGGAACACTTTCCCCTTCCTGAATTTCTGGTTTCGAAAGCAACCCATCATCTGCCTGAATTCTTCATTGGTCTTCAAGGAGAAGTAAATAAAATGTTAAAAGCAAGACTATTTTGGTGAAGAACTGAGAAGCAGCACAGAGTTCAGCAATCCTTGCCACACTCACCATGTCACCAAAAGCATTCATGGCCATTGTGAAGCCATGTTTCCCTTGGCTGTATTCCCCATTGTGCAGTTCAATCATTTTCATATTCTTTTCCCACACTGCTCTCCTCCATCCTTCTTCATTCTAGAGGCAAACATATAGCTGGTGGACTTTATGTCTACTTACCCAACCCATGTTCACCAAGCCGATTTGCGGGCAGAAATGGAAGAGAAACCATGGCCAGGGATGGGTTGATACTTCTCTGGGAGCTGTTCTCCAAGCCAAGACACAATGGAGATATATGCCCATATTGCACCTATAATGGGTGCTGTTAGGTTATTGCCTGGTAAGGTCTGGTGTCTAGAAGCTACTCTCTGGCTATCAACTCCCAACAGCGAGGACCATTCTCTCCAGAGTCCCTCTGGACAGTTTCAGATGTTACCAACCGCGCCATATAATCTTCTGTGTGTTGCCTTCCACTGGTACCACTTTGTATCCAAATTTTGGTCAAATTTTGGAACAGCGGAGGCTATTCCCAAGCAAAAGGCAGCCAGGACGAGCGAAAGATTCATGTTTCAAAACCTAGAAAGAGAAAAGAAATGAGTATCTGATTAGACCAATCCTAAAAAGCCATCTTACAGCCCCCGTGGAATAGAAATATTTCAATTATTCTCCCTAGCATTTCCCCAAGGACTGTGGAAGAGGCTGAAACAGGCCAAGTGGAGGTATTTGATGGGCCCACCAAAATTAAAAGCAGCCTGCAGAGTTGGAGGCGTTGAAACAGCATATGCGATAATTTAGGGTATGAGAAGGGTGTGAAAGATACCTGACGGGTGAGAAGCTTAAGGCAACAACTAGAAAACTAGGAAAGAGTTGGTCCAGGTTTTGCACCAATTGTACTGAGGTCATCCAGGCAAAACCTCACTAATGAAGACGTACCATCCCAAGTAGATGCAAGCGGATCCCCAAGGAACACCACCTCACACCTTCTTGGCTGATACACAGCAGGAGATGAGCTATGTCTTCCAACCTCTCCTTTTGGAATAAAACCTTTCGGGAATCCCTTTCCAGGAGACACTGGGAAGGAGAGCACCCACTATTCCCGCCGTCCCACACTTGGGTCTGTGCTACTCGCTCCCCTAAACCGGGGCAGGGTCACAAGGCCGCGCCGCTGGAAGCCAGGGGCCCCAGGGCCAGGGCCCGGACCGAGGCAGGCAGCTCCCGGAGCTCCGGGCGGGCCAGGACCGGGGCCGCACCGCCTGCTCTCGCCCTCTGCACGCGCCGCCGCGCCCCGAGAATGTTTGCGGCGGTGCAGGGAGCGGGGGCTCCGCGGCCAGGCTGGGGGCATGAAGCCGCCCGGTCCGGTCCGGCTTCAGCCCACAGGATGACTGACCTGCCCCGCCCGGGCCCTCCCAGTGGTGCCGGCGCCTCCCTGGGGTCTCCAACCGCCCTCCCCCGTTCCCCACCTCGAGGCTGGCAGAGCTCCGGGCAGAAGCTCTCACTCCCAGAAGCGCCCGCCTCCTCTCAGTGTCCCTAAAGGGGGGTTCCCTCCTCCAGTCCCCCTTCGCCCTGTCCCTCGGTCTGGTCGGGGGCGCTCACCAGCAGCCGTCGCAGCTGCGCAGGCACCCTCAGCAAACAAGCCTCTGAGATTACAGACGTCCGCGGTCTGGTGCAGGTTCGCCCGCCTCGGGATTTAAGTTTCCAGGCGGCCTTCCCCGCCCCCACCGCCTTCCCGCGCTGCGATTGGCTGTGCCGGCCACTGGGCGGGGCCCCGGGCGCTTAGAGCCCGCGCGTGACGCAGCCCAGTCCCAACCCGTCTCAGGTCTGGGCGCGCCTACCTCAATACACCCTGGCTGCGGGAAGCTGGGCCGGGCGCCCGGGGGCTGCGCGGAGGAGGGGGAGGCGCCTCCCTCAAGGGCTCAGATCTACTGACTATCCCGACTTACTGCGCTGAGCGGGTGGTTTACAGCGAGCTCTGTGTGGTATTTCAGTCCCTACTTTAACTTAGTCCTAGAGTTTTTGGTGAAAATCTGCAGGGCCGGGAGCCAGGGTACTCTCGTTCAGTGGCTCCTGTTTAGTCCACGGCAAAGGTGGGACGGAGTGGAAGAACGCACAGCCCCCAGCAGAAGCATTACCTTCCACTTAAGGGTGGGTGCATCAGGGCTTTAGAAGAATCTGGTAAGGAAAGGCACTCCCAAAACACGGGATGGATGGTCGAGACCGGACACCAGGAGGGACGGGACTAGCTGATAGGGTGTCCAGAGACCGCGGAGCGTTTTGTGGTGCGTCCTTCCCAGTCTGTTGCATTCAGGAATTCTTCCTTCTCCCATGTCTTTCAATACCAAAAAAAAAAAAAAAAAAAAAAAAAAGAGTTACAGAAATATTTGGTTAATAAAAAAGAGAAAAGCGTTGAGAATGGTGAAATAAATTGCTTTAAAAATTTTTCTTTTGTAGAAATGGAGTTTGGCTAAGTTTCCTTAGGCTGCTCTTGAATTCCTGGCCTCAAGCGATCCTCCCCTCTCAGCCTCCCAAAAGTGGTGGGATTACAGGCGTGAGCCACTACGCCCAGTCTGAGAGTGGTGGAAATTGCTTTTACTTACCTACTCTCTGCTTATGGGTTACAACGTCTCTTCCTCAGTATTCAAAGTGTGCTTCTTTTGAGATTTAATAAATTTACTTTAAAAATGTTTAATACCGGCCGGGCGCGGTGGCTTACACCTGTAATCCCAGCACTTTGGGAGGCCGAGGCGGGCGGATCACGAGGTCATGATATCGAGACCATCCTGGCCAACATGGTGAAACCCTGTCTCTACTAAAAATGCAAAAATTAGCTGGGCGTGGTGGCGGGCGCCTGTAGTCCCAGCTACTCAGGAGGCTGAGGCAGGAGAATTGCTTGAACCCGAGAGGCGGAGGTTGCAGTGAGCTGAGATCGTGCCACTGCACTCCAGACTGGTGACAGAGCGAAACTCTGTCTCAAAAAATAAAAATAAAAATAAAAATATATAATATCAGGGTTGAGGTGATGCAGTTTGAGGAACTGCTCTTTATGGAGAAATATATGTAGCTAAAGATTTAAGGAAATCATTAATAATTCAGAAACGTTTCTAATTCTTTTTAAAGTTATATAAAAAAATCCATTATAAAAAATATGTTTTAGAAAATAAACGTCCCTTGTGCCCTCTCCATAACCCTTTTCTAGGCATATCTTTTTTTGTTTTTACAAAAATGAAGTTATAATGCATATTGATTAATAAACTCTTAAAGATTAAATTGAATAATATCCACAGTTTTTACTTGTTAATTTGAAAATTTGTGAAATCAAGTTTAGCCTAAAGCTGCCTCCCCATGTGATTTAAGTTTGGCCTAAAGGTTTCTCTGTACATAGCGAATTGTAATCTAAATGGAGGTGTAAACAGACTGTAGCCTGCTCTTGTGCCTATCCCCGAATTTCTGTAAATCAAAGAGGTTCAGTTGTTCAAACCATGTTCAAATAAGGCAAACATGGAGCTGTATCCAATCCTGCAGTTTCTGTGCCTCACTTGCCCTTTTCTGTCTATAAATCTTCCCCCATGTGGCTGCACTGGAGTCTCTCTGAGCCTACTCTGGCACTGGAGGCTGCCAGATTCACGAATTGTTTTTTGCTCAATTAAATTCTCTTAAATTTAATTTGGCTATGGATTTTCTTTTAACAAATTAAAAACAATTAAACTGACAACTTTTCAGAAGCACCATCAGGCAAATACATCTTTTTAAAAATCAATTTATTAATAATTATATGTCCTTCCTTTAAATAAATAGCAGCTTTTCCCTCTCAAATACAACTAGGGGCCAAAGCTGTCAGGTGGTTATATAAAAAATACAAAAGTATATTGTATTGCAGGCCAAGGTAGGTGGATCTCCTGAGCCTGGGAGTTTGAGACCAGCCTGGGCAACATGGCGAAATCACACCTCTACCAAAAATACAAAACAAACAAACAAAAATTAGCCAGGCATGGTGATGCATGCCTGTAGTCCCAACTACTTGGGAGACTGAGGTTGTAGTGAGCGGAGCAGAGCATGCGCCACTGCACTCCAACCTGGGTGACAGAGCGAGATGCCGTCCCAAAAAAAAAAAAAAAAAAAAAAAAGCATCTTGTACTTGTACTGCAAATTTGCCGTCTCAAAAAAAAAAAAAAAGCATCTTGTACTGCAAATAGCTGTTTTTTTTCTTTTTTAAAAATTAATCATTGTGTTGAACACAATCATCATTCACATGTGGAAATAAATGAAGACCACCACCTAAGAACAAACAGAGGCCATATATTCAGAACTTGCTATAACAAAGGAGATAATTCAAAGACGAGGGAGAAGAAAAGCTTTAGGGGAAAAAGGGGGCAACTTCAGCTATGTCCTCTTTGCAGAGTGTCGTCATGGAGAAGCTGAAGGAGGGATAACTAGAGATGGAGCGTCTTATGTGATTTGTTTGTGGAGTATATTTGGTTTTTCTGGTTTGTCCTGGGTTGGAAGCAGAGGCAAAAATGAGGAAGCTGTCAGCCACTGAGTAAGTCCTGACTGTTCTGAGTTGGTCTCTGCAGATATTATGCTTCATTTCTTCTGTGGGTCAGAGTTCTATTGCCATATACTATGGCCATTGTCTATTTGTTTACTCAGTCTATCACAAGAAAGCTAAGTTATTCTAACACGTGGGTTTTACAGTTGCCCTTGGGCCACAGCTCCCTAAGATTGTAGGGTGGAGAAACCTGCCAGGCCATTAAGATCTGTGCCTTAAGCAATAGCCTGACAGCAGATGAGTGGCAGGTGCTGCCCTGAAGAATGGCATCCCCTTTGTTTTTTGGAATGTGAGACAAAAGTAGTGGAGAAAACATAGACCCTTTTCAAACCAAGTGTGCCCCAAATCTAAAATTATACCAGAAATATGTAAATGCAGAAGAAATATGGGAGAAAGCCAATAAGCAAGAGGGTGGAAGACGTTATTGCTCCAACTTAGGACACCTATTTATATCTATTTATACACATCTGTAAAAAAATGCATTACAGAAATGTGGTATTACTAGCCAGGACAGTTGTATTTAAATATTTGTTTCTTTCCCTACTCTTCTATTCCTATTTCTTTGCAAAATAATTTTGATGAGTGATAATTTTTAGAACAGTCACATGTTAGTGAAGCAACCAAGCCTTGGTTATGCCTTTAATAAAATGGAGTTGGCAGAACTTCCTGATTCCTATTTAAAACGCAGTGCCTGTGAAAGTATATTCTCACGTGCATCTGTGTAGCTTTCTTTTACTCACTATTAAAAGAGGATATAGGCCAGCCATGGTGGCTCACGTCTGTAATCCTAGCACTTTGGGAGGCTGAAGTGGGTGGATTACTTGAGGTCAGGAGTTTGAAACAAGCCTGGCCAACATAGTGAAACCCTGTCTCTACTAAAAATACAAAAAAAGTTAGGCAGGTGTGGTGGTGCATGCCTGTAGTCCCAGCTACTTGGGAGGCTGAGGCAGGAGAATCGCGGAGAGGTGGAGGTTGCAGTGAGCCGAGATTGCGCCATTGCACTCTAGCCTGGGCAACAGAGTGAGACTCTGTCTCAAAAATAAATAAATAAATAAAAGAGGATGTGATTCTTTACCCAGTCTCCGGAAATTTTAAACCATAGGGGAACTGGCAAACTTAGTGTGGTGGCATTCAAGACCCTGACATCACTTAACACCTCTCCCCAGTATAATAACCCCCTCCGATTTGTTTAAATTCACTGAGCCAAGAATTACTCTTAAGAAGCATTATCCAGCAAACTGTCCACTTGCAAAATGGTTTGTCACCATTGATAATCGTATAGCAAACAGCCTGTTTATGATTTGAGGTTCATATAAAACCACTTATGAAATAACTACTTTTCTTGGTTACTGTAACTGTGCTTTTCCTGTAGAGTTAAACTATCAGCCAATTCATCAAGCACGTAAATCAATCAATGAGAATTCAGCTCTTACTCGGTACCAGTTCTCCTCTTCTGGTGTAGCATGAGCATTCACTTCCACATTCTTAGCTTTCCTAACAGCTTTCTGAGGTTCAGCCTTTCCATATTTAAATATGTGGTTCACTACAGTAATTTCAGTTCTATAGCAAATTGAACAGGACAGATATATTTAAATGGAACTATGGTGAAGCATCTTTGTATAGCAAGTAACAAGGAAACCAATTCACAAGAGAAATGGTGGAATTTCTCCCCTCCTCTAAAACAGTAATCCACAAACTCTCAGCCAAATCTGAAAAATTCTTCAAACCTCAAAAAGTCCTTTCAAGAAACAAGGTGTATTCGTTTCCTGTGTCTGCTATAACAAATCCCCACAAACTTGGTGGCTTGAAACAGGAGTCCTTTATTCCCTCACAGTTATGGAGGCCAGAAGTCCTAAACAGGCATCATTGGGCTAAAGACCAGGTGTGATAGGGCTCCCTCCCTTCCTCCCTCCTGAGGTTCTAGGGGAGAATCTGTGCCTTGCCTGTCCCAGCACTGGTGGTTGCTCGCATTCCTTGACTTGTGGCCACATCACTCTAATCTCTGTGACTACATTGCTATCTCTTCTGTCTGTGTCTAATCTCCCTCCCTCTTATAAAGACCCTGTGATTGCATTTAGGGCTTATTCAGGTAACCCAGGATAACCGTTCCATTTCAGAACTATTCATGGAATCACATTTACAAAGTCTTTGCTGTTTAAGATAACAGCTTCAGGGGCCAGGAATTAAGACCTGTTGTCAGTGGGGGCTATAAACATCCTGGTACACGTGGCAAAATTAAAATCAGTTTCTTGACAATGCTGATAAAAACTTTGTGTTTATTATAACTTGAGGCTGGCCAGGCGCGATGGCTCATGCCTGTAATCCCAACACTTTGGGAGGCTGACGCAGGCAGATCACTTGAGGTCAGGAGTTTGAGACCAGCCTGGCCAACATGGTGAAAACCCATCTCTACTCAAAACACAAAAATTAGCTGGGCTTAGTGGCGGGCGCCTGTAATCCCAGCTACTTGGGAGGCTGAGGTAGGAGGATTGCTTGAACCCTGGAGGCGGAGGTTGCAGTGAGCCGAGATCATGCCACTGCACTCCAGCCTGGGTAACAGAGTGAGACTCTGTCTCAAAAAATAAAATAAAATTAAATTAAAAAATAAAAATAAAATAAAATAAAATAAAATAACTTAAGGCTGGCTTGACTAAGAGAGTTGGACCCTACACTCCCTGGGAACTTCCCACACTGTGACTTTTTTGCTCCATCTCAGCCTCAGATCCCTGCCTCATGTACCTGAGTACTGGCAACATTTTCTGCCTTGTGTTTCCCTTGCAATGCTTGACACGGCCTTTTAAGTTTCAAGACCCTGGCCAGGCCTAGTGATTGGCTCATGTCTCTAATCCCAGCGCTTTGGAAGGCGGAGGCGGGAGGATTGCTTGAGCTCAGGAGTTCGAGATCAGCCTGGGCAACATAGGGAGAACTTGTCTCTACAAAAAATAAATAAAAATAGCCCAAGCTTGGCGGTGCGTGCGTATAGTCCCACCAACTCAGGAGGCTGAAGTGGGAGGATGGCTTGAGCCCAGGAGGTTGAGGGTGCAGTGAGCTATGACTGTACCACTGCACTCCAGCCTGGGCAACAGAGGGAGACCCTGTCTCAAAAAACAAAAAAGTTTCAAGATCCCCACACAGCAGCTTTTACAACCCCTCCTTATTCTTTTCACAGCCAGCTGTCCCATGGTCTCTGCATAAAAAAGCATTGCTTACCCACCCTTTTCCTGAGACACTTCTGGTTTCGGCTTTGAGCATCTCCTTGTTGCAATATCTTGTATTAATAAAGTCTTTCCTTACTAATGTAGGAACTTGCATTTTTTCCCCTTGACACCCCGTGTCACTTTAGTGAGTGGTGAAGACAGAGAAGGCTCTGTGCTGTGAGAGGCTCAGCTTGCAGATGCACCTGTCCTGGGGTTGCTCCAGAGGAAGAGCGTCTCTATCTGTGACTTCCTGGGTTTCCAATAGCTAAAGAATTCTTAGGTGTGAGCACTGTTCTGAGCATTTCACACGTGCTCCTGAGGTCATCTTCCCAACAACCCTATGATGCTCGTTCTCAAACACCAGCTTTATCAGAATCACCCAGAGGCTCCTGAAAGCTCAGGTTGCTGAACATATCCCCCAGTTTCTGATTCAGTAGGTCTGGGACGGGGTTCCAGAATTTGCTTTCTAAAAACTTGCCAAGGTGGGCTGGGCGCAGTGACTCATGCCTGTAATCCCAGCACTTTGGGAGCCCGAGGTGGGCGGATCACTGAGGTCAGGAGCTCCAGACCAGCCTGGCCAACATGGCAAAACCCTGTCTCTGCTAAAGACACAAAAATTAGCCAGTGTGGTGGTGCACGCCTGTAATCCCAGCTACTCAGGAGGCTGAGGCAGGAGAATTGTTTGAACCCGGGAGGCGGAGGTTGCAGTGAGCTGAGATAGCACCACTTCACTCCAGCCTGGGCGACAGAGCAAGACTCCGTCCCCCACCCTCCCCAAACAACAACAACAACAACAACAACCACCACGCACACAAAAAAACAAAAAAAACAAAACTTCACAAGGGATGCAGGGGAACCCACTTTGAAAACCACTGCCCTAAGAGATGCGGGCTCTTCTATGCCCCATTTTAGGTCAGGGCATAGATGAGGGTGGTCAGGGCAGTGGGAGATACAGAATCAAGGGTGGGGACAGGCTCTTTTCTAAAGTGAATAAATAACTTAATGCACGTTAGGCCATCAGGGCTTAGACAAGGAAGCTGAGCTTTTGGGCTCTTGCCTGGTCCCTCCACCAGTGCCCATCACTTGCTTGGCAAACTGGACTCTGGGAGCCAGAGGATACTAAGAGAGCTGGAATGTGAGCACCAAGGCCGTGCAGGTAAAGCCCCGAGGCTCCCCAGGGCAGTCTCTCCACTTCAGTGTGAATGAGGCTCAGCTGGATTCACACTGAAAGGAATAGAAGACAGGTGAGTCATGCAGCAGGCAGGCTGCCCAGGCAGGACTGGGCCTCCACACCTTCCTACCCCACCAGCTTCCAGGAGGGCGTTTTTGCCCGGTTCTTCGTGGGTGTTTTTGTGCTTGATCATTTCTAGGAGACAAAGGCTCTGCCTCTTACCTGTGCTAATTAAATGTCAGATTTTAAGCCTGGCTCCAATGATAATACGTCAATGACTCATGGTTCTGAGAAGCCCAGGTATTATAAAAAGTGAGGTCTATTCATTCACCAATTTTAAAAACAAACACATAAAATATTCTTTTAAAAAAATTTGAGACCACAGAAAGGAAATAGAACCAGATAATCAAGCATCCGTGATTCTCTGTATGATCCCCTTATAAATCAAAACAGGGAAATCTTCTCCGTATAAGCTTGAAAGTTTTTCTGAGCTACAAACTCCACATTGGTGGTTTTGTTTTTTATGTTCCTTGTTTTCTCCTTCCCACCTCCCCACACCAGTGCTGCCCCCTTGTTTTGGTTTTCTTGTCCTCAAATCAGACCCACAGCTGTGGTCCCAAGCACTTCTAAACTTCATCCTCAAATCCAGAGGATCCACTGAGGACCCAGCTTCTCCTTAGGAGAACTAGCCCACCCTCTGCAAAAGGAATCTGATCTTTTTTTGATCATTGCTAAGATAGAAAGAGGAAACAACATGTAACAGTTCAGTATAAAACTCACAGTTCTGATCCGAGGAGGAACAATTGCTTTATTGATTGATTGAGATGGAGTCTGGCTCTGTCGCCCAGGGTGGAGTGCAGTGGCGCTATCTCGGTTCACTGCAACCTCTGCCTCCCGGGTTCAAGCGAGATTCTTCTGCCTCAGCCTCCAGAGGAGCTGGGATTACAGGCACCTGGTACCACACCTGGCTAACTTTTGTATTTTTAGTAGAGACGGGGTTTCACCATGTTGGTCAGGCTGGTCTCGAATTCCTGACCTCAGGTGATTCGCCCACCTTGGCCTCCCAAAGTGCTAGGATTACAGGCATGAGCCACTGCACCCAGCCTCAATTGCTTGTTTTAAATGCATTTTCTGTTCATAAGATCCTCTGCCCAGATACTTATCTCCCACTCTAGGAGGAAGAGTCGGGCGATGGCAGAAGGCACAGGTGATTTGGCAAGGCTTGGAGTCGGGTGGTTCTGCCTGTGTTCCCTCGGCCAGCACCTCAGGTTTGCTATCAATGGAGCAAAGACTATACAAGCTGACCTTTCCCAGGCTAATTAGCTTCTATACTGCGGATATGGCCTGCGTGTCCTCTCAACCCACCCACACCTCTGCACAGCACCCTTCTCCTCATGCACACTTCCTCAGCTTCTAAATTTCCATGCACTCTGTGTAGAAAGTTGCTGATACGCAACATTCATGAGTTAGCATCTGGTGATGGTTGCATGGCTCTGAGGAAACTGAGAGAAATTTGACCAAGAAAAATTAGATAGTGGTAAAAAGAGTTTTTCTCCAAGTTCAAAGAGAGAAATGGAACTAAATGATAATTTGAATGATATAAGGAAAGTGTTTTAGTTACACTGGGAGGGCAAGCAAAACTAAGTTGCATATTCTTTCTCCTTAACCAAGTGAATTGAGGACAAAGACTTTGTTTTATAGCACTGGGGACCCCAGTGTATGATAGATGCCCAGTAAATAGCATCGCAGAATGGCAATTTTTAGGCTAAGAGAGGAATTGTTGCTAATTTGGCTACAACTTTATGGAAACTGGCACTTGGCCTAGAGCTCAGTGGGCCTCAGGTGAACTTGGGAAACTTCCTCTGCCCCCACAACACACAAATCCTAGATCCTCCTTGCTGTCCTTTAGATGCTTAGAAATGCCTCAGGGAGCTTAGAAGTCTCTGTTGCTTTCTTTTTTTTTTTTTTTGGATGGAGTTTCTCTCTTGTTGCCCAGGCTGGAATGCAATGGCACGATCTCGGCTCACTGCAACCTCTGCCTCCCATGTTCAAGCGATTCTTCTCCTGCCTCAGCCTCCCAAGTAGCTGGGATTATAGGTGCCCTCCACCATGCCCAGCTAATTTTTGTATTTTTAGTAGAGGTGGGGTTTCACCATGTTGTCCAGCCTGGTCTTGAACTCCTGACCTCAGGTGATGTGCCCGCCTTGGCCTCCCAAAGTGCTGGGATTACAAGTGTGAGCCATGCATCAGGCCGATGTCCTCTGTTTCTTAGAGAGTCCCCACAACCAGGAGCCAGCCAGCATCTTCAGCAAGGGTCCTGTACAGCCTCAGCACCCCATCCACAGGAATGCTAGAACTCTGCCAGAGTCCACTAGGGCAATGCAAGAGGCCTGTAGAGGTGACTTCTCAGGATGGCCGGCCAGGTGGCTCCCACTCCTGCCTGATCCCAGTAGTTTTCACACCCAGGGAGGTGGGGCCCTCTTCTGCTGCTCCTACCCCAGAGAGCCCTGGAGGGACATTGAGAAGAAAACAGTTTAGGATGCATGAAGTTAATGGTACAAATGAGCACAGAGGCTACTTAAGGTAAGACGCATCTTAACCTAGTATCTGATCTAGAGATATCCAAGAATATGCAGCATAATAAATCCATTTGAGATAATAATGTTCCATTTCCCCTAGGATCTAGGAGATCCTAGGGCATTATACCCTAGGTAACAGAGATAGAAGCTTTGCACCCAACAGGCAACAAAGCCTTTCTGTAAGCACAAAGGGGAGTTGCCATCTGAAAATGAACATTTTGTTATTTTGCCCAACTGATGAAAGAGAAGAAAATTGGGGACTTCTGTGATCTTTCATTTGTTTTTATACTTTTGTTTTTTTCTTTTGGATTGGAGAAGCGCTGAAAAATAAATCATGTATGCTATCCCTTCTTACTATTTATTATTTTGATTGTGGTAATAAAAGAGTGAGTTGATAAATAAGTGTTTGCTGGAAATACCAAACTTTGACAACCAAACTGACAGACTATCCAAAAGCTTTCATTTTAAAAGCTCTCTATGTTACAGCTATGTCTGCACTGAAACAGTGACATCACATTGTACACCTTGAATAGATACAATCTTTATCAATTAAATATTTTTAAATGAAAAAAGCTCAGTGGTTAGTCTGAAACATGTAAAGCAATTAAGCTTCAGAATCTCCTGCAAAGATGAGGATCGAGCCAGGAACTAGGTGCTTTTGGAATGCAAACTTATAATTTTGTGAAATGAAATCACAAGATAATAATAAAAGTAATAATAGTAAGTGAAAAAAGAAGCTCAGTAGAAAATGAACCAATAGGAGCAACAATTATCAGTACTCCTTGACCCAAATTATCACTGGCTTTGGAATGTAGCTATTTCCAATCCCATTTCTGGTAGGCATAAATTTTGTACAACTGACTTACTTTCTCAGAGCTTTGGTTTCATCCACTACAAAATGTGGACAATATCAACTACCCCATAAGGTAGTATTAAAAATTAAATGAGAGGCTGGGCATGGTGGCTCACACCTGTAATCCCAGCACTTTGGGGGCTCGAGACAGGTGGATCACCTGAGGTCAGGAGATCGAGACCAGCCTGGCCAACATGGTGAAACCCTGTCTCTACTAAAAAAACAAAAATTAGCCAGGCATAGTGGCATGTGCCTGTAGGCCCAGCTATAGGGAGGCTGAGGCAGGAGAATTGCTTGAACCTGGCAGGCAGAGGTTGCAGTGAGCTGAGATTGCACCACTGCATTCCAGCCTGGGTGACAGAGTGAGATTCTTGTCTAAATAAATAAATAAATAAAAATTAAACGAGCGAACACAAGTGTTGATATAGTCAGCCATCTATAGAAATTTCTCCCATGAAAATTGGCATATCTTTGAGAAGTGACATTCAATCCAAAGGCAGAGTAACTTTTCTGTGAAAATTGTTGCCATTGAAATTCTATATACTGACCATGTTTATTGCTTTAACCATTCTTGCCCACCTGCTATCCCACTTGTGAAACTGTGAAATATATATTTGGTTTCGACCCTGTTTCCTGACATATGACTCCTAAAATCCTTAGAAACACCAAAATGGTGTCTTTCTGTTTGCTAATGATTGACTGGTGGCTGGCAGCCCTTCAATAGCTTCAGCATGGGGCTGGTAACAGGAAAGAACAAGGCAGGATTAGAGGGGTAGGACTTGCAGCCTCACCCCCGAAACCTCTAGGGAGGGGAGAGGGACTCACAGTTCAATTGATTACCAATGGCCAGTGGTTTAATCAATCATGCTGACATAATGAGGCCTCCATAAAAATCCAAAAAGGACAGGATTCAGAGAGCTTCCAGATGGCTGAACACACGGAGGTTCCTGGTGGGTAATACATGGAAAAGGCGTGGAAACTCTGCACCTCTTCCCCCGTACCTTGGCCTGCGCGTCTCTTCAACTGGATCCTTTATAATAACCTAGTAAATGTAAGTAAGTTTTTCTGAGTTCTGTGAGCCACTCTAGTAAATTAATCAAACCCAAAAAGGGCATTGTGGGAACATGCACTTGAAGCCAGTCGGGCAGACGTTCCAGAGGGCAAGCTTTTGGCTGGGTTCAGGGGTGGGGGTTTGGTCTTGGCCCTCAACCTGTGGGATCTGATGTTGTCTCCAGGTAGATAGTGTCAGAATTAAATTGAAGAACACCCTGCTGGTGTCCACTGCAAAACTGATTGCTCATTTGCTGGTGGGGACCACCTATTTAGTCACAGAAGTCTTCTGTGTTGATTGTTTTGGTGTGAAAGCAGAGAAAAACACAGTTTGAGTTTTTCCAGTTTCACATCTGGTGTCAGAGGAGTGGGATTTGTTAGACTGGCTCTGGCTCATGGAAACACATGGTTTGGTGAAAGAAAGGATGCAAGGGTAGGGATAAGACCAGAATCCTTTGATTCCTGGGTGGCCACATGGTCATGCACAGTGTGGAGCTGTTGAGTTACTAAAGGTAAAAATTACTGGTGTAAGAATTAACAAAAGAAGAAAGAAACACAAAAGGTGGCTTGATATTTTAGAGAAAATAAACCTGAGAGGTGATTCTGGCCGTTAGGTCAAAGGACTTTTTTTTTTTTTTTTTTAGATGGAGTCTTGCTCTGTCCCCCAGGCTGGAGTGCAATGGCATGATCTCGGCTCACTGCAACTTTTGCCTTCCAGGTTCAAGGGATTCTCCCTGCCTCAGCCTCCCAATTAACTGGGATTACAGGCACCCACCATCACACCTGGCTAATTTTTGTATTTTTAGTAGAGATGGGGTTTCACCACATTGGCCAGGCTGGTCTCGAACTCCTGACCTCAGGTGATCCACCTGCCTCGGCCTCCCAAAGTGCTGGGATTACAGGCGTGAGCCACTGTGCCTGGCCCCTACTCTCTTACAGACTAAGAGTTTTTAAGGATTCAAGATGGGAGAGTTTATCAGAGGCTTGGACTGCTTCTATATCTCTTTGTTGTGCTTATCTGGGAGGGAGAGTTGTGTGTCTGTTCCCATACATCTTCCTGCAGCTGCAGGCGTATCCCCCGAGTCTGCTTTTAGCTTTCCTATCTTAGTGCCCCTGCAGGGAAAGGAATGTGCTAATCAAGACCCACTGTTTTACTGGGGCCCATTGTATGAGGGTGAAGTTTGGCAGTTACCCAAGAGACTTCCCCCACTCCCCGCTCTGTGCCAGAGCTGTCTTATCTGTGTTTCATTGTCTGCTTTTCTGGCTGCTTGTTGTTAGAAGTGATTTTCTTGAAATGCATGAGGCTAGAAAGGGAGCTGGAACTTAAAGAGGCAGTGTTTGTCTGAGATGATGGTGCTCCTGCTCTGTCAACCAGAATTTTTTTTTTTTTTTTTTTTTTTAAAGACAAGATCTCTGGCTCTGTCGCCCAGGCTGGAGTTCAGTGGTGCCACTGTGGTTCACGGCAGCTGACTTCTTGGCTTCAAACAGTTCTCTTGCTTTGGCCTCCCAAAGTGCTGGGATTACAGGCATGAGCCACCACATTTGGCCACCGGTGGAATTTAGAGATGGATCCAACTCTCAGGGGGTTGGTTCCCCGGATGCATAAGAAAATGCAAACTGATAAGTAAAAAGCAAAATATTCAATCCCTTGGTTATTGTTATCTGTAATAGCTATGCAGACCAAAAGTTGAAATAACACGCACTATAAACTTAAAGAAACTTACTTTTATCCTGAGCCAAGTTTGAGGACTAATAGCCAAGAAACAGAAACTCAGTGCAAACTGAGAATGTGTCCCGTGCACTATTTACATGTTGGGAATGGGAGGAGGGGGCAAAGGCGACATTGTTCCAATTCTATTTACGTGTTCTTTTATATAGAAGACGGGAAGAGTAAGGCAAAGGTGACATTGTTCCAATTCTACTGGTGCTCAGTTGCTTTGTACCTAAGATAAAGCAAATGAGCAGTTAATGTTTATGGGTTGAAAGGCTTAGGAAGTATGCAGGCATCTTAGGGTCTGGAGAGGGGTGATTGATTCTATCCTGCCTTTGGGCTTCATCTGATAGGCAATGTTGTCATCAGTACCTGCCAGTGAAATATTTGAGACTCCAGCCTTGCAGGGGAGGGTTGAGCTTTAGCTTACAGGTCTAGTATCTATTGCCTGTATGTCCAACCTGCAGCCATCTTGAATCGCCTAAACATTTTTTTCTGGGCTGGCTGCAGTGGCTCACATCTATAATCCCAGCACTTTGGAAGGCTGAGGTGGGAGAATTGCTTGAGCCCAGGAGTTTGAGACCAGCCTGGGCAATGTAGCGAAACCCTGTCTCTACAAAAACTGTTCAAAAAAAAAAATAGCCAGGTGTGGCAGCATGCACCTATGGTCCCAGCTACTCGAGAGGCTGAGGTGGAGGCCCTGGAGGTGGAGGCCTTGGAGGCTGAGGCTGCAGTGAGCCATGATAGTGCCACTGCACTCTAGCCTGGACAGCAGAGTGAGACCCTGTCTCAAAAAAATTTTTTTTCATATTTTTCTTTTTCTGACGGCTGAAATGAAAATAAAAGAGAGTGCTGGGTCAGAGCTTGATGCTAGACCAAGCTCAGATTTCAGTGAGTCTGAGCTTTGGCCACTAGCCTCAAAGCTACGCACAAAGGAGAAAATTATGCAGGGACAACAGAAATACCTCTGAGACCCATGATTACCAAGAAAGTAGTCAGTGCGGGGGGAGGACAAAACCAAGTAACTGTTGAAACCAGAGGGTATGGTGGAAGGAATTGTTCATTTTGGAGACCAGTATCATTAGCTTTTACTAAAGCGGATTCTGAAGTAACTGACTTAGGAGCAGGGTCTTTGGTTTTGTATGCTACAGGGTGCAAGAGCATGTTTGGGTCGATGAGGGACCCACAGTTCACTATTGAACATCACAGATGGCTATGTATGATGCAGACACAGAGGAGGTTATTTCCGAGGAAACAGCCAACCTGGTGGATTGGAAAAAAGCCACTGTAAGGTCTGTTTACCCTGAGAAGGGAAACTGTCCCTCTCCCCCTGTAAATGCCAAGTGGAGCAACCCAGATGAAGCAATTGATATCCTTCATATGTAAGCCATGTGGGACTGGTTTTCTGATGAATGAATATTCACCTGCTGAATGTGCCTGTTACCCAGGTCATGGTAAATGCTGTGGTTAAGGGGACCCCTTCTGCATGGGCACCTCGTGTAACTTTATTGCTGTAAAATCCAGCTATGGTCAGAGAAGCCTTACGTAATTTACAGCTTTCCCTCATGGGGCTTACAGATGCTAATAAAACATTAGGGTAATTAACAAGAGAACGGGGAAAGGCAAAAGGGAGAGTCAGAGGTTCATCCCAGGAAGTGGAAATGTTTAAATTTAAAAAATAAAAACATTTTTATATGTTATTAAGAAATAAGGTGAATGTTTTTAAAAACTGATAAAGGTGAAACACAGGGGAAAAGGAAAGGAGAGAGTCATGGGACTCATCCCAGCAGGGTGGAAATCTTTAGACGGTTATTTAAAAATGGAATGAATAAATAACTTGATGGAGTTGAAAGAAAGGTCTTAACACAATACTATCAAAGGTTGGATGGACCAAAGGGAGTCCGGCCCCCATTCCCCCATATTAAAGGATCGCAAACCAGTTTTCTGTATTTTCCCCAGTTTGGAGGAATTTTAAAAGGCAAAAAGATTACTATGAGAAATCCCACCTGGAATTGCCTGGGGCAATAGACTGGCTAATCAAGGTAAGCAGAGACCAGAGTCACTTGGCCAGACCCTTGCTGGAGACCAAAAGCCTTTTATATAAGAGAGGGTGAAAGTGGTCTGGGGATGGAGAGCGAAGTTCCTGGGACTAGAACATAAAAATGTAAGCATTGATAAGATTAAGAAAGTTGGAATGTTTACACCGCCTTCATGTAAAGTAGTTGTGTTTCCTTTACTTAAATGTTTTATAGGAACAGACATTGTATGTGAGTGGGGAATATTCTCCCTACTTATTTCTGGAAAACAGAAGGCATGTGAACCATCCTAAAAACAATATTAATTAGACATGCTAAAGGGGAACCAGTAAGATTACCTGAGCCCACACAGAAGACAGCAGAAGCTGGAGTGCCTGGAGAGACAGATTCTCCACTTGAGTACCCAGTACCCAGAAGAGCTCCATCATCATGAAAAGAAAATGGTTGGCCCAGCGTGGTGGCTCACACCTGTAATCCTAGTACTTTGGGAGGCTGAGACAGGCGGATCACGAGGACAAGAGATGGAGACCATCCTGGCCAACATGGTGAAACCCTGTCTCTACTAAAAATACAAAAATTAGCTGGCTTGCGCCTGTAGTCCCAGCTACTTGGGAGGCTGAGGCAGGAGAATCGCTTGAACCCGGGAGGTGAAGGTTGCAGTGAGCCGAGATTGCGCCACTGCACTCCATCCTGGTGACAGAGTGAGACTTGGTGTAAAAAAAAAAAAAAGAAAATAGTTGATACAGGGACATGCTACTGGGGGAATGCAGGGAGGCACCCACCATCCCCACAAGCAGGTGGCCTCTTTTCCTCCAAGATTGACTTTGAAACCATCTGAAGAGCTGCTGGTACCGATTTCCACTTGCCCTACAAATACCTCTTAACTGAATGATAAACAACTGCTTGGTTTGTGGACGGCAGTTCCAGGCAAGGGGACAACATTCTGTTTGGAAGCTGCCACTCTGATCAAGGAAGTCAAAAGCAAATCAGCTCGGTGGCCGACCTGCATGCTGCTTTCCTAGCAGTGACTGAGCGGTGGCGAAGCCTCTGTGTCTGGTTTTCACTGACTCATGGGCAGTGGCCAATGGCCTGGCGACATGGTCAGGCAGAGGGGCAATGGAAACCTGGTCTATTAAAGGGATGCCCGTATGGGGCCCGGCCCTGTGGAAATCTGAGGGTTGCATGAAAGCAACACATCAAACGCCCATCAGAAAATCTCCCTTCCAGGTTGGAAAGTCGCCTGGAATTGGCAGATATCCCTGTTTGCTGTTCTCACTCAGGGTGGCCACCTGGCTCCGTGAAATGAGTGGCTATGGGAACTACAGCAGCGCAGAGATGGGCTGAGTCTAGACACGTTCCTCTTGCACCCTCTCAGGCACAAGATGCCAGTAAGAACTGTTCTGTCTGCCCGCAAGACAGACAGACACTGCCGATGGCTCCGGGATAGGTTCGGTGGTGGGAAGGCCCTGAACACAGCTGGCAAGTGAGACTGATGGGGTGGCCCTGGGGGCAACACACGGGTTCTGACGGGAATGGACGCTGGCTCGGGACTGGGCTTGGCTTACCTGGTGGGAGATGCAAGGACTCAGGGTGATCTCCAGAGCAGGAGATACTACACAGATGTGGAAGCCTACCATCATTTCTCCAGAGGAAGGAACACACGGTACAGCCCGTGCTGTCTGACAGTGGGAAGGAGAGGTCCCCCTCAGAGTTATAGTTTGAGAGGGAAGTGGAGTGGGCCTTGGTTATCTGAACCAGGGAGAGATAAGACCATGAAGGGTTGGCTGACCTGCCTTCACAAGTGTGTGCTTTTATGTACCAGGAGTGGGGCTAAAGAAGGGTCCCCATTCAGTTTTCCTCTATTTTTCTAGTGGACCTGGGAAAGGAGGGGCAGGGAGGATGCTGGTATGACTGCAATTCTTGACAAGGGAAGAGTACACTAGTATAATGACTATGATTTTTTCCTTTTTCTCCACATCACCTCAGGTTTCTTTTTCCCCTACCTGATGCAGTGGTCCTAGGATGAGGGCTACAAGTACAAGTGCAGGAAGCAGGGATGACTCCTAAGCAACAAACTGTAGCTGTGTTTCTCAACTTTATGCCGGCATTTCTAAGGGCCTGATAGAAGTGGGTTGTACAAAATTTGGGTTCATTAGTTTATACCTATGTAACCTTACCTCATCTGAGTGGGAGTGGGAGTGGACTGGGGGGAAGCACTCACTAGGCTAATATTGCTGCCTGCAATCTAGACCACCACTGTGGTGAGATATATATATATATATATGCCTGTGTGACAGAGACCCCTGTCTCAAAAACATAATACATAATTTTTTATATAATTTTTTATTTTTTGAGACAGAGTTTTGCTCTTTCACCCAGGCTAGAGTGCAGTGGTGTGATCTTGGCTCACTGCAACCTCCACTTCCCGGGTTCAAGCGATTCTCCTGCCTCAGCCTTCCAAGTAGCTGGGCCAGAATGCCTGGTTAATTTTTGTATTTTTAGTAGAGATGGGGTTTCATCATGTTGGCTAGGCTGGTCTCGAACTCCTGACCTCAAGTGATCTGCCCACCTCAGCCTCCCAAACTGCTGGCATTACAGGTGTGAGCCTCTGTGCCTGGACTTTATATAATTTTTTTTTTAGACAGAGTCTTGCTCTGTCGCCTAGGATGGAGCAATCCCATCAGGAAAAAGAGAAGTCCTGAATGATGTTATGTAAAAGTACACCATGCTACCCATTGTCTCAGAAGACATTCTGACCAAGGCTACTGGTGCCTTTTTTTTTTTTCTTGAGATGGAATCTTGCCCTGTCGCCCAGGCTGGAGTGCAGCGGCACAATCTTGGCTCACTGCAACCTCCGCCTCCCAGGTTCAAGCGATTCTTCTGTCTCAGCCTCCTGAGTAGCTGGGACTACAGGCGTGCACTACCACACCTGGCTAATGTTTGTACTTTTAGTAGAGACGGGGTTTTACCATGTTGGCCAGGCTGGTCTTGAACTCCTGACCTCAAGTGATCCGCTCACCTTGGCCTCCCAAAGTGCTGGGATTACAAGCATGAGCCACTGCGCTTGGCCATCCTGGCACCTTTCATCATGAATGGAATGTGCCTTGCCAATTCAGGTTTTCAGCCCTAACCATTTGTCAGGTAGCTCTGCTCTAGCTTACCCTATTGTGACCTGGTATCTGGTCTCCATTTTCAAGGAGTTGCGTTGCTGCACCGTGGAACCCCAGGCTCCTGCACAGCGACTCCTGTTGGTGATTTCCAAATAATGGCTGAGGTTCCCACTCGGGGAGAACAGGTCATGGTGTGGATGGGGCAGCTATTGGAGGCCTGCAGCCTTGGAAGTTTCAACTCAAACACCCCCACCACCTTAGAGTTCCTCCTCAGGGACAAAGCATCCATTTTAATGATGAGAAAGGACCCATCTGCTGCCCACCACCAAAGGCAGCAGAAAAATGTCTAACATCATAAAGAGCATCAAATAACACACACTCTTCTATTTAGATCTAATAGACTTAACAGATCTTCTATTGAGATCTTTTATTTTAGATCTAATATACCATGGACACCTTTCTTTGTCGATATATATAGAGCATTCTACTGTTAGACCACATCAAATTCATTTAACAATCTCTTTTTCTCCTGTTGATGGACATTTAAATTTTTTTCACTTACAAACAACACTGCAATGAATATCTTTGTGCACGTGTTTTTATAGATGTTTAAAAATATTGTTATAAAACTGATATCTGGGCCGGGCATGGTGGCTCACGCCTGTAATTCCAACACTTTGGGAGGCCAAGGCAGGCAGATCACCTGAGGTCAGGAGCTTGAGACCATCCTGGCCAACATGGTGAAACCCCGTCTCTACTGAAAATACGAAAATTAGCCGGGCGTGGTGGGGCATGCCTGTAATCCCAGTTACTCGGGAGACTGAGGCAGGAGAATCACTTGAACCCGGGAGGTGGGGGTTGCAGTGAGTTGAGAATGCACCATTGCACTCCAGCCTGGGCAACAAGAGCAAAACTCCATCTAAAAAAAGTAAATAAATAAAAATAGAAATAAAACTAATCTCTGGAAATGGAACTACTTGCTGAAAAAAGTTATTTTAATGTGTACTCCCTCTGTAGTTAAAGAGAATGTCTATAACCCTCACAACTCATAAATCAGCTCACTTTATAGGTAGAACATGACCTAATAGCTGGATTTTTTTTTTTTTTTTTGAGATGGAGTCTCCCTCTGTCGCCTAGGCTGGAGTGCACTGCAATCTCCGCCTCCTGGGTTCAAGTGATTCTTCTGCCTCAGCCTCCCCAAGTAGCTGGGACTACAGGCATGTGCCATCACACACAGCTAATTTTTTTTTTTGTATTTTTAGTAGAGACGAAGTTTCACCATGTTGGTCAGGCTGGTCTCGAACACTTGACCTCAGGTGATCTGCCCACATCGGTCTTCCAAAGTGCTGGGATTACAGGCATGAGCCACTGCACCTGGCTGATGTTTTTTATACAAAATTGAGGGTCTGTACATACACAACTGGAATGGATTTAACTCCTCACAACATCACACCAAGTAGGAATTGCTAATCCATTCTCCAACTGAAAAACAAAAAGTGAGTTAGCTGTGTGTCCTTAGGCAAATAATTTCAGTTCTCTCTGCTTCTAGTTCCCCAGTAGAAAAAAGTAAATGGCAATATCTTCCTTCTCTACTACATAGGCGTGATGATCAGTTTTGCTTGTTAATTTGGGTGGTTACAGTTCCCAGTTATTCAGTCAAACATGAATCTAGGTGGTATGCATGGATTTTGTGGATATGAAGAAAGTCCATATTAGTTAGGTTTAAATAAAGGAGATCATCCCAGATAATCTGAGTGGGCCTGATCCAATCAGTTGAAATATTTTAAGAGCAAAGCTGATGCTTCCCTGGGGAAGAAGAAATTCCACTCATGGGCTTGGCTATACTGGACAGTCCTAGCATGGTTTTCGTGAGAGCCCACCCTACAGATTTTGAACTTGCCCGGCCAGGCCCCACAATTACATAAACCAATTCCCTGCAATAAATCTTGTCATGTGTATCTCCCACTGGCTCTGCCTCTTTGAGCACAATGGGCGTGTGTTAGAAACTAAAGTACTATATATCTGCAAGGTATTTCACAGTGCCTCTGGATTGTGTGAGAACACAGTTTATAGTTTCAATGTGCTAGGGAGGATGACAAAAGAGAAAGACTGAAAAGATCTCTTGTTGCACACTGCACCTGGGTGAGTCTCATCTGAAGAATGAGTCATGGTGGTCACTGCAGGAAGGACTCTGCAGATCCAGAGTGAAGCTGGCATCAGGCCCTGCGTCATGGTCCAGGTTCTCTGGAAAGAAAGAAAGGAAGGGAACAAATGAATGAGAAAGAAAGAAAAAAGAAGGAAAGAAAGAAAGAAAGAAAAAGAAAGAAAGAGAAAGAGAGGAAAAGAAAGAGAAAGACAAGACAAGACTGAAAAAACACAGGTCTGAGTGCTGGAATGTGGCTTTACCTCTAGCAGGCTGTGTGATATTTAATATAATAATAATAATAATAATCTCTTTGGAACTCCATTTTCTTATTTATAAAATATAACAGGTAGGAGTTGGGTCTTTTTTTAGACCTAAAAAGGACCTTTTTTTTTAGAGCTAACCAGGTTAAACTATGTGTTTGCTTAATATCCATGATTAGGCTTTAAAATCTTTTTTTAATTAACAGCTTTATTGAGGTATAGTTTACGTACAATGAAATTCACCAAATTTAAGTATACATGTTGATAGTTTTGAATACATACGTACAAAATGCATACAATTGTGTCACCACCACCACCATCACAATAATTATTTAGAATATGAAGAAGAACAGAAGCCTGGACCCTGCCAGACACTGATCAGCTCTGTCCCTATGGCTTTGCCTTTATTAGAATCTCATAGAATAGATGTGTGTATGTTTCTGTGTCTGGCTTCCTTCACTTAGCACAATGCTTCTGAGATTCAGGTTTGATCATTAGTGCGTTTTGTTCTAATTTCACACTGGCTATTTGTATATCTTCTAAAATAGACAGTTTATATCCTTTGCCCATTTTTATTGGGTCATTGATTTTTTTCATCAGAGATGTATAGAAGCATAGTTTTTGAAAGGCAATGAATAATATGAAAGTTGATTTTATTTTTCTTAAAGCTTCTTGAGTGCATCTTGTCCCACCAAATTCCCCATTTGGAGCCACCAATGGCTGGAGACACCATTCTTCGTTCTCTACCACCCTGGAGGTGCTTGCTCCCTTCCACCGCCCAGGTTGCCACAGAGGAGCACACCCTGGTGCACCCACACTGGCCTGATTCTCACCAGTGCCCAGGCTGGACAGGGGCTGGATCCTTGGAGGGGAAAGGAGAGGACAGAGCACCAGCTTCCACCCCTGCTCCTTGGCTCCCATCTTTGGGTGGCTTCCCCAGCTGCAGAGTTGTAGACTCTGGCCTTTGTCATTGTCCCTGAGTGTGTGCACCTGGTCCTGGGACCAGAAACCCCACATCGCCAAATGGGCAGGAGAGGCTCTCCATCTCATTACATTCTGCTTCCTTACTGGCTATAAACATTCAGAAAACCTCACAGGGCTGGGCATTCTCCACCAAGGCTACTTTCAAATCCTTAGCAAAGAAAGAATGCTAGACAAATCTGTTAGGCTGGAGGAATGGAAAACCTACTTGGACAGACAAGAAGATTACTCCAGCCCCGCTCACCACCAGAGGCTAACTGAACCCCCCAATCTCATTTCTCTTCTTTCCCAGCCTGCACCGTTAGGACATGGTGCTGAGAAGAGCTCATCATCTCTCAATGCCCTGCACTGGGCAGCAGGGAGGGAGGGAGGCCTTGATCCTACTGCACTGGGACAGGTGTGTGCCTGGCTACCTAGGGAAATACTGTGGCCCACAAGGGCTAGGCTGCATTGTATGTCATTGACAGGGCACCACCCTTCAGGTGCGCGCCCAGTTAAGCAGGTTGTCATGTACAAGCCTCAGTACCCAACCACTAAGTGCACCATCTTTGGGGGAAAATACATCTTGTTTTCCACACAGCTGACTGACCACACACCAAAGACACACAACCTGCTTATAAACTGGGACTCCCCTGTTGGAATCTTCTGGAAAACTTGAGTGTGCTTCTCAGGCAGATGTTTACCCTTTAAGCAGGGAAAAATGGAATTTGTGGCTCAGTTTTTCTTTCTATTCTATCTCTAACTAGTCCAAAATGGAATTGAGGAGGAATAAAACAGCAAGGAACTCTGAAATTAGAATGGCAACAATGGAAGAAGATTGTCTTGGTTCAACTCCAATGGCCACCTTAGATCTCTTATTAAGAGCTATTAACTGGAAAATAATTGCATAATAGCCTTCCTATGATAATTCCAAATTTGTTTGTATTCCAGAATTTTTCTAGAATGCTCCAAAATTCCCATCTCTGAACCTATGAAGTCTTCCCTAGAATCTGCAAATTCTCAAAGTCTTTAGAGACTCACTGGTCACTTGCTGGACAGGGGTTCTGTAAAAGGATTCTGGGGAGTTTGACTCAGTGTTCAACAAAGGCCCTTCCAAAGTTTTAGGGTCTATTCTGGGATTCCCAAGGGGACCTGGAGCCTTTCTCACATCTTCCTTGTGGAAGAGCACCTGCTTCATCCTCTGTTGCAACACAAAGAACCATTGTGAAGCTCCATGGTGAGTTTCCGTGAGTTTATTCCACCACGTGTGGCTCAGGCAGGCATGGATTTACAGGTATGCCTGTGCTTTGTTTCATATTCAGATGTATAGTTCCAACAGTTTACTTTATCAGCTGTACTCTTTGTCTTCCTTGTGTTCTGTCAAGCATCAAATCCAGTGTCATCTCTGTGTGGGTACCCTGCAAATGCTAATTGGTGGTGACAAAATAATGATGTTGACTGATGAATCATTTGGCCCCATAAAACTGATGAATCATTTGGTTGGAGAGTCCCAGGTTCAGCAGTTATGTAATGTGGCTTCACCAAACAGGTAATGTTTCATACCTCAGAGCAACATGGAACATTTTGCCTGCCAGGGCCTAGTCATTTCTATTCACAGCTGAAAAGCCTTCTCTGAAGAGTACAACTTGTTTTTTTTTAAAAAAATCAACCCTGTAGGCAGACGTTTCATGTAAGAGATACAGCTGTTTGCTTTGATTTAGGCTTCTACCAAAACTACTACCCAAACTCCCACACTGATTGGCAATTAGCTGAACAAACAGATGGAGCAAGAGCCTGAATCAGATCATAAAACAAATAAACGAATTCATGTGAGTCTTAACACTTCAATGGTATTGTTCCCACCTTCCTGTGGAAAGGTATGGACATCTTAAAATAAACAGGCTATGGAGGCCTGGTGCAGTGGCTCATGCCTGTAATCCCAGCACTTTGGGAGGCCGAGGTGGGCGGATCATGAGGTCAGGGGATCGAGACCAACCTGGCTAACACGGTGAAACCCCGTCTCTACTAAAAATACAAAAAGTTAGCCGGGTGTGGTGGTAGGCACTTGTAGTCCCAGCTAGTCGGGAGGCTGAGGCAGGAGAAAGGCGTGAACCCGGGAGGTGGAACTTGCAGTGAGCCGAGATCACACCACTGCACTCCAGCCTGGGTGACAGAGTGAGACTCCGTCTCAAAAAAAAAGAAAAAAATAGGTAAGTTTTTGGTTTACCAAAAATTTGAAAATTTTCGACCTCCAAAAGTGCAATTTTACATGGTTCAACCTAATGAAAGGTTTAAGAATTCTCAGAATGTATATGTTTCAGTATAGGTATCTGTTAATATAAAAATTAGCACACTCCTAATACTTGCTTCTGGACAAATTCATGCTTGTTCTTACTTGGTATCCCTTTTCAGGTAATGAAGAAAATGTATTTCACATGTTTTCTAAAAATTAAAAGTCAAAAATTTTAATTGAAAATTAGAATTTTAAACAGAAATTTTTTCATTTGCTACAGAATCCAAAATCCAGTACATTTTGCAAATTGGTGCAAGTTGTGCAGATCTGACCCACTGACCTGTAAGAGTCTACACAATCATGAACAATTTTTTTTTTTTTGAGACGGAGTCTCATTCTGTCACCCAGGCTGGAGTGCAGTGGCATGATCTCAGCTCTCTGCAACCTCCGCCTCCCGGGTTTAAGTGATTCTCCTGCCTCAGCCTCCTGAGTCGCTGGGATTACATGTGCGCGCCACCACACTCAGCTAATTTTTATATTTTTAATAGAGATGGGATTTCACCATGTTGGTCAGACTGGTATCGATCTCCTGACCTCATGGTCCACCTGCCTAAGCCTCCCAAAGTGCTGGGATTACAGGCAGGAGCCACCGTGCCCAACCATGAACAATTTTTAAAACACGAATTCTTTTTTTTATTATTTTTTGAGACAGGGTCTTACTCTGTCACCCAGGATGGAGTGCAATGGCATGATCTCAGTTCACTGTAGCCTTGACCTCCTGGGCTCCAGCGATCCTTCTACCTCAGCCTCCTGAGGAGCTGGGACTACAGGTGTGTGCTACCACGCTTGGCTAATTTTTATATTTTTGTAGAAGTGAGGTTTGCCATGTTGCCCAGGCTGGTCTGGAACTCCTGGGCTCAAGCAATTTGCCCACCTCAGCTTCCCAAAGTGCTGAGATTACAGACGTGAGCCACCACACCCAGCTGTGAATTCCTTTTGATAAGACATGCTCCCTCCAGTTGCCAAAGTCCTCTATGCTATCTACAGGTTTGCTTGAACATTTGTATTTTCCTATAGGGCCCTCCAGCACTTCAATTTTCCACCTCTGTCTTAGATGACACTGACATCTCATTGCTCCTCCTCCGATGTGATGAAACTTTGATGAAGTCAGGGTGTTAGGAGGGGAAGCCATACTTCCTCCAGGGATTCCACCTTATGGCCACTATTTTTCTCACAGTGAAAACAAAAGGAGACAAGATTCCAGGAGAAGATGCTCAGCTTCTCTCAAATCCAAAAGATGCAAATTAAAGTAAGATAACTTCTTATTTTTAACCTCTAAGTTTTATAAAATTAAATAGATTAAATAATATTTAGGGTTGGTGTGAGTGTGGAGAAGTGGGTCCCCTCATTTACTGGTAAGTTGATGTAATTTTGTTGACCAAAAAATTGGGAATATTTATGCTTTGTAAAAAAGTACATACTGTTTGCCTCAATAAATCCACTTATAGTCTATAAAAGTAGTCACACAAGCATGGATATTATATTCACATATTCAAAGATTTTTCTGTAGCATAGTTTATAATATAAAAAACTGAAAAGAATCTATAAGTTTATCAATAATGAGATTTTAAATTATGGTTACATGTGATGGTTAAGCAGAATGAGTTGTATCTGTGTGTATAGTTGTATCTGTGTGTAATGAAAAGGTGTGCAGGATAACTGTAAGTACAAAAAAAACAAACTTCAGAACAATGTTTATAGTATGATCCTATTAAAAAACCAAAATAATAATACATTATTTGGCAAAACTCTCTTTCATAAATAAGGGAGGGATAAAGACTTCTTCACACAAACAGAGGGAGGGAGTCCATTACCACTAAACTTGCCTTACAAGAAATACCAAAAGGAGTTCTTCAAACTGAAAATGAAAGGCTGCTAATTAATCATATGAAAACATATGAAAGTATAAAATTCACTGGTAAAGGTACATATATAGTCAAAAGTATTAAGAGTAACTTTACAATAACTCATTAAGTGATACACAACATAAAAGATGTAAAGTGTGATATCAAAAACAGAATGTGTATGTGTGTGTGCAGAGCTTTTATACAGGATCAAAGTTAAGTTGTTATCAGCTTAAAATGGACTATTATAACTATAAGATGTTTTAATATGCCTCATAGCAATCAGGAAGCAAAAACTTAGCAGATACACTAAGATGAAGAGAAAGGAATCAAAGCATACCACTACTGAAAATCCTCAAATCACAAATAAAGATAGCAAGAGAGGAAAAAAATCATGAAAGAGCTGCAAACAACCAGAAAACAATGAACAAAATGACAATAATCAATCCTTCTCTATCAATAATTACTTTAAATGTAAATGAACTAAATTTGCTGATCAAAAGACACAGGGTGGCTTTATGGATTTAAAAAATACAAAAACAAGGCCAGGCCCAGTGGTTCACACCTGTAATCCCAGCACTTTGGGAGGCAGATGTGGGTGGATTGCTTGAGGCTGGGAGTTCGAGACCAGCCTGGCCAACATGGTAAAACCCCGTCTCTACTAAAAATACAAAAATTAGCCGGGTGTCGTGGCGAATGCCTGTGGTTGCAGCTACTAGGGAGGCTGAGGCAGGGGAATTGCTTGAACCTGGGAGGCAGAGTTGCAGTGAGTCAAGATTGTGCCACTGCACTCTAGTCTGGGAGACAGAGTGAGACTGAGTCTCAAAAAAAAAAAGAAAAAACAAGACCCAACTATATGTTGCTACAAGAGACTGAGACTGACTTCACCTTTAAAGCTACACACAGATTGAAAGTGAAGGGATGAAAAAAGATATTCCATTCAAATGGAAAGCAAAGAGCACAGGGGTAGTTATACTAGACAAAATAGGCTTTAAGTCAAAAACTAACAAGACAAAGATGGTTATTATATAATGATAGAGGAGTCAATTCATAAAGAGGACAGAACAGTTGTAAATAATATGCACCCAACATCGGGTACACTTAAATATATAAGGCAAATATTCACAGATCTAAAGGGAGGAATAGACAGCAATACAATAATAGCAAGAGACTTTAATACTCCACTTTCAACAATAGATAGAACATTCAGACAGGAAAACAGTAAGAAAGAAAACATTACACTTGAATTAACTTTAGACCAAATGGACTTAACAGACATAAATAGAACATTCCATCCAACAACAACAGAATGCACATCTTCTCAAGCACACGTGGAACACTGTCCAGGACAGAGCAAATGTTGGGCCACAAATCAAATCTTAATAAATTTGAGAAGATATAGATCATATCAAGTATCTTTTTGGACCACAATGTTATGAAACTAGAAATCAATAACGGGAGAAAAACGGGAAAGTTCACAGATACATGGAAATCAAACATGCTTCTAAGCAATCAATGGGTGAAAGAAGAAATCAAAGGGGAAAATGAAACATTTTGAGACAAAGAAAAATGGAAACAAAACATACCAAAACTTATGGGATGCAGCAAAAGCAGTTCTAAGAGGGAAATTTATAGCAAGAAATGCCTGCATTAAAAAAGAAGAGGCCAGGCATGGTGGCTCACCCCTGTAATCCTAGCACTTTGGGAGGCCAAGGTGGGTGGATCACTAAAGCCCAAGAGTTTGAGACCAGCCTGGGCAACATAGGGGATCCCTATCTCCACACACACACACACACAAAAATAATAAAACATAAAATTAGCTGGATGTTGTGGTACGAGCCTGTCATCCTAGTTACTCAGGAGGCTGAGGTGGGAGGATCACTTGAGCCTGGGAGGTCAGGGCTGCAGTGAGCCGAGATTGTGTCCCTGCACTCCAGCCTGGGCAGCAGAGCGAGACCCTGTCTCAAAAAAAAAAAAAAAAAAAAAAAAAAAAAAAAAAAAAAAAAGAGAGAGAGAGAGATTTGGACTTTATGGTTCTGTGGTAAGCAAAAGAAGTGAGGTGATGGATAGGTTAATTAGCTTGATTTAATCATCCTATATATACACACATCACATTGTACCCCATAAATGTTTATGATTTGTCAATCAAAAGTAAAGAAAAGCAATGTTGAAAGCATTGACAGAAAAGTTAGGCATTCAAAATGCAATATTTCTCTGAACTGCAGTTTTCTTATTTGTATAAAACACAACAAAACAAAAAATCATGTTGCATATCCTAAATATATACAATTTTTATTTGTCAGTCATACTTGAATGAAGCTGGAAAGGTGCGGAGCTGGGATGGCGCTGCCTGGGAAGGAAGAGCCGCGGCGGGATTGGTCTAGGAGGAGGCCTAGGCCCGACCTGCGGTGGTGGGTCTTGCCTCGACGGGGCTGCTTCGCGCCCTCTCCTCTGCTCCAGCTTCGCCCACTTCCCCTTGCCAGCGGGCTAGGCACAGGGGAGACCTGCCGGAGCCACGGAAGATGAGGTGGCCCGCAGTGCCAAGAAGATGGACAAGATGGTGCAGGAGAAGAACACGGCCGGAGCACTGGGTTTGTTAACAGAGCTTCAGAATGTTCTGGAATTACTGCGGTCCACAGGAACTGGAATGTTACTTAATGTTAGTCTCAAGCAGAGTGCAGATGAAGAAGTTACATCTTTAGCAAAGTCTCTCGTCAAATCCTGGAAAAAGTTACCAGATAAGCCATCAAGTGAGAAAGACCCTAAAGAAAAGCAAATAGAACCTGCAATGACATCGCAGAATAGCAAAAGAAAGTAGCTCCGGCGGCAATGTAAGCGGCAGAAAGGATAAGACAAATGCTTGAGATACTTGTTTCATCTGTTCCTTGGCACGAAGCACTTCTGATTCTGTGCGGATGAAGTACAGGGAGATGCTTCCTGCAGCCCTTCGAACAGGAGATGACTGCATTGAAATGGGAACTGATGAGGAAGAATTAGGATCTCGAACTGAGGAAGCAATAGATCCAGAAAGAGGGAATACAGGCATGAAGTACAAAAATAGAGTCCAAAGTAAGATATCAAATCTTACAGATGCAAAGAATCCAGATTTAAGGAAAAATGCACCGTGTGGGAATATTCCTCCTGACTTACTTGCTAGAATGACAGCAGAAGAAATGGCTAGTGATGAGCTCAAAGAGATGCACAAAAACTTGACGAAAGAAGCCATCAGAGAGCATCAGATGGCCAAGACAGGTGGAACCCAGCCTGATTCGCTCACATGTGCCAAATGTAAAAAGAAGAATTGCACTTCCACACAGGTACAAGCCTGCAGTGCTGGTGAACCAATGACAACGTTTGTTGACTGTAATGAATGTGGAAATCAACAGAAGTTCTGTTGAGATGCAAAAATTGGCAAAATATCTGGACCACTAAGAAAACGGATTTTGTAATTAGCTTAAACCTAGGACAAGCAACTAGTTTTCCTGCAAATCAGATTTTTAGAGCAACATACATCCCGCGGGTTAGGCTTTGTTTTTGACCCAGCATCCCTTCCTTAATTGTCTTCTGTAGTTCCTGATCAGTAGGGAGACCACAGGATAATTGTATGGGATCTGTTTTAAAACTTTTTTTCATTTTTATAAATAAGTCGATATTAAACTTTTATAAATTAAACTTCTGGCAATTTATTTTTTTTCTTTCTTAAAGGAAAATATACCCTAATTTTTTTTTTTTTTTTTTTGAGACAGAGTCTCACTCTGTCACCAGGCTGGAGTGCAGTGGCACGGCTCACTGCAACCTCCACCTTCCAGGTTCAAGCTATTCTCCTGCTCAGCCTCACGAGTAGCTGGAACTACAGGTGCACACCACCACACCCAGCAAATTTTTGTATTTTTAGTACAGACGGGGTTTTACCATGTTGGCCAGGATGGTCTCGATCTCTTGATCTTGTGATCCGCCTGCCTTAGCCTCCCAAAGTGCTAGGATTACAGGCATGCGCCACCGTGCCTGGCCATTTATTTATTTATTTATTTGTTTGTTTGTTTGTTTGTTTGTTTATTTATTTATTTATTTATTTATCGAGATGGAGTCTCACTCTGTTGCCCAGGCTGGAGTGCAGTGGCACAATCTTGGCTCACTACAACCTCTGCCTCCTGGGTTCAAGGGATTCTCCTGCCTCAGCCTCCTGAGTAGCCAGGTCTACAGGTGTGCACCACCATGCCCTGCTAATTTTTGTATTTTTAGTAGAGACAGTGTTTCACTGTGTTGGCCAGGCTGGTCTCTAACTCCTGACCTTATGATCTGCCCGCCTCAGCCTCCCAAAGTGCTGGGATTACAGGCATGAGCCACTGCACCCGGCCAACTTTTTTTTTAACAGTGTGAAATATACACAGTAGAAATTCTGTTATTCTCTGTTATTAGTACATAAATGGAAATAAATTTTTTCCCATATTGGCATGTATCTACAAATATTAAAGGAGGAGAAAAGGTAATATACTTTTAGGTTTACCACATATGGTGTGTATTCAAATAACACGTGACCAGCTTATCAAAATTGTACATAATATTTGAACTAACTTATTAATTTGATTTTAATTATTATGTCCAAAAGCTTGGGATGCTAGATACTACTTTGCATCTGTAACCAACTGTGATCCTCATTTCTTGTAATTTCTTGTGCTTATATATTACTTGTTCTTAATAGATTTTACTTTGGAAACAAGACTGTTGAGATCAGTTTGGTTTTGTTGTTAATTTACCTGTTTGACTTCATAATGTATTTTAGTTTTGCAGAAGAACACTTGTAGATTAGAAGGCTTTTCATAAATCCCCTCACAGGCAAAGAGGAAAACTTCCCGCTATTTTATTTCCCTCATAGGAAGACATACTGGAAAGAAAACGTTTAGCATCTTAGTATAGAATAGCTATTGTGAACAGCTCATGACTTGATCTTGATATGGAAATCTGGACTGACCAGTGGTTAAGCTTAAGGATTGTAAAATCATTAAAGCTGTGGTCTTTTCACGTGGAGGTTGATAGAAAACATTTTTGTCCTAAGTCTTATTTGCTGACTTTTTCTGTCAATGAGGGAGGTTGTTGAACAAACTGAATCTGTGGGCTATAGCAAGTAGCTTTACAGCAGATCTTACCATGAAGTTTTACTTTGTGTTTAAGTGGGTACCACTTTTTCTGTTTAGAATAATTAAAAAATGATTTTCACAGGTTCCTTGGGGTACGCTTGCTCTAGCACACTTTGAAGGCCACTGTTGCAAAGTACATTTTATCATGCTGAATCAGCGTTCTATCACTTACCTGTAGAAAGACCTCAGTACATGCTTTGCACCCTCCTTTGCGCCCCCTTTCAATTTCTTATTGCAAATCATTTTAATGTAATATGGAACAGAGCATTTTAAAATGTCCATGTTAAGAATTGGCCCACCGGTACCAACTCACCTCTATTTTGTCAGTTCATAGTTGAAGCTTTTGTTTTATCATTTTCAAAAATAAAGTATATTTTTAGAACAATGAATTTAAGAATGAAGAAAAGCTGTGAAAAATGCCACAAATTACCATATGTGTATTTTGATATGCAGATGTAGCAATATGCATAGAGAGAGTCTAGTAAAGTGGTCTTCAACTCGGGGAGATTTCGGACCAGGGGACATTGACAAATGTCAATAGATATTTTTGATTTTCATGCCTAGATGAATAGGCCAGGGATGCTGATAAACAACTCGTAGCAAAGAATTAATTGGCTTCAAAATCAACAGGACTGAGGTTGAGAAGCCCTGGTTGAAAGTTGCTATAAGAATATTGGCAATTATCTCTAGCATTGATAGGGACATTAGGATGCTGTGTAGGGAACAATTTTTTAATTTTAAAAATTATTTATTATTTATTTTTAAAATTTGAGACAGGGTCTCACTGCGTTGCTCAGGCTGGAGTGCGTGGTGCGATCTTGACTCACTGCATCCTCTGCCTCCCAGGCTGAAGCGATCCTTCTGCCCCAGCCTCCTGAGTAGCTGGGACTATAGGCATACACCACCACATCTGGCTAATTTTTGTTGCCTGAGGCTCCCACAGCGCTGGGATTACGGGAGTGAGTTGCTGTGCCAGGCCTTTTTGTCATAATTTAAACAAAGTACTTTTTTTCAACAGGTAAGTTGCTGGTTCCACACCTCTTCCAAAAAATATAACAAATGAAAGGTTTGAAAATATATGGGTCGCTTCTCCACCCTCATCCCTATCCCTATAATATGCATTGTTGGTTTCTTTATGAACCTTTCCAGACATATTTATGCATATCAGACCAAGTAGAAATAGAGCTTCTTATTCTCTCTTTTTCTTTCCCACCATAAAGTATATATTATATTTGGTTTAGCACTTTTTTCTTTAACAATATGCCTTACACTGTTGTACTGAAGTCATTTTACAATCATATATATATTTTTTGAGACAGAGTCTCACTCTGTTCCTTAGGCTGGAGTGTAGTGGCACAACATTGACTCACTGTAACCTGTGTCCCCGGGGTTCAAGTGATTCTTCTGCCTCAGCCTCTTGGGTAGCTGGGATTACAGGTACATACCACCACACCCGGCTAATTTTTTGTATTTTTAGTAGAGATGAGGTTTCACTCTGTCGGCTAGGCTGGTCTCGAACTCTTGACCTCAGGTGATCTCCTGCCTCAGCCTTCCAAAGTGCTGGGATTACAGGTGTGAGCCACAGGTGCCTGGTCTTACAATCATATATGTTCCTTTGAAATTAAAACAAATGAGAAATATTGAGCCTTGTTTGGGAGGGAGTTGGAATTGTCGGGAAGGGTTAGTCATTTTCATTCACAAAGATGACTATTCCACTTCTAGCAGCTGGGAAGCTGAAGAATAATTTAAAAATTGAGACAAAAATAGCTATTGCAGGCATAGAAGTAGGTACCAGTAGATGATGAATTTGTCTTCTCAGTACTGATGTTGCTCTACTGAGAACGATAATTCCATGTCTTTAGACATCAGTGCTTTTTATCCAGGAATACCTCTCTAAAGCACTCTAGTGCTCACATGTCTGCTCCTACCCACTGCACTGAACTTAGAGGGTCCATGTGCCTAACGGGCAGGGCACCGAGGGCAGCCTCTTGTCAAGAGACAGTGGAAACTGAGGCCCTCAGTCCTTCAGCCCGTGGAACTGAAATTCTGCCAACAACAGACTCTTTCCTCGTGCAGCTTATCAGACACCTGGATTACAGCCTCAGGGGGGCCCCTGAGCAGAGGACCTGCTAAGCTGTGCCTGGACTCCTCAATCGTAAACACTGTGTGATAAGAAATTGTGTATTTTTATGCAGCAATAGATAACTATCACAGTTGTGAAATCACCACTTTTCACAGTGACTAAGAGCCAAAGCAGGTGCCAATCACTAAAATTTCCTTGTCAAGGAGGGCACTGTAATGTCATTCCACTGGTGAAGAGAACTTGGAGCAGACTTCGTGAGTTTCAAGGAATCACAGGAAACAAAATCACCTCCACTACAAGCTGGGACCTGCAGTGTGTGTGTACGTGAGCGATGGAAGCTGGGGTCTGCAGGGTTGTGTGTATGTGAGCAGTGTGAACTGGGGGGGTCTGCAGGGTGTGTGTATGTGAGAGATGTGAGCTGGGACCTGCAGGGTGTGTAAATGTGAGAGATGTGAGCTGGGGTCTGCAGGGTGCGTGTGTGTGAGCGATGTGAGCTGGGGTCTGCACAGTGTGTGTATGTGAGCTATGGAAACTGGAGTCTGCAGGGTGTGTGTATATGAACAATGGAAGCTGGGGTCTGCAGGGTGTGTTTATGTGAGTGATGAAAGTGCCACCCTGATGTGTGTTTCTGCTCTAGAATAGCTTCAGATCTGGAGTGTAGCCATTCTTGAAAAAATTTTGGAAATAGCAGTGATGACTGTACAACATTGTAAATGTCGTTAATGCCACTGAATTGTAACTCAAAATACTTATAATGGCAAATTTTATGTTACATATATTTATTAAGAAAAGATAAATACAAAACAGCGTAGAGTCAAATTCTCAGCTGTGCACAGCACATTCTCCAACCTCTAAAGAGAAACTTGGGTGGAAAGCCTGTGTTCTTTCAAATCCTGGCAGTAGAAGAGTAAATTGGTAAACACCTGCCAGTTGGGCAAAAAACAAAAAGCCCAGGTGTTGCCTTAGGTTTTTGTTTTTCCCTCTAGGTAGGAAAAGAAGGGGCCCAAGCATTCCCAAAGGTGAATTTCAGGTGGACCTAAAATGCTAAAAGTTTGTGTTGTTCTCTTCTACAAAAAGCTAAATTAGGTACTAGGGCTGGGGCAAAGCATTAGATAAACTGGAAAAAAGAAAAGAAAAACTCCTAAAAACAAAGAAAAAAAAAAGAAGAAGAAAGAAAAGAAAAACCCATTTCAGATGTTGCGAGAGTCTCCTATCCCCCATTCTAGGCATTTCTTGGCAGCTGTAATGTTAACTCTCAAATGCCAATTGCACTGTTGAAGGTTTGAGTAAACTTGGAAAGGAAAATTTAAAAAACTTGAAATGAAAGAGAGTTTTTAAAAGCTGGCTTTGTGTCTTATGGCTACTGCATCTAGATATATGATAAAAACCATATTCTATGCTTGTAATTTCATAAACATTGGAGGAATCATCCTCATCAGGGAAGCTGCCAAAAGCAAACAAAACCCAGGATGGTATACAACTGCCTTGCTTGTTGCAGCTGGTGAGGGAATTGAAATGCAAGTTTTTGAATATGAAAAGGAAAATAATTTCCATAACTGACAATTTTTAGTATGATTTTCACCTATGGGAGCCTCTGAAAAAGGGGAGACAATATGAAAAGACAGGCACTCTCTAATTGGAGATACACTTTTAGAATTTTAAATATTAGTTTTTAGTTCCTAATGAGCTCTTGTAAGATCAGATGCCTGCGCCTTAGAGGCTGATAATTTTCTGGCCTCTGAGCATATTTTTGAGTGGGTCCATTTGGACTCAGCAAATAACAAGCCAAACAGGGCTTAGGAAAGCCTTGCCCGTCACTGGGACCAGCAACACCGCTTTCCCACTCTGCAGGGCTTTGGCTTTGCTACAGCGGAACAAAATCTGTTGGCTTTTTGTGGGGTATCCTAACTCACAGATCCTAATTGCCTGGACCTGACTCTGAGATGAAACCTTACACTATCTGCTGCTGGCTCTTTCAGCCTCAGCACAAACTGTGCTGGACAAAAAACTCTATAAGCACAATAAACAGAACTCAGACTCTGGTATCACTGCAGATTAGGACATGCCTGCATGGGATCCCAAACTAAGAAAACATCATGGATGCTGGCTGGACTGTGTGCATCACACACAAATGCCCACAAGAAAGGGCTTGTTCTCTTACAGGACCATCTGCAATCAGGCTTCTGATCAGCCTCATATGTCTGACCCAAAAACTAATTGCATTCCTAAACTTGTGATTTCTGCCCCAAACAAGTTTGGGGTGAACACATCACAGGGACTCTGAACTCCCTGCCCACTCCTGGCAGATTGGACTCTTGACCCCCTTTGGGGGTCTTGCTGCTGTCTGTTGATTATTTTATTTGGCTTTCTGGATTACTTGCAGCTTGCAACAACAGCCTTCCTTATGTTTCTCCTGGTGTACGCACTTCAGTAAAGCAAGGTGATCTGTGTAAACCCATTTTGATTTTTTTTTTTTTTTTTTTGAGATGGAGTCTCCCTCTGTCGCCCAGGCTGGATTGCAGTGGCGCCATCTCTGCTCACTGCAAACTCCGCCTCCCGGGTTCACGCCATTCTCCTGCCTCAGCCTCCCAAGTAGCTGGTACTACATGTAGGTGCCCGCCACCATGCCCGGCTAATTTTTTGTATTTTTAGTAGAGACGGGGTTTCACCATATTAGCCAGAATGGTCTCGATCTCGTGACCTCGTGATCCGCCTTGGCCTCCCAAAGTGCTGGGATTACAGGCGTGAGCCACCGCACCCGGCCTTGAATTTTTTTTTAAATTCAAGATTTCGTCCTAATTTCTGAATGTGGCATGTCTTTTTACTTAAATTGCATAATAATGTTTTCCTGCGACAATGTTTTTATTCCTCTTCCAGACAATCCTTCCTGACGACATGTCTGAATGAAAGTCAGGTATGATTTCAAAAATGTAAAGTAATGATTGCTGAAAAGGACACACTGATTTTGCAATAATGAGAGAAAAAACAAAATCCTAGTAACTGGAAGGTCCAGGAAGGGGGAAGGCATTCATGATCTCTGTTGTTCAAGGCCATTCCTGAAAGCTCTCTCCTCCTCCGGAAGAAAACCCCCCTGTGCTGCCTTTCCTAGCTGCGGAGAATGTTTTGAATTCAGACTGATGGCCGAGGCAAGATCATGGGGCAGGGCAGACTATTGTCAAAAAAAAAAAAAAAAAAGCAAAAACCAGTGTCAGATAGAAGTTAAAGCAGCAAAGGCAAATTTTATTTAGAAACTATCTCAGTTGGGGAAAAGAGACATCAGTACAGAACTGGGCTCTATTCCAAATAGAACAAGCACAAGTAGGAATTTATGGCCAAGGGACAGGGGTCACTGGATACAAAATTACTAACAGGAAGCATCAGGGATAAGGGGGGTTCTGGTTAAACTAACTTAATAGATTCTCTCTCTCTCTCATTTTGGCTGGAGCAAAACTTTACTGTTCAGAGGCTCTGCTGGGCCACGTGTCCTCAGGATACCAGGCTGCTCTGGCCTCCTCTAAGGCATTCAATAATATTAGTAATTAAATAGCAAAGCTCATCCCCCAACTGTAATGTACAATAGAGGTCCCATTGTGACATTCCTGAGGAGTCTGGTCCCATGAGGTCAGGAACGCAAGAGGCAGAGGGGGCCCCCTGATGCAAAGAGGGTTAAGGCCACAAACGAAAAGGAGAAGGGACAGGGTTTGGGGGCAGCTGGTCTGGTCCAGGAACCTGGCTGGAGGCATGCAAGCTCCCTTCCCCTTCCCCCCGCACCCCCCAACTCTGTGGGTCTGGAGGAACCCGGGGGAGACCCTAGGCATGGGGATGCCCGAGGGTTTGCAGTCTGGCTGTGTGTCCATCCTACCCAGTGCTCAGGTCCTCGAGTGTTCTGGACCAGTCAGGGGGCTCCCAGGTGCATCTAGTAGCCCCTCCCATGCTAGGGCAGGGCTTTCCTTCATTGGAGGAGGAGCTGGGAAGGGCTTGACAGCGGGCCGGGCAGCCCATTGGTCTTAAGGCCAGAGTCCCCACGTTGGCCACGTTTGCCATACAAGAGAATGAGGGATGAAGAGGAGGAACTAGAGGATCTGTAGGCCGAGTCAGGAGCTAGAGGGTCTGGGGCTGGAGCCCGGTTAGGGGCTGGTCTAGTGGAGGTCCCGCTAGCAACAGCCTTATGGGTCCCGGCATTGGCCAGAAACTCCTCGTCCAGGCGTCAGAGCAGCTGCTCTGGTGTGTGCGGAAGACGCTGGCGCGTGTGGTGCTAAACTCTACACTGGGTTTGGACTGGGAAAGCCAGGGTGCTTCAGGGTGGTGGGCACGGAGAGCCCAGGAGTGCTCCTGCCCGAGCCCCGCTGCCCCTGCCCTGTGGCTCCCACGAGTGCTGCCCATCTCCATCCTTGCGCCCAACCTGCTCCTGCGCCCACGGGGCAGGGCTGAGGGCCCGCAGCTGGGCTCCCCTCCTCTCTCTTCTGGAGCTCCCCGGGGCTGACCCGGATCCAGCCGGTCCCGGGACTGGCTGCGCGGGGCAGGGGGCCGTCTCGGAGAGGCCAGGTGGTGGTGGTCAGCCCCCGTCTGGATCGCTTCCTCCGGGCCTAGTGCCTCATCCTCGCTGCGGGCACCAAGGGGGCGGCTCTGGGCTGAGAAAGCTGAGGAGTCACTGTCCTCGGAGTAGGAGCGGGGATGCGGCGGGCAGCTGATCCCAGGGCCTGGGAGCCTCGGCACCTGCTTTATGCTTTGTAAGCGAATAGGGGTCACCTAGGGCCCGGAGCGCCGGCGCTCTCTCGAGGGGACCAGGCTACCAGGGCAGGGGCTAGGGGTGGGCGACACCCTCTGCGGGGACAGGGTGCGGACCCTCGACGGGGGCGGGCAGTGGGTAGTGGAGGAGCGGCAGCGCGGGTCCTGACGGTCCAGGTAGCGCTCCAGCGGGTCGCCACACCCACGCGCGCCGTCACGCGGCTCCCCCGCACCAGCACAGAGACCAACAGGCCGGAGTCTCCCACGCGGAACTTCCCCTCCGAGGCCTTTATCTTGGGGAGCTGAGCGGGTGCAGAGTCCCAGTGTCTCCCTTGCCAGCTCGCGGAGCACTTCGGAGTCGCCCAGATCCGTGCGCCACTGGCCGATGAAGGTGGCCGGACTGTCGCGGGCCACGAAGAAGCCCAGCGCCAGCCACCCTGTGGGCCTGGAAGGTCACACTTCGGGATGCGCGGACAGCCTCATGGGTTCCCATACACGGGCCAGCCGAGCCACTGTGGGCGGGGGTACAAACCAGGATCGCTGTGAGGACCCGGCAGGCGCTCAGTGCAGACTAAGCCGCAGAGCACTGCACCGGCCTGTCACTCAGGCCAAATGTCTGGTTTACCTGCTGGCGCTGAGAAACCTCAGTGCCTCAGTTTCCTCATCTGCGAAATGGGTACAGTAAATTACCTGCTTGGTAGGATTCAATGGGATAATTTTTAATAAGCAACTTAGCGTCCATAAATACTGGCTACACAGCCTTTTTTTTTTTTTTTTGGAGATGGCTGGGGCCTCCGTCACAGGCAGGGAAGTGCCCACTGTGAAGGGCTGGGACCTGGAGAGATGAAGACAACGGCTGGGACCCCCAGTGGATAGGAAGGGAACCCAGGTCCCGACCTCAGGGTGGGTGACCTCCATGGTTCAGGGCTGTGCCCAGCCCACCTCCTGCGGGAAGGTCCGGGCTTCTCCCTTGATCCCCCTTCCCTAAGGGCTGAGCCATCAAAAAAACGACGTAGCAGCAGTAATGGTATCAGTAACAGCAATGCAGTGGCTAGGGCTGAGTGCATGGTGATATTATCTCCATTTTACAGATGAGGAAACTGAGGCGCGGAAAGGGTAAGAGCTCGCTGGAGGTCTCAGAGCTGTGGGTGGAGCCAGGGCGTCCAGGCTGCGCCGCGCGGCCTATCTCGGCGATCCAGCAGCCGAGCCGCGAAAGCCAGAACCCCCTCAGCCAAGAAGCTCCCCAGAACCCCAGGCCGTCGTTTGTGGGTCAGAACTGATGGCCCAGGCCCAGAGGGGGTGCAGAGCCGCTCAAGGTCACACAGCTCCAGGTAACAGAGGCTGCTAACGCTGCTGTCTGGCCCCGGGCAGGGAGTACTGGGGGTCTCCCCGCTTTCCTGGCTCATCCACCGGCCGCGGGAAGCATCGCCCCTGCAGAGGCAGGAGCCAGGCCTAGCCCGCAGCAGGGAGGCGCCTGCAAGCCACAGCTGGATCTGCCGGGCCGCTGCGGCCTCCTAACGGCGGGCCGGGATGATAACGATATTGACGGTAGGGGCTGAGGAATTTGATCAGGTATCAAGGATGATCAGAGACCTTGGTAGTGGTGGGAATTTTGCCTAATTTGACTCAACAGAGTCTTGAATAAGCAGGCCAAGGTCAGAGCCCCAGGTTGGTACCTTAAGGGCTTAGAGGGGCCTGACTAGCGTGAGCTTAGCACCGTTGCAGGCTTGACATCAGGGAGTCCTGTCATCAGGGCTGACTCCATACTGAACTGCTAGGGAACTCTGAGACCCACAAAGGAACTATGAGAAACACTTTCTTCACCAGCAGCCATGCTCTTAACAGTATACAACACATTATACAAGGCCTCCAAAGGGCCACTGTAACTCCAAGCTCTGGTTAGTGAAATTGTGTCATTTAGATAAAAAGAACAAGAAGAGGGCCATCATGTTTAAACATGTAACCAGCTGGAGTCCCTGGAGAGAGGGGACTTTCAATTTGCTTAGAAGCAGAGGCTCCCATTCTCACCTTGTCCGAACTTAAAACAAAGCAAGAGCAAGCAAAAAGATGGAGAGCAGTACCAAGAAACTCAAACAAAGGCAAATACCTCCACCAAGACAGGAGTTCTTTAGCATGAATGAAGACTTGTGGCTCCAGGTTCCAGCAGGCGCCCAGATCTCAAAGCGCAACCAGCTTTTAGTGAGTATCTCACAGATGTCGAAGAGACCACCAGAGCCACGGAGGATGAAGTCACATGGCTTCCCTAGTAATAAAAAGGAGGAATTAGCCGGTCAGGCCAATAAGTGTTTACTCAGGAATGTGGGTTGCAACCTGGGTACCAATGAGAGACTGTACCACCCAAGAGAGCAAGGGCTCACATCGATAGAAACTTATTTAGATTACATAAATTGTTTGCCAGATTATTTCATAAATAAAGAATTCTTTAATTGTTAGCAGAAGAGTCCTTTTGCATCAGTGGGTCAGGAAAAACCTATTCACAGTTTGTAAAGACAAGGACCAGAGTTTGGAGTTACAGTGGCCCCTTGGAGGCTCATTTGAACTTTTCAAACATATATATATATTTAAAGATAACATCTTGGAAATAAAAAGGTTTGCACTTCTCAGAATGTATGGGAAGCATACTTTAATTAGCATTCAGAAGGGATACACATAAAAAAGACCATGAAATCTAAAAGAGTTTTCCCAAGACACTGTTTCTAAGTTAGTAAAAGAAAACAAGCATTTAAATAAAAATCTTCAGGAGATAAAAATCTTCAGGAGGCTGGGCACGCATGTTCCTGTAGTCCCAGCAACTCAGGAGACTGAGGCGGGGGGATCACTGAGCCTAGGAGTTCAAGTCTAGCCTGGGCTAAATATAGTAAGACACTGTCACAAAAAATAATAATCAAATCTTCAGGAGAATGTTCATGCTCAGCCTTATCATATGCCCCGCCGGCAGAACTCCAACATTCCTATTCCCTCCCCTTTACAGCCACCTAAAACAGCTGAACCAAAACTTAGACTAGCAATCCCTATGATGACCTTCCCTACCCCTGTCCCAATTCCTACATACCCCTTCCAATACTCCCCAAATAAAGAGAATTTACTGGTGGCATCTTACACTCTGGTCCAGTTCTGAGTTGCCTGTGATACGACAGCCAAATAATTTGCCAAGGTGACTGAGGACCTCTCAGATTTGCCGAGGAATTCTCGACAGTCTGTACAAGTTATGTCCTAGAGTTTTCAATTTCTATCAGCTGATACATTTGCTGGTGGGACCAGGAGGAGGGAGACATTGGGCAAAAATTGGCAGGATGGGAAAATCCTTCTGATGATTGATTGATTGATTGCTTTAGATATGGAGACTCACTATGTTACTCAGGCTGGTTTTGAACTCCTGAGTTCAATGATCCTCCCACCTCAGTCCCCTGAGTAGCTGGGACTATAGGCACCCACCACTCACATTTGGCCTCTTATGATGATTTAAATCAAGATTTGCTCCAAGATATAGAAAAAGCCAAAGAATTGGTTGACACATTAATTAAAGTTATTCTCATGGCTTTTCCAAAGCCAGTAGATTGGAATAAAATTTTGGCTTGTGCTCAACGAGAAGGCAGACTAGTTCATGGTTATTCCAACAAACTAGAAAGTAATATTTAAATAAAATTCTGGTCTCTCAAAAGAACAGACTGATGCCACTTAAGTAGCACTTAACTCCATGTTTGTCAATGGTCTCAATGAAGATTTAACCGTATTAGTTAAGAGAGCATAGAAAATTAACAAAGATATTCAGGACCTGAACTCAGCTTTGGATCAAGTGGACCTGATAGATATTTACAGAACTCTTCACCCTGAAACAACAGAATATACATTATTCTCATTGCCACATGGCATTTACTCTAAAATTGACCACATAATCAGGAGTAAAACACTCCTCAGCAAATGTGAAAGGAATGAAATCATAACAAACATTCTCTCAGACCACAGTGCAATCAAATTAGAATTCAAGATTAAGAAATTTACTCAAAATCACACAACTACCTGGAAATCGAACAACCCGCTCCTGAATGACTCTTGTTGATTAATTAAGGCAGAAATCAAGAAGTTCTTTAAAACTATTGAGAACTAAGATACAATGTACCAGAATCTCTGGGATGCAGCTAAAGCAGTGTCAAGGGAAAATTTATACACTAAATGCCCACATCAAAAAGCTAGAAAGATCTTAAGCTAACAACCTAACATCACAACAAAAAGAACTAGAGAACCAAGAGCAAACAAACCCCAAAGCTAGCAAAAGACAAGAAATAACCAAGATCCAAGCTGAACTGAAGGAGATAGAGACACACAAAAAAAATCCTTCAAAAAAAAAATCAATGAATCCACGAGCTGGATTTTTTAAAGAAATTAATAAAATAGACCACTAGCTAGACTAATGAAGAAATGAAAGAAGATTCAAATAAATATAATCAGAAATGATAAGAAGAATATCATCACTGACCCCACGGAAATACAACCATCAGAGAATCCTATAAACACCTCTATGTGCATAAACTAGAAAATCTAGAAGAAATGGATAAATTCCTGGACACATACACCCTCCCAAGTCTGAACTAGGAAGAAATTGAAACCCTGAATAAACCAATAATGAGTTCTAAAATTGAGGCAGTAATAAATAGCCTACCAATCAAAAAAAGCCCAGGACCAGATGGAGTCACAGTTGAATTCTACCAGAGGTACAAAAAAAGCTGGTATCATTTCTCCTGAAACTATTCCAAATGGTTGAAAAGGAGGGATTCCTCCCTAATGCATTCCATGAGGCCAGCATCATCCTGATACCAAAACTTAGCAGAGATACAACAGAAAAAGAAAACTTCAGGTCAGTATCTTCAATGAACATTGGTGCAATAATCCTCAATAAAATATTGGCAAACCAAATCCAGAAGCACATCAAAAACCTTATCCACCACAATCAAGATGGCCTCATCCCCAGGATGCAAGAGTGGTTCAACATACACAAATCCATAAATGTGATTCATCACATAAACAGAACTAAAGACAAAAACCACATGATTATCTCAATAGATGCAGAAAAGGCCTTTGAAAAAATTCAACATCCCTTCATGTTAAAAACTTTCAGTGAACTAGGTACTGAAAGAACATACTTCAAAATAATAAGAGCCATATATGACAAACCCACAGCCAATATCATACTGAATGGGCAAAAGCTGGAAGCATTCCCCTTGAAAACTGGCACAAAACAAGGATACTCTCTCTCACCACTCCTATTCAACATAGTGTTGGAAGTTCTGGCCAGGGCAATCAGGCAAGAGAAAGAAATAAAGGTATTCGAATAGGAAGAGAGGAAGTAAAACTATCTTTCCTTGCAGATGATATGATCCTATATATAGAAAACCCCAATTGTCTCAGCCCAAAAGCTTCTTAAGCTGATAAGCAACTTCAGCAAAGTCTCAGGATATAAAATCAATGTGCAAAAGTCACAATTATTCCTGTACACCAAAAACAGGCAAGCAGAGAGCCAAATCATGAATAAACTCCCATTCACAATTGCCACAAAAAGAATAAAATACCTAGGAAGACAGCTAACAGGGGAAGAGAAGGACCTCTTCAAGGAGAAGTACAAACCACTGCTCCAGGAAACCAGAAATGACAAAAAGAAATGGAAAAAAAATCCATGCTCCTGGATAGGAAGAATCAATATCTTGAAAATGGTCATACTGCCCAAAGCAATGTATAGATTCAATACTATTCCCATTAAACTACCATTGAAATTCTTCATAGAATTATAAAAAAACTATTTTAAAATTCATATGGAACCAAAAAAGGGCCCCAATAGCCAAGACAATCCTAAGCAAAAAGAACAAAGCTGAAGGCATCATGCTACCTGACTTCAAACTATACTACAAGGCTACAGTAACCAAAACAGCATGGTACTGGTGTAAGAACAGACACATAGACCAATGGAATAGAGACCACAGAAAGAAGACTGCACACCTACAACCATCTGATCTTTGACAAACCTGACCAAAACGAGCAATGGGAAAAGGATTCCTTATTTAATAAATAGTGCTAGGAGAACTGGCTAGTCATATGCAGAAAATTGAAACTGGACCTCTTCCTTACAAAATCAACTCAAGATGGATTAAAGACTTAAATGTAAAACTCAAAACTATAAAACCCTGGAAGAAAAATCTAGGCAATACCATTCAGGACATTTTGTGACAAAGATGCAAAAAGCAATTGCAACAAAACCAAAAATTGACAAATGGGATCTAATTAAACTAAAGAGCCTCTGCACAGCAAAAGAAACTATCATCAGAGTGAACAGACAACCTATAGAATGGGAGAAATTTTTTGCAATCTATCCATCTGTAGTGAACCTCCTCATGGGTCACCCTTTGTACTGAATCCCTGAGTTCATCCTTTTCTTTCCCCAATGCAATTAGAAGCAATTAGCAAATTTTATTCTATTCATTAGTTTGAAAAAATATTATAACATATTAAATATATGGTCACCCAGTAGCTTGTCTTTTATGAGCTTTTGATTAAGAGTATCTAATGGTGACATTGTGTGTGTCTCTATTGCCAGATCATGCCAGTGCTCTCTTCACTAATGGAAATAGAGTAATTGATGTCTTTAAATCTAATCAGATTAGAGAACCAATTCCAGAAACCTCAGAGCCAATCCAGAAAATTTATTCTTAAGATTTTTTTCCTGTAGAGCTATTCTTGGTAGCAAACTTTGGATTAGCATTGTTAGGCGAAATAGAACCATTATGATGTGTGTGTATATGTTGCAGTCTTGAATCTGAAGGTAGTCTGGAGGCAGAACTCCTTTCTCCTCGGGGGGACCTCAATCTTTTCTCTTGAGGCTTCCCACTGATTGGATGAGGCCTGCCCATACTATGGAGGGTGGAATGTAATGGACTTTACTCAAAGCCTCAAACTATGTTTATCACATCTAAAAAATACCTTCCCCACAACATCTAGGCTGGTGTTTGCTGAAGCAACTGGGCATGTGTTAGTCAGGGTTCTCTAGAAAAGCACAATAGGGTATGTGTGTATGTAGGTGTGTTTGTGTGTCTGTGATTTCTGTATATGTGTGTGTACATGTATATTTACTTAATTGATATTTGTTTAATTTTTGGTTACTTATCTATTATCTATTTACTTATTTGGAGTTGGCTCATGCAATTATGGAAACTGGAGAGTCCCAAGATCTGCAGGGTGAGTTGGCAGGCTGGAGACCTAGAAGACCTGATGGTGTAGTTCCAGTGTGAGTCTTAAGGCCCAAGAACCAGAAGAGCCAATGGTATAGTTCCAGTCTACAGGCCAGCAGCCTCGATATCCTAAGAGCCAATGTTTCAGTTTGAGTCTAAAGGCAGGAAATAAAGAAAGCCACTGTCCTTCTTTGAAGGTCATTAGATAGCAGAAATCTTCCCTTACTTGGGGGCGGGTCAGCCTTCTGCTTCTCCTCAGGCCTCTCACTGATTGGATGGGGCCCAGCAACATCAGGAAGGGCAATCTGCTTTACTCAGTCAACCGATTTAAATGTTTATCTCACCCAAAAACACCCTTGCAGAAACACCCAGAATAGCGTTTGACCAAACAACTGGCCACATTGTGGCCCAGTTAAGTTGACAGATAAAATTAACCAACACAGGGCACTATAGTTTACTCTAGTTGACAGATGTCGCTATGACACTTGTTAAATCTCCAAGCAACATTGTGGATTTGTCTATTTTTTCTTTTCGTTCTCTCAGTTTTTGTATCGTGTATTTTGAAGTTCTCTTATTAGGTATAAACATCTTTATGATGATTGTGTTTCCTGGAGAAATTAACCTGTATTAAGATTGTGATATATCACCTTTTATCTCTTGAAATAACCAGTTGTTAATGCCCACTGTCCCCACTTCAGTATGAATACAATTCTTGAAATGATTAAGTGTAAGATTACCACCTAAAAACTCATTTTCTAGTTGCCCGCTGTGTTTTGTTTGTTTTTCATTTGGGCCTCTGTTTCACTTTTCTTGCCATCTTTTGGATTAATCAAATATTTTTAAATATTCCATTTTTATTATTTTATTGGATATTTATTATATTTCATTGCATTTTTTAGTGGCTATGCTAGGGATTACAATATGTATCCTCAGTTTATCGCAATCTATTTAGAGTTAAAATTGGACCACTTCACTTTAAGAGCCTTTCAACAATAGAATTCCACTTATTTACTGTCCTTTTTGTCATTGTTGTGATATATTTTATAGCTACATATTAATAAATCCCATATGATGGATATAATCCTGTCATTTGTGCCTTAAACTTTCAAAAAAGCTAAGAAAAATGTAGTCTTAAAAAAAATCTATCCATATATTCACCATTTCTAATGCTCTTCATTCATTTCTATGTATCCAAGTTGCTGTGTGATATGATTTCTCTTCAGATTGAAAAACTATCTCAGTTTTTTGTTTTTAGTGCAAATCTGCTGGCAATGAAATATCTTCATTTATTTAAATGTTTTTATTTCATCCTAACTTTTGAGATATAATTTCCTTGATAGAGAATTCTGGGTTTATACTTTTAAAAAATTTCATCATTTGAAGACATCATTCCCTCATAGCCGGGCATCCACTGTTTCTGATGAGAAGCCTGCTGTCATTTGTTTGGTGTTCTCCATGGTGTAACTTGCCTTTTTATTCCTTCTTTCAGTATTTAAGGTTTTCTTTTTCTTTCTGGTTTTCAAAAGTTTTTCTATGTTCTGCCTAGATATGGTTTTCCTCATATTTACTTTCTTTGGGTTTTACTGAGCTTCTTGGGTCTATAAGGTGGTATTTCCCACTGTATTTTGAGAATCTTTAGCCGTTATTTTTTTTAAAGATTTTGCCATTAGTCCTTCCCCTGTGTCTCATTACACAGAGGTTTCATAATTTATGAAATTAGTGCTTCTGAGGCTCTGTTCACATTTGTCCAATCTATTCTTTTCTCCAATTTTCAGTTTGGATACTTTCTATGGATTTATCTTCAAGTTCATAAATAAGCCATTCAGTAATGTTTCATTCCAAATACTCAGCTTTAAAGTTCAAGGATTTCCTTTTTTTTTTTTTTTTGAGACGGAGTCTCGCTCTGTCGTCCAGGCTGGAGCACAGTGGCGCGATCTCGGCTCACTGCAAGCTCCGCCTCCTGGGTTCACACCATTCTTCTGCCTCAGCCTCCTGAGTAGCTGTGACTACAGGCGCCCGCTACCGCACCCGGCTAATTTTTTGTATTTTTAGTAGAGATGGGGTTTCACTGTGTTAGCTAGGATGGTCTTGATCTCTGGACCTCATGATCTGCCCGCCTCGGCCTCCCAAAGTGCTGGGATTACAGGCGTGAGCGACTGCGCCCAGCCAAGGATTTCCTTTTTTAAAAAAACAGTTTTTAGTTTACTGAAATTTCCCATCTGCTCACTCCTTATGATAATATTTAAGTCCATAAACTCAAAATAGCTCCTTCAAAATCTGTCTGCTAATTCCAAGATCTGTATCCTCTCAGGTATTTTTATGGGTACTTCTTCCCAGGATTTTGGATTCCATTGTCCAGGTTCCCAGGTCTACTGGTTCATGACCGTGTGCTGGACAGTGGGGATGCGATGTTATGTGGTTTCTGGATTGTGTTTTTATTCATCTCTAGGACCTTGAGTTTTGTTCAGGCAGTCAGTTGAGTTACTGGAAACCCTTTTTGTCTGGCTTTGTTCATACTTTGATAGGCTGGGTTTATGATGGCATTGAGCTTAATCTTAGGGCATGGTCCTTTTGCTAAGATGTAGTCTTCACTCTTCTATAGTTTCATTGAAATGCCAAGGTGTTCCTTAAGGTCTCTCCTCTCTGAGTAGCCAGAAGTGCTCACATACCTCTCAGCCCAAGCAGATGACCTCTGCTGGGCTCAGGAAGCCTCAGCCTGTGTAATTAGACTTGCTCTTGCTCACTATTACATGTTGAAAACTGTGGTATAATACAAAAAAAAATCTGCTCTTTCTCCCCAGTTCTTGACACCGTGCTCCTAAACTCTTGGAATATCCCGAGTGACAGGAGCATCTTATGTCATTCATAACAAACCCCTTTTCATCACACCTGAGCTTATGGTAACGGGGTGACTTAGGGTGAACCCCAAGACAGCCTTAGCATGGGACTAGTTAGTAGAAAGACCAAGTTGTTAGAGAGTTGGAACTTTCTGCCCTAATATCCAACCTCCAGGGAAGGGATAAGGGGTGCTAAAGATTGAACCCTCTATAAATGCTCAAACAATGATATTCAGAGAGCTTCTGGGGTGACACACACCCTGAGCTGCTGAGAGGGTGGCATGCCTGGGAGGCATGGAAGCTCCACAGAACCCCCCATACCTTGCCCTATGCATCTCTTCCATCTGGCTGTTCCTGAGTTGCATCTTTTAGAATAAACCAGTAAGCCTTAAGTAAAGTGTTTTCCTGAGTTCTGTGAACCATTCCAGCAAGTTATCACACCTGAAAGGGTGCAGTGCTTTGGGAATCCCCTGACTTTGTAGCCACGCTGGACAGAAATGTGGGTTACCTGGGGACTCAATACTTGCAACTGGCATCTGAAGTGAGGGGGCACTTGTGGGACTGAGTTTGTTTCCTGTGGAGTCTGACGCTGACTCTGGGAGCTTAGTGTCAGAAGTGAACTGAGTCACTGGACAGGTGTTTGGTGTCTGGAGAGTTGGATAATTGGTTGGTGTGAGAAAACCCCCCACACATTTGGTGTCCAAAGTGTTGTGAGTAAAAACAGCACAAATTCCAGACAAGCTTTTGCCACACCTCTCCTTCCCACATACTGGAGATTCCATTTCTTAATCCTGACCCAGATTCAAATTCCTTCAGCAGCTCAGCAAGACCATTGCTCCATTTGAACTTAATCTCATTGTGCCACAGCAGGAAAGTGTCCACAAAGCAAAGAGACAGAGGATAGAGGGACTGAAATCATGCATTTCTCTTCCCTCAAGGATCACTGTCCCCAAACGCCTGCTGTGTGCAATGCTTGAAAACAATTGTGTCGTATATTGTCAATTTTGATAGTTGTTTTTGAGTGCAAGTAGCTCGGTATGATACTGTCATCAGCAGAGTGGTAGTCACAGGTATTGAGCCTTTTAGAATCACTGTGGCTGTTGTGCAAACAGTGGACTGAAAGAATTAAGATTAGAAGCAGTTAAGAGGCTTCTGAAATAAGTCCTGAGGTTGCTGGAATAAGATGATGGCCTCAGGGATAAAGAGAAGAAAGGAAAAATGTTAGGTACCTAAGAGGCAAAAATGGAAAGGAATCAGTTTTTGTTTTGGGGGGTTAGGAGAAGAAAGAGGTAAAGGATTCCTTCTACAGCTCCTGTGTGAGCACCCTGAGTTGGTGCTATCCAGTGAAACAGGTCAAGTTGATACTCATATTCATACTTGCTTCTTACAAAAAATATTATATTTAAAAAAGAGTAACAAGTTTCATAAGTAAAGATTAAATGTTATTAAGTCATACTCTGAGTTTACTCAGTGTCTATGTGTCAGACATTACACTCTATGTTTTTACAGACACATACACTTCTGTGCAAAGACTATAGGATGCACACACTGCTATGCAGAGCACAAACACACGAGTGTAATTCTACAACACAATGAACGGACATTTTCAGAGACAGAAATCTATCTAAATTACCTTCTCAATGATCATTCTCAAAGGTGCACATCTGTTAGCTCCAACAGGAGGGTGTCCTGTCAGGGTCCTTTTCCCTGAGTTGAGAGTGAAGAGTATCTGTCATGAAGGGAGAAGTCACAGTCAGCTGGAATAAGGAGGCCGTCAGCAAGACAGGCTGTCAGGCTCTCCTGGGTTTTCTCTGGAAGACTTCAGCCCACACCTCCCCTCCTGGACACTGAGTGGGAATAACGAGAATCAGAGGCCACCCCGAACAACAGAGCTCCAAGTGGAGCTTGGGGGTCAACTCAGAGTCCTGCTCTTTCTCCCCCTCATTTGACCCCAAAGAGCAGCAGAGTACAGTGCAGTGGCAATGTAGATATTCACGAGCATTTTTTTGGCAGGAGTCTCTTTTGAGTAGTGTTTTTTTTTTGACATTTTTGGGACATTTAAGTTAGCAATGACATCAAGAATCTGATGGAAACCATAAGCTCTCACCACAGCAACATGCGCAAACTCAGTGGCTCATGGACTCTCTGCAGGTCACTGATGGTTCTTAGGTTAGGAAGGGGCTGGAGGCATCTCAGAATATTTATTTGCTGGTTACCTGATCCTAGCATCTGTAAGTGTGCTCAAGCGAGCGGATAGGCATGGATCTGGAATGCAGAGGAGCCCAGGCATGAAGCAGCAGCACAGGCAGCAACTTGCTCTGACAACACCCCCTGACTTCTCTGACTGGGTGGGTTACACAACCCAGCAGGCTGTCATCCTGACCATCAGGTCAGAAATGATTGGTGATAAAGTTAGTCACTCAGTCAGTTAAGTGGGCAGGCAGTGAAGTCAGCTTCATAGACTACTTATTAAGTTTAGTTCCAGTGTCAGGCAAGCAGCTGAGATTCAACATCATTCATTTAAACATTTTCGTTTATCTTGAGATATTTTTAAAGTTCCCTTTTCATGTTCTCTTTGACCCACTGGTAGCTCAAGAGTGTATTATTTAGTTTCCATCTATTTGTGAATTTTCCTGTTTTCTAACCATTATTGGTTTCTAATTTTCTTCCATTGCGGTAGGAAAAGATACTCGGTATGATTTTCAACCTTTTTTTTTTTTTTGAGACGGAGTCTTACTCTGTTGTCCAGGCTAGAGTGCAGTGGCACAATGTTGGCTCACTGCAACCTCTGCCTCCCAGGTTCAAGCGATTCTCCTGCCTCAGCCTCCCAAGGAGCTGGGACTACAGGCGCACGCCACCATGCCCAGCTAATTTTTGCATTTTTTAGTAGAGACGGGGTTTCACCATATTAGCCAGGCTGGACTCGAACTCCTGACCTTGTGATCCACCTGCCTCAGCCTCCCAAAGTGCTGGGATTATGAGCATGAGCCACCTCACCCGGCCGATTTTCAACTTTTTAAAATTGGTTAAGATTTGTGACCTAATGTGATCCTAGGAAAGTTTTGTGGGCATTTGGGAAGAATGTGTATTCTGCTACTATGTGGGAAGTTCTGTATGTGTCTGTTGGATCCATTCAGAATATAGCATTGATCAAGTCAGTTGTTTCTGTATTGCTCTTCTGCCTGGATATTCTATTATTACAAGTGGAGAATTGAAGTCTCCTACTATTATGGTATTGCACTCAATTTCTCCCTTTGGATCTGTCAATATATGCTTTATATATCTGTATATTTGGGTGCTAGTCACATAATTTGCAGTTTTTCAAGTGGATTTTTGACTTTTCATCAGCTTGGAAGAGCTTTTTTTTATCATACATATGAACTGTGAATAAATTTTCTTAGTTGATTTGGGTTGTTTTAGTCCCTCAAAGGTATCTAATATTTTATAGCAAAATCCTTTCCCCTTTCTTTTATAGTTTGTGTATTTTTGTTTTCATGTAAAAGTTGTCACAATCTCTACAATGCACATAGGTTTTCCTTTTTTATTGTCTGTTTCACCAACTAAAATGTGTTCTTCATGTGGAAAAGGACCTAACCTATCTTGTTCATCATTGTATCACCAGTTCCTAGAACAGGCCTCAAGTATGGCAACAACTTAATAAGTATATTGCGAGTACATAAATGAGATTATTTTTATTTCTGTAAAACCCCTTGTGTATGCACTTGACTGACTCAAGTAAAATGGTCTGAACTGGAGAAAGGAACTTTTCCCCTCACACTATGTCATACGGCCTTCAACTTGCACTGTTAGTGCAACAAGATCTCCATCATTGCCAAAGTATGTCAAAACTCAGACATTCATCAATAGCTCCAATAAGACAAAGTTGTCATATGGGTTAGCCTCTGATTTTTCTTTTTCAGATGGAGTCTCTCAAGCTGGAGTGCAGCGGCGTGATCTTGGCTCACTGCAACCTCTGCCTCCTGGGTTCAAGTGATTCTTCCAGCTCAGCCTCCCAAGTAGCTGGGATTACAGGTACCTGTAATCATGCCTAGCTAATTTCTGTAATTTTAGTAGAGACAGGGTTTCACCATGTTGGCCAGGCTGGTCTTGAACTCTTGACTTCAAGTAATCCACCAGCCTCAGTCTCCCAAAGTGCTGGGATTACAGGCATGAGCCACTGCGCCTGGCCAATTTTTCTACTAAGTTCTAAATTAGACATTGCCTGTATATTACCTGAACATCACCCCAAGACTCTTTCTCTGTGAGATGGTAAGCCCCATCTGGTAATTTTCCACCTGACCAAAATGGTTCCTGCTGGTGTAATAGATTCTGACATGAATTTATTCCCTGTCTACAGCTAGATGCACCTCACATGAGCACTTTTCCATCAGGGGCCAACTGGAAATTTTTCCTGGGAATTTAGAATATTGTATCATTAAAAAAATGAAGTAAAGCTGGGAAATAACAACAGCCAATATCTAGCTCTACTTTTAACCCAAATTATTTTGTCACCCTCCTACATTATAGCTGCTCTGTTCTTCCTCTGACTTTTGTGAGTCAACAAAGTCATCTTTTACCCAAATTAATTCAAGGTGGGTTTATGACATTAGAATTTAAGATCCTGAAGTATTACAAAAAGAGACTAAAAATTCAAATTTTCTCCCCCAATCCATTCTTTTAAAAACCAGGAGTCCCTGTACCCAAATTCTGAGACTCAATTCTCCAACTCACCCGTAGCAACCACCATCATCTTCTCTTCTCTAGATTTACATGCGTGCATGCATTTGTGCAAAATGGAAGGGCTGTTTACATAGCAGAGGGTCAGGGAACCAAAATAATGTTATGTTGATGAACCAACAATATTTCTATTTTAGCTTAACACTTGAGACACAGTACCAAATGGAGTTAAATTTTCATCACTAAACTTGCTGTGATCTTTATCTCTTCCGTTCCTAGTGTACTTGCTGAAATATGACTTCATTTATGACATTTCCAACTCATCAACCGTGTCAGCTGGGGACAGAGTTAAAATAACTTTTAAAAACTGAACTTCAGACAAATGTGCTTGGCTCTGGGAAATCTTAGAAAGTTTTAGCATATTAAGCAGAAGCCTGCGTTGCTTTTTTTCTTACATGCTTGATAGTATGAATATTTATCTGGAATTTTATTTTGTGCTGGTTATTATATGAAGTGTGTACTGTCCTCATCAAAGAGTGCTTTGTATAGAAATAATTCAGGTCAAAACATCCTCTTTCTTATATGAGTCTTCTTCAAGGGCCAAGTTAATAAAATTAATAGACTGAACCTTGTAACTCTTAAACATTTACATTTAAATTAGTGACATAAGATTGTATACATTAAAAAAGTCTATTCATTAGGATGTCAGGTAAATCCTAAAATGTAGAACACATACTTTAGGCAAGGAAAGTAATTTTTGTTTCCTCAAATTTAAGTATATAGGTTTCTTAATTTTCTTTTTAAAAAATAAATTTTTAATTTTCAAATAGGTTTACATTTACAGAAGAGTTGCAAATAGAATACACAGAGTTCTCCTCCACATCATACCCAATTTTCCCCATTTTAATGTCTTACATTACTATGTTACATTTGTCACAATTAATGAATTAATATTGATATATTATTAAGTTTATACTTTATTTCTATTTCCTTGGTTTTTACTTAATGTCCTTTTCTGCTCCAGGATTCCATATCAGGATACCAAAGGACACCAAGTCCTTAGGTTCTTCCCGGCTGTGATCATTTCTCAGGACTACATTGTTCTTGATGACCTTGATGGTTTTAGGGGGTACTAGTCAGGTGTTTTTGGAAACTGTTTCTCAGCTGAGGTTTGTCTGATGTAGTAGGATTATTAGTTTTGGGAGGGAAGATGTCGAGGTAAAATGCCATTCTCATCCTGTCATATGATATGCACTTTCGACTTGACTGATCACTGCTCACAGTGGCCTTGATCACCTGGCTGAGACAGTGTTTGTTAGGTTTCTCCAATGCGAAGTTACTCTTTTTCCTCCTTTGCTATACTGATTTCTTGGTAGGATGTCATTATGTGAAGCCCACAGTTTAGAAGTGGGGAGTTACGCTCTGCTTCCTGGAGTCCCTGATCTCCTTTTGAAATGATTTTTCATGCTGAACACAAATTAAAGTAAGAAAAATATGGATATTGAATGACTAGTGCAAGAAGTCCATTATAACATCTGACATGAAAAATTATCTATCTACTTGTCTATTAAATGATTATATCTATGTATACAAACATTAAATACTAAGCTATGCAATATTGTCTTTACTGAAGGTAAAGGTCATTAGATTATATTTCATGCAGTGAACTGAGAAATATCTCATTTTTCAGACCTAAATCCCATCATTTCTTCAGAATACCAACTCTTTATAGAATGTTGTTTTGGAAAAAGTTTATATTGGTGAAAGTTTACTTTGACATATCTATGGGATAAGACGACTTTCTCTACTTCATAGATTTTGAATTCAGGATAAGACTTTCTCTACCAATGAGCAAAAATGGACCAAAAAATGGGGTAACATGAGGAAATCAAATCTGAGATGGTCCACAACTGATCCCTTTTCTTCACCGTACTTAGGTAAATGCTGTGGCACGAGTTGCTCACATTAAATACAACGAAGCAAATCATAAGCAGCAGCGCAGTCGTGATGGTTCCGGTCTCATGGGAGGCTATAGAGGAACAGCTGTTGTTGTGAAGATGTGGATTATTTTTCTGGTGTCTGTGAAGGAAAATCACCAAGTAGCCACTGGCTCAACTCATGAGAACCAGAAAAATTAAGTCCTGGAATGTGATAACACTCGTATGAGAGACAGCAATTGTGTTGCCCATGTGTGGTGTAGCTAAACACATTTTTATGGAGAGATTCTTGGTGACACTGCCATATTTGATAGTGTCAACAAATGGCACAAGCTTGATGTAGATGAGACTGTTGATGACCCAGAGTGTAAGAAGAAGCACAGTGGTGTTTTGAGCATTTTGTCTTTCAGCCACGTCCACCTGGATTTGCTGGGGCTCCCACGGAGGGCCTGCACCATGCTTAGGAGGTATGTCGTACATAGGGGAAGTCCCCAAGATACTCTATATAAAAATTCAAATTCCCTACATCCAGTATAATTCAAAAGATTTTTAGTGTTGAAAGATTTTACTGCCAATGGAATAACTTTGCGGAGAAGTGTCATCGTATTAGCAACAGACAAGTGAAGGAAAAGCAAGCCCATGGGCTTCTTCTGCTGGGGACATATCAAAAAGGTGTAAATAGGCATCAGGAGTAGCAGTAAGTTCCTCCAAATCCCAATGTCAATATGAGAGAGGAAAAAAATTTCCATAATTGTATTGCTGGAAAGCATGGTGTTACAGGCTCTCAGAATGATACAAATATTATATTTCAGCCTGAAAAGACTGAAAAACATCAAATTAAAAGCAGAACACAAAAGGATACATGTCCCAGGGAGAAAGGATTTCATCTCTTATGTAGTTCCTTTAAAAGGGAATACGAAAAGAATAGAACTATATTAAATATCATGTTGGAAAGTTCCATGGTAACCAATTATCCCTCTCAATGTTCACAGGTAATTTTGGGATATGATGTAGGCCAATAGGAAATAATGAGTATTTCCATAGCAAATAAGCCTTCATTTATGACACACATTTATTTTGGCAGTAATAATTAGTCTCTCTCCAGAACCCAGAATAAAATGAGAAAAATCAAGTGGGTTTTGATCTGCAGTGCCATTTATATTTGGTAAGATTTCTCATTACATTAGTCAGTCTGAAACAAATTACAGTGGAGTGTGGCAGGAACATGTATTATGAACTAAATAAATACTCACTAATGCACTCATCATCCGGTTGGATGAAAACGTTCAGTGTCTACTCTGATGGAAGCCAAAGATGCTGATCATAATGAAGTCAAAACCATCAGTACCTGATTCACACTCTTACATTTCCTTAAAAATACCAGGAGGCTGAAACAGAAAAGTGGAAAAGAGAAATTAAAGATAAATTTATAGAAGGTTTATAAGTGATAAAAACATGAAAAATAACTTTTTCAGTTATTAAATCAATTCAAATGGAAACAAATAATTTTGCTCATCAATTTGTAAAAGTTTCCAAATTAATCTGCTTCAAAAATGAAAAGGTCCAGTAAGATAATAAATTTTCCTATAATGCTAATGGGGATCAAGTGTTGATATCTTTGGCAAAGCAATTTAAAATACATATTAAAAATTTGAAGACAATTGTACAAAAATAAATAGCCTTCACACATACAAATTACAGTCAGAAGCTATAAGGGCAGAGATAACTACATTTACAATAGCAATAAAACATACTTAGGAATAAACTTACCAAGAAATGTACAAAGCCCATAAGAAGAAAACTGTAGGTCAGGAATTGTGGTGCATGCCTGTAATCCCAATGCTTTGGGAGGCCAAAACAGGAGGATTGCTTGAGCCTGGGAGTTTGAGACTAACCTGGGCAACAAAGTGAGACCCTTGTCTCTACAAAAAATAAAAAAAATTAGCTGGGCGTGGTGGTGCACACCTGTGGTCCCAGCTACTAGGAAGGCTGAGGCAGGAGGGTTGCTTGAGCCCAGGAAGATGAGGCTGCAGGATGCTGTTTCATGCCATTACACTCCAGCTTGGGCAACAGTGCAAGACCCTGTCTCAAATACAAAAAACAGCAACACACACACCAAAAAAACACTGTAAAACATTTCTAAAAAACATAAAAGTGGCTTGAACAGATGTAGAGACATTTGGATAGAAAGCCTCAATATCATCAGTATGTCAGTTCTCCAGTAATTTAGCATATGAAGTCAATGCAATCCCAATTGAGATAACAACAGTAGTTTCTTTTGGTTGGGTTTTTGGATCTAGACAAGTTGATATTGAAGTTCATATGGAAAAATAATCACAAGGGTAGAAAAATACTATCAAGAGAAACGAGGGGGATTAACATCACCACATATTAAGCCAACTGCAAAGACTATATAATTAAAACAATAATAATGGCCCACGACTAAACAAATAGATGAATGAGATAGAACTAAAATCAAGCACACAAATAAAATCCAAATATTATGGAAAATTAGTAAATCATAAAAAGTTCATATCTCAAATCATTGGGCTAAAAAGGGGAATTTTTAAGTAAATGATGTAGCCATTTATTTTTCCAATGGCATAGCCATTTGAAAAAGTCGGATTAGTTTCCCACACTATACACAAGAACAAACACCGTAACGATGGGAAATATAAAGAAACAGTCATGCATGGTCTCTGTTCTGGCTGCTTGAACTCTATCTGGGAGCAGTGCAATCTAGAATTCTCCATTCAACCCCCAAGTGCTCCTCTCCCTTTCGCTCCGGCCCCTGATTTATCCTCTCTGAGCTCTCAGGGTCCTGCCTTGTGTCCTTGTGCATGTGCAGCTTAGTGTACAACCAGGACATCACATGACCTGCATGCAATCCTGGGGATCCTTCCCTGCCCCATTCTTTCCTCTCTGGTGACTTTCCACATAAAATTCAGCCACTTCAAAAGCCCCAACATCTGATAGGTTTCATCATCCCACAAGATCTCTGCTCTATGTTTGGGCTCCATTTCCTGGCTCATGGCTCTGTTCCCTTCACTTAAGAATTATAGTCATTCAGCCTGGCCAACATAGTGAGACTCCGTCTCTACGACAAATTAGCCAAATGTGGTGGCGTGTGCCTGCAGTCCCAGCTACTCAGGAGGCTGAAGTGGAAAGATTGTTTGGGCCCGGGAGGTCAAGGCTACAGTGAGCTGTGATGGAGCCACTGCACTCCAGCCTGGGCCAAAGGGCAAGATTCTGTCTTCAATAAATAAATAAAAGGAAGAAAGAAAATAAATAAATAAAAGGAACTGTAGTCTGTACTGTCTGTTTTTCAAAACCTGGACACAGTTGCTTATTTTCTTCCCCTTTGACAATTGTTGATGGTGAAACAATAAATCTGCTACTTATTCCTCTGAGAGGGCTGGGCCGCCCTCTCTCTTTTTTTGTTATTATATTTACAAATTGAAGATATCATGTCACTATTACTGTAGAATTTTCTTTTTTTCTCTTTTTTAATTTTTCATTTTTTAGAACAGGGTTTTGCTGTATCACCCAGACTGGAGTGCACTGGTGCAATCATAGCTCACTGTAACCTCAAGTGATCCTCCCACCTCCGCCTCCTAAGTAGCTGGGACTACAGGTGTCAGCAACCACATCTGGCTAGATTTTTATTTTTTTGTAGAGAGAGGGTCTCACTATGTTGCCTAAGCTGGTCTTGAACTCCTGGCTCCAGCAATCCTCCCGCCTTGGCTTCCCAAACTGCTGGGATTACAGGGATGAACAATTGTGCCTGGCCTGCCAAGTTTTTCATAATCTAGATTTGACAGACAGTTTTACTCATGGTTTCACTTTACTTGTATCTCCATCCTCTATATTTTGCATGGACTTTTAAGTGTATCTACAAATTTGATATATTTCATTTTTGTCTTATTGAGAATATTTCATATATAGTACTGCGTACTTCCCTTTGCATCAAAACAGAAAGCACAATATCTGTTTAGTGATATTAAAATTGATTATTGGGTCCAAGTATTATCAGCCTGAGTCATCCGTTATACAGATTCCTCATCAACCTGTTAAATGCTTGGTATTCATTCATGTTTGTTGCTTAGACATAGTCCTCATTAGAGTTACAAAGTAGTGATTTTCTAATCATACTGTTTCTCCTCTGTTAATTCGCTGAAATGTTCTGGCACTAGAATATTCATTAGTGAACCTCATTCCTAAGTAGAAGAAACACAATGAACAAATTCAAATGACAACTGGTAAGAGAAGAATGGAAAATCTGCAACTCTTACCAGATACAAAGGGCGAATTTCAATATTTTTGGGTTCTAAAAATGATCAAGATATAAAACAAAAACCCAATAGAAAACAATGTGCAAAGGGTACGAGGTTACAGTTCACAGAAAAAGAAAATAAAATGACTCTTAGAGGAACATATTTTCATACATATGTATAATGAGATAAATGCAAATCAAAACTTCAATTCCATTTCTTTGACAATTAGAATGACTAAGACTAAAATTTTAATTAAAAAATTTATGGGCAACATAATAAGACTGATTTCTTAAAAAAAGGTAGCCATTCATTTCTGTTGGTAGAGTTGTTGGGTAAAATGTACTTTCATAACATTTCCTACAAAAGGTACATTTTTCTCTTACCATTTCAGTCAACTGTTTCATATTCACAAATTTATCCTCTAAGTATACTTGCATATGTGTAAAATTTTTATTTAAAAAGTTATTCACTGTAATAAACTTTTCACTGCAATGAATGTTCATTCATTTTCTGTAGTAGCAAAAGACTAGGGCAACCCATTAATTATGGATTGAATACACAGAGTATATCAATACATGAAACGATACAATTTCATGTATTTATTTATTGATTTATTTATTTTTATTATTTTTTTTTTTGAGACAAAGTCTTGCTCTGTGGCCCAGGCTGGAGTGCAGTGGCATGATCTCAGCTCACTGCAACCTCTGCCTCCTGGGTTCAAGCAATTCTCCTGCCTCAGCCTCCCAAGTAGCTGGGATTACAGGCGCACACCACCACACCCAGCTAATTTTTGTATTTTTAGTAGAGACGGGGTTTCACCATGATAGCCAGGCTGGTCTCGAACTCCTGACCTCAGGTGATTCACCCACCTCAGCCTCCCAAAGTGCCAGGATTACAGGTGTGAGCTACTGCGCCCGGCCAATAATTTCATGTGTTTAAAAATCAGAAAGCTCTTTATGTAGTTATCTGGAATTACACAAGAGACGGTTAGAAGAAAATATGTGAGAATTACTTGTTAACTAGTGTCAAGGGTAATGTTTCCAAGATAAAAAGTTCATATAAAATAAGAAAAGAGTTGTTAAAAATTGACCTAAAGAACTTTTGCATGATGAAAATAATGTAAGTCAAAATGCATATAAATCTGAAAAATATTAGTAACCTGTTCATAGATAATTGGTTAACATCAGGTGTGTGTGTGTGTGTGTGTGTGTGTGTGTGTGTGTCTATAAGCTTTTAAAAACAGTGAAGAAAATCTTACCAAAAAATAAAAACAAAGCAAAAGACATGAGTAGACATGAATTCCTGGGACATGATCAGATGGAGCAAAGAGAAAACGAATAGTAAGATGATAGATTTAAACTAAACTGTATTAGTAATTATACTATATGTAAATAAACTAAATAAAATACAGACATTATTTGCTTTATATTTATAAAGCAAGACCTACATATATACTAAAACATATACAGTTTGAATAGATAGACACAGATATGCACAACACTAAACATAATAAAGCTTGTGTGACTATATTCATTTCAAATAAAATACACTTGAAGAAACCGGAAATGCCAGAGAAAGAGACTTCCTAATGATAAAACTGTCAATTCATCAAAAAGTCACAGAAGTTCTAAATGTGCATTTATCTGTAACAGCTTCAAAATGCGGTGAGCAATATCTGTCAGAACTAAATAAAAAACTGTATCAACACACATCATAGTTGGATGTTTCAATGCCATTATCTCAGTAATTAATGAAATACTAAAAAAACTGTAAGAATGTAAAAGATCTGAACAAGTCAAATTGACTCAACTGACATTTATAGAGTATTACACCACAAAATGGCAGAGTAAAAATGGCAGAATTCTGGGAAATAAAAATAAATTTCAATATACTTTAAAATATTAAAGCCATACAAAAACAAATAATAATAAAGGAGGTGGGAGGAAATTTGGGAGGTGATGGATATGTTTATGTCTTTGAGGGTGATGATGGTTTCTGGATGTATACTTACCCAAACTCATCAGGATGTATACATTAAATATGTATTGCTTTTTATATGTCAATGATGCCTCAATAAAGTGGCTTAATTTTTTTAATTACCAAAACCCATATGAAATATCTTATGTGAGCACAATAGTATTATAATAAATTAGAAATCAGGGCCAGGTGTGGTTGCTCACCTGTAATCACAGTACTTTGGGAGGCCAAGGCAGGTGCATCACTTGAGGTCAGGTGTTGAGACCAGCCTGGCCATCGTGGCGAAATCCCATCTCTACTAAAAATACAAAAATTAGCTGGGTGTGGTGGCAGGCGCCTGTAATCCCAGCTACTCAGGAGGTTAAGGCAGGAGAATTGCTTGAACCCAGGAGGTGGAGGTTGCACTGAGCTGAGGTTGTGCCACTGCACTCCAGCCTGGGTGACAGAGCAAGACTCTGTTTCAAAAATAAATAGACAGATAAATAAATAAGTTAGAGATCAGGTACTGAGAAAAATCACCAAACATTACAATTAAATTACACACTTCTAAATAATCCATGGTTACTAGGAGAAATTACAATGGACATCAGGAAACTTATTGAACTAAACAATTATGAAAACAAATGCCAAAAAATGTGAGATCTATCTAAGGAAGTACTGAATGAAAAATGCTTAAACAATAAATTATTAAACAATGATTCACTTAAGATGCTAGAAAAAGAAGAAATAAACTAAAAATAAATAGAAGTAATGCAATACTAAAGAAAGGAAAAGAAGTCAATAAAATAGGAAAAAACTCAATAGAGAAAATTGAAACCAAAATTTGAACATTTAAAATGACATTAAAATGAATAAATCCCTAAAAATAAAGCACAAATTATTAATACCAGGAATAAAATAGGGGCATAAGTGCAATTCCTACAGATATTAAAAATTATAATAAGATATTATGAGTAACTTTATGCCAATATATTAAATAACTGAAAAAATAAATTTCTTGAAAGCCACAATTCATTAAACCTGACATAGAAGAGAAAGCTAAGTAGTTCTATATATGTTAAAGAAGAGAGTTCATAATGAAAAACCTTTCCAAAAAGAAAACTTCAAAACAATAGTGAATTCACTAGTGAATTCTTGAAGCATTTGAGAAAGAAATACCAATTTTGTAAAAGTATTTTTAGAAATAAAGAATGCTTTCTAACTTAAGTGACCAGTGTAACTTTGGTACCAATACATTACACAAAGTAAATATAGAGACCAATATTCTTCAAGAACAAGAGATGCAAAAATGTTTAATAAAATATATGGAAATAAATATAGAGATATCATATATAATAAAATATATGAAAATGTAGAGATATCATATATAATAAAATATATGAAAATAAATATAGAGATATATAAAATGTTTAAAATAAATATAGAAGGGCCGGGCGGCGGTGGCTCACGCCTGTAATCCCAGCACTTTGGGAGGCTGAGGCGGGCAGATCACGAGGTCAAGAGATCGAGACCATCTTGGCCAACATTGTGAAACTCCGTCTCTACTAAAAGTACAAAAATTAGCTGGGCATGGTGATGCGTGCCTGTAGTCCCAGTTACTTGGGAGGCTGAGGCAGGAGAATGGCTTGAACCTGGGAGGCGGAGGTTGCAGTGAGCTGAGATCGTGCCACCGCACACCAGCCTGGGCGACAGTGAGAGACTCTGTCTCAAAAAAAAAAAATAATAATAAAATAAATAAATAAATAAATAGATATGTAAAAGGTATAATCTCTAAATATAGAGACATATAAAAGGTATAAGTATAGAGAAAATAAATATAGAAATATATAAAAGGTATAATATAATGAGTTCTAATTTATTATAATACTGTTGTGCTCACATAAGATATTTCATGTGGGTTTTTTTTAATTAAAAAAATTTGGCTGGGCATGGTGGCTCATGCCTGTAATCCCAGCACTTTGGGAGGCCAAGGCAGGTAGATCACAAGGTCAAGAAATCAAGACCATCCTGGCCAACATGGTGAAACCCCATCTCTACTAAAAATACAAAAATTAGCTGGGTGTGGTGGTACGTGCTTGTTGTCCCAGCTACTCAGAAGGCTGAGGCAGGAGAATCGCTTGAACCTGGGAGGCAGAGGTTGCAGTACGCTGAGATCGTGCCATTGCACTCCAACCTGGCAACAGGGCGATACTCCATCTCAAAAAAAAAAAAAAAAGAAAAAAAATTTAAGCCACTTTATTGAGGCATAATTGACATATAAAAAGCAGTATATATTTAACATATACATCCTGATGAGTTTGGGTAAGTATACATCCAGAAACCATCATCACCATCAAAGGCATAAACATATGCAAAAGGTAAAAGATATATAAAGGTATATCATGACCAAGGGGGATTTATCCCAGGAATGCAATGTTGCTTTAGTATTTAAAAATAAGTCCAAAGAATTAATCACATTTATAGAATAAAGGAGAAAAAGCATATGATCATCTGAACTGTTGTACAAAGAAACATTTGATGAGATTCAATACCCACTAATGACAATAAAATTTCAAGCAAATAAATTTCCCCAATATGATTTTTAAAAGTCTGCAAAGAAACCCAGTGCAGCTAATATTATAATTAATAATGAATTATTGTATATGTCCTTCCTAAAATTGGGAACAGGAGGAGGATTTCTATTCCCAATACTTCTATTCCACATTGTATTGGAGCTCCTAGCCAGTGCAACGAGGAAAAAAGATGAAACAAAATACTAAGATAGTTTGGAAAGTAAGAAGACCATCTTCATTTGCAGATAGCTTGACTGTGTATATGAAAAACAAAGAAATCTACAAAAATCTACACGAACTAGTGAATGAATTAAACAAGTTTGGAGTATAAAAGTTCTGCATATAAAATCAATTGTGTTTTATTAAAGAGCAACACCCATTTGCAAAATGAAATAAATAGCATCGAAAGTATAAAACACTTTGGAATAAATTTAACAAATAACATGCAAAACACATACACTGAACTGAAAACTACAAAACATTTCTCAGATAAAGACAACAAAATGGCTGGGTGCGGTGGCTCACGCCTGTAATCCCAGCAATTTGGGAGGCTGAGGCAGGTGGATCATGAGGTCAGGAGTTCGAGACCAGTCTGGCCAACATGGTGAAACCCCGTCTCTACTAAAAATACAAAAATGGGCGTGGTGGCGGGCGCCTGTAATCCCAGCTACTCTGGAGGCTGAGGCAGGAGAATCACGTGAACTGGGAGGCGAAGGTTGCAGTAAGCCAAGATCATGCCATTGCACCCTAGTCTGGGGGACAAGAGTGAAACTCAGTCTCAAACAACAACAACAACAACAACAACAACAACAACAACAACAACCACCAATCAATGGAAGGATACACTACTTACAAAGATCAGGTACTGGATATCGTTAAAATTTCAATTTGCACAAGGTAGATCTATAGAGTCAATGTAATCTCTCATCAAAATCCCAACATGCATTTTTGTACAAATTAAAACATTGGTCCTAACATTTATATAAAGATTCAAAAACTTAGGATAGCTTCAGTAATCCCAACAGTGTGATAGTTGTCTGCTCACGCAAAGCCGACAAAGGGAAAAATGAAACAGAAGAGAGAATCCACAGACTCACACATACGTAGTTGGCTGTTTTTTGTCAAAAGTAATAATGCAATTTAATGAGGGAAATAAGATTCTTATCAATAATTTTTCTGGGGAAACTGAATAAACATACAGAAAGAAATGGACCTGAACTACTGCTTCATACCATACTTAAAATTAGAGATTGATTAGAGACCTAAGCATAAAACATATGTCTTTTAAGCTTTGTTAGAAGAAAAACTTCAGGCAAATTAATTTGAGCAGAGTTTAACTGTGCAAAGAACGATTTGCAAATCAGGCAGCCCCTGAACCGACTCCCTTGCTGCTGCACGGTGGGGGAGGATTTATGGACAGAATAAAGAAAGTGACCTACAGAAAGCAAAAGAGAGATACAGAATTGGACTGGTTACAGTTTGGCATGTGCCTTATTTGAACATGGTTTGAACAGCTGGCAGCCTTTGGCACAAGAGTAGGTTACAATCTGTTCCAGTTCACTATGTATGGAGAGACCTTTTGATTCAAATTTAAAATACAAAAAGAGGTAGCTTTAGGCCCAACATAATTTAAGCACTTCTAAAAGGTAGAAGGGAAATAGCTTTATAACATTAAAAGAGCACTAACTCCTCAAAAATTATAAATAGGACTTTATGAAAATTTAAAAATCTTCTCTTCATCTAAAGGCAAAAGCACCATGAAGAAAATAAAAATGGGCCAGGTATGGTGGCTCACATCTGTAATCTCGGCACTTTGGGAGGCCAAAGTGGGAAGATTACTTGACCCCAGGAGTTCAAGACCAGCTTGGCAACATAGAAAGACCTCATCTCTAAAAAAATAAAATAAAATAAATTTTAAAGGAAGAAAATAAAAATGCAAGTAACAGAGATAAAGAATACACTGTAGCTGCAATACTGAGATATATATATATATATATATGTATATATATATATATATATATATTTTTTTTTTTTTTTTTTTTTTTTTTTTGAGACGGAGTTTTGCTCTTGTTGCCCAGGCTGGAGTGCAATGGCACGATCTCGGCTCACCACAACCTCTGCCTCCTGGGTTCAAGGGATTCTCCTGCCTCAGCCTCCCGAGTAGCTGGGATTACAGGCATACACCACCACACCTGGCTAATTTTTTTTGTATTTTTAGTAGAGACAGGGTTTCTCCATATTGGTCAGGCTGGTCTTGAACTCCCGACCTCAGGTGATCCACCCACCTCAGTCTCCCAAAGTGCTGGGATTACAGGCATGAGCCACTGTGCCCGGCCTGGTATTTGTTAAATAACTTGTATCAAGAATCAAAAAATAAATTATCACTTAAAAAAGTCAGGTAACATTTGAGACTAATCATTCAGTGTTTAAAGAAAAAAAATGGAATATTTTAAATGTATGTACTATGAGCTCTTCAAAAGTGAAAAATTGTTCCAGCTTTTCTAACTTGAAATGAAACTCACTGAAATCTCTTACAGGGTAAATTATCATAGTGCTTTGGCTGGAGAAGCCCACACAGAAGCAGAAACAGTAAAAAACTCTTTTTAAAATTTATTTTTCATAGCATCATTGAGTTACAATTGACACACAAGGAATTGCACATATTTAACGTGGACAATTTCTCTTGAGTAGCTGACACTGCTGAATGCCCACTGGGTGAAACATCAGGAAAAATCAGGGCAGTGCCACTTCTGATGTTACTCTGACTCATCAAGTTAAAGATTCAACTGCAAACATATGGTTTGAGCTGGTATCTTGTTTATAGAATTTGACTTTCACCGAACAAATGAGCAAATCTACAGACCTGGCTGGACTTGTATCAGCACCCACTACTCTTCAAAGGATTTTTTTTAATGTGAATGCTCAGCAACAAATGTAAGTAGTGATAAATATTCAGAGTTAAATAACTTTATTGAATATCATGGTTGTTCTGGAACAACTTTGTTTATATTTGCACTCTGGGTGCAAAAGGCATGACAGAAAATGGCTGGCACCAGGGCACAGATCAAGGCAGGGGCACCAGCACCAAATTAGTAGTGGTAGCATTCTTCCCTGCCACACACTGGGGATTAAAAGAAAAAAAGGCAATTTCTCTTAAGAATGTCCTGGACGGCCAGGCACGGTGGCTCACGCCTGTAATCTCAGCACTTTGGGAGGCTGAGGCGGGTGGATCACGAGGTCAGGAGTTCAAGACCAGCCTGGACAAGATGGTGAAATCCCATCTCTATTAAAAATACAAAAATTAGCCGGGCATGGTGGCAGACACCTGTAATCCCAGCTGCTGGGGAGGCTGAAGCAGAAAATTGCTTGAACCCAGGAGGCAGAGGTTGCAGTGAGCCAAGATCGCACCACTGCACTCCAGCCTGGGTGACACAGCGAGACTCCATCTCAAAAAAAAAGAATGTCCTGAAAACGAGGCACTAAAGATAGTTACTTTTATTAGTCTTCTTCATCCTGCCCCTATAAAAAATGCCTCTTTAGTATTCTGAGTGATGAAATGCATGGAGTCCACAAAGCTTCGCTGCTGCGTATTGTAGCATGATGGTTGCCTCAAGGCACAGCGCTCGGGAGTCTGGGCAGGACCAGCTGCATGGAACAGCATTTGGTTTGAAAGAATGATGGGTGGACAAACTGATTTTTCAGATTAGAATAGTTAGCAGAAGCTGTCTTGAAAATGAAGGATGCAAGTCCATCACTGTTGCCACTAACAGAATTCATGTTTTCAAGCAAAAATTAGAACTTTGGAAAACTTTGGAATCATTAAGTATTCAGAAGGTGAGCTTCAGAAGTTCTGATGACTTAACGTTTCTAAGGAGATCTGTGGTGAAATGAATGAATGTGATTTATGGATAGTGTATGAAATGTCAATATTTGAAAATTCTGCATAGTTCAGTCATAAAATATTTTCAAATATGTCAAGGAAAATAGAGCCAAAGTGCAAGATAATCAATGGATATTAATGTAAAAGTGTACAAAAAGTTCACTGACAAGATTTCAGACTCCACATTGCAGCTAACTTTCAAAAACTATCACTTGTTGAGTTTGGTCTGACATCCAAGAGGAAAATCCTCAGGAAAGTCTATTAAACTCCATTTTCCCACTAAAGGTCTACGTGAAGTGAGATTTTCTTCATATACTTCAATCAAAACCACATGTCAAAACATAATAGGCCAGGCGCAGTGGCTCATGCCTATAATCCCAGCACTTTGGGAGGCTGAAGTGGGTAGATCACTTTGAGGCCAGGAGTTTGAGACCAGCCTGGCCAACATGGTGAAACCCCATCTCTACTAAAATATAAAGACTTAGCTGGGCATAGTGGCCCATGCCTGTAATCCCAGCTACTTGGGAGGCTGAGGCACGAGAATCACTTGAACCCGGGAGGCAGAGGTTGCAGTGAACCAAGGTGGCACCACTGCACTCCAGCCTGGGTGAAGGGTGACACTCTGTCTCAAATATTAATAATAAAAATAATGAATGCAGAAGTAGATATGAGAAGTCAGCTATTTTCCATTGAAACAGACATTTAGGAGATGTGTAAGAATGTAAAACAACACAACTTGTCAATGCAATTTCTGTTTTGGGAAATATAGTTTTTTTCATTAAAAAAGGTAATTTTTATAAATGTGATTTATTGTCATTTTGACTGAATTAACAAATATTTTTAAATTTAGAAAAGACAGGCAAACCAAATAAGTGGGAAAATGGCTTGAACAGACCCTCACACAGGAATGCAAGTGTATGGAAAAGTGCCCAATGGTACCAATCATCAGAGAAACATATTAAACCACAGTGAGTGCCATGGTCACCCCAAAAAAGCAGGAGGGACCTCCACTCAAAACTTGGCCCAGATGTTGAGACTGACGATGCCACACACACCAAGAGATACGAAAAGGTTCACTGCTGACATAATTGAATTCTCTGGGAAGCCCAGGGCAGGACTCTCGAGCAGATCCAAAATGACTTGAAAGAGCAAGAAAAAGAGACTGCTCTGGGATTTTATTGTGGTTAGGGGTGGTCTGGGGTGAGAGGCCTCACATGAGGGCAAGGACTTGCGTGGGCTGAATCTCCTTTCCATGGGCACCAAAGGAAAGGAGTAGCAGCATTTCTTGTCTGCCCACATGTGGGGCATAGGGGGAAGAGGGAAGGGTGAGACTGTCAGGAGTCAAACAGCAAAAAATGCAGTCAAAGTCCGCAGTGCAATGAGAAAGTACCACACACCCATGAGAAAGGCTGAGATGAAGGCCTGAGCACGCTGGAGATGACGTGGAACAACTGGAACTCTAAAGTCCTGCCTGGAGGAGGGTCACACGGCCACTTAGAAAACTTTTCACAGTTTCTTTAACACACACTTAATTCATAATAGAGCAATTCCACTTTAGGTAATTCCTCACAGCAAAATGAAAAAATAATCGTAAAAATTCTTGTACTAGAATATTTATAGTTGCTCTTAGTAATAAGCAAAACTGGAAATAAACCATAAATTCATCAAGGGATAATGAATAAAGTGACTGTGGCATATTCCTACAATGGAATCCTACTCACCAATAAAAGAATACATTTAGTTTACATGGAGGTGACCAAAAAAAAAAAAAAAACCACATTGTGATACATGCAATAGCATGACTGACTACCAGAAATACTATGCAGAATAAAATAAGCCAGACATACTCAAGTACATACTGTGTATGACTTCATTTATATATAAAGTTCAAGAACAGCCAAACAAATACATGGTCATAGAAATCGCAACAGCGGTATGATTTTTTGCATGGTGACTGACAGGGACACAAAGGAAATTTCTGTAGTAACGGAACTTTTCTATATTTTGAATGGATATAAACATTTATCAAAACACACTGGAGTGTACATTACAAACTTGCTTTTCACAGTATGCAGATTTTACTATAATTATCTTTTGTAAAAGGAATCCAGAAACTGAGAGAAGATATGTGTAATACATATATTCGATGATACTAATATCCAAAATATATAGAGAACTCCTAGAAATCAACTTAAAAAGACAGATACCCAAATAAAAATAGACAAAATACTTGAAAATCTATTTCACAAAAGAGGATATCTGCATGCATGCTAATCATATAAAAAAGTCCTCAACATCATTAGTCACCTGATAAATGTAAATGAAACAATAATGCCACTATACACCTACCATCATGTCTAAAATTTAAAAGGCCTAAAGTACTGAGTTTGGCAAGAATTTGGATCAACTGGAACTTCTTACCTTGTTGGTAAAAGGATAAATTGTTTGAGTGACTTATAAAATATTTTGGCAGTTCCTACTAAAGATAAACACACACACAAATATACACACATACGTGTACATCTTATGACCTAGCAAATCACTCTTAGGCATACACTGGAAGGAAGTGGGTACTTATGTCCAAGAGTCATGAACAATAATGTTCATAGTAGAGTTATTCACAATAGCCCAAACCCCAGAATTACCAAATGCCTATCAAATCTAGAACAGGTATATACATATTGGGATATTCATACAACAGAAAACTACACAGCAATAAAAATGAAGTACAGTGACATGCATCAAATGTCACCAAGGGCTTCCAATTTCAATTAGAATACAAGAGATTCCTTGACCACAACAAAGCCCGGTGGCACCACCCCTCTCCTTCCTCTGTTCTGCTCCTGCCCTCTAGCGACACTGTGCTTCCTACCCTTTCTTGAACAAAAGAAGATGTGCTGCTCAGAGACTAGTTTCTGAAAGGTCCTTTCCTGGACTTCTGACACGTCTGGTTTTTCTCTCTGGAAACTCATCTTTGTCTCAAGTACCCAATAATCCACCTCCCTAGTCACTCTCCATATACTTACTCTAATTTCCCACATCAATTGTTATGCACTGGATTATCTTGTTAATCTATTTATTAATTTGTTTACTTATTAACTCCTTCCCTCAACTAGAATGTAAGCTATTTGAAGAGAGGAGTCTTTTCTTTCTTTTTTTTTTGAGATAGAGTTTCCCTCTGTTGCCCAGGCTAGAGTGCAGTGGCACGATCTTTGCTCACTGCAACCTCCTCTTCCTGGGTTCAAGTGATTCTCCTGCCTCAGCCTCCACAGTAGCTGGGATTATAAGTGCTCACCACCACACCCAGCTAATTTTTTTGTATTTTTAGTAGAGATGGGGTTTCTCCATGTTAGCTAGGCTGGTCTCGAACTCCTGACCTCAAGTGATCCACCTGCCTCGGCCTCCCAAAGTGCTGGGATTGCAGCATGAGCCAGTGCACCCAGCAAAGAAAGGAGTCTTGTATGTGTCTTTAATTACCTACAATAGTCCCAGCTAGATTTAAAGCCTACTAAATATTTGCTCAATAAATCCAGGGTTCAAGGGCTTACTCGTTATATCAGTAGAATATTAGTTGTAATAGAATATTATATATCCATCAAGAGTGATTTTTAAATATTTAGTTAATATGAATAAATTTTCTTCTGAGAAAAGAAAGTTAAAATGAAAATTTAAAATTGTATACTTAGCATCAGAAAAACTGTGCTGAACAAGGTAATGTATACAGAGCAGTTACTGTAGTGCAGATATTGTACAAATTTCTTGAAATATGAGCATATTTGTCGAGCATTGTGTTAGGTCCTGAATAATTAGTTTAAAAAATCCCTATCTCTACGTAGTTAATATTTTATTAGGCGGGAGTGAAAAGATAGACTAGTAGCAAGTAAGGAAACATAGAATAAAGTTGGGATAAATATGAAAATATTATATGAAGCAATGGAAAGGACTAGAAGAATCAACTTTAGACAAGGGCCCAGGGAAAACCTCTCTGAGTGGGTAATATTTGAGCTGACTCCTGAAAACTGAGGACAATTCCACGATGTGTGTGTGAATTTCTGGGCAGAAATCTGAGCAGTCTGTGCCTGAAAGGGACCAGAAACAACACAGCAGAATGTGTGAGAATTTAGCACTGGTCTGAACTCACACAGGTGTGAGATGAGGCTCTGGGAAGCAGGCAAGCGGGGAAAGCCTGAGCATCACCGCAAAGCATTTAAAGATCAAGAGAGAGCTGAACCACAGCCCAAAAAGTGCACTGAGCTGTATTATGAACCTAAGCACTCTCTGTTGTTGTTGTCTGAGGACTCTCTGTCTAAGGACTCTGTTGAAATAACAGGTGTGAAGAGTGTCCAGTCTCATGATGTATAATAATACTCAGCACATTCAGGATACAGTCCAAAGTTATTCATTATACCAAGGACTATAGAACAATAAACTTGCACAAGAAAATACAATCTTCAGGCACCAACATTGAGATGAGACAGATGTTGGTATTATGTGATGAGGATTTTAAAGTAGCTATCACAACAGTGCTCCAACAAGCAATTACAGGCATACTTGGAACAAGTGAAAAATATGAATTCATGGCAAAGAAATGAAAGATACTAGCAAGAACTAAACGAAAATTTTAGAAGTGAAAAAAATAGAAATAAATTGAACTGGACAGACTCAAGAGAATGGAGATGACAGAGGAAAGATCAGGGATCTTGAAGACAAGTTTAACAGAAATTGTCCTGTTAGAATAGAGGAGACAAAACACAATGGAGAAAAGTGAATATAGCCTCAGAGACCTGTGGGAAAATAACAAAAGGTCTAACTTTCAAATGATTGGAGTACCTGCCGGGCGTGGTGGCTCATGCCTGTAATCCCAGCACTTTGGGAGGCCGAGGCAGGTGGATTGCTTGAGGTCAGGAGTTTGAGACCAGCCTGGCCAACAGGGTGAAACCCGGTCTCTACTAAAATACAAAAATTAGCCGGGCATGGTGGCAGATGCCTGTAATCCCAGCTTACTTGGGAGGCTGAGGCAGGAGAATTGCTTGATCCCAGGAGGCGGAGGTTGCAGTGAGCCGAGATCATGCCACTGCACTCCAACCTGGGCGACAGAGGAAAACTCCATCTCAAAAAAAAAAAAAAAAAGTACAGGACTGAAAATATTTTTGAACAAATAGTGGCAAAAAAGTCACAAACATGGTGAAATACATAAATTCAAGGAGATAAGATAACCACTAAGAGGTCATGTTCAAATGAATCCATGTCCAGATACACCATGACCAGATTTCCGAAAACTCGAAAAAACCAGAGAGAAATGCTCTATTTCCTATATGAGGACAATTCCTGTGACATCAGAAACCATGGATGCCAGAAAAAAACTTCCATAATAAGGTGTTTATTTAAAACTACTCAAATTCACTGGGATTATAACCAGGCTCTGTTACTTACCCACTGTGGACTTCAAGCAATATTCTGAATCAGAATTTTATTTTCTTTATCTTTAAGAGGGGGACTATAATTACAGCTACCGTAATAGATGTGTGAGAATTGATACAGTACTATACATAAAATGCCAAAGAGCGTGTCTGGCTAAGACAATGTTAGCTAATATACCATCAAGATCCTCAACAACCACAAAGTAACAGTAACCTAATACACCGTTATAACTTACTGGAACACGTCCCTGTTTTGTGCATTCCTCACGCACAGAGACTTGGAAAGGTGAGGCTCTTACCAAAGGGGACTCTGCTGTTCTGCAGCCGCCTCCCCACACACACGGAGCCTTTGAGAGCAGGGTCCTAGAGGGCAATGACAGAGAAGGTCCCCAGATATAGGGAAGGATCCTGGAAAAGACCTTCCCACGCCAGCTGTGATTATCATCGCAGCCGCAGTCTCAGTGACACTGTCTGCAAAGGGGTGTCTGACAAGGTCCCAACAATTAAGGCCCTGTCAATGAACTGAAGTTTTCCCACTGACCTGCCTGGAGTAACCCGAAAGGCACAGTATCAGCCTCTGCTCAGCAAAGGATCAGCCTCTGCTCAGCATGCCTCCTGGGACCAGGCCCTTCACCATTGGGCTCTGTGGGCTCTAAATGGAACCTAAGAGATGATCTGTTCCCAGCATTAACATTTACAAATGAAAAAACTGAAATTTATGGATGATGAGGAAAGTTTCTGCAGCCGTTTGTGGCAAACCTAGCAGTGAAGAGTCTTCCAGTTTCCACCCCTCATGTCTCTCTTGTTTTCATCACTCCCCACAGGGAAGAGAAACACACTAGGAGAAAGCCCCTCTGCTTCCCCATCATGCCCGCTTTAATCCCAAGCCTCTGTGTGTTTTCATTCTCCCCAATTCAGCGACCTTCACTGACATTTAAAATGCACCTTCAGGCCGGGCATGGTGGCTCATGTCTGTAATCCTAGCACTTTGGGAGGCCGAGGCAGGTGGATCACTTGACGCCAGGAGTTTGAGACCAGCCTGGCCAACATGGTGAAACCCCGTCTCTACTAAGAATGCAAAAATTAGCCAAGCGTGGTGGCACGTGCCTGTAATCCCAGCTAGTCGGGAGGTTAAGGCAGGAGAATCGCTTGAACCTGGAAGGTGGAGGCTGCAATGAGCCGAGATTGAGCCACTGAACTCCAGCCTGGACAATAGAGCAAGACTCCGTCTCAAAAAAATAAAAAACAATAAAAAATAAAATAAAAATAAATAAAATGCTCCTTCAAAGGTCAAAGCACAACAGGCACTCCCATAACTTAGGAACAAAGAAGTAGGCAAAAAGTGTTCATGCTAATGATTAGGGAATATTCAGAGGAAGGATTCTACCCAAATAGCAATGCAACTATGATGTTTTAGAAACACAGAGAAGTACAAATAAACCGGATAAAAGAACCCATGAACTTAGGAAATGACATAAAGAAAACTTTAAAATCCTAGAAAAATATATGAGGGTGATGGAAAAAAGATTAAGTATTGAAAAGCTGCCAAATGTTACAAATTCAATTTATTGATAGAATTGTATTCAAGGAGCTAATATGTTATAAAAAAAAGATATTCTGAAATTAATTTGGAGTAATAAATAGGAAAGTATAATCAATAAGTTACACTGGAAAAGTTCATCATGAAAAGAAAAGTTCATTCATGAACTTTTGTATATGCAATGCATTTCATGTAGTAATAAAAAAAGATAAATAATTAAGTTATGAGTATAGAAATAACCTGATAACTAAAAGAAATAGAACACAGAGAAAAGAAAATAATTATATTATAAATAAAAATAAAGTACCTGATAATTTGATGCTATAAATTTGGTGGAAAATTTAGAATAATTTACTGAATGGTGTTGTGGAAACCAGGTAATTATTTGGAGGCTATAAAGTTGTTTGACAATTTTTACATACAAACAAAATAAGTTCTTAACAGCTGGACAATTAATTATGTTATAATAGAAATTTCATGTTTTTTGAGAGGTCTTAGGAATTCTTAAGCAAATCAAAAAAGAAAAGAAAGAGGCCAGGCGTAGTGGCTCACGCCTATAATCCCAGCACTTTGGGAGGCTGAGTCCGGCGGATCACTTGAGGCCAGGAGTTAGAGACCAGCCTGACCAACATGGTGAAACCTCGTCTCCACTAAATATACAAAAATTAACCAGGCGTGGTGGTGCACATCTGTAATCCCAGCTACTCTGGAGGTTGAGGCAGGAGAATCACTTGACTGGGAGGCAGAGTTTGCTGTGAGCTGAGATCGTGCCACTGAACTCCAGTCTGGGAAGCGGAATAAGACTCTCTCAAATTAAAAAAAAAAAAAGAAAAATTAAATGGATTAAATTAAAATAATTAGAAATTCTTCATGCATAGCACAGCATAATTAAAAAGAATAGACAAACTAGAAAAATATTTAAAAATATATGAGAAATACAAGGTTAAATTATTACATGGACCATTCATAAATCAATGGCTAAAGACAGAATGCACAGAAGAAAAAATGAGGAATATATGAAATTACTTGCAACTTCATGTTGAAATGAGAACATTTTGTAATACTTTATGCCATCAAATTGGTGAGGTAACATTTTAATTTACAAATCTGCTGTTGTAAAAATATAGCAATATAATTATACTTTTTTCTTTTACTATTGGTGATTCACTTGTGGAGTGCAACTTGGCTACAGGCTTCAGTATTCTTAAACTGTTTTATACCCACCGATCCCCCAAATTCAAGTACTAAAATGTAATTGCCAATGTGATAGAATTAAGCAGTTGGGCCTTCAGGAGGTGATTAAGTCACGAGGGTGGAGCCCTCATGGATGGGTTTAGGGCCTTTATAAAAAGATTTGAAAGAGTGAGTTTGTCCCATTCCATCCCTTCCACCATGTGAGGACACAGTGTTATACTCCTCTGGAGGATGCAGCAACAAGGCACCATCTTGGAAGCAGAGAGCAGCCCTCACCAGACATCAATCCTGCTGGTACCTTGATCTTGGACGTCCCAGTCTTTAGAACCATGAGAAATCAATTTCTATTGTTTATAAATTGCCCGGTCTGTGGTATTTTGTTTTGGCAGTAGAAATGGACTAAGACAATCCCCCAAATTGTTTTTTAATATTCCAAGAAATAATCAGAAGCATAAATAATGACTTAAAATAACTTGATAATTCTATTTTGATGAAAATAATAGACAACACACAAAATAGGAACATGGTGCAATGAGCTATAATAGTATACTATGTTGCTATTATTTTTTGTTATTGTTGATGACAATGATATATTAGTTTGCAAATTTTGTTCAGTGCTGGGAATTGTTTTCAGCATTTTATACATAATAGGATATCAGTTCTCATACACCCAATGAAGTAGATATAATCCCCTTTAAGGGTGAAGGAAATGAAACTCAGGGTGCTTAAGACTATTCCTTAAAATCACATGGAATGTAAAATGATAGAGGCTGGATACAATCACAATCATTTTGACTATTTTTTAAAATACTTTTTGTATAAAATTTTTCAAAAACCACAAATGCAGAAAAAATAAGAGGGTATGAACCTCCACTAAACACTAAGAGGACACACAACAAAAGAACTATGTGCAAACAAAAAGCACAAAACTATGTGCATCAAGGGACACACTCAACAGAGTGAAAAGGGAACTCACGGAATTGGAGAAAAGTCTTGCAAATCATAAATCTGATAAGGGATTAATATCCAGAATAGATCAAGAACTCCTGTAACTCATCAACAACCAAAAAACTCAATTAAAAAATGAGTAAAACTATTTCTTCAGAGAAGATAAACAAAAGGCCAATGAGCACATGCAAAGGTACTCAACATCCTCCATACTTAGGAAAATGCAATTCAAACCCACAATGAGATAGCACTTCACAACCATTAGGATGACTACTATGAAAAAAACAGAAAATGGCAAGTGTCAATGAGGATGTGGAGAAATTAGAACCGTTGGGCATTGCTGCTGGGAGACACTAAAATGAGACAGCCATTGTGGAAAACAGTTTGGTGTTTCCTTAAAAAGTTAAACATAGACTTGTCATAGCTATCAAACATAGAATTATTCTATGATATTATAATATAGAATTATCAGCAACTCCACTTCTAGGTATATATACGATGAACTGAAAGCAGGTACTAAAGCAGATACTTACATGCCAATGTTCATTGCAGCATTACTTACAATAGCTAAAAGATGGAAACCACCCAAGTGTCCACAAGCAAATGAATGGATAAAGAAGATGTGGCATCACATAGGATGGAATATTATTCAACAATGAGACGGGAAAGAGTTCTGACATTTGCCACAATATTGGTGAAACTGAAAGCATTATATGCTACATGAAATAAGCCCAACACAAAAAGACAAATACTGCATGATTCCATTCTGTGAAGGAGCTAGAATTAGTAAATTCATGAGTAAAAGGAGATAGAGGTTACTAGGGGCTGAGGAAGGAGGAACTGGCAGTTGTTTAATGGATACAGAATTTCAGTTTGGATCAGGACAGTGATGTTGGTAGCACAGCATTGTTACTGTAATTAATGTCACCGAATTGCACAATTAAAAATGGTAAAAATGACAAATTTTATGTTATGTATATTTTAGCACAGTATAAAAAGGAAAAAAAAATAATGAAAGTGTCCACCATGAAGGGCTGCTGTGAGGACTAAATGAGCTGTATACATAAAAGGCCTGGCCCAGAATGAGCACTCAGAGATGTTTTTTATGCGAATAAAATGTTAGACAGGTTCCCCAAGCTTCATCTGCGTAAAGTTTTAACATGATCTCTGGATGCTTGTCAGATAATTCTCTAGATTAATTACTTGAAAAGCATTACACACACACACAGTTTTGTGATCTGCTTTTTTCAACAAAACAAAATATTGGAACAAAATTTCATGTTACAGTTCTCCATCTAGATCATAATTGTAAATAGCTAATTGTGTGGTGATAATCAGAGTGATATTTAACCAATCCCCTATTCTGAAATATTGAGGTGGTTTTCCACTTGTCATTGTTTGAAAAAAACCACGCCAAATGTGTGTATTTACAATATTATTCCCTTGCCAGATTTTCTAGAATACATATCTAGAAATGGAATTACTGACTCAAAGAATATACGTATTTTTAAGATTTTGATTTCTGTTACCACTGGAACTTTGCTAAAATAATTTTACTGAGAAAGTGAGGTGGTACATTTTTGTATGAGGGTCATGTTGTTTAGTTTTTAAAAATTGCAGTAAAATACACTAAAGAATGCAGTTCAGTGGTATTAGACATTTATATTGCTCTGTTACCATTACCACTATCCATCCTCACAACTCTTTTCATCTTGCAAAGCTGAGACTTTGTATCTATTAAAAATAACTCCCAAATGAGTTCAAAACTTATGTCCACACAAAGACCTAAACACAAATTCTTATAGCAGCTTTATTCATTAAGTGCTAAAGCTCAGGAGCAACTTTGATGTCCTTCAGTAGATGAATGAATAAATAAACTATGGCACATACAGACAATGGAATATTCAGCACTAAAAAGAAATGAGGCTGAGGCAGGAGGATAGCTTGAGGCCAGAAGTTAGAGACTAGTCTGGCAACATAGCCAGACCTCGTCTCTACAAAAATGTAAATAATTAAAAAAAAAAAGAGTTGGGTGTAGTGGTGCATACCTATAGTCCCAGCTGCTTAGGCAGCTGAGGTGGGAGAATTGCTTGAGGCCAGGAGTTTGAGGTTACAGTGAGTTATGATGGTAGCACTGCACTCCAGTCTGGGTGACAGAGTGAGACCCTCTCTCCATGAAGAGACATGGAGAAACTTTTTTTTTATTTTGGTATTTTTTGTAGAGACAGAGTTTTGCCATGTTGCCCAGACTGGCCTCAACCTCCTGGGCTCAAGCCATATGCCCACCTCAGCCTCCCAAAGTACTGGGATGACAGCATTGAGTCACTGTGCCTGGCTGCAAAACAGGAAGTTGGGAAGCATATCACTAAGTGAAAAAAAACCAATCTGAAAAGGCGACATACTGCATGATTCCAATTACACATTATAGAAGAGGCAAAGCTATGTAAACAGTAAAAAGATCAGTGATTGCCAGGAGTTAGGGAGAGTGAGGGATGAACAGGTGGAGAACTAAGGGTTTTGGGGGTCAATAAACAATTCTGTATGATACTGTTAAGGTGGATACATGTCATTATTATATTTGTCCAGATTTACAGAATATGCAACATCAAGTGTGAACACTAATGTAAACTATGGACTCTGGGTCATAATGATGTGTCAGTGTAAGTGCATTGATGGGAACCAATGTAACACTTTAATATAGGATGTTGACAGTTGGTGAGGCTGCGCATGTGGGGAAGGGGTAGAGGATACATAGGACCTCTCAGTACTTTGGGCTCATTTTTGCTTTGAACATATAATTGCTTTAGGAAATAAAGTCTGTTAAAAGGTGTTTTTTAAAAAGATAATGAATAGGTACAAACACTAAGATGACAAAGAAATTCAAGTGATTTGATAGATGTTTTAAAGCAGTCATGATAAAAATGCCTCCAATGGCCGGGTGTGGTGGCTCAGGCCTGTAAACCCAGCACTTTAGGAGGCCTGGCGGAGGGGGGGTGGATCAGCTGAGGTCAGGAGTTCGAGACCAGCCTGGCCAACATGGCGAAACCCTGTCTCTACTAAAAGTACAAAAATTAGCTGGGCATAGTGGAATGCGCCTGTAGTCTCAGCTACTCGGGAGGCTGAGGCAGGAGAATCTCTTGAACTCAGGAGGCGGAGGTTGCAGTGAGCCGAGATCGTGCCACTGCACTCCAGCCTGGGTGACAGAATGAGACTCCATCTCAAAAAAAAAAAAAAAAGAAGAAAAAACCCTCCAACAAGCAATACAAACTTGCTTACAAAGAAAGAGAAGATACAAAGAAGAGATTGAGAACTGAAAAATAATAATATAAATAACAATATAAACCTCAACATATGGGCTCAACAGCAGAATGGAAGGGATAGAGAAAATAAATCAGTGAACTTCAAGATAGAACAATAGAAATTACCCCAATTGAAGAACAGAGAGAAAGTGGGATGGGAAAAAAAAAATGAACAGAGTGTCAGGAACCTGTAGGACTAACAAAGGATCTAACATTTAAGACATTGTTGTCCCAGAAGGAGAATAGAAGGAGGACAACGGCAAAATAAGTACTTGAAGAAATAATGACCAAAAATCTCCCAAATTTGATTTGGCAAGAGACATAAACCCACAAATTCAGTGAGCTAAGTGAATTCCAACAGGATAAATCCCCCAAATCCATGTCAAGACACATCCATAATTCAACTTCTAGAAACTAAAAGCAAAGTCTGAAACTCAGTCAGAAAAAAACGACACTTTATCAACAAAGGGAAAACAATTTGCACGGCAACATGATTTTCACCAGAAACTATGGAGGCCAAACGGGTGTGCAAAATACGTTTTAAGTCCTGAAAGAAAATACCCTATACACGGGAAAAATATCCCAGGGTGAAGGAAAATTAGGAGAATTTGTCACCTGCCGAAATCACTTAATGAGATAGCTAAAGGAAATTCTCTAAACAAAAATAAAATGGTAAAAGCAGGAAGTTTGAACATCAAGAAGGAAGAAAGAACAAGGTAAGCAAAGTGTAGGTAATGACTGTAGGCTTTACTTCTCTTGAGTTTTCTAAATTATGTTGACAGTTTAAGCAAAAAGTAGAAAACTGGTAGATATGGTTCTAAAAGTAGAAAGAGAAAATATTTAAGACAATTATATCATCTTAAATGAGGGTGGGGCAAAGGAATATGGAGAGGGCAAAGAAACACAAGGGGACATAAGGCTTTTATACTTCACTTGAAGTGGTAAAATGTCAACCCTGGTAGATTGTGATGTTATGTTTATAACGTAATATCTAAAACAGCCACTAAACTAGATATTCAAACAGATATCCTAAAAAACACAACAGATAAATGAAAATGAAATTCTAAACAAAAGTTTGAGTAATCCATAGGAAGGAAGAAAATATAAAATAGAGAAACCAGAGAAAGAGCAAACAAAACCCAAAATAAAATGTCTGACATGAACCATAATACATCAATTATTACACTAAATGTAAATAGTCTAAATGTATTGATCAAAAGATGGAGATTGGCCTGTAATCCAGCACTTTGGGAGGCTGAGACAAGCGGATCACTTAAGGTCAAAAGTTCAAGACTAGCCTGGCCAACATGGTGAAACCCTGTCTCTACCAAAAATATAAAAATTACCCAGGCATGGTGGCCTATGCCTGTAGTCCCAGCTACTCAGGAGGCTGAGGCACAAGAATTGCTTGAACCTGGAAGGCAGGGGTTGCAGTGATCTGAGATGGCATCACTGCACTCCAGCCTGTGCAACAGAGTGAGACCCTGTCTAAAGAAAAAAAAAAAAGATGGAGATTGGCAGAGTGGATTGAGAGACATGACACAACTGTATGAAGTCTATAAGAAAATCATCTCAAATATAATAATATTAGCAGGTTAAAATGAAAAATTAAAGGATGGTAAATACATGTTTTGCAAATATTATTCAAAAGAAAGTAGAAATGGCTTCTTTAGTATCACAAAAGTAGATTTTAGAGCACAGAAAAGAAAGTTAGCAGATAGAGACGGACGGTATCTAACCACATAAAGACCAGTTCACCAGGGAGACATAGCAATACTAAATGTGATGCCAGCCAAACAACAGAGCTGAAAAATATATGAATCAAAAACTGACAAAATAGACAAGTCCACAATTATAGTTGGAGACTTCAATACCTCTCCCTCAATGATTGATAGAACAACTAGCAGAAAATCAGTAAAGATATAGAACAACTCAAGAACCAACCAACAAAATCAAATCAACATTTATGGTCCACTCCACTTAGCAACATCAGAATACACATTCTTTTCAAATGACCACAAAATATATATCCCAAGATAGGTCATATCCTGGGCTATCAAACAAGCCTCAACAAATTTTAAATAAGTGAAATCATATAGAGTGTGTTTTGTAATGACAATGGAATCAAATGAGAAATCAATAACAAAGATAACAGGAAGATATTCAAATGACTAGAAACAAAACAACACACTTTTAAGTAATCCATGGGTCAAAAGGAAGTCTCAAAGAAAATTTAAAAAATACAGTGAACTGGGGGACCAGGCGGCAGCTCGCGGAGGTGCTTCTCCGAGCGTGACGCGCGGACTCCGCTCCCGCAGCCCGCTCGCCCGCCAGTCTAGCCGCCGCCTCCCTCGCTCCCTGAGCCCGCCAAGCGAAGGCCAGCGGCCCGAGCGACGCGGCGCGGAGAGGGCAGGCGGGCTGTGGGAGCGCCGGTCTCTATATGGCGGCGGCTCTGTCGCGCCTGGCTGTCCGGCTCTAGCGCTCAGCCGCCGCCCGCTCCTGTGGAGTCTTACGCAAGGGGCTGACTCGCAAGCTGCTGTCTTCTTCAATCTGGCCTGGTGGCTGCGCATCAACTTCCCCTACTTCTACATCGTGGCTTCCATGATGCTCAACGTCCGCCTATAGGTTCATATTGAGATCCATTGAAGGCCCTCCCGGACTGACGAAGGCGTGACCTCAGGCCCACGGCATCCAAGAACACGAAGCATGAGGGACAGAAGAGGGCCCCTCGGCACCTGCCTGGCACAAGTGCAGTGGGCCGGAGGAGGTGACTCGGACAAACTGTCATACAGCCTTAAGCAAAGAATGCCGATGGAGGGCCCTTGGCCTGCAGATGCACCCTCCTGGATGAATAAGCCTGCGGCTGATGGAAATTCAGAGTGAGGCATTATCACTGGAAATGAGAAAGGATCCGAGCAGGGCTGGCCTCTCGCTTCCCAGTGGCGGCCCAGTTCTTCCATATGTGAAAGAATCAGTAAGAAGAAATCCAGCCTCAGCAGCCACTCCGAGCGCAGCCGTGGGTTTGTTCCCTGCTCCAACAGAGTATTTTGCTCGGGTGTCCTGCAGTGGTGTTGAAGCTCTGGGGCGGGACTGGCTGGGAGGAGGGCCCAGGGCCACCCACGGCCACAGAGGACAGTGCCCCAAAGGAGAGCCTCAGGTGTCACGACTGCCATGCCATCAAAAACTGCCGGAAATGGGAAGTTTTCAGGATGACCCACCAAGTGCTTTTCCCAAGGGTCTGCGCTCTGAGTTGGAACCCTCTTGCCTGCATTCCATCCTGTCTGCAACACTGCAGGCGTGTCCCGAAGAGCTCCTGAATGACGAGACAAAACGCATTTTCCTTGACCGTTTAAACCCCATGTTTTCAAAGCAAACAATAGAATTCAAAAAAATGCTTAAAAGTACCTCAGATGGTCTGCAGATAACACTGGGGTTACTGGCTCTGCAACATTTTGAATTAGCAAATTCATTATGCCATAGTTAAGGTACAAGCAGAACAATACAAGTAGATTAATTTTAAGAGTTGTCTTAGAATGATTAAGGTGTGGTTTGTACGACCTGGCAGACTTAGTTGAGTTTAAATTCAAAACTGGTGGATGCGGAAGGAAATTTTTTAGCATATGTTAAATTGTGCTTTAAAAGACATATAAAGAATTGGGAAACATTTCAGGAGACGATCATAGCCTGTATAAATATCAGATTAGAACATACGGATTTACGATGAAGTTCTGTCTTCAACACCCAGCATTGTCTAAAGGGCTACTGTCCCAAATCCTGTGTGTCCCTTCAGCTTGTCTGATCACCCAACGGAAGTGGATACTTGTAAAGTCTACACCGCTGTACTTGGCGTTAAATCTTGCTGAATTTGTGGTAAGCTATTATCATTTCTACATTTTGTAGAATGATTTTGGTCTGCAGCAAAATTCTATTTCACTTCTTACACCCCTTTCCTTCCACTTGAAATGCAATTTAGACAGAGGCCCTGTGGTGAAAGTTGCAATATTAAGCTTACCTTTAGAAGATCCCTTCTCAAACTCAGAACCCTAGCAGCGTTACCTTAAAAATGAGCTCGAGAGGCCGGGCGCGGTGGCTCACACCTGTAATCCCAGCACTTTGGGAGGCTGAGGCAGGCAGATCACAAGGTCAGGAGATCGACACCATCCTGGCTAACACGGTGAAACCCCGTCTCTACTAAAAAAAAATACAAAAAATTAGCCGGGCGTGGTGGGGGCGCCTGCAGTCCCAGCTACTCGGGAGGCTGAGGCAGGAGAATGGCGTGAACCCATAAGGTGGAGCTTGCCGTGAGCCGAGATGGCGCCACCGTACTCCAGCCTGGGCGACAGAGCGAGACTGTCTCAAAAAAAAAAATGAGCTCGAGAAAAAAGTAGCTCAGTTACAGAGAAGCAAATCAAGTTATTTCCCAGATAAAAAGTTTCCCAGATTCTAGGAATTGCAGTATCTTGTACCCTAAAATTTTTCCAGGTGACTCCTTTTGTTGTCTGTTGATAACTTTAATAAAGGTCATTTAAGGGCATAAGGTTTTAAAGACTCCCAAAGTGAGACTTAACCATTTTCGGGATTAGCGATTGCATATATCAGTTTATGTTGTGTGCTTAATTACTATGCCATGTGCTATTTTAGTGTTTGGGGAAAATGAAAAATAAAATTTGTTCTTTGGATTAATAAATATGTCTTAATAAAAAATACAGTGAATGACAATGAAAATGCAACACATCAACATTTGTGGGTATGTATAAAGCAGGGTGAGAGGGAAATTCATAGAACTAAATGCATAAATTAGATGATAAGAAAATTATCAAGCCAATAATTTAAGCTCCCACTTGAAGTACGTAGAAAATAAGAGAAAAAAAAACCACTCAAAATAAGAAGGAAGGAAATAATGACTATAATAGCAGAAATCAATGAAATTTAAAACAGAAAAACAATAAAGAAAACCAATGAAACAAAGAGCTGGTTCTTTAAAAAGATCTATAAAATTCACAAACATCTACCAAGAGTGACAAAGCAAAAAGGAGAGAATTATAGATTAGAAATATTAGGCATGACACAGAAGGTATCACTAAAGACCTTGTAGATGTTGAAAGGATAATAAATGAATACTACAAACAACTCTAAACACATACATTTGGCAACTTAAATGAAATAGACCACTTTCTTGAAAAGCATAAACTACCACAACTTATCAATATAAAACAAATAATGCAAATAGCCCCACATAAGATCTCCAGGCTCAGATGGTTTCACTGGAAAATTCTGCCCAAAGTTTAAAGAATAATAGATACCAATTCTGTATATCCTCTTCCAGAGAAAAGAAAGACAGCGGAATACTTCTCAAGTGATTTTATTTATTTATCTCATTTATTATTTTTACCATTATCAGAATAATCACATTTATTTACTTCCTGTCTTATTCCACCATTTGTATGTAAATTCCATGGGTAAGGGCCTGCTCTTACGTCCCACACCTCTAGGTCTACAGAGCCTAGAGACAAAGGTGTGAGGAAAGCACTCCGTGACCCTCCCTGGCCAGGCCACATGAGTTCTGGATCTGAATTTAGAGCCACAGACTTTAAGCACTAAAATAAACCTGAGGTTTTCCAGAGGCGTTTAACTTTCTCCTTTAATAGACAAGAATGCACCTAAGAATGGAGAGTGGCTTCCTGCAGTAACCCAGCCACTCAATAGAGACTAAGCCCACAATGACCTGAGTCAAAAAGTCTGCAACCTTTTCCCCCCAAATCCCACCTTCTCCTTCTCTCAACTCATTTTTAAAAGCTAGTATTACCTTGATACCAAAAACAAAGACAGTTAAAAAAAACAAAACAAAACAGGAACTACAGACCAATATCCCTCATAAATATAGACACAGAATTAAGCAATATGTAAAAAGAACTATATGCTATGAGCAAGTGCAGTTTATTCCTGGAAAGCAAGGCTTGTTCCATATGTGAAAATCAATGTAACCTACCATATTAACATGATGAAGAAGAGAATCACATAATCGTATCAATTGATGCAGAAAAATCATTTGACAAAATGCATGATAAAAACTCTGAGAAATCCCAGGTGTGGTGGCTCACACCTGTAATCCCAGCACTTTGGGAGGTGAGGCGGGTAGATCACATCAGGCCAGGAGTTTGAGACCTGCCTGGCCAACATGGCGATACCCTGTCTCTACTAAAAATACAAAAAAATTAGCCAGGTGTGGTGATGCATGCTAGCTACTTGGGAGGCTGAGGCATGAGAATCACTTGCACTTGGGAGGTGGAGGTTGCACTGAGCTGAGATTGAGCCACTGCACTCCAGCCTGGGTGACAGAGTGAGACTCTGTCTGAAAAAAATAAAATAAAAATAAAAACTCTGAGAAAAATAACAATAGAGAGGAACTTCCTCAATTTGATAAAGAGCTTTTACAAAACCTCCAACACTTAACATTATACTTAATGGTCAAAGAAAGAATGCTTTTCTCCTAAGAAAGGGAATAAGGCAAAGATATATGCTCTTACTACTCTAATTCAATACAGCACAGGAAGTTTTAGCCAGTTCAGTAAAGCATTTAAAAAAAGGCATATTGATTGGAAAGGAAGAAATAAAACTGTTCACTTTTGCAGATAACATGATGGCTATGTGGAAAATCCAAAGAAATCTATTTTAAAACACCAAAATCAACAACTCCTAGAACTAGTAAGTGAATTCAGCAAGGCTACAGGATACGACATAAATATACAAAAAAATCAAGTGTACTTTGAGTGATGAACGCTTGGATATAAAAATTAAAAATACAATAAGTACCATTTATAATTGCTCAGAAAAGGAAATACTCATTTCAAATTCTAACAAAACATTCATAAGACTTGAATGCTAAACATTAGAAATTCTGATGAAAGAAATCAAAGATCTAAACAAATGATGAGACACATCATGTTCTTCAATTTGGAGACTCAAAATAGCAAAGATGTTAATTCTCCCCAAACTCATATATACAATTCCTACAAAAATTTCAGCAATATTTCTTGTAGATGAATACAAGATTATTTTAAAATTGTCTTGGAGATGCAAAGGAACTAAAATAGCTAAAACATTTTTGAAAAAGAATTACCAAGTTGGAAGAATCAATCTATCCCATTACAAGACTTATTGTGTAGCTATTGTAATCAACAGCACGTGATATTGGTAGAGTGAAAGATACACAGACAAATTAAACAGAACAGAGAACTCAGACCCACATAAATATAACTGACAGGTTATTGACAAAAGCATAAAAGTAATTCAGTGTGGGGAAAGGAAGTTTTTTCAACAAATATTGCTGGAGCATTTGCATATCCATAAGCAAAGTTGAATGGTGACATGAACCTAACACTCCATACATGAATTAATTCAAAATAGACCACGGACTTAAATGTAAAACTACAAATCTTTTAGAAAAATACATTAAAACCCTTCAGGACCTAGGGCCAGGCAAAGAATATTTTAAACTTTACAACAAAAGCATCATCAATAAAACCAAAAATAGATAAACCGGACGCTATCAAAATTAAAGAAAAAAATTTTGTTCTGTGAATGACCTTGCTAAGAGTATGAAAAAACAAACTACCAACTAGGACAAAATGTTTTGAAAGCATATAGCAGACAAAGGATTAGTATCTAAATTACATAAAGAACTCTTAAAACTCAATAGCAAAACAAACAAACAGAAAATGGGCAAATGATATGAACACGCATTTCACCAAAAAGCACAGACAGATGTCAAATAAGCACAAGGAAGGACATTTAACATCATTTGCTATTATGAAAATAAAAATTAAAATTATGATGAGCTATTACTATACACATATGACAATGGTTAAATAAAAAATAGTGACAACTCCAAATGCTAGTGAGGATGAAGGGAAACTCTTTCCCTTATTTACTATTAATGGGAATGTAAAATGGTACAGCCACTCTGGAAAAAAGTTAGGCAATTAAAAAAAAATGAAACTGGCAGTGCCATACAACTCAGCAACTGCATCCTTGGGCATTTGTCCCAGAGAAATGAAGACTTGTGTTCACACAAAAACCTGCACATAAATGTTTAGAGCAAGTTTATTTGTAGTGGCCCCAACTGGAAACAACCTACATGTCCTTTAGTTCGTGAACAATTAAACAGTCTGTGGTACATCCATAGCATAGAATACTATTCAGCAATAAAAAGGAATACACTATTGATATGCACAACATCCTGGATGAATCTTCAGAGAATTACAGAGTGAAAAAAGCCAATGCCAAAAGGATACACAATGCATAATTCTGTTGATATAATATTCTTGACATGACAAAACTATAGAAATGGAGAACAGATTCAGTGGTTGTCAGAGATGAAGGAGGGCCTGGGGGCAGGAGGGAAGTGGGTGTAGCTAGAAAAGGAAAACTTGAGGGGGCTTTTACAGTGAAGGCAATGCATTTTGACTGCATCAATGCTAATATCCTGGTTGTGATATTGCAATATAGCTTTGCAAGATATTATTGTTGGGAGAAACTGAGTAACTGGAATGCAGATCTGTGTAAATAATATTCTTAAAATTGTTTGTGAATCTGCAATTATCTTAAAATTAAAATTTTAATTAACAATACATATGTTCTACCTCTATCCACTGAATATTCTAGGAGACAAAAATCTAGTAGCAACAAGCATTCCTGTTGTCTACATTGTGGACTCTAAATGTTATCTCCATCTAAAAGGAACTAGAGATCCTTAGAGAAATGGTTGGTTCTCTATCTGGGGCAGGAAATGTACCAGATGAGCCTGCAGCATCTTATTATAAACAGATGCCAAGAAGCCATCAAGGACTACTGGGCACATGTCTAAAGGGTCCAGACACCAACGTGAAGAGGCTCTCACTGGCCAGATATGGGATAATTTGAGCTGTAAAAATGATAATAACTGCAATGTTTTGAAACACATCAAATATTTGAAAAACTCAAGACTTTATAATGATATTAAGAAAGCTCATTAGGCTGGATGTGGTGGCTCACACCTGTAATCCCAGCACTTTGGGAGGCCAAGGCTGGAGGATTGCTTGAGGCCAGGAGTTTGAGACCAGACTGGGCAACATGGTGAGACTTTGACTCTACAAAAAATAAAAAAGTCAGCTGGGCATGGTGGCACATGCCTGTAATACCAGCTACTTGGCTGAGGTGGGAGGATAATTTGAGCCCAAAACTTCAAGGCTGCAGTGAGCAATAATTGCGCCACTGCACTCCAGCCTGGGCAACAGATCCAGACCCTGTCTCTAAAAAAAAAAAAGAGCCCCATTTGTTTCCTTTGGAGGATGCTAGGGAACCAACTGATTGCTATAATAATTGGTAAATGAAGGGAAAGAATCTTGATTCTTGATCCTCCATTTCCTGCACAAACAATACTGAAGATTCAGGTGACGAGGGGAAGCTGCTGCACATACAGTCACCTCTGCCCTAACTTCCATGCTTTGGCTGTTCAGTCTATCCTCAGCGCTTCAGGAGATGCTCCTGTTAAACAAAAGTCAGATCATGTGACTCCTCCACTCAAACCCGCCAATGGCATCCTGGTTCACTCATAACATGGACCCAAGCCCTTCCCTGAGCTAAAGGGTCAACACCATCTGTCCCCACTGCCTCCTAACATGGGCCCCTCCCTCACTCTCATCAGCCACCCTGGCCTCTTGCTCTTTCTCACACTCAGCACGTGCGGGCCCCAGGGCCTGTGTACTTGCAGAGCCTTTCCCAGATTCCCCTGCGGCTATGCCTTCCTCACTTACCCAGTGGTTGGCTCAAGGGTATCCTTATTGGAGAGGATTCCTGTTTTGTGTATCCACTTGTGGTCCCAAACCTCACATGGTTCCATCTGATTCTACAGGCCATGTGCTTCTCCACTAAGCTGCACTGTGTGAGGGACTAAGTGGAGGGCAAAAAGTCAAGGGGCTAAGTGGAGGGCAAAAAGAAGAAAAAGACATAGTCCCTGCCCTCCACAATCTTCAATTTATAGCAGAAAGCCGGGAACACACACACACACACACAGCCTGCTCAAAGTGAGTTTGCCCTGGAACATGTGGGAAGCTGGCCTAGTTCTGCACAAGAAGGGAACCCTGTATAAATGGACTTAGCGGAGAAGGTCATCCGAGAGGAAATGAGCCCTGTGCACTGAGCTCTGAAGAGCAGGAGGGCTGAGGTGGTGTGGGACTGAAAGTAAGATTATCTGGAATTATCTGGGTGGGTCCAATCTAATCCCAGAAGCCCTTAAAAGCAAAGAACTTAGCCTGGAAGCAGAAGACAGTTGCATGCATGTACTACAGTTTGGTTATGCACTTCCCAGTAGATGGACATTTGGGTTGCTTCTAGTTTGGGGCTGCTGTAAACACTTTTGTGCAAGGCTTTTTGTGGACATGTGTTTTCATTTCTGTAGATGCTGTGGTTAAGTGGAAGAGGTATGTATAAATGTTTTAAGAAACTTGCAAACAGTTTTCCAAAATGGTTGTATCACTTTACACCATACGGTAGTGTATGAGAGTTGCTGTTGCATTAGTAGTGATTAGCCTGTTTCATTTTAGCAATTCTGGTAGGTCAGGGGGCGATTTTGATCTGCACTTCCTTGATGATTAATGATGCTGGGCATCTTCTAATGTGCTGATCTGCCATATATCTTATTTTGTAAATTGTCAGTTCAAAGCTTTTATACATTTTAAAATTTGGATATTAGTCTTTTTATTATTGAATTGTAGCAACTTTTAGAAAATATATTCTTTTTTTTTTTTTTTTTTTTTATAGTATTTATTGATCATTCTTGGGTGTTTCTCGGAGAGGGGGATGTGGCAGGGTCATAGGATAATAGTGGAGAGAAGGTCAGCAGATAAACACGTGAACAAAGGACTCTGGTTTTCCTAGGCAGAGGTCCCTGCGGCCTTCTGCAGTGTTTGTGTCCCTGGGTACTTGAGATTAGGGAGTGGTGATGACTCTTAACGAGCATGCTGCCTTCAAGCATCTGTTTAACAAAGCACATCTTGCACCGCCCTTAATACATTTAACCCTGAGTTGACACAGCACATGTTTCAGAGAGCAGGAGGTTGGGGGTAAGGTTATAGATTAACAGCATCCCAAGGCAGAAGAGTTTTTCTTAGTACAGAACAAACTGGAGTCTCCTATGTCTACTTCTTTCTACACAGACACAGTAACAATCTGTTCTCTCTTTCTTTTCTCCACATTTCCCCCTTTTTTTTCTACAAAACCGCCATCGTCATCATGGCCCATTCTCGATGGTCGCTGTCTCTTCGGAGCTGTTGGGTACACCTCCCAGATGGGGCGGCCGGGCAGAGGCACTCCTCACTTCCCAGACGGGGCAGCCGGGCAGAGGTGCTCCTCCGGGCAGAGGCGCCCCTCACCTCCCAGACGGGGCGGCCGGGCAGAGGCGCCCCCCACATCCCAGACGGGGTGGCCGGGCAGAGGCGCTCCTCACCTCCCAGACGGGGCGGCCGGGCAGAGGCGCTCCTCCAGGCAGAGGTGCCCCTCACCTCCCAGACCGGGTGGTCGGGCAGAGGCGCCCCCCACCTCCCAGGAGGGGCGGCCGGGCAGAGGCGCCCCCCCCACCTCCCAGACGGGGCGGCCCGGCAGAGGTGCCCACCACCTCCCAGACGTGGCGGCCGGGCAGAGGCACTCCTCACCTCCTGGACAGGGCGGCCGGGCAGAGGTGCTCCTCACTTCCCAGACGGGGCGGCCAGACAGAGGCGCTCCTCACATCCCAGATGATGGGCAGCCAGGCAGAGATGCTCCTCACTTCCTAGATGGGGTGGCGGCCGGGCAGAGGCACTCCTCACTTCCCAGACGGGGTGGCCGGGCAGAGGCGCTCCTCACATCCCAGACAATGAGTGGCCAGGCAGAGACGCTCCTCACTTCCTAGATGGGGTGGCGGCCGGGAAGAGGCTGTAATCTTAGCACTTTGGGAGGCAAGGCAGGTGGCTGGGAGGTAGAGGTTGTAGCGAGCTGAGATCACGCCACTGCACTCCAGCCTGGGCAACATTGAGCATTGAGTGAGCATGACTCCGTCTGCAATCCCAGCACCTCGGGAGGCCGAGGCAGGCAGATCACTCGAGGTCAGGAGCTGGAGATCAGCCCGGTCAACATGGCGAAACCCCGTGTCCACCAAAAATGCAAAAACCAGTCAGGCGTGGTGGCACGTGCCTGCAATCCCAGGCACTCAGCAGGCCGAGGCAGGAGAATCACGGGAGCCTGAGGCAGGGAGTTTGCAGCAAGCTGAGATCACGGCAGTGCAGTCCAGCCTTGGCAACAGAGGGAGACCAAAGAAAGAAAGGGGAGGGGGAGGGGGAGAGGGAGAGGGAGAGGGAGAGGGAGAGCTAGATTTCTTCTAGTCATTAAGCACTTTGGGCCATTTTTCTGTGCATCCGATCTGACATTTTTGCTCTCAGATGAAACATGATAAAGGAAGCCAAGACGCCAGGATTCCTGGAGGGGACCTTGGGTGCTGGGTCTTGGGCTCCAGGGCCCTGATGGGACTGAACCAGAAGGAGCCAGGGAAGGGCAAACACTGGGGCTGACGCCCTATGACCCAATGGCCATTGGTGGCCGGGCCTTATGGCCCCAAGACACCCTGTCCTCAGGCCACAGACACCATGGGCTTTGGTCAGGTCCCAGCCTCCCAGTAGTGTCCTGGTACTAGCAGGTGCTGACCCCTGAGCCACAACCACAGTTTTGGGTTTTGGGTTTTGTAAAACCACCTCAGGGACAGAGTTCTGGGGTTGGGTTTGGCAGGAACCATGGCGCCACCCAGGGATGGTGTGTCACTCCTACTTGCCACAAAATGTGCACATAGGCTGTCCCACTGCCCAGCACATCCTGCTGGACAGGATGGAGGAAGTCAGGGAACAGGCAGGGTGGACATCTGGGGTGTAGGGAGAGGCAGGTGCATGCTGGGAGGTCAGACCCTGGGAGGGTTGTGGGGGCATCAGGTGGAGTGGGCTCCAGGTGTACCCTCAATGCACTGGGCAGGTCTCAGGCCAGGCTCCCTGGACCCTGGCTGGGTGATGTGGTCACTGCCTGGGGTACTGCTGTCAGGTCCCGGCCACCCACCCTGGGCAGCACCGTCCCATTTAGGACTGGGCTGAGTCCTGAGACACGACAGTACTGTCCAGGCCTGACGGACTGGGAGGACCTGTTAAGTCCTTCATCTCTAGACCAGCCTCCCACACAGCAAGGACAGTCTCTTACGTTTACCTTCAGGACACTGACTGATCCATCTCACTCTAAAGCAACCAAGGCAGAGCTGAGGACCTGTGCCAGGCTGGGAGCCAGTCCCCTCCCTAAATGGGCCTGAGGGAAGCACCATCCCTGTCCCAATCCGCTGCAAGTTTCAGCCCAGGAGACACATAGGGAAGGGAGGATGGAGCCTCTCTGCTGGCTGACACTGGAAAAGTGGGACCCAGGAGAAGAGGGAGCGCAGGGCTGGCAGGGGACACTCCAAGCCCACGGAGAGCTCGGGCTGCACCATGGGGCTGCCCCTCCTGCGCTGGAAGCTGTGCCCTCTGCAGGATCTGAGAAAGTCCAGTCCTGAGATGGGACAGTGCTGCCCATGGTGGGTGCCCAGTGCCTGATAGCAATCCCCCAGGGAGTGACCACATCACCCGACCAGGGTCCAGGAAGCCTGGGCTGAGATCTGCCCAGTGCACTGAGGGTGCACCTGGAGCCCACCCCACCTGACACCCCCACAGCCCTCACAAGGTCTGACCTCCCAGCATGCACCTGCCTCTCCCTGCACCCCAGCTGCCCACCCTGCCTGTTCCCTGGCTTCCTCTATCCTGTGCAGCTGATAGACTGTGACCATCTATCTGGCCACTCTGGCCCTTCCTTTACCTTTGTCCTTTCAATATCTCTGAGCAAGATCTCCTAGGTCCATCCAAACACCTGCTTTGTCCACTTTTGACTGGGACTTTGGGCACTACTGGGCCATCCCAACTATCCACAGGGCCCTCCATAACGTGCATTGCACCTGACATCTCCCAGCAGTGCTCAGCAGCCCCCACTGACCAGGTCCCTGCTGACCATATCCCACACATCAGGTCCTCCCAGAACACACCCTCATTGATTAGAACCCCATGACCAGGCCCCACTAACCAGGCCCCTGCTGCCAGGCCCACAATGACCAGGACCCCACTGACCAGGACCTTACTGACCAGGCCCCACTGACAAGGTCCTTACTAACAAGGCCTCACTGACCAGGTCCTTACTGACAAGGCCTCATTGACCAGGTCCTTACTGACAAGGCCTCACCGACCAGGTTCTTACTGACAAGGCCTCACCGACCAGGTCCTTACTGACAAGGCCTCACGACCAGGTCCTTACTGGTCAGTGACCCCACTGCCTGGCACCACAGGCAGTAGGGTGACCCTTACTGGACAATGATCCCATTGCCTGGCACCACAGATGAGGCCCCACTGACCAGGCCTCCAGGGAACAGGCTGCCACTGACCAGGCCCGTATTAACCAGGCCTTGGTGACCAGATGCCCCTGACTGTGACCCTAGTGAGCAGGCCCCACTGAATTGGCACCCACTGCTCAGATCCCTGCTCACCAGGTCACCCCATAGACCAGTGCTACAAAAGCCACCACTGACCAAGCTCTCTCTGAACAGGCCCCCACTGATTAGGTTCCACTGACTAGGCTGCCCTGACCAGGGCCCCACTGACAAGGGCCTCACTGATGAGGACATGGTCACCAGGCCCTGCTGACTAGGTCCCATGTGACCAGGCCTCCACTGAATAGCACCCCTTGACCTGGTCACCAGTGACCCAGCCCATGCTGACAAGGCCACCACTAAGCCCCAGCTGACCAGGTCTCCACTGACAAAGCCCCGCAGCCCAGTGTTACACTGACCAGACACCAAACTAGTGGCTGCCACTAGGTCCCCACTCACCAAGACCCCACTACTAGATCCCCCTAATGAGACCCTCTCTAAGCAGACCCCTGCTGACCACGCCCCCAATAAATAGGCCTCACTGACCAAGTCCCAACTGACTAGGTCCACTGATGAGGCCCACACTGATCAGGGCCCTCCTAAACATACCAGAAGGCCAAGCGGCAATGAGATATTTCATATGGCAGGAGTAGGAGTAAGACAGAGAGAGGAAGGAGCTGCCGCATCCTGTTATACAACCAGATCTCATGAGAACTCACTATCAGGAGATCAGCATCAAGAAGATTAACCATTGGTGAAGGAACCACCGCCCATACCACCACCCACTGTTTCCAGGCAGAAGCCTCCTGCAGAGGCAGAGCCTCTTGGGAAACTTCCACTATGGCAGTGCAGAAGGAAAATATGGGCTTGGAGCCCCCACACAGGAGGCCACCATCCTCCAGACCCCAGATTCATAAGCCCACCAACAGCTCACACCCTCAGTATGGAAAAGCTACAGGCACTCCACACCAGCCTAGCCCATGAGAGCAGACATGGGGGCTGAAGCCTGCAAAGCCACAGGTGCACTCTTCTAGTAGAGGTTTTCCATGAGCCTCTGCCTCTGAAGCATAATACTCCCCCTTCCTACTACCCCCCACCCTCCCACCACCCTACTGCCAACCTACTTCCCACCCTACCCACCCCTTTTCCTTCCAACCCCAACCCCCTCCTGCCATGATTAAATCACCTCCCACCAGGTCGCACCTTCAACATTAAGGAGTACAATTCACAGGAGTTTTGGTAAAGAAACACAGCCAAACCATATTATTCTGACCCTGATACCCCAGAATCTCACGTCCTTCTCACAGAGCAACATACATTCATGCCTTTTCAAAAGTTTCCAAAAGTCTTAACTCATTCCAGCATTAACTCTAATGTAAAAAGGTCAACATCTCATCTGAGACAAGTCTACAGTCCCTTTTGCCTATGAGTCCCTGAATTTAAAAGGATGTTCTTTTCTTTCAGGGTACAATGATGGTACAGGCATTGGGTAAGCTTTCTCAATTCAAAGGGAAGAAAATTCCCAGGAAAAAAAAAAACACAAATAGAACCACAAGCCCAATACAAGTCCAAAACCCAGAAGGCCAGTATCCATTCAATCTCATAGCTCCAAAATCATGAAGAAAACTCACTATCATAAGCACAGCAATAAGGAGATGATGTTTAATCATTTGTGAAGGATCCGCCCCACCACCACCACTTTTCACCCCTCACCCCCACCATAATCCCCTCATTCTGCCTACCCCCCACCTTCCAACCCCCATTCTCCACCATGATTAAATCACCCTCCACCAGGCCCCACCTTTAACTTTATTATTCTGTCCCTGGCTCCCAAATCTCATGTCCTTCTCACATTGCAAAGTACAATGATGCCTTCCCTACAGTCCCCCCCAGTCTTATATCATTCCAGCATTCATACAAATGTCCAAAGCTTAAAGTCTCATCTGACACAAGGCTACAGTCCCTTAGGCACATGAGCCTCTGAACTGTAAAGCAAGTTAACTACTTCCAAGGTACAATGCTTGTGCAGGCAATGGGTAAGCATTCTCTACCAAAAGGAAGAATTTTGCCAGAAAGAAAAAAACACGTACAGAACTTACAGGCCCCATGAAACTCCAAACCCAGAAGGCCAGTCATTCAATCCTACAGTTCCAAAATCACCCTTTTTGAAACCTTGTCCCACATCCAGGGCACAGGGACAAGAGGGCTGGGCTCTGATGGCCTTGGGCAGCTCTGCACCTGTGGCTTTGCAGGGTTTATGCCCCACAGCTGCCCCCATGGGCAGCGCTGGTGTTGAGTGCATGTAGCTTTTCACAACTGATGGTACAAGCTGTTGGTGGGTCTGTGAATCTGGGGTCTGCATGATGGTGGCCTCCAGTGTGGGGGCTCCAACCCCATATTTTCCTTCTACACTGTCCTAGTAGAGGTTTCTTATGAGGCTCTGCCTTTTGGGGATGCTTTTGTCTGGTCACCCAGGCATTTCCATACATCTTCCAAAGTCTACAGAGAGGCTCCCAAGCCTCTAGTCTCATGATCCATCCACCCAGTGGCTTAACACTATGAGGAAGTTACCAAGGCTTCTAGCTTGCACCCTCTGAAGCAGTGACCCAAGCTGCATCTGTGCATTTTCAGCCATGGCTGGAGCTGGCGCTGCAGGGATGCAGGCAGCAGTGTCCTGAGGCTGCACATAGAGGGGGGTCACAGGACTGGCCCAGGAAACCATTCTGCTCTCCTAGGGCCCAGGGCCTGTGACAGCATGGGCTGCTGCAGAGGTCTCTGAAATGCCTTCAAGGGCTTTTCCGTATTGTCTTGGCTATTAGCACTGGGCTCCTTTTTATGCAAATTTCTGAAGCCTTCCTAAATTTTCTCCCAGAAAATCAGCTTTTCTTTTTGACCATTTGGCCAGGCTGCAAATTTTCCAAACTTTTGAGTTCTGTTTCTCATTTAATATAAGAGTTGTGACTTGTTTAATGTAAGTCCCATCCAGAGGTCATTTTCTCGGTCACACATCAGAGCACAGGCTGTTCGATGCAGAGAGGACACCTCTTGAGCTTTGCTTCCTAGAAGTTCACTCCACCAGATATGCACTAAGTCATCACCCTCAGGTTTAAAGTTTCACAGATCTCCAGGGCAGGGTCACTGTGTAGCCATGTTCTTTGCTACAACAAAACAAAAGTAACCTTGGCTTCTGTTCCCAGTAAGTTCCTCATTTTTATCTGAGACCTTCTAATGCTGGTTTTCACTGACCATTTTCCTGTCAGCCTCCTGATCACAAGTAGTTAACAATTCTTTACAAAGATCCAAACTTTTCCTCATTTTCCTGTCTTTGAAGCCCTCAAAACTCTCCTGATTTCTGTCTGCCACCCCCTTCTGAACCTGCTTCTACATTATCAGCTATCTTTGTCGCAGCCTGGCAATGTGGTAAAGGAAGACAAGTCAATTTTCAGGGGGGAAATTCAAGAAGGCCTCAGATACTTGAATGAAAAGAATCTGAGTGCTGATTGCCAAGACAACAGGGAAAAGGCCTTGAAGACATTTCACACATCCACTTCCCAGTACTAATTTTCTCTATGATCAGAAAGAAACGGGGTTTAATTGGCTCATGATTCTGCAGGCTGTAAGGAAACATAGCGGCTTCTGAATCTGGGAGGACTCAGGAAGCCTCCCAATCATACCAGAATGTCAAGGGGCAATGACATGATTCATGTGGCAGGAGTAGGAGCAAGACAGAGAGAGGAAAGAGGTGCCATGCTCTATTATACAAGCAGATCTCATGAGAACTCACTATCAAAAGGTCAGCGTCAAAAAGATGGTGCTTAACTATTGGTGAAGGATTCACCCTCCACCCCCAGCTCCCACTGTTTCCAGGCAGAAGCCTGATGCAGAGGTAGAGTCTCTTGGGAAACCTTTACTAGGGAAGTGTGGAAGGAAAATATGGGCTTGGAGCCCCCACACAGATGGCCACCACCCTCCAGACCCCAGATTCATAGACCCACCAACAGCTCACACCCTCAGTGTGAAAAAGCTATGGGTAGTCAACACCAGCCCACCCCATGAGAGCAGCCACAGGGGCTAAACCCTGTAAAATCACAGGTGCACTGTCCTAGTAGAGGTTTTCCATGAGCCACTGTCTCTGCAGCAGGTTACTCCCCCTCCCTACTACCCACCACCCTCCCACCACCCTACAGCCAACCCCTTTCCTCCCCACCCTTCCCACCCTTTTTCCTTCCACCCCCAACCCCCTCCCATCCATGATTAAATCACCTCCCCCAGGCCCAACCTTCAACATTTGGGATTACAATTCCACATGAGTTTCACAGGGACACACAGCCAAACCATATTATTCTGACCTTGATACCCCAGAATCTCATGTTTTTCTCACAGAGCAAAATACAATCATGCCTTTTCAAAATTTTCCAAAAGTCTTAACTCATTCCAAATGTAAAAACTTCAAAGTCTCATCTGAGACAAGGCTACATTCTCTTCTGCCTATGAGTCCCTGAATTCAAAAGGGATTTCTTTTCTTTCAAGGTACAATGATGGTACAGGTATTGGGTAAGCTTTCTCAATCCAAAGGGAAAAAATTTCCCAGAAAAATAATACAAATGCAAGTCCAAATCCAGCAGGACAGTATTCACTCAATCTTAAAGCTCCATAATCATCAAGAGAACTCACTATCATGCAGACAGCATTAAGGAGATAGTGTTTAACCATTTGTGAAGGATCTGCCCCCCATCCTTATCTTTCAACCCCACCCCCAAAATAATCTCAACCATTCTCCCCACACCCCTACCTCCAACACCCAGGCTTCAACATGATTAAATCACCTTCCACCAGGTCCCAACTTTCACGTTCCCCATTACAATTCCACATGAGTATCGGTAGGGACACAGAACCAAATCATATTATTCTGACCCCAGTTCTCCCAAATCTCATATCTTTGACACACTGCGAAGTACAATGATGCCTTCTCTACAGTCCCCCAAAGTCTTAACTCCTTTCAGCATTTACTGAAGTATCCAAAGCCCAAAGTCTTATCTGACACAAGGCTGCAGTCCCTTCTGCCCCTGAGCCTCTGAAATACAAAGTAAGTTAACTACTTTCAAGGTACAATGATTGTACAGGCATTGGGTATGAATTTCCAGCCAAAAGAAAAAACTTTGCCAGAAAGCAGCACAAAATACAGATGAGACTTACAGATCTAATGCAAGTCAAAAACCCAGCAGGCCAGTCATTCCATCGTACAGCTCCAAATCATCTCTTTTTGATCTAAATCCCACATCCAGAGCACAGGGGTGTGATGGCTGGGCTCCCAAGGCCTTGGGTAGCTCTTCACCTGTGGCTTTGCAGGGTCTTTCCCCCACAGCTGCCCTCATGGGCTGGGCTAGTGTTGAGCACCTGTAGCTTTCCACACTGAGGGTGCAAGCTGTTGGTGGGTCTATGAATCTGGGGTTTGCAGAATGGTGCCTCCATGTGTGGGGATTCCAACTCCATATGTTCCTTCTGTACTACCCTAGAAAAGGTTTCCCATGAGGGTCTGCCTCTTGGAAAAGCTTCTGCCTGGAAACCCAGGTTTTTCTGTACATGCTCTGGAGTCCAGACGAAGGCTCCCAAGGCTCAAGCCTTTTGCTCTGTGCACCTGCTGGCTTAACACTATGTAGAATCCACCAAGGCTTGCATCTTGTACCCCTGAAGCAGTGACTCAAGCCATACCTGTGCATCTTTCAGCCATGGCTGGAGCTGGAGCTGCAGGGATGCAGGTAGCTGTGTGCTGTGGCAGAGCACAGCAGTGGGACCTTGCAGCTGGCCCAGGAAAACATTCTTCTCTCTCAGGCCTTAGGGCCTGTGATAGCAAGGGCTGCTGCAAAGGTCTCTGAAATGCCTTCAAGGCCTGTTTCCCATTGTCTTGGCTATTAGCACTGGACTCCATTTTATACAAATTTCTGAAGCTGTCTTGGATTTTCCCACCGAAAATCAGCTTTTCTTTTTGACCACTTGGCCAGGCTGCAAATTTTCCAAACTTTTAAGCTCTGCTTCTCATTTAAATTTAAGTTTCTACTTGAGGTCATTTATTTGGTCACACCGAAGACCACAGGCTTTTGGACACAGACAGGATACCTCTTGAGCTTTGCTGCCAAAAGTTCATGTCTGTGATTTAGATACACCCTATGATTTAGATACACCCTAAATCATCACCCTCAAGTTCAAAGTTTCATAGGTCTCCAGGTTAAGGGCATCATGCAGTGATATTCTTTGCTAAGGCAAAACCAAAGTAACCTTGGCTCCTGTTTTCAGTAAATTCCTCATTTTCATCTGAGATCTTGTAAGCCTGGCCTTCACTGTCCATCCTTCTGTCGCCCTTTTAATTATAACTATTTAACAAGTCTCTACAATGGTCAAAACTTACCTTCATCTTCCTGACTTCTTCCAAGGCCTCCAAACTTTCCAACCTCTGGCTGTTACCCTCTTCTGAACCTGCTTTTACATTTTCATCCATCCTTGTTGCAGCCTATCAATGTGGTAAAAAGAAGAAATGTCCATTTTCAAGGGAAAAATTCACAAAGGGATCCGATATCTGCATGAAGAGAAGCTGAGTGCTGATTGCCAAGACAATAAGACAAAAAGGCCTTGAAGGCATTTCATAGCTCCACTTCCGAGCACTAATTTTCTGTAAGATCATAAAGAAAAGAGGTTGAACTGGCTCATGGTTCTGCAGGCTTTAAAGGAATCATAGAGGCCTCTGCTTCTGGGAGGAATCAGGAAGCCTCCCAATCATACCAGAAGACCAAGCGGCAATGGGATGTTTCATATGGCAGAAGTAGGAGCAAGACAGAGAGAGGAAAGAGGTGTGACACCCTGTTATACAACCAGATCTCACGACAACTCACTATGACAAAATCAGCATCAAGAAGATGATGCTTAATCATTGGTGAAAGATCTGGCCCCCCCCAACACCCCCACCCCACTACTGTTTCCATGTAGAAGCCTGTTGCAGAGCCAGAGCCTCTTGGAAAACCTCTACTAGGGCAGTGCAGAAGGAAAATATGGGCTTGGAGTTCCCACACAGGAGGTTACCATCCTCCAGACCCCAGATTCATAGACCCACCAACAGCTTGCACCCTCAGTATGGAAAAGCTACAGGCACTCAAGGCCAGCCCAACCCATGAGAGCCGCCATGGGACTAAACACTGAAAGCCACAGGTGCACTGCCTTAGTAGAGGTTTTCCATGAGGCTCTGCCTCTGCAGGAGGCTACTCCCACATCCTACTACCCACCAGCCTCTCACCACTTTACTGCCAACCTACTCCTCCCCACCCTACCCCCTCCTTTTTTCTTCTACCCCCAACTCCCTCCCATCCATGATTCAATCACCTCCCACCAGGCCCCACCTCCAACATTTGGGAATACAATTTCCCATGATCTTTGTAGGGAAACACTGCCAAACCATATTACTCTGACCATAAAATCCCTGAATCTCACGTCCTTCTCACAGAATAAAATACAAACAAGCCTTTTCAAAAGTTTCCAAAAGTCTTAACTCATTCCAGCAGTAACTCAATGTAAAAAGATTAAAGTCTCATCCAACACGAGGCTGCAGTCCCTTCTGCCTAAGAGTCCCTGAATGTAAAAGGGAGTGCTTCTCTTTCAAGATACAATGATGGTACAGGCATTGGGTAAGGTTTCTCAGTCCAATGGGAAGAAATTTTCCAGAAAAATAACACAATTGGGACACAGGTCCAATGAAAGCCCAAAAACCTGGAGAGTATGTATGCATTCATCATGAGAACTCACTTTCACATAGACAGCATTAAGGACATACTGTTTAACCATTTGTGAAAGATCTGCCCCCCAGCCCCATCTTTCACCCCCACCCCCAGCCTAAACCCCCCAAACTCACCACACCCTCACTTCCAATCTCAACTGTCCACCATGATTAAATCACCTTCTAACAAGCACCACTTTTAACATTCCCCATCACAATTCTACATGAGTTCTGGTTGGGACACAGAGCCAAATCATATTGTTCTGCCCCTGGCCTTCCAAATCTCATGTTACTCTCACTTTGCAAAATACAATTATGCCTTCTCTACAGTCCCCCAAAGCCTTAACTCATTCCAGCATTTACTCAAATGTCCAAAGCCCAAAGTCTCATCTGAGACAAGGCTGCAGTCCCTTCTGCCCCTAAGCCTCTGAAATACAAAGCGAGTTAACTACTTTCAAGGTACAATGTTTGTGCAGGCATTGGGTAAACATTCCCAGCAAAAAGGAAGAAATTTGCCAAAGAAAGAAGCACAAAACACAGATAGGACTTACAGACCCCATGCAAGTCAAAAATCCAGCAGGCCAGTCATTCCATCATACAGCTCTAAATCATACTTTTTGAATCTACATCCTACATCCAGAGCAGAGGGTGGTTTGATGGCTGGTCTCCCAAAGCCTTGGGCAGCTCAGCACTTGTGGTATGGCAAGGTCTTTCCCCAAAGCTGCCCTCATGGGCTGGGCTGCTGTTGAGTGCCAGTAGCTTTTCAACACTAAGGGTGCAAGCTGTTGGTGGGTCTATGAATCTGGGGTCTGGAGAATGGTGCCTCCCGGTGTGGGGGCTTCCCACCCTATATGTTCCTTGTGTACTGTCCTTGTAGAGGTTTACCATGAGGCTCTGCCTGTTGGAAAAGCTTCTGCCTGGAAACCCAGGATTTTCCATACATACTCTGGAGTCTAGATGAAGACTTCTACGTTTCTAGTCTTGTGCTCTGTGCACCTGCTGGCTTAACACTATGTGGAAGCCACAAACGCTTGGAGCTTGCAACCCTGAAGCAGTGACCCAAGCTGTACCTGTGCATCTTTCAGCCATGGCTGGAGCAGGAGCTACAGGGATGTAGGCAGCAGTGTCCTGAGGCTGCACACTGCAGGGGACCATTGGGCTGGGCCAGGAAACCATTCTGTCCCAGAAAACCATTCTTCTGTCCTAGGCTTCAGGGCCTGTACAGCAAGGGCTGCTGCAAAGGTCTCTGAAATGCATTCAAGGCCTTTTCCCCATTGTCTTGGCTATTAGCACTGGGCTCCATTTTATGCAAGTTTCTGAAGCTGTCTTGAATTTTCCCACTGACAATCAGCTATTCTTTTTGACCATTTGGCCAGGCTGCAATTTTTTAAACTTTTAAGCTCTGCTTCTAATTTAAATATAAGTTTCTAATTGAGGTCATTTATTTGGTCACACAGAAGACCAGGACACAGACAGGACACCTCTTGAGCTTTGCTGCCAAAAGTTCATTCTGCCAGATACACCCGAAACCATCACCCTCAAGTTCAAAGTTTCACAGATCTCCAGGTTAGGGGCATCATGCAGCGACATTCTTTGCTAAGGCAAAACAAATGTAACCTTGGCTCCTGTTTCCAGTAAACTCCTCATTTTCATCTGAGACCTTCTAAGCCTGGCCTTCACTGTCTATCCTTCTGTCAGCTTTTTAATCACAACTAACAAGTAATTACAATGGTCCAAACTTTCCCTCATCTTCCTGTCTTCTTCCAAGCTCTCCAAACACTCTAACCTCTGGCCATTACCGAATTCTGAACCTGCTTCTACATTTTCAGCTATCTTTGTCACAGCCTGGCAATGTGGTAAAAGAAGAAAAGTCCATTATCAGGGGAAAACTTCAAGAAGGCTTCAGATATTAGCATAAAAGAAGCCCAGTGCTAACAGCCAAAAGATTGGGGAAAAGGCCTTGAAGGCATTTCATAGCTTCACTTCACAGCATTGACTTTCTTCATGTACATAAATAATAGAGGTTGAATTGACTTACAGTTCTGGAGGCTGTAAGGAAAGCACAGTGGCTTCTGCTTTTAGGAGGACTCCGGAAGCCTCCCATTTATATCAGAAGGCCAAGTGGCAATGAAATGTTTCATATTTCAGGAGTAGAAGCAAGACAGAGAGAGGAAAGAGGTGCTACATCCTGTTATACAACCAGATCTCACGAGAACTCGGTATCAGGAGATCAACATCAAGAAGATGGTGCTTAACCATTGGTGAAGGATCCACCCAATACCCCACATCCACCCCCCCGTTTCCATGCAGAAGCCTGAGGCAGAGGCAGATCCTCTTGGAAAACCTCTACTAGGGCAGTGCAGAAGGAAAATATGGGCTTGGAGCCCCCACGCAAGATAACACCATCCTCCAGACCCCAGAGTCATAGACCCACCAAAAGCTCCCACCCTCAGTAGGGAAAATCTACAGGCAATCAACACCGGCCCAGCCCATGAGAGCAGCCATGGGAGCTAAAGCCTGCAAAGCCACAGGTGCACTGCCCTAGTGCAGGTTTTCCATGAGCCTCTGCCTCTGTAGCATGCTACTCCCCCTTCCTACTACCCACCACCCTCACACCACCCTACAGTCAACCTACTGCTCCGAACTTACCCACTTCTTTTTACTTCCAACTCCACCCCTCTCAAGTACAGGAATAAATCACCTCCCACCAGGCCACACCTGCAACATTCAGAATTACAATTTCCCATGTGTTTTGGTAGAGACACACAGCCAAACCATATTATTCCAACCCTGATCCCCCAAATATCATATCCATCTCACCGAGTAAAATACAATCTTGCCTTTTCAAAAGCTTCCAAAAGCCTTAACTCATTCCAGCATTAACACAAATGTAAAAGGTTCAACATCTCATCTGAGAAAAGTCTACAGTCCCTTTTGCCTATGAGTCCCTGAATTTAAAAGGGAGTTCTTTTTTTCAAGGTACAATGATGGTACAGGCATCGGGTAAGTTTTCTCAATCCAAAAGGAAGAGATTTGTCAGGAAAGTAACACAAGTGGGGTCACAGGCCCAGTGTAAGTCCAAAACCAAGCAGGACAGTATCCATTTAATCTTACAGCTCCAGAATCATCACGAGAACTCACCATCATGAGGAAAGCATTAAGGAGACGGTGTTTAACCATTTGGGAGGGATCCTCCCCCAACAGCCATTTTCACCCCTCACCCCCACCAAAATCCCCCCATCCTCCCCAATCCCCACCTTCCAACACCCACTGCTCTCCATGATTAAATCACCTTCCACCTGTCCCAGTTTTAACATTTCCAATTACAATTCCACATGAGTTTCTTTAGGGACACACAGCCAAATCTTATTCTGTCCCTGCCTCCCCCAGTCTCATGTACTTCTCACTTTGTAAAATACAATGATGCCTTACCTACAGTGCCACAAGGTCTTAACTCATTCCAGCATTTACTCAAATGTCTGAAGCCCAAAGTCTCATCTGAGATGAGGCAGTCTCTTCTGCCCCTGAGCCTCTGAAATACAAACAAGTTAACTACTTCCAAGGTACAATGATTGTTCAGGCATTAAGAATTCCTAGCCAAAAGGAATATTTTTGCCTGAGAGAACAAAACACAAATAGGACTTACAAGCTCCATGAAAAGTCCAAAACCCAGCAGGCCAGTTATTCAAACCCACAGCTCCAAAGTCACCCCTTTTTTATCCTTGTCCCACATCCAGGGCACAAGGGTGTGAGGGCTGGGCTCCAAAGGCCTTGGGCAGCTCTGCACCTGTGGCTTTGCAGTGTTCAGCCCATGCAGCTGCCTTCATGGGCTGTGCTGGTGTTGAGTGCCTGTAGTTTTTACCCATGGAGGGTACAAAGCTCTTGGTGGGTCTATGAATCTGGGGTCTGCATGATGGTGGCCTCCAGTGTGGGGGTTCCAACCCCATATTTTCCTTCTGCACTGCCCTAGTAGAGGTTTCCCATGAGGCTCTGGCTTTTTGGCAGCCTTCTGTCTGGACACCCAGGCACTTTCACACATCTTCCAAAATATATATGGAGGATCTCAAGCCTCTGAACTAGTGGTCTGTGCACCCACTGGCTTAACACTATGTGGAAGCCACCAAGGCTTATAGGTTGCACCTTCTGAAGTGGTGTCCCAAGCTGTACCTGTGCATCTTTGAGACAAGGCTGGTGCAGGAGCTGGAGCTGCAGGGATGCAGGCAGCTGTATCCTGAGGCTGCACACAGCAGCAGGGCCATGGGGCTGGCCCAGGAAACCACTCTTTTCTCCTAGGTCCCAGGGCCTGTGACAGCAAGGGCTGCTGCAAACATCTCTGAAATGCCTCCAAGGCTTTCTCCCCCATTGCCTCAGCTATTAGCACTGGCCTTCATTTTATGCAAATTTTTGAAGCCATCATGAATTTTCCCTCTGAAAATCAGCTTTTGTTTTGACCACTTGGCCAGGCTGCAAATGTTCCAAACTTTTGAGCTCTGCTTGTCATTTAAATATAAGTTACAACTTGAGGTCATTTCCTTGGTCACACATAAGGGCACAGGCTGTTTGACACAGACAGGACACATCTTGAGATTTGCTGCCTAGATGTTCATTCCACCAGATACACCCTGAATCATCAACCTCAAGTTTAAAGTTTCACAGATCTCAAGGGCAAGGTCACCCTCACCCATGTTCTTTGTTACAGCAAAACAAAAGTAACTTTGGCTCCTGTTCCCAGTAAGTTCCTCATTTTCATCTGAGACCTCATAAGCCTGGCCTTTGTTCCTCCTTCTGTCAGCATTTTAATTACAACTATTTAACAAGTCTCTACAATGGTCCAAACTTTCCTTCATCTTCCTGTCTTCTTCCAAGTCCTCCAAACTCTCCGACCTCTGGCTGTTAGCCACTTGTGAACCTGCTTTTACATTTTCACCTATCTTCATCACAGCCTGGCAATGTAGAAAGAAAAAAAAAGTCTATTTTCTGGGGCAAACTTCAAGAAGCCTTCATATATTTGCATTAAAAAGAAGACCAGTATTAATAGCCAATATGATGGGGAAAAGTCATTGAAGGCATTTCATAGCTTCACTTCGCAGTACTAATTTTCTGTATGATCATAACAAAAAGGGGTTTAATTGGCTCATGGTTCTGTAGTAGGCTGTAAAGAAAGCATAGTAACTTCTGCTTCTGGGAGGACTCAGGAAGCCTCTCAATTATACCAGAAGGACAAGAAGCAATAAAATGTTGCATATGGCTGGAGTAGGAGCAAGACAGAGAGAGGAAAGAGGTGTCACACCCTGTTGTACAACCAGATCTCATGAGAACTCACTATCACTAGGTCAGCATCAAGAAGAAGGTGCTTAACCATTGGTGAAGGATCCACCCCCCAACACACCTCTACCCCCTGCTGTTTCCAGGCAGAAGCCTGAGGCAGAGACAGAGCCTCTTGGAAAACCTCTACTAGGGCAGTGCAGAAGGAAAATGTGGGCTTGGAGCCCCCATGCAGGATACCACCATCCTCCAGACCCCAGATTCATAGACCCACCAACAGCTCACACCCTCAGTATGGAAAAGCTACAGGTACTAAACAACAGCCCAGCCCATGAGAGCAGCACTGGGGCTAAACCCTGCAAAGCCACAGGTGCACTGTCCTAGTAGAGGTTTTCCATGAGCTTCTGCCTCTCAATCAGGCTACTCCCCCTTCCTACTACTCCCACCCTCCCACCACCCTATGGCCAGTCTACTCCTCCCCACCCTCCCCACCCCTTTCTCCTTACACCCCTGCCCTCCTCCCATCCATGGTTAAATCACCTCCCACCAGGCTTCACCTCCAAAATTCAGGATTACACTTCCACATGAGTTTTTCTAGGGAAACACAGCCAAACCATAGTATTCCAAACTTGACCTTTCTGTATCTCATGTCCTTCTCACAGGGTAAAATACAATCATGTCTTTTCAAAAGTTTCCAAAAGCCTTAACTCATTCCAGCATTAACTCAAATATAAAAAGTTCAAAGTCTCATCCGAGACAAGGCTAGTCTCTTCTGCCTATGAGTCCCTGAAGTTAAAACGGAGTTCTTTTCTTTAAAGGTACAATGATGATACAGGTATTGGGTAAGCTTTCTTAATCCAAAGGGAAGAAATTTCCCAGAAAAATAACACAAATGGGACCAAAGGCCCAATGCACATCCAAAACCCAGCAGAGCAGTATTCATTCAGTCTCACAGCTACAAAATCATGAAGAGAACTATCAGAAGGACAACATTAAGGAGATGGTGTTTAGCCATTTGTGAAGGATCTGCCCCCACCCCTGCCTTTCACCCCTACCCCCTCCATAATTCCCAATTCACCCCACCAACCCCATCTTCCAACCTCCACTCTCCACAATGATTAAATCACCTTCCACCCTCCCCCACCTTTAACATTTCCCATTACAATTCCACATCAGTGGGACAAAGAGCCAAATCATATTATTCTGTCCCTGCCCCCACAAATCTCATGTCTTTCTCACATTGCAAAATACAATGATGCCTCCTCTACAGTCCCCCAAGTCTTAACTCATTCCAGCATTTACTCAAATGTGCAAAGCTCAAAGTTTCATCTGAGACAAGGATACAGTCCCTTCTGCCCATGAGCCTCTGAATTATAAAGCAAGTTAACTATTTCCAAGGTACATGATTGTACAGGCAATGGGTAAGCATACCCAGCCAACAGAAGAAAAATTGCCAGAAACAAAAACAAAACACCGATGGGACTCACAGGATACATGAATGTCCAAAACCCAGCAGGCCCGTCATTCAATCCTACAGCTCCAAAATCATCCTTTTGGAATCCTTGTCCCACATCCACGGCACAGGGGTGTGAGGGCTGGGCTCCCAAGGCTTTGGGCAGATCTCCACCTGTGGGTTTGCAGTGATAAGTCCCCGCAGCTGCCCTCATGGACGAGGCTGGTGTCGAGTGTCTGTATCTTTCCCACACTGAGGGTGCAAACTGTTGGTGGGTCTATGAATCTGGGGTTTGAAGGATGGTGCCTCCTTGTGTGAGGGCTTCAACCTGACATGTCCCTTCTTTCCTGCCCTAGTAAAGGTTTCCCATGAGGCTCTGCCTCTTGGAAAGGCTTCTGCCTGGACACCCAGGCTTTTCTGTACATCCTCTGGAGTCTAGACGGAGGCTCCTAAGCCTCTAGTCTCTTGCTCTGTGCACCTCCTGGCTTAACACTATGTGGAAGCCATCAGGGCTTGGAGCAGTGACCCAAGCTGTACCTGTGCATCTTTCAGCCATGGCTGGAGCTGGAGCTGCAGGGATGCAGGCAGCGGTGTCCTGAGGATGCACACAGCAGCCAGGCCATGGAGCTGGCCCAGGAAACCATTCTCTCCTCATCCCTAGGGCCTGTGACAGCAACGGCTGCTGAAAAGATCTCTGAAATGCCTTCAAGGCCTTTTCCCCATTGTCTTGGCTATTTGCACTGGGCTCTTTTTTATGCAAACACTCTAAGCGTTCTTGAATTTCCCCCCTGAAAATCAGCTTTTCTTTTTGACCACTTGGCTAGGCTGCAAATTTTTCAAATTTTTGAGCTCCACTTCTCATTTAAATAGAAGTTGCAACTTGAGGTCATTTCTTAGGTCACACATAAGAACACAGGCTGTTGGATGTAGAGAGGACACCTCTTGAGCTATGCTGCCTAGATGTTCATTCCACCAGATACATCCTAAATCATCACCCCCATGTTCACAGTTTCAGAGATCTCCAGGGCTAAGGCCAATCAAATGTACCCTTGGCTCCTGTTCACAGGACATTCCTCATTTTCATCTGAGACCTTTTAAGTCTGGCCTTCACTGTCCATCTTTCTGTCAGACTTCTGATCCCAAGTATTTAACAGTTATTTTCAGTGGTCTAAACTTTTCCTCATCTTGCTGTCTTCTAAGGGTTCCCAACTCTCCCGACCTCTCTCTCTTTTACCCACTTCTGAACCTGCTTCTACATTCTCAGATATCTTTGTCACAGCCTGGTAATGTGGTAAAAGAAGAAAAGTCCATTTTCAGGGGGAAAATTCACAAAGGCTTCAGATATCTTTATGAAAAGAAGCTGAGTGCTTGTTTCCAAGATAATGTGGAAAAGGCTCTGAAGGCATTTCATAGCTCCACTTCACAGCACTAATTTTGTGTATAATCATAAAGAAAAGAGGTGTAATTGGCTCACAGTTCTGCAGGCTGTAAAGGAAGCATAGTGGCTTCTGCTTCTGGGAGGACTCAGGAAGCCTCCCAATCATACCAGAAGGCCAAGGGGCAAGTAGATGCTTCATATGGCAGGAGTAGGAGCAAGACTGAGAGAGGAAAGAGGTGCCACACCCTGTTATACAACCAGATCTCATGAGAACTCACTATCACAAGGTCAGCATCAAGAAGATGGTGCTTAACCACTGGTGAAGGATCCGCCCTCCCAACACCCACCTCCACCTCCCACTGTTTCCAGGCAGAAGCCTGCTACAGAGGCAGAGCCAGATTCATAGACCGACCAACAGCTTGCACCCTCACTGTGGAAAAGCTACAGGCACTCAACACTAGCCCAGTCCATGAGAGCAGCCGCGGGGGCTAAACTTGCAAAGCCACAGGTGCACTGCCCTAGTAGAGGTTGTCTATGAGGCTGTGCCTCTGCAGCAGGTGACTCCCCACTCCCACTACATCCCACCCTTCCACAACCCTACAGCCAGCCTTCTCCTCCCCACCCTGCCCACCTCTTTTTCCTTCCACCCCATCCACCTCCCATCCACGATTAAATCACTCCCACCAGGCCCTCATCTTTTTGTCATTTTCCAGTCCCTCCAAACCCTCCCAATCTTTGTTCATTACCCACTTCTGAACCTGCTTCTATTTTTTCAGGTATCTCTATAGCAGGTTGGCTATGTAGTAATAACACAAAACCCGATTTAAGGGGGAACATTCAAGAAGACTTCAGAAATTTGCATATAAAGAAGCCCTGTGCTAATAGCAAAGACAAAGGGAAAAAGGCCTTGAAGACATTTCACAGCTCCTCTCTGCAGTTCTAATTTTCTGTATTATCCTGAATAAAAGAGGTTTCATTGACTCAGGGTTCTGCAGGCTGTGAAGGAAGCATAGTGTCTTTTGTTTCTGGGAGAAGTCAGGGAGCCTCCTAATTACACCAGAAGGCCAAGTGACAATGAGATGTCTCCTATGGCAGGAGTAGGAGGAAGACAGAGTGAGGAAAGAGGTTCCACAGACTGTTAAACAACCAGATCACATGAAAACTCACTCACTCTCAGGAGGACAGCATCAAGGTGATGGTGCCTTATCATTCATGAAGGATCTACCTGCACCATTTTGTGACTAAATCTTTTTCCACCTAGGCCCCACCTCTAACATTAGGGAGTATAATTCCACATAGGTTTTGATAGGGATATAGAGACAAACCATATTATTCTGTCCCTGACCCCATGAATCTCTTGTCCTTCTCACATTGCAAAATACAATCATGCCTTGCCAGCATGAGTCTTAACTCATTTCAGCATTAACTCAAAGTTACAAAGTCCAAAGTCTCATCCGAGTCAAGGCTATAGCCTCTTTTGCCTATAAGCCTCTGAAATAAAATGCAAGATCACTGCTTCTAAGGTACAATGATGGTACAGGCATTGTGTAAGCTTTCCGTATCCAAAAGGAAGACATTTTCCAGAAAGCTTCTTATTTCCATCTGAGACCTCCTCAACCTGGCCTTCACTGTCCTTGTTTCTGTCAGGATTTTTTGTCACAACCGTGTAACCAGTCTCTAAGATGGTCCAAACATTTTCTTATCTATCTGTCTTCTTTTGAGCCCTCCAAACTCTTCCAACCTCTGTCCATTACCTAGTTCCAAAGCTGTTTCCACATTTTCAGGTATCTTTATAGTAATGCTTCAGTCCTCATTTGCCATTTTCTGTAAGATTCATTTTGAAAAAGAGGTTTAATCGGCTCATGGTTCTGCAGGGTGGACAGGAAGCACAGGGCTTCTGCTTCTAGGAGGCCTCAGTAATCTTCCAATCTTCCTGCAAGGTGAAGAAAGAGTGAGTTGTCTCACATGGCAAGAGGAAAACATGCGGAGTAGGGAGGTGACATAGAGTTTTCAATGACCAGGTCTCATGAGAAGTCACTCATGATTGTGAGGACAGCAGCAAGGGGATGGTGCTAAACCATTCATGAGAAATTTGCCTTCAGGATTCAATCACCTTAGACCAGGATCCACCTTCAACGTTAGGAAATATAATTCAACATGAGATTTGGTAGGGACACATATTCAAATTGCATCATCAATCTTTGAATATAAAGACATCCATAGCAGGCTTTACCCAGCCAGCTTCTTTGAGACTCTTCACAGGGTTTGGGGTCTACAGCATATACACTAAAATATTCATACTTCAAAAAGCAATAAAGTAAGTGGTATCATTCTTCCAAAAGTTACAATGGTAGTGTAGGAATTCATAGCATGGTTTAGGTCATGTTTGCTACTGTTTCTACTCTATCACCATATTAACTGTTTCCTACACAATTCTATATTCAGCTGAGTTTCAATTGAGAACAAAACCATCCTTGTACTACCACCAATACCTGGCACTAGCTCTTTGCTAGTGTTATTGTTCTGCTGTAGAAAGTATCCTTGAACTGGAAACAGTCCACAATCAAGTATCTAGTCATTCAACACTATAAATTCCCGGGTGACTTTTTGAAAAAATAGTATCTCTTGTTGCAAGAAATGCTGCATCTGTGAGTCCATGTTTCTCACTTGAATTGGATGGAAGTGGTGAATTTCAGCCACAGTGTCCAAAGAAATCCTGTTCCTGTGATTCCGACATCATCAGCCTCTGCACCTCTGTCTTCCCTTCTGCCACATGTTGCCTACTCTCCGTGACTTTGGTTAGAGCTTCCTTGTGTATGTGGATGATGTCCGGGATGTTGGCCTGGTGTCCCTGAGACAGCACTAACAGGTCCATGACTGGGTCCCATTCCTGGCTGGGCTGATTGGCAAAGAACTCACCGACAGTGTTGAAGGCATCTCTGGTGAAGTGATGGCCTGCTCCAGCTGCAAGACCTGGCTGAGGATGAAGAACTGGCCACCTTCTGATGCACTTTCTTAAAGCCCATCACCATCATCTGCTTGCATGTCAACTCATTGGCTGAGAAATTGAGCTGAGTGCCCTGTTGTCTATCTTCTTGGTAAAGCACTCAAAGCCGTCAATCTTGTTCTCCCACTCCTAAAGGTTGAGGGCCACCTTGGGGGTGGGCTCAGGGTCAGAAAGAAGCTGGAATTCACCATCTCATCCTTCTTAGCCTTCCTCTTGCCCTGTCTCCAGGCTGTCTCTTCAGTGCTGGTGTGGCACATCAGGAAGTGATGGAAGATGTGGCACTGTGCCTGCACCCAGAAGCTGGCCGTGTGGTTCATCCACCAGATTGGGCCCTTTCTGCACTTGAACATAGAGTCCTTCTCAAGATGGCCTGTGGTCTGCCTCTTGGCACCCAAGAAGCCCACAGTGCTGTAGGAGCCCTGATGCATGGACTGGAGCCCCAAAGGCAGTGCACACCCTGCTCCTGAGCCTGCTGCTCATTTCCTCTATGTGGCTCCATTTGCAGCACAGTTGTTGCACTGAGGCCTGTGCATGCCAGGCAAGGCCAAGCTGGCTCAAAGAGCAACCAGCCACCTCTGCAAGGGTGTGCCAGGTGCAGGTGGACCAGCCACCAACCTCACTCACTGCCAGTCAGGGTAAATCAGTTATTCTGCCCTGGAGGTAGGGCCCCAGTGCCATCTGCTTTTCCTCAGGCCTCCACTCCATCAGCCGTCAGGTGGCAGCCCCTCAGGCTGTGGGAACCTGGCCACCCCTGCTTCCTTGAGTGGGTGAGGTTGGTGGCTGATCCATCTGCTCCAGGCACACCCTTGCAGAGGTGGCTGGTTGCTCTTTGAGCCAGCTTGGCCTTGCCTGGCATGCACAGGTCCTGGGTACTGACACGCTGCTGAGTGAGCTTGTCCTGTGTTGGGCCAAATTCTAACTCTGGCCAGGGCCACAGAAGGCTGAGTCCCCTGGGTGGTAATCCTGACTGCTGCTGGGGGGCCCATAGTGCCCCTCCCGTCCCAGGGCCCAGGATGAGGCTTGACTGGGCCAGGACCCTTTAAGTATGGATCTTTGTTCCCCAGCAGGGGGCCTCTGTCCCACAGGTTGGATGAGAAGATGCTGCTGGCTGCCAGGGTTGTTCGGATGCCACGTTCACCTTTTCCTCCGGGGACATCAAAGTTTCCAGCTTCCCCTTTAAGAATGACTTCCCAAGGCCCAGGTGCCATCTGGGGCTGCAGGGCAGCTGGCTGCCTGCTGCCCTGGCTTCTTCCATGTTGTGCTGGTCACTACCCACCAAGGGGGTCAGATGCAGGCACCGTGCAGGGCGGTTGTCTCTGGACCTGCGTCTTGGTTATCATGGAGCCAGACTGGGCCTGGTGACAGGGCCGTGATGGGGTTGTCCTGGTGGTCCTGGGAGTGTCCAGAGGAGATGCAGAATGGAATTGCTGCAAGGATGAATGAGATGACTGTCAGCACAGAAAAGGCACACGGTGAGTGCTCAGGGATTACCCTCAGTAGCTGCAGAGGCCAAAACCAACCATCTGATAGCGACTGTTCCCAAGCCAGGAGGAAGAGAAGAGAGCAGGTCCCACTCACCTGAGTCTGATCAGTGTTGAGATGCGCCTTTCACCTAGAAAACAATCCTTAACGCAGAGCCACTCACAGAGACTGCTGTGTGTCTCTAAGTGCTCCACAACACAGAGGCGATGGGGACTCAGAAAGAGTGACATCGTGGGGTGACACAACCCACCACAACGGGAGCCTGCTTGGGTCAAGAGGGCCAAGAGTCAGTGTCCTCTATCCCCTGAACTGACATGTGAGCATGCGTTGTGTTTGTGTATGTGTGTGTGTATGTGCATATGGGTGTGTTTGTTTGTCTTGCTTCTCTGGCCAGGCCTAGCTGCTCCACTCACAGGAGCACCCAGGTCCTCATCACTAACACCACTAGGGCCCAGGGCCAGGATTAGAGCCTCCATAGGTGCTCCCCAATCTCTGCCCTCCCCACCGAGGGTGGTCCTGGGGATGCAGACAGAGGAGGGGCGCTGAGCAGAGCAGAGAGGGCTGGCACCCTCTCTAGGTGGAACCCAGGTCGTGTGTAAAGTTGGAGGTCTGCCAAGCAGTGCTGAATTCAACACATCTTCTCACATTCTCTTTCCAGCAACTCTCCAGGGTGCCCTGACTCAGCTTCCCTACAGATGGAGGCAAGGAGGCTCCACAGACAAACCCCGTGCCTGAGGTCACACATTGGCTAACTGGCCAGGTTCCTACTGACCAGGTGCCCCCAATGAGGCCCCTAATGAGCACTTCTCCATTGACCAGGTCCCACTGATCAAGTCTCCACTGACCATTGTCTCCCTAACCAGGCCCCCATTAGTAGGCCTCATGGACCAGACCCCACTGACCAATTTCTCACTGACCTGGTCCCCACTGACTGAGTTCCCACTGACAAGACCACAATTTACCAGGTTGCCACTCACCTCACCTCCACTGAACAATTCTCCATGGATCAATCCCCAGCTGACCGAGCCCCCTCTGACCAGACCCTCAATGACCAGGCTGCAAGTGTCTAAGGCCCCACACTGACCAGACCCCTAATATACTGAATAGATCCCACTGACCAGTTTTTTATTGTTTATGTTCCAACCGATCAGGCCCCACTAAGGCGGCCACCACTGACCAGGTCCCCACTGACTAGGCTTCCAATGACTAGGTCACAAGGTACCCACTCATGAGATCTTCACTGAGGAGGCCACCGCTAACCAGGTCCCTGCTGATCAGGTCCCAACTGACCAGGTCCTGATGGCTAGGTCATCTCTGACCATGGTCCACTGATGAGGCCCTTGAGCAGCTGTGTTCAAAGTCTCATTACAATGCCCCCATCAGCCCACAGACCCTTCCTTCCTGCATGTGTGCCCAGAGGTCAGGCCCTGGGGGTTTTCTTGGGCTGTAAGGCCTCTCCTCCAAGACACAGGGAGGGACAGTCAGCCTCAGGCTCCAGGTACCCAGCTTCACACTCGCCCCCCAAGGCCGTGTGGGCCCATCTCAAAGGAGACAGTGAGGTGGCCTGGCACTGCCTAGACATGCCATGTAGCCTATTCCTGAGTGTCAGAGTGGGAGGAAGGGAGGGACATTTGGCAGACGAGACACCCTGTGCTGCTGGGTCTCCCAGGGCCCTTCCCGCAGAGCCCTGATCTGGAGACACAGCACAGAGGCTGCAGGGAAACTAATCCAGAACCCTTGAGGCTGAGCCAGGGACCACATGAGGACTGTCCCCAGACAGCTAGAAGGCCCTTTGCTAGTTTCTTGGTACCTCAGTGGATGGGGCAGCGGTTCTTCTGTTGGGGACTAGTGAGCGCGTGCTGGGGAGGGCTCTCCTGTGCTTCCTCAGTGGCTCCAACTCTGCTTATAAGAAAAATTACTCATTCTAGGGCTAGGGCAGAGAAAACACAAGATTAGTTTAGAACATCTTGTGCCAGAAATTAAAAAAGTGCTGACAGAGTAACGGGGACAAATCAAAAAGACATAAAGTCAGCTTGAAATGTCTACCACTGGCCTAATCTCAGGGAATTGGAGCACCAGAATCATGAGCTTTGCCTTCACCTTTATTTATTGGTTTTATTTCACCATGTAGAACAAAGAAGAGAATAAGAAAAATAATCATCTGGCAACCATCACAGTAACACTTGTTCAAACACAAGTCATCCATGAAATGCTAAATCTAGTGTGTTTTGAGGAGTAACCAGATATTTACAGAGCCTCAAAGTATCTCCACAAAAAATACTGTTGAACTACAAAAAGAAAATTGTAACATTAGTATGGACGAACCTGGCAGATACTCTTTAAGTCTCCTACTATATATAGTAATAAAAACTGTAAAATGCAAAGAAGCCTTCGATGACCTTTACTAAAGTATCAATGATGACTTGGTTGTTTGGCTGTTTAAACAGCTGGCATTCAGGCAATTTGAGTAGGTCAAACTCAATAATACTGGTGTTCATTTGCAAGATCCACTTAAAACTTAAGGAGGCTAAAAAACATCATTTAAAATAACATATAAATATTCATCATACATGATATGAAAATATTCTACTTTAGTAAAGATTGTGATGTTTTATATTTTATGAGAAACAATTAAAATTTCATGTAAATAGCCCAGTAATAAAGTTTTATGATCTTTTAATTCATGCTTTTCCTTAAGATTTTATGGTTAAATATTCTCTTCATTAGATGTGGCTTACCAGTGGATTCTAGAGAAGAAAGGAGATGGGAGCAAGTGTTCAACACAGCAAAAGCTGGAAAGAAAAAGAAAGAATTATGTTCTTTACCTAAAACATTTCAGTTAACAAAGTGTAAGTTTAAAATCTAAAGAGTTGAGAACGTTATCAGAGTTAATAAGAATGAGAAATATGTACGTACAATTACAATACAAAATTACTATTAAATAATTTACACATGGCATTAATTCTAATTGTGGTTAAATATCACAGCTTTTTCATTCTTCATTCATGTACTCAACAGCCACATGCTAAGGTACTAGAACGAGCACTGGAATTACAAGATGAAGATGGCATGGTCCACCTCCCAATAGTCATATGCTATAACCTAAAAGACAGGCAGGTAATGTCCATATAGAGTCATAAATACCATGTCAGGTATACAGCAGGGCACTACTGGAACACACAGAAGGGACATCTATCCCACTTTTGTGTCAATATCATGGGCTTTCTGGTGGAGGGGATGGATAAGTTGATGCCTGAAGGACAAGGAAAATCTTGCCAGATAGAGGGAAGAGGCGAAAGCAAAGAGCCTGAGGTAACAAAGAGCCCTGTGGAGTTCTACTCTGTCCACTTTGGTGCTAGAGCAAAGGGCAGAGTGCAGTAAGTGGCAAGAGACAAGGCTGAGTAACCTGACAAGAATTACATTGACATGGGTGTTTTTATTTCATGGTGAAATTTTTGGAACTTTTCCTGAGAACAGATGTAAGCCAATGACACAGTAAATGACAGGATATTTAAAATGTCACCTGTCAAGTGACTGCTTATGAAGGGTTATTGCTCAGCTAAGTATTTCTAAATGAATCTGAGGCCTGTTGGCCTTCAATCTCTACCAAAATCCTGAGAACCTGATGATGCCTTTGTTTTTGGAGAATCGTTTCAGTGTGCCAGCTGACAGTTCCATGAGGATGGCAAAAGTGAAGAAATTGTAGAGCCAGTAAAAAAGAGATGGATACACTTCTTGGGAATTTTTTAAGCTATGGAACAGTAAAAAGAGATGGATACACTTCTTGGGAATTTTTTAAGCTATGAATTAATGGTGCATAAGTATACTCTTCACTGTTAAAGTTTTTGTTTTCACATCTTTCATTAGATATGTGTAAGAAAAAGATACCATAGTATCTACTAACCCAACAATGAAAAGGAATGCCATTTGCTATTTACACTTTATTACTAAAATAAACCTAAATTTAATTAATACATTTTGGCAACATACTTTTCTTTGTTTCTGTAATTATTTGTTCTACACAGTCCGGCTCCATCTAAAATAAGTAAAAAAACATGATAATGTTTAAGTTAAACAAGAGACATTATCATGAGATTAATATATCACTTACAAAATGTGGCCTTTAGTATTTTTAGTGACTAGACATAACATGAAGTTTGCTTAAATAGAAAAATAATCACATAAGTAAAGTAAAATTTCTACTTATTTTAAGTTGAGATAATAGAGGATGTTTCTGTGTAATGCTGTTTAGAGTAATCTGACAAAAATAGATAATATTGGTCTATTAGATATAAATAATTTTAGAAAAGTGGTGTTTTATTAGTACAAAGGTTAAACAATGGCCAGGCATGACACCTCATGCCTGTAATCCCAGCACTTTGGGAAGCAAAGGTGGGCAGATCATGAGGTCAAGAGATCGAGACCATCCTGGCCAACATGATGAAACCCTATCTCTACTAAAAATACAAAAATTAGCTGGGCGTGGTGGTGCGTGCCTCTAGTCTCAGCTACTTGGGAGGCTGAGGCAGGAAAATGGCTTGAACCCAGGAGGTGGAGGTTGCAGTGAGCCGAGATCGTGCCACTGCACTCCAGCCTAGTGAGAGAGCAAAACTCCATCTCAAAAAAAAAAGAAAAAAAAAAAGGTTAAACAATTAAAGTCATATTTTGCAATGAATGCATTGCTTTGAAATTCTTAGCAAAACTCTGTTCTTTATAAAAGTTTAATCCATTTTTTTACTTCAATAAATTTTTTCTTAAAAAGAAATTTATATTCTTTACTTATTAAAAAAATTTGTATAGTAAAGTTTTCTTTTTTTCTAGTTTGTATTCTAAATTAAAGTGGTACCTGTGTAAGTTTCTTCCAAAAGTATATTGAGGAATGCTGAGGTTTGGAGTAAAATTGAACCCATCACACAGGTAGTGAGCATAGGACCCAAGAAGCAGTTTCTCAACCCTGGCCCACTCTGTGCCTCCCCATTCTTATTTCCCGGTGTCTATTGCTCCCATGTTTATGTCAATGTGCACCTAATGTGTAGCTCCCACATATGAGTGAAAACGAGATATTTGGTTTCTGTTTCTGCGTTAGTTTGCTTAGGATAGTGGATTCCAGTTGTATCCATGTTGCTGCAAAGGACATGATTTTGTTCTTTTCATGGCTGCATAGTACTCCATGGTATATATGGAATTTTCCAATCTACCTTGGATTTTCAATCTACCTTGGGTGCACCTGGATTGACTCCATGTCTTTGCTATTGTGAATAGTGCTGCAATGAACATACATGTGCATGCATCTTTTTGTTACAATGGTTTATTTTCCTTTAGGTATACCCCTAGTATAGTAATGGGGTTGCTGCATGTGGGATTACACGTGCCTGTCACCACGCCTGGCTAATTTTTGTAGTTTTAGTAGAGATGGGGTTTCATCATGTTGGCCAGGCTGGTCTCAAACTGCTGACCTCAGGTGATCCACCTGCCTCTGCCTCCCAAACTGCTGGGATTATAGGCGTGAGCCACTGCACCTGGCCAAGCACAAAGCTTTTAACAGAAAAATGGAAATGAACCTTTCAATGTTTTGTTTATTTAATTCATAAAATGCACTTATTTTGGATTCTATTAAATAATAAATATCTATATGTGGTTAAGTGTTTGGTTGCCAGTCATTCACTTGTGATTATAGGTGGACAGAGTTAAGATGGTGCAAAGAAACTTTAGAAGTGGTATGGGCTGGGCACGGAGGTTCACCCCTGTAATCCCAGCATTTTGGGAGGCTGAGGTAGGTGGATCACAAGGTCAGGAGTTCAAGACCAGCCTGGCCAATGCAGTGAAATCCCATCTCTACTAAAAATACAAAAATTAGCCAGGTGTGGTGGCTGGCACCTGTAGCCCCAGCTACTTGGGAGGTTGAGGCAGGAGAATCACTTGAATCTGGGAGGCGGAGGTTGCAATGAGCTAAGTTCACACCACTGCACTCCAGCCTAGGCAACAGAGCGAGACTCCATCTCAAAAAAAAAAAAAAAAATGATATGACCCACAGACAAACTACAATCAAGTAGAGTAAGACAAAGCATCTCCAAGTATACCATCAGTTATTTGGCAATAACATGCAATTTCTAAAAGCTAACTTAAATGCAGCTTTTAAAGAAATTTTAAATATGTCAGTTTAGCCACATTTATTGAATAAAGTTAGCCAATGGGTGCCTCTTGAAAATGAGAGCTCTGGGGAGTTAAAAAATGTAAAGTTCCCATTTCCTTTCTGTGTTAACAAAGCCAGTTATAATCTTTAGTTAGCATGCATAAGTCAACAGAACAACTCAGTATTTCACCAAATTAAAAACAAGAATTATATTAGAGAAATGAAACCCAAAAGAGAAACGGTCACATAACTAACCTCAGTCAAGGAGTTCTTGCAGTTATTTGAAGTCTGTGGGTTTGAAGTAGGAATTCTTAGGGGCATTTTGGGAATATATTTTCTGTTGAGTCCTATACTATTAAGATTTTCAACACAAGGTAACTCTGGGTCTGGCCTCATAGGAAGAGTGCTGAGAAAATATCATCCGTTCTTTCTCCATAAGGAGCTTGGTGCTGATCACTGCTATTTTCTTATCTGATCTGTAAAGAGAGCAAAGACAAATGCTTAGTATTTCATTTTTCCTTGAATGATTCTTAGTGACTTGCATTTTTTGAAAAGTTGCCCTTAGAGTAAACCAAATTACCCACTAAACAGTGTTTTCACATTAATATGTGTGAGAGCATACCTCTTGTAAGTAATTATAATTTTAAAATCATTCTAAATAAGTCTATGTGTTTCTAAGTTGATTTCTACTGAACAAGCAGTTCAAAGTAGACAGGGAAGAGAAATGGCTATCAGTGATGTATGGCTCAGTAGGTAACCTAGCTGCCTTCTAAAATAGCTCTACTTGTAAGATTCTAAAGATTCCTTTAGAAATATTTGTATTTAAAGGGTAACTATGTGGGAAAATGATTGTGTTAATTTGCTCGACTATAAGAACCACTTCATTATAAATAATTATATCAAAGCATCATGTTGTACTCCTTAAATAATGTAGATTAAGAAAACTAAAATGAACAAAAATAATCTAGAAATACTTGTGTTTAGTAAACCAGTTTCATGTTTCACCCTTGTACATTTCACCCATTATCTAAGAACACTTAAGTATTTGGCACTGAGGAATAACTCAGAGCAACAACTCCTGGGGTAGAACTAGACTGGTTGGTGATCAAAAAGAACTAAAACATCTCTGAAGGCAATTAGCCCTCAACACTGTGACCAAGGCACTGGAGGTGGGGTTGTTCTTTCTGCCTTCCACACACCCCTTCAGGCTGAACAAAGTGTTATTTTTGAACCACCTTGTGGATTACACTTCTTTTCATTCCTGTGATAATTATTCCCTATTTCACAAGGATGCCTTTATGTAACATCTTGAAAATGTTATGCAAATAGTCTTTCTTGAGGCACCCTCTAGTGATAACACCTAAAGATCACAATCAAAAACAGTCCCTGCCTGAGTGCCAGGATGTGCCCAGAGTAGCAGTATCACTTGACACTTTGGGTTTAGGTTGTGATCTACCAAAAAATAAATTAAACTCGTTAATATTTCCATTTAGGGAAATTCTGACAAGTAATTTTATAACAAGATCACTTTGTTAATCATAAAGCTTCAAAAATACTTAGCGAAAAAAACTAACAGGTCAGGTTAACTACATGAGACTTTTCAGGGGAAAAAAGCCACATAAAAACAAAAAAGGAGAAGAGAGACAGAAACTATCCTTGATGAACATTTTAAAGGTAGGATTATTTACTAACATTATTTTCCAAAATTACATTATCAAATTAGCATTCACTTCCTACTGATCCCCTGAAGCCATCTCACTAAAAATTATGCTTTCAAAACAAATTAATGAGCTTAATTCATTTTCTATGAGTATATGTTTGGACTTACTTCATTATTTTTTCTGAGATGGAATTGTTAGCTTTCAATGCTACTGCAAAGGCTTCCTTATATTCTTCTAATTCAGTTGTAACCTCTTCATAAGCAGTTTTCATTTTGGAGAATTTACATTCCACATCTTTAACTGTGAGTTCCTTCTTTTTTAGTGAAGCCGTATTATCCTTGTTTAACTGCTCTAATTGTTTTTCATATTCTGCTTGTTCCTAAAATGAAAATACACTTTTAAAACAATTATAAGTTAATTACCATATGTTTGTTGCCTTTCATTTTGAATCAGTGATTCGAAGAGCAATTTTGAATATGTTAAAAAGAGGCTGAAGCTTAAAATATTTATCAGCAATATCAACAAAACTAATAACTGAATTCAGAATTAAGTCTGATTTATAAAAATTTGAAATCATAATTATGTTAGTATTAATGTAATCTGGTCCTATAAAAAGTAATAGAATCCACTTATAATTTTAAAAAGTGAACAATGAACAACGTAGCTTAAGACCAATTCAAAAGTATCATATAATTTCTAAATCACAGTTTTCTCTTATGCCAACTCATCTTAATTATCAAATCCCCCCTTTTACTCTATAGTGAGAATCATTACTTTGAAAGACTGATTTTGTTATAATAATAATGGAAATTTAAATATTTAAAAGGAAAAAACATCACTTTTTTTTCTAGAACTCTACAAAGAAATTGCCGTAAAAGAGGCAGAGGAAACACAATATATACATATCCAAAATATAGTTTGCAGTGAAATAAATGAAAGCCCATTACAGATAAACTTACCTGATTTTAAAACCTAACCTGTAAATGGATTTCTTCTAATTTTTCTATTGCCTGCATTGCCCTTTCATCCAGCTCCGATTTATATTCTTGTGCTTTACCAAGTTCTACCATATCTTTTTCCATATGTGTCTTAAGATTTAATACTTCTTCTTCCAACATCTTTTTATCCTTCTCAAGTTTTTCACATTTCTCTTGTACTTTTCTCATAGATAATAACTCCTGATGAAGAACTTCATTGTCTTTGGCCAAATTGACACATTTTGAAGATACAGCTTCCTTCTCGGCCATAAGATCATCAAATTGCATTAATAAAATAATAGAGCTTGATAATGAAGTAGGCTGAGAATAATCTAATACAAAACCAATAGCAAATTTTGAAATGCATTGACTTGCATTAAAATGTTATCTATAATGCAGTAGATTCTTCAAATGTGAACCCTTAAATTACTCAGAATTTTAAGAACAAAGTTAAAGCTACCATGAGTCACAAAAATATGCTTTACTGTCATCATCTTTGCCACGGAACTTTTGCACTTGCTTTTACTTTTATTTTTCTAATAATTCATTTTTGTTCCTCCTTAAATGGCACTAAGTTATCTCTTAGTAAAAAGTGTCTAACCCTCTTCCCTCATCATCATTCCCCAAAATTTGTCAAAAAAACTTTCAGAGATATCATATTGAGTTATTTAGGCCAAAGTCAATAAATGGCTCTCAGAATAAAACTTTGAAAATAGTATAATACTCTACACTAGGCATGGTAGCTCATGCTTGTAATCCCAGTACTTTAGGAGGCAGTGGCAGAAAGATCACTGGAGGTCAGGAATTTGAGATCAGCCAGAGCAACATAGTGAGACCCCCATCTCTACAAAAAAAAATTTTTTTTAAATTAGCCAGGCATGGTGGCTCAGGCCTGTAGACCCAGCTAGTTGGGAGACTGAGGCAAAAGGATGGCTTGTACCCAGAGTTCAGGGCTGCAGTGAATTATGACCACATCACAGCACTTCTGCCTGGATGATAGACAAAGACCATATCTCAAAAAAACACAAAATAATGAATCCTGTAAATAAGAATTCTGATACCATAAGCCTTTCCCCAAACCGCACAGGTTTCATGCTAATTTGAATTGCATTTTAAGAAGTAATGATTCTTGGGGTAAAGGCCATAGAATACAGCACCCAGAAATAAATCCACATATTTACAGCCAACTTATTTTGGAATAAGGTACCAAGAACATACATTGGGGAAAGGACACCCTCTTCAAATGAATGACACTGGGAAACTATCCATATGAGGAATGATACTAGCTTCCTATCTAACACCATATAGCAAAATAAACTCAGAATTGATTGAAGACTGAAATGTAAGGCCCAAAATTATCAAACTATTACAAGTAAACATAGGGAAAATGCTTCAGGACATTAGTCTGCACAAAGATTTGTATAGGTAAGACATCAGAAGCATAGGCAAAAAACAAATGATAGACAAATGGTACTACAACTGAGTGAAGAGAAAACCTGTAGAATGGAAGAAAATATTTTCAAGCTATTCATCTAATAAAAGACAAATATCCAAAATACACAAGGAACTCAAATACCCTGACAGTAAACAAAAATAATCTGAGTTCAAAACTAGGCAAAAGATCTGATTAGATATTTCTCTTTTTTTTAAGAGAAAAAAAGAAATACAAATGGCCAATAAATACATTTAAAAATGTTCAGTATCACTAATCATCAGGGAAATACAAATCAAACCTACAATGTGATATAATCTTGCTCCATTTCAATAAATGGCTGTCATAGAAAACACAAAAAAAAGTGCTGGTGAGGTTTCAGAGAACAGTGAACTCTTACATGCTGTTGGTGGGAAGGTAAATTAGTGCAGCTACTATAGAAAACAACATGAGGTTTTCTCAAAAAATGAACAATGGAACTGCCGAGGGAGCAACCCCACTAACTGGGTATTCAGGCGATAGAAAAGAAAACAATAGATCACAATGATACTTGTCCTCATATGTTTATTGTAGCACTATTCACAACAGCTAATGTATAAAATCAACCTACATGTCCATCAACAAATGAATGGACAAAAAAATTGTGGTACACATACACAATGGAATACTCACCATATAAAAAAATGAAATCCTCTTACTTGTAGCCACATGGATCAGTCTGGAGGATATTACATTAAGTGCAGACACAGAAAGATAAATACTGTACATTCGCACTCATGTGTGGGAGCTAAAGAAAAATTGAGGGCTGGGCAACATGGCTGATGCCTGTAATTTCCTAGCACTTTGAAACACCGAGGCAGGAGAATCACTTGAAGCCAAAAGTTCCAGAGCAGCCTGAGCAACATAGAGAGACATCTCTACAAAGTAAAAAATCAAACAGGTGCAATGGTGCACTCCCATAATCCTAGCTGCTCAGGAGGGGTGAGGTCAGAGGATCACATGGGCCCAAGAGTTTGAGGCTGCAGTGAGCTATGATCAAATCACCCTCTAGTCTGGATGACTACAGTTGCCCAGAGCCCAGACTACATTAGCAAGACCCTGTCTCTTAACAACAAAAAAGCTCATAGAAGTAGAGGGAGGGAGTCTGGTTAATGGATACAGAATTACAGTTAGATAAGAGGAATGAGTTCTGATGTTCTGTGGCATTGTAGGGTGAATATGGTTAACTATGATTTATTGAATATTTTTAAAAAGCTAGAAGATTTTGAATATTCACAATTCAAAGAAATGAAAAATGGTTGAAGTAGTAAGAAGTAGTAAACATGCTAGTTAGCTTGATCATTACGCACCATATAAATGTATCAAAATGTCACTCTATAGCCCATAATTATGTATATACATATCAATTAAAACAAAAGAGAATCTATATTCATCCCATTAAAAGAATAGAATATGGGTCATCCTTACTGATGGCCTTCTCCAAATGAATAGAATGCAGTACAAGGGATACCATGTGGCTTCCCTATCTCATCTCAGACTGCTTTCCCTTTGAACCCAGCCCCCAGATTGTGAGAGAGATCAGTCCACAAAGACAGCCTGGGAGTGCCAGTGTCAGTGTTCATGCTGCCTGCCCCAGCCAAGGTTCCAGCCAATGGCCAGCATCAACCATCAAACACATGGGTGAGCAAAGCTTCAGATGATTCAATTTCTCCAACTTCCTAGGGAAGCTTAGGGGAGCAGAGGCAAGCTGTCCTGGCCAATCTTTTTCCAAACCACAGGTTCATGAACAATATAAATGTTTTTCTTTTAAGCCACAAAACTCTGGGTAATTGTTAGAAAAATAAGTTTAAAAAAGAGACAACAGGAAACATAACTTATGTAGCAGAAAAGAGTCTCCTTTAAAATAGGATCTAATAAATGTTGAGATTAATTTATTGATGAGAAACATTATTGAGAAGCAGCAGATAACCAGGAGAGAGATGTAAGCTGCTGAGGAGGAACTTTTCCTAAAACCCCCTTCAATTATGAACTCTGATAACAAGGCAAGGGTGTCTCCTTACAATTTCCCCACAAGTTAGGAAATAAGACTGTGAAGCAAGAAGACGTATGATTTGAAAAACAACTGGAAATGCTTGGTTACATAACCAAAATCAGACATTTACCTGATTTCAATTAATGAAAATTCTAAAAGAAGAAGCTTTGAGTATTTATTAATCAATCTAGTATTCGATTTTCATTTTCCTTTTTTCTCAATGAGGAAATAAGGAGAAAATTATGGAATGACTTTTACTCTTCACAGAAGTAAAATAAACATAGCATACTTTGAGTGTTAAGACATCAAATGCAATTTCTCCTTTACCTTACTTCACATTTGTTTGTATGGAGACGTTAAGACCATCCCATCTCTATATTATACCACAATGCTTCTCTATAGCACACAACTTGGCTCTGAAATTTTGAAATTCAAAATACTAATCTACTATTTGTCTCTGATAAATTGCCTGAATATTACCTGATTTTTAAGTGCTGCACTCCTAAAACTTTTTCTTGGAATGAGTTAAACTTTTTGTTCCAAGAATCCTCTACTGAGCTAGAAAGCAGAGCTGTGCATCTCTGTTTCAGTAAAAGGAGGTCAATACAGAAACTGTGGTTTCTGAGAATGCAAGATCTGCACCAAGAAAAGGATTAGCCACAGTGCTACCCAAGAGAACCAGTTACCAGGTGGAAAGAGGATCTGCAAACTGAAAGATGATGACTTCACTTGATTTCCACTGAGGAAAGCTGGCAGCTCAGACTTAAACTTCTCCTTCTTGGATGGTAAACATCTATGGATGATTCTATGAATTATAATGAGTTAGTAAAACATAAGGCACCAAATAGTAGACTATGTCAGCAGATTCTGTGACCAAAATTTACTGAAAATGAAACTATAGAGGGAGGCACTGGATAAGAGACTAAGGGTTTGAATGGAGAAAAAAAGAAATAGTGTGTCTTGTAAGGCTGACTTCCCATCATGTCTTAGAGTAAGTAAGTTATAAGCTGGCCAGAGACTCCTTTGAGATACAAAAGGTGAAGTTAAAGATATTCTACTACATTTAATTTTTATTATGACATAAGATAACTGGTAATAGGCAACATGATTGAAAAAATTTTCTCATTAAATTTGATTTGGTCCTGGTATAAGAATAGACATAAACTAAGAATTGATAATCTAAAAATAAACCTGCACATTTACAGTCAATTGATTTTATACAAGGTTAACAAAAAAACAGAATAGGAAAAGCATAGACTTTTCAATAAATGATATTGGAACAACTGGGTATCCACGTGCAAAAAAAAATTATAAAGTTGGACTCTCACCTAATATCATATTTAAAAATTAACTCAAAATAAAACAGTTAAATGTAACAGCTAAAACTATAAAACTCTCAGAAGAAAACATTGGTATAAATCTTTGTGAAGATATAAAGATGGATAATAAGCACATTAATAGATGCTTAATGTAATTAGTCATTAGGAAAATGTAAATCAAAACCACCTTGTGGTATCACTTCACACCACAGGATGAAATCTTTGTTCAATAAAAAAAGAAAATAAGTGTTAGGAAAAATGTAAAGAGATTAAAGCCCTTAACCAATGCTGCTGGGGATGTAAAGTGGTGCAGCCACTTTGGAAAACAAACTGGCAGCTCCTCGAAAGGTTAAGCATGAAGTTACCATATGACCCAGAAATTCCAGTCATAAGTATATACTCCAGAAAAATAAAAACATATGCAAGCACAAAAACTCATACATAAATGTTTACAGCAGCATTATTATTATTTTTTTTTTGAGACGGAGTCTTGTTCTGTAGCCCAGGCCTGGAGTGCAGTGGCGTGATCTCAGCTTACAGCAACCTCTGCCTCCTGGGTCCAGGTTCAGGCAATTCTACTGCCTCAGTCTCCTGAGTAGCTGGGATTACAGGCATGCAACACCATGCCCAGCTAATTTTTGTATTTTTAGTAGAGACAGGGTTTCACCATGTTGGCCAGGATGCTCTTGAACTCCTGACCTCGTGATCCACCTGCCTTGGCCTCCCAAAGTGCTGGGATTACAGGTGTGAGCCACCACACCTGGCCTATAGCAGCATTATTAATAAGAATCAAAAACTGGAAAGAACCCAAAGGTCCATCACCTCATGAATGGTTACATAAAATGTTTGATGCATCCATACAATGGAATATTACTCAGCAATAAGAAGAAATTAAGTACTGATACTGATAGAAGCAGGAGACAGCAAAATGCCTAGGCAGATATGGAAGGGTCCCCAGAGAATCTCCAGGCACACAAGTGTCTACCACAGATAAAACATCTGGTGCAGATAAGGGAACCTGCACAGGGGCTTGCCTGGACATGCCAGCAGCAGACTGGAGGCCCACATGCACTGGGGAGCTGGGGTGGAGCCACCAAGAATTCATGCCTTATGCAGAGGAGGAGCCTGGCCTCTTCAGCTAATGTGTGCTGGTCCTGGTATTCAATTGTGAGGTGGAAATCTGTTTGCAGGACCCCTCTCTTTGCTGAGAGCTTCCCTTTCACTTAATAAATTCTGTCCTTTTCACCCTTCAATGTGTCCACATGGCTAATTTTTCCTGGTCATGAGAGAAGAACCCAGATTTAGCTGAACTAAGGAGCAAAAGCCCTGCATCAATACCTGCTACAGCACAGATGCAGCATGAAAAATTATGTTAAGTGAAATAAGCCAGTCACAGTAGACCACTTGCTTTTTATTTCAGAGGCTTATAGGCAAATCTATACAAAGAAGGTGAGTGGTTCCCTAGGGCTGAGGGAGGAAGGGAAAACTAGTGAAGATAGCTAAATGATGTGGGGTTTGTTTTTAGGGTGATGAAAATATTCTAAAATTGATTGTAATGATGATTACATAACTCTCTGAAAATACTAAAATTCAAAGACTTGTATATTTTAAAGGAGTGAATTGCATGGTGTGTTAATTATTTCTCAATAAACCTGTTACACCCCGAAATTTATTTGGTACTAGTGATCTGGAGACATGGGCTGCTTGGTTTCAGATCACTGGCCAGGGTTCAAAACATAAGAGAATCAACAGCATGTCTTTTGTATAGAAAAATATATACATATATATATTTTAAAGTATCCTTTTTATTAGTATCAAGTCTGTAAAATTAAATGAATAATCTTTCACTTCTGAAAGTACTGAGAGATTTATATTGAGGAGCAAGACCTTGTATTCTTTTGTCCCAATTTCTATCTAAAGGGTCTGGGAATCACACCCTTCAATCAAATCTCATCAGATGGGTTTTATTAACTCTTATAATGTGGCTTACTTTCTAACCTGATTCTGGCACAGCATCACAGAGAGAAGGAGCTGAAAAAAATCAAAGTATTTTACCCCCAAATATATAGTTTTTGACATATTTTGAAATGGCTGTTGCAGGGCCAAGAGATTCAAATGGCCGTACAAAGCTGTCTTTTGTGGGGGAATTTGCATCTGTAAGAAGTCTTCATTAATGTAGCCCAATCTCTCCCCTTCTAGGTCTTCCCAGATCTAGGGAAGATTAACTAAGATCCTGATGCATTTAAAGTCTGAAAAGATATATTTACCATCTATTTTCTCTGAGGGCTGCCAGCTAGGAGGCTTCATCTACATAATAAGAACCTTAACCTCCATAATGACCTTATCTTAATTAAGGCCGTCCTTTATACCTATTTCCAGTTTTAGACAACAGATTTTCTTTATCAATTGTCACCTAAAGAATCCTTAATACCCACCTATGACTTGTTAGCCCCTCTTTTTGATGTCCCACTTTTAGGCTGAGCCAATGTATGCCTTCCTCATATTGATTTATGATTTTCCCTACAACTCTGTCTGCTGGAAATGTACAAAACCAAACTGTAATGTGACTGTCTCATGAAACATTCTCCAGAGCTCTTGAGATTGGGTAATCCAGGGCCACAGTCACCATACTGGCTCAGAATCAACCTCCTTAAATGTATTTTGGCCGAATTTGGGTTTATCCATCATTAATATTTCTCCAAATTACATAATTGTAATCCCCAAACTGATTTAAAATTACCTTATGTTTAAATATGAATTATTGTATTATAAAGATAAATGTATTTGTATGTTCATTGCAGCATTATTCACAATAGCAAAGACATGGAATCAACCCAGATGTCCATCAATGATAGACAGGACAAAAAAATGTGGTGTATATACATCATGGAATACTATGGAGCCATACAAATGAATGAGATCATGCTTTTTGCAGGGACATGGATGAACTCGAAGCTGTTATCCTCAGCAAACTACTGCAGGAACAAAAAACCAAACACTGCATCTTCTCACTTATAAGTGGGAGGTGAATGATGAGAACACAAGGACTTGGGGAGGGGAACAACAAACACTGGGGCTTGTTGGGGTCAGGAGGGAGAGCATCAAAATTAATAGCTAATGCCTATGGGGCTTAATACCTAGGTGATGGATTGATATGTGCAGCAAACCATCATGGCACACATTTACCTATGTAACAAACCTGCACCTCTCGCACATGTAATCTAGACCTTAAGATAAAATAATAATTTTTTTAAATTACCTTCTGTTTTAGCTTCTTAAACAGAATATCCATTTTCAGTTGATCTGTATTTAAGTCTCCATGGCAACTGAAGTCTTCATTTCCAAATACATTTAACATATTTATTGTCGTTTCTAGGCATTTCTTACATCTGCAGAAATGTAAGAACTAGTAAGTCAAGTATTTTTAAGAGTAAATATTTAATAATTGTTTAAACAGATATTATGTTATGGCATATCAAAGAAACAAATCTATAAACTATGATCCTCTCAGTTTCAACTGAACATAGTTTGAAAGCATTCTATATGAAATTATAATCTTAGATAAATAATATGAAGAACAATTTTATGGCATATATGGCAGGTAAAGTGATATTATAGCCATACAGTTTTATTTTTTTTTTTTTTGAGATGGAATTTCACTCTTGTTGCTCAGGCTGAAGTGTGATGGTGTGATCACGGCTCACTGCAACTTCTGCTTCCTGGGTTCAAGTGATTCTCCTGTCTCAGCCTCCCAAGTAGCTGGGATTACAGGCATGGACCACCATGCCTGGCTAATTTTGTATTTTTAGTGGAGATGGGGTTCACCATGTTGGTCAGGCTGGTTTTGAACTCCTGACCTCAAATCATCTACCTGCCTTGGCCTCCCAAATTGCTGGGATTACAGGCATGAGCCACCACACCTGGCCTAACCATACAGTTTTTTATAAACTATTCATATCCATTTTGGTATGCTAAGATAAAATAACATATTAGTAAATATAAGGCATAACCAAGAGTTGAGTAACCAAGATTAAAAAAAAGTAAAACACATATATGTTTGAGAAAGACACAAAAATACATTTTGATATCCGTTGACCACAGTCTATAAGAAGAAAAAAAAGTACACACAAAAAGCACAAGGACATTATTCAATGTAGAAAAAGAGAAGAAAACATCTTTAATGTCTGAATTGAGGAGAAAAAGAAAACAGGCAGTTTTAGAAAAAAGGAAAGGTGGAGAGAGATATGTGATGATTTAAAGACTTTGAAGAAGAGATCTAGAGATCTTTACTGACATAATGTCAATAAAATGAAAGATACAAAACCATGTAGAGAAAGGCAATGACAGAAAAATGTTGATTAGAATCAGAAAACCAACTTAAGTGCTCAGTAAATACATAGAAAAGTAGCTGCGTTCAGGGCTTCAAAGACACATTCCATTTTTTAAAAAAAAAATCTGTGATCAAAACATGAATGCTCATTTTACTCTTTTTCTTTAGGTTATACTTTTTTTATATATAAAATTTATTTCTGTAAAACAGAAGTTTAATAAGATGTATACTTCATGTATACAATGGAGGTACCCACATAAAATGAGTAAATTTCCATGATATGTTTTATATCTAAAAGAAAAACAAAGAAGCAGAAACAAAATACAAGCTATATATGAAGATAAATTTTGATGTTAAAGAAGGACACAAATAGGTCTTTAAAAAATTTGAATACAGCAGAGAATATTACAAAAGGAAGAAAAGATGACCAAATATAGCAAAAATGTCTTCAGAAATAAAAGTTCAAACTAGATAATGAAGAGTGCACTTGACATTACATGTCAAAGCGTTGTCATTATTGTTTTCAAAACCATTAAAGAATATGTTGCTAAGTGCAGTGGCTTATGCCAACTTTGGGAGGCCAAGCAGGGTGGATCATGAGGTCAGGAGTTCGAGACCAGCCTGACCAACATAGTGAAACCCCATCTCTACTAAAAATACAAAAATTAGCCAGGCGGGGTGGTGCACCCCTGTTATCACAGCTATTCAGGAGTCTGAGGCAAGTGAATCACTTGAACCCAGGAGGTGGAGGTTGCAGTGAGCCGAGATCATGTCATTGCTCTCCAGCCTGGGTGACAGAGCCAGACTGTGTCTCAAAAGATAAATAAATAAATAAATAAATAAAAATAAGTGTAATGTTTTGGCTTTCAAAAAAATTTCAGACTGTGTTCTTTTTTCACATATTTTTAATATAAATTTTTTCATCCCAACCTCGCCCCAGCAGCTCAGCTGACTCCAACCCCCTGTTTCTCCCCTTCCATCGGACTCTATGACACATGGTCTCATCCAGAGATCTATTTTTCATCACTTATTTTGTTTTTATACTGAAATTTGATTTTTTAAATAATTCCAACAAAAAAGTCCAAGGGTCATGGACTCCCGCTCACATGCCTATAAAGTTGTGAGTTTCTGAAATACATTTAAAAATAGAATTCGTTTAATTATGAAAATGCAGACATAAAATGAATTTGTATCAAGGTTTCAGTCAAGTAAAGTTAGAGTTAAATCAATTACTAAATGGTTAAAATGTTCTACAATATGAAAACCATACCCAGTTGCCTCTTCTTCTAATTCATGATTTTTCTTTCTTATTTGATCTACATTACAGTCCAGTGATGATATTAACTCAAAAAGTTTTCCGAGTTCTTCATGTTTTTCTTCAGGCTTGAAAAAAAAGTGTTTAAAATTATTTTTGTAAAATCTAGAGACCCTCTTCTATCTTAAAAATATTATTTCTCATAAGTTGATGAATAATATGTATTTAGGCAGTTGTATGAAGTGCATTTTATAAACCTGATGCCAATAACGACAGATTTCAAAACTAGTCATTTTCTGAAAACAGCTAAAAAATATTCACACTTTCATCATTATCTTTTCTGAAATTTAAACTGCCAAAAATGTTTGTTAAAAATGAGAGTTTTTACACATAAAATACTAAGGGTTAGTAAGATAAATTAAGAGTAGTTATATTTATATTTACATTTTAGTTTTTAAAGATGCTCTAAAAACTTTGTCATTAATAGTTTAAGATATTCCAAGTTAAATTACATCTTACTAAGATGATTTTTAGAAAACTCTTATCTAGTTCCCATTACATTTTTGATCCTCATCTGTCTTCAGGCTGAGCTAAATACTGTCATTCTCTGTAAGTATTCACCTGTAGGTTTCAGTTTTTCCCTGTCTCTTAACCATTTCTCTTTAAACAAATTTTATTTTTTCTATAATAAATAATAACTTTTATCTACTTTTTGTGGCTTTTCTATTATCCTGTTTCTCCCCTTCCATTGGACTCTATGACACAGGGTCTCATCCAGAGATCTATTTTTTATCACTTATTGTGTTTTTATATTGAAACTTGAGATAAACCAGTGCAAGGCTCTTTAGAGCAAAATCTAGATAACAGACATCTGGGTTGCTTGGCAAAGGTCATGTGTAATCCTAAATTATGAACCTGTCACAATTTAATTAATTGTTCTGCCTCTGTATTCATGCTTTCACACCACTGTAACTGTAAGCCTGCTTCAAGCTAGCCCATCCCATTTTTGAAGTGTGTATAAAAGTCAAGTGCTGTCTTTGTTCTGGGCCCAGTTTGTCAGATGTTGAGTCCGCTGGGTCTGAGTACACTCGATAAAGACATCCTCCTGTATACACCCCAAGGTCTCTCTCTGGTCCTCCTGATTCTGCAACAGTGTGATCTCCACTCACTGCAACCTCTACCTCCTGGGTTCAAGCAATTATCCTGTCTCAGCCTCCCGAGTAGCTGGGATTACAGGTGCCCACCACCTTGCCCAGCTAATTGTTTGTATTTTTAGTACAGATGGTGTTTCACGATGTTGGCCAGGCTGGTATTGAACTCCTTACCTCATGATATGCCTTCCTCGGCCTCCCAAAGTGCTGGAATTACAGGTGTGAGCCAACATGTCCGGCTGCTACTCCTCTTTTTAAATTCTCTCATAACTGCTAAAATCTCAAAACGTTAACCTGGATTCCCTAATATAAATTTCCAGCTCTGACCTTTTTACTGAGCCCTCTTCCCTCTAGTACACATATTATAGGCAATATTCTCAACCACACACTCATACATTGCTACTTGGTGCAGATTACTTTTGTAGATAGTGAATCTTGTCTATTTTATGTTGATTCTTATGGATGTTACTTTGAGTACAGTGTTATTTTCTAATCTTGAAGGGGACTGTCTCACCCTTAGGATATTCACCAGTATACTTTGTCCGTCCTTCCTTCCTTTTTCTTTCTTTTCCTTCTTTCTTTTTCTTTCTTTCTTTCTTTCTCTTTCTCTCTGTCTCTCTTCTCTCTCTCTCTCTCTTTCTTTCTTCTTTTTTGGACCAGTATACTTTGTCCATTTTTTCTTTTTCTTTTTCTTTTTTTGAGATGGAGTCACACTCTGTCATCCAGGCTAGAGTGCAGTGGTGCCACATCGGCTCACTGCAACTTCTACCTCCTGGGTTCAAGTGATTCTCCTGCCTCAGCCTCCCAAGTAGCTGGGGCTACAGTTGCACACCACCAGCTAATTTTTGTATTTTTAGTAGAGACAGGGTTTCGCCATGTTGGCCAGGCTCTTCTTGTACTTCTGACCTCAGGAAATCCACCCACCTCAGCCTCCCAAAGTGTTGGGATTACAGATGTGAGCCACGGTGCCCAGCCCTTTTTTTCTTTTATAATGAAAACTTTCCCATAAGAAACAGATTATCAATTGTTTGCCTTTGTTTTCTTTTAAAGAATTTCCTTTTCCATAGAGATATGGCATGATAAACATCTTGTTCTAAAGTTTCTTTTGGGGGACACTCAACTATGTCATTGGGAAGCTCCAGTCAAGTAGAGATCTCCCTTCCGCCTAATCGAGATTCTTCATCTCAGAATGGTGTCCACCAAATGTCTTAATCCAGGTAGTCTCCTGCTTAGGAATTCATAAAATAAGAACCTCTGGAGAAGTTAGAGGCTATTGATTGAAATGGTTTAAAGCTGCCCCTTATTATATGTTTTACTCCCAAGGCAGACATCAAAGTGGCTAATAATTCTATGCCTGATGTCTAACTCAATTCTATGGGAATCTATACAAAACATTTTATTTACGAGACAGTGTCTCGCTCTGTTACCCAGGCTGGAGTGCAGTGGCTCGATCACCGCTCACTGCAGCCTTCATATTCCAAGCTCAAGTGACCCTCCTACCACAGCCTCCAATGTAGCTGGGATTACAGGCATGCACCACCATCCCTCAGCTAACTGTTTTTTTTTTTTTTTTTGGTAGAGTCAGGGTCTCACTTATATTGCTCTGGCTGGTCTCAAATTCCTGGGCTCAAGCACTGTTCTTGCCTCAGCTTCCCCAAGTGCTAGAATTACTGGCATGAGCCACCTCACCAACCAGGTGTTCCATGGAATGGTTTGAGAGGCAGTTCTACACAGAAGCCAGAAGGCCTGGGTCTGAATCCCAGATCTATCTAGCTGTGTGACCTTGAGCAAATTAATTTTCTGTGTCTCTGGTTCTATATCTATGAAATGGAGTGAATAATACCATCTACTTCACTGGGATGTTGGGAAGATTAAACCAGGGACTGACATGAAGCACTTAGAAGAGTACGTGGTGCATGGTGAGCTACAGATAAGATTTGCTTAGAAGCACTTAGAAGAGTACATGTACATAGTGAGCTACAGACAATATTTGCTATTAGCGTGATAATTTTTACTGTTTTTTATATCTTGACCATTGTATGTTTAGACAGGTGGCATTCCAATGGAGGTGGTCTCCTATAGCTGCACTGAATCATTCTTCACACTACTGAAAGTGGCAGCAAATGGGGAGCATATAATTTATAGCTTACTTTTCTCTCTGTGTGACTCAGTGGGCAACAGTCATGTATGTACTACAATGTAAACAGCACCTCCTGGATTGAGTAGTACATAACGGACATGACCAGCAGAGACGGGCTGAGCCACGGAACTGAAAACCCTGGACTCTATTGCTAAATCAAGGCTTCTGAATCCCCTCCCAGCAGCTGTTGCTGTGGCACTGCCTTCACGAGTACTCTGCTGAGCGCTCAGATTAAGGGGCTGTGCTATCCTTCATCAGACAAGCTGCAGCCAGAACTGTTCAGCTGACAAACTGGCAACCATCCAGAAATACAGTTTGGCTACATAGTGAAGGGAGGCAAATTTAGATTCTTTTTTCATACTGAGAAAAACATGAGCATTTGATTGAACAATTCTCCTCTATTAGACTAATTGCTTTTAATTTCATATTTAATTGCTGAAAATACACTTAGAATAAAAGATTTACTGTGTTAATGTCTCAAAGAAGAAATAATTGGTATGGTATATTTTGTTCTATGCTGAAAGCTGCCAAGCTAAAATATTTTCAATTTATACAAGGATAGGTGACATGCATGTCATATATTATTTTCCCTTTAAGCAAATTTATGTTAAGACAAAATTATCTTCCATTAAAAATTAAAAGCCATGTCAAATTAAGAGCTAAGTTGTTCTGCAGACTGGAAAACAAGTGCTTAGATGTAAAGTCAGTGAGAGAACAGTCAGAGAAAGCTTCATGAAGAGGAAATTGCCTGCCAGGTCTGAATGAATGAGGCTAGATGAGCAGGAACTGAGAAGGCAGGAAGGACAGCATGGGTAAAACTGGTGCTGACATCTGCCCAGTTAACTCTGAGGATAAAGTCCAGTAGCAGGGAATTAAAAACATATGTCCATACAATAACCTGTAAATGAATGTTTGCAACAGCTGTTTTCATAATAGCCAAAAAGTGGAAACAACCTAAAGGTCCATCAGCTGATGAATGAATGGAAAACTGGTGTAGCCATGAAATAGACTATTACTTGACAATAAGACGGAATAAACTACTGTTATGTGCTACAACATGGATAAAATTCTGTAAACATTCTGCTAAGTGAAAGAGCCAGTCAGAAAGACTTCATATTGTATGACTCTATGTATATAAAATATGCAGATCATGCAAATCTATGGAGACAAAAGTGGATGGTGGTTGCCTACAACTGGAGTAGGTGGAGAGACATGGAGTGGGGTTGCAGTCATGGCTAAGAGATGTGGGGTTGCTTTTGAGAGTGGTGAAAATGTTCTAGCATTGATTGTGCTGATGACCACACAACACTGTGAATATACTAACAGACACTGATTTGTACATTTTAAATGGTTGAACTGTCTGACATGTGAATTATCTCTCAGTGAAACTGTTTTTAAAATCCCATGGTAGGATCCAGATAATTTTCTGAGCTCTCTATTTTGGATGTACATACTCTATTAGATCTGAGTATTTCTATGCCATTACAGTATATTTTAAATGAAAAGAAGATGAAGGCAATGCCTAACTTTTCAAGTAGTTTGTAAATTAACCTAAAACGTGTGCATTTCAAAGAACAGTATGATGGCCTTTCTGTACAAGTTAATCTAGAATCCATGAAATGAATAGGCACAGCTTCTGTGTCCATTCACAAAAGTGAAGAAATAAGACAACTTTCTGGAATATTCCATTAAACATTCTCTTCTGACTTAATCTGGCTTGCCTCACCAAGGCATTAAGGAAATTATCTAAAAATACTGTTTAACAGGAAAAAAGTCAATTTTCTGTGAGGAATGATGTATCATTCTCAACTTTCCCAAGAGTAGATATTGTAAGAGAAAACATATGCAACTATTTTTCAAAACGGCAGGACAAGAGCCAGAGTTGAAGAAGTAAGTACGTTATAAAGATAATAAAATGGTAATGATCAATTATAATGAAAATACAAAATCAAGCTGTCCACTGAAATTAGTATCCTAAAACACTTTATATTATTCAACCAGCTACAGATTAACTGTCTACATGTTAAATTCCATACATACTTGACTTTCTACTTGAAATAATTTCTTCTTTGAAGTCCGTGTCTCATCCAAATTAATATGACAATATGATGTACCTTCCAGTGGAGACTCTGACATTGAAAATTTTTTAAGGTGATCAGCCAGTTCTTCTTGAAGTTGTCTTACAATCACCTGACAAAATATTTTTGTTACCAATTTTATAAAGTACCTTATTATTAAATTATGTTAATCATATTTAACTCTAGCATACATACTTTGAAAATTATTACCACACACACAGATTCACTTTCTTTCCCTTATATGTACACTTTCTTCTTTATTACTGAATTCAGTGAGGGACATAGAAGTTTTTATCTTCCTGCCAAATTGGTATTCTCTTACATGACAGATTGATTCAGCCCGCTATTCATTCACCTTAGACCCTCAACTCAACCTGAGGTCCTCACATATTCAGTCACCTGTTGAAATCCTTCCAACAGATTCCTATCTCAGAATAAAATTAAAATTCCAACGGCCTTCAAGGCCCTAGGTAACATGGCCTCTACCTCCCTCCCTGACCTCAGCTCCTACAACTCTGTCCTGTACAAACTTCAATCCCACTCTCCGTGAACTCTGCCACCCCTCATTAGTCTGAAAATGGGGATTCAATGTCAAACTCATAAATCACAGACAGCTACAAGTATCTTTGTACTGGAAAGAGTTATATCCAAATGATACTCATTGAGACTTAAAATGTAAATTATGAGCTAATTATTCATAAAAATATTCACAGTAAATTATAAACACCTACCAGTGGAAACATTACATCAAATATCTTTTGCTAAAATTTACCACATTTATTCCAAATTGGATTTTATAACAAGTAGAAGTCTTTAAAATACTAAGTGGTCAGAAAAATACATAATGTGAGACTGACATATTTTCAGACTTAAGTCACATTGGTATGAATCAAAACAAAGTTATACCAACTAAAATACATAAAAGAGAGAGCCACTGAAGGAAAAGCATCACAAGACACCGCAACACACTTCAGTTCATCTGGGAAATCTAGAATTAAGTGTCAAAGCGGCTTACTTAATTGAATCTTAATTTCAAAATACACATTTCAGGTACAAGCATTTCCACTTACCCGCTTCATTATGGTCTTAAAATGTGGCAACATAAAGACATTACCTTTATTATTTCAGTAGTATAAGACTACATACCTTATCAACAATGCTCTGTATCTACTAAAATTTCACAGGTGACATAACGTCTTTACTCAAAGGAAAGCATCTCTCAGCTCCACCTTTTATTTCCTGAAAACAAAGTATGTTTCCAAGCTGATACAGTAAGCACTTTTTTTGGTTTATTAAAACAGCTTCGTTGAAATATGATTTTTCTTAAAACAGCTTTGTTGAAATATGATTTATAGAATTTATCTGTTTTAACAAAGAGTTCAAAGATTTTTAGTAAATTTACTGTGTTGTGCAACCATCTCTACAATTCAACTTTAGAACATTTTCATCACTCCAGGACAATCCCTCATGCCCATTAGCAGTCATGACCCACTTCCAGCCCCAGGGCTATACAAACATTAATCTTCTTTCTGTCCCTATACCTGTATTTCCTGGATGATTCATGTAAATGGACTTACAAAGTATGGTAAACACATTTTCATCTATTTATTTTTATATTGAACTAGGTTCAACATATAGCCAGAATGAAATGTTTAAATTTTCTTTCCAGAAGGTTATAAATAGTTTTCTTCATACTTCCTTCTCCTTCTGCTGCTTCTTTTTCATACTGAAAGTTTTTCTTTAAAATAATTATATTCATTCATTAATTCCATACTTTTTTCTTCTAGAAGATCTTCCTTTCCATTCTCAAGACAGCCTCCTTGGATATTAATGACTATCTCTTCATTATGGCCTTCCTTATGAGCATCCTCTAGTTGTTGTTCAAGCAAGAGATTTTCGAGTTCTTGTTGACATATTCTCTCCTCTAAAGAGTTCTGCGTTCCAGTGGATTGACTCTCCTTAGCTTCCTCATTTGGATGCATCTGCTTCATTTCCTTTATTTGATGCTGTGCTTGCTTTAGGTCCATCTGTACACTTTCTAAAGCCAATGTCTTTTCCCTGAGAGCATCTCTTGTCTCATGCAGCTTAGCTTTTAAGGTACTGAACTTCACCCGAGCTTTAGAAAGTTGTTTAGTAAGCAACTCATTCTTATCTGTTAGTTGAGAAATATCAGAACCCATTTTTTCTTGTCCATAAACATCATCTGCTCTCTGTAAAACTAGTTCTAGGTCTTTTCTTTCCAAAATTTCATTGTACTCATTTATAGCAGTTGCCAGGCTAGAATGGAGGGATTTGACTTCAGCTTCTAGTCTCTCTTTGTTGTGTTTTTCCTTCTCCAATTTTGAATTCAGCCTTGAATTCTCAGCTTTCAGATCATTGAGCTCTTGTGAATACTGGGCAATTGTTTTTGTTATCATTTCTTCATTGAGTCTTACACTCTTTTCAAAGTTAGCATTTATTTCTGTAATACTTTTAATTTCATGAATATATTCTTTTTCCTTTCTGAGACTGTCATTTTTTATTGCGTATAATTCCTGTTTGAGCATGGCAATGTCTCTCTTCAACATATAATTTCCATACATCACATCCTTCTTTTTTCCATAACTTTGAGAATCCTAAATAAAAGAAATGTTTAGCTAGCACTCAATAAAACAACATATGTTGGTTATTTCTGAAATGAAAGAACAACCTGTACATTCATGCAATTAAAAGTTGCTGTAAGTGGATATCCAACTGGAGAAAAAGTTGAAGCAAAACCTTAAACCTTAGAGAACATACATTTCAAAAAGTTCAAAAATTTATTTGAAGTCAATGAATCCATAAAATACATACACACACACAGACACACACACACTCTAGAGAATTTTTAAGAATATCAGAATTGGAAAAGCCTTTCTCTGGATCACAACAAACTCAAAGCATGAAGTTGTTAAAAAATTTGACTAAATTAAAATCTTGGAAAAAGAAAATTGCATTTATACTCTGATACCTAACCCAGACACCACCCTATAGTAAGAGCTTTACCTCCACATCTATTTGGACAGATAAAATCTCTCAAAGTTTTAAAAGTTCTGTTTCCCTGATCATATTCTATTGTGATTTGACAATAGAATAAATATATAAGCAAGCTGCAGGATTTTCCTCAGGGCTTCTGACTCTACTTCTAGTTCTACATCAGATCACGGTTACTTCTATGGTGTAAATATATCAACACAAAAACAGAGAAACAAAAAGACACAGGCATAAAATGTGTCTTCTGCCTTTGTCACCTGGATTCTCCATGGAATAGCCAGATTGAGAGGATGTGACCTTGTGGGTCTTCAGAAACAGAAAAGAAGCTTTCCCATTTCTGAACTAAGCTTATTTTTTCCTTTGGATCCTGGGATACCAAAAAAGTGAAGGCGCTCACTGAAATAGAGGAACCAAAGTTTGCCACAACACAAGGAGCTGAGTGAAACAGCTGAGTTGCTAGTGCAGAATCCTGGAAAATGAGATGTTCCTCAAGTTTACATTCAATTACCACAAAAGTTTATAGCTGGAAGATATACAGTAGAGTTGTCCACTCTAGCCCCATTATCTACTTGATAATGGAAGTAAAACCAAGAAATATTAAGTAACTCATCCAAAGCTCCTAAGGTGGCATTACCTAGTATTTCATGGCACCAAAAGGGAAGATACAATTACATATTGCTGAATTACATAAATTACCAGATAAATACATCAAATCTGTCAAATAAATTAAAAGTGTGACTTTGGCAAAGCAATTTAATGGCTCAGAGGGTGGTGGTGGGGCCTCATCTGCTTTTACTTTGAAAGAGGAGAATCTCTAGATTTTTGTCTGTCTTTAGAACAAAATGTACAGAACTCAGCCTTCTACTATAGAGTCAAATGCTAAATTTTTGGCTGAGGAGTTATGCTACTTATATGATAAAATCATACATGCCAAAACCTACCATATTTTATTAAACAACATCATGTAAAACTCTTGATTCAACAGAAACACTGGAGAGTGGTGATTTTCTTAAATATGTGAATGTATATATATTTGTTTCCAAAAATATTTAAAGTGGCCATGATGGAAGTATAAGTTTAAACAGTTTGAGTCAAACAGATAAACTTGCATGCATGAATGCACATTAAACAGACTTCTTTGGTTGGGAATATTTGTTGCAACTCTCAAGGTCAGATACATTTTCATGTCTCTTCTCAGTCATTGCTTCCCTCCCATTGTATTACCATTTTATCATTTAAATAAATGTAATTCATCTTTAAATGAATTTAGAAAAAAGAATCTAGACATTATTTCTTTAGCAATTTCCCTTATGCTTATCTGGTTCAGAAGGTCACATGGTATATGGCTAAATAATTTTCCCAGCCCATATGCCACCTGGAAGACTCACAGTGAGACTTAGGTTAATGAATGATCAAAGATTATGAGAATGTTTTCCAGAACCGTCATTTAGATAGCAGCACTAATCTACTTTGACACATAATTACACATTTAGATAACCCCACTGTAACTATGCACATGAGATTTTCTTGAGTAGAAAACCAGAACGAATCAGATAACTTATAATAAGAGAAGCAGCAAGGGAACCTCTTTCTTTTTATAGTTGAACTTTTTTTCTTCAAAGCCAGGAACTCTACTTGTAACAAGCCCATCTCATTCTTAAGCCTTTGCATATCTTGCTGTAAGTCTTCTTCTACATATGCTTTTGATGTTCTGTCACTATGTGGTGGAGAATAACTCACATTTTCTAATTCAGGTTTCATGCTTTCATAGATATTAGCAGTGGGACTGTCATATGTGGGTCCCTGAAACACACTTGCCAAACACCTTCTAAGCTTTAGAAGAGCTTCTAAGTTCCATGTGGCTTGTGGAAGCGCTGTATTGGTTTTCGGTTTTTGTTAAGTGTCTGTAACAGCAGAAATACTGTAGCTTTCTATTTGTATCACATGCCTCCATTCTTTGGAGTGAGCAAACCACAAATCAAAAAGAACTTTTGGATCTCCAGACTGAGGCCAATGTCTAATGACTAATTTCCAATCTGTGGTATTTTGGGTTATATTTTCTTGTATTTGCATATCAAACTCTTGGTCTTTTTTCATTTCAGCCATAACTACTGGGTTCCTTAATTTTTCAATTTCTATATCATTACAATTCTCTTTCTTCTTCATCTCTGTGAGAAACAGGCTACATGTCTGCTTTGTTATAATTTTTACAGTCTGATCTATTTTCATTTGAATAAAGCTTAGAAGATGACTGGCAAGTGTGCTGGAGGGACCCAGAGTATAAATGCAATGACAAGACCTGAGTGAGATGGGCTCCTTCTGTTCAGGCAATGCCTGGAATACCACAGAGTTAGACACTCCAGGTGCATCTGCTTCCTCACCATCAGGGATAGGATTCATCAGATTATGGGGCACTCCCTTTAAGTTTGTCCCTCTTTAAAGTTACAATGTAAGAGCTCTTCCTCAGGACAAACAGTAATTCTGCATTTTTCAAAACTTTCACCAATCTTCAGTTGAACTTTTTTGTAATGAATTTTTTTTTTTTTTTGAGATGGACTTTCACTCTTGTTGCCCAGCTGGAGTGCAATGGCATGATCTTGGCTCAACACAACCTCTGCCTCCCAGGTTCAAGCGATTCTCCTGCCTCAGTCTCCTGAGTAGCTGGGATTACAGGCATGCACCACCACACCTGGCTAATTTTGTATTTTTAGTAGAGACAGGGTTTCTCCATATTGGTCAGGCTGGTCTTGAATTCCCGCCCTTAGGTGATCCACCCGCCTCAGCCTCCCAAAGTGCTGGGATTACAGGTGTGAGCCACCGCACCTGGCATTGTAATGAATTTTAAAGGAAGTCCCGAATATATAGATATATCTTCTTTATTACAATTCTTACTCATTTCTGGTTCTTGAGGCATTTTTTTGCAGGTGCAAAAGTGGAAAATTAATTTGCTTCTTTTGTTTCTCAGATGTCTTTTCTGACAGGGTGCATGTTTTAAAATTAATTTTATTCTAAATTAAGTATGAACAAAGAAAAATAGAAAATAATTAAAATTGAACTGTGAAACTTAATCTATGTTTTACTACCCCAAGTTACTGGATTATAACTAAGAAGTAAAAAGTAATTTGCCTTGGCTTAATATAGGAGAAAAACATGAACCAGGAAGCTTAACTCTGTTTGGAGTAAATTTAATTCATTATCAATTAAATCTGACAGAAATGGGTTCACAGATGATATGTAGTATTCTAAAGGCTTTCTCTCTTGAAAAGATTTTTACCTCAGCATACCCTAACTAGTGAACCCCTACAGTGAATTCATATTTCTGAGGATTAACTAAAGAGTAGGCAAATGTTAAATTATTAGAAGCCAAAATGAATACCAATCAGAAAGAGAAGAAAATTTTTAGATTCTACTTCAAATGTTATACTGTAATATGATAGTCTTATCTAGATAGATTATCTGCGTATATCCACATCTAATATATTCTAAGCTCCACTAGTGACAGTGGGTTAAAAATTTTAATAGCATTTTCTATTTATGTTAAAACAAGAAAGTTATTGTTTGTACCCTGACACCAAAGTCCCATTCTGGAAGGCATAATTCTGTCAGTAGGCAGTTGGGTTGCTTTTATGACCCCATCCTCTCCCTGAACATAGACACCGAAGGCAACCAGAAACCAAAAAACAGATGAAGTCTTTAACCTCAGCACTGGTGACCAGCAACATAAGACTGCAAAGTTTGAACCACTGGGAATGATGACTCCTTTAACATGAGGTGAACTCAGTGGCCATCACTGTTCAATTGTTCATAATTTCTCTTGCTTAGTAATACAACTCCATTTTTGATGTTACCTTCTTTATCATGAAGAAGGTTATAAAAATAAAAGAGCAAAGAGAGTTCTGGAAATTTCTGGCCTCAATTCCAAGGGTACAGATAGCTGTGAGTTACTACAGACTATAAGAATATTTTAAATTTTAAAACAGGCTAAAATGTTTTAAAATTCAATATGAAATTATGCTCTGTTGGATTCTAAAAGGATAGTCTAAAAGGTCACTTCATTTGGACTATGCTATGTTATTAAAGAAAAACAAACAAACCAGTATTAAACCAGAAATTTAAATTGTTACATACCCGTGGCTGTTTATTTTCACTTCTTTCAAGCCTTTCTTGCTTTTCCTCTGAAGGCACTTTTAAGTCGTGTTCTGCTGACAAATCCATATGTTTAGTTAAAATCAATGACTTAAAATAAAGACTATCATCTTTATAAAAATTGATACAAAACAACATATACTTTTATAAATTGAGAGTTTAAATGAAGCTTAATGTTTACTGGAATATTTACATTTTTAAGAAACACTTCTAATTATCTAAAACTTTAACAAACCACTTGGGGAGACACTAGATATCAGCAGGTTCAAGCCATGCAAAAGTCTCAGGGTCATCCAAAAATTATTCCACCCAATATAAAAAAACGAAACTGCTGGAAACAAAACAAAATTTAAAAATACAGTAAAAACATATAAAGTAACACTTTACTATTCTCTACTTCATAATAGTATCTTTTTAACATGCTAAGTAAGTTGTTATTTACTAATAATTTGCAAAATTTTTGTTACTGTTACATCTTTATAGTGTACACCCTGTTTTTTATATCTGAAATATTTTCCTCTACTATTCTGACAAATTTATTTTTGTGTTTTAAGACTCAGAATGCAGGCTGGGCACAGTAGCTCACACTTGTAATCCCAGCACTTTGGAAGGCCCAGGTGGGATAACTGCTTCAAGCCAGGAGTTTAGGACCAGCCTGGAGACTATAGTGAAACCCTGACTCTATAGAAAATTTGCCAAGCATGGTGGTGTGTACCTGTAGTCCCAGCTACCCAAGAGGTTGAGGCAAGAGGATCCCTTAAGCCCAGGAGTTTCAGTTTGCAGTGAGTCTCGATTATGCCATTGCACTCCACCCTGGGTGACAGAGTAAGAACTTGTTTCCAAAAACAGAAAAGGAAAAAAGGCTCAAAATGCTATGTGAAGTCCTCCCTGAATCTGGCTATCTTTCTCCACATACACAGGTGTCTCCTTCCTTGGGGCTCTCTTAGTACTTTTTGAATTTTTCTAGTGTCACTTCACCATCTGAGCTGCACATCATGTCTTTGCATGTCTATCCCCTTTGTTGCTAGACTGTAGCAATCATCTTTGTATAAACAGTCTTTATTTTACTAAACATTTATTGAGTTCCTGCTAAGTGGTAGGCACTGGGGTTTAAAGAATGAGAATAAAAGCTGTCAGGGATGGCTTTTCTAGAGATCATGCCTGGGCTGAGACTTAGACAGTGAGGTTCACCAGACTAAAACAGGCAGAGGGCAGCAATGATAACACATGCCAGGCAGTGGCAAGAGAGGGAGAGAAGCCTCCCAGAGCATATGTATTTATCTACATGAGAAGGATGGTGACAGAGGCATCACCAGCAGCGCAGTAATGCCAGAAAAAGGGGCAGACAGAGAAAGGGCTGCAGAAGATGAAGCCAGTTTCTGAAAGCCTTATATAAACCAACTATTACTGTCATTTCTTAAATTTTTTAAAAAAGCAAAACAAATTAGAAAAGCGTAATTGCAAGAAAAAGACCAACATTTTATTTGATTGTATCTTATCTTATTTGACTTGATTTTTCTTAGAGATGGGGTCTCACTCTGCCACCCAGGCTACAGTGTAATGTTGCTATCATAGCTAACTACAGGTTCAAACTTCTAGGCTCAAGTAATTCTCCTGCTTCAGACTCCCAAGTAGCTGGGATCACAGGTGCAGAACACTACATCCAGCTACAGTTTTTGAAAAAATAGTCACGGGGTCTGGTGATGTTGCCCAGGTTGCTGGACCTCCAAGCCTCAAGGGATGCTTCTATCTCAGCCTCCAACACTGACGAGATTACAGGCAGGAGCCACCATCCCCGGCAACACCAATATTTTCAAATGAATAAACTGGAGCTCTATCATTTTATTTTATCATGGATGGGTGAAAACTTTGTAATAGACTCATGTACTCCATGGATTTGTGACAAGGAAACTATAGCATTAACTATGGCTGAAGCTTCCCTTGTCTCCCAGTCTCTTTACATGGTTAAGAGTGGAGATACTCAAGTGTCTTACCTTTTGCACCTTCTTTTCTTTTTTTCAAATTTGCAGGCTTCATAGCTGCTGTTTCTGTCAAACATGCAAGCTTCTTAGATATTCCTTCTGGAAGACATCATCCCTCTGCCTCCTTACCTGGCAAAGTTTCACTTACTCTGCGTGCTTACCCTAAATCCTACCCATTTTTTTTTATAAGCTTGCACTCATCAACACAAATTCAAAAGTGAATGGCATCTAATGAACATAATAAATACCTAGTAAATAATAACTATATGCTCCCAGGTGACATCTATCCTCCGTCTACCCTCTACATAATGGGTCAGCACACTGCAGACCACAGGCCAAATCCTGCCTACCATATGTTTTTTCTCAATGAAGTTTTATGAGAGTACAGTCATGCCTATTCACTGACATGCTATCTATGACTGCTTTCACACTACAATGCCAGGGTTGAGTAGCTACAACAGAGACCACATGGCCTTCAGCTGCTTAAATCATTAAATCCTTCTTGAAAAAGAGAGAGAGAGAGAGACCACATGGCCTAAAATATTTCCTATTTGGCCCTTTACAGAAAAAGCTTGCCAATCCCTGCTTTATACCCTCAACAGAATGCCCTATATCTCAAATTGAATCTAATGCCTCCCCTGTTTACACTTTTCCAATGAATTTCTAGAGCAAACACTGCTGGCTCCCTACCCAAGAGCAGTTCCTTGTTGTTTCTTGCTGGAGAATCACAAATCTGTTTGGGTATTTATTATCCCAATACCTCTCCCTCCTCAGCTTCAAAAGATAAGTGATTATTCTAAGCTAATCACATAACTACATTTGCTTTCCCAGTGCCTGGTTTAGGAATGAGCATGTGGTGTGACCCAGCTAATAAAATATTACAGAAAGGGCCGAGCACGGTGGCTCATGTCTGTAATCCCAGTACTTTGGGAGGCTGAGGCAGGCGGATCAAGAGGTCAAGAGACTGAGACCATCCTGGCCAACATGGTGAAACCCCATCACTATTAAAAATACAAAAATTACCTGGGTGTGGTTGCATGTGCCTGTTGTCCCAGCTCTTCGGGAGGCTGAGGCAGGAGAATTGCTTGAACCTGGGAGGTGGAGGCTGCAGTGATCTGAGATCATGCCACTGGACTCCAGACTGGTGATAGAGCGAGACTACATCCCCAAAGGAAAAAAAAAAATTACAAAAAGTCCCCTGCAAGTTTTCTCCCAATTTAAAAGACACGTGAAGAAAAGCATCCCTTCCAGCCTTTAGATACTGTCTTGTGAGAACATGATGTTTGGAGCTGTTGCTAAGTAGCCAACCATGAAGGGAGACATCAACAAGACACTGCCAACAGCATAGCTGAAAGAGGAACAAGTGGGATCCAATAATAACACCGGACAACCAAAACAAGTCTGGTTCTTATGGTTTTGGCCACTGTTAGGTCTTCTAGTATTTGTAGCCAAAAGCATTCTACCTCAGAAGTTTCCCCTGGCCTACAGCATAAGATCTACTCATTTCTATACTATTAAAAGTCTTTTATTGAACTGGTTTCTAGACACAGGTAAAACAACAACAAAGTCTTTCCTAAGCTTGCCTTCACTGACACATACTAAACATAATAAATACATAATAAATAATAACTATAAGCTATTTTCACCTCATTACCAAGCACTCCATATTTTTTTTTGCACTAGTAAATTTGAACTGCTCATAAACTCTACAAAGTTCACTCAGGTGTCCTATCTTTTGAACTTGCTCCTTGTGTTTTAAAACTTTCATTCTTCGTGGCTTCTGCTTCTGTCAAACATGCAAGCTTGTTAGATACTCTTTCTGCCAAGCATCATCCCTCTGCCTCCTTACCTGGCAAAGTTCCACTCACTCTACACACTTACCCTAAATCCTACCCACATTTTAGAAGATTGCATTCATCACCACAAACATAAACGTGCCTGGCACATACTGAACATGATACATACGTAATAAATAACTATAAGCTCCCAGATGACATTGGACACACAGTAAGCACTATTTCAGGTAGTAAATAAAATAAATAACAGTGGTAATAACAATCTCCTAACTCTAGTTTTTAAATGCATTTTGAAACATTGGAAAATGCTTAGTCTATAACAGATACATGATAGTTATTATTTAAATGGACAAGTATTTGAATGAATTATTTTTCTTAAAAATTCTGTTGAAAAAACACAAAAATTAAAGTTATCTATATTCTATTATGAGCACCTTAAAGACAAAAACTATGTCAATTCCATCTTTGTCTCCTGCAATTTGCCAAACCTAACTTATAGAAGTGGTTTGATAAATATGTACTAAATTAAAGGTGTCTTTATATAGTTCAGATTGTACAATGCATTAGGTGTTATATTTTTGTTATTGTGAACCATTTTTATAATTTTATTATAATTTTTTGAGCCTAGAGTTTGGCTATTGGAATATTTATTATGATTATCTCTTGCCTAATGGTAACAGAGTAACTTTTTTTTTTTTTTTTTTGAGATGGAATCTTGCTCTGTCACCCAGGCTGGAGTGCAGTGGTGCATTCTCGGCTCACTGCAATCTCCACCTCCCAGGTTCAAGCAATTCTCCTGCCTCAGCCTCCTGAGTAGTTGGGAATACAGGTGCCCACTCCCATGCCTGGCTAATTTTTGTAATTTTAGTAGAGATACGGTTTCACCATGTTGGCCAGGCTGGTCTCAAACTCCTGACCTCAAGTGATATGCCTTCCTTGGCCTCCCATGTGCTGGGATTACACATGAGCCACCACGCCCAGCCTGGTAACAGATTATTTTGTTCCAATAAAATTACTATTATTATGATAATTATCCAGCACATAAAAAAACACAGCTTGTTCTAAGAAGTGAATATATCTCATGAAGTTCCAACTTACGGTGAATAAATTAAAAATAGACCTTGTTTGTATAAGAATATGTAACATAACTTCTGCTTCTTGGAAAGGAATTACTTTTCTGTCTTCTGCATTCAGTAGGTATCTTCAAAAATAATCTTCTATTTGTATGGGTGCACACTGGCTCCATTTTATGATTCTTATTGCCATTTGTTTATGGTATCAGAAAGGGATTTTCGAATTCCTAGTTCTAAAGACAGTTACTTTCTTAGTGACACAAATTCCTATGTAATGCAGTTGACTCTTGAACAACAAGAGTTTGAACTGCAAGGGTCCACTTATATGCAGATTTTTCTTCTGCTTCTGCAACTCAGAGACAGCAAAACCAACCATTTTCTTCCTCCTCAGCCTAATCAACCTGAAGATGAAAAAGATGAAGACCTTTGGGAGGATTCACTTACGTTTATGGATAGTAAGTATATTTTTTTATTTTCTATGATTTTCTTTATAACAGCTTCATTTCTCTAGCTTACTTTATTCTAAAAGCATAGTATGTAATAATGCAACACATACAAATACGTGTTCACTGACTGTTTATGTTATCACTAAAGTTTCCAGTCAATGGTAGGTTATTAGTAGTTACATTTGGAAGGAGTTGAAGTTGTACTCAGATTTTCAACTCCACAGGGATCAGAGTCCCTAACCCCCACAATATTCAAGAATCAACTGTAATTAAGATTTATTTACTAAATGCAAACCATTTACTATAAAAATTAAATAGAAGATCCATTTGCATAACAAGTCCAATTTGTAACAATGTATAGAAGAAAATGCAACATATTAACTTAATCTAATTTCTTATTTATATTAATACAAAAATATGTAGAATTTCAGGGATCATAAGTAGGTAAATGAATTTTTTCAGACAATACTGTTTGAGACTGAGAATTAGCTACAACTAACTTCTTAAATAACTCTGAATTCTAAACTAAAGAAATTTTAAAAAATTTATATATAAACATATATATTTTAAACTGCTCTTTTATGATTAAAAATATGTAATCTTACTTTTTTTGTTTTCTTTGGAGATAGAGTCTTGCTTTTCCATCCAGGCTGGAGTGCAGTGGTGCAATCTCAGCTCACTGCAATGTCCACTTCCTGGGTTCAAGTGATTCTCCTGCCTCAGCCTCCCGAGTAGCTGGGATTACAGGCGCCCGCCATGACACCCAGCTAATTTTTGTATTTTGAGTAGACATGGGGTTTCACCATGTTAGCCAGGCTGGTCTCAAAATCCTGACCTCAGATGATCCACCCGCCTCAGCCTCCCAAAGTGCTGGGATTACACGTGTGAGCCACCATGCCTGGCCTGTAATTTTGCTTTTTTAAAATCAGTAAGATCACCAAGGGAAATCAGAAATTTACTATCAGAAGTCTTACCTTGATTGTCATTTCAAAGATGATTTTTAAGTTTCTTATTTTTATGTTCCAAAATTTGTTGTTGAATGCTATGCATAATAAATGTAATAAATAAAATTAGTATTTTAATAGTGATATGAAAAATCTTTACCAAACAGATTAAATTCTTAAAGCATTTCAGACAATATCAGAGCTAATATCAGAACTCTAATGTCTAATACACTTTAAAATTTTAAGCTCTATAAACTTATTAAGCTTCTAATTAAAGAAGAAAAACAGGAAGTACTCATAAACTGAGAAAAGCATAGCTCAGTAAATTAATTCTAGTTAGCTAGCTTAACAGTCTGGAAACTGTCCTGCATTCAGAGTAAGTCCTCGCTCTGTAACCAATAGGTATTTTATTTTCAGACCAGTTGCTTCTCTTAGGCTCCATGGCTTCTTCCAAAAAATAAAGATTTTACTACTTGACTTCACTAGGTCGTTAGGAGGATGTAATGAGATAACATGTTTAAATGTTCAGAGAAATAGTAAAGCAATGGAAAAATTTATTCTTGAACTGCATTGCTGAAACCATTTTGGAATCTCAAATAAAACCTGATGAGTGTTTTTCCATAGGTTCTAATATTTGAATGTCACGGTTTTCAGAGAATGTGCTAATTTTGGTTATATTAGTTCTATTCATTGCGGCTTGTAGTTCAGAGCATTTTAGCTAGTTCATAACTTGTAACTAAATTTATATATAAATATATTATTATCTCATTAAAACATATAACCTAATTGTCCCCTATTACTGAGCTCATCAATCACACCAAGGGCAGAAAACTAATAGGTGTCAAAACCTGGCTGGGACAACTACCATTCCTTTTCTACCTCCTCAAACTCAAAGCCAGCAGGTCTGTGTTAGGGGCTGCATCTTCTTGGTCCTCTCCGACTGACATACAAGACAAAGCCCTGCTTGTATTGTTTTTCAGTTCCATGAAAGAGCTGCAAGTTGATGTTTCCTCATTTCCAAGTCATGTACTAACAACATATTTGCATGTAACATCCCATGTGCTACTCAGCTCTGTTCTCATTTCACAGATCACCTTACATGAATACTTTTATAATGATCATAATAACAATTTCCATCTCGGGTGTCTCCCGTTTTGGTTTGACTCACATTGTTTCCTAGAAGCTAGTTAACAAATAGTCAAATGACCTTCTGGGGACTGTGCAATATGTGGAATGCTTTCTGAATTTGTGTGCCCTCCTTAGGCAGCAGGCATGCTTATCTGTTCTGTATTGATCCAATTTCAGAATATGTGCTGCTGAAACAAGTATAAAGCCCTGTTTTATACATGGATACTGATGAGTCATGGGTAAGGCTTAGCTCTGTTAAACCCAAATTACCTACTTTAGATACAGAGAATTCTATTGAATGACTTCTGTGAGGTAAAATTTTAAAATATTTTAAACACTTGAGGTAGAGATGCAAGTAGCCTGAGAGATTTTCATTATTATGGAAACACATTACTTGAGGGGCCAACTCCAAGGTGCCCATTACTCTATTGAAGGATAATGTGGAACCTTTTGCTATCTAACAAAAGCTGCTACACAGGTCAGAAAAAAGCCTCAAGGTACAGATGTGATAACAAAAGGCAAAGGGACCTCTTCTCTCTTCCTGCAACATTATTTGAACATCCCTAACTGTTGAGTAAAATCCCAATTAACATTTGCTAGAGAAAATGGACACTGGTCTCAAAGGATAACATACCATGAAGGTATAGGCTAAGCCTAGCCAAGAGGTGGGCTACAAATAAGATTTTTAATGTTGGGGGAAGGTCAATTTACCACTATGTGTGTGGCTAGAGCCAGGAGGCCTCGCTGCCAGAGCAGGGTGCTGGGAACAATGGCTGAGCCTATGTACATGAACTAAAAAACACTGTAGCTGTGGGCTGGGTGCGGTGGCTCATGCCTGTAATCACAGCACTTTGGGAGGCTGAGACGGGTGGATCATGAGGTCAGGAGATTGAGACCATCCTGGCTAACATGGTGAAACCCCGTCTCTACTAAAAATACAAAAAAAAATTAGCCAGGGATGGTGGCGGGCACCTGCAGTCCCAGTTACTTGGGAGGCTGAGGCAGGAGGATGGCGTGAACCTGGGAGGGGGAGCTTACAGAGAGCTGAGATTGTGCCACTGCATTCCAGGCTGGGCGACTGAGCAAGACTCCGTCTCAAAAAAGCAAAACAAAACAAAACACTGTAGCTGTGGACTCTGTGTATGAGTCACCATGAAGAGTGATGGATCTGAATCAGTAAGGGCATCCTGGTGGCAAAAGTCAATCATTACCAGATTGCAGGACCAGTTACAATGGCAGCAATACAGTAAGTGAATCAATGGAAACAACAGAATGATTAGAATGGCCTTTTCCCCCCTTCTTCTGACTTGTAAAGCAAGATTGTCTTCCTTGGGCTTAGGGAACCCCTTAGCTTTTTGAAAAATTCAAAGGAGGAAGGCATAGGAGATAGCCTCAGGGGATAATACAAGATTTTCTGCTAAAGTGGACATTTCAAGACCCAATAACTAATTAGAAAAGTCAGGCCAGGCACGATGGCTAGCAGTTTGCGAGGCCGAGGCAGGAGAATCACCTGAGCTCAGGAACATGAGTAACATAGTGAGATGTTGTCTCAAAAACAAAAAAAAAAGAAAGAAAAAGTAAAAGATGTGACATTATTTCTATCTCACATATAAGGGTTATACTTGGAATAAAATGAACACTGAGATCCCTAGGGATAAAGGTCTTTAAAAGTCCAGAAAGAATCTTGCACTCATTGCTACTTCTAACTAGTCTAGATTTCTGTTTGATTTCTGGCTAAAAAGTGGACTAACTTGTTGCCATTCCAAACTACCTCAACCAAATTATGAACTGTCACCTAATATATAAGATGCAATAGTTGTAATTGTTTTAAACCTTAATTTAGTATTAACTGGTCTTTTAATATAAGCACATACCTTCTCAAATCACAATAAACAGCATAATCCTCAGCCATTTGGCCAAACATGTCTTGAGAAAAGATATTTATATTTTGTTGAAGGAGGAGGCTGATGATACTTGACGAGCTATGCTGTACTGCAAGCATGAGGGCTGTTCTAAAATAATAAAGAAATAACAGCACTTAAGAACTTTAATAAAGATATTTAATTGGCAAATTGGATACATTTTACCAATTTCATATCTTGCCTGTCAGGATAGACATAGTAACCATTTACATGTACTAGCTTATGTGTATAAGCATCTTGGGTGCTAAAGTGTTCATCTGGGTAAATTACCACCAAGGCTAAACGGCAGGGACAACAAGCAAGCTTCATGTTCCATTGGGATATGACACAATACAAGTTGCTAATTTATAGTCCTTTGATGGCCAAGAAACTGTGCTGAGGTCACTTATCTAAAGTAGGCAAAGATTTAGATGAAGATTTCCCCATTGCTTTCCTAGTCTGATATATTGTAATTCAAAGTCAGCTAGGGATCAAATAAGTAAGAGCTATCTGCATACTGAAAACAACAGCAACAACAATAATAATAATAATAATAATAATGATAATGGTAATAGCAGTAGTTGTAAACTGAAAGTTAAAGTCTACACTTTTTTTTTTTTTTTTTTCAGAACAAATGTTTATTTAATAATTAAGGGCAAACAAAAACATTAAAGCATAGGAATACATCAACTGAATACAAGTTGTCTTGTTTGGTCTGAAATCTTGAAAAAGTTAATCTAACTACTTACCTGAGGTAGATTTAGGTTGGCACTGCTTCAAGGGAACCTCCGTCCATCCCAGAAGTTACCTTCTAGTTTTGGTTACAGGCTCCCAAGTGGTCCTCTCCAACCTCAGGTTATGCTATATGAATAATACCAACACCTTTTTCTCCCATGGTTAAAAGCCTTCAGCCTTGTTTCATACCCCCATAGTTCTCTGTTTGGGGGATGGTCCATCATTAATTTACTTAAAAACTAGAGACAACTACCAGTAAGATCAGTTGAAAGAAGGGTCAAGTCATTGCCCTGTTAATGATACCAACTTTGACCCCTTCTCCATGTTCTCTCTAATGACTAACAAGTAGCCGTAAGGACTACTTTTCATCACCACCATGCCTCACACCCAATACTATTTTAAGTATACTACAAATGTCAAACATATACTAGTGATAGGCATGATTTTCACCAGAGAAAAAAATACATCTTGTGTGTCTTATACTGGGCAACTTTTTATGATACAAGAGCTATTTCTAAATATTACAAAAACATGTCAGATCAAATAAACTTCCAGGATCTTTTTCTAAAAGAAAAAAAAAATACCCTAGAATCCTTATTATCACTATGAGCTATATTCACTGGCCCTAATATTATCATGATCATCAACCAGTCATTAGGATCAAAGCTTAGAGCCATACACAAGGTAGCAGTGTAGCAGTTCGCCAACTCCATGAATCCAAATGGCAATACTCTCTGAAGTTCAGGGATCTGCTAGGACAAATCAAACCAAAATCAGAGGATTTGGACTAGCAACAAAGTATCTATTCACTAGTCTACAAAGTCCCAAATACTATAGGAATCTGAAGTATTGGTATTACACGTCTTTGAATCTCAGGGAAGAAAAAAACTGAGATGTGACCATTGATAGATCTCTAGATTAATTATAGTATTTCTAGAGAACATTAAAGACAATCCTAATTATACTTTTAAATTGGAAACAAGTACTTATCCTTAAGCCTCTGATGAATCTGCCAACTACTTTTCCCTTCTAGTATTTAGAATTCTGCATTCCACGCCATATACCTTATAATGTGGTGATTGCAATCCTTTCCCTGGGATTAAAAGGTATTTTCTCTTTCCTTGGCAGAACTGAAATAAATGAAAGACGTATCATTATGGGTCTTGATTTGCTATAAACAGCAGGATAATGGAGTGAAAAGAACACTAGGTTTGGAGTTAGGATACTCAAAATAAAAAAAGCCTTACTCTTATATTAATAATGCATCATTATGCATTTTTTACTCTATGCCTACTCAGGCTTAAACTTTTCTTTCAGTTTTCCTGTAGCCATTTTACTAGGAGCTGACTGTGGGTAGCTACTGCTGAAAGAGATGATAAGTGAAGTCACAAAAATATGGACACTAAAACCATCATAATCATTATATGAAATTTGCACTTTGAGTTAAAAAGAAATGAATTTCTAAACTTGAAATTTCAAATACCAGTAATAACTTGAAAGATATTTTAGGGGAAAAAACTTTTGAGAGTATGCCTCAACTGACACTAAGTAAAAAGCTGAGTATGCTGTTTCTTTATAAGATTGGTCCTGCAAAGGAAAAACTATTGGGAGAGTTTTGATCTAGGATAGCTACTCCCTAGCTTCTTAAGTTCATTTCACTGCCAGCAAAAGGCTGCCATGTTACTATCAACACTCTAGTCCCATCCTAGACAAGCATAAAAATATCAACCAAGGCAAAGTCAATATACTCCTTTCCCCCAACAGTAACACATGCCACACCTTCTATCATAAGGTTACCGTCCTTTCCTTTATTGGATTTCTGAATTTTTTAAAAAGTAAAAGTAAAGCAATCATTAAGTAGTTCAGATAAAAGAAAAGCATCTTTACCTGAGTTACCCATCAGGTCTACTCTGACCCGCCCTAGCTTCTCCCAGAACAAGCTTCTGGGTATCTAAAAAACTATTTTCATACTGATTTCATGTAAAGTCCTCTCTACCATATGAGTCAACTAACTATGAGAACAGTCTTCTCATACATATGTACATAGATTCTCACCCACAATTAAATCTCTCACTGCAGAACAGGTTTTTTGGGGCCTGATAAGACAGGAGCTTCTACCAAAGGTTTTCTCAGACTCAAGGTAAGTATGGGTTTTTTCACCTATGTGAGTTCCCTGATGTACCACAAGAGTTGATCATTGACAAGCACTCTTCATTCAGACACTTGCAGTCTTTCCTCAGATTGGGTTTTTTTTTTTGGGTGCAAACCCAAGTAAGGCTCTCCAATGAATGCTTTTGCCATACGTAAGACAAATATACAATTTTTCACCAGTATGGCTTCTCTGATGGGTAAGTCAGAGTTTTGTTAGAAGCTTTTTTCACACTTGCTGGGGCTTCTCCCCAGGGTGGGTTTTCTGAGGTCCAATGAGATGTTCATACTGTCTGCAGCACAACTGACACTGAAGGCATTTAAAAAGTTGTTCTCCGGTGTGAATTCTCTTACAACGAGAAGGGCTGAGCATTAGTAGAAAGCTCTCTCACACTCAGTGCATTTCTAAGGTTTCCCACTTGTATGAATCCTCTTGTGAGTGATCAAATTTGAGCTCAGACGGTAAGTTTTCAAAACCTCTGGGCATCTGTAGATTTCTCGTTGGAGTGAGGATGAAGTGTTCTGTTAGGGCAGCTCTCTGGGCAAAGAATTTCTCATATTTCCAATTGCAGGCTCTCTGGTCCCCACTGAATTCTGAGCTCTGAGCAAAGTCTGAGATTTGTCCTCATCTTAATGAGTTCTCTGATACATAAATAATTTTTAATATTGGTATTACAGCTTCTCGCCTGGTCAAGACATCTGTGAGGCTTCTGACGCATGGGGAGGGCTAAGCTCAAGACCTTTTTCACTCACATTACAGACAAACGGTTTTTCACCAATGCGTACTGTCTGATGTTGAAGAAGGGCTGAACTCTGGTGGAAGCTTTTATCACATACAGTGTATTTATAGTGTAGCTCCTCTGTTTGAGTTCTCATTTTCTGTTGGGCAACAAAGTCCATTCCTAGGAGGAAGCCACTCTCACACGCAGACCACTGATGTGGTTTCTCTTCCATGTGAATTCTCTGATGTACAATAAGATCTGAGCTACAGTTAAAGCTTTTTTCATATTCAAGGCATTTAAAAGTGTGAGTGTGAGTTGCCTGGTGCCTAATTAGGTTGGCACTCCGAGTAAAACTTCTCATACATTCCAGGCATTTATACGGCTTCTCACCTGTGTGGACTCTCTGGTGCACGATAAGGTCTGATTTCTGGCCAAAGCATTTTTCACAGGCACCACACTTATAGGGCTTCTCCCCAGTATGAACTCTTTTATGTACAATGAAGGCTGAACGGTGTCGGTAACTTTTCTCACACTTATTACATTTGTAGGGCCTTTCCCCAGTGTGAGTTCTCTGGTGGCTAATAAGATCTGATTTCCCACTAAAAGCTTTTTCACACTCGAGACACTTAAATGGTTTCTCACCTGTGTGAGTTCTTCGATGCCTTATGAGGTTTGTACTTCTACTGAAGCATTTGTCACACTCACTACATAGATATGGTTTCTCGCCAGTATGGCTTCGCTGGTGGACAAGCAGATCAGAACTCTGACCAAAATTCTTGCCACAAATGTCACATGTATAGAATTTTTTACCTGCATGTGTTCTCTGATGTCCTGAAAGCACTAAGTGATGCCAAAAGCTCTTCTCACATTTGCTACATTTATAAGGTTTCTCGTAATTGTGGATCCTCTGGTGTGAAGTAAGATCTGAGCTTTGGACAAAGGTTTTCTCACACATATCACATTTATAAGGTTTCTCCCCAGTATGGGTTCTCTCACACATAATAAGAGCTAAGTTTTCACACAAGTTTTGCTTGCATTCAAGGCACTGGTATATATGACCATCTATCTGAATAATCTCATGCATATGAATAAAAATCTTTTTACCCTTCCGAGGGCATACATTATATATTTTCCTTTTTTGAGTTCTCTGATTACATTTCTCTTCTGAAGTGTACATTTTCTATGGCTCTCTCCTAGGGAGTTTTCCGCTGGTCTTCTTGACCCATCGTTGCCCTCACAGTCATTTTCTTGATAAGAACTTGGAAGATACATCTGTTTCAGGCCTTTCAATCATGAGCCTCTACAAGTTTCCAGCATCATATATGTTAATTCCTTACTTGGTATTTCCAACCCTAGAATCCAGATGGAAGAAAACATACATTCCTGATCCTGACTATTTGACTTCTCAAAGAAGATAGCATTCGTAACAAGAAAGACTCAAGACCATCTTCCTTTTGGTTTCAAAAGGTCTCTAGTTCAGAACTATTCACAACACTCAATTCTTGCCTCTCCCTGGCAGCCGCCGGCGCCGCCCCTAGGCCTGGGGACAGCACTTCCGGTTACTCTCCGGACACTCGAATCTGGGCTTCCTGGCGGCCGCAGACTCTGCGATAGTAGATCTAAGGGCCAGGCTTCGGGAAGGAAAGAAAAGCGAACCCGGCACGGACAAGACCTAGGAGCAACTCCCTTCGTGCGCCTAGACTAGAGGAGCTGGGGCCAGGCCGCCCACAGAGCGCTTTAACAGAGCGCTTCAAGGGCCCACAAGGCCGGCAACGCAAACCCTTTCAAGCTGGCTGGGAAGAGGCCGGCGCCAAGTCTACACTTTATAAAATTAATAAAATACAAAACCCCTTTAGCTAATATAAGATTACAGGACCAAAAACATCAAATTACAAATAACAGTCTATAAGAGAAGATGAATCCTACTATATACTGTTTTTTATGTTGCTCAGTCCAAATAACTGCTTTTCTACCTAACTGATTATTCATGTTATTTTTTACTATATGCCAATAATTATAAGTTAAATCTTATTAACAGTTCTGACTTGAGTGACTCTTACCACTCTAGAACACTCAGATTTTTAGGAAAAAAAACAAACAAACCAAAAACAAAAACTATTGCACCTTCTGAAATTGTCAACGGCATGTATATTTGCCTGGTTCTTCAATAAGAATTCCACCACATGCTGTCTCCCAGAATTTATAGCAAACAAAAGTGGAGTGTTTCCCTCCTGTAAAAAGCAAAAACAATTTATAATTCACAAAAGTATGTATTTCTCAACTGAACTAAAAATCTTCTATAAGATGCTATGAACTTAAACATGCAATATAGAGAGAAAGTAAATGCAAAGCAGTCCCGTCCTTTTCACTCCTCTGTGCTTTCCCACACACTGTCTTGTGAACACCCCTCCTCTGCCTCCCCACATTAACTTCGGTCATCTCCAAAACTCCCTTTTTTACCAGTCCCAAAAATCCTTGCTTCTGTCTCAGCATTTAGCACAGTACATTGTAATTATTTCATTGTTTCCCACTGAAACCAAGAGCTTCTCGAGGGCAAGGGCTGTATCTTTTTTCTCTATAACCCTAAAACCTAAGACATAGTAGTGAATGCTTTAAGTTTTTAAAATAAATTAATGATCTAAATTATTATCTCTGGAGCCGTGTTTCTTAAACTATATTTCGAAGAATATTTGTTTTACCAGAAGAACTGTACCCCAACAAAAAGATTCCATGATCATCTGCATTTGAGAAGTATTACAAAATTATATTACATGGCCAACAATCTAGAAATCCCTTGAACTTTGCCTAATCTCAATTTGACAATACTTTTTGTGGCAAACATTAACATTTTAGGAACTAGAGTTTCAGGGATACAGTTGCCAGAGCTTCCCAATACAAGTGGAGGTTTCCTCTCGGTGGCACAAACTTGCTTGATTTACTTCTATCAATGTTGTCAGGATGCCAATGTCAGGCACTCCTGATCCAAAGGGGCCACTAAGGAAATGAGCTGTGAATTAAGAGAGATTGGCTTCAAAATCACTTATTTTCCTTATTATTAAATAGTCCATGGGATTTTTCCTAATACAAGAGGATAGATTTTAATCTTAACTATTAGAAAGCTCAGTATGTTCTGTGTAAGACAGACCAGTTAAAAATTTTTGAAAATAAATATTAAAAAGCAAAGCTCAGGAAGAAATTCTATTCTCAATTATAATGATAATCCTGGGATGCTAATGCAACTTTACTTTTTAAATCCATTCGTATTGATTTCCATTTAAATTGCTATTTAACTTTTTTTTACTTTAGGCAAAATATAAATCAGAAATAAAAATACAATGGCTTATCAAAAAAAGTTCTAATACTGATGTATAGGGCTTATTTCTAGCATAATAAAAGCCAGTAAGTCACTTGCATTTTTGTCTTTTGAAATGGGGTCTCACACTGTCACCCAGGCTGGAGTGCAGTGGCATGATCGCCACTCACTGCAAACTCCACCTCCTGAGTTCATGCCATTCTCTTGCCTCAGCCTCCCAAGTAGCTGGAACTGCAGGTGCCTGCCACCACACCCGGCTAATTTTTTGTATTTTTAGTACAGACGGGGTTTCACCGTGTTAGCCAGGATGGTCTCCATTTCCTGACCTTGTGATCTGTCTGCCTTGGCCTCCCAAAGTGCTGGGATTACAGGCATGAGCCATCGCACCCAGCCATCACTTGTATTTTTAAGGGACATTGCTAAGAAGAAAGATATAATGTCTGCAATATTCATAATCTATCCACTTCTCAGCAGGAATAACCTAAAAAGGCTTCTAGGCATTCTTATGAGCAGATGACTATTTGTGGTATAGATATAAAAAAACAGGTAGGCATTCTTATGAGCAGATGACTATTTGTGGTATAGATATAAAAAAAGAGTTAAAAAGACTTCTGAATTCTAAAATTCAACTCTATAATTGAGGGACTTATATAAACTATAGACTATATATTATGAACCAATATATGGTGTCTTGAAAACCTTGAATTCTTTATGAAAACATACGATAAAAAAGGAGTTGTAAACTCAAATACTTATAAGGATGAAGGAGGTTACCTAAGTAAGTGAAGTACTCAGGTGGACACAGTAGCAAACTGGAGAATATGTGCCTCCTACACAGGGCAACCTCTGCACAGCAGACCAAGCAGTGATGCGGTTCAGGGGACACCAGATTTGATTCTTAAGCCTGATGTCCAGATTTCTGCATGAGTCCACTAAAGTTTACATGTTGAATCAATTCAAAGAGGCAAAGAACAAATCTATATGCCACATTTAGACTACAGCCCTTGTGTTTTTATATTTGCCATGAATGTGTTGCTAAATGATTGTGTATAAACCAAGTACTTGCATGTGGAACTTTTTCTTTCTCTAGTATCATATGTTTAATAAAAAAACTCAGGCCCTGATATATACATAATAAAAATTGCTGTTAACACTCATAATACCCACCTCAAGAATTTTCCCAACATTTATTCATTTGCAATCTATGTGTATATAATTTTCCCAGATTGTTAACCAAATAGATAATTACTTCATAGGAATGCTGAAACTAAATTATTAAAATAATTCCTATTGTATTCTCACTGACTTCAAGGATTTCAGTGTTTAAAACTGACATCCTGATAATGCCAAAGCTCTATAAACTTAATAGACATACTGAGATAGTCCCTAATACAACTGCAACTGAAAAAAAAAGGTTCAAGATCTGCTACTGATCTAATTGAGAAAATTTCACTTGTAATGAACACTTGTTGACACATAATCGCTTGAATGGTGACAAAGGAACATGAAATTGTGAAAGGGTCAGTCTCTACTTGTTGAAAGATTACCCACAAGTAAATTGCTAAAAACTTTCTGAATGGCAGTGAATGATTCATGGTGGGAAGCAAAAGGTGTTATTCTGTAAGCTGAGAGATGTTGCCAGTGATATTTCCTTTCACTTCCCAGTCACAAACGTAGAGAAAGACAGATAAGTCAGGTTAATGTTATTGGAAAAGAGAACTTTGAAGAAAGTAGCACCTATCAAATGCCAACTCTTTTAGAGATTTCTTATGTCTTTGAGATACGGGAATTTATATACTGCACTTATCTATTCTGTGCTTCTTAATCAGGAGTGTATTCGAACACTTAGGTTTTTTTTTTTGCTCTTGTTGTAAGAGACAAGAGCCTTACTATGTATTTTTAATAGAGATGGGGTTTCACCATGTTAGCCAGGATGGTCTCCATCTCCTGACCTCGAGATCTGCCCACCTCAGGCTGGACTCAAACTCCTAGGCTCAAGCAATCCTCCCACCTCAGCCTCCTGAGTAGCTGGACTACAGGAGCATGCCACTGTGCATGGCTTCAAGAAAATATTTTTAACCATACGTGTTCAGAAGTTATTAGATCTATAACATCAAAATCCTCAGGGGAAAGCCTACACTTGTAGACTTTTAACAAAATTTCCCGAGGTCACTGTAATGCACAATTCTTGCTGAGAATTACTGCAGCAGACAATCACTTCAGTTTCATCTCTCACCCACACAGCCAATATCCTTTATTAGCTTGGGATGTGGCCAGAGAGAAGAGTATGAGATAAGAGTTATGTATTAAAACTCCAGTGAATTTTCCTGGGTGTGGGTATAACAGGGACAAGTAAACTCAAAATCCCAGTTGATTTTGCTATTTATAAGCTGCTCATCTCCCACCTTCCCACCAAGATATTCTAGATTTGAAAGGAGAGTTTAGACTCTTAGCTAAGTTGCTGTTTTTGCCAGGATGTGTAGTAAGTCAGTTACTAATTTGTTCCACCCTTTGCTGAAGTGTTTCTCACTTCATCACTGTATATTCACTGCCAATCTGGTTTCCTCAGAGTCCTCTAAAAATTAATCTTTAGGCAAGTTTCAGTCACTCTTTTTACCAAACCAAAAATGATTACCCCAAAGCTGAAGAGTGTTTTGTCTCAATACATAAACTGGAAAAAAAACAAACTAAAAAACAAAACCTCTTCTTGGCATTTTCCCTCATTACCTAATTTCCAAGTGACCTGCATGTTTTTGATTGCTCTCCTTTTCCCTTCCTATTTTTCCCTCTTAAACCTTGCCCATGAAAGATACATCCATTTTGTCAGAAGACCATCAGCAGCAGCAAGACTTCCATTTATTGTAAGTTGTTTTAGTTTTGAGTTTTAAGATAAAGCCTATTTCCAGGGCAATTTTTTTTCCTGTGATGTTTTTACACTAATTAGAAAAAAAATACACCGGGGGTAGGAAACAAATACTTGAAAAGAAGTTTTACCTTAACAAATTCACAAATACTTCCCATAAGTGCACTAAAATAGCTGTGCCCTCTAATACTTCTTTAAAAGTATCAATATTTAAAGTAAAATTTTAGACAATTAAGTTATTTCAAAACATTTTCATTCAGGAAAACTTGAGTTCCAAATATGAAAAATTGACTCTTACCTATGTCAACGTTAAAACAAACATTTTGAAAAGAAAGTTGACTGATCTGTACCTTGTTTAGTGCTTTAATATTTGCATGGTGGGAAAGCAGTTTTTCTGCCAGTGAAGTCCCCTTATTATACACAGCATAATAGAGAGCAGTGTTGCTGTAGATATCCTTAATGTTTGGATTGGCACCATGTTCCAGGAAAATAATGGCACAAGCCTCTTCCTGGCAGTGTACAGCCTATTAGTGTTAGATAAAAAATTAGACTATAAATTCTAATAATTCAAAATACATATTCCACAGGTTCCACCAACTAGCTAATTTAAATGAGACAAATTCATTTTAATTCGGTGGAAGAGCCAAGATGGCTGAATAGGAACAGCTCCAGTCTACAGCTCCCAGCATGAGTGACGCAGAAGACGGGTGATTTCTGCATTTCCATCTGAGGTACCGGGTTCATCTCACTAGGGAGTGCCAGACAGTGGGTGTAGGACAGTGGGTGCACCACACCGTGCGCGAGCCGAAGCAGGGCAAGGCATTGCCTCACTCGGGAAGCACAAGCACAAGGGGTCAGGGAGTTCCCTTTCCTAGTCAAAGAAAAGGGTGACAGATGGCACCTGGAAAATCGGGTCACTCCCACCCTAATACTGCGCTTTTCCGACGGGCTTAAAAAAAGGCACATCAGGAGATTATATCCCGCACATGGCTCGGAGGGACCTATGCCCACAGAGTCTCGCTGATTTCTAGCACAGCAATCTGAGATCAAACTGCAAGGCAGCAGCAAGGCCGGGGGAGGGGCACCCGCCATTGCCCAGTCTTGCTTACATAAACAAAGCAGCTGGGAAGTTGGAACTGGGTGGAGCCCGCCACAGCTCAAGGAGGCCTGCCTGCCTCTGTAGGCTCCACCTCTGGGGGCAGGGCACAGACAAACAAAAAGACAGCAGTAACCTCTGCAGACTTAAATGTTCCTGTCTGACAGCTTTGAAGAGAGCAGTGCTTCTCCCAGCACACAGCTGGAGATCTGAGAACGGGCAGACCGCCTCCTCAAGTGGGTCCCTGACCCCTGACCCCCAAGCAGCCTAACTGGGAGGCACCCCCCAGTAGGGGCAGACTGACACCTCACACAGCCGAATATTCCTCTGAGACAAAACTTCCAGAGGAATGATCAGACAGCAGCATTCGCGGTTCATGAAAATCCGCTGTTCTGCAGCCACCGCTGCTGATACCCAGGCAAACAGGGTCTGGAGTGGACCTCTAGCAAACTCCAACAGACCTGCAGCTGAGGGTCCTGTCCGTTAGAAGGCAAACTAATAAACAGAAAGGACATCCACACCAAAAACCCATCTGTACATCACCATCATCAAAGACCAAAAGTAGATAAAACCACAAAGATGGGGAAAAAAACAGAGCAGCAAAACTGGAAACTCTAAAAAGCAGAGTGCCTCTCCTGCAAAGTAACACAGTTCCTCACCAGTAACGGAACAAAGCTGGACGGAGAATGACTTTGCCGAGTTGAGAGAAGAAGGCTTCAGACGATTAAACTACTCCGAGCTACAGGAGGAAATTCAAACCAAAGGCAAAGAAGTTAAAAACTTTGAAAAAAATTTAGAAGAATGTATAACTAGAATAACCAATACAGAGAAGTGCTTAAAGGAGCTGATGGAGCTGAAAACCAAGGCTTGAGAACTATGTAAAGAATGCAGAATCCTCAGGAGCCGAAGTGATCAACTGGAAGAAAGGGTATCAGTGATGGAAGATGAAATGAATGAAATGAAGCGAGAAGGGAAGTTTAGAGAAAAAAGAATAAAAAGAAATGAACAAAGCCTCCAAGGAATATGGGACTATGTGAAAGACCAAATCTATGTCTGATTGGCGTACCTGAAAGTGACGGGGAGAATGGAACCAAGCTGGAAAACACTCTGCAGGATATTATCCAGGAGAACTTCCCCAAACTAGCAAGGCAGGCCAATATTCAGACTCAGGAAATACAGAGAACGCCACAAAGATACTCCTCGAGAAGAGCAACTCAAGACACATAATTGTCAGATTCACCAAAGTTGAAATGAAAGAAAAAATGTTAAGGGCAGCCAGAGAGAAAGGTCGGGTTACCCACAAAGGGAAGCCCATCAGACTAACAGCGGATCTCTTGGCAGAAACTCTACAAGCCAGAAGAGAGTGGGGGCCAATATTCAACATTCTTAAAGAAAAGAATTTTCAACCCAGAATTTCATATCCAGCCAAACTAAGCTTCATAAGTGAAGGAGAAATAAAATACTTTACAGACAAGCAAATGCTGAGAGATTTTGTCATCACCAGGCCTGCCCTAAAAGAGCTCCTGAAGGAAGCACTAAACATGGAAAGGAACAACCAGTACCAGCCACTGCAAAATCATGCCAAATTGTAAAGACCATTGAGGCTAGGAAGAAACTGCATCAACTAACGAGCAAAATAACCAGCTAACATCATAATGACAGGATCAAATTCACACATAACAATATTAACTTTAAATGTAAATGGACTAAACGCTCCAATTAAAAGACACAGACTGGCAAATTGGATAAAGAGTCAAGACCCATCAGTGTGCTGTATTCAGGAAACCCATGTCACATGCAGAGACACACATAGGCTCAAAATAAAAGGATGGAGGAAGATCTACCAAGCAAATGGAAAACAAAAAAAGGCAGGGGTTGCAATCCTAGTCTCTGATAAAATAGACTTTAAACCAACAAAGATCAAAAGAGACAAAAAGGCCATTACATAATGGTAAACGGATCAATTCAACAAGAAGAGCTAACTATCCTAAATATACATGTACCCAATACAGAAGCACCCAGATTCATAAAGCAAGTCCTGAGTGACCTACGAACAGACTTAGACTCCCACACAATAATAATGGGAGATTTTAACGCCCCACTGTCAACATTAGACAGATCAACGAGACAGAAAGTTAACAAGGATACCCAGGAATTGAACTCAGCTCTGCACCAAGCGGACCTAATAGACATCTACAGAACTCTCCACCCCAAATCAACAGAATATACATTTTTTTCAGCACCACACCACACCTACTCCAAAATTGACCACATACTGGGAAGTAAAGCTCTCCTCAGGAAATGTAAAAGAACAGAAATTATAAAAAACTGTCTCTCAGACCACAGTGCAATCAAACTAGAACTCAGGATTAAGAAACTCACTCAAAACTGCTCAACTACATGGAAACTGAACAACCTGCTCCTGAATGACTACTGGGTACATAACGAAATGAAGGCAGAAATAAAGATGTTCTTTGAGACCAACGAGAACAAAGACACAACATACCAGAATCTCTGGGACACATTCAAAGCAGTGTGTAGAGGGAAATTTATAGCACTAAATGCCCACAAGAGAAAGCAGGAAAGATCCAAAATTGACATCCTAACATCACAATTAAAACAACTAGAAAAGCAAGAACAAACACATTCAAAAGCTGGCAGAAGGCAAGAAATAACTAAAATCAGAGCAGAACTGAAGGAAATAGAGACCAAAAAAACCCTTCAAAAAATTAATGAATCCAGGAGCTGGTTTTTTGAAAGGATCAACAAAATTGATAGACTGCTAGCAAGACTAATAAAGAAGAAAAGAGAGAAGAATCAAATAGACGCAATAAAAAATGATAAAGGGGATATCACCACTGATCCCACAGAAATACAAACTACCATCAGAGAATACTACAAACACCTCTACGCAAATAAACTAGAAAATCTAGAAGAAATGGATAAATTCCTCGACACATACACCCTCCCAAGACTAAACCAGTAAGAAGTTGAATCTCTGAATAGACCAATAACAGGATCTGAAATTGTGGCAATAATCAATAGCTTACCAACCAAAAAGAGTCCAGGACCAGATGGATTCACAGCCGAATTCTACCAGAGGTACAAGGAGGAACTGGTACCATTCCTTCTGAAACTATTCCAGTCAATAGAAAAAGAGGGAATCCTCCCTAACTCATTTTATGAGGCCAGCATCATCCTGATACCAAAGCCGGGCAGAGACACAACCAAAAAAGAGAATTTTAGACCAATATCGTTGATGAACATTGATGCAAAAATCCTCAATAAAATACTGGCAAACCGAATCCAGCAGCACATCAAAAAGCTTATCCACCAAGATCAAGGGGGCTTCATCCCTGGGATGCAAGGCTGGTTCAATATACGCAAATCAATAAATGTAATCCAGCATATAAACAGAACCAAAGACAAAAACCACATGATTATCTCAATAGATGCAGAAAAGGCCTTTGACAAAATTCAACAACCCTTCATGCTAAAAACTCTCAATAAATAAGGTACTGATGGGACGTATCTCAAAATAATAAGAGCTATCTATGACAAACCCACAGCCAATATCATACTGAATGGGCAAAAACTGGAAGCATTCCCTTTGAAAACTGGCACAAGACAGGGATGCCCTCTCTCACCACTCCTATTCAACATAGTGTTGGAAGTTCTGGCCAGGGCAATTAGACAGGAGAAGGAAATAAAGGGTATTCAGTTAGGAAAAGAGGAAGTCAAATTGTCCCTGTTTGCAGAGGACATGATTGTATATCTAGAAAACCCCATTGTCTCAGCCCAAAATCTCCTTAAGCTGATAAGCAACTTCAGCAAAGTCTCAGGATACAAAATCAATGTACAAAAATCACAAGCATTCTTATACACCAATAACAGACAAACAGAGAGCCAAATCATGAGTGAACTCCCATTCACAATTGCTTCAAAGAGAATAAAATACCTAGGAATCCAACTTACAAGGGATGTGAAGGACCTCTTCAAGGAGAACTACAAACCACTGCTCAATGAAATAAAAGAGGATACAAACAAATGGAAGAACATTCCATGCTCATGGGTAGGAAGAATCAATATCGTGAAAATGGCCATACTGCCCAAGGTAATTTATAGATTCAATGCCATCCCCATTGAGCTACCAATGACTTTCTTCACAGAATTGGAAAAAACTATTTTAAAGTTCATATGGAACCAAAAAAGAGCCCGCATCACCAAGTCAATCCTAAGCCAAAAGAACAAAGCTGGAGGCATCACGCTACCTGACTTCAAACTATACTACAAGGCTACAGTAACCAAAACAGCATGGTACTGGTACCAAAACAGAGATATAGATCAATGGAACAGAACAGAGCCCTCAGAAATAACGCCGCATATCTACAACTGTCTGATCTTTGACAAACCTGAGAAAAACAAGCAATGGGGAAAGGATTCCCTATTTAATAAATGGTGCTGGGAAAACTGGCTAGCCATACGTAGAAAGCTGAAACTGGATCCCTTCCTTATACCTTCTACAAAAATCAATTCAAGATGGATTAAAGACTTAAATGTTAGACCTGAAACCATAAAAACCCTAGAAGAAAACCTAGGCATTACCATTCAGGACATAGGCATGGGCAAGGATTTCATGTCTAAAACACCAAAAGCAATGGCAACAAAAGACAAAATTGACAAATGGGATCTAATTAAACTAAAGAGCTTCTACACAGCAAAAGAAACTACCATCAGAGTGAACAGGCAACCTGCAAAATGGGAGAAAATTTTCGCAACCTACTCATCTGACAAAGGGCTAATATCCAGAATCTACAGTGAACTCAAACAAATTTACAAGAAAAAAACAAACAACCCCATCAAAAAGTGGGCGAAGGACATGAACAGACACTTCTCAAAAGAAGACATTTATGCAGCCAAAAAACACATGAAAAAATGCTCATCATCACTGGCCATCAGAGAAATGCAAATCAAAACCACAATGAGATATCATCTCACACCAGTTAGAATGGCAATCATTAAAAAGTCAGGAAACAACAGGTGCTGGAGAGGATGTGGAGAAATAGGAACACTTTTACACTGTTGGTGGGACGGTAAACTAGTTCAACCATTGTGGAAGTCAGTGTGGCGATTCCTCAGGGATCTAGAACTAGAAATACCATTTGATCCAGCCATCCCATTACTGGGTATATACCCAAAGGATTATAAATCATGCTGCTATAAAGACACATGCACACGTATGTTTATTGTGGCACTATTCACAATAGCAAAGACTTGGAACCAACCCAAATGTCCAACAATGATAGACTGGATTAAGAAAATGTGGCACATATACACCATGGAATACTATGCAGCCATAAAAATGATGAGTTCATGTCCTTTGTAGGGACATGGATGACATTGGAAATCATCATTCTCAGTAAACTATCGCAAGGGCAAAAAACCAAACACTGCATGTTCTCACTCATAGGTGGGAATTGAACAATGAGAACACACGGACACAGGAAGGGGAACATCACACACCAGGGCCTGTTGTGGGGTTGGGGGAGGGGGGAGGGATAGCATTAGGAGATATACTAATGCTAAATGACGAGTTAATGGGTGCAGTACACCAGCATGGCACATGTATACATATGTTAACTAACTTGCACATTGTGCACAAGTACCCTAAAACTTAAAGTATAATAATAATAAAATAAAATTCATTTTAATTCTATGTATTTAAATCAAATGCATTTCATGCTGAAAGAGTTGGCTACTATGTACCTTCATTAAAGACGTCCTGTTTAGTCTGTCACAGATGTCAATCAGGCATCTTCTCCCCAGCAAGAGAGTGACCACTTCCACATGGCCATGGGCACAGGCCAAATGTAGAACAGTCCTAAGTGAGCGAGAGGAGTTTTCAGGAAATGTAGTGCAGTATCTCAAAACCTACAATGGTTCATGTAATTGTATACATTGAATGGCATGTTATTCCTCTGCCTTCAAAACAAACAATTTTCTTTTGAAGAAAGTACAATATTTATTAGCTCTTACTGCTCCCTACCTTAATGAAACAGCAGCCTATTTGGATAGAATAAGCTTGGTGTTTGGATTCAGTTCAACTAGGGTTTGAGTTCCACTTTGAACTCAGTCACATACCAGCTATTGCTTAGCCTTTCTGTGCCTGAATTTCCTCATTAATAAAGATGACAAAGCAGCTAGCTCACAAGACACCAGTGTGATGCTTAAATGAGACTCTATGTAAAGCATTTAGAACCACTTCCAGAACAAGCAACAACTCAATAATTGTTAGATTTTTGTTTGTTGAGACAGTCTTGCTCTGTTGCCCAGGCTGGAGTGCAATGGTGTATTTATGCCTCACTGCAGCCTGGAACTCGCAGGCTCAAGCAATCCTCCTGCCCAGCCTCCTGAGTAGCTGGGACTACAGGAGTGCACCAGCATGATCAGCTAATTTTTAAAATTTTTTTGTAGAGTAGGAATGTCACTTTGTTGCCCAGGCTGGTCTCAAACTCCTAGCATGGTGGGAACTTCCCACCTCAGCTTTCCAAAGTTCTGGAATAACAGCTGTGAGCCACGCACTCAGCCAGATGTTATAATTATTACTATTACTACTCCTTAACAAAAACATTTTAATTAAGTAAAATGATACAATTATTGCTATTTTGCAGGATGATTTAAAGATTAGGTCACATTTCAGAGCATCTGATATTGGAATAGTATTTATAATTCATAATTTTTTATAACTATAATTGGTAGCATTTAAAAATCATCTTCTTAATATAGAAAATAGTAGGGTATCACACAATCCATGAGGCCTTACAGTAAGTAGAATACTGTATACACAGCAGGTCTAGGGCAGTTCTAGGCATCTAATTGACACTTAAATACATTTTAATTCCTAAAAGTACCATGGGGAAAGAGCACTGAAATAACAACATATTTTTTAAACAAATTACTTCTTACTCTGATTTTTAAAAATGTGAAGCTGTCCGGGTGCGGTGGCTCATGCCTGTAATCCCAGCACTTTGGGAGGCCAAGGTGGGTGGATCTGTAGGTCAGGAGTTCAAGACCAGCCTGGCCAACATGGTGAAACCCCGTCTCTACTAAAACTACAAAAATTAGCTGGGCGTGGTAGCAAGCACCTGTAATCCCAGCTACTCAGGAGGCTGAAGCAGGATAATCACTTGAACCTTGGCAGCAGAGGTTGCAGTGAGCTGAGATCACGCCACTGCACTCCAGCCTAGGCGACAGAGTAAGACTCTGTCTCAAACAAAACAAAACAAAACAAAAAAACCGTGAAGCTAAAGGAAACTCATGATTGAGATGAACAGGTATGGCTCATTTTAGTGAACACTTAGATTTACAGAATATATGCAAATCAGACTTTCCAATGATTAATATTAGTATTTAAGACTGATAAATTTTCAAAAGGGCAGTTAAAGCTTATCTCTTATTGTTTTCTACCTTCAGAAATGCTTTTGCTTGAAAGGTGGGAGGAAAAGCTTCAATAAGATTAAGTCCTACTATTCCCATTTTAAATCTCTCATCTTGCTGAGGCAGAACAGGTAAACAAAGTTTTTAAGTATGGAAGGGTCCTGGGAGATAGTGCAAAAAGTCTGCTACATAACATATTCAGGTTATGTTTGATGAATAAATGGATTGATAGAATAGAGTTGGGGAGCTCAATATTTTTAAATACAACTTCTATAAACCAATATTTTTGTGATAGTAATAATATTTGCTATTTGTTATTTTTATAAGACTACAACTATAATGAAATTATTAATCTATCATTGTTTGCCTATATGTAATGAATCTATACATAAGAAAAACATATACACATAATAAAGTATATACATAAAATCTGCAAGCAGATAAAAAGATTCCCTTTTTACTTCTGAAGAAGCTAAAAGTTCAAACAAGATAACAACCCTCACAATAATAATGATAAAAAATAGTGAGAAATTATTTTTATCTATACAAGATTCACATTTCTCTCTTCCCAAAATTTATTCCATTAATAATATATTTTTACTAGAAATTTTATAAATGCTCACTTCAGAAATCAAACGTAAGAAAAAGGAACAAAAAACTTTAAAATACAAATGCTCAGAAGTTACAAATTTTATCCTATTTTGTACATAGTTTTACCTAACACCAGACCATAGTATGTTTGTGTGTATGTGCAAGCAAACTGATTTCTTTTTCCTCACTGGCTGTAACAAAATGCATTTTCACACATCAACATACTTCTCTACCTATTGCCACCTTCAATGGCCACATATCCGTTCTATGGGTTCTTGTTAACATAAATGCTGGGGAAAAAAGTGCATGTATCTCTATTTTCTGAAGGTATTTTATTACAATGGAATTGATGGGTAAAGGGCATATACATTTTTAAAATGTGGTAATTATCTCCAAATTATCCACTTGAAAAGTCATCAGCAAGTTAAACTTCAAGCAGCAGTGTAAGTGCCACTGCTCTTTATTCTCACAAACACTGTGGATGGAAAACAGTCTCATTCCTCTTTTAACTTAAATTCTCTTATGAGAAACACTAAGGAATTTTTCCTATGTACATAAGTAACTTGTGGATCTGCAAAAAGTACTTTGCTCACTTTTAGACTTCTTTTCTTTCGGATTTGATTGGAAAGAATTCCCTGTAAAATAAAGTTGTGCTTTTTATCTGTATATATATATAACTGATATATATAACATTATATTAGTAATACATACAATTTGTTATACATATAATCAGTAATATATATATTATATATAATAAAGAATAAATTCCCTGTAGGATGAAGATACACTTTTCATCTGAATACATATTTTTATATATTAGTAAAAATATATATGGTAAATATTTTTCAGGTGTGTTATCTGTCAGGCCTCTGAGCCTAAGCCAAGCCATCGCATCCTCTGTGACTTGCACGTATACGCCCAGATGGCCTGAAGTAACTGAAGAATCACAAAAAAAGTGAATATGCCTTGCCCCACCTTAACTGATGACATTCCACCACAAAAGAAGTGTAAATGGCCGGTCCTTGCCTTAACTGATGACATTACCTTGTGAAAGTCCTTTTCCTGGCTCAAAAAGCACCCCTACTGAGCACCTTGCAACCCCTACTCCTGCCCACTGAGCACCTTGCGACCCCAACTCCTACCCGCCAGAGAACAAACCCCCTTTGACTGTAATTTTCCTTTACCTACCTAAATCTTACAAAACGGCCCCACCTTTATCTCCCTTGGCTGACTCTCTTTTCGGACTCAGCCCACCTGCACCCAGGTGAAATAAACAGCCATGTTGCTCACACAAAGCCTGTTTGGTGGTCTCTTCACACGGACACACATGAAATTTGGTGCCGTGACTCGGATCGGGGGACCTCCCTTGGCAGATCAATCCCCTGTCCTCCTGCTCTTTGCTCCATGAGAAAGATCCACCTACGACCTCGGGTCCTCAGACCGACCAGCCCAAGAAACATCTCACCAATTTCAAATCCGGTAAGCGGCCTCTTTTTACTCTCTTCTCCGACCTCCCTCACTATCCCTCAACCTCTTTCTCCTTTCAATCTTGGCGCCACACTTCAATCTCTCCCTTCTCTTAATTTCAATTCCTTTCATTTTCTGGTAGAGACAAAAGAGACATGTTTTATCCGTGAACCCAAAACTCCAGCGCCGGTCATGGACTAGGAAGGCAGCCTTCCCTTGGTGTTTAATCATTGCAGAGACGCCTCTCTGATTATACACTCACGTTTCAAGGGTGTCAGACCACGCAGGGACACCTGCCTTGGTCCTTCACCCTTAGTGGCAAGGGCAAGTACCCCTCAACCCCTTCCCCTTCACCCTCAGCGGCAAGTCCCGCTTTCCTGGGGCAGGGGCAAGTACCCCTCAACCCCTTCCCCTTCACCCTCAGCGGCAAGTCCCGCTTTCCTGGGGCAGGGGCAAGTACCCCAACCCCTTCCCCTTCACCCTCAGCGGCAAGTCCCGCTTTCCTGGGGCAGGGGCAAGTACCCCCAACCCCTTCTCCTTCACCCTTAGCAGCAAGTCCCGCTTTCCTAGGAGGCAAGAACCCCCAATCACTTATTTCCGCACCCCAACCTCTTATCTCTGTGCTTCAATCCCTTATTTCTGCACCCTGACCTCTTATCTCTGTGCCCCAATCCCTTATTTCTGTGCCCCAACCCCTTCTCTGCTTTTCTGGAGGGCAAGAACCCCCCACCCCTTCTCCGTGTCTCTACTCTTTTCTCTATGCTTGCCTCCTTCACTAAAGGTAAGCTTCCACCTTCCATTCCTCCTTCTTCTCCCTTAGCCTGTGTTCTCAAAAACTTAAAACCTCTTCAACTCACACCTGACCTAAAACCTAAATGCCTTATTTTCTTCTGCAATGCCGCTTGACCCCAATACAAACTCGACAGTAGTTCCAAATAGCCAGAAAATGGCACTTTGAATTTTTCCATCCTGCAAGATCTAAATAATTCTTGTCATAAAATAGGCAAACGGTCTGAGGTGCCTGACGTCCAGGCATTCTTTTACACATCAGTCCCTTCCTAGTCTCTGTGCCCAGTGCAACTCGTCCCAAATCTTCCTTCTTTCCCTCCCGCCTGTCCCCTCAGTACCAACCCCAAGTGTTGCTGAGTCTTTCTAATCTTCCTTTTCTACAGACCCATCTGACCTCTCCCTTCCTCCCCAGGCTGCTCCTCGCCAGGCCGAGCTAGGTCCCAATTCTTCCTCAGCCTCTGCTCCTCCACCCTATAATCTTTTTATCACCTCCCATCCTCACACCTGGTCCGACTTACAGTTTCGTTCCGTGACTAGCCCTCCCCCACCTGCCCAGCAATTTACTCTTAAAACGGTGGCTGGAGCCAAAGGCATAGTCAAGGTTAATGCTCCTTTTTCTTTATCCCAAATCAGATAGTGTTTAGGCTCTTTTTCATCAAATATAAAAATCCAGCCCAGTTCATGACTTAAAATCTTTTTATCACCTCCCCTCCTCACACCTGGTCCGGCTTACAGTTTCGTTCCATGACTAGCCCTCCCCCTCCTGCCCAGCAATTTACTCTTAAAACGGTGGCTGGAGCCAAAGGCATAGTCAAGGTTAATGCTCCTTTTTCTTTATCCCAAATCAGATAGCGTTTAGGCTCTTTTTCATCAAATATAAAAATCCAGCCCAGTTCATGACTTGTTTGGCAGCAACCCTAAGACACTTTACAGCCCTAGACCCTAAAAGGTCAAAAGGCCGTCTTATTCTCAAAATACATTTTATTACCCAATCTGCTCCCGACATTAAATAAAACTCCAAAAATTAAATTCCGGCCCTCAAACCCCACAACAGGATTTAATTAACCTCGCCTTCAAGGTGTACCATAATAGAAAAAAGTTGCAATTCCTTGCCTCCACTGTGAGACAAACCCCAGCCACATCTCCAGCACACAAGAACTTCCAAACGCCTGGACCGTAGCAGCCAGGCGTTCCTCCAGAACCTCCTCCCACAGGAGCTTGCTACACGTGCCGGAAATCTGGCCACTGGGCCAAGGAATGCCCGCAGCCCAGGATTTCTCCTAAGCCATGTCCCATCTGTGTGGGACCCCACTGAAAATCGGACTGTTCAACTCACCTGGCAGCCACTCCCAGAGCTCCTGGAACTCTGGCCCAAGGCTCTCTGACTGACTCCTTCTTGGCTTACCGGCTGAAGACTGACGCTGCCTGATCGCCTCAGAAGCCCCGTAGACCATCACGGACGCCGAGCTTTAGGTAACTCACAGTGGAGGGTAAGTCCGTCCCCTTCTTAATCAATACGGAGGCTACCCACTCCACATTACCTTCTTTTCAAGGGTCTGTTTCCCTTGCCTCCGTAACTGTTGTGGGTATTGACAGCCAGGCTTCTAAACCTCTTAAAACTCCCCAACTCTGGTGCCAACTTAGACAATACTCTTTTAAGCACTCCTTTTTAGTTATCCCCACCTGCCCAGTTCCCTTATTAGGCTGAGACACTTTCACTAAATTATCTGCTTCCCTGACTATTCCTGGACTACAGCTATATCTCATTGCGGCCCTTCTTCCCAATCCAAAGCCTCCTTTGCGTCCTCCTCTTGTATCCCCCCACCTTAACCCACAAGTATAAGATACCTCTACTCCCTCCTTGGCGACCGATCATGCACCCCTTACCATCTCATTAAAACCTAATCACCCTTACCCCACTCAACGCCAATATCCCATCCCGCAGCACACTTTAAAAAGATTAAAGCCTGTTATCACTCGCCTGCTACAGCATGGCCTTTCAAAGCCTATAAACTCTCCTTACAATTCCCCCATTTTACCTGTCCTAAAACCAGACAAGCCTTACAAGTTAGTTCAGGATCTGCGCCTTATCAACCAAATTGTTTTGCCTATCCACCCCGTGGTGCCAAACCCATATACTCTCCTATGCTCAATACCTCCCTCCACAACCCATTATTCTGTTCTGGATCTCAAACATGCTTTCTTTACTATTCCTTTGCACCCTTCATCCCAGCCTCTCTTCGCTTTCACTTGGACTGACCCTGACACCCATCAAGCTCAGCAAATTACCTAGGCTGTACTGCCGCAAAGCTTCACAGACAGCCCCCGTTACTTCAATCAAGCCCAAATTTCTTCCTCAACTGTTACCTACCTCGGCATAATTCTCATAAAAACACACGTGCTCTCCCTGCCAATCGTGTCCGACTGATCTCTCAAACCCAAGCATCTTCTACAAAACAACAACTCCTTTCCTTCCTAGGCATGGTTAGCGAGGTCAGAATTTTTACACAAGAGCCAGGACCACACCCTGTAGCCTTTCTGTCCAAACAACTTGACCTTACTGTTTTAGCCTAGCCCTCATGTCTGCGTGCAGTGGCTACCGCTGCTTTAATACTTTTAGAGGCCCTCAAAATAAGTAGAGGCCTTTCCTACAGGGTCTGAGAAGGCCACCGCAGTCATTTCTTCCGTTCTGTCAGACATAATTCCTCAGTTTAGCCTTCCCACCTCAATACAGTCTGATAACAGACGAGCCTTTATTAGTCAAATCAGGCAAGCAGTTTTTCAGGCTCTTAGTATTCAGTGAAACCTTTATATCCCTTATGGTCCTCCAACTTCAAGAAAAGTAAAATGGACTAAAGGTTTTTTAAAAACACACCTCACCAAGCTCAGCCACCAACTTAAAAAGGACTGGACAATACTTTTACCACTTTCCCTTCTCAGAATTCAGGCCTGTCCTCGGAATGCTACAGGGTACAGCCCATTTGAGCTCCTATATAGACGCTCCTTTTTATTAGGCCCCAGTCTCATTCCAGACACCAGACCAACTTAGACTGTGCCCCCAAAAAAACTTGTCATCCTTACTATCTTCTGTCTAGTCATACTCCTATTCACTGTTCTCAACTACTCATACATGCCCTGCTCTTGTTTACACTGCCGGTTTACACTGTTTTTCCAAGCCATCTCAGCTTATATCTCCTGGTGCTATCCCCAAACTGCCACTGTTAACTCTTGAAGTAAATAAATAATCTTTGCTGGCAGGACTATGCTGAATCTCCTTAGGCACTCTCTAATCAGATATCCTGAGTAGTCCCAATTCTTAGACCTTTTATACCTGTTTTTCTCCTTCTGTTATTCCATTTAGTTTCTCAATTCATCCAAAACCGTATCCAGGCCATCACCAATCATTCTATATGGCAAATGTTTCTTCTAACATCCCCACAATATCACCCCTTACCACAAGACCTCCCCCTTCAGCTTAATCTCTCCCACTCTAGGTTCCCACGCCGCCCCTAATCCCGCTTGAAGCAGCCCTGAGAAACATCGCCCATTCTCTCTCCATACCACCCCCCAAAAAATTTTCGCCGCCCCAACACTTCAACACTATTTTGTTTTATTTTTCTTATAAATATAAGAAGGCAGGAATGTCAGGCCTCTGAGCCCAAGCTAACCCGTCGCATCCCCTGTGACTTGCAGGTATATGCCCAGATGGCCTGAAGTAACTGAAGAATCACAAAAGAAGTGAATATGCTTTGTCCCACCTTAACTGATGACATTCTATCACAAAAGAAGTGTAAATGGCTGGTCCTTGCCTTAACTGATGACATTACCTTGTGAAAGTCCTTTTCCTGGCTCATCCTGGCTCAAAAAGCACCCCCACTGAGCACCTTGCGACCCCCACTCCTGCCCACTGAGCACCTTGCGACCCCCACTCCTACCCACCAGAAAACAAACCCCCTTTGACTGTAATTTTCCTTTACCTTCCCAAATCCTATAAAACGACCCCACCCTTATCTCCCTTGGCTGACTCTCTTTTCGGACTCAGCCCACCTGCACCCAGGTGAAATAAACAGCCATGTTGCTCACACAAAGCCTGTTTGGTGGTCTCTTCACACGGACGCGCATGAAATTATCTTTTGTTAATTTTTTTCTGATACACAGGGGATTTTAATTTTAGTTTGCTAAATCAATCTTCAGAATGCCTGCTTGTAAGGTCATTCTTAGGAAGGCCTCTGTTAACGTAAAATGTATCTGTATAAATAAGTCTTTGTGTTTTCTTCTGGTACTTTTCTCATTTTGCATATGTAAAAATTTCAGTCGGAATTTCATCGGGAACTCATTTTTGCGACATAAAATTTCATTAGTTTTCTTCACACAGCAGGCATTTTATTAATAACTCATCCTTTCCTACTCATCTGAAATGTTACCATTATTAATCCCTGTGTATATATCTTACATATATTTCAGTGTTTTTGGATTTCCTATTCTGTTCCATTTATTTATATGTGTTTTTAGCTGTTAGTAAATAATTGTGAGAATTAATAGCACATTTTGATATCTAGAAGAGCAAGTCTTTTTTCACTCCATTATAAAAATTTTTAAATGTCATCACAATGGTAAGATAGACAGCAAGTGTCATGCAAAAATGATAAAACCTTGATTTTTCATTCGGTTTATGTAAAACTGATAAACATATTAAGAGCTCACATTTTGAGAAAACTGAGTCTTCTCATTCAAGGAACCCACCTCCCACTTCCAAGTGTCCCTCTAAGAAGCCCCAGTAAAGAACCTATCTACCTAGGTGGATTCGGATGTAAAACCCACACAGGGTTTAATCTGAGAACTCTTCGCCTACTGAAAATGGCTCATGGTATTTTTGACATGGGAATGAGTTCTCATTAGGCACCTCCCTATCATGTATATAGCTCCATGTAAACATGGATATACTTAACTTTGTGAGTTAAATCACTCAAATTATCCACCAAGCGCTACAGGCGGGAAATTGCCAGGGATGGAAAGCAGCTGAGGCTCCATTTGGCTTCGCGGCTCCAGGGCCCGGCGACCTCCAAGGCCCCCGCCTCAGGCGCTGCGGGCAAACAGGGCCTGGGGGCCCCCTCCCACCGCGGGCTGAGCCCCCGCTACCTGTCCTTTCTGTCGCGGGCATCCAAGTCCCGGAACCTGCGAGTCAGGCAGCGCTCCACCTCCGCGGCGTCGCCCTTGATGGCCACCCTGTGGATCTTCCGCAGTTCCCAGTCCCCGATGTGGTACCCCCGACCCGCGTACTCTTGGTCCATGGAGCTCAGGAGCGCCTGGCCCAGGCGTCTCCCGAAACTGAAGAGTTTCCTCATGGTGGCGACTTCTCAGACGCCAACCACCCGCTACTGAGCCGCCGCGGCTCCTCGTGGCCTTTCCACCCCGACCAAGTTCCAAATCCGCGATCCCCCTCCCCACCCCGCTATCCACCCCTAAATCCAAGATCCACCACCAAACCAGCAATCCACCCCCAAACCCAAGATCCACCCCCAACCCCGCGATGTAGCTCAGAATCCGCGATCCAGCCCGGTCCACCACAGCCTTCAGCAGCGACACTCGCAGCCTCCGACCTCTCAGACCGAGTGAGCTTAACTAAGCCGTTACTCGCGTGCCAGCAGTTGGGCGCTCCGACCTCTCAGACCGCGTGAGCCCAGCAAAGCGGTTAGGCGCGCGCCTGCAGCTCGGCGCTAGCCCGGACTCCGGGAGCCGCTCTCGAGCTCGCGTGGACGGCAGAGGGCGGCTGCAGCTCGGGCGCAGGCGCCGCTGGCTTGCGGGTTCTCCTGGGCTCGCGCAGGACATCCCGGAATCGCAGGCGCGCATCCCTTCCCGCCTGAGGGCCCGCCTGGCCGTGACTCCCGCTCCTCTCCTCCTCCGAAGAGAGATGGGGCCGCTGGCAGGGGCTCTCCGCAGCCACCGGGGATGGGGCTGAGGGTCGGTTCCTGCCCCGGTGCAGCCGCCGCGGGCAGACCGCCTGGCTTGGCCGCAGCCACAGCGACATCTAGCCCCGGTTCTGCGAGGCTGGGCGCGCCAGCCAGCTTGGGAGTTGCCTGGCGCCTGTAGCTGGGCGCCCAGGTGGTGGAGCATGGCCTGGGCGGCCTCTGGATCGCGAGTGCCCCTGGCCTGAGAGCCCGCCAGACCCTGCCCCCACCCGGCTCCTCCTCTGCCAGAGCTCGAGACCTCTAGCCAGGGGCCCTCTGCAACCACCGGGGATGGGGCTGAGGGCCGGTTCCCGCCCCTGTGCAGCTGCTGCAGGACAGACCGCCTGGCTTGGCCGCAGCCACAGGGACATCTGGCCCTGGTTCTGAGATGTGGGGAGTGCGGGCGGGCTCGAGAGTTGCCTGGAGGCTGCTGCCTGCACACAGAAGGCGGCTGCAGCTTGGGTGCCCAGGCGGGCTGGAGGTGCATGGCCTGGTCGGCCTCGGGATCGCCAGCGCGCCCAGCCTGAGGGCCCCCAGGTCGTGCCTCCCGCCCACTCCTCCACCTGAGGGGGATTGGGGCCGCTGGCATGGGCACTCGGCAGTCACCCCGTGTGGGGTTGAGCGGCGGGTTCTCGGTTCTGCTCCTGTGCAGCCGCCGCTGGGCAGAATGCCTGGCTTGGCTGCAGCCACTGGGACACCTGGCCCTGGTTCTGCGATGCTGGGAGCGCGAGCGGGCTCGGAGGTTGCCAGGCAGCTGCTGCCTGCACACAGAGGGCGACTGCAGCTTGGGCGCCCAGGCGGCGGAGCATGGTCTGGGTGGCCTCTGGAATGCGTGCGCGCCAGACCTGAGGGCCCTCCTGCTGGTGCCACCTGACCCGGTCTTCCTCTGCTGGAGCCTGGAGCAGCTGGAATGGCCACTCTGCAGTCACAGGGGATAGAGTTAAGTTTTCTTATCCCAGGCATGCACACAAAAAGGTAACTATTCTGTGAGGTAATTAACATGTTAATTGACTTCATTTTGGTAATCATTTCAGAATGTGCATATAAACGCATCACATGTACAATTTTCTCTATTACACCTCAGTAAAGCTGAAATAATTAACAGGATCGAAAGGATAAACCCACAGTTCTATAGTAACAGTTGGACACTTCAATACCTCATTTTAATTAATGGATAGAAAAACCAGACAGAAGCTTTATGAGAAATACAAGACTTAAACAACAGTATAAACCATTGAGAGCTAATATACATATACAGAACAGTCCATCCAACAACAGCAGAACATACATTCTTTTCAAGTGTATATGGAACTTTCTCTAGGATAGGCCATATCTTCGTCCACAAAATATGTCCTAATCATTTTTAAAAGTTTGAAATCATACAAAATATAATTTACAACCACAATGGAAGAAACAACAGATAAATAAGTGAAAACTGGAAAATTCACAAAAATGTGAAAATTAAACAATACAGTCTTAAACTACCAGTGAGTGAAAAAATAAATCACAAGCAAAATTATAAAATATCTTGAGACAAAATAAAAACAAAACATACCAAAACTTATTGAATGCAGTGAAAGTAGAGTTCAAGGGAAAATGTATGGATATAAACAACTACATTTAAGAAGAAATCTCAAATCAATATCCTCATTCTATACCTAAAGGCAATGGAAGAAAACAAAAAAAGACTAAATCCAAAGCTAGCAGAAGGAAAGAAATAATAAAGAGCATAATTAGAGCATAAATCAATAAAATAGAATGTTGGAGAGCAGTAGAATAAATAAACATAGATTATTTGAAAGATCAAGCCTTTCACTATATTGACTGAGCAAAAGATGGAAGACTAATTATTAAAATAATAAATGAAAGCAGAGCCATTACTACCAACTTTACAGAAATACAAAAGGATTACAGGAGTATACTGTGAACAACTGTCTAACAACAAATTAGGTGCCCTGGATGAAATGGACGAATTGCTAGAAAGACACAAACTACTAAAGTGGTTCAAGAAGAAAGAGAAAATCTGAATAGACCTATAACCTAAGAGATTGAATTAGTAATCGAAAGCGATTAACAAAGAAACATTTATGACCAAATAGCTGCATTAACTGGTGAGTCAACCTAACATTTAAAGAAGAATTAATACCATTTCTTCTCAAAGTCTTCTGACAAAATATGTGAAGAAGGAATACTTGCTAATTCATTTTTTGATAATAGCATTATCCTTATACCAAAGCCAAGGAGAGCACAAAAAAGAGAACTACAGCACAATATCCCTTATGAATATATAAGCAAAAATCTCTGCAAAATACTAGCAATACTACCAAAATACTAGCAGCAATACTGTATAATCAAAGGATTGTAAACTATCACCCTGTGAGATTTATCCCCAAAATGCAAGGGTGGCTCAACATATAAAAAAATCAATCAGTATAATGTACTGTAACAGTAAAATGAATACGCACATGATTATTTCAATTGATGAAGAAAAAACATTGATGAAATACAATACCCTTCTATAATAAAAATACTCAATAAACTAGGCATAGAAGGGAACTTCTGCAACCTGACAATGGGATGTATAAAAACCCAACAGTTAATATCATGATCAATGATGAAACACTGAAAGCTGTTTTCCTAACACCTAGAACAAGACAAGGATGGTGCATTTGCCACTTGTATTCAACATAGCATTGGCAGTTCTACCCAGAGCAATCAGGCGAGACAAAGAAATAAAAGGCATCTAAATTAGAAATAAAAAATAGAAGTAAAATTATATCTACACATGATCTTATGTGTATAAAGCTCCAAACAAAACACAAAACCGATTATAACTAATAAAAGAGGCAGGATGCAAAACAAACATATGCAAATGAGCTATATTTCTATATAGTTGTAAAGAACTATGAAAACATTTAAAAAATTCCATTTATAATAGCATCAAAGAATAAGTTATTCAGGCATAAATCTAATCATGGTGGTATACACAAAACTTTGCTGAAAAAAACTAAAGAGAGTGGAAATAACTGGAAAGACATTCTGTGTTCACGGGTTGTAAGACAATATTGTTAAGATGACAATACCATCTAAAGTAATCTACAGATTCAATGCAATACCATCAAAATCCCAAAGGCATCTTTGCAGAAACAAAGAAACTCATTCTAAAATTCATACAAAAATTCAAAGGATCTGACAGACAAAAACAGTCTTGAAAAAGAATATTGGAAAACTCACATTTTTCAGTTTCACAACCTATTACAAATCTACAGTAATCAAGAGAGTGTGGTACTGGCATAAGACCAATAGACTTTTAGACCAATAGAATAGAATAGATTTGAGATCCTACAAATTAGTCCTCACATATATGGTCAATGACTGTTCAACAAGGTGGCCAAGTCTAGTCAAGGGAGGAAAGAACAGTCTCTTCAACAGCTGGATGTCAGTGCACAAGAGAGAAGTTAGAACCCTACCTTGCAGTATATACAAAAATTAATTATAAATTAATAAAAGACTTAAATGTAAGGACTAAAAATATGTAACTCTTAGAAGAAAACACAAGGTAAACCTTTATGACCTTTGAGTTTTAAGTGTATTTTGAAGTATGACAGAAAAGCACAGATAACAAAAGAAAATACTCATAAATTAGATTTAATCAAAATAAAAAACCTTTATGCATCAAAGGATACCATCAAGGGACTGAAAAGACAACCCATAGTATGTGAGAAAATACGTATCTGATAAAATCAAAGTGTGTATCTGATAAAAGCTTAATATCCCACAACTCAACAACAGAATTTCTAACATCCCAATTAAAAAATAGGCAAAGGACTTGAATAGACATTTCTCCAAAGAAGATACATAAATGTCTATGAAGGACAAGAAAAGATGCTAAGCACCATTATTCATTAATAAAATGCAAGACAAAATCAAAACGAGATGCCACTTTGCATCCACTAGTAAGGCTTTCATAACAACGACACAGAAAATAAATGTTGCTAAAGAGGTGGAGAAATTGGAGCCCTCGTGAACTGACTGCTAGGAATAGAAAATGATGCACTTGCTGTGGAAAACAATTTGGTGGTTCCTCACAGAATCACACAGAGAAACAGAAATTCCACTCCTAGGTATTATTCACACACAAAAAAATTGACAGCAGGGTCTGGAACAGATATTTTTACACCCAAGTTAATTGCAGCGTTATTCGTTATAGCCAAAAGGCACGGACAACCCGTGTCCATCAACAAATGAATGGATACACAAATATGATACATAAATAATAGAATATTATTCAGCCATTAAAGAGGATGAAGTTCTGATACATGCAACATGGGTGAAACTTGGAAATATGATGCTGAGTGAAGTAAGCCAGACACGAAAGGACAGATGTTGTATGATTCCACTGATATGAAATATCTAGAATAGGCAAATTTGTGAAAATAGAATGAAGATTAGTGTTTCCCAGAGACTGGGGAGAGGTAGCAATGCTGGGTTATTGTTTAATGGGTACTTTATTTCTGTTTGTGATAGAAATGAAGATGCTGGTTGTACAAAACTGGGAATGTACTTAATGCTACTGAATTATATACTTAAAGTTAAAATTTTAACACAATTTAAAAATTTAAATATAGATCTGAGAATTCCTATATCCATTTTTATTTAAAAGTTATTTGCTCAATTGCCAAATATTAAGGTTTTTCTGAATATATTTTTGTTATTGACTTAATTTAGTCCTATTTTGCTCAGAGTACAAACTGTCTATGATTTAAATCCTTTTATATTTATTGAGAATTATTTTATGGTCCAGTATTTAATCTATCTTGATTAATGTTCCACATACACTTGAAAAGTAGATCTGATGATCGTCACCTTTACTCTGTTGATATCTGTTTCACACATTTTGAAGTTTCACTAGGTTCACCCATTTAAGATTGTTAATTTTATGAACTGGCCTATTTTGATTATGACTCGACACCTTTATCTTTGGCAGTACTCCTGTTCTGAAGACCACTTTATCTAATATTAATATGGGCATACCAACTCTTTTAGGATTAGTATTTGCATGGCACATTTACATCTATACTTTTGCCTAAATGTTGTGTCTGTATCTAAAATGTGGTTCTTGTGAGCAGCATAGTGTTGGGTCTTGTTTATTTATTTATTGTTTAATCTCATCTGAAAATCTGAACTTTGAAATTGAGATATCCAGTCCTTCTATATTCATGTATTAGAAACAGGGTCTGGCTCAGTCACACAGGCTGGGCTGCAGTGGCATGATCATAGCTCATTGTAACCTTGAACTCCTAGGGTCAAAAGATCCTCTCACCTCAGCCTCCTGAGTAGCTAGGAATGCAGGGATATGGCATTGTGCCTGGCTAATTTTTTATTATTTAAATTTTTCTTTTTTTGCAGACACAGGATCTCACTATGTTGCCAGGGCTGGTCTCAGACTCCTGGTCTCAACTCATCTTCCCACCTCAGCTCCCAGAGTGCTGGGGTTACAGGCATGAGCTATGAAGGCTGGGCCCTTTTATATTTAATGTAATGGTTGAAATGACTAGATTTAAGTGTACCCTGTTGCTATTTGTTTTCTGTCTCTGTTTCTTTTTTTCTCGATTCTTCCTTTAGTGTGATTATTTTTTAGTCTTCTGTTTTCTCTCTTCTGCTGGCTTTTTAGCTATATCTGTTTGTTTCAATTTTTTAAATTGTTAGCTGAAAGATTACAATACGTAGGCCAGACGTGGTGGCTCACACCTGTAATCCCAGCACTTTGGGAGGCTGAGGACTGCAGATCACATGAGTCCCAAAGTTCAAGACCAGCCTGGCCAATATGGTGAAACCCTGTCTCTACTAAAAATACAAACCAATCCAGGCGTGGTGGCATGCTCGTGTAATCCCAGCTACTTGGGAGGCTGAGGCATGAGAATTGCTTGAACCCAGGAGGTGGAGATTGCAGTGAGCCGAGATCACACCACTGCACTCCAGCCTGGGTGACAGAGTGAGACTCCGTCTCAAAAAAAAAAAAAAATTACAGTATGTATCTTTATCACAGTCTACCTTGAGTATATATATATATATATATATATATATATATTTTTTTTTTTTTTTTTTTTTTTTTGAGACGGAGTCTCGCTCTGTTGCCCAGGCTGGAGTGCAGTGGCACAATCTTGGCTCACTGCAAGCTCCACCTCCCGGGTTCGCACCATTCTCCTGCCTCAGCCTCCCGAATAGCTGGGACTACAGGCGCCCACCACCACGCCCAGCTAATTTTTTGTGTTTTTAGTAGAGACGGGGTTTCACCATGTTAGCCAGGATGGTCTCGATCTCCTGACCTTGTGATCCACCCATCTCGGCCTCCCAAAGTGCTGGGATCAGAGACGTGAGCCACCGCGCCCGGCCTGAATTAATATTTTAACACTTTTGTTAAAGATAAGAGCCTTAAAATGGTATAATTCCAATTACTCTCCTTTGTCCTTTATGTTAGTTTTGTCACTTATTTTTTTTCTGCATGTTTGTTGTGAGTTATCAGGAATTAGTGTTGGATTTTGCCAAAATTCTTTTATGTCTTTTGACATGATTCTATTGATTTTCTACTTTATTTATTTATATGATGTACTATGTTCATTGTGTTTTAGATAGTAAACCAAATTTGCATTACTAGTATTAATTCCAGAGACATGTAGTGTATGATCGTCTTACATACTGTTGGATGTAATTTGCTTCCAGGCTGTTAAACATATTTGCAGGTAAACTTATGAGAGACATTGTTTGGCACTTTCCTTTTCTTCTGATGTCTCCATCCTGCTTTGGTATCAAGCTAATACTGGCTTTCTAAAATGTTTTGGCATATCTTCTCTTCTGTATTTGCTGGAAATGTTTGTGTATGACTGATATACTTTCTTCCTTAAATGTTAGATGGAATTCATGGGTTAAGGCTTCTAGCACTACACTCTTCTTCAGAGGGAATATGTTTAATTACTAATTCAATTTTTTTTTACTTTATATACATCTATTAAGATTTTCTATTTGTTCTTTAGTCAATTTTGCTACTTAATGTCTTTGTCGGAATTTGCTTATTTCATTTATGTTGCTAAACTTGTTGACATTAGTTGTTCATCATAATACCTTAAATTCTTTTAAAATTTCTGTTGAATCTGTTGTGAGGTTCTATCTTTCATTCTTTTTTTTTTTTTTTTCTCAGACAGAGTCTCGCTCTTGTCACCCAGGCTGGATGCAGCATCCTGCTACTGGATATGTAGATAAAAGAGAAGTATTACATCTTTGAGATATGGAATCAACCTAAGTGCTGCTCTAAGCATACAAGTGCAGGTATCTTTTTTATATAGTATTTCTCCTTTATGTATATATCCAGTAGCAGGATTGCTGTATTCCATATCTTTACAATAGCAAAGATATGAAATCAATCTAAGTGTCCATCAATAGATGATTGGCTAAAGAAAATGTGGTATGCATACAGTGGAATACTATTCAGCCATAAAAACAATAAAATCCACAGTAGTCTCATGTAACAAATCTGCACATGTATCCCTATGTCTAAAATAAACTTCAAAATTTAAAAAAGAATGAAATCATGTCTTTTGCAGCAACATGGATGGAAATGAAGTTCATTATCTTAAGTAAAATAACAGAAACAGAAAGTCAAATACTGCATGTTCTCACTTATAAATAGGAGCTAAATAACACATACTCATGGACACAGAGAGTGGAATAATAGTCATTGGAGACTCAGAAGGGTGTGTGAGTGAGAGGGGTGAGGGTTGAGCAATTTCATAGTGGATATAATGTGCACTCTTCAGGGAATGTTTACACTACTAGTCCAGACTTCACCACTACCCAGTATGTCCATGTAACAAAACTACACTTGTACCCCTTAAATGTATACAAATACAAATTAAAACATGCATGAGAGAGGACCTTAATTTTTCTTTTCTCTTTCTCTCTTTCATTCTTCTTTTTGACAGAGTTTTGCTCTTGTCACCCAGGCTGGAGTGCAGTGGTATGATCTCGGCTCACTACAACCTCTGCCTCCCAGATTCAAGCGATTCTCCTGCCTCAGCCTCGAGAGTAGCTGGGATTCCAGGTCTGTGCTGCCACTAAGTAGAGACGGGGTTTTAACATGTTGGCCAGGCTGGTCTTGAACTCCTGACCTCAGATGATCTGCCTGCCTTGGCCTCCCAAAGTGCTGGGATTACAGGCATGAGCCACCGCGCCTGGCCAAAATCAGTTATCAACTAATTTTCAAACATGTAACTAGCAGGGGTCCCAGTAATGGGGGGACCATTATTGCATGCTTTGAAATTTGAGGGTCTCATTCTGCTGATTAATGTCTAGGCAGCAAAAAACAAAACAAAAAGCAGTACAAACCAAAAAAGTCTACGATGCCTATCAGGGAATGTTTAAGGTTTGTACCAGTGTTTTTTTTTTTTTACGGTGTGCTTGACACAGAATTTTGTTTTACTTGCTGGGCAGGCTGTGATCTAATTGCCTAGTTGTGACCAATTTTTCCCTAGATGCATAAATTTTTTTCTGAGACTGGCAGACCACTAAGGGTCACCTTGCCAGCCTGTGTACCAGTTAATTAATCCTTACCCAAGAGACTTTTTCTTCCAAGACTTTTTCCTCCAAGACTGTCCTAATAGTTTATTAATTTTTTTTTTTTTTTTTTTTTTTTTTTTTTTTTTTTTTTTTAGACAGAATCTTGCTCTGTTGCTCAGGCTGCAGTGCAATGGCACAATCTCGGCTTACTGCAACCTCTGCCTCCCAGATTCAAGCAATTCTCCTGCCTCAGCCTCCTGAGGAGCTGGGACTACAGGCGTGCCCACCATGCCCAACTAATTTTTGTATTTTTTCTAGAGAAGGGGTTTTTTGCCATGTTGGCCAGACTGGTCTGGAACTCCTGACCTCAGGTGTTCCACCTGCCTCGGCCTTCCAAAGTGCTGTAATTGCAGGCATGAGCCACCACACCTGGCCCCTAATGGCTTTGAAAGGGTTGACTCATGCCCGCCTTTATAGAAAGTAGATTTTGCTCTCAAGAAACATTTAGGGCCAGGCGCAGTGGCTCATGCATGTAATTTGGGAGGCTGAGGCAGTAGGATCCACTAAGGCTGGGAGATCAGGACTGGCCTGGGCTATATAGTGAGACCCTGTCTCTACAAAATACAAAAAAACAAAAAATTAGCCGGGTGTGCTGGCATGTGCCTGTAGTCCCAGCTGCTGGGGAGGCTGTGGCAAGAGGATCACTTGAGCCCAGGAGGCTGAGGCTACAGTGAACTATGATTGCACCACTGCACTCTTGCTGGGGTGACAGAGCAAGACCCTGTCTAAAAATATGTATATATTTTACACTAGTTCCTTATTAATTTTTAAAATATGATTTTCTGCAGAATCCTGGCAATGTCTTTTTTTAAATCTATGGACATGAACACATAACATTCTCACTGATTCTCTTAACATAATTAATTGTATTAATGGATTTCCAAGTGTTGACTCTCACTTGCATTTCTGGCACAAAAGGCAGTGGATTATGATGTAATGTTTCAATGTGCTGACACAATGGCTTCTAATATTTAAAAGTTTACATTTATATTCACACGTCCTATACTTTTGTAATACATGGCTCAAACCAGGGTAAGATCTCATATCACCTTTATGCACCCTTCCTGAAAACTATTGGGAAGATTGACTAAGACTTGAATAGTTTAGGTAGCGTCAGGTTATCAGTTAGTTTACTAGTAGAATTTCTCTCTGGATCATATGAACTTGGTGCTTCTGTGTATATGAGGGACTCTGATAAATGTCTCTGTTTCTTTTATAAATATTATACAATTTAGAATCTCTATTTCTCTAGGGGTAAATGTTAATAAAATATATATTTATAGAATATATAACATCTACATTTGATTGTTAATTTACATTGGAATGCCCAACATTGTTCCCATTTATTTTTCATATCAGTATTTGACTTCAAGTTGCTGTTTGCACTGTAATCTGTTCACATATCCTTCTCAAGTTCCTCGCATGATCCCATTTCTCTGTTCACAGTGAAATAATAGTTTGGCTCAGGAATCTGAGGATTAACAGAAAATTGGGTTTTCTGTAGGGGACCATCTCAGGAAAGCACAGACTCTAGTAAGACGCGTGTGCTCTGCTGCTAGCCCCTCAGTCTAGACTCACCCCTTCCTGCTCCCTCCCTAGGAGCCCCTTCCTGTTGCCTCCAGGGATTATGGAAAGCAAGAGCCTCTGCCAAACACTCTCATCTTGCTAGAGATGCCCACTAGAATGTGGGGAAAAGAAAGCGAGATCAGACTGTTACTGTGTCTATGTAGAAAGAAGTAGACATAAGAGACTCCATTTTGTTCTGTACTAAGGAAAATTCTTCTGCCTTGAGATGCTGTTAATCTGTAACCCTAGCCCCAACCCTGTGCTCGCAGAGACATGTGCTGTGTTGACTCAAGGTTTAATGGATTTAGGATTATGCAAGATGTGCTTTGTTAAACAAGTGCTTGAAGGCAGTATGCTTGTTAAAAGTCATCACCACTCTCTAATCTCAAGTACCCGGGAACATAATATACTGCGAAGGCTGAAGGCCACAGGGACCTCTGCCTAGGAAAGCCAGGTATTGTCCAAGGTTTCTCCCCATGTGATAGCCTGAGATATGGCCTCATGGGAAGGGAAAGACCTGACCATCCCCCAGCCCGACACCGGTAAAGGGTCTGTGCTGAGGAGGATTAGTGAAAGAGGAAGGCCTCTCTGCAGTTGAGATAAGAGGAAAGCATCTGTCTCCTGCTTGTCCCCGGGCAATGGAATGTCTCGGTGTAAAACCCGATTGTATGTTCCACCTACTGAGATAGGAGAAAACCACCTTAGGGCTGGAGGTGAGACATGCTGGCAGCAATACTGCTCTTTAATGCACTGAGATGTTTGTGTATGTGCACATCAAAGCACAGCACCTTTTTTTAACCTTGTTTATGACACAGAGACCTTTGTTCATGTTTTCCTGCTGACCCTCTCCCCACTATTACCCTATTGTCCTGCCACATCCCCCTCTCCAAGATGGTAGAGGTAATGATCGATAAATACTGAGGGAACTCAGAGACTGGTGCCAGGGCGGGTCCTCCATATGCTGAGCGCCCGTCCCCTGGGCCCACTTTTCTTTCTCTATACTTTGTCTCTGTGTCTCTTTCTTTTCTCAGTTTCTCATTCCACCTGATGAGAAACACCCACAGGTGTGGAGGGGCTGGCCCCCTTCATAGAAAATTGTACTTGTTTTTGGTAATTGGTAACTGGGACAAAGTTTCTTGAAATATCTTTAGCTCCCCAAATATGCACTGTCATTGTTGCCGCAGGTGAAATGCTCATTGCAGTGCTGCAAAAAGGTGAGGTCACAGGACACAAACCCATATCTGAGACCTGGATGCCTTCCTCCACGCACTCACCCACTGGCTGTCCTGAGCATCACCCTGCACCTATTGTCACAGCAACAAGGGAAAAATCAGGTGAGTATTTTCTATTTCAGTCTAGAAGGCATAGCCTGCAAAGGAAGGAAGTGTGCTGGGAGATGGAGCAGGGTCTTTTGTCTGGAAAACGGAATTCTGGGCTAGAAACTAAGTCGGTGCCAACGCAATGCAGGGAAGGGGAAATCATCACTGGGTCGTGGGCTGCACTCGTGGAGAAGGAATGGAGGTCAAGACCATAAACCAGCCCCTAACTGCTTCTCATTTAATGTAATCCTCACTGTTCATCATTGTTGGTTTGAATAAAGTCATGAAATCTTTTTTTTTTTTTTTTTTTGAGACAGGGTCTCATTCTATTTCTCAGGCTGGAGTGAAGTGGTGCAATTGTGGCTCACTGCAGCCTCGAATACCTCAGCTCAAACGATCCTCCCACCTCAGCCTCCTGAGCAGCTGGGACCACAGGCATGTGCCACCACACTCAGCAAACTTAAAAAAAATTTTTGTAGAGACAAGCTCTCCCTATGTTGCTCAGGCTGGTCTCCTGGCCTCAAGCAATCCTCTTGCTTCAGCCTCCCAAAGTGTTGGGATTATAGGCGTGAGCCATCACATCCAGCCTATTTTTAAGTTCTCTAATATAATTTGGAAATTAATTTGCCCGCTGCCCTGTCTTATCTGCATGAACATTTCCAAGATTTGTAGAGGTGTTTCTATGACACCTCCATGCCTGTGATCATGTATAAGATGTAGCTGATTGAATTATCTTATTCTGTTCAGAAATAGTAAATATAGTGTTTTCAACAACTCTGTGCATAGAATATACCAAATGGAGACCATAAGTGTGTCATGACAGAAAAAATCTATTGTCTCTTTATTATGGTGAGACTCTTTTCCCTCATTAAATCAGCAAAGAAAAGTAACTGAATTTAGCTTTTTGTGTTAGAAAAAAACATTATGCTCCTCAGCAGTTTTCAGAATTGCATTATTTTTTATCTTTCCTCTTGTTTAAAAATGTTTTCATGTCATCCCCAGGCTCAGTGCTCATTTTGGGTCAATGTATAATCATTACCTCCAGTTTTTCTTGTGCATAATGGACTTGAGTTTTAATATAGTGAACTGTTCTGACATTGAAATACTATATTTGATATTTTCACATTCTCCAGTCCTCACTTTTTTTTTTCTACACTCATGGTAATTTAGTTTCTCCTCTGCAATGCTTTCCCTCCTACTCGTTTTCCTTCTCCCTTGCTTAGCACACGGTCATTCCATTATGCCCTCCTTCTTGGTTAAGATGGAAAAGAACCTCCTCTTTTAATTCCATTTGTGCATTTAAGAAATTCCATTTGGTTGTATATAATTATTCTTCTAAGATTATGCTAAGATCAGACTATCTATATTTTACTTGGATCTCTGATCACTATAGATGATATTTGCCTATAAAACAAGTATTGGTGTTTTCAATCACAATCAAAAAGAAAAAACTCAAAACGATTCTTTTAAAAACTCACAAGAGGTACAAAAATATTTTTTAAATACATGGATTGTCTTAAAAATTATTTCTCTCTGTTGCTACGACAGCATAGTGGTCAAGTCCATTGTCAGCTTCTGACACTGCCTCTTACAAGGAGGTGACTTTGGAAATGTCATTCAGCCTTCCTGTGCCTGAGATCGCCTCACCTGTCAAATGGGAACAATAAAGCACTTCAAAGAATTGTTGTAAAAGTTCTATGTAAAACACTATTATAGTACTCTTATGCTAGGAATATATATCTATACACACATATATTTTTATAGTGAAACTCTCAGGAAGAGGAAAATGAAGTTTAATAGGAAATTAATGGCTTGAAAACAATGGTAAGTGGGAAAGAGTGGCTTTCAGTTGCCATGGTACGACAGGCCTCTTGTTTCCATGCCAGATCCTCTCACTCTGAATAGGATGATCAGTCATTGAAAAAAGACAAATGGCCTCCAGGGATGTGGCAATAGGAATATGATCTTCTTATCTCAGACCACAGTAGGATTCCTGGGCAATTGCTTTCTTCATCACCATTATAGTTATTTATTTCACCAGATGCACATTAAGGTCCACAGATCTGATTCTGCAGCACCTGACTGTAGCCAACTCCTTGGTCATTCTCTCTAAAAAATGCTCCATATCCTTGTCAATGCTTGGTATTGGAAATCCTTTTAATTTAAGTCATTCTGGTGGTAGTTTTGGTATCTCATTATAATTTCAATGTCCATGATACAGCTATTTTTTTTTTTTGAGACAGAGTCTGACTCTGTTGCCCAGGCTGGAGTGCAGTGGTGCCATCTCACTCACTGCAACCTCTGCCTCCCAGGTTCAAGTGATTCCTGTGCCTCAGCCTCCTTAGTAGCTTGGATTATAGGTGTGCACCACCAAGCCCAGGTAATTTTTGTATTTTTAGTAGAGATGGGGTTTTGTCATGTTGCCCAGGCTGGTCTCCAACTCCTGGCCTCAAGGGATCCACCCACCTCGACCTCCCAAAGTGTTGGGATTACAGGTATGAGCCACTGCACCCAGTCATGACATAGCTATTAATATAGAACTTTTCATGTGGGCCTATAGGTCAATCTAGGAATTCGCCCTTTCAGAGGCTATTCATATTTATATGCATATTGGTGCATGGCAGGGGTTGGTGTATACACCTTGGTGTATGGCTGAGCCATAACTGGAGCATACCTGAGAATTACCCTATTCTAAGTGTGTTTGGAGTCCCAGGCTAAGGAATCCGGGAGTAGCCAACACTGAGATTCACTACTTATCTATGAAGGACAGCCATATCCCTGCCCCATCCCTTGGAACACAGGCTGTACAGGTGATCGAGGCCCTTTGTTTTGGGTTAAATGGAGATTGCTAGAAGGAGGGTTCTAAGTGAAAATGCTATATGCTATATGGACTACATGCTTTTTTTTTTTTAATACGAACGGTAGTATTTCTCCAGGCCAGCCCACCACCACTGGACCACCCCTGTATATAACTCCTGAAAAAACCTTGTTTCCTTCACTGGTTCTGCCTCTCTTACAGTGCCATCCCAATCGGAATCAATGGGGATCCGGAAGGACAATTGGCCATTTAGATAACATTTGAAAATTAACCAATGTAATTGGTTACATTGTAACATTATTATTAAAATATTATTTTAAAATTATTATTATATAACAGTAACATATTATTATTAAAAATACATATGAACATTTCAATAAAGGCAGAAAAAGCACTTGATATTGAATGCTTTCCTCTTGATTTTACAACCAAGACAAGGAAGTCCATTATCACTATTTCTATTCAATAGTGGACATACTAGCCAGCAACAAAACTAAAAGGTATAAAGATTACAGGAAAGTTAAACCATCTCTATTCACAGATTGGAAGATTGTAATCACATAAATTCCAAAAGACTCTGTAGTCTTTTTGTCCCTTACAAATAATAAGGGAACTTAGCAACATGCTTGAATATAACATCAATATGTAAAAATCAATAGCATTTCTATATTCTTACAACAAACGAGAATATAAAAAAATAAAATGCTATTTAACATCGCATTTAAAACACTGCTCAAGAATAAATCTAATGAAATATATGTTTGATCTCTATACTGCAATCGATCCAAGCACAACTTGGATCCAAACATTAAGATATAAATATGTGTACAATCTACAAAATATTACCAGGAAAAATTAGAGGCCACTTAAATAAATGGTGGGAAATAATGATATTAATGGATTGAAGGACAGTATTGTTAATATACTAGTTTTCCCCAAACAGATCTACAGATCCAACGCAAGCCCAGTACAAATCCTAGCAGTTTTGTTTTTTTTTTAAACTGACAAGCTAATTCCAAAATTCACCTACAAATACAATAGCCTTAGAATAAGCCAAAGCAATCTTGGGAGAATAAAGTCACAGGACTTCAAGACTTATTATAAAGCTACATGAATTAACACAGTTTGATAGTGGTATAAAGTTAGAAAAAGACCACTCCCTCCAGCTCCCCATTCTGCCCCCATCCCTGGAAGGCGCTGGCAGCTTTCCCCATCCGATCTGCATGGGTCAAAGGGCGCTGACGGAGGGCCTGACCGACCGGGATGGGAAACAAAGCGGCCCTGAGATCACTTTCGGTCTAGGAAGCCCACTAAGAAGAAAGCCTGGGCTGTGGAGTTATGAGGAAGGGAATGAATAGTACACGGGGGCCAGGCGCGTCTCCCCAGGAACCAGAAGGCCTTTAGCTCTATTAGTTCAGAACGACTTCCAGCGAGTCCCAGCCCTTTTCCATTCCCAGCGCAACGATCGCCGGAATCCAGGCGCCATCCAGGCCCCTCTGTTCCCTGAAAAGACCACGCAGCCTCCAGTGACATCACGGAGACGAAAGGGCTTGGCCACCTGTGGCAGCCATGATAAAACCTAGGGAAAACGGAGCTCGAAGTAGCTTATTTTATTTATTTTTTATTTATTTATTTATTTATTAAGGAGTCTTGCTCTGTCGCCCAGGCTGTGGTGCAGTGGCGCGATCTCGGCTCACTGCAACCTCTGCCTCCCAGGTTCAAGCGATTCTCCTGCCTCAGCCTCCCCAGTAGCTGGGATTACAGGCGCCCACCATCACGCCCGGCTAATTTTTGTATTTTTCGTAGACGGGGTTTCAGCATCTTGGCGAGGCTGGTCTTGAACTCCTGACTTCGTGATCCACCCGTCTCGGACTCCCAAAGTGCTGGGATTACAGGCGTGAGCCACGGCGCCCGGCCTGGAGCTTGTGTTACTAAAAGACATGCAAACGCCCTTAACCGCTAAGCTCCTGAGGGGTAACGGTATGCTACAAAAGTGCTTCTGAGCTACTACTCCTGGAGGCTTGGTCCGAGTGACCGCAGCAGTGGGCGCGGTGGAAGAGAAGGAGAACGTGTTGGCCCGGGCCTCCATAACCATGGCTGCTAGGGGCGGGGACTGGGAGCGCGGGTCCCGGGACTGGGAGCGCGGGTCCCAGGCCAGGGTGCGGGCTGGGAAGACTCGGTCCTCCACTGCCCCAGCAGGCCACGCGCCCGCGCGTAGCCTCCCGCCCCGCTAGCAGCACGCTGCGTGGCTGCTCGTTGGCTACTTACGACGGAAGCTCGGTTGGGGTTTCTGCAGAAGTTTCCCCCTTGGGCGGTGGCGGAGCTGATAAGCGCGCTAGTAGCAGCTCTGGCAGAAGCAACGGTGGCTTCGAGGGATGGCGGCGGCTGCAACAGGACCTGCAGCATCCCAGAGGTGCGTGTTTTTCCTTCCCTTTGCTATTTATTTTATCCCCTTTCCTTGGCTAGTGGGTCCTGCTGAAGTCGTTGTTTTCCTGAGAGGTTTTTTCCAGAGCTTCTCAGATGCTCTAATCCACTGCGGCGTTAGAGGTGAGAGAGCCTTTTCTGCTTCCTCCACCCCTGGCTGACGCGCCTCCTCCCAGCAGCACCTGATTGGGACCCAGGGTCCTGTGGTTACTGCGTGTCCGCCCCAGTATTGAGATTCTCAGTCTCCTCGCGTTACCTCAGACTCCTGTCTTGCCCTTTCCATTTCCAGACTCTTGCATTCCTGCACTTCTGAGAAAAACCTCCTCCATTTATTGGGAACATGGTTGACAACTGTAGTTGGGCTGAAAGGATTTTTTTTTTTTAATGGCAGTTATGACTAGAAGAGAAAAGTGGACTCTGGGCTCGATGAAAATTAATTTTTTCGTTTGACATCATTGTTGCCATTCTTATGTAAAAGTGCCGGTATGAAGTCAGTCTACTGGAACAAAAACCTTTTCCCTCACGTCCCTGAAACTTTCCAGATGTCTTGTCATAGTTCATTATTCACTCATTTGTTTATTCATCAAAAAATGTTTTAGGAGTTGCTGTGTGCAAAGGCGCTGATTGCTATGGGTTAGTCTTAGTTATATACTTAGCTAACCAAGAAATCACTTCTTGCAGGTGTGCAGTGAAGACAAACTATAAAGCTGTAAAGGAATGTAAAAGAGCAAGAGTTAAATAATAGGAGTTAAAGAAGAGCCTAAAGATAAATGATGCTGTGGGTCACAGAATTTAACCAGGAGGTTTTTGTTTTTCATTTTGTTTGTTTGTTTTTTGCTTTAAAGCACATAAAAAAGGACACCCTGTTTTGTTGTTATAATCTAACATAAGTAACGTTAACAATTTGAGGCAAGACGGCGTCTTTTCTAGCTATGGCTTTTATAAGAAATGTGCCATAGGGTGCTGGAGCCTCTGTTAAGGTGATATTTGAGCAGAGACCTGAAGAAGCAAGAGAATTCGCTTAGAAGTTCTGGGGAAAGAGCATTCCAGGCAGGACCAAGAGCCAGTGCAGAGATCCTGAAGTAGGCATGAAGTTGGCCTGTGTATGGAGCAGCAAAAAGGCCCTTTTTATTAGAGGGCCCATTTGATTAGGAGATAAGGTTGGACAGGAAACTCGGAGCCACGTCCTGTATGGCCTTTTAGGGCCCAGGTATGTTTTTTGAATCTAAATATATAGACCTTTAGATACCAGCAATAAGGCTTCTGGGATCAGTTTTGGGATAATGTTACAGGAAGCAGTGAAAATTTTTCTCTGTAATTTCTTATATTAGATAGCTATTACTTTGAATTTACATTTCTTAATTGTCATGTTAGGGCTAGTGCATCCTTTGGAAATCCAGTTTGTATAAAAGTTGCTTTTAGGCTCAACGCGGTGGCTAATGTCTGTAATCCCAGCACTTTGGGAGGCCAAGGAGGGTGGATCCCTTGAGGTTAGGAGTTTGAGACCAACCTGGCCAACATGGTGAAACCCTGTTTGTACTAAAAATACAAAACAAACTTTAGCGGGGTGTGGTGGTGTGGATCTGTTGTCCCAGCTACTCAGGAGGCTGAGGCAGGAGAATTGCTTTAACCTGGGAAGCAGAGTTTGCAGTGAGCTGAGATTGTGCCACTGCACTCCAGCCTGGGTGACAGAGTGAGACTCTGTCTTAAAAAAAAAAAAAGTTGCTTTTAAAGAATATTAATATAATAAACTTCATTGTCACTTTCTATCTTCTTTTACTTATTAATTTTTTTTTTTGAGTCGGAGTTTCACTCTGTCATCCAGGCTGGAGTGCAATGGCATGATCTCGGCTCACTGCAACCTCCGCCTCCCACGTTCAAGCGATTCTCCTGCCTCAGCCTCCCAAGTAGCTGGGATTACAGGCGCACACCACCACACCCGGCTAATTTTTGTACTTTTTAGTAGAGATGGGGTTTTGCCATGTTGGCCAGGCTGGTCTCAAACTCCTGATCTAAGGTGATCTGCCTACCTCGGCCTCCCAAAGTGCTGGGTTTATAGGTGTGACCATGCCCGGCCTTAAATTTTTTATTGAGGCATATATGACATACGTAAATAACACAAATTTTAAGTCTACAGTTTGATGAGTTTTTAGATACGTGTACACCACCCAGATCAAGATATAGAGCATTTCCATTCATAAGGTTCCTTCATGCTCCTTCCCAGCCAGCAGTTCTTCTTACTGTCCTGCTGACTACTGTTTTGACCTCCATCACCATCTGTTCGTTTTGCTTGTTCTGGACTCATAAACAGAATCATATAGTAGGTGCTTTGTTCAATGTACGCAGTCTGTTTTTGCTTTAATCATTCCATGAGTATACATCCATATTGTGTGAAGCAGTAGTTCTTTTGCATTGCTGTGTAGTATTCCATTGTATAATTGTATAAATATATGTTGTATAAATGTAAGTATAGCACAATTTATTCTAATTGGACGTCTGGTTTATTTCTAGTTGTTAGCTAGCATAAATAAAGTTTCTGTGAGTACTCTTTTGTGTATTTTGGTGAACACATGCATTTCTTTCTTTTGATTGTATATACCTAGGAGTAGAACTGGATAGAATAGTCATGTGGTTAGCACTGGTACCTTGGTTTTTAATGTGTGGCTCTTGGGCCAGCAGTAACAGCATGACGTGGCAATTCACTAGAAGTGCAGATTCTTATTGAAAGTCCTTATGGGCCTGGCACGGTGGCTCACACCTGTAATCCCAGCAGTTTGGGAGGCTGAGGCGGGTGGATCACCTGAGGTCAGGAGTTTGAGACCAGCCTGGCCAACATAGTGAAACCCCGTCTTTATTAAAAATACAAAAAATTAGCTGGGCCATGGTGGCAGGCGCCTGTAACCCCAGCTACTTGGGAGGCTGAGGCAGGAGAATCACTTGAACCCAGGAGGTGGAGGTTGTAGTGAGCCGAAATTGTACCATTGCACTCCAGCCTTGGTGAGAGAGCAAGATCCCATCTCAAAAAAAAAAAAAAAAAAAAGTCCTTATGACTCATGTAGTCCAGTACTTCTTACTCTTCCTTTTCCCAGTGTACATAAGAAAGCAGACCTTGCTAAGCGTGGTGGCTCATGCCTATAATCCTACCACTTTGGGAGGCTGAGGTGGAAGGATCACTTGAGACCAGGAGTTCGAGACCAGGAGTTCAAGACCAGCCTAGGCAACATAAAGAAACCCCGTTTCTTAAAAAGTAAACAGAGATTCAAATAAATCCAAATGATCTGTCATAGAGACACACCAGTTACAGGCAGAAGGGGGGGGCCTTAGGACACAGGTTTTCCAAATTTTAGTCTAGTGCTATAGAACAGTGGTCCTCAAAGGTGTGGGCTCCAGATAAGCTGCAGCATCAACATATTAGAAATGCAAATTATTTATTTATTTGAGATGGAGTCTTGCTCTGTCGCCTAGGCTGGAATGCAGTGGTGCAATCTCAGCTCACTGCAGCCTCTGCCTCCCAGGTTCAAGTGAGTCTGCCGCTGCCTCCCAATTAGCTGGGATTACAGGCGTGTGTCACCACACCCAGCTGATTTTTGTATTTTTAGCAGAGATGGGGTTTCACCATGTTGGCCGGGCTGGTCTCGAACTCCTGGCCTTAAATGTTCCACTCGCCTCAGCCTCCCAAAGTGCTAGGATTACAGTGTGAGCCACCATGCCTGGCCCTAGAAATGCAAATTCTCAGGACCCACCACAGACCCAGAATCAGAAACCCTGGGTGTGGGGAGGATGATCATGATAAGAACCAGCTGTGTTAAGAAGAAATGTTCTTTTTAAACTGTGAGATGACCTCACAAAGATGAACAGGTCAATGTAAATTATTAAATAATTGGTAATGATAAGTAGGGCCGAAACTTTGATGATGAATGTGAGTGTATTTCTCCTGGATTGTCCCAAGGGCTACTTTAACAGGCATTTGGGATTCAGGTCACTTGGTATCATGTGAGTTAAAATGTGTATATTTGATATAAGGTCATCCAATTAGGAATAAAGGGGAATGTTCTTATCACATAGGCTGTTTCACATTTTTCATTCATTCAACAAAGAATGAACATTAAGTGGTGAATGTTGTACTGGAAATCAGGAATCTAAGGATGGATAAGCTTCAGTGAGTGAGTTTTCAGTCTAGTGGAAAGACAAGTCAACAGATCATTAAAATATAAGGTAACTACTGTAATGGGGTTGTGTATAAAATGAGCGTAGCAGAATAGAATCCGACTGAGGGAGTTAAAAACTTTACAGAGGAGGTTGCAAAATTCAGTAGGGAGAGAAAACGTGTGAATTTTGAGAATCGTTCAGGGCCCAGTGTGTGTGGTGGTTAAGAACCCAGGCTCTGGAGTCAGAGACTCTTGGGTCAAAGTTCTGGTTTCATGATAACGGTGTAACTTCAGTAAGGTTCCTGTCATCAGTCCAGAGCAGATTTCTCATCTGTCAAATGGGAACAAATAGGACCTACTTGAAAGGTTTATTTTGAAGATAAGTGAGGTACCCTGTATCATATGCTTAGTACAGTGCCAGGCACATGGTAAATACTACATAACTGTTCTGTTTGGGGAATAATACAAGTTGTTCAGTAGTATTAGCACATAAAATGTGAGGAGGCAAGTGCTAGGAGATAAAGGTTAAACAAGTGGAGAGAGGCCAGGCCATCAAAGGCATTAAATCTCAACAGATGGTTTTCAGTTTTATCATATGATCATGGAGACCTGTGAAGAATTTGGAGGAAGGGAATGAAATTTTCTGAATTACAAAACCTACTTTAAAAGCAGAGTAGATAATGAATTGGAGGAGACACAAGGGATAGTGGATAGCAGGAAGATGGTGGTACAGACCAGGTCAAAGATGAATATCTGCATGCAGGGCAGTGATTGTGGGCATGGAGGGGAGTTGTTTTATGTAAAATGCACTGGACTTGGTGATGATTGGAATATAAGGGATGACTCCTGAGTTTCTGGCTGGGGGAATGTAGTAGGAATTGGTGCCTTTCACTTAAATAGCACCTAGGATGATAGCACTTAGAAGACTGCATTCAGCATGGGGGAATAGGTTTGAAGGGAGGAATTAGTTTTAGATTTTGAATATTTGTATTTGAATTGCCTCTGGGACATTTTGGGTGAAGTCTAGAGAAAACTATGCTGATATTGTACAGGAGCACTGTCTAGGCTCTCAAGATAGACTTGAGTCATCAGGATGATTCAAGACATATGTGAAGCCTCCGACACCACTTAAAGAGTCAAAGAATGTTTCTAAAGGGGAGGAAGTCTAAGTACTGAGCCCAAGGGAAACATTAGGTTTTTTGTTTTTTGAGATGGAGTTTCGCTCGTCACCCAGGCTGGAGTGCAATGGCATGATCTTGGCTCATTGCAACCTCCGCCTCCTGGGTTCAAGCGATTCTCCTGCCTCAGTCTCCCAAGTAGCTGGGATTACAGGCATGTACCACCATGCCCAGCTAATTTTTGTATTTTTAGTAGAGATGGGGTTTCGCCATGTTGATCAGGCTGGTCTCGAACTCCTGACCTCAGGTGATCCAACTGCCTCGGCCTCCCAAAGTGCTGGGATTACAGGTGTGAGCCACTGCGCCCAGCCCGGAAACCTTTGTTTTTAAAAAGCAACAGAATGGTAAGCCGAAAGGTCTGGTTATTGTCAGGGGCCACAGAGAGATCAAGTCAGATAGGAATCAGTTGGATTTGATAAGGGGTTACTAGTGGCTCTGAGAAGATTAAGACTAGAGAGGCAAACATTTTTATATTTTGTGGCCAAGGAGATGTGGTCAAATTAGAGATTGGGGAAAAGGTGGAAAAAGTCTGCAAGGAGAGAAATCAATACTTTTCATTGAGTGCCTACTGGATGCCAGGTATAGATCTAAGTAAGCCCCAAATCCTGGAGTGATCTTCAATTTTTCTTATCCCACATTGGCAAGTCTTGCTGGCTCTAATATATTCCAGCTCATTGTATTTCTCTTCATCACCTCTATGGCTAACATCCTTTTCTAGCCTAGACTTAATGTATTAGTTTCCTAAGAAGTCTGTGTTTCCAGTCCTGATTTGTTATAATGTATTCACCATACAGCAACCAGAATGATATTTGAAAAGAGTAAATTGGACCATTTCTCTCTCCTACTAACAATGAACTTTCCATGGCTTTCCATCACACCTGAGGTCCAAATTCCTTATAACAGCCTGCAAGGTACAAAGTGAGGCCCTTGAAGTAGCATCTTATAGCTTCTTTGCTCTCTTAGTTTGAGCCACACTTTGTTTCTGTTGATTGAATGCAACCCCAGGTGAGTTGAGGGGCATCTGTATTCATTGCTTGGTGAGAGTTATCTATTAGGTTAAAGCAAAGTCAGTGACACATGTGGCTATTGAAATAATTTTACCATTTAAGAAAACTACCAAATCCCTAGAGTTTGTAGGTAGTTGGCAGAAAATAAAAGTGTTCCTGTGTTCCTGCATCTGCCCTTGATCTCCCTAATTGTATAATCTCTTACATCATTATTTTTCCAGCTACCACACCTATATATTATGACTGCACAGGGTGAAAAAGTTTTAATCTCTCTAATGTTAACTCTTGATCAGTTGCCATAGCCATCTATTAGATTATATCTCGGCTTTGAACAGGATGTTTAATTGCATTTTATTAATTTTATTAGAGTTGTGTGCTATTGATAGAGGATAAGAGAGGGCCAGGTAAGCTTGATGGTGTAGATATTGATTGTCTTAACCTCCCTGAGCTCTAGATTTAACTTTTAGTCTTTCTTTATTGGACAGCTTCACATTTTCTAGGAATTTCAAATTCCATATGATGTTTGAATCTTCTCCAAGTTAGAAGGAGAAAATCTGTAATGGTCAATGCATATCAGTTAAACTCTTCAGAATATGTGAGGTGATAATAATTACCATTTATTGAGTTCTGTAGGTCAGGAACTAAATGCTTTTTTTTTTTTTTTTTTTTTTTGAGATGGAGTTTCACTCTTGTTGCCCAGGCTGGAGTGCAGTGGTGTGTTCTCGGCTCACTGCAACTTCTGCCTCCCAGGTTCAAGTGATTCTCCTGCCTCAGCCTCCCAAGTAGCTGGGATTGCAGGCATGCGCCACCATGCCTGGATAATTTTTGTTTTTTTAGTAGAGGTGGGGTTTCACCATATTGGCCAGGCTGGTCTCGAACTCCTGACCTCAGGTGATCCGCCTGCCTCAGTCTCCCAAAGTGCTGGGATTACAGGCATGAGCCACCATACCTGACCCCTAAATGCTTTACAGTACAGAAATACTATGTTAGATTGTCTACTTTTGGGAGGAGGGGCAGCAGAAGGGGAGATCCTCTTATGAGGAAAAACTCCAAGATTACCTCCCTGTTATCTTTCCTCCAAATAGTTTCTGATAATAAGTTATTTGTTTAAAAATTATGTTTTAATTAGAATTTGATGGCTTTTGAATACCTTTTACTGACACTCAACATGTTTGTTTTTGTAGGAACTGACTAAGGCTTTGGAACAGAAACCAGATGATGCACAATATTATCGTCAAAGAGCTTATTGTCACATTCTTCTTGGGAATTACTGTGGTAATTTTTCTTATAAAGTATATTGCCCCTTTTTAATAAGTTACTTATACATTTTACCCATAACCAATTAATCAGATAAAATAAAGGTTGTCTTTGAGGATTTTTGAGTTGGTCTTTCATACAAGGTAAAGTAGCTCAAGTGTGACAGATATGTTGAGCAACACCTATTTAAATTTTATGGATGTCTCTTCTTGCTTCAGTGGGTGGATAATGTATATAGGTTTCATTCATAGTTACTGAGTAGGCTGATAAAGAATAGTATCACATTTACTATTTGACAGAGTATTAAAATGAAATGCTCTTCTTTGTATTTTTTTATAAAAAAGAGTGTAGTGTGGCATGGTGGCTCACGCCTGTAATGCCAGCACTTTGGGAGGCCAAAGCGGGAGGATCACATGAGCCCAAGAGTTCGAGTCTAGCCTGGACAACATAGCAAGACCCTATCTATATTAAAAAATAATGTATTCCTGTACTGTGTAACTTTAAAAATTATTCTGATGAAGAATCTGGATAGGGAAAAACTGAATTTTTTTTTTAGATGGAGTTTTGCTCTTATTGCCTAAGCTGTAGTGCAGTGGCACGATCTCAGCTCACTACAGCCTCTGCCTCCTGGGTTCAAGTGATTCTCCTGCTTCAACCTCCCAGGTAGCTGGGACTACAGGTGCATGCCACCATGGCTGGCTAATTTTGTATTTTTAGCAGAGACGGGGTTTCACCATGTTGGCCAGGCTGGTCTCAAACTCCTGACCGCAGGTGATCCGCCCACCTCAGCCTCTCAGAGTGCTGGGATTACAGGCGGGAGCCACCGCACCCGGCCAAATTACGTAAATGATGCTAATGAGAAAAGGAGATGAATTTTGTCACACAGCTTTATTCACTGACCGAAGAGCTTTAAGAAGGAAGCTAAATGTTAAGCCAAAAGGAAGGTACAAGAGTAATATTTATTTGAATTCTGTGTTGGATTAGCTTTTCCTAATTTAAAACCATCTGGTGTTTCTATCAACTCGAAAACTTAGAAATCTAAAACTGATCCGTATTCCGTGTATGTTTGCTAGAATCTGTAAATAACTGACAAAAAACCATCTTTTTCTTTTTTTCTTTTTTGTTTTTGTTTTTTTTTGAAACGGAGTCTCGCTCTGTTGCCCAGGCTGGAGTACAGTGGCACAATCTTGGCTCACTGCAACCTCTGCCTCCCAGGTTCAAGCGATTCTCCTGCCTCAGCCTCCTGAGTAGCTGGGACTACAGGCATGTGCCACCATGCCCAGCTAATTTTTGTATTTTTAGTAGAGGTGGGGTTTCACAATGTTGGCCAGGATGGTCTCGATCTCTTGACCTCGTGAACCACCTGCCTCGGCCTCCCAAAGTGCTGGAATTACAGGTGTGAGCCACCAGCACCTGGCCTGGCTTTGTTTTTTCTAATGGAGAAATGAGAGTTTGATTTGCTTTCTTGGTCAGAAGTCTGTTCATTTTAAGTTATTAAGAATGCTGAGATGGGAAATCTTAACAATAAGGTTTTTATGGAGAAGTGAAGTGTACATTTGGATAAATTATGAGAGAGTACAGAAGAAACCCAGAGTTTTGAGAGTATTGTTAGTTTTTAATGTTATATTTTTGAGGGGAATATATGAAAATTATCACAGCATTGTGGATATTTAGACATATATAGGAATTGTGAGAGCAAGAATTTTAAAATCGGAAAAATACTAAGACAGAGGTTATGAGTAATCCCAGAAAATTGTAGACTACATAGTCCTACTTGTACTATTATTTTATCTTTATGTTATGATAGAGTTTTATCACAATTCTGTAAAGCAGTGATTCTTAACTGGAAGCAGTTGTTTCCCAGGAAACTTTAGGCAATGTTTGAAGAAATTTTTTATTATCATGAATGGTGGATGGGGGAGGAGCTACTGACATCTAATGAGTATAAACCAGGGGGTACTACGAAACATCCCATAATGGCCAGTACAGTCCTGCCCAACAGAGAAGTATCTGGTTCAAAATGTCAGTAGTGCTGAGTTAAGAAGCTCTGCTCTTACGTATTATATGTTAAATTCTTACTCTGTACTGCTTTGAATGTTTGCTTTTCTGCTGTATACCTATTCAAAAAAGAGATTTTAGGCCTGATTACACAAATGGAAGCTACAAATTAGGAAAGGAAAGGTCTGGGTGACAGGGCTTATTGTCAAATTTGCTTATCCCAGTTTCAGTTTTGGTATGTGAATAATAGGGCTATTCAGTCAGGAAGACAGCATATCTACACTCCTAGCAAATTCCAGAGTCAAGTTATCTAGTGCCTTGATACATACTTGAAAACCCTGAAAAAACGTGGGTCATACCATGCTCTACATTTTCTTTTTTTTTGAGACAAGGTCTCACTCTGTTGCCCAGGCTGGAATGCAGTGGTGTGATCTTGGGTCACTGCAGCCTCCGCCTCTTGAGCTTAAGTGATTCACCCACCCCAGCCCCCCAAGTCACTGGGGCTATAGGCACGTGCCACCACATCTCACTAAATTTTGCTTTTTTTTTCCGCAGAGACAGGGTTTCGCCCTGTTACAACAGCTGGTCTTGAACTCCTGGGCTAAAGCGATCCACCTGCCTCAGCCTCCCAAAGTGTTGGGGTTACAGGCGTGAGCCTTTATGCCTGACCTCATCCTCTACATTTCTAGGCCTTATTACTTTTAAGAGCAATAGAAAAGTTTCCTGCCTAAATTCCTTTCTTTTTTTTTTTCTTCTTTTTGGACCTGGGGGCACAGAGCCTTACTCTTTCACCCAAACTCGAGTGCAATGGCACCATCATAGTTCACTGCAGCCTTGAATTCCTGGGCTCAAGCTGTCCTTCTGCCTCTGCCTCCTGAGTAGCTGGGAATACAGGCATGTACCATCACACTAAGCTAATTCATTAAACATTTTTGTGTAGAGATGAGGTCTCGCTACATTGCCCAGACTGGTCTCTGAACTCCTGGCCTCAAGTGATCCTACTGCCTTGGCCTCCCAAAGCACTGGCATTACAGACATGAGCCACAGCACTTGGCCCCTAAATTCTTTTCTTGAGTTTTCTTTCCTTTCTTGAGTTTTCTTTCCTTCCTTTTTTCCTTTCTTTCTTTCTTTCTTTTTTTTTTTTTTTTTTTTTTTTTTTGAGACAGAGTCTCGCCCTGTCTCCCAGGCTGGAGTGCAATGGTGCATGGTGCATTCTCGGCTCACTGCAACCTCTGCCTCCCGGGTTCAAGTGATTCTCCTGCCTCAGCCTCCAGAGAAGCTGGGATTACAGGTGCGTGCCACCACGCCCAGTTAATTTTTTTATCTTTATTAGAGATGGGGGTTTCACCATGTCGGCCAGGCTGGTCTCAAACTCCTGACTTCGTGATCCACCCGCCTCAGCCTCCCAAAATGCTGGGATTACAGATGTGAGCCACCGCGCCCGGCCGAATAATATCTTAATATCATGCCATTGACATTTATTCTCTAATTACTTCAGAGGTGGCCTTCAGAAGAAGGCCTCTTTGGTAAAATTGCTATTGAGGATATTTCACTAAAAAACAAATTTATCTTTACATTTAAATCCAGGAAAAATTTAAGTTAAACTTTTAGGCTTCTATTTTTATCAGACAGGGTAAAAAATTTATAACTCAGAATATTACCTTTTCCCCTCTTTGTATGTTAGACTGCCTGATTTTAGTTACTGATTATTTAAAATAATAAGTTATTCAAACCCTCTTCTCTAGAATATAGTGTATGTGAGACAGTATATTTAAAATTTTTATTAAGGCCCATGTAGTTGTATTTCTTTTATAAATTAGTAAATTAGAAAATTTTGTTTTAAGAGATTTTTAATTTAAAATTTCCAGATTACTCTTGGCTGGAGTTAACTTGAATTAGTAGGCTTTTATTTAGAGTACTCTCGATGTTTTTAACGTATTTCACTATGCACTGTGTATAGATGTAATCGTTGTTCTGTGTCTCCAGAAGTGAATAATTTGTTTACGCCTACATTTACACTATTATCTGTAAGTATATAATTTATCACCTGTAGCCTCTTGACCCCCATGTAACTTGGATATATGAGAAAACTTCACAGAATTTAAAGATGCTTCTTGGTGTTGGTAGGAAAGGGATGGGAACAGATAAAGCCACTGAGAGAATAGTGGACTGAATAGGTAGCTGCATTGAAGAGTGAGCTGGGGCTGGGAAAGGCTTAAGGACCTCAACTCAGCTCCCAGTTACCAAGCCTCCTCCCCACCCTAACTAATGGCATTTTGGGAGTCTGATTTAGATCTGACTTTGTTGTGTGTATGAGGAAGCTTCTCTAAGGGCAGAGGGATTGAGGGAAATGTGCATTATTTATATCTATGAAATTAGTGAGGTTTACTGTAGTTAAAATTAATTTAAAAAAATCAAAATGTTTCAGGATAAACAACCAAGTGTTAAACTATTGGTATGTTTATAGCTATAACAGAGTTTGCCATAAGTTCTGTTAAGACAGGTTTTATTCACTGCTGACTCCCCAGTGCCTAGAACAGTGCCTGGGATGTAATAGGTATTTAATAAGTATTTGCTGATTAACAGGTTGTGCAGATGAGTGATGTGATAGGTTTTTCTTTCTAGGTGCAGATGCTAATTTCAGTGACTGGATTAAAAGGTGTCGAAGCTCAGAATGGTATGTAGATCTCCCATGGTATTTCAATTTAAAAAGAAGTAAACATTTGAAATTTTTTGGTTTAAACAAATTTGTTTTTACCTTTATAATTTATTTTAAATAATACATGTTTCCTTAAATGTAGACTACCAAAAATATAATGTTTTTTGCCTAGCTTCTTAGGTTGAAAAGGAGATTTGGGTGAATTTGCTGGTATGACATATCAGTAAGAAATTACTAAGGAGTCTAGGCCGGGGCCCGGTGGCTCACTCCTGTAATCCCAGCATTTTGGGAGGCTTAGGCAGGCAGATCACGAGGTCAGGAGATTGAGACCATCCTGGGCAACATGGTGAAACCCCGTCTCTGCTAAGAAAATACAAAAATTAGCCGGGCGTGGTGGTGCGTGCCTGTAGCCCCAGGTACTCGGGAGGCTGAGGCAGGAGAATCACTTGAACCCAGGAGGCGGAGGTTGCAGTGAGCCAAGATCACACCACTGCACTCCAGCCCGGGCAACAGAACGAGACTCCGTCTCAAAAAAAGAAATTACTAAGGAGTCTAAAATGAATTCAGGAGGCAAAATGAACCCACTTTTCTTTAGTTGAAAGGTATGGAGAATTGGCTTGCTTAATCAGTATGTTTGTGCAATAAAAATCATATAAATACCTTTGCCTTTAAATGTACTGTTAACTGAAAATTCTTCCTTTTTATGTTTTAATAGGCTCGGAATCTGAGGTGGTAAGTCCAGAGTTTTCATTCTTCATGTTTTTATTTACTTAGGTTAAATTTCAAGTACCCAATATATTTGAGACAGGACTCAGGATGAGCTCTCTGTCAGCTAAATATTAAGCAATTCCATTTAAGTACTGGTTCCTCTAGGAACTGAAATAAAGCCATTTTTTCATAAATATGGAAGTTTCTAGTCATGAAATTTATTGGGCTATTTTAATGAATTTATCGTGTGGTTAAAATCGATTTCGTATGTTTTAGTATGGTCAAAATGATTATTTATCTGTTCCTTACTAAAACCTTATTACATTTATTTAGGTCCAACAGTTTGAATCACTTGTAGGGCTTTTTATGATAGGCTAAGACAAAAGTTAAGGAAAATTGGAAATGTTTATCTTTAATTCAGTGTAATGTTTATTGTTTTGGGCATGAAGACCTTCAAGTCTTTTCAGTTATTAAAAATTATGGTGGAATTGAATAAAAGTAACTTTTAATTTTATTTTTTTTAAAAGACAGTGTCTTGCTCTGTTACACAGGCTGGAGTGCAGTGGTGCCATCATAGCTCACTGCAGCCTGAAACTCCTGGGCTCAAGTAGTTTTCCTACCTCAGCCTCCCAAGTAGCTGGGACTACAGGTGCATGTCACCCCACCAAGCCCGCTAATATATTCTATTTCTTTAAAAAGCTTTTTAGGCTGAGTGCAGATTTTTATGCCTGTAATCCCAGCACTTTGGGAGGCTAAGGCATGTGGATCGGTTGAGGTCAGGAGTTCAAGACCAGCCTGACCAACATAGTGAAACCCTGTCTCTACTAAAAATACAAAAATGAGCCAGGTGTGGTGGTAGGCGCCTGTAATCCCAGCTACTCAGGAAGCTGAGGTGGGAGAACCCCTGGAGCCCAGGAGGTGGAGGTTGCGGTGACCCAAAATCATGCCACTGCACTGCAGTCTGGATGACAGAGTGAGACTCCGTCTAAAAAAAAAAAAAAAGGACAAACTACCATAAAGATGAATCTGCTTTTTTGTTTTGTTTTGTTTTTTAATTAAGCTAAATATTATGTTACTTCATTATGAGGGAACAATGAAAAATTACAGTTTAAGTTTTAGATTCCTTTATATTTTCAAAAAGAAATAAAGCTATACAATAGAATTAATATTCGGAGAATATTTAACTATCACTCAAAGCATGTAGATAATAACCAGGCGTGGTGGCTCACACCTGTAATACCACCACTTTTGGAGGCCGAGTTGGGCAGATCACCTGAGGTCAGGAGTTATACACCAGCCTGGCCAACATGGCGAAACCCTATCTCTACTAAAAATACAAAAATTAGCTGGTCGTGTTGGCATGCGCCTGTAATCCCGCTACTCTGGAGGCTGCAGCAGAAGAATCACTTGAGCCTGGGAGATGGAGGTTGCAGTGAGCTGAGATCACGCCACTGCACTCCAGCCTGGGTGGCAGAGTGAGACTCTGCCTCAGTTAAAAAAAAAATGTAGATAATAGTGTAATTTAGTAAGAAAAGTACTGAACTGAAAATCAAGAAATCTGACTCTGGATCTTTGCTAGCCCTGAGAATTTACTCTAGGCACAAAATGACTATGACTAAATTTTTAGTACCTTTGAAAGGAGGTCCGTGGACCAAATGAGCTCTGGAGTCCTTTCAGCTGTAAAATTATATGAAGGTATAATGATAAATGAGTTCAGGCGAATAAATGATATAGGTAGGCTTTTTCCATTACTACTCCTTTTTTATGTTTAATTAATTAATTAATTAATTTTTGAGACAGAGACTCTCTCTGTTGCCCCGGCTGGAGTGCAGTGGTACAACCCCAGCTCACCGCAACCTCCGCCTCCTGGGTTCAAGTGATTCTCCTGCCTCGGCCTTCTGAGTAGCTGGGACTACAGTTGCCTGCCACCATGCCCGGCTGATTTTTATATTTTTAACAGAGATGGGATTTCACCATTGTTGGCCAAGCTGGTCTCGAACTTCTGACCTTAAGTGATCTACCCGCCTTGGCCTCCCAAAGTGCTGGGATTGCAGGTGTGGGCCACAGTGCCTGGCCACTACTCCTTTTTTATACAAAGTTCTGCAGCATACTGTTACTATTTATTAAGTTGAAGTTCTAAGGACATGTGAAATTTCCTATCGTGGAATAGGATCAGGGTTGGCCTGTGTCATGAAGAATGGTAACTAGACCTGTAGAAAGGAGACAGGTTCAGAGGGTTGGAGAAGGAAGTGCAAAGTGAAGTAGTTTTTTTGCATCTAGCTAAAAAGGATCTGCCTATTTATTTATTTAAAGATTGTGAAGAACAGAGCTGGTTAATTATGAGGCAGATTTATGAAATAGCTGCTTGGGACAATAGAAAGTGAGAAAAGGGATGAAATCTTACCAAGTTTTTTTTTTGGAGACAGAGTTTCGCTCTTGTTGCCCAGGCTGGAGTGCAGCGGCATGATCTCAGATCACTGCAACCTCCACCTCCTGGGTTCAAGCAATTCTCCCGCCTCAGCCTCCTGAGTAGCTAGGGTTATAGGCACACGCCACCATGCCTGGCTAATTTTTGTATTTTTAGTAGAAACGGGGGTTTCACCATGTTGGCCAGCCTGGTCTCGAATTCCTGACCTCAGGTGATCCACCCACTTCAGCCTCCAAAAGTGCTGAGATTACAGACGTGAGCCACCATGCCCGGCCCTTATCAGGATTTTGGTCTGTTTCTGGTCATATCCACATGGTGTAGAATTTGTTTAATAAAATAATTTTGAGTAACCAAGCACAAAACTCTAGGTAGATTTGAAAGGGAGATATTTCCAAAAATTATGAATTTGATTTTTTTGGTGTATGTCTATCAAGAGATTGGTAATGCGTGTCCATTTGAAGTAATTTAAATTGAGTGTGAATAAATGATAATGAGCTTGCATTACTGAGCCATCTCATACACTGGTGGAAGAATAGCATGTGTGGTAAATACACAGATCTGTGTGGCTAGAGTTGAGGATGTAATTAAGCACTCTCATCTCTCATTCTTTTTTCTGTTTTGAATCTTGCATTTGTTTATTTTAACCATTCTTCAGTCCTACTTACTATGTTCTCAGTTTGCCTTTCTTCCCCTTTCTTCTTTAAATGCTAAGCAACTACTTTTCTTCCTTGTATAGTAGTTTATGAATACATTTCATATCCCTCATTCCTATGTAAGTCTTTGAGGTTAAGAAGCGTGTCTTATTTGCATGTTTGTATGTGCCTCAGTTAGGGTTCCCAGATAAAGTACAGCATGCTCAATTAAGTTTGTATTTCTGATGAACAATGAATTATTTATTTATTTATTTGAGACAGAGTCTCACTCTGTCACCCAGGCTGGAGTGCAGTGGCCCAATTTCGGCTCACTGCAACCTCTGCCTCTCTGGTTCAAGCGATTCTCCTTTCTCAGCCTCCTGAGTAACTGGGATTACAGGCATGAGCCACCACACATGGCTAATTTTTGTATTTTTAGTAGAGAGGGGGTTTCACTATGTTGGCCAGGCTGGATTCGAACTCCTGACCTCAAGTGATTCACCCACTTCGGCCTCCCATATGTTGGGATTATGGGCGTGAGCCACTGCACCTGGCCTATTTTTTATTATATAAGTGTGTTCTGTGTTGTATTTTTGTTTGCTAAACTTGGCAGCCCTTGCCATGTGTATTGCACAGTGGGTGCTTAGTTCAGTGAATCAATCAAAATTGGGTTCTAGTTTTAGTCCTGTGGTACTGGCAGAGTATTTTTATTCTTAGTTTTGCAGGTGAAAAAAAAATCTGAGGTTAATGGACTCTAAATCTTTCCCTAAGTTTACCTAGTTAACTAAATTGCTCAGCCTGGCCCAGGAGACATACATACACTTGACTCCCAAGCAAACTAGTACACCTTTGCTTAGTTTTTTTCCTAAGTTTTGAATTGAAGAACTTAGATTCTAAGGATTTGTTCTAAAGGATGATTATTTTTCTTGTCCTGTCCCTGGAATCTCCATATTTTATACATATATATTATATATTGTATATATAATATACATTTTATGTATATTATATATTGTATATATAATATACATTTTATGTATATTATATATTGTATATATAATATACATTTTATGTATATTATATGTTGTATATATAATATACATTTTATGTATATTATATGTTGTATATATAATATACATTTTATGTATATTATATGTTGTATATATAATATACATTTTATGTATATTATATGTTGTATATATAATATACATTTTATGTATATTATATGTTGTATATATAATATACATTTTATGTATATTATATGTTGTATATATAATATACATTTTATGTATATTATATGTTGTATATACAATATACATTTTATGTATATTATATGTTGTATATACAATATACATTTTATGTATGTTGTATATACAATATACATTTTATGTATGTTGTATATACAATATACATTTTATGTATGTTGTATATATTTATGTATATTGTATATTGTATATATTTATGTATATTGTATATTGTATATATTTATGTATATTGTATATTGTATATATTTATGTATATAATATATTATATATAATATATTATATATATTATATATTATATATATTTTGTATATATAATATATTATATATATTTTATATGTAATATATATTTATATATTATATATTTTATATATATTTATTATATATAATATATATTTTTATATATTATATTTTATATATATTATATATTTTTATATATTATATTTTATATATATTATATATTATATATGTAATATAATATATATTATATATATATTTTATATATATATATACACACACACACAAACATAATCTTGTTAGATTACTAACTCTAAAAACTATTTGGGGGAAAACAAACTGAAAGAAGTTTTCTTAATTATGTCTTAAGGGAAATAAATGATAAAAATCTTTCAATTTCCTTTTTTATACAGTAGAGGGAGACAGTATTAGAATACTGAAAATAAAATCTGAGGCTTACTTTGTGGACACTAAGAGAGAACAGTACTAAAATAATTTGCTCTTCATATATTCAGATATCTTGATTGTGTTTCACTGTTTGGATATCTTGGACCTTTGTGAATTAAGAAAAGATGCATTTTGCTGGGGAGAATCTGCTTAGTATTAGAGCTTCTGTAAAATTTGCAGCTTAAAAGAGTGATTTCTGTGCTTTTGAGAATTCTCTTTTCTTTCCCACCTTCAAGGTTGAATGAATGTTGCATGTCCATGTGTAGTCAGTCGGTGGTTGAATGTTATTAATTTGAATGATATATAATTTGCGATGAAAGTAAGAAGAGAAAGAGGTAAAACCCTGAAATTAATGAAATAGCATTTCTTAACTATTTTACAATATAATATCTAATATGTTTTTTCCAAGCCAGGATTCATGTTTTTTCAGTATCTCTGATAGTTATTTCTACCTTTCGCTGAATATCACCTTTCATGTTAGCCTATTAATTTTTTAGAAATTAAGAAACTATAATTTTTTATTTCATCTTGTTAATTTAATGACACTCTTCTCTGATCACAGTCTCAGAATTGTGACTTTAGTGTCACCTATATTGTGAAATATTCATTTTAAATATTAGGTTTTATTTTTTTGAGATAGAGTCTTGCTCTGTTGCCCAGGTGGAGTGCAGTGGCAGCATGATCTCGACTCACTGCAACCTCCGCCTGCTGGGTTCAAGCAATTCTCTTGCCTTAGCCTCCTGAGTAGCTGGGACTAAGGTACACACCACCATGCCCGGCTAATTTTTTGTATTTTTAGTAGAGACGGGCAGGCTGGTCTCGAACTCCTGACCTCATGATCTGCCCGCCTCAGCCTCCCAAAATGCTGGGATTACAGGCATGAGCCACCACACCTGACATTAATTTTTATTCCCTTTAAGAATTAGAATTCTCAGTCTTTTGGGGTGAATTTGCCCTTGTGGAAATGTTGTTTTATTCCTATTTTTAGTCAGAATAATTTTTCTGTATTAAACAATACAAAATGTGAAAGCCTGGAATTGTGGGAATTAAAAATGTATGTCTTAGAAGCAAAATAGCCTCCTTTTCTTTTACTAAAATTTGTGAAGTTTTAAAGTAATCCCTTTTTTTAATGTTCAGAGAAGAATATATGTATGTTAAAGAATCCTAGTGATAATGTAATGGAATGGGGTATCTGGGCATGATGCTCCTGCTTGTCTGAATACATATATATGGGAATTTTAAAAATTGTTGTTTTAACATCTTGCTTCATATAGTGGTGGTGATAATAGTGAGAATTGTTTAATTTTTTTAATTGAGTTAGTTAAGAATCCACAAATCATAGATCTTAGAATGTATTCTTGTTACTTTTGATATATTTTGTAACATATATTTATATATTTTTAAAGAATACTTTTACTCTACATAATTTTTAAACAGCTATACATTGTCAATATTTTTATCATGTCCTTACATATTCAACAGCAAAGTATTTCATCGTATGCATGTACTGTACCTTATTTAGCCAGCTCCATTTTGTTTGTCCTGTGGATAATTATAATAGCTGTTTTGACTGTTTTACCACATTGCAGGCACTGTACTGTGTATTATCTCATGTAATTCTCATAGTTACTGCATGGTGTAGGTATTTTTATCCCCAGTTTACAGGTAGAGAAACTGAGCTCAGAGATGTTAAATAATTTGTCCAGGTTTTTCGGATTATACTGATGAAGATACTGATAACTAGCATTCTGTTGTCAGTTATTTGCCAGACAGGGTTCTTCATTTTTCTTATACATAGTATCATTTATTCTTGAGAACCCTGAATGAGTTATTCTTGAGAACCTAAATAAGTTAGGGCCTACTAAGTCATTTGCAATACAATACAATAGGAGAAACTGAGGCTCGCTGAGATTAAGTTGCTTGCTTATGGTTATACATCCAACAAATGGCACCTATTTCCAAGTTTTTCTGTTTACACAACTGATTGTTTTTGTCCCAACCCCTGCTTATTTCTGAGGAAATAAGTAAAAATTCTAGCTGAAAAAGACATTTCCAGCAAATTATTTCATATTTTGTCTTCCTCCTCTCTGAAATATGGATAACAGTCTTTTTTTTTTAATAGGGTGATTTTATTAAGTGAGATAATGCATGTGTGAAGCATGTAGCACACAGGGTATTATATAAAAGTCAATAAATGTTACTAGTACTATTTCTATTATTTTATTTTGGTTATTTAGATTTTTATTCAGGCTGTAAAAGCAGTAAATGCATATTATAACATATCACAGAAAATCTGGAAAAGATAAAGGAGCTTAGGAAGTAATCACTCAGACTCACGACTGATGACATTTTAGCCTGTTTCCCTCGGGATAACTCATTATTTCCTGATACATAGGTCGATCACTACACATGACACGTACTGGAATCTTTTTACTTATGGGAATGTCTCTTCTGATTAACTACTTTAAGAAGAAAAGAGGCTGTGTCCTCATGTACCAGCACTGTTTCTAGCTCAGAGTGGGTACTCAGCAAATATTTGAAATGAGCTGTTAGAAGCTTGAGAGAAGACTTTTCAGGTCTTCGCCATTCGTTGCCATTTTTTGCATTTAAAAAATGATTATAAAAAGATTTTAGTTTAAAAACAAAGAAGGTAGATGTACTAGTTTGAGCTCAGGAAGACTGAGCTATTATCAGACAAAGGAATTTGATGTAACAATGAAACGTGCAAAGAGCTCAGTAAGAGTATGTTGGGAAGGTTGCATTCTGAAGATCGGGGAACAATTATTTAATGAGTACAGTCTTGAAGTATATGTTTCTCAAAAGTTTGCCAATAAATTGCCCCAGCTCTTTAGTCTCTGGGAAAGATCTCTTCATGTTAGTCAGTAGTGGTAAGTGGAATCTTCCCACTTAAGATGGTGGTGTCTGGATATCATGATTGTGTAAGAGTAATGACATCTCTTTAATTTTGAAGTTTCTTTCATTGGAAAAAATTAAACTCTGTGCTATGCAGAGGAGACTTTAGAGGTGGATGGATGGTAATACGTATAATGTTGAGAACTAATGATCCAGCACAGTAGGGATTCTTATTGATAACCCGTGAATACTCTTTTGGGATATTAACACCTCGAGAACTTTCCCGGTACATATGAGAGCAACATTCAAGCAAACTACCAAAGTTTTAAGTTAACTTTTAAAGTATTTTTGACTTAAATGAAAATGGAATGGTTTCTTAATGGTTGCAATAAAAACCTCTGAAATTGGACTAGTGCTAGTTCTAGAACTATCTCCCAGAATCAAGACTTAAAACTTCATTTTTAAAAACATTGAAACATTTGAAAGTGCAAGCATTGAAAGTGAATTAAGTGTAAAAAGGAATTCATAGAAAATTAGCGCCTCCCTTCTTTTCCTTTGCTGGGGGAGACAGGGTCTTACTCTGTTGCCTATGCTGGAGTCCAGTGGCACTATCATGGCTCACTGCAGTCTCAACTACCTGGGCTCAAGTGATCCTTCCACTTCAGCTTCCCAAAGTGCCAGGATTACAAGCGTGAGCCACTGCACCCAGCCCCCTTTACCTTTCTAAAAAAGATGCTTTAAGTGCTTTATTACATGCAGCTATTTTGGTGAATGATTAAGTATAATTTCAAAAGTGGAGATCAGCTTGTCTCAGCTGAAACGGGTCGTTACTAAGAGCTTTTCCTTTGGCTTTATAAAGGCCTCTTTGTTTATGCTGCACACTTACTCAGGTTATGATGGCTGTCAGTAGATGTGAATACTAGTCTGTGCTGCTTTTCAGGTGAAACAAGGAACTTTTTATAGATGATGTGTACATAGTTACAGGAACATGAAGTGTGAATATAGGGTGCCCTGTGGCCAAGTTTAGTGTGTTGATGAACACAGTACTTTCCAGGCCCTCATTTTTCAGATGAGTTGAAAATTAAAGGTGCAAGATGCAGTTTTAATCTTTCAGATAATATTAACAGTTCTTTTCAGTAACTGTTGCTGTGTCATTGCCAGCTACTGAATTTCTGTCTCCTTTTGATAAATATCCCAGCCTTAAAGTAACCAGAGTACTATCACTTAATCCTGTGTATGAGAAATTATTGATGGTATATTACTTTATAGAAAAACTAGCTGGGCGCAGTGGCTCACGCTGGTAATCCTAGCTACTTGGGAGGCTGAGACAGGAGAATCACTTGAACCCGGGAGGCAGAGGTTGCAGTGAGCCAAGATCACACCACTGCACTCCAGCCTGGGTGACAGAGACTCTGTCTCAAAAAAAAATCATAGTTTACTTTAGGGAATTCTAGAGATTCTTATGAAATATTTGTTTTTATGTATGTAGAGTTTAAACATGTAAATTACACTAAAGATACTATACTCTGCCCTTATCCCAGTGACATGGTTTTATATTTTTCTTGTTATGAAAACAGTTGTTTATTACATTTCTTTGCTCCTAAAGAAAATAAAAATAAACACTTGAGACCACATACCCCACATACACATACCATCACTTGATGTCTGATTAAAAATGTTGGCAACTTTCCCTATGTTAGCACTTTGTTAGGGTATTTTAGGTGCAAATTTTGAAGGTCTTTTTGCTAAAAGTAGATGGTATAAAGATTACTAGGAATTGCTAGTTTAAATGAGTCATCTGATAAAAAGAAGTCAAAGAACCTAGTGGTGAATGGGCTTCTCTTTTTGTTAAGTTTGCCTTTTGATTTTTTAATTCTGTTTGCAAAAGTAATGATCCTTTTCATAGAAAAAAGTTAGAATATAACATTCTAACTCAATTCTTCATTTAAACTGTTTTATATAATGTTATGGTGCTTACTTTAATATTTGCGTTAAAAATGCTGATTTTAGCCAGTTAAAAATAGAGGTGAGAGCATTATTTGAATAAAGAAAACAAAAGGTAGATATAAATACTATGTGAGTGTGTGTTTAGGGGTAAGGATAGACTCAGGGGACTAGCCTTGATTAGAGAGTAAAAGATGCTATTAGGATACTATTAATTTTTCATTTTAATAAGTGAACTTAGTCTAGCATTCAGAAGTTCTTAACAGTCTGCCTTCTGCTTCTTTTTCTTTTTCTTTCTTTCTTTTTTTTTTTTTCTGAGACGGAGTTTTGCTCTTGTTGCCCAGGCTGGAGTGCAGTGGTGCGATCTTGGCTCACTGCAACCTCCGCCTCCCAGGTCTCAGCCTCCTGAGTAGCTGGGATTACAGGCATGCACCACTATGCCCAGGTAATTTTGTATTTTTAGTAGAGACAGGGTTTCTCTATGATGGTCAGGCTGGTCTCAAACTCCTGACCTCAGGTGATCTGCCCACCTCGGCCTCCCAAAGTGCTGGGGTTACAGGTGTGAGCCACTGCGCCCGACTCTGCTTCTTTTTTTATCGTATTTTTCACTGCTCTGATTTTTTTTCAAGTCAAGTCCTGAACTTGATGCAAATTGGTCTTCTCCATACTCCCCTATGTGGTGTCCTTGCATACCCCAGTGCTCCAGTTAGGCCATTCCCTGTGCCTCTTGCAAATGCTTTTGCCCTCCAAAGCCCTTCAGGGTGTATAAAGCCTTTCCTCTTCACAGTCAGGTGTGGTCTCTCCTGAGCTTTTAGCACATTTATTTATTTAGAACTTTAGTAACTTTCTTAAAGTATCTCACATACTTCCAAATGGTCGAAGATGTGTCTTTAATATTTTAAAAATCCAGCCAGGTGTGGTGGCTCATGCCTATAATCCTAGCACTTTGGGAGGCCGAGGTGGGAGAATGGCTTGAGGCCAGGAGTTTCAGACCAGTGTGGGCAACATAGTGAGACCCCGTCTCTATAAAAAATAAAAAAATATTAGCTAGGAGTGGTGGCATATGTCTATAGTCCCAGCTACTCGGGAAGCTGAGACCGGAGAATCACTTGAGCCCAGAAGTTCAACGCTGCAGAGAGCTGTGATCCTTCCACTGCACTCCAGCCTGGGAGACAGAGCAAGCCCCTTTCTCTACAAATAAAATAAAAATCCCCACCGTCTTGAGGACTATACCATCTTATACTAGGTGTTTAGTAATTATTTGTTGAATGAATGAATGCAAAAATGTTAGCATTAGTTGTATTATGTTTATACAGTGAAACGTTTCTCCACTGTAAAACAGGTGAATGCACATGTAAACACAGTAATTGTTTTAGAATCGGATTTCTTAATAGTGGCATTATTGACATTTTGGGGGATTGCCCTGTATATTGTAGGATGTTTAGTAGCAACTGTGGTCTCTACTCACTAGACTTCATTACCACATCTCCCTTCAACTCCAGTTGTGGCAACTCACAATGTCTCCAGACACTGCCATGTATCTTTTTGGGTGTTTCAGAGAAGCTGAATAAAAGTGGGTCTCTCCATATTAACTAAATGATAATGATTAACATCTGTGTGGTACTTTGACTGCGTATAAAGTGCTTTCACATATATCACTGATTCATTAATTTGTTAAGCATTTATTGAGCTCTGCTACGTGCTGTACGCCTCTACTGGACACCAGAGTATAATATACTGGTGAAGTGCTCCTTGAACTTGAGGCATCATAAAAAATGTGACTTCCCAAGAAAAGCCTTCTCCCACTTTGTTAAGTCACTCTGCCCTTCTTACTGTCTAGCGCCACACTCTGTCTCCTTTGCGATATTTTCTGTTCTGCTCTCCTTAAGGGTAGGTGTCATGTCAGTTTCTGTCACCTCTGTCAGGTCTTGAATGCAAGACCTAGTGTATTGCTAGGCCCAAAACAGGCACTCATAAAAGCAGTTGAGTTGGTGGAAGAATGGATGAAAGCAACATGCTCATAGGAAAGAGACAGGCCAAGATTCATTGCTACACAATATGATGGGTACCAAGGCAGAGAAGTGGGTTGAGGGCATTGTGTTAGTCTGTTTTGAGTTGCTATAACAGAATACCACAGACTGGGTAATTTATAAAGAAAAGGAATTTGTTTCCTCACAGTCCTGGAAGTTAGGAAGTCCAAGATGAAGGCACTGGCAGGTTCATTTATCTGGTGAGGGTCTAGTCTCTCTGCTTCCAAGATGGGGCCTTGACTGTTGCATCCTTGAGGAGTTGGGGAAGAATGCTGTGTCCTCATATAACAGAAGGCAGAAGAACAAAAAGGGATGAACTCCCTCTTTCAAGCCCTTTTATAAGGGCACCTAATCCCATTCACAAGATAGGAGCCCTCGTGGCCTAATCACCTTTTAAAGGCCCCACCTCTTAATACTATCACATTAGCAACAATTAGTTTTGGAGGAGGCACATTCAAACCATAGCAGGTATAAAAGACAAGCATTTAATCAGACTGTTTGTCAGTTGATAATTTTTCCTTCTTTCCTGGAGACCTGTCTATGAGTGGCTGGGAGACCTGTTTAATTCTGAGGTATAGAATTAAGATGGCCATCTGCCTGCAAGTAGAGATAAGCTGCATTCTCCCAAATCAACTTTGTTTATAATAAAAGGAATGTTCTGGTCTCCATATGCCATACTCTTTATTGTCAATTTCTTAAACAGTTCACAACTTGGTTAGAGAAGAGGCAGGCTATCTATTGCCCCATCGTCAACCTTTTTTTTTTTTTTTTTTAAAACTAAATACCTAATCGCTATATTGTTATTCTTTTGTCTGTTAGTGCTCTCCTTAACACGTATAAAAATAGACCAAACTGACATGATCATATTTTAGAAAAATGCTATTTTCTTTTTTTTTAAAAAGGAAACAGAAAAAAAGATAGATGGCTTAAATTGTCTACTTATCATAACATAGAATTAGAAATCCCAGTCTTCGTGGCTGCCAAAAAAAAAAAAAAAAAAGGAATGGCCACAAAATGAAATCAAATAAAAGTCTTTCATTGCTCTTTTCCTATGACTGTTAATATGAAGAAACTTAATAGTTCTGAAAATAAAGATGTAAATTGCTGCAGAATATAAAACAGGATAAAGTCACAATAGCCAAAATGTGGAAGGAACCCAAATGTTCATCCATGGATGAATGGATAAACAACATGACGTATATATGTACAATGGAATATGATTCAGCCTTAAAAAAAGTGCAATTCTTACATATGCTACAACATAGATGAACCTTGAGGACATTATACTAAGTGAAATAAGCAGGTCACGGAAGGACAAATACATGATTCCACTCATGTGAGGTAGCTAGAATAGGCAAATTCGTAGAGAGAGAAAGTAGTTTCCAGGGGCTGGGGATAGGGAAGAATAGAGAATTAGTGTTTAATTGGTATAGACTTTCTGTTTGGGATGATTCTTTTAAAAGTTCAGGGTATGGATAGTTGCGATGGCTACATAACAATGTGAATGTACTTCACACCACAGAGTTGCACAATTAAACATGGTTAAGATGGTACATTTTTGTGTATTTTACCATAAGAAAAAAAATTTAGGGCTGGTCAAGGCAGCTTACATCTGTAATCCCAACACATTGAGAGGCCAAGGTGGGAGGATCGCTTGAGCCCAGGAGTTTGAGACCAACCTGGGCAACATAGTGAGACCCCATCTCTAAAAAAAAATAATAACAATAAAAAATTAGCCAGACCTGGTGGTGTGTGCCTATAGTCCCAGCTACTCAGGAGGCTGAGGCAGTAGGATCACTTGACCCCATGAGTTCAAGGCTGCAGTGATCTGTGATCATGCCACTGCACTCCAGCCTGGACGACAGAGTGAGAACTTGCCTCGAAAAAAAAATTAGTGTGATAAAGCGCAGACCATGTATATAATGAAGATACTTCAACCATTTGAAGGAGTGTTCTGTTCTCAAGCCAAATAGAGAACCACATACTATCCCAGAAAAAGGCACAGTTAGCAAAGGATCCAGGGAAGCTGGAAGGGCTGGTGTTTTGTGGCTGAGGTCAGTAGAGATGACTGCTCTGTTCATGGAATCCCATGGGTACTTATCTTCATCTTCTTAGCCACCAGTGACAGGGTACTGCTTGACAGACTGACCCTGTGGTGTGAATATCACATACATTATCATTGAATTTTTGAAACACCTTATAAAGTAGACATTCGCATTTATAGGAATTTAATACCTTTCTGAAATTTGCGAAGTAAGTGGTGCAGTCAACACTTAAACCCTAGATCAGCAGACTCCAAAATTGAGGTACTTTCCTCAGTATATCCCAAGAATGGCTTTAAGAAGAATTATATGGATAATCTGGAGTAAAAGGAACAAGAATTTCTTCATTTAGGTCAGTGAGATATGCTGACAAGATGACCACAAATGCAGGAATGTTGGAGTGGTAATTAATATTTAAATGAGAAATCATTAGAGTTTAAAGAGTGGAATACCAATGCAAGTTTCTGGTGCTACTTCAGTAGGGCTCTTTGGAACTGATTGAAGGGGAAAAAATTAAAGCCAGAAAGCTCAGTGGAGCAGATGTCATAGTGGCCACAGTGAAACAAAGATTTTCAAAATGAGATGCTAAGTGAGAAACAACAACTGGGGAGAGAAGTAATTTCTCCAGGGTCACAATGGGCATAAGGAGAATTGTTCTTTTAGACTCTAGGTGAGATCGTAGTAATCCAGGGATTGGTGATGTAGGCCACTGAGTTCTGGCTTTGAGGACATCTCTAATCCCTAAACCTTCACTAAGAGGGAGGTGAAGGGAGTCAGGTGTGCCACATGTCTGGCTACTGAAAAATGCCTAGATGGGAAAGGAGTTTGAAATATCATCCTAAAATGAAGTTTCTGAGTTAAGTTGGCCAGATTTCACCATGTGTTTGCTGTTATTACTGTGTAAAATCAAGAGATTTAAATGAGATTAAGATCTTTAATTAGCTTTCTGAGATATTGAAACGTAAGAACCTGGCCAGGCACAGTGGCTCACACCTGTAATCTCAGCACTTTGGGAGGCTGAGGCAGGCAGATCACCTGAGGTCAGGAGTTCAAGACCAGCCTGGCTAAATGGTGAAACTCTGTCTCTACCAAAAATACAAAAATTAGCCAGGCGTGGTGGTGCATGCCTGTAATCCCGGCTACTTGGAAGGCTGAGGCAGGAGAATCGCTTGAACCCGGGAGGCGGAGGTTGCAGTGAGCCAAGATTGTGCCACTGCACTCCAGTCTGGGTGATAGAGTGAGACTGTGTCTCAAAAAGAAAAAAAAGAAAAGAAAACTAAGAACCCAATGACCTCTGCTGCATACATTGCCTGACTTTGGTTAATATGGTGACATACTGAGCCCCAAACTGGCATATGTAACCTCTGGTCACTTCTATACCAAAGCTATTAGCCTCACTTCGCAATGAAGGCCAAGCTAAGAAGAGTCAGGAATTATGAAGCACAAAGCATAGAATGTCAAAACTGAGAAAGAAAAATATCTGTTTTCCTAATGCTTTCATTTTATAGGTGTGGAAAATTGAGGACCAGGGAGAGTACCTTGCCAGCAATTTTGTAGTTACGGTTTTAGATGAAGAGCTGCACAGTGTTAGGGAAAATTCTGAATGGTATTCAAGTCCTCCAGCCAGCAGCAGCAGAATGTGGTTTTTAGTGTGCCCTATGCAAGTAGTGCTTCAGATGGAGCTTATTCTTATTTTTAAGTTATTTTATTTTTTATTTGATTAATTCATTTATTTTTATATATTTTAACAGATTTAGTGACATAAAATTATATATGGTGTACAATTTGATGGTTGATATACACATGCATTGTGAAATGATCATCACAGTCAAGCTAATTAGCCTATTATCACCTCTTCATAGTTACTATTTTGTGCATGCGTGTGTATTTATTTTATTTCTGAAATAATTTTAGACTGACAGAAAAGTTGCAGAAATAGTACAGAGTTCACATATATCTACCACTTTGCTTCCCTGTTGTTAAAAACTTATGTAACTATAGTTCAATAATCAAAATGAGGAAATTAACTTTGATACAATACTATGAATTGAACTACAGCCCTTTGATTTTCACCATCTCCTCCCATCCCCTACCATGCCTTTTTAATGTTCCAGGATATAATCTAAGATCCCACGTTGTATTCGTTTCTATGTCCCCTCAGTTTCCTCCAATCTGTGACAGTTGCTCCATATTTCCTTGTCTTTCATGGACTCTTGATGAGTACTGGTCAGCTGTTTTTTAGAATGATCCTCAGTTTGGGTTTGTCCATGTTTTCCTCATGATTAGACTAAGGTGATGGGTTTGGGGGAAGAAGATCACAAGGTGAAATGCTCTTGTTATTTCCTATCGGGTACAGGATGCCAACGTGGCTTATTAGTGATATTTACCACGATCACTTGGTTAAGGTGGCATCTCCCAGGTTTCTTTTCTCCCTCTGTAAATGATAAACATCTTGGAGAGATGCTTTGAGACTGTGGTAGCATCCTGTTTCTTCTCAAACTTTTGGCTGCTGATTTTCGCTTTCGTTGGTGGATCTTGTCAACAGTTACTAATGTGGTATTCAAGTGGGGATTTTGTATTTTACTCATTCCTTCTACATTGATTAATTGGAATTTTGTAAGGAAGAAGTGTCTCTTCTCATACATTTATTTATGAATTATTTATTTATATCCATATGGATTTATGGGTATTTATTTTGTCCTATGAGATTGTGTTAGTTCTTGCCTTGCTATAAAGGAATACCTGACACTGGGTAATTCATAAAGAAAAGAGGGCTGGGCGTGGTGGCTCACTCCTGTAATCCCAGCACTTTGGGAGGCCAACGCAGGCCAATCACTTGAGGTCAGGAGTTCGAGACCAGCCTGGCTGAATAGTACTTGGTGTGTGTGTGTGTGTGTGTGTGTGTGTGTGTGTGTGTGTGTATGTGTATGTGTATGTATAGTCACCCAGGCTGGAGTGCAGTGGTGTGATCTCGGCTCGGTGCACTCTCTGCCTCTGGAGTTCAAGCAATTCTCCTGCATCAACCTCCCGAGTAACTGGGATTACAAACGTGTGCCACCACACCTGGCTAGTTTTTGTATTTGTAGTAGAGACAGGGTTTTACTATGTTGGCCAGGCTGGTCTCAAACTCCTGGCCTCCGGTAATCCACCCACCTCAGCCTCCCAAAGTGCTGGGATTACAGGCATGAGCCACTGCACCTGGCCAAGAAAGGCACTTTAGACAGTGCCTGAGTTGAGGATTTGACCTGTGACTCGCTGCAGTTGCCACACTGCAGTTGCCACACTGTGGCCTTAGAACAGTCTTATCCAGTCCTGAAAACCCCAGTGCCTTGGAAACATCAGGACTGGTCAGAAGGACAGTAAGTCCTCAAGGCACCAGCCCCTCCTCCTTCCCCAAGGTTGAGGGGTAAGTATTACAAACTCTCTGCAGGACCCATATCCTGGGTGTGGACACCCAGTCCTGCTAGGACCTTCTTTGAGAAGAGTTGATCTCAGCCATGAAACTGCCTGATGCCTTCAGCGAAGCAAGCAGGAAAGGCTCAAGTGATCCTCCTGTATCAGCCTCATGAGTAGCCAGTAGCTGGGACCACAAGCGGGCACTACCACAGCTGCCTAATTTTTTTTTTTGTAGAGACAGGTTTCATCATGTTGCTGTTCTGGAACTCCTGAACTCAAGTGATGTGCCTGCCTCAGTCTACCAAAGGGCTGGGATTACAGGCATGAGCCTGTATATACTGTGTGTATACATATATATATATACACAATAAGGGTATGAGTTTATAGATTCCTGTTCTCTGCAACTAGTGACTATGTTGCCCAGGCTGGTCTTGAATTCTTGAGCTCAAGCGATCCTACCGCCTTGGCCTCCCCAAGTGCTGGGATTACAGGCATGAATCACCAGACTCAGTCTAATTTTTGTATTTTTTTTGTAGAGATGGGGTTTTGCTATGTTGCCCAGGCTGGTCTCAAACTCCTGGACTCAAGCAGTCCACCTGCATCAGCCTCCCAAAGTGCTAGGATTACAGGCATGAGCCATAATGCCTGACCCTTTGCCCACTTTTAAATGGAATTATTATCATGTTTTACTGTTGAGGTATTTGAGTTCCTTGTGTATTCTGGATGTTAATTCCTTGTTGGATGAATAGTTTGCAAATATTTTCTCCCATTCAACAGGTTGTCTCTTCACTGTGTTGTTTCCTCTGATGTGCAGAAGCTTTTTAGTTTAATATAGTCCAATTTGTCTGCTTTTGTTTTTGTTGCCTGTGCGTTTGAAGTCTTAGCCATAAAATCTTTTCCTATACCAGTGTCCTTAAGTGCTTCCCCCTATGTTTTCTTCTAGTAGTTTTATGGTTTCAGGCCTTATGGTTAAGTCTTTAATCCATCTTGAGTTGATTTTTGTATATAGTGAAAGGTAGGAGGTTAGTCGCGTTCTTTTGTATGTGGATATCCAGTTTTCCCAGCACCATTTATTGAAGAGATGTCCTTTCCCCAGTGAATGTCCTTGACACCTTTGTTGAAAATCAATTGGCTGTAAATGTATGGATCTATTTCTGAGTTTTCTATCCTGTTTCATTTTATACCTGTTTTTATACCAATACCGTGATGTTTTGGTCACTAGAGCCTTGTAATATACGTTGGAGTTAGATAGTATAATGTCTCCAGCTTTCTTTCTACTTAGGATTGCTTTGGCTATTTGAGCTCTTTTTTCGTTCCATATGAATTTTAGGATCATTTTTTCTACTTCTGTGAAAAATGGCATTGGTATTTTGATAGATATTTTATTGAATCTGTAGATTGCTTTGGATTATATGGTCATTTTAATAATATTAATATTTTCTGATCCAGGAGCATGGATTTGATTTCCATTTCTTTATGTCCTCTTCAATTTCTTTCATCAGCGTTCTGTAGTTTTCCTTGTAGAGGTTTTTCACCTACTTGGTTAAATTTTTTTCCTAAGTATTTATTTTCTTGTAGCTATTATAAATGGGATTTCCTTCTTGAATTCTTTCTCAGCTAGTTATTACTGGTGTATAGAAATGCTACTAATTTTTGTATGTTGATTTTTTTATCCCACAACTTTTTTTTTTTTTTTTTTTTTGAGACAGAGTCTTGCTCTGTAGCCCAGGCTGGAGTGCAGTGGAGCAATCTTGGTTCACTGCAACCTCTGCCTGCTGGGTTCAAGTGCTTCTCCTGTCTCAGCCCCCTGAGTAGCTGGGACTACAAGTGCATGCCACCATGCCCGGCTAATTTTTGTGTTTTTAGTTGAGACGGGGTTTCACTGTATTGGTCAGGCTGGTCTTGAACTCCTGACCTTAGGTGATCCTCCCGCCTTGGCCTCCCTAAGTGCTGGGATTACAGGAATGAGCCACCACGCCTGGCCATATCCTACAACTTTACTGAACTTATTTATCAGATCTAAGAGCTTTTGCTGGAGTTGTCAGGTTTTTGTAGATACAAGATCATGTCATCTGCATAGAGGGACAATTTTACTTTCTCTTTTCCAATTTGGATGTCTTTTACTTGTTTCTATTGCCTGATTGCTCTGGCTAAGACTTCCAGTACTGTGTTGAATATGAGTGGCGAAAATAGACATCCTTGTCTTGTTCCAGTTCCTAGAGGAAAAGCTGAAAGCTGTGATAGTATGATGTTAACTGTGGGTTTGTCATATGTAGGCTTTGTTATGTCGAGGTATTATATACTCCTTCAATGCCTAGTTTGAGAGTTTTTATCATGAAGAGATTTTGAATTGTATCAAATGCTTTTTCTGCATCTCTTGAAATGATCTTATGGTTTTTGTCCTTCTTTCTGTTGATGTGATGTGTCATCTTTGTTGATTTGTGTATGTTGAACTACCTCTGCATTTTTGGGGCAAATCCCACTTGTGCACCTAGCCCGGGCACTCTGGCAGCCCAGAGGGAGCTCGTACCCCGATCAAGCCCAGCAGGCGCCGGCCTGCCGAGCCGAGTGCGGGGCCTGCCGAGCCTGCGCCCACCCGGAACCCGCACTGGCCTGCGAGCGCCCCGCGGGCAGCCCCGGCTCCCCTCCCCACCCCCCAACCCCCCGCCCCCACGCCTCTCCCTCCACACTTCCCCATGAGCAGAGGGAGCCGGCCCCCGCCTCGGCCAGCCCCAGAGAGAGGCCCCTACAGCACAGCGGCAGGCTGAAGGGCTCCTCGAGCACGGCCAGAGCAGACGCCGAAGCCGAGGAGGCACCAAGAGCAAGCGAGGGCTGCTAGCACATTGTCACCTCTCACAAGGATGTGTCACCATGCCCAGCTAAGTTCTGTATTTTTTTAGGCTGAGTTTCACCACATTGCCCAGGCTAGTTTCATACTTCTGAGCTCAAACAATCCACCTGCCTCAGCCTCTCAAAATGTTGGGATTACAGGCACGAGCCACTGTGCCTGGCAATGTTTTCTTTTTCATCTTGGATTTTGTTTACTTTGTTCATCTTTTTTTTTTCCTTGGTTAGTCTAGCTAACAGTTTATCGATTTTGTTTACCTTTTTTGTTTCATCGATTCTTTGTATTGTTTTCAAAATATATTTCATTTAGTTCTGCTCTGATCTTTATTATGTCTGTCATTCTACTAATTTGGGGTTTGTTTTGTTCTTGCTTTTCTAGTTCTTTGAGGTGTATCATTAGTTTGTTTATTTGAAATCTTTCTACTTTTAAAATATAGGTGTTTATTGCTATCAACTTCCCTCCTAGCAGTGCTTTTGTTGTATCCCATAGGTTTTGGTATGTTGCGTTTCAATTTTCATTTGTTTCAAGACATTTTATTTTTGGAGACACAGGGTGGAATGCAATGGCGCAATCTCAGCTCGCTGCAACCTCCCCCTCCTGGGCTCAAGCAGTCCTTCTACCTGAGCCTTCCTTGTAGCTGGCATTACAGGCACACACTAGCATGCCTGGCTAACTTTTGTATTTTTTTGTAGAGACAGAATCTCACTATGTTGCCCAGGCCAGTCTCAAACTCCTGGGCTCAAGCGATCCACCCTCTGTTTGGGGATCTCTGTGCTTCCTGTATCTGCATATCTAAATCTCTTGGTAGACTTGAAAAGTTTTATTACTTTGTTAAGTAGCTTTTCTATCCCCATGGTTTGCTCTTTGCCTTCTGGGACACTGAAAATTCAAATGTTTGGTTGCTTTATGGTGTCCCATATGTCATGTAGGCTTTGTTCATTCCTTTTTTCTTTTTTCTTTATTTTTGTCTGATGGGGTAATTTTAAAAGATCTGACTTCAAGTTCTGAAATTTATTATACTGCTTGATGTAGTCTGTTGTTGAAGCTTTTTTAAAAATGTTTATTCCACATTATTTCAGTCCTCACACATCTGCTGTGATCCATCTGACATGTAATCTGTTGGTTTTCCAGCAGTGATAATTTCTTTCTTTTTCTTTGCTTTTCTTTTTTTTTTTTTTTTTTTTTTTTTTTTTTTTTTTTTTTTTTTTGAGATGGAGTTTCACTCTTGTTGCCCAGGCTTGAGTGCAATGGCACGATGTTGGCTCACCGCAATCTCTGCCTCCTGGGTTCAAGCAGTTCTCCTGCCTCAGCCTCCCAAGTAGTGGGATTACAGGCATGCACCACCATGCCCGACTAATTTTGTATTTTTAGTAGAGACGGGGTTTCTCCATGTTGGTCATGCTGGTCTCGACCTCCCAACCTCAGGTGATCCACCCACCTTGGCCTCCCAAAGTGCTGGGATTGCAGGCGTGAGCCACCGCAACCCGCCTTTGATAATTTTATGTAAAACCCTAAATCCAATCTTAAATATTTTCTCTTCTCTTACTGATTGTCTTTACATCAATATTAGCCATTTTAATATACTGAGATATATTTTAGTTGGTTCATGACTGTGCCAGTAGCTCCATTTTTATATACAAATAGACATGCCTAAATCCAGTTTATTTTTTATATGCACATTTTATTTAATTCATTTTTAACTTTTTATTTTAGGTTCAAGGGTACATGTGCAGGTTTCTTATATATGGAAGTTGTGTGTCATGGGGGTGTGATGTACAGATTATTTTGTCACTCAGGCAATAAGCATAGTACCTGATAGGTAGTTTTTTGATACTCACCCTCCTCCCAACCTCCACCCTCAAGTAGGCCCCAATGTCTAGTGTTCCCATATTTGTGTCCATGTGTACTCAATATTTAACTCCCACTTATAGGCGAGAACATGTGGTATTTGGTTGGCTGTTCCTGTGTTAGTTTCCTTAGAATAATTTTTTTTTTTTTTTGAGACGGAGTCTCACTCTGTCACCCAGGCTGGAGTGCAGTGGCACGATCTCAGCTCACTGCAAGCTCCGCCTCCCAGGTTCATGCCATTCTCCTGCCTCAGCCTCCTGAGTAGCTGGGACTACAGGTGCCCCCCACCATGCCCGACTAATTTTTTGTATTTTTAGTAGAGATGGGGTTTCACCATGTTACCCAGGATGGTCTCGGATCTCCTGACCTTGTGATCTGCCTGCCTTGGCCTCCCAAAGTGCTGGGATTACAGGTGTGAGCCACCATGCCTGGCCAGTTTCCTTACCTTAGAATTTAACCTGGAGCTGGATAGCCTCCAGCTCCATCTGTATTGCTGCAAAGGACATGATAGTGTTTTTTATGGGTGCATAGTATTCCATGGTAAATGTATGCCACATTTTTTTATTCAGTTCACCATTGATGGACACTTAGGTTAATTCTGTATATTTGCAATTGTGAATAGTACTGTGATTAACATATGTGTGCATGTGTCTTTATGGTAGAATGATTTCTATTCTTTCGGGTATATACTCAGTAATAGTATTACTGAGTCTCAGGGTAATTCTCAGGTTCTTTGAGAAATCACCAAACTACTTTTTACAATGGCTGAACTGATTTACATACCTACCAGTAGTGTATAAGCATTCCCTTTCCTCTGCAACATTGCCAGCATCTATTTTTTGGCTTTTTAATAATAGTCATTCTGACTGGTATGAAACGGTATCTCATTGTAGTTTTGATTTGCATTTCTCTAGTGATTAGTGATGTTGAACATTTTTTCATGTTTGTTAGCTGTGTGTATGTCTTTTGAGAAGTATCTGTTCGTGTCCTTTGCCCTTTTTCTTTTTAAATGAGGTTGTTTGTTTTTTGCTTGTACATTTGTTTAAGTTCCTTATAGATTCTGGATATTAGACGTTTGTCAGATGCATAATTTTCAAACATTTTTTTCCCATTCTGTAGGCTGTCTATTTAGTCTGTTGATAGTTTCTTTTGCTATGCAGAAGCTCTTTAGTTTAATTAGGTTCCACTAGTCTGTTTTTGATTTTGTTGCAATTGCTTTTGGCATCTTCATCATGAAATCTTTCCAAGGTCCTGTGTCAGAATGGTATTTCCTAGGATTTTATAGTGTTTTTTTTTTTTTTTCTTTTGAGACAGAGTCCTCCTCTGCTGCCCAGGCTGGAGTGCAATGGCATAATCAGGGCTCACTGCAACATCCACCTCCTGGGTTCAAGCGATTCTCTTGCCTCAGCCTCCCCAGTAGCTGGGATTACAGATGCACACTACCACGCCTGGCTAATTTTTATATTTTTAGTAGAGACGGGGTTTCACCATGTTGGCCAGGCTGGTCTCGAACTCCTGACCTCATGATCCCCCTGCCTTGGCCTCCCAAAGTGCAGGGATTACAGGCATGAGCCACCACACCTGCCCTCTTCCAGAGATTTTATAGTTTTAGGTTTTACACTTAAGTCTTTTATCCATCATGGGTTGCTTTTTGTTTGTGGTGAAAGGAAGGGGTCCAGTTTCAATCTTCTGCATATGGCTAGTCAGTTATACCAACACCAGTTGTTGAGTAGGGAGTCCTTTCTCCATTGCTTGTTTTTTTGGCTTTTTTGAAGATCAGATGGTTGTAGCTGTGCAGCTTTACTTCTCTGCAGCCCTGGAAGGGTGGGAAGTTCATCAAACCTAGTTCACAGGTGAGAAACTAGTATATTAAGTGAGGTTCAAGTACATTAAGTCACTTACAGGAAGCAGTGGAATTGGGTATTGAGGGCAGGTCTGGCTGACTCCAAAGTCCATTTCTTTTCACTCTATGTAGCTCATCTCTTTTTCTATAAAATGGAAGACTTGGACCAGATGAGCCCCTTCCAACTTTGCCATGCATTGTCCTCAGAATTGGTGGGAACTGGTTCATCTCCTTAGCCCTGGACCCCAGAAAAGGAGTGAGTTGAAAGAGGGATGTCACAATGCACCTAGAAATGCTACCAGGCAGGTTGTGGGGAGCTCAAGAAAGCCACCTGGGCCAGGAGCGCATATATGCAGACCTTTATGTTTGGTACAACCTCAATTTATAGTACATATAGATATATAGATGAAAGACACAGGAATGTTGACAGTGGTCATATCTAGCCATAAGCATATGTTGGAGAGGAGGATCACGGGAAGACATGAGCCCTGCATCTCAGCATATCTCCATCCTGCACCTTAACATCACAAAGTCAAACCCCAATTTCCCGTGGGAGGAAATATGACTCTGGAAATGTAAAAAACATGAAACAAACCAGTAAAGTATAAAAGATAAGTCACAATATTATTTGTTTTGAGACAGTGAAAAACCATCTTTTTCATCAAAATAAAACTAAAAACACAGAAAACCGATGAGTACCATCTTGAGAGAACTGTTACTCTTCCCTCAGCTTGTGTTGCTCCCAGCCTATGGCAATTATGGGTTATTTCTTCTTCTCTACCTCCCTCCTTCCATTTCTTCCTCTCTCTTTGTTTCTCTTTCTCCCTCTCCCTCTCTGCCTCCTCCTCCCATCTACCTACCCACCTCCGACTCTCTCACTCATATATTTTCCAAAAGGAGTATTTATTAATAACTTCCTAATAAGGAAAAAAATACCTTGAAAACTAGTTTTGTTTTGAGACAGGGTCTTGCTCTGTCACCCAGACTGGAAAGCTAGCTTTATAAAATAAAATGAAGGTGCCAAGACTTGAATGCAGGGTTGCTGTGCTCCAAGTTCACTGCCCATTCTGACGATGGGGGTTTGGGGGATCAGGGATTGGCCACTGACTCACAAGCCTGAGAGAGGGGGCCTTGCTGGAGCAAGCTGGGGCAGGCAGAGTCCTGCAGCTTCAGCAGGTGGCTCGGCCCCACCTGCCTGGAGCTGCATTGTGATCTGCTTCTGTTGCAGTTTGTGGAGAATTATGAGACCCTCGTGTTTTACTGGCCCTCGCTGCTGTGCCTTGCCTTCCTGCTGGGCCGCTTCCTGCATATGTTTGTCAAGGCTCTGAGGGTGCACCTCGGCTGGGAGCTCCAGGTGGTGAGTACTAAGTATGAGCACTGCATGTGCTGGTGGGTTTAATCTCTACAACAGCCAGAGAGGCAGGTACTGTTACTACACCTCACATTCTGAATTCAGAAACTTGGATGCAGAGAGGTGAGTTGAGTTGCCTGAGGTCACCCAGCTGTGAACCCTGAAAATCTGAGACAAGTCTCAGTTAATTTAGAAAGTTTATTTTGTCAGAGTTGAAGACACGTGCCCATGACACAGCCTCATGAGGTCCTGACATGTGCCCAATGTGGTCAGAGCACAGTTTGGTTTTATACATTTTAGGGAGACATGAGACATCAATCAACATATGTAAGATGAACATTGGTTCAGTCTGGAAAGGCGGGAAAACTGGAAGGGGCTTCCAGGTCATAGGTAGATGAGACAAATGGTTTCATTCTTTTGAGTTTCTAATTAGCCTCTCCAAAGGAGGCAATCAGATATGCATTTATCTCAGTGAGCAGAGGGGTGACTTTGAATAGAATGGAAGACAGATTTGCCCTAAGCAGTTCTCAGTTTGACTTTTCCCTTTAGCTTAGTAATTTTGGGGGCCCAAGATATTTTCCTTTCACATGGCTAACCTGTAGCAGAGCCAGAAATGGAACCTAGACAGTTCAGTTGTGGAGCCTCTTCCTTAACCACTGTCAAACACAGCCTCTTTGGCATGGGGCAAATTCAACAGTGGGGTGTAGCGGGGAGGAAAAGACCTATCTTGACCACAGCGTGGCTAAATCCAAAAGAGCAACTCCTACCCCCAATCTGGCCCTCCGTGGCCATTGCCCCCTCTTAAGATCAAAACACTAACAAGAATTTGTGAGCCAAAGTGTAAGCCTGTCTGCTCTCTTACAGGAAGAAAAATCTGTCCTGGAAGTGCACCAGGGAGAGCACGTCAAGCAGCTCCTGAGGATACCCCGCCCTCAGTAAGCCACAGTTCTGTTCATTCACCTGCAGGTTTGCTCCCACTCTGGTGAGCTCTGATGATGCGACAGAGCCTGGGATGACCAGAAAGGCACTGTAGTGGTCAAGACTCTCATTTGCTAAATACAGAAACCCAACTCAAACTGGATTAAAGCAAGAAAGGAAATTTATGGGCTCCCATCACTAAAAAGTCTAGAGGTAGTCAGTTTCAGGCAAGCTGGATCCAGAGGCTTAATTGATATCATCAGAACTAGGTCTCTCTCCCTCAATCTCCCCTCAGCTCTGCTTTTATGTGTGGGCCTCACAGTTAGGTGGGATTCCTCCACATGGTGGTGCCCAGACTCTCTTAAGTTTATACCCTCCTGGTTTAAGCCCAGAAGAAAGACGAATGCTCCTTTCCAGTTATTCAAACAAAAGTCCCACAAATGTATTTCACTGGATCAAATTGGATCACACGCCACCCCAGAACCACTTACTGTGGCAGTGATTGTAGTGCACTGATTGGCTAAGCCTGAGTCACATGTCCCTCCCCTTCCCGTGGAGCCAGGAAGTGGGATCAGCATCACTTACCCACTAAGACCCAGGGTCAGAGAGTGGTGGTTCCCCAAATTAAAACTGAGGTGTTAGGCCGGGCATGGCGACTCTTGCCTGTAATCCCAGTACTTTGGGGGGCCGAGGCGGGAGAATCACTTGAGCTCACAAGTTCAAGACTAGCCTGGGCAACATGATGAGACCCCCGTCTCTACAAAAAATGAGCAATTTAATCAGGTGTGGAGGTGCACGTCTGGTCCCAGCTACTTGGGAGGCTGAGGTGGGAGGACCACTTGAGTTGAGAGGTCAAGGCTGCAGTAAGCAATGACCACGCTACTGCACTGCAGCTTGGGAAACAGAGCGAGACCATGTATCAAAACAAAAACAAAAGAAACAAACAACATAAAACTGAGGTGCTGTTACCAGTAGAGGAGGATATAGATGTTGTCAGGCAAAAGCAGCAGATCTTAGAATCATACAAGCCACCACCACATCTGCTCCTTTTACTATGCATGTGGGCATATGTCCCAGTGAAGGGATGTGTCTGGTCCATGGTCACACAGTGGCAAAGCTAGTACTTTGGTTAGAATTCAGTTTGGCTACATGTAGTAGAAAACCACAAATAATAGTGGCACAACCAAGAGAGAGATTTATTACTTTCTCTTATAAAAAACTCTGAAGGTGAGCAGTCCATCCTGACCCTGGACTGCCCACCATGGCAGTTCACCAGTCACCTGTCTTTCTGTTCTAGCATCATGTATGTGCTTTCCATCCTCAGTGCTGTCTCATGGTCCAATGTGGCTGCTGGAGCTCCAGCTTGGACCAGCCACCACATCTGCATTTCAGACAGCAGGCAAGGCAAGACAAGGCAGCTTTCCCAGCTGCGTTAGTTCCATCTGAGCAGCCTCTCCAATGTTCCACACCACACTTGTGGTCACATGTCATTAGCCTGGATTTAGTCTGGTCACTCGTAGCTGCAAGACAGGTTGGGAACTTTAATCTTTTAGTTTGGTGAATTTCTGCCCAAAATAAAATCCAGTTTTTGTCCTTAAGAATAAGGGGAGAATGAAAACCATGGAAGCTAACAGTGTTCTCTTTCTATAATATACTCTAAGATTAAAAAGAAGGTGGGGTTATTTTCAGATGAATCAGGCATTCATTTTCCTACCAGCCTCTCATCTCTTGATATTTATTTCTTATCCACAGAGAGAAAAAAAAGTCTTGGTTCCAAACCAGGATATATGAGTGGGATCCCTGCTTTCAATTTCCAAGCAGAATGATTGGAACCATTGTGTTGGCATTCATCTGCCTGTATCTTGTAAGTAGCTCTAAGAAAACCTTTTTATATTTTATAAATGGGGCAGGGTTGGGGATGGGGTTATGGAGTCTTTGAGGCAAGCAGCATGTTCCTAAAGAGCTGGGTCAAAATTGAATCTTGATAAGTCAAAGAAGTACAATGCTTCAACCCCACCATTTTGATTCCAAGGACACTTTTACCCACATGGTGAATATGACTAGTAAAAATAATCCACAAAAAATAAAACTATAATGGTTAAAATGCCACATGGTAAAATTTATTATCAACTAAAACCTGATAGAAGAAAAATATATTTAAGAATATTTTGATATGCAAAATTTGAGCCAGGAAAGTTTACTTGGTAGAAATAGTCATCCCTAAAGAAAACTTACAATAGTAGAATCTGTGATCAATAAATTTTTCTGTGAGCAAAAATCAAATCATTTAAATGTAAAATAATTGATTCTAAAAAAATAATTTCAATTCTTTTTCAATAATTGAATTTAAAATTATTGAACTTATTATAAATTAATAATTGAATTTATTTTAATTGAATTAAAAATAAAAGCAGATAACTAGAATTGGTTTACCATACTATATTTTTAAGCAGATTAAACATTCTTTTTTAAGTTTGCTTTCTCAACAAGACATTTTAAGTGCTGGCATAATTCTGACTTCAATATTTTATTAAGAATAGAATCAAAACATTTTGTGTGGTCAAAGTTATCTGAGATAAAATGGCTGAGTTAAAAGTAGGGTCAAAATGGATGCATAAAAATGGCAAGGCTAAATTGTCTTCTGTTCATTTTAAATGTAGTAGGAGAATACCTATTTAAGTAAATCCTGTGATTAAGTTTTTAGGTGAGTGTATTAGGTAGGTTATGCTGAAGTGCCAGATAACCTCCTAAATTCCTGTGGCTTAACAGTATATATTTTTTTACCCACACAACAGTGGTGAGTTCAGTGTTCAGGTAGGGGAAGCTGCACTCCTCTGTGTGGTCGTTCGGAAACCCAGAATTCTTCCATCATGTGCCTTCACCATCCTGGAGGACCTCATCACAATCTGCATATAGTCAACAGAAAGGGGCAAAGCAAGGAGAGATGCTTGTGGAGGGTTTCCATGGACTAGGTGTGGAAGTATCATATATTCCTTCTACTCCTCTTCTGTTGGCAAGAACCTAGTCATGTAGCCATACCCAATATAAGGGAGGCTGGGAAATGTAGTCTAGCTCTGTGCCCAAAGAAGGGAGAATGGATTTTAAGGGACAACTATAGTTCTGTGTAACAATGAATAACAAATTTGGGATTACATTGTTTCTTAAGTATTTATGGAATATCTACTCTATGCCAAGCACTGGACTAAGAGTTGGAAGAGGGCAGAGAGCTGATTCAGCTCAGTCCTGGGCTGGGAGAAGCTCATGGTCTATGAGAAGGAGATAAGACATGGTATGAGGGACCTGCCATCTTAAGAGAGAAAAAGGATAAAGTGAAATGCTCTGGAAGTTTAGCAAATCATTCAAGATCGAGCAGGTGCATGAACATGATAGTGTATGAGCTCCACTTTCAGAGATAAACGCGATTAGGTTTGTGAGTGAACTGGCAGCAGGAACTATAGAAGCAATGGCATGACAACAGGATGATAAGAAGTTGGGCAACCATGACATTTGTACAAGAAATATTTGTACATTTCTCCAGTGTGGCTCCTGCAAAGATCAGTGAAGGGGATCAGTGAGATAGGGCTGGAATTGTCCCCCAGATCACCCCTTACTCAAAGTTAGTCATTCTTTTTTTACTGGTTCCATGAATGTTTGTAGAGTTTCTTGAGCCCTTGTGGGCCCTTGTCTTGTTTGCTGGAGGATAAAGAACAGACCTTGAAGTAATTTCTGTCTCCCAAAAACTCAAAATCCCATTCATCTTAGAATAGTCAATGTCTAGAATCATTTTCAGAAGAGTTTTGAATGCCTAGAAGACACTGGCCTTGACCCCAAAGGAAAATCCATATGTTATTCCCATGCTGAGTTGGACTCAGGTGAGACCTGGAAACCTTTGCTCTGTGTCCCCAGTTCATTGTCATCGAGTTCTGCGTGTTTGTGTACGTGAGAGATGAGTTGGATGTGCTTGAAAACAACCTGGAAAGCTACATCACCTTCACGAACCATTCAGGGGTCCTGACCCCAGTCATCCTGCAGGTGAAAGAGCTGATCAGTGTCACCAAAGGTAAAACCATAAGCCACCTGTTCTCACACCTGTGTGGGAAACTGAGAGAGGGGCTTGTAACTGATGGCAGGTGGACACGTGTAGTATTTGTGGCTGCTAGCATTGATATACCTGGCTGGGATGACCACACTTGGAGAAAAATGTGTTAGAGCTGATTTACCTCCCTGGATTGACTAGAAAGACAAAGGGGTCAAGACACAGTCGTTTCTTTAATGAAGCTGGAGCTGAAATGAACATGCCCTGAAAATTTTCTCATCTTAAATTGCCCATTTTGTCTCAATGCCAATGGCAAGTACTAAAATGATTCTATATTTTCCATTTGGAAAAAAATAAAACACCAAACCTTGACCTTTCTTTATGAAATGTTTATTTATATCTTTCAAATTTTACTTGAAAGTCACTTAAAAATAGATCTCTTTAACTTAATCTCTTGTCTAACTGAAATTTTGTATCCTTTGACACACATCTCCCCAATCCCACCCCCCTACACACACCCCTGCTTGCCCCTGATAACCACCATTCTACTCTGCTTTCATGAGTTCACCTCTTTTAGATTCCATACGTAAGTGAGATCATGCAGTATTTGTCTTTCTGTGCCTGGCTTATTTCACTTAATGTGATGTTCTCCAGGTTCATCCATGTTGTCACAAATGGCAGGATTTCCTTGTTTTTAAAGGCTCAGTAGTAGTTCATTGTATATAATGTATAACACATTTTCTCTATTCATTTATCTGTTGTTGGTCACTTAGGTTGATTCCATCTGTTGGCTATTGTGAACAGTGCTGCAATGAAAATGGTAGTGCAGATATCTCTTCAATATACTGATTTCATTTCCTTTGGATATATACCCAGTAGTGAGATTGATGGATCACATGATAATTGTATTTTTAATTTTTTGAGGAACCTCCATACTATTTTACAAAAGGTTGTACTAATTTACATTCACACTAACAGTATACTAGAGTTGTTTTTTCTCCACATCCTTGCCAACACTTATCTCTTGTCTTTTTGATAGTAGCCATTCTCACAAGTATAAGATGATACCTTGTTGTGGTTTTGATTTGTATTTCCCTGATAATTAGTGGTGATGAACATTTTTTCATATACCTGTTGGCCATTGGTATGTCTTCTTTTGAGAAATGTCTATTCAGGTCCTTTGCCCTAGGCAATAAGAAAGGCACTTTATCTTAAAATGGAAACTTTCTTTGAAAATGACATATTTGAGTGTTATGTCTATTGCCTGTGGAGGGATGAGAATTGTTCATTATTCCCAGATGAGAAAGGACCCTAGACAAGATGCCTGGATACGTTCACTCTGTGTCATAAGACAAGTCAGGACCCCTCTCTTGGCCCCAGTTTCCTCATCTGTGAAATCACATATTTGTGTCATGGAAAGTTACCTTTTACATGAGCACTGAACAGATACTGCCCCTTCCGCAGTACCATAGTTTACTGTTGCTCTTCAACAGTTTTATTCATCTTCAGTGGAGATTTATGTTCAACATAATGAGTCCCTGAGTATAACACTGAGAGAGTATATTATAATCTTTAATTTCAGTGATACCCATTCTAAATCTTACTTTTAGAAATACACATTTTCATCTCTGTTTTCGGAAAAAATTTTAAAGGAAACTTCACTTTCTTGGTCTCTGTGCTTTATGGTGAATATATCACCATGTTCACTCATGTTTTGATGTATTTATCACACATACAGACATTTTGAGAATCAAAACATTAAATTTTTCTTTATCCTGGTCTCTTCCAGCTTTAAAACAGCTACCCATTTGCCAAGAGAAACTTTCAAGCTGACCATACTTCACCTTTGCCTGGGAAGATAAAGGCATTAAATTAAATGCATAAGGTGTTCATGCTGTTAGCTGGAGCAACTCTGCACTCACCCTTCTTGTAGCCAGACTCGTCTCATCCTTCCCTTCCAAACACGTTTTCCCTGCATCCTCTGGGGTAGGATTTATGGCAGTTTTGGGTTGGTTGAGATTTGGAATGTAGCACTTGCCTAGTCCTAGTGATCCTGGGACAAGGACAAGGACACATTTGGAACTTGAAAGGAAAGGAAATCTACTTTCATTTTCTTTCTTTTTAAGAAACTTTTTTTTTTTTTCCAGAGAGGGTATCACTCTGTCACTCAGGCTCAGAGGCATGATTATGGCTCACTGCAGCCTCAACCTCCCAGGCTCAGGCAATCCTCTCACTCTGCTTCCCAAGTAGCTGGGACCACAAGCACATGCCACCACACCCAGCTAATTTGCTGATTTTTTTGTAGAGACAGGGTCTTGCTATGTTGCCCAGGCTGGTCTCAAATTCCTGCAATCAAGCAGTCCTCACACTTTGGCCTCCCAGAGTGCTATGATTACAGATGTGAGCTACTGCACCTGGCCTTGAAACACCTTTATGGAGACATAACCCACATTCCATACATTCATCCATTTAAGTGTACCATTCAATGGTTTTTAGTATTTTCTCAAGATTGTGCAACCATTTAGAACATTTTTCATCACCTCCCCAAAACATCATGACCCATTTCCCTCCAACCTTTCCTGTCCTAAACAACTATGAATCTATTTTCTATCCTTATGGATTTGCCTATTCCAGCTCTATCATAGAAATGGAATAATGTGATAATGTCATCTCTTTTTCAAATTTATTTTTTAAACTGACTTCTAAAATTGTATGCATTTATTCTGTAAAACATAATGTTTTGAAGTATATATCATTTTAAAATGGTTAAATCTAGCTAATTGACAAATATATTACCTCAAATAGTTACAATTTTTGTGATGGAACACTTAACATTCATTCAGCATTTTTGTAGAATATAATATATCATTATGAACTATAGTCACCATGTTGTACAATAGGTCTCTTGAACTTATTCCTTCTATTTACAATACGTCACCCTTTGTGACAGGCTTCTTTCATGTAGCAAGGTTCATCCATATCACAGCATGTGTCCAAATTTTTAAATTATTTTTTATTCCTTTTTATTGTCAATTACTGTTCCATTCTATGAATATACATTTTATTTATTCATTCATCAGTTGATAAAAATTTGGGTTGCTGTAACTTTTTGACTATTACAAATAAGACTGCTAGGAACATTCATGTACAAGTATTATATATTTTTTTTTTTTTACATATTTTGGGTATATATCTAGGAGTGGAATAGCCGGTTAAACACATGAAAACTCTATGTTTAACCTTTTGGAGAACTGCTAGACTGTTTTCAAAAGCAGCTGTATCACTGTTTAGTCTCACCAGCATTGTGGAAATTCCAATTTCTCCACATCCTTGTCAACACTTATTATTATCCATCTTTTTTGTTTATAGCCATCTAGTGGAGATGCAGTGGAATCTCACTATTGTTTTTATTTTCATTTCTTTAGTGGCTAATAATGTTTGGTATCTTTACATGTACTTTTACACGTACTGGCCATTTGTATATATTCTTTTGAGAAATGTCTATTCAGATTCTTTGATGATTTAAAAATTGCATTATTTATTTATTGAGCTGTAAGTGTGCTTAATAATTTGTATACAAATCCCTTATGAGATACATGATTTGAAAATGTTTTCTCCCATTTTGTGGGTTACTTTTTCACTTTTCTTGATGATATCTTTTGAAACACAAATGTTTCCAATTTCGATGAAGCCAAACATATCTGTTTTTTCTTATGTCACTTGTGCTTTTGGTGTCATATCTAAGAAATCATTGTCTAACCCAAGGTCACAGGGATTTTTCTCATATTTTCTTCTAAGACTTTTTTAGTTTTAGCTCTTACATTTAGGCCTTTGATCCATTTTGAGCTCATTTTTATGTATGGTTTGAGGTAGGAGTCTAATTTCATTGTTTTGCATGTGAATATCAAGTTGTTCCAGCACCATTTGTCAAAAAACACATTTTTGCCCCATTGAATTGTCTTGTCATCTGTGTTGATAATAAATTGACCATAAGTATGAGGGTTTATTTTGGATTCTCAATTCTATTCCATTGATCTATTTGTCTGTCCTTATGTCAGTATCACAGTGCCTTCATTACTGTAACTTTGTAGTAAGTTTGAAATTAGAAACAGCAAGTCCTGTAATTTTCTTTTTCTTTTACAGAATTTTATTGCCTATTCTTGGTTCCTTCAATTTTATATGAATATTAGGATTAGCTGGTCAATTAATGCTAAGATGGCATTTGAATTCTGATAGGGATTGAGTTGAATCTATAGATCCATTTGTGTAGTATTGCTGTGTTAACAATGAATATCCTATATGTGAACATGGGAAGTCTTCCCAGTAATTTATGTCTTCTTTAATTTTTTTCAAAATCTTTTGTGGTTTTCAGTGTATGAGTTCTACATTCTTTTGCTAAATTTAATATTATTATTTTTGATACTATTGTAAATGCAATCATTTTCTTATTTCATTTTCAGATTGTTCATTGCTTGTGTATAGAAATACAATTGACTTTTATATATTTCTTTTGTGTTCTATAAACCTTACTGTACTCATTTATTAGTTCTAATAGTTTTTTTGTATATTTCCTGCTTTTTCTATATATGAGATCATGGCATTTGTGAATAGAGTTTTATTTTTTCCTTTCCAATCTGGATGCATTTTATATTCTTTTTCTTGCCTAATTGCACTGGCTCAAACCTCTAGTACAATTTTGGCTAGAGGAGAGTAGATATGTTTTTTTGTTGTTGTTGTTGTTCTTGAGGTTAGGGGGAAAGCATTCAGTCTTTTACTGCTAAGTATGATGTTAGCTGTGGGTTTTTAGCAGATGCTCTTTATCAGGCTAAGGAAGTTATTTTGTATTCCTAATAGGTTGAGTAGTGTTTTGTTTTGTTTTGTTTTGTTTTTAATTGACACATAAAAATTGTACATATTTATTAGATACAATGTGATGTTTAGATATGTATATACATTGACTGATGATTAAATGAGTAAACCCATCCCCTCAGACATTTATCATTTATTTATGGTGAGAACATTCGAAATCCTGTCTTCTAGCTATTTTGAAATATACAACACATTATTGTTAACTATAGTTTCTGTACTGTGCAACAGAACACCAGATGTTGAATGTTTTTAATTGTAAAGAGATGTTGGATTTTGTCAAATACTTTTTTTGCACCTATTGATAATCAACTTCTACACAAGTTTTTTTTTTTTTTTTGAGACGGAGTCTCGCTCTGTTGCCCAGGCCGGACTGCGGACTGCAGTGGCGCAATCTCGGCTCACTGCAAGCTCCGCTTCCCAGGTTCACGCCATCCTCCTGCCTCAGCCTCCCGAGTAGCTGGGACTACAGGCGCCCGCCACCGCGCCCGGCTAATTTTTTGTATTTTTAGTAGAGACGGGGTTTCACCTTGTTAGCCAGGATGGTCTCGATCTCCTGACCTCATGATCCACCCGCCTCGGCCTCCCAAAGTGCTGGGATTACAGGCGTGAGCCACCGTGCCCGGCCTCTACACAAGTTTTTAAACCAACAAATCATCCTACTTCCCTGTTTCTACATCCCTCTCTCATGAACGCACACAATCTCTCTAAAAGCAAATTAGATTCTCAATATCAAAACTTGCTGAAGGGTGGGTGAGTGAATAGCCAAGACATCTTGATCCCAGCTATCTTTGTACCCGGTTGAGGTATAACCAACATCCCTCCCAAAAAAGTGGCAATTAGAGGTCAAATATGTTTTTCATGCACAGAGGCTATGTATGATATGTGGGAAATACTCCATAACTTTTCTTCCTTTCTTCACTGTAGAGCGAAAATATTAGTACAAAATGAGAGGAGTATGCAGGAACTATACTAAGCGTGTGTGCAGCTAAAATAAAACAGAAAATGAGCAAAAGTTTACTTACACAAGAAATGTGTTAAAGTCTACTTGATTTGCTTAGAACTTTCTGGTGCAGGATTCCGCATTTTTAAAAATTCTATTTCATGTTTATTTTTCAAGGCTTCTCATATCACTTTTCATATTTCAGGAGTCTGGGTGGCGACCATTTTGCCCGCGTATCTCACGTGTGTGAGCTATCTGTTCCACATTTTGGTCTGTTACAGGTAAGAGTACTCTCAGAGTCATTTGTTTGTCTTTCACCAGGAATATGTATGACAAGCTTTCCTCAGAATCTCCAAATAGTGCCTGCAGTGGGCCTAGGAAGTGAATGCAAGGTCCAGGACTAACCACATCTTTTAGTAGGAAGAAGAAAAGCATTATTGATTTGAACTTCTACAATGAGCTAACATTATGCTTAGAGTCTTCACTTGAATTTCACAACAACCCTGAGGGATAAGTACTTTCATCCCTATTTTTACAGTTGAGAAAGCTGAAAATCAACCAGATTAAATAACTTGCCCAAGCAATTAGCAGATGATCAAGTCTTTCTGACCCCAGAGACCTTGTTATTTCTTGTACACTCAGACACCTCTATTGGGTATCAGACCTGCCTTGCTCTACAGGGCTAGTAACACTGGGTCCCCAGCAGGTGAATCTGGCTCAAGGGAACATCAGTGAATATTGAATCAAGGGGACAAAGGACATCCATCTCAAGAAAAGCAGTATAGGAAGAGGGAATGGCTTTAAACATGGTGTGAGCATTTGCACGCAGATATCAGTTGGGTTTTAGGTACCTGCTGGTCACCTCTCTCTCTCTCTCTCTCTCACACACACACACACACACACACATGCATGCACACACGCACGCACACACACACAGTCTTACAGGAAGCCCAGGCCAATATCCAGCTCTGAAGAGCATCCTGCCTTTACATCCTCCTCTTATGCCTGCCCAAAGGGTGAGTCTCTTGCAGAGGACACCCACAAGAAGACTCTCCTGGCATGAAGGGTCCCAGCTCTCCACCAGCCCTGCCTTGCTCCCTTTCTCTACTTTCTTCTCATTGGACCCCACAGGTGGTCTGGATACTGCTACTACCTCTGCCCTGCCTGATGTGTGCACATGTCTCCTCCTTCCCTCATTAGTCTGCATGTGGCTGGGAGATATTCACTGAGACATTTGAGCACAACCAGGGACAAGCACGATGCAAAGGAAGCTGCATGGACATGGATGTGTGGCCAAGGGCACAGGGAGAGGAGGCCTGCATTCCCGTCCAGGCTGCCCTTGCCCCTACCTGTCACCCAGGAGTGATGATGCCTGCCCTGCTTCCTTATCAGAACCATGGGGCAGAGGACACCAAGGATGAGAAACACACTACAAACTGTAGAGCACTAGCATTGTGTCAGCATTGTAGTTTTTATTATTCCAACCTACATACAGGTGCGTTAAAAAATATTACAAAAAATGTTTAGCGTAAAGTAAGTCTTCCTCCTACTCAAACCCCTAATTTTTTGCCCTAAGATAACCACTGTTAACTGTTTTCTGTGCATACTTCCAGAAATTTTCCATGCACAATGCAAATATGAGTGTGTGCTCTGTGTGTGTTGTATGTATTGGTGGTACCACACTCAACTCCATGCTGCCAAACAGAAACAAAATGAAATTCACATGTTCAATTTTGAAAGTTCTAGTAGCCTCTGTTTAAAAACTAAAAATAGACAGGTTACATTAGTCTTAATAATGTTTTATTTAATCCAATATATCTCAAATATTATCATTTCAACATGTAATATATACAAAAATTATTATTGAGATATTTACATTCTGTATTTGTTCCAAGTCTTTCCAATTTAGTGGTCATGAAAAGTACAAAACAGGCTGAAAACTGCTGGAGAGAGAATGTGAAATTAAAAAACTAGGACACAAATATGAGTATAGACTATGAACATAATGCTGTCAACCTCACCTTTATGCACAGGGCCAAGGACTGGGCTAGAACATTGAAAAATGAAGCTGTGACTTGTAAGGGGTGGGATTGTGAGGGGTTGTTTCCCCTTTTTCATTTTCCTTTACATTGTTATAAGGTTAGGCAATCAGTGAAATTGGTTTTCTGTTTTCAACTTTATTTATTTATTTATTTATTTGACAGAGTCTTGGTCTGTCACCCAGGCTGGAGTGCAGTGGCGTGATCTTGGCTCACTGCAACCTCTGCCCCCGAGGTTTAAGTAATTCTCCTGCCGCAGCCTCCCGAGGAGCTGGGACTAAAGGCACGTGCCACCACAGCTGGCTACGTTTTCAACTGTCTTTAAATCTTACTACATAGGTAATACATATTCATCATAGAAAAATAAGAAAATATAGAAAGAAAAATACGCCAGGTGCAGTGGCTCACACCTGTAATCCTAGCACGTTGGGAGGCCTAGGCAGGAGGATGGCTTGAGTCCAGGAATTTGAGACCAGCCTGGGCAGTATAGTGAGACCCTGTCTCTACAAAAAATTAAAATAAAAAAATTAGCTGGGCATGGTGGCATGTGCCTGTAGTCCCAACTACTTGGGAGGCTGAGGTGGGAGGATCACTTGAGCCCAGGAGGCAGAGGTTGCAGTGAGCCAAAATGGTGCCACTGTACTCCAGCCTGGGTGACAGAGTGAAACCCTGTCAAAAAAAAAGAAGGAAGGAAAAAAGGAAGGAAGGAAAGGAAGAAAGAAAAGAAAAGAAAGAAGAAAGGGAGGGAGGGAAGGAAGAAAGAGAAAGAAAAGAAAGAAAAAGAGAAAGAAAAAGGAAAGAAAGGACAGAAAGAAAAGAAAAAGAAACAAGCCACACGTAATCTCATCTATCAGATTCAGTCACCATTATGACTCAATAAATACATATTATTTTTACAAAATATAATCTAGACTAAAGATCAAGACTTTTAATGCAGTCCTGGGGCTACCTGGTGAGCTGCAATCAGCACAGGGAGGCTAGGGTGCATACCATCAGCCCCGCAGGCCTTACTGTGCTATCTATGGGACTCCAATTATGCACAAAGAGCCATCAGTTATGGGTACTACTTAATGTCCTACGTCTTTTCCAGAAAGCACATGAAGAGGCTATGGGCAGGAGATAAACATTTTCTTCCTTTGAAGTTCCATAACCCGGCCTCGTCGGAGAGCATGGTGAGTCTGCCAAGGTCTCTCTCTGATCTGAGACTAAGCCATATGCCAAAACCTGAGGGTGAGCATGACACCTGCCTCACTGGATTGGTGGGTGAACTTCCAATGAGAAAGGGATGCTGGGCACATGTTGCAGAGGTGATGAAGTTTTCCTCCTGCTCTGAGACCCCTTTTTTCCTTTTAAACCTCAGGTGGCCATTGCAAGGTACTCTGGCTGGCAAATAGCCTATATTCTGTGGGGTAAGTGCCGTTATGTGACCCATCCAATTCAGCACACATCCCTTCATCACCTAGGAAGTCCTGGCTGTGAGTGGGGAGGAGAGAGGTGGTCAGAAGCAGCCCTAGCCTCTGCCCTTGAGGGACCTTCAGGACAGAAGGAGAAACATAGTCTCGAGGTCCTCCTCACCACCCGTCCTGAACCCAGGGAGTTCATATGCTAAGGGTGGTGGTGACCCAGAGAAGAAAGTGACTATCCAGCCCCAGGGCAGGGCTCAGGTGCCTTCTAGGGGAGTTGACACTCGAACTGCACCTGGCAGGTAGAGTAGGACGTGAACAGGAAGGAATGTGAGGCCTTGCCAGTAGAAGAAACAGATAAGCAAGCGTGCCAGGGTGTCTGGCGGGAGGAGGGTAGAGGGTGGCCTGCAAGGAGGGGTATAGGGGGTAGCTCACGAAGGACCTTGAGTTACCACTGGCTCCCTTCACTCCTAGGCTACCTCATCATTCACATGGTACAGAGCCTATGTGGCATGGCAATCATGTACAGCCTGGTGCTACCCATCGTCCAAACCAGGGCCTGGAAATGCTGCAAGGGCTGGGCATTGGGATGTAAGTGCTGGGCGGGTATCCTGTCATTGACATGTTCTGAGAGCTGGGGTCCCCCCAACTGCTATGTGGACCCATGGTCTTGGCCCTGACCCAGAGATGGGCCATGATAGTAACTCATGGTGGGGGGAAACAGCGTTCACAAAAGGCTGCCTCTCACACCATTCCACAATGCCCTCACAACCATGTATGGGGTGGGGGATACATATGTCCATTTTCCAGCTGGGAAAATTGAGGTTTAGGAAAGTAAAATGAGAGGCAAGACAGTATGATGGAAGGAAGCAGGGAATCCTGGCAAAGCTTTTGGATCTGCTGTGTGACCTGGGGTAAGTTATTCCACTTCTCTGCACCTCAGTTTACATATCTGGAAGACAAAGTAATGTTGGCTTCATTGAGCATTTAGTATGCATCTTTTCTCATAATAGCCTATGAACTTGGTGCTTGTGTTACCTTCCATTTTGCAGACCAGGGAACAGAGGCACAGAGAGACTGAGCGTTTCCTCCAAGCAGGGGGAGGACTCAGGATTGGGAGCTGGGCAATCTGAAACCAAAGCCTCCTTTTAGCCACTGCCTCTCATTGCCACTCCAGGGGATGTCAACACAGCATGCAGTGCTCTCTGGGGCCCCTCCCTGCTCTGAGCTTCTTGATTCCATACTTGCCTCGAACCACCTGTGAGTTGGGGGCAGAGCCTGTCCTGTCCACTCTCTTGTGGTCTTCTCAGGAACTTCCAAGAACTGCATTCCATTTTTTAATTCCCAACCTGTTAAACTGCTCACCCAGCTGCCACCCCTGATGAAAGGGACATCAGTGAAATCCTGGAGTAATGGTCTGTGATCTGGAGCTAGAAGACCTAACCATGTGGTCTTGGGAAGGTCACCTCCCCTTTGTAAGCCTCAGTTTTCTCCTCTGCACAATGGGCGTGGGAATGCCTTGTAAGTGTAAAGCATGGAACTCACATTACCATTGTCCTGCCGGGTGGTCAACCTGTCTCCCCTCTCTCACTGGGCATCAGAGAAGGATCTGGCAGAAGGGAAAAGGCTGCCTCAGGATGGCCCCACCCTGTGTTTCAGCCTTACAATATCCATCGTTGTGGGTCTCATGATCCTGCAGATGTGTATCGCTGCCAGCTTCTTCCTACAGCCAAAGCTGGGCACGGCTGACAAGCAGAAGCCCCTGGCTCTCAACAACAGGTGACAGTGAAGGAGGGAATGAGGGAATTGTAGGCCTTTGGCTTCAGCCATCTCTGGGTCCTTCCCTGTCCCCCATGACAGATTCCTGGGCAGGCTCTACACTCTGAGAGGGTGAGGTACAGTGGGTCAGTGGGGGGCTCTGGAGCTGGACTGCCGGGGTCCAGATCCTGGCTCTACCCCTTAGGAGCCATGTGACATGTGGGAGCTTACTCAGCATCTATGAACCTCAGTTTCCCCATTTACAAATAATTGTGCATACCTCAAAGAGGCATTGTGAGGATGAACTGTGTTAAAATATGAACTTAGAACAATAGTGCTCAGCACGTGGAAATCCTTTCTAATTCATTCATTCAAAGCCATCCATTCATTGGGGGAACAACATGGGCATGAGGGTAAAGAAATAATCCCAACGCAATCTGCCTGTGAGAAGCTCAGTCCACTGGAACAGACAACAGGCACATAAACAACAAGGACAGAGGATGCCAGGGAGTGCAAAAGGAATACAAGAGAAACCCGGAGGAGGAGAGGCGAGGGTGGTTAATGCCACTGCAGATGGGACTCTGGAGCTGAGGTCAGCAGAATGGTAGGATTTCTACAGGCAGAGAAGATGAGAGGGTATGGCCGGCAGCCAACACCGCAAGGACAAAGGCAGGAAGCCACAAAAGGTCAGGATGTGTTAGAAGAGTGAGAATCGCAAATGGTTGCCATGCAGTGGACTTAGTGAGTGACAGGAAGGGGACACAAAGTGACAAGACCACACCCCTGGGGGCAGTGAGGGGGCTGAAACTCAGGATGCAAAGTTTGGGCTTTATTCCAGAGGCAACAGGAAACCACATGATCAGGCGGTCATTTGGGAAATTTCCTTTGGAAGACTTTGGAACAGCTGCAGCTAGGAATAGGTCCCTCGTGCAACAGACAGTGGGGAAGCCCCACCCTCTGCCATAATCACTGACCCAGCTGCAGCCCTGTGAAATTCCTTATCATGCAGGAAGCCTCAAACTCCAAGGATCGCATGAAACAATGACTGTCCCCACTGACATACATTCTTCACTGTGCTCAGTGGCCCCCACACTGTACCTGAGCCATTCCTCACACCAGTGCTGTGAGGTGAGGGCAATCAGCTCCCCTTTATGGCACGAGGTCACAAAGCTTTGAGCCTGGACCTGTAGGATTTGACCCTGGGTCTGGGGGACTCCAGAGCCTACCTGCCTAGCAACCTTGCTCTACTGAAAGGTTGAAAGGTGGTGCCTTGGGCTGGCTTCTGTTTGCAGGAAAGCGTTCCACAACTTCAACTACTTTCTGTTCTTCTACAACGTGCTGCTGGGCCTGGGTGCCTGCCTTTCCAGGCTGCTCATCAGTTGCCTCCTCGGCATGTGGCTGATTGCCCGCATCGACAGGACCATCATGCAGAGTGGCTATGAGGGAGCAGACATGGGTAAGTGACCAGCACCCACCTGGCCACATCCTCTGGAGAGGGCTGGTCTTGCACCTCTGTGGCAGCTGCCTGGGAAGACGAGTATCAGAGGCCCAGAGTTCATGCCTTTCATTTATGCTCAGAGTTTATCTTCCAGCAGAGGCTATAAAGCTGAGTAGTAAAGACACATGCAGCCCCCTGGTCAAAAGAGAGTTCAAGGCTATTAAATTCCTGCCCATTTGGCAGACCTTTGGGGTATACAGGAAGAGTAGTCAAAGGTAGTCAAATTCTGTCTGAACACTTAGAAGTTAATTTATGAATGCACAGCTCTGAAAATTTTTAGGAAGAACATATCTCAGAATTATTAGTGTTGTTAGTTGGAAACAGTGCAGAAGATGTTCCATTCAGTTGAAATGCTGCAAATTCAAAGCCATTTCTGAGGAAGCAAAAGTAGTTTTTGTTCTGTTTTGAGCCCACAGTCATTCATTCACTCATCTATTCAATAAATGTACTGATGCTTGCTTGGGATTAGCCACAGCAGCTCCTAACCCTTTGAGCTTTGAGCTCCCCATAAAATGGGCAGATTAGAATATGATCTCTAAGAGTCCTGCAGATCTTTATACCTCATTTTCTAGATTCTCAGAAAAGACTCAGGCACCATTGGAGAGCAAACTGGCTCTGCAGTTATATCTGAAAAGCACAAATGGGGCCATGTCAGGAGGTACTGCCTGGCCTGACCTGCCTCTGAATTTCAGGGTTCAGTGCATGGATTGGGATGCTCTACATGGACCATTATCACATCAACCCTGTGCTTGTCAGCTTTTGCCACATCCTGATCACAAATCACAGGGAGAAGAAGCTGCAGCAGAGCACCAAATACTGGTGCCTAAATCAATCGGCAGGTAACGGCTCCTGTTTGAACCTACGCTGGATTCAGACCCCAGGAAGTAAATACCCTGAGGCTCCCTGGGATCCCTGAGGTGCCCCAGGTTCCGCTTTTCCTGCTCCTTTTCTCTATACTCCATGCCCTGGGTGCCCTTGAGCTAGGAAGCCCAGGAGGCTTAGCTCCCAGTCAACCTGACGATGGGACCCACTCAGGCTTTGTGTCCTTGTCCTGTTAACTGGTCTCCTGCCTTGTTCCTGGAAGTGAACTCTAGCTCTGCTAGTGGAGTTCTCCATATCCCATGTGTTTGAGTCTCCAACCCATATCCCAGGCTACATGGCAGATGTCTTCCAAGATGAGGCTACATTTTGATGATTCTGCCCTGCTGCTTACCACAAGATCTCTGAGGCTCTCTGCCTCTCTAGGGCTCAGACTGTGTTCATTGCTATTCCCAACACTGCAGATACTCAATTCTAAAGGACAACTTACATCCCTTCAACCTCCCTCATGTCTGCAGGAGTCCCAGTCTCACATGAATGTGCCACATCTTACACATTCCAGGCAGCCCTTTCAAACACTTTGGAGAGGGAGTTCCCCTCCCTGAGACCCCTCACTCCTTCAGTCTGTCTGCTCTGATTCTATCCTAGGTCCCCATGTCTCAGCTAGGTCCAGAACAAGGTGGTTCCTGTTGCAGACCCTAATCGACAACCCAAGACTCACCATGCACAGAAAATTAAAATTAGGGCACAGTTCCCAGGAGTCCCAAATTCTGATGGCATGCTCGGAGAGCTGACGCTGGCCCCCATCATCTGCTCCAAAGCCAGGCTAGGACATCTGCCACCAAGAGAGGGCTCAATCTAACCAGCAGCTGTCCCCTGCAATGAAATGGGATGGCACAGGCACCATCCATGCAGATGGCAGACAACAATGGTCACTCATGGGATGGCCACCTGGGCTGAGGGATGAAGTTTCAGGACTATTTCACTCCCTTGGCAAAAAAGATTAAAAAACTAAAGAAAAGTCTGTTGAACAAACTTTACCCATTAATGACTTCCACTATCCATTGTGGGTAGGCAGCCTTGGAGAGTTACTTGTTAAAAAGCACTTAGTTTACCTACAAAGCAGAATTTTATGTCACTGGAGAAGGTGGTAAAATGTGTACATCAGGAGAGTTTAACCATCAGATCCTAATTTTTCTCTGGAACAGAATGTGGATTTCAATCTGACAGTATCCTCATTGCTTTCTTCTTGCCAGGCTTTATGGTGGATGGAAAAAAAGGAAATCCATGATCCTGGTCCCCAGTGTTTTTAGACAAGCAGGCACACAACAGGCTTTCTCTCCCATTGCCACTGAGATGAGGAATGGATCAGAGCTAACTTGGGCATTAGTCATAAAGCAGATGCACAGATTCTCTCTAATAAGGGTGGGATTACTTGGAAAAGCCACCTGTCTGAAGATACAAAGACAGGGTAGGCAGGTATTCCAGGTGGGGGATCACAAGAGTAAAGTTCTGTGAGCAAGCAAGCCCCAAGCATGTTTGAGGAGGGTGAGCCATGTGACATGTCGGGGTACAGAACTCTAGGGGCTGGCCAGGACCATCCCAAGAAGGGCCAAATGTCATGCCAGGAGGCTTGGACATTTGTCCTGTGCAAAGCCCAGTACTTAACCACATTTCATGCTGAAGCACAAAAACCTGGCCCAGGACCTGTACAAAATCTGTCCATTCAAAATTCCTTATGAAGCTTCTGCAGATATTATGAGGATCCCACCAACAAGACAAAGGGGAATCCCCATTCCCCTCATGAATCCAAGAGCAATTGTAATTCAGTTGTTATTGTTAAGCACCTAATGTAAAACCTAGTCCTGTTGCTAGGTGTTTGCCAGCATTGTCTCTTAGTTTAATCTCTGTAACTGAGCTTTATCATCCTGCTTTTTAGAAACTGAGAAAACCAAGACTCAAAGTGTTGGGATTCTCATGCCACCACTTTGTAGGTGTGTGCCAGCAGCTCAATTACTTTGCCTTTATTCACTTTTCTTATCTATAAAAAGAGAGTAATACCCCCTAACACCTAAAATTGTTTTGAGGAAAAAAATGAGTTAATAGAGACAAACACTCTTAAGATAGTGTCTCACACATCCTAAACTCTCAATAGATATTAACTATTATTATTTGTCATATAACACTTCGTGATGATCTGATTAATATCTGCTCACCCCCTCACTAAGATACCAGCTCCATGAAGAAAGAGGCCTTCTCAGGTTTTGCTTACTATCACCAAGCACACACCTATAACATAATAAGATCTTGGAATGAATAAAATAATGAGATCAAGATGAATAATTCTTTTGAGTATGAATTCACTTACCAAAATCAATCCTGGCATCATGGTTTTAATGAATAGTGAGTGAATACCCATGGGAAACCTTGCCGTGAATTGAGGAGGCTAATATGTAAACAGCTGTCTGTGATCCAACCCACTATATGTAATAACATGGGCTTGTACAAAGTTCTGTGGAGACTTGGAAAAGAAAACTACTAATTCTGCCTGTGTAAAGTTAGTGAAGACTTTCCAGAGGAAGTGGCATGGGAGCTGGAATCTACAGGATGTGACATAGGGCATTTCTTATTTGTGTTGGGGAAAAGGCAAGGCATACCTTCCAGCTTTGAAGTTTCCTGGGAGTTTGGAGATCATGCTAGATGAAGACACTCAACATGAAGAATCTTTATTTTGGGACCACTAGGCCTCACTGCTTTCTAGGGATGAGATGAGGTAGACATAGAATGTATTAAGAGAAGCACAATATTCAAAAGAATCCAGTGTCAATCTTAGGTAGTAGAGCTTCAGGACTACCTGCTATACCTTATTCTATTCCCATGCCACCCTCAGGCAGGCTCAGACAAGACACCAAAGGTGTCTGAAGACCCTGGGTAGCCTTCCAGGTCACAGACATGAACACAACCTGAGGGACTTGGGGGACATATCAAAAGAACCAACATACACATTTTATAAGAGTCCCAGTAGGGGAAGAAAGAGAAAAATGAGAAGAAAAATATTTGAAAAAATTAATGGTTGAAAATTTTCCAAATCAGATGAAAGACATGAATCTACACGCCCAAGAAGCTTAATGAAGCTGGATAAACTCAATGAGATATACGCTGAAACACATTATAGCCAAGTTGTTGAAAATCAAAGATAAAGAAAAAAATCTGGAAAGATGCAAAGGGGAAAAGACTCACCACAAGTGAATGGTCCTCAATAAGATTAACAGTGGATATCTTATCAGAAACCATGAAGGGCAGAAGGTAGTGTGATGATACATCTTAACTGATGAAAGAAAAAACTGTCAATCAAAAATTTTATATTTAGAAAATCCTATCCTTTGAGAGAAGAAGAAATTCAGATATTTCCAGATAAACAAAAGTCAAGGTAGTTTTTCACTAATAGACCTGCCATAAAAATATTTTAAGTGAGTTCTTCATGCAGAAGTAAAAGTATATAGTACCTCAAAGCCATATGAAGAAATAAAGATCACTGATAAAGGCAACCTCATTAATAAATAGAAAACCCAGTATTATTGTATGTTTCATTTAGAGTGCCTTTATTTCCTCTATGATTGAAAAAGCAAAAGCATGAATCACTTATGATAAATCTATGTTATTGGGCACACTGTATTAAAATGCAATCTATGACAGTAACTTCATAAAGGGGAAGGGATGAAAATGTATGAGAGCAGAGTTTGTTTATAATTGAAACTAAGTTGGCATCAGTCAAACTAGGTTGTCATAAGTTTAAGATGTTAATTTTAATACCCAAGGTAACAACTAAGAAAATAACTAAAAACATGCAGAAATGGGAAATGAAGATAATCAAAATAGTACACTACAAAAAATCAACTAAACACAAAAAGGCTGAAATGAATGAACTGAAGAACAAATAACATACGAGACATAGAGAAAACAAATAGATAAGTAGCAGAAGTGTATCCTTCCTTCTCAGTAATTACTTTAAATTTAAATGTATTAGAATCATCCAGTTATAAAGCAGGGGTTGGCAGAGAAGATAAAGAACATGATCCATCTATATACTGTCTACCAGAGGCTTATTCTAGATCTATAAACAAAAAAGATTGAAAGTAAAATGATGGAATAAGATATTCTATGCAAGTCATAACCAGAAAAGAGCCAGAATGGCTAGATATTATCAAAACAAAAAGATTTTCAGAAAAAATGGGTTAAGGAGATAAAGAAGTGCATTATATATTGATAAAGGGTTTAACCCACCAGGAATATATAACAATTATAAACATATGCATATATAATATTAGACTCCAAAACATATGAAGCAAAATTGACAAAATTGAAGAGAGAAATAGACAGTTTTACAATAATAGTTAGAGACTTCAATACCTCATTTTCTTTCTTTCTTTTCTGTTTTTTTTTTTTTTTTTTGAGACTGGATCTGACTTCATTGCCCAAGCTGGAGTACAGTGGTGTGATCTCAGCTCACTACAACTTCCACCTCCTGGGCTTAAGCAATCCTCCTACCTCAGCCTCTTGAGTAGCTGGGACTACAGGCATACGCCACCACACCTGGCTAATTTTTTCTTTCTTCTTGTATTTTTTGTAAAGACGAGCTTTCACCATGTTGTCTGGGCTGGTCTTGAACTCCTGGCCTCAAGTGATCGACCCATCTTGGCTTTCCAAAGTGCTGTGATTACAGGCATGAGCCACCGTGCCCAGCCAATACCTCACTTTTAATGGATATAAAAACCAGACAGAAGATTCATAAGGAAATGGAGGACTTGAACAACACCATAAATCAATACATACAAAACACTCTATACAATAACAAAAGAACACGTTTTCTTCTCAAGTGTATATGGAACCTTTTCCAGGATAAACCATATGTTAGGCCCTTTAAAAGTCTTATTAAATTTTAAAAGACTGAAATCATACGATCATCAAGAAGTACATGCAAGCTGCTCTGAAACAAAGCTCATTGGTTTCAGTGACTCATTTCAGGACTTGGTGTTAGTTCACTGGGAGAAAATAGCTGTTTCTAGGCAAATGTCCTGGCCCCAAGTGTCTTATCTGAAATACTGCAGATCAGAGAAAATTTCTGTGATAAGTTCTATTCTGTTATTCTGTTAGCAAGGTGTGAAGGAGATATGCAGGTATTTTAGAATGCAACCATGAGGGCTTCTTCTTTATGGATCCTCCCTGACACCATTTTGGTTAGAGTTTTGACATAAGTGACTCCATTTTGTATTGTCAGCTTCCACATTAGATACTCCCCATGAGGCCACAAGGTACAGGTTGGGAGAGAGAAGGCATTGTAACAAGAGTAGGAACCACAGGCATTTGGACCACTTCTTATAACTTATTTCTGCCTTCAGATCCTGTTCAGGCTCAATCATATACATATGTGTGTGTATGTATGTATGTATATATATATATATATATATATATAACTTCCATTGGATGATGAAGTATTGCTGTGTATGGCAACTTTATGGGTTGGTGGACCAGATAACACTAAGTTCATGATGGGCAGCTCAGGGCACATCGTAACTTAGTGGCCCACGCATGATCAAGCATTCAGTTTCTACTAAGTCCCAGTAGCAGGTCAAAAGCTATCTCTTAAAAGAAGATTAGTTATCTGTAGATGATGGTAGTGCCTTGCTCCAAAATCCTAAAGACAGGAGCTGCAATTCACCTGTAGGATGCCAAAGGCTCCCAACAGCGTCCCTCTCTGCTGCTAACACCTCAAGTACCATTGAACCTGCTGGAGCAATGGTACTTGTGGCAGACCAAGTGGCAGACCAGCTTGGACAGCTGCCTGGACCTTTGCAGAACCTTCTCCTGTTTTCAGACCCACTCAAAACTAGCAGCTTTTTGGGCCACTTGGAAAGTGCAGAGTAACATACCTAAATGAAGAATGTGTTGCCTCCAAAATCCAAACAGCCCCACCAGGCATTGTGTCTCTTTCTGGTTGTAGGAAGAGCTAGATGCAACATCTTCCCCTTCACTTTAGAAGGGATAGATTGACGTACCCCACACCACCCAACCCCTAAAAATTTCGCTGAAGTAGAAGTCTTATGAATTATAGTTAGATTTATTTCCCACTTTTCTGACACACAAATGTCTTACCTATAAGTCTAGAGTAGTTGCTACTTCTCATTCATCAGATCCAATCAGTCTAATGTCATTAACGTAATAGACTAGTGTGATATCTTATGGCAAGGAAGGGTGATCAAGATACCACAAAGATGTTCCAGTTCTCCTGGAATCAATGTCAGTTCGGAGCCAGTGTCCAGTAGTCCCTGAAATGTCTGATTATTTCCTTTTCTTCAATACACAGTTACCGTGGTAAAGAGCTGTATGTCCCTTGTGGAAGGCTGAGAGAGAGATTAACAGTACTGTCTAAATTTTCAGTTGTGTCCTTCCTTGAGGAGGCCCAACTTCCCCTTCATTCAAAGGATTTCAAGTGTATAAACAGGCTCAAAACTTGGAATTGATTGAGGAGCCATGATTATTTGTTTTTAGATTCAAATTAGACTTTTGGTGACTTGACCTGGAATTTTTCTGCTTATATGGATCATATAAGAATTTAGTAGACTTCCTATCTATTTCACTTCTAAGAACACTGTAATTAACTAGTCCTACAATATGCTGTGGTCAAGCAAAAGAACCCAGAAAGGTAATGATGTAATTCAGTCTGAGTCTGAAGACCTGAGAACCTGGGAAGCCACTGGTGTAAATGAGTAGCCAACATTATAGGGCTGTGCAATTCAGATAATTCTGATTGTTTTTTTGACTCAGCTATTCATTATGGTAATTTAGACCACCTTGTCTGGGCTGTTGAGCCTCCACTTGACCCCTGCCAGTCCAAAATCCAAATACTCCTATTGCATTTAGGTTTTCCAGTTGAGTGACTGTGTTTCCACTTTAAGGTCTGGCCTACAGAGAAGAGAGATTGCAGAGCTCTTTAAGGATACTGGAGCTCCTCATTTATTTCTCAAAGTATGGGAGAAAAACATGTCTTCTGGAACCTTCGGTGTGGGCGATTAGGTTTTAAATGACAAATTCACGTTAACATTCCAATATCCTTGAGACTTTAAGTCCCTTCTTCTACTTTAAACCAAGAAAGATCAGTCATTTCCAATTTGCTCATCTTTTGATCCATGACTCAGCAAACTAACCAAACAAATTGTTAGTGCTCTTTCTAACTTCTCAAGCTGCAAAATCTCTGCTTAGTGAGCCCATTTAATAAATTCAGTCTGGTTCAGCTTTATGCTCCTTCACCATTATCCCATACCTTTAACATCCATTCCCACACATGTTCTCTGGATCCCTGCTTATATAAATTAGTAAACTCAAGCAGATCTTCTGGAGTGTAGTGTACCTCCTCATGCATCACACTTTGTACCTAACCTTAGGGGCCTGCTGGGACCTGAGTCTAGTTAGAGGTCTAGAGACGGGTAGTGGGGGTAGATCTTGAGGAGAATCATCATTATTATCTTTCATGGTAACTACCTCATATAAGGCCATCATTTCTTCAGACAATGCAGGGTTGAGGCCCTCAGATAGAGGTTGAACAGCTGATACCACTGTGGGTGGGAAGCTATTTCTGTTGGGGGTGGGAAAGCCACTTTTTCTGGGAGTGGGGATACCTCTTCCATTGGCAAAGAAGACTTCAAAATTTAGGAGCTCAGTGTCCCCAGCTTCATCAAAATTTTCTCACACATCCCCATCCCAACGTATAGAACCCTGTTTCCCAATGAAGGCCTGAACTTTTAACTGGACACCCTGGGAGGCTTGGGGTTCAACTTGCTTGTAATTCGTCCAATTGCTGGGATAAGATCCTGTGTCTGATTTTCAGTAATTTCAGTCCTGCATCTACAGGAGATAAGCCTCTCCCTCAGGGCACACCTAGACACTCTTAATTAAGTCATTTATGTGGCTCTTGAGCTTGGAATTCAAATACCTGACTCAGATAGCTTTTCTTTCACTGCTTTATCCAGTAGTGAAAGCAATCAACCAACATAACTATATTTCTTAGTTTTCAAAAAATGTTTGGAAGTGTCATACACAGACTTACTTAGCTCTTTCCTTCTTATAAGTGGTTAATTAGAAGTACCCAATCCAGATATTTTGCACATCTCTATAAATAGTTCACTACATGGACTATCAGTGCTCTCTCTACTACTGGAAATGAAGTCATTAGCATCTTTATGTCTAAACAGATTAGAGAGCCATTTTCAGAAACCCCAAAACCAGTTCAGAAAACTAATCCTTAAAATTCTTTTCCTCTCTTAGTGTCAAAATCTGTATTAGTTAGGGTCCTCCAGAGAAACAGAACCAATAGGATAAGTAGAGAGAGATATATAGATATAGATAGCTAAGAAAAGATTTATTATGGGAGTTGGCTAATATGATTACAGAGGCTGTGAAGTCCTACACTATGTTATAGTCAAGCAAAAGAACCAGTAAAGGTAGTGATGTAATTCAGTCTGAGTCTGAAGACCTGGGAACCTGGGGAGCCGCTGGTGTAAATTCCACAGTCAGAAGGCATGAGAACCAGGATCTCTGATGTCCAAAGGCAGGAGAAGAAGGATGTCCTAGTTTAGAGAGAGAGAGAATTCACCTTCTTTCACCTTATTGTTATACTTGGGCCTTCAAAGGATTGGATGATCACCACTCACATTGGTAAGGTCATTTTTTTTTTTTAATTCAGCCTACTGATTCACATGCTTATCTCTTCTGAAAATAGCCTCACAGATACACCCAGAAATAATGTTTTCTTAGCTATCTGGGTATCCCTTAGCCTAGTCAAGTTGACACATAAAAGTAACCATCACACAAATACTTGGGCAGGGCTGGCTTCCTCTGTTCTTTCTGGTCACAGCAAAAAATGTAACCTCAATGAGAACATTTCTGAACCCCCCCACCCAATGACTTTCTGGCCCCACTCTCAGCACCCTACTATAAAGTGGAGGACTTACACTACCAGATATTGGGACTTAGTTTAAAACTATAGTAATGAAGGCTGTGTGTGCTGCTAGTGCAAAGATAGAAACTAAGAGAAATAGAGAGCCCAACTCAGACCCACACATTTGGATGTTTTATGTATGATGAAAGAGGTGTGCAGAGCAGTAGGGAGAAGACAGTCTTTTCAGTAAGCGGCCCAGGTCAGCTGGTTCTCCATATGGGAAAGAAATGAATCGTGACTCCTAACTCACACTATAAACAGAAACCCATTCCAGGTGGATTGTAAATTTAAATGTGAAAGTTTAAAACAATATTTACAGTAGATAATATCAGAGAATATTTTCATGACCTTGAGACAGGCAAGGATTTCTTAAGCAGGACACAAAGTGTACTGGACATAAAGACAAAAATGGATAAATTGGGACCTATTCAAGTTGTAACATCACTTCATTGAAAGTCACCTTCAAGAGAGTAAAAACGCAAGAACGGAATGGGAATACATATTTGCCAGATTTATGTGAAAAAGCCTCATATTTATGATACGTAACTAACTCCCATAAATTAATAAGAAAAAAGACAATCTGCCAGGAAAATTGGGCAAAAGATTTGACTAGACATTCCACAAAAAGACATCCAGATGTCCAACAAGTATACGAAATGTGTCCACATTGTTACTAATAAGGAAAATGCTAATTAAAACCATAGGATGATACTACCATGTAGTGGCTAAAATAAAAACAGGAGACAATATCAAATGTTGGCAAGGACGTAGGGCAACTGGAACTCTCATACACTGCTGTATGTAAACTGATACATTTTCAAAAATTCTTTGGTAGTATCTCTTAAAGATGAACATACACATATTCTATGACTCAGCAATTCCACTCTTAAATATACACCCAATAAAAATGCCTGCATATGTTCACCATACAAAAGAATGGTCAGAGCAGCATTATTATTGGTAGTCTCCAAATTGAAAAAATCCAAATGTGTATCAATAATAGGATGAATAAAATGGGGTATATATTTTTTAATAATAGGATACTATACAGAAATAAACCATAGACACATTAAAAATATATATATGGGCTTGGCCTGGTGGCTCATGCCTGTAATCCCAGCACTTCAGGAGGTTGAGGCGGAGGATTACTTGAATCTAGGAGTTCGAGGCCAGCGTGGGCCACATAGTGAGACTCTGTCTCAACAAAAAATAAAAATTAGCCAGGTATAGTGGTATATGCCTGTAGTTCTAGCTACTTGGGAGGCTGAAGTGGGAGGATTGTTTGAGCCCAGGAGTCTGAGGTTACAGTGTGAGCTATGATTGTGCCACTGCACTCCAGCCTGGGTGACAGAATGAGACCCCGTCTCAATAAAAAAAAAAAGTATACAACTTACAAACATAATGAAATAAGCCCAACATAAAAGAGTCCATTCTCTATGGTTCCATTTAAATAAAATTTTTAAAGAAGCAAAACCAATTCAGAAGTTAGAATATTTGTTATCCTGGGGGAAGAGAGGGCAGTGACATGAAAGGTACACAAAAGGGGCTTCTGAAGAGTTGGTAATGCTCTGTTTCTTATGGGTACTGCTTACTAGGCACGTTCCTTTCAGATAATTCATTGAGCTATTCACTTATGATTTCTATACTTTTAGATATGTACGCTATGCTTCAACATGCACATCCAATCAGTTGGTTAAATAACTTTTTTTCTGGCTAGTCACAGGTCAGATGGTTCAAGACTTGAATTACAGGGTCTAGATTCATATCCTAGATCTTCCTATCTTGGAGATCTTGGCCAAGTCACTGACTCTGAATTTCAGTTTCTTAATCAGTAAAATGGGTTACTTAAGGCACCCCTCTCATAGTCACTACAGGCATTAAATCTTCTCATTAAATATTTGCCTCTTGTGGTGGTCCTCATTGCTCTGCTTTGTCTGGACTATGCAGAAGACAGACAATAGCCTGGGATAGAGGAAGGAAAAGGATGGGGTCAAGAGACATTTTCAAAGTTAAGAGTGAGAGGGAAAAGATCAAAGATGATGCTGAGCTACAAGAAAAAGATCCAGAGGCCCTGGTGTCATTCTTTCCGTTCCCTATCTCTGGCTTTTTGCCCGTATCTAAACACAGGAGGTGGACTAACCAGATGATCTCTAACTGGTTAGTCTTTCGCTATGATATTATCAGGTTGGGAGGAGAATGGAAATGCCATCCAAAAGGCAAACACGAATTTCCACGTTTGATGCAAACTCAAACACAGTCTCAAAAACTTGGAAGTTAAGGGAGGTAAATTCTCAGTGCTGGGATTATGGGTTATTTTTACTTTCTCCATTGAAGTTTTTCATTTTTTTTTAATTTTTGACAATAAATATGGAGTTTAATCAAAACAAAATCCCATACTTCACATGTCCATGCCTGCTATTTATAGCCATATAATTTTTAAAAAGAAAGAAACCCCTAAATTACAGATGTGCCTGGAACCAGAACCCAGAAAGCATCTGGGTAGGGAAAATAGTTTCTAGTGTTCAAGGCCAAAGCCAGTAGGGCCTCCTTGGATGGGAAAGAGATATGAGACTGCAAGTAATTCCTGGACATTACCTATTTGTTATTGTGTTTTCATCCCTTCCCTCAGTCACCTACACGTTTTCTTTTTCCAGCTAAAATGAATCTAATCTTTGTTACAGTACTTCACCTTGTTAATAAAACCCAGGACTGAAGAATGAGAATAAAAGGGTTTTATACTCACCATTTCTTAATTTCTGATTCTAGTCTGGACAGAACAATCACTCATTCTAGAAAATTGGCATAGGGAGCATTTATTAGCAGTTGTAACATATCACTGCCAAAGGGAGGGATTCTGTAAGGCGGCACTGGGTGTCTCATATGTATGGGAAACCCGAGGCCACGTTCAGTGCCAACCACAAGCATTTTCATCTCTGGCCAGGCAAGCCTTGATCCCTGAATTTTGAGCTCTCAACCTCTTTTAAAATGAGAAAGAGATGGTTTCTTCCAGAGTCTTTCAGCTTCTAACTTACAGGCAAACACTACCGTATGCTGTCCCCCAGCAGAGATTGGTTTTAACCAAGGCAAATAAGTTAGGATGGACTTTGTTGACCGTGATGGCTCAGTGCTACATCTCATATATCCTACCACCTTTCAGAACATTTAATAGTGCTGCTCCTGGCAGCCCTGGGGTTGTAGTCCTTGTAGAGAGGAGGAACTGGCATTGAAAGAAATAGTTGAGTTTCACTACGCCACGTGGGGCGCTCCCATTGCTAAGAGCAATCTCCCCTCCCTGGGAAGAAAAGCGTGGGCGGGGCCGGGGCAGTCCCTCCCCTCCGCGTTGCCTTGGAGACCATGGGCGTCCAGCTGCAGTTGTCGCTGGACCGGCCCTGGCTGCCTTGAGAGGTGCTTTCTGCAGGCGGGGACGCGGCCAGGCCGGACGCAAGGCCTCCCTCCAATCTACCGGGCTCAGGGGGACGGCCAGGGGCTGCTCAGTCTACTTGGCGGGCTAGGGAGGGGGATGGCAGAGGCTGGTTGGGTCTTCTCAGCACACAGTAGGCGCCTAATTAGCGTGACCTGAATCAGGTTACTCTCTCCCTCCAATTCTCCTCCCTGTGTCCCATGGAGGGTGGATTAGGGTCCCGGATGCGAATTCTGCGCCGCATTAGAGTTCCAGTCCCAACCGACACCTTGAGCGCCGTTAACTTTTCCCCGAAGAGCATGGCAGAGTGAAGCACAAGCAATAATCCTGTATTATTCGCGTTCCCAGAGTCCCTTCGGATTTGCGCCATGCGCGGCGGGGAGAACCGGCCTCCTGCTCGAGTTCAGAGCTCATCTGAGGTTAGTTTCATCGTTTCGTTGAAAGTTAAAACCCTAAGTCGACGTTCCCCAGCCGCCTACCCCCCAGCAGAGAGTCCTTCCCCGGGGAGTCCTGCCCTGGGGTGCCGCCTCGAGGCCAGACGTCGTCCCGCCTGGACCTGAACCTGAGTTTGGGACGGGCGATTTCCCAACCTCAGGAATTGGAATTGAGACACCAAAGCCTAGACGCGTTTCCTGGACGACGGCTTCCCGGCAGGGGCATCCAGCCAGCGGCCAAGATGTCGTCAGTGGGGAAGGTGACCCAGGTTCCGAATGGGAAAGCCTACCAGCAGATCTTCCAGGCTGAGGTAGGAGCCGCCCTCTGTCCCGCTTTTCTCCATCCCCCTTCCCTTGCTTTCTTCCAAACTTCCCTCCCTCCCAGGGCTTCCCTACTGGAAATTGAATAAAACAAGGGCTTTGAAATTACTTTGATTTTAAAAATAATTCTTGCTTGTTCTTAAATCGTACCAATACAAAATTAGAATGTCAGTTCTTGAAAATTAGAAAACTTAAATTAAAATTTTAAATGTAAATTACTCAGAAATAGCCTGGATGGAACCACTGGGTGACCTCTGTTTTTCCCATGCATAAAAACATGACTAATTTTTGTATTTAAAAAATAGGTTTCATTCTGTACTAGTGTTTTGAAATCTGCTTTTTCTTCATAACAGTATCTCACAGACCCTTTTCTATGCCCGTGGGCGCCCATGTATTTCACCATACTGAGCAGCTCCCCACTTGTTGACCTAGGACTCCCATAACTGTATTAAAGTAAAGCCCTCTTGACAACAGTGTAGGTTGTTGAAATTGCCTTGTTCTCTCTAAAGCACTGTATAGACAAAACAAGATCTTAAAAGAAACACACAGACCCAAATTCTTCCTTTGAAGTTCTGTACTGCTTATTTAAAAGGGATTTGCATTCCTAATTTAAGCCTTAAATAATTATCTGTAAAACCTCTGGAAATTATAAAAGTATAAAGAAGCCAAAACAACAATTACATCACTCACATGATCCTGCTCTCTCTAAGGCCATTCTTAACTCATGGCATACTTCCCCCAGGGCCTTTTCCTATGCGTTTTAAATTTTGAGATCATACGGTATAGTTTTGGTTATAATTTCTAATTTCTAATTTCTATAATTCTATAATTTCTAATGCATGTAAGTGATATATTTAACCATATATCATCTCCTAAGCATTTCCTCAGGTTATAAAAAATTATTTGTGGGTCTCATCTTTAACAAATGCCTAACATTCCATCAAACAGACATACCATGTTTACTCAGCCAATCCCTATTATTAGTCAGTTCTGTTTTTCCAATTTCTTGTGATTATAAAAAAGGCTGAGATGTTCATCTTGATCTTCATTTAAGGTTCTTAGAAAGAGGCCTTCTTTGAAGTGGCTGAGTGACTGTTACTGGGAGGAGAGCTCTCCTATAGGGATATGACCTGGGGCTGAAGGCCTCCTGAAAAGTACCTTCCTGGGGGCAGCTCTCTGGATGTCTTTCTAGACAGCCACCATCAGCCTGAGAGTGCTAGGAAGTCAGCAGCTCTGACCACTCCCCCATCCTTGGTCCTCCCTGGATTCAGGTGCAGCTGGTCCACTCCCTGGCGGCCACCAGGAAGCGGGCTGCAGAGCGTTCTGTGACCCTGAAGAGTGGCAGGATACCCATGATGAAGAAGGTGGAGACTCCTGAAGGGGAGGTGATGTCTCCCCGACAGCAGAAGTGGATGCACAGCCTCCCCAACGACTGGATCATGGAAAACCCTGTTCTCCACAGGTAGGTCCTGTTGTCCATGCCTCACCCCCATGCACTAGGGTACCTGAGCCTTCAAAAACTCAAAAAGAGCCAGCACAAGATGAGTAGCCTGTAGGAATGAAGTCTCAAGTACCACCCCTAAAGCAGGGAGGCTAATACCTACCTTGCAGGATGGTTTGCTTCTCTCGCCCCCATTCCCCCACTCCCACAGTCATTATTGATTAAGTGCCTAGGACCAGGCACTGGGTATGGGGATCCCACCCTTATGAAACTTGAGACCTCGAAAGTAAATAAATAAGCACATCCCCCCAATGGCAGAAAAGCTCTGATTAAGGGGATGGGGCTATGGGACAGGGGTCAGGAAAGCTCTCTGAGGAGGAGGATCAGCTGAAACCAGAGGGTGCAGTATGGGGACAAGGCTCTGAGAAAGGTGGTCTTGGCCCCCTCCTGAAGGCTGAAGGTAAATGGACCCTGAGAGAGGGCAGGAGATGAGGCTGGGAGCAGCCTTTCAGGCCACAGTCAGTATTTTGAACTTTACTGCAGTGAGCAGCTGATTTGCATTTTTGAAGTCCCTCAGGCAGCTCTGTGCAGAATGTGGGGGGCTTCAAGAAGAGGCAGGAAGGCCAGGGCACAGGACACTGCAGTTGTCCTTGTAACCTTGTTGGTGGCTGTGAGAGGGAAAGTAGCTGTGGGCCTCGGGTGTCTCTTGGAGGCAGAACCCATGAGACCTAGTGATGAATTGGAGGGGAGGAGAGAGCTCCTGAGAGCCCTTGGTCTCTGGCCTGAGTGCTGGGTGAACAGCAGAAATGTATTTTCCTCAGATGAGAGCAGGCGGGGGTCAGGCATGGAGATCAGGAGTTTCTTGTGAACTTCCAAATTCAGAAGTTCCTAAGCATGCCATTTCAGTTCGCTGAGCTCTGACTGTCAGCTATGGGGAAAAGGAAGAAACAGATCTTCCCAGGGTTCTTGAGAGAATGGAGCAGGCGCGGTGCTCCCCTTAGGCACTTTGAGTTCTACACAAGCCATAAACCCTTGCTGGGCCTGGGACTCTGAGATAGAAAGCAGGCCTCCGCTGCCTGTCTTGGTTGTTCCTTTCACCCTCTTTGGGGCAGGGACAGACCCCTTGCTGAGTATAGTTCTCTGCCCTGACCTGGCCTTTGAATTTTCCCAGGAAAGCCACCCCCAAAACTCCTGACCCTCATGCTCTGAACTCCCAACAGATAGAAAAATCCACTGGCCCACCCAAGCCCAGACTCGAGGTCAGTGTTCTCTAGCCCATATCACCCTGCCTGATGCCCCAGGTGGGCATCCAGGGTTACAGGCAGCCTGATGTCCCAGGTGGGAATCTAGAGGAACTACCCATAGGGCCCAGCTCCCTCTAGACACTCTGCAGGGCTAGCAGAGGCCAGACTGGGCTGAACACATGAGTGGCAGAGCCAGGGCACCCTGTCTCCCTCAGGCGTCAAAGCAAAGGGTGCAGGTGTTTGAAGATTCGGCCAGCTAAGGCCAGTCCACCTATGTGCTCATCACCCAGGGCAGACTCCTGGGTGGGTGGATACCAGCCCAGGCCAGGGGGTAAATCACCACTGGTATAAACCAAGCCCCAAGTCCCTGGAGCAAGTGACCAAGAAGCTGGAGTTGACAGCAGGTGTCATCATCTCAGCTCCTACAGGGCTGCCTTGGTCCAGGGGCATTTAGAATGACAAGGTCTGAAAGACCTGTCTCTAGAAGATTGGCCTGGGCCCCATCAGCTGCAGCCCAGGCCCAGCAGCTTCCTCCCTGCTAGGTCTGCATGAGGGCTAAATGAGAAGTTGACTGGAAAGTATTGGACATATGGGGCGCCCAAGGAATAGCAGCGGTTGCTGGGAGCTGCGGGATTTCTATGGTGCTTGCCCCATGGACAGGGCATTCACAGATGCCAGTTCCAAAGCTGATGTCACGTCCACCCTGCTGGTCCTCCCTGTTGAAATAGTTCCTCCTGAAACCCCAGCTCTCTCCTCCCTCACCCAAATTCCATGGGCCTTAGTGTCACAAGGATTGATCTTGGAGTCTCCTCTCTGTTGCATTCTGTGGTTCCTATAAGCCCCATCCGCCTTTCTGGAAAATGAGGTTACCTCAAGTACGTCATAGGATGGGCTGCTGAAGGAGCAAATGAGGATGCATGCCAAGAGCTAGCATGATTTGGCTTCACTGGGCTGCTCGTACCCCTTCTGATCCTCAGTTTCCCCAGGTGGGAAGTGGCTCAGGCTCATCATCCACACTTGACCACCAGAGCCAGAGCAAGCTCCCTGAGGGCAGGGACCCAACCTCTCACCTAGGGACCCACGGTGTCTGTTGGCAGGGAACCCCAGGCGGCGTTTGTTGGGAGCCTGGGCACTGCCTCAGGGCTCTCTGGAATTGGGGTGTGCCTGGTCCATTGCTGCTGCCCACAGTCCCTCTGGAGAACCACCCCTTGGTGCCCTTATGTGCCAGAGCTGCCATGGATGGCATCAGGAGCTGGGACTTCACTCTTCTCTGCTTGTGTCTCAGGGAAAAGGAAAGAGCCAAGAGGGAAAAAGCCCGAGAGAGTGAGAACACCATCGCTGCCCGAGAAGTGCGGGGTCTCATGGATACTATAGGTGAGCCTCCATTCAGCCTCAAGGCAGGCCTGTCCTGGGCCAGGATGAGACCTGGGCAGGAGGTGGGGACGTCTCCTGGCAACTCCTCTGAGGAAGGCCCTGAGCTCCCACTGTGTTCCTCGGCTCAGCCACCCGGAGGGCATTCTCCCTGAGCATCTCAGCCAAGAGTCCTCCCCTGTGCAGAGAGCTGGGGGAGGAGGGGAGCCGCCTGCATGGAGGGCAGTTACTGATGCAAAACAGGTGATTAAAGGATGCCACTCGTTTTCTTGCAGGTTCCCAACAGTATTTCTCATCTGCATTTTCTTCCTTCCTACTGCATTGTCCTAGTTTGACCTTATCCTAATATAGAAACCTTTTTTCTTTATGATTAAAAAAGTAATACACGCTCACTGAAGAAAAACAAAGGAAGGAGAAAAAGAGAAAGTAAAACCTTCCCCTTCACCATGACACCTGTTCTTCTCCAAAGAGAGTCACCAGCCCCCACCCCAACCCACCCCCGGTTAACCCACGTGGCATCCGGCTTTCCACCTGGATAAAGGGGACAGCAGAGCATATGGCAGGAGCACAGACCTGGAAGCAAGTGGCCCAGATCCCTGCTCAGCTGCTGGCCAACTTGGTTCTACAACCCCCCATGACTGAGTTTCCTCACATGTGAAACGAGGCTAGGAATGGAAGCCACCTCTTGGCCTCAGCATGAAGACTAGCTGAGTTTGAACAATACCTACTATGCAGGAAGTGTTGGCAGTTATCATTTCTATATGTATTTGCTTCCATAGAACTTTTTTTAAAAAAACATTCTGTGCATACTATTTTGGAACTTTTTCAGCTCTTAACTGTATATCTGAGGCCTCGGTCCCTCTAGCACTCATGAATCACTGTCATCTTTTCTCTTTTTCCTTAAGCCTCTGCCACCCTGACCTGGCTCTGGGGTCTACCTTCTGAGCCAGGCCTCAGTGTGCAGGGGCTGTCTGCCTGTGCTGCCTTTTCCTGAGAGCTCTGAAGGCAGCCTCATCACCTCTGTTGTTGCTCCGCAGTTCCTGAGAAGATAAGCACCAGCACCTTTCAAAGGCAAGCAGAACACAAGAGGAAGAGCTACGAGAGCGCTCTGGCCAGCTTTCAGGAGGAGATTGCGCAGGTGGGAAAGGTGAGAATCCTCCCTCTCCCTTCTCTTCCCTTCCTGTGCCATTCCAAAGGTGGGTGTGTCATGGCTCCCAGCCTTCCTCCCCCTCTCCAGCAGAGAGGTCCTCAGGGGCTCACAGAGCCTTAGACGACATGGAACCCTCTCTGAGTGCCTGAGTGGCTTGTTATGAGTGTTTGTGGGCACAGGTCCCCATAGTTCTTGGAAAAGCCCTACAGGTCATGTGCTGTTGTTACCCCTTTTGCAGTGAGGCCCAGAGAGTCTCACCTGACTTGGTGCATAAGGGCCCAAGTCAGAACTTCCCTCCAGGTCTGACACCAAAGCCTAGCCTTCGGCCTCCCTGCTCAGTCCTTCTGATGAAGGGCAGAATGGCACACCCCTTGCTGATAGCCCAGCTCTGCTGGGCTCTTATGGACTGCCCCCCATTCAGCTCTCATTCCTCTCCAGAGACCTCATCTCCACACACACTGGTGTCTGGAATGTTCCCTAAACGAGACCAGCCTTTGCCCTTCTGGATTGCCCTGAGCCCCAGATTTCCATTTGTCCCCTTCTCCCTGAGTCTTTTCTGACCTGTGTTGTCCTGCCTTGGATTCCTGGAGCTGGCTCTGTGCCCAAAGCACCAAGAACAGGCTCTCCAGCCGTGTTTCTTCATACGTCCCAACTAGATGCCAGGTCTGCTTTCACCCTTGAGCTCTGTGGCTTTGGTGAAGCCATCTACCTGAGCCTCAGTTTCCTCATCTGAAGTAAACCTGGCATTCTTTCATTTGGCCACGTCTTTAATGAATATTTGTTGAGGGCCAACCGTAGGCTAGGCCCGATGTCAGCAGCCAATTCAAAGACTGTGATGAGGATCAAATGAGCCAAGAAGGAGGGCTCAGCGCAGAGCGTGTGGCGTGGTTGTGAGCTGAGTAGTGAGCCTCAACTCGTTAGGTCTAGGCAATGATCATCATTTTTGAGATAGAACCATGCCTGGCACTTCCCCCATGACAGGGAAGGCTCCCTCCTTCCCAGGGGTGCTGATGCCTTGGCCATCATACCCCTGGCCTGTTGCAGGAAATGGAACCTCTCATCGTGGACACAGGGGGACTTTTTTTGAAGAAGCTGACTGAGTCTGATGAAGAAATGAACCGTCTCTTCCTAAAGGTGGAAAATGACACCAACCTTGAGGACTACACCATCCAAGTAGGGGTCCCTTCGTGGCTGGGCCTGCCCCACCCAGGTCCTGCTTCTTCCCTGCCTCCCACCGGCTCCTAGCCTGACCCAAACTTCTCTGCGTAGGCCCTGCTGGAGCTGTGGGATAAGGTGGCCGGGCGGTTACTGCTCCGGAAGCAGGAGATTAAGGAGCTGGATGAGGCCCTGCACTCGCTGGAGTTCTCCCGAACCGATAAAGTAAGTCGGCTGCAGGTGGGCTGTGTGGTGACTGTCACTTGCCGGGTTTATTAGGCATCCTTCTGTTTCCTTTTAGTTCTCCAGGAAGTGAGCCACTAAGTATGGTGCCTTGTCATTTCTAGCTAAAAAGCGTGTTGAAGAAATATGCAGAAGTCATAGAGAAAACTTCCTACCTCATGCGGCCCGAAGTGTACAGGCTGATAAATGAAGAAGCCATGGTGAGTGGTTTTCCTGTGCAGGGATCAGCCCATGGGAGAAGGGGCAGGACCAGGAACCCAGGGCACCCCGAGCCTGGTGTCTGGTGTCTCAGGAATGGTGGGCTTCTCATCTATAACGTTTCTAAGGGGCTCAGGTGGGCCTCTGAGGTAGAGAAGCAGAGTCCTTGCTATTGTAGTCCTTGCTATCTCTCTTTTCAATAGAGATCTTTCTAAAGTACATTTCATATTTCCCTGACATCTTGAACCAGGCACACCTAATATAGGGCTATCGTCTGGAGCGCTGATGATGTTAATGAGCACCTACTAGGTCATGTCTCAGCAACTGTGTGCAATGCAATAGGCGCTACACTATGGAGTCATCGGGGGGCTACGGTGGTCTCAGGGTGGTTTCCACCTTCATGAGTGATCTGCTCTGCCTGCTATGTCTGGCTTTTCTGCCTCTTCTTGCCTCTCTTCCTACCAGTGGTCTGTGCCCATTGCTGAGCCTGCCTCTTGGCTCTGTCCCCACTGCTTTCCCCTGTCCATGCCCCTAGCACCCCTCCCCACAGCTGCTTTCCTTGGGGTGGAAAACACAAAATTCAAGGTTGTTCATGATGTCTCCAAGGTCAGAGCAAAGTCTAACTCCTCTGCTGCTAGAGAGGACTCCTCTTTTGGCTGCCCAAAGGCACACTGTGGGTTTCCTGGTCTTGTGCAGTGAGCTGAGCTTGCTGGAAAAGGGGCCTCCTGGCAGCACAGTAGGCTGAAAAGAGGACAGTGTTCTGAATCACAGATGGGTCCAGCCCATGTCAGCTCCATGGCGACCCAGATAAAGCACAGGCAAGGAGTGAGCACAGGCCTTTTCCACTGCCCAGATGTGGAAGCTTCTGAAATGACTCAGCCCCTGAGCCTGGAGCTTGCTGCGTCGTTAAATGAAGATAATATAGATGTTCCTCCACTTACGATAGGGTCACATCCCAGTATACTCATCATAAGTAGAAAATGTAGAAAGTCAAAAATGCATTTAACACCTTCATAAACCCATCATAAAGTTGAAAAATCATGTCAAGCCATCGTAAGTCGGGGACTGCCTGTAATACCTGTCAGGACTTGTTGGGAGGATAATAAAAGAGGGTCCAGCTGTGGTAGCTGTCTTCTGAGATCAGCGAGGGCTCCTAAGTTGTGCACATTTTATCCAATAGAAGAGTCAAGGATTTCAGTGTCCCGGATGTGTTTCACTGCTTCCCTTCCTTGTGCTTCTACTCATTATTACAACTTGCATTTGCTACTTGTTCTACCTGCATTTTTCTCATTTATTTTCACAAAATCCCTATGCTATAAATAGCATGAACCCCATCTTACGGCTGTGGATCTGTAGGTTGAGGAAATACTTGCCAGTGCCACCCAGCTAGGAAGTACAGCTAAATCAAGCCTCAGGCTCCACTGAAAAGCATTACTGGAATTTCTAGTCTCTGAGCTTGGCAGGGTTCTCACCCACTGCCCCAGCATACTGCCACCTCCCTGGAGGGCTTTGGGAAATGTGTGGAGGCATTTGGGGCCAGGGAGGATGGGGGAAGTTACTCTCATCTAAGCAGGGGCAAGTATGCTAAAGGGCAAAACAGTGCCATGCAATGGAGGATCATCCCACGCCCATGCCAGGGGTGCCCAGGTGAGAAGCCATGGGAGGACTGCTGAAGAATGTTCTAGCTCTGGCCTCATTTTGCCATTGGGTCTCGGTTCTCCTAACAACCATATGTGGCTCGTCCCTGATGGCACGAGCACTCTGCTTTTGGAAGAAATTTATAAAAAAGAGTAAACACTTAGAGCTCACTGAGTGCCTGCCTCCTTTCACCTTCTTTAACAAACCATCTGAAGTGACCTTGGAGCTGAGCTGAAGCTCATGCAGTCAGGGTCTGTGGTTAAGCCTTCAAGGAAGACCCTTGTCCATGGCTACTCAGTGCCAGGAAGCTTCATCGAGTGCCCACTGACCCCTCAGTCCCCTTCAGGCCCTGCAACCACCCCACTTGGCCCTCACCCTGCACCTCCCCTCTCCAGCCTCCCACTGCTCCTCTCTAACTGAGCCTTGCCCTGACCCGAGAGAGACCCTGCCCTGTCTAGAGCCCTGCCCATCTGTGACCACAGGTCATGAACTATGCCCTGCTGGGCAACCGGAAGGCTCTCGCCCAGCTGTTTGTCAACCTGATGGAGTCCACCCTGCAGCAGGAGCTGGACAGCCGCCACCGCTGGCAAGGCTTGGTGGACACCTGGAAGGCTCTCAAGAAGGAGGCCCTGCTGCAGAGTTTCAGGTCAGTGCCGCCCACACAGCTCCTTCTCCAGCCCACCAGGGGGGCTGGCAAAGGGTAGGGGCGGCATTCTCCCTCACTTTTTGCCATTACTTAAAAATGCTGCTGTTTCTCTCTGCTCTTTTTAAAGTTAGAAATAGATAAAGGTATAAAGAATAAATTAAAAATCACCACTAATCTCTCCCCACAGTGAGAAGCACAGCAAATATTTTGGTATATTTTCTCCCAGGCTCTTTTAGATCCATAGAGTATATGCAGTTTCATATTTTATTCATGAACCTTGCTTCATGACCATTCTCTGAGCTCCATACAGCTGGAAAACATTCATCCAATTATCTGTATAATTTCCACTCTTTATTATCACTCATAACCCTGTGGACACTGGGCCTGAACAAGTGGACATCCTTCAGGCAAACACTTCCCAACTCTTGGGGAGCGTGTTTCCTCCCTCCCATGGGAGGAGGTGTGAAGAGAGGTCCCTTGTCCATGCTTCTTCTGCCAAGTGTCACTTTTGCTGTGGATGAAGGAAAAGTGTACCAAGGCCTACCTCCATCTTGCCTTTCCATGTGACCTTGACCAAGCCCTTGAACATTCGGAATCTGTCTCTTCCTATGCAAAACAGGCATCCTAATGGACCTGTGACAGAGTTTCAGTGATCCAACCAGATACTGCATGGAAAGTGCCTATCTGGGCCTGGCACCTGGAAGCTGTTATAAATGCCAAACATCATCAACAGTGATAGCAATGGCTGCCGTTTACTGGGCATTTCCCATGAGCCAAGCACAGTGCTAGGGGGCTTGCTTGCATCATTTTACTGAGTGCCCACAAGTGCCAACGAGAAAGGCACTATCATGAGTTCCATTTTACAGAAGAAGAAACTGAGGTTCAGAGTAGGAGAAGGACTTGACCAAAGTTACAGAGCAGGCAGGCGGTGGTCAGGACCCCATCAAATCTGAGCCTGCTGGTCTCATGCTGTTGGTGCCAGAGCTCCATTGACCTGACGATCCCTCCATTCTTTCCTCCATTCCTCTGTCCCCGCTTTCTCCCACCCACCCTCTGTCCCTCCTTTCTTTAGGGTCCTAGAGAAGAGGCAAAGTCTGGGGAGGAAGGGGCTGGGGGTGGTGTTAGGGAAGGAGTGCTGAGGCTCTGAATGCTGTCACCATGGTTCTCTTTCCCTCTCTCACTCCTGCCCTGCTCCTCCTCTCCCCTTTATGGTGCCAACATGTCTGGCCACCAGTGAGTTCATGGCCAGTGAGAGTATCCATACTCCCCCGGCTGTGACGAAGGAGCTAGAGGTCATGCTGAAGACCCAGAACGTCCTGCAGCAAAGGCGGCTGAAGCATCTCTGCACCATCTGGTATGGGCAGGAGGGGCGGCCCAGGAGGGGTGCTTCTTGGGGTGCAGTGAGGGAGGCAGAAGTGGCCTGCAGTCTGTCCCCCAAGGCATCCTTCAGACTAAGCAGACCAACTCCCAGCTCTCTGGCCCTGGGCTGGCCACCTGGACCATTTCAGCCCCACTCACAAGAAAGGCCATGGCCCATTTGCTGCAGGAAGAAACTTAGTGTAGCTGCCAAGCAACTTGAAAGAAACAATGAACGGGGGTGAGGAAGGAGCAGGCACAGATCAGAGCACGCAGGAACTGTGGCCAGGTGGAGGGATTTGGACCTTTTTCTGAGGGCACTGGGGAGCAGAGTGGCTCCATGAGCTTTGCAGTTTGGAGGTATGTGTCAGAGGCATCTGACACTGGAGGCTGGAGGCACCTGTCGGAGGCTGTGGACACTCTCCTCAGATGTGGGTCCAACCAGCCCTGATTTCAGTTTCATAAGAAAGCTATTCAGTGGGGTGCCCACTGAGTGTTCTAGATCCAGCTGGCCAGCCCAGGGCCAGAGAGCTGGGAGTTGGCCTGCTTAGTCTGAAGGTGAGGTGAGGGGAAGAAGCACATTAGGAAAAATAGCTAATGCATGCTGGGCTTAATACCTAGGTGATGGGTTAATAGGTACAGCAAATCACCATGGCACACATTACCTATGTAACAAACCTGCACATCCTGCACATGTACCCTGGAACTTAAAATAAAAATAAAAATTTAAAAAAGAATTTGGTGTCCTTTTTTTAACTTTTATTTTAGATTCAGGGGTACATGTGCAGGTTTGTTATATAGGTAAATCACGTGTTGTGGGGTTTTGGTGTACAGATTATTCTGTCACCCAGGTAATAAGCATAGTACAAGATAGGTAGTTTCTCCATCCTCTCCCTCCTTCCACCCTCCACCCTCAAGTAGGCCCCAGTGTCTGTTTTCTTCTTTATGCCCATATGTATTCAAAGTTTAGCTCCCACTTGTGAGAAGCTGTGGTATTTGGTTTCCTGTTCCTGTGTTAGTTCATGTAGGATAACGGCCTCCAGCTCCATCCATGCTGCTGCGAAGGCCATGATCTCATTCTTTTTTTATGACACTATTTTTAATGACTTCAGAAGAGGATTTGCTGTACTTAGTTTTCTACTGTTGATGTGAAGGTTTTTAAATCATCATGTGTGTTTATGAACAGCATTGTTAAGTGAACATCTTAATACATAAACTTTATGTGCATTCTATAATGCCATCTCAGATTAAGTCCCAGAAGGAGGCTTCCTTGGTCAAGGGATGTGAACAGTTTGTTTTTTCCCCTGGAAAAATTATGTTCTTTTCTTATCTAAGTAACAAATTCGTTACTTAGAATTTGTTAATTAAAAGACCTTTCAGCCATGTCATGTTTTGGCACCAGGAAATCCCCAGCAGTTCCCTTTGTTCTTCAGTGTTTAAATCCATGATTTTCTGGAGCTATGTTCCTTGAAGATGCTACCCATTTTGGTGAGTAAACGGTTTGTTCCTGTGTGGCTTACTTGCTGTATCTTCCTTCCCAGTGACCTCCTGCCCCCCAGTTACAGCAAAACTCAGCTGACTGAGTGGCATTCTTCCCTCAACTCCCTGAACAAGGAGCTAGGTGAGTGACGTCTGCAGGACTCCACCTGCATTTCTCCAGAACTGTTTAAGCAGTTGCTTTGCTGAAGCTCAGCCAAATGAGTGGCGCCGCCATCATGGGGAGGAGGGATGGGGGTGTGGCAGGAAAAGTGAGCTCTGAGGGCTCAAAAGGCCCCCCTCCCTTCTAAGGCCTCCCCTCCTCAGTGCCCAGCCTGCAGCTACACTAGCCGCACCCTATGACCCCTGACCCCTGACCCAAGCATGGAGACAGAGAGATGGCTCTGATACCCTCTTTGAGGAAGGCTCAGAGGCATGCCCCAAGAGTGTGAGGTGGAGCACATAGTATTGATGCCCAGCTCTGCTCCTCCCAGGCTGTGTGACCTTGGGAAAATCAGGGCCTCTGGTAGCCTCAATGTCCTCCTCTGTAAAATAGGGATGGCAAGAGGAGTAATAATGGTCCCTACTTGTGGGGTGGATGTCCAGTGGTAGTCCAGTGCCTGGCTTACACAGAGAATCCTCAATCACAAATGGTGATGTTTCAAAATGCTCTATAATAAGGGCAGTCAGGCTGTAGCGTGTGTGCTGACTGCTGGTTTTGGAACTAAGTGTTGTTAGACCCCCAACTGCCTCGTTTGTTGATGTATTGTGTGGCTGTTTTCACTGTAAATGGCAGAGATGAAAGCAGATAGCCCCTGACTTAGGATGGTTCAACTTGGGACTTTTCGACTTCATGGTAGTGTGAAAGTGATACACATTCAGCAGAAACTGTACTTCAGATTTTGAATTTTGCTCTTTTTCTGGGGGCTGTGGTGCCTGGATACGTGGTGTGATACTCCCTGGCAATGCTGGGCAACGGTGACAAGCTGCAGCTCCCAGTCAGCCCCCCAAGATCATGAGGGTAAACAAGTGTACTCTGTTGCCAGATGATTTTGCCGAACTGTAGGCTAATGTATGTTTTCTGAGCACATTTAAGGTAGACTAGGCTAAGCCATGATGTTTGGTAGGTTAGGTATATTAAATGCATTTTCAACTGAAGATATTTTCAGCTTATGGTGGATTTATTGGGACATAACCCCATTGTAAATAAAGGAACATCTGTAGTTACAACTGAGACTGTATGAGGTTTGCCACGACTTGCTCTAGAAGATATGTAAAAAGTTTTTCATCTCCTTAGAGGATAACAACAATCTAGTGAGGTCAGTGGTGTCATTGTCCTCTTGTAGTAAGAGAAGGGTTTAGTGGCACAGAGAGGTGAAGTATCCTGCCCAAGGTCACACAGCCAATGAAGTGTCACAGCTAGACTTAGCCTGGGTACTTTGGCTAGTAGTACCTGCCATTGCTTCTAGGGCTCTCAGGTTTATAATACTAAGAGTGTTTCTGTATGAGCCACAGGACCCTAAATAATAGCAATGGCTGCCATTCATTCAGTGCCTCCTACAGACAGGCATTGTGCTGGGCCCTGGCATTCAGTAGCTGGCTCTGCCCTCCGGCACTTCCAGTCCAGAGCAGAAGTCAGAGCAAGTGGAGAATGAACAGGTCCCCAGCCATGGGAGCCACAGTTAGGGACACAGCTGGTTCAGGATCGTGGAAACATTGACAAGGAAGTATCAAGGAAGTGGTTGAGAACTGCAAGGGAGGTAAGAGTCAGCCAGGCCAAGAGGGAGGAGGCATTCCAAGCAGGGATACAGTGTACAGGGCCCCGGAGGCAAGACAGGGCTGGGGCCTTTGGAAACAGGGAGGGGAGGCTGGAAGATGCAAAGCAGCTGGACTCTGCTGGCCACGTGGGCTGCATGTGGAAGTCTGGGCTTTATCCTGAGGGCAGTGGGAACTCAGTGGAAGGTTCTGAGCTGGGGGTGATGATGTCAGGGGGCGCAAATGGCCCAGAGGGATGCAGTAGTGGAAGCAGGGGGACCTGGGAGAGCCCATCACAGTGGCCTCACAGAAGGGTGTGGATACCTTGGCCTAGGAACTAGCCCTGGGGACAGGAAGAAGCAGATTTAGAGCTTCTTTTCATCAGTTCTAGCATCTGTCAACCCTCCCAGGTATCCTAAATCTATACCTAGCTGCCATCCCCCTGCCCTCCTCCCCAGCCCTGGACAAAGAACAACCACCACAAAATCTCTGTGTGGTCTTTCAGTTTCTAGAAATTGCCAGCAGCACTAAACCAGAGTTGCTTATCCTAGACATCAGAGTCACACTGAGTTTATTATAAGCTGGGAAACTGAAGGGAGGAGAAATAGAGAAAATAAATAAAAAAGCCAGCTTCTGTGCATTCTGCTAGTGCATTCCGTTTTTCAGGGATGAACCACAGATAGGATCAGTAAATGCTCATTGATCTCCACTCTCATTACTGGTTTACAACTTGGTGCAGTTTCCCAAAAGGAATTTCACCAGCCCTGAAACCGAGTCAAGAATTAGGGCCAGAATGGATTCAGAACAGATAAGGACAAGCTCTTCATTTGATATCCTTATCTTGGGATGTCAGGAACTTTGTAAGGGGACCCCAGCCCCTGATCTCAATCGGGACCACTGATCTTCACCTAAATAAATGTTGCTGTGGAGGCATTTTGCTCCTTTGCAAAGGGGACACTCCCCTTTCTAATCTTCTCTTCCTTCTGGACTGATTTGCTTTGTTTTCTGCCCATGGAGACACCTACCACGTGGACTGCATGATGCGGATCCGCCTGCTGTATGAGAAGACATGGCAGGAGTGCCTGATGCATGTGCAGAATTGTAAGGTGGGCACCCTTCCTGCAGGCCTGAGAAGAGGAATCCTGGGCAGGACCTGAAGTGCCTTCCCTGGCCCCATACCCACTGCCTTCCCCTCCCCAGCTATGTCCCCACTTCACACCCACACACCCTTTAGCCTCCATCCAAGCTTTTCTTCCTCATGGAAGAAAATGGCATGGCTTCATAGCCCCAATGCCTGGTGCTCACTGGTCTCTGGGCATTCTGAAGGTGTTCCTTCTGCCCAGATCCCCTCCCCAGCTATCCCTGCCATCTCTCAGGTTTTAACCCATCACCTCCTCCAGGAAGCCCATGTAAGATGAAGTGTGCGCTCTCAGATCACCTCAGACTTCACCCTTGACTCTCTGTCGTACACAGCACTGGGCGTTGTTTATGAATGGAGGTCATGTCCTGGGGGTTATTGCAATGCGCCCCCTTCATAGATAGGCCTGGCCCCACTTTCCCCTGCACCCTGCCCACTGCATAACAGAGTGAGACAGTAAACTCGTTCCCAAACCCAAGCACGACTGTGACTTGTTCTCTGGGTTAGGGGAACTATTGAGTCAGAATGTCCCTTCCTGCCTCCTTGGTAAGACTGTAAGTGATGCCCCCACCCCCAAAGCTTAACTGTTGTGAAGCATGTTCGGCTGAGAGCACCACTTGGGGAGCCTCCCGAGAGCTCCTGCATGCCTCTCCAGCCAGCTTATGCCTGGCCCTCCAGACCCTAAGGGGAACAGAATTCATGGGGTGCAGGGCCCTTCACCTGGAGCTCAGGTCTGACTTGTGCAACGCTGAGGCCTGTAGGATGCAGCTGATGCCTGTGGGGACCTCAGTCCTAAGCCAGGCTCTGCCTTGTCCCACACACTCCAGAAGCAGCTGCTGGACTGGAAAGCCTTCACTGAGGAGGAGGCAGAGACCCTGGTGAACCAGTTCTTCTTCCAGATGGTGGGAGCACTCCAGGGCAAAGTGGAGGAGGACCTGGAGCTCTTGGACGTGCGTGCTGGGGACTGTTCCACTGGGGAGCTGAGGTGGGGTTGGGGGTCCCCGGGGTTGCTGGGCTGTAGGGAGAGTCCAAGAACTCCAACTTGCATGTTCCTAGTGTGTCCGCTCACCCTTGTCAGCCCCTCTCAGAGTAGCCCCCTTACGCTGGCCACTCCAAGCTCACTCACCGGACTCCTCCCAGCCACCCACTGACATGGGTGCTGCGCAGAACTCCATGCCATGAGCACTCCCTGGCCATTGTTGACCCTGGGCACTGAAGGGCTGTGGAGGCACAATAAGCCCCCAGCCCAAGACACGTGTTATCTTGAACCAGGGTTGGCTCATGTTTTCTGTGAAGGGCCAGATGGTGACTATTTTAGGCTCTGTGGGCCATCAGGTCTCTGACGCACCTTGTCAGCTCCACCAGTGCCACACAAAAGCAGCCCTAGGCCATGCAGAAACAAATGGCATGGCTGTGTTCCAATAACTATTGATGGACACTGAAATTGGAATTGTATGTAATTTTCATCTCATTAAATATCTTCTTTTGATTATTTTCCAGCCATTTTAAAACTGGAATATCTGTGTGTAGCTCACAGGACCAAACAAAAACAGGTAGAGGGCCAAATTTAGTCTACAGGTGGCAGCTTGCCCACCCCTGGCCCAGATGAGGGCATAAGACACGTACATTTTTTTAAAAGGTGGGTGGTGTGGAGGATTTCACAGCAGGTGTGGTGTTTGGCCCAGATGCCATGAGTGAGGGAACTCCACAGAAGGAAAGATGCCCAGGCCAGTGTTGCTGTGGCCTCCTGAGTGCCCAGCCTGGTTTTTAGGAATGGCCCAAACTCCATCTTCTTCCTGTCAGAGACTTTTGTGGAGCACAGGATATGTCTAGAGATGGGACTTGAGGGTCAGCAAGACCAAGGGCAGGGCCTTGGGCAGACCTGAAACGCTGCCCTAGGGAGGGAGGACCAAGAGCACAGGTGTGGCCTAGAAGTTGACCTTGAGGGACGGTGTCTGGGCAATACTGTTCAGTCGTTAGAGACAGGGGGTCCCACAGGTGGGCCCTCTTCTTGGCCCTGGGACTGTCAGCCCTTAAGTCCCTTCTCTGGGCTCTGCCACTGCAGAAATCCTTCGAGACTCTGGCAGATCAGACAGAGTGGCAGAGTTCACACCTCTTCAAGTATTTCCAGGAGGTGGTACAACTGTGGGAGGCACACCAGAGCGAGCTGTTGGTGCAGGAGCTGGAGCTGGAGAAGAGGATGGAGCAGCACCGGCAGAAGCACAGCCTGGAGAGCCAGGTGAGACCCACACCCGGGGCTCCATGTTTCACACCACAAACAGCAATGAACTCAAACAGATCCTTGACCCAAATGGAGAACCTTAAGCTATGAAATTTGTGCAGATGGGGACATTGAGGCTCACGTTGGTCATGGGATCAGATGGGAGTAGCAGAAATCTCCTGGAACCAAATGTGTCTCTAAGAGCATGCATGAGAGACAGACAGATGGTTCAAGTGAGGAGACGATTAAAGGATGGTATCACGAATCACACACTTTATTGCCATTGAAAGAGAATTTTTTCATAGGTTCACAATGCTTAAAGAGGGGGAGAATAACATGAACCAACCTCAAAAGGAATACATCCACAGGGAGTAGACAAGGTACTTTAGGCACATTGTGAGCTGCAAAGCTATTAAAGTCTAGTTGTTCAATAAGGATGGATGCAGGCTTCCATGGGAAGTCTAATAAAAGCTTCAGGTGTGCCTTTCTATGTGCGGTTTCTCAGGAGAAACTGGCTTGCAAGCGAACACAGTGGACATCTGTGATGGCACATAGGTCCCTGGAAGCCAGAGGGTAGTGCCGGTGCTGGTGGCATGGCTTCATAGCCCCAGTGCCTATCACAGCCTGAGCTCTCTCTCATTCAAAGAAGCCACTGACAGAGTGAAACCTGCCTCAGCCTAAGCTCTTGAAGTGTCAAACTCTTGAGTATTTCGAAGTCCAGTAGTTAAGGTTAACTCACATATGGGGGGCTGTTAAGGGTGACATCACATTCCCAAGGTGAGTGGGGGGAATAACTCCAAGTTCTCCTATATGGGGTCTGATAAGACATCACATTCTGAAAGAAAAAGGGGAAGACACTCCAAGTTCTTATTACAGACAAACATGTCATTCATGTAGCAAATTGTGCACGTGTTGGGAATCATTTCAAAGCTCCATAACTGGGGCAATCTCCTGCCTGCACAGGAGGTCAGCTGGCCCCTGCCTTGCCTGCTCTCACACAGTCCAGGAGGTGGGGGAACAAACTCAGCTTCTGATTTCAAGCACGACTGGTGAGAAGAAGAGCGAGGAGCAGGTGTAGTGCAGGCCTGACCAGGTGGGCGGGTGTGAGGGCCCTGTCTCCAGGGGGTCCCATCTGAGCTGGTTCCCTAGGGGTATGATGTGGGCAGGGAAGAACACTGCAGGCAGAGAAAAGTCTGGAGGGCTATAGTGGAGAGAGGGAGGGTGGTGGCAGATTGGGTACCCCATTTGTAGAAAGGAAGTCCTGGGTCTGCTGAGGCACCTGGGCCTCAGTTCCAGCAGCAGGGTCCCTGCAGGTCACTTACACTCTGTGAGCACTGGAGGTCACATCTGCTTCCTCTTGTTTTGGGGGTGGCTTCCAGGTGCAGGAGGCCCACCTCGATAGGCTCTTGGACCAACTGAGGCAGCAAAGTGACAAAGAAACACTGGCGTTTCACCTGGAAAAGGTCAAAGATTATCTGAAGAACATGAAATCCAGGTAGGCCAACCAGACTCCAGAAGGCAGGAAGGGATGGTCAGGAATTCATCTTCAAGGTCAAGGGCAGCCTGCCCAAGAGCCCAGGAGCCTGCCAGCTTAAGATGAAAATTGTGCCTCTCACTTTAGAAAGCATGTGGCCCTCTGCAGCTCTACTCTCAGCCAACAAAGAAGCTTCCAGGGAGAATTTTTTAAAGTTTTTGGAGGGAGGTTTCAAAGCAATGCAGCTTAAGTTCAAGAACATGGGGCCTTCTTTTAAAAATTTAAAGATGTGGATGGATCACCTGAGGACAGGAGTTCAAGACCAAGCTGGCCAACATGGTGAAACCCCACCTCTACTAAAAATACAAGAATTAGCCAGATGTGGTGGCAGGTCCCTGTAATCCCAGCTACTCAGGAGGCTGAGGCAGGAGAATCACTTGAACCCAGGAGACGGAGGTTGCAGTGAGAGGAGATCATGCCATTGCACTTCAGCCTGGGTGACAGAGTGAGACTCTGTCTCAAAAACAAAAAAAAATTTAAACATGTACATTCTTGTTAAAGGGGGAAAAAGAAGTTAACCACTGCAAACATATAGAGATTTTTTTCCCTCATTCCTGCCCACTTTTCCTTTTTTATGGGCATATACATTTATATATATGAATATATACACATACATAGTGTTTTTAAAATAAAGGTTGGATTATACCGTGCAAATTGTTCCATAACTACAGATATACTTCCTTTTTTAAATGCCTTGTAGCATTCATTAATGTAGATACTTCATAATGGTTTAGCAATCCCTCAATTGATTAGCTGTTTTCTATTGGTTCCAATTTCTCAATATGACAAGCAGTTCTCTGTGAACTTTCTTGCATCTTTGTGACTTTGTACAGCTGATTCTGTAAGGACTGTTCACAGAAATAGAACGACACTGCCAATTGATTGCAGTACTTAGATTCAGAAGGCAATTCTGATTACTTTAGGCAAGTACGTAACCCTATGAGCCTTGGTCTACTTCTCTGAGAAATAGAAGTCTGGACCTTGGGGCATTTGCGAGTTTGATGGAATAATGTAGGTACCGTCAAGTTCGAGGACAGCATTAAGACCAAAGACAGAGTTAGGACCCTGGACAGGGAAAGGGAGCTCATGTTACAAGCAGAAAAGTCTCTTGTGTGTGTTTTCCAAACTTTCTACAAAAAGTATGTATTTCTCGTATGATCAGAAAAATAGCATAGCCAAGGACTGCTGCTATAAAAGAGCAGCCACACAGCAGCTCTACACAGAGTTGTGTGCCAGATTGCAGCCCATCTCCTTGGGGTCAGGGGTGTGGTTCCTAGCTGGGGTCTCCTGTCTTACCTACCTACCTCCCAGGTATGAATGTTTTCACACCCTCCTGACAAAGGAAGTGATGGAGTACCCAGCGATCATGCTGAAAGAACTCAACTCCTACAGCTCTGCCCTCAGCCAATACTTCTTTGTGCGTGAAATCTTTGAACAGGTATGGAGAGGGTGATGATACACCCAGCCACTCATGAAGAAGCTAAGGGAGAGGCTGACTTCTTGTTATGATCTGCCTAGACTTTGAAAGCCATTCCTAATGCTGCAGAGTTCAAATCAATGCAAGAAGAAAGAAGCTGAAAGTGTCTCTAAAGAGACCATCTCTTTCTCAGTATAAAAGAGGCTGAAGGGTTCAGAATTCAGGGCTCAAGCCTGAATGGACTTATAATGAAAAGGTTAATTTATATGGTGCTTGGAATTCCATTTATCATACCTACCACTGCCACATAATTCTCCTAAAATATAGCTTTAACCCACCTACTCTCCTGCAAAATCCCTCCCCAACTGTGCAGCCCCCACCAAATCCAACTTACAGTCCCTAGATAACCACAAAGGCCCCACTCTCTCTGCTTCCCACCTTGACTCTCCCTCATCCAGCAGACTCATCCCTCTTCTGGCATGTGCCTCCTGCCTGCTGCCCTTCCTCATCGTGCTCCCTCTGCTGGGACCCCTCTGTCTCCACATATCCCAAACCCACCCATACCTCCAATTCACTACCAAGAGAAAGGCTCCCACTCATTCAGCCTGACCCCTCATCTCACCTTGCTCAGCCCCTGCCACCTCTCAGAGCTCTGAACTTTTTTGTGCTTGGTTGCTGTCAAATACAGGAGTCTGGAGAACCCAACTATAATATATTTCTTAAAGGGCAAGTATGCCTTAATTTTTATTCAATTTTGATTGTCATTAGCACAAGGGTCTTGCACATAATTCAGACACAATAAATGCTCTCTGGGTAAATGCATGAATACCTGGGATTCCCTGGTTTGAATCCCCCAGAGTTTGGCTCTTTTCCCGCACACCAGCCATAGTCCTGCCTGGCCTGAATGGAAATACTCATGGTTGCCACTGAACCTGGCCAAAGGTTTCCCACATATACAGGACACCTGGCTCCTTCCCTGAGCATCTCTCCTCCCAGAAGAGATTCCTGTTTAGATTGCTAATAGCTGCTCCCTGTGCCACCTAGGTTGAGAGGGAAGCTCAAGCTATAGGATGGCGAACTTATTGCCTGCCCTTTGAGATCATTTGGATCACCTGGGTTAAAGGTATAGGCACCATTATGATCTCCATTTCATGGAAGATAACACTAAGCCCCATAGGGTGTAGAGGACTTGCCCAAGATCACTTAGCTTGTCAGGAGCTGGGAATCAAATCCAGACCTGCAAATTCCACAGCCTGCACTGTTATCCATAACACAGAATATCCAAAACTTCACCCAGAGCCTGTGAAACAGGAAATTTGCAGGGTTTACAAGGGGGCTCTCAGGATCATGTAAATCATGCCTGTTGTGTCTGTTCCATCTAGCACAGAATGCAGCAGATTTCTGCCCTTTGTTTGCATCCCTCAGTTTATATTTTTCTTGCCCTTTGCTCCAGATCACTGCCAAAAAATATATCATAATGAGCTTTAATTCCATGATTACCCATTGTGTGCTATAAGGGTTTGCTAGCCTTCTTGGAATTAAGAAAAACTGGTTCCTAGGATTGAGAACAACCCAATTACCCCAGGGAACTAAGTTGGTCAAGGCCTGCATCAGATATTAAAGGGGAGGGATGGGTCCTTTTACTTAAAAGTGGCACTCTGGGCTGGGTGCGGTGGCTCACGCCTGTAATCCCAGCACTTTGGGAGGCCGAGGCGGGCGGATCACGAGGTCAGGAGATGGAGACCATCCTGGTTAACACGGTGAAACCCTGTCTTTACTAAAAATACAAAAAATTAGCCAGGCGTGGTGGCTGGCGCCTATAGTCCCAGCTACTCGGGAGGCTGAGGCGGGAGAATGGTGTGAACCTGGGAGGCGGAGCTTGCAGCGAACCAAGACCGCGCCACTGCACTCCAGCCTTGGCAACAGAGCCAGACTCCTCTCAAAAAAAAAAAAAAAAAAAAAAAGGTGGGGGGCACTCTGAAGAAAGGCAGTGCAGGTCCTTCAGTGACTCTTGGTTTTTCCTTGTAGAACTTGGCTGGAGAAGTCATTTTCAAATTCAGGCAACCAGGTAACACTTTTTCAATTCAAGTTTTATTCTCCCAGACTTCACTCTTACGCGTTTGTGGGTTGGGAGGCCCAATCCAGGCAGCATCAGTAAATTGTCTCTCCTTGTGCTTTGGTGTTTATCATCAACAGAAGCACATGAAAAACCCTCCCAGAAGAGAGTGAAAAAACTGAGGAAGAAGCAAGGGTCTAAAGAGGACATGACCAGAAGTGAGGAAAGCATAAGTAGTGGGACAAGTACTGCCAGGTCAGTAGAAGAGGTGGAAGAAGAAAACGATCAAGAAATGGAGTCCTTCATAACTGAAGAGGTGCTGGGGCAGCAGAAAAAATCTCCACTGCATGCTAAGATGGATGAGTCCAAAGAAGGCTCTATTCAGGGACTGGAAGAAATGCAGGTTGAAAGAGAGGGCTCCTTAAACCCATCCCTGAATGAGGAGAATGTGAAGGGTCAAGGAGAAAAGAAGGAGGAGTCAGAGGAGGAAGATGAGAAGGAGGAAGAGGAGGAGGAGGAGAAGCTGGAGGAAGAGAAGGAGGAGAAGGAGGCACAGGAAGAGCAAGAGAGTTTATCTGTGGGTGAGGTAAGCCAGCAACTGATTCATTCTTGGGCATAGAGAAAGTTTGCTATGCTCATTTTGTGTTTATCCCTAGTGTAAGCTGGGGTCTTCAGTGGCCCAGTCTCCATAGAGGTGCAGAAAGAGAATTACAAAAATATTCATACTATTCATACTTTAAAAAAATTTTATTTTAGGTTCAGGGGTACATGTGCAAGTTTGTTATTTAGGTAAACTATGTATCATGGGGGTTTGATTTACAGATAATTTTGTCAGCGGGCTAATAAGCATAGTACCCAATAGTTGTTGTTTTTTTTTCTGATCCTCTCCCTGCTCCCACGCTTTACCCTCAAATAGTTCCCAGTATCTGCTGTTCGCCTCCTAGTATCCATGTGTTCTTTGTTTAGCTCCCACTTAAAAGTGAGAACATGCAGTATTTGGTTTTCTGTTCCTTTGTTAGTTTGCTTAGGATAATGGCCTCCATCCATGTTGCTGCAAAGGACATGATCCCATTCTTTTTATGGTTGCATAGTATCCCATGGTTTATATGTACCACATTTTATTTATCCAGTCCTACTGTCAATGGGCGTTTAGGTTGATTCCATGTCTTAGCTATTGTGAATAGTGCTGCAATGAATATATATGCATGCATGTGTCTTTATGGTAGAATGATTTACATTCCTTTGGGTATATACACAATAATGGGACTGTGGGGTCAAAAGGTAGTTCTGTTTTAAGTTCTTTGAGAAATTGCCACACTGGAATACACTCCCACCAGCAGTGAATAAGCATACCCTTTTCTCTGCAATCTTGCCAGCATCTGTTGTTTTTTGACTTTTTAATAATATTCATTCTGACTGTTATGAGATGGTATCTCATTGTGGTTTTGATTTGCATTTCTCTAATGATTAGTGATGTTGAGCACCTTTTCATATACTGGTTGGCCACATGTATGTCTACTTTTGAAAAGTGTCTGTTTGTGTCCTTTGCCCACTTTTGAATAGGGTTGTTTGGTTTTTGCTTGTTAATTTAAATTCTTTATAGATTCTGGATATTAGACCTTTGTCAGATGCATAGTTTGCAATTATTTTCTCCCATTCTGTAGGTTGTCTGTTTACTCTGTTGATAGTTTCTTTTGCTGTGCAGAAGCTCTTTAGTTTAATTAGGTCCATTTGTCAATGTTTGTTTTTGTCGCAATTGCTTTTGGCATCTTCATCATGAAATCTTTGCCAAGTCCTATGTCCAGAATGGTATTTCTTATTTTATCTTCCAGGGTTTTTATAGTTTTAGGCTTTACATTTAAGTATTTAATTCATCTTGAGTTGATTTTTGTATGTGGTATAAGGTAGGGGTCCAGTTTCAATCTTCTGCATATGGCTACCCAGCACCATTTATTAAATGGGTAGTCATTTCCTCACTGCTTGTTTTTGTCAGCTTTGTTGAAGATCAGATGGTTTAGGTGTGAGGCATTCTATTCCATTGGTCTGTGTGTCTGTTTTTGTGCTTGTATTATGCTGTTTTGATTACTGTAGACCTGTAGTATAGTTTGAAGTCAAGTAACATGATACCTCCAGCTGTGCTCTTTTTACTTAGGATTGCCTTTGCTATTCAGGCTCTTTTTTTATTGCATATAAATTTTAAAATAGTTTTTCTGATTCTGTGAAGAATGTCATTAGTAGTTTGATAGGAATAGCATCAAATCTGTAAATTGCTTTGAGCAGTATGGCCATTTTAAAGATATTGACTCTTCCTATCCATGAACATGGGATGTTTATGGTTTTTCATTTGTTTGGTCATCTCTGATTTCTTTGAGCAGTGTTTTGTAATTCTCATTGTAGAGACCTTTTACCTCCTGGTTAGCTGTATTCCTAGGTATTTTATTCTTTTTGTGGTGATTGTGAATGGGATTGCTTTCCTGATTTGGCTCTCGGCTTAGATGTTGTTGGTGTGTAGGAATGCTACTGATTTTTGTATGTTGCTTTTGTACTCTGAAACTTTGCTGAAGTTGTGTATCAGATCAAGGGGCTCTGGGGAAGAGACCATGGGGTTTTCTAGCTATAGAATGTCATCTGCAAACAGGATAGTTTGACTTCCTCTCTTCCTATTTGGATGCCTATTATTTCTTTATCCTGCCTGATTACTCTGCCCAGGGCTTCCAATACTAGTTGAATAGGAGTGGTGCAAGATGGCCTCCTTGTCTTGTGCTGGTTTTCAAGGGGAATGCTTCCATCTTTTGCCCAATCAGTATGTTGGCTCTGGGTTTGTTATAGATGGCTCTTACTATTTTGAAGTATGTTCTTTCAATGCCTAGTTTGTTGAGGGTTTTTAACATGAAGGGGTGTTGAATTTTATCAAAAGCCTCTTCTGTGTCTATTGAGATAATCATGTGGTTTTTGTTTTTAGTTCTGTCTATGTGATGAATCACATTTACTGATTTGCAAATGTTGAACCAACCTTGCATCCCAGGGATAAAGCCTACTTGATCATGGTGAATTCGCTTTTTGATGTACTGTTGGATTCAGCTTGCTAGTATTTTGTTAAGGATTTTTTGCATCAATGTTAATCAAGGATATTGGCCTGAAATTTTCTTTGTTTGTTGTGTTTCTGCCAGGTTTTGGCATCAGCGTGATTCCGGCTTCATAGAATGAGTTGGGGAGGAGCCTGTACTCCTCAACTTTTTGGAATAGTTTCAGCAGAAGTGATACCAGCTCTTTGTACATGTGGTAGAATTTGGCTGTGAATCCATTTGGTCCTGGGTTTGGGTTTTTTTTTTTTTTTTTTTTTTTTTTGGTTTGTAGGCTATTTATTATTGATTCCATTTTGGAGCTCATTATTAGTCTGTTCAGGGATTCAGTTTCTTCCTGGTTCAGTCTTGGGAGGTATATGTGTTCATGAATTTATCCATTTCTTCTAGATTTTCTAGTTTGTGTGCAAAGAGGTGTTCATAGTAGTCTGATGGCTGTTGGAGTTTTTTTTTGTATTTCTGCGGGGTCAGTGATAATGTATTAATACTTTTTTATTTTTTGCTAACAGTGATCCAATTCTTTACTCAGAGTAATGCTTTTCATTTTTAAAACATTTTTAATTATTTTTTTTTTGAGATGGAGTCTCACTCTGTCACTCAGGCTGGAGTGCAGAGGTGTGATCTCAGCTCACTGCAACCTCTGCCTCCCAGGTTCAAGTGATTCTCCTGCCTCAGCCTCCCAAGTAGCTGGAACTACAGGTGTGTACTACCACACCCGGCTAATTTTTGTATTTTTTTTTTCTTTAAAGGGGGAACAAGGGAATTGTTAAGTGAAATAATAACCCATATATGTTTAACATTTTACTTATTACAAAGTATTTTTGCATACATGTTCTTATTCTGTTTCCCAGTAAAATTTTCACTGTGAGGCAAATATTATTAATTATTCTCTTTTTAGAAGCATGCAAAACAATGCTCCTATCCTAGAGATAAGGGACTCCACAAACTCACTCAGCTACTAATGGAAAAGCTGGGACTCTTTTTATATTATACGACTTAGCCCTAGGGAGCCGTTATTAGCAATAGCCAGTATTTTAAGGAGTGTTTGTCATGTGCCTGGCATTTTGTGGACTTTACATGGATTACATGATTTAATCTGCATGACTAATCTGTAAGGTTGATACTACATTTATCCTCATTGTATAGACAACGAATCTGAGAGTTATCAAAGCTAAACAACTTTTCTATGCCAAAGCCAAGCTCCAAACCCTGGTAGCCTGACTCCAGGATCCATGTTCTTCTTTGTCACTAAGCTAACTGCCTTCTCAAACCAATGCTACTATGCTGGCCTTCCAGTACATACACCTTTATGCTCTGCTACATGTCCCTTTAGGGCTATGTATGTCCTTATAATATTAAGTTGCATTTTTGCTAACGTTTCCTGTTTTCCTATATAGGCTATTTTTTCCCACTGATGAAATGTCGAGTCATAGGGAAACAGAAAATTATAGTTTACATTATTTATAGTTTTCATTGAGAATATGGTAACATAAGGAACAAAATCATAGGGCCAAACATAGTCTACTCGTTAGACTTTCATCTTTAACAGTGCCACCAAGAAAGTTTCAAAGGGTAGAATTATGTACACCTCCGAAGCAACTCTCTGTTGTCTTAGCAGCTTACTTTGAATGGTTATCCATGAATGCACACTTCTCTCAGAGAGATTATATATCTTGAAGAGAAGGTCTAAATTTTAAACATTTCTCTCATGTCTAGTACTGTTCTGGATACAATAGCAGGTACATTTCATTAAATTAAATCTCAGCTTATGTAATATTGTATTGAAATTACCAGTCCCTCACACATTTTTACACCCAGCCTGTTTTATTTTTTGAAAGTAAGACTTTCCATGTTAGCTTTCTTCCTTCTTTTGCTCTATTAAAAACTCTTTCCCATTTCTTCTTTTTTTATTTTAAAACTTTTTTTTTTAATACTTTAAGTTCTAGGGTACATGTGCACAATGTGCAGGTTTGTTACATATGTATACATGTGCCATGTTGGTTTGCTGCACCCATCAACTCGTCATTTACACCAGGTGTTTCTCCTAATGCTATCCCTCCCCCATTCCCCCACCCCACAACAGGCCTTGGTGTGTGATGTTCCCCACCCTGTATCCAAGTGTTCTCATTGTTCAATTCCCACCTATGAGTGAGAACATACAGTGTTTGGTTTTCTATCCTTGCGATAGTTTGCTCAGAATGATGGTTTCCAGCTTCATCCATGTTGCTACAAAGGACATGAACTCATCCTTTTTTATGGCTGCATAATATTCCATGGTGTACATGTGCCACATTTTCTTAATCCAGTCTATCATTCTGGATATTTGGGTTGGTTTCAAGTCTTTGCTATTGTGAATAGTGCCGCAATAAACGTACATGTGCATGTGTCTTTATAGTAGCATGATTTATAATCCTTTGAGTATATACCCAGTAATGGGATCACTGGGTCAAATGGTATTTCTAGTTCTAGATCCTTGAGGAATCGCCACACTGTCTTCCACAACGGTTGAACTAGTTTACACTCCCACCAACAGTGTAAAAGCATTCTTATTTCCCCACATCCTCTCCAGCACCTGTTGTTTCCTGACTTTTTAATGATTGCCATTCTAACTGGTGTGAGATGGTATCTCTTTGTGGTTTTGATTTGCATTTCTCTGATGACCAGTGATGACGAGCGTTTTTTCATGTGTCTGTTGGCGGCATAAATGTCTTCTTTTGAAAAGTGTCTGTTCATATCCTTTGCCCACTTTTTAATGGGGTTGTTTGATTTTTTCTTGTAAATTTGTTTAAGTTATTTGTAGATTCTGGATATTAGCCCTTTGTCAGATGGGTAGATTGCAAAAATTTTCTCCCATTCTGTAGGTTGCCTGTTTCTTTCGCTGTGCAGAAGCTCTTTAGTTTGATTAGATCCCATTTGTCAATTATGGCTTTTGTTGCCATTGCTTTTGGTGTTTTAGTCATGAAGTCCTTGCCCATGCCTATGTCCTGAATGGTAATGCCTAGGTTTTCTTCTAGGGTTTTTATGGTTTTAGGTCTAACATTTAAGTCTTTAATCCATCTTGAATTAATTTTTGTGTAAGGTGTAAGGAAGGGATCCAGTTTCAGCTTTCTACATATGGCTAGCCAGTTTTCCCAGCATCATTTACTGAACAGGAGATCCTGTCCCCATTGCTTGTTTTTGTCAGGTTTGTTGAAGATCAGATGGTTGTAGATGTGTGGTATTATTTCTGAGGCCTCTGTTCTGTTCTATTGGTCTGTATCTCTGTTTTAGTACCAGTACCATGCTGTTTTGATTACTGTAGCCTTGTAGTATAGTTTGAAGTCAGGTAGCGTGATGCCTCCAGCTTTGTTCTTTTTGCTTAGGATTGTCTTGGCAATGCAGGCTCTTTTTTGGCTCCATATAGACTTTAAAGTAGTTTTTTCCAATTCTGTGAAGAAAGTCATTGGTAGCTTGATGGGGATGGCATTGAATCTATAAATTAACTTGGGCAGTATGGCCATTTTCACGATATTGATTCTTCCTATCCATGAGGATGGAATGTTCTTCCATTTGTTTGTGTCCTCTTTTATTTCTTTGAGCAGTGGTTTGTAGTTCTCCTTGTAGAGGTCCTTCACATCCCTTTTAAGTTGGATTCCTAGGTATTTTATTCTTTTTGTAGCAATTGTGAATGGGAATTCACTCATGATTTGGCTCTCTGTTTGTCTGTTATTGGTGTGTAAGAATGCTTGTGATTTTTGTACATTGATTTTGTATCCTGAGACTTTGCTGAAGTTGCTTATCAGCTTAAGGAGATTTTGGACTGAGACAATGGGGTTTTCTAAATATACAATTAGGTCATCTGCAAACAGGGACAATTTGACTTCCTGTTTTCCTAATTGAATACCCTTTATTTCTTTCTCTTGCCTGATTGCCCTGGCCAGAACTTCCAACACTATGTTGAATAGGAGTGGTGAGAGAGGGCATCCCTGTCTTGTGCCAGTTTTCAAAGGGAATGCTTCCAGTTTTTGCCCATTCAGTATGATACTGGCTGTGGGTTTGTCATAAATAGCTCTTATTATTTTGAGATATGTTCCATCAATACCTAGTTTATTGAGAGCTTTTAGCATGAAGGCTGTTGAATTTTGTCGAAGGCCTTTTCTGCATCTATTGAGATAATCATGTGGGTTTTGTCTTTGGTTCTGTTTATGTGATGGATTACGTTTATTGATTTGCGTATGTTGAACCAGCCTTGCATCCCAGGGATGAAGCCAACTTGATCTTGGTGGATAAGCTTTGTGATGTGCTGCTGGATTCGTTTTGCCAGTATTTTATTGAGGATTTTTGCATTGATGTTCATCAGGGATATTGGTCTAAAATTCTCTTTTTTTGTTGTGTCTCTGCCAGGCTTTGGTATCAGGATGATGCTGGCCTCATAAAATGTGTTAGGGAGGATTCCCTCCTTTTCTATTGATTGGAATAGTTTCAGAAGGAATGGTACTAGCTCCTCTTTGTACCTCTGGTAGAATTCGGCTGTGAATCCATCTGGTCCTGGACATTTTTCTGGTTGGTAGGCTATTAATTATTGCCTCAATTTCAGAGCCTGTTATTGGTTTATTCAGGGATTCAACTTCTTCCTGGTTTAGTCTTAGAAGGGAGTATGTGTCCAGGAATTTATCTATTTCTTCTAGTTTTTCTAGTTTATTTGCATAGCGGTGTTTATAGTATTCTCTGATGGTAGTTTGTATTTCTGTGGGATAGGTGGTGATATCCCCTTTATCATTTTTTATTGAGTCTATTTGATTCTTCTCTCTTTTCTTCATTAGGCTTGCTAGAGGTCTGCCAATTTTGTTGATCTTTTCAAAAAACCAGCTCCTGGATGCATTGATTTTTTGAAAGGTTTTTTGTGTCTCTATCTCCTTCAGTTCTGCTCTAATCTTAGCTATTTCTTGCCTTCTGCTAGCTTTTGAATTTGTTTGCTCTTGCTTCTATAGTTCTTTTAATTGTGATGTTAGGGTGTCAATTTTAGATCTTTCATGCTTTCTCTTGTGGGCATTTAGTGCTATAAATTTCCCTCTACACGCTGCTTTAAATGTGTCCCAGAGATTCTGGTACATTGTGTCTTTGTTCTCATTGGTTTCAAAGAGCATCTTTATTTCTGCCTTCATTTCGTTATTTACCTGGTAGTCATTCAGGAGCAGGTTGTTCTGTTTCCATGGAGTTGTGCGGTTTTGAGTGAGTTTCTTAATCCTGAGTTCTGATTTGATTGCACTGTGGTCTGAGAGACAGTTTGTTGTGATTTCTGTTCTTTTACATTTGCTGAGAAGTGCTTTACTTCCAACTATGTGGTCAATTTTGGAATAAGTGCGATGTGGTGCTGAGAAGAATGTATATTCTGTTGATTTGGGGTGGAGAGTTCTGTAGATGTCTATTAGGTCTGCTTGGTGCAGAGCTGAGTTCAAGTCCTGGATATCCTTGTTAACCTTCTGTCTTGTTGATCTAATATAGACAGTGGGGTGTTACAGTCTCCCATTATTATTGTGTGGGAGTCTAAGTCTCTTTGTAGGTCTCTCAGGACTTGCTTTATGAATCTAGGTGTTCCTGTTTTGGATGCATATATATTTATGATAGTTAGCTCTTCTTGTTGAATTGATCCCTTTACCATTATGTAATGGCCTTCTTTGTCTCTTTTGATCTTTGTTGGTTTAAAGTCTGTTTTATCAGAGACTAGGATTGTAACCCCTGCTTTTTTTTTGCTTTCCATTTGCTTGGAAGTCTTCCTCCATCCCTTTATTTTGAGCCTATGTGTGTCTCTGCACGTGAGATAGGTCTCCTGAATACAGCACACTGATGGGTCTTGACTCTTTATTCAATTTGCCAGTCTGTGTCTTTTAATTGGGGCATTTAGCCCATTTACATTTAAGGTTAATATTGTTATGTGTGAATTTGATCCTGTCATTATGATGTTAGCTGGTTATTTTGCCCATTAGTTGATGCAGTTTCTTCCTAGCATTGATGGTCTTTACAATTTGGCATGTTTTTGCAGTGGCTGGTACCGGTTGTTCCTTTCCATTTTAGTGCTTCCTTCAGGAGCTCTTGTAAGGCAGGCCTGGTGGTGACAAAATCTCTCAGCATTTGCTTGTCTGTAAAGGATTTTATTTCTCCTTCACTTATGAAGCTTAGTTTGGCTGGATATGAAATTCTGAGTTGAAAATTCTTTTCTTTAAGAATATTGAATATTGGCCCCCACTCTCTTCTGGCTTGCAGGGTTTCTGCTGAGAGATCCACTGTTAGTCTGATGGGCTTCCCTTTGTGGGTAACCCGACCTTTCTCTCTGGCTGCTCTTGGCATTTTTTCCTTCATTTCAACCTTGGTGCATCTGACAATTGTGTGTCTTGGGGTTGTTCTTCTCAAGGAGTATCTTTGTGGTGTTCTCTGTATTTCCTGAATTTGAATGTTGGCCTGCCTTACTAGGTTGGGGAAGTTCTCCTGGATAATATCCTGAAGAGTGTTTTCCAGCTTGGTTCCATTCTGCCTGTCACTTTCAGGTACACCAGTCAAACATTGACTTGGTCTTTTCACATAGACCCATATTTCTTGGAGGCTTTGTTTGTTTCTTTTTACTCTTTTTTCTCTAAACTTCTCTTCTTGCTTCATTTCATTAATTTGACCTTCAATCACTGATACCCTTTCTTCCACTTGATTGAATTGGCTACTGAAACTTGCGCATGCGTCACGTAGTTCTTGTGCAATGGTTTTCAGCTCCACCAGGTCATTTAAGATCTTCTCTACACTGTTTATTCTAGTTAGCCATTCGTCTAATCTTTTTTCAAAGTTTTTAGCTTCCTTGCATTAGGTTCGAACATCCTCCTTTAGCTCGGAGAATTTTGTTATTACCAACTTTCTGAAGCCTACTTCTGTCAACTCGTCAAAGTCATTCTCCATCCTGCTTTGTTCTGTTGCTGGTGAGGAGCTGTGATCCTTTGGAGGAGAAGGGGCGCTCGGGTTTTTAGAATTTTCAGCTTTTCTGCTCTGGTTTCTCCCCATCTTTGTGGTTTTTATCTACCTTTGGTCTTTGATGATGGTGACCTACAGATGGGGTTTTGGTGTGGATGTCCTTTTTGTTGATTGTGGGCGGCAAGCCACCCAGGTGCCGAGGCAAGAGACCGAGGACACGAGCTGTTCCAGTATAATAAAATATAAAACAAGAATAGTTATGCCAGATATGGATCTTAGATATGATTATATACGAATATCATTAATCATTAGTTTGTAGCAATTACTCTTTATTCCAATATTATAATAATCCTCGCTCTATAATCATAACCTGGAAAAACCAGGCCATACAGAGATAGGAGCTGAGGGGACACAGTGCAAAGTGACCAGAAGACAAGATTGCAAGCCTTCTGTTACGCGCAGACAGGGCCACCAGAAGGGCTCCTTGGTCTAGCGGTGACGCCAGCATCTGGGAAGACGCCTGTTGCCAGGCGGACCATGGTCTAGTGGTAGCGAAAAGTGTCAAGGGACAACACCCGCTACTTAGCAGACCAGGAAAGGGAGTCTCCCTTTCCCCGGGGGAGTTTAGAGAAGAGTCTGCTCCTCCACCTCTTGTGGAGGGCCTGACATTAGTCAGGCTTGCCCACAGTTATCCGGAGGCCTAACCGTCTCCCTGTGATGCTGTGCTTCAGTGGTCACGCTCCTAGTCTGCCTTCATGTTCCATCCTGTACACCTGGTTCTGCCTTCTAGATAGCAGTAGTAAATTAGTGAAAGTACTAAAAGTCTCTGATATGCAGAAATAATGGTGTAAGCTGTCTTTCTCTTTGTCTCCTCTCTCTCTCTGCCTCGGCTGCCAGGCAGGGAAGGGCCCCCTGTCCAGTGGACATGTGACCCACGTGACCTTACCCATCATTGGAGATGACTCACACTCTTTACCCTGCCCCTTTTGCTTTGTATCCAATAAATAACTGTGCAGCCAGACATTCAGGGCCACTACCGGTCTCTGCACATTGGTGGTAGTGGTCCCCTGGGCCCAGCTGCCTTTTCTTTTATCTCTTTGTCTTGTGTCTTTATTTCTACACTCTCTCCTCTCCGCACACGGGGAGAGACCCACCGACCCTGTGGGGCTGGACCCTACAGTTGATGTTGATGCTATTCCTTTCTGTTTGTTAGTTTTCCTTCTAATAGTCAGGTCCCTCAGCTGCAGGTCTGTTGGAGTTTGCTGGAGGTCCACTCCAGACCCTGTTTGCCTGGGTTTCACCAGCAGAGGCTGCAGAACAGCAAATATTGCTGCCTGATCCTTCCTCTGGAAGCTTCATCTCAGAGGGGCACCTGGCTGTATGAGGTGTCAGTCGGCCCCTACTAGGAGGTGTCTCCAAATTAGGCTACACGGGTGTCAGGGACCCACTTGAGGAGGTGGTCTGTCCATTCTCGGAGCTCAAACACTGTGCTGGGAGAACCACTGCTGTTTTCAGAGCTGTCTGACAGGGACATTTAAGTCTGCAGAAGTTTCTGCTGCCTTTTGTTCAGCTATGCCCTGCCCCCAGAGGTGGAGTCTACAGAGGCAGGTGGGCCTCGTTGAGCTGAGGTGGGCTCCACCCAGTTCAAGCTTCCTGGCCGCTTTGTTTACCTACTCAATCCTCAACAATGGTGGATGCCCCTCCCCCAGCCAGGCTTGCCGCCTCACAGTTCGATCTCAGACTAGCAGTGAGCAAGGCTCTGTGGGCATGGGACCTGCTGAGCCAGGTGCAGGATATAATCTCCTGGTGTGCCATTTGCCAAGACTTTTGGAAAAGCACAGTGTTTAGGTGGCAGTGTTCTGATTTTCCTGGTACAGTCTGTCATGGCTTCCCTTGGCTAGGAAAGGGAAATCCCCCGACCCCTTGCGCTTCCCGGGTGAGGCGATGCCCCGCCCTTCTTCGGCTCACCCTCCGTGGGCTGCACCCACTTTCCAACTAGTCCCAATGAGGTGAACCAGGTACCTCAGTTGGAAATGCAAAAATCACCCATCTTCTGCGTTGATCGTGCTGGGAGCTGCAGACCGGAGCTGTTCCTATTTGGCCATCTTGGAATGGACCTCTAATTTTTGTATTTTTAGTAGAGACAGGGTTTCACCATGTTTCCCAGGCTGGTCTCAAACTCATGACCTCAAATGATCTGCCGCCTCAGCCTCCCAATCCTATTCAACCATCTTGGAACAGACCTCTAATTTTTGTATTTTTAGTAGAGACAGGGTTTCACCATGTTGCCCAGGCTGGTCTCGAACTCTTGACCTCAAGTGATCCACTGCCTCAGCCTCTCAAAGTGCTGGTATTACTGGTGTAAGCTACTGCACCCAGCCACAGCAATGCTTTCTAAAATTCATTTTCCTCTCCTCATATCCCTGCAACCTATTCTAAAGTCACTCTTCAACCTTCAACTGTATGGCTTTCCTTATGCCTCCCTGGTTCTCTCTCCTTCTCAATTCCTCTTTATTGAATAGATCAACTTAAACTCTCTTGCTTCACCTTGGTCTGTTTATTTCTTCTCTTTTCCTATTCTCAAAAGCTCCATATTCAAGCTGGCAGACAGAGCTCTCCTTTGAGTGCAGGGAAGTAACTCTCATAAAATAAATCTTGTCCTCAAAACATATTCAAAATCACAGAACAATAAGTTGAATTTCATAATCATAGAATTGCAGAAGAATCATTTTGTATATTGCTGTGGAAAAATTGTAGACTTCTTTTTGAGCAGGAATCCCAAACTCAAATGCCCACAGGTATGTAATAGAAAAGAGGGCTGGAGACCAAGTGTAAAATAATGACAAATGATGAAGACTGGTGCAGGCATTACTCAGCTCCAACTAAAGATGCCATGTGGGAATGCAGGCTCAGAATTGACATATTTTCTGATGTTTTAAGAGAAATTAGAAACCCAGATTTTTGTGTAGAACTTCCCAATTTTAAAAGCACTGTGTGGGGGGCGAAAAAACCTAGGCAAGATTCGGCCCATAATCTTGGCCCAAAATTTGGTTTACAACCTCTGATATCAAGGAACCTGTGGTTGGCATTCCCAAGTCCATTTGATGATATCAAGTCAACTTTAGTGTTATTGCCTGCTTAGGAAGAAGACAAGGAAGAGGGTCTAGAGGAGATATACTATGAGGACATGGAGTCCTTCACAATCTCCAGTGGAAACACTTATTTTGTCTTTGTACCCCTGGAAGAAGAGCATTGTAGGAAGTCCCATTCCACCTTCTCAGCCATGTTCATCAACGACACTTCCAGTGCCAAGTTCATAGAACAAGTGACAATTCCATCGAGACTAATTTTAGAAATTAAGAAACAGTGAGTAAAAAACTATTTTATTCTCATCCTGTTGTTCTGAGTTTTGTAAACAAGGTGAAATATTAAAAAAAAAAAAAGGATTGGGCTGGTATCAGTTGGATAAAGAAAAAAATGTAGGTAACTGAAGGAAGGTAGGGGTGAGAAACACAATAAAAAATGGCAAAATCCAGGAATTATTTGCAGTCACAGATATCTTCTGTGAGAGTGACCCCCTGCACCCACCTCAGGAGGCTCTCTGCTGGCTTGGGCCTTGGAGATAAGATACAGTGTTTTCCCTGACAGATACTTTTGGGTTCTAGTTCCTGGTACATCTGTAATCATAGGCTTCTTTTCTTTTTCTATTTTAATTCTATAGATATACACCATAAATATAAATATCTCATGTATGGTATTTTGTACTCAGTATGTGCAAAATATAAGAATGGAACTGTTCACTCATAGAGTATATCCATGTCCATCGCTAGAAGACATGACCAAAAGATACTGCCAAAGAGTTTTTTTGCAGAAAATATAAGAACAATGAAGAATAGAGAAATGACCCATAATCCCACCACTGAGAATTTACTTCCCCTAACTCCCAAGTTTCTGGGCCTTTGTGTTTGAGTTTGGATCAAATGTGGACATTTGTGTTTGCCTTTTGGATGGCGTTCTCATTGTCCTCCTGCCTCTACAATGTCATAGGAGGGCTCATCAGCTAGAGATCTCCTGGTTCATTCACCTCCTGTATGTAACATGGGCAGGAGGCTGGAGACAAGGAATGAAAGGAGTGCAATCAGGCCTTTGGGCTCTTTCTCCTACACCTGAGCAGCATCTCACCTTGGAAATGTCTCTTGACTCAAACATCATCCCTCTCCTTCCTCTACCAGAGGCCATCATCTGCCCTCTCCATAGCAGATAGGACAAAGGCCAGCAAGGACTATCACAGGAGCTATTATTTACTGAGTGTATTTAATCCCCTTAATAACTGTGAGAGAGTTACCATACTTAACTCCATTTTACAGATGAAGAAACTGAGGCTCAGAGAGTTAGTCATTTGGCCTAGATATCCAGGACAGGAAGCAGTTTGATCCCAGATATGAATCCAGACAGACCCTGTAACTCCAGAATCTTGCACCAACCACTATGCTATCTGCCTTATGACTAACCAGAAAAAAAATTATCTGTCCAACTGATTGGGTTTGCATACTGAAGGATAACATGCATTCATAAAAGTATGAAAATCATAAGTGTATAGCTCAACGAATTGCCCAAATATGACACAGTTGATACCCAAAGCCCACAAGAAATAGAACCATTACCAGCCCTCAAGTGTACCCATCCCAAGTCACCACTCTCTCTTCCCCAAAGATAACAAATATTATAACTTCTGAGTTTATTTTGCTTATTTTTTCACTTTATCTAAATTAAGTCATACAGAACTCACTCTTTTATTATGTTTATGAGACATATATATTATTGAATGTGGCTAGGGTTCAGTTTTTATTTCTGTATAGTATCCCGTTATAAAAAAATGTTATCCATTTTATTAATCCATTTTACTGATACACATTTGGTCTTTCCAATTTGGGGATATACCAATAATGTTGCTCTGAACATTCTTGTACAAGTCTTCTGGTGAATATATGTATATGTTTCTGTTACATATAGAACTAAGAGTGGAACTGTTGACTCACAGAGTGTGTGTGTCCATATCCGTCTTTAGGAGATAGAGCCGAAAGATACTACAAGGAGTTTTCAAAAGTGGTTTTTAACAGTTTTACAGTTTATAACAGCATATGAGAACTTCAATCGCTCCACAACGTCAGTGGTATTGTCAGTGGTTTTTATTTTAGCTGTTCTGATATAGTTATAGTGGTGTTTCATTGTGGTTTTAATATGTATTCTCCTGATGAGTATGATATTGTATACCTTTAAAAATACTCATTGGGCCATTTGGTTATCTTTTTGGGAAATGCCTAGCAAAATCTTTTGCCTATTATTTTTCTGGTCGATTTTCTGTCTTTTTTTTATTAATTTATGGGAATTAATTATATATTCTGTAGCCGGGCATGGTGGTGTGTGCCTGTAATTCCAGCTACTCAAGAGGCTGAAGCAGGAGAATCGCCTGAACCCAGGAGGCGGAGGTTACAGTGAACCAAGAGAGTGCTGCTGCACTCCTGACTGGGAGACAGAGTGAAACTCCGTCTCAAAAAAAAATTAAATTATATATTCTATATAAGGCTTTGTCAGATAAATAAATGGCAAATGTTCATCCCCTCTCTGCACTTGCCTTTTTAAACTCTCTTTCAAGGTGTATCTTTTAATGAACAGAAGTTCTTATTTCTAATAAGGTCCAATTCATCAATTTTTAAATTAGGGTTAATTTACTTTGTGCCTTACCCCCAAGGACATGGAGATGTTCTCCGAAGTTATATATTTAAAATGCTATTGTTTTCAACTTCCATATTAACATCTAAAATCCACCTGGAACTGATTTTTTGTTTACGGTGTGAAATAGGGGTCAAGATTCACTTCTTTCCCATACAGATAACCAGTTGATCCTGGGTCACTTAATGAGGAGACTCTCCTCTCCCCCACTGCTCTGCTACGTGTCTTTTCTAGTTCTCTATGTGTCTATCCAATGACTTCACGCTGCTTTATTACTACAGCTTTACATTAAGCCTTAATATCTGATAGTGTAAGTCCTCCACCTTTAGTCTTCTCCTTCCATTATTCTTGGCTCTTTGTATTTCTACATAATTTTTAAAATTAGCTCAAGTTTCCATAAGACATCTGCTGCGATGTTGTTTCTTGTTATTGCATTGAATCTATAGATCAGTTTTTGGAAACTGACATCTTAACAGTACATGGCCAAAAAAGTACCATACATTTTTAAAAGGAAGAAATGATAAGCTGAGAAGCAACATTTGCAACTCACATCAAAGTCAATGACCTTCATGTCCCTAGTATATGAAGAGCTCCTAGAAATTGATTTGTAAAAAAAGAACAGCTATTCACAACAGAGAAATGGGCAAACGACATTCATGGACAGTACACAGAAAGAGAAATTAAATACTCTTGGGGTTTTTTGAGGCAAGGTTTCACTGTCGCCCAGGCTGGAGTTCAGTGGCATGACTCACTGCAGCCTTAACCTCCTGAGTAGATGGGACCATAGGCGCATGTCACCATGACCAGCTAATTTTTAAAATATTTTATAGAGATGGGGGTCTCACCATGTTGCCCAGGCTGGTCTCGAACTCCTAGGTTCAAGCAATCCTCCTGCTTCCATCTCCCAAAGTGCTGGGATCATAGGCATGAGCCACAGTGCCCAGCCTAAATAATCTTAAGCACATGAAAATATGCTCAGTCTCAATCATAATATAACAAAATTGTCAAATTTAGACGTCTGACAATACACTCTGAGACTGTGGAGAAATAGGAACATTGCTGATAAGAATACAAATTGCCTTCTAGTGGAAAACAGTTTGGCCATATCTGCCAAAACCACAAATGTATTTTAACCTTTGATTCAGCAATTCCAGTTCAAGGTCATTTATCCAAAGAAACAATTCTACATCTGACATACATAATGTCCTCCAGCAGTGGTATGGTTAAAAGAGTAATGGTCCATTTACACAATGAAATGCAATGTAGCTGGGAAATGAAATGAAGAATGAGTGAAAGGGGGAAGCACTTTGGGTCTCCATATGGAAAGACCTCTCATGGGTCATGATTGCTGGCAGGGCTGACCCTGGCTGGTCTCGCCCTCAGACTTCGAGCTGGCTTCTTCGAGCACCTTGAGAAGTGGTTTGACCAGTGTTCCCTCAACACCCGGGTCACCGTGGCCACCAAAATCAATGAGCTGGATTCAGAACTGGAGCTGCATCTGCACCTGCACCAGCCAAGAGCCCAGCAGATTGAAAAAGACATCCACAACGTCAGGGCAGGTACAGATGCTGCCTGGGAATGTCTGCCCTGCCCGCAGCCACTCCTTCAGCGTCTGCTCCACCGCGGCTCCATGTTCATTAGCTGCCCCAGTTTGTACCATGCAATGTTTAGCATGTTCTCATCACACCATGGAAGATGTACATGAGGGTTCGCACCTCTGAGGCTTGCAGAAAAAGGTAGTACTCCAAATCCTTCTGTGAGATTTTTTTCTCATTTCCATTTTTTTTTCAAGAGGGTGTTATAGTTGAAAACAAAGAGTGTTGTACTGTTTTAGCTCTTGGAACCCAGATCTGCTCATACACCTGTCAGATACACACCTGCATGGTGGATGTTCTAGAGGCAAGCTCATAGCTCAGGGAGTTGAAGCTCTCAGTTTCAACTCCTGTGACCGTGTGACCCTATACAGCTTACCTGACCTCTCTGACTCCTCTCTCACCTGCAGAAGGGGTTGATAGAAGTGTTAAGGAGGTGGTGATAAACCCTTTTAAAATGGTATAGTAAGGAATCATGAGCACCTTGTACAAGATACAGCCTCCAAAAGTGGTAGCCATTATTTCTACTTTATCATTTATCATACTTAAAAATACATGCATTTCACACCTATGTGGTGGACTCTGTTAATGCGGGGCGGGGGGGGGGCATGTTTTCAGTAGGATCCTTCAATGACCTCTGTTGGTTTTTCACCCAAATTATACTCCAACTCCTTCAAAGCCCTTTAGAGCTATCAGAGAGCCCCATCACTAACCCATGCAAACTCCTATTCCTGGAGCAGGGAAAGAGTTGTGCAAGTTGACAACTGGCCTTGAATCCCAGCGTTTGTGGGCTCAGGCAACTTGTGTGGCATTTGGAACCTCATTGTTCTCATCTGGAAAATGTGTGTGCTAAATGCACTGAGGAATAAAAAGGATTCTATGTGCACTGAGTAAAAGCTCCCTGAAGGCTGGCTCCATTTCCTTCCCACGGCCCCTGACCCAATACACAGTGTGGAAAACAAGGCCAGAGAAGCAAAGTCCCAGCATCTCACCATTCATTTTTGGCAGAGCTGAGACCACAGCACTTCCACAACTTCAGATGATAGTGGGATCAGATGGGAGGTGGTCGGGGTCGGGGGGGTCTAGGGACTCTCTGCTCATTTAAAGGCCCATGATGGAGCTCTGGAAGCCCAGTCCTTGTTCTTGCCACTCTACCTTGGAAGACAGTTGGAATTCAGGCTCACTGGACATAAGTATCCGCTGATGTTAAGGAGCAAACTCAGACTGCTCAGTGCTGTACTTGCTGTTACCCACCAGACCCTCTCACCTAGATCTCAGCCCTCCCCAACACCCCCTGCCCATCCTGCCTGCTACTCAGCTGCTTCCCAGACTCTCCATCTTCCTGGCTGTGTTCCCTCTGCTCCGGGCAGGGTGTCTCCACAAACAGGAGCTCCCTGCTCATGGCCAGGCCTCCTCTCCAGCCCAAGCCCTGATGAAGGCAACAGGGGCAGGACAAGGGGCCTTGACCTGAATTGTTCCTGTTCTGCAGCTGGCCTGGAAGAGGCAGCAGGCGGGCCTTGTTCCAGGAAAGCAATGTGCTGAGGTGAATCGGGTCCCCGGGGCCCCAGCTCTCTTAATCCTTTTTCAGCCGAGCTTTTGCTTCATCAAGAGCAGTTGGACAGCCACTGTGCTGGGGTGACCGAGACGCTGAAGAAGAAGCGGCTGATGTTCTGCCAGTTCCAAGAAGAGCAAAACGTGAGGAGCAAAAACTTCCGCCTTAAGATCTATGACATGGAGCACATCTTCTTGAATGCCACCAGGAGCCAAAAGTAAGGGGTCCTGGGAGTCTCCACCCCAGCCATGTGGCTCTGGAATCCCAGTTCGGCTGCTGCTTTCAAAGGAGCCCCCCTCCCTGTAGACACAAAAGCAGAAGGCACCTCCAGAGCCTTCTTTTGAGTTAAACTCTTCAAGAGAGTCAAGTCAAACTCTGTGTGGAATATTGCTTGGGAGGGCAGGGAGTGAGCAGCCAGAGAGCAAAGTATATGCACAGGCAGCATGCAAGGGTGCACACCATGTGCTATGAAATATCAGTGGTGGGGAAGACCACTTCCCCTCAGGAAAAATCAGGGAGGGCTTCCTGCAGGAGGCAGCATTGAAGATGAACTCAGAGGAGCCCTGAATGGAGAAAGATGGGAGAGGGTTGAATTCCACAATCAGTGAAAGAGCACTGGCCCAGCTCAGTGTAGGAGCGTGCTCAGGGCAGAGCAAGGGGCTCCAGAGAGGCCATTTGGGTTATGAGATGGAGGCCTCAGGCAGGTCACAGGGAGGAGACTGGCAAGTGTCTACGCAGCCATCAGGCACATGAGGGACAGCTGTTTCTGGTGGACTTGGTTGTAAAGAGGACACTCGCAGGGCACTCTTTTGGGGTATCATGGGTGCAGGAGCCACCTTGCTGGGGGTCAGACACAGCCCATTGGAGCAGGGACAAAGATCCAGTAGGATCTTCTGGGATTCTTTCACCAATTTGATGTGCTCTGATCCAGCACACCCAGAATGTGTCCTGCAGACACTGGAATTTTGAACTTCCTTCTACTGCCGCTTTTGCTACCCAGAGAAGCTGTGCAGCTGGGCACTGCTTGTGGAGCCCAAATAGACTCCCAGGTTGTCCTCCTTTCAGGCCCAGGTCACCACCCTCCCCTCTCATGCCCCCCAAACTGGTCACCCATCAGCGTTGTGCCCCCAGGAAGGTCACCTATCACCACCTGCCCCTCCCATGTCCCCAGGATCCTCACCATCACCACCTGTCCCTCCTGTGTCCCCAGGCTGGTCATTATCGTGACCGGCCCCTCCCTTGTCCCTCAGGCTGATCACCATCACCACCTGCCCCTCCCTTGTCCCCCAGGGTTGTCCCCCATCACTGTCCTGTTCCTCCTCTGTCTCCCACAGGCTGGTCACTCTCAGCAACACACTGCACCAGGAGTTGCTTAGCTATGTTGATGTCACCCAGGTGTCCCTGCGCAGCTTCCGGCAGTACTTGGAGGAGAGTCTGGGCAAACTCCGCTACTCAAATATTGAGTTCATCAAACACTGCAGGTGGGAGCCAGTGTCCAGGGCCTCTTCAGGCCACCTGAGTTTCTCTATTGGGATGTGGTCTTGTTTCCCCCTTAATTTTTAGTTTTGACAAAATAAACGTAACATCAAACTTAACATCTTAACCATTTTTAGGTGCACAGATCAGTGGCATTAAGGATATCCTGGTTGTTGTGCTACCATCACCACCACTGGTCACCAGAACTTTTTCATCTTCCCAAACTGAAACTCTGTACCATTAAACAAGAACTCCCCATTCCTCCTTCCCCATGGCCCCTGGCAACCACCATCCTCCTTTCAGTTTCCATGAATTTGAAACCTCTAGGTACTTCATATAAGTGGAATCATATATTTGTCCTTTTCTTGTCTGGCTCATTTCATTTAGCATAATATCTTCAAGGTTCATCCATGTATCATGTATCATGTGTCACAAAATCATTCCTTTTTAAGGCTGAATAATGTTCCATTGTGTGTATATATCACATTTTGTTTACCCATTCATCTTTGATGGGCATTTGGGTTGTTTCCATCTTTTGGCTATTGTGAATAATGGTGGTAGGAACATTGGTGTACAAATACCTGTTCAAGGTCCTGGTTTTAGTTATTTTGGGTATTTCCTAGAAGTGGAATTGCTGGATTAAATGGTAATTCTATGTTTAACTTTGAGAGGAACCATCATACTGTTTCCACAGCAGCTGCGCCATGTTCATTCTCACCAGCAATGCACAAGGGTTCCAGTTTCTCTACATTATCACCAACGCTTGTACTTTCTGGTGTTTTTTGTTTTTTATAATAGACCTGTTAATGGGCGTGAGGTGTTTCTATGTTGTGGTTTTGATTTGCATTTCCCTGACGATTAATGCTGTTAACCTTTCCATGTGTTTATTGGCCATTCTTTCCCCTTATTTTTACCCCTGCAATCTTAATCCTGGATGAAAGTAATCCTAGATTTAGTCTTTGACATTTTTGAAAGGCTATATTTATTTTTTAAGGCTTATGCTATTTTAAAAATCACAAATCTTTTGATCATTAGAGCATAATCAAACACAGATTGTATATAAAGTACAAAGTGGAAGCCCTCCAAAAATATATTTTCTATGTGCCTGTACTTATGTATACATGAGCAAAAAATTGTTAGTTTTGTACAGAAATGGAATCCTAGTATACATGCTGACCCACAGCCCCCCACTACCAGCATCACCAAATCATGGTGATGTAGGGAATAAAGGAACCTCCTTTCCACCCCTGAAGTTTCAACAATTTGAGCCAATAAAACAAGGCCAGGCACAGTGGTTCATGCCAGTAATCCCAGCATTTTGGGATTCTGAGGCGGGCGGATCACCTGAGGTCAGGAGTTCGAGAGTAGCCTTGCCAACATGGAGAAACCCCGTCTCTACTAAAAATACAAAAATTAGCTGGGCATGGTGGCAGATGCCTGTAATCCCAGGTACTTGGGAGGCTGAGGTAGGAGAATTGCTTGAACCTGGGAGGCGGAGGTTGCCGTGAGCTGAGATCACACCACTGCACTCCAGCCTGGGAGACAGAGTGAGATTCCATCTCAAAACAACAACAACAACAACAACAACAACAACAAACAATAAAGACGATAAACAGATTAACGGGAAACCAATTTATTAACATGCAAGTGTGTAGGTGTCACACAAAGTTTGAAACTCAAACAAAGACCAGGTGGTTGAAGCTTAAATAGCCTCTTCATACGAGAGTGAGAAATGGGAGATGTAGGAAATTTTAGAGGAAGGGTAAATGATGTTTAGGGGAGATTAATGGACCCAAAGAACAGACAATAGCCTGGGACCAATTCTGTCTGGGCTCTGGGTGTGGTGTCAACTCCAGTCTTCCTTCCTACAACTATGCATCAGTTTCTCCTGGTTGATGAGATATCTGGGGAAGGGATTCACAACAGTTGAATATCTTCTGGAGGATCCAGCCTTTAGGTAGACAGGTGAACTTTAGAGAAAGCTCTTCCCTGCATTTGCTGCTCCCCAGGTACTCTCAGTTTGAAGTTCAAAGCAGCACATTTTTGGTTTCATTTTCTGAGCCCCAAGAGTGGGCACCTTCCATGTCAGTATCTGCAAAGCTTGCATTTGTTTTAAATATTATTAAGATTTTTCTGATTATAAAAATAGAATTTTAAAAGAAAATTTGGAAAGTAGCGAAAACTAGAACTATAATTTGACATGTTAATCATCTCTACCTTGCTTATCTCTGCATGTCTTGTATATTTTAGCTTCATTCTAGCTAATTTCTTTATATTATTCTTCCTAGTCACTGATTCACTCTGTAACTGTGTTGAACCTTCTGCAAATCTATTCATTGAGTTTTCAATTTTAATTATTATAGTTTCCATTTGTAGATATATACATATACGTATGTATATATATATATATACACACACACATATACATATATATATATACACATATATACGTATATATATATTTGAGACAGAGTCTTGCTCTCTCACCCAGGCTGGAATGCAGTGGCACAGTCTCCACTTACTGCAACCTCCACCTCCTGGGTTCGAGCGATTGTCCTGCCTCAGCATCCCGAGTAGCTGGGACTAGAGGCATGTGCCACGATGCCCAGCTAATTTTTGTATTTTTAGTAGAGACACGGTTTCACCATAGTGGCCAGGCTGGTCTTGAACTCCTGACCTCAAGTGATCCACCCGCCTCGGCCTCCCAAAGTGCTGGGATTACAGGTGTGAGCCACTACTCTCTGCCCATTTATAATTATATTTGATACTTTTTCAAAACTGCCTGCTCCTTGTTCATATTTTGAAGCTTACTTTTTATTCCTTTAAACATCTTAAGCCTAGTTATTTTATAGTCTATATCTGATATTTCTAATATCTAATGGTTTTTGGGAGGTCTGTTTCTGTTCTCTATTGTTTTACTGTTTCTCATGCATGGTATCTTGTATCTTGATTCCTTATCAATTTTTAAAACTACGAGTCACTCATTTTCCTTGGGACTTTATGGGTGGCATTCTTTGAGGCCTGGACTGGACATTGCATTCCTTCAGAGAGAATCCTTATTTGTTTCTGCTGGGTAACCAGGGAGCACTACCTACCCAGGACCAATTAGAATTCTCTGCTTGAGGTTTTTTGGGTCACTCCAGAGAACATGAATTCATTTTGTAAATGTATGTGAAGTCTAGTTTGTGTGATGAATTTTCAGGGGACAGAGATCTTCTTTCCTCTTTGCCCTTGGATCTAGACAGGCAAGAGTCCTGGTATCTGGTGGGGTTCGTTTCTTCCTCAGTCTTACAATGCAAATGTTGTCCTCTGGATCCAGCTCTAGGCTATCCCTTCACCTGTGCAGTCATCAAGACTGAACCTCCAAGTCTCTGGTGCAAAGTCTTGGCTTCTGGTGCTGCCCACATTCCAAGCTCCCCTTCTAGTTTCACTTCATCTGGAATTCTTTTTTTTTTTTTTTTTTTTGAGGTAGAATCTTACTCTGTCAGCCAGGCTGGAGTGCAGTGGCGCAATCTCGGCTCACTGCAACCTCTCCCTCCTAGGCTTAAGAAATCCTTCCATCTCAGCCTCCCAAGTAGTTGGAATCACAGGCACATGCCACCACACCTGGCTAATTTTTTTTACTTTTTTAGAGACAGGGTCCTGCTGCCCAGGCTAATCTTGAACTCCTGGCCTCAAGTGATTTTCCTGCCTCAGCCTCCCAAACTTATGAGCCACTGCGCCTGGCAAGTTCATGTGGAATTCTTACCTTTATACAGTTCCAAGAAAGCTATTTTTATTTCGAATTTTGTTTCAGTTGGGTCTGTTAGAGTCTCCAACCTGATGAACTGACAAAAATGGAAATTCTGCACTATTTATGAATCCTACTCCTGTCCTTAAGCTATCTGTGTTCATTTTCCCACATCTTGAACTCTAACCGGAAGCCTAGATTAAAAGTGTGTGTCAGCCACAGTATTTGGGATAGATGAGAACTCTTAGGTCTGATCTGTGGCTTTTATTTGTCTTTGATTATTTTCAGATTGTTTTCAGAGGGAGGCAACTTTTCTCCTAAAGAAATCAATTCACTGTGTTCCCGACTGGAGAAGGAAGCTGCCCGGATAGAGTTGGTTGAAAGTGTCATCATGCTCAACATGGAGAAGTTGGAGAATGAGTACCTGGACCAGGTAGGGCCCCCAGCCAGGCCCCAGGCCAACCGGTTCCACAGTATCCCTTGCTCAACTCCCTCTGAAGGGAGGGCCAAGCCCTCCATCCAACCATTCACTGGGCCTGTCCCCCTCCTCCTTCAGAGTCCAAAAGGTCCAAATTAAGCCCCTGTCCTTTACCCTTTATCTCTCTGTACAGGCCAATGATGTCATCAACAAGTTTGAAAGCAAATTCCATAACCTGTCTGTGGACCTTATTTTCATAGAGAAAATCCAGCGGTTGCTGACGAATCTGCAAGTGAAAATCAAGTGCCAGGTAGGATAGATTCATTCTTCATCAAGGATCTTTATCACACACACCTGCACACCAGGCACTGTCCCCGGTGCTAGGAGGCCATTGTGGTCTCTGTCCCGTGTGTGGGACTTGCTCTCCAGCCAGGAAGACAGACACAATCTTTTTTTTCTTTTTTTCTTTTTTTTGAGACAGGGTCTTGCTTTGTCACTCAGGCTGGAGTGCAGTGGCGTGAACACAGCTCACTGTAGCCTCAACTTCCTGGGCTCAAGAGATCCTCCAGCCTCAGTCCCACAAGTAGCTGGGACTATAGGCACACGCCACCATGCCCAGCCAATTTTTTCTATTTTTTGTAGAGATGGGGTCTCCCTATGTTGCCCAGGCTGATCTTGAATTCCTGGGCTCAAGCGATCCTCCTGCCTCAACCTCCCAAAGTGCTGGCATTACAGACATGAGCCACTGCGCCTGGCCAAAAATAAAATCTTAATAACTGCTAGTGTTTACTAGTTATTGAGCACCATGCATCCTGCTAAGCAACTTATTTTGATTAGCTGTGTTAGTCCTCACAAGAACTATAGGAGGCAAGTACTGTTTTTATCTCCATTTTAGAGATAAACTGAGGCAGTATTTTAGTGACTTAGGTAGGAACACAGAGCTCTTAAAGGGTAAAGTCAAAATGTGAACCCAGGTCTGACCGACACCAGAGCTTATGGCCTTAACCACAAACAGGCCATCTGTGCAACAGAAGGAGAAGGTGGCTGCGTGGGGATTGAGGGGCCAGAGGACTTAACCTGGGCTAAGAAAGTGGGGATTCCAGAGGCTTGAGGGAGAAGTAGGAACCAGCCAGGTAGGCGGTGGGGAGTGAAGCATTCTGGAGAGATGATGGAGAAAATCCAGGGGGCTGGAGCCCAGGACTGCAAGAGTGTGAGGGAGAGTGGGGAGCTCTGTGGTTGGAGAGCACCAGCGGGCAGACAGTGGGGGCCTGGGAAGGGTTCGGGTGGGGCTGTGTGCTCAGGGCTGCACTTCGAGGGTGGGGGTCCTGGCTGCTGACCACAGAAAGGCTGGAGGTGGGTAGGAGTGAGGCAGAAGTGTGAGGCTGATGGGGAGAGAATCATGGCCTGGGCACAATGTCAGCAGGGACACATTCTGATTCCAGAGCTGAGTGGAAGTGGGATGGGAGGGACTTGGGGTACACTGGAAATGAAGGGCCTGGGTTATCTGCATAGGTCAATGCCCATTCAGGGAACAATGTTTGAGGGCCCACTAGGACTAGGACAAGCCGAGGTGAGGACAGACTTGTCTTTTGGGAGTGGCAAGTGCAGTTCGATAAAAGAAGTGTTTGCTGGCATCTCACGCTCTGAGATAGGGACTCCAGACCCAGCTTCCTGCCCATTTCACCCCAGGAAGCATTTAATTCATCCATCTGTGAAATGGGAATCATAAAAGCAATTCCTAATATTATGGCACCGATAAAGGAGCTGATATGTGCTAAACTCATGACATAGTCCCTGGAGCATAGTGAATCCTCAGTAAAGGCAGGCTCTGGTGGAGGCCCCAGATGAGCCTCTCAGGACTGGCTTCCAGTCATTCCAGAAGGAGCAGGAGGCAGCTCCAGGGAGCAGAGCCCACGGCTCCAGGGCATGTCACCACACTCTTGTTTGAGGAGTATATTCCTAATGGGCCTCCAGCTGGTGCTGGCACTGATTCTTTTTTCTGAGCTAATATCTGGGGACTGTTCACAGTGTACAGGGGTTGCATTTCAAAATATCTAACACCTGTGATAAACAAAATACATTTCCATCATGGACAATACTGGGAATATAGAACAAATACAAAACAGAGAGTAAACCATAATTCTGCCACATAGCATAACCCCTGTTTAAGATTTCAATTTATTTTTTGAGTATTTTTCCTATACATGAAAAGATGGGGATATGCCAAAATTGGCTGTTTGCTATTTATACCAGTTTTATAAGCTGTATAATCTTTAAATATTCTGCAAAGACACTATTTTGATGGCTTCTCTGTCATGGATGTGTTGACATTTTTACTTAAGCATTCCTTTCTGGAGGAACATTTGGTGAATTTTGCTTCTTGTTATGAAAGGTGATGCTGTGAGAGGTGCACTTGCCAGGACAGTCTGACTGCATCCTTCGGACGCCTCCTGGAAGCCACAGTCCTGGGTCAGAGCATGACCTTTCTACGGCTCTCTAAGCTTTCCAGGGAGTTTTTACAGCCTTGGCTCTGCACTGCTGGAGCAGAGCCTGTGCACTTGCCAGGACAATCTGACTGCATCCTTAGGGTGCCTCGTGGAAGCCACAGTCCTGGGTCAGAGCATGACCTTTCTATGGCTCTCGAAGCTTTCCAGGGAGTCTTTACAGCCTTGGCCCTGCTAAAGCAGAGCCTGTCCTCCCAACTCCCTCACCACACTCTGGGGTGCCAATTTTGCTTGAACCTTACTTACTTGAGAGGGGAAAAAAATCTTTTTAATTTGTATCAATGTCTGGTAAAACTGCATATTTTTCCCTGATTTCATTTTTTTCAGTGCTTAATCAGTTTCTCAGATGGTATGTTTCACAGAATGTTTCCCAGATCACAATATGTATTCTAGAAACAAAATCTCGGAACCTCTGGTTTTCTAGGTGGCAAAATCCAATTCGCAAACAAATGGATTAAATTTCTCTCTGCAACAGCTTCAGAACAAGATAAAAACTTGTCAAGAGTCCAGGGGAGAGAAAACCGTAAGTGTTCAATAGATTCTGCATGTGAATAATAAAGATATATCATGCTAAAGTCATAAATGTGAAATAAATTTACCTGTGTGTATAGGATTTCTCCAGCACAAGGTTGGCGGGGTGGGGGGACATCTCTGAGCCTTCCTACTTAACCCCTGTTTCATGGAATGAAGAAAGGAACAAAAGAGAAAGCAGCCACTGTTCACCTCCAACCCCTCCCAGGCAAGCATGGAGCAGCGTCTAGTGTTGGGGGAGGCCTGAGTCTGGCTTCCTCTGACCTCACTCCCTTGGGATGTCACCAGGTGTCCCTTGCTGTAAGGAGAACTCAGTCCTAGATGCATGACAGAAGCAGGGCCCTGCCCCCTGAACAACCACTTTTTGTTTGACTTTCCACTTGCTTTTTTTTTTTTTTTTTTTTTTGAGACGAAGTCTCACTCTGTCACCCAGGCTGGAGTGCAGTGGCACAATCTCAGCTCACTGCAACCTCTGCCTCCGGGTTCAAGTGATTGTACTGCCTCAGCATCCCAAGTAGCTGGGACTACAGGCACCTGCCACCATACCCGGCTAATTTTTGTATTTTTAGTAGAGACAGGGTTTCACCATGTTAGCCAGGCTGGTCTCAAAACTCCTGACCTCAAGTGACCCGCCCACATCAGCCTCCCAAAGTGCTGGGATTACAGGTGTGAGCCATCGCATTCGGCCTCACTTGCTTCTTTTGATCGTAGCACAGAAACTGGTTTTCTGTGTTTAAAGTATGAAAAGTCAGAATTGGAACAGTTTGTGGAGAGCGTGGTTCCAAGCGTTCGCCTGGCTCTGATCCTCAGAGCAGGTCTCTGGTTGTCTATGTGCTGCTTTTTCTGCCATGAGTGCACGACTCTGTCCCCCAGTGAATGACAGCACACCCTTCAATGATGGGGGACATCGGGAGTTCTCTTCCTGGATCTACGGGTTCAACTCCGGGCAAATGACTTAAACTTGCTCAACTCAGTCTCCCCTGGCCTGTCGCCCAGGCCACACCAGGGAACCATTCCTCAACAGTCCAGCCAGGTGCTCCCAGAACCAGACACCCCAGCCTGAAGGTTCTGGAGTGGGAAGCTTTCTCCTCACCGTTCTCTGTCTTTTCTCTACCATTTCAGTGACTCTGAGTTGCAGTTCTATTATTAGCACTGAGAGGATGTTTATTTTTCTGTCTTTATTGCTTTTTCTTATATAGTTTATTGCATGACTCTTGAAAAAAGCGTAAACACCCACAAAGCATAGTTTGCAGAATAAATGTCCCTCTCACTATTCTCATTTTGCACAGAGGCACTGTAAACCCTGTTATGTATATGCATGCACTTGTTTCTACACATCCACTGAGATTACTTGCCCTGCAGTGCAGTTGTGCAGAGGAAGGGTGGCTCCTATATTTTGCCTGTGACTTGCCTGATCTCCCTTATGAGCCCCCTAATGAGGAGCAGGGGGAAGATGAGGTTAATCAGCTGTAACTCTTCAACAGGCTCTTTAAGGCAGCTCTACCTCTCCAGAACAGAAACGTCCAGTCTCTCACATCCTCGCCTCCCAACCCCTGCTCTGTCCTCTCCTGTTAGGGTGTTGGGTGGGTGCCAGGGGCTTGCCCAGCCTCCCAGCCAGGTGAGGATCATGTGAGCATGGGTGTGCGGGCATTCCTGTGTTGACAGAGGAGGCTGGCTGGACAGTCTGCAGAGCGGTGATTAGGGGACAAGAGTGATGCCTTGAATGTGTGGCGAGAGGGAAGATCCTCACCGTTGCATTCCTGCACACCTGTGGGGTGCTGCTCCGAGAGGGTGCGTGTTAGACATTGCCATGGAGGTGGCCAGATCACTCTCCTACACACTCCTGCACACCCTTGCCACCTGCGTCAAATGTTTCCTTCTAAACATAGAATGTGAGAGCCAGAGGAGATCCTAGGGAATATTTTGTGTCCCCATCTTACAGATGGGGAGAACAAGTTGAGCAAGTTTAAGTTATTTGCTCAGAGTTGAAACTGTAGATCCAGGAAGAGAACTCCTGATGTTCCCATCAGTGAAGGGTGCGTTGTCCTTCACTGTGAAGTGAAGGCTGCCTAGCAGAGCCAGCCCAGCCTTCCCCACTCCCCAAGGGCCTTCCCTGCATGTGAGGAGCCTCCATTAAGCCAAGAGGTATCCTCATCAGCCCAGCCCCTGTTCCCGCACTTCCCACAGAATCTACCCACCCTCCTGCAGTCTGCTTCCTTGGGGCTTTCTTCCTCCCTTTTCTCACCAGACAGTGACCACAGAAGAACTCCTCAGCTTCGTCCAAACTTGGAAGGAAAAACTGAGCCAGAGGATTCAGTACCTTAACTGCAGCCTGGACAGGGTGTCCATGACTGAACTGGTCTTTACCGTAAGGAATGGGATAGGGTGGCAGGAAAGGGTGGGTGAGCTGTTGTCTGGGCTCCCAGGAGACCTGCAGGGCTCAGTAGAGCCAAAGGGAAGAGGGGACTCCCAGGCCTCCGCGGGACATCAGGCTTACTGAGATGCTGTGGAAAGATCACAAGCTGTGAAGTCAGAGCTGGATTCTAATCCCCAGGGGGCCACTTCCTTGCATTGGTCTCAGAGGAGACCCCTCAGCTCCTGGCACTACCTCACCTGCTCCATCAGGACCCTCACTCACCCTATCCACGGAATCTCAAGCCAGTCCCACCTCTCAGCCTCTTCCTTCCCACCTGCACCCAGGGGCAGCCCTGGCTTCTCCCCATGGCACCCCCAACACCTCATCCAGACCCCTGCCTCTTGCCCACCTGATGCCCACATCCTCTCACATCTCCCATGGTCCGTTCCCCGAACATGGCCAGAAGAGGCTGGTCAGACCATGTCACTTCCCTACCCTCGGGGCAAAGTCCAAACGCTTTCACTGGACACACAGCAGCCTCCACGGCTTGTCCTCCATGCCTCTTCATCCCTCTCACTCCGCCTAAGATGTCACTCCCCACCAAGCCTCCTCTCACCTCCTGGTCTGGGTCGGGGTCTCCCGGCCCATAGCACCTCCCACTTCCCCACACGATGGGGTCTCCATTTCGGTTGCTGTCTGCCCTGAGACTGCAAGCCTCTATGGGCAGAGCCTGCATCACCCCCACCCCTGCCCACACCTCACATTGGGCTGAGATGCTCAGCCAACTTCCAGGGAAGGGCCTGACAGCCAATGTCTGCAGAGTAGAGCACTGCTAGGCCCTGCTCTCACCACCAAGCCTTGACCAACCTTCCTTCCATGGGGAGGCCCTTCCCACCATGCAGCCAGCACTAGGCATCCATCTCCCTCTGGTGGGGTGTCCAGTAGCATGGGGCTCCAAGGGTCTAGCGTGAAGGTATTGAGTGACTAGGAGACTTTGAGTGAAGGTCTCCCAGGACTTCACTCAAGGGACTGACAGGCCATTGCTAAGATGAGACTCAGAATGAAACAGAGAACAGCCTAGGTGCTCACCATGGGCGCCAATTCCACACTTTCTCTAGGAGCCTGCTCAAGGGGAGCTGACCACTCACTCAGCCTGGCATTCACTCCTCCATCCATTTGGTCAAAAACATTGACCGGGCACATCTGCAGGTCTAACTTCAATCTCACAGAAGATACTGGAACTTTTCTTTCACAGCACTGGTCCCAGTTTTGGAGAAGCATTTATTGGTATAAGTGCAAGTTAAATGTCTGTCTTTTCTGACTAAACCACAAGCTCTGAGACAGGAGGGATCATATATGGCCTCTTGGCCCCTGTGTTCCTAGAACATGGGCAGAGACTTGTGAAGAGCAGGCACCCGGGAAAATTTCTAAAGGCATGAATAAACGGATGAATGAATGAATGGCTCTGTAAGGGAGATCACTTTACAGAGGAGAAAATAGTGGCTCAATGAGGTCAGCTAGCTTGCCTGCAGCCACTCCACTGAGGCAGGGTGGGAGGGAACATGAATTCGGCCTGCTGCCTCGCTGGCACCTGGGCTGGTCCTTACACCCTCAGGCCCTTCTCTCTGGCCTGCAGAACACCATCCTGAAGGACCAGGAGGAAGACAGTGACATCCTGACATCTTCAGAAGCCCTTGAAGAGGAGGCCAAGCTGGACGTGGTCACCCCTGAGTCCTTCACCCAGCTGAGCCGCGTGGGGAAGCCCCTGATTGAGGACCCAGCTGTGGATGTGATCAGGAAGCTCCTGCAGTGAGTGGCCCCAGGGTGCACCTAAGGCTCTGCCACCCCTGCCCCTGGCCCTGGACCTTCAGGGACCAGCTTTGGGGCCCCACACACTGGGGTTCCCACGTGAGTCCACCCCTGAGAGCCTGTGACCTCAGGCAAAGGGCTTCCCCACCCAGAGCCCCAGTTTCTCATCTGAAATGGGGCTCGTGACAGGACTGACTGACGTGGCGCTGAGGACTAACTGGGATGCTGCTCAGAGCCTGGCCTGAGCTACCCCCATGGTCACCGGAGAAGAGCTCACACCCTTTCCTTTGGTTTCAGACTTCCCAACACAAAATGGCCAACCCACCATTGTGACAAAGATCCGTCCCAGACAGGTAGAGGCGCATGGGCCTGTGGGTCTCGGGGCAGCAGTGAGGCAGGGGCTGGTGGTGCTGTGTGCTCACCTCCTGTCCTCTGCTCCTGTCCTGGGCCCTCGTCACCCAAAGGCTTCAAGCGACATCGGTGCCAGCCAGAAAACTCTGGGAAGAAGGCTGTACCCAGTGCCAGTGCTACCTCTGCAGGCAGGTAGGACACAAAGCAGCCAGAATCGCCCCTTCCCAGTCCATCCCCCCACACAAAGGCAGGAGATGACCTATGGCTTTCCCAGGCTTTTCCTCAGAAGGCACCACAATGCTCATGGCTCTGGGACTCCACGGGGCGCAGTGAGGGGTGAGCGCCATCCTTAGTTTGCTGGTTGTCCATGGTGCTGATGGATCTCAGCCGTGCCACCTTCCACACACGGTCATGGTTAGAAAGACGGGGCAGATGGCTTTCCTGGAGAGACATCACAGAGCCACAGAAAGAGTTCTGGGCCTTGGCGCCCTGCCCACCAAGCCTCAGTGGGGTTGTTAGACTCAAAGTTTACCCCACATGCATATTTTATGGAAGGTGCATATCAGAAGCCCCATGGCTGAGTAGACTCACTAGCTCTTTGTGTCAGCCTGGTTGACATGGGTTTGTTCCTGGTTTTGAGAAGGCAAGGGGAATCCCTGCTTTGCCTTTCCCTCCAGAAGGTCTTTTTGAGCATGCGTGCTGTGTGCAATGGGGAAAGAAACAAAGACCAGCCACATGAGAAGAGCAAAGGCTATTGACTCAGAGCTGACCACAGCAGGGAGTCAGTCACCATCCAGGGTGTTTCAGCAGAGCTCCCAGGGCAGGCAGAGGAGTGGGAAGCATTGCCCTCCTCTCCAGCTGTGCGCTGGTTGGGGGCTGCTGTCATGAGGAAGCTGGAGGTTGCCCACTGAAAGCAGGGCATCCCACGTGATTGGTTACGGGACATGTTTGGCTTTCTCTGGTTGGTCCAAAGTTGGAAATGAGGACAAAAATTAGGGAAGCTGTCATTTATTAATTAAGTCCTGGCCATTTGGGACCTACTGTTATAGGTGATATTGTGTAGCTTCCTGGACTGTCCCCAAAGATGACAATCTCACTTCCTGCAAATCTGACTTAGAGCAGGCTGACTTCCTGGGTGGCTTCTTGGAGATAAGGTGGGGGTGGCCTTCTGGGTAGGTTGCTGCACATCATGGGGCAGAGCTCTATTTTTTATATGATCCAGCCATGACCTGTTTACATGTTCAGTCTCTGAGAGGTTACGAAACAAAGTCCATGTCACTAGGGCTGCCAGATAAAAGAGAGGGTGCCCATCTACACTGGAATTTCAGATCAACACCACCTAATTTTTTAGCATAAGTATGTCCCAAATACTGCATGTGATACACTAATGCTGAAAATTACGGTGTTTATATGAAATTCAAGTTTAAATGGGCGTGCTGTATTGTTATGGCTAAATCTGGCAACCCTACCTGTGGCTCAATGTTTTTTTTTCTTTGGGTCCTCATCACGGGGAAGCAGGAATGCAAATTTCTGGGCCTGAGCACCTCCACCCCTTGCCCTCTCACAGCAGCTGTGGTTGGGTTTCAGCAGTTAAGGTGGTTAAGATTTCACCTTACGGTAAGGTAGACTCACAGCTGTTGAGAAGGGAAACGCCCCAAAGGGCTAGGCCCTAGAAATGGAAGTCCGGTTGCCCACGGGCAGGCCCAATGCCTCCAGAAACCCAGGCAGGGATCCTGCAGGCTCAGACCTGCCTTGCGTCTGTCCACAGCCTCCAGACCACCCACCCACCTTTGTCCCACAGCTTCACACCGCACCCCAAGCCCAACAAAATGGAGAGAAAGTACCGGGTGCTTGGGGACAAGCCTCCCCCTGCTGCCGAGTGAGTAACAACGCCTTTCCTTTTGACTGCATTTAACCTGTTTTGGGTTGCAGGGGCAGCAAATGTGACTCAGCTGAGGGGAAAAATCAGAAAGGGGAAAGGCAGGTCCAAGCAGAGGAGGGGTGAGAGGAGATAGCAAGGTCAAGGTCAGTTTGTCTCAGCCCATTTCACCTAAATTTGTTGAGAAACATTTTCATCAACATTTCACATTTTCCAAGCTAACAAGCATTTCCTGGTGGTAGGGCAGGAGACCCCATTCGAGGTCTGAACTTTTTTTTGTAATTTTTTTCAGTGCTTTCCCCCATTTCTCTTTTCCTTTATTGTAACTCCAGTGATTAAAACAAAAGCTGTTCAACTTAGTATAGCTTCATTGCAAGCAAACAAGCAAAATTCCAAGGTCAGAAAACAAAAAGCCTTCGGAGAAAGTCAAGCACCACAAAGGAGCTCCCACTCCCACTATGTCAGAGATCCCCCCAGACAGCGGCCCCCTCTCATCAGCCCTCTCACCCTGGAGACCTCGTCTCTGGGGGTCATGAACTTGGCAGAGAAGGATGGCTGTGACATCAGGCAACCCAGGTGTGGCCTCCAGCTGGCAGGTAGACAGTTCCCTCGTCCCACACCCAAGGACGCTCCTGCACCCTGAATACTTCGGCTCTCTATTTTTTATAGCTCGATGCAGGAGGATGTTTGGTCCTACATGAAGTCCTGTTCATTTGATTACTATTTAGGAGTAATCATTCTTTCAGCTAATCGAGGCACTGCCCGGTACAGGCACTGCCATGGGGCTGGGGATTCCATGGTGAACAAGTACAGACAGGTCCATGTCCTGTGTCAAAAGATAAACTCAGGCACATTAAAATGTTGATGAGTTTATTTGAACAGTCAGTCATTCATGAATTGGGCAGTGCCAGACCCCAGGCGGTTCAGGGATCCACCGAGGGAACACCAGGGGACACCTTTTATAAGGTGTTTATAGAAGGAAGGCAAAGAAAATATTTGCTTGGTTAAAGTGAAAAGTTCCAAGTTGGCTATTTCTGATTGGTTAAGCTTACATTTCATTTTCCTAGACTATGACCATTCATTCTGAGTTACGTTTGTTTTCTAGCTAGAAACTCCAGGCACTGGAACCGTGTCAGCCTGATGGCCTCCTGTTTATGATCTTAAACACCTGGTGGCCTTTACAGTCTGCTGGGAGAGATGGAGGTTAATCAGCCAGTCACACAAATCAATCCCAAATCCACCTGATTAGCATGTCATAAGGCTGAGGGGGCATTAATCCAAGATCATTAAAGCCAGGTGGTCAGAAATTGCAGCTGAGCTGGGGTCTGAGGAAGGGCAGGAACAAATACAACCAAGAAGAGAAGAAAGTTAGCTGCTGTTATGGAGTGGAATCAGAGTGTGCAGAGGTCCTGGGGCAGCAGTGAGTAATTTCAAGGAGTGTCACGGCCAAAACAGAGCACTTGGAAAGTTCTGTTCATGTGGTTTTGTCCATGTTTGTGTGTCTAGACCAGGCCCCTCAGGGATCTGTCTCGTGTGTGTTGCAGGGATTTTAAGGGGATCATCTTGACCCTCCTCTGGGAGAGCAGTGAGAACCTGCTGACAGTCGCAGAGGTGAGGACCACCACCCATGGCCTGTGCCTGCCCTGGAAACCACGCCTGCCTTCTGCAGTCTGCTGATCATGGCCGCTTGGGGGAAAATGAGGAAGAGAGGATTCCACCCCCGCCATGACCACAGCTCCCCAGCTTCTGTCACCTCCCTATGAGTTTTTTTCTTTGAGAAACCAAACCTCATTCATTCATCTAATTGATCACCAAACATTTCTTAGATATCAACTGCATGTCAGGTACTGTGTGTGCCAAGAGGAACAAGCCCATCCTCTGTCCCCAAGGCACCCAGGCCCAGTGGAAAGCTGACAGACCTGGCGGGGGCACAGAAAGAGGTGGGGCAGTGGGACCAGGCACCAGACAAGCTGCCCAGTGCCCTGTTCCCACATGCCCTGCACCGTAGTGCGAGTGCCTTCTCCTGTCTGCCTCCCACGGGTCTGTCTGCCTCCTTCAGGGCAGGGTCCCTGGCTCGCCCGTCTTTGTGGCCTGCAGCCTATACCCAGCTTGGCACTTCCTTGTAAGCTCCCAACCTGGTCACCAATCTGAGATTCCATTGATTTGGGTCTTGAAGGATAAATAGGATTCTTGCCAGTCACTCATTCAGGAAATAACGAGGGCTGGCCATGGCTCCACTCACTCCAGGTGGGCCCAGGGAGGCGACACGGGCAGACAGGGAAGGAGGAGTGTCTGCTCGTGTCACTTCCACAGGGGATGCCACGAGCAAAGGCTAGGGAGTGTGGAGGTGAGGGCAGGCTGGTGGATCCCAGGAGCAAGGGCCAGAGTCCCATGGAGTCCTCACCCGCACATGGTCACCCTCTCTGGCAGGAGTTCTACCGTAAAGAAAAACGCCCAGTCACCAGGCCTGACTGCATGTGTGACACCTTTGACCAGTGCGCCGAGAACATTAGCAAAAAGATCCTGGAGTATCAGAGCCAGGCAAATAAGTACCACAACTCCTGCCTCATAGGTGAGTATAGGCAGCAGGAAGGCACGGGGAACAGGGCGGGGCGCGAAGCCAGTGGTGGAGCTCGGCCTTGGCCTTGTGGCCTGGATCCTCCCCTCTGGGGGAGGCAGAAGAGCTTCCCTGTGAAAAGCTGACCTCTTAAAATTAGGTAAAAACAATAATCAGATTTTACTGGGGAAATGCGACCATGCAAGAAAAAAGTTCACTTTTCTTGAGAAATATGGTGATTTGTACCTCTAAAAATATTTTGTTTCTTCTACAGATATTTTTGACAGCTTTGTTGAGATACTTGGGTACCATAAAATTTACACATGTAGTGTACTCAATGTGGTTTTTAGTTTATTTACAGAGTTATGCAATCACCGCTACCGTCAATTTTAGAAACCCCATCCCCTAACCCCTCCCCAGCCTAAAGCAACCACTAATCTACTTTCTGTCTCTATAGACTTCCTTATTCTTTACTTTCATGAGAATAGAATTGTATAGTATGTAGTCTTTGGGACTGGCTTATTTCATTTTGCATAATATTTCAAGGTTTATGCATGTTGTAGATGGTGCCAGTACTTCATTCCTTTTTATCAATGAATAATATTCCATTGTATGAATCTATCACACTTTGATGTGGTCTACTATGCTGTTTCAGAGGCCCTCTGGGTAGAAGGAGGAGAGTTCAGGGGATAGCCAGAACTGGGCCAGGACCCAGCCCCACCACTTCCCAGCTGTATTACCTTGGCCAAATGATCTCACCTCTCTGAGCCTCAGTTTTCTATTTTTTTTTTTTTTTTCTGAGACAGAGTCTCACTCTGTTGCCCAGGCTGGAGTGCAGTGGCACGATCCGCAATCTCGGCTCACTGCAACCTCTGTCTCCTGGGTTCAAGAGACTCTTCTGCCCCAGCCTCCTGAGTAGCTGGGACTACAGGCGCATGCCACCATGCCTGGCTAATTTTTGTATTTTTAGTAAAGACAGGGTTTCACCACATTGACCAGGCTGATCTCGAACTCCTGACCTCCAATGGTCTGCCTGCCTTGGCCTCCCAAAGTGCTGGGATTACAGACATGAGCCACTGCGCCCAGCCAGAGCCTCAGTTTTCTTGTCTGTGGACTGCAGATATTAATAACACCCACCGCAGAAGGCCTTCTTGAGGATTAAGTTCCTCACACAGACTTGGCATGTACAGGGAATTAAGCAGCGATAGTGCTCATAGCTGTGGTTGTTGAATGACTGGAATTGAAACTACAGGCATTGTTTTGTTTCTCTAGCTCAGAATTTCCCCCAAGTGATCTCTGGGGGATCCCATCCTACATGATTGTCCTCAAAACAAGGGTTCCATGGTCAAATGGGCTTGGAAAATGCTACAGACTGCACCCCTCTCTGGTAAACTCACAACTAGTGAAGACTTCTGTTTCCTGCAGCTTGGCAGGCTAATGGGGGATCCATTCTCCTACTAAAAACATGTAAAATGCTGCATAAAATATTTTTGTAATAAAATATTTTAAATGCATTAGCAAGCTATCTGTAAAGTGAGAAACACACAAGAGCCAAAAATTAAGTGAAAATAGAAACTCTGAGTGATAAATTGAGTAGTAACCCTGGTTATTGCCCTAGGGGCATTTGCTGACTCCCAGGTGAACTTGAGCCTCTATTTTCATGGCCTCCAGGGTATTGGGAACAAGAGACAAATCCACAGACCTCCAAAGTGGGAAGTCTAAAAGGAGCAAGCCACCTATAGCTGGAACCCAACAGGGCTTCCTGAGTAAGGCAAATGAGACGGAAACCAAGCTCCTCCCTCTGTCCCTCCATAAGACAGAAGGAAACTGTCTTATCAAAAACCATGGTACTGGGTGAAGAAAAAAAACTCCAAAGAGAAATCCAGAACTATATGCCAGTCCCTGTGTGGTTTCTAAATTTATGTTTAGATAATTCACACTTATCTAAACATGAATTCAATTTTGCTTTTGTGGCTCATCCAAAACACCTCCAGCTAATACCTGAGCTTAAAATGATCTTGAGTTGGTGGTGTTCAGAAGCTTGCTTGTTGGACATATAACAAATTCTCTCTAGGAAAATCTATCTTCAGTTCAGGCCTCAAAGGATTCCCACAAATAAAATGCCCAGACTAAGAGCTCACAGTAATAAACAAAGAGCAACAAAATCCCCATAAACACAAGGAAACAAAATGCCTTGAGCAAGAGGCAGCAGGAGACCAGCAAAGACTTGGCAGATATTAAAAGTATTGGACACAGAACATAGAATAATATACTTCTAGTTAAATAAAAGAGGGAATTGGAAACATGAATAAGAAGCAAAAGACTATGAAAATGACCAAGCAGCTATAAAAGAGAATAAAATAAAACTTTCATGAAGGAAAAATTAAGAGTTGAAATTTTAAAACTATGCATGACTTTACTACCAGGTTACATATAGCTGAAAGTAGAATTGGTGAACTGGAAGGCAAATCCAAAGAAAATAACCAGAATATAACACAGAAATATAAAGAGATGAAAATATGGGAGAGAGGTAAAGGGATGTGAATGAAAGAGCAGGTCTAACATACGGCCATTTGGAGATACAGAGAAAGAGGGAGACCTAGAATCAAGGCAATAGTTGAAATAATGGATGAGAACTTGCCCAAAATGCCAAGAGACACAGTGCATTTTAAATGAGATGAGAAGTCCGCAGAGTATATAGGAGAAGCCCTTTGAATTTATTTAAGCCTTTATTTTATGTTATGTTATGTTATGTTATGTTATGTTATGTTATGTTATGTTATGTTATGTTAGAAAGAGGGTCTTGCTCTGTGGCCCAGGCTAGAGTGTGGTGCAATTATAGTTCACCATAGCCTCAAACTCCTGGGCTTAAGCAATCCTCCCACTTCAGCCTCCTGAGTAGCTGGCATGTACCACCATGCCTGGCTAATGTTTAAATATTTTTTTAGAGACAGGGTCTTGCCCAAGCTGGTCTTGAACTCCTGGCCTCAAGCAATCCTCCCACCTCAGCCTCCCAAAGTGCTGGGATTACAGGTGTAAGCCACTGCAGCTGGCTAACCCTGTATTTTCTATACTGGTTTGACCTCAGGACCTCTTTTGATGGAATAGCTCTTACCACGTTGGAGACCAAGATTTTCTCTTTGGGAAGCTGCTTTGGGCCTTTGTTGTAGAGATCGCCTCTGCAAGTTGATTCTAATCTGTTCCCTCCCTTGGCCTCTTACCCGCACTTCTGGCAGAATTACGGATCCAGATCAGGAGATTTGAGGAGCTGCTGCCCCAAGTGTGTTGGCTGGTGATGGAGAATTTCAAGGAACACCACTGGAAAAAGTTTTTCACCTCTGTGAAGGAGATCCGAGGACAGTTCGAGGAACAGCAGAAGCGGCTGGAGAAAAGAAAGGTGAGGGCCCCAGGACCAGCCCTTCCACTCTAGGACCAGGGGAACTGGGAGTTCAGAAATGGTGGCAGGTTGTGGGCAGGGCCAAGTCCAAGGGAAGAAGGTGAGCTTGGCTTGGGATTTTTGGATGGGGGCTGAGGGACAGGAGCCATTGGCGAAATAAGAACTGAGCCAACAGCTTCTACATAGAAGGTGTTCAGTAAACTCCTTGTTGGCTATAATGGGTGGGTGTGCTGGGTTCCGTGGGGCTGTAGTCATTAAGACAGCAATAATTGTCCACACTGGTCCTTGGAGCTGTGGAACATGGGTACTGCTGATTTCACTGGACTAAAACTCTGATTGTGCTGGGCAGATGCTCAGCCTTTTCTCTTCCAAACCCCCGAGTCAGCTCTAGCCATGCCCCCCTCTTAACCCCTCTGCCACTCTTCTGCCCACCCATCACCCCCACACACCCAGGTCAGAGGACATGAGTCTGGCCATAATCATAATTGACAGAAGACACAGGTCAGTGACTTTTGGTGGGTTAACATTGCCACTGAATTCTGGATTGTTTGATTAAAGGACAAAAATGCCCAGAAGCTCCATCTAAATCTTGGACACCCCGTACATTTCCAAGAAATGGAGTCTCTACACTTAAGTGAAGAGGAAAGGCAGGAAGAGCTGGACAGCATGATTAGGATGAACAAGGAGAAGCTGGAGGTCAGTGATACCATTGATTCGCCAGTCCAGGCATGCTCCAAATATAGCCCGATGGACAGCCACTGACAGTGCCAGGTGCAGCCCTTTCTTGGTATCTTGCCCAAAGCAGGCATGATCGTGGTTGGGTTTTGTAGGTAAAAATGGCCATTATTGGCTGTTTTAACTTGTATACTTTTTTTTTTTTTTTTTTTTTTTTGAGACGGAGTCTCGCTCTGTCGCCCAGGCCGGACTGCGGACTGCAGTGGCGCAATCTCGGCTCACTGCAAGCTCCGCTTCCCGGGTTCACGCCATTCTCCTGCCTCAGCCTCCCGAGTAGCTGGGACTACAGGCGCCCGCCACCGCGCCCGGCTAATTTTTTTGTATTTTTAGTAGAGACGGGGTTTCACCGTGTTAGCCAGGATGGTCTCGATCTCCTGACCTCATGATCCACCCGCCTCGGCCTCCCAAAGTGCTGGGATTACAGGCGTGAGCCACCGCGCCCGGCCTAACTTGTATACTTTTTGACTTCTAAATTAATTAATTACAAAATTACTGACGATAACTTTTATTTAGTGATCCATGTCTAGTTTTATTTCCTCTTCTGTGAATTGTCTGTGTGTGTCCCTTGGCCGTTTCTGAATCATTTATTATGTTTAAACCAGATCACATCTTGGGAGAGGCCTCCTGGCTGAGGGCCAGATGCTGGTTACTTGGACACAGTGGATATAATGGCTTGGGTCCCCAGATCTCCCTGCAGAGTTCACCCATCCCCTCTTCAGCTGGCCTTGGAGGGATGATCCTCTCCTAGCAGCACTGTGCTCACCATGTTTTTTCCAGGAATGTACCAGAAGGAATGGCCAGGTTTTCATAACCAACTTGGCCACCTTCACCGAGAAGTTCCTACTGCAGTTGGATGAGGTGGTCACCATTGACGATGTCCAGGTTGCAAGTAAGAGGCACCACCAGCCTTGTGTCATGGCCCTGGGGGGCTGGTGAGGGCTAGGTTGGGCAGGGGTCTGCTTTCCCCAACTCTATCAAAGTGAAAACAAGTGATCCATTGAGGGGACTGATTAATTTTTGTTTTCCTTAAAAATAATTTTTTGATTAAAAAGCAAATGCCAGATGGCTCAACGTTTATATATAAAAAATGAAACCCTATTAAGTAAACACTCCCATACTCTTGGGGTTAGGGATACCTTTTCTAAGTATGACAGGAGAGCTAGAAGCCATAGAGGGAATGGCTGGCTCTTTGTAGCCAAAAAAATCCCGAAAAATGTCAAAAGATGGAAAGACAAACCACAAACTGGAAAAGTATTCCTCACAACTTACAGATCAGAGAAAGGGTTAATATCCTTGTGGTACAAAGAACTCTCACAGGTCAAATTTTTAAAGAGACGAAGGACAAACACATGCTCTTCAAAAGAGAAGCAGTTCATATGGCTAGTCACTGTAAAAAATGCTCAACTTCACTGATGATGAAAAATGAAAATCTAAGCATTATTTAGATATCATTTCTCACCAATAGCCTGGCAAAGTTTTTACATTTGGTAACAACGTAAAAGAATGTCAAGAAACAGAGACTCTGCAGAGACTCTTGGTAGAGCGTACATGGATACCGCTGTCATAGGGAACAATTTGTCAGTCCCTGTCAAAATTCTGAGTGTGTAGACGTTTGGCCTAGCACGTCTAATTCTAGGAATTTATCTGAGAGAAATACTTGGACACTTTTTCAAAGGTATATGTTCAAAAATGTTCACAGCACTGTTTGAAATGGCAAAGAATTGGAAGCAACACTAACATTGATATACAGAAAATTCAATGGGCCAGGCACAGTGGCCCACACCTGCAGTCCCAGCACTTGAGAGGCTGAGGTGGGTGGATCTCTTGAGCCCAGGAGTTTGAGACAAGCCTGGGCAACATGACAAAACCTCATCTCTACTAAAAATTTAAAGATTAGCTCGGTGTGGTGGTGTGCACGTGTAGTTCCAGCTCCTAGAGGTGGAGGGCGGTTGGGAGGGTGCTGAGGTGGGAGGATTGCTTAAGTCTTTAAGTCGAGACTGCTGTGAGCTTTGATCATACCACTGCACTCCAGCCTGGTGAGAGAGCAAGACCGTGACTCAAAAATAACGAAAATTGGATGCATAAATGAGGGTGCCAGATGTGCAGGTAAATACCACACAGCTGTTAAAGTAGGTCTGCATGTGCTGACATGGAAAGACATGAAGGAGGGCTGTTGTGTGAAAAAACAAATGGACAAACAGGACATGTCTGTGATCCCATCTTTTAAAACACATGCATGATATCAACATGCATACTCACATCTGTTTAAATGAATCTGTGTGAGAGACAGAGACAGAGAGACAGGTACCAAACTGCTGATGATCACCTCTGCTGGGTGGGACTGAGAGAGATCCCTAAAACCTTTTTTCTCATCATGAAGTGATGTTTACATTTTTAATAATGTGCATATTACTTTTATAAATATAAGATTAAAATCATACATTAAATGTTATCCATTTATCACTGATCTATAAAGTAATTAAAATGCATCCTTTTTATTTGTAAAGGTTTTTAATTACAAAAACAATAAATGTTCATTCCAGTAAAACAAGAAAATCAGTATAAACCAAGAAGCAAGTGAAGAACACAGTCCTTCCGCCCTGAAAGCAGCGCCCTTTGCACTTGCTGTTCATCCTGCCAGGCCTTTCCCTTTGGGCACAGGCCTGTGTGTCAGGGTGGCTGGGGAAGATTACAGGGCTTGGGCGCTTTTGCGACCTGATTTCCCTGCAGGTGAACCTTGGCTGGGCTGGCCAGTCAACACTCCTCCTCTTCAGCATTTTCAGTTGCTGCACACCATAATGTAATAAGCATTGTAACTTACTAATTAGTCCCTTTGCTATTGAACTTTGGACCATTTCCAATTTCCCACTCCTGTAATTGTGCTGAAGAGAATCTCTGCATCCATGCATCTCTAGAGCAACAGACTCCTAGAAGTGCGATGTCTGGATCAAAGTGTGTACAGATTTTTGAAGTGTTGGTCACTTTTCTCTATCAGAGGTCTCTGTCAAAGGTGAGCCTTGTTTGGGAAATCAGCGCCTTGCAGAGATGCTGGGGTCGAGACCCCAGGGAGAACAGGCAGGTGAGCTGGTAGTGGAGCAGATCACAGTGCCTTGCAAGGAACCCCTGAGCCAGGAAGACTCCCTGCACCAGGCCCTAGGAGGCCTCTGCCTACTCTGCAACTCGGCTTCTGAGCCAGGCCACCGGGCCCTGCCATTCATGGCAGAGGAGTGTACATGTTACCTGCTGGCTCTCTGCACACAGAGCCCCCCACCCCCTCGCCCCTGATCTAGAAAGAACATCAGAGCATCAAAGATTGGATTATTGAGCTAGATAGTCAAGGGACAACCTTGAACGTGTTTGTTCCAGGGGAGGTTCTTAGTTCGGAACCCATATGAGCTAGCCTAAGCCAAAGAAGTCTCTATGAACCATATCCGGGGACTCATGGAAACTGCAGCAACGTCAGAGCATCAGGCTTGGGTTTGGAGCTGGGAACAGCACCCACACCACCGCTTAGATTCCTCCATCCATGACCCCCTGCCCCTGTCACCACCCCGAGCTGTGTGGCTGGTGCATTCAGCTTCTCCATGGAGAGGGCTCAGCCTGCCATAACTCCAAGTGGGAGGAGGGGTGCCAGTCCTCCCTTTTCTAAGTGTAATGCCAGGGGAAATCCCTCGATCTCAGGCTGTCGGTGAGGCTGCAGTCACTAGCCTGTCTTTTGCCTCTAGGGATGGAGCCCCCCAAACAGAAATTATCAATGCTCATACGAAGGAAACTCGCTGGGCTCTCCCTGAAGGAAGAGAGTGAGAAACCCCTGATTGAACGTGGAAGCAGGTGAGAACCAAGAGCAGCAAGGACTACTGTAAATGGCTGTATCTGCTGGGGGTGGTGCAGTGTAATGGTTAGGGGCTTGGACTCTGAAGTCAGACAGACCTGGGAAAGGCATTGTGTTCTGAGCCTTAGTTTCCTCATCTATGAAATGAGCATGGCCACTTACCTTGATATTATCAAGAGAAAGTTAAATGAGGTAGTACCTGGGGTGCCCCAGCACATACAAACAGCTCAACAGCTATTAGTGCACATGATAAGGACCCACCAAAGGGTCCCATGATGAAAGGGAGGCCTGGCTCAGTGGGGGACACATTCTTGGGTCACTGCTGGCATTGTGAGCCACTCCAGCTGTCCGTCATGTGTGAAGAGAGTTGGCAATGTGCCTGTTCCCTGTGCCCCAAGAGTGTGACTCTGCAAGAAGAAGCAGAGCAGTGATTTGCCCAGCTATGTTCTCAGAAGTGGTGTTCAGGGCATCATAGGAAAAGCATACCAGGCACTGGTGGCCACCGCCTGGCTGGCAGATCAGTGAGTAAACTGAGGCTCAGAAAGGGGAGCAACTTGAGCTGTGGCACTCCCCTTCCCCCCCCAGAACCCCAGACCGTGCACAGCAATGAGACCAGTGGGGGCTAATATGAAACAGCTTGAACAAGTGCAGCATTCACATTCAGTATGTTTTTTCTTTTCATTAAGATATTTAAAGCCATGATAATTTTTTCAAAGAAATGCTAAGCTTTTCCAACAGGGTTGGTAGGTGGATTATGAAAGATGAAGACAAGCCTGTGAGATTTTCACACATGTTTGTTTGTAGGAAGTGGCCAGGGATCAAACCCACCGAAGTCACCATCCAAAACAAGATTCTTCTCCAGCCAACATCATCGATTTCCACCACCAAAACCACCCTGGGCCACCTGGCGGCCGTGGAAGCCCGAGATGCTGTGTACCTGGTGAGACAGGGTGGAGTGGGCGTGTCCCAGGGAGCACAGCTCAGGTCGGCTGCCTTGGGAAGGGGGAGCTTCCCATCACCCGGCACCCAACATTTGGCTGGTGCAGCAGGCAACACATGTCAGCACACCCCAGAGCTGCAGGTCTCAACACTCAGGACAGTCACCATTCACAGGCACGAGGACATTAATGTGGGTCTGAGGCGTGATCCCAATGCTGTGGGAGCCCAGCTGAGGGACATCCCACCCAGATTAGGGGTGAAGGCTTTCCAAAGGCACAGTAGTGTCACAGCTAGGGAACATTGTCACCAGGCACGGAAGCAATGGTAGCCGTAGGCTCAGGGGGGACACAGCAGCAGGAGCAGTCACAGCTCCTGAGAACTTACTGGGAAGTACTTACTGAGAGCTTCTGCTCTTGACATGAGGCATCTCACTGAATCCTCCTAACAACTCCACAAGGGAGGTAAAATTATTATCATTTCATTGATGAGGACACTGAGGCTTAAAGAAACTTGTCCCTTCTATGCCACTACAGAGTGGCAGAGCCAGGATTTGATCCCAGTGCCTGTCAGACCCCCTGGGGACAGCCTGATGAGGAGGCTACACCCAGTTGCCACTTGAGGGACCTCTTGGCTTTGAAGATCTGTGGACCTTTGGTCCTGATGTCCAGAGAGAAACCTTGTCCTGCCCAGAGACCAGCTGGCCCCCTTACTGGGAGAGGCTGAAGTGCCCAGGGTCAGCCCTCCCCCAGCTTCCCCTCCAAGCCCCAGGCAGAGGGTGCAGTTCGGCCTGCTGAGTTCAGTGAGGGTGGGAGGCCTGGAAGGCCCAGCCTACCAAAAAATCGGGAGCCCTGAGCTCCCGAGAGGCCACAGTGTGGGACAGAGCTCAGGAAGGAGTGCTGAGCCTAGAGTCAGATAGACACAGGTCCTAGTCCCTGCTCAGCCTCCTTCTAGCTGGGTGACCCCAGGCCAGGCTCTGAGCCTCAGTTTTCCTGTCTTGTAAAATGGGGAAAACAACTAGGACTACCTGGTTTCTACCTGAGAAGTGACTTGGAGAACTCTTGCCAGTGCCTGGAATGGGTTAAAAACCACCTGCCAGCAAGTTACAGCATTGCCCTAGGGGAGAGGGTCCAGATGTCTCTCCTCATGTGGACCCCTCCTGCTACCTTCCTTCTAGAAATATTTAGCATCATTTGAGGAGGAGCTAAAGAGGATCCAGGATGACTGTACATCTCAGATAAAGGAGGCTCAGCGCTGGAAGGACAGCTGGAAGCAGTCCCTGCACACTATCCAAGGCCTGTATGTGTGACCCTCCGCCCCACCATGAATAAACACTTTCTTATACAGACTCCTTCCCTGTCCATCTACCTGCCTACCTACTTTCCGTCCATCCCTCCCTCCCTTCATCCCTCCACCCCTGCTCTGTGCCGGGCACTGTAGCTTTACCAGCGAACAGGACACAGCATGGTCCCTGCCCACGTGGAGCCCTCTTCCCATGAGGAAGGCAAGCATGAAAGGGGAATTCCACGTGGTTAGCAGGGAGGGTGAGTACCAGGAATCAGTCACTTCAAATAGGCACCAGAGCTTCAAAGGACATCACCTCCAAACAGCATGCTGGGCAGGGCACGTCATCTTGAAAAATGAAATAAAGGTCATGGGAAAATGATATTTTAATTTAACAGAATAAACAAGTATGGGTTATAATTGCAACTCTGCACTGGTTCCTAGACCCAACAAATAACTAATCCAATGTTGATTGGTATTTGTGCCACAATTTGTCTGAGCAAATTGCAATATTTTGGAAAAAAAAAAATCTTCCAGGCTCCTTTAGTCCTGTGTTGCCCAGATCATTCTCTTGGAGTCCTCCAGCCTGCCAGTCTCTTGTTCGTCAACTCTCTTCTTCAATTACATGGCGTGAGCGTACAGCCTTCATTTGTCGGTAGCTGTGTGTGTCATCTGGACAGGTTTCCTCAGCCATAGACCTAGGAGGCCCCAGCTCCCAAATTTCCAGCCCCTGAAAGCTGTGTGACCCTCCAAGTGCAGTTCCCTCACCTGGGGACACTCACTCTGCTCTCCTGGTTTGCTCCACCCAGTGAGGCCCTGCTTGGTTAGCTTGGTTAGCTTGGTGGCCTTTGTGCACTGAAGCCAGGAGAGTGAGGAGTCCCCTTCCATCAAGGCAAAAGCAATCTCCTGTTCTTTTCTGTGCTCCCCCCACCCCCACCCCAATGTGCTACCTTTCATTGCTTATTATTCCGAAAGGAATATATGCGCATTGTAGAAAAAAGAATTTATGAAACCAGCAAAAGGATAACTTTAAAATCCTGAGCCGGGCGCGGTGGCTCACGCCTGTAATCCTAGCACTTTGGGAGGCCAAGGCGAGCAGATCATCTGAGCTCAGGAGTTCGGGGCCAGCTGAGGCAACATGACGAAACCCCATATCTACTAAAAATACAAAAAGTTAGCCAGGCATGGTGGCACACACCTGTAATCCCAGCTACTGGGGAGGCTGAGGCATGAGAATCGCTTTAACCTGGGAGGTGGAGGTTGCAGTGAGCCAAGATCATGCCACTTCACTCTGGCCTGAGCAACAGAATGAGACTCTGTCTCAAATAAACGAATAAATAAATAATAAAATCCTGGAATCTAGAGACAGTCACTGTCCATAGCATCTTTCCATGTATGTGAGTTATTTTTATAAAATGGAATCATAACATGCATTAGGTTCCATAAACTGCTTGGTAAATGTTAACTGGATAAACCCTATGCCATATCCTTCAGTATTCATTTACATCATTGGTTTTCATACTTTTCTGACTCTGACCCACTGTATAAACATGTTCTAAACACACGGTCCTTGCACACATACACAACTTGAGACCAACAGGTCACAGGACAGCACTTAACCTTACTAGAAAGGCTGCTTTCTAATATTTTCTCCCTGCTTTTTAAATCCTAGCCCAGTCCACTAACTCAGTTCATGGCCCACAAAGGGGCTTTGATTGCAGTGTGGGACACTGTCATTTAAACAGCTGCAGAGTGTTCCCACTGCCTGGGGAACCAGATCGCCTCTGTCGGACAAGGGCGAGGATGTCCCATGCAGGGCTCCTAGAAAGAAGGCAGAGATGACATCCTCCCACATTAGCTCTTTGTACACATCTGTAATCATTCCTTAATCAGAGGGTGGCAGCTGTGGACATGGTGCCAAGTCACCCTCCAGGGAAACAGGCCACCCCCTCCCACCATTAAGCAGTGCCCATTGCCCATTGCCCATTGCCCATTTTTCTCGTCCACACCAAGGGTTCTAGTTTCAGGATTTGGGGGAAATTTTTTGCTGGTTTGGTTGGTGAGAAATCATATCTAAATCACTTTTCTAATAGTGAGTGAGACTGGACTCTCATCACCCCTATACCTGTACCCCAGGGACCCCCTTAGGCTCAAGAGGCCCAGCTTGACAAGCACTGAAGGAACCCAATGCCACTTTGTCTACCTTTTGGCTACTGTAGATCCACACAAAAACTTGTTCATGACTGCCCGTAGCAGCACTAAAAAATAGTGCTGTTATATCTAAGACTCCATTGCCTAAAAGATAGTGCTGCTATGAGCAGTCATGAACAAGTTTTTGTGTGGATGCATATTTTCATTTCTCTTGGGTATATACCAATTACTAGGTCAAAAAGTAACTCTAGGCTGGGCACAGTGGCTCACACTTGTCATCCCAGCACTTTGGGAGGCTGAGGCAGGTGGATCACTTGAGGTCAGGAGTTAAGAGACCAGCCTGGCCAAGATGGTGAAACCTGTCTCTACTGAAAATACGAAATTAGCCAGGGGTGGTGGTGCACACCTGTAGTCCCAGCTGCTTGGGAGGCTGAGCCATGAGAATTGCTTGAGCCCAGGAGGGGGAGGTTGCAGTGAGCCGAGATCATGCCATTGCTCTCCAGCCTAGGCAACAGAGCGAGACTCTGTCTCAAAAAAAAAAAAAAAAAAAAAAAGTAACTGTATGCTTAACTTTTTGAGAAAGTGCCAGACTGTTTCCCAAAGTAGCTGTACCACTTTATATCAGTCTTGGCAGTATATAAAGGCTCTGATTTCTCCACATCATTGCCAAATCTTATTATTATCTGACTTTTGGATGATAACCATCCCAGTAGGTGTGAAGTTGTATCTCATTATAGTCTTAATTTGCATTTGCGATGACTAATGATGTTGAGTATCTTTTCATGTGCTTATTGGCCATTTGAATATCTTCTCTGGAGAAATGTATTCAAGTTCTTTATCAATTTTTAATTAGATTACTTTTATTATTGAGTTGTTAGAGTTCTTTATATATTCAAGCCACTGGACCCTTATCAGACATATGATTTGCAAATATTTTCTCCCAATTGTATGTTGTTTTCACTTACAAAATTATCTCTAGATCAGTTGTAATTCACTTTCTTGATAGTGTCCTTTGATACACAAAAGTTTATAATTTTGAGGAAGTCCAGTTTATTCTTTCTTGGGTTGCTTGTGCTTTTGGTGTTGTATCTAAAACTCCATTGCCTAAGCCAAAGTCACAAAGATTTACTGCTGTTTTCTAAGAGCTGTATAGTTGTTTTATTTGTTTGTTTGTTCTTTTTTGAGACAGGGTCTTACTCTCTCGCCCAGACTGGAGTGCAGTGGTGTGATCTTAGCTCACTGCAACCTCCTCCTCCCGGGTTCAAGCGATTCTCCTGCCTCAGCCTCCCGAGTAGCTGGGACTACAGGCATGCACCACTACTGCCCAGCTAATTTTTGTATTTTTAGTAGAGATGGGGTTTCACCATGTTGGCCAGGCTGGTCTCGAACTCCTGACCTCAAATAATCCACCTGCCTCGGCCTCCCAAAGTGCTGGGATTACAGGCGTGAGCCACCACACCCAGCCTAGAGTTGTATAGTTTTAATTCTTCTACTTAGGTCTTTGATCCATTTTAAGTTAATTTTGTACATAGCGGTAAGTGTTCAACTTTATTCTCTTGCATTTGGCTACCAGTTGTTCCAGCACCATTTCTTGAAAATACTGATCTTTCCCCCATTAAATTGTCTTGGCACCTGTGATATAGTGAAATACATGTTTGGTTTTCTTCCCCATGTTCTGATGTGCAGCTCCTAAAACCCTTAGAATCTCTGGAGTGATAAGAGTGTCTTTTGTATGCTAATGAGACGACTGGTGGCTGGGGACCCCTGGACAGCTTCAGGACAGGGGCTGGTCAACAGAAAGATCAAGGCATGGTTAGAGGACTGAGACTCTCAGCCCCAAACCCCAAGGAGTTGATAACTAAGTTATCAACTAATGATCAATGATCAATTATTTAGTCAATCATGCCTATGTAATGCAGCATCCATAAAACTCCAAAAGCACAGCATTCTGGGAGCTTCCAGATAGCTGGCCACATGGAGATTCCTGGAGGGAGGCATGCCCAGCAAGATCATGGAAGCTCCGTGCCCCTTCTCCCATTCCTTGCCCTAAGTATCGCCTCCATCTGGTTGTTTGTCTGTATCCTTTATTAATAAACAAGTAAATGTAAGTAAAGTGTTTCCCTGAGTTCTGTGAGCTGCTCTAGCAAATTAATAAAACCCAAGGAGGAAGTTATGGGAACCCTGATTTAGAGCCAGTTTCTCAAGAATACTCACTTACTGGCATCTAAAGTTTCTCAAGTACTACTCACTATTGGCATCTAAAAGTGGAGGGCAGTCTTGTGGGACTGGGCCCTCAGCCTGTCTCCAGGTAGACGATATCAGAATGGAATTGAATTAGAGGACCCCTAATGCCCACTGCAGAATTGCTGGGTGTGTGGGGAGATGACCTTCACACATCCGGTATCAGACGTATTGTATTGAGTGGTGTGTGAGTAGAGGGAAAAGCCACTTTTTCCCTATATCTTACATATTGGATGCCTTTTCATTTTATTTCCTTGCCTAATTGCCCAGGCTAAAACCTCTAGTACAATGTTGAATAAAAGTGTCAAGAGCTGACATCCTTGTCTTGTCCCTGTTCATGCAAGGAAAGCATCTGGTCTTTCACCATTCAGCATCATGTTAGCTGTGGATTTCTTCTGGTGTTCTTTACTATGCCAAGGAAATTCCCTTCTGTTTTTTATTTGTTGAGTTTTTATCATGAAGTGATATTGGATATTGTCAATTGCCTTTCCTGCATCGATTGTGATGCTTTTTGAAAATGTGATTTTTAGGCCACGTGTTAGTGGCTCATGCCTGTAATCCCAGCACTCTGAGAGGCCAAGGTAGGTGGATCACCTGAGGTCAGGAGTTCAAGACAGTCTGGCCAACATGGTGAAACCCTGTCTCTATTAAAAATACAAAAATTAGCCAGGCATGGTGGTGTGTGCCTGTAATCCCAGCTACTCAGGAGGCTGAGGCAGGAGAATTGCTTGAACCCAGGAGGCAGAGGTTGCAGTGAGCTGAGATCGCACCACTGCCCTCCAGCCTGGGCGACAGAGCAAGACTCCATCTCAAAAAAAAAAAAAAAAGTGATATTTGTTTCTAATCCTGTTGATATGGTGTATTACATTCACTGTTACTGTTCAAAGTCACCAACAAATCATAGGCAGAACCAGCTTGAGATCCAGAGTGTCAATCTAAAATAATTTAAAAGGTTACGATCTGATTTAAAGAGAGTTTATTCAAGCACACAGTGTGAAGGTGGCCATCTGGGGAGCAGAGCTACAATGAAGAATGGTGATCAGTGCTTCAGTGTGTGGGGAAAAATGAGGACCATTTATACAGGCAAAACAGAGGTGCTGAACAGAACTACAGCACTGTCCGTACAAAGGCTGACATATGGATATACTGACTACACTCTAAGAGAGTTGTTTAACACTCTATTGTAAAAAGGCAACAGTCCCAAGGGTCTCTGTCTGCACCTCTTTTAGTCTAGGTTTGAATAAAGAGCAGAGAGTCTGGTTAATGTATAACATCTCAATGCAAAGGTCAGAAAGTAAAGGTCATGCACCAAAGAAGAAAAACAGTCATATTATGTGAGTCAGCTTCCAGGACTTTTCCCTTTGGCATAATAAATTTGGAAGATCCTGAAACTTAATTTTCTTTTTATAAGAGGCTCCTAGAAACTGGACTAAGACTTCAAGTTCATCCTCTTAAACTGTACCCTGTTGCTGCCAAGGTGCCAAGGCCCAACAGGGCCAAGACAAATGTCTGGGTCTACATTGAGCTTTACAAGAGACCCCCTCTTGGCACCCTGGAGAATGCTGGCTCTTGCTCCAGTGAGAAGCTTGTTTTTTAGGTAAGGAAAGTGAAGCCCCTGGCACTAGGTTTAGAAGGCCTTCCTCAAGTCTGCAGACCCCCTCCACCAAGGGCTCTACAGTCAAGGAAGTTATGCAGAACACACCAGAAAATCGCACCAAGAATCAGGAAGATCTCAACTTGGATGAGAACAGACAATCAGTATGTGTGAATACCAAGATGCCAGATGTTGGAATTATCTGACAGTGGTTTGAAATAGCCATAATAATAATGTTTTAATAAGCAATTATAAACACACTTGAAACAAATGAAAAATTAGAAAATCGTAACAAAAAAATAGAAGAAAGAAATCCAAGTGGAAGCTTCAACTGAAAAATATAATAACCAAAATTTAAAAACTCAATGTGTAGGCTCAACAGGTTTCAAAAGTGAGGAGAAAGAATCTATGAACAAAAAGAACAACAGAAATGACCAATCTAAACAACAGGGAGGGGAATGAACAGAGTCAGAGAAGCAGAGGGGAAGCACTTGGGGTGAGTGCAGGGCAGTGCCTGTTTACCACCCTGATTGGAAGCATTTCAGTATTTTAGTTGGTATGGCTGTATCCCTGCATGCCTGTGGATCATCAGTTTGGAGGCATAAAACCCCAAAAGGACAGGATTCTGGGAGCTTCCAGATAGCTGGCCACATGGAGATTCCTGGAGGGAGGCACGCCCAGAAAGGTCATGGAAGCTCCGTGCCCCTTCTTCCATTCCCTGCCCTATGTATTGCCTCCATCTGGCTGTTTATCTGCATCCTTTATTAATAAACAAGTAGGCCAGGTGCAGTGGCTCACATCTGTAATCCCAGCCCTTTGGGAGGCTGAGGCGGGCGGATCACAAGGTCAAGAAATCGAGACCATCCTGGCCAACATGGTGAAACCCCATCTGTACTAAAAATGCAAAAATTAGCTGGGCACGGTGGCATGCATCTGTAGTCCCAGATACTCAGGAGGCTGAGGCAGGAGAATCACTTGAACCCGGGAGGCAGAGGTTGCAGTGAGCTGAGAGCGCCACTGCACTCCAGCCTGGCGACAGAATGAGACTCCGTCTCAATAAGTAAATAAACAAACAACTAAATGTAAGTAAAGTGTTTACCTGAGTTCTGTGAGCTGCTCTAGCAAATTAATCAAGCCCAAGAAGGAAGTTACAGGAACCCTGATTTACAGCCAGTTTCTAAAGAATGTATTAACCAGGTGACAGCCTACTACTTGCTACGGGCATCTGAAGTGGAGGGCAGTCTTGTGGGACTGGGCACTCAGCCTGTCTCCAGGTAGATAGTATCAGAATGGAATTGAATTAGAGGATGCCTAATTCACTGCCTAATACACTGCAGAATTGCTTGATGTATGGGGAAATGACCTTCACACATCCGTTATCAGACGTATTGTATTGAGTGGTGTGTGAGTAGAGGGAAAAACCACTTTTTCCCTATATCTTACATATTGAATGCCTTTCATTTTATTTTCTTGCCTAATTGCTGGGCCCTCCCATGCCTCCCACTCACTGCCCCCCTAATGCCTCACCTTCAACTCTCCCCACGGGAAAAGTTCACAGTCCCCCCCACTCCTGCCCACTTTGCCCCATGAAATAACCACAGTACAAGACTGGACAGAGGATAAAGCCATCCAGGGGGCTGTAAGCTCTAAGGACTCGGGCCAGCTTGCCCTTAGGACAAGTCAGTAACAACACAACTGAGTGTGTAAACAGGGGACCCCCAAGACCTTGGACCTCAGGAACACAGGACCCCAGACTTCACCTTGGCCAGTATGGGAGTGTGGGGTCTGTCGTTGACAAGGAATAAGTACCCTTATCCTGGCAAACCAGAGCTCACCTGTGGTTCATCAGGCTCCAGCCAGGAAGGAATGGCCAGGATGTGCCTGACAGAGAGGCTGGGAGTCTTCTAGGGAATTTCCGCCTTGAAAGGAATTATACCAGGAATTGCAGGGATGCTGGAAATCCTAGATCTTAGGTAGTAGCAATGTTTATGCAATGAGGCCCAGCTGCAGCCTTAAAAATTGCATTGCAAAATCTTTCCCCCTGGATAAGAAACCAGCAAGAAAAGAAGTGCTAAGGTCAAAGACAGAATCCCAGGAGGAGTCAAATCTAAGGTCAAGGGTCACTCACGGCTCTCCTGGAAGTGAACTGAAGATGCAATGTCCAGCCTGCCCTAAGTCCATTTGCAAATAATCCTCCTTTGGCCTTATCCTTTCCACATTACACATTTGGATCTTTTTACACTCCCCCCGCCCCAACACATACACACATACACACTTAGTACTGATGCAATTCCAGTGTTTGAACAAGAAAACTACAAGTCCCTAATAGTTGATCAAAGGAAACCTCAGTAAGCAAATCAACATGTTCCCTCTTCCTCCAAAGCAGTAGAAAGGTAGCCACTGTCTTGGGTCAGGAAATGGTCCCTGGAAGGGTATTTTTAAAGACACCCAGATTCCCAAGGGTGCTGCTATGCCGTGTGAAAGCCCCTTCAGCTGCTAACCTGGGAGTTCTGAGGGGCTGTCTCTGCTTCTTGCCCAAGCTGACGATACAGAAGTGAACATGGGCCCTGAGGAAGTCCTACTTTTCTCCCATCTCCCTTCTCCTGCAGTCAACACACAGGCACCCCTGCAAGATGCCTCATCTCTAGGAGGGATATGAGAGCCTGTATCTCCAATTAACACAGGAAGTGAAAGAACAAAACCACAGCTCCTAGGCTGTAACAGAAACAGGATTTTAATACAGTATTCATCTCTATTGTATCCATTTTTATAGTAAATAAATTTTGCCCCTCTTCAAAGCAGCCAGGGCTGGGGGAGAGCTCTTAGGGAGCGGGGACAGGAGTGTCTCATGTTCTCCTGGGCTTCAAGGGATCCCAGAAAAAGACTCACCTTGCTGTCCTTCTCATCTGGGCTGGAGGAGCCGGCCCAGGGTCCCTGGGGGGCCCAGCTGTGCCCTGCTGCGTACGTAGGGGTCACAGTTGAGCGTGCCTCGTGTCTGTCCAGCCACTGGTCCAGGGCTCTGCTCTGGGGGCCTGGTGGCTGGATGGGAGGGCAGGATGACCTGGAGGGGACTACCCCAGGGTCTCAGACTACCCTGCCACCCACTCTCACTCTGTGCTCCGGGCACTGTGCTGCGTGCTTGGTGTCCCGGTCCCGAGAGTGATCATTTAGCATCAGCCCATTTCATAGAGGAGGAAAGCGAGGCCCTGAGAGGTGAGGTGCCCTGCCCCAGCCACAGGGCTGTTCAGTGATGGAGCCGGGAGCCCAGTGCCAGCTGTCCGACACTCCAAACCCACACTTAGCCCAAAGCTGCACTGAGCCCTGGGACAGTCCGCCCAGTACACCAGGTCACTCACAGGCACCTGAGCTTGACTGTGGCCTTTTCTCCTTGGCATTGAGGCCGTTGCTGGCTGACTCAGGTGGTGGTTCTGACTGGCAGGACTGCTTATAGCTACAGGACAGGGTGGCAGCCCTGAGACTACCTGGAGCCACACCTCAGCTCTCCCTCCCAATGCCTGCCCAGCACCTGCAGTCTGGATGGCCCAGCTGTCACCACATACTAGAGGATGACTCTGACCAGGAGCCATAGCTTCAGGCTTCCTGCTACTGGCCACCAGAGAGAGTCGACCCCTGCCCTCACCCAAGTCCTTCCCCAGCCTGATCTCTCATCCTCACTGAGCTGCTCCATGGTCTGGAACCAGGTTCCAAAGTCCTCAGGTGGAAATTATCTGCAGCCACCTGAGGCAGCTGCAGCTCCCTAATTACTGTGCATTCCTGGTGCCAGAGGGAAGAACAGCAGGGTGACAGGGCCCGGTGGGGGGTGCTGGAGGAGCCCTGGTGGGGGTGTGGAGTGGGGCTAAGGGTCTTGGCCTCTCTAGGTCTTTGCTTTTAAGAGGCTCCCACCTCCACTCCAATCCCATCCAGTCCCTACTTGTTCTCAGAGTTGGGTTCAAACAGTCCCTCCTCCAGGAAGTTGTCCTTGATTCCAGCGCCTACCCCCACCCTCCAGTGGGATGGTTCCTCCTCTGCTCTGTATCAAGCCCTCCCAATGAGTCTAAGATGTAGGGGATGGGTCCAGGGAGTGTCTGGCAGGCGGGGAGTCTCCGACTTCCACGCCCCCAGCCTCCCGCAGTGAATGCCACAGCTGCTTACCTAACTCCTTTCCTGGAAGTTGATCAGATTTGCCTGGAAGTCACACAGCCAAAGCCCATCAAAAAGTCCCTGGCCCCTGACCACCTCCCGACCACATTCCTCTCACGTTGCAGTACCAACAGGGTCCACCAGGGGGCAGGGCGTGCATACAAAATGGGACTTGAACCTGGGTCAGACTAGGCTCCAGAGGAGGCGGTCACGGCAGCGGAGGCTCAGGGACTTTAGAGCCCAGCCCTCTCTGATGACAGACAGGGAAACCGAGGCATCGAGCTGGAAGGGATTGTTCACCTACTCCCGTGCTCTCTAACTTCACTCTCCTGCCACCATGGACAGCGCCCGAGGGAGCGTCTGACTCCAGCGCAGCTACAATCTCCTGCAGCTGGGCAGCGAGGCAGCTGGGCCGCTTCACTACACGGGGAACGGGGTCTGGCGGCTCCGTGGAGCCTCCGTTCCCCTCATCAATACGGTGGGCGCGACGCCCGGCTCACAGGGGAAGTGTGAGGACCGCCTAAGAGGAGGTTTGCCGAGAGCTCAAGACTCGGTGAGGGGCTCTCTCCTCCCAAGCTCAGGACCCTGGCCCCGCCCTGCCCCTCCCCAGCCTCAATCGCATCTGGATAATCCTTCATCGCAGTGCCCAGCATCACCAGGTCAGATGGAATGGGCCAAGGAGGGGTCGGACCCTGTGCCCATGGGGTGGGGTGTTGATGAGCACTGGCTCTCCGGTACCGCCCTCGGGTTGATCAGATCAAACAATCTGCAGCCACCTGGGGCAGCTGCAGCTCCCTAATTACCTAATCAAATCCCTCACACTCAGCCTCCCGGACCCACCCAGGCCTCCCACGTGGAGCAGCCAAGATTTGCCCCCACCCAAAACCCGTCCCCACACCTCTCTGCGTCTAGCAAACTCGCTGTAGCCACTCCTACAGCCGGCTTTGGCAATCACAAAGGTTGTGAGGGGCCAGCCCTGGTTCTCCCTGCTCCTCTCCAACCCACCATCTCCACCCTCTGCGCCAGCCCAGCTCTCCCTGACCCTTGCTCTGGCCACTTCTGTTGGAGGCATTTCAGGCACTGCTGGAGAAGCAAGGCCCCCTCCTCTCTTGATGTGAGGCCTACGCTGGGAGGGAGGAGTCCTGCCCTCTGACTCCCAGGAGTTTCTCCCACCCCACCTGCAGCTGCTGCCTCTTCTGGGCTCTCTGGGGCTCCATCTCCAGGGTGGCCACCCTGAAGGTCCCCTCCTGCCAGGGTCGAGGGCAAGGTCAGTGAGGATATCCTCTTCACCCCTTTATTCTCCCAGCCCCCTGACCCTGGGGCCCTGGACACCTGGCCAGATCAGCTGGTACTAGTACTACTGCCACCACTTCTGGGGCGCTTTGATTCCAGCTTCACTCCCTTGGCCTCCCTGAACCTGTGTGTTTCCTCCTCTGGGAAAGTGCGGCAGGAACTCCACCTGCCTCACAGGCTCTCCTGAGCACCTGGTTCCTAGCACTCACAGCATTGTTCCTGCCATCACACCCCTCCCCCAGGGCAGAGCCAGGCACAAAGCCCTCCACATTCCTCTCCATTGTCACCATGTGAGTCCTGCACCACAGGGCCATCATCCCTCCACTTTTCAGATGAGAAAACAGAGGCCAAAGAGGAGAGTGACTTGCCCAGGGCCCCATAGGAGAGGCCAGCTTCCTCCTCCTAGCTGGAGGCCCCATCCCAGCTGCCTTCACCATGCCCCTCAGCACCACTGCTGACCAGGGTCCCATCCTCTGGGCTCTCGATGTGTGTCCAGGCCCCCAGCCAGGCCCAGCCGTGGTGGGAGAAGACAGGGTAGTCCCAGGAGGCCCAAATGAGTGGCTCCTGCCTGCCTCAGCCACAGGATTCTCTGCCCCAAAGGCTGGGCTGAGGCCATGCAAAGGCTCCACCTCCCCAGGGAAACCCCCAGGAAGTTCCCCTGCACAGAACACTTTCTTCCTCCACTCAGGAAGGGGGACTCCGAGGTGCTATCTCTAATTGACAGGCTAGGGGTGCCCAGGGTGATGGGTGAGGCCACTTTGCTTCCTCTTTTGTGTGGATGCTTGTGAAATCCTCTCAGGAAGTAGCCACCGGGGATCCATTAGTCCCCATATACTCCTCATAAACCATCTGGGATATGTGTCATTGCAAATGAGGCATCAGGGCCGGAATCTGTGACTGATCAGCAGTGCCTGCTATGGTGCCAGAGAGGGCAGTTGCAGAGTGCACATACCTGTCCTCTACTCTAGCCATTTGGACCCATGGCTGGGCAGCCTTTTTGACTACCTGGCCTATGGGATTCCTCGGCAGTGCCCATCCCTGGTGCAGGCAGGGAGCCCCCTCCCCTTGGAGCTGCAGTCCAGACAGAAGAGCAGCTGGAGGCCAGCTTCCTGAGGACCCTCTACCTTCCCCATCTGCCAACAGCCTGGAGGGGGCTACCAGCCAGTGCGATGGGCCAGCCAGGGACCCAAGCCAGGGACCTGCTCAATCTGCCACCTCATCAAGCCCTCCTGGCTCAGCACAGCACAGCCACCACTATGACCCATTGCTGGGACCTCCTGCTCTCTGAAGTGCCCCCCACCCCCACCCCGCCTGCCCATGGACCAGAGGGGTCCCTCTGCTATGAATCCAGAAAAGATGCTATGAATCCAGAAAAGATGGAGACTGAAGATTTTCAAAGAAACTCTCAATAAGAAACTGAAAAACCACACCCTGTCCAGTCCTTCCACCCTCTCAGTTCCCTCCCTCCCAAAGGCTTGCCCCCATCTCCTCCTCCACTTTGCCATGGTGAGCAGAACCCTGCACAGTGCACTATCTTACACACCTTGGAAATTTCTGGGACTGTTCCTGTGCAGAGGGGAAAGAAGGAAGGAGAAATTTGGGAATCACGGGGAGGGGTATGAGTGCAAATCCCATTTACTTAAGAAGTCACAGACCCAAACACCCTAGATGAGAGGTTCCAACAGGTTCCTCTGAGTCTAAGGGCCCCATGAGACTGGGGAGGGGAGGGGAGTCTCAGGTTGGTCCACTGGGCCCCCACTCCCATTTCAGCTGAGCAGGTCTGTTTTGACCAGTTTTGATTTCAATCATCAGAGAAATTTGTTGCTGTGAGGTAAGCTCTTGATAGTCTCCGATTTGGCCCCAGCCTATATCTGACAGGTAAGGAAAGGTAACCTAATTTGAAGCAGAACTGCTGGCCTAAGATCCCAGGGAGGCTCAGAGACCCCACCCAGGTTCCCAGTCCCTACCTCAAGGGTTCACAGCCTCCCAGTGCCTCCTAGGCTCACTGAGAGGCAATGCCCAGCCCAGCCCCGTGGATGTCCCTGATCCACCCTGGTGCTCCTATAGAGAGAGGCCTTCTCACCTGGAAACTTCTCTCCATGTGAATTGAGGTACTCTGCAGAGCAGAGAGGATGGTGTGGAGTGAGGAGAAGTTCTTGAGGACTCAGCACTCCTGGGGAGGAGGGAGAATGAGCCAGGAGGTGGGGAGCTGGAATCCCCCCTGCTCCACTCCAGCTCCTCCACTGACATCTCCCCTCCTGGAGGAGACAGAAGCCCCGGGGAGCTGTGACAGGGAGTAGGGGCACACCTGGGACCTAGTGAGCAACACTCACAGGGAAGGAGCCCAGTAGGAAGTGAGCATCCCATCTCTGAGACACATGTTCAAGGCCAGCATGCCCCTGACAGGAAGGCCTAGGGACTGTGTGGGGGCTTAGACCACAGACCACACACCTGAGAGCTGACAAGGAGGCCATTCCCAAGGCTGCAAGAGGGAGCATATTAGTCCGTTTTCACACTGCTAATAAAGACACACCTGAGACTGGGAAATTTACAAAAGAAAGAGGTTTAATTAAACTTACAGTTCCACATGGTTGGTGGCTGGGGAAGCCTCACAATCATGGTGGAAGACGAGAAGCAAGTCACATCTTACATGGATGGCAGCAGGCAAAAAGAGCTTGTGCAGGAAAAGCTCCCCCTTATAATAACCATCAGATCTCGTGAGACTTACTGTCACGAGAACAGCACAGAAAGACCTGCCCCCATGATTCAGTTACCTCCCACTGGGTCCCTCCCACAACACGTGGGAATTCAAGATGAGATTTGGAAGGGGACACAGACGGGAGCTCCCTGGGCCTCCCACAGCAAACCTTGGCCACCTCGATTCAAAGTTGCACCACCCTGCGCCGGCCCGGGCCTTCACTCTCTGGTCTCTGCATCACATGGTGGTTCACTGAGGGCACCCAGCACATGATGACCCAGGACCCAATATTGGTAGGCACAGGAGAGTGGCATTTTCACTCAGCCCTTCCTCACTAACTCCAAGCACCAGAAAGTGGCTTATGCCTGTCCCTCCCCAGATGGCATCTGTCTCCTTCTTGATCAGCCATCTAGTCTGTCTCCCCATTTGGATACATGTCGTCTTCCCCAGGGGCAGCTTTGTTTCAGTGTCTGTCTTAGAATCCACATTAGGTGCCTAATAAGGGCTGAGGTGGGTGAGGTTTCCTGAGCACAAGTGGGCAACCCATGCACCTGGCTGCTCCTCAGTGAGCACCCTCCACCTACAAAGGGACCAGGCCCTGACCTGCCTTCCCTCTCTCCTCTCATTCTGCACAGTCACTGTGTGTGGCAGGTGCTGTTATGTCCCATCTCTGCCCTGTACATGTGGACAGTGAAGGTCTGGAGGTTAAGAATCTAGTCCAGGCCATATGGTTGGTAAGAGGTGGAGATGGGATTGGGCCCGCATCATTCGACTGAGGCTCAGGGAAAGGTCCCAGAGGGGAGGCTGTCCCAACCCTGCCCTGAGAGCCCAGCGCTCATTGCATCCATCAGAGTCAATTGCTCTGCCACCAGCATAGGAAAGAATCCCCCAGGAGGCTGGGGACCTCCTCACTGGGCCAGTTCTGTATGGTCCCAGGCTAGGGGCAGGAGTGCTCTGGGACTGATTCTATCTTGGGCTGTCACTGGAGCAGGCTCCTTCCCCGGAGTGCCCTCAGGGTACTTTTCTGGCCAGGTGCCCAGGATAGAAGAGATAGTGTTAGGGGGTGGGGGTGGGGGGCAGCAGAGTCACATACCTGGCCTTTCCTTCCACATTGCTCTTCTAGGGCACCTTGTTTGGATGTGGGCCCCTGTGCCTGCCCTGCCTGTCCAGAGACGGCCCCACCCAACCCCTCTGTGACTGTCCTGGCAGAGACAGCCCTGGTCTTCAGGCAGGGCAGGCATAGAACCTACATGGGCTGGGTCTTGCCAGTGACTCTTGCTCTGAAGGGCTACCTGCACCAGGAATGAGGTTTGAGGTAGAAGTGTGAGCGGGTTGCTCACTACAGCTCCTGTTCTAGGTCCCCTAGAGGTTGGGTCTGGAGGGGTGGATGTGGAAGGAGGCGGGCAGAGCTGGGATGGGACTGTGGTGGGGATGGCTCTGAGCCCCAGCCTCCCTTTCACTTCCCAGGGGACTTGGATCCTATCCATAACTCTCACTAACTAATTTCCTCCTGCAGAGGAAGCCCCCAGACCTCAGCCCTCTCATGGGAATCCTAAGATGTATGAGATCCAGGGTTCTGCCAGCCCCTCCCCAGCCACAGACTCCCATATGCCCCCAACTGTTCTGGGGAAACAGGAGCCTGTCCTTCTAGACCTGAAGTCCACTGACATTTTTAGTTGATCCTGAGGTCCATCATCTCTGTCAGAATATGGCAGGATGCATGTGTATCTGGAAGAGGCCAGGAGGACATCACAATGTCAACATACTGTGGACGCAGCCTGCTTATGATGTCTAGTGCACCCATGACTCCCCAGCTAGAATTCAGACAATCCCCAGGGAGTGCCTTCTGCAGGCAGAAAAGTACCTGCACAAAGTAGGTGCTCAATGTATATTTGTTGAAAGAATGAACCCCAACCAGAATTTTCCCAGATATCTGAGTTAGCGTAGGGCCCCTCCACCAGCCCCCAGGGAGCCCTGTTCTGGGTACCCCAAGCACAGGGATCAGCCATGTGGAAACTCAAACCCTCTTCACAAATGGGAAAACAGGTTTGCTTTCCATATGCTTTCCCAAACATAGGAAGGCCATGAGTGAGGCAGAGAGCTACTTCGTGTTCAAAAAATAAATAACAGCCACAGCACATCTGGCAGCCATTTCCACAGAGCCAAGCACCAGGTCAGCACCTGCCATGGCTCACCCCATTTAGTCCCTGCAAGAACCCTGTGAGATTCATCCTCTTACCACCTTTCTTCTCAGAGGAGCAAATTGAGGCTAAGAGAGGTGCAGCAAAATTCCTGAGACACACAGCTAGCTGGTGGCAGAGTCCCCACTGTGCTGTCGAAGGGACAGGCTCCCACCTATTGAATACCCAGTCCAGGAACTGTGGGGTAGAGACGAAGAACCAGTGGTTTCCCAGGAAGGTGGTGCTGTAGGGTATGTGTCTGCTCTGGAAGCCTGGTCCAGGGATGCCACCATATGCTCCTGAGTGCCCACCTGGAGGGTCCACATTGTGCAGATCTCGCCCAGGTGCAGGGTTAACTCATTTTTATACTGAGTGGGACAAGGAAGGACACAGAGTCAGAGGCAGCACCAAAAACCACCAGGAGAATCGTGAGCTAGAGCTCAGACCAGGAAGCCCCAACTCCTTGGGGACTTGTGTGTGAAGAGGGATGTGAGTGCCCACAGCAAGAGAGGTTAGCATTCCCCTATTAAGAGCTTGTATGAAGAGCATCACTCTAGTGCGTCCTAAAAAAATCCCCATTGTTGAGATGGAAAACAGAGGCTTAGGGATGTCAAATGGCTGCTCAAGGTCACACAAGACAGAACTAAGAACTGCCCAAAGCTAGGGCCGCATCACCTTCCCCCTAAGCTACCTGAAGCTTAGTCTTCTTCTGGCATGGAGGGAGAGGATCTGGGGGAACCTCATTCCCCACCCCACTGCCCCCACCAAGTTGAGAGACCAGTTTACAGTGTGGATCCACTGCTATGGTGTGCATGTTTGTCTTCTCTAAAACTCATGTTGAAGTGTAGTTGCCATTGTGACCATATTGGGAGATGGGACCTTTAAGAGGTGTTTAGGTCATGAGAGCTCTACCACCATGGGTAGATTAATGTGAGTATCGTGGAGGTGGGTCTGCCCCCTCTTGCTGTCTCTCACTCTCTCTTTGCCCTTCTGCCCTGTGAAGCCTTCCGCCATGGGATGATGCAGCAAGAAGGCCCTCACCAGATGCCAGCATCTTGACTGTGGACTTCCCAGCCTCCAAAACTGTGAGAAATAAATTTCTGTACAATATAAATTACCCAGTCTATGGTGTTTTGTTGCAGCAGCACAAAATGGACTACAACACCCACCCTAGGAGAGTCCTTTAGACTTCAAAGCAAGGCACTTAATTTTCTTTCTTTTACAATAAAGGCAGTCTTGAGAACCTGAGCTATGAGGATCCCAGATCCAGCAAAGGGGCGAATGCCTGGAGGTTCCAGGGTGCGAGAAGGGCTGTCACGGCAACAAGAACACGAGCAGACAACTGGGGGAAGAGAAAATCCAAATGGCTGGCAAACAACTGACAGGTGCTCAAGCCTGTAAGTGGGAAATTAAAAAGCAAAGGAAGCATACGGTGGCATTTGCCACATGGACACCAGATTATCAGGAATGTAAATGAATGACATCCCCCATTGTCAGGCTGGATGCAGGGAAGCAGCCACCATTGGAGACTGCTGTGGCAACGCAACTGCCACAGCCTCTCTGGAAAGTAATTTGGCTGAAGCGATTTAAGATTTCTCATATGCATACCCTTCCACCAGCAACCCTATGCCTGGAGTCTGTCTTCTGTAGGGAAGAAGTATGTGGTATGAGCCAAATTATGTCTCCCAAAATTCATATGTTGAAGTGCTAACCCCCAGGACCTCATAATGTGACTGTATTTGGAGACATAGTCTTTAAAGAGGTCATTAAGGTTGAGTTCATTGAGGTGGACTCTAATCCAGTCTGACTGATGTCCTCATAAGAAGAGGAGATTAGGGCACAAAGAGGCACAGAGTAGGGAGGTAGAGGTTGCAGTGAGCTGAGACCAAGCCACTGCACTCCAGCCTGGGCGACAGAACAAGACTCTGTCTCAAGAAAAACAAACAAACAACAAGGACAACAAAAATGAGGCACAGAGTAAAGACAATGTCAACACAGAGATAAAAGGCGGCCATCTGCAAGCCACAGAGAGAGGCCTCAGAAGAAACCGCCCCAGCCCACACCTTGGTCTCAGAATTCTAGCCCCAGAATTGTGAGAAAACCAATTCTGTTGTTTAAGCCACACAATCTGGGTACTGTTATGGCAGCCCTAGCAGGCCAGTGCTCTCTAATAGGACACACATAAGGTGTTCCCCGCAGCCCTGCTGAAATGGCAGCAGAATGGAATCACATCCAGGTCCACCAGCATTGGAAGGTGGAATTGCTGTGGCAAAAAAAAAAAAGCCCTCCTTTTGGAATATTGTGAAGACAGGTGAGGCCAAGGCTCTGGCCCTAGTGGGCTAAGATGATGTGTTCTGGGACATGACAAGTTGCAGAGACACATAAAGAAGAGCTGAACCAACCCCCACCGCCTCCATTTTTGTGTATAAACCACCCTATTAAGCCTGATGATTTCTAAGGCTTGGAGCAGGTCTGGAAGGGCAGGGGAGCTGATTCTTACATGGGATATCTGGGGCAGGTGGCTAAAAAAACAAAAATAGTAGCAACATGCAAAAATGCTCATGGCCTGGTGTGATATGAAAACAATGAAAAAGTCTTTTCTCTGATATTCCTACAAGTGTGTGAAGTGTCTTTCCACCTTACCAATTTGCAGGTGGAGGAGGAGTGGCAGCCCAGATTTCTGCGGGGTAGAACTGTGGGCCACTCTAGTGGGAAGGCCCTGCTTGAGAGACCCCAGGAGTCCTTGTATACAAAACTGGGTTCTGGACCCGGGCTGTTCATCTCGTGATACTGGCAGTGGAGACACCAGCACCACCACCCTCCCCCATGCCCGCTCTCACTCCAGACCAGTGCTGGTCATTATTGGTGGCATGGTGCACCTACCCCTTGTCTAGGAAGATGGAGGAGTTGAACCCATCAACCAGCTCCTCACTGATCTCTCACATGGAGCTCTGCACAAATGATGCTCGGCAGCCAGATCATCAGACATCAGGGCCCTGCCTGGCCATCACCGCAGCGGGAAACTCACATTAGAAATTCTGCTCCCCAGATAAGGCACAGGTAGGCAACTGCATAGAGGAAATGAGCTGAAGTCTCAGGAGCACAGGATAACATCTGGGGAAATGTCCTTCACCCAGCACTCACCTTCCCATCTTGCCAGGCCCACCAGGGTTCCAACACCCAACAACCTGCTCCAGCCCAGGAAGGGCCCAACGCTCATCCCTTGCCTTCCCTCCACTGCCTCCCTCCACACACACGGCGATGGAGAGGGGTGTGGGGCTGCCCAGGTGGGATCACAGTTGTGGCCTGGCCCGGACTTCTCTGTGTTACCTTTGGGTACTTCCTGCCAAATGGCCAGAGGTGCCAAAAGTGAGTGCTGAGCCAAAAAGCCTGCAGCAATGGAAAAGGCCCTCGTGCCGGGCTTTCCTGGAGTCAGAGCCTCAGAAAGTCGGGATACAGCAGGAGAACATCTTATTCCCTCTAGTGGCTCCCATCGAGTGAGCTGGACAGGGGGTCTCTAGAATGTGAGTGCTGGTTATCAAAGTTCTAAGTTCTGTTGGGGCCTATCACCAAGGAAGTTAGGTCACTTCTCTAAGGTTCCATTACCTCGGCTCCTTCCTTCAAAGAGCTCCCTCCCCAAAGGTCTCTCTGAGCCATTGACTGCTCACCCTCCTCCTCTATGTCATCTCCTTAACTGTTCACAATTTTGCCAACATCCCCCCTCTGGGAAAACCCAAATGCAGCGAGGGCCCTAGGTTTGAGGAGATACAGCTGGGTTCCAACCCTTCTTTTTCTTACCAGTTCTGTGCCCTGGAAAACTCACTGTACCTCTCAGAGCCTCTCCAGTCCCCTAACCTGCACAATGCAAATCATCCCAGCATCTGCTTCCCAGAGACATCATCAGGCATACATGAGATAATTCTCATAACACTCATAGGTTGGTGTCACAAGTAACAAATGCACAAACTCAAGAGAAGGAAGAATTATAAGGATAGATGGGATGCAGCACGGACTTAAACTGAAGACATGCCCGGGTTCCAACAGTGTAATATTGGAAAAGTTACTTCCACTCTGGGCCTCATTTCTCATTCTGCACCATGAGAGAGTTAACATAAAATGAAACTGGTATATGGTCATCCTGTGGCATAAAGCCTTCCAGTGGTTTCCTGTTATATTTAGAATCAGACCTAGGTGTCTCATCCCAGCCTATGTGGTAGTCTGCATGCATGCACAGCAGCTTGCAATGAACCTCACTGCTGGGATTCATGCCCTTGTTTAACCATAAAGTGGTTACTGACTCCCCTTCTGACTAAGAGTATACAGCAAAGTGACGGGTTGTCTCTCCTGTCTGAGTCAGTTAGGGCTGCTATAAGAAAGTGCCACAGACAGGGTGGCTCACCAATAACAGAAATGTATTCCTTGCAGTTCTGGAGGCTGGAAGTCTGAAATCAGGGTATCAGCATGGTCCAGTTTTGCCGAGGTCCCTCTTCAGGGTTGCAGACTGCCAGCTTCTTGTTGTGTCCTCAGATGGTTGAAAAAGGGTGACGGAGCTCCCTGGGGTCCCTTTGAAAAGGGCACTAATCCCATTCATGAGGGCTCCACCTTTATGAGCTAATTATCTCACAAAGTCCCCACCTCCTAATATTATCACATTGGGAATTTGGCTAACAACACATGACTTTTGGGGGACGTAAACATTCAATCCATTGCAACTTCCAATATTTAGTTACAAAAAAAGCACCAATTCCCTCGTACTTGCTGTCTCCTGTGTTTCTCCCTCCCTTTCCTTGTCCTTCTCTGTCCCTCCTCCTCTCGCTGCCTCTGTCACAGTCCTCTAACTGAGGAAGCAAGCTTTCATGTCAGGAGCTACCCGACATAGAGGCCCACATGGCAAAGAACTGGGGAACATCCAGGCCAACAGACAGAAAGGAACTCAGGCTTAGTCCAAACTGGTTCTGCCAATACCTACATGAGTGAGCTTGGGAGCAGCTCTTCCCACAGCCCAGCCTCGGTTGAGACCACAGTCCCAGCTTCATGGGAGACCTTCAGGCAGAGGCACCCAGGTAAGCCATGCCCAGGTTACTGATCCACAGACTGTGAGATATTAAATATTTGTACTTTCACATTGCTAATGTTGTGAGAAGAATGGGTAACTCACCTAGTCTACCAGGCCCCAGGATCTGGCCCTGCCATCATTTCCCTCCTCTCCCATCCTCCCTCCAGGGCTCCCCCAAGCCACACTCCCCAAGCCACACTGGCTCTTTCTCTTCTTTCTTCTTCTTCTTATTTATTTATTTATTTATTTTGAGACAGAGTCTCACTCTGTTGCCCAGGCTGGAGTGCAGAGGCACGATCTCAGCTCACTGCAACCTCCACCTCCCAAGTTTAAGCAATTCTCCTGCCTCAGCCTCCCAAGTAGCTGGGATTACAGGTGTACACTACCACACCTGGCTAATTTTTGTACTTTTAGTAGAAATGGGGTTTCACCATGTTGGCCAGGCTGGCCTCAAACTCCTGAACTCAGGTGATCCACCTGCCTCGGCCTCCCAAAGTGCTGGGATTACAGGCATGAGCCACCACACCCAGCCTACACACTTGCTCTTTCTAACCTCCTCTGCCAAACCCACCTCTGTTTGGGAGTCTCTGCTTCAGTGGTGCCTTCTCCTTGACACATTGTTCCCAAATGTGTGCAGGGCTGGCTCCCTCTGGTCCTTCTGCTCACAGCATAAAAGTAAGGCCCCTCTGAGGCCCACCCAGTGACTTCCCAGGCCCACCTCTCAGCACTCGACTTCATTTTCTCTACAGCACTTGCTCTTTTCTTTCACATGCCTTTGTCCATCTCCCCCTCCAGACTGTGAGCTCCTGGAGAGCAGGGACCACTTGGCTGATCTCAGCACAGCATGCTGGGCCCACTGGGGCACCTGCACAGGGTGAGTGCTCAGGCGTAGTTGCTGCATGAATAAATGGGAGGATCGCAGACTTTCCACCTCCCCACCTTCTGACCAGCTAAGACTGTGGAGATGATCAATGCAAATAAAAGGTGTGAGTCAGACCTGAGGAAGGAGGACGGCAGGCGTGACCTCTGCGTGACTTTTCCCTGGCACCAGTTGCTGGTAAAGCAGAGTAGGCACCGCGGACACAGGAGGCTGACCGCCTCCTGGTGGCCAGCCGTAGCACTGCAGCCCCAGGCCAGAGCGCCTCGACTTAAGTCACACACTCCGGCTGGCTGACCTCAAGGCAGTGGTTTTTTGGGGGTCTCCAGGGGGCAAAGGAGCAGGTCCGCAGGCTCCAAAGGGCAGTGTGAGGAACCTCGGAAGCCTCCCTTGACCCCTTTTTGCCTCCACTTCCTTTGGCGTCAAGCATCCTTATCTCGGCCAGGACAATGCTTCCCCCTACTTCCAAATGCAGACTCAGGATCCAACAAGGATCAGCCTCGTTCCTGGACCACAGACACGGTGTCCGACGCTCTGGCACCCTCTGCCCTATAGCAAGCCCTCATCACCCAAGCCCCAAACCTAACTCTGCTCTGAATGATGTCCAGGGAGTGGAGAGCATTTTCCCAGGGTCTCAGAGCACAATGGGCACTGATGGATAAGCCATATCAACAGACACTTTCTGAGTATGTGGAACCCTTGGGGTCACTCACCCAAGCACCCCAATTAATACAGGAGGAAACGGAGGCTTTCTCTCCCATAGTCTCTGTCCGCACTAGCAGGGAGGGCTCATCCTACTTCCAGGTGCCCAGACCAATGGCCTGAGGACCCCGGCCCTGGCCTCTCAAGGCTGTGCTGGGGCCCTTAGGGAGCCCTATGTCTGCCCTGCTCATGCCCTGGGTTCCTGAGCATGTTGCCGATGCCACTGACTCATAACAGAGCTGCCTCCAACCTCTTTCTTCTTTCCCTCTGGGAGGAGGCTCAGCACTGGCCTAGGAAGCTGGAGCCCTCCCTTACCTTTTAGACTCTGTGCATTTTCTGTGGTCTAAGCCAGGCCCTGTCTCTTTCTGGAATTCGGTTTCCCAAATGCACAATGAGGGGATGGGTGTGAAACTGCCTCAGTGTGCTCAGTGAGGATGCAGCGTCAAGTTCCATCAATACAGGACGGGGTGTCAGGGTGGGGTGGCTCAGGTGCATATGGTGAAGAAGCCTCCCTAACTCGGGCAGATGCTGAGGGACACCACATATAACAGCCAGGCCTAGTGCCCATGGCCAGGCATGCTCAAGGGGCCCTGTGTCTGGACCAAGAAGAGAACATGCTGGTGAGTTCCTCCTTCACTGTGTCCACAAGTGCAGTACACAAGGGAGCCCCAGGCAAGGTTGGTCTCATGCAGCCAGCTCTGTGCCTCCCACACTTGCAGGGGCCTGGGTCACATGTTCACCACTGGAGCCAAGAAGTGGTGTCAGTCTCACTTAAGCACTAAGAGTGAGGGCAGGGAGGGGTAGTTTCTTAAGAAAAAAACTGAGGTGCTGTCTTCAATAGAAGATGAGTTGGATGTCAGAAAGATAAAAGCACCCGATCTCAGAATCATACATATAGACCCCATATCTACCTCTGCCACTAGGCACACGGGGATATATATGTCCCAGAGAAGGTAGGTGTCTTGTCCAAAGTCACACAATGAGCAATGGCAAAACTCATAATTTGGTTAACATTCACTATGGCTACATATACTAGAATCCCTAAAATAATAGTGACATGTATTAGTTAGGGTTCTCTAGAGGGACAGAACTAATAGGATAGATGTATACATAAAGGGGAGTTTATTAAGCATTAACTTACACAATCACAAGGTCCCACAATAGGCTGTCTGCAAGCTAAGAGTGAGGAGAGCCAGTCCAAATTCCAAAACTGAAGAACTAGGAATCTGATGTTTGAGGGCAGGAAGCATCCAGCATAGGAGAAAGATGCAGGCTGGGAGGCTAGGCCAGTCTCTCTTTTCACATTTTTCTGCCTGCTTTATATTCTAGCTGTGCTGGCAGCTGATTAGATGGTGCCCACCCAGATTAAGGGTGGGTCTGCCTTTCCCAGCCCACTGACTCAAATGTTAATCTCCTTTGGCAACACCCTCACAGACACACCCAGGATCAATACTTTACAGAGACAGGCCATCCATACTGACCTTGAACTGACCACCACAGAAGTTTATAAATCATGTGTTTCTGTTCGAGCATCTTGTATGTGCTTTCCATCCTCAATGCGGTCTCATGGTCCAATGTGGCTGCTGGAGCTCCAGCCTCGACCGGCCACCATTTTTGCATTTCAGAGAGCAGGCAAGGCAGGGCAAAGGGGGCCCTCTCAGCTGGGTCACTTCCATCTGAGCAGTCTCCCCAGAGTCCCACACCACACTGTGGTCACATCTAATTGGCTGGAACTTAGGTCATTCTTAGCTGCAAGAGAGGTTGGGAACTTTTTAGTCTTTTAGTTGGTGAATTGCTGTCCTGAATAAAACTGAGCATCTGCATGTAAGAATAAGAGGAGAATGAAAACCGTGGAAACTAACAGTGCTCTCTCTCTACAGTAAATGCCAAGATAGAGAGGAAGGGATGGGGTTGCTTTCAGATGAATTGGGCATTTGTTTACCTATCACAGCCTCTCTTTTCTCACTGTTTATTCATTCACAGAGAGAGAAAAAGCTTGGTTCCAAACCAGGATATATGAATGGGACCCCTGCTTTCAACTCCCTAGCAGAATGTCTAGAACCACTGTGTTGGCTTTCATCTGTTTGTACCTTGTAAGTAAATCTGAGAACATCCTTTCCTGTTTCATAAATGGGGCAGGGAGGGGCTGAGAGCTGTGAAGCTTTTAAGACAAGCAGCATGTCCCTAAAAAGCTGGGTCAAAATTGAATGTCTGTAAATTTTAAAAGTACAATGTATTCACCCCAAGGACACTTTGACCCTCATAATAAATATTACCAGTAAAATGAATCCACCCAAAATAAAACTTAGTCCATTCAGGCTGCTACAACAAAACACCATAAACGGGATGACATATCAATAACTGAAATTTATTCCTCACAGTTCTGGAAGCTGGGATGTCCTAGCTCAAAGTCCCAGAAGATTTGGTATCTGGTGAGGGCCAACCCCCTGGTTCACAGATAGCTGTCTTCTCACTGTGTCCTCAGATGGCAGAAGGCAGAAAGGGAGCTCTCTGTGGCTTGTTTTGTAAGGGCACTGATGCCATTCATGAGGGCTCTACCCTCACAACCTTATCACCTCCCAAAGGTCAAACCTCCAAATACCATCATACTGGGGGACAGGTTTCAAAACAGGAATCTGGGGGGACACAAACAGTCTATAGCAAAAACTGATAATGGTTAAAACTGCACGTGGTAAAATTTATCATTGACTGAAAATTGATGGAAGAAAAGTATATTTAACATTTTGATATGCATAATTTGACCAAGGAAAATTGACTTGGTAGGAATAATAATCCCTAAAGAAAGCTTACAATAGCAGAATCTACAGTCAGTAAATTATGATGTGGATCCCCAAAATATCAAGTCATTTACATAAAAAATTGATCTTGATAAAAATAACTTCAAGCCAGGCCTGGTGGCGCACATCTGTAATCCTAACACTTTAGGAGGCTGAGGTGGGAGGATTGCTTGAGGTCAGGGGTTTGAGACCAGCCTAAGCAACATAATAAGACCTTGTCTCTACAAAAAAAAAAAATAAACATTCTGTCCACTGTAGCATCCTAAATTTATAACAGTCTAGTTTGAATTAATACCAACTTAGCTTCAACAGCACACAAAAATTCTGCTCCTATACGGTTCATCCCCTCCTACCTTTATGTTGCTGTTATCACAATTAATATCTTTTTTTCCCTTGAGACAGGGTCTTGCCTGTTCACCCAGGCTGGAGTGCAGTGGTGTGATCATAGATCACTGCACCCTCAAACTCCTGGGCTCAAGCAATCCTCACACCTCAGCCTCCTGAGTAGCTGAGACTACAGGCATGTGCCACTATGCCTGGCTATTTTTTTTTAATTTAATTTTTTTTTTTTTTTTAGATATGGGGTCTCTCTACATTGCACAGGCTGATCTTGAATTCTTGGCTTCAAGTGGTCGCTCAACCTTGGCCTCCCAAAGGGCTGGGATTACAGGCATGAGCCACTGTGCCTGGCCATAAATTACACATTTTACATGTATGCCTGTTAAAAGATTTATAATTACTTTTCATGTATTTGTCTTTTGAACTGCATAGGAAATAGTTACAAACCAAAAATGCAACAATACTGTTTTTATATTAATCTATGCAGTTATCTTTACTAGAGATCTTTATTTCTTCATATGGCTTCAATTTGCTGTCCAGTGTCCTCTCATTTCAGCCCCCAAGGACTCCCATTAGCATTTCTTGTGAGAGCAGGTCTACTGGCAGTGAATGTTCTCAGATTTTATCTGTGAATGTCTTAATTTATCCTTCATTTTTGAAAGATAGTTTTGCCAGAGAGAGAATTCTTCCTTGAGTTTTTTCTTTCAGCACTTTTTCATTCCACTGCCTGCTGGTCTCCATGGTTTCTGATGAGAAAGCAGCTCTTAATCTTATTGAGGAGTCCTTGTGTGTGACTAATCATTTCTCTTTTTCTGTTTTCAAGATTCTCTTTGTCTCTGACTTTTGACACTTTGATTATAATATGTCTTGGGGTGAAGCTCTTTGAGTTTATCCTAGGAGTTTGTTGAGTTTATCCTTGGAGGTTTGTTGAGTTTCTCGGATCTGTAGATTCATTTCTTTCATCGAATTTGGGACATTTGCCAGTCATTATTTCGTCAGATGTTCTTTCTTTCCCAACTCTCTCTACTCTTTCTGAAACTCTCATATTGTAAATTTGATTCACTTGATGGTGTCCTACAGGGCCCTTAGCCTCTGTTCACTTTTACTTATTCTTTTGTCTTTGTGCTCCCCAGACTGGATAATTTCAATTGCCCCGTCTTCAAGTTCATAGACACTTTTTTCCACTTGCTCAAACCTGCTGTTGAATGCCTCTAGTTAATTTTTCATTTCAGTTATTACAGTTTTCACCTCCAGAATTTCAGTTTAGTTCTTTTTTATTTCTATTTATTAATTGATATTCTTTCTTTGTTCATATATAATTCTACTGATTCCTTTTAGTTCTTGGTTTATGGTTTTCCTTATCTCATTAAACATATTTAAGGCAGTTGACTTAATGCCATTGACTAATAATTCCAATGTCTGGTCTTTCTTAGAAAAGATTTCTGTAAACTTCTTTTTTTCTGTGAATGGACCATGTTTTCCTCTTTTTTTGTATGTTTTGTAATTGTTTGTTGAGAGCTAGAAATTTTAAATACCATGTTGCACTAACTGGATATCTAATTCTTCAATACCTCAGAGATTTCTTGTACTTTATGAGGACTGGGTCATCTATTTATGACTTTTTAAAACTATTTTTGCAAGATATATATTGTTGTTTGTGGTCACTAAAGTTTCTGTTCCATCATTTCTGTAATCAACCAGTGACCCGACAAAGATTTCCTTAAATGTCTGGTTCCCAAAAGACATGGGGGTGGGAGCACAAGTATTGTCTCTTTAAATCCCCAGGAAGCTGCTTCCTGGAGGTTCAGCTCATGGAGGTTGAAACAATGGCTGTCAGCCTCTGTGCTGGCCCCTGAAAAATCAAAAGCAGAAATCAGCACTCAGAACACAAAACCTAATATTTGAAGGACAAAGTCCTTATTGCTTACCCTAGCTCTAGCAAGTCACACCAGGAATGTGGGCCGCCACTCCTAAGGATGCACACATACACACACACACACACACACACACACACACACACACAGCTTTGTAAATAAAGCTCCCATAATTACCGTGATATTTACAAGTGAGCTTATAGTTCAACCTGTAGTGTACAAAGGAAGGAAAATACCATGTTAGTGCTGACACACCATATCACTCTCAGATTAAGAACCACATCGTTAGAGGAAATCTCCTGCACTGTCTTACTCCAGCCAGCAGCTTGCTAGCCCTCCTTAGCCAACTGCTAGCCCCCAGGTGCTATACTTTTCTAATTATAAATATAAAAATCCAGTCTTAAGGAAGTTGCTGCTGAGAGTGAGGAGTCCAGTTTTAAATGAAAAAGACTGTGTGAGGCGATGAGGGAGAATTGGGAGGAAGATGAAGAAGACTATCTCTTGTACCTATGGTAGGGGAAATACAATTTGGGGCTAAGTAAACTCCAGAAAGACCCCCAAAAAGAATGATTCTAACTTCCTCAACTGGTCTGAGCACTAGGGCAAGTGAGGTAATTTTATCTAGTAAAGATAAATTTGTGTATCCCTATGTCTACTGGTGTAAACAAGAATATCCTGCTCAGCTTCTCTCTGGGTGGAGTTGGCTGTTGGGGGATTTCGAGTAGCAGTATTATCTGACCTGGCACCCCCGTTTTATGACAAATATTTTGTAATCCCTTCATTTACTTTCCTAAAGTGAAATTCACAGATAAAAATAGCATTGGAAAATTCACTGTATAGTAAAACTGTGGGGAAAATTATTTGTGTTTATATATAAGGCAGAGGTCTGTCATCTACATAGATGACTGGCATGACATCCACATGTTGGTTGAGACAAGGGGAACTTCTCTGATATGGGGGAAGTACCACAAGCATCCCAGCCCCACCCACTCAATGCCAGGAGGTGCACCTGATCTTTTTGACAACCAAAAATAACCTCATAAAAGTACAAAACAACGTGCCCCAGGCTTGGGGGCAGGGGGCTTGGACTGGGGCAGAGCCCACTGTCTCAAGAGTGGTTGAGTATCTATGGGGAGTGGTTATTTCCCATAGATAACCACTGATGAATAGAAATTGACCAAACAGCCCCAAGAGAAGCCTCTTTCACTACTTTCTGTGTTCACTTTGCCACATAAGGGAATCCAAGGCTAGAACCAGAGCCAAAGGGCTCTGGAGTTCTATGCAACCTCCCAATTTAACGAAAGGTCAAGTCCTAAATGATCCAGGGCAAGCAACTAACGGGTAGTGATTCTTCCTGTATAGTACACTTCTAATCGGAGCCCACACTTCTCGAATACTGTCTGCTTCTTTCAGTGTCAGCTCACCTATACTGAGCACCTCCTCTGCACCCATGTAGTTTCTCCTCACTGCCTCCCCAATTCCTCACCACTAGCAGCTATTGCAGTATAATTCTTGTGCCATCTGGTTTATTGACTATTACAAAATCAGTCATATTGTGGTTGATTGCCTTGCTTAAAATATTAGTTACCTCACCTCCACACCCCACCCCACAGCGGGGGCCCTAAGCCAGCTAACTCTTAACGATATCCACATCCTTGGAATCATTCTTATTTTGGGGTCCTAAGACTGAGCTATATGAATGAACTACAAGTCAGGAGAGGGCAAAGGTGACCTCTTAGACAGCCAAGACCCTCCTCTGTTGGTTCTATGACCTTTCTCTACACAATATCCCTTTAAGCTTTCATTATCCCCTGTTTTCCAGTGTGCTGTGGCTGTGTGGCCTCTAAAGCTTTAGTGATCAGTCCCTTCTGGGGATTAGGCCCTTTCAGCTGACTCACCTTGGAGGGCTTTGTGGGCAGATTAGGGGGTTTTGCTTGATCAGCACATCCTTAGCTTTACCGGGGCCTGGATTTTAGCAGGGCTCCGGCAATCTCTGCCTTTTGTTTTTTGTTTTGTTTTGTTTTGTCTTTTCTCCTTACTCAGTTGAAACAAATGCAGTTGTCTAGAAATTCCTCTGCATTTGTTCATGAGGCAATTAAAGCTGATGGGAGAGGCAGTGATTATGGTGTTAATGATTAACCAAAAGTAGATCTGTCCAAAGATTCCTTTTGTCGTGGATCTATTTTTCCTGACCTTATGTAAGCAAAAAGTACTCATGTGGCTGGGTTCCATCTGTATACATAATTTCAAACATGCTGTAGTTTAGTTTCAAATAGGGGTATTGTTAAAATTATTTGCAATCAAATAACTCAGCAACCAAAGATGAATAAAATGTAAACTCTTTTCAAGTTGTTCACAAGGGAGATGAGATATAAAATCACTTGTTATGTTCTCTCTGCTATAAATATATTTAAGGAACAAAGCAGTCTAGAAGCTCAGCTAAAGGAACAATGATTGTCAGGTGGGGGATTCGAGGAAGGCTTCCTGAGAGAGGAACTACTCCAGACATTGAATAATGTTATTACCAAGTCCCCGCTGTTCATTTGATGGGTCATAAACTGATAGAAATGAAAGTTTTGTTTTTGGTTTTTGCTTTCTTTTAGGAGTCAATATAGAGAGGAAGGGAAGTGAGATGACAGCACCTAGAGGTCTATCAAGTTGTTGCTCTAAATTTTGCAAGTGACAAAGCTGCCTATGGTGGTTGTAAAGTCTGACAGGCTCTTAGAGAAAGGATGAGGAATGTATTGTTCTTGGGCTATATTGCTAAGACCAAAAGAACTATCAGATAAGAAAAAAAAAAATGAACTACAGACATGTTCCTGGACCATGCTTGCTGTCTCACCCTCATTCTAAATGGTGCTTGCTGATGAGAGATGAAAAAGAGGAAGGACAGAGATTCAACTCAACCAATAGTATTGGTCCTGCCTGCTTTGTACAGGCATTTTGGTGTTTGTATCCAATGTGACTCTCTCCAAATATATAGGCTCCTCAGGTGTGGACAAAATGCATGAAGGGCTTTGGATGGAGGTTTCACACTGGAAATATGTCCATCTTTCTCTGCCAAGGATAAGCTACCAACAAAGCTGTCTTCCTTCCCCATACTTGGGCCTTGATTTGCACTCCCTTCCCACGATAACCTCTCTCTTGTCTCTGGACAGGCACAATGACCTGCCAGCCTTCTGCTTAGTGGCCAGCTTTTACTAATTTCCCCTTCCATCTACCTTTCCTACCCTAAAAACCACATTAAGCAGAGTACCAAGGACCTCTCTACAGCCCTTGAGGATGGGAAATTATGCCTGCCTCTCTTAAAAGAGATCTAGATGCTCCTGGCCACTGCCCTTGTTGTCCAAAGATATGCTTGGGCATTTGCAGAGGAAGAATGCCTTCCATCTGAGTCCTGTTCATTTCAAAAACTCTGCTATTTGGCCCCAGGATATATGCTTTCCTCTAAGGAAATTTTTAACGTGGGTTCACAGTGGAGCTTTAAGGACTCTATATCCTCTCTGAAATCATACATCAAAATTTGCTTTCATCTATTCTGACTTCGCCACAAAAGGGTAAGAACCATTGTGCCTACGGAGTAACCAGTCTGTTCCATCTCTGATATCTCTTAATTCTCCTGAAATCCAATTATATCCAGGGTATGGGGGTGAATTCTTGAACTCCCTGGGTCTTGGACCACTTCACAAAGACAAACAAACAAAAAAAACAACGTTCTAATCTGCCCTTGCTCTGTCAGATACCCAGGCAATTCTGAGAACCTCCTGATGTCTTGGACAAAAATCTACCTGCAGAACAGACACTTTACCCAAGAACACATATGAAGGGCCAATAAACACATGAAGAGATGCTCAACATCATTAGTCCTGGGGAAATGCAAATTGACACCTCGGTGTGCTATCCCTATACATCCACTGGAATGGCTAAAATTAGAAAGACAGGCAATACCAAGTATTGGAGAAGATTTAGAGCAACTGGAAGTCTTACACATTACCAAGGAGAGAGTAAAAGTGGGAGTACAAAATGGCACAGCCACATTAGAAAACAGTTTGACGGTTTCTTAAAACGTTAAGCGTACACCTATCCCACAACCAGATGTTCTATACTTAAGTCTTTATGCCAAAAAACCACATCACCACACAAAGACCTGCATATGGCTGTTATTACAGCTTTATTTATAACAGCCCAAACTGGAAACAACACAAATGTGCATGAAATGTGAATGAATAAACAAATTGTGATAAAGCCATGCAATGGCTTACTATTCAGCACTAAAAAGGAACCGACTACCACTATGTGCAACAACATGGATGACTTTCAAAACCATCATGCTAAGTGATGAAGCCAGACACAAAAGATGACATCCTGCATGATTCCACTTATATGATATGCTAGAAAAGGCAAACCTATGATGACAAAAATCAGATCAGTAGCTGCTAGTGGATAAAGGTATGGGGAGAGAATTAACTGTAAAGGGGCACAGGAGAAGTTTTGGAATTATGAACTAATCCCATATGTTGATTGTGGTGGTAGGTACACAATTAAAGACGTTGGTCAAAACTCATCACACTGTACATTTAAATATGTATTATATGTCAACTATCAAAAAAGCTGGTTTAAAAAAAACTAGCTGCAGAGCTTCATTTTTCTTTACATATAGGGCAGTCTAAACATGGAACATCTTTGCAAGGATAAAGGATCTCAAACTTGGGTTCAACTCACATTATTTTATGATTTATTCTACATATTAGACTCTGAAATTTTTTTTTATTTCCTGCTACTACTAGCACTCTTTCCTTTGGCAGCTGCTTTTTACATCTTTCCCTTCTAAAATGTGGAGCCACAGGATGTTGTGAGTACTGCAGAGACCAAATTGGGGCTGGTTGTCTTTTAGGTCTGTCTTGGTCCATTCCTGCTGCTATAACAAAATATCTTAGACTGGATAATTTATAAATAATAGAAATTTTTTTCTTACAGTTCTGGAGGTTTGGAAGTCTAAGATCAAGGTGCCAGCAGATTTGGCATCCTGTGAGGACTTGCTCTCCTCTTCAAAGATGGCACCTTCTTGCTGAATCCTTACACAGTGGAAGGGGCAGAAGGCTCCCTTAAGCCCCTAAGGGCACTAATTCTATTCACAAGGACGAAGCCATCATGACTTCTCAAAGGTCCCACCTCTCAACACCGCAAGAATGGGGATTAGGTTTCAACATGAATTTTGTAGGGACACAAACATTCAGACCATAGCAAAGTCTATTAAAAATCCACTGCAATGTTTGGAGTAGACTGGAAGGGAAAGAACAGAAAGACATCTGAAATAGACTGAAATAGAGCAAAGGAGATGCAGAGAAATTCCAGAGAGAGACATTTAGGCAAACTTAGTCAGGGACCAGATCTAGGATATGAAAGAGAACAGTGTTCAAAGAAAAGCCCTGTTCAAAAACTCTGAACAATTCCCTACCGCCTTTGGGGAAACATCCAAGTGTCTGAGAGCTGGATATCAGGTTTTCCAGATTTACTTCCAATTTTTCTTTGTATTGCCTACTGCATCTTTTCACTGAATCAAAAGCTCTATAAGCACAGGCTTATCCATGAAAATTTGTTATTTAACAGCAGGTGTTCAATATATATTAGTTGATTGTCCATTCACCTTCTGACGGATGTTTGTATTCTTTCCATGTGGGGCTACGGCCAACACAACTGCCATGAGCACTCTTGTACAGGTTTTTGTGTGGACATCTGCTTTCATTTCTCCTGGGTAAATACCCAGGAGCAGAATTGCTGGGTTGCGTGGTAGGTTTGGTACATCCCTACAATACCATTCAGCAATAGAAAGACATGAACTATTGATACATGTAACAACATGGATGAACATAATTTGCTAAATAAAAGAAGCCAGGCAGCCCCCCAAAGGATAGTACATACGATTCCATACATAAAAGTTTTACATATAACTCTAGAAAAAGCAAAATAATCTATAGCAACAGAAAGCAGGTGAGCAGTTGAGGGGGCAAGTGACAGGGAGGGACAAGATATAAGAATTACAAAGGATCACAGTAAAACTTTTTTGGGTGATGGATATGTTCATGATTTTGATTGCAGTGATGGTCTCACAGTGATATATATATATCAAAACTTATCAAACTGTACATTTTAAACATTCAGTTTATTGTATGTCTTATACATGGCAGTCAAGCTGTAATAAAATACCGGTTGAATAAGCAGCAGGTTCTCAGTAAATGCATAATTTATCAAGCTGTACATTTTAAACGTTCAGTTTATTGTATGTCTTATACATGGCAGTCAAGCTGTAATAAAATACCGGTTGAATAAGCAGCAGGTTCTCAGTAAATGCATAATTTATCAAGCTGTACATTTTAAACGTTCAGTTTATTGTATGTCTTATACATGGCAGTCAAGCTGTAATAAAATACCGGTTGAATAAGCAGCAGGTTCTCAGTAAATGCATATCCAATGGTGCAGAGAAGTGTTCAATGTTGGCTGCAGGGATGCAAAGCAGGTGCCAATAAGTGTTGGTGGAATTAATGTGCAGAATAAATAAGTATTCACTTATTAGGTGTTCAATAACTTTAGAGTGAATGAATAAATTTGACAGATATTTATTGCTGATCGTGTGCTAGGCACTATCCTAGGCTCTGGGAATAGGTTAAGGAACCAAACAAAAATCCTTGTGCTCACAGAGCTTTAATTTTAGAAGGATAGCAGACAATAAAAGCATAAGTAAAATACATATAGTGTGCTAGATAGGTGCTAAGGAGAAATAAGGTTGAGAATGGGGATAGGGAAAGTCAAGGAAGGAGGTTGACATGTTAGAGACTGTGTCCACCGTCATTGAAAGGGTAATGCTTGAGAAAGGCCTGAAGGATATGGGCGGACAGAGTGTGTGTCTAGGGCAATAAAAAGTAACTGCTCCAGATGTTGAAGAAAATAATGTGCAGGAGTTGAACTGTTTGGAAGGAGGGTGAGCCCCATAGAAGGAGCCACCCTCGCCCCCTGCTGAGTCCCGGCTCGCTCGGCCCGCGCGTACCTGCGTTGTCCACCAGGAGGCGCTCCCGCACCCGCCCCGCAGGCGTCTTCCGCCGCCGGCCGGTGCGTGGGCACGCGCAGAAACCGCTAGGTGGCGACGGTTTCCCTTCCCACGCGCGGACGCCGGCGTGGGCCGACGCGGCCGGAGCGCCCGCGCGTGCGCAGAGCCGAGGCCAGGCTGCCCTCGAAGCGGGGCGGGGCGAAGCGGGGCGGGGCCGAGCAGGGCGGGGCGGGGGCTTGAGGTGATTCCCAAGCCGCGGGGCGGCTCCGGTGGTGCGGGGAAACCGAAAGTGGGCGGCGGCCGCGGCGGGGCCCCTGGCGGAGACGGCGGCAGGAGCTGGGCCCAGAGACGCGGGGACGGGCCGTGGGCCCCCGGAACGAGGTGAGTGCAGGTCCTGCGGGCTCCGGGCGCGACAGGTGCCGGGCGACGTCGGACGAGATTTCGGGCGGGCGCGGCGCACCTGGGTCACCGGTGGGACCGCGGCCAGGGCCGGGGGCTCCAACAGGCTCGGGGCCTTTTCCCTGCAGCCGCAGGGGATTGCCCCCGCCCCGACGCCTGGGAACCGGGCTGGGCGCCGGGGGAGTTGGAGTTCCAGAGCGTTGTGTTTTAAATCTCTGAAGGGACCCTGCTCCGGGCCGGGCGTTCACGCGGGAGTCGGACGGAGCCTCCTGCCGCCTCGGAAGCTCTGCGCCGTGGGGGAAATGCAGCAGCGGGGTGTGGACGCGGGCGGGAGATGCGGACCAGGAAGTGGTTCCCGCTACCGGCGCGACAGGCCGCAGCCGCCGCCCCCAGCGAGGGATGTCCGCGCTCCCCTATTTGAACCCAAGTATTTTACACCACGAACTTCTCTTGAAGGTCTCTATAATCTGGAGACGAGCCCCAGGCAGGCCGCTTAAGTAATGCAGGACACACATCCCCATTTCTCTCAAACGAGGAGCACCCAGTGGGTACAGAGCACCCAGCTGGGAGGGAAACATGGATCCGTGAGTAAGTTGTCTCTCAACTTTCAGTAGCATCCCCTCAGCAGGGTCAGACTCTCAGCTTCAGCTTGCTAGGAGGGAGCTTGGAGCCGGCATATCTTTCTGCTCCCATTCACTTGAGAGGTATATTTCCATTAATAGCTAAAGGTACCATTCTCAAATAATTTCTAAGAGCAGGGAAGGGAAACAACCACATTAGAACAAGTCCTGGCCCAGAAGAATTCTGATCACCGCCCATCCAAACCAAACCAAACCAAAAAACCACAGATCTAGTTCATTAACCCTCCTACCAACACCTCTCTGCTCTCCAATCGTGCCGGTGAAAAAAATGCAGAGAAATGTTCTCTCTAGAGAGATAGGCAACAGCTTAATAGCAGAAGTAAAACTTGGACCCAAATCCCTGTCTCGTCCTGGGCTGCCTTGATGTGTATGAATGTGTTGCATACTGCAAATAATGTGAACTTTGCAGACCTGGATTGAAATCTGGGCTTCTCATTTTACAAATTGTGTGATCTTGAACAAATTACATGCTTTCTCTTAGCCTGGTTTTCTATGTGTCAAATAGAGGTACCTGGCTTACTTTGCAAGGCTTTTCCAAGATAACCACTGTATATCCTTTGCCTCATAATAATTGCCAAGCAGTATTCACTCTCTTCCTCCCAACAAACGGTCCATGTTTTACATAATTGGATTTTAGTTTTTTGAGGGCAGGGACACAAAGATCTTTGTGTTTACTATATAATATAAATGGGCACATGGTGGATATTTTTGCATTTCCTCTCAGCTGACATTCATTGAGCATCAGTTACGTGCAAAGTACTGTTCTGGGTATAGGGAATTGCCCCTGGGGCCAGCTGGATTAGCACTCACATCTCCTGTGCCCCAATCCAGGGCCCTTTGGTGGCACACAGCCTCCGTCTTTGGTAGTTGCACGGTGAGACTGTGAGGCAGCAGTTGGCAGTGCCTTCAGATTTCAGTCTCTGTAGATTGAAAATGAAGTGTAATCCCCTGCTAATGCCCTTTTAAGTGTACAGGTTGAACATGGCTGAATGAACTATTGTATTGTGCATCAAGAGATTTTAAACTCCTTGCAGAACCCCTCTTTTAAGTTCTCTGTGCAATATAATCTAGCTGGATACTTAATGTGAATATAAAGAAAAAATATAATCCAACCCCGAGTGCCTAATTTGTGTTTGTCAAGTGCTGTTTTCAAGAATTGAGATTTGACATAGAGTGCTTTGCATCTGGACACTTTCACAGAAGTTCCTTGGTGAAATTTTATATTTACGTGAACTGTTGTTTCTTTGTGCCAAACCTGCTTTTTCCTCCCTCCACTCCCACCTCTGTACTTTTGAAAGCTTCATTCTTGTCATTATTTCCCTGTAAGCCAAATATGTTTACAGTTTTGTCTTTCAAACTAAAAGTAATTAATTTTGCAATTTTTAGTTGAAGACATGTATATATGCCAATCAGAACTTGATCAGTGCAAGCTACCCAGTGTGACTTCAAAGTAAGCTTGGCATTTTAGCCTGTGCAGCTTTGTCATGAGTAAGCAAACTCGGTTTTCATTACATATTTGGACCTTATTTCAGCCTTCAGTGAATCCAAGGAAAGTTGAGAATCATGGCTCTTGCCCACCTTTCTTATCTTCCTTGTGAAAAAAAGAGACCTGAAGTGACTTGTCACAGGTAATCAGTAGCGGAACTAGGATTAAGACACAAACTCCTTACTAAGCCACTTTATTATCTCAGGGTTTTTTCGTCTAGTATGTAGACTTATGGAAATCCCTTACTTACGTACATTCGTGGTATGCAGTTAAAATGCACGAATAATTTGGAACTTGAGATCACAAGAATAAAAAAGATAACTCCCTGAAAAAAACTCTTAAGGAAGTATACCATCATCTGAGGGTATTAATCATCTTTTTCCTTTAAAAACCGGTTGGTGAAGGAGTAATTGAAGTGGTAACAGACTATGATTAGAAAGAAAAGAGCATTTAAAAGTGTCGCAAGGTGAGAAATCATTTATTGGGTAAAGATCTTAGGAAAAAATTTTCCCTCTGAGGCTCAGTTTATTGATTTGTAAGATAAGGAGCTTGGGTTAGCCTAGACGATGCCTAAAATGTGTCAGCACAGACATTATGGGACTTTAAGTTCCCGCTGTTGCTAAAATAGTGTCTTCAAGGAGAAGGGCAGTTAGTTATTAGAAGTATATGCCCTAAAGAGATATCCAGATACTTCAAAATTGAACATCTAACTAAAAGAAGCTAAGAGAGATTACTTGGTGTTTTCAGTTTACCCTAATAATTCTTCTGATTTGTTTTAAGATTTAGTGCCACTCGACAACTTAAACTGATGACATGAAAAATGTAGTAAGGAAGATGAGCCAAATCATACAGTTGGAAATAGTTGAGCAAGAAGAAACTTAGAAAAGAGAAGGCATAGGATGGAAGCCAGACTAGCTCAGCTAAAGGCCTTTGACACCAGTAGTTAGAGGAAGCAGATAACATGCAAATGACTGAGCCAGGGAGGATCAATCAATGGTAGAAGGCGTTTATCTGGGATACACCAAAACCAGGTTCTTCAGAATAGGACTTCCTTGGGCCATTTTCAGGTATAGTAAAGAGAAAAGCTGTGAATTTACAAAATGCAGTTTTGAAGTAGAGTGAGAATTATTTTAGGCCACTTAAATTATTTAAATTTTGTTTCCCTAAAGATTGTCATCACTCCCCAACTCCCCACCCCACCTCATGTGCATTATTAGTGTCTTGGATAATTAAGATTAACTGGGTATAAGCGAAGAAAAAAAGGAAAGCACGAAAGCATAAAAAAGATAGTCTCAGCTACTCAGGAGGCTGAGGCGGGAGAATCACTTGAACCCGGCAGGCGGAGGTTGCAGTGAGCCAAGATTGCGCCACTGCACTCCAGTTGAAATTCCTATGATATACTTTCTTTTATGCTTCTAATGGATGATGTCTAAGATATTAAACTTTATTTTTATAGTTAGAACAAAGTATTCTTATATACCTTGAGAGTATAATTGCCATCTTCCGAAAGTTTCAAAAAAAAGTCATCATGAGCCACGTAACAAAACTCAGAGCATTTCCAAAGTGATATAGTTTAGAAAATAATGACGATTTTTTTTAAAGCTTACACTTTCTTTTTCGTTCACTGCCTGAAGTGATGTTGCTAATGTGGGAATTGAAATCAGACTGGCAAGTCGTGCATTTGAATACAATCACATTTAGCCTTCCAGGTTTTACTGCATTTAACTGCTTCTCACCAGCTTGGAGACCCACAGTCTTATACTCCAAGGGATTCCCCTTCCCTTCAAAAAGTTGTTTGCAAATAGAGAGTTATAGTCCTCCATGAAAGATAGCATACTTTAAAAAGGCAGGCAGGGGGAGGGAACTTAATTTACAGATTGCAACCATGTGGTCAAGCGTTGATTCTCAGTCTCCTCAAGTATGAGGCCATTTTTTGTAGCTTTAGAAAAATTTCGTGAAACCTCATACACTAGTAGTTGTGCTTGCAGTATCCATTGGTCAATTAAACATATAACTACCAAAAGCTGTTGTGAATTTAATATCAGTTTGTGTTTATGGATCCCAATAATATCTGCACACTCTGAAAAACAGGACTATAAGTACATGTGAGACATTTACTAATATTCAAGCCGTGCCTGCTGCTTGTCAGGATGTGTGGGCTCCTTGCAATCATGCTGCGGCCCTGACAGGGCCTAATCTGGCTCAGAGTGGACATGCTCAGAAATAATCTACTTGATGATTCTCAACCACAGTTTGGTGTTGCGATTGGCTGTCTCATTCAGTTTATAAGAATTGTTAACATTTGCAGATAATTTTTTAGTAACTTAAATTGGATTCAGAGTTATGCCTTTAATAGCTCACCTATGTTATGCTGTATTTTAGTGAGTAGGAGAGAAAAGGAGTGGTAGGTGGATGGAGAATTTCTTATTCATTCAACAAATATTTATTGAGCTCTCGGTGGGCTAGGCACTAGGGATTCAGCAATGAACAAAACAGACACAAATCCTTGCTTTCATGGAGCTTGCATTGAAGTTGGGGAGAAAGATAAAACCATTAAATGGAGAAGAATATTGGATGGTGATAAGTGCTAAGGAGAAAATCAGGGAAGCTGGCATCTCAGTTTTGATTTTGAATAGGGTGGCCAGAGAAGGCCTTACTGTGGAGGTGACAGTTGAGCACGTACTTTAGCTGAAGGAGGTAAGGCTGTGAGCCACATGTGCCCCTGGAGTCAATATGTCCCAGGTAGAGAGAATGGCAAGTACAAAAGCCCTGTTGTGAGGCCATCTCAGGCATGTTCAAGGAAAAGCATGGAGCCCAGGATGGGTGAATGAAAATAAAGAGAAGAGAGAACTTAGGGCAAAGAAGTGGGGGTTGCAGGTTATGCAGGGCCCTTTTTGGCTCTGTAAGGACTTGGCTTTTTGTCTGAGTTAACACAGGAAGCATTAGAGGGTTTTGAGTGACGTGATATAATAGTATATATTATATGAAAAGATCACTCAGGCTGATATGTGGAGAACAGATTCTAGGAGGTGAAGTGGAAGCAGAGAGACCAGCTAAGAGCCCAGCTGCTCTGCTCCAGGAAAGAGATGTTGCTGACACGGACTAGGACAACTGCCATGGAAGTGGTGAAGAGTGAAGGAATTGTAGACATCCGCCTTCCATCTTTATGTATCACATTGCTTGGGGGAGGATTGAGAACTAATACTGACCTCACTCATCTTACAGATAAAGAGAATGAGATCCAGGAGAAGGGGCTTATCCCAGGAAAATGAGTGAGCAGTGGCATTAAACTTGCGGAACACAAGTAAAAGGAGGCTCAGGCATAATCTTCTGCAATCCCCTGCCCTTCCCCCAAAACCAAATCAAAATATATCAATGGCCAGGTGTTAGCAACTTTACTATTGAAATATTTTAAAGTAGATTTTAACTGTGATAATATGTGCATTAAAAAGGGGGTGAAAGGCCAGGCACGGTGGCTCACACCTGTAATCCCAGCACTTTGGGAGGCCAAGGCAGGTGGATCGTGAGGTCAGGAGTTCAAGACCAGCCTGGCCAACATGGTGAAACCCCGTCCCTACTAAAAATACAAAAAGTAGCCAGGCATGGTGATGGGTGCCTGGAATCCCAGCTATTCAAGAGGCTGAGGCAGGAGAATTGCTTCAACCTAGGAGGCAGAGGTTGCAGTGAGCGGAGATCACGCCACTGCCCTCCAGCCTGGGTGACAGAGCAAGACTCTATCTGGGGGAAAAATAAAGGGGGAGTGAAAGTAGGAAGTATGTGTGTGGCATAAGCTTTTCTCAGGTCAGATTGAGAAATATAACTTAGAAAAAACAGTCTGACAATGCCAAGAAATCAAGGTGGGTAAATGTGAGGTTGGATAGGGTGGGAAAAGTGAAAAATAAGGATGAGCACTTCTGTGCCGTGCAGATTCACACTGGTATTTTATTTAATTTTCTTCCAAGAGTCTCGGGGCAAAGGATAGAACAATTAGGATGGAGGTCACGAGACATCTGCTATATAAAGGAGAAGACACATTTAAAGAGGGTGGGACTAGAGAAGCAAGCATTAGGCAAAGCTTCGTACCTCACTCTGCTCTGGCCGTTAAACAGGTCATGGGTGGGGACAAGAGGAAGACTCTACCTGAATGCCGCTCCTTAAAAAAAAAAATTGTGAAGTGCCCTTTTTGGGAGATCCCTGCTTGCAGCTGTTTCAGAGCAGAAATAAGGAAGATAGAAGGGACATTTCAGGGGCAGTGGTCTAAAATGGTTCTCCCAAGGGTGGAAGGAGTGGAAGGCTTTCGCAGAGGGCAACCTGTAGAACAAGCCTCTGATTAGACTCTAAGACAGGGCTGGACCTGTCCTTTCAAACCTGAATCACAGTGTTCTGTTAGGTTTTAGTAACAGGACACCCATTAGTAAAATGCATTTATCCGACATTTTTTCCCCATAAATTAATGGTTGCTGTCCACTCCTAATGTAGCTGAGAAAAGTAGACCACAGAGGGGAGGTGGCAGTGGAGCAGATGCTCTTTCCAAAATGAAGGGAAGGAGAATACCATGGAAACTCTATTCTTAAGGCAAAGGGTAAGGCCTTCTTACTGAAACTCTGGCAGGGGAATATAAAGTAGTCTGGCCAGGGAGGAGTCAGATATATTGAACAGTCTAATTTGAGTCGTTTACACTGGTCACACCCAGATGGATATTTTCCCTGGATGTGTGCTAACCACCTGACATTATATCTATATGTAATGCGTATGTAGCTGATAGCCAAGGCCCACTTAGGCATACGGATATACAAAGATGCAAAGCCCAGTTTCACTCAGAAGAGCTCTAGATGAACTGATGGGAGGGATTGGGTTTTGAAGGGAAGAAGAGCACATAGATGGGGAAGGTGGAGATCAGAAATGGATAGTCAGGGTGGATTGGCACTGAGGAGTAAGCAAGTGATGCTTTAGTATGTCCTCTTGCAAATTAAAACTTGGCCAGTCTCCACTGTTGCTTTTACTACTTGTGGAAATAACTGTATAGTAGTTCAGTGATCTTTGACTCATGAGTCATGAACCATTGTTAAACTATTTTCCGTGTCATCAGTTTACTATTCAGGACCCAAAATTCATACTTCAGCATTGACATCTGGCAACCGTGAAGTATAGGTCCCAAAGCTGTCCTCTTTCCTGCTCCCTGGCATTCATTCAGAGTGTGGACTTCAGAGGTAGTGGAGGTGTGCAGACTCTGCAGTTCTCTGTCTCTGCCATGAATTTCTATTGAGTATCTCCAGCTGTTCCATTGTCTTGGAATCCACACCAGCCCTGTGACTAAGTGGAGTCAGCTGTGGATTTCACACCACTGTTTTTTTCTTTTTTACTCTGCTTACCCTTTCTTTCCTGTCTTGTCTCCTGTTCTTAATTCTTCAGGGTTTGCTGGGTGTTTTTCCCAGTACCAGTAGACAGGGTGATATAATGGGAAAAGTGTGGCCTTTGGCATCAAACAGACCTGGATTGAAATCCTAGCTTATCTACATCCCGCGATATCTTAAGTATTTAACTTATCTGAACCTTGGTTTTCACATCTATAAGTTGAGGATAATAGCCTCCCAGCATTATTATAGATACTAGATTTTTAGAAAAGCCATTTCTCAGAATTTACATAAGAGAAATAAAAACATGTGCCTACCTAAATACTTGTACATGAATGATCAAGGCAACTTTATTTATAATATCTCAAAATTGGATGCAACCCAAATGTGTATCAACATTTGAATTGATAAACAAATTGTAGTATACCCATACAGTGGAATACTACTCATCAATAAAAAGGAATGAACTGAGTTAAATGCAGTAACATAGATGGAACACAAAGCACTAGGCAAAAATAATCCATAGTGACAGAAAGCAGATTGGTAGTTGCCAGGAGCCAGGGCAGTGTGTGTATGAACCAGAGAGGGCTGACCACAGAGAAGCATAGCTTAAAAGAACTTTTTTTTGGGGGGGGCGGGTGGGGGAGGGTGTGGTGGTTAAAGATATGCTGTACATGCAGTAAAAATCCCTCTTTATAGCCAATCACCTCCCCTTACCCCCAGCCCTTGGCAACCACTGATCTAATTTCTGTGTCTGTAGTTTCGCCTTTTCCAGAATGTTCACATAAATAGAATCATGTATGTAGCCTTTTGTGTCCAGCTTTTTCCTTTAGCATAATATAAGAGTCATGCATGTTTTATGTATCAACAGATTGTTCCTTTCTATTACTGAATAGTATTCCACTGTATGGCGCTACTAGTTTGGTTTATCTACTTACCTTTTGATAGACATTTTGATTGTTTCCAGTTTGGGGGGCAATTATAAATAATGCTGTTATATACACACACACGTTTCTGTGTGGACATATGTCATCATTTCTCTTGGGCAATAATGTAGGAGAGGACTGCTGGGTTATATAAGTGTATACTTTACTTTGTAAGAAATTGTCAAACTGGCCGGGGCAGTGGCTTATGTCTGTAATCCCAGCATTTTGGAAGGCCAGGGCGGGTGGATCACCTGAGGTCAGGAGTTCAAGGCCAGCCTGACCAATATGGTGAAACCCCATATCTACCAAAAATACAAAAAAATTAGCTGGGCGAGGTGGTGTGTGCCTGTAGTCCCAGCAACTCGGGAGGCTGAGACAGGAGAATTGCTTGAACCTGGGTGGCAGAGGTTGCAGTGAGCCGAGATCGGGCTACTGCACTCCAGCCTGGGCCACAGAGCTGGACTCTGTCTCAAAAAAAAAAAAAAAAAGAAATTGTCAAACTATTTTTCAAGGTACTATTTTGCATGCCCACCAGAAATGTATGAGAGTTCTAAATGCTCTGCTTTCTCATCAGCACTTCGTATTGTCAGTTTTTTAAAAAATTAAGCTGCTCTAATAGATGTGTAGTGATACTTCATTGTGAATTTAATTTGCATTTCCCTAATGACTAATGCTGTTGAGCATCTTTTCATGTGTTTTTTTGCCATCTTCATTTTTACTTTAGTGACATATGTATTCAGGTGTTTTGCACATTTTAAATTGGGATCTTTGTTTTATTATTGAGTTTTGAGTATTGTTTATATATGACTACCAACTTTACCACGTCTGTTATGAAAATATCTTCTCACAATCTGTGGCTTTTCATTTTTGAACAGCTTTTGGAAGAGCAGACATTTTAAATTTTGATGAGATCCAATTTGTCAATTTCTTCTTTTTTTCTTTTTGAGACAGGTTCTCACTCTGTCGCACCATGACGGCTCACTGCAGCCTCTCAGGTAGCTGGGACTACAGGCACGTGCGACTATGCCCAGCTTTTGTGTGTGTGTGTGTGTGTGTGTGTGTGTGTGTGTGTGTGTGTGTGAAGACGGAGTCTCACTATGTTGCCCAGGCGAGTCTCGAACTCCTGAGCTCAGGTGACCCATGTGCCTTGGTCTCCCAAAGTGCTGAAATTACAGACGTGAACCACCGTGCCCAGCCAATTTTTTCTTCTATGGTTCTCAAAAGTCTTTGCCTAACCCAAGGCCACAAAGATTTACTCCTGTGTATTTTTTAGAAGTTTTATACTATTAGCCTTTTCATTTAGGACCTAAATTATTTATTTTGAGTTAATTTTTTGTATATATAATATGAAGTTCATTATTTGCATATGAATGACCAGTTTTACTAGCACTGTTCATTGAACTTTCTTCATTGAATTTCCTTAGCATCTTTGTTAAAAATCAGTTTACTAGGCCGGAGGTGGCTCACACCTGTAATCCCAGCACTTTGGGAGGCTGAAGTGGGTGGATCACTTGAGGTCAGGAGTTTGAGACCAGCCTAGCCAACATGGCAAAACCCTGTCTCTACTAAAAATACAAAAAAATTAGCCAGGCATGGTGGCACATGCCTGTAATCCCAGCCAACTTGGGAGGCTGAGGCACAAGAATCACCTGAACCCAGGAGGCAGAGGTTACAGTGAGCCAAGATTGTGCCACTGCACTCCAGCCTGGGCAACAGATCAAGACCCTGTCTCAAAAAAAAAAATCAGTTTACCATATATGGGTTTATTTCTGGATTACATATTCTGTTCCATTGATCTATATGATTGTTCTTTTGATAATATTATACTATTTTGACTAATATAGCTTTATAGTAAATCTTGAAATCAGCCTTATTGCACTGGCTAGGACCTCCACTGTGATAATGAATGGGAGTGCTGAGCATGGGCATTCTTGCCCTGTTCCCAGTCTTAGGGAGACAGCACTCACTCTTTAGCTGTGAGTAATGATGTTAACTGTGGGTTTTTTCACAGATGGTCTTTATCAGGTTAAGGACTTCCCATTTTATTCTAATATTCTGAGAGTTTTTTATCATAAATACATTTTTTATTTTGTCAGCTGTCTTTTTTTCACCTATTGATATGATTGTGTTGTTTAATTTCCTTTAATCTGTTGATGTAGTAAGTTATATTGATTGACTTAATGAATATTGAACCATACCTGCATTCCTGGAATAAACTTTAACTGGTTATTATGTCTTATCCTTTTCACTAATTGTTGGATTTTATTTGCTAATGTTTTGTTAAGAATTTTTGCATTTATGTTCATGAGGGATATGGTCTGTACTTTTCATGCAGTGTCTTTGTATAGTTTTTGTATCAGCATAATGCTTGCCTCATAAAATGAGTTCAGAAATGTTCTCTTCCCTCTGTTTTCTGGGAGAATCTGTAAGAGTAGTATTGATTCTTCTATAAATGTTTGGTAGAATTTGCCAGTAAAGCAATCCGGGCTTCAGGTTTTCTTTGTGTGAAGATTTTTAACTGTAAATTCAAATTCTCTAATAGCTATAGGGATATTTGAGGGTTATTTATTTCTTCTTGAGTAAGCTTTGACATTTGTGTCTTTCAATAAATTTATCTATTTCATCTAAGCTACAAACTTACTGGCATAACTGTTTTATCATGTTCTCTTTTTAATGTCTGTAGGATCTGTATTGATGGCCCCTCTTTCAATCACATTATGGTAATTTGTGCCTTCTTTTTTTTTTTTCTATGTTTCTAGGAGTTTATCAATTTTATTGATGGTTTGAAAACTAGTTTTAGTTTCATGATTCTTTTCTCTCCTATTTTTAAACTTCATTATTGATCTGTTTCATCATTTCAGAATTGATTTCTGCTCTCACCTTTATTTCCTTTCTTCTGCTTACTTTTGATATAAATTTCTCTTTTTGTTCTCAAAGTAGGAGAATAGATCATTGATTTGCCACTTTTCTTCTTTCTAACAGAAACATAATGCTATAAATTTTCCTCTAATACTTTTACCGCATCCAGCAAAATTTTACATTTGTGTCTTCATTTATTTAAAAATATTTTTCTAATTTTGGAGGTAGCCTTTCTCTTTGACCCTTGGTTATTTAGAAGTATCTTGTTAAATTTGCATGGAGATTGTTCACATATCTTTGTGTTAGTGATACCTAATGTAATTTTGTTCTATTCACAGAATATACTTTTTATAATATGAGTTATTTTAAGTTGTTTGAATATCATTTTAAGTCCAAGAATATATTTTATTTTGGTGAACATCTCATGTGCTCTTGAAAAGAATGTATATTCTGCTGTCTTTGGAGTGGAGTGTTCTGTCAATATCATTAGGTCACTTTGGTTGATAGTGTTTAGATCTTTTATATTCTTTTTTTTTTTTTTTTTTTTTTTTGAGATGGAGTCACTCTGTTGTTTAGGCTGGAGTTCAGTGGCATGATTTTGGCTCACTGCAACCTCCACCGCCTGAGTTCAAGCAATTATCCTGCCTCAGCCTCCTGAGTAGCTGGGATTACAGGCACGAACCACCACGTCCGACTGAGTTTTTGTATTTTTTAGTAGAGGTAGGGTTTCACCACATTGGCCAGACTGATCTTGAACTCCCAACCTCAGATGAACCGCCCACCTCGGCCTCCCAAAGTGCTGGGATTACAGGTGTGAGCCACCACACCCGGCCAGCTCTCTTATTTTCTTACTGATTTTATTTTTTTGATCTACTGGTTCTATCTATTGACGAGAAAGGAGTTTTGAAGTGTCCAACGATAATTGTGAAATTGTGAATAAGTTTTTTCAGCTATCAGATTTTGTGTGTTTGGAAGCTCTGATGTTTGGTGCACCTATGCTTAGGATTGTTTTATCTTTCTGATGAATTAGCCCCTTAATCATTATGTAATGTCTCTCTTTATCTCTGATAAGATTCCTTGTTCTGATATTTATACAGTCATAGTGTTTGCATGGTACATCTTTTTTCTTTTTACTTTTAACCTATGCATTCATATTTAAAGTGGGTTTCTTGAAGGTGGTATATAAGTAAGTCTTGCTTTTTTATCCACTCTGCCAACCCCTAATGTTTTATAGGGCTATTTCAGTTATTTACAGTTAATGTAATTATTGATATGATTGGCTTTAAACCTGCCATTTTGCTGGATGTTTTCTATTTTCTCTACCCTTTTTTTTCTCCTTTTTCCTGTCTAATTTTTTTTAACTTCTGCTTGCATAGGTATTGTCTTATTACATTTTACCTTTACTACTGGCATATTATTATACCTTTTTAAAAAATTTTAGTGGTTGCCATATGGTTTACAATATCCCTCTTTATCATAGTCAGCTTTCAAATGACACTACAGCGCCTCATGTGTAGTGTAAGAACCTTCCATTGGTTCTATTCTTCGTACTACCTTTGTACATTTTACTTTTACATATATTATGTACCCCACATGAGGGAATTTTTTTGGATGATGGGAATGTCTGTATCTTGATTGTGGTATGATTACATAGGTGTGTATATTTTTTAAAACTCAAGAAGTGCTACATATAAAATGAGTTAATTTTATTTTGGGTAAACTTTCCCTAAAGGAAGATTTTGATATTTAGTCTTGTGCCAATAACAATGTTTTGGTCAACAATGGACTGCATAATCATTTGTCCTGTAAGATTATAATACTGTATTTTTCTATACCTTATCTATGCTCAGATATGTTTAGACATACAGTACTTACCATTGTGTTAAAATTGCCTACAGTATTCAGTATAGTAGCATGCTGTACAGGTGTGTAGCCTGGGAGCAATAGGTTATACCATATAGCCTAGGTGTGTACTAGGCTATACCATCTAGGTTTGCAAGTCCACTCAATAATGTTTACACAATAACTAAATTGCCTAACGACACATTTCTCAGAATGTATCCCCATTGTTAAGTGACGCATGACTATACACACAAACACACACACACACACATCTGTGAAAAGAATAAGAATACAGACCTAGTATAGGGCTTTTGTAGGTTATAGTATTAATTAAATGTTGTTGGTCCTGGTGATAATAATTTGAAAAGAGTTAATGTTTAGTAATGGAAGGTACATAATGCATGCAGTCGTACATTGCCTAACGACAGGGATATGTTCTGAGAAATGCATTGTTAGGCAGTTTCATTGCTGTGCAAACATTATAGAGTGGACTCACAAACCTAGACAGTAGAACCTACCACACAACTGAGCTATGTGGTATATAGCCTGTTGTTCCCAGGCTTCAACCCTGTTCAGCATGTTACTGTACTGAATGCTATTAACATTCAGATAAAGAGGGATACTGCAACCATTAACACAATGGTAAGTATTCGTGTATCTAAACGTAGAAAAGATACAGTAAAAATATGGTATATAAAACAAAAAATGGCATACCTATATAGGTCACTTGCCATGAATGGAGCTGGCAGGACTGGAAGTTACTCTGGATGAGTCAGTGAGTGAATGGTGAATGAATGTGAAGGCCTAGGACATTACTGTACACTACTGTAGACTTATAAACACTGTACACTTAGGCGACACTAAATTTATTAAAAGTTTTCATTTCTTTTACTTTTCATTTATTTTTATTTTTTTGACACAAGTCTCATTCTGTCACCCAGGCTGGAGTGCAGTGGTGCTCCATTGCAGCTTTGACCTCCTGGGCTCAATGATCCTCCCACCACAGCCTCCTGAGTAGCTGGGACTATAGACATATGCTGCCACATCCAGCTAATTTTTCTATTTTTTGTAGAGATGGGGTTTCGCCATGTTGCCCAGGCTGGTCTCAAACTCCTGGGCTCAAGTGATTCTGCCCACCTTGGCCTCCCAAAGCATTAGGACTGCAGGTGCGAGCCACTGCATCTGGCCTCTTTTACTTTTTAAACTTTTTAAATTAAAAACTAAGACAAAAACACACACATTAGCCTTGGCCTATACAAGGCCAGGATTATCAAGATATTACTAGGCTATAGGAATTTTTCAGCTCCATTATGATTTTACAGAACCTCTTTTATATATGCAGTCCGTTGTTGACTAAAACACTGTTAAGTGGCACATGACTATGTAGATTTTTGTTTGCTATTGAAACCTTGCTGTAACTTCAATATTATGTTTATAATTAATAGCAGGACAAACAGGCTGATATTTTGTTTTCTTTTTAAGATGGACGAATGATGGAATTGATAGAATTGTATGTCATTCTTCTTTTGTGTTTTCTAAGCCAGAGAAAGAAAATGGCTATTTGTCTAGAATTCTCCGCTGTCCAGTATGGTAGCCAGTGGCCACATTTAATTTAAGGTAAAATTTTAGTTCCTCAGTCATCCTGGCCATATTTTAAGTGCTCAGAGCCATATGTGGACATTGTGGACATTGCAATAATATAAAACATCACAGAAAGTTCTATTGAACATCACTGTTGAAGGAAAAGTAACAAATTGCCCATGGTTTGCCTTCCTCTTTCCTTTAATAAAAGGGTAAGCCATTTTTTCCAGGCTACTTATTCTCTGAATGTATCTCCTAGTATGTATCTATACATTCTCTGAATGTATCTCCTGAATTTGTCTTTTTTTTTCTCTGCAAAACTACAACTAGATGTAATCATTAGTCCAAAGGAAATGATTCTTTCCTCCTTTTATTCATATGGCATTATGACTCTGCTTCTTTTTCTTCCATCTCTCTAGTCCCTTTTTCTTAGCCTTTTATAGGTTCGTCTTCCTCTATCCATTTCTTGAATGGTAGCCTTCTGCAGAGGTCCATCTGTAACCTTGTTTTTTACTCCCTGGATGTCAAGTACCCCATATAAGTCAAAGACCAACAAATCTGTGACCAGCTTAGACTTCTAACCTAATTTCCTAGTGAATATATCTGCATGGCTGTTCTATAAGCATTCCAACTTCTCCGTGTCCAAAATGAATTGGCCTCTTCCTCTCTTGCAAACCTGCCTTTATCCCACCTCAATGTGGGTCATTACTCTCTACCTTACTTCTAAGCTGGAAACATTGGAGCCCACCTCTTCATCCAAACCAATTAATCAATTCCTGCTGATTCCACCTCCTAATTACCTCTCAAATTGATTTTTTTATTTATTCCTAAGGCCCTGTATTGTGGTCCTCCACATTTCCAAGTATTCTGAAAACTTGTTAATCTTTCTCCTTCCCATTTATCTTCTCCATTGCTGAGTAGTGATCTTTCTAAAATACAGAGCTGATCATTTTTTTCCCCTATTTAAAATATCCCTAAGGCCCCCGTTACTTTTGGCAAAAATGCAAACATGAGCATAATATAGTAGTCTCAGGGTCTGCCCCTCCCTGGCCCTCTGAGCCCTCAGCTTGGAGTCTTTGTTCAGTCACGTCCAGCCACCTAACTGTCTGGAATTTTTGGAACACACCATGTGCTTCTCTCTCACCTCTGTGCACTCGCACATCCTGTTCCCTTCCTTGGGCTGATACCACTCCCAGCCCCACAGCCCACCCTCTTCCTCCTTGTTAGGTGATTCCATCTTGCTCTTCAGGACTCCATTCAGGCTTCCCCGCCTGAATCTGGGAACATTCCCTGATATATTCCCTCTTCAGGCTGGTCTTGTGCCTTCTGACTTTCCCCTGCATTCTTATGGTATTTGTGCTTTTCTCTACCGTGGCAGTTGTTTCCCCATATTGTAATTGCACAGAAAGTATGCAGTAATAATTTATAAAGTAACAAGTTTCAGCTCTGAAAATCTATTTGAATTCACAAACGAATGAGCCATATTATAGTAACCTTCTACTGTGTTCTTATAGGCAAAGATGCTGGAAGGAGATCTGGTTTCAAAGATGCTACGAGCTGTTCTGCAGTCTCATAAGAATGGAGTAGCATTACCCCGGCTCCAAGGAGAGTACAGATCCTTGACTGGAGACTGGATCCCCTTCAAACAGCTAGGTTTCCCTACACTAGAAGCCTATCTGAGAAGTGTGCCAGCAGTGGTCAGGATAGAGACTAGTAGATCTGGAGAGGTAAGAAGGTAATTGTGCGTGTCAGAAGAATCAAACCAATTCATAATTGCCTCTCTGGCACTTCCAATCTCCTACCTGTGATAGACGTCTAAGTGAAAGTACTAGCTTAGTTGTTTGGGATTGGTAGTGACAGAGAAAACAGCATGTAAAGCACAGCCTACATTCTTATGTCTTTTTCTTATTCCTCAAATTCTTTTCATTGTAAAAATAAGATTTTAACCACACAAAATTAAAAATATTTACCCAATGTCAACATCTAAACAAAATAGTTGTACTGGAGGCCTTAAGTGCATAAATATCACACCTGCCTATTACAGACCTGTTACAAATGTTTTTGCCAAAGTCACTAATGACCTTGTGATCACCAAATCTAATAGACAGTTTTAAATTCTCATCAAGTCAATTCCTGCTATCTGGACCTAGTCAGTCCAGAGCTGATCCTTCATCACTTTTCATAACTACCGGGGCCTCCTTGCTGTTGTGTCTTCTCTTCTGTTCTTTTCCTCTCCTTCACACCAATATGATCATATCATTATACCGTTTTAAATCCTTCTGCCTCTCTGGAAGAACACAGTTTATAGATAGTATAGGCCATTTAGTGGTAGCCGGTTGATCTGTCATTGCTCTTCCACTGCGACCTAGCAGCTTCACTTCTTGGTACCTACCCATTGTACAGCATAATAGATATGGACAGACCACCAACCAAAAGAGAAACAAAAACACCCACACCCCCTCATACACTATGGTTTCCTGGGTATGTTTCTACATGTGTAAATATGTGGATCAGGTCTGGAGTGTTTCTCACCAAAACCTGACATAGTGGTTTTTCTATATGGGGGGATGAGGAGGCAGTGGTGGAGGAGGACAAGGGAACCAGGAGCAGGAAAGTAGTCAAAGGGGAAGTTCACCTTGTAGTTAATAATTTTCCTAAGGAGAAGATATAAATTAATTAAATGTTATATGAATAATAAAATATGCTTTGGCATCCCTGATCGTTCCAGACAGACTTAAGCCCTCCTTTCTGTCTACTTGCACCTTGTAATACATCCGTTATCACACTTGACACAATGTTTTCTGTTTAATTTCTTGCTTCTCTCTTTTTCCTCCATAAGTTTATTAAGGATGAAGGGCTTAATAAATCTGTGTTGAATGCATGAATGAATGAATAGCTGAATGAATTAATAAATTAATGCTTTATAGAGTTACTATACTGTAATTTACTCAACTCTTTGTTCCCCTGTTTTGGACATTTTAAATGTTTCCAGGTTTTGACTATTAAAATACCCCCGTTGCTCATACTTGGGTAGGTAACATTTGTTTTTTTAAATTATGTTCTTGTAATATAGTCTCAGAAATAGAAATACTGGGCCAAAGAGTAGGAACATATTTTAGCTTGTGACATAAAGCCTCATTGTTTTCCTGTTTTTGATTTCAAATTAGAGTCAAAGACTTGAAAACTACACAGGTCTGTAGAGAGCATCTTGTCCCAGTAGTCTCTATCTTCAAATCTTTTTTCGATATCATATCATACCAATTTTTTCTTTAAAGATACAGAGCTGAGCTACAGTGTTTTGAGAGATGTGGAAGCTCCGGAGACCCTGCTTGCCCTGCCTTGCTCTCATGCCCCTGCCAGTAGCAGCCCCTTGAGGCCTCTCCATAGAACTCTATGGCTCCCATGAACACAGTTTGAAAACACCAGGTCTAAACCACCCCTGTTTTACAGCTGAGAATACTTAGATTTGCCCAGAGTCACCCAGCAGATCCATCACAGAGGCAAGAGAAGGATTTAGTAGTCTTGTATTCAACATAGTAGTTATGAGTACATACTTTGGACTCAAAGAGCCTCGCCATGTGACTTGGAAGGTTGCTTAACTTTCCCGAGCCTCTGCATTCCCATGTGTAAAGTGTGAATGAAATGTACCTCACAGATTATATGATATTATACATCAGATCATAGGTTGCTTTTTGTTCATTTGGTAATCTCATAGTATCTAGTACACTGTAGATGCTTAATACCTATTTAAAAATAAATGGAATTTTCAGTTTAGGAAAGATAATTCAATGTACTAGACTATGCCAGATTCCTCTTGCAGAAAATATAATTTTCTTCTAGCATTATCAAGGAGCGAGACACATGAATATTTGCATACCACTTGACTTGGGATATGTAGGCTCACTAAGATCCACTTTTAAGAACTGGCCTCTAGGCAACACGGAATCTGAGAAATGTTTCTCCTCTTACCCTGCCTCTAATGAATAGATTACCTGCTATGCCATGGCCTGCACAGAAACTGCAAGAATTGCTCAGCTTGTGGCTCGTCAAAGGAGTTCTAAAAGGAAAACCGGGCGTCAAGTTAATTGTCAGATGAGAGTGAAGAAAACCATGCCATTTTTTCTAGAAGGTAGGAGCTTTTTACATGCTAAAATTTTTAGGGCTGTCTACGAATACATTATCATAGGGAATTATGGAAATATTGTTTGTATTATGATAAATACTTGTATCTGTTAACATACATATGTCAGGGGAAAGATCCTGAAGCTAGCATTTCCATTTGAAATTCTTAAGTGAATGCGCTGAGCATGACTTACTAAGTGAAGTAATTACACAGTGGGAAATAACTCAGAACAGATTTTAATTGAGCTTGTTACGGTAGTGTGTAGTTTTATTTTTTTTAAGCTCATTTCAGGGAATGTCTTGTCCAGAATGTTGGCTGCACCAAGAACCTATGATTTTATGTCTTATTTGACAAATTATGTCTTCTGGTAGAAAACCTCTAGTTTCAGAAATATATGAATTATGTAGTACAGAGAAATGTTATAGACAACTCAGCCTTTGTTTACCGAACACTTATCTCAAGGATCTTACAATCAGTTCTAAAACTAAATTCCCATGAAGTGGTTCAATGATAATACAAAGCAGTAGATGACTAAATGCCACAGAGAGCATTTAGGACAAGGGAGCAATCATTTTGAATGAAAAAGGCAAAGGGGAGACTTGACCCCAGACCGCAAACAATGGGTAGAATTTGGATTTATGGGGAAGAGACGGGAGGACCAAGATATAGCTGAGTGTGCTGTATTTGCAAGAACATGAGGTGGCTGCCACTGAAGTGTTCAGTTGGTGAGAAGCAGGAGTTACTGGCCAGTCTGATGGATGAAGAACCTTATCTGCCAAATACTCACCAATCTATTCTTTCCCTGTTGACCAGCCCTCCAGTGGCAACCTCCTCGTGTTCTTACAAACTGTTCTGAGAATAGACACCCACAGAAAACATCTGGTCAGGGGAGTGTCATAATGAAAGTGGGGTTTGGGGATGCTAATTGATTTCGTTATGTATGCCTAACTTCATAGGAAAACCAAAAGCAACCCTCAGACAACCAGGATTTGCTTCAAATTTTTCTGTTGGCAAAAAACCTAATCCAGCACCGTTAAGAGACAAAGGAAACTCTGTTGGAGTTAAGCCTGATGCTGAAATGTCTCCTTATATGCTACACACAACTCTTGGAAATGAAGCATTCAAAGACATTCCAGTGCAAAGGCATGTGACCATGTCCACCAACAACAGGTATTTGGCCTCTGACTCACAGAAGTTTGGTGAATCTAGGGTAAAAAGTGTTACAAATGTATGTTCAGGTTAAGAAAGAAACACTTTCTATTTTATCTAAGTTCACATATAGTAGAGACATGCATCATTACCAGTTAAGTTCACTTCTAGCTGCCTGAACATCATTCTCTAAGTGCATCTCTATTCTATATTTTCTCTGTATTGTCAATCTCTCCTTGTAAAGTTCATTTAAAAGCTCTCACAAATTGTTTTGAGATACTGTTTCAGTATAACTTATAACTTTTTCAGAAAACCTTTTTTTAACGATTTTGTGGGTTTAAGTAAAATCTGATGGAGTTTCAGACACTCCACTGTGCTGCAAATATCATGCCCATGATTATGTAGTAGCATCAGACATCCATGCATCAGAATACCAGACTGGCAATAATAAGACAACCTATAAGTCTTTGTTTGGGTGCTGCCATTCACTAGTCAGGTAAATTAAGTTGTTTCATCTTTTGGGTCTGTGGTTTGTTCATTTGTCCAAAGAAAATGTTAAACGAGATGATCTCAAAGTTCCTTTCTGGTTCAAAACTATGGTTTTATAAGGTAGCTCAGAGGGTGGCAAACTACAATCGATGGACTACATCAAGCCCACAGCCTGTTTTGGTAAATTAAGTTTTATTAGAACATGGCCATTTTGCTTTGTTTGCATATGCCTCTGGGTGCTTTTGCAAAATAGTGGCAGAAGTGAGTAGTTGTACAGAGACTAGATGGCCTACAAAGCCAAAAATCCACTGGTGGACCCTTTACAGAAAAAGGTTGCTGACCCCTGATGTAGATGCATCAAGATCACATTCTTCTGTCCTACTTGTGCCTTTTCAAAACAAATTTTGTTGTATTATATTCCTTTAAATCAGTGTTCAAAAATTCTGTTTTGTGAAAGATAATTTCCCCCCAGGAACTTTCCCCCAGATACTAGAATATTTATGAAGAATTAATTTTTTAAAAAAGTTAGGTAGAGTTGGTACTAATTTTTTATATTACAGAATTTTTAATAAAGTAACCCTAAATATTTTTATAATGGTATACATTTAATATTATTTATAATTATTATAATTTTTATAAGGTCTAGAAAATACATAGTTAAAACACAGATCTTGACCCAAAGTGCTAGTTGAATCCAGTATGTGACAGAGGTATTCTCTGGTTGTGTGCCTACATTTCAGCAATACATTTTGAATGATTTTTTTGGATGTGACCCTAAAAGGACGGGCAACAAAAGCAAAAATAGACAAATGGGATTACATCAAGCTAAAAAGCTTCTGCACCACCGAGGAAACAGTCAACAGAGTGAAAAGACAAGCTATGGAATGGGAGAAAATATTGCAAACCATATACCTGATAAGGGCTTAATATTCAAAATATAGAGAACTCAACTCAATAGCAAGAAAACAACCTAATTTTAAAAACGAGCAAAGGACCTGAACAGACATTTCTCAATAGAAGACATACAAATGATCAACAAGTATATGGAAAAATGCTCAACATCACAAATCATTAGGGAAATGCAAATTAAAACCACAATGAGATACCACTTCCCACCCAGTAGTATGTAGTATGGCTACTATCAAAACGCAGAAAATAACAAGTGCTGGTAAGGATGTGGAGAAAAGGGGAACCCCAATACACTGCTGGGGGAAATGTAGGTTAGTACAGCTATTATGGAAAACGGTATGGAGATTTCTCAAAAACTTAAAAAGAACTGTCAGCAATCCCACTACTAGGTATATATTCAAAGGCTATGAAATCCGTATATCAGTTGAAGAGGTATCTGCACGCCCATGTTCATTGCAGCAGCATTCACAATAGCCAAGGCATGGAATCAACTGAAGTGTCCATTAATGAATGAATGGATAAAGAATATGCGTTGTATCTACTGAATGGAATACTTACTCTTCAGCCTTTATAAAGGAGGAAATCCTGTCATTTGCAACAACATGGATGAACCTGGGAGACATTATGTTAAGTGAAATAAGCTGGGCATAGAAAGAAACACCACATTATCTTATATGTGGAATCTAAAAAAGTCAAACTCATAGAAACAGTAAAATGGCAGTTACCAAAGGCAGGGACGTGGGGTTAGGATGGGGGTTGTGGACGTACACAATTTCAGTTAGGAGAAATAGGTTCAATACATCTGTTGTATTTCATGGTGACTATAGTTAATGATATATTGTGTACTTGCAAATTGCTAAGAGTAGATTTTAAGTGTTCTTACCACAAAAAATAAGCATGTGAAGTAATGCATGTGTTAAGCAGCTTGATTTAGCCATTCCACAGTGTACACGTATCAAAATATCACATCATATTGCATACCATAAATATATACAATTTTTTCTTGTCAACTAAAAGCATGCAACTATAATAGGGCCCAGCAGTTGCGCTCCTGGACATTTATCTCAGAGAAATGAAAACTTATGTTAACACAAAAACCTGTCCACTTATGTTCACTATAACTTTATTTATATTAGCCAAAAAATAGAAACAACCCAGACATCCTTTGGTAAGTGAATGGTTCAACAAACTGTACACAGAATATGTCTCCACAGTAAAAAGGAGTAATGAACTATTGATACACAGAGCAACTCTGATGGATCTCAAGGGAATCATGCTGAGTGAAAGAAGCCAATCTCAAAAAGCGACATACTGTGTGATTTTATTTATATAACATTCTTGAAATTATAAAATTATAAAGATAGATAACAGATTAGTGGTTGCCAGAGGTTAAGGATTTGGGTGATTTGAGGGATGGGTATGGCTATAAAGAGAGAGCAAGAGGAACCCTTGTAGCCATGGGACAGTTCTGTATGTTGATTGTACTGGTGGGCACGTGAATCTGTACGTGTGGTAAATTGCACAGAACTACACACACACATCCATATGCAACTGGAAATCTGAATAAGCTCTGAATTGTACTATTGCCAATATTCTGGTTTTGATATGTACTATGCAAGATTTTACTATTAGGGGAAACAGTGAAGGACACATGGGACCTCTAAGTACACTTTTTGAAATTTCCCATGAATTTATAGGTATTTCAGAATAAAAAGTTTTCAAATTGACAGCAGGCCAGGCACCATGGCTCATGCCTGTAATTCCAACACTTTAGGAGGCTGACGCAGGAGGATCTCTTGAGACCAGGAGTACAAGAACAGCCTGGGCAACATGGTGAGACCTCATCTCTACTAAAAAAAAAAAAAAAAAAATTACCTGGACATGGTGGTGTGCACCTGTAGTCTCAGCTGCTTGAGAGATTGAGGTGGGAAGATCACTTGAGCCTGAGAGTTCCAGGGTACAGTGAGTTATAATCACACCACTGCACTCAAGCCTGGGTGACAGGGTAAGACCCTCTTAAAAAAAAAAAGCTACATATTTTAATTAAAGACTGCTTGAGATGTTGTAAAACATTTTAATCAAGTCTTTTTTTAAGCACATAGTATTTGAAAGATATCTTTTAAGAGAAATCTAAATACTACCCAGTGGCAGATGTTATGGGTAACATTTCTAGTTATAAAATCAAAATATCAAAATGGAACAATAGCAGAAACATCTATATCTACTTATGAAATATTAATGTAGTAAAAAGCAGTTAAACCTGTTATGAAGGACACTTAAACTTTTTGAGGTCACCAAACCTCTTGAAAAGCTGATGAAAGCTGTAAATGATCTTCCCAGAAAAATTCACACATGTACATTTACATATGCATACATAATCTCGTGCCAGTCAGTAGATTCATGAACCCCCAAAGCTCATTCTCAAGAGTTCCGGTTAAGAACTCATGCCTGCCTGTTAACAAATTGAAAAGTTCTAGAAAAATGGCATGGCTAGTTTCCTGTAGAATAAATTAGTAGAGATAAAATGTGTGGGGAAGAGGGTATATGTACTAAGGCTCCTATTAAATTGTTCTCTAAACAGATTATAATAATTTGTTTTCTTCTAGAAGAATATGAGAGTGATTATTTTCTTGTATGCCTGCCAATATTGGGCATCTGTTTTTTGCTTTGCTACTTTGAAAAGTGAAAAAAATCTATTTATGTTTTAATTTTTATTTCCCTGATTTTGATTCTTAAGGGAGTTACATTTTTGTCATATATTTTTTAGCCCATTATAGGTCTTATGTGAATTACATGTCTTTGTCCTTTACATAATTTTTCTATTGGCTCTTTTCCTTCTAACATATAAAAGTGGTTTATAAATTAAATAAGTTGGCCCTTTGTAATATCTTGACAGTATTCCCTCAGTTTGTTTAATTATTGTATTTTTTGTATACAAAAACTTTAAAATGTTGCATGCTTATAGCTATCGATCTTTTACTATGTGACTTCTGCTTTTAGGTATTATGTTTAGAAAAGCATTTCCACTCAATATTATGTAATATGTCTTCTGTTTTCTTTTGTAATTGTTGTGGCTTCATTTTTTACATTTTAGTCTTTAATTCATCCAGAATTTATTTTATTTTATAGTGTGAGAGTTGGAATCCTTTTTTATTGTTAGCCAGATGTCCTGTATCAGTCATTACACAATCCTTTCTTTCTCTGCTGGTTTGTAATTCTATCTTTACCAGTACTAAAGCCTTATAAACATATGGTTCAGTTCCTGGGCTTTCCATTCAGAATAATTGATTACCTCCCTATTCTGCAGTACCAGGCTATTCACATTATTATAACTTCATAATAAGTGCTAATAACCTTTACTCTCTACTTCCTCCTCTATCTCCTAATTTGGTTTATTAGTTCCATTGTGTGCTTTTATTATACCTACTGCCCTTATCATAACACTTAGTAGACTTTGTTCTTAGATTTTGTCAATGCATTAATTATCTATTGCTGTGTTACAGATTACCCCAAAGTTATTAGCTTACAACAAGACACATTTTCTTACCTCATAGTTTCTGTGGGTCAGGAAGGAAGACACGGTCAAGCTGGGTCCTCTGCTTCAGGGTCTCTCATGAGGCTGCTGTCAAGGTGTCAGCCATGGCTGGGATCTTATCTGAAGGCTCAGTTAAAGATAAATCTGCTTTCAGTCCTACTCACATGGTTATTGGCACAGTGTACTTCCTTCTGAGTTGTTCATTAGTCCCTAGGTGGCTATTGGCCAAAGGCCATCTTCAGTTTCTTGCCACATGGTTCTTCCCAACATGGCCATTTGCTTCATCAAAGCAACAAAGGAGAGATTATACTAGCAAAGTTGAAATTAGAATCTTCTGTAATCTAGTTATTTGTGATCCCTTCAGCCTTGAAGTCTTCTATTGATTAGAAGCAGGTTACTCAAGGGGAAGGGATTACACAAGGCTGTGAATACCTGGAGGGAAGAATCTTTGGGGTTATCTCAGCAGCTACTTACCACGGTCCGTTTCTCAACTATACCGTGTAGTCCCAGAGAATAGGGCATGTTTATCTTGCTGATCATTGACAGTTACTGTCTGACATAATGTCTGGCACATAGTATGTCTTAAATATTTATGAGCTATAAATATGTCTCTAATAAACAACATATGTTTAGATTTGGAAGGTTTTTTTCTGGACCAGTCTAACTCTTTGTCTTTTAAGAGACAATATATTTTATTCTTAGTGTTATAAAACTGCTTAGACCTCTGTCATCTTATTTTATTATGTCTGTTTTTCATGCATCCTAGCAGTTTTCTTTGAAGAGCTTTCTTTTGCTATATACACTTTTTTCTTTCCTCTCCAGTAGACCTCTTGATGACTGAACCATAACAGTCCCTTCCATAGTTTCTGTGTACTCACTCTTTGCTCATATCCCTCTACCTTCTACTGGAGCCTTCGATGCTTGTTTAAAGCAGGGGAAGCTTCCAGTTTACATGTTTTGGGCTGGTGTGCGGGAAGGAGTACTATCTCCCTACCAGTTCTGCAAAATAGGAGTTGGATATATTTTTGGCATCTTCTGCTATTACACAGATATATTAATATAGAAATAGGATGATCTTATAATTGCATATACCAAATAAGTTTTTATTGGTAGCCTAGAACCTAATCATTTCTTTTAGAATTAAAATTTTATAAGAAAATGTGCTTCATTTCAAGGAATTGATCTAATTTTTAGACTGTTCCATACTATTCAAAAACTGGCAGCTATGTGTACCATGTCACTATCACTCACTATAGTCCCGTACCCACTGCTGGGCAGGTTGTAGTCATTTATTCATTCGGTCATGATTCATTCAGTCATTCTTACAATATTCATTTGCCTTGCATGTATCAAGCTCTGCCCCAGGCACTTGGGAACACAAACAATTAAGACACTTAGAGTCTAGTGTGGGAAACAGACATGAATATAAATGATGTGTGTGGGGTTTATTTATGTGTCTTCATATTTGGAAAAATCTTCCTACATATATCCAGTATAATTTATATAAAATTTATTTTTAGTGAGGGTATGAGGTAGGGATCTATTTCTTTTTTTCAAATAGTTATTTGACCAGTCCCTCACCTGTCTGTTTTGAAATGCCACTTTCATTATGTACCAAGATATAATGCAAATTGCATGTTTCTAAGTTCTCTACCATTTTACCTGTCTGTACAACTCATTTAAGTGTTGTAACTTCATAATGCATTTCAACATCTGGTGATGCAAGTCCTTCATTTTTTGGTTATATTCCAAAATGTTCTTTGTTTCCAACTGTTTATTTTTGCATGGTCTTCTTTATTCTGTTTTACCAGTTTCTTATAAGTGATTAATTGGAATTCTGACATCCAAGTTTTGAAAGAGGCTTTCAAAGACCTAGTTTAAATTTAGCTTTTAACATACTTTTCTCTGAGTGAATATGAAACATGAAAGATGATGCCAGGTTTTATTTTTATTTTTTCTGATTTTAAATTATTTTAATGACTTGTTTTGCTGTTAAATGCCACTGAGACTTTAAATGAAAAGTGTAGTGTTTAAAACTTGGTATAGACTTTGTTATTTACATTTATTTTACTTTTTTTTTTTTTAATATCTTAGGTTTAGCCCAAAGGCGTCCCTTCAACCACCTTTGCAGATGCATCTCTCAAGAACCTCTACTAAGGAAATGAGTGGTATGTTTTCCAAACATTTTTGAGATACATATTGGCTTCCGGAGTCAAGAAACATATCTGGTGGTGGCTTTTGACATTTGCTCTCACCTTCTCCTGTTTGGAATATATCCTTCCTCCCCTTTTTCCTAATTGCTTTGCATCATGAATCAAAGTGATCTTAAGAGAAAATGGTGCCTCCCAAAGATATCATTATCTAAACACTGACTTGAGGCCTTCCTCACCCCAGCCCTACTCTGTGTCACCTCTATGTGTGGCCTGCAGAGATGCTTGTGTCCCTTACTCTCTCACCTCTTAGGGGGTGCACCCCTGAGACTTCAGAGGCTGAGGCCTCACATAAAGGAAACATCTGCTGTGGATTAAAAGTGCATAAATATGGGACTTAAATTTATAAAAGAGTTTCAGATACTCCACCACTTAAAAGCTAGCACCCTAAACTGTGTACAGTTACCACTAATCATCTAAATATGAATATAAATAATTCTTTGGGTAATAGAATCCAAGTGGGCTGTTAGGAAAACAATAGGAGACATAGTATAAGTCAAAGAATCTGAAGGTTAGAAATGCAACCACTTGTTATCTTTTCTTCTCCAACCAATGTGTAAATCCCCTGCTCATAGACCCACCCAGGGAGACAGTGTTTTCGTATCAGTGCTTATAGTGTGTGAAATGTAAATGTGATTTTACATTATTTGCTGCTTTAAGTGTGATTCTTACTTAGTTGAAATGCTTTTTTTTTTATAAGAACACATCTCCAGTATTTCTTAATGGAAATTAATTGAACAATATGATTTTTGTTTACATGAATTACTTTTACATAGGCATTTTCTGAAACATGACTACATGGCAAAGTTGAATATCCTTTTAGAAGCTTAAATTAGTATAAACTACTTCTACAGAAACAAGAGGACTTATTTCAGGAGGATTGCAGTTCACCTGGCAGAGCTGATAGGCACACATGTGTACACAACCTCTCCTACATGATGGACACCTCCATTACTACTTTAATTTGTTTAACAAAAGGTGCAGGGACTTAGATGGCCCCAGTGGCCCCACAGAGCAAGTGCATTTGCAGACACAGCTGTCGGTCAGCTGCTGACACATTCTCATTATGGGAAGGTCTGGCCAGTTATGAGAAACTTAATCTTTTCCTCCTTCCCAGTCCTTTTATATCATTATTTGGGAAGAACTTAAATAAATTAGCTATACCCTTAATAGGAAATATATGTGGATATCCTGGAGCCTTCTCTTCTCTGTGCCAATCTAAGACTTAGCAAGGCCAGATCCTGCCCTTTGATGGAAGAGCAGAGTCAGCGTCCAAGTGTCCTCAAGGAATAGCTCACTCTGGGCTTCCTGGCATTCTCAGAGGCAGCATCCCCAAATCAGACTGTCTCTACCTGCAAATTAAAAATTACTGAATCCCAGCAGAGATACTATCTGCTTAAAATATGCATATATTTTGCATATAGATGGTAATATTTAATATACTCAGATCTGTATCTCAGTGAAATTTCGTAGAGATTTGGAATAAATTTCATAGTTCTTAAAATTCCAGGACTGTCAGCTATAGTAAACACTCAGATTTCTTTATTTTCTGGGGATATTAACTCTCACATTCTAAGTTTTAAGTAAAAACGAAATGCAAAATAGCTATAAAGCCAAAACTTTATAAATACACACTTATGAAAGATAAATGATTGATATTGGGGAAATAAAAGTTATCTGTGGGTTCCAAACCTTTTATGTTTATAAACTGAGGCTAGGATGATGATGATTATAGATGGATCAATTTTTTAACTTTTGTGTGTTGCTAAATTATTTGTTTTCCATTAATAAAGGTGAAAATTGATCATAATATTCAAACTCAGGCAATTTTTTATCTTCTACAAAACTAGTATAAGATCAAAAAGTTATTTGATCTGTTAAGGAATTATTCCTATGTTCTGTGGAATATAGCTTTAAATTCAGTATTGTCTGTAAACTAATATATAAAATGCAATCTTCCTCAGCAGGTAGAAAACGGTTGGTTAAATAATTTAATTATTCTTTATGTAGCAAGATCATCTTGATGTTTAAACTATGAAGCATCCTTGCAAAATAAAGGGACTAGGTTCCCTCTTTGGGTGTTTCTTGACCCACAAGAAACACTGCTGGTTATTTCAGGGTTAAAACTTAGAATGAAGTTGTCACGGTGCTGCTCTGCCTAATCCTGCTCCCTTCTAAGTCCTTTGGCTACCACAAGCCCACACTATAGCAAAACCTGAAGATGCAAATATTAGGTAATGGGGATAATCTAAAATGTTAAGCATTTTGGTTAATTCTATTATTTTTTTAATTTAAAGATAATTTAAATCAGACTGTTGAAAAACCCAATGTCAAGCCTCCTGCCTCTTACACTTATAAAATGGATGAGGTTCAAAATCGCATAAAGGAAATACTAAACAAGCATAACAATGGCATTTGGATATCTAAGCTTCCACATTTTTACAAAGAGTTATATAAAGAAGACCTTAATCAAGGAATTTTACAACAGTTTGAACACTGGCCTCATATTTGCACGGTATGTTTTTCCTTATTCCTCCCTTCTGATACCTCCTCCCTGCCCAACTTTGAGATCTTGAGTTATTAGTCATATCACCTTTTATCCCCAGAAGACAAAGCACTTTACATATGTTACCTCATTAATCTTTATCTCTTAAGATTAACATATGTCAGTTCTTATTTATAGAAGTATGTCAAAGTTGAAGGTTCTCCTGTGTTGTAATTGCTATTTTTATATATTTTGTTTTATGTCATTTTTAAAATGCATTTAATATGTGATAATATGTAAACCATTTTATAATGATTGAACTGTTACCAGTAAACACTGATAGCTTTGCCATTTTAATAAATCTGAACTTATTGGGAAGAATTGTTTTATTAGCCTCAAATTTTATTTGCTCACTCTTGAGCATTTTTAAAGACTTGTAGCTGAGCAAATTTTAGTTATTTTGACTAATTATATAGAGTTCTTAATTTTTATTTTGAAATTAATAATAGTGTTTATATTATAATTTTTACAAGCTATCTTTAGAGAGAAAATTGGAAATTAGAAAAAAAATTTAAAAATGATTTATCAATTTCCATTTCTATTCCTACTTCAGAGTCTGTGATTATAAGATTATGGATCAGCATAGTTTATTAAAGATCTTAGTTCAGCCAGAAGTAGAGACAACTGGATTCTTACACCAAAGTAACTAACTTTTAGATGTTTCTTAGTGGTTTTGCTTACATAAGATATATTTAAAACATAACTTTTAAATGGTCACATTAACAGCTACTCGATGCTTCTAGGCTTGTAGAATTAAATATGCATGAGGATTATGTATGCTTTGGTAGAGGGCTTTTATTTCTTTAACATATATTTTGGCCCCCAAGCCTGTTGGGCAGTGTAGGGCATTCCCTCTTTATAAGCACCTGGCCTAAAGAAAGCATGTATTTTTTTTTTTTCTTTTTTTGAGACGGAGTTTCACTTTTTGTCACCCAGGCTGAGTACAGTGGAACGATCTTGGCTCACTGCAACCTTCGCCTCCAGGGTTCAGGTGGTTCTCCTGCCTCAGCCTTCCGAGTAAATGGGGCTATGGGCGTTAGCCACTACGCCCAGCTAATATTTGTGTATTTAGTAGAGACAGGGTTTCACCATGTTGGCCAGGCTGGAGTCTCGAATTCCTGACCTCAGGTGATCCGCCCACCTCGGCCTCCCAAAGTGCTGGGATTACAGGCATGAGCCACCATGCCTGGCCGAAAACATGTGTTTTTGTAACCACTTTTTCCTCCACTTGAGTCTGTGGCCTCTTAGAGACTGGTGTCATTCAATCATTCATCCATCCCATTTGCTCATATACTATTTACTGTGCACTTGCATGTGCTAATTTTTGCCTTAGGTGTTTTAAGAACAAAGACGATGAAGACACTTGGAGTGTAGTGAGGGAAATAGGGAAAAAAATGATTAGGACAATGTGACAAATGTTAGAATATACAGTCTAAGGTGGGAAAATAAGGAATGTTAAACTCTGGAAATATGGCTCTGTTTCCCTACTAATAAACTCAAGAACAATTAATATTCGTAAGAATGTGACCTCTGATTTATGTGGAATATAGGGTTAGTTCTCCTAATGGAAATTCCCAGGGTTACTTTTTCAGTTCAGTTCAGTTTTTTCCAGTTTTTTTCAGTTCAGTTTTTTCCATTTATACTCCATTCTGGGAAGAATTTTCCTCACTCGATGCAGGTTTAGTGACATTGAGGTATTCCCTTAGAAGTCTCATTAGGCTGTTCAGTTTGAAGGTTCAGGGCCTGTGGCCCCTTCTTGAAATGCATATGGCTCCTTTATGGTTTAAATCCATAGAACTTTATGAGTTCTTTTATTTCAGCTTTTATTTTAAATATAGGGGATACCTGTGCAGGTTTGTTACATGGGTATTTGCACACCGTAGAAAGTTTTCTGTAAAACTTAGAGCATTTTTTTAATCATCAGGATACATATATAACTCATTTTTAAGCTCTGATAAAGAAGTCTTTAGAGTAAAAACTTTAAAAATATACTTCACTGGTTCTTAATGTAATGTGTTTCTAGTTTTTTTATATTCCATGATAATACTAATATTTGTGTAGCTTTATTATGGCCTTTCTGGGAAATTTTAATCTTTGCTACTCTACATGCCTTCACAATTCTAGAATTTCTCTTGCTAGGATTGTAGATGAGAGAATATATATCTCTTTGATTTAAAAACTTTTCCTAAAATGAATAGTTTTCTACTAAACCTCTGGTGCTAAAACAACTGACTGTTTTTTTGGTTGCTTTTTATAGCACTTGAATTCATCTTTTATTGCGTTATTATATTCCGTCCAAGCAATGAGAGTCAGAAGCAGAAACACAATATAACTTTCCTATCTATATATTGTGTCTGTTACCTTTGTTCAGATATAATCAGTACCAAGTATTAGGTTATAGTAATTTGCTTAGTCAAGTGGGATGCCAGAAAACACCAATCATATTGATGTCTACTGATACCTTTCAAAACTGTTTAACCTCTGAATATTTTTCAGCAGACTGTTGTTAAACAGTTTTAGACAGTTAAACCATGGTTATTTTTAAACAGCTTTAAACACTTACACAATGGTTATTTTCCCCCTTCTTATAACTTCTTCTTTTCACCTTGCTGCAAAGCAGAAACACTGATACCATGCCTAGGACAGATGTTACTACAAGCAAAATTAGATAGTCTCAAGGCAGTGCAAAAAGTTTAGGATAAGACAGAACTTGGTAATGGGTATCTCTCTTTATGGCTTGTCTCTCTATATGGCTTGTCATGTAACTGAAGGAGAAATCTAAGTGCAGTGTATTTCTTTTTTTAAGGGTTTTTTCCTCCAACCAGATAAAATATTCTATATTAAAAGATTGAAAAATAAAGTTATAAGAGAAATAAAAATCACCCATCATTCTACCACCCAGAGATTACTACTTACAGGAATTCCATTTGAATATCAGAATGCACAGCATCAGCTTTAGGGACCAAATAGCAGCTTTGAAATTTTATCTTCAGGGAGGCTCTAATTAGTATGCTGTAAGCCGCTTCACATGGATATTGGAAAACATTTTGATGCAGGCAGAAGGATGCTTTGAATCTGTTGTCCTTAACCTTTTGGGTCTGTCCAGTAGCAAAATGTGTACTGAGAGTTTTCAAAGCTAGGGAGAACACAGAGTTATTCACAACAATGAGCCAGCTCCAAGGTATTCCTAGACAACTTGTGAGGGAAGTGGAAATTGTGCAGAAACTGTCTTGAAAAGGCAAAGATTCCAAGACAGTAAGCCTGCAGATCAAGGACACTGCACTCTAAGAGTTCCCATTGGGTCCTAGGAGTACAGCAACACCTCTTGGCTGTTCTAGAGCAGTAGTCTTGTTAATAGTGCTCTCGTTTAACTGTTGTATTTGACTTGACTGGTATTTATAAAATGCTTCCGTGTGCTAGCCACTGACCTGGGTGTTAGGGATAAAACAGTAAACAAGACAGACATGGTCCTTGCCCTTATGGAACTTTCTGTCCAATGGGAAAATAAACATTGAACAAATAATGATAAGCCTGCAATGGTTATGAAGGAGAAGTACAGGATGCTGAGGGAATGTCTAAACAGGAGACTCTACATAGTCTGATGAGTCAAGTAAAGCTTCCAGGGGAGGTGGCTGTTAAACTAAAACCTGACAGATGGGTTAGTGTGAGTTAGGTAAAGAGGGAGGAGAAAAGCACCTCAGACAAAAGAAACAGATTGTGCCAAAGCCCTGAGATAGAAAAGCATAGTATTTTCAGGAAGCTGAAAGAAATTCAGTAAGAAGAGAGTTGCTCAGGAAGAAGCTGAAGAGGCAAGCAGAGGCCAGGTCACTTCATTAAGGAGTCATCATTTGGTGGAAACACAGCGGGTCTCAGCCTTGAGGTCACCCAGGATCCATGGCCTCTGGCTGACTTTGATTTCTAGAAAAATTACAAATCTTGGTCAGGCACATTGGCTTATGCCTGTAATCTCAGCACTTTAGGAGGTCAAGGCAGGAGAATTGCTTGAGGTGAGGAATTTGAGACCAGCCTGGGCAACATAACAAGGCTCTGTCTCTACAAAAAATAAATTTAAAAAAATTAGCTGGGCATGGTGATGCATGCTTGTAGTTCCATCTGCTCAGGAGGCTGAGGTGGGAGGATTGCTTGATCCCAGAAATTCAAGGTTGCAGAGCTATGATGGCACCACTGCACTCCAGCCTGGGTGACAGCATGAGACCTGTCTTAAATTCCAAATCCTGCAACAATGACTGCTGAACACCAGAGATTTTATTGAAAATTTCTACTCTCTGAAACGGGTAAAGAAACCTCTCCATTCTTACATTAGCCAGAATATCTGTCTCCCATGTCTTGCCTGAAGCTGTTAGAGAGCTGAGGGGCTCATTGGTGGGCAGAACTAGATGCACTCAGCTAAGGAGAATTTCTGTCAGTAGCCCCAAGACCTACTGGTAGGCAACCAGCAGGTAGCTGGGAAACATTCTATGTTGGGCTGGAGGCACACCAAGCCTTAATTATAAAACATAACATTTTGTGAATGACAAAATTATAGAACATAAAATGTTGTGAATGAGGAAAAACTGCCTAATTACACTAATTATTCATAGCTTCTACAAGGATGTTTTACTGTTAATCTGGTTTTATTATATATCATTTTCCTATTCATTAGAAATCACTGAGCTTTAAGTTGTTTCATATCTAATCCTGCAGACTCTTAAAAATTCTTAAAATTCTGAGTTGCATCAGTATAGCAGTTTCTCTAATATCAAAGGAGGCAAGAGTTTCTGTCACTTACATAGAGATGTTTTTATATTTGGGGATGTTCAGGAATCTAACTTAATTTTAATTACGGTAATTAATTGTATGAGATAATAAAGCACCTTTTTGCCCATGTAAAATGAATTGCCTTTTTAAAAAGCCTGGAACTTCTGGGGTAAAACCAAAACAACTTGGATTTCTAAGGAAATGGAACATAAACAGCAATCGATATCCTCAGGCTTAGTGGTATTGAATATACTCTATATATTGAATATATTCTAAATAATGCCAGCAGAAGCAGAAGTGAAGAGGTAAACTGAAGACTTGGAAGTATAATCATAATATTTTTTAAATGGAATCTAACTTATTTTCCATTTTTTCACCAGTGAAAAGAAATATATAATGAACACATGATTGGAACAATTTTTAAATTTAAATTCGGTGAACGTCTGAGTAGAAAAAAGATAAAATAGCACTGTTGTGAAATCAGAATAGCGAAGTTGAGGAATAATGAGAAGTTGCTGTTCTGGAACTTGAAACAGAAACTACCCATAAGGCCCCATAGTACACTAGAAGGAGTTTGGGCTTTGAGGTAGATTTTTACCTTATCATTTCTTAGCTGTATACCTTTCAGCATACAGACCATCCTCTCAGTGCCACAATCTACTCTAAAATGTCACTAATTCTACCCATGTCATAGGGTGGTTGTGAGAATTAGATAAAATATATAAAGCAGCTATTAATGTGGTATCAGAAACATAATAGGTGTTTAGTAAAAGACAACTGCTGTTAATTTTTGAGAGGCACCCCAGCCTAAAGCAGGCCAAAACCCACTGCTCAACCAGGGACATGCCCAGCAAGCTCTACAAGGAAACTGAATACAAACAGAGGAAAAGCTAAAGAGGGAAAAACAAAACTTTAACTTGAAAAGAAATAAAGAGCAGTGGAGGAAATGAAGTCAAAATAAACTCCAAGCCAAAGAGAGTTCCTGACGTTTTAACAATCCATGAATGGATCCCAGTCCCCCTACCCTCCCTGCACCTGCCCCAACTCCTGCCCAAGGTAATGAGAGCAAGGAATAATGAGAGCAAGGAATGTGTCCAATGCACATTGAAAGCCACAGCTACTGGCCAAAAGCAATTCCAAAAAGCTCTGCACATGTTCAACTAGGAGAAGACTCCATTATCTTCCTTAAGGAACATGAGCAAGAGGCCTAACCTCAGGCCATGCTAAAGGGAAATGACTTGAAGTTTATCCTAATATAAATAATTGCAATGTGTGTCTAAAGAGCATTGGTGAAAGGTCTTTCCTAGTTAAAGGGGTGGGAGTAAGCGGAAGTGTTGACCTTGAAGTACATGGAGTCTATTAAATGACTCATCTAAGATGGCAGAGAAGAGTTTCTCTAAGTAGATGGTTTGTCAACAGTCAAGGATTACCCTCTACAAGGATCTTTTTACTTTTACCTTTGATTAAGTCTCTGTGGAATATGCTACAAAACCTTAACTTTCTCAAAGAGAATTGACTGAAAAACTGTAACCATTTCTGAATATCTTGGGCTTATCATCACTAGCCTCAGTACCTTCTGGCAGAGATGGCTGTGGTTGTAGGTGATATGGAACGGTGGATTGGATGGGTTTAGCTCCTGCATACAGGGTACACCACACCGGCTGCCCTTGCATGTTTCACATCTGTCCTGATCAGTGCATCTGCATTGTGACATAGTGATGCCATTGGGGACCATTTCCCTATCTCTTTCTCAGTTGTCTGACTTTTCCAGCACTCGTCAGCTTTAGCATAAAAAGGCCACCTCTTAAGGAAGTCATCAGCTGGTCAACCTTTCTGTGAACTGGCTAATCGTAGGGTGCAAGCTTCTGGTCAGTGACTTTGATGTTTTAGTTGTTGCTAGGCACTCAGGGATCTTTTATTCACTACTGAAGTCAAGTTTTAAAATGGGATTATTTTTTGCTTTTTCTTTGTTGTTTTTGTTTGTTTTGAGCTCATAACCATTATTAATGCTTGCAGTGCTAGAAAGCAGGTCTCTAGGTAAATGTGATTTTGCTGTACTGTCTCAGGTTTGTATTGGGTGGTGACCATATAAAATGAAATTTAGAACTTAATTTAAAACTTCAACAAAAATGACTACTACCCTGTGGAAACAAAACTGTGCCCATATAAATGCTTTGGAAAGCTTGATTTAACTGGACAATACCAATTCTGTTATAGAACCCTAAAGAATATTCTAATTTCAGAAGAAAGAGTAAGCTTACCTCAGAGGCCCATGCTAAAGAATTAGCAGGTAAGCCTTCATAGACTCAAAGGAGTTTGGCTTCAAGAACTTTTAAGTTTACAGCACAGGTAAAACTAGAAAGAAAGAAGTAAAGACCCTTAGAGTTAAGGAGAAGCAAGTTTCTAGGCGTGTAGGATGAAGACTTCTATTTGTCTGAACAAACAGACTCCTGAAGAAATTCATATTTTAAGTTTTTGGGCCTGTTTTGGAAAAAATACTCAAACTATGTTTTTCCTCTGCTGTCACACCACAACAATCAACACAGAAGGCTTCTGTGACCAAATGTGGGCGTTTTCCCCAGAAACCAAGCAGCGGACACCAGCTGGGTGCCCTCTAATTTAATACTAACACTGTCTACCTGGAGATAGCATCAGATCCCACAGGGTGAAGGCTCAATCCCCAAAATTGCTGGTCCTCTACATATACACTAGTTGCGCAGATCCAGGCCTCCAGAACTTCTGACTGACCAGCTTCAAATTGGGGTTCCCAAAACCTCCTCTTTGGGTTTGATTAATTTGCTGGAGTGGCTCGCAGAACTCAGGCAAACAGTTATATTTACTGATTTATTACAAAGGATATTACAGAGGATACAGATGAAGAAATGCATAAATGGGGGAAGCAGCATGGAGTCTCTGTGCCCTCTCTGGGCCTGCCACCCTCCAGGCAGCCCTCCAAACCTGTCATCTTGGGGTTTTATGGAGGCTTCATTACGCAGGCATGTTGATTAAACCATTGACCATTGGTGATCAGCTTGACCTTCAGTGCCTCTTCCCTCCCGGCATTTGAATGGTGGGGCCAAAAGTTTCAACCCTCTAATCCTGCCTTGGACTTTCTGGTAAGCAGCCCTACCCTGAAGCTCTCAGTCAGTATTAGCATAGAAAAAGATAAGCTCTTTGGAGATTCCAGGGATTTTAGGAATTGTATTTAGGAAACTGGGAAGGAAGACCAAATATATATTTCACGGTATCACAGCCTCACATCTGCCAAGCCTAGTATTTCTGCTCCAAACTTACAGAAATCCAGAGGGGTGTGAGGGAAGTGTCTCATTCAAATTGTGATTCCAACTGTGGCAGAAATCAAACTGATTATCATGAACTTACGGGAATAGAAAGTTTAAGGCGTATTAGGTACAGCATCTTCTGATGATCAGCAAAGGAAAGGGCTTGACTCCATGGTCTAGGGAGTTCATCTTTAATGTTACCTGTCTCTCCTGCTGGAGGTGGGGGTGGGAGTGTACACATGGTACGTGAAGTTACAAGTCATGCTAGTTCCCAGTCGTTGGACTGATGGATTTTTTGGGTGGACATTCAGAACCAAAGAGAAAATTACAGAGCCACAAAACAAAGAAAACATGAAGGACAAGGATAGGAGTATTGTCCTGAGTCTTCTCCCACAGTAGAGGAGGCCTTCTGACTCCCTCCTTAGGTATATGCCTGAATCAAGTGGGCTAAAGGAACTAGATGCCGTAAAAGTTCCCTTTTGAGAGATCTACCTGAAGTGGTTAGCAGTTGATTATCACACTAAGGAAATAATAAAAGCCATGTTTCAAGTAGATGTTGGCTTGCCTTGGTCATTTGTGAAGACCATAAGATGGCTGTTCTGTCTTGGGAAATGAGGCAGGAGATGAACATGTAAATCTTTTCAGATGCACCAGAGCCCAGTAAAGAATGGACACCACACTGTCCATTATAGCAATTCTTTATCTTTAGCAAGGTTCTTGTGGGATACATATAGTAGTAGGTCTCTTTCCTAAACCTATTTGCCAGAAAATTAAAAAGAGGTGGCACTTTTTGTAGATGACAGATGGTGATCACAGTAGAATGCCCAGGAAAAGCAAATTTCTATTCATATGAAAATTTAGAGAGTTTGAGCTGGGTGATATTGTAAAATATATATTTGGCCTTCTCCATTCTCTGGCATACAATTCCTAAAATCCAAAGTGACTCTCCAAAGTTAGGTCTCTTTTTTTTTTTTTTTAAACTAATGAGTGATGACTGGCAACCCCTAGTAGCTTTAGGATGGGGCTGGTCACCAGAAAGACCAACGCATGATTAGAGGGTTGGGACTTTCAGCCCCAACCAACCTCTGGGGAAGGTAGAGGGCCTAAAGATTAGGTTGATCGCCAGTGGCCAATGACTTAACCAATCATGCCTGCGGAATGATGCCTCCCTAAAAACCCAAAGCAGGAAGAGCTTCCAGATAGCCAAACATATGGAGCTTCCTGTAGGGTAGCAGAGAGGGCATGGAAGCTCCACACTCCTTCCGGCATACGTCACACTAAGCATCTCTTCATTGGTATTTTTTTGTAATATCCTTTAATTTATACATATATCTGCCATACACACACACACGTGTATTTTTTTAGAGACAGGTTTTGCTCTGTCCCTTAGGCTGGAGTGCAGTGCCACCATCATAACTCACTGCAGCCTGGACATCCTGGGCTCAAGCAGTCTTCCCACCCCAGCCTTCCAAAGTGCTGGGATTATAGATGCACACTATCACATCCAGCTAATTTTTAAAATTTTTTTGTTGAGATTCTCACTATGTTGCCCCGGCTGGTCTTCAACTATTAGTCTGAAGTGAGTTATCCTCCTGCCCCAGGCTCCCAAAGTGCTGGGATTATAGGCGTGCGCTGCTGCACCCAGCCATATCCTTCATAGTAAACCAGTAAACATGTTTCCCTGATTTCTGTGAGCCACTGTAGCAAATTAAAACTAAAGAGAGGGTCTTGGGAACCCCAGCTTGATCCAGGTGGTCAGAAGTTCCAGAGCCGCAGGCTTGTAACTGGTGTCTGAAGAGGAGACAGTCTTGTGGGACTGAGCCCTCAACCTGTGGGATCTGATGCTGTCTCCAGGTAGATAGTGTCAGAATTGAGTTGGTGGAATTCAGCTGATATCCAATGCAGAATTAATTGATTGACTGAAGTGGGGAGACCCCCCCACCCATTTGGTCACACAAGTCTTCTGTGTTGATGATTGTTGTTGAATGAGAAAATAGGAAAAACTTGTTTGTGTTTTCCATACTCATAACTGAAAAAGAATTATATTTGCTTTAAATTATATTTTTTAACTTTAAAAGGAGTTTCATGAATTGTTGCCTTTGAATTGAAAAACCCCTCAGCTGGCCTGGCATGGCAGCTCATGCTTGTAATCCCAACTCCTTAGAAGGCTGAGGCAGGAGGATCACTTGAGCCCAGGAGGTGGAGGCTGCAGTGAGTCGAGATTGCGCCACTGCACTCTAGCCTGGGCAACGGAACAAGTCCCAGCCTTAACAAAAAGAGAGAGAGAAAGAAAAGAAACCCCAAAGATTGGAATGAAGTATGTGGACCAGGTATTTTTTCCATATCACTAAATTTATCTGTGAATATTTGCCTAAAGTGTTGAAGGATATCTGAATCAATTCCAGGTAGAGTCAGGTTCGGTGCCTTGTTAGGCCTATGTTTAATCTTAGTAAATGCTTATTTGAATGTATAGAAGCCAAATCATTGGAGAACAAGTGAAATGTAGGCACATAACTAACTGTTTTGAGATAAAAGAATAAACCATTAAAGACTGGAAAGTGCTTACAATTCAAGGAACTGGTCATTAGAGTGGGATATGGTTATCTACTTTAAACAATAAGAATAATATAAAACTGCTGAGGGAAAAAATCTGTCTTCTAATTCAGATGATTATTTGGCTATGGTTTGTACTTTGGGTAAATTCAGACTTATTGGTCAAAAATTCACTTTATAGGCTGACTGGCAAAGTTTGACTTAAATGCTGCAGACACAGCCCTGGAAGCTTAGTACCTCCAGATGATCTTTAAGTATTATTCTGGAATAAAAGCCAGAAAAAAATGGGAATTCTGCTCTTGCCCTGGACCAACTCAAGTGGACATAACGTCCCTAACTTCAGTTAAGACAGCAGTTCCTATTTGGAAGAACTTGTGCTGGTCATGTCAGAGGTCATTGTTAGAGGTTTGATAGGTATGTTATTAGGTAATTGGCACTAATCACATCTAAGGCACAGATGGAATGGCAGTCTGGGGACTGGGAGAGGGGAGACTAAGCAATGAAGCATCCCAGATTCTCAGTACACTCCTTGGAAAGAAAAAGATAATAAAGCCGAAGAACCCTCTTACCTTCTTTGGGTTAGAAGAAGGCTATATGGACAGTGGGGGATGGGGCTTAGGAAGTTATTTTAGATAAGATGGGTTATCGTCCACTGAAAGTAGTTTCTACCACCCACTTCAGAGAAAGTATTGAGATTGGTATGTGAAAACTGAAGAAAAGTTTTAAGGTGGGCTTTACAGGCTCATCTGGGTTTGGCTGCAGAGAACCACCACATCTAAATCTAAAATTAGTCAAGTGCTGCATAACAACATTTTGGTCAATGATGGACTGTATGTATACACAATGGTGGTCCCATAAGATTATAATGGAGCTGGGGGCGGGGGGCAAGAAAGCTGACTAGAAGCAGCAGCTTTTGGAGGCTCCCATTGAAAAAAACCATAATAAGTGTGTGAATCCTTCATTGGCAACCCAGGGTATCCAGGTTCTCTCAGCAAAGTAGAGTAGAAGGCTGGCATGACTCACAGAGAGAATGAAGAACAGTATGGTACGGCAGCCCACCTGAGAGCCACATGGGGAAGGGGAACCCTTTTCCCCCAGCCAAGGGAGGCAGTGAGTGAGCAACCCATCAGTGTGCTATGTTCAGGAGACCCATCTTACATGCAAAGACACACACAGGCTCAAAATAAAGGGATGGAGGAAAATTTACCAAGCAAATGGAAAGCAAAAAAATAAAAAAGCAGGTGTTGCAATCCTAGTCTCTGACAAAATGGACTTTAAACCAACAAAGATAAAAAAAGACAAAGAAGGGCATTACATAATAGTAAAGGGAACAATTCAACAAGAAGAGCTGACTATTCTAAATATATATGCACCCAATACAAGAGCGCGCAGATTCATGAAACAAGTTCTTAGACACCTACAAAGAGACTTAGACTCCCACAGAATAGTAGTGGGAGACTTTAACACCCCGCTGTCAATATTAGACCAACAAGACAGAAAATTAACAATGATATTCAGGACTTGAACTCAGCTCTGGATCAAGTGGACCTAATAGACATTTACAGAACTCTCTACCCCAAATCAACAGAATATACATTCTTCACAGCACCACATGGCACTTATTCTGAAATTGACCGCATATTTGGAAGTAAAATGCTCCTCAGCAAATGCAAAAGAACTGAAATTATAAAAAACAGTCTCGGCTGGGTGTGATGGCTCACGCCTGTAATCCCAGCACTTTGGGAGGCTGAGGTGGGTGGATCACGAGGTCAGGAGATTGAGACCATCCTGACTAACATGGTGAAACCCCATCTCTACTAAAAATACAAAAAATTAGCCGGGTGTGGTGGCAGGCACCTGTAGTCCCAGCTACTCAGGAGGCTGAGGGAGGAAAAATGGCGTGCACCAGGGAGGCAGAGCTTGCAGTGAGCCGAGATCGTGCCACTGCACTCCAGCCTGGGGGACAGAGCAAGACTCCGTCACAATAAAAGAGAGAACGCAGTGCAGTTAGATTAGAATTCAGGATTAAGAAACTCACTTAAAACCACACAATTTCATGGAAATTGAACAACCTGCTCCTGAATGACTCCTGGGTAAATAATGAAATTAAGACAGAAATCAAGAAGTTCTTTGAAACAAATAAGAACAAACAGACAATGTACCAGAATCTCTGAGACACAGCTAATGCAGTGTTAAGAGGGAAATGTATAGTCTAAATGCCCACATCAGAAATCTAGTAAGATCTCAAATCGACACCCTAACATCACAAAAGAGCTAGAAAAGCAAGAGCAAACTAATTCAAAAGCTTGCAGAAGACAAGAAATAACTAAGATCAGAGAAGAATTGAAGGAGATGGAGACAGGAAAAACCCTCCAAAAAATCGACGAATCCAAGAGCAGTTTTTCTTTTTGAAGATTAACGAAATAGACCTCTAGCTAGACTAATAAGAAGAGAGAGAAGAATCAGATAGACACAATAAAAAACGATAAAGGGGATATCACCACTGACCCCACAGAAATACAGACTACCATCAGAGAATAGTATAAACACCTCTACACAAATAAACTAGAAAATCTAGAAGAAATGAATAAATTCCTGGATGCATACACCCTACCAAGACTAAACCAGGAAGAAATCGAATCCCTGAGTAGACCAATAACAAGCTCTGAAATTGAGGTAGTAATTAATAGCCTACCAACCAAAAAAAGCCCGGGCCCAGGTGGATTCACAGCTGAATTCTACCAGAAATACAAGAGGAACTGGTACCCTTCCTTCTGAAACTATTCCAAACAATTGAAAAGGAGGGACTTTGCCCTAACTCATTTTATGAAGCCAGCATCATCCTGATACCAAAACTGGGAAGAGATGCACAACAACAAAAAAACTTCAGCCAATATCCCTGATGAACATCAATGTGAAAATCCTCAAGAAAATACTGGCAAACTGAATCCAGCAACACATCAAAAAACTTATCCACCATGATCAAGTCGGCTTCATCCCTGGGATGCAAGCCTGGTTCAACATATGTAAATCAGTAAATGTAATCCATCACATAAACAGAACCAAAGACAAAAACCACATGATTATCTCAATAGATGCAGAAAAGGCCTTTGATAAAATTCAGTATCCCTCCATGTTAAAAACTCTGAATAAACTACGTATTGATGGAACATACCTCAAAATATGAAGAGTTATTCATGACAAATCACAGCCAATATCATATTGAATGTGCAAAAGCTGGAAGCATTCTCTTTGAAAACTGGTACAAGATGAGGATGCCCTCTCTCACCACTCCTATTCAACATAGTGTTGGAAGTTCTGGCCAGGGCAATCAGGCAAAAGAAAGAAATAAAGGGTATTCAAATAGGAAGAGAGGGAGCCAAGTTGTCTCTGTTTGCAGATGACATGATTTTATATTTAGAAAACCCCATTATCTCAGCCCAAAAACTTCTTGAACTGATAAGCAACTTCAGCAAAGTCTTAGGATACAAAACCAACATGCAAAAATCACAAGCATTTCTTTACACCAACAATAGGCAAGCAGAGAGCCAAATCATGAATGAACTCCCATTGGCGATCGCTACAAAGAGAATAAAATACCTAGGAACACAGCTAACAAAGGACATGAAGGACCTCTTCAAAGACAACTACAAACCACTGCTCAAGGAAATAAGAGAGGACACAAACAAATGGAAAAATATTCCATCCTCATGGATAGGAAGAATCAATATCATGAAAATGGCCATACTGCCCAAAGTGATTTCTAGATTAAATGCTATTCTCATCAAACTACCATTGACATTCTTCACAGAATTAGAAAAAACTATGTTAAATTTCATATGGAATCAAAGAAGACCCCTTATAGCCAAGACAATCCTAGCAAAAAAAGCAAAGCTGGAGGCATCACACTATCTGACTTCAGACTGACTATACTACAAGGCTAGAGAAACCAAAACAAGTTGGTACTGGTACCAAAGCAGACAAATAGACCAATGGAGCAGAACAGAGACCTCAGAAATAACACCACACATCTACAACCATCTGATTTCAACAAACCTGACAAAAGCAATGGGGAAAGGATCTCCTATTCAGTAAATGATGCTGGGAAAACTGGCTAGCCATATTCAGAAAACTGAAACTGGACCCCTTCCTTACACCTTATACAAAAAATAACTCAGGATGAATTAAAGACTTAAATGTAAAACCCCAAACCATAAAAACCCTAGAAGAAAACCTACGCAACACCATTCAGGACATAGGCCTGGGCAAAAACTTCATGACAAAAACACCAAAAGCAATTGCAACAAAAGCCAAAATTCACAAATGGTGTTAAACTAAAGTGCTTCTGCACAGCAAAAGAAGCTATCATCAGAGTGAACAGGCACCCTACAGAATGGGAGAAAATTTTTGCAAACTACCCATCTGACAAAGGTCTAATAATTATCTAAAATTTACAAGGAACTTAAACATATGTACAAGAAAAAAACAACCCCATCAAAAAGTGGGCAAAGGGTATGAACAGACACTTCTCAAAAGAAGACATTTACACAGCCAACAAACATGAAAAAAAGCTCAACATCACTGATCATCAGAGAAATGTTAATCAAAACCAACCACAGTGAGATACTATCTCATGCCAGGCAGAATGGCAATTATTAAAAAGTGAGGAAACAGTGTTGGTGAGGCTGTGGATAAATAGGAACACTTTTACACTGTTGGTGGGAATGTAAATTAGTTCAACTGTTGTGGAAGACAGTATGGCGACAATTCCTCAAGGATCTAGAATCAGAAATACATTTGACCCAGCAATTCCATTACTGGCTATGTACCCAAAGGAATATAAATCATTCTACTATAAAGACACACACACACACACAAATATATATATATTTTTTTTTTGAGACAGAGTCTCAAACTGTCACCTGGGCTGGCGTGCAATGGCATGATCTTGGCTCACTGCAACCTCTGCCTCCCGGGTTCAAGTGATTCTCTTGCATCAGCCTCCCAAGTAGTTGGGATTACAGGCACCTGCCACCACACCCAGCTAATATTTTGCATTTTTAGTAGAGACAGGATTTCACTATGTTGGCCAGGCTGGTCTCGAACTCCTGACCTCATGATCTGCCCGCCTTGGCCTCCCAAAGTGCTGGGATTACAGGTGTGAGCCACTGCACCCGGCCACACACGTATGTTTATTGCAGTGCTATTTACAATAGCAAAGACATGGAACCAACCAAAATGCCCATCAGTGATAGACTAGATAAAGAAAATGTGGTGCGTACACACTATGGAATACCATGCAGCCATAGAAAGGAATGAGATTATCTCCTTGCGGGGACATGGATGAAACCGGAAGCCATTATCCTCAGCAAACTAACACAGGAATGGAAAACCAAACGCCACATGTTCTCACTCCTAAGTGGGAGTTGAACATTGAGAATACATGGATACAGAGAGGGGAACAACACTTACCAGGGCCTATTAGGGGGTTATTAGGGGCCTATTAGGGTGGTTGAGGGGAGGGAACTTAGAGGGCAGGTGGATAGGTGTAGCAAACCACTATGGCACATGTATACCTATGTAACAAACCTGCACATTCTGCACATGTATCCCATTTTTTTTAGAAGGAAAAAAGATTATAATGAACCTATATAATGGAGTAGGCTATACCATCTAGGTTTGTATAAGTACACACTATGATATTTGCACAACAGATGACACGTTTCTGAGAATGTATTCCCATCGTTAAGTGATGCATGACTGACTACACTAATTGGGATTCTATATGGCAAGTTAATCATTCACTTATAATGCTGTTTTCCTTATCCATTGGCTCCGAAAGTGTGCGTTTCAAACCTCTGGATACCTAATCTGTATTCTTGTATCTTATTGAGTGTCATAAAGCACAGCGAAGATTGGCATTTTAAGATTTCAGATTTTAAAACATGGGTCTCTAGAGAAGTAGACTAACCATCAAGAGAAAGATGAGGAATGCTCCAACTATTTGTGTCCCTATGGCTTAAAATGAGGGACATAAACTGCGCCAATCATATAACATGCCATTTAGAGGGATCACAGAGTGCCAGCAGGAGACCATGACAGATTACAGGAGGTGCCATTAGACCTCTGCTTTCAGTGATGCTTTAGGCTTTCCAGGTGTGGAAGTTTTCCTCAGTCCTCAAAACTTAAGCATACATTGGTAAAAGTATGAAGAGGAAAACCTAATGTTTTATATTAATATCGTTCACTTCCTATGTGATGTAGAATATGTAGTCAGACTAAAAGGAATTTTATTACCAAGTTGCCTATGTCTTTTAACTTGTCAAAACTCTTCTCTGATAACAAGATAGCGCCTTCTTTCTTTGTACATAAATGTTTATGTTCACTCTTCCTAAGCATTGTATGGAGAGTGAAGTAAAAAGTCAGTGTTCTTTACTAATAAGCTACCTAACCAGCATACTTTAAAATTCTGTTCTTCTGGGTGGACCATGGTTCATGTAAACTTGTAATTATTACCCTAAGGGGTTAAATTGCAGCTAAGGGGTAGGTAAAATAGGATCTGACAAAATAGAAATATTTTGGAAGGCAAGGAATTTTAACTTCAGTCTAATGGTCTCGTACAGGGTTCAAGAAACTGCTTTTGTAAAGGTCCATGGTAAATGTTTAGGCTCTGCAGGCCAAGAGCTGCAACTAACAGATGCAGTCCATCACAGTTATTCAACTGTGTCACTGTAGAGCAAAAGCAGCCAGAGAGAATATGTAAATAAATGAGCATGACTGTGTTCCAATAAAACTTTATGTATATTGAGTTTCATATAATTTTTGCAAGTTATGAAATAATTCTTTTGATTTTTTTTCTAGCATTTGAAAATATAAAAATCATTTTTTAGCCCATGAGCCATGAACTGCATTGGGCCATGCTCTAGTAGTAGAGCTGACCTCTGCTCTAGTAGTAGAAAGGCTTAAAACTCAGGGAGAAAAATTATGCCATACATCAGTTTCTCTTCTCCTTCTTCTCTTACATAAAAATATGTCATCAAGCTGTGCCTCTCAGAAATGGCATGCAAATGAAATTCAAGATTGGATGACATACAAGTGCTAGGTATTTTTAATACTTGTTTGTTAGAGTGACAACACTTGCAGCTAAACTTTCTGCTGTGGTTGTTTTAAAACTGTACTTATCTCTGGAGCATCTTTTTCTAAATAATGGAAAGCCAAGGGTTTTCTCAGGCTATTGCAAGAAGAAGAGAGATGGCACTCCTATTTTTTCTAAATATTTTCTAGTTTTCTTCCCAGTGGTTTATTCCTGACAGTTTTAATACCTTTTCACAACTTATTTTTAGTCAGTTTTGTAAGCTATTGTTTTGGATTTGGCAGAAACAACTAAATGAGAGTACACGTTACAGGGCAGAGCACTTGTGATTTTCTAGGGCAGCTGGAGTCTCGATGCCGCACAAATGAATTTAATACTATTTTATTTTCCTTTTTATTTCTGAAATGTGGCTCATGTTATTTGCAGGTGGAGATAATGCATTAAAGTCCTAGCAATTGAAAAGAGTAAATCGTACACTTGATTAATTTGGAAACAGCATGACTCTCAAATTTAGAATGCATTAATGTGTTTGTGGGTTGTTTATAGTCACTGAAATATCTGTCATTTGCTTTATTTAAAAATTTCAGGTGGAGAAACCTTGCAGTGGTGGCCAAGATTTACTTCTTTATCCAGCTAAGAGAAAGCAGCTTTTGAGAAGTGAACTGGATACTGAGAAAGTACCTCTATCCCCACTACCTGGTCCCAAACAAACACCACCGTTGAAAGGGTGTCCAACAGTTATGGCAGGAGACTTTAAAGAAAAAGTGGCAGACCTGCTGGTGAAATACACAAGTGGCCTTTGGGCCAGTGCACTTCCGAAAGCATTTGAGGAAATGTACAAAGTGAAATTCCCTGAGGATGCCTTAAAAAATCTTGCCTCACTTTCTGATGTATGCAGCATAGACTACATTTCTGGAAATCCCCAGAAGGCCATTCTCTATGCTAAACTTCCATTGCCCACTGACAAAATCCAAAAGGATGCAGGGCAAGCACATGGTGATAATGATATCAAGGCTATGGTTGAACAAGAGTATTTGCAGGTAGAAGAAAGCATTGCTGAAAGTGCTAATACCTTTATGGAGGACATAACAGTTCCTCCTTTAATGATTCCAACTGAAGCATCACCATCTGTATTGGTGGTTGAACTGAGCAACACAAATGAAGTGGTTATCAGGCAAGTTTCATTTTCTAATTCTTTAGGATTCTGATATACTTTTGTCACTTGTCTATTCTTCACATGGATGTTGAGGGTTAAAGGAAGAATAATATGGCCGGGTGCGGTGGCTCACACCTGTAATCCCAGCACTTTGGGAGGCCGAGGTGGGCGGATCACAAGGTCAGGAGATCGAGACCATCCTGGCTAACATGGCGAAACCCCGTCTCTACTAAAAATACAAAAAATTAGCAGGGCGTGGTGGCGGGTGCCTGTAGTCCCAGCTACTCGGGAGGCTGAGGCAAGAGAATGGTGTCAACTTGGGAGGTGGAGCTTGCAGTGAGCCAAGATTGTGCCACTGCACTCCAGCCTGGGCGAAAGAGCAAGACTCCATCTCAAAAAAAAAAAAAAGGATAACATATTCTTAGTTCTATAGAGTTATAGTGAGGCTTAATAATGTATTAATATTTGTTAATTGTTCAAAATATACAGCTATCCTAAGACTACTAATAGCTTTAAACATTGGAATGATAATATGAACTTGAAAAAAAGATTCATGTCAAAAGCTTGTTGGTAACTATATTATGTCAAAAGCAATACCTAGTTCGCAGAAAAGGCAAGTGCCCTACACACTGCATAATACTATTTATAATCTGGGACTATGTAGTATTTCCTAAAAGTAAAAATAGCTCAGAGCTGCTTTCCTTGTATAATACATCAGATTAGACCTTGGACCCAAAGGTGCTCTATTTATTTGAGTCTTTCAGTATCGTTGCCTGAGAGGAGGTGTCATTGCCTAAGGCATCATTGCCTAGGTAGCTAACAATAACTAGAATAACAAAAAACAGTACAGCTCCAGGCACCTGTCTTGGACTTTTGGAGAAAATGCAGAATACGTGGAAAATATAGAAAGACTATAATTTGCAGTCTCCATTTGGGAAAAAGAATGGGAACCTATGTAGCTGAACCCCTGGAGGTACCAGTCCAGGGTGTGGCCATGGCTGGGCAGATCAGAAAAATGCTGAAGCAAACAGAATCTGGGCTCCTTCAACCAAATGGTCCTTTGGTTTGGGCTGTCCCTCCTCCAGAGACCCATAACTGAGATGGAAAAGCCCAAAGAAGAACCACAAAAAATAATTAGAATCCTTCAATGAAAGAAGAGCTCAAAAATTTAAAGCTCTTCCATTTGAACAAATGAAATCTGAGTAGATAATAGAGTGAACCTAGTATCTTCAGATGCTCAAACTGGAAGAACCTCCAGAAACTTTAGAGAGGATAAAGCTTTTATTCTAAGATGTGGTGTGGCCTGAAGATATAAATAGGTTGCTGAAGGCTAGAGGTCCCAATATGTTTCACTATTGTATTGAAGTAAAGGAAAGATATTGAAGGCCACATTACCACCTTTTACCATTTGACTATACTATAAAGAAACTTACACGGCAGGATCCTTTGGTATCTGTAACTAGTAACTGTTGGTGCCATAGTCAGAGACCAAGCACCGGGCCAGACCAATCACATGGTTTCTGTTGTTCACACCAAGGTTTGTCAAGGATGATTATGTCCAGGGTCGTCAGATTATTTAAATACCTTATCCCAGTAGGAATTTAAATCCTGGAGTCAGCATTTTATGTGTTCAGCAGAGTGGCTGGCAACCAGCAAGCAAGATGGGTAATGTCTGCCATTAGGTTGACCTTAGGTTATTGGCTTCTGCCCTCCCCACAAGACTTTGCAAACCTCCACCAGACTGAACCCTGTTCTGTACTGGCATCTTCACCCAGGCAGGCAGTAGGCACTGGAAGCTGGATCTCTGGCTCATTAGGGCCTGGAGGGTACTATGGCAGAACCCTCATCTCAAATATGGGAATCCCTTGTCTCAGAAATTAACTTTGTAAAACTTTGTATTTAGGGCATCTCTAAATTGGCCTATCCATCATTCTTTGCCCCCCTTGCTCAGGTAATTTGAGGATAATATATGACCTCATTCTCGTCATTACCCACTGTCATACAAGCTGTAATGTCAGTCCTGCACTGTGCCTCATCCAACACCGTCCATCTTCCCCCTATCTGTGCAGCCCTCCTTCTCTCCTGGCTGCTTAAGAGAAGAGAAGCTGCCTGCAGATCCCAAGCCATTTCTCATCACCTTCCTCCCTTCTGGCAGGAGCCTGTGTTTGGCAGACCACCACATCAGGGCTGCAGCCCAGGCCTCTGCCAGTTGAGCACCCAGGGCTACATAGCAGCACTAGGGGGAGGCCCAGTGAGACTCTAGGTCCCAGCAAATGGGCAGTCGGGTGCAGTTGCAGACCTTCTGGAGGACTTCAGAGCCAAGAGTGCAACTGCATTCAAGGCAGTGCCTTAGTATTTGCAAAGCTCAATACATTTAAATGATAATACCTGGCTCAGTGACACATACACATCCTCCCAACTACTCAGCAGGCTGAAGTGGGAGGATTGCTTGAGCCCAAGAGTCCAACCTAGGTAACACAGCAGTGAAACCCTGTCTCAAAAAAAAAATTAAACTATAAGAGTATGGCAAAGCTTCTGCAGCTATTTCTGAAGCCAATAATATGCACATAATATTTCATTTTAAAATAGCCATTGCACATGGTTTCCATTTTGTGTAGGACTTTCTGAGTTTTGTTTTTTTTTTTTTTTTTCTCCTTGTAATGAATAGCTTGACTATGGCATCTTCTGCCCTGCTGATAATTACCAAGAATACATAGAAATAGTCCTAAAGGAACCATTTCTTAGAGCTGTACAGGCCTACTTGGAGCCTGGGTGAAACCTGGAACAATACAAAGAACAAGGTTCTTGTGGCATCTCCCCTGTCTCCTGGGCCAAGTGATGCTGGTGCTGTTAGAGTATAGCCTTCCAGCTAAAAAGGCCTCGATCCTATGGCTGGGACAGCTTCTCTTACATGACCCAAACTTGATATGCCAGGTTTTACACCCTAGAAGGAGACCCTGGACGAAATCATCTCTGAGGACTAAAGCGCAAGAAAACAGTAGCCTGTTTTGATAACATGAACTGGAACAAGGTGACCACAGTTGTCAACAGTAGAAAAGTGTAGAAAGGAATAAGGACATAATCCTGAAAAAAAATATTTCTCAACAAGCATACAGTTTTAGAGACATTTGACTAGAATATGGTACCTCTTTTAAGGGTATCAGAAGTCAACATTTTGTTGTAATTTGTTCAAATTCTTTAATAAGTTTGGAGGGGGGGTGTCAACGTTGTGTTTAGTGTACTCACAGCTTTGTTTTTTCTCTAGTAAAATTTCATTGCTTTTCAAAGCTTGACCCAGCCCTAGTTAGGTTAAAACTATGTTCTAGAGTCTCTTCTTAGTAATCTGTAAAGATTTCCAGCAGCCTTAGTCAAGATCCAGCATCGACCCTCACTTCTCTGGCCTCCAGGCCTCCCTTGGTGTCTCCATTTTCCACGTCTCCTCCTCTCTCCCCTTCCTGACTTTTCTCAGCCTTGTCCTTCCTGAGGACACTATCGCTGCTTCCTGTTATGCCCTCTCGTTGTCTGGATTGCTCCACGTTTCCTTTGTTGTGGGATATGTTGGACCAAATGTTTGCTGTGTTGTTTGGTGTGTGTTTTGTGCAGTCTCCATTGTCCCTTATCTGAGAGGGAGTCTCACTCTGTCATCCAGGCTGGAGTGCAGTGGTGTGATCTTGGCTCACTGCAACCTGCAACTTCCACCTCCTGGGTTCAAGCGATTCTCCTGCCTTAGCCTCCCAAGTAGCTGGGACTACAGGCGCCCACCCCCACACCCAGCTAATTTTTGTATTTTTAGTAGAGATAGGATTTCACCATATTGGCCAGGCTGGTCTCAAACTCCTGACCTTGTGATCTGCCTGCCTCGGCCTCCCAGAGTGCTGGGATTACAGGTGTGAGCCACTGTGACCAGCCCCCTTATCTTCTTTTTCAAGAGATAAGTATTTCACTGAATACACGTTCTCCTCCCTGTTGATATAAGCAAGTCTGAGACTGGAACCAAAGATGGCAGCAGGGAAAAAAGAAGGACAAAAACGAATTCCTATTGCTTTTCTTCTTCTAGGTTACTTCATTTGCATTCTCTTCTTTTAACTGATTCAGGTATGTGGGCAAAGACTATTCTGCTGCTCAGGAATTAATGGAAGATGAGATGAAGGAATATTACAGTAAGAATCCTAAGATCACACCAGTCCAGGCTGTGAATGTTGGGCAGTTGCTGGCCGTAAATGCCGAGGAGGACGCCTGGTTACGGGCACAGGTCATCTCAACAGAAGAGAACAAAATAAAGGCAAGCACTGTTTACTTTGTCATAGCATTATGGATACAAATACCTTATTATTTTCCAAATGTAAATATTTTTTACATTTTTGAAATTTAAATGTTGTATCCTATAATTAAATGTAGTTTTCAATGGAAGTTGAAAAGATAATATCTGTAAAAGGTTATCCCTGTCAGCCTTTAAATTCGTGGTAGTTATTATTATCTCAGAGTTTTAGTTAAAAAAATAAATTCCCCATGGGAGTATTCATAACACATTATCCAATCAGGGAAAGACACTTCCTATTCCTAGGGGATGTATAATGAATACTGACCAGAACTCTGTGGGCCTCTTATCAAGGCCAGTACTTCGGAGTGAGGGAAGCCATACAGACCAAAGGAGACAATTCTTCTTCTCCCTCTTCTGTAGCCAAGACACAGGTCCTTCTCCACAGCTGCTCCCAGCGTAGCCCTCTCCACCCTCTTGAAAAGGCCAGTGGGCCCGTTTGCCACTTGCTTCCATCAGCAGACTCTTCTGGGCTTGGCTACATTCGTGGATATCAGCCTCTGCCCTTTGCCTCTTCATACTGTCAATGCAGAGACCAAGAAGCACAGTTTCCCTGAGAGCGGTAGTGTCTCAGGGCCTTGGAACACCCAAATAACATGCAGAGAAATTAGGTATTAGCTCCGTGTGCTGTGTGGTCAGTTGTACTAGTGTATTTTTAATGTGTTACTTCTTTCTATCTTGGTGGAAGCTGTGTGTCTATTTGGAATTTATCCTTTGAATAATGGGCCTGCTACTTGATAGAGAATTTGGAGGGAGAGAAAGTCTTTTCTTTCTCGATTGTTAAGATGTCTCCCTTCCCTAAAGGGAAATGCGCTTTAAGACTTGGGTTCATTTCTGTCCTTCATGATGGGAAGGACACTGTGTAGAAGGGTGACCCTAGTTCCCCACTTCTATAGTCCCTTGTATTTATACAGAGCGCTCTTGGACTGTGAGGGGAATGTATCTAAGATCTTTTGGTTTTCTCTAGATTTTGCAAGCAGGGAAATATGTTTCTATTTCTGCAGCCTCTGTTCCATAATACAAAACCTTATTCCATGTGCCACTATCAGCCGCCAGCCAGTAATCCTGTATGTGTCACTGAGTGCAAATGACCAGTCCCTGAACACAGGCTTAAGTCCATCAGTTACTGGCCACTGAACCCTAGCTACAAGTGGGAGTTAGGAGGTCAGAAAGGGATACTGCTGTTTCTTAGCAGGTTGCTCAATAGGAGAGGCCCTGACCCTCTCCAGAAGTAAGCTCACCCAACCACCCAGCCACCCTTTCCCATTTGCAGAGGCATTTAGGAAACTCCCCAGCTGAATCTACAGAGGCACAAATTTTAAGTAATTTGACTGACTTTAAAAATCTGAAAATTGGAAAATAGTTTGCCAGTTTCTTACGAACACTTAACCATATGACCCCTAAGGCCCACAAGGTGTCTTGTACATACATGTGTGTTGCAGTATTATTATTAATAGCCCCAAACTGGACACAGCCCAAATGTTCACCAACAGGTGGATCATAAAAACAAATTATAGTTTATTCATGTAGTAGAACACTGTTAACAATACAAAGGAATTAACTACTGATATAAATAGTTTCATGGACAAACCTCACAGATTTTGTGCTGAGCAAAAGAAGCCAGGCACAAGAGAGTAATGTATAATTTCATGTAAATGATGTCTAAGAGCAGGTAAAATTCATCTGCAGTGATAGAAATCAGATCAGTGGTTGCCTGGGACAGGAGGTGGAGGGGGGCTAATTGCAAAGGGCAAAAGGAGACTTTTTGGGGTGGTGTAAATGGTCTATATGTTGATTATGGTGATGATTATATGGATGTATACATTGATCAAAGCCCATCAAACTGTATTGTAAACAGGTATCTTTTATTCAGTGTAAATTATACTTGGATAAAGTTTGAAACCTGGAAGAAGCTAAGGACCACAATGGTCACTGGACCAAAGGAGAACACAGGGCTTGGGCACTAGTCCTGAGTCTGCCTGTATTTGGGTGTGTGCCTTTGGTCAAGTCCCTCCATTCCTCTGGGTCTCTAGTTGATAGGAGATAACTATCCCTAAACGTTCCTAGATAAACTTCTGTTTCCTGGCCATTTCACTCCCCCGGCCCTTAGGAAGTTCAACAAAAGCTAAGCTATTTTGAGGCACAGAGATTTCTTATGAAGAGAAGAATCATACGTAAATCCTAATGACACATTAACAGTGTAACAATATTTACAATAAATAATGCAGCTATTCCACAAGGATATCTCCCAGTCTGAAGTCTATAGGGCAGTCACTTTCTTTCCTCCCTCCCTCCTTCTACTTTGGGAATTCAGGCTCTCGTGTCAGATAGAACTGAGTCTCAGCTTTGCCATTTCTAGCTGTGTGGCCTTAGGAAAGTTATTTAACTTCCCTGATTGCTTATCTGTAAATTCAAACACTCCCATCGTGTTGTATATACCTGATACACTTTTTCACTTTTTACTGGAGCCAAGAACAAAACATACAAGTCCTTCTTCTCAAGAAGCTTACATTCTAGTGAGAAGAGAGAGATGACAAGCATACAGTAAACACACAAAACAATTTTAGTACAATGAAGGAAATAACCAATAAAGGAAATAACTATGATAGAAAATAACTCTGAAGCAAGAGATAGGCAGAGTGATGTGATCTCATTTAGATGCTTCAGAAATCATTCTGGGACTGTTGTGGGGGAATGGATTGTATTATAGTAGGGCACAGAAGGAAAGTAATACTGGTTAGGTGGCTGTTGTAATAGCCAGCTACCTTGTAACCTGGATTAGTGAAGATGGAGGTAGTGGAAGAGATTCAGGATATATTTGGAGGTAGAACTGACAGGACACTGACCTGTTGGAAGTGGATGGTAAGCAAAAGAGAAGATTCAAGATAAGCTACTGGGTTTGGGGCTTGAGCAATTGACTAGATATTGGTGCCATTTGTTGAAATTGGGAAGTCAGAGAGAAAAACCATTGTGGAGAACAATTGAGAATTTCATAGGACCTGCTAGGTTTGAGAATAGCTATCAGATGTCACATGGATGAATTTGGAGCTCAGGGAGCAGTTAGGACTGGAGATGTGTCAGGTTGGGAGGCATCAGCATATAGGTGCTATGTGAAATCACAGGACAAGATGAGATCCCCTAGAGAGAGAATACACGTAGAGAGGAGGAGGGGCCTGGGCCCAGGTCCTGAAACCCTTCAGTATTTACATGGAGGCATAAGGGGAGCAGAAAAGCCTGTAAAGATGGCCAAAGAAGAAAAACCAAGAGAGTGGTGTCACAGAAGCCAGAAAAAGAAAGCGTCTCATAAAGAAGGGAGTGACCAGCCTCGTCATTGCTGCTGAGAATTATGGGCTGGATGTGAAGAATAAAAAAGGTAGCTCGGTATTTTGTGCAGTAGCAAGCTCTTGGGACAGCGGTGATTGTAGCAATCCGGGCCTGAACTTGTTCCCCACATCCCCTTGAAGCTGACAGAGATGATTTCTCCCTTTATTTGGAGAAACCCCAGCTACTTAGCACCAGTCTTGCTTCGCTTGAATTGAACTTTGTCTGGTGGTAAGTACTGATTCCTTCCTTGCTTTCCCTGTCAGATCCTTGGTGAGTAGGAGAAACAGGAGATGTGGTCACCCGCTGAGGCTGGTGCCAGTTTGGCCTGACCCAGGCCCACATCCCAGGGGAGTCTGCTGGGTGATAGGTAGTGCTGGGAGACCTTTGGCCACTTGATGGTGCCAGAGAACCAGGAATGGACTGGGGCCTTATGCCAGATTATGTGACTACTGGCCCTGATCCCAGGACATTAGAGAGAGAGAGACTACTGAGCCCTCACAGAGCAAAGGACACAGAGCAGAGTGTGGTGAGAGTCACACTGGCCAATGCATGGACAAGTGTTTTATAAACTGCAGTTGCCATACAAACATGTATGATTAAAAACAAGAAAAGAAGCTACAAACAGTTCAGAAACACTTTCTTTTGAGGCTTTGGAGCAGTTATTCTTTAATCTGTTCTTGTGCTAAGAATACATTCTGAATTTCCCAGGAGTCATGATTTCACATGCTATGTCCTATTGTCAGACCACGTTACCTCCATTTTGGGCCTGGGAAGAACAGAATCTAAGTTGTAGGTGGTGATAGCTATTAAAGGAAATGAAAGCTGCCTGACTCCTGAGGCCTATGAGAAGCAAAAGCAGGTGCTAATTTAGGATTGGAGAAATAGACTTGTGCACTTAAATGGCCAGCTGCCTGACATGCAGCCCTACCAGCGATCTAGGCCTAAGTCAGTGTTGAGTCAGATGTGGATTCTAAGAGATGGTCTTTCTGATACAAGGTAGACAGGCCCCACAGGCCCGCTTATCACATGGCCAAGGAAAGGAGTTAGTGGTGTCTTCTGCTTTTTTCCCTTAGATTCTCTGCTGGGAAGGGTTTTTGTTTCGTGTGTTTAGTACCATAATCTAGGTACTAAGAAGCTGGCCTGTGGACTTTATTTTCAGGGAGGCAGTGAAAGGAACCTACCTCATGTTACTTGGTATTAAGGCCAAGACTTTGCCCTGGTGTTTGTTGTTTTGTTTGCTTTGTTTCTTTCAATAACCATCATCTCCTTTAATTAGAGATGCATATTAGGTTTTCAACATTTCCCTTAGATTCTTAGTTATTCTAAACCATAGCTTAATGTTTCTAGATTTTTATTTTTCTCAAAAAAAGGCTTTGTGTTTATATAATCCTTTTAAACTGAAGATTCTATAAATATTCTTAAAAATAATATCCAGGCTCTTAACAGTCTGTGCTAATGGTGAGGAAAAGTTGTTCAGGTTTCTGCAAACACAGACCTCTGTTCAGCAGACTTAGGGCCTTTTGCTGAGCTGAAAGAAGACCTAACCCAGCTTCACACCCTTGAAAAAAATAGGTACGCCTGTTTTTTAGTTTAGAATTCCATGTTGTTCAGCAGTGATACCATTGTTGTCATTGATGAAGCATCTCGGTCCCTGGAAGCACAGTAGCTGAGAATAGCCATCACAAATGCTGCTTTGGGGATTTAGAATCTGATAAATACCACAAGGATGATGCCTGCCATAGAAACAAATACTGCTGTCCAGGGAACGGGTGGAAATGTGTAACTCAAAAAAGAATAAGCTGATATAGGCATTATGATATTAATGAAAGCACCAAAGGGGAGGGGAGCAGAGTTGGCAGAACCAGGTAGATAGGCTGCTGAAAGACTGGCGACAGCAAGGTGGCAGGGCTGAGCAGTCTTGTTCTTCCCATTGAAGGGGTAGGGTGAGGTAGAAGACTGGGACCTGGAACTAGGACCCCTGGTTTCCTTGGTCTCAGCTCCAGCCTTTCTCTTCTGTGGTAAGTCAGGGGCACCTCCCCAGCTTTTTCCAGGTGCCACTCTGCCACTCAGCTTGCTGATCATGGAATAAGATTGAGCCAATTAAGTGTATCAAATGAATTTTTTAAAGAGAGGATAAAGAACTAAACATTCTGTGTTTTTAATCATTAGGTATGCTATGTTGACTATGGTTTTAGTGAAAATGTTGAAAAAAGCAAAGCATACAAATTAAACCCGAAGTTTTGTTCACTCTCATTTCAAGCTACAAAATGTAAGCTTGCAGGTAAGAGGAACTTTTTAAAAAACTCTCTCCATTTCAATAGGCTATTACCACTGTACATTTGGATAGTTGAATCCTAAAATGGACTAAGTATCTCATGTTATAATGTGTTACTTCTTGAAAGGTTTAAATTCATGTCGAATGTATTCTTTATAAGATACCATTATAAAAATGTTATGTTTTTATATTTTGTGTTATATATAAAAACGTATTATAATTTCTTATAAAAATTTCAGCCATCTTAAAGGGATTTTTCTTGTTCTAACTGCCCTAGTAACAATTGATAGAGGCCCTGTTTCATGACATTTGATGAGTTTCAATATGTTGTTCAGCATGTTGTGAGGTGACTCTCAGCCCCTTTCCCACTGAGATGTACTGTGGTGATGCTGTGAGGGTGTGACTGACACACCTTCATGTGCCCAAGCATGGGTTTGATCACAGGTCACATGCAGTTTTTGGCATAGTAGATGTATCATTGTTCTTTTCCTTCCTCCTAAAGGAAACAGAGGAATCCACCTGTATGAGAGTGCCATGTAGGGATAAACTTAAAGGACAGATGACACATTGGTCATGTCCGTGATAAGGAAAGGCATTGAAATATGCACCATGCCGGGGGGGACTTGAGCCAAATGCAGAAAATGATCATAATTATTTCATGAAAATTAGTACTCTGAAGAAATGCCTCCTTCCCAGTGGGATGAATTCTTATGTCACAGGAGCTGGGTTTGACTCTTATCTGTGAGATTAACCTGAAGAAATTTTAAAAACTTGTTAACAACTTTTAGAAGTTGGTGTTGGAAAGAACGTATCAAGGGCATAGGACAGGATTTAGGGTGTTGAAATTAAATGTTTGAGAAAAGTTCAAAGTTATATGTCTGGAGAACAGAACAAGAAGAAGAAAAAACTCGGAGGAGTCTGAATTTTAGCTTGTGGATTTAAAGTAGAAAAATATGGAAATAGGCATTATAGTACCATTGGGGGAATATGAGCTAGTTTTAATTCATTTAATACATTAACTTAGAATTGTCATATATGTTATGTGGAACTATAATTTTCTAAGAATTTAAAGAGTAGTTGGACTACAACAAAATTCATCTAATACCTGTGTTAAACACTACTTAATCTGTCTTTGATAAATCAGAAGGTTCTTTGGTATCCTAAGGGTCAATAAAAAAGAAACAATAGTGGTTGTCTCAATTTCCAATAAATGTGTGTTCATTTTATAAGAAAAATAATTGTATATATGTAGGAAGTGCATTACAAACATATGACTGGAAGACATAATTGATGGCTTCTCATATGTGTTAGTTTTTTGGTTTTAAATATGTGTTCATGTATAAAGTGAAGACTGTTTCTCCCAAGGTAGAAATTCTGATTGATTATCCGTTTCTCTGCTTGTTTTAAGATTGCCTGCCTTAGTGTATCATTCAAAAGGGCGTTTACATTATATTTTTTTAAAACCTAAGAGGTAAGATAAAGATTGTAAAACAAAGCTTTCATATAAAATTTAATAATTTTGCAGTAGGCTTATAATTTTAATAATGGTCAAAACAGACACAATCCATCTATTCATCTTGAAATGATTTTTCTAATTAAGTAGAAATTAAAAGATTCAATATTTTTCAGGCTTGGAAGTCCTAAGCGATGACCCTGATCTAGTGAAGGTGGTTGAATCTTTAACTTGTGGAAAGATCTTTGCAGTGGAAATACTTGACAAAGCTGACATTCCACTTGTTGTTCTGTACGATACCTCAGGAGAAGATGATATCAATATCAATGCCACCTGCTTGAAGGCTATATGTGACAAGTCACTAGAGGTTCACCTGCAGGTACCACTGTGATCACTGTTGTTGCTTGTTACACATTTTGTATGAGAGAAAAATCACCAGAATATTATACATTTTAGGCTAACAATTGATAGAGACAGATTACATTTACATTGAGGGGAAAAAAGGAGGGAGTGGGGCTAGAAGGGAAAAAAGTACCAAAATGTTCAGAGTAATTGTTTCTTAGGAACTGGATTTTTTATTTTCCATTTCCTGCAATGAGCATCTATTGATTTTATATGAGATTATTTTGTAAAGATAATAAGGAAAAATAACACAAAAGAAGGGAAAATTGGGTCCATGAAGATGTTGATTATTAGCTTTAACTTTTTTTTAATGTGAAGAACATAAATGCCCCAAAAGAAGGAAGCCTTTAAATAAATTATAGAATATCTACCCAAGAGAATAGGATGAGATGTTAAAAATGGTCATTTTAAAGATTTCATAGAAACAATGGGAAAACTTCTGTTTTAATAAGTAGAACCACTGTGAATGTCTTTATTATGGTTTGACTAAAAATGGGTAAAATTGAATATTTACTTTGATTATGGTTTTTTAAAATTACTCAAATTCATATGACCTCTGGACACAGGTTAGAAAGTAGACTGATGATGGATTTGATTTTGTGAGAGTTTATTTTCACTTCTGTTAATGTTACAAAACATGGTTTATGTAATTCTTTTTCTAAATAAATGGGGAGAAAATAAACCAACATTAAAGATAGTCTTGGCCTTTCAGACAATGGAGTATGGGAATGTATGCACAATGTCTATTTTGTGCTTGGCATAAATGATATTAGACATTTCTTTTAAAAAGAAAAGAATCCAAATTAGTTTTGTACATTTAAGCTATAAATTGCATTTCATCTTACATATACTCTAACTTAAAGATTTTAAAATGCAAAGACTTGTTATGGGATGTTTAGGTAGATACCCTTTAGGTAGGTAAGAGCTGCATTCTGCTCTCAAGCATTCACGAGGTATCCTTTGTCTGTTATAGGTTGACGCCATGTACACAAATGTCAAAGTAACTAATATTTGCTCTGATGGGACACTCTACTGCCAGGTGCCTTGTAAGGGTCTGAACAAGCTCAGTGACCTTCTACGTAAGATAGAGGACTACTTCCATTGCAAGGTATAGCAGAACCTCTTCTACCTCTAAAATTAGCCCTAAAATTACAAGCAAGAGTAATTTACTAAATTGCATAAGTATGAACAATTTTTTTTGTATGAACGATTTTTTAGTAGTCTGAAATGGAATCTCTAGAATAGTAGGTAAAGAGCTCCAGACTTCAGAGCTTTAAAAGAAAAACACAACACTAGTTTCTGCAATGTAAAACGAAGATAGCAATAGTGTGTACCCTATAGGATTGTCCTGAGGACACTGTGCCTGGCATGTAGTCAGTGCACAGCAATCGGTAGATGTGTTATTTATAACATGCAGTTGATGATGCCACAGTGCAGCTGCCTGTGACTGTCTGCTAGAGCCAGCTGACTCTTCTGCCTTAGGCAAGGAGAAACCTTGGAATTTAGGAGGATAATAAAACTTTCCTCCTTAGTTCTGCCTTCATCTTCCTCCTTACCCATCACTCCTTGAGCTCTTTATGGACCCTGAGAACCTGCCACCTGATAAATTTGGTTCTGCAGTTCAAATTGTATTAATAAGCTCCTTATCCTTTAATTCTACTATTTTTTTCTGAATCGAGCTCTGTAGAGGTTTTATTGTGCTTTAAGTTCCTAAAATGGTTTCCTTACCTCCATTAGGACATTATGGTCATATTTCAGAATATGCTGTGGTTTCCAAATCACTAAACCCTACTGCCACTTCTGCCCTTACCCCCTCGTCCCTGGAAGTGAACTCTTCCCTCTAACCCACAAAGCACATCAGGCACCTCAGGGCATTCATATTCAGGTTTATATTTTAGCTATTTGGGTACTTATTTGCCTTTCTAGACCGTATGCTTCTTGAGGGCATAGACTGTGCCTTACCAATTTTCTGCATCCCTTACAGTATCTAATCTAGTGTCTTATGTAGAATAGGTATGCCAAAATATGTGCCGAATCAGCTTAAACCCGCATTCAAAGTACAGTCTGGAATTGAGACATTCCTATAGCTTTATCTTGTTCTGTGTTACAGAGGTTTAATTTTAAGTCTATCTTTGAAAAATCTGAAACCCCCAGCTTGGCTGACTCTAGTGACTCATTTGTATGGATGTTGTCCTTATAACCTTTGGTGGTGAAAAGGACTCGATATTTCCTACTGCACTCGTAACCTAAGTGAGACATTGCCTTTGGGGAGAGTAGAAACACACACCCTGAACAGAAAGAGACCATGGACAGGTACCCCCAACTTCAAACTACAGCAGAAGAGGAAGATGAGGAGACTTCATCTTTACAGCTGTGATTTGTTGGTATTTAACTGGCACTGACATACATATTTGTGTTGATAACATTTCTTTGTTTTGGAATTAAAATGTTATCTTTGCATCTAAATGTGAAGAGATGAAAATGAAAAGAATAGGCCCACAGACAGCTCTCGCAACCTCCTCACTGTTCTTCTTTTTGTCAGATTCAACACCTCTCTTCATGTGTAACTGATGGAGCCAGTGCCTAAGTGAATCATAATGATCTTATGCTAATGTTTTTAGACATGTTAACAATGCTGATTTATGAGCCATGTGCATGTAGGGAGAGTAAACTACTGATGTCAACAAATGTATGAGTAACAAGACAAAAGTTTTATAACCCTGTGTGTTTGCTGCATCCATTGCTGGAAGTCTGACTACATGTCGGTTAAGTCTGCCAGTGCCACAGCGATCTGTTTTTCTAATGGTGTAGCAATATGCTCTTTGCTAAGAGTAATAAGAGTATCATGCATTTCTGTTTTGCAGCACATGACCTCTGAGTGCTTTGTTTCATTACCCTTCTGTGGGAAAATCTGCCTCTTCCATTGCAAAGGAAAATGGTTACGAGTAGAGGTAAAAATCAGTCACTTGGCTTTTTAATCTTAACTTATTGTGAAATATTTCAAATATACACATAGGTTTTTTTAAAAAATTGAATAAATACTCACAGACTCATCATCAGTTTATGAAATAAAACATGACCAGTATGGTTGAAATTTCCTGGTTGAAGTTATGGTCGAAGAAAGTTTACATCTCCTTTCTTCTGCCTCCACCCCAGTTTCATTTGTGTTTTTCTCATTCTTACTTGTTTATATTCTTACTGTATTTGTACTTGTAGATACACACTTTTACTATATATTTTTAATATTTAAATAGTGGAAATATATTAATGAATATGTGTATATAATATAAAGGCAAATGAATAAGTGTAACTAAATGAATAAATATTTTCAAACTTTATGTAAGTTGTAAGAGGTATTGGTCATGCTTTTTCATTCATTATGTTTGTGAGATTCATTCATGTTGATGTGTGCAGCTGTAGTTCATCTATTTTTACTGCTGTATGATTGAACACTATTAATATGCCAACGTTATCACTCCATCTTCCTGATGATGGATATTTAGATTGTTCCTAATTTTTTGAACCTTCCTGTCTGTGTCTTCCAGGGTACATACATAGGAATGGAGTTTCTAGGTATTGGGAATGCATATCTTCAATTTTACTAGATCTTGCTTAATTGCTCTCCAAAGTTGCCTTCCATTGAGAGTATATCCCTTTAAGAACTGTGGCTTCATGGGGCAGTGTCAGATCCTCCCTGCCTCCTGCCTGGATCTAAGGCCATGTCTCCTGCCCAAGACAATTTTGGCTTTAAAGTTCACATACTCTTCTATTTCTAGTCACTAACAATTGTCTTATTTTCTTGCAAGCTCAGTTACGAACTTGAAGGGAGTTTTGTTGTGGTTTATCTTGCGTTTCTATATGTTTTTAAAAAGGCAAGTTTTGGATTTTTGTGATTGCTTTCCCTCCCTCTCTTCATCTAGTTTGAGGTGGCACACACCTATAATCCCAGCACTTTGGGAGGCCAAGGCGGGAGGATCACTTGATGTCAGGAGTTTGAGACCAGCCTGGTCACAATAGTGACATACCATCTCTACAAAACCAAAAAGAAAAAAAAAAAAAACTAAACAAAAAAAAATTAAGAAAAAAACATTGGCTTGATTTTTTTTTTCTTTTTTTTCTTTGATACAGAGGTTCTTAACCTAGATGCAAGGACCTCAACTTTCAGGGGGGTCCCTCAACCCTCCTGGAATTGTATGCAAATTGTGTGTGTGCTTGTATTATATATTTTGGGGGAAAAGTATGCATAATTTTGTAAGATTCTCAAATCAACCCCCAAAAGGTAAGAATCGTTGCTTTACTGAATTTTTTAAATGCTGCACAGCAACATTTTGATAACTTAATTGAATTGATTTTTTTCATTATTTAAATAAAACTTGGTCATGTCTACTTGAATGAGAGTAGCAGTTTTGAAGTAATTATTGCTATTAATGTGACTGTATGTCAGAAGGCTGAAATCTCGGGTCATATGACCAAGGGGTATGTGCCTAGGTATAAACTTCAAAAACATGACTCGTTGAAAAGGTCATGGCATTCTTCAGATCTTAAAGTTCTGTGTGATTTAATTTAAAATATATAAGTGTATGCATACTAACTTTTTCAACTTTTTATTTTGAAATAATTTTCCTTTTTTACAAGTTGCAAAAATAGCACAAAGAGGTCTCATTGGCCTTTTACCTTCTCAAATGTTAACATCTATATAACCATTGCATAATTATCAAAGCCAGGAAATTGACATTAATACAAAACCATTAGTTAATCCACAGAACATACATTTCCCAAATTGTCCCACAAAGTACTTTTTCTGCTCCAGCATACAATCTGGATCCCACATTGTCTTTAGTTGTCATGTCTTCTTAGTATACTCCACCCTGGCAGTTACTCAGCCTTTCTTTGCTATTCCTGACTTTTTGAAGAATAGCATTATGTTGTAAAGTATCTCACAATTTGAGTATCTTCATGTTTAAATTTAGGTTATGCATTTTTGGCAGAAAGAAGCCTTCTTAGTGTATGTCCAAATATTTTAGATAAATATCTAGTATTATTTTTGTTATTATCAAATTGTATATTGTCTACCTTCAAGGTAGACAAAAGGTTTGAGTACTCATTCTCTTAGTGATGTATGGAAAGTCAGAGAAGGAAAAATAATTAGTGAAAAGCAGATCCTATGTTTAATCATGTATTTATTCTTGATAGTTATACAAATAATTGCAAAGGTAATTATTGTTTTGACCCCAAAACAATAGTTTTTCCCTTATATTTTAATATTTTGGAGAACAGACTGTATCTTATAATCAGCAATATATAATAATGTATCAAATCATTTTATAATAAATCACGTCCTAGAATTGGAGAAATAATAAATATTACTATACTTATTTTACTGTTTATTGTCAGTTTGCTGATTATTACTGATTAACTAGATGTTGAAAGCAATTCTACTCTAAAACAATGTTTAGTAGGCTGGGCGCGGTGGCTCACACCTGTAATCGTAGCACTTGGGAGGCCAAGGTGGGTGGATCTTTTGAGGTCAGGAGTTTGAGACCAGCCTGGCCAACATGGTGAAACCCCATCTCTACTAAAAAATACAAAAAAATTAGCTGGTTGTGGTGGTGGGCACCTGTAATCCCAGCTACTTGGGAGGCTGAGGCAGGAGAATCACTTGAACCTGGGAGGCGGAGGTTGCAGCGAGCTGAGATTGCACCACTGCACTCCAGCCTGGGTGACAGATCAAGACTCTGTCTCAAAATAATAATAATAATAATATTTAGTAAATAAATACATTTTAAATTAGGGGAAAATTTTAACACTGATAGTCTGTTCCTTTTAATATGCATTCAGGATTGTACAAAATGTAATTGCACAGAAGCATTTTGGTCTTTTGAATATGCTAATAAATGAGCCAACACTTATCTCATTTCAGATCACAAATGTTCACAGCAGCCGGGCTCTTGATGTTCAGTTCCTGGACTCTGGCACTGTGACATCTGTAAAAGTGTCAGAGCTCAGGGAAATTCCACCTCGGTTTCTACAAGAAATGATTGCAATACCACCTCAGGTACTATGTTACCAGCCTGGGAGATTTGCTGGAACAGATTTGGATGTGTTCATAATCTTATTGTAAGATGCCTTCTCAGTTTTGATCTCATTAATTTTTAAGAAAATTGGAAATTGTCCAAATGTGGTTGTCTGCTGGTTTTCAGAAGTAAAACATTGCTGACTTAGACAAGAAGACCAGTCATATTTACATACTGTTGTTTGAGAAATGTTTGTTTTCAAGAGCATCCAGTCATTAAGCTGTGTTGTCCAGTTACAGGTTCCATTTTGATAATTAGATGCCAGTACTGACTTATGTACAGTTCCAGAATATTGTGTATAAATGTTTATTTTTAGAGTTTTTAGTTTATTTAGGTAACCATTTTCTTTGGAAATCTGTTTAGACATAATCATTTTCTCGGTGACTTCCCCACCATACATTTTAATTAAAAGATGAACTTCGGCTGATCCTTTCTTTATTCATGAATGTTCAGATGATAAGGATTTTGAATATTTTGAATTGTTTAGAACTACTCACTACCTTTAGGAGAAATAGAGGATTTTGTGCAGAAATTAATATCTTTTAAAAAATAAAACAATGCGGTATTCTACAACTTCAAGATGCCCAGTTACTAATATTTTCAAGAAGACATCTTCTGCCATCAAACTCAGTAAATAAAACATTGTCCATAATTAGCATGGCTTTTGACATGTCTCTCCCTCCCATCACCATTGCTTTTTCTAGCCGTGACTATTACAGAGAAGCTTTTTTCAAAATCATTTTTACTGTCCATTGTTCAGCCATAATTCTGGAAATTGATGGGCCTTTAAGTGCTACTCTGACTTAATAATACCTCTTGTTGGAACAGCCATGCAGGGCCAGGCTTACCTAGAAAAGATCCCCTGGGCTGGAGGGCAGTTGGGAATCTGTCCCACCGCTGTGATTGTCTGAAAGTCCACAACAGTACCACCTGTATGCTACGGCATTAACAATCACTAAACTTTTTTTTTTCATAATCTTGTGTAGGTTTATTATTTGACAAATGGGAAGACTGTTGGTTGGGAGTACTTTAAAAGCCAGCCAGCCCAAGCCTCTGGCTCACAACATCTCTCCAAGAGTCTAAATCAGAGTACCAAACTGATGGACTGTAAGCCAAAGCCAACCCTTAAATACTGAGTTTTGGCTCTTGGCTCTTACAGTATTTTAAAAATGTGAACTGGTTGCCAGGATTTTAAAATTAGGAAATTTCACACAAAAATTCCTACTTCTAGCTTCTCTCTTGACAAATTGGAAAATCTGACTGCTGAGCACTCTTCTTGTGGGGAAGTGCTCCTTAGGAGTTTGGGGCCTTCTCCTCTGCTGGCCCCATCGGGTCTGCCCCACTCCCTCGTTGCCTGCCCAGCCCCTGCAGATATTCAAGTGTGCTGCCTGCTCTAAAGTGACCTCCTCTCCAACAAGAAAGGTACCACATCCAGCCAGCAGAGCAAGGAAAGGCTTAGAGCTCCTGAGGGAGGAAGGCAGGAAGACAGGAAGGGGCTCAGAGAGGAAAAGGAATCCTGGAACTGGGTTTCATCCCCTTCACAAAATTGTTTCCGTTGATTCGAGGGTTTGCTTGAAGCTGAAGGAAATCCCTGAGTTCACTTTTTAGCCTCTGTTGTAGCCATTCTACAGATGCTTGTATAGTGGTGGTAGGAGCTAAAAAGCACTGGGGAAAATGAAGCTTTTAGGGACCTGTGGATTTCAGTTTTTCTCACCCTCCTTAGTTCTCATTACAGCCTTGTTCAAAAGGCAAACAAATGTGCCTGGTACCCACGAGGTACTCAGGAAATGCTGAATGAAGCAACAGGAGTCAGATTTCCTCCAAATGACAATTGATTTTTTTTTTTTTTTAAGTTGAGCTAGAGGGTAGACCTTGATAAAAGTCCCAACCCTGTCTTTGCAACTTTGGTATCTTATACAGTCTTTCTGAGTCCATTTCCCCATCTGTGAAATGGGGCTGCAACACCTGTCATGCAGAAGTATTGTACGGTGGGAAGTATATGGAGTGCTGGGGGTAAGCCCTGGCTCATAAAGGAGTAAAGACAATAGTAGTTATATAAATAGAGTTAGGAACATAGCAGATGCTCAAACCAGGAACTGTGATTGTCGTTATTAGCTGTTGTTGCTTGCTGTCTATCTTGGTACCATTTGATTTGTAGGAAAATAATATTAACATTACTCATAACTAGGTATTTTAACATGGTGTGTTCACTTTTCCATCATATTTTCTTTTCAGGCCATTAAGTGCTGTTTAGCAGATCTTCCACAATCTATTGGCATGTGGACACCAGATGCAGTGCTGTGGTTAAGAGATTCTGTTTTGAATTGCTCGGACTGTAGCATTAAGGTTAGCTATCTTGTTGGGCCTGATACATTTAGAAAGGGAGCTGGCAGCTGTCAGGGCTCATTTAGTTTTTGTGAAGGAATTTTATCTCACTGTAAAATGGATGCTTCCACATCCAACACATTTTTTATATTCAGCAAATTGGCTACATGTGTAGCTGTAAGATATTTTATGGTTTAATTCTTATTTAAGAAGTTATCCTGTCTCTCCAGTATTATTTTTAAATCCTTCTTATAATTTTTCCCATTATTAATGTAGAAGAGATGGTTCTCCACTTCTGTTTTGCTTCATGATAAGGGATTAAGTCCCCAACAGAGGGACCACAGATCTCTTGATAAATGTTTCTAAAGATCATTTAAATAAGTCCTCTATTTCTTTTTTATTCACAAAGTAGAATAGATTATAAACAAATCATTTATTTATAATTGTGGTTCTCAGCCTCTTTTTCCTAAAGTTTATTTAATCTGCCATACTTATTTCACTAGCTCTTGTTTCTTTTTCTGTACTTTTGCATCTTTAAATCAAAAACATTGCTCATATATCCAAGAATACAAATTTAAGAAGATAGTTTTTCTCTGTTAACTGATGGAAATTGTATGACTGTTTTATATAAACATTTAAAATGAAATGTCCTTGAAAAATATCTTCATGAAGACCTCTAAATTATTCTAGCTAGCAGTGATTTTTCTGTCTTTGTATTCCTCTGGGGTTTATAGTGTACAATTACATGCTTAATTATATACTATTCCATATTCTTCAGTTGTCACATGATAATACTGTTTTCTCAGCTACTCTTTAAGCTCCTAAAGCCAGAATATTGGATGGTTACTCAATAAAAGTACTTTTTGTTAATTTTTAAAACTGTACTTCTGTATTATAAATTTCAAAATGAATTTGCAGTCAGTATTTAATTAGTACTTCAGAGGATGAATGTAATAGAGGCATCTTGTTGGGAAAAAAAAGAAATTTTAAGTAAATCACTGTAGATGGGTTGCCTTGCTGTTATCTCCCTCTCCGCAGACCTGTGTTCCTGCCTTTCATTTCTAGCCCTATTTGGTAAAAGATAAATGTGGCTGGAAGTATCTTATTTTTATCATTCCTAAGATAAACCAGAGTTGCTGATGAGAATAGCCAACAGTCACCTAGCTCCTTGGGACACACAGCAGTACAGTCCCAATTATTAATGTATGATATTTCCATACAAACACCCCTCTGGCCGAAAGAGCAAAGATGGTTAGGTAGTCAGAGGTCTCCTGGACAAAAAGTGTAAAACTAATTTTGACCCGTTCTGTGGAGCTTGCTTCCTCTTTTTCTCCCCAGGTCCCTCTCCTCCCATGTAATTGGCGATGGGGAAAGGGGTGAGGACATATACTAGGACCAGACAAGGAATTTGAAAGAGGGGTGCTTACAGATATGGTGGTTGTCAGAGCTTTTTCCTTCCCTTCCCAGTCTTGAGGACACACCAGCCTTAAGCAGAACGCTCATAAATCATTTTGCCATCATTGTGATTGTTTTTTATTATTGATGCTGGGTGATGAGTATATCAGGGTTCATCATACTTATCATTTCTACTTTAAGTGTTTCGAAATATCATTAATTTAAACTATTTTAATCATGATATATAGAATCCTTTCTGTCAATGATAATGACCTTAGCAAGTTATAAAGTTTTCTCAGACTTTTTAAAGATTAGTAAATTTTTTATTTCCATAAGGCTGCACTGTTCCCTAGACTATTTTGACTTCAGAGCCCATTCATTGCCAAGCTGTGATAATTTATTTTTCCTTAAATAAAATGGATTTTAGCAAGGGTTTTGGCAAAATACTGTGTTTTAATGATTAAGGTTACTATAACTGCCTCTCAAAATTTAATGTGAACTTGTATTTCTTATATCATTTTTTGTGTTTTCCAAAGGTTACAAAAGTGGATGAAACCAGAGGGATCGCACATGTTTATTTATTTACCCCTAAGAACTTCCCTGACCCTCATCGCAGTATTAATCGCCAGATTACAAATGCAGACTTGTGGAAGCATCAGAAGGATGTGTTTTTGAGTGCCATATCCAGTGGAGCTGACTCTCCCAACAGCAAAAATGGCAACATGCCCATGTCGGGCAACACTGGAGAGAATTTCAGAAAGAACCTCACAGATGTCATCAAAAAGTCCATGGTGGACCATACGAGCGCTTTCTCCACAGAGGAACTGCCACCTCCTGTCCACTTATCAAAGCCAGGGGAACACATGGATGTGTATGTGCCTGTGGCCTGTCACCCAGGCTACTTCGTCATCCAGCCTTGGCAGGAGATACATAAGTTGGAAGTTCTGATGGAAGAGATGATTCTATATTACAGCGTGTCTGAAGAGCGCCACATAGCAGTGGAGAAAGACCAAGTGTATGCTGCAAAAGTGGAAAATAAGTAGGTCCTTGGACAAAGCATTTTATTCTACTCCTAAGAAAAATGTGTAAAATGATGCCAGAGTCTTAATCTTGGCGGGGGGACTTCGAACTGTACTAATGGGAATTTTGAATGTGAAACAAACACAGTAATTTTTCCGATTTTCTAGTATTTAAAATGATGTCACTTATCAAAAAATCTATTGGCCATATTCCTGTTAAAACCCAATTATATAACTAAAATGAATGTTTAAATATTTTTTCTATTTTTCTATTAGAAAAATATTTTTATTCAGAAAATAACCAGATTTTTTCATTTAATGACTTTTTATTTTAAAAATAAAAATATTATGGAAAAATTTTAAAATATAAAAAAAGCATAAGAAATTAAAATCAACCACCCACACATAACACTTGTTAAACTACTTATGTATTTCCTCTAATTTTATATGTGCATATTTATATAGTTGGTATATTATTAGTATGTATAATTTTGTACCTGCTTTTTTCACCTAACATTATGTCATGAACATTTTTCCATGTGATAAAATTTCTTCAGGAACCTTTATAATGGCTATTTTAATCATGATATACAGAATTCCTTTTTCCCAATGAAATCATAATTTACTTACCATTCTATTTTGTTATGTAAGGTTTTCTCTCCTGTATTTTTCACTATTATAAATAATAGTGAATGTAAATCTTTGCATTTCTGATTATTTATTTACGGGATAGATTCCTAGAAGAAAAGTCACTTGTTGGAAGATGGCAAGACTCTTGCTTTATGTTGTCAGCTGCATCCTGGCATCTGTGCCATCTTTCATAAGGAGCAACAATGCTTATTTCACTACTCTTTGGCCTTGGGGCTGTGAGAACATACTTTCTCTTACATTTCTTTAGCGCTTCAGTGTTTTTTCTAATATTTTCACATTTGGGTCCACACCCTCCTCCCCAAAGCCCTGCAGGATGTGCTGGTTTCATCCAAGTGAAGCCCAGACACCCCACTGTCCACTTTCCACTCAGGCCATGAAGCCCTGGGAAATGGCACAATGCCCATCCTGTTCCTTTGCCAGCTTGCTTAGGAGAAATGAACAAGCTTATTTATCAATGCTGAACACAAAGAACAGTCACCCCTCCCCAACACACACACACACACACACACACCCCAAAACTCAGTTTAAAAGGTCAAACTGCTTATTTTTTATATGAAATGTTTTAATTCTTTAAGATAGCAAACATAGGCATGTATAAAGTTTTGTCATTTTCATGGGAGAAAAAAACTAATTTTTAACTCTCAGTGAAGCGTATAAAAGCTCTCATTTCGAAAAACATACAATTTGTATGTCATAAGCTTTTCTTCTCTAAAAAACCATTTCTACTGTTGTGTTATTTATAACCACAAGCATAAATAGGTTTAATTCAGCTTGTGTAGGTTTGCCTCAATCAGAGCTCTTTGTAAGATAATTCAATCACAGTTAAAAACCAAACTAATGTTCTGGGGGGCAGATTGATGATTAAAGGTGAGGAGATCCTCCTTGGAGTAAAGGGGTTGGGTAGGAAGGAGAACACATCAACTGGAGAGCTCCAATATGAGCCCTTGCACTCCCCACTCTGCCCTCCATGGCTTTGAACCATTCTGCCCCAGGACTCTTGGACTTTAGTTAATTTGTCCCAGATAATCAAGGGATGTTTTGTATATAAAAACAGATAATCTGATTTTTTTAAAACTTCATGAACTGAATCAGTATAAAATGTTTAGAACTTCTGTCTTCCTTAAGACTCAGGACTATTTACTAAACTTTGTTCCCAACTATGGTAAGTTAAGACTTAGAAATTTTAGATACATATTTTTATTACAGCGGTTTCCAAATCTATCGCAGCATAAGAACAACTTGGAAAACCTATTAAAAATGCAGATTCTTCTTCCTTACCCCAGGCATTCTGAATCAGAATCTTTGCAGGTGGAGCTCCAGAATCTGTTGTTAACAAATTCCAGGTGATGCCAGTACTGAATTTTAGTAATCTAGTCAAAACTGAAGTCTTCCCTTAAGCTATTAGTTTTGAAAGTTGAAAACTAAATAGAAATACAACACATCAGTTTTCTGGGACTCTCTCTTCACTGCCCTATACCACTTATTTATGGACTAAAAACACAGACCACCACCAATTTGCCCTGTACAATTTTAAGATGACGCTGTTGGTGGAAACCAAGTGTTTTTACCTCCTTTTGTGCTTACACAAATTAGCAACCTACACCGAAAGTGTTTCCACCTGTGAAAATTTCTCTTCAGTTTGATCTGAAGTTCTTATTTATAGTAGCTTGTCTTCATTTTAATAATAATGATGATAACTATCATTTGCCAAGTGCCTATTATTAGCCAAGTAATGTCCCAGGCACTTTCCATGTATTATTTCTGTAAGTGAATTTACATTAAATATTAAACATGAGATGATTGAGGCTCAGAGCTTAAATGAAGAGCCCAGGTGGGACTCTAATTCAGGTCTATTTGGCCCCCAAAACTCATGTACATACTATGTATCCTTTCTGTGTCCCAGTTGTCTCTGGGACTCATGGAGTATTGCTTGCTGCACTTTGAGCCTGTCTGAAAGTTTCTGGAGTTCCCTCAGAAGCCCCCAGTTACAGTGTTGAAAGCTGACCTTTTTGTTTCGGGGTTTCTCTGTAGTTCATCCTATAGCAGCTGCATGGGTTTCCTATACTAGGTGTATATGGGCTGGAGAAACAGTCCATTCCAGCCAGCCCCAGTCCAGCAGTGTGTTGTGGTACAGGGCTTGCTGTTCTGGTGGGCTTCTGGCTGGCAAACCTGTTCCAGAGAATGACTGACCATGCCACCTGAACTAGAGGCCAATTTCCACCATTTAGCAGCAGAGACCACCTCCATAGACACTTTCTTTCAGCTGTTAGGAACAATCTTCCTTTCCTTCATGTAGTAATACTTTTTAATCATGTATTTGAGACTATAGGACTTTAAAGTGATCTTTCATTATTAACCTTGAAGTCTGGGTTTTTCTCATTTTAATGATGTTGATGTAGCTTCTGTAGGGGTAAGTAGATTCCTGTGGATTTCCTTCTGGTGCCTTGAGCTCCAGATCTGAAGCCATACTCCACCTCCCTCATACTCCTCTACCTTTTCCAGGTTCTTTATTTTAGGTGGTGGGTTGAATCTTGTGTTTTGTTCTTTTTTTAATGACCTTGTCATAATTAAAATTGCAAACTTTTTTTGTACAAAACTGATTTGATCTGTCCCCAGCGTGCCTTCCTAGTCTGACTTCTCTTCCATTCTTCCACACATTCCACTCTCTAACTATACTGGAAGGTTTGCTCTGCTCCAAAACACTATGCCCTCTCCAGTCCTCTGTGCTTTTCTTCTCAAGCATTTCTTCATCCCCAGCTGGTCCTGCTTGCCTCTCTCTTTCCATCGTCCAAGCATGTACCATATCCAAACATGTGGCCATCTTCTGTCCACCCTCCTTCAGTGAAGGGATCCCCTGGCTTTGTCCTGGTCATCCTCCATGGTGTTTGTTTCTTCTAATTAATGATGGTTGACAGTTTATATGTCTCTTTCCTTCACTAACTCCAGGGGCTTATAAAAGTCTCTTGAATGAGCAAATTCTATCAAATAAGACAGTGGCAAAGCAGAGAATAGTAAGCTTTGGAAAAAGGAGCAGGAAATGCTTTTAAAACTTTTTTGAAAATATAGTTTTAAATTTTGATAAACATAATTTGCATTAATTTTTCTTTTTATCATAAAATATTTCTTGCCCTTAAAGCAGGTACTGAGTTTATGTGTTTTCTCTTCCTTTTTAATTTAATGTACATCTAGGTGGCACAGGGTGCTTTTAAAAGGAATCCTGACCAATGGACTGGTATCTGTGTATGAGCTGGATTATGGCAAACACGAATTAGTCAACATAAGAAAAGTACAGCCCCTAGTGGACATGTTCCGAAAGCTGCCCTTCCAAGCAGTCACAGCTCAACTTGCAGGTAATTTCTGTGGAATCTGAACTCATGCTACAACAATGCAATATTGTCATTTTATCCTGGGTACTTAGCAAGTACTGAATCATTGGCCTCTTGAGTTTAGGTATGTTGGGTTTTTGTTTTTTTGTGCTAATAATATTGCAACCATAATGGAAATAATTTTAATGATGTCTTACAGTCGTGCTCTATCATTATATCTGCTGTTTCTCTTTTCTCTACTCCTTCTGTCTCTGGTTTCAAGCATGAGTATATTTCTAAAGCTGTGATCTTAGTACAGATATAATACTGCATTCTGCTTTTCTTCATCTAGTGTTGTTTTCTAATGACTTTCTGGGTGGTTTTATGGTTGTCCTACTTGTTTTTAATGGGTGCAAAAATTCTATCTAATCAATACTTCCCTATTGATGAACATTTTTATTGTAATATCAAGAAAAACCCTGCATCTTTACACTAGCTAAAACGAACCAAAAAACAATGGAAACAACCTATTATAATAACCAGTAGGAGGATCATACTTTATTATTATCGCATAAATTATAATACATCTACATAATAGAGTATTATGCAATCTTAAAACATTCCTGGGTCATGGAATATATGACCATTTTCATGACCAAGTGAGTTTCCAGTTTGCAGCACAACTAACAGCATACAAGGGAGCAATTTCACCACATTCACATCAGCCTCTTGATTGTCATTAAAATGGGAGGAACCAATTTAACAGGCATACAATGACACTTCCTTGTAATGTGGTCTAATGAGACTTCCCTTTTATCTTTTGTGAAAGCAATACAACTGTTGGTGGCTCCCCTGTGAGCACCCTACCATTATGTAGCATGAACAGCTGGATGAAGCTCAACCCAGAGGCCTTGTAGCGTTAGCAGAGGTTTTTGAGGCCCAAAGAGTTGAGGGGTGCCTCCCTGATCACTTTGCTGCTGCTCACAGTCCTCAGCACCTTGCCCCATATGTGGAACACAGTGACAGAAGTGATGTGATGTCAGCAATGAAAGAAATTGTGTATATAGGTTCTTCTTTTACTTATTGATCAGCTTTTATTGGAAGCCTGTGTATTGCCTTATTTTGAAATATTGCCAGCTTCTCTGTGTCTTCCTACTAGAATTCAAAGGCAAATCCTATGGTAATTGGATATAAAGCAAAAATAACACTGTCATGTAGCATGGCCACCAGTTAGTGTGGTTTAGATTCAGACCTTCTTCTTCAGATTTAATGGTTTTTTTTTTTTTTTTTTTGTTTTCACTTTCTAATGCTCAGGTTTTCCTAACAACACATTTTGTTAAATGTGACAGTTATACTCCCCAGAGAAGGCTTCTCTGTGAAGAATGAGTGCATGGTACCATCATCCCCATCACCAGCATTGTGGCTAAGAGTTATTGGTACTTATGGTGTGCTAGGCGCTCTACCAGTCACTTTAGAGCTTTCTTCCTGTTTAATATATGCATTCGGTGCTACAAGTTTCCCTCTAAGTACAGCTTTGGCTGCATCCCACAAGTTTTGATGTGCTATATTTTCATTCAGCTGAAAATACTTTTTCATTTCTCTTGAAATGTATCCTTTGACCCATGTGTTATTTAGAACTGTGCTTAATCTCTTAAGTATTTGGGGATTTTCCAGCTATCTTTCTGTTACTGATTTCTAATTTAATTCCATTGTGGTCTGAGGGAAAACATTGTATTATTTTTAAATTGTTAATGTGTGTTTTATTTCCCAAAATGTGGTTCGTCTTGATGAATGTTCCATGTGAGCTTGAGAAGAATGTATAATCTGCTGTTTTGAGATGAAGTATTCTATAGATGTTAATTACATCCAGTTGACTTATGATGCTGTTGAGTTCACTTATGTCCTTACTTATTTTTATGCCTTCTGGATCTGTCCATTTCTGATAAAGGGGTTTTAAAATCTCTACCTATCAGAGTGGATTTTTTTCATTTCTCCTTGCAGATCTATCCATTTTTGCCTCATGTATTTTGATGATCTGTTATTAGATGCATGTACATTAAGGATTAGTATGTCGTCTTGGAGAATTGACCCCTCTACCATTATGTAATGCCCCTCTTTATCCCTGATAACTTTCCTTGCACTGAAGTCTGCTTTGCCTGAAATGAATATACCTACTCCTGCTTTCTTTCAATTAGTGTTAACGTGGTATATCTTTCTCCATCCCTTTACTTTTACTCTATATGTGTCTTTATATTTAAAGTGGTCTTGTAGATAATATGTAGTTGAGTCTTATTTTTTTTTATTTACTCTGACAATCTCTGTCTTTTAATTGGTGTATTTAGACTATTGACATTGAAAGTGATTATTAATATAGTTGGATTAACATCTACCATATTTGTTACTGTTTTCTATTTGTTTTCCTTGTTCTTTGCTCTTATTTTTGTCATTACTCTTTTTCTGCTTTTTGTTATTTTAATTGAGCATTTTAAGTAATGCCACTTTCTCTCCTTTCTTAGGATATCAATTATATCTCTATTTTTTCCTTTTCTTAGTGGGTGCTCTAGAGTTTGCTATATACAGTTAGAACTAATCCATGTCTACTTTCATGTGACATTGCACTGTTTCATAGACAGTGCAAGTACTGTATAATAACAAAATAATGTTAATTCCTTCCTCCAGGCTCCTGTATCATTGCAGTCATTTACTTCACTTACATATAAGCAGATACATGCACATGTGCACACGTGCACACACACACACACGCATACAGAATCAAATACATTGTTGCTATTATTTTGAACAAACCCTATCTAATAGATGAATTAAGAAAAAGAAATATAAAAGTTTTACTTTACCTTCACTTATTCATTCTCTGATTTTCTTTATGTCGATATTAATTTCTGACCTATATTATTTTCCTTCTCTGAAGAACTTCTTTAATATTTCTTCCAAGGCAGGTGTGCTGGCAACAAATTCTCCCAATTTTTGTTTGTCTGAGAGTCTGTATTTCTCCTTTACTTTTGAAGGATAATTTCATAAGGTACAGAACTTTAGCTGGTGGGTTTTTTCCTTTCAACCCTCTAGTCTCTTCTTGCTGCATGATTTCTGAAAAGTCAGATGCTTCTCTGAGAAGTCAGAACAAAGATTCTTATCTTTGTTCTTCTATGGATAAGGTGGTTTTTTGCTTCTGGTCTCTTTCAAGACTTTTGTTCATCTTTGATTTTCTAAAGTTTGAATGTGATATGCCTAGATATATTTTGGTGGGGGGGGGGGCATTTATCTTGCTTGGTGTTCTCTGAGCTTCCTAGATCAATGATTTAGTGTGTGACATTAATTTGGAGAAATTCTCAGTCATTATTGTTTCAAATGTTTCTGTTCCTTTCTCTCCTTCTAGAATTCTTATTATGCATTTGTTACACCTTTGATAGATCTTGGATTTTTGTTCTGTTTTTTTTTTCAGTACTTTTTCTCTTTGCTTTTCAGTTTTGAAAGTTTCTGTTGTCATATCCTTGAACTCAGAGATCTTCCCTCAGCCAAGTCTAATCTATTAAGAAGCCCAAGACATTCTTATTTTCTTTTATAGTGTTTCTGACCTCTGACCTCTAGCATTTCTTTTCTTTTCTTTTTTTTTTTTTTTTTTTTTTTTGAGACAGAGTCTTGCTCTGTCACCCACACTGGAGTGCAGTGGCACGATCTCAGCTCACTGCAACCTCCGCCTCCCAGGTTCAAGCAATTCTTCTGCCTCAGCCTCCTGAGTAGCTAGGACTACAGGCATGCACCACCACACCTGGCTAATTTTTGTATTTTTAGTAGAGACAGGCTTTTTCACCATGTTGGCCAGACTGGTCTCGAACTCCTGACTTCGTGATCCACCCACTTTGGTGATCCTCCCACCTTGGCCTCCAAAGTGCTGGGATTACAGGTGTGAGCCACCACACCCAGCCCACATTTCTGTTTTATTGTTTCTTAGAATTTCTGTGTTTCTACTTCCATTATCCATCTGTTCTTAAATTTTGTCTGCTTTTCCATTAACACTGGTACCGTATTAATCATAGTTGTTTTAAATTCCTGGTCTGATTATTTCCAGCATTCCTGCCATATTTGACTCTGATTCTGATGCTTGCTCAGTCTCTTCAAACTGTGTTTTTTTCCTTCCATATCACTTGTAGTTCTTTGTTGAAAGGTGGACATGATACATTGGGTAAAAGGAAATCTGGGTAAATAAGGCTTTTGTAATGTAGCAGCAGCAATGTGTGTCTGGGGTGTGAGGGATGTTATGTAGTCCTATGATTAGGTCTCAGTCTTTTGTTGAGCCTGTGCCCCTGGACTGGGAACTTCACCAGTGCTTCTTGGGGTCTTTCCCCCTAGCTTAGGTGGAGCAGGATGGCTAGAGGGGAGTGGAGTTGGGTATTTCCCTTCCCCCAGGAAGGTTAAGCTCTATAAAACCCTGTGAGGTCAGGCTCTAGTAAAATAGTTTCTTCTGAGGACAGAGCTTGTTAAGAAAAACAGAAAGCTCTGGTGTATTTCAAAATGTTCCTTTTCTCCTCCCCCAACTGGAAGCATGAGGAGATTTTTCCCTGATATTCACTGTGAGTACCAGGTAGTGCTTCTGGAGGTAAAACTCTCAAAAGTGTGGGAGACAGGGCCCTATAACTGGGTTCCCCTGGAGTTTTTAACTCTCAGACTTATTTACATGTACCCCTAGCAATTTGTCAGTTACAGTTTAGGTTTCCCTCCTCTGGCTTCCAGGCCTCTGCTCATTGGTTTCTGCTCTAGTACGCTTTGACTCTCAGTATCTTCCTGTCTGTCTCTCTGGTTTTGGGGACAGTGAATTGCCCTGTGACCTTCCTTCTCTGATGGACCTAGGAGTAGTTGTTGATTTTCTGTTTGTTCAGCTTTTTGTTTCTTATTAGGAGGCAGTAGCAACTTCTAAGCTCTTTACATGCCAGATCGGTAGGCAGAAGTTCTACCAACTGCTTTACTTCATTGAACTCTCCCCATGCTAGGAGGTTTAGGTACTGTTACTATAACTGTTATACACATCAGGGAATAGCAGCTTAGTGAAGTTAAATATCTTGTCCAAGATCCCACACCACAGCCTTAAACTCAGCACTCTGCCTCTTCAGTGTGTGCCTTTCTTCACTGTATACTTCCTTCTCCATGAAAAGTGTGGTTTTTGAAGTCAAAAGGCTGAGATTCAAGTCATTTAACTTCTAAACCTACCCCATGATTATTTATAAAATTACCAGTAAATTCCTATCCTGTCTATGTGACTGAACTAATATGTGGATCAGATGAAAAAGTGAATATGAAATTGCCTTTTGAACTAAAACTCATAGTCCAAATACATGAAAGTTTCTTTGTACACTTACATCTGAAACAGCATTGCTGTTGGGTCCCATCCATGTCCTGAGTTCCTTTTCTAGGCTCACCTCTGCCAAGCCTTCTTTCTTCCTTTTGACTTGCTCCTAAGTCACAAAATCTTCCTGGGTATCACATTATCCATTTTGAAGGGAGGACCTCCATTTTATAATTAATTGAAAACATATGAACTGGAACTATTAAACTATATGTGGCGGAGAGTATGTCTCTCTTGGGCCAACATAGGCATCCACTAGAGAGAAGCGAGGTAGACTAGAAGTTTCATGGAAGTCACTGGTTGTGACATGGCCATTGGAGTCATCACTTTGGTAGACTTGGTTCACACCTAGCCAAGCCCTTTGACATATTTAGGAATATCTCTAGATGTAAAGGAGCTCTGTGGAATCTAAGTGGAACCCATGGGAATGCCCTGAGTGTTTAAACTGGAATGCTTTAAGGATTCTCCAGGGACCTTGGGATTACCCCTTACTCGCTCACAAATGGGATCACTGGATGCCCACCCTTTCAAGGTTCCCAGTGTATTGGGGGAAATTTCAGCCAGATATCGGGTAAAATTCACCCCCGATATTTCATGTAGGTTCTTTTCTATTTTCCCTAAGTGTCGGCCGGTCTGAGAAATAAAGGGACAGAGTACAAAAGAGAGAAATTTTAAAGCTGGGTGTCCGGGGGAGACATCACATGTCCGCAAGTTCCGTGATGCCCCCTAAGCCGTAAAATCAGCAAGTTTCTATTAGTGATTTTCAAAAGGGGAGAGAGTGTACAAATAGGGTGTGGGTCGCAGAGATCACATGCTTCACAAGGTAATAAGATATCACAAGGCAAATGGAGGCAGGGCGAGATCACAGGACCACAGGACCGGGGCGAAATTAAAAGTGCTAATGAAGTTTCGGGCACACGTTGTCATTGATAACATCTTATCAGGAGACAGGGTTTGAGAGCAGACAACTGGTCTGACCAAAATTTATTAGGTGGGAATTTCCTCGTCCTAATAAGCCTGGGAGCACTACAGGAGACTGGGGCTTATTTCATCCCTACAGCAGTGACCATAAAAGACGGCCGCACCCGAAGCGGCCATTTCAGAGGCCTACCCTCAGGGACGCATTCTCTTTCTCAGGGATGTTCCTTGCTGAGAAAAAGAATTCAGCGATATTTCTCCCATTTGCTTTTGAAAGAAGAGAAATATGGCTCTGTTCCGCCCGGCTTACTGGCAGTCAGAGTTTAAGGTTATCTCTCTTGTTCCCTGAACATTGCTGTTATCCTGTTCTTTTTTCAAGGTGCCCAGATTTCATATTGTTCAAACACACATGCTCTACAAACAATTTGTGCAGTTAACGCAATCATCACAGGGTCCCTGAGGTGACATACATCCTCCTCATCTTACAAAGATGATGGGATTAAGAGATTAAAGTAAAGACAGGCATAGGAAATCACAAGGGTATTGATTGGGGAAGTGATAAGTGTCCATGAAATCTTCACAATTTATGTTCAGAGATTGCAGTAAAGACAGGAGTAAGAAATTATAAAAGTATTAATTTGGGGAACTAATAAATGTCCATGAAATTTTCACAATTTATGTTCTTCTGCCATGGCTTCAGCCGGTCCCTCCATTTGGGGTTCCTGACTTCCCACAACACCAGTGAGTTGTTGCTTCATTACATCTGGCCTTGACCTGGGCATTCTTTGCATCAGTGCACCATGGCCATGCACAAAATTTTCTGAATCCTAGAAGAAAGGGAGCCATACTGTGGAATCATCTTTTACCTTACCAATGGGTTACCTTTTTTCTTCTTAAATAACATGGCTCAAAGATTGTCAGGGCTGCTGCAGATAAAATGAAATTTCTAGGCTTCTCTTGTGGGAAATAAATAATCAAAGAATTTAGCCCATTTGCTATATAGATAGCAAGTCTTCCAAAATTATGTCTGAAATTTCCATATCTTAATTACTTTGGGGCATAATTTACAGTTTATGTAATCCAGTATATGTGGACTTAATTGTATTTCTTGAAATATGTATATATATATGTATATATATATATATATATTTTTTTTTTTTTCGAGAGGGTCTCACTTTGTCACCCAGGCTGGATGGAGTACAGTGATGCAGTCACGGCTCACTGCAGCCCTGACCTCCCAGGCTCAAGCGATCCTCCTCCCTTAGCCTCCTGAGTAGCTGGGACTATAGGCACAGGCCATTACACCCGGCTAATTTTTGTATTTTTTGTAGAGACAGGGCTGGGCTATGTTGCCCAGGCTGGTCTCGAACTCCTGAGCTCAAGATACCTGCCCGCCTTGGCCTCCCAAAGTGCTGGGATTACAGGTGTGAGCCACTGTGCCCGGCCAATGTGTACTTTCTTGTCCCAGTTTTGTTTTAAAATCGAATTTAGAATTCTCTAACTTGATTTCTCATGATCTGATCCAATCAGGTTCTTTTATCATAGGTGAGATCAGCTGATTTGCCTAAGACCACACCACCCGATAGAGGAAAAGCTGGGAATAGTAACTGAGTCTGTTGACTTTCAATTCAGTGCTTTTCCCACGATGCTGTGTATAATTTTAAATAACTATACTGTAAATGAATCATACAATAATTCTTTTTTTTTATGATATTTGGTCCATCAGAAAAAAAATTTTTAATGAAAGAAATGTCATTTAATATGATATTGATATTTTATTCTGTTATTAGTTTAAATATGCATATACTTTATGGGGGTTGTACAGTAGTCATTATTACCTCATTTTATAATACAATGTTAAGTCTCAAATGAAACTTGTTTTTTAGTTAAAGATTTCCAGAGTGACTCCATTCAGAGTAGAAAAACTATAAGCTGGAGTGTTTTAAGATTGTTCAGTAACCGTTTTTCAGTTCAGGCAAGTCTAACCTGGGATGCTTAAGTTACTTTGGAATTGACTAAATAATTTTCCATCATAATGGATCAAAGAAAAGCTCCTTTGACTCCTCACTGCTCCCTCTTCTTCCTCTCTTCCTCCTAGGAGTGAAGTGCAACCAGTGGTCTGAGGAGGCTTCTATGGTGTTTCGAAATCATGTGGAGAAGAAACCTCTGGTGGCACTGGTGCAGACAGTCATTGAAAATGCTAACCCTTGGGACCGGAAAGTAGTGGTCTACTTAGTGGACACATCGTTGCCAGACACCGATACCTGGATTCATGATTTTATGTCAGAGTATCTGATAGAGCTTTCAAAAGTTAATTAATGACTGCCTCTGAAACCTTGACAACTAATTCAGATTTTTTAGCAATAACAAAATGTAGTAGGCTTAAAAAAAATCTTAACTCTGCTACATGGCTCTGACTGCTGTGGGGGATTGAAAAGAATATGCTTATGTTTGATGAAAGATATTTAACAAGTTTTGTTTTAACAGAGTTGACTTTTCAAAGAAAATTGTACTTGAATTATTACTATAATATTAGAATAAAAATGTTTATCAATATAAAAGCTGACTACCTTTTAATTTCTAGGCTTCATGATCTTAAGATGAAAGCTTCCGTTTCATGTTGTCTTCCTTGCAGAGCTGGGTTCTTCTCCAGTGAAGCTGAGACTATTATGACTTAACTCTACCCTGATGTAGTAGTGTATCTCAAAGCAAGTGATCACCAAAGCATGTGAGGACTTATCCTGAGTCTTAACACATCAGCATTTCTAGAGGAGCAGCCCAGGCAAACCAACGTGACCCTCAACCCAAATCTTGAGTGGCTTCTCTTCTCATTGCCCACAGAGTCCAGCTAGGACCCAGGCTTTCTACAATCCTCCTACCCAACCTCCTTATCTACCACTCCCTGCCACACTGTACCTTTATTTGGTCACTGAACCCCTGCTTATTCCATTCTGTCAACCTGCATCTCATTCTCCTCCCATCATTTTTGCTTGTCAGTGTCCTGCCTGACCTCCTGGGCCAACCATGAAGCTTTCTCTGGTACCCCTTTCTACTCCATCGTACTTTGATCATGCCTCTCTTGGTGCCCATATGTCACTGTGTTTTATAGTATATGACTAGTCTGTGCACCGATTACCCCAGCTAGATCATGGTCTCCCTGAAAGAGGGACGGGTCTTAGTCATCTCCGGTGATATACCAGTAAATGTTTGACAACTGGTTCTGTTGAGTGGGGAGCTGAGCCTTGATTTGTAGTGTCTGAAAATTCTCATATTGTAAATGGTCCCACCATTGTTGATTTTCAGCTAATAATATGACAAGACTGAATGTGGAGTTGGGAAGAGACTCACCTAAGCAGCTCTTGAGACCGCATATGACAGGCTCTCCAGCACACCACCGTCTGAGCATCCACAGCCGTCAGAATGGCATCTTACACACATCAGGCACTCCTTTTGTGCTTGCTAATTGATGGGCAGATAGATTGGCAGACAGGTTATAGGCTTTAGCAGTGGTCCAAAGATGAGGTGGGGAGGCCCTGGACTAAGAGTGGAGCAATGGTGTTGAAGAAAAAGTGTTGATGACCTTGTAAAGTTTTTAATTACAATTATTAGACAGCTTAGATACAGATTGGGAAGAGTGAAGCCAAGTCTTAAGGTATGAGAGCCTAGGACCTTACTCAGATGGAGTGGGGGAGTGGGAAGCTTAAAAATTTGATTTTGAACACACTGAATTTGAGCTAATAGACTTCCATGTGAAGATATGCAGAATCTTGGAAATGTGGAATAAACTTCAGGGGCAAAAACCAGGCTGGAAATAAAAATTCTCAATGTCATTTGTTTGTTTTTATTTGAGAAAAATCCAGAAACAAATGAGAACAGAAAGAGGAAGGTAGAGACCAAATATTTGAAGTTTTTCATTTTAAACATGTCAAAATTATCTCTAGCTTTTTAAAACTCAGTATTTACAACAAGTGATTCAAAATTCAGGAGTGCTGAATGCCAGTGATTTATCACTTATGATGAAATAAAAATATCCCAACACAGAAATGTTTAAGTGAAATAAACTGGTATGTTTTTAATAATTGTTTCATTCTCTAATAAAAAAATGGAAAAATCCTCAAATTGTCTACAGGTTAGGAAAAGGTTTCTATTTCACTGACTTTAGAAATGTTTCCATTACTTTTATTTATTTATTTATTTATTTATTTATTTATTTATTTTTTGCAAGGCAGAAGAATTTTTCTTAGTACAGAACAAAATGGAGTCTCCCATGTCTACTTCTTTCTACACAGACACAGCAACAATCTGATTTCTCTTTCCTTTCCCCACACTTCCCCCGCTTCCACTCGACAAAACCGCCATCGTCATCATGGCCCGTTCTCAATGAGCTGCTGGGTACACTTCCCAGATGGGGTGGCGGCCGGGCAGAGGGGCCCCCCCACCTCCCAGACAGGGCGGCTGGGCAGAGGCGCCCCCCCACCTCCCTCCCGGACGGGGCGGCTGGCCGGGCGGGGGCTGCCCCCCACCTCCTGGAGGGGGCGTCTGCTGGGCGGAGACGCTCCTCACTTCCCAGATGGGGCGGCTGCCAGGCGGAGGGGCTCCTCACTTCTCAGACGGGGCGGCTGGGCAGAGACGCTCCTCACCTCCCAGACGGGGTGGTGGTCGGGCAGAGACACTCCTCAGTTTCCAGACGGGGTCGCGGCGGGGCAGAGGCGCTTCTCACATCCCAGACGGGGCAGTGGGGCAGAGGCGCTCCCCACATCTCAGACGATGGGCGGCCGGGCAGAGACGCTCCTCACTTCCTAGACGGGATGGCGGCCGGGAAGAGGCGCTCCTCACTTCCCAGACTGGGCTGCTGGGCAGAGGGGCTCCTCACATCCTAGACGATGGGTGGCCAGGCAGAGATGCTCCTCACTTCCCAGACGGGGTGGCGGCCGGGCAGAGGCTGCAATCTCGGCACTTTGGGAGGCCAAGGCAGGCGGCTGGGAGGTGGAGGTTATAGCGAGCCGAGATCACGCCACTGCACTCCAGCCTGGGCAACATTGAGCACTGAGTGAGCGAGACTCCGTCTGCAATCCCGGCACCTCGGGAGGCCGAGGCTAGCAGATCACTCGTGGTTAGGAGCTGGAGACCAGCCCGGCCAACATGGCGAAACCCCATCTCCACCAAAAAAATACGAAAACCAGTCAGGCGTGGCGGCGTGCGCCTGCAATCCCAGGCACTCGGCAGGCTGAAGCAGGAGAATCAGGCAGGGAGGTTGCAGTGAGCCGAGATGGCGGCACTACAGTCCAGCCTCCGCTGGGCATCAGAGGGAGACCGTGGAGAGAGAGGGAGAGGGAGAGGGAGACTGTGGGGAGAGGGAGAGGGGGAGGGGGAGGGGGAGGAGTCCATTACTTTTTAAAATAAAGCAATAGATTGTTTCTTGATGTAACCACAAAATTAGTGCTAAGTCAGTGTGACACAAACAAATGAAATGTGAATGAACCCTTCCTCATACCATATTCAAAAGTCAATTCCAGATGGATTGAAAACCTAAACATTGGCCGGGCATGGTGGCTCATGCCTGTAATCCCAGCACTTTGAGGTGGGCGGATCACTTAAGGCCAGGAGTTTGAGACCAGCCTGGGCAACGTGGCAAAACCCTGTCTTTACCAAAAAATTAGCTGGATGTGGTGGTGCACAACTGTAGTTCTAGCTATTCAGGAGGCTGAGGTGGGAGGATCACCTGAGCCTGGGAGGCAGAGGTTGTAGTGAGCCGAGATCGCGCCACTGCACTCCAGCCTGGATGACAGAGACCCTGTCTCAAAAAAAAAAAACAAACAAACAAAAAAAAAAAACAAAAAACTAAACATGAGGCTGGGCACAGTGGCTCGCGCCTGTAATACCAGCACTTTGGGAGGCTGAGGCGGGAGGATTGCTTGAGCATAGGAGTTTCAGACCAGCCTGGGCAATATAGCAAGTCCCCTATCTCTACAAAAAACATTTTTTTAAATAGCTGGGCATGGTGGCTCATGCCTGTAATCCCAGCACTTTGAGGGGCTGATGTGGGGGTTAAGGGGTTGGCTTGAGCCCAGGAGGTTGAGGCTGCAATGAGCCGTGATCACACCACTTTACTCCAGCCTGGCCAACAAAGCGCAAGACTCTATCTCAAAAACAAAAACAAAAACAAACAAACAAAAAACCTAAACATGAAAGGCTAAGGTGGGAAGATAACATAGGAAGATAACTTTATAACCCAGGAACAGGAAAGAGTTCTTAAACAGGACACAGAGTGCTGCCAATAAGGGAAAAGATTGCCAGACTGTATTTAAGAACACCTGTTTATCAAAATACGTTAATAAGGTGAAAAGGCAAAAGAGTGGAATATAACTGAGGATACACACACCATTGAATCTATTCAATACACAGGACTATCCAGAAGAAAAATGGACAATAAATCTGAACAATTCACAAAACAAATCCAACTGGCCAATAAATATGAAGTGATACTCAACACATTAGGATATAGGGAAATGCAAGTTTGAACCTCAATGAGATACCATTACTCACATATCAGAATTTCTAAAGTGTTTCAATTTTTGTAACTTCAAGTGTTGTTGAAGATGGGAAACTGCACTGTACAATGGTACTATAACTTTGGAAGAGTTCAGGCTTATCTCTGCCGAAGTTGAGGTTAGGCTTTCTCTATCACCCAGCACTTCCAACAGCAGGCTGTGCGCGTGGACAGGAGGATTCTGGCAAGGAATGTTCGCAGCAGCACTATTTGTAATAGCTAAAACCTGGAAACAACCTAAATGCCCATTAATAGTCAAATGGATTTTTTTTTAAACTGTGGCATATTCATACAGTGAAAAACTACAGCTGCATAAAACCACAGATTAACAACAGATTTGAACAAATGAAGACATACTACAGAGGGAAGAAAAAAAACAAGGACATGATCACCGTAAGGGTCAAGAAAGTGATCATCTTTAGAAGGGAGTTGGGACCCAGGAGGGACAGGTTGGCTTCTGGGCTGTAGGCAATGTTCTCTGAGTGACTGGTTGCACAGGTGTTCACGTTGTAAAAAGTCATGAAGCTGCACATTTATTTTGTTTACACATACAACATAACTTATGTTGTATGTTCTTATATGTTCGATTCACAACAAAAATGTTTTAAAATAATCTGAAATATTAGATCACTGCTTATTTTTAAATGTATGGCATATACCCCTTGAAAAGAGCGTTCTCATTGTGAGGACTTTAGAGAAATTCATTTTCTTGAGAAACAAAATTTGGTTAATGAGTGTTTCTCATTAATAATCTATACATCAGGATTAAGAGCTGATTTTATTAAGGTCTACCCTACCAAAAGCTTTCCCATAATAATCCAAAATAAGACGTTTTCCTATTTCTATATAAATTCCTTTGCATGAGACATTTGTTTATTAAAACACTTAAAATTGTATTTGGAATAAACCACCTAAAGTGGTTTGTTCTGAAAAAAAAAAAAAAAAAAAAAAGCCTTTTAAGAACTTGGGTCTTTTTGTTGTGGTCATTTAAAATCAGTATTTTAGACACTCCACTCGCTCTCAGTGTAGAGAGAATGTATTCGATTGCGTGTTGGAACTACGTGTAGACAAAACGATCGCGGTTAAAGCTTGCGGCTCAGAGCCCACCTGGCCGCGCTGCTGGGAAACGGACGGAGCGGCGCTTCAATCAGAGGTGAAGGTGCAGCAGCTGCTTAGCTGGCTTTGGTCCATCACTTCTGGGGACTTCAGATTCTCAAAATCTTAAATTCTAAACCCCACAGGAATGCAAATCTGCCCACCTTTTCCCACATAACTCTACCGTCGCTCAAACTCTTCCTGGTACCAGCGGGGAAGCGGAGGAGACCCAGGCAGGGGCCCGCGCTCGCTCGGCTGCAGCCCGACTCCCCTGCGCTCCCGGCCCAGGGCCGCGTCCCGACGGGGAAGTGCGCTGCGCCCGGGCGCCCCCGAGTGGAGGGGGGGGGAAGGAGGGAGCCGGCGGCGGGCGGGGCGGGGCGCGGTGACAGCCGAGCCGGGCCCGCCCCTGGCTCCCACCCCCGAGCCCACAGCTCCCGCCCGCCCGCGGCCGCCCGGGAGCTCGTCCAGCCCCGCGCTGCGCTCGCCCGCCCGCTGCCCGCCGGAGCACCGCGGCCTCCGCCCGCGTCCATCTGCCCGCCGCCCGCGCCTGTTCCGCAGCCCGCGTCCGCGCCGGCCCCACAGCTCTGCGTCCGGGTAAGCCCCCACCCCGCCTGGGGTCCCCCTCGCGCTCGCGGGGCTCCCTGCCCCCGCTCCGGGGCCTCAGCCATATCTGGGCAAAATATTCAGCTGTCGCCGCCGCCGCCAAGAGGGACTGAGCGTGGCTCCCTCTATAAATAGCTGCCGCCTCGGGTTGCCTCTGGGGCTAGGGAGCCCGGGTCTCGGGGTTCCGAGCCCAGCGCTCCCGTCCCCGCCTCCCCGCGCGCGCAGCCCTGGCCAGGGCGCCCTCCGCTCTGGACCTCCGCACCGCGTCTGTGAACGCGAGAAGGACCCGGGGTTCTGGAGGAGACGGCGCCCCGGGCTGGGGTCCTGGCGGAGGGGCGCCCCCGCCACCCGCAGGACTCCAGCGCGGCGGGGCTCTGAGCCCGCGGGGTGCTCAGCTGGGTACAGGTGCCAGCCGGAGCTGGGCTCGGGGGCGCGGCCTCTTCTCCGCCTGCAAGAGTCTGGGGGTGGGAGTGGGGGAGTAAAGGCTCGACTGGACGTGGATCCCAGGTTCGCGCTGAGAGTGTTTGGGGCAGGTGAAGTTTCCCAAACTGGGAGAGACAAGGTTTAAAGCACCACGACACGCGCTACGCGGCCAAGTGGAGCTGGAAAGAGCTTGGAGGCGGGAGCCCCAGGTTGTCGCCGGCTCTCGGCATGGCCTTGGCAATCCCCCTCTTGTTTCTGGATCTCAGTCTCCCATTTGTAGGGGCGAGGTTTGGTAGCCGCGATGGAGCTGGGAGCCCAAGCCCTGAGAGCTGCAGGGCGCGCTCTTGGCCGCCTGCGCTCCCCACACCTGTTCACCCTCTCCGGGCCTGGGACGCTGGGGTCCCAGCCGCGCACATGCGGAGACGCTGCAGAAATCGGAGACTGACTGCCCCAGACTCGATCGTATCCTGGGACTCACTAAGGCCGTCGGATATCCTAAGCCGTACAACCCTAGGAAGTGCACTTTTGGGGTGCCTATGGGCATCTCTCTGCTCCGTAGCCGGCAAAGCAGCCTGTGAGCCACGCAGCTTCAGATGCGATGAGCTGGGCAGGGGCAGTGGTTCCAGTACAGCCGCTCCCTGGCCACAGTTTCCCGGTCTATATCGGGCCTATGATGCGTCCTCCAACCTGCGCAGCGCCGCCCCCTCCTACACCCTTCACCCACCGCTACTATTACAGACCCTGTCTCCAGCCCTCGCCCTATGCCCTCAGACTCTCGGAGACGACCTGGCCCAAGCTCCTCCGTGTCTGAATCGCAGAACCAGACCCTGAACCCAGGTGCTGGGCCCTCAGCGTGAGAACCCCTAGGGCCCCCACCCCATCTTTCTTCCAGAGGTGACTGCCATTTTGTCCTCTGTGCAGGGCCGCAGAGCCCCCTGCTCAAGGTCACACAGGGCCGGTCACGCCAGAAGTTCTGCAGTCTCCCAGCCTTTCCCATCTCTTTCCGCACCCTTCCCACTGCTCAGGCAGGTCCGGGAGCTCTGGGAGCACCCGATCAATGCCCCCTCTTCTTGAATCTGCTGCTGTTCTGGACTTTACCTTGTCTGGACAATAGCGCCCTCATCCTGAAGTTTCCTTTTTGCTTCTACTTTACTTTCTGTTATGTGTTTTTTTCTAAAGCCATCTCAAAGACTTACAGAAAAAAGAATTAACGGGAAATGGAGTCAGATAATAAAGTTTCCATCAGTTAGAGCCACACAACCAACAGGCAGAGTGAAAACAAGAATACTGTCACTTTGGTGTATTATCTTTAATGAGCTAGTCTTACAAACCCGTGTTTTAGAGAGTCATTGACCCTTGAGTTTCTCCCAGCCTAAGATGAAAGCCAGTGTCCTCTAAAAATAGCCTCCGCCCCACCTTATCAGGGTCTCACACCTTCTCCCTCCTTCAGGGTAGGGCGTTTTCTTGCAGCTCAGCAAAAACAGAAAACACAAAGTAGGTGTGGCAGCTCTGAGCAATGGGAGGTGGACTGGCCTGGAGGTTAGGATATCTGGCTCCAGCCCCAACTCTGCCACCCACTCAGAGGAACCTTGAGCAATGAGGGGGCAGACAAGGTGGTCTCTAGTGGACCTGGAGTGGAGAGGGCTTAGAGTCTTCCTTGGAAGCCTTTCTAGCATGACCCATCCTGTAAGGAGGAGCTGGGGAAGGAGTGAGAGACAGTGGCTTTCCCAGGTGCCAAGGGAGGACAGAGGTGGGCAGTGTCACTTGCTGTGGAGAGACAGGAGTAGGGGGATGAGGACTGGGAAAAGACCATCAGGATTGGCAGGGATCATGAGTGACTTAGACCAGGGTATTGCAGCAGGCTCAAAAAATGAGATCTGCCAGTGACCCAGCCTGTCTGAGCCTCGTTTTCTCCTCATACAATGGAGACAACAATAGCCCCATTTCATAGGGGCTGCTTGTGAGAATTAAGTGAGATGATTCAGGGCAAGCCCTCAGCCCAGAGCCTGATATTGCAATGATAGTATTCGTTGTGGTGAGGGGGAAAGGCAGGAGCTAACAGGAGCTGAAGAAGTTCTCCACTTCTTCAGGCTGTAGGCTGAAGAAGGCTCTCAACAGAGCCAGCAACTCTTTCTAAAAGCTTGGATGAGAAAGGAAGGGAGAGGGAAGGTAGCAGGAACTGAGGACAAGGAACAGAAGGGAGGCAGGCATTCTAGGATAAAGAGTATGGCAAGTAGTGAGAAGAACCCAGGAGAGGGGAGAGAGTTAAAGGGGAATCTAAAAGGTGTGCCCATAATGAGGATTGGGGACCTTCCTTAGTGACTTGCAGAATGTCACAGACTCTGCAGGTGGCCTTCATCCCCTGGAATGAGCAAAAAAAGGTAAAACGAAGCAGATCCTGGCTCAGACCCCTATGTCTCTGGCAGACCAGTATCTGCGATGGAGGATGGTGATGGGCTGTGAAGAGTGTTTTGACCCTGCTCTGGGGCCTCATAACCTTGGCTTATTTATTTCTGAAATGACATCATCTATCGATGACTCCTGCTGAGCCCGGTCGTAATGGCCTTTTCCAGTCAATGTTTTGACTTTTCAGTCTTACTAATGGACCAGCCAGGCTGCCAACATTTCTAAAGAGGCCAGTTTACTTTTCCCTTAAAGCCAGAACACCAGATAAATCAATTATTGGGCTGCTAGGAGCCATTATCAGTTTAAAACCACAGGCCTGTTTCTATGGAAAAGCATGAACCAGATAGCACAATTCCGGGCCATTTCCTCTCTTTTGTTTTGTTTTGTAAAATCTTCCTTTGGCTAATCATGATAGAACCTAATTCTCTTTGCTCTTAATGAGAGAATGAGCTCATTGGAGTCAACTTAGGACACGGTCTGGGAGGTTTTCTTTCGTGTTAGGTGTTGCTGGGTTTTTGTCTGATCTGAAAAACTAAACAAACTCAAGCATGCCTTTTGTTTCTCCTTCTCTTATGTCCTTTTGGTTTTCTTTCAGAGAAAAAAATGATTTGTGAAAGGGTTGGACATTACCATCTGTGAGGAGGAAAGAGGGAGGGAGAGGGAGACAAGGGCTTGCGTCCGTCCACGCATGTCCATCCCTGTCTCAGTTCATGTTCTCAGGGGCCCCAGCCTCAGGCCCCACTCACTCTGGGGCTTCAAGGGTGGTGACCCCAGGGCCGTTTCTAGCGATGATTCTGGAGGGTGATGAGTTGTGACCACTGCGTTGTTGCTCTCCATGCCCAAAGGAATGAAGGAAAGCAGAACTGCCTCTGGGCATCCTTCAGCCTCCTTCATAGACTCATCGCTGCTGCCCATCGCTTTGCTGTTGGTGCCTTGGTGCCACTCCTACCCCTATTCTCTTTCCACCGCACACTCTCACAGTCTCATTCACTCCCACGACTCCAGTCACCTCCCAACTCCCTAATTCTTGCATCAAGCTGGACTGTGCTCCTCATCTATAGACATCTCTGCCTCCTGATTCCTTTCTCTTCACCACCCCATTCATTTGCCCACCAAGTCCTGTCAATGCTACCTTCCTTAATTTCTCTTACATCCATTTCTATCGCCACATCCAGTACCCCAGTAAGGACTTCCTCTCTCCCCTAAGCTGCTCTCAGAGCCTCTTAAAGGTATTTCTGCCTCAAGTCATTCCTTCTTCCATGCTGCTCTTAAAAGATCTTCACCTGCGTCAATTGTCTCCCTTCAGGGACTCCCCATTTCCTAAGGGATAAAGACCAGATTCATTAGCCTCTAAGACCGGGCCTCAAGCTACTTCTCCAAAATCATCTCTAGGCACTCCTCCAAATTCTCTTTACCTTCTGGCCATGGCAAAAGCATGCTGTGCCTTCATGCCTCCCTGCCTTTCCCCTGCTGTTCTTTCGGCCTTCAGTGCTGTTCTCCCTCTTCTCAGTCTGTGAACTTGTAATCACCCTTAAAAGCAAAGTTCTTCATTGATTTACCTGTACCCCCACAGCCCCCTGTGCCAACTCAGAGCACCAGCCAGAGTGTGTTCTAAATGGAACCACCCAATGATGTATCTCTGTCTCTGGCTAGACTAAAAGCTCCCTGAGGACGAGGTTTCTGACTCATTTATTTCTGCTTCCCCATGTGCAGCTCAGAGCTTAATGTGTGACATAGTACAGGCACTTCAGGTTTTAATAAATGGCTGACCACCGAATGAATGAATGAATGCATGAAATAAATGAATGAAGGCTCTGTGATAACCAGGACAGTCACACAACACCAACCAGCATTTACAGCATGTTCTCCTACCCGACCAAATCATCAGCTCTATGAGGGCAGAGACCACACCTATTCTGCTCCCCACTGCCAGCTCTCCAGCTCCTATCAGCCCCATCATGATACGTAGCTAGTGTGAATCCAAGAGCTCATTTGAAATTCACAGTAACCCCATGAGGGAGGAACAGCAAGTATTGTTACCTACCTTTTGTAATGGGACAGTGAACCCTAGTAGGAATTGTCCCAGGTCATCCAATTCCAGAAAACTGAAGTGCTCTCCAGGGTTTGACAAACTTGAGAAATGAGTCTTCTTGTTTTATATCCGTGCTTCTCTAACTTTAATGTGCATTGAAATTACTTGGGATCTTTTCAGAAATGCAGATTCTGGTTCAGTAGGTATGAGATGGGGCTTGAGAGTCTGAGTTTCTAAAAAGCTCCTTGCTTCTAATAAGCTCTAATAAGTTGATTAGAAAATAAACTTAATAATTCCTAATAAGCTCTAATAAACATCTAGTCAGGTGGTGTTGACTAGTATCTACAAACCACCACATTTTGAACACCAAGGTGAGTGCTAGTTACCACAAAGCTTCCTCCTGGCCATTGCATTAAGATAGTGGATTTTTAAATCTACAAATGAATTCATTTGTGCCTTGGATCAAAATCAAGGGCTCTTTCTGGTCAGCAAACTTCTTGCAAGTTTGGATCTATGAGCACAAGATGGGTGCCTGGGCAGTGCTGGGATGGGAACCTGAGACACCTGAGACCCTGAGACATCAAAACCACTCAGAAGTGTGCAAAGTGAAGGTAAGAGAGAGGGAGACGTGAGGACAGACTTCCTCCATGCAAACCAAGAGAGATTTAAAAATTCAGAATGGATAGCAACATTGCACGCATTTGCTTATTATGGTTTTACATTGTATTCCACTTACAGCATTAAAAAGGCTTGAGATGGCTTAAAAAATAAACTACATGACCAATGCAACTAGTAAGAACAGAAATTCTAGAAAGACAGGCAGAAACCCTGAAGATTAAGATCACGAAACTCCTGGAGAATCTGATTAGAGCTTATGAATTCTTGCTCCACAAAAATGAATATATTCATATACACAACAATTTGCATATCATTTCAGTGGGTGTGTGATTCCCCTGAAGCCTATTCAAAAGTCCGGGTTAAGAGCACCCGATACAGAGAATAAAGAGAGAAAATTATGCCAGTGCCCTGGCTGAAGATGACAACTGTATTTGGACACTCAAATTGGCTCTGAGATGACTCATGGCAGCCAAGGGGAAAGGGGGGGACAAGATGAATGGGAGGACTCTTGGTGTCTGATAGTAGAAGGAAGAACATCAATCAGTCTTTCAGGAGAGGGAACTATTTTCTTAACCCCAATCCTCAGTATATTGTCAAGACAGGCCACTAGACAGAGGGCATAGTAGTTAAGGCGGACTCCGGATCAGTCTGCACAAGGCCAGGGAACCTAGGAGCAATGAAGGGCAGACTCAAATCCTTCATTAGTCCTTTGGGGGGCCTTAAATAGCAATTGACACATAATGAAACACAATCTATCTTCCTGATTCACACACACACACACACACACACACACACACACACACACACACACACAGACTCTGGAGACCACCTTGCTGGATTCAAATCCAAGGTCTACTAGTTACTGGCTCTGTAATCTCAGGTAACTTTTAACATTTCTTTCTTTCTTTTTTTTTTGAGACAGAGTCTCGCTCTGTCACCCAGGCTGGAGGGCAGTGGGGCGATCTCAGCTCACTGCAACCTCCGCCTCCCAGGTTCAAGCAATTCTCCTATCTCAGCCTCCCGAGTAGCTGGGACTACAGGTGCACACCACCACACCTGGCAAATTTTTGTATTTTTTAGTAGAGATGGGGTTTCGCCATGTTGGTCAGGCTGGTCTCGAACTCCTGACCTCAGGTGATCCACCCACCTCGGCCTCCCACAGTGCTGGAATTACAGGTGCGAGCCACCGTACCCAGCCAACTTTTAACATTTCTGTGCCTGGTGTCCCCATCTATAAACTGGGGTTGTTGTGGGGATGAAATTAGTTCTTATATGTAAAATGCTTAAGACGTGCCTGGGATATTATGTAAGCGTGAGCTGTTATATTATGGGAAGGTGGCAGCATGGAGTACTGGTAATGAGTACTGATGGCCTGCCTGGATGTAAATCCTGGCTCTACCACTTATTAGCTTTGTGACCTTGGTCAGTGTACTTACTGGGTTAAACAGGGTCCCCCCCAAAAGTCATGCCCACCTAGCACCCCAGAATGTGACCTTTCTCTGGAAATATGGTCTTTACAAATGTAATTAATGAAGTTAAAATGAGGTCACACTGGATTAGGGTACGTCCTAACTACCCTATGACTGGTGTCTTAAGAAGAAGAGTGGACACACGCCCTTAAAAAGGCTTGAGATGGCTTAAAATAAACCTATATAGGCAGCATAACTAGTAAGAACAGATGATGATAGAGTCAGAGATTGGAGTGATGTGGCTGCAAACCAAGGACTGTCAGGGATGGCCAGCAGACACCAGAAGGTAGGAATGAGGCATGGAACAGATTCCCCGTCAAAGCCTCCAGATGGAATCAACCCTGCTGACACCTCGATTTTGGACTTCTGGTCCTCTGAACTGAGACAGAGTAAATCTCTGTTGTTTTAAGCCATCCAGTTTGTGGTCATTTATTATGGCAGCCCTATAAATCTAACATAGTCTGCACTTCTTCATCTGTAAAATGGGGATAATAAAAGTATCTGCTTCACAATTATTAAGACTGCAAGAAATAATCCATGTAAAGAGCTTAGCATTGTGCCTGGTATGCAGTAAGAACAAAACAAAGCTTCTATTATAAGGTACAGTGACAAGTGGCCAACAGTAGCCTCAAGGATGGTGTTAATAGTAGTCTGTTGTATGTCTCTAATTTATTTACTCAATGTCTTATTGAATTTTTATGCCGTTTTGGGGGTTTTGGGTTTTTCTTCGCTAATAGAGGTTTTTTTTTTTGTTTTTTGTTTTTTTTTTAGACAAGGTCTCACTCTTTCACCCAGGCTGGAGTGCAGTGGCTCACTGCAACCTCCACCTTCTGGGCTCAAGTGGTCCTCCCCCAAACCCCAGAAGCTGGGACCACAGGTGCATGCCACCATGCCCAGCTAATTTTTTGTATTTTTAGGCGAGACGGGGTTTCACCATGTTGCCCAGGCTGGTCTTGAACTGAAAAAGGGTATACCAATGTAACTTCTCTTCTGTGTGAGGACACTGGTCTCCCCACATCTTGTCAACACTGGGAATTCTCAGACTTTTAAATCTCTGTCAATCTGATAGAACTGATATCTCCTTCCACAATTTGCTTTTTTATAATTATAAGTGAGTTTTGTTATTATTTATATGTGTATTAGCCATTAGTATTTCCTTTTGTGTGAACTGTCTATTCCTCTCCTCTTTCCACATTTTCTGGCCTGTTCTGTTTTTTTATTGGAGGAACTCTTTGTCTATTAAACAAATCAGCCTTTTGTTTAATATGAAGCAAATATATTTTCCCCCAGCTTGCCGTTTGCTTTTTGGTATTGTTCGTATTAATTTTCATATTGGTTTTTTGGAAAATACAAAAACATGTTTCATAAAGCTCTATCTTACATTAACACCTGCTATGAGGCTATGTGATGAAGTTCATGTTTGTAAAATGGAGAATGAGGATAGGAATGAATTCCACAAGCTTTCCTACAAGTTAGCTTTTTTTTTTTGACACTGAGTCTCACTCTGTTGCCCAGGCAAGAGTACAGTGACACAGTCTCGGCTCACTGCAACCTCCACTGCCCAGGTTCAAGCGATTCTTTTGCCTCATCCTCCCGAGTAGCTGGAATTACAGGTGCCCACCACCACGCCTGGCTAATTTTTGTATTTTTAGTAGAGATGGGGTTTCACCATGTTGGCCAGGCTGGTCTCGAACTCCTGACCTCAGGGGATCCACCCACGTCAGCCTCCCAAAGTGCTGGGATTACAGGCCTGAGCCACCACACCCGGTCTACAGGTTAGCTTTTATTCTACAAGTGCTTTTGACTTACGGCTATCAAAGCTAATAATAATGCTAGGCATTTATTCATTCATTCATTCATTCAACGAATATGTCTTCAGCACTGGACAGGTGCAGGGCTTTGTGAAGGACCATGGGAGACAGAGATGTTTGTCCTCAGGTAGCTTTTAGTCTTGTGGGAGTAGGGGTGCCTGAAGATAATGCAATAACTCCCAAAGAACTCTGATGGCCTCTCTTGTTTGTACTACAATCGTTAGCTTCCTAGAACTCTCTTCTGCTGGTGTGGAGGGAAATGAAATGGAAGGGGCAGAGCGTGGGGAGAGCTAAGTGTGGCCTGAACCAGAAAAGTTGCAGAGACATAGGAGGAGTGGAGTGCAGCATGGTTTGAGGGCAGGTGGGCAGGCCAGCTGAGACAGGGAGATGTCTTCAGACTCTTTTCCTGGAACCCTGTTGCTTACAGATGATTGCTGTGGTGACTCAGACACCATGATGACCCCAAGAGATGCAAAATGAAAACATGCACCCGCGCGCGCACACACACACACAGACACACACACACACACACACACACACAGGCTTTTCCAATTTAAACCACTTGACAACTTTGACGTTTAGAGCATCGAGCATGGCTCATTGTGTTCTGGGATGAAGCTCATAGCAACTGCAGAAAGTGATGGAGTCAAACACTATGTTTAGTGTGTTTGTTTTTTTAGAAGGTACTTTCCCATATGACTAAGAGAATGAAATCAGCCAGTGAAAATAACTGCAAATGAGCCAGAAAACAAGTCTGTTAACAATAGCTGGTCTCTAAGTCCCCATCCTCCTCCATTCAGGGGCTCCACGCACATCTGTCATAATAGAACTAGGCCTTAAAGGGCCTTAAATCCTGTATTGTCAACTCCCCAATAACCACCATCAATCAAGACATCAACCCTCTCTGGAAGACCTCATCTAGGGCTCTGCCATCGCTGCTCACAGCCTATAGAGACAGGTGCTCACTACTTCCCGGCTTAGCCCAGTGTACCCCTGGGCAGTTTTTGTTTGTTTGCTTGTTTGTTTGTTTGTTTTTTGTGTCTCATTCTGTCACCCAGGCTGGAGTACAGTGGTGCAAACAGGACTCACTGCAGCTTCTTCCTCCTGGGCTAAAGCAATCCTCCCACTTCAGCCTCCTGAGTAGCTGGGACTACAGGAGTGCGCCATCACACCTAGCTAATTTTTAAATTGTTTGTAGAGACAAGGTCTCACCGTGTTGCCCAGGCTGGTTTCAAACTCCTGGCCTCAAGCGATCCGCCTGCCTCTGCCTCCCAAAGTGCTGGGATTACCGGTGTGAGTCACTGTGCCCAGCTGGCCCTCAGGCAGTTTTTATTGTTAGAAAGTTCCTTGTGCTGATCAGAAATCTACTTCCTGGTAATTTCAATAAATCTATGTCTTCTGCCCTCTGGGGAGCCACAGACCTCTTCTGTTCCCTCTTCCCCAGGTGAGCCCAGTAGAGGTTTGGAGAGTGTGACCATGTTCCTCCTGGTCCTTCAACTGTTCTTCATATGACACCTTGTTTACCTTCTCTGGACTCAGCACCACTCAAAAGAGAAGGCCTAATTCACAGCAGAGGTCATCCCCATGTCCAGAAGGCATATAAAATGTGCTCAGCATCATTAGTCGTCAGGGAAATGCACAATGAGTTCCCACTACCTGCCCACCAGAATGGCTAACAGGAAGGTGCTGACAGTACCAAGTGTTGACAAGGTTGTGGAGCAGCTGGAACTATCATACATTGTTGGTAGAAATGTAAAATTGTAAAATTACTTTGGAAAACTGACAATATCTACTGAAACTAAACATATGCCCACTCTATGACCTAGCAATTCCACTCCTGGGTACACACCCAAAAGAAGGAAGTGCTTATTTCTACCAAAAGACATATTCATAGCACTGTTTATAATTACCAAATACTGGAAATAACCTAAATGACCATTAAAAGTAGAGTAAATAAATAAATTATGGTATATTTCAGATAATGGAATACTACACATCAATGAGAAAGAACAAACTGTTACTACACACAGTAGCACAGGTGAATCTCACAGATACAATGTTGAATGAAAGAAACCAGATGCAAAAAAAAAAAACCCCAAAAAACACATCCACTATATGTTTCCATACAATGTTCAAAAAGCCAAAACTAATCTACAGTCTTAAAGGTCAGAATAGTACTATAAATATATTATTTTATATATATTATAAATAGTTACTTTTGAGGGAGATTGACCAGGAGGGAATTTAAGGAAGTTTTCTTGGGGGCTGGAAATGTTTAGTATCTTCATTTGAATGTCTACATAGGTATATAAATGTGGGAAAATTACATGAGTTGTATACTTAAGCCTTGCACACTTGACTGTATATAGCCAGTGTCTTGTTTAAAAAAGATAATTACCACCCACCCCCCACAAAAGAGTGTGGCCCAGAGTTGAGCTCCAGCATAAAACCAAGCAAGACTGTCATTGCCCTTACTTTGGCACTACACTTTTATTACAGCAGCTAAGGTCTCACCATGGCTTTGGGGATGAGCACCTTGAACTGTTGATTTATGCTGGGTCTACAGTCACCGGAGAGCCCCACATCTTTCTCATGGCTGCTCAGCCACGTCCACTCATCCGGTGCTTGCAGGCTGCAGGCTGGGCCTGAAGGAAGGTGAAGGAAACCGGTTATCGAGCTGTATCATCCCTTCTCTCATGTCCCCTTTACAGTACCCCTTGGGAGAACATTCAGTCCGTGTCCTGCTCTCACTTTGCAGAAGAAACCCCGAATCTCAGAGGCACAAAGTGGTATGCCTGAGGCTGCCCAGTCAGCTAGAGCCAGGGGTAGGGATTTCAGCCCAGGTTTGCATGACCCCTAGTTCAAGCTCTCATCTTTAACCAGGCTGACCCAAGATGGGGCCTCACCTGTAAAGGAAACTAAGGGCCCAGGGCATCTGTTCTGCTCCAGGGGTGGTGGATGAAGAGAGGACGGGTGTGACATTATCCCAGGATCTCTGTGTGAGTCTTATCTCCCCATGTTAATTATAAGCGCCTGAGAGCTAGGACTTCTTATTAATTTCTGTCTCTCCCAAAAAGACCCAGCATGCCCTCCCCATAGTGGGTACCCAGTAAATACTCACCCAGTGAATTAGGTTGTAGAAACTGAGATCCAGAGAAGTACAGCAGTTTGCTCAAGGTCATATGGCAGGTCCTCAACTAAAGTCAGGACTTGTAACCAGGCCCCCTGACTTCTATGGCAATGCTCCTTCTGCCATTGCACAGTGGCCCTAGTGTCCTCGAGACCCCGGGACTAGAAATTTCAATGGATTGGAAGACACTAGGGAGGAAAAGGACATTCACATGTAAGCCAAGGCTGAGTCTGGCCCTGGGGCCTTCAGAGCGTGTGCCCTGGGGCTAAGGCTGGAAACAGGTTGTACACCTGTGCAGGTGCACAGAGCCCTGCTTTCAGAGGGACACTGTGCTTGGTGGAATGTTCTGCAGTCACTGTCTTAAATTTTTTTTTTTTTGAGATAGAGTCTCACTCTGTTGTCCAGGCTGGAGCACAGCAGCACGATCTTGGCTCACAGCAACCTCTGTCTCCCAGGTTCAAGTGATTCTCCTGCCTCAGCCTCCCGAGTAGCTTGGATTACAGGTGCCCGCCACCACACCTGGCTAATGTTTTTTTTTTGGGGGGGGGGTTGTGTTTTCTTTTTTTTCTTTTTCTTTTTTTTTTTTTTGTATTTTTAGTAATGACAGGGTTTCACCATGTTGGCCAGGCTAGTCTTGAACTCTTGACCTCAAGTGATCCGTCCGCCTTGGCCTCCTAAAGTGTTGGGATTACAGGCGTGAACCACCGCACCTGGCCGAAATTCTTAATAATTTTATCTTTGAATTTATATTTTTAAGTGAAGTTTCAATGAAGTATGTGCCAGGGCTCAGAACCTCAGCTTGCATGAGGTCCCACCTCTTGTTGCCTCACTGCTTCCTGGGGATGGGTTCTTGGACTAGAGCTCCCTCGCCCCTGGCACCCTCTGGTTCCATTCAGCCTCCCACTTCCCACTCCTGCTGGGCTGCCAGTGAGGCCGCCTGGTGTATTCAGCTGGAAACTCTGCAGGGCAAGCCTTTCATCCACTGCTCTTACAGGTACCTAATGTCCTGGCACAGGGGTTGTAATACCGTTGGGAATTGCCCATGATATTGCAGTCGCTGTGCCAGGACATTAGGTAATCTGAATTAGAAGTGGACGAAAGGATTGTGTTGCGGCAGCGGCCAGGACCAGGCCACTCACTACCTGGATCGGGGCAGACAAGAAGATTGTGTTGGGCCAGTGAACCGTGGGAAGGGGAAATGCCTGGCATGACTTCCTGGCCCTGCCCTAGGGCAGGATGTGTCGGTCCTGGGTGTGATAAGAGAAAGAAATTGGCAGCCAGTGGGCTTCTTGTGCAGTACACGGACACCTATGTGGATCACGGTATTAATAATAAATAAAAAACACCATGACAGTCTGGGCATGGTGGTTCACACCTGTAATCCCAGCACTTTGGGAGGCTGAGGCAAGAGGATTGACTGAGTCCAGGAGTTTGAAACCAGCCTGGTCAACATAGTGAGACCCTGTCTCTACCAAAAGTTTGTAAACTAAAACAAAAATGAAAAAAAAAAAAACAAACCACCATGCCAGATCAAGAGAGAGACCATGGGAGAAACGAAGAGCTTTATATTTTGATACTTTGTTTTGTTTTTGTTTTGAGACAGGGTCTCAATCTGTTATCCAGGCTGGAGTGCAATGGCATGATCTTGGCTCACTGCAACTCCTGCCTCCCAGGCTCAAGCAATCCTCCCACCTCAGCCTCCCAAGTAGCTGGGACTACAGGCACACACCACCATGCCTAGCTAATTTTTCTATCTTTTGTAGAGACAGGGTTTTGCCATGTTGCCCAGGCTGTTCTCGAACTCCTGAGCTCAAGCAATCCATCCACCTCAGCCTCCCAAAATGCTGGGATTACAGGCATGAGCCACCACGCTCAGCCTATTTTGGTACCTTTAATGGCACTTTTGTCTTGCCTTTTGAGCAAAGGGTCCCACTGTTTTACTTTGCACTGAACCCAGCAAATTACGTAGCCAGTCCTGCCTGGGTGCATCTTTCAGCAAGGCAGAGTGAGAAGCCTCAGCTATTTTACACAGGGGATCCTTAGGGGAAGCAGGATGGTTTGGAATCAAGACATTGGTGACTGAGAGAGCTCAGCCCTCTCAGTTCAGCTCTCTCCCTCTCCCTGTTTCTCCTCGGCTCTCTTCTATCTGGAACCCATCACAGGTGACAACACGCCCCCGGGGACATGAAACTGCAAGCATAAAAGTAGTTATATTTTTATGCGCTGCAAAGGTCTCTGCACATCGGAGGAGTGGTTATTGGCATAATTATTGCACCACCTTTTATGACCCTGATCTCAGCCTTAAAAACTAAGGAAGCTAAGCCCCCTCAAACTTCCATTACTTTTTGTCTACTCCTTCCACACCTTACCCTACCCCTGCCCACCCAATCGATTGCTGGTTGACTTTCTTCCCCTGCCGGTCACTGGCCTGAGATAGGATTCAGTTTTCCACCCTCGCCCAGGGGTCTGTATCCCTGACTGACAATTCAGTTCAATCTGCAGTAACTTCACCTTCACTCTGAGCCAGGCAGGGGCTGGGCGCTGAGATGTGCAGATGTCAGATGTGATCTTGCCCGGCTCAATCTGGGAACACAGAGAGATGTGGGGAGTCCCAGTCTCCTCCGCTAGGCAGGGGCAGCGCTGCTTCTTTAGAGCTTCCTACAGAGGTGTGGGAGCAGAGGGGGGCATTATCCCAACCAGGGGTGCCGGGAGCCTGTGTGGTGAGGTGCGCTTTAAAGACATGCTCTCTATCCATCCATGGGAAGCAGTTGGAGCTTGGGAAGCAGTTGGAGCTTAGGAGTTGGAGCTTGGGAAGCAGTTGGAGTTTTCAGCTTGGGAGTAGCATGAGGACTGATTTTCACCAAGATCATTTGGAGGCTGAGTTGAGTGAGGATAGGAAGGAGGGAGAACTGAGGCAGGGGACTAGTTTGGAGACCACTGTACTCACTGAGATCATAAGAGGCAGTGCCGTGAGAAGGGAGAGGAGGGACAGATCCAAGGATGTTAAAGAGACAGGATTCCAGTCACAAAGAGACAACACAGCATGACTCCAGTCATCGGTGGCCCCCGGAGTAGTCCAATTCGCATAGACAGAAAGGAGAATGTGGTTGCCAGGGGCTGGGGGAGGAGAGAAAGGGGAGTTAGTGTTTAATAGGGACAGAGTTTTTAGTCTGAGAAAATGAAAAAGTTCTGGAGAGGGATAGTAGTGACGGTTGCACAACAACAGGAATGTACTTAATGCCGCAGAACTGTGCAACTAAAAATGGTTAAAATGGCAAATTTTATGTTTTGTGTATTTTACCACAATTTGAAAAGCAACTATAACAACAAAAAGATAGTGGGCCTGTGGGGGTGGGGAGGAGAGGCCAGACATGGTGGCTCACACGTATAATCCCAGCACTTTGGGAGGCTGAAGCGGGAGGATTGCTTGAGGCCAGGGGTTCAAGGCCAGCCTGGGCAACATAGCAAGACCTCATCTCTACAAAAAAATTTTTTTAAATGAGCTGGGCATGGTGATGCACCCCTGTAGTCCCAGCTACTCGAGAGGCTGAGGAGGGAGGATTGCTTGAGCCTGGGAGCTGGAGGCTGCAATGAGCTATGATTATATCACTACACTCCAGCGTGGGTGATGGGGGAAAAAAAAAAAAGTTTAAAATAAGAGAAAGAGCTTTGTCAGGCTCAGGCTGGCCCTGAGCTGGAGAGTGGGCTGGGAAGTCTATGCTGACCCCAAGGGTCTGGCCTGGGTGACTGACAGGCAGAAGAGGAGCTGCAAACCAGGCCAGGGGAGGGTGGTGGTGCCAAAGCCGGACACGCATGCTGGGTTGGGCATGTGGGGCCTGAGGACTCCAGGGGGAGGTACCCAGAAGGGAGCAGGGGCTCAGGAAGGGGCCTGGGCTGGATAGACACCATCTGAGTGTCCTCAGCTTATCACAGGTAGCAGGCCCCACACGGGAGAAGATGAGAACCAGCCAGGGAGAACGTGAGAAGAGGGCAGAGCCCAGAGAAACAGGTGGGCCAAGAATAATGCGTCATCAAGGAGACCTGGGAGGATTCAGAAAGGAAGCAGGGAAACCAGGAGAGCTTCGCTGCAAGGAGTGGGAGCTCATTAAGGTCCCTTAGGACAGCGAGTGGGCGTGGCCAGATGGGTGGGCCTGGACAGGCTCATGGGAGGACAGGGGGCTCGTGGGAAACAGGCTGAGCCGTACCATCCAGGCTTGAGGGAGGGGGGCCTGGGCATTGTTGGGTCTTGTGTGCTCTGTCTCTCATGGGCAGCACAAGCTGTCCCTCAGGACTCCACTCCCTTGCCCATTCTCATCCCCCATCGCCTCAGCTTCCACACGTCCGCGATGGGCCCCCCAGCTTCTCTTCACCACAGCTGCCCCAACACCTGCCCCATCTTCTCCTCCTGTCCCAGTTCCATGTTATTATGGGTTGGATTGTGTCCCCAAAAAAGCTGCACCTGTGAATGTGACCTGTGAATGTGATAAGGTCCTTAGGGAAGCCCTAATGCAATATGACTGCTGTCCTCAGAAAAAGGGGAAATTTGGATCCAGACATGTGCAGAGGGTAGACACTGCGAAGAAAAAAACAGGGAAAGGAGCCTCTGCCGGCCAAGGAACACCTGAGGCCAACAGAGCAGCTGGGAACAGATTCGTCCTCAGAGCGAGCCAGCCCTGCTGACCCTTGATTTCTGACTTCTGCCTCCAGAACTGAGAGCCAACACACTTCTGTTGTTTCTGTCACTTGGTTTGTGGGGCTTTGACGGGGGCATCCCCAGGAAACAAATACAAATGCTAAGAAATGAATGAGCTAAGAACTCCTCTTTTACCCAACTCCTCTTTTTGGTTTTTTCTTTGTCTTGGGCCACCTTGGGACCTTGTCACTGGCCTTCCAATCAATTGGCTACCCTTGAGCCAGGCACCCCTCTGCCCAGTCATCTGAGAGTGGAGGGGTGACCCGTGATATGAAGCATGGCTGCCCTGAGAGGTGCCCCTTAAAGGGTGCAGGGGAGTAGCGGGGAGACAGCTCTCTCAGGAGGGACAGGGGACATTGCAGGTGCTCTTGCATCCCTGCAGCCGAGGGAAGAGAGATTCCAGAGAGGGAGGTAGATGGCATTGTCTTGGGATACAGAATTTAGTGTAGAGGGAACCTGACATAAAATCCCTTTGGCCAAAGTGTCTTCCGGAAGACAGGGACAAATCCACAAATATCTGGGGCATAAAGGATGGACTTTCTAAGTCAACCTTGCCTTCCCATCCTCAAGATGTTCACTGTGGCTGAAATAACAAGTCAGTATAACTGGAAAATATTTATTTGAACTTGTGACTCAGCTCTTCCTGAGCTCAAGGAAGTGCAGTCCATAAATCAAGATGATGCCGCGTAAGTGCCTCCTCTGGAGTGTTCCCACATTGGCGGGCAATGCTGGAGAAGCCATTAGCAGAAGTGACTGGACCGGCTGCCCGTGAAAGATTTAAAAGAGCCTTGTGTACTCCAGGAGCTGCTCCTTCTCAGAGCTTTCATTTCTGAGGCTTTCCTGATGGATGGCCTCAGCCTTTGACTCCCTCATTTTCACTGTCCAACCTGCCGAGTGCTACTTCCTGGCACAGCTTGTAAATTCTATTTTTTCATATTTAACGGAGGCTTAAGGCTTCTGCCACAGAGAAGCGGGGTGGCCGGATATGCTGTAAGTGTAAAATAGACACCAGATTTGGAAGACTTGAGTTTGCGAAGGTGTTTTAAATATATTTACCTGTCCTTTTATTGCTCTCACCAACTCTTGCTCAGGGTCACCAGGAGCTGCTGCAGGTGGGCCATGCTGGGAGCCCCAGCGGCTTCATCACCCCCTTCCTGCCCATCCCTCCCCTCTCAGACTTTCAGTCCCTCCAGATCTGGTCCAATCTTGCCGTGGTAAAGATGGGAAAACAGAGCATCTGAGAAGATAAGGGATTTGCCCAGGATTCCAAGTACCCTAGACCAGGACCCAGAGGTGCTCATTCCCCATTCCTCAGGTGACACCACTGGGCCAGGCACAGGGCAAGGCACTGGGAACACGAAGACACATAGAACACGGGTCCTCTCCTGAGGGACCTCGGAGCCTGACGACAGCATGGCTCGGGGAAAGGAGGTAGAGACTCCAGCAGCGACAGCCTCATAATAATGGCTAATATCTGTGAAGCCAGTTGACTGCACCAGTCAACCCCAGGCTACAGCCTCATCTGCTTGCTACCCCATGATCCTCACAATACCTTACGGGGGCGAGTACGGTTAGCCTCTCACTATGCAGACCAAGAAACCCAGTCCAGGGATTTTCCACTTTTTATTTGAGCCACAGAATCCTTTCTTCAAGTGAAATTTTATATGGAACCCAAATAAATACATCAGGTAAAATCAGGAGTGAGTCCCCCTCACTTATCCCTAACCCTTTGCAGGGCCCTGGAGGCACTTTCTCAGAGCCTGAGATCTCCTGTTGGCATAGTTTAAAAACCAGCCAGGTCAGTCAATGCTTTCATTTTTCAGAGGAGGGAAGGAACTTAGCAAGGGTCACCCAGGGAATTACTGTCACAATTAACACTCCAACCACAAGTCCTATGAAGCTCAGGCCTGTGCTCCATCCCTGACACCTCTTCTCTTAGGAAACAGAGGCCTTTTATTAGCAGCTATAAAATACAATCTCTTCTAAGCCATATTTTAAGACCGAGTTTGCAGTGGGCTCTCTGAACACACTGTTTTCGCCTCCCTCCCACCCTGTGTCTTCCCTACCTCCAGTTCTCCCATTTCCTCCACCACAGGAGAATACTGCTTCGTAGCAACCGTCCTTGTGAGCCAAGTCGATGAGTGTGGCTTGAAACTGACAGCTTCATAGTTTACCTTAGAGTTTTTGGTTCTTCTCAGTTTATTTCATGTTGTGCCTCATCACTCCATAATATTCACAGGACTCTTGACGTTAGAAAGGGCTTTTTAAATCCAGTGAAATAGGATTTTAGAAATCAATAGCACCTTGGGGTGTGTATGTGGTGCATTAACTTTCCTGGGTGCAGTAAGAGGAGACTTCTTTAGGAAATTTCATGATTTGCCCCCCTCAGGGTGGCATCTCTAGGGGAGGCCTAGTGCCCCACCACATATCCCTCCTTCAGCAGTCCTCATAGTTGCCACCTCCTTTCCTTTCTGGCTCTTTTCCCAGCCCCTTTTCCCCAAGCTGGCTTTGATAAAGGATTTCTTTCTCCCCTGCTCCCTCGGCCTGGCTGGTCCATTCTCCAGGGTCTGTCCATGACTCTTTTTCTAAGGCTTTTACTATAAAGCATCTAGAAAATAAGGCAGCTGGAAGAGGTAACAAGTATGAGACACTCCCAGGGTTCCCAACCTGTCTGATGTTCCCCAGAAGTGTTTCCCAGCTGGTCCTGTCCTTGTGTCCCTTCTTGTGTGGTTCTGATGTGACCCAGAGGTGAGGCAAAAAGCGTGTTTTCCAAACTTGGTTTTGTGAGATTCCATTTCCGGGTGCAGTTTCTCAGAGACGTGCTTTTATGATAAAAAAGACTGGGGGAATTCTGCTTGCAACCTATTCCTCTTGGAGACTCCATTGTATACCCACATACCAACATTTTTGAAGAAGTCCTGCAGTCCAGAGTCCTAGGGAACTTCATATAACCCAAAACCCGTTTGAGCACCAAAAGCTTGTGTTTGCAGCCTCTCTAAGAGATGCTAGTTTTAAGGCAGTTCTGGACATCTCTGTGAGTTGGTTCTGGAAGACTCCAAGCCCTTCACTGGAGTCCCTCTTGGCCCCAGCACAGAGATCATGGATCCTCTCCCCATCCTGGCTTCACTTAGGAAAAGCCAAATTAGGCTGTTTTCTGAGGGCCTTCAGGAAGGTTTTTTCGTCGATACCAGAGCACTGTCAGCTGTGCTTTCTTTGGAAGTAATAGAAATGGATCAAGTGATGGGGGGCCATTTATGGTCTGAGCATTGCATTCTTGGGGCCTGGTCAAAGAGGACGTTAGGCCAAGCTGAGCCATTCTGAGAGAAAAGGATGGCACTGAGGTTTCTGTATTTGGGAAGCAAGTCCTTCTTATCAAGCCAGCTGTCATATACTTGGATTTCTCCTGCAAATAGGCCGACACATGCACAGGCTTACACTGATAAAATGTGCTCTCTGCTTTCTGAGACAGAGACTTTTTCTGTTAGCTTAGTGAACTTTGGTTTTCATTTGTTTTAGATGCCTTTAATTATTTTTCATTAACAACTATTCCCAGGTTTTGGATCGATTGGTTGACTGTCCTTTCCTAGTTTTCATTTTTCTCTACTTTAGAAAATTCCATCATCATTTCACAGATGAGCCACGGGTGGGTTGGTTGGTTGGCTTGCATGGAGGTCTAAATACGTACGTTGCTGTGAAGAAGGTCATATCTGTTACATAAGTTTGCCTGGGCTGCTGGAACACAGTTCCACACACAGCGTGGCTTAAATAACAGAAACGTACTGTCACACAGTGTTGGAGGCTAGAAGTCTGAGATCAAGGTGTCGGCAGTGTGGGTTCCTTCTGGGGCTGCCTTCTGGTGGCTTGCTCTCAATCTTTGGCATTCCTTGGCTTGTAGTAGCATCACCCCAATCTCTGCCTTCATTGTCACATGATATTCTCTTAGTGTGCTATATCTGTGTCCAAATTTCCCGTTTATAAGGATCCCAGGTAAAATATATTGGATTAGGGGCCCACTCTATCCAGTAAGACCTTGACTAAACTTAACTACTTATATCTGCAATGACCGTATTTCCAGGTAAGGTCACATTCTAACTTGCAATGTGTTGCTAGGTTACTGAGATACTGGGGGTTAGAACTTCAACATATGAACTTTTATTTGTATTTTATTTATTTATTTACTTTTTTGAGACTGGATCTCACTCCGTCACCCAGGCTGGAATGCAGTGGCGGGAACATGGCTCACTGCAGCCTCGACCTCCTGGGCTAAAGCGATCCTCCCACCTCAGCCTTCTGAGTAGCTGGGACTATAGGTGCTGCACGACCACACCCAGCTAATTTTTGTATTTTTTGTAGAGGCAGGATCTCACTGTGTTGCCCAGGCTGGTCTCAAACTCCTGGGCTCAAGCAATCCTCTCACCTCAGCCTCCCAAAGTGCTAAGATTACAAGCATGAGCCACTGCACCCAGCCTTATATATGAGTTTTTAGGAGACACATATAACTCATCACACTGATTCTATGCACAGTACTACATTTAGCCAAGCTGGAGGACAATAGCGCTCGAGGTCCTGCTGTCCCTCCTAGCTCAGCGGAGGCAGTGTGGTGGAGTAGAGAGCACCCTCGGACTGATGTCAGGGGTCCTGAGTCAAGCCCTAGGCCATCCCTTAGTTTTTTCACTAATAAAAATGTTTTAATTAAAAGACCTATTAGTATCCAAGAAGATCTTCAAGGTATAAAAAAGGGGAAAAAAAAGTGTGTGTGGAGAGGCTCAGATGAGTTAACAGGTCTGAAAATGTCATGGTTATGGGAAGTAGCAGAGACAGGGTCCAAACACACAGGGTCCAAATGCGTTGGGTGTCATCTGTGAAATGGGAAATGAACAGTAGGCTTCTCCAGCAAGAGAGAGCAGTCTGGGAAGCAGCAGAGGTGAACCCTGGTCCCCAGGGTCCTGCTGGCAAACCAATTCTTCCCTCTGAACCGGCTCCCTCTGGGGGGAAATGGGGGCTCTGGACTAGGCAGTCCCCTGGCCACGCCATTGGGTGACTCCGCAGAGAAGGTCTGCAGCCAGCAGACCTGAGTTTAAATGTGGATCTGCTGCTTCCTAGTAGTGTCGTTTGGGTAAGTCACTTAATCTCTCTAAGTCCTTCTCTATAAAATGGGGATAATGGTAATACCTACCTCACAGGTTAAATGAGAAAGTCCTTGTGAAGTACTGAACACACAGCTTGATATGCAGTAGTAAAAGTTAGCTATTTCTATGAACTACTTTTTGTAAGGATTGAATGAGATGGTGTAGGTGAGGGGCCTGTATGCAGTAGGTGCTTAATTAACCACCGATACTCCCCTGCCCCTTTTAAACTCAGTTTTGGCAGAGTTTCCAGCATTCATGATTCCCTCTGGGGTGTAGGGTGAAGGGTGGAGAGTTACACAGAAAAGTATTTGAACTCCTTAAAGAATAACATTGTTTTCAGGCACTCATAAGCCATTTACAATTGCCCATTTACTTGTAATTAATGTCCATGCCAATTCTAACCAATTACAATTCATTAACTTACATGCTCTCAGGACTTTACCTTGCACAGTTTTATTAGAGAATTAGCCAAACTTAGTGTAGTATTCCACCATAGTAATGATTATCCTGGCAATTCATAAAATGTACCCAGGCCGCTGTGTGAACGATGAGCCTCCATTTGCTCTGAGAGAGCAAATCTGAGACGGGTCTTTCTAAGGTTCTTGTCTTTCTGGTAGGTATTACTCAGCACAGAAATTCAGGAGACACAGACAAGTTCTTCCACGATGTCGTACAGACGAGAACTAGAGAAATACCGTGACCTGGATGAAGATGAAATCCTTGGAGCCCTAACAGAGGAAGAGCTGAGGACCCTGGAAAATGAGCTGGATGAGCTGGACCCTGATGTGAGTAGGTGCTAAAGGGAAGCACATTGTCACTAGCGAGGGGACCTGGGGAGGGACAGGTGGATGCTTCCTAAAGCCACCACTTCCTTTTTCCTTCCATGGCAATGACATTGGTATAACTTTGCCTTTGCAGATTTTTCTTTTAATGTGTTGTATTAGGGTTCTCCAGAGAAAGAGAGAACCAATAGGGTGTGTGTGTGTGTGTGTGTGTGTATGTGTGTGTGTGTGTCGAGACAGAGAGAGAAGGGGAGAGAGAGATTTGTTATAAGGCTTTAGCTTGCAAGGCTATAGAGACCAGCAAGATCTGCAGTTGCTAAGGTGGAGACCCAGGAGAGCCAATGGCACAGTTCCAATACAAATACAAATAACCAGCAGGCCGAAGACCCAGGAAGAGTTGGGTCTGGGAAAAGATGTTTTAGTTTGAATCCGAAGGCAGAAAAAAGCCAATGTCCCAGCTCAAGGCAGTCAGGCAGGAGGAAATTTCCGCTTACTTGGAGGAGGGTCAGCTTTTTTTCCCTACTCAGGTCTTCAACTGATTGGATGCCCACCCCCCACCGCCATATCAGGGGGAATAATCTGTGTTACTCAGTCTACTGATTCAAATATTGGTCTCATCCAGAAACACCCTCACAGACACACCCAGAAAAATGTTTGACCAAATGTCTGAGCATCCCATGGCCAAGTCAAGTTGACACCCAAAATTAACCATCACAGTCTACCCCTTGTCAACTTGGCACACATATACATCTCTTTAAACCATACTTAATTTCCAAATAAAGACAGTAACGATGTCATAATTCTGCCTAACATGATACAACTATCCTGGGTACAATGGAAAACACACTATCACCTTCCCCAGAAGAGGAGGTAAAGTCCATGAGTGATGTTTATTCTTCTCCTTGCTGTCCTGTAACTTAAATATTATAATGTAAAATTAATGATACTTAAATCCTATTATACAAAGCCAATACACCAATAACAGTAAAGTCGGTATCAAACAATCTTGTGTTACATGATAAGGGAATAAGAGAGGGAAAAAGCAAAGATATTTGCTACACACACACACACAATACAAGTGTTCATAAAATAAGGAGGAAGTACTCATGACAATTACAGTCTTCATTTCTGTAACTACTCAGATAGTTGTAGCTGGTATTTATAACTACCCTGTTTCATTCCCCATTCTTTGCCTTTAGCAAGCACCTCAGCTGGTTGTGGTTCTTTACCCGATGGGGTGACCTAAGCTTTCATTTCTGAAAGGCCTAGGCCATTAGTAGTCCTGCCTGGATTAGTTTGTTGTAGTTTTCCATTGACCCTAATCACAGGGCATGGTAATACTAAAAAACGCCCTAAGGGCTCTCCTGTATCCAGACATACTTTCTTACCTCCCTTGTGCAATAGCTATCCAATTTCTCCTTGGTAGTCAGCATCTGTCACCCCAGCCAGCCCAGTAACTCCCTTCTTTGCTCATTGATTCAGAGTCATGAGGAGCCCAAAGTGGCCTGGTGGCAGTTTTAACTTCCATTTTAATGGAATTGTTGTGTCTCCTAGTGGAACTTTGGTCCTTTGAAACTAAGACTTCTAGGCCAGCAGACCACAGGGTCATGGGAACAATGAACAAAAGTTTTGCTAGTGCATCACTAGGAGAAATGGTGAGTGGTGCCACTCCTATTTCCAATCTTGATTCCCTGACCCATGAATCCTAGCTATGGGAGAAATGGCATCCGCAATTGCCCACTGATTCAGAGCATATACAGCCTTCTGGAGAATGTTGCCCCGGCCTGTAAGGTGTGGCCACCTAGCTGGCACTGTAACTGAGTCTTCAAAAGGCCGTTACCCCGTTATATCGAGCCAGCAGCTTCAGGATGGTGGAGAACATGTGTCATGGAATGAATGAGCTGAGAAATAAAGGACCAGAATAATTCTTCTCATTTAATGTTTGATGTTTTATCATTGCATTTCATAGTTGGCACATTTAGAAGTGTGTTTAATACTCAGAATTCATCCCTGCAGTCAGGGTACACAGTGTCAAGAGTCAAAAGTCTCTTTGGTTGTGTATGTGGTTTAGCAAGTCACACTAGAACTGTGAGCATGGGCATAGAGGGGTTCGTAGGTGGCCTCCTAGACAAGGGTCTTCATCCTACAGCTATATCCCAGGCACCCAGGTCAATAACCAGCACAGAGAAGGTAGATAATCAAAGTTACTGAACTGAGTAAATGTTCCATGTTATATATTTTTAATTAAAAATGGAATGTATCACACCCTTTTTTTAAACCAGCCATTGCTCAACTCTGGTTTAATAGTGATCCATAAAGAAAACAACACTTCAATCTCACTCACCCAGAGATGGTCACTGCTAACATCCCGGGAGCACAGTTTGATGAAAAAATGCAGGACTAGAAGTTAGGTGTTTCGCTTCCAATCCCAACCCTGTCTCTTCCACTCCATGTGACCTTGGACCAAGCTGCCATCCTTCCTAGACCTCAATGTCCCCAGCCATGGAATAGCAGAGTTGGTTGGTCATTTTCAGGGTTAAGCTAACCTGACTTATAATCTGGTCTTATACCCAGGTGTGATTAAGTGGCTTCATTCCAGATAACTCAGAATCCTTGCCTAGGGCTCTTGGGTCCCAGGCCCCATAGAATTACACATCTCTCCAACAGTGTGTCCTCCTCTTCCTGATATTCACGATCTTCCCCTGCCTGCCAGGAGAAGATGGTTTCCTGATGAGGCTGCTCAAGTTGATCAAAAGTCGGCATTGGTGGAAAGAGCCTTGCATTTCTCTTTCTTCCCCCGCATCATCTCTCCCCATTAGCCTGTGTTTCAGTAAAAACAAGCCATGTAGGCAAGAAAAAAATCAAGCTGCAAAATTATTCTGTTCTAATTCTATCCTAGATCACTGTCACACAGAATTCCAAGAACAAACAACTTTATAAAGGGAGAACAAAAGAGGCATGTAGCCACTTCCAGTTAACTCAATAAATGTGACTCGGTTACCTGCCGAGCACTGTGCTGGGCACCAACAGGGCAGCCTGGCTGGGACTCTGCCTTTCAGGAGCACAGGCTGGTGGGGACACAGGCATAATACACTGAGCTTGACACAGAGCAGACAGGAAGCTGTGCCAGGAGATTAACTCTTACTGGTGCAAGGCATCACAGAGCAGGTGATACTGGAACTGAGCTCTGGATTTTTTTAATTCCATGCCGAGTGAGGGCCTTTGAGAAAGGCCGCAAGGAGAGTGTTGTGTAGGGAAGGAATTGGGGATGGGAATCTTAGTGTGGTTTCTGTGGAGGGTCAGATGCGACTAGAAAGAGGGGTTGGGATAGATAACGCGGGGGAAGAGGGGGCGGCAAGGCCGACTGACGGGTTTAGACTTTGCTCAGTGGGTTCAGGGAGCCCTTGAGGGTCAGAGACTCAGAGGGGTTTTGGGAGCTGATGCTGGGGACACATGGACTGGAGGGGTGTCAGGGAGATGGGTGAGAGGTGGGAGGCGCTCCCGCGGGGGAATCTCTGCCATTCCCAGGGAGAAGTGCACCTGAGGGCCCTGCAGGCCTTTTGGGCTGTTTGAGTTGCCCTGAGATGCTGCATGGGGATGAGGTTAGGTCAGGCTGTGACCGCAAATAAGGCAGGTGATGACAAGGGTCAGAGCCAAGCGACAGACCTGGGAGTGGAGGGGGACAGATGGAGGAGGCCTCGCAGAACCCAAAATACATCCACCAGCAACTGCATTCTGTTTCACCCCCAAACTGGCAAAGAGCTCCCGCAGGTCTGCCACCCGACATATCAGAGCATCCAGCCTCAGCAGCAAATACCCAGGGCCCTGCAGCTCTCACACAGCCAGCTTTCCCGCCCAGGTGATTAGCAGGGAAGGGACACTCCACTTGTGCTACTGGAGGGACAGAGCACCTGGGGCTCAACTTGCTGACGGTCGCAGGACCCAGGCAGGCACGGAGACTCGGATTTCAAACAGGCTCCAGAGTGTGTGCACCTCCCACTCTGGCAGGAGAAAAGTAATTGAGCACAGGGGTGTGGGAGCAGGCATGGGCCATCTGAGACCTGAGATTCTCAGACCACTGTGGTTTCCCAGTTGGCATTTTCAAAGACCCCTTTCTCTCTCAGTTCAAAGAAAAGAGAAGAGAAACCAGAGAGAGGATAGGAGATAATGGAGGCCAGTGAGTTTCTGTCCCAGCCACACAATTGATCCCTTCATTAAGATCAGCTCTGTTACCTGATTTGCAAGACAGTATGTGAGCTTCGAAAAGGCCTGGAGGGCCTCCCTTCTTTTGGAGAGCACAAACATTCCAGTTCTAGTTTCACCCTCCCTTGGCCCATGCTCTGAAATCACAGCACAGGGAGAGGCCAAAGATATGCAGACAATGAGAGACTCCTAGCCAGCCAGCAGGTGTCTGCCCCTCCCACGGCTTCAGAGCAGGAGCAGAGCCCAGAGAGGGGAAAGAACTTGGTCTAGGTCACACATCCAAGCAGAACCAGATCAGAACCCTGGTGCCTTGGCACCTAGGCCACTGCCCTCTCTGTTATAGTCCATATTCCTCCTGTTTTTGTTTAATGAGTGCTTAGATGGCACTCACTATGTGCAGGTGCTGTTCTAAGGAATTTGAAAATATTAACTTATTTGACCATCATCATGATCCTAGGAGGCAGGCGCTGTTATCATCCCCATTTTACAGATGAGGAAACTGAGAGGTGAAGTAACTTGTCCAAAGTCCCACAACTAGGCGATGGCAGAGCCACTGCGTGTGGGTCTGGAGTCCACGACGTAGCCATGCCACTCCAAGGCCTCATGGGAGTGTTCAGGGAGAGAGTTTAGACTGCAGATGTGCTCTGGTTTTGTGGTTGGGGGTCGCTGTAGGAAAATAATCCCTCTTTTTTCTGGGAAAGAGCCTGAGGTGCAGAAGTCCAGGTTCCAGTCCTGGCTCTGCTCTGGACTTGGGTACGTGATTTTCCTTCTTTGGATCTCAATTTTCCTGTCTGTAAAATGGATACAGTCGGCCTAGATGGCCTTGGAAGCCCCCTCTAGCTCTAACCACATATGATTTCTTTGAACCATTCCTGGCTGTCTTAGTACCTGAATTCAACAAACACTTCAAGGGGTGACGTTTCTGGTTATGCAATTGTTAAGCCCCAGTGTCATGTGGCAGAATGGAGTACGAGGACTTGGAAAGCAGCTCTGTTTGCAGCAGAGGATTCCAAACTTGTGCACGTTAAAAAAAAAAAAAAAGTCCCCAAAACTTTCTATCTCTCTCTCTGGAAAAACTCGAGCTTATCATGAGATTGTTGCACTTGGACTCCCTCGGGAAAGGAATGCTTCATGTGCTAAAAGTATCCGCTGTTGACTGATTCCCCAGAGGATCTGCCCTTTCTCATCTCTCTGGAGTTAAGTGGATGCTGCTCTGAAGCAGAGCCAGCTCCTCAGTTCAGATTGCCTTTGTACCAGGCAGTGGGGGCAACACAGAGAGAGGTTTTGAGAATGACAAGTCATCGTGACTTCTGCAGGGAGCAGTGTACAGTTTTCATATGAGTAATAGACGCTCAATACTTCCTGGGTGTGCCATAAGCAAAGCCCTACGTGGATTATCTCATTTAGTCCTCTGGGAGGGTTCAGTCATTAGCCCCATTTTAAAGATGGAGAAGCCGAGGCTTAGAGATATAAAGTAACCTGCCCAGGATGCAATCTGAGCGGTGCTGGGATTCCAACCTAGACAGTCTTGGCCCAGTAACCTGTGCTGTTAACCCTGGGAGCACCTCTGAGACTAGCCCAGAAGGAAACTCAGAGAGCAGATTGGGGAATTATGCGTAAATTCTTATTTCCAACTTGATTTCTTTTGAAGTTGTTATGTTATTTTCACAATAAATACTAATCTTTCAAGAAAAGAAGAATCCACCAACACAAGGAATTTAACTGTAAATATTGATTGTTAATGAGGATTTGGGGAAAGGCAGAACATTTTTTAAACTGTCTCAGTAAAAGGCTCAAAATATTCGCAGGAGAGAAGATGGTAGAGATAATTCAACCTTATAAAGAAATTGGGTCCTAAGAGTTGATTTTAAAGTCAGCTGTCAGGAATCTGTGACACAATATAACCATAGAAACAATAATGGAAAACAACAGACCCTCTGCAAAGCCTGAATAATAATAACGATGATTTTCTACTGAGGAGTTTTTTTTTTTTTTTTGAGACAGAGTCTCGCTCTGTCGCCCAGGCTGGAGTGCAGTGGCATGATCTCGGCTCCCTGCAAGCTCTGCCTCCCGGGTCCACGCCATTCTCCTTCCTCAGCCTCCCGAGTAGCTGGGACTACAGGCGCCCGCCACCATGCCTGGCTAATTGTTTTTGTATTTTTAGTAGAGACGGGGTTTCACCGTGTTAGCCAGGATGGTCTCGATCTCCTGACCTCATGATCCACCTGCCTCAGCCTCCCAAAGTGCTGGGATTACAGGCGTGAGCCACCGGGCCCGGCTTTTTTTTTTTTTTTTTTTGAGACAGTTTCACTGTTGTTGCCCAGATTGGAGTGCAACGGCGTGATCTCGGCTCATTGTGACTTCCGCCTCCTAGGTTCAAGTGATTCTCCTGCCTCAGCCTCCCAAGTAGCTGGACTTACAGGCGCACATCACCATGCCCGGCTAATTTTTGTATTTTTAGTAGAGATGGGGTTTCACCATGTTGGCCAGGCTGGTCTCGAACTCCTGACCTTAGGTGATCCACACCCACCCCCCCCACCACCCCTTGGCCTCCCAAAGTGCTGGGATTACAGATGTGATCCACTGCACCTGGCCTCTGCTAAGGTGTTCTTACATGCCAGGTGCTATGCTAAGCATTTTATGGGCATCATTTCATAAAATATTTACAAGGATCTTACAAGATTGATCCTCATAGGATGAGGTTTAATGTCATTCTGTAGATAAAGAAATAGGTTCCCAGAATCACACAGCTATTAAGTGATAGAATTCAGACAGACCCTGCTTTCCTTAGACCATAATGTGTCAAGAGTTCTGAGAACAGGCTGGGTGTGGTGGCTCATGCCTATAATCTCAGCAGTTTTTGGGGCCAAGGCAGGCGGATCACTTGAGGTCAGGAGTTCAAAACCAGCCTGGCCAACATAGAGAAACCCTATCTCTACTTAAAATACAAAAATTAGCTAGGCGTGGTGGTGCGCAACTGTAATCCCAGCTACTTGGGAGGCTGAGGCAGGAGAATTGTTCGGACCTGGGAGGCGGAGGTTGCAGTGAGCCAAGATCATGCCACTGCACTCCAGCCTGGGTGACAGAGCAAGACTCCATCTCAAAAACAGAGTTCTGAGAACAAAGGGCCATGAATTGCAGGACGAAATATGGAAAACAGAATTGGAGAATCCCAGAGCTCCAAGGACACTTAGAAATCATCTAACAGTACCCCACCCCAGGCATCTACATACGCGGTACCGGTAGAGAAAGCCTGATTTTGGAGTCTGTCCTGGACACACTTGGTGTTTTATGTATTTCATCAAATCCTCATACCCATCCTGTGAGGTGTCATTATTACCATTTCACTGATGAGACATCCAAGCATCAACAAAACCCTGAAGTGGAAAGAGGGGTAAGGACTCATTCAAGGTCACACAGCAAGTCAGCGGCCGAGCCAAGGCGCCCACCTGGTACTTCCTGTCACTCCACATGGCTTCCCATCAGACGATCATAAAATCCTCCCTACTTGTGCCCCAAATCATATCCTTTAAGGCAAAGACACTCTTGCCATCCAGGAAGCAGCCAAGTTTGGTCCACAGGGCCGTGATTCTCCTTTGTAACACAAACCGGCAGAATCGCAAGCCCAGGACAGAAGTAAACAGTTGAAATGGAAAGAAATAAATCTCTCCTCTAAAAATAGGCACACATCCTTAGAAACACTGCTGGCTGTGCACAGAGCCGAGGATGGGCCTGGTGGGGTGAGGGCAAGTCAGGCCAGGCATCTGTGTGTCCCCACCCTACCCTCTGCCCTCTGGACCCATGACCACCTCTCCCAACCCCTCCTCTGGCTGGGGAACCTCCTCGACCTGGAACCCCTCACTTCCTCACATTTTTCAAGGCTTGACCTTTCCTCCCCTCCCTCGGGAAGCCTTTTAGACTCTTTCACCTTCACACCCCTAGCACAGCACCTGCTCCACCCTGGCAACACTGAGCTGTTTCCTATTTGATTTTGACATGTTGAATAGGAAACATTTTAAACACATAGGAGAGTACAGTATATACCTATTTTCTCATCATCTGAATTTAGCAAATGTTAAAATTTTGCCTTATTTGGTTCTGATCATTCTTAAAAAAAAAAAAGAAATCACTACAGATAAAATTTAAACCCTGCCTTTCTGTCTCCCTTTCTATTCATCATCTCTGCCACTCTACTGAGCGCTTTCTATTGGGAGGCAGCAAACCAAGTATCCACAACATCATGTAAGTGACCTACATGAAGGAAGGAAGATGGGTCAATTTTCTTGAGCCATGTGGTCATCTTGGCTTATCTATTACTTTCTCACTTTATAAAGGTATGTGTATGTAAGAAAATGTTCACTTACCATTTACATTTTCAGAACTAAAAGCAACAGCAAAACCAGTGCTATGTAGTAACTGACCGTGGCCTCTGTGTCAGAGAAAACAGGGAGTGGTGGGGACTGAGGCAAATGGGAGTTTGTCTAAAGCGCCCAGCATTTTCAGCTCCACTAATTGTTGCCGGTATGAGAGTGCAGACCTGGTATTGCCACGTCACCTAATGTTTCCAGAGATGTTGGAAATCTGGATTTTTAAAAAATGTATAAGCTCCTTATTTTAAAATGCTGACAGCTTATTTAAATGCACAGACCAAACAAACCCAACCAAGTGTTAGCTTTTAATTGGCCTGTAGGCCTCTCAGTTTGCAGCTCTGGTTCTACCTCCTATGGCAGGTGTTTGTTTTAGCATAAAAAATAGACACATACACAAACATATACATGTGTGATTAGATGAAAAGCACCTAGCCCAGTGCCTGGCACGTGGTGGTCCTTAATAAATGTGAGCCTGAGTATATGATTTGTCCACTAGAATCTAAGTTTTTTGAGACTGGGAACCATACTGTATGGCCACAGATACAGTGCAGCCAGGTATAGTTGTGCAAGTTGGACACTTTCTCCAGGAGACACTGTTCACATAGACTAGAGAGTGAATAATGTCCTTGGCTTAGTGCAGTGCACAACCTGCACAACCAGATGTGACTGCCCTGACAGACCACCTCCATAATGCAGTGTCTGTTCAGTTGAATGAAAGTGAATGATCATACCCAGTGATGGTAAAACTGAATAGCAAGAAACTGCTTCCATATGGAGTTTAAACCTTTATTCTGAGGTTTCAAGATAAAAGGGCTCTGGACCCTCATTTTACAGATGGGGGATCCAAAACCAGAGAGCACCAGTGCCCCGTCTGTGGCCTCACAGCCCTGGGCTGAGAACCCAGGTTATCAGGTAGGGTGCAGCTTCGCTACAAGTAACAGAGACTCAGAATAATGTGATTTGTGCAGTGTTTTATCCATCCCTCAAGTAAAAGTCCACAGGTAGGCAATCTAGGGCTGGGATGGAGCTCAGCTCCCCAGACTTCTCAGAGTCCTAGACTTTGTCCAGCTCATCTTTCTGCCATTCCTAAGGTGTAGCCCTATAGCCATAATAGCCACATTCCAGGCATCCAAATAGAGAAAAAGGGATGGGGAGGGGGAGGGATAAAAGAAAGGAGAAAAGCCATGATTCAAGTCCCTTTTAAGGAAAGTTACCAGAAATTGCCACTGGACATTTCTCATATCATTGCCTGGAACTTAATTATATGACTCAACCTAGCTGCAAGGGAGCCTGTGAAGTGTAGCCTTTAATCTGAGCAGCCAAGAGCTCAACTAAAAAGTGGAGGCTTTCTTTTATTGCTAAAGAAGGGGAAGCTTGAATCGGGGACGATTTGGAGTCTGTCACTGTGGGTTCACTAGTGTGATGGCCTGATGTTCTACTCTGCTGAAAGCCCTGAGATGGATTGAGAGGAGTTGGCAGGACTTTAACCAAATCCAGGCCCTCAAAGTAAACATTATAAAGGTCTCACTCTCTAGCTTGGCATTTCCCAAAACCCACGACAGTGAACCTTGGTCTCATCCTAGACACTCCCCAACTCTGACATCTTTCATAATATGTCCCTCTCCCCAAAACCCAATTGGGGACAGCAGCTGGGTGGAAAAGCCAATGGCTTGGGACAGCAGGTGCAACATGGGCCTGAAGGGAGTCCAAGTCATACCATCCTGTTCCCAGCTGGAGCATCAGTGTTGTGTGACTGGACAACTCAGACCACATTCTCTTAGCACTCATGGCTTGGTGCTGGGGATTCAGAGAAAATTAAGATATATCCCAGCTGGCCCTTGAAGGGCACCCAGTATCCTTAGGGAGAGAGATACAGCATAGATATGCTCCACAGAGTAAGATGAGCATTATTCAAGAACTGGCAAGATGCCTAGGGGAGTTTGGAGCAAGATTCACCAGGTCAGTTTGGAGAATCCTGCAAAGGCTGAACAGGGTGCCCAAGGGAAGGGCTTTGAAAGATGAATGCAGGGGAGCTGGAGTGACAGAATTCCAGGTGGAAGGCACAGCCTTGAGCAAAGGCATGGCAGTGGGAGAGTGCAGGGCGTGGCTGTGGAATATGGAGCAGCCTGGAGTGGCTAGAACATGGGCTACTTGATGAAGGGAAGAGGCTCAGGAGGCTGGAGAGGTGGGAGTAGGTTGGAGTCAAATCATGAAAAGCTCTTCATGCCTGGCTGATGAATTGGTCAAGAATTCGTAGGTCAGGGAAGTTGGTGAGCATCTCCGAGTATGCTGGGGAGTGATGTGGTCAGGTACACATGTCAGTGGAGTCTAAGGAGCAGAGGTAGAGAGGCCTGAAGCAGGAAACCAGCCAGGAGGCTTCTCTGCTGGTCCCGGCAAGACTCACAAGGGCTGGAACGAGGGTGATGCCCACAGAAGGAGACATTTCGGAACACTGCAGCCTCAGACCCTAATGCCTCCCCTAGCAGGCCATGCCGCCCTCATCTGCTGGGCCTCTGCTGCACTGTGCTTTCTCTCTCCCTGCGATGCCCCTGCACTCCCTCTCTTCACCTGGCTGGCTCTTCCCTGGTCCCTCAGACTCAGTTCAGGACCACCTCCTCCAGGAAGCCCAGGGCTGAGTAAGGTGACCACACCACTGAGATGTGTATCTCCCCTGTGGCTGTGAGCCCCTCTGGGCTGGGATCGTACCGTCATTGTCTCAGGATACCCAGTCCCCAGCACAACAGGAACATGGAACATTTTCCCTGCACATGAGGCAGGAAAGGAGGATTTGGAGAAAGCCAGGGAGGGAAGGTTTGTCCCCACCTTGAATACCAGAGAGAGACTGTGCTGCTATGACAAATAGGTACCACCACAAGCAATTATTGGGTTTCAGCTACAGGAGTGCCTTTGGACGTCGGCATTAATGCCCTGTAAAGTTGACTGGGGAAATGGCAGCTATTGAGTTTCACCAGCCCTGCATCAAGGTCAGGGCAGCTGAGCCAAAGGCCTAGCTCTTTGTGGAGAGAAAGCAAAGAGAGGGAGGAAGAGTCCCAGAGTGTGTATGTTAGGGCAGAGGCTGTGTCTGGAGGGGGTGGGGCTCTTAGAGGTTTGGATCCTGCTGGTCCCTTTGTAACATCAAGACGCTGTGACTGAGGCAAGAGTTGGCTCACCCCGCTGCCCCTGCCACACTCTCAGGCTAAAGTATGTGAGAAGAGCGCTCCACTGCATCATTTCCAGTGGGATCTGGAAGCTGCTGGACAGTAATGCAAAGGCAGAACTCTGTATATTGGGATGGGACCATAAGTGCCTAAGTTTTTCATAAGGAGAAACCGACCTGGCAGATAACTGGAAAATAAAATCCTCAAGGCCAGTTAAAAACTTTTGTTTTCCAGTCAAATCCCTTGTAAAAGGCAACTAGGGGAGTTGCTGGCCTGTGATAGGTTTGGCCTGGCCTGGCCTGGCCTGATGTGGAGGCAGGTGGGCGTCTAGGGCACACTTAGGTTAAATTGTTTGAAATGGGAGGAGGGAAGAGGAGTCAGCTGGAAGTTCGAAAAGTGAGGCCACTTTGGTTTCACTCCTACCCCAGGACAATTACTCAATGCCCCTGGACCTCGGTTTCTCCATGTGTAAACTGAGACTCATTTGATAAGCAGGGGAGTCTCCACTCCCCTGCTTTCTAACACTTGTGGAGGAGACCTGGCTCTCACGTGCGGCCACATCTGGTTTCCAGGATTTGTTCCCAGAGGACGGCAGTCAGGTGGGATGGAAAATTTTCTGTGGGATGGAAGTCAAGAGTCCTGGGCTCTCGGTCCAGCGTATGACTTCAAGTGAGGCCCCTCCCTTCCCCGGCCCTTGGCTTCTTCCAATCCCTGATAAAGAGGTTTTACCACCTGTCCTGTCCTCTTCCAAGAAGCTGTGTGTAATTCAGTCACAGAATAGGAACCTGGGACCGCCAGAGCCCAGACCCAGGGGTCACGTTTTGCATTCCCTTGTTCTTAGATATAGCTGATGTATTTGGGAAAAGTGATAAAAATTCCTTGTTTTTTTGTCACTGTGAGGAACCAGGTTAAGGGGTTTTGCATGGTTTTATGCATGGTGAGCCACCAGTCTGAAGATAGTTATATAGATCCTTGACCATGCTAATATATATACATGCTAATTATATACAGTGTCATTTTTATGTAAGCTCAGGCTTCCCAGCTATGAGGCTAACAAGCTATGTGACTTTGGGCCAGTGACTTCAGTTTTCTATGCCTCAGTTTCCCCAATGGAAAATGAAAAAAATCATTGGTCTAGAGGATCTTTTAGGGCTTTATATTTCCGAGCTGCCAGGAGTCTGTGATCCTTTTAATGCATTGTGTGTGTTCATGCATGTGTGCGTGCATGCATGTGCACGTGTGTGCATGTCTGCACATGTGTGCACATGTGTGATCGTGCGTGCCTGTGTGTGCGGGTATATGTACGTGTGTGTGCATGTGTGTTGCCTCTGTGTGCACATCTGAACAAGCCCACAAGGTTCTAGGCAGGATGGCTTCTCACGTAGCCCTATCTATAGCAATGATAACTGTGCAGATACTTGATATTTAGCTTTACTGGCACCTGTTTGCAGGGTGTTAGAGCTCCTAACAGCACAGTTAAGGATCTGTCCAAGTTTCCATTGTCCTTTGAACAACTGGACTCCAGAGTGTGGGTGTGAAAATTAGACTGTGATGTTAGCCTGCCAAGCTGCACATCCGAGTTATAATTCTACAACATTTAAGGTGAAGCCACCATTTTAAAAATCAGGAGTTGGCAACTGCACACAGGAAAAGTTGCCTAATTTCCACCTCTATAGTCATTTTCAAGAACAAATTAAACTTTGTATTTTCAAAATTTAAAAAATTCTAAATTTAAAACCTATGTGTATACCTCTTGCTTTCTCTAGCCCAACACCTGATATGGTCAGGATACTCAGTAAATATTTGAGAAATAAATGAATGAATATTTTGGCTTTCTTACATGGAATCTTAGTTTGCTAGGAACCTTAGATCAGATGTGGCATAATGGCAGTTTATGGGCTGAGTCTGCCTTGCAGATATGTTTTATTTGGCCTGAACATTGTTATTAAAATATTTGGACTACGTGTCAATATTTTAAAATCAAGAGGTTTCACACAAAACTGAGCAGATCTAATAACAACATCCACATTCCTACATGTCAACAGTCCGCTGGAGCTGGGTAGTGTGGAGGCATGAACGCTCTAGTATGCCCCAGTCCCCAACACTCCCACGTAACTCACAGCTATTATATAATTTTAGCCTAAGATCAGAGATAATCTAGAATTTCCTCCTCCTTAAAACCTGCGCTAAATTTCCTATCAGGTAATGATAAAAAGATCATCCAGGTATTAGTCACTGACCTCCTCAGATGAGCAAATTTCCAATTGTTAAATAAGGACATAAAGATATCCTCAGATTCCTATATACAAATCTCACAACCTGTCTTTGGGGTAAGGATGTTTGTGTGACAAGTGCATGTGACTTTCAGTGCCTCTCATGAATTGACGGCTGCTTTGGTGGAGTCAGATTGATGCTTCCCTTTGAACTAACTACAAAAAAAAAAAGCACTTGCCCAGCAAATTTATCCTGTGCACATTTTAAGATTGAGATTTAAATTCCTTATAGGTTAAATGAGTTCAATTTCCCACAGGCACCATGAAAGTGTACCTTTAAATGTAATGTATAGGCTTGTTATAGATTCTTCTTTGCTATTCAGTAAAGTAGACCTTCCCCTCCATTTAGGATCTTGATTACCATGTGTTTAGTGAATAACTATGTGTAATTAAGATTTTTCTCTAGGCCAGGTGCGGTGGCTCATGCCTGTAATCCCAGCACTTTGGGAGGCCAAGGTGGGTGGATCACGAGATCAGGAGTTTGACACCAGCCTGGCCAACACAGTGAAACCCCATCTCTACTAAAAATACAAAAAAAAAAAAAAATTAGCCGGGCATGGTGGCATGCACCTGTAATCCCAGCTACTCAGGAGGCTGAGGCAGGAGAATCACTTGAACCTGGGAGGTGGAGGTTGCAGTGAGCTGAGATAGCACCACTGCACTCCAGCCTGGCCAGCACAGCCAGACTCCATCTCAAAAACAAAACAAAACAAAACAAAACAAACAAACAAACAAAACAGATCAACAAAGAAAAACTTTTCTCTAATTTTACTCTACTTTCTCCATTCACCTCTCATCTCCCTGGTTACTCCAATTTTTTTAATTTCTCTTTGTGGGATCATAGCCCTACATGTTAACACACTACCTGGACACATAGCATTCATTTAGCAGATGTTTATTGAATGAATAAGAAATAAGAGAATGAGAGGTGCTTTTCTATGCATACATGATCACCAAATACTCTCCTGGCCAGAGCCAACAACAGAATGGTTGTGGGAACTCTTTTCCTCACCTATTGAGTAGCCCGGGTGTGAGAGTCAGTATTAGGTTCTAATAATCATGAGAGCTCTATGGCGATATTTTCAGGTTCATTTAACTTCTCCACAAGTAATTTACATAATAAGGTAAATCACATTGTAAAACAGGCACCATTTGAAATTTGGCCAGCTCTAGCCTGGCCAGTCTCAGCATCACCGTGAACCACTGGCACATGAAGAGCCCTCTTGCCTCAGCATTCCATGACCATTTGGTGCAGTTACTGCATTAGCCACTTTTATCATTCTCCCATAGATGAACATATGCCATTTAAAAAAAACAGCTTTTTTGAGATACCATTCACATAGCATACAATCATCCACTTAAAGTGCACCATTCAGCCCGGGTGAGGTGGCTCACGCCTGTAATCCCAGCACTTTGGGAGGCCGAGGCGGGCGGATCACGAGGTCAGGAGATCGAGACCATCCTGGCTAACATGGTGAAACCCCGTCTTTACTAAAAATACAAAAAATTAGCCGAGCATGGTGGCAGGCGCCTGTAGTCCCAGCTACTCAGGAGGCTGAGGCAGGAGAATGGCGTGAACCTGGAGGTGGGGAGCGGAGCTTGCAGTGAACCGAGATCATGCCACTGCACTCCAGCCTGGGCAACAGAGTGAGACTCTGTCTCAAAAAAAAAAAAAAAAAAAGAAAAGAAAAAAAGAAAAAGAAAACAAAAATGCGCCATTCATTGGTTTGTTCTTTTAGCATATTCACAGAGTCGTATAACCATCATGATCAATTTTAGAACATTTTCATCACCTCAAAAAGAAACCTCATGCCCATTAGCTGTCACTCTCCATCTCCCTTCAACCTTCCCAGCTGTATTAACCTGTTTAGGCTGCTCTAACAAAATACCACAGACTAGGTGGCTTAAACAACAGAGACTTATTTTTGCACAATTCCGGAGGCTTAGAAGTCCCAGATCAGGGTCTTGAGGGGTTAGTTTCTGGTAAAGACTTTCTTGCTGGCTTACAGACAACAGCTTCTCTCTGTGTGTTCTCACGGTGACTGGTTGGGGAAGGAGGTGTTGCAGCAGCTCTCTGGTATCTCTTCTTATAGGGACACCAATCCTATCAGATCAGGGTTCCACCCTTATGACCTCATTTGACTTTAATGATCTCCTTACAGGCCCTGTCTCCAATTATAGTCACTCTGGGGGTGAGGGCTTCAACGTATGAGTTGGAGGCACACATTCCAGTCCATAACACCAGCCCTAGGCAACCACTAATCTACTTTCTGTCTCTACAGATTTGACTGTTCTGTACGTTTCATATATTGTATGGAATTGTATAATACATGGCCTTTTGTATCTGGCTTCTTACACTTAGTATGATGTTTTCAAGGGTCATTCACGTTGTAGTACTACGTTTTTTTTCACAGCTGATAATATTCAATTGTATGGGTATACCACATTTGTCTTATCCATTCATTAGCTGGTGAACATTAGACTTGTTCGTACTTTTGTTATTATGAATAATGCTGTTATAAATGTTCGTGTACAAGCATTTGGGTGGACATACATCTGCTGCATCATATGGTAACTTTATGTTTAACTTTTTGAGAAATTGCACAACTATTTTCCAAAAGGGTTGTATCATTTTACATTCCTACCAGCAGTGTATGAGAGTTCTAGTTGCTCTATATTCTCATCAGTACTTGTTATTATCTGTGTTTTTTTATTATTGCCATCCTGCTGGCTGTGAAATGGTATCTCATTCTGGATTTGATTTGCATTTCCCTAATGGATAATAGTATTGAGCATTTTTTCATGAGCTTTTTGGCCATTTTTATATAATCTTTGGAAAAATGTCTATCCAGATCACTTGCCCATTTTAAAAAATTTATTTATTTTTATTTTTATTTTTTTGAGATGGAGCTCTGTCACCCAGGCTGGAGTGCATTGGCACAATCTCAGCTCACTGCAATCTCTGCCTCCTAAGTTCAAAGGATCCTCCCACCTTAGCCTCACGTGTAGCTGGGACTGCAGATGTGCGCCACCATGCCCGGCTAATTTTTGTATTTTTAGTAGAGACGGGGTTTCGCCATGTTGGCCAGGCTGGTCTGGAACTCCTGACCTCAGGTGATCTGCCTGCTTCAGCCTCCCAAAAGTGCTGAGATTACAGGCATGGGCCACTGTGCCCAGCCACTTGACCATTTTTATTTTTTATTTTTTATTTTTTATTTTTTTTTTTGAGACAGTCTCACTCTGTTGATCAGGCTGGAGTCTAGCGGCGTGATCTCAGCTCACTGCAACCTCTGCCTCCTGAGTTCAAACAAATTTCATGTCTCAGCCTCCTGAGTAGCTGGGATTACAGGCATGCACCACCACGCCCGGCTAATTTTTGTATTTTTAGTGGAGACAGGGTTTCACCATGTTGGCCAGGCTGGTCTCAAACTCCTGACCTCAGGTGACCCACCCACCTTGGCCTCCCAAAGTGCTGGGATTACAGGTGTGAGTCACCACGCCTGGCCCATTTTTAAATTGGGTTATTTGTCATATATTATTGAGTTGTAAGAGATTTTTATGTATTCTAGATATGAAACTCTTATGAGATACATGATTTACAAATATTTCCTCCCAATCTGTGGTTTGTCTTCTCACTAGTGTCCTTCGCAGCACAAATGTTTTTAATTTTAATGAAGTCCAAGTAATCTACTTTTTTATTTTGTTGCTTATTGCTTTGATATCTTATCTAAGAAACCATTGCCTAATCCAGAATCAGAAGGATTTATGCCTATGTTTTCTTCCAAATGTTTTATAGTGTAGTTCTTATATCTAGGTCTTTGATTCACTTTGAGTTTTTATATATAATGGGAGATCACATGCTGTTTTTGAAAACGAGTTAAAGTGGTAAACAATCAGGAGTTTAAAAATATGCATCTATCTTTGGTTTTACTGACAATCATGTGATATTTTGTTAAACATACCATTTAATAGAAAGAAAACAAACTTTAACCTCTAATGAGGCTGATATTCTCAATATTTACTTTAAAAATGTGATAAGCTTAGAGTTATTAGAAAAGGCCTTTGACATTTTTGTTTTTACAAATCAACTGCTTTCAATAAAGACTTGAATAAATGAAGCCATATTTTTATGTTATGTAAATAATATTTTTGAAATACATTAAAAAATCTGTATTATATAACATGTTATAATTATATGGCTTTTTGTTTAATGCAGTGGCTCTCAATCAGGGGCAATTTTGCCCCTCAAAGGAAATTTGGTGGCTGGGCATGGAGGCTAATGCCTATAATTCCAGCACTTTGGGAGGCCGAGGCTGGTGGATCACCTGAGGTCAGGAGTTCAAGACCAGCCTGACCAACATGGTGAAACCCCGCCTCTACTAGAAATACAAAAATTAGCCGGGCATGGTGGTGGGCATCTGTAGTCCCAGCTACTGGGGAGGCTGAGACAGAATTGCTTGAACCCGGGAGGCAGAAGTTGCAGTGAGCCGAGATCACGCCACTGCACTCCAGCCTGGGCAACAAAGTGAGACTCCATCTCAAAAAAAAAAAAAAAAAAGGAAGAAAATAAAAGAAATGTGGCAATGTTTGGAGACATTTTTGGTTGTCACAACTGGGGGCAGTGCTACTAGCATCTAGGAGATAGAGAGCAGAAAGGCTGCTAAACAATCTCCAGTGGGTAGAGTGGCCTCCACAACAAGGAAGTGTCCAGCCCAGAATGTCAGTTGTGCTGAGGTTGAGAAACTCTGCTTTAACTAAATCCGTGGCCTCTACCAGATAGATTCGAAAAGAGATGAGAGTTTGCAAACCCTTCTCCCCTCAGTTACAACCCCTGAATTTCTTCTATCGCAATACTTAGCCTTTCTGGGGCCAGAACATGCCCCAGCATCTTACTGCCATTAAAACCCTTTATGGTAATGAAAATCTGTAGGCCTTCCCTGTGGGGATCCTTAAGAAGCATGAGCACTTGCTTTCACTGCTTAATTCATTTTATAATTGTGTGTTTTAGTTTTTTGAATTTATATTTGGATAATACATTCCCTGTTAAACATACATATTTGGGTAACCAATCTCCTATTAACATATATTCTACCTGATTATATAACAATAGAAGGGATCATAAGTAATAATTTTTGACCGTTTACTATGTTAGGCACTGTGCTGAGCACATTTTCTGCATTATCTAGTTTAATTTTCTCAACCACTCTATGAGAGAGCAACTCTCATTATTCACATTTTACAGCCATGGAAACTGAGGCACAATGAGATTTAGGGGACTTGCCCAAGATTGTGTAGTTGTATCATTATTACTCCAAGTCAGGGCTTAAGCCTGATGTAGGGTCAACTGTGAAGTGCAGGCATGTCACAAAGACTTTGGATTATTCATTATGGGTAGTCACACATTGATGTTTGCAGGGCAGTGAGGTATTGTCTCACTCTCTTGCATCACCATAAGCTCCCTGCTGTGGAAGAGAAGGCGTGGGCACACACAGCTAGCTACAGGAAGTCCCATCAAACCTGGGACATGCCCACAGAAGCATGGCTCACCTGGGAGCATCACCTGTCCTGCCTATCATGGTGGACAATATCTGAGAACTGCTGCTTAAGGAAAAGTGGGATGTGTGGAGCATCACTTATGTTCCTGATGCCCCCCACCCCAAAGTCAGTCAGGCCTTGATTTTCTACCTACTGTCCTCTCATAAAAAGCTCCAACTCCCAGTGTCTCTTTTGATCTGTGGCCTAAATCTCTCTGCAAGTACACCAGCACCACCTGCCAAGCCCATTATCTGTCTGTCCGGGCTCTGTGCTGGGTGGGCCCTGCTCACTTACAGCCCTCCCAGAGGCAGGATCACACCCCGGTCTCCTGATCTTACAGCCACTACTCTTACTGAAACAGCACTGTGGTGTTATGCATAGTACACCTTTTAAAAAATGATGCATTAGTTAGGCCAGATGTGGTGGTTCATGCCTGTAATCCCAGGGCTTAGGAAGGCCGAGGTGGGTGGATCATGAGGTCAGGAGTTCAAGACCAGCCTAGCCAATATGGTGAAACCCTGTCTTTACTAAAAATACAAAAATTAGCCAGGTGTGGTGGCATGCGCCTGTAGTCCCAGCTACTCGGGAGGCTGAGGCAGAAGAATTGCTTGAACCCGGGAGGTGGAGGTTGCATTGAGCCGAGATCACACCACTGCACTCCAGCCTTGGTGACAGAGAAAGACTCTGTCTCAAAAAAAAAAAGTAAAAAAAATTAAAAAGATTCCTTAAACAGTAGTATTCCCTCCCAAGCTGTATCCCTCTATGTGCCAGGCATACAGTGATCTTCATATCCCTGATAACAGTCCCCTCACAGAGGCAGCTTTCAGAAAAGGATATGGAGTTTGTGACAGTGACTGAAGATATGCATTTTAATGGTACAAAGATTGAAAGTGGGGCTGGGAACGGTAATCCCAGCACTTTGGGAGGCCAAGGCAGGCAGATCACTTGAGTTTGGGAGTTCGAGATCAGCCTGGCCAATATGGTGAAACACTGTCTCTATTAAAAATACAAAAAATTAGCCGGGCGTGGTGTCAGGCACCTGTAATCCCAGCCACTCAGGAGGCTGAGGCAGGAGAATCGCTTGAACCTGGGAGGCAGAGGTTGCAGTGAGCCGAGATTGCGCCACTGCATTCCAGCCTGGGTGCAACAGAGCGAGAGTCCATCTCAAAAAAAAAAAAAAAAAGGTTGGAGGTGGAATGACTCTTCAGTTTAGTCAGTTTGAGGGTGCATATCTTTTGGGTGATGTTCTGCCCATACCAGCCACCCATGTATTCCTCTAGCTCTGCAAATGCAGGGAACAGGGAGCACACAACGATTAGAAATGGTCATCCTCCTCTCGTAAATCTGAAGAAGAACGCTGGTTTTTGTTCTAGATCTGTCCTGAAATTCCTTGGGCAAATCTTTCCTTGCTCTGTGCCTCAGTTCCCCTAATGGGAGAGTGTGTGCACTGATGATCTCTAAGCATCCTTGCAGCTATAAACTTCTTTGACTCCCTAAGGTACTGGGGGCTGAGTTAAAGTGAAGCCCATGAGGATAACTCCAATCCCCCCAATAGGAATCTGCTTTAGCAGTAAGCCCACACCTAGAAGCCTGCTTATGTTTGAAGAAGAGAAGGGAACAATTGGTTGATGTTATGTTTCTTGAGATACCCATCTCCAGGGGCGACGTTCAAAATATTTAACCACCAGTGTGTTGTGAGCACAGACCCGTCAGGAGGTTAGAAGGCAGCGGGTAGGGCCAGCAGGGACTGTGGCCAGAGAGCATGCCCCGTCCTCCTCTTAGCTCTGCAGGGCACTGCTCACCTCGCTGCTTTCCTGGGCCTTTCTCCAGCTTTTTTTTTGGTCTGCCTCTTCCTGCCTGATTCTCCATCCAGGGCCCCAGCTTAACCCTCTTTTGGCTTCTTCTCTCTCCGGAGCCACCTGATACTCAACTCAACTCCTGTGAATATCTTTATGCATCCAAACAACAACTCAATCATATTCATCACTCAGCAGATGCTCTTTCAGTGCCCTCTGTGCTCAGACTGGAGTCGGCTGCCTTGACCCCTCACCTCCTCTCCTTCAAAAATGTTAGAGGCAGGGATGGGCTGGAGGATTGAGACCTGAGTCCTAGCCTCTCTCTGCCCCTTGTCTGCCTTTGACCTTGGACAAGTCCCTCCCTGTCCTGGGGTTTCAGATTCCTTACTTGTAAAACGAGGAACACCATGGATTCCATGAGCTCTGAGGTCCCTTCTGTTCGATGATGAGTTTCTGGAGAAGTGCAAGTCTTCAGCAGCTGACCACTCTCTCTTTCTCTCTCTCTCTTTCTCTCTCTCCTGCCCCCCCACAACCTCCAATGTAGAATGCACTGCTGCCTGCAGGCCTGAGGCAGAAGGATCAGACCACCAAGGCGCCCACGGGCCCCTTTAAAAGAGAGGAGCTCTTGGATCACTTGGAAAAGCAAGCAAAGGAGTTTAAGGACCGAGAAGATCTGGTCCCCTACACAGGGGAAAAACGAGGTACTGAACAATGTTACTGTTATAATATGCCACTCCCCATGCACCATTGAGTGCCGACTGTATGCCAGGCCCTGCCAGGCCCTGTGTTGGGCCAAATGTGACTGGGCCTCCTTGTCCTCATCCCTGCCTGGCCAAAACACCCAAACCCAACTTCAAAAGCATCTATGGATGATGTAGATTTCATGAAGTTTTGGGGGTAGACTGAGGAAAGACTCCTATCCACTCAAATCAGCAAAACTTTTCCCTAAACCCTCTTTCACTAGGATGTCCTGATTATTTTTTTACGCAAACCTAAACAGTTTTGAGAGTAAAAGAAGAAACTGTTAATAACGACATCAGGACTTTGGGAGACCGAGGCAGGCAGACCACCTGAGGTCAGGAGTTCAAGACCAGCCTGGCCAACATGGCAAAACCTTGTTTCTACTAAAAATACAAAAATTAGCCGAGCATGGTGGCACGAGCCTGTAGTCCCAGCTACTCAGGAGGCTGAGGCAGGAAAATCGCGTGAACCCAGGAGGTGGAGGTTGCAGTGAGCCAAGATCGCACCACTGCACTCCAGCCTGGGCAACAGAGTAAGACTCCGTCTCCAAAAAAAAAAAAAAAAAAAAAAAGACATCAGGACATGAAGCCTAAGCAGGGACCATCCTATGCAAACCAGGGACTAGAGATGCACTAACCATCTCCACCCAGATTCTCTCTGCTCTTTCTCCAAAGTTCCTCTCTCTGGCAGCTGCAGCTTCCCTTCCTTCGTCTGTCCCATTATACTCTCTGCTCCAGCCTGAGGCAAGCCATCTTGAAGGCCCCAGGAAACAGAGAGGGCCTCCCTGACCATCCATTCTAAGACTTCCCGTTGCTCTCCAAACCCTCTGCCCCCCTCCAATATCCCCCTCATCCCATTGTTCCACAGGCCTCCTTCTGCTGTTCTCAAACTTTCCACCTCAGGACCTTTGCACATACTCCCTATGCCTGGAGTGCTGGTCCTGCTGCCCAGCTCCATGCTGTCTTCTTCATGGCTGGCTCCTCCTGCCCGGTAAGATATAATAGTCAGAAACAGCCTGGAGCTACATCTATTTGAGTTGCAATCCTGGCACTACCACTTACTAGCTGTGTGAACATATGTAAATGTTTTAACCTACTGTGCCTCCATTTCCTTCTCTGTAAAACAGGGATGATGAAAATACCAGCCTCATGAGGTTGTAATGAAGGTTAAGTGAGTTCAGATCTCTGTCAAGCGCTTAGAACAGCATCTGGCAGGAAATGAATGCTACTTAAGTATTAGTTGTTATTGTCCTTTGGGTCTCAACTGTACAGTCTTCTCTTTCAGGGAAGCCATCCCTGTCTACTCTGTTCAGGACAGGCAGTCCCTCTCCAACTTCCTGGCTTGGTTATTTTCCAACACAGGAGCCTGTGTGTGTCCTTCAGAGCAACTCACATCTTATCAGCATCTCTTTATTTTTCATCTGTCTCTCTCACTAGCCTGTAAACTCCCTGAGGGCAACCACTTGGGCTGTTTTTGCTCAAGTGGTACTCCCAGCATGCAGCCAGTGCGAGGCCTGCCATATAGTAGGGGTGAGTAGAGAGTTGTTGGATGAATGGATGAGCTAAAATTAAATAAATGTTTAATGGATTTGTGCACTACTTCATTAGAATACCAGCTACAGGAATGTAAAGACCATATCTGTCTTGTTCATCATTTTGTTCCTGGCACCTAATAAATCCGTAGCACATAGAAGGCACCTAATAAATATTTGTTGAATGAAAGCACTAATTCTAATTAATTAATTGTGTAATTAATTGTTTCTTTTCAGTCTCTTCCATTCCCTCCACCCCTAAGAATGCAAGCATTGTGAGCCCCAGGTCCACATCTGTGGCTGGCTCCCCTGTATCGCAGTTGTATTTGCACAATGCCCAGCACTAAGTAGCTGCTTCATAAAATGAGTACGCACATGGGGGTAGACATTGTGCAGAGGACTTCAAACCATTCCAAATCCTGGACTTGGAGCTCAGTCCAGGTTTCACTGAAAACTGGAAGTCCAGGGAGGCCTAAGGGGCATCTAGATTATAGAACTTCTGAATTTTGAAAGGATCGCGTGGTCAGAGGGATCCTGGAGGGGGTGGCAGGAGAGAAGGTGAGGACGAGGGCAGGGAGTGGGGATGGGCAGCAGACCTGGGTGGACACCTAGCGAGGTGAGTCATTGCTGGTGTCCACTTCCTCATGTACCCACACCCCTCCCAGGGGAGGACCTGGAGGATGGTGTGAGGGATGGGGAAGGGAGTCTGAACGGTACAGAAATCAGTCCTGCCACTCCTCCAGCTCTGGACTGGGCAGAGCTGGGGAAAGCTCTCTAGCCTCCCAGAGCTGGACTGTCTTCATGAAAAACCAGGCTGACCAAGGAGAATAGTTAGCATTCATTCTACTTCCATACAGCAACAAGCCCAAAAGGTTCATCATCATCGTCATCATCATCATCATCTTGGAGTATTTGAATGCTAGTTGTTGGAGTTCTTATGACTTGAATAAGTGGAGGTCTCAGAGCCAGTGGGGCAGGAGACCCTCCAGCTCTGACTGGCAGGCTCAGGGCCATTCACTCCAGCCTCTACCAAGCACTTCCCCCACACCAGGCCTACAGTCAGCTTGGGCTGCTGGGAAACAGCACCCCACACCGCAAGACCTGATAGTATGTGGGAAGAGCCATAAACTGGCACAAAGCCCTGAGGAATTTGGAAAGGGAGGCCTTCTCATTCAAGTGGGAGAGACCAGAATATAGCTCCAGGCAGGATGTTTTCATTAGAATTAGATTTGGCTGCATGTGCTGGGGGGATAAATAAAAGTAACAGAGACTTAATCGAGGAATTTAATTTTCTTAGGCATTCCAGGGCTAGTAAGGCATATTCCTTAGCATCGTGGATCACAACCCTTTCCAGCTTTTCATTCTGCCACCCCTACAACCTGTCTTTGTCCTCATGGTCTATCTGGCTGCTGAAGCTCCAGCCATCACATTCACATGCCACTAGTAAGATGAAGGGAAGAAGTCTAGGTACCTCTTACAGTGGCTCAGAGTCACCATCCTCACTGGAGGAACCTGTTATGGGGTATAATAAACCACAGGTCTTAAATATTTATTGAATATTCATCTCAGCCATTGCATTAGTCATTTTAATACTTGAGTTCCTTTTTAGGGGTTTTATTTTCCTTGTGTGTTTTCCTCTTTTCTGGATCCCTGGAATCTGATATTAACAGAGGTTATGATACATTTTTTTCCCCAAATGATTCTGTTGTGTGTTTTGCTGATAGAGGTAATTGATATTTGCTGTAAACAGTTTACACAATAAAGCTAATTGATTCACAATCATTTCCTCACTGAAAATAAGCACTGATCCCATTTTAGGGAATATCTTTCTGGACATTTCTCTATGCGCTTCCCACTCCCTCTCAACCTTCACCACTATGACCCTGGTATTGCACCCACACCAACCTCCTAATCATCTCCGTACCTCCACCCGCCCTCCCTTCAGCTTATCCTCCATCAACAGCTACTGTGAGCTGTGTAGGTTTTTGTAAATTGAGGTAAAACTTATATAACATAAAATTAACCATTTAAAAATGAACAATCCACAACATTGTGCAACCACCACCTCTATCAAGGCCCAAAACACTTTTATTGCTCCAAAATAAAACCCTGTACCTATTACAGTTAGTTACTCTCCCACTCCCTCTGCCCCAGCCCCTAGTACCACCAATCTGTATCTATGGATTTACTTATTTTGTATACTTTCTACAAATGAAATCATACAATATGTGACTTTGTGTGTCTGGCTTCTTTCACTGAGCACAATGTTTTCCAGACTCATCCATGTTGTAGCACGAATCAGTGCTTTATTCCTTTTTATACCTGAATGATATTCCACAATTTGTGTATCCATTCATCCACTGGTAAACAGTCAGTTATTTCCACCTTCTGGCTATTGTGATTAATGCTGCTTTGAACATTCTTGTAGAAGTATTTGTTCGAATACCTGTTTTTAATTCTTTGGGAGTATATACCTATGGGTGGAATTGATGAATGATATAGTAATTCTATGTTTAATTTTTTGAGTAACTGCTAAACTTCTTTTCCATAGCAACCATACCACTTTACACTCCAATCAGCAATGTACGAGGGCTCCAATTTTCCACATTGTTGCCAACATGAATTTTCCATTTTTTAAAATTGTAGCCATCCTCATGGGTGTGAAGTGGTATCTCATTGTAGTTTTGATTTGCATCTCCCTAACAAGCCATGATGTTGAGCATCTTTTCATGTGCTTGTTGGCCATATGTATATCCTCTTTGGAGAAATGTTTATTCAAGTCTTTTACCCATTTTAAAATTGGGTTGTTTTTCCTTTTGTTGTTGAGTTGTAAAAGTTCTTTCTGTATTCTAGATACTAGACCTTATCACATATATGGTTTTTGAATATTTTTCCCCTTCTGTGTATTGTCATTTCAATTTCTTGATAGTATCCTTAGATGCTCAAAACTTTTAAATTCTGATGAAGTCCAGTTGATCTATTTTTTCTTTTGTTGCTCGTGTTTTTGTTATCATATCTAGGACTCCACTGCCAATTCTAAGGTCATAGAGACATAACCTTATGTTTTCTTCTAAGAATTTTATATATATATATATATATATATTTTTTTTTTTTTTTTTTTTTTTTTTTTAGATGGAGTCTTGCTCTGTCTCCCAGGCTGGAGTACAGTGACACAATCTTGGCCCACTGCAACCTCCACCTCCCGGGTTCAAGTGATGCTCCTGCCTCAGCCTCCTGAGTAGCTGGGACTACAGGCACGCACCATCACGCCCGGCTAATTTTTGTATTTTTAGTAGAGATGGGGTTTTGCCATGTTGGCTAGGCTGGTCTCGAACTCCTGACCTCAGGGGATCTGCCCATCTCACCCTTCCAAAGTGCTGGGATTACAGGCATGAGCCACTGCGCCCAGCCTGAATTTTATAGTCTTAACTTATATTTAAGTCATTCCATTTTGAGTTCAACTTTACATATGGTGTGAAATAGGGGTCCAACTTCATTCTCTTGCATGTGGATATTCAGTTGTCTCAATACCATTTGTTGAAGCGATTACTCTTTCCCCATTGAATGCACCTTGCACCCTAGTTGAAAATCAATTTGCCATAGATGTTTGAGTTTCTTTCTGGACTCTGAATTCTATTTCATTGTCTATCTATCTATCCTTACGCCAGCACTACACTGTTTAGCTTTTTAGTAAGTTTTGAAATCAATAAGTATGAGTGCTCTAACTTTGCTCTTTTTCAAGATTGTTTTGGCATTTGTCGCCCGTAATTCCATATGAATTTAAGGATCACCTTTTCTGTTTCTGGGAAAAGGACTGTTGGAACTTTGATAAGGATTATATTGGATCTGTAGATTGCTTTTGGTAGCATTGCCATCTTAATAATGTTAAGTGTTCCAATCCAAGAACTTAAAATATTTTTTCATTTATTTAGGTCTTTAATTTCCTTCAGTAATGTTTTATAATTTTCATTGTACAAGTCTTTCACCCCTTTGGTTGAATTTATTCCCAAGTTTTATTCTTTGGATGTATTATAAATGAAATTGTTTTCTTAATTTCCTTTTCAAATTTTTCATTGCTGATGTACAGAAACACTGCTAATTTTTGTATGTTGATCTTGTACCCTGCAATATTGCTGACTTTGTTAGTTCTAATAGGTTTTTTTGTGTGGAAATTCAGGGTTTTCTATACATAAGATTATGTCTTCTACAAATAGAAACAATTTTACTTCTTCCTTTCCAGTTTGGATTCCACTGACTTCTTTTTCCTGTCTATTTATTCTGACTGAAACTTCCAGTGCAATGTTGAATAGCAGCAGTAAAAGTGGGCACCCTTGTCTTGTTCCTGATCTTAGGGGATCATTTCCTCACTTCTATCAGGTCCCAGGTCACAAGCTGTCATCTCAGTGAGGCGTCCTCTGACTAGCCTTCCCAAAACAGCGGTGCACACCCCACCCACAACCCATCCTGTCATCTTCTAGGCCCTTGTCCTGCTTTGTCTTCCTCCATAATGCTTAATACCATTCCATATCTTTATACGTTTATTATTGCTCTCCTTTCACTACATCAGAAGCTTTTGAGGATTTTACTCACTGCTGTCCCCTAGCCCCCAGAAAGGTGCCTGGCACATAGGAAGCACTCAATAAATGTTGTTGAGTAAATAAATATACATATGCAATTTCTCATAAATGGAATTAAATTGTTAATGCTACTTTGTAAGCTTGCCTTTTTCACACAACATTTGTCCTAGGCATTCTCCTTCTTAGTAAGTAGCAATTGCCATCATCCTTTATACTAACTGCTGGAAGTCCATTGTATGGATGCACCATAATTTCTTCACCAGTTCCTATGGGTGGGCATGACAGTGACTGTCCTCATACGTACCTCTTTACTCCCCTTATTCCGTTATGAATCTGACACTTTAAAAATATGATAATGAGGCAAGGATGCATTATTTTTCTCCCTTTTCATATTTTATTTGTTTGTTTAGAAATGTTTATACATTTTTCTCTCATTTCCCAAGGTCTCAGAACCTTTGGTTAAGGTATCCCATACCCTGGCATTCTATTATATTTTTCTTTCATATTTTTTTCCTACTTACAGATTGTTTGGTCATGACCAATGCTTTTGATAGAGGGTAGTCAGCTTGGACCAAGTTATAAAATCATTCTTTTCAAGTGTGAGGGGTGCTGTGTTGGAGATCCCTGATTCCTATTCTTTGGAGAAGTTGGTCCCCAGAGGGAGAAACCTGAAGGGACTCTCAGCATGGAGGGACCCACAGGGCTCTACAATGGTCCACGCAGGGCTGTGGGTCCACCAGAGGCTGTTCCATTGCAGCCACTCCCGTAACAGGTCCCCTGTGTGTTTGCAGGAAAGGTCTGGGTTCCTAAGCAGAAGCCACTGGATCCTGTGCTGGAAAGTGTGACGCTGGAACCGGAGCTGGAGGAAGCCTTGGCAAATGCTTCAGATGCAGAACTCTGTGACATTGCAGGTAAGAGGCGTTCCAGGAGCTTTCCACATCCTCCAGAAGGATTTGACCCACATCTGCAGGGAGCCTTGTAGGGCTCATTTCAGCATGAACACCTTCTCTATTTCTAACAAGAACTAGAGGAGACCGAGAGTGTTCAAACAACAATCCATTCTCAAAAACCAAAACAAGGAAAATAGAGAGAAAACCACGCAAACCCACCACACCAGGGAGCCATCTGCTGTTGCCATGAGACCCCATGCCAGAGGGACGTGGGTGTATCTCAGGGAGAGCCCACAGACGCCCTTTCCCAGCCATTAGCGTTGAATCCTGCCCAAACCATTTGGGAAGAGAGGATAGAGGGAAAACAGACAGAGGGCCTCTGGTTTCTTTGGCTTGGGAGGCTCACTAAGGGCTTGATTTTTACAACTTTGCACTTTGCCTGCAGTTGGCTCAGTGAGCCGGCTTTGAGGGGTCACCCTTGTATATCGCATATTTGCCCCATGCCCTCCATCTTCATATGTGTTTCCATATGATCTTCAAAAACTACCCCCAAAACTCCAGAAGGTGGCCTGATATTCAGAGCCCTTTGCCCCACTCCCTGCCTCCCCCGACTTCTCTGCTGCTCCTGTCTAGTTTCTGTCCCACTGCTGTGGTGTTCCATCCCCACAGGAAGGTCAGGCTCTGGCCACATCCGGCACCTTGTGCACTCCCTCCCCACCTACTGTGCTCTCTGATCCAGGGAGTGGGTGGGTTTTTATTCTGCAGGCTTGGAGACTGCTAATCATAGCCCAGGTGATGGCAGGAGGGTGGGCGGGGTGGGGAAAGGCTCGAGGCAGGTGGGCAGGGGAGAGGGTAGAAGGGGATGCCTGTGACTGATTGGCTGTGAGAGTGAGGTAGAAGAGTGAAGCAGGGTAACCTCAGACACTAAGTGGTGTCGGTGCCATTAGTGATGGATGGCAAGGGAGGAGCAGGAAGAGGGGAGATACAGAGTTCAGTTTACAACCTGTGGCACTTGAGGCACCTGTGGGCCACCCAAGTAGGGTCAGTTGTATAGGAAGTTCTGGAGTGCTACAGGAGGTTCCCATTCAAGATAGAGATTTGGGCATCATTAGTGTTGTCAAGCTCCAGAAAGAATACATGGCCCTTGTAGAAGCCTTTGGTGGTGGGGGTTGGGGGCGGGGGTGCAAATCGTGGGAATGGGGCAAAGCTGGAATGTGGATCAGTTAGCCACAAATAGGCTGAGAACCAAAGGCCAAATCAAGATGGGCAGAATTGGATGCAGGAGCCACAGAGACAGAGTGAGGGTTCAGGGCTGGCCAGGAGACTCAGAGGCATGTAAGCCCAGAGGCCACGGCGGAGGTGGGAGGGCACCAGCACCAGCACCAGGGACTTGACAGGCCACAGCTGCCTTCTGCGACTTGTGAGTAGTGTTGTGCATGACTTTGGTGACATTCGTTCAGGGGTGGGGGAGCCACTGGGGGATGTGCAGGGGCAGTGAGAAGACTCAACTATACACAAGGGGCACTCTGGGTGGTGACAGGTGAAGCCAGGTCTGGGGGACCTGAGGAGTGAATGCGGAAAGCCAGTGTGTAGATCCCAAGTCCAGACAGCCCTTTCCTCAGGAGACAGGGAATTTGAAGGACAAAGGGCAATGGCTTGAAGGGTATTGGGACTGAGAGAGAATGGTTTTCCCTTTCACTATGAAGTACAGAAGCAGTGAGTGCTTCACCCAGCTGGGAAGGTAGCACTTAACTCCGGAACCTAGTTTGCTAGGGCAGGGATTTATTCTGTCAGAAGCCACACGAGTCACAGTAGATCCTCCATTGAGCCCGTATATTATACATCACACTTCAACCAAACCATCTCCCCGAAGTCCCTTGAGGTCGGGTTAATCTGTGAGGCAGGGAGGTGGCTGATGCCTTGGTGCGGCATCTCCACATGGACTGGGGCTGTTTTTACCCTGGACTTTCTCCTCCAATCACGCTTCATGACGTCACTCCCCTCATTAGGCAGCTCAAAGGGATTATCAAATGACTGCCGGCGCCTGCGGTTCCTGTGCCAGGTCAGAGCTGCAACTCTGTGCTACGTTTCTGTGTGGCTTTCTTGAAACTACTTCTCTTTATTTTTGTTGGCGTGGCTATTTATTGTTATCTGTAACGACGCAATATGCTGCCGAAGTCTGGGAAGGAGAGGGGAGCTGTAAGTCTACACCAGTGTTAACTGGCTAACCTTGGATGCCTGTCATTTGATGTTGGACATTTGAAAGATGGCAGCATCTCTGGGGAAGGAGGGACTGAACACTTTTGACCACCTACCATGTCCCAGGTTCTATGTGAGTTGCTCTCAAGACCTTATTGCATTTATTGACCAAAACAATCCTATGAAGGAAATTTTATTACTGTCCCCATTTTATGGATGGAGAAAGTAGGCAAGGTGTGGTTAAATGCCTTGCCCAAAGGGTTTAAACCCAGGCAACTTCATTCTAGGGCCTATGTGCAGCATCATCACCCAGTGTCACCTGAGTGAAGCCCTCCAGGGTAGGGGAGGACACAGAGCACAGAGGGTAGGCAACAGAGGGTGATGGGCAAGGCTGGAGAAGTTGGCTGGGGACCCGGGGAGGGGGTCACATTAGAAAAGGCTCTGGATGCCACACCAAGGAGATGAAACTTGGGACTAGGGGCATGAAGGAGAGCTAGATGGAAGCAGGAGTTTGAGTGGAGAGGAGGGGGTGTTCTGGAGGATGGGGGAATGGAGGAGGCAGGCCTTCGATGAGGCCGAGGCCTGGGCAGAGCTGTGAGATTGCATCTGAGATGCAGCTTCACCAAGAGCCCAGCTGTTCCTAGTGCCGGCTCAGAGGCCGAGCAGCTGAGATGGTACCAGTCTTTCTAGCCTGAGGCAGCAGAAAACAGGCTGGGTGGCTGATGAGGAGTGCTCTGCCGAGAGCTGACTTCAGAAACTCCGCATGAGATGAAGGCTGGACTTCGAACATGGTGTTGGAGGTGCTGGGCGGAGCAGGCCCACCAGAGAGTGGTGGGTGGTTGGAGCCTTTTTCACAGAGCGGGTGACTGGGACCAAGAGTGTGGGTAACTCACTGGAGGAAGAAGAGTAGGGAGAGGAGGACATGGGGCGTCCAGGTCACCTGTAGTTGGTATGGCCTGTCTCCCAAGTGGAACATTTCCATCAGCTCAGCTCTGGCTTGCTCACTCACACACACAGTCAGTGCTGTCCATTTAGTCTCTGGACTAGGCTCTGGCAAAAGAATGGTAAGAAAACAGCCCAGTTTCCACCCTCACAGAGTCTACATTAAACAAACACCAGGTAAGTATGAAATGACAAATGAGAGTGAGCGTCTGAACAGAATCAGTACAGCGTGTGAGGGAGGCACTTGGGGTAGGGCTGGGGGAGACCAGGGAAGAGCTATGGAGAAGAGCCTAGGAGCAGAAGAGTAGCAGTGAGAAAGTGCGGAGAAGGTCCAGGGCTTGGGAGCGGCAGGAGGAGCGGTTCCGGGCTGGGGAGGGCAGGCCCCTCTGAACGGAGTGGCCTGGCAGGCTTGCTATCTGCTGATGGGAGGAGCCTGGAGGGCAAGCTCAGGTGTGCCCTCCTAACTCAGGTGTGACACGGGTGAGATGCATCACTCATGTATTCACCTAACTGCTCACTAAGCCAGTGCACATTATTGAACTCCTACTGTATACTAGGATGAACAGGAGCCAGTCCTTGCCTTTGGGAGGCCCAGGAGGTGATGAGGAGGACAGACGAGAAACATGTATTTTTTTTTTAACCTTAAAATCTTTTATCACTTCAACATGTAGATTTCAACATTAAAAGCGTCCCTGCTGGGCAACAAGCAGAGTGCACAGGTTCCTGGCAGGGCTAAGTTCTTGGCGCATAGCCTACAGGGTTGTAGGTCAGAGGCTGCTGGGAGTCAGCAAGCACTTGTAATTCGCAGTGCCTCCCCTGCCCACTCAGGGAGGTGATGCTGGCTGGCTTTAGGGACCCTTCAGGTGGGGCAGAACCCAGGAAGGAAGTGGGGTAGGGAGACTCATCGTTTAGATGGGACAGCCTCGGGCCACTCACCCCCAAGGGCAGTTGGCAACCTGGGGGTCTTGCAGCTATCAGAGACAGGCTTAGCCAGGCCACCCCCTGGCTTCTGGCTACTTCCGTGTGCTTAGGCACCTGTCCTGCTACCCTGCCAGTGGCAGGGTGTATCTTATCCAGGAGCAGCTCAACTGCATCCAAGTCCTGGGCTGGAGCCAGTTTCTCCCACCTGTCCCTGGGATGCAGGAGAACATCTTCCAGCCATCTGCCCAGAGCCAGCCCGAGCAGCTGGCAGCAGGAGGAGCCGGGGATGTGTGCTGTTATCTCTCTGCGTCCTGAGTGGAATTACCAAATGAGTGAACTCTGCCAAGGCAGGGAGAGGAAACAGAACTCAATGTTCTTTTTCAGAGTTCAAAAATAGTCCTTTTTGAGTTTTGAGGAAGATCTAGACTTAAAAAAAAAAAAAAATCAAGTTCCCCAGTGCTAAATTCAGCCTTGCCAATATCTACAAAGAATGAAGCAACAGGCAATGTTGATGTGCCGTTTTCTCCCGTCACTCACTTCTGTTGACGTGGAGTGTGGCACAAAACCAAGTGAGAGGGAAAGTTGCGATTTTGTGCCTAGGGCTGGCAGAAGGTAATACTAGCCCCAGGCATTCTGCCCATCAGTGGAAATCTAGCTGGGCCCTTCCCTTCCTTCCTCTTTCCCTCCTTTCTTCTTTTCGTCCTTCCTTTTTGTAATTCTAATTTCCTCTGAGCTGCAAAATGGTTTTATTTCTTCTTAGCCCTGCTGTTAACATATGTAACCTCCTAGAATAAATATATGTTATCTGTCCTTAGGATGCCAAAGTCAAAGGGAAGTTTTAGAACTTTAGAACTGCTAGTGACCTAGTGAATGAGAATACTAACTTAAAAGCCACAAGAGTCTTTGCTGTATGGTTTTGGCGAACCATTTCCCTCTTGAGCTTGCTGGAAAAGTTGGGGGTGGGGGGTCTACCACAGCTACCCTGGATGCTGTTTGTTTGTTTGTTTGTTTGTTTGTTTTTAGACAGAGTCTCACTCTGTTGCCCAGGCTGGAGTGCAGTGGCGTGATCTCGGCTCACTGTAACCTCCACCTCCCAGGTTCAAGCAATTCTCCTGCCTCAGCCTCCCAAGTAGCTGGGATCACGGGCGTGTGCCACCATGCCCTGCTAATTTTTGTATTTTTAGTAGAGACGGGGTTTCACCATGTTGGCCAGGCTGGTCTTGAACTCCTGGCCTCAAGAGATCCACCCACCTCGGCCTCCCAAAGTGCTGGGATTACAGGCATGAGCCACTGTGCCCAGCCCCTGGATACTTACTGTAAAAGTCAAACAGGATAAAAACATGAGAAATTGTTGTGTCACTAAGTCCTATGGGTAGGTAAGAGATCAGTTTAAACACTCCATTTTACAGGTGAGAAAACTGAGCGTCCCCCCAGCCCCCAAAAAGGAAGTGACCTATACAGGGTTACCCAGAAAATTCATACCAAGGCTCAGCCTGAAATGCAGGTCTGCTTCCTCTTGGTCTCCCAGCAGTCTCGTGTAACTTCACCGCCTCCATCCCTTTTCTAGACCATCACAGGAAGCTGGCATCTGTGTGCCAAATGCACTTTCTATTTTCCACCTCTCTCCACTCTAAGCCACACCAGTCAGCCATATGAGGCTACATCTTTTATATGATCCCCGCAAAACCTGTACGAAACCCCAGCACATCCCAGAACCCCCGTGAGCTGCTCCGTGGGAGCTGGAGAGCCTGCCCCAGAATGGGACTCCTTCTTGGTGATCTGATTCACCTGCTGCTGACTCAGGCCTCAGCTTCTGTTGCCCACGTAGATGCAGCCTAAATTAAAACCCACGAGAGCTTGAAAAAATGCAGATGCCTCTCTCCCCACCAGTTCTCTTAGTGATGAACAAGCAAGTCTAATTTTAGCAGAGAAGAATCTTAGAATGTGAGAAACAGAAAGGACTTTGAGATCATCTCATCTTGTGGTTTTCGACTCTCACTCAGCAACAGAATCACCTGAGGAGGTTTAAAAAAAAAAAAATCGGCCGGGCGTGGTGGCTCAAGCCTGTATCCCAGCACTTTGGAAGTCCAAGACAGGCGGGTTACTTGAGGGCAGGAGTTCAAGACCAGCCCGGGCAACATGGTGAAACCCCGTCTCTACTAAAAATACAAAAATTAGCTGGACGTGGTGGCACGTGTCTGTAATCCCAGCTACTTGGGAGGCTGAGGCAGGAGAATCGCTTGAGTCCGGGAGGTGGAGGTTGCAGCGAGCCAAGATCATGCCATTGCACTCCAGCCTGTGCCACAGAGCGAGACTCCGCCTCAAAAATTTAAAAAAAAAAAAAAAAAAAAAAATATATATATATATATATATATATATATATGTCTATCTATCTATCTATCTATCTATCTCCAGAGATTCTGATTGGTTGGTCCAGGATGGAGAGAGGCACTGATATGGTCTTAAAGCTCCCTGGGTGATCCATGTGTGCAGCCTTGACCGAGAGCCACTGGTCTTGTCTCAAGCCCTCATTGGAAAGAGAGGTTGAAGCCTAGACAGGGGAGGAGAACTGCCCAAGGTCACACTGACATCAGGGGCATGGTCAGGGCTGGAACTTGGGTTTCCTGACTCTTCATTAAGGGCTCCCATATTGTCTCTCTAACAGGAAACCATATCTAATCAAGTGACTTGGATATTTTTTAAAAAATCACCACCAAATATTTGCTAAATACCGTATTCAGGGAGAGGTGGAAGAGAAAATATCCTTCTCTGACCTCCAGAAGCCTACAGTCTAGTAGCAGAAGCAGACGTGTATCTAGATATGTCTAACACCACATAGATTCTGAGGCATACACCAGGTGCTGTGGGAGAATTAGAAAGGGAGAGGAGGAATCCAGGAAGACTCCCTGGAGGAGGAAGAGTTACTCCTAGTCTTGAAGGATAGGGCCATAGAGTTGTTAGATAAAATACAGTATGATCAATTGAATTCAAATTTCAGAGAACAACAAATATGTCCCAATATTGAATGGGGCGTACTTAGCTAAAAAAAAATCTGGTGTTGGCCGGGCGAGGTGGCTCACGCCTGCAATCCCAGCACTTTGGGAGGTCAAGGTGGTGGATCAAGAAGTCAGGAGTTCAAGACCAACCTGGCCAAGTTGGTGAAACCCTGTCTTTACTAAAAATACAAAAATTAGCCGGACGACAAAAAATACAATATTTTTTGTATTGTATATATATATATATAAAGTATTTATATATTGTATATATAAAAAATACAAAAATTACAGGATGACACTCCTGTAATCCCAGCTACTCGGGAGGCTGAGGCAGAGAATTCCTTAAATCTGGGAGGTGGAGTTTACTGTGAGCCGAGATCTCGCCACTGCACTCCAGCCTGGGCAACAGAGCGAGACTCCATCTCAAAAAAAAAAATTTGTTGTTTATCTAAAATTCCAAGTCAAGTGGGTGCAGAGAATCACCAGCAGAAGGGAGAGTACTAGCAAAAGCAGGAGCAGCTATGAGCAGGGGCTGTTTGTGTAGCTGGAGCAGAGAAGCTGTTGGGAGGGGGAGTGCAACAACACTGGTGAGGTGGGGCCAGCCCAGGGAAGGCCTGTGAAGCCAGGCTCTGGGTTTGGATTTGGCTGTACAAGCCACTGTCCTCCCATCTGGACAGCTGCAACAGCCTCACAGCTCTGCAGCCACATCCATCTCTCCCCTCTGTAGTGAGTTCTCAACACAATAATCAGAACTCAGGTCAGACCATCTCACTTCCTGCTCAAGCCTCTAATGGCTTCCCAGGCTGTTCCTAGGAAAAGACACCCGAACTCCTTACTCAGCCTAGAAGACCCTGTAGAATCTGACCTTGCCTAGGTGAATAAAATCTACTCCAGAGGGTTATTGGGCAGATCAAGGAGGGGAGTGTCAGGCAATGGTTCTCAACCTTGGCTGCTCATTGAAACCATCCAGGGAGCTTTAAAAATGCAGGTGCCTGAGCTCCACCCCCAGATATTTTGGGTTAATTGGTCTAGGGTGGGACTGGGCATCAGGAATTTCAACAGATCCCCAGGTGATTCCAGTGTGCAGCCAAATTGGGAATGATGGATACAAAGTGTCTTCCCTGGCCCAGAGCATGTGCTCAGTGAGAGGGGTGGTGTTGCCATGCGTCTGATTATTACCGCCACACATCCAGCTTCTATCCTGTTTCCCCCAGCAGTGATTGTCACAGCTGTGTCATCACTGGTGTCCTGGCCTTGGCCTCTTCCTACTCTCCACCTCCCAACATGCAGCACAGAGCAGCTGGAAAGGTCTTTCCTGAAATGCCAACCTGACCTTCCTCCCTCACTGGCCTGCCACTCTCTGAACCTCGAGGCTTTCCCACCTGCATTCCTCTGCCTGTAATGTTCTATAGCCCTTCTCTTAACTTGACCAACACTTACTCCTCCTTTGCATCCCAAGTTCCTCTTTTATGCTGTCTTAGGACTGAACTTTTTCCTCTACCACACTCAGCATACCCTGTGCTGGTTTTTCATTGTGTGGGAACTTGCTTGGCTCCTCTCTCCCCCAGCACACTTTCAGCTCCATGAGCGGAGACCCAGTCTTTCTTATTCTCCACTGTCCCCACCAGAGCCTAGCACACAGTGCTGGGGTGGGCCTCATTACATGTTGAACAAATGAATGGATGAAAGAATGGCTGAGCACGGGAGCAATAAGATCAGGTTGGCATTTCCAGAAAGAGCTTTCCAGCTGCTTTGTGCTGCATGCTGGGAGGTAGAGGGAAGGAAGAGGCCAAGACCAAGACACCCGTGATGACACAGCTGTGACAATACAGCCAAAGAATGATCAGGCCTCCATTAGGATGGAGATGATGGGATGGGAGGGGGACAGATCTCAGAGACACTGGGATGGTCAAATGGGCTTATGGGGAGAAGGTGCCACATTCCCTGATGTTTTACCCTGAGGGACAGGCAGGATGACAAGATGGAAAGAGAGCCTTCCAAAGAAAGAGGCTGTCACTGGAAAGAGCCATTCTGGTTTGGCCACGTTGAGCTGGATGTGCCAGCAGGACATCAGGGAATCAGAGGCCAGGGGCAGAGCAGCCTGGGCTGGGGCTGGGGATTTCAGAGTCACATCAATAGAGGTGAGAGTAAAAGTAAAATAAAATTTTGAAGTTTTCATGCAAGTGTTTCTTGCCATTTCTGTGAGCCAGAGTTCCCGGGGTTTGGAGTGTGGGTCCCTAGGAGGCTCTTCTGTCTGCAGAGGCACATCATGAGCCCTTCCCTTGTCCCTGCAGCGATCCTGGGCATGCACACGCTCATGAGTAACCAGCAGTACTACCAGGCCCTGAGCAGCAGCTCCATCATGAACAAGGAGGGGCTCAACAGTGAGTATGCGCCCGCCCCCAGGAGGGACCTCATGCTTCTTGCTTCCTCCACTCACTGATGTTCTCTGGCTCATTGCAGAAGTTTTAACATGTTATATAGCCAAATCTGTTCATCCTTTCCTTTGAGTCTCCTGGGATTTGTGTCTTGTTTACAAAGGCCTTCTCTATCCCAGTATTATAGAAATGTTCTCCTATATTTTCTTCTAAAAGTTTTAGAGATTTACTTTTTATATTCAACTTTTTCTTTTTTTAGACAGGGTCTTGCTCTGTCAGCCAGGCTGGAGTGCATTGGCACAATCTTGACACACTGCAGCCTGGACCTCCTGGGCTTAAGCGATCCTCCCACCTCTGCCTCCTGAGTAGCTGAGGCTACAGGTGTATGCCAGCATGCCTGGCTAATTTTGTTTATTTTGTATGGAGATGAGGTCACACCATTGCCCAGACTGGTCTCGAACTCCTGGACTCAAGCAATCCTCCTGCCTCAGCCTCCCAAAGTGCTGGGATTACAGGCATGAGCCACCACACCTGGCCTTATATTCAACTTCTTAATCTACCTGGAGTTCATGTTTGTGTGTGCTGTGGGATGAGACCAAACTTTCATTTTTTCGAATTAATATCCAGTGGTCCCAACACCATTCCTTGCAAGATTTATCCTTTCCCCACTAGTTTGGGGCCTGCCTTTATCATCCACATGGATCTGTTTCTAGGTGCCTCCTCTGTTTCATGAGCCCTTTTGTCCTTTCCTGTGCCAATATTGCATTGCCTTAATTACTCCACTGCATTGTTCCAAAGCTGGCATTTTGGCCCCAAACAGAAATGAGGCTGCCAAAAAAAATAATTATTCCTCCCTCTGGAAGATTGATGCATTTCTTTCCCATCCGGGCTTCATCTTAGCCTCCCAAGAGTCCACTGAGGTCATGAGCCCCGGGAAAATGACTAGCCCTGCCTTACAGATGTAGACCCAAGGTTCAGAGAGTTTAAGTAATTCACCCAGTTCTTGCAGGACGTCAAAGGCAGAGTCCAAGTAGAACCCCAGCCTCCTGGCTCCCTTGCGGGGCTTCTTCTGAGTGGTGCCCCCTACCCCCACCCAGCCCCTGTGATGTGCAGCCCTCACGTGCCCCAACCCTGCACATGCTCCCTTCCACAGTATCTTTGTGTTGGCAGAAAGTGAGCCCCTTGTTTCTGTGAGCCACCTCCCTTTCATCGGTCACTCTAGGCGTGATTAAACCCACACAATACAAGCCTGTGCCCGACGAAGAACCAAATTCAACAGACGTAGAGGAAACGCTGGAACGGATAAAGAACAACGACCCAAAACTTGAAGAAGTTAACCTCAATAATATCCGGGTAAGGTCCATTTATTTCACTTTACCTGTGTGTGGCTGGGGGAGGGGGAACCATGTCACCCAAATGCAAACGGTCCAGGGTTGGTTGTGCAGAGTAAACAGGGTCCTGTTTGGATTCTGGGTGTTTCTGCATTGGGAATAGGGACAAAACCTTTGCAAATGGGAGCCTTTAAGAGGGGTGGGCAGTGTAAACAAGTGCATCTGGCAGTCCTGGTTTCTTTCTGAGGATGATATCAGGCCCAGATGTTTAGCACGGGCCAACCCAGCTTTGATCTGGAAACCTGCCACGTTATTCAAAACACTGAGAGATTCTCCGAGATAAAATCATGAGTCAGACACACGCTGCTGCATGGGATCTCAAGGCTGGAAAAGTCCGGTGCCCACTAGGCTCGGGGGTAACACAGGCCCTGGGCAGGCCCCTCCCCTGTGCCATCGCTGCTGCTATATCACGTTCATATTCAGCCTTGTTTTACAGCCACAGAAGGGAGCTGTTGGCCAAAATGTCCAAAGCGATATCCCAAGCTGTCTGCCCTTTTCTCTGTGCACATTTCCTTATGTGATCCCGGGGCAGGGGAGGGACAGGTGGACAGGCAGTCTCACCCTGAACAGGCCGCCGCAGGAAGAATTCAGAGACAAATGCAGCTTTCTACCCACCTGCTGAGCCCAGAGACCAGTGGATTAGTTCTGGGAGGGGGGTGGGGGTAAGACTAGAAGCCAGCCCCCCATGCCCCTGCTCCACTTTCTTTCCTTCTCCACTTTATTTTAAGCAGCTGCCAGCCCCACGGCACCATCAGATTGGAAACCTGCACCCTAGTGTTCACCCCCACCTGGCCTCCCCATGCTCTGCTCCCATGGGAGCTAAAGTGACGCTCTGAGAGATTGGTAAAAACACAGCCATGTTTTCTTTCATGTGCCCAGTAGGAGACATTGGCACAATTCAGAATGCTGCCCACTGGCAGTGAATGCTGCCTCAGGGCCACATGAGGGATGGAATCTCCCTGTGAGGCCCCAGCCTCCTCTGGGCCTCAGTTTCTCCTCTGCACTGTGAGCCTGTTGGACCAGATCAGTGGTTTTCACCTGAGAAGATTAAAAAATATATACCAACGCCCAGGCCTGACCCTAGAGATTCTGATTCTATTGTTCTGGGCCGGCCCAAGCATCACCATTTTGTAAAAGTTCCCCAGGAGTCTCTGATGTGCCGCTGGAGCAGAGACCCCCTGGGGTAGATGTCTCTTAAAGAGTATCATATGCAACCCCCTTACCTGTTTTCCAGAAACAGGGCCAGAGAGGGCAGGAGGCTTCCACAGAGACACCTAGCAAGTCAGGAACATTGCCGATCATTGGGACCAAGGCCAGGTTCCAGCCCCTCTCACACCCCTAGTCCTAGCTCTTTGCACAATACTACACGCCTTAATTTTTGCCTCTTCTCTGGCCCCCAAGTGCACAAAGAAAGAGGTTACAGGTCTTATCTGAAATTTTCAGGGAGGATTTTCTAAATCTGTTTACCAGAAAGTTCTCCCCAGATTTCAGTCGTCCGGGACAAAGCCTAAACCTTTTGCCCATTCAGCTTTTTGGCCAGAGACTTGCCAGGAATCAGAGAGTAGCCAGGCTAATCCACCTGCCTCAGCCTGTCCCAGAGGAGGCTTCTGGTCACTCTCTCTGTTGCCTTTCTTTGTGCAGAATATCCCCATCCCCACCCTCAAGGCATATGCAGAAGCCCTGAAAGAAAACTCATATGTGAAGAAGTTCAGCATCGTGGGGACACGGAGTAATGACCCCGTGGCGTATGTATGTACCTTTCTGTTCTGTTGCATTGTGGCTGGGGGCCTTGAAACAGAAGGGTTGAAATATGTGGCCTCAGGACTGGTTGTATCCCACTAACAAAGAGCTCTATGTGGTACAGTGGAAGGCATTGGACCAGGAGCCATGAGGGGTGTAGAGGGAACAGCCATCACCTGGCACCACCTACACGTCATCCTGGCCAATCCTCACACCCACTTCTGGTCTCAGATGTGCAGTTCTCCCCACTTTGCACTTAAAAAATCTAGGGTTCGGAGAGGTCAGGCAACTTGTTTTGTCCAGTCACACAGCAAGTGAGAGGTGGACCTGCAAGTCCAGTGCAGTCACGTGACCCCTAAATCTTCACTCGGCACATCATATTAGAACAAGAGCCTGCCCTTCCCTGTTCCTCAGTTTTTCCATCTCTAAAATCAATGGTTTTGGTTGGGCGCAGTGGCTCACACCTGCAATTCCAGCACTTTGGGAGGTCAAGACGGGTGGATCACTTGAGGTCAGAAGTTCGAGACCAGCCTGGCCAACATGGTGAAACCCCGTCTCTACTAAAAGTATAAAAATTACCTGGGCTTGGTGGTGCATGCCTGTAATCCCAGCTACTCGGGAGGCTGAAGCAGGAGAAGCACTTGAGCCCAGGAGGCGGAGGTTGTAGTGAGCCGAGATTGCACCACTATACTCCAGCTTGGGCGACAGAGCGAGGCTCCATCACAAAATAAATAAATAAATAAATAAAAATTTAAAAAAATAAAAATGATGGTTTCATCAGCAGGTCCCAATGACCAATTTTATTTTATAAGTCTCAAAAGATATTTCTGATCAAATTAAATTGTACTTACTCTGAAGTAGCCATCAACTCTTCTTTTTAAACATCCAGCACATATGTATTGAGAGTCTCTCTGTGCCCAACGCTGAATTAGGTTCTGGGAATACAATTGTGACCAGTCTCAGCTTCCACTTTCATAAAGATTCTGGTCCATTTGGCCAAGCAGACAACTAAAGGGTAACAGTACAGTGCAATTACTGCAAAGCTAGATTCCTGCAAGAAGGGCAGAAGCTAGTTTATCAGGGCTAGTAATTAACCATTTAGTAGCAATCGATTTTTTTCTGATTCTTAAAATAGGTAAGACAGTGTTCTTTCATATTTTTGAAATAATAGAAATAGCTCACAGTCTCTCATTGCTGTCAGTGGGGAACCTCTGGATTGATGACCTCTGACCTCAGATCTCCATGGTTCCTTGCCCATAGGAACACAGCTGGCAAAGCCACATGCCCTGTATGCTACTATGTCATGGGTCAGAAACCAAGCACATCCATTCTGGCCCTCAGCTCAGGTCCACAAATGTTTTTTGGGCATGGACTCTGCCAGACCAACAGCTGATATCAGCCTATGCACACCAGTATGCCCGTGTCAAACACTGAGATGCTTCTGGGCCAGTTGGTAAATCAGGCTGCCAGAGCTCTGTCAGGGCCCCCACCGCCTGCCCTAGCTTTTCTCCTGGCCCCGGTTCCTCCACTGGGACCCAGCATACAAGGAGTTAACACCTGGCAAGACAGGGCCTCCAGGACCTGCTCAGCCACCAGCATGTCCAGTTGGATCAGCCTAGCAGGTTGCCTACTGGTTGTTATTTTGATTTTTTTTATTAGATTTGATTAAGCCAGGCCAGGCCTTTCCTGGGAGCAGGAAGGTTCTGGTGGAAGACACAGAGAGGACTCTGGCTGGGTCCTTTCCCTCAGGAGGGCCAGCCAAGTCAGAGACAGACGCCATCATAGAGAAAGCTGACATGCCATCCCGGGGGCACACTGAAGTGAAGGGCACTGAGGAGGGGGCGATGATTTCAAAACAGAGGGCTTCCTGGGAGCTAGCCTCTCAGCAGGTCTCAGCAAGGCAGGGGCGACGGGGTAGGTATTCCTGGCTCGGAGCATCATTTTAGGCAGCAGGGCCCACCGATCAGTATGTCCTATCAGCTGCTGGTGTCTTTTTCCCTCCATGACGCATCGTTTCCACCAACTGCTAATTATCTCATTTCCTTCAGAGGCTCTGATTGTCATCTACACCCCCTGGCTGAGTTCCTCTGAAACGTGCTAGGGGCCACCTAAGCTCCTCTTCTCCAGTTTGCCCTGGTCACTTGCCCAGTGGGTGGTTTCCCAGGCTTCCCTCTTCTGCTCTGTAGTGCTCAGATGAAGAAAACCATGTCTCCATGGAATTTCCACAGGGCAATAAAGAGACAAGTGGGGAGTATGTACAGGAGGTTGAGGCTCCACTGGTCACTCAGTGAACAATGCCTGAGGGCCTATTATATGCTGGGTACTGTGGCCAACATGGGATAGATAGGATGCATTTTCAGCCCACCAGGAGTATATAGTCTAATAGCAGAGACAACACCAGTATGAAAACAACTCTGAACAGAGGAATCCAAGGTCCACAATGAGGGAAGTATGGCTCCATTCTATGAGGATTTGAGAGGGTAGGCTACAGCTAGCTGGGGAATGTCAGCAAGAGTTCTTGGAGAAAGAGACATTGAGAATGCCCTCGAAAGATGGGTAGAGCTTGGACAGGGAAGCAGAAAGGGAAGGGAATTCCAGGTGGGAGGGAAAGAAAGGGCAGAGACAAAGTGGGAAAGCACCGAGCAGGCATGGGGAGCTGCGAGTAGCCCCACTGAAGAGGAGCAGTGAGAGTTGATTCTGGACAGGGGAGTAGACCCAGGTCATAGAAGCTTTGCATGTAGGCTAAGCAGCATAGAATTCTCCTGTGGGGGATCAGGAGCCATGGCGGGTTGCAGGAGAGGAGAGACACAGTCAGAGTTGTGCTTGGTGAAGGACATGGTGGAGATCATCCTCCTGTTCCCCTAGGTGTCTTAGGATCTACCCAGAGGGGCCTCCAGCCTTGCTCGGGGTGACTCATGGGTATCCTTGCTTTCTCTTGTGCTTCAAGGCCCTTGCTGAGATGCTCAAGGAGAACAAGGTGTTGAAGACACTGAATGTGGAATCCAACTTCATTTCTGGAGCTGGGATTCTGCGCCTGGTAGAAGCCCTCCCATACAACACTTCTCTGGTGGAAATGAAAATTGACAACCAGGTGAGATGGGCAACGGTCTCCTCAGGTCTGTTACTACATGCAGCTCGCTGGCCTGCAGTGTTTCCCATGCTGCTGGATGGAGCTGAGAATGCTGATGATAGAAGCTCAGAGCCCAGCTTTGAGGGACCTCCAAGGTCCCTAAAGTTCACACCCTCTACCACGCTCACCTTCCTTCTTCATCGCTTCCACTACGTGCTCTTCCAGTTCTGATTGAGTCCCTCTCATGATGGGGGACACACTCCTTACCAACATCATCACTTCCATTCTTAGGCAATGAGAACATTCTTCCTTATATCCGGTAGAAGTCAGCTCCCCGTAAGTCCTGTTTGTTGGGCTTAGCTCTGTTCTCTGCTTCACTCAGGACATCTGTTGCACAGATCTCATGGACCACTAAGCTCTCCTTCTCCAGGTTAAAATTCCCAGTTTTCTTCATTCACCCCCATTCAATGCGGCTTTTGAATTTCCTCACCATTCACATTACTCTCTAGGCAATTCTAGTTTGTCTTTATTCTTATGGAGTTACTGTTTCTCTGTAACTTCTGTGGGTCAATCATTTTATCTGCGGGGCAACTCTTTCAGCTCTGACTTTCTAAGAGGATGCTAATAACAACATCTTACATGTTACATGTGTTGAGAGTGTACTGTGGACCAGGCTCTGAGATACACATCTTACATCCATCATCTTTGATCTTCACAACAACCCTACAGAATGTGGGTATCATCAGTCTCAGTTTTCAGAAAATAGTCCAGACAGGCCAAAGATAAGCCCCTTTTTCAGGGCCATAGGGTCAGCATTTAGGAAGCAGGATTTGAATCCAGGTCTCTTTGACTCTAAAACTCACACTTATTCCACTGCAGCATGTTGCTTTTGATGTTAAAATGCTTTCTTTTTTATGAATGGGGACTCAGTTTTTTTTTTTCCACTACATGAAAATTTTTGCTGAATGGTTGTATAAATGTATGCATGGGAAAAAGATTGGAATGAAATATTACAAAATTCTAAACAGTGGTTATACCTGAGTGAGACTATCACAAGTTTTTAACTTTTTTATTGTAAAACATGGCAAACATACAGAAAAGTGCATAAAACTTAAATGCACAGCTTAAGGAATCATAACAGGCATGTAACCCCTGTCCAGGTCAAGAAACGAAAACATTACCAACCTCCAGAAGACTTTGTCCCTTCCCAACCATAACCCTTTCAAAACCATTCACAACTTGCTCCCCACTCTCATGCCTCCATGCCTTTCCCTCCTCATGGAATGTCCTCCCCTGCCTCTACCCTCTTCTCTGCCTTCTGGGTTTAGTTGAAGTTTCACTTTATCTTAGTGGTGTTCTAGAGACAGCTTGAACCAGCTTGCAAGATCTGATTGTGGATATCTCTTCCTGAGACCAGCGATGGCACATTGGTGCCTTGAATTGCTCATGGTAGGTGGGAGTATTTACACTATGGAAATTGGCAAATTGGCACACCATGCATCAGGGCTTTTTTTTTTTCTTTGAGAGCCAGGTTACTACTGTCTTCTCCCACTAGTCTGCCATAGCTCCTCCAAACCTCTGCCCAAAGAGAGTTAGATACCTCTTCCTCTGGGCTCCCCTAGCACCTTGGCTTCCCTTGAGCTTCCCAGAAGCTGGTGCTATGTCTGAGGCATCTCCTTATCTCAGTGCCCAGCTCAGGACCTGGCCCTTCAGGAGTGCCTGGTAAGTAAGTTTGCCCTGGATGGTCGTGCATATTGTTCACAGCACAATGAGGTAGCAGAGAGCAAAATTCAACCCAGAATCCACTCTCCAAGCTGTGTGCCTCAGTATGGGGCTTTGTTCACCCAGAGAGGGCACTTTTTTCTAATTTATATAAAGCAGTCACATGAGCTGGCAGCAGCCGTGTCACGTGCATTTCCTGCATTGGACTCCTTGCATCTCTCGCATGCCGGTGGTCTTGCTGCTGCCTCGCTCATTCTCAGGCCCTCCCCACCCCTACCCCTTCTGCGCCCTCCCTTAGCCATTGCTGACTGTGCTCCACTGGAGGCAAGAGGGGCAGAGCAGATGGAACAAAGGCATGCAGCAGGCTTGGCAGTGGCCCTGGGCCAGGCCCTGGGATTGGCTACTCATGTGAATCCCAGCCTGGCCTGGCAGGAAGTCAGGGTCTACCCAGAGTCAGCTGAAACTTAACTCCCAGGGCAGAATGTCAGCAAAAGAGGACTGGGAGCAGGTCACTGTGGTGGCAGCTGCCAGGGAGTTGCCCCTTCCCTCCACACACTATCCCCCCAGAGTCCAAGATGGAGCCCATGCTAACCATTGCCCTTACCTTAGCTGAATACCCTGGTTCAAAAACATTTACTTCCCTGAGCCTCCGTTTCCTGGCTTGTAAAATGAGGATTATAAGAATCTCTGCTCCTAAGGAGATAACAGATGTAAACTCTGAAGTTGTTAACTTTTAGAATCACTGGGAAGGTGAACTAGGGGATTCACATGCTATTCTAAGAGTTAATTTCCTGAGCAGGTATCATGTGCCAAAACCATACTGGGTACTTTGTGTCTATTATCTAATTTAATGTTCACAAAGACTCTGTAAGTGGCATTACAACCCATCCCTGTATCACAGATGAGGAAACGGAGTGCCAGGCAGGCTATGCAACCTGCCCAAGGCCACACAAGAAGCAAGAGGGGCAAGATTCAAACCCAGGTCTGTGTGACTCCAGAGTCCATGTATAATGCTATGCCTGTCTGGGTTCTTGAAGCAGCTGTGGTTTCATGTGATGTCAGCCTGGCTTTTCTCATCTGTCCTCTGGCCTGGGGCCTGAGCACTGGTCAGCACCACCCGCCATCCAGTGAGCCTCTTCTTTGGTTCATCTTGACATTTTGATGAATGCTGGCTGCTTGCCAGGACTGTGCTGGGCTGTGTGCAGGACTGAGGCTCCAGGTCCACCCTCCAGAAGTTTCCTCACTGGATGGGAGGAAAGATGGTTGCAGAAATGACCATCATACCAGGTGCTCCAGCAGCCAGACAGTGGGCTGTGAGGTCCATCAGAGGGAGCAGTCTTAGTCAGGAATAGCAATCAGGGAGGGTTGCTTGGAGGAGGCAGATTTTGAGATAAACCCGTAGATGCTGGGTAGACCCTGACTTCCCACCCACAGGGTGAAAAGTATCTCAGGTGACATGGAGGCCATGGCATCCCAGGTGCAGAGAGGAGTGGGGAAAGCCATGGAGCCCATCCACACAGGCTCACGGTACCCCCAGAGGAAAGCCAGAAAGGGGGTTAGGAGTCGGAGAGCTTTGAATGGGTAGGTTTAGGGAAAGTGGGCTGTGCTGTGCTCTGGGAAGATGGTTCTGGCTGGATGGGAGGGGACTGGGGGCAAGGAGAGGGTATCAGGGCCCAGGAGATCAGCCAGGAGCTATGGCCTCCAGGACCAGGGGGCTGTGGGGAGGCGCTCCTGCCTAACTGGAGTTGGGTCCGGCAGGGGAAGGGCTGAAGGCAGGTCTCAGGGAGGGGGCTCTGCTGACTCAGGCTCAGGAGGAGGCCACCTGTGCCTCCCCTTCAGGTGCCCCAGCCCCAGGCTGGGGGGAGGCAGGGCAGTGTGACACAGAGGAGGTGGCGAGTGGCATTTGATTTATTCCTTTATTCCTCATTCCTGGTTAGTCACCGAGGTCCTTGGAGACGGGAGCTTTTTCCTCAGTCCTGTGCTTATAACCTGTGGCAGCAAGTCTCTGTCCTTCTTTCTCCTTATACGGCCAGGGAAAGGGACTTGGGGAGTTCTGCCCAGGGTGACACGGAGCTGGCTCAGGACACAGTTTGGGAACCAGGACTTTGAAGCTGTTTGTTGACTCAAATAGTCTCTCTATCTCCAAGCAATGTTCTGTTGCCACCTGTGGTTGCGCCAAGACCATGGTGAATTGGGAAAGGGCAGAGCAGACCCCAGAGCCAGAAGGCACTGAGACAACATCTAGCCCAGTCCTCCTTTCACAAGCGGGGAAACTGAGGATGAGAGAAGGGATGGGACTAGCCTGAGGCCACAGGCCAGGTTAGTGGCAGAGCTCGGTTGGAGCTGCAGTATCCTGGCTGCACTGATGGATGGATGGGAGAAACCCTGTGGGCCCCGAGGGAGCCTGCAGGCCCGGCCCAGGCCAAGCAGGCCATCTCCACACACGGCTTCTGTGCTGCTCTCACCAAACTCTCCAAACTCCCCACAGAGCTGCTCTTCCCCAGGACCCCCAGGGCACCAGGGACCCTGCTCCCCAGGCCAGACAAGGCCTGGGGTGAGTCCCACAAATGAGAATATGTATAATGTCTGGGGTAGTGGCCAGATTCCCCACTTTTTATTCCAATATTTGACAATGAGGATGTGCTTAATATTTTGAAGAGAAGTTAAAGTAGATGGATTGTGCTGTCTTGTTTTCCCAGATTGGATGATTTGTGTCTGGCTTTTTTTACTCAACGTTGCGATTGTATCAGTTTTTTGTAGCTGTGTAACAAATTATCCCCAAATATAGCAACTTAAACAGCCTCAGAATCCTGGCATAAAACAATAAACATGTATTAACTCACCATTTCTGAGGGCCAGGAATCCAGGAGCAGTGTGGCTGGCTGACTTCGCCCAGAGTGCATGATCTGAGGTGGAGAAACTGCTTCCACCATGGCTCCCTCACAGCGTGGGCAGGAGACCTCAGCACCTTACCGTGTGCACCCGGCCTAGGGCTGTTGGAGTGTCCTCACAATATGGCAGCTAACTTCTCCCAGAGTGAGTGAGCCAAGTCAGAGAAAAAAGAAAGCCTCAGATGCCTTTTATGACCCAGCCTCGGAAGTTACACAAAGTCATTTCCACCATATTCTGTTTATTAAAAGTGAGTCACAAAGCACAACCCACACTCAAGGGGAGAGAAATCAGACACCACTTTTTGGAGGGGGGAGGATCAAAGAATTTTGCAGATATTAAGTCATCACAGTAAGAATTATCTATATTATTTTGTGTCACAGGAGTTGACCAGAAAGACCTCTGTAACTGAGAGGTGACAGCATGCTGGCAGCCCTCACAGCCCTCCCTCGCTCTCGGCGCCTCCTCAGCCTTGGCGCCCACTCTGGCCGCGCTTGTGGAGCCCTTCAGCCCGCCGCTGCACTGTGGGAGCCCCTTTCTGGGCTGGGCAAGGCCAGAGCCGGCTCCCTCAGCTTGCGGGGAGGTGTGGAGGGAGAGGCGCCGGCGGGAACCAGGGCTGTGCGCGGCGCTTGCGGGCCAGCGCGTGTTCCGGGTGGGCGTGCTCTCGGCGGGCCCCGCACTCGGAGCGGCCGGCCGACCCCGCCGGCTCCGGGCAGTGAGGGGCTTAGCACCTGGGCCAGCAGCTGCTGTGCTCGACTTCTCGCCGGGCCTTAGCTGCCTCCCCACGGGGCAGGGCTCGGGACCTGCAGCCCGCCATGCCTGAGCTTCCCCCACGCCGTGGTCTCCTGAGCGGCCCGAACCTCCCCGACAAGCGCCGCCCCCTGCTCCACGGCGCCCAGTCCCATCAACCACCCAAGGGCTGAGGAGTGCGGGCGCAGGGCGCGGGACTGGCAGGCAGCTCCACCTGCGGCCCCGGTGCAGGATCCACTGGGTGAAGCCAGCTGGGCTCCTGAGTCTGGTGGGGACTTGGAGAATCTTTATGTCTGGCTAAGGGATGGCAAATCCACCAATCAGCACTCTGTATCTAGCTCAAGGTTTGTAAACACACCAATCAGCACCCTGTGTCTAGCTCAGGGTTTGCAAATGCACCAATTGACACCTGTATCTAGCTACTCTGGTGGGGACATGGAGAACTTTTGTGTCCACACTCTGTATCTAGCTAATCTAGTGGGGAGGTGGAGAACTTTTGTGTCTAGCTCAGGGATTGTAAACGCACCAGTCAGCACCCTGTCAAAACAGACCAACCAGCTCTCTATAAAATGGACCAGTCGGCTCTCTGTAAAATGGACCAATCAGCAGGATATGGGTGGGGCCAGATAAGAGAATAAAAGCAGGCTGCCGGATAACGCAGTGGCAACCCGCTCGGGTCCACTTCCGCACTGTGGAAACTTTGTTCTTTCTCTGTTTGCCATAAATCTTGCCACTGCTCACTCTTTGGGTCCACACTGCCTTTATGAGTTGTAACACTCACCGCGAAGGTCTGCAGCTTCACTCCTGAAGCCATCGAGACCACGAACCCACTGGGAGGAACAAACAACTCCAGAGGCTCCGCCTTAAGAGCTGTAACACTCACCGCGAAGGCCTGCAGCTTCACTCCTGATCCAGGAGACCACAAACCCACCGGAAGGAAGAAACTCCTAACACATCCGAACATCAGAAGGAACAAACTCCGGACACACCGCCTTTAAGAACTATAACACTCACCTCGAGGGTCCGCGGCTTCATTCTTGCAGTCAGTGAGACCAAGAACCCACCAATTCCGGACACATAACTAGCAAAGCTACCTCAGGATGGAGCAGGTATCTCAAAGGGGGAGGAGTTCCCATCCTGGGGGTGTGTAAACAGCTGGGAGATGGAGGGAATTTTAATGTCAGTTAGGGTCTGGGACTCTGGAGTTGGATAACCTAATTCCCAGGCCTCCTTTCTGTTGTGTTTTGAAGTATTCCCAGTTGTCCATATCATCTGGGAATGGCCAGAATTGGCTCCGTCAAATGTCCAAAGTGAGATTCTTGATGTTCCTGTTGCGTCTGGCCAGAAAGGGAGCCTCAGAGCCACCGGCTCCAGGATACACCTTGTAACACCTAAGGTGTTGGTTGGTAATTTTGTTCAAGAGCAAATCTGATCTCTTTCTCATCTGATGGGTAATGCTCTGACATGGTAAAGGTGTGAGGACACACAGCTGTCACACACTGCTGAAGGGCATGCCGACTTTTACATCCTTTTGTCAGAGCAGTCTCAATTTTAATTTGAAAGCGCCTATCTTTCAACCTAGCAGTTTTGATTTCCGTAGGAAGCCTGAGGAATACCCCCTCCCTCCCCTGCCACTGCCACGTTGTTCGTAACACGAAAAAACAGAAGTAACCTAAATATCCATCTACACCAGGGCGTCCCGTGAAGCCAATAGAAGGAATAAGGTCATTCTCTACATACTGACTCTGAAAGAGCTCTGCAAAATATTAAATGAAAAAGGTGGGCTAGGCATGACAGCTCATGCCTGTAATCCCAGCACTTTGGGAGGCCAAGGAGGGAGCTCACTAGAGACCAGGAGTTCAAGACCAGCCTGGTCAACATAGCAAGACCCCATCTCTGTAAAAAAAAGTAAAGGAAATTAGCCAGACATGGTGGCACGTGCCTGTAGTCCTAGCTACTTGGGAGGCTGAGCAGGAGGATCACTTGAGCCCAGGAGTCAGAAGCTGTAGTGAGCTATGATTGCACTGCTTTGTGCTGCTGCACTCTAGCCTGGGCAACAGAGTGAGACACAGTCTCCAAAAAAATAAATAAATAAATATTAAAATAAAATGAAAAAGGCAAGTTGCAGAACAGTAAGTATAGTATGAATTCATTTAAACAAGAAACAAGTACCACAAAACAAAACAAATCCCTGTACATTTCTGTCATATACTTCATGCATAGAAACACAACTCATTGGCCATGATGGTTACTTTTTTTTTTTTTTCTTTTTTTGAGACGGAGTCTTGCTCTGTTGCCCAGGCTGGAGTGCAGTGGCACGATCTCGGCTCACTGCAAGCTCCGCCTCCCAGGTTCACGCCATTCTCCTACCTCAGCCTCCCGAGTAGCTGGGACTACAGGTGCCCGCCACCACGTCCAGCTAATTTTTTTTTTTGTATTTTTTAGTAGAGACCGGGTTTCACCATGTTAGCCAGGATGGTCTCGATCTCCTGACCTTGTGATCCGCCCACCTCGGCCTCCCAAATTGCTGGGATTACAGGCGTGAGCCATCGCGCCTGGCCCATGGTGGTTACTTCTACGGAAGGGGGTGGGACTGGGAATAAATCGGGTGAGGGAGACTCTTTCCTTTTACTCAATCTGTGTTAATATCATATGAATTGTTAATAATGTGGTTATATTTATTCACAAGTGGTTTTTTACTTCTCAAGCAAATCTGAAGGAGTATGAGAGTTCTTTCCCAACCATCCTGTCCCTGGCTCTGCTGCCCAGAGACTGTTGCCAGTCCGGGCATGACCAACCCCTTGGTCTCTCCCCCTTTACACACTTTCAGGCACAGGCAGCTCACTACCTTACCAGGCAGTTCCTCAGCGTGTGGACACTTCTAATGGTCAGAGGCATTCCTCCATGCTGAGCCAAACACCATCTGCGTGTAGTTCCTCTCGTCAGTCCTACTTCTGCCTTCTGGTCATTCTCAGAGGCACTTAAGTGAGGTGGAAACCAGCACAGACTCTAGAGCTCGCTGCCTGTATTCAAATCCTGGTCCTGCAACTGACCCATGCTAGGATTTGGGAAAAATTTCTTAATACTTCTGTGCTTCAATTTTTTTTGCCTATAAAATGAAAATAATGAGGATGGGCATAGTGGCTCATGCCTGTAACCCAGCACTTTGGGAGGCTGAGGTGGGTGGATCACTTGAGGTCAGGAGTTCAAGACCAGCCTGGCCAACATGGTAAAACCCCATCTCTACTAAAAATACAAAAATTAGCTGGGCGTGGTGGTGCTACTCAGGAGGCTGAGGCAGGAGCATCGCTTGAACCCAGAAGGCAGAGGTTGCAGCAAGCCAAGATCGTGCTATGCACTCCAGTCTGGGCGACAGAACAAGACTCCATCTCAAAAAATAACATAAAATAAAATAAAATGAAAATAACGATAGTAGTTTTCCTTAGATTGACAGGAAAAATTCCTTAGATTGATAGGAAAAAATGAATTAGCTTTTGTAAAATGTTTATGACATTGTTTAGCATGCAGTAATCACTAAATAAGTTACTTGAAAAATAAGTCAGAGAACTGGTTTTTAGTCGTGGCTCCCCAGCCACTGGTTCTCTCTTCTATAAAATGAATGAGTCCTTTTAGTCTCAGGGTCCCCGGAGTCAGAGAAAGATGCAGGTATGAAGCTTCTTTGACATCTCTTTTTTTGGAGACAGAGTCTCACTCTGTCACCAGGCTGGAGTACAGTGGCATGATCTCAGCTCACTGCAAACTCCGCCTCCCTGGTTCAAGCAATTCTCCTGCCTCAGCTTCCCAAGTAACTGGGACTACAGGTGCGCTCCACCATGCCCAGATAATTTTTGTATTTTTAGTAGAGATGGGGTTTACCATGTTGGCCAGGATGGTCTCGATCTCCTGACCTCGTGATCCGCCCGCCTCGGCCTCCCAAAGTGCTGGGATTACAGGCGTGAGCCACCGTGCCCGGCCGAAGCTTCTTTGACATCTTAAGGCTTACTGTAAGGTGTATGCACGTGTTCTATTTTACTCCTTAATGTAAAAAGAATGGGTTTGCTCTGAGATGAACACTCCTGGAAGATCATGATTATCTAATGGAATCCTGTACCTTGTCGCACATGCCCAGACACATCTGTGTGTATCTAGGGTACTGGACACTAATGTGAGAACTGGGCCTAGAGGAACCTGGGGCAGTCCTTTCAGCCCCAGGTCAAGGTCAAGCCTTGGCTCTGTCATGAATAAGCCGAGGGAGCATGGTCCAACTTCCATCTACACATGGATTCAGTATACTCATCTCTAAGATGCAGATGCTGGCTCCTGCCTGCCCTGCTCACCTCCCAGGGATGTAGACAGGTCGAATGGGGGCAATGCATGTTAAGGGGCTTTGTACTCTGCACGAAGCATCAGCTTTGCAGAGGCAGTCCTCGAAGTCCCTGGTAGCCCCTTCACTCAGGGGAGACCAGTACTTTCTGAGACTAGCCCATCCTGAGTTTTAGCAGGGCATTTGCAGCAAGAGACCTCAAGGAGAGGCCAGGGTTCCTGCTAACTGGGGAGGGTGGGTGGAGGAGCTGCCAGTTCCTTCTTGGGGCCTCAGATGGTTGCTGTGCCATCTCCAGGCCAAAACGGCCAGATTCCAGGGCTGTGCTGAGTCCTCCAAGGACCGACCTGACCTCTTCCCAGCATTCTCAGGAGCCTTGCCAGAGGGGCCGGTGGAATTTCACCAGTGTCCCTCTGCCTGCCGTGGCCAGCTTTCTGAGCCCAGTCTGAACCCAGATGAGCTCTGGTGAACTCAGAATACCTGGGGGGAGTTCTCAATCAAGAGTCTCAGCTGCAATTCGTGCTTGTCCATTTGGATGCTGGGCTGACGTCGCCTCTATCCCTCCCAAGCATGTTCCTGTTTCCTCCATTCAATTCAATTCTGCACACCTCGACCGAGAGAAACTGGGTACTATGTCCTACCCGAGAGCTCATGGTCTACAGCAGCACTGTTCAATAGAACTTCCTGTGATGATGGAACTGTTCCATATCTGCATTAACCAACATGGTAGTCTCCAGCCAGTGGCTATTTGTTTGCTGGTTTTTGTAGTGACGAGTTTTCTCTATGTTGCCTGCCCAGGTTGGTCTCAAACTCCTGGTCTCAAGTGATCCTCCTGCCTCAGCTTCCCAGAGTGCTGGGATTATAGGTGTGAGCCACTGTGCCCGGCTACCAGTGGCTATCAAGCACTAGAAATGTGGCTAATAGGACTGAGGAAATGAACTATACATCGTTTTCATTTTAATTATTTAGATGTATAGAGCAACATGTGGCTAGTAGCTACTGTAGCTACTGTATTGGACAATACCGTTCTAATTGGTGAGACAGCTATAGAGGCAGGTGACCCAAGTAAGGCAGATGGACTCTGCCAGGTGTAGGGAGGGACATCCAATGTGCACTTGAGTGTGGAATGGGGAGAGATCATTTCCTGGGGTCAGGATCAGGAAAAGCCTCTTGGGGAGGGGGAATTTGCAGTGCATATTAAGGCAATAGGGATATACTTACAGGGAGGCTAAAAGCATTCCACATGGAGGCACATGAGCTTTTTGGAGTAGATCTCTGTCTGCACCAGGTACCATTATCAGACTGCCAGAGATAAACAGGCCGAGTAAGGAAGGAGAGAGAGAAGGAAAGCAAAGAGTCATTTGTGAGCCTTGAGTACCAGGCTGAGGAGATGGGGCTGTGTCCTGTTGGCTTAGTGAGGGAATGAGCTGAGATCATGCAAGTGGGGCACGAGGCAGGGCCTGGGACACAGTAAATTGCAGCAGTTCTTGGCAGTGGGGAGCCATTAGAGGTGGTTGTGTATTTCTGTTTGGTTTCTATTTCTGGTTTTTAAATTATTATTATTAAACTTTTAAAATTTGGGGATAATTGCAGACTAGTATGCAGTTGTAAGAAATAATACAGAGGAGCCGAGTGCAGTGGCTCACACCTGTAATCCCAGCACTTTGGGAGGCCAAGACGGGTGGATCACTTGAGGCCGAGTTCGAGACCAGCCTGGCCAACATAGTGAAATCCCATCTCTACTAAAAACACAAAAAATTAGCTGAGTGTGGTGGCACATGCTTGTAGTCCCAGCTACTTGGGAGGCTGAGTCAGGAGAATCACTTGAACCTGGGAGGCAGAGGCTGCAGTGAGCCGAGATTGCACCACTACACTCCAGCCTGGGCAACAGAGTGAGACTCTGTCTCAGAAAAGAAAGAAAGAGAGGAAGGAAGGAGGGAAGGAAGGGAGGGAGGGAGGGAACAGAGAGATCCCTTGTACTCTATGCAGTTTAGGTGGGAACTGTAGTTTTGTATCACAGCAAGGATAGTAACATTTATAAGGTCAAGATACGAAATATTTCCATCACAGGGATCTCTCATATTGCCCTTTTGTAGCCAAGTTCACTTGTCTCTTCCTTCTGCCTCCTTAACCCCAGGCAACCACTAACCTGTTTTCCATTTTAATATTTTGTCATTTAAAGAATGTTATATATATAATGTTATCTAAATGAAAATCATATATTATGTAACCATTTTGGACTGGCTTTTTTTTTTTCACTTGGCATAATTCTTTTTTATTTTATTTTATTTCTTTTTTCTTTTTTTTTATTATACTTTAAGTTTTAGGGTACATGTGCACATTGTGCAGGTTAGTTACATATGTATACATGTGCCATGCTGGTGCGCTGCACCCACTAACTCGTCATCTAGCATTAGGTATATCTCCCGATGCTATCCCGCCCCCCTCCCCCCACCCCACAACAGTCCCCAGAGTGTGATGTTCCCCTTCCTGTGTCCATGTGATCTCATTGTTCAATTCCCACCTATGAGTGAGAATATGCGGTGTTTGGTTTTTTGTTCTTGCGATAGTTTACTGAGAATGATGATTTCCAATTTCATCCATGTCCCTACAAAGGACATGAACTCATCATTTTTTATGGCTGCATAGTATTCCATGGTGTATATGTGCCACATTTTCTTAATCCAGTCTGTCATAGATGGACATTCGGGTTGGTTCCAAGTCTTTGCGATTGTGAATAATGCCGCAATAAACATACGTGTGCAGGTGTCTTTATAGCAGCATGATTTATAGTCCTTTGGGTATATACCCAGTGATGGGATGGCTGGGTCAAATGGTATTTCCAGTTCTAGATCCCTGAGGAATCGCCACACTGACTTCCACAATGGTTGAACTAGTTTACAGTCCCACCAACAGTGTAAAAGTGTTCCTATTTCTCCACATCCTCTCCAGCACCTGTTGTTTCCTGACTTTTTAATGATCGCCAGTCTAACTGGTGTGAGATGGTATCTCATTGTGGTTTTGATTTGCATTTCTCTGATGGCCAGTGATGATGAGCATTTTTTCATGTGTTTTTTGGCTACATAAATGTCTTCTTTTGAGAAGTGTCTGTTCATGTCCTTCGCCCACTTTTTGATGGGGTTGTTTGTTTTTTTTCTTGTAAATTTGTTTGAGTTCATTGTAGATTCTGGATATTAGCCCTTTGTCAGATGAGTAGGTTGCGAAAATTTTCTCCCATTTTGTAGGTTGCCTGTTCACTCTGATGGTAGTTTCTTTTGCTGTGCAGAAGCTCTTTAGTTTAATTAGATCCCATTTGTCAATTTTGTCTTTTGTTGCCATTGCTTTTGGTGTTTTAGACATGATGTCCTTGCCCATGCCTATGTCCTGAATGGTAATTTAGCCTAGGTTTTCTTCTAGGGTTTTTATGGTTTTAGGTCTAACGTTTAAGTCTTTAATCCATCTTGAATTGATTTTTGTAGAAGGTGTAAGGAAGGGATCCAGTTTCAGCTTTCTACATATGGCTAGCCAGTTTTCCCAGCACCATTTATTAAATAGGGAATCCTTTCCCCATTGCTTGTTTTTCTCAGGTTTGTCAAAGATCAGATAGTTGTAGATATGTGGCGTTATTTCTGAGGGCTCTGTTCTGTTCCATTGATCTATATCTCTGTTTTGGTACCAGTACCATGCTGTTTTGGTTACTGTAGCCTTATAGTATAGTTTGAAGTCAGGTAGTGTGATGCCTCCAGCTTTGTTCTTTTGGCTTAGGATTGACTTGGCGATGCAGGCTCTTTTTTGGTTCCATATGAACTTTAAAGTAGTTTTTTCCAATTCTGTGAAGAAAGTCATTGGTAGCTTGTTGGGGATGGCATTGAATCTGTAAATTACCTTGGGCAGTATGGCCATTTTCACGATATTGATTCTTCCTACCCATGAGCATGGAATGTTCTTCCATTTGTTTGTATCCTCTTTTATTTCCTTGAGCAGTGGTTTGTAGTTCTCCTTGAAGAGGTCCTTCACATCCCTTGTAAGTTGGATTCCTAGGTATTTTATTCTCTTTGAAGCAATTGTGAATGGGAGTTCACTCATGATTTGGCTCTCTGTTTGTCTGTTATTGGTGTATAAGAATGCTTGTGATTTTTGTACATTGATTTTGTATCCTGAGACTTTGCTGAAGTTGCTTATCAGCTTAAGGAGATTTTGGGCTGAGACAATGGGGTTTTCTAGAAATACAATCATGTCGTCTGCAAACAGGGACAATTTGACTTCTTCTTTTCCTAATTGAATACCCTTTATTTCCTTCTCCTGTCTAATTGCCCTGGCCAGAACTTCCAACACTATGTTGAATACGAGTGGTGAGAGAGGGCATCCCTGTCTTGTGCCAGTTTTCAAAGGGAATGCTTCCAGTTTTTGCCCATTCAGTATGATATTGGCTGTGGGTTTGTCATAGGTAGCTCTTATTATTTTGAAATATGTCCCATCAATACCTAATTTATTGAGAGTTTTTAGCATGAAGGGTTGTTGAATTTTGTCAAAGGCTTTTTCTGCATCTATTGAGATAATCATGTGGTTTTTGTCTTTGGCTCTGTTTATATGCTGGATTACATTTATTGATTTGTGTATATTGAACCAGCCTTGCATCCCAGGGATGAAGCCCACTTGATCATGGTGGATAAGCTTTTTGATGTGCTGCTGGATTCGTTTTGCCAGTATTTTATTGAGGATTTTTGCATCAATGTTCATCAAGGATATTGGTCGAAAATTCTCTTTTTTTGTTGTGTCTCTGCCTGGCTTTGGTATCAGAATGATGCTGGCCTCATAAAATGAGTTAGGGAGGATTCCGTCTTTTTCTATTGATTGGAATAGTTTCAGAAGGAATGGTACCAGTTCCTCCTTGTACCTCTGGTAGAATTCGGCTGTGAATCCATCTGGTCCTGGACTCTTTTTGGTTGGTAAGCTATTGATTATTGCCACAATTTCAGCTCCTGTTATTGGTCTATTCAGAGATTCAACTTCTTCCTGGTTTAGTCTTGGGAGAGTGTATGTGTCCAGGAATTTATCCATTTCTTCTAGATTTTCTAGTTTATTTGCGTAGAGGTGTTTGTAGTATTCTCTGATGGTAGTTTGTATTTCTGTGGGATCGGTGGTGATATCCCCTTTATCATTTTTTATTGCGTCTATTTGATTCTTCTCTCTTTTTTTCTTTATTAGTCTTGCTAGCGGTCTATCAATTTTGTTGATCCTTTTAAAAAACCAGCTCCTGGATTCATTAATTTTTTGAAGGGTTTTTTTTGTCTCTATTTCCTTCAGTTCTGCTCTGATCTTAGTTATTTCTTGCCTTCTGCTAGCTTTTGAATGTGTTTGCTCTTGCTTTTCTAGTTCTTTTAATTGTGATGTTAGGGTGTCAATTTTGGATCTTTCCTGCTTTCTCTTGTGGGCATTTAGTGCTATAAATTTCCCTCTACACACTGCTTTGAATGCGTCCCAGAGATTCTGGTATCTTGTGTCTTTGTTCTCGTTGTTTCAAAGAACAACTTTATTTCTGCCTTCATTTCGTTATGTACCCAGTAGTCATTCAGGAGCAGGTTGTTCAGTTTCCATGCAGTTGAGCAGTTTTGAGTGAGATTCTTAATCCTGAGTTCTAGTTTGATTGCACTGTGGTCTGAGAGATAGTTTGTTATAATTTCTGTTCTTTTACATTTGCTGAGGAGAGCTTTACTTCCCAGTATGTGGTCAATTTTGGAATAGGTGTGGTGTGGTGCTGAAAAAAATGTATATTCTGTTGATTTGGGGTGGAGAGTTCTGTAGATGTCTATTAGGTCCGCCTGGTGCAGAGCTGAGTTCAATTCCTGGGTATCCTTGTTGACTTTCTGTCTCGTTGATCTGTCTAATGTTGACAGTGGGGTGTTAAAGTCTCCTATTATTAATGTGTGGGAGTCTAAGTCTCTCTGTAGGTCACTCAGGACTTGCTTTATGAATCTGGGTGCTCCTGTATTGGGTGCATATATATTTAGGATAGTTAGCTCTTCTTGTTGAATTGATCCCTTTACCATTATGTAATGGCCTTCTTTGTCTCTTTTGAGCTTTGTTGGTTTAAAGTCTGTTTTATCAGAGACTAGGATTGCAACAACCCCTGCCTTTTTTTGTTTTCCATTTGCTTGGTAGATCTTCCTCCATCCTTTTATTTTGAGCCTATGTGTGTCTCTGCAAGTGAGATGGGTTTCCTGAATACAGCACACTGATAGGTCTTGACTCTTTATCCAATTTGCCAGTCTGTGTCTTTTAATTAGAGCATTTAGTCCATTTACATTTAAAGTTAATATTGTTATGTGTGAATTTGATCCTGTCATGATGATGTTAGCTGGTTATTTTGCTCGTTAGTTGATGCAGTTTCTTCCTAGTCTTGATGGTCTTTACATTTTGGCATGATTTTGCAGCGGCTGGTACCAGTTGTTCCTTTCCATGTTTAGTGCTTCCTTCAGGAGCTCTTGTAAGGCAGGCCTGGTGGTGACAAAATCTCTCAGCATTTGCTTGTCTGTAAAGGATTTTATTTCTCCTTCACTTATGAAGCTTAGTTTGGCTGGATATGAAATTCTGGGTTGAAAATTCTTTTCTTTAAGAATGTTGAATATTGGCCCCCACTCTCTTCTGGCTTGTAGGGTTTCTGCCGAGAGATCCGCTGTTAGTCTGATGGGCTTCCCTTTGTGGGTAACCTGACCTTTCTCTCTGGCTGCCCTTAACATTTTTTCCTTCATTTCAACTTTGGTGAATCTGACAATTATGTGTCTTGGAGTTGCTCTTCTCGAGGAGTATCTTTGTGGCATTCTCTGTATTTCCTGAATCTGAATGTTGGCCTGCCTTGCTAGATTGGAGAAGTTCTCCTGGATAATATCCTGCAGAGTGTTTTCCAACTTGGTTCCATTCTCCCCATCACTTTCAGGTACACCAATCAGACGTAGATTTGGTCTTTTCACATGGTCCCATATTTCTTGGAGGCTTTGCTCATTTCTTTTTATTCTTTTTTCTCTAAACTTCCCTTCTTGCTTCATTTCATTCATTTCATCTTCCATTGCTGATACCCTTTCTTCCAGTTGATCGCATCGGCTCCTGAGGCTTCTGCATTCTTCACGTAGTTCTCGAGCCTTGGTTTTCAGCTCCATCAGCTCCTTTAAGCACTTCTCTGTATTGGTTATTCTAGTTATACATTCTTCTAAATTTTTTTCAAAATTTTCAACTTCTTTGCCTTTGGTCTGAATGTCCTCCCGTAGCTCAGAGTAATTTGATCGTCTGAAGCCTTCTTCTCTCAGCTCGTGAAAGTCATTCTCCATCCAGCTTTGTTCCGTTGCTGGTGAGGAACTGCGTTCCTTTGGAGGAGGAGAGGTGCTCTGCTTTTTAGAGTTTCCAGTTTTTCTGTTCTGTTTTTTCCCCATCTTTGTGGTTTTATCTACTTTTGGTCTTTGATGACGGTGATGTACAGATGGGTTTTTGGTGTGGATGTCCTTTCTGTTTGTTAGTTTTCCTTCTAACAGAGAGGACCCTCAGCTGCAGGTCTGTTGGAAAACCCTGCTGTGTGACGTGTCAGTGTGCCCCTGCTGAGGGGTGCCTCCCAGTTAGGCTGCCCGGGGGTCAGGGGTCAGGGACCCACTTGAGGAGGCAGTCTGCCCGTTCTCAGATCTCCAGCTGCGTGCTGGGAGAACCACTGCTCTCTTCAAAGCTGTCAGACAGGGACATTTAAGTCTGCAGAGGTTACTGCTGTCTTTTTGTTTGTCTGTGCCCTGCCCCCAGAGGTGGAGCCTACAGAGGCAGGCAGGCCTCCTTGAGCTGTGGTGGGCTCCACCCAGTTCGAGCTTCCCGGCTGCTTTGTTTACCTAATCAAGCCTGGGCAATGGCGGGCGCCCCTCCCCCAGCCTCGCTGCCGCCTTGCAGTTTGATCTCAGACTGCTGTGCTAGCAATCAGCGAGACTCTGTGGGCGTAGGACCCTCCGAGCCAGGTGCGGGATATAATCTCGTGGTGCGCCATTTTTTAAGCCCGTCGGAAAAGCGCAGTATTCGGGTGGGAGTGACCCGATTTTCCAGGTGCCGTCCGTCACCCCTTTCTTTGACTCAGAAAGGGAACTCCCTGACCCCTTGCGCTTCCCAGGTGAGGCAATGCCTCGCCCTGCTTCGGCTCGCGCACGGTGCACGCACCCACTGACCCGCGCCCACTGTCTGGCACTCCCTAGTAAGATGAACCTGGTACCTCAGATGGAAATGCAGAAATCACCCGTCTTCTGCGTTGCTCACGCTGGGAGCTGTAGACCGGAGCTGTTCCTATTCGGCCATCTTGGCTCCTCCCCACCACTTGGCATAATTCTATGGAGATTCATCCAAGTTGTTGCATGTACCAATCGTTTGCTCTTTTTCACTGGTGAGTAGTATTCCATGGTGTGGATGTACCAGGGTTTGTTTGACCACTCACCTGTTGAAGGGCGTCTGGGTTGTTTCCAGGTTTGTCTATTACATATAAAGCTGCTATAAACATTCATGTACAGATTTTATGTAAACATATGTTTTAATTTCTCTGGGATAAATACCTGGGAGTCCAATTGCATTTTTAAAAAACTCAACTCTTGTGCACAGTGTGCCATTTTCTAGACCCACCAGTAGTTTATGAGTGAGCCAGTTTCTCTACATTCTCACCAACGTTTGGTGTTGTTGCTAATTTTTATTTTAGAGATTTTGATAGGTATGTAGTGATATCTCATTGTGATTTTGATTTGCATTTCTGTGATAGGTCATGATGTTGAACATCTTGTCATGTGATTATCTGCAATATGTACATCCTCTTCAGTGAATGTCTCTTCATATCCTTTCCCCGTTTTCTAATTGTTTGTTTTTTTTTTACTGTGGAGTTTTTTTCTAATTGACACGTACTTCACACACCACACAATTCATCCTTTTAAAATTCAGTGGGTTTTGATGTATTCATAAGGCTCTGCAACCATCACCACTATCTAATTCTAGAAAATTTTTATCACTCAAAAAAGAAACTCTGTACCCATTAGCTCTCATTCTGCTTTTATCCCCTCCCCCAGCCCCTGGCAACCACTAACCTCCTTTCCATCGCTATGGATTTGCCTCATCTAGACATTTCATATCAATGGAATCATACAATATATGGCCTTTGTGTCTGGCTTCTTTCATTTAGCATAATGTTTTCCAGGGTCATTCGTGTTGTATAATAGCACATATCAGAACTTTATTCCCTTTCTGACTGAATAATACTCCACTGTAAGGATCTACCACGTTGTGTGTATCCATTCATCAGATGATGGACATTTGGGTTGTTTCTTCTTTTGGCTATTCTGAATAATGCTGTTATGAGCATTCATGAACAAGTTTTTTGTGTGGACTTATGTTTTTATTTATTTTCCACCCAAGAGTGGAATTGCTGGGTCATATGGTAGCTCTATGTTTAACTTTTTCAGGAACTGACAAACTGTCTTTCAAAGGAGCTGCACCATTTTATATTCCCACCAGCAATGTATGAGGGTGCCACTTTCTCCACATTCTTGTCAACACTTGTTACTGTCTGTCTTTTCTATTATAGTCATCTTGGTATGTGTGAAGTGGAATCTCATTGTGGTTTGATTTGCATTTTCTGAATTATTAATGATGAGCACTTTTTCATATATTTATTTGCCATTTTTATCTTTACAGAAGTGTCTATTCAAATCCTTTGCTCATTTATAAATTGTGTTTTTACTGTTGAGTTCTAATAGTTCTTTATATATTCATATTTAAATCCTATATCTACCAAATATTTTTACAAATATCAATACAAAATATTTTTCCCATTCTTTGTGTTGTCTTTTCACTTTCTTGTGTCTGTTGAAGCACAAAAGTTTTAAATTTTGATGAAGTGTAACATCTATTGATCTATGGCATTGATTCTTTTAATCAATTTGGTAATATTGCAATATTAACAATATTAAGTCTTCTGATCCATGAAGACTTAAGATCCATGGGATGTTTTTTATATTTATTTAGGTCTTATTTAATGTATTTCAGTGTTGTTTTGTAGTTTTCAATATATAAGTCTTTACTTCTTTTGTTAGAAATAAATCTAACAAAAGAAGTTAGAATTAGTATTTTATTCTTTTTGGCCAAGCGCAGTGGCTCACGCCTATGATCCCAGAACTTTGGCCAAGGCAGGTGGATCACCTGAGTTCAGGAGTTTGAAAGCAGCCTGGCCAACATGGCAAAACCCTGTCTCTACTAAAAATACAAAAATTAGCCACGTATGGTGGCATGCGCCTGTAATCCCAGCTACTCAGGAGGCTGAGGCAGGAGAATTGCTTGAACCCAGGAGGCAGAGGTTGTGGTGAGCCAAGATTGCACCACTGCACTCCAGCCTGAACAACAAGAGTGAGACTCTGTCTCAAAAAAAAAAAAAAAAAAGAAGAAGAATTAATATTTTTTATATTATTATAAATTTAATTATTCTCTCAGGTTCATTTTCAGATTGCTTATTGCTAGTGTATAGAAGTACAACTGATTTTTGTGTATTGATCTTATATTCTGTAATTTTGCCAAACTCACTAATTTTTTTTTTTTTTTTTTTTGAGACAGAGTCTCATTCTGTTGCCAGGCTGGAGTGCAGTGGCGCGATCTCTGCTCACTGCAACCTCTGCCTCCCGGGTTCTCCTGCCTCAGCCTCCCGAGTATCTGGGACTACAGGTGTGCGCCACCACGCCCAGCTACTTTTTGTATTTTTTTTTTTTTTAGTAGAGACAGTGTTTCACCACGTTGGCCAGGATAGTCTGGATTTCTTGACCTCGTGATCCACCCGCCTCGGCCTCCCAAAGTGCTGGGATTACAGGCGTGAGCCACTGTGCCCGGCCGGAACTCACTAATTTTGTGTAGGGGTGTGTGTGTATTCTTAGAATTTTCTATATACAACATTATATCATCTGCAAATACAGATAGTTTTACTTTGTCCTTTGCAGTCTGGAAGCATTTTATTTATTTTTCTTGCTTAATTATCCTGTCTAGACCCCCCCAGTAAAATGTTGGTGAGAGCAAACATCCTTATCTTGTTCCTAATCTTGGAGGGAAAGCTTTCAGTCTTTAACTATTAAGTATGATGTTAGCTTTCTGTCTTTTACCTCCTGTTTAAGATTATATTTATGTTTTATTATTTTATTATATATGGTAATAGAAAATCCAAACAATACAATAAGATATAAAGAAGGAAACAAAAACTTTCTCCCCAAATCCCACCATTATCAATATACTTAAAAGTTTTTTTTCTGCATTATGTATATATATGGAAAATATAGACAACTTTACATACAAATCGTCTATTTTGTGACCAGGGTTTTTTTTCTTTTTTTTTCTTTCCATTCAATATTGGTTCATGGCCATCTTTACATGCTATGGCCAAGGATTTGCACCATCATTTTAGAGCTGCCCACATTCTATTTAGTATGGTTGAACTATCATTTATCTGAGCAACTCTCTATGAATTCTTTTTTTTTCAATTTTTATTTATTTTTTGTTTTTTGGAGACAGAGTCTCGCTCTGTCGCCTGGGCTGGAGGGCAGTGGCACAATTTCGGCTCGCTGCAAACTCTGCCTCCCGGGTTCAAGCCATTCTCCTGCCTCAGCCTCCCAAGTAGCTGGGACTACAGGTGCCCGCCATCACACCTGGCTATTTTTTTTGTATTTTTAGTAGAGACAGGGTTTCACCATGTTGCCCAGGGTGGTCTCGAACTCCTTAGCTCAGGCAGACTGCCCACCTCCGCCTCCCAAAGTGCTAGGATAACAGGCATGAGCCACCACGCCTGGCCTCTTAAGAAATTGTTTCCCTTTTCCTGGCACTATTATAACTGAGACTGTGATGAACATCCTCATCATATTCTTCCCAACATTGTTGGGTCTTTCTGTTTTTTTTTTTCTGATTTTTTTTCTTTATATCTTTGTCAGATGATCACTATAGATTTGGGGGCAGGGAACCATTAATAATATGATCAGAATTGGGCTTTAGAAAGCTAACTTTGGCATTGTCAACTTACCATGTGATCTTGGGAAAACCTTTTTTCCTTCTCTGGGCCTCAATTTTTTCATTTATAATTTGAAGAGACTAAATTACTGGTTATCAGACTTGGGTGCATATTGAAATCTCCTGAGAAGTTTTTAAAAACACAGCCATCAGAGTCCCACTCCCCAGAGATTCTGATTCAGGTAGTTTGGGGTATAGCCCGGACAGCAGGGTTTTAAAAGTCTCCTTAGGACTAGATGATTGAATGTCCTCCTTCAAATACTCTTCTGTCGTGGAGCTCTTACTTGGGCACCTGCTCAGAGAGAGGCTGTTGTAAAGCAGTGAAAAGATCTGTTCTTGGCATCCAGCAGACCTGAATTTGAATCCCAGCTCATTTGCTCCTGGCCGTGTGACCTTTCAACTTCTCTAAACTTCCATTTCCCTACTCTTGGAGAGGAGGCTAAAATCCCCTCCCACTACTCAAGAGTTTCTGCAGGTAGAGGTGGTTTAGGCACTGTACACATGGAATGAGTGGTGATTTTATTTTTTATTTTTTATTTTTTCTTGACTAAAGAGCCAGCCCCTGGGCAACAAAGTGGAAATGGAGATTGTGAGCATGTTGGAAAAAAACGCAACACTTCTCAAATTCGGCTACCACTTTACCCAGCAAGGACCCCGGCTTCGGGCATCCAACGCAATGATGAACAACAATGACCTTGGTGAGTAGAAATATGCTTCCTGCCCTGCCCGCAGTCCTGTTATTCCCTCCACCTGTGCTGGGGATGTCAGGGAAAATTCTGTAGATGCCTCTCCGAGTCTTCTTGAGCCTTGATTTTCACATTGATCGCGTCTTCCTTGTTTTCTGTGTTTGTACCTCATCTCCACCCTGGACTACGAGCTCCTTGACTTCAGGAGCTAAGGCTGAGTCCTCTCCTCCTCAAAGCACAGCTCAGCACAGGCTGGGCCCAGAGCACACTTAAGTGTGTTTGCAGAAGGAACTGAAATTTGGGAGGGCACAAGTCTCGCCGGGAGTATTTTCCTCTTCTGAATACCCTTTTCTGAACTCATAGCGTCCTCTCCAGGTCACACAGTCTAGATTTAGCCCCAAATCCCAAAACTACCTTCCAATAGGACTACCAAAATCTGAGCCTAGGAGACTTCACATTGATTTTAAGGTAAAAGTTGAAAATGTCAACTTCATAGTAAAGTAAAAGTAGGGTATATTAATGTAATCTCAATTAAAGGCATAGTTTGTTTTTTTCTAAAAGGAAAAATTATTATGAAGGAGACATTATCAGGAAATTTTAAAAAATAAAAAAATTAAGAAAATGAAAATATCACAATATTTTTTGATAATGAACACTTATATACCTATATGAACAAATAGGTATATAAGTCAACTGAATGAAGTTTGAGCAATCATGATCTTACTTGCAGATGCCGGTTGTTCACAAGCTCTGTGTAGTTATTGCTTATGTATATTCCTGCTGGCTGCCAAAAAAGAATTTGATATAGCATTCAACAAAGGGAGCATGACTGACAAGGCTATAGGAAAACAAGAGGGGGAAAAAAAACAAGAAAAGCAGTAGGTCTATATCATTAACATGAATGATGATTATATTGAGCCCTGAGTTTCCTAGAACCAAGACAGCAGGAAGCCAAGCCAAGTTACATTATTCTTATCACAGAAGGGAAGGAAGCATAATGAGTTTGAAAAAAAAAAAAGAAAAGCCTCTTTCTGGGACTACATTGTGAAATGAACTTGTGTTTTAAAGGACAGCATCTTCAGTGAGTTTCTCATCAGATTCAAACCTGCTCTACACAATGGTTTCCAACCCTCGATAAAATGCAAAGAGCCTAATATGAATGCTCCACTCAAAGTATGTCACTTCCTGGTGATTTATCTGAGGCCAGGTCACTACCTGGAAGCCCTCGAAGAACAGAGATGAGTGTGTAGGAGTGAATGCTCAAGGCAGGTGTGCACAGACCCCACATGCACAGATAACCACAGGATTACACACACACACACACTTTAGATCGAGTTATTAAATTCCACAAACATATACCAAAATTCTATAGGTTCCTGCTTGTAAGGATGTCACAGCCCAGGAGCTATTCATTCATTGCTCACTGCAAATGCCACTATTTTCTAGAGCCTCGGGTTTAGAAAAGCCCATTTTTTAAAATGTGTGCAGAGTCTTGGTTTATCAGAAGTATCCTTACTTGAAATAAAATAAGAACAAACACAAATAAGAATCATAATTATTACATCATCTCACAGATGTCATAGCTAAACTGAATGGTTGGAGAAGGCCAGCAGCTGTGATCTGGCTGCAGTACCAGCACGGAGAAGCCTTGCGTTTCTATTCTATATGCAATAATCTCATATTTGTTTCCCCCTCAGTTAAGTTTCTTCTGTGCCCCTTGGCTCCTATCTCTGGGCTAACCCAGTTTTTGTCCTCCAATGGCATGATGGTATGGAGGTCTTGTTTCTGGGGATAGAGGCTCTAGATGAGCAGAGGTCACAGGTGCTGCAGGGGGATACCAGCATCATCTAGGAGTTGGACAAAATGGCCTTTGAAAACTCTCCCAGTCCTGTGAATCTGAGAGTCCAAAATTCAGGCCTGACTCCCATCACCAAGAACTTTCAGAGGCCATTGTAAGAATGTAGGATGGTAGAACCAGAAGGACTTAGAGCTTATCCCTCCAGTTCCCTTAGAAAGAAACTGGAGCCTGGGGTGGGGGTAGGGGGTCTAGGCAGCAGCTCAGTCAGGTCACACCAGCTGTTAGTGACAGCAAGCATTTTCTGGGCAACTTTTGTGTGCCTAGGACTGTGCTAGGTGATATCAGAGGTAGCAGAAAGGCTACCTCTGACTGAAGAAGCTTTATAACCTTTTAGGGGAAAAAAAAGACTCAAAGGCATGCCTAAAAATTCAAGAATGCCTACAAATTCTATCTAAACAAAGTGAGGAAATGATTTATTGAGACAGAGGCCAGTTAGGCAAAGCATGCTGGTTGGGGATGGGGCTTTAGCCAGCCTTGAAAGGAAGAGATAGGTTGATGGAGGAGGTCTAGAGGCATCCCTCTGGGGGTTCTAGGAGTATTAGGAAGTAGTGCTGGGGGTACAAAGGAGAGACAGAAGGATCTAAAAGGATTGGAGGAACTGTTAAAAGGAGTTAGACCTAGGAGGAAAAATGAGTTCACAAAGTAGGAAGGGAAGGGCATTCCAAGCAGAGGGAACAGCATGAGCAAAGGCAGGACAGTTGAAAGTATATGGGATGTTCACAAGGAATGGGGCTGGGTAGGTGTTTGGGTGGCTGCAGCCCAAGGCCTTTAATGTCAAGCTCAGGGGCCTGGCGATGGAAGCAGGTGGGAAGCAGAGACCGTGGCAGTTTCCTGGACGGTGATGCCAGGTGATAAAATTGGGCCTCTGGGTTACCCCAGGGAACTGTGGGCAGCTGCTCCCTTGGGGTTTCCTACAGAAGGAATTAGAGATGAATCATCTCAGTGATTACAGGGAACAGAGTGCTACTTGGTGATGTAGGATCTCTAGCTTTAAAATGAAATTTGCGCCCATCTGCTAATTTTTGTAAGAGAAATGTTTGTTATGGCAGTGCCTCAGCTTCCTCCTGACTTTACAACAGATTATTTGCATCCTACATTAATGCCGCAGTGAAGCAGACAGACTTCATGTTTTCCAACTGAATATTTGTATCGTAAAAGCCTCCTGCCAGCTCCTCCTCGGGACTGAGGCTGTTAGCAGGCCTGGCAGCAGGGAGCGCAGATTGGGAAGGGAGCAGGCCTCTCAGGCCTCCTGCTCATTCTCACCTGCCTCTGCTGGCTCTTTGCCCATGGCTGGGGCCTCTGCAGTACTTGGGCTCCTCCTTGGGGGACATTGAGTCCCCAAGGCTATGAGGACAGCGACTGGCTCTGCAGACAGGCGGTATGCCCAGGATGCATCCTGACCAGTGCGTCTTCGGTCCTCCCCACCCTGGGCACCAAGCTCTAAACAGAGCGTTCTGTGAGTGCAGGGTGCCAGGGAGGAGCCGAGCTGTGGATCCCATCTGCGTTTTCCCACAGCAATACCTCAGATGACTGTCATCTCCACACTATTTATAGCAAAGAGCCAGGCCAAGCATGGCACTTCAGGTCCTCTAAATCTGCCACTGCAGCTCTCTCCACTTAGCAAAATCTGAATTGCAGCCTGTGAGTTAAGACAGTTGTGTGGGTTGGGGTATCGTGTGGAGGGAGAGTAACATGTTTAAAAGCAGAAAACATCCCTTCCTGGGAGTCACCATTTTACAGTATTCTCAGGGAAGACCTTTGCAGCAAGCAGCCCAGACATAGCACACTGCAAAGCAATTTCTAAAAAAAATGTATTTTATTGTCAATTGACAATTTGTAATTGTATATATTTATGTGATACAAAGTGCTGTTATGATTTATGAATACAATGTGGAAAAATTAAATTAAGTGAATTAGCATATCATCACCTCAAATACTTTTTGTGGTGAGAACGTTTATTTTTTAGCAATTTTGAAATGTATAATACACTATTATTAGCTATATTCACCATGCTGTGTAACAGAGCTTTATAAAACACCTTATTCCTCTTGTCCAACTGAGATTTTTGTATCCTGTGGCCATTATCTCCCCATTCCCCACCCACAGCTTCTGTAATGACAGTTTTACTCCCTGCTTCTATGAGGTCAATTGTTTTAGATTCCACATATAATTTGTCTTTTTGTGGCTGGCTTATTTCACTTAGTATAATGTTCTCCAATTCCACTCATGTGGTTGCAAATGAACAAATTTCCTTTTTTTTTTTTTTTTTTTTAAAGAAAAGGCTGAATCGTACTCCATTGTGCATATATCCCCCAGTTTCTTTATCCATTCTTGTTGATAGACACTTAGGTTGATTCCTTATTTTGGGTATTGTGAATGATGCTGCAATGAACATGGAGTGAAACATCTTTTCAACTGATTTTAATATTTTGGGTAAATATCCAGAAGTGGGACTGCTGGATCCCAAATCAGTTTCATCATAGTCCCCCAAACCTATCTCAGAAAAGGCAGCCAGGTACGGTGGCTCACACCTGTAATCCCAGCACTTTGGGAGGCCGAGGCAGGCGGATCACCTGAGGTCAGGAGTTTGAGACCAGCCTGGCCAACATGGTGAAACCCTGTCTCTACTAAAAATACAAAAAATTAGCCGGGCATGGTGGCAGGCACCTGTAATCCCAGCTCCTTGGGAGGCTGAGGCAGGAGGATCGCTTGAACCCGGGAGGCAGAAATTGCAGTGAGCCAAGACCACACCATTGCACTTCAGTGTGGGCAACAAGAAAACTCCATCAAAAAAAAAAGAAGAAGAAAAAAAGAAAAGGCTACTCCTTTCCTCACAGCCACCCAAGCCAGAAATCTGGGCCTGTTCCTAGATGCTGCCTCCACCCCAGCCAGCCAGTCACCTCCTTGCCAATCCCAGTGTCCTGCCGTGTATGTTGAGCCCTCGTCACAGTTATCTCCTCCAACATCCTCAGGCCCCCAGCTCCTCCAGGGCAGGCACCCCTGGCACTCATCCCAAGTCTCCTTCCGAAGCTTGCCTTGTCACCCCTCCACTTAGAACCCTCACTTGCCTCCCATTGCTCTCAGTCAGGCCCCTTGAAATGACTCCCAAGTCTCTTAATAATAGCTGACTCTTACATGGCACTTACTGTGTGTTAGAGACTGTTCTGAATACTTCCCATCTCACTAGCTCATGTAGTCCTCCCCACAACCAGGTGAGACAGGTGCTATTGTTATCCACACTTTACAAGAAGGAAACAGAAGTCTAGGGAAGTAGGTAATTAACATTACCCACAATCCGTGGGCAGGACCGGGATTTGAATTGGCAATGTGGCTCCAGTGCCTGGGTGCTCCACATTGGGAGATGGTCCCATCAGGAGGTCGTCTCTTGACATCTCCAACAAGCCATCCCTTTGCCATGTTACTACCATTCCAGGTAGCCTGAGTGCCCCCAAGTGACCAAGGAAAAGCTTACCCTTAGAGGGTCTTTACTCCCAATGCCCCCCACCTTCCCATCCTCTACCTTTTTGTTGTTTAAAATTCAGCTGACCTGTTAGTTGCCACCTGGGAAGGTCTGACCACTTCATTCTTTATGCCTCTCATACCTCAGAGAGCTGCCAGGGCATCTCTAATACTTCATATTTCTCAAACAGTAGTTCTCAAACATTGTATATCTTGGTTCCTGTTATACTGTGTCTTTACTTCTGATTCTTGTGCTTGGCACACAGCACTCAGTACATGCTGCCGAATATTTAAATGAATAGAAAGTGCTTTCCAAAAACATGATGGAAATGTTCAAATTTGGCAAGAAGTGGCAGAGGAGTTCAAGCAGCAGATGGAGGTTGGTCCGGACGACTGGAGAGCCCTTCTGGCATTCACAATAAAAGGAGTCTCTGGCTCTTGCAATAAGCAGTGAAGAGTTTTTTAAAGAAAGTAAAGACCAGACAGAATTGAAGGAGGATATTGGGAGACCCAGCTTTTACTCCCAGTTTTGTGACTTATTCGTAACTTGGAATAAGTTACTTCCCTCTCCTGGTCTCAACTTCCTTCATCATTAAAAAGGGAAAAAAATAATACCTGAATAAATGGATGCCTTTCCCTTCTCTCCATCCAGTCCCTGAAAAAGCCAGTGCCAGGGGGCCGGGTGGGGTGGCTCACGCCTGTAATCCCAGCACTTTGGGAAGCCGAGGCAGGCAGATCATGAGGTCAGGAGATCAAGACCATCCTGGCCAACATGGTGAAACACTGTCTCTACTAAAAATACAAAAAATTAGCTGGGCATGGCAGTGCATGCCTGTAGTCCCAGCTACTTGGGAGGCTGAGGCAGGACAATTGCTTGAACTCGGGAGGCGGAGACTGCAGTGAGCCAAGATCGGGCCACTGCACTCCAGCCTGGCAACAGAGCAAGACTCCGTCTCAAAAAAAAAAAAAAAAAATAGGCAAGCCAGTGCCAGGGGAACCATGCACACACACACACAGATCCGGCCCAGTGGACACAATGAGGGCAAGTAATGGAAAATAACCCCCCCACCAAGCCATAGGGTCCTTTCTGTTCCCTCAACCATGGGCCAGGGACTTGGATTTCAGTCCTGGCTCTGCTGCCAGCTCTCAGGGACTGGGGCTCTTTTCTTCTGCAGGGAGAAGGAGCTAATCCTCCCTGTGAGAATCAGATGCGATATGGATATGGAAACCCTACCCACACAAGGCTCAAGTCTACTGAGGGAGGCACTGGACTGAGGCTCAAGATGAGTCAAAAGTCTTGGTTCTAGCTGGGTGCGGTGGCTCATGCCTGTAATCCCAGCACTTTGAGAGGCTGAGGCGTGGGGGATCACTTGAGGTCAGGAATTCGAGACCAGCCTAGCCAACATGGTGAACCCCCATCTCTACTAAAAACACAAAAATTAGCCGGGTGTGGCAGCGGGCACCTGTAATGCTAGCTACTCAGGAGGCTGAAGCAGGAGAATTGCTTGAACCTGGGAGGCGAGGTTGCAGTGGGCCAAGATTGCGCCACTGCACTCCAGTCTGTGTGACAGAGCGAAACTCCATCTCAAAAAAAAAAAAAAAAAAAAAAGGCTTGGTCCTGTCTGGTACTAGCTTTATTGCTTTAAGCAAGAAATATACCCTCTCTGCCATACTTTCCTCATCCATAAAATGGGAATGGTAACTAACATTCCAGCAGCGTTGGAGGGGCTCCGATGAGGCAATGAGGATGGCCCTGGTGGGCATGCCTGCACAGCTACTATGGAGATGCTTAAAAGTCTGGTTCATGTAAACTCTTTGGTCACGTTGAGCAAACCTCTTGTGCTCTTTGGGTTTTGGTTTTTGTCCCCTCACATCTACCCCCAAGAAGTTGGACATTCTGATCATCTAAGGAACTGGGCTGGCCCCACCTCCCTTGTGGGTCTGCTTTGTATGGCCAGTGTCATGCACAAGCTGATTTGGTTTTTGTTGCAGCTCGTATTCATCGATCTGGTGGCTGCAGGTCTACCGCCTCAGCTTGGGAACCTGAAGACATCTAAGTATAGACGGACTTTTTTTCCCTCCACCATAGCTTCCTGTCTCTGCCAACACCAGCAGGCCTCTCGACTGCCACCTACTGGCTCTACAGACTTCTTTGACCTTTCTCTTGTGGCTCATAGAGCTTGCTGCTTGGTCTTATCTGCAGACACTACAATTAATTTCAAAACACTCTCCCTTGTTACAACAAACAGAGCCCCTCCTGCCCCTCCCTGCATCCTCATCATCCTTTAAGCTAACGTCTCCAGCCTGCAACCTCCTGGCTAGTGCTTTCCTCTTCATGGCATTTAACTACTTTGTCACTTGAACAGTGTTGAGCATAACTGTCTTGCCCCCGGGGAAAATGGCAAGGTTAAACATAAGGGGATACAGATACTGCAGGGTAATCTTTCGGGTGGAAACTCTCGTTTATATAGGCAGGAGGTAGGCCAGGAGCTCCCAGACATAGCTGGGGGAAATGTTTCCACCTGGTTAAGACCCTAATCTCATTAAGAAGACTGACTAAACTTTTAACTCTTATCTGAACACCGGAGTAAAGATCTTCAACTGGAGCTTCTGTAAGCAAAGAAAATAGCCGACTTATAACGTGGGACTGTGTGGTCAGCCACTTAGCAGATATCTATGAATGAATCTCCACTACCACAGACCCTCATCAATGAACACTGACAGACTGGAGGGCTGTTGTACAACTCACACATACTGTCCTTTCAAAACAACAGACTTCAGACTCTGTTAACAAACCAATTAGTGCGAGGTTTCACAGTGCTTTCTCAGCAACAGTGCTGGCCCCTGGTCTACAGGGAAAAGTGCCTTATATCTTATCTCCATTCCTTTCCAGTGAGGAAGAGGAGGCTTGCGGACCTGACTGGGCCCATCATTCCCAAGTGCCGGAGTGGTGTCTAGTGTGTGGCGGTGGAGTCCATGCCTTTGAACTGGATGTGTTCTATTGATGACCTGTGCTCTGCAGGGGAAACCAGAAGGCAAAATGCTGGCAGCATGAAACCCTTTTGTGGTTCAGTTCTTTATGCACTAAGGTTTTAGGTTGACTAGTGGTTGTAGTTGAAAATTTTATAAAATACCGTTAATGTGAAGTTTTTCTTTAGTCACAGAAGTTGAATCTGGTTATTATTTAAAAACTAGAAGCCCCCAAACCAGCAGATCTTACTGAAGATGATGTTCCAGCAGCAGCGACTTAGCCCCAGGAGCCCAGTTTCAATGGCCTTGCTGTGTGGTGTTTCAAGTGCATTTAAAATGTGTGACACAGAAACGGCACACTCTTCCACATGCTTTTGAAGTATTATAAAACACTTTATTACAAATTTGTCTTAGCTATTAGCAAATAAAACTGATTATCATTCTTTATTAACCCTCCTTGGAATTTTGAAAACCTCGATTAAAGTTGCCAAATTGATTACTGGATCCAGAACACAATTTTCCCCTCAGAACAGATAGACAGACTGAAGCCACTGAACTCTGCCAGGAGTCAACATGAGATTCCTTTTGCTGGATATGCAGAAATGATAGGAAAAAAACCAATGGTGAAATTTCAAGTTTCAAAAACCAACCTTTCATTACCAATCCCAGGCAACAAACATGTCCCTGAGTGTTCTTTAAGAACATTTGGGATTTATGTACAATTTAATACTGGAGTTAGAACTTTTTCCTTATTGAATGCCAACCTTATGATGGATGTGAAAATCTACGGCCAAATACTTTTGAAAACACCTTTCTATATTGCACAGTGGGCAAATGGCTTATGTGAGGTAAGACACTAGAGGGATAAATTTCCAGATCAACATGGCTATGGTATTTAGTAATGGCCCAGCTTAGAGACTTCAGCTACTGATCTCATCACTTATTAGACAAATTGCTGCTGACCTTACGCCTGTATATTAAGCCTCCGCAGGATGCCGGACAATGGTGAAGAAACTCCAGATATCAAGGAATTGGGAAATCCTGGCCAAACCACCCCAAGATGATTACACTGAAATGTAGTATTAGTACTGCTGCCAGATCTCTTTTTAACATCATGTGCGTCTCTTGGGATCCAGCAAAAGTGTTAAGCCACAATGCCCTTGTGCCTTTTAATATACCACAGTGCCAGTTAAACTAATATTTTTGTTTGTTGCTTTTGGGAGTTATTTTCATTAGTGATTTCAGCAAATCTCATGATAAAGGACAAGGTCAAGAACTCCAGAGCACTGAGCAGAGAGGCTGGTGATGAAAAGGTGAAGGCCTGCGCACTGAACTGTAAGGCAGTGGGCAGTACAGGGTAACTGGAGGCGGGGCCAGGGCCTCAGCGCTATGGAAGAGTGTCCACTGAGGCTGCACATGGCCCAGGAGTGGCACCATGTTGCAGGGACAACCATCCCCATTTGGCTTCTCCTTAAAACACAATTGCAGCTGCATTCTGCATCGCTGAAAACTGCAATATAATATTAAATCTGTTGGTCTATGCATGGCTGCGTATGTGTTTCTTGGAACCTGTGTGACAGGGACATGTGCCTGGCACACTGGCCAGAAGACTGGGCAGCCACCATGGCAGTGCTGGATGACCTCAGTAAGAATGTGTCATGTATTCCAGGTGCTGATCTAAAAACTGTGGCTCAAATGTCACCGAGCTTATATGAAGCTCCCAGAGAGAACATTTAAAAGCTCAGAGAGTAAGTGCTGGGGAAAGCAGAGCTATCAGAGGAAATCTCTCATAGAAACGAAACCAAACCAACAGAAAATGAAGAAGGCCACATCTTTAAGGCCACCTCTGCCTCTATCAGATGAGCTGCTGGTCTAGATCAGGGGCTGGCAAACTTTTCTGTAAAAGGCCAGACAGTAAAAATTTCCGATTTTGCAGGCCACATAGTGTCTGTTGCAACTATTCAACTCTGCCATAGATCATGTGTAAAGGAATGGGTGTGGCTGTTCAATAAACTATACAGTTGACCCTTGAACAATATGGGTTTGAACTGCATGGCTGCACTTATATATGGATTTTTTTCAACCATACAGGTTGAAAATACAGTATTGGCAGGGGGCGAAACCTGCGTACATGGAGGGCTGATTTATCACATACGTGGGTTCTGTAGGGCCCACTGTGGGACTTGAGTATGCATTGGGTTTTTGTATACTCAGGCGTTCTGGAACTATCCTCCATGTATACCAAAGGATGGTTATTTCTACAAAAGCAGGAGGTAAGCCCAATGCACAGCTTGCAGATTCCCCTCAGGCGAGAGACAGAGGTTAAGGGTAGATGGCAGATGACCTAAGTGGCTTGTTTTAGGAGGCCACTCCCAGGGCCACAGCTTTCATGTGTTTGCCACCAGGGTAGAAGGTCTGCTGACAAGGGCAATGACTACTAACAGCCCCAGCTGCATGGAACAGAAAGGGCATATGCTGTGGCCACCAGGCTCAGGCTCTATCCCTCAGCAGCTTTGGGATCCCATGCAGCTCACCTATTTTCTGTGCTCTAGCATCATCCAAATCAGAATGTCTCAGGTAAGTGGTAGACAACGTGACTCCTCCCCTCCCGCTGTGAAGTGTAGACGGCTGCCACGGTGGCAGCGGCCAGAACTGAAGTTCCCGATTTCTCTGTTTCTGCAGTCTTGCCATGCTTTCTCTGTATAGTCACCCCAAACCTACTTTTACCGAGGGCCTGGGAAAATGCCAAAGGTGCTGCTCACATAAGCACTGGCCCATCCTCATCAGCATCAGGCCCTGGCTCTGGGCTCACAGGCTGTCGCACATGCTGCAAGAGTTCCCTAGGTATGCGTGGCCGTCGGGCTGTGCACTCGCATTCCTCTTTAAAGCTGTCTTGCATAGGGCCTGAAACTTTCCTGCTCCCCTTGTCTTGACATGTGACACAACAGGCTGTGAATCCTTGTCCTTGACAGGCAGGGCAGGTCAAAACGAGCTGGCGGCACTGGGGAGTAGAGCAGAGTTTATACTGGTCCCAGCGGGCTCCACAGTATGAACACTCTGGGGAGGAAGGAAAAGCCATCATTATAAACACATACATTCACACACACGTGGACAGGCATTGCTCCCTTTGCTGACTAGAATCTCGTAGATCCTGTGGAACCCGGGGAAGGTTTCCAAATAGTAAGTCTTCTGTCTTCTAGCAACAACAACTAACCACCACCCCCACCACCCAGCTTATTTTTTTGTGGGGGTGACTTCTGGTAACTGTCTGCTTCCAGTATTTACTGACTTTTTTTTTCTTTTTCCCATCTAGAGAACAGGTGGTAACTAGATGGTAATGAAAGTTTCTCTCTCTCACCAGCTATTCCAAAGCTGGCCAACTACCTCCCAACCCCCTTGTTAAGTGGTCTTTTCCTCTTTGATTGTTCCCTTTTCCAGGGGGGACAACACACCTAAATACAGGCGATAACCCACCTACAGTGAACATGCGCAGTCCACACCCCTCTCCCCGAGGCCTGTGTCTCTCCTGCTGTTGCTAGGGCACTTGACCATCTGATTCCTAAAACTCACACCATCTTCTTCACCTGTTTTTCCCTGATGACCTCCTGTTACTATTGATAACATCATTCTTCCTCACTTTTCCTTACCTTGCTTATCTAAGCTACCTCTGAGCCTTCCCTCTCTCCTTCATACTCACACGCAGGTACCCATCGAGTCCAGCCAATATAACCTCTGTAAAATCAAATCTACTCTTTCTACTTGTTTAGAATTTATACTCCATCTAGCTCCAAAACAGATCGAAGTAGTGATCAATAAGAGACAACTCAAAACCACTAAAATGAAAATAAGACCAAGAAAGTAGGAGAGGACAATCAAACGCAAATCTTACTCAAATGTGCATGCCACCTGGGTCCACAGAGAGCTATGAGTTCCTAAAATCATGTGTGCTACGGATTTACTTGGTAGTCTGGTGAAGACTATAGATCCTGGCCTAGAAAAACTTTTTTGAGACAGGGTCTTGCTGTGTCACCCAGGCTGGAGTACAGTGGCATGATTTAAACTCACTGCAACCTCAACCTCCCGGGCTCAAGCAATCCTCCTGCCTCAGCCTCCTGAGTATCTGGTACACACCACCATGCTCAGCTAATTTAAAAAAGTTTTTGTAGAGACATAGTGAGCTATGTTGCCCAGACTGGTCTCAAACTCCAGGGCTCAAGTGATCCTCCTACCTTGGCCTCCAAAAGTGATGGGATTACAGGCATGAGCCTCTGTGCCTGACCTAGAAAAATATTTTTAAATGCATAAAATATGTAAGATTACAAAGGAAACCAACTATACAGAAATACAAAATATCAAAGTCTTTTTCAAAATCTGTAATATATAATAAGACGTGCCATTTATTAACACATTATATATCAACTCTTAGTGGTGGGCCTAATAACTATTTTCATTTTGAAGCAGTGATGAGTATAAATACTATTTTGAGATATCTGAGGCAACTAGAACATGATATGAAAGTATTGTGAATCCTACTGAAGACAAAGTCACAGGTACATTAATACAACTGGTACTTTGTTGCCTACATTCATAACTAAAGGAAATGCTTCATTTTAGTGAGGTGTTATTGAAAACAAAGATACAATTATTTTTCCATCCAAATTCACAGAATCCCTGAAATCTATGTACCAATTCCAGGTTAAGAGCCCTGAATTAGCCCAGTAGTACAGCTCTTGGCAGGTAGACAGGCAGGCAGGGCAGGTGAGATGATCCCCATGTTAATGGGCTTGTCCAGCTAGCAATGGTGAAGCCAGGATCCCAACCCAGGCCTCCTGACTCCTGGGCTAGGGTTCTCTCAGCTCCACAGCTGGGAAAATGGTGGCACAATGTACTTATTTTCCCTGCTTATTCAGTGCTCAGTAATGAGCACTGGCCTGTCTTCCCTGTGTCATTTTTCTAGAATAGTGAACTGACAATGTGCTTCATTTCAGTTTGGGCTCTGAGCCTGTGCTGACCTACCTGACACCACATCACTGTTGTAGGACAGAGCATAGCGTTCATCAAAAACAAACAACTTCCCTTTGTAAAAGCCATCAGGAAACTCTTCCAGGTACTTGTGGATGCCACCCTTGAGCTGGAACACCTCCTTGCACACTCCCTAGGTGTGGAAAAACAACAGGAAATCTGAAGAGCCAGCAGAGACCTGTTAAGATGCTCACGGAAGAACGGCGCATGGCGAGGAGTGCTGACGTAGAGGACTCATGGCCGCTGCTATCAGTCAGGGGCTCCTGGCTCCCACTGCGGGACACTGAGGAATTGCTGACCAAGGGGTCAAGGCACCAACTGGCCAGATCTTGCCTCCTAGGGGGATGGGTGATGACAGCAGGCAGGGCCTTCACCCTCTAGATCCTGGGAAGCCCAACTATTTTTGCTGCCCCCTAAATATAGGAAGACACCTGTTGGGACATGTAATGTTACTGAATTTGCTCTTCTCAGGATCAAGCAAAAGGATCAGGAAAAGGGAGATGTTAACTAATCTCTCCCTTTTACATCTGATGAGTCTCTATGACTGTTAAGTGTTTTTCATATCTTGAGATTAAAGACCCTCAGATTTTGTACTTACGAACTCCATGCTGGAGCCATACGAGGGGTGAAGGCATGCTTTGGCTGCCTGGGGGTGGGGAGTACTGGGGGCAGCGGACAGCTCCACGTAAGCTGCTGGTGGAGCTGCCTCCTTCACTGCCATGCCCACAGTGCCCCGGGGTGGTGGCTCACCTTGGCTTTGAGGTAGGCTGAACCCCGCTCACAGCGGATGCCCCCGGTACAGTACATCAGCACTCTCTTCTCTCTGAAAAGTTCTAGATTTTTGTCAACGTAGCTAGGGAAGTAACTGAATTTCCTGATGTCTGGGGCTAAGCAGCCTTGGAATCGTCCCTGTAACATAGGAGCAACAAAAGGAAAATTATCAGAAAAACATACCTGGTAGGAACAAAGGTTCTTTTTGTACCCAACAAACCCTACTTAGCAAAGAAGCCCCTGCCAGTTGCTAATCTCATCCCCACTCTGACCTTTCAACTTCAAGATCTCAACTTAAAACCGAGGCTGTGGGCTGTGGGTCACCTTCCCAGGGTCCTCAGGGGAACTGGAGAGGCTGCCCAAAGGCAACTTTGCAAGATCCTTGATACATGTCAAAGGCAGGCTCATGGGAGTCACAAAGTATATTATGTGCCTGGATGCCTTTAATTCATATTTTCTTAGACTCTCTCACCAGATTTCTGAGTTTTAGGACTTGGGTTTTCTCTGAAGCTGCCAGTACTGGGAGGAGATCCATGTGGCCACAGGTGGGCACACACAAGGTCCCCTTGGGAAATATACCACACTGTGGGAATGGGGAGATCTACCAATTCAGAGAACTCAGTTCTGGCTTTTACTTACTATTTTGCTTTCATAGAAGTTTCTGCAATCAAGAAGGATAGTATCACTTTGTTCTTGATTTGCCTGAGATAAAAACTTTTCTACTTCTTTATGAAATTCACCTGGGGATAAATGGATTCCTAAAACCAAACCAAAAAAATTATATTAAAACAAAGACAAAAAAACCAAAACCCAATCATGACTCACCCAGCCTGACTTACGTGTTGCTTTGTTTCTTTCCACCCAAATCTCTTCTCTTCATAATTACAACTGTCTGAAAAGAACACTACTTGATGATCATGATGAAATAACTTAGTAATTCCAGTAATTCCAGGTATCCTCAATCTCCCTCCTCCTAAAATGAGGGCAATGGAGACCTGGTAGTTTAGAAATAACTAGTCAAAGAATTTTGCATCCTCATACTTGGCCTAACCCTAGTGATAAAAACCAGGCAACTGGGATCTAAATTGCCATGTGAATTTGCTGGTCCATTGTATGGTCACTGGTAGGTCAGGAAATGGCCACTGCTCTATTGTCACTGTACATGGAGGAGCTGGGCAAGTACGTGGCTGACTACAGGCTTTGTAAACTGTTCTATATTAAGGTCGAACCCACGTTGAAGGCTAAGAACCCACAGGCAGGTGTGAGCAAAAAGTTATGGAATAAAGTTGGAATAGATACATTTTTAATGCAAAGGAGCAAGAAGAATGTGTCTAAGTGTGTGTGCATGAGTAAAAGAGAAAAGGGCAAGAGGGGTGGACAACAGAAACGACATATGAGAAAGAAAGTAAAGGAGAGAAAAAGACAGGAAAGCTAGAAGATGGGTAAGTATTAAAATACAAGGGGAAGCCTGGGGAACATAGCGAGACTCTGTCTCTAAAAAAAATTTAAAAAATTAGCTGGCCATGGTAGTGTGTGCCTGTAGTCTCAGCTACTTTGGAGGCTGATGCAGGAGGACCCCTTGAGCCCAAGAGATCAAGGCCTCAGTGAGCTATGATCACACCACTGTACTCCAGCCTGGGCAATAGAGCAAGACCCTGTCTCAAAAAATATATATACAAAGGGACTAATAGGAGAGAACCTCAGTCTCCTGGGGCTCTTTGCCTTGTAACTCTCTAGGATAGAAATATTCCCCTATCTTTGAGGGTCCAGAAATCTCAGTAGATTGTGAGGAACTTTTGGTGAATCTGCATTATGAGGTAGCCATGCCTCATGGGCAGGGGCTCTGGTGACTCAGTTACCTACCACTCATGATAAAGCTTTACAGCACCAAAGGAGCCTCATTCCCCTCAGAGAGGAACCCCAACAACCAATGAAACTACTCCACACCAAGGAGAGATGAGGGCCCAGAGCCAGGCCAAGGAATCTGGATTGCTACCTGCCTGAGTTATGGTTGTAATGAGAATGTAGTAAGGCCAGATTCTATATAAGGTACTGTCACACAATTACATGGATACAAAAAGAGTGGGGTGAAAAGGGAGATTCAAACATGGGACGTAGGCCAGGCATGGTGGCTCACACCTATAATCCTAATGCTTTGGGAAGCTGAGGCAGGCGGATCACCTGAGGTCAGGAGTTCAAGACCAGCCTGGCTAACATGGTGAAACCCCGTCTCTACTAAAAATACAAAAATTAGCCAGGTGTGGTGGCACATTCCTTTAGCTCCCAGCTACTCAGTAGGCTGAGGCAGGAGAACTACACAAAACTGGGAGGCAGAGGTTGTAGTGAGCATTCCAGCCTGGGCAACAGAGTGAGACTCCGTCTCAAAAAAAGGCCAGGCGTGGGTGAGGCAGCTCTCGCCTATAATCCCAGCACTTTGGGAAGCTGAGGCAGGTGAATCACTTGAGGCCAGGAGTTGCAGATCAAACTGGTCAACATGGCGAAACCCCGTCTACTAAAAATACAAAAAAAATTAGCTGGGCGTGGTGGCGCATGCCTGTAGTCCCAGCTACTCGGGAGGCTGAGGCAGGAGAATCTCTTGAACCCAGGAGGCAGAGGTTGCAGTGAGCTGAGATTGCGCCACTGCACCCCAACCTGAGCAACAGAGTGAGACTCCATCTCAAACAAACAAACATGGGATGAAAAGCATGGAAATGTGCTAAGACTTCTACCTGCAGGAAGCCACAGGAAACCAAACCTGTTCCCTGCTGCTATGATTGCAGTTGTTCTACTGGCCCTGAGAACGATTGTTTGGACAGTGACCAGCATGGATGTGTTTAAAAGACATCTCTTTACCAGGTGCGGTGGCTGATGCCTATAATTCCAGCACTTTGTGAGGCTGAGGTGGGCAGATCACTTGAGGTCAGGAGTTTGAGACCAGCCTGGCCAGTGTGGCGAAACCCCATCTCTACTAAAAATACAAAAATTACCCGGGTGTGGTGGCGCACACTTGTAATCCCAGCAACTTGGGAAGCTGAGGCAGGAGAATCGCTTGAACCCCGGGGGAAAAGGTTACAGTGAGCTGAAATCACGCCACTGCACTCCAGCCCAGGCAACAGAGCAAGACTGTCTCAAAAAAAGAAAAAGAGGTCCCTTTAAACTTCCTTCAAGTGAAAACAAGACAGCACTGCCTAGAGCCCACTCTCTGCCTGCAATGTCCTGCAGTGCCCAGGAAAAGCTGTTTGTAGTCATACTGCCTCCTGCTAAGATGGGAACAGTAAGCAGACAACAGCTCTTTCTGGCCCTCATCTCCCCATGCATGAGTCTCTTTCCCAGATGCCTGTATCCTAATCCCGTTTCCCCCTGGCTTCACTCTTAGACTTCTTTCAAAACTTTACATATTACAAAATGAACACCATGGAGTCAACCAGACCTTTGTGCTTCCTGATCAAAGAAGACAACAGTGCTTATGTAGTCTTGGTGGCGGGAGAAAAAGAAATCAAATTGGAATCTGATCAAGTCTCTAGTCCTGGTTGTTAATACAGTAGCTACTAGCCACATGTGGCTGACAAGCACTTGTGCTATAATAGGGGTGACATACATACTGAATCTCAAGGACTTAGCATGAAAAAAAGTAAACTAATAATTTTTTATATTGATTACATGTTGAAATAATATTTTTGATATACTGCATTAAGAAAACCATATTATTTAAATTAATCTCATCTATTTTTTACTTTTAAAGACATGGCTACTAGAAAATGTAAAATTGTGTAGCTCACATTATACTTCTATTAGCACTACTCTAAATCTAATGATCAACTTATAGGAAATAAAGAGGACAGAGAAATATATCTTGGGAATACAATTATTATTGTCCAGATTATGGGAAACTCTAAAGGTCAAATGATCCAGTTCCTTCAAAAATAAACTGCAAGGGGGGAAAAAAAGATGGAAACAAATCTATAGGTTGAAAGACACTTAAAGAGACATACTGATGAATCACAGTGAATGAACCTTATTTAAATCCTAATAGAAATGAAGCTTAAAAAGTATGAGACAACCGGGAATTGAGTGACTAAACCAACTAGATATTTGATAATTTATTAAGGAATCAGTTAAAATGTTTTAAGATGTGATATCGTTTTGCATCTTTTAAAACAAATTTTTATCTTTTAGACATACCTACTAAAAATATTTACAAATGAAATGGCCTGACATTGGGGTTGCTTTCAAAATAATCCAAGATGGGAGAAGGGATGGGGTATAGGTGAGAGCTGGCCATTAATCAGTTAACTGCTAAAGCTGCATGATAGGTACATAGAACTTCACTATATTATTTTCTCTACTTTTTTAATGTTTAAAATTTTTCATAGTAAAAACTACAATAAAACCCCCAAAAACCTGCCAAACAAATGTCTTTCAACCATTTACCATGGAGAAGATGGGGAAAGAACATTCTAGAGCACAGTGAAAACTGCTGTGGTGTTGAAAGCAACTTGTTTCCTGTAGCAAAAGGCCTATTTGCTCTATTCTGCTAATGAACTGTTTACAAGTAATAATTACACTCTTCCCAAACTGCTTGCTGTCTTTGGAAAGAGCAAACAACTAATTGATAAACCATCACCAAGAGGAATAAGATAGGTCACTCGAAGAGGTGAGTCTTCAACCCCACAGCACCACAGAGAAACAGTATAAGCACTGGATGCAGCCAAGTGTTAGCCACCCCACAGCTGCTTTAGAGAGGACTCATGACTGCTGCTGATCACAGTGCCTAGCTTTCTTATTTGTCTATTAAGTTTTGTCCCTGTGAATTAAAGCACAATCTTCTAAAAGCAAGCATACCAGGCTTCTTGTAGGAGATCTTTTTGGGGCTGATCCCCATGGGCACGATTTCTTCAAATACACCAACACGCAATTCTGGAAAACAGTGAGCTCCTCCTTTGCTGGTCTAGCCAATGAGAAACAAAACAGAATACAGTCTTGCTGTCCCATCTCCAGGTATAAGACAAGTGCCAATATAAGAATGATGGTCTGTTTTGTAATAACAATAGCTGAAGTCTTAAAAAACCTCTAGTTAGGGCCCAGAATGTTCCAGATAATTCAACATTGATAAATACTTACTGCATACCTGCCATGTGCAGGAATGTTAAGCTGAAAAAGTGTTTCTTTAGGTGTAAGCATTTAATTATAAAACTGCAACACCGCTGAGCAATTCTAACATGTGACTATACCCGGTTTTCATTCTTTTCCTATCATTGCCAGCATGAACGCTAGCAAGGCATTTCCCATCACCTTATCACTTATTATGACAAGGTATAAAGTCACTCAAACAAAGCAGCCCACCTGTGAGAGCAACAACTTTATTCCCCCATGTGGTATGAAGTGTTAATCTTACAATTCCAGATTTACTAAAAACACAGTGATCTGCTGACCAGGCTGGTGGTCTCTCAAGTGAGCTAATATGTCCAAGATTTGGAGTCCCAGATTGCATGAGCTGTAACATTCTTATTTTATAAGAAGGGATACTGAGGTCTAGAGCACTAGCTGGTCCAAAATCATATGGTGACTCAGTGAAAGAATGGGGACGAGCATACTCCTTCTATTGTACTGTCTCGTAACCTAAAGAGAAAAGCACATTTAAAGGGGAAAGGGGGCAGGTGCGGTATCTCACGTCCATATCTCAGCACTATAGGAGGCTGACGTGGGAGGACTGCTTGAACCCAAGAGTTCCATACCAGCCTGGGCAACATAGTGAGACCCCGTCTCTACAAAAAAATTAGCCAGACATGGTGATGCACGCCTATGGTCCTAGCTACCTGGGAGGATCACCTGAGCCCAGGGAGGTTGAGGCTGCAGTGAGCCATGATCACGCCACTGCACTCCAGCCTGGGTGACAGAGCAAGACCCTGTCAAAAAACAAAACAAAAAAACTCCCCAAGCCCCAAAAAATAAAGGGGAAAGGGTATTTATTTGGCACTGCTTATTTCTCTACTTTGAACTCCTCTTCAATAACATGCACAGAGGCAGAAGCAGATGGCTCTAGATCCATTTAATTTTCATTTTCTCTTACCTTAAAATCATCTTTACACAGGTCATCCTTAAACAATGGGAAGGAAAGCATGACTTCCACATAAAGTCTGGTAGCCAATTTGCTTCCACCAACTGTCCCATTGATTCCTTCTGCAGCAATTCGAATCTGAGACACAAGACGGTGAAAAAGAGAACAGATTGTTCTTAGCTTGGTTATCTTTCCAGGGAAGAACAATAGGCTCATGTGTGTCAATGAGTTTAACAGGAAAAGCAGAGACGCTGATGAGGACACCAAAGTGTTACTGGACAAAGATATCTGTGTTTTTCTTTTTTATTTTAAACTTTTAAGTCCAGGGATACAAGTGCAGGTTTGCTCTGCAGGTAAAACTGTGTCATGGGGGTTTATTGTGCAGATTATTTCACCACCCAGGTATTAAGCTTAGTACCCCTTAGTTATGCTCCTGATCCTCTCCCTCCTTCCACCCTCCACCCTCCAAAAGGCCCCAGTGTCTGTTGTTCCCCTCTATGTGTCCACGTTCTCATAATTTAGCTCCCACTTATAAGTGAAAATATGTAGTATTTGGTTTTCTCTTCCTGCGTTAGTTTGCTAAGGATAATGGCTCCCAGCTCCATCCATGTCCCTGCAAAAGACATGATCTTGTTCTTTTTTATAGCTGCATAGTATTCCCACATTTTCTTTATCCAGTTTATCACTGATGGGCATTAGGTTGATTCCATGTCTTTGCTACTGTGAACAGTGCTGCAATGAACATATGCATACATGTGTCTTTATAACAGAACAATTTATATTCTTTTGGGTACATACCCAGTAATGGGATTGCTGGGTCGAATGATAGTTCTGTCTTTAGGTCTTTGAGGAATTACCACATTGTCTTCCACAACGGTTGAGCTAATTTACACTCCCACCTATAGTGTATAAGTATTCCTTTTTCTCTACAACCTCACCAGCATCTGTTATTTTTTGACTTTTTAATAACAGCCATTCTGACAGGTGTGAGATGGATACCTGTTTGTTTTTTAAGACAGAGTCTTGCTCTGTTGCCCAGGCTGGAGTGCAATAGCACAATCTCGGCTCACTGCAGCCTCCACCTCCTGGGTTCAAGCGATTCTCCTACCTCAGCCTCCTGAGTAGCTGGGATTACAGGCATGCGCCACCAAGCCCAGCTAATGTTCGTATTTTTAGTAGAGACGGGGTTTCGCCATGTTGGCCAGGCTGGTCTCCAACTCCTGGCCTCAAGTGATCTACCCGCCTTGGCCTCCCAAAGTGCTGGGATTACAGGCACAAGCCACCGTGCCCAGCTGGATACTTGTATTTTTCTAAAATGGCATAGCCTTCAGTTCAGATGAGGTATTCTGTTTCATGCATGCTGAACAAAAGAATGTGAATAAAACTCCTGGAAAGCCCCATTTGCTATGGAGCTACAATAGTCCAACAGCCAAAGAAGTGAATTCTGAGCTTAATCTAAATCCAGGTAGCTTAACAGAGTCCTCCACAGAGGTCAGCAGATCTAGGCTCAAGATTAAGCTCTGCCACTCACTTGCATGTAGCTGTGAGAAAGTTAATTGACTTCTCTGAATCTTAATTTCTTTATATGAATAAAAAGGGAACTAAAGAGCACCAGAAATGAAAAGAACTGCTGAGGAGATACTACCAAAATCCTAAAGCACAGAGTACATCTGAGGGCTGAGGGTATACATGAGCATGTATCTCTGCATGGTGTTTGGAGGACAGCCTACCACTGCAAACCATCCACTGGAATACAAGTTCCACATGGGTGTGTGTCTGTTTTGCTCACCAGCATATCCCCTAGAACAGTGCCTGCCACATAGTAGGCACTCAATACGATTTGTTGAATAAATGAATATGCATCCATATCTGGGGCTCTTTGGCATCTCAAGTCCCATATTCTCTTTGAAATGCTCCCCTGGTTAGGGGACATTAGAGCCTGGGGTAAAGCCCCAGCCTTAAGAGGCAGTGTTCTGGGGGCCCTGCAGAGTTGGTTGTTTTCGTACTACAAAATCCTGTGGATGAGTTTAAAGATGGATCATCTTTAAAGGGAACTGAGCTCTCTAAAGAAAAGTGCTAGCAAGGGCAGCACATGTGGCATCATGGCACTGTCTGGAAAAAGAGATGATTTAATTCAAGGTCCTATATTGTTCTAGTCATATAACACTGATATATACCAGTACTTCATAATTTGAAAATTTTTAATGGCTGTCCTTTTTTAGGGTCCAGAGAAGACACATCAGTTGATGCCTCACTTGATCAATTCTTTTTTTTTTTTTTTTTTTGAGACAGAGTCTCGCTGTGTCGCCCAGACTGCAGTGCAGTGGTGCAATCTCGGCTCACTGCAAGCTCCGCCTCCCAGGTTCACACCATTCTCCTGCCTCGGCCTCCCAAGTAGCTGGGACTACAGGTGCCCGCCACCACGCCCGGCTAATTTTTCATATTTTTAGTAGAGACGGGGTTTCACCGTGTTAGCCAGGATGGTCTCAATCTCCTGACCTTGTGACCTGCCTGCCTCGGCCTTCCAAAGTGCTGGGATTACAGGCATGAACCATCGCACCCAGCCCTACCTGATCAACTCTTTAGGGTATGGATATAAAACAAGATTCATGGCACAAGCCAATGCCAACTCATTGGAAGTGGTATATAATTTTAAACTTTGAAAGAACATAAAAGACACAAACATATGCATGTGTGTAATATGATCAGAGAATATTTTAGGAAAATAAAAACCATCGATAACCCTACATGCCTAGATAATCCTTACTAACATTTTGGTATACACAACCTTCCATGTTTATACATGCACTTCTGGTTTTGTCATGAACATGCATTCTATATTCTCCAAATATCTACTGAGGGTCTACTACATGCTAAGCTCTGTTCCAGCACTGAGAATACATCAATTAAGACCAAAATTCCTGTCCTCATGAAGCTTATAAATGAAGATTATACTTTCAGATAGTAATAAATTCTTTGAAAAGCAGAAAGGGATAGAACGTGACAAGATCTGGAGAGGACTACTTCAGACTGCAGCTCTAAGGAGACAATATGTGAGCCGAGATCTGAAGTGGGGTATGCGCCATGTGAAGGTGCAGGGAAGAGCACTCTAGAGAGGAAGGAAACAGCAAATGTCAATACCCTGAGCTGGTAAATGACCCTGGCAGGTTCTAGAAAATTAAGAAGCTTGGAATCACACCTCTACGTATAGTACTGTAAAATGTTTTCCAGAGTTCCATGACAAAGATTCCGGGTCACATCCAGACTCCTTGAGAAACAGTGCTGCAGTCTAGTGAAGCCAGTTCTGGGCATGGGAGAGGGAAGCAGGAAGCCTGTGACATCTCTGCTACACAGGCTACTGTCCCCACTACCAACTTATAGTGGACTACATAGAAAAATAGAGCCCAATCAGTGTAAGAGTCAGAAAACCCACTCCAAAAGAGTTTCTGACTACAGCAGGTAGGATGAAGTATGTATGTCTAAGTACCTCTCTTGGGGTAGGCTAGTAGATTCTTTTCTAATTTATTTTAATCTCAGAACCCAAAGAGAAGACAAGCACATCTGCTCCCTATATAGCTAGGGCAGAGCATGCTCTAAACTCGTGCACTAGACTTTGAACCCCCAGGATTCTCTAACAGAAATCCTTCAAAGCTCCTTAGTGAGGAAGGCCTTGTAAGAAACTGAGAAGAACAATCATTAGCATTTATTCAGCACTTGCTATGAGACAGAAGCATTACATTATAATCCTGAAAGGCAGATATCATAATCCCCGTTTTACAGAAAAGGAAACAAAAGCTCAGAGAAATCAAGTAACTTGCCCAGTGGTATAGCTGATAGCTGGTAAATCTGGGATTCAAAACCAGATCTTACTAGCTCCCAATCTTATAACTTTTCCTTTCCAAAGCCTTCAATGTATCCCCTCAAATTTTTTGAGGCAATAAAGAATACACAGCAATAGAGTAGAGGCTTTTTTCCCATAATTCTACAACTGTCAGGTTCTTCTCTTTCCCTACTTAGGCACTGATATTTTGCCAAATCTCCAAACACAAAACTCTCATTAAACTGGGCATGTATCCTTGACACCTAGGAATTTATATCCAAGATCTAGGCAAGTGCTGCCACCTTGTGGGTAAGATCCCTCATTGCTAATTTAGCACTTGGGTTGGGCCAAGAAAAATGATCTGCCTCTAAACCAAGAGGCTGTTTTCAAACCTTGTACATTCAGGTTTACTGTGAGAGTATCCATCTTTCAGGGTGTGGAAGTTTTCTGAATAGGAATGGTGATGAAAGTATTAAATATTATTTATTTATTTACACCAGGAATTGTGCTAGGAATTAGGGATACAGTGCTTGAAAAAAATATAGCTTTTCCCCTTTAGGAGCTTACAGACTATGGGAGGTCACAGATATTAAAATAAAAGTTACAAATGGACAAATGTTATGAAAAACAATTACAAGATGCCATGAGAGAGTGCACTGGGAAAAATGAATTTAGATTGACAGGAAAGGTCTCTTTGAGGAAGTGTCATGAAAATTGAAAACTAAGCTTGAGTAAAAATCAGACTGGAGCAGCAGAGTGGGTGTAGGAGAGTTCCTTGAAGATAGTTTGCTTGTAAGAAGGCCCAAGGAGAGAAAAGAACTCGGTGGGTTCCAAAAAACTGAAAGACCATGTTGCTGGAGTATAATGAGCAAAGAACAGTATCAGACGAGAGGAAAAGGTAAGAAGGGGCCAACTCACGCAGGAACCTAAGGGCATTTTTAAGGCACTGGATTTCCTCCATATGCACCAGAAGTGGCAGCCACTGAAAGAGTTTGAGGAGGGAGTGATGTGATTTGATTCACCTTTTAGGATCATTATGGCTGTGTGGAGAATGGATTAAGTGGCAGGCAGGGATGGCAAGCTGAAGAGTAATTTGAAAGCTACTGAATGGACTGGGTAAGAGAGGGTGGTGGTTTGGTCTAAAGTGGTGAGTGTGGAAGAGAGAAGGGAACGGAATTAAGGAATATTTGAAGAGGTGGAAATGGCAGGCCTTGGTGATGAACTGAATGAGGTAAATGAAGTCATTATCTGTTGGAAAACATGGATGTGAAAAATATCACTGATCAATTCAGACCTGGGTCATATGTTGGGAAAGATGAAACAAGGCAGCACAGTGTCATAACCAGAGGGGGTTTTGGGGGAAACTAGTTCACTTCCTTTCGATTTAAATTTTGAAAATCATATAAAATACATAGACATATGCATGTGTATAATGTAATCAGAGAATATTTTAGGAAAATAAAAACCATCGATAATCCTACATGCCTAGATAATCCTTACTAACATTTTGGTATACACAACCTTCCATGTTTATACATGCACTTCTGGTTTTGTCATGAACATGCATTCATTCCTTCATTCTATATTCTCCAAATATCTACTGAGGGTCTACTACATGCTAAGCTCTGTTCCAGCACTGAGAATACATCAATTAAGACCAAAGTTACTGTCCTCATGAAGCTTATAAATGAAGATTATACTTTCAGATAGTAATAAATCCTTTGAAAAGCAGAAAGGGATAGAATGTGATGAGATCTGGAGAGGACTACTTCAGACTGCAGCTCTAAGGAGACAATATGTGAGCCGAGATCTGAAGTGGGGTATGCGCCATGTGAAGGTGCAGGGAAGAGCACTCTAGAGAGGAAGGAAACAGCAAATGTCAATACCCTGAGCTGGTAAATGACCCTGGCAGGTTCCAGAAAATTAAGAAGCAACTTGGAATCACACCTCTATGTTCTATAAAATGTTTTTCCAATTAATATATCACAAACATTTCCCTATACCAGGGTCGGCATATTATCCTTGCTTTTGCATATAGTTTTATTCAAACACAGCCATCCAATTCTTTTACATTATTATCTATAGTTGCTCTCATGCTATAACAAAACTGAATAGTTTTTTGTGCAACACCTAAAATTATCTACTATCTGGTTCTTCAAGAAAAAGTTTGCTGACTCCTGGTTTATGCCAGTAAATATTCTTATAAAATACCATGTTAATGGCTGCCTAATATTCTACTTAAATGCTCAGCAGAATTTCCCTAACTTTTAAGAACTCAACAGTGAATCTTTTTTATAATGAGCACAGCATTTGCAATCCAAGGTTGGCAGGCAAGATGGACCCAGTGAAGGAAGGAATATAGGAGAAGGTGTTACCTTGCCTGTGAGGTGCAGGTGCTGACACAGAGCTGTCTGCCAGGCACAGATCCATTGGGGATCCTCCAGGTCATGGTAGCAGTAATAAAGGAGCACCTCCCCTTCTTCACTGCCCTGGCCACTATAAAATGAAAATCCAAGGCAAAGAGCATTTGAGTCGCTGGCATAAAGAAGTCACAATTCATAAAATACACCCAGGCAGTCTGAGGGAAGGCTAAGATGAGGACACTCATGCCTGTCTTTGCTGTGATGATTGTTCTCCTCCTGAAATGAGAAGCAACTTCTTTTTATATTTGCTCTACAGAAGACAGTATCTGCACTGAACTTACTTTACAAAAAGTGAGTTTACTTTGATCCCTCATTTAATGGTCACATCCAAGAGACAGGTATTAGTAACTCCAATTCATAGAAAAGTTAGAAATTTGGTTCCATTCTGGCCTATCCTCTCACATAAAGCAGTATCTGTATGAATCATCATACAAAAAAGTTTCACTTCCATTTATTCTTATAACCCTCTTTCTATGATGCAGGTTATTATTATCCCCATTTAACAGCTGAATAAATTGAGGCCAATTCCTCCCAAGTCAGACAGCCAGAAAGTGATAGTAAGGACCTAAACGCCAGTCTTCTGATACCAGATCTATACTCTTTCTACTGCACTGGGCTGTCTTACACTAACTAGCTAGGCAGGTCTTTCATCACTTCTGGGCCTTGGTTTCCTCATCTGTAAAATCAGAGAATGGAAATAAACTATATTTTCCAAAGTATGTTATGAAGCTGTTCTATAAAATTATGTTTGGAAACCCTGCAGACAGCATCTCCCTCCTTAAGAATCACAGCCAAAGCCTCTTAAAGGCTCTGAGAAGTCTTGCAGTAACAACATTTTGACTGAGTGCTTCCCAAATTTGTCTTTAATACCCCTTTTTTCAATACCTTGTTAGCATCCTCTAGAACTAGTGTTCCACAGAACATATTTTAGGGAATGCTACAGTACACGACAATTAAGGTCCTATCCAGCTCTGGAGTCTGAGTCCCTCCTCAACAGCCTCATCATATTTCAGGGCCTAGTCTCTTCCATGCTTTCCATGCTCCTCCATGAAACCTTCTTGTCTATTTTAGATCCTATTTTCCTTTCTCTAAGCTCCTATAACAAGTTAGTCTCTGTAACATACAATTCAACTGATAATTATGTAACCCGTTATCATCTGCTAATTGCCTCATGTGTCTTTTTCGTTGTTTTTCTAACTAGTAAGTAAATTCCCTGAAGTGTGGGGCCATATGAAATGGAAGGGCCATATCTGTATAGCACAGTGTAGTTCACAACTGCTTATACTATCACCGTCCTATATAACTCATTCTGCAGTACTGGGAGGTAGGCAAGGCAGGCATTATTATTCCAATTTTAGAGGTGAGGAAATGAAGGTACAGAAAATTTTAGTGACTAGCTCAAGTGTGACTTCTACTTCAACTTGCTTTCTTGCTCCTTTCCAATAAGTAAAAGGGAATGTGGCACTGAGTAGTAATGACAAAAATTGATCAAATTTGGACTACAGTTGACCCGTGAGCAACGCGGGTTTGAACTGTGCAGGTCCACTTACTTGTAGATCTTTTTGTGCCTCTAGCACTCATGCAGCAACAAGACCAATCCCTCTTTCTCCTCAGCCTACTCAATGTGAAGGTGACAAAGATGAAGACCTTTATGACGAACCATTTAACATAAAGAATAGTAAATATGTATTACGATTTTCTTTTTTTCTTTTTTTTTTGTAGGGCAGGGTCTTACTATGTTGCCCAGACTGGTCTTGAACTCCTGGCCTAATGTGATCTTCCTGCCTTGGCCCTCCACAATGCTGGGATTATAGGAATAAGTCACTGCACCTGGCCTCTTATGATTTTCTTAATAACATTTTCTCTAGCTTACTTTAATACAGTATACAATATATAATATACATAACATAGAAAGATGTGTTCATTGACTGTTTACATTATTGATAAGGCTTCAGTCAACAGGAGGCTATTAGTATAGTTTTGGGGGAGTTAAAAGTTATACGCAAATTTTCAACTGCCCCTAATCCTTGGATTCCTGACCCCGTGTTTTTCAAGGATCAACTGTATTTCTATTTACCAAATAGTTCAATAATTGCTTAAAGTCAGAAATTTGTCCTCTGGAATTCTGTAATATGACTTGGTGAGTTTTTCAAGGCCAGGATCTAAACATCTAATCCTATGATTCAGTTTTAAAAGTTAATACACTTCCTAAAACATATTCAGCTCAGAAAACTGTATCTGGCAATAAAAACCTGATATTGCTTGGCTGTGTCCCCACCCAAATCTCATCTTGAATTGTAATTCTCACAATTCCCACGTGTCATTGGAGGAACGCAGTGGGAGCTAATTGAATCATGGGGGTAGGTCTTTCCCATGCTGTTCTCATGAGACTGAATAAATCTCATGAGAGTTGATGGTTTTAAAACTGGGAGTTTTCCTGTACAAGCTTTCTCTCTTTGCCTGCTGCCATCCATGTAAGATGTGACTTGCTCCTCCTTGCCTTCCAACCATGATTGTGTGGCCTCCCCTGCCATGTGGAACTGTAAGTCCATTAAACCTCTTTCTTTTGTAAATTGCCCAGTCTTGGGTATGTCTTTATCAGCAGCATGAAAATGAACTAATACAATAAATTGGTACTAGTAGAGTGGGGTGCTGCTGAAAAGACACCCAAAAAGGTGGAAGTGATTTTGGAACTAGGTAACAGGCAGAGGCTGGAACAGTTTGGAGGGCTGAGAAGACGACAAGAAGATGTGGGAAAGTTTGGAACTCCCTAGAGACTTGTTGAATGGCTTTGACCAAAATGCTGATAATGATATGGACAATGAACTTCAGGCTGAGGTGGTCTCAGATGGAGATGAGGAACTTCTTGGGAACTGGAGCAAAGGTGACTCTTGTTATGTTTTAGCAAAGAGACTGGTGTGGCATTTTGCCCCTGCCCTAAAGATTTGGGGAACTTTGAACTTGAGAGAGACGATTTAGGGTATCAGCAAAGCATTCAAGAGGTGATTTGGGTGCTGTTAAAGGCATTCAGTTTTATAAGGGAAGCAAAACATAAAAGTTCAAAAAATTTGCAGTCTGACAATGCAATAGAAAAGGAAATCCCATTTTCTGAGGAGAAATTCAAACTGGCTACAGAAATTTGCATGAGTAATGTGGAGCCAAATGTTAATCCCAAAGACAAAGGGGAAAATGTCTCCAGGGCATGTCAGAGGTCCTCATGACAGCCCCTCCTATCACATGCCTTGTTGTGGGAAGTCAGGGACCCTGAACGGAGGGACTGGCTGAAGCTGTGGCAGAAGAACATAAGTTGTGAAGATTTCATGGACATTTATTAGTTCCCCAAATTAATACTTTTATAATTTATGCCTGTCTTTACTGCAATCTCTAAACATAAATTGTGAAGATTTCATGGACATTTATCACTTCCCCAATCAATACTCTCATAATTTCCTATGCCTGTCTTTAATCTCTTAATCCCGTCATCTTCATAAGCTGAGGATGTATGTCGCCTCAAGACCCTGTGATGATTGTGTTAATTGCACAAACTGTTTGTAAAACATGTGTGTTTGAACAATATGAAATCTGGGCACCCTGAAAAAGAACATGGTAACAGCCATGTTCAGGGCACAAGGGAGGTAACTATAAGGTCTGACTGCCTGCGGGGCCGGGCAGAACAGAGTCATATTTTTCTTATTGAAGAAAATGAGTAGAAGAAATATCGCTGAATTCTTTTCCCAGTAAGGAATAACCCTGGGAAGGGAATGCATTCCCGGGTGGTCCTATGGACGGACACTCTGGGGGTGTCTGCCTTATGCGGTTGAAGATGAGGGATGAAATACGCTCTGGTCTCCTGCAGTGCCCCCAGGCTTGCTAGGATTAGGAAATTCCAGCCTGGCGAATTCTAGTCAGACTGGTTCTGTGCTCTTGAACCCTGTTTCCTGTTAAGATGTTTATTAAAGACAATGCGTGCACAGTGGGACATGAAACCTCATCAGTAATTCTAATTTAGCCCTGGCCTTGTGACCTTGCTCTGCCCTTCTGCCCTTGTTATCTTTTTTATTGCCATTTGAAGCATGTGATCTCTGTGATCCACTCCCTATTCGTACACCCTTCCCTTTTTGAAATCCCTAATAAAAACATGCTGGTTTTGTGGCTCAGGTGGGCATCACAGAACTTACCAACATGTGAAGCGACCCCCGGACACCTAGCTGTAAAATTTCTCTGTTTTGTACTCTTTCTCTTTATTTCTCAGGCCGGCCAACACTTAGAGAAAATAGAAAAGAACCTACGTTGACATATTGGGGGCTGGTTCCCCCGATAATGCCTGAGGGTCTAGGAGGAAAAAATGGTTTCATGGGCCAAACCCAGGGTCCCCCTGCTGTGGGCAGTCTAGGGACTTGGTGCCCTGCATCCCAGCCACTCTAGCTGTGACCGAAAGGGGCCAATGTAGAATTCAGGCCATGGTTCCAGAGGGTGCAAGCCTCAAGCCTTGGCAGCTTCCAGGTGGTGTTGAGCCTGTGAGTGCATAGAAGTCAAGAATCAGGGTTTGGGAACCTCTGCCTAGATTTCAGAGGATGTATGGAAACACCTGGATGCCCAGGCAGAAGTTTGCTGCAGGGGCAGGGCCTTCATGGAGAACCTCTGCTAGGGCAGTGCAGAAGGGAAATGTGGGGTCAGAGCCCCAACACAGAGTTCCCACTGAGGCACTGCCTAGTGGAGCTATGAGAAAAGGGCCATGGTCCTCCAGACCCCAGAATGGTAGATCCACTGAGAGCTTGCACCGTGTGCCGAAAAGATGCAGACACTCAACCCCAGCCTGTGAAAGCAGTCAGGAGGGAGGCTATACCCGCAAAGCCACAAAGGCGGAGTTGCCCAGTATCATGGGAACCAATCTCTTGCATCAGCATGACCTGGATGTGAGACACGGAGTCAAAGGAGATCATTTTGGAGCTTTAAAATTTGACTGCCCTGCTGGATTTAGGACTTGCATGGGGCCTGTGGCCCCTTTGTTTTGGCCAATTTCTCCCATTTGGAATGGCTGTATTTACTCAATGCCTATGCCCCCATTGTATCTAGGAAGTAACTAACTTGCTTTTAACAGGCTCATAGGCAGAAGGGATTTGCTTTGTCTCAGATGACATTTCAGACTGTGGACTTTTGAGTTAATGCTGAAATAAGACTTTGGAGACTGTTGGGAAGACAGAATTGGTTTTTAAATGTAAGGACATGATATTTGGGAGGGGCCAGGGGCAGAATGATATGGTTTGATTGTGCCCCCACCCAAATCTCATCTTGAATTGTAATTCTCACAATTCCCACGTGTCATGGGAGGACCCCAGTGGGAGGTAATTGAATCACGGGGATGAGTCTTTCCCATGTTGTTCTTGTGATAGTAAGTCTCACAAGATCTGATGGTTTTAAAAACAGGAGTTTCCCTGCACAAGCTCTCTCTCTTTGCCTGCTGCCATCTACGTAAGATGTGACTTGCTCCTCCTTGCCTTCCACCATGATCATCAGGTCTCCCCTGCCATGCGGAACTGTTAAGTCCATTAAACCTCTTTCTTTTGTAAATTGCCCAGTCTTGGATATGTCTTTATCAGCATGAAAACAGACTAATACAAAACCCTTTTTTAAGCTCTGACATTACATAGGGTAGAGGAATCATTAATGTCTCTGTGTCTTCCCACTTGTTTTTGAAAATAATATAATTTTCTTTCTTTACCTCTCCTCCCTAAAGAATATGTAGAATGGTCTCCAAGAAACCTTGCAAACAGGCTGGATGCAGTGGCTCACACCTGTAATCCCAGCACTTGGGAGGCCAAGGTGAGCAGATCACCTGAGGTCAGGAGCTCAAGACTAGTCTGGCCAACATGGTGAAACCCTGTCTCTACTAAAAATACAAATTAGCTGGGTATGGTGGTGCATGCCTGTAATCCCAGCTACTCGGGAGGCTGAGGCAGGAGAATCACTTGAACCTGGGAAGCAGAGGTTGAAGTGAGCCAAGATCACACCACTGCACTCTAGCCTGGGTGACAGAGTGAGACTCTGTCTCAAAAAAAAAAAGAAAAAACCTCACAAACAATGTCAACTGACTGGGTATATGCTGCTGCACAGGCTATGGTCTTTGGCTATATATAGTATGCATGTTATTGGCCTAACTTAGGCCTCTAGAATTCTGTGCCTTAAGGATCTAGCTGTTGCAAGTAGTTAAGATCCTGAAAGAATAGGTAAAGTGCAGGCAGTGCTGCTAGGTAATACACACTAAAAAGTAACAACTCTGAGGTATGGTGCCCAGCCTCCAAGATGATCCCTGATGATCCTGCCTCCTGGTATTTAGACCCTTGCATAGTTCTCTCCTAGACTGTACTGAGGTTAGTCTACGTGACCAATAGCATCAATAAAAAGTGATGGTATGGCAATCTGAGATTAGGTCATAAAAGATTGTGGTTTCTGTCTTGAAGTGTCTCTGTCTCTCACATATCACATGCCATGTCATGAGAGCACTCAGGCAGCCTATGAAGAGACCCCCACAGAGAGGAATGGAGGCCTTTGACTAAAAGCCACTGAAAAAACAAGCCTGCCACCAACCACATGAGTGAACCTGGAAACAGATTTACTGGCCCCAGTCAAGCAATGAGATGACTGCAAGTTCATGAGAGACTCTGAGCTAGTAACACCAACTATGCTGCTGTAAGCTGAATTTGGTACATAGCAATAATACAGAGAGTTTGGATCTAGAATTAGAAGAGAGGGAGGAGAGGTAACAGAAGAGTAAGTCTGAGCCGTCTTAGTAAAAAGACAAACTTTTATACCTTGGCATCCTACTTAAGTTCATCCTGATGGCATTAAAGCACTCACAAAAAGTTCAATCACATTCACTATACTCTGTTTAATTATGCAATTAAAGAAGAGTCTAATGCAGTTTGAAAGACTCCAGAAAAAAAAAAAGGTTAAATCAAAGAAAGTTTAGATGCTTTAAAATGTAAGCTACATTTACCTGCTTTCTTAAAAATTCCCTATGTGCAATGCTACATTCCCCAATAAACCTAGTAAATGATGCATTTTTCTGGATACGTATATTTGAAATCATACAGATAATGATATCTAGCTTAAAAGAAACCCCCCCTTTTTTTTGCTTAGTTTTTCCTGCCCTATTTATTTAAAAATGTTTAAAGCATGGCACAGTTTACAAGTGAAATACACAGATCTTAAGTGTAAAGTTTGATCATTTTTGACACAAGTATACCTGTGTAATCCACACCACTATCAAAACCAGAACATTTCCAATACCTCAAAAAATCTCTTGTGTATTCCCAAACTTTCTGCCAGAACCTTTCTATCATCATATATTAGTTTTGCCTTCAAGTACATGAAATCAGAAAATATGTATTGTCTGGCTATTTTCACTCAGCATAAGGATTTTCTCATTCACCCATATACGTTCTTGAATATTAGCAGTTCATAGCACTTTATTGTCGTGCAATATTCTTACATGACTATACCAGTTTATTCATTCTCCTGTTGATGGATATTTGCAGTTGTTTCCAGTTTTTTGTTATTATGAATAAAACTGCTATGAGCATTCTTGTACAAGGCTTTCTGTGGATATGTTTTTATTGCTGTTGGTATTATACCCAGGAGTGGGCCACAGGAACGATGCATGTTTAAGAAATTGCCGAACACTTTTCCAAAGTGGTTGTGCCATATTACATTCCCACCAACAGTGACTGGGTGTTCCAGTTGTTCCACATCCTCATTTCACATTTGACACAGTTGGTCTTTCTCACTTTAGCCATTTTAATGGGTGAATTGTAGTATCTCATTGTGGTTGGAAAAATACTTTAAATCAAACCAAAATACAGAATGAAAATCTTACCTTATCAGCTCATCAGGGTTAAAGCAGCTTATATCAGGGAGCCAAGCAGACACGTCATGGCTATGTGGAAGGCACTCTTTTAAAGGGTTCTTTTCATCTGCAGACGAAAGACTCTTTGAGGTGCTCAATGTCACAGCCAGTTGCTTTAAAATAGAAGCTGTCTGGTGATAAATTTCATCAGCATGTTGTGTTGCCACATGTCTATGGATGCTGGTTTGGTCTGTGAATAGCTGCCGACAGCATTTCCACAATTTTTCTTTACATTCAAAACTCCTTTTTGTTGGAACTTCTTTGGTTTTGACAAAAAGGGCAAAGGCCTGCAATTAGATTTCAAATGCTAACACTGTTAAATAACCTTAGGTTTATGGCTAATAGAAGTCTCACTAAGATTCTTTAGATTATCTTTCCACAGGGGCTTCTAGTTTTATGTTCCATTATGTTATACAATTCTCTGAGAAGTAACACTTCTCTTATTAGTAAGCTTTAGAAGAGACTATTAGAGAAATTAAAACTAGGCTTTATATTGAGGAGGTTAAATAACTCTCAGCATCATAATTTTATTCTCAGGATATAAGACTAAGTCACACTGGAAAATACATAATACAGTTTGGCCTAAAATATCACAAATAACACTATTAGTTATTTTCGAAAGGAATATGGAAAGTAAATTATGAAGTATGCTTACCATGGAATATTAAGCAGCCAGTTTTAAGTTATATGGAAAAATATTTTATGATATAATATTAAGTGAAAAAAATTGGATAAAATTGCTTATGCAATGTAATCTTAACCACATTAAAAAGTACATTGAAAAAGACCAGGAAGAAACGTACCAAAATATCTTCCTTCTTGGAAAATAATATTACTGTTTTTATAAAAATTACTTATGCTTATTGTAAAACAATCAAACAGAAAATTCTCTTAACCAGTTACCAACTGATGAACATTTAGATTGTTTCTAATATTTGCAATTAAAAGCCATGTTGAATGAGCATTCCATGCATCTATCTTTCTATATCTTTAACCACCTACTTAGAATATCTAAAATAAAAATTGAGGGGTCAAAGAACATGAAATTTTAATCTGTAATAGTGACTTCCAGGAAAAATGTACCAATTTATACTCTAACCAGAAAAGCATGTGGGTGCCATTTTATCCATAGCCTCACTGAGTTCTATCAGTATTTTTTATCATCAATATTTTTAATGTTGGTCCAAATAAAAGGCAAAAGAAATGCTACCCTATTTTTTTTTTTAATATTTTTGATTAGTAGTAATGCTGAATACTTTTTCCTGCTTAATCTATTTGTTTATTTCTGGCTTGCCTGTTCAAATCTGTTGCCTATTTTTCCATTATAGCATTTATCTTCTTACTGATACGTGTTTTTAGTGATCTTTTGTTGATCATAATTACCAACTTTTTTCTTCACTTGTCATTTGGTTTTCAACTTTGTTTATGGTCTTTTTTGACCTGGGGGGTGGGGAATGAAATCTAATCCATCTGTCTAGGATCCACCCTCCTCAAGTACTCCACCATGGCTATTCCAGGACCACACCTTGCCTATGATTACCCTTTGCCTGGGATGGAATTAACATCACTGGTTAATGTTCCTGACTAGACTTTACCTTGAGCTGGAGAGCAACCTTGATAACCGACTTCCAAATGTATCTGCGTTAACCACACATACATGATCATGAAACATTCATAAGAATTCTACCTTTTTCTTTGCAAACGAGTATTTCTTTTTTGTACTGCCATCTAATTCTGCTTTAAGACTGCTGCTGGGATTAATAAGACTCATATCTTTTAAATCCAGGTCAGAAAATCTTAAAATGCAGTTCTCCAGGTCATCTCCTTGGTCTGGTGAAGTGGAAGAAGGCATCTGGTTTGGTTGCAACAGTGAAGCAGATATTCCTTTCAGTTAAATACCTCCTAGAATATAAATAAGAAAGAAGCAGCCATGCTATTCTTTGATTTCTTGAAGAAAATATGAAGCTAATCAATCACGCAAATCAGCATGGGCAAAGTAGCCCAAGCTAACCATCCATTTACTTACTAAATCAATAGTATTTACTTAGGAACGACTCGAAGTCAAGCACTATTCTAAGCACTGAGAATATAGCAGTAAACGAAAGTGAAAAAGTTTCTGCCTGCTTAGAGTTTACATTCCAGTGGGGTGAAGTAAACAAGTGGATAAATTGATTTTTTATTTTTAAAGTCAGATGGTGTAAAGGTTATGAAGAATAATCAGCAGGGTAGGGAGGCAGTGATGGAGAAGCCCTTCGAACACAGAGAGTAGGAAAAGCCTTTCTGCAGCAATAGCATTTGAGCAGAAACCTGAATTAGGGAGCGAGCCATGCAGTCATTAGGGTAAATAATACCAGAAAAGCAACAGGTACAACCCAAATCAATCAAGATGTGTGCCAGCACCTTCAGTTATAAACACTTTCTTCTTTTTGCCCCTTAATTTCAGAGCTATGAAAATTTCCTTCCTTAGAAGAAATAGTTCCCAAGACAGCCCCACTGTAATATGCCAGAAGAAATGTCAAAATCGCTACTGTGGCCAAATCTTGTCAAAATGGACACACTACAACCATCATACCATGTTGGTTCTTTTGTAAAGCAAAGGTGACAGGTGACAAGCACTAAGAGGCACACTGAGAAAAAGTATGGGCTTTGGTTTGTGCTGCAGCAGTTTGCCAAGCATGTGAACATGGGCAAGCTACTTAAGGTTTCTGAGTTCTAAATCTCTCTTGTGGAAATTGTGCATTGTAGTATCTACATTACAGTACTGTACTGTAGACTGGAAAGAAATATTAATATATAGTGTCTGGCACAAACTAGGGTTCAATGAATGGTAATATTATTAATATTTTAATTGAATGCTGTATTTTAAATTTAACATTAAAATTTTATTTAAAAATTAGCTGTGACAGATTATATTTTCCAAAAATGGCTGCAGCAGTATTTCTGGTCCATTTCCCTAAGCCTAGGCAGGCTTGTTAACTACTCCCAAAAATAAAGCGTGATGGAAGCAATGCTGTATGACTGAGGTTGGGTTCTCAAAAGGATACGCTAGTGCAAGCTCTCATTCTGAGATGCTCACGCTGAGGAGACCAAACCACTGTATTGTGAGTAAGCCAATCCAACCCATGCAGAGACCACACACAGAGAACCAGGTGGAGAGGAACAGAGGCCTCCAGCTGACAGCCAGCATCAACCACTAGACCCTTCAGATTCCAGATTGGCCTCTGAGCTGAGAGCAGAGACAAGGTGTCCCTGTTGTGCCCTGTCCAAATTCCTGCCCCACAACATAACAACTGGTTATTTCATATTACTAGTGAACTGGCAAAGTTAGTTTCTTCAGGACAATATTGAAGGAGGCAGCCAGAGGTGGACACTGAAGGTTCTGAAAATAGTAACATGCAAAGTAGTCCCAAACTCCACAAGAGGGAGCAGAAAAAGCACCACTAAGAATGAGAGAAAGGAAGGTGGGAGACACTGGTGACAAACTTTGCCAATTCACAACTCTGCCTACAGGGTACCTCAACCAGGTGAAGGCAACAAGGAGCAGTTTATGTGTGGGGGAACACACACTGCTTGTTAACAATGCTGGATAGGACTGATGGAGACTAAACATACACAGACACACACAGGCAATACCAACTTTCTTATAAAGGACCTTTGTTCCTTGGATTCATAAATTAAGATGTCACTTGCACCACATAAAATGCATTTGAATCAGCTAAGTGGTGCTTTCATGGGGCTCAAAATGAGCTTTGTTATAAGGGTAAGGCAAGGTAATACAGATTTATTAAACCTAAATTCTCTTGTATTTGAAAAATAAGTGGAAGAGACTGGGTGAAGAAATACTACCTTCTTTAGCTTCTCTTTCCTTTCTCATGAAAATGTCTTTCATATAAAGTCCCACTGAAAAAAGTACATCCCTAACTCTACACAAACCTGTAAGCCTTCCAGGCAGAAGTAAAATAAGTAGAAGAATCTTATTCAACACACTTCCTCCATGCTCAAAGCTGTTTTATTGTAAAGGTAGAGAAAGTACATATATCATTTCCAAATTAAAATTCATTCAACAAATATTTATGGAGGGTCTTCTAGGTTCCAGGCATTGTTCTAGAAACAGATAACTTATTTACCTATAAGGGCAGTACATTTGGGAGGTAACATTGTCGAAAGGAATTACTATCCAATCCGGTCCCACCTCCAGCATCTTTTCCAATCTCCCTCTATATGACCTGATGTAGTCTGTCCCAGCATTTATGCTTTCCACTGCTTTGTTTCCCTTACTTTTTCACTTCTTTCCCTCCCCATATGCTTACTATGTATATGAAGACTGAACTCAAGTGTCACCTTTCACTTATGTCTTGTCTGCTACCCTGTGTCACTGCTTCCTTTGAAGGCCTGAAAAACTTAGTTTCCCTATACTCTAGGCTCATCTCTGACTATGCTCCCCATTCCCCATCAGATATCCTACTCTAGCCACACTGGACCATGCCCAGTTCCACAAATGAGCCATGTTCTTTCCTGACTCAAGGTCTCTGCACCTGAGTGTGGGGTGCCTTTCCCACCACCCCAAAATGATCTCCTCCGACTCTGCATCTTTTTTCAGTCTCAGCTTATTTTGATTTATGTACATACTCTGAATTATTATTATTTGTGGCACCTCTGCTATGTGCCGGGCCCATGGAATAGTCCTGGGAATGCAGCTATGAATGAAACAGTTGAAGTACCTGCTCTCTTGGAGCTTATATTCTGGTAAGGAGAGACATTAAGTAAGTAATAAACAAACAAACAAACAAACAAACAAATCATGAAAATACCAGCTAGGGATAACGGCCCCTGCTTCTCAGTTTCCTTTGCTGGATCTTCCTTATTACCCCAACCTCTAAATGTTGAACCACTCTATCTATACTTACCCTACAGGTGATCTCATCTACTTCCAAGGACTTAAAACTATATTTGCCTCAAAATAATTGAGAGAGAGGAGGTAATATCAATGAAACCAGATTACCCATGAATTAAGAATTACTGAAGTTGATGATGAGTACATGGGGTTTCATCATAAATTTTCCCTACTTCTGTAAATATTTGAAAATTACATGAGAAAAGAAAAAAGGGAAACATAAAGGAAATTTTCTGTTTAGAATACTATATAATAAATGACTCCATATTTATATCTTCAACCTGGGCCTTTCTCCCAAACTACAAATTCATATACCCCACTGTGTGTGAATTTTACACTGTGTGTGAAGCCAGCTAGCTTCAGCTTCAAATACAACTGTTCAAAACCAAACTTTCGTCTTCCCCAGTCTTCCTTATCTGAGTAAAAGACAATTTTATTCTTCCTGTTATTCAGACAAAAAAAACTTTGGGATGATTCCTGACTCCTTATTTTCTCACACTATCATTCACTTGTTCAGAAAATACTTTTTTTTGAGACGGTTTTCGTTCTGTCACCAGGCTGGAGTGCAGTGGGGTGATCTCGGCTCACTGCAACCTCCGCCTCCCAGGTTCAAGCGATTCTCCTGCCTCAGCCTCCCGAGTAGCTGGGAGTACAGCTGCACGCCACCACACGCAGCTAATTTTTGTATTTTTTTTTTTAGTAGAGACAGGGTTTCACCATGTTGGCCAGGATGGTCTCAATCTCCAGACCTTGTGATCCACCCACCTCGGACTCCCAAAGTGCTAGGATTACAGGGGTGAGCCACCATGCCTGGCCAGCTTTGCTTTTGAAGTACAATCCAATCAGATCACTTTGCACCACCATCTTTACTACCACCCTAGTTCAAGCTACTATCATTTGCAGCTAGAATTACTGCAAAAGCTGAACTATCTTCCTCCTTTGGGAGCATGAGAAGTAACTATTAAAAAAATAAGTCAGACTGGCCCTGCACAGAGGCTCATGCCTGTAATCTCAGCACTTTGGGAGGCCAGGAGTTCAAGACCAGCCTGGCCAACATGGCGAAACCCCATCTCTACTAAAAATATACAAATTAGCCTGGTGTGGTGGCGCATGTCTGTAATTGCCGCTACTTGGGTGGCTAAGGCACAAGAATTGCCTGAACCTAAAAGGCAGAGGTTACAACGAGCCAAGACCGTGCCACTGCACTCCAGCCTGGGCAACAGAGCGAGACCCTGTCTCAAAAAAAAAAAATCATACTCCAATGACTTCTCAATTCACTTGGATAATGTCCAAAGTCCTCACAGAGCACCTTCCCCCTACCTCTCTGATCTCATCTACCACTCTCCCGTTGCTCACTACCTATGATGGCACTATTTGTGGGTATTCCTGAATGGGTCGTTAGAATATATCAGCGCCAAGAGAGCAGGGGTTTTCCTTTGTTCACCTCTACATCCTCAGCATTCAGAACTCTGCCTGGCACCTAGGAGGTGCTAAATGCTAATAAATATAATATTCGTTGAATGAAATAAAACAGTGATTGGGTAACCAAAGAAGGCCTCACTAAGGACCTGACATTTGAGCTGAGACCTAAGTGACCAAGAGCCAGCCACGCAGATTTAGAACCAGAGACCTTCAGGTAAAGGAAATAGTATAAGTTCCTAAAATAAGAACAAGCTTGACTTATTGTAAGAACAGAAAGAGTGGTTGGAGTACAGTGAGGAGAAGTAGAACCCCACAGGCCATGGCATGGAGTGTGCAATGGAAAGTCGTAGGAGACTTTTTTTTTTTGACACGGTCTCACTTTGTTGCCCAGGCTGGAGTGCAGTGTGCGATCACCGCTCACTGCATTCTCGACCTCCTGGGCTCAAGGGATCCTCCCACCTCGGCCCCCAACCCTCCCCTCGAGTAACTGGGACTACAGGCGCCAAACACTAGGCTCAGCTAATTTTTTTTTTTTTCCTGTAAAGACGGTGTTCGCCTTGTTGCCCAGGTGGGTCTTGAACTCCTAGGCTCAAGCGGATCCGCCCGCGTCGGCCTCCCATAAGTGTTAGGATTACAAGCGTTAGCTACCCCGCCCGGCCGTCATAGGAGACTTTTAAACAAAGCAGTAACACGATCTGATTCTGGATTTGTGTTGAAAGCAGAGCAGGCAGGGTTTACAGATAATTGTTATGTAAAAAGAGGGAAAAGAGCTAAGAAAGACTCTAAATTTTTGGATTAAGCGGCCGACGGATGACGTCATTTACTGAAATGGGTAAGACCGAAGGAGAATTAGGCCGGGAGAGTGAAATTTCAGATGGCCATGGACAAAGCAGATAAGCCAGTATGGTGCTCATAAAGACATCAGGGGAGGGGACGCTCACACACAGGCATATAGGTACCCAATAACCCTTGAAAACAGATTACTAAAACAATCATTTGTTCCTTCCTAAGCAAACAACTTAAGGAAAATGACGGCCAGCCGGCAAGCCCGGAGCCGCACGCTCGCGTCAGGGCCGGCCTTTCCATACCAAGGGGCGGCACGTGCGGCACCGCCTCCCGCCCAGGCCCCACCCCGCATGCCGAGCTTGGCCCAACCTCTCCTCCCACTTTTCCCAAGGCGGCAAAAGCCGGAAAGTGGGAGTAGATGAGCACATACCCGCCAGTCCTGATCCTTTCTAAGGTCTCTCTTCCCTGCACTGTCTCCGCCTAGCAATTGTCACTGCTCACCGCCCTCGAGCCTATTCCCCCGCCGCGTATTTGGGTAGAAAAGCTCGCTCGTGACGTCACCAAGCTCCGGAAGTCTCCTGGCGTCGGCGCAAGGGCCGCCGGGAAAACCATTGAGAGGCCACCGGGAAACCATTGAGAAGCCCCGGAGGACCGGCCTGAGCGGAGGCGGAGACTAGAGCGGCCGCCGGCACGACCCGCCTTCAGGCGTACGACGACCGCGGCCCGGGGGCTCTGAGTGGCCAAAGCGGCGGCACTTTCTGCGTGGCCCCGGAAGGACATAGAGCGGAAGGCGGGAGAAAGAAGTAGCCGGCAGGCGGAGGCAGCCCGAGGGGGCGGTTGCATGTGTGCCAGACGTTCGTAGCCCACTGAGCTTCCTCACGCCGGCTGTCGCAGCGCCTAGCCCCACCCGGCGGCCTCTCCTGCGCTTCCGGGGCCGTGGCGAGCTAGTGCGCCTGCGTGCCGGCCCATCCGCGCGCCTTGCAGCTGTCCTTGCGTCGGCCAGCGGCCAGACAGTTCCTGCAGCGCTTACCGCCTGGCCTCTCGGTTCCGCGGCGCACCGGAGGGCAGCATGTCGCGGCGGCGGCACAGCGACGAGAACGACGGTGAGTGCCTGCGGCCCGGCCACGGAGGCCGCTCCCGGTTGGGAGCCGAGGCTCGGCGTCTTTGGGTGTCCACGGAAGAGACTGGAAGCTCTTCTCCCCGGGAACGTGCGGGGAGCCGCGGAGGGAAAGAGGAGAATATGGTGGCGGTGTGGTCGGGCGGCTTCTAGAAAGCGACTTCTCCCCCGCCCCAGTTCTTTGAGTCAAGGGCCGATCCTCGGGAAAGAAGGCCTGGTGAACCCCATGGGTAGACCCTTGGTCTCTAAGGATGCTTCAGAATTTCGTCCGTAAAACCACGGAGCAGGGAAGCACACCTGTGTCTGTGCTGCCGCCTCTTAGGGACCCACTGGTCCTAGTGTCTCGTTTTAACCTTCAAAGCTGCACCTGAAAAGGGCTCGGAAGAATTCACTGAAGGAAAGGACTGAGAGATCTCATGAGTTGCAGTCTGAACTCTGTTCCGGTAGTGGTTATCCGTTGATTTCACTTCTTTCAAGCTGCAGGGAAAGAATATTGTCTTACCTGCGCCCAAGAGGTCCCTAATAAACAGACACAGGTTACTGCAGATTTTGAACTGGCCGTAAGCGCATTTCCCTTGTGTGAGAGAGAGTGCTAGAAAACTAACTTCAGGCCTCTGAGAGAGTTAGAACAGGGGTTCCCATCTCCGTTTGGATGATTGTGCTCGTGGAGATCAGTGTTGCCTTCATAAAGATGGAATAATTCTAGTTTTAACAACAACAAAAAAAAGATGCTTATATTACACATAAGCCTTACAATCGGTCAAAAACACAAATCCACACACCAAAAAAGTAAAACTTAGAGTAATTCTATTGTTAACATTTTAGTGTATTGTTTTTTGAAGAGAGTGTATAGTAGTGGTTAAGAGATGAGACTTTGGAACCAGAGGGTTTAGGTTCAAAGCCAGACCCTACCATTTACTTGGTGATCTTGTCCAGGTTATGAAATCTCCTTAAACTTTAGTCTGTAATACAGAAGTAATGATATTTATATCTTCTGGTTTTTGTGAAGGTTAAATGAGGTAATACACATCAGCAACAATGATGTTTTATCATTTGCCAACGCTTAAGAGGCGGTAAACGTTAGCAGATGCTGTCAATGTAAGAAAAAAACCCATAACAGACATTTTAAATTGAGTAAATTTTATCTACTAACGTTTGTCTCTCCTTGAGTGTTGTGGCAGTTGAGGTGGAGGCAGAATCGCATGCATTTAGTTTTAATAGTGAAACACCAGATTTCTACGAAGGAATGGCTTGAGAGGATATTCTAGTCCAGCTTTCTATCTGACACCTAAGGGTCTAGAGACTGAGCATAACTAAGATGGAGGGACAGCTGTCAGTTCCCAAACACCAGCAAGAGCGAATCCAGTCCGGGGCTCTCTTCACTACACAGGTATAAATTAAATAACTATGCTGCGTGCTTTGATTTCTAACACGAGGTTTCTTGTGTAACCTCTGTACAAGGCACAGAAAATACAATTCCCTCCCTTTTTTTTTTTTTTCTGAGACGGAGTGTCATTCTTTGTCAGGCTGGAGTGCAGTGGCGCGATCTCGGCTTACTGCAACCTCCGCCTCTCAGGCTCAAGTGATCCTCCCACCTCAGCCTCCTAAGTAACTGGGACCACAGGCGCGGGCCACCACGCCCGGCTAATTTTTTTTTTGTTTTTGTATTTTTTGTAGAGACGGGGTTTCGCCACGTTGCCCAGGCTGATCTTGAACTCCTGAGCTCAGGTGATCCACCCGCCTCGGCCTTCCAAAGTGCCGGGATTACAGATGTGAGCTACTGCGCCCGCCGATAATACAATTTTCATATGCTTTGTAATTGACTAGTCAAAAACTAATATACTTCTCAAGTCATTACTTGGGGGCTGGAGAACTTGAGTCTTTTGTTCTTTTCTTTGTTGTTCTAATGCTTCCTTTTTCTCACTTAGAGGTAATCCCTAAAGAGAGAGGAAATGTCATTGTAGGGCATCCTAGAGAATTGGAATGCTAATATGTAGAAAAATAACTTTTGCTTTGGTTATTGGGAGACTTACATAACTTTCTTGGAGTTGGCTTGTTTTTAACACCAGCTGGCAGCCAAATCACTGTCCATTTGGGTCTTGCCGCGAGAACCTCAGAGTAAATAAGACAAGTAAAACAAAGCATTCATTAAGCAAAGGTTTTTATGGTTGATATTTTAGTGTGGGAGAGGCAGATACAATTCATGTTTGATAATACAGCAAATCTGAAATTTTTGTCAGTTGCCACAATTTGGATAACGATCGCTGGAGTTTACCCTACACAGTGATCTGAATCAGATTATTTTGGATGCTTTCCTTTTAGTTAAAAATCTATTTTTTAAAAAATAAATCTTAGAAGCTTAAGGATTATAGAAGGCTATTTTAAAATAGGGTAGGAATTATTACAGTCAGAATTAAATAGATGCATCTGAGCATTTCTGGACAATTGTCAGCTGCTGTCAGTCACTGCCCTGACTTTCCGTATGCTTGACTCTCTATATATAGAGTGTGTGTATATATATAAACTATAATAGAATGTATTATATATATTTATATATTATATAAATTTATATTTATATATTATAAATTTATATTTATATATTATATAAGTTTGTTTATTATAAGTTTTATATAAATATATACTCTAATATATATTTTACATATAATTATATACTGTATATATAGAAGCAAGCATATGGAAAGTAATACATATATATATATATATATATATATATATATATATATAAAATCATTTATTCAACAAATACTTAACAGTGCCAAGCTCTGTCCTAATTACTTGCCATACAGCAGTGGACAATATAAAGATAGAGCCTCCCCTCTAGAGTAGAGAGAAGACAGTCAAGTAAAGTATAGTGTATCATATAGTGACAGGCGCTATGGAGTGATACCAGGTAAAGAGGGGAGAGATTTCTGTGAGGGAGAAGTTACTATTTTATGTAAGTTGATTAGAGAAGGCTTCGGTGTGAATGGCATTTGAACAAAGACTTGCCGGAGGTAAGGTAGCAGCCATATAGCTGTATGGGGAAAAGCTGTGATCCAAAGGTAACCATGGGCACAAAAGCCTGAAGACTATAGGGTTCCTGTCATGTTAACAGAAGAGCAAGGAGGCCAGTGGTGCTGGAGCAGAGTGAGTGAGGGGGAAGTTGTAGGAGATAAGATTAGAGAGATAGCAGAGGGTTGCATCTTATAGGGAGATTATAAAATTATACTTCTGTGTTGAGACTCGACTATCAAAGATTAAGGGGGGTAGGATTAGGAGGCTATACCAATGAAGTTCATGTAGTAGTCCATTTATAAACAAGGAAAAGGAAATGCTAAATGGAAAGTAATGTGTATGGATACTAGTCCAGTGCTAAATCTTAACTAATTGCTTAGACTTGCTTTAAAAATGTCTCTGAAGCTTTTTAGTTACTATGGGATATGCAGTCCATTGTTTGTTCTTTTAAGAAAGTATTTAGATTGTTCAAAATCTTAGCTAGAAACAATACGAATACAATTTTGGGAATTTGGGCAATTTACAAAAATTTCAGATTTGCTGTATTAGCCCCATTTAAGCTTCTTAGAATTAGGTCCTTGTCTTTTGGACTGTGGCTGATTTTTTTACTTAACTAAAGAAAAAAATAGAAGTGAAAGGATTTGTTATTTTGAGAGAGTATAGTTTATTTCAGAAGTGATGGTTGCCTGTTTTAAGTCTGCGGGCTCAAGGCATGTTATCTTTCAAGTTGTTCAATATCAAAATAGATGAGCCAAAAAGAAGGGAACAGTGTGCTTAAGGTTTAAAAACGTAATGTTGAAGTTGTTGGTTTTAGTTACTTTACTTTTCTATTTTACAGGGTTGGTTTTTGTTTTCCATTTTGTGGGTCTAAAATTTCTTGTAAGGCTATAAGATGTACAGTGTACCCGTATAAAATTAGGATTGACTTATAGAGGGGAAATTTATTTGGTTTATTAAGATCCTTTCAGATGGATTTTATACCTGCTTCTCTATACTAGCCAAGTCTGTCTGAGTGAAGTGGTAATGTTATCTTTAATTTACATTTTAAAACTTTTACATAGTTAAATTTTAATAAAAAATCTGTTCTTGCCTTGGGAACTACCATAGATACGTTTTCTTCAGGGTACATTGAGCGAATTCCCCAAATTGTATTCGTATTGTTTTATTTCATTTCCCTGTTCCCTTACCCAGGTTGTCTTATGAGTTCAATATCATGTTTCTGTTCGTAAGTTCAGATTTTGTCTGTAGTCTTCACCCCTTTATAGTCTCTCAACTATCAGGTGAAAGTGGAACATTTCTTACCTCTTAATACTTTCTGCCTCCTCCCATTCTCCAGACAAATATTGTCCTTTAATATAGCCAAAATGAACAAAGGGTTTGCAGTTCAGAGATGTGACTATGTACATGTATTTTCTAGTTGTTTCTCAGAAATCATACCTTCTCTTCCCACAGCACTATTTTCCCCTTTTCAAGCTTATAAGAGGGCCTAGGAGGGTTGCTTTAAAGGCTGTGGTATGATTCCAAACTGGAACAAGCCAGCTGGAAAGTTAAGTTAGGAAGACTGTAGAGGTGGAATAAAGGGTTGGCAAAATAGATGAGCCAGAAAGAAGGGAACAGTGTGCTTAAGGTTTAAAAAACAGCAACAAAAAATAACTGCTCTCATTCAGCTAGTTTTTCAGCATCTGCATTCTCCCAACCTCACTGAAATTTGGTTCTGAGGAGCTCTGCTTTCTAGAATACGGTTTCTTAACATCAGCACTATTGACATTCTTGGCCAGTTATTTGTTTTGGGAGATGCCCTATGCAACGTGAGATATTTAGCAGCATGCCTGGCCCCTACCCACTAGATGCCAGTTGCTTCCCCTAGTTTTGACTACTAAAAATGTCTCCAAGGTTTGCCAGATGACCACTGGGGGCAAAATCTACACCCTGTTGAGAACTACTGCTGTAGAAGAAGGCTATTTGAATGTCCTAGCTGGCAGCTTGCGTAAATATTACATCAATTATGCTTTTTTTCAATAAGTGAATCCTGGAAATGAAAGACCTTTGTGTGAAATTTGGCACTTTGGGTGGTGGAACCTTGATAGGTCCTGTGACTTAGGTTTGATCTATACTTAAGAATCAAGGTCCCTGAACCTCTGTGCCACACATGTCTACAACTTTACACAGGCAGATATCTCCAGGAATAAATACATCTCAGCTCTCATGCTGCATGCGTATTATACTTTTTGTGGCATTATCCTTTCAAAATTATAGTCAGTGGACATTCAGTCAGGTTATCATGGTAATTAATGGGTTGGGAAGTTGACGTACAGAGTGTCTTACCCTGTAACCTTTATAATACCCCCCCTCAGATCCTATGTGGATAGTAATAGATTCGTTTTATTCAGCTTCAGTTCATGTGGTATCTGAAGATCATTTCAGTCATTCAATAGATTTAACATTCCAAGCTTAGAATAGCCAGGTGCTGTGTTTTATGAGAATCACCATACATCATTTTCAAGCCAAGTGTTCCATAGGCAAGTAAGTGATTATGAACTTTGTAACAATAATTCCTTTGGCTGTTCAGATCTGAAGATTGAAGTTATATGTAACTTGCTACTGTGTAACCATATATCCAACTGCAGATTTTCATTATTAATACCGATTCCCTGCACAGTTACAGGCTCTTGCTTTCTTGTCCATATGCCGACCAAATAATTGAATCAATGGAAGTCGAAAATTGGATTGTATTAGACTAGCCAAAGTGTTTAGCAGCAGCATCAGGTTCCATACTTAACACTATTATTTTAATTTTTTAAGCTTTATGTTATACCACAAAAGGACTTAGGTGAGTGTGTTAAGGCTTTAAACAAAGTGGTAAGAGATACAAACAGCAAGGGTCTTAATAGACAGGTGTTTGAGGTTAATTTTTAGCACACCTTCATTCAACTTGAATTGTTGAGCAATCAAAAAGACAGATGCTTGGTAATGATTTTAGAATGGTAGATTTAAAAAACATAGAGATTATTCGAATGATATGGTTTTTAAATAAAGCAGTTATCAGTAATTCAGTTAATAAAAGCTAGTTAAAGCAGGAATTGTAAAACGTGGTCCTTTTTTCCACCAATTTTTTGATATAGTGCTCAGGACTTTTCTTTGAATATACGTATACTGACTGTCGTTCCCATTATTTAGGATAAACTATACCGTTGTGCTGCATCATATGCAGAACTGAAATTGTTAATTGAAGACTTGAGATTAGAGCTTAGAAACATGTGAAGCAAGTGAGAAATCCTAATGTTTTATGCTCCTTTTTCCCATCTTTTGAAGCTTTCCTCTTTATAGCTGATATGACAGCTTTTTTTTCTGATCAAGTCTTTCCAAAGCATTCGACTTGGTTTTGCACCCTTATTTTGTCATTTACATAATACATTATTAGACTAATGAATACTACTGGTACTAACAGGTTTCGGAACAAGCAACTGAGGATCAGTAAACAACTCAAGTTAAAAGAATGGGAGTAGCGGTACATGAGTATTCTAACTACTAGTGTTTAACATGTTGTTGGCAGCTTTCCAGCTTGTCCACAGAAATGGACAGGGCTGCTGATTGCATAGCTCCATGGGCACTACTCACACAAAATTTAACATAAATAATGCCTCCTGGAGTTATTGTATATAGTGGCTCTGGGAATGGGAGGCTGTTGGTTAATCTAGCTTAGTCTGAGAAATGGAGGGTCTGTGAAGAGCTTCTACTCTGTAAAAACATAGGGCCTGGTAGAAAAGAGATTATAACCTAAAAAGGTTAAATAAAATTTGTGATAGCAGATTTATCATGTAATGTTAATTTTTTATGTTGCTGAAATAGGTGGGCAGCCTCACAAAAGGAGAAAGACCTCTGATGCAAATGAAACTGAAGATCATTTGGAATCTTTAATATGTAAAGTAGGAGAAAAGGTATGTCACACAATAGGCACAGGCTGTGATGGGTTTAAGAATGTGGTTAACTGTGCTTTGATTAATTTTTGCAGCTGAAAAGTTGGACTACATTTTGGCAAAGCTGGTATTACCATGCATCTGTATCCCAAATTGAATCCATGTTGAAGCCCCTGGGATGTAGATAATTGATCATTTTTAGTACTTTAGTAATTAATAATTTTCATAGAAGATGAGCCCTTAGAAGGGACCTAGGGTATAGACCCCTTAATTTATGCATGAACTAAATCAGCCCTGAATACTTGAGGTAATTTGCCCAGAGTAAGAGAGTGAATTAGTAAAAGAGGTAAAATGGAGCCCATGGTGTCCTCCCATTTCTAATACTTATTCTGTTATCATAGACTGCTTAGTTTTTAAATTTCACTCGTCCACTTTTCATGGATTTCTGAAGAACAATAACTATCTGAATTGATTTATACTAAACCCATTATAGCTCTGTATGCATGTAAGACTATTTTAATGATCATGCAGAAGTTTTTATTTTAGTTCACTAAAATAGCAATTGAAAGGACAGATGATTGGTAATGATTTTAAAATGATAGATTTTAAAATATGTATATATTTACATTTAAATAGATTTTTAAAAATAAATTTATGTTGCTGAGTACTTGACAGATATTTAATGTGATGTCCTCTACAGAGTGCCTGCTCTTTGGAGAGCAACCTAGAAGGCTTGGCTGGTGTTTTGGAAGCTGATCTTCCTAACTACAAGAGCAAGATCTTAAGGCTTCTTTGTACAGTGTATGTATGCAAAAGATTTATGAATCCAGGTGATAATGTATTATCTACTCTTAAATGCTTTGGGAAATGTTCAAAATACATGTTTATGTTCTATATGTCCTTGGCTTTACTTCTATGGGGAAATTTGTACAAATGAGCCAACCTTTGGCGCTTTGGCGAACTCTTTTTCTTAGGGATAAAACTAAAATTGAACATTTTCCTTGTATGTTCTTACAACCTTAGAATCATTTTAGTTGACTTTTTATAGAGATAGTAGATACTGTCTCATTCAGATATATATTTTTAAGCATGTACATTTAAATGTATGATACTTACATTTTTAAATTAGTACCAGACAAATTTGGGAATTGGTAACTCAGGTAATAGCCCTTCTTGGAAGACTGAAGATGCTTTGGAAGCCACTGTTAATAGGCATACTCTCTGGATAAATGGGAGTCTTTGTAGTTACATGAAATTGTAATGTATCCATGAGGTGTTTTTAAATTATGAAGGTGATGTTTATCACTTCTCAGCCTTTTAGTTTAGATCAAGTGAAGGTAACTTTAAGAAACTACTAAGGAAATCTTCTGAAATCCTTTATTAAAATGGAGTAGTATTTACACTTAAACTGTTGGAAGCCTTGTTTGTTTAAGGCTGAACTTGTATTGCTTCGCAGTGTTCTTTTTTAATTTTTGGTTTTGGGAGGGTTTCAGGGACCACAGTTACCATCAACACAGGTATTTTTTTTGAAGACCTTGATTGTCCCTGATGTTCTGCTAGGTACTTTAGGAAAACAAGTCAAAGAGAATCTCTTGCCCACTTAATGATTATGAATTCTTATTGCTTTTTGAGCTAATTCTAAAGGCTGCCTAAATTAGGAAAAATTGCTTTTTCTAAAGGTTTATTGTAATCCTTTCCCATACTTTTAAAATAACTTTAATGAAATCAGCACACTTGGAGTAAGCAACTGAGACGTAAACAAATCTTAACTATATCAGAGTATGTTTTTAAAAAATTCAATAATTAAACTGGTAGGAACTTAGATGAAACTCGTTTTAATTGTGCATCTTTTCTAAACAACTAGAATAGTGTTTCTCAAAGTAGAATTCTAGTTCCATGACATTTGGTTAGCTAAGTTTAGAAATTCTGAATGCTGCACGCCCCCCCTTAATGATTCTGTATTAAAGAGGCTTGTTTCACCCAGGATTTCTGAGCTATTTTACCATGGAAACCATGTTCTGTGGAAATGCTATTCAGTTCCACTAAGCACACTTGAAGAAAAACTGTTGTAGCATTAGTTTTATTTATTTCAGTATGATAACTTTACAATTAAATCATTTACTTTCTTAACTCTTAGATTAACTGATGAATTAAAATGAAAAATTACGGGACTATGTCTGTAACATTTCTCAATGACATGCTTTTTCTGAAGTATTTTTAAAGACATAGCTAAAAGTAATCCTGTTCCAAAGTTAATGGAATGATAAAAAGATTCACATAAAATTCAGCAACTTAACGCCATTGTTTTGGGGTTTTCTTGTTATACTGGGTTCTTAAATCAGTGCACGCCTATTACCTGAGAAGCTGACAATTTATACAACATTAGTTGGACTACTGAATGCCAGGAATTACAATTTTGGTGGAGAATTTGTAGAAGCCATGATTCGTCAACTTAAAGAATCATTGAAAGCAAACAATTATAATGAAGCCGTGTATTTGGTAAGTTAGTTTGTTTGTTGGTATGTTATGACTACTGTTGGGATGGAGGGAAAAGGTGAACTACAACCAAATAATTTAAAATGCTCTCCTAAAACATTCTCATTCACTTTCATAGCTTCATAAGCCACCTTTATTTTGACGATACCCCCAAATCTGTAACTGTATCTCCAACCTTTCTCCTGAGCTCCAGTCCAGTATTCCAGATGCTAGCTGCATAGCCTTCAGATACCTTACTAGGAAGTGCCTAAATTAATGCATCATTCATACCTCCTTTTTTCTGCCCTCTCCCCAGCTCATACAGTGGCCACTGTGTACTGAATAACCCATCTAGAAAGCTGAGCATTAATTTTTGTCTTCCCTTTGCCCTCTCGTACCATAGGTGTTCCCAATCCCTGTCAATTCTGTCTCCCTAATTTCTCTCAAGTCTGTCCTTTCTTAGTCTCCAGGGCCTCTAGCATAGTTTATGCCTTCCTCCAGATGTTCTTAATAGCCTCTTAACTGATCTTTTTGCATCTAGATTCTCTGCTTTTCACTTTGTGTTCTACAGTGGCACCAGACTGGTCTTTCTATAACTAGGCTCTGCACATGTTGGTTACTGGTTAAAAAAACCTTAGTTCCTTCCCATTGTCTACAGTGAGTGGTCTTAAAAGCCTGGTGCACAAGATGATTCCTTGGGTTTCAGGAAGTGAATATTAAGAACTCTTATTTATCTTAAGTGGAAATGAAATTAAACCTTACTAATAATACATAGATTAATGGTGATCCAGTGTATATCATAAATACATATGTATGTGTTGAAGATATGTGATCAAATTCTTTTTTACTGAGTACACAATCAAAAAAGTTTGGACACCCATCAGGCTATAGGATTAAAGTCCAGACTCTTTAGCCTGACCCTTTATGGTTTCCCCAGTCTGTTTCTCTATTCTTGTCTCCCATATGCTCCCCAGCAATATCAAAATAACTTGCAGATCCCTAAACACACCTTGTTTTTGAACCTCTATGCCTAGACTGCCCTCCTTGCTCACTACTTGAGGCTGTTGCTATCCTTTATGACCTAGCCTAATTGTTACCTCCTTTGTGATGCTTTCCCCAACTCCCTTTGTCATTGTTCCTAAAAAATGCTTAATTTGCCTTTTAGTGTGGGAGTCATTCCTTTGTATTGAGATTGTGCTTGTTCCACTAGAATGGGTCCCCTAACAGTGACTTTTAGTAGTGTTTAGCAATAGCACACTAAGCACACCCAATAAATATGTGTTCTGTAATTTCCATTTCTGTAATTCAGTGAAAATTACAGCCAAACAGAAAAGGAGATTATAGGTTGAAGTAGCTAGAATATTTTACAATCTGGATTCTTGATGTAGTATAGCATAGAAACGTATGAACTCACAGATTACTGTCCTTTATATAGTCTTTGTTACAACTTCTCAATTCTGCCATTGTAGCACAAAAGCAACCATAGACAATATGTAACTGAATGAGCGTGGCTATTCCACTAAGTTTACTTATGGGCACTGAAACTTGAATTTCATGTAATTTGTATATGTCATAAAATACTCTTGATTTTTTTTTCACGCATTTAAAAATGTAAAAACCATTTTTAGTTCCCAGCTATGCAAAAAACAGGTAGTAGGCTAGATTCAGCCCTTAGGCTATAGTTTTTTAGACCAATAGTTTAGCCTATACAAGATTGCTTATTTTGTAGTTATTATAAAGAACATTTAGGTTTAATAGCAGAAATTGTTTGCCCCAACAGGTCCGTTTTTTATCTGATCTTGTGAATTGTCATGTGATTGCCGCCCCATCAATGGTTGCTATGTTTGAAAATTTTGTAAGCGTAACTCAGGAAGAAGATGTACCTCAGGTAAGAGAACCCCTCATGCTGAATCTTGAGGGGTTCTTGAGGGGTTACTGAATCCTGGTACTTCCATATAGTACCAGGAATTTTTCGCTGATAACCCATTAGCAATAAAGAAAAAAATAACAGCAGACTATCACACTTTAAGTTCTTACTATCTAAAAATTAAGCTGACTGGCACACTGGTGGGTTCTCATAATATCTGTATGTTGATTTAAATGATGCTGTCTAGTAAGATTAGAACTAATATATCTAGAAATGCTCTGTATAAACCAGATGTCTTATTTAAGTCCTATTAAATAGCTTCCATAGGATTTCATTCAAGAATAAATAAAATATGAATGAATATAATTAAAGCATATTTTAAACTTAACTTTTTAAAAATCCTTTAGGTGCGACGAGATTGGTATGTGTATGCATTTCTGTCATCTTTGCCCTGGGTTGGAAAGGAGTTGTACGAAAAGAAAGATGCAGAGATGGACCGCATCTTTGCCAACACTGAAAGCTATCTTAAGTAAGGGCACAGCTCATAGTACTCTTTGTTGCTTAGGTAAAGGATATCTTATATCAGTGATACCATTTGAGTTTCTCAAAAATAAGCTGTAGAGTTCCTGAAGGTATTTTCTAGGTAATCCTGTTCTCCTGCTGTTTTAACTCACTGAGACCTCAAAGTAGTCAGATATGGTTTGCTTACTTTTGCCAGTGCAAAGGACAGTTGGCAATATAGCTTCTTTTAAGCTGCTTTTATATGTTTGTTTATAAAAGACATAAAACACCCTAGTGCAATAGTTCCTCAAATATTAGTGTGGATAAGAATTACCTGTGGTACTTAAAATACTCAGACCCCAACCCCCAGACCTGATAAATTATACAATTTGAGAGAGAGGTTTGGACATCTGTATTATTAACACATTTCACAAGTGGAGAACCACTGTCCTAGCACATACAGTATATTTAGTTCATGTAAATTAATCTTAAATCAAGCTCTTAAAACAGTGGTCCTTAACCCTCCATCCAGCCAGTACTTCTTAAGTAATATGACACATTTCAATTAAAATAGTCACATGTCTTCCCATTACTCATCTCTCCTAAGCCAATGTAAAAGCTTGGTTTATATTGTTAGATACAATAATAATAAATAGGTCTTTTTAGTAAATTTATGCTTAACTATCCAGCAACATGGTAATGGTTATGTGGCCCTTAGGTTTTTACAGATTGATTTTGTTGTTAAGTTTCATTTTCTCTTTTTTAAGTGCTTTTTTTGGATAACTGTTAATAGCTACTTAGTTGGTTATTAAGTAAAGTTAAAAGAAGCTTAAAAAATAAGAATCTTTTGGCCGGGCGCAGTGGCTCACGCCTGTAATCCCAGCACTTTAGGAGGCCAAGGCAGGTGGATCACCCGAGGTCAGGAGTTTGAGACCAGCCTGGCCAACATGGTGAAAACCCATCTCTACTAAAAAATACAAAAATTAGCCGAGCGTGGTGGTGGGTGCCTGTAATCCCAGCTACTCGGGAGGCTGAGGCAGGAGAATTGCTTGAACCCAGGAGACGGAGGTTGCAGTGAGCCGACATGGTGCCGCCACTGCACTCCAGCCTGGGCAACAGAGTGAGACTCCGTCTCAAAAAAAAAAAAAAAAAAAAAAAGAATCGTGTGTGTGTGTATACATATCCTTTCTCTTTTTTATTCAAATGATAGCCCAATATACACACTGTTCTTCACTTGGCTTTTTTTTTTTTTCTTACTATAACTTGGATTTGTTGCATAAAAATACTTAACTCTACTTCATTCTTTTTAACAGTTGTAGGGTATTTCACTTTTTAATGTACCATGATTTCCGTAGTCTCCTGTTGGTGGACGTTTAGGTTATTTTCAATCTTTTGCTCTTATAAACAATGTTTCAGTGAATATCTTTGTGTATATGTTTTTATGTACATGTGCAAATATATTTATGGGGGATATAAATTTTTAGAAATGGCATTGCCGAGTTGAGGGTTCTAAACAATTTTGATAGATTTAGTCAAATTACCTTCCAAAGAGATTATACTTTCCCAAAGAGATTATATCAGTTAACCTCTTTGTCAACAATGTTTGAGACTGAATCTTGACCTGCATCTTGATGATACACAGTACATTATCAAAACAGTTGATATCTGCCACTCCAGTAGGTAAAATGTTATTTCATTGCTTTAATTTGCATTTTAATAACTGTGAGGGTGACTGAGCATCTCTTGTTTTTAAAAGCCTAAATGTAGATTTTCATTTTTATCTTTAGAAGACGCCAAAAGACTCATGTACCCATGTTACAGGTATGGACTGCTGATAAACCACATCCACAAGAAGAGGTAAATGGATTTCAGTCCCTTGTGATACAAACACAGTCAGCTCTTGAATAGATTCTTATCTCTGTAAGATACTCAGACCATTCCATTTTACCCTTTGACTGTGTTTCTACATTTCATGATAGTTCCTTCTCATAGCTCAAGGTGTATGGTAGGTCTTTAATAGATGATAGAATGTAATTGAAATATTCCCTTGTTCTTTGGAATGCCAGCTATTACAGAGTTGACATATATTTATTTAAATGCTTAATTTGAAAAATGTCAAAACAGACAGTTCCAAACAGGTAGACTTTGTAAGTAAAATAAAAACAAAAACTTAGCACCTTTTTTTGTACCATCTTACAAGTTAGCTTACTTTTGTATCCTGTATTTTAAAGGGTAGTGATTTTTTCATTTTGTCTAGTCAAAATGTTAATTATATTAATGATTAAAAATTAATCTGTCTTTAGTATTTAGATTGCCTGTGGGCCCAGATTCAGAAATTGAAAAAGGATCGCTGGCAGGAACGGCACATCCTAAGACCTTATCTTGCCTTTGACAGCATCCTGTGTGAAGCACTGCAGCACAATCTGCCTCCTTTTACACCACCTCCTCACACTGAAGATTCAGTGTACCCAATGCCAAGGGTCATCTTCAGAATGTTTGATTACACAGATGATCCCGAGGTAAGTGACCGACTAAAAGTCCTAGATATTGACCTGTGTTGCATTGTGCTTGTGGGTTAATCCCGCTTGAATTATGCCTGTGGTATGTTTTAATTTTGAGTTGTTTTTATCTAAGAAGGTCAGTAGCAATGAAGTTAACTTTTTAATTCAGTGAATGATATCACCTCATTATGCAAGAAATTATATTTGGCATGTGTAAATAGATTACAGAGACGTGCACAGTTTGCAGGCTAAGAGTGTGGGTTTTGGGTTTTTAGAGCTACGTTGGTTTGTGTTTTAATCTTGGTTTAGCCAAATACTAGCTGTGTTAATTTGGGAAGGTTATTTACCTCCCTGTGCTTTCATTTCCTGAAGGTAATAATAATAGTATACATCTCATAATAGTAGTATATATCTCATGTTATGAGGATTAAATTATTCACATGTAAAATGCATAGAACAAGAACAGTGTCTGTCACATGATGAATGCTCAGTCATTCTGGCAATTTTTCTTTCTTATTTTTTTCTTTTCGAAATGGGGTCTTACTTTGTTGCCCAGGCTGCAGGTGAGATCTAAGCTCACTGCAACCTCTGCCTCCTGTGCTCAAGCGATCCTTCCACTTCAGCCTCCTGAGTAGCTGGGACCACAGGCATGTGTCACCTAGCCTGGCAAATTTTTTGTAGAGTTGAGATTTCGCCATGTTGCCCTGGTTGGTCTCAAACTCCTGGGCTCAAGCAATTCGTCCGCTTCGTTTTCCCAAAGTGTTGGGCTTACAGGCATGAGCCACTGCACCTGTCCATAATTATACTTAATAAGGTTATTTCTCAGTAAAAGTACCTAGTTTTAGGTATGGTCCCTCTCTAGGCAACACAGCCTGTCTTGTGATTATTCATATTGTATGATTATTTGAAAACAAATGTTGGAAGTATTTTTAATTAAAAAATTCCAAAGATTAGTCTAAGCTGACTTTATCATTTTTAATATACATGTTCTTTATTTCAAAGTCAAGTTTCCTGGCAGCCATTGTACTGTTATAATTGTATATTGTACAATTAAGAAAATTTATAATTTTCATTGTGGGTACTATCCTGTGTATTGTAAGATGCTCAGCGGTGTCCCTGATCTCTACCCTCTAAATGTCAATAGCACTCTCCCTGCCTCAGTTTTGACAACCAAAAATATCTCCAGAGAGTGCAATATGTCCCCTCAAGAGCAAAATTGCCCCCAGTTGAAAACTATTGCCATAAAAATTAATATTACCACCTAAGTCAAATTTGAGTTTCTTCTATTGTCTCTTTTCTGTTCTATGGTAAAGTGCTAATGACCAGTAGGAATTTAGTATATATGTAATCTATTTTGGAATAAAAATTTCTCAGATAATCAGTTACATATACAAAATTATCAGCTTGCTGCCGTCTTTGCTATATTCCATATGTAACCAAATACTTTAGTCAAAATTATGTAATGATCTACTTAGATATGTCTAACTGAAAATCTGGTTTACATTTAAGACTGCTAATGTTTGTGGTCGGGTATTTTTTTTTTTTTGTGCAGGGGAAACTAGAATGGGACCTCAAAATTTGTTTCTCCTGAATTTGTATTTAATTGGTATCACCTCTGTAAGGTGCATATCCATCCCTTGCTAGAAGAGTATAAATATATAAAATACATATTACTCCCAAAACGAACAGGATTTTGTTTCTGTTCTGGCCTTTTACAAGTTGTTTATTAAAAAACATTAGAAATTGTAAAAAAAAGATTAGAATCATCCAAAAGTCATTATTAAAGGTTTATTTTGTGTGTTTTGAACCTGTTTGCTATGAATATACTTAAGAATAAAATAATGCCATGTAGGGAATATGTTTTGAGCTTAGACAGTATATTATGGGCATTTTTCAATTCATGCATGACTTTTTATGGCTATGTGGTGTTTGAATAGAATTTTCTCTCTGCATAGTTATTAATGGAAATAATTCACTCTCGGTTTAAAAAATAAACTCTGTAAGACTTGTATTATCCAAAATTATTTAGTTTCATATAATAATTGGTGTGTAAAGTAGGCAGTGGTTGTATGGTTAGGTATGAGATGTGGTAGAAAAAACACTACAGCTGATACTCTGGGGTATAAGTGAACATGACAATGGAATTTCCTGAAATATAGAGCTTTAACACTTCAGAACTTTTATCCCCATCACCCAGTTTAGTGCTTGGAACATAATAGTCTCTCAAATATTTGTTGAATAAGTAAAAGAAATCTGTTTTCTAGGCCTGTAGTGTACACATTTGGTTTTCTTTCCAGGGTCCTGTCATGCCAGGGAGTCATTCAGTGGAAAGATTTGTAATAGAAGAGAATCTTCACTGCATCATTAAGTCCCACTGGAAGGAAAGGAAGACTTGGTAAGATTCTTTTCATGGTACTTTTAGAAGGGAGAGAAGCAGCAATTTTGATAATTCAGTAAGAGCAAAATATATGTTGAGAGTGTAAGAAAATTTTATCCTCCTGACTCCCTGTCTTGCTAAAATCAATTTCTAAAAACACTTGCTTTACTTTCTCAAGGCTCTTCACCCTTGTATAGTACTTTTCGAGGTGCTTTATAGTAATAAGCGTATGATGCCAGTGTGTTTGGTGTGGATATTTAGTATATGCTATGGAGAGCTTGAATGGCAAGTTATTTTGGGTTTGGATACCAATAGTTTTGCTCTGTTTTCTAGCATTTAGACACCCAAGCTTTGGAATTTTTTTTTTTAAATAAAATTTTCTTAAACTTTGGGAAGTTTGGTTTAGATTTTAAGGTGGAAATGAATATAGTATTATGAGAGTGATCTACTCTATTAAAACTTCTTTAAGTTAGTACATCTGAATATGCTTCCTTAGTATTATTACCTAGACTCCTTTTGAGCTTTCAAGAAATTTTGGATGCAGTAAAGATTTTCCTTGTGGTAGACAGAATAATTTATGCCATAGTTAAATGAAGTAACTGAAATCTAGGACATTTCAAAAAAGATTTTTCTTTGCTTATATCTAAACACATTGCTTTTGAAACTGCTTATTTGACTTTTCTTGTGTCTTCGTATACTTATTAAACTTAAATTACACTTTTTATAGTGCTGCACAGTTAGTGAGCTATCCAGGGAAGAACAAGATCCCCTTGAACTACCACATAGTTGAGGTATGAATTCCATGTGGAGCGTGTTTCTGAGTTTCAGAATCTTTCTGTTGGCTTTAAAGTATGATCTACTCTTGGCTTATTTATTTATTTATTTATTTATTGCTACTTGTCCAGCATTCAGAATTAATAGAAGCAAGGAAATTGCTGTCGGTTTTGGTGCTCTATTAGCCATGTTAGTAAAGAGAAAAAAGATTGGAACCAGTAGCCAAATGGAATTTTGAATTGCCTATAAGTTATTTATATAGTATGTCTTCATTCATGGATAGTTGTTGTGGATAATGTAAGTTACCTCTAGCTCTGTCAATACATTGTCCACTTAACAGACGTATAAGTGATTTAAATACTTTAAAATATCATTTTAGACAGATAACATATCTTTAATTGTGTTTATCTGGCCTCTCAGTACTAGCATAAACTTAGTTAGTGTATTATTTCCTGTAACACAAAGTGTAGATGAATCATCATTTATTCTTAGAAATCTAAAGAGCCAAGCAGTTTAGAAATAGAGTAGCAACACTTTTGACTTCATATTAACTCATACAAAAGGTTGATGTTAGTATACAGTTGAATACATTATAGAGATTTATATCAAAAAACAGTGTTCACTTGACACGTGAGTCAAACTGTTAACTGCATTTTTTTTTTTTCCAAATGGAGCCTTGCTCTGTCGCCCAGGCTGGAGGGCAGTAGCGTGATCTTGGCTCACTGCAGCCTCCGCCTCCGGGGTTCAAGCAATTCTTCTGCCTCAGCCTCCTGAGTAGCTGGAACTACAGGTGCACACCACCACGCCCGGCTAATTTTTGTATTTTTAGTAGAGACAGGGTTTCACCATATTGGCCAGGCTGGTCTTGAACTCCTGACCTCGTGATCTGCCTGCCTTGGGCTCCCAAGGTGCTGGGATTACAGGCATGAGCCACTGTGCCCAGCCCACTGCATTATGTCTTTATATTAAAGTATTCATGGGCCAGGCTTAGTGGCTCATACCTATAATTCCAGCAATTTGCGGGGCTCAGGCAGGCTGATAGCTTGAGCTCAGGAGTTCGAGACCAGCCTGGGCAACATGGCAAAATCCTGTCTCCACTAAAAATACAAGAAAAAAAAGAAAGAGCCAGCCATGGTGGCACGCACCTGTGGTGCCAGCTACTTAGGGGTGGGAGGATCACTTGAGCCTAGGAGGTCAAGGCTGCAGTGAGCTGAAATTGTGCCTCTGCACTCCAGCCTGGGTGACAGAGTGAGAGTCCGTCTCAAAATAAATAAATAGTGTTCATGAAAGAGACAGCATAGGATGTATTAAGAGTCGTATCCTCTACCGACTGAGCTAGCTGGGCCTGATAGGATGTATTAAGGTTCATATTTTGTTAATATTGCACTTTGGTGCCTTTTTAAAAAAAGTACTGTGTATTTCCTATCTTTACAAAACTTGGATATACTTAATGCTGTGAACTTGGCTCAATGACATGTCTGAAATGCAAAATGTCATTTTTAAATCTGCAAAATGTATAGAAATTCATCAGACCGAAGTGTAGAAGTGTGAGAGATAGGTAAGAGTAAAGGATGCAGACTAGGGCTTTAGAATTCTAGACAGGTGGTCCACCAATTATACAGAGAGAGTAGGAAGGAAGTTTCTGAATAAGAGGCATGGCAAAGAAGTCTTGGACTGCCAGAAAGATCTGAGCATCTATTTCAAGTAACAGTGTGGAATGACTTGATTTTCTTGTTTCCTGACCCCAAAGTCTAAAAGAATTCTTTTTTTTTTTTTTTTTTTGAGATGGAGTCTCGCTCTGTCGCCTAGGCTGGAGTACAGTGACACGACCTCAACTCAGTGCAACCTCCGCCTCCTGGGTTCAAGCAGTTCTCCTGCCTCAGGCTCTCAAGTTGCTGGGACTATAGGTGCCCACCACCACACCTGGCTAATTTTTGTATTTTTTGTAGAGACAGAGTTTCACCGTGTTGGCCAGGCTGGTCTTGAACTCCTGACCTCAAGTAATCTGCCTGCCTCAGCCTCCCAAAGTGCTGGGATTACAGGCGTGAGCCACTGCGCCCAGCCTAAGAGTTCTTGTTATTTATAGGAATGAAACTGTCATGGATCTTTTGAGCCCCTCAAAAAGCTGTACATCCTGGCTCAGCTGTGGTGCTTTCAAAGTTGGAATTTAATTGCATAGTTCTCTGGGAGGAGTGTAGATCGAATAAGCATTAGTGTCGTGTGTTTTTATTTGATCGAATTATAGAGAGAAGAAATTTTCATTACAGTTTTCAGTTTTAGATTTTTGTGTTTGAAAGAGCATAATTTTAAATATTAAAAAGTAATTCCATTTTCATATGAATGCCATGGAGTTAGAGCTCAGATTTAGAATGTTAAGGTCTTTCTAATAGAAGTGCAAAGATAGCAGTTGGATTGAATTGTGACTCATGATTCTTTTGTAGGTGATCTTTGCAGAGCTGTTTCAACTTCCAGCACCCCCTCACATTGATGTGATGTACACAACACTCCTCATTGAACTGTGCAAACTTCAACCTGGCTCTCTACCCCAAGTTGTATCCTTTTCTTTATTTTTAAACTTAATCTCTTTGGCCTGGTCTTAAAAGATTATTAAATATTTCTGCTTGTGGGTTTAAATTTTGTAGGTAAAAAATGTGGCTTTTGAAGTGTGTTGTGTGTGTGTATTACATGTATGTACTTGTATGTCTGTAAATACATATGTACCTATACATATGTAGATACATCCTTCACTATTTGGGTCAGGGAGTTCAAAAATAGACAACAATAAAATTTGTTGCCTAGATTGACTTTTCCTCTCACAATAGATTTCTCTGAAGCATGTGATGCTTGCTGTTTGATACAGCATTTTACCCACAGTAGAACTTCTTTCAGAGTTGGAATTAATCTTCCCAAACCCTGCCACTGCTTTATTAGCTAAGTTTCTATGATATTCTAAATCCTTCGTTGTCATTCAGCAGTGTTCACAAGGAGTTGATTCCATCTCAAAAAAACACTTTCTTTGCTCATACATAGAAAGCATCTTCTTATTTTTTAAAGTTTTATTATGGGATTGCAGCAATTAATAATGGAAAAGCTTGTTTTATTGTAAAAATTACCAGTATGTGACACAGAGACAAGAAGCAAGCAGATGCCATTGGAAAAATGGTGCCAGTAGACTTGCTTGTTGCAGGGTTGCCACAAACCTTCAGTTAAAAAAAAAAAAAAGAAGCAATTTCTGCTAAGCACAATGAAACAATGTATGCCTGTGCGTATGGAGGGGCATGGGGAAATTTGGGAGGTGATGAAAATATTATCTTGATTTCACGAGTGTATGCAGGTCAGATTCATTATACATCACTGATATTTCAAAGCTGTAAGAAAAAACAAAAACAAGATTGATTGTGTGAAAAGATGTTCAGCATTATTAATCATTATAAAGACTTGAAATGTTTTATTTCTATTCTTGTCTATTACAACTTATTTGGGATAAAAGTGGAGAATAGTTTTCCTTATCCTAAATTCACAGCTTGCACAGGCAACTGAAATGCTATACATGCGTTTGGACACAATGAACACTACCTGTGTAGACAGGTACAGTAATCGCTTTACTGCTGAGCTGAGTTAGCAGCTTTTACTTCCTGTACTTCATAAAGGAATTTGAGAAAGACATTTTTAAGAATTTCCATGTTTAGTTTTTTTCTTGCCTCCCAAAATAACCTTTGTATAATAACCAGACTCATACTTAATGTAACATTACGTTTTTTGATGTCCATGCTATGATTTTCTTTAATTTCATTCTCTAGTCAAGTATCAAAGACTATACTTTGGCTCTGCCATTTATAAAATGTTTTATCTGCAATTTCTTTTTTTTATTTGAGACAGGGTCTTGCTCTGTCACCCAGGCTGGAGTGCAGTGGGATGAGCATAGCTCATTGTAACCTTGAACTTATGGGCTCAAGCAATCCTCCTGCCTTAGTCTCCATCCCGAGTAGCTGGGATTACAGGCATGAGCCACTGCACCTGGCCTACAATTTCATAAAATTTTTTTTTTTCTTGCTTCAGTTTCATCATCTTTTATATGGAGAAAATAATATGTACCTTGGAAGTTGTGAGAATTAAATAATAAACATGTTAGGTGCCCGCACAAAACAGGTACTAGAATTATATCTGTCATTGACCTAAAAAGGATAAAGAGAGTTGGCAGAAGATACAACTGCATGTAGGGGAATATGCTTTTCATTAACTCTGTAAAGTCGGGTTTTATCTGTTTGAAGGCTTATATAAGTTTCTGTTCTAAATCCCAGTTATTCTTCCTTTTTCTCTGCCTACCTCCCCCTTCTCTACGTAGGTTTATTAATTGGTTTTCTCATCATCTAAGTAACTTCCAGTTCCGTTGGAGCTGGGAAGATTGGTAAGTGATGGTTTGTTTTATCTTTTTCTGTAGTCAAAAAACTACTAATGTTTAAAACTGTAACATAAAAGTGTCTGAAATATTTAATTTCTTGGAAACTATTTGTAGTTAAGTACAAATAGTTACAAGTGCAATTATAACTTAACAAAACTTGTAAGTTGTTATAAGTTAACAGATAATTATAGTACAAATGGGTGTAAGTGCAGATTATATGTAAGCATTGATAAAACTACATTTCCTCCTTAGGTCAGATTGTCTTAGTCAAGATCCTGAAAGTCCCAAACCGAAGTTTGTAAGAGAAGTTCTAGAAAAATGTATGAGGTAAGTTTTTTGTGTTTTCTCCTTTTAACTTCTTTGGGAGGATTTCTTTCTCTTCTCTGCACTTGTGATGTGTGTTCAGAATATTGGATTCAAAATCCACTTACTCATCTTCCATCCCATTTTTAATCAAGACTTAGGCTAAGAAAAATTAGGCAACCATGCCATATAGATTCCATGTGAATTTAAGCCAATAAGTTCTTTTAAAGATGTCACAGGCCGGGCGCAGTGGCTCACGCCTGTAATCCCAGCACTTTGGGAGGCCAAAGCGGGTGGATCACATGATGTGAGGAGTTCAGGCTAGCATGGCCAACATGGGGAAACCCCCTCTCTACTAAAAATAAAAATTTGCGAGGCGTGTTGGCGAACGTCTATAATCCCAGCTACTTGGGAGGTTGAGGGAGAGTCCTTTGAGCCAAGATGGCGCCACTGCACTCCAATCTGGCCGACAGAGCGACACTCTTATCTCAAAAAAATAAAATAAAAAAGGTGTTATATATGAAATGAATTCAGATTTATAGAAAAGTTGGCACAACATTACAAAGAATTCTGTATCCTCTTCACCTAGATTCCATAGCTATTAACATTTTATCATGTTTGCTCTCATGCTCACTCCCTTTTCGTCTCTCCCTAGAGACCCATTACGTTGGTTTTCCTTTGAGAATAAGCTGCATACCCAGCTGATGTAATGGCCCATTATCCTTTAATGTTCCATTACATATCTTCCCAAAACAAAACCACTCTCCTACCTAGCCAGCATACAACCTTTTAGATCAGAAAATTAGCTGTGGTACAATCCTACCACATAATTCACAGGTGCTGCTGAAATTTTGCCAGCCGTCCCAACACCTGTATTTCCTGTCTGGTCTGGAGTGTTTTTTTTGTTTTGTTTTGTTTTGTTTTTGAGTTGGAGTCTCGCTCTGTCACCCAGGCTGGAGTGCAGTGGCACGATCTCGGCTCACTGCAAGCGCCACCTCCGGGTTCACGCCATTCTCCTGCCTCAGCCTCCTGGTAGCTGGGACTACAGGCGCCCGCCACCACGCCTGGCTAATTTTTTGTAGTTTTAGTAGAGACGGGGTTTCACTGTGTTAGCTGGGATGATCTCGATCTCCTGACCTCGTGATCCGCCCGCCTCGGCCTCCCAAAGTGCTGAGATTACAGGCATGAGCCACCGTGCCCAGCCTGGTCTGAAATCTTATCCAGGTACATATATAGTGTTGAGTTGTCATTCTCTTCAGATTCCTTCAGTCTTGAACACTTAACTCTTTTTTCTATCTTTGTGTTTTTACCAGTTTGAAAGAGTCTAGACCTTACTTGGATTGCTCTGATATTTCTCATGAGCAGACTGAGGTCTTAAATTGTTAATGCTCTTGGTGTGTCACTTCTAGAGGCACATGATTCCCACCACTGGTGATGTTAATCCTGATCCACCTGGTCATGTCAATATCTGCCAGCTTTCTCTACCTTAACCTCACCATTTTTCCCTTTAGTAGAATTGATAAGTATTTTAGATATTCTGAAGTTTTACTCTTACTCTGTTCTTCATCAGATCTCCATCCTGCTTTTAGCAGCTACCACTAAGATGGTTGCCAAGTGATGATTTTCTCATTCCATTATTTTTTCTACATTTATTAGTGGGCCTTCTGTAAGAGCTGTCCTTTCTCCCCCATTTATTTATTCCTTTATTTATATATCAGTAGGGACTAATTAATTTATATTTCATTCGATGGGTTATAAACTATGAGGATTATTTATTTTGATGCCCAAATTGTCCCTGGTATGTACATGAGGAGCCCCGGTAAGCTCTCTCTCTCTCTCTCTCTCTATATATATATATATATATATTTTTTTTTTTTTTTTTAACGTCCCCAGCCATTCATTGAGCATTCCCTTATTTTCTAGAACAACATATTTAGGATCATCTTGCGTTTTCTTGCCCTATCACTGGAATCATCTATTTATTCATGGAGCCCTAGTTTCTAGTAAAGTAGTAATGGAATATGGTATTTAGGAGCCAAGATCTGGGCACTTGATATGCTCATTGCCATTGGGGTGTCATTGGTTCTAAGCCTCTTGGTGGACACACATCCATCCATCCATAACTGTTTTTATGTCCACCTGTGTGTATATATGCCTCCAATTCCAACTCAATACCTTATTTCTACACTTCTTCTCTACCATGATTTGTAAACACCTTCTCAGGCAGTAACAAACTTGGCTTCCATTATCCTCAATATTTATTTATTTGATAGAATATAGCCAGTTTCCAAAGCGTGCAGTCATCTCCACCATGCCCCATCATCACCCCACATACTTGGCCACCAGGCTCATGAGCTCACTCACCCGCACCTCAGTGCAAGCCAGTGAGTTTTGCAGTATGCCTGAGATTTGGTGTGCTGGCTTAGACAAAAACTCAAAGGATTTTTTTTTCCCTTTCACTTCTTGGTTGTCAGCTGAGTTCAAGTTGTTGGAGATCATGACTTTCCAGGTAAGTCGGGTGTTACCGAAGAATGGGACTGATAAAAGATATTTTCTGAGGCTGTTATTTGTATTGTAGGTTGTCTTACCATCAGCGTATATTAGATATTGTTCCTCCTACCTTCTCAGCTCTGTGTCCTGCAAACCCAACCTGCATTTACAAGTATGGAGATGAAAGTAGCAGTAAGTAATGAAACTAATCCCTCTGTCTTTAAAAGGTACCAGTTCAAGTATATCTGAAGTTAGTTGTTTAAAGTGGAGAAATTGAACTTTTTCTTTTCTTGGGGTTTATATTTCCTGTATTTGAAAGGTGGTCTATCATTAGCCACTGTTTTATTTGCCCTGTCATCATTTTGAGGATTTGGTTGTGATAAAATTAATTACTACTGGCTTATCATTTTTTCTCTTTTGAATGTGTTAAGTATAGCAAGATGAATTTATAGTTAGAACTTACTAAACTGAAAACGTGTATTTGTCATGGTGATGGAGGTTACTTGAATTCATTATCTTGTTCAGGTGTGGTATTGAGAACATAGATGCACATATTTGTGGCAGTATGCCTTTAAAAGTAAATTCTTAATTATGATTTTCTTACCTTTTGGTCACATAATCTCTGAAATTGCACCATAAATCAGGGAGTGTAATTTGATGTGCCATTTTGCCCTTTGCATAGTATTTACACTTAATGAAGGTAAAGTATTATACATTGTTGATCACTGGTAGAGTTAGGTGTGGAGTTTTTCCAACTTGTTCTTTGCAGATTACACTTAACACAGCCCCTCCATGATCCTTCCATTTTGTGTTGTGTAGAGGTTCTTTGTATCTCACAACTTTCTGCTGTTCTTTGCTTTTCATACTGTGTGCCTGTTTCTCCACCTCTGTCTCTGACTGTACCTGTTTTCCTTGAAATGAACTGTGTCGGTCCTGGTACATTTCCTATTTCATTATGTCAACTCTGAAGAATAGATATGATTATCAAAACTACAATGAGGAAATGACTTCCAAGAGGTCAAGCTAGAATGAGATTGCTTTTGAGTGGTGGAGCCCAAATTCAGGCGTAGGTGCACTAACTGAGTGGCCATGCTGTTAGCCACTGTGCTTTTTGGCAGATCAAAGGTTTATGCAGTACTTAGAAGTGCTGGGTTTTGAGTTTTGTCCTGTACTGGTTCCGAGAATGATAAGGTGTAGTCTTTGCTATCAGAAAGCTCAGGCTTTTGTTGAAGATTAAGCTTTCTTTTTGCCCCATAGGAATAACTCCGCCTAACATTCAAGGCCTTCATAACCATTGTTCCTACTTTGTTATTTTTCACTTCTCCCCACATGGACCTCTATTTCTGCCAGGTCCATGTACTTTTTTATTTTTTCCATACTCCCTGTTCTTGACTTTGCCATTACCCCAGTCTGGAAAGCCCTTTCTAGCTCCACTTCCTTTTCTCCTTCTAGATTCTAGCCCAAGCTCAATAGCTGTAAATATTTTTTAACCGTTAGCAAGCCAGTTTTGTATTGCTTCCTGGCTGTGTCTAATGTGAATATCTTGGTTCCCCAGCTAGAATGTAGACTGGTGACAGGGGATTCTGTTTTTCTTCGCCTTCTTTTTTTTAGAGAAAAAGCTCACAGCAGGTGTAATATGACTGTCCTCACATGACTGTTGTAATTTACTTTATTCATTCCAGTAACTCATACTCTATAACAGGATTGCCTTTTTTGTTACCTCTTTGTCTACCTTACATTAAAAGCAGATTTCTTGTTGCTCTGGTGATGCCTTACGGTGTATATTAGCACAAATTTTTATAATAAGGACTCAACTGATACCAACCAATAGTAAATACAAGGAGTCCCATCACGTGAGCATCTGACTTACGTAGATTCAAGCTTGTGGACTCAGCAAAAAAGAAAAGTACAAAAACAAAACCTCTCTGAAGTTGGCAGCCATTACCTTGTTGAGACTCAGACTTCATTTCCACGGTCCCGAGGAAAGAAAGAGGAAGTGGGTGTTGGCAAAATGAAAGAGAAGTACGTTGGTTCTGGGATTTTGAGCCCAGGAGAGTTGAGGGCATTAAAAGACAGTTTAACTGTGTCCACTTTTCTCCTTACCATTCATCTTGAGGATGATCAGCACCTTGTGCTCTAAATTTTACTTAGCTAAGTGTCCTTAATGAATTGTTGAAATGAGAATTGTCCCTTTTTAGGTGAAAAACCATTAACCTATTAGAAAAAGCTTTCACATACGGTATTTATATGTGATTAAATATTGACCTTGGGATAAAGAGCATCCTATTTTGAAAGGAAGAATTTAAAAAAAATTTTTCTCAGTTATTTAACTGTTCATTAGAATAGTCTTGAAACCTGATCTGTCATTCCCCTTACCCCCAATTCTGTGTTTAGATTCTCTTCCTGGACATTCTGTTGCCCTCTGTTTAGCTGTTGCCTTTAAAAGTAAGGCAACCAATGATGAAATCTTCAGCATTCTGAAAGATGTACCAAATCCTAACCAGGATGATGACGACGGTAAGTGGAATTCAGTATTTCTTAAGTGGAACTATGTATAGGCCAACTTAAAGCATAAACATAACTCTGGCAACATGATGCTCTTAAAGCAATATATCTATATCTGTTTGACCTGTTCAGACTGTTGTTCTTAGCACCCCAGGTATTTTCCCCTTATATAAAAAGAGATCCTAACATTTCTGTGATATAGCTTACTTAAGAATATAAACTTCATCGTAAATACAAAGTGAAATATGTTACCATTCAAGGATTTTTAACCCCTGCTTTCACCATAGAGAAGTTCCTGAATAGAAAGACTTGGTGTGTTATAAAGTTGGATGTTTTCTCCAAGTTAAGCTATTAGAATAATAATGTTTAACATTTACTCAGTTATATACCATGTAATTCCAACCAGAATCCTAGGAGTTTTTCTGGGCAAGAGTGGGAAAATTGACAAAATAATTTATACAGTTGCCTGAATCAATAAATGGATATGCACATAGAAAAACTACTGAATCAAAATAAGATATTAGTGGCCTTTGGGTATTTATTACTGGGATTTTGTTTGGATATCTCTAAGAAATTTGTATTATGATATTAGAGAAAATGAGTTTAGAAAGAATAAGCCAAAATGATGGCATTAAATTCAGATGTTGTCAGACATCTTAAGACATAAGCTTAAGTGTTTTTTTTTTTTTTTTTTGGTATTAATATAATAGAGGCTATGAATAAGGAAACCTGTGTGATTTTTTTTTTTCAAGGAATGGATGATAGAATTAAGACAGTCACATAAAACTAAGACTTAAAATTACAAGTGGTTTCATATTTTCAGTGTTTGAAATCAGTGACGGTCTTTTATTGTTTATTAGAACCAAAAAACATTACACAAATATCTGTGTATAGATGTGAGCAACCATCTATTTAGCATTTGAGGTAAGGCACCAAGGAATTGCTGTGCTTACATTTTTCTGTTTTACTATAAAATATTTTTCAGATGAAGGATTCAGTTTTAACCCATTGAAAATAGAAGTCTTTGTACAGACTCTGCTACACTTGGCAGCCAAATCATTCAGCCACTCCTTCAGTGCTCTTGCAAAGTATGTATGAGTACAGAGCCTTGCTTGAGAGTTTGGAATTTTGCTTGGTGAACACCAGTGGTATGGTAATTTTTACCTAAGATTGTTGAATATGAAGATCTTAATAGTGTATAATTGGACACAGTGGGTTTGGGTTTGTGGTAGCTGAAATCCATATCCTAAGGCTTCCGTCAGTCTGTTTGTACAGTTGGCATATGTACATGGTAAGTGCTTTTTTTCATATAGACATTTAAAGAAACTAGTGAAAAACCTAGGTTTTTGGGACAGTCATATGCAGTTGGAAGTTCCCACGCTAAATATCTTTCCAAAGCAATGTAAGAAGAAATTAGAATCAGCTACACTGTTGGGAGTCACGCAAAGGTTGGCATCTGAAGACAGGTATTTTTAACTTGTCAGACAGGGTCCAAAGGAAGAAAGAGCACATAGATTTTCCTTCTGCCAAGCAGAGAAACTGGACATCTCACCCCATCTCTGTCTCCAAGGCTTTATATTACTTGCAGGGTTCCCACAGAAGATGCAGTTTGAATATTTCACCATGTTTGAAGACAGTTCCTTAGTCCTTACCTATTCTTTTAAACTGTAGCCCTGGGCTAACGGTAGTATATTGTAAATGTCTTGAGATTTTGTGACAGCTTCCTTAAAAACTATCAATCTGTGATCACACTTTTTGCATCCTTAATGGTTAATACTTAGTTATTTTGCATTTATATATTGCATTATAAATTGAGTAACATTGAAAAGGCTTTGAAAACACTAAAATGTTTAATGAATAAGTATATATGGTATTTTTTTCCCATCATTATCAAAAGGTTTCATGAAGTCTTCAAAACCCTAGCTGAAAGTGATGAAGGAAAGTTACATGTGCTAAGAGTTATGTTTGAGGTCTGGAGGAACCATCCACAGGTAAAAATTATTTAATTAGACATGTTGAAGCTCTGATTGTATGGGTATAAAAATAAGGCCGTTAATTGCCATTGTTTTGTTTGTAAAACATGAAATTTGACTCTGCCTAGATAATGGTTTTTAGATCTAATTCTTTCAGTGCTATGGGAGTAATGATGTTTCATTCATTCTTGAAAGAGTAAGCATTATTATGATTTGGTTTTGAACTATAATATCTCAATATGTTTTAAATGTTCAGGAAAAGGTTTATCTAGTCTATCCAGTTTCTAAATGCAAGCTCCAGATTTCTCAAACCTTGATATATATTGTGTATGACAAAGAAACATTTAAATAAATTTCATAAAACAGTGAGTGTGTAATGATAAAACATTGTTTTACATTTAACTTCTGGGGTTCATTGAAATTATGTATTTTTTTGAATACGTATTAGTACCTGAAATTTAAATTTTTTTTTGGAGACAGAGTCTCACTCTGTCACCCAGGCTGGAGTGCAGTGGCGCAATCTTGGCTCACTGCAACCTCCGCCTCCCGGGTTCAAGTGATTCCCCTGCCTCAGCCTCCCGAGTAGCTGGGATTACAGGCGTCCACCACCACACCTGGCTGATTTTTGTATTTTTAGTAGAGATGGGGTTTCACCATGTTGGCCAGGCTGGTCTGGAACTCCTGACCTCAGGTGATCTGCCCACCTCGGCCTCCCAAAGTGTGCTAGATTACAGGTGTGAGCCACCGCGCCTGGCCAGTTTTTTCAAATTTTAACTGTTACCATTCAGAGTTTTTGTTTAGTCAACCTGTTTCTTGTAGTGCTAGAGCAAAGCAAAGGGGAGAATAAATCTTAAGACCTAATGATCAGGCCAGGCGTGGTGGCTCTTACCTGTAATCCTAGCACTTTGGGAGGCCGAGATGGATGGATCACTTGAAGCCAGGAGTTCGAGACCAGCCTAGGCAATACAGTGAAACCCCGTCTATACTAAAATTACAAAAATTAGCCAGGCATGGTGGTGCACACCTGTAATCTGAGCTGCTCAGGAGGTTGAGGCAGGAGAATTGCTTGAACCTAGGAGGTGGAGGTTGCAGTGAGCTGAGATCGTGCCACTCCACTCCCGCCTAGGTGACAGAGCAACTCTGTCTCCCAAAAAAAAGACCTAATGGTCAGATTGATCAATCAATTCCATAGCCACCAAAACTAAATTTTATAGCCCTCCTATTTTACTTTTATAGCAGCAGTGTGGTGGCACATATATATGTGTGTGTATGTGTGTGTGTGATTTACTTGAATAATTCTCTCATTGTAGATGATTGCTGTACTAGTGGATAAGATGATTCGTACACAAATAGTTGATTGTGCTGCCGTAGCAAATTGGATCTTCTCTTCAGAACTATCTCGTGACTTTACCAGGTAATATAAATTATTTTATGAAACTTGTGTTCCCTAAGAATTGATATATGTGTGGTCTCTTATACATAAGCTTCAAATTCTGGTCCAAACCAGGTTGATATTAATATACTAATGGTCCAATCTGGTAGGATTGGACATGGCAAAAATTCCTAGACAGTGGAAACATACACAGCCTATCAGGTTGCAGCGTCTCTTAGCAGGGACACTCTTAAGTTGAATCAAGGCTAAGCCAGTGAAGTAGAAATCCTGTTGAAGGATCCAGACTGTTGGGAGAGAAAACTAGCAAGAGCCAGCTATGTGCAGAGTCTCAGCTAGTCCAGATGGAACTCGGGAAGGGTTCCAGCTTCAGTGGGGATGGCACCTAGAATGCACACCAGGAAGTAGGAGAAATCAAAGTCAAAGTAGAGTAAATCATGGAGGGATCCAGGAAAGCTTGGTGATTAACAAGACACCTGAGGGATGGGGGAAAGGGGTTCTCACCACAGTCATAATCTTAGGTTTAATGCAGAAGATTCATTCTGCCCTCATTCCCCCTAACGGAAAGAAAGTTTTTGCTGTTTGGTTCTTATTTATGAAGTTCACGGACTTTACAGCTGATAGGACCAGGGCAGCAGGAGTTGACACAAAGCAGGAAACTAAAGCAAATTACTTGTAAAAACATAAAAGTCCATCACAACCTTTAACTTTTCCACTGTATCTGTTACTGCCAGAGGACACTGATCAGAAATATACTGAATTGTTAGGGTGATAGGGTGTGATCTAAGGTTGTCATACCGGCCAGGTTGGCCTTCATAAACAAAGACAACAGAAGAACCTTTTCAGATTTGTAAACTCTCAGAAAACTAACCACCCGAGTATGTTTTAACCATTGTCCTGAGTGATTTACGTTTTCAATTCATTTTATCCTTACCGCATCACCGTAGAGAAGGTTCCATTATTGTCCACATTTTACAGAATAGGGAAGTGTCACAGAGTGCTTTATCCTGCCCAAAGTCACACAACTAAGTGCAGAGCCAGCATTCAAACCCAGGCATTCTGGAATCTGTATAGTGCTCAACAGCTCCATCTGTTCTTTAACACCTAGCTCAAATATTTGTAACTCTGCAAACCTTTCCCTGACTATAGTCCACCCCCTCCAGAGTTAAAGTGCTCTGCTCTTTTGTCCTGTTTCCTAACATTCTAGACTTGGAGTTTTATGAACAGATTGTTTTATTATCTTCCACTTAAACTATTATTTGGGTCAAAATTTGTAGAAGGAAGTACAGTTCACCCTTGAACAACAACAGGGGTTAGAGACACCGACTTCGCCCCACCCACCCCACCCCACACAGTCAAAAATCTGCATAGAACTTTTAACTGCATGGAAAATTTAACTAGTAGCCTACTGTTGACCAGAAGCCTTAGTGATAACGTAGTCAATTAACACATATTTGTGTTGTATGTGTTATATCCTGTATTCTTACAATAAATCATAAGAGAGGAAACATTCATGAAGTGAGAGTGGATCATCATAAAGGTCATCTTCATTATCTTCACATTGAGTAGGCTGAGGAAGAGGAGGGGTTGGTCTTATTGACTCAGGTGGAAGAAAACCCATGTGTAAATGGACCTGCACAGTTCAAACCTGTATTGTTCAAGGGCCAACTGTACTATTCTGTGCTGGGTTAGGAGACCTAGTTTATAGACACAAAAGTAGCTGAGAAGTTACTTTTTAAAAGAAAAACACTTATGCAACAAACATTTCAAAGCACCTACAAAGTGATCTTAGTATGTATTTGCTAGTAAGAAAGCTGACATATAATTATCTCATTCTTAGAGCCCATCAGTTGATACCTATTATCAACTAATGAGTTTCTTAAACATTCCAAGAGAATAATTGGCTGAGTGTGTGCTAGTTAAATAATATAAAGCATGGGAAATAAGTCTCAGGTTAGGTCACCATTTTGAGAAAATTTCTACACATAATGTTTACATTTAGGAGAGGAAAAATGTATTTCCATTTTTAATGTTAATGTCCATCATAGTTTGCCATTTCAATTCAGTAAGTATGTACCTCTGGTAAGGGATGGAAATAAGAAAAATGACTACACAGTGCTGCCCTCAGGGGGCTCGCCTGAATCTAATGGGTGTGAAGATAGATACTTGCACAATTTACAATAAAAGACCAATTTGTAAGTATTGCTGGAGAAAGATGACTAATTCAGCCCCAAGGACAGAAGGCTGTATCAGCTGTTAAGAATGAAATTACAAAAGTTGAAAGATTTTATTTTCTGTAACCATAGCTTGACATACAGTAACCAAATGCCATATTTCTTTAAGATTGTTTGTTTGGGAAATTTTGCACTCTACAATTCGTAAGATGAACAAACATGTCCTGAAGATCCAGAAAGAGCTGGAAGAAGCTAAAGAGAAACTTGCTAGGCAACACAAACGGGTAAGTTTTGTGTAAACTTGTAAGTAGTTAAAGAAAATATACCAGAAACTCTGGAGAGGATTCAGAGTTCATTATCTTGATGATATTTCATTTTTTCTGAGCCCAAATTAATGCAGAGCAGAAATTTTTCTGAGCCCAATTTAATGCAGAAGCAGAAGAGGAGGAAGGAGCAGGTAGTGTGTTGTGTGCTGTTACACTGCATGATGAACCAGTTCAGGAAGCCACAAACTTCACTTCCCATAGTTCACTATCTCTGGGTCGGCCTCACGTTTGCACAAGGGAAGTAGCAGAAGGGAAGAGGACACTTGTATTTCTGTAGGAGTCTCTGGGGGAAGAGGGAGAGGACTATAGATACTTAACACTTTCCCCGTACTGTGAGGAGGAATGGGGCAGTCATTCCCAAGTTAACGGAATACTTCTCATAGTATTAATTTAGTATTTTAGCCATTTTGGAGGGAAGCAGTGAGTGACTTAACATGATACTACTATTCATTATGAAAGTATTTTCCAGTGTTATGCATATTTACCATAGTAGAAGGTGAAAAAAAGTTGAGTTTAGTGCCCTATAGGAACCTTTCGCAAGTTTGAGTACCAGTCTCCATGTAGACATACCTGTATACATATATGGATATAAACACTCAGACCTGAAATACTGTAAGGTAAATGGTGTCATCTCATTTTGTAGATGTTATAAAGTGAGACATAGAGAAGTTAAGTAACATAGCTAGTAGGTTGCATAGCTGGTAAATGACCAGAGCTAGGTTCTGACACAGGTCTGTCAGACTCCAGAGACTTTTCTCTCATGCCACACTGTTTCTAGAAGTGTGCTGTCCAACACAGTAGCCACTAGCTGCACGTGACTATTTTAGTTAAATACAATTTAACATTCAGTTCTTTGGTCACACAACCATATTTCAGGTGCTCAGTAGTAACGTGTGGTTGCGGTCGTAACAGGCTGCACATATTTATATAACATTGGCCCCATTGAAGAAAGGTCTATCTATTAGGTAGTAGTGCTCTAGAACCTTACCTTTGAGTGGTGTTAGGAAAGGACAGTCGTGTACCCACGTGTCTAGAACATAGAGCAGACCTCATAAATGGGCTGTGTTTATAGAGAGAAAAGCAAGATTCTGTGATATCCGAGAGCAGGGTTCTGATAATTTTGCTTAAAGTGGAGAGATCAGTAGATGGGGCCTTAGCAGTTAAGTATTAACCTCGAAGAATTACCAGGCTTTCTAGATTCAGTGATGCCACCTTCTTGCTGAAAGTACCTTGGTATGTAACACCTTAGAGCCACGTTCTGGCTCTGCCACTTTCTGACTGGGTGATGCTGGGAAAGTCATCTAACCTCTCAGCCTTTTTTCTCTGTAAAATGGAAATAAACCATGCCTTGTTTTTCTTTTCCTTTAAAAAGAAAAAATTAAATTCTATAAACTCTTCAGAGTGAGCTGGGGGCAGGGATTATTAAAGCTTTACAGGAGTATATTGAGCCCATCATTGCCAGCAGAAAGTCTTAAACAGCCCACTTTGAATTATTATATGTCGGCTGGAGCCATTTCTAAATTATAACAAGAATGAGCAGCCTTGGCCCATAGGACTTGCCCAGTTTTTCTGTATGGCCCATTAGCAGATGAATGATTAGCAAGCTGTCTCCCTGTTGTTACTGCTCAAATGGTCAAATAGTGATAAATTGTAGCCAAGTCCCCCCATGTTGTTACCAAGACAAGTGCCACTAAATTTCCCTGGCCTAGATAAGAACCCATGGAATTTCTGAATGAGAAGACAGTGTCTCTGAACCACAACAGGACTTTGAGGTATATATGTGTGGGTGGCGGGGTGGGGGGGTACTTTCACTATAGAATATAAGTCTTAACATTTGGCCAGACACAGTAAAATGCTTCCCCTGGAGGAGATTTAACACACTGGAATCTAAATGGTATTTTCCTTTTGTTCATTTGCCTTCTATAGCGAAGTGATGATGACGACAGAAGCAGTGACAGGAAAGACGGGGTTCTTGAGGAACAAATAGAACGACTTCAGGAAAAAGTGGAATCTGCTCAGAGTGAACAAAAGAATCTTTTCCTCGTTATATTTCAGGTATCTTGGCTTGGGACATTTATACATAAAAGGAAACAATACATTTCTTTAGTTTTAGTTTTTAAAAATGTTATTTTTCATTGTAAAAGGAATACACATTCATTTATAGAAGAGATTAAAAATACAAAAATTTAGGAAGGAAATAAAAGTTCACTACTCAGAGGCAACCATGTATGTCTGAGTTTCTCTGCTGTTTACTTAGTATTCTCGCATGAGCATTTCTCCATGCTTGAAAAAAAATTGTGGGTTGCTTTTTTTATATATGTCTCGTTTAATTATTCCTCATTGCTGATCATTTTCCTTCCATGAACATTTTAATGCATAGATTCCTGTTAAAATTTCTGATTACTTCGTTAGAATAGATTCCAGGAAGTAATATTACTAGGATAAGTAATTTAAGACATTAAAGGTCTTTATGTATTGCCAGGAAGAATGTACCAACTCATGTTATTACCAGTCTGCCCTTCTAGGTTGACTTCATGAATAATGGAAGCTAGGCACACACACCACAAAGACAGGGTGGAACAGGCAATACTTTGGGGTTTCTTTGTCATGAATTTTTTTCCAAAGTATAAGATTCTGTCTGTAGTACTACCTTAACTTCTTCTCCCTTTCCAGCGGTTTATCATGATCTTGACCGAGCACCTAGTACGATGCGAAACTGATGGGACCAGTGTATTAACACCATGGTATAAGAACTGTATAGAGAGGCTGCAGCAGATCTTCCTACAGGTATGTGGGGAACTTCGATTAGGTAATAACACTATTCTCAGCCACAAAGATTTTTCATTAAAAAAAATCCTTGTCAAATTTGTTAGGAGGTTATATAGTACCTGTTAGACCCTTTAGTTCATGTCCATTTGCTGCTACCATTGCTCATCAGAATATTTAGGCTTAAACTGATTCTGTACCACTTAGATTCCTAATTGCCACCCCCCCAACAACCCCCCGCCCCACCTTTTTTTTGAGATGGCATCTCACTCTGTTGCCCAGGCTGGAGTTCAGTGACACGATCTCAGCTCACTGCAACCTCCACCTCCTAGGTTTAAGCAATTCTTCTGCCTCAGCCTCCCATATTGCTGGGATTACAGGCACCCGTCACTACTCCTGCCTGATTTTTGTATTTTTAGTAGGGACAGAGTTTCACCATGTTGGCCAGGCTAGTCTCAAACTCCTGACCTCAGGAGGCCTCCGCCTCCCAAAGTGCTGCTGGGATTATAGGCGTGAGCCACGGTGCCCAGTCTCCTAATTGTCATTTTCTATGCTGGGGATCCTAGCTGTAATATAAAATGTAGAGGACAAAAATATCAAGAGGACAGTAATTGGATTTATAAGTCCCTAAAAAGCCAGTGTTATCCAATGTGCAGGTGGTAAACTGTCCACAGAATCAAGGTAAGCTCCCTGGGGTCTCTCTGCAAAAGCAAAATGCCGGCACCTATTCTCACCTAGATTTAAGTTAAAGGTATATAGGAGAGTGGAGCTAATTCATTGTATCTTCGGACACTACTCCCCTAAATCTTCATTTGTTCATTCTAGAAGAATGATTAATGTAGAAGTCACTCTAAGTTCAATTCTTTGAGCCTCCAAATAGGAATTCCCTCTGATTTTATAGTTACTGCCAGTTTTAAAAGCTTTAACAGTCTCTAGTCCTATAAGAATCTCTGAGAGTATTCATGGCTTATAGAGGAACACATAGACAAGAGTATTTCGTTTTCTGACTGTTTATCTTCCTGTCAGTCCGTCTGGCTGCTTTTTAAAAAGTTACAATGTATTATGCCCTGACTGGGGAGAGAGCTAGCTGAGCCTAGTCCGTAATAGTACTAGGAGCAAGCAGGCACTGCTGCCACTGCCTTGAATCATGAATTCTGTTTACATAGAAGTTGGTAAGAACTGGATTTTTTAAAAAGCTATTGAGCATCCATTTTTTTCATTTCCCTTTTTATTTTTTTAATGTTGGGGATTTTCAGGGGTCCATTGTTCCTATCAGCACTTTTTTTTCCCCTTCCTCTTTTCATCATTCTGCAGCATGGGTGGGCTGCTGAAGGAAATGTTCCACAAGATTGCTTATATGCTTTTTCCTGACCTAACTACCCCCTTTTGTGTGTCCACAGCATCACCAAATAATCCAGCAGTACATGGTGACCCTGGAGAACCTTCTCTTCACTGCTGAATTAGACCCTCATATCTTGGCCGTGTTCCAGCAGTTCTGTGCCCTGCAGGCCTAAGGGTCATTTTTTCCTCATGTCAAGGTTTTTTTTGATATCTTAAAATAATTTGTCTTATTTTTTGATGGTTTGAATGCTTGCTTTCTTGTAGTATCCTTTCACTTCTTAAAGGAAACAAAGGGGAAGAGGACAGTGAATGAACATGGCATTACTTTTAATTGCCCTGAAAAGCAAATACTTCCTAACGGCAGTAATGTGACTATGACCATGATATATTATATATGTGACAGATACAAATTCTCTGTGATCAGTTTGTTATTTTTTTTCTCCTTAAGGCACAAAATAATTGGTTTGAGGTATGTGAAACACTAGAGGTCAACCTTACATAGTATATAGAACTGATGGGTTTACCCAGCTACCCAGTAGCATAACTTTTCACAGCTCGGGGATGAATTAACATGGCTGAAATAAAACTAAAAGTATGGTTTTTAAACTTTGGCATTTCATGATTTATCATCTCACTCTACTCTAAAACTGGTGGTTTCTTACTGAAGGTGTTCTCCATTTGAAATTTTATCTTCAAAGTATTTTTAAGTAGTATCTTTAAGACATGACTTGTTAGTAATAAAAGTGTTACTAGTTGGAAGAGTAGCTCTCAAATTTGTCTTAATGTAAATCACCTGGGAATCTTTCAAGTTATTTTGAAATTTAAACCACCGTCTGGGGGTGGAACGCAGACATCCTCAGTAATCCTTAAAGTTTCCCCAGGTGATTCCAGGTTTGGTCACCATTATCTTAGAGCATCTACTCACTTCCTCTAGCCTTGGGGTTATTTGTCCAAGGTCTTGTAGTGAGTTACAGAATACTAAAGTGGATGTAGAAGTGGTCAGATTGACTGAAACTATACCCTGAATTAGATGTGAGTTTAGATTTTGTTTATATGGAACCTGATCCAAAAAACTACGAAGTCCTGAGCTTGTTTCCTGTATAGTACTGATGCTGAAATAAGATGACAGCAGTTTGTAAAATAATACACAAATATGAGGAATTGTCTGACATTCCAAATTTCGAGGATTTTTAGACTTTTTTCATTAAACCTTAGAAAAAAATTACCAGTAATCCTACAACTACTGGTAGTGTTGTTGTGCATTTGCACAAAATAGGTATAATTTTTTCTTATTACATCCCAAGTTTATGATGCATTAAGCGTTTTGCATATTTTGATATATTTTTGCTTTGGTTTACCATACATTTTAGTGGCTACAGAATGTAGTCTGCTTAATAAATGGGAATTCCTAGAATGTTTAAATACCATACTATTTAAGACAAAATACAAAATATCCAGAAAAATCCAGGTTGCGTGGCTGGTTAGTAAAGGACTAAAACCCAGGTTCTTGGCTAAATGTTTTCGTTTATACTGTTTATCTTTCCCATTGCTTAAGCACAGCACAAACTATGTAATTATATATAATTACAGTTGACCCTTGAACAACATGGGTTTGAACTGTGTGAGTCTCCTTACACACAGGTTTTCTTCCACCCCTGAGATGGCAAGACCAGCCCCTTGTCTTCCTCAGCCTGCTCAACGTGAAGATGATGAGGATGAAGACCTTTATGATGATCCACTTCTACTTATTAAATAGTAAATATATTTTTTTCTTATGATTTTATTTTCTTTTCTCTAGCTTCATAAGAATATAGCATATGGGCTGGGCGCAGTGGCTCACGCCTGTAATCCCAGCACTTTGGGAGGCTGAGGCGGGCGGATCACAAGGTCAGGAGATTGAGACCATCCTGGCTAACACAGTGAAACCCTGTCTCTACTAAAAACACAAAAACTTAGCCAGGCGTGGTGGTACATGGCTGTAGTCCCAGCTACTTGGGAGGCTGAGACAGGAGAATCGCTTGAACCTGGGAGGTGGAGGTTTCAGTGAGCCAAGATTGTGCCACTGCACTCCAGCCTGGGTGATGGAGCGAGGCTCTGTCTCAAAAAAGAAAAAAAATATATAGCATATAACATACAAAATGAGTTTATCAACTGTTTGTTATTGGTAAGTCAGCAGTGGGCTATTGGTGGTTAAGTTTTGGGGGAGTCAAAAGTTACATGCAAATTTTTTACTGTGCGGGGTGTCAGCATCCCTAACCCCATGTTGTTCAAGGGTCAACTGTAGTTTAAAATGACTCCTGTCTCAAAAAACCAAAGGATAACCTTTAAGGGATTGGTAACTTTGACTCAAAACTGCTTTGTAATCTTTTCACAATGTACTGAAAAGTGTGGCTAGTTATGTTTGATCCACATTCTAGAGAAATTTGTAGGTTTTAATTTCTTTTCTCTTGGTCCTCTCTTCATGTATAATGGTTGCTTTTAACAGCTGTTCGCTGATGTGGTCCTGCTCTGTCCCAGTCTAGCAGCTTTAGTGTATGGAAAAATTGAACTAGGAATTGAGTTTTGAAGAAATAAAGGTGTAAGAGCAAACATTCAACAGTTGCTGTCCCCAGTAATGAAGTTCATACAGACAAAAGATGGCATGTCACTGTACATCATACCTTGCAATAAATATTCTGTTAAATTGTGCTGGTGCAATTTAACATGCTTTTGTCAAAGTAAACATACTGTTTTCCTAATTTATAACTGTACTTGAAAATGAAAGATGAGGAAGGGACCTTGCCAACCTATGTAGAGCAGGTTTAGCTGTTAGTGATTTCTGGATACCAGGATTGTCTTAAACTGGTAAGGGTGTAGAGGGTGAATAGAAGCATCCCTTAACTAGACAAATCTATTTTCTGTAACATAGTGGCCTTGGTAATACATGCTCATTAACTAGTGGTTATTATGTGCCAGGTGCTATAGGTTCACCCTATTAACTACTTCAAACAGTCCTTTGAGATGATTATGCCCTCTTTACAGATAAAAACAGGTTTTGGAGTAATTTACCCACGGTCCACAGCTAGTAAGTGGAATTTGAACCTAGATCCAGTTGGCCCAAGAGCTCCTTCCCCGCCCCCATAATGCTCTTACAACAACCTGAACCCCTAGTTATTCTGTTGTCATCATCTGTTGTCATCAAGCTGAAAGCTTTTTTCCCCAGAGACATCTTGCTGCCCATTCAGAATCAATTTTTACTAAGCTGTAATATTTAGCATAGCACGTATTAGTCATTGAGTGTGAAGGTGTTTAAAAAAAAATCAAACTTGAAAAATACACAAACATTTCTGTGTAGTCTGAATTATTTGGACATGACTTGTTTTGACTTAGCCTTTCTCCAAGCATAATCTCCATTAAAGAAAAAAAAATGGAAATGTTTAAACTTCCTATTCTATTTGTACAGTAGGATAAAATGTCATGTCAAACAATTTGAAAATATCAGGTTATTTTAACTAACTGGAATTTGTTTTTGTCAAAAAATAATGCATAGACCCAATAATTCTTTTGACAAGCTACAGGAAAATTTCACTAAAGTTGATGCAGATGCCTGCGGTGATGTGAGACTTCACCTTCCTTTCCTTAGAAGTCTGAAAGCAGCATGGAAGCAAGCCTGGGACTAAATGAACATACTCCTAAGGCACTTAGGTGCATGCCTGGCACCTGGTTGGTAAATGCTCAGTAAATGTTAGCACTACTTAAAATAAACATCAGTGCCTTCTTTGATCAACAATCAGATAGTCAACCATGAAAACAGCTCTTTTCCATTTTAATCCAGCATTTAAAAAGCTATCTAGACTAATGTTAAGTCCCACAATAGAGGCCCCAAGAGTACAGAAAACATGATCAGACTCGTACAACTCAATGTTTATTTCTGCTATTAGGGCTTTTTCCAGCAGTAGTTCCCCACTGTTTCCACCATCGTGGAGACAGAAATCGTCCTAAAAAACACATGACTAGAACCTGGGGTACAGTGGTGCACCACCATTGCTATTATTTGTTTCTTGGTTAAGAATCCAGTTCAGCCTTTGTTGAACCCTTTTCCCTCTACCCCAATCTAGGGTTTGCCTTGGTATCTTGTCCTCAAATTTGTAGCTGACCTACCACTTCTGCACCTACTCTAGCACTCAGCTCCCATCTCTGTTGTAAGAAGGCAATCACAGACATGACATTGTGCACACAACCAGGCCAGGTGACCTTCACTGAAACTTGCTTTTAAGCCATAACATACATAATTATTACTGAAGTATTACTTATACAAGGGTTTCATTCATCTATGAAGATGTTGCTTTTTTTTTTGAATTTTGAAAAGGACCAATCTAAATTTCCTTTATTTAAATATAAAATTCTATAAAACAGGTCACTGAACTAAAAAATCACATTTTTTCATATGTCAGTTCATGGCCACACATAGTACAAGTCTTACGGTACATGTCATCTTCTAGGTTTTCTTCTGGTCCATACTCATGTTGATGAACAATCGTCTCCCTTTTCCACACGCTGCTTCTTACTGCTCGCCGCAATTCTGAAAAAAAAATTTTAAAGTCATCTTTTCAGTGGTGCTATTCAGGTGAATCCAAAAATCCAACTCCATCAAGCTTTCAGCCATGTACATGTGTGTGTGTCTATGTGTATTTAAACCATATATAGTTTACCTTAATTTTATAACAAAGTTGATTATACAAACTTGGCAAACTTACTTTCTTACCTCACTAGTTCGGCCTGTGAATCAAGTTGTCACTGGAGCAGTGTGAAACAAGAGATTCAGAAATGGTTATGTGGGTTGGTGGTATGCAAAACAGAACCATATTCAGAAGTGAGTTGAGTAACACAATAGGACACATTCAGGTACGTTTGACTTCAGATAACAGAATGCCACAGTAGGAAAAGGAGTCAGCTGAAATAATTAAGAAAAAGGAGTGTTTTTAAGTTCCTGTTAGGAGCTACGTCAATAAGCATCAAGTCAAGCTTTGCAAGAAAACTAGAAAGTAGAGAACTCTACCACTATGCTGGTATGTTTTCATCTTAGAAAAAGTGCTTGTGCAATAAGACCTCAAGTCTGTTGAAGTTCTTATAAGATGACAGCATTATTTTAGGAGAGGGCTAAAAATAAGAATCACAGAATGTTAAGAGCTGGAAAGAACCACAGAGTTTTGATTTTACTTCACTTTATTTTGCAAGTAGGGAAACTGAGCAAAGATAGTTTAACTGTGAAGCCAGGACACTGGTCATATTCTAATGTTTGGAGCTTTTTCTGCTACTTCGTGTCAAAATCATTTTACAAAGAAAATTATATTGGGTTCTTTGAAAGCAACCAAGTAAATCATATTTTAATAAAAAGCAACACTTTACACTTCTATTCTCACCAGTGATCCACCCAGTTCTTCATTATCTTTGACAGTGGCATTACCTAAGGGAGATTATGATAGCTGTCTTGTATAATCTCAGCTATAAAAATAACATACATCAAGTAATCACATATTTTCCCTGATCCATTTTAGATCTATAAGTAGTATCAAAATACTACTTGAACCTTATTTTCAGCTTTTATGAGGATGAAAACACAGGGCTATGTATAAGGCAGTGTTCTTACCACTTTAAATGCATTTAATCCTCACAACCCTTTAAGATAAGTAGAATTACTCCAATTTTACAGATGAGAAAACCAAGGCACAGAGAAGTTATAAGTTGCTCAAGGTTATATAGTTGATGGATACCTCTAGCATGAAAAGTACTTTGACATTATTTTAGTGCATATACCTCTAGATAGTTTTTGGTCTGGAAGAAAAAAATGTTCATCCAAACTCTTCATTTCTTTCAGCATCCTCTCATATTCTGAAGACCTTGGTTTTTCTAGATATAGATCTGGAATGCCCTCCTTCCTTTAAATTTTACTTAGGATATTTTCTAAATAAAAAATGATATGCTAACCAGAACTCCACAGATGCCCTCTGGTTTCAGATAATGTAAGGAAGATGTTGCCTACTTGAATTCTAATACCTGCTTTTCAACTTGGTTCTCACCTTATCCCACTGAAAATCCTACAAAATTTTACTGCAGCGCAATCATGCTAAACTAACTTCTCTGCCTAATTTGAATATTATGTGTACTTAAAAAGAGGTACCAAAGAAAAATTTTCTGAATACTAAAAAAAAATACTTGTAGTAAAAGTCTGTCTGTCTAGCCATAATTGAACCTAAGGTTTTACATTGACTTTGACTTTTTCTCCCCACTCTTCAGCCAGTATGTCAGGCTATATAATGGTGAGAATAAAGCCATATCTTTAATACTTACTAGACATTCCTAGAAAAACTTGTGCCAGAAAGTAAGAAAGTATTCGGGGCCAGGTGCAATGGCTCATGCCTGTAATCCCAGCACTTTGGGAGGATTACCTGAGCCTGGGAGTTCAAGACCAGCCTGGGCAACACAGTGAAACCCCAATCTCTTAAAATAAATAAATAAAAAATTAAAAAAATTTTTTTAATTAGCTAGCCACGGTGACATGAGCCTGTAGTCCCAGCTACTTGGGAGGCTGAAGTGGGAGGATTGCTTAAGCCGAGGAGTTTGAGCCTGCAGTGAGCCATGATTGCACCACTGCACTCCAGCCTAGGTGACAGAGCAAGACTGTCTCAAAGAAAAAAACAACAGAACATAAGAAAGTATTTAAAAATGGATAGGTTTGGGTTTTTCTTTTTTTTTTACCCTTCTTTCCCTTTCTGAACAATCCAGTCCTATGGAGCAAGCAAGCATCCATAGGAGGGTGAGAGAGCCCAAGAAAAAGGGCTCCCTCCAGAAGAGGAGGCAGCAACAGTAATGGGAATTAGTCACACATAGGGCTTTGATCAAGTCACTATATTAAGGATCATGGGAGCCACCAGGTTTCTCATCATCCAAAAAGCCAGTATAAGTAAAACTAAAATGAACCATGAAATTTTAAAACTGGATGTATCAGTGTAAACTCAAGGTTTACATATATTTATAGACAGAGACATAGAAATACAGATACATGTGTTGTGCTAGAAAGCAGAAAGGAGTGCTCAAGAAATGATGACATAAGGCTGGGCATGGTGGCTCACGCCTATAATTCTAGCACTTTGGGAGGCCGAGGCAGGTGGATCACCTGAGGTCAGGAGTTCGAGACCAGCTTGGCCAATATGGTGAAACCCCATCTCTACTGAAAACACAAAAATTAGCTGGACATGGTGGCATATGCCTGTAATCTCAGCTACTTGGGAGGCTGAGACAGGAGAATCGCATGAACCCGGGAGGTGAAGGTTGCAGTGAGCTGAGGTTGCGCCACTGCACTCCAACCTGGGTGACAGAGCAATACTAGGTCTCAAAAGTAAATAAGTAAATAAAAAAAGTAAGGAAATGACATGTCAAAAGATACAAAAGCTAGTCACTAGGCCAAATCAGACCATTTGAGCAACAAAGTAAGGACAGAAATGAACCAAAGCCACTGGAGAAAAACAGAAATTAATGAATTCATACCAATGATAAGTAAATGGGGCAAAGGATGCTGCAGAATGCTGACTGCCAATTGCTTAAATGCAGAAGGAATGCTGGAATTAGAAGACAGTTCTTATAACCATCATACTAAAGACTGGTTCTAGCAAGCACCATCAATGGATGGACACTAAATCTAGGGGGATACAATTTCTTTTTGCTTATCAAATCAAAATCAGAATTACCACTGAGGGCTGATAGACATCAGTGCCTCCAGATATGAGGCCCGGAGAAAAGCACATCACTTACTGTCCCTAGCCTGAAATGCATACCCTGCATCCAACCAGCAGGACACACCAGAAACTGCCCCAAGTGAGAAGCATGTTTTGAAGGGCAGGGCAGGGGAAGCAGACTTTTCTTCAAAAATGTCAATGTCATAAAAAATACGAGCTGTGTAAATATCCCAGAAAAGTTTAGAAAGACTTGGTACCTAAAGCCAATACCCAATCCTAGACTGGATTCTGTTCTAGAAAGGAATTACTAAAAAGAACATTAGATCAACTAACAAAACTAGAATATGGAGGGCAGATTAGACATAAATACTAAATCAATGTTAAATTTACTCAAGTTAACAATATACTTTGGTTATGTAACAAAATATATCCCTATTAGGAAATATACACTGTAATACTTAAGGGTAAAGGGTGGTGATGTATACAACTTAGTCTTAAATGGTTCGGAAAAAAATAAATACTGTGTATGTATAGAAAGAGCATGCAAATGATGATGCAAATAGCATAAAGTGTTAACAGTAGGTAATCTGGAAAAAGGATATATGAGTGGCCCTTTGTATTATTATCCTTGCAATTTTTTATAAGTTTGAAATATTTCCAAACAAAATAGTTTAAAAAGACAGGAGCTACCTTGAAGGGGATTCTACTGGGCAAATTTTGGACAATTTCAACACCAAAATGAATCATGACTGGAATGGACTATAATACATTGACTTCAGAATAAGAAACAATCAGTCCAGCTGATGCTTAAAAAAAAATCAGTTTCTAAGAGAAGAAAAGCTCTTCTTTCCAAAAGCCAAATAACAATTACAGAAAGTGAAAGAAATAGAAAATCACCATTTATATCCAATATAATAACTAAAGTAAGACTCAGCCCTGTGTACTAAAACCACTGAGTGAAAGGTAAGGAATGAGATATTCACATAGTATTAGATTTCTCACTAATTACAAAGGATAAAGGGTACCTTTACAATGGAAAAACCTGGCAGACACCACCTTAACTAAGCAGTCAAACTACCACTCCCTTAAAAGACAGAGCTGGTACCATGTGTCTACTGATAAATGCTCAAACACATCACCTTGAAAGTATTCCTACCAAAAACATTCGACCTGAGTCTAACTGAGGAAACAAGCAGCTAACAAATCTGAATGGAGGGACACACTGAACAGCAGCTGGCCTGGGCACTGCAAAATGTCAATGTCGTGAAAGACAAAAAAGGCTGAGGGACTAGTTTAAAAGCAGCTATCAATATGCATCATCCTTGAATAACACCTGGATCCGACAAAAAGCTGTAAAGGACACCAAAACAACTGGAGAATATTAAATTATACACAAGGTAGCAGCATTATATTAATGCTAAGTTTCTTGAGTATGATCGTTGTTCTTTAGCTATGTAGAAGAACACCATTGTTTTTTGTTTTTTGAGACAGGGTTTCACTCTTGTTGCCCAGGCTGGAGTGCAATGGGGGGATCTCAGCTCACTGCAACCTCCACTTCCCAGGTTCAAGCAATTCTCTTGCCTCAGCCTCCTGAGTAGCTGGGACTACAGGCACACACCATCATGCCCAGCTAATTTTTGTATTTGTAGTAGAGACAAGATTTCACCATGTTGGCCAGGCTGGTCTCAAACTCCTGGCCTCAGGTGATCTACCCGCCTCGGCCTCCTGAAGTGTTGGGATTACAGAAGTGTTGGGATTACAGGCATAAGCCACTGCTCCCAGTCGAATGCCATTGTTCTGAGGAGAAACATGCTGAAGTGTTTATAAGAATCACAATGTCTGCAACTTAAATGGCTTGGCAAAATATGTGTGTGTGAAAGAAAAAGTAAATATGGCAAATGTCAACATCAGGTAAATAAAAAAAATTTAAGATAAATACTTTTTTCACATTACTTCATTTAACAACTTAAAACTTAGGAAAGCAGAAATCAACTACCTACTGCTGAGAATGAGAAGGAGGTAGTTTTAAAAACAAGGTAAGGCTTTAGAAGAGTGAAAAAAGGTCTGTAGGTCTGAAATCGACTTTCGGGGAGCTGAGGAAACCTGGGGTGGGTGCAGGTCCTACGCAGTACTGAAGGCCTAATTGAAGCTGGAGACAAAACAGTGGTTTACCACGTTCCAACCTCCTAGTTCCATTGGCCTAGAATTTCACAATGCTGGAAGCTATTAACTAAGGACTGCCTTTCATGGAAATTTATAACAATTTTCAGTGTAAGCAGTCTTGTTACTGATATATTCAGGGACTGCTTATACTTTTTACAGACGAAAAAATTCTCCTAAATCCTTTTTTAAATGAAAATGTTATTTTATACCAATCTAAAACTTGTATTCAGTTTAACATCTTGGTTTTGCAAAAGAGGTGGTCTGTATTCATGGAAACCCAATGCTGCTTCTGAGGTAAATTTAAAAGACAACTAGCTGCGAGAGACAAGATACTTCTAAATACTTTATGGTAGGACAGTAAGTATTGACTCATGGTGCCCCTTGTTAACAGGAGGAAAAAAAATTACAAGGAAAAGACACAATGACAATATGATGCTTTGGTCTTCTTTAGTCCTCCATAAACTAAAGCAGAGTAACAGAGAACTGAGTCTCCCGAACTCTCTTGAGAGATGACTCCAGAGTCATAAATATAACCACAGGCCCACAATGTACAATGTCCACAAACTTGGGACCCCCATAAGAGATTTCTTACCTACCTCTTTTGGGAGGAAAGTACATAGTAATAAATAATGAAAATGAATTTATTTTCCTTTTTTTAGAAGGGTAACCTCTACCAGTATGGAATAAGAGAAAGCTGGTATAACTAAAGAAATGCCTTATCTCTACCTTATTTATAGAGTAGACATGCAAACCCAAAACGTTCTGTACATTTGAACCAGCTGAACGTTCCCATCTAATATTAAGGCCTGTGCATCCTGAAGTTTTGAAATCAAAACATTTCTATATTCTGTAACTGATTTCTGTAATGTGTAACAGTCCTCTCTTTCAGACTCCTTAAGATGCCTGTTCACTACTTTATCCTTCAAGGCTCTCCTTGCTACTGAAGAGAGGAAGGACTGGTGTAGGGCACTGAAAAGATTAAAAGGCCAAATTCAAAAGAACTCTCCAAATACTCTCTATCGGTCCTTTGAATATTTTGATACAGAGTTTTGATACCAGTTAAAAAAACTGAACAGCAGTTTCTGCCTTGTATCTAACAAGGCAGAACAATTTGAATTCACTAACAAGAAAACACTTTCTTGTCTTTCACCTTATTTTTATCTATCTATCTATCTATCTATCTATACACACCTTATACTATTTAAACTGTAAAATTCTTTTTGGTAGTAAGATCAATTCTCAAACTGCTAAAGTAGAAGATCATATTCTCAAAGCAGGTAAATATAATCTCTTACCTTCCCATAAAGAAGTAAACTGTGTCAGCTTCTTTGTGGATCAAAATCAGAAGACCAAGAGGAACCAGGTTCCAATTTCTTTTCAACTAAAATACTTTTAGACTTGCTTTTATTCCTCTCTGTTCTGAGCCTTCTGAGAAAACTGCACAGTAAGCTCCTTGTGTCTAATCTCTACAGTGTCTACTCCAGTCTCAGCCCTTTGTGGCCTATTCAGGAAGGCGGGAACAACCTCTAAAGTAAATCAACAAGAAGCCATAATTAAAGAAGGCATCACACTGACCTCTCTGCACATTAAACACCAGAAGACAGTGGAGTAATGTTACAGAACTTAGGTATTCATATGCACAAAAGCAGTAAAACATTTCTATTTACAGAGACACTTGGAAAATATATCACTCATGTAACCACTTTGGAAAATGTCCTCAAAAGACATCCTTCATTCAAATAACAAGCGAACTGAAAAAGAAACCAGACCCAAGAGGTCTAACTCTATGAAAAACTTCAGGGCAAATTCAAACTCTTCGAAAATGAGGACAATTGACAGTAGCTTATCTGGTGATTAACAGCAGCAATTTAATGTAATGAGAAAAAAAGCTAATTATATTAAAGTTTATATTTCTTTAAAAAGTAATACCAGTGAAAACTAAATCTTTTAAGAGTTCTGTTCATACTACTAATATATATGCCACATAGAATTCTTATTAAAAAAAGCATGTGATGAAATGGATGCCATCATCTTTCAATCTGTTTGTCAAATTACAGGAATTTAGTTACCATTAGATGACACTGACCAAATTACAGAATTAGTATCTAAGAAAGTACAGACAGCCCTCGTTTTAAAAAATATTTCATCACTTTGCAGATACAGGTTTTTAATTAATACTTATTATTTTATCCATGTATTATTATCTGCACCAAAATACCACCTGGAAATGGTTTAAGGAGGCAGCAAAGAGGTAAGAGTTGAGGTGATTTCAGGTAGCTGGAGTTAACAAAAAACCCTAGGCTAGTATATAACTAATCTATCACTCTGTCCTCCCTTTCGCACCTCTTAAAATGCCTTTTCACTACTTTATCTTTCAGGGTTCTCCTTGCTACTACAGAGGAAGGACTGGTGTAAAGCACTGAAAAGATTAAAGGGCCAAATTCATCAGAACTCTTTCCAAATCCTCTCAATACAGCAGTGGCTAATTTTGGGAAGGTTCTTTAATGAAATGCTCTTATATGGCACAGCTTATTACAGGAAACCTCTCTACAAAGCCATGAATGTGTGCCTTACCTTGTGATTCAGGAATTGCTAAGTAACTATATAAAAAGATGTGTATAAGGATGTTGATCATGGAGTTGCTTAACTTCGTGTCAAACAGTGCTTCCATTTTTATTTTAAAAAAAAATTTAAGGATCTTAGGATAGAAAAGAACAGGAAGAGCAAAAATTAAAATGTTGCTGATGATTGTCTCTGAGTAGGAAAATCATGCAATAAGAGCTCTTTGTAATTCTCTTTTCTGCACTGTAACTGAATTACACTTGTAATGACAAAGGAAAAACAAATCCTCACAATGAGAAGGATTACAACAACTTGTGTTCCTCACAACAAGGAAGGCTTACATTCAATTTTTGGTTTTGCTTTTTTGTTTTTAAGACATCTGACCTTATTCACTCTCCAAAACCACTTATGAATCCTAAAAACATGAGCAAAATTATATGGATAGGACGTTCACTTTCAATGAATTAATTTAGTATATATATAAAACCGAATATATACATAAAGTATGTGTTATCTCTACACACTGTACACTACAATGGGACTCTGCATAATTACTGCATGAAGAACATGTATGTTTCCTTTTTTAAGACTCTTTTAGGGATTCTGTGATAGAGCACAAAGTGACCTCTGTGCTCCTGCAGCACCGCACGTTCATCACTATCATGGTACCTAGCACACTTGCACGATTTTAAGTTTCTCTCCTGACAAACTCTGACTCCAGAATTTATGTTAGCACAGTGCCTGGCACATAGCTGACACTTAGTAAATACTGGATGTATTGATGGATGGATGGATGGATGAACATACAGACAGACTTAACAGACATACATACCTGGATGGATAACAGGGACAAATTAATGCAGCGATAGATGGACAAGGGAATGCATGCAAAGACAGATGCATGGATAGAGAAATGACTACTTCATGGAGACTTTCAGTCAAAAAACCCTGCTTCCAGTCCCAACTCTGCCAATAACTATCTACATAACAAGTCACTCCACCTTTCTGGGTCTTTTGGTCATATATAAAATAAAAGTTCCTTCTAGCTGCTGAATTAGATGACTAAGACTTAGGGCATGGCTTTTCATTTTAAGCAATTAGAGGGGATTGTTGGTAGGTGTGTTTTTTATAACACACCTGTTGATCATACTTAAGATTTAATTGATGCCAAATCCTTGACCAGTGATACCACTCCTGATCCTCACATTGTTCCTATATAAAAACATGATTCACTTTAAGATGATGACGTACATGCTTTTCAGAAATGTCGTACTGTGAGGTTTGAGCTTAGTGCCTTGAAGACCAACATACTGAGGGCAAACTGTAAGTCATTTTTTTCAACCTCTAAAAAACACATTCCAATCTATTGGTGACATTAAACAGGAAGAATCTAGCTAAAGGCTTTTTGCAAAATGGTAAAACACAATCCTTCACGATATAAAATGTGGCCATCTACCTTTTACTTTTTTATCAAATTTCTTCTGTTTCATTTTTTCTCGGTTTTCCTGTCGGACTTCCTTTGCTTCTTCTAATGCTTCTTGACTACCCCAAACTTCAAGAGACCTCTTCACAATCTACAACACAAAATCCATATTTAAATAAGTTGTGATTCAGACTTGCGAAATATTATAGTTATAACTGTCAAATCCAAAGGTACCAAAGAATGATCTAACTCAAGTATAAATTTATAAATACTTATTAGAAATTTAAAGATTTTAAATATTAATGATCAGAAACAACTCTAATAAAACATCTATCTAAACCTATGAAACTGTCAGTAAACGTATGCTGAATTAGATTATAAATAGAAAAGTTGTCCTCTGACTGTATTGTCACAGGAATCAAAAGTACACGTGGTCAGTGAGTTTGATCAACTGTGGTGGGCTCACCAAAGAAACAGTTTGTTGACAGATTAGCCACATCAGACCTAAATATGAGGTCATCTCCAAAAATCTCCAACCGCAGGAAATTACCAATTACTACTACTCATCTCCTTCAAGATCAATAATTGTCTCTATCGACTTGACTTCTGATCTGCAGGATATATTTTTTTTTAATTTTGGTACCAAGATGATGTAAAAAGTCTTCATTCTACTTTTAAAACTTTACATTATATACCTTTACTCTTTATAGTATTTACTTAGATTTTAAGAGAATTTACACACTAAGAATTATGCTCAGGATACCTCTCACAATATGTTAAAAGGACCATAATATTAATCAGCATAGCCAAACTCAAATTTAACATAATCAAGTGATACACTCATATTTCGTATATTCTGAGACATCACGTTTTCCGCAATTTAACATCCCTGAAAATGCTGCATCACCAATGCACTTAATGGTACTTTAACAACTGTGAGTCAAAAAGTGGTGCAGAAGAATTGGACTCTGAATGTAAAGTTTAGGAATACCTTCATAAGTCTTTTGCACTTGCATTTTCCCTTTTATGTGTGCAAAAGTCGTGATATATGACAAACTATAATAAAGTCTAATGGCACTATTTCACCAAGTATAAAAAGCATCAAGTGATAAGAAAGCATATGTTGATTTTAATCAGCGGCATTTAAAAATATTTAATGGTACATAAAACAATAGTGAATGTTCTAATCAACAGAATCTTAGTATTTAATGAAATTCAGTACACGTTTTGTTTTACAATATGGCTTCTTAATTTTATTTGGAGATATGGGATTTTCTAGTATAGTATATATTCAAACTGTGCTCTAAAGCAATGCCTCCCAATATTTTAAGCTAACAGCACAAAAAGAATATTACAATATTTGTACCACTCTGAGGTAGATACAAGAGGCTGCTTGTGACTCAAAGAAACTGGCCTGGGCACTAGCAGTCCTAGCCACTAAGTGGATCACCGTCTTGGCACACCTATAACCCATCTGCAGCAAGTGGAGTTGAGACGATCTGCTCTGAGATTATAGAGCTATATGGACACTCGCTAGCATTCCAGATGGGTAGAGTTAGATTTTAGGTATTTATGAAATTCTTGAAATTTTTCTTTTTTTAAAATATTTCTTTTTTGGTGGGAGATGGAGGTGAAAGAGGGTAAGGAAACAGGGCCTGACTCCCATTCCAACCTTTTTTAGTTTCCAAATTGTACTCTTAACATCACCCAATAGCAACAGGTTTCTTTCAAAGTGCCATATTAGAAGCAAAATGAGGCCAGGCGTGGCGGCTCATGCCTGTAATCCCAGCACTTTGCGAGGCCAAAGCAGGAGGATCACTTGAGCCCTGGAGTTCGAGACCAGCCTGGGCAATATGGTAAAACCCCATCTCTACAAAAAATACAAAAAACTAGCCAGGTGCTACTCAGAAGGCTGAGGTGGAAGGATTACCTGAGCCCGGGAGGTCAAGGCTGCAGTGAGCCATGATCTCACCACTGCACTCCAGCCTGAGTGACAGAGTGAGACCTTATTGTTTGAAAAAAGAAAAGAAAAAAGCAAAATGAGAAAACATGTTATTAAATGTCATTATACATGACTGTGAAGCATATGCAAAACTAGGGAAAAGAGTTTTTCCACACTCTGTAAGCAAAAGCCAAACCAATTATGACTAGTTTGTTATTAAGAATTTACCAGAGTGAAAAATAATAAATACAACTTATTAGAGACCTGTAACTTTAAGTAGAGTTTCATATCACCCCATTGTGAATGATGTGGATTCTTCTTCACAATAAATTTAAGAGGTGGCTCTCTTTTTTCTAAATCACAGTCTTTCAGAAGATATTCTTGTTTTGCCTCTGTTTTGGTTATAAGCTTGTGTTTATCATCAGCATCTCTGAAAACAGATTAAGTCCATTATATAAATTAGTTATTTTAAATAAGCTAAGTTTGCAAATAGCCCAGCAACTTAGGGGCACACACAGCAAAAAGGACATATAAAATACTTTTTCCTGCAACTCTCATGGTTAAATTAGCAACATAAGAATTCTAACAGAAAAATACTTTATCTTTTACTTATTCTGGTAAGTTACATTATCTAGAGAAAAAAACATTCCTAGCAAAGGGAACAGCAAGGGAAAAGGCTCTAGGGCAGGGGTGTATTTTGCAAAGAGAGCTTACAGCAAGAGGACCAGTGTAACTAGAAGACCTGAAGTAAGCGATGGTGAGGAGTGGTGGGAGATACAGTCAGAGACAGTCAGGACCTTGCAAGCAATGGTGAAGACAATGGTTAGAAACCACTAGAAGGTTTTGAGCAAAATACTATATGAAAAGGAGACCCTAGGGGTGCGAAAGGGGTAATGGGGGAGAGACCAGTTAGAACACTACTGCGGTGGTCCAGGCAAGAGCTGATGGTGGCCTAGACTAAGGCAGCAGTGGGAGAGGATGAGATGCCGATGAATTCAGGATATGGTGAACCTAGAGCCAAACAGGTTTGGAATTAATACACACAGGAGAGTGGAGACATAGCCAGCGAATGAAGCTGGCTTTACTGAAATGGTAAACACTAAAGAGCAGGTACAGATCAGGGAGGGGAGAAATCAAAGGTTCTATCAGAGGATTCTATCACAAAAACATAAAAGTTAAAACTGGGAAGAGCTATACAAAAGCTAAATAATTCAGAAGTATAAACTAACAGGAGACATGTAGACTATATGGTACTAAAACTATCATCTTTGATGATGTTGAAAAAGAATGGAGGACTGTGTTCCTGATTATGATTAAATATAAAAGTGTAATGTTTCCAGACTTTTCAAGGTGTTGGCAGGACCACGTTCCTTTCTGGAGGCACTAGGTAAGAATCCATCTCCTTGCCTTTTCTAGCTTCTAGAGGCCACCTGCATTCCTGAACACGACCCCCTCCTTCCACTTTGACAGGCAGTGATGATGGCTTCTCACATTGCATCACTCACTTCTTCACTAATCGCATGTCCCTCTGACTCTCAGCTTTCCTCTTCCACTTCTAAGAAAGCTCATGTGCTTGTATTCGGTCTACCTGGATAACCCAGGATAATCTCCCCATCTCGAGGTCTTTAACCTTAATCATATCTGCAAAGTCCTTTTGCTATGGCAAGGTAATATATTCACAACTTTCTTTAAACTGGTACAAGAGTTGCTTCCATTTTCTCTTGGAAATAAAATTCTATGTAGTGTTTCAGTTCCCAAAAGCTATACTGGCCTTTAAGAATGACGACAATACTGTGGACTTTAACCACTGTGTCGGTGGGAAATGAGTTTGTAATCTATAGTTCCAGCTGTGGTGCCAGAGCATTCCCAGCCATGTATCTGATCATGAGACCAGGGACCACATCTCCCTCTCTATCTACCAAGGATTCTGCTCAGCAACAAGCCAATCATGATGGCTCCCAATGTCTGCAGCAGGGACTCTGAAAGGGCAGGTCCTTCAGGCAGGTGAGGAGTTGATTTAGGACTGTAGGGACAAAGTAAGCACAGGGAACAGGTAAGAGGGCCAACTAAGATTCCAAGATAAGACCTTCAATGTGCAAAAGATATCAACACAGCATTTGGCTGAGTAAACAGTAGTGATAGGAGAACCACGTGAAGTGAGAAAGGTTATTCTGGGTGATATAAAAAAAAAGGATAAAGTCTAGAAGAAGAAAAAGAATGGAAGAATATAGTTCTTCCTCATCTATTCTCTCTATGAGGGTAGCAAAAGATGAATGAAAAAGGTATTCGGAGCTACTGTCCTTTCACTGAAGGCCCCACTCCTCTGACCAAGATGTAACACACCCTGGAATAATTAAGAAATAGAGGGATCATTAGGGCTGGGTGAAGAGAAGGGTTAGCAGCCTACTACTGAGAGACGTTAAAAAACAAAAACAAAAAAAAACTCAGGCCAGCAGAAAAAGAAAAGGAAATTTCTATGGCAGAACCATCGGCATCCTTCCTATTTTATGGGGTATATCATAAGCTTTAATAAGCACAGATTTACAGTATTTGGCAAAATAGAAACCATAGAAATTTTAGGAAACACCCAAAATGAAATTCATAATTACTAAGAAAATATCAAATCCAAACAGATATAACTTGTTTTGCCCTAAACCTACACATAAACATTAGCAATTAAGAACACCATCTAAAATAAGTACCTGCAGTTATCACAAGTTGGCAAATCAAAGTGGTTCATAAGATAAGAATCCATAAATTCTTTCCCACATTCTTCGCATATTACATAATCAAATTCCATAACAGGTCCTAAGAAAAGGAAAATGAACTCTAGTTTCCTTTTTTATGACTAGAACAATATATTTTCCTCTATTTTATTAGCTTATCAGCATGTATGCAATGCCTGACATAAATACATTTAAGTAAAAGACAAAATAAGACCTTATGTTTATCTAAAAAAAAAAATTAAAGAGGAAAAAAGAAAAGGAAGTAACATAAAGAAAAAAACGTAGCAATTCCACAAATATTTCTGAATCCCAGCCATGTACAAGGTACTTGTATTAGTGCTACATTAGTTATAAGAAACTACCACAGACAGAGTGACTTAAAACAACACACATTTATTATCACACGGATCTCTAGTTTATTCTGACATGGGTCTCAGCAGGCTAAAATCAAGGTGTTGGCAGGGCTGTGTTCCTTTCTGGAGGCTCTAGGCAAGAATCCATCTCCTTGCCTTTTCCAGCTTCTATAGGCTGCCTGCATTCCTTGACTCATGACCCCTTCCTCCATCTTCATAGCCAGCAATGGTGGCTTCTCACACGGCATCACCCACTTCTTCCATAATCACATGTCCCTCTGACTCTTGGCTTTCCTCTTCTACTTTTTTTGTTTTTTTGAAATGGAGTCTTGCTCTGCCACCCAGGCTGGAGTGCAGTGGCACGATCTCAGCTCAGTGTAACCTCCACCTCTCGGGTTCAAGCGATTCTCCTGCCTTAGCCTCCCAAGTAGCTGGGATTACAGGTGCAAGCCACCATGCCCGGATAATTTTTGTTTTTGTTTTGTTTTGTTTTTTGAGATGGAATCTCGCTCTGTTGCTCAGGTTTTAGTGCAGTGGTGCAATCTCAGCTCACTGCAACCTTCACCTCCTGGGTTCAAGCGATTCTCCTGCCTCAGCCTCCCAAGTAGCTGGGATTACAGGCACGCACCACCATGCCCAGTTAATTCTTGTATTTTTAGTAGAGATGGGGTTTTACCATGTTGGCCAGGCTGGTCTCGATCTCCTAACCTCGTGATCCACCCACCTCAGCCTCCCAAAGTGCTGGGATTACAGGCATGAGCCACTGTACCCAGCCCTAATTTTTGTATTTTTAGTAGAGACAGAGTTTTGCCATGTTGGCCAGGTTGGTCTTGAACTCCTGACCGCAGGTGATCCACCTGCCTTGGCCTCCCAGAGTGCTGGGATTACAGGCGTGAGCCACCGTGCCCGGCCCCTCTTCCACTTTTAAGGAAACCTGTGTGCTTACATTGGGTCTACCTGAATAACCCAGGATATTCTCCCTATGTCAAGGTCTTTAACCTTAATCATATCTGCAAAGTCCTTTTTGCTATGATAAGGATAATATATTCACAGGTTCCAGGGTGATTAAGGCATGGACATCTTTGGGGGCCATTATTCTGCCCACCACAGCACTGCTGAAAGTACAAAAGAGATTAGTCCCAGAGTGGTAGGGCAAAAAGGGATCTGCTTACAGACAGGGCACCAACATTGCACAAGAAAAAGCAATAAACAGCATGGTAATAGAAGAGAGACAACAACAGAATTCACTTCCAAATGGAAAAAAATTTTGTCTCCCTCCATTCTATCCCCTACCAACAAAGCAAATAGCTTCTTCAACTGTCTCACCTTGTGGATTATAAACTCTTTAAGGGGAGAGGCTGTATTCAGCCATGTATCCTCAACTCCCAGCACAGAAAAACCACTCTAGGTAAGGTAAAGCTAGATTATTTAAGGACTTCAAATGCCTAGCTAAGGAACTTAATCCTGTAAGAACTGTTTCTCCCAGCAAGTCTTTAAATTTTACTAGTAAGGCTGGCACAGTGGCTCACACCTATAATCCCAGCACTTTGGGAGGCCAAGGTGGGTGGATCACTTGAGTCCAGGAGTTCGACACCAGCCTGGTCAACATGGCAAAGCCCTGTCTCTACAAAAAAAATCCAAAAATTAGCCAGGTGTCAATTAGCTGGGTGACGGGCACCTGTAATTCCAGCTACTCTGGAGGCTGGGCAGGAGAATCGCTTGTGCCCATGAGGTGGAGGTTGCAGCAAGCCAAGATTGCCCCACTGCATTCCAGCCTGGGCAACAAGAGTGAAACTCCGTCTCAAAAACAAAAACAAAAAAAATTAGCCAGGCATGGTAGTGTGTGCCTGTAGTCCCAGCTACTTGGGAGGCTGAGGTAAGAGAATCGCTTGAACCCAGGAGGTGGAGGTTGCAGTAAGCCAAGATCATGCCACTGCACTCCAGGCTGGCGACAGAGCAAGGCTCTTTCTAAATAAATATATATATATATATATATATATATATATGTAAATAAATAAATTTTACTAAGAAGTCTTTAGGCTGAATGCTCCAACTCTCAGAACTGCCACAATTTCCAACAAGAAGAAAAAAGGAGTTGTCGGCCAGGTGCAGTGGCTCACGCCTGTAATCCCAGCACTTTGGGAGGCCGAGGAGGGTGGATCACCTGAGATTGGGTGCTCAAGACCAGCTGACCAACATGGAGAAACCCCGTCTCTACTAAAAGTACAAAATTAGCTGGGCCTGGTGGTGCATGCCTATAATCCCAGCTACTCGGGAGGCTGAGGCAGGAGAATCGCTTGAACCCAGGAGGCAGAGGTTGCGGTGAGCTGAGATCGCACCATTACACTCCAGCCTGGGCAACGAGAGTGAAACTCTGTCTCAAAGAAAAAAAAAAGAAAAGGGGAATTGTCATTATGTCATTAATTGTTTGTTTCAAAATATTCCTATCACTGCCTTCCCTTACCTCCTTCATTATAACACACTAATCTCCAAACTTTAAGAAAACAAACAAACAAAAAAATCATGCTTTTTTTGTAGAATATTAGAGAAGCATATCTATAGACAAAAGGAAAACTAAAAACTTTGGAACAAGGCTAGTGATAGTCAAAGTGGTATCTTTGAAAAATTTACCAGGATGCATTAGAATGAAGAGAAAGTGTGGTAGAAATACCAATTAGGAAGCTATTACATAGCATTATTAATCAAAACATTTAAAATGTGCAGTTTTCTAATTTAAAATATTCTTTATAATGGGAATTCCTAAATAAACACAATGATAATTTTCAAACTGTCACTCCCTTTTACATTTACCACTCAGAAACTGGCAGTCTACCATAAGCAAGAGTTGTGTAATTATTTCATTATATATTACAATGTAATAATAATGGAAATAAAGTACACAATAAAATGTAATATGCTTGAATCATCCTGAAACCATCCCCAGCCACCCCCCAACCCCACCCTGGGTTTTGTCTTCCACAAAACCAGTCCCTGATGCAAATAAAAACAAATATTTTAATCCTTCAAGTCTCAGCTTCTGCAAACAACAATATAGACACACATAGATCAAAGCAGAGCAACCACCTACATTGATGAATGCACAACACTTCTGTAGCTGCAACTAAAGACTGGAATAGGTCTTTTTTTTTTTTTTTTAATAAAAAGCTGTTATATTGCACTGTTGGCTGCCAAACTTATGAACAAATAAAGTGTTTCTATCTTTTTCCCAAAGAGTGTGAAAGTACCCTCACTGTGAAGATATGTGTACATATAAGTGATTTACCAAAGCACTAACCTTAGATCATAGTTACATCCTTCTTTTTATGCTGGTCTATCTTATACTTTGTAAGCTGCTTTCTTTCTCCACAGATAAATAAAAGAATGTCCTAAATGTTATCTCTTGGATTCTGGTGCCTCATTTCAGCCTATCAAGATAATTTTGAGTATTTATTCTACCAATCAATATACTGGCTAACCCTGCCTATTATAAAACAACAGAGAGCAGCAACCCCTAAGTACATCAGCCACAAGTTAAATAATCATTTCCATATGCATGGCTGTTTCTTTGATTGTTTTTTTAATCTACTAGCAAAACTGCCAAACTTTATCACTTTTATAAAGATAATGTACTCACTGATTAAAGTAGTTATGGCATTATTTAGCATCACTTTGCATAGAATTATGCATGTTACTCAAAATAACCAATCTAGATACTTATTTTTGAAAAACTCACTTTACCTGGTTGATGAACAACTTTTCCAATTTTCTGTTCTTCTTCTTCTTCCTCTTCTAAAATGAAGCCTCCTCCTGTGTCAATTATCTTTGGGGCTGCTTTTACATTAGCCATGCCTACAAAAGTAAGTAAAAGCAGTCAACAATTGAAGTAGGTAAGCCTGTATGTTACCTTGTTCATAAATAGAAAATTCCTTTGAATTCAATATATCTCAAACAACACAAGGATGTCCACAATCACTACTTCTATTCAACATTATACTGAAGGTCCCAGCTAGTCTAACAGAGCAAGAAAACCAAAAAGGCATAAAGGATGAAAAGAAAGAAGTAAAACAGCATCTATTCACAGATGATGTAATTATGTGTGTAAAATATCCACAAGAATCTACAATTAGAATTAAGAAATAACAACCTAGGAAGAGATGTGTACAACCTCTGCCCTGAAAACTACAAAACACTAAGAGAAATCAAAAAGGACTTAAATGGAGAAATATACTGTGTATGGATTTTAAGCCTCAATATTATAAAAACGTCAATTCTTCACAAATTTATCTAAAGATGCAAGGTGATCTCAGCTAGAACTCCAGCAGTGGGGTGCGTTGTGTGTGTGTGCGTGCGCACGTGTGCACCCGGAAATTTCCATTTCATATTTTGGGCCATGGTTGATTGTGGGTAACTAAAGCCACAGAAAGTGAAACCTTGGAAAAGGGAGGTCTAACGTATGCATATCTGACAAAGGACTCACATTCAGAATACATAATAAAATCCTCTAAGTCAGTAAAAGACAACCCAACTTTTAAAAACAGGCAAAAGATTTGAACAGGCACTTCACAAATGAGGATATCCAAACGGCCAAAAAGCACATGAAAAGGTTCTCATTATCTCTAATCATTAGGAAAATACAAATTAAAACCATAATGAAGTATCATTAGACTCTCACCAGAATGTCTAAAATGAAAAAGACTGACAATACCAAGTGTGAGGATGTGGAACAACCAGAACTGCCATTTTGCTGGTGAGATTGGAAACTGATATAATCACCGTTTGGCAATATCTACTAAAGCTTAACATAACTACACCTCTCCTATGACCCAGCAATTCCATCTCCAGGCATATACACAAGAGAAGTGAGTGTGTATGTCCACTAAAATACATAAAAAAGAATGTGTACAGAGGTTTCATTCGTAACAGCCCCAAAGTGGAAACAACCCAAATAGCCACCAAAAGGAAAATGGAAAAAATTGTGGCATAATACAAAAGAATCTATACAACATCTAAATGCACAAACTACCAATGCACGCAACAAAATGTGTGAATCTCTCAGATACTATGTTGCGCAAAAAAAGCCAGATACTGTATGACTCAATGTACATGAAGTTTGGAAATAGGTAATACCAATCAAATGGTCAGAAGAGTATTACTTCTGAGAGTAGAGAGTGGACACCGACTAGGAAGGCGCAATAGGAAAACTTCTAAGGTTCCGGAAGTGTACATGTCTTGATCACGATGGTGTTTACACAAGCATTCACATAGGTAAAATTCAGATGAGTACATTTTACAGTATGTTACACCTCCATTTATTAAGACAGATTAATATGTTTTATTCTGCTACAGTCACTCCCCTTCTCTGGCCTCAATTTCTCCCTCTATTAAATGAAAGGATTAGATTATAAACTTGTTTCCACTGTTAACAGCAATTCTCACACTATAATGCCTGTTCATCTCTCTGTATCCCTTCATTAGACTGAGTGCCTTTACTTGTATACTTCTGACAAATAGTAAACATTCCATGAGTACCAACTGGATGGATAGAAATGAATGAACCTACCAGAATATGTAATATAAATAGCAAAGTAAATGAATGGAATGACAGTAAACACAATGAGAATTAAGAAGAGGGAAAGCTGGAGTAGTCGAGCCCATGACTTGAGCAGGATCCTAAACAATGCTAACTCATGCCCAAAACAAAGTCCGATTTCTCTCTGCTGCTATGCCTTGCTGTTTCCCCAGGACCTTAGCACCACTCTTCGTATTCTAAGCAAGTTTTTTCAGTCTTTCATGGCATATGTCATGGCACACAGAGAAAAAGAAAATTGTATAGTACCATGAAATAAAAGTGTCACAAAGATAAAAATCTCAGCACTTACCTAACTCTTGAAACATGGTGGGTTGTACACAATGCTACAATACAGTTCAGTTCTTGGGGAACTGCCTAAGAAATCTTAAAGAATGTTCATTCTACCTTGCTTTCCATGATCAAAAGTTTAATTTAATGTCAGTTTTTGCTATTTTGCACCTTCCGTTCCACAGCCATGTCGTAGACCTGGAAACCTTTATGGAATCATGACTATGAATTAATCAGTGCAAATGAACTTTCTGTCTGACTCTAGCGTGCCTCAAGTTTAGAAAGGAATAAAAGGTAACCACTATAAAGTAGAAAGGATGAGACCAGTACCATCAAAAGTAGCTGGAATTTGCAGTTTCGGTGTTAGTATGAACATCAAGACATGCTGCCAGCCTCAGACTCTTCTCACTCTCACTACATCTGGCTGATAAAAAAGAGTAATACAGCTCTAAACTGTGCTCGACAAAGGGCAGTATAGAGCTTTAGGAACACATGTACTTCATGTTATAGAGGCAGCCCTGAAGAACTGCCTGTCAACCAAACTATATTTTAAGTATCCTGTTAAAGATTATTAGTTGACCCCAGTGGCAAATTCTATAAGAGAATAATCTGCAATGAGAGATCAGTCCTTAATTTACTTCAATCAATAAACACGTTTTGAGCAACTAGTTTTTGCCAAGAAATCGCAGAGGTCACATGTCCAAGAAATAGACTCATGGAATCTATGGATTAGAATCTTAAAGGTTTACTATCCAGTCCCTTCTTCTGATTGCTGAGTAGGAGATTCTGATTGCTGAATCTCCTCTCCTCCACATAAGTAAGCGTTCTTCCAGTTCCTATTTGAGCGCTTCTAGTAACGGGAAGCTCATGAGAAGCAATCCATTGCACTTTTGGCAACTCTAATTGTTGAAAGCTCTCCCTAACAAACACCAAGATCTGCCTCTTCCATCAACTAGTTCTAGGTATAGAGGCCAGAATCAAGAACTAGTCTAACTCCTCTTTCCGGGACAGCTGAGGCCCTGACACCTGGCAGTGGCTGACACCTCCCGGCCGGGGCGGCTGCATCCCTAAACGAAAAATCGAAGCTGCCAGCAGCCGAGGTGCAGCGAAGAAGGCCCGGGGCTGGGGGTCAGGAGGCCCGCGTGCGACAGAGGAACGCTCTGTGGTCGTGGACAGGACGCTTTGACAAGGCGGCTGGCTGGGCGGATTCCCTCTCCGACTCGGGGAGAATCTGCACACATACGCCAGCGGAGTTGACGCGACCCCCGGGCCCCGGGACTCGGCTTGCACGAGCCAGTCTGGGGACCGGGGAGGCGGGGAGAGGGAAGGGGAAAGCGCGGACGCGGCCCAAACCTCCAGTAGCCGCAGCCGCCGTCGCCGAGTAGGGCCGGGCAGCCAGCCGGGCCTGGCGCAGCATCAGTGCCCGCTGCCGCTTCCGCTCGATACTCGCCCGCACCGAGGCAGGCAGCTCCGCGGGTTGCTCTAAAGCCGCCGCCTCCGGCAAAGCCCCGTCGGCCGCCGCCATCTCTGGCCCACTCCGAGGACCTAGCTCCCAGCTCCACGCACGCGCACTGCACGCCGAGGCGAGCCAGCCGCCCTGCACCGCCTCTGCGCTCCCCGCACCCAGCGGCCTTTCTGAGTGAGAGCGCCTGCGCAGTTAAGGGGCTCGGGGTGGCCTGCCCGGGCGCTGGGCGGAGTCTGGGTATGCGCGGACACGGAGTACCCGCCTAACTACCTGCTCTCTTGTCATCCGGGAGAAGGGTCCGTGCTGAGATCATATCTCACGACCTGGTCACCTTTAAAATAGGTCTCGCTTGGTGATTCAGAGTATAGGCTTTGGAGTCAGGCCTGGGTTAAGTCTGAGCTCTTGACAGTTAAAGTCTGTGTGACCTTGGGCAAGTTATTTAACCAGAGTTCAGTTTCTTCAGTGGTAAAATGAGGATAATTATGGAACCATTTACCGAGTCTTTGGGAGGATTAGATTGCCAGGACAATAACCTGGCACGTAGAAGACCTCAAAAAATGGTAACAGTGAGTAGTAGTAGTGCCAGTCATAGAGCCCAACAGATGATAGTCCTGATTTTATGTTGGATACACGGCCTAGAGACACAGCCTTAGATTTAAAATGAGAAGACCTGGGTTGAAACTCCCAGTTAACTTGCTGTGTGACCTCAGGCAAATGCAGGACTTGCTCCAAGGCTGATATGCATAAGGTTGGCTATCTTTCCCATGGAATATTCCTTCAGTGAGGATGAGCTACTGCCAGGTAGACAGTGGGTTTGGATCTGGGCCAAATATCCTGACTTCCCAAAAGTGTGGCTAGTGTAACAAAAGAAACATAGCAGGCTTTCCCAAAAATGTATGCTTTCCCTTTGTTACAAATAATGCTTAATTGAAACCAGAAAACATTAACTTCTAATTACTACATGTACCATTTAGGACTGGCTTTTAGAAAGACAACCTCACACACTGATGTTTCCCACTAATGTTCAATGGTTAACCTTTCAGAAACACAATTCAGTGTTCTAATTTATCGGTCATATATACATAAAGCTGCAAAACCTCGTATAAAGCAGTTACCTGCTGAAATCTTAGGTTGAATTGGAGATAGAATCTCAAGCCATCCCCATCTCCCTTCCCCTCAGATCCTTCTTTCTCCCTACCCATCAATCTTGCCCAGGTGAAACTATTTCAAATTCCATAACATCAAAAGCACAAGCAACAAAAGAAAAAAAGCTGGACTTCATTAAAATTAAAAACTAGGCTGGGCACAGTGGTTCACACCTGTAATCTCAACAGTTTGGGAGGCCAAGGCAGGAGGATGACTTGAGGTCATGAGTTCAAGACAAGCTGAGGCAACACAGTGAGACCCTGTCACTATTAAAAAATAATAATAATTGGCAAGGTGCAGTGGCTCATGTCTGTAATCCCAGCCCTTTGGGAGGCCAACACAGGAGGATTGCTTGAGACCAGGAGTTCAAGACCAACCTGGGCAATGTAACAAGAACCCATCTCAGGAGGTCAAGGCTGCAGTGAGCTGTGATGGCACCACTACACTCCAGCCTGGGCAACACAATAACATCTTGTCTCAAAAAAAAATTAAAGTCGTCGGCAAAGCCTGAGTCCTGTCCTCTCACTCTCCTCCCTGGACAGCATAAGCTTCACCACTCGCTCCACCTTCTCCACCAACTACCGGTCCCTGGGTTCTGTCCAGGCACCCAGCTACGGTGTCCGGCTGGTCAGCAGCATAGCCAGCGTCTGTACAGGCACGGGGGCTCTGGTTCCCGGATCTCCATGTCCCGCTCCACCAGCTACCTGAGCAGCATGGGTTCCGGGGGCCTGGCCGCGGGGATGGCCAGGGGTCTGGCAGGAATGAGAGGCATCCAGAACAAGAAGGAGACCGTGCAAAACCTGAACAACTGCCTGGCCTCCTACCTGGACAGAATGAGGAGCCTGGAGGCCAAGAACTGGAAGCTGGAGAGTAAAATCCAGGAGCACCTGTAGAAGAAGGGACCCCAGGTCAGAGATGAGCCATTACTTCAAGACCATTGAGGGCCTGAGGACTCAGATCTTCACAAATACTGTGGACAATGCCTGCATTGTTCTGCAGATTGACAATGCTGGTCTTGCTGCTGATGACTTTAGAGTCAAGTATGAGACAGAGCTGGCCATGCGCCAGTCTGTGGAGAGCCACATCCATGGGCTCCGGAGGTCACTGATGACACCAGTGTCACTCGGCTGCAGCTGGAGACAGAGATCGAAGCTCTCAAGGAGGAGCTGCTCTTCATGAAGAAGAACCACGAAGAGGAAGTAAAAGTGTTGTACCCGAGCGAGTTAAAAAAACGCCACACTTTGAGATGAATTAAGAGTCCTTTATTAGCCGGCGACCGAGAGACGGCTAACGCTCAAAATTCTCTCGGCCCCGAGGAAGGGGCTTGATTAACTTTTATACCTTGGTTTAGAAAGGGGGGGTCGTCTAGTTAAAACAATTTTACAGAAGTTAAGTAGTCAAAAAGTTAAAAGGATAAATGGTTACAGGAAAGTAAACAGTTCCAGATGCAGGGGCTTTAAGACTATTACAAGGTTATAGATGCAGGGCTTTGGGCGTTATCAAACAGATGAATTCTTGGGGACTGTGGATATAGCTTGCCACAGTATCTTATCAGTTAATTGCATTCTTGGATGTGCTGGGAGTCAGCTTGCACAAGTTAAGTCCTTGAGGAAGGGGCTGCCAGTGAAAGAGCCAAGATGGAGTTTGTCTGGTTCTCTTAGCTAAGGGAGAGTCTGTTCAGGTGGAAACAAGCCTAGGTGAAAAAGGAAAAATGAGGTTGGGCATTACAAAAGGCCTACAAGCCTAGATTGCCAGCTCTGGGTTGACCATGGAGGTAGATGCCCCCAGTCTCGGGACCTTGCCAAGATCATGGCAGACATCCGGCCCCAATATGATGAGCTGGCTCGGAAGAACTGAGAGGAGCTGGACAAATACTGGTCTCAGCAGATTGAGGAGAGCACCTCAGTGGTCACCACGCAGTCCACCGAGGTTGGAGCTGCTGGGATGATGCTCACGGAGCTGAGATGTATAGTCCAGTCCTTGAAGATCAACCTGGACTCCATGAGAAATCTGAAGGCCAGCTTGGAGAACAGCCTGAGGGAGGTCGAGGCCCGCTATGCCTTGCAGAGGGAGCAGCTCAACGGGATCCTGCTGCACCTGGAGTCAGAGCTGGCACAGACCCGGGCAGAGGGACAGTGCCAGGCTCAAGAGTACAAGGCCCTGCTGAACATCAAGGTCAAGCTGGAGGCTGAGAGCACTGCCTACTGCTGCCTGCTGGAGGATGGCAAGGACTTCAATCTTGGTGATGCCCTGGACAGCAGCAACTCCATGCAAACCATCCAAAAGACCACCACCCGCCGGATAGTGGATGGCAAAGTGGTGTCTGACCAACGACACCAAAGTTCTGAGACATTAAGCCAGCAGAAGCAGGGTACACTTTGGGGAGCAGGAGGCCAATAAAAAGTTCAGAGGTCAAAAAAAAATTGAAAACTTTTCTACGTCAAAGAACACTATGAAGAAAATTGGGGTAAAAACCCCACAGAATGGGAGAAAATATTTGCAAATCAGATATCCAATAAGGGTCTAGTATCCAGAATTTATAACAAACACTTTCAGCTCAACAACAGAAAGACAACCCAATTTAAAAATGAGCAAGGGACTTAAATTGACATTTTTCCGAAGAGGATGTACTGATGGCCAACAAACACATGAAAATATATTCATCATTAGTCATTAGGGAAATGCAAATTAAGGCACAGTGAGATACCACTTCACACCTCCAGGCAAGCCTTCCTCCTGTAATTTCAACCCTGCCAACAAACCCCCTCTCTCAGTCCCCCTCCCACCACCATCCCCTCCTCCTTCTCCTTCGGCTCCGCTCCCCCACCCCCTTATCCTGGTCCTCCATCCCAACCTTCCTTCTCCACTGCACACCCGGTCTTGCACCCAACCCCCTTCTGCCAAAGGTCACTCCCACTACCAAAGGTCTTACAAAGTCCTTCCCTTGAGAAAGGTGTTAGGGCCGAAGGCATAGTCCAAGTTCATGTTCCCTTCTCCCTAGCCAACCTCTCCCAGCTTAAAAAGAGACTTAGCTCCTTTTCCACCGACCCCAGCTCCTCCCACAAGGAATTTCTGTATGTCACTGAATCTTATGACCTTACCTGGCATGACGTTTATGTCATCCTCTACTCCTCCCTCATCCCGGATGACAGGGAATGTATCCAGACAACCACCCAGGCCCATGCAGACACCCTCCACCAACAAGATGCTGCCCATAACCTTATAGGGACCCTAGCTGTCCCCAGAACTGACCCCAATTGGGATTATGAAGCAGTTTCCTCAGACAGACAGAAACGAAGCTATATGATATCATGCCTCCTAGCTGGCATGGATAAAGCTGCCCTTAAGGCTGTAAACTCTGAAAAGATAAAAGAAATCACTCAAGGCCCCAATGAAAACCCTGCTCTTTTCTTCTCCCGCATTTCAGAGGCCATAACTAATTATACCACCTTAAGCCCTGATACCAATGGGGGCAGAATCTACCTACCCATTTACACTTCATTTCCCAGTCAGCCCCCAACGTCTGAAAGAAACTTAAAAAACTAGAAGATGGCCCTCAAACCTCCCAAAGAGACTTAATCAAAGTGGCCTTTATGGTCTTTAATGATGATGGCTAGAATTTAAAAAAAGAACAAAAGAAAGAAAAGAAAAGAAGTATTGGCAAAGATGTAAAAAAAATTGGAACCCTCATACATTATTGGTGGGAATGTAAACTAGTGCAGCTGCCACGAAAAACAGTTTGTCCCTCAAAACACGAAACATAGGATTACCATATGAGTCAGTAATTCCACTCATGAGTATGTTCCCACAAGACTAAAAACAGGTGTGTGAAGAAAAACTTGCACACAAACGTTCACGTAGCACTATTCACAATAACCAAAAGCTGGAAACTACCCAACTGCCCATCAACTGATGAATGGATAAACAAAATATAGTATATCCATACAAAGAAATATTATTCAGCCATAAAAAAGAATGAAGTACTGACACATGCCACAACATGGATAAACCTCGAAAATACGATGCTAAGTGAAAGAAGCCAGACATGAAATGCCACAGAGTGTATGATTCCATTTACATGAAACATTCAGAATAAGCAAACCTACAGTGACAGAAAGCAGATTAGTAGTTGTCATGGGCTGAAAGGAAGAGGAACCGGGGAATGAGTGCTTAATAGATAAGGGGTTTCCTTCTGAGACAATAAAAATGTTATGGAACTAGATGGTGGTGATGGTTGCACGACATTGTGAATGTACCACATGTCACTAATGGTCCATTTTATTTTATATATATTGTACCACAATTTAAAAAAAACTCAGTATCTCTCTGGGCTCAGGTAGGTAATAGAAGTTAATGAACCTAGCCCGTTGTGAAACTGAGGCGAACTGGAGTGTGGAGATCTCCCTTAAAGAGGACACCTACTATACAACTCCAGCTGATAGTTTTAAAGAAAGAATTTGGGACCCTTGTTGCCAGATTTTTCAATCTTTCAAGAAAAGCAAAAATCAAATTTGAATGCATGTAGAGGTCTCTTGGTAACTTGTTAAAATGCATATTTTAACTCAGTAGGTCTATGGTAGGACCCAAGAATATGCATTTCTTTTTTTTTTTAGACTTTATCTTTGGAGTAATATTAAGTTCACAGTAAAACTGAGAGTAAGGTACAAAGATTTTCCACATACTCCCTGCTCCCACACATACATATCTTCCCCCATTATTAACGTCCTCAACCAGGGCGGTGCATCTGTTACAACTGATGAAGCTACATTGACACATCATCATCACCCAAAGTCCATAGTTTACATTAGGGCTGTTCTTGGAGTTGTACATTCTGAGTTTGAACAAATGTATAATGGCATGTGTCTACCATTACAGTAAAGAATGTGAGTGTCTAATAAGAAATGCCATTATCTCTGGTGGTGCTACGGCACCACAGATCACACTTGGAATGGTAAGGGTCTAGATTACAGGTTCCCAAACTTGGCTGTACCGGGAAGCACCCAGAGTGTTTAATAAATACCAATGCTTAGGCCCCACCCCCAGGGATTCTGATGTCATGGGGTCAGAGTGAGATCTGAGCATCAGGATTTTGTAAAGCCCCACACCCCCCCCCCACATCATTCTAATGGGCAGCCAAATTTGAGAGCCCGCATACTAGATGGCCCTTATGGACTCCATAGCCCTAATGATCTCTCATGTGGTGAAATATTTCTAGAGGACAAGGTCACAGTTTTCCCCCAAGGTAACCTTTTGAAAATAATTAATCCGGAGAACCTCCTCCCCAACAAAGCATTCCAAGCCTCAATGCTGGAGAATGTGACCTACAGCTCGGATGTTGTATAGGCTCTAGATTCTGTAACTCTTGGCAGCTTTTGTAACTGTGTTCTTCTTTGGCCGGTAACTCCTTCTTTGGTGTACTGACTTTCGTTAGCAAGTTTCGTATAGTTGGGTAAAAATGACTCCTTTGGAGAAAAGAAGAATGCATATAGCCCACAGGGTGACAGAGGCTTGAGGGCTTGCCCAGAGCAAAGCAGCATGAGTCATTTTGGTCAGGGCACAAAAGGGAAACAGGCAAGGAAAATAGAGCAGTAGATGTGTTCTTGAGTCTCCTGATTCAGTCTCGGGGAAACCTGTGACTGCATTTATCTCCCTGCTTTCTACCTCCCTCACCTCCCAAACCAGCTGTGGTCCTGGCTCAAAGAGGAATACTTAACAAAACATAGAAAGAATTGAAAGCCGTCACCGAAGCCTCAAAAAGAGCAGGAAGGTAAGAATGGAGGCCAGAAAGGAGAGTGAGAAACTTGGCAGTGTTTCCTGACAGGGCCTGCTCTCTAAGTGCGTTACCGGGGTGACTCATGCCTGAGATGACAGGGTATGAACACATTTGTCTTTATTATCTAGTAAATAGTACCTGTGTGTGGCTTTCTTTTTTGTTTTTATTTCTCCCCTGGTTCCCTGGGGCTTTACTTCTTAATGTGGTCACTTTGAACATCATTGGCATCAATTCACAACAGGGAAACATCTGTGAGAAGAAACACACCAAGCGGGGAATCTTTCTGGAACAAGGATGCAGCAACACAGAAATTAGCCTGATCCTGTTGCCTTAAGCTGCATTCATGTAGTAATCCAGGAAATGCAGTCTCTTTTTTCTGTGATTGGCCAGACAAATCCTCCTTCTGAAGAAACTTAGATTTCAGCCTCCCCGAACCAAAAGAAAAAAAAGAATTGGGCAAAAACATCATAGTGGAGCATCTATCAACAAAATATGTGCACGGAGAGGTTTCAAAATCATCTTGAAGACTCACAAGAATTGTCTTTCCAAAAGCAGTAAGGAGTAGAAGTGTACAACTGATTCAACTAAGGACAGGGCCATCAGCTCTGGATGCCAAAATCTTCACCACTCACAGACCAGCAAGGGCAGGTCTTCCCACTCGGCATCCCTAGATCCTGAATATGGCCCAGAGGTCTTTAGCTTCCCGTTGCAGCTTTTTGGAAGCCGGACTCTCTCCTCTGGCTGTCCCTGATCCTCCTCTGTGCTGGTGCTGTGGCACTTAGCCCACCAGAAGTGATACCCACCTGCCGTCCTCACTAGCTTTTCAGGTCCTTAAGAGCTAAGGCTGTCTGATTCATCCCAGTATCTCCAGGGCTTAGCATGGTATCCAGCACAGAGTAGCTGCTCAGCAAATGCTTGTGGAGTTAAATAAATTGAATGAATAATACTGAGTAAGACTACTTGCATATCTCTTTAGCACTGACAACTCATAGTCCAAAGCTGCACCCTACAACCGCCTTGTCTCTGCTTGTGTGACTTTGGTGATGGGGAACACTCCACTTGAGAACAAACAACCCATTCTATTGTTGTCTAGCATTGGCCATTATTTATTGTAATAATAACAATAACAATAGCAAACACTTATATGGTACTTACTATAATACTAGGCAGTTTTTAAGCATATTCACCAGTCTCAGTTTAGAGATGAGACGACTAAAGCACAGAGATGCTAAGCAACTTGTTCAAGATCATACAGCTAATAAGTGACAGAGCTGGGTTCAGGCAGGCACAGCCCAGCCCCAGCATTAATAGTCTCAACCACCAAATTATAAGTCTCTAAACTGGAACAAGTCTCCCTCTTACCCTCTTACTTCCTCCACCAGAGATTGTCCTGCATGGGTTAGCACAGAGCTGGAATCAGACCAGGTTCTTGCCAGTACCCTACGTGGCTAACCAGGTGGCTTGAAACAGAGAGGGCATCTCTGCCTCAAGCTTAGTCTTGGAGTTATTGTTGCCCATCATGGGTAGAGCCAAGGGAGGATGAATATGGTCCAGGGTTCACCCATTATGTAGATGAACTCTGGTCATAATGGGGTTATGGTCTTGTGGTTTCCTCCTCTCTTACCCCAAATGGGAGTTTTCCTTTCAATTATCTTTATAACAAGTGTGGTTGCAGCTTCAAACCACAAACCACTAATATTTTTATTGGCAAGTGCATCCTCTAATACGTATAGTTCTGTTGAATGGGTGAAATATTTATCACCAGATGCATTTGTTTTTGTAGTGTTTATAATGCTTGGAAAGGGGCTGAGTGTCTCTGGCCTTAATCCCTTCTTTGGCTCTACTGCCACTGTCCTGGTTTAGCTCCCCCCAAATTTTACCTGTATAGCCTCTGAACTGGTCTCCCAGACTCCAGGCTGACCCCTCTAATCCATCTTCCACATTGGCTTACAGCTCCATCTTTCTAAAGTACAGCTTTTGCCATGCCATTCCTTTGCTCAAAAATCATTTATTGACTCCCAGTTGCAGCTAATTGTAAGTTCCCATCACCTGGTTCCTGTAGCCCTTCAGGAACTTTCCTTCCATAAACCTTTATCATGAACCTTATACATTAGCCACACTGGACAAGTTTGCATTTTCTAGGCCTGTCCTGTGCCCTTCTGTTTCCATGCTTTGCTCATGCTGTTTTCTTTCCCTGTAAATCTTTTGTTTATACATTCACTCATTCTTTCATTCGTATATTCATGCATTCCACAAAGTTTACTATGCACCTTCTTCAAGCCAGGTCCTATGCTGGGAACCAGTAATGAATTAGTCATGGTCCTCCTCTCAAGGAGCTTAAAGTCTAATCTAGACTCCTTCTGGTCATGTCCATGACCACCTGTCACAATCTTATCGGAAAGGATACAATTTCCCTCTCCTCAAAGCCTTTTTCCAATGTTTCAGCTGGAAGTAATCTTTTCCCCCCTCTGAGGCTTATCCCTGGCCCCTCATCCCCATCTTCTAAGGACCCCCATTTTCCAACCTTGCATCTTGTATTATAATGATGCTGATGCTTATTTCCCCTGGATGATACAAGATGTGCCTGGCTTCTTGAGGCAGAATTCCTTTGCATCCAGGGACCAGCAGAGGAGCTGGCCCACAGTGGACTCATATCCAGCCAATGCTGCTGATTGACACTTCATCCACCACTGGTGAGAACACAATTAGAGAGATTACACAGAGCACTCATAAAAGGTAGTGTCTCCCAGCTTTGTTGAGATATAATTCACATACCATACAAATTACCCATTTAAAGTGTACAATTCAATTATTTTCAGTATATTCACAGAGTTGTGCAACCATCGCCTCAATCAATTTTAGAACATGTTCATCACCCCAGAAACAAACCTCATACCCATTAGCAGTCAAACCCCCATTTCCCCTCAAGCCTCCTCAGCCCTGGGCAACCATTAATCTGTTTTCTTTCTCTATAGACAGAAATTGGACTATTCTGGACTTTTCACATAAATAGAATCATGCAATACATGGCCTTTTGTGTCTGGCTTCTTTCACTTAGCGTAATGTTTTCAGGGTTCTTATGTATTGCATGATATTTTGGTTTTTTATTGACAAGCCACATTCCATTATATGGATGTACCATATTTTATTTATCCATTCCTCCACTGATGGACACTGGGTTGTTTTTACTTTTTGGTTATTATGAGTAATGCTGCTGTGAACATCCGTGTAAAAGTTTTTATGTGGATGCATATGATCATTTTAATCAGATATAGAATTTGGAGTGGAATTGCTGGGGAATATTTAACTCCATAACATTCTGAGGAACTGCCAGACTGTTTTCTAAAGTATCTGCACTATTTTACATTCCCACCAGCAGTATATGAGGGTTCCAATTTCTCCAGATTTTTGCCAACACCTATCTTTTTGTTTATAGCCATTCTGTTGGGTGAGAAGTGGTATCTCATGGTGGTTTCAATTTGCATTTCCCTAATGATGAATGATGTTGAGCATCTTTTGAGGTGTATATTGACCATCGGTATATCTTATTTAGAGAATTATGTGTTCAAATCCTTTGTCCATTTTAAAATTGATTCATTTGCCTTTTATTATTGAATTGTAAGTGTTCTTTATATATTCTATATATCACAGGCTTTTTAATTTTTTTCTTTATGCTTTCTCTATTTTCTAAATTTTCTACAATGACTATGAGGTACCTTGATGAGCAGAATGCATAACCAGTATGTACCAACATATATAAAAATGTAGAAACTGTCCTCATCAAATTTATGAATGACATAGAACTGGAAAAGATGACTAATGTGTCTTTTGACAAAATCAAGATCCATTCTTGGAGGAATGGAGCAATGAGTGAAATATAAATTCCTCACTTCAGTTAAAAAATTCTGTAAGGGTGTGATATGGTTTGGCTGTGTCCCCATCCAAATCTCATCTTGAACTGTAGTTCCCATAATCCCCAGGCATCATGGGAGGAACCAGTGGGAGGTAATTGAATCATGGGGACAGGTTTTACCTGGCTGTTCTTGTGCTAGTGCATACGTCTCATGAGATCCGATGGTTTTATAAAGGGCAGTTCCCCTACACATGCTCTCTTGCCTACCGCCATGTAAGAGGTGCCAATGCTCCTCTTTCACCTTCTGTCATGACTGTGAGGCCTCCCAGCCATGTGAAACTGTGAGTCCATTGAACCTCTTTAATTTTTATAAATTACCCAGGCTCAGGTATTTCTTTATAGCAATATGAGAATGGAGTAATACAGGGTATATGAGGAAAGGGTCTCTTTCTGCATGTGTGGGAAGCGGCCTTAGATGACCTCAGGACAATGTTCAACCTTCAGTGTCTATGATTTTCATGTTAGGTAGGGGTAGATCACTATTGAGAAGGGCTCATAAAATAATCTGATGGCCTTGGTGTCCTACAAGCTAAGTGGAAACCAACAGTGTGACATGGCTTCTGAAAAGAGATGGTGTGACCTGAGGTGACAAGAACAAAAGCAGGGCCTGAACTGAGGGAGGTGTTTGTCCCGCTGTTTGGGGCTGCTTAAACCACATCTGGAGCTTGTGTTCAGATCTAGACACCACCAGGGAATCAGAGAGCCATCTATGTGGCCAGGACGGGGAGGGAAGAGTTAAGAAACCCTATCACAGGAAGAAAGTGCAGATTCATGACCAGGCACTGCATCTCCAAAGGGCTCCTCTAGGGCAGAGGGCATAGATATGGTCTGCCAGGACTTTATGCTCTCACTTACCTGGACATTCACAGTGGTCTGCCTGGGCAGGATTTCTTCTCCCTTCAGACCATGAGACCCAGGACTGCTCCACGTCCCCCATCTCTCAGAAGCTAAAGACGGAAGCAGCAACAGGGTGAGAATCTGACCTGAGGTCCACACTGCAGAGATAAGAAGGTGCCAAAGACTCTACTGGCTAGCAAACTCAGGATGCTGTGGAGTCCAAGCTGGTAATAAAAGCAAGTCAGGTGTTTGCCTTTAAAATGTATAGAAATGTCTTTATTTACACAAACAAATACATTGTACTCAATTTTTCTTTTTCCTCCTGTTAAAATTTCTCTTTTCCTTTGAAAAAAACTTCAGGCCAGGCACGGTGACTCATGCCTGTAATTCCAGCATTTTGGGACGCTGAGGTGGTAGGATCCCTTGAGCCCAGGAGTTCAAGACCAGCCTGGGCAACACAGGGAGACCCTGCCTCTGGAAAAAAATAGTGTAAAAATTAGCCAGGTGTGGTGGTGTGTGCCTGTAGTCCCAGCTACTCTTATTTGTTTTTACAATAAGAAAAACAACAGCACATGTGTGAGGCGAAGTAACCTCTGCTGGTCATCCTCAGTGCTGGGGGACAACGCAGAGGGGAGGGGCAGCAGTGACCGGCTGCAGCAGGCCCAGTGAGGCCGTCTCCCACTTTGTTAAAGAGGAGTTAGAAATCTGGATTTTAATGTGAAATCTTCCAGTTTCTAAATGTTTACACCAATGTTTAAAAACACACACAGGCGGCCAGGTGCGGTGGCTCACGCCTGTAATCCCAGCACTTTGGGAGGCCAAGGCAGGCAGATCACGAGGTCAGGAGTTGGAGACCATCCTGGCCAGCATGGTGAAACCTCATCTCTACTAAAAATACAAAAATTAGCTGCTGTGGTGGCACGCACCTGTAATCCCAACTACTTGGGAGGCTGAGGCAGGAGAATCGCTTGAACCAGGGAAGCGGAGGTTGCAGTGAGCCGAGATTGCGCCACTGCACTCGAGCCTGGCAACAGAGTGAGCCTCCGTCTCAAAAAAACAAAACAAAACACACATAGGCTCTAAATCCCCTTTCAACAACTCCACTGAAGTCTTCTCAACTTGCTTACATATCCCTGGGATGTGGAGTTCACCCCCACGGTAGAAGCCTTCTCTATCTGTGGACTGCTCTGATCCATAGAAATGGATTCCTCAAATTAAATTGGGATCAATCTCTTTATAGTACAACTGCAAAACCACCCCTGACCTGCACAGCCTCTGCCATTAGTCCTCACGCCAGTGTCTAGACCACTCCATTCATTCATTCATTCACTCACACATTTACTCCTAGGGCTCGGTTGCACAGCATCATTGAATCAAGTGGATTAAATGTGTTTTCTGCATCTCTGAGTCCCTTGGAACCTCCTAACCACATACGCCTGGGTACAGAGAAAGGCCCAGAGACACCCTAGGTCCCCTCCTAGCGCCCCTTCTGGAGGAAGGCTACCACAGGGAAGAAGTTTCCTTGGGCACTTTGTATGTCACTTTCCTTCTGGGAAGCAGCCTGGCACGGTGAACAGCAAGCATGGGGTTTACTGGACTTGTGGCCCTGAGCAAGCCACTGATGTCCCAGCCTAGGCCTGCCCACATGTTCAGTAGAAGTGCTGACACAGAGGAGCGGAAGAAACAGGGCTGGGTTTGAATCCAGGCTCAATCAACTTGAGCGGATTATTTAATATGTATGAGCCTCAATTTCATCCTCTATAAAGTTGGGATAAAACTGCCTACTCTCCAGGCCTGTTCTTTGCATTCAAAATTAGAAATAAATTTGCACGTTGAATGTCCTGCTCAGCAGATGCCCAGGAAGAGGGGCAGTGATTGTCATTGTTACTGATAGCCAGTAGAGGGCACCAAACCATTCTTTAATGAAAGCGGCCTCGGTTGTCCTGGCCACAAATGCAAGAAAGCCTTTACACCCCAGGCTGCAGGAGGTTCCCTAAGTATGTAGGTTATTCATACACACGCTCCTTTTTTATTGGAAAGTTAGAAATTGCACTACATTGTACCTTGGGGGTGAAGGTGACATTAACAAAAGCAGTTTGGAGTAGTGGAAAGGATACTCCAAAGGGGAAGGCTTGCAGGATGTGGGTTCTTGCCCTTGCCCTAGCCCTTGTGCTGTGTGACCCAGACACAGCCTGTGTCTGGACCCCCTCTTGTAGCCTGAGAGGGTCGGACCAGGAGATCTCTAAGGGACACTCCAGCTGTCTATGATTAAGATTCTGGGACAAATAAATGTCATGAGGCAGCAGGTGGGGGGACTGGGTGGGGGGACATGGAGTAAATGACCTCTGGATGCCCTCACTGGGGCTGGGACTTGATGATTTGTACACAGTCAAGGGAAGCCACATACAGGCTAATCTTGGCCTCACAAAGGAGTGTGGTTAGAGTTGTTGGGTGGTGGCGATGTTTTCCTGCAAGCGCACACGATGTTTATCGTCTTCGTACAGGTTGATGCTGAAGCCACGAAGACCACCCAGCCTGACAAAGAAAGGAATTCTTGTCTGCGGTTGACAGCCCTCAGGTTGACGGCTTTCCATTTGCCCCCCGAGGCTGTCACTCGCAGAACAATGGCAACAAGCAGGGTGGCTCTCACCTGAGACTGGCGCTGCCGCCAGAGGAGGGGGCAGGCCAGAATGGAATGGGGAGGTGTTGTTTCTCCTCCCAGGATAGGAAGGTTATAGGATCACTCCTGCCTACAGCGGACATGCTTGGAGAGTCTGTGGAGGATTATTTTCGTGTGGATGGTGTCTCATCCCATAGATCAGAAAGCGGGAAGTAGTTAAGATGTTACTCTTCATTTAAAAAAATTATAATGAACTACGGATACACATAAAAACATAAATAAATCTCAAAAGCATTATATTGAGCAAAATAGGCCATATATAAAAAGAGTACGAACTGTACAATTTCTATTTCTTCAAAGGACGCAAAACTAAGCTACAGTGATAGAAACTGGGTCAATGGTTGCCTCCTTAGGCAAGGGGAGGGTTGACTACAAAGGCTGAGAAGGAACTTTCTAGGGGATGAAAACATTCTAGGTTTCGACTGAGCGATGACATGGATATATACACATTTGTAACTCATTGAACAATGCACTTAAAAATCAGTGTATTTTACCGTTTGCAAATTATACCTCAGTAACACTGATAAAAACTGCACTACAAAAAAAGTTATAATGACTTTTCTCATTCTCAAAAGAAATACATGTTCGTACTAGAAGACTGAAAAAATCAGATTTAAAAAAAAAAAAATTAGCCAGGCACGATGGCTCATGCCTGTGATCCCAGCACTTTGGGAGGCTGTGGGGGTAGAATTTCCTGAGTCTTGGAGTTTGAGACCAGCCTGGGCAACATGGCGAGACCCCCAACCCATCTCTACAAAAAATTTAAAAATCAGTCAGGTGCAGTGGTGTACACCTGTAGTCCCAGCTACTCATGAGGTTAAGGTGGGAAGATTGCTTGAGCCCAGGAGTTCCAGGCTGCAGTGAGCTGTGATCACACCACTGCACTCCAGCCTGGGTGACAGAGCTAGACCCTGTCTTAAAAATAAACAAATAAATAAAAATAAAATAAAATAATCCATAATTCCATTACCCAGAGGTAAACATAGTTATCATTTTATATTGATAGTGCCAGTCCTTTATTTTCAGAAAAATGAGATTATACAGTTTTATAGTCTGATTTATTTATGCATTGAATTGGCAATACATATACACAGTTAAATCTTCAGAAGGTACAAAACAGCATAAAGCAAACTTGTCCATCCCACAGCCATGGGCCACATATGGCCCAGGATAGCTTTGAATGCGGCCCAGCACATATTCGTAAACTTTCTTTAAACATTATGAAAATTTTTTGCAATTTTTTAAAGCTCATCAGCTATCATTAGTGTTAATGTATTTTATGTGTGGCCCAAGACGATTCTTATTCTTCCAGTGTGGCCCAGGGAAGCCAAAAGATTGGACACCCTTGACATGAAGTAAAAAATAAATCTCTCTCCCATTCTCACTCTCCAGAAGCAACCACTTCTATCAATTGCTCATATATCCTCCTAAAGATATGTCATGTACTGAAAAGCACATATGTATGATGATCTTGAAGGGAATAAGTGAAAGCACACTATACACAAACCTGTATTTTTTAATATAACATGACAACACAAATATCTTTCAATGTCATGAAAATGTTTCTATGTCATTTTTAAGCAGACTTTTGATTAAAGTAGAACATAAAAGCAGAAACATGCAAAAAATCATAGGGGTAAATCTCACAGAAACATGCAAACAATCATAGGTATAAATCTTCGCATATTGACTCTGCTTTTATATTCACCACCAAGATAAAATACGAGACCATTACCTGCATCCCCCAAAATCTTTTGGACCCTCTCCAAGTTACTGTCACCTCTTACCCCAAAAGCAACATAATTCTGACTTCTGATTTCTAAAAATGGTCTTGTCTGGCTTTTGAACTATATGGTAGATTATACAGTATTTATTTTTGTCTATATTTTTTCACTCAACAGTATATGAATGAGATTCATGTTGTTGCATATAGCTATAGTTCATTCACTCATTGACATATATAGTATTCTTTTGTATAAATATATCACAATTTACTTATCCATTCTACTGTTGATGGACATGGGGGTTGTTTCCAGGTTTCAGCTATTTCAGCTGCTATGAACATTCTTTAGATGTCTTTTGGTGAACATAGGTATACACTTTTGTTACCTACCTGCTCAGGAGTGCAATTTCTAGACCATAATGTTCAGCTTTAGTGGAAAATGCTGATAGTCTCCAAAGTGGTTGCAGCAGTGTATGAAAGTTCCAGTTGCTCTACATCTTTACCTAAAACATCAATTTTAATATCAACACAGCATTTCATTATATGGATACACCATACTTCATTTTATCAGATTCCTATAGATCAGGGATTCTTTGCCATAGACCTCTGGCACTCTGATAAAGCCTGAGGACTCTGTCTCAGAATGCGACATAGTAAAACGTGGGCATTATCATTAACACACTAAATCACACCATCCAGTAGCAGGTCTAATAACCAAGCAATTTCAAAATTTCAAAATGAGCATCAACATAAAAATATGTTTATTGGCCTTTGTGCTGCTTCTCCCACACAAAATCATTTTCTTTGTTTCTACATTTATTGGCAAAAGTCAATGCATATTCTTGACTTTTGCCAACTTTTAATGGCCCATATATATTTAAATTTGTATGTAAGCACTCTTCCTGTGTTATGGATATGAACCATCTCTGTGAAATGTTACAATTGTTTTCATTTGTCATTAGCTTTGCCATTTTGTGGTCTTTAGAAAGAATTGATGCCCTGTGTTCAGTGCGATGACAAAGATTGGCTAAATAAGTGATAAAGGGAATAGTGAAGGTTGTTTTATCCTTACAGCAGTCCTGGAGGTTAGACAGGTCCTAGGGCTCATTATCCCCATTTTACAGAGGAAAAGCAGAGCCCCAAGAGGGTAAATGCTGAAATCATAAGGCTAGGACGTGTTAGAGTTGCATCTCAACAGTCCTTAACTCCTGACTCAAAGCCTTGAAAAACCCCTGCTCACCAGGGAAAGGAAGTCAAAGGTCCAGGGTGTGTACACAGACAGCCCTTGAAAGGAATGTGGGGTTTTGTGGTTTGGGTTTTTCCTCCCCTTTCTAAGCACGCTTCGCATGCCAGCAAAGGGTGTGCATTTGTGTATTGGGGGGCAGGAGGGAGGTGCAGGGTTGCATGTCATTCCTCAGCCTTTTCATAAAGGAGGTCAAAGCATGGAGCTTGTGATGAAGCTCAAAAGTCCCTTCAGGCTTCTGGTGGTGTGCACCTGTAGAACTCCTGCCAGGAATGACTTGAATGAGACTCACCCCAACAATGAGAACTAGGCTTTGGGTCCATGTAATATGACTCATTAAATGGTTTATTGTGACCCATACATGAGCTTCAAATTTATAAAATACCCCCTTTGTTATTTATTTATTTATTTTGAGATGGAGTTCCACTCTTTTTGCCCAGGCTGGAGTGCAATGGCACGATCTCAGCTCACTGCAACCTCTGTCTCCAGGGTTCAGATGATTCTCCTGCCTCAGCTTCCCAAGTAGCTGGGATTATAGGTGCCTGGCTAATTTTTTTGTATTTTTAGTAGAGACAGGGTTTTACCATGTTGGCCAGGCTGGTCTTGAACTCCTCACCTCAGGTGATCCTCCCGCCTCGGCCTCCCAAAGAGCTGGGATTACAGGCATGAGCCACTGCACTCAGCAAAATACCCCCTTTGTGACAACAGAGATAGACAAACTCTGCTTCATGGCCTCAAAACTAAAATTGAAAAGATTTTTTAAAGGCTTTACATGCCTATGACACTGCATATCCCAATGAGAAGTCTTCTTTGTGGAAGATCTCTATTTCATTTTATTTTATTTCATTTCATTTTTGAGGCAAGGTCTTGGTCTGTCACCCAGGCTGGAGTCCAGTGGGGGTGATCTTAGCTCACTGCATCCTCAGACTCCTAGGCTCAAGTGATCCTCCCACCTCGGCCTCCCAAGTAGCTGGGACTACAGGCCTGCATGAGCCACCACATCCAGCTAATTTTCTTGATATTTTGTAGAGATAGGGTCTCTCTATGTTTCCCAGGTGGGTCTCGAACTCCTGGGCTCAAGCAATCCTCCCACTTTGGCCTCCCAAATTGCTTGGAGTGTGAGCCACCATGCCCAGCCTAAGATTTTTTAAAATGACTTTCTGGGCAAATGTTATGGGCACATGCTATATATTGTGCACTCCTTTTGGAGATTCACAGTGAAAATTAATATATTTGAGGCTCCAAAAGCCATGCAAAGATAAGCCTGTTGAATATCTGGATGTAGGGTTTACCTGACATCTCTGACCACTGAACCTCTTCTCAGGTAACATCTAAGACCTCTTACCAAATGATGGTCCCATGGAATTTAATTTTGGTTACCACTGCTCTAGAACATACTTTCTATTAAATATGTTTGCTAGTAACAATTGCAATATTTTAAAACATTAACACATCCCTCCATTAATTCCAATATATGACTTTGAGAAATGTTGACAATGGTTTTGAGCCTAAACAGATACAGGTTAAATCCTGAGGCTGAACATGGTGGCTCATGCCTGTAATCCCAGCACTTTGGGAGGCCAAGAGGGGAGGATTACTTGAGCCCAGGAGTTTGAGACGAGCTGGACAACATAGCAAGACCCCATCTCCACACACAAAAAATCAGCCTATGGTTCCAGCTACTTAGGAGGCTGAAGCAGGAGGATCATTTGAGCCCATGAGGTGGAGGCTGCAGTGAGTCAGGCTAGTGACACTGCACTCCAGCCTGGGCAACAGGAAGAGATCCTTCTCAAAAAAAAAAAAAAAAACGAAAAACAAAAAGAAACATTCTAGTACAACAAACCCCAAGAGGTTGCCCACATTCTTTTAAACATGTGCTGTGCTTTTAAATGTATCAAATATTCCTTACTATAAGTGCCCTATTGGCTGGGCGTGGTGGCTCACGCCTGTAATCCCAGCACTTTAGGAGGCCGAGGCAGGTGGATCACGAGGTCAGGAGTTCAAGACCTGCCTGGCCAACATGATGAAACCCTGTCTACTAAAAATACAAAAAAATTAACTGGGCATGGTGGCGTGTTCCTGTAATCCCAGCTACTTGGGAGGCTGAGACAGGAGAATTGCTTGAACCAGGACCCAGGGGCGGAGGTTGCAGTGAGCCGAGATTGCGCCACTGCACTCCAGCCTGGGCGACAGAGCGAGACTCCATCTCAAAAAAAAAAAAAAAAAAAAAGTGCACTATTTTCAGAAGTGGATTTTTTTTTATCATACAGATATTTTAATGCATAAGAAATTTATTATGATATACTTTCACTGTGCTGTACCTTTTGAGTGACTCAGACTTGGCATCTTTATTAATATTCATAAAACATCTTACTTTCAAATGTTTTAGTATTATTAATAATATCATTAATTTTTATTGAAATTGTATATGTAATTCTCATAAAAATACATAAGTGAATTATCCCTTTGGGGCCTTAAAATATTTCTGAATAGAATATCTTTTTCATATAAGAGCAATTGATGAACACTTTTAGGTTTTTAGAAAACATAGAAAAGCAGTAAAAGTTGATTATCTATTCTCTCAAATACAATCACTATTAACATTTTCATCAAGTCTTTTCTTCTATGTGTATACAGATTTTACATAGTTAAAATCTGGGCCCTCTGTTTAACAAGAGTATTAGCATTTGTTTTTATATTCAATAAGTGTATAAACGAAGAAAACAATTTAAGGTAAGACTTTCTGCCTTCCAAGAGATGGTGGTGGTTTCAAATACTTGGGGCCCAGAAGGAAGAATGAAGATGTTCCTTCTAAAACGCAGAGGACAATTCAGCTGTTCCGAATGATGGCCCTGAGTGTCAGCTAACCCCCTCCTGCAGCTAAGTCCCCCTGGGTCCCCCTGCAAGCTCTTCCCACCCCGGGTGCTGGGACCACCTCTTCCCTCAATCAGACATAAATCAAAGGACCAAGATTAGGAAGGATGGGTGATTTTGACCTTTCTATAACAGAGAAAATCCAGATAAATGGTCTTCTCTGAACCACCAAGTTTTGCTTTTCTTTTTCTCTCAAGTTGGTAATAACATGAACAATGACACATTACCTTAGAGCTTGAACTGATGGTCGAGTAGATAATCTAATGTGGGCCTGATGAGACCCTTTACAGATGAGGTAGTTGAGACTCAGGGGGCTTCAGTGACTGGGCCAAGATTCCCTTTTGGCTGGTAAGTGACAGCTTAGAATCCAAGCTGTGGTCTTTGGAGTCCAAATCTCTGGCCTTTCCTCATTCTGTGAAGACCTGCACCCCTTCTTTCAGGCAGGTATAAGACACCGTGTAAAATGTCAAACAAAAGTTCAGCTATCTTTGGCTGTGTGGAGATGGAAGATATTTCAATACAACAGAATTAATAGGCTTATTTTGAAATCCTTCTAATTCCTCAGTCAACTAATCTGAGCCCTAGCTCTGGGCCCTAGATTGCTGGGTTTTCAGCTGTGGCTGACAGGTGCATACTTTCTGAGCAGAAAACACGCAAGGCTGGGAAGTGGCATGGTTTTCATAATAGCCACAGGTGTTCCAATCTGCCTTTCTGCTTCACGCTTTTTATACTTTACCAGACAGCAAAGACATGTTGATGAAGACTGGTTTGCCCTTCTGAGGTTGTACATGACTGGAAGGATTTGTTAGGTAAGGGAACTTGCATTTTCCTGCTGTGTTTCCCCTGGGAAAACAGGACTCTCAAAGACAGTGCCAAAACTTTGAATCTGGAAGTTCTGGCCTAAAGCTGAGTAAGGAAAGTTTTAAAAAATGACAACAACAAAATTAGGGTGAAATACAAAGTGCATGCTAACCAAGCCAAGTTTGAGATTAGAGTTGCAATTTGCTGGTAACAGCTGGACCATAGAGAGAAACAAAATTGTATGTTTCTTTTTTTCTTTCCTTCTTCTTCTCCTCCTCCTCCTCCTCCTTCTTCTTTTTTTGAGACAGGCTCTTGCTCTGTCACCCAGGCTGGAGTGCAGTGGTGTGGTCTTGGCTCACTGCAACCTCCGCCTCCTGGGTTCATGTGATTCTCTTGTCTCTGCCTCCCAAGTAGCTGGGATTACAGGCGTCCACCACCACACCCAGCTGATTTTTGTATTTCTAGTAGAGATGGGATTTCACCATGTTGGCCAGGCTGGTCTTGAACTCCTGACCTCAAGTGATCTGGCCTTTTCGGTCTCCTAAACAAAATTCACCATGAAATGCATGCCCTTTGCCATTTGACATCATTACAAATGAAGAGATTCCCAGGTCAGAGGCTAATAGTGTCCCAAATTGAACCTCTGAACCTTCTCTTTTAATTCCTCAAATTTTCCTGGAAGACTGGGCTGGAAGACATGTCCTTTCCCAGTCTGGGTCTCAATTTCCTTGTCTATAAAATGAGAGTTTGAACACATGACCACTAAGGATACTTCCAGTACAGTTTCTAATCTTTTTATGTCAATTCAGCTTAAGAATCAGTACTGGGCTGGGCGCTGTGGCTCACGCCTGTAATCCCAGTACTTTAGGAAGCTGAGGGAAGAGGACCACTTGAAGCCAGGAGTTCAAGACCAACCTGGGCAACAAAGCACAACCCTGTCTCAAAAGAAAAGAAAAAAAGAAAGAAAGAAAAGAGGAAAGGAAGGAAGAACTGAACACTGAGCACGTGTCCTCTCACAGTCCTTGCTCCTGGCTCTGACAGTGCCTAAGATGAACATTTCCTGCCTGCAAGAGCCCTCTGGTCACCAAGGGAGGAGGAGGCCAGTGGAGAGGCTTGCGCTGCAGAGCCACACCTGGCAGATTGTGCAGGAGATGTGGTGCACTGAGGGAGTTGTGGAAGTAGAGATTCTGCCTGGATAAAAAGATGAAGAAAGGCATCATGGAGGAAGTGGCATTGAGCTGAGCCTTAAGGATGAGAAGGATGTAAACACGTGTTGATGAGGAAGAAAAGGGATTCTAGCCAGGGGAAGAGCGTGAGCAAGGCAGGGAAGCAGGGAAGAGCAAGGCAAGTCCATGTTATCATGAGATGAACGCGCTAGAAACTTAGGGCCTGCGCAGGGGGGTCATGAAAGATTAGGAGGCTTTGAACGCCAAGGCAAGGGGTGTGTAAAGCATTTGGTTGGTACTAGAAGCCACTGAAGGCCTGAAAAAAAGGGATGTAATGTCATCAGAACTGTGCTTTAGGAGTATTAATCTGGGAAAATGTGCAGATTTGTTTTCCTGAAGGCCCCCCAGGTGGCAAATGAAAGAGCTGAGATTAGAAAACACATCTGGCTGACTCCCAAGCTTAAGCACATAACACTTCAAGAAGGCCGTAGAGGCTGGGCATGGTGGCTCACACCTGTAATCCCAGCACTTTGGAAGGCCAAAGCGGGTGGATCACCTGAGGTCAGGAGTTTGAGACCAGCCTGGCCAACATGGCAAAAACCCATCTCAACCAAAAATACAAAAAAATTAGCCAGGTGTGCTGGTATGCGCCTATAATTCCAGCTACTCGGGAGGCTTAGACAGAAGAATCACTTGAACCCAGGAGGCGGCGGTTGCAGTGAGCTGAGATTGCACCACTGCACTCCAGCCTGGGAAACAGAGCGAGACTCTGCTTCAAACAAAAAAAAAAAAGAAGAAAGAAAGAAAGAAAAGAAGGCCGGAGAAACACTATGGATGAGATTCAAACCGACAATTGCTGTTTCTAGACACAAGTGTCCCACCCAAAGGAATATACTGAGAGAGACAAAATAACATCAAACAGGGAAGGGGTGGAGATTCACCTGCTAATTTCTGGTGTAGTGGGTTGGATGGTGGCCCCAAAAGCTGCGTTCACATCCTAATCCCTGCTACCTGTGACTATTACCTTATATAGCAAAAGAGTGATTATTCCCTTATGTGACAAAGATGTGGTTAAGGATCTTGAGAGGCAGAACTTATTCTGGATTCCGTGGGTTGTCTTATAAGCAATCACATGTGACTTTATAAGACAGACACACAGAGAAGAGGAGGAAGAAGCAATGTGACCACAGAGGTTGGAGTGATGTGGCCACAAGCCAAGGAATGCATGAGGCCATCAGAAGCTGGAAGAGGCAAGGGATGGACCCTCCCCTAGAGCCTCAGGAGGGAGTAGGGCCCTCTTTACACCTTGATTTCAGACTTCTGACCTCTAGAACTGCGAGAGAATACATTTCTGTAGTTTTAAGCTACCCAGGCTGTGGCAATTGGTTATAGTTGCCACCAGAAACTAATATACTAGATTACCTTTTGTTAAATTTAATTAATTCCAGGCTGGGCAACATGGCAAAACCTTATCTCTACAAAAAATACAAAAACTTAGCCAGGCAAGGTGGCATGCCCCCGTAGTTCCAGCTGCTTGGGAAGCTGAGGTGGGAGGATCTCCTGAACCCAGGAGATCGAGGCTGCAGTGAGCCCTGATCACTGCATTGATGACAGAGTGAGATCCTGTCTCAAAAAACAAATCAAACAAAAATTCATTTATTCATTCATTTGAATAGGTAATACATGCATATAGTTCAAAACGTTACCAGTGTAAAGGATATATGCTGAAGAAGAGATCTCTCTCCTTTCCATGGCCAGGAGCCACCTAGTTTTCCACCCCGGAAGTATCCAACCATTACTTGTTCAAGGTGACTAATCTTTTGCGTGTGACTACAGAATTTTGCAGAGTATCTCAAAATAATCTGGAAGGTAGAATGTGGTCATGGGGTAATTAATGGAAAGACACCTTGTCCTTGCAGACAGGCAGACCTGGGTTCAAATTCCACCCCAGTTCCAATACATAGAGACTCTCTGGGCAAGCTCCCCAAGCTCGGAGGGCCTTGGCTTTCTCCACTGTAAAATGGGGATGATGAGGTTTGCTACCTCTAGGACTGCTGTGAGGAGTACATGAGATGACTTGGGTGCCACTCACAGTGGGTGATGGTGTGCGGCTATGCAGGGAATTCCCATCTTTTGAATTCATGTCTCTGCTGCCCATGTGTCCTGTAGGGGCTGCTTCTCAGCTCAGGCGTTTCTCTGCTTGGACTCAGTCAGCATGCCCTTTGCTGACATGCCTAAGAGACACAGCTGCATTCTTGCCATTCTGGGGTTATTTCTGACTGGCTGCCAGTGGAAATAACTGGTATTTTTTAGGTGTTGATAGAAATCAAGGTTATATAACATCAGTAAGCCAACTTTGGAACCCCTAAAGAGAGAGGGGTGAGCATCCTGAGGGAAGCAGATGAGCCTGGGCTGCAGACACGGGGCTCTGGGCCTTTGTTCATGCTGTCCTTCACCCATGATGCCTTCTGTCCCCAGTACAAAAATTCCCATAGCAGCCATGCAATGGCGTCTTCAATGTAAATTGAAAAATACAGGCGTTAGAGGATTCTAATCCACCTTGGCCAGGATTCTTTTCCTCAGTGAGCCTCAGTTTTCTTTATCTGTAAAATGAGGATAGTGTTCTTTTCCCTATCTCAGAGTCATCATGTGGGTTACAAGGTAAGAATCAGGGACCAATTTAGACATGACCTACTCCACCCCTTATTTTACAAATGAGGAACTTGGGACCCAGAGAAAGTAAGTTACCTGCCCAAGATTACCCAGCAAGTCAGTAGCTGAGCTGGGGCTGGAACTCAGCCTTCAGGAGAGACCCTTTTTCTTTTTAGCAGGCTGGTGAGATGTATACAATAAACCATAACATGCTATGTAAATGTCATTTGAGGTTACCTGTCTTAAAGATGCCTAGACATCAGTGTACCTGTTTCTTTTCGTAAAGTTTTGTTCCAATGAACGAAGCCCCAAGCCTGTGCTTTTCAGCCTTTGAAGGAAGCCTACAGGGTATTTGAGTTATCTTTGCAACTGTGGGCCTCTGGTCCTAATTCCATCATGGCCACTGTCTGCTGAAGACAGCAGTGACTTTGCCTGGCCCTCCCTGCCCCTTGATCAGGAATGCAGGGAATTAGCCTCATGCATAAGGCCACTTGACCTTCTGCAGGGTGACATGGTGATGAGGACAGGCGGGGGGACCTTTTAGTGGCAAATGGTTCTTCCCTGAATTGGGTAAACATTCTTGAAATGTACACATCACTCTCAAATATTTGTCTCCCTGACTTGTACTTTTTTCTTTCCAAGTTGTATGGAACTAGAAAACAACCTGGGAGGTTTCCAATCAATGAATACCACAATCCAAAATAAAATGTCTTCTTTCTTCTTTCCTATCATTAAAAATAAAATGAAAGAGTACACTACCTTAAGGAACAAGGCCATTTTCATTGTGTGGAGAACAGTGGTGTTTGAAATAGCAGGAACAGGCAGAAAGGAGGTTTGGTCACCTTATTTTAAACAGCTAAAGCCACCCAAATCTCTATTTCTGTTCTCTCATACCTAGAGACACAAAAAAATTCACAAAAAATAATAAAACCTAGTTAGAATGTAAAGGAGTCAATCAGTTTTCACTTGCAGCAGATTAAATGGTCTAGAATGAAATGAGAGGCATGGAGAGGTCTCCTGGCCCCTCAGACGTGCTCTCCAAATGTGGAGGCCAGTTCTTTGCATCACTCCACAGTGCATCCCCACACAGATGGCAGAGTGTGAAAGCGTATTGCAACCCAAATCAGCATCTTCCCTTTAGTACAGTATTTAAAAGGACTGGCCAGGTGCAGGTGCTCATGCCTGTAGTCCCAACACTTTTTTTTTTTTTTTGAGACAGAGTCTCACTCTGTTGCACAGGCTGGGATTCAGTGGTGCCATCTTGGTTCACTGCAGTGTCCGCCTCCTGGGCTGAAGCAATTCTCCTGCCTCAGCCTCCCGAGTAGCTGGGATTACAGGCACGCATCACCACACCTGGCTAATTTTTGTATTTTTAGTAGAGACTGGGTTTCACCATGTTGGCCAGGCTGGTCTTGAACTCCTGACCTCAAATGATCTACCTGCCTCCGCCTCCCAAAGTGCTGGGATTACAGGCATGAGCCACTGCGCCCTGCCTGTAATCCCAACATTTTGAGAGGTGGCAGCAGGAGGACTGCTTGAGGCCAGGAGTTTGAGACCAGCTACATAGCAACATAACGAGACCCCATCTCTACAAAAAATCTTAAAAATTAGCTGGGCTTGCACTTGTAGTCTGAGCTACTTGAGAGGCTAGGGCAGGAGGATTGTTAGAGCCCATGAGTTTGAAGTTAATGAGCTACAATCGTGCCACTGCACTCCAGCCTGGATGACAGAGCAAGACCCTTTCTCTAGATAAAAATTTAAAAATAGAAAAAAGTTTACAAAAAATACAAGACAGCCTCGGTTAAAGCAGAAGTCACTGGCTGCTTTTCCATTTTTGATAGCAGAAGCTTAAATAGATGTGAGTGACTGCAGTTAATGGAAAACATGAAGTCTTCAGCTAAGACTTTTGATCCATGAGAAAACTTCTTCCATTTCAGTTTGAATTCCTTCAGCAGTAGTCATTGAGAACCTACCCATAGAGTAGGTACACTCTGCACTCTGCCAGGTGGAGGGATTAGATTTCATTCTTCCCTTCTGTAAGAGGGGAAGACAGACATATCACCTCTTAATTCAAAAACAAGGTGCAATGAGGCAGGTGCTAAGTAGAGGTGCATGTAACGTAGTCAAGGTAATGTAAAACAGAAACAGAAAAATTCTGATAGGAGGGAAATAATCAAGAAAGCTTCATGGAGGAGTTGGGGCAAGAAGGATTCTGGGCTGGGTGTGGCGGCTCATGCCTGTGATCCCAACAGTTTGAGAGGCTGAGGTGGGAGGATAGTTTGAAGCCAGGAGTTTGAGACCAGCCTAGTGAATATAGTGAGACCCGTCTCTACAAAAAATTTAAAAAATTATCCAGGCATGGTGGTGCGTACCTGGAGTCCCAGCTACTTGGGAGGCTGATGTGGGAGGATCACTTGAGCGCAGGAGTTTGAGGCTGCAGTGAGCCATGATTGTGCCACTGCACTCCAGCCTGGGTGGCAGAGAGAGATCCTGTCTCAAAAACAAAAACAAAAACAGGTTAACATTAGGGAATACTTTGTGATGATATATGGGAATTTTCTGCATTACCTCTGTAACTTTTCTATAAATAAAAAATGTCCCCCTAAGGTGTCACACCCTTTGAAGATTCTTATTCAAATCAATGTTTTCCATGATAGTTGGAAAATGATGATCTTCCAACTTTAGCACCATCTTCACATTTAATGGTTGGCATTTTACTGTAAGCAGGAGCCCTCTCCTCTCTCCTGTTTCTTATCTACTTATTATTGATCTATTTATTCTTGCACAGACTCATAGATTCCTATTTTTCAATGGTTTATTTTCTTTATTTTCTTAATTATGTTGATGCTCAAATTGTCCTAGATTTGGCCAGTGGAAGCCTCTTCAAGTTGATTTCCTTGTCCTTTTGACAGGTCCCCATCACTTTTTTGAGCACTGCCTTACTTTCCAGCACAAGGTATTTAATGCTTATTTTGTAAAGGAAAAGTGTGTGATTAGAACAAAAAAAGGGGCCCTCACAGATCAACAAAGATGGTTGTGCATTGGCAATTATAGGTATAATTAAGTGCAAATTATTTTGAGCATATAACACAGAAAGAAATAACTGCACAGAAAAAAGAAAGGACCATAATAAAAGACTAAAAGAAACTCTTGGAATTATGAAAAGTTTTTTTCATATTGTTCTTTTTTTCTGTATATTCAAAATTTTATGTAATGAGAATGTATTAGTTTTATAATGAGAAAAATTACATAAAAGGTTTTTCCTTTTTAAGAATAATGGAGTGGACGAGCTCTGAGACATTACAACAGGATAAATAAATATGTCCAAAACACCAATAAAGATGCCTGAAAACACCTCTTCACGATCATCAGTCACACTATCAAAAACTATCAGTCCTATGGCTGAACCAGGGTTGGAAAATGTGGGTTTCTATATCTTATTCTATGGTGTACCTCTTGGGTTACTTTGTCTAATCACTTCATCAATTTGGGTCTTAACTTCCTCACCTGAAAAAGAGGATAATAACTTCTTGCTATATTAGCAATGTAATGAGACTCAAATGAAACCATGTATATGAAAACTCCTTTAAAATGCTACAAAAGTAAATGGTTTTATAAAAGAGCTTTTTTAAAAATGGCTGCTTTATTGAAACGTTTTAACAGTTTCTTTTTTAAAAAAGCAGCCAATTTGGAGGACCTACGCATTTGGATGGTGAAGCCCTTTGGCAGTCTGAGTAAGCCCATTTGGGTTCTGTGTTGCAGCCTGGGCAACTACCTCTCCATGGCTGCATCTTAATTGGGGTCCCCAGAAGAAACCCTGGAGGAAGATTCATGTGAAAGTGATGTATTAGGAAGTGCTCCCAGAAAAAATGGTAAGGCAGTGGGGCACCGTATCACACAAGGCACTCGGAGGAGAACTTTGGCTTAATCCCACCAGGGAGCTCTGGTGAGGGTCACACCCGTGAGTCGTCCTGGTCAGGGGCTGGGGGCTAGAGTACTTATGCCTCAGCACCCATCAATTACTAGAAAAAGAGTGGGTGGGGGTGGGTAATCTCCCAGGTACTTCCAGCTCTCCTGTGTGCGGACAGAACAGTCGCCAGCAGCCCTGGACTCTATCCTCTGACAAAGAGATGCAGATGCTGGCCACAGGTAGGCCCCCAATGGTAAAGGAATCTAAATGGATATGCACTGACAATATCAGCTCAAAGAAGGACTAATTCCTTCCAGGCTGGACGTTCAGAACACGAGAAATGAGAACAAGAGACACATAGGACAGGCCTCTCTGGAGACGGCCCAGAGAGGTTGAGTGACCTATCAGGGTCACTCAGGTGGCAGAGTCAGGATTCCAGCCCTGGTGTATCTGACTCCAAATCCCATGTGCCCTTTTCTGTGCCCTACTGTCTCACTACATGAGCTAATGCCTTATCTATGGAGGACCACCCATAGGAAATCTTTCATGTACCACAAAATCCTACACACCCCATCTGCCCTCAGAAATCCAAAGCCCTCATGGGTGTCCCCAGGTTGACATTAATGTCCCCTTCCCTATAATCACCCCTGTCCTCTTGAATTTGTCCAGCATCAGGGATCAAGGTGAATTAAATTATGACCTTATGAACTCCACAGAGAGACACCTATGTCTCAGATACAGGGTGGCCCATCTCCTGGCTGCAACGGCAGTATTAGTGATTTAAGTTAGATAAACAGGTACCATCCCTAACAAAAAACCTTGTGAGCTCATCGGCTTGTTTCTCTTTTATTGTATTTAAAGGCAATTTCCCCACATCCTGCATCTTGAACATGAGCAAACATGTGAAGGAGCCAGACACACAGAAGCTGAAGCCATGCAGACCTCACATGTAGCCAGGGAGCAATGGTCTTGAGTCCCAGTTTGATGGCTGGTCCTGCCACAGACGAGCTGAGGGATCTTGTGCAAGACACACAATCTCTTTGGGACTGATCATCCTCATCCATAAAATGGGAAGGCTGTCCCTACCTATCATGTTATGGTGAGGATAAACGATATATCAAAAGGGCTTCATAAAATGTCAAGCTCAGCCGGGCGCAGTGCCTCAAGCCTGTAATCACAGCACTTTGGGAGGCCGAGGTGGGTGGATCACCTGAGGTCGGGAGTTCGAGACCAGCCTGACCAACATGGAGAAACCCCATCTCTACCAAAAATACAAAATTAACCGGGTGTGGTGGCGCATGCCTGTAATCCCAGCTACTCGGGAGGCTGAGGCAGGAGAATCACTTGAACCCAGGAGGTGGAGGTTGCAGTGAGCCGAGATCACACCATTGCACTCCAGCCTGGGCAAAAGGAGTGAAACTCCATCTCAAAAAAAAAAAAAATGTCAAGTTCAATGCACATGTGAAGGTATTGCTATCCACATTCATTCTACCAGGATGATTTTAATAAAACCAAATGTGGTCACTTCTCTTTTTTTGGGTAATTGATCCAACATCCTCAGACACTCAGACCCCAGCCAAGAGTTAGGATATAAACCTGCAAGGCCTCTGGGCAACTGTACAAGATAACATGAACCCATGCACCTTCCTTTTAATGAAGCAACCAGGCTCTGACACTCGGTGAATGTGTTTTCTTCTAAGCAATTCTAACAAGCTTAGTTATCGCGTCTAGTTTTTCAGAGTAGAAGTAAACAAAGACTCAAGAAGTTGGCCCACTGACCCCAGCAAAAAGCAATATTTAACAGCCTGACAGGAGAAATGCCCAAAAGAGTATAAATGGCAGCTGTATTCATTCAAAAGCATAGTCTGGGGTCAAAATCCTACACATTCCAGGAGCTCCTGTTATTGGTAATGACTGCAGATGCTGAGAATCAGGCTTTGTGATCTGTGCTGTCGATCTAAGAGGGCAGGGACAGCTAGTAGAAAAATGTCCAATAGCACTAGTAGTTAAAACAAAAAGCACATAAAACAACAATAAAGTCTATGATTGGCATATATTTTCTGAAATGAAAAATCTCTATGCTGGTGGTGATGACATAAAACTGAAAACTACACAATTGTTTCAAAGGAAAGGTAAAGCAAATTTTGATTACATAAAATATGACGTCTTCTGCATCCAATAGTGGAAAATGTGGAAACTATACAGGAACATGGAAACTTGCTTATGATGTGTTCTGCTAGAAGCTGCAAGACACTAAATTGCATGTACAGGCCAAATACAACTGCCCACAGCCATATGCCTATGAAAAAGATACTAGAAAGGATATCAGGGTGTTTTCCTTCTTTCATCCCCTCCATCCTTTGCATTTACAGATGAGGAAACTGAGACCAATGGGCTGTTCCTGCTGTTGAGAACCTGTCCCTACAGTTTCCGTGTGGCCCACAGGGGCAGAGTGGAGGAGCTGGTGACCATGCAACAGGAGGATCAGGTCATGAAAGACACCTGGAGCTGGGGTGGAGACAGCTAGTTCAACACGTGGCTTCAGCACACACCCACTGAGCAAAGGAGCCTACTCAATGCCAGGCCCTGAGGGAGAGAGGCAGACCCGACCCAGTGCTCACTATCACGGGGCACATGGGAGGAAGAGACGATCTCTGCCTGAGGTGATCAGAGAGGGCATTAAGCAGGAGTGGCATTTGGATCTCAAAGCAGGGTGAGGACATGTGGCACACTGGAGCCAGTTTGTACCAGCTTTTGGAGGCTAGCTGCTTTTAGGAATTTCACATGCCAGTGCTTAGACATAGGTATTATTAAAAATAAATTTGACAAATTTACAATTTGATAAATAATATTTGAAACAAAGGTAATACCCAACACTTGTCACATCTGAACTATTTCACTATGTTTTACTATTATCTATGCTCTTGAGATTGTTTGCAACTATTGCATTTGTATGGTGAAAATACTACAAAGCTCTGTGCTACTATACATCTCTTCCCAACTCTGTATCCAGGGACATGATGTTGGTAGCTGAAACTGGCCACGGTGGGAGTATTTACACTATGGAAATGGGCAAATGCTACACATCAGGACTCCAGTTAATGTTTCGTTGATTGTGCAAAGTTTAGACTCTGAACTTAAGAAAGGGGTGAAGAAAATATTAATAATGCAGATTAAATTTCAAAGTCTGTCATGTCTATAGCTTTTATATATTGTGAATAGCACCCACAAATGAGGAAATATTCTATTTAAAACTAATATCTGATTGAATTCTGATTCAATGAAAGTAATATCTGTGTCACTGATAAATGAGTGAAGTTCCATTATATGTCTTCATTATATGTCATTTTTTCTTACCTGTTAGGGTAAATGAAAATATCAATCAACATTTGTGAAAAACTAGGCTCCATGACATGAGTGACTTCATTGCTGAGTCCTATAGTAAACAAGCATTTGTTTGTAGTTTGATTTTAGAACACGATTTTTGGTGATAGAATTACAAAAACTGCTAGTGGATTTTTTTTTTTTTTTTTTTGAGACGGAGTCTTGCTCTGTCACCCAGGCTGGAGTGCAGTGGCATGATCTCGGCTCACTGCAAGCTCCGCCTCCCGGGTTCACGCCATTCTCCTGCCTCAGCCTCCCGAGTAGCTGGGACTACAGTCGCCTGCCACCATGCCCGGCTAAGTTTTTGTATTTTTTTTAGTAGAGACGGAGTTTCACTGTGTTAGCTAAGATAGCCTCGATCTCCTGCCCTTGAGACCAGCCCGCTTCCGCCTCCCAAAGTGCTGGGATTACAGGCGTGAGCCACTGCGCCCGGCCAACTGCTAGTGGATTTTACAACAAACAGCAGCACTGAAGTTAAAGGTGTATGGAATTTACAGTAGAGTATTGCATGTTACTATTTTTAAATTGTGGGCTACACATTCTTTATATTAGGAAAATTTGTAATTAACAAATACATATATTAACTTGTATACTTATATTAACTTATATACATATATATGCATACATTTTTGAGAATCCATTGTAGGAACTCAGATAGGAGAAGACAGGGCAGGAGAAGGTAGAGGAAGATACAGTAGGGATTATAATCCCTACTGTATAGATACAGTGTCTTCTATAGCAGAGTGACACTGTAGGAGATGTGGTAGCTGCTATCTCCTGGGGGCCAGCATCCTTACTGCCCTAGATTCCTCTGGCTCTTGTCCTTGGCCCAAATAGCTTTCAGGAGAAAGGAGGCAACCCTGGGTGGGGCCACTCCCAACCTCCCACTGAGTGAGCCTGGCTACAGACTGTGCTGAGCTGGACCATCCCAGGAGAAAATGCTTTGGAGCCACTGGAGAGAGGGGACCCTGTATTTTCAAAGCATCCCTGAGCTGGAGACAAACCTAGCAGGGCCAAAAGATCCCCTCATGCGATGCCAGCCCTCTCTAGGTCAAAACCCAAGTAGGAGAAGATGAGGCAGAGAGGGAAGGTCTGGGCATGCTGTGCTGATTCCAGGATCCCTGCACACCCACCAGGGAACCTGTGCTTCTGCCCTTCAAGAACACACACTGCAGCCCAATTGTGTTGTTACTCTGCCTAATCCTGCCATTATGTTGAATCCTAGTGAGACAGGAAATCCAAGAAGCTCTCTGCCTTCACTGTACATGCCCATCCTTCCTTTCTTTTTACTGTGGTGTCCTCATTACTTACTGTTCTTATATGTTTTTAAATCTCCTCAGTGTCTGTAGTCAGGTTTCTCCTTCAACCCCTAGCAGTATTTTTGTACTTGATATTACTTGTCTTATATATTTTTTCCCTTAATTTTTCCTAAGGCCGGTGATTTTATCAGTTTTTCAAAGAACGCTTTTTGTTTTGTTGATCATCTGTACTAGTTTCTTTTTTTACCTGAGTTAGTTGTTTCTATTTTGATATTCCTACTTTCAAGTAGGTTTCTTCCTTCTACTTCCTCTGAGTTTATTTTTTTCTTTCTCTATTTTTAGTATCTTGAATTGAAACTTTAGTTGGTCCCACTCTTTATTTTTTAAATTTTTCTCTTTTAATAGTGAGGACACTTAAAGCTATGAATTTCCCTCTGAGTATTGCTTTGGCAATATCCCATAGATCGGATATCCATTCATTCAACAAATTTTTTTCTAGCTTTATTGAAGTATGATTGAGAAATAAAAATTATATATATTTTGGGTATATAACATGATGTTTTGATATATATACACATTGGCAAATGATTACTACAGTAATGCTAATAGCATATTCATTACCTTACATAGTTACTGTGTGTGTGTGTGTGTATGTTGTGTGCATGTGAGATAAGGCACATGAGGCCTACTCAACAAATTTCAAGTATATCATACATTAATATTAACTATAGTCATGATGCTTACATTAGGTCTCCCGTACTTATTCTTCTTATAACAGATTTGTAAACTTCGACCAATATCTCCCCTCACTCCCCAGGCCCTGGTAACCACTGTTCTACCCTCTTGTACTATAAGTTCACCTTTTTTTTTTTTTTTTTGAGATGGGGTCCCACTCTGTCACCCAGGTGGGAGTGCAGTGGTGCAATGTTGGCTCACTGCAGCCTCCATTTCCAAGGTTCAAGCAACCCTCCCACCTCAGCCTCCCAAGTAGCTGGACCCCAGACATGCACCACCACACCCAGCTAATTTTTTGCATTTTTTGGTAGAGACAGGGTTTCACCATGTTGCCCAGGCTGGTCTCAAACTCCTGAGCTCAGGCAATCCACCTGCCTTAGCCTCCCAAAGTGCTGGGGTTACAGGCAGGAGCCACCATGCCAAGTGGCTTTTAAAAGTTCAACTTTTAAAAGATTCCACATGTGAAATCACGCAGTTCAGCAAATATTTATTAAGTACCTACTATGTGCCAGGAACTAAGAAACGGTGTTCTCATTATCATTCACTTCTAAAATGTGCACTTTCCATTTGGATTTCTCTTTAACCCAAGAGTCCTTTTCAAGTGTATTTTTGTTTCTAGGTGTATGGGTTTGCAAAGGGAAGCTGTCTTTCAATAATTTAGTTCTAATTGCTTTGTATTCTGATCAGTGAATATGATTTGTTAGATGGTAGTGTTTTGGGATTCATTGAGATTTCCACAACTTAATATTTTTTCTTAACATATTTTTAAGTTGAGGTATAATACACGCTCAGTAAAGTGCACTCATATTAAGTGTACAACTTGATGAATTTTCACAAAATATGTATCTATGTCCCCACCATGTGGATCAACGTATAGAACATTCTCAGTACCACAGATGACTTCTTGCCTCCTCCCAGTCAATACCCTTCAGAAGTGACATCAGGATTGATTTTTCCATTTGTAAGTTTTTGAAATTCTTATAAATGGAATCATACAATATGTATTCTTTTGTGTCTAGCTCCTTTCACTCTACATTATATCTGTAAGATTCATCTATACTTTTGCAGGTAGCAATGATTTATTTCATTTTCACCCAGGGATAGTAGCCAATTGCACAATTACAATTTATCTATTCTATTGTTAAAAGATACTTAGGTTGTTACCAATTTATGACTATTAAAAACAGTGCTGCAATGAACATTTTTTTTTTTGAGACGGAGTTTTGCTCTTTTTGCCCAGGCTGGATGCAACGGCGCGATCTCAGCTCACCACAACCTCCACCTCCCGGGTTCAAGCAATTCTCCTGCCTCAGCCTCCCAAGTATTACAGGCATGCGCCACCACATCCGGCTAATTTCGTATTTTTAGTAGAGACGGGGTTTCTCCATGTTGGTCAGGCTGGTCTCAAACTCCTGACCTCAGGTGATCCACCCACCTTGGCCTCCCAAAGTGCTGGGATTACAGGCATGAGACACCGCATCCGGCCAATGAACATGCTTATAAGTGTCTTTTAATACACAAGCGCATTTCTGTTATGTATATATTGGGAGTCCTAATTACCTTTTAATTTGGGGATTCTTAGTGTAATTTTTTTCCCTATGCCACTTTAAATCTTATTTGGTTAAAGGTAGGATATAAAACATCTTAACGTGTGTGACTATGTCAAATAAATCAGGGACTTTAACTCACAGTAGCACCGCCCCCACTTTAGCTTGCCTGACCCCTTAGTGTTTGGACTTAGAAGAATCCTAGGCCCCAGATCTCTCAGACAGTGGCTCCCAAACTTCTGTCTCAGAATCATCTGGAGGGCTTGTTAAAAATGCACTATCCTGCCCCTGCCCAAACTTATGGCCTTGGTCTTTCCAGGAGCAGGACCCAGCAATCTGCCTTTTAGAAAGTATCCCCAGGTGATTCTGCCACTCAGCCAGGTATGGAAACTTTCCTGATTTCTGTGTTTGCATGGACTATGGACCAACGAGGCAAATTATCACCATCTCAGACAGCCTGATTCCCCCCTACTTCCCCAGTCCCCTTCTGAGGACAGCAGTTACAATTGGTTCTTCCCCTGACACCACAACCCCTACCCCACCCCCGTCTTCTTCCATGTCTTTGCTCCTAAAAGCCAAAGTAAAAAAAAAGAAAAGTGGATGGTTGATTGGAACCACCAATAAGTTTGAGTGCATCTGGTCTCTTTCCTCATTGCGCTCGTGGGGAAATTGAGGCAGGGGAAGGAAGAAATAGCCACAAGGAGTCAGGGTCAGGGAAGAGCCCCACCCTCACTACTTCTACCCTCTACACTAAGAAAAAACGTCCAGCAGAGGGAAGTGCTTTAGCCTCAAGCCTGCTGAGACTATCAGTGTTCTGAACAAGGCTGCATGTTTTACAGAGAGAATGCGGGCTTGGAATCAAACACACCTGAGGTCAAATCCTAGCTCCTCTCCTTGTAAGGAAATAATTTGAGGTCTCTGAACCTCAGGCCCCACATCTTGAAAATGGGATTAGGACTGGTGTTAGGATTACAGCTAATACACATGAAGTGTGGGGTGCATGGGATGTGCTGAGTAAATGGCTGTGATTATTATGAAGAAAATCTAGGTCACCCACAAAGTCCTGTTGCATTACCTGGAATATTACATAGGCTGGTGGCAGAGGCAGAGGGAGGAGGGAATGTTGACTTCCCGTGTTTTACCTGCTGTCTTTAAGTTCTTCCTTCCTCTGTGATCTGCGAGCCTTAACTCTAAGTTCACCCAGGACCATCCCACTGGACACACATGGTTGAGCAGCTACTCAGGATTGGGTCCTGTGAGAGACAGTGGGGTTTTGCTCCTGCCGTTGAGAAGCACCCAACCTGACAGGTAGACGGGCACCTATGTGGACAGCCACACTGTAGGGGGCAAACTGAGAGCCAGGGTGAGGAAGTGGTGTTTACAGCGGGCCCCAGGAGCCAAGGAGGACATCAGTAGTCAAACTCCGTCCGGGAAAACACACCAGATGCATGCAAGCCTGGCAGTTTACAGATGGGCAAGCAGACAGGTAGGGACTGGGGGAAGCTCTCCCAGTGGCCCTGAACCCTGGCTCTCCTGTCTCCCAGTGCTCCATCTTTCTATCTCTTTTGGAGTTTATCTTTTAGGGAAAGTTGGATTGATATAGTGTCAATAAAGAGGCCAGCAGATATGCAAGAGCTTAGTATGAACTTGTAGGCATAAAGCAAATCAAATATGTTAAGCAAACTGAGAGTCATAGAGTTCTTTGTATGCCTATCTGAGCTAATATTTCACAAAGAAGAAAGACGCATCTCCTTCCACAGCAGAGTACATGTGAACTTGTGTTAATAAGTGTTGTTTACAGAGTATTTTGGTTTCAAAACGACATCCACATGGAAGTTCAGGGGCAAGAGCAAGAACTCACCTATGACAGCACCTTGGTCTTTTCAAGGCCAGGCCTTGAGCTTGGAGCGTGGGTCCTGGCAATCAGAAGGCCTGTGTTCTAGGCTATCTGTGCTTGACTTGCTCTGTGATCTGGGCAGTTCCCTGTCTCTCCCTGGGCCTCAGCATCCCTGTCTGTGAAATGAAAGCTTTAGGCTAATTGTCTCCCAGGGCTCTTTCAGATCCAGAGCTCTCAAATGTTGCCATCTTTGTTTTTTGTATACTTGCAGCGGCCCTGGGAGGTTGACATCATCCTTCCCATTTTATAGGTGGAAAGTCAGGACTTTGAGGAAGGAAGAATCAGAAGTCACCCAAGAGTCAGAGGCTGAGCTAGATCACAACCCAGAGCCCATACCTTTCTAGTATAGCTTCTAGAAAGTCATGCATGTGTATATTTGTGTGTACATATGTGCGTGTGTATGAAGATACATGTCTCCATGTGTGCCCCAGAGCTGCCCTGTGCTTATTCCCTGGATGCTGCATGTGTAGACTTGTTATCTGGGCTGAGCTTATTCCAGGCAGTTCCACCCTGTGGGAGGGGAGAGAAGAGGGGCAAGGTGGAAGCGGCGAGGGAGCTACACCTACATTTTTGTGCTGCCCACTGATTTTAGCTGCTGAAACACAGGCTCCTGGCTGCTGTGTACTTAGCTAAGTCTGAGTGACTCCATACATGGGCAGTGGGCCGGAACGCTGCCCGCCAAGCATCAGAACTGACAACTTCTCTCACAACTGGGATCCAGGTCTGCAGGAGCATTCAAGGCCTTTCTTGCACACAGAAACACACATACACAGGCACATGTGCATGCACGCATGATGCACAGAGCAGGTGCCTTTCCCTCTCTGGCCTCAGTTTCCTAATTAGTAAAATGAGAGACTATCTTTGCTTGCCAGAGTATCCTTAGAGTTCAGAGACATTAAAGTTTGCTTTGCAAACTATAAAGTACTGGGAAGACCTTGCGGAGATAATGCTCATTCAATCTGCCCATATAAATAACAGAGAACGGAACTTTTCCCCATTTCTTTAAACCATACAGTTAGCCCCGTGGGCTCCCTCCAAATAGATATTGGATTAACTTACTCTAATACATAGATAATACCCTATTCTATTAATACAAAATTGGTGATTTCAGCCTCAGAAACATGCTATCTGATGTATCCTTTTCCCCACCGAATCTGGAATGGTTTGATTGCCAGAGAATACCCTGATTCATGATTCAAAAGGAAGATAATGTAGCGAGATGACTAATAGAATGGACTCTGGAGCTAGAATGCCTGGTTCAAATCCCAGTTCTGCCACTTGCAGTTGTGTTGCAATGCCTAGGCCCTGTCATTTAATTGCTCTGTACCTTAGGTTCATCATCTGTCATGTGGCATGACTATAGCGCGTCCTCCACTGGGCTGTTGTGAATGTCTGCACATATAAGACTGCTTGATATAAGTGGTGGTTATTATTTGTCTTCTTGGAAGAAGAGTAGGTGGTGGTGATGATGATGGTGATGTACATATTCAATGTGAATCAGTGATTGCCAGTGCCAAGGCTAGACCTGAGCTAGCCCATGGCCTCCTCCAGCCTACACTGGTTTTGGAGGAATGCTCTATTGTTAGAGGGAAGGGCAGGTACTCTACCCTAACTTCCTGACCACAGCATTTTCCACAGGAGCTCCCACAAGAAGTTTTAATGAGGTAAGCACAAGCTCTCACCAATTCCAAGCAAAAAGGTGGGGCTCTCTGCACCTCTCTCTACCAGTGCTGGCGTCACCACCACCGTCATCTGTGCCTGGATGCAGAGGTCTTGCGACAGAAGGTTTGGAACCCTGAGGACTATAAGGACTCAGAAATTTGTTAGGACTAGACAAAATGAATAATTGGGTTCCAATTTCTGTTCTGACCCTGGCAAGCTGAGTGACCCTAGGCAAGTCATTTCACCTGTCTGAGCCTTTGAAGATTACAATATTGGTTGTCGTTCTTAAGGCCAGGATTTGATCAGATCAGAAAAGTCTCACTTTCCAAAGGGGATGTCAATAAAAAGTATTTACTTAGTTGGGTGAAGGTGTGAGGACAGATCCAGCATGGAGACTTTGACTCTAACCCGCTAAGCTGCTAAGAACCATCATAAGATCTTGTATTGAAAAATTATTTATGGGAGTAATTTTATGTGCAGTTCATACGCGGTACAAGAAGCCAGTACACAAAAGGTCAAGTCATGGAAGCTGAGTCTGTTCTGAAGCTGCCCATCCCAGAGAGTGAGAACTGGAGAAGCTTCAGGGCATAGTGTGAATAGCACTGTGGCAAGAGTTAGGGACATGGGTTTGGTGTTAGGCAGACCTGGGTTTGAATCCCTCTTTGGCCACTTACTAACAGCTGGGTGGCCCTAGGTACATCCCTCAGCCCTCTGTGTCTCAGCTTCCTTGTCTATAAAATGGCCATATGGTTCATGTGACTGTGTGCAAGATTACATAAAGTGATACAGTGAAAAGCTCCCAGCACATAAGTGAGCTTAATAAATGGAAGATGCTGGTCTCATTTAGGACTCTCTTGGTTTGAGTGACGGAAATCAAACTCACACTAGCTTAAGTAAAGTAGTCATTTTGTTGTTTTAAATAACCAAGAAGGGCAGGGGTGGGGTTGGCCTTAGGGCAGTCGGGGACAGGGACTTAGACATCAGCAAGACTCTCTCTTCTCAGCTTCTCATCTCTAACTGTTGGCTTCCTTCTGCCCTGCCACAGAGGTTTCCTATGGGGTGAGGACATGACTTCCAAAACCTCTCAGTTCACCATTCCATGACCTATCAGGAGAGGATTCTTTCCCACCAGCTAAAAAACATCCCGGGAAAAGGACTCTAATTTGCCAGGCTATGTCACATGACCACACTGGACCAATCACAGTAGCCAGGAGGATGGCTCCTCTGATTGGCTCAGCTTGGGTCATATGCCTCTCCCTGGGCTAAGGGACTTGTTCCCGGCAGGAACAGAGGGTGGGGATGCTGCAGGAATTTCTCCTCAGGAAGTCTGTATGTGGGTGCGTTAGGAGAACAGTTCTCTGCACTAGGTGCTGAGGGTGGCATGAAGCCCCTTCTTCCAAGAGCTATATTGTCTTAGTGTGGCTTTGGTACCATGTTTATCCCAAAATGTAGTCTTTGTAGAAACAGCTCGACTTAATACAGCTTAATGCTGACCAAATCCACCATCCTCAGCTGCTGTTTGCAGAGCTTAGGCAGCGTTCCCAGCAGAGGAAGCCCAGGAACTGTGGCAGTCTCACTGGAGGGCTCCGCGTGGAGCTTTCCCTTCACCAACCCATAGCCCCCGCCTCAGTAAGACCCTGGCCTCATTTCCTCTGTCGACCCCCTGCAGATCTCAATGAGCCTGGGAGCACGGTAATTAGAAAAAAAAAAAACAACAACAAACAGTCATAGTGTTAGAAGGGACCTCAGGAACCACCTGGCCCACTTCACAGACGGAGAGACTGAAGCCAAGCAAAGGCAAAGTGCCTGCCTACCCAGGGACACATTGCTCCTTTGGAACTATGTCTTCATCAAGCGCCCTCTGACGAAATAATCTGTTCAACAAACCCCCATGACAGGAGTTTACCTATAAAATAAACCTACACATGTACCCCTCAACCTAAAATAAACATTTTTTTAAAAAAGCACCCTCAGCTCCTATCTTATGGTAGGTCCTCAGTAAATATTGAGTGAGTCAGGTGTGGTGCCTTGTGCCTGTAATTCCAGCTAATTGGGACGCTGAGGCAGGATGATCCCTTGAGGCCAGGAGTTCAAGATCAGCCTGGGCAACTGGGCAACATAGTGAAACTCTTTCTCTACAAAAGAAAAAAAAAATTAACTATGTGTGGTGGCACATGACTGTAGTTCTAGCTACTCAGGAGGCTGAGGTGAGAGGATGGCTTGAGCCCAAGAGTTTGAGGCTGCAATGAGCCATGATCGCACCACTGCATTCCAGCCTGGACAACAGAGCAAGATCCTGTCTTAAATAAATAAATAACTAAATAAGAATGTTGGGTGAATGAATGAATAAACTGAGATTTAAATCCAGGTTCATATTATTTCTGATATATCATTCTACTTCCCCTTGAACCTAAAAATAATTTCTAGACTAAAGTCCTTTCCTGCTCTAAGGGAGATGGCTCCTTGACCAGGATGGGCAGGAGGTTATGTAGATGACCTCAGTGAGCACAGTCCTAGCTGAAGTGAATGAGAACTGGTATGTGGTATCGGGGCAGGCAGATGGGAGGAATGGATTTGAGAGAGGTAAGCACATACTCATCGTTGCCTTTTAATAACTCATGATTTGGTCCTGTTTGTGATAGGCAGGACAGCATTCCACTCCCATTCAACAGATGAAAAAGTTCCATCAAAATTCCTCTGCAGCTTAAAGAAGGCAAGCACTCAGTGAACCTTACTTGCCTAGTGATTTGTGGAGTTTAGACCCCTTCCCTGGTGTTCCAGCTTCTGGCTCCCTAAACATCTGAGGCAGCCACTTTGTTGCCTCATCCACAGGCCCTCAGCACCTGATATGCCACCTGGGGTATCTCCTGCTGGTCATTTCTGGCACAGGCCAGATGTGCTGGGGGAATTAACAGCCCCTCCTTGGGAGCAGTCCTCAGCCAGTGGCTGACAGGAGTTGGCGGACACACCCTCCAGCTGCCTTGCCCCTGGGAACTCAGGGGCTGTGCATATGGGCCGCACTGGCTCCCAGAGCCCCCAGCAGGACCCAGCTCCAGTTGCCTACAGGGGAGGCTTGCTTGCTAACACACCATGATTGTTCTTCCCCTCTCCTGCTTTACTTCCATGCTCCCTAGCAGCATCCCCTCCCAAACAAACTACTTGCATTTGAATCTTTGTCTTAGAGTCTGCTTCTGGAATAACCCAAACTAAGACTACCACCTTCTAAAAAAAAAAATGGCAGAGTGGGTGAACCAGCTGGCTACATAATGGCAAATATTGTTTATATGAAGTAAGTCCAAGTTAGGTCTATACCTCCATGCCCTCTCACCACTTGCCTGCTCCTTTCCTGGCCCCACCCTCACCAGTCTTGCAAGTTTCTTCACCACTCATGAAGGAGGGGAACACCTGTGAGGGTGTCACAAGTCATGCTACCAAGAACCAGAACCATACAGGGCTTGACTCCATCCCTGAGCCCCTGGGTGACAGTTTCCCATGGCTCTGACAAGGTGCTAGAAGTGAGCTGGCATATGCTCTGCCTTCTCAGACAGGCTACTGGTCTGGTCTGTCCTGGTGTCTGTCAGACATGAGCCCAGCCTTATGTCACCCAGTTCCTGAACTGACGACTCCCCAGGATGATCTATGTCCCTGATAGCACAACCTCTAGACCACTGGGTCTGAGGACCAGAGTGGTGGAGCCATGGGATGCTGGAGCAGGAAAGTCATGTAGGGACTGGGAACTTGTTCTAACCCTCCCATTGTTGGGGGGATGCCTTAGACCTGGGAGGACAGGGTCTTGTCCAAGGTCACACAGTGCAACAGGAGTGGAATGGGGCATGAACTCAGGGTTTTTTCTTTTATTTCCAGTTCAGCATTTTTGCCTCATTAACAGACTGTATGGAAAGAGGAGCAAGGGGGCATGGCAGAAGAACAAGGGCCCCGGATTTCAGACTTGGCTTGAAACCCACTTTTGCTGTTAGCTGTGTGACCTTAAGCAAGTTACTCAGTTCCATGTGCCTCAGTTTCCACGATTGTAAAGTTGAGGTTCTATTAATCATCCAACAGGGTTGTTAGGAGGCTGAGCAGAGATAATTGAGATGGAACACACCTGGTAGTAACAGATGCCCAATAAGCACCGGGTGACTCTGAATCTATAAAGGGATCCCTCTTATTTTACAGCCTTCCACCTGGATGACACTCAACAAATTTTAAACAGAAATATCCTCATCTTCTTCATAATCACTTCTGGAAAATTTACAGCAGGGTCTAGTGCAGAATTTCCAGATCGTGTGATTCAGAGTTCTGCTTCTGAGAAAAGGTGCCATGTGAAAAAAGAAGGAGCTACCAAGTAAGTTTGGAAAGGGTTGCATTAACATCGTCCACGTTAACACACTGCAGGACTTCTGAGGGCCTTCGCTTAACTTTTTTTGTCAGGAGCACTAAATATCTCCTAGTCTTTGGGGATGCTGCAGGGAATAGGTTTGGGAGACAGCTGGTCTACTGGAAAGGCCACCTGACTGAAGCCTTGACTCTTTTATGTCTCTCACTTACTCATTGTGTGCAGTTCCTGAACCATTAGAACTTGTTTCCTCACTGGTAAAATGAGAAGGGGGATGATAAGTAAGGGCGTTTCCGGTTCTGATGCGCTGGATCTTGAAGCTCTTCTCCACCACTAGCGCCCTGCTTGTAACCTTAGCACACGCAACTCTGAACAGGAATAGTCCTGGGAGAAGGGCGGAAGGTTCCAGGAGGGCGCCTGCCTGCCTAGAGTCCCCTTGCCGGTCTCACCCTGGAAAGGTAGGCGGAACTAGAACAGGCGGGCCCCACTGCCTGCAGCCTGCGAGGAGACGCCAGGGCTGCAAGCCCCCCCGCCCTCCTCCGCCCCTGCCGGGACAGTCAGCCGCTAGGGGATTAGGAACGGGCCCAGCGCCCATTCAAGCCATTCAGCGAGACAGGAAGCCAAGCGCGCTCCTGCCCGCCCGCCTCTGCCGGGCAGGTCTGCGGGATGACGCGCATTGTGCTGGGGACTCGCCCAAAGGGAGGCCCAGCCGTGGGGAAAACCGCGTCCCGCGGGAATCCGACGCCCGGTGACGGGGGCACCTGCAAGGCTTCAGGGCGAATCCCTGACTCCCAGCCCGGGGCTGAGTCCTCGTGGGGCCGCCTCCGCGCTGCCCAGTGCTGCCGGTTATCTGCTCACAGCGGGTGGCTCCGGGCCTTCAGGAGCGCGACGGGCGCCATCCCTTCCAGTGCCTCCCGGGACAAGGCCAGGGTCATCGGCACACGGAGTTTCAGCCCGAGTGCCGGAGTCTTTCTTCAGGACAATGCAGAGATCTGCACAAAAGGCAGGCAGGCGGGTGAGGACAAGTTAATCTCTGTGAGCCTGGAGGCTCTTGAAGGCCTTGGGGGAACGGGCATGTTCATTTTCTCTGCCTCATTGGAGGCATCGAATCCTTAACCTAGACAAGCTGGATCTGGCTTTGAAGACTACTAGAAGACAGGGATTCCTTGTCGGCTCCCAAAGGCCGGTGCGGGGAGGCTCGCTTGAGCCCAGGAGTTCAAGACCAGCCTGGAAAACATGGTGAAATCCTGTCTCTATGAAAAAAAAGAAGAGGAAGAGGAAGAAGGAGAAGAAGGAGAAGGAGAAGAAGATGAGGAGGAGGAGGAGGGAAGAAGGAAGAAGAGGAAGAGGAAGAGGAGGAAGAGGAAGAAGAAAAGAAGAGGAAGAGGAAGAGGAAGAAGGAAGAAAAGAAGAAGAAAGAAGAAGAAGAGGAAGAAGAGGAAGAGGAAGAAGGAAGAAGAAGAAGAAGAAGAAGAAGAAGAGAAGAAGAAAGAAGGCGGCCCAGTGTCTTACTCCTCTTTAGTCCCAGCTATTAGGGAGGCTAAGGCACGAGGATCGTCTGAGTCTGGAAGTTTGAGGCTGCAATGAGCTGTGATTGCACCACTGCACTCCAGCCTGGGCGACAGAACGAGAGACCCTGTCTCACACACACACACACACACACACACACACACAAAACAAAACCACACACACAGGAAAGAAAAAAGAATGATGGGCTTTCACTGTCTGGGATCCTGCTGGATTTGTGCTTTGGCTACTGCAGAGTGTTGGAACTTCATGCATTTCTAATTTGGCCATGTCTGTGTACCACCTGTGTGGGATACTTCTCCAGGCGACCTTGGACTCATCCAGTTCTACCCCCTTTCTGCCTTGTAGTTCTCAAGAATAACTGTAGAATATGCTGGAAGGGCAACATCCTGAGATAGGGAGTGGCTGGCTGGAACAGCCTGGCTCTGTGCCAGTCCTCCCCAGAACAGAATGTCTTTCAACGCTTTAGTCCAGCGAGTCTTGTTTTCCGGGGTATAAAACCCAGGACAGGCTGCTTTCCAGGGTCCTCCGCTGCCGTACAAGTGGGAGACACACAGTCGAGATTCCTTTCCCCTGGACAGCTTTCCGGAGCCTTAGGGCTCAGGCCTCAAATGCGTCCTACGCTTCTACAGTCCCTTGCTGCATCTCTGTAAGCAGTGAACCCACTTCATGTAACTTGTTGTGTGTGGGCGTTCTATCTCATCCCACTCAGACAAGTTGGTAACCAGTACACAGTGAACCTGATTCACAACTTGTAGTATTACTGATTCAACGTTTTTCTTATATCAACTTGCTTATTAAATTTTTGCTAAGCTGTATCTGTGAAATAAAATGAGATTTATGTGCTAGTAGTTCCTACTACAATAAAAATAATTTTCCAACCATTAAAAATGATTTGTCCCTGATGACCTAAAATCAGATTGAGACTCATCAGTGCTAAGTTAGAGAGATGGGATTATATAGTCTGTAAGTGCCCTTCAAATCTTGAGAGCTCCTGTATTTTGTGTTTTTACAGAGTATTTTGTTTAATCCCTATTTCAACCCTATAAGGTAGATACTATCCTTGAGTTTTCAAATGAAAAAAAAAACAAAAACTGAGATTCTACGATATTCAGTAATTTCCCCAAAATCCCACAGCAAATGACAGAGCTAGGATGGGAACCCAGGAGTCAGAAATCGGAACTTGTGTTCCTAATCACTTAAGCTATATCACAAATGAGAGAGGTGGATGATTCTATGACTGTAGGGCTCTAAAATGATGTGAAGGAATGAAATGTCTTCACATAGACAAGAAATGTCTATGTCCTAATTCCCAGATCCTGTGAACATTACTTTATATGGTGAACAACGTGATTCAGTTAAAGATCTTGAGATAAGGAACTTATCCTGTATTACCTGGGTAGGACCTGCATCAATCACATGTATTTTTTAAAAGAGGGACGTTTGACACAGACAGAAGACACATAGAAGAGAAGGTGATATGAAGACAGAGGCAGAGATTGGAGTGATGCAGCCGCAAGCAACGGAATACTGGCAGCAACCAGAATCTGGAAGAGGCAAGGAATGGATTCTCCTGCTGGAGCCTCCGGAGGAAGTACAGCCCTGCTGGCACCTTGATTTGGGACTTCCGTCCTCCAGAAAAGAGAGAATACATTTCTGTAGTTTCAAGCCACCAAGTTTGTGGTAAAGTTTTTTACAGCATCCACAGGAAACTAATACCAGTGGTAAAGTGTACTTTACCTCCCCGTTTGTCATAGTTGCTCTTGATGGCTGGAATGGTCTGTTTGGGGCTTTGATATGGTTTGGCTCTGTGTCCTCACCCAAATCTCATCTCCAATTGTAATCCCCACATGTCAAAGGCGGGATCTGATGGGAGACGACTGGATTGTGGCGGCGGATTTCCCCCTTACTATTCTCGTGACAGTGAGTGAGTTCTCACGTGATCTGGTTGTTTGATAAGTGTCTGGCACTTTCCTCTGCACTGTCTCTCTCTCCTGCTGCCATATGAAGAAGGTCCTTGCTTCCCCTTTGACTTCTGCCATGATTGTAAGTTTCTTGAGGCCTCCCTAGCCATGTGGAACTGTGAGTCAATTAAACCTCTTTTGTTTATAAATTACCCAGTCTCAGGTAGTATCGTTACTAGCAGTGTGAAAACGGACTAATACAGGCTTGTTAACATGATTCTTGCCTTTGGATCAGCTTGGCATCAACTGACTCTGAAACATCAGTAGAAAAAATAAAATCAGGTAAAAATGAGAGAAAGAAAATTATACAATAAGCAAGTTATATAATAAGCACCTATATTGTTATTATTGCACTTAAGTTTTACCTTGAGCCTCCAGACAGCTGAGGCAAAACGAAAATCAGGGCGGATGATATAATTTTCACTTTCTGATAAAAAGGAATCAGTTTTGCTTTTCAAGAAACACACATCTTTCCTTTATGTTGTATTCTAGGAATAACTGAGCAAGTATGTCTTCACACAGTGGACACTGAACAAGGCAGGAGATAAAATGCTCAACAGTGACTCAGACAAGATCTAGGGCTATCCTCACGTGGAGGGTTCTCATGTTATCCCTTCATAAACACTACAGCCCAATAAAGAAACACAGTTCAGCATCCTGACCACCCAGACTGGCACCCAGGAATAAGCCCTCACACGGACAGAGTACACCAGGGTTCACAAAGTGCTTTCACATCTGCCATCCTACATATGTTCAAACAGCCAGTCAGGGCAGACAGTGTAATCTGCGTTTTACAGATGCGAGAACTGAGGCTCATATTCTGGAGATTGTCCCAAGGTCACACAGCTGGTGAGTGGCAGGGCTGGGGTTCCCTGAGGCTCCAAGAACAGGTCTCCCAGGCGTGCTGCCTGGGAGTGAAATCCAAATGCCTCCTGTTTTTCTACAGGAATTTCATACACATCTGTCTTATCTCTCCAAGCACACTGAGCCTTTGCAGGCAGGGTCTTTTCTCCCATGTTTTAGGAAGCCTTGGTTATCTGCCCAGGGCTGGTAGGTGAAAGATATCCTGCCATGTGTCAGGCCCTGCCCAGGAGAGACACCCCATGCTCCATCTGGTCCTTTAGGTCAGGTCCCAAGCTATCTGAGAACAGTGGCCTAAAGGAGAGGAGTTGAGGAAGGGGGTTAGGGAGCAGACCCAGCACTGTCCAATAAGATCCAAGGAGAGAGGGCAACGCCCCTGCCAGCTAAAGGTGTGGCCAGGGTGCTGTCCGACCCACAGTGCTGACTGGTCTCTAGTTGCTGGGAAAAGAGAGACCTCCAGGGAAGTGGATTTGTCCTTCCTGTATCCCACCCTTCCCAATCAGTGGTTGAAGGGGTTGGAGACACTTTCTCAACTGAGGCACTGGAGGAGAAGGAGAAGGGGGGACTGAATGCTTCTGCTTCTCCCACTTTCTTCCTACTCCTGCCCCTTTGCGCCCTTCTCCCTAATTCATCCTGTTCCTCTTCTCTCATCCCCTTCCAACCTCCCCTCCATTCCTCTGGAGGTACTCGTTTTCCACCTCCCTCCATCCCTACCTGCTCTGTTTATTTCTTCCTCCCTCTTTCCTCTTCACCCACTAGATGTGCAAACACTTGCAAGTTTCTTAACCTCTCTGAGTGAAAGCCCTAACCTCACAAGGTGGTTGTAAAGCTCAGTGGTCAGCATAGAGAAAATGCCCAATCCAAGCGTGTTCTACTCACTCACTCCCATTTCTTCCAGATGGGAAGGAGGACAGATAGGGGCACCACATTAACTCCCTTCCTCACCACCGCAGAGCTCCCGCATACCAACTGTGCCCCAACCAGTGGAGAAAGCCTAGGGTCACAATGGACCTCCTCTTCCACCTTAGGAGACAGACCATGGCCCAGGATGTCAAGCTACATCCAGCAGGGCTATCGGGTGACATATAATGATGGATGATGATCTCTAAGAGGGAGTGGGAATCATGATTTACCATACACCTGCCATGTGCCAGGCATAGGCTGAGCATTCTACATATATGGTCTTTATGAGAGCCCTACGAAGCAGGTGCTATTTTAGTAACCCTGTTTAACAGATGAGTAAAGAGGTTTAGAGAGATGAAAGTCAGGGAGTGACCTTCCCTGGGTCACATAAATATTAGGTGGTGAAGGCAGGTCAGTCTGACTAAGTGACATGCTCTTTGATTTAACTTTTTTTTTTTTGTCTGGCTCTGTCCCCCAGGCTGGAGTGCAGTGGCATAATCTCTGCTCACTGCAGCCTCTGCCTCCCAGGTTCAGGCAATTCTCCTGTCTCAGCCTCTGGAGTAGCTGGGACAACAAGCATGAACCACCACACCCGGCTAATTTTTGTATTTTTAGTAGAGATGGGGTTTCACCATATTGGTCAGGCTGGTCTCAAACATCTGACTCAGGTGATCCACCCACCTCGGCCTCCCAAAATGCTGGGATTACAGGTGTGAGCCACCGCACCCAGCCGATTTAACTTTTTATTATGGGAAAATTAAGCATATAGAAGATTAGACAGAATAGTGTAACCAACCCTCACTCACCTGTCACCCAGCTTCATTGATCAGCTCTTGGCCAGTCTTATTTCATCCTAATCCACATCCATTTCACCCTTTCCTTATTTTGAAGCATATCTCAGACATCATATAGTTTTGTCCATAAATACTTCAGTATGTGCCTTTACAAGACAAAGCCAATTTTAAAAACGTAACTAAAATACCATTGTTGTGCCTTAAAACTTTGTAAAATTTCTTAAGATTACCAAATAACAAGGCAGCACATTTAATTCACATTTCCAATCATTGTTCTACTCTCCCCTGCTGCCTCTTTTAATAAAGATAATAATACCTCTTCCACTGCAAAGCCCTTCCACACACATTATCTTATCTAATGCTCATTATCTGCCCTTGGCCCTACACAGGGTTGGACTTTCTTCATTCCGGAAATGTGAGAAAGTCTTTCTAGAAAGGCTCAGAGAAGTGAATGGACTCACCCAAGGTTACACAGTAGGTTAGGGGCAGAGTCCCTAACCTCCTGTCTCCCAGCCCTTGCCTCTGTTCACCTTAGGGGCCTCCCAATGGGAGGTTTCATCTGTCAAGCACAGAGGCCAAGGCAGTGATGGGGGGTGTCCTGGAGGAGCAGGATGAGAGACTCTCCCTGCAGTGGTGGCAGCCTGGACAGTGCATGTTCTCAGCTGGAGAGCTACAGCCAAGCCTCTTTCTCTTAATAACAACAGTACTAATTCCCTGGCACAGGCTTGTTTGTGTGCAGTAGCTCCCCAAAGCCTAGGCCGTGGCTGGGGCTTATCATCTGGCCTCCCGAGTGGCATGCCTTAAGCCCCCTGCACTAGGGCAGATTGGATACTGAAGCCCAAAAGGAAGGCACAATAACCACATCACTCAGTCAGCCCCATTCTAATTCTGCTTTTCACCTAAGTACAGAAGGAGGGCAAAGGTTGCTCTGTTTTTCTTCTGGGAACCTCCTTGCCTAGCCAGCCCCACACATGCAGAGAATGCCAAGGATTCCATTCTAAATCCCCTGGCTTTTATGGCTAATTCTTCCATTAGTCTGCAAGCTATAGAGCAAACCCTTCAGCCTGGCATTCAAGGCCTGCAGTCTGCCCAACACCACCGAGGTAACCTATCACAGATAGCAAAGAGACCATGGTGCAATTTCAGGGAAAACAAAAAAGCTTTATACAAGCTAATTACTGGAGTTGTCCAGTTAGAGCTTCACTTCCTTAGCTTTTGAATGTGTTGTCTGTCTAAATGCAAACAATGTCGCCACCAATGGTGTCCATTACATCTTCTTCCATACCTCAAATTTAAAGTCCTAATAATACTGCTTGCTACTCATTTGCACAGATGGACTGTGACATTTCATTTTTCTTTGACTTTCCTCATGCTGTTTCCTCTGCCTGGAAACTTATTTCTTCCTTCTTCATCCACTAACTACCAGGTGTATCTCAGAACTCAGCAGAGACATCACCTCCTCCCGGGAAGATTCCTAAATGTCTCCTTCCCCTCATCAGCCTTTCCACTCCCTACATTGGGTGAAGGTCCCTTTCATGGGCTTATCTTTATCTTAGCACTTACTTCAGTGTACCAAACTCAGCAGCTTGTGAGCCTTCAAGGGCAGGGATCATGTGTTGTTCATCTCAGTCTCCCCCAGGCCTAAATACAAGGCGTGGCACATACTAGGATCTCAACTTAATGTGCTCGTTGAAATACTTTATCTCCCTGAACCTTCACAACAGCCCTGTGGGTCAGGCTGCCCAGGAGTCGTGATGCCTCTCATTTTATGGATGTGGAGGCTAAGACAAAGAGGGGTGAGTGACATGTCCCAGGCTCCATGCTGAGAGGGAAGCCAGCATCTCACTAATGCCTCCTGGTCTACCTGCCACCCACTTGGACCAGCCCTGGATGCCCAGGTCAGAGGATGTGTGACAAAGTGGAGCAGAAGGCAGGGCCTCCAGGCACATGCAGCACAATCCCTGTTGCCCCAGGGTAAAGCCCAAATTCCTCCTCCTGGCATAATGACCTTCCCAAGGCCATCTCTCCAGGCTCATCCTTTAAACTCCTTCTCAGATACCCCTGTTGAGCCACACCTGCTTATCCACCTAAGCTTTAAGGGCCTGGGCTCACCTGAGTTTTAAGAACCCTGTACTTGGTGCCTAAACTGTGTCCCCATTGCACCCTGGGACTTCACAATCAATTCAACTGGATGAAGAGGCAGAACAGATGTTCACTGAAGTCTTGCAACGTCAGAGTAAAAAAACAGCAGTGTTTGGAACACACAGATGGCTCAGCCCTTCCCAAACTGTGTTTGTGGAATACTACAATCCTGAGAGATGCTTATAGCTATTCCTCCCACAAAAAACCCCATGGGCAATACATAATAACAATGCCCATAGCATCTTACATGCAATGTTGTCTTTCATCCTGATAATATCCCTAAAAGGCAGGGTCCATATTTTCCTCTGAACTGTGAGGAAACTGCAGCTCACAGAGGCTAATGAACTTCCCTGTGGTTGCACAGCTAGGCAGTAGTGCAACCAGGATTCCAAACTCATCTTGTGCATTTTGCCACTTTGCAAGTCTACCTTTCTGTCTACTGCATTGTTCCTCGAGGAAATTCAAAATGTCATTAGCATGCTGAACATCCTGAGGATTCTTGTCTAAATTTAACTAAGCATTGGCCAGGTGCGGTGGCTCACGCCTGTAATCCCAGCACTTTGGAAGACCAAGGCAGGTGGATCACAAGGTCAGGAGTTTGAGACCAGCTTGACCAATATGGTGAAACCCCATCTCTACTACAAATACAAAAAATAGCTGTGTGTGGTGGCGGGTACCTGCAATCCCAGCTGCCTGGGAGGCTGAGGCAGGAGAATTGCTCAAACCTGGGAGACAGAGGTTGCAGTGAGCGGAGATCACTCCACCGCACTCCAGCCTGGGTGACAGAGCGAGACTCCATTAAAAAAAAAAAAAGTAAGCATCTTCCACACTTATTTGAGGCTGGAACAACTCCCTTCCCACCACTACTTTTTGTTTGCTGAATCCTATTCCTGTCCCACAGAATACAAATGTTTCACTGAACACAGTTTGTGAAGTGCTGCCCTGAAAAATATCAGCTCTTGTCCTGACAACCTGAGAGCACAGGATGGAGGCCGTGAAGGAAGCCTGGAGACCTCTGTGCAGAGCCTCTTTGTTGTACATGTGAGGTTCTGAGACCCAGAGAGTAGCAGGTGTTCTCAGGTTGCACAGCCAAGGAGGGGAGGCACCATGGCCAAGAACGGCCTTTTCACTCCAGGCAGGCTGGCAGGGCTGGCATTTTGGAAAGCTCTCAGCAGACAGAATTCACACACCTTCCTGTAGAGGCCGCACAGGATTCAAGAGATGGAAACTGCTGGAAGGAGCACTGTCTTATTGAAAGTAATCTCAAGATCCCAGGACCACAAAGCTAGATGTTTCACATCAGTCTAATTCCCCCAACACACAGGCCTAGAGAGGAGAAGGACTTATTCAAGGCCACAAAGCAAGTTCAAAGCACAGCTGGAACTAGAATCCAAGTGTCCTGCCCCCTGCCTCCAGCTCCAAGGCTCTGTCTGGCCTTTCCTGCAGTTGTTGATATGTCTGTCTGTCTTCTCAGCCTGGCCAGAGGCCCTTTGAGAGCAAGGTTCATGCTTGGCTTCCCAGCTCCCAGCACTTAGGACTAAAGAAATATTGGTAAGTGAAGGAAGGCAGGGCCTGGTGGCTCAGACCTATAATCCCAGCACTTCGGGAGGCTGAGGCAGGAGAATCACTTGAGGTCAGGAGTTCTACATAGCCTGAGCAACATAGCATGATCCCATCTCCAAAATAATAATAATAATAATAATAATTAACCGGACGTGGTGGTGCGTGCCTGCAGTTCCAGCTACTTGGGAGGCTGAGGCAGGAGGATCACTTGAGCCCAGGAGTTTTGAGTTACAGTGAGCTGATCACATCGCTGCATTGCAGCCTGGGAAACAGAGCAAGATTCTGTCTCAACAACAACAACAAAAAAGGTGGGGGGGGGGAAATGAATACATAAAATATTTGATTTTTACCAAAAACCCTCTTTCTCAGCTTGATCATTTACAGGGCTGGGATTATCTTTTGGCTACTTCCAAAAATGATTGCACCCTCAAAGGATAAATATTTGCTACCAAAAAGTAACAGCAACACTTATATTGTGCTTAATATATATGTGTGTATACACACACATACACATGGCTGGTATGAGGAGTATGGCAGTAAACATGACAGATTCTGTCCCTACTGTTCATGCCTTCATAAAGCTTACATTCTGGTAAAACAGATCATCATTAAACAATTTATTTCCCAATTAATTAGCCAATTAAAATGGTGGTAATTGCTACAAAATAGCAGTAAACTGCACTGTGATTAGCTTAATCAGAATCGAAAGTGCTAATCTGCTGAAGGTCTTAAAAGCTGTCATTAAAAGAAACTTTTCCATAGCTCCATACAGCAGTTGTAAAAAGAAAGCAGACAGAAAGAAGTTCTTATTTATCTGAGGAAAATTAAAAGAAATTCTTAATCAACACATATTCCTGCAAAACAGGACTCCTTACAAGCAAATTAGAGAGAAGATATTCAAGAGATATTCAGCAAGAATACCTTCTGAGCACCCACTGTACCATGGAACCTGATGGTAGCTATCCCAACAATACCATTAAGTAGGAGTTATTACCGTAGTTAAAGAGGAGAAACCAAAGGGTCAGAGAGGCTAACCAATTCTTCAAAGTTCAGCCATGCAGCTACCAAGTAGGACCAGGATTTAAGCCCAGGATGATGTACAGCAATGCCCAGAATCTTTTCCTACACCATGTTGTGTTTTCTAATCTTAAAAGCTGATCAACCAAGAGTTGAAACTTTGGACTCTGACATCATAGGTATGCAAAGTCTTCTTGTCAATGCCATCTCTCCTTCATGGGGCCCTGGAGAAAGAACATTGCATTTTCTGGGAACCAAGAGGATCAAAATGAGAAGATCATGTATGATGCAAACCACACTTCTTGGGGGAATTGTTAATTACTGGAATTATTGCATTCTTTTCCTCTGAGATATAGGTTTCCTGAACAAAAAGCTTTAATATTTTATTTATGCAAATGGAGAAACTATTCTATATCCCTCAAATAAGATGCTTAAGTGGGATCTTTTCTCTGCATTTTCCTTCTCTAAGGCAATTCCATCTCTTGGCGCAGCCAAACCTTGCCCAGAATTCCTGGCCCCAATTTCATGAGCAAAACTATATCCCACTAATCCAGTTTTCTCGTAGTTTAAAAGGGACAGTGGAGCTGCACTTTTCTTTTGAAGGAAAAAGGGCTCATCTTTTTCTGGATTCATCCATTGGCCTGGGAACGTTCTTTATCTGATCACCACATGGGCCTGACTCCACAAATGCCTTTTCCCATCAACGGGAGTACTTTGGAGCATTTTCTAACATCCAGAAAGAATCCAACTTTGGAATAGGGAAGTATAGACTATGCCTTGGCCAGTGTGCCTTCCTGGAAGCCGGCTCTTGGAACCTCACTGCTCCCACAACCCCTAGCCTATTCTATCATGGTGGTCTGGGAACCTGAATGTCCACCGCACTGCTGCTCCTGAAACAGACATTCTGTCTTCTTGAGAGTGAGCAGGGAAGAGGGCACCTGGACAGGCATGTATGAACAGCCCTCCCTCCTCAGGAGCTTGCCTTTCAGGTTTCCTAAGAGCTGATGTGCCTGTGGATTCTATAATGAGGAGGGATTTGTTTGTTGAAGGATCTTTTCAGCTTCATTGCTTAACTCAAAGGTGAGAAGGGGGTGGGGGCAAGATGAAAACTACTCTCCTTTGCCTTCCTGCATAGTTCAAATTTAAGCTTTGTCTGCAGCTGCCCTGAAACAGCAGCCAAGATAGTTTTAAGGATGGGGACGCAGGAGTTCTAGCCCTGGATTGGCCCCTTTATCTGCTATATAACCAAGGGCAAATCTTCCCTCTCTCTAGGCCTAAGTCTCCCCATCTGTACAATGAGATGATGGGGTGCTATGATCTGTGCCTCAGCTCCCTCCTCTGTGCAATGGGCCCATTGCGATAAATATCCTGCTCCACCCTCCTGATTGTTAGATCAACATGGAGGGATGTCAACTAGATCTGAGAACTGAAGGCCTCCTTTAGACAGTTTGATGTATTAGAACTATAAAGCAGGGGCAAATTCTCATTGGCTTTGATATTTCTTTGGTAGTGGCTAACAACCAGTCTGTGCAGCAAATGTAATTTATTTTCTTTGTTTTCATTTCAAAAACCTTTTCAAATTGCAGAAGAGCTGTGAAAGATAGAACAGAGAATTCTCATATATTCTTCACCCAGCTTTCCCTGAGGTTAACATCTTATATAGCCACAGAACAATTTTCAAAACTAAGAAATTAACATTGGTACAATACTAGTAATGAAACTATAGACTTTACTCAGATTTCACTAATTTTTGTACTAATGTCCTTTTTTGTTCCAAAATTCAACACAGGGTACCACATTACATTTAGCTGTCATGTCACTTTACTCTCCTGCAATCTGTGACAGTTTCCCAGTCTTCCCTTTTTTCATGACCTTGACATTTTTGAAGAATACTACTCAGGCATTTTGCAGAATGACCTCAATTTGGGTTTGCCTGATGTTTTCTCATGACTTGACAGAGCTAGTGAATTTTGGGAAAGAATATCACAGAGATGAAGTTCCATTCTTATTGCATCATAGCAGTGGTATGATATTAATACTGTTATCACTGGTGATGTCAAATTTGATCACTTGGTTAAGGTGGTGTTTTCCAGGTATCTCCACAGTAAAGTACTGTTTTTTCCCTTTCCCCATAGTCTACTCAGAAAAGAGAATCACTGAGTTCAGCTTACACTACACACAGTTCAAGAAGTAAGGAGTTAAGCTCCACCTCCTGGAGGGAGGAATATCAGGGTTTGTGGACATGTTAAAACTATCACAGTTGACGCAGGATAGGTAAGCCCTAAAGTGGGGCTTAGCCCAAGAGGGTTCTTGGCTTCACCCAGGAAAGAATTCAAGGGCAAGTCGGTGACAGAGTAGAAGAAAACAGCTTTTTTGAAGCGGCAGTGTGTTACAGCTCCAGTGGTGTTACAGCTCTGTAACTGCTCCTGCAGAGCAGGGCTACCCCATAGGCAGTGTGCTGAGAGTAGCAGCTCAGGGCAGTTTTGCAGTGATATTTATAACCTACTTTTAAATACATATAGATTAAGGAGCACTTTATGCAGAAATCTCTAGGAAAAGGGTGCTAACTTTTGGGTCATCAGGTCATTGCTATGGAAAGGGGAAGTAACTCCTGGGTGTTGCCACGGCAATGGTAAACTGACATGGCATGCTGGTGGGCATGTCTTATGGAAAGCTGCTTCTACCCCATCCCTGTTTTAGGTAGTGTCCAATTTGATCCAGTGTCCAAGCCCCACCTCGAGTGGAGTCCCACCTCCTACCTCACAGTGATTAACAAATATTTAACAGGAGGTCCTCTGAGGCTGTATAAATATCCAGTTTCTTCTTAAAATTTTGTCCACCAATTTTATCATAGTCAGTGGATATTGCAATTACTGTTATAGTGTTCTAATGGTGATCTTCTGTTTTCTTAGTTTCTTCTATATTTACTATTTGAAATTCTTCTATAAGGAAAATTTATCTCTTCTTCCCCGTTTATTTATTTATTCAATCCATTTTTATTTATATCAATATGGACTCATGGATATTTATTTTATTCTTCAGGTTATAATGCACTACCACATTTATTAACCTTGTTGCTCAACTTTAGCCACTGGGAGCTCTTTCAGGTTGACTTTTACGTCCTTTTGTCATGCCCTATCTTTATTTTTTCAATATACTTTCTTACTTGCTGGCACTCCTTTAGGATTTAGGACCATCTTGTATTTATTTTCCTTGACTCAGCTCTAGAACTACCCATTTCTCCAAGGGGCCCTGGTTCCTTTTATTGGAGAATGGTATTTAGGAACCAAGATTTGGGGGCTGAGAGTGCCCATTGCTACTGGGGTGTCACTGCTTCTAGGCCTTCTCAGCAGACAGAGCAAGGAAATATATATATAAACTAACCTATGAATATACATGTGTATACTTATTTCTGAATCTATTTGTATATACATTAAAATAAACATGAATTTATGCTGACACCAGCCCTGCAGGGTTCATACTAGTCTTTCCCCTGTTATCAATTGTGACTTTTTCTTTGACAATGAGAAACCTGACTCCCATTATCTATCATTTATTTATTTATTTATTTGTTGATCTTGTATATATATTAAAATAAACATGAATTCATACTGACACTAGCCCTGTAGGGTTCATATTAGTCTTTCCCCTGTTATCAATTGTGACTTTTTTCTTTGACAATGAGAAATCTGGCTCCCATTATCTATCATTTATTTACTTATTTGTTGAACCCTTACATACATATAAAGTAGCTTCAGAATGCTAACCTGTACTCCTATGAGAAATACATCTACCAACTACACCACAGTGTTTATAAATGGCTTGTTTTGTCTTTAACTACATATAATTTTTAATATTTAAAACAAGGCTTGGACTCACACCCCAGCTTTGCTACTCACTGGCTGTGTAGATACATATAAGGCACACACCTAACTTCTCTTTTATTTCAGTTTACTTACCTGTAAAATGAGGATAATAAACTCTGCTCTACCTGATTCATAGCCCTGATGGTGGGGATTAATTATAGGAGATATAAAAGGGCTCAGAAGAATTGCCTAGTACCCCTCAAATGCCCAATATCATTACATCACTGTCACTGAGCTCCAGGTTTGGGCCTTGCACATGGCAGTTTCTGCCCTTTGAGTCTTGTCCTGCTCTAAGGCACATACAAGGGACACAAATGTCCACTCCTTTCTGCATCCAACTCAGTGAGTCTGATCCAAGCTGGGAGGGAGGCTGGTCTCTGACTAAATAAACACAGACATTAAGAGCATCTGGGCTCTTGGAGGCTTTCACTACTCACTGGAGCATTTCAGCCTGACCAGCCTGGCCAGAGCCAAAGCTCACAACTGGCCTTTTCCCTCAGCTGCCTCAAGCAGTAGCCTTCCTGGGGGCCTTCCCCTTCATTTGGAAGACCCCCACACCCTGGGATGGGAAGCTTTGCTCTCACTCTGTGCTGAAGACTGGCAAGGTCCATTCCTTTTCTGGTCCCCAGCTTCCCTATCTGTAAAATGAGGGAGTTGGATTAGATCATACGTCACAAAGCGGTAGCCAGATCCAGCAGGCACGTGTTCCATTCGGCCCACAGAGCATTTTCAGTATGTTTTTAAAAAAATTAAAACACTTTCTATTTTAGAGCAGCTTTAGGCTTACAAAACAAATGGGCAGAAAGTACTGAGAGGTTCCACATAGTTACTCTCCCCACTCCCACCTTAACAGTTTCCTTTGTTATTAACATCTTGCATTAATATGGTGCAAGTGTTATAACTGATGAACCAACATCAATACATTATTATTAACTAAAGCCCATAATTCATATTAGGGTTCATTATTTGTGCTGTACAGATCTACAGGTTATGATAGATGCATGAGGTCATGTATTCACTATTACAGTAGCATGCCGAATAATTTCACTGCCCTAAAAATCTGCTGTGCTTCACCTATTCATACCTCCCACTTCCTCCCAAACCCCTAGTAACCACTGATCTTTTTTACTGTCTCTATAGTTTTGCCATTTCCAGAGTGTCAAAAATGATATGCAATCATACAGTATGTAGCCTTTTCAGATTGGCTTCTTTCACTTAGCAATATTCATTTAAGATTCCCCCATGTGTTTTTGCAGCTTGATAGTTTACTTCTTTTTTTGCTGAATAATATTCCATTGTATTGATGTACCACAGTCAATACCCATTTACCAGTATGTACCTATTTACCAGTATGATTTTTTGGCTGGAACTATTGCCAACATTCAAGAATGAGAGGCATTACTTTGAAATCCAGATTTTCAGATTCTCTTGAAGAATGCGAAGATTTGGTGACACAGGGTCTATCTTCCCAGATGGCAATAATTGGTGAGAAGTGAATAGCAGTAGCTCTCTTTGGATGGGGCACGAGGGATTGAGGCACATGCACTACGATCCCCTCCTGTCGTTCTTATGTGACCTGCCAAGTCCTGGTAAGAACTTAGACCACGTTTGCATCTTATTAGCCGAGTGTCTCCAGGCAAATATGCTGATTGTTTTTCATTTGCACCACTTCCTAGCCCCCAATCTTACCTCCACCCTTTTCTGTCCTGCTCTGTGTCCTGAGACTGAACCTGTAGACTGCATCTCCCAGGCTCCCTTGCTGGCTAGCTTCCAGGTGGGCTTGGCTGCAGAAGGCATTGGCAAGAGATCAGAGGGTGAGAGGAGAAAGGGACCACTCTCTACTCCCACTGCACTCCTCCACACCTAAGTACCTACTTTCTGGAAGGAGCTGCAGGTCCCCAAACCGTGGCTTCTGCTGGGCAACCCTCCCTAACAGTCCCCATCCTCACTGGGTGCTGGCAACTCCATGCCTCCCTTTGCTTCTTCCCACTGGGCTAGCCTCTGGGTCATCTCTTGTTTCCTCTCTTAACTTTATTATTCCTCTGTAAGTGATCCTTTCATTGAAGTCTCTATTTGAACCATCTGGGTGCATTCTGTTTCCTGTTGAAAGTGATAAAGCAAAATGCTTATTTTCTCGTGCCTCAGTGTCCTCATCTAAAAATAAGAATCATATTAATGCCCACTTCGCAGGGATGATATGGCAATCAAATGAGAAAATGTATTTATGATACCTAGTTCAGTGCCTGGCATAGGTAAGTGCTCAATGAACGTTCATTGATATTATCATCATCACTCCCATTGGAATTTATAACCTGGGGCTATACGATCTCTATAGGTCCTTACAGCATGAATGGAATATGAATGGGTGATTCTCTATACAAAAGTTGCTGCCAATCCAGATATTATTTTAGTCTTTTGATCTCAAGGTAGAGTTGAGGCTTAGACAATAAAAATTATAATTATCTCTTGTTGCCATTTATAAGCAAGAGGACTATGCCTTTTACAGAGAGGTTTCTTCACGTGATGTCAGCCATTTGGAACTTTCATGCCCTGTTACAGATAACAGGTAACATTTATGGAGCATTTTCTCTATGCCAAATAACCTGAGTCTTTATATGTGGAATTGTATAATGCCACACGTTACTGCCTCTACAGATACAATCACTGAGGTTCAGAGAGACAAAGTGACTTCTCCAACGTCACACGGTCAGTAAGTTTTTAAACTAGGACTAACCCAGGTCTCCTGGCTCCAGGTCTGGTACATTTCCCATTATATACCCTGCCCCTTTATGGGCAAGAACTCTGCCACACCAATACCCATGAGCTCTCCTCACCACAAAAATCTTCCCACTTCTAAATAGAAACATCACTCAGCCTTATAAATTTCCTAATTAAGGTGGCAGGATCTTGAGAAGTGTAAAGTGATATTATTGAAGGTGGGGTGGAAGTCTGCCCTTGACCACCCCTTTTCCTTGCCAGGCTCCAGGAAACAAGCATCCACTCTCACTTCCTGATGTCAGCCAGTCTCACCGAGTCTACGCCCAGTTTGATCTCCTTTGACGTGTCTCCTTGTGAGAGGGGAAAACCGAGTCAGCTGGAAGAGCCCAGTGAGAAGGAAGCAAAAAATGAGGCTCAGGCAGAGAAACCAAATCCCTCCACTCAGATGTGAGTGTGACAAATATGTGCGTAATAAAGGAAAGGAGGGATGAATGAGTCAATGAATCCACCAAGGCGTCAGACCTGGGGATCAGACTACAAGGTCTGAACCCATCCCCCTTGTATCACCTTGCTGAGCCTCAGTTTCCTCATCTGTGGAATGGGCTGCTACTGCCTGTCATTTGGGAGTTGCTTTGGAAGTTGAAGGAGATCACATGCACATAGCACCTGGCACACAGTATGACCTCAGGGATGGCTGATCTCTGCCCTCTTCCTTGTTTCACATTCTCCCGACACATTCCTTGACTTATCTGAGCCCTCTGGAAATGTATTCCAGCTTGAGGTCTCCTAGGTTGTTATAGCAATGATATCTAAGAATCATTATAGTTGAGATTTGTAGAAAGCAAAATGTGCAGCAACCTAAAGTTCTGACTCCTTGGACATATATTTGCATGCCTTGGCATTCAGTGATGTGCTGTCAATATGTCAGGTGCTTAAGAAATATTAGTTGACTTGATTTTCAGTCTAGATAGTTGAGGTTTGGATCATTGTCACCTCCTCATACTCTTAGTAAGCACTCTTACTAGGCACTTGGACATTCATAAAATTTCCAGAGCCCCCAAAAGCCTGAGAGGTAGTTAGGAAAATATATGTTATCGCCATTTTTATGGATGGGGAAACTGAGTCTGTGAGGTTAGGCAACTGTCAAGGGTCACAGAAGTCCCCCAATTCAGAATCCGGTGGTCTTTACATTCTAATGAGCTGTCTGTTTATCTTGGAATAGGAAAAAAAAAAAGGTGGTATCATCGAGCTAGCCTCTGAGTAATATTTCTCTCAGCCTCAGGAGAGGAGAAGCACCTTGCCAGGGGCACAGCACAATGGGAACTGTGTTGGGACAAAAATATGAGTTCTCTCACTCTTTGCATCGAGCTTTTCTCGTTCTGCCATGTGCCTTAGATTCAAAAGGAATAGATGTAAGGCAGGGAGTACTTGGAACTGACAAAATAAGAAATACTTCCAGTCCTCAGAGTCCTGGTAAATTAAATTCCCCTAGAGAGTGACTAGGAGAAGAGTTTCCAAGCCCAGCGTTCTGCATGCCTGGGGGAGCCGAAGCTGGAATGTTTCCCAGGAGTCTAGGCCTGGCTGCCTAGCTGCTGCCTGAGAGGCTCAGAGATGGCATTCGAGCCCCAGATCCCCTGGCTGGAGCCAAGCATAAGAACCCCAGGGTGCTTGGATTCACACAGTGCCCTCCCCAGCACTGTTCCTGACCCAGCTGTCACAGGTGGGTGGACACCCAAGCAGGGGCTGGGAAGCAGAGATGGCTGGAGCTGCTAAGAGGGGCCAGGGCTCCAGGGCACACTTGACTTGTCTCTCAGTGGAGCCAGGGACATGCTCCAATGACACCCATGGCTGCTTCCTCATAGGGCACCCTCTGCCTCTCTGGAGCCTGCCGCTGGCTCTATCGAAAGGGGCCAGTGGGAAATAGTCATGGGGTCCTACTCTGATCTGAGCAGCCAGAGGGAGTGACATGAGCTGAGAGTTGTGAATAAACCCCTGTACTTTGTACTTACTTACTCAACTTGACAAACATTCCCCATGGACTTGCCCTCTGTCAGACTGCACTGGGAACTGGGGATTCTGTAGTGAATCAGGCACTATGTTTGCTCTTCAGAATCTAGTAAGAGTTGGGCTCACATAGCCAAAATGCAAAGCAGAGCATGGCAGCGCCCTGGAAGATGAATTCCAGATTCCTGCTGCCTGGTCCAGAATCAGCATAGCCCAACAATGCTAGGTGACCTTGGTCAAGTTGCTTAATCTCTCTACCCTCAGTTTCCATCCTTACCCTTCTTTCTCAAAGAGCTACTCTAAGAAGAAAATAAGACAATTGGCCTGGACATACTTTGGAGTCAAAGCTGAATAGGGAGAGACGATTGCTAGTGTTTCATAGTGTCATCAGTAACATAGACACCATTTATTCAGTATCTTCCCAGGTACCAAGCATCTGACCAGTGTTGCATGTCATTCTTCCAACACTCCTGGTACAGCTCTATTATTATCTATATTTTAGAGATGAGAAATTGAGGCTCAGAGAGGGGAGGTGACTTACCCATGGTCACACTGCTTGTAAGTGACAGAGCTGGGATTGGAACCAGGACATTTGGATTCCAGAGCCTATGTTCTTTCTGGACTTTCTTCCTTATTTCTTTCTTACTCTCTCTCTCTCCCTCGCTCTCACTCTCCTCTCTCTCTCCCCCCACCTCTCCGTCTACCTCCCCCTCTCTCTCTCCCTCTCCCTCTTTCTCTCCCTTTCCCTCTCCCTTTCCCTCTCCTTTCTTTTTGGATGGCCCCTGGTAAATCCTCTTCACTCTTTAATTCAGCAATGACTTCTTGAACCCTTTCTCTCTGACAAGCATTGTGTCAGGCTCTGAGCATATAGAGGTAAGCAGGCTTGAAGCCTTCCCTCCTGGACTCACAGCTCAGTGGGGAGAACAAGCAATGAAGAATAATTATAGGCATAATGACTCTCACACAAGGGCAGAGACAGGGCCCCATGGGAGTGTGAACTTTATCTAGGAATTGAGCAAGGTCTTCCAGAGACAGTGATATTTAGATAAAATCTGAAGGCTGGCTAGGAGTTGGCCAGACAAGAATTCAGGGAGGAGGGAACAGCATGGAGTCTGGAGTCCAAAGGGCTCAAGGAACACAACAGGACAGATGCGCCATTCGAGAAACAGAAAGACACCAATAGCACAGGCTGCAGGGAGGAGTGGTACATGGATTGGCAGCAGAGGGAGGCAGGAGCCCTGTGACACATGTCAAGGAGTTTGGACTCTCTCCCGGGTGTCCTTGAGAGCAGATCTCATAGGGTTTGCATACCCTTCCTTTTACATCTTCATGGCTTCCTCATCCCCGCTCTGACTGTTCAGTCGGCAGCTGAGGAACGAGGAGGGGCAGGATCTAGGGGAGCTGACAGTGACCAGACGAGCTGAGGTCAGTGCAGAGCTGCGGATAGGACAAGGAGGGACTGGGCAGGGACCAGGACAGTGAAGCACTTGGGAGAGCTTTCAGTGGTGCTCGGACTTGAGGGCAGTCAGGAATCATTCATTCATTCATCATTCGTTCATTCTACAGATGTTTACTGAATGCCTACTATGCTCTGGGCACTGTTCTGGACACTGGGGGAGACCTCAGAAAACAGACATAATTCTGTTACTTTCTAGTGGAGAGACAGAAAACAAACATAACAAATGAGACAGTCACACATTATAGCAGAAGGTGACAGGTGTAGGGAAAGAATAAAGGAAGGAAGGCTCCCAAAGGCGAGGAGGGCCAGGCAGCTATGACTGATAGGATGCACGATGAGGGCTTCTCAGAGAAGGTGCCATCTGCACAGGACGTGAAAGTGGGGAGGAAGGAGCCAAAGGCACCCACAGGGAAGAGTGTTTCAGGCAGAAGGAACATCAGGTGCGAGACCTTGAGGCAGAAGGATGGAGGCTCTGTGTGGGGTTGGGGTGAGGGAGCAGGAGTGGGTGACCTCAGAGAGGTATTGGTCAGGGAGGGCAGTGAGGTCAGAGGTCAGGTAGGTGGAGCCTAGAGGGCACAGTGAGGACTTGGCTTTTCCTCGGGGTAAGATGAAGCGACACTGGGGAATTTTGATCAAAGAGGCGGCATGATTTAACTTCTACTTTCACAGGACCCGCCTGGCTGCTGGGTGGGTATGAGAGGGTTGGGGTAAGAAGGGAGGCAGAGAGATCAGTTAGGAGGCTATTGCAGTAGTTCAGATGAAATTAGTTTGAAGTGGGAAAGTTGAGTTCAGCACAGAAGAGGTTAACGATACCAGTAATGGAGCTACCAAGGAGGTAACTGGGGGCCAAGGTGGGGCCAGAATAGAGAGGGACAGAGAGAGCCCACCTTCCTGTTTCCCACCTGTGTGAGTCTGGGAAGCTGAGATGTCCAAAGGGGAGTCCAGGCTCTTGGGGTGGAGGCCCCTATCCATCCAGCCTTCTAAAATCTGTATTTTCTAGACCCTTCTTCCCTGCCTTTCGACTATTGCCTGGATCTCCTGCATCGAGTCTCACCTCCCCGAACCCATCCTCCAAGCTACCTCAGAGCACTCTTCCAAAACACACCTTGGACACCATCATTCCCTTGCACCAAGACCTTCAGTGGCTCCCTTTGTTTCAGGGCAAAGTCAGATCTCCAGTTCCCTCATGATCTGGCACCACCCTAACCTCCCAGCCTCATCTCTCACCATTTCCATCACATACTCAATACCCCAGCCACATTCAGTGCCCTGCCCCTTCCCAGACAGACCTCAAGCTTTCCTTGTCTTTGCTTAATAATAGTCACTCCAGTTGATACAGCTTCACCATCAAAGTCCTCCAAGAAACCTTCTCAGACCTTCATCCCCTTCCCAAGCTGGATGAGATCACTCAGAACTTGAAAAGCTGGTGGAGCAGCCACCTTATTTCTATCAAGAGCCCAGGGAAGGGGAGTGGTAAAGGAAAGTAATGGTGAGCACTCAGGGGCAGAATGGCCAATGTGTGAGACTTCAAACCACACAAGAGGAAGAGAAAGGCAAGCATCCCCAGCTAGCCTGAGGCATATTGGCCCATGATCCTTAGAGGCAGAATGTGGAGGGAGCTCCGACGGGTTATGGCCAAGTATGTTCTTGGGCAAACCACTCTCCAAAGAAGGGAAAGAGAGAAGCTCCCTGTTAGTAAACTACCACCATGTGCCAGGCACTTTTCCTGCTGTGTCTACTCTGTTCAGCAACACTGTGAGGCGGGGATTATGATCTCTTATCGGTTCCTCTGGTGACTTCTAACCAAGGCTGTGGCAAGGTTTTGTGCTATAGGTGGCATTTGCCCTGAGCTTTAAAACTAGGTAGACTTTGGGCATGTAGAGGTAAAGTTGGGATGTGGAAGGGAACAAAGGGCATTTTAGGCAGAGGGAATAAAATAGAGAGGGAAAAAAGGAGGTAATTGTGGGTCCCTGGATTTTAAAAGTAGAGTTGCCATTGTTTCATTTTTTTTAAAAAAGAGTATACTCTGAGGAGTAGCTGGAGCTAAGTCTGCGAAGGCCAATTAGGATCTGTTCTTGAAAAAGAGCCCCAAATGCCAGGCTAAGGCAGGGAAATTAAGAAGCAGTCCCTTCCCGTTGCACTCAGAAGTTTCCAAGCTGGTGGCTTCAGTGGAGAGAGGAGAACAGAACCCAACAACACAGAAGAAAATGGCTTCTCCTATCATAGCTAACCAAGCAATTTTAGCAGGCTTTTGGAGGAAAGAAAAAAGCAACAACAAAACCTGCCAGGCTTTGCTTGATGGTGTCTACAAGGGAATTTTGGAAACAGACAGGCTTGTGGATCAAAATATAAAGCTCACCACTTAAATAGCTTTATTTCTCAACAGCTGCACTAAGTCCCTAAGCCTCCCAACACACAGGAGGAGGTAATAGGCATCGCTACTCCTTGCAGAGGACAGACACCCCAGTCTGCAGGCACCTCGGGCCCCAGCTCTGACCTCACAGGGGAAGTGGGGCCCCATCCCCAGGGGGTAGCTTAGGAAGGACCCAAGAGGGCAGGGGAGTCACTGAGTGGGGAGTATATGTTCTTAGATCTTGGGCCACTCTCATCGAGTTCCACCCTAACCTGGCATTGAGGCCCAAACGGGAGATATTTGGAGGCCTATTCAAGGCTGAGGAATGGATTTCAAAGGGTCCCAATTGCCCACCACTCCCAGCTCCACGTTGGGCTTCCATTTGCTTTGCCCTGGTCATCGGCTGTGTGATATAGTCAGCACTGCAGGGCCTCACCATGAAGGAGCTGTTGAAAAACCCAGCCCCCGCCCCCGGCCCGTGCTCAACACCCCACAACCCACCTGCCAGGCTGTATAGGTCTATCAGCCTCCACTAAAGATCAGAGAACATCAGAAAATTGCAGCCATAAAACCGGATTCCAAATATAACTCTTCCAAGGGACAAAAACAAAGAAATATAAACCCTCCATGAGTGGTTTTCTCATGTTTCTTGTCTTGAAGACCACTTTCCTTTTCCTTCTCTGTGAGAAAAATCCCTTTGCCAGTCCTTCACCAGGTGAGTCCTCACAGGAATGAGACTAACTCAAAGTCAGGGAAATCCATCATACAAAATACACCTAGCAGGAATTTCTCAAAGACCAAGTCTAGAATAGTCACGCAGGGCCTCAGCAGAAACACATGAGGTGAGCTTGGGCACTCAAAAGACAGTCCTCTTCTATGTGTCTTCACCAAAATGAAATGAAAATGCCACTGGTTCTCCCCACCACCTCCCAAATGGTAATATTTGGAACACACACACACTTTCAAAGCTAAACAATAATTCTCAAAGCCAGTGTAGACTCTAGACTACTAGAAGACATTTTTACAAATGCACATAATCTGCACAGATTCTCCCGCCCACATGGATATCCATCTTATACGTGCCCCTTTTTGCTCACACCAGTTGGAATTGTGTTTCTATCACTTAAAATGGTAAGAGTCCCAACCAGTGCACCTCATCTCCCTGTATTGGTTAAGAGGCATTCAGCCAGCCGGGCACGGTGGCTCACGCCTGTAATCCCAGCACTTTGGGAGGCCGAGGCGGGCAGATCACCTGAGGTCAGGAGTTCAAGACCAGCCTGGCAAACATGGTAAAACCTCATCTCTACTAAAAACACAAAAATTAGCCTGGCGTGGTGGCATGTGCCTGTAATCTCAGCTACTTGGGAGGCTGAGGCAGGAGAATCGCTTGAACCTGGGAGGTGGAGATTGCACTGAGCCAAGATTGCTCCTTTGCACTCTAGCCTGGACCACAAGAGTGAAACTCTGTTTCAAAAAAAAAAAAAAAAAAAAAAAAAAGAAGCATCCAGCCTCAAATAACAGAAATGTATTATGTCACAAAACAGAAAGTGTGGAGTTGGGATGGGCTTCAGGGTAGGTTGATTCAGGGATTCAATGGTGTCTTCAGGTTCTTCCAAGCTCCTTACTCTGCCTAGAAACAAGGACACATCAATTTCGAACATCACATCTGTATGGAATCTTCCACATGATGTCAATCTGAGGAAGTAGGGGAACCGTTTCTTACTATGTCTGCCTCCCAGGGATAAGGCAAGGAAAACTTCCCCAAAGTCCTCAGCAGATATTTCCTGTGTTTCATTGGCCAAAATCAGATCTCATGGCTTTCCTCAATCAGTGAGTTGAGATAGAGACACTGGCAAGTGAAATGGGATTTTCCCTAGACCAATCAAGCACTCCTCTGAAGTTGGGGGTGGGGTCAGAGACCCCCAGGGGTAGCTGGCTGTGTCTGTAAGTGTATGATGGGGTTACCTCAATCACACTCGGGTTCTGTTAGGAAGGAACAAAAGGAAAACGGCACTGGCAGGTAGCCCACGATGTGCACTGCACTACGTCCAATGATTACCTTGGCCAAAGCTTTCCTTAAACTTGGGCCACATCAAGTTCTCAGGCAGGAAGTTTTCTCCCCCTAGTCTCTGCAAGAGAATGGTGATCATAAGACATCCACACACAATGTCCAGAATCAACCTTCAGGTGTCGACATTTGTCCTAGTCACTTTGAGAAAGGTTCTCTGGACTGCTGTCATGGGATGGACTAAAGTGAGGTGGTGCTGAATGCAGGAAGTCAGTCCAGCTGTCAGCCCAGCACCAGTAAAATCAGCAGACACCCCAGCCCAGGAATGCCAAGGCATGAGTCAGGACTAAGTTTTCGGTCAGAAGGGTGAAGAAAAGAAGGGTGTGTTGTCAGAGGGAGACTCTTGGGGATTTTGCCAAAGGAGGATCTTGGGGCCCTGAGGCCTTCTGTGCAGGAAAGGCAGGGAGACAAGACTCTGTGAGTTGGAGGTGGAGGGAGGGGCCCCCAGTGCCATACCCTTTACATGTCCTGAATGGTGCAAGGCAGGTTGGGTGAACAGGACCCTCACTAGGACTGACCTTGAAGCTCTTCGCTCCGTCAGCTCACCAGTCATTGCTTGGTGATGGGAACAGAGTGTGGGATTTGGTTTCCCCAGCCTCACCTCAGTCTGAATTCTCCAAACACTCTATGCTGTTTCTTGCCTTCAAGCTTTGGCTCTGCTCTTCCCTCTTCAAAAAGGCTTTCTCCCACCCAGGCCTCCTAACTCATCCTTCACAGTACAGCCTTCGCAGTCCCAACTGAGTGAATAGCTTCCTCCTTCTGCTCCCACACAGCTGGAGGGCTGCACGCCTCCCTTTGGGTTGTAGTTTCTATCCACATGCTTATCTGTCCCTCTCACACAATGAGCTGGGGGCTCTCGGGAGCTGGGACCATATCTTGTTCATCTTGGTGGCCTCCACAGTGTCCAGCACAGCATAAGTCAACAACACCTGCTAAGAAAGGAGGATAGGAAAGGTGGAAAGAAGAGAGGCTCCTGTCACTTCTTCTAGAGCTGAGTTGTCCAGTATGGTAGCCACCAGCCACATGTGGCTATTTAAATTTAAACTAATTGGGCCAGGTGCAGTGGCTCACGTCTGTAATCCCAGCATTTTGGAAGGCCAAGGCGGGTGCATCACCTGAGGTCAGGAGTTCGAGACCAGCCTGACCAATATGGTGAAACCCCATCTTTACTAAAAATACAAAAATTAGCTAGTCATGGTAGCATGTGCCTGTAGCCCCAGCTACTCAGGAGGCTGAGGCAGGAGAATTGCTTGAAGCTGGGAGGCGGAGGTTGCAGTGAGTCGAGATTGCGCCACTGCACTCCAGCCTGGGCAACAGAGGGAGACTCTGTCTCACAAAAAAAAAAAAAAAAAAAAAAAATTAAACTAACTAAATAAAAGTTAAAATTTAGTTCCTCAGTCACACTAGCCTCAAAGGCCTCAATAACCCTATGTAGCTACTGGCTACTGATTGGACAACACAAACATAGAACATTTCCATCATTGTAGAAAGTCCTTTTCTAGAAACTCAAACTATGGCTGCAGAACTAAGAGGGGCAGACCATCTGCTACAAACACCATTCTTTTCCAACCCAGCACCCAGCACTAGGCCAGACACAGCCTCCTTCCTCCTCTCTCTCCTTCCTTTCCACCCATCTTTCTCCACACCCCTTTCCAGGAGCAGATCATAATCCCGGAAGAGACAACCTTGAACACCATAATCCCAAATATTGAAAAATCCTGAAGGATCAAAATCCCAAAAACACAATTCTGGAAAAAATAATTTAAAAATTCTTGAAAAGATATTTATTTACATCTTTAAAAGAAGATTTATTTGAGAAACACAAAAACACATAGGCCACTTTACACAATAAAATAGGCAATAATATCATACATATTTTTGCAAGCATAAATACTCAAGTGTACTAACAACAGTTATACAAGTATGACAGTTATGAGCAGATGTACTATATTCATAAAGAAATAGGTTACAAATGGAAATGTATAAATGCATACCACCATAGTTAGTAGTTGTAGGCACCCAGATTTATAACGGCAGTCATCTGAAATACCATGATGAACATCCTAAGTCTTTTGATGACATCAATAAAAAACCATGGTGCGTCACCACCAAATATGCAGTCACCCAAAGGGCCAAGATCTCAAGAAATGTTATTTTTACAAATGCAGATGTACAAAAAAGGACATATTTTCCTTTACTGAGGAAGCTTCAATGTTTTTACATACATGTACAATGCTTACACACAAGCCAACATTGTGATGCTGTACTTTCATGGAGTCAAATTTGTAAAAGCTGCATAAAACAAATTAGAACTCTGAAAGCCTCTATACAATTTATACTACAAGTATTGGAAATGATGCAAAGATGAGATATGAAGGGTAGTGAATTGTAAAAAATAATACTGACAATTTTAAATAGTAGGGGGAAAACCCCAAAAGATTTAAAAACTAAAAAGAAAATTTGACATATTGAAAAGTGTATTATAGGGATAGATTATGGGCAATTGCACAGAGATAGTCCATAAGAGCTAGCTGATTTTCATGATTATTAACTATGTTTTGAAGTCTTGCATCATGATAAATAGCTGCTTATTATTTTTTTGGACACAGATCTCCTTGGAAAATACATTCACATTCATTTTCTATGTGGCACTGCTCTTTTTGAAATCCTTCTATGATACAATACACACTGACATTAGCATTTCCTATTAAATTTTCCAATCTTTTGAGCCCTGCTTCTGTGTTGTTTTGAGTACTCCAAAATGCATTCCACAAGCGTGCATATACAGACCACAAATTTGGTGGAAACGATAATGGCGATCAAACAGTAACACATTGTAACACCATTGGCTGTCTCCTTATCCTACCACGAAAATAATTGTTTTCAAACTAGTCAATAACGTCACCAGCTTCTTCAGGCAAATGTGGCTTTAATTCATTAAAAGCTCCTGGAATGTCATCAGCTAGAAGGAATGTCAATGCAGGCCAAGGAAACATTCTTAAACAGAAGTTTTCATAACTGCAATATTGCTTGGCCAAACAACTCATCTGAATTTTCCACCAGATGCAAATAAAGACAACAGCAAGGTAATAGTTCCGCCTAACGTGATGCAACTAACATAATGTAACTGCTCTGTGTGCAACCGAAACCCCCACTAATCCCACCTCCAGAATTCAGCTTTCAGGATGATGGTGTTTGGGATTGTGTTTTTTTGGATTAAGATCCAAAAGCCACTCTTCCTGTCCCCCAACAGGGTCAAGTGAGTCAAACGAGTCATTCACAGCAGCTTCAGAGTTCACAAAGCCTTTTTACAGTTTGCGTATCTCCAACCCTTCGCTACAATCCTAGACAGCAAGGAGGGAAGGAATTATGATTTTCATTTTACAGGTGAGGAAATCAGAACTCAGAGAGGTTGTGACTTGCCCAAGATTTCCCAACAGGCAAATGTCAGAGCCTGGATCAGACTTCAGACTCAGGCCCCCTCTTTTTCTCCAGTGCCGTGTCACCTCTCACTAAGGGGTCATCTAATCCAGCCTGCTATCTGATATACTAATGCCTTCAACAACGTCCCTGTCCAGTGACTATCCAGCTTCTGCCTAAACACTCCCCAAGACACGAGCCTCACTACCATTCCCTGAAGCAGCGAGATGCATCTTTAGACAGCTCTGCCAGAAAACACTTGCTCAGTCAGGGTCAAAATCAGCCGTCTTGTAACACTCCTGTCTGAGACCTCAGTAATCATGCCATGCAGCCATTCAAATGCCTTCTGCGACACAGATGCCGGCCCACTTCCAGCATCTGCTCGCTCACCTCCAGTTTGGGGAATTCAACACCACTCAAGCCGACCCTTTCCTTCTTTGAGTATTTAAAAATCATCCTCCCTCCCGCAACTCCTCCCCACTGGCTTTGTCCTCTGTGGCCCCCACAGACCACATCTGTTCCTTCTGCCCCAGGGTAGCCCCTCAGAGACAACGACCATGCCCCTAAGTTTTATTTTTCTTCTGGCTGCAGCCTTAACAGGTCACCAGGGACGGGATGCTCTGTCCTGCTAGCCTGACTTCCTCTACTTCCCTTTCCCCTGAGCACATGGACCCCCACATTTCCACAGGAGGCCAACGTCATGTCTATAATAACAACTACTGCCATACACTGTGTGTTCACCATGTGCCAGGCACCTTAATGAGTGCTCTGCTTGTATTCCATCTTCAATAACTCTGCATTATTATTCCCATTAGACTGCCTATGTATACATGGCTGTCACTCTGGGTTGAGGGGACAACTGCAGGAATCTGAAGGATGGATGTGACCAGAAACAACCCAGGTTTGAACCTGTGTCAGTCCCAAGACTCCAGGCCCCAAGGAAGGTGGAGGAGTTCAGAGGTATACAGAATCTGATTATGGGCACAGACCACAGGGGCAAAAGACTTGGGTTTAAATTGTAACCGTTTACCGACTATGTGACTTTGGGCAAGTCACTTCACCTCTCTCAGCCTCCATTTCTTCATGTTTAAAATGGAGCCAGTAGCAGGGAGCTAGTAGTATGGAGCCCACATGTTGCAGTAAGGAGACAATGAATGCTGGCTCAGTGCTCAGCCATGGAAGCTAACACCAACATTGTCATCAATATTATTACAGAGAGATCATACCCAGGGCTGAGGCTGGTGCATGTCATAGTCTTGTCCCCCCTACACACACACACTGAGCCTGGTCAGACACAGTGTCTTCCTGCACCCCCACGCACCTTCCAGCAAATGCCTGAAACCTGAGGTGGGTGCAGATGGGCTATATGAGGGAGGGGTGTGAGAAGCCTGAGGGGGCATGGCTTGTAATGAACTGGGCATCACTCAAACTTCTCTACAGTAAAGAGAAAGGGCAATGGACAGGAAATAAAGGGTGAAAGAGAGTGAGGAGATAGAAAGAAAAAGACTGAAAATGCTGCCATCTCACTGCTAATGAAAGCATGGCTTCAGGCAAGTTATTTTCCCTTCTGAGCCTCCATGTGCAACTCTGTCAAATGGGCTAGTAACTCTGTCTGAGCCTCCATGTGCAACTCTGTCAAATGGGCTGACTGGGGTGAGGATGAAGTGAGGTGCTGCACCTGGAAGCCCCCAGCCAAGGTGTAGCCCACAGGAGCCCTCAGGGAAGCTCTGCTCCTGGGCAGGGAGAGCTCTGTCCAGCACGGCAATCCACAAGAACAACAATATAATCAGAACAACATGATGCCTACTGTTTTCCAAATACTGTGTGGGGCCAGTCCTCACAGCAACCTTTGAGGAAGGTGTCATTATCCTCACTTACAGGTGAACAAACTGACAGTTAAGCAGGAAGCAGGTAACATGTACAAAGTCACCCAGTAAGCCAAGATGCCAGGACTGGCACCTGGGTCTGGCTGATGCCAAATTTTGTTCCCCGAAAATCAAACTGTGGATCCCCTGTGAGCCAGGCACTGGGTGTGAGAGCCTTTCCATAAATCTTCCCTCCTAGCCCAAGGATCACCCTGGACCACTTCCACTGGGGATGATGGAGGAAGACTAGACAGAAGCCCAGTGCCCTGAGTTCTGGTCCCCTCTCTGCTACAAGACGCTGCATGGTCACAGGCTACTCCTTCCTGCTCCTCAGCCTCAGTTTCTTTATCTGTATCATGGAGGTCCTGGAAGTCCGGACTTTCAGGGTTTTCTGACTAACACTGAGATTGCGCACACAGTAGCAGGAAGTTGGAGGAGGAAAGTCATCTTAATGGGAGCAGAGTACTGCATTCCTCTATCCCTTAATAACCACTAATTAGTTAATCCCTGTAGCAGCAAAGTGAGTTATCAGGTATTATTAGCCCCAATTTACAAGCAGGAGGTTGAAGGAGAGAAGAACTGACAGAGGGATTGGTCCCAGGCTCTAGGCAGAGTTGGGATCAGTGAAAACCCAACAGACACTACAAATTGCTTCAAGATTGGGGGAGGAGCAGCAGAGAAGCGAGGGAGGCCTCAAAGGGGAGGAACCACACAGGAAGGTGCTTCTGATCCTCATGAAGTTGAGGTCCCTCTGAGGGCACCTGGGCCTGCTCTGTCTATGCACAGATGTGTGGACCTAGGCCCAGAGATGGAGAGAGACTGGCCCAAGGTCACACAGCCAAAAGTGCAGACAAGGAGTGCAGAGCTCCATCGGTTCTCAGCTGAGGCTGTTCTGATGGGGGTTGGGGCGATGGCTTCTAAGAGCTGAGCTTCTTCCATGGCCCTCCCTGAATTCCTAGAGAAGCAGCCAGCTGTAAGCCCCCAGGGATGGTGTGTGTACTAATGGCCTGTGACAAAGGCAGAGGATAAGCTCCCTGCTCTGCAGACTAAACAAGGCACAAGAAGCCAAGTCAAACAAAAGCTGAGGTTTTGTGTCGGCCCAGCTGGTGGGCTAGAAGCGGCCCAGCCTCTTGGGAGGCCAGGCCCTGAGCCATCACCTGGAATCTCCTCTGGTGGCCTTTCTCCCTTTTGCCACTGAGGGCTGCACAGAAGCATGTCCACAACACATGTCCTCACTCTGTGACCAACCCTGCTTTGTAGCACACAATGCACTTTCATCACAAGGCCCCAAGATGACAAAACTGAGGCTCAGAGAGGGGAAGGAAGATGCTTACCCCAAGTCACATAGCAAGTTAGGCAGGAGACTGGGCACAAGACCTCCTGACTTCCGCACCACCACAACCCTCAAATTTTTTTTAATGAGTGTTTTTCTTTAAAACATAGTATGAACACTGGAACAGAGGGAAATGCAGTATTCCAATTTCCATCCACAGTGTTGTCCGACCTGGCATCTCACTGGAGTCCCCAAGCACAGGCCCTGGCAGCAGACCAGGCTGGGTTCAAGTCCTACTCCTGCCTTTTGCTAGCCCCACGGCTTTGGCAAATTACTGCAGTTGGAATTATTAACTGTTGGAATTATTAAATTGTTGGAATTATTAAGTGAACTAATGGGCACAGACATTTTGTTCCACACTTAGCATATAGTAAGCACCCAATTATTGCTATTGCCATTAGCAGCTCCGGCACTTACCTGCCAGGTGTGCAAGGCCCTCAACTGCTAAGCCTTCTGTCTCAAATGAGACATCACCAAGATTTCTCCTAACTCCAGAGCCCTGTAGTCTCCACCACCTGGCCCAAATGAAACGATGGACCCCAGAATCAGGGAAGTATGGTGGGAACCTGTGTCACTTCCCTGTTTCTCTTTCTAACCAGGCTCCTTGCCCCTCCCCCAGGCTCCACACACCTGCAGCAGAATGTTCCGGGATGTGAGTCTGCACAGCAGCCAGTCTGCCCATTCTCAGAGCTGCTCAGTTGAGTCACTCCTAGTGTTGTTCTGGGAGAAGGTGGAGACTTTCATGTCCCTTCTCTGGCAGTGCTGCTCCTAAGCGTGTAGGGAGACAAATCCCCCTGCCTTGTTTTGGGTACAAACAGTGGAAACATAGGCATCCTACCTGCAGAAGACTTAGGAGTCAGTCTCCATCAACCCCTTGGATCACGTGTCAAAGGGGTCCTCACCACAGCCCTAATCGTGCAGGGATTGCTCTGGTGTTTTCAGAACACAGCTCCTGTTCTATATTGCAGAGCTCACTTTCAAAAAATTGAGAATGATTTGGCTTCAGGCCTGGGGTCATTTCTCACTTCTTGTCTCCTGGTTCCCAACAGGAGCAAGAAGAGATCTGCCTGGTGGGGATTAAGGTGACACTGCTCTCTACCAGCTAGGGAGGTGCAACAGGACATGTGAGGAGATTACCTACCTGCCCCTGCTTACCTTTCTGTGTGTCAAGTTTAAGCCCCTAGAGGGTTATGTGTAATACTGTTTAGGAATCTTAAACGATAGAGACCCTATTGCTGGGATTATAGGGTGTGGAGACATTCTCGCCTTTCACACTGAGGCTTGGGATGGCTGCCAACCTCAGTGCGTCATGCCAGTTGCTGAGCCCTACTTTGCACAGAAGTGACTTATTCCAGTGTATTTAAAATAACTAATGTCCCAGGAGCCCCTTATCTTTAGAGCACATTCTGCCATTGACTGATATGGACTCAAAGGAAAGTTTCCAGACCCAACTGTAGCTGGGAAATTATTGGGTCTGTGTTAAAAGACTCCACTCCTCAGGGTGCTTGCCATGAGACTTTAGACAGGTCATTTTCCCTGTCTGGGCTTCCATTTCCTAACCTGTTACCAAAACATAATAACTTCCAGCAATGTCTGGTTTTCATGGCTAGGTGAACATCCTTTCTAATACCACAAATTCAAGGGCTTATTATTGTTTCCTGAAAAAGTATAGAGTTATGGCTTCCAAGCATCAGTTGAAAAGTAGAAAAGTAGAAAAGTCACAGTAGAAAAGTCAGTATAAGATAATCGGAGGACTGTTATTGGAAAGAACTGATTGGCCTTTAGTCAAGTGTGTGTCTTTCCTAATTATTTTATTGGGGGCTATTAAAATGTCCTTCTTTTGGAAAATGGTGGCAGATCTTAGCTTTTGAAGTTTATAAGTTTCTTTGTTTGGCCTGACTTGGAAAACAAAAAAAATGGACATTCCATGCAGATTTCCCCTATTTTTACTTGAAATATTGGTCAATCCAAAAGTCTGAGAACTATTGGCTTAAAAGACCAAGACTGTGCCTATTAAACTGGTTTTACTGGCCATGAAATGGTTAAGTAGTAACATCCCAGAACTGCTATAATCATGGGATGCTAGTTACTCCCTCTACTCAGATCCTAATTAAAAAGTACCTCCTAAAAATGAATTTTTAGGTGATGAACAAGTTCCGAGAGACAACATAGTACGGTGGTTAAGGACACAGGCTCTGGAGTCTTGCCATCTGCGTTCAAATTCTGCTTCTGCAATTTACCAGCTGTTAACCTCTCTGGACCTTAGCTTCCTTATCTGGAAGGTGGGGATAATAAAAGCACCCAACCCACAGAATTGTTTTAAGGATTAAATACATTAAGCCATGTGAAACACTTAGAACAGGGTTGGCACATAGCAAGTGTTCAAAATACAGTACCTATTATTATTATAGGCATTTACATTTTAGTAAAGCAATAAGTGTGTCTCCAAGTCAATGAATTCCATCTCGGTGTGTGAAAGTTGTAGCTGCAATATCGAAAGTACTCCCTGTAATCTTTGAGAACAACTCGCAGAGAAAAGGAAAAGTAGCAAAAAGTTGAGTAGTGTTAAATGTTTTGATTTCCAAAATAATAAAAGAAAATGTATCTGAAAGACTGCACTTATCCTCTTATCAACAAGGCAGTCTGTCCGAAAATAGAAAACAAATGGCAAAGAGATGAAAATAGTGGAGAAAATGTAAGAAAAATAAGGACGAATTCAGTAAATTTGACTAATAGTACTTCCAGACAGTGAAAAAAAGAAGGTGAAAAATTATTTTCTTTAAAAAGAGATTGATTTCTCCAGAACCCAAGGGCATAAGTCTCCAGAATGAAAGAATCCTTGAGAATCAGGTCCATAGATTAAAAAACAAACAAACAAACAAAAAGCTCCACAAAACAATTACTGCAAAGTACAAGAATACTGGTGATAAAGAAAAGATTCTATGAGGTTCCAAACAGCAAAACCAGGTCACGTACAAAAATGGTCAGCAATTATAGTGATTGAAGACTTCTCAGAAAGTAACACTGGAAGTGAGAAGATGATGGAACATTGCCTCCAAAATTCTGAAGGAAAATTATTTTTGACCTAGAATTCAATTCCCAGCTAAATGAAAGAATAGAATAGAGACATTTCATACAAGCAAAATTTCAAAATATTTTCTATCAGGGCTGTGCTGAGCCATATTGGAGGCCGAAGCAAAAGGAAAAGTCAGTAATGCTGACTTTGTCTTTATCTAAAATTCTGATATGTTTTTCATAATGATTATTTTGCACTAATTTTTATATTTTAAAATGCTGTTTAAAATATCATTTATTGTGATTATTGAGATTTTGGGTGCTCTCTTGCATTTTGCACTTGAAGCAAGTGCCTCACTTTCCTTTCTCTTGTCCCATCCTTAATTCCCATGACCTTTCTTGGGAAGTTACTGAAATATGTGCTTCCCTCAAAAAAGGAGAAAATCAAGAAGGAGAAAGACATGGACACAAGGGCAAGGCATGAAACACGGCAGAAAGATCAAGGGAATTCCTGTAGTGTTGGTGAAGGGTGATCCTAGGGTGATAACCATGCCCAAATCAGAGAGGCCAAGAGACCTAGATTGCAGCAAGACAGAAGGCAAGAAGTGGAAACTGGTAAGTTCATACGAAAACACAGAGAGGAGGGCATTAAGGATGGTAATAATTTTTTTTAATTCAGCAAATGAAAACACAGATAATTATTATCTCCAGACAAAACCAAAAGTCCAAAAATGGAAATAAATAAATAAATAAATAAATAAATAAATAAATAGTATTCTACTAGTTCAGCTGTGAAAAGCATTTAGATAATACTATAAACACTGACTATTGATCTAATTAACATTATGATATGACTATATTAGGAGGATGGGGTAATAGGAAGGATGGGTACACATGGTGGAAATAGGTGTAAAAGAAAGCTAAATCTTTATTTTCCATAGTGTTAAGCCCAAAATCTGAAATATTAAGTAGTAGCTGACACCGAAAGCACATGCAACAAAAGCAAAAATAAACAACTGGGACTATATCAAATTAAATAGTTTCTTCACAGCAAAGGTAACCATCAACAAAACAAAAAGACATCCAACCTATGGAATAGGAGAAAATATTTCCAAATCTAATATGTCCGATAAGGAGTTAATATTTAAAATATATAAGAAATTCAGACAATCAATAGCAAAAAACCCCAAATAACCAAATTTAAAAAGGATCAAAAGACCTGAATAGGTATTTTTCCTAAGAATACAAATGATCAACAGGTATATAAAAAGAATCTCAACTGGGTGCAGTGGCTCACACCTGTAATCCCAGCACTTTGGGAGGCCAAGGCGGGTGGATCACCTGAGGTCAGGAGTTTGAGACCAGCCTGCCAACATGGTGAAACCCCATCTCTACTAAAAATACAAAAAAATTAGCTGGGCATGGTGGCACACACCTGTAATCCCAGCTACTCGGGAGGCAGAGGCATGAGAATCACTTGAACCTGGGAGGCAGAGGTTACAGTGAGCCGAGATTGCACCACTGCTCTCCATCCTGGGCAACAGAGTGAGACTCTGTCTCAATAAATAAATAAATGTAAATAAAATGAAAAGAATCTCAATATCACTAAACAACAGGGATATACAAATCAAAACCACAATCAGATATTACCTCATGCTTGTTAGAATGGTTATTTCACAAAAGTCAAAAGATAACAAGTGTTGTCAAGGATGTGGAGAAAAGGGAGCCTTGTACACTGTTGGTGGGAATGTAAATCGGTACAGCCATTATGGAAAACAGAATGGAGGTTCCTCAAAAAATTAAAAATGTGACTACCAGATGACCCAGCAATCCCATGTCTGGGTATATATTCAAAGGAAACAAAATCAGTATGTCAAAGAGATATCTGCACTCACATGTTCACTGTGGCATTATTCACAATAGCTGAGATATGGAAACGACTAAGTGTCCTTAACAGATTAATGGATAAATAAAATGTAATACACACACACACACACACACACACACACACACACACACAATGGAATATTATTCAGCCTTTAAAAAAGGACATTTCGCTACAACTTGGATGGACTTGGAGAACATTATACTAAACGAAATACACTAGATACAGAAAGACAAATACCACATGCTGTCACTTATGTGTAGAATCTTTTTTTAAAAAGCCAGACTCCTAGTAACAGAGAATAGAATGGTGCTTACTATGGGCTGGGAGGTGGCAGAAAAAAGGAGTATTTGTCAAAGGGTGCAAGCTTTCAGCTATGAGATGAATAAGTTCTGAAGACCCAATGTACAGCATGGTTACCATAGTTAATAATACTGTATTATGTACTTGAAAATTACTGAGAGGGTAGATCTCAAGTGTTTTCATCACACACACACATACACACACACACACACACACACACACACACACACACACAAATGTAACCACATGAGGTGATGAATATATTAATTAGCTTGATTGTGGTAATCATTTCACAATGTATATACACATCAAAACATCATGTTGTACACCTTAAATATATACAATTTTTATTTGCCAATTATATCTCAATTGTTAAAAATCAAGTAATAGCAAGTTAATTGAGTTATATAGAGATGTGGAAGAAAATACTAAAAAAGTGAAAAGAGGTGGAAAAAATTTGCTTTTGGGTGGGGGATATGGGAGAAGGCAAAGCAATAGGGCTACTCTTTTTGTGTCAAATCTTACAGAGTTATTTGATCTTTAAACTATGTATCTGTATAACTTTAAAAAATATAAAAACTTTCTAAAAACGATGTATTGATAGCTGTTTTCAGATTAGTTGAAACATTTGGGAAGAATTAGAGAAAACTACCTAGATGACTCATCCAAGCAATTATTAAGTCCAGGAAAAACAAAAAGAAGTACAAAAAGAGAGACATAGTAATATGGTTTGGCTATGTCCCCACCCAAATCTCATCTTCAATTGTAGTTTCCATAATCCCCACGTGTCATGGGAGGTAATTGAATCATGGCGGCATTAACCCCATGCTGTTCTCATAATAGTGAGTGAGTTCTTACAAGAGCTGATGGTTTTATAAGGGGCTTTTCCCCCTTTGCTCAGGACTCATTCTCTCTCCTGCCACCCTGTGAATACGTGCCTTCCACCATGATTGCAAATTTCCTGAGGCCTCCCCAGCCATGTGGAACTGTTAGCCAATTAAACCTCTTTTCTTTATAAATTACCCAGTCTTGGGTATTTCTTCATAGCAGCATGAGAATGGATTAAGACAGTAAATTTGTACCAGGAGTGGGGTGCTTCTGTAAAAATACCTGAAAATGTGGAAGCGACTTTGGAATTGGCTAACAGGCAGAGGTGGGAACAGTTTGGAGGGCTCAGAAGACAGGAAGATGTGGGAACATTAGGAACTTTCTAGAGACTTGTTGAATGCCTTTGACCAAAATGCTGATGGTGATATGGACAATGAAGTCCAGGCTGAGGTGGTCTCAGATGAAGATGAGGAACTTCTTGGGGACTGGAACAAAGGTCACTCTTGCTATACTTTAGCAAAGAGACTGGCAGTATTTGGCCCCTGCCCTAGAGATCTGTGGAACTTTGAACTTGAGAGAGATGATCTGAAATTGGAACTTATGTTTAAAAGGGAAGCAGAGGCTGGACACAGTGGCTCATACCTGTAATCCCAGCACTTTGGGAGGTCAAGGTGGGCAGATCACCTGAGGTCAGGAGTTTGAGACCAGCCTGGCCAACATGGCAAAACCCCGTCTCTGCTCAAAATACAAAAATTAGCTGGGTGTGGTGCTGGACACCTGTAATCTCAGCTACTCAGGAGCCTGAGGCAGGGAGAATTGCTTGAACGTGGGAGGCGGAGGTTGCAGTGAGCTGAGATCATGCCACTGCACTCCAGCCTGGGCAACAGAGTGAGACTCCATCGCAAAAAAAAAAAAAAAAAAAAATGAAGCAGAGCATAAAAGTTTGGAAATTTGCAGCCCAACAATGGAATAGAAAAGAAAAACCCATTTTCTGGGGACAAATTCAAGCCCATTGCAGAAATTTAAATAAATAAGGAGGAACCGAATGTTAATCACCAAGACAATGAGGAAAATTTCTCCAGGGCATGTCAGAGATCTTCATGATAGTCCCTCCCACCACAGGCCCAGAGGCCTAGGAGGGAAAAATGGTTCCCTGGGCCAGACACAGGGCCCTCCTGCTGTGTACAGAGTGCCTTGCATCCCAGCCGCTCCAGCAATGGCTAAAAGGGGCCAAGATACAGCTCAGGCTGTTGCTTCATAGGGTGCAAGCCCCAGGCCTTGGCAGCTTCCACATGGTGTTGGTCCTCCATGTGTGCAGAAGACATGAATTGAGGTTTGGAAGCCTCCATCTAGGTTTCAGAGGAGGTATGGAAGAGCCTGGATGTCCAGGCAGAGGTGTGCTGCAGGGGTAGAGTCCTCATGGAGAATCTCTGCTAGGGCAGTGCAGAAGGGAAATCTGGGGTTGGAGCCCCAACACAGAGTCCCCACTGGGGCACTGCCTAGTGGAGCTGTGAGAAGAGGGTCGCCATCTTCCAGGCCCCAGAATGGTAGAGGGCTAAATCCTCTTCTATGAAAATAGGAAATCAATAGTGTTTAAAATTGATAAATCAAGAAATAAATCAAGAAATAAAAGTATGAGCGTATCATTTAGAAATGCAGATATAAGTGGCCGGGGGCAGTGTCTCACACCTGTAATCCCAGCACTTTGGGAGGCAGGTGGATCATGAGATCAGGAGTTTGAGACTAGCCTGGCCAAAGAGATCAGCGGGGCCAACATGGTGAAACCCTGTCTCTACTAAAAATACAAAAATTAGCCGGGCATGGTGGCAGGAACCTGTAATCCAGCTACTCCTGCTGAGGCAAGAGAATTGCTTGAACCTGGGAGGGGGAGTTTGCAGTCAGCCGAGATCGCACCATTGCACTCTAGCCAGGGCGATAGAGTGAGACTCCATCTCAAAAAAGAAAGAAAGAAAGAAAGAAATTCAGATATAAATATCAGAAGAAACAGCTGAAAGGGTGGAAAATGATTGTCTCAACTCTAAGGAGTGAAAAGTAAGGAAGAGAGTTAGTTTTTATTATAAATAAGACTTCCAGTATTATTTGACTTTTCAAACTGCATGTATTTCTTGATTAAAACAAAATTTAATTTTAAAAAATAAAACTAGAAGCAGGTAACAGCTACAAGGAGGGTAACTGAGGTTCCAGATAAGGAAGAACTTTTTAATATCCAGAGGTATCCAACAGTGGAGCTGGCTGTCCCTACAAATAGAGTTCCCTCGCCATCTAACAGAAGTATTTAAACAGAAACTATATGCTCAGCCTACCAGAAATAAGGTAGAAGGTTCCAGCTTCATTAGGGAAGTTAAACTAAATGAGCTTTCCTACCCTTTTAACTCTAAGACCCTTTTCAATTTTATGCATTTGTGGGAGCTGGGATGTTATTGTCATTTATCTCCTAAATAATTTATCTATGCATTTTACAAGCATTTGCTTGGTACCTATTTCACGTCTGATGCTGCACCAGGTCCTGGGTTGGGGATAGGACAGCTGAGATAGACAGGTGTGGTGTCTGCTTATGAGAATCATTGAAGGGCAGTGCTAGAAAGGCCCTCCGAGTTTGTCTGGTCCAGGCCCTTATTATACAGAAAAGGAAACTGAGGTCACAAGATGGGCAGACACTTGTACAGTATTATACAGCATTAGTGGCAGGGCCAAGATCACATCCCGACCTCTGCATTCCTGTGCCAGTACTCTTTTCCTCACCATTCCTCCTCTGAAGAGCGCTTCCTTAAAAATAGTTCTAACAAAAATGAAGCTGCTTCTTCATGTCATTTTACTGATCTCATGTAGGCAGTATTGTGTCAGGAATCTTATATTTGAATTGTAGCAACGTTTGGTTTCCTGGATATCTGCTTCAGAGGTCATGTGGTGAACCCTCCGAGACACCAGTCAAAGTTTGCTGAACCCAAACCTCCAAGTCGTTCACCTGAAAGATCTAAACCAACAGAAATGAAACAAATTGGCATTGCTTTGTCTCACTATCTCGTGAGATGCGTGAGAATTCTTAAGCAGACAGTTACTGCCTGTGTCATGGGTAAAATCCCAAATCATTTTGTGGGGTTTGTTATTGTTCCAACAGCTATAAGAGAGCCAATATCTGCATGTACCAACATCTCTTTGTAGTATCGCTTCCTGGATCCTTTTTTTTTTTTTTTTTTTTCCGCTTGATTTGGGAGTCATGTCTCTGCTGCCTTGAAAAAAAATGCCACCATCTCGCCAAACTTCAGTTTCCCCATCTGTCTGTTTGCTCATTTAAACAAGAAAAATCAAGGGCATTAGACTAAACCAGTGGTTCTCAGCCAGGGGCAACTTTGCCCTCACCCTTAGAGGACATGTAGCTCTCTGGAGACATTTTCAATTGTCATACTTGGGGTGGGGTGCTGCTGGCATCTAGTGGAATAGAGGCCAGGGCTGCTGCTAACATCCTAAAATGCACAGAGCAGCTCCTTCAAACCCAGAATTACCTTGTCCAAAATGTCATTAGTGCTGCTGTTCAGAAACACCAGGCTAGATTCTTTGGCTTCAAGAGACAGAAACCCAATTCCAGCTTGGTTAAACAAAAGAAAAAAAGAAGACAGGGTGGTTATTGGAAGGATATTATCATTGCTTAAAAACAAGACAAAACAGGCTGGGTGCAGTGGCTCACGCCTGTAATCCCAGCACTTTGGGAGGCCAAGGCGGGGGAGAATCGCTGAGCCCAGGAGTTTGAGACCAGCCTAGGCAACACAGTGAAAACCCATCTCTACAAAAAATACAAAAATTAGTCAAGCATGGTGGTGCATGCCTGTAGTCCCAGCTACTTGGGAGGCTGAGGTGAGAGGATTGCTTGAGCCTGGGAGTTGGTGGCTGCAGTGAGCTTTGATTGCACCACTGAACTCCAGCCTGGGCAACAGAGTGAGACCCTGTCTCAAAACAACAACAACAAGAGGTAAGAGCTAAGCTGAATTAAAAAAAAAAACAACTCAGGATTAATATGCCTTGGTGACTAGAATAAGTCGTTCAACCCCATATGGGGCTACCTCTCCCCTCTCTCTGTCTTCCTTCTGTTCTCATTCTTTTCATGGTACGTAGGACTAGCCACCCAAGCTCTGGGCTTGTATCCTCCCAGTGCCATAACCAGAGAGGAAAAGGTCCCTTTCCCAGATCCATTATCGCAAATCCTGGATTGGGAAAGGATTCTGATTGGTGAAGCTTGGTCACATGCTTATCCCTGATATAATTAGGTATTACCTCCACTTGTGAATTTCCTGTAGGTACAGAATCCAAGAAGAAAAGTGTTGCTGTTGCTCATCCCTAAGATTTAGAAGTTAAATGTTTTTATTTTTAAAAGGTAAAGAGAATCTTTGATACAATTTGTACTGGCGACACTACTGGAAACAACCTGAGTTTCACTTAAGTGACCAACATCAAATTGCTCCAAATCAAACAAATCAACACCAAATTGAGCCAAAATGTATTCTTTTGTATGATTGTTGTAAGAGAAAAGAACTGACATCTTAGAACAGAATAGGGAAAACAAAAGAAATCCAAAGCAACCCTAAGTTCAGTTTAGCATCTATAAAATTAGCAAAAACATTTTAAAATGGTAATTCGCCAATGCTGTTGAAGGTATTAGAAACACCAGTATATACACTGCTGTTGGAATATAAACTGTTTACTTCTTTGGGAAGTATATTTGGTAATATACATCAAGATACAAAAATCAATTCTCCTCTTAAAAATCAATAATTAAGAGAATACTTCAACAGAATAAAAAGGCTCTGCATACTATATATATATATATTTGTATTACTTGCAAATGATCAAAAAGTGCAAACAACTACAATAGTAGAGAAATGGTTTGCCAGAGTGTGTTGCGTCCACAGTATGAAGTATTTTACAGCCATTAAAACCAATCATTATGAAAGCATGGCTGTGGCGCTCTTAGTCCCATCTGCAAAACCCCTGTGAGTCCTGTTGGTCTCAGGAAAGATCCAAGCTCTCAGAATAGAACCTTGCTCAAGTGTTTAAGCAGGTCAAGGCCAAGTTCTCCAAGGTGGCCCCAGTGAATATGTTCAGCTTAAACAAGAGCCCATGAGATACTATGTGGCAGTGGGTTGGCAGGAGTTGGTAATGGGCACTCCAGCATTGCAGGAGCTTGGTAACCTACTGTTGGCCCTGCTCACAATGAGGCTGTACACATTCTGCTGACCACGAAGGGGACTGTGCACACCTGGAGCATGGATGTGTCTTCTGCAACAACTCCCAGCCAAAATTAAGAGGATGGTCAGAGGCATAGCGGGGAGAAGGGGTCGAGTACAATCAGAGAAGCTAGGAAGACTTCTGACTCTATGCTCCAGGTAGCTGTAAGAGGGTCTCAATAAACTATGCCTCCCAGTGTTCACGTGTATGTGTACTACCCTTCCCTTGGACCTGGACCAATCCTGGAACTCTCACTTGTAATAAAAAGAATATGGCAGAAGTGATGTTGTATGACTTCTGAGGCTAAGTCAGAAAAAGCCTTGCTGCTTTGACCTGAGTCTCTTGGAACATTCTCTAAGGAGCCGTGAACTACTATATAAGAAGTCTGCCATACTGGGGAAGCCAAGTGTAGGCACTCCGGTTAACAGTCCCCGCACAGCTCCGCCTTCCAGCCATTCCCACTAAGACATCACACATACAAGGGAAGTTGTCTCGGATCCTCCAGATCAGCCCATCCACAAGCTGAATACTCCCAAGTGACTTCAGCCAGTACCACACAGAGCAGAAGAATCTCTCAGCTGATCCTGGCCCAAATTCCTGACCCACAAAATTATAATACAAAATAAAATGGTTGCTATTTTAAGCCACTAAGTGAGGGGGCAATTAATATGCAGCAATACATAACCAGCATATCACCTTTGGGAGATGCTTGAGAATAAACTCATTATTCCAAAAGCAGATAAATTAAAGATAAAGAATCAAGCATTTGTCCTGCCTTTCCTTTATGAACTATTTCAGAGTAACCAGATAGTTGATGAGACCAAGCTCTTCTTTATAGAAGAATTACAGCTAATAAAGGAAGAAGGAATATCAGAATTAGAATATCATGTGAAACCTCTGATGAAATCACAGTGTTAGACAATAATCATCAATGACTGCTAATATCATTAGGCAAAAGGCCAGCAAGGAATATTAGAATGGATGGATCAGGCTGCAAACACCTGAATCCACTGATCAATATCTTCTCAATAACCCAAGACTGGAGAAAACTAGCGAGCATGTGCCTTCTGATGTGAGGCAACAAGGAATACACAGTACCGCCTCTAAAACTTTCTTGCCCTCAAATTCTGTTCCCCTGAATCTGATAGAAATTCTAGACTTCACTACCAGGAACCAGAGGAACATGTTAAATGATCCCCTGGGGATGCAGTCAGCAAAATCCAGAACATGGAAAATTCTACAGGACAACCAAGTTTCTTCAATATGTAATTGTTTTTTAATAAAGGAAGAAGGGGAGCATATTAATTAAAAGAGGCAAAGGGCTGGGCGCGGTGGCTCCTGCCTGTAATCTCAGCACTTTGGGAGGCCGAGGTGGGTGGATCACTTGAGGCCAGGAGTTCCAGACCAGCCTGGCCAACATGGTGAAACCCTGTCTACTAAAAATAGAAAAATCAGCCAGGTGTGGTGTTGGGCACCTGTAATCCCAGCTACTCAGGAGGCTGAGGTGGAAGAATCCCTTGAACTCAGGAGGAGGAGGTTGCAGTGAGCCGAGATTGCACCACTGCACTCCAGCCTGGGTGAAAGAGAGAGAAGAGATTCTGTCTCACAAAAAAAAAAAAAAAAAAAAAAAAAAGTGCCGGGCACGGTGGCTCACGCCTGTAATCCCAACACTTTGGGAAGCTGAGGCTGTTGGATCACTTGAGGTCTGGAGTTCGAGACCAGTCTAGCCAACATGGTAAAACCCATGTCTACTAAAAATACAAAAATTAGCCAGTTGTGATGGCACATGCTTAACATGCCTGTAATCCCAGGTACTTGGGAGACTGAGGCAGGAAAATTGCTTGAACCCAGGAAGTGGAGTTTGCAGTGAGCCAAGATCGCACCACCGCACTCCAGCCTGGGTGAAAGAATGAGACCCTGCCTCAAAAAAAAAAAAAAAAAAAAAAAGGAAACAAGAGATATGTCAACCAAATTCAATGTGTATATCAGAATCCACAAAGTCTGTGGATTCTGATATATACATTAGTGTGTGTGTGTGTGTGTGTGTGTGTATTTGAACATAGACTAGGTATTTAGTGATATTAACAATTATTTTTAATTTTAGGTGTGATATAATATTGTGTATATTTTTTAAAGATAAAAGATGTATTTAGAGATAAAAAGATATATGCATCCCAGGTATATCTGGGATTTGCTTCAAATGAATGCAGTGGTAAGGGGGTAGGAATAGACAGGGTATAAGGAGGCAAGATTGGCCATATGTTGATATTATTGAAGCAAGGTGATGTCGATGTGGAGGTTTTAATATCTTTACTTTTGGTATATAATTTATATTTGCATTCAAAAATAAAACAAATAGCTCTGATCAAAAAATAAAAATATTGGGGGCAGAGGGTGCAGGAGATATTTCCAGTGAAGTATCTCTGCGTGATTGAGCACAGTAAAGACATTCTTTACTGCTTCCCCTCTCACCAAATCCTCCTGCATTCATAGGACTAGAAACCTAAAGAGGCATCTGAAGTCACATCTTAAGGATGCATAATGGAGGGGAGTTTGGAGAGGGAACAAAATTATTAAGGAGGATTATACTGTCACCACTCGACACAATGGAGACTGCTGCTTTTAACTGCCTTAAACAAGTCTTGCTTCATACCAGAGCTGCGACTCAAGGAGGCGTCGCCATGGGAAGTGGATCCTGCCCAGCCGATCAAATCTTTCTTCTTGGCTGGGTCTTTGAGTGCAGGTTTTCTGCCTATACAACAAGAGAATGGATGTGGCTCTTAGAATGCACTTGAAATTCTTCTTCCTCTTCATGGTGTCTTTGTGGCCAGATGTCTTGGAAGGCCCAGGAATGAAGGCGCCTCTGGATAAAGTGGCCATCCTGCTTCTGAGAGCATGGGGGACCCAGGCAAGTTACTATCTTTCTGTGAGTCTCTGTTTCCTCCAGATGCAGTGAGCAGCGGTATAGCATAGGGTTAGCCAGAGGGCTCTAGAGACATCTGGTTCCCGCAACTCACCAGCTCTGCAACCTTGTTAGGCCATGCAACTCCTATGTGCCTTATTCCCTATTTATAAAGTAGGGATGATAACTTCCACCTCACATTGTTGATGAAAGGATAAAATTAGATAATGCGTATAAAGTGCTCAGTGTGGTACCTAGCATAGATCCACTCTCAATAAATAGTTATTACAATTATATTTATTTCTTCATAAAATGTGTATTGCAGCTAATAGCCATTATGGCTCCTCCTAACTCTAATGTTTGAGGATTCATTCACTGATACAACAAACTGTACGTCAGGTGTCAGTGCTAAGGTGAAGACATATCTGGTATTGGGGTTAGGGGCTGAAGTCAGCATATTAGGCAAAAACTCAGCATACTCAAAATTACTTTTGGAAATCCCTCTACCATCAGCTGACCACCCAATCATTTGCTCCCCCATTCAGAGGTGATGCTGGGGAGGTGCTTCTTGCGGGGTGGGGAGCCTGCATGATCTGGGCAATGGAGTAATAGTGGCTGAGGGATCTTTCAGGATGTGGCATTTTGTTTCCTCCTAGGGCCTGGAACGTGAAAGCCATAAACTGTCCTCCATTCAGAGCAAAGCAATGCTCCCTCCATTGCTTCTAAGTTCCCAGCCCCAGTTCTGGATGAGAAAATGGAGAGCAGCCTCAGTAGTCACTTTCCTTCAACTTCAAGGCTGCCATGAGATGGTCACCACCTCATGACCAGGAAGGAGCATGCTGCTTTGGTAGACTACACATACCTCCCTGTGGCAGCCAGGCCCCCACCACCCATTCTCATCATTCCACACAAACGTGAGCCCCTACCATGAACAAGATGTTGCATGGAGCACTGGCAGAAGCAGAGTGAGTTGAAGGTGGCTTCCTCCCAGGACTGCATGGTCACAGACCCCAGCACCAGCAAAGTATGGTCATCAGGACCACAGGAAGGGCCAGAGATGGGCTATGGGGCACTGGGGTCAGGAAGAGTGCCCCATCTTCCTGAAGGGTGATACTGGACCTGGTCCTTGGAGAATAAGAAAGATCTGATGAAGCAAAACCCTGGAAGGAGGGTATCCAAGATGAAGAGAAAGTATGAGGTGCAGTCTGGAGGCAGGAAAGATGGGCTGCATCGGAATCACACCAGGTAGAATGGTTGGTTGGTTGAATTGGGAGGTGGAGCTGGAGAGGTATGTAGGGCAGATGGCAAAAGGCCTTAAATTCAGGCCAAGGAGAGTGGACTTGATTATGGAGGCAACAGAGACTGAGGGACAAGAGCTGGGATTGGAAAGAGGCCCCAAGCATATATGAAGCTCCCCTACTCATGCCTGCCCCACACCTTTTCATGGGATGTTGTACAGCACACTCCCAGATTTGGAAAGCCCCATCTATAAATCTTTCAGTCCCAGGATCACTCCTTTCTACAGTGGCTTCAGCAGCAATGACAGAGTCAAGAGAGGTCACCCTTTAGGTTTCTCAACACAGTTGCCCTTCCCCTCTGGAAAAACTACATCACGGTGGAATGGGAGAGGTGGAGATGAAGGCTAAACACAAGAAAGAGGTTAACTACTCATAGAGTGTCAGACGAAATAACCTGAAAGTTCTCTGCTACAAAACACTCAGAAATGCTGGTAAGAAAATTTTCAGTCATTTTAAATGTACAGCTAAGCTTACAGGAACATGAGAGCATTTTCCTTCTTTTTTTAAAAAAATAGACTTGGGGGTACAAGTGTTGTTTTGTTACATGGATACATTGGATAGTGTAGTCTGGGCTTTTAGTGTAGTCATCACTCAAATATTGTCCGCTGTACCCATTAAAGAATTTCTCTTCCTTTACCCCCCTCCCACCCTTCCAACTCTCCAATGTCTGTCACTCCACAGTGAGGGCATTTTCAAGGTCAAAATGAAGGGAGAGCTGAGCACTGGAGCAGGTAGAAGGCTGCAGCTGCCTTGCAGAGTTTACAGCAGGAGATGTCAGGGCAACAGTGGAACTGCGAGGTTGCTTCCAAGCAGGAGGACAGCCTGGGAAGGACTGTGCTGGGAGGCCCTCTGAGAGTCTCACTCTGTGAGTGACTCTGAGTCCCTGGCTGCCCTCTGCATACAGTGCTTGGAAAAGCCACGCATATTTTGTCTAAAGAAACCACTGGTAAGGTGGACGAACCCGACTTGGCTTACCTCTAACATCCCACATCACTTCTGCTCTTCTCTGAGTCTTAATTTTATCATATTTTAACTGGAAATGGTGTCACCACAATAGACCTCACAGGACTGCTGGAAGAACTTGTTCAGTATTCAACTAATATGTATTAAGCAAGGAGCGTGACAAGTGCTGGGATATGGAGTTGAACAGGAAAAAATCCCTGCCTGCAAGGAGCTTACGTTCTGGTGCATAAACAGACACTCTATAAACAATGTGGACATGAAGTGGCAGAGATCAGCACTAGGTAGAGAGGAAGGAGCTCCCCCAAGCCTTGGCCAGGAGGGTTGGCAGGCCCTGGGGGGAGGTGGTGTTTGAACTGAGTCATGAGGGATGGATAAATAGAAATCTTTCACAAGAAGTGGGCAGGGCATTCCAGGAATGAGCTAGAAAGCCCAGAGTCCAAAGCAGCATGACATGTACAAAAACTACACATGGCACAGGTAAAATGTGGGTGGGATGCGGAGACAGAAAAGGGTCAATAGGGACACAGCTCACATGATTGGAAGATGAGACCCTGGATAGACTCCAGTAAAACTTATGTGAATTTCAGAGAACTCCTCCCTCCTTGCAATAATTCACAATCCTATTCCCACCACCATGACACCCAGTGGTATCCTCAGAGTAGGAGTCAGCTTACTGCTTGGACTTAACCTACCTTCCCCAGAAAGCAGAGCTTGAGGCAGAGGGCTTTTGAGCTGCCATAGATGATCCTCAACTTACCATGGTTTAACTTATGACTTTTCAACTTTATGATGGTGCAAGAGTGATACACATTCAGTAGAAACCGTAGTTCAAGAGCCCATACAACCATTCTGATTTTCACTTGCAGTACAGTGTTCAATAAGTCACATGAGATATTTAACACTTTATTATAAAATAGGCTTTGTGTTAGATGATTTTGCCTGACTGTGGGCTAATGGAAGTGGTTTGAGCACATTTGAGGTAGGCTAGAGTAAGCTATGTTGTTCAGTAGGTTAGGTGTATTAAATGCATTTTCAACTTATGATATTTTCAGTTTTCAATGGGTTTATTGGGACATAACCACATCATAAGCCAAGAAGCATCTGTATTTTACTAGGGAGCAGGAGTGAGGAACAAGGAGAGCGAAGCAGGCAAGAGGGAGGATACAAGGATATATGATGGAGACGGCCACTGCTAAATGCACCTCATTATTCAACCTCATGGAAATGTCCCCCGAGAAACCATGCAATCTGTGTCTCAGGTAGGGTGACCAACCATCCTGGTTTTCTCAAGATGGGGGGATTTTTCCAGGATGTGGAACTTTCAGTGCCAAACCCAGGAAGGTCCTGGGAAAACGAGAATGAGCTTGTTCCGTAGAATCAGGACCACTGGATTTGAGGATAGAAAAATGGAAAGATAGGGAAGGTAACAGTTGATGGTCTTGATTGCTTTATGAAGTGCGACATACAGAGATGGGTGTGGGAAACTAAAAATGGGGTATGAATAGTTGAAAGAAGTGGAAGGATGAGTAAAAAGATGCCCTAGTGGCACTAACAGCCTGGCTAAAATTGAAGACCTTGAATTGTTGCTGAATAGTATTGATTTATTCAGTCATTCATTCACCCATTTTGAGTCATGTCCGTGATTGTTGGTTACCATGGGAACATTGATCAGTGATGTAATTTTGGCCATACCAATACATGTCAGAGTCTCATGGAAGTTCAGAGCTCCACGCTGTCAACCAGGGTCATGACTCCATCATGGCCACACCATTTACGTTACTGAATGTTCTCATTCTCTACCACAGCTGCCACTACCGAGTGGATGCTGATGCTTCCGAAATCTCTAGCCCCAGTCCAAACCTTTTCCTGGGCATCAGACCTACAAACACCCAACAGGCACCTCAGTCTCAACATCTCCAAACCCATATTCATCATCTTACCCCCAAAACCTGCTCCAGCAAGGGAGTGGACTTTCCCAGACAGTCTGTGTATATGAGGATACCAAGTTACCTTCTCACTATCTACTTCCTTGCTTGGTTCTGAAAATGCCATCTCCAAAGGCTTCCCCATGGTTTGAGGAATCATGACTTTCAGGGGATACATGTGGGACAATCTGGAGGAAAAGTGTTTGAGGCAGAGAAAACAGCTAGTGCTAAAGCCTTAAGGCAGGAAAAAAGTGTGTTTCAGGGATGTAAAGAAGGTCAGTCTAACTGAGCTTGGTAGACAAGGAAGAGTCTGGTTCAAAGGGAAGCTGGAGAAGTAAACAGGAGCTAGATCACATGGAGCACTGTAGGTCAAGTGAAGGAGATTAGACTTTCTTCTTGGAGCACTGCAAAATCATTTAAGGGTTATAAACAGAAGAGCTGGTGCATTAGCCAGGGTTCTCCAGAGAGACAGAACCCTTAAGATATATATAAATGTAGAGAAAAAGATTCATCATGAGGAATTGGCTTATGTGATTATCTGCTATCTGCAAGCTGAAGGCCCAGGAAAGCCAGTGGTGTAGTTCTTATCCAAGCCCAAAGGCCTGAGAATCAGGAGTGCTGATGTCCGAGAATAAAAGAAGATGGATGTTCCAGCTCCAGAGAAGAGAGAATGTACCCTTCCTCGACATTTTTTGTTCTTTTCCAGTCCTCAATGGACTGGGTGATGCCCATGCATGTTGGGGAGGGTGGAGCTTCTTTACTGCCTGCTGATTCAAATGCTAATGTCTTCTGGAAACACGTGCACAGACATACTCAGAAATAATGTTTTGCCAGCTATCTGGGTATGCCTTAGCCCAGTGAAGCTGGCACACAAAATTAACCATCACAGTACGCATGATTTGATTTATACTTTTAAATACACCTTTAAATTTGATTTCCACCCTGGCTGCTGAGTGGACAATAGAAAGTACAGGAACAAGACAAATAGGACATAGGCAGGGAGACCAATTAAGGGAGACCAGGAGATAGGCAGGGAGACCAGACTGCAGTAATCTAGGTGAGAGTTGATGTTGGATGGGACTAAGACGTAATTGTGATGATGAAGAGAAGTTTCAGATTCTTGATTAGTTCTAGGGGGGACGTTCAACAGGACTTAAGTATAAGGCATGAGGAAATAAATCAAAGATGTGTCCAAGGTTTTAGGCCTGATCATCTGTGTGAATGTGTGTTATTTACTGGGATGGGGAAGACCTGGGGGAGGAACATGTTTGGAGGTGAAAGGAAAAGCAAGAGTTTGATTTGGGACAAAGCAAGTCTGAGACACCTATTAGACATCCAAGTAGAGGTATAAAATATAAGGTTGGATATATATGAGTGTGAGCTAGACAGAGCTGTATGTAGTTTTGGGAGGCACTGCAGCATATTCAAAGCCTTGGGCCAGAGGAGCTCAGGAGCTCACCAGGGAGAAGATGGATCTAAAGAAGGAGATCTATGGCCAAGACTTGCAGCACTATGACATTTAGAAATCAAGCAGCAAATGTGCAGGGCTGCTAAGGAGACTACAAAGGGACAACTAAAAAGATATGATATTCTAGAAGCCAAGAGAAGAAAGCAGTTCAAGAAGGGTGTGGCCAACTCTATCAACCATATAATACGCTGCTGAGAGATCAAATAAGGACAGAGAAGTGACCACTGGAGGTCATCAGCAGCCTCGTGAAAAACAGTCTCAGTGGGGTGGAAGAAAGAGAGGACCCATAGCACAGGGCTGAGCAGAGAATCAAAGGTGAGGAAGTAGACACAGGAGACAACTCCCTGAAAAGGGCTTCTGTGAGGGACAGCAGAGAACTAGATCAGCTACAGGAAAAGGTAGGGTAAGGAAAAGGCTCTGCAAACCCTGGAGATACTGGAACAGGTCTGCATTTTGGGGGAATGATCTGAGTGGAAAGAAAGAACCTAGAGATGCAGCAGAGATAGGAGAATTGCAGAAGCAAAGTCCTCTAAAAAACCAAGAGGCCAGAGGATTAAGCTTACAAGCGAAGAGGGTTTCTCTTGGTAAAAGCAAAGATACTTTATCCACAGCAATATGAAGACACGAAGGAAATATTAACACAAATTCAGATGAATTGGGAGGTATGCTGGGAAGATAAAGGTCCTCCTTTATCAAGGACACAGCCAAACCATATCAAGGAGGACCTATATAACTGCTTCTATTTTTTCAGTGAAATATGAGATGAGGTCATCAGGTAAGAATGAGGGAAGATAACAAGGTGGATGGCCCTTCCTGACAGATAAGAGGCCCCAGTAAGTGAGGGAGGCAAGGGAGGCAGGAGGTAAAAATGTGAAATAGTTGTTTTGAAGACTGGGAAGTGGAACACATAGTGAAGGGTAGGATTGCTGAGCAGGGCTGAGTGCTCATTTGAGATCTGTGGTCATGAATTTAAAGCAAGACCAGTTGGTCTAGATATATGTTTTTCTCTCATGACGTTTACCGGCTTGAGTTCAGGTATGTAGTAGTCAGATGTGTAGGCTTAAGCTGAGAGCAAATATGAAGGAAGAAGAGTGGAATACAGGAATTAGAATACTTGAAATAGAGTAGTTATGATGATGAACCACAGAAATTTAGCTGGTTAAGGAAGGAAGTGAGAACCTGAGGGAAATGACAGATAGTGGGAAAAGTGGAAGGGCCAGTGTATTGGAAGTCTTGATGAGGTGGATTGGAAATACTGCCCCAAGGGAGCTGGGATGAAAGGAGGTAGCAGGCAGAGAATGTAGGTTTTTGGTGATGGTATGGTCATGGACATGACAAAGGTAATGAGTGGCTGGAATGGAACAGATCAAAAGAGTAAATTAAAAAGAAGATGTATTAGTCTGTTCTCACAATGCTAACAAAGACATAACCTGAGCCTGGGTAATTTATAAAAGAAAGAGATTTAATTGACTCGCAGTTCAGCATGGCTGGGGAGGCCTCAGGAAACTTACAATCATGGTGGAATGGGAAGCCAACACGTACTTCTTCACATGGTAGCAGGAAGCAAAAGTGCTGAGCAAAAGGGGGAAAAGGCCCTTATAAAACCATCAGATCTTGTGAGAACTCACTCATTATCACCAGAACAGTATGAGGGTAACTGTCCCCATGATTAAATTACCTCCCACTTGGTCCATCCCACGACACGTGGGGATTATGGGAACTACAATTCAAGATGAGATTTGGGTGGGGACACAGCCAAACCATATCAGAAGATCAAAGAGAAACATGGAAACTAGAAGCCAATGTATTGGATGTCTCACCCATATGAATGTTGAAATTACCAGGAATGGTGTCAGGAAAAAGGATAGACAGGAAGACAGTGTGCCAGTGCTAAAGACACCCACTAATGAGGGTAAATAGAGCATTCATATGGGCATTAAAGGAGTGGAGAGTTGAAGGAAGAGGGAGAAGGGATGGGTTCAGAAGTGACCACAGAAGGCAAGGAGGACCACTTACACAACTTCCCCACCTCAGGCCCTCAGGTACCCAGTTTTTAAGAGGAAAGACACCTTCCACCTCAGTAGGTTGTAAAAGAAATAATGTCATGAGCAGATATTCAGCTTTCATTTAATGCAAAAAAGTAAGTGAGCACTCAGAGAAGTAATTGAGGATATTGGAAAGAGTGTAATTGACAGCCATGAGTTCACAAACCCACAGAGAAAAGGTTTGGGAGCACAGGAAGGAAAGGAAAATTGAGTCAAAACAGAGACTCTTCCAAGTGGCATGGGAATTAGGGTCCCCTTGACCTGAGGAGCTTGGGTTTCTGGAGATGACTGAAGTGGACAGGAATGAAAGGCATCCTGAAATTAGTCTTAAGAGTCTCTTAGGGGAAGGTGGACTTGAGACAAAAGGCACAATGCTGGTTAGCAACAATTCTCTACTGTGCCTGTGAGTAATGCAGAAGCCAGAATGAGTCCCTGAAGGGATTGTTCTCTTAAGGGGAGTTCACTGTGAAGGCTTCCGGGGAGGGTCCATCTACCCTGAAAATGGATCCCTAGGGTTGACTTTTCCAACTCCTCAGGTGGTGCAGTGTTATGATGCTCTGGAGCACAAGGAGCTCAGAGCCTGCCACTGTGCTGCTGGGTGGTGTGGTGGTGTGGCGGGCAGGCTCCCAAATCATTCCACACAAGTGACATTTGTGTAAACACCACTGTAATTTCTCTGTTGGAGTCTGCAGACCCATCCTCAAGTTATCAGGGAGAATTTTAATTTTTCTATATTGATAATAAGCTTAACAAATAATAAAATCATATTCTATGTCCTCTAGATGTGAGGCTACCAGATAAATTACAGGACTCCCAGTTAAATTTAGATTTCACATAAACAGTGAATGCTTTTCTAGTATAAATATATCTCAGATATTGCATGATACATATTTCTACCAAAAAATTATACTTTATAACTATTGCCACCTGATGTTAGTACCTGTGTGTATGCATTTATTATATGTTTATTATACAATAAAGAGATTTATTATAAGGAATTGGCTTAAACAATTTGGAGGCTGGCAAGACCCAGGATCTGCAGGATAAATCCAGCAGCTGGAGACCCAGGAGAGCTAACGGCATAGTTCCAGTCTGAAGGCTGCAGGCTCAAGAACCAGAAAAAGAGTCAATGTCCCAGTTTGGAGGCAGTCAGGCAGGAAGAATCCTCTGTTACTCAAGGAAGAGTCAGCCTTTTTTCTAGTGAAGTGTCAACTGATTTGGTGAGACCCACCAACATCAGGGAGGGCAATCTGCTTTGCTCAGTCCGTTGATGTAAATGTTAATCTCATCCAAAACCACCCTTGCAGAAACACGCAGAATATTTGACTAAATATCTGGGCACCCCAGAACCCAGTCAAGTTGACACACCAAATTCACCATCACAGTGTTCATGTTTGCACTGTTTATGATGAAACTGGGACCAAGCAGTAACATTAATGAGAGGCCTGATTCTCCTGCCTCAGACTGCCGAGTGCCTGCAATTGCAGGCGCGTGCCGCCATGCCTGACTGGTTTTCGTATTTTTTTGGTGGAGACGGGGTTTCGCTGTGTTGGCCGGGCTGGTCTCCAGCTCCTAACCGGGAGTGATCCGCCAGCCTCGGCCTCCCGAGGTGCCGGGATTGCAGACAGAGTCTCGTTCACTCAGTGCTCAATGGTGCCCAGGCTGGAGTGCAGTGGCGTGATCTCGGCTCGCTGCAACCTCCACCTCCCAGCCGCCTGCCTTGGCCTCCCAGAGTGCCGAGATTGCAGCCTCTGCCCGGCCGCCACCCCGTCTGGGAGGTGGGGAGCGTCTCTGCCTGGCCGCCCATCGTCTGGGATGTGAGGAGCCCCTCTGCCCGGCCGCCCATCGTCTGGGATGTGAGGAGCCCCTCTGTCCGGCTGCCCAGTCTGGAAGGTGAGGAGCATCTCTGCCCGGCCGCCATCCCGTCTGGGAAGTGAGGAGCGCCTCTTCCCTGCCGCCATCCCATCTAGGAAGTGAGGAGTGTCTCTGCCGGGCCGCCCATCGTCTGGGATGTGGGGAGCGCCTCTGCCCTGCCGCCCCGTCCGGGATGTGAGGAGCGTCTCTGCCCGGCCGCCCCGTCTGAGAGGTGAGGAGCCCCTCCGCCTGGCAGCCGCCCCGTCTGAGAAGTGAGGAGCCCCTCTGCCCGGCAGCCACCCCGTCTGGGAAGTGAGGAGCGTCTCCGCCCGGCAGCCACCCCGTCCGGGAGGGAGGTGGGGGGGTCAGCCGCCTCGTCCGGGAGGGAGGTGGGGGTGTCAGCCCCCCGCCCGGCCAGCCGCCCCATGCGGGAGGGAGGTGGGGGGGTCAGCCCCCCGCCCGGCCAGCCGCCCCATCTGGGAGGTGAGGGGCGCCTCTGCCCGGCCACCCCTACTGGGAGGTGAGGAGCCCCTCTGCCCGGCCAGCCGCCCCATCCAGGAGGGAGGTGGGGGGGTCAGCCCCCCGCCCGGCCACCCGCCCCGTCCGGGAGGGAGGTGGGGGGGTCAGCCCCCTGCCCGGCCAGCCGCCCTGTCCGGGAGGGAGGTGGGGTGGTCAGCCCCCCGCCCGGCCAGCCGCCCCATCCGGGAGGTGAGGGGCGCCTCTGCCCGGCCACCCCTACTGGGAAGTGAGGAGCTCCTCTGCCCAGCCACCACCCCGTCTGGGAGGTGTACCCAACAGCTCACTGAGAACGGGCCATGATGACAATGGCGGTTTTGTGGAATAGAAAGAGGGGAAAGGTGGGGAAAAGATTGAGAAATCGGATGGTTGCCGTGTCTGTGTAGAAAGAGGTAGATATGGGAGACTTTTCATTTTGTTCTGTACTAAGAGAAATTCTTCTGCCTTGGGATCCTGTTGATCGGTGACCTTACCCCCAACCCTGTGCTCTCTGAAACATGTGCTGTGTCCACTCAGGGTTGAATGGATTAAGGGCGGTGCAAGATGTGCTTTGTTAAACAGATGCTTGAAGGCAGCATGCTCGTTAAGAGTCATCACCACTCCCTAATCTCAAGTACCCAGGGACACAAACACTGTGGAAGGCCGCAGGGTCCTCTGCCTAGGAAAACCAGAGACCTTTGTTCACTTGTTTGTCTGCTGACCTTCCCTTCACTATTGTCCTGTGACCCTGCCAAATCCCCCTCTGTGAGAAACACGCAAGAATGATCAATTAAAAAAAAAAATCCACAAAATTGATAAATTCATGGCTAATCCAGAAATAATGAGAGAAAGAAAATGCATATTATAAATATCAACATTGAAAGAAAATTGTCACTACAGATCCTTAAAGACAGTAAAAGGACGATGAAGAAATATTTTGAATAAACATATGCCAACAATTGGGGCTACTTGCTAATCATCTATTGTGAAGAGCTGTTTAAAAACATAATACATATAGGCAAGGCGCTGTGGCTCATGCCTGTAATCCCAGTATTTTGGGGGGCTAAGGCGGGTGGATCACCTGAGGTCAGGAGTTCATGACTAGCTTGGCCAACATGGTGAAACCCCATCTCTACTAAGAATACAAAAATTAGCCAGGCGTGGTGGTGGGCGCCTATAAGCCCAGCTACTCGGGAGGCTGAGGCAGGAGGATTGCTTGAACCTGGCAGGCAGAGGTTGCAGTGAACTGAGATCACGCCATTGCACTCCAGCCTGAGCCACAGAGTGAGACTCCATCTCAAAAAAGTAATAATACATATAAAGAGAATGTATACAAAAATGCTTATATTACACACTGATGCCAACTATAAGCCAGGCTTTTTGTATACCATATTTCACACATCCTCATAATTTCATGGGTAGAAATGATTTGCTCTGCTTTATAGGTGAGGAAACTGGAGCTGAGAAATAGTAACTTTCCAAAATCTTCACAGACAATAAAGAAAAGAGTTGTTATTTGAATCCGTTATCTACTTAGCTCCACAGTATATGCTTTTAAATGATATAACATGTTGCTATAGTGATACATATATATTTTGCCCTAATTGATACTAATTATATCTTCTAAGTCTCTCTTTTCTCATCCTCTCTCACGTTCCAAATGCTAAAATTGTGTATTTTGATACAAAAAATAAAGCAGCTGAACTTTTTTTCTTAAAAGCAAAACATATATTACAAAGTAATGGGACAATAATCTGTGATCTAAAAGTCCTAAGAAATTATAATAACTAAGAAAGAACAAATGAGTTTTAAGTAGTATGAGCATAATATAAGATAATCATAATCACAACAACCTCCAAGCTCTCTGGGTCAGGAAGCAGATTTTATGCAGCTTCATATTTGCCATAGGAACTTTGTCAAATTCTATATCTGAAAGTATTATACAACTTAAATGGACATGACAGAATAAAAATAAAATAAAATTATTACCAAATGAAAAAAAAAAAAAAAACATTAATGAGAAAAGGGAGGCAGACCCAATCCCAAGGTGTAATATGGCCATGTTAACTAAAATGAAAGAATATCACAGCCCTGTAAGAAGCAAGCTTTCTCAGAAGTTCAAATAGAGAAAGTTCAAACTGAGTCATCCACACACAGCATTACAGTCATGACAAATCCCAAAGAGCCTGCCCCTTAACAGGTTAGCCCCATAGTAACACTGCAAGTAGCCATTTAGTGTCAGCAACAAAAAAAAAAAAAAAAAAAAAAAAAAAAAAAAAAAAAAAAAAAAAAATTCCATCATATTAAACATATGGGTTTCTATTTTGATTTTGTTTGTAGCATCGTATTTAATTCATAAATTTGTTTTGGTTTTATTGTTTAAAGGCTATATCTAGTTTTACATTTCTACATACTTAAATAATGTTAAACTAAAACTCATTTAAGTTACACATTAAGTACCGAGGAGTTTGTGAGATTTTTCTCCTTTTAAATGGGTTCATTAGTCTGTTATTCTTAGTTTGAGAAACACTTATTATAATAATATAAAAGCATTTATGGCCCTTTTTTAGGGGATTTGTGTTTTGGAGCATTTCATTTGCATAATTCATTGAACTAGATATTATTAGAGGGGTTTTTTTAAAATAACAAATTGAAAAAAGTGTGTACTGTGTGCTACACTGAATTAGAAAATGTTGCACATTATATCTCCTCTTAGATATACACAAAGCATTTTAGCGAATAAAAGACTTGGAGAAATCGGGCAGAAAAAGATATCAGATGCTTTTCTCAGTGTTCACTCAGTTTCATTCAGTGTTCCCAAGCTTATCTGAGCAAAGACTACCTCTATTGCAGCAACTATCAATATCCTAAGAAATAGCTTTCTTTGAAAAACCAGTTTGGAAAACATTCATCTATAACACTATCTAGAATAAGGATATTCTATTAACATTTTTGTGCCAAAGACTCTTCTAGCAGCCTAGTGATACCTATGGACATCTTCTTAGAATAATGTTTTTAAATGCATTAAAAATATAAAGGAATACAAAGGAAACCAATTATATTCAAATACAGTTTTCAAAATAACTTTAAAACAAATGGGAGTATCTGAAGGAGAGGAGAAGAAGGAAAGGACAAAAGAAATATTTAAAGAAATAATAGAGGCCGGGCCCAGTGGCTCATGCCTGTAATCCCAGCACTTTGGGAGGCCGAGGCAGGCGGATCACTTGAGGTCAGGAGTACGAGACCAGCCTGGCCAACATGGTGAAACCTCGTCTCTACTAAAACTACAAAAATTAGTCGGGCATGGCGGCGCATGCCTGTAATCCCAGCTACTCGGGAGGCTGAGGCAGGAGAATCACTTGAACCCAGGAGGCGGAGGTTGTGGTGAGCTAAGATCACACCACAGCACTCCAGCCTGGGCAACAAGAGCAAAACTCCATCTCAAAAAAGAAAGAAAGAAAGAGAGAAAGAAAGGCAGAGAGAAAGGAAGGGAGGAAGGAAGGGAGGGAGGGAGGGAGGGAGGGAGGGAGGGAGGGAAAGAAAGGCAGGCCGGTCAATGGCCACATATTGTATGCTTTCTTCATGTGAAATATCTAGAATAGGCAAATCTGTACAAACAGAAAGTAGAATAGTGCTTGCCTGAAGTAGGGAGGTGGAAGGTGGTGAGGAGGGTTGGGAGATGATGGCCAAAAAGAACAGGGTTTCTCTTTCGGATAATGAAAACATTCTAAAATTGAGTGCAGTGATGGGTGCACATCATCAACACATATAATAATATACAGTTAATTGTACATTTAAATGGGTGAATTGTATGGTAGATAAATTATATCTCAACAAATGTGTTTAAAAACGAACGGTCAAAAGTTCCCAAAAGTTGGAAAGTATACATGCAAAGATCTAAGAAGCCCAGTGAATTCCAAACAAAAGAATGACACCAAGGCACATTTCAAAACAAATGATAAAGGAAAAATCTAAAAAGTAGTCAGAGAAAGACACATATTATATACAGTGGGAACAAAGATAAAGATGACAGCAGATTTGTTATTGGAAGAAAATGCAAGCTAGAAGACAGTGGGGAAAAAATCTTTAATGTAAAAATGTCAACCGAGAACTTCACACACAGTAAAAGTATCTTTCAGAAACAAAGGCAACACAATGAGATACCACTTCATATCGATTAGAATGGCTATTATCCAAAAAACGGGAAGATATAACAAGTGTTGGCAGGGATATGTAGAAATTGGAACCCTTGTACCTTGCTGGTGGGAATGTAACAAGATGCAGCCACTATGGAAGACAGTTTGGTGGTTCTTCAAAACATTAAACATACAATTACATATGACCCAGCAATTCCATTCCTAGGTATATATCCCAAATAATTGAAAACAAGTGTCTAAACCAAAGCCTATACACCAATGTTCATAGTAGCAGTCTTCACAATAGCCAAAAGATAGGAACAACTCCTTTTAATCACATTTATCAGCCAAAAATAGTCACATGACCATGCTTTATTTCAAGGGGACAGAAGAGTATATGCATCCACATACTTAGAAGTAAAAGAGAATTGGATAATTGGTGAACATTAACTATCTTCCACGATTACCTGTGATACTAAAAATTATTTCCACACCAACATATTGCAAAGAGATTGAAACAGAACTTGCTCAAAGAATGTGAACTGTCCCATGAACCAGAGGTCCTACCCAGAAAAAGTGGGAGAACTGCAACTCCAGCCACACCTTATTCTCTCAATACATTCCCAGTATGGACGGCCAAAATTCCAGAAACCCCAAGGACATCTGGGTGGCAGCTCTATTTGATTAAAAAGTCTCTTAACTGGCAGAGGTTGCCGTGAGCTGAAATCGCGCCATTGCACTCCAGCCTGGGTAACAAGAGCGAAACTCTGTCTCAAAAAAAAAAAAAAGTCTCTTAGCTGCCTAGAAACCAACGTTCTTCCTTTTCACTTGCTATGCATGCTATCAGATACCTCTACCACTTGTTCATTCAATATCCCTTGTCTATGCCCAGCTGATGGAGAAACCCATCAGGTACAGTCCACAACCAGGAGTCTAAACAAAGCACTATGGGAACACAGACGAAGGAGCAAATCATTTTTGTAGTGTTTTGCACTCTGATCTAGCCACATTTTTCCTGCTTTTGTGATACAAACCTGCGTCCCCCAGCTTCCCAACTCTGCAGCTGAGCAGCTTTGTGGCCATAGGCAAATCCCTTCACTTAGAATTCTGAGGCTTGGTTTCCTCAGCTGTAAAATGGGAATGATAACACCTACCTCCTAGGATTATTGTGAGAACAAGAATGAGATAATGTCTATAGAAACGCGTTTTGTGTCAGTCCAAGTTATCACCCCCATCAGCATCATCGTGGCTGTCTTCTACCGTCTAGAAGGGGAGCCCCAGGGCTGGAGAAGGCCCAGGGAAGAGAGGGGTTCCCAGGCCGACCCTCTTACTCTGGGGGAGTCGGGGCCTCTCTCCTAATTAACTCTTCCTGGCAGAAGTTTCTTGCTGGACGTGTTTGCCTACCAGTGAAAAGCCAAGTGAGGCTTCCAGGGGCCTCCCACTGGCCCTGACACATCAGGTAAGAATGATGATTCACCAAACTCTAACAGCCTTGCTGACAGGCCCACTGGCCCAGTCCAGGCAGAGGCCGGAGAGGGCTGCCCAGGCAGCGGGGCCATTAGGTTTTATAGAAGTGAGAGAAGGAGAGAGGGAGGGGAAGAAAAGGGAGAGATAAAGGAAAAGAAACAAAGGCCCCAAAAGGGAAAAAGAACAGAAGAAACACAAAGTAGAATAATGGTTAGGAGGGGCGGTGGGATGGGGAGTTGTTTAATTGGTATAAAGTCTGTTTTGCAAGATGAAAAAGTTCTAGAGCTCTGCTGCACAACAATGTGAATACAGCTAACACTACTGAACTGCACACTTAAAATGGTTAAGATGGTAAATTTCATGTGACATGTTCTCCACAACAATTAAAAATATTAAAATACATGTTTAAAAGAAATGAGGCCGGGCGTGGTGGCTCACGCCTGTAATTCCAGCACTTTGGGAGGCCAAGGCAGGTGGATCACGAGGTCAGGAGTTCAAGACCAGCTTGGCCAACATGGTGAAACCCCTTCTCTACTAAAAACACAAAAAAATTAGCCGGGCGTGGTGGCGGGAGCCTGTAATCCCAGCTACTCGGGAGGCTGAGGCAGGAGAATCGCTTCAACCCGGGAGGCGGAGGTTGCAGTGAGCCGAGATCGCGCCATTGCCCTCCAGCCTGGGCGACAGAGGGAGACTCCGTCTCAGAAAAAAAAGAAAGAAAGAAAATAAAAGAAAAAGAAAAAGGAGAGGAGGAAAGGAAGAAAGGAGAGAGAGGAGAAAGAAAGGAAGCAGGCGGAAGAGAAGGAGGGAGGGAGGAAGAGAAAGGAAGCAGAGAGAAGGAAGGCGGGAGGGAGGAGAAAAGGAAAATTAAAAGGAAGGAGATGGGGAAGGGAGAAGGAAACGGACGGAAAGAGGGAGGAATGAGAGGGATAAAAAGGAAGAGATGGGAGATGGGAAGAAAGAAAAACAGCTGACAGGGAGGAGGAGGAGGAAGGACGAAGCGGCGCAGGTGGACAGGTGGCCTCGCATCGCTTCCTCCCCAGGCCCGGCCCAGCGCGGGGGCGGGGCAACCGCGGGGCGTGGCTGCGCGTGACGTCACCGCCCCCGCCGCCCCGCCCCGTCCCCGCTCCCGGGCCTTGTGAAATCGCGCGCGCTGGCGGCCGTCGTAGACCGTGCAGCTCTCCTTGGGTGGCTGCGAGTGCCTTGGCCGTGGGCCCTGTGCGCGGCCAGCCCCGGCGGCGGGAGGGCGATAATTGCCCAGAGACGCAGCACTTACCTGGGCCGGTTGTGCAAGGCGCGCGGGGGGAGGCCCCGGGCGGCGGCTCTCACGCCTCAGCGGCCAGGCATGCGCGGGGGCGAGGGCGGGCCAGGGTCCCGGGGAGCGCCTCCAGCGGTTCCCGTTGCGGACGCCGCCCCATTCTTCAGGAAAGAGCCGCCGCCCGTCACCGCTGGGGATGGGGAGACCCGCGCTCCCATCCCGCTTGGCCACCTGCTGGGGTGAGTGGCGTCGGTCTAGTTCCACACGTGCCTCTGAACCCCAAGCGCCTCCTCTGTGTACTAGGGGTAAAAACGCCACCTCTCTGATCCTCTGGTTGAGAGGATTAGAAATGATGCAGGTGAGGCCTGGAACACTGCCAGACACACATTAGGTACATGGAATGGTGGCCTCGATGCCCACAGACTGCCAGTCAAAACTAGGGTTAAAGTTGTGTCTCCCACTGACTTGCTGGTGACTTTGGGATGTTTACCTCCCCTCTCTGGTCTTCAGTTTCCTCTTCAGAAATTGGAGTTTGATGCTCACCTTCATCGTGGGCCAGGATGATGGCCTGTGCTAGCCGTCCTTGAAAAGGCGAGGCCGGGCTGAGGGTGCACTGGGTTTAGACATAGCAAGTGTCTCCTGTCACTTGTGCCTAGTTCCTGGGGCCATGGTCCTTGGAGCTGCTGTTAGAGAGGGATGGAGTGGGACAGGGTATCCTGACCTTACACCAGGATCCCTAGAAGTGTGATCACACATACACACATAGGCACACACATATACACATACATCACACTACATACACACAGGTGCACACACAACCCAGGGAGGTCTGACAGGAGCTGCAGTCACCCAGCACCTTCTTTGAGCCTTTGAGGCCAGTCCTCCCCAGGGCTTTAAGGTGGTGTTGCTGTCCCAACCAACAAGTAAGGAACTGAGGCAAGAGGAGGGCAGGTAAGCTTGGTCCTGGGGGCAGCCACTTGCAGTGGGGCCTCATTCTACACCAACACTTTGAGATTGTAGTCCAACCTTGGGAAGGAAGCAGAGCTAGTCACTTGCTCAGGCTCAAGTCTGGGGTGCCCAAAGACAGTTCCATAGGGGAGCCACTCTTTGGATCTGGCCTGAGAGTCCCTGCTTTCCTCCTTCCCCTTTTTAAACCTTGAAAGTATGCAGGACAAAAAGACTCAAAGAATTATATAAAAATAATAAATACCCGTCATCCAAAATAAAAAATGTTAAATTAAAAAAGGAGAAGTGGCTGGGCGCGGTGGCTCACGCCTGTAATCCCAACACTTTGGGAGGCCGAGGCGAGCGGATCACAAGGTCAGGAGTTTGAGACCAGCCTGGCCAATATGGTGAAACCCCGTCTCTACTAAAAATACAAAAAAACTAGCCGGGCATGGTGGCACGCTCCTGTAGTCCCAGCTACTCGGGAGGCTGAGGCAGGAGAATCGCTTGAACTCAGGAGGCAGAGGTTGAAGTGAATCCAGATTGCGCCACTGCACTCCAACCTGGGCAATAGAGGGAGACTCCGTCTCAAAAAAAAAAAAAAAAAAAAAAAAAAAAGGAGAAGTTAGAGTATGATGGTTCCCACTTCACCAATCTGTTGGGAGGATTAAAATAATAAGGTGACCCTTGGAAAGTGTGAGGGATATACCTGCATCAGATTCTCCCAACCACTGTCCTCCTTGCCCTCAGCTTCCGTGACAACAGGCACTCCTGGTTTTCTTCCTACCTCTCTGGCTGCTCCTTCCAGTCTTTTTGCAGGTTCCCACTCACTTACACATGCCTTAAAAGTCGGTGGGCTTAGGGGTAACCAATTTAGGCATCCCTCTCTTGTAGGCATCCCTCTCTTGTAGGCATCCCACTCTTCCTTGGGATGACTTAGTGATTACATCCTCTCCAAGACTTCAGGTCCCAGTGTCCTGCGATTGTATGAGATTTTAATTTTGTTCGTTTTGCTAATTCATATCTTCTGTATTTGCTCTCAAATTGTGTGATTTTTTAAATAAATCATTTTTAAATAAAATGTTTATTGATTGATTGGGTATTTTTATCCCAACATGGCTGGGATCCTTAAGCCTCTTGGAGCTCCTTGGAGGGGCCCGAGAAGCTAGGACAAAAATGCCTCTCACCTATATCCAGTTCGAATACATAGCCATGTCAGTGGGAAGGAAAAACAGTTGCTCCTTTGGTAGAAATGGCTACTGGAGGAAATTTGATTCATTGAAGAACTTGGCTTGGGAATTTGCAGACTGGTAGCACTCATCAAGGCCTTGGAGATCTTCGGATTCTACCCCCTCATCTTGGAATCAGGAAACTGGAAACCCAAAGATGATTGATTACTGGCCCCACCTGCCAGATGGCACAGGAAGGTAATGGCAGAGCCAGAATTTGAACATGTTTCCTCACTCTGTGGTCCCTGCTCATTTTGAAATATGTCCCTACCCATCCCAGCAATTGACCCCAAGACAGTCTACACACACACATACACACACACACACGGGCAGCCTAATTTTCCATCCAAAGTCTTTACATTCAGAAAGCAGATTAATCTTGGATTCACTTGATTTCCCATGGGGATCTCTCATACTAATCCTTCAGAAAAGTGAACCAACTTAAATCCCCCACCAAGCTCTGTTCTAAGGAGGAATATTCAACTCTGTGGCAATTACATTCCAAAGTCCCTATTTTCTGTAGAGAGCTTCCCTGGTGTTAACCACTTTTCCTTAGTTATTCTTTTATTTTTTTATTTTTATTTTGTTTTATTTTATTCTTTTATTCTACCAACAACTCCACAATGTAGGTATTAGTGTTCTTTTGCTCTGTGAGAAAACTGAACTTCAAAAAGGTTAAATAACTTTCTCAAAGACACAGCAATAAGTGGCAGAACCAGGATTCAAACACTCATTCTCAGGACACCAGACCTTGTACCTCAGTGTTCCCTGGTCCACCCTGCCAGACCAGAGCAGAGGTCCTTTGTACAGGTTGCAGGGAAGCTTTTTTGAGACTCACAGGAAATGAGAGCTAAAATGACCTTGTAGGTCCTCATTTCACATTTCGTTCCATCTTTCAAACAAACCACATTGTACAGAATGGTTTAAACCATGACTTCTGGACAGAGAATCTGAATTTAAATCCTGGCTCAACCACTGACTAATTGTGCAACTTTGGGCAAGTTACTTAATCTCTCTGTGCCTCAGATTCCTCATCTGTAGAGTGTGGATAATAATAGTACTTAATTCATAGAGGTGTTATGAGGATGAAATGAGTTTCAACATGAAAGTACATAAAACACTGCTTGACACATAGTAAGCTCTCCATAAATGGAGAGCTTTTACCAGGGTCGTCATCATCATTGCTACACTATTATTACTACTACTAAGAGTTTGTGATACACTGGGTCTTAAGATAGTGAATGGGAAGACAAAGATGACATAGACACTGTCCTCTCCTTACAGAACTCATCCTGTGGAAGGAGAAGGATACAGAAACTATATATGATTACAATTTAATAATATAGTAAATGCAACAAGAGTGATGTGTGTGGACACTCCAGAGAGTAGACAAGACTTGTTCAAGGCAACAGCAAAGTTAGGACTTGAGCCCAGTTATCCTGAGCCTCTTTCTATTCCACCTTATTGACTGGGAATGTGCCTGTGGACTGCACATATAGGTGTGACCCCAAAGTCCTCGCACATGGTACCAAAAAGAGCTTCCTATGGCCATGGCTTCTCCAGCTGAAGATGTTACTAAAGTGAAGAGATAGTCAATGAACATCTGTTGAATGAGTAAATGAATCAAAGGCCCTGGTGAGAGGCCAGCCAATTTTCTCACCCCACCCAACGTGTAGGCTTGAGGCAATGGCAGGGGAAAGCAGTTCTACATGAGCCCTGGAGGACAGCTGGTCCCCCTCTTCATCCTCAAAAGGATGTTTCCTCATCCTTTTGTTCCTTTTGTTCCTTCATCCTCAAAAGGATGTTTCCTTCATCCTCAAAAGGATGTCTGTGATGGCACTGCCATACACAGACCCCTCCTTTACCACAGCTATTTCTGATGCCCTCAAGAGAAATTTTAACTCACTCAAATCAATCATTTGCACAATTCTGTGATTTGTATGTGCCCAACTCTGTAGAGGGGAAGGTGAATCAACAACACTCCCTACCCTCGGGGTGCTCAAATTCCAGCAGGAAAACATGACAAATTGCTAGCCTGCAGGGTAGAAAGTGATCAGTCCCTGAGAAAGGGGCAGACCACAAAGACAACCAGCATTCAGATAATTAGAGCTCTCACAGACAATTAGAGCTCTCACAGTACAGTCGACTGAGTAATGTTGCCAAAGATGTGCATCCATGAATCTTGGGAACCTGTGAATATTACTCTATATGACACATGGGTCTTTGCAGGTATGATTAAAGTAAGGATCCTAATGTGGGTAGGATATCCTGGCTTATCCACATGGGCCCTAAATGTAAACATTTGTTTCAGCAGCTATAGGAAAATAATACAGATAGATTGCTGACTGTATGCTAAGCATTCTCATTGAGTTTTTTCCATGAACTCCAAAGCCAGACTGCCTGGGTTCAAATCATGGCCCCTTTTCTTTCCATCTGTGTGGCTTTAGTCAATTTTCCTCTGTGGGCTTCAGTTTCCTCATTTATAGAAGAGAAATAATATTTAGTAACCTCCTCCCCCATAGGAATGATGTAAGGAATGATATGTAGGAGATATTCTAAATGCTCACCATTATTTGGTTCTCCTTTCCTTCCTAGTTGTTTGGGAATCTACACTTCCTGCCCCCTGCAGCAAGAGGCACCATGTGGCTAGTTCTGGACAATGAAATGTGAGCGGTGAAAAGCCCCAGTGGGACCTGGGTCACATGACCACAAACCTATGGGCACATCACAAGCTCTCTCAGACTCAGTGACAATATCGGACTTCTCCAGTGTCCAATGTCCCTTCCAACCCTCAGTCCCCAGGACGCTGAGCACCATGTGACAAAATGGACAGTAAACAAGAGAGCAGGAGAGAAGAGATTTAAAGGGTTCCTGCAGCAGTGTGAAGCATGCAGTGTGTGCGTGGTGTGGATTCCCCAGAGGATACGTGCATAGCACCAAAGGTGATCGTAGGTAGCTCCAGGATGAACTTCATTGTTATAATAATTAATTAATTTAATTAATTATGGCAAATTATACTGGGTTTCCATCCAAAGTTTCTTTTTAGAGTAAACGTACATTTTTTAAAAATGAGTTAGTTTAAAGAAAAATATTGATTACTCTCACAAGTGGTTTGTAGATATGACAAAAATTGTAAAGGCAGAATCAAAAGACTAAAATTATGGTGAACGTCCCTGGAACAATGAAAAGAACATGGGCTTTGGAATCAGGCCAGGGTTTGAATCCAGTTCCTCCAATTGTTAGCAGTGTGACCTCATTACTCAAGCTCTCTGAGATTGTTTCCTCCTCATTACTTTTTAATGGAGATCATTAACCAAACCTCATGTTGGTGGGGGTGATGGCAGTGTGAAGGGATGGAGTGGGAGGAGGTGCATGGGGGTGTGAGGGGGGGGGCGGTGGGGAGGTGTGAGGATTATGGCTTACTTTCACCACTGCTGTTCTTACATTCCTCTTTCTTATTGTTGCCCCTGGGTCTTGACCCAGTTTGTAAATTGGGGTCCAATCCAACCCAATTCCCAGATGCCTGGCCAGGCTCCGGGGACAGAACCCAATAGGACCAGCTTCCTGCCCTCCAGGAGCTCCCAGCCGAGTGGGGCAACTAACATGGTCTCAAAGATCCACAGTCCACAGCCAAAATGCCATGGGAGACAAGCAGAGGTGGTGGCATGGAGGCCCTGAGATGGCTCTGAGGAGAGCCACAGGCACCAGAGATGGATCTTGACCCGTGAGTAAGATTTCAACAGGCGCTGAGGGTAGGGAATGCAAACCAGATTTCCTTACTCTCTGAGCCTCAGTTTCCTCTTTGGTAAAATTTAAGTAATATTTCCTATGTTTTTGCTATGATACTGTAAGGATTAAGTGGGATAAAGCTTAGGACGCACCTACCACAGTGCCAGGCTCATGTTAGGCCCTGGATAAATACAGGCAATTACTTTCCTATTATGCTGGATGATAAAGCCCCGGTGGGTGGCCCCTTTCATAATGAAACTGTCTCCTCCTTCCCTATGACTCACCTGCAGGGGATTGCCCAGGGGCACAGATGTCCCAGGCTCCTGGGTGGGTTGGAACCATCAAGCTCCCTGAAGAAAGGCTCCCAAGACAGGGAACATAATTATTCCCCCAGGACAGAGTTGGACTTCAAGTGCAGCTTTCCACCATCTATGGAGAGAAAGACCATGTCTTGGAGTCAGCTCCAGACCCTTCCAGCCTCCACGGAAAAGCCTGCTGTGCAGGAGCCCAGAGAGACCACCTATTGGGAAGAAACAGGAGACCAGGGCTTAAATCATTCGTTGCTGTCTGAACAGCATCACAGCCCTTTCTCCCTCCAGGCCTCCGTGTTCTAAGGGTAGAAGTGGGCTGACTGAAAAAACCACCAGGATAGCAAAGACCAATCAGAGCAGACACTGGCAGGGGTCTGGAGGTCCCCCCTGGGCTGGGTGTTTGTCCTCTGCTTGCTGGGGATAGGGTTGTCCAGAGGTCCTGGGATGGGCCGGCACACTCAGAACAACAGGAGGAGACCACTTAGGGAACTGGAGGGAGCAATTCTCAGCCTGCTCCCACCAACCTCCTGCACAGGGCAGTTATGAGCCAGATGCAGACGTGCTTTACCAGCTGGATGTCCATCTGCCCATCTCCATGGGCCATTCTTCCCTAGCTCCCTAACCATGAAGAGAGAACTAGACACGTAGCCCAGCCTCACAGCCTCTCTTCAATGCTGAAAACGCACAGATCTTGCCCACAGTTACACAGGTGAATCAGTTGCTCAGGCCCTGGCCATAACCAGTCTCCTGCCATCTGACCCAGTGCAGCTTTTCTTCCCATTGCTAACTGTCCAGAGGCAAAGCATCCCTCAGGGGCAGGTGGTGACAAGGACCAAGGTGGTAAGAGTGAGAAGGGCCTGTGGCAGAGGTGTAGAATGTGCACTGGGGGCATGGTGTGCTTCCCACAGTGGAAAAGGGCCTGTCCCCTTCCCCCTACTTCCCCCTGAGTGCTGGAGCTGCGTCTGGCACATGCTGGCTCCACCTCAACGTCAAATGTGCATCCTCCAAGTCCCTCTCCCTGACGAAGGCCCACATTCCCAAAGAAGAGTCTGGGGCCTCAAATTTTTTTTTTTTTTTTTTTTTTTTTTTTTGTGAGATGGAGTTTTGCTCTTGTTGCCCAGGCTGGAGTGCAATAGCATGATCTCGGCTCACTACAACCTCCGCCTCCCGGGTTCAAGCGATTCTCCTGCCTCAGCCTCCCGAATAGCTGGGACTATAGGTGTGCACCACCACACCCGGCTAATTGTGTATTTTTAGTAGAGACGGGGTTTTACAATGTTGGTCAGCCTGGTCTCAAACTCCTGACCCCAAGTGATCCACCCCCCTCAGCCTCCCAAAGTGCTGGGATTACAGAAGTGAGCCACCGTGCCTGGCCAACCTCACAATTTTTGTAAAGCTTTATTGAAGTATAACTTACACACCATGAAATTCACCCATTTAAGTGTACAATGCTATGACTTTTAGTAAATTCACGGAATTGTGTAACCATCACCATAGTCTAGTTTCAGAAGTCTTTCCATCATCCCACAAAGATTCCTCATGCCCATTTGCAATCAATCCTTATTTCCATTGCCAGCCCCAGGCAAACCACTATCAGTTGCTTCTATAGATTGGCTTTTTCTGACATTATGTATCAACAGAATCATATAATATGTGGTCTTTTGTGTCCGGCTTCTTACACTTAGCATAATTTTTTTTTTAGTTTTATCCATGTTGTGGCATGTACAGTACTTCATTCCTTACCTCATTCATTTTGTATTCCTGGCATCCTGCCAGTGCCTGGCAGATAGTAGGTGCTTAATAAGGGGCTGAGGAATTTCACATGGAGACCAGATGCCCTTCCAAAATGAGGGCAACTATCTGCAAAAACCCCACTCAACTCCAAGCTGCTACGGACAAAGGCGCTGATTGTCATGTCTGCTGCCGATGGTATGAACATAGCAATTTGTTTTCATACCTACGACTGTATGGAGTGAACTGTCATGCCCTCCATCTCACATGTGCTGCAGCATCCCCTCCACTTGTTTTGAATTTGCCCTTATTCCCCCTTCATCCTGGCTCTGAAAACCACAGTGACTCATCCTTCTGAGATTAGCTCTCCTTCTTCAACCCTGAGTAGCTGTATTGCCTGAACTAGTTGGAGAAGAACTCTCCAAATACAACTAGAGCTCCTTGAGAGGAAAACAGCTCTGTGGAAAAATGTACTTACCTTGAATTGGCAAGGGCCACCGCCAGTCTCAGAAAGATAAGAAATCGACTTTTCCTCTCTTGCCTTGGCACCAGATTCACTGGTAGCTCTAGGAAGGAAAAAGGTTGACTATCTTTTGTATGGTCAATCTATAAATATTTCTGTAGAAAACAGAAGCATTAAACATTTTCTGCATAGGCTCTTGGGCTCCCAGCCTCGGGCCTAACTCAGTTCAAACACCTACTGTGTTTCTATTTTGTGTCAGGTGCTATAGTAACCTTGGGAGGGGCAGGCAGAGACATACAAGTTTTTTCTTCTTTTGATTGTGGTAAAATACATGTGTAACAGAAAATCTGCCATTTTAACCACGTTTAAGTATGCAATTCAGTGGCATTAATTACATTTACAGTGTTGTACAACTGTTACCACCATCTAGTCCCAAATTTTTTTGGTCACTCCAAACAAAAACTGTGTAGTCACTAAACAATAACTTCCCATTCCCTTGGTCCCCAGTCCCTAGTAAGCTCTAATCTACTTTCTGTCTGTATAAATTTGCCTATTCTAGATATTTTATATATGTGGAATAATACAATGTTTGTCCCTTTGTGTCTGGCTTTTTTCACTTAGCATAATGTTTTCAAGGTTCATACATTTTGTTGCATATATCAGCACTGCATTCCTTCTTTATGGCTGAATAATATTCCTATATACATACAGATGTATATAGAAATATATACACACATATATAGGAATATATGTACACACATATATATAGGAGACATATATATGTGTATATATATACACATATATATACACATATATACATATATATACACATATATATGTGTATACATATATACACATATACACATATATATATATATATATATACACACACATACATACCACATTTTGTTTATTCCTCTGTTGCTGAACACGGATTGTTTTCACCTTTTAGCTATTTTTGAATAGTGCTGCTGTGAACATTCTTGTACAAGTGTTTCTTTCAACACTTGTTTTCAGTTACTTTGGGTATATACCTAGGAGTGAAATTGTTGGGTCATATGGTAACTCTATAGTTAACTTTTTAAGGAACTGCCAAAGTGTTTCAACAGTAGCTGCACCATTTTACATTCCCAAGAGCAGTGTATGAGGTTTCCAGTTTTTCTACATCATCTCCAACACTTGTTATTTTTCACATTTTTAATTTTACCTTTTCTAGTAGATGTGAAATGATATCTCATTGTGGTTTTTATTTGCATATCCATAATGACCAATAAGGTTGAGCTTCTTTTCACATGCTGATTGGCCACCTATATAACTTCTTTGGAGTAATGTCTGTTGTAGTCTTTTGTCCATTTTTAATTGGGTAGTTTGGGTGTTTCTTTGTTCTTCAGTTGTAAGAATTCTTTGTATATTCTGGATATTAAACTTTATCAAATGTGTGATATGAAAATATTTTCTCCCTTTCCATGGATTGTCTTTTTACTCACTTGGTAGTTTCATTTGATTCAAGAAAGTTTTTGGTTTTGAGAAGGTACAATGTATCTATTTTTGCTGTTGTTGCCTATGCTTTTAATGTCAAAAAATGATGTTAAGAAACCATTGCCAGGCCGGGTGCAGTGGGTTCACACCTGTAATCCCAGCACTTTGGGAGGCCGAGTTGGGTGGATCGCTTGAACCCAGGAATTCAAGACCAGCCTGGGCAACATGGCAAAACCCTGTTGCTACAAAAAATACAAAAGTTGGCCAGGTGTGGTGGCGTCCACCTGTAGTCCCAGTTACTCGACAGGCTGAGTTGGGAGGATCACTTGAGCCCAAGAGATTGAGGCTGCAGTGAACCGTGATCGCACCACTGAACTTTAGCCTAGGCCACAGAGTAAGACCTGTCTCAGGAAAAGAAAACAAAAGAAAAGAAACCATTACCAAATCAAGGTCATGAAGATTTGCCCCTATGATTTTTTTCCAAGGTTTTTATAATTTTAGCTCTTACATTTAGATCTTTAATCAATTTTGAATTAATTTTTGTGTATGACATAAGGTAAGGGTCCAACTTCATTCTTTTATATGTGAATATCCAGTTTTTCCAGCACCATTTGTTGAAGAGACTGTTTTTCCCCATTGAATGGCCTTGGCACCCTTTTCAAAAATCAGCTGACCATAGATGTGAGGGTTTATTTGTGGATGCTTAACTCTATTCCATTGGTCTAATATGCCTATTAGCCTGTTCCCCTGGTCTGCATGCCAGTACCACATGTTTTGATTACTGTAGCTTTGTGGTAAGTTTTGAAATTGGAATGAAAGAGTCCTCCAACTTCATTCTTTGTTAAGATTGTTTTGGCGATTCTGGATCCCTTGAAATTCCACATAAATTTTAGGGTGAGTTTTTCCATTTCTGCAAAAGAAACCATTGGATTTTTTTATGGGAATTGCATTGAGTCTGTAGATGACTGGGTAATCTTGACATCTTATCAATATTAAGTCTGACAACGCATAAACACAGGAATGTCTTTTTACTTATTTAGGTTTTCTTTAACTTCTTTCAGCAATGTTTTGTAGCTTTCAATGTACATCTTGCACCTCCTTGGTTAAATTTATTCCTGCATATTTTATTATTTTTGATGCTATTGTAAATGGAATTGTTTTCTTAATTTCTGCTTTGGATTTTTTATTGCTAGTATACAGAAAGACAACTGATTTTTGTACATAGATTTTGTATCCTACAACTTTGCTAAATTCATTACTAACTCTCACATTTTTGTGTAAGTGGGTGGATTCTTTAGGGTTTTCCATATATAAAATTATGTCATCTTAAAATATAGTTTTGCTTTTTTGTTTCCAATCTGGATGCCTTTTATTTCCATTTCTTTTCTACTACCCCTGGCTAGGACATCCAGTACCATGTTAAATAGAAGTGGTGAAAGCAATAAAAGCTTCTGGTCCTGGATTTTTCTTTGTTGAGAGGCTTTTGATTACTGATTTAATTTTGTTACTTCTTACAGGTCTATTTGAGTTTTCTATATGTTTGTAATTCAGTCTTGGCAGGTTTTGTGTCGGTTCTGGAAGTTTGTGTGTTTTTAGAAATTTGTCCATTTCACCTAGGTTATCCAGTCTGTTGTTGTACAGTTTTTCATAGCATTCTCTTATAATCCTTTTTATTTCTATAGTCAGTAGTAATGGCCCTTCTTTCATTTGTGATTTTAGTAATTTGGGTCTCCTGTTTCTTTTCTTTTTCTTTCTTTCTTTTTTTTTTTTTTTTTTTGAGACGGAGTCTCACTCTGTTGCCCAGGCTGGACTGTTTCTTTTCTTTTTCTTTCTTTCTTTCTTTTCTTTCTTTCTTTTTTTTTTTTTTTTTTTGAGATGGAGTCTCACTCTGTTGCCCAGGCCGGAGTGCAGTGCTGTGATCTTGGCTCACTGCAACCTCCACTTCCCGGGTTCAAGCTATTCTCCTGCCTCAGCCTTCTGAATAGCTGGGACTAGAAGTGCATGCCACAATGCCCAGCTAATTTTTTGTATTTTTAGTAGACATGAGGTTTCACTGTGTTAGCCAGGATGGTTTCGATCTCCTGACCTCACGATCTGTCCACCTCAGCCTCCCAAAGTGCTGGGATTACAGGCTTGAGCCACCGTGCCTGGCCTCCTGTTTCTTAGTCTAACTAAAGGTTTGTCAATTTTGTTGATCTTTTCAAAGAACCAGCTTTTGGTTTCATTGATTTTTCTCTATTTTTCTATTCTCTATTCTGCTTATCTCTTCTCTAATCTTTTGTTATTTTCTTCCTTCTGCCAGCTTTGTGTTCATTTGCTCTTCTTTTTTTAGTTCCTTAATATGTACTGTTAGATTGTTGATTTGAGATCTTTCTTCTTTTTTGATGTAAATACTTACAGTTATAAATTTCCTTCTGAACACTGCTTTTGCTGTATCTCATAAGTTTTGCTATGTTGTGTTTTTCATTTTGACTTGTTTTAATGTATTTTCTTATTTCCTCTTGTGATTTCTTCTTTAACCTATTGGTTAAGAGTATGTTATTTAATTTCCACATATTTTTGAGTTTTTCAGTTTCTTTCTGTTATCAATTTCATATTTTATTCCATTATGGTTGAAAAATATACTGTTTATGATTTTAATCTTTTAAAATTTATTAAGACTTGTTTTGTGGCATAGTATATGGCCTATCATGGAGAATGTTCCATGTGTACTTCAGAAGACTGGATATTCTGCTATTGCTGAGTGGAGTGTTTTATGTGTTCGTTATGTCTAATTGGTTTATAGTGTTGTTCAAGTCTTCCATTTCCTTATTGATTTTCTATCTGGTTGTTCTATCCATTATTCAAAGTAGAGATATTAAAGTCTCCAACTATGACTGCAGAGCTGTCTCTTTCTTCAAGTTTGTCAATTTTTGCTTCATATATTTTGGGACTCTATTTTTAGATATGTATATGTTTATAATTATTATAAAATTTAATATTTATTAGTGGATTGACTATTTTATCAGTATATGATGTCCTTCTTTGTCTCCTGTAACCCTTTACTTAAAATCTGTTTTGACAATAATATATTAATAGCTATCTCAGCTCCCTTTAGCTCACTCTTTGCATGGGATATCTAGGTTAAAAGCATCTTCTTCTGTGAATCCTCACAATAGTCCATTAGCAAAGTAGTAACCCAAACTTGTTTCTTACAACAGAAGTGACTGAATTCACAAGAGCCTGATGATGAATATAAGAACAAAAATCCTCTAACCTAATAAGGGAGGGAATGCATCCCATAAATGAAGTACATCTAAAATGTTGTGGAGGGGCATCAACTCAACTATTTATTTATTCCTTAATCTTATAGCCCTGAGCACCTACTCAATGCCAAGCCCTGAGCTGGACATAGCATTTAATCACTCATGGCCTCTGCTTCCAGGACTTAAAGGATGATGCAGGCAAACAGAGCCATTTTAAGACATTCTTGAGCTACATCTAAGTTTCTTCACCTGTGAAAAAGGGATATTAGCAGCATAACTTCACAGAGGTGTTATAAACGTTAAATTAATTTAAAATATGTAAAGCGCTTAGAACAGTGCTTAGAGCATGTAAGCACCCAATAAATGTCACCTATGATCATTATTATTGTCACCATGGGCCTTAATCACTCTTTCTTTTGTAAGCCTTATCCCACCAGTTAAAGTTAAATGTTTTTTCTGTAAAAGATAGGAGATTTCAGTAATTTTTTTAAATTTAGAATTATTTTCAATTTTACAGTTTTCTTTTTATGTTTGGGAATCAATATATTTTGGGCAAGCTCTTGAAAACTCCCAAGACTGTAACTCTGGTCTCCAGTGGCTAAAGTGGCCCTGCCCAGAGTGATCATGTAGGGCCGCACAGGTGGTGCTTACTGCACAACTCCAAGGAAAACCAGTCTCATAGACTACAAACTGAATGCCCTCATCCCCATTCCCAGGGATGTGTAGTGCAGCATTCCTGGCCTTGTCGGTGAGTAAGTCAAAGACTACTACACAAAGCAATAAAGATCACTTCCAGTTGGGAAAAAGAGAAGGCTTTATGGAGGGATGGCATCTGATGAAGAGTGAAAGAGCCAGTCTGCAGAGATGCTCTGTGAAGGGCATTCCAGGCAGAAGGAACAGTAAAAGCAAAGCAAGGGGGCTACAGTTGGGGAAGAGCAGGTAGCTCTATTTGGTTGGAGTAAAGGATGTGTGAAAGGGGAAGAGGGAAGTAAGTCTGGAGAGAGGTAAAGAATCCAGATCATGGACAGCTTTGAGTGGCAGGCTTACAGTTTGAATTTTGTTATGTAGGCAATGAGAAGTCATTGTACGTTTTTGAGAAGGGAGGTGTCATTATCAAGACTATGCTCAAAGAAGGTCCCTCTGGAAGCTAGTATGGGAGGTAGACTGGAGAGGGCAGAGACTGGGAGAAGGAGACCAGTAAGGAGATGATTGCAATAGTCTTGTAACTGACAGAAGGAATGGAGAGGAGAGACAAAATCAAGATGATGCTGGGGAGGTAGAGTGGACATGGAGCATTAGAATGGCCACCGGAATAAGTGTAGTGGACATAATTCAAATTTCCAACCCATGTGACTCCTCTCCCTAATGTAGGATTGGGTTCACAGGCTGCAGCTCCATTCTCTTCCCCAGACCCTCTGATGACTGTTGCTTGGGGTAGAGGATTTGAAAAATAAGTCCCAGATTGTAGGATTCTAACCTATGTTGAAAGTGGTTGATTATATTGTTTTTGTGTCCGTGTTGTTTCTCATCCTGATGACTGGATTATATAACAGTTGGATGCTCAATTTTGTAAGAGGTTATTAACATATCACATAAAAAGAGGTGTGCATTTGTGAGGCCTTAAAAATGTGGTTAGGGAAGTTCTGGCTACAGCAATTAGACAAGAGAAAGAAATAATGGGCATCCAAATTGGAAAGGAACAAGTCAAATTATCTTTGTTTACAGGTGCTATGATCTTATATTTTAAAAAACCCAAAGACTCTGCCAAAAAAGTATTAGAACTAATAAACAAATTCAGTGAAGTTGCAGGATACAAAATCAACACACAAAAATCAGTAGCATTTCTATATGCCAAGAGTGAACATTCTGGAAAAGAAATAAAAAAGTAATCCCATTTACAATCACAACAAATAAAATAAAATCCATATATGTTTTAGGATTGATTTTTCTATTTCTGTGAAGAGTGTCCTTGGTATCTTGATAGGGATTGCACTGAATATGTAGATCGCTTTAGGTACTATGAACATTTTAACAATATTGATTCTTCCAATCCATGAACATGGAATATCTTTCCATTTTTTGTATCCTCTTCAATCTCTTTCATCCATGTTTTATAGTTTTTGTTGATGAGATCTTTCACTTATTTGGTTAAGTTAAAGGACTTTTCTCAAGATCTCACAGATAGTAAAACATACAGACATTACTCAAGCCCAGGTGATCCATGCTGACCCCGAAGTTCAAGCTTTTAAACACTTTGTTACACTGCCTTCCAGCAAAATCAACTCTATAAGCATAGTGATATTCATGGAGAAATGAAAGCTGAAAGTTCAGGTGGTTGGGTAAGGGTTACAACATTAATAATATAATTCAACATTATTTGAATAGTAATATTTTAATATTTTTAAAAATAAGAAATAGGATGCCAATGGTAAGAGTTCCTAAGGACAACAGGGTAGAAAAATATCTGGAGGCTGGGCGCAGTGGCTCATGCCTGTAATCCCAGCACTTTGGGAGGTCAAGGCAGGTGGATCATGAGGTCAAGAGATCAAGACCATCCTGTCCAACAGGGAAACCCCGTCTCTACTAAAAATACAAAAATTAGCTGGGTGTGGTGGCATGCGTCTGTAGTCCCAGCTACTCAGGAGGATAAGGCAGGAGAATCGCTTGAACTTGGGAGGTGGAGGTTGCAGTGAGCCGAGATCGCACCACTGCACTCCAGCCTGGCGACAGAGCAAGACTCTGTCTCAGAAAAAAAAAAAAAAAAAAAAAAGAAAATGAAAAAGAAAAAAGAAAAATATCTGTAGTTAGGGTAGGTAGCTGAAAGGCATCACTGAGAGCTTGCTGATCTGATAAGAAAGCTCCTTTACCAGACAGAGGGGCATGACTTGTTCAGCTCAGTGGGACCAGCACAGGGCAGGCAAAATCTTGGGAAATGCTTGGTGAATGAATGAATGAGTGAGTGAATGGGTGAGTGACCCTGAAGAGCTGCATAGGAGACTGCTAAGGCTACCTGTTGGGATAAGTGATGGCTGGTGCTTGGGACAGAGTGTATGAGTCCCAGGAGAGTGTGTATGTGTGTATGTGTTTGTGTGTGTGTGTGTAGGTGGGACTTGGAAGGTGGGAGGAAGAGACAGGAGCCTTTGAGAAGCTGGTGAGGGAAATGTGAGGCGAAAGGCATGCAGAAAGAGAAGGTCAGAGAAGAGGGGGCTGGCAGAGGACTTCTGCCCTCACTGGCTTCATCCCAGCAGCTTAGACTTGTTTATTCCCTTAGCAGTTCTGAACCCTCACAGATAACATCATGTGGGTCTCTGCGGGAGGTCACCATAAAGCCTGCACAGTTCAGCCATCCATCCTTGCTACTCCTGAGGATTCAGCTCATTCTACCCACTCATGTCTCAGGGTTCTGTCTTCCCTCGCTTTGCCTGAAAGGTTCAGGCTTCCTGCAGAGAACTCAGGTCTTGCTAGTTGCTTTACCCCCACTGTCTCATTTCATCCTCCCAGCAACCCTGCAGATGGGTTCTTCAGTGATTCCCATTTTTCAGATGAGGACCCTGAGACTTGGAGAAGGAAAGTAAATTGTCCACAATCACATACCTAGCAAGGGCTGAGTGAGGGATCTGCTGGACTGGTTTCAAGTTCTAAATTTGCTAATGACTTTCTCACCTTCCACACTCATAAGGTGGGATTAGGATCCCTGCTGTCCTTCCCTGAAGGGGGGCTTTGAAGAGCCATTGAGATGATAGAAGTGAAACCACTTTGTCAATTAGGGAGATAAGAAATGGAGTGTGAAAAGATCCAACCTGGGTTCGAACCCCAGCCTCACTGCTCATTTCCTGGGTAACCATGATAAATTAATCTCTCTGGACTTTCATTTCCTTACCAACAAAAGGAGGTGATAATATGTATCAGGAGGATTTAATTAGATATCAGATATGAGGCTCTTAGCACACTCTGTGACATAGGAAGCTCTACTAAATGGCAGCTCTTAATAACAGACTGTGAAGTCCAGGAGCTTACTAACTACAGTATTTTTTTTTAACCAAAGGACAAGAAGACATAGAATCTAAGCCAGACTGATGTCAGTGAATGTGATTTACATGGAAATAAGAAAATTCTGAATAAACAAAACTCGCCATACCAGGTGTGAAAAATAAGATCCTGAGGCACTGGTATTTTTAGCAGCCATTTTGCCTGTCATTCTTGTTTCATTTTCCTAACTCTCTGTGGGGATGAGTTTTTAAATAATTTAACTGCTAATCTTCAAACAAATTCTCATTCAAGGAGATTAACAAATGCCCTCCATTCATTTTTTCTTTCATTCATTTAGTAGGTATTTGTCCATTTAGCAGATATTTACTCAGTACCTGCTTTGGGCCAAGCACTGTGACAAGTGCTGGGGATATAGTGGCCGTTCCTGGCATCAACAACTTCTAGTCTAGTCCAGAAAACAGACAAACCAATCACCAGGTACAGCTTCCTTGAAGAGGTGGCACATGAGGAGTCATCTGGTGAAAGGTAGGAGAGTGGGGTGAGGGCAGGTCAGGATCAGGTAAGAGTAAAGCAAGAGAGATATTTGGGGGAAGGGCAGGTAAGAAGGCATGGTGGGGAGAAGCCCAGAGAGATGGGAAAAGTCCTGATCAGGAAGGATGGCTCTGGAACTTTGTAGCAGATTGAACATCTGCTTGAGCTAGAAAAAGCAGGCAAGGGCAGGGAGTGGGGAAGATTGATCACGGCCTCCCCAGAAGGGTTTCGTGTGGTTGTTTGTTTAGCTTTGTTTTTAGTTCTAGGATCTCAAATGGGCTAGATTCTGAACCTAGCTCCATGTTTAACCTGATGTTTGATCTTGGCAAGTCACCATCTCTCTCTAAGTCTCATTTTCATCAACTCTAGCTGAGGCTAAGAGAGGAAAGGGGAGGAATCCAAGATTATAAACCTTGAACCCAGGGTCCTGGCTCAACACACTGGCGAGTACATGAAACAGATCTGTTCATATCTAATGCTGGGGGGAAAGAGTGCTTATCGAATTGAGGATCTTTCAAAGGTAAACCGCATAAATAAAATAAATAGCATGAACATGAGTAAGTATGTGGCTAAGGTTAGTGTCTATGGCAGGATGTTATGGAGTCTAAGAATTAATAAATTCAAAATAAGAATAGATGCATTTGAGTAAGATTGGTATGTGAGGCCAACCTAACAAAATCACATACAGCCAGCATTTACCTCCTCTCACTCCAGAAAAGCCTGTCTTGCCCCTATTCTTTAAGATTATAAGGATATGGGCATCTTAGTCCATTTTCTGCTGCCAAAATAGAATAGCACAGACTGAGTAATTTTTTTAAGAAATTTATTTCTCATGGTGCTGGAGGCTGGGAAGTCCAAAAGCATGGAGCCATCATCTGGTGAAGGTCATCACATGGAAGAGGGTGGAAGGCAGAAGACAGAGAGAGGAAATCAGGCAAACGGATTATTTTTATTAGGAGCCAACTCTCGCAATAAGTAACCCACTCCTGCAATAATGCCATTAATCCATTCATGAGGTGGAGCCCTCTTGACCTAATCACCTCTTAAAGGTCTTGCCTCGGACGGGCGCGGTGGCTCACACCTGTAATCCCAGCACTTTGGGAGGCTGAGGCGGGCAGATCACTTGAGGTCAGGAGTTTGAGACCAGTCTGGCCAACATGGCAAAACCCCATCTCTACTAAAAATACAAAATTTAGCTTGGTGTGGTGGCGGGCACCTGTAATCCCAGCTACTTGGGAGGCTGAGACAGGAGAATCGCTTGAACCCAGGAGGCAGAGGTTGCAGTGAGCTGAGATCGCCCATTGCACTTCAGCCTGGGCAACAGAGCAAGAGTCCATCCCAAAAACAAAGAAACAAACAAACAAACAAAAAAGTCTTGCCTCTCAACAGTTGCAATGGCAATTAAATTTCAACATGCGTTTTGGCTGGGACAGTCAAACGATAGCAATGAGCAAGCACAAAAAAATGAAGCAGTTGTCAACACTGATGTCTTTCAGTGAGACCAGCTATAGAATGATTGCTAGCCAACTCCTGTCCAAAACCTACCTGGAATTTGGCAATATCTACTACAGATTTAAAATATTAATGTCCTATGACCTAGCAATTCCACTTCTGAGAATCTATTTTTTAAATAATGAAAGTTGCAAAGACTCCTGTACAAACATATTCATTGCCACATTATTTATAATAATAAAAATTAGAAACAAATGTCTGTTTTAAGCTGGGTTTCCCCCAGAAGTTGACCCTGAGACAAGGTTATGGATGCAAGTAGTTTATTTTAGAAGTGACCCTAGGAAGCACCAGTAGGGGGATAAGGCAGTGGGTCAGGCAAGGAAAGAAACCCTGTAAAGGGTAAGTTATCAAGCCGGTTTCCACCATGGGCAACTGGGGCTCAGTCCCACAGGGGAACCCTCAGAGACACTGCAAATCATACCTCAGAATGACCCCACCTGACAAGTGAGGAAGCTGGAGTATTTACCCATCAACTCTATATCTGTCATCATTTTCTGTGACTCCTGGGGGCATTAACTTCCTAGAACTTTCATTTTGTTCCACATGCAGGCTAAGTATACTCTCATAGATAGAAGAAAGTCCTCAGGAAAGTCATAGGTGTTCCCAGTAAGCAGCCTCCAGTGAATAGAGGTAAGTCCTATGTGACACAGCAGAGCACTGACAATGTTGAACATAGGATAAGTCGGTGAAAGACAAGATGATAGATGTTGAGGAAAAATAAGCATAAAGCCAATATACACTTATTTGGTGTTCCTTAAGAGATTAGAATAAATGAAGCACATGACAATATAAAAGCTAGAAAAGAGAACTTTTACAGAGACGGGAAAAAAACTGGTGTATGTGGGATTGAAAGGTTTAATCATGTGCTGTGCAAAATCAATAAAAGAGGCTCCATCTAAATATATTCTAGAAAACATTTAGAACTGAGAGCAATTTTTAAAATCCACACAGACAGAAAACTAAAGTTACCACAAAAAAACAAAACTCAATTTAACTTCAAACTTGTCTTTTGCAAAAGTAGCATGAAAGATAATAAAGTAACATTTACAAAGTTTTTGAGAGTAAGAAATGTTGCGTACCAATAACTTCATATAAAGACAAGTTGGCTTTTATATAGAAAGAAAACAGAGAAATTTGGGAGAGTAGTTCCACTCATTAAAAAAAAAGAAAGAGGATATAAAGCCTAAAGCATTTCCAAAGATGAAGTTCTATTAAAAATGAATATCTCAGTCAGAAATGTACCACACAAAAAATGAGGTGGCAGATCAGAACTGCAAAAACTGTAGACTTAAGCTATTAGAACTATCTAAATAAAAATTTTAAATTGTATATACTATGTATCAGAAACTAAAAGAGTCTTGAAAATATGAACACAAGGCTATGACAATAACTTAGCATTTATAGAATACTTCTCTCAACAATAGCAGAATATGTATTCTTCTCAAGCTCAAATGGAGCTTGAGAAGATAGACTAAGACAGACCACATTCTGGGCCATAAAACGCACCTTAATGCATTTAGAAGAATAGAAATCATGCCATTAATGTTCCCAGACCACAATAGAATTAAATTAGAAACCAGTAACAGGAAGTCCTAGCTAATGTGATAAGATAAGAAAAGGAAATAAAAGGTATACAGATTGGGAAGGAAGAAATAAAACTGTCTTTGTTCACAGATTACATGATTGTCCATATAGCAAATCCCAAAGAGCTGACCAAAAACAAAACAAAAACCTCCTGGAACTAATAGGTTGTAGGATACAAGGTTAATATACCAAAATCAATTGCTATCCTATAGACCAGTAACTAACAAATGGAATTTGAAATTTAAAATAATTCAATTGAAATTAAAATTTAAATTTAAAATATTTTATTAAAAAATTATAAAATAATACCAGTCATATTAGACTAAAAAAGAGATACTTAGGTATAAATCTAACAAAATATGTACAAGATCTATATGAAGAAAACTATAAAAATTTTATGAAAGAAATCAAAGAATTAAAAATAAATGGATAGCTATAATCATGTTCATGATTAGGAGGACTTAATGTTGTTCAGATATCATTTCTTTCCAACTTGATCTATAGGTTCTACACAATACCAATCAAAATCCCAGCAAGTGATTTGTGGATATTGACAAATTGATTCTAAAGTGTATATGGCTGGCCAGGCATGGTGGCTCACCTTTGTAATTCCAGCACTTTGACTGGGGAGGATCATTTGAGGCCAGGAGTTCAAGACCAGCCTGGGGGAACATAGTGAGACCCCCATCTCTACCAAAGAAAAAAAGTTTATATGATGAGGCAAACAACTCACAATAGCCAACACAATACTGGAGGACAACATAGTTAGGAAATTGACACTATTCAACTTCAAGGCTTACTATAAAGCTACAGCAATGAAGGCAACAGTGTGGCATTGGCAAGGGAATTTTAAAAGTCCCAGTAAAACATAATAGCATGAAAATAGGCCCATACAAATATAGTCAACTGATCTTTGGCAAAGGAGCAAAAGCGATTCAATGGAGGCAGAACAATCTTGTCAAAAAGGGTACTGGAACAACTGGACATTTTTACATGCAAAAAAAAATTAATCTACACACAGCCTTCATACCTATCACAAAAATTAACTCAAAAGAGAACATAAACCAAAATGTAAAATGAAAAACGATAAAACTCCTAGAAGATAACACAGGAGAAAATCTAGATGACCTTGGGTTTGGCAATGACTTTTTAGATACACCAAAGGCATGATCCATGAAAGAAAAAAAAATTTAAAGTTGGACATAAAAACAAATTCTATTCTGCATAAGATACTGTCAAGAGAATGAGAAGTCAAGCCATAGACTGAGAAAAGATATTTTCAAAGCATATATCTGATAAAGAACAGTTGTCCAAAATTACAAAGAACTCTTAAAACCTAACAATAAGAAAGCAACCCAATGTTTAAAATGGGCAAAAAAATCTGAACAAACACCTCACCAAGGAAAGTTATACAGATGACAAAGGATATCATACATCATTAGGGAATTGCAAATTAAAACAACAATAAGATACCACTTTACATCTATTAGAATGGCAAAAATCCAAAATACTAACAACACCAAATGCTGGCAAGGATATAGAAGAAAAGGAACTTTCATTCATTGCTGGTGGAAATGCAAAATGGCACAGCCACTTTGAAACACAGTTTGGCAGTTTCTTACAAAACTAAACATACTCTTACCATATGATCCAGTAATTACTCAGATAACTTGAAAATGTATGTCTGTACAAAAGCCTGCACACAAATGTTTATAGCAGCTTTATTCATAATTACTGTTATGGTTTGAATATTTTTGCCCCTTCAAAATTCATGTTGAAACTGAATCCCCAATGCAACAGTATTATTAAGAGGTATAGCCTTTAGGAGGTGATTGAGTCATGAGGACTCCACCCTCATGAATGGGATTAGATACCCTTATAAAAGTGCTTGGCAGAGGGAATTTGCGCCTTTTTACACATCCGTCCATTCTGCCATGTGAGGACACAGCATTCCTCCCCTCTGGAGGATGCAGTAACAAAGCACCATGTTAGAAGCAGAGCGAGCAGTCCTCATCAGATACCAAGCTTGCCTTGATCATGGACTTCCCAGCCTTCCGAACCGTGAGAAATGAAAAAACCCAGTCTGTGGTATTTTTTGTCACAGCACAAATGGATTAAGACAATTGCCAAAGTGTGGAAGTAACTAAGATGTCCTTCAATAGCTGAGTGGATAAATAATTACATCCATACAGTGGAATATTATTCAGTGATAAAAAGAAACAAGCCATCAAGCCATGAAAACACATGGAGGATCCTTAAATCCATATCACTAGGTGAAAGAAACCAATCTGAAAAGGCTACCTACTGTGTGATTCCAATTATATGATATTCTGGAAAAGGCAAAACTATGGAGACAGTAAAAAGACCAGTGATTGCCGGGGGAACTAAGGTATGAATAAGTGGATCACAGGGGATTTTAAGGCAGTGAAACTATTCTGTATTATACTATAATGATGGACACTTGCCATTATACATTTTTCAAAACCCATACACTATAAATAAAGAGAGTTAACCCTAATACAATCTACAGACTTTAGCTGGTAGCGATGTGTCAATGTTGGTTCATCAATTGTAACAAGTGCACCACACTAGTGGGGAAAGTTGATGGTCGTATGTGTGTTGAGGGGTGGGATTGCAGTATGTGAAAACTCTTCGCATTTTCTTCTCAGTTTTGCTATAAATCTAAGCTGCTCTAAAACAGTATATTAATTTTTTTAAAACTGACAAGAAAAAAACATAAAACCTAGTAGTCCTACAATTGTCACACACATTGAATTGTTTAAAAAATTTCCACAAAGGAATCAGCAAACCCAAAAGATTTTAATAGCAAAATCTTTCAAACACTTAAGAAAAAAAATCCTAATAGAAAATGGGGCGGGGCATGGTGGCTCACACTTGTAATCCCAGCACTTTTGGGGGCTGAGGCGGATGGATCCCCTGAGGTCAGGAGTTCGAGACCAGCCTGACCAACATGGAGAAACCCCGTCTGTACTGAAAAATTCAAAAATTAGCTAGACGTGGTTGTGGATGTCTGTGATCCCAGCTACTCAGGAAGGCTGAGGCAAGATAATCACTTGAACCCGGGAGGTGGAGGTTACAATGAGCCGAGATCACGCCGCTGCACTCCAGCCTGGGCGGCAGAGCGGGACCTCCATCTCAAAAAAAAAAAGAGAAAAGAAAAAGAAACAGAAAATGAGACTCACTGCGGTCTGACTGTTTGTGTCCCCCTCAAAATTCATATATTGCTACCTAATCCCCAGTGCAATAGCATTAAGAGGGGAGGCCTTTGGGAGGCGAGAGCATTCATGAATGGGATTAGCACCTTTATAAAAGAAGCCAAAAGGAGCTTGTTCACCCATTCTATCATATAAGGACACAGATAGAAGGTGCCATCTTAGAAGCAGAGAGAAGCCCTCACCAGACACTGAATGTGCTGTTGACTTGATCTTGGACTTCCCAGGCTCCAAAACTGTAAGCAATAAATTCACGTTGTTTGCAAATTGCCCAGTATCTGAGTTATTTTGTTACAGCAGCCCAAACAGACTAGACAGGACTATTCCCCAATTATTTCATGATGATACCATAAACTTGACACAAAACCTTGAAAATAACATTAAAAGAAAGGATAATTGATTATGGATCAACCTTATTCATGAGCTGGATACCAAACTTGCAAACAAAATATGAGCAAATCAAATCCAATAATATATAAAAATGATAGTATATCTTGCTCTAGATAAGGTATATCGCCAAAATACAAGGTGGTTTAACATTTTCAAAAATCAGATTAATATTAACAGGTTAAAGAATATGATTATCTCAATAAATGCAGAAATAGCATTTAAAAAATCAACATCCAATCTATGACATAATTCCCTAAAATCTAGGCACAGAGGGAAACTTCTTAACTTGATAAGTGTATCCCCCCCAACCAAAAAAAAACTATGGCAAAATACTATATTTATTTGTGAAACATTAAAACATTATTTTTAGATAGAGATCAAAACAAGGATGCCCAATATCATCACTTTAATTCATCATTGTATTGAAAGCAATAAAGCAAGAGAAAAGTTACATACATATTTGAAAGGAAAAAACAGAAGTGTCGTTACTCACAAATTATATAATTATATACACTCAAAACACAAAGAACTCTAGAATAAATTATTAGATTTTTTAAGAGAGTTTAACCAGTTGCCAAATAACCAGTTACAAAATTAATGTAAAAAGTTCAGTGCTGTTATATCCATCAGCAATAAACAAGTAGAAACTTCAATTTAAGAAGACCTAATATTTTCAATTTTATTTTTTAAAAAGACAAAGTGTTAGAAATAATTTCAATAAGATGCACAAGGCCTTTACTGAGAAAATAGAAAACTTTATTGATAGACATTAAGGAAAACCTAAACAAATTATAAATAAAACATGTTCATGAATTGAAAGGCTCAATGTCATACAAAGTATTAGCCCAAGCCACTAATTTATGAGAAATACAGAAGATAAAAACATGTTGAACTACACCATAAAAATACAATTCAGAATATGGAAAACTCTATAAGACCAACAATCCAGCTTCTTCAACAAATAAATTCCAGAGAAAATAAAAGATGGAGCAATACTTTATGTATTAAGTGAGATAAGACTACTGAAAGCCAACCCAAAACAAAATGTAGAAACAAAAACAAATAAATTCATGAAATGAATGAATGAGTTGGAAATTTAAACCTTGACTTTTAACAAGTCATCAAGTTGCCCTTGATGATATTAAAGACTTATTGTTAATTTTTGGGGAGTACAACAACAGTATTGGGGTTTTGATATCTTTTAGAGATATACACTGAAATATTTACAGATGAATTTAAATGACGTCTGGGATTTGTTTCAAAATAATATGAGCACAGGGGACGATGGGGGCACAGATGGTACCAAATTGGACAGGATTGATGGCTGTTAGGGCTGGGTAATGAGTACAAAGGGATACATCATACTATTTGTTTTGTATATGCTTAAAATTCCAATTTTTTAAATTAAACATATATATCAAATATACATGTTATCCCTTACTCATTTATAGACTTCATATAATCCTAATCAGAATCCCAACAGAAGACAAAATAAATGTAACATATATGCTAATAGAATACTAAGCAACATTTTACATGATGCTCTTAAAAAATATTTAACTACATAGAAAGTCATTTATACATATTATTAAAGCAAATTATGAAGGATTATGTGTAGAAAACTTCCATTTATATAAAAAATAGGCCAACTGAGGACCAGAGCTCAGACAAGGAGTTTTTGCAGAAGGTTAAGTATCAGAGAGGTATGTCCAAGTGAGTGCTTCTTAACATTCACTATGCTTTGGAATCATCTGGGGGGACTTTTTTTTTTTTTTTTTTTTTTTGAGGCTGAGTCTCGCTCTGTCATCAGGCTGATGTACACTGGCACAATCTCAGCTCACTGCAACCTCCACCTCCCGGGTCCCAGTTCAAGCAATTCTCCTGCCTCAGCCTCCCGAGTAGCTGGAGGCGTGCACCACCATGCCCATCTAATTTTTGTATTTTTAGTAGAGACGGGGTTTCACTATGTTGGCCGGGATGGTCTCGATCTGTTGACCTCATGATCCACCCCCTCGGCCTCCCAAAGTGCTGGGGTTACAGGTGTGAGCCAATGTACCCAGCCTCATCTGGGAGGACTTTCAAAATATACAGATCACCAGGCCCTACACCAAAATATTCTATTTCAATTGGCCTGAAATGGAGCCCAGGCATCCATAGATTTTAAAAACTCTTCAGGTGATTTCAATGTATTTCCAGGTGATTTTAATGTGCAGGACTGAGAACCAATTATCTAGATTTACAAAGAGAAGCATAGAAAGATGGGTGGAGAATAGAAATGTGATAGAGATGTAATAGATATATGATTGATGGACAGATGAAAGATTTTTAATAGGTAGATAGATACGTAGGTGACACATGGATAGATGATAGATTTTTGAAACATGATGGATGAGACAGAAATATGGATAGATAGATAGATAATAGGTAATTAAGTAGATAAACAGTAGACCTGAAGATCTGAAGGAAGGGAAGAGAAAAAAGAGGAAAAAGGGATGGGAAAAGAAGGAATGGAATTTGGAATGACAGGTCAGAAATGGCCCACAACTCAGACCCTCAATGGACAAAAGAAAATGAAACAAAAATGAATTTGGAAAAATAAAAGGTGAATAGGTACAGCTAATGCAATGAAATGTAAAAGTTGTCTGTTCTTTGATCTATTATTTTTATTTAGAATCTATACCCCCTACTCATTTCACAAAGATATCTGTGATGTCTTAAAAGTTAAAGAATGGGGAGTGACTGCTTAGTGGATAAGGGGTTACCTTTTGGGATGAGGAAAACATTCTGGAACTAGATAGTGGTGCAGATTGTGAGTGCACAATCGATTGCATGGCATTGTGAATTACTCGATGTCATTAATGGTAAATTTTATGTTACATGTTTTTTACCACAATAAAAAAAATATATCCAAGAAAGATGAATTTTAAACTAAGAGAACCAATTCAAAAGAGCAGAGGATGTTGCCAGACCATTGGGGTGAGTTAATAATTACCACCAGCACTAAATTCCTTCCATGTCTCCTAGCAGCAAAGCAAAAGAAGAAATCTGGCAGATTATGGGGTTTTCTGTATATGTTCATGGACTCTTTGTGTAGCAAGATCTCTGTCTCCTTTCATTGTGCCCATTTCTTTATCTCATTGTATCACATGCTGATGATGGCAGGAGTGAAAGTGGGAGTCCTTCGGAAGGTTAGACCCAGTCAGGAAAGGAGGATTTGCGCCGGCTGGAAGAGGCAAGTCTGAGCTCAGCTCCCTCCCAGTGGAGTGATATCCACTCCCAGCCTGTCATCAAACGGCTCCTGAAGAATAGCAGGCCCTGCCGCTGCCTGGCCTTGGCCTCACCGGTGGGGCAGATGGCTGTTTGTTCAGTCTGAGCCTGGTAGAATCAGCCCTGACACTGATGGCCCTGTCTGTATTATGGAAGAGGACCCGGCTTACCTGCCCGTAGACAAACAAAGCGGATGATTTGACAGGCAAAACAGAGCCAGCCTCCTGTCTCCCAGGCAGCTAAGGGGCTATTCAAACCCAAGACCTGGAAGATTTTCATAGGTGCTGACATACGAAGCCGGAATGCAGAAGGGACAAGACAGAACTGACACCTGTGCAGTCAGGCGTGGCCAGCCACTCTGGGTATCCACACTGCGCCTTCAGAAGCTTGGAGTAGGCTCCACCCAGGAGAGAGACAGGGAAGAAAAGGGGGAGGGGTGGGAGACAGAGAGGAAGGGGGAGGGGAGATAAGAGGGTAGAGGGAGAGAGAAGGGAGTAGAGGGATAGGGAAGAAGACAGAGAGGAAAAGAGAGAGATCGAAATTTGGGGGAGAGGGCCCCAGTTTTCAGGCCTGCACCTTCAGCAAACCTCACCTTTGCCGCTGCCCTTGTTATTGTTCGACAGAGGAAAACCTTCCAGGCCACTCTCCTGGGAGCACAGAACTGCTCCGGAGAGCCAGGAATACTGACCAAGCCACTCACAGCAGGGGCCGGGAGGGGCTGCAAAGGAGCATGTATGGAGTTCCCACTGTATCGTTGTATGCGAGAGGCACTAGCTGGGGGCTTTACCCTCAGTCGCTGATAGCACCTTCAAGGAGCCCCTAAGGTACATACCCTATTATCTCTCTACTTTGCACATGAGGAAACTGAGTCTCTATAACAGTAATTTGCCCAAGTCACCCAGCTGGGAAGTGGCATAGCTGGAATTTGAACCCAGGTCTCCCAAGCACCTGAGCCCTGCTCTTTCTCCCTGAATTAAGCCAGTTCGTAAGACCTACAAGGCCCTGGAATCCATCAAAGTGACTGTGGTTCTTTCCAGATCTGTGACCCCAGCCATATGCCTTCTCTTTTCTGAGTCTCAACTTCCTCATTTGCAATATGAGAGGAAATTGTTGTAAAAACTAAATGAGACAGGAAGGTGAGAATGCTTGGTCATCATTGGTATTAGGTCAGCATTGCAGAGCTTCATCACACTTTTTTTTTTTTTTGAGACTGGGTCTCGCTCTGTCACCCAGGCTGGAGAGCAGTGCAATTACAGCTCACTGCACCCTCAAAGTCTTCAGAGATTCTCCCACCTCAGCCTCCACAGCAGCTGGGACTATAAGTGTGCAACACTGCACTTACCTAGTTTTTTAAATTTTTTGCAGAGATAGGGGTCTTGCTATGTTGAGAAGGCTGGTCTCCAACTTCTGGCCTCAAGCAATCCTCTCACCTTGGCCTTCCAAAGTGCTGGGGTTATAGAATCACACTTCTTGACCATTCTCAAAAACCACCGCCACCCTCAAAGAAGGTGGCCAAATCTACACAGATAGAACTTTACCTGTCCCTCGCTCAGGACTCTGAAAGAGCATTCTCTGCCCAGAGCCATGAGCAACCTGAAAGCAGAATTGCACCCCATTTGTCTACCCCAAGTGATCATCACAGAAACCAACACTTAGTAGGGACTCAATAAATGCTATTGAATGAAAGAAAACATAAATCTGAATGAAAAGTTAGCCACAAGACATGTCACATGCTGTGACGAAAAGAGTTGGGAATCAAAAGAACTGGTTCTGGCTCTACTAATAATGCATTATGGGCACTCACTGGCCCTCTCTGGATCTCAGGGATCCCATTAATTGAACTGAGAGAGGTGGAGTAGGTATTCTTTGGCAGTCCATTTCAGCTCTGATTTTGTGTGAGGCTGTAGGGTTAATGGGAAAGAAAGATCACACCTTCTGCAGCCCACCCTCCCCTCTCCATGAAAAGCCAAAGCTACATTATGGGCATATTTGAGGATAGTCAGGGAACATTCTAAATAAATGGCATCTATGTAACTCCTGATTTAATCAGAAACAGACCAGCAACATTCTCAACAGCCAGATCCTTCAGTCTATGGAATACAGACTCACTCATGTGTGCACTGAGCCTTACAGTTTGCAAAGTGCTTCACCTCCTTTGTCTTATTTAAACCTCAGCACAGTCCTGTGAGGGGCCCTACAATGGCAGAAGTCATCACCCTGTTTTACTGACCATGAAACTGAGGTCACAGGGATGAAATGACTTACCCAGAGGCATACGGGGAAACAGTAGTAGAGCTGAGATGTGAACCCAGAACCAGGCTCCTGACCCCAAATTTAGCCTTCTTTCCTCTACACAGTTCACCTGTACACAGGCTGTGAGCAGGAGATGAACTCATTCAACCAAAGCCTGATTTGGAGGTTCACAAGTTTATCACCTGGGTGGAAAACTGCCCAGCACAGTGGAGCATTTTAAAGTCAAATTTGGAGCAGAAGAGTGCATGCAGTGATACCAGATGGGCTTGTGGCCATGGAGAGTTGGCTGTATGGGAGGCAAGAGGCCAAGCCTGGGCTGCAAGCCTCATATGCCACTCAGTGCTGCAGCTGGAAGGATGGCCTACATTCAACCTCTGAATATGGAGATACTGAAAGACAGCCATGCCCATAGATACATACCCACTGCCCAAGCTCCCTTCCCCATGCCTACCCTGTTCCCCCAGCTGTCCTGGTTGTCTCAACCCTTCCCCTGGGATGCCCAGGACCCACTTGCAACTAAAAGGTTAAAGCCTGGCATCGCAGGGGCCCGGTCTGAGCAGGCTTCCATTCTAATTGATCCAGGGCATATTCTGATTGGCCAATACCTCCTGCCCTGCAGAGTGTTAAAATTTTTTTCAGTTATAGAAAAATTTGAATTTTATTAGTTAAAACATTATATCTATGATACGTTCTTACCAAACAGTAGGAAATTGTAATTCCTGCAGCTAACATGAATTCTACTCAAGAACATGCTATTTCGGTTCTTTTGATGAAATTTTCTACCCTCAAAACTCTTCTTTCATCAATTAAAAAAAAAAAGACTAATTTACATCAATCGTTGTTATGCAACAGCTATTGCCATTTAATGGAGAAAGTGACCACCATTTCCCCTGCATTATTTCTACCATATAATCAGTTCCTAATAACCTATTATTGTCCTCCCATAAAAATCTCTGCATCCTAATGTCTTGGCCTGCTCATTTCATTGTTGGTAGAGCCTTTCTTTCCTATAACCTACAATACCCTCTTGTCAGAAAAGCATCCTGAACACAATAAGTATGATGACTGACATAATAATTTTACATTATACTCTACCCCTGCTCCAGGCTCTCTAATTCAGAAAATAGAATATTGTTAATATCACTCCATCAGGCTAGAAGAGACCTTGGGGAATGTCTTAGTGCTTCTCTATCATTTGAGTTTGAAGATACTTTTTTAACAGCTATAAATTCCACAGTCCTTGCAACATACAAAGTAGATAGACTTTTCAGTAAACACTGAGAAATTTTATGTCCAAAAAATGACCAAAAATTCAGTAACATCTTAAAATGAATTTGCATTTTATTTGTCACGCAGCTTGACATACATTTGAAAAGTAGTCATATATGCATATATACACACACACATACATACACACACACACATATATATATATAAAATACAGGTTGAGTATCCCATATCCAAAATGCTTGGGAACAGAGTGCTTCAGATTTTGGATTTTGGGGGATTTTGGAACGTTTGCATGTGCATAAAGAGATCTCTTGGGGACAAGACTCAGGTCTAGACACAAAATTTATTTATGTTTCATATATACCTTATAGACATAGTCCAAATGTAATTTTATACAATATTTTTATAATTTTATGCATGAAATAAAGTTTGTGTACATTGAACCATCAGAAGGCAAAGGTGCCACTCTCCCAGCCCCCCATGTGGACAATCTGGTTGTTTGGCATCACCATCATTCCTGACTCTGAATTTATATGCTTCTGATTAGCAATCATTTTCTTATGCTAATTCACACCTAAGTACTTGATAGTAAAAAATATGACATACCATTAATGCAGTAAAAAACTAATGTGTTCAGGGTAACTGAGCAGCACAGTAGCATCACCAGAATGCCTGCATCAACTGTAAAACAACAGCAACAAATAACAGCAGGCTTTCATTCCCCATCTATAATGCTGTTTTGATTAAAAAGTTACTGTACACTGTATATTTGGGGTGGGGAGTTGAGCCGGGCATGATGGTTCACGCCTCTAATCTCAACACTTTGGGAGGCTGAGGTGGGAGGATCACTTGAGGCCAGGGGCTAGAGACCAGCCTGGGTAACATAGTGGGACCCTATCTCTACAAAAATAAAAGAAATAAAAATTTAAACAAAATTAGCCAGGCATGGTGGTTCATGCCTGTAATCCCAGCTACTTAGGAGGCCAAGGTGGAAGGATCGCTTGAGCCCAGGCCCTCAAGGCTGCAGTCTTCTATGATCGTCCCATTGCACTCCAGCCTGGGCAACAGAGCGAGACTCTCTCTCTCAAAAAAAAAAAAAAAAAAAGCCCACAAACAGTTGAAGGATCAGGAAGAGGGTATGCTGAGGCCGAGATGGAGTCACTGGTGAGTTCCACCAAATGTTTAATGAATAACACCGATACTTCATAAATTATTCCAATAAGATAGAAGAGGAAGGAATACTTCACATCTCAATCCGTGAAGCCACTATTACCCTGATGCCAAACAAGACGAAGATATCATGAGAAAAGCATAGACCAATATATTTTATGAATATAGATGTAAAATCTTCAAGAAAATGCTAGCAAACTGAATTCAACAACATATGAAAAGGATTATACACCATGCCCAAGCGGTATTTATCTCAGAATGTAAGGTTGGTGCAGCATATGAAAATCAATCAATATACTATGACATATTAATAGAATAAAGGACAAAAACTACACAGTCATCTCAATAGAGGCAGAAAATACATTTGATAAGATCCAACTCCATTTCATGATGCCAAAAAAAAAAAAAAAAAACCTCAACAAAGTAGGCATAGGAGAGAATTTCCTCAATCTGAAAGAGGGAAGATATGAAAAACTCACTGCTAACATCATACTTAATGGTGAAAAAAATGAATGCTTTCCCTAAGATCAGGAAGAGGAAAAGGATGTACATTCTCCCCACTTTTTTTTTCAACTATTTTCTTAGATTCAGGGGGTACATGCGCAGGTTCATTACACGGGTAAATTGCACGTTGCTGAAGTTTAGTGTACAAATGATCCCATTACCCAGGTAGTCAGAATAGTACCCAACAGGCAGTTTTTCAACCCTTGCCCTGCTCCCACCCTCCCTCCTCTAGTAGCCCCCAGTGTCTATTGTTCCCATCTTTATGTCCATGTGTATTCCATGTTTATCTCCCACTTCTGAGTGAGAACATGTGGTATTTGGTTTTCTGTTCCTGCATTAATTCACCTAGAATAATAGCCTCCAGCTGCATCCATGTTGTTGCAAATAAAATGATTTCATTCTTTTTATGGCTGCATAGTATTCCATGGTATATGTATAGCACTTTTTTTTTAATCCAGTCAATCATTGATGGGCATCTAGGTTGATTCTGTATCTTCGCTATTATGCATACTGCTGCATTGAACATATGAGTGCATGTGTCTTTTTGGTAGAATGATTTATTTTCCTTTGGGTATATACCCAGTAATGGGATTGCTGAGTCAAATGGTAGTTCTGTTTTAGTTCTTTGAGAAACCTCCAAACTGCTTTTCACAGTGGCTGAACTAATTTACTTTCCCACCAACAGTGTATAAATGTTCCCTTTTCTCCGCAACTTTACCAGCATGTAATTTTTTGACTTTTTAATAATAGCCATTCTGACTGGTATCTCATTGTGGTTTTTATTTGCATTTCTCTGATGATTAGTGATGATGAACATGTTTTCATATATTTGTTGGCCTCGTGTACATCTTCTTTTGAGAAGTATCTGTTCCTGTCCTTTGCACATTTTTTAATGAGGTTGTTTTTGCTCATTGAATTGTTTTAGTTCGTTATAGATTCTGGATATTAGACCTTTGACAGATGCATAGTTTGCAAATATTTTCTCCCATTTTGTAGGTTATCTGTTTACTCTGTTGATAGTTTCTTTTGCTGTACAGAAGCTCTTTAGTTTAATTCGGTTCCACTTGTCAATTTTTGGTTTTGTTGCAATTGCTTTTGGGGACTTAGTCCTAAATGCTTTGCCAAGGCTAATGTCCAGAATGGTATTTCCAATGTTTTCTTCTGAGATTTTTATAGTTTTAGGTCTTACATTTACGTATTTGATCCATCTTGAGTTAATTTCTGTATATGAAAAAAGGTAGGGGTCCAGTTTCATTCTTCTGCATATGGCTAGCCAGTTATCCCAGCACCATTTATTGAAAAGGGAATCTTTTCCCCACTGCTTGTTATTGTTGACTTTGTTGAAGATCCAATGTTTGTAGGTGTGTGGCTTTATTTCTGGGTTCTCTGTCCTGTTCCATTGGTCTATGTGTCTGTTTTTGTAGCAGTACCATGCTCTTTTGGTTACTGTAGCCTTGTAGTATAGTTTGAAATTGGGTAGTGTGATGCCTATGGCTTTGTTCTTTTTGCTTAGGATTGCTTTAGCTATTTGGGTTCTTTTTGGTTCCATATACATTTTAGAATGATTTTTTCTAATTTTGTGAAAAATGACATTAGTAGTTTGATAGGAATAGTGTTGAATCTGTAGATTGCTTTCGGTGATATGGCCATTTTAATGATATTAATTCTTCCAGTCCATCAGCATGGGATATCTTTCCATTTGTTTGTATCATCTATGATTTCTTTTAGCAATGTTTTATAGTTCTCCTTATAGAGATCTTTCACCTTCTTGGTTAGACACATCTAACTTTGTGAGTGTGGCTATTGTAAGTGGAGTTGCATTCTTGGTTTGGCTCTTAGCTTGAACATTACTGGCATATAGAAATGCTAATAATTTTTGTATACTCATTTTTAAAAATAATTTTTTAAGAGACGAGGTCTTACTACATTGCCCAGTCTGGTCTTGAACTCCTGAACTCAAGCGATGCTCCCACCTTTGCATCCCAAAGTGCTGAGATTACAAGCATGAGCCACCATGCCCGACCCTGATTTTTATATATTGATTTTGTATCCTGACGCTTTACTGAAGTCATTTATCAGCTCTAGGAGCCTTTGGTGGAGTCTTTCTTTAGGGTTTTCTAGGTGTAGAATCATATCATCAGTAAAGAGAAATCATTTGACTTTTTTGCTTCCTATTTGGATGCCTTTTATTTCTTTCTATTGCCTGATTGCCCTGGCTAGGACTTCCAGTACAACACTGAATAGGAGTGATGACTCTCCCCACTCCTATTCAACACCATATTGAAGGTTCTAGCCAGAGCAATTAAGCAAGAAAAGCAGATACAAGGCATCCATATTGGAAAGAAACAAGTAAACCTATCTCTATTTGCAGATGACCTGATGATCACCTCTATTAGCAGATGATTTGCAAAGAAAATCCTAATGAATACACACACACACAATTAGAACTAATAAACAAGTCCAATAAAATTGAAGGATACAAGCCAATATACAAAAGTGAAGTATATTTCTATATGCTAACAATGAAAAATTAAAATGAAATTAAGAAAATAATTCCATTTACAATAGCATCAAAAAGAATAAAACATTAAAAATAAATTTAACAAAATAATTGCAAGGCTTGCCTACTTAAAACTATAAAACATAGTTGAAAGAAATTAAAGAAAACCTAAATAAATGGAAAGACATCCCATGTTTATGGATCAGAAGACATAATATTATTATGATGGCAATACTGCACAAACTAACCTACAAATGCAACATAATCCCTATCAAAATCTGTTTTATAGAAATTGATAGGCTGATCCTAAAATGCATATGAGAATGGAAAGGTCACAGAATAACCTAAACTATCATAAAAAAAATAAGAACAGGCCGGGCCTGGTGGCTCATGCCTGTAATCCCAGCACTTTGGGAGGCCGAGGTGGGTGGATCACCTGAGGTCAGGAGTTCGAGACCAGCCTGACCAACATGGAGAAACCCAATTTCTACTAAAAATACAAAATTAGCCAGGCATGGTGGCGCATGCCTATAATCCCAGCTACTTGGTAGGCTGAGCCAGGAGACTCTCTTGAACCCAGGAGGCGGAGGTTGTGGTGAGCCGAGATCGCACCATTGCACTCCAGCCTGGGCAACAAGAGCAAAGCTCCATCAAGAAAAAAAAAAAAAAAAAAAAACGAATAAAATTGAAAGACCCACACTTCCTGATTTCAAACTTACTACAACGACAGTAATCAAGGCAGTGTGATACTGGTATAATGCTGGACATATAGATCTAGAGGGAAATTTATAGCTATAAATGCCTATATTACAAAAGAAGAAAACATTATATTTTGCATTTCTCAAAACCCATAGAACTACACAACACAGAATGAGCCCTAATGTAAACTATGGATGTTAGTTAATAATAATATATCAACATTGGCTTATCAATTGTAACAAATGTACCACTCTAATGCAAGATGTTAATAACTCAATAAAATGCTAGCAAACTTAATCCAACAATATATAAAAAGGATTATACACCATGACCAAGTGGTATTTATCCCAGGAATGTTAAGGTTGATACTGCATATGAAAATCATTAATGGAATAAAATTCAAAGTCCAGAAATAGACCCTTGTATTTATGATCAAGTGATTTTTGATGAGGGTGCCAAGACCTTTCAATGGGGGAAAGAATAGTCTTTTCAACAAATGATGCCGAGACAACTAGATATCTTCCCCGCACCACCCCCCAAAAAAGAAGCTAGACTATGACCTCACATTATATACAAAAATTAGCTCAAAATGGATTACAAACTTAAATCTAAGAGCAAAACTATGAAACTCCTAGAAGAAAATGTAGGAGTAAACCTTTGTGACCTTAGATTAGGGGATGGTTTCTTAGATATTATTCCAAAAGCACGAGCAACAAAAGTAAGCTATATTGAACTGCATCAAAATTTAAAATTTTGTGCTTCAAAGGACACCATAATACAACCCACAGAATGGGAGAAAAGATTTGCAAATCATATATCTGAAAAGGGACTTGTACAAAGAATATGTAAAGAATTCCTACAACTCAACAGTAAAACAAGTAACCCAGTTTAAAAATAGGCAAAGAATTTCAAAGACATTTCCTGAAGCAGATATACAAATGGATGATAAGCATATGAAAAGATGCTTGACATCATTAGTCATTAAAGAAATGCAAATCAAAACCACAATTGGTTACCACCTCACACCCACTTGGATGGCTAAAAATCAAACTGACAGAGAATAACAAGTACTGGAGAGGATCTGGAGAAATTAGAATCACTGGGAAGGATGTAAAATGGTGGAGTTGCTGTGGAAAGCAGTCTGGTAATTCTTCAAAATGTCAAACAGTTAGCCAGCAATCCCACTCCTAGGTATATATCCAAGAAAACTGGAAACATGTCCATACAAAAATCTGTACACAAATGTTCATAACATTAGTCATAATAACCAAAAAGTGGAAACAACACAAATGTCCATCAACTGAAGGATGGATTAAAAAAAATTCATATAGACACAAGGGAATATTATTATGAAATATTATTCAGTGATAAAAAGGAATGAAGTAGTGATACATGCTATGATATAGGTGAACCTTAAAAATTATGCTAAGTAAAAGAGTCAGCCACAAAAGGCTACATATTGTATATTTCCACTTGTATTTAATGTCCAGAATAGGCAAATCCATAGAGTAGATTAGTAGTTGCCAGGGGCTAGGGAGAAGAAATGAGGAATGACTGCTAATAGGTATAGGGTTTCTTTTGGGGTAATGAAAATCTTCTGGAATTAGATAGTGGTGATGGCTGTGTAAGTCTGCGATTGTGTTAAAACCCAATAAATAGTATACTTTAAAATAGTGAATTTTATTTTATGCAAAATATATCTCAATAAAGCTGGATTTTTTTAAAAGGTCATTATAGCAAACCAGGCAAGAGATTGTTGTAGCTTAAACCAGGATAATGGCAATGAAAATGAACAGAAATAAACAAACTGAAAGAATTCTGGGGAAGTAGGAAAGATAGAACTTCAGAATTGATTGGCTATGGAGGGAGAATGAGAGTGATATGTTCCAGATAAATTAAGAAGCTAAATAATTTAAAATCATGGAACACAAACATTTGTAGGAAATATGCGTATAAAAAGTTTAGAAGGAAAAATACAAAAATGGTAATAATAGCTATGTTATAGTAAGAGAAATTAAATAACTTTTTAAAATCTCATTTTCCAGAATTTCTATAATGTGACTGACTATATTGCTTTTGTGTTTAAAAATAGTTTTTGGCCAGGCGCGGTGGCTCACGCCTGTAATCCCAACACTTTGGGAGGCTGAGATGGGTGGATCACCTGAGGTCAGGTGTTCAAGAACAGCCTGGCCAACACGGTGAAACTCCGTCTCTACTAAAAATACAAAAATTAGCTCGGTGTGGTGGCACATGTCCATAATCCCAGCTACTCCAAAGGCTGAGACAGGAGAACTGCGTGAATCCAGGAGGTGGAGGCTGCAGTGAGCCAAGATTGTACCACTGAACTCCAGCCTGGGCAACAGAGCAAGACTCTGTCTCATAAATACATAAATAAAAATAGTTTTTAAGTTTTGTAAAAATTATCAAAGAACAGGGTATCATATTTATCCCAACTATGAAGAAGTAATGATTTCCTATTAATTGAATCAACAGAAAAAATTACAAAGGAAAATATTCAAACATGAATATATGAAACTTTTTATGTATACAATCAAAATTTTAAAATAAAGAAAATCAAATTCATCAATGCTATATACCATATACATGCTAATATAGGCTTATTAATTTTTTAAAAATCAACCATCCAGTATAAGTAGAGAGAAAAATAACATTAAAGACAGTCGATTTTCAATGACAGTGCCAAGGTAATTCAATGGGAAATGATAATTTTTTCAAGAAATGGTTCTGGAATAAATAGGTACCCATGTTGAAAAACAAATGAATCTCAACTCTTACACCATCTAAAACAACTTGAAGTAGATCATTAACTGAATATAAGAGCTAAAATGTACAGAAAAAATGTAGAATATTTTAGTGACTTTGGGTTAGGCAAAGATTTTTAAAATAGGGCACAAAAAGCACCAACTATAAAAATAAAAATTCAATAAATTGGACCTCATCAAAATTTACATTTGCTCTTCAAAAGGCACTATGACAAAAACGAAAAGACAAACCACAGACTAGAAGAAACTATTTGCAAAACATATATTTGACAAAGTACTGGCATAAAGAATATAAAGAATTCTTACAACTCAATAAGACAGCAAACAACCCAATTAAAAAATTGGCCAAAATTTCACCAAAGACATGTCATTAAAGAAGATCTACAGATGGAAAAAAGCACATAAAAAGAAGCTCAACATTGTTTGTGGTAAGCAGCTTCTAAGATGGTCCCCAGTGATTTCCACATTCTCGTATTCACACTCTGTGTGATCCCTTCCTCTTGAGTATAGGTTGGACATAGTCACTCCTTTCTAACAAATAGAATATGAATAAAAGTGATAGAAAGCAGCTCTGAGATTAAGCTACAGAAAGACTGTGGTTTCCATTTGGGTTCTTTCTAGTTTTCTTTCTCAGTTCACCAGCCTGAGGATGCTCGGGCAGCCTATGGAGGTCCACATGATGAAGAACTGAGGTTAACCAACAACCATGTAAGTGAACTGGAAGTGGATTTTGCAGTCCCAGTCAGCCTTGAGATGATTTCTACTTGACTGCAAACTTATAAGAGACCCTGAACTAGCCTCACCCAGCCCACCTAAGCCACACCCAGATTCCTAACCCGCAGAAACTGTGAGATAATAAATGTTTGTTGTTTTAAGCCAGTAATTTGGGGGTAATTGGTTGCACAGCAGTAGATAACAAATATATTATTAGTCATGAGGTAAATACAAACTAAAGCTACCAATGAGATACCTATACACTCCCTAAAATAGGTAAAATTTAAAAGACTGAAAATGTCAAATGTTGTTGAGGAGTAGGGCAACTAGAACTCTCATCTACTGGTAGTGGAAACGAAAGAAATACAGCTACTTTGTGAAACGTATTTGGCAGTTTCTTAAAAGTTTAACCATACTTTCTGCACCCATAAAAAAGAACAAGATCGGCGGGGTGCGGTGGCTCACGCCTGTAATCCCAGCACTTTGGGAGGCTGAGGTGGGCGGATCACGAGGTCAAGAGATCGAGACCATCCTGGCCAACGTGGTGAAATCCCATCTCTACTAAAAATACAAAAAATTAGCTGGGCATGGTGGTGCCCGCCTGTAGTCCCAGCTACTCGGGAGGCTGAGGCAGGAGCATCACTTGAACCCAGGAGGCGGAGGTTGCAGTGGGCCAAGATTGTGCCACTAAACTCCAGCCTGGCAATAGAGCGAGATTCCATCAAAAAAAGAAAGAAAAAAAAAAAAAGAACGAGATCATATCTTTTGTGGGAACATGGATGGAGCTAGAGGGTATTACCCTTAGCACACTAATGCAGGAACCGAAATTCAAATACTGCATATTCTCACTTATAAGTGGGAGCTAAATTATGAGAATTCATGGACACAAAGAAGGAAATAACAGAAACTGGAGCCTACTTGAGGGTGGAGGGTGGGAGTAGGAAGAGGGGCAGAAAAGACAGCTATTGAGTACTGGACTTAATACCTGGGTGATGAAATAATCTGTACAACAAACCCCCATGGTACAAGTTTACATATGTAACAAACCTTCACATGTACCCCTGAAACAAAAAGTTAAAAATAAATAAATAAATAAATAAATAAATAAATAGAAAAAAATTAACCATACTTTCAAAAGGAGTAATCTCTATTGAAAAAAAAATTTTAAATAAATAAAATAGAAATAAATTTAAGCATACAACTACCATATAACTCAAACATTCCTCTCCTAGGTATTTACCCAAGAGAAATGAAAACATATGTCCACACAAAGACTTATACTCAAATATTCATAGCAGCTTTATTTGTAATAGCCAAAAATGGAAAAAACCCAAATGTCCATCAATAAGTGAATGGATAAACAAATTGTGATGCACCCATATAATGGATACTATTTAGCAATATAAAGGAATAGACTATTAATACCACAACATGGATGAATGTCAAAATAGTGTACACTACATTATTTCATTTATATAAAATTCTATAAAATGCAACCTAATCTATAGTGATAAAGTAGTTCAGTGATTGCTTATGGGTATTGGGAGTGGGGAATAATTTGGTCACAAAACAACAGGAGGAAACTTTTAGGGGTGATAAATATGCTAATTATCTTGATTTTAGTGAGTTACAAGATACCCTTGGAGACAACTTAGTAACACTATATTAACCATAAAAAATTTGTGGCCCCATAAATCTTGTTCTTGGGAATTTGTCTTAAGAATATTTCAAAAAAATATAAAAAGCTTTTCATACAAATACATTCATAGTAATTTCACCTACACCAAAGATACTGGAAATTACCTAAGTGCCTAGCTACTGTGAAAGGGTTAAATCAACACTAGACCATTTCCTTCACAATTACAGATGAAAAACAAGAAGTGAGGAGCAGCATTTAGCTATGTTTATAAAATAATGCAAATGCACTTTGTAAAAAACTACGGAATTGTACTTATGCTATGGTTACACTTATGTAAACATGCATACTTATGCATAAGAACACAAAGGTAAGAAAAACAACAGAAAATTCTAGTAGATGAATGATAGGTAATTGGCATGTGGGTGACTTTTTCTTCCTGATTTGTCTCCTGTAACATTACAATGTTTTCATAACAGTTTTTAAAATGTCTTCTTGTTGGTTTTGGCTCAGGCTCCCAACCCAGTGATTATTCCATGCCTTGAGTCTGTCAGCTCCCAGCATTAGCACCTCAGTGTGGTCAGCCACAAGCCCAATCAGCCTGCCTTCCTCTGTGTCTTCCTCTAAGTCAGGAGTGTCCAGTCTTTTGGCTTCCCTAGGCCACACTGGAAGAAAAAGAATTGTCTCGGGCCACACGTAAAATACACTAAAACTAACAATAGCTGGTGAACTAAAAAAAAAAAAAAAGAAAGAAAGAAATCTCATAATGTTCTAAGACAGTTTAAGAACTTGTGTTGGGCAGCATTCAAAGTTGTCCTGGGCTGCATGAGGTCCGCAGGCCACAGGTTGGATGAGCTTGCTCTAAGTCATTGATAAAATGCTGGACAGGCTTAGGGTATGGTATAAAGGATGCCCCCTTTTCTTCTCTTGGTGGAAATCATCTGTCACTGTTTGACTCTTTAGGTTATTTCAATCTAATAAATGACAAATTCTAGAAACCCACTTCCCAAGGAAGGGGTACTAGAAGGTGGATTAACAAAGTGAACCTGAGGAGCGAGTGGAACTGCTTACCTGTGCTTGGATAGTCTTGTTCATTCACTGGGTAAAGCTGATGTCAATCATCTCTGGCCAGCAAATGCCCCAACTTTCAGAGGCAGCTCCACAAACCAGAGATGAGAATATAGTAGGAAGTCTATGAGAGGGTTAAAACTTTGAAAACAGAAGTGACAGAAGCCTGCACAGGCTTTCAGAGAGCATTAATATGATTCTTTCCATAGCTGGGCCCCTGCTTTGCTTAAAAGAGTCTTGTAGGGCAAAGCCCGAGTGGTCAGAGAGCTACTGGAACACCAACCCCACAAGGCAGCTAACTGACAGCCTTTCCTAAGCCTTGTCAACTCCACCTCCTGGCCATTTCAGAAGCAATCTTTCCTCTCCTTCCTTTCACTTCTTTCCATCCTCGCAACCCTTACACACATCCAGGGCTTCACCACTGTGTTAGTCCTCTGACCCAGAGCTCTGTTCCAGCAGTATGTTTGGTCCCACCACCTATGGACAGTTTGGCCTCGCCAGGGCTCAGGGAAGGCAGGGAGCGCTACACACCAGCCACCCAAGGTGAGGCCCCCTACACAGACCTGAGCAGCTGTTCCTCATCTTTTCATATTCCTGAATTACATTTAAACCCACAACAGGAGGGCAAGCTCAGCTCTCCTGGCCAGCCCCAGGGTTCCCTAGAGTCCTACCCTAGTGGCTGATAGACATGATGACCATGCGGATGGCTTCAGGACTGACAAAAACACCCCTGAACCTATAGAAGCTGGGACCCTGCTCAGTGCTGAATCTTTCCCCGACCCTCCTGCCAAAAGTTGGGCTACATCTGCCCAGGCAAAGGCCAGGGCTACATGCACATGCAAGACCCTAAGTTTCCAGGACACCAGGGAGAAAGGTTGCTCCTGTGAGACCCTCAGACCCCAGCCCAGTAGGGCCAAGTTAGCCAAACTCTCCCTCAAAGCTTCTTATTTCTAGACCCCAGGATAATCCCTGGGTCCCCAGTACCTGAACCTAGGGTAGAAGATGGTGCTCCGAGTCTGAATCTCCCCTCATGCCTGCTTATCACCTGCAAGACCCCTGCTTCTGGGCTGCTTTGCAGTTGCCCACCTGTCTAGATGGCCTACCTTTCCATTACCATGCCTTCCAGATCCAGTGCTCTGCCAGTTATCCTGGATATGCTCCCAATGCCCAGTTAGTGACAGGCCTGAGAGTAGCCCCTGGGTCTCCTGATACATTAGTGTATTTAATATGTGCAAAGTGGTTACAACAGTGTGTGTTCATGGAAGAGTTATGTATGTCTGAGTTAATATTACTAACTTTCACAACTCTCTTACATTACTATTTATCCCCATTGTATAGATCGACAGGTTGAGGCTGAGTGGATAAGTGACTGGCCCAAGGCTGCACAGCTTGGAAGAGGCAGAGACAGGAACTGACCCAAGACTGGATGACTGAGTAACAGGCTCTCACAGGAGGGTCACATTGTGACAGAAGACTTGGTGGGGGGCAGTGTCCTCAGATGCTGGGAAAGGGAAGACCAAGGGAGAGTGGAAAGGAGCTGCATTGTGTAGGGAGGGGGTCTTGAATGACAGGCCCAGGAAATAGCACTTGATCTTGCAGGAGGATGATGGGAAGCATTGAGGGTTTGTGCAGAGCCAGCAGGAGCGCCCGCTGGGAGCGGACTGTTTAGAACCTTGGACATGTGGAGAAAGCTGATGCCGCATAACCCTGTGTGCCTCTCCTCCCTAAGTTAGGCTCTGCCCAGCAGAGGAAGCTCTTGGGCAGAAAGGCGGAGGATCTGACTCCCACGGGCTCCAGGGTCCTCCTGGGTGGATGTCCCTCCGTCCTGTCTTGCCACTCTCTGTGCCATCCTCCAGGACAAAGGAGGCTCGTATGGGCAACTGGAACCCGGCTGGAGTGTGCAGCTGGCCCCCTCACTTCCAGCCCGCAGGCTGCCGCGGGGGTGACTCCCGGGAGATGCGCCTAGAGAGGCAGGACACCTGCACGCATATTCGTAACAGAGGCAGAAATACTGACGGCGAAACCTAGAGAGACTTGCACTCCAGGCCCGGGGGGTGGGGGGGCGGGGGAGAAGCCTTAGGGAGAGTGGGGAGGAGGCCAGAGGAGAGCTGGCTGCTCTCTCGTGTTGAGGTTCAAGTGTCTTCCAGCTCCCCGCGCCCCCTCCTCACCGTGCCACCGCCCACCTCATGCTTTGGGCGCCAAGCAGCCAAGCAACCGGGTTGCGTTGTAGGGGGAGGCAATCAGCCCTGTTACCCCTCCTCAGGCGGCCGGACTGAGCTGCGGGATGGGATCCCTACAGAGACTGGCCTGGGTAAGGGGAAAAAATCACTGCCTCTTCCTGTGCCTCTAGTGGTTGAACTAGAATCCTGGCTAGCTCATCTCGCTTTTGAAGGGGGAAGGGGAGTAATCATCGGCTCTTTTGAGATTGTCTTGCAAACCATGGACTCTCTCCCCAGAAATGAACACCCACAATCTAGTGTGTAAATTTCAGGTTTCCAAGTGTTCCAAAGCCGCGCACAAATTTCGGAACCAGACCAAGAATCCTGGACTCTAGACGTTGCCTGGGGGCCGATCCTGCGCCCAGGGTCCCAGAATCTAACTGAAATGCGCCTGCGGGCCGCCACCTTCGCCCCGGGCCACGGCTTTGCCAGGAATGCCCGCCGCCACAGCTGAACTCCCGCCCGCCCGCCTGGGTCGGATCAGACGCGGGTAGTGGCTTGCGCTTCGTGGTCCTCGGGTCCGGAACGCAGGGAAAGCGCGTGGAGCCAACCTAGAGCGGGAGCAGGGTCTGGCTTGACTCTGTCCCCGATTCGTTGTGCGCAGTGGGACAAGTCCGCGCCGTCCGGAGCCGACTTCCCCTTCTCGTTGTGGCCGTAAAGCTGCTGGACCTCCAAGCCGGCTCCTGCGCTCCCCGCTGCTCTGAGAACACTGAGTGTCCCGGGCCCGCGCAGACTGGGTTGGGAGAGGGCTCTGTGGGAGGGCTTGCGGGGAGCGGGGTAAGAAAGGCTAGGTGCTTCTTACCTACGTAAGAAACGTTGGTGGCGGGATCTAAGCAAACGGGGAGGTGGGAAGCAGAAGGTTCCCCTTCCTGGGCCCCAGTTCCTCCATCCTGTCCCCTGGGTGACAGTGATTCGCTGTTCATAGTGTTTAAGTGGACCAACTTAAAGGGAGAGAGCGCTTGCCGAGCTCTGGGAAACCGAAAGGGTCCACGCCCGCGGGAGCCTCGGAGACTCAAAATCCCCCGCTAGACCGCAGAAAATGTTACACTTTAATCAACCGCTACTTCTTCCGTGGAGAGGGGCGGTGGGTGGGGGTGTGCGCATCTCATCGCGGCCTGTGAGTGGAACAGGCTAGAATTATCCCCAGCGTCTTTTTTCCATGTCCAAGTTTCGCCTTAAAACAATTTAAAAGAGGAAGAAGAGGACCGCGCGTCTGTAAGGCGCTCCACTTTATCACCTTGACTCGGTGGAAGAGAAAGCACAGATATGGGATATCCCCACATACACACTTCACAGATAGAGAAACTGAGGCCTAAGAAGGGCAGTGGATGGTTTAAAGTCGCTGGGTGGGTCTTGAGCAATCTTGGGTGGAAACCCTCACAACACTGGTGCTGCCTTACATGGATGTCTTCTGTGGTCAGCAGGACGAGTGTGACTTGGGGGCCCCCTTTTGTGACAGTGTCTTGCTCTGATGCTCTCTAGGGCCATACAGCCCACTGACCCAGACAGAATGCACTGGAGTAACCTAAACAGGTCACTGCGATGCTGCTGTAAGGAGATCCTTGGATCAGATTTGCAAGTGTGGACGCCTGGAGTTTTGTTGTTCAGTAAAAAGGGCAGCCCAGGCCAAAGAATTAAGTACAAGTAAGGCTCTGAGAACTCAAGAAAAGACAGAGAGGCTTTGGGGCCAAAGAGTAAGGCCCAAAGACCTGAGTTTCCTTCTCAGCCCAAGGCTTTTCTCTCTACAAGTCCCTTCCACAATCCAGGCCCAGTCTCCTTCCAGCTTGAATTTCCATGGTTTCTTTAATAGAAGAACTGGTTACCTCTGCGTCTGCATGCAGGGGAATCTCCGTCAAGGAATCTGGAGGAATTTTCCTTGACTCCTTGGACCCCTCTCGTTTTTATTTACAAAGTCGCCCATTCAAAACTGAGGAAAGCAGCTGTTGCAGAAGAACATCTTCTAAAGATTCCCAATAGCACCTCCAGCCCCCTATGCACATAAAATGGCCTGCTGCAGGCTGGCTTCTCCAGGGGTGCTGGGAATACTTGAAGGGCTGAAGATCAGTGGGAAGCAGAAATCACTGGCCTGCCCACATCAACACCAACCCACCCCTGCTGGATTGGGAGAATGATTTCCAAGGGTCTGGAACCTGCCCTTCCTAACTTCCAGATGATTCATAAACGTTAAGGAGCACTGTGGCAGAGAAGAGGGGAGGACTTGGCCATGACCATGTTCCTTCTCAAGAAACTGAGAAGGAAGCAATGGGAAGAGATAGGAAATGCCCCGAGGAGATTTTTGTGTATGGTTTTGATCCAAACGGGTAAACTTGTGACCTGTGTACTCACCAAATCATTTAATGTGAACTCACTGTGGACTCACAGAATCTTCAAATGCATTATTCAAAGAGAACATTTATGAAATAGAAATTTAGGGGTCCTTGGTTTGCGAAAATCTTAGAATCATGATCTTGGAAATTCTAATCTCATGATGCTAGGTATTTGGTCTCGGCCACAGGAGTAGCTTGATATTAACAAAGTTTGAGAAAACCATCAGAATTCTAGAAGAATGAGGTCACAGACACAAGACACTGAAGAACAGAAAATCCTGAGACAAGAAGGCTTTTAGCCATAGTCGTTGCAGCTTAAAAGTAGAGGATCATAAAGTCATGGGACTAATCATTACAGCATATAATCACAAACATTAGAAGAATTATTGGAATCAGATTATTTGAACTACAGAATAGCAGATCCAGCACTAACATTTTAGAATTAAGGAAGGAGAGAACTGCGGATTTACAGGATTCAAATTCTTCCAATCAGACATTCCTAAACAGGAATTCAAATTAAATAATATATAACTTAGAGTGGAAAAAATAAAAAACTGGAGAAGTGGCAGCTTCAAGAGTGGCATCATATTTTCAGGCACAAAATCTTAGGTCCCCGTTTTTTGTTTGTTTTGTTTTGCTTTTAAGAGACCGGGTCTCCCTTTGCTGCACAGGCTGGAGTGCTGTGGCTACTCACAGGCACAATGATTGTGCACTACAGCCTGGAACTCCTGGGCTCAAGCGATCTTCCTGCCTTAACCTCCAGTAGCTGGGACTACAGGCTCCCGCCACCGTGCCTGGTTTAGTCCCAGTATCTTAATACATAGGTTTTTAGACTTTGACTAGAAGCTTAAGTCAAAGGAATATAAGCATAGTCAAAGTTAGACTCCCAGTCTTGGAATCTTAGAATTACAGGGTCGCAGGATCGCAGGATCGCATTCTTTAGATTTATGGAATCACGTTAGGACAACGGTCGTCCAGAATTTAAAATCTAGATATCTGAATCTCAGAATCTTGAAAGTTACTGAGAGCCACGAAATCCCGTATTAAAAGGTGCCTATAATATAATCCAGTTAAAAATTTTAAAATTTGAAGTTTTTCCTCCTTTGTAAAAACGAAACAGGACGAAATCTGGGTTTTTTGCTTCTCCATTACTTGGGAAGAAGGAAACCAGGAGTTTTGTTTAGCGAGTGTAAAGCCCCTCTCCCTTCGTTCGACCAACCCTCTGCCGCAGAAGGTTGTCAAGCAAACGCTTTGAGCGTTTCCACACACCGGGTCGACGGAGCAAGGATCTGGGCTTTGCCTCGCTCTTCCGAAGGCAGCTGCCCAACGCTTGGCCGGGCTTAGCCTGCCCTCAGCTCACCGCCACGAAGAACGCGACTAAAACCCTGGAAGGCATGCCACCCGTTACTGGCCAGAACTCTCGTCTTGGGATCTCCCACACTCACCTGGCACCACCATCCGCGCGGCTCTGCACCCACAGCCCCGGCCCGCCCCCCCCCCCCACCCCGGAAAGCTGCGTCCGGGCTGGAGCCACTGGAACCCGCGCCAAGGCCCGGAATCCTATACGTAGCAGGGGCCTCGGAGATCAGCACACGCCCTCCAGCTGCTATTTAACAGAGTAGAACACTGAGGCCCTGCGAGGGGACAAGGACAGGCCCTGGATCTCCCAGTGAATGGCCAGGGAACGAACCCGGGCCAGAGGGGCCGCGCCGCGAGGATCTCAGGTTAGGACCAAGTTCCGGCTCAGGGACAGCAGGAAAGGAACTCAGAAATTGGACACCCATGAAGCAAACGTGTCCCGACTGCCCGCCCCTTCCCCCGGAGACGCGCCCACCCGGCCACCGCTCTCTTCCCACTCCCCCATTACCCGCAGCCCTCACTCCCCGCTGCGGGAAGGGGCTGCTTGGCTGCCTCTGGGGGTCTTCAGAGCTACCCTGGTCCCGGGGGATTGGAGGAGGAGGTTACCTATCCTGCGTCGTCTTTAATCCGTGCACCACTATCCATCAAATAGAGACAGATCCTGGGCCTCTCAAAGACGGATGATTGGGGGTGGTGATTGGCCTATCCCTAAATATCTACCACGCAAGGACTCTTGAGAGATCCAGACCCCGGTACAGTCGAGGGACCTGGGGCCCAAAAAGGGAAAGCGGCTACCTCTACCACACAGTTGGGAAGCGCAGTCCTAAAGGAGACGCAGGTTGGAGACTCCGCTAAGCGGAGAAGCCGCAGTGGGGCCATGGCAAGTCACCTTCCCTTTCGGGCCTAGGAATACTCATTCGAAAGATGGGGGGACTGGAGTGCCGAGTGGCTGTGGCAGCCACGATTGGGGTTTGGAAACCATCCTGAAAGGCCCGGGGAGCCAGTCTCCTGGAACTTCTCCCTCCCCATTCCCACAAAAACCAAGCGCCCTCTCGGCCAATTCTCACCCTCTCAGGACAAAAAAGTGAGATGAGCCCGTCCTTTCACCTGCGAGTCCAAGCCCTTGGCAGAGGCCTGAAAAGTCCGAAAACTCCGAGTTCGGGCGCTGAGGTCTCCCGAGCCGGTTCCTGAACTCTCCGGGCCTCAGTCGATCGGGGTGCGGAGGGGGCCGACCCGGGGGATCTCCAAGCGCCCTCCCCGCCCTGACGCTGTGGGGCTCCTACCGCGCCGCCACAGCTGCTCCTACCTGGGGAGGTGCGCCCGGGCCCCGGGGGGCGGGCAGTCGGGGGGCGGGCAGGGAACCGGTGCCGCCCCACGCTTCGTGGCCCCTTTAAGGAGGGGAAGCCGGCGGAGGGAGGAGCCGGTCCGGTGTGTGCAGGGGAGCGCCTCGCCAGCGGTCCGCAGGGCTGGAGACCCACGCCGTGGAGAGGACCAGCCTCAGGTCGCCCCGCCTGGGCCCGCGCCCCGACCTCGCTGCCCCCGCCTCGCCTCTCTGCCCGTGGCGCTTACGGCCACCTTGGCCTCGGGGGCAGGGCATGGGCGGCCCCCGCCAGATCGCCCAGCGCCAGTACTAACTGCCCTCGCTCTGGCCTTCGAGCCCGAAGCCTCTTCTGCGCGCACAACCTAGGCAGTAATCCTAAACTAGCGGGCACCACAGACCAGCTGCAGCCACCCCAACCCAGGGATCACTTCCGGACCCCTCGACCGCCCGGCACCAGCGCGCAAGGGACCCTTCAGCCGGAGACCAGAGTCCAGTCCCGGTCACGAGGCCACCGCCGCTGCCCGCCTCGAGAAGCACCACGCGGGCTGAGCCGTCGGCTAGCGGGTCACTCCCGAGCCTCTGTCTGCACCGCGCCAGCCCCAGACCACGGACGCTGAGCCTCCAGCGCGTGCCAGCCTGGGCCGCTGGGCTCTCGGGGCCAGCCCGCGACGATCCCCTGAGCTCTCCGCAGAAGGGCCGAGCGTCCGTTCCGGGGACGCCAGGCCCGCCCCCGCCCCCCGACAGCCGCGGGGATCCAGAGCCCGGGGGTGCGGGACGCCCGCGCCATGACTGCCGAGAGCGGGCCGCCGCCGCCGCAGCCGGAGGTGCTGGCTACCGTGAAGGAAGAGCGCGGCGAGACGGCAGCAGGGGCCGGGGTCCCAGGGGAGGCCACGGGCCGCGGGGCGGGCGGGCGGCGCCGCAAGCGCCCCCTGCAGCGCGGGAAGCCGCCCTACAGCTACATCGCGCTCATCGCCATGGCCATCGCGCACGCGCCCGAGCGCCGCCTCACGCTGGGCGGCATCTACAAGTTCATCACCGAGCGCTTCCCCTTCTACCGCGACAACCCCAAAAAGTGGCAGAACAGCATCCGCCACAACCTCACACTCAACGACTGCTTCCTCAAGATCCCGCGCGAGGCCGGCCGCCCGGGTAAGGGCAACTACTGGGCGCTTGACCCCAACGCGGAGGACATGTTCGAGAGCGGCAGCTTCCTGCGCCGCCGCAAGCGCTTCAAGCGCTCGGACCTCTCCACCTACCCGGCTTACATGCACGACGCGGCGGCTGCCGCAGCCGCCGCCGCCGCCGCCGCCGCCGCCGCCGCCATCTTCCCAGGCGCGGTGCCCGCCGCGCGCCCCCCCTACCCGGGCGCCGTCTATGCAGGCTACGCGCCGCCGTCGCTGGCCGCGCCGCCTCCAGTCTACTACCCCGCGGCGTCGCCCGGCCCTTGCCGCGTCTTCGGCCTGGTTCCTGAGCGGCCGCTCAGCCCAGAGCTGGGGCCCGCACCGTCGGGGCCCGGCGGCTCTTGCGCCTTTGCCTCCGCCGGCGCCCCCGCTACCACCACCGGCTACCAGCCCGCAGGCTGCACCGGGGCCCGGCCGGCCAACCCCTCCGCCTATGCGGCTGCCTACGCGGGCCCCGACGGCGCGTACCCGCAGGGCGCCGGCAGTGCGATCTTTGCCGCTGCTGGCCGCCTGGCGGGACCCGCTTCGCCCCCAGCGGGCGGCAGCAGTGGCGGCGTGGAGACCACGGTGGACTTCTACGGGCGCACGTCGCCCGGCCAGTTCGGAGCGCTGGGAGCCTGCTACAACCCTGGCGGGCAGCTCGGAGGGGCCAGTGCAGGCGCCTACCATGCTCGCCATGCTGCCGCTTATCCCGGTGGGATAGATCGGTTCGTGTCCGCCATGTGAGCCAGCGTAGGGACGAAAACTCATAGACACATCGGCTGTTCACACGTTCCCCGCAATCTGAGAACGAACAGGAATGGAGAGAGGACTCAACTGGGACCCACGTGGAAAAGACCGAGCAGGCCACAGAGGCTCGGTCTCCCCGCGCACAGCGTAGGCACCCGGTGTACTCTGTAAACGGGAGGAGGTGGGGCGAGGCAGCCAGAGCCCTTGGACTGGCACAGGGACCCTCGATGGAGCGAAGCCCTCAAACGGGATGCTTTCTGGTATTCTATCGGGGAGGGTCCTTGGCGGTAACCAGAGGGCAGCGTAGTGTCAACACCAGAGACCAGGATCCAAATTGTGGGGAATCAGTTTCAGCCTTCCATGTGCTGCCGGAACTCGGGCCTTTTTACGCGGTTCGTCCTCTAGTGCCTTTAACTGCGTTACTACAATAAAAGGCTGCGGCAGCGCCTTTCTTCTTAAAGTGAGGAGGACAAATTTGCAAAAGAAATAGGCTTTTCTTCTTTTTTAAATTGGAGAAATCTCTGCTCTGGTTGACCTGGGCTGGTTTTCCCTGTCTCTGAGAACTTGAGACCTAGCTCCGAGTTGAACTGTGCGTCAGCACTCCAGTCCCATCACCTGAACCTTCAGTCTCCCCCATCTGTTACACTAGAGGGCTGCAGGACTCTATCCACCGCCCCCGGGTTATCATTCAGGGCCCCATCATCTTGGATGCTGCCCTGCGTATTTGGCAGCAATGGTGGGCCACCCAGGGCCTCTGAGTAGCCACCCAAAGCCTAGCCGCTGTTCTAGGGAACGGAAAAGAGTTCATGGCCAAGCGTCTAACCTAAAGTCCCAGGATTGGCTCCAGGCAGCAATTATATCATAACTTATTGAACTTTTGAGCAGGACGTGCTGGTAATTTCATGGCTGTTACTGCCCAGTCATAAATCTGCTTTTCCATTATAAGGCAGAGAGAAGTACATTCGTTCATTTGTCCACTGTTTCTTGTCATCACGCAGCCCTGGACCCAAAGGGTGAACTAAAGTTTAAGGAGATGAGAGGATTCAAGGAGCCCGTTGGTGACGCCTTTCAGTAGCTGGGGAGGGCTCTTCCATCCCCAGCACCCCCTGCTACACCTCAGCAGCCTCCCCCATGCAAAAAGGAAAGAGAAAAATTAAGTTAGGGCAGTCAGTAAAGTGAGCTTTAGAAAGAAACTGGAATTTTAACTTCATTTTGTATCTTGCTTAAGTAGCAGGCTCACTAAAATTAGAGAAAGTCCAATAACTCTCCCCCTTTCCCTTGAGAAATCTTTAAGTTTCGATTCTGGAGCAAAAACTTTCAGCATTAAATATTTCAGAGGCTCCATTCACAGCTTTCAGATAAACTGGAGTGTTCAGATGGACTGTTTTAATAAAAATCTTTGAGCAAGTGAGTTATGGCAAGAGAAACTCAGCCTCTTTCTGTATAAACTTAACAGGGAAGGGCTGGGGTGTGAAAAAGAAGATTGTATGAAAACCATTGGTAATTTTTATTTTTTATTTTTGGGACTGCACTATCCTGTTCACGAAGACATGTGAACTTGGTTCAGTCCAAATGGGGATTTGTATAAACCAGTGCTCTCCATTAGAAATATGGTGCAAGCCACATATGTAATTTTAAATATTCTAGTAGCCACATTAATAAAGTAAAAAGAAACAGGTGAGGTTAATTTGAATGATATACTTAACCCAACATATCAAAAATATTATGATTTCAACATATAATCAATGTAAAAATTGAGATGTTTTGCTCTCCTTTTACATGAAGGGTTTACAATTTGGAGTGTGTTTTACACTTACAGCTTCTCTAAATGTGGACTAGTCACCTGCTAGGTGTTCAGTAGCAACACTGTGTTGTGCAGTGCAGGTCTAGGTGCTGGCCCTTCCTGGCTTTGGTGGTGGTACCTGGAAGCACTTGAGCGCTGACCCTGCCACCCGTCGGCCCAAATTCCAGACCCAGCCTTGTGACCTTGAAGAGTGCAGGTATTGGGCCGCCCTCCTCTCCCTAAGAATCTTTGCAGGTATGGAGTTCAAGGGTTCTCCTTCATTCAGCTAGACAAGCTGGCTGTCCCAGGTGCAGAGGTCAGGATGACTTGCCTGGTTGAGAAGAATGGGAAAGTAAGAGTTCTCCACCCAGGAGTTTTGTTCTGGGCTGCAGAAGAGCCCAGGCGTGGGACTGGGGCTGGAGAAGGCTGGTTTTTGCCCTTAGTGCCAGAGTTGAGGCTTTCTCTGTTTCCTAATGAGCAAGTCCAGTGCTTTGACAGCACCACTAATCTTAAGCCAGTCCCTTCTCCTCTCGGGTCGTCATTTGTGAAATGGGAATTTGTGACTGCTACCTCAGATAATTTTCCTGAAGTTAAACGAGAGGAGAGGTGAAAAGCGCTTTGTAAACTGCAAAGCGCAGAGCATAGCAGGGCTGAAAGGCTTTAAATAAGCGCTGCCTTGTAACAAAGCCTCCTGGAGTGTCATGATAAAGCCCCGGGAAGGAGAAAGACAGGGTGGGAAAGAGCGGACATTTTCGTCCCCCATTCTACTTGTCAACTTGCGGGACAGGTAAGATTGTGCCAAAGGCGAGGGTCAGCATCAGGAGAGAGAGGACGCTGCGGGGAGGGACCTGGTTGTGTGCTTCAGGTGCCCCAAGGGACACGGAGACGCGCGAGGGTTGGGATCAAGGCGTTGAAGACAGAGCGACAGCCCTTCTCGGCCTCCCACCGGCCGACGACACCAAGAGCTCGCGCACCGGCCGGGCCAGGTGGGAATGGGCGCCGCGCAGGGGAGCGAGTACCTCGGAGACAGTGCGCGCCGCCCGGGGCCTCATCCACAGCGGGGTCGCGGGCGGCCCCCTTAGCCCGCGTGACTGTGGGATCCTGAGAACATTCCGCTGTATGTCTTGGAACCTTCTAACCCTAGGAATTTGCAAACCCCTCCCAGTCCCTCATCTGGGGGCTCAGAGACTGGAGGTGCCTTTTTTATTTTTTTCTTCTTCACTTTATGAACACAGAAAAATCGTTTGTCCCTCTCCGGGCCCTGCACCCGCCAGCGTCGTGTGCAGGCGTCCCCGGGCTGTGGATAATTAGACACGTTCTTCCCTCATTGCCCAAGGCTCGTTAGAATTCGCCCTAGAGCTGTATCATGTATTTTCTTTCAAATTAACTTTGCTTGCAATTAAGCTTAGGGAACCAGCAACAAAAGCAAACTTGGCCCGAGGTCGTTCACCGCGAAAATGGATTAGAGAAACTTCTTCCCCGATTTAAGGGGAAAGATTCCTGCGGCCAGCGCTTTGGGGAAAGTGCCCCGACCGCAGAGGCGACGACAGGGGAGCAGGAAGCTGCTCACGGTAGTCGGCGTTGGCGGCAGCGGTGGCCTTCCTCATCTGGGCGATGTGGGCTCCTAGAAGAGTAAGGATAACATCCTGGAAATGACTTCTGTACGGTTTGAGCCCAACTGCACACTCATGACTTGGAGCTGCCCTGTGGAGTTACAGTTTACCAAACACATTCATGAACATAATCTCATTTACTAAAAACTTTGTGAGAATTTTCTTTTACTAAAATTTTTTCTTATTACAAAATCAGTAGTGTTCATTGTTTTAAAAGAAATAACAGGTAAGAAAAATAAAGAGGGAGGGAAATAACAGCAAAAAAAAAAAAAAAAAAAGGCTGGCGGGGGGGAACCCATAGTTGGCCCAGAGAATGCGCAGTTAACGCTTAAGTATATATCTTTTCTGGAGTTTGTTTTTGCTTTTGACTTTTCCCCTATACAGGAGGCCTGAGTCTTGACTTTGTCACTAAATTGCTGTGAGGTCTTGAACAAATTCCTTCTGGCATGGAGTGGGCCTGTTTCCCCACCTATAAAACTGGGTGCAGGTCCCCTTTTACCCTTTCACATTTTCTAATGCCTCTTCTTTTGGTCACTTGAATGCAAGATGCACTTCTGCAAGGGCCAGGAGCAAGGCCTGGGGGCAAAGGGAGGCAAGCCCTCCCTGTTGGTTTACACAAGAGATGGAGGTCGGCTGCAAGGACATTCCCTGGGAGCTTGCTAGAAATATTGGTTCTTTGGCCTCACCCCAGACCTCCTAGACCAGAACCTGCCTTTCTATAAGACCCTTAGGTGATTCCTATGCCCTGGTCAAAGAGAAAGAACTTTGAAAAAATGTGTTATTGAGATTAGAGATGCCAGAATAACTTCTAGAAGCCTCCTGTTTCTGGCCCGGAACCCCAGCTAGCACTCCAGCGCTGTCTTGTGGCTCTGACCACAGAGAGCAGAGAGGGCAGGGTGGCAAGGGGACAGAGATGGGGTGGAGTGCTTCATCTCCTCCTTTGAGTACTTTCTGAGTCTTGGAATCCTAGCCCTTAGACTGTACCTCATCTCCTGTTTCCAGCTGTATGGGTGACTGTGACAATGACATTCAACAAGAGTATATCTGAAAACATCTTGAAAGCTGGGGTGACAGAGCCAGGGCAGGAAGCCACGTCCTGATTTCGGGCTGAGGCACTGTAGGGACCTTGGGTTCAAGCTCTATACCCTCCCTTAGCAACAGTCAATTGCCTGAGTATAGAATAAACTTTGCCTCTGACCCCTCAGCTCTAGCCCCAAGTCTGAGGTAGTTGAGGGTTTAGGAGAAAAATTAAGCTTTCTGTTCAGGACACAATGGCCAACTGGAAGGGGTCCCTGTCTCCAAGTCAGTCTGGGCCAAAGGATCCTCTAGTAAAAGCCTAAGGTCCTCCTCAGTGCCCTAAGGAACCCTCCCCTGCCTTGAACACATACGAGCTTGACTTTCTGTGTGTGCTCAGCCTGTTCCTGAGGGTAGACATGACAAGATAGCTGGGGGAATATGTCCCTGATGAAAAACAGTTCAGACAGGGGCATGTACCATGAAGGATGGGGAAGGGGCCCAGATTGGGAAAGCATGTTCCCAGGATCACATTGCACCACATGGGGAGAACCAGGATTTTCATCTCATTGCTTGTATAAGTTCCCAATAGAAATAAATAGGAATATTGTGAGTGTGTGTGGAGCCTCCATAGAGCCATAGAAGGGGTGTGTGACTTGCCCAAGATATGACAGTTACAAGTGTCCAAGCTGGACTAGAACCTCTGCCTCCCCCAATGGAGACTGCATTTGATTATCATCTTAATGAAGGTAATATGGAAGTAAAAGTAATCTGGTGAGGATGTGAAGGTAGGGGCTAAGGAGTGGGGATGGACTGCAGCTTGAGGAATGGACTTACCTGTTAAATAAATAGCTTAGAACTACCTTGAGAGAAAGTAGTGTAGTTAGTGCTCCTCAGGCCAAACTAAGCAGTGAACAAAATTTTAAATGGGATGGACAGGCAGAGTAGGGGCGAGATGGAATGCCCTTAGTGAGTTCTGCTCTCCTGCCCCGGCCCTCTCTCCAGCATCTCCTCTCCCTGGCTGAGGCCAAAGCCAGCCTTTGCAGAGCCCCTGGCATGGTCCTCAATGCTTGGCCTCAAAAGAGGAATGCTGTCTGCTCCCTGTGGAGTTCCTGAACCCCTCTGCCAGCCCCACACTCCCTCTTCTGAGAACGGAAGCTCGGATTTCCAGCTCAGCCCAGAAGGGTTAACCAGGAAGCACCTAGTCAGACACCCAGGGAACAGCTGTCAGCCCCTCCCAGGGTGAGGAAGAGATTGGGAAGCCAGAATCAGGGTGGATCTCAGCCATGGGGCAGAGCACCAGTTTATCTCGCTATCTGAGAACCTGGAGCAGTTTCTCAAGTGGGGGTGGTCAGGGCAGAGCCCCAGTCATGGTTTCTCAGGCATGGAGGTGCTCTGCAACCAGGCAATAAATTGAGAGCCACCACCTCCCAGGACTCAACTCCCACCTCTGCTCACGGCCCCAGCAGCCAGCCAGGGCCTCCCAAGAGTACTCCTGCCTCCATTCTGTCCGTGCTGCCAGCTTGCCTCCCTGAAGCTGAGCTCCAGTCCTGTGGAGAAGGCTGCCTGCCGTCTGCAGTAGAACGCTTCAGTGCCTCACCTGGCACTTGGGACCCTCGGTCATCCTTATGTCAACCTTCTTGCCGGCCACGTCTCCCATAGCTGCCTTCCCACACCCCTAGGCTGCAGCCAACACACCATTTGCTGTTCCCTGACACTCCCATGTGTTCCTGTCATCATGAATTTGCCCTGACCATTCCCTCTCCAGGAACCACCTAACCCCATGCCACGCTTCCACAGCCGCCAGCCCTCCAGGACCCTGTCATCTCTCCCGGATCACAGTGCCAGCCCCTAACAGGACCCCCTGCTTCCTCCCCTGCTCCCTTGGCAGTTTTCCCTACAGCAGCCAATGTGTGACCCAGCTCAAAGCCCAGCCAGACCATGTCACTCTCTCACAGAGGCCCAGACCTCAGGAACAGGGAGTGCAATTAGGAACATGGCGTTTCCACGAGCAGTCCTGTGAAGGGTTTCTCACAGTATGAAGAAAACTACATTTAATATGAATGTTTTCAAAAATTTCCACTCCCACATCATAACACATTCTCTTTTTTTGAGATGGAGTTTCACTCTTGTTGCCCAGGCTGGAGTGCAATGGCGCAATCTCAGCTCACTGCAACCTCCGCCTCCCAGGTTCAAGCAATTCTCCTGCCTCAGCCTCCCGGGTAGCTGAGATTACAGGCATGCACCACTATGCCTGGCTAATTTTGTATTTTTAGCAGAGACGGGGTTTCTCTATGTTGAGGCTGGTCTCGAACTCCTGACATCAGGTGACCCGCCCACCTCAGCCTCCCAAAGTGCTGGGATTACAGGCGTGAGCCATCGCGCCCGGCCAACACATTCTTTTATCCCAAATTTTTATCAAAACCTCACACAACTATTCAACCTTGTGTGAAGTGGGGTCCGCCTTCATTTTCCCTGCACAGGTGCTCATAAAGAATGGTGTCCTCTCCTGGGGACTGTGCTCAGGGCTTTTGATGGCAGGGCCATGTTGAGGACAACTGTCCAGCAGGCAACTCCAGACAGGCATGAAACAATCCACCCTCTTTCTGCCATATAAATATCAGCTTATTTTGAGAAGAAAGTGTGCCAGACACTGCTAGTTGTCTACCCACCCATTTTCTTCACTTCTTGTTTGCTCGCAAGACCCTGATTTTGTTCAGGTTTCAGTTGGTTGTGTCTTATCCCTTGGCAGTGAATCTTGACTTGCATAAGGTAAGCGCAGTCACTATCCTATCACTCTTGTCAGAGATTGATTTGGAAACAGGTACAGGATACTTTCTGGGCCAATGAGATGTTCAGGAAAGTCTGCTGTGGACTTCTGGAACACATTCATTTGGTCTTAACAAAAAATAGGGGAGGGCATGGTGGTGTATGCCTGTAATCCCAGCTACTCAGGAGCCTGAGGCAGGAGAATCACCTGAACCCGGGAGGCAGAGGTTGCCGTAAGCCGAGATCGCACCACTGCACTCCAGCCTGGGTGACAGAGCCAGACTCTGTCTCAAAAACAACAATGACAATAACAACAACAACAACAAACAAATGTATCCTAACTGATACAGAAAGTGACCATGAAAGGGCAGGGGAAAACTGATTCTTGATGTATTCCCTTTGAGACTTCTCTTGGCTTCTTATAAATAAATGTGCAGCTAACAGACTATCTAGCCCTACCCCTTGTTTTATGGAAGAGAAGCCAGAGAAAGTAACTTTCCAAGGTAACAGTGAGTTATCATTGTAGACCCTAGTTCAGGGCCCTTCCACAGCTCCAGGGGCTCAGCAGGAACAAAACTAATAATAATCCCAACATTTTCCAAAAGCCACTTTGTTCAGGGAGTACCAGCCATTTTCACAGGTGTTATCTCTTTGGATCCTCACAGCTCCCCTGGGAAGCAGAAGGTTTCAAATGCACCCTTTTCAGGCAAGGAAACTAAGGTCCAAGAAAAGGGGTAATGAGCTCAAGTCATGTGACCGTTGCACACAGGAGGGACCAACCCTCAACCCGGGTGTAACAAATCCTCAGTAAAATGAACCAGAAATCTGAGGCTCCTTCCTCCCTGGATGTAGGAATCAGGAGGCTGGGAGAATCACCTGTTAGTGTTGACTGGCGCTTGGGAATCCTCTGGCTTCGAGCCTCTGAGTAGGGTGGATTCTCCATATGCCCCTGGCTTATCTCCATACGGCATGTAAGGCTTAAAGATAGTGTCTTTGAGTGTGTGGATCCAGTTGCTTCGGATCCAACAAAGTAGGATGGTTAGTGACCAAGCTGAAGGGAACTGGCGTTTGCTAAAAACAAGCCCTGCCGTTGTGGGACTCCTGTCACCCCACCCAGAACCCTCCCAGCTTCAGCCAGGGTTGGTTCCACCAAGGCGAAAGCTGCAGGAGCAGGCCTGTAGTTTACAGAACACCTGGGAGAGGCTGTGGGTAGCTGGGTAATTTCCAAATTAATTGCAGGAAAAAACTAACAAAACAATCTGCAGGCTAAGCATCCCGGGAGCTCACCCATGAGACTGACAGCCTGGAATCCAGCAAGTACAATGCCGCCGACCACAGACAGGAGGGCCTTTCCTCCTTTCGGGGAGGAGGGCTGACTTCCAACAAGGACCCGTCTGGGCCTGCAGCTGGGCCAAGAGGAAAGCAAAACTCTAGAACCAAAACAGCCTTTCCACCCAAAACCAAACTACAATAAACATAAGCAGCTTTCCCGGAACTGCAAGTTTGGCTAGACCAGAGAATGATCCCCTGATGGAAGGCTTGTTTTCTCAGCAAGGGAGTTTTGGGCCTCATTTTGAAAATTTCTTCCTAAATTCAGACTCAGGAAACTAAGGCTGCTCCCACTGCCCCCTGCAGACTACACACAGGCACGAAATGAGCCTTGAAGCCTCTGCTGTACTCTTTTTTGTTTGTTTGTTTGTTTGTTTTGAGATGGAGTCTCACACTGTGGTCCAGGCTGGAGTGCAGTGGCACGACCTAGGCTCACTGCAACCTACACCTTCTGAGTTCAAGCGATTCTCCTGTGTCAGCCTCCTAAGTAGCTGGGATTACAGGCGCCCACCATTACACCCAGCTAATTTTTGTATTTTTAGTAGAGATGGGGTTTTGCCATGTTGGCCAGGCTGATCTCGAACTCCTGACCTCAGGTGATCTGCCCACCTCAGCCTCTCAAAGTGCTGGGATTACAGGCGTGAGCCACGGCCTGCTGTACTCTTCATAACCGTCAAATCTTACCTTTGTTGATACTTTGCAGCTTCCCAAGAGGCTGTCTGCCTTCGTGAGAAAAGCACTGGTTTAAGTCCTGGCTTTGATACCTGAGAAGTCTTAGTGCCCCCGAAAATCCCCTACGGAGGTAGTGACTATGAACTAGAAAACAGTGGGAGCATAGTTGAAGCCAGGCAGTCTGGGTCCAGAGCTTCTTAGTAGGTGCATGCCACTGTGCCCAGCTCTATGTTTAATCTTTTGAGAAACCACCAAACTTTCCCATAGTTACTGCACCATTTTGCATTCCCACCAGCAATGCATGAGGATTCCAGTTTCTCCACATTCTTACCAGCACTTGTTATTTTCTGGGGTTTTGTTTGTTTGTTTCTGTTTTCTTATAATCATCCTGGTAAGTGTGCAGAGGTATCTCATTGTGGTTATGATTTGCATTTCCCTAGTGACTAATAATGTTGAGCATTTTTTCATGTGCTTAGGGGCCATTTGTATATTTTCTTTGGAAAAATGTCTATTCGAGTCCTTTGCCCATTTTTGAATTAAGTTGTTTTATTGTTACTGAGTTTTAGATGTTCTTTATGTATTTTGAATATTAATTCCTTATCAGGTATATGCTTTACAAATATTTTCTCTCATTTACTAGGTCATCTTTTTCACTTTTTGATAGTATTCTTTGATGCACAGAAGTTCTTAACCTTGATAAAGTTCAATTTTTCTTTTTTGTTTGTTTTCTACTCTTTTACTGTTATACCCATGAAGTCATTGTCAAATCCAATGTCATGAAGATTTTCCCAAATTTTTCATCTAAAAGTCGTATAGCTTTAGCTCTTCAGTTTAGGTCTTTGATTCATTTTGAGTTCTTTTTTGTATATGGTGTAAAGGACCAAGTTCATTCTTCTGCATGATATATCTGTTTGTCTCAACACCATTTACTGAAAACATTGTCCTTTCCTTTATGGCATCCTTGAACAAATCAATTAACTGTATACATGAGGGTTTATTTCTGGGATCTTTGTCCTATTTTATTGGTGTATATGTCTGTCCTTATGCCAGTACTGTTTTTCTGTTTTTTGTTTTTTTTCCTTTTCTTACAGACAGGGTCTTGCTCTATTTCCCAGGCTGCAGTGTGGTGGCACAATCATAGTTCACTGCAGCCTCAAACTCCTGAGCTCAAGGGATCTTCCTGCCTCAGGCTCCTGAGTAGCTAAGACTACAGGTACACACCACCATGCCCGTTTGTTGTTGTTGTTGTTTTTGTCTTCTATTTTTGTAGAGATAGGGTCTCACTATATTGCAAGATCAGACTGGTCTCAAACTCCTGGCTTCAAGTGATCCTCCCACATCAGCCTCCCAAAGTCCTTGAATTACAAACTTGAGCCACTGCACCTGGACTGCCAGTATTGTTTTAATTGCTGTAGCATTGTAGTAAGTTTCAAAGTTGGGTAGTGTGAAGCTTTCAAGTTTATTTCTCTTTTTCAAGATTTGTTTTGGCTATTCAAAATGCAGTTTCATGTGGATGTAAGTATCGCCTTTTCTGTTTCTGTTGGAATTTTGATTGCATTGAATCTGTAGAACACTTTGGGTAGAATAGACATCTTAACAATATTGTCTTTCTATCCATGATCAGGGATGTTTTTCCATTTATTTGTGCCTTTAATTTCTTTCAGCAATGTTTCAGTCTATGTCTTTCACTTCCTTGGTTAGATGTATTCCTATTCTTTCGTTCGTTTAGCTGCTAATGTATTTCATTCTTTTAGCTGCTATTGTAGGTGGAATTACTTTTCTAATTTCCTTCTTACAGCTGATTTTCTATGTTAATATTATATTTTGCAACTTTGTTGAATTTGTTTAATAGCTCTAGTAACCTTGTGGATTCTTTGGGATTTTCTACATATAAGATCATGTCATCTGTGAATAGAGATAGTTTTACCTCTTCCTTTCCAGTTTGGGTGCCTTTTATTTCTTTTTCTTTTCGGATAGCTCTGGCTAGAATTTCCAGTACAATGTTGGACAGCATAAAGCAAACATTCTTCTCTTGTTCCTGTTATTAGGAAGAAAGCTTTCAGTTTTTCACCACTGAGTATGATGTTAACTGTGAACTTTTAAATAAATACGCCTTATCATTTTGAGGAATTTTCTCTCTGTTCCTAGTTTCCTGAGAGTTTTTCATCATGAAAGGATGTTGGATTTTGTCAAATAATGCAACATCCTTTTCTGCATTGAGATGATCATGCAGTTTCTTCCCCTCTTCATTGTATAAAAGTGATGGATTGATTTTCTTATGTTGAACCATCCTTGCATTCCTGAGATAAATCTCACTTGATCATGTTGAAAATCCTTTTAATTTGCTCTAGGATTTTATCTATTAATATTTTGTTGAGAATTTTTGCATCTATATTCAAAAGGAATATTTGTCTGTAATTTTCTTATAATGTCTATCTAGCTTTGGTATCAGAGAAATATTGCCCTCATGGAATGAATTAGGAAGTGTTCCCTCTTCTTCAATTTTATGGAAGAGTTTGGTAAGAATTGGTTTTAATTCTTCTTTAAATAGTTGATAGAATTCACCAGTGAAGCCATCTGATACCAGACTTATCTTTGTTGGGAGGTTTTTGATCACTGATTTAATCTCTTTACTTGTTAGAGATCTGTTGAGATTTTTCTATTTCTTCTTGAGTCAGTTTAAGTAATTTGTGTATTTCAAGCAGTTTGTCCCTTTCTTCTAGGTTGTCTAATGCAGTGGCATACAACTGCTCATAGTATTCTCTTATAATCTTTTTTTTTTTTAAATCTCTGTGAGGTTGGTGGTAATGTCTCCACTTTCACTTCTGCATTTAGTTATTTATGGAACATCTTTATTTTCTCTTTGTCAGTCTAGCTAAAGGTTTGTTCATTATGTTGATCTTTTCAAAGATCCAACTTTTGGTTACATTGATTTTTCTCTACTGTTTTACTATTCTCTATTTTTTAACCTCCACTTTAACCTTGATTATTTCCTTTCTTCTACTAGTTTTGGGTTCAGTTTGCTCTACTTTTAGTAAAAGTAAAATTTGGGCTGGGCATGGTGGCTCACGCCTGTAGTCCAGCACTTTGGGAGGCTGAGGCAGGTGGATCATCTGAGGTCAGGAGTTCAAGACCAGCCTGGCCGACATGATGAAACCCCATCTCTACTAAAAATAAAAAAAATTAGCTGGGCATGGTGGTGGGTGCCTGTAATTCAAGCTGCTCAGGAGGCTGAGGCAGGAGAATCGCTTGAACCCAGGAGGCAGAGGTTGCAGTGAGCCGAGATCACACCATTGCACTCCAGCCTGGGTGACAAGAGCAAAACTCCATCTCAAAAAAAAAAAAAAAAAAAGAAAAAGAAAAGAATGAAAGAAAAGAAAAAGTAAAATTTGGTGTAAAATCAGGTTAGCAACTTGGGATCTTTATCTTTAATGCAGTCACTTACAGCTATAATTTTTCCTTCTGAGCACTTTTTTCACTGCATTCCATAAGTTTGGGTATGCTGTATATTCATTTGTCTCCAAGTATTTTCTAATATCCCTAATATCTAAATAAGTGATTTCTTTTTGACCCATTGGTTAAGAATGAGTTTTTAAATTTCTATAGATTCATGAATTTTCTGTGGTTTTTTTTGGGGGGGGTTGTTTGTTTGTTTGTTTGTTTTGAGACAGGGTCTCACTCTGTCACCCAGGCTGGAGTGCAGCAGTGTGATCTCAACTCACTGCAACCTCCACCTCCTAGGCTCAACTGATGCTCATGCCTCAGCCTTCCAACTGGCTGGGATTACAGGGTTGGGCCACCATGTCTGGCTAATTTTTGTATTTTTAGTAGAGATGGGGTTTCACCATGTTGACCAGGCTGATCTTGAACTCCTGACCTCAAGTGATCTGCCCAGCTCGGTCTCCCAAAGTGCTAGGATTACAGGCACGAGCCACCATGCCCAGCCCTGGTTTTCTTTTATTGATTTCTAACTTCATCCTGTTTTGTTCAGAGCAAATACTTTGTATGATATCTATTTGTTAAAATCTATTAAGACTTGTTTTGTGGCTTAATACATGGTCTATCTCAGAGAATGTGCCATGTGCACCTGAGAAAAATATGTATTTTACTGTTAGGAAGAGTCACGTATATATGCCTGTTAGGACTAGTAAATTAATTTTTGTATATGGTATGAGGTAGGAGTTCAAATTCATTCTTTTGCATGTGGATATCCATTGTCATGGCACCATTTGTTGAGGAGACTGTTTTTCCCATGGAATGCTCTTGGTACCCTTGTCAAAAATTAATTAGTCATAGGTGTATGGGTTTATTTCTGGACTCTCTATTCTATTCCATTGATCTATATATCTATCCTTATGCCAGTGTCACTTCAGTAAAGTTTTCTAGTTTTCTTAAAAAAAAAAAAACAAAAAACAGCAGATTCAACCCACTTTCTTCTGGCCTTTAAGTCCAATATTATAATTAGAATAAACTGCTCCCAAAAGGATGTGAATAACACACCCTACAACCTGGACTGAGGTTTTTTCATTATTACACTCATGACTTCTGCTCCAATATGTGTTTGAACACTGTTTGAGTGAGAGGCGGTGTTTCTTAACATTCTCTTCTTCTGCATATCCAGAACAAATAATACAAAGGGAATCTAGAAACTACCTAACCCCATAGCCAGATCATTCTGACAATGCTATAGAAAAATTAGGTAGGATATGCCATATTATAAAGTAGGGCCATGAGTTCAAAAAACAAATAACACATGGACTAGCTAGGGAAGCCACAATAGGTAACAGCATGCGTTTTAAAGGCTTAGCCAATGCTAAGCTCCCTGTGAGTCAGGAATGTCATGAGGCTTCCATAATAATAAACTTCATTTGTAGCAGCATTAAAAGAAATAGAGTGCCCAGAGTGAGGAGGCAATGGTCATACCTGACTTTGCCCTGCTCAGGGTGTCTGAATTGCCCATGAGCTTCACACTTTTTGATGGGCATTGATTAACTGGACTATGTCATAGAAGACAAACGGAATGGCGCAGTGGCTGCAACCTGTGTCCCAGGAGGAGGAATTAGGTGAATTAGGCTTGTGTAGCCTGAAGAAAGCCAGTCTGGGGTACATTTCCGTTTCTTGAAGTGTCTAAGGAGTTTCCAGAGTGGAGAAGGCAGGAGAGGGAGCATAGATAGGATCAATGCTATGTAGCATCAGATTTCAGCTAATAAAAGGAAGAAGTTTCAGATAATTGGAGGCAGCCAAGGGTGAAGCTAGCTGCCTCAGGCAGTAACAAGCTCTTCATTCTGGAGGGGTGTCCAAACAAAGTTGAAAAAGCAGTCAGTGGGGATGTTGTAAGGGAATTCATTCGCTGGGTAGGGGTTGGGTCCAAATGACTTTTTTTTTTTTTTTTTTTTTTTTTTTTTTGCAAGGGTCTTGCTCTGTCCCCCAGGCTGGAGTGTGATTCTCCTGTCCCAGTCTCCCAAGTAGCTGGGATTACAGGCACGCACTGCCACACCCAGCTAATCTTTGTATTTTTAGTAGAGACAGGGTTTCACCATTTGGCCAGGCTGGTCGCGAACTCCTGACCTCAAGTGATCCACCCACCTCAGCCTCCCAAAGTGCTGGGATTACAGGCGTGAGCCACCATGCTCAGCCCCCAAATGACTTTTGAAGACTCTTACAGCCCTAAGTCTCTAGGATATCAGGCATCCACTGAAGACTCACCCACATACCCATTTCTTAATTCTACACCCATCCTCTAACAGGCATTCAAGTGGCACTCCAAAGGAACAAGGCATTGCAGGCTTTCTACAGCACTATCAATCAGGGTTCTTTGGTTGCAAGTAAAAAAAAAAAAAATACAACTCTGAATAATTAAACAGTAACAGGAACATATTAGAAGGCATGAGACAGTTCACAAAACTCAAGAGAAAGCTGAAAAATCAGGCCTTAAAGAGGACACAATTCAAAACAGTAGCTAATACGTAGGCTCCAGGAACTAATAAATGAGTTGTGAGTCCACTGTCAAGGTGAAGTTGTCACTCACTGAGCCACTGAGCTCACAATTCAGCTTCCAGGGACACCGTGGGGAGTATGTGATATCTCCAATATCACATACTTCCGTTGACTAGTAGGGGACGAAGCACATTGACCAACAGACAGTTCAATCATGACCAAATCCAATAAAGAAGTCTTCCAGAAAGCAATTGCAAATCAGGAAGATGTTATCAGAAGAAAGGGATCCTGGGCTGGCACCATAAAGGATTTGTGCCTTGCTTTTTTCAGGTTAAGACAGCAGGGACTTGCCACGGAGACTCTAAAGTCTGTTCCTCCAACCTTTCCCATTGCAGTGAGAGCAATAATTTCCCTGACCCTATAAAAGGCATGCAAAGTGTATCCAGGTCAAGAGCTTGGGTAACATCAACACTGTGAAATGTGGGGACAGATATCTTGGTGGAAAAAGCACTGAGACTTCTGTTTCCATCAGCAAAGAAGACTAAACACCAAGGGAAACAACTAAACTATCTGAATAAAATATCCCTTAAAATGCATTGCTTAGTAGGCAATTTTTTAAAATTTTTTAAAATCCACAGAGGCCCAAAATGAAATGAAATCAGGAATTCTTAGAAATGAGCAAGCCGTAATTGCCCTGAGGGTAGCTGCCAATCCCGAAGGCTCAGCACTGTTTTGTAGGCTTTTTGAGGTACAAGAGACAAGAAATACGCATCGAGGGCCTGTTCAAGGTGGAGACCACACAAGAAGACTATACAAAACTTGGGATTTCCAAAGGTCTACATAGTCAGAGTAGGGGTGAATGAATATAAGCATATTTTCTTTTTGCCTTGTATATCCCAGACTTGGAGCTGAAAATGACCCAAAAATGCCACAGGGGACAAAACAAATTGCCCCCAAAAGCCTCCTCTAGCCAAATAAGCAGAACAGGGGAAGCCTAGCAAGATGGAAAACTTTTAGACAATAAACTGCTCCCCTCTAGCCAAACACCACAGAAAACTGTGACCCCACGTGTAACCACACCAAAAAGGTCAAGTAAGGAGCCTAGGTGCAACTTCATGCCACTGTGATAGGCTCAGTGATGGTCCTCAAAGATATCCAGGCCCTCTGAGACTATAAAAATTCTAGAAGATAACATTGGAAAAACCCTTCTAGACATTGGCTTAGGGAAGGATTTCATGACCAAGAATCCAAAAGCAAATGCAATAAAAACAAAGATAAATAGGTGAGACTTAATTAAACTAAAGAGCTTTTGCACAGCAATAGGAACAGTCAGCAGAGTAAACAGACAACCCACAGAGTGGGAGAAATCTTCACAATCTGTACATCTGACAAAGGACTAGTATCCAAAACATACAACAAATTCAAACAAATTAGCAAGAAAAAAACAAACAGTCTCATCAAAAAGTGGGCTAAGGACATGAATAGATAATTCTCAAAAGAAGATTACAAATGGCCAACAAACATATAAAAATTCTCAACATTACTAATGATCGGGGAAATGCAAATCAAAACCGCAATGCAATACCACCTTACTCCCACAAGAATGACCACACTCAAAAAATAATAGATGTTGGCGTGGATAGAGTGAAAAGGGAAAATATACTTCAACACTGCTGGTGGGAATGTAAACTAGAACGATCACTATGGAAAACAGTGTGGAGATTCCTTACAGAACTAAAAGGAACTACTCACTCTGTCCTCCAGGGTGAAGGCAATCATAGCTCACTGCAGCCTTGAACTCCTAGGCTCAGGAGATCCTCTCCCCTCCATCTCATGAGTAGCTGGGACTACAAGCACCTGCCACCACATCCAGATTTTTTTTTTTTTTTTTTTTTTTGGAGAGATGAGGTCTCACTGTGTTGCCCTAATTTTCTTTTTGTTTTTGTAGAGACAGGGTCTTTCTATGTTGCCCAGCCTGGTCTTCAACTCCTGGACTCAAGTGATCCTTGACTCAAGTGATCCTCTTGCCTCAGACTCAGGAGTGACTGGGATTACAGGTGTGAGCTAGTACACTGGGCTGACAGTTCCTTCTAAAGCAAAACATGCAACGACCATACAATTCATTAGTTGCACACCTGAGAATTTATTCCAGAGAAATGAAGACTTATGTTCACACTAAAACTTGTACATAAATGTTTATAGAAGCTTTATTTACATAGTAGCAACAAATAATACTGGGAATAAACAGATGTCCTTCAACAGGTTAAATATGGCACATCAGTGGTTAAACTGTGGTACATCCATATCATGAACTACTACTCAGCAATTAAAAGGAATGAATTGTTGATATATACAACACTTATCTGTAATCTTCAGGGAATTATGCTGAGTGGAAAAAGCCTATTTCAATATATAACATTTATATATCATTGGTGAAATGAAAAAATTATAGAAATGGAGAACAACTTAGTGATTGCCCAGAGTTAAGGAGTGGGTGTGGGTGGGAGGGAAGTGGCTGTGAACATAAAAAGGCAATATGAGTGGCGCTGGACATGTTCCGATATTGATCTATGTAAGTATATCCTGGTTGTGATACTATACTATTGTTTTACAAGATGCTACCCTTGGGTGAAACTAGGTAAAGGATACATAGGATCTCCATGTATTATTTCTTACAATGCATGTGAATCTCTGAGCATAAAAAAGAAAATCACTGATGAATACATGCCTTCTGATCCCATTCATTAAAAATGCAAAATGGATAAAACTAAATCATATCTTTCTTGTTTAGGGATTCATACCTCTAGGAGTGATGTTAGAAATACTTTCAACTAGTCTGAAAGATTCGTCATCCAACACCCCCTAACAGCAATTAGGTTTACTTCTCTTTGAGGGGGGAATAATCCAGGAGTTATTAAGAAATTATTTGGCCGGGCGCGGTGGCTCATGCCTGTAATCCCAGCACTTTGGGAGGCCGAGACGGGCGGATCACGAGGTCAGGAGATCGAGACCATCCTGGCTAACACGGTGAAACCCCGTCTCTACTAAAAATACAAAAATTAGCCGGGCATGGTGGCGCGTGCCTGTAGTCCCAGCTACACGGGAGGCTGAGGCAGGAGAATGGCGTGAACCCGGGAGGCGGAGCTTGCAGTGAGTCGAGATCGCGCCACTGCACTCCAGCCTGGGCGACAGAGCGAAACTCCGTCTCAAAAAAAAAAAAAAAAAAAAAAAAAGAAATTATTTTAGGCAGACAGACAGTAAGGGTAAAGGTTCTCAGTGGAAATTTTCCTGTAATAAGAAACAACCCCCAAACCATCTATTTTCTAACAGAAAAGGTGGCTAGAAGGGCCCAGCAGGCAAGCTTTGATATGCAAATGTTGGCCATTAGAAACTGGGTTCACTCAGTATGGTGATTCCTGCCATCTTCCCCTTGTCACCACCTGTGCCAAGTGTGATGGCCACCTCCAGATAACACCATGTGTTCAGAACATCATGGCGACCGACATTTGCATATTAAAGGGCTAAGGTGGGAAGGCCAGGTTGTTCATGGGCTACGTGAATGACACACCTGGTCAAACCAATCCCCTGAGACCTATGCAAACCAGACACTGCCTCCTCCAGCCTCCCTATATAATGGACTGCCTTTGTGCTGCACACAGGGTTTCTCTTTGTTCCAAGTCCTCCTCCCTTGTCTTTGTATGAGGGAGCTGGTCTCTTTTTTCTTCCTTCTTTCTTGCCTATTAAACTTTTTGCTCCTTAAAACCAAAAAAAGAAAAAATACTTTTTGGCTAGTTCAGCACACGCACCAACCAGTCGGAGTGGACACCCAGCCAATCGGAACAAATGCCAGCTGTCAACAACAGGAAACACTGTACTGTACCTGACTTAGTGCAAAGGGGCCTGGGAAATGGAGTTGCTGGCTGAGCAATTGTTGTGCAGTGATGACTCACCCTGTGGCACCAGATGCACCCATCCTGGTGGACGGCTAGCTGGCCCTGCCTCAAATCACATAAGGTACCACAAGCTTCCATCTCAGGTGTCTGCTTTCAACCCCTGCATGTCCCCTCCACCGCACCCTATCATCAAGGCCAGCTAGTCCACCCAAACCATTTCAATGGCAGCGAATGACACACCTCCAATGTAGTTAAGGAGGGGCAGGTGAGGGAAACTCTCATCTACAGTGGATTCTCAAGTCAGCACACCCACCCCAGCCTTCCCGCTCTTTGCTATTAGACAAACGATGAAACTAAGAGAGGAAAAAGGCCCTCCTTGGGATTACCCAGCAAGTCAGGAGTAGCCCAGGACTCTGGCTGCCTGCACAAGGCTGGCAGCAGCGGGACATGTCAGCCCACCTTTCATGGAAGCAGCCCAGGGAATTAGTCCTGATGCCAACGCCCAGCTCTGGAGTTCCTGACACCTTTTCTTGGATCTAGGCCCTTTCAAAAGGAGCATTTCAAATAAGAGCCATCAACACTTACAGAGGGTGGGTCTTAATCCATAGAGGATCATTAGCTTCACCCAAGTGATGGGCCATCCATCAGCACCTCCCCTTTTTCCACCAATTATCTATCTGCTAATTATCCGGGATTAAGAATTGACACGGAGCGACATGGTCATTAACCACATATTTGCACAGCTTATTCATGTTAGTTGGGCTGCTCCATCTCACTGAGTCTAATTGGACACGCCCACAATGCTGCACAACACATTTACATCGACCTGGCTGTCAGCAGCCAATAAAGGACTACAGGATGTGTTTGGTTCCAAAGGGACTTGGCTCTCGGCAGAAGCTTGTTTGCAGGCACACTGGGTGTCTTGGCTTTCTGGCACTGTGGACTACAGCTTAACTCAGAGCATACATTCAATCATTTCTCAAACATTTGTTAGCTCAAGCACTGTACCAGGCACAGCACTGGCCCTAGCAGGGTCTACAAAGATGAACCAGGCACCATTTCTGCCACCTCGAGGAGGTTTACCTTCTGCCCTCCATGATGTGACCCTGTCTAGCAGGCCCCCTCCTGCCCACCTGGGGCATGTGTGCCATCTACCAGCCCACTCCACATTCTCTGCGCAGGTCTCTGTGCTCTTCCTTCAGCCTGGAATTCTTCTGTCCACCTGGCTCTGTCTGAAGACGCCACCTCCTCTGTGAGGCCTCTCCTGATTTCTGAGACCACACAAATCTCTCCCTGGGCTGCGTTTTCATGGCATGCTGCCTTCAGTCAAGGGAACACATGCAAGCAGAAAGAGCTCAGAGCTGTGTGAGAAAGAAAAGCAGCATGTGTGGTCTCAGAAATCAGAAGAGGCCTCACGGAGGAGGTGGCATCTTCAGACAGAGCCAGGTGGACAGAGGGATTCAGGCTGAAGGAGTAGCACAGAGATCAGCAAGGAGAATGGTCTAGTGCGTGGCACACATAGTACTGATGGGAAGGGTGTGGCCTGGCAGGCAGGGTCACATCATGGAGATCTATGAGTGTTCTGTTAGGGTCTGGAAGTTTCTCCTCAGGGCATGAGGAACCATGGAAGAGATTTTGTTTTTTCAGTGTGTATGCATAGGTGGATGTGTTTTAGTAAACTTTTTATTGAAATGTAACATATGTATAGAAAAGTACAAAATTTTTCACAAACTGACCGCATCTACGTAATAGCACTCAGATTAAAACAATAACAAATTATTACTAAAACTCCAGAGATCCACTCTGGCCTCTTTCAGGAACTACTTACATACAAGAAAAATAACCATCCTAACATCATAAACTAGTTTTCACTATTTTCTTGTGTGTGGCTTTTTTCACTCCACATATGTTTGCAAGACTCCCCCATGTTGTTAGACATAAATGCACTTTGTTCTTGCTCATTGCTGGTTGATATCCCATTGTATGGATGCACTGCAATTGTTGATGAGCTTTGTGCAGTTTCCAGTTTGGGGCTGTAAACCTTCCTGCACATGCCTTTACGTGCTCCTCTGGGGGTAAATCTGTTGCATGCATATCTAGGAGTGGAATTGCTGGGTTGTGGGCTATGCATATATCTACTTGAGTAGATACTTCTAGTTTCCCAAAGTTGTTCTACCCATGTACACGCCCACCAGGGATGCACAGGAGTTCTCATTGCTCTATATTCTTGTCAACACTTGGTATTGTCAGTCTTTTTGTGTTTTATGCTTGTTTTTTTTTTTTTAGGGGAATGACCACCTGGTGGAGGTGGAGTCCCACTTGGGTTGAAGTATACTCACTCTGGCAGGAATGAAATCAGTGGTAATAGAGCTAGAATGAAAAAGGCCAATAAGAAGAGACGCCATAGAAGTGGAATACACAGGACTTGCACACAAGGTAGAAATGAACTTAAGAGGGAGATGGAGGAAGGTTTCTGTATGGGGTGGCTGGCTGGATGAGGGACTTCAGATTTGAAGCCAGGAGAAAACATCCCAATTTTATAACATCATGTTTGAAATGTAGGACAATGAGATGAAGATGTCCAATAAACTGTTAGCTATATGAGTCTGTTGCTTAGGGATGAGGTCAAGGCTGTAGACAGAGTTAGGAGTTATCACAGAGATGGGGGTTGAGGCTGGGGGGTGGCTGAGATTTCTCAGGTGGTTGTGTGCAATGAAAGAGACAAGGGCTGAAGACCAGACGCCTGGCTTAGGGGATGAGCGGAGGAAGAACAAGAGACAACATCGCTTCCCTCTGAAATGCTGGCACGGGCTGCGAAGCATGAGTCAGACCCTTCTAGCCCCAGCAGCAGCCTCAACAGCCTGGGTCTATCTCACCAGCCACACAGTTTTCTCCTGAATGAACTTGCATCACTAACCTCAGAAGCTGTGTTGCGAAATCCGCATCAGATTGCGTACCTCTGGTGGCGTCCTAGGGACAATGGGCACTAAAGACTCATAGCATCCTGGGGTTGGAGTCCTCCTCTCCGCCTCCACAACATCCCTGCCAATCAGTTATCGAGCACCCCAGGCAGGGAACTCATAACTTCCCACGGCATCCCATTTCCTTGTTGAGCAAGTGAAGATCTAAGAAAACCTTTTCTTGCAATCTCACGATACTGAAAAGTCAAAGAAAAAGATAACGCTATAATTTAATGGTAATGATCCAGGACAGAGTGAAATGCAAGGACTCTGCATCCTGGAAAATCCATGTCTATTAATGTACCCATCAGCATCTTCTTGCTGGGGTTAGGGTCATGGTGTTTGACTCCCCACAGGAAGCTGCAGTGATTTCATTACTATTTGCACACTGGTTGGGAATGTGCTCATCCGCTGCAGGCATTCCTCTGGCTTCATCAAGCAGTGAGTACAAGGGCCCTGGAATCTGGCCAGTCTCTCAGGACTGAAGCAGTGCATGCTACAGCACAAATCTACCAGGCTGGACACGTGGGAAGAATGAGCGGCTGTTAGATGAGAGCGAGCCCACTGCAAGCAAAGAGGGCAGAATGCCATTCTGTTCAACATTTTTTTCTGCGTGTTTAGCAGCATGTGGTCCTGTGTGGGTCTCTGGAGAAGAAGAAAGAAGATGGATCTAAGAAATGGTTCTCACCCAGCTGGGCACAGTGGCTCACGCCTGTAATCCCAGCACTTTGGGAGGGAGAGGCAAGTGGCTCACCTGAGGTCAGGAGTTCGAGACTAGCCTGACCAATATGGTAAAACCCTGGCTCGAATAAAAATACAAAAGAATGGCCAGGCTCTGTGGCTCATGCCTGTAATCCCAGCACTTTGGGAGGCCGAGGCAGGCGGATCACAAGGTCAGAAGTTCGAGACCAGCCTGGCTAGCATAGTGAAGCCTCATCTCTACTAAAAAATACAAAAATTAGCCAGGTGTCGGGGCAGGCGCCTATAGTCCCACCTACTCAAGAGGCTGAAGCAGGAGAATCGCTTGAACCAGGAAGGTGGTTGCACTGAGCCGAGATTGCACCACTGCACTCCAGCCTGGGCAACAGAGCGGGACTCCATCTCAAAAAAAAAAAAAAGAAAAGAAAAGAAAAGAAAGAAAGAAAAAGAAAAGAAAAAAAGAAAGGGTTCCCACCCTTGGGGAGATTGGTGGCAGAGGCAGAGACAGGCATGCAAAAGGAAGATGTAGCTGAAACTTTTTTTTTTCTTTTGAGATGGAGTCTTGCCCTGTCACCCAGGCTGGAATGCAATGGCACAATCTCAGCTCACTGCAAACTCTGCCTCCCAGGTTCAAGCGATTCGCCTGCCTCAGCCTCCTGAGTAGCTGAGATTACAGGTGCGTGCCACGATTCCTGGCTAATTTTTGTATTTTTTAGTAGAGATGGGGTTTCACCATGTTGGCCAGGCTGGTCTTGAACTCCCGACCTCAGGTGATCCACCCGCCTCGGCCTCCCAAAGTGCTGGGATTACAGGCATGAGCCACTGCACCTGGCCCTTTTGCTTTATTTTTATAAATTAAGTTGGCAGTGTTTTTTTTTTCACAAGGTAATATTTATAAAGTGTTTTTACAATAAAATAGTATTGGCTGGGCACAGTGGCTCACGCCTGTAATCCCAGCACTTTGGGAGGCCAAGGCAGGTGGATCATATGAGGCCAGGAGTTCGAGACCAGCCTGGCCAACGTGGTGAAACCCTGTCTCTACTAAAAATACAAAAATTAGCCGGGCATGGTGGTGCATGCCCGTAATCCCAGCTACTTGGTAGGCTGAGGCACAAGAATCACTTGAACTCAGGGGGCAGAGGTTGCAGTGAGTCAAGATTGCACCACTGCACTCCAGCCTGAGTGACAAAGTGAGACCCTGTCTCAGGAAAAACAAAGAAACAAAGAGATAAAAATAAAATAGTATTAAAAGGATTTTTTTAACAAAAGCCTGTGGTCCCTTGGCCTAGCCTACTCTACCTCTGAGTCCTATTTTCAGGAGGTAGCAACTTCCAACTCTTTAAGCTTCCTCTTATGTTGGTTACCTGCAAATTTCTAAGTCATAAGCTATGTCAGAGACTAACAGCCCTCCACAATCCATGTTCTCTTTTTCCTGGGTGTACAGCTAGATCTCATTCTTCAGCTCCTGCTCCTGTCTCCTCTTCCTCCTTCCAGGCCCCCAGCCCCAAAGTTAGAGGCAATTGAGCTCTAGCCAATGAAATGTGAGCAGAAGTGCTAGTGCCACTTCTAAGCCTGGTCCCTAAAACCACCATGTTCACCCATGTGCTCCTCTATGATCTTTCTTCTTATTTTTTATTTATTTTTTTTTTTGAGGGAGTCTCATTCTGTCGCTCAGGCTAGAGTGCAGTGGCGCAATCTCAGTTCACTGCAACCTCCATCTCACAGGTTCAAGCAATTCTCCTGCCTCAGCCTCCTGAGTAGCTAGGACTACAGGCAAACGCCACCACACCCGGCTAATTTTTTGTATTTTAGTAGAGACGGGGTTTCACCATGTTATCCAGGCTGGTCTTGAACTCCTGAGCTCAGGCAATCTGCCCACCTCAGCCTCCCAAAGTGTTAGGATTACAGGTGTGAGCCACCATGCCCAGCCTATGATCTTTCTTGTTATGGCTGCCTGGAATGGAGATGATGTCCTTGCAGGCTCTGGAAGCCACATACTAAAAGATGAAAGAGCATTCATTAGGCTGGGTACAGTGGTTCACGCCTGTAATCCCAGCACTTTGGGAGGCCAAGAAGGGCAGATTGCTGGAGCTCAGGAGTTCGAGACCAGTCTGGGCAATGTGGTGAAGCCCCAACTCTACTAAAAATACAAAAATTAGCTGGGCGTGGTGGCGCATGCCTATAATCCCAACTACTCGGGAGGCTGAGGCACAAGAGCATGCCACTGCACTCCAGCCTGGGCGACAGAGTGAGAATCCATCTCAAAAAAAAAAAAAAAAGAAAAAAGAAAAAAAAAAGCATTCATCAGCCAGTGTCTGAATGAGGGAAAGAAGGAAGACTGACCTACCAGTCTGCTTCTACCTGCCCAGTACTATTATGAAAAAAGAACTCTATTATGTTTGAGTCAGTGTGCATATTGGCATCTATTTGTTAAAGCAATTAGACTCCCCTATTATATATCCATATATTGATTATCAAGTAGGAAATGCACTAGTAACAGAAACCTAAAGATACAGTGTTATTTTCTCTGATGTCAAAAGGAGTTCAGAGGTAATATTGCAGTCTATGATGCCAAAAGGACCTGGCTCCTTACAGCTTTCCCTTTTATAGCTGTGATCTTCAGGGGTGACCCTATACCTCTGTCTTAGTCTTTTCAATAGAGTTGCCAGAGCTCCAGCCATATGTCTGCAACTAGGGCAGGAGTAAGTAGATGGATGAAAAGGCACAAAAGAAAAGTGCTAGTTGAGTCAACCTTCTTTTTTTTTTTAAATGTATCATGGCTCACTGCAGCTTGACCTTTCCGGGCTCAAGAGACCTTCCCACTTCTGCCTGCCAAGTGGCTGTAGCTAGGACTACACTGACGCACCACCACGCTGGACAATTTTTTTTTCCATAAAGACAGAGTCTTGCTACATTGCCCAGGCTGGTTTTGAACTCCCAAGCTGAAGCTATTCCCCTGCCTCTGCCTCCCAAAGTGTTGGGATTACAGGCATGAGCCACTGTACCTGGACAACCCGCTTGACTGCTTACATTTCAACATCACTGCCAGGGACCTCTCCTTACATTTCAATGGCTACAATTGTGTCACAAGGCCACCCCCACTGCAGAAAAGATGGGCAGATTTTTAATTTTTAGCTGAATGCTCAGCTTCCTCAAGTAAAATCAGTGTTCTGTTAGTAAATAAGAGGAAAAGGATATTATATAGGTTACAGTAGTTGTTATCTGTAATTGCAATCTCAAAATTCTTTAATTGTAGAAGATGTGTTTTTTGTTTGTTTGATTGATTGATTGATTTTTTTCTGAGACAGAGTTTCACTCTTGTTGCCCAGGCTGGAGTGCAGTGGTGCAATCTCAGCTCACTGCAGCTTCCACCTCCTGGGTTCAAGCGATTCTCCTGTCTCAGCCTCCCGAGTAGCTGGGATTACAGGTGCCCGCCACCACACTCGGCTAATTTTTTTGTATTTTTAGTAGAGACGGGATTTCACAATGCTGACCAGGCTGGTCTCAAACTCCTGACCTCAGGTGATCCACCTGCCTCGGCCTCCCAAAGTGTTGGGATTACAGGCGTGAGCCACTGGCCCAGCAAAGATGTGTTTTGAGTTCCAACTGAAAAAGATAAAGATTTGCCTCTCTACCCACTTCTCTCCAGTTTATTCCTACCACTGTCTACCAAAATAGTTACATCTACATCATAGCTGTCCAGTGTTTACTATACGAGTATATTATGATGCATCAAGCTTATTTTCTGATAAGCCAAGCAATAAATATGTCACATTTCTTATATAATTTTTGTTTTTCTTAAGTTTATCTACCTCCTCTCAATATTTATATCCTAACTAATGCACCTTGCATATCTGAAAATGAATTTTTCTACCTTCATACTTCATTGATAGTTTCATTGGGTATTAAATTCTAGGTTGGAAATAATTCTCACTCTGAATCTTGATGGCATGGCTCCATTGCCTTCTAGAAATGATGCCATTATTCTTTCTAATCCTTTCTGCAACCCATTTTTCTCTGTAAGATTATAGGATTTTCTCTATTTCTTTGTGCTCTGTAATTTCACAGTGATGTATCTTAATATAAGGCTTTTCTCATTTGTTGTATGGGGTACTTGATAGGACCTTTCATTTTTGAGATTCATACCCTACAATTCTAGGACATTTCCTATGTTACTTCCTTAACACATCTCTCCTCATCACATCTCCTGTTCTCTCTGGGTCTCTTAATAGTTGAATGTACAATCCCTTATAATAATCATAGAATTTTCTATTCTCTCATATTGTCCATCTCATTGCCTTTTGTTTCCACTTTTGATATTGTGCGCTTTATGATAATACCTGGTCACCTAGTCTTATTGTCAATACTGTGCATGGGCTTGAGGATTTGCTATTAAGTTGTTCTCAAAATTCTGCATTTATCACTATCTTCCCAGAATGTATCCCTTATTCTTAAAACATAGCATTACTTGATATATAATTTCAATTCAACAAACATTTGCCTTTAGCATTGTGAAAAGGACTTTATTTTCTTGTGAGTCCATAAATGTATTTTAAATTATTTTGCTCTAATTTATCTACCATTTGGGTTTTTGCAGTGGGAGAGCTAAACTACTGGAAATAAAAATTTCATATAATTTGTTTGCTAAATGGGATTCTGTATCAGGCTTATTTTCAAATTTTATATGAAGCCTCTGCCAAACACTGTTTTTTTCTTATTTTTAGAATTAATTTTCATTTTTTATCAGAATAATGCAACTGCATTGTTTTAAAAGTCAGTTATGAGCTGCTCTGCCTATGGAGTAGCCATTATTTTATTCCTTTATTTTCTTTTAATAAACTGGCTTTCACTTTTTAAAAAAAAAGTCAATTATGAATAATCAAAAAATGAAATTGGGCTGAGCACGGTGGCTCACACCTGTAATCCTAGCACTTTGGGAGGCCAAGGCGGGAGGATTGCTTGAGCCCAGGAGTTTGACACCAGCCTGGGCTATATGGTGAGACTGTATCTACAAATTTTTTTTAAAATTAGGCAGGTATGGTGGCATGCACCTGTGGTCCCAGCAATTTGGAAGGCTGAGGCAGAAAGATTGCTTGAGCCCAGGAGAAGGTTAAGGATGCAGTGGGCTGTGTTCATGCCACTGCATTCCAGCATAGGTGACAAACAGAGGCCCTGTCTCAAAAAATAAAAATAAAAACACACAAAAAAACTACAAAATGACAGCAATGAAAACCATTCCATTTATCTATATGTCTATCCTTATGCCTTACTGGCATAATCAATAGTCGTTGATTTTCAACCAGTGTGCCTTCAGTGGAAATCAATAGTCATTGATTTTCAACAAATGTACGTTAAATGGAAAAAGAATTGCCTTTTCAACAAATAGTGCTGAGACAACTGGATATCCACATGCAAAAGAATGAATTCAGATCCCTACCACACACCATATGCTAAAACTAACTCAAAATGGAATAAAGACCTTAATGTTTATAGACAATGTTATAAAACTTATAAAAGAAAACACAGATGTATATCTTTGTGATGTTGGATTACTCAACAGTTTCTTAGATATAATACCAAAAACAAAGCACAGTAACAAAAGAAAAAACAGATAACTGGACTTTATCAAAACTAAAAACTTTGCATGTGAAAGGACACTGTCAAGAAAGTAGAAAGACAAAGAATGAGAGGAAATATGTGCAAATCATGTATCTGATAAAGGTCTAATAGCCAGAATATACATATTTTTAAACTCTCACAACTCAACAATAAAAAAATTTGAAAATTAGTAAAGTACTTCAATAGACATTTGTCCAAAGAAGATATACAAATGGCCAATAAGAAATGAAAAGATGTTCATTATTAGTCTTTAGGAAACTAGAAGTCAAAACCACAATGAGAATTTGGAATCTTTGTGCATTGCTGTAGTAATGTAAAATGGTACAGCCACTGTGGAAAACAGTTTGGCAATTTCTCAAAAAGCTCAACATAAAACTAGCAAATGACCCAGCAATTCTATTCCTAGGTATACACCCAAGAAAAATGAAAGCATATGTACATACAATAACTTGTACATGAATGTTCATAGCAGCATTAATCATAACAGCCAAAAAGTGAAAACAGCCTAAATGTCCATCAACTGATAAATGCATAAACGAAATGTGGTATATTTATATGACGGAATATCATTTAGCCATAAAAAGGAATGAAGTACTGATACATATTACAACATGAAAAAAAATTGAAAACATTAGGTTAAGTGAAAGGAACCAGACACGAAAGGCCACATATAATCTAATTCCATTTATACGAAATATCCAAAATAGCCAAATCCACAGAGAAAGAAAGATTAGTAGTTATTAGGGACTTAGGGGGAGGGTGAAATAAGAAGTGACTGATAATGGTTACACAGGATTTCCTCAAGGAATTATGAAATGTTCTGGAATTAGATAGTGGTGATGATTGTAGAACTCTGAAACTATCCTAAAAAACACCTAATTGTACACTTTAGGCCAGGCACAGTGGCTCACACCTATAATCTCTGCGCTTTGGGAGGCCTAGGTGGGAGGATCGCTTGAAGCCAAGAGTTCAAGACTAGCCTGAGCAACATAGTGAGATCCTGTCTCTACAATTTTTAAACATTAGTCAGTGTGGTGGTACACACCTATAGTCGCAGCTACTTGGGAAGCTTAGGTGGTAGGATTGCTTGAGCCCAGGATTTCAAGGCTGCAGTAAGCTATGATTGCACTACTGCACCCCAGCTTGGGCAACAGAGTGAGACCCCATTTCTTAAAAAAATAATTAAGCCATCAAAGTGTACTAAAACGGTGAATTTTATAGTATGTGAATTATATCTCAATTTTTTTTTTTTTTTTTTTTGAGACAGAGTCTCGCTCTGTCAGCCAGGCTGGAGTGCAGTGGCACAAGTTCGGCTCACTGCAACCTCTGCCTCCCGGGCTCAAGCAATTCTCCTGCCTCAGCCTCCCAAGTAGCTGGGATTACAGGCATGTGCCACCATGCCCAGCTAATTTTTGTATTTTTAGTAAAGACGGGGTTTCACCATGTCATCCATATCATTGTCTTTCACCTCCATATTTTGTTCCACTGGAAGGTTTTCAGGGACAATAACACACACGGAGCTGTCCTCTCCTATGATAACAATGCCTTCTTCTAGAACGCCTCCTGGAGGATCTACCTGAGGCTATTTTACTTCTTTTTACATAAGTAGAAAGAGTATGCTCTAAAATAATGATTAAAAGTATGGTATAATAAATACATAAATCAGTAACATAGTTGTTTGTTATTGTTGTTGTTATTTTTTAAGTTGAAACAGAGTCTGGCTCTGTTGCCCAGGCTGGAGTGCAGTGGTGGGATCTCGGCTCACTGCAACCTCCACCTCCCAGGCTCAAGCCATCCTCCCACCTCAGCCTCCCGAGTACCTGGGACTACAGGCACACATCACCATGACTGGCTAATTTTTGTATTTCTTATAGAAATGTACAGATGAGTTTTCACCATGTTGCCCAGGCTGGTTTCAAACTCAAGCCATACCCCATCTCAGCCTTTTGAAGTGCTGGGATTACAGACATGAGCCATTGTACCCAGCCCATAGTCATTTATTATCAAGTATTATGTACTATACATCGTGTATATGCTATACTTTTATAAGACTGGCAGTGCATTAGGTTTGTTTATACCAGCATCACCCCAAACACATGAGTAGTGCATTGTGCTATGATGATACGACGGCTGGATCTTGCTAGGCGATAGGAATTTTTCAGCTCCATTATAATCTCATGGGACCACCACCATATATTGCAGCCCATTACTGACATAAACATACTTAGGTTATGACTGTACTTGGGTTAAAGATGATAATTACTGTAATTGGTTGACTATTCTAAGAATAATAATTATAGATAAATACAAACATGTATGCAATATAATGGATATGATTAATGTTTATTTTTAAAAGTTGTTTCAGTTTATTCAGCTAGTAAATATACACATATCTTGTTTTATTTAATATACTGATACTTTGTGTTTCAAAGCGATAGACATAAGCTTTAGATTTAGTAGTCATTTGTATTTTTATATAACAGCATATATCTAGGTATAAAAGGATATCAGTAAATCCTTTATTATACATCATTATGTAATGCTTATGTAAAATTACTCGAATATTTTATGCCCACATTAGTAAAGTTTCTTTTGTGTCACCAAAATATTTTTTTAACTCTTGGTGCTTTCTACCATACTTAGTTAAGTTCCTAATAATCATTGCTCCTAGGCTGGGCACAGTGGCTCAGCACGTGGGTGGGGAGGATTGCTTGAGCCCAGAAGTTCAAGACCAGCTGGGCAATATAAGGAGCCCTTGTCTCTACCAAAAAAAAAAAAAAATACAAAAATTAGCCAGGCATGGTGGTGCATGCCTGCAGTCCCAGCTACTCAGGAGGCTAAGGTGGGAGAATCACTTGAGCCCAGGAAGCGAAAGTTGCAGTGAGCTGAGATTGTGTCGCTACACTCCAGCCTGGGTGACAGGGCTAGACCCTGCCTCAAAAAAAAAAAAAAATTTGTTCCTTATTGCCATGTGTTACAATGTCACCTGCCTTGTCTTTAAATACTTATGGTTTACACAGGTAAACCTTGCTTTATTGAACTTCACTCTATTGTGCTTTGCAGGTATTTCATTTTTTTTTTTTTTTTTTGAGACGGAGTCTCACTCTGTCGCCCAGGCCGGACTGCGGACTGCAGTGGCGCAATCTCGGCTCACTGCAAGCTCCGCTTCCTGGGTTCACGCCATTCTCCTGCCTCAGCCTCCTGAGTAGCTGGGACTACAGGCGCCCGCCACCGCGCCCGGCTAATTTTTTGTATTTTTAGTAGAGACGGGGTTTCACCTTGTTAGCCAGGATGGTCTCGATCTCCTGACCTCATGATCCACCCGCCTCGGCCTCCCAAAGTGCTGGGATTACAGGCGTGAGCCACCGCGCCCGGCCAGGTATTTCATTTTTTACAAATTGGAGGTTTGTGGCAACCCTGCATCAAGCAAGTCTATCAGTGCCCATTTTTCAACAGCATATGCTCACTTCATGTATCTGTGCCAGCATTTTTTAGCAATGAAGTATTTTTTACTTTTGTGGATACATAGTAGGTGTACATATTTATGGGCTACATGAGATATTTTGATACGGGCATGCAACATGAAATAAGCACATTGTGAAGAAGGGGTATCCATCCCCTCAAGCATTTACCCATTGAATTGCAAACAAACCAATTACACTCTAAGTTATTTTAAAATGTACAGCTATTATTAACTATATAGTCACCCTATTTTGCTATCAAATAGTAGGTCAGATTTATTCTTTTGAACATTTTTAATAAAGCATTTTAAATTATAGTTTTTTTTAGACATAATGCTATTGCACATCAACTTTTATGTGCACTGGGAAACCAAAAAATTTATTTGATTTGCTTTATTGAAATATTTGCTTTATTACAGTGGTTTGGAATCGAACCTATAATATTTCCAAAGTATGCTGGTATCTTGTCTCCTCTAACTACACACACACACACACACGCATATATATATACATAGAGAGAGAGAGAGGGACTTGCTCTGTTGCCCAGGCTGGAGTGCAGTGGCACGATCTCGGCTCCCCACAACCTGCACTTCCCGGGTTCAAGCAATCCTCCTGCCTCAGCCCCCCAAAATAGCTGGGATTACAGGCATGCACCACCACACCCGGCTAATTTTTAGTGTTTTTACTAGAGGTGGGGTTTCTCCACGTTGGCTAGGCTGGTCTTGAGCTCCTGACCTCAAGTGGTCTGACTGCCTCGGACTCCCAAAGTGCTGCGATTACAGGCGTGAGTCACTACGTCGGGCCATCCTCTAATCATCTTTTCTTGATTTTTGCCTTTCCCAAATCCAGGTTTCATATTCAAAACAACAAAATTGTTAAGATGTTTTCATATCTAAACAACATTTGGGTGTTCTAAAGTAACCACCAGGTAACACAATGGTTTGCTCCTATACTACCTATGAAAGGAATGACGAAAGGAATAATTAGGTTTGTATAGAATATTGTGCATTATAGTCATAACTGCTGTGAGAACTCCCAAATCAGGGTGGTGTGCAGGTTAGGGCAGAGTTTTGGGAGAGGCGAACTGTTCTGTACAAAAAGGAGAAGAATCATAATGCTGAGGGGAGGGGAGGGACCTGGGAGAGGGGAGTGAGCAGCAAGCAGGGTGGGGCACCACCTGAATGAAGGACAGAAGGTGAGAGCCCTTAGGGGCACAGCAGCACAAAAGACTTTGGGAGAAAAGGAATTAATAAGAGGGAATTTTTAAGTTGTTTGTCATGGTGTGTGCTATGGGCCTCCTTCCCTCTTGTCACTCTTACACTGTCTTTAGAAAAGTCATTCTTTTTTTGTGAAAGGGGATTCTCCAGGGAGTATTGAAGGATGCAGGGATGAATTGTTTGTTTCTGAAATGGAGTCTTGCTCTGTCACTCAGGCTGGAGTGCAGTGGTGTGATCTCAGCTCACTGCAACCTTCACCTCTTGGGTTCAAGTGATTCTCATGCCCCAGCCTCCTGAGTAGCTGGGGTTACAGGCATATGCCACCAGGCCTGGCTAATTTTTGTATTTTTAGTAGAGACAGGGTTTCACCATGTTGGCCAGGCTAGTCTCTAACTCCTGACCTCAAGTGATCTGCTCACCTCGGCCTCCCAAACTGCTGGGATTACAGGGGTGAGCCACTGCACCTGGCCTGCATGCAAGGCAAAAACACATCATGAAGGGAAGCTGGAATGGAAGTCTCCAGGGTAAATTCCTGGAAATGAGCAAGACTTTCAAAAGCTGTGGAATTGAGGGGGTGTCAAGCTGAGATCTCAAGGGGTAATGGACCCAATTAATGTCTAGGTTCTAGGTGGGAGAAATAGGAAGTAGCACAAGGGATATATCTGACATGATGATAAGATGGAGTTGGAGAACAGGAAGGCCCAGAGAAGGGTGGGGAGATTTAGAAGGAGCTGGAGGGTTAAGGGTCTTCTGGACTAAATAGTCGGGGTGGGGGAAACTATGAGTTAAGCTGGCAGTCTGTCCTTCCCGTCCCACCCTACAGAAACCGAAGGCCAGACTCCAGCAGAGATTGAATCTTTTTTTTTTTGTCTCTCTTCCCACTTGTCTAAATGAATTATTATGTTAGCCCAGAGAGACAACTGAGATGGGAACTCTCAGGAAAAAAGAGGGCATCATCTTTATGGACATGGAGGGGTTACGGTTGAGACTAGGGCTTCTATCCAATACTCACAGACCATCTACCTGGATGTGGTAGAGGGGTTCAGGAAAAATTCCCAGCCAGGGACTGGATTATTAAGAGTTCAGAATAACCGAAGGGGAGCAGAGTCTTCGCCCTGTTTGTCAGTCCCCTCCATTTAGGTGTGCTGGCCAAGCCTTTCCTCCATTTTAGGGCTGATCTGGATAGTAATGCTGAGCCTCTGAAAGGTTCCAGTCGGAGGCTGGAGCCCTAGTGCTGTCCTTGTGGAGCTGAATCCCATCTCATGGAGCAAACCCTATTAGAGATTTTGTCCCCTTCCTCGAGAGGAATACACAGATAACCCTTTTCTAAGGTTTTCAAAAGAAGAAAATAGAAAAACACTTTTACCCACATTACAAATGAATAAAAAGGAAGTAACATAGAGCTCCACTCCTGCAGCGGAGAAAGACTATCCATGAGTATAGTCTGCCTAGAGAGGAGAGACAGCATTGGACCTCAGCCCTCCTTCCTTTCTTGTCTTTCAGCATCAATGCAGAGAAAAGAGGAGCAGCAAAGAGGGTGCATTTCCAGGTTAGTGTCTTAGTCCGTTTGGGCTGCAATAACAGAATACCATAGGCCCATAGACTAGGTGGCTTAAATTGATCTCTCACACTGCTGAAGGGTGCAAATGCCAAAATCAGGGCACTGGCAGATTCAGTATCCGGTGACGCCCACTATGTCCTCACATGGTAAAACAGACAATGGGGTTCTCAGGGGTCTCTTTTATTAGGCCACTAATTCCACTCATGAAGGCTCCTCCCCCACAATCTACTCACCTCCCAAAAGCCTCGCTTCCTAATACTGTTGGACCGGGGATTAGGATTTCAACACATGAACTAGGGGGATATAAACATTCAGTCAATAGTAGAAGGTTCTGCCTGTTCAGCCCAGAACTCTCAAGGTCTAAACTTAATCTCTCCTTTCCCATGAGGACCCCGGTCCACAGCCTCTGAGGCTGTGTCAGCTTCTAGAGCCCATTACTCTCAGAAGATAAAGCCCCCAGCAGGGACACTCATAAAAAGGAATCCGAATCTGGAGTGCTTAGGAGATTGCCTGCTCTGTCCATCCCCTGAAATGAAAGAATGATGGAGCCGGCCCATGGGTCTCACCCACTAGATGGCGCTGTGAGGTGCAGTGGGAAGAGTAGCTGGAGGCAAACCTTTGAGATTCAGATTTTGGACAAATATTTAACTTCCTGGAGGCTCAGATTCCTCCTTGAGATACACTTGGCCTGTATCCCCCACAACACAGGTATGTAGATCATACGGGATAACGTGTAAGAAAGCACTTTCAAGTATAACACGTGGTGACATACTTGAGCCTGTGGACTGTTGTCACTGACCACTCCACCCTGTGTACCAGAGGCTGGGGCTGTCAGAGTCTAGTGTCCCAGGACCTTCCCCAGGCTTCTCTATGATCCCTTCACTCCTACCTTCACCACGTGTGACCAAGTCCCCTGGTTTCCCAGCTAGGAGAGATTGCCAGAAAGGAGCTCATGTTGATACTGTACTTGCTTGCTCTTTGGAAAAGCACGTATTGATTAATCTCTTCACCTTTGCTGTACCCCTTTTCCTAGCATGGCCTGTGTGACTCCAGGGCCCTAGTGCTGCTGAGGTTGGCATGGGAGGGGAATCCCATAGGAAGGGAATGTGAAAGAAAGCCCCAGCATGAGGAATAAGGGAAGTTCCACAATGCCCATGGTGTGGGAGAATGCAACTCCCACCAGGCCTGCTGGGCCTTCTATCTATCCCCATTCTGTTTTGTTTTTGTTTTTTTGTTTTAGAGTCTTGCTCTGTCACCCAGGCTGGAGTGCAGTGATGCAGTCTCACCTCACTGCAACCCTTTACCTCCTGGGTTCAAGCAATTCTCCTACCTCAGCCCCCTGAGTAGCTGGGATTACAGACACCTGCCACCACACCTAGCTAATTTTTGTATTTTTTGTAGTGACAGGGTCACCATGTTTGCCAGGCTGGTCTCAAACTCCTGACCTCAAGCAATCCTTCTGCCTTGGCCTCCCAAAGTGCTGAGATTAAAGGTGTGAGCCATCATGCCCAGCTCCCATTCTGCTTCTGGCTGAAGCTTGTATCTCCTGACTTTTGCAGCCATCTGGGCAGGCTTCCTGATGAGGGCAGCTTGTAGCAAGATGACTCCTGCTGGGAGGGTCAAGGTTGATTGACCATACAAGCTGAACTTCTGCTGTTTATGGGGGTTGGGGAAGATGCTCCTCCTTCTGGGTCCCCTTTAACTTCCACAGCTCCTCTGCCTGGGCCCCCCCTTCCTCAGAGGCCTGTCTCTAGGGAACTCTGCCAGCAGGTATTAAGATGGTAGCTTGTCTTCCTCAGCCCTGATATCCAGGAGCTCTAGAGATACAAGTCACAAAGAGAGTGCATTTCCAGGTTAGGGAGGAGAGAAATGCAGGAGGGATTTTTCCCAAACAATGGGAAAAATAAACTGAAATCTTCTGGGTCTAATTTACAGTCAATGTCTTGCTGACATGCAAAACAACACAGGCTCCCAACCCTTGTGAAATACTGAAGACAAGTCAGTCTGGACAGTCCTCAGCAGCTCCCAGATCCCAAAACCTGGCAGAACCATTTGCAACAGGAATGGAGCCAGCTTTTCTGGGGTCTGCCCTCTGCACAGCGAGTTCCTGGAGGCTACAGTCCTGGTGTCTGGTAGTTGATCCCCAGTAGATTTTCCATTTGTCTTACTCACTGCTCTCCTAAGGGCCTCCAGCCTAATTTAGGCCAAAGAATCTGCATTGCATCCCCCGCCCCGTCCCAATCCCAGCCCCACCTCAGGCCCACCTTCAATCCTCTCCCCCATTCTAACTCTCACCCCAGATTAGGGCCTGTGGGGTATCTTTCCCTAGAGCCCAGAAAGACGTACAGTCTCTCATCCCAAGGGAAATTCAATGACTGAATTGGCACTGATTGCAAAAGCAACTAGAATATTTGTGGCATTTACTTTTTTTTGGTCCAAAGATCTCAGGAAACCTTGAATCCTTCAGCTGTCAACATTCCTCAGGATAGCGTGGCCTCTCAGACCAGAGCACCCATCTCCATCCTTGCTGGAGAATGTCCCGTCAGCAGCAGGATCTGGGGGCAAGAGGGGCACCACCATTGAAAGAGCCTCATCCAACACCAGCCCCACCTGGCACAGATACAGCCTGAGAACAAATTCTCATCCAAAGGGCAAGCGTGGACCCGTACAGTCCTCTGTGGTAAGGGTCAAAGCAGCAAGGAAAGATCTAAGCAAGATGGCATCAAAGTGCCCGGAAGCTTCCTACGAGAGGCCCAGCAAAGTTGCAGTAGGGAATGACAGGCAGAGTATGGAGCCCAACTTGAGGAAGGATAAAAAGAAAAAAAAATCTATTCTGGTGCTTAAAAAGCTACCCCATGAGGAGCCTAGGGTCTGACTTTTAGAAGGAGACAAGAAATGGCTTGAAGTGTCACTCAGGGAATGACTTATCCAGGGGTCCAAGAGAGAACCTAGACCAGAGCCATCGGAAAACACCCTAAACATTCACTTGGACAAGAAGCTGGGCGAATGTCCCAGGCTGGAGACCATGGCCATGGTTCATGACTGTTGCCAACTATATATTGCCCCCTCCTGGGAAGTCCTGTATCTTTCTAGAAACTGAAACCTTGGCACCCTCAATGAATCAGAATACTGCCTGAATACCTCTTGGAAGCTTTCCTTTCTTGATTCAAGTGCTACATAGGCACTAGAAGCCCAGGTGGTATGGTTTTGAGTGTGACAGAGGTAGAGGTATAGCTTACCTCTCAAAGTTGTTGAATCCATAAAACTTAAGGTGACAGAGGCCCAATCATGGCTCCTTCCCAGGTCCACCTTTCTCCCTCAGCACCCCATGTTTCCATGATGGCTAAGCGGAGGTTCTTTAGATCCTTGAAAGAAACCGTTAGATAAGCTGAAGCCAGGAGACAAGAGGATCACAAAAAAATTCAGTCCTCACCCCAGAGATTCCTTCCCTGCTTCCTCAGCTATAAGCAGGAAGTCCAAAAGTCCCTGAGTTTGGTCACAGAGGACCGTGAGTCCAAGAAGGAAAGCAGGCAAACTTTTAAGCTCCTTTTACCATCTTCAGGGACAAATTGTGTCAGAGTGAGACTGTTAGGGGGACAAGAGAGGCAGTCCAAAGTCACTTCAAGTCAGACAATGGCAGGACATACCCAATGGATGAGAGTGATGTCCCAGCAAACTCTGGCCATAGAAGAGCAGTACCTAGAGGCAGAGGACAGAGGGTAGAGGGTCTGAAGGGGCTCAGCACAGGGGACAGCATCTTCTCAGAGATTTCACTTTAGGAAAAAGATGTTGGAGATTTAGGGATTCCTTCAAGAGCCAAAGATGTCAAGGAGATAGGAAGTCTAAGGAGACTCCAACTCCTAAGCCACACCCAGAAGATGTCCTGAAAGCCAGTGAGCCAGGAGATATCCAGAAGCTAAATGGCCATCTGAGTGGTCAAGGGCTCCAGTGACGAAGAAATGCCCCCCATCACCAACAGTGCTGGTGCCCAAGATCCGGAATGTCTAAGCCTTAAAGATGAGTTGAGGCTCAAATTGGAGTTAAAACTGCCAAGCCAGCCTCAGGTTTCCCAATGACGTGCCCCTTGCCTCAAATAGCCTAGCTACTCCATTCCCTTATTGAGTGAGTTTTAATAGTTTGTGTCTTTCAAGGAATTGGTCTATTTCATCTAAGATATTCAATCTATGAGCATAGAGTTGTGTGTAGTATTCCCTTAATATCTTTTTAATATCTGTAAGGTCTGTAGTAATGTCATCTTTTTCATTCCTGATGTTAGTAATCTGTCTTCTCTCTTTTTTTCCTTGGCCAATCTGGCTAGAAGTTTATCAGTTTTATTAATCCTTTTAAATAACCAGCTTTTCATTTCACTAATATTCCTCTGTTGTTCCGTTTTCAATTTCATTGAGTTCTGCTACAATAAAACATTTAATTTCTGTTTTGTAATGTTTCTCTGGATGCTTTCAAAATACTTTTCATTTCCTCTCATTTCCAGTAGATTAATAATAATGTGTCTGGACATTGTTTTCTTTGAATTTATCATATTTCAGATTTGTTGAGTTTCTTCTTTTTCTTTTTTCTTGAGACAGGGCCTTGCTCTTTCACCCAGGCTGTAGTGCAGTGGTGCAATCACGGCTCACTGCAGTCTCAACCTCCCAGGCTCAAGTAATCCTTTCACCTCAGCCTCCCAAGTAGCTGAGACATGCCACCAGGCCTGGCTAACTTTTTTTTTTTTTTTTTTAAGACACCAGGATCTCCCTATGTTGGCCAGACTCGTCTCAAACTCCTGGGCTCAAGTGATCCACCACCCTTGTTCTCCAAAGTGCTGGGACTACAGGCGTGTGCCTGGCCTTGCTGAGTTTCTTAAATCTATGTATTTTTCACCAAATTTGGGGAGTGTTTAGCCATTATGTCATCAATTTTTATTTTTGCAATCAATCTTTTTCACCTCTCCTTCAGGAATACAATGGTGTGCATGACCTTTAATATTGTCCCATAAATTCTTGATGCTCTGTTCATTTTTTAAGTGTTTTTCCTCTATGTTCTTCAGATTGGATAATTTCAATTTACCTATTGCAAGTTCACTGACTCACTAATTCTTTTCTCTGTCACTTTCACTTTGATATTGAGCCCATTAAAATGAATTTTTATTTTAGATATTGTAGTGTTTAGTTCTAAAATTCCATTGGGTTCTTCTTTTGTAGTTTCTATTTCTCTCCTGAGAACTTCATCTTTCCATTCATTTCAGGAGTGTTCACCTCTAGTTCTTATAGTATAGCTGTAACAACTGCTTTAAAGTCTTTGATAATTCCAACATCTGAGTTGTCTCAGGATTGGCATCTATTGGTTGTCTTTTCCATTGATAATAGTTTAAATTTTCCTAGTACTTTTTTGAGTGATTTTGGATTATAGCTTAGACATTTTGAATACGATCATATGTCATTTAATGACAGACATACATTCTGAGAAATGCCTCATCAAACACTTTTGTCATTGTGCAAACATCATAGAGTGTACTTACACAAAACCGATGGTATAGCGTACTATGCATCTAGGCTACATGGTATATCTTATTGCTGTTAGGCTACAAACCTGTATAGCATGTTACTGTACTGAATGCTGCATGCAATTGTAACACAGTGGCATTTGTGTACCTAAATATATCTAAACAGAGAAAAGAAACAGTAAAACTATGATATCATGATCTCGAGGGACCACTGTTGTATATGCAGCCCATTTTTGACCAAAACATTGTTATATGGTACATGACTGTATTATGCTGTAAGATGCTGGATCCTATTAAAGTCCTCTGGGGAACACTGATTTTTTTTTTTAACCTAACAATTCTTTCCAGTTAGGTTTAGACCACAAATTATGACTCACCTTCTGTGGACAGAGGTTCCAAAGTCAGTTCAGTTTTCAAAGCCATCCCCTGTCTCAGCCTCCCATTTAACACCACTTGCTTTCCCTTGGCCCATTAGTTTTAAGCATTATTTATGTCATCTTACTATATTTTTGAAGGCATTTTCATATGTGACCTTGTATCTTGGCAAAGATCAGATATTAGGCAAAGAACTAAGAAATACAAATCTCCAGCTCCAGTATGATGAGGAGGTCCCTGCCTTGAGGTCCCTGAGCGCCCTGGATAACCTGCCTATACCCTCTTGGACTCAGATCCTGCCTTGGTTCTGTCAGTTCTCTCGTATCTCAACTCCTCCCCTAATCCCAGCAGAGCCTAAACTCCCAAGTCTGTTGACAACCCTACTGCACCCCTAGCCCAGGCTCTGCTCCATCACCTGCCAACATCCCAGCCTGGCCTTTCTCCTAGGTCTGCCCACCTCTGCATCAGTACAGCCACCTTATCCAGAGGGGCACAGCCAATCTTGGACTCCAAGCCTCTCCTTTACTGTTGACTCAAGTGACTGAGCTCAGACTTCCCATTCTGACAGCGGCAAGGTCCAGTGGTAGGAAGAGCAATTCCTACCACTCATAGCCTAGCTCACTACATGCAAGTAGACAGTGAACCAGTGGGTGGAGCTGATGAGTGAGTGATCTGCAGGCAGAGACTCCAGATTGGATGAACCACACAGTTTTGGCAAGCATTGGGTCAAGGAGCTCTCTGGTGGCTCAGCCCTGCCAGCAACATCATCCACATGGGCGTCTGTCTTCTGCCTGGAGGCACAGCGCCTTATCCATAAACCTGTCTCTGGAAGAACAGAAAACGTCAGTGCACCCTCAGGGACAAAGCTGCCCAGGCTTAGCCAGTTTGCCTGTTCCAAATTGGCTCAGCTCCACAGCCAATGTATGACCTGGGTGGTTTTTGGTATTGTGATCCATATGTTATGCTCTAGGAAAAAGTAAAAATGCCTCTAACCATATTTAGTAAATGGAACAGAGGGAGGATATATAGTTATCTATTTAAATATATATGTCTTTCTTATTTATTTATTTATTTACTTATTTATTGAGATGGAGTCTCGCTCTGTCGCCCAGGCTGGAGTGCAGTGCGCGATCTCAGCTCGCTGCAAACTCCGCTTCCCAGGTTCAAGCAATTATCCTGCCTCAGCAACCCGAGTAGCTGGGATTATAGGCATGTGCCACCATGCTTGGCTATTTTTTGTATTTTTAGTAGAGATAGGGTTTCACCATGTTGGCCGGGCTGGTCTCAAACTCCTGATCTCAAGTGATCCACCTGCCTCAGCCTCCCAAAGTGCTGGGATTACAGGTGTGAGCCACTGTGCCTGGCCTAACTTATTTATTAAGATGCACTAACATATCCAATCCATTCCAGTTTGAGTTCTAGACATTTTACTTTCCTCATGTTCCACATATAAAAATAATGCATGCTTGTGATTAGACAGAAAATTCATAAGGTACTGAAGAGAATAAAGCAAAAAGTCCCCTTCTGCAGTGAGTCCCCAGAGAACCCACCCCAAGGTAACCACTGTTAGCATATTTTTGTTTATGCTTCTAGAAATTTTCCACAGATGTGCAAACATGGGTTGTATAACCTCCTCATTTTACATATATGAATGGGATATTATAATACATACTTGCCATTTATATCCTATTCATACATTTTCTCACATGGCTAAATAAATCCTTTAAAAATAAAAACAGTCTCTGACTTAGAAGCATGTGATATCCCAAAAATGTAACCTTTCTGTATGTAATAACCTTTCTGGAACTCAATATAACCTTTCTGTAAATAACCTTTCTGGAACTCACAACGAGTTTCAGAGAAATAATGTTCTAAATCAAGGAGTGGGATCAGGGGTTTTTCTGTAAAGGGCCAGATTGTGAGTATGTTCAGCTTTACCCACCAATCTCTGTCATGTCTTCTTCTCTGGGTTTTTTGTTTTGTTTTGTTTTGTTTACAATCCTTTAAAAATGTAAAGACCAATCTTAGATCTCAGGTAGTGCCAAAACAGGCTGTGGGCCAGATTTGGCCTTTGGACTATCATTTGCTGACCCCTCTTCTAAGTGGTGGTTAGGCCCACAGCTTAGCTCCCAGAAGCACAATTAATCCATAATATTACTGAGATGCCAAATAAGATAATATATTTTAAATTGCATTGTAAAGTCTATACTAATATGAAGAATTATGTAGTTTTTCAGTGTTTAGCACGTGGATAACTTTTTAAAACAAAAGTTAACATGGAATTTAAAAATGTTTTTTATATCTTGAATTGGATGAAGAGTTAGATATATTAGCAAAGAATCTCAGAATTTTCAAGCTATCTACGAGGCAGAAGATAACATTGTATTACTGCTAATCCTACTTTAAAAAATTTTTTTTAAATTTTTTTTAGATGTGGGGTCTTGCTCTGTTGCCCAGACTGGAGGACAGTGGCATGATCATAGCTTTGAACTCCTTGCAGCCTTGAACTCCTGGGCTCAAGCAATCCTTCTGCCTCAGCCTCCTGAGTAACTGGGACCATAGGCACACACCAGCACGCTTGGCTTCCTACACTTTTTGTCAACACAACATAAACACACATTAACACAAATGTGATTCTTGTGGTGTAAGCTCATATGCCAAGTGCCCCCCTCCACTGAAAAACAGAGAGTATATCACTGAGTTTTTGCACTGCGGGCATTGAAAAGGCTCTTCCTCCATTTGCTGTTCACAGCCACGTGCACTGGCCTAAACCTTGAACCTTCTGTGAATTGCATCTGCTGGAACCTACAAAGGCAGAGAAGGAGCAGAAAGGATAAGAATAGGGTAAATGCTGGAGAGTCATTTTATGACTTACCTAGATCAGGAAACTCAATTTTTTGTTTTTGTCTGAGATAGGGTCTTTGTCGCCCAGGCTGAAGTGCTGTGCCATGATCTCGGCTCACTGTAGCCTTGACTTCCTGGGCTCAGGTGATCCTCCTACCTCAGCCCCCCACCCCACTGAGTAGCTGGGACCACAGGCATGAGCCACTACACCCCGTTTTTTAATTTTGTGTTCATATATATATACATTTGTATATATACTTGTATACCAAAAAAAATTTTGTTTTAGAGACGGGCTTTTCACGTTACCCAGACTGTTCCCAAACTCCTGGCCTCAAACGATCTGCCACCCTCAGCAGCCCAAAGTGCTAGGATTACAAGCATGAGCTGCCGTGCCCCACCAGGAAACTTATTTTTTACAATATAAACATCCCTATTATATATTTAATTGAGCTTTAAAACTTATGACTTGCCCCTTCTCCATCACGGAGGTAGGGCTTGCTTCAATAACCTCACACCATGATTATAATTGCATTTTCATATATATATATACTTTTTTTTTTTTTTTTTTTTAGATGGAGACTCGCTCTGTCAGCCAGGCTGGAGTGCAGTGGTGCCATCTCGGCTCACTGCAAGCTCCGCCTCCCAGGTTCACGCCATTCTCCTGCCTCAGCCTCCCAAGTAGCTGGGACTACAGGCGCCTGTCACCACACCCGGCTAATTTTTTTATTTTTAGTAGAGACGGGGTTTCACCACGTTAGCCAGGATGGTCTCGATCTCCCGACCTCGTGATCCGCCCGCCTCGGCCTCCCAAAGTGCTGGGATTACAGGCATGAGCCACCGCACCCGGCCTATTTTCTCATAAATGAAATGCAGAGATTTTCCTGCAATACCAGGGCTAGGATTAGGAAAGAAAGTAGAAGAGAAAGCGTACTAAAAAAAACCCGTGAGCTGGTGACTGCCTGCCCGGGCAGTGAAGGTGGTTCACGGTACTGCACGTGTAACCCCAGAAAAGAAACCCAGATGAGAGGGGGAAGATGTTTTGTGGGGTAACTGAATCCTTTAGGGAGGAGCACTTTGTGATACTTCCCTTAGCAAAACATCATATTGCTTGGTAAAAATAGTCATTTTAATTTTTATGTACGTATTTATTTATTTATTTATTTATTTTGAGACAGAATCTGGCTCTGTCACCCAGGCTGGAGTGCAGTGGCACAATCTCAGCTCACTGCAACCTCCATCTCCCAAGGTCAAATGATCCTCCCACCTCAGCCTCTTGAGCCCAGCCTAAAAAAATATTTCTATAATTAAAAAGACAGGCCAGGCACGGTGGCTCACGCCTGTAATCCCAGCACTTTAGGAGGCCGAGGCAGGCAGACCACTTGAGGCCAGGAGTTCGGTACCAGCCTGGGCAACATGGCAAAACCCTGTCTCTACAAAAAATACAAAAACTACAAAAACTAGCTGGGCATGGTGGCGTGCGCCTGTAGCCCCACTACTCAAGAGGCTGAGGTGAAAAGATAGTTTGAGCCCAGGGGCAGAAGTTGTAGTGAGCTATGACTGAGCCACTGCACGCCAGCCTGGGTAACAGAGAGAGACTCTGTCTCCAAAAAAAAGAAAGAAAGAAAAAATAATTAGCTGGGCATGGTGGCAAACAGTTACTCAGGAGGCTGAGGCAGGAGGATCACTTGAGCCTGGGAGGTCAAGGCTGCAGTGAGCCGTGATTGCACCACTACACTCCAGCCTGGGCAATAGAGCAAGACTGCCTCAAAAAACAAAACAAAACAACAAAAACAGAAGCCATTCATACATTGAATTTTAGGGACCCCCTAGATCCCCCTGAAGTCTGCTTATCTAGCCAGGTAAGCCAGAACAGAGTGGTAGAAAAAGGCTATCAATGAAGAGAAACACAATAAAAATATTACCTAGGTTTATAGGTCATTGAAGAGTTCAGAAGACACTTTCCCAAGCATTATCCTGGCAACAACTCTGTAAGGTCACAGAGCTAGAGGCAGGGTGCAGTGACTTGCCTGAGGTCACGAGCTAGCCCATGGCAGGGCAGAAAGCGCTTGAAGTTTCTGAGGCCAAGCCCAGTGCTCTTCGTATTTCCCATCTTGCTTCCCAGGAGGTTCCATGCAGATCCTGTGGGAATGGGCGTTTCTGCCCTTATTCCCCTGTGCATTCTTCACGAGTGGTTGGATTTCCATGGACTTCATTCTGCCAAAGACTCATGTGCTGAATCATATGGAACTGCTGACCTTCCAATAAACCAGCATGATTTGCTAAGGCGTAGAGCCAGGCTGAGAAGGAAGAGGACTCAGGCCAGACTGGTGGGTTGGAATCCTAGCTGTGCAGCCGAGCAGCTTGAGCACGTTACTCAACCTCCACCCAATGTACGAAAAGCACATAGTCCAGTTCCAAGGACATGATAAAAGTTCAGTAAGTGATGCAGGCTTTCATTTTTATTGAGTCTTCTCTTGCTTTCTCTGGGACTGTAGCATTTTAAAAACCCTACCAACAAGAGGTTGATTCACGTCAACTTCATTTTCTTCTCTCCAAGAAAAAAAGTCACAAACACAGAAACAAAGTCAATGCCTTGTCCGTGTGTGCTCATGGGCTTAATGAGTCACCTGGTTGTGCACAGATCCACATGCTGGAATAATCAATCCCACCCCTGAAGCCAAGCTTACAATTTAAGAAAAAATTAATAAATGCCACTCATCTTTCTAATCTCTTCTCACATGTGACTGACAATCATCAGTCAGCATTGCTTGTACAAGTTACTGTTCTTTAAAGCTGGGGCAGGTGGGCCAAACGCCAAAATTACCTAAACAGCTTGAACTCCTGGTGTTTTCCTCCAAGCCAGTGAAATGGGAATAAAATCTGCTATCAAGGGCTCCCCCTACAGGCACCAAAAAGCAAAGGCTAAAAATTAAGGTGGGTGCCATTTACGCCTAGTAGAGAATTGTTTCTTCTCTTGAAAAAGTTTCTAAGGCAGTCCTGAAACCACAACTTTGCTTGTTGACACAATCCCTTTTCCAAAACTCTGGCCAAAGAGTCTTAAAAATCTAAAGGACCAAGAATCAAGCAACCTCTTCCTCTTGATGTACTCACCTCCCACTTAATAAAGGACCAAATGTGATTTTGATACAAATAGGACACAAAACGACCCTAGAGCTGTAACACTATTTTTGACAGTCATAATTATGGCACTTTTGAGTTTTCTTGTAGCTCATTTCCATCTCATTTTTAGGATTAGTGTGTATTTGTGTGTGTGTGTACATGCGTGTGTGTACATGCACGCACCAAAACAACTTCAATTCCGGACATAAAATCAATGACAGTTTTAAAACCACTTGATGGAAGGTTTGAGGGAACTTTTATCATTTATTTATTTTGTGCTACAAATCAGGTATATTTAATTCTCTGGGTTCGTGGAATGAGCTTGGATGGTTGCCTGCTCTCAAAGGCTAAAAAAAAAAAAAGCTTGGATGGATAAATAAAGTTTCCAAGACATAAAGAAACAGACAGACAGACAGCTTGTTTCAAATTTGTGCTTCTATTTCTCTCTGAGGGATGGAAGTTCACCAACCAGAGATGCACATTTCCTCACAAAGGACACTTGAAGTTGTGCCCACAGAGGCAAATGCTCATATGGAGACTCAAGAAAGCCTGGGGTTCAGAAGAGGCTTGAGATCATGTTATGAGAAACAGCTGAAGAAAACGGGGGTGCTCAGCCTAGGGAAGACCAAGGGGTGGTATGACAGGCTAACTTGGGAGGGCAACCAGCCTGTGTGGCCTCTCTAGTGGGCAGAGCTGTCGGAGGACAGAGTGGATCTCACGTTCAGGAAGAATGTTTTAATAATGAGCACTGCCCATAAAGAATAAGCTGCACAGGTCAGGGGTATATACCTCATTTAGGCAGGGCCTGGAAAGGCCAGATAGTGGGAACATTGAAGAGACTCAGGAACTGGCAGAAAACTGAGCCAGATTATATTTAACATCCTTTTTATTATTTTTGTGGGTTTTTTTTGAGACAGGGTCTCACTCTGTCGCCCAGGCTGGAGTGCAGTGGCACGATCTCGGCTCACTGCAACCTCTGCCTCCCAGGTTCAAGCGATTCTCCTGCCTTAGCCTCCCGAGTAGCTGGGATTACAGGCATGCGCCATTACCACCCAGCTAATTTTTGTATTTTAAGTAGAGGTAGGGTTTCACCATGTTGGCCAGGCTGATCACGAACTCCTGACGTCAAATGATCCACCCGCCTCCGCCTCCCAGAGTGCTGGGATTACAGGCATGAGCCACTGCGCCCAGCCTAAAATCCTTCTTAGCTCTAAAATCCTGAGACTGTATAATAAAACCCCAAACAATTTAATAGTCCTCTTGTTATAAGGCCGTTGGTTACCATCCCCCAGAGTCATTGTTAACATATTAAACAAAACATTTTGTGCTTCAAGCCCTGATGAAGCTTCAAAATAACTTTTCAAAAGAAAAAACAACAAAATCAAACTAAAGTGTAGGCTCTACCAGTGTCAACTTCCTACCTTTAACGTTTACTATAGTTATGTAAGATGGAACCAACCACTGGAAGAAGTTAAATGAAAAGCTGGGTGAAGGGTACACAGGACCTCTACTATTTCTGCAATTTCCTGTGAACCTCTGATTATTTCAAAATAAAAAGCTTTAAAAAATCAAATTAGCCCAGGCACAGTGGCTCATGCCTGTAATCCCAGCACTTTGGGAGGCTGAGGAGGGAGGGTTGCTTGGTACCAGGAGTTCAAGACCAGCCTGGGCAATGAGGCGAGACCCTTGTCTCTACAAAAAAATTTAAAAATAGTGGGGCATGGTGGCATGAGCCTGTAGACCCAGCTACTCAGGAAGGTGAGGTGGGAGGATCCCTTGAGCCTGGGAGGTTAAGGCTGCAGTGAGCTATGATCAGGCTACTGCACTCCAGCCTGGGCAAAAGCATGAGACTCATCTCTAAAAAAAAAATCAAAAACCAAAAATCAAATTAAAGATACCTCCCCAAGAAGTTCTAAGTAACATCAAAGGCAATTACAAATCAGTTTGGTTTAGGAGTACAGTGTCATCAGCCACAAATGACTCTGCACAAGTATCCACAGGCAGCAGAACTCATTTCAAAACTATTCAAGACTATTTCAATCAGCTCATTTCGATCAGCTATTAAGATTTACAATCATGATTAGGAAAGCATGTATCATGTTGACAGGTGTCTAATTTGGTTATGTTGATCATAAATCCTCAGTTATCTGGGAGCACATCATTAAAATCACCTATAGGCAATACATTCTTACAACTGTTTCCTATGTGGTACTACAGAGGATCCATGTATAATTACTGTATTTCTAAAACTATAATACAATAATTTATTTATGTCTTACTTCTTCCATTAACCATGATTGCAACAAGAACTACATCTTGTCATCTTATTTTATCACCAAAACCTAACCCATAGGTTCTCAATAAATAGTTGCAAAGTGAGTATATTAAAAAACAGTAATTATAGGCCAGGCACGGTGGCTCACACCCGTAATCCCAGCACTTTGGGAGGCTGAGGTGGGTGGATCACGAGGTCAGGAATTCGAGACCAGCCTGACCAACATGGTCTCTACTAAAAATACAAAAATTAGCCAGGCATGGTGGCGCACGCCTGTAATCCCAGCTACTCAGGAGGCTGAGGCAGGAGAATTGCTCGAACCTGGGAGGCAGAGATTGCAGTGAGCCGAGATCACGCCACTGCACTCCAGCCTGGGCGAAAGAGCAAGACTCCATCTCAAAACAAAAACAAAAACAAAAAAACAGTAACAATTTTCTTGAACTTCTGAGGGTGATTTCCTTTTCTGATACAAAGACATCCAAAGAAATCTCAGAGAGTCTCTATTTTAGAATCAGTATTAAATATATATACATATATATATGTGTGTGTGACTATGTCACAAAGTCTCTGAAACACATAAGTTTAATCTCAAAAACTATCTCTACTTGTTTTTTATTTGTTAGTTTCCTGATATAGGTTTGATTTGGAATCAAATAGAAAGGTCAGGCTTTTCCAGACAGACAGGAAAACCAATATGAATTACTGAATAGATCCCCTCAACTAGAAAGTCTCTGCTGGAATGAACTTTGTCTAATTTTATCAAGTGCACCAAGAACAGCTTCTTTCAGAAATTATCGAGACAGCATCACCTTTTGATTCTTTAATATCAACAGATCAAAAAGCATTTGGTGATTTCTCTGTATTTTATATCTCTTTGTTAAGTTTATTAATGTATACGTTTTTCAAATAAACATTTTGAACAGCCCAAATCAATCAAAGCCATGAGATCACAAAGTGTTGCTTCTCGACACAACATTAGCTTGTTCAGAAAATCCAAAAGCCACATCCAAAGATCAATGATGCTACCTTAAAGACATGAGGGAGGCTCCTTAAGACCCTAGAGACACCAAGGACCCCACAGGGCCAGTCATATGAACAGGCTCAGAAGCCGGCTTGATCCTCAGCACCTCTGCAAAGCCATCACCAAACCAGCAAGTGACATGCGCTATGTCTACAGTAAAGTAGAAAAGGCGGTCCTGGCAAAGCTTCCGGCGGTACACAGACCGAGGATCCGCTGACAGCACAGCCTCAATGGCACGCTTTGCTTCCTCTGCTGACTGAAAATATTTAAATGACGCCTGACCAACATCTGCAATGAAAAAAACACAACTTAATGAGCACTATCATGCAGGTTGAATTTAATTACAACAAACTTCAATATGGAATCTGGTTGGTTCCTTAAAGATCACTTGACATGGACAGGGTTTGGAAAACTATTTGATCATTACGGAGACTGTCACCGTCAAGAGGTGTTTATTATCATTAGGTTTAACTTGTACACCCCCAAATTTTTGTTTTACTGGACAGAAAAATCATGGTAGTATTTTTCCTTAGTCTCCTAAGACAGGTGAGCTTTCATTTTCTGTCAGCCAAGATGTCACTTTTCTGATATCCAAAATGTCACTTTTCTATACTCAATGTAGACTTTAATTCCTTGTCATTTTCTTCTCAGAACAGAGACAAGGAAATGCATGACAGTCCCAGCATCCTCAGAAAGCCACAAGAAAGAGAACTAAACCCACACACACCCAGAACACCAGCTACAGGCGAGAGAGGCTGCACCAGAAAGCTAGTATCACAGACCCGCAGTTACCAGTAACATCCCTTTGCTTTGGGACTCTCTCACATCTGTGTCCCTAAGAAACAGCAAAACTTCCTATGTTTGTAGGATTTTTAATGTATTTTATTTTTAATATGGTATGTATAAAACATAAATTTAGAAAGTAACTGTGACCTAGTTTTTCATAACTACAACATCACATACATCCAAATGCCCCTTCCAGGAAGGTACAGATCTTAAAAACACTGTCCCTGCTCAAAATATCATCTGTGGTGGCAGTGGATCTTTATCCCTCTTGGAGTGGATTTGATTTCTACAAGCAGCCAAAAATCACTGTGGGCCATATCTAATAAGCAGGTTGGGTAAATAAAGCCATGAAGTACAATTTTTAGTCAAAAATCAATTATATGGGCTGGGCACGGTGGCTCACACCTGTAATCCCAGCACTTTGGGAGGCCAAGGCAGGAGGCTCACAAGGTCAGAAATTTGAGACCAGCCTGACCAACATGGTGAAACGCCATCTCTACTAAAAATACACACACACAAAAAAATTAGCCAGGTATGGTGGCGCACGCCTGTAATTCTAGCTACTCAGGAGGCAGGAGGATCACTTGAACCCGGGAGGTGGAGGTTGCAGTGAGCCAAGATTGCACCACTGCACTCCAGCCTGGGTGACAGAAAGAGACTGTATCTCAAAAAAAAAAAAAAAAATCAATTATATGGCAATAAGGTTCCTTTACTGCATGGCTCATAGAAAATGGCTCTGAAGGCCACTCAAAAATGAGGAGAGCTCATCACACTCCCCTGTGACGGCGTTTCTGGGAGAGGCTCCAGGCCTCTGCTTGGCCGTTTATCTGGCATGGGTGCCTTCCCCCAATTCCCTGCCTACTCATCCTGCCAGGCTCAGCTCAAGCACTGTTTCCTTCCACACTCCCTCCCAGACACAAGTCAGGATTCTCCTCTCAGAGTGCCCACAGCACTCTGCCCAGACCTTTACTCCAGCACCAAACTTCCTCCCATTTCAACACCTTTAACCTCTTCTAGACTCAGAACTTCCTGAAGTCACTTCTTATTTCTGCAACAGCTCTGAATTTTGCTGTTTGCTATCAATCAGTTCCTGTTTTGTAGTTACACTGCGTAATTTCTCATTTTAATCATTTTTTTAATCAGTAAGGCATATTTCAAACATCTGACACATACTGCACTGCAGTTTAAAAAACAAAACTTTCCAGGCTGGGTGTGGTGGCTCACGCCTGTAATCCCAGCTACTCAGGAGGCTGAGGGAGGAGAATCGCTTGAACCCGGGAGGAGGCGGTTGCGGTGAGCCGAGATCGCGTCACTACACTCCAGCCTGGGTGACAGAGTAAGACTCCGTCTCAAAAAAAAAAAAAAAAAGAAAGAAAGAAAAAAGAAAAGAAAGAAAAACAAAACTTTCCATAGTAGTTTGCATTAGACAATAACCACAGGACAAGTGGTAAGCATAAAGTGTCTAGAAGGCAGGACTGTTTTGTTCCACCATAAAATCCTTTTACAACTGACCAGCCTCCTCCCATCAACTGTATACAGTGATGTAATGATTTCTATCAACAAAACTTTTAAAAATAAAAAGATCAATTTTAAAATCAAAAGCTTTGTTTAAAAGTAAAGCCTTAGGAGCCAAAGAGAAGCACAACCCTCAAGTGGCATCACCACTCATGACCACGAGACTGCCGTGTCCAGAAGTGCAGGGGGTGCCCTGCATACGGCACTTGGCTGAAGTTTGCATGTTGGGGCTAAAACCAGTTCCTGGGCCCTGGCAGGTGGCTGCCTCCACCCAGAGGAAGGGGTGGCTTTTCCTTTGCAAAAGGCAACAGTGTGGGCTGGCTGTGGCTCTGACAGGAAGAAATGGGGAAATCTCAGAGTCAGTTGGCATGTATCTCCAGTCCCAACTTTTAGACTTCTTTTTCCCATCAGAAAAACCTCCTTCAGGTTGGATTATCAAAGCCAAATACCCCCCTAGCCTCTTCATTCTCTCCCTGCTAGTAAAGCAGGGGAAAATCTAGTATCTTTGGTTGTGTAAGCCTTTATTTTCTGGATATAGAATGAAAGTCTTCATTGTCTCAATAAGGAACTCCAGCTTGCCTTTGCATGTCACTGAGGTGTGACATCCCAGAAATCACACAGGTAGTGATCTGACCCCAGAGATGGTCCCCTGCTCTCTGGGGATACGGACATCAAGTTCCTCTGCCTTTTACTTCTCCCAAGATCAAAACTCAAGTCCTTACAATGGCCTATAAAACCCTTAGGTGACCTCGTCCCTTTTCTAGTGCCTCTTTGACCTCATATCCTTCCGCTCAGCCCTCCTCAGTCCACTCTGACCACATGACCTCAAACGTGCCATGCACCCTCCACTTTGCGGCTGTGCACTGGCTGTCCCTCAGGCCAGCATGTCCTTTCTCTGGACAGGCTGGCTCATGTCTTCACCTCTTTGACCTTTGCTCATATGTGTCTTTCTCAGTGAGGCCCACTGGGGCCACCTATTTAAAATTGCAACAGGCTAGGTGCAGTGGCTCACACCTGTAATCCCTGCACTTTGGGAGGCTGAGACAGAGGATCCCCTGACCCCCAAGAGTTCAAGACAAGTCTGGGCAACAAAATGAGACCCCGTCTCTTTAAAAATTCAAAATAGGTTGGGCACGGTGGCTCACACCTGTAATCTGGACACTTTGGGAGGCCAAGGCGGGGGAATCACAAGGTCAGGAGATCGAGACCATCCTGCCTAACACGGTGAAACTCAGTCTCTACTAAAAATACAAAAAATTAGCTGGGTGTGGTGGCGGGCGCCTGTAGTCCCAGCTACTCGGGAGGCGGAGGCAGGTGAATGGTGTGAACCCGGGAGGCGGAGCTTGCAGTGAGCCGAGATCGAGCCATTGCACTCCAGCCTGGGCGACAGAGCGAGACTCCGTCTCAAAAAAAAAAAAAAAAAAAATCAAAATATTAGCCAGGTGTTGTGGTGCACACCTGTAGTCCCAGCTACACAGAAGGCTGAGGTGGGAGGACTGCTTGAGCCCGGAAGGCTGAGGCTGCAGTAAGCCATGTTCTTGCCACTGCACTCCAGTCTGGGTGACAGAGTGAGACCCTGTCTCAAAAATAAAATAAAATAGTAACAACACTCCAAGCCTGCTGTATTCTTAAATTTTTCAGTAACTCTTATCACCTTCTAATATTATATAATGTTGAATATGTTTGGTCTAATAACTTGATTGCTTATTATACTTTTAATTTGTCTCTCTCCTCCCCATTAGAATGCAAGCTCCATGACAGCAGGGGTTTTTTATATCTGTTTTGTTCACTGATGTATTCCAAGAACCTAGACCAATGTCTGGTACCTAGCAGAAGCTCAGTAAACAACTGTAGAATGAATAAATGAACTTCCCTCTTTATATGGTTATGCTGGCTCCTTACTGAGTTGTAACACAAAGAACAGCTTTTTGCAATCTGACATCTCCTTGGCAACCAGCTTCTTCTTTTTGATGGAGTCTCACTCTGTCACCCAGGCTGGAGTACAGTGGCAACATCTCGGCTCACTGTAACCTCTGCCTCCTAGGTTCAAGCAATTCTCCTGCCTCAGCCTCCTGAGTAGCTGAAATTACAGGCACCTGCCACCAAAACTGGCTTTTTGGATTTTTAATAGAGATAGGGTTTCATCATGTTGGCCAGGCTGGTCTTGAACTCCGGACCTCAAGTGATCCACCCACCTCAGCCTCCCAAAGTGCTGGGATTACAGGAGTGAGCCACCGTGCCCAGCCTGAAATTAGTTACTTCTTACTGGTATCGCTGTATCCACATCTTAACAGCCCCTTCCTTCATCCTAGGCTACTGCTTGGGATCTGCTGTGGGCTGGGGAAACCAGATAACATTTGTTAAGAACCATGTGTTAAAGTAAGCAGGCTCCATGTAAGAGCCCTGTGGCCTCTCTTCTGCAGCAAAGTGTATGCCTCTAGCAGTGGGACTTTGTTGGGGCAAGTTCTGTGCTAAGAGACTCTTCCCCTGTGACTCTGGGCTCCTAGAGTCCTCTGTGCCAGAGGCTGAGCTATCGACTACCTGACAGTCAGAATACAATGCAACATTTCTCAAGTCAGACAGTAAAACAAATAAGAAAACTTTATGTACATAAGTATAGAACAAGCACAATTTAGCTTCTGAATGATATTTGAAGACTCTAAGAACTACTGTAGCAAGTAGACAAGGGGCTGTAAGTCATAGGCCACCTTGTGAGGCAGCAGCCACTCTCTGCCAATGCTTTACTGACAGCCTGGAACTAACTGTGCTGACCACACAGTTGTCCAACAAAAGTCATCACATGATGGTACTGCAAAAATATTATTTTATACCTGTTTCCTAAAAACCAGTCATACTGACAAACACTCCACATACCTGCCTTCACAAATACCAAACTTGGCTAAATCTCAAAGTAAAAGTTCATCTCTCATTCAGAATGAAGAAACTGAAGATACCTTGTGAACTGAGCTGCCCAAGGTCCATCTCGGCATGAGGAGTAAACCGCACTTCTAAAGTGGCCACAGGAGCCTCTGTCACCCAGGCAGGAACCACGCTGCGGGGAGCTCCATCAGCCCTTCCAGCAGGGCAGTGAGGGGCCATGGGCTGTGTCTCTGCCCTGCTTCCTTGCAAGACTGCTGCTCCTTCCACTCTTTCTAGCTTCTTGTCTGTACCTTTCTCTGAAAAGCTCTTCTCTGGGCAATATGGGCCAATTTGTTCTTCTGCCACGCTGGAACTCTGATCACGTCTTGATTCCAAACCAAAATCCACTGCTATCTCCCTGTGCATAGGAAATGCTTGCTGAATTCTGGCTGTGTCACTGTGTGTCAGGTAGTTTTCTTCTGAAGTTCTGTCTTCAGGACATTTAGGTTTCCTCTTAGTGCTATGGTGGGGTTGTGGCTCATCACACCCTGAGAGCTGTCGCTGGTCACAGCTGTCAGTCTTGCTGTCAGACTGGGACACAGTGTTTGGTGTATGTTGGTTATTCTGTAAATTAAAGTCTGCTAAAGGCTCCATCACATTTTGCGGTGAGTCATACTCAGCTATGTAGGGCTTGATGTCTAGTACGGGTGTGCCATGTATCATGTCAATTCCAGAAAGGTATATAGCTCCACCTATGACATAAAAACGTGAAAAATGAAGAACAGTGCAAACACTTGGAGAATACAGTCACGCCCCAGAATCCTCTAACACTGTCTGCTTACGCCTCACTGCACTTACTCATAATTCTCTCACACAGACCTAGTACCAACACACACCCTTCTTGCTACCTGGTAGCCCATCCTCTTCTCTACCTATCAAACTCCTACTTGCTCTTTGAGGCCCTCAAAAGCACACCTTTTACAAAGCCTTTCTGGCTCCTCCAGACAAAAGCATTCTTTCCTACAGTCCCCATAGAGAAGCCTGTGCACAAACCTCTGCTAGAGCGCTTTCCCCACGGTAGGGTAGTGACCTGCTTAGAGTCTTCATCCCTAGACGCAGGCAGGCCCCTTAACACAGGCTGGGACCAACTCATCTTTGTATCACTGGTGCTTCTGTTCCAGGGATATAGTAGTCCTCAGTATATCTCTGTGGGACCAATGAAGGTTCTTACTGTGGCAAACAGATCCAAAAGTGGCCCTGTGACCCGCACCTCCTGAAGTTCATGCCCTTATATAATCCTTCCCCTTGAGTGTGACTGGCTTCTAACCAACAGAATATGGCAAAAGAGGTATGATGTCCCTCCAGTGACTATGCTTTTCATTAGCACTGCTGCTGGCTGGAAGACTCACTCGAGAGACTCTCCTTGAAGGCTTGCTGAAGTAGGCAGGCGTGCTAGGAAGCCCACATAGCAAGGAACTGCAAACAGCCTTTAGACACTGAGGGCAGCCTCCAGCCAACAACCAGCAAGAATCTGGGGCCCCCAGTCCTACTACGATGGCAAGGAAATCAATGTGGCCAACAGTCTGAGTGAGCTTAAGCAGATTCTTCCATGGTCAAGCCTCCAGATAAGAACTCATATCAGCTGACAATTTAATTGCAGTCTAGTGAGACCTAAGCAGATGACCTAGTTAAGCTGTGCCCATCCTTCTGACCCACAGATACATAATAATGTTTCAAACACATAATACATGTGTGTTGTTTAAACTGATGATTCTGTGGTAATTTGTTACACAACAATAGAAATCTAATACATCCATCAAGACTCAAAAGATTAAGCAGCACATAAGTCAGCATTACCAAATACTAAAGACAAGTCTCCAGCTGTCCCACTGGACAGATGCTGTCCAGTTACTGCTACAAATAGCCATCTACTAACCTTACTCTTGGAAAATAGGCCAAATGAGAACAGAAAAACTACATGCAGTCACATTTGATTCCGTCTCCATTTAAGAAAAACGTAACTAATACAGGACCCTGATTTCTGAAACATGTTATTATGAATGAGCTGGAACTCTGGAAAGATGATTCTGGACTTGCTAGATGATGAATTATGCCTAACAATATCTGTAGGAAAAAGAAAGGCACTGTAGCATAAGTAAGACTTCAAAGGATTTAGAGTCAGATGACCACCTGGCTGGATGCTATTAGACAGATTATCTAATCTTAAAGAGCCCTAGTTTCCTCACCTATGAGATGAGGATTGCTACTTTGTCAAACCCACAAAGCCACTGTGAGATAAGGTACGTGAACACTGTTTACTAACTGTAAAGCACTGCACAAACACTAGTTGCCATAAAGCTTATATAGTAATGTCTACAGTGCTACTGTGTTTGCCTTTTAACCTATCTGACTTGACCTTCCCAATTGAAACATTAAGTTCTTTAGGGCATGGATTTCTACTTTCATCTGATTTGTTTATCACTATAGCTCTAGCACCTAGGACAATGTCTGGCACATATTCAGTGCTAGAAAATATGTCCCTGAATAATCATAAAATCTTCTAGTACTTGCTATCCAAGTTTGTTAGCCATTACAAATTGATAAAATTCAAGGTGGATCAGCTACTGAATTTTTCTGAGAAAACTACCTAAGGCCCAGTTGAGTACAATCCAGTGGGAGAGTTCAAGTTCTGGGAAAGAACAAGCAAAATAACTGCTCTCATCTATTTAGTGTCCAATAGCCTGAAAAAGTAGTTTTAGAACTTCTCTCTTACAAGATTCTCAAAATATTCTGTGGAATCACAGAGGAAGCAGGTCCTTCTCCTTTGCCCACTTCACAACCAGCAGGCTGAAGCCTGGAATGGTCTCTTGACTCCTAGTTTACCTGCCATTTCATCTGCTGCCTCTATAACAAATGCATCTGTTAGGTCAGAATGGAATGCTTTCCATAAATGCGTAACTAGGTTATATACGAACACACAGTTAAAACTAGTTTAAAACTTCTACAACCTGACCAATGTTTGTCCTTGTAGTGTGATTCATCCCAGACTCCTGCCACACAGCACAGTTGACATCAGCACTGCAGCCATGATATCTGTCCATTTCCCCAAGGCTGCAAGGAAGGAATGATATACCACCAGTCTATGTGTTTTCCATATGTGCATGTACAATGAGTTATTGTGTGTTAAATTGGAAAGTGTCCATTTATTTTTAATCATTTTGTATTTACTGCATTCCAAGTCAGAGAAACTTTGGTTACTAATTTAATGATTGTGAAATTTGTGTTATTTCTAAATAATTTAATAGTTTTGGATATATGCAATAATATAAACAAGCTCTGAGCATCCTATGAGTTTATTTCAACATTTTTCAATGCTAACATTCTTTTAATCATTGTATTTTCTTCAATGTCTGGTGGTTCTCAGGAGTTAACATCATTGGTACTCGTCTGAATAAACAGCCAGTGGTGAATGCTGTTTATTTTATAAGGCTTTTTTGGGTGAGGAAAAAGGTAAAAGTAGAAATGAAATGGGTTACCTTCTACCTTTTCCAGCTTGGCCAGGGTCAGTCCTATTGCATTGGGACGATGAGGGCTCCTTGTGGAAAAAACTCCAGTCTTTGCACCATTCAGCCTAGGAGGCTGCACTTTTGCCTTACAGCTCAAATGACCATTTTTGTGAAAAACAAACAAAATCCTATAGAAAACAAAACAAAACAAACCACGGAATAAGAAAAGAGCACAAGTTATTTTACCACAATGATCTGATGGGGAAAAAAATGCAATCTCCCACAAATTAACAGAAATCATGTTTTAAATAGTATTAACTTGTCATCTGGTAGGAAGAAAATAACACCATCCCCTTTCCTTAAAGGAAGAGACAGAATCTCATCTCCACATCCTTTGCAGCTAACACAACAACTGGCACACAGTAGGAACTTGAGAGACGTTTATCAAGTGCCCAACAAACAATATTTACTAAGTGTCTGCTGTTTGCCAGGTAGTACGGTAAAACATTTTTACACTCATTTCATACAATCGCCTTAACTGTCTTAAGTAATATAATTTATCCCCCATTTTTGGGATGAGGAAATTGAAGTTCAGAAATGTTAAATACCTTTACCAGACCTTCCTTTCTTTTTCCATTTGGCATGACTAGACCTTCCTAAAAAAGATACAAAACCAAGAAGCCAAGAAGAAAAACTAACAGATTTGAACTCATGAAATCATTACATTTATGTACTACAAAATGTCAGCCTAAGAGAAAACGTTTGCTACATACATAATGGACCATAGGTTAATATCTGTGGCACACAAATTGTTCCTACAAATTACTAAGGACAACCCAATATAGGACACTATGCAAAGAACATGAATAAGTAATTCACAAAAAAATGGCAAGTAGCTAAGAACCATATGAAAAGATGTTGAGCTTCACTAATAATTAGAAATTTCTAAATTTAGAAATTAAACTAAAAATCCAAAATACTCTTTTTCCCCATCAGGCAAAAATGTAAAAAACTGATAACATATTGTGTTGGGAAGGGTGTAAGAAAAAGGTCATTTGCATATATTATTGAAGTATACATTGGTTAATTTTAGAGGATAATTTGGAAGTAGTTCCCCAAAATTCTAAATATGCTTACCTTCTAACCCAATATATCCACTTCTGATATCCTGTTCATAAAAATACATAAGTGGCCAAGAATGTGTCTAAGGGGGTTTGTCACAGTTATTATAACAACAACATAGCCCTCCATTAACAAGAGTGTGTATATTACAAAATATACATCTATATTTTGTAATAATAGACAGCTATTAAAGAAAAAAAAGGTAAATCTACTGTCGTGAAAGTTCTCCATGGTATATACTGTTATGTGAAGAAAACATACTTTTTTAAAAAAAGCAAATACCCACTCTGTATGTATATATTTGTTTCTATGTGTACTTGAAAAAGAAAAAATTAAAAGGTCTGGCAGGATCTACACCATGCTGTTAACAGTAATAAGCTCTGATGAGTGGTTGGGGTTAGGGAGAGAGGGGAGGAAAATAGGAGGGATAAGGAAAAATCTCTTTATATACTTCTGAACCCATTTTTTCCATCATCAATGTTTTTAACTTAAATAATTCAATCAGGATCATAATACAAACTAGGTCAGAACATACATTTTCTTTCTAATCTACTCTTGTCCCCAAATTGACATGAAAAATAAACTATTTCAGAATATACACTTAATTTTTAGGTCTCTACCAATAAAAATAGACCGATTCAGACTGCTGATGCTGGGGTGAGGAAGAATGAACACGGACAGAATTTGAAATGACAACAAACAATGCTAGTATAACACAGGCCCTAATATAGGTAACACTTAAAGTATCCAGATTTCTACAGTGTCTTGTCTTTTAGGAGTATACTTAATTCTACATGAGTCTAGAGCAGGATCTGCAAACTTTTTCTGTAAAAGGTCAGAGAGTAATATTTTAGGACATGCAGGCCAACCAGTCACTATAGAGACTATTCAACTCTGCTGCTATAGCACGAAAGCAGCCACAAACAATACTTAAACAAATGGATATGACTTTGTTCCCATAAAAATAATTTACAAAAATGGGCCATAGTTTACTGACCCCTGGTCTAGAGGGTAGAATAATGACCCAGGGGCAGAGTCAAGGAGGTCTATAATTTCCACTCAACAGAAGGCATTCATCACCATTAGAACCAACTGCAAATGGAACATGTCACCTCAGTGGATCCCAAGCTTCCCTGAGGATCTCTAAATGACACAGATAATCATATGCACAAATACAGTACAAAATTCCATACAACAGGCTGGTTCAAAGGTAATGAGTTATCTCAATTGATTGTTCACAGTCAGTTACAGATTGAACTTTTTGTTCTACTTTTCCCCTCTTCTCACTACTGCACTTGTCTTAAAAAATAAAAAAAAATAAAAAAGCCATGCAAAAGATGAGAGTTCCAGCCTGGGCAACATGGTGAAACCCCATCTCTACCAAAAATACAAAAAAGAATTAGCCAGGCATGGTGGCATACACCTGCGGTCCCAGCTACTCAGGAGGCTGAGGTGGAAGGATACCTTGAGCTCGGGAGGCAGAGGTTACAGTGCGCTGCTATTGCACCACTGTACTCCAACCTGGGTGACAGAGACCCTGACTCAAAAACAAAACAAAACAAAGATGAGGGTGGTCTGGATGGCAGACTCCAAGGTTGCCTTCAACTAGAGTACTTTATTCGGGGGCAAGTTCTGGCCCAAAATCCTACATCTAACTATAAAGCAACTTACCAAACATGAGAAAACTGTTCTAGGCCCATCAAGGAATGTTCAGGATTATTAAAGATCCTCTTTCTAATCCTCAAACAGGCTCGAGAATAGCTACAAATGGATGGCTGTCTTGGAGTACCATTCTTGGCCGAGAAACAAGATTCCAAGTAGCCGACTGGCTCAGTTAAAAGATTCCCTACAGGAGAAAATTAGGTAAAAAGTTATTAGTCAAAAGGTCAAACCAAGTTGTAAGAAAACATGTTTTCTCTAATGCATTGGTTTCATAGTTTTAAAATCTTAGTGTCGTGCAACTATAAAAATGATTTTTATAGTATTCATGAATACGTATAAGTATTCTCATCATTACATACACACACATACACATACATCATTACATACATAGTAATATCCCTTTAGATATACTAGAAAGAATAATGGTCCAAGAAAGAAAGAATGAAAGTAAGGGGGCATTTTCAGAATACCTACTATGACCATAATTAAAATTCTATGCTACCAATACTAAGTCATGTGACTCTGGCCAGGGCTATGAGCGTATTTCTTTCTTTTTTTTTTTTTTTTTTGAGATGGAGTCTCGCTGTGTTGCCCAGGCTGGAGTGCAGTGGCCCGATCTCGGCTCACTGCAACTTCTGCTTCCCGGGTTCAAGCATTTCTCCTGCCTCAGCCTCCCCAGTAGCTGGGATTACAGGCGCCCACCACCACGCTCAACTTTTTTTTTTTTTTTTGTATTTTTAGTAGAGATGGGGTTTCACCATATTGGTCAGGTTGGTCTTGAACTCCTGACCCGCCCACCTTGACCTCCCAAAGTGCTGGGATTTTTAGTAGAGACGGGGTTTCACCATATTGGTCAGGCTGGTCTTGAACTCTTGATCCACCCACCTCAACCTCCCAAAGTGCTGGGATTATAGGCGTGAGCCATAGTGCTTGGCCTATGAGGGTATTTCTAATAGAGGAGAGAGTGTACACAAAAGTAAATGAGAAATGTCATAGCATATGCAGGGAACAAGCTATTTTGATTGGCTGGAGTATGAAATAAGAGGCAGAGAATAATGAAAGATGAGGAAACACTGGGTATACATAAGTAAGGATATCTTCAATTGAAAGCAACAGAACATATGAAATAAACTAATTTAAGCAATAAAGAGAGCTTATAAGCTCATAGTGCTAAAATATCTAGAGGCAAGGTAAATTTCAAGTTAGGCTTGGTCCAGTAGCCTACTGCCCCTCTAGAATGTAAGCTCCATGTGGGCAGTTTTTCTGTCTCATTTATCGCTGCATTCTCATTGTCTAGTACATTGCCTGCAACGGAGTAGGTACTCAAAAAATTCATGTTGCATAGAAGAAAAGATCATATATGTCTAAACTGATTAATGTGGAAATTGAAAAAGTAAAATAATAATATATATAATATAATCCCACTTATGGAAATTTGTTACATATTTACCTTCTTAAACACATACAGGTATGTTTGGAAAGCTATCTGGAAGGATATGCACCACATGCTGTGTTTTATTTTTTGTTTGTGTTTGTTTTTTTGAGACAGAGTCTTGCTCTGTTGCCCAGACTGGAGTGCAGTGGCACAATCTCGGCTCACTGCAATCTCCACCTCCCAGGCTCAAGCGACTCTCGTGCCTCAGTCTCCCAAGTAGCTGGGATTATAGGCACGCACCAACATGCCCATCTAATTTTTTTTTTTTTTTTTGTAGAGAAGGGGTTTTACCATGTTGGCCAGGCTGGTCTTAAACTCCTGACCTCCAGCAATCTGCCCATCTCGGCCTCTCAAAGTGCTAGTATTACAGGTGTGAGCCACCACACCTGGCCAATATTCACCAATTTTTTTAACAGTGGTTAATCTGGGTGGTGAGATTTTTTAATTACCTTTAAATTTAACTTCGTAATTTCTATAATATTTGAAGTTTTTTCAATAATCACAAATTAGGCCAGGCGCGGTGGCTCACGCCTGTAATCCCAACACTTTGGGAGGCTGAGGTGGGCAGATCACCTGAGGTCAGGAGTTCGAGACCAGCCTGGCCAACATGGTGAAACCCCATCTCTACTAGAAGTACAAAAAAAAAAAATAATTAGCCAGGCATGGTGGTGCATGCCTGGAGTCCCAGCTACTCAGGAAACTGAGTCAGGAGAAGCACTTGACCCTGGGAGGCAGAGGTTGCAGTGAGCCAAGATCACGCCACTGCACTCCAACCTAGGTGAGCGAGACTCCATCTCAAAAAAAAAAAAAAATCACAATTTTTTTAAGTAATAACATATTTCAAAAGAAAAAAAATGGCCAGACACTATCAATATAAAGTCCAAGGTTTCCATGGCTACCACTTTGAATTTATTGATAACTTTTTTATTATTCTCACATTTCATGACAGCGTTATCAATTTCTGAGAGATGATATAAAGACACTTCAGACTTTATTTCCTGCTTCCTTAAATCTACCCTACCAGCATAAGCAGTAAGACTATAGGTCTGGGGCTGTCCCTCACAGTATCTTTCATTACTCTTCACTTCTAGAAGCTACTTTATTTGATATATATAAATATCATATGCAACATACATGTAAGTTATACGGCATAATATGATGAAACCCCGTGTATACACCACCCATCCCAAAAACTAGAGCGTTACTAACGACTTGTTCTTTTTAGGTTGTTTTTCTCTTACCTCACACCCTTCTTTTCCCTCTGAGATAAACAGAAGCCTGAATTTGATCTTTATCATTCACTTCCTTTTAGAGAATGATTTTGTTACATGTACATGCATGCCTAAACAGTATTTCATTGATTTTTGTCTTTAAGATCTATAAAAACTGGCACCAAACTGTAAGTTGTCTTCTCAGACTTGCTTTTTCTCTCTCAATATTATGAGGCTAAGATCCATACATACTCTGTATGTTTTTGACAACTTTAATTTTTGTTCAAGTATGTTTACAGGCATTGTTTTTAGTTTTTTGTTTTTTCTTTTTAATCCTCATCCATGCTTCTATGGAACAGATATAGTAGACATCTTAAAAATGAAGAAACTGAGGCCAAACGACCTGGCATATCTTCTTTATGTCTGGAAGATAAATGGCCAAAAAAGACCCCTAGCCCAGCCACAAAATCCCTGTGTCTTCTTTTCATTTGTTCAAGAAACATTTTCTGGCTGATACTCTGGGCACACTGCCCATGAGTTAGCTCTGCTCCACAAAGAGAAGAAAAAAAAAAGAAAGAAAGAAAAGAAAAGAAAAGAGAAAAGAAAAAGGAAAGAAAAGAAAGGAAAGGGAGGAAAGGGAAAGAAAGGAAAGAAAAGAAAAGAAAGAGAGAAACACTATTTTCCAAGTGTCTACAATTGCCAGACATTGTGTTAAGTTTGGAGAAAAGATACAAACCAAGAACTCTTACTACAGTGGAATTTAATAGTTGAGGAGACTATCACACCATGCTTCAATATCATGGGAAATGTCCTGTCAGCAGTAAAGTAATCAAAGACTTCTGCCCTTGACTCTTTGATTTGGGGCCTAGGAATTTATATTATAGCTGATTTATCACTTCACTAAATCAGTCTATGCCTGTTTTTCACAGATTACACATATGATATGATAAATATAAGTGGCTGCCAATTAGATTTACTTCTATCCTCTAATTAGATTTACTTCTATCCTCTTTGTGCATCTCCTTAAGAACATAAGCAAGACAACACTGGATTAGCAATGAACTGGAAGTATACTCAAGAGCTACTTTGAAAGAGTTCTTCTAACTCTGCTACTCTAAAATGTTTGGGACCACTCTCAAAATACCAAATATCCATATCCTAGTACGTCTGAACTCTTCTGGGACATATTTATACATTCTCTGTGCCCTCCTGGGGATAATGCTATGAAATATAAATGCTATTTGAAGCAGAGACCTGACACCGTTTGCCAAGGGGAATTCTGGTCTTCTTCTTCTTGCCTATCTCAAAACGACAACAACAAAAACCCAAAAGAACAGTAAACACCTACCATTTTGGTAAGCACTGTGCTAAGGACTTGGGGTACAAATATGAACCAGTTCTCGTCCTCAAGGGTTTCCAGTACATTGACAGAGAAAGACAAGTAAATCAACAATTCTAGCTAGGTGCCTTTGCAGGGATAGAGATAAATAAGCACAGGTATGACAAAAACCAGCACAAGAACCTCATGGAAATGGGGAGAAGTGGTTCCTCAAAGGAGCATGAGAGAATTAGGACTGGTTTCAGAATGGAGAAAGGATAAAAACAACACAGGGCCACTACACTAGCTGTGTGACCATGGGAAAAACTAGCTTCTCTCTCTGAATCCGTTTTCTCATCTATAAAACAAGGGATACTACCTACTTTGGAAAGCTGTAAAAGTACTAATAAAATAGGAAAGCATCCAATAAAATAGAAGGTGCCCAGCAAGGAGTGCTTTTTAAAGTCCCTGCTCAGGCTTTTTCCTCATTTAAACATTACAACTGTATTAACTGTGTAATAAGTAAAAAGCCAGCAAGCAATCAATGTGGGGTTTTTTGTGTACAGGATTGTCTACACGTCTTGCTCTGAAAATAAGTTCAGGTCCTTTTCATTTCCACCTGTACTATTAAATTACCCTTCTTAGGCTTTCTGTCCCCACTGCAAGTTCTTCCCCTTCTCAAAATACTCTAGACGAATCCTCAACACTCCTAGAGTTTCTTGTGTTATGCTAACTCTTTAACTTTAAACTTTTCATATTCTCCACTGTTAACAGACTTTGTATTTCTTAGCCTGGTACTCAAGTTTCTTCACAATCAGAATCCAAAGGTTCCCACCTCCCTGTTCCATCCAACACTTTAGACTTCTAGCTCCCCAAACCTATACTGTGTAGACTTCTGAGCCCTGGCTTCTGCGTTTTCCTTCCTGTCAAAATATGAGACCTGTAATCGGCAGTGTGCAACAATTTTTTTTAAATAAGCACATTTGGCCAGGTAATAGCACTTCCAAGAAATTTAACAAAGTTCAAACTTTAGAATGTACACAAACATTTCGGCTTCAAGAGCTTTCTTTTAGAACAATGCAAACTGGCAATAACTTAAATGCTCAGTAACAGGAAGCTGGTTAAATTAGAGCACATATCTAAAACAAAGCGTTAGGCTGGTTGCAGTGGCTCATGCCTGTAATCCCAAAACTTTGGGAGGCTAAGGCAGGTGGATTGCTTAAGCCCAGGAGTTTGAGACCAGCCTGGGCAACACGGTGAGAGCTTGCCTCTACAAAAATTAATAATAACAAAACAAAGTGTTAATTTTTTTTTTTTTTTTTTGAGACGGAGTCTCGCTCTGTCGCCCAGGCCGGAGTGCAGTGGCGCGATCTCGGCTCACTGCAAGCCCGCCTCCCGGGTTCATGCCATTCTCCTGCCTCAGCCTCCCGAGTAGCTGGGACTACAGGAGCCCACCACCACGCCCGGCTGATTTTTTTGTATTTTTTAGTAGAGACGAGGTTTCACCGTGTTAGCCAGGATGGTCTCGATCTCCTGACCTCGTGATCCGCCCACCTCGGCCTCCCAAAGTGCTGGGATTACAGGCATGAGCCGCTGCGCCCGGCCCAAAGTGTTATAATTAACATTAACTGCCCTGTTAAGATTTTTTTTTAAATTATTTTAACGTTACTAAACAGGTCGTATAGTACCTCACTTTCCAAGTGTGTATGCAAAGAAACAAGCGTGGAAGGTAGACACCAAGATATTGACAATGGCTTTCTCTGGCAGGTTATTTTAATTTTCTTCCATTTGCTTTCCAGTTTCTAAAGCTAATATATTCCTCTATGAAAACGTGTGAGTAAAGAGAAACAAATTCATGCCTTGTCTTTCTAGGCCCAATTTAAAACTATTTTCTCCCCCAGAAACTTTCCCCCTTCTCTGTCCTCATTCCTACAGCGCAGGATGCCTCTCTATGGCATTTATTAATTCCTAACCCGCCTAACACCATCTCCCATACGCTATGGCAAGGAAACCCCTAAGAGAAAAGCCCCTACGCTGCACGTAGCTGCTCCAGCTACTGAGCCAAGACTACGCAGACAGTACAAGTCTTATAACAAAGCGGAACAAGCCAGATGACGTCATCCCGCTCGCCAAAGCACATCACGTGGTCTCCGCAGCACGTGACCCGTGCCTTCGCCGTAGGTAAAAGAATGACGCACGTCAGTTCCAGATCGTGCGTTTTACACCCCTCTCGGCAACGAAGTCCGCTGCCTGGGCCTAAACCTCTCCAGAGTGTGGCACCGCCGGTGTTGGAAGTTACCTGTCTCCAGAGCCGGCTTAACGCAGCCGCACGGGGTCGCTGTAGGCCGAGGCCCCGACTCCTCCAAGCCGCGCATGGCTACTGGTTGCTGAGGTGCCCACCCGACGCATTCAACCTTCCGCTTCCGCTCTCCATGCCTGACGCATGCGCAGTGGCCTCGCCGGCGAGGTCCCGCGAACCCAGGAGAATGTGCGCGCGCAGGGTGGCGTTGAGGGAAGCTTTGAGTTCTCCATGGGGCTTCGAACCCTATCCCGGGCGTGTGCCCCTCCGGGACCCCAATCTCGTTTATCTTACACACAGCTGCTACAGTTGCCCGCCCTCCTAGGGTAGAATGCGACTCCGGCTTCCCGCGCTTTTTGAGAGGGAACACACCTCCATGAAGAACTCGCAACTATGTCTCTCTCGAAACATTATTAAGTAACCTATACGTCCAGTATGACCCTAATTTTTAAGGGATGTGTATATGTAATTAACACAGAGCGGAAGGACTGGACGTTAAGAAATGTTAAGAATTCTCAGGCACCTGTGGTCCCAGCTACCCAGGAGATTGAGGCGGGAGGATCGCTTGAGCCCAGGAGTTTGAGGCTGCAGTGAACCGTGATCGCGCCACTGCACTCCAGCCTGGGTGACAGAGCGAGACCTCGTATCAAAAAAAAAAAAAAAAAAAAAAAAAAAAAAAAAAAAAAAATTATCCCTGGGTGGTGGGAAATTTTTCCATAATATAAGTTATGCTTTGTCAGAAACAACCCCAAATAAGTCTTATTTCAAGTGTGGTGGATGTTATAAAGGAGCCCTACTATGTGCTAGGGGTTAAGGAGTGGGAACTGTTTCTTGTGCTCCACACCTTACCGGAACTGAAGTGAGAATGGAATTATAAGAGTCAACATGCCATGTGCATTGTGGGGATTATTGTCGTTTCTGGACAGCTCTGAGAAGCTAAGAGCTAACAAGAATCATTTAATCCCATGCAATGACCAGTTGTCCTTGCAATGATAGCCTATCTTTTACCCACTTGTAATGCTGTCTCTCACCTTTAGTAAGTTTCTCTGTATATAATTCTCTTTCTGGGAGAAATTTTAAAATCTTTTATCTTTTTATCTGTTAACATCTGCAGTATAAAATATTCAAAAGCATATGAGTCACAGATTGAAAAGTCTAACAACCATGAAAAGATGTTTCCATGTCTGTCCATTTGTCATTGATTTCTGGTAGAAAATAACCAGCAGGAGGAGCCAAATAATTAAAGATTGTGGTTTAAAAAATAAGATAAAACTGATCAAATTCATATAGTGTCTTTTGGCAGGTCATTTTTACAGGACAACTTGGAAAAGGCTGCCATTTTTTTTAGGAGGGACAGCTCTGTGCAGCTGGAGAAACAAGTTTGAAAATCATTGTTTTATATATATATAGCGCGCGCGCGTGTGTGTGTATGTGTGTGTTTATAAAACTGGGCCAGAATTACTGCGCTTGCCACTAGATGGTGGTGTTGCTAAAAATGATAGTCCCGCTTTATCTGTGGAAAGACTAGATTTAAAGAGATATTTGCCCTCCTGGAGGGCATGGTAGACGTTGTTAATCACACAAAAAAATATGTAATTACCAAGTGTGACAAGTACTGAAATGCAAAGCTGATTTGAATATACTAGGGAAATAGATTGCTACTTCTTTTATAGGTAAAATTTCTCTTGACTGAAAACGGGAACTTAAATATGCAGCACATTTTTTAGTCTATGATTTGAAGTTCTTATTATCTTGTCTGGAATTATATGTGATTATTTGCAGTTTATAAGACTTAACCTCTCCTCCAGATGTAAGACCTAGAAATCTGCCTTAAAGAAATGACCTAAATAATTATGTAGTCTTCAGCTTGTACTACTTTGAGAAACACTTCTCAGTAGAGTGATTCTTAACCTCTCATTTGGGTGAAGGACCCCTTTGAGAATCAACTAAAGCTTTGAACCGTCCCACACATCATTTTGGCTATAATATCATATGGTTCATGGGTTTCTAACCTAACATGAGAGGAGGGCAGCACAAAGTCAAGCTAGAAGGATTCTTGCAAAACTTTAATTCTGTCACCTAAAGGTTCTAAGCCAAGAAGAACGCCAGAAGAATTTTAGATGCACAGTGATGTTTAAACAAGAATGGTGAGAAAGCAGAAGTGGTGTGTGAATGCAGGGAGTGATGTAAGAGGGCAAGCAGAAAGGGTCCCGAGAGGTGGAGAGAGAAATTCTGCTTCCTCTAATGTACTGCATTCCTCTTTCCCTCTCCTTCCCCATCTCATCTTTGTGCTCCTGTGCACTGTACGTATGCAAATCTCTTAAGGTCCATCTTAATGCAACGCTGTTAGAACTTGAGACTTCAGTTTACTCTTTTTTTTCCTCTAATTTTGGCCCACTCTGGCAGGTGAAATTGAGACAGAAGCACATTCCAAAGAAGAAAAAAAAGCACTGAGGAAGTCAGATGTGACTTTGGGTGAGTACCTTCCCTCTATGTTATTCCCTCATCTTTAAGTGAGAGTGATAATCACCGCCTGGCCTATTTCACATACTTTTGTACAGATCAAATAAAATAGTTTATGTGAAAGTATAAATGTTGAAGTGTCATTGAGAGGTAAGAAACTATTATATGGTTGTGGCCGGGCGCGGTGGCTCACTCCTGTAATCCCAGCACTTTGGGAGGCCGAGGAGGATCACGAGGTCAGGAGATTGAGACCATCCTGGCTAACATGGTGAAACCCCGTCTACTAAAAATACAAAAAAAAAAAAAAAATAGCCAAGCGTGGTGGCGGGCGCCTGTAGTCCCAGCTAGTCGGGAGGCTGAGGCAGGAGAATGTCGTGAACCCAGGAGGCGGAGCTTGCAGTGAGCCGAGATGGTGCCACTGCACTCCAGCCTGGGCGACAGAGTGAGACTCCGTCTCAAAAAAAAAAAAAAAAAAAAGAGACGAAACTATTATGTGGTTGTGCTGCCCTGCCCTCAGTATGTTGTGTAATAAATATAATAGGGGTATGAATAATTGTGCAATGAATACATCCTGATGGTAAAAAATTTAATGTACACACAAAAGGGGGTAGGCAGATAGGAGGGAAACAATATTGTAACATCCCACTGTACTATTGGTTCTCAACCCTACCTCCACTTTAGGATTGTCAGGAGAGCTTTTAAAATAAAAACATCCTAAATGCAATTCTATATCCTGGATTGGACCCTGAAGCAGACAAAGCACATTAGTGGAAAAATTCATGAAAACGGAATAATGTCTGTAGTTAATGGTAGTGTAACTATCCTGATTTCTTAGTTTTGACAAATGGCCCATGGTTATGTAAGACGTTAACATTGGTGTAAACTGGGCGAAAGGTATATAGTAACTTTTGTACTATCATGACAACTTTTCTGTAATTCTAAAATTATTCCTCCAAAAACTATTATTTGAAGCATAAAACAATTAAAAAATAAATATACCTATGCCTGTACATCAGCTAGATGGGGGAATCTGAATCCCTGGGGGAGAAGTCTGGACATATATGTATTTTTGAAACCTTCCCAGGTGAGTCTAATGTACCAGAAGGGTTGAAAGAACCACTGCTCTCTCATGTTCATTATACCATGAATGCCTGAGGGACTGTGACCCTGTCTTGTTCTTTGATATAGCTAGTACCTAGCACAGTGTCTATATGGAAAGCTTGTGCAAGTGTGTTCTTGCTGAATGAAACTTTATTTGCAAAAATATCCTTAGTCCTCTGTAATAACAGAAGGAAAAGTGAAAACAAAAAATACCAGGGTAGATTTTCAGACATCTTCCCATCCAGAACAGCTTCTATTCCTGCCCCGGTCTCTTGTCGTTTTCAGTTAATCTTTACCATTATCACCATATTTACCATATTCCTAAAATAGTGAAATTGCCATTCCATTGTTCAAAAATCTGACTTCATTCCCCATTTTTAACAAGTGATATATTTCTTGGTTAGGTAAGCAAAATATTCTATGCTCTAGTAATATGAGCTTTTCAGCATGCAAGCCTACTACTATTTCATATGGACTCTACATTAACCATAGTTTGCCTGCAGTTCTCTTGAACATGTTTTGAACTCACCCTTCTCTTTGTCACATACAGTAATGCTGCTATCCTCATCTATGCAAATACTTTCCGTCTTTCAAGGCTTCATGCCTGTGTAATTTTTTCAGGTCACTCCAGCAAAAAGTGAGCATTCTCTGTTTGTATCTACCATTCAAATGGCACCAGCCCTTACTATTTTCTTTTGTGATTATTTGTTTTCTGTTTTATTTCCCCATGAAACCAAATTAACCCCACCGTGGGGTGTTAGATAGGTCTTCTAACCTCCGCAATTCTTAACATGATGGTATCCACACAGTTAAGCATGTAATAATGATTTAATGTACATTGTGCACAAATACAATATTTAAAAAATAAAAATAGAAAATCAAAATTCAAATACAAAAGTAAACTACATTCATCACTCCAAAATATCTTTTAAGGAGAATTGTTAAAACTGACCAAAAGAGTCAACTAAAGCCTGAATAAAATTTTGATGCTACTGTTACATTAATAATTGAACAGCATTTACAAGAAAACTATATACTCCACAAAATGTATGTGTTCAGTCTTAGTCACTTATCTGCTCTTAAGACGTAAATAAATGTTCTTAGGGGGGAAAACCAATTATCCAGTCCTCCCCGCTTCCTTATTTGTCTGTTCCCACCACTATCCTCTCCCCGACCTATACATACATACACACACACACACACACACACACACACACATTCTAGCATGATATTGTCTATGTGGTAGAGCCTTAAAAAATGTTATTTCTTTCAGATATGGTCTACAAATAGAAAAAATAATATTAATGAGCATTGTCAAAAGTTTTACAATATTTTGAGAAAATCACGCATAAACTATTAAGCTGTATGTTCCATTGGACCACAACTTTATGGTTGAGCATTGTTAAAACAAAACATAACTATAGACATCATTTTCTGGATGACTCTCATTCAGAATTGCTGGTATTCCTGGCTCTTCTTTGGGTTTTTCTTTCATTTCTGTAAAATCAAATAAAATAAAAAATAGATTCAATAAATTGTATTGGGACAATTGACTCTCCATTTGGAGGAAGAAAAACTGCTTTACAACATACACAACAACAAACCGTAGATGGGGTAAATTTTTAAATACCATAAAGTTATAGAAATAATAGTGTTTTTAGTAATCTTAGGATGCTAAGCAGAACACAGAGACCAGAAACCATAAAGGAAAAGACTAGCAAGTTCGAATACCTAAAAAGTAAAATTATATATGGTGAAAACCACTATAAACAAAGTTAAACCAAATCAAAGACAACTGGAAAAATATTTGCAACATATACATAGTAAAAACTATTATTTAAAGAGGTTTTTTAATCGGAAAAAAGAAATAAAAAATGTTGAATGGGATAAGGATTCAAACAGGCAATTCTTAAAAAATTATATTTATAATAATCCTGAAAAGATGTCTAGTAACATTAATTATAAAAGGGGGTGATTAAGACCATTAGGTGTGTTTTATTTTTTAACCTATCACTTCTCAGCCTTTTGGCTAAGATCAAGTGTATTTTTTTTTTTTTTTTTTTGAGCCGGAGTCTCGCTCTGTCGCCCAGGCTGGAGTGCAGTGGCGCGATCTCTGCTCACTGCAAGCTCCGCCTCCCGGGTTCACGCCATTCTCCTGCTTCAGCCTCCCGAGTAGCTGGGACTACAGGCGCCCGCCACCGCGCCCGGCTAATTTTTTGTAATTTTAGTAGAGACGGGGTTTCATCGTGTTAGCCAGAATGGTCTCGATCTCCTGACCTCGTGATCCGCCCACCTCGGCCTCCCAACGTGCTGGGATTACAGGCGTGAGCCACCGCGCCCGGCCGATCAAGTGTATTTTTTAACCTAGCAGACAGACAAGGATTTTTAAAATGTCATAATGTACAGTGCTGACAAGGGTGTGGGGAAAAGGCACCTGTCTCGTGTGAATTGCTACCACATTTCTGGAGGCTAGTCTGACTGACTGTATATTCAAACTTTAAATTTGGGTACCGTTTGGCCCAACAATTTGATTTCTAGGGGTTGATTCAAAGGAAATAATCAGACAAACTTCAGCCTCCAGTGCCTCCATTTCCTTATATTTAGAATGGGAGTATTATTTATCCAGTAGAGCTTTTAACATTGAATAAAATAAACCACATAAAATATTTAATATGGTGTCTGGCACATAGAAAAGTACCAGATAAATGTTAACTAAATAAATGTTATTCCCAATGATGTTCATTGAACATTGTTGTAATAGTAAAACTTGGCAGTAACCTAAGTGTTCATCCTTATAGAGACTGGTTGAATATACATATAGCACAGTACTATGCAGTTGTTACAAAAGACATCATAAAGATGGCTGCAATACATATTGTAAATGAAAACAAAAACAAGTTACAGGATAGGATGGGTACTGTCTCATTTGTTGAAACAAAACAACCTTAACATTGGGAACTGAAGATAGAAGATGGTATTATAGGGGACTTTTACTTTACTTGATATTCACTTACATATTGCTTTATTATAATGAACACTTACTACTTTTATAATCAGGAAAAATAGATATTCCCATTTATTTGGTCAAACAAAGCCAAAAATAAAATAAGCGTTAATTAATTGACCATATCGACCTTGCTGGGTTTAGAATGAAGCAGTTAGGAATCAGGACGCTGTGTTGGTTAGAGCTGCTTCTCCAGCAGGGTACTCCTGTCAGTGCACGTACTGCTTCACATGCCTGCTTTTGCTGCAATGTATTTCTTTAAAGTAGTTCTTCAAAACTGGTATTACTTGGAAACCAACTAGCACCATGTTTTTGTTGCACTCATCTTTTAGGATAAAGAGCAAGTAAACTACTAAAGGGATTTCTTTAGAAATCAGTTTCCTGGGGATAACTATGGTCTGATAGACTCAGTCCATTTCTTATACTGTCTACAGTATTGTACAAAGAGAGCTGAAGTTCTCAGTTATGTCTCTGAGGCAAGTGAAATTAAAGAAAGGTTGCATTATTTTCAAATTCCTATACTTAGGAAAAAGTTTTTCAGGAACAAATCTTGAAATAGAAAGGGTTTTTGGTAAACCTGATAAATCCTACAAGAATGAATTCCCTAGTAACAGGATTATATTTTACAGCTTTTATCTCCCTCAGTACTTCGTACTATGAATTTACCTGCTTTCCATTTATCAGGCAAATTAAATTTCCTAGAAAAACTTCATTCATCAAGCTTTCTTGTTAATGTAGACTTAATTTTTAAAAATATTTTGCAATAATTCATCCTATATTGGGTTCATTTCACTGACTATAGCATCTCATAATGGATGGATAGTATGAATAAGTACTTAATGTACATGCTTGCATTTTCAATTTTTTTAACTCTTTGAAATATGCCAAGACAGACGTTGGTTGCATGAAAATATTGTTCACTTAAAACTAGTCAATGAAATTCACAGTATCCATTGAAATAACAGGGAATACCCAGGATTGTCAGAGAAAGTTGTAAATCACTACTCTGGGGGAGATGTACCTACCTTGGTGCTATAAACAGCCCTTACCTTGAGGAAAAGTATAAGCATCTTTAGCATCTTCCTGGTGTGCTTTAGGATCCTGGCCTTGGGGCCCACCTGTTTCTTGGTGTGGTTCTGGAAAGCATTCTTTAGGCACATCCTTATTTTTATATGTCTCAGTAGAGAGGTCTTCAGGCCCCGGTGTTTCTTGGTATATTTCAGGTGAATATTCTTCAAGCTGGGATGTTTCTTGGTATATTTCAGGTGAATATTCTTCAAGCCCAGGTATTTCTTGATACGTTTCAGGTGAATATTTTTCAGACCCAGGAGTTTCTTGGTTTATTTCAATTGAATAGTCTTCAGAATGAGGTGTTTCTTGGATTGTTTTATGAGAGGGGGCTTTAGGCACAATAATTTCGTTACATGTTTTATGAGGAAGGTATTTAGGTTCAGCTGATTCTTGGTGTGTTTTTGTAGAAAGGTCTTTAGGCTCAGCTATTTCTTGTATTTTAGGAAAAAGGCCTTCTGTCTCAGCTATTCCTTGATCTGTTTCATTGTATTCCTCTGGTTCTGCTGGATTTTGGTCTGTGTCAAGAATATAGCCTTTAGGCACATCTGGTTTTGGATATGCTTGAAGAGAGCATCCTGCCAGATCAGCTGTGTCTTCAGATGTTGGACAAGGAAGGATTTTGGGTACAGCAGCTTCTTGGCACATTTTAGGAGCCAGATCTTCTCGTTTAGCCATATCTTGGTACATTTTGAAAGGATGGTCTTGAATTACAGATATTACTTGGCATGTGTTAGGAGAGTTGTCTTCAGGTTCCTTCATGTCTTGGCATATTTTGGAAGAATTGTCTTGAAGTACAGATATTTCTTGGTACATTTTAGGAGAGAGGTCTTCAGGTTCAGACACATGTTGGCATGTTTCAGAAGAATGGTTTTGTACTGCTATTTCTTGGTACTCAGAAAAATTCTCCTGATATATGTTACTTTCTTGACATATTTCAGAAAAGTGTTCCTCAGGCACAACTTTTTGCGGGGAGGCTACTGAAGGAAATACTTTGGTTATGCTCCCAGGTGGCTCAGTTTTTTTCTCTATAGGTGCCAGTGCTTTCTCCACTATTTCCTTTTCTATCTGTGGCTGAGGCTCCACCTTCAATTCTGTGTTTTGTTGTCTCTTTCTGCCTCTTCGATTTCCTTTTCCTGTTCTCTGCTGCTTGCGTTTTTTCTGTTCTCTGCAGAAAGAACAGAATTAGTGTCAGCAGTGGTACTACAGAATTCAAATAAATGCTTGTAATAACAGTGCCAGGTCCCCCACTGCCTCATTGCACAAGTATCATGAACTAGTCACTTAATCTCTCTGGGCCTCAATCTCCTTGTTTGTAAAATGAAGGAGCAGCTCTAGATGTTCTCAATTCTTAGGAGAGGGAATGTTTCTCCAGGACTTCGTGGCATTGATACCATGCTTACCAGGAGCCTTCTTGGTGAGGGTAGTGCATGCGCGTATGCGTGCGTGCGTGTGTTATAGCATATTCTTAAAGTTTTGTTATGGAAAATAAATAATTCTCATTACAAATTAATAGAGTGGCATTCTGGTTTATACACTAGTCTCTTTGCATTTAGTCTTTGTGTGTTACTTCCCTACCCCTGAGTAAACTCATACAAATCGAGTTTCTAGACCTGGCACAGCTCCTCGTCTGTGCAGCCTGCAGGTGGATGCTGTATATGGCTTGATTATCAAATACATTATTTTGTGTAAAGAATTCTAAGTTGCTACAGTATATATCAAATGAGGTATACTGTAAGGGGTCAAAAGCTGCAAAAGCACTTCTTGAAGTTAAGAAGTCAGGTAGATAGGCATGAGTGGCCATATTATACCTATTCCTAATTAATAAATTAAAGATCTAGAAGATGAAAGGATATGCATGGTAATTGCAGCCAGTGACAAATTGTTAGGCACTGCAAATACAACCAAATACAGATGGCTAATACAGATGGGCTGGGGGCTGGGGGCTGGGGGAAGTACTATAAATAAGCATTTCATCATTTTTCTAAATCTACTGAAATTCTGTTTCATGCTACCCGCTCCATGGAGCCTTCTCTAAGAGACTACAGGACTAAAATGCTCTCCCAGCTTAGCACTCCTATAGGACTTATTGGGTGTACCATGCTAAAGGCAAGGAATGTAGGCTGCCTCATACTGTAGTTATTTCTGAAGAAACTGTATTTCTTTTAGTAAACATTTTAGACAGTCTTTGGAGATAAAAACCAGTGTTTTTTACATCTTTATAGTGCCCATCGTTCCTTGCATATTTAAAAAAAGTATACCCTGTTCCATTTTTTGTGTATGTTTGAAATTTCCGTTGTAAAAAAGTGTTTTTAAAAGATTACCTCACCAAACACAGTTTGAAGTCAATACCAAAAAAGTATATATGTTCACTTCTAATATGAGGCTATAGAAAAAAAGAAAAAAAGGTATAGATGTAACAGAGCAGTCTAAAATAATATTGAAAATTATATTTAAAAAAGGAAATCTAGGCCGGGTGCGTTGGCTCACGCCTGTAATCCCAGCACTCTGGGAGGCCGAGGCTGGTGGATCACGAGATCAGGAGTTCAAGACCAGCCTGGCCAACATAGTGAAACCCCGTCTCTACTAAAAATACAAAAATTAGCCAGGCATGGTGGTGCGCGTCTGTAATCCCAGCTACTTGGGAGGCTGAGGCAAGAGAATCGCTTGAACCCAGGAGATGGAGGTTGCAGTGAGCTGAGATTGTGCCACTGCACTCCAGCCTGGGTGACAGAATGAGACTCTGTCTCAAAAAAAAAAAAAAAAAGGAAATCTAAAGATGATGGTTATGGCACCTCAGCATTTTGAACTATTACTACAAGTAACCAAGGTGACAAGATAAATCATAAAATTCTGATAAATTTTTTGAAAAAGATATTAATAGTAATCCAAGTTCCTTAGGAAACACATATTTTTTCCTAGATATTAAATCCTAAAGAAGTTGTTATTTAAATCTCTGTATGAGGAGATCTGAGTAATGTAATAGTCCATGTCTTCCCAGGTAGTTTTTCAAAAAATGCAAAAAATACCTATGTGGCCTAAACTTTAGTCTGTACTCTCTCATGGTTGTGGGCAAGTCACTTAACCTCTACATGCCTTGGTTTCCTTGTAAGTGAAATGAGGTAAATAATATCGGCCCAATTTCATGTGGTGGTTATAAGAATTATATATAATAACTTACATGAATGAATTATTCAAATATAAATTAGGACTCATATGAATACAGGAAACACTTATAGTGCTTGTATATGTCAGGCACCGTTTAAATAATTTAGTTATTTTGTTATCTCATATAATCTTCACATCAGTCTATGAAGTAGGTAGTTATTATTTTCATTTTGCAAATGACAAAACTGAAACACAGAGATGTTGAGTAACTTGCCCAACACTTGTATTTGATAATCAAGCCATATACATTATCCACCTGCAGGCTGCACAGATAAGGAGCCGTGCCTGGATTGCAGGTCTAGAAACCCTGAGTATGAGTTTACTCAGGGGTAGTGAAGTAATACACACAGACTAAATGCAAAGAGACTAGTATATAAACCAGAGTGCCAATCTATTCGTTTATAATGAGAATTATTTATTTTCCATAATATTTCCAAGGGCTCTGGCTACCAAGTAGGGGAGCCAGGCTACGAATCTAGTCATTCTGGCTTTAACAGCCAGGCTCATAACCATGCACTCTGCTGCCTCTCTCTGAAACTAATAAAGTTTCACTGTATGGTGTGTTGTAGTGAGAAAAGAGGGCACAGGCCTTAGCATTATAGAGATGTATCACCAGAGCAAGTCCAGCCAGCTGCCAAGAGGCTCACTAAGGTGTTATCCATTTGAGTGAATACCCTCAGCCCAGCAAGCCCAGAAACCTGATTCTGTTAGCACACTGAGACTACCTCCATTTATCAGGGGCAGAGCTCATCAAGCAGATTTAAGGAGACTGACATATAAACCTAAAGACCAATTTTTAAATGAACAGACATACAAAGTCACATAGTAGAAAATACCTGGACTGGCTGGGCACAGTGGCTCACGCCTGTAATCCCAGCACTTTGGGAGGCCAAGGTGGGCGAATCACTTGAAGCCAGGAGTTCCAGACCAGCCTGGCCATCATGGCGAAACCCCGTCTCTACTAAAAAATACAAAAACTAGCTGGGCGTGGTGGCCAGTGCCTGTATTCCCAGCTACTTGGGAGCTGAGGCAGGAGAGTCACTTGAACCTGGGAGGCAGAGGTTGCAGTGAGCCGAGATTGTGCCACTGCACTCCAGCCTGGGCAGCAGAGTGAGACTCTGTCTCAAAACGAGTGAATGAATGAATGAATGAGAGAAAGAGAAAAAAGAAAAGGAGAGGAGAGGGGAGGAGAGAGGAGGGGATGGGGGAGAGGAGGGGGAGGGGAGGGGAGGGGGGAGGGGAGGGGAGGAGAATACCTGGGTTCTGGGCTCCCAAACAAATGCACCGTCTCTGTAGATAAGTACTTGGGAAGCCAAGTAATGATTGGAAGATTGCTTAGTGGTATGGAATTTGGGAGCTAATTGGATAATCTTCAATAGACCTGCCACAGGACCCTAATACAAATATTTCTACTGTAAAATGATACACGTGTTCCTAAAAAAACCTCACTTTCTGCAAAATCATCCTCTATAAAGTTACAGTGGTTATGGAGGTGGGGCAAATAGGCTTGGGACAAATGATTCAAAACCCTTGCAACATTTTAACACTAACTAAAACAATAATTGGTACCAGGAGAGAGAACTTGGATGGTCTAGACAAGCAGTTTACTGTGGCTGGAGGCTGCCTCAGGGGATAGTAAATGCAAATATAGTGTAATTGCAGGCTTGAAGCTGCTGAGACCTGAGCTCTGAGCCAGCGGGGTTGCCGTTAAGTTGGGCACAGGAGGGAAGTGCAAGCTGCCACTTGATGGAGAGCTGCGCAAGGCTGGTGTTGTGCCTCTCTGAGGAGGGAACCCTGGATGCTGGCTGAAAAGAATCCTGCTTATACAACAGCCAAGCTGAAGGCTTTTTCTTTCCAGCTGAAAGCTTTAATTCTCTTCCCACTATTCTGCTTTCTTCTGACTAGGAAAAAATCATGAACCAACACAACCCCCACATTATACTGACATCATTCTCCTATTTATCAATCGTATGTGAACTTGGTGTTATAGAAACATCTGTTGTAGCAGAACAGACAGTGCTCAGTCCACAGCGGGGTTTGGGGATTGGAAAATGCCCTTTCTTAGGAAGAGTGCTTTGCTTAAATTAGTGGTTCTCAACTGGGGATGATTTTGCCTGTCTTCCCCCAACCCCACCCCAGAAGACTTTTGACAATGTTTGGAGACATTTTGTTGTCACAGCTGGGGTGGAAGGTGCTGTTGGCATCTAGAGGCCAGAAAATGCTACAAAACATCTGCAGTGCACAAGCCAGCCCCCCACACAACAGGAAGTTCTCCTGCCCCCAGTGTCAGCAGTGCCAAGGTGGAGACACTTTGGCTTAGATGGATGCTGCACTTTTGGCTCTTTGGGCTCCCCTTCCAAGCAAGCAAGTCCCCAGTTTCCACAATCATATTTGAAATGGATGCAATTAGATGTCGCCTAATTTACAGTCATGTTATTGTACCCCCTTCCTGCATTTACATACAGGTGAACATACAGGTTATCTAAACTCTTTGTCACTCATTTACAGCGAATGTTTTGGCTTATTCCATGGAGAGTTAATCACACTCATTCAGTAAAGATTTAGCTAATAGAAAGCTTGGCGAACAATCTTGGAGGCTTCTTCAATGATGTTTCCCACTCCCAACAGGATGCTTCTATGTTTATATTACCTAGGAGCTAAACGCCAGGCTTCTCTACAATATAATTCGGTTGCTCAGTGCTTTAATTAAAAGAGACCAGGGAAAAAATTCTGTTCCCACCATTTTACCAGCTGTGTGTGTGACTTTAGGCAAGAGGTGTAACTCACTGGAGGCTTAGTCTCTGTTTTTCTGTAAAATAGGGATAACCATGTCTGATTTACAGGATTGTTGGAAAGATAAAATACAGTGTGTAAAGTGCACAGCACTACTTTATGCATAACATCCTCAATAAATATATTAGTTCCCTTTCCCTTGTGATGCTACCATACCCAAATAGCCATTGTGATGTTTCCTTTTCATGCACTTCAGCTTTTCTTTTTCTAAGTAGTTCTCTGTTTCTCAAACTCCAGGTTCCAATGACTTCTGTAATAAAATGAAAGTGATTAGAAAAAGTGATGAACTGTGGTGTCTATCAGCAAAAGTCCTGTAGCCAAGTGGCAGAGTCTCTGTTCTAGGTTTTTCTCCTAGCTTTTTGAGGACAAGGACTGCATCTCATTTATCCTTGTATCTCCAGAGAAAGCCTGGAAGCAGACATTCAGCAAATGTTTTTGAATGAAAAGGTCAGAGACCTACTCCTACATAGTATTTGTACATAAGTGTGCTACCAACCTATTAATTTCTTCAAAGTAATTTTATATATTGTACAAATAATGAAAAAAGTAGCCATATTTTGCTGTCTTTAACATGATAACTTGTTTTCATTTTATTCCTCACTTCTATCCAGTCTTTATATTACACAAAGTTGTAAGAATAGCATACCACAATTTTAATCTTTTTATTAAGCTAGCGTTATATTAGAACTATTTTCCATGACGTAGTCTTCATAATGATAATTTTAATGACAATGTGATACATAGTCTAGTTGATGTACTCTCATTTACCCAATCATTCCTCTTGGATTGAGCATTTAGATTGTTGCTAGTTATCTTTGCCTTGTATATCAAATTATAATAAGCATATTCATTGCATATAGCTTTTCTTTGGTATTTTTTCCTTAGAACGGTGTTTTTTCAAGTTCTTTGGAAAATTAAGGGTTTGATCAAAAAAGTTTCTGCTGCTGTCTAAGGTTGAGAAAAATTGATGAGTCTTTGATGCAGAGCTTCCTAGAGCCTGTGAAGTGATACAAATCCACACTGGGACCTCTAAAGAATAGAGCATGCCCCTTGAACCATGGTGCCTCTTGTTCTTGGGATAAGGGTTCTTAATAGGAAAAATTATATCTTTATTTTTACCAACCTCTAATTAAAATTGACAGTTCCTTCAATTATGAATGTAGATAACAAACCACAGTAGTTTTGGCAGTATATGACTTTTTTTTCAACTTTTATTTTAAGTTCAGGGGTTCATGTGCAGGATATGCAGGTTTGTTACATAGGTATACATGTGCCATGGTGGTTTGCTGTGCAGATCATCCCATCACCTAGGTATTAAGCCCAGCATCTATTATCTATTCTTCCTGATGCTCTCCCTCCCCCTCAGCATATGACTTGGTCCCTATAAAGAAATCACATATTTTTTTATCACATTATAGTTGTTGCAGATACCTTAAAATATCACCTACTGGCTATGACTTATTTGACTTGATACTATTATTAGACCCACCACTGGATATTGTAATCTATAAATAATCATATATATTACTATATAATAATTTTTTATTTTGATATTTGTATCTTAATGTAATTATTCCCTTTCTAGTCTTATATATTTAATTTTATGCCTTTAAAAATTTTATTCAAAGAAGGAGTCTCTGGGTTCATCAGAATGCCAAAGAGATCCATGTAGCAAAAAAAATTTAAAACAATGTCTTAAGGTATCTCAAGGCCTAAGTTTCCACAAAACATTTTGAGAAATGTTGCTTTAGGATAGATCCAAGGACTGAGATTAGTGAGTCAAAAGAATAAGCAGTATTATAGCTCTCACCACTTATTGCCAGATCTCTTTCCAAACGTTAGACCAAATTTGTGCTGCCATAGAAATGTATGAATCCACTTGTTTTACCACAGCCATCGAATGAAATTATTGGATGAACTAGTCTCATTAGCTTTCATTTATTTCCTTTTTTTTTTTTTTTGGCCAGATCCATTGAAAAGAGAAAATTATCATACCCCGAATTCTTCTCAACAGCCACCAGCTCTTAAGGTATTTTTCATTACCTGGAGAATGGTTCTCTTCTTGATGAGGGTCAGGTGTCTGATGGTGCTTCAAATGAGATTGGTCCTTTCCCAAATCCATCTTGCTGCAATACCTTCCTGCTATTTTGGTCTGACTTCCACAAGCAGCCTAGATGCTTTTTTAAAATATCAAAAACATCTAACACTTAAAAAAAAAAACCACACACACAAGTTTGCCTGTCACTTGACTTCCCGCCTAAAAGTTTTATCTGGTTGGACCACAACTGCAGGCTAATTCTACTATCTTTATCACACTGCACAGGTGTGAGTAGGGGAAATGGCTGGTGCTAGCAACCCCTAGCATAGGTTGCTATTTATACAGGGAAACTCTCTGACCACAGCCTGGCATGGCACAGCCTCTAGTCAGCACTCTTTTGGTTCTATCTGCCAGGAAGTGTCTGGATCCGATGTTCCTTTTTACAGATGGAGGTAGCCTAGTGTAGAAAGAACACAATCTAGGCCCCAACCAGCTCAGTGGCCCAGGGCAAGTCACCTCCCTTTTCTATGACTCTCTGCATTTGCAAAATGGGTAAATAATTCCTGTCTTGCCTACTTCATACGGTTCTTGTGAAAGTGAAAATAATAGATATAAAAGTTTCTAGAAAGTGTGATATATATTAATCTTACATGGTTTCCTGTATGTAGCTTTTTTCACCTTAATCTGTTGCAAAATAATGTACAGTTTTGCTGTGTATGCTGTTAGACTTAGTTAAGAAATAGACATAAAGAACCAAATTAGAATTTCACAGCAATTTTGTACCCTTTTTGGCTCACCAAATCATTCGCAAGTGACTCAAGATAACTAGTGAAATCCATTGTTACTCATATAGGGGAAGGTGAAAAATTACTTCTTAATGAAAATATCACCACATTATATCCCAGAAATTAAGTTGAAATAATCAAAGGAACCATCCTATCTCCAAGCAGTAACCCCATTTGTGAAGACAAGGAGCCACAGACTACTATGGTTCAACTAAAGAAGAAACCCTGAGCACCTCCTGATACAGGAAGCCAGTCTGGGAGATGCAGGATTAATATATGTGTTCTGGATTCAGATTGAATTGAAGTGAGTTTGAATTCCAGTGTTGACATTCCCTAATTCAGTGACCTGAGGCAGGTTAGATAGCCTTGGAGTCAATTTACCTATCTATAACATGGGGACAATATTGGTATCTACCTCAGAAAGTTACTGGGATGATTAAGTCCAGTAATCCATATGAGGCATTTTATGTGTGCCTAGCATATTGAACTTGGTCAGTAAATGTTAGCTACCAATAAAAATACAGTAACCAGATTTTGGTAAAGCAAGTCATAGTTTAAATGCACTAAAGAGAGAATCTGAAGAGGATTCTTTATAAAGAAAGACCTTTGTAATGTGAATAGATACCCACTACTTCCATGGAGTCTTAAGGCATTAGAACTGGAAGAGCCCAAAATCATCTAGTCCCTGCCTATTTTGTATACAAAGAAACTGAGAACCGAGGAGGAGAGTTACCTATACTTAGTATTTTATTACTTATTGCCAGCAGCATCTCTTACAGATTAGGAGATGGGTCATCATTTTGTGTGCTTGATCTTTCCTGGGTATAAAAATGTGTGTATCATGTAAATATATTAGAGAAACAAGCTGTCAAACACACTAAAGGGTATCGAGAATGATATAACAAACACCCAAGTATCTGCCACTAAAATTTAACTTGGTTTTTAATTACTAAACCCTAATATTTAGCTTTACCTCTCTCAGTTCCCCAGTCCTTCTCTTAAGTAAATCTCTGTATCTAAAAGTTCAGGTAACTTCAGGGAGCCCCTGCTCAAAGGAATCCTGCACGGAACAGCAGGCATTATTTGCTTGAAAATTTTGGATTTTCAGATATGGGGTTTAAATAACTCAAACTAACTTTAAAAATTACAAAATAGTGTTTTTTTAAATATTGGTCCCTTTAGTTGATATGTTTTAATTCTTATTAGTTAGGTTGTTTCTTACATTAGGATAGTTTAATAAAATAACATTATAGAATCCCTCTGGGACACCTTCAGTGGATGCAGAGGTACTTCTTGAATAAAATTGTCCTTACTAAGAGCTTGTAACACCCAGTTCAACAATTCAGCAAATTTTACTTAATGCCCCCTCTTGTGCTGTAGAGACGGATGGTGCAGTTCCTGAGCCCTGTGCCCTGTAGGCTCATAGAGGAGAAAGTGTGTACATCTGTATTGCAAGGAAATAATAGATTCTTTATATCCTGCTACAACCTACCTAAGTCAATTCCACCCCTGCCCCATGTTCCCTGTATCTAGAAGCAGAGTGTGGAGGGACTGTAAGAGGGTGGGGTTTCAAGTTAACAGTAAATTGAAGGTAATATTGGGTGGAGGAGGCCAGTGGAGAGACACTTTGGAGCAAACTAGATTGGAAGTCAGGCAAGGTGTCTCTGGCATGATAAACAGGCCAGAGTGGGAATTTGAGACAGAAGTAGCCTACAGTAAGTTTACAAGCCACAGTTCATGGTCCCTTCTCTCTGTAGAAAATTCTAGTTAGAAATTTAGTTAGAATTCTCTAACTAGAATTTCCAGAATGTGTGTTAGGCATTAAAGTCCACATATTTTTTGACAAATGCTGCCTTGTTCTAGAGTTATTTGCATATATACATAAACCTCTCTCTAGGCCACAAACCCTTAGAGAGCAGATACAGCTCCTGATTCACTTTTCTGTCTCCACAGTATGATCCGGTGGGAGGCTTGGCTCACTGTAGTCCCCATAATCGCCCTCACTCCCTGCTTCATGAACATGCAGCCTGGGACAGTAATTTATACACTCAGGGCTTGATGCTGCTGTGACTTAATAATAGCAATATCATCATCTGTGTCAGAGCTCTTTCTACTGTCATTCATTCTGTGCCCAGCGCAGTCCTATGTGTTAGAGATAGAGTAATTGAACAGCAAAGTCCCTGCCTTTATGAAACCTACATTTTAATGGGGAGAGATAAACAATAAGGAAATAAATAAAATATATAATGTGTCAGATGGTGATAAGTGCTTTGGAGAAAACTGAGCTGGGCATAATAGGATAAGAAAAAGGAGGTTGATGGTGGCTGCTATTTTAAATAGTGTGGTCAGAGAAGGCTTGACTGATAGGGTGACAGGTGAACAGAACTGATGGAGGTGAGAGGCCAGATATGCCATGCTGATATCTGGGAGGGCATTCCAGGTATAGGGGCACCAGCAAATGGCCCAAGGAGGGGAGTGTTAAGGAGGTGGGATCAGAGAAGAAGCCTATTATTGCCCCTTGTAGGATTTCTACTCTGAGTGAGATGGGTAGTCATGGCATGGTTTTGGACAGAGGAGTGATACGATCTGACTTACATGTTTAAAGAATTATTCTGGCTACTATGTGGGACAGGGGCAGAGGAAGCAAGAAGAACAATCAGAATGGTATTGCAATGATCCAGATGAGAGATAATTAAGGTTTGGATGATGGCAGTGGTGAAGCCATGGTCAGATTCTGGATTAACTTATAACTTGAATATGGGGTGAGACATAAAGAATCAAGATAAAGATTTGTTGTGAACAACTGGAAGGATGGAGTTAGCATTCACAGATCAGGAAGATTGGGAGAAGCAGGCTTGGAGGAGATGATCAAGAGTTTCATTTTGGATGTGCTAACAGGTTAGGGAGAAAACAGCAAAGGAGCAGCCAGTGAGGCAGAGGAAAACTGGAAAAATATAGTGTCTCGGAAGCCAAGAGGAAAGACTGTTTCAAGGAGGAGAGACTAATCCACTGTGTCAAACTTTGCTAAAGTAGAGGAAGGATTGAGAATTGTCCTAACAATTGATTTCCTAACAATTCAATTCATTTAAATTAATTATAGATTATGGAGGTGAAGTAACTTGGCCAAGGGCATGCAGATGAAACCAGCTATATAATTTTTGGGGGACCCATGGCAAAATGAAGACAGAGGGCTTCTCCTTCAAAAATTGCTAAGAATTTCAAGATGGCTATAGCAGAAAATTAAACCTAGCAAGTGTTTCACAAGTGTTTCATTGGATCCTTGAAGCAGACTTATAACATAGCTATTATTGTCCTCATTTTTCTGATGAAGAAACTGGTGCTCAGTGCATTGAGTGATATAACTAAGATCACAGAGTGAGACTGGTAGTTCGCACCAGAAGCTGGGCCTTCAGCCTCCAATTCCCTCTAATTCCTTCTTTTTTTTTTTTTTTTTTTTGTTTTTGAGATGGGGTCTCACTCTGTTGCCCAGGCTGGAGTGCAGTGGCACAATCACAGTTCACTGCAGCCTCTACCTCCCTGGGCTCAGGTGATCCTCCCACCTCAGCCTCCCAAGTAGCTGGGACTACAGGCATACACCACCATGCCTGGCTAATTTTTTGTATTTTTTTTGTAGAGATAGGGTTTTGACACATTGCCCAGGCTGGTCTTGAATTCCTGGGCTCAAGCAATACCCCTGCCTTTGCGTGCCAAAGTGCTAGGATTACAGGCATGAGCTACCAAGCCCAGCCTGGCCCTCTTCCTACTAGAACAAACTAGGTATTGAGGGAGAGAGTTGCTTTCCTGCTTCCTGACCATCTGGAGCAGGTGTAAGTATTGAGAATTTGGTCATACATTTCAGAGGCCTGACTGAACTGGGCAAATGAAGGAGGGAGGAAACACATTGCTGAAACTTCTGCCCTAGGGCCCTTTAAGATGGGGGTGAAAAGGGAGCACAGGAAAAAATAGCTCAGGCCATGTACTGGATACTGTTTAGTCAAAAACAAGACGGGGTAAAAGTGCCCCAAAGCTAACGCCATTTAAGGCTATATTGATAAAAATTATAGCGCCTCCAAAACCAGAGAGATGAGAGCCCTGGTACACTTTGGTTTGTCATGCCATAGTCAGAGAGCCATACTGTGAAGACCATATTATATGAAAGCATACACTGAAAAGAATGAGGGGTACAGGGCTCTATCATTTTCCTGGCTGGGTAACTTGGGGAAAATCACTTAATTCTTTCTGATCCTCAGTTTCTTCCCTTGTAAAATAGAGAAAGGTAATACCTCATGGGGATTCTGTGAGGATAAAAGAGATCATGGGAGCTTTTTATAAAATGAAAAACACGGCAGATATAAGTCCCATCAACCCGGACAGTGTTGATAGTGATATTAGAGTGTTCTAATGATGCACCTGGGCAATTTCCTAAAATACATTTGGGTGGAAAAGTCATGGAAGGGAACACAATGGACACTTGTTTTTCTTAGCATTCCTTCCTTGCTGACATACTTTTTCAAAGCTTTTAAATACTTTTCAAAGACTGGATCAAGCTTTGCTTTCCTAAGTGGAGAAGGAGAAGGACAGTTTCTTGTTCCCCTCTCTCTCAGTCTGTTGATGCATGATAAATGACTTCTGTCTGCTAAAACAGATGCTGCTGTACACATATAGATAACATGTTCTATAACTTAGAATGGCTGTAGCCTGCCTTTCAATCTAGTTTGTCCCAAAGTCCCTCCTCTGGAATCCTCCCACAAATGCTCCTTCTGTTAGAGTATAGACAAACATCTCTGAATAAACACTGATGAGTGGTCATTTATCTGGGGAAGAGCAATTCTGGTCCCACCTTGAGCCTCCCCCTTATCCCTGTCCTTTCATTTCTGAACTTCTTGAACTAGTAATATATTCTCAGTGTCTCCTTTTCCCCCTACACCATTTCATTGCTTTGCATATGTAATCTAGCTTTTTCTTTCACTCATTCTCTCATAAATCATCAATGATTTCCTAATGGCCAAATCCAGTGGTCCATTCTCAGTTCTTCTTTTTTGACCTCTCTGCAGCTTATAATTCCTCTGAGTACTCCTATCCTCCATGAAATTTGCTCCACTTTTGGCCTCTCTGATGGTGTGGAGCCTCTCTGATGGTGTGGTGTTCTCACCTCTCTCTCCCTTCTCCTCCTCCTTGCTCACAGGCTTCTCTTTCACTCCCCTAGGTATGGGAGGTGTTTTCCAAGAGTCCCTGATCCTTTTGAGTTAATACTCTTACCCAAAGACAGTTGATCCAACTATATACTTTTAGCTACTACCTCTTTGCAGATGTCTTCTAAATAAATATGTCTGAGTTCTAAGATCACATTTCCAAGTGTTTCTTGGTTATCACTTATTAGCTGGATGTCCCACTGCACCTCAAACTTAGCATAACTAAAAGCAAATATATGTTCCCCCCTAAAACTAGGCTCCCTGTGCTTTATTTCTGTTAGAATAGTAGTACCATGCCTGGCCATCTAGTTCTTAGCCTTCAGAAGTCTCTTTGACTCTGCCTCTTCACTTTGTCTCTCACATTCAGCTAGATACAGTTCTGCCAGTTCTTTCTTCCCAGTGTCCCACATGCTCATTCCATCTTTTCCTGTCCTATACCACCATCCCAGAGAGGGGCCTCAACTTCTCATTGGAAGCATTGGAAAAGCTCCCTAAGTGGCTATCTGCTTTCATCTGCCCTCACCCTCCCAAGTCCATCCTGCACAAACATCCAGAATATTCCTGCTACAGCTGGCTCTGAACCAGTCACTTCCATGTTTAGAATCCTGTAAAGCCTCAGTATTGCCTGCAGAATAAAGACTAAATTTCCCAGTCTGGCATTTAAGTCTAACTTCCCAATGTTCTTTCCCATTACTTTCCTGGAACTACCCAATGTTTCCATTAAATAGTACCACTTGCCTTCCCTGTTTTGCCGTGAATCTTTCTAACACCCACAGTACCTATCTTCATAACTTCTGGTTGTTCAGTCTTCTGTCATATGTCTGCCGATCCAGATAGTGAGTGCCTTAATCACAAAGCCTTTGATGATGATGATGATGACAACGATGACAATGATATGATGAGACTTTAGTCACTCTACAAACTCATAATGGGTAGCTGACACTTTATATGCAGTATCTCATTTCATTTTTCCAACTAATAGTATCCCCATTTCACTGATAACAAAACCATGGTTTAAAGAGGTTATATCCCTAGATCACATAAACTCATGAGTGGCAGAATTAGGGCTCAAAACTAAGGCTGTCCGACTGTAAAGTTTAGGGATTTAACCATTCTGTTCTATTCCCTTTAATTGCCTAGATGTGGTCTCTCCTTTCTGAGCTATAACCATGCTTGATTTTAGCCTCTTTTGTAGTGAATGTTACATAACTTTTTTGCACATCTTTATATATATATATATATATATATATATATACATCTTACCATACATATATATACATATATATATATATATATACATCTTACCATACATATATATACATATATATATAAATACTTTAAGTTCTAGGGTACATGTGCACAACGTGCAGGTTTGTTACATAGGTATACATGTGATATGTTGGTTTGCTTCACCCATTAACTCGTCATTTACATTGGGTATTTCTCCTAATGCTATCCCTCCCCCTGCCCCCCACCCCCAGACAGGCCCCAGTGTGTGATGTTCCCCTCCTTGTGTCCAAGTGTTCTCATTGTTCAATTCCCACCTATGAGTGAGAACATGCAGTGTCTGGTTTTCTGTCCTTGTGATAGTGTGCTCAGAATGATGGTTTCCAGCTTCATCCACTTCCCTGCAAAGGACGTGAACTCATCCTTTTTTATGGCTGCATAGTATTCCATGGCATATATGTGCCACATTTTCTTAATCCAATCTATCATTGATGGACATTTCAGTTGGTTCGAAGTCTCTGCTATGGTGAATAGTACTGCAATAAACATATGTGTGCATGTTTCTTTATAGTTGCATGATTTATAATCCTTTGGGTATATACCCAGTAATGGGATCACTGGGTCAAATGGTATTTTTAGTTCTAGATCCTTGAGGAATCACCACACTGTCTTCCACAATCGAACTAATTTACATTCCCACCAACAGTGTAAAAGCATTCCTATTTCTCCACATCCTCTCTAGCATCTGTTGTTTCCTGACTTTTTAATGATCGCCATTCTAACTGGTGTGAGATGGTATCTCACTGTGGTTTTGATTTGCATTTCTCTGATGACCAGTGATGATGAGCATTTTTTCATGTGTCTGTTGGCTGCATAAATGTCTTCTTTTGAGAAGTGTCTGTTCATATCCTTTGCCCACTTTTTGATGGGGTTGTTTGTTTTTTTCTTGAAAATTTGTTTAAGTTCTTTGTAGATTCTGGATATTAGCCCTTTGTCAGATGGGTAGACTGCAAAAATTTTCTCCCATTCTGTAGGTTCCCTGTTCACTCTGATGGTAGTTGTGCTGTGCAGAAGCTCTTTAGTTTGATTAGATTGCATTTGTCTATTTTGGCTTTTGTTGCCATTGCTTTTGGTGTTTTAGTTATGAAGTCCTTGCCCATGCCTATCTCCTGAATGGTATTGCCTAGGTTTTCTTCTAGGTTTTCTATGGTTTCAGATCTAACATTTAAGTCTTTAATCCATCTTGAATTAATTTTTGTATAAGATGTAAGGAAGGGATCCAGTTTCAGCTTTCTACATATGGCTATCCAGTTTTTCCAACACCATTTATTAAATAGGGAATCCTTTCCCCATTTCTTGTTTTTGTCAGGTTTGTCAAAGATCAGATGGTTGTAGATGTGTGGTGTTATTTCTGAGGCCTCTGTTCTGTTCCATTGGTCTATATCTCTGTTTTGGTACCAGTACCATGCTGTTTTGGCTACTGTAGCCTTGTGGTATAGTTTGAAGTCAGGTAGCGTGATATCTCCAGCTTTGTTCTTTTTGCTTAGGATTGTCTTGGCAATGCGGGCTCTTTTTTGGTTCCATATGAACTTTAAAGTAGTTTTTTTCCAATTCTGTGAAGAAAGTCATTGGTAGCTTGATGGGGATGGCATTGAATCTATAAATTACCTTGGGCAGTATGGCCATTTTCACAATATTGATTCTTCCTATCCATGAGCATGGAATGTTCTTTCATTTGTTTGCGTCCTCTTTTATTTTGCTGAGCAGTGGTTTGTAGTTCTCCTTGAAGAGGTCCTTCACATCCCTTGTAAGTTGGATTCCTAAGTATTTTGTTCTCTTTGTAGCAATTGTGAATGGGAGTTCACTCATGATTTGGCTCTCCGTTTGTCTGTTATTGGTGTATAGGAATGCTTGTGATTTTTACACATTGATTTTGTATCCTGAGACTTTGCTGAAGTTGCTTATCAGCTTAAGGAGATTTGGGGCTGAGATGATGGGGTTTTCTAAATATACAATTACGTCATCTGCAAACAGGGACAATTTGACTTCCTCTTTTCCTAATTGAATACCCTTTGTTTCTTTCTCTTGTCTGATTGCCCTAGCCAGAACTTCTGACACTATGTTGAATAGGAGTGGTGAGAGAGGGCATCCCTGTCTTGTGCCAGTTTTCAAAGGGAATGCTTCCAGTTTTTGCCCATTCAGTATGATATTGGCTGTGGGTTTGTCATAAATAGCTCTTATTATTTTGAAATAAGTCCCATCAATACCTATCTTATTGAGAGTTTTTAGCGTGAAGGCTGTTGAATTTTGTCAAAGGCCTTTTCTGCATCTATTCAGATAGTCATGTGGTTTTTGTCATTGGTTCTGTTTATGTGATGGATTACATTTATTGATTTGCATATGTTGAACCAGCCTTGCATCCCAGGGATGAAGCCGATTTGATCGTGGCGGATAAACTTTTTGATGTGCTGCTGGATTTGGTTTGCCAGTATTTTATTGAGGATTTTTGCATCGATGTTCATCAAGGATATTGGTCTAAAATTCTCTTTTTTTGTTGTGTCTCTGCAAGGCTTTGGTATCAGGATGATGCTGACCTCATAAAATGAGTTAGGGTGGATTCCCTCTTTTTCTATTGATTGGAATAGTTTCAGAAGGAATGGTACCAGCTCCTATTTGTACCTCTGGTATAACTGGGCTGTGAATCCATCTGGTTCTGGACTGTTTTTGGTTGGTAGGCTATTAATTATTGCCTCAATTTCAGAGCCTATTATGGGTCTATTCAGAGATTCCACTTCTTCCTGGTTTAGTCTTGGGAGGCTGTATGTGTCCAGGAATTCATCAATTTCTTCTAGATTTTCTAGTTTATTTGTGTAGAGATGTTTATAGTATTCTCTGATGGTAGTTTGTATTTCTGTGGGATCAGTGGTGATATCCCCTTTATCACTTTTTATTGCATCTATTTGATTCTTCTCTCTTTTCTTTTATTAGTCTTGCTAGCGGTGTGTCAATTTTGTTGATCTTTTAAAAAAAAACAGCTCCTGGATTCATTGATTTTTTGAAGGGTTTTGTGTATGTGTGTGTCTCTATCTCCTTCAGTTCTGCTCTAATCTTAGTTATTTCTTGCCTTCTGCTAGCTTTTGAATTTGTTTGCTCTTGCTTCTATAGTTCTTTTAATTGTGATGTTAGGGTGTCCATTTTAGATCTTTCCTGCTTTCTCTTGCGGGCATTTAGTGCTATAAATTTCCCTCTACACACTGCTTTAAATGTGTCCCAGAGATTCTGGTATGTTGTATCTTTGTTCTCATTGGTTTCAAAGAACATCTTTATTTCTGCATTCATTTCATTATTTACCCAATAGTCGTTCAGGAGCAAGTTGTTCAGTTTCCACGTAGTTGTGCGGTTTTGAGTGAGTTTCTTAATCCTGAGTTCTAATTTGATTGCACTGTGGTCTGAGAGACAGTTTGCTGTGATTTCTGTTCTTTTACATTTGCTGAGGAGTGCTTTACTTCCAAATATGTGGTCAATTTTGGAATAAGTGTGATGTGGTGCTGAGAAGAATGTATATTCTGTTGATTTGGGGTGGAGAGTTCTGTAGATGTCTATTAGGTCTGCTTGGTGCAGAGCTGAGTTCAAGTCCTGGATATCCTTGTTAACCTTCTGTCTTGTTGATCTGTTTAATATTGACAGTGGGGTGTTAAAGTCTCCCATTATTATTGTGTGGGAGTCTAAGTCCCTTCGTAGGTCTCTAAGGACTTGCTTTACGAATCTGGGTGCTCCTGTATTGGATGCATATATATTTAGGATAGTTAGCTCTTCTTGTTGAATTGATCTCTTTACCATTATGTAGTGGCCTTCTTTGTCTCTTTTGATCTTTGTTGGTTTAAAGTCTGTTTTATCAGAGACTAGGATTGCAACCCCTGCTTTTTTTTTTTTTTTTTTTTTTGCATTTGCTTGGTAGATCTTCCTCCATCCCTTTAATTTGAGACTATGTGTGTCTTTGCACATGCGATGAGTATCCTGAATACAGCACACTGATGGGTCTTGACTCTTTATCCAATTTTCCAGTCTGTGTCTTTTAATTGGGGCATTTAGCCCATTTACATTTAAGGTTAATATTGTTATGTGTGAATTTGATCCTGTCATTATGATGTTAGCTGGTTATTTTGCCCGTTAATTGATGCAGTTTCTTCATAGCATTGATGGTCTTTCCAATTTGGCATGTTTTTGCAGTGGCTGGTACTGGTTGTTCCTTTCCATGTTTAGTGCTTCCTTCAGGAGCTCTTGTAAGGTAGGACTGGTGGTGACAAAATCTCTCAGCATTTGCTTGTCTGTAAAAGATTTTATTTCTCCTTCACTTATGAAGCTTAGTTTGGCTGGATATGAAATTCTGGGTTGAAAATTCTTTTCTTTAAGAATGTTGAATATTGGCCCCCACTCTCTTCTGGCTTGTAGAGTTTCTGCTGAGAGATCCGCTGTTAGTCTGATGGACTTTCCTTTGTGGATAACCCGACCTTTCTCTCTGGCTGCCCTTACATTTTTTCCTTCATTTCAACCTTGGTGAATCTGACAATTATGTATCTTGGGGTTGCTCTTCTCAGGGAGTATCTTTGTGGTGTTCTCTGTATTTCCTGAATTTGAATGTTGGCCTGCCTTGCTAGGTTGGGGAAGTCCTCCTGGATAATATCCTGAAGAGTATTCTCCAACTTGGTTTCATTCTTCCCGTCACTTTCAGGTATGCTGATCAAACGTAGATTTGGTCTTTTCACATAGTCCCATATTTCTTGGAGGCTTTGTTCATTTATTTTTACTCTTTTTTCTCTAAACTTCTCAATTTATTTCATTAATTTGATCTTCAATCACTGATACCCTTTCTTCCACTTGATCAAATTGGCTATTGAAGCTTGTGCATGCATCACGTAGTTCTCATGCCATGGTTTTCAGTTCCATCAGGTCATTTAAGGTCTTCTCTACACTGTTTATTCTAGTTAGCCATTTGTCTAATCTTTTTTCAAGGTTTTTAGCTTCCTTGAGATGGGTTCAAACATCCTCCTTTAGCTCGGAGAAGTTTGTTATTACCGACCTTCTGAAGCCTACTTCTGTTAACTCATCAAAGTCATTCTCTGTCCAGCTTTGTTCTGTTGCTGGCGAGGAGCTGCGATCCTTTGGAGGAGAAGAGATGCTCTGGTTTTTAGAATTTTCAGCTTTTCTGCTCTGGTTTCTTCCCATCTTTGTGGTTTTATCTACCTTTGGTCTTTGATGTTGGTGACCTACAGATGGGGTTTTGGTGTGGATGTCCTTTATGTTGATGTTGATGCTATTCCTTTATGTTTGTTAGTTTTCCTTCTAACAGTCAGGTCCCTCAGCTGCAGGTCTGTTGGAGTTTGCTGGAGGTCCACTCCAGACCATTTGCCTGGGTATCACCAGCAGGGAGGCTGAAGAACAGCAAATATTGCAGAACAGCAAATATTGCTGCCTGATCCTTCCTCTGGAAGCTTTGTCCCAGAGGGGCACCCGCCTGTATGAGGTGTCAGTCGGCCCCTACTGGGAGGTTTTTCCCAGTTAGGCTACACAGGGGTCAAGAACCCACTTGAGGGGGCAGTCTGTCCATTCTCAGAGCTCAAACACCATGCTGGGAGAACCACTGCTCTCTTCAGAGCTGTCAGACAGGGACATTTAGTCTACAGAGGTTTCTGCTGCCTTTTGTTCAGCTATGCCCTGCCCCCAGAGGTGGAGTCTATAGAGGCAGCAAGCCTTGCAGCAGTGAACTGGTGGGCTCCGCCCAGTTCAAGCTTCCTGGATGCTTTATTTACCTACTCAAGCCTCAGCAATGGCGGATGCCCCTCCCCATGCCGGGCTGCTGCCTCGCAGGTTGATCTCAGACTGCTGCACTAGCAGTGAGCAAGGCCCCATGGGTGTGGGACCTGCCGAGCCAGGCACAGGATATAATCTCCTGATGTGCTGTTTGCTAAGACTGTTGGAAAAGTGCAGTATTTGAGCAGGAGTGTACTGTTTTTCAGGTACAGTCTGTCACGGCTTCCCTTGGCTAGGAAAGGGAAATCCCCTAGTCCCTTGCACTTCCCAGGTGAGGCGACACCCATCCCTGCTTTGGCTTGCCCTCCGTGGGCTGCACCCACTGTCCAACCAGTCCCAGTGAGATGAACCAGGTACCTCAGTTGGAAATGCCGAAATCACCCATCTTCTGCATCAATCACACTGGGAGCTGCAGACCAGAGCTGTTCTTATTAGGCCATCTTGGAATGGACCTCTAATATTTTTTATTTTATTGCTTATGTGTACACATCTTTTCTATTATATTCACTCAGCAAACATTTATTAAGCATTTATTTCTTACTAACCCCTTTGCTAAGAATTGGAGACAGAGAGAGAAATCAAATGAGAGTCTTTTCCTTCAAGGAACTCACAGCCTAATTGAGGGTGGTAGACAGCAAGTAAACCTGGATTTAGAATATAATACAGTGTGATAATGTTCTTTCTTTATTTACTTATTTAAGAGACAAGGTCTTGCTCTATCACACAGGCTGAAGTGCAGTGGTGCAATCATAGCTCACTGCAGCCTCTAACTTCTGGGCTCAAACGATCCTCCCGCCCCAGCATCCTGAACAGCTAGGACTACAGGCACATGCCACCATGCCCAGCTAATTTTTAAAACATTTTTTTGTAGAGATAGCATCTCACTATGTTGCCCAGGCTGGTCTCAAACTCCTGGCCTCAAGCCATCCTCTTGCCTCAGTTTTCCAAAATGTTGGGATTACAGGTGTGAGCCACTGCACTCAGCCCAGTGTGATAATTTTAATATCAATATTTCTAAATGTTCTGAGCATAGAGATGGGGTGCTTAATGCTGCTACCATGGGATTGGAAAGACAAGGCTATTACATTGTTCATCCTATGGGTATAATTGTCTTTATTCATACTGCCTTGGAAAGACCCTGCCATCAGTCAATCAGTTGGGAAATGAAGAGGCATTATATGTATATAATAGTGTTACATTCACTTTTATTTATTTCACAGAAATAATAATAGCCAATATTTAAAGTACTTGCTTATCACATCTCAAGCACTGCTCTAAGCACTTTACGTATAGTAACTCATTAGTCTTTACAACAGTCTTTAAGGTAGGTGCTATTGATACCTCTATTTTATAGAAGAAGCAACTGAAGCACAGGCTTTAAATCTGTGCTCTAAGACACTCTCCTAGTAAGTAGCAAAGGTAGGTGGCTTGAATCTAGAGGCCATATGCTTAACCACCTTCCTCTCCTATCTCTCAATTCTACTTCCTTAGTATTTAATAAAATAAGGTAGCAATATATTTTCTTTTGTAATTCTTTCCCTCTCCTTTCTCCCCTTTCTCCCCCTCCTTCACACTCCCTCTGTTTCCATAATGATTTGTTGACTACCTATTCTATGCAGGGTGTTGGGGACGCAAAGGCAAATATAACAACAACAACAGCAAAAGACATACTTAGAAAATTAAGGGAACACTGAGGAGAGAGATGTCTAAACAGGATGGAGAGAGGAGGTCAAAGAAGCCCTCCTGGAAGAGATGATCTTGAGCTTAGTTTTGAAGGGTGAATAGGAATCAACTACTAGGATACAGCAAGGCTTAGGGGAAAAAACACAGGCTCTGGAATCAGATCCAAGTTCATTCAAATCAAGTTGTGTGTGACCTTGGGCAAGTTACTTAAAATCTTCCAGGCTCAACTCTCTGCGTATGTAGAATAGGCATTATAATACCTACCTTTTGGCCAGGTGCAGTGGCTCACGCCTGTAATCCCAGCACTTTGAGAGGCCGAGGTGGGCCGATCACCTGAGGTCAAGAGTTCAAGACCAGCCTGACCAACATAGTGAAACCCTGTCTCTACCAAAAATACAAAAATTAGCTGAGCATGGTGGTGCATGCCTGTAGTACCAGCTACTTGGGAGGTTGAGGTGGGAGAATCAGTTGAACTCAGGAGGTGGAGATTGCAGTGAGCCAAGATCGTGCCACTGCACTCCAGCCTGGGTGACAGAGCGAGACCTTGTCTCAAAATAATAATAATAATATCTACCTTTTAAGGCTGTTGTGAGAATAAGAATGATGACTTACGGAAAGCATCCTGCACAGTGCCTGCCACAAAGCAGACCGTATGTGCTGGCTGTTATCATGATTGTTTATAATCTCATTAATAAAAAGTGAAATAGAACCACCAAATAATAAAGCTAAGCAGAGCATTAAGAGTTATTATGTAGATAAGGAAATGGAGACCCAGAGAGAAGCCAGTGTCACACAGGCTGAGTGGCAGTTGGAACTGGAATCCAGATCTTCTGACAGTCTACTTTTTTCTTCGCCTATCTGACATTCCAAACTCCTTTGTTTACAAGTCAATCCACCTCATCCCCCAGGATAACAAAGAAGTTCTCAAACTTTCCAATTGTTTGTACTCTACCTTTGTGATTTTTACCATGTTCTTGTATTGACGTGCTTTTATGCTATTATTTACTTAGTTTTTTTTTTTTTTTCAAATAAACTCATTTTTACTAAAAGTACTTTAAATTAAACTTTAGCTGGGGCAACAGAGAAACCTCATCTCTACCAAAAAAAATTTTTTTTTAAATTAGCCAAGCATGATGGTGTGTACCTGTGTTCCCAGCTACTTGGGAGGCTAAGGTGGGAAGATTGCTTGAGCCCAGGAGTTCAAGGCTGCAGTGAGCCATGATCACACTACTGTACTCCAGCCTAGGTAGCAGAATAAGACCCTCTCTCAAAAATAAATAAATAAATAAATAAGCAAATACAGTGAAAATTTCATATCATTATCGTAAATGGAAAACCAAAAATATCACCTGTGAAATCATAGGTTTGTGGTATAATATAGTTCTTCAAAGACATCTTAAAATAAATACTGAAATATTAAAATAAAAGGCGTTTCATCAAAAATTATCTGCGCTGCCCTGAGTGGCATGCATACTACTTCTTAGGAAATGCTGGCCTATAGAGTGAATTATTTTCCTTTCACAGAAATTCTAGATCATGTACAAATCTATCCTAAAACAAAACTGCCCTTTTCAGTGGCTGGTTTATATTCAGAAGGCACAGAACATAAGACCCAACTCACTCCCTGGCCTGCCACCGACCCACTGTTATTCGTATCAGCTATCACTGGTCCTTAGTTGAATACTAGTCTCACCTCTTTTAGCTAACTTCTCTACTCCTTGGAGTTTTAGATCCCTGGCATAAAACATGTACTAGAACCTAATATGATAAAGTGCATTTGTTTGGAAACTTCAGCACCCTGTTTCTAGCAGATTCTATCACATGGACTTGGGGTTTAGAGTTGGGATAACCTAGATCAGTTCCTGCCCAAAAGGGACCACTGCTTCCAAATGCAACCTTCCAAATGGTTCCATTCCAGGTGGCTGCCAGTGGGCCTGTGAACCAATTGAGGTACAGGTGCTTCTGGCTAGAACTGCTGCCACTAGGTGGACATAAATGGCAATTGCACCATTCTGACCTGTCAACTAGGTCATGAGCCCTGGCTCCAGCACTTTCCCTTAGAGGCAGTTGGCCTTTCTCTGTTAATTCTCTGACACCCTCTGTTCCCCCTTCCTCCAAGTCCTCCTCTGGGTAAGTTAGCACTGGGGATGTTTGCATACCTAGCACTTAGCTAACTGATATTCTGTCACAACCTGCTCAACAAATGTTAGGCTTTTTTGTATTTTGTTAGAATTTAGTGACACTTAGGTTATATTTTTAGCCAGGTTGGAGAGGGAAAAGGAGGAGTTACTTTAGCATGCAGGAAATGTATTGCCAGGTCTTTCTTGCCTGGCATTCTCCTAAGCATCTGTGAATACCTTTAACACACAGCGTTCAGGATCTGATCTGATCTGATTTTATCAGCTTGTATCCTGGGCAAAGCCAACAAGAGGATGAAGAACATTTTGTGCTTCTTCATGTTCTGTATCATTACCCTTTATTGTTAGTGCTCTCATCTCTTTCTAAAGAGGCCAGCCTTGCTCAACCATGGTAGACACCTGTGTGGGAGTCACATAGCAAAGTCTGATGCACCACTGGAAGTAAAGAAGGTCTGGTCTAGAACTTTGTAATGAGGGTCCCCCCACCATCAGCAAGAAGTACATCTTATTCATATGTTTAAATATCAGAATGTTCTTGTGATCAAGAGAAAAATTAAAACAAACTCAGACAGAATCTCCATCCTCAAAGACTGCTAGGAACATCAAGAATTACCCACAGTTCTTGTTTTTTGTATTTTTTTTTTGTTTTATTTTGTTTTGTTTTAAACAGAGTCTCGTTCTGCCACCCAGGATGAAGTGCAGTGGCGAGATCTCTTGGCTCACTGCAACCTCCACCTCCTGGGCACAAGCAATTCTCTCGCCTCAGCCTCCTGAGTAGCTGGGATTACAGGCGCAAGCCATCACACCTAGCTAATTTTTGTATTTTTAGTGGAGACGGTTTTGCCATGTTGGCCAGGCTGGTCTCGAACTCCTGACCTCAGGTGATCCGCCCGCCTTGGCCTCCCAAAGTGCTGGGATTACAGGTGTGAGCCACCACGCCTGGCTTAAGAATTAAGCCAGGTTCACGCCTATAATCCCAGCACTTTGGGAGGCCAAGGCGGGCGGATCACAAGGTCAGGAGTTCAAGACCAGCCTGACCAATATGGTGAAACCCCGTCTCTACTAAAAATCCAAAAAAAAAAAAAAAAAAAAATTAGCCAGGCATGGTGGCGGGTCCCTGTTATCCTAGCTACTCAGGAGGCTGAGGCAGGAGAACCGCTTGAACCTGGGAGGCAGAGGTTGCAGTGAGCCAAGATCGTGCCACTGCACACCAGCCTGGGTGACAGAGCAAGACTCCGTCTCAAAAAAAAAAAAAAAAAAAAATTACCCATAGTTCTATCTGAAGGGCCTGGGACTTCCTGATGAAAACAAAAATAGGATATCACTTTTATAGCAGCCTATTAGACAACAAAAATAGAATATCATTAAAATTGGAGACTGCATTTCACGTCTGTGTCAGAAACACTAACTAATAGGAGCAATTGTCACCCTGAAAAGTATGTGGTGCAGTGGTTAGAACCTGGACTGCAAACAGAAGAAAGTGGGGTATCTATTTCCATCAAGCTGCTATTAACTCTGATTTTGCCCAGTTCAAGTAGATGTACAATACTTTGTTCTTATGCAGGGAGGCTGGGGAGAATCCTGTCAGGCAGAGCTTAAACAACCTCTCCATCCAACCAAGGCAGATTGTCCTTCCTAGAAAATCATCCACCTACACTGACCTATCAAAAACTCCCTTAGCACACCCACTACCAAATATGGCACCCAAATGAATTTAGTCATCTCTCAGAAGAAATGAATCAAGTGAACCTTCACTAATCCAGTCAATTTAATTCCCCCTTAATGGGAATTAAATTAAGAACTGAATAATGCATGATGACATTTCTGCTTTCTAGTCTTATATAGAAATTATTCCTCTAGCTTTAAATCATGGTTATCTCTGATAGAGGAAATGAACAATTGATCAAGTAATAGGAGTGCCATGTTGTAGGAAGTGAAGGAGTAGAAAAACTAGAGTGAGAAGTAGGTGATAGAATAAGTAAATAATGAGCTTGAGACTCTTTGATAAGCCAGACAGGGATGCTGGGCTGGGCAGGAGAGCTATTTGTTTTGGAAATTACTTAGCTGATCATTTCAGGAGTTACATGAACCTGGGACACAGTAAACACTAAATTTCATAGAATGTCCTGCCTGGAAGAAATCTGTAATTTCATTTAGCCAAACTTCCCAAGAGATGCCTGAAAGCCTTCTATAGACTCAATTTGCTAGAAAATGTTTCTGATTTTAAGCATTCTATTAACACGAAACCCCAGCAAATATTTAAAAAATAACTCCCATGTGTTGCAGTTCTGATTATTACTTCATAGCCGTAAGAATGGGACTTCACCTTTATGATCCTTTGCTTACAATGTATGTGACCTTGGGCCAGTCATTTCACCTCTCTGGACATTAGTTTCTTTATGTATAAATAACAACTCCAGCCCTGCCTTGCCTGCCTGCCACTCAGGGTAAATAATGGGCTAAAGAAGGTAATATTCAACCTGAGCAATATCATGAGATCCTGTCTCTACAAAAAAAAAAAAAAAAGAAAAAAAAAGCCAGGGCTGGTGGTGCCGGCCTCTAATCTCAGCTACTCAGGAGGCTGAGGTGGGAGGATCCCTTGAGCCTGGGAGGTTGAGGCTGCAGTGAGCCGTGATCACACCATTGCACTCCAGCCTGGATGACAAAGTGAGACCCTGTCTCAAAAAAGAAAAAAGATCATATTAGTGGAAGTCTCTTGGTAACCATTAAGGTATGGTGGACATTTTAAAATACTGTATAAGGCCGGGTGTGGTGGCACATGCCTGTAATCTCAGCACTTTGGGAGGCTGAGGTGGGTGGATCACTTGAGTTCAGGAGTCAAGACCAGCCTGGGCAACATGGCAAAACCCCATCTCTCCAAAGAAAAATAAAATAAAAAATAAGCCGAGCATGGTGGCCCGTGCCTGTGACACCAGCTGCTCAGGGGGTTGAGGCCGGAGGATCGCTTGAGCCCTGGAGGCGGACGTTGCAGTAGCGGAGATCACGCCACTGCACTCCAGTTAGGAAGACGGAAGTGAAACCCTGTCTCAAAAAATAAATAAAATTAAAATTAAGGCCGGGCACGGTGGCTCACGCCTGTAATTCCAGCACCTTGGGAGGCCAAGGCGGGCGGATCACGAGGTCAGGAGAGCGAGACCATCCTGGCTAACACGGTGAAACCCCGTCTCTACTAAAAATACAAAAAATAAGCCGGGCGCGGTGGTGGGCGCCTGTAGTCCCAGCTACTCGGGAGGCTGAGGCAGGAGAATGGCGTGAACCCGGGATACGGAGCTTGCAGTGAGCCAAGATAGCGCCACCGCAGTCCGGCCTGGGTGAAAGAGTGAGACTCCGTCTCAAAACAAAACAAAAAAAATTAAATACTGTATAAAAGTGTTACTCTTAGCTCCTACATTCCATAACCAGGGACATCCCATGTGCTATGTAAGAGTAGCAATGGTTCATGCCTCTCTTTGTTTTTTTGAGACAGGGTCTCATTCTATTGCCCAGGCTGGAGCAGTGACGATCATAGCTCATTATAGCCCCAAACTCCTGGGCTCAAGTGATCCTCCCACCTCAGCCTCCAGAGTAGCTGGGACTATAGGCACGCACCACCATGCCCAGCTAATTTTTTTTATTTTTTTATAGAAACGGGGTCTCATGTTGTTGCCCAGGCTGGTCTCAAGCTCCTGGGCTCAAGTGATCCTCTCACCTCGGCCTCCCAAAGTGCTGGGATTACAGGCATGAGCCACTATGCCCGGCCTCATGTCTCTCCATTCTACTAAGAGGTTCCTCCCCTTTGCCAATAATTCTTCCCCAGAGTTAGCCACAGATGGGTCACTATAAGAGCGTTCTTCAAGGGGTCCTGTGTTTTTTCACGAAAAACAAGGAATGGGCTTGTGTGGCCACACGGTCTGCTGGGGTAACAGCCAGCAGATAGTGAGGCTTTCAGCAGGAACAGCTGCAGGCCTCTTGCTTTTCCCCACATCTTCAACTACCGAGGCCACTTGCTCACTAGGCCTCCAGTGGCATGGGTGAGCCCTAAGGAGCATGGCAACAGGCAGCCACACAGAGGATTCTCATAGTTTTCGTTCTCAGGCACAGGAGAACCTCATAAAGGCACACTTGTTGTTTATCCTAATAGGCATTTAGTAAGTGTTTATTATGACTTAGGTCCTGTGCTAACCACTGGGGATAAGAGCTGAGTCAGATGTGCTGCCTGCCCCTGAGACCTCACAGTTTAGTGGGAGAAACAGACTCATGAGTGTTATACACAGGATGTGTTATGATCAGAGCCTGCAGTGTGTGGGCATAGCTGATGGGTCACTAAAATCTATCTGAGGACTCAGGCTCAGGGGAGGCTTCTCAGAAGAGATGAGATTTAAACCGGACTTTAACGGGCATTTCAGACAGAGGGAGCTGCAAGTACAAAGGCACAGAGATGTGAAAGGGCATCTTGGCTCTGGGCACAGTAACAGTAAGGTTGGAGTGTCTGTTACACATCAGGGAGTGGAAGAACTGAAACAGGAGAGGTAGCTGGAGTCCAAAGGGCCTGGCCTTTATATGTCATGGGAGCCACGGAAGGGTTTTAGGGAGAAGAATGTGATGGGCAAGTAAGAATCTTAGAGCTGTGGCAGTATGAGGGCTGGGTGGGAAGAGGTGAGAAATGAACTGGGGTATTGAAGTGAGGGACAGATTCTAGAGAGATTTAGAAGGTAGAATTGATTGATCTTATTAGAAATTCTAAGAGCTTCTGGGACAGGAAATTAAAAGAGAAAGAAGGCAGACTGAAAACTTAGTGAAGGCCCATAGGTAAGATGACAAGATATCTTGCATCAAGCAAATCAGACCTTGATTTCACCTTCTGGACAGCCTGGCCAAGATGGCCTATGTAATGTTTGTGGACAATAGATGAAAAAGCTTTTTGTTACAGTTTTACAATTTTTTTTTACAGCTACAGAGTTGGATTCAGCAGATCTGGCTGGCTAGGCCAGTGTGCCCTTCTTCCTCCCCTCCTGCCCCCACCTCATGTCTTAGCCTCAAAACAAATTACTTTGTCAAGGAAGAAGCCTTCCCAAGATAGAGGAAGGTTAAGAATTAAGAAACAGCTGTGCTGAGATCTCCATATTAAGTCCTATCTACACCCATGCATTACCACTAAGAACTGTATCAGTCGGAATGCCCTGCTGCCTGTAGCATACAGTTACACAACAAGCATAGGGACAGATTCCCAGAAGAATTGGTATTTGAGCTGGGTCTTGAAGGAAAGCAAAGGAAAAATAAGCACACTAAAATAGTATCCTCCCTGGTGTAGCCCTTTTCTAGAAGTACACCTAGAATGCAACAGAATGTTCTGCAGTGATAGAAATTGTCTTCTGTATTATCCCATATGGTAGCCACTAGTCACACATGACTATTAAAGCACTTGAAATGTGGCTAATGCAACTAAGGGACTGAATTTTTTAATTTTTATTTTGCTTTAATTTAAATGTAAATAGCCATATTGCAGCTAGTGGCTACCATATTGGACAGCACAGCTCTGGAGTCCACTTAGCATCTCTAGATTCTGTTTCACATGGTCCTTCCTTGCTTCATTCCCCTTGGGAGCTTTGCCTGTCCCTGTTCCCTTCTGCCCAGTCCCTCCAGTTTGACATGCTCATTGGCTACCTTCCAGCTTCCAACACCAGCTCTGTTTCCTGGGTTTTTTTTTATTTTTTATTTTTTGAGACAGCGTCTCGCTCTGTCAGCCAGAGCGACAGAGGAGCCTCGGGAGGCTGGAGTGCCATGGAGCGATCTCGGCTCACTGCAACCTCTGCCTGCCAGGTTAAAGTGATTCTCCTGCGTTAGCCTCCTGAGTAGCTGGGACCACAGGCATGCGCCACCATGCCTGGCTAATTTTTTGTATTTTTAGTGGAGACAGGGTTTCACCATGTTGGCCAGGCTGTTCTTGAACTCCTGACCTCAAGTGATCTGCCCACCTCGGCCTCCCAAAGTGCAGGATTACAGGCGTGAGCCACCACGCCCAGCCTGTTTTCTGGTTGTTGATCTCCTCTCTGTCATCATGGCAGAACCCTGAACTATCTTCCATGTGACTCAGCCTTGCTATCTCCCAACCTTTGCTGGTGTGTGGGCCTAGATAATGTAGCCTCACCGGATCCTGGTCCTACACTTTTGGTCCTTCGTTAGGCCTTATTCACTCCTCCCTTGTTTTCCTGGCTACTTAAACCAGCCAGTTAGTAACCTGGCATATTCTTTGATGTTTTCCCTCCCTGTCAACTTGAGTTAGAGAATGGAACAGTTGGGATGGTCGTGTGTATGTACTGGGGCAGTGTGTGTCTGTGTGTGTGTGTGTGTGTGTGTGTGTGTAAGTAACTGGTTACATAAATACTTTGATAGGAGGTATCTGGTAGTAGGTGAAGGGCTCCATCTCCTGAGATCTTTGCTGTCTGGCATTTTTAACTTTGATTCTTACAAAGTTCAAACATTGAACTTTGGCCGTATAAAAAGGCCAATATTAATAGATTGATTACATTTGTGGGTGGAAAAGATGGATTCAGAATCCAAGAAACAAAAAGTTTCTTGACAAGCCAAAACACTAGGACAGATTTAACCTGATTATATGTAACAATGACTAATTTCCGATCCTGTATTTGGGTCTAAATGGCTAAATGCCAAGGTAGCATATATGGTTTAGAAGACTTGGTGGCTTTAGCTGATTATGAATCAGTGGTGGGTAACAAGATAATAAACTCTTGAAAAGAACCAATAGAATAGCATCCAAGAGGAGTGATAGGCCTACTCACTTTCCCATGGATTAGACCACACTTGGATCATTGTTTCAGGTTCTGAGCACCTCTCTTTAAAACAAAAACAAAAACAAAACCCAAGAATTAAAAAAAAAAAAAATCACCTCAAACAACTAAGGGGACTGACCACGATGGTGAAGGGACTGGTGGCCTGCCATACAAGGACTTGGGACAAGTGAGCTTTAGGAGAGCAGACCATGGGGATGGTCACTGTCTTCAGTCTCCGAAGGGCAGTTACAGAGCACTCCAGAAGGCAGGGCAAAAATAAACGAGTGAAAATTTGAGCAGATTTCAGCTCAGTTTCAGGAAAATATTTCCAATTGTCAGAACTGTGACTTCTGGTGGTCCAACCTGCTGAGGCAGTGCAGAGTTTAGTGGAGACCCTGGAGGAACGATGTCAAACATGCCCCTAAGCCAGTCTGCTCAAATATTGATTGTCTCCCCAGTGGTGGATAGCTAATTCAAAGTGTGTAGGCCCTGTACTTGCTGACCCCGTTTAGCTTACAGGTTCTATATTAAGTGTCAGACTCTTCTCATTCTAGCTCAGCATTCCAATTAAATAACCTTGGCTCCTTGCATGTGGGAAACAGGTTTCAAGCACAGAACCCCTAGCACCAAGCAGAATGGCAACATAATTTTAGCTCCTGAGCAAAACGTGTCTCACAATAGCGTCAGTACAGTGTGCACATTAACATTTGAATATGCTGTATAATAAGCGTGCTAATTACTCTGAGAAGAATACTTAAAGAATAAAATAAGCTGTGATCATTAGAGGAGAAGGGGGTTAGCAATTTATGGCATGGGCTGCTGCTTGATATTCAAAAGTACATGATGGCTCTCATCTCAGGTAAAAGGGAATTATTGAAACCATAAAAATGTAATGATCGTGGCAGATAGTGATCAGCATTTTATAGGAAATGTTTGTGGCAGAGTCTTTTTTAAAAAACACTTTCAGATTTACTACTAATAAAATGTGTCCCCATTTGGTTGTTTGGTTCCTTTGAGCAGTTTGAAATGTGAAGCCATTGTTGTAGCGTTAATCTCAGCTTTGTGGAAATGGCTGATGGAGTCTTCACCCAGATGAGCAGCTGAGATGGGGAGCCCTCAGACTGGACACGGGCCTGATAATCACCTTGCCCGAACAGAAACTGGAAAGGGGAGCTGGAACCACACTACTTGATGACCTAGACCTGCGGTTTTCAGTCTGGTCTGCACACCTCTTGGGGGTCTTAATACTCTTTCAGCAGGTTCATTAGGTCAAAATTATTTTCACAATAATATTAAGATGTTGTGTGACTTGTTCACAGCATTGAAAGACTACATATTATATAATTACATTTATATGAAATGTCTACAAAAATTAGCCAGGCATGGTGGCGCATGCCTGTGGTCCCAGCTACTTGGGAGGTTGAGGTGGGAAGATCACTTGAGCCCAGAAGGCAGAGGTTGCAGTGAGCAACCTCTGCCCTCCACTGCACTCAAGCCGGGGTGACAGAGCCAGAGCCTATCCCCCCCCCAAAAAAAGAAAAGAAAATAAAAGTCCATAATAGGTAAACCCATAGAGATAGAAAGCAGATAGTAGCTGCCAGGGACTGGGGGAGGCCAGAATGGGGAGTGATGGCTTAATGGGTACAGGGTTTCCTTTTGTGATGAAAATGTTCTGGAACTAGGTAGCAGTGGCATTTGTACGACACTGTGAATGTACTAAATGCCATTGAATTATATACTTTAAAATGCTGACTGTTACATGAATTTTACCACACACACACAAAAAAAATGTGAAGGTCGCATATTGTAGTGCATGGGAGCTTCTTCCCATCCAGAACAGAAGCTTCTTGAGGGTCTTCTAATCTTGGAAGTTCTCTTTGTTATGTGCTGTTTGAAACCAGCACATGGAAGTTCTCTTCACCACAATTCTTTCAGTAGCTACAATTCTTAAAGTAATGAAACATTTTCCCTAGTTCCCCAACACACTAGGTATTTTAAATCTACTTCTTTTAACCCTGTCTCTGCTAGTTTCTGTATCTGAAATATCTTCTGTCAACCTGGAAAGCTACTACTACCTGGCCTTTGAAACCCATCTAAAATGACACTCCCTCTGCAAAATCTTCCTGGGCCACCACGCACCCCAAGAATTGGTCCCTTCTGCCTCTCTGGATTTCTACAGTACTTTGGTTCTATTCCTTTTAACATAGTCCTGATACAAGGCCTTATCACATTGAATCACAGTTAGAACATATCACTTTTTGTTAATGTCTGTCTCCCCAAAGGTGACTTGTAAGAGCAGTATTTTCTTATCCCTAAAGCACAATGCACACACATACACAAACACACGCATACTCCAAATGTGCTCATTAACAACTATATGTTAGGTACTTTTTTAGAGGCCTTAGAGACATTAACTCATTTAATCCATATAACCTTATATACATTTTATTGATGATTCAACTCAGGAAACAAAAACTTTCAGGTTGTAAAGTGATGTTAAAACAGAAAATCCATGTGATAGCAAAACCAAACTTGGCACATGGTTGCTGCACATGGTTGCTGCCTGTTTTCTCTAACAATAGAAAAAAATGGCTAATAATATTAAGTAAATGGAAGAGACTTTATGACTTAAGTGACATTTAGGAAGATGTTTCCATACTTTTCAGACTTCATAGTGTTAGAGCTGAGAGGGACCTTGGGGATCTCCTGGTGCGAGTTAAAGGTAAGGCAGGGAAAATAGGGCTTGCCTGTACCAGAATAATCCTGTAGAAGAAATCCTGTAGAAGAAACAGGAACCTAAAGCTTAAGAGGAGGGATCGGGAGGAGGAAAAGAAGCCAAGAGAGAGAAGGCATTCATCAAGGAGAGAAAGGATAGTTAAGACAGTTATTCAGCTAGCACCTTAGAAACCCTGCCCAGAAGAGGGCCAGGCATGGTGGCTCACACCGGTAATCCCAGCACTTTGGGAGGCAGAGGTGGGCGGATCATGAAGTCAGGAGATCGAGACCATCCTGGCTAACACAGTGAAACCCTGTCTCTACTAAAAATACAAAAAATTAGGCAGAGCTTGCAGTGAGCCGAGATCGTGCCACTGCACTCCAGCCTGGGTGACAGAGCAAGACTCCGTCTCAAAAAAAAAAAAAAACCATTCATTTGTTGATTTTGTTGATTTTGTTTTTGTTTTTTTTAACCCATCCTTGCTCAAAGAAATAAAATACATTCATTTGTAAGTAACTAAAACACAACCAACAGACTGACCTAACAACAAAAGTTCACACTAAAAGTCCAGGGTAATTCAGGCTCCAGGCTTGGTTTGATTTAGCAGATCACCAATGTCATTAAAGCTGACTTTGATGTGAGATGGCTGCCAACAATTCCCAGAGCTACATAAGTCCTTGTCCATATCCAGATAGACAAAGGTCATTTCTACAAGCCTCTCTCTCAGGAGCCCCTAGAGAACCTCTGTTAATCTAAACTGAGTCATATGCCTACAGTGGCTATGTGGGGCCTTGCCCAGTGCCCCTCTTCCCTGCAGATACACCCATCCTTCAGCTGCAGGGGATATTACTGCTCTCAGCCTCAGGAAACCATTTCATGTTCTCCTAGGGTACAGCCTGAGGCCAGTGACAGGCTGATGTGGGAATACACTTCAACTTAGGACAACTCTGAAGGGCTAGCCCAGCTCCTGGGCTCCCAGTGGGACCAGAGAAAGCCTTCATTGTAACTACCCAGCAACTATTTTGCTGGTCAGCTTCTCTCTACACCCAACCCTGTCTTCTTTACTTCCTCACAGTTGTATGTCCTGAGAACACTTTTCAATAAACCATCTGCATGCCATGCACAGTAGTGCATGCCTATATTAGGTACAGATGCAATTCTGTACCAGCTACTCAGGAGGCTGAGGCAGAAGGATTGCTTGAGCCCAGGCATTCAAGTCCAGCCTGGGCAACATAGCAAGACCGTGTTTCAATATTTAAAAAAAAGAAATAAGAAAAAATAAAAATGAAAAAAAAAAACCCTTCTGCATGCAACTTTCCATCTTAAATTCTGTTTCTGGAGAACTCAATCTAAGATAGTGCTCACTTCTGAATCAATAAGTGTGACAAGATGTGGGACTATGCTGATAAATTAGGATTAATTGCATGCCCTATCCTAGAGTTGGAATCAACCTCTGTTGCTTAGAAATTAGCATTATAGTCTAGCGTGTCAGAGCTGGAAGAGTTTCAAAGATCATGCAGTCCTTCTCCTTTAGCTAATAGAAGACACAGAGAGGGGATGGAACCCACCTAAGTTACACAGTTAAACTAGGACCCAGACCCGGATGTCTTTATTCCAGAGCGGAGTTCTTTCCACTGTAACCCATTTCCCATTTTTGGTCATTAAGCAGAAATGGCAATCCATCTATCTCAAAGTGACAGGACTGCCTGTCTAACGGACCTCAACATTCTCACAAATAGGTGGTAGACAATCTCTGCACCCCATTCCTTTTCAGCAGCCTAATTTATAGACATATTTTTATTTTATTCCACTCAGGATTTAAAAATATTTTTTGAAAGAGTAATGTGTTCATATGGTTCAAAAAATATTTTTAAGTATAAAAAGGTATGCACTAAAAAGTTTCACTCCTACTTCTTCCTCATCCCACCTACTCCCCTCCCACAGGTAATTTCTCTTATTCAGTTTCTTATGAACCATAACAAGAACTTTGAAATCAATTGTTCTGATTACCAAAACAGTCTGGAGGAGTGGCGATACTGCGATGTAGAGAGCCTCAGTGAATGAAAGAATGAAATATTGACCAAGTCCAAATTCAGTGTTCTTTCCATAATATCACCATGCTTTTAAAAAGACCTGAGGTGTGTGGTGAGAGCTTAGATACCAGAAGTAGGATGAAAGGTGTAAGTTAGCCTGGAAGACAGGCTGAGCTATTGAACCAGGGCCCTTTAAATTCCCTGACTTGACAGAGCCTGCAGAGGGGCTGATTGGCCCGAGCTGTGAAGAGAAGAGGAACTCAACAGGCAGGTGTTTGCATTGAAATAGGACTTGACTCATCCTGCATCTTCATGTAATACACCTAGTCTGTCACAAAGCCTTGTCAAGTCTTCTTGTGAAATATTTACCCTATCTGTCCCTAACTTTCTCTTCTCACAACAAAAAAACATACTCCAGACTTCAGTCAACTCACACATGGGTTATTGACACAGGCTTTTTTTTTTTTTTTTTTTTTTTGAGAGGAAATCCCACTCTGTTGCCCAGGCTGGAGTGAAGTGGCACGATCTTGGCTCACTGCAACATCCACCTCCGAGGTTCAAGCAACTCTCCTGCCTCAGCCTCCTGAGTAGCTGGGATTACAGGCGTGTGCCACCACGACCAGCTAATTTTTGTATTTTTAATAGAGACGACAGGGTTTCACCATGTTGGCCAGACTGGTGTCAAACTCCTGACCTCAAGTGATCTGCCCGCCTCAGCCTCCCAAAATGCTGGGATTACAGGCGTGAGCCACTGTGCCCGGCCGCCACAGGCTTTTAATTGGTCTCCTGGTACAGAAATAGCTTTAACCTAAATGAGCATGTATTGCATCCAGTTTCCATTTATAGCTTATATGTAAATTACGTTGGTCCTTTAAAAAGCCTAGTTCTTTCAACTTCCAACTCCATATAGTGGCAACAACTCCATTAGCGTGTTAGTTAAAAGGGTCAAAGAAGATTTGCTCCAGCTCAGAAACAAGGCTGATCACCAGAAAGATGAGACTTGCCCAGCAAATGAATAAACAAATTGTTTATCCATTGTTAATTGTTTATCCATTATTTTCCCACTGTTGCCGGGCGCAGTGGCTCACACCTGTAATCCCAGCACTTTTGGAGGCCAAGGTGGATGGATGACCTGAGGTCAGGAGTTTGAGGCCAGCCTGGTCAACATGGCGAAACCCTGTCTCTACTAAAAATACAAAAAAATTAGCCGAGTGTGGTGGCACATGCCTGTAATCCCAGCTACTCGGGAGGCTGAGGCAGGAGGATTACTTGAACCCAGGAGACGGAGGTTGCAGTGAGCTGAGATCGCACCCTCTGCGCTCCAGCCTGGGCGACAAGAGCAAAACTCAGTGTCAAAAAAACAAAAAACAAAACAAAACAAAAAAAAACAAATTGTGGTATATTCATACACTGGAATACTAATCAGTAAAAAGAAGGCCAGGCACAGTGGCTCACACCTGTAATCCTAGTGCTTTAGGACTGAGATGGAAGGATCACTTGAGGCCAGTAGTTTGAGACCAACCTGGACAACGTGGTGGGACTCTGTCACTACAAAAAATAAAAGAGAGAAAGAAAGAAAGAAGAAATGAGCTACTGATGCACCCAACAACCCAGATAAATCTCAAAACATCATGTTGAGTAAAAGAAGTCAGATATAAGAGAATACATGCAGTATGAGTCCATTCATATGAAGTTCAAGAACAGGTAAAATAATCTATGGAGGCTAGATGCAGTGGCTCACGCCTGTAATCCCAGCACTTTTGGAGGCAGAGATGGGAGGATCACCTGAGGTTAGGAGTTAGAGACCAGCCTGGCCAATATGGTGAAACCCTGTTTCTAGTAAAAATACAAAAAAGCCGGGCATGGCGGCAGGCGCCTGTAATCCCAGCTACTTGGGAGGCTGAGGCAGGAGAATTGCCTGAACCCAGGAGGCGGAGGCTGCAGTGAGCTAAGATGGCACCACTGCACTCCAGCCTGGTGACAAGAGCAAGACTCTGTCTCAAACAATCATCATCATCATCATCATCATTATCATCTATAGGGATATAATTTAGAATAAGGGTTGTCTCTGATAGGCATTGGAAGGAACACGGGGATGCGATAGCAGTACTTTCTATCTTGACTGAGGGACTGGTTATACAGGTGTATACTTTTGTCAAAACTCATTAACCGTATGCTTGAGATCTGTGTGTTCCACTGTAACTGTTCCCCAATGAGGGGGAGAGAGAAAGAGAGTCCAGGCACGGTAGCTCATGCCTCTAATCCCAACACTTTTGGTGGCCGAGGCAGGAGGGTTGATTGAGCCCAGAAGTTCAAGACCAGCCTGGGCAACATAGGGAGACCCCCATCTCTACAAAATAATAATAATAATAATAATAATAATAAATAATAAAATTGGCCAGGCGTGGTGGGATGCACCTGTAGTCCCAGCTACTTGGGAGGCTGAGGTGGGAGGATTGCTTGAGCCCAGGAGTTTGAGGTTGCAGTGATCACACCACTTTACTCCAGGCTGGACAACAGAGCGAGACCCTGTCTCAAAAAAAATAATTTAAAAAGCCCAAATATTGGTAAAAAACAGAGGCTTCCTAGTAGTCTCCTACTTTTTCTCAATTCCTTACTGAAAAACATCTGAAGAAAATGGAAAATTAGGAATCCCCAACACCATAAAAAGTCTGAAAGAAATCTGATGCCAGAGTCTTGGCAGCATTTCTGTTTTCTGTTCTTCTAATGTGCATGTTGCAGCTGTATTAAGAAACACTGACCCAATTTAGAGCACACATTATACTCACCTGAATTTTATGAGCGGATGCCTGAGAAAAGGAAAGAATGCCCTTGGCTGCTCCCACACCATCTGTCCTCTGCCCCTCTGGGACATTAGCCTGATGGGAACAGATCGCTGAGGAGGCAGAGCACCTTTTCCCAGCACCTACACCCAAGGCCAGGACCCTCCTCTGCCAGCTTGCTTGCTTTTTCAACTTAAATCTTATTTGTTTCAGGGTAATACATGGGCAGAGTTTTAAACATCAAATAGAACTACTCCAAAGTCTGGAGGTGCGGTGGCTCACACTTGTAATCCTAGCACTTTGGGAGGCCGAGGCGGGTGGATCACTTGAGGTCAGGAGTTCAAGACCAGCCTCACTAACACAGTGAAACTCCACCTCTACTAAAAATATAAAAATCAGCCAGGCATGGTGGCGCTTGCCTGTAATCCCAGCTACCGGGGAGGCTGAGGTGGGAGGATTGCTTGAGCCCAGGAGGTGGAGGTTGCAGTGAGCTGAGACTGTGCCACTGCACTCCAGCCTGGGTGACAGAGCAAGACTCCATCTCAAAACAAACAAACAAACAACAACAACAACAACAAAACAAAGTCTGTTACGAAAAACAGCAGGCCCCTGCCTTAGCCCTTTCCACCTCACTTGTCATTCTCCACAGACAGTGCTCCAGAGACTGTTCTTTTAGCAGTTGCTTCTGTTGTTTACCTCCTTTTATATAAATACTATGACTATATTATTCTTTTTTTAAAAATTTTTGACATTAACTATTGACTTCCTACTATGAAAAATAAGACTTTATCTCTCTTCATCCTTACTTTCCCACACTTTTGACTCCCCCCTCCTTTCAGTAATGGTTACTTATGTTAATGTGACTCTGTATGTGGTGTTTACAGGTGATTTTAAGACCTACATATAACATACTATAATTATATTTTTTGTACAACTTTTAATTTTTCCTGGTGTTAAGAATAACCTCTTTTTGTCTTCCTTTGGCTTAATTTACTACATCCGTCAGAGCTGTAAAACTCCTCTCTCTTCTCAGTGTGGTTACGCAGGTGGTATCCTTGATTGTTATTTCCTGACATCCCCCCACCACCCCACCCCCGGCCACCCCAAGAACCTTCTGTCCTCTGGTTCCCGCCTACACAGGATTGCCCTCCGGGCCAGCTGTACAGCTAACATTATGGGCATGTATTCTTCAGGAGCTTCCTGGAAAGGGGTGCATGGAGGGTCAATATTCTGACACGCTGAATGTATGTAAGTCTTTATTCTATGCTTACTCTTGAATGATAATTTGGCTGCGGAAGTTCTAAGATGATAACTTTCTTCACAATTTTGAAGACTGTCAGTTGCTCCACTGTCTTCTAGTTTCCAGTGTTCTACTGAGAAGGCTCATGCCATTTTGAATCCTAGTCTTCAGATTATGATTTTTTTCCCCTCTTAGGACACTTTTAGGATTTCTAGTTTTCTGCAACTTCATTATGATATGCCTTGGTGGGCCATTTCGATCTGGAATCCTAGAGGAATTGCGTTGTATTACTGTTTGATAATTTCATTATTTACAGCTATCGGTACTAAAAATACTGACATTTGGGGGTTCCTCAAGGAACCTGCTTCCTGATCACCCTAGGGGAGTGCCCACTAGTCTTTAAGACCTACCAGGGGACACAGAGTTCCCACAGAAGCACTTTTTAGTGCCTCTCTCATAAATATAAATGGATATTTAAGGATGATCATATACTCAGGAAAGACTCTATAATGAAAGCCAGAACTCTGTGTTACTAAAAAGAAACCTGGAGGCCGGGCGCAGTGGCTCACTCCTGTAATCCCAGCACTTTGGGAGGCTGAGGCAGGTGGATCATCTGAGGTCAATTTCAAGTTCGAGACCAGCCTGGCCAACATGGTGAAACCCCGTCTCTACTAAAAATACAAAAAAATTAGCTGAGCGTGGTGGCGGGCACCTAAAATCCCAGCTACTTGGGGGGCTGAGGCAGGAGAATTGCTTGAACCTGTGAGGCAGAGGTTGCAGTGAGCCGAGATGGTACCACTGCACTCCAGCCTGGGTGACAAGAGCAAAAATTCTGTCCCAAAAATAAACAAATAAATAGAAACCTGGAGAAAATGGAGACATTTCAGAGATCAGAATAAAACTTAAGGGGCCAAGCTTGGTGACTCCTGCCTCTAACCCCAGAGCTTTGGGAGGCTGAGGTGGGAGGATCACTTGAGGCCAGGATTTAGAGACTAGCCTGGGAGAAACCAGCCTGGGCAACATAGTGAGACTCTGTCTCTACAAAAAAATTAAAAATAAAAAAATTAGCCAGGCGTGGTGGCTACTCGGGAGGCTGAAGCACAAGGATCACTTGAGCCTAGAAGTTTGAGGCTGCAGTTAGCTATGATCATGCCACTGCACTATAGCCTGGGTCAAAGCAAGACTGTGTCCCTCAAAAAATGAATAAAATTTAAATATATATATTTAATGTACATATGTTAGATATAAATATGTCCATAAATATATTTATTATACATATATTTATGTATATATGTTTACATACATAAATACATGTGTATGTATTTAAAGATGTTAAAATATGTTCACCTGAGCTCCATATGCTTGAAAGAAAAAAAAGAGGTTAAAATATGTTACATTAATGGAATAAAAACAGCATGTTATGAAAAATGAACATTAAAAATAAGAAAGAGCCCTTGGAAATTAAAAATATGACAGCTAAAAAAAAAACCAAATGTGGTTATCTTATTTTTTCTTAAACTAGTCACTTTCCCCCAGAAAAGACTCTTCCAGTCTCCTGCCTCTGGAGATTAGCCATTAGCATTCTGGAGCCAGCTGGGAAAAGGGGAGTTGGAGGAGTAGCTCACCATTTAGGATGTAGACTTCCAGTTCATCCCCTCCATTCTGTCTTTTCCGTCTTTCTTGAACTCTGATTAGTCAGATGTTGGACCTCCTGGACCGATTCTCTACTTTTATATGTATTTTTCCTTTAGGGTATTTCTTTATATTTTTATGCTATTTTTGGGGCAAATTTCCTCAATTCTATCCTTAAATCCTTTTAGTGATTTGGGAGGGTATGAAGATAAGCGTATCAATTTACCATGACTAACTAGAAATCCTTCTGATACCATTCTACATCTTGGCTGATAGTATGTCCTTTTGCAGAAAGGGAGATAAGAAATGGGCCTGGGGAATCCACAGCCACCCTCATCTGGGCCTGGTGTCTCTAAGCCCAGCGCTCTATTAGCTTTACTTTCTCCAGAAAGTAAACTTCTGCTCTTCTGCCATTTGTCCACTGGCTTAGCATTTTCTAAACTCTCCCAGAGGTACTGGTAAGGACACAGACAGAAAAATAAACGAACAGAGAAGGAAGTTCAGAAATAGACTTACAGCTGGGTGTGGTGGCTCACACCTGTAATCCTAGCACTTTGGGAGGCTGAGGCAGGTGGATCACTTAAGCTCAGAAGGTAGGGACCAGCCTGGCTAATATGGTGAAACCCCGTCTCTACTAAAAATACAAAAATTAGCCGGGCATGGTGGCACGTGCCTGTAATCCCAGCTACTCGGGAGGCTGAAACAGGAGAATCACTTGAACCTGGGAGGTGTAGGTTGCAATGAGCCAAGATTGCGGCACTGCACTCCAGCCTGGGCAACAAAGCGAGAAAAGAAAAGAGAAGAGAAGAGAAGGGAAGGTGAGAGGAGGAAAGGAAAGAAAAGAAAGAAAGGAAAGGAATGAAAGAAAGAAAGAGAGAAGAAGAGAAAGAGGGAGGGAGGAAGGAAGGAAGGAAAGAGAGACTCACGAATAGGTAAGGATGTAGTATGTTATAAAGGTCACATTTCATGTTCATTGGGGGAAAGATGGTTATTTAAGGAATGGTATTGGAATAACAGCTAGCCATTAAAATAAAGAACATGAGATCTTTACTTCAAACCATACATTAAAAGTCCAAGAAGCCTGGGCGCAGTGGCTCACGCCTGTAATCCCAACATTTTGGGAGGATGAGGCGGGCGGATCACCTGAGGTCAGGAGTTCAAGACCAGCCTAGCCAACATGGTAAAACCCCATCTCTACAAAAATACAAAAAAATTAGCCAGGCATGATGATGGGTGCCTGTAATCCCAGCTACTTGGGAGGCTGAGGTAGGAGAATCACTTGAACCTCAGAGGCAGAGGTTGCAGTGAGCTGAGATCATACCATTACACTCCAGCCTGGACGACAGAGTGCGACTCCTGTCTCAAAAAAAAAAAAGAAAGTCCAAGTAGATGAAAGATTTCACATAAAAAATGAAACCAGAAGTACCAGAAGAAAATATAGGTGAATACTGATATAATCTTGGAGTGAGGAAGGTCTTTCTAATCATGACATAAAACCATTAACCATAAAGACTGGTTTGATCCTGAATAAAAATTTAAAATTTTTCTTCATCTCCCCCTGTATGTGTGTGGTGTATGTATGTGTGTGTGTGTGTGTGTGTGTGTGTGTGTGTTTACACCTATACATGGAGATATATCTCTATCCTATAAACAACATTTTAAAAGCACACACAAAAAATTGGGAAAAATAGTTTGGATATATATATGTTACACTAAAGGCTAACATTCTTAATATATAAGAGCACTTGTTAATAAATAATTTTAAAACACCAATAAGACACAAACATGCAACTTACAAAGAAGTACAAATGGCTTAAAAATATCTGAAAAAGTATTTAGCTTTATTTGTTATATAAAGAAGTACAAATTGAAACAACCAAATGGGATATTTTCAACTTACCTAATTGACAAAGTTTATCAGTTTTATTGGGATACAGTTATATGAAGTTCATCCTTCTAAAGTATACAATTCAGTGATTTTTAGTATATTCACACAGTTGTGTAACCATCACCACTACCAAATTCCAGAGCATTTCCCTTCCCCCCCAAAGAAGCCCCATACTCATTAGCAGTCACTCCCCATAACTTCCAGTCCTTGGCAACCACTAATCTGTCTCTGTGGGTTTGCCTTTTTTTTTCTTGAGAGGGAGTCTCACTCTCGCCTAGGCTGGAGTGCAGTGGCGCCATCTCAGCTCACTGCAACCTCCACCTCCCTGGTTCAAGCAATTCCCATGCCTCAGCCTCCCGAGTAACTGGGAATAAAAGCACACGCCACCACGTCCGGCTACTTTTTCTGAAAATATTTTTAGTAGAGACGGGGTTTCACCATGTTAGCCAGACTGGTCTTGAACTCCTGACCTCAGGCAATCCGCCCGCCTCGGCCTCCCAAAGTGCTGGGATTACAGGCGTGAGCCACCGCGCCCAGCCAGGTTTGCCTATTTTGGACATTTCATCTAGGTGGAATCATACACTATGTGGCCTTTTATGTCTGGTTCGTTTCAGTTAGCATATTTTCAAAGTTCATCAATGTTGTAGCATGTATCAGCATTTAATTCCTTTTTATGGCCAAATAGTATTCCATTGTATGGATGTATTTGTTTCCTATTCGCTGCTATAACAAATTACCACAATTTTTTTTTTTTTTTTTTTTTTTTTTGAGACAGAGTCTCACTCTGTCGCCCAGGCTGGAGTGCAGTGGCGCCATCTTGGCTCACTGCAAGCTCTGCCTCCCAGGTTCACGACATTCTCCTGCCTCAGCCTCTCTGGAATAGCTGGGACTACAGGCGTGCGCCACCACACCCGGCTAATTTTTTGTATTTTTAGTAGAGACAGGGTTTCACCGTGGTCTCGATCTCCTGACCTCGTGCTCCGCCTGCCTCGGCCTCCCAAAGTGCTGGGATTACAAGTGTGACCCACCGCGCCCGGCCACAGATTACCACAAATTTAGTAGCTTAAAACAACACAAATTTATTACTTTACAGTTCTGTAGGTTAGGAACCTGAGGCAGGTATTATTGGGCTAAAACCAAGGTGTTGTCGGAGCTGTGTTCCTTTTTGGAGGCTCCAAGGGAGATCCTTTTTCCTTCCCTTTTCCACTTTGTAGATGCCATCCACATTCCTGCGTTTATGGCTCCCTTCCTCCACCTTCGAGGCCAGCATTCAAGTCCTTCTCACACATCACTATGGCCTCCTTTTTTATAGTCAAAATTTCCTTTTTTCTTCTTTCATCTTCCTCTTCAACTTTTAAGCACCTTGTGATCACACTGGCCTATGTGGATAATCCAGGATAATCTCCCCATCTCAAGATCCTTAATCACATCTGCAAAGTCCCTTGGGGGCCATGATTTTGCCTACCACACAGATACACCATATTTTGTTTATGCATTCACTAGTTGATGGATTTGGGTTATTTCTACTTTGGAGGTATTATGAATAATGCTGCTATGAACATTCCTTTACAAGCTTTTGTGTAGATTTATGTTTTCAATTCTTTTGGATATTTGCCTAGGAGTAGAATTGCTGGGTCATATGGTAGCAATATGTTTAACTTTTTTAAAAGTGTACAATTCAGTGGTTTTTAGTATACTTACAAAGTTGTACAACCAAACCATCACCACAATCTAATTCTGGAATGTTTTCATCACTCCAGAAAGAAACCCCAGACCCGTTAGCAGTCATTCTGCATCCTCCCTTCCCCCAAACCTCTGGTAACCACAAATCTGCTTTGTCTCTGTCTACCTATTCTGGACATGTTACATAAACAGAACCACACAGTATGTGACCTTCATGAATGGCTTCTTTCATTTAGCATAACGTTACTAAGGTTTACCCACGTTCATTCCTTTTCATGGCCAAATAATATTCTATTGTATGGATAACCACATTTTGTTTATTCATTCATTGCTAATGGATATTTGGGTCGTTTCCATTTTATGCCTATTAAGACTAATGCTGCAATAAACATTCATGTGCAAATTTTGTGTAGACATACATTTTCATTTTCTTGGGTATATACCTAGGAGTGAAATTGCTGGCTCATATGTAATTCCATGTTTAACTTTTTCTTTTTCTATGAACCTGACATTGTAAACAAAACAATTTCAAAATTGTTTTCCAAAGAGGTTGTTGGCCAGGCGCGGTGGCTCACGCCTGTAATCCCAGCACTTTGGGAGGCTAAGCTGAGTGGATCACCTGAGGACAGGAGTTTGAGACCAGCCTGGCCAACAGGGTGAAACCCCCTCTCTACAAAAATACAAAAAAAAAAAAATAGCCACGCATGACGGCGGGTGCCTGTAATCCCAGCCACTCGGGAGGCTGAGGCAGGAGAATCACTTGAACCTGGGAGGCGGCGGTTGCAGTGAGCCAAAATCTAAAGAAGTTGCACCATTTTACATTCTCACCAGCAATGCACAAGGGTGTGAGGTTGTATGTCATTGTGGTTTTTACATTTCTCTAATGACGATGTTGAGCATTTTTTCATATGCTTATTGGCCATGTGTATATCTTCTTTGGAGAACTGTATATTCAAATCCTTTGCCCATTGTTTTTTGAGACGGAGTCTCGCTCTGTTGCCCAGGTTGGAGTGCAGTGGCAAAATCTCGGCTCACTGCAACCTCTGACTCCCGGGTTCAAGCGATTTTCCAGCCTCAGCTTCACAGGGCCGCGCCATCACACCCATCTAATTTTTGTATTTTTAGTAGAGACGGCGTTTCACCATGTTGGCCAGGCTGGTCTTGAACTCCTGACCTCAACTGATCTGCCTGCCTCAGCCTCCCAAAGTGCTGGGATTACAGGCATGAGTCACCGTGCCCAGCCTGCAGTAGTTTTTTATACATCTGAAGACAAGTGTCTTATCAGATATATGATTTGCAATATTTTCTCCCATCCCATGCATTGTCTTCTGTTTCCTGATGGAGTCATTTGAAACACAAAATTTTAAATTTTGATGAAGTCTATTAATCTATTTTTCTTTTTGGTGTCCTATCTAAAAAACTTTGCCTAATCCAAGGTCATCCTACTTTTTCTTCTGAGTCTTATAGTTTTAGTCCTTATATCTAGGTGTATGATCCATTTTGAATTAAATTTTTTTTTTTTTTGAGATGGAGTCTTGCCCTGTCGCCCAGGCTGGAGTGCAGGGGCACGATCTCGGCTCACTGCAAGCTCCGCCTCCCAGGTTCACGCCATTCTCCTGCCTCAGCCTCCCGAGTAGCTGGGACTACAGGCGCCTGCCACCACACCCGGCTAATTTTTTGTATTTTTAGCAGAGACGGGGTTTCACCGTGTTAGCCAGGATGGTCTCGATCTCCTGACCTCGTGCTCCACCCGCCTCAGCCTCCCAAAGTGCTGGGATTACAGGCGTGAGCCACCGTGCCTGGCCTTGAATTAATTTTTGTAAATGATGTCCAACTTCATTCTCTTCCTTGTGGACAGCCAACTGTCCCACATCATTTGTTGAAAAGACTATTCTTTCCCTCGTTGAACTGTCTTGGCACCCTTGTTGAAAACGAATTCACAACATTTTTTTAAAGATAATACCTAGTTTAGGCAAGAGTGAGGGGAAGTCTTGTACACTGCTAACAGGAGTATAAAGTAGTAGCCTTTGAAGGGCAATTTGACATGTATATACCAGTTTGAAATGTGTACACTCTGATTCAGGAACTGCACTTCTAAGAATTTATTCCAAGGAGCTAAATGTATTCAACGATGTTATGTATAATAGTAAACAACTGGAAGTAATCTAAGTGTCTATCAGTAGGAGACCAGGTGAGTAAATTATTCTCCAGTCCGTACAATAAAATATGATGCAGCCTTTAAAAATGAAGTAGATCCAACTTACTGACTGAGCAATCTCTGTGACCCATTGCTTAGTGAAAATGAAAAACGTATTATAGAGTATCATTTATAGAATTCCATTTATATAAAATTATATATTTTATATATGCATCTTCATTCGTAGAGTAATAGCTTGGAAAATATTCACAAAAATGTTAACAGTAGTCCCTCTAAGTAATGGGATTTTGGCTGGCTTTTCTTATTTATACTTTTTTGCATTGCATGAATTTGCTACATGAATGTGTATTGTCCTTAAGCCCAGAAAAAGAAAACAAATTTTCATTTTTGTAGAAGAATATCTTCAAGGAATATATATTGTAGAAGATTATTCAATGACATGGAAATATGTCTATAATATATTGTTAACTAAAAAGCAGGTTATACTATCCCACTTTTGAAAAATATTTTTAATTGTGATATTTCCTAGGTATTATACTTTTTCACTTCTATATGTGAAATATCTCTTAAAATTGACATGAATATTTGATGTTGTGGGTTCCCCCTCCCTCCCTCCTGAAAAGGTCTTACTAATGAGATGATGCTTCTCACTATCTGAGACTTGAGAAAATGCCATATGTGTGTAGAGAAAAGACTGGAGGAATAGACAACAAAACATGAACAGTGCTTGGCCCTTTAAAAAAGCCTTGGATGGAAATTCTTATTTTCTTCTCTGTAAGTATGGTTTCCAAGTTTTCTATAGTACATGCATAAATAAACATAAAAAGAAGCCAGGGGCCTAGATGCCCTTATTTTCAAGGATAAGGATATTTGCTACTTGCAGCCTTTATCAAAATAAGAGACTAGCAAATTTAGGACCACGCAAGCCACCTCAGTAGTACCAGGGTCTAGAGTGAAAAAGGACTAAAGCACAGGCCCACAGAGGGGTGCCTGGTTGGACAGGAGCAGGTAAGGCAAGCTTCGGAACAGATGGCAGAGTTCAGTCAGCAGGAGCTGGACTCTTGGATCAGTCTCAGTTCCATGTGGACAAGGAAATCCCTGTGAGGTATGAGAGGGTCCAGATGGCAGGGATGCTGGCTAATTATGGAGAAGGGCACTTCGATATTTTCCAGTGTAGCTCAGGAGCATGTTCCAAGTTCCTCAAGAGAGAACAAGGACTGTGTGAAGCAGAAAATGAGCCTGACTATTTGAGATTTAAAAACATATTTCCCCCTTAGCCAAAGGGGTAGCACATGGAGCAGAGATGGAAACAGCAGAATGTTCCTAGCCTTGGAAGAGGCTGGCAGGCTCTGGGATGCTGCTTGGGTAAGGAAGGGACTCAGGCTTGCAGTGACTGTGGCTGGGGTGCAGAGAAAAGTGAAAGGCACTCAGCTTCTCTAATGTAATTATGTCCAACCCTCAAAAGTTCTGAGATGAGCAGCCTGAGGCCCAGAGAGGCTATATGTTTTGCCCTAAAGCACACAGCCAGTAAGTGGTAGAGTGGGATTCTCATCTCACTGAAGTCCTTCTAAAAGGGAAAACCACTGAAGAAAGTTATATTAATACAGATTTATCATAATGATAGGTGGAAAAAGCAAGTTTCTAAAAAAAATCTTCAATCTGATCCCAACACTGAAAAACAATATGTATAGTACAGAAAAAAATTGCAAGGATATACAACTTAATGGTGGTTATATCTCAATGGCAGGAACTTTTAAATTTATTTTCTATTTTTAAATTTTTTCTGCACAATGAGCAAGTAAACCTTTTTAAAACAGGAAAAAAATGTTTTTTTTTTCAGAAGCAGTTGTGAGGACTAGTCGATCAAAGTAATGAGAATGAATTACAGTGAGCCCTTAATGACAAGAGAAATCTAGCTTCTTAGTAGTTATATGAATTTCAGCAAACCTACTTGGCTTTGCTGAGTCTGTTTCCTAAATACTAAAAAAAGGTGGATTATCGTCCTGCCCGGGGAGCTGTTGCTAGGATTAACTGAGAAGCAGTGTACACAAAAGTCCCATGCATAGCACTTGGCATAAGGATGGTGCTTAATAAATATTAGACCTGACTCTTGGTAGTCATAGCTCTTCCCTGCTGCACCAGGAAGGCATAGCACCTCCAGCTGGTTCAGAAAGCAGAAAGGAACCTGGGCAGGGGCCCGTTACTGGGCCTAGAGCTTCCTGTACACCTGACACATTCCCCTCCTCTGTTTTTACCATGTGGAGACTAACAGGATCTCCTCCCTTAACCCATTTTCACCTATTTGCCTCTCCCTCTCCCCTTGTCTCAATAATCTCAGCTGCCTAGATGGTATTTTTTAGTACATGTGACACTATTTTCAACATAACATACATTTGCAAAGCATCTGCTATGTTCTAAAGATGGACCCCAGGTCCTCCTCTCCATTCCTATCATCCAGAAATACTTCTCTGAGTTCTAATTGAGAAGTTAGATCCTTCAATAACTACCATTTGTTGCCGAACTGCAATAATAGAGGTACACACACTAAGTTGTGGAAACTCCGGGCTGGGGAAGAGATATGTTCTTACCAGTGTATGCACATGCGTGTAGAAGAGGACGGGAAGAATGGAAGTATTTAAAGAGTAATCATTTCCTCACTCTATATTATATATCAGCTTCATATACTGTCGTTACTAAAATGTGCCCATTCTGTTAAGCTGGTTTCAGAGCTAGTTAAATCAATGACCTAGTAGGGCTGTTTCCTCTCATCTTCAGATTTATTAAAGTCTGTCCACAGCCACAAAGTTTGTGGGGAAGGCTCAAGTCATATGATGACATGACAAGTAACATGCTGTTGCTGAGGCAGCGGGGTGGGGCACAGGTCCAAGGAGTTACAAACTGGCTCGGAGTGTTCCGCTCAGACATTTTAGAGCTTTTTGGAATACATAGCCATTCTGATTAACAGGCAGTTTTAAGGCTCAAGGGGTGCCAAAACCTGGCATTATTTGATATTTTTATTACTTACTGGTCAAACGTTAACATCAATGGAAGTAAAAAGAAGTTCATTCTTAGTTTGGTCTAACAAACTGTTTTTACATTTCCTTATTCCCTTTCAGCCCTTGTTGAAATCCATAAATCCATGGACATGATAATACTTGCAGATTAGATATAATTGAATATTCTACATCTTTCTCACACACAGATGCAGAGAATGATGTTAAGAGCAGCAATATTCAAAACCCAGGCGCTGTGACAACAGCCCCTTCAGGCCTGTAGACTGACAGTCCCGTAGAAGATGTTGGCAGGGCAATGAGACACACCCTGCTCTGCCTGTGTTATTTATGCCTCTGGCAGTGAAGCCCCTGACAAAGAAGCATGTCACTGGAACACATGCTCTTTGTTCACAGAGGTGCATGCCAGCACCGGCTGCGTAAGAACGGACAGTGCCGTGTCTGTAGTCTCTCCTCCTTTGGCTCTTTTGCCTTCTATTTGCAGCACATTGTGGCTATGTTTATTAATTACTTTGTGGCTTAATACTATAAAACACACATCTATCCTGTGAGCTATGTACCCTAGGGAAAGAGTCCTTCATACCCTCCAGTTGGCCATAAAGAGAGGACAGAGTCTCAAGATTTGCCCTGATGCTAAGGATTAATACCACCTCCTCCGGGAGCCATCAGGTTACCACTCTCTAGCACAGAGCTACCACGTTTAAGACTCCTTCAGCACCATCCCCCCTTTTCCTGCACGAGGACACTTGCATGCTGTTTGGTATTAAAAGCCCTCTGCAACTGTTCCCAACCTACAGCACCAAAGTAGCCCCCCACCATGCTATGACTCCACTCTAGCCAGACTGATGATGTAGCACAAGATGGTGGGCTGTGGAGTCAGACCTATCTGGGTGTAAATCCTAGCTCTGCTTCTTGCTGGACGTGCAGCTTAAGATTCCTGAGCTCCTCATCTGTAAAATGATTAAATTATCACCTACTTCAGAAAGTTGTCTGAGAATTAGAGAAATAATATCAAGCCCCTTAAAGCAGATCCTCAATAATCGCTTGTTGGCTCATGAAACCGATTTTTTGTTTTGTTTTGTTTTGTTTGGTAAAAGCCCTCATTGCATAGCCCTGTGGTTCTCATAACCTTAGTTACAGACCTTTTGTAACCCTGAGAACATCTGTCTCCATTTTCCCTTGTCATAAAGACGTCTGCTGAGACTACAAACGGAGTCAGGGAACTACTACCAGAAAGTTTTTCTTTTCCCATATTCCTTCTAAAACTTTCATCTTCAAATGTTAACTCACTCAGTATTTTAAAAGCTGATATATAATTGGTTTACAACTAAATTTGGGTTGTTTGCCACTAAAACTTAGGTAAAATAGGAAAGGGGGCACTTTCTTAACTTCCATAAAACTTCATGTTAATACATAGAATTTCAAGTTTTTCTTTAACAAATTGTTCTTAGTTTTTGGTGCTTCTTGTCAGTACGATCTTCTTAGATTGTATTTGATTTGACACATTATGTATTTACTTATTGTACGCTGAATATAACGTCATTCCCCGGTGTTCTGCAAAGCACAACACTCATCCCGATCTGGTGCTCTAACCCCTGGGACCCTTTGGGCCAGACCATGACAAAGGCTGCCTGCCAGGTTTCAGCGAAACTTAGACCACCAAGAATTTACACACTTCACAGGGGTGCCCTAAGGAATAAATGAGATTAAAAAAAAAAGTCTGCGGGGAAACCCTGAGGCCCTATTAGAAATGCTAATCGTTTCCTTCTCTAGCTCCTATTAAAATGTTAGAAAACCGAGGGAGACTCTCCTGAACAGGGTGGGGATGCTCGGCTGCTCTGTGGCTTAGCAAGCGACCCCAGCTGCCCTGCCAGGGCCGGTCGGCCGCGATTCCGTCCCGACGGGGGGGATCCTCGGCGGCACTACGGACGCCAGTCTGCCAAGGAGGCAGCGGGGTTCGGCCTGTTGGCCCCAGACTGTGTGGCAGGCAAAAGGTGAACGTCAAAGCCTGTCCCCGGCTTCTTCACATCTCGCGCCTCCGCGGGCGTCGGGCCGCCCCCGTGAGCCTCCCCGGATGGACTGGGTTTTAGGGACCCCCGCAGCCGGACTGCAAAGCTTCCCACCAACCCTTCCCGCGAACCTCCCAGCCCGGGCCGCAAGCCCAGCTCCGGGCGCGACGACGTGGGGCCGGAGGTAGAAGGAGTCTCAGCGCGGCGGGGGCCGGGGGGCGGGGAAGCCCCCCCACCCACGAGAAAGGTCTTACATCAGCCGCCCCACGTGCAATCGGAGAGAGGGAGGAAGTCGCTCCTCTATTCGGGCTGCGCCTTTCCCCAGCCTCCGCCCCGCCCGCCGCGAGTCTCCCCGCCCCGCCTTGGTGCAGCCGCGGCCGCCGAGCCGAGCAGCGCCGCGCGGGGCCGAGTGGAGCCGAGCAGCTGCCGCGCCGCGTCGCCGGTTTAAGCGCAGTGCAGGCCGCGGCCGGGGGCGGCGGTAGTGAGCCCAGCGCTGCGCTCCAGCCCCCTTTTCCCTCCATGGTTTCTCTCCGCTCCCGTGAGTAACTTGGCTCCGGGGGCTCCGCTCGCCTGCCCGCACGCCGCCCGCCACCCAGGACCGCGCCGCCGGCCTCCGCCGCTAGCAAACCCTTCCGACGGCCCTCGCTGCGCAAGCCGGGACGCCTCTCCCCCCTCCGCCCCCGCCGCGGAAAGTTAAGTTTGAAGAGGGGGGAAGAGGGGAACATGGACATGAAGAGGAGGATCCACCTGGAGCTGAGGAACCGGACCCCGGCAGCTGTAAGCAGAGACCCCTCTGGGTGCCCTCTCCCCCGATGACTTGCATGTAATGGTGGCCACCTGCGGGGCCCGGGCTGAGGGTTCGCCGGCCCCGGCGCGGGGAAGAGCGCAGCTCGTGGGCTCGGACGGGGAAGGCGGGCGGGCGCGGAGGGGGGAGCGAGCGCGCGAGGATTAACTCTTTGCCGCCCGCGGGCCCCTGGGGCGGCCGGGGGGAGGCAGCGGTGTGGGGGAAAGCAAACTTTGAGCGCTTCGCCCGCCGGGGTCTTTCCCCTGAGGGAGCGCGTGTGCAAGTGGCCGGCGGCGAGAGAGGGAGGCGGGGGTTGTGTAACGCTGGGAGCCATGTTTGCAGCCTCCCGGGATGCGCGGCCGGGCGGAGGCCCGGCCTGCCGAGGAGCTGCGCGGCCATCCCCGCCTGGGCCAGGCCGGGCTCCGCGCGCCCCGGGCCGGCCGGGGAAGGGGCGCGGGTGGGGCGGGACGGGGGCTCTTGTGGCCGGAGCTCGCCGTGGGCGCCGGCCCGGCCGAGGTCAGCAGTCGTGGGGCGAGGAGGGGGCTTTTTTCTTTTGAAGGGAGCGAGAAGCCCCCTCGGGCGCCTGGAGGCCTGGGCGGGCGCGGCCCGGCGCGCGGAGCGGGGGAGGGGCGGGCCAGGGCGGCGGAGGTGGCGCAACCGCCGCCCCTCCCGAGGCCAAGTTTGAAAAAAGGACGTGGTTCCCGCCATTTTTCAAGCCCAAAAATAAAACTTTCTCCCCCGTTCTCTCGCTCCCTCTTCGCCCTCGGCCTTGCCCACTCCTGCCTCCCAGGGGCAGCCCGGGTCGACCAAGGCCAACCGTTGTGGCGACGGCCTCGCCCTTCCCCCTGTGCCGCGGCGGCGGCGCCCGGGGCCCCTGCCCTTGCCCCGGGAGGCTGGCCCCTCCGTGTGGGCGGGCGGCGGCTCTTCACGCCAGCCGGGGCGCGCCACAGGCCGCCGCAGCGCCATGTTGGCGGGTGCCCGTCTCCCTGCGCCTGGTGAGCCGGCCCACGAGCTTGGCCTTGCCCGCCCGCCCTCGGCGCTGGCTGGCGGCCGCCTCTTCCCGCGCCGAGCCCTCGGTCTGTTTCCCCCCGCCCCGCCGGGGCTTGGCTCCCACTGGCGGGAGCCGCGCGCCGCGGCCGCCGCCGACTCATCCCGTCGCGGGCGCGCTGCCGACCCCCTCCCCCTTCTTAAAAGGGCAACGGCAGGCGGCCGCCCCCGCCCCGCGCCGGGCGCGCGGGATTTTGGGCGGGCTTCGGCTCGGCTCGTGGGCCGGGCGGCCTCTGGCCTCCCACGTGCTTGAGAGCGGCCTGGTGCGGTCGGCCGCGCGCCTTGCGGGCTGTAGGGGCCTGAGGGCGGCCCTCTTGCGGCGCGGCTGCGTGGGCGTGGGTCCGACCTGTGGGAATTGCCCCATTCGTCTCCCGGGTTTAGCGCGGCTGCCCGCCGTCGCGAGCCCCCCCCCCGCCGCGGACCGGCGCGGGCCAGTTAGCGCCGCGGCCGGGTGCCCCAGCGGGCCAGTGGCTTTCCCGCGGAGGGCGGCCCCGCGGGGCCTCCCGACCCGCTCTGGGCTAAGCGAGCGGCCAGGTTTCGTGCCCTCAGGTGGCTGTGGTTAACAAGTCGCGAACTTGTGGGAATTCGTCGACCAGGGTTTACCTGGTGTGCTCGACATTTTAAATCCTTGCTCTCTAGTCTTTGAGGTCACCACTAACGCGGGGCGGGCCGGGCTCCACCGCACGGCGCTGTCCTTCCCGGAGGGCCCGCGAGGGTGGGCCGCTCCGGGGGTTGCGAGATGGAGGGTCGCGGGCGTGCGTTCTTCCGACCTTCCGTCAGACATTTTGTGCCCGCCACGTGCTAGCCTATCGCCCAGCTCGCGCCTCAAAACTTGAGAGGCTTTCTTGGCTTGAGAAGGTGTTTATTCCAGACTTTTCCATTGCGGCGTAATTGCAAATCCGTAGAATATGGAGTAGCTAAAATTAGCCAAAGTGCCCGCAAGAGAAGTACACACGTGGGTCTTCAGAAATGCGTTAAAATCTAGAATTTGAATTCTTTAGGATATGCTCAAACTAAAGGTCTTTTAAAATTCTCAAGAGTAGTGTTCCCTCTGGGAAACACAGTTGGTCTGCTGTTCCCCTTAGAGGATGTTTTCATATATGAAGTAATATTGCTTTAAAAACACATGTATATCTACAGGTGTTCATTTTTCTTTTTTCTGTTTTTCTTTTTTTTTTGAGACTGAGTCTCTCTCTTGCCCAGGCTGGAGTGCAATGGCACTATCTCGGCTCACCTCAGCCTCCGCTTACCGGGTTCAAGCGATTCTCCTGCCTCAACCTCCCGCGTAGCTGGGATTACAGGCATGCGCCACCATGCTCGGCTAATTTTGTATTTTTAGTAGAGGCGGGGTTTCTCCCTGTTGTTCAGGCTGGTCTCCAACTCCTGACCTCGGGTGATCCACCCGCCTCGGCCTCCCAAAGTGCTGGGATTACAGGCGTGAGCCACCGCCCCCGGCCACCAGTTCATTTTTCAAGTAATCAGCTTAACCTTCTTGCCAGTCAGGCCAGAGCCATTTAATTCAGTTAAATTAAAACATTTTCTCTGTAATACTATCCACATTTCAAGTGCTCAGACGTGACAAGTGGCTCGTGGGTGCTGCGTTAGGCAGCACTGGCCTGCAGAATCCACTGGTTTATTAAGTAAACATTTTAAGCCTGAGAAACCATTGAGGTGGTGTGGTGCTTTTTGCACTTGGGAGAGTTGATGAGGCCTTGAGAGAGTGTTGTGGGAGCCAGCTAAGATTGTGGGGGTAGAGGAAGGTTCCCTTAGGGAGACTGAGACCAGTGGGAGTTAGGTACCCAGTTGGGCGAATAAAACTTTGACCTAAAAGTGAAGGGTTTTTCAGGAAAAAATGCTGTAGATTTTGAAGGAAATTCTAAAAGAGAGTTTAAAGTGTTTTCGCACAGAGGCGTCATCCTTAAGGCAAATGAAAAGTTTGGAGATCACTCTCTTAAAATCACATTCAGCTAGTCACATGATACCTTATGTGTGATGTGCTGGAACATGCCATAAACACCACAGAAATTGATGGCATTGTCAGCTGTTACACAGTAGGCTTGGCCTCTGGGATCCTGCAGACTTGTCGTGTGGGGTAACATGAAGAATCGTTTCCCTTGTTGAAGGTATACTGTTGTTGTATGAACAGGATGCCCTGAAATATACAGCAGTGTCCCATGGTTGACCTTAATGATTTTAAAGTCAAGTGAGATTTAAGGGTGTTTGAAGAGGGCGAATAGGGGTTTAATTGTAAATATGTTCTTACGTTTAAGACCAGATGGGCTTTTATTGTGTATATGGCTTTTTTTTAATTACTGGGGTTTGAAGAAGACCCTAGTAACACTTTTGTTCAGTTGGGCTCTTGTGTGTTCTGACCAAGGAAGACAAGAAGGTAAACACAAAAGTGTTACTAGGGTCTTCTTCAGTTCACCTGTTACTATATCCCTATTCCTTATAAACACAAGTATGCCCATTTCCCTAAGGGATGGGGGCGAGGGATTGTAAAGAAATACAGAATTTTATTTATTTTTTTCTAAGTCCAAAAGAGCTCTTATGGCAGGGTATATTCTCATAGTGGAACAAAATGGCCTAAGATGGCATTTTAAAGTAATCTTCATGAAGAATGGTGGTTACCATTTAAAAACATTTTATAGACAAGGATAGGAGATAGTTTGTATGACAAGGAAATATTTTATATAAAATATTGGCAGTTCACTGAGAGTAAATTGAACAGTGCTAGAATACACCATATATACACCATGGAAATTGGAGGTCTTGTCAGTAAAATGAGAAGACACTGACATGCAGTAGCTAGATATAAACCACATTTAGTTGTATTCTAAAATTGGAAAAGAATACCTGTTCTTTATGTGAGATTCTTATCCTTCCAGTAAACTGAACATGTCGCTCTGTTAGAAGCACCTCATTAACCACGCATCTGGGGACAGTCAGCCTTCCTATCAGCTCTGAGTTTTTCATTCAAAGTTAGAAAGCCAAGCAGTTCCTTACTGTGGCTTGCAGTCTATGCACCTGCGAAATGCTGGTGTGCTATATGCTGGACTGTGACATTTCATATACCAAAATAAAAGTCTTTACGTAGTCCCAATTTACTGAGAAAAAATGTAGATTGTCTTTAACTTCCATCTTTTTTTGATCCGCACCCCCTCCCCAGCTTTTGACCTCTTTTGTTGTGTCTACTGTGATGTAATTTTGAGCTCAATTGGATATTCTAGTTGGTTGCATAGCAACTAATTGGGGTTTTTTTCCTTGTATAAGTAATACATCTTCGTTTAAGAAAAATTAGATATAGATAGGCCAAAAAATTGTAGGTATAGACAAGCAAAAAGAAGATAGACATCATACATGCCTAACGTACCATCTAGACACTTTAGTGTATTATAGTCTACCAGAATGTTTAAATTTTTTCTAAACTTGGTTCATGCAAATAATCCAAATGCTAGCTAGCTTGTTGCTTTTTTTTTTAGAAAAAAAATACAGTCAACATCTTTGTGTGTGTCCTTATTTTATAGACTCATTATTAATGTCTGCATAGATCATAATTTAAACATCCCTCTCAGGTTGTTCACAGGGATTTTGGCTGTTTTAAATACTGCTGAAATGAGCATCTTATAATGTGATTTTTTTTTCCATCTGCCAGATTGCTTTTCAGAATGGTTCCCGTCTTTAAATACCCACCAGTAGAATATTGGTGTTTCCTTCCTTAATGCCAGCAGTCGTGCTACCTAAACACATTGGAGAACCACTAATAGAGATCCGTTCCAGGCTGGGCACAGTGGCTCGTGCCTATAATCCTAGCACTTTGGGTGGCAGAGGAGGGTGGGTCACCTGAGGTCAGGGATTCAAGACCAGACCGGGCAACATGGCGAAACCCCGTCTCTACTAAAAATACAAAAATTAGCCAGGTGTGGTGGCAGGCACCTGTCATCCCAGTTATTCTGGAGGCTGAGGCAGGAGAATTGCTTGAACCCCGGGGACAGAGTTTGCAGTGAGCCAAGATAACACCACTTCACTCCAGCATAGGCAAAAGAGCGAGACTCCATCTCAAAAATAAAAATAAAATAATAAAAAGTTCTATTAATTTAGAAACATTATTTTAAAATAATGGGTAGAAGATTTGAATACTGGTTAACTCAGAAGAATGGAAATTGCAAGGATGGCAGGAATTACTTTCTATATTTTGGGATTATTTCACTTACCATAATAACCAGTATTGTTCTAATTAAAAGAATTGACAACTCAGAAAGATCTTTAATTCCTCCATACCCTTTCCTCCTTTTATGGCAGAGACAGCTGGTATAATTGGAGAGCATCGCCCCACCAGTTAGGTAAAGTTGATCTTTTTTCATAATAGCTAGGGGAGTGGCAAATGAGCAAATTGAAGAGAATGAAAGGAAAAAAAATGTTTCCATCTCCTGTGGCCCCCAGCTCCAATCCCCAGGGATATTCCCATGACCTAGACTCATCATAACTTAAAGAAGGACCTCATAGGCATTTTGCCATTTAGAACTTAAAATGTGTTTTGTTTTTCATAGAGGTAGTGTTATAAATCATTGTTATATCCTCCAGTCAGATCTGAAAAGGTATTTGGCTGCAATATAGTTCAAATTTTTCAATGAAAAAGTAGTAGGAAACTACTGTTTGCTGGTAACTGTAGAAAACAAATATGAGTTAAGTAGGAGGTAGTATGGATTTTTCATTTTTAAGTGTTTACCTTAAATTTGTGTTTGAGAAAAGGCAAGTTTAATTGGAGCATGAGGGAAGAAGAGGAGTGAATTTGGCCCCAAAAGTTAAACTGTCCATCTTCAAGCAGAAGGCCAGTTAACTCTTGGATCAAATAGATCCCTCAGATTTAAGCACAAATGAACAAGTGCCTGCCTAACTTTCTTCATTAGATAGCAGCTCTGGGAGGATTTGAGATATAAGAAGAAACTAGGGCCTTTTCTCCTTTGATTAGGACCTCTGGTTTATTCTGAATCTAGATTGGGAAGCTGTGGGATCATCTTGACCCCAGCTCCACTCACTGTCTCAACTACACTCTTCCAAAGCTGTTATCTCCTTTGCAAGGCAGTCTAGATCTCTATACCCAGGAAGGAATGAAAAGAGATGAGGCTTAGTTACCTCTGTGGAGATCCACTGAGAACCCCAGAGTTGATATAAAGATTGTTTTAAACTGAAGAGATTTGAGATTCAACAGATGCAGAGAGAAGCCTACTTGGAGTTTATCTGGCTAAAAGCAAATACATGTCACAAACGAGGGCTGACATAAATTCTCCCTTTGGAGTGAGTCTGTTCCCAGGAGAGAGGCCAAGAGTAAACCTCTGGTAGGGGTTGGAGGGGTAGTCTTTTGGCCCTAAGAAAAGAAAGACCACTCATACCTATGTAGACAGACATTGTAAACTTGATCTCTCATTTGTTCTGAAAATACCATTTGTGTTCCCTAAAGAAATCTGTTCTTCCCAAAAGGTTTTTCTCCTGCTGTCCTTTCCTCTTCTAAGTTAGGTATATAAGCCCTAAATTCTAACTACTCAGTTATCACTGAGTGTGAGTGCACCTGTGTATGTGTGTTGCACATGTAAATACACTTTTTCTGCACCTCAAATGCCACTTTTCTGCCATTGAAACAATATCCGAGCTCAGAATACCTTTCATCAAGGTCCTGTTAAGAACTTTCAACAACCTTGAAGTTGGCTGATGGAACATTTAGACCTGCTATCCTTGGGTACAGCCCTAAGTGGGGCCCTCCAGTGGTCTCTGCTTTATGCAGTAATTCCCATTCTCCTCTGTGCTTATTCCCCAGTGACTCATCTTCTCAGTATGCTTCTGGCGTTCTGTTCTTGGGGTGGCATGTTTCTTTACATTCTCAGCCTTTCTGGAAAAGTCAAGGGACTTGCCTTTTCTGCCTAGCCCAACAACTCTCTGCCCTATTTATCCCAGTATATCTTATTGCCTCTTACTGGTAGAGGCAATTAAAGGTCTCAGGTATTCATTTCCTGAACTTCTCATTCTCACTTAACAAACTCACCTACATCTGTGTCCATCCTAGCCATCTCTCTTGAAGGAGCTGTCCCTCCTCCAACAAGAGTAGAATGATACCTCATTTTTAATATGCACTTTTACTGCTTACAGTTGAACCTTTTTTTTTTTTTTTTTTTTTTTGAGACATAATCTTGCTCTGGTGCCCAGGCTGGAGTGCGGTGGCGCAATCTTGGCTCACTGCAACCCTCCGCCTCGCGGGTTCAAGCATTCTCCTGCCTCATCCTCCCGAGTAGCTGGGACTACAGGTGCACACCACCATGCCCGGCACATTTTTTTGTATTTTTAGTAGAGATGGGGTTTCGCCAGGTTGGCCAGGCTGGTCTCAAACTCCTGACCTCAGGTGATCTGCCCGCCTCAGCCTCCCAAAGTGGTTGGGATTATAGACGTGAGCCACCGTGCCCAGCCAAACTTTTTTTTTTTTTAACTGGGTCTCTGTGGCCCAAGCTGGAGCATAGTGGCATGATAATGGCTCACTGCAACCTGGACCTCCTGGGCTCAAGTGATCCTCCTGCATCAGCCTCTCAAGTAGCTCGGACCACAGGCATGCACCACCATGCCCAGATAATTATTTATTTTTTGTAGAGACAGGGTCTCCCTATGTTGCCCAGGTGACTCTTGGACTCCTGGGCTCAGGTGGTCCTCCCACTTCTGCCTCCCAAAATACTGGGATTGTAGGCACTAGCCACTGCACCTGGCCTTGAACAGTTTTTTTTAGTGTTGGCTATTTGTGTCTTTTAGAGCTTGTCTGTCCTTCGTTAGTGTTTCTGCTGGGGTATTTATTTTTTCCTCACTTAGGGTAAAAAAAATAGAAGATATCCTCAAGAACAAGATAAATGCAAATAGCCAGAATTTCCGTAATCGAGAGGTTACAAAAAGTAACAGTCAAATAAATCAGAAAATAATTTTGTGGCAGTTAAAATGAACTACTCATTTAAAAGAGAAGTTGACATTTTAAATAAAGAACTCTTAACTAATAACACACTCAGATGTTTGTATTCTTTCACTTAGCAATGGATTCTGAAAACACAGTCCTAAATACAGAAGACATTTTAAGTAAAGATATGGCATTATTTATAGTAGGGAAAATTGAGCACAAATGTTCAACACGAAGGATTGTAAAGTGATTTATAATATATCCACACACTGTGCTTTCTTAAAAAATACTCTGTGATCAGAAAGTTGGTCCCTTTTATGTCCAGGTTTTCATCTTAGTCCCCCACAATTGTGACACAAACCTCTGTACAATATTGCTGACAAACCTGTGACCGTTTTTTTCCTCATTCCGCAGTTATGTAGGCTCTTACACAGTGATATAGTGGTAACCAGAATATACATGATCCTGTCATCATGAAGCTTAGTCTAGCGGTGACTTTTTTTTTCTTTTTCTTTTTGAGATGGAGTCTCCTTTTTCACCGAGGCTGGGGTGCAGTGGCACATTCTCAGCTCACTGCAACTTCTGCCTCCCAGGTTCAAGCAATTCTCCTGCCTCAGCCTCCCAAGTTGCTGGGATTACAGGCACACGCCACCATGCCTGGCTTATTTTTGTATTTTTAGTAGAGATGGGGTTTCACTGTGTTGGCCAGGCTGTCTTGAACTCCTGACCTTAGATGATCCGCCCGCCTTGACCTCCCAGGAGTGTTGGGATTACAGGCATGAGCCACCACGCCCAGCCAGCAAAAACATTTTTTAACCTGCATTTGAGTCCTGTGATACTTTCTGATGACGCCTTGCAGTGGTTCAAGTGGAATTTTGCAAGTTGAAAGAAATGTCTTTAAGAGGTGATTTCACTCTGTGAGCTGAGAGGCAGTGTGGCTAACTCTTAATTCTTCTTCACTTCACTTTTGGCATATTGGTGTATTTTGTATAACGTTTTTGGATTATTTTGGATAAAATTATAGAAACTCTCCCAAGCTAAATGGGAACATTTTAATTGTATTGCAGTATACTGTTTACATTGGTGGGTGATGACAGTCGACCTTTTTAAAATTTTAATGGTTCGTTGGTTTTATGTTTAGTTGCTTTTTAATACAGAATAAATACATGGTTGTAAAAAACTTAGTACAGATATAAGTAAAGTAAACAGCAAAGGTCACTGACATTTCCCATTCCCTTTACCCAGAGGTTACTTTCTGGGCATTTATAATGTTCCAAGCCCTAGTCTCTACAACTTCATGAGGTAGGTACTATTATCTCCACTTTATGGGAAACTGAGGCACAGAGAAGTTAAGTGACTCGCACAAGGTCGCACAAGTTCTGAGTGGCAGAGGTGAACCAGGATTCAACCCCCGGCATATGTCTCCAGAGCCCAGCTTTTGTCAGAGTTGACCTATTAAGTTTTCAGATGTGCCCATTTCTTATCAGAAAAGGGAAGAATGGCAGAGATACCTAAAGAAAAGTGGAAGGAAGGAAGAAGTAAGTGGATGTAAAGAGTAAAAAGGATGCCTGGCTTCTGAAGAGGAAGTAGACAGGGTAGTGAGAAGCGGTTAGGCACTTACTATGTTGTGGGCATTGCTGACTTGAAATCTGTTTCCTTCTCTGTAAATGGGGGAAGGAGAGTGGTGGTAAAAAGAATAAATGATTAAGTACTCTATAATTGATAGCAATTACTAGAGTAGCATCATTGGATTTTGTATGAGAGGATGAGGACACTGTTAATAGCTCCTCTTCTCTTTTCAGACTGTCAGCATCTCCCTACTGTATACATGCTTGATTAATGCTATTAAATATGGTAGGTTCACTAAAAGAATGCCTTTGTTGGTGCAGTTAAAATGGTAATTTGCATCACTGTGAGTAGATCAAAGTGAGCTAAAAAGTTGCAAGTTTCAGGATGATCATAGAGCAAGAATGGCAATATGGATTATTGTGGTGGATCTGCATGTAGACTATTAAATAATCAATATTCAAAAGTTCAAATCATCAGATGTGATACTGTTTTTGAGATGGAGTCTCACTCTGTTGCCCAGGCTGGAGTGCAATGGCGAAATCTCGGCTAACTGCCACCTCCACCTCCCAGGTTCAAGCGACTCTCCAGCCTTAGCCTCCCAAGTAGCTGGGATTACAGGCACTCGCCATCTTGCCTGGCTAATTTTTGTATTTTTGTAGAGGGGGTTTCACCTTGTTGGCCAGACTGGTCTTGAACCCCAGACCTCAGGTGATCTGCCCACTTCAGCCTCCCAAAGTGCTGGGATTACAGGCGTCAGCCACTGCGCCCGGCCAGATGTGATACTCTTGGATGGACTTAAATTCTGAAAAAGAGACTGTGTAGCCTGAAAATGCAATTTAATTTATTATGTAGCAGTTCTCTGCTAGAAACATCTTTCTCAAGTGCAATCCAGATTGATCTTTGTTTTGAATTAAGGACTCTTGCATCCTGATTTTTTTTCCCAGTGTCAAGATAATCTTGGCAAAGATTACTAAAACCAGAGTTGGAAAGTGCGTTGGTGCAGAAACCTCTAGCCAGAATCTCTTAGTGGTCTTGATAGGAAACATAAAGCTTTCCTCTTTTCCAGGGGTCATCTTCTGGGCCTTAAGGTAGACCCAGCCTAAAGAGTGTCTTCATTCTGCATTTGCATTTAGATAAAAGCTGCCCTTTGGGGAACAGGCTGGAGAAAAGAAATAAGGGGAATACGCTTACTTCACTTATATCTTAAAAAGTATAGTTTCTGTTTCTGGAAAAACAAAGAGCGTAAGTGTTTATACCCATGGAATAATATTCCATCTTTGAACCTGTCAGTATATTGTTACTGAAGGCTTAATCAGTTTTTATCTTTTTATAACTATGATCTAGGTCTAAGTAAGAGGCTGCCTGTATATATGGGTGTTTTTGCAGGATATTTATGGTAGAAGTTTCTGCATTGTTGTTTGTTTTCAATGTGTTTTTGAGAGCTTATCCTTTTTTCTTTGTCATCCACAGGTTCGAGAACTTGTCTTGGACAATTGCAAATCAAATGATGGAAAAATTGAGGGCTTAACAGCTGAATTTGTGAACTTAGAGTTCCTCAGTTTAATAAATGTAGGCTTGATCTCAGTTTCAAATCTCCCCAAGCTGCCTAAATTGAAAAAGGTAAGTGCTTTTTCTTTAACAGTAAAAGAGAACGATCCTGGGAAGGGAAAATGTATGATTTTACCTGTAAGGAAGCACTTAGTGTAGCAGAAAGCACATGGCCTTTGGAACTGGGCAGATATGGGATTGAATTCTAGCCCTAGCATTTCCTTGATGGGCAAACTTCTGCAGGTTACTTAATCTCTCTAAGGCCCAATTTCCTCACCTGTAAACTGGTGGTATTACTTGACCTTGCAGAATTGCTGTGAAGTTTGGAAATAATGCATGTTGGGTGCTCAATAAGTAGTAGTTAGGAAGAATAATTACTGTGTTGAGTAATTTATTTGTTAATTGTTATAAAAACAATTCTCTATCCTTTCGGAAAAAGGGACCAAATGCAACATAAAAATGTTTTCTCTTGTCACTGCACATTTAACTGTCACAGAGTCCCAGAATGTCAGAACTGGAAGAAACTTTGCTCCTCTAACCCAACCCCTTATTTTATAGGCACAGCAATAGTCCCAGGAAAGTGTAGTAATTTGCCTAAAGCCACCCACAGAAGTGGTTAGTACTAGAGCCAAAACTAGAACCCGTATCTCCTAACCCCATACCCTTCCCATTATATAGGAAAAGATATGTGGTTATATAAGTCTTGCAGAATTCTCTGCCATTTCAATATTCGCTTTACTAGGAAAGTTAAGTTGTACCTTTATTTAAACTAAGGCACACGTAGAAGGAAACTAATCAAACTTGGGCAAAGGTAGGTTGTGCCTAGAGCTTGCTTGAGTTCTGAGTGGGACAGTTAGTTTTTTGGTATTGGGGTTTGTTTGTTTGTTTGTGGTTTTACAGCAGGTGGAGTGGGTTAAGTATAATACATGAGGCCAGTCATGGTGGCTCACGTCTGTAATCCCAACACTTTGGGAGGCCAAGGTGGGAGGATCACGTGAGGTCAGGAGTTCGAGACCAGCCTGGCCAACATGGCAAAACCCCATCTCTACTAAAAATACAAAAAAATCAGCTGGGCACGGTGGCACGCACCTGTAGTCCCAGCTAGTCCGGAGGCTGAGGCACAAGAATTGCTTGAACCCAGGCGGTGGCTGAGGTTGTAGTGAGCCAAAATCACACCGCTGCATTCCAGCCTGGGCGACAGAGCAAGACTCTGTCTCGATTTAAAAAAAAAAAAAAAAAAAAAGTATAATACATGAATTAAAAACTGGAAGTATTTTTTGTTTTGCTTTCTTTATTTGCCTTGTTTAGGTAATATTAAATGCTCAAGCAGTCTTCGTGAGTTTCAGGTGACCGTTTCTGATGAGAAAGAAATTTCCCCTTCTAAGTATACTAGAGGTTCAAGTATAATTCTTTTATATTTGCATGGGTTATCAGTGACATTGGAAGCTCTGATTAGCCCAGTTAAACATAGTATAGCTTTTTAGCATCTATTTACATAAACTTGATGCTAGCAGATCCTTAGTGTGTGTTTTGTGTTGTTTTCCTAGCATTCTGATTTATTTTCCCAAATTACTGTTGGTCTCTGTACTCTCAGACTTATTCAGAAATTCAGCCTATCAGTGACCGTTTTTATAGGGACTTTAATAAACCTTTCAGAATTCTGAATAGAGCTTGTTTGAGTTCTGAGAAGGACAGGGTTTTTGTTTTTGTTGGTTTTGGGTGGGAGGGCACGTTAAGTACACAAATTAAAAACTTTTAACATTTAAAACATTAATCACTTCCCTTATAGGGCTAATGAGAGGGAATCATACTTAAAGGCAGGTTGAGTGTACTCATGATTGATAAGAACTTTATTTTCTTCCTATTCCAGAACACAAATTGGTTTTGTTTTGTTTTGTTTTTGAGATGGAGTTTAACTCTTGTTGCCCAGGTTGGAGTGCAGTGGTGCCATCTCGGCTCACTGCAACCTCCGCCTCCCAGGTTCAAGCGATTCTCCTGCCACAGCCTCCTGAGTAGCTGGGATTACAGACATGCACCACCACGCCTGGCTACTTTTTGTATTTTTTTTTTTGTAGAGATGGGGGTTTCACCATATTGGTCAGGCTGGTTTCGAACTCCTGACCTCAGGTGATCAGCCCACCTCGGCCTCTCAAAGTACTGGGATTACAGGTGTGAGCCACCGTGCCCGGCCCACAAATTGTTTTTAACAAGAAATAAGTACTGAAAAAAAATTGATGTGTAAATGTCACAAATTTTCTAAATTTACACATCTATTTCATTTCAAAATAAATATGCTAATAAATGTTTTGGTAGACTGCCTTGTTTTGGTAGATTGCCTTGTTATTCCTACTCCCTAAGATACACATGTTGAAAGGATGTGGATGTTACATGTGTATGTGATATTCTAACCACAGGGTCTAAAACATGGGTTAAGAAAAGTTATCTCTGTTTTTATTTTGATTTACTAAAATCACCAATAAAGCTAACACTTGACTCTATTGATTATGGGCTTATGTTTTTAAACCTAGACCATGACTATTTCACTGAAATATCCCATTGAAAGGAAAAAATGTTTTGAAATGTTACATTTTCTTCTTCTGAAATATTTAATAACACCTTAAGCAGCTGACCTGTTTTTTTAACTGTTTTTCAGCAGATATTTACATTTTTAAAAGTTACTCTACTCTGCATCATATAGTACATTTCATTGCATGGCAAAAACTTCATTACATGAAGCTTTCATGCTATTCTAGGTACGTAGCATAATAATGAGGACATGGATATTTATGAAGCCAGCCTGCCTGGCTTCAAATCATAGGCCCACTACAGTAACAGCTGGGCGATGTTGGGCAAGTTTATTTTCCTCATCTGTAAACAGGAGTGGTAATTCTGCCTACCCCATAGAGTTCTTGTGAGATCAGATGAGTTAAGGTATTTCTAGTGCTTTGAGCAGTGCCTGGCATTTAAATACTATGTAAGGGTTAAAGTTACTATTGTTGTTGGCACTTTAAAATAGAGAATCAGAACCAGCTGTGTAGCTGAGTTTTCTTGTTTGCAAAAGGAAGAGCTTGAATTAGATGTTCTTCACAATGCTTTCCAGGCTCCAATTCCTTCTACTCTAAGATTCTAATATTCCTTGGTGAAGGCTCATTCCCTCATTGGCACATTACTTGCCTGTGCTACTTGACCTGCAGCTTAGAAATTAGAGTAGGTTCTAATAAAGGCTAGTGCCAGGTTTATGCAAGATGTGGCCTCCAGGGAGCTGGTTTCATAAACCTGAGGCTGTTGACCTACTCCCTTTCCTGAGGTTATGAAGCTTCTTTATGGGCTTACTTGTAGGGCCCGTTCCTCTCTTGTAGCTTTCAGAGCAACATTCCCTGGTGGCTTCCAGGTGTAGAACTCTACAGTGTATGTCAGTATTGTCCAGAAATTAGGTTTCAAGTGGGCATTGCAAGCTTTGAAGGCACACAAAATATGCTGCTCAGAATGCACAGACTATTAAACCATTTACCCTTTCTGGCAGGTATAGGGTATTACAACTTGTCAAAGGATTCTAATTGGTTTTGACCCACTTTTTAAGTTAGAAAATTTATTTGCTGATGTTAGAGACCAGTTCTTGAGTAAGCTGTTATTAGCAGCTGATTAGGAAAACACAATACTTCTGACCTTACCTTCTCCTGTTAATTATTTGGATTTAAACAAAATGAACATGCATGCCCTAATAGAAATAGGGATCATTTGATCTTGATAAATCTTTGAGAACTGTATTTGTTACTTACAATACCTTAAATGATTTCTGTTTCTCTGTGTGTATTTGTGTTTGTGTTGTGTCCATTTTCTCTTGCAGCTTGAACTCAGTGAAAATAGAATCTTTGGAGGTCTGGACATGTTAGCTGAAAAACTTCCAAATCTCACACATCTAAACTTAAGTGGAAATAAACTGAAAGATATCAGCACCTTGGAACCTTTGGTAAGTAACTGAGAATTTGGAAACTGGAACTTACTGGTCATTTTCATTTTCATATTTCTTTATAGTGGGGGAAATTACTGGCAATAATAATTGGTTGAGAAAGTGGTGGCTTTTTTTTTTTTTTTTTTTTTTTTTTTTTTTTTTTTTGAGACGGAGTCTCGCTCTGTCGCCCAGGCTGGAGTGCAGTGGCGGGATCTCGGCTCACTGCAAGCTCCGCCTCCCGGGTTCACGCCATTCTCCTGCCTCAGCCTCCCAAGTAGCTGGGACTACAGGCGCCCGCCACTACGCCCGGCTAATTTTTTGTATTTTTAGTAGAGACGGGGTTTCACCTTGTTAGCCAGGATGGTCTCGATCTCCTGACCTCGTGATCCGCCCGCCTCGGCCTCCCAAAGTGCTGGGATTACAGGCGTGAGCCACCGCGCCCGGCCGAAAGTGGTGGCTTTTTACTTTTTATGTAAGTCCCAATTTTAAAGATCAGGGCCTCTCTAATTAGATGTATTTCTGTGGCTTTGCTCTCTCCCTGCCTGATATTGTGGTGGCATCCTTCAGAAGAGAATTTTTGGGGGTATTTTGTTTTGGATCCACTTTTGAAATTCATGTATTGACTATATAGCCTTAAACATGTTCTTAACAATTTTTTTCTTCAGACTGGCCAAGCCATTATGTACTTTTACACTTTAACAGAAAAGGCTATTTATGTTGTGTGGCATACCTGAATTGTAGATGGAACAAAGACAGCTCTATTTTAAGCTTTGGGTCGTGTAATTCATGATCTTGTGTTCTAGCTGGATTACAGTTGCCTAGAGTTTTGCATGGAAACGCCAAGATCCTCCTCAGTCTTACATATTGGGATAAGATATGAAAAGCTGAGTTTCAGTGCCACTTGGGTTGTAGACTTGATGTGTGACCTTGGGCAAACTGCTTCTTCTCTCTGGGCCTCAGTTTCCTCACTTATAGCAGGGAGGATAATAATCCCTGCCTTACTTACCTCACTTAGGAGTTCTGAGAATAAGATAATGTACTTACTTTGCTTTGTAAGTTAATGTACTTATTTTGCTTTTTGTCCAGTTTGTGTAAGTTGTAGTGGCCAGAAAAGGGCTTCCAGAGGCAGGACTGGAGGCAGGGGGCTTAATGCAGTTTGTAGGGCAGCCCCACAGGCTGTGCTATTTGGAAGAGGGTTATTTAGCATATAGGAGGTGTCTTTGAGAATCCAGAACAGACACTAGAGGGTAAGACATTTCTTCTCTGTTGTCTCTATTCTGATGTCAGAGTATATTAAAATAAGTGGATTTCACATCACTTGTATAGAATGCTCTGTTGATACTTGAGGGGAAGACAGTTAAATTGTAGCTTCTTTTAATGAAGAGGACTTCCTGTCAAGAGTTAGAAGATCTTTTCCTTCCTAAACAATTATTGAGACTGCTGCAATACAGATTTAATTACCTTTTACTGAATCTCTTTGTGCATGTGTATATGTATTCTTTTAGAGAGGTCTCACTATGTTAGGCCAGGCTGGTCTTGAACTCCTGCCCTCAAGTGATCCTTCCATCTCGACCTCCCAAAGTGTTTGGGACTACAGGCCTGAGCCACCATGTCCGGCTGAGTCTCTTTATTTTTACATTTCTTTAAGTTGTCCATATTTAAGAGCTTATTTCTCATAAATGTGATGCCTCACCAGTGCTCCATGCATTTTGCCCTTTTTCCTATTACAGGTATACCCAGATACTCGGGCTCTTACTAGTTTTATTCGTTTCCTTCAAACCAACCCCCATTTCCAGTATTTAAGCCGACATTTACTGACTTTTGCTGCATCCAAGGACATGAACATTTGCCCATTGTATCCTTAAGTAACCCAGAGAAGAGAGAATGACTGTCCTCTTTTTAGAGATGAGGAAGCTGAGTTTAGAGAATGTAGATAATTGCTCAGGAGAAATGGCAGAGTAGGGATTCAAATCTAAGTCTAGGCTGGGCACGGTGGTTCACGCCTGTAATCCCAGCACTTTGGGAGGCCGAGGCGGGCAGATCACTTGAGGTCAGGAGTTTGAGACCAGCCTGGCCAACGTGAAACCCCATCTCTACTAAAAATACAAAAAAGTACCCAGGCGTGGTGGCAGGCGCCTATAATTCCAGCTACTTGGGAGGCTGAGGCAGGAGAATCACTTGAACCCAGGAGGCGAAGGTTGCAGTGAGCTGAGATCATGCCTCTGCACTCCAGCCTGGGTGACAGAACAAGACTCCATCTCAAAAAAAAAAAAAAAAAAATTCGAAGTCTGCTGTGTTTTCCATAGCCCTTGGGACCTCTTCTTCTCTTTCCACCTGTAAATTTATTTCATGCCCAAATTTCCTTAAGCTGGGAATTCCAACAGGAGCACCAAATTTTAACTGCTGATGCTTTCCCGTTCACATGGGCTACACTAAGCCTTTGTTTATTGGTTAGTGACAGACATACTAATCCTAGGTTGTGAGCATAAGAAACCCTTCTCCCCGCCACCCCCCTTTTTTTTTCTGGTTTAATTTTTTTTTTTTTTTTTTAGACGGAGTCTCGCTCTGTCACCCAGGCTGGAGTGCAGTGGCGCCATCTCGGCTCATTGCAAGCTCCGCCTTCTGGGTTCACGCCATTCTCCTGCCTCAGCCTCCCAAGTAGCTGGGACTACAGGCACCTGCCACCATGCCTGGCTAAGTTTTTTGTATTTTTAGTAGAGATGGGGTTTCACTGTGTTTGCCAGGATGGTCTCGATCTCCTGAGCTCGTGATCCGCCTGCCTCAGCCTCCCAAAGCGCTGGGATTACAGGCGTGAGCCACCATGCCTGGCCTTCTCTTTTAATTTTTAAAGAACAGAGTAGCAGGCAGTACCTTTTCACTGTTGGCCAGTTGATGACTGGCCATTACCTAGTTCTCGTGGCAGCCTGAATCCTCTGATTATCAGAAGCCTTTTTCAGTGTTGTAGCACACAGCAATGGAGCAGAAGCAAATACTGTGTGGGAGTTGTTTGCTTGAGTTTTTTCCTGATCTGGTCAGTAATGTATGAGAGGACCCTCTGGTGGCTGTGAAAGTCTCAGTCCCCCAGGATAGTGAAGGATAAAAAGTAATCTTCGTTGTGTTCACCATTTTTAGAGGATCTGCTATACCCATACATTTACTGGGTGCTTTATGCATGTTTTATTAGTAATTGTAAAAAAAAAAACCTTCGATACAAAGTGGATAGAAATAGCATGGCCCTTGTTTTATATTGAGGAAGCTAAGGCTTGGGTGAGGCTGAATCCCTTGTCCAGAGTCACACACCCTGTGGCAGAGCCACAGGGCTACACACCAGAGCTATTTCGAAAAGCCTGGGGTCCCGCCATTCTGCTATACTTGGCACTCAGATTCCTGGCGGTGCTAGGTTGGTCTCCTGAAGTTCTAACTTGGAATTAAGTAAATCTGTAGGAGAAGGTGAAGGGGGGAAGAGTTGGGTCCATTTTGACTTCTGGCAGTATTCTTCAGTGGGGAAAAACACCATCCTCATCCTCATTAACCACATACATTTTGAACACCGTCTACTTTGAGCCCAGTTCTTATAGTCAATGCAATGATTGTGAATGCCTCTGCTTGCTACAGGGACATTAATCGAGAGACAAAGAAGGCATCAATTCAAACTTCCTTGGACACCTTTTTTAAGAGACCTGGGCCATCCAAACCATCCCCCAAAGCCCTTCTAAATTCTAAGAAGGCAAGCAAAATTATTGTTAATAAAATGTTTAATGTTTATTATGGCTAGCCTATTAGCTTACATCAAATTTCTGGTATGGTAGAGTTGTAATTTTTTTTAATCAGTATTTACACATTACATTGGGATCCTGAATAATCTGTGTGTAGTGTATTTTGTGCCTATTGGGCCTTAAAGCACAATTTTACTACTTTCAGCAGTTCCAGAGTACTACAGTTATTTGGGATTTTTGTTGTTTTCTTGCTTTCATTTCATTTTTCAAACTACTGATTGGCATGTCCAAATTGTTTGAGAAGGGGTGCTTTGCCAGGAAGTAGCCAAAAATCTCACATAATTGTACAGTTTCAGAAACAGGAGAGCCTTGGAGGCCCTGTGTACTGGAAGAGTCAATGAAACTAGATAGAGAAAGGGCTTTTGGTATTAAAAAGCATTAGATAAATATCAGAGGTTGTATGTGTTTTTGTGCACCTATTTCTAGGAAATAATTCTGAAATATAAATGGCTCATTCCTTTAAGTGGAGAATTTTTAGAGTGAACCTTTTTGGAAAAGCTGCCTAAAGCTGACTCTAGCTGGCATCGAGTCAGCCTTTGTGAAGAGAAAGCCAGTATGCTAGCTAGCCATCTGGGGTGGCATTGCAGCATTTTTTTCCTCTTTGGCAAGAAGTCATACCTGGGCTTCTGGAAGTCAGGGCCTGACTGGAAGGGAAGCTAATCTGAAAATTACATGATACAAAAGCAGCTCTATGACCAGAAGGGCTGGGGACAGCTTTCTTAAAACGTCAAGGAACTGACTATATAAGCACATTGTTTGATCCACAGACTCTTGGATCATTGTACAATTTGTGTTTTGAGGGGTGCAACGTTTTCCTGTTGCTGTAACCCTGCTGTGTGTTCCCTGCATGAATAAAACAAGTGTGGGAGCCTCTTTCTTCATCAAGAAGATGAAGTTCTTCATGTGCAGGGGTCAGTAGCCCTTTTCTCTAAGGGCCAAATAGTAGGTTCATTTGGCTTTGTAGCCTGTTTATATAGTCTCTGTCACAACTAGTCTGCTTGGCCATTTTAGTACATAAGGAGCCATACATAAATAAATGAGTGTGACTGTGTTCCAATGGAGCTTATTTTACAAAAACAAGTGGTGGGCCAGAATTGGCCACTGGACCACCGGTTCCCAACCCCTGCTCTAGAGCCTTGAGGCAGATTTTCACACCATTTTATATCTCCTCAGAACTACATAGATACCTTGAGTTCTGAAAATAAGGTTTTGTTTTGTCTGCATTTCTTCTCAGGTCCTTGTGAGTGTTGTAACAGCTTTCCTAATAAAGCAGCAAAACCTGTTAAGCATCAACATTTATTTTTTTAGAAATTATTTTATGTGGAGGTCCTCTTAAAGTTTGTTTGGGTGTTTTTAGTACTATCTTCTTAGAGAATACCGAAGTTTTTCTCTTGATTCAGAACCATTAAAGGTTGTGTTTATGAAGCTATCCAGATATATGTAGTTATTGCCCCTATTCTGAAAGGCACCAGGCTATGTGCTACTTCACATTGGATTTGCCTTTCATAGGCTGCTCCCTCTTCTATCTACAAGGGTCTGCTGTCACTTCCTGTTGCTGTCTCCTGACTTGCCTATAGTGTAGTACCTCTGCCCTCTCAATCTCTTAATTTACCCTTAATCAAAACTTAATAGACCTGGGATTGAAATACTAGTACACTGATATAATAACAAATGAAGATCTGAGTAAATACATAGACATTTTCCAGTGCACTTTGACTACTCAGAAAACTTGACTTGGGCCAACTTTTTATAGCTTAACTGTTTTTAGATAGATGAAACTGATGGTTCCAAAGAAATGAGGTATTGCAACAAAATTTCAAGGTATGGTAAATAAAATCAGAAGAACTTTACATCATAAAAGTCTGGTAACATGTCAGTCTTTTCCCCAAATACTAAAAAAGAAGAGTGCAATGTTTCTCCGTATTTCCGAAGTTTCAACTCTGCGCCCCTCTGCTTTTTCCTCAGCCCATATTGACTCCTGTCTTCCCTGAAAGTAGCTGCATTGCCACACTTTATATTTTATTATATTTCATCCTCTAGTGTTTCATGTCTGTGCCCTAACTAAAATTGTAAGCACCCTAAGATTGTGTTATAAATCTCTGAATTTTTCCCTATACTGCCACCCTAGAACATTAAAGACCGCTTGATACCCAGGAAGTTCTTAATGGCCATTTGATTACTCAAATGTTAACATTTGTTTCAGCTAAATTTATTAAACTGTTTGATTGTCTCATACTGTGAAAATACCTGGATTTAATAAAAATTATTTTCAATTTATATTTCTTTAGACTACTATGCTGCCAGAAAAACACATAGTTCTCTGGGAGAGTAGATAAAGGAAGAGAGGGACTAAAGTCTAGTAACCTAATATAAAGGTTGCAAAAGACTTGATGTATTTTTCTATATATGAGGCTGAGTGGGTAGTGGAAATTGAATATAGAGCCTAGAATTTTACCTCTTCAAGAGATGGATTTGTTACTTATATTCCTTTGGTTTAGGAGTTGTGGTTTTTGATCCTTTTCTTCAGAAAAAGTTAGAATGTCTGAAAAGCCTGGACCTCTTTAACTGTGAGGTTACCAACCTGAATGACTACCGAGAGAGTGTCTTCAAGCTCCTGCCCCAGCTTACCTACTTGGATGGCTATGACCGAGAGGACCAGGAAGCACCTGACTCAGATGCCGAGGTGGATGGTGTGGATGAAGAGGAGGAGGACGAAGGTGAGTAGGCTCAGCATCTGGTGAACCTGATGTCTGCCTTTCAAAGCCTCTGATAAAAGCTATTGGATGTTGGCCGGGCGCAGTGGCACACAACCGTAATCCCAGCACTTTGGGTGGCCGAGGCAGGGGGCATTGCTTGAGCCCAGGAGTTTGAGACTAGCCTGGGCAACATGGCAATACCTTGTTTCTACAGAAAATAGAAAAAAAAAAAATTAGCCAGGTGTGGTGGCGCACACCTGGAGTCTTAGCTACTCAGAAGACTGGAGGCCGAGGTGGGAGGATCACTTGAACCTAGGAGTTTGAGGCTACAGTGAGCCATGATTGTTCCCCACTGCACTCCGTCTCAGAAGACAGACAGGGTGTCTCAAAAAAAAAAGCTACTAGATGTTCTTACTATTGAGGAAAATAGTGTGTGTTTGTGTGCGTGCGCACGCGTGTATTTTTTGAATGTAGGCATTCCATTAAATTTATAGCTAAGGCCTATTTCATAAGCACCTGGCCTCAAGGGATCCTCCCACCTCAGCCTCCCCAAGTGGTGGGATTACAGGGATGAGACACTGAACCTGGCCCGGGAAGCATTTCCTGAAGTCTACAAGCTAAGTTAGGATGCTGTGCGTTTAAACTGTAAACCGCTTGCTCTTACAGGCTTGCCACTCTGCTGTTCTTAAGTCTTCCTACTTCAGGGGTCTTCAACCCACAGGCCACAGACTGGTACTACTCCATGACCTGTTAGAAACCAGGCCGCATGAGCAGTGAGGAAGCCTCATCTGTATTTACAGCCACTCCCCATTGCTCACATTACTGTCTGGGCTCCACCTCCTGTCAGATCAATGGTGGTATTAGATTCTCATAGGAACGAGAATCCTATTGTGAACTGCACATGTGAGGGGGCTAGGTTGTGTGCTCCTTAGAAGAATCTAATGCCTGATGATCCGAGGTGGAGCTGAGGTGGTGATGCTAGAGCTGAGGTGGTGATGCTAGCACTGGGGAGTGGCTGCAAATACAGATTAACATTAGCAAAGAGGTTTGACTTTACAGAGATGATAATAAATCAATTGCTTGCAGACTCATCAACCCCTATCTGTGAGTGGCAAGTGACAAGCTGCATCTGGTGGCAGGCTTTATAGTGGCAAGTGAGTTGGTGTACTTCAGTTGTACAGCTGTATCTGGTGACAGGCTTTAAGTCAGAATCTGATGCTTTTTTTAGTCAGTGCATGGCCTGCCCATTTTTTTATTTACCACTTCCATCCACACCTCTTTCCCGCACTGCGTATTTGTCTCAGTCACAGTTTTGTTAGGCCCACAAGCTAACTATCCAACATGAGTAAAAAACGTCGCTGGAGAGCTTCTTTGAGAAGGGGGAAAGACCCAATAATGAGACAGCAGAAGACAAGACTGCCAATGAAAAGAAAGCTTCATTGAAAAGAAAATACCAAGAGTGCTACTTAAATTACAGGTTCATTGCAACAGATGATTCACATTCTCCAAGCCCACTTTGTATAATATGTGGCAACAAGCTATCCAACAAAGCCATGAAACCTTCAAAACCACTTCACTGGCTGGGCACAGTGGCTCATGCCTGTAATCCCAGCACTTACAGAGGCCGAGGTAGATCACCTGAGGTCAGGAGTTCAAGACCAGCCTGGCCAACATGGGGAAACCCTGGCTCTGCAAAAATACAAAAATTAACCAGGCATGGTGGTGCACACCTTTAGTCCCAGCTTCTCGGGAGGCTGAGGCATGAGAATTGCTTGAACCTGGGAGGCGGAGGTTGCAGTGAGCCGAGATTGTGCCGCTGTGCTTTAGCCTGGGCGATAGAGCAAGACTCCATCTCAAAAAACAAACAAACAAAAAAAAAACTGCTTCACCACTTGGAGACCAAGCACCCTGCGTTTAAAAGACAAGCCTTTGGAGTTTTTCAAAAGAAATAAACATGAACGTGAAAAACAGAGGCAATTATTGAAAGCTCCCACTTCATCAAATGTGACTGCACTGAGAACATCTCATTCTTAGTGGCTAACTGCATTGCTAAAGCTAAGAAGCCCTTAACTAACTGCATTGCTAAAGTAAGAAGCCCTTTACTATTGAAGAGTTGATCCTGCCTGCTGCTAAGGACATTTGTCATGAACTTTTAGGAGAGGCTGCAGTTAAGCTGCAGTTCAAAAGGTGGCACATGTTCCTCTTTGAGCTAGCACCATAACTAGATGAATTGATGACATAGTAGAGGATATTGAGGCATAGTTGTTAGAGAGGATTGATGAGTCACCGTGGTACACATTGCAGGTTGACAAGTCTGCCGATGTTGACAACATGGCAACAATGCTTGTTTTTGTGCAATATATTTTCAGGAGGATGTGCATGAGACTATGTTATGTGTACTTCGTTGCCAACCAGCACCACAGCTGCAGAACTATTCAAGTCTTTTGAACGATTACATATCAGGAAAACTGAATTGGTCATTTTGTGTCGTATATGCACAGATGGAGCGGCTGCCATGGCTGGACGGCTTTCTGGTTTCACTACTCGAGTCAGAGAGGTCGCTTCTGGATGTGAGTCTATGCACTGTGTCATCCATAGAGAAATGCTGGCTAGCTGACAAATGTCACCTGAACTTAACGTTTTGCAGGATGTGATTAAAATTAACCACATTAAAGTACATGCCCTTAACCCATGTCTGTTCACGCAGTTCTGTGAGATGGATGCAGAGAATACTTCTCTTACACAGAGAAGCGAGATGGCGTTCTAAAGGTGGATCACTGGCCAGAGTTTTTGAGTTAAGAGGCCTGCTCCAGAGATTTCTCTAAGAATAACAGTCACCACTAGCAGAACATTTTAGTAACACAGAATGAGTGGTAAAACTTTTTTTTTTAAGTTCAGGGGTACATGTGCACGTTTGTCGCAGAGATAAACGTGTACCATCCCATCACCTAAGTATTAAGCCCACTGTCCATTAGCTAGTTTTCCTGATGCTCTCCGTCCCCAGCCTCCACAGGCCCCAGTGTGTGTTGTTCCCCTCCATGTGTCCATGTATACTCATCATTCAGCCCCCACTTACAAGTGAGAACATACGATACTTAGTTTTCTGTTCTGAGCATTGGGATTTTTGACATGTTTCAAACAGTAGGAGTGATTTTTGAAAGAGAGTGAGCCAGGGCCTTCTTTCTCACAGCTGGTGCATGATCACCTATCTCAGCTCTCAAAAGAGTTTGAGCATTACTTCCCAACCACAAAAGACCCCCGAACTGGGAAGGAATGGATCCACAACCCATTTATGAATAAGCCAGGTCAATCGACTTTGTTCATGCTTGAAGAGGATCAACTGGTTGAGATCACAAATGGCAGTGGCCTTAAAAGTATGGTTTGAGACAACTTCAAAATCTCCATATATTCTGGATTAAAGTCGAGGTGGAATATCCTGAGATTGCCAAAAAAGCACTGAAAAACCTGCTTCCATTTCCAATATCCTATCTTTGTGAAGCAAAGTTTTCTGCAGTGACAGCAACCAAAACAAGATTATGGAGTATACTGGACATAAGCAGCACACACTTCGAATGTCACTGTCTCTCATTGCCCCCAGATGGGACTGTCTAGTTGCAGGGAAAACAAGCTCAGGGTTCCCATTGATTCCACATTATGATGAGTTGTATAATTATATCATTATATATTACAATGTAATAATAGAAATAAAGTGCAGAATAAACATAATGCGTTTGAATCATCCTGAAACCATCCCCCCACCCCCAGGCTGTGGAAACATTGTCTTCCACAAAACTGGTCCCTGGTGCCAAAAAGGTTGAGGACCGCTGTCCTACTGCACTACAGTCATCATCTTGGGTAGATACTTATCTCCTGATTCACAGGGCCTGACACTGAGTAGGTACTTGGTACCTGTTTGTTATTGCCAGCTATAAATAAAATAGCTTTCCCTTCCATTGACATATGACCAGAGTTTTAAAAGGTAATGATTTCAAATAACTATATGTTAGATTCCGTTTTTCATTCATAAGGGAAATAATCTCTGATCATAACATAGAATTAAAAGATGATTTTCAGTAGTTTTGGCATTTGACCCAGGATTTATACATATTTTACAGATTTACAGATTTTAAGAAATAACTAATACTTTCTACCCAAGATATTCCTCCTGATTAGTTTGTGTTTTCTTTGCATGCTGAGTTTGTTTATTCTCAGTCACTCTTAGAATAAAACGCTTCTCACGTACAGGTGGCTTAGAGCAGCAGTCTCCAACCTTTTTGGCACCAGGGACTGGTTTCATGGAAGACAGTTTTTCCACAGATGCAGGGAAGGGGTTGGGGGCGGCAGCTGAATGGTTTTGGGATGAAACGGTTCCACCTTAGATCAGGCATTAGATTCTCATAAGGAATGCACAGTCCAGATCCCTCACATGCGCAGTTCACAATAGAATTTGCACTCCTATGAGGATCTAACAGGTGATGTGACAGGAGGCGGAGTTCACGTGGTAATGGTCACTGGCCTGCTCTTCACCACCTGCTGTGCGGCCCAGGCCACAGACCAGTACCAGTCCTGGGAGTTGGGAACCCCTGGTTTGGAGGAAGCAGAATGATTAGTTTTCACATCAGTCAGCATGAGTATTTCTTTTCTTTAAAAATTAGCACATATGACAGAAATTATCAAGAAAATAGAGGAGGAAAAGCATCAAGGAGTTTGGGTGCAGTTAATGGTATAATTCTCTGGAAGCATTTTTACAGTTTTATTTTGAAGCATATTGAGACAGGCAAAAATTAATGAGTTATAAGGTGGTAAAATGGACAGAGAATAGGACATCTCACTTATTTCCAAATGTTATGTCCCTTTGTCCCTTCTACAGTTTTTCCATTTTTCCTAAAAACCATTTGTGCTTGTTGTCTATTTAAGTTCACCTCAAACAGGAAGAACAGCCACATGTGCAAGAGCCAGTAAAGGACATTCCTTGGAAGGTGGGGGGCAGTTCCTGAGAGCAAAGATGGGTCAGCCAACAAATACTTGAGCATTTCCTATGTGCCAGGCACTGCGGAAAATAGTGGTTTAAAAAAAAAAGGAACAAAAAAACAAGGTTCCTACCCTCTTGGACCTTACAGAGAAATGGTGTTTTTTTTTTTTTGTTTTTTTTTTTTAAATCATAAATAGGCTAGGTATGGTGGCTCACACTTGTAATCCCAACACTTGGGGAGGGTGAGGCAGGATGATTGCTGGAATCCAGGAGTTCAAGACCAGCCTGGGCAACATAGACAAACCCTATCTGTACAGAAAAAATTGTTTTAAATTAAGAATTCTAAATAATAATTGCAAGTAAGCAAAGTGTGTTGTAATGGAGAAGCACCACATACTCATGGTGAGAGCCTATGACCTGGCATTGGGAGGTCTGGTGAGTAAGACTGCCTAAGGAAGTGATGTTGACTGAGACTCCAAGGTGGAGTCAGAGTTAGCCAAGCAAAGAGGATGGAAAGAGCATGCAGAGACCAGGAGGCAGGTGAGAGCATGGTGTGCTCTAGGACCCAGGAGAAGCAAGAACTGCCGCACTAGAGGTCCGAACAACCAGCTAGAGATGCAGGTGCCTCTCAGCCTCCTGTCCCCTGAGTCACAGGGTTATTATGGGTGTTTCTCAGGTTCCTGATTTGAGCAGCTGACTGTGACTCTGGTAATGATACCCAAGAGAAGGTACATGATTTTTTTTTTTTTAACTTTTTACTGTCAAAAATTTCAGACAGTGACAAAGGGTAAAAATAATAGCAAAATGAACCCCCATGTTCTTATCACTCAGCTTCAGCAATTATTGGTCATAGCTGATCTTATTTTATTCCTGCATACCCTTACCTTCTTCCCCACTCCATATAATTTTGAAGCAAATCTTAGCCATTGTATCATTTCATCAGCGAGAATTATAGTGTTTGTCTTATCTACCAGGACTTCTAGCTCTCTGATTTTATGGGACTCTATCGGACAAAGGGACTGAGCTGTAGCACATAGTAGAAAGAAAGTGACTGCAGTTCGTGGCCTTACAGCATTTGTTCTGTGAGCCAGCCCACAGATCCTCAACACTTTGTCCCCTGTGGAGCGTCGAGGATATTTAATGAATCCCTTTTGGACTATTTTTAGAAGGAGAAGATGAGGAAGACGAGGACGATGAGGATGGTGAAGAAGAGGAGTTTGATGAAGAAGATGATGAAGATGAAGATGTAGAAGGGGATGAGGACGACGATGAAGTCAGTGAGGAGGTCAGTGCAGCTGTTTTCTACCCTGCTTCCTATTTGTAATTACAACAAAAGTGGGGGTTTCAAAAAGATGACAAAAGAAAAGAAAAAACACCTTTTGAAGAAATTAGTATACCTGTGAATACATTTACAATATGAATCTGGTTAATTTAGTGTTTGTCTGGCTTTAAATAACTACTAAATAGAATGCCTACTGAACTCAAACTAGTACGGTTCCTGGCTGTGCAAGGTAAGTTCTGGCCCTCTGGGGGAAGGAATGAATTGAGTATTCAGTGTGGTGAGAAAACTGGACATGTTGAGAATTGATGGTATGTCTGTTCCTTCATTGAATTGTAGGGAAGTTTATGTTTACCAAGTCTAAACTTTTTCTTGTATATTCAGTGTAATTCAGTAAATATATATCTGCTATGTTAAAGAGTTGGGAGTACAAAATGAAATGAGATTGTGGTCCTGCCCTGAAAGAGCACAGTCTGGTTTATGAAATACCCAATAATAGAGGATCCCTGAGGAAATAAATGCTATACGAGGGCAGGAGAAAACAGTGTCTTGACTTTGACCCTCAAAGAGGTTTGGGAAACAGGCAGACAACATTAGTTGTTAACAAAACGCATCCTCTTTTGTAGTATAAAAATAAGGCTTGGGGTTTGTGTGATGTCATTAGGTGTATGATTGACATTAAAGTTCTGAAAGAAGCTTTGTATATGAATGGGATATAGAAATTTTTGTCTAAATCTGTTTTGAAATTTGAGATTTTAAGATGTTTTCTTGAATTATCCAGAGTTATATACTAATTAAACATCTAGCAAATGAACTGCTTGCTTCTAAAAAAAATTTTTCTTAGAAAAATTATAAAGCTCGTTAAGGAAAATCAGTGGGTCTTGGTACATCAAAGTAGATAAAAATAACATTACAGTTTCCTGCTTGATTGATATTGTTGCATTTATTTGTACTTCTTAGTTTGGCAGAATTTGTACTATATGCACTTTTCAATTTGGCAGAATTAATTTAATGTTATGCTGTTTGCTATTCTTTAGGAAGAAGAATTTGGACTTGATGAAGAAGATGAAGATGAGGATGAGGATGAAGGTGGGCCTAATGCATGCATTTTGATCATTCTCAGTTAAAAATTAGAGAAAAACATCCATTATTTAGAATATGATACCACTGAGAAGAAAATAAAATACTCTTGGCTCTGGTGGTTTACACATTCACATTCTCGTTTCTATCGTCCCATCAGTGTGTCTGTGCTGGTGCAGGCTCCCTGCTGCTACAGCAGTTATTCCTGTCTCATGGCAAGGGTCCTGTTGGTCTTCAGTCCTCATGGGGTTTTTTTCGGGGTGGTGGTGGTGGTGGTGGTGTTTTGAGACGGAATCTCGCTCTGTTGCCCAGGCTGGAGTGCAGTGGCACGATCTCGGCTCACTGCAAGTTCCGCCTCCTAGGTTCAAGCCATTCTCCTGCCTCAGCCTCCAGAGTAGCTGGGGCTACAGGCGCCTGCCACCACGCCCAGCTAATTGTTTGCATTTTTAGTAGAGACGGGGTTTCACCGTGTTAGCCAGGATGGTCTCAATCTCCTGACCTCGTGGTCCACCCGCCTCAGCCTCCCAAAGTGCCGGGATTACAGGCGTGAGCCACCACACCCGGCCTGTTGTTTTCTTGAGATGGAGTCTTGCTCTGTCGCCCAGTCTGGAGTTCACTGGTGCAATCTAAGCTCACTGCAGCCTCCACCTCCCAGGTTCAAGGGATTCTCTGCCTCAGCCTCCTCAGTAGCTGGGATTACAGGCATGCACCACCACACTTGGCTAATTTTTGTATTTTTAGTAGAGACAGGGTTTTGCCATGTTGGCCAGCCTGGTCTTGAATTCCTGGCTGAATTCAAGTGATCCACCCACCTCGGCCTCCCAAATTACTCGGATTACAGGTGTGAGCCACCATGCCTAGCCTGTTCCCCATGTTTTAAATGTGTTTTTAGGACCAGTCATTTGGTTTACTGTCAAGTGTGAGTTTCTGTGTTTGGAGTTCTTTCATTTTTTAAAAAAAGGCTTTAATAATTGAACCATCATTTTCAGGATATATAAATAGATGTAGCAGTTTCCCAGTTTTGTCAGTGTTAGTCCTTTCCCCACTACAACCAAGACAAATGAAATAGCTGTTACTTATTTAATACTGTTGAAAGTATGCCAGCCTGGACAACATAGACCCTGTCTGTACAGAAAATTAAAAAGTTAGCTGGGACCGGGTGTGGTGACTCACGCCTGTTATCTCAGCACTTTAGGAGGCCGAGGCAGGTGGATCACCTGAGGTCAGGAGTTCGAGAGCAGCCTGGCCAACATGGTAAAATCCTGTCTCTACTAAAAATTAAAAAATTAGTCAGGCGTGGTGGCACGCACTCAAACCCAGGAGGCAGAGATTCAGTGAGCTGAGGTCATGCCACTGCACTGCAGCCTGGACAACAGAGCAAGACTCTGTCTCAAAAAAAAAAAAAAGTTAGCTGCACATGGTGGTGCACACCTATAGTCCCAGCTACTTGGGAAGCTGAGGTGGGAGGACTGCTTGAAGTTGCAGTGAGGCTATGATAGTGCCACCGCACTCCAGCCTGAGTGACAGAGGGAGACCTTGTCTCAAATAAAAAGTCTCATGGTTGTGTCTCAGAAAATCAGGTGTTCACTGTGCTGTTGGCTGATGTTTTCTCAGCATCCACTTTGTCAAGCTCTCAATTACATTTACACTAGATATTACCCTGGTTAGGACCTGGTCACTGCCTTTAAGAACCTGTATGATTGGGAGGCCGAGGCGGGTGGATCATGAGGTCAGGAGATCGAGACCATCCTGGCTAACACGGTGAAACCCCGTCTCTACTAAAAATACAAAAAAATTAGCCGGGTGTGGTGGCAGGCGCCTGTAGTCCCAGCTACTCGGGAGGCTGAGTCAGGAGAACGGCATGAACCCGGGAGGCGGAGCTTGCAGTGAGCCGAGATCAAGCCACTGCACTCCAGCCTGGGCGACGGAGCCAGAGTCTGTCTCAAAAAAAAAAACAACCTGTATGAAATATGATTTAACATATAGTTAATTTCATTAAAATAACCATGGATTTTATTAGTTGAAAAAATTGGTCTATATGTAAGTCTCTGTGTCTCGACTACATAATACTCTTAAGAATTTCCTTTTTAGTTAATATTAGTTTGCTACAATTTGAGTCTTAATGATGTTCCATACTATGTTTTGTGTGTTATTTAATTCTCAGAATAACCTTTTAAAGTCAGTACCATTGTCCCCATTTTACAGATGAAAAAGGCTTAAAGAGGTTAAGCTTGTCTGAGATCACTTGAAAGTAAGCATGTCTTGAAGACGTGCTAGATAGCACGAGGGGTTTTGTTTTGTTTTTTTGGAGACAGTTTCGCTCTTATCACCCAGGCTGGAGTCCAGTGGCACAATCTCAGCTCACTGCAACCTCCGCCTTCCGGATTCAAGCAATTCTCATGCCTCATCATCCAGAGTAGCTGGGATTACAGGTACATGCCACCATGCCTGGCTCATTTTTGTATTTTTAGTAGAGACGGAGTTTCACCATGTTGGCCAGGGTGGTCTGGAACTCCTGACCTCAGGTGATCTGCCTGCCTTGGCCTCCCAAAGTGCTGGGATTATAGGCATGAGCCAGTGGGCCTGACCAGCTCAGGTTAATAATAAGCACTTTAATAATTGCTAGATTTGTAAAAAGAAACATTTGGAAGACAACACCTTAAAATCGAGGAAACTGGATTAACTTTTCCTGGGTGAGTTGAGGTGCTGCTGTGCATTTTGCTTTTCTTGGTTCTGTGGTCACCACTTATACTTGCTATTAGTCACCTATATTAATCTGATCAAGTTTACATTGTTTTATCTCCTAACTGTCAAAAACTTTGTTGTTGTTGCCTCCATTGGCAATAATCTAAGCAAAATGCCTTTCCACTGTCCTAAAGTCAATTTTTGTTACTGTACAGAGGAGGAAGAAGGTGGGAAAGGTGAAAAGAGGAAGAGAGAAACAGATGATGAAGGAGAAGATGATTAAGACCCCAGATGACCTGCAGAAACAGAACTGTTCAGTATTGGTTGGACTGCTCATGGATTTTGTAGCTGTTTAAAAAAAAAAAAAAGGTAGCTGTGATACAAACCCCAGGACACCCACCCACCCAAAGAGCCAAAGAATAGTTCCTGTGACATTCCGCCTTCCTTCCATGTAGTCCCTCTTGGTAATCTACCACCAAGCTTGTGGACTTCACCCCAACAAAATTGTAAGCGTTGTTAGGTTTTTGTGTAAGATTCTTGCTGTAGCGTGGATAGCTGTGATTGGTGAGTCAACCGTCTGTGGCTACCAGTTACACTGAGATTGTAACAGCATTTTTACTTTCTGTACAACAAAAAAGCTTTGTAAATAAAATCTTAACATTTTGGGTCTGTTTTTTCATGCTTTGCTTTTTAATTATTATTATTATTTTTTTTACATTAGGACATTTTATGTGACAACTGCCAAAAAAGTATTTTTAAGAATTTAAGCGAAATAAACAGTTACTCTTTGGTAAAGCCTAGTTGTATGCTTACATTTTTAAATTATACTCTCATTGTAAGCTCATGTTAAAACACCAAAGAACTGGTTTATTTGGCATTTTTATATTAGTAGTTGTTGAGGGGAATTGCACAAGTGTGTAGGATCTTTGAGCATTTAGATCAAATCCTCATTGATAACTGGGAGTAAATGAAGCATACTTTAAAAAATAACGTTCAAAATGGAATACTCTGGGGCCCTGAAAACCAGTAAAATGTTAGGTTCAAGTATTATGTGAATTAAGGGAAAGAAGATAGTGTAAAGCAAAAGGCCTTCACCAGAATCCCAAGAGATCTGAATTCTAGTTCTGGCTCTGCCACTGATTTTCTGTGTGACCTTGTGTTGACTCTGGGTCACCACCCAGTCTGGAAAATTGAAGGGGTGTGACCAAATGGCTTCTGAAGTCACTTGTAGCACTGATGTTCTGTGACCCTTGCTGACAGGAAGGTCTGAAGAGAAAAATGGGCTTTCCACTAGTCTGAAGCATGTAGGGTTTGACTGATGGGTGAACACAGTATGGTTTGTTGCCAAGACAGGCGTGAAAAGGGGGAATGACATGTGAAAAGCCTCACCAAGCAGTGGGTAGGCACTGCCTGAGGTCAACTCAGGTTTTCCATAAGATGGAAATTTTCTCTATTCTTACAGATCTTAAAGGGATTTGAGAAAGGAGGATATTCTGTCTGTATTCAGTGATTAACCGTTTAGCGAAAATAGATGTATGACTGCATTATCAATACAGTTTTTTATAGTGGAAGATTTAAGGATTGTTTCAGTAAATTTTAGCTTATAGCTGCTGGAATGAGTGAGGTTTTTGATGCATGTAAATGCAATATGTAAAATTGGAATCTAATTTGAATTTATAACAAGTCACAGTCTCTATGGAGCCCCCAAATACTGTACTTTAAAATCAAAATCTCCCATAGACTTTAAAATGGAGTTTCTTTTTTGCAAAGAAAATCCAAGAAAATTTGATTTCTGATTTTACAGGTATTACACATCATTTTCCCCAACCATAAGGCCATTTTGGCAAACCTTCAATACATTGTAAAATGGTTTCTTCTGTAGCCTAAGTGTGTCCTTAAGGTTTTGCTTATTTGTCAAATATCAAACACAGTAACTTTGAGTGATTATTTTTCCCGGTTTGTTGTTGTTGTTGTTGTTTTTAGTTGTTTTTTAAAGTTTACAGAACTTCCCAGTATCTACCAAGCCTGTAGGATATGCCAGGCTTATTGGCTGGGCAAAAGGGAAGGGAATTGGGTTAAAAAGACAAGCCAGCCCTTGGTGCTCATAGTAACTAGTCAGGAAGAAAAGACATCAACACAAGTAATATTTACTAGGACCTAGGAGCAAGAGGTTTAGGTAAGTTTTAGTGTAGCTCAGAGGCTGGAGAGATGGCACCCAACCTGGAGGGAGGGAAGCTTCTTAGAAAAGAAAGTACTTCAGCTGCACATGCAAGTGTGAATAGCGTCTATAAATAGGAATAGAGAGAGAAGGGAGTATCTTGGTGAGCAGAGGTTAAAGGTAGGAAACTGCTGAGTACAGTTAGATACAAGTAGATTTGACAACACATGAATAGATGATAATACTGGACAAGTCATTTGGGCTCTTGTAGGGGGCCTTGAAGGTCAAAGCCTTTTTGTGCATTATAGTAAAATATTGATGTCACCTGTATGTGGCCAGTGAAGATGCCTTTGACATGGTCCTCAGAGAAGCAAGCTGTTTGGTGATGAGGTCACACAGCAGACTATTTTTGGAGTTGTCTCCCATCTGAAGGAGAACATTGAGAGGGTTTGCTTCCAGCTTCTGCAGTAAGTTTAGTTATAAAATGTCTGAGCTGGGTGGCAGCTATGATGGGCTAGATGACTGGTCCTGACTAGCTGCTCCGAGGTTGGTGGAGGTGTGTTCTACATACACACCTACATGTGTGATACATTGGTATGCCATCTTTTTGAAGCTATTTTCTTTTTTCTTTTTTTTTTTTTTTTGAGATGGGAGTCTTCGCTGTCGCCCAGGCTGACATGTAGTGGCACAATCTTGGCTCACTGCAACCTCCGCCTCCTGGGTTCAAGCAATTCTCCTGTCTCAGCCTCCCGAGTAGCTGGGACTACAGGCGCCCGCCACCACGCCTGGCTAATTTTTGTATTTTTAGTAGAGACGAGGTTTCAACATACTGGTCAGGCTGGTCTTGAACTCTCCTGACCTCAGGTGATCCACCCACCTTGGCCTCCCAAAGTGCCAGAATTACAGGTGTGAGCCACTGTGCCCGGTCCATGGCGCCCTGTTTTCAACCTCTGCTCTTACCTTTAGTTCACTCCTCTTTCAGGAGTCCAGCACCTGAAGAATGATAGTGGCCAGCGTGGAAATGCACAAACCACCTTGTGTAAGATACTGCACCCTACCCGCTCCTGTATCACCACCACCAGGACTCCTGGTACATACTCCAGGACAGATACAGGAGAGTTGAGTCGTCCTGTTCCTGGCATTCCTATCTGGGCTACACTACCTACCCCATCGCCAGAGAAAGGTGAGACAGAAGCACAAAGTGGTTGTACACTATGCTATGACCTTCCAGTTTTCTCCAGCTCTGTTGCATTGTGCTGCCATCAATTTTAATGAGCCTGATGATACCGCCGTGTTGACAGTTTGGAAAGGGAATCAAGTTACTAGTAGACTTAAGCTGCAGCCAGCCAAACAGTTGCTCTGCAGGAAAATCACCAAGATTGCAGTGAGTGTGGAAGTCCTCAGAGCCAATTAGGTCAGCTTAATAATCTCTGATCAAGTGGGTATTTTATAACTTGTCCCAGGGGTGTTGGGAGGGCATATGGAGAAAATACCCTTATTCTATTGCTTTTTGTTGTTGGAGACGGTCTGACTCTGTCACCCAAGCTGGAATACACTGGCACAATCATGGTTCACTGCATGCTCGACCTGGGCACAAACAATCCTCCCACCTCAGCTGAGTAACTGGGACTATAGGTGCGTGCCACCATGCCTGGCTAAATATTTTTGGTAGCGATGAGGTCTCACTATGTTGCACAGGCTGGTTTCAAACCCCTGGGCTCAAGTGATCCTCCTGACTTGAACTCCCAAAGTGCTGGGATTACAGGCATGAGCCACTGCACCTGGCCAGAGTTAACTCTATTTCTGATTAAGGGGACTTGACCCCTGGCCAGGAGGGGCCTGGGGTCTCTGTGTTTAAGACAGCACTCCCCAGCGCCAGCCCTGGCAGAGGAAGAGTGGAGGTATGGGGAGGGAGGCCTCAAACAGAATCTAGAGATCATATTCTAGCCCCAACCTGGCCACTGAATGGTATTTGCTCCCCTCTGTCACTTCCCCTCTGAGCCTCCAGTTCCTCAACTGAAACTCCGAGGCCCAAGCTAAGTGAGCCTGCAGGTTGTTTCAGCTGTACAAATCTGCATGTGGTTCACCGTGAGCCTAACCAGCAATAGGAATACTAATTGTATTTCATGCCGTTACTCCCAGTTACCCTCTGAAGGAGTAGGTAAGGGTTTGGGCTAGTAGAAAATGTCAGAGCTATGTTTAGGCTGATGGAATTGAAAAGGATAGACCAGTAGCATGGGGCCAGATGAGTGCTGCACTTTCAGTGAAGGAGGTGTCTTCCAGAAATTGCCACAGGTATATACATAAGTTGGCCAGACTAGTCAGTCATCTAGTAGCATTACAGATGCAGGTTAGTACATACATCTGCCATTGATGGCCATTTACTGAGAGGAATTTAGTCTTCAACTTCCCTGAAAAATAACCTATAATCCCCTTTTATGGATGTGGAAACTGAAGGATTTAGAGGTGAAGTGCCCTATCCAATGTCATGTAGCTAGTAATGATGACCAGGCTGGGATCCAAACCCAGCTCTGCCCAAACCCAAAGCTGCTGTATGTTGCCATATATCCCTCCCTAGGGCCCTTGCTCCTGGCTCAGTTCTGATGAGAAAGTCAGTGGACTTATTTCTCCCTTAGTCCAAAGCAGGGAGCAAAGTAGACACTAGCTAACAAGACTCATTGGTTCCAAAGGTTCAGGACAGGGCGTGAACAGAACTAGTTGTCAGAGTTGGAACCATAAAATGCTTAGGGACACAGGCAAACAGCGAGCACTGTAAATACAACTGGCTGGGCATGGTGTCTCACGCCTGTGATCCCAGCACTTTGGGAGGCTGAGGTGGGTGGATCACCTGAGATCAGGAGTTCGAAACCAGCCTGGCCAACAGGGTAAAACCCCGTGTCTACTAAAAATACAAAAAATTAGCCAGGCATGGTGGTGGGTGCCTGTAATCCCAGCTACTTGGGGGGCTGAGGCAGAAGAATCACTTGAACCCAGGAGACAGAGGTTGCAGTGAGCCAAGATTACATCACTGCACTCCAGCCTGGGCAGCAAAAGTTAATTCCATCTCAAAAAAAAAAAAAAAAATACTTACAACTACAACTCTTATGATAATTTCACACTGTGGGAGGCAGCCCTGTCATATACCATCTTAGAGAACTTGCAAAAGACCCTTTGCTTCTTGGAGCTCAGTTTTCTCATTTATAAATTGTGAGAGCCCTGCCCACTCTCTGAGTCGATAAGCATGACAGGGCAGGATACCCATGAGGAGTAACTTAAGAAGAGCTGGGGACAGCCTATGCCATGGGCCTCTGTCGGTGATAGACTGCACTAGCGTGCATCCAGCCAGGGCCTGAGCACACAAGAAATCCCTGGAAGTGGTTCTGCATAGCTGGTGCTAGATCAGCTGCACCTGGGAGTCACAGTAGCAATGTGTGGGTCAGAAGCCAGCATCTGCGCAGAGTGAGTGACCTGGCGCTGGGGAGTCTGACAGTGGGTGAAGGGACCTGCCAGCCCCAAGAATGGGAATTCCCATCCAGCCCTGGCTTTGTCCATTCCAGTGACTTGGTCAGGGCCCGATCTGCCCTTAGGCTCCCTTCCTGCTGGAACATGGGGCCATTGTTTCCTGCTTCTGTAGCCACCTAGTTCCCCCGACAGCTACCTGTCCAGATCCTACCTACAACCATCCTGCCAAGCTCAGTCCTGACCAGCCACTGAACTGCCTGAGCCCTGCTTCTGACAAAGGGAGTGATGGCCCCTGATGTGTCCGTGGCTCACTGCACTTTACAGGCTCTTGCACATTCTTGTCTTGTTCAAAGATGTCTGACCCCATCTTTCAGACAAGGGAACTGAGGCTCAGGGTCACTTGCAAGGTCCCAGAGTGCAGATCAAGGGTGACTTCTTTCCCTGCCTGCTTAATGCTACTCTTGGGAAAGGCTGGGGGTGAGGCAGCTAACAGGACTGCTAGGACCACTCCATTTAGGCAAAGCTTGTCTCAGTGGATGGGAATTTCTGAAACCTAGAGCTCTTCACAATGCAGGTGTTTTCAGCAAGTGGAAGACAAAAGAAATGAGGCTGAGGAAATCCAAGTTCCCACTGACAGCTTCTCCTGGGTCTGCATTACTGACCACCTGAGAGCCCTCAGTGCCGGCCCGCCACCCCCAGCTTGTTCTCCACCACTGCTCAAGTGACCACACAGCTGGTGCTCTCAGCAGCTCCTAGCTCAGGAACTTTCTGTGACTTCCCAGGGCCTGCAGAGCACTCCTGGCATCGTTCCCCCACCAACCTGCTCTCAATCCACCTTCCAGCCTTCTTTTCACATGGTCCCCACATGCCTTAGCTGGCCATCTGCACCTTGTCGCACTTTGACTTTGTTCATGCTACCTCCTCTGTCTCTTTCCCTACCTGCACCAGCAAAATCCATCCCAGTGTTCAAGAACCAGAGCAAACGCATTAGCCCCAGACAGCCTGGCAGGCAGGAGGCTTCCTTCCCTGGATTTCTCGCTGGATGACCTTGATGACTTGTTCTGCCCCTGGCAGTGACTGCTCTGCTCCCTGTCCTGTCTCCCCTGCCAGATAGCACTCTGGGCCACGTGTCTGATTCCTCTTGCTGGGCCCAGTACACTGGCACTCAGTGAATGTTTCCTCAATCACCAAATGTATTCGTTTCCTGGGGCCACTATGACAAAGTACCACATGCTGAGTGGCTTAAACAACAGAAATTGATTGTCTCACAGTTCTGGTGGCTAGAAGTCCAAGATCTAGGTGTCAGCAGGATGGGTTCCTTCTGAGGCTGCTCCAGGCCTTTCTCCTTGGCTGGGGATGGCCATCTTCTCCATGTGTCGCTTCACATGGAGTTTCCCCTGTGTATGTGTGTGTCTATGTCCAAACTGCCCTTATTTTTGAGGCAGAGTCTCGTTCTTGTGGCCCAGGCTGGAGTGCAATGGCGTGATTTCGGCTCTCTGCAACCTCTGCCTTCTGGGTTCAAGTGATTCTCCTGTCTCAGCCTCCCGAGTAGCTGGGATTACAGGTTTGTACCATCACACCCAGCTAATTTTTGTATTTTTACTAGAGAGGGGGTTTCACCATGTTGGCCAGGCTGGTCTCAAACTCCCGACCTCAGGTGATCCTCCTGCCTCAGCCTCCCTAAGTGCTAGGATTACAGGTGCGAGCCACCGCGCCCAGCCCCTTTTTCTTTTTCTTTTCTTTTCTTTTTTTTTTTTTGAGACAGGGTCTCTCTCTGTCACCCAGTCTGTAGTGCAGTGGCGTGGTCACAGCTCACTGTAGCTGCGAACTCCTGGGCTTGGGTGATCTTCCGGCCTCAGTCTCCTGAGTCACTGGGATTGCTGGCATGAGCCACTGCATCCTGCCCAACTGCTCTTTTTCTAAGAATACCAGTCGTCTGGGATTAGGGCCCACCCTAATGACCTCATCTTAACTATTTGTCTGTAATGACCCTGTTTCTGAATACAATCACATTCTGAGGTACTAGGGGTTAGGACTTCAACATACGGATTTTAGGGGGGCACAGTTCAACCCCTAACACTAAACAAATGAGTTGTGAAAACCTCTGGACCGAGAATGGCAATGGCAGTCAGGTGCTTCACTCCCCTCACGGTCCAGTGTTTGGACACAAGAGTGATGTGATTAAAAGGAGGACTTGGGAGCTCAAGTCTGGAGAACAGAATCAAGTCCTGGTTTGCTTCCTATCTGTTTTGTGATCTGTGTAAGTCAGTTATTCCAAACTGTATTTCTCTTTCACATTAATTATATTAATTCCCATCTCCCTTCCAATCTCACCAGAATTGTTTCATTTTGAGGCACAGAGGGCTAAAATGGCAGCAGATTATACAAATCAATACAAGAGGTCTGGACTCTTAAAAATCAGAACTTACCAATCTGGAGTTAACAAAGTTGGTATCTCCAGACATTTATGGAAACTTCTAATATGCAATGAAAGGCAAGAACCCTGGGCTGGAAGAAACCAGATCACATCTAGTCCCTTGGCTGATGCTGAAACGCCCTCTGCAACATGCCTACCTTACTTGTTGGATACCTTGGTGATGGGGACCCCACTCCTTATAAGGCAATGTATTCCATCTTTGAAAAACAGAAATTTGGCCAGGCATGGTGGCTCATACCTGTAATCCCAGCACTATGGGAGGCTGAGGCAGGTGGATCACGAGGTCAGGAGTTCGAGACCAGCGTGGCCAACATGGTGAAACCCCGTCTCTACTAAAAATACAAAAATTAGCCAGGTGTGGTGGCACGTGCCTGTAATCCCAGCTACTCTGGAGGCTGAGGCAGGAGAATAGCTTGAACCTGGGAGGCGGAGATTACAGTGAGCCAAGATCCCACCACTGCACTCCAGCATGGGACAGAGCTAGACTCCGTCTCAAAAAAACAAAACAAAACAAAACAAAACAGATTTTTTAAAATCTCTAAAATAGTAAGGCACACCAGGCGCAGTGGCTCACTCCTATAAATCCCAACACTTTGGGAGGCCGAGGCAGGTGGATTGCTTGAGCTCATGAGTTCAAGACCAGCCTGGGCAACATGGTGTAACCCCATATCTACAAAAAATAGAAAAATTAGCCAGGCACAGTGGCGTGCACCTGCAGTCCCAGCTACTCAGGAGGCTAAGGCAGGAAAATCACTTAAGCCCAGAAGGCAGAGGTTGCAGTGAGCCAAAATCAAGCCATTGCACTCCAGCCTGGGTGACAGAAATGAAACCCTGTCTCAAAAAATAATAAGAATAAAATAGTAAGGCAGCTGTATTTTTTTTATCATGAGCCTTGTTACTAATATGGTAAACAAATCCTTTTTAAAAGGCTCTTATTTATGCAATTTCCTGTAACACTTTTGGCTGTAATTTTGCCCAATGGAGCTAAAGAAGAATGGATTTAATTCAGCTTCTTTCTTTTTAAGACAGAGTCTCGCAATGTTTCCCAGGCTGGTCTCAAGCAATCTGCCCACCTTGGTTTCCTAAAGTCCTAGGATTCCAAATGTGAGCCACCACACCCAGCCAAATTCAGCCTTTTTTTTTTTTTTTTTTTTTTGAGACAAACTCTGGCTCTATCAATCAGTGTCTATCAGGGGTATCCTGTTGCTTGTTCCATTACATCCCTATTGATACAGCCTTAGCTGCCAGCCCTGTGATGTCACCATCATACTGCTATAGCCACTGGGCTCAGTCCCCTGAAACTTCCTGTGTGCTCTGCTATGCACATGAATGAGCCTTGTCTCCCCCACCTCTCTGTCCTGGACCTAGGCTGGTGATGTTTTAGGCCCCAGTGAATTTTTTTTAGTTTGACAACGGTTGTCCCCTATCATGACTTCCCTGGAGGCCACTCAGACAATAAAGAAGGAAGCCCTATTTTAATAATGCAGGCTCCATTCCTCATGTCTATGCTTAATGTGGGGACAGTTCTGGAAAGGGAGGACAATAAGTACCCAGAGGTAATGGCGGACTCCCTCCTGGTGTAAATCTAAAACTGCTCAAATCACATGGGACAGCCCAGCCATCCATGTTAGAAATGATGCCATTCTCCTTGGGGAAGAGTCATTGATTCTTCCACTCAACACACTGAGCATCTACTGTGTACACAGCTCTGTGTTAAGTACTGTTTACTTGGATCAGCAGAAGGGCTCAAATGTCAGGAGGTGATGAGTTATATTTATATATGAGAATACAAAAAGATGAACAGGATAGAAATAATCTCTAGTCCTACCCACACAGAACCTACAGGCTACTGAGCAAAACACTTATGTAAATGTGTAATTGCAATGCAGTGTGTAAGTTCCGTAGCATCGGGTAGTACACGAACTGAGGAAGGGCAGGGCAGGGACAGAGCTCCCGAGGAAATGACCTGAGGAGTGAGTAGGAGGGAGCCAGGCAACATGTGAAAAGAAGAGCATTCAGAGAGCAGGACCATCCTGTGCAAAGGGCTGGGGGCCAGACAGCTGAGAGAAACTCAGCATGGGAGGAATGAAGAGTGAAGAGGATGCTCATGAGAGATGAGGTTGGGGAGGTAGGAGTGGGGCAGGCCAGAAAGAGCTCTCGGGGCCAGGCGCAGTGGCTCATGCTTGTAATCCCAGCACTTTGGGAAGCTGAGATGGGTGGATCACGAGGTCAGGAGTTCGAGACCATCCTGGCCAATATGGTGAAACCCCATCTCTACTAAAAATGCAAAAATTAGCTGGGCGTGGTGGTGGGCGGCTGTAATCCCAGCTACTTGGGAGGCTGAGGCAGGAGAATTGCTTGAACCTGGGAGGTGTAGGTTGCAGTGAGCCAAGATCGCTCCACTGCATTCCAGCCTGGGCGATAGAGCTAGACTCCGTCTCAAAAAAAAAAAAAAAAAAAGCTCTCTTGGGGTCTTTGAACAACCTTAAACAAGCAAGTGGTGGGACCAAAATTTCTTTTTGAAATTGCACGTGGAGGCTGGGTGTGCTGGCTCATACCTGCAATCCCAGCACTTTGGGAGGCTGAGGCAGGCAGATCACTTGAGGTCAGGAGTTCAAGACCAGCCTGGCCAACATGGTGAAACCTTGTCTGTACTAAAAATACACACACACACACACGAAATAGCCAGGCATGGTGGTGGGCAACTTTAATCCCAGCTACTTGTGAGGCTGAGGCAGGAGAATCATTTGAACCCGGGAGACAGAGGTTGCAATGAGCCGAGATCGTGCCATTGCACTCCAGCCTGGGCAACAGAGGTAGACTCTGTCTCAAAAAAAAAAAAAAAAAGAAAGAAAGAAAGAAATTGGGGAAGGAGCAGGATTAGAGGCAGGAAGACCATTTAGAATAGGCAGCAATCTATTCTAGAGGCAGCAGTCACAATGAGGAATGAAGAGGGCCTGAGCTAGAGAAGTGGACAGGCTGGCAAGAGGTTAATAGGGTCTGGGGTTAGGGAGAGAGGAAATGCAAGGCAGGCACTCAGATCTGGCACCTAGGACAGGAAATGGAGGAGGGAGAGGAGCAGGCTGGGAACAGGACAAGAGAAAAGAATGAGTCTCAGCATCTAGGCTTTGACTGAAGTTACAGGTTTCATCTTTTTTTTTTTTTTTTTGACAGGGTCTCACCATGTCGTCCAGGCTGCAGTGCAGTGGCATCTGGCTCACAAGCAGCCTTTACCTCCAGGGTTAGGTGAGTCTCCCATCTCAGCCTCCCAAGCAGCTGAGACCACAAGCATGAGCTACCATGCCCAGCTCATTTTTGTATTTTTTGTAGAGACCGGGGTCTCACTGTGTCATACAGGCTTGTCTGGAACTCCTGGGATCAAGCGAACCTCCCACCTCTGCCTCCCAAAGTGTTGCGATTAAAGGCGTGAGCCACCGTACCCAGACTCATCCACTTTGTTATTCAACAGATAGTGAATCCTCCTCTGTGCAAGTCCTGGAATTATGGTTTCAGGATTCATTGGCACAACAGTTGGCAACTGAAATTATGGGTATAGACAGGTCATCTAGGAAAAAAGTGTGTAAAATGAGAAGAAAAGAAGGCCCAGAACAGATCGCTAAGGTACGATTTGTTGTTGTTGTTTGAGACAGTCTTTTTTTTTTTTTTTTTTTTTTTTTTTGAGACAGAGTCTCTCCGTCGCCCAGGCTGGAGTGCAGTGGCGCGATCTCCACTCACTGCAGGCTCCGCCCCCTGGAGTTCACGCCATTTCCTGCCTCAGCCTCCCGAGTAGCTGGGACTACAGGCGCCCGCCACCTCACCCGGCTAATTTTTTGTATTTTTAGTAGAGACGGGGTTTCACCGTGTTAGCCAGGATGGTCTCGATCTCCTGACCTCGTGATCCGCCCACCTCGGCCTCCCAAAGTGCTGGGATTACAGGCATGAGCCACCGTGCCCGGCTGAGACAGTCTTGCTTTGTCAGCCAGGCTGGAGTGCAGTGGTGCAATCTCGGCTCACTGCAACCTCTGCCTCCCAGTTTCAAGCAGTTGTCCTGCCTCAGCCTCCCGAGTAGCTGGGACTACAGGCATGTGCCACCACGCCTGGTTAATTTTTGTATTTTCAGTAGAAACGATATTTCACCATGTTGGTCAGGCTGGTCTCAAACCCCTGACTTCAGGTGATCTGCCCCCTTTGGCCTCCCAAAGTGCTGGGATTACAAGTGTGAGCCACCGTACCCAGCCTGTTGTTTGTTTTTTAAGGGAGGACAGAAGAAGAGGAACCAGCCAGGCAACAAGACACGAAGGAGCCAGAGCAGTTGGAAGAAACCAGGAGAGTGATGTCCCTAAAGCCAGTTTTTTGTTTGTTTTTGAGACAGAGTTTTGCTTTTGTTGCCCAGGCTGGAGTGCAATGGCGTGATCTCGGCTCACTGCAACCTCCGCCTCCTGGGTTCAAGCAATTCTCCTGCCTCAGCCTCCCAAGTAGCTGGGATTATAGGCACCTGCCATCACGCCCAGCTAATTTTGTTTGTCTGTTTGTTTGTTTTTGAGACAGAGTCTCACTCTGTCATCCAGGCTGGAGTGCAGAGACGCAATCTCAGCTCACTGCAAGCTCCGCCTCCCGGGTTCACGCCATTCTCCTGCCTCAGCCTCCCGAGTAGCTGGGACTACAGGTGCCCACCACCAAGCCCAGCTAATTTTTGTATTTTTAGTAGAGACGGGGTTTCACCGTGTTAGCCAGGATGGTCTCGATCTTCTGATCTCGTAATCTGCCCACCTCGGCCTCCCAAAGTGCTGGGATTACAGGCGTGAGCCACTGCGCCCGGCCTGTTTGTTTTTTGAGATGGAGTTTTGCTCTTGTTGCCCAGGCTGGAGTGCAATGGTGCTATCTCAGCTCACTGCAATCTCTGCCTCCCGGGTTCAAGAGATTCTCCTGCCTCAGCCTCCTGAGTAGCTGGGATTACAGGTGCCCACCACCATGCCTGGCTAATTTTTGTATTTTTAGTAGAGACGGGGTTTCACAATGTTGGTCAGGCTGGTCCTGAACTCCTAACCTCAGGTGATCCGCCCACCTTGGCATCCCACAGTGCTGGGATTACAGGCATGAGCCACCGTGCCCAGCCCCTAAAGCCAGTTCAGATGACCCTGAAGACAGGGTCCTCAGAAGCCTAGGGTGTCACATGCATCCATGCTTCCAAGTCCACCAGTAAGATAAGGTCTGAGGTGCATCATTGCTAATCTGTCATAGAGCAATTCAAGGGTTCGGGTTGGGGTTGAGGCCAGACTAAGGAGAGCTGGGCAGTGGGAGGGATAAGTGGAGATAATAAGTGTCCTTCAAGAGGATTGGTTGTGAAGAGGAGAGAGAAGGTGAGAGGTGAAGAAAGGACAAGGGGTGTAAGGAGCTTCCCCAGCAAGCTGCAAGACCTGACCATGATTCAATGCTCATGCAAAATGCCAGCTGAAAAGGGGAGGTTGAATACACAGGAAGGGAGATAGACCATTAGGCAGGTTTTCTCCAAAAGCCTCATGATGCATAACTAAGATTGGGGTTTGAGAATTGGAGGATAGAGAATTTAAGTTTGATATAAAGAAAAAATAAGGAACAAAAGAACAGACCTGTGAATCAGTGGAAAGGTCTTTGCAGACAAAGATGGGACTGTTGGTACTTGTGAATACTGCAGAAAGAGATCCTAGCTCCATATACAGGTTGGACAAAATGAGGGCTGAAGTGCCTTTCAAAGATTTAAATTCTTGATCCCATCCCACATTTTATTTTATGGCGAGGGGGTGCACAATTTACAAATGAACTACATATTTCTGATTGAGAATGGCTAATAAAATTCTCATTATTTCATTCAAGGTCCCTAAATACCCACTGTGTTCCAAGCACTGGGTTGGGACACAGCAGATCTGAGTTCCATACACTAAGCCTTTTCCACTTAATGTCAGTTATTTAAATGGATCAGGTCAAGTGCGATAGTGCGCACCTGTAATCTTAGCTACTCAAGAGGCTGAGGTGGGAGGATGGCTTGAGGCCAGGAATTGGAGGCTGCAGTGTGCTATAATCACACCTGTGAATAGCCACTGCACTCCAGCCTAGGCAATGTGGCAAGATCCCATCTCTAAAAATAAAAATAAACAATTTTAAAAGGGCTGGGCATAGTGGCTCACATCTGTAATTCCAGCACTTTGAGAGGCCAAGGCCGGAGGATTTTTTGAGGCCAGGAGTTTGAGAACAGCCTGGGCCACAAAGTAAGATCCCCATCTCTACAAAAAAAATTTAAAAATTAGCTGGGCATGGTAGCATGTACCTGTAGTCCAGTTTCTTGGGTGGCTGAGGCAGAAGGATCCCTTGAACCCAGGAGATCAAGGTTACAGTGAACTGTGATCACACCTCTGTACTCCAGCCTGGAGTACACTGGGCAACAGAGTGAGACCCTGTCTCTTAAAAAAAATAAAAAATAAAAAATGGGATCAATTTCTGTATAAGTCATTGTTTGCACTCACCTTGTTGGTAAACTGGGAGCAGCTGCGGCTGGAGGACAGTTGAGGCATGTTATCTTGGGATTGCTGAATGCTGCAGTTCACAGTGGGGAGGATCTCCACTTCATTCCTTCTTTACCATCTCAAGAGCTCCTGAGAAAGCTGGAGGTTTGGCCGGGTATGGTGGCTCATGCCTGTAACCCCAGCATTTTTGGAGGCTGAGGCGGGCAGATCACTTGAGGCCAGGAGTTCAGGACCAGCCTGGCCAACATGGTGAAACCCTGTCTCTACTAAAAATACAAAAATTATCTAGGCATGGTGGTGCGCACCTGTAGTCCCAGCTATGTGGGAGGTTGAGGCATGAGAATCTCTTGAACCAGGAGGTGGAGGCTGCAGTGAGCCAAGATTGTGCCACTGCACTCCAGCCTGATCGAGAGAGTGAGACTCCATCTCCAAACAAAAAAAAAAAAAAAAAAAAAAAAAAAAGGAAAAAGAAGAAAGGTGGAGGTTTTTGGAGCATTCTCAGAGTGCAGTATTTGTTTCTAAGTCTCAGCAGGGGATGTAGAGATGGGGCAGAGGCAGGTGGTTCTTCCATTCCACCCCAAACCTCACTGGACTCAGACTCTCAGGGATACACTATAATGACTGCTAACTTTGGTAGCACCTGCACCTAGTGTAGCTTCCTAATGCTTCCGTGAATCCCAGGGAGAACACTGTAAAATGATCATATGATCTTTTATTTCTCACTTAATTCATTCTGTGTCATTCCATTGGTTTGTGAATTGTGTCAATAGATAGAAAGTTTGGACTGTGGGTGTCTGGAAATATATCCACCCCTTCTACATTAATTCTTATGAAAAAATATTTTATTCACCTTTTTTACTGTAAGATGAATTTCCCAGTAATGTAACCTTGATGCAAATAAATGCTCTAACCGTTGTGCCAAAAGTTGCAATTAATAAACCCAATGTCTTGTTCTTCTTCTCAACCCAATTCTAAAATGAGGGTTTTCTCTAAGATGCAAATTCTAACACACACGAATAATCTTCTCATATAAGGTTGATGGTTTCTCTAACACAAAACTCTTAACAGTCTGGATATAAAGTGGCTGTACTAGGATGTATTCAATTTCATAAAGTTCTCTACAGCTTGTAGCTCCATTAGAAACAAATCTCAGCGTCTCAAAAACCCTCAGAAAACTAGGAATAGAGGGAACTTCCTGAATTTGATTAAGAACATCTACAAAACCCTGCATTTAATACTATACTTAATGGTGAAAAATGGAATGCTTTCTTTCTAAGATTGGGAACAAGGCAAGGATGTCCACTCTCACCACTCTTATTCAACATACAACTGAACATTCTAGGCAGTGTAACAGGCAAGAAAGAAAAGAAAAGAAAAGGCACACATTTCAGAAAGGCAAAAATAAAATGGTCTGTATTTGCAGATGATACGATGTGGTAGAAAGTCCCAAAGAATCTACACACACACACACACACACACACACACACACACATACACACACACATACACACATACAAAATTCCTAGAATCTATATACTAATGAACATATGGAAACCAAAATTAAAAATAAAATACCATTTATAATCACTCAAAACATGGAATATTTGGGTGGAAATCTAACAAAACATGTATAGGATTTCTATGCTGAAAACTATAAAATGCTGATGAAGGAAATCAAAGAATATCTAAATAAACTGAGAGGTAAAACTGTGTTCATGGGTTGGAAGACTAAACATAATAAAGTTGTCAATTATTCCCATATTGGCACACTTTCTATCAAAATTCCAACAAAATCTATTTCTTGCAAATATTGACAAAACTTTTCTAAAATTTATGTGGAAAGGCAAAGGAACTAGAATAGCTAGAATAATTTTAGATGGTTTATTAAAATTTAGCTAATTTTAGAGAAAAATCAGTCTACCTAAGTTCAAAACCTGTTATATGGTCACAGTGTGGTTCTGGCCCAGGAATAGCACACAGATCAATGGAACAGAACACAGAACTCGGAAACAGAGCCACACAACTATTTTTGACTGCTGATTTTTGACAAAGGTGCAAAAGCAATCAATGGAGACAAGTCTTTTCAACAAATGGTGCTGAAGCAACTGGACATCTATAGGCCCCAAAATCAACCAAACAACAAAACTTTGACATAAGTCTCATATATTGTACAAAAATTAACTTAAAATGGACCTCAGTGCCAGACGTGGTGGCTCACGCCTGTCATCCTAACACTTTAGGAGGCCAAGGAGGGAGGATCACTTGAGGCCAGAAGTTTGAGACCAACATGGCAAGACCTTGTCTCTACAAAAAACACAAAAATTTGTTGAGCATTGTGGGGCACACTTGCAGTCCCAGCTACTACAGAGGTTGTGGTGGAAGGATCGCTTGAGCTTGGGTGATGGAGGCTGCAGCAAGCTATGACTGCATCACTGCATTCCAGCCTGGGTGACAGAGCAAAATCCTGTCTCAAAAAAAAAAAAAGACCTCAGACTAAAATGTAAACATAAGACCATAAGACTTTCTGCTCACTTTGGCAACACATAAACCAAAACTGGAATGATACAGAGTAGATTAGCATGGCCCCATGTAAGGATGATATAAAAATTTGTGAAGCATTTCATATTTTAAAAACAATTCTATAAAAAATTTAGAAAAAAAAAAGAAGCACAGGAGAAAACATTTGGGATCTAGAGTGAGACAAAGAGCTCTTAAACTTAGCCCCCAAAACATGATTCATAAAAGGAAACATTTATATATTGGACTTTGTCAAAATTAAAAGCTTTTGCTCTGCAAAAGACCTTGTAAAGAGGATAAAAAGACAAGCTACAGCTACAGACTGGGAGAAAATATTTGCAAACCACATACCTGACAAAAGGACTAGTAACTAGAAATATGAAGCACTCTCAAAACTCAACAGCAAAAAAACAAGAATAGAATTAGAAAATGGGCAAAAGACATGAAGAGATTTCACTGAAGAGGATATACAGAAGGCAAATAAGCACATGAAAAGATGTTCAACATTATTATTAGCCATTTGGGAAATGCAAATTAAAATCACAATGAGATATCACTGCACTCCTCTCAGAATGGAAAAAATGAAAAATAAGGACAACACCAAATGCTAGTGAGAATGCAGAGAAACTGATCAATTATATATGTCTGGTGAGAATGTAAAATCATACAGCCACTCTGGAAAACAGTTTGGCAGTTTCTTATAAAAATGAAACATGTGCCAGGCACAGTGGCTCACGCCTGTAATCCCAGCACTTTGGGAGGCTGAGGCGGGTGGATCACTTAAGGTCAGGAGTTCGAGACCAGCCTGACCAACGTGGTGAAACCCATCTCTACTAAAAATACAAAAATTAGCCGGGCATGGTGGTGCATGCCTGTAATCTCAGCTACTCAGGAGGCTGAGGCGGGAGAATCGCTTGAACCCAGGAGACAGAAGTTGTGGTGATTGAGATCACACCACTGCATGCCAGCCTAGGCAACAGAGTGAGACTCCATCTCAAAAAAATTAAAATAAAATAAAAAATAAATAAAAAGGAACACACTACCCATACACAAAACAACCAGGATGAATCTCCAGGGAATCATGCTGAGGGAAAAAAGCCAGCCCCCAAAGGTTACAGAACTGCATGGTTCTGTTTATTAAAAACCCTCTTAAAATGACACAATTATAGAAATGGAAAATATTAGTGGTTGGCAGAGGTTAGGGAGGGGGTGGGGCTGGAGGGAAGTGGGTGTGGCTATACAAATCAAAATGATGGGTTTATTGGGGTGTTATGGGGTGATTCAGAAAATCCAAGGAAGGGTCTCAAAAGAGTTGAAACTGGGCAGCTCTGGGCAACTCAGTTGGCAGAAGTTTATGGACTTGCCATTCCTCATGATTTCCGGGCTACAGAGTCATCATTAGCAGAGAGAATCGTGAGAGAAGAGAACCTGGTTGATAGAGCTTTGGAAGGATAGCCAAACATCAAGGCTGGGCACAATGTCTCATGCCTATAATCCCAGCACTTTGGGAAGCTGAGGTGGGAGGATGACTTGAGCCCAGGAGTTTGAGACTAGCCTGGGTAACATGGCAAAACCCCATCTCTACCAAAAAACATTATCTGGGCAGGGTGGCACACATTTGTGGTCCCCAGCTACTCAGGAGGCTGAGGTGGGAGGATCACTGAGCCTGGGAGTTCAAGGCTGCAGGTGCCACTGCATTCCAGCTTGGGTGACAGAGTGAGACCCTGTCTCAAAAAAAAAAAAAAAAATCCACATCCTTGTTATTATTTATCTTTCCAATTTTAAATATCCTAGCAAGTGCGAAGTGGTATCTCACCATGGGTTTGGTTTGCATTTCCTGATAGTTAACTATGTTGAGCATCTTTTCATGTGCTTATTGACCCAGAGATGATCTTCTATCACATGTCTGCATCAGGTTGGTCAGCTTCCGGGGACAGTATCACACGGCGGAGCCCAAGTTACTATGGGGCGCTCTGGTTCCTGGGGTTGTTTTCAGAGATGACCATGAGGAAGCAGTGTGGTGAGAAAGGTCTCCCATGAAGATACGGATTTTTTTTGTTTTGTTTTTGTTTTTTTTCGAGACAGGGTCTTACTCTGTTGCCCAAGCTGGAGTGCAATGGCACGATCTTGGCTCACTGCAATATCCACCGCCCAGGTTCAAGCGATTCTCCTGCCTCAGCCTCCCAAGTAGCTGAGACTACAGGCGCCCACCACCACACCCAGCTAATTTTTGTATTTTTAGTAGAGACGGGGTTTCACCATGTTGGCCAGGCTGGTCTCGAACTCCTGACCTCAGGTGATCCTCCTGCCACTGCACCTGGGGAAATTTTGAAGCCCTAGAATGGAGGAGATTCCCAATGACAGTGAGGGAGAAGCGTGAGAGTTGTGAAAGCTTTGGGGACCCTTTGAAGTTAAGGGTGAGATGAGAAGGTGGAGACACGTCAGACCAACTGTCCTAACTGGGTACGGGGAGGGGCAGGACCAGCCAAACTAGGGATGAGGCCAGTGACAGGGATAAACTGTCAAGATGAGGTCTGAGGGTGGGAAGGTCCCCGCAGGTTGCGGGCGGTGGAAACAGGCATGGGAGCAGGGGCTCAGGAATGAGACCCCTCCCTGAGTGTTTCGGCAGGTCTGAGCCAACGGGGCCTTACACACCTCTTCTCACGTAGTCCTCACTACTGCCCTCTGGTGGTGGCTGTCTCCATTTCACAGGGGAGGACGTTGAGAAGTTCCTCTGCGTGAAAGGACAGAGCTGGGAGGTGAACCCCGGCCTGAATTATCCAAAACCCTGTGCACTTCTCAGGACACTGTAGTGTTCCAGGACCCCATAGGGACCCAGTGAGGGAAGAGATTATTATCATTTGGAAGACATTTGGGGTGGGGGTCTCAGCCAAAACATCAACTCATCAGAAAGACTCCTCTTGGCCACCCATCTAAAGAAGGTCCCTTTCCTCATTTCTCACGCGGCACTCAATTAGTTTCTTCACTGCCCTCATCATAATTCAAGACCATATAGTTATACGTGAATATAGTTTACTTTTATTGTAAACTACAGTTTGCAGGAAAAGGACCGTGGAGGCCTCTTTTGTTCCGCATTCTATCCCCAGCACCTGCTGTGGTACCAGGCACGCAAGCAGGCACTCGAAACTGCTTTGGTGGATGCAGCAGTGGGGTGCACTGGAAAACGGAGGCAAATGAGGGATGTCAGAGGTCACAAGCCTCCACCAGAGACTGAAGGTGTTGACTTTCACCCCCCACACCCTCCAGAGTGTGATGGGGGGTTTGCTCTCTCAGGGTCAGCATAAAAATGATGCTTATGTTACAGGGATGAGAACCAAGGTTGGGGAAGCAGAAAGTAGGTGGTGTGACCAGCGAGGGTGTGATCAGCAAGGGTGCCGAAAATGGGACAACTGACAGCCTTGGAAGAAGCAGGTTCTTTGGCCATGGGACCTGAGGCAGGCCCTCAGCAGCTGGGGTTGGGCAGCTTGGGTGGCTCCATGCTTCACTTCTTCCTCTGAGGAACTGGCCAGAAAGCTGACTTCAGCGACGACTCAGGGAACAGTCAGGTTCACCCAAGGGGCAGAATGTGGCCTGAGAACAGATGAAGTCAGTTACGCCTCAGTCATCGCTGTCATATTTTCTCTTCTGCACTTGCTCATTCAGAAAATATTTATTGGCATCTACTAGGTATTAAGAAGTCCTTGTAGGCCGGGTGTGGTGGCTCACGGCTGTAATCCCAGCACTTTGGGAGGCCGAGGTGGGTGGATTACGAGGTCAGGAATTCGAGACCAGCCTGACCAACATGGTGAAACCCCATCTCTACTAAAAATACAAAAATTAGCCAGGCGTGGTGGCATGTGCCTGTAATCCCAGCTGAGGCAGGAGAATCGCTTGGACCCAGGAAGCGGAGGTTGCAGTGAGCAGAGATCGTGCCATTGCATTCCAGCCTGGGCAACAGAGTGAGACTCTGTCTCAAAAAAACAGAAAAAAAGAAAAAGAAAAAGAAAAAAAGAAGTCCTTGTAATGCCAGCACTTTGGGAGGCCGAGGCAGGCAGATCACCTGAGGTCAAGATTTTGAGACCAGCCTGGCCAACATGGTGAAAACCCATCTCTACTAAAAATACGAAAATTAGCCAGGCCTGGTGGCATGTGCCTATACTCCCAACTACTTGGGAAGCTGAAGCAGGAGAATCGCAGGAATCTGGGAGGCAGAGGTTGCAGTGAGCCAAGATCATGCCACTACACTCCAACCTGGGTGACAGAGTGAGACTCCATCTGAAAAAAAAAAAAAAAAAAATGCTAGGCAAGGTGGCTCACATCTGTAATCCCAGCACTTTGGGAGGTTCAGATGGGTGGATCACCTGAGGTTAGGAGTTCAAAACCAGCCTAACCAACATGGAGAAACCCCATCTCTACTGAAAATACAGTATTAGCCAGGGGGATTGGGGGCTCATGCCTGTAATCCCAGCTACTCAGGAGGCTGAGGCAGGAGAATTGCTTGAACCCGGGAGGCAGAGCTTACGGTGAGCCCAGATCGCACCATTGCATTCCAGCCTGGGCAACAAGAGTGAAACTCGGTCTCAAAAAAACAAAACAAAACAAAAAGTCCTGTGCTTGGTGCTGGGGATAGAGTAGGAGAGAGTCCATGCCCTGATCCCCTGGCCCCGTAGGACACAGTGACAATGCAAGGCTCCAGGCAACCTCAGGCAGAGGCCTGACCTGACTTGTCACCTTGTCTCTCTAGGGCTTTGCCCTGGGTTCAGTGCTGGGAAGGTACTCCAAATGGTTCCTTAACTGAAGGCGCCTACACTCTAGAGGGAATGACAGACAAAAGAGGCAGATGTCATAAAGGGTGAGAAGTGGGCAAAGAAGGGGCCGGGCACGGTGGCTCACACCTGTAATCCCAGCACTTTGGGAGGCTGAGGCAGGAGGATCACTTGAGGTCAGGGGTTTGAGACCAGCCTGGCCAACATGGTGAAAGCCTGTCTCTACTAAAAATACAAAAATAAGCTGGGTGTGGTGGCAGGCACCTGTAATCCCAGCTACTTGGGAGGCTGAAGCAGGAGAATTGATCAAACCCAGGAGGTGGAGGTTGCAGTGAGCTGAGATCGTGCCACTGCACTCCAGTCCGGGCGACAGAGCAAGACTCCATCTCAAACAAACAAACAAACAAAAAAAAGTGGGTGAAGAAGAGGGTCTTGTGGGAGCCCAGAGATGGTTACTGGGGAGATCAGAGAAAGTTCTGAGAGGAAGCAGCTTGTGCACTGAAGGACCTGCAGACAGTAGCCAGGCAAGGCTCAGTGTGGGAGGGTGGAGGAGTGGGGAGTGTGCAGGAACAGGAAACAGGCTGTGCCAAGACCTGGAGGTGACAGAACATGATCCTTTAGGGAACTCAAAATAGTTCTGTGTAGCTGGAGCACAGAGTGGCAAAAAATTAGGCAGGAGTCCTAAAGGCTAGAAGAAGTTTTCTAGGAGCCAACTTCAAAAGGAGCTTGGCACAGTTGGGGTAGCCACTGGGGCCTCAAACTCCAGAGGGTCTAATCTGGAAACTGGACCCCCATCCTCAACCTTGACCCCGTGACCTAGCACTCTGGGTACTCTAGCTTCTCCAAACTAAGTTCTTCCTTGCCTTCTCCTGTTAACAACAGGAAAGAGTCTGGTTTAATATGTTGTTATTACTTGTTTTTCTTTGAGATGGGATCTCATAATGTTGCCCAGGCTGGCCTCTAACTCCTGGGCTCAAGCAATCCTCATGGCCTCAGCCTCCCAAGTAGCTGGAAGGCTACAGGTACATGCCAGTGCACCCGGCTCTTATTTTTATTTTTATTTTATTGTATTTTATTTTTGAGATGGAGTCTTTCTGTGTCACCCAGGCTGTAGTACAGTGGCATGATCTCGGCTCACTGCAACCTCCACCTCTTGAGTTGAAGCTATTCTCCTGCCTCAGCCTCCTGAGTAGCTGGGATTACAGGCACGAGCCACCATGTCCAGCTAATGTTTTGTATTTTTAGTAGAGATGGGTTTTCACCATGTTGGTCAGGCTGGTCTCAAACTCCTGACCTCAAGTTATCTGCCCACCTAAGCCTCCCAAAGTGCTGGGACTACAGGCATGAGCTACCAAGCCCGGCCTAATTTATTTTTAAAGAACTTCCTACATGTTCTCAGCCATTTGGACAGATTGAACATTGATTCATTATCCAAGCAGAAAAAGCACCAGAAACTGACTTTAAATCCAAGAATAAGAGTGGAATGAAAATTGATTCTTTCCTCTTTACTATAGTAAGACAAAGTACTACGTTACTTTACTGAAAATTTTTATTTAGTCACAAATGAGCCTAACTTGCTTTCGTGAGATGACTATTTTTAAATGTGATTTCTCTTTTTTCCTTTTAATTTCCACTTATTCACAAATTATACAAAACTGCAATAGCTTTCTTCAGTCAAAAGCGACTGAGTTACTTTAGTGCTGGATTTCATTTTCTCTGTGATCAGAGTCCGCTGCTCAGCCTCACCCCAGAATGTGAAGGCCATTTAAACCTGAGACACGGCCAGGTGTGGTGGCTCATGCCTGTAATCCCAGCACTTTGGGAGGCCGAGGCAGGCGGATTATGAGGTCAGGAGTCTGAGACCAGTCTGGCCAGCATAGTGAAACCCCGCCTCTACTAAAAAATACAAAAATTAGCCAGGTGTGGTAGCAGGTGCCTGTAGTCCCAGCTACTGGGGAGGCTGAGGCAGGAGAATCGCTTGAACCCAGGAGGCAGAGGTTGCAGTGAGCCGAGGTCGCGCCACTGCACCCCAGCCTGGCGACAGAGAGAGACTACGTCTAAAAAAAAAAACCAAAAAAAACCTGAGACACTAAACACATGCCCTCTAGAGTAGCACACCCGTATTTCATGCATGATAAGTGAACCTGCTTCAACCTTCCTCCCTCTTATTTTTACTTTTAGAGACAGACTCTCACTCCATTGCCCAGGCTGGAGTGCAGTAGCATGTCACGGCTCACTGCAGCCTCCACCTCTGGAGGCTCAAGCAATCTTCCTGCCTCAGCCTCTTGGGTAGCTGTGTAGCTGGGACTGAAACTGCCTTTGCAAAATTATGACTGGGACAGTGAAAGAGCTCTAACTTAACTGACTCCAACTTGCTTCTAACCTCCAAGCTGTCCTTGTTCATTCCTGGGCGTAGGCTGAACTAACTTTGGGAGAAAATTAGTTTATAGTTTAAACAAAGACAGTAACAGCCCTTTCCCAAAGCAGACCTCCTTCTTGCCTGGGCTCTAGATTGCCTTTGTAGGACTAATATTAGACATAAGATTAGAAATTATGGTTCAAGAGTCACACAGCTGGAGGGGGACAAGATTCTGACCCTCCCTAAACTGCTCCTAAGGTCACTGCTTGAGATATTTTGCAGACGCTGCACTTGATGGATCAGCTGGCCCTACCCAGATCGATAAACTGGCTCAGCTGATCTTGCAGCCCCGACCCAGGAACTGACTCTGTGCAAGAAGAGAGCTCCGACTCCCTATGATTTCATCCCTGAACAATCAGCACTCCGGCTCACTGGCTTCCCCCACCCAGCAAGTTATCCTTAAAATCTCTGCTCCCTGAATGCTCAGGGAGACTGATTTGAGTAATAATGAAACTCCAGCCTCCCGCACAGCCGGCTCTGCATGAATTACTCTTTCTCTATTGCACTTCCCATGTCTTCATGAATTGACACTGTCTAGCAGCGGGTAAGGTGAACCCCTGGGTGGTTACAGGACCACAGGCACGCGCCACCATGTCTGGCTAACTTTTTTAGTTTTTGTAGAGACCAGGTCTCACTATGTTGCCTAGGCTGCTCTTGAACTCCTGGGCTCAAGTGGTCCTCCTGCCTCAGCCTCGCAAAGTTCTGAGATTACAGGCATGAGCCACTGTACCCGGCATCTCTCTCTTTCCTTTGGTTGCCTCCTGTTGGTCTCCAAACACGCACTTCCTCAGAACCCCTCAACTCTTTGGATTCCTCCAGCCCAGGGTCCATTTTCCACCTGCTTTGACAACTGAGCTTTTTCAAGAAAGGGCTATTTTCACTTTTTCTATTTCTTCAACTCCCCTTTGCCACCAAATCTGCTGTCTCCAAGTGGCCCCTGATCCCCATGGCCACTGGTGTCTTCTCGTTCCTCATTCTCCTGGACTGCTCGGGGCCTTTGATGTTGTGGGCCTCGCCTCCTCAGGACACACACCTGCTCTGTCTCCTGCTTGTTTCTCCCAGGGCAGCTGCACCTGCTGTCTCCTCTGCACTGCTTAGCCCCCGGCATGCGCTCTCCTGCAGCAGTTGGGCCTATCCTCGGTCTTTTTCCAACTCAGAGTAGCTCCCAGATCCCTCTCCACTCAAGACCTCTGCTCTGAGCTTCCACATTGCCTTTCTTCCTGCCTGGGGGCAGCTTCACCTGCGTATTTTCTTTTCTTTTTTTTTTTGAGACGGAGTCTCGCTGTGTCACCCAGGCTGGAGTGCAGTGGCGCGATCTCAGCTCATTGCAACCTCTGCCTCCCAGGTTCAAGCAGTTCTCTGCCTCAGCCTCCCGGGTAGCTAGGATTACAGGTGCCCGACATCACGCCCGGCTAATTTTTGTATTTTTAGTAGAGAGGGGGTTTCACCATCTTGGCCAGGCTGCTCTTGAACTCCTGACCTCTTGATCCACCCGCCTCGGCCTCCCAAAGTGTTGGGATTACAGGCGTGAGCCACCGTGCCCAGTGATTTTTTTATTTTTAGTACAGACAGGGTTTAATCATGTTGGCAAGGCTGGTCTCAAATTCCTGGCCTCAAGTGATCCACCCACCTTGGTCTCCCAAAGTGCTGAGATTACAGGTGTGAGCCACTGTGCCTGGCCAGTATTCTCATCTACAGTTTTAGTATAGTATTTAGGGGAACAGTGTACTATTAGGTAAATAATGAGCTCTAGGATGAGGAATAAAATTCCCAGTATTAAAAGTAAAGATTTGAAAGCATTAGTTTGGGGACTTGTAACCCACAAATAATTTAGGATTTAGTCCAAATTGCAGGAAAAAAAAAACTTAAGAACAACTAACAACAGGTGTACTATAGTTGTTTTTGAAGCCAATTTTTTCTCTCTCCATTCTTCATTTTTATTAAAGATTTGTATTTTTAGTAGAGATGGGGTTTCACCATGTGGGCCAGGCTGGTCTCAAACTCCGACCTCAGGTAATCCACCCGCCTCGGCCTCCCAAAGTGCTGGGATTACAGGCATGAGCCACCTCACCCAGCAATAAGGACATCTTTTTTTTTTTTTGAGACTGAGTTTTGCTCTTTTTGCCCAGGCTGGAGTGCAATGACATGATCTTGGCTCACTGTAACCTCCGCCTTCTGGGTTCTAGTGATTCTCCTGCCTCAGCCTCTGGAGTAGCTGGGATTGCAGGCATGTGCCACCACGCCAGGCTAATTTTGTTTTTTGTTTTTTGTTTTTGTTTTCGTTTTTTTTTTTGAGATGGAGTCTTGTTCTGTCGCCCAGGCTGGAGTGGAGTGGCACAATCTCGGCTCACTGCAAGTTCCGCCTCCCAGGTTCACGCCATTCTCCTGCCTCAGCCTCCCGAGTAGCTGGGACTACAGGAGTCTGCCACCACACCCAGCTAATTTTTTGTATTTTTAGTAGAGACGGGGTTTCTCCATGGTGGTCAGGCTGGTCTCGAACCCCTGACCTCAGTGATCTGCCCGCCTTGGCCTCCCGAAGTGTTAGGATTACAGGCAAGAGCCACCGCGCCTGGCCTAAGGACATCTTTTAAAAAAAAGTTTTCCTGGCCGGGCGCGGTGGCTCATGCCTCTAATCCCAGCACTTTGGGAGGCTGAGGCGGCGGATCACAAGGTCAGGAGATCAAGACCATCCTGGCTAATCTGGTGAAACCCTGTCTCTACTAAAAATACAAAAAATTAGCCGGGCGTGGTGGCAGGAGCCTCTAGTCCCAGCTACTCGGGAGGCTGAGGCAGGAGAATGGCGTGAACCCAGGAGGCGGAGCTTGCAGTGAGCCAAGATGGTGTCACTGCACTCCAGCCCAGGCGAACGTGCCAGACTCTGTCTGGAAAAAAAAAAAAAAAAAAGTTTTCCTATAATTTTTAAATTGGAAAATTGCCTGGACACTTAGTATCTATTATTAATCTTAGATCTCAAATTATATGACAAGTTTGTTTTTCAAGCATTTATTCCATTACATTTACCTGATTATTTAATAGTTTTCCTAGATTAACTGTGATATCGAATAAGCACTAAACCACTTGATCAATAAATGCAAACAAAAATGCTAACAATTCTTAAAACATTTCTAATGTTATTTTACCTATAATGTTAAAGTCAGCTTATTTATTAAAGAGCTTACTTAGGCTGGGCGCAATGGCTCAAGCCTGTAATCCCAGCACTTTGGGAGGCCGAGGAGGGCAGATCATGAGGTGAAGAGATTGAGACCATCCTGGCCAACACGGTGAAACCCCGTCTCTACTAAAAATACAAAAATTAGCTGAGCATGGTGGTGCGCACCTGTAGTACCAGCTACTCAGGAGGCTGAGGCAGAAGAATCACTTGAACCTGGGAGATGGAGGTTGCAGTGAGCCGAGATCACGCCACTGCACTCCAGCCTGGAGACAGAGCGAGACTCTACCTCAAAAAAAAAAAAAAAGAGTTTACTTAAGTCATGCAATCTTGAAAAAGCATTTGATTAGTCTTTCTTTTTTGATAAAGTATTTGATTTAAGCACTTTTATTTTTCTTTAAGCCAGTTAATTAGAACTCATACATTTTTAGTAGTGAAACATTGTGTATACAACACATAAATACATAGACGTATTAGGCATGCCAATAGAAGTACATCTTATAGACTCATAAGACCTCTTTTTTTCCCCCTATTTAGACTTGCAAATTCTTGATAACCTGTTTCTTTACTCTAGGGAATTGTCAGCTGACTAGCCCTAAATTTGCATTTTTTTTTTTTTTAGATGGAATCTCGCTCTATTGCCCAGGCTGGAGTGCAATGGCGCGATACTGGCTCACTGCAACCTCCCCCTCCTGGGTTCAAGCGATTCTTCCGCCTCAGCCTCCCGAGTAGCTGGGATTACAGGCATGTGCCACCATGCCCAGCTAATTTTTGTATTTTTAGTTTTGCCATGTTGGCCAGGCTGGTCTGGAACTCCTGACCTCAGGTGATCTGCCCACCTCAACCTTCCAAAGTGCTGGGATTACAGGCATGGGCCACCATGCCTGGCTAATTTGCATGTTAAAGCAAACAACTCTTAGGTGAAAAATCAGATAGCAAAATTTACATCTCTAAATTCAGAGAGGAAAAAGTCTGGTGTGCTAGAGGGAAGTTAAAACTGATTTAATTGCCAGTTAAACATAAAATTATAGAAATCTATCATAAAGGAAATACACACACACAGACACACATACACACACACAGAGAGAGATCCTATAGCTTTTACTTCAGAACTCTAGCCATGAGATAAACACAAATTCACTGGCTTGCAAAAAAAAAAAAAGTTTGGATCTAAACAGTGGTTTTTATCTCAGTAGAAAAGTAACAGCAGAGTTAAAGCAAGCAGAAAAGAAAATAGAGAGAAAGAGAACTTAGAAATTCTGTGGACCTTTGGGCTCTTTTTCCTTAATGCAGTGGTCATCTTGTGCACAAAGACCATAATATTTCCATTTTACACAAATTCTAACAAGTAGAGGTGCCATAACACTAAGAGTGCCCCAAAAGGGGTTACTCTTCTTGTTTTCTCCGCCTTCTTAGATTATTTGTTTCCTTTTTTTTTTTTTTTTTTTCTTAAAAGGAGGAACTGAGCTGTGTCCTAGGGCTTTTGTGGAGTGGGTCAAAGTGTGTGCTGCTTGAGGGCAGCACTCCATAGTGTGTCACCACTGAGGTGTTACTGCCCTCTTAGCGTCTCAGTTTCTGACTCTGCAGGTCTAAGCCCCTTCAGGAGGGCTGAAAGTGCGGAGTCATCAGCTTCCATATGCCCTTCCTGGACAAGCCTTTTTAAAACTAATTTTGGTGAGGGTTCCCTGTAGGGCCGTTGCACGTCATGAGGGTCAACCCTCCAGACACTCCCATGTGGCCCCCGGTCACCCAGGGGCGCCTTTCAGCTAGCAAGGGCAAAATGCCCTTTCTCTTTTTTTTTTTTTTTTTTTTTTTTGAGAAAGAGTCTTGGTCTGTCACCAGGCTGGAGTGCAGTGGCACCATCTCGGCTCACTGCAACCTCCAACTCCCTGGTTCAAGCTATTCTCCTGGTTCAGCCTCCCGAGTAGCTGGGATTACAGGCACGCGCCACCATGCCCAGCTAATTTTTGTATTTTTAGTAGAGATGAGGTTTCACCATGTTGGCCAGGATGGTCTTGATCTCCTGACCTCGTGATCTGCCCGCCTTGGCTTCCCAAAGTGCTGGGATTACAGGCATGAGCCACCGTGCCTGGCTGCAAAATGCTCTTTCTCTTGGATGCTGAGTAAACTCAGTCTGTCATTTACCTATGAAAACAACAGTTCAGTTCCTCACTTAAATGTACACAGACAAGCCAAATTGAGATTAATTTTGGGAGAAAAAGCAATGGAGAAGACCCTTTAGAATGCGCCTCTGAGCTCAGTGTGGTGGCTCACACCTATAATCACAGCACTTTGGGAGGCCAAGGCGGGTGGATTGCCTGAGCTCAGGAGTTTGAGACCACCCTGTGCAACATGATGAAACCCTGTCTCTATTAAAACACAAAAAATTAGCTGGGTATGACGGTGCATGCCTGTGGTCCCAGCTACGTGAGAGGCTGAGGCAGGAGAATTGCCTGAACCCAGAAGGCGGAGGTTGCAGTGAGCCAAGATTGCACCACTGCACTCCAGCCTAGGTGACAGAGCAGACTCTGTCTCCAAAAAATAAAAATAAAGAATGCACCTCCGAACTAGAAGTAGGATCCTTAAACAACAGCCTCCTAAGACAGAAAAAAAACAACAGCCAAGACTACTTCCTGTAAATTGTGCTCAGCCACCCCTAACTTTGTAGCTCTCGTCCACCATTTCACATGCCAAGGTCAAATCCTCTCTCAGTACAAGGTCATCTCTGGTATCTCTTGTTAAATCAAGTTTAGCCTAAAGCTGCCTCCTTACATATTTTAAGTTCAGCCTAAAGGTTTCTCTGTACATCGTGAACTATAACAAGTGGAGGTATAAACAAACCATGGCCCACACCTGTGCCAATTACTGAGTTTTTGGCCAATCAAATGTAGCCAACTGTTTGAACTGTGTTCAAATAAGACAAATGCTGAGCTGTAACCAATCCAGTTGTTTCTGAACCTCACTTCCGTTTTCTGTACATCACTTCCCTTTTTCTGTCGTAAACCTTCTTCCACCACATGGCTGTGCTAGAGTTTCTGAGCCTAGCCTGGCTCAAAAGGCTCCCCAGTTCATGGATTGTTCATTTCTCAACTAAACTCCTTTAAATTTAATTCAGCTGAAGTTTTGCTTTCATCAGATGGGGTCAGAAACAGGATCTGAAGTAGAGCTTCTTCTAATGACCCCCAGGGGTGCTGAGTGATCAAGCAAGGTACCTGCAGGACCCATTTGTGTCCATTGATCTCTTGGAGCAGCTGGGGATCATGGTAAGTTCTTGCTCAGATTTCAGAACTCCATGGATTTGTGCTTTGAGCTCTCCGAGTTTCTTTGAGGAAATTTCTGTTCCAAACTGGGTTTGGAAATCACAACAGAAATTGGACTGGGTCCGGGATTGAATTAGATCTGGTAATTAACTGGCTTGGATCCAGTTAAGGCCTCTTACAACTGACTGGGTCAGAAAGAAACTGGTAGTAAATGGTAATATTGCAGGGGGTGTAAAATTTGGGTTTTGGAAATTCACAGGGATTTTTGTTTTTCACCCCTTTGTTTCATTTTTCTTCAGTGCTTACACAGGAAAAAAAATCATTGGCTAAGTTAATCAAGGGAACCCGAGAGCAAACCCAATATCCTAGGTAAAAATTTGATACTTAATTTCTGAAGAACTGAGTTCCTTCTGACTTATACATGCGTAAGTATTAGGGCCCTGGAAGCAGCGAAGTCTTACAGAAATGGTGAAATCGTACTAAAGGTAACTTACAGTGGAACATTCCAAATGAATAAAACTGCACTGAAATGCATTTGAAAATGAGGGCTCCCTAATTAGTCTCATCTAGGGATGTCTGTTGATATGCAGAAGAGTTTTTTTGTTTTTTGTTTTTTTTTTCAGAGATGGAGTTTCGTTCTTGTTGCCCAGGCTGTAGTGCAATGGCGTGATCTCGGCTCACAGCAACCTCCGCCTCCCGGGTTCAAACAATTCTCCTACCTCAGCCTCCTGAGTAGCTGGGATTACAGGCATGCGCCACCACACTCGGCTAATTTTGCATTCTTATTAGAGAGGGGGTTTCACCATATTGGCCAGGCTGATCTTGAACTCCTGACCTTGTGATCCACCCGCCTTGGCCTCTCAAAGTGCTGGGATTACAGGCGTGAGCCACTGCGCCCAGCTGATATGCAGAAGAGTTTAAAAAGATTTCCATATTTTTATTTAAAGCCTTTACAAAAGGCAAATAAAAAGCTTAGGCAACTAATTGATTAAAAAAAATTAAATCTGCCTTGTACTCTTTGCTGACAGCTATGAGTGACAGGATTAGGCACGTACAGGACCTTAGAACCTGGGGAAACTTTTCCCCCCAAAGGTGAAATTTAAGGGCTGATGGGACAGCTGGAAAAGGTCCCTTTGTGACCAAAAAGTGACCACTTGAACTTTTGATTCAGTATCACTGCAATGGGTGGGTGATATGGCTTTGTTGTGTCCCCAACTAAATCTCATCTTGAATTGTAGCTCCCATAATTCCCATGTGTTGTGGGAGGGACCTAGTGGGAGAGAATTAAATCATGGTGGCGGTTTCCCCCATACTGTTCTCATGGTAGTGAGTAAGTCTCACGAGATTTGATGGTTTTTATAAGGGGAAATCCCTTTTGCTTGGTTTTCATTCTCTCGTCTGCTGCCATGTAAGACGTGCCTTTTGCCTTTCACCATAACTGTGAGGCCTCCCCCACCACGTGGAACTGTGAGACCATCAAACCTCTTTTTCTTTATAAATTACCCAGTCCTGGGTGTGTCTTTATCAGCAGTGTGAAAATGGACAAATACAGTAAATTAGTACCAGTAGAGTGGACCACTGCTGTAAAGATACCCAAAAAGATATTCAAGCTCTAACAGCCTGGGACTCCTTGGGTAAAACAGGAGGCACCACAGAGCCTGTTTTGGGAAAAACCTCTGTTTTTCTCATGAAACCCCAGGAATTGGAAGCAGTTAGAGCCCTCTCAAAATCTAAGGCTCTGTTCTTTTCTGCATTGCATTATCTGATATTTTTGAGTTTTGGGGGTACCAGAAGTTACTTCACATTATGAGAGAAATTTAGTGTGTAATAGCTAGGTAGGAAATACAGTTTTGGGGATAGCTAATGGCAATTATGGGGGAATTCTCAGCTCTTTGCATGTTCGGATCAGAGAAGCATGCTCTTGGCCACCTAGAAAGCATGGAAATGAGCCGGGCGTGGTTCCTCATACCTGTAATCCCAGCACTTTGAGGGGGTCAAGGCAGGTGGATCACAAGGTCAGGAGTTTGAGACCAGCCTGGCCAATGTGGTGAAACTTCATCTCTACTAGAAATACAAAAATTAGCTGGGCGTGGTGGCACATGCCTGTAGTGCCAGCTACTCAGGAGGCTGAGGCAGAAGAATCGCTTGAACCCAGAAGGTGGAGGTTGCAGTGAGCTGAGATCATGCCACTGCACTCCAGCCTGGGTGATGGTGTGAGACTCCTTCTCAAAAAAAAAAAAAAAAAAAGTATGGAAATGTCACCCACACCCCCTGACTGAGAGACAAGACTCCCATGGATGATGGGCTAGTCACAGAATGGGCTGGTTAGCTTTGGATTGCTTTGCAATTAAATGCATGGTAAAATCATTGCACTGTCTTGTTCATAGCATTTCTCCTTTTGGGATCTGAGATCTGGTCTAAAAATGAAACCCTTAATATTGGGGGAATCCATTTTACCTTCCAGGTGTGCCTGCTTATTAGGTCCTAGAAACTGCTTTCCTCACCCTGTTCTACAAAGGGCTCCACTCTAAAGCCAGTAATCCAATTAAGAAATATAAAAACTGGCAAATGAAAAATCCTACAGCTACTGGATCTTCTTCCATCTGTCTGTCTGTGTAGTTATATATGTGTTGTGCGTGTGATGTTTATATAAAAGAGCTCTGATTAATTGGCTTCAAGAAAAATAAGTACTTAAATATTTTGAAAGAAAAATAAAAACTGTAATGCCTTTTAGTTCACATGACTTTAGTAACCTTTGGGAAATAAAAACAATTTTGAAGATTATTGGTAAAATAAAGATATTTAGTCTAATTTAGGCAGGTCAGATATTAGGTTTGCTAAATGCTTTAAGGTTATAAACTGCTTCTTTGGCTTTTGAAAATCGTTCAACTTGAGTAAAGGAATAGGCTGGGCATGGTAGCTCATGCCTATAATCTCAGCAATGTGGGAGGCCGAGGCAGGTGTATCACAAGGTCAGGAGATCGAGACCAGTCTGGCCACATGGTGAAACCCAGTCTCTACCAAAAATACAAAAATTAGCCAGGCGTGGTGGCGGGCACCTGTAATTCCAGCTACCTGGGAGGCGAGACAGGAGAATTGCTTGAACCTGGGAGGCGGAGGTTGCAGAGAGCCGAGATCATGCCACTGCATCCCAGCCTGGGTGACAGAGCAAGACTCTGTCTCAGAAAAAAAAAAAGAGTAAGGAATAAAGAGTGGCTATTCTGGCCGGGAGCGGTGGCTCATGCCTGTAATCCTAGCACTTTGGGAGGCCAAGGTGGGCAGGTCACCTGAGGTCAGGAGTTTGAGACCAGCCTGACCAACATGGAGAAACTCCATCTCTAATAAAAATACAAAAATTAGCCAGGCGTGGTAGCGCATGCCTGTAATCCCAGCTACTCAGGAGGCTGAGGCAGGAGAATCACTTGAACCTGGGAAGTGGAGGTTGCAGTGAGCCAAGATTGCACCACTACACTCCAGCCTGGGCAACAGAGTGAGACTCTGCATAAAAAAAAAAAAAAAAAAAAAAAAAAGAATGACTATTCCATATGCAGAGCACCCCCAAGGGCTGCTGGCTGTCCACTTTAATGATCATTTCCTAATTATATGCTAAAGAAGGGGTGGGTTATTCATGAGTTTTCCAGGAAAGGGGTGGGCACTTTCTGGAACTGAGAGTTCTTCCCCCTTTTAGACCATATGGGGTAACTTTCTATGTTGCTATGACATTTATAAAGTGTCATGGCACTGATGGGAGTGTCTTTTAGCATGCTAATACATTATAATTAGTGTATAATGAACAGTGAGGACAACCAGAGGTCACTCTCATTGCCATCTTGGTTTTGGTGGGTTTTGGCTGACTTCTTTACCACTACTTTTTATCAGCAAGGCCTTTGTGACATGTACCCTGTGTCAACCTCCTGTCTCTTCTTGTAACTAGGAATGCTTTAACCTCATGGGAATGCAGCTCAGAAGGTTTCAGCCTTATTTTATCTAGCCCCCATTCAAGATGGAGTCACTCTAGTTCAAATGCCTCTGCCACAGTGATAAAAGAAAAACTTCAGCTGAATTAAGTTTAAAGATGTTTGATTGATCAATGAGCAAGTCACGAATTGAGCAGCTTTTTGAGCCAGGGTAGGCATAGAGACTCCAGTGCAGCTTTGTGGTAGAAGAAGATTTATGGACAGGAAAAGGAAAGTGAAGTACAGAAAACACAAATGAGGTTTAGAAGCAACTGGATTGCTTACATTTCAGCGTTTGCCTTATTTTAACACAGTTGGAACAATTGGCTACATTTGATTGGCCCAAACTCAGTGATTGGCACAGATATGGGCTACAGTCTGTTTACATCTCCACTTGTTGTAGTTCATGATGTACAGAAAATCTTTAGGCTGAACTTAAAATATATAAGGAGGCAGCTTTAGGCTAAACTTGATTTAACAATTCCCCCCTTTTGATCATTTTCTCAATTTTGAGAGATTGACCAAAACTTTAGTCATTCATGTCACCATCCCAGCATAAATATACTTATTTGGTCTTGAAACCCACTGGGAAACAGTAGAACAGTGAGTTTTGCAAGGTGGGAACAAGGACTGAGTAGAGGGTACCTCCTTATGCTGGAACCTCCTGTTTACAGAAGAAAAACAAAACCTGGTTTGTTCTAGGACCTATGTGTTCCTTAAAGTCTTAGTATTGCTATGTCACATTTAGCACGAGTGACTCCATTTTGGTTTGGTTTGGGGCCTAGTGCTCATTCCAAAACAATGGCCTCCCCTAATTTTGTTTTTAAATATTCCCCCTTTTTGGTCACATTCTCCCTTAGGTGAGAGTTCTTACTTAGGTGAGACGGTGACCAAAACTTAGGGCCTTAACGCCACTCTCAGTTACCATCATTTTGGGTTTCTGGTCTCAGCGTGTCATTCATAGGTTATGGTGTCCTCATGGTTGCACATTTCTTTTTTTGAAACAGAGTCTACTCTGTCACCCAGGCTGGAGTGCAGTGGTATGATCTTGGCTCACTGTAACCTCCACCTCCTGGGTTTAAGCGATTCTCATGCCTCAGCCTCCTGAGTAGCTGGGTTTACAGGCAGGCACCGCCACACCCAGCTAATTTTTGTATTTTTAGTAGAGACAGGGTTTCACCATGTTGGCCAGGACGATCTCGAACTCCTGGCCTCAAGTGATCCACCTGCCTTGGCCTCCCAAAGTGCTGGGATTACAGGAGTGAACCACCACACCCGGCATGGTTGCACATTTCTTTCAGCTCTTGTCATTCCAACTGAAGAGAGACCGTTTGATATTCTAAAGATGGCTGTGTGCAAACACTTAAAACCTTTGAGAGAATACAGCACACCAGGGAGACTACTATTATGACTATCGCGAGGATAACACCAAGTGTTTGGAGTATTCTCCTTATCCAGGGTCCCCATAAACCAAACCACCTGAAATTAAATAGATCAAAGAATGAGCTAGATGAAGAGTCTACTCGCTTAACTAAGCAGTCTTTCCACTAATCCCCTACAACTGAATCTCTATAATGCCCGACGTGATATATTTATCCATAGGCCACAAGTGCCAGCAGCTGCACAGATACTTCTGTGCCAGTAAGTAATCTAGAGCAATTCCATTATTTAGCATAACTTTCATAAGATAAAGTCTGTTGTGGAACCATAGACTTTACAGTAGAACCTGCTATAGAACCTATCATGGGGGATACATTTCTAATCATTGCCCCTTTTACTCCAAACCATAGAAAAAGGACTTAACAAATGATGCCCTTCTAGAGGAGTGAAGGCCTCCTGGCAATGATTTCTTTAACCCATGATGTGGGTTAAGAGGAGTGAGCCAATGTTCTAACAAGCAGCCACAGCTGGAAGGCAAAAACAGATCCCCAAAATGAAGGGTCCCATTTTTATACTGGATCCTGGATCCCCAAAAAGAAGGGAAATGCTACCAGAGAAGATAGTGCAATGCTTCTACTGTGGATTTCATTGCAAGGCAACCCAAAGCCAATCAGCTCATTTTGTAATCAGCCCATCTCTTATGGGAATCTCATATTTAGCAGGGGTGAGGGGGTGGGGTGGAGATGTTTCCATGCCTCTAGGTGGTCAAGAGCGTGCTTCTTTGATCCAAGCGTGCAAAGAGCCAAGTATCCCTCCTAACTGCCATTAGCCATCCCTTAAAATATATTCGCTACCTGGTTATTACACACCAAGGCTAAAAGCTCTCTCACAATGCAAAGTAATTTTGGACAACCTGCCCCCAAAGTCACAAGTGTCAGGTAATGTAATGTAAAACAGAACAGAGCCTTAGACTTTGAGAGGACTCTATCCTCCTTCAATTTCTGGGGTTACATGAGGGAAACAGAGGTTTTTCCTAGAATGGGGTCTGTGACACCTCCTCTGTTTTTCCCCAGGAGTCCCAGGCTGTTAGTAATTATCTTAGGTTCTCTCATGTGGACCTCAAGAATGGCAAGAAGACAAAATGGAGAAAAACAATTCAGTTGACTGAAAAGAAAAAAAAAAACTTTAATTTTCCTTCAGAAAAATAAGATCCAAGAAGAGAAAAGAAAACAAACATAAAGGCTTTTTAAATATATGTACAGTTTGCATATCCACTTTTTATTAAGCTGATTTTAACCATATAGCTCTTTTTTCTTAAAAAAAAAACTGTTAAATTTTTGTTTTGTTTGTTTGAGACAAAGTTTTGCTCTTGTTGCCCAGGCTGGAGTGCAATGGCATGATCTCGGCTCACTACAACCTCCACCTCCTGGGTTCAAGTGATTCTCCTGCCTCAGCTTCCCGAGTAGCTGGGATTACAGGCGTGTGCCACCACGCCTGCCTAATTTTATATTTTATTAGAGATGAGGTTTCTCCATGTTAGTCAAGCTGGTCTCAAACTCCTGATCTCAGCTGATCCACTCTCCTTGGCCTCCCAATGTGCTGGGAATACACGCGTGAGCCACCGTGCTCAGCCCAAAATCTTTTATTACCAGACTAGCCAGGACAGCCAATATTTCTGGCTTTTGAATTCTACCACAGGTAACCTCCCATGTGAAATTAATACATTTTAACTAAGGTCATAACTTAACCATGGATGCATAAAGTGTCTTAAAGAGATGGTAAGCAGTTTTTGTTTTCGTTTTCTAATAATTAGAGTCTCCCCAAAGGTAGTTCAGCAAAAGTAAGAATAAAGACAGAAAACCAGAATCGGTCCATGGGGAAAAAGAATCAATAAATGGCAAAAAGTTACACAAATAACAAACCAGAAAGGGCTCACTCCCTAAGCCCCCTGAGCCAAGAATTGAACCTGGGCCACCACTGTCAAATGCCAAAGCCTTAGTACTGAGCTACCGCATTAAGCACTTTCTATTGCTCTTCCCAGAAGGAAGATTTTGAGCTTGCGAAGGCTTTTAACTGCTCAAGATAATTTTTAGGGCTACCTATGACATGAACCCCAAAATTCCTGTCCTCTGGATGGCAGAATCCAAGATAAAGTATCCTCACATGGTCACAAGGTTAAGTTCAAGGACATAAAACAACATGAGAGAGAAACTTCATCTGGTATTGGTTTCAGGGACTCACAGAAAAGTTTGTAAGTGACCAGCCTGCTGAACTGGCTTTGGACAGTTGGCTTATATGGCTCCTAAGTCCATGTTCTATCCTGTGATGCCCCCTCCATTATAGAACAACACAGAAAAACAAATTCATAGCACTAAGTACACCAGATTTTCTATAGCCTAAACTAGTCTCATAAGTCTTTTTTTCTATTAATCAGACCTTTGTAGAGGAGACAGTGATGTTTAACATACACACACACACACATACAGGCCAGAAAGTTGGCTAATAAGTTGTTACCCTTTTTGCCGGCATACCAGGTTTCCAGGTTCCCTTTCTCTGCAGCTTCCAGAAGAACGGAGCGGCCTTTGATAACTGTTCACTATGCTATAGCTGTGGGGGCCAAGCCCACTACAAAATAAATAAATAAATAAATAAATAAATAAATATCATCCTTTTCTGTTTTATGGAACCATAGGCAAAGCTTCTCAACTTTGTAAGATGCTGCCCGATGGGCTGCATGGAGAACCGAATTAACATTTTCCGTCTCAGCTGAAGCAAAATACACATAACAAAACAGATAGTAGTCACCTCATTGGGCACCCAGTATCACCCTAGCAAGGCTCAAACTGTCTTCCTTTGGTCCCTATCATCTTTGATCCACTCAAGGTGGGGAGGGATGGCATCAATGAGTAGTCTCTGGGCAAGACAAAGAGCAGAGAGTTACCCCTTAACAGTCAGGCCTGTTAAGCTTTTTTTTCAGAGCTCACTGAATGTGACCATACTTACAGAGGGTTTTCTGAGTTAGGCCTGCTGGACTTGCATCAGAAATTCCCTCAGAGATCCCCTCCACATATACAAACACACACACAAAGACAAGACGGACAGAAGGCCTTCCAAACCAAGATCCCTAACCAAGAATTCCAAGAGTATTCCTTCCAAACTATCCTATTCTCCATCTGAGAAGTCTCCCCGAAATCTTACTGATTGAGGAGAAGTCTCCAGAACCAAGACTCTTCCTACTAATTAGGGAGAGTAAACCGAGACCCCTGAAGAAGCTGAACCAATTGGGAGAAGGAAAGGGGTGTTGGCAGCACCTAGACTACTCACCAAATCAGACACCCCATAATGGGGCTGCAGCTGCAGACAATCCATGATGGGGCTACAAACAGACACTGTGATAAGGTTACAGTTACAGGCACCCCATGGTGGAGCTACAGAGGGACACCTTGCCATGGAGCTCTAGTTATGAGATATCTCCCCAGGACAATTTCTCTATTGCAAAGTGTACTCCATACATATTGGGCTAGTAGTGCCCTGCCGATAGAGATGACGCCAGAGTCAGCCCCCAGTCCAAAACTAGGTGGCCGCTTGGGCTGGCCTCTGGATCCATCGCCAGAGGGGGTCTACAGAACCGGGGCAGGTAGCACAAGAGCAATCCCGAATGAGCCCCCAAATTTTTAACTGCTCAACTGGTTCACCATGCCCACTACCTACACAGCTGATTTATCAAAATAGGGGAATTGCAATAGAGAGAGTAATTCATGCAGAGCCAGCTGTGCAGTCTGGCTGAGTTTTATTATTACTCACATCAATTTCCCCTAGCATTCAGGGATCAGAGGTTTTTGGGGTTTTTGTTTGTTTGTTTTTGAAATGGAGTTTCGCTCTTGTTGCCCAGGCTGGAGTGCAATGGCACAATCTCAGCTCACTGCAACCTCCGCCTCCCAGGTTTAAGCGATTCTCCTACCTCAGCCTCCCAAGTAGTTGGGATTACAGGCATGCACCACCATACCTGGCTCATTTTGTATTTTTAGTAGAGACAGGGTTTCACCATGTTGGCAAGGCTGGTCTCGAACTCCTGACCTCAGGTGATCCACCCGCCTCAGCCTCCCAAAGTGCTAGGATTACAGGTGTGAGCCACTATGCCCCACCTTGGAGATCAGAGTTTTTAAGGATAATGTGGTGGGTTAAGAGAGGCCAGTATGCCAGGAGTGCTGATTGGTTGTGTTGGAGATAAAATCATAGAAAGTCAAGGCTGTCTTCTTGTGCCAAGTCAGTTCCTGGTTGGGGGACACAAGATCAGATGAACCAGTTTATCAATCTGGTGGTGCCAGCTGATCCATCAAGTGCAGGGTCTGCAAAATATCTCAAGCACTGGTCTTAGGTTTTACAATAGTGATGTTATCCCCAGGAGCAATTTGGGGAGGGTCAGAATCTTGTAGCCTCCAGGTGCATGACTCCTACGTGTCTAATCTTGTGGCTAATTTGTTAGTCCTACAAAGGCAGTCTAGTTCCCAGGAAAGAAGGAGGTTTATTTTGGGAAATAACTTATCTTATTTTTTAAATTAATTAATTAATTTATTTATTTTTGAGACAGAGTCTTGCAGTGTCACCAGGCTGGAGTGCAGTGGTGTGATCTGGGCTCACTGCAACCTCCACCTCCCGGGTTCAAGCGATTCTCCTGCCTCAGCCTCTCGAGTAGCTGGGATTACAGGCACGCACCACCACGCCCGGCTAATTTTTTTGTATTTTTAGTAGAGACGGGGTTTCTCCATATTGGTCAGGCTGGTCTCGAACTCCTGACCTCAGGTGATCTGCCTGCCTTGGCCTCCCAAAGTGCTGGGATTACAGGTGTGAGCCACCGCGCCCGCCCAGGTGATTGTATTTTAAGAGCCTGGGGCTGGGAGGTCCGGGTACTAGTCCCATCTCTGCTTTGGCTTTCTGGATGGCTTTGGACAAGCCAGTGCAACTTCTCGAACCTGTTGCCTCTCATATAATAGGAACCTCCGCCACTTCTTGAAAACTTACTACAAGCCAAGTATTGTGATCAGGGGTTTCTATACGTCATCTCACAGTTCTATTTTATTTTTTTGCTTCAGAGAGAAACAAAAATAACGCTCCGGAAGACTGAGTAACGTATATATGAGCAGGAGCTGGTGACTGGCATAGGCTGGACTCGATCCAGCTCTGTGATTCTAACTCTAGCAACCCTGTTTTTTCCATTACACCATAGGGCGCGCTCTCCCCATGCTCCTGAGAGCAGGACATAGACTATGCCCTGCGCAGGCAGCCGTCCGCCTCCTGCAGGGAATGCTTGCTCCTGGGTGCACGCACGGATACCGCGATGGTCCGAGACCACGCTCTGGGACAGCAAGCCTCAAGCCTCGCACAGGAGAGGGCCGCGGAGCTTCCTCGACCCGCCCCGCCGCCCTTCCCGCGGGAGGCCCCGCCCCCGCCCCCCGCCCCGATTGGCTGTCGGGAGAGAGGCGGGGCCTAGGGGATTGGCTGCCCGGCGACCGCGGGCTGACGTGGCGGGGCTGGCGTGTGGGTCTCGCAGCGTTGCTCACAGAACAGAGTAGAGGCGGCGGCGGCGGCGGCCGGACCCAGACTGGTAGTGAGGCTTTGGACCCCGAGCCGCTGCAATGCCGCTGGAGCTGGAGCTGTGTCCCGGGCGCTGGGTGGGCGGGCAACACCCGTGCTTCATCATTGCCGAGATCGGCCAGAACCACCAGGGCGACCTGGACGTAGCCAAGCGCATGATCCGCATGGCCAAGGTGAGGCGGCAGCTCCCGGGACCCGGGATTCGGGCGCCGGGAGGGGCGGGGCGGGGCCGCGGGGAGCCAGGGCCACACGGCCTCCGCGGCTGGGTACCCTGGTCCGGCCTCTTCCCGCCCGCCAGTTCCGTTTTCGGAATCCTTCGGATCCCTCTTCCTCACCGTGTCCGCCACCCTCGTGACCTTTCTGCATTACAGCAGCTGCCTCCTAACCCGACCTGTTTCCTCCCCGTTCTGGTGCCAGAATAATCTTTCTAAAAGTCAGACTTGATCAGACCATCCCCCCTGCCTGGCACCTTCTGTGGCTCCCTCCTGCCCGCGGGTAGAGTCGAAACCCTTTAACATAGCCTTCAAGATTTTAATGACTGGGCCCCTTCCAGCCCGTCATAATTCTTCTCTGACATTCTTCAGCGACACAGAGTTACTTTCAGGAATGACAGTTCCTGGAAGTTGCTGTGGTCTCTCTCACCCGCCATTCCCTGTATATGAAATATGAAGTGGTTAAAAGCCGGGCCTTTGAGTTCAAATCTCAGTTCCACCACTACTAGCTGTGTGAACATGGGCTGCTTACTTAGCCTCCGTGAACCCTTTTCCCCATTTGAAAACGGGGCTTGAAAACAACAGTTCTTTCCACATGGAGTTGTTATGGGGATCAAATGAGATTCTCAGATAGAGCTCTGAGCCCAGCACTTGGCACACATGAGTCGGTAAATGCGTGCTCCCTCTTCTGTTGGGACTGCCATATTCTTCATTACGACCCCAGCCCCCAGCATAAGGCCTGGCCTGCACTATGATTCTTTGGTTTAGAGATAGCTCACCCCATCTTTCCTTTCCCTTCATCAATGCTACTCAACTGATTTTGTATCATTTGTGATAGGTTTTTTAAATGTTTATTTATTTATTTATCTATGTTAGAGACAGGGTCTTGCTCTGTCACCCAGGCTGGAGGTTTTCTCTTACTGTTTTTTTTTTTTTTTCCTGGTTTTTTTTTTTTTTTTTTTTGAGACAGGGTCTCTGTATCACCCAGGCTGGAGTGCAGTGGCATGATCCCGGCTCACTGCAACCTCTGCCTCCCAGGCTTAAGTGATTCTCCCACCTCAGCCTCCCGAGTAGCTGGGACCCACAGGCGTGAACCACCATGCTGGGCTAATTTTTTTGTAGAGATGGGGTTTGGCCATGTTACCCAGGCTGGTCTCGAACTCCTGAGCTCAAGCAATCTGCCCACCTTGGCCTCCGAAAGTGCTGGGATTACAGGTGTGAGCCACCACCCTCGGCCCTTGCTGTTCCTTCGGGACTGGTTTTATGGAAACCTAATCACTGAATCATAAAAATACTTTACAAAAATAACATTGCTAACATTTTTTGAGTGCTTACTCTACCAGGTACTAAGCTAAATGCTGTACATGCACCATCTCATTTAATTTTTACAACAACCCAATGCCATGATGCTGCCGATTTCATTTTAAAGGCTAAGAGAAAATAAGTGACTTAGGCAAGGTCACATAGCTAGTATAATAAATACAGTAAGGGGTTTTTTCAGTTTTTGCTCCTAAGCCACAGGACTCCAGCCTTTCTTCTGCAACATTGTTTTCTAGAGGGAAATTCCCACTCTTAATTTGAAGGAGCAGTCTGTTTTTCCTCTTGGAATGCCGAAGTTGTAGAAATATCTAGAGATACTGAAGCCATAGAAACAAAGCTGTACTGACCAGGTGCAGTGGCTGATTCCTGTAATCCCATCACTTTGGGAGGCTGAGGAAGGCAGATTGCTTGAGCTCAGGAATTCGAGACCAGCCTGGGCCACATAGCGAGACCCTGTCTCTAATTCCATTGAGCTGGAATCTAGGTGGCTGCAGCCTTTAGGAAAGGGATCTGGCCAGCTCTGCTAGAGACACTGTGCAACTTTAGTCAGGTCAGTCTGGGCCTTGGGATCTTCATCTAGACAATGAGAGCTCTGTTGCCCAAGGTCACTTTCAGTTCTAATGTTCTTTGAACTTTCCAGCATCAAGTCCTGACTCTACCATCTTATGATTTGTCTAAGAGCAGGAGTAGTGATCTCAGCACTGACATTTCTGGACCCAAGAAGTTTTTATTTTTTTTTTTCAAGACGGAGTCTCGCTGTGTCACCCAGGCTGGAGTGCAGTGGCGTGATCTCGGCTTACTGCAAGCTCCGCCTCCTGGGTTCACACCGTTCTCCTGTCTCAGCCTCCCGAGTAGCTGGGATTACAGGTGCCCACCACCACACCTAGCTAATTTTTTGTATTTTTAGTAGAGACGGGGTTTCACCATGTTAGCCAGGATGGTCTCGATCTCCTGACCTCGTGATCTGCCCACCTCGGCCTCCCAGAGTGCTGGGATTACAGGTGTGAGCCACTGCGCCCGGCAGCCAAGAAGTTTTTAATAGCATGAATACCTCTGTGTCTACAGAAATGGCCGTGAGATGGGACTTTAGTGGGTTTTAATTACTCTTTTTCTTGAGTAGATTGTTTTTGTTTGAGTCAAGGTCTCACTCTGTTGCTCAGGCTGGAGTGCAGTGGCACCATCATAGCTCATTGCCACCTCAACCTCTGGGGATCAAGCGATCCTCCCCCCTCAGCCTCCTGAGTAGCTGGGACTACAAGCGTATGCCACCATGCCTGGCTAATTTTTATATTTTTTGTAGAGACAGGGTCTTACTATGTTGCCGAGGCTGGTCTTGAACTCCTTGGTTCAAGCAATCCTCCCACCTTGGCCTCTCAAAGTGTTTGGATTATAGGCATGGGCCACTGTGCCTGACCTCTTGAGTGTTTTTTGTTTTTTTTTTTTTATAGTCAAACAATCCGGCTTTTATATTATTGCCTCTGCTCAGTAGAAGTCATCTAGGGGCTGGGGCATTTTTGTTTTGTTTGTCTGCTTTTTAACATGTAACCTGTTCAAAGAAAATGTCATGGAGAAAAGCGCCAGTGCAAAGCAGCTAAAAGCAGAGTTGCTATTGTTGAAATCAGAGAAAGAGGCATAGGGCACTGTCCCTGGATGTTCCTGTCCCTGAGAGGGCCTCATTAGGACAGTTTACACATCCTGGAGGTAGCCCAAACTGCTTTTATATCGATGGAGAAACTGAGTCCAGAGCTGGGAAGTGACTTATCTAAGAGTTAGGGTCAAAGTTAAACCAGAATTTTTCTTTACTAAATTCTGGTCCAGTGCTGAGTTGACTATTCTTTGCTCAGTTATATAACTTAAAATCTTCCTTAACTCTTTGATCCAATGTTTTTAATATTTACAATGCAAAACAAAGGAAAAAAGTCCCATTTTTTTTTCTTTTGGCATGTTAAGAGAAAAAAATAGGGGGAGGTCTCCCATCTCCAAACAACCTTTTCTTCCTTTCAGACTTTCTTGCCTTTTCTGTTCCTCTTCCTTGGAGGTCCTTAAGGTCTCTGTCAGTCTATGTTGTTTTTAAAGATGGTGATGTCGGCTGGGCGCAGTGACTCATGCCTGTAATCCCAGCACTTTGGGAGGCCAAGGCGTTTGGATCACCTGAGGTCAGGAGTTCAAGACCAGCCTGGCCAATGTGGCGAAACCTTGTCTTTACTAAAAATAACAAAAATTAGCCGGGTGTCGTGGTGGGTGCCTGTAATCCCAGCTACTTGGGAGGCTGAGGCAGGAGAATGGCTTGAACCCGGGAGGCATTGGTTGTAGTGAGCCGAGATCACACCTTCTGCACTCCAGCCTGGGTGAAAGAGCGAAACTCTGTCTCTAAATAAATAAATAAATAAAGATGGTGATGTCATAGTGGTTGCTCCAGAATTTTTTCCTTTTTTTGAGAATCTACGACAGTCACTGAAAGATGTCCTAATGTGTGTTGTAGGAGTGTGGGGCTGATTGTGCTAAGTTCCAGAAGAGTGAGCTAGAATTCAAGTTTAATCGGAAAGCCTTGGAGAGGCCATACACCTCGAAGCATTCCTGGGGGAAGACGTACGGGGAGCACAAACGACATCTGGAGTTCAGCCATGACCAGTACAGGGAGCTGCAGAGGTACGCCGAGGAGGTTGGGATCTTCTTCACTGCCTCTGGCATGGATGAGGTGAGTCCTCTGCTGCTCTGTCATTTGTCACTTTAGCAGACCAAGGGTCAGCAGGCAGCCTGGTGACTTCCGGCTTAGGGCCACCTCCAGCCCTTGCTCATCCTTTCTGTTCCCAGCTACTGGAGAGGCTAGCAGGCGCCAAAGCCCAGTGAGAATCTGTGGGAAGGATGCCATTGTTTTAAAAACACATTGTCTCTGGCCGGGCTTGATGGCTCACACCTGTAATCCCGGCACTTTGGGAGACTGAGGGGGATGGATCACCTGAGGTCAGGAGTTCGAGACCAGCCTGGCCAACATGGTGAAACCCCATCTCTACTAAAAATACAAAAATTAGCTGGGCATGGTGGTGCGTGCCTGTAATCCCAGTTACTTGGGAGGCTGAGGCAGGAGAATCACTTGAACCTGGGAGGTGGAGGTTGCAGTGAGCCGAGATCACACCACTGTGCTCCAGCCTGGGCAACAGAACAAGAGTCCATCTCAAATTAAAAAAAAAAAAAAAAAAGGCCAGGCGCGGTGTCTCACACCTGTAATCCCAGCACTTTGGGAGGCTGAGACAGGCAGGTCACGAGGTCAAGAGATCAAGATCATCCTGGCCAACATGGTGAAACCCTGTCTCTACTAAAATACAAAAAATTAGCTGGGCGTGGTGGCATGCGTCTGTAGTCCCAGCTACTTGGGAGGCTGAGGCAGGAGAATCGCTTGAACCTGGGAGGTGGAGGTTGCAGTAAGCCGAGATCGCGCCACTGCACTCCAGCCTGGTGATAGAGCAAGATTCCGTCTCAAAAAAAAAAAAAATTAATAATAATAATAATAGTAATAACAATAACAAGTTGTCTCTGGAAGTAGGGGTCAGCCACACTGGAATCCCAGAGTCCCTCCAAGCTGTAGGGACACCCCAGCTGGGCCAGGTTTCTCCCAGTAGAAAATGGTCTGGGAACCAGGGCCTGGGTGTGGTGGCTCACACCTGTAATCCCAGAGCTTTGGGAGGCTGAGCTGGAAGGACTGCTTGAGGCCAGGAGCTCAAGACCAGTGTGGGCAACACAGGGAGACCCTATCTCTACAAAAAACACAAAAATTAGCCAGGCGTGGTGGCGTACTCCTGTAGTCTGGGAGGCTGAGGATTGCTTGATCCCATGTATTTGAGACTGCAGTTAGCCATGACTGGACCACAGCACTCCAGCCTGGGTGATAGAGCAAGACCCTGTCTCTTAATAAAAAAAAAAAAAAATAGAGCAAGGAAACCACAGTTCTGGAGTCCGCTCCTTGCTGACTAGCCTTGACTGACTTGAGTGGGGGGACACTGGCACTGTCCAGAAGGGAATGGCTCACAGGATGGTCACCGGTGGTTTTTGGCTTGGCCATGCTACATCCTGGAAGAGTACAGCTCGTGCCAGGTCTCAGGTCCCATCTGCTCTGTGACCTGCCTCCTTAAAATTCCTTCATGTGTTCTTTTGAATGTAAAAAAAATTTTACTTGTAAAAATAACATTACAGAAAGTTTAGAAAATGAGAAAAGGGAAAAAACTGACCCATAATCCCTCTATAGCAGTTCTTTTTATATATTTCCTCCTGAAGTCTTTTTATATTCTTGTTTTATTGCCTGCTGGTACTATTTAGTGAACATCGAGTTCTGTGCCTGCTTGTTTTAGTTAACATTATAGCACAAACTTTTACCCCACCTTATGCTTAAAGATTTTAATAGCAACGTAATATTTCTTTTGGTGCATGTACTATACTGTACCTAACCATTCCTCTACTTTTGGATACGGAAGTTATTTCAGTTTTTTTTTTTTTTTTTTTTGAGACAGAGTCTCAAAAAAACTGGGGGAAGAGTATATAGGATTTCTCTGTGTTCTTTCTTACAGCTGCATGTGAATCTACCATTATCTCAAAATTCAAAGTTTAAAATTAAAAAAAGTTTCTTCAATTTTATTTTATTTTATTTATTTTATTTTTTTGAGATGGAGTCTCACTCTGTCACCCAGGCTGGAGTACAGTGGCGTGATCTCGGCTCGCTGCAACCCCCGCCTCCCAGGTTGAAGCGATTCTCCTGTCTCAGTCTCCCAAGTATGCATGCACCACCAGGCCTGGCTGATTTTTTTTGTATTTTTAGTGGAGACAGGGTTTCACCATGTTAGCCAGGCTGATCTCAAACTCCTGACCTCAGCCCATCCGCCCGCCCCAGCCTCCCAAAGGTCTGGGGATTACGGGTGTGAGCCACCATGCCCAGCCCAGTTTTATTTTTTGTTGTTGTTTGCTTGTTTTGAGACAGAGTCTCACTGTCTCCCAGGCTGGAGTGGAGTGGTGTGATCTCAGCTCACTGCAACCTCTGCCTCCCAGGTTCAAGTTATTCTCATGGCTCAGCCTCCTGAGTAGCTGGGATTACAGGCACCTGCCACCAGGCCCAGCTAAATTTTGTATTTTTAGTAGAGATGGGGTTTCACCATGTTGGCCAGGCTGGTCTCGAACTTTTGACCTCAGGTTATCCATCTGCCTCAGCCTCCCAAAGTGCTGGGATTACAGGTGTGAGCCACTGTGCCTGGCCTAGTTTTTTTTGTTTTTTGAGATGGGATCTTGTTTTGTCACCCATGCTGGAGTGCAACGATGCAATCATAGCTTACTGCAGTCTCAAACTCCTGGCCTCAAGTGATCCTCCTGTCTCAGCCTGCTGAGTAGCTGGGACTACAGGCATGTGCCAACACGCTTGGCTAATTAAAAAAAAAATTTATAGAGACAGGGTCTCACTGTGTTGCCCAGATTGATCTTGAACTCCTGGCCTCAAGTGATCCTCCCATCTAGGCCTCCCAAAGTGCTGGGATTACAGGTTTAAGCCACTGCACCCAGCCTGTTTTTTTGTGCTAATAAGTAGTGCTGAGATAGACATCTTTTCTCTGTTTGGGGTTGTTTCCTTAAGATGGCTTCTTAGAAATAGATTTTTAGGTAAAACCTTAGAACATTTTTATGGGTCTTGAAACACTTTTTCTTTTGGTCAACCAGGTTATTTGAAGCAGACTTCTGACTCTGTGCCACTTTTCCAGTTCTAAAACATGTGTGTCGACTGAGTTGAAAGAAGCACACATGCAGCTCAGGCCAGAGGTAATGGGTGGTTTAAAAAAGGAGGAAGGTGGAGAACCTAGGCCTCTAGAGAACTTGGCAGTTTCAGGCTACACTTCTGTAGACCAAATTCATTCCTTAATTCACAGCATTCGTACGCATGACATTCTTCAAATGCAGTTGTGTACTTAACAATCCTAATTCCCTATTTTTTTTTTTTAAAGACGGAGTCTTGGTCTGTTGCTCAAGCTGGAGTGCAATGGCACGATCTTGGCTCACTGCAACCTCCACCTCCCGGGTTCAAGTTATTCTCGTGCCTCAGCCTCCTGAGTAGCTGGGATTACAGGCGCCTGCCACCACACACGGCTAGTTTTTGTATATTTTTAGTAGAGATGGGGTTTCACCATGTTGACCAGGCTGGTCTTGAACTCCTGACCTTCAGTGATCCGCCTGCCTCGGCCTCCCAAAGTTCTGGGATTACAGGTGTAAGCCACCGCACCCGCCCTAATTCCCTACTTTTGAAGTACACATTATTGTTTATGAAGCATCTTCACATACAGTAATATATTTTATCCCTACAGTGCCCCATTTTACAGATGAAGAAATGGAGGACCAGAGGGGCCAGAAGTTTGTTCAGTATCACACAGTTAGGAAATGGGTCTTAAAGGTAGCAGATCTGATGCCTAGAGCAGTATGCTTTCCACAGTCCCTCAGCTGCTGCTGCCTGGCTGGCAGCCCAGGCTTCCCAGAGCGTAGACTCCCACTGTGAATGCCTGAAAGCTCAGGAGAGTCTCCGCATGCACCACGCTCGGTACCAGTTCAAGACTGAAGTTGGCTGGAGAGTCTCTGGGCCCAAGAGCTGCCTTGGGAGTGGGGACAGATTTTTTTTTTAAACCTACGTAAAAAGGTTAGTTAGATATATTGCTGATCTTCAGTTAATTACTGCCCTGCAACCTGGGGCAGGGGCCTCACTCTGCATCCAGTTTCAAATCTGAGACCTGGGTTTGCTCAAATTCAGTTCAAACTGGTGACATAGCAGCCTGCATTCAGAAAGGAATAGGTCTTGTAAGTATCAACAACAGAACCAAAGGGACATTATTGTGTTAATCCTTCTGGGCGTACTCACAGCCCAGGAGAGTTTCTGAGATTGTATGTGGTGTCCTCTAAATAAATAGGATTGTTTTTCAACAGAGAATTACAATGTTTAGCTTCTGGTGAAATAATATTATTCTTTTAAAGTGTTAGTCACTCCTGGTGCTTTTTTTTTTTTTTTTTTTTTGAAACAGAGTTTCGTTATTGTTGCCCAGGCTGGAGTGCAATCAATGGTGCAATCTCGGCTCACTGCGACTTCCGCCTCCTGGGTTCAAGCAATTCTCCTGCCTCAGCCTCCCAAGTAGATGGGATTACAGGCGTCCACCACCATGCCCAGCTAATTTTTTTTTTTTTTTTTTTTTTTTTTTGTATTTTTAGTAGAGACGGGGTTTCACCATGTTGGCCAGGCTGGTCTCGAACTCCTGACCTCAGGTGATCCACCCTTCTTGGCCTCCCAAAGTGTTAGGATTACAGGCGTAAGCCTCTGCATCCAGCTGCTTTTTTTTTTTTCCCCCTGGAGACAGAATGATAACGGTTTGGCTGTGTCTCCACCGAAATCTCAACTTGAATTTTATCTCCCAGAATTCCCACGTGTTGTGGGAGGGACCCAAAGGGAGGTAGTTGAATCATGGGGGCTGGTCTTTCCCGTGCTATTCTCATGATAGTGAATGAGTCTCATGAGATCTGATGGGTTTATCAGGGGTTTCTGCTTTTGCTTCTTCCTCATTTTCTCTTGCTGCTGCCATGTAAGAAGTGCCTTTTGCCCCCCACCATGATTCTGAGACCTGCCCAGCCATGTGAAACTGTAAGTCCAATTACAGCTTACAGCCTTCCCCAGAGTAATCACTTTGAGAAGCACTTTCATTTGGAGGACTAAGTCCTAACCTGGTTGTTAAAAATAATTAGGCTCAGTAGTTTTGTCATCCCTCCTCCTCCATAGTTGCTTCCCCAGGACACAGTTTTTCTAAAACTTGACCATACCTAGTGTTGAATCCATAGTAAGGAGAAATGTTATGTGTGCATTTCATTGCAGTGACAATTAAAAACAATAATAACCAATCAGAGTAATGAGAAGTATATGAAGGCGGTTTCCAAAGTGTGGTTCAGGAACCCCTGGGGGATTCATGAGCCCTTTCAGGAGGTCCACAAAGGCAAAGCTATTTCCATAATGATACTCAAATGTTATTTGTCCTTTCCATCATCATTCTCACAAGTATATAGTGGAGTTTTCCAGAGGCTAGGTGATGTGTGATGACATCATTCCTCTGGCAGCGGCTCACCTAATGGAAGGTGTGTTGTGTGTCTTTTTAAAGAACAGTTTTATTGACACACCATCCAATTCACCCAATCGAGGGTACAATTCAGTGGTGTTTAGTAATATTTACAGAGTTGTGCAACCATTAATACAATTACCGTTAGAACATTTTTTATCACCCCCAAAGGAAAAACTACCTATTAGCAGCACTCCTCAATTGCCCCAATTCTCCCAGGCCTAGGCAACCACTTACCGATTTTTTTTTTTTTTTGAGACAGAGTCTCGCTCTATTGCCCAGGCTGGAGTGCAGTGGTAGGATCTTGGCTCACTGCAACCTCCACCTCTCAGGTTCAAGCAATTCTCCTGCCTCAGCCTCCCGAGTAGCTGGGATTGCAGTCATGCACCACCCTGCCCAGCTAATTTTTGTATTTTTAGTGGAGACAGGGTTTCACCATGTTGACCAGGCTGATCTTGAACTTCTAACCTCAGGTGATCCACTTGCCTTGGCCTCCCAAAGTGCTGGGATTGTAGGTGTGAGCCACTGCGTCCAGCCTCAAATTTCTGTCTCTATAAATTTGCCTATTCTGGATATTGCATATAAATAGAATCATACAATATGTGGTCCTTCGAGCCTGACTTCTTTCATATAACATTGTGTTTTCATTTATGTTGTAGCATATATCAGTACTTCATTTCTTTTTTTGACTAACTCATAATTCAATTTTATGGCTATACTACATTTTATTTACCCATTTGTCAGCTGGTGGACATTTGGGTTGTTTCTACTCTTTGGCTGTTATGAATAATGCTGCTGTGAGCTTTTATGTACAGGTTTTATATGGACATGTGTTCATTTCTCTTCGGTATTACATATATGAGTGGAATTGCTGGGTCACCTGGTAACTCTATGTTTAACTTTTTTGAGGAACTGCCAGACTGCTTGCCAAAATGGCTGCACCATTCCCGCCAGCAGGGTTTGATGGTGCCAGTTGCTTCACATCCTCATCATTTGTGATTACCTCCTGATTCTAGCCATCCTAGTGGATGTGACATGGTGTCTCATTGTGGTTGTGATTTGCATTTCTCTGATGCATCTTTTCATGTGTCTGTTGGTCATCTGCATATCTTCTTTGGAAGAATGTCTATTCAGATCCTTTGTCAGTTTTAAGAATTGGATTATTTTTCTTTATATATTCTTTTGAAATTTAATTATTTTTTCATGTATAGCCTTCCAATGAATTGTCTTTATATATTTTAAGTACAAGTCCTTTAGTAGATAAATGATTGTAAAAAACTTTCCTAGTCTTTGGGTTGTCTTTTTCACTTTCTTTTTTTTTTGTGAGATACGGTCTTGCTCTGTCGCCCAGGCTGGAGTGCAGAGTGGTGCAATATCGGCTCACTGCAACCCTGGCCTCCTGAGCTCAAGCAATCCTCCCACCTCAGCCTCCTAAGTAGCTAGGACTATAGGCATGCGCCATCAGACTCAGCTAATTTTTGTATTTTTTGTAGAGACAAGATCTCACTATGTAGCCCAGGCTGGTCTCAAACTCCTGAGCTCAAGCGAACAGCCAACCTTGGCCTCCCAAAGTGCTGGGATTACAGGCATGAGCCACCATGCCTCGCCCTTTTTCACTTACTTGATAGTGTCCTCTGAATTACAAACATCTTTAATTTTGATGATGTCCAAATTATCTTTTTTTCTTCTTGTGTTTATCTATTTATATGTTTAAAAATTTCTCATTTATTTTTATTTTTGAGATAGGGTTACACTCTGTCACCCAGACTGGAGTGCAGTGGTATAATCTCAGCTCACTACAACCTCCAACTCCCGGGTTCAAGCGATTCTCATGCCTCAGCCTCCCAGGTAGCTGGGATTACAGGCGCACACCACCATGCCCAGCTAATTTTTTTTTGTATCTCTTGGTAGAGATGGAGTTTCACCTTGTTGGTCAGGCTGGTCTCGAACTCCTGATCTCAAGTGATCTGCCTTCCTCGGCCTCCCAAATGCTAGGATTACAGGTGTCAGCCACCTCACCAGCCATTTTTAGCTTTTTTTTTTCCTTTATTTCTCAGTTTTAAACCACAATGTGATATCACTGCACAGCTGTCAGTATCGTTAAAGTAAAAAGTGGTTGGCTGGATGCAGTGGCTCACTCCTGAAATCCCAGTACTTTGGGAAGCTGAGGTAGGAGGGTCGCTTGAGGCCAGGAGTTCAAGACCAGCCTGGGCAACAATAGCAAGACCCCATCTATTAAAAAAAAAAAAAAAAGCCAGGCATTGTGGTGTGTGCCTGTAGCCTCAGCTGCTTGGGAGGCTGAGGCAGGAAGGCGGGAGGCTTCCTTGAACCCAGGAGCTTGAGGCTGTGGTAAGCCATGATTGCACCAGTGAACTCCAGACTCCAGCCTTGGCAAAAGAGTGAGATCCTGTCTCTAAAAAAAAAAAAAAAATTGATAACACCACATGGTGTCAAGGATACAAAGAAAATAGATCATTCATATATTGCTGGTGGGAATGTAGAATGATCCAATCACTCTAGAAAACAGTATGGCAGTTTCATTCCTTCTTTTTTAAACAGCTTTATTGGGACATAATTCATATACTGTATAATTCAACCACTTAACATAGACTGGGAGTTTCTTATAAAGCTAGATAATGTGTTTATCATATGACCCACCAGTTGTCATTTGGTAATTTATCCCCAAAGAAATGAAAACTTAACATTCATACAAAAACCTGTATGTGAGTGTCATTACAACTTTTATTCTTAGTAGCTCAAAACTAGAACAAGCAAAATGTTCTTTAGTGGGTGAATGGTGAAACAAACTGTAGTACATGCATACCGTAGAGTACTACTCAGCAATCAAAAGGAATGAACTATTTTTCTTTTTTTTTTTGAAACGGAGTCTCACTCTATTGCCCAGGCTGGAGTGCAGTGGTGTGATCTCGGCTCACTGCAACCTCCGCTGCCCGGGTTCAAGTGATTCTCCTTCCTCAGCCTCCTGAGTAGCAGGGATTACAGGCACATGCCATGGTGCCCGGCTAATTTTTGTATTTTTTGCAGAGATGGGGTTTCACCATCTTGGCCAGGCTAGTCTCAAACTCCTGACCTTGTGATCCACCCACATCGGCCTCCCAAAGCGCTGGGATTACAGGCGTGAGCCACCGCGCCCAGCCAGGAATGAACTATTGATGCGTGCAGCAGCCTGGATGCATCTCAAGGAAATGATGCTGAGTGAGAAAGCAGCATATGCAGAAGGGAACATACTGTACGATTCTGCTTCCATGACATTCTGGAAATAACAGAATTATGACAGTGGAGAACAGATGAGTAGTTGCCAAAGGTTAGTAAGGGGAAGGGGATGTGGTTATAAAGGGGTGACATGAAAGATCCTTGTAGCAGTGGCATCATGGTACCTTCTGTATGGTGACCGTGGCAGTGCTCACATGAGTCTGTGCATGGGGTAAAATTGCATATAATTAAATATAGGCACACAGAAATGAATACTTGTAGAAATGGTGAAATCTGAATAAGATTGGTTGACTTTGTCAATGTCATTCACCCAGTTGTGGTATTGTACTATAGTTTTACAAGACATTACCATTGGGGGAAACTGGGGGAAGAGTATATAGTATCTCTCTGTGTTCTTTCTTACAGTTGCACCTGAATCTACCATTATCTCAAAATTCAAAGTTTAAAATTAAGAAAAGATTCCTCTATTTTATTTTATATTTTATTTTTTGAGACAGAGTCTTGCTGTCACGCAGGCTGGAGTGCAGTGGCACGATTGTGGCTCACTGTAACCTTCGCCTCCCAGGTTCAAGCAGTTCTCCTGCTTCAGCCTCCCAAGTAGCTGGGACTACAGGTGTATGCCACCATGCCCAGCTAATTTTTGTATTTTTAGTAGAGACGGGGTTTCACCATGTTGACCAGGCTGGTCTTGAACTCCTGACCTCAGGTGATCTGCCTGCCTCAGCCTCCCAAAGTGCTGGGATTGCAGGTGTGAGCCACCGTGCCCAGCTTTCATTTTAAATTTTTATTTTATTTATTTATTTCACTCTGTTGGCCAGGCCGGAGTGCAATGGCGTGATCTTGGCTCACTGCAACTTCTGCCTCCTGGGTTCAAGAGATTCTTGTGCCTCAGCCTCCTGAGTAGCTAGGATTATAGGTACCCGCCACCACACCCGACTAATTTTTGTATTTTTAGTAGAGATGAGGTTTTACCATTTGGCCAGGCTGGTCTCAAACTCCCGACCTCAGGTGATCCGCCCACCTTGTCCTCCCAAAGTGCTGGGATTACAGGCATGAGCCATCGCGCCTGGTCACAATTTTAATTTTTAATTCAGCAAATACGAATAAATAAAACCACATCAAAAAATAAAAATAAAAAAGATCTGCAGACTCTTTAGTAATTTTTTTTTTTTTTTGAGACAGGGTCTCACTCTGTTGCCCAGGCTGGAGAGTAGCAGCACAATCATAGCTCATAGCTCACCGCAGCCTTGACGGCCCAGGCTCAAGCGATCCTCCCACCTCAGCCTTCTTAGTAGCTGGGACTACAGGTCCATGCCACCACAACCAGCTAATTTCTAAATTTTTTTGTAGAGATGGGGTCTCCCTATGTTGCCCAGGCTGGTCTTAAACTCTGGGCCTCAAACAGTCTCCCACCTCGGCCTCCCAAAGTGCTAGGATTACAGGTGTGAGCCACTGCACTTGGCCTCCTTAGTAATTTTTAAGAATTTGAAGATGAAAACATTTGGGACTCCATGCTGAATGCTGTATACACATACCCCAGCTGTGTGGTGTGTACCTGGCTATATGATGGCACGACTGTATGGTACACACCTCAGCTGTATGGTACATACCCCCGACTGTATGATGCACACCCCAGCTCTGTGGTACACACCCTGCTGTGTGGCCCATACCCGGGCTATATGGCCCAGTGGCCAAGTGAATGGACTCTAGGGTCAGATTTTAAGTTTGAATATGGCTCTGCCTGTTATTTTTGGTATATCCATGTGGAGGTTATTTAACCTTTTTGTGCCTGTTTTCTTCAGTTGTAAAGTGGGCTTCCTAGCAGAACCCATCTGGGAGGGAAAGTGAAGATTAAATGTGATCGTTAATATAAAGCATAGTACACAATCAGTATTCAGTGAATATCAGTTACAATTAAGGAAAGCAACCTGGGCTAAGGGCTAGGACATCTGGGTACTTGCAGGCTGGGACATCTGGGTACTTGTCCTGGCTTTGTCCTTAACTCTCAGTGTGACCTTGGTGAGCCCCTTCCCTGCCTGGGCCACCATTTCATTTTCCGTGTGTGACCAAGCTACCATCCAGTGGTTCTCTCTATTCTGATGTCCTGAGTCAGCGCAGAACCAGGGAAGATGTCATCAAGGTGACTTGCACCTGGATTGGGGACTTTTCTGCTTCCGTCCACGTTTCCTGGAAATGCAAGCTCCCTGAGCTCCTGGATCTGACCTAGGAGAAAGGTGCCTCCTTGCCCGTGAGGCTGCCAAGGCGGAGTCACTTCTTTAGGCCGTGCCCTGCAGGTGGCATCGGTTGAGAACCCGGAGCAGTTGGGTGATAGGGAGGAGTCTGGTGTTTGCAGCGGGGCTTCCTCCTTGGTTTTCCTTCCCTCTGCTCCCCAGGCAGCCCATTTGCTTGGTGTCTGTGATGGGTGTTTTAGAGTCAGGCTCTCTGAGCTCAGCTCCTGGTGCTCACACTCTGTGTGGCTTGGGCTCCTCATGTAACCTTGGAGCCGCAGTGGCCCCCGTCTGTAAAAACAGGATTGTTAAGATGCTCCTGGGGCTATCTGGAGGATTCAGGGAGCTAAACCCGTGGGGTGCCAGCACAGGGCCAGGTCTACACTCACCCAGCGATGGCTGTTCTGTGACTCAGAACCCTTTGGAGTTTTTCTGCCTCAGCCTATTTGGGCAGGTAGGTTCCTCTGGATGAGGAATGCCTTTTGTCCCCAGCTAGTCCCCTGCCTGACCTAGGGCACAGGCAGTGAGGGAAAGTGCATTTTTTTTTTTTTTTTGAGACGGAGTCTCGCTGTGTCGCCCAAGCTGGAGTGCAGTTGCGCAATCTCTGCTCACTGCAACCTCCACCTCACGGGTTCAAGCAGTTCTCTGCCTCAGCCTCCCGAGTAGCTGGGACTACAGGTGCCCGCTACCATGCCCAGCTAATTTTTGTATTTTTAGTAGAGACAGAGTTTCACCATGTTGGCCAGGGTGGTCTTGAACTCCTGACCTCATGATCCACCCACCTCGGCCTCCCAAAGTGCTGGGATTATAGGCGGGAGCCACCGTGCCCGGCAGGAAAGTGCATTCTTTAAGAGCCTTTACGAGAGTTAATTTACCTTGCCCTCTGTCAAACTGTTGGAGGTAGATTGGTTCCTTGTTCTGTATTTACCTAGCAAGTGGCTCCCAGTGTTTACCTACCCTAACTTCCTTATAGAAACAGGCATTTATTGAATGCATATTTTCTCCACACTGTATGCTGTTCTAGGGCGTTCTCTGTGTGCTGAGGAAAGGTTAAGGTGTGGCAGAATTTTATTAAGGCCAAGAAAACCGTCAGGGCTTCTGGTTGAAAGTTGCACCAAGGCTGTGGAACTCAGGTGAAACAGCAGAATGTCTTTAGTCTAAAAGGAAAGTTCTATTGAGAAGGCAAATGGAAGCCATGACCAAAAAGGTGACTCCTGAGGGACATGCTCTCCTCACACACAGTGGCCATCCCAGCAAAGCCGCCCTTCCCTCCAGCACCTGCCTCTGTCCTAGGCACGGTGCCCTCTGACAGGCTGCTGCCCTGAGGCTGGCCCAGCCTATTTGTGGCTACACCCTTCCCCTGACTCCCTGTTCTCCCCAGCTCATCACCATGGGCTTTTTTTTTTTTTTTTTTTTTTTTTTTTTTTGAGACGGAGTCTTGCTCTGTCACCCAGGCTGGAGTGCAATGGCATGCTCTTGGCTCACTGCAACCTCCACCTCCCAGGTTCAAGTAATTGTCCTGCCTTAGCCTCCCGAGTAGCTGGGATTACAGACACACACCAACACGCCGGGCTAATTTTTGTATTTTTAGTAGAGGCGGGGTTTCACCATGTTGGCCAGGCTGGTGTCAAACTCCTGACCTCGTGATCTGCCCGCCACGGCCTCCCAAAGTGCTGGGATTACAGGCGTGAGCCACCGCGCCTGGCCTGGGCTTCTTTTTTTTTTTTTCCAATCCTGAAGGATCCAAAACCTGAGGGGAGAGGAAGGGACTTTAGAAAAATCTCAGCTCCACTCCTCTCTTTCCTTACCCCTGACTCAGATCAGCAGTTCCCAGAGTGTCCCACAGGACACAGTACAGAAATGGGGTTCTGTGGGCACGTGTTGTCCACCCTCATTCATTAATTGATTTAGAATCAATAAAGGGTTTTTTGGTTTATTTTTTGTTTTGTCACCCAGGCTGGAGTGCAGTGACACGACCTCAGCTCAGTGCAGCCTCAACCTCCTGGGTTCAAGCAATCCTCCCACTTCAGCCTCCTGAGTAGCTGGGACTGCAGGCACACACCACACACCCGGCTAATTTTTATATGTTTTGTAGAAACGGGATTTCGCCATGTTGCCTAGGCTGGTGTCAAACTCCTGGGCTAAAATGATCCTCCTGCCTTGGCCTCCCAAAGTGCTGGGATTACAGGCATGGGCTACCATGCCTGGCCAGAATTAATAAAGTTCTGAGTCGAATAAGTTTGGGAAACACTGGGTTTGGAACTCAGCTAAGTTGATTTACTGGGACCCTCTAAGAAGGCATTAAGGCAGGGTAGTGTTTCTCCCAAACGAGGCTATCCATGGGACCCATTTCTGCATGTTGAACTCAGCTGGGAGCCCGAGGAGAGTTGTACATGCCTGAGCTCCCTTCAGACTCCCACAGACTTTGTGCTATGGGGCAGGAGGGAGAGAGGAGTGCTGAGGCTGCCGGGCTGCATGGAACCCCAGATAGAGGGAACCCGATAGCACGGTCGGCAGGCTAGGGGAAGTCAAGGAGTCCCTGAAGAGAAAGGGGTCACCAGTTGCTGACCCAGCCTGTAGTAGCCCCTAGGCACAGCGATACTGTCTTAGGGCTGAAAGTTAGGATCTTCCAGATTACTCAGATTCCCTTTGCCCGATGGCTCTGAGTGGCAGTTTTCTAAATGTCCACTGGGTGGCGCTGGCTCCCCAGGAGGCGGCAAAATGAGGCGCCCCTTCCCTTTCCAGCAGGAATTGGCCTTTTTCTTTACTTGAAAATTACAGAATTCCATGCAGATTTTACAGCCTCTGTAGGTAAGCTTTCACAAGGTGTTTTTCTGCACTTGTCCCCCCTCCTTGCCCCGATCGCTCTGCCCCTCTCTTGGGGGGGTTTCTGCTTCTGTTTATGCCCTGGTGGGCCACACCACACTCCCACAAGATGAACATTATACAAAAGAAAACTCAGTGGAAGGTTCCTTCTTTAAACAGAAAGCACTCTCTTCATCTGCCAAATGAAGTGAGAAGGGTAGGAAAATTAGATTTTATTGAAAAAATATATTTAAAACTGATGTTTTTTCAGTTCTGTCTTAGGGCTAGTTAGCAGTGTTATGAGACACAAACAGGAAGGAGTGAGGTGGAAAGGTATGGAAGGTACTGGGCATGGCAGCTGAAGCTTGCAACCCCAGCACTGTGGGAGGCCAGGGTGGGACAACTGCTTGAGGTCAGGAGTTTGAGAACAGCCCGGGCAACATAGCAAGACCCCATCTCCACAGCAAATTAAAAAAAAAAAAAAATTAGCCACATGTGGTGGCACGTGCTTGTGGTCCCAGCTACTTGGGAGACTGAGGCAGGAGGATTGCTTGACCCCAGGAGTTTGAGACCAGTCTGGGCAACATAGCAAGACCCCGTCTCTACCACAAAAGAAAAGAAAAAGATGGAAGGGGAAAAGAGAAGAGTTAAAAATAAAGCAGAGGAAGAGCAGTGAGAAAGGTGAAGGAAGGGAGGAAAGGAAGGAAACGGTGGGAGGGAGGGAGGAAGGAAAGGGAGAGAGGGAGGGAAGGAAAGGGAGGAAGGAAAGGGAGGAAAGGGAGGGAGGGAGGAAGGAAGGGAGGGAGGGAAGGAGACAGGAAGGGAGGTAGGTTGGTTGGTCCGTCGGTCCGTCGGTCCTAGACCAATCAGAGTTTGCATTTCATTTCAGCAACTTCCCTGGGAGAGGGAAAGATTTGTGCCCATGTGATCAAGTGTGAGCAACTCACTAAGCCCTAACTTATTTCTGAGTCACCATTCAGAGACATTGATTTTTTCGACTTTTGATTTCCAACTTCAAAACAAAACAAAGGGACTCAAGAAAACTTTTGAAGGTGATGTGTATGTTTATTACTCTTGTGCTGATGGTAGCAGTAGTGTATACTTAAGTCCCAACTCACCAAATTACATTATGTGCAGTTTTTAGTATATCAATTACACCTTACTGAAGCTGGAAAGAAATGATAATAAAAAGTTTTTGAGTTCTTATAATTTGACAGCAAACTGAGATTTTACTCTTATAACTTGTGATCCACTGATTCCTTCAGCAAGCATTTGCTGACATTTACCAATTTCCTGAGTCTTGTTGATGAATACTAGAGAAGGATGTTGAAGAGCACTAAATAGGTAACCTCAAGCAGTGACGTTATATCTGAAAAAAGTGACTGAGGTTCACTTTTAAGTAGGCAGCGTGCTTTGAGGCCTGAAAGGGCTCGGGTTGAATGGGCCCTGCCAGCCATGGATCCTTATGTAGAGGCTGGGCAAAAAAATGCTCCATTTTCCCCCTTTCGCCAAGAATTGAAATAGCCCCTTTTCCTGCTCGTTTGGCCGAGTAGAAGGGAAAGCCTTTGAGGCTATTCATGTTTTCACTGCCTGGTTTTCTGGGTCAGGATTAGGTCATGACCGTTTCATGTTTGTTCATTTGGCCTTGGGCCCCTGGGGCAGGTAGGGTCTGGCCAGGGGAAAGGTTCTTTTCCAGATTCTTTTTTTTTTTTGAGATGGAGTCTCGCTCTGTGGCCCAGGCTGGAGTGCAGTGGCATGATCTCAGCTCACTGCAACCTCCGCCTCCCAGGTTCAAGTGATTCTCCTGCCTCAGCCTTCTGAGTAGCTGGGATCACAGGTGCCCGCCACCACACCCGGCTAATTTTTATATTTTTAGTAGAGACGGGGTTTCACCATGTTGGTCAGGCTAGTCTCAAACTCCTGACCTCAGGTGATCTGCCCGCCTCGGCCTCCCAAAGTGCAGGCATGAGCCACCACGCCCAGCCCTTTTCCAGATTCCTGTAGCCAGCAAAGACCAGCACCAAACGTTTGTTGGGCTAATGGATGGGTGGATGCAAATGAATGTTTGCATTTGAATGAAATGACTGAGAACAAATCTTTGCCTGCTTTCAAGTTGCTGAGCGTCCCTCTACTGCCTAAGATGAGGGGTTTTTCTACTTGTATGTTATTCCTTGCCTGTCATAACAACAGTGTTTTTGGACAATGGTGAAAAGGAGCTCCCTCTTTGATTTTTGTAGATGGCAGTTGAATTCCTGCATGAACTGAATGTTCCATTTTTCAAAGTTGGATCTGGAGACACTAATAATTTTCCTTATCTGGAAAAGACAGCCAAAAAAGGTAAGTGTCTAATTTTTGACTTAAAATCGAAGGGAGTCCAAACCTTCATATTTTTACTCCCCTCATGGTGGCCCACTTTCAGCAGATTTCATGAAGACAAATTTTAGCCTCTTTTCATTTTTTTAAATAGAGATAGGGTCTCGCTGTGTTGGCCAGGTTGGTCTTGAACTCCTGGCCTAAAGCAATCCTCCCATCTCGACCTCCCAAAGTGCTAGGATTACAGGCATGAGCCACTGTGCCCTGCCAGAAACCTCTTTTCAATCAGCCTGTACTTCCATTTTTTGTAAGCTAATTTGAAAGAAAATGAATTAAGAATATGACAGTTTTTATAAGACATTTAGAAATTCTTTTTAAGAATTTTTTTTTTTTTTTAATAGAGACAAGGTCTGTCTATGTTGCCCAGGTTGGTCTTGAACTCCTGGATTCAAGTGATCCTCCTACTTCAGCCTCCCAAAGTGTTGGGATTACAGGTGTGAGCCACTGCACCTGTCCTAGAAAATTTTTTAACTAAAATTTATAAGAAATTAAGGATATGACAGTATATATAAAACCTAGCTGGGTATGGTGGTGCATTACTGTGGCCCCAGCTACTCGGGAGGCTGAGGTAGGAGGATTGCTTGAGTTTGAGACCGCAGTGGGACATGATCGTGTAAAGTGGTTTTACAACATGAACAATTTCATTTGATCCTCATAACACTCCTAGGACTGAAACAGGTCATGATTATGATGCTTGATACTTATTTCACAGGGGAGGCCTCTGAGACTCAGAGACGGACAGTACTCTGCCCAGGCACAGCTAGAAGTGGCAGCTCCACACCTCACATTCATTCACACTCTTGAATCAGCACTCATTCTACTGTACTGCCATGGTATACAACCTATTAATCAGATAAGATACTCATTTTCCTCTTGGCAGTGTGAAATTCCTCTGCCTCTTTAATTCAGTTCCTTTTGCTCAAGAACACTGTCGGGGGGCAGAGGGGAGCCCACCTTTCCTGTGGCCGAGGGCAGGAACCCAACAAGCTCCTCTCTGTTCCCCCACAGGGGCTGGCACAGTGTTTTAAGAGATGTCTGTGGAGTTCAGTTGAATGATGAGACCAGCAGTTGGGATGTGTTGGGGAGAGTCAGAACCTCTAAAGAGAAAGTGCTGATGGTGTTGGTGCTGGATTACTCAGGTCGCCCAATGGTGATCTCCAGTGGGATGCAGTCAATGGACACCATGAAGCAAGTTTATCAGATCGTGAAGCCCCTCAACCCCAACTTCTGCTTCTTGCAGTGTACCAGCGCATACCCGCTCCAGCCTGAGGACGTCAACCTGCGGGTCATCTCGGTGAGCAGGAGGGAGGGGGTTCCCTTCTTGGGCCATTTACTATGGGGAAGGCGTAGTCTTTTTTATAACCAAAATTCTAACAAACATGGCATACTTTATAATTTGAACATCCTTTGACAGTCTTGCTGTTACCAAATCAAATTCGAGCTAAGCAGTTGAGGAAGCACATACATTCTAAAGAGGGTGACTGTAAATGAAATTTTCTTGGCCAGGCGCGGTGGGTCATGCCTGTAATCCCAGCACTTTGGGAGGTCGAGGTGGGCAGATCACCTGAGGTCAGGAGTTCGAGACTAGCCTGGCCAACATGGTGAAACCCCTTCTTATTAAAAATATAAAAATTAGTCAGGCATGGTGATGCGTGCCTGTGGTCCCAGCTACTCAGGAGGCTGAGGCAGGAGAATCGCTTGAATTCAGGAGGCAGAGGTTGCAGTGAGCCGAGATTGCACCACTGCACTCAAGCCTGGGTGACAGAGTGAGACTCTCAGGGGGAAAAAAAAAAAAAAAAAAGTCTGTCTGTCAACAGACATTTGGGATGATTTTACCTTTTGGCTATTGTGAATGATGCTGCTATGAACACTAGCGTACAGATAAATATTCATCTTTTTTCATACTGAGTTATAGGAGGCCTTCTTGAAACTTCCTGGCTTTTTCTGCTTTATTTGCTGACTCTCTTATTTTCTAATGCTGAGCATCCCTGAGGCTCATACTAGTTATAGTGACAGCCTTGATGGAAATTACTCTCTCCCACGATTTTGCCTACTCAGTCATTTCACAGATGGTGAAATCCAGTCCCAAGTCGGGAAGCCTGAGATCCCACAGCAGCTTGGTGGCAAAGCTGGAACTAGAACCTGGGCATGTCCCCCTAGGCCTTTGTCTCTTACTGTCTCACGCCATCTCTCTCAGTTCTTCCTGTAGCACTGGAAATTTAACTTTATTCGAAAATATGTATGTAATTATCATTAAAACTATTATAGTAACATTAATGGAATTCTATCTATCTATCCACACATACTAGAATCCTGATATTGCAGTTGTTTTCCTTTTATATTTTCCTTTCAGTATAGTATTTGACATTGTTTTCCCCATAATATAAGCTTTCTTACATGTTGTTATACAGCCATTAACTTAAAAAGTTAGCCTTTTTGAAAACTGACATTACTCTCTTTTTACCTAAACTTTCTGTCCCTCCCAATCCTGTTTTTGCTTCACTTACAGCTTATCTAAATCACGTTATTTTTAAAATTTAAAAATGATTTCTGTGAAATATGTAATGTCGAAAGTAAACATCCCCTGCACTCCCATCCCACAGAGATTCCGATAATTAACAGTTTAGTAGACGTGACCCCAGCTATTTTCCTTTTCAGTGTATCTCCGTCCCCACTCAAGGTGCTGTCATGTCCTCTCTCTTGACACTACACATTGCAGGAGTTATTCTGCCAGCCTATCCCATCTTGGGCCTGCACATAGTACAGTGGTTTGAATTTTCAAACTTGTAGCAACCCGCACTCCATCACACACCCTTAAGCCTGGTTTTCAAGGCCTTTGCCACCTAACCCTCCTAATCTTTTGTTAAATCCCACCTGAGGCCAGACACCGTGGCTCATGCCAGTAGTCCCAGCACTTTGGGAGGCTGAGGCAGGTGGACCGCTTGAGGCCAGGAGCTTGAGACCAGCCTGGCCAATGTGGCGAAACCCTGTCTCTACTAAAAATACAAAAATTAGCTGGGCGTGGTGGCGGGCACCCATAGTCCCAGCTGCTCAGGAGGCTGAGGCAGGAGAATCGCTTGAACCCAGGAGGCAGAGGTTGCAGTGAGCTGAGATCACGCCATTGCACTCCAGCCTTGGTGACAGAGCAAGACTCTGTTTCAAAAAGAAATAATAAATAACAATAAAATAATAATACACGCTACCTGAGTCTTTCTACTGTACTCAGCTTTCTGGTCACCCTCACCAACAAGACTCACCCATCTTAGAGTGTCTTTTGTTGCATTCAGTGAATTATAGATAACGGATTAATTATTTATCATTTTCACCAAAGGATTGTTTTGAGATTGGGCTGTGTATATTATTGATGATATTTGTGCATATAGCACACTTGCTTTCAGCAGCTCAGGCTAATTAAATGTGACAGATGGTTTTTGAATGAGGTTAGACATTCATTTATAGTTCTGTTGTTACTCTTGGTGTATTGTGCAATGTGAAACATTCTTAAAATGCATTCTTTAGAATAACAGTAACCATTTTTAGAGCATTTACAATGTGCTGAGTGCTTCTCATGCATTTACAGCAACACTCAGCAGGTATTATTATCATCCCTAGGAAAGAGAGGCTCAGAGAGCCTCAGTATCTTGCCCCTGGCTGCACAGCTAGTGAGTGGCTAAACCGGGGCTCAACCAGATACGCTTCACCTGGAGAATATGCATAAAGCAGCATGATATTTAATGTTATTTTTCTTTTTCCATTTTAAAGGAATATCAGAAGCTCTTTCCTGACATTCCCATAGGGTATTCTGGGCATGAAACAGGCATAGCGATATCTGTGGCCGCAGTGGCTCTGGGGGCCAAGGTGTTGGAACGTCACATAACTTTGGACAAGACCTGGAAGGGGAGTGACCACTCGGCCTCGCTGGAGCCTGGAGAACTGGCCGAGCTGGTGCGGTCAGTGCGTCTTGTGGAGCGTGCCCTGGGCTCCCCAACCAAGCAGCTGCTGCCCTGTGAGATGGCCTGCAATGAGAAGGTGTGTCCTGCCGGACTCTACTCGGTTCTGCTGCCGTGTGTGGAAAAAGGATAGGCTGGCCTGAGAGGGATGGTCAGGACCAGCCCTCCCTGAGCCAGGCTGATGAAATGATCAGTGAATGTGCTCCCACCCGTGTCAGCTTCTTCAGGCTTCTCTTCAGTAATGCATGTCACTCTGGCCTGTAGCAGCAGCAGGAGACACATGTTATCTAACTTTAGCAGTTTCTCTGGCCACCTAGGGTCACATTAGAGTCTTCCACTAATTCTCTGAAGCCCATGGCCCCAGTACTCCTAGACTCCAGAATATGTAACAGGAGTGAGGCCCTGGAATAAGTCAAGTCTGGGCTCCCTTGGAGCAGGTAAGCCCTGAGAAACATTTAGGCACGGTGTTCCCTGAGGTACCAGAAGAGCCTGTGGCATTTCCTAAGCCAGGGTGGCACTGGTGGGAAGGGCAGTGAGTCGTTGCAGAGGTGGGTGGGTGATGATGCAGCTATTCCTTGTGCAACAGTGACCTTCAGACAGAGGAACTGGTGGGCCTAGAAGCACTGCCTGGCATGCTGACTATCAGGGCTTCCTGGAAGCCGTGGCCTGGACCTTCTTGCCTTCTGAGTCATAGAGCCAGGCAGGCATCCTGGGGCTGCCAGGCACACACACACCTAACCTGTAGGCTGTCGGGGTCAAGGCAAAGACCAAACACCAGGCATGCCTGGGACTGTTGTCACCTTTTATTCTAGTGGGGCCTACCTGCTTCCCCAAATCAAAGATGCATCTATACCAGGAAATTAAAATAAAGTAAAAAGAAATAGTTTCTTTATAGAGGAAACAGGAGAGAATTAGACCAGAAACCAGAGTAAGATTTATAACAGCTGAGCACTTAATTTGGCTCTCTGAGCAGACAGTAAAACATAACAGGATGCATGATTATCACTTGACATTTTTTCCTGGCACCACATTCCAAGCAGAATTGATTCCTTGTACTCTTACGTGGAGGATATAGAGTAATAAAACACGTAATTTATTTGAAAGCATTTATAGAGAAGACAAACACTGGTCATGAGCTTCAGGTACCCTTCATTCCCTCATCTGCCTGTATTATCTGCCCCTTCCTCGGGGGCTCCTTTTCTTGCCATCTGCATAACAGCCACATTCACCATCTTATGAGTCCTTCATATTTCTATTTTACCAAACAAAGTGGCGGTAAGGTGTGTGCCCTGGAGAACGGTGTGTCAGGAGTTAAGAATCTCATCCCTATGTTATGTTTCATCTTGGCTGTCTGCAACCCTGGCCAAGTCACCCACCCTGTATGGGCCTCAGTTTCCCCATGTTTACAATGAGATACTGAGCTGAATGGTAACCAAAAGAATCAGAGTTTGCATGTATTGAGAGCATTCTATGTTCCACGTACATTCTGTAATATCACCAATCCTTACAGTCATCTGACAGGATAAGTTTCCATTTGACAGAGAAACTAAAACGTGGCCTATACCCCACAGACTGGGATTTGAACCTGGCTCCGCCTACATAGCCTCAGCCCTTTCCTTTGCACTTTGTTGTAAAGGCTCCTCCTCTGAGTCTCTGAATTCAATCTATACTGGTTGAATTCCTGCCATGTATGAGATATTCTGAGCAGTGTAGGGGGCAACAGAGTGCCTGCTCCCAAGGTACTGCCTGGGGAAGACTGATCAGGGACCTTGAGTGTAAAGTAAAGTAGTGTGCACTAGTTACTTCTGTGAAGCTGGCACTGAATGTTCATTTTGTCCACAGCTGGGCAAGTCTGTGGTGGCCAAAGTGAAAATTCCGGAAGGCACCATTCTAACAATGGACATGCTCACCGTGAAGGTGGGTGAGCCCAAAGGCTATCCTCCTGAAGACATCTTTAATCTAGTGGGCAAGAAGGTCCTGGTCACTGTTGAAGAGGATGACACCATCATGGAAGAATTGGTAGATAATCATGGCAAAAAAATCAAGTCTTAAAAATAAAGTGCCATTCTCTGAATTCTCAGTTCCCTTGCTGATGCTGTCAGGTGTGTTTGAGTGAGGCGAGGGCAGGAATGGCGGTCTCCAGGGACCTGGCTGTCATCCACCTCCACCTGCTCCTTAGACAGCAGATGTTTCTGGGCTAGGCCCTGTGTCAGCCCACTGGAGACAGAAAAAGATCCAGTGATGCAATCTCTCCTTCAAGTTGGCCAGCTTAGTGCACTGGCCAACAGTGCATTATAAACAGAGCACCAGAAGAAGGGGTGGTTCCAAACAAAGTCCATATCCTCCAGTTGCTGGGTGGCTGCAGAGAGGGGTGAGAGCTGGCTGCACATGTCCTTTCCTTTAAGCCTTCATTCTCACTTCCTTACAGCCCTTTACTTCTCCATTGTCTTTATCCCTTTCCTGCCCTTGGCCTCTGTGTTTAGTTGGCATTGTATAGCAGTCACTCCACATCAGAGAAAGGACTGGTCAAAGGATCTTGTAGGCAGAAAATGCTGAAAGCACTCCTTTCAGAGCAAAGAGAGGGAAATGGCATGTGTTCCTTCTCTGAACAAATATTGAGGGCCATCTTTGTGCCAGGCACTGCTTTAGGCACAGAGTATATGGCCATGAACAAGCCCCAATCCCTTCCTCAGAGAACTTCCATTCAGATGGGGGCAGATGCATAAAAATCCATAGCATAGTGATTCAGTCACACAATATGTTAGAAGGTGGTATGTGAGCCAGGCGTGCTTGTGTGAGCCTGTAATCCCAACTACTTAGGAGGCTGAGGTGGGAGGATTGCTTGAGACCAGGAGTTCAAGCTATAATACGATCTTGGATGGGAACAGGTGGGAGTCAGGGTTTGTTTACACGTAAGTGAGAACTTTAATGAGTTATCTTCAGAAGCAGTGAATGCCCCATCCCTGGAGATAGTTAATCAGGGAGCAGCTGACTACTACCAGAAGGCTGCGTAAGGAATAAGATATGAGTAAAGGCCCTTCTGGGTCTGGGTGCTAGGGACTTGAAGCAACATGAACTGGAGGGAGCTGTGATGTGGACACGCTGAAATCGGTGGGGAGGAAGCGGAAGATTCAAGGGACCTCAAGAGACAGAAGAGTCAGGACTGGATGACTCCCATTCATTCACAAATGTTTACTGTGTGCCTACTATGTGTCAGGTTCCTGTGCTGTACGAGGGAGAAGGTTCCCAGGCTGCGGATGATGTATTCAGGATGCTGAGGGCTTACCTGTGGGGGTATCACTGGGTGCTAGGGACTTGAAGCAACATGAACTCCCAGTGAAGACCATGGTTAAAAGGGACATTATTCACATTTTATTAAACCAAATATTAGAAAATTGCTGTCATTTAAAAATATCTGCAAGCAATTTGCCATATCAATAAAGAAATGTCTACAGATTCAAGTCTGAAAGAGAAGAAGGTAAGTGATCAGTAACCCTTACAGACATGGAAACCAAGGAAGCCTCATTCCTGTGCTGAGAATATTCTAGTAGCTCCTGCTGCTGCCACATGGCAGCTGGGAATACCAGTAGTCTCAGCACTCGGTCAGTACCGTGCAAGCTCCCTTGGGAATGCTGATAAATCCTGGCATGATACAGCAGTATATATGTTTTTTTTGTTTTTTTTGAGACAAGAGTCTTGCTCTGTCCCCAGGCTGGAGTGCAGTGGTGCAATCTCAGCTCACTGCAATCTCCGCCTCCTGGGTTCAAGCAACTCTCTTGCCTCAGCCTCCCTAGTAGCTGGGATTACAGGCATGCACCACCACGCCCAGCTAATTTTTGTATAGGACTATAGTTTTAAGGCAAGTTTATAACCTTTGGCTCATTTGAGCCTCACAGCACTTGGTAGGTAGTGCTATTATCCCCATTTTATAGATGGCACTGAGAAGTAAAAAGTGACTAGCCCTGGTCACACAATTGATATGGACTGAAACTGCCGCTTTCTGGCTATCACGGGCCTTGACACAGCTAGTTTGTGACCTTTACAGTCTAGCTCTGTCTCTGCTACATGAATCCCAAATTTTTGAATCAAGTTCCCCTCTGGGCCATAAGGCCTCATCTCAGACCCCCAAGGAAGGCAGTCCAAAGGTAGACTCAAGTCTCGCAGAGTAACCAGGCACTAGGAAAGCATCATGGGCAGTAGCTCCACGAGAGGGGCCAGAGCACCAGGCACTGGCCAGAGACCAGCTGCATTCACCCTGAGCAGTAGGGCCTGGTGGCCATGAGCACAGACCTGGAACTCACAGCCTGGGCCCAGACTCCAGCTCCACCACTAGCTGTGCGACCTTGGGCAAGTGACTCTGGGTCTCCATTTTGCCATGTGTAGAATTGGGAAAACTTTCTACCCTCTAGGGCTGATGAAAGGATCAGATGAGTTTAGTCGTAAAGCATTAAAACAGTGCATTATAAACTATTAAGAGCTGTTATTACTTGGCCCCTGCAGCTGTGGGTCTGGGAAGAGGTCTTGGTCATCAGGGATGGGCAGAAATGTTGGGGTCAAGTGTATTCATCTTCCCTCTGTCAGGAACACCCTCTGCCTGTCACAATTCAGTTTGGGCCATTCCTAATAGAATTAATTTCCCCTTTTTCTCAGGATTCCTGCAGCATAGTGCTTAAAACTCTGTCCAGCCAGAGTTTTAAAGTCTTTGGTTAGAAGTTAAGGTGTTTGCAAGGTTCTGTCTGCCTGGTATTCTGCTACATTGTCTCATATCAAAAGTGCCATTTTTAACTCAAAAACTATTGAAAATTGTCAGTTTTATATGGTTCAAACTAATGCACTGAAAGTCTATTTAAACCACGAGGATTCGGCGACCTTGGCCTCCCACCAAGCACCTATGAAGATGCTTTAACAGAATATAACTTCAAAACCGTCTAGGGAATTGACAAAACAGGACGCAGAACCTTCAGAACGGAGACACAAATCCCTGGAAAGAAGCCTCCCACTCCCTGCTAGCGAAGGTGGCCTCCTGTGAGGGCCTACTGTTTTCTACCTCTGTCACTTCATTCCAGACAGCTGGGCACTCTGGGTTTCCTTGGCAACATCTGGATCTAAGGGTGCTCTTACCCTTTTTGTCCCAAGACAGTTGGGAAACACCACCCCCTTTGGTTGCTTAGCAACTGTCACCTGCTGATTCCTTCCCAAAATCCCCTGAGAAATGAGTAAGCAGGTTGAAAGCTGGGCCTAAGGGCTGGGCCAGGGGACAGGTCAGATGCTTGCCTGGGGGTGGGTGAACGGGGCACACGTCTGGCCCCCCTATATCACCCCGGGGTAACTTTACGCAGCTCTGCTTTCTTTCAGGACCTCAGACTCCCCAGATGAGATCTGGCTGGGTGACCTGTGAGGCCCGCCTAACTCAGCTCTTCTGTTACTCAGTGATAGGCACCTGCTGGTTATTAATTCACTGCTTGGGAGGGAAGGGGCTTTCTGGGAACTTTTCAGGGTGGAGAGAGTATAGGACAAAGCTGCCCTTCCAAAGCCTCCAATTTAGTTGGAAAGACAGGTCCCAGATTTGTGGCTCTGATAGTGAGATTCTTGTTCCTTGGTTAGACTTCCTGGCGCAGGTAAGCCTGCGGAAGACTGAGACAGGTGAAAAGACTTTTCTGCATGAATGTGCTGGCAGCAGAGAGGTGTGGAGGTGGAACTATGCGACACATTTCTGACTGGAGAGTCTCTAAGAAGAGTGGTAGGAGCTAGGTGAGGATAAGTAATTTTGGGCAGACTAGACAAGCCTTGAATGCTAAGGTGAGGCGCTTGTATTTTTTTTTGTTATTTCATGGAAACTCCTGGAAGCCTTTTCATAGCTGAGGGGTTAAGTGAAGTTTTAGGAAGATCACTCTAGTTTTAGGGTGGAAGATGAGGACTGGGAGAGGGTTCAGACCAGGAACTGCTAAGAAGCTCTTGCAGCTTCTGGAGGGAGCTGTGATGTGGACACGCTGAAATCGGTGGGGAGGAAGCGGAAGATTCAAGGGACCTCAAGAGACAGAAGAGTCAGGACTGGATGACTCCCATTCATTCACAAACGTTTACTGTGTGCCTACTATGTGTCAGGTTCCTGTGCTGTACGAGGGAGAAGGTTCCCAGGCTGCGGATGATGTATTCAGGATGCTGAGGGCTTACCTGTGGGGGTATCACTTTGAAGGAACTGGATTAAAGTAGTGTAAGTGATGGTGGGGTGAGGGTGCGGAGGTCTGATGAGAGGGCAGCAGCAGACTTGTTTAGGGCCTGTTTGAAACTAGCCTAGGAGAGGAAACCTTCAAAGCACTGTAGGCGTGATTGGTCGGGGAAAGCTGGGGCAGGGAGAGGGCCCTAAGAAGCAGGCAGTAAGGGGACCAGCCACGCTGATCTAGGTAGATTAGGCGAGACTGGGCAGCTGCGGCGTACCTGGAGGCTGTCACGCCGGTCCTGGCCCCTAGGGCAGCCGGGGGATGCTGATGGCCCCCTCCCAGAGCCGCAGGGCCGGGTAGAGCGGCTCCTGGAACGTGGCGCGGAAGGTATGCAGGTGGCTCATGCCGCCCGTCACGTCGTAGAAGGCGAGGACGCCGGCCTCGTAGTCCAGGAAGACGCCGAGCCGGTCGAGGTCGTCGCGGGGCCGCAGGCGGCTGCGCTGGCCGTCGTGGAAGGCCCAGTACTCAAGGTCGTAGCGCTTGAGGCACCAGGACTGGCGGTTGCAGCCCAGGCGGGCGGCGGCCGAGGCCCCGCGGCGCCGAAGGGAGGCGTAGGCCGCGCCCACCCACCAGCCGGCGCCCGCCTCCTGCACGTCAACCTCCCAGTAGTGGCGGCCGGTGGCGAAGCAGTCACGAGCCAGCACTTGCCAGAGCGCGTCGAACCGCAGCACGGGCACGGGCCCCAGGCTGCCCAGCAGGCCGCAGCGCACCGTCAGGCGATCGGCGGACAGGCGCAGGCGCGCGTGCATCGTGTCAGGATCCAGCGTGGGCGTGCGCGCGTCTGCAGGGGGCGAGACAAGGGACGCACCTGGTGGGCGGGGCCAGCGCGGCGCCCCGCCCCCGGGAACCCACCAACGCACGTGCAAATCACAAAATGCGAAGCGCGGAAATGGCCCAAGGAAGGGGTGACAGACCCCTTTAAACCGCGACTGCCCCTGGGGCGGGGTCTTGGGGAAAGGGGAAGAAGAGATCACTCTGCTGCACATCCCTTATACTGTCTGTATTTTGTGCCGTGAAATTTGTTGCCAATTAATACAAATTTAATTAAAACTAATCCTATCACTGTTAACATTAGGGTGTGTGTACTTCCTATCTTTCCCCTCCCCTTGCTGCTTTATAGCTTTTCTTTTTCTTTTTTTTCTTTTTTTGAAACGGAGTCTCGCTCTGTTGCCCAGGCTGGAGTGCAGTGGCGCGATCTCCGCTCACTGCAAGCTCCGCCTCCCAGGTTCAGGCCATTCTCCTGCCTCAGCCTCCCGAGTAGCTGGGACTACAGGCGCCCACCACCACGCCCGGCTAATTTTTATAGCTTTTCTTAATATTGGTGTCACACCATACATGACGTTAGGTAATCTGCTTTTTAAAATTGATTGATCTACTTGTGAGGCATTTTGACACATCATAATATCCTTTCACAAGAGCATTTTAGTGGAGATTCTAAAATTTTGATGTTTGGACGCATAACTTAGTCCTCCGTTTAAAAAGCTTTTGAAACCACTAATACAATTACATTTTTACGTATCTGATTGCTTCTGTAGAATATACTCCTAAAACAGGAATTGCTGGGTCAATGGGTATTTTTTTAAGGTCTTTGATACATATTGCAAAACTATCCTCCCCAAAGTTTGTAGTGATTTAAACTCTCATTAACATTTCTCTTTGCATTACACCATGTATGTACACATGAAGTTTTTTTTGTTGTTGTTGTTGTTGTTTTTTAAGTCTGGATCACAGGGTATGTGGATATTCAGCTTTCATAAACAAGGCCAAACAGTTTTCCATGGACATTTGGATTGTTTCCGTGTTGCCTATTGTGACTAATGTTGCTATAACTGTAAACGTGTAACAGAGACTGAGTTTTCTAAGAAAAAGAGCATTTTTCTAAGAGAAAGAGAATGAATTATTTTTAAGATTTTCCCCCTTTTTCTCCTGTCTCCCACTTCCTACTTAGCTCTTTATTTTTATTTTTTTTAAGATGGAGTTTCACTCTTGTTGCCCGGGCTGGAGTGCAGTGGTGTGATCTCGACTCACTGCAACCTCGGCCTCCTGGGTTCAAGCGATTCTCCTACCTAAGGCTCCCTAGTAACTAGGATTACAGGCACCTGCCACCACGCCTGGCTAATTTTTGTATTTTCAGTAGAGACAGGGTTTCATCATGTTGGCCAGGCTGGTCTTGATCTCCTGACCTCCGGTGATCCGCCTGCCTCAGCCTCCCAAAGTGCTGTGGTTACAGGTGTGAGCCACTGTGCCCTGCCTCTACTTAGCTCTTTAGAAATGTAATTATAACCATTACCTTCCCTTCACCAGATAGTCCCTACAGGGCAAACTTATCTACCTACTTAGAGGGTCTAGAACCAGAACTTTCTCCCACCAGGAGATTGCCTTAAGAGACAACAGTCAATTTACAACATAAAGTATGCCTTCAACAGAACTCTTCCACCCGGACAGCATCTCAAGACAACGGCCACATTACAACCTAGTTCTGCCCTCAATGGCACCAGCTCAACCACTTGGTAGAAAACGCATCAAAATGAGTCATATAGACCCCCATCTGCTTGCTCCTTCCCTGCATGCCATTCATACAAAGTCCCCATTTAAAAGCCTCTGCTTTCTGCCCCAAAAGTGAGGCGGTACCGTTAAGGGCAGGAGGAGCCTGTACCTCTTCCCCTAAGCTAATCTTTAGAATAAAACCACTTTCTTTATACCAGACCTCGCTCTTGTTAATTGAACTCTGCAAAGCGTTGAGCAACTGAACCTGTGTTTCGGTCACATAACATTCTTGTGCAGGTCTTTTGATTCACATATGTATGCATTTCTGTTGGATATATGTCTAAGGTGGGAGAAAATGCTGCTCATTATAACCACTTCTATTCAACAATGTTCTAAATGTAGTAGACAGTAACTCAAGGCACGAAAAAGAAGTGAAAGGAAAGAATAAAGATCGGGGAAATGAAAGATTATTATTCATAGGTGACATGCTTATTTACACAAAAACCCAAATAATCTGTAGATAGCTTAGAAGTACTAAGTGAATTTATAACAGCCACTCAGTATGTCAATATACAAAAATGGATAAATCTCATATTGAGTGAAAGAAGCAAAACACAGAAGGGTATAGTGTGAATGATCTACTGAAAGTTCAAAAACAGGTAAAACTAACCTATAGTCCTAGAAGTCTGGAGAGTGGATCCCCTTTGGGGATAGTAAACAAGAAGGCACATGAGGAAGACTTCTGGGGAGTGGAAATTTCCATTTCTTGATCTGAAGGTGGTTACAAAATATGTTTCCTTTTTAAAAAATCATTGAGCTGATTGATCTGCACATTTTTGATTTGTGCACTTTTTTTTTTTTTTTTTTTTTTAAGACGGAGTCTTGCTCTGTTGCCAGGCTGGAGTGCAGTAGTGCGACCTCGGCTCACTGCAACCTTCGCCTCCCGGGTTCAAGCGATTCTCCTGCCTCAGTCTCCTGAGCAGCTAGGACTACTGGTGCATGCCACCATGCCCAGCTAATTTTTGTATTTTTAGTGGAGACAGGGTTTCACCATGTTGTGCAGGCTGGTCTCGAACTGCTGACCTCAAGTGATCCACCTGCCTTGGGTTCCCAAAGTGCTGGGATTACAGGTGTGAGCCACCGTGCTCGGCCTTTAAATCAGTATGTTAGCCTTTGTATGGAAAATGTAAATTTATTCAGTGCCTCTGTTTTGATATTCACTGTCCCCCTCCCAACACCAGGGGCAGTGATCACCATTCTTTGGTTTCCCTCTGTCTCCTGATGGTTACTTTGCACTTGAATAAACTCTGCTAACTGGATACTGAGCCTTCTTTAGATTGAGTCTTTTTTAGGTTGACACCCAGTAATTCCACTTGAGAAATTACTCCTAAAAAATAATCTGAAAATGAGGTATGGTGTGTTCATTCTCTCATTCATTAATTCAATTCAACAAATGTGTACAAGAATGGATGTTTATTACAGCATTGTTTTAGAAATGAAAATGTAAACATCCAACATTATGAGATTGGCTAAATATGACACATCCATTCAATGCAATGCCATGCAACCTCTAAAAACAATGATAAAAATAAAAAATTAGCTGGGCATGGTGGCACACACTGATAGTCCCAGCTATGAGGGAGGCTGAGGTGGGAAAATCATTTGTGCCCAAGAGGTCGAGGCTGCAGTGAGCCATGACTGCACCACTGCACTCCAGAGCAAGACTCGGTCACACACACACACACACATAGTGATAATATTAGCTGGGCACAGTGGCTCACTGTATAAATCCCAAATATATATATGTTCATAATATATCAGTAAATGAAAACAGATGACAAAACAGTATGTATAGTATGACACCACGTTTGTAACATAAAAAGATATATTAAATATATCATTATATGCATATTAGATGTGCTAAAAAAGCTAAAAGGACAAATAATAATAGCAGTTATTCACAGAAGAGGGATTATGAGTAACTTTTTTCTTTCATTTTCTAATTTTTCTACAATGAACATGTATTGTTTTATTGCCTTTAATAATAAACATTTTTTAAAAAACAAGTTCTTAAAATAAATAAATAAATAAATTCTAATGAGAAAAAAAGAGGGACCTCCATTTCCATGATCCTCCTCCACCCAACATCCCACCATCTCCACCGTCTCCACCCTATCCCCACTCCCGGGGGTCTTACATTTCAGCAATAGCGATCGCTCTGGTGAGGGGCTGGTTTTCAACAAGGTACCTGGCTTGGTGCTGGAAGGGTCTGAGAGCTGGCAGTTTATGCCTGTAAGGAATTGTTGAGAAATGAGCGCCCGGAGCTTATGCAAGCAGACAAATAAGACGTGCTAAAAATACCACACAACTGGAGATTCGCATAATCTCGCCCAAGAGCCAGGCAGATTTAAGGGATTTATGTGAATTCACAGGGACAGGAAAACCCCAGGATGACAAGGCTGGTGTGGGAGAGTCCTAAATAGGAGGAGGAGCTGAGGCGCGAACAACTACTGGATCCAACACTCAAGGATGGGCGGCGACTCAGGGAAGATGTGCAGATTCCAGGGTAAAGATGGAAAACAAGAAAGTAGAGCTGAGTCCTCAGGAAGGTCTGAGTGCTCAGAAAGAAAGAAGGAGGGGAGTCTATCCCAACAAGCGGGCACAGCAGGGGCACCCAGGGCCCTTGGCACTTGCTGTGCCCTCTGCCTGGACAGCCCCCCCACACCCTTCCCCCCTTGCCCAGGTTGCCTCCTTCCCAGCTATTGGGGCCGCAGCTCACTCAGCACCTCCGCAGAAGTGCCTTCCGCCCCCATCACTCCCAGCACTCATCACAGGGGCCTGTAGAGATCTGTGGGAAGCCCACCTGCAGGCTGTTTAAATCAAGTTTTGCCTAAAGCTCCTCCTTACATCTTTTAAGTTCGGCCTACATATTTTTCTGTACGTCATGAACAATAACAAGTGGAGGTGTAAACAGACCGTAGCCTGCACTTGTGCCAATCACCAAGTTTTGGCCAATCAGATGTAGCCAACTGTTCAAATTGTGTTCAAATTAGGCGAACGCCGAGCTGTAACCAATCCAGCTGCTTCTGTACCTCACTTCTGTTTTCTGTACGTCGCTTTCCTTTTTCTGTCCCTAAATCTTCTTCCACCACGTGGCTGTGCTGGAGTCTCTGAGTGCACTGTGGCTCAGAGGGCTGCCGGATTCATGAATCGTTCATTGCTCATTTAAACTCCTTTAAATTTAATTTGGCTGAAGTTGTTCTTTCATCAAGGCAAAAGCCTCTCCCCTCTCCCCAGAACTCTAGAATCATAGGTCCTACTGCCGAGGCGATACCACCACATGGGAAGTCCAACTTCTCAAATCTAACAGGTTCACTTCATTCCCTCCAGTCCTAAATACTCTTTCTCACTTCAGAAAATGACAGTTTCCTTCTGCGAGTTGCCCACGTCCAAATCCTTGGATTCTGATCTCTTTCCTCTCTCCCCTGTGACCCTACGTCCACTCCTGTTGTCCCCATTGCTGCTCCTTCGATATGGCCAGCTCACTCCCATCGCGCCTCAGGACCTCCACCCTTGCTTTTCCCTCTGTCTAGAATACCTCCCCCAGACGTAACAGCAGCAGCAATCATAATCGCCAAGACATACGTGGTGCTTAATATGCCTGAGCGCTATATGTGTAAGAGCTCATTTAATCCTCACAGCAGCCCAGGAGAGGCGACTGCATTATGGTCTCCACTTTACAGATGCAGAAACAGAGGCATGGAAAAGGGAGGAGCCGTGTCTAAGATGGCAGGGTTCAGCAGGGTTCCAAGTGGTAGACCTCGGATAGGAACCCAGGAGGCCTAGCTCCAGAGGCCGTGCCTATGACCACTGTGCTCTCTGGCCCTTCAGACCCACAGAACCTGCAGAATGAATGCTTCCTTTGGGCCACCTTGAGTGTCCCCTTCTCAGAGGCCATCCCAACTGCTTATATAAAACAGCTCCTCCTCCTTGTCACTTTCCTGTCTTCCATCCTGCCCTGGTTTATTATTATTATTATTATTGTTATTTTTGAGACAGAGTCTTGCTCTGTCACCCAGGTTGAAGTACAGTGGCATGATCTCAACTCACTGCAACCTCCACCTCCCGGGTTCAAGCAATTCTCCTGCCTCAGCTTCCCGAGTAGCTGGGATTACAGGTGCATGCCACCATGCCTGGCTAATTTTTGTATTTGTAGTAGAGATGGGGTTTCACCATGTTGGCCAGGCTGGTCTCAAACTCCTGACCTCATCATCCACCCACCTCGGCCTCCCAAAGTGCTGGGATTACAGGCGTGAGCCACCACGCCCGGCCTTTATTATTCTTTATAGCAGTATAGCAGTTCCTGTCACCTGACATGTTTGTGTACGGTCTGTCTTCCCCTACGAAGACTGTGAGCACCAAAAGAGGAGAAGGAGCTTTGTTTTGTGCCCTGCTATGCCTGGCATATAAGAGGGGCTTGATAAATGTTCTGAATGAATCATGATAGCAGAGGTGAATGAATGAATGAATGCATAAATGAATCAAAGAACAGATATTTTTGAGTACATGTTTTGTGCCAGGCCCTGGGGGGACCTCAGAGTTGGACCTAAAGCTGGTTTCTGCCCTTCACGTGCTTACAAGGGGCAAGGAGGGGGGTCCATGTATCCACTTCATGAGCACCCTCTAGCAGGACATGGGCAGGCCCTGGAGCGGGAAGGGAGAGGGGAGATGGCTAAAGGAGAGAGTGAGTCAGGGCTGGGCTGGCAGGAAAGGGCTTCCCAGGTGGGCGCAGCTGTGCCAGTCTGCCTCGAAGGGGTGCCAGGCCTTGGCCCCAGCCAGAGGAAGAGAAGGAGGAAGAGTTGGTCATTCCAGCTGGGAGCCCAGAGCAAGGCTGAGATGTGGCAGGCTCCCAGGAGCAATCTGAGGGGCAGAAGCAGGGCAGTGTGACTGGAGAAGGGCAGGTCTCAGTCTCAGGAAGGGTTGGAGGTGAAGTGGTGAGGGTGGGTTGGGCACCAGGCCCAGGAGCCCCTGACCGCCCAGCCAAGGGCCTCAGTGTGGGAGAGACAGGATGTAGGGAGATGATCTTTGCATTCGTCTCTGGGCTAAAGGACACTAGGGGAGTTAAGGACACAAAGTTGGTCACTCGGCGACTTACTTTCCTTAAGGCGAATGTCCAATGGCGTCTGTAATGTACTCTCCACGGCTTCCACGAGGCCCTTAAAGAAGCTCTTGACGGGCTCAAAGGAGAGGGGCACGGGATGGCACAGCTCCCCGAGGCTCATCTGCTGCTGCATCTCCTGCTCGGTGGCCGTGTATGCCTGTGTGGGCACACGGGGGTGAGGGTGGCTCTGGGAGATGCAGGCAGCATCCCAGCCTCCTGTGCTGCACCCAGGAACAAACCCACACCAGCATGCCCAGGCTCCACGTTGGCCTGGCACCTATGGTCAGCCCAGGCCATGCCTGCAGGAGCAGAGCCCTGGAGAGACCATACGGCATCCCTGAGGTGGGAGCCATGCGGAGGTGCGGTTTTTCAGTGCTGGCACTGGGGATTCCTCCCTCTCCATCCTTCCTCCTTTCCTTCCTTCCTTACGTGTTCATTGAAACCTACTCTGTGCCAGCTATGCATGCAGAAGGCAGGGTCAGGCTGACACGGGGCCCTTCCCAGAGAGGCTTCAGCCTCACACACACTGCGCCACGGGTCTGCCTTGGGTACAAAAAGGGTGAGAGGTCAGTCTCCCTGGGGAAGGAGCACCTGGAGCTTATTCAAAGGTGGAGCAGGAAACCATGTTCTAAGAAGGACGCCAAAGGCCAGCAAGGTTCAGCTGCAGTGCTGACTGAGGGGGTGTGGCCACCGCAGGGGACATGTGTCCTGTTTTGCACCTGGACAGCCCCTCTTCAATACTTTCCTGTGGTATGTGGCTTCACTAAGGAGAAGCTAGAAAACCCCCTCTCCCAGCTCCCTTTGCACCTGTGCTGCAGGAGTGTGACCAGACGCCTCCAAGCCAAAGCGTGGATTTGGAAATGACGGTGAAGGTAGTGATGGTGGCATGTGGCACTGAGGGACAGCAGTGGTGGGGGCTCTGGTCAGTGGTGTGAGTGGTGATGTCTTGCCCAGCAGGGGTGCCGTGGGGCCTATACTGGCACCAACCCCTGCTGGAGTCTGGACTTCATTCCTGCTGCCCATCTTCCATCCCGACTCTCTGGCCCTCCTGGAGATCCTATGGGCTATCTCATACTCTTCCATAAACTCCTTTCTTGCTTAAAACAGTTCCAGTGGATTCTCATGTTTGCAGGTAAGAACCATGGCTGCATTTTCTGAAGCTCTGTCCTGGCCAGGAGTTGGAAGGAAGATGACTGCCTCAGGTGATCAGGCTTGGCTGGCAGTGGCAGTGCTGCCCACCCGAGAAGGGGTGGACAGATGAGGGCCTCAGGAGGGAGGGAGGGTGGCCTAGCACTTGGCTGTTGGGCAGGGGCAGATCCCACCTGGCAGCATGCTGTACATTGGGAGGGGGCTGTGAGATGGCCTGCAAGCCCCATTCAGCCTAGGAGGCCAGGAGTCTATAGAGTCCAACCTCATTTTGGTGGGGAACCAGGCCTAAGGTCACACCCAGAGCGCTGGAATGGAGCTGGCCAGGGGAGACCAAGCACTAGCAGGAAGTCCAGGGTGGGCAGGGAGCAGCTCCGGGGAGGCGAGAGGGGGCTCAGAGGGCAGATGAGTAGGGTAGGATGAGGGGTCGATAGAGGACACATGGCACCACCTGGTAACCCCAAACTCCAGCAGCTAGCACCAGACCTGACACACAGGTTCTCAAAACATATGTATGATGGAATAAATCAATGCATGAAACCGAGCACAGCCACTTTTTTGCCTTTGCAGACTCAGAGAACAGAAATCCCAGCCCTTCATCTCTCAGGCCAGAAACCCAGGCATCATCTGGGGATTCCTCCTACCCATTCTCCAATTCCAATCTCCATTCCTGTGGCATCTCTTGACCTGCCTGTTTCTCCCCATCCCCACTGCCCCTGTCTTGGTCCAGGCCACCATCATCTCTCTCCTGGACATTGTGGCCTCCTCCCAAGTTCTCTTCCAGCCTCCCATCCTGGCCTCCTCTGTCCATCTTCCACTCTATCTCTAAAGTGACTTTTCTAAAGCACTAATCTGACCATGTGAATGCTTTCATCCCTCAGTTCAAAACACTCCCCTGGGCTGGGTGCAGTGGCTCACACCTCCCAGCTCTTTGGGAGGCCAAGGTGGGCAGATCACTTGAGGTCAAGAGTTTGAGACCAGCCTGGCCAACATGGTGAAACACTGTCTCTACTAAAAATACAAAAATTAGCTGGGCATGGTGGCACGTGCTTGTCGTCTCAGCTCTTCCAGGGGCTGAGGCAGGAGAATCCCTTGAACCTGGGAGGCAAAGGTTGCAGTAAGCTGAGATTGAGCCACTGCATTCTAGCCTGGGCAATAGAGTGAGACCCTGTCTCAAAAACAAACAAACAAACATTCCTGTCTCCTATCTCATTACAGGACAAAGTCTGAACTCCATGGCACATAAGGCCTTCATGAACTAACTATGGCCTATGGATCCAGCTGTGTCTCTCAATCCCCCCACCCTTATACCCTCACCTCTCCTCAAGTCAGGCTGCACCCCAGCTGGTTCCCCAGCCTGTCAAGCTCTCACATGTACACAGTTCCTGTCTGTCCTCTCTGCGTCCTCTCTATATACAGTGTGCTCCTACTCATTGTCCAGCACCCAACCCTACCATCACCTCTTCCTAGAAGTCTTCCCAGACTGCATCCTTCTCCCAGCCAGAGAGTGTCAGACATTTCTTGGACATAATTTTGCTAGCTTCATATTTACAAAATTGTTTAAGCTGTATTGTAAATAACTGTTTCTGAGCAAGTCCCCCACCCAACTGTGAGCTCCTAATGTCCAGCAAGTGACCTGGCTCAGTACATATTGATGAATAAACGAATGAACACATAGAAGGTGGGAACGGTGAATGATTAAAATCATTAGCTGTGGCCCAAGAGAATTTGAAAAAAAAAGATGACAAAGCCCTGAAACCGTTTTCTGATGTGAGAATAGCATGCTTCTCCATGGAAGGATTCCTTTGTATTCCATAGCCTTAAAAACGACCATTATTTAAAAAGAGACAATTACATGTAACACTTTGTGCATCTTGCCTCTCTTAAAGCACAACACCCATTATGCCTAGGAAAACACTTCATCCAGAATTTGGCTCAAACAGCTGACAATGAGACACAGGCTGAACCGACTGAGGCCACATAAAGACACAAGAGTGGAAATCCCCAGCTGGAGACTGGCTTGGCGGGTTTTGTGTTGACTGGCTTATTTGTCTGTCTTATTTTCCAGCCAGAGCCCATACTAATCTGTGGTTAGAGTTGGTGCCACTTTTAGTTGTACCCTGCCTTGTCCCACAGCCTTTAAAGTGTCTTGTGAAGGTCCTCTAATAAGGCAAGATTTTTCTTTATAGCGAGAAAAATGAAGCTAAGAGAAAATTAGACACAAAGTGTTTGCCATGAAGCCTTAGTCTGGTTAGTCAAAGCAGATTTGGCTCTGAACTTCCCAAGGCAAAGAAGGAAACAGGAGGAGCTCTATTAGTGGAAAAGCAATTCTAGTGCAGAAGTGACTGCACAGGGATATTGACACCAGACAACAGTTTCTTCCACGGTTCCCTAAAGACAGGAACACCATCGGCCGGGTGCGGTGGCTCACGCCTGTAATCCCAGCACTTTGAGGGGCCGAGGGGGGCGGATCACGAGGTCAGGAGATGGAGACCATCCTGGCTAACATGGTGAAACCCCATCTCTACTAAAAAATACAAAAAATTAGCTGGGCGTGGTGGGGGGCGCCTGTAGTCCCAGCTACTCGGGAGGCTGAGGCAGGAGAATGGTGGGAGGTGGAGCTTGCTGTAAGCCGAGATCACACCACTGCACTCCAGCCTGGGCGACAGAGCAAGACTCCGTCTCAAAAAAAAAGAAAAAAGTAGACAGGAACACCATCCTCAACAACATGCTTTCTCTAAATGTAGCAATGACTATCCCTGGGGCTAGTTCTTTTCTTTTTTTTGAGACAGAGTCTCACTCTGTTACCCGGCCTGGAGTGCAGTGGCATGATCTCGTTACTCACTGCAATCTTTGCCTCCCCGATTCAAGTGATTCTCCCACCTCAGCCTCACAGGTGCACGCCATCACGCCTGGCTGATATTTGTATTTTTAGTAGAGAGGTGGTTTTGCCATGTTGGTCAGGCTGGTCTCAAACTTCTGGCCTCAAGTGATCTGCCACAGGGGCTATTTCTTAGACTCTTCCTCAACAAAGCCCAGTGGCCAAGGAGTACCATTGAGCCAGCTGTGACTCAGCCTTTGAAATGTGCTCAGTAGCTGCAAGGACACCTGCCTTTTCAGGTGGGGTGTCTCAATTTAAGACTATAAAGGCAGGCTGATTGCGGTGGCTCACACCTATAATCCCAGCACTTTGGGAGGCTGAGGTGGGCGGATCACCTGAGGTCAGGAGTTCAAGACCAGCCTGACCAACGTGGAGAAACCCTGTCTCTACTAAAAATACAAAATTAGCCACGCATGGTGGCACATGCCTGTAATCCCAGCTACTCAGGAGGCTGAGCCAGGAGAACTGCTTGAACCCAGGAGGCAGAGGTTGTGGTGAGCTGAGATCGCACCACTGTACTCCGGCCTGGGCAACAAGAGAGAAACTCCATCTCAAAAAAAAAAAAAAAAAAAAAAGACTGTACAGTCAGAGGGCCAGGCAGGGTCCCTTGTGGGTTTAGAGTCAGACAGACCTAGACAGACAGCCAGACCTGATACCAGCTCTGCTACCTACCTGCTGTGTGAGACCAGGTGAGTCACTTCACTGAGCCTCAATTTCTTGTTTATAAAATGGGGTGAGCCCACTTTGCAGAGTTCTGGTGAATATTAGTGCTAAACTACACAGTGCTCAGGACACAGGGGCCTTTGAAATTGGTGGCTGTTAATATTATTTAATTAGCCCAAGAGGTGTATTATCTTCCTAACAATGTATATTCTCTTGACCACCTGTGTGGGGGCAAGACAGTCTACATGGTGACAAGACAATAGTCCATGTACTTGCTTAGTGTGTCAATACTGTGCTCAATGCCACAATACTTGAGATGAAGTGTGGGTGGCAGGTGGCAGCAGTAAGAGCAGTGACCCCAGCATTACCTGAAGCCTCTGGACAGGATCGGGCTCCTGGCTGATACTCCAGACCCTGTTGGAGAGATCATTCATGATGTCAAGTTGCTCTCTGCAAGAGTCAGCTTGTTCCCTGTACACCTGGAGGGTAAGCTGCGTGTTTTTATCAATGAATTTCTTGGCCAGCGCTTCCTCTTCGTCAAGTAGTAATCTGAGTTCAGTGAATTTCCCCTTCAGCCAGGTTTTACTTGACTCTGCATTAGCCTAAAAACAGAAAAACCAGTTGCAGATGACATGTCTGCCAACCAGGAAATCCAGAATAATCAACATGAAAAAAATCATAACGTCTGAAATGTGAGTTCAGTAAAGTGGCCAGTCAGACACAAGATCAACTTATAAAAACCAAAGCTTTCCTAAGCACCAGCCCATCACCGATCGTAAAATGCACGGAGAAATAAAGATCCTTTTGAAAATGGGAGAAAAAATAGCAAAATATGTGGAAATATACCTAATACAAAACCATATTCGTGACTGGGAGGGTTGATTACTATAAAGTCACTATTTGTCTCTAAATTAGTCTATAAATTTGATGAAATTCTAATCAAAATCTTAACATGCTGATTAAAAATTATTAAATCATTAGGAGAGAGAATAAGCATAAGAAAAGCCAAAATTGCTTTAAAAAAATCAATAAAGAGAAAACTGATAAGAGGTTATCTGCCTTATCTGCCTTATCTGATAACAAAACAATAAATCTACAGGATCTAAAACCATGTGGCTCAAGCATAGATAAGAGGTCAAAAGTACAAAATAAAGAGCTTTTAAAAGAACTCAAATTATATATGGAAATGTATGTATGTGTATGTGTGGTGTAACAGTGGCATTTTAGAACAAATTTTTGTATTTTTTGTACTAAAAATATAAAAGTAAAAATAATTAAAATAATATGAGATTTTCCACAATGAAAGGTTAAGGAAAACAAACAAAAGAGAAGGTCCAGTTAAACTAAAACACTGTACATAAAGCCCAAAGAATAAATCAATTAGATGAAATACAAAACAATTTTTATTTATTTATTTATTTATTTTTATTTTTTGAGAAGGAGTTTCACTCTTGTCCAGGCTGAGTGCAGTGGTGCGATCTTGGCTCACAGCAACCACTGCCTCCCAGGTTCAAGCGATTCTCCTGCCTCAGCCTCCTGAGTAGCTGGGATTACAAGCACGCACCACCACACATAGGTAATTTTGTATTTTTAGTAGAGACGGAGTTTCACCATGTTGGTCAGGCTGGTCTTGAACTTCTGACCTCAGGTGATCCACCTGCCTCAGCCTCCCAAAATGCTGAGATTACAGGCATGAGACACCATGCCCAGCCCAGAAAATAGTTTTTGATCATTAGATTGGAAGACTTTTAAGAGACTGAAATACAGTCTGTAAGGGTATGTGAAGTAGGGCATTTATATAAACTGTGGGTGGTAGGGTCTATTGGTACTTCGCTTTTAGAGGACAATACGACAATAGCTATCAATTTTTTTTTTTTTTTCAGACGAAGTTTTGCTCTTGTCGCCTAGGCTGGAGTGCAATGGCAAGATCTCGGCTCACTGCAACCTCCGCTTCCCGGGTACAAGCGATTCTCCTGCCTCAGCCGTGTAGCTGGGACTGCAGGTGGCCATCACCATGCCTGGCTAATTTTTGTATTTTTAGCAGAGACAGGGAGTCACTGTTGGCCAGGCTGGGTCTTGAACTCCTGACCTCAGGTGATCTGCCTGCCTTGGTCCCCCAAAGTGCTGGATTACAGGCATGAGCCACTGCACCTGGCCTCAAAGTTTTAAATACATTTATTCTTTCATGCAGCAATTCCTCTTACTTTACTTATATCCTAGAAAATGCTTTCACATGTGCATGAAGATTTGTGTACCAAGATTCTCAGTATATAGCTTCTACACATAGAGAATAGAATTGGGCAAGTGTAGTGGTAGGTGTCTGTAATCCCAGCTACTTGGGAGGCTGAGGCTTGAGAATCACTTGAGCCCGGGAGGTGGAGCTTGCAGTGAGCTGAGATCAGGCCGCTGCACCCCAGCCTGGGCGACAATGCAAGACTTTGACTCAAAAAAAAAAAAAAAAAAGAAAAGAAAAAAACATTGAAAAATGGGCGTCACTAGCAGAAACAGAAACAACAGCAGTGGGGAGCGAACGTTCTGAGAAATAGGGTCAACCACAAACAGCTCACTAGCACTCAAGCATCCTGTTACAAGCACTCAACTCACAGTCCACCTGCACCCAGGCATCCTGTCTGCAAGCATTCAGCTCAAGCAGCACAACCTTAGAAAACTCCACCTCCAGCTCCTGCCTCTTTGCAGACAGTCTTCTTTCTGCTGTCTCACCCATTGCTCCCTTTCAATGTATCTCCCCCTTTTCTCTAAATAAATCTGCCTTTCTAAACTCAATGCTGTTTTGGTAAATTATTTTATTCCCCTGTGCACCAGCCTCAGACAGTTGTTAACCATGACATATTTGGCACAATTTTCAATATGGGATATGTATATCGGTTCATTATATAAATTGTCCTACATTCGTACAATGAAATAATTTATAGCGATTACAAAGAATGCAGTGTGCTGATGCATGCTAAACATGGATGAACCTCGAAGACATCATCCCCAGTGAATTAAGCCAGACAAAAAAGGACAAATAATTTATCATTCCGCTTATGTGAAACATCTAGACCAGGCAAATTTATAGAGACAGAAAGTAGAGTCGACGTTACCAAGGGCTGGGAGAGGGGAAATGGGGAGTAATTGCTTGATGGTTTCAGAGTTTCTGTTTGGGATAATGAAAAAGTTTTGGAAGTAGACACAGGTGATGGCTATACAACATTGTGAATATAATTCATACCACTGAATTGAATACTTTAAAATGGTTAAAATGGCAAATTTTATGTTATGTATATTTTATCACCATAAAAAAAAAGAAGAAGAAAATATAACAACAAAAACAATGCAGTAGGCTGGGCGCGGTGGCTCACGCCTGCAATCCCAGCACTTTGGGAGGCTGAGGCGGGCAGATCATGAGGTCAGGAGTTCAAGACCAGCCTGGCCAAGATGGTGAAACCCTGTCTCTACTAAAAATACAAAAAAATTAGCCGGGCGTGTGGCGGGCGCCTGTAATCCCAGCTACTCAGGAGGCTGGGGCAAAGAATTGCTTGAACCCAGGAGGCGGAGGTTGCAGTGAGCCGAGATCATGCCACTGCACTCCAGCCTGGGCAACAGAACGAGACTCCATCTCCAAAAACAAACAACAACAACAAAAAACAATGCAGTAGACCTATATGTCCTGGCAGGGAAAGTTCTCCAGAAAAAAAAAAAACAGGTGAAAAAGAACAAGCTGCAGAATAATATAAGCAAGATAATCCAAATTTATGTAAAACATAATAAAACAAAACCTGTATATGGACATATGTATACATCTATATATTTGCAAGTGCAATTAAAATGTTTGTTAGTAGTGGTCATATTTGGCAAGAGGCATGGGATTGGGGGTAAGGGAAAAGAGAGGCTCTCACTTTGTACCTTATGTAGTTCCATACTATACCATTGTTTAAATTTTAAAAAATGACAATTTGTTCATGTATTATTTATACAATTAAAAAAACACTAAAGCTGGGCACGGTGGCTCACGCCTGTAATTCCAGCACTTTGGGAGGCTGAGGCGAATGGATCACGAGGTCAGGAGATGGAGACCATCCTGGCCAACATGGTGAAACCCTGTCTCTACTAAAGATATAAAAAATTAGCCAGGTGTGGTGGTGGGCACCTGTAGTCCTGGCTACTCGGGAGGCTAAGGCAGGAGAATCGCCTGAACCCGGGAGGCAGAGGTTGCAGTGAGCCGAGATTGTGCTACTGCACTCCAGCCTGGCAACAGAGCGAGACTCCGTCTCAAAAAAAAAAAAAAAAAAAATTAAACATAGGCCAGCTCCCTTCCTCAGCCCAAACATCTGCACAGTCCACATAGCAGAATGAACCCAGCACCCAGCCAGTCACGAGGGGTGGGCAGGCTCCCGTGATACCGTGTTCTCAGGGGGACAGCATGTGGTTTGGCAGCAAACAGGAGATGAGTTCTCTAAATCTGTGTTTCCTATCCAATGCTCCAGGCAGAGGATAGGTTCAGAGGCTAGCTCATACCACAGGCCTATGGATAGGTTCAGAGGCTAGCTCATACACAGGCCTATGGATTATAGCTTTAAGCTAGCCTGGGAATTAGTCCACATTTTTATGGTTGCAATGGGTCAATGAGCCTGGACACAAATATATATTTACTGAATGATCAAATGAAGAAAATAAAATGTATTTCAAACTCTTGATTTATGAACACATGTTGAAGCAACGTAAGTACACAGAGGACCTTTGCAGAGAAACCAAGAGAGCAAATATCTCCTCCCAACCAAGTTATGCTCCAAGCAGTTTTTATAGATCCACTTTGTAAAGTAGAAAATACAAAAGAAGCTTCACGACGCTATACCTTGTTCTAACTCTCAGCACAGTGGCAACCAGTATGGAAAACAGCCACCAGAAAACTTCTTGTATAAGCAGATGAGGCTGATTATGCAATATGGTCAGAAAGGGGTAGAGAGAGAGAGGGAAGGGGAGAGAGAGAGAGAGAAAGAGAGCAAGAGAATATCATGGTCATGAAATAAGGAAGTACGCCATCTGGTTTGGGTCCCACTGGTTCAAAGTGAAGATCCCAGCTGAACTGGGCTGGGCTTTGAAGAGAGCTGGTGGCTGGGTGAGGGCCTAACAGAGTCTAGCTGAGCAGGGTCTAAGGACTGTGGAAGAGAAAGAAGCTGAACAGCCATGAAGCCCCGGTCAGGGAAGGCTGGGGGATTTTGCACTCAGAGTGTGGGCTGCTGTGTGAATCCACCTCTGGGTCCTGTGGAGAGTGAGGAGATGAAAGGAGGGCGCTGTTTTGCTGAAAACTCAGTATGACTTCCAACAACCCTCCCACGGATGCCTCTCATGGGATGCACCACCAGGGAAAGAAGGCATGCTGTCCAACCTTGCCCAGACCACGTTAGCATGGGGACTCTTTAGACTCTGCTATGGTGGCAATGGCAGGCAGGAAGAGGCAGGGAGTGGCCATGCCCAGCAGGGGCAATGGACACCAGTGGCCTTGTCAGCAGCATGGCCTGGCAGGGTCCCCATCTTTTTGTTCCCAGTCTGGCAAAGGCTGGTTCATGTCCCCCCATTGGTGCCTTGATCCCAAGCCTTGGCTCAGTCCCTACAGCTCCTGCGGGTCACAGAGAAAGGCATGGAGCCAGCAACTGAGGCTCCTTATTCCACCCGCAGGGGTTCTGGGTCTGGTGCCAGGCTGGGCCCTTGTGTCTCAGGCCCATTTCCTGCCCATCCCCGGCTCTGCTCTGTAGGACAGAGGGGCTGAGCCCCGCCGACTGCATTTTCAGGATCACTTGACGTCAGGAGTTCGAGACCAGCCTGGCCAACATAGTGAAACCCGATCCCTACTAAAAATACAAAAATTAGCCAGGCACGGTAGTGGGCACCTGCAGTCCCAGCAATTCGGGAGGCTGAGGCAGGAGAATTGCTTGAGCCCAGGAGGCGGAGGTTGCAGTGAGCTGAGATCACGCCACTGTGCTCTAGCCTTGGCAACAGATCGAGACTCTGTCTCAAAAAACAAACAAACAAACAAAAAAACAAACAAACAAAGTAAATTCACTGATGCCAAAACCAAAGAGGAAACACAGTGTGAGTGACCTGGCAGGAGCTGAAGCTAAGTGACCTGGAAGGAGTGGAGCCAGAGGTGCATGCATGCAGACGAAAGCCACAATGGGGCCTGGCCATCCAGGGGGAGCACAGAGTACCTGGCCACATTCCAGCTGAGAGTGGAAAGGAGTGACCTGCATCAAGTCAGATCCACAAAGAGCTGCTCCATCCATCAACTAGCACCAGAAAAACTCCACCCCCGGGCCCAGGGAAAAGAAGAGGAATCTAGTCATTCATCCAGGGTCACAGGTGAAAAGAAAATCACCAGCAAAACAAATAAAACAACAGTTTTGCATTAAGCAGGGTTGGAGTCCAAATTCACGGAAACTCAAAACTGAAAAATAATATGAAAATGAGTCTGGAGCTACTGAAACTCTTAGCATCTCCTGAAGATGCTCATGTCACAGTGCTCTGAAGGGGCACACTCACAATCCACAGTGTATTGGACATCTATGGTAAATAGCTACTGGAGACAAGATGATAATACACGTGACAAACCACACAAGAAAATGAACCACCATGCCTCACCTCCAGATTGGGGATATATTAGAATTGTATGTACAATATAACTCAAGCTACATTAAAAGCATATGCATATACAGGAAAAAAATCTCAAAATGTGAATAATGGTTGGCCTGAAGTGGCAGGATGCAGGATTATGGATGAATTTTTAAAAATATGTTTCTTGATCAGGAATTGAATATAAATGCTCACAGGAGCCAGGTTGTTAACACTGAAGGAAGTGGGCAGGGTGGAGCTGGGAGATCCCATGCCATGGGAGTAGCCATTGCTCAGCTCCATCTGCCCCCACATGAGAGTGCAGGCATAGGGTGGCAATATCTTTCTAATTTCCTAACTATAAATTTTTATACAAATATGTCTCAGGTTTAAAATGCTGACTATTAATTCCATTTTTCTTATTACCTTATGAAGGCCACTTAGGTGTTAGTCTAACAAAACATACAGAATTTGTATGCTGAAAATTACAAAATGCTGATGAAAGAAAACAGAGATCTAAATAAATGGAAAGATATACCATATTCATGGATTGGAAGAATACATAGTAAAAATGTCAATTCTCCCCAAATTGATAAACAGGTTTAACACAATTCCTATCAAAATCCCAACAAACTCTTTTTCTTTTCTTTCTTCTTTTTTTTTTTTTTTTTTGAGACATGGTCTCGCTCTGTCACCCAGGCTGGAGTGTAGTGGGTATGGTCATTGCTCACTGCAATTTCAACCTTCTGAGCTCAAGCGATCCTCCCACCTCAGCCTCCTGAGTAGCTGGGACTACAGGCATGTGCCACCATACCTGGATGATTTTTTAGTTTTTTGTAGAGATGGTAAACAAGCACATGAATAGATACTCAACATCACTAGCTACTGGGGGAATGCAAATTAAAACCATGATAAGGTATCACTACACACAGATTATGCAAGTTAAGATAAAAACTTGTGACAATACCAAATGTTGTCAAAGATGCAGAAAAACACACTCTCATGCATTGCTGGTGGGAATGTAAAATGGCACAACCACTCTGGAAAAGCGTTTGGCAGTTTCTTAAAAAACAAAACAGGCAGGTGCCATATGACCCAGCAATAGCATTCCTGGGCATCTAACACAGATAAATGAAAACTTATGTCCGCACAGAAACCTGGACACAACTGTTCAAAGAAGCCTTATTTGCAATAGCCCTAGACTGTACCAAACAGCCTACAATAGGTAAATGGTTTAAAAAACCTCTATGGTACATGCATACTATCGGATTAGTGGAATATTACTACTCAGCAATACATGGGAATGAACTAGTGGTTCTTGCAACAACTTGGGTGGATCCCAAGGGCATTCTGCTGAGTGAAAAATACCTCAAAAGATCATTTTCCATTTTTATGACATTTTCAAATGCAACAATTATCAAACAAATTAATAATTGCCAGGGGTTAGGGATTGGTCGGGGGGATACAGTGGGTAGGGAGGTGACCATAAAGGTGTAGGTAGATTTTTTTTTTTAAGATGGAGTCTCGCTCTGTCATCCAGGCTGGAGTACAGAGGCATGATCTTGGCTCACTGCAACCTCCACCTCCTGGGTTCAAGCGATCCTCCCACCTCAGCCTTCTGAGTAGCTTGGATTATAGGCGCCACCATTCCCGGCATTTTTTTGTATTTTTTTTTTAGTAGAGATGGGGTTTCAACATGATGGCCAGGCTGGTCTCGAACTCCTGACCTCAAATGATCTGCCTGCCTCAGCCTACCAAAGTGCTGGGATTACAGGCATGAGCCACCTCGCTTGGCCTAGAAGAAGGTAGAACTTGGCAGTGATGGAATAGCCTGCATTTTGATTGCAGTGGTGGTTATGCAAATCTATACATGTGATAAGTTGACATAAAACTATACACACATACCATCCTTTTTTTTTTTTTTTTTGGATAGTGTGCTATAGTTATGTAACAAGTAACCCTTGGGGCAAACTAGGTCAAGGTACACAAAACTCTACTATTTTTGCAACTTCCTCTAAATCTATAAAAAGTTAAAAAGTTAGTTGGGGAAAGGGTCAAGAGAAAGAGAACCATGGCTTAGATTAAGCTGAAACCTACCCCAGGCCATCCCTCAGGCCAAGCTTATCCAACCTGCAGCCTGTGGGCCGCATGTGGCCCAGCACAGCTTTGAATGTGGCACAACACAAATTTGTAAACTTTCTTAAAACATCATGAGTTTTTTGGATATTTTTTTTTTCTTTAGCTCATCAGCTATTGTTAGTGTTAGTGTATTTTATGTGTGGCCCAAGACAATTCTTCCAGTGTGGCCTGGGGAAGACTAGACCCTCCACATGGGTCCTAATTCTTGGGGGCCCTCAAACCATATCTGCTCAGGCATTTGCAGACAGGGAGCCTGATCTTCAGGCCTCCCCACAACCCTTCCAACGTGACAGCTTTCACTTTCTAAATCCTTTGGTACTGTCTATCTCCTAGCCCAGAGTTCTGCTTGTGAAGACATGAGAGACACTATTAAGCTGGGACCACAGGTGTGAACTACAAACGTCTTCAGGGTACTGGCAAACTGTCATGAAGACAACTGACAGAGAATGGACTTTAGGCAAATGTGGGAGCCAATTCTGTGGCCTGGCCTGGTCACAGGAGAAACTGGGTGCCAGCTTCTCCCATGGTCACAGCCACTCCTCCTCTTGTGTGAATCAGTCAGGGGTTCCTTTTTTTTTTTTTTTTTTGATAGGGTTTTGCTCTGTTGCCCAGGCTGGAGCACAGTGACGTGATCCTAGGTCACTGCAGTCTCAAGCTTCAGGGCTCAAGCGATCTTCCCACCCCAGCCTCTGAAACAGCTGGGACTGCAGGCGTGCACCACCATACCTGGCTATTTTATTTTATTTATTTTTAGTAGAGATGGGAGTCTCACTATCTTGCCTAGGCTGGTCTCGAACTCCTGGGCTCAAGTGATCCTCCAGCCTTGGCCTCCCAAAGTGCAGAGCAGGGGTTCTTCCAGCTCTCAGTGGGGCAGGCCCCAGGAGGGCCTCCCACCCCAGCCCTCACTGCGAGGAGGGAGCAACAGAGGATGAAGGGGAGGAGGGAGCAACAGAGGATGAAAGGGGGAGGGAGCAACAGGATGAAAGGGGGAGGGAGCAACGGAGGATGCAAGGGGAAATGACCAGCCCCTGAGGCCCTAAAAACACAACAACTTTGTCATGTCAAAATGGTTACTTAGAATAACATCAGCCTCAAGTTCCCATTCAAAATCCACAGAGAATCCACTCAAACATCATTATGAAAGGAGAGTGAAGAAAGTACCTATTTGTGGAACAGATCTTACCCTACTTGCTTTCTTTCAGCATGGCAGTGGAATTAAAGAGATATCTGCATATTCCTTAAGCTGTGTTTTGCTTTGTTTAAGGCAATTTGGGATAATGGGCTAATTCCTCCAAGAGACTGGCAGATGACACTAAGGAACCAGAGATTTGCCACAAAGCAAAGGAAACCGGAGCTCAGGGCCCCTCACTTGCAGAGCCCCTTCATGGTCTTGCACCTAATTTTGTCTGTAATTTTGTGTTCTTTTTCTAAAGAACCCTGAATTATAGAAGCTCCAGGCCCCACCATCTGCCCCTTCGCAGTTGGTTTTTATTTTCATTGGCTCCATATTGGGGGTCCCTTTTGTCTGGGGGGAAATGTGGGTCTTTCCATGGGTATGAGGAAGAAATGTCCACTTGCCTTGAGCTTCTCGGTGGCATCTTCTATCTGGGTTATGTTGTCAATGTGCTGCTGCTTCTTGATTGCCAGCTGCTTTAAACATTCTTGGCTGAGTTTCTGTACAGGAGGGAGTTAGGAAAAAAGTCGTAATACTGTCACTTTCCAAATAACAGGCCCCCCACAGGGGTCACCTCCTCTTACCCTTGTATTCTTTTCCAATGGAGGCATCTGAAGGTGAGGTAACTTGCCCAAAGTCATATGGCAAGTTGGTGGATGAGCTGGGACTAGGACATCTCTGATCCTCGGAGGTCCACATCAGGTATGCCTCTAATCTTGATTTGCACCCCTTCCTCACACTTTACTTTATCTAGGACAAGTCTTGCCTGTGACTTGCTTTTCCAGCCTTTCAAGTGGGACTTTAAGGCAAACAGCTTGGGGTCTGGGAAAGAACATCTACTTATGGAGTATTAACTGAGCACCTATTATGTGCTGGGCCCTGTTCCAGGTGCTGCCCTCATGAAACATACATTCCAGGGAGTCTGTGACCCTCTGGCCCTGGACTACGTGAGAGGTCAGTGGGGTTCATGCTTCCTGCTCTTCCCACCTTCCATATCTCTGCTTTTTGAAATTGCTTTTTTCCCCAAAGTCTGCTCTGCACTCTCCTTCCCCAAGGGTGTGATCTCGTCTCCATCTTAGCCTTTCTTACAGCTGGCCTTACACTCAGCTGCTGGGCCCAGATCTGGCTGCCCCATTGACTAGGAGCTTCTTGAGGGCAGGCTCGCTTCGTTCTCACTCCCCACAGGGAGCAGGGTGTGACCAGAAGTGTTTGCTGAATTGAACAGAATTATCAGGGGCTGGTCAGGCATGGTGGCTCATGTCTGTAATCCCAACACTTTGGGAGGCTGAGGTAGGAGGATCACTTGAGCCCAAGGAGTTCGAGACCAGCCTGGGCAACATAGTGAGACTCTGCCTCTACCACAAAAAATAAAATAAAATAAAATAAAATAAAATAAAATAAAATAAAATAAAATTAGCTGGGCATGGTGGCATGCACCTGTAGTCCTAACTACTTGGGAGGCTGAGGTCAGGGGCGGGTCACCTAAGCCCAGGAGGTTGCAGTGAGCCATGATCATGCCACTATGCCACTGCACTCCAGCCTGGGCAACAGAGTGAGACCCTGTCCCCCCCCCCAAAAAAAAACAATTATCAGGTGCTGCTAGCTTCTTTCCCAACCAGCCAGAGAACTCTTCCAGGTCAGGGAAGGATCTGATCTGTTCTTTGACTCATGGCCCAAAATATATGCTGAATAGATGTTTGGTGAATGATGGATGGATGAATGAATAATGGGTGAATGGATAGGAAAGTGGGTATGTGGATGCAAAATGAATATTCATAGTGTCAACCTTACGTAATGAAATTCAAGAGCTGAGCATGGTGGCTTGCACCTGTAATCCCAGCTACTCAGGAGGCTGAGGTGGGAGGATCACTTAAGGCCAGGAGTTTGAGACCAGCCTGAGCAACATAGCTAGACCCCATTTTTACCAAAAAACAACAAACAAAACAAAACAAAAAACCTGGCTGGGCATGGTGGAGAATGCCTCAAGTTCCAGCTGCTTGGGAGGATGACATTCACAGGCTATAGAAATGATTAGCAAAGAAATAAATTGATGGTGGCTAGCTTTGTTTAATGAACTATTCAGGCAAAATTGTTAAGAATGAAAAAATTAAATAAATGTAAATGAGATCAAAGTTTATAAATGAACATTTCATAGTTTTAAAAGTTGTTTTCAGGCTGGACACGGTGGCTAACGCCTGTAATCCCAGCACTTTGGGAGGCCAAGGCAGGCAGATAACCTGAGGTCAGGGGTTCGAGACAGCCTGACCAACGTGGAGAAACCCCGTCTCTACTACAAATACAAAATTAGCCAGGCATGGTGGCGCATGCCTGTAATCCCAGCTACTCGGGAGGCTGAGGCAGGAGAATCACTTGAACCCAGGAGGCAGAGGTTGCAGTGAGCCAAGATCACACCATTGCACTCCAACCAGGGCAACAAGAGTGAAACTCCGTCTCAAAAACAAACAAACAAAAATTGTTTTCAGTAACTTAATATCATGTTATGTTAAATGAAGTAATAGGTCATTATAAAACGTCTGAATCATTTATATGGTATAGAAAAGCTAAATATATTTCGATCTGTTAACAAAAAAAAATTGAGGAGCCATCTTTCTAGAAATTATGAAATTATTTTCATCTACAAATGCTGGTAGAAAACAGCTAAAAATTACTTACTTCCTAGGTTTTTCACTGGAAATTTGGGTTACTAAGAGTGAAAATTGTAGTTAACATATGTGATTAAAACTACTTGATATAAAAGAAACAGTTCTATTTACAGAGTGTATAAAGTCAGATGTGTTTTTGGTAAAGACTGTTGAAAGAGAGTAATTTTTCTTTTGCATGAGAGAGAACTTTGTGTAGTCAAAATGATAATGGGAAAAGGGAAGTAAATTTTTGTCCTAAGGTAGAATGCCAAAATAAAAAGGAAGTATAGGACAAAACTGAAGATTTAAGCAAATTCTAGAAGGTCTGTGGAAGATTAATCTCACAAAAGACATTTTGTATGTGATCAAATTGGTTAAAATGAGAAGGAAATGGCAGGGTGTGGTGGCTCCTGCCTGTAATCCCAGAACTTTGGGAGGCCGAGGCAGGCAGATCACGAAGTCAGGAGTTTGAGACCAGCCTGACCAACATGGAGAAACCCCGTCTCTACTAAAAATACAAAAATTAGCCAGGTGTGGTGGTGCACGCCTGTAATCACAGCTACTCAGGAGGCTGAGGCAGGAGATCACTTGAATCTGGGAGGTGGAGGTTGCAGTGAGCAGAGATTGCGCCATTGCACTCCAGCCTGAGTGACAGAGCAAGACTCAATCTCAAAAAAAAAAAAAAAAAAAAAATCAGAAGGAAATGGCCAGGCGCGGTGGTTCATGGCTGTAATCCCACCACTTTAGGAGGCCGAGACAGGTGGATCACCTGAGGTCAGGAATTTGAGACCAGCCTGGCTAACATGGTGAAACCCCGTCTCTACTAAAAATATAAAAATTAACTGGGCATGGTGTTGTGCACCTGTAGTCCTAGCTACTCGGGAGGCTAAGGCAGGAAAATTGCTTGTACCTGGGAGGTGGAGGTTGCAGTGAGGCAGTTCATGCCACTGCACTCCAGCCTGGGCAACAAGAGCGAAACTCCATCTCAAAAAAAAAAAAAAAAAAAAAAAAGAAGGAATTTTTTATAAGTTTTTCTAAAACTTAAGTATTAATATCAAAAGCACACTCATGTAAGGCCAGAGTCTGGGCTCCTGTGTTGGAACAACCAGGTTTTATCAGAGCATTGATCTGCTCTTTAATAGAAAATGGTGAGAGATTATCGATTATCTTATCTTGTGTAGTCAAAGCTGACTGAAATTGGATGATAGATAATATACTAACACCTAAGTAATTTTTTTCTTTTTTTGAGACAGGGTCTCACTTTGTCACCCAAGATGAAGTTCAGTGGTGCAATCTTGGCTCACTGCAGCCTTGACCTCCCAGGCTCAAGCAATCCTCCTGCCTCAGCCCCCCAAGTAGCTGGGACTATAGGCACACACCACCACACGCAGCTAATTTTTGTATCTTTTGTAGAGACAGGGTTTCACCATGTTGCTCAGGCTGGTTTTGAACTCCTGAGCTCAAGTGATCTGCCTGCCTTGGCCTCCCAAAGGGCTAGGATTACAGGCATGAGCCACTGTGCCTGGCCTAAAAGTAAAACTTGTTTTTCTCCTTTGAATAAAAATGTAATGTAGAATTAATAAGAGACGGTAAAAGATGTATTTACTTTTGCATAAATGGCAAAGAAAAGGTAACTGGGGAGAGTTTGTCCCATGCTGTCTTTATTAGGTCTCTTGATTGAGAACTGAATCTCCTCTATCAGAGTGGTTTTTGCTTTTTGAAATCTTTGAATAATCATTTTGGCTAAAGTAATTACCATTATTTTGTAGTGACCTGTGATTCTATTTTGATCATGTGTTTTAAACCTTTCTTATTTCTATATCAAGTGTTTTAAACCTTTAATATTTGAGATACTTCCCAAAATTAAATTAAGTCTTTTTGACCCAAGCTAACTTGGGCATAACCAGGACCCCTGGAAGTCCAAAAGAGACACATTAGGCTTATTTGGGATGTCAAAGTCATATGGGAAATATTGTCAAATAAGAAATGATGTTTAACTTTCTTTGAGTTATATTTATAAAAGCGTATTATTAATGTGTTCCAAAATTGTATGAGATTCCTAAAAGTCTGATATGTCTTGGTATATGTTATCAGTATATCATTATCATAATTATTATGATAAACTGGTGTGTGCCACACAAATAACCACATATCCTAGTCAATTTCATCTTTGACCGTGGCTATTCTAAGCCTTTTATCATCCACAGACAATTTGTTTTTTTTTTGAGACAGAGTCTCATTCTGTCGCCCAGGCTGGAGTGCAGTGGCGTAATCTCGGCTCACTGCAAGCTCCACCTCCCGGGTTCATGCCATTCTCCTGCCTCAGCCTCCCAAGTAGCTGGGACTACAGGTGCCCGCCACCACGCCTGGCTAATTTTTTTGTATTTTTAGTAGAGACAGGGTTTCACCATGGTCTCGATCTCCTGACCTCGTGATCGGCCCGCCTCAGCCTCCCAAAGTGCTGGGATTACAGGCGTGAGCCACCGCACCCAGCCGACAATTTTTATTTTACTTTGATTCTTTTAAAAAAAGTCGTTTATAATCAGCTACAAAATTTGCTTCATCTTTAAGGAAATTTTTGGAAAAAAACCCTGACAAGTACTCTTGAATACAGGTTTCTGGTAACTTCAGAGATCTTACCATTGGATTAAGCAAAAGCTTCCAGAACTCTAATAAAAACCTGAGGCATTCATGAAGACTGCTAACCCAACATCAAGCAGAGCAAGAATTATTTACATGGGACTAAACTGATAGAGGATAAAAGTGATTTTTATGATTTTTAAAATTTGAAACATTGCTGATTCTTTTTATATTGTTTTTCAGTCAAGAAAATTTTTTCTTTTGTCACAGCAACTGGATAAAAGATACTTTTGTGAGCAAAATTGAAACATTTGTCTTTCTCTCTACCTGATTTCACCAAAATTTGCAAACTATTTGTGTTTACTTTTTTTATTTTCATTTTTAAATTAATTTTTTTTTTTTAGACAGAGTCTTGCTCTGTCACCCAGGCTGGAGTGCAGTGGCATGATCTCGGCTCACTGCAACCTCTGCCTCCTAGGTTCAAGCGATTTTCCTGCCTCAGCCTCCTGAGTAGCTGGGACTACAGGTACATGCCACCACGCTTGGCTAATTTTTCTTTCTGAGGTGGAGTCTTTCTCTGTTGCCCAGGCTGGAGTGCAGTGGCACAATCTTGGCTCACTGCAACCTCTGCCTCGTGGGGTTCAAGCAGTTCTCCTGCCTCAGCCTCCCGAGTAGCTGGGATTACAGGTGCCCACCACCATGCCCAGCTAATTTTTGCATTCTTAGTAGAGATAGGTTTCACCATGTTGGTCATACTGGTCTCGAACTTCTGACCTCGTGATCCACCCACTTTGGCCTCCCAAAGTGCTAGGATTACAGGCGTGAGCCACTGAGCCCAGCACAATTTTTGTATTTTTAGTAAAGATGGGGTTTCACCATGTTGGCCAGGCTGATCTCCAACTCCTGACCTCAACTGATCCGCCCACCACAGCCTCCCAAAGTGCTGGGTTTACAGGCGTGAGCCACCGCACCTGGCTATTTGTGAGTATTCTTATTTTATGACAATATAGTTATTTGCATAAGTTCAATAAGAGTATGTTTTCTTTCATAACAGACCACATTGGAGACACTGGTAATTTTACCAAGGCTTTGACTGAAATGATATATCTTCATATATGATCAGACTGCTTTCAGGAACTGAAGTCAAGTTTACAGAGCCCATAAGAAGACCCTTGGGGGCCAGGCTTGGTGGCTCAGGTCTGTAATCCCAGCACTTTGGGAGGCTGAGGTAGGTGGATCACTTGAGTCCAGGAGTTTGAAACCAGCCTGGGCAACATAGTGAGACCCCGCCTCTATTAAAAAATGTTAACAAGAATAAAATAAAATACAATAAAAGGGGGCCCAGCACTTTGGGACACTGAGGTGGGCAGTTCACTTGAGGTCGGAGTTTTCAAGACCACCCTGGCCAACATGGTGAAGCCACATCTCTACCAACAAATACAAAAATTAGCCAGGAGTGGTGGTGCACACCTGTAGTTCCAGCTACTCAGGAAGCTGAAGTGGGAGAATCACTTGAACCTGGGAGGTGGAGGCTGCAGTGAGCCAAAATTGCACCACCACACTCCAGCCTGGGCAACAGAGTGAGACCCTGTCTCAAAAAAAAAAAAAAAAAAAAATCCTTGGAAAGACTGGACTAGCTTGGTCCTTGTCTACACAGTTCCCTTACAAGGTTCCCGACCTTGTGGTAAGAAAAGAATGTCACTTTCCGACAGGTCTAGGAACCTCAAGATATTTTGGGACCTTGAGAAGAGAATAATTCACCCAATGTGTATGGGTATCACAGGCATAGTCTGATGGTGAATCCTTGGTTTGGCTTTTTAGCTGTAAGGCTTTTAAAAGTCAAATCCAGGCCAGGCGTGGTGTTTCACGCCTATAATCCCAGCACTTTGGAAGGCTGAGGCAAGAGGATCACTTGAGCCCAGGAATTCTAGACCAGCCTGGACAACATGGTGAAACCCCGTCTCTACAAAAAAAATACAAAAAAAAAATTAGCCAGGTGTGGTGGTGCATACCTATAGTCCCAGCTACTTGGGAGGCCAAGGTAGGAGGATTGCTTGACCCTGGGAGGTGGAGGTTGCAGTGAGCCACGATCATGCCATTGCACTCTAGTCTGGGTGACAGAGTGAGACCCTGTGTCTCAAAAAAAAAAAAAAAAAAGTCAAATCCAAAATTCCTTATGAAAGTTCCAATAATGCAAATTATCAGGCCAAGTGTAATATTAAAACTTACTTTGCAAGTAAATTTGTCCTATCAAGACTCATTTTTGGTAAAAACAGGGAACTAGAGAGAGAAAAATTATGTTTCAGAAGAAAATCTTAGCACACCTGTTATGCACACCTGTTATTCCTGTTATTAGATTCCAGCCCTGGCCATTGTTTTTTAGTTTTTATTTTCCTGCAATTTGGACTAAATCCTGAATTATTTCCTGGCTACAACAAGGAAGGTTGTAGAAAAAGTTTTAGAAGCCAATTCCTGGCTTTTAAAGAAGGCTTGGGATTTTCTTCGTGATGTTTTTAGTTGACTCCCCAGTGGAATAGGTTTGGTGTTGTTCTGCCATAGAGATTCTCTGTTTTATTTATTTATTTATTTATTTATTTATTTATTTATTTAAGACAAAGTCTCACTCTGTCATCCAGGCTGGAGTGCGGTGGCGTGATCTCGGCTCATTGCAACCTCCATCTCCCAGGTTCAAGCGATTCTCATGCCTCAGCCTCCTGAGTAGCTGGGATTACAGATGTGTACCACCACACCTGGCTGATTTTCATATTTTTTAATAGAGACGGGGTTTCCCCATGTTGGCCAGGCCTCAAACCCTTGGCCTCATGTGATCCTCCTGCCTCAGCCTCCCAAAGTGCTGGGATTACAGGCATGAGCCACTGTGCCCGACTGCTTATGTCATTTTAATGTAAATTCTTGGTAAACAATTTAGGAACTGCTTCTTCTTTTTTCCTTAAAAACTTATATGTAACTGCTGCTAATCAGAGTGGATAGTCACAGAAATTTGAATCTATGGTCCCAGTTGGCCATCCTCAAGCTTTAGGCTTGGATAAACTCTGTACTTAATCATATTTTCTGAATCTTATTACTTCAAGTTGACAGTAGGTAGTGGGTAGGGGGATGGACAAATGGATGGGTGAGACTCTTGAGCCAGATCTGTGGAAAGCAGCCTTGTTAATTCTGAATAACAGTTTTTCAAGGAGCCATTATTATAATTACAGCCATTTCATACGTTAAAAAAAGGAAGGGTCTGGTGGCAGGGACAGGTCTTGAGCCCACGACTCCACTGGATTGTCCCCCATGATCCCCTTTTCACCTTGGAGTTCCAAGGTTGTCACAGTGTGGTGGTCTGGAGTCATGCAGTACCGGAGAAAGGCTCACGATGGGGCTGAATTCATCACAGAAGACTTCTTGGAGACAAGTGGTAGGATCAACAGCTGTCAGACATGAGGGCCTACCTCACCCAGGCTTCATGAAACCCAGAGAGAGAGAAGGATTTGAGAGAAGCCACAGAAAAAGTCAGCTGGGAAGCTGGAGCAGGAGCCCAGAGCCCCTGGGGCACTGTTAGGATTATGCATGGGTAAGGGTTCCACGGTGACAATGGCCCTGTTGGGGGCATCTGGCTAATGGAGTCCTGGGTTCAAGGCCTGCCCCTGCCTCCAGAGCCTTCCTCTTGTGGCCTATAAAATGGCTGTAATAATAATGGCTCACCCAGGGCTGCTATGAGCAGGAATGGGAGTGTCTGTGTGGCCGGGGAGGGGAGAGGAGGTAGGTAGTGACAGCTGAGGCTGCTCCCAGGGCAGTCAGGCCGTCCTCAGCTCAAAGTTCACAGGCCCTTTCTGTGGACTGCAGATTAAGTAAACCTGAGATGTCTGTGTGGCTTTCTGAGCTACACAGGGCTGTTTATTAAGAGGGAGAGTTTGTACCTCTGTTAACTAAAAGGCAGACTGTCTTCCAGCCCAATGGCAGTGTGGCGGATCGGCCATGGTGGACACGGTCAAGGACATCTGGGTACCAGCCTGGGCTCCCAACCTCTCACTCCTAAACCCACCTTTTCTGAAGCTCAACTGATGGCTTTGGCTCGCCTTTGCCCTTCCTTGGGTCTCAGGCTCCCGCTCTGAACTTTCGGTCGACCGCTTAGACGCCCTCTGGGGCACCTTTGGTTTCCAGGTTGTAACCCGCCACTGGCCACGGCCAGGCACGCCCCCTCCTCGGCCGTTATGCCTGGGCTGGCTCCCCCAACTCCCGCGCGGCGAACCCCGTCCCCATCGTCCCCACCTGCACGTGCACCGCTGCCTCCAGCGCCAGGCCCACAGGGTGGCCACGGTGCGCGCCCAGCACCGGGCAAAGCGCGCACACGCAGCGGCGGCAGCGGCGACAGAAGAGCTCAGCCACGCGGTCGCCATGCTCCGGGCAGCGCCAGCCGCATCCCTCGACAAGCTCCGACCTCCCAGGGGTCCGGCTCCCGGTCGCCGCGCCCGCCATTCATCTCCACCTCCTCCGGCTCCCCGGGACACAGGGCGGGGCTCCCAAGGGAAACCGAAACCTCGGCCGTGGGCGGGGCGGCTCCAGGCCGGCCGGCCGACCCCTAGGAGGATGACAGCCCGCCGGGAGCAGCGTCGGGCCTCGGAGCATCCTCCGACCAGCAGGGTGCTCCCTCTGCCCGCCCAGGCCGGGAGGTGGTCCCACCAGAAATGGGAAGCTCCTAATGAGCCAGCTAGGAGAGGGTGGGCTTCCTGCTTAATGACGCTGTTCCAGTAACGCCCAGAAAACTGCAGCCCTGATGATGGGACCAAAGTTGGCTGTGACCTTCCGGGGGTGCTCCTCTCACTTTCCCTTGATCCTCTCTTGCCCTTTTCCCCGGAAAGATAATCATTCCCACAACTGTAAGATACCTTCATCAACCTCAAATAAGGACACAGAGATTCTCCAATTGAGTTTATTTCGGACTGAGCAGAAGGATTGCAATTCGGGAATAAATGTGCCATGGCACCCAAGGGGTGGGGACGCGGAGTACTCAGGGAGGCAAAGGAAAGCAGAGGCTTTTAAAGGCAAAACGAGGAGGATTGCATATACTGTTTTTTTTGTTTGTTTGTTTGTTTTTGTTTTTTTTTTTTTTTTTTTTTTTTGGAGACGGAGTCTCGGTCTGTCGCCCAGGCTGGAGTGCAGTGGCGCCATCTCTGCTCACTGCAAGCTCCGCCTCCCGGGTTCACGCCATTCTCCTGCTTCAGCCTCCCGAGTAGCTGGAACTACAGGCGCCCGCCACCACGCCCGGCTAATTTTTTGTATTTTTAGTAGAAAAGGGGTTTCACTGTTTTAGCCAGGATGGTCTCGATCTCCTGACCCCGTGATCTGCCCGCCTCGGCCTCCCAAAGTGCTGGGATTACAGGCGTGATCCACCGCGCCCGGCCAGATCGTTTTAAAATAATAATACTTGGTTACAAGAATTAATACAGGTGGCTTCAGTCCAAAAGTTGAACAGGCAGTTGCTGGGCAGATGTCCTCATATCATGGCTTTTGTGCAAGGTTGTGGTTCTTTGTGCAAGGTTGCAGTTTGGTGGAATCTTTTGCAATAATAGTTCCTGTTACCAGGCAAATCGTTGATGAGGGCCCCCCACTTCATGGCCTCCCAGCACCATTTAGTTTGTTTGAGACAGGATCTCGCTCTGTTGCCCAGGCTGGAGTGCAATAGTGCGATCATAGCTCACTGCAGCCTCTAACTCCTGGGCTCAAGTGATCTTCCCACCTCATCTCTGGAGTAGCTGGGACTACAGGAGCACCATTTAGTTTGGTTTTGATGTAAGTGACTCTGTTTTGGTACTGACAACTTTCACACACACACCACCACCCCAAATTCCAGTTGCCCCCCCAGGCTCAAGTCTAGACTTCCACTTATAAAGCCCTCAGCTCTTTCTTAAGATCCTTGGTCTCCGCCCTGCCTATGCTCCACCCTGTGCTTTTTCAAGACTGGGGGACGTGCAGTTTACCCTGCTTGGAACATTCTTCTTCCCAAATGCCCTTTGCCCTGAGTATTCCAACTTACTCTGCAGGTTTCTACCTTACTATCTTTTCCTCCAGGAAGCCTTCCCTCCTTCTCCTTCCAGAACAGCCTATGCTTTCCCTATCCTGGCCCTCCCCATTCCCGCAGCCATGACTGAAAACTGGAGAGGGCAAAGACTGTCTGTTCTGCCTGTTTTCCAGCTTGGTGTCTGACTCCAAGAGTAGATAGTTAATTGGTATTTGTGGAACAAATCAAGAAAAGGAAAGCTCCTTGTAGTAAAATGGCCAGATGTTTATTATTTTGTTACATTATTTCCATTGCATATTCCACATCTATTTATTTTCACTTTTATTTATTATCATTATTTTTCACAAAGGTACAAGGAATTTCAGAAACAACATTAAAACAATCATTCAAACTGTTTCAGGCACGGTTTCAATTAAAAGCATAGATTTGATTTCTGACTTCCTGTTTCCTTCTATGATACAATCTCAAGTTTTGTTTCAGGAAGCACAATTATTGTAGCGTTAAGGTGGATACCTGCCAAAGCTCATCTCCTAGTGCTGTCCTCATTCTCAGAAAGTTCCTGAGTCAACAGAAAGGGGACGCCCAGGGTATGGAATAAGGAGATGAGAGCATGCTCTGCCAACTGGCTGGGACCTGAATGTGCTAGGCAAGTTCCACTACATCAGCTCAAGAACATAAACAAAAATGTAATTTAAAAAACAGATGGTTTAAAAAAATATCTGATAAAAATTACCTATCCCTCTCCCTTGCTGTGAAATAATTTAAATAATTTATTCTAGATGTAAAAATAATAATACAAAAAAGTTTGTTCAAAGACACCTGTGTCCTGTTTGTTAAGTGTGCAGTCTGGGTCCCTTGGGGTGGAGGGAGCTGGCCAAGGAATGGCATTGTGCAGAGGCATACCGGGAAGCTCTCTGGATGCAACCCCACCTCTACCGCTTGGCAGTCAATGACCTTGGCATGATGTTTCTTCACTTCTCTGAGGCTAGGTCTTTGATTCTGAACATGGGGACTGTAATGCCTGCCTGACCTGTGTTAGAACAGCATGTGTCACTGAGTGGAGGTGGGAGGAATTTGTAAACTGTGAAGTGCTAGCCACACAGGTGGGAAAGGTAAGCCTATCCTGTAGAGCTCTGCTGCCCTGACAATGCCTGGGATTTGGCCTTCTTTTCTGGAGCACACTAAGGCAATCTTGGCTAGTGCATCAGACGGGAGTGAGCCCCAGTGACTGAGTAAATGGAGAATAAGACAAGGAACACGAGCATCCGGCCTGTGCAGACATACAAGCAGAATAAACCACAGCTGGGTAAGGGGCAAACAGGGGCACTGAACCCCCATCGTGCTGCAGCTGCGGTTCCCAGAGATGTTGAGGGAGGGCTTGGGGCAACACTTCTGGACTTTTAAGGAGCCACCAGGCAGGACTTAAGAGATCTGGGTTGAGTCCCAGCTCCTGTCTGGAGCTTGCTGTCCTCTTCATCTTTATTGCAAATAGGTACACATGCAGTCTTCCATCTTCACTGTACTGCAGATCACCTGTGGAGCTTATATGACCATACAGGCCCTACTCTGGAGATTCAGCTTCAGTTGGTCTGGAATGTGGCATGGGCATCTGTATTTCCTGCACGCTCCCAAGGGAATTCTAATGTACACAGCTTGGGTTGAAACCTACCAGACTAGGTGGCCTCCTGCAGTCCCCACCTCAGCTCCAGAATCTAATCGCCCTGTGCAATGGAGATCATCTGCCCCTCCTTGGTAAGGAGGGACCAATTTCACTTCTAATCATTCCCAGTCTCTTGGTGGACTATTGTATTGACCACTGAACTTTAGAGTAGGGCTCGGAACACAGATTCACTAAGGAGGGACAAAGAAAAGCTTTCAGGCTAAAAGGGAACTTTGGGACCATCTGGTACTACTTCTTTACCTCGTATAGTCATTTCAGAAGACCTCCTGGTTAGGTGGCCAGAGGCTCTGCTGGCATGTCTCCAGTGATGGGGGCCCCCTACCTCCTGGGGGACTCTTCTGTTAACTAGGGCTGAAATCTGCCCACATCATCCTGCAGGAGGCAGGCTGTGTACCTGAGGGCCTTGGTGGTGGCAGTCAGCAGTCATGGGCACAGTTCTGAAGTCTGCGTCCCTCCATAAGGGACAGCATCTATCCATATCAGGCTGATTCTGGTTGGAAAGGTTGGTTTTGACCACCTGCCTGTGTTGTAGAATTGGGTTGAATGCCTCTGACCCCTTGCCAGTGTCCGTTAGTTTCTGTAGCAAACCCAGATCACCCCACAGGTAGTTTTCTCTTAGGTCAAGGTTTCAGGTGGCAGATCCTGCAGAGAGCAGCTTGTTCCAGGGTACCCCTGGTTCAGATGAAGAAACTGAGACCAGAGAGGGCAGGACTTGCAAGAGGTCACTGAGTAAGCTGGGGCACAGCTGAGGCCAGAAGCAACAGATTTCTACTCTTTGGGCTGAGAACTGCATCAGACCCAAAAGAGCAAAAAGACAGACCCAGAAAAGCAGGATCTCAGCCCAGCCCTGCCATGAAACAAATATCACTTGCCTCTCTCTAGGCCTTAGTTTCCCCAGCTGTAAAATGAGGAACTTGGGTCAAATCACTAGCTTTCAAACTTCTAAAAAAATTTTTTTTTCCTAGCAGAATTGTTTTTCATACTAGCCCAACATATAAAATAGAAGGGAGCTGTCTGGTTGGAATACAGTGTGGGGAAGGGAGACACAGCCTTCCTGCTTAGTCTTCCCCTATTCTCTCTCTCTTTTTTTTTTTTTTTTTGGAGATGGAGTCTCGCTCTGTCACCCAGGCTGCAGTGCAGTCCGCAATCGTGGCTCATAGCAACCTCCACCTCCCAGGTTCAAGCAATTCTCCTATCTCAGCCTCCCGAATAGCAGGGACTACAGACGCTCACCACCACGGCTGGCCAACTTTTTTTTTTTGAGACGGAGTCTCACTCTGTCACCCAGGCTGGAGTGAAGTGGCATGATCTTGGTTCACTGCAACCTCCGCCTCCCAGGCTCAAGCGATTCTCCTGCCTCAGCCTCCCAAATAGCTGGGATTACAGGCATGCACCACCATGCCTGGTTAATTTTTTATTTTTAGTGGAGACGGGGTTTCACCATGTTGGCCAGGCTGGTCTTGAACTCCTGACCTCAGAAGATCCGCCCAGCTTGGCCTCCCAAAGTTCTGGGATTATAGGCGTGAACCACCACGCCCTGCCTAATTTTTGTATTTTTAGTAGAGACGGGGTTTCACCATGTTGGCCAGGCTGGTTTCTTTCTTTTTTTTTTTTTTTTGAGACAGACTTTTGCTCTTATTGCCCAGGTTAGAGTGCAGTGGCACAATCTCAGCTCACTGCAACCCCCGCCTTCCGGTTTCAAGCAATTCTCCTGCCTCAGCCTCCCAAGTCGCTGGAATTACAGGCGCCTGCCACCACGCCCAGCTAATTTTTTTGTATTTTTAGTAGAGATGGGGTTTCACCATGTTGGTCAGGCTGGTCTCGAACTGCTGACCTCGTGATCCACCAGCCTCGGCCTCCCAACATGCTGGAATTACAGGCGTGAGCCACTGCGCCTGGTGAGACTGGTTTCAAACTCCCGACCTCAAGCAATCCGCCCACCTCAGCCTCCCAGAGTGCTGGGATTACAGGCATGAGCCACTGCGTCTGGCCCAGTCTTCCCCTATTCTCTGGACCACAGTTTGAAAATCACAGACAGGTCAACCTAGATCCTTCCAGCTCTAGTTTTCTACTGTGTTCTTTCCTCTTGAGAAGTTACAGCTCATCATGGGCCCTTAATAACAGAATTCAACAGAAGGCATCATCTGAAAACAAAGTCAATTCAGAAACTGTTGTTGCAAGAAGGCAAACAGAAAAACGGCACCATGTCCCACTGGAATCTCTTTCAGCGATGGAGAGTTTTGTTTTCTGGTAAAAAATATAGAAATAGTGGTTGTCCTTGAGGGGACTTGTGGTTTGGTTCTAAACCTCCCCATGGAGCCGAGTGGTGTCCCTGAGGGTGAGGAGGGCAGAGGTCTCTGCTCAGAGCTGCTCTGAGCCCATCCGCAAGTTTTTGATCTCCAGTTCCAACTGTTTGGCCTGGACCTCTCGCTGGGTCAACAGCTCCCGGAGCCTTCGGATCTCCTCCTGTTGCCGGTAGAACATCTGCAGCAACTGGGGAAGAAAGATCGGAAGGCAGGATCACCATGGTGTCAGGACACCAGCTGAAAGCTAAACCACTATCCCTCTTTGACTCAGAAAGGTGGAGGCGGTCACATTAACATGGCTGAGGCCTGATGGGGCTGTCACTGCATAGATCTTTTACAAACACCTTGTTTACTTCACCCAATAAATGAAATTCAAGAAGACTGGAATGTTTCAGATGTATTTTGCTTCCATAGATCCTCCATGAAATAGAGGAAAGGATGCCTGGCTCTGAAGTCTGGGGATTGGTGTTTTCGCCACCACTGAACTGTGTGACCTTGGGCAAGTTACTTACCCACTCTGAGCTTCCATTCCTTCCTCTGGAAAATGGGGTCAGAAAACTGCCCTCTGTGCAGAATGGGTGTTAGATATTGAGTGATGCCCTAAGGGCCTCGTTATCCCACTGGAACGTTGTGACACCCCTATAAGGGTGGCAGTGCTAGTGTCCCCACCGTACCACCGTGGAAACGGAAGCTTAGAGACATTCAGTCTCTGGGTCTAAGACCCTAAATTAGTACTCAGCAGAGCCAGGATCAGAATCCATCTGTGAGATGCCAGCCTCTGTGTTCTTAGCCACTACAGACTGACTTCCAGGGCTGTTGAGAGAATTCAATCACGTGCTGTATCAAAGTGCCTACCCCAGGATCTGCCACACAGTAGGCACTAAACAAATGTGGACTTTGAAAGCACAGAAAGTCCTATAATGTCAGAACTGGAAAGACTTTGATACCCACTAGGTCAAACCCTCTCCATTTTACAGATGGTTTCCCACCATTTTTTTTTTTTTTTTTTTTTTTTTTGAGACAGAGTCTCACTCTGTTGCCCAGGCTGGAGCGCAGTGGTGTGATCCTGGCTCACTGCAGCCTCTGCCTCCTGGGTTCAAGCAATTCTCCTGCCTCAGCCTCCAGAGTAGCTGGGACTACAGGCACGCACCACCATACCCAGCTAATTTTTGTATTTTTAGTAGAGACGGGGTTTCGCCATGTTGGCCAGGCTGGTCTCAAACTTCTGGCCTCAAGAGATCCACCCGCCTTGGCCTACCAAAGTGCTGGGATTACAGGTGTGAGCCACTGCACCTGGTCACCTGGTCCCCACCATCTTTTTTTTTTTTTTTTTTTAAGATGGAGTCTTGCTCTGTTGCCCAGGCTGGAGTGCAGTGGTGTGATCTTGGCTCACTGCAACCTCCACCTCCCAATTTCAAGCCATTCTCCTGCCTCAACCTCTCAAGTAGCTGGGACTACAGGTGTACGCCACCACACCCGGCTAATTTTTGTATTTTTAGTAGAGATGGGGTTTCACTATGTTGGCCATGCTGGTCTTGAACTCCTGACCTCATGATCTGCCCGCCTTGGCCTCCCAAAGTGCTGGGATTACAAGAGTGAGCCACTGTGCCCAGCCTCCCACCATCTTTATGTATGCCCATCATTTTGGCATAAGATGGAGCTCACTGCCTGTTTGTTGAATGAATTAACAAAATGAGTCAAGTGACTAGGCCAGGCCACACAGCTGGTTATTCTTCTCATGCCTCATTTTCTCCCTTCTTCTCAGCCTGGATCTGTTCCCCTCCACCCCAGCTGCCCCATGTGAAAGGCCCACCCCGTCCTCCTTCACACCTCATTCTCTGTCTTTGGTGGGGGGCATTCGAAAACGTCAAAGCCATTTGTCAGCCAGGTTTTCTTCTCCTCCAGCCTGTGTTCTGCTGCCCACCTTGGCATCTTCTCCTCCAACAGGGAGGAAGACCTCCAGCCATCTTCTGCAGCCAGCTTTTCTGTCTGATTCAAGAGCCGGGGTGAGGCTGGGGCCATGGAATTGAAGATAGGTCTCTCTGCAGGCAGTGGGTGGGGTCTCAGCAGCTCAGAGCCAGGCCTAAGGGACACCAGGATTGGGTCTGGAAGGGAAGCAGAGCCATGTGAGGACGGGGTGCCCACGGGAAGATGGGCATATGGGGCACCAATGACACAGGCAGGCATGCAGAGACACTCAGAGCCATGCAGACCCATGCAACATGTGTGGGAAATACAGCTACCTGTGGACAGGCCCAAACCCACAGAGCAGGGCTAACAGATACAAATACCCACGTGTGCCACCCTCAGAGTGAAGCTTGGTTTGTAGGAACAGCACGGTGCGTGCACTGAAGCAGCCCCCAAACACTTCAAACTCACATGAGACCTTGCCCTTGCTTTGTAAGGACAGTCCCACCCACACTGCACCCCACCATCTACCAAGTTCATTAGTTCTCTCACCACCTCCAGAAAGCAGGGGAGGCTGGCATCATGGCTACAGATGAGGAAACTGAGGCCCAGGGAGCAAAACCTACTTAAGGTTATCCAAAACTAGGACTCGGCCCTGGTCCGCTGCCCCCCAAGGCAGAGGCTCTTCCAGTACACCAGGAGGCCCGCTCAGCCACTGGGGTGGGGGTGAAGGAAGTTTGTGGGGGTGGAAGGGAGAGGGAGCAGCTGGGGTGACTGCTTCTGCTGGGCTGGCCCCCGTGTTGGCAGGAGCGGGAGAGTGGCTCAGGACAGGCAGAGTGGGCAGAGGGACCTGGGTGGGGGTTGCTGCCTGGAGGGCTTCTTGGGTCAAGAAGAATTGCAAAAGGCCAGGCCCAGTGGCTCGCACCTGTAATCCCAGCACTTCGGGAGGCCGAGGCAGGTGGATCACTTGAGGTCAAGAGTTTGAGACCAGCCTGGCCAACATGGCAAAACCCCCATCTCTACTAAAAATACGAAAAATTAGCTGGGCATGGTGGCACGTGCCTGTAGTCCCAGCTACTCAGGAGGCTGAGGCATGAGAATCACTTGAACCTGGGGGTGGGGTGGAGGTTGCAGTGAGCTGAGATTGTACCACTGCACTCCAGCCTGGGCAACAAAGCGAGACTCTGTCTCAAAAAAAAAAAAAAAAAAAAAAAAAAAAGAATTGCAGAGGTAGGGGTGGGGAACAGGGACAGGGAGTCTGGCTGAGGTGGTCCAGGCACCCCACATAGCCCCAGAGTGTAAAGAAGCTTTCCGTGGGGCAAAGTCCCTTGAGTTGGAGTTTTCTGAGCTCTTGGGTCAAGCCCCCTGACTTTCTGGACCTGTATGTGACCATGCTACCCACTGGGGACTGAAGGTCAAGGGCATGGCTTCTGAGGTCATGAGAGAAGAAAAATCCAGGCCCAACCCCTCTCAATTGCTTGGGGCCACTGGGCACGCCATGTTCCTGTCACATTTGCCTGGGCCTCTTCTCTGCCTTCCTCACCTCGATTCATCCCGCTGAGCCACTCCTGGGCCGTCAGGGAGGGCTGGGCCCCTGCTGTTGGAGGGTATATGTCCTCTTGGTAGGATTCTGACTGCAGGAGAAATCCAGACAGTGAGGAGGGTGGTAGGGTAGGCTGCTCAGATGGGAAAGGCCCTTAGACCTGGGAGTCCAGGCTCTCACCAACCCCTGCTGAATTGAGGAAACTGAGGCCCAGAGAACAAAGGGACTTGCCCGAGGTCACGCAGCAGCTCAAGAACAGAGGTGGACCGAGACCCAGGACTCCTGACGCCCACTGATGTCACACTGGCTGTGAGAAAGGCCGCTCTGTGGCTGCCCCATGAACGTGGGCTCCAGGCTCTGGTGCCCGACAGCCCTGGGTCTGTCTTCTCCAGGACAGGTTCCCCACCTGCCTCCCATGCGGTCCCGACTGCCCTTACCCGCCGGGGCACAATCATGGAGATGGGCTCGATGAGGCTTTTGGTTGTGATCAGCTTGTAGAAGCGGAAGATCTCGCAGGAGGACACGTCGAGTCCTCTCTTTGGCATGACACCTGAAGGCAGACAGGGAGGGCCAAGAGGTTCTGGCTAGGCTGGGGCCACAGTGTTAGGGCCAAAGCCAGGCTGCACACCTGGACCTGAACAGAGACCAGTCTCCTCCCAGAAAACAGCTCAGGGACAAATACCGACACTGGGCTGGGCCCTATGTTGGGAAATGGAGTTGAATTAATCAGACTCTTCACCTTCAAAGATTTAAATTATTTTAGCTGAATTTTTTTCTTTTTGACACAAGGTCTCACTCTGTTGCCCAGGCTGGAGTGCAGTGGCACAATCATAGCTCACCGCAGTCTCACACTCCTGGGCTCAAGCGATCCTCCTGCCTTAGCGTCCCAAGTAGCTGGGACCACAGGTATGCACCTCAATTTTTTTATTTATTTGTAGAGACAGGAGTCTCACTTTGTTGCCCAGGCTAGGCTCGAATTCCTAGGCTCAAGTGATCCTCCAGCTTTGGCCTCCCAAAGTGCTGGATTAGCTGAACTTTTATAGGCAGTTTGCTCTGCTTAAGGTTCCCCATCTCCATCCCCACAGCTCCTGTGACCCAAATGCTCTTAATCAAACCGCTCCAGATTCCTTTTGAGTAGGGTTAGCAGGGTGCATCTTTCTCCAGTCCCTTACTTTTAATCTAGCCATGTCTTTATGTTTAAAGTGGGTTTCTTGTAGATTACAGAAATATAGCTGTGTTTTTAATCCTCAAGCACACTTAGAAAGGAACTGAGGACTGCTTCCTAGAGGCTCTTCTAGGTCAGCCCTTTCCATCTCTGCTCTTGTGGTAACTGCTTAACCTTGACCTAGAACACATCCCTCTCTCCCCTGCTGGGCTCTGCTTCCTCTTTCAGTTCCTCCAATGTTGCCTCCTCTGAGAAGCCTTCCCTGACTTCCTCCTTTGTGCTGTTGCACACGTCAAGTACAGCCCCCACCAAGTCAGAGTGTTGCTATGCTGTCTCTCCTCCCATCTGACTCATCCCTGTCTCCCCAGACCCCGCACTGAAGCCCTGACCCTGATTCTCCCACCTCGGCCTCCCGAAGTGCTGGGATTACAGGCATGAACTTCAGTGTCCCTCACTTACCGATCCCCTTCTGTGGGTTATAGGAGCGGTACTCAGTCAGGTAGCTCAGGTGAGGCTTGTCGGCGCTCACCTCGTAGTAGCGGATGTTGCCATCTCCCTGAGGAGGAGGAGAAGGAAGAGGAGGGTGAGATTCAGAGCTGGAGCTCATCAGCTCATCAGCAACCCAGCCATGCAGCAAAGACCTGGCTTTTTTTGATGATCGGCAAACCCATCTCACTCAAGGGAACACCAGGAAACTGGGGGCCCTGTCATCAAGGCAGGAGGGTGATGAGGGGATATTCATTTTATTTTAGATTTTATCTTATTTTTTTGAGACAGGGTCTCACTTTATTGCCCAGGCTGGAGAGCAGTAGTGCAATCACAGCTCATTGCAACCTCCTGGTCTCAAGCCATCTTCCCGCCTCAGCCTCCCGAGTAGGTGGGACCACAGGTGTGTGCCACCACGCCTGGCTAATTTTTTATTTTTTCATTTTCGTAGACATGGGGTCTCACTATGCTGCCCAGGCTGGCCTTGAACTCCTGGGCTCAAGTGATTCTCCCACCTTGGCCTCCCAAAGTGCTGGAATTATAGGCATGAGCCACTGTGCTGGGCCTGGGCCCTTATTTTAATATTCAATCCTCCCCCACCATGACCCAAAGCCCACCCTTTTTCCTCTAAGACAGAAGCTCTGGGAAGACAAGTCCAAATCCCGCTCCTATCTGAGAGCAGCAGCAAAAGTCAGAACTGGGGTGGCCTCAGAGGTCATCCAGAAGGTCTTACCATGGGGAACATTTCTGGTTGTCATAATGACTTGGATGGAGGGGGAGAGATGCTGTTCTTGGCACTGGTGGGCAGGGGCCAGGGCTGCCAGACATGGGATAGTCCTACCCAGTGGAGACCTGTTCTGCCCCCAGTTTAGCAGGTGCCCCTGCTGAGAAACACCAATGGTCCCCCCACATCTGGGCCTGGAGTTGGGAAGAGACAAGGTCAAGGTGTCCAGCCAGAGCCCTGGCTCCAGGTGTTCCTAGGGAGCCAGGAGGGTGGGAGGGGTTCCTTCTCACAGGGAAAGAGTGGCCAGCGAGGCCTGCCCATCCCTGCCCTGTGTTCCCAATGGCCCCAGGCTGCTGTCTGCCGCTGTCTCAGGGGTCCAGGAGGTCACCTCCCTCCCGTGCCAAGCCGACCTTCCCCACCACGTAGAGCATGCTGGTGTCCGCGTCATAGAAGGGAAACAGCACGCCCGAGGAGCCGTCCAGGTCCTCCTCCATCAGAGGCACAGAGAGGTTATCCTGCAGGGGAAGGGGAGGCAGGGAAGGCCTGGGTCACTCCTGGGGGCCCTCAGTGGTGCTCCCGGAGATAAGAATTGCTGCCATGGTGCTCTGGGCGAGAGTGTGTGTGTCAGAGAAAAAGTGTGATTTTTTTATATGTGTGTGCGGGGGGAAGATGTCCCTGGTTCTTGAGTTCCAATGTGTGGGCTACTCTCTAGTGGAGATGACATCTTAAAGGCACTAAAATGCTGCTGCCACCTATTTTGTCAGCTTTCTGCCCTTAACAAATCACTTTTTTTTTTTTTTTGAGACAAGGTCTAACTGTCACCCAGGCTGGAGTGCAGTGGTGCGATCATAGCTCACTGCAGTCTCAAACTCTTGGGCTCAAGCGATCCTCTCGCCTCAGTCTCCCAAATAGCTGGGATTATAGATATGCACCACTGCACCCCGCTGATTTTTTGCAGAGATGGGGGTCCTGCTGTGTAGCTCAGGCTGGTCTCGAATTCGTGGCCTCAAGTGATCCTCCCGCCATGGCCTTCTGAAGTGCTGGGATTACACGCGTGTACCACCATACCTGGCCATAACAAATCACTTTTGACACACCCGATCTCATTCCAATCTTCCCCTACCTGTTTTTTAAAATTTATTTTAATAGATGAAGAAGGAGACTCAGAGAGAAAATGTGATTTGTCCAGTCTTTGAAACTCTGTCAAATGCTCCCTCAAAATACTACCGCCAGCTTGGCCCTCACCCTACCCTGCTCCACCCTCAGCTGTCCCAATGAAAGCTCCTTCTCCCCATACCCGTTAGTACCTCATTTGCTCCAGGTGCACCCTCAGCCCAGATGGCCCTCTCCTTCTCCCTTCCTCCTAGTCCTGGTCCCAGACTCAGCTACCTCCCCTCCTCTAGCCAACGGACTCCCCTGGGTCCTGACCCATCTCCCTCCTTGGGTGGCAAGATACACAGGGTCTGGGCTCGCCCGGGGCTGTCAGCATCTCCCTGCTATTCATCCCCGGATCCCCAGCACCTGGCAGTCTACGCTAAATGTGTGTGTCATAAATGGGTGTCTAAATGAATGCATGCATGAATGAATGACACTGGCTCTCAGCTGAGGGGTGATGGTGAGGGGTGGGGTGCAGCCCTCACCTGGTCCCACAAGGCCACCTGCCGGTTGTTCCATCGGGATGTGCCTGTGGACATCAGCTTCTTCAGGTTCCCCAGAAACAGCACTTTGCTGGCCCGGTGCCCTTTGTAGCTGGCCTCCTGGAGGGACACGTGCGGTCGGTATTGGAGAGACAGTAGAGGATCGGGGGCAGCTGGGGTTTCTGGCCTCCCTGCTTTGCTTATGCCACCGCTCCACCTGGGAGGCCTCCCTTTCTCACCCCAGCTCTGCCTGGAGATTCTTCCCAGGGGCACCACCTGGATCCCTCTCATCCACATGGAGTCTCTCCCCACTATCTTTGTTAAGAGTTATTTTTCTGAGCAAGAACAGAAACAAACTTCTGCCCAGCGCCCTGTTCTTGCTGAAAGAGTATTGGGCATCCCTACAGGGGCGGGCACTGTCACCTGGCCTGTCTTATCTAATCCTTGGAGAGGAAGGACTAACAGCCCATTGTTGCAAATGAGAAAACAGAGGCTCAGAGCAGGAAGCGCTTGCCCAAGGCTGCACAGTGGCTAAACAGTGGTATCGTCGGCTCTCCTGACCCCCTGGCCAGAGCTGAGGCACGCCAACAAGCTTTGGAGTCAGACCAGGTTCAGATCCCAGCTCTCCATGGGGGTGAGTCATTTCATCTCTCACGGGCCTCAGTTTTCTCATCTGCAAAATGGAAAGGACATATCCCACCTTCCAGCAATCCCGAGAGGACAGACAGGGATGCTGCCTGTGAAGGCGCAGCCCAGACGCTGACAGCATCACTGTCCTGTTCTCTGAAGCCTCTCTCTGTCCCCACTCTGCTCCTTGCTCCTCTGAGCCTGAGCCAGCCCCTGGCCCAGAACTGACCTGGAGGACGGTCCCTGCTCGGGGGTCAATAACCCGAATCTTGCGGTCTTTGCAGGTGGTGGCCAACAGGCTGCCGTTGGTGTTGAAGGACATGGAGAGGATCACATCTTGGTGACAGCTAATCGTACTCATGGGGCTTGTGATGACAGACTCCTTTGTATCCAGGTTCCAGATCATCACCTGCATGGCAGAGAGCCAGCTCTGAGCACAGGGGCCACCTTGCCCCTGGGCCTCATAGTTACATGCTGGCCAGGATGCAGTGAAACACAGTATCCCTGGGAGGGTGGCGCAGCTGGCAGCCTGGCCAAGAAGCCTCAGTGGGAGGATGATGTGCAGGCTGAAGCTGCTTGTGGCAGGAGGGGGAATCCCAGGGCCAGGCTGTCTAGTGGTGAAAGGAAAACGCCACCTGCCTCTGAGCAACAAAACATCCATGCTGGGAGGACCCCAGGGAACCAGCTAATCCAGGCGGTTTCAGTTATTAGCAGCAGTTTGCACCTCCCACAGATCAACAGGGCTGTATGTTTAGCTGCACAGGCTGTGCATGCAGAGGTCCAGGGCAATCCATTCCTATAGACTAGGACGTGACTAGTGCCCCCTGAAGTTGGGTATAGAACAACCAGCACAAATACACGCAGCAGCTCTGCAGACACCCCATACAAACAGATGAGAAAGCGCTGTGGATCGGAAGAGCGAGGGCCCAGGTTCCCTCAGTGCTCCCCACAACAATTTTAGTTATTTATTTTTGAGACAGGATTGCCCAGGCTGCAGTACAGTGGCATGATCATGGCTCACTGTAGCATCAACCTCCTGGGCTCAAGTGATCCTCCCACCTCAGCCTCCTGAGTAGCTGGGACTACTTGACGCATTTTCCCACACCTGGCTAATTTTTTCTATTTTTTTGTAGAGATGGGGTCTCACTATGTTGGCTGGTCTCAAATCCTTGGGCTCAAGTGATCCTCCCACCTCAGCCTCTCAAACTGTTGGGATTACAGGTGTGAGCCACCATGTCCGGCCCCCCACCTCCCTTTTATCCAACACAGAGGGTCCCGAGGTGTCTCTGTAAACCCCTATAGTGTCAAAAGGAAAGAACTGAAAGGCCATAGCTATGGTGCCACCAATTCCATTTGTGTACAGATTGGGAAACTGAGGCCTAGAGAAGTCAAGGCACTTTCCCAGGCTATAGTGCAGGTCAGAGACTGAGTCGGAATAGAATTGAGGTCTCCTGTACTGTGGGTCCCAATCTACAGGGCCTACTGCCTGCATGCTTGATTGTCAGTGGAGCAGGGTCGGGGGAACGATTTTCTGGGCAGTGCCATCCCATCCACTCCGGGCAGGCTATAATGAGTTGAACAGGGTTCCCCCCAAAACTCATGTCCACCTGGAACCTCAGAATGTGACCTTATTTGGAAATGGGGTCTTCGCTGCTGAAATTAGTTAAGATGAGATCATAATGGATTAGGTGGGCCCTAAATCCAATGATAGTTGCTCTCCTCTTCCTATAAGGAAGACAGGTACACAGAGAGAAGGCCGTGTGAAGACAGAAACAGAGCCTGGAGTGACGCAGCTATAGCCAAGGATGCCTGGAGCCACCAGAAGCTGGGAGAGGCATGGAAGGATTCTTCCCTAGGGCATCTGGAGGGAGCTGGCTCTCCCAACACCTTGATTTTCGATTTCTGGTCTCCAGAACTGTGACAGAATACATTTCCATTGTATTCCAGTTTGTGGGAACTTGTTGGGGCTGCCCCAGAGAAAGAATACCCAGACTCACCTTGTAGTCATAGCCAGCACTGAAGAGGATGTTGGCGGCCGTGGGGTGCCACTCCACCAGGCCTACTCTGCGCGCGTGGCCCACGAGTTCCTTCCTGTAGGCCGTGAGGTTCCTGGTCAGCAGCTGCTTGGGGATGCTCCAGATCTTAATCTGGCAGGGGAGACAGGGCCCAAGGCAGCATTAGCCAGGGCACCTTGGCACCGTCACCAGCCTAAGCCACAGATCTGGCAGTGACCAGCAGAAGGACCAAGGGAGCTCTCTCCATAGCCACCTCCCACTCAGTGGCTATGGGCATTGAGGGGCAGTGGAGGGGCAGCTGAGGGTCCTCAGACAGACAGGGGCTTCCCCAAGCTCCTCCAGCCTGAGCAGGGGCCAGCGCTGACCAGGGATGAGTCTAGGCCTCCAAATCTGCCCTTGAGAGATCTTTGTCATCCTGCTGGCCTGAGGTGGTGGGCAGGTGGCTGGGTTTCAGGCCTGTCTCCTAAGCTAGGATATCCCCAAAGTACAGTGTTCTTCTTGTCCCAAAGACCCAGGGTAGAGCCTCAAATGCCAGGATGAAGGGTTTAGGCTGCATCCTCAGGCACTAGGGAGCCGGCGAGGTCTCTGCAGCAGGGCAGGGACAAACTTCTTGCTTTGGAGGTGCACCCTGGATGGCCTGCAAGAGGAAACTCTGAAGGTCAGGAGGCTGGGCTGGATGGGGTCATGGGCCTGTATTTCATGGTGAGGGCCTGAGAAGAGGTGCTGGGACTTCCTTCCAGAGTAGTGTTGTCTGAAGATGGAGGGGGCTGCCATGGCAGAGAGTAAGCTCCCTGTCACAGAGGTATACAAATGGAGTACAAGGTGATCCTGGGATGCTGCTGACTTGATCTTCCTTATTGGTCCTGCAAGGTTCTCTGGCCCCTAGTTGATTGTATGCACTGTTTCCCTTAGAGGTATACAGGTTTTTCAGGTAGACGACTTTGCTTTCAATTCAGCAAATATTTATTTCCTGGTCATCTTGGATTTAAAACCAGGAAGCCAACCCCACGAGAGTAGTGACAGGCTCCAGATACTTCGGTCTGATGAGGGCTGTCACTGCATAGAACCCCGGGAGGAAGACACACTCTGAAGAGGTATGTTTGGAAGATGAAGGTACCACCCGCAACACTGAAGCAGAGAAGACTCCCCACTGCTAGAGGAGCAACCGTGCCCTCCAGGCCCTGAAGGCAGGGAGGAACACCCCATAAATTCACTGTGGGCATAGCTTCGGGGAGGAAAGCCCCTTCCTTCTTCAGTCCCCCAACAGTCACGTCCTGCCCTGGGGCATCGGGGAAGGGGCAGTGGCAGGCAATGAGGCTAGCAAGAGATTTATAAAGATCTTGATGGGAGCCTTCAAAGCAGTCCTGAAAAGGCAGGTATCACAAAAGTGGGGACAGTTTCAGATATTTGATATCCTGCCAGAGGCCCTATACTCCCTGGGGACAGGGCCAATTCTCACAGGACCTGATTGTCCCTTTGGTGAAATCACCTCGGCAGACACTGTCCTTTACGTTCCTCAGCATCTGCTATATGGAAACCGACACAAATCCTCTTTGAATTTTCTGCCTTCCTTTCCTGATGAACTGGTCTGCTTCTTTTGATCTAACTGAAGGTTTTGCAATACATTCTGTTGCCCATTTTGCCTTGGCTGCCAGGTAGCTCTTAGCTAAACTAGCAGCTTAGCTGCTGCAACCCTTCTTAGCCATCATTTCTAGTATTTCCTCAGTTTCTCCATCTGTGGCTGCTTCTCTTTAAAGATGTGTCACAGCACATTGGAAAGAGAATGGGCTGTGGAATCAGACAGGCCTCAGTCTGAAGTCTTGCTCTGCCTCCCACAGGCTGTGTAACATTAGGCAAATTGCTGTACCTCTCTGATCCTCAGCTTCTCCATCAGAAAAATATCCTACCTTGTGGGGTTGCTGGGGAGACTGTGAAATGATAAGTGTGATGACAGTTAGGAATACAGTGGGCTCACAATAAATGGTGACAATGACTTTTATCTTTATTTTAATCATCTGATCATATCTGTGTTTTTTAATTTTTTAATAGAGACAGGGTCTCACTATGTTGCCTAGGTTGGTCTCCAACTCCTGGCCTCAAGTGATTCTCCCACCTCAGTCTCCCAAAGTGCTGAGATTACAGGTGTGAGCCACTGAACCTGGCATATCTGTGGTTCTTGTCTTAAGCCATACCACCATATTTTAGAAGTGGGTACAAAATGAATTGTAAATAAGTAACACTGAACATTGTTGGGGCAGGGATGATAACCCTGGTACAGAACACGGGCTCAAAAAAGTGAGTGAGACTGAAGCTGCTGGAATGGTTTTAGTGTCCACATTCATCCAAGGCCCTCACAGCCTTTTATAGCTCGCTTCCTCACTATGGGATTAAGTGGAACATCTTTTCTGATCACCATAAAAATGCCCCTCATAGCCTTTTATAGCTCCCCGAAGGATGGGTTTTCCCATCGGAATATACATTTTCACTGGGCTTTATTAGCTGGGTGGAACTATTATGCCCATTTTATATGGGGGGGAACTAAGGCCCATAGAGAGGAGGGGTGGTGCCGCTAGTCCTACAGCACCAAGAATGTCTCCTCCTCTACCTTAACTTAACACCTCCCCACACAGTGACCTCACCTCCGCGATGGAGTCAGGGGCACCAGAGCCAAGAACAGGTACCATTCCACCCCAACCACCCCAATCCCACTCTTCAGGAAGGGGAAGCCCCTCAGGGGCTGACACTCACTGTGGCATCTTCAGAACAGGAGGCGATCTCAAAATCATCAAAAGGGTTCCACTTGACATCCAAAACGTTGCCTCTGTGCCCGCAGACTTTTGGGTAGTGGGGGTCCAACTTCCCTGTCTGCAAGACAGTGCCCAGGAGGGTTGGGGAGGAGGTGGATTCCACATTAGCATCTGGACAGTCACATAGTCAGTTAGCAACCAGTCAACAGGAAAACATAAGGGACAGAGCTGGGTGTGAATCTAGGCCTTACTTCTTATTCCCTGTGGGATCCTGGGGGAGTTACTTCACTTCTCTGAGCTCTGGTGTCCTCCTCAGTAAAAGGGAGCAATCACAGGTATTTCACAGGTTGGTGTGAGGATCATGGGAGAGGAGGTATGGCACAGTGCCTAGCACATGGCAGATGTTCAATAAAAGGGCATTTCCCCTCACACACTGCTGGTAGGCATGTAAAATGGTGCAGCTCTTTTGGAAAATAGTCTGGCAGTTCCTCAAAAGGTTAACCGGTTCCCACATGACCCAGCAATTCCACTCCTAGGTCTATCTCCATGGAAAATGAAAAGATAAGTCCGCAAGAAACTGTTTCACCTAATCCCAGCACTTTGGGAGGCCAAGGTGGGTGGATCACCTGAGGTCAGGAGTTCGAGACCAGCCTGGCCAACATGGTGAAACCCTGTCTCTACTAAAAATACAAAAATTAGCCGGGCGTGGTAGCATGCACCTGTAATCCCAGCTACTCAGGAGGCTGAGGTAGAACACTTGAACCTGGGAGGTGGAGGTTGCAGTGAGCTCTGATTGCGCCATTGCACTCCAGCCTGGGTGACAAGAGTGAAACTATGTCTCAAAAAAAAAAAAAAAGAAACTGGTTCACCAATGTTCACAACAATATTCTTCATAATATCAGAAAGTGGAAACAACCCAAATGCCCATCAAGTGAAGAATGGACATACAAAATGCAGTATATTCATGCAGCAGAATACTACTGTCCCTAAAAAGAGGAATGAAGTACTGGTCCCTGCTACAGCATGGATTAACCTAGAAAACACTAGAAGAAGAGGCCAGGCACAAAAGGCCACACGTTGTGTGATTCCACTTAGATGATGTTCCAGATGTGGTTTCATTGCCTGAGCACATTAATGCATCCCCCTGGTACCTGGTATCTGGAACCCTAAGTAATGCATATGAAAAATGCAGAACGGGCTGGGCGCGGTGGCTCACGACTGTAATCCCAGCACTTTGGGGGGCCGAGGCGGGTGGATCACGAGGTCAGGAGATCGAGACCATCCTGGCCAACATGGTGAAACCCTGTCTCTACTAAAATACAAAAAATTAGCCCGGCGTGGTGGTGCACGCCTGTAGTCCCAGCTACTCGGGAGGCTGAGGCAGTAGAATCGCTTGAACCCAGGAGGCAGAGGTTGCAGTGAGCCAAGATCATGCCACTGCACTACAGCCTGGCGACAGAGCAAGATTCTGTCTCAAAAAAAAAAAAAAAAAGAAAGAAAAATGCAGAACGATACATTCATGGAGACAGAAGGCAAGATTCTGGTTGCCTCAGGCTTGGGAGAAGGGGCAATAGGGGGTGACTGCTAATGAGTGAGGGGTGTCTTTTTGGAGTGACAAAATGATTTTGAAATTAGGTGGTGGTGACAGTTTATTCACAGTATATTCACAACCTTGTGAATATACTAAGATCCACTGAACTATACACCTTAAAACGGTGAATTTTCCAACATGGCAACAGGACAAAACCCCGTCTCTACAAAAAATCAAAAAATTAGGCCTGGCATGGTGGCTCACGGCTGTAATCCCAGCACTTTGGGAGGCCAAGATGGGTGGATCACCTGATGTCAGGAGTTTGAGACCAGCCTGGTCAATATGGTGAAACCCCACCTCTACTAAAAATACAAAATTAGCCGGGCGTGGTGGCACATGCCTGTAATCCAAGCTACTTGGGAGACTGAGGCAGGAGAATCACTCGAACCCAGGAGGTGGAGGTTGCGGTGAGCTGAGATTGTGCCACTGCGTTCCAGCCTGGGCAATAGAGTGAGACTCCGTCTCAAAAATAAATAAATAAATAAATAGCCAGGCATGGTGTCGCACACCTGTAGTTCCAGCTACTTGGGAGGCTGAGGTGGGAGGATTGCTTGAGCCTGGGAGGTCGAGGCTGCAGTCAGCTATGATTGTGCCACTGCACTCCAGCCTGGGCAACAGAATGGGACCCTGTCTCAAACAAAAAACAAAACACGGTGAATTTTCTGGTATGTGAATTCTACCTCAATTACATAGAAAGGGCATTTCCCTCATTTTCCCCTTTCCTAATGAGAATTCCTGTATAGGTGCTGGGAGGGACATACAGGTCCCCCAGCCCATGCCACACAGCCCTGAAGCTATTTCCAACTCCACCAAGAGACTTGGATTTCTTGGGGTCATAGAGAAACCACACCAGTTCAGTCACAGAACCTTGGACTGGCAGTGACCAATCTGCTCATTTTGCACATCACATTGCATGGCCCTGGCAGAACAGGGACCAGGACCCAGGCCCTCGACCTCCCACATCCACCATCTAGTTCCAGGTTCTTGAGCCACCCACCAGAATGCTCCCCCAGCCATTTTTATATCTAAGTGAAAGAGACAGCTGAGAAGAAAACTGGCCAACATCCATCCATCCCACAAATATTCCCGAGGTGCCCAGGGGACAGGTGCTGTTGGAGGGGCTGATTGCAAGGTGAACACTCAACATAGTCCTTGACTTTGCAGAATCAATAGTCTTGGGATTTTTTCTAGAGGGACTTTCAAGAACAGGGTGGACTCAGGGAACACCCAACCTTCTCTTCTTCCATCACCTCCCCATCTGTGTAGAGACCACTGTACTTGTTTTTTTTTTTTTTAAGAGACAGGGTCTCACTCTGTTGTCCAGGCTGGAGTGCAGTGGTGCAATCATGATTCACTGTAGCCTCGAACTCGGGGTAAGACAATCTTCCCACCTCACCCTCCCAAGTTCCAGGCTAAGAACTACAGGCATGTGTCACCAAGCTCAGCTAATTTTTAAAATTATTTGTAGAGATGGGGTCTTGCTATGTTGCCCAGGCTGGTCTTGAACTCCTGGGCTCAAACAATCTTCCCAACTTGCCCTCCTAAAGTTAGGGATTACAGGCATGGGCCACCGTGCCTGGCCTATGCATGCATTTTAGTAGCTCTGCAAACAGAGGAGGTGGTCCTGTGCCTCCCTCTGGAAATACTCTGGCTAATCCAGGTCTCTCCCCTCAGGAAAAAGTGATCAGACACCTCCGCCTAGACTGGATCCCCTACTGGAGGGGACAACGCTATAAAGGACATTATTTAACAAATCTAAACAAGAACGGTAGATTACAGTATTATCACAACATTAAACTTATATAAGTTGATAATGTACTGCAGTAATGTAAGAGAATATTTGTATTTTTAGGAAACAGTATTTAGGGATGAAGGGCTAAGATGGATGTAACTTACCCTCAAAGAGTTCTGAAAACAAAAAATTATACACACACCTACACATTCAGAGGGAGAAAGAGAACCAAAAAAAAAGGAAAGAATGTGGACTTGTGTCCTTTGTTAGTGATGTGCATGGAGGGAGGTGAAAATTTTCTCTCTTTCAAGTGGTCTCTGCCTCTTCTACAGCAGGACAGGGGAGAGAGGTGCATGCTTCCTGCCCTGTCCTGGCAGGGCGGTACCTGGAGCTAGGGTCTTAGAAGGACACTGCACCCACAGGCCCTGGCCCAGGTCTCCATGGGACCACTGACCCTTTTTTTTTTTTTTTTTTTGGACATGGAGTCTCGTCTTGTTGCTCAGGCTGGGGTGCAGCGGTGCGATCCCGGATCACTGCAACCTCCACCTCCCAGGTTCAAGCAATTCTCCCTGCCTCGGCCTCCTGAGTAGCTGGGATTACAGGTGCGTGCCACCACACCCAGCTAGTTTTTGTATTTTTTAGTAGGGACGGGGTTTTGCCATGTTGGCCAGGCTGGTCTTGAACTCCTGACCTCAGGTGATCTGCCCGCCTTGGCCTTCCAAAGTGCTGGGATTATAGGCTTGAGCCACTGCGCCCAGCTGCCAATGACCTCTTGCTTAGCCTCCAGGACATCCTGTACACTGTCCTCAAGGTGAGTTTTCGAAAATTAAAACCTGAGCATGTTGTGCACCTGCTCACATTTTGCAAGCCTCTTTTTCCTCATCTGTAAAATGTGAATGAATAATCATTTCTTCCTTGCAGGATTGTTGAGAGTTAAATGAGATACTATGCATGAAGAGCCCAACAGTCAGGTGTTACTGTAAGTGCTCAGTAACAGAAGCTACTATTATATGTATATGTATGTATATTTGTATGTCAAAACTGAGAAAAAAAAACTAAAAGGAATGAGCCAAAATGTTAATCATGGTTATATCTAGATGGTGGAATAAATGGCTGGCTTTAATATCTTTGTCTTATTTTTAGCTATGTAAGTTTTGCAATTAAAAAAGGTGTTTAAAAACAAAAATACAGATTTTCTGAAAAAATGGGTCCATCCAGGATTAGCCAAAAACTTCTGTTATAAAACTGTAGCTCTTGAAGGGCTCTAGAGACCAGGAATGGAGCCCACAGCTGCACTGTCTTATCCTGCACCTGTGGCAGGCATTGCGAATGGATCCCAGCACCCTCTCTCGGACCTCAGACTTGGGGAAATCCAGCATGGAGTAGGGACTTGCCCAGGGTCACTGCAAAGGTGAGGGGCAGAGCTGGGCTTGAGCCCAGGCCTCTGGTTCCCCAAGTGTGAGCCTGGTGCTGTACTTCCTGTGCTCTGAGGGAGCACCAGTGAGTGCTCTGTGAGTCCCTGCCCTGGCCTCCTTCCTGCACACAGCCTTTCCTTTCTCTGGGATCATTTCCTGGGTCAAAGGCCATGAGCAGTACTGTGTCTTTGGCTGTGGGGCACTGATTGCTCTCCGGGCCTTTAGACTCTGGCCCAGGGCCATGCCCCAATTTCCGCAGTGCGGTTTCCCAAGAAAAGCCAGATGAGCCAATAGTCAGGCTGCCCTCGGGCTGACGGGAGGCAAAGTGCCCAGGAGCCCCATTCAGACACACACCTCCCACCTCCCACAGACTCAGGGAAGGCGCCTTAGGGTTGGGCGTGGCTCAGAAGGGCCTAGCCCTAGACAGCTTCTCTTCCTTCTCAGCCTTCTCTTCCTTCTCAGCTGATGAGGGAAGGCTGCCCACTCACACCCCAGCCCACCCCAGCCCTCCCCTCCGCCCCACCTCCCCTGCCCTGCCCTGCCCTGCGCTGCCCTGCGCTGCCCTGCGCTGCCCTGCCCTGGGCTGGCAGATTGCTCTGCTTCTAAAAGGTTTTACGCTGAGGACCACAGGCAGGAGCGGACATTAGCCAGCCTGGTGGGCTATTGACTGAGCTGCTAAAAGCCTGTCAGGGACATTTATCATCAGGAGGCCATTTCCACCTTCTGCCCATTAGGCCAGCACTCAGCCAGAAACAGGCTTCTGATGGATGTGGTGTACAAGCTCTAAATCAGGGGAGACACGCCTGCTCCCCTCGCAGACCCCACAGAACCCTGGCTTGGGCCGCCCTGCCTGGAGAGGCATCACCTCCAAGTCTCCAAGGGGCTGCCCTGGGGCAGAGGGGGAAGACAGGACAGAAGGACCCAGGAGGAGTCAGGCGGGTGGGGGACCAGACTGGGGACTCTCTACGGCTGACCTCCATTGCCAGAAAGGGAGAGGTTGTGAGGCCACTGTCACGACCCTCAGCAGTCAAGGGAGCAGCTGTTCCTACAACAGCATCATAGTCATGGCCTCAAATGAGCATCCCAACAGCTCAGGGTGGAGACTGGGAGGCAGGGGTGGCAGGACGGGCAGAGGGAGGACACACAGTGTAGCAGAGGTGAAGTGGGCAGGCAGACTCTGGCTTCCAGGGGTGGAATCCCTGCCACATCCCTTACCATGGTGCAGCCTTGGGCAAGTGACCTCAGTTCTCTATGCCTCAGTTTCCTTATCTACGAAATGACAACAGTAGTAGCACCTCATTCACAGTAAAGCACTGAAGACGGTGCCCAGTACTTGCTAAGTACTCAGTACATTAGCCAGGAGAAGCTCATCACAGCTCATTACCATTACCCAGTTTTATTGTTGCTCAGTATGTTTCAGGGGCCAGGGGATATACTCACTGGGCAGGGGACAAACTGTTCTGCATGGGGACTCCCATCCTTTCCTACATAGCAGTGGCTCCAGGCATGCCCTCCATGAATGAACTAGTGGCTTGATTGTTTTCCTACTGGTGAATGCAGGCAGCTGGATCAGACATGTTCCCATGTCTATAAGAAATAGGTTTTTAAATGCTTCTTGGCTGGGCACAGTGGCTCATGTCTGTAATTCCAGCACTTTGGAAGTCCAAGGCAGATTACTTAAGGCCAGGAGTTCAAGAGCAGCCTGGGCAACAGGCCCCATCTCTACAAAAATTAGTCCGGTGTAGGGATGCACACCTGTGGTCCCAGCTACTCGGGAGGCTGAGGCAGGAGGATCACTTGAGCCTGGGAGGTCCAGCCTACAGTGAGCCATGATCGTGCCACTACACTCCAGCCTGGGCAACAGAGTGAGATCCTGTTTCGAAGAAAAAAAAAAAAAAAGCTTTTCTTTAGAAACCATAATCTAGGGAGTCATATATGTGCCAGGCCCAGTGCCAGCTGCGTTGCTCATAATATTTGATTTACCTCCCAACCACCCCAGGACATAGTACAAGAATTCCCCATTTACAAGTGCAGAGGCTGGGGCTCAGAGAGGTTGACAATCATGTACTAAGGACAGCAGAGCCAGGATTGGGAATGTTTCCTCTTATGGCCTGGTCTGCTCTTGCTGTCCTCACACCATGGTTATCATCATCATCATACAGGCCTTTCACTGAGGACATACTATGTGCCAGACTGCATGCAGGTGATGGCAGAGATGCGGTACTCACAATCCTGGGCTATAGGAGCCATCTACCTTATGGAGGAGGCAGGAAGGAATATACTTTGAGCTCAGAGGAGAGGCACACAAGAGACCTGGGGGATGAACCAGAGAAGGCTCCCTGGAGGAGGAGGACTTTAAATTGGGCCTTAAAGAGAGGGAGACTTTGACCAGGTCAGGTGGAGGGGAGGAATCTCAAGTCAGAAAGGCAGGGCCACAGGTAGGTTTTAAGTGGGAGGAGGCTGAAGCAGCCAGCGGGCACGGTAGGCTGGAGGACAGGGCAAGAGAGGAGGCTGAGCAAGAGGGGTGAGGCTGAGGGCATGGAGTCTACTCACCCTGCCCAGGGTGCAAGGCTGGACCCAATAGAGAGGTGGACAAATGGATAGGTGAGCCATGTCCTGACTGGAGAGGGTGAGATGTGGGACCAGGGACCGCCCAGAGGAGGCTGGGATTGAGCAGAGGGAGAGATGAGAGGAGCATTTCTTGACCCTAGGAATGGCAGCACTTCTAAAATGCACAGCACATTCCCATGATTTAGGGCAGAGCATCCTTCATCACCCCTCTCCTTATGAGCACCCAGATGAGCCTTTGGAGGGTTTACTGTAGAATCCAACATCCAGGGATGAAAGCGGTGAACCACAGCTGGTGTCCCCACTTGGTCACCTGTGGGGACAGGGAGCTCACTTCCTCCTGAGGTAATTCATCCTACTTTCAGACCTTGTGAATTTGGAGAAAATGTTTCCTACTTCGAGCCCAGTGTGGCCTCCAGGTGGCCCCTGCTTCCCCTCACTTCCCACTTCTGGTCCTGGCGTTGTCCTTTGGGGACCTATAGACACATCTGGGCCCTCTGTGGCAGGCCAACTCCTTGGATATTTGAAGACAGAGGACCCATTCCTTGAGTATGTTCTTGTCCAGGATGAACAAACCCCTAGAACTGGAAGAGACTTCCAAAATGCCAGACTAGCCCATACCCTGCCTTTCTAGAAGGGCAATTTGTATGGAGGGAACAGATATGTGCTATGGAAGGCTCTGAGGTTCCAAACAGTTGGCTAGGACAGGGCATAGAGGGCTTTGATGAGAGAGGCAGAACATTATCTGCAGGCAGCAAGGAGTCCTGGGAGGCATCTGAGCAGCGGAGTGATGTGGACACACATCGGCTTGAGAAGGGTCAGGTTGGCCTTGGTTTTTTGTTTGTTTGTTTTTTGAGACAGAGTATTGCTCTGTCGCCCAGGCTGGAGTGCAATGGTGCGATCTTGGTTTACTGCAACCTCTGTCTCCCGGGTTCAAGTGATTCTCCTGCCTCAGCCTCCCAAGTAGCTGGGACTACAGGCATGTGCCACCACGCCCAGCTGATTTTTTATTTTTGGTAGAGACAGGGTTTTGGTATGTTGGCCAGGCTAGTCTCGAATGCCTGACCTCAAGTGATCTCCTGCCTTGGCCTCCCAAAGTGCCAGGATTACAGGTGTGAGCCACCATGCTGGCTAAGGCTGGCCTTTAAGATCATGGCAGTGAAATGCTCCTCTCCACTCTCCCAGGCACCTGAAAGCCACGGTGTCCATTAGGCCCTCAGGCCCATGTCCCCTCTGGCCTGTCTACTCCCAGCAGGGTTCCAGGGCTGACCCCCAGGGGCTCTGCCTGCCCTTGCTTTCATTCCTCCCCACCCTCCACACCTCACAGCAAAGTCCACCTTCTTCACCCCCTCCCTGGAGTGACTCTGTGGCAGGCTGGGCCCCAGGCTCAGGAGCACAGTCCTGGCCTCTCCCCAGCCTTCCCCTGCTGCCTTTGTTCCCTGAGTACAGTCCCTGGTTGCCAAGGCTGCAGGTTGCGAAACTCACCTCCAGCCTCCCTCTAACCAGCTCACCCTGGGTCACAACAGGCAAGAGGGAGGGACCCTGCCTGCAGTGTCACTCCCTTTGGGACATCTGAAACTGCCTGGGGCAGCCCGGCCCCTCTGAGAAGGACTTCCTGCACGCTGTGGCAAGGCCAGACATCTCCCAATCTCAATGCAATTTATGTACTTAATTAAATCATTAGCTAGCTTGTCCCTTCCTTGTTCTCACATCACTCACCTACTGATACATCTCTGTGCCTGGCACAGAACGTAATCCTGGTAACAAGTAGGAGCTGATGCAAATCAGTGCCAAACCTCAGGGGCCTCATGTCAGTGAAGTGAGAGCAAGGCCCGAGGCCACACCCAGGTCTGGGCTCCCATTCGGGTCCTGGACACACTGCACAGGGTCCTCTGGGAAGTCATCTTCCTGAGCCTCAGCGACCTCATCTGTGCAATGGGGCAAGATCCCCTATAAATGGGGCTAATGTTCATAAGGTATCAGCATAATCACTCCAACCCTGGTTACAACATAATAAAGAGCCTCTAAGGCCTGTCTGTGCAGGTAAGTGCTATGGCATGGTGCCTGCACAGTAGTAATGGATGTGGTTACTTAATAAGAAACATATTGGCCAGGTGTGGTGGCTCATGCCTGTTATCCCAGCACTTTGGGGGGCTGAGGCAGGAGGATCCCTTGAGCCCAAGAGTTTGAGACCAGCCTGGGCAACATAGTGAGACCCCATCTCTACTTACAATAAGAAAAAATTAAAAAGAAACATCAATCAAATGCAAGATGTGGACCCCATCTGGACTTTGAGGCAAACAAACCACAAGCAAAGTGGCATGTATGAGGCAACCAGGGACCATTAACATGAATTAGGAATCAGGTGACACAAGAGTTATTATTAATGTGATCCTGGCATTATGGTTATGTCAGAAAATGTCCCTGGTTTTAGAATTGCATACTGACATGTGGTAGGGGGCGGGGGGCAGAGGTTGAAATGACAAAATGTCTAGGATTTGCTTTAAAATACTTCAGGTAAAAGGGATGAGTGAAGCAAGAGGGCAAACTTGATAATTCTAGAATCTGGGCTGAGGAAAGTTCATCATATTATTTTTATCTACTTTTGTGCTTGAGATTTTTCCATAATTATGAACCTGAGCTAGATTAGAGCCTTGCTATTGAAAATGCAATTGGCAAACAAGTAGATCGGTATCACCTGGGAGGAGGGAAGTCAGATTTAGCAAGTAAAACACAGGATGCCCAGTAAAATTCAAATTGCAGATAAACAACAAATATTTTAGCATAAGGAGGTTCCATGCAATATTTTACTTACACTAAAAATTTGTAAAAATAAATTGACAGTTTCTTATAAGGCTAAACATGCAACTACCTTATGACTCAGCAACCGCACTCCTGGCCCTTTATGCCAGAGAAATGGAGACTTACTTATATTCACCCAAAAATATGTACACAAATGTTTGTAACAGCTTAATCTGTAATAGCCCCAAACTCGAAACAACCCACTGGCTTTCAGTGAGTGAATGGTTATATAAACTGTAGTGCATCCATACCATAGAATACTATTCAGCAGTAAGAAAGGACACAGAGGCAGGAGTGGTGGCTCATGCCTGTAATCCTGGCACTTTGGGAGGCTGAGGCAAGAGGATCACTTGAGCTCAGGAGTTTGAGACCAGCCTGGGCAACATCATGAGACCTCGCCTCTATTAAAAAAAAAAAAGAAAAAAAAAAAAAGAGGCCAGGCAAGGTGGTTCATGTCTGTAATCCCAGCTCTTTGGGAGGCTGAGGCAGGCAGATTAACTGAGGTCAGGAGTTTGAGACCAGCCTGGCCAACATAGCAAAACCCCATCTCTACTGAAAATATAAAAACTAGCCAGGTGTGGTGGCATGTGCCTGTAGTCCCAGTTACTTGGGAGGCTGAGGCAGGAGAGTTGCTTGAACCCAGGAGGCGGAGGCTTCAGTGAGCCAATATCATGCCATTGCACTCCAGCCTGGGCGACAGAGCGAGACTCCATCTCAAAAAAAAAAAAAAAATAAGATAAATAAATAAATAAAAATTTAAAAAAAGAAAGAAGGAACACATAATTGAGGCCAGGTGCAGTGGCTCATACCTGTAATTCCAGAAGTTTGGGGTGGGTGGATCACTTAAGCCCAGGGGTTCAAGACCAACCTGAGCAACATAGCAAAACCTCACCTCTACATAAAAAATATACAAAAATTAGCTGGGTGTGATGGCATGCACCTGTAGTCCCAGCTATTCAGGAGGCTGCCGTAAGAGGATTGCTTGAGCCCAGGAAGTGGAGGCTTCAGGGCTGCAGTGAGATATGATCATGCCACTGCATTCCAGCCTGGGTGAAAGAGCCAGAGCTTGTCTCAAACAAAACAAAACAAAACAAACAAACAAAAAAAACAAAACACACACACACAAAACACAAAAAAAAATGATCAATACTCAATATATGCAACAACCCAGCTGAACTGCGAGAGAAATACAGTGAGTAAAAAAAGCCAAGCTGAAAAGGTTACATATTGTATGATTCCATTTATGTAACATTCCTAAAACGGGAAAAGTATAGAAATGGAGAGCAGGTTAATTGTCATCTGGGGTTAAGGAGGGAATGGGGGTGGAGGGGAACAGATCTTTGTGATGATGGAATGTTCTGTATCTTGACTGTAGTGATGCCAGTATCACAACAGTATGCTGTACTGCGTACTGTAGTCTTATAAGATGTTACCACTGGAAGAAACAGGGTAAAGGATACACAGAATTGCACTGTACTATTTCTTATAACTGCTTGTGAATCTACTATGATGTCAAAATAAAACTTTTAATTAAAAAGAAAAAAGCAAAAATAACGATTTGTTGTTTATCTGAAAGTCAAATTAAACTGGGCATCCTGTATTTTATCAGGCATCTCTGGGAGCTTGTTGGAGATGCAGATTCCCTGGCCCCACTTCAGACCCACTACATCAGAATCTGTGTTGTAACACTAAAGTATGAGAAGCTCTGATTAGTGGCTCCTGGGTGTGTTAGTCCATTTTGCATTGCTATATAGGAATATGTGAGGCTGAGTATTTACAAAGAAAAGACGTTTGTTTGGCTCACAGTTCTGCAGGAGGCAAAAGAAGCCTGGCACCAGCATCTGCTTCTGGTAAGGACTGCAGGGGAGCTTCCAATCATGCAGACAGTGAAGGGGGGATCAGGTGTGCCGCAGGCCACGGGGAGGTGTCCCAGACTGTTTTCAACAATCAGATCTCAGGTGAACTCATTATCACAGGGAGGGCATCAAGCCATTCATGAGCTGCCCCCATGACCCAAACACCTCCCATGAGGCCCCACCTCCAACACTGGGGATCACATTTCCACATGAAAATTGGAGGGGACAAGCATCCAAACTGTATCACAGCTCCTGTTGGATCTGGATTCCTAGGAGTCTGTGATGATAGCAATTAACATGTATCTTTGAGCTATTTATTATATTTCAAAAAGCCCAAAGAGAATCACACATTTTATCTAGGATCAGGCTGTGTAGGACAAGTGAGTTTCTTTTTCTCTTTCTTTTTTTTTTTTGAGAGAGTCTCGCACTGTTGCCTGGGCTGGATGGAGTGCAGTGGCGCGATCTTGACTCACTGCAACCTCCACCTCCTGGGTTCAAGCAGTTCTCCTGCCTCAGCCTCCCGAATAGTTGGGGTTACAGGTGGCTGCCACCACGCCCAACTAATTTTTCATATTTTTAGTAGAGACAGGGTTTCACCATGTTGGCCAGGCTGGTCTCAAACTCCTGACCTCGTGATCTGCCTGCCTCGGCTTCCCAAAGTGCTGAGATTGCAGGTGTTAGCCACAGCGCCTGGCTGACAAGTGAGTTTCAACCCTCCAGTGGCTTCCCACTGGACTCAGGATAGAGCCCAGACTCCTGCCTGGGCTTACGACGCCTTCACAGTCCAGGCCCTACTCCCCAATCTGACCTCACCTCCTCCCACCACTCTGTGGTCACAGCACATGTGTCCACGTGCTGACAATGCACAGACACACCAAACCCATTCCCACTCAGGGGAATGTTTGCATGTTCTATTTGTTCTGCCAGCATACTCTCCCTTTAGAGCCTCAAGTGGCTCTCGGCTCAAAGATCACCTTCCCAGGAATGCCTTCCCAGACCATCCTGCCTAAACTAGGTCCCCTCTCCCAACCCACGTCACACTCTATCACATCACACCAATTTATTTTCTTTATATCAGTTGTTAGTACCCATTTACACCGAGCAGTTCATGCAAGTTAGAAACAGTGACAGTTCTGAGAGTTTGAGTAATAAAAGGAAAACCAACTAATTATTGAATTAATTAAGAATGCAGTTTGTTTGGTGGACGTAATCTTTTACAAGCATGCAAAGCTTGGAAGAAACAAGTAGCAAAATCGGCCATCTATAGGGGGTCCTTCCCATTTTGACCTTTTTATGTCTTTCTACAAATTCCATTTTGCACTTGTCCCTCCCTAGCTCGAAACATTCTCTCTCTCTTTAGGATACAGGTCACATGCCTCACCCCAGCATTCAAGGCTCTGCTCAGCTAGCCCCAGTCCACTTCCTTAGGGTACTTCCCTTCTTCTCCTTCACAGATTATTTGTTCTGGCCAGACAGCTGCTCTCTGCATTGCTTCCTGAACATTCTATATACAGTTGCACCTCCATGCCTTTGCTTGTGCCCTTCCCTTTGCCATTTATACCCTCCCTATTTATTTGGATGAACAACCATGAGATAATTTGTGGAGTTAATGAAAATTTATGAGCAACAATTATGCACCCAACTACATTAGGAGGTACTAGCAGAAAAGCACAAAGGACTCTAATTCAAAGTAGTCAGGGCATGGTTCTAAGGAAAAAATAGGCTTGGAATATGTCCTAAAAAAAGAGAATGCTGTGGGAATTTGAGGGAGGAAGTAAAAGTGTCTATCCATGAATATAGTAAATATTTCCATCTATTGAGGTCATCTTTATTAGTCTTTTAACAATGTTCTATCATTTTCCTTCTAAGCGTTGCTTGTTTATTCCTAGGTATCCAATCTTCTTTTATTCTATTGCAAATGTTTAATTATATCATCTAAATATTCCCAGTATGTACAAATGCAATTCATTTTTGTGTTCTGATTCTTGTATCCACTACCTTCCAAATACTCTTATTTTTCTAATAATTTGACTACATGTTCTTTTGGGTTCTATGTAGACAATTATATATGTAAATAATAGCAGTTTTATTTCTTCCTTTTCCATCCTAACACTTTCAACTTTTCTTTCGCTATTTTTCTTTTTTTGAGACGGAATTTTGCTCTGTCACCCAGGCTGGAGTGCAATGGCGCCATCTCGGCTCACTGCAACCTCCGCCTCCTGGGTCCAAGCAATTCTCCTGCCTCTGGGGTTACAGGCATGCACCACCATGCCCGGCTAATTTTTTTTTTTTTTTTTTTTGAGACGGAGTTTCGCTCTGTCGCCCAGGCTGGAGTACAGTGGCGCGATCTCGACTCACTGCAAGCTCTGCCTCCCGGGTTCACGCCATTCTCCTGCCTCAGCCTCCCATGTAGCTGGGACCACAGGCGCACGCCACCATGCCCGGCTAATTTTTGTATTTTTAGTAGAGATGGGGTTTCACCATGTTGGCCAGGCTGCTCTCAAACTCCTGACCTCAGATGATCCACCTGCCTTGGCCTCCCAAAGTGCTGAGATTACAGGCATGAGCCACTGCACCCGGCCTCTTTTGCTGTTTTTTTTTTTTGTTTTTTCTTTAAGGGACATTTTTATTGCTCAATGTTTAGTAGTTAGAGGACTATTCAGGCTTTCTGTTTCTACTTGAATTGGTATTGACAAGTTACATTTTTCTAGTCTTACTGTGCAGGCCATGACCTTTTATCTTATTCCTGATTTTATTTTATTTTATTTATTTTGAGACAGGGTGTCGCTTTGTCACCTAGGCTGGAGTGCAGTGGCACGTTCATGGCTCATAGCAGCCTTGAACTCCTGGGCTCAAGGCAGCCTCCTGCCTCAGCCTTCTGAGTAGCTGGGACTACAGGCATGCTCCACTATGCCTGGTTAATTTTTGCATTTTTTGTAGAGATGGGGTTTCTCTATGTTGCTGGTCTCGAACTCCTGGGCTCAAGAGATCCACCCATCTTGGCCTCTCAAAGTGCTGGGCCCATAGGTGTGAGCCACCCTGCCTGGCCTGTAGATGCTTCTAACATTTCCCCTTTATGAATGATATTTGCACTATTTAACAAATAAGTCAAGTTAATAGCATGAATAATGTGACAAACTGACATCATGTGTCCCATGATGTAATGACCTAAAAATGATATACCACCACTCATGCAATATTCTTGCCAAAAATACATAAATGATTCTAATAATGAGGAAACAATTTGGTAAGTCCAAATTTAGAAACATTCTACTGAACAACTGACCTTTACTCCTGAAAAATGTTAATATCATGAAGTGATGAAGACTAAGAGATGACAACTAATGTGTGGTCCTGAATTGGATTCTAGATCAGAAAAAAAAGCTATTATAAAGGTCATCATTGGGACAACTGATGTAATTTGAATTTGGGTTGTATATTATAATTAGCATTGAATCAATGTTAAATTTCTAGGATGTGGTTATATAAGAGAATATTCTCGTTCTTAGAAGATACAGACCGAAGTACAGTATTTGGGGGTAAAGGGTCATCTCTATAACTTTTTCTCTTTTTTTGTTATTTTGAGACGGAGTTTTGCTCTGTCACCCAGGCTGGAGTGCAGTGGCACGATCTCAGCTCATTGCAACCCCTGCCTCCCGGGTTCAAGTGATTCTCCTGCCTCAGACTCCTGAGTAGCTGGGATTACAGGCACCCGCTACCACACCTGGCTAATTTTTTGTGTTTTTAGTAGAGACGGAGTTTCACCATGTTGGCCAGGCTGATGTCGAACTCCTGACTTCAAGTGATCTGCCCGTCTGGGCCTGCCAAGGTGCTGGGATTACAGGCGTAAGCCAGCGCATCCGGCTGATAACTTTTTTTTTTTTTTTTTAAGAGATGGGGTCTTATTCTGTCACCCAGGCTGGAGTGCAGTGGTGCTTTCATAGCTACTGCAACCTCAAATTCGTGGCCTCAAGCAATTCTCCTGCTTCAGCCTCTCGTATAGCTGGGACTACAGGTGTGTACCACTGTGCCCAGCTAACTAAAAAGCAATTTTTTAAGAGATGGGGTCTTGCTATACTGCCCAGGCTATATGTCTGTAACTTCTCTGTTTCCAAACACACACACACACACACACACACACACACACACACACACACACTCACACACACACCCCGAGAGGCAAAATGTTAAAACCGGTAAACCAGGTGAAGGTTAATCAGGAATTAGTTCAGTTTTATTTGCAAATCTTCTGTAGGCTTGAAATTGCTTCAAGATAAAAAGGTTTTAAAATGCTGTTTACTATAGGTCAGTGAAATTCTCCCTTATCCTTCATTTGCTAATTTTCTTTTTGTTGCTGCTGAGTTTTTCTCATGGCTGGGTATTGGGCTTTATCAAACACTTTTTCTCCATCTATGGACATGATCATATGGTTTTTCCTCTTTCACTTGCTAATATGATGATTTATCTTTATAGATTTACTAATATTAAATCACCTTTAGTTTCTGGAATAAATCCAACTTGGTCAGAATGTATCTTTTATTTACTGTAATTTGCTAGTAATTTGGCATCCATCTTCATGAGTGAGATTGATCAATATTTTTTTCTTTCTTATTCTGTCCTCCTTGTCTGGTTTTGGTATCAAGGTTACAGTGGCCTCACAGAATGAGGAAAGAAGTTGTTCATCTTTTTTATTTGTGGAAATGTTTGTAAAAGATTAGAATCTGTTCCTTGAAAGTTTTGTAGGATTTACCTGTAAAACCATCTAGGCCTAGAGTCTTTCTTATGTGTTTGTGTGTATATATATATATATATATATATACACAAATACATATATATATATATTTTAAATATATGTATGTAAAATATAAGAAACATGCAAAAAGTGTAAAGAATGAAAATTATCAGCTTAACAAATTACTGGAAAATAAATTACCCATAATTGCTACCCTCCCAAGCCAAGACATGAACCATTACTAGCACATAGGAGGTCTCCCACGAGATGCTTTCCAGTCGTAACCCTCTCCATCCCCCAGGGGTAACTGCTATTCTGTTTTTCATGGTAGTCTCTTCTTTGTTTTTCTTTAAAATTTCACTATGTAATTATGCAACTGTTAAAGTATGGTTTAGTGTAGGCTGTTTTTAATTTAAGGTTAATTAAATGATATAGTTTAAAATTTGTTTGGCTTATTTCACTCAACTTTATCTTTCTGACTCAACCATGTTGTTGTATATAACTACACTTTATTCCTTTTTGTGGTTTTGTACATTCACTTGTATGGATATGCCATAATTTATTTATGAAGTTCTTGGACATACAGGTTTTCCCAGTTTTGCAATAATACAAACAATGCTACTATGCACATTCTTATGCTTCTGTTCTGGTGGACAGAGCACCAGTGGTGAACACTGCGTGGTATAAACCTATGGTTGGTATTTCTGGGTCACAGGTATATGCATTTTCTTCTTCTTTCCAAAACAGGTGTGCCAGTTTACACTCCCATCAGAAGTGTCTGATCGTTTACACAACTCTGTATACTTGCTGTCATTTACTAGTGTTAGACATTTTTGACAATCTGATGTGTAGTGGTATTGCACTGGTTTACTAATGAGGTTGAGTAGTTTTTCAAATGCTTATTAGCCATTTGGATTTTCTTTGCTATGAAGTGCTGGTTCAGTGTTTTGTGGATTTTTCGGTACATTTTATACATTCAAGAAATGAGTCTTTTGTCATGTTTATTATATCCTTTTCCACTCTATAGCTCGCCTTTCCTTTTGCTATTTTCTTTAAGGGAAATTTTTATTGCTCAATTTTTTTTTTTTTTTTTTTTTTGAGATGGAGTCTGGCTCTGTCACCCAGGCTAGAGTGCAGTGGCATGATCTCAGCTCACTGCAACCTCTGCCTCCTGCGTTCAAGCAATTCTCCTGCCTCAGCCTCCCGAGTAGCTGGGATTACAGGTGCCCGCCACTGTGCCTGGCTAATTTTTGTATTTTTAGTAGAGACGGGGTTTCACCATGTTGGTTAGGCTGGTCTCGAACTCCTGACCTCATGATCCACCCACCTCAGCCTCCCAATGTGCTGGGATTAAAGGCATGAGCCACCACGCCTGGCCTATTGTTCAATTTTTAAAGTACATAAAGGACTATTCCTTTAAAGAACTATTCAGGCTTTCTATTTCTACATAAATCAGTATTGACAAGTTATATTTTTTAAGGAGTTTGCCCATATTGTTAATGTTCTCAAATTTATTGGCATACAGTTGCTTGTATTAGTTCTTATTAGATTTCAAAGCTCTGCTGTGATATTGTTTTTCTCATTCCTGATGCTTTTTGTACCCTTTCTCTTTTATTGTTGGCCAGTCTCTGCAGGGGCTTGTCTATCACCCTTTTCTAAAAACAAACTTTTGGCCCTTTTATCTTCTCTAATGTATCCTTATATTCTCTTTCATTGATTTTTGCTTTTTATTATCTCCTTCCTCAAACTTTCTTTGGGTTTATTCTGCTGCTCTTTGTTTGAATTTTTTTTTTTTTTTTTTTGAGACAGGGTCTCACTCTGTTGCCCAGGCTGGAGTACAGTGTTGAAAGCATGGCTCACAACTTCCCTGGGCTCAGGTAATCTGACCTCAGCCTCCTAAGTAGCTAGGACCACAGGCAAATGCCCTCATGCCCAGTTAATTTTTGTATTTTTTGTACAGATGGGGTTTCACCATGTTGCCCAGGCTGGTCTCAAACTCTTGGGCTTAAGTAATCCTCTGGCCTTGGCCTTCCAAAGTGCTGGGATTACAGGTGTGAGCCACTGTACCCGGCTCTAACTTCTTAGATGGAATGTTTAATCATTAATTTTTAGGCTTCCTTCTTTTCTAATATAAGCATTAGTGCTATAGATTTCCCTTGAAGCCCCACTTTCCCTACATCTCGTAAGTTTTGTGATATATTTCATTTTATCAATTCCAAGGATTTTTAAATTTCCATTTTGATTTTGTTTATGGCCTATAAATTATTTAGAAATAGTTTTTAAGTTTCCAAATGAATGGGAATTTAAGATTTATCTTTTGTTATTGATTTCTAACTCAATTGCATTGTGTTCAGGAAACCTGGTCTATGAGATTCTAATCTGCGTGATCTTTTAACTTCTGAAGTCCTCTGGGGGTCTAAGTCTGCTATTTGTGTTTCAGCTGACTCTCACTCATGGTGGTGTACATGCTTTGTGATCTTTGTGGATTCATATTTCTCTATGTTTAATCTGTGGGGATCCTGTCCACATTGTGGATGCTTTCCTCTGGAGAGGCTTCATGTCAGTTTCTGCTGTGAGCCAGTGGCACTACTAACCTGGGATCCCTCTAGCCCCTTCAGGTGTTCTGCCTTAAGGTAGAGACTCAGGGTTGGCATCCTGAATGGAACTACTATTAGGTTGATCTATGTGAAAATGTTGCTTTTTTGGGGTCAAACCAGTTGAATATCCACAATTTTATATGGTCCAACCTACGCTAGCAACACTTGCACTAAGGACAAAAGCCTGTTCTTCCTGCTTGCTTACTGTTTGCCTCTCCTAGCTAGTTTTGACTCAATGTTTGTTTCCCTTTTTTTGGTGGGGAAGGTGGCTTTGGAGACTTTCCCAATTTCCTGTAATCCCAGTAAAGCATTAAAAAATTATATTTTATTCAGGAGGAAATAAATTCGCAGAATTATATTGCAGAGAAGAGGAGAGGTGCTACGAGTAGCTAAGCCAACTGCTAGAGGCTAAAATTCAGGACAGGTGTATTTTTCCCAGTGAGGAAACCAAGGCTCAAAGAGATGAAATGACTTACTCAAGGTCACACAGCTAGTAATGGGCAGGGCTAGGACTTTCTAGAAACCCAGGCTCTTTCCACTTTCCCTCTGTCCTGCCCTGCCTCCAGAGAGCTGTTTGGGCCTGGGGGTGTCCTTACCTGGTGCAGGGGGATGACGAGGAAGGCCCCTCCACCAGCACACTCAGTCACAACTGCAATGAAGTGGGGGTTCACGGCACAGAAGTGGTTGTCGTGAACGCTGCGGGTGATAGGCACGGAGTCGTAGCAGTTCTCCTTGCTGGCTGGTTTGCCAAAGACATGACGGAACTTGGAGCTCCGGTACTGGGGGTGCCATGACATCTGCAGGAGACAAATGGGACAAAGGGTATGAGGCTCACTGCCCTGATCATGGGACACACAGAGCTCTCATCTTAAGAGTACATAAGAGGGTACGAGCAGGACAGTGGTCAGTTCAACGTGGACGGTGATGCACTGTGAAGGGCAAACAAGTGAAAAGACTCTAATTACAGTTACTTCTGTAGACCTGGTAAGATAAGATGGGATGAAGCATAGCTATTACTGACCTGCTTGCTGATGTGTTAAGGCTTTTCATCCCTTTGAGTGTGAATATAACAAGGCAGAAGAACCATAGAGAGAATCCACCACATTGACCCCCATCTGCTGTTTCACCAGACAGCCCAGTACCCTCAGCCCGACTAAGTAGGTACCAATGTGCTGTCTGGAGCCAGCCTGCCTGGGTTTCAATCCCAGCTCTGTCTCTTATCAGCTGGATGGCAAGTGACTTAACCTCTGGAGTCTCAGTTTCTCCATCTGTAAAATGAGGTAACACAAGTATCCATCTCAGCTAGGCATGGCAGCTCATGCCTGTAATCCCAGCATTTTGGGAGGCCAAGGCAGGAGGACTGATTGAGCCCAGGAGTTCAAATGTAGCCTGGGCAACACAGTGAGACCCTGTCTCTAAAAAAAAAATAAAAGAGAGAGAGATTGAAAAAAGTATCTGCCTCATAGCCTTGTCATAAGGATTAAGTTAGATGATGTATTTAGACCCCTTGGTGCATGGCAGATACTTGATCAACAGTGGCAATCACAGCCACTAGTATCATCTGGGCATCTTCAGCTTGCTTTGCTCCTCGTCCAGCCTTATATTTGTTCACTCAATATTTACCGAGCATCACTGTGTGTCTAGGCCCTGTGCCAGGTACCAGGGAGTTTGGAAACAGTAGGCCTGAGCCCAGCCTTTACAGGAGTGAAGAGTCCTCTGGGTGAGGCTACTAGGAGAGTCTGGGCCACTGGGACCGACTGTACTATGGGTAATAACAGAGATTCGCACATGACAGTCAGGGAGGGCTTCTCAAAGGAAGTGACAACTAAACAGTGACTTGGAGGATGAGTAGGAGTTGGTCATGTAGGCAGGATGAGGGAGAGCTGGGGGAAGGTGTCTTAGGCAGATAGAACAGTTTGGGGGAACCACATGTGGTTTAGTAAGATTATCAAAGAGAAATTAAAAAGAAGAAAACACACACACACACACACACACACCATGTATATTGGGTAACGTGAATGAAGAGAATACAAGCCAGAGGGGCGAGGAGAGCCAGATCACAAGTGGCCTGTGAGAGGGTCTAGGCCTCTTTCATGGCCAAACCCATACCCATAATACCAGGGGGCCTCCTCTTGGCCAGACGGACCCTTCTGAATACCAAGCCCTCACCACCCCACCCCCACCTCATATCACCCTTTATTTATTATTATTTTTGAGGAAGGATCTCGCTCTGTCACCCAGGCTGGAGTGCAGTGGTGTGATCATAGCTCGCTGCAGCCTCAAACTCCTGACCTCAAGGATCCTCCTGCCTCAGCCTTCCAAGTAGCTAGGACTACAGGTACATGCCACCATACCTGGCTAATTAAAAAAATTTTTTTTCTTGCCATGTTGCCCAGGCTGGTCTCAACCTCCTGATCTCAAGCAATTCTCCTGTAGCTGCCTCTCAAAGGTTGGGATTAAAGGCGTGAGCCACTGCCCCTGGCCTCACATCACCCTCTGATGCTGCCCATTCATTGCTGCCCTACAGGATCAAGGCCAAATCCTTTGGCTTGGCATTCAAGGCCTCTGGCTGGGTCTCATTCCATATTCCAAGATTCTTTTCTTCTAGCTCATCTAAACGGCACCTTCCAGCTTCCCCAGCACCTGCTCTTGCATCTCCAGCCCTCTGGCTCTTTGCCCGTCCCTCTCCTTCTGCTTGGCTTGCCATTCCCATGCCCCCACCTCCTGTTCCCATCTCCACAAATCCAAATCCGCCCCTTCCCTAGCTCCCAAGCCACTTCCTCCAGAGAGTCCTCCTTGATATCCCAAGTAGCAGAGATCTCGCTCTCCTCTGTTCCCTGACAGCCACCTCTCCCCTTGCCTTTAGCCCTTGACACTGTCTACCCTGATTTGGGGTTCAGGGTCAGTTCTCATTTTCTCTGCTGGCTTGGAGCTTCCTCAGAGAAGGCTCTGCTCCAGGAGTGTCCAGCACAGTGTCTATCCCCCTTGGGCCCCCACCTTCCCCACTTAGGGGAAGGCAGGTTTGGCTGGGCCTACGCTGGTCAAGATAAAGAAGATGCTCACCCAGCCCACACGGCTGACCCATGAGGCTCTTCTCTGTGCTCAATTCCTCAGAACGAGATTACACTGTGTGACCTCAGGCAAGTCATAGCGATAAGGGCCTGACCCCTGAGGCAAGCCCTTTAGACAGCACCAGGTAGCACGTCAGTCTTGCAGGGGCTTGTGTATCCCATAAAGCTCAGAAATTCCAACTCTCCTTTCGGGAGCTTTGCCCTAAACCCTGGCTGCATTTGCCAGAGCTACAGGAAGCTGCACAGAATGTAGGGATGGACTGACTAATTAATGCCCATGTGATTCCAGAAAGGATTTAAGAAGACTCACAAAAATAGAACACAAGATAGAAGGAAATGAAAAAGCTACAAGAGAAAAAATAGGGACACAAGGAAAATGCAGGTAAAAAGAGATCACCTGAAACGCAGGAGGAGTTAAGCTAGGTGTGCGGCCAGGTCCACCACACAGAGGAGGTAGACCTCAGATTTGGCTCTGAGCTTCCTAGTGGCCAATTCAACAAGGAAAAGAGAATCAGAAAGGGATTTATTTGGTGTCTATAAGATAAAAGCCACAAGTTGCTAAGGAGCAGCACATCTTTTCTCTATAGTGAGTTTTGAGAGAAATGGGTACTGGGGGTCCCCTTGGAAAGAAACAACAAGGACAAATGACCTCCCTAGGGTCTTGGCAACTTGGTGGCAGTGGAGGAGCCACCTTGGGCCTGGGCTCGGGTGGGAAAGCAAGGAGCAAATCAGCAGGCTCCGCTCCAGGCCCCCCCACTCCTCCCTCACCTTGAGCAACTGCTGGGGGTGGCGGGAGTGCACCTGTCTGTGGCAGCTGGTGATGCTCACCAGACGTCCCATTGCTCCCCTCATGTCCAGGCCCCTTCCAGTCAGGCAGCCATAGCACACATCACTGCCTCCTATGACCCGTTAGCCAGTGGATCATGGGAGGCAGTGATGTGTGTCACTTCCAGGCCAAAGCACATGAGACCTGCCTGTGACCCTCTAGGACTCTCGTCCTTGGCCAAAGGGATGAGAAGGGTGCATGTTTCAGATGGTGCATCTATAAGGTAGTTGGTCCCTCAGGAACCATGTGTAGCAGAGCACTTTCTTCTACTGACATACAGTGCAACAGAGAAATACACTTGTAGAGTGAACCATGAGATAAGGGGTTATTTGTCATGGAGGACAGCGACCCATCCTGATTCATACAGCCTATGCAAGTCCGGCCCATGGAGATGGCAAGTGGCTGCCTGTGCTTGGTGTGGCCACAGAGGAGGAGGCAGGACCCAGATCATCTCAGATACCCGGACTCTGAGGGCAGTGGGGAGCTACTGGAGAAATTAAAGGAGGGGAGAAGCTGGGCACGGTGGCTCACACCTGTAATCCCAGCACTTTGGGAGGCTGAGGTGGGGGGATCACTTGAGGTCAGGAGTTCGAGACCAGCCTGGCCAACATGGTGAAACCCCGTCTCTACTGAAAATACAAAAATTAGCCGGGTGTGGTGGCGCGCGCCTGTAGTCCCAGCCACTCTGGAGGCTGAGGCAGGAGAATCACTTGAACCGGGAATGCGGAGGTTGCAGCGAGCCAAGATCGCACCACTGCACTCCATCCTAGGGAACAGAGTGATAATCTGTCTCAAAAATAATTAATAATAATTCTAATAAATAAAGCAGGGGAGATAGAGGACCAGATTTAATTTTCAGGTTTTCCTCTGATTCCTGAGCAGAGGAAAGGATAGAGCAGGTAAGAGGCAATGGTCACCCGGGCTGGAGTAGGGCAGTGAAGTGGACGGGATGGTGGGGAGAGGATGTTACTGAAATACCAAGGAGGTGGGATCAACCAAATGTGGTGCCTGAGTGCATGTGGCGGGCCTGGGGTAGTCGCTGAAATCGACATGAGCTTACATTAACAACAGCCCTGGCCCCTTCCGGACCCTCTGAGCTGTCTCCCTCCACAGCCTGTCTGTGCACCTGTAGGGGGTACCTGGGGTCTGGCCCAACTCCTGAGAGCCACTCTCCATCCAGGAGGAGTGAGGAGGCCGTGAGAGGCCTGGGCAACACCTCCCCTGGAGCTCACAGTCACCTCTGTGGCAATAAGAAGTCATGGTTTTTGAGTGCTTACAAGCTGCCAGGCGCCATTCCAAATGCTTTCCATGCATGAATAGAGCAAGTGGGTGCTACCTTGCTCCCCCGTTCAGATGTAGGTGTTCAGGCCAGTAACCGGGTCACACAGCTAGTGAACAGCAGGCCTGGGGGCTGCACTCAGCTGTCTCAAGCCTGCAGCTTTTGAGCCTGCAGCTCCAGGTCCTCACAGACAATACCCATGATGACAATAGCTCTTTCAGACCCATCACAGCCCTGGATCTCACCTCTGTCCCTAAGAGGAACTGTCATGATCATGATCACTTCCACTCTACAGAGAAGGAAAATGAGGCCCAGGAAGCTAGCTAGAACCCTCTGGAAAGGCTCCCCACTTCCCCACGGATGAAGCCAGCTGACAGCAAAAGAGCGTGAACATCAGTGCCCTTCTGTCCGTCCCCCAATCCTCTCCCCACCCTAACTCTTATTTGCACTGCTAAGATTCTTCCAGACCTGCTGTCATGAAGGGAAACTTCACAAGTAGGGGGTGGGGCAGCCGCTAGCAAGGCCAGCTACCTCTCCCTTTGTATGTGGCATGGAAGTGTATGTGTATATGCATGGGTGAAGCTTGTGCATGCGTGCTGGCCTGTGTGCGTACTGTGTGTGCACAAGAACTGCATTCATCAGGAAGTTCATGAGCGCCTGTGTCGTTTTGTGGGTGTGCATGCACGTGTGCATCCCTTTGGATGTTTAACTGAGGCTGTGTATATACACATGCATGAGCGCATGCGTGTATCCGTGCATGCATGACTTTAATGACTCAGTAATTCAGAGAACAGGAGTTCATTTTCCCTACAAGCAGGCACTTGCCCACAAGTGAGTACTGTAGCGGGCCCTTCGCCTACAGGCTGGGCCAGAACAGCCGATTCGAGCCAGGTCTATCCCAGGCCACTCATCTTATCCTGCCCCATTCCATCTGGCTGGGCCCACATCAAAGCCACAACAGGCATTCTCAGGTGTGGCACTCTGGGACAGCCTGCTGGGCACAAGGCGGGAGGTGGCATCCATTCTGCTGCTGTGATCCCATGCAGGCTTGGTGGGCCTGATGCCATGGGATTAGGCTCCGGGGCCTGTGAATTCCCAACTCCCAGAAAGGATGTAGTCATCTCTGGGTTTTGCATCGCACTGAGTTTATTTCTTTTTTTTTCTTTGAGACGGAGTCTCGCTCTGTTGCCCAGGCTGGAGTGTGCAGTGGTGCTATCTCAGCTCACTGCAACCTCTGCCTCCTGGGTTCAAGCGATTCTCCTGCCTCAGCCTCCAGAGTAGCTGGGATAACAGGCGCATGCCACTGTGCCCCACTAATTTTTGTATTTTTAGTAGAGACAGGGTTTTGCCAAGTTGCCCAGGCTGGTCACAAACTCCTGACCTCAGGTGATCCGCCTACCTTGGCCTCCCTAAGTGCTGAGATTACAGGCGTAAGCCATTGTGCCCGGCCTTGAGTTTATTTCTTAACACCTGACAGTGGCTCACAACTCTCCTGCAAGGTAGGTGGGGATTATTTTCCCCCATTTGATGATGGGAAAACTGGGGTGCAAGGGAAGTGACTAGACTGAAGTCATGTTATGATGAGCAGTGCAGGTGGGAAGTAGTCTGAGGACTAGTTGAGAGACCCCTCTTCCTGCTATGCAATATGCTCCTTTCTTGACATACATGCGGGGTGTGTGTGTGTGTGTGTATGTGTGTGTGTGAGAGAGAGAGAGAGAGAGAGAGAGAGAGAGAGAAAGAGACAGAGAGAGTTTCCTGCCTGTTCCAAAGGCCCCTCTTCTTTACCCAGCCCTAAACTCATTGCAGGACAAGGGTTAGCTGCAGGGTGGCTGAAACTGAACCCAAACTGGGCGTGGTGCAAACCATTATAATAGATTATTCATTAATTGTACTGTTTGTGGCTTTAAGGAAAGAATGAAATGACCTGATTTGGTCTTTGAACAGGATGGGTAGGCATTGCTGGCTACCAGTGCCCCTTCGTAAATTTGTGGTTTCACATATAATATTTGAAGTTTTATCTGTTCTCTCTCTTAAAATTTGACTTGTGGGCACAGTGAGCTGCCACCTGTAAGTGCCTGGTGAGAGGGTCTGAACCACCACACTTATGTCACAGCCACAGTTAGGGAAGATTAGAACCACAAGTTACCCAGTTATTTCAAAAACCGAAAAGAGGTTACTGTTAATCAGGATAAAGAACGCTCTATGTGAAGGTGCTCTACAAAGGCTGAGAATTCACACAATACACGTCTCATCATGGGTGGGTCCCTCACCTGGACTCCAATCCCTGACCCACTATTATCCATCACAGTTTATCTTGATCCTGGCCTTGGCCCTAAACTTGCTGGGAAAGCTCTTTTCAGTCATCCAGAATCCTTATGGGGTCTCTGATCCACCCATTGCGAGTGGGATATCTGGCTCTGAAATCAAAGCCCATGGAGGATAAGGCCACCCTGCTGCCAACCTAGGCCTCTGGGTAACCATTTCCCACAGCATCTTCCTTTCTCACCAGGCAGGAAGAAAAAAATACAAGGCTCAGCTACTTCTCCTCTGTAAGGGTTTTATCACAACTGGGCTCTGTGAATCTAAGGCCAGACCCTGGTTTAAACCACCACCTCTTGGCACGAGGTGTCTTAACTTTTGCCTTGCACCGGCCAGCAACAAGGTCTGAAGTGATACAGTGGGATCCAGTGTGCTAGGACCTAACAGTCTCACCCCACAGGGTAATTTTTCCTCCCTCCTTCAAAGCAAAAAGGGTCCTTGCCGCTCTCCACAGAAGTAGGGCAACTAACTGTCTTGGTTTGCCTCGGATTGTGGAGGGGTTCCAGGGAGGCAGGACTTACAGCGCTAAACTGGGGGAAGTCTTACTTAGGCAAACAGGGATAAGTTGGTCACTCTCCCACCACTACCACCACCACCAGGGTCTAGGTGTAACAATTCTTTTTTTTTTGAGATAGGGCCTCACTTTGCTACCCAGGCTGGAGTGCAGAGGCGTGATCAGTGCTCTCTGCAGCCTCAACCTCCTGGGCTTGCGCAATCCTCTGGCTTCAGCCTCCTGCATAGCTAAGAACAAGCATGTACCACCGTGCTTGGCTAATTTTTTTGTAAAGACAGGGTTTCACTCTGTTGCCAGGCTGGTCTTGAACACCTGGCCTCAGGCGATCCTCACACCTCAGCCTCTCAAAGTGCTGGGATGACAGGCGTGAGCCACCGTGCCTGGCTTACACGTAACAATTCTATTGTAAATTCCTGGTAGCCCTGACTTTGTCAAGTTGTCTGCGAGAGAGGAGGCTCTAGAATCCATTTCTTAAAGGGCCCAACATACCGAACCATAGAATAGAAATTTCAAAGCAGAATAATCCAGGAAGCTTTATAGAGAGAGGTGAAGAGGATTTCATTCAATCTCCAATCTTCATCTGATATTGACTTGGTGCTTATTCTGCGCCAAGCCGTGTCAGGAGCAGGGCTCGGAGGGGTCAGAGATGAATAATTCAGTCACTGCTCTCCACATGTTCATACCTCTCAGGGAAATGACCAAGAGCAGAAAGAGATGAGATGGTGTGACCTTGAGGGACTGCTAACATGCAGGGCAGTGGCTTGCAACTTTGCACATTAGAATCACTTAAATCAGATTACTGGGTGGGGGACCCAGATGCCAGCACTGCTTAAGCTTCCAGTGCATGTGATTCCAGCGCATGTTAGGAGCAAGGATAACAGAAACACATAATGGATGTGATGCAGTAGTTCTCAAAGTGCAGTCCCCCATTAACCATATCACTAGGGAACTTTTTATTTGCAAATTCTCAAGCCTCCTTCCCCAGACCTACTGAATCAGGTATTCTGGGGGTGGGGCTCACCACTCTGCTTTAACCAGCCCCCCAGGTTCAAGTTTGAGACTCAGTGGTGTAATGGATGGGTTGGCAATACCTGAACCCACTGCCCAATCTTAGCATCACTAAAAGAGATAACCAGACATTATGTGCTGCTAACATGAAGCAACAGGAAACACTACTTATAAAGTGGCCTTGCCAAAAAATGAAACCCACTGTTGACCGAGTCTTTGTATGTAACTGTGCACACAGAGTATGGAGAAACATGTTAACAGCCACACAGATACAATCAGGAAAAAAACACAGGACATCCTACATGCTAAGTTTTCTGGTTTCTAACATTAACTCAAAATGCAACAAAGACCTAAATAGAAGAGCTAAATCTATAAAAAACCTTAGAAGAAAACGAAGAGCAAAATCTTCACAACATTGGGCTTGGCAATGATTCCTTGGTTATGATACCAGGAACAGGCAACAAAAGAAAAAAAATAGACAAATTGTATTCATGGAAATTAAAAACTTGTGTGTATTTAAGGATACTAGCAACAGAGTGAAAAGGCAACATATGGAATGAGAGGAAATATTTGCAAATCCATATGATAAGGTGTTAATGTTGAGAATATATAAAGAACTCTGACAACTCAACAACAAGCAAGCAAACAATTTGATTTGAAACAATCTGATTTAGTGCACTGTTGGTAGGAATGCAAAAGGGTTTAGTTGCTATGAAAGATAGTACGGCAGTTCATCAAAAATTTAAAAATAGAACGATCATACGATTCAGCAACTCCACTTCTGGAATATACACCCTTAAAGAAATGAAAGCAGGGTCTAGAAGAGATATTTGCACACTCATGTTCATAGCAGCATTATTCCCAATAGCTTAAATGTGGAATCAACCCAAGTGTCCGTTCACAGATGAACGGATCAGTAAAATGTGGTATATTCAAACCATGGAATAATATTCAACCTTCAAAAGGAAGAAAACTCTACTTTGGGAGGATGAGGTGGATCGCTTGGGTTCTGGAGTTCAAGACCAGCCTGGGTGACACAGCAAGACCTCATCTCTGCTAGAAATAAAAAAAAAATTAGCTGGGCATGGTGGCACACACCTGTAGTCCCAGCTACTCGGGAGGTCAAGGTGGGAGGATCACTTGAGCTCAGGAGTTAGAGGCTGCAGTAAGCTATGATTATACCACTGTACTCCAGTCTGGGTGATAAAGCAAGATCCTGTCTCAAAAAAAAAAAAAAAAGAAAGAAAAGAAAAAGGAAGAAAGTCTTGAGACATGCTGTAACATGGATGAACTTTGAGGGCATTATGCTAAGTGAAACAAGCCAGTTACAAAAAGACAGCGCATGATTCCACTTATATGAGTTACTTTGAGTAGGCAAAATCACAGGGACAGAAAGTAGAATGGTGGCTGCCAGGGGCTGAGGGTAGGGAGGAATGAAAAGTTATTGTTTAATGGATATAGAGTTTCAGTTTTGCAAGATAAAGAGTTCTAGAGATGGATGGTGGTGATGGCTGCACGGCAGTATGAGCGTACTTAATACCACTGAACTGTACACTTAAGAATGATTTAGATGGCAAATACTATGTTATGTGTATTTTAGTACAATGAAATATACATATATTTTTTAAAAGATCCGGTTTCTTTAAGATGACAAGGAAAAAGGGACAAGGGTCATTACAGTTCAGAAGAGACTTAAGAGATCAGAGGCACAGCAAGAAGTGCAATGTGTGGATCCTGTGTGGATCCGGATTCACACAAACCAATTGCAAAAAGGCATCAGGAAGCAATCAGGGAAAGCTGAGTGGGCACCTGACAGTATTAAAGAATTGTTGTCATTAGGTGTGGTAATAATACTGTGCTTATATTAGACAAGAGTCTTTATCTTTTAGAGACGGATGCCTAATATTCACAGATGAAATGATATAACATCTGGGATTTATCTTAAAATAACTTGCGGTTGTTGGACAGAGGAGGAGGGAATGAGTGCGTAGAGATGAAACAGGCTGCTGATGGCTACTGAAAGTGGGTGAGGGTACAAGAGGATTCATTTGAATCTTTCCTTTAATTTTGTATGTGTCTTTAAATTTCCATTGTAAAAGATTTAAGCAAGAAAGAAGCAGGAGAGCACAGAGGTGGCCCAGGCCCCGGAGCTTGACTGTCAGGGGTCTAATCTTGGCTCTAAACGGCCCTGTCCAACACAGAACCTCTAGTCCCACAAGGCTTCTAAATTAAAGTTAAAATTAAATAAAGTGTAAAATCCAGCTCCTTAGTCACACTAGCAACATTTCAAGAGCTCAAAAGCCACATGTGCTTCATAATCACAGATGAAACCATACAAGCAACACCCAATGAACAGTGTAATTAAACAACATGCCCATCTCTGAACAAAGTTCTGATGGACAGCACCACCCTATCATTTCCTATCTGCCACTCTGGGCAAGTTACTTAATGTGTCTATTTCCTCACCAGGAAAATCAGGCACTACAAATACACATACTAGCTAACGCCTATATTACTGACTAGGTGTTAAGTATGTTCCACATACCAACTCAACCCTCATGCAAGTACTGTCATAGCCCCATTTTTAAGATAAGGAAACAGGGCACAGAGAGGTTATATAACTTGCCTAAGATCACATAGCTAGTTAGTGGCTGGGCTGGAATCTGAAGCCAGGCTGTTCAGTCACAGGTCCACACTCTCTCGCAGGGGTTCCTGGACACTTACATAAGGTGATACACACAGCATGCAGAGTGATGCTTGGTGCATACTTAGTGTTCAAAAGACGTTGGCTAGTAAGATTGTTGTGGTCCCAATGTGTACAAGACACTGAGATGTGATTTAACACACAACAGGTATATGCTGGGAGGCCAGCATTTTGGGTATCTAAGTAAAAATCCCAAACCAGAAAGCATGAAGCAGCCTCCCAGGGGCCAAGTGGCTCGTGAGAGTTCCAACCCCTGGTGCAAACCATGATGATGGGGAAACAGACACACACATGCAGAAGGCTAGCTGACAATTCCTACTGATCAAAAAGAATCCAAGAGAGTGCATTTGTGCATCTCTCCGGGCTGGGTTCTCCTAGGTGGAGGCCAGAAGGCCCCACCCTGCCCTAGTGCTGAGGGACCTGGGACGGGGTGGAGGGGTGGGGGAAGAAGCCCTTTGCTTTTTCTCCATCAGCACAGCCCAGGCAGGGAAGCAGAGCGCAGCCATCCAGGGACCCTCCTTTGGGGCTTGACCATCACCAGCGAGGCAGAAGCCGTCTGCAGCCGGCAAATGCAAACAGCAAATGCAAAGAGTCCCGTCCTCAGGTTTCCGCCTTCCCCGCCCCCGCGCCGCCCATCCTTCTGGTCCAGCACAGATGCATCTCTGCAGGCCCACAGGAAGTACAGATTGAGTCAGAGAGCAAACCAAGACAAGGCCTCTTTCTTCCTGATGAGATTAGGCCTGAGGGAGTGCCTCCTCCCCACATCTGACACTGCCCAGAGCCACCGTCCCTGGGCGGGCCACCTCCTCCTGCCCTGCCTCCTCCCCAGCCCTGCCCCCACGGCCCCCACCTGCTCTCTACCCCTCTCCCAGGCCATGCCAAGGCCTCAGCAGCCTTCTCTCTTGGGGACTCAGGCCTCGCATATTCCACCCCCAACTCTGGCCCTGCACTTTCCCTTAAAATGCACCCCGGGTCCCCTCTGTCCTCAGGATAAAGTCCTCTGCTGGACTTGGGTTTTGAGGTCCCTACGTTCCCCCTGAGTCTTTGACCTCCTTCTCATCTCCACAGACCTGTTCTCTGAGACAAACTGGTCTGTCTGCTCTCCCCTCAAAGCATCGTGCTTTTCAAAAGAGAAGGGGAGAAGCAAAAAGAAAATAAAAAAGCATCATTTTCCCAGATAATCTGTCTTTGCTCATGCCCCTTCCCTCTGCCTAGAACTAAGCCAGCTCAGGTAAGTCGCTGGGTGGCTCTTAGCAGGGCTCTTAGAATGCCCCTTCCTGTCACCCCACCTTCCTGGCCCAGCTCCAACAGAACCACCTCCAAGGAGCCTCCCCAGCTCTCAGACTGAGCAGTCTCTCCATCCCATGAGGTCCCATCCTGACATTTGGGGAGGTAGCCAAAGGCAGGGAAAAAGAAGGCACCAAGTTCAAGCCCTGGACCCCTATTTGTCTCTGTGCCGTAGCATTAGAGTATCCTCATATTTTTCTCATAGAATCTAGAAGATTAAATGAAATAATGTATGTAAAAGACCTTGCATGTGTCTGGCACAAAGTAGGAGCTCAGCCCATGGAAGCGCCCCTCGTCTCCTTTCCTGCCCACTGTGTTTTTTCCTTCTCTTCCTTCCTCCCCCACCAACACACCCATAGGACTGTCAACCTTAGATGGTTCTCCCCTTCTGCTGTGCCCACCTACAGCCCTGTGGGTACCCAGGGGGAGGCCAACCTGACTCCCAGCTTGAGCTTTCACTCACACCAGCAGCTTCTTCTGAACCCCTCCTTGAGGTGGTAGGAGCCAAGGGGCTGGGCCCATCACTGTCATAGCAGTTGTGCTGGTCAGGCTGGAGAATCCTAATTCTTTTATTGTTGTTGTTTTTTTGAAACAGAGTCTCGCTCTGTCACCCAGGCTGGAGTGCAATGGCGTGATCTTGGCTCACTGCAACCTCTGCCTCTGGGGTTCAAGTGATTCTCCTGCCTCAGCCTCCCAAGTAGCTGGGATTACAGGTGTGCACCACCACGCCTGGCTAATTTTTGTATTTTTAGTAGAGCAAAGGGGCTTCACCATGTTAGCCAAGCTGATCTTGAACTCCTGACCTCAGGTATCTGCCCACCTTGGCCTCCCAAAGTGCTGAGATTACAGGTGTGAGCCACTGAGCCTGGCCGAGAATCCTAATTCTGACACCAATTCGCTCCGTCACCTTGGGCAAATCTCGTCCCCTCTCCCGCTTTCTGAGTTTCTATCCATATAATAGTAACAGCCCTGCCCTGCCCACCTGTTAGGACGGTCTGTGGAGGGTGCTGCAGCTTGCACACACCAGACACACACAGGACCACAAGGGCGACAGAGCTGTCCAGCCATCAGCTGTCCTGAGAAGGTCTTGTCCTGCCTGGACCTTCTGGAGACAGAGCAGAGCTTCTTTCTGTTTAATCCCCCAAATCAAGCCCTGACCAAAACTCCACACAGGTTTATTGCCCCACAATCTCCTTATCTGGGAGTTTCGAGCGACAAGGATCACTGGGGATTTTCCAAGACACCTCCAGGAGGCTGAAAATCTGGCAGCTCCACTCCCTGCTCACTGTCCGCTTTCTGGCACAGAGCTTTCAGACCTGTCTTTGGACAGAGAGGGACACTGAGGCTCAGAGAGGAAGCGCGCCTTGCTTAGCGTCCCACAGTCAGCCCGAGGCAGGGCTGAAGCTCTGTAACTCTGGTCCTGGGGTGGGCATCCAACCAGGGGTCCTGCATTCTGTTCTCAGCGTGGACCCACAAATCAGCCCTCACTCTGCCTGCCTCAGGGACCTGGGGCCCAGAGTCAGTTCAGCCAACATCATTGGTGCCCACTCTGAGCCTGATGCCATGCTGGGCACTGTAGGGGAGATGCATGGGCAGACCCAGACAGCGTCACTTATGGGGGAGCTCAGAGGATGGGGGAGGCCCCCATGTAACCAGCAAGCTCAATTCAGGGTCATCAGGGCTAAAGCCAGCGCTGCAAGTTGCAGCAGGGAGATGGAAATCTGGGAAGTCAGGGAGGGCCCCCGGGAGGATACGACTGAGCTGAGCTTTCAAGGCCAAGTAGAGCAAGCCCAGCAGAGGAGGGAAGGGGAGGCATGGGGTGGAAGGCGCTGTGCTAGGTCATGCCTGTCTGTGGTGTGCGGAGATGGAGCCAGGAGCTTGCAGCGCGGGGGTGGGGAGGCTGGGTCTGAGCAAATGCAGGCCAGCAATGGGGCTGCCGCTGGGAGAGGTGCTGGGGGCGCAGTGCTGAGGAGGGGGCACCTGAGACAGTGGGGAGGCATCAAAGTGTGTAACTGGGGGTGTGACATGGTCAGAGCCGAAATAGACTTAACCCCTGCAATTAGGAAGTCAGGACATTGAGCCTGGGAAACGATTTCTTTCCTCAACTTTGGGCTGGTATCGAAGGAAGAAATAAGTGGGTTTCATTTCATGTCCAGCTCCAGTGGGCTGGAGGGGTTGCGGAACCCCATGAGGAGGAGGGAGAGAATTCTGAGGCCTTCCGTGCTTGGACTCAGGAGGAAAAGGGTGTGACTGCCCTGGGACAAGAGTCCCCAGATATGACTGAAGGCCTGCCTGCTCCTGCAGATGCTGGAAGCCCCACACCCCACTTCTGAGCTCGGCACCCCCACCCCACTTCTGAGCTCAGCCCCACGCCCTACTTCCGAGCTCAGTCCCACACCCCACTTCTGAGCTCGACCCCACGCCCCACTTCCGAGCTCAGCCCCACACCCCACTTCCAAGCTCAGCCCCACACCCCACTTCTGAGACCCCACACCCCACTTCCAAGCTCAGCCCCACACCCCACTTCTGAGCTCGACCCCACGCCCCACTTCCGAGCTCAGCCCCACACCCCACTTCCAAGCTCAGCCCCACACCCCACTTCTGAGACCCCACACCCCACTTCCAAGCTCAGCCCCACACCCCACTTCTGAGATCGACCCCATGCCTCACTTCCAAGCTCAGCCCCACACCCCACTTCTGAGCTCGACCCCACAGCGGGAAGTGGATGGGAAGTTCTTTTCCGCTACTCTCTCACCTGCTTGTTAACATGGAGATAAATGCCTCTGCTCACCCTTAATCAGTTCCCCAGGCAGAGTCTGCAACAGCTGGCAGGAGAGGATGGTGAGGTACCTCCTCTCTGCTTCCAGCCTCCAGGAGCTCCACCTAAATTGTTTGTCCAGGCTGGGCCTGCAGGCCAGAAAGGCAGGAGGCCAGACTGATTGCCCTTCTCAAATTTCAAGTGCCAGCAGCCTGGGTTTATGAGGATTAAAAGAGTCCAGCAAAGATGTCAGTGCCCCTGTGGGAAAGGCACTTCTGCCCGCAAGACTGGCTGTGAGGACAGGTGACAGCATCACATTTACATGTGTTTGCCCGCTGTGTCACAGCAGAGCATCTGAGGGTGCTCAGAGTCACCTGGAGGGCTGGAAAAAAACAAACCCAGGTGGTGGCTCACGCTTGTAACCCAGCACTTTAGGAGGCCGAGGTGGGAGGATCGCTTAGGGCCAGGAGTTCCAGACTAGCCTGGGCAACACAGTGATTCTGTCTCTACAAAAAACAAACAAACAAACAAACTCCGATTGTTGGGCCCCACCCTAGAGTTTCTGATTCGGCAGCGTGGGTGAGAGCTGAGAGTCTGCACTTCCACCAAGTTCCCGGTGACTAGGAAGCCGCTGGCCCAGGGGCCACTCTTTGAGAATCGCTGCTCTACAGCCCAGCTCTATGATTCACAACTATCGCTCAGTTTACCCCTCACAACCATCTGGGGGCGCGGAGGATTATCTCCACTTCGTGAGTGTGGCCGGGGCACTCTGCAGAGCAGCGGCGTCAGTTTTCTGAGGTTACACGATTAATAAGCAGCAGGAACTCCTGTCCAAAATCCACGGGCTCCATGAGCACTCAACCACCCCCCAACTCGGTGGCCACTGCGGCTCTGCTCCTTGGCTTGCTTTCTTAAGTCTCTTCTCAACATATAAATTGCATGCTCTGAGGCCAGCACTCCGGAACTGGGCGTCCCAATCCTCCTCGTCCTCCTTCTCATGGTGCTCCACAGCCGGAACAAAATCCACCTATTGCGTCTGCTGTCCCATAACAGCTTCGCAGCCCAGTACACGTGCTTAAGATACGGGCTTCAGAGTCAGAGAAACCTGGATCCAAATCCAGACTCACTTCCCTTCTCTAAGTCTTGATACCACATCGTCAGGTTGCTGTGAGATGAGCAAGGAGCTTAAGAGCGTGTAGCCTTTGGTCTGGGTGTGGTGGCTCACGCCTGTAATCTCAGCACTTTGGGAGGCTGAGGCGGGCAGATCACCTGAGATCGGGAGTTCGAGACTAGCCTGACCAACATGGAGAAACCCCGTCTTTACTAAAAATACAAAATTAGCCGGGCGTGGTGGCGCATGCCTGTAATCCCAGCTACTCGGGAGGGAGAATTGCTTGAACCTGGGAGGTGGAGGTTGCTGTGAGCCGAGATTGCGCCATTGCACTCCAGCCTGGGCAACGAGAGTGAAGCTCTGTTCCCCCGCCCACCCCCCACCGCCAAAACAAAAAACAAAAAAAAAAAACCAAAGAGCGTGTAGCCCTGGCCCATGGTAAAGTTCTCAATAAACGGTAGCAACCAGTGGGCCAAGGCAAGCATTTGAGTAGCTTTCCTAAACCTCTCTGTGCCTCAGTTTCCTAAGCTGTAAGCTGGGGTCCATGATAGCACCTACCTTATAGAGGAGATGTTCATTCATATAAAGTGCCTCAGAGCAGTGCTTGGCAAGTGCTCAGCCAGGTGTTAGTCTCCTACATGTATATTCCTGTTTTGTCAAATATATTTCAGTCTGAACATAAGCTCTTCATTGACACATGTAAACAAAAACATTAAATAATAGAGTAGGCTACTGTGAAATCAAAATGTAAAAATCTTGGCAGTGATGGTGATATGGTTTGGCTCTGTGTCCCCACCCAAATCTCATCTTGAATTGTAATCCCCAAGTGTGGAGGGAGGGGCCTGGTGAGAGGTGATTGGATCATGGAGGCGGTTTCCCCCAGGCTGTTCTGGTATTACTAAGGGAGTTCTCATGAGATCTGATGGTTGAAAAGTGGCAGTTTCCCCTGCGAGTTATCTCCCTCCTGCAGCCCTGTGAAGAAGGTGCCAGCTTCCCCTTCACCTTCCGTCATGATTGTAAGTTTCCTGAGGCTCCCCAGCCATGTGGAACTGTGAGTCAATTAAACCTCTTTCCTTTATAAATTACCCAGTCTCAGGTATGTCATTATAGCAGTGTGAGAGTGGACTAATACAGATGGCTGCACAATGGGAATGTACGTCATGCCACGGAATTGTATACTTAAAAATGGTTAAAATCGTAAACTTTGCTATGTATATATCACCATCATTAAAAAAATAATAAAGAAAAGAGAAATGACAGCACTTAGGTATCAGCCCACAGCTTTCCTGAACTCCCTGGCAGCTACATCTCTGCTTCCATGTTGATTTCCACAGAGCTCCTATTCTTTTAGCCCTTCCTGACCCTTGACCTTAGAGTTGGTCCCTGATGTGACTTCAAAAGCAGGGGGTGGGGTGCGGGATGGCCCTCCCTGTCTGCTTCCCCTTTCACTCCTGGCTATTCAGGGCCATCTCTGCCAGGGCCCCAGCAGAGGGGCTCGGTAGGGTGGGGAGGCCTTGCTATTTCCCCAGACACCAGGAGCCTCCCTGCTTCAGGACATGCCTGGACGATATTTCCCCAGGCCCCTGGCAGAGTCGTGGCTCTTCCCACCAACCTCCCTCCTCCTGGTGAAGGAAGGGCCCCTTGAGGGACCAGGGACCCCCTAATTAGCACCAACTCCCACTGGGCTTCAGCAGGGAGCCCTGCTCTGTGCAGGGAGGGCACATAGATATTCCAAGCCCAGTGACCCGGCTCCAGTAGGCTCTGCCCCCTTTTGCTGTGCGATGCTGTGAAAGCCCCTCTCTGGGCTCCAGTGTCTCAACCCATTAAATGGGCATGGGCATCCCTGCCTGTCACCTTCCAGAGGCTGTAGGGAGGCTCTGAGGAAGAATGGATGCAGAGGGGCTGGTTTATTTATTACACAACACAATCGCATGGAGAGGCAGCAGCACAGTGGCTACTGACATGGTAGGGAACCTGCCTGCCGGGCTCAGACATCAGCCCTGCCACACACCAGCTGGGAGACATTGGGCCAGTTATCTACCTCTCTTGGCCTTGGGTTTTCTCATCCATAAAATGGGGATGATAACCATAAATGAGTTAATATCTGTCAAGCACTTAGAACCCAGCCTGGCACATGGTAAACTCAAAGTAAGTATTTGTTAAATAACTAAACTCAAAATAAGTAAATAATGGTAACCTTTATTGAGTACTCACTGTGAGCCAGGCACTGTCCTAAGCTATTTACCTGTATTCATGGATTGAAATGAACATTTAATAAAAATGAATATGGGCTTTGAGCAGGGCTTACAGATTAAACTAGAAGCACAAAGTGTTCATGGTCCTTTATTTTTCCTCAAAGCGGCAATATCAAAAGATCTAAACATTCGGCGGGGGGTGAGGGGTGTCACCTGTGCTGGGAGGCACCAAAACCCTCTGAACCGAATGAAAGCAGAGAAAGCCTTGTGCCCCTTATCAACCCATGAGTGTTGATTTAGAATCTAAAGCTCTAATTCTTCAGTTTTTAGCCAGACCCACTAATTCTCTCCCAAATCATATTACATCTAGGGGTAAGCACCAAATACAATACCCCAGAATTCTGCCCTTCTTTCCCCAGCACCCCACGTAAACAGTCTGATGGTTTTGGCTCGTACCAGTCTAGTGATGGGGAGCTCACCCCTGCTGGGGGAAGATGTGCTCAACCAGTGGACTTCCTCGCATCTACTGAACAGAAATCTACAATTTTCCCCACTGCCCTACCTGTTCCTGGAGCCCCGCCAGCCACATCCATTGTTTCTGCCCCTTGACAGCCTTCCAGAGATTGAAGACCTCTTAACTCAGGACCATGGGATGGCTCCACTGGGGGGTGGGGGTTTCTTGTGTGACTTGGTTTCCCATGTCCTCCCCATTTTGGTTGCCCATGTGCTCCAAGCTCTCCCCATCTTCCAGGTTATACTCGAACTCTGCAGATGGGGGCTGAGAACTCCTCAGCAGAGCAGGTCCCCAAAAGGATCCCAGATGTCACATCTCAGAACAAAAGCACTAGCCAGACCCCAAGAGATCGTGGGGTACAGAAAGAGGAAATGGAGTCAGCACGCCAAAGGCCACCCACACAGGGCAGAACCAGGAACAAGATCCAGGTCTCCAGCCTCCCAGTCCAAAAGAGTACGCTAAAACACAGAACAGAGTCCTGTCTTCCTGTACCTGGATACAGTACCAAACATTTTTGTTCCTTATCTGTGTTGCTCTAAGTAATAGTGGAAACTCGTTTGTGGAGGGACAAATTCCAAAGATGGTTAGGAAAGAAAGGCCTTATAATTGTGAGCTCAAGGGTCATTGGCCTTATCTAGGCTCTCCTGGACTCACACCTTTGAAAGGTGAACTGTGTTTCTCCAGAGAGTGCTTTAGGCTGGGAATGATGGCAGACCTTAGGTCTTTTCTGCTAGAAAGGCCGGCAGAGCATCAGCAGCCCCCACGATGTGAGGGGAAACCTGGAGCACATTCACTCCACCCACATTTTCCAAGTCCCCAGCTGGAGATAGCCCCTGTGCTGGGCTCTGTGGATGGAGGTATTCCCATGGGGTCTCTCCCCTTGGGAATGGGTAGAAAAATAGGGAAATCCCTACTGGAGCAACGCTTGATCACAAACGTGGTGGCGTGTTAGAGGTAGCAGGAGCAAGGAAAAGACCAGGAGGTTAGAGCAATGGGCTCCAAACTTTGTTTTTTTTTTTTTTTTTTTTTTTGAGACAGAGTCTGGCTCTGCTGGAGACCCAGGCTGGAGTGCAGTGGCACAATCTTGGCTCACCACAACCTCTGTGTCCCAGATTCAAGCGATTCTCCTGCTTCAGTCTCCAGAGAAACTGGGATTACAGGCATGTGCCACCACACCCGGCAAATTTTTTTGTATTTTTAATAGTGATGGGGTTTCACCATGTTGGCCTGGCTGGTCTCGAACTCCTGACCTCAGGTGATCTCCAAACTTTTTTGATCATTCACTCCTTCCACAAGAAAAAAAAAAAACAAACTGTGCTCACACCCCATTATCTTATATTATATACAAGTAATCATCATCAACCTCGCAAGACAAAACGTATACACAGAGTGAGATTCATCACTAACCAGAGTGACTGTAAATATCTATTTCAAAGTGTCCCCTAACATAAACAAACAAACAAACTTGAGCTGACAAACTTGTCAGACTTATTAGCTTGTCACTGTTTTTGTCCTGGGTCTTGTAGCTGATGAAGTGACTGCAATAGAAACCCCAGTGTTAATTCTCTCACTTTTTTTCTTTTTTAAATTTATTTTTATTAAAAACATTTTTTTAGAGACAGAGTCTCGCTCTGTCGCCTAGGCTGGAGTGCAGTGGTGCCATCATAGCTCATTGTAGCCTCCAACTCCTGGACTCAAGCAATCCTCCTGCCTCAGCCTCCTGAGTAGCTGGGACCACAGGCATGAGCCACCATGCCCGGCTAATTATTAAACTTTTCCTTGAGGCGGGGATTTGCTATGTTGCCCAGGCTTGTATCAAACTCCTAGCCTCAAGTGATCCTCTCGCCTTGGCCTCCCAAAGTACTGGGATTACAGGCCAGCACTCAACCTCTTCCATTCCCTTGTCTTCATGTACTAGCATTATTAGCATAGTAAGTAAGCACTGCTAACAAGTCACAATTTTTCAGTACGAATCTTTAAAAACCACGTGTCCATTCTGTAAGCGCTAGTTAGCTTAGAGTGGTGAATATAATTTGTAAATCCAATCTGGATTAATTAGTCTGGATTAACCTGGATTAATAAACCAGGTTAATTAATTGGGATAACTTGCCAAAAACAGACTAAAGAGTAAGGGAGTCCTCATTACCCTTTCTCAGAGTGTTTCCCCTTCTCTCTGGAGACTCCTGGACCACATGAGACAGGAGACTCCTGGACCACATGAGGCTGCCTGACACCCCAGCTGGCGAGTGTGTCTCCACCTGGCAAATGTGACTAAAGCTGAATTCTTTGTTCTATTTGTTTAGATATTTTTTCCTGCACCCCAATGTGCATCTTGCATAGATCACTTTGGAGGCAATTGGGATAGAAGATGAAGAGAGTCGGAGATAATTTTTAAGCTCAAAGGATGGCAGAAATGATCTAGTCTACCCTTCACTTTGCAGGTGAGGAAACAAGAACCTGAGAAGGGATGTGACTTGTCCAGGGTCACCTGGCTGGTCAGTGGCAGATCCTGGAGAGAATGCAAATCTCTAGGCCTTGATGCTACAAATGGCTGCTAAAAGTGGTCACAGTCTAGCTCTTTACCGGTCCTTTTACTTTACTGGTCCTTTTACTTTACTGTGCCTCTTGGTTGGGTTCACTCTGAAGCCTCAGTTTCCTCATCTGTAAAATGGAACGAATCAAACCAGCTCTTGGGCTGCTGTTTGAGTGCCGGTAAAGTCTCGCTGACATCTGCGGACTGGGAAGAAACCCTTCCCTAGGCTCTGGAAGGTCCTACTTGAGTGTCTGAGATCTGGGACCGCTAGAGCATGAGGATTCTGCCTCTGCCTACCAGCCACAGCAGTGACCCTGCAGGACGCGGAGACCCTGCTGCCCAGCATTGTGCTGGCCTGGGCCTGGCGTGTTGGTGGGCAGCTGTGGACATGGGTCCTGGGTCTCATGAAGCAATGACCTGCAATCCTGCTCCTATCTCTCATCCTCCCCATCTTCCAGGTCCTTCCTGCCTCCTCCAGGCTGTCCTCATCTCAGATCCCACCTCTCTAAAGCTGAGACCCCACTTGGGCTACTGGTAGATGGCAGCATCCTCTATTCCAAAACCTTCAATAGCTTCTCAGCTGGGGATTCAAAGCCAAGGTGTGGCCCAGGAGTATATCAAGAAGGGATGTGAGGCAAGCAGGGAAGGGGAAGTGGCAGGGATGAGGGCAGGAGGGAGGTGAGCAGTCGGCCGGGCGCAGACACTCAGGAAGTGCATTTTCAACAGAGAAATTAAAAATAGGCCAGGCGCGGTGGCTCTTGCCTGTAATCCCAGCACTTTGGGAGGTCGAGGCAGGTAGATCACAAGGTCAGGAGTTTGAGACCAGCCTGATCAACATGGTGAAACCCCGTCTCTACTAAAAATACAAAAATTAGCCAGGTGCGGTGGCAGGTGCCTGTAATCCCAGCTACTCAAGAGGCTGAGGCAGGAGAATTTCTTGAACCTGGGAGGCGGAGGTTGCAGTGAGCCGAGATCACGCCACTGCACTCCAGCCTGGATGACAGAGTGAGACTCCATCTCAAACAAAACAAAACAAAACAAAACAGCAAGCAAAAAAAACTGCCTCAAAGTCTGACATTTTACGATCATAATGTGCCTGCAATTCTAAACAACGTCAGTGCGTCAGTGCTAAAACGCTCCTCCCTGACAGGGCAGGCTGCACCTACCTCCCTGCCCTTGGCGTCTGGCAAATACCTTATACTCTGCCTCTTATACTGAGCCAAACCAGACCCTACGTTCATCGCATCCCATATAGGCCTAGTAAGTTTTCTCCTCTCCAGTCCTTGGGTTACATCATTTCCTTTGCCAGTAATGCCCTATCCACCACTCTGTATGACCGGCTGCTACAAGGCTCAGCTTAGAGAAGTGCTCCCTCTTCCAGGAAGTCTTCCTGCAAGCATTCCCATCCATCCCCTCGCAGGCCATGGCTCCCCTCACATCACGTTTTCATCTCCAAAGGAAAACTCAAGAAAGGAACCCGCAACACAGAAAACCATACAAGGAGAGTCACTTCTGAGCTACGTGACCTCAGACAAGTCCCATGGCCTCTCTGAGCCTCAGTTTCATCTCCTTAAAAGAACCATCTCATCTCCAAATACCCTCCTTTCCTTGACCTGCACCATCCCTTCTTTTGACTGCACAGTGAACTCTGTCATTAGGTGAAAATGCTCCACCTGCTTCCAAAGTCACTAATTCAAGCACCCCTCCTGACCGCACCCTCCCCACCTCCAGCCTCCTGTCACCTGCCACATGTGACCAGCCCTTTGCCAGTGTCCCCAATGATGGATCAGTAAAAACAGGTTCAGGCTCGAGTAGAGGGCCCTGGAAGCCACAACCAGAGACCCCTCTCCAGGATGACACAATGCATCAAGCAATGCCCCAACTCCACCACCATGCTCAGCAACACCTTTGCTGAAAGACCAGCTCCAGGGATGGTGTGGGGGCCATGTGATTTCCATGGGCATGTTGTGGAAGGCCATTTCTTGTCCCCAGTAACCTGGGACATCAGCTCACTCTTATCAACACCCTAAAATCCCTCACGCCACTGACTTTTTTTTCACATCATCTGGCAAACCCCAGCACTGGGTGAACCTGGATATCTAAGCTCAGTTGGGAGGAAAATGGTGGACAATAACCAGCCCTGGGAAGGAGGCCCCAGTGGGGTGAAGGCTGCTCCCATGTTGCTTGTGTCCCCCAGCGCGACTCCCTCTGCAAGTCAGGCCATGAGAAGGGCACTGCCGGAAAAGCCAGAACCCACGGGCACCCACGTGGCCTCCTTCTTCTTGTACCCAATGCCAATCCATCACTAATCCCAGCCTCCTGTCCCACCTTCAAATCATCTCTCTCTCTTGCTTTTTTTTTTTTTTTTTTTTTTTAAGAGATGAGGTCTCACTATGTTGTCCAGGCTGGTCTGGAACTCCTGGCTTCAAGCAATCCTCATGTCTCAGTCTCCCAAAGTGCTAGGATTATAGGCGTGAGCCTCGGTGCCTGGCTCCAAACATCTGTTAAACTTGGTCATTTAGTCTCAGCCACCAACCATCTTGCCCTTGATCTTTCCGAAATATGTAAACGTGAGCAGACCCCTCGGCGGCCATTGTTCTACTTCCCCAGCCTCACCTTGCCCAGGGATCTGAGCTGCACACATCACGGTGCTTTCAGTTCTTCAAAGTCCTGTTTCCTCCAGCCGGAGGGCTTTGGCAAGGCTGTTTCTCCTATGCAGCGTGCCTCCCTCCCCACCCTTGCCTGCTCAGTCCCTACTCATCTTTCAGATCTCAGCTCAAAGTCCTTTCCTTAGAACATCCCATCCATCCCCTCGCAGGCCATGGCTCCCCTCACATCATGTTTTCATCTCCAAAGGAAAACTCAAGAAAGGAACCCGCAACAAAGAAAACCATACAAGGAGAGTCACTTCCAAGCTGTGTGACCTCAGACAAGTCCTATGGCCTCTCTGAGACTCAGTTTCACCTCCTTAAAAGAGCCATCTCATCTCCAAATACCTTCCTTTCCTTGACCGGCACCATCTGTGCCCTGGACTGCAGCCTTTTGCAGTGACCCCGGACTCAGCACATTCTCTACTCTGCACGCCCTTCACTCCTCTCTCCTCCTCCAGATTCTGTGGGACTCTACGATTACTGTCCATCTCTCGTTTGGTCTGTGAGCCCTCAAAGGCGGGCCTGTGTCTGTTTTGCTGTGCTTGGTATCTCTAATGCTTTACATACAGAAAGTAATCAATCGTGAACAAAGGTCCTAGTCAAAAAATTACATTGAAAGATAACTTTTTAGGGAGCGAATGAATGGGTCAGTCTGGGTGAGGCTCCAGGATTATCTGTGTGGGGCAGATATCTCTACAGTCTTTCTCCAGGGCAGGCCACACAGGCCGAGCCACTCCTGCAATGGTTTCAACAAGGATGAGGCTAGTGACCCTGCCAGCAAGCTCTCAAAGCTCCTTCCTGTTCATTATCTCCCCAGCCCTCCTCCACACTCCCCACCCCCATTACTCAGAGTACCAGGCTTTTAATGACCAGGCCACTGGAGCATTTCTGAGCTGGCATTGTGGAGATTCTGTTCTTCCCAAGGGCCAGGACTCAGGAGCCTTTTCTTTGTGGGGTTGGATGAGGAAAAAGAAGTGGAATCTAATTAGACCAGGTTCAAAGCCCAGCTTTGCCTCTTGCTGGCTGCGTGACCTTGCAAATTTACTCAACCTCTCTGGGCTCCTGCCTCCTTATCTGTAAAAAGAGGACAAGACTATCTAGCTACAATGCGATGGTGAAGATTCCATGAGTGAATGCACACTAAGAGTCTAATTGGGGACCCGCCACATGTCAAATGATTCCAAGACAGCTTTTTACATTTTAACATCTCTGAAACTGGGATGCAACTTACAGTTTCTGTTGCTTTTTCTTTCTTAATGGATTCTAAAATAAGGGTACATCTCACAACAGATAAGCCCTGCCTTGAATGAAATACCGCAGTAGCTTAGATTCTTTACTTCCCTTGCAAAGAGGCTGAAACGCCTGTGAGATGGGATCAAAGACCAAGAACACAAATCGTTAAGGGACAAGGGTCTATTGAGGCCTAGCATTCACCCTGGATCTCCAGAGCTTCACGGAATTTGAAGGCTCAGGCCCTTCCCCGGCCTGGCGCCCCTCTGGATCTGTCTCAGCTGTCCTAGTCTTGCTCAGAAAGCGGCCCAAACTTCAGCAGGACCCTCACCTCTGCCTCCAACCCTCTGTTGCTACTGATGTGGTAGGTTCCACAGTTGGACAGTTTGGTCACAATGCTACTGTGCTTGCAGCCACCCAAAACCCCAAGTCTTTGTCCCAAGAAAAGAGTCCTAGTTCCCACCTTCAGAAACCCCCACAGACATCTCCTCCAGTGTGACTCCATCAAGCCATCCTTGGACTCTGCTCCCAACTGTTCCGAAGGCCAGCACTGGGGATGTCATCCAGGCCTTACCAAAGTCCTTATGCTGTGAGTGCTGACTTCATCCCTGCAGCCTGCTGATGTCAGACCGGCCTGAGTATTTTATTATCTAAATATCATTATAACTTGTATTGCATACATAGTTGGCCCTCTGTATCTGTGGGTCCTGCATCTGTAGATTCAACCAACCTCAGATGGAAAATATTCGAAAAAATTAAGGAAAAATAACAATACAACAATTAAAAAATACAAATTTAAAAATACAGTACAATGGGCCAGGCATGGTGGCTTGCACCTGTAATCCCAGTATTTTGGGAGGCTGAGGCGGGCAGATTACTTGAGATCAAGAGTTCGAGACCAGCCTGGCCAACATAGCGAAACCCCATCTCTACTAAAAATGTAAAAAATTAGCTGGGTGTGGTAGTGCATGCCTGTGATCCCAGCTACTTGGGAGGCTGAGGCACAAGAATCACTTGAACCCGGGAGGCGGAGTTTGCAGTGAGCTGAGATTGTGCCACTACACTCCAGCCTGGGTGACACAGCAAGACTCTGTCTTAAAAATATGTATATACAGTATAATAACTAGTTACATAGCATTTACATTGTGTTAGGCATTGTAAGTGATCTATAGATGACTTAAAGTATACAGGAGGGTGTGTGTAGGTTACATGTAAACACTATACTATTTTATATCAGGGATTTGAATATCCACAGATTTTGATATCCTTGGGTGTCCTGGAAGCTGAATATTTAGGAATGACTGCACACATATCACCAAAATCTTTACAGAAATAAATTATCTATCAAGTATAAAATTATTTTATTTTATTTTTTTTTTTAATAGAGGCAATGTCTTACTTTGTTGCCCAGGCTGGTCTCAAACTCCTGGCTTCCCAAAGTGCTGGGATTACCAGGAGGAGCCACCATGCCCAGCCAAAACATTTTAAATGTAGAAAAGACCAAAGAAAACAAAATTCTACCACCTAGTGATAATTAGCTTGATGTCTGTCTGAATATTTTGCTATGTCTGCATGCTAGGGAAAGATTCTTTTCTCATATCCAAACCCAAACAGTCTCATTCCACACATACTACTCTTTCTCTTACCGTGACATGGTGGCCCTCTCTCTAAACAGACTGGTTTCTTCATGGCGGCCCCACAGTGCTCCCGTCCTCTATCCCTATCCCTGGCAGGTCCCAGGCCTCTACAGGGACGTAGTGCTTTGGGTCTGACGTTGTTCCTCCTCATCCTCAGAGTGGGGCTGTGATCTGTGATGGGGCCATGGCTGCCTTCGGGGACCCCACCAAACAAAGCCACACCCAGGCACAGAAATACTCCAGAGCACTTAAATCAAGGGGTGTGTGGTTAATGGCGGCTGTCTGTCTCTGTCCGATTTGATTGTAGCCCTTTCAAAACCAACTGAAAGTTCTCCCAGCCCCAGATGCTGGCCTGATATTTCCCTAACCCCTAGGGGCTCCAGAAATCACAATGAATAATGAATAGGTAGGTGCCTGGCATTTTGTAGTTCATAAAGCGCCTCCTTACTTTTATCCAATTTAGAGCCTTACAACAAGCTTATACATTAGGCAGAACAGGTATTTATTATCCTCATTTTATAAATGAAGAAACTGACGCTTAGAGAAGTGGAGTGACTGACCCAATATCTTCCCTTATTTTTCTACCCTTCATAGTCTGGCCGTCTCCAAATCACACTAACAACCCAGCTCAGGCATCAGCTCCTCTAGGGAGCCTTCCATGACCCCCCACTTCCACCCCAGGCTGGGTTAGGTGCCCTCCTGGAGGCCCCACAGCTCCTGGGCTTCCCTATGATAACTGTAGTGCCCCTGCCAGGCCATGGGCCCTCACGGCTGTGATGGGTCTAGCTTGTCTGCATTCACACTCCCCAAGCATTAGAAAAACATCAATAGGTGGTTGCTGGGGTGAAGATCATTACAATGACTAAGGCAGGAATTATTCTTCCCCTTTTACAGATGAGGACACTGAGTCATAAAGAAGGGTCAAGACTTGCCTAAGGAGCATATCAGCAGCGGGGTCAGCTCTCCTTCTTCAGAGGCCTGGGTTCTTTTGCTCCACTGCATCCCTTGTTGTCCGCAATCTTAGACTCCAAACCATTGCTGGAGGCTCGTATCTGATTTCTCAGGCAGGTCTACCTGGTCAGCCAGGTGTGAAAGGGAGGTTGGCAGGAGGGGGCTCTGTCTGCAGTGGGCTCAATTCCCCAGCCTGGGCCAACACCGTGGTGCAGCCTTAGGAACAGCCACAGGAGTTGCCCAGTTATTGAGCACGCCATAGACCACGCCCTGTGCAAGAACTTCCCTTGCACTTCTTACTTCATCCTGTGGCTGGGGCCGTTATGATGCCATTTTGCAGGTGGGCCAGGAGAGACCCTGGCCCAAGGCCACTCAGTGTCTGAGATGGGGCTAGAAGCCAGGGCTGCATCCCTGGCAGCAGGCAGCCCCAGGAGTTTGCTGGCACCAGAGCCAGAAATAAATGCACAGTCAGAGTACAGGAGACAACTCTCAGGGGACCTGCAGTGTGGGCAAAGCCCCAAACTCACCTCCCACCCAGGGCTGGCTAGAGGGACAAGACTCTTGGGCCCAGGGAACACACGCCTGCCCCTGCACTGCCTGTGGGCAGGGTCATGCCATTTGCCAGGGCCCCTACAAACTCCAGGCTCAAGGCCAGGCTAGAAGCAGCTGTCATATCAACCCTGCACAAATGCTCAGCTCCCGATTTCTTATTTGAATGAGACTTCACCTATCTGCTCCTGACTGGCTGACAGATGCTGAGCAAGGCCCCATCTCTTATTGGGCCTTACTTTACCTATCTGTGAAATGATGCCAGGAGAGGGGTGGCTGGCGGGGGGAGGGGCTAGGTTTGGGGGATGGTATCTTAATGGAACCCACCAACTCTGACATTCCAGGGATGGACTACAGGCAGCAGGGGAAGGTGATTAAGCCCTGGACACTGGTGGCAGATGACATAGATTGAATGTATGATCCTGGGCTAGCTACCCAACTTCCCTGGGGCTCAGTGTTGTCATCTATAAAATGGGAATGATAGTACAAAAAAGACTGAAAGTAAATGTTCATATTGATTATGTGGGATGAGAAGAGGAGAAGATATGGGTAATTTATTTTGTCTGTTTTCCTGCCTTTTTCTGAAATTCTCCATTATCAAGTGTTTATAATTTTAAAAATGTATTTTCTTTGTAAATTAACTTCATGAGATATCATTTACATATAATATATCCATTTTAAAACGGGAGAAATAATAACAAACAGTATGTACCCTATAGGTTGTTATGGGGATTGGGTTAACGTATATAAAATATTAGATGGTGGTAAGAAGTGCTAATAAGTGTTTGTTAAATATATAAGCCCAGGGTCAGCCTGGCTTCCTCCTCATCCTCCTCCTGCTCACCTGGCCTGGACCCCAACCTCTCCCCTAGCACTGAGCTCACTGCCCAGGTCCCACAGCAGCACTCCAGGCCTGGACTATTTCTACAGCCATCTCTCTGCACCTGTCTTCGTCCGTTGCTGCAGCTACAACAAAATATCATAAATTGGGTGCTTTGGCCAGGCGCGGTGGCTCACGCCTGTAATCCCAGCACTTTGGGAGGCTGAGGGGGGCAGATCATGAGGTCAGGAGATTGAGGCCATCCTGGCTAACACTGTGAAACCCCGTCTCTACTGAAAACACAAAAACAAAATTAGCCGGGCGTGGTGGTGGGCGCCTGTAGTCCCAGCTACTGGGGAGGCTGAGGCAGGGGAATAGCATGAACCCGGGAGGTGGAGCTTGCAGTGAGCCGAGATCGTGCTGCTGCACTCCACCCTGGGCGACAGAGCAAGACTCCATCTCAAAAAAAAAAAAAAAAAAAAAAAAAAATTAGCCAGGCATGATGGCGGATACCTATAATCCCAGCTACTCAGGAGGCTGAGATGGGAGAATCACTTGAACCCGGGAGACGGTGGCTGCAGTGAGCCAAGATCACACCACTGCACTCCAGCCTAGGCGGCTGGGCGAAACTCCATCTCAAAAAAAAAAAAAAAAAATGTAGGTGCTTTATCAACAATAGAAATGTATTTCTCACAGTTCAGGAGGATGGAAGTCCAAGACTAAGACAGCAGATTTGGAGTCTGGTGAGGGCCCACTTCCTGGGTCATAGAATGGCGCCTTCTTACTGTGTCCTCATGTGGTGGAGGAGGTGAGGGTCTCTCTGGGGCCTCTTTTATAAGAACACTAATCCCATTATGAGGGCTCTGCCTTCCTGACCTAATTCCCTCTCAAAAGCCCCACCTCTTAATACCATCACCTTATGGGGTAAGATTTCAACATATGAGCTTTGGAGGAACATAAATATTCAGACCATAGCAATCTCGCAGGAATCACACCAATATTCAAATCTGGCCATGTTCCTACCCAATTCAAAAGCCTTCCATGGCTCCCCGCTGACCCTGGCTGAAAGTCCTAGATTCTCCATGAGACACAGTTTCAATAAGCCATGTAACTTTTCTGTATTTTTGTTTTCTTAATTGGAAAAGCGGGATAAAAAGAGTAGCTCCGTCATACACTCGCAGGATTCCATTATGAGCATGGTGGGGTACACAGTCTAGCCCAGGGCCTGCCTGCTCCTCTCTTCCTCTTCTCCCGCCATCACTCTGTCCCAGCTCGTGCTTCTCTGAACATGCCAGGCATGGTCCTGCCTCAGGGCTTTTGCCCCAGCTGTTCCCTCCACCTGAATGGCTGTTTCCCCAGAAATGAGCCTGACTCACCCCTCTCCTTCAAGCCTTTGCCTAAAAATCACCTTCTCAATGAGGCCCCCAGCCCACCCTAGTTAAAACTGCCCCCTCACACACCCTAACCCCTCCTATGTTCTATTTGCTCCACCTCATTTATCACTGATTTTATTTATCACCTATTCATCTATTTTATTTATTGTTTTTCATCTGTCTTCCCCCCATCTGATTGTAAGCTCTTTGGGGGAAGATCTTTCTGGTCTATTTTGTTTAATATCAGCGCCTTCCCCCTTTCCCCAGCACTTAGAAAATACCTAGTACAGGTCAGGTGTGTTGGCTCACATCTGTAATCCCAGCACTTTGGGAGGCCGAGACAAGCGGATCATTTGAGGTCAGGAGTTCGAGTCCAGCCTGGCCAACATGGCGAAACACCGTCTCTACTGAAAATACAAAAACTAGCTGGTGTGGTGGCACGCACCTGTAATCCCAGCTACTCAGGAGGCTGAGGCATGAGAATCACTTGAACCCAGGAGGCAGAGGCGGAGGTTGCCGTGAGCCGGGATCATGCCACTGCACTTCAGCCTGGGAGACAGAGCGAGACTCTGTCTCAGAAAACAACAACAACAACAAAAAACAACAACAAAAACAAAACAAAAGAAACAAACAAAAAAACTAGTACAATGTAGGTGCTTAATAAATACTGGCTGAATGACTAATGGAATGAATGAACATAAAGCACTTAGGACAGAATTAGGCAGGCGGTAAACCCTCAATGAATGTTAGCTATTATTATTACTGTTAGTGATTCTTCAAAGTGAGGCTCCCATGTCCCTCCTCCTTGACTTCTGCAAGCTCATAATCACACCTTCCTTGTCCCCACCACACCCTGCCAATCTCTCAATTATAGTAAGGAGCACACCGCTCTTTAAATACCTGTATATCTTTTTCCATTTAGGCTGAACCAAATGAAATTGCCATTTCTTGTAAGTCAAAAAAAGTCACATACTGGCCGTTTCATGTGGTTTAACCTAGTAAGTTTCCCATAGCAGCCTGCAGACCCCCAGGAGGCACAGTTTGACCACAGAAGCAAAGTCACCTACTCCTGGCCCTTTAGACCAGGTGTGATTGCAAAGCACGTCCAATCTGTTCTGAAGGAGGCAAGGCATGGATTATAGACTTAAAACACAAGAAGATTCTGCTGAATTATTTTCTGGACCTCCTGAGATTTGGCAGAGAAGATAAAAACACACCAACTTCTAAAACGATCCAGCTTCTGGCCATTTTGAAATAGCAAAGGTTTAAGGCTGAAACCCCTCGGTGGGGAGCTAGCTACCTGCCTCTAAGGGGATTCATTTAATGAATCTCCTTCCAATCTCGGCTTTGCTACTGAGATTTGTTCACTCTAAGAGGTTGGCTGTCAGAGCTCAAACAAATTCAGCAACTGCTGAGTCTACCCCCATTTCACAGATGGAGAAAGTGAGGTCCAGAGAGGGGAACGGATCGGCCCAAGGTCACACAGTAGGGAAGAGGAAGACTTCAATCTGGAATCTATGTCTGCTGACTTTAGTCTCATGGTCTTTCTTCTGGATTAAACTGTTTCTATGCTGGCCAGACTCCGGTAATGTAAGCTTCAGTGCCACTATTTTTTAAGCTGTATTTGTCAAATGAAATGTTTATTAAGCCTCAGATAAAACTGAACACTTCTTCACTAGACGGCAACTCCTTTATTTTTTTTTTTTTTTGAGATGGAGTCTCGCTCTGTCGCCCAGGCTGGAGTGCAGTGGCACAATCTCGGCTCACTGCCACCTCTGCCTCCCGGGTTCAAGTGATTCTCCTGCCTCAGCCTCCCGAGTAGCTGGGATTACAGGCATGTGCCACCACACCCAGCTAATTTTTATATTTTTAGTACAGACAGGATTTCATCATGTTGCCCAGGCTGGTCTCAAACTCTAGACCTCAGGTGATCCGCCCACCTTGGCCTCCTAAAGTGCTAGGATTACAGGCATGAGCCACTGTGCCTGGCCAGAAGACAACTTCTTACAAATAACAGCACTACATATGTCTCTCTCCCTAGTTACTTCCTTAGGATAAAGTCCCCAAAGTAGCCGGCTAAGGGCAAAGGGCAAATATGATCATTTTCATGATAACAGGCTGCCAGGTTGCTCTGCAAAATTAAATGCCACAGGCGAATCCCTATAGCCTTGCCAGCACAGAGTTTCATCTTTTTATTTTTATTTTTGCTAATTTTACAGGAATAAATACAGACTGCTTTCATTTATTATATGTTATGTGTTTTTTTGGAGAAAAAAAGGCACTCCAATCTTGGAATCAGGATCCCTGGGCTCGGTTGCTGGTTTGCTGTGTGACCTTTGCCCAGTCACATCCCCTCTGGCGACAGGGGATGCCTATCTGTAAAATGAGGGGGTTGAATGAGACGACGTCTGAAGGCTCCTTTCAGCTCAGACATTCCATGATTCCATGGTGCATTTAAAAAGTATTAGCAATTAAAGTCATAGCATGACTTTTTAATAACCAGAATCTGCCATGCTCCTAAATCAGGCCAAAAAGGCTTGAATTAGGCAAGCAGGAAAACAGGGCCCAGATTATACATGTGTCGAGATGACAGGAGACCCAGGTAGCACTTAAGCCTGTGCGTCGGAGCTGGGCTCATGGGCCAGCACATATACTTTGCCTGCTTTTACGAGGGGATAATAACACTCATTTGTGGTCCAGCTCCCAGTCCTGTGCAGCTCCACCATGGCCGCAGGGCAAGGTCATAGGCACTACTTCAGCCCTAGAATTCCATAGACTTTCAGTCCAAGGTAGCTCACCCCCAGGTTCTGCTTGAATACCTGTGATGACAAAGAGCTCACTACCTGTCCAGGGGCCTCCTGCCCTCTTTTGGCTGTTAAGAAAATCCCTGGGTGCAGGGCAGGTCATGAAGGGGACAAGAAAGACCAGGAGGCTGAGAAGTGATTCCTAGAAACTGCTCCCTCAAACAGGGCAGGCATCAGGGAGGTGGAGAAGAGGCCCCATGGGGCAGGAAAGGCCTGCAGAGGGGCTCCGGCTCTCCTCACTCCGGACCTCTCAGACGGTCCCCAGGAGGGGCAGGAAGCTGGGGAGACACATTCCAGTCCTGATGCACAGGTGGGTTCTGAACAAGCCCCAGGAAAGCGGAGGCCCCACAGCCTGCTCCAGGGCAGACACCTCGGCTCCCTCTTCTTGCCTTGGCTCCCTGGGATCTGATGGGAGAAACTGCTGGGCCTGGGGCTGCTGGGTCTGGAGATGAGCATATTTAAGGGACCTGACCACTGCCCCAGGGTGAGGGAGGAAGGGTCAGAGGTTGTTTGTGTGTCCAGAGCAGGACCAGCAGGAGAGGCAGTGACTGGGTAGCAGATTCCAGCTTGGTTTACAACTAGTGAGATTCCTATCACAAGGAGTGTGCAAGGGGGCAGCAAGACCTTCCAGAGGGGATCTTACAGAGGGGCTGGGCCAGATGCCATAGGTCTTCTTTACCTAGGGAGCCTGGGACCACAGTCCCTCAGACCTGTGCTCTGCCCCATCCCTTAATGCCACGCGGACACAGCACCTTGGCACTGTCACCCCTCTGAGGTCCAGGCGTGGCCGCCAGTCACCCCTTGTCACACCAGCTAGTGTGTGTCACACCTTATCACACACTAGCTCTGGGACACAGAGCTAGGCACCAGCACCTGGCCCGGGTGGGGAAGGGGAAGGAGCTATCCTATACCACTCTCTAAATCGAGGTGCCTACGTGGGGCTGGTCCAGGCAGTCGTGCCGCCAGGAGTCCAGCCACCTCCAACCTAGGGCTCCTCCAGCCCCAGACGAGTAAACCCTCTTGGCGGGCCGGCTGATGCCCCACATGCACGCCCAGGCCGGCTTGGCGGGGACCCGGGGATGCCCCCCACCCCACCGTTTCCTGTACCAGGAAGCTGAGGCCCAGCAGGTAACGCAGCCAAGAGGGGGAGGGTCCCGACAAGAGTCCCATGGAGCACCCGGGCCACAGCAGGGGCCTGTCGGGACCGGCTGGCCGCGCCCAGAGTGAGCTTCCCTCACCGCGGGCAGGAGGGGTGGGCGGTGCAGACAGTGCTCATGAGGGCAGCGAGCCGTCGGGAGCCCGGACCTCGAGGCGGCCCCTCCCAACAACCCCGCGAGAAGGGGGCCACCAATGAGCAAGCTATCCTGACGGGGAAACTGAGGCCTGGAGAGGAGCAGTGCTTTGTGCAAGGTCACGCAAAGGGGCTGAAAGCCAGGTCCCCCGCGCTCCGAGCCCCGCATCCCTCCCTCTCCGGGAGCTGCAGCCGCAGCGCGCACGTCCCGCCCGACGCCCCCATCGCGCAGACCGGGAAGGCACGGCCGGCGGCGCAGGGCCGCCCTACCTTGATGACTGCCGCGCAGGTGGCGGTGGCGGCGGCGGCGTCCAGCTCCGGCTCCGCGCTCCTCGCCGCCCGCCGACTCCCGGCGCCCAGAGCCGCCGCCGCCTCCCCCTGCAGCCCGGCGGGCGGGGCCGGAGGGCGGGGCGGGGGCCTGGCCCAAGGTCCGCCCTTTTGCCCGCCCCGCGGGTCCGCCCTGGCCACCCTTTTCCGCCCCCACGACCCCGACCGCGCTCCTGGCTCCCCGGGGCGGGTCTCGGGGCGCGCACACGTGCTGGGAACAGGCGCGCACACGCCGCAGTGATTGGGGCGGGCTGCCGGCCACCAGGCGGAGGCTGGGGACAGGCAGAGCCGCGGGCCCCACGTCGCGCCGTGCCCTCGCTGCGTGGTGTGGGATGAGGAACCTGACCTCCCGGAGCCTCAGTTTCCCCCGTTGTGAAATGGAGACAGTAACCGCGTCGGCCTCTTAAGGCTGTTTGAGCCCTGGATGTGACGATCCCGGCCGGGTACAGTGCGCGCGCCGAGCCCGGCCAGGGAAGCGCTCCTTTCCCCGAGCAGTTACAGCGGTTACCGAGGCTTCCCCGTCCGCAGGGAGGAGAGGAGCCGGGAGCGCCGCTGGGAACCGAGGAGGACGCCCTTCCTTCTCTCGGGACCAGCCGGGGGCGCTGCTGCCAGCCTCGCTGGCTGGAGAGCCCTGAGGACACTAGACAATGGGGAGGCCCTACCTTTGGGTACCACCCCCACCTAACACTACTGAGCCACGCACTCCTCTAAGCGCCTTCTGTGCATTACCTCGCTTCACTGTCACACAGGCCTATGAGGTTGATACCATTACTCACCTATTTAACACAAAAGAGCTGAGGCACAGAGATATTAAGTACCTAGGTTAAGATCACCCGGCTAGTCATGCAACCCCAGGCAGTATGGCTCCCACGGCTACTAAGCTAACAGCCACTCCACTCCACACCACGTCTGTGAAGAGCTCTTGGTTTTGTTCAGTAGAGACGGGTTATCTTGAGGGCCTTGAACTGCTCCGTGGCACATAGTAACCACTCAATATATAGTTGTGGAGTGGATAACAGAGTACACTGTTACTACTTTACATATCTGTATCGTTTCTTCTAAGCTTCTAATAATAGTGGCTTTATTTAGCCACTATTATTACCTCCATTTTACAGATAAGAAAACTGAGGCTTGGAGTGGCAAGGTACTTAGGGAGCTCTTGATTCTCTCCTTAGAATGTGACTCAGCTTCCATAGTCCACTGTACCACCCCCCTGCCCAGAGCTGGACGGGCTCCCTGCCTACCACCCAAAGCCCAGTGTGCACTATGGTCCTGAAAACCCCATCCTACAGCTCTGATTCAGACCTTCTGGAGCTGGATTGCCCAGCAGGTAGACTGAACGCATGCTTCTGGTGTTAGCGTGCAAGAGTTGGGTATCAAGCATATGGATGGCTGGGCGCAGTGGCTCATGCTTGTAATCCCAGCACTTTGGGAGGCCAAGGCAGGTGGATTGCTTGAGCTCAAGAGTTCAAGACCAGCCTGGCCAACATGGTGAAAACCTGTCTCTACTAAAAATACAAAAATTAGCCGGGCGTGGTGGCATGTGCCTATAGTTCCAGCTACTTGGGAAGCTGAGGCAGGATAATCACTTGAACCTAGGAGGTGGAGGTGGCAGTGAGCCGAGATCACATCACTGCACTCCAGCCTGGGCTACAGAGTGGGACTCTGTCTCAAACAAACAAACAAACAAACAAACATATGGATGAAATCAGAACATTGTGGGAATTCTTTATAATCATGGTTTGGTTTTTACTTGAATTACAGCTGGACGGTGGGCACCATGATCTTTCCCAGGCTAAGGCATCTGAATAACTTTGTTGTTGTTGTTTTTGCATGGTTTTGTTCTGTCGCCCAGGCTGGAGTGCAGTGGCACAATCCTAGCTTGCTGCAGCCTCCACCACACAAGCTCAAGCAATCCTCCCACCTCAGCCTCCCGAATGGCTAGAACTACAGGTGCGTGCCACCATGCCCAGCCAATTTTTATATTTTTTGTAGAGATAGGGTTTCGCCACGTTGCTCAGGCTGGTCTCCAACTCCTGGGCTCAAGCAATCTGCCTGCCTTGGCCTCCCAAAGTGCTGGGATTACAGGTGCGTGCCACCACGCCTGGCCTTGAATGTCTTAATTCACTTAGGGCTTGGGCCAGCATCTCTGGTGTGGCTTTCTACCTCTGCCAATGCCACTCGCCTTGCACTCTGACATCTCTGAGCCTTTGCTCTGTCTGCAGTTCTCTTCCCAAATCATCATCTCCCTTGTCTAAACCCACTCATCCTTCCAGGCCTAGCCTTCCTAGATGTCCTATGGATGTGCCCTCCAAGGCTTGCACCTGCATCTTCCTACCCTGTGCCATGGTGGTTGGTGGCTGGGACTGTTTGGGGAACAGCTGGTTTGACAGAGACATCTCTGGGGGCTGTGGGCATATGGACCCATAAGCCAGAGGGAGACCTCTGCAATGAACCTGGGACCCTTCCTGGGGTTGCTGTGGCTGGGGAGTGTCCTCCTCTCTTGCCCCTTCCCTCCCTCTAATCCTGGTCCAGATGCAGGATTGCACACATGGGGAAACTGAGGCCACAGTGGGCATGACCTACGCAGGATCCCCTAGCTAGAAAACCACATAGCAGATCTGGTTCCAAAGTTGGGCCCATCTCCTGGCATCTTCTATTAGGCCTTAGTGTGGATTGGGATGGGCCAGGAAACCTCCCTCTTCCTTCCCAGTGCACCCACATGGCTGGCTTTGTTAATCTTCCATATGTGGGTAAACATCTTGTGCAGGACCAGAACATATGTGTGTGTGTGGTGGGGGTGGGGGGCAAGTTCTCCATCTATCTGCCCCACATGGAACTTTCTGTACGATATGGCCCCATGTCCATGGGGGAGGGGGTTGAGAAAGAATGAGGAGACAGTGCCTGGGGGTTGGGGAGGGGTCTGTGTTTGGAGGATAGTAGCCTTGAACACGGGCAATCTCTGGAAGTGAGTGAGCACCTCTTATGTTAGGGGTTGTTGGGAGGGGGGCCTTCCACCTCCTTTGACCCAGTCCCTTTATTCTTAGGGATGTTGCCCCAGGGAGGTTCCCTGGGTAATTCCCTTTTCCTCTCCTTTAGAGCAGGTCGGACCACAGCTTGCTGGGGGCCTAAGGCCTGGGGAAGGCATGCTTTGAGCATGAGGTCCTGTCCCCTAGGGTGGGAAGGTGGGGCTGAGAGGGATCGGATCCTCCAGCCCTGGAAGGCAGCAGCCCCAGGGGAAGGGGGCAACAGCTGTGGTGCGGGCCAGGAACCTGACACCAGGAGTGGGCCCCAAACACCCTCCAGAAAGAGCAGGGAAGGGCAAGCAGGCGCCCCAGGGGCAGCAACAGCAGGCACAGATGCTCTGGGGTGGGCCCACCAGTCCCTGCTCAGCCTCCTTGCCATGTGGGTATCATGCTTCTCTTGTTGTCTCTGATGAAGGGGAGAAATAGTGCTACAATCCCAGCGTGAGGCAACCATGAGGAAATTCTTCCTCTAGTTTTCCTTGGCTTAGAACTATCTTCTGAGGGTATCCCCAGGAGGCCACAGGCCAGGCATGCCCCTTCCCTAGGTCCTTGGGGAAGGTGTTCTAGGTTCCACAGGTGGGTTAAGCTGGGGGAGTCCTCCCTGGCTTTGCAGTAAGGGCTCTAGGCTTGAGCATGGCTCAACCAGTGGCTGTGTCACTTTGGATAGGTTAGCTAATGTCTCTGAGCCCTGTCTACTCGTTGGTAACCTGAGCTTGGCCTGGGTGAGTTGATGCTGCAGGACAAGCAGTTCTCAATCCCAGCTCCCTGTCAGGGCCTGAGGAGGCAGTTAGCCCTGTGTCCCGTGTCCTGTGTCCCCAACCCTTCCATGTATCAGAATGCCTGGGCTCCACCACAGGCTCCAGGCATAGGACCCTAGCACCAACATTTTTAAAAAACTACTCAGGTGATTCTTTTTTTTTTTTTTTTTTTTGTGACAGAGTTTCGCTCTTGTTGCCCAAGCTGGAATGCAATGGCACGACCTCAGCTCCACGCAACCGCCACCTCCCAGGTTCAAGTGATTCTCCTGCCTCAGCCTCCCGAGTAGCTGGGATTACAGGTGCCCACCACCATGCCTGGCTAATTTTTTGTATGTTTAGTAGAGACAGGGTTTCACCATGTTGGCCAGGCTGGTCTTGAACTCCTGGCCTCAAGTGATCCACCCGCCTTGGCCTCCCAAAGTCCTGGGATTACCAGCGTGAGCCACGGCGCCTGGCCTACTCAGGTGATTCTCAGGTGCAGCCAGGTAGGAACCAGAGGTTACATTATGCTGGGTCAAATACAAAGTACCACCCACCCCTCTCCACAGGAGGGGAGGGAAAGAGCACAGACACTCAGCTCTGAGCAGAGCTTCTCCTCTGCCTGGGGTTGGGGGGATGTGGGGAGACGGAGGAGAGAGGAAGAGAAGTGGAGAGGGGGAAGAGAGGGAAGAAGAAAAGGGGGGAAGAGGGGAGAAAGGAGGAAGAAGGGAAGGAGAGGAGAATGGGGAAAGAGAAAAAGGGGGATGAGGGAGGACGGGGAGGAAGGAGGGAAGGGGAGGTGGAGGAGGGGGAGGGAAGGGGAGGGAAAAAGGTAGAGGTGGGCTGCCATTTATCCAATAGCCCCTGTGCCCGTTGCCTGATTCTTTTTTGATTGTTGTTGCTGAAGAGGGAATGTGAATTTCAAGGCTAAAGGCAGAGGGACCGCCTGGGCCAGAGCTCCCAGGCAGCCTTGGGGCTTTTGCAGGCCTCAGGGCCCTGCAGGTGGTGTTTCCTTCGTAAGACGGCTGCTCAGGCCGGGTGCGGTGGCTCACGCTTGTAATCCCAGCACTTTGGGAGGCTGAGGCAGGCAGATCACGAGGTCAGGAGATTGAGACCATCCTGGCTAACATGGTGAAACCCTGTCTGTACTAAAAATACAAAAATTAGCTGGGCGTGGTGGCGCATACCTGTAATCCCAGCTACTCGGGAGGCTGAGGCAGGAGAATCGCTTGAACCAGGGAGTCAGAGGTTGTTGTGAGCCGAGATTGCGCCACTGCACTCCAGCCTGGCAGCAGAGGGAGGCTCCGTCTCAAAAAAAAAAAAAAAAATAGGGCTGCTCGTTCCCATCGGTGGCACTTTCCTCTGTGCCAGGCTCCAGGCTCTGCACCAGTTTACCTGCTTTAGCCCTCCTGGGAGCCCCATGGGGCTGGACCTCTCATCATCCCGATGACCAACTTAGGGGCGCAGTATCTAGCTTGTCCAGGGTGCAGCTGGGACCCCCAGGCCGCCCTCATGCCACCATCACACTTCATAAACAGTTTGGTGCTGAAAGGGCCTTAGCGAATGAAAAAAGTTTAGCAATGAGAAAGGCAGTCAAGCCCCAATGCAGGGTGTTCACAGAAAAGTGGAGCCCTCGGGCCAGCCAGGAGCCCACGTGGACAGGGAGGAGAGGAACCCTGAGCGTCTCCTCCCTGAGGCTGCACAGGCGGTGCAGTGTAGGGAACTGGGAGCCTGGTGGGCCAACCCCTCAAATTCACACCTGTGGGTGACAGTGGGGCTAGGGACCAGCCAGGGCCACCACGGGGCCCGTCCATGGTCCCCAGTGATGGGGAAAGTTTCCTCCCCAGCCTGGATGGGAGCCTCAGATCAGAGCCAGGAGGTTCCAGGGCAGCGTCCCCTAATCCTCGGTGGTTTTCCAGAGAGGAGGCTTCCATGTGAGAACCCCCAGTCCTTCATACCAAAGACAGCCAACTCAAGGCTAGGCCAGCACAGACACAGGTTTTGCTGAGAAATGAGTTGCCAAAGTCACTGGTATGGCCTTGACCCCCTGCCTCGGGTGGGGACAGACTGAAGCCTCTATTTGCTGAGGAGGGACCTGGAGGAGGCTGACGCTGGGTTGGGGCCACGGTGGGTGCTGTGACGAGCCAGCCCTGGCTTGCGCTGCAGCAGTCCCTACTTCCCACCTTCTCCCATCCTCCCAACCACCCATTTTTCAGAGGAGAGGTAACCCTCCGTGCCCCAGCCTGTGAAGTGGGCAGTGGGAGGTCACAAGTGGGGCACCTGACCCAGGGCTCTCTGCCCAACCCCCACACCAAGTTCCTGGTGGTGGTGCACAGGGGGTTTCCCTGGGATCCCCCCAAAATGGGCTGTGAGCAGAAAGGAGGGCACAGGGGCCGGGCTTTGGAAACAGGCTTCAGTACACGGAGAGCGTCCCGGAATGCAGACCCAGGCAGTATTGAAAAGGAGCTGCTACCCAGAAAGACAAAACCCTAACATCTCAGGGAACCAGGCAGGGGCTGGCCCTGCAGACGCTCACAGAAATAGCAGCCAGAGATGCCCTAGGCTGGAAGCCTGGTGGTGGCACACCCTGGCACCGTGGGCCCATCCAGGAACAACTGGTAACTGAGAACTGTTTAAGTTCCAAAGCTTATGAATGATTTCCACCATTTACATTGTTTTATATTGATATAACCTAGAGAATGTTCCAGGTTACCCTATAGAGGCAGTGCTCTTGCTTGTTTACATGCCAAAGTGCTCTGTGGAAGAGGTGACGAAAGGGTGGCATCCCTGGGTAAGTAAGTGCCTATGAAGAAGTAGCCCAACCAATGGCTTTGCAGCACACAATGTCCCAGTGGGGAAACTGAGGGCCAGAGAGGGGAAGGGACATGTCCAAGGTCACATGGTGATGGGACACCCAGGGCTGGGCCACTGGTCCGTGCCTGACCTCCAGTGGGTCTGCCAGCCAAGGGTGAGGAAGGCTGTGGGGAGGGGAGGTGGCCAAGTCAGGCTTCCCCCTCCACCTCGTCCTCGCTGGCACAGCCCTCGGACACAGCTCTGCGCCGGGATGCCCGCCTCTCCAGGTACTCTGCCTTAAGCTGCTCCAGCTCCCGCAGCTCAGCCTCCAGCCGCTCCCGGTGGACCATGCGCAGCTGCCGCAGCTGTTTCATGCGGAAGGGGTTCATGTCATTGAAGGCGATGTTCATCAGCTTCCTGGGAGGAGGGCACAATCAGCCCAGAGCACGTCACCCCACCTGGCCGGCGTTTACCCGGCTCTCCCAGACAGACATCCCCGCATTCCTTCTGCCTTTGTGGCTGAGCCCTGACCCCTGCCCTCAGGAGGAAACAATGAATAAGATGATTTCCACCCACAGAGATATGTACTGAGGCAGGAGGAAGATCAGAAGAAAGACACCTAACCCAGCAGGGAAGGGCTGGTCAGGGAAGGCTTCTTGGAGGAGGTGACCCACGTGTGAGCTGAGTTTTAAGGAATGAATAAAAGGTGACCAGGCAAAGAAGATAGTGGTGGTGGAAGTGGCAAGGAGGCATTCTAAGTAAAAGAAACTGCAAGAGCAAAAGCCCAAAGGTGGGGTTGTCCTAGGAACTCGTATAATTCTGTTTTCCAGGATCACTGGCCATGGGTGTTCAGGGTAGGGGAAGGTGGGCAAAAAATGAAACTCCATGGAGGCCTCAAATGCCATGTTAAGGGGGCAGACATATCACTCAGACAGTCAGACTTCCCCAAAGATTTCTAAGCTATAATACGAGCATCAGCGTCACTTACCAATCTCTACTTGGCAAACATCAGCCTCCCCTCTGCTATGTGTCCTTGGGGGTGTGTGAGTGGTGGGAGTGGCAGGGGGTGGGGGTTCCTCACCGGCTGTTGGAGATGGTCTTGGTGAAGAAGCGCAGGTACTGGTAGATTTCCAGGCCATTCTGTAGCCTCAAGATCTCCTTCTCGTTGTACTTGAAAATGGCCAAGGCATAGCGAAACACCACCTGGGGGTAGAGTGGGGGCTCAGGTAGGGCATGGGGGGGCCAGGCAGGTCATCCCCGGAGGGAGGGAACCTGACAGACTTGGGCAGTATGGAAGACCCTGGACTGGCTGCGGAAGTTGAGGCCTGGAGGCACAATGTGTGGGGATAGGCTCCAGGGGGCTGGGGGAGACTGAATACCCCGGCGGGGTGGTGGGGGGGCGGGGGAAGGGACGCACAGCTTGAAATCTGGGGATTTGGACAGAGTCCTGGCTCTAGCCTGTCTTGTCCCATGACTGTGGGTGAGGCACGGCCCCTGTTGAATCTCATGGAGTTAATCTGTATCTTTACGTGGGGCTTTGGCAAGAACCAGATGAAATGACAGGCCAGACACAGTGGCTCATGCCAGTAATTCCAGCACTTTGGAAGGCTGACACGGGTGGATCATCTGAGGTCAGGAGTTCGAGACCAGCCTGGCCAACATGATGAAACCCCATCTCTACTAAAAATACAAAAATTAGCCAGGTATGGTGTTGCATGCCTGTAATCCCAGCTACTCCGGAGGTTGAGGCAGGAGAACTGCTTGAACCTGGGAGGCAGAGGTTGCAGTGAGCGGAGATCGTGCCACTGCACTACAGCCTTGGTGACAGAGCAAGGCTCCATCTCAAAAAAAAAAAAAAAGAAAGAAAGAAATGAGAAATCTGTGGGTGCTTTGTAAACTGAGGTGTAAACTAGGGCTGAGTTGGGGGACCTGCCCAAGGTCTCTGGGCAAGGTCAGTACAGAGCTGGGTCCAGACCTGAGCTCCGATCTCTTAATCCAAGGTTTAGTCCAAACAGGAGGAAGAAAAGGAGGGCCCAGGTGACTAGGGGGCAAGGACAGCATAGGGATGTGCCTCTCTGATCATGCTCACACCTCCTCTCCACGGAAAGGAAATCCCCCAACTTCAGAGGCAGAACCACTACTTCTCATACATGCAAAGCATTTTGCAGTTGACAATGCTCTCAGGAGACGTTCAACAGCTCTGACAAGTAAGCATTGTCTTCCCATTCTCCAGGGGCAGAGTCAAGACGCAGATGGGTGAAGGGACTTGCTCAGGGGCCCCCTGCCCATCCCCTGGCTGCACCCTACCTTCGTCCCCTCGTACAGGAAGGCATCCCAGACCCGAAGGAGGATGTTGCTAATGAGACTGTCCGCAAAGACCACGAGGAACCAGTTGAAGGTGACGAGGGAGAGATCCACGTGGTGCTGCCCCAGATGGGCCATCAGCCTGGGCAGCTTCTCCGAGAGCAGGTCCTGGAGCACCCGCTGGTCCACCTGGAAGCCAGCGAGAGGGCCTGTCATCTGCAGCCCCAGCGTAGGGCTGCCTCCCTCCCTGCCCAGCCTTCCTACCCAGTCAGTCCACACACAATCCTGAAGCTGCTCTGGGCAGGTCCTTTCCTGCCCAGGAGACACCTCGGGGAGCCAGGGGCCAGTCTAGCTGGGAGTCAGGTACAGCATCATATCACTCCGCTGCTCCTAATATAGGCCAGAGTCCTCTGGACTGGGGCACTGGGCTCTGCAGTGGAGCCATGTGGGCTGGCACGTTCTCCGCCCGCTCACCCATCTGAATCCCTTGAGCCAAGCAGGAGGTCAGGGGCCAGCTGATCCTGCTGGCAGTTCAGAGACACTGGTCTCATGCCCAGGGGCCTTGGCGAAATGGAAGCTTTGTCTCTAGGCTTATATCAGCTGACAACCACAGCCCCTTCTCTATACCCAATTTGTGCCTGACACCTAAGATGCTAGGCGGATGTCTGGTCCAGGGACAGGTGTGTGTGGGAACGCATAATGTCCTGCCTCGCCGGACATCAAGGAATCTTCTCAAAACAGGGTGCTCCTGGCGACACTGGCCAGTGACCTCTTCTTGTGACCACTGTCATGCCTCCGTCCTTGTTTCACTGGATGGGTTAACCACTCTCAGCACTGGCTCCAAGACATGGTTCTTTCGTGGTTCTCCTCCTCCCTCTGTGATGACTCCATTTCAGTTTCCCCTTGCTTTTCCTGGAACTGCTCAGTCCTCTCCTCTCACTTATGTCCTCTTCCAGGCATTAGCGTCAGCTGTGGCAAACAGCCAGTAGCTCCCCTCCTCCCTCACCCAGAACCTTGGGTCATCTACCGAGGCCAAGTGTCCAGTTCAAAACCTAAGGTAACTCCCCAAGTCTAAGATGCCATTGACCTACTGAAGGATTTATGGATGAACTGATACAATGCCAGAAATTTACTTCAAGACAAAGCAGGAGGAGCGGATGGGAGTTCAGAAGAAATAACACTGGCTCCCTGGGTTGATAACTGAAGCCAGGTAATGGACACATGGAGGTTCATTATACTATTCCCTCTATCGTTTTGAATGTGGGAAATTTTCCATAATAAAATATGGAAAAAAGGGTCATATAACACACATCAATTTCAGAGATGTTAAGATGTAAAAATTAAATATGTACATTTCCTAACTTGCCTTGCAACTAGGGCAGCCATGAAATAGTTCTGACCAGTAAACTGCAAGTAGAAATTGCTGGGTCAGGGAGCCAGCTCCTGGTGTTCACCTTCTGCTTCTCCTGGCCTAGGCCATGCCCACAGTGCTGGAGGCGATGCAGCCATTTTGTGACCAGGAGGTGATGGGTGTGAGGATGAAGGCCACCTGCCAGAGATGGCAGAGCAGGGAGCTAGGAGCCTGAACCCTGCGGTACTGCCTTGTCATTCACTATCTGAGAATAATAATCCCCGATTGAAGCTGTTGTTAGGTTGGGCTTCTCTTCCATGCAGCCAAATGCACTCCCACAGTGCAGAGGGAGAAATGGAAGCCCGAGAGATTCCCAACTTTCCTGAGAGTCACAGGCTTCTAGGAACAGCTCTGGGGCACTGCCCTACATGGCTGCAAAGTCCCCTCCTGGCCCCACTTACCTGGGATGCCGTCAGCGTGTTGCAGTAGTAATCAGCGGGCATGATGGTCTCCACAATGGCCACCAGGCACCAGAAGGCGCTCTCCTCCTCCTCTAGGACCAGCAGGGCAATGGCCGCCAGCCTGGAGTAGTAGGGAAGGCCTGGAGTGATTACAGAAGCCGTGGCCCTGCCAGGCAGCACATGGCAGAGGTGGCTTCCTGGGTTCCAGGGGGAAAGTCCTTCCATGTGAGCATCAGTGCAATCCCACTCCCTAACCAGATTTGTGCTCCTGGCACCTGGGGTGAGATAAACGCTCTTTTGGGGAGGATGACCGGCGATTTCCAGAGCAATGGGGGTCACTTCAGAGCAGGGGCTCTGAAATCAGGCTGCTTGGGTAAATCCTGATCTTGTGGCTTCCTGGGTGACCTTGGGCAAGTTACTGAACCCCTGTAAGCCTCAGTCTCATAATAATCACAGGACTATTTTGAGGATGAACAGAGCTCATTCAGTGCCCCACACAGTGCCTGCCACACAGTGAGCTCTTTATAAATGTTAGCTATCCTCACCTTAGTATTCACAGGCTTTGAGACCTTGGCAAGTACACTAACCTCTCTGGGCCTTGGTTTCATGATCTGTAAAGTGAGATTAACAATATCTATCCCCCCGGGGCCAAGAGGCATCTTGAGACAGACCTACCTTGCCTCGCTCACTGCCTGGCATTTAGGAGGTGCTCAATGCACATAGCTTTTTTTCTCCTTTACTTCCCCTCCCCGCCAAGTTAGCATAAGGCTCTAATGAAATCATGGGTAAGAAACAAACAAAAACCCACAGGGCTGAGCAGGGAAGTCTTCCTGGGATAAGTACTGTTTTCTCTACTTCTCCCATCTTCCCTGGCAGCTCTCATCCCGGGCCAATCCAAGAAGTCATTTTCCAAAAATGTCTTCCAGGGACTACTGGTCTCCCAAGATGCTAGGTGAACACAAGGTTCTATATTCAAAGATATCTGGGGAATGCTGCCCATTCTAGCCCCTGAGAGGCTTATGACACACACTGTCTTAGTAAAGCCTCTGAGAAGTCCTGTGGTGACAAAACGCTGTGTGGCTGACTCTAACCCAGGGTCGCCCAGGGGGTCCACAGAGCCCCTGTTGTCCATTGCACCCATGGGGGCCTAGTAGAATGAATGTTCCTCAGAGGACCCTGGAGAGATGTCGCTTTAGAAAGCCTCTGACTCTCTGGTCATAACGAGCATTTAAGGAACACATTCCCTCATCCAGATATTTATGCTTCTTTGGGTTCTCTCTAGATTGGATTCATGACCTCCACCTTCTTTTGAGGCTCACAACTCTTAGAAACATGGTTGAATCTCAAAAGAAAAAAGAAATATCCCTTCTCTTTCCCCAGTAGATTGGGAAGGAATTTCTCCCAAATTTGGTTCAGATATTTGTACAAAACCTTCCTAAGTCGAAGCTGAGTGGATGAAGAGAACAGTCACAGGTCTCCTGGGAAATAGGAAGCTCCGTTCTCTCAGAGCTGGTGGGGAGGGACCTCCATAGGTCACTGAGTTCAAGGATAGCAAACGTGAGATACACTGGCCTCTATCCTTTTCGTCTGTGCCCAGGGCAGACATAACTAACTGATCATGGCAGCATTCCCTTTGTCTAAGCCCATGGTAGACATAAGTAATTGATCACAGTACTCTTTCCCACTGAGTCTGAAGGCTGCCTCAGAAACTCTCTCAGGACAGGGCTCCAGGTAGCTGCTTCCTACTGGTCATCTCTGGTCTAAACAAACTCCTTATTGCAGTGGTGGAAAAACCAAGGCTTAGAAAGCAGAAGTTACCTGCTCAACATTACATAGTCAGTTGGTGGCAGAGTGGAAACAGAACCCAGGGCTCCCAAAGTCTAGCCCAGTGCTCTCTCCACTCTATCCCACCCTGTTCCCCCTGAGCCTCAGAATGGCCTCAGTCTAGGGAGTTAGCTGCCAGCATTGGTTTAGACTTCAGCACATGTTAAAAACTCAGTTATCTGAGGCTGGTTGCTAGGGCTTACTAACTGCTCAGGTGTATGGCTGAATTCGAACCTAAGGCATTTAGGGCCCAGGTAGGCTTGCAAAGAAAGGAGTGTGTTGATGGGGGAAAAACAAACCACTTTTAGAGCACTGTACTTATTTTCATAGGTTTAAAACATTTGCTCTAAATTAGCATTAGACCATCACTAAACAAGCTGGATTTGTTGCCTTAGAGGCAGGGTCTGTCATCTTGAGACATCAAACATGCAGTTCCTTTTCTTTTCTTTTTTTGAGACAGAGACTCACTCTGTTGCCCAGGCTAGAGTGCAGTGGCATGATCATGGCTCACTGCAACCTCTGCCTCCTTATCACCTCAGCCTCCCGAGTAGCTAGAACTACAGGCATGTGCCACCACACTTGGCTAGGTTGTTAGGTTGTTTCTTGTTTTTCGTTTTTTTAATTTTTTGTATTTTTTGACAGGGCTTTGCCATGTTGTCCAGGCTGTCTCAAACTCCTGGGCTCAAGGGATCCACCCACCTCGGCCCCTCAAAATGCGGGAATTACAGGCGTGAGCCACGGCGCCGGGCCCACACATGCAGTTCTAATGGCTACCACTAGATGGCAAAGAAGACGTATCAGGGACCTGCAGGCTTGGGTTTAGAGCCTCCAAAAGAATACGTTGCACTTGCCACATTTGAACAGGCTTTCTATTATAAGTAACTTTCTCTTTTTTCGAGATGGAGTCTTGCTCTGTCACCAGGCTGGAGTGCAGTGGTGCGATCTCGGCTCACTGCAACCTCTGCCTCCCTGGTTCAAGTGATTCTCCTGCCTCAGCCTCCTGAGGCAGCTAATTGTTGTATTTTTAGTAGAGACAAGGTTTCACCATGTTGGCCAGGATGGTCTCGATCTTTTGACCTCGTGATCTGCCTGCCTCAGCCTCCCAAAGTGCTGGGATTACAGGCGTGAGCCACTGTGCCTGGCCTATTACAAGTAACTTTCTGTTTTAAGCAGTAAATATTTACATGAATACCAATTATCTGCATTTGCATATCAAATTTAAGTAAAAATGCTATTCAGAGAAAGATATTTTAGAAAACCCGTCTGGGGACCTTCCGCCTCTCTTGGCCTCAGTTGTCCCTTCTGCGCCTCTCTGTGGCCTGTGTGCTGCCTCCTTCCACACAGGGAGAAGCTTCTCTCCTCCTATGAGGCTTATCTCAAGTGCCCCTCCTGCCATAGGATTTTTCTCTGCCCCTTCAGCACAGGTTGAACTCCAAAAGCAGGTCTCGAGAAGGTTACATCCACATAGGGGAAAGGTTTCTGGGAGGCCTCAGCACAGCCTCTGACTACTGCTATTTGGAGAGAGAGCAGGTTGTAGAAAGGACTGGGTTTGGGGGCTGGGGGCGGGGGGCCAGGGTGAGCAGTTGGCTGGGTCAGCATTTGTGGTGAGACAACGGGCAGGTTCCTCAGCCTCTCAGACCCTCTCATGTCTCATCTGGGCATGGTGGCACCAGTGAAGGTTTTTGTGAGGATTAGATGCCATCAGGTGTTAAACACCTGGCATCCAAGAGGCCCCCATTATGCTTTACTTCCTACCTGGCTTTTGTGTGAAATGCAAAAATTATTATTCATTCTGATCTCATAGCTTCCAGCTCCCTTCACAGCTATTCTTAGAAGAGGCTTTGCAGGTTTTGTTTCTTCTGGATTTTAACATGTTCAAACAAATGAGAAGTACAGGGGCTTTTGTCAGACTGTTGAATGAATGAAATTTCTACAGACCTGACCTGTGGCAGACGTTTAGTGTGGCATGAAATCTGAACATATTTTCCAAGGAGGCTTCGACTGAGAGGCATTACTGTTGGAGTTTAACTCTTAATTCCCAGGAATTGTACATACACATGCTCAATTTCACCCAATTTTAGGCTGGAAATAGAGTATGAAAAATATCTACCTTTGGGAACCACTCAAATTTGAGTAAGGACACTGAATGTTGATTCTGTGTTAAATAAATGTCACACACCACCTATTCTAAAAAAAAGCAGCATGGCTTATGTAAATTTTGCTTAGGTATATGTGTGTTTAAATTAAATCGAGTGAAAACTTGCTTTGGGAAAATATTTGCAACTATGCAGCTTCTACTGAAATAGCTGGGGCTGGAGCGGGGGGATGACAGTCCCTCACAGTCTTGGAGGGGAGATAGCCCTGTGAACCAGGTGACCTCATCCCCTAACCCCAGTCCCTCCCTGCGTCCCCTACCAATTGGACCAGAAGTGGAAATTATTCCTGGCTGGGCCAATCAGATTTTTTCTTTGGGGAATTTAGAACTGGAACATGAGGGGTGGGGTGGGAAGACTCACTGAAAGGCTCAAGACTCAGGGGCTGAGGTCTCCATTCTAACAGCTTCGATGGTCCCTAAATGTCCAATGAATGAATGGACAGAGGCTGGTCTGCTGAGAGAGAAGGAAGCAGACACGCAGAATGAAGAGAGGCCAGAGGCCATGCAGCTGCAGAGGGCAGCAGAGCAGTACCTTGGTGCTATACGAGCTCAGGTCATGGCATCCCAGGACTGTGGCATGAAGGCTGCCCCCTGGGGTTGTGCAGGGGTGCAGCCCTGCTGCAGACAGCAGCTGCCTTGGCTTCCAATGACCATCTGGTCCTCAGCTGTGTTTTCTTTTCCTGGCTTCTGTGAACTCCCCTTGTAACATTTAGAAAGTCTCTTTTCCCCGGGTCTTCTGCATGGGTTTCACTGAAAGCGAATGATTCCTGATCCAGAGAGTCCTGCCATATGTGAGTGGGGCCTTACCCTGTAGATTCCAGCAGGCCAAAGTTTGAGAGGCCATGTAAGTTGTACGTCCCCAAGCACAAATCAAAGGAGAGAGCAGGGACGAGGGGCCTGGAGCTCTGAGCTCTGGCCCATCTCTGTCTTGAACATGTCCTCTCACCAGCCTGTGGGTGGGGAACCTAGGCTCATGTCTTCAGGTTCTTGGGAGGCTCCAAAGAGAGACAGCAGTGCTCTAAAACAACGGTCCCCAACCTTTTTGGCACTAGGGACCGGTTTCATGAAAGACAATTTTTCCATGGACTGGGGTAGGGGAGGGGTGGCTTTGAAACTGCTCCACCTCAGATCATCAGGCATTAGATTCTCATAAGGAACACATAACCTAGATCCCTCGCATGCAGAGTTCACAATAGGGTTCACGCTCCTGTGAGAATCTAATGCTGCCGCTGATCTGACAGGAGGCAGAGCTCAGGTGGTAATGCTCTCTCGCCCACTGCTCACCTCCTGCTGTGCGGCCCCTTAACAGGCCACAGATGGCTGCCTGTCCACAGTCTGAGGGTTGGGGACCTGCGCTCCAAAAGGTAAAGATCACACCTTCACTGGGCTTTGGTGGCTTACCTGTTCAGGCCCTGGCAGTAGCCGATGGTGGGGTTCTGCCAGGAGAAGGCCAGCAGCACCCGGCGGAGCTTGTCGGGGAAGCTGGAGGTGGGGCAGGTGAAGTGTTTGTTGTTGGGGAAGGTCCGGTTCAGGTCCAGCTCAATCTGGCGGGCAGCAGGGTGCTCGCGGGCCTGGCCCCGGCTCAGCAGTTCCTGGTAGCAGCCTGGAGTGTGCAGGTGCTGGACACGGAGGTGGACCAGCCACCTCCAGACACGAGGCCGGTGTTCACGGGGTACTCCTGCCCGCAGTAGCTGCTTGAGCTCGGCTGAGGGCACAAGATCGCCCAGGGCAGCCCAGCGCTCCCTCAGCGGCCGATCCACAGCCTCGAGGCCCAGCAGGTGGTGGGATCGTGACTCCAATGCCTGGATCTTGGCCAGCAGCTTCAGGTCTTCCACCTCATAGTCGGGCACCGTCAGGAAGCCGTACTCATCATACTTACTGCCAGCAAAAGTGCACGTTAGCAACACCTTGCAGAGCCCTTCCCTAGATAAGGGGTGGTGGTGACAGGGAGGACCCCAGGCCAGGTTCCTGCCCTGCCTTCACTGAGGGTTAACCACACAGCTCTGGGCAGGTCACTTCAGTTCTCCCAACCTCAGATTGCGAATCTGTATAATGCATATGGGAATCCCTGCTCTGCCTCCTAAAGACCCAACGAGATCCTCTGTTGTAAGATGCTGGGGGCCTAGATAGTGCCTGGTACACAGTAAATGCCCAAGAGATATTTACTAATTCTATGCAAATATAAAGGACCCTCTTATTACTCCATGCAGCCTTAGGCCCAAGGAGTCCTGCACTGTGCATACAGAACCCCACTTACCACAGCCAGTAAGCGCAGGGGTGGACGGGGAACAGACAGCACCAATGACAGACAGGTGGGACAGCTGGGGACCCGTTCCAGAAGGCCTTTGATTTATTCAATGTTGACTCACCTCCACTCTGTGCCCTGCCTGCACTATCTCATTTAATCCTAATGATCCTGCAAAGCAGGTGTGTTTGCCTAAATCTTTTTTTTTTCCTTCCTTCCTTCCTTCTTTCCTTTCCTTCCTTCCTTTCCTTCCTTCCTTCCTTCCTTCCTTCCTTCCTTCCTTTCTTTTTCTTTCTTTCTTTCCCTCCCTTCCCCCCTTCCTTTCTTTTCTTTTCTTTTCAGGGCCTCACTCTGTTGCCCAGGCTGGACTGCAGTGCTGCAATCTCAGCTCATTGCAGCTTCTACCTTCTGGGCTCAAGTGATCCTCCCACCTCAGCCTTCCGAGTAGCTGGGACTACAGGCGTGCACCACCACTCTTCTTTTTTTTTTTTTTTTGTAGAGACAGGATTCCAATATATTGCCCAGGCTGGGCTCAAACTCCTGGCCTCAAGCAATCTGCCCATCTCAGCCTCCCAAAGTGCTGGAATTACAGGCATGAGCCACTGTGCCCAGCTCTTTGCACATATCTTATGGAGGCTGAGTACGAGGCTCAGAAAGGTAAAGGGAATTGTCACACGGTGAGAGGGCCAGGGCTGGCTCCAAAGCTCGAGCTCCTGCCACTGGACTACTCAGCCTCCAGGGGCCTTCGAGCATAGCCACCCTCCTTTCTGTTATATTTAACTGCCCATGTCCACTGTGCTCAGCAAGGCCTTGGTGCAGAGGAGATGGCCTGCTTGTCTCCCCTCGTCCCCTCTCTGACAGGCACATCTGGGAGGCAGCCACATTTGGGAGGCAGCCTAGATAAATGGAAAGCATGGGGCTCTGGAGGCAGCCTGTGCCGCAAATGTACTATAGGGCCATGGCAGGGGGCTGCCTCCTCTGAGCGTGAACCATCTCAGCTGCAGCCGCACACTAATGCATGTGAAGATCAGAGGAGGTAGTGCTGTGTAGGACTTGTACATGGTTGGCAGGACCTGGCAGCAAGGCAGCTGGGGAGGAGCCGCCAGCTCACATAGACCAGCCCTTCCTGGGCCGCCAGGCTCACCTGATGGGGCTCAGCTCGATGCTGTCAGATGAGGCCTCCCCAGCTTCCCACTGCAGTGCCTCCTGGACAAGCTGCCTCAGCAGCTCTGAGCACTCGCTGGCTTCGTCCCCCAGGGCCTCCTGCAGCCTTCTCAGACCGGCCAGGTACTTGCTTTCCACCTGGCAGTTTCTGGCTTGGAGGTAGGCGCACTGCAAACAGGGAAAGGCTGGTCAGGCTACCGGGTGGGAGCTGGGCCGCCCCAGAGGCCTGAGGCCTGAACAGCTTTAGGCAGCACAGCCCTTCCAGCTCTCATCTGCCCCACTCCCAACTCCCAGACCTTCGTATAAGGGAAAGGAGATGGGCCCTGAGGCCAGTGGTTTACAGCAAGGCAGGCAAGAGAGGCCCAGGCCCAGGTTGGAGCTGGTTCAGAAGAAAGAGGAGAGGGGTGTGCAGAGACAGCACAGGCTCTTACACAGCTTACAGTCCCATCCTGGTTCAGCCACTGCTAGCTGGGTGGTCTGTGGCAAGTTACTTAACCTTTCTGTGCCTTAACTTCTTCATCTGTAAAATGAGGATCATACAGAGTCTGCCTGAGGATTTGGGTGAGGATCAGATGAGCGGATGTGTATAAAGCCCTTCCCAGGGTGCCTGGCACAGAGCAAGCTCTGCAGGTGGTATGACTGAACAGCGCCCAGGGGATGGACACTGCCCTCATGCCCTCTGCTGCTGCCACCTAGGCTCCTTCTGTTCCTCCAACACACACCCCTCCCACTTCACAGCCCTCCTGCACCCTCTTCCCTTGCTTGGGACACTCCCCCCAACCCTACCTCACCTTGAACTTTTGTGTTTACATTTATACAAGCTGGGTGGTGCTAGGCAAGTCAGGCAAGTTCCTTGTTTTCCATTTTTGTGAGATGGGGACAGTGAAAATCCACTCATAGCACTGCCATGATCTCTGGGCCACCCCGAATCCTATCTCATCCTGGGGTGGCAGCAGGGGAACAATTCTGTTGCACCCTTGCCCGGTCGCCATCTCCAAACACTTGCCGGGCACCAGCTCCAAGCCATCCTCTGTGCCTGTTCTTCTACCTATCCCACCTGGTGCCCACCTCTGTTGCCTGGGCTGCTTCCTGAGTCCCATCGTTAACACCTGTTTCAGGGATTCCTTTTTTTTTTTTTTCCTGAGAGAGTCTCGCTCTGTCATCCAAGCTGGAGTGCAGTGGCATGATCTTGGCTCACTGCAACCTCTACCTCCGGGGTTCAAATGATTCTCGTGCCTCAGCCTCCTGAGTAGCTGGGATTACAGGTGTGCACCACCACGCCCAGCTAATTTTTGTATTTTTGGTAGAGGCGGGGCTTCACCATGTTGCCCAGGCTGGTCTTGAACTCTAGCCCCAAGGGATCCACCTGCCTCGGCCTCCCAAAGCGCTGGGATTACAGGCCTGTGCCACCGCACCTGGCCCCTTCTCAGGGATTTCTGCTGCTGATTCCAAACAATCTCCCTACTTCCAGGCCCACCTTCTCAAGCCCACCCTCCTGAGCAGTCACAGCAGTCTTCTTGGAACAGGAACAGAAGTCTGATTGAGGACTTCTCCACTCAGAATCCTTCAGCTCCCCAGTTTCCTTGGAGTAAATTCCAAACTCCTCAACTCCAGCCTCATGTCTCACTCTCCCTAGCCCTGCCCCCCACCTCTCAGACCACACGTCTTTACTATGCTGTCTCTTTTCCTGGAAGGTCCTTCTCCACTGCTTGCCTGGATAACATTAACTCATCCTTAGGACTCAATTCAGAAGGTACCTCCTCCAGGAAGCCCTCCCTGACTTTCCTTCCTCCCTTTGGGCCCCCAAGAATCCCACAAGTCCAAGTGCATCTTTTTTTTTTTTTGAGACAGAGTCTTGCTCTGTTGCCCAGGCTGGAGTGCAGTGGCGCAATCTCGGCTCACTGCAAGCTCCGCCTCCCAGGTTCACGCCATTCTCCTGCCTCAGCCTCCCGGGTGGCCGGGACTGCAGGCGCCCGCCACCATGCCCGGCTAATTTTTTTTTGTATATTTAGTAGAGATGGGGTTTCACCGTGTTGGCCAGGATGGTCTCAATCTCCTGACCTTGTGATCCACCCGCCTCGGCCTCCTAAAGTGCTGGGATTACAGGTGTGAGCCACCACGCCTGGCCCCAAGTACATCTTGATTGGGTTACACTCCCTCACTAGTCTATACCCTCCTTGTAGGCAGGAACCAGCCTTATTGGTCTTGATGTCCCTACCCCACAGCTACTCAGTGAACGCTGCGGAACAAATGACTCAATCCCCCGACCACAGGGGTCTGGAGAAGAACCTGATATGGGCCCTGCTCACAAGGGGTCAGTTCAGAGGGAGAGGGGCAGACAGGAAATGAGGAGAGTGAGACGGAGTGGGCAGCATGGGGACCAGCAGAGGGGCCAGGGATGGAGACGGCTGGAATAGGGCCCCACCCCGCACCTTCGTCAGAAGGGCCTTCTCCTTCTCAGCCACCTTTCTCCAGATCTTTGTGACCTGGTGGATCTCGGAGTTGAGGAAGCAGTTCTGGGTCCGGTAAGCTTCCATGTCATCCTGGAGAAGAGAGTAAAATATGTTATCAGTTGGACATAAACATCTCCCTGGTCCTGGGGAGTCACACCCTCAAATGAGCCCCCAAAGCTTCTTTTCCTTAGAAATTTCCAATAATGGCAACAGAAGAGGAAGTCTGAAAGAAAAATAAAATACTCATAGCACCCTTCTCTATTCTTGATGTCAGCATGATGTGGTAAAGGGACCAGTAGGTCTGAATTTAAGTCCTGGCTGATGTTCTGGCTGGAAGGCCTCAGGCAGGCCACTGAACCACTCTGACCCTCTGTTTCCTCATCTGTAAAAGGGGCAAATACCAACTAACCTACTGGGCAGTTGGGAAACTAAGTGAGATAATGTGTGACAACACTAAGTACAGGGACCAAAACATAGCAAGTGCTCAAGTAGTGTTTGTTTTTAAAATCAACATATTTTATCATATATTTACAATCATACTGTAAAATTAACTCAGTGTCACTTTGTAAAACCTTTCAATGTTGCTACATAAGCTTCCCAGTGATCATTTTTAACCTCTGGTGATGATTCTATTGGGTGAATTTACCAGAACTTACTCATAATCCTTTTCCTGTCATTTTTTAATTTGAACCTGGGGTGTTTGCAGTTGGTTTTTGATTATGAATAATGCTGTGATAAACATCTCTGAGTTTTCCTTTTGCAAGTTGCCCATCCAGTGGAGGGAATGAGCTCCCTGCTGCTGGGGCATACAAGGAGAAGCCAGACAAGCACTGGGAAGGTTCAAGCAAGGACCTGAGCCTCAGAGAAGGATCAGCTATAGCAGTGGCTCTCAATTCTGCTGGGATGGACATTACAGAAGCCGTTCAGTCACGTAACACATTCTTAGAGCTATACCTCACAATTCCAGGGTATTTACTGGCTGAAACTCAGGCCCTTTCTCTCCCATTGATGTATGGGCTGGAGGTGAGTGCAAGCGATGCTGCAGCAAGGATGACTCCGACATGGCCAGGTTGATTTGGAAATGAAGAACATCACATGTGCAAGCGATGCTGCAGCAAGGATGACTCCGACGTGGCCAGATTGATTTGGAAATGAAGAACATCACATGTGCAAGCGATGCTGCAGCAAGGATGACTCCGACGTGGCCAGGTTGATTTGGAAATGAAGAACATCACATGTGCAAGCGATGCTGCAGCAAGGATGACTCCGACGTGGCCAGGTTGATTTGGAAATGAAGAACATCACATGTGCAAGCGATGCTGCAGCAAGGATGACTCCGACGTGGCCAGGTTGATTTGGAAATGAAGAACATCACATGTGCAAGCGATGCTGCAGCAAGGATGACTCCGACGTGGCCAGGTTGATTTGGAAATGAAGAACATCACATGTGCAAGCGATGCTGCAGCAAGGATGACTCCGACGTGGCCAGATTGATTTGGAAATGAAGAACATCACATGTAGTTTGGGGCACATCCTCGTCAGGGTCACATGTGCACAGCCCACAGGTGGTCCTGGCCCTCCCTGGGTGGGTCTTCACTCTGGCCAAGATGATCTCCAAGGTCTCCCCAGGCTGGAAGCTCCGATGCCTGCCCAGGGGCTGCTGCCCTCCGCCCAGAGCCTGACACACTAGAAGGGCCTCTGCTCCCAGGGGAGGGAACGAATGCCCCCTGTTGACTTTATCACATCACCCCTCACCACTCCACGGGGGCTCTCTGTGGTGCCCCAACCCAGGCCACCCCTGCTTTCATCTCCCTCGCTGTGCCAAGGCTGAAAGGCTGTGCATCCACTCAGCTTGCTCTCTGCCTTCTGGCTGGACCCAGGCAGTTCCAACCCCTGGCGCCACCCTCCTCCCCCTATCCAATCCTGTCCCTGACCTAGATAAAAAACCAGCTTCACTGCCTCTCAAAAATGCTGCTGTGTGCGCCAGCCGCTCTGCTGGCAAGTTTCTGCCTGCTTCTTCTCCACAGTCCCCATATCCTATCCTTATGTGGCAAGAAGTGAAAATCTTGTTTGTGGCACAGGGACCAGTCTCCCATGAGCATCAGGCCTTTCCTGGACCACTCCCCACTCTCTCTGGAGTCTAACACTTTACTGTCTGGAGATATAGAAACTTATGAATACAGAGGCTGTGCAGGCTTCCGGCATCACCCCCATCACCAACACCACGCAGCATATATTCTCTCACTTCATCCTCCTAGCAACCCTAGAAGGGATGTTCTTTTATTATTCCTATGACACAGATGAGGCCTCAGAGGCTCTGAAAGGGTAGGCAACTTGCCTAAGGCACAGCCAGTATAAGGCAGATGTGACCAAACCCAGGTCTGTCTGATTCTTTTTGTTTGTTTGTCTTGCTCTGTCGCCCAAGCTGGAGTACAGTGGCGTGATCATAGCTCATGGCAGCCTCGACCTCCTGGACTCAAGCAATCCTCCCACCTCAGCCTGTCAAGTAGCTGGGACTATAGGCAGGCACCACCATGCCTAGCTAATTTTTTGATTTTGTAGAGACGAGGTCTCACTATGTTTCCCAGGCTGTTTTCAAACTCCTGGCCTCAAGCAATCCTTCCACCTCGGCCTCCTAAAGTGTTAGGATTACAGGCATGAGCCACTGTGCCTGGCCAGGACTGTCTCATTCTAAAGCCCTAATCACCAAACTTCCTGCCGGGCACCATCTGAGCTCCCCACCAGCTGGAATCCACCTGGATGCCCACACTCTAGTCCCTACCCTCCAAGCGTTGTCCTTTGGTGTCTCCTGGCTACACGCATGCAGGCTTATGTGACCTCTCCTACCCATCAGACAGTATAACAACACATCAAAGACGCTGGAGTTGGCCATGTACCGGCACCGCCTGGTGGTCAGTGGCATGAATGCTGCGGGCACGCTGTCTGGGTGGAAATTCTGTCTTGACCACTGAGCCCCTGGACAAGTTACTTAACCTCATCCTCTCATCTGGAAAATGAGGATAATAACAGTACTACCTCATGTGGCTGGGAGAGGATTCAGTGAGTTAATATGTGCAAAAGGCTCAGAACGGTGCCTGGCATGTGGCAAGTGCAACGTGAGCGTGAGCATCGTCTCCCTCACTGAGTTTGCATGACAGCTCGAGAGCTACTATTCCCCACCCTGCACCCACCCCCTCAGTCGGCTCACAGAGTTCGGAATCCAATGCCCGGGAAAATACAACAAGCCCCCCCGCAAGGGAGGAAAGGACCTACCATGACCTGACCCATCTCCCTCATATCCACAAGGCTGTGGGATAACTATTAAAGTGCCCTAATTCCCATTTAACAGATGAGGAAACACACACAGAGAAAGTAAGTTCCCCTTGTCACGAAAGAGAGCCAGGATCCAAACCCAGGTGTGTTCAGCCCATGGCAGGTGCTCAGCAGACACTGCGTAGAGAAAGCAGACCCAGCTCTGGCGCTGGCCACTGCTCCACACCACTGGGTCTCCCTCCTTGATATCACCCCTTCCTCCTCCCAGGCCTAGATGTGCTCATGGATATTTATTTATTTTTCTTTCTTTTTTTATTTTTAGAGAAAGGGTCTCACTTTGTCACCCAGGCTGGAATGCAATGGCATGATCATAGCTCACTGCACTCTTGACCTCCTGGGCTCAAGTGATCCTCCTGTCTCAGGCCCCTGAGTAGTTGGGACTACAAGTGTGTGCCACTACACCCAGCTAATTAATTTTTAATTTTTTAAAAAGGTCTCATTATGTTGCCTAGGCTGGTCTCAAACTCCTGGCCTCATGCAATCCTCCAACCGTGGCCTCTCAAAGCACTGGATTGTGAGCCACCACGCTTGGCTACACACTGTTATTTCTAAGGCTTTGGAAAGAAGGCTTTTGTCACATAAGATACCCTGCTTCCAGCTCTAGGGAAGGCACAGACATGCCGGACAGGGAGGCAGAGTGAGCACAGCCTGGAACAGCAGTGGCAGTGGGTGGCGTCGGGCAGTACCTCCCCCTCCAGCTCGATGCCCTACCTTGAGTGCTCGTCTTGGCTCAGAACTGTAGGGAGGAAAAAGAGAAACCTCAGAAAAGAGAAAAGCCACAGGACAGTCACCAGTGGAATGAAAGAAGGAAAACCCTGGAGAAGGGGGACCAGGGAAGCAGGAGCCCGGGAATTCTCTTTGGGCCATGCCCATGGACTAGGCCCTGTGCTGTGTGGAAGGCAGTGGCCTGGGCATGGGAGGCCAGGTTCCGGCTGTAGCCCTGCCTCTTGCTGCCTGACCCTGGGCCAGTCCTTCTCCCTTGCCCCAGCTCAGCTGTCCCTGCCAGAAAATGAGTGGGGCAGACTAGATTTCTGAGTCTTTCCAGATCTGATATTCAAGAGGTCAGTGATCCTGTTCTCAAAACCAAAGTCTGAATAACAAGGGGCATTCCCTAAAGTTGGGTTCCTCAATCACAGGGCAGGCAGGAAACCTCAACATTCTCTGTCCTCAAACTCAAGACAATGGATATTTGATGGGTATTCTAAAAGCTAAAAACTAAGGAACACCAACTACATGCAACTCTTTCTCTTTTTTATTTTTTTTTTAATAGAGACAGTGTCTTACTCTGTTGTCCAGGCTGGAGTGCAGTGGCGTGATCACAGTTCACCACAGCCTCGAACTCCTGGGCGGCTCAAGTAATCTCCCACCTCAGCCTTCTGAGTAGCTAGGACTATGGCGGGTGCCTTCATACCTAGTGAATTTATTTTATTTTTTTTTAGAGACAGGGTCTTGCTATGTTGCCTAGGCTGGTCATGAACTCCTGGGCTTAAGCAATCCTCTAGCTTCAGCTTCCCAAGTAGCTGGGACTACAGGCACGTGCTACTGTGCCTGGCTAATTTTTTAATTTTTTGTAGAGATGAGATCTTGCTATGTTTCCCCGGCTTGTCTCTAACTCCTGGCCTCAAGTAATCCTCCTGCCACAGCCTCCCCAAATGCTGGCATTACAGGTGTGAGCCACCCATGCCTGGCCTTATGCAACCCTTTAAAGCACAAAGCACAAAACACTGGGCCTCTGAGGATCATATGCAAGTGTATTCTTGGTTAATGTGAATCACATACCCAGAGTCTCCATGTAGCTGAGCTCACTGATAAAGAAAATTCATGGCCAGGTGCGGTGGCTCACACCTGTAATCCCAGCACTTTGGGAGGCCGAGGCAGGCAGATCACGCGGTCAGGAGATCAAGACCATCCTGGCTAACATGGTGAAACCCCGTCTCTACTAAAAATACAAAAAAATTAGCCGGGCATGGTGGCGGGCACCTGTAGTCCCAGCTACTCAGGAGGCTGAGGCAGGAGAATGGCGTGAACCTGGGAGGCGGAGCTTGCAGTGAGCCGAGACCGCGCCACTGCACTCCAGGCTGGGTGACAGAGCAAGACTCCGTCTCAAAAAATAAAAATAAAAAAAAATAAAATTCCTGAATATGTAAATTCAGGGGCACACTCAGTCTCCTAGTGAGTCCATGATTACAATCAACTCTCAGGCTGTCTGGAGCCACCTGGCTGATCTAGTGTTCTTTTTTTTCCTTTGAGATGGTGTTTCACTCCTTCACCCAGGTTGGAGTGCAGTGGCACAATCTCAGCTCACTGCAACCTCCACCTCGTGGGCTCAAGCGATCCTCCCACCTCGGCCTCCAGAGTAGACGGGAACACAGGCGTGCGCCACCACAAATCTTTCTGACCCCTGTGCTGCTCTACCGGGGCTTGCACAGTGGATTCCGGCAGTATGGGTGGAGAGAAGAGGAAGCCGCCTGGCTGGGGGCAGGCAGGGTAGAAAAGCAATCAGATGGAAGCAGTTTTCCCTGCTGTGTGGAGGGCTGAGAGCTTTCTAATCATCTGGCTGCATTTGCATTGGAAAGGTTATGTTTTTCTTTTAACCCAAAAGAATCTCTGATTTCAGACTAAATAAGGGAAAAGATTCGGGAACTGGTTATGTGGGTTTTCAGTCTTTGCTGAAAGAAAGGGAAGGGAATCAGGTTTCACGTCCTTTTCCTTTATCCTTCTAACAGCCCTAGTCAAGAGGACTAGTTGGGCTATTTGACACAGAGGTGAGCTAACATGCCTAAAGTCACACAGCCAGAAAGAGGCAGAGCCAAGAGTCAAAGAGGTCAGTCTGACTTCAAAGCTTGGGTGGTGGCCACTGTTCAACACTGCCCACTGAGAGCTTTTCTCTCAAAAGCTTCCTGATTTCTTTTTTTTTCTTTCTCCATCTGCCCTCACCGAGTAGTTCTTTGATAGAGTAGCATGAGAGTTCTCAAGGTTATAAGTCTATATGTACAGTCTCGTGTGGCTTAATTATGAGGATACACTCTGAGAAATGCGTCATTAGGTGATTTCACTGTTGTGCAAACATTGTAGACTGGACGCAGACAAACCTAGGTGATTTAGCCTACTACGCACCCAGCTAGATGGTGTAGCCTATTGCTCCGAGGCTGCAGACCTGTGCACCTGTTACGGTACTGAATACCATAGGTGGCTGTCACATAATGGCATTTGTGTATCTAAACACATGTAAACATAGAAAAGGTAGCATGTTGTGCTATGATGTTATGACGGCTATGATGTCACTATGTGACAGGGATTTTTCTGCTTCATTGTAATCTTATGGGACCATCACATATGCAGCCTGTTATATGGCATCTGACTGTACATATGTGGTTGTGAGTGGCAGGGTTTGGGGCAGGACGAACTCTGGTTGTATGGCTCCCTTTACGGACAGTGGAGGCTATGAGTGCACTCCACAGCCACAGGCCTCCCAGTGGGACAGTTCCTGTCACAACCCTTTAGAGAGGAGGCTGCGGGTCACGGCAGGCAACACACTTCACATAAAGTTCCTACCTCCTGTGACATCACTGGTCCCTGTGGGGTGGGGAAGCCTAGGGAAAGATAGGGACAGAGAAGGGGAAGGAAGGGGAGGAAAGGAGGAGCAGGGATGGTGGCAGCAGCTAGAAGCGGCAGCTGAGCAGACAGACCAGACCGCAGACATGAGCTCCAGCCCAGCTCCAGCTCCTCCACTTCTTCAGCACATGACCCTGGGCAGGCTCCTTAACCTTTCTCAGCCTCAGCATTCCACATCTGTAAAGGGGGAGCACACCAGCGGCTGCCTCACCTCACAGGGCTGGCGCGAGGACTAAATGTGGCGATGCACCCACCGAGGGCAGTGCCTGGCACACAGGAAACACCCTATAAATTCTACAGATGGGAGCAGTGACTATTGGCAGCTGCAGGTCATCCGTACAGTGTGCAGGCGCAGGACTGTGGGGGGAGGGTCGTGCTGGCCCCTTAGGGCTCTCGGGTGCACTGGGATGGCACTAAGGGAGGTTGACCAGGCCAGGCCCCACACTTAGCTAGTCAGGCTTTCATCTCTCATTTGA